>NC_000002.12:177489618-187489618 GCF_000001405.40 Homo sapiens | reverse complement strand
AATGAAAATTGCTTAGTGTTCTAGTCTTATGTACTCATTATATGTATACATTTCTTTCTTCTTATCAATTAAATCATATTAGTTTTATATCTAAATATTTTAATGTCAGGTTATATGACAGTCTACAATCTAGTTGAAAACATTAATATGAAGTTGGTTAGTTGCAGTGAAAACAAAGTAAACCAAAAAACTTACCTCAATAGATACAGCTATACATATACACACACACACACACCTCTTTTTTTAAAAGGCTATTGAATAAAACATAGTACAATTAGAAAAGAAGTTTGGGTCCGTTAGTTTCACTTTCATAGACATTTTACTCTCCATAGAAGAATTAACTATTTCAAGAAAAAAAGGATGATGCAGTTGCTGAAAGAGGCTTATAACCCAATTCATATTATTTCTCTCATTCTTTCTTCCCTTCTCTCTCTCGCTCCCTTTCTATCTCTCTGGTCATATAACGAATGCTAACCTGCTTTGACCAAAGATTTTCTCTGCAAAACAAATAATTCCACAACAAAATAAATACCACTCAACTTTCCTAATGTCTATGCGAGCAAATTAAAACTTCATAGATTTATTTTGTCAATTTAAATTTCATTACCTATCATTTAAATTAGAACTTAGAATTCATACTTGGAATATGGTAGGACAAAGACAACTAACATTCCAGTTTTAGAGGGAAATGATTCCGTTAATCAAATGTTAAACCAAACAACGTGTCCCAGATGCCTTTTGTTTCATTTCTTCTCTACATTGGTAATAATAATGAAACTTGCAATTGGATTGAGACAACGAAGCAGGGGAAAGAATAAGGAAAGGAAATAATTCTGGTTAATTTCACTTTTATTCCCAGTTATCTAACAAATTATTTTTATATGTAATGTAGGCTGCTTGAATTACTTTCATATTTCACATTTTTAAAATAATTGTTTTAAGTATAGATATCCTGAACAGTAAACATAGTCACTATGAATTCTCAGCTTTGTAAGTGTGTTAGAAAGTTTTATCATAGTTTCTAAAACATTACTCTATTGAAATGAAGTGGCTTCATGGTTACAATAAATAGAAAAGATTAATTTTTAGAGAAAAGAAAAAGAAATTCAATTTTTATTAAGACATTCTGTATAAGAATAATTTTAATGGTAATAAATATGTCACTCTTGTTTGTTAAATTCAAATTCATAGTATTACTTTATAAATTGTGACAATTGATATGCATATATTCTTTTGATTACAGATAATGCAAACAGGATTATAAAGACAACATTGCAACAAGGTGAACATTTATTTGTCTGTAAATTTGAAGCATTTATGTAAGGCATTTAGATATTCAATTTTTTGTTTGTTTGCTTGTTTGTTTTTTCTGGTCCCTGATTCAGTATAGATATTCAATTCTTAAGTTTCTCTGAGATTGATTTAAAAAAATCCATAAAAGAGATTGATCATAAACCCATATGACAGATTGATCATGTCATTTTTGAAATGATTTGTTGCATGATTCAATGGACATAATCAAAAATTAGGAAAATATATACATTATATTTGTCAGAGGAGGCTCCAAACACCGTATTTACTCTAATTCTAATGTAGTATGATATTTAGTTTTAGTTCAATCATAGTCCAGAGCCACACATGCTATTTTAACACCTTCCAGATAGAGATTTAGATATTTTGAGTCTTAACTTTATTTCTCTGATCTCTAATCACTTGTTAATCTAATCAACATTGTGTGGCTTTAGCAAGTTTCACCAAATATTCCCTTGAATGGATGTATGTCTCTGAGTTGTCAGCAGTTATACATGCAAAAGTAAGTAGAGATATTTAAAAATAAATATCTAGCATGTATGTGTATGTTTAATTGTGTAATTTAAATCATATCATTTATTGTTTTTAGCTAAAAATAATTACTTTTTCACAAATATATCAGCACAAGAAAAAATGTTATCAATGGATCAGGGAAACCAACGTCCTTTTAATAAAGGCCTGGAAACTGATTTGGTCCAATTGTCAGTTATGGCATTTACATTTCAATGAGAAAATATTGAACAAAGAGATTAAATTGTTTAACTCAGGACATGAAAGACCGCAACATGAAAGACCACAAAATTCAAAGTGCATTTTAATTTTATTTATTTTGATTTATTTATGTGGGAAAGAGTTGAAAATTTCTGTGACACATTGATAATCTTTAGGCTCAATTCACTGACCAGAATTGGAATCAAAATGTATAAAATAAAGATAATAGCAAAGTTTGTACAAGAAACATAACTAAATGTACTTACAATTTTAAAAAATAGATTCCTATAAATATTAAAATAATCTTGACCAAAATGTTTAGTACTTTAATTAAATGAAGGCCTTATCTGTAATATCAAAATGGCATATTTATAATAAAGAAGTTTTTGTCTACAAAGGAGAATAAATATTTTTGTGAAAGAAAATACCAACCTTTAAATATTAGGACCTTTTACCAAAAACATAAAATTAGAGAAAAATTAAATACAGGTACTATTTTTAGGTAAAATTATGCTATAAAGTGTATATTTATAATTCAGAATTCAATCATTCTTATCTCATATTATATATGAAAGTTAGAGAATAAAGCTGTGTTCACATGAATGTTAAAAATGCTTACATGTTAACACCTATTTGTAACAAAGACTTGATCAATTTCGAGTGAACTTTGTATTATGCTTCCTAGCATTGGACCATTATAAAGAGATTTGAGATTTAATACAATCCCTTAGAAAGAAAGTTTGGTCCAAGACAATTCCCAAGTATTCAGGCCCAAACAAAAGTTGACAGTGATAATGCTTTAGCTTATCCAGTCTGCATTCTGTGTTACTCAAGTGCAACTGAGCACCAACTTAGAGCAAGGGTTATGTATGCAAATTCAATAAGAAGGTTAATTTATTTACCTGAAGAAAATGGGAAATTAATTTTTTGATTTGCAACTGTAGTTTAAACTGCAGGCCAAAAAAAGAATTATTTTACATGTGTCCATTTTCAACTTTGTCTTCACATAAGTTCATGTTTCCCAATGTAGTTTCATATGAAAAATAACAACTTTCAGTTGTACAGTTTATTGTTTGTTGTGGTTTTGTTTGTTTATTTTTAATTTTTGTGGGTACATATTAGGTGTATATATTTATGTACATGTATAATTTCTTAATTATACTTATCAGCATAATTTTTTATACCTTTATGTTTTTTATATGCAATATTTTTCCTCCATCCACTTTTGGCAAACATAAAGTTCTTGTATCCTCTGTTCAGATCATTTAAAATTTCATAAAAAGTACACATTAAGACTAAAACAAATCATATGATAGTAATTCAATGTATTTTTACCTTATAAAATGTTATAACATTTTAAAGAATTGTTTTATTCCTTTCCCCCACATATTATTACAATTAACTAAAAATCATAAAAACATTCATTTGAAAGATCAAGAGGCAATACAGAAGAAACAAAGTTAACTTTCAAATTAATACATTGAAAAGTTACAGAAAATAGACTTTTAAAACTATATTATAGTAGGAAGTTTTACTTAATAAAATAACTTTTCAATAAGGAGTTTGTTCTTTTGCAGATCTGCAACTGTTGCAGAAATCATTAACATTATTAAATACATGTTCTTTTTTATTGTAAAATACTTGTGGGTATTGCTTCCCTGACATAGAAGAACAAGTTGCTTTAAGATGAAAAAAGGTTACCACAGTTCAGTTTTGCCAATATGGTAATATACTTGCAGGAAAAAAATTGAGAAATTGGAATTTTGTTCTAAAAATTCAAGCCCAATACGCCTGTGAGCATAATAATTTTGAAAATTAGCTCACTTCTTTTCACAGTGCATGCATGTAGACAGAGCTGGTGATGTAGATCACAGTGGCACAACTTTTATGACAGCTGTGTTTAGCCTGCTTTGGAGCACTATCAAAGAAGAAGTATTAGTCTTTTGCAAAAGCCTCTCCAATCCTTGAACATGTATTTCCTTTCTGCCTCTGCATTATTGAAGTCATTCCAATGACAAGAAGAAGGAAAAAATAAAAATGACACAGCAGTAAAGGATGTCCTACCTAGTACAGATATTAATTCCCGCATAAGAATTCAGGAACTTCTAAGGCTAGCCATGAAAACTTCCTACCCCTCAAATATTCTTTTTCAACTTTTAAAAATTTAAACCATTCTTAATGGAGCAACGCACTACAATGCTTTTCCTGAGAAGCCACCCTCAATAGCTTGAAATGTTCATAGACCTTCCCTAAATGTTAATACACATGAACATATTAAAAATAATTAAACCACATTTTTGCCATAATGTTTTGTAATTTCAAAGCAAGAGTGGTACATGGTAAAATAATCTTTTATTCCTTAAATTTGTAAAAAAATGACAGTTAATTCCCTATTAATTTACTATGAGAAATTTAGAATTTGAAATGCCAATCCCAAAATATGGTAGATAATTTTAATAGTGTATATTTATGGATAAAGTTAGATTTTTACTTTTTAATTTTTATGCTTACTCCTTCAATAACTTAGCCAGGTATTTATAAATTTTATTAAAATCAGTAATTTATTTACACAAAAGAATATTGCTTTCTGACATTTTTATAATTTCTAGAAAAGCCAGATTTCTGCTTTTTGGAAGAAGATCCTGGAATATGTCGAGGTTATATTACCAGGTATTTTTATAACAATCAGACAAAACAGTGTGAACGTTTCAAGTATGGTGGATGCCTGGGCAATATGAACAATTTTGAGACACTGGAAGAATGCAAGAACATTTGTGAAGATGGTCGTAAGTTTATTTCTTATTTCATTTTAGTTCATTTATAGGCATCCTTTTAAAACTAAGGCATCTCAGATGGCATTCTATACTCAGGTTTTGTTTGAGCCATGCAAATGAAGATATATTTGTGTGCATTCAATGTGAGATTTGTGACTGTAGTTTTTTAAAAAGCACAGAAAATTAAGAAATTATTTTCATAGATCTAATACTTTTTATGTTGCATTATTTAATTCTTCTTCCTGAGAATACTGCAGTACAATTTTGGCACAATAGAATTGCTGAAATCTTTCACATTTATACAAATATGAGAGCAAACAGTTACTGAAAACCACCACCTAAAGTCACTCAGTTTTATCTGCCTATAACATTTATTAAAGGGATGACTTAAACATTAACTGCTACGCTTTTTTGACCAAGAACTACAGTTACTCATGGAAATATTACCTTACAATTATATTTAAAGATTCACTGTTTGCTAATTTAACATAGCAATGTGAATGAAATTGCCAGAAGTCTGCTTTTTTAACTGTTGTACGCTTCATGAGTCCAAATATGAGATTGTGACAATGTTTATCTATTTTAATTGGCTGTATTTTTTTCCAGCGAATGGTTTCCAGGTGGATAATTATGGAACCCAGCTCAATGCTGTGAATAACTCCCTGACTCCGCAATCAACCAAGGTTCCCAGCCTTTTTGGTAAGAATCTTGTGGATTTTATTGCTTCCAGGAAACTATTATCATGCTAACAATGAAGTGGATTGTGTATTAGAAGTATGTCTTTAAATATATATATATACCTGCGTTGTTGCTTAATAATGTGTTTGTTGAAATACTGAGATTCAAATTGTTTAAGACATTTAATCTCATAAAAGCAACAATTTTCCTAATCTATTTTAAAGTATGCTTTGAAGTAAGCTTTTGATTATGTATCACATGAAAAACTTTCATATGATATTTAACTCTATGCCAAATTTATTTTGTAAAATGGTGCTAGGAATTATCAGCCTCAGTGTAAGATGGTAAATCATTGTACTGGCACAGCAGTGCATCAAACGCAGTCTAAAGTGCTTTTAAAGTCAGTATGACACTAGGCAAGGTCTCTGGTGTTACTCACAGGACAGATTAGAAATTGATTGAATAACCATGCCTAAATGTTATGTCACTCTGGAGGGAATTTTCTTTTGAATTCTGCAGGACTCTTTTTTATGTTCTTGTCTGTTAACCTATTTATCAGATTTAAACGAATATACAGGAAATATTTCCACAAAATGCAGAGCTGAGAAAATAGTGAAAATACTGGAAAACATAATCAGGAACCACAAATATCTGGGCAGTTAGAAATAACATAAACAGCTAAAAATTACCAGTGTAAAATTGTTAGATCCTAGCTAAATTATAAAAATCACATATTCTTATTCAGATATTGAAGATTTTGTTTAGAAGTAGTCCATGTGAACATGTCAAAGGTAAACTTGGCATGTTTATATATAAACTTAGCCTGAGTGTGAAGAATTCTGTAACTATTAAAATTGCAATCTTAGGATTAAAATAATAATAAAAAAAAAAGAAACAGTGTTTGGGCCAGGAATTCTCTACCTTGGCCATTTATCAGAATCAGATTGGCTTTGAGCTACTCCTCTTTACAACAAACAAACAAACGAACAACTAAGCAAGCAAGCCAACAGAACGCAAACAAAATCCCTGCCCACGTGGATTTGAAGCATTAAAATGTTGACTCCGACTTTTCTAGAAAGAGTCTGTGAATGTTCAGCTGAGTCCCACAGTGATCTAATCATTTGTGGGTCTTGCTTCAGCACTGAATGTCACACCTTGGAAATCACAAGGAGGATTTGAAACATGATTAAAGAGGAAATGAAAAGTGTAAAGAGACATGAGATCTACGAGGGAGCATAATATGTGCTTTTAATAACTGAAACACTATTATGTGAAAGGAGAATTAAGTTCTCTACATGACTTACCCTTTAGTCCTGCCTATTTCACACCCTCCCCAGACCCCCATCCCCATCCTCCCTTATCCCCCTCAACCCAGCCTAAGCATGAGGATTAATGTGTGAGAACTAAAGTATAAATGCCTTTCTATAATATGTTTCTTTCTTATGTGAGATCTTAAAAAATTGATGGCTGTCTCAGGTATTAATAAATTCCCTAAATTGTAGGCATTCAATAAGTGTGCAATTAACACTTAAGAGGTCATTAAGGGGATGCAAACTTTCAGTGGGAGTTGGAAAATACGATATATTCAAAATGACTTCAGGTCCTTACATTCAATAGGTAGAGCAGTGAATTGAATGCCAGATGAACTTGAGTCTAATTTTTAAATACTACTTCGTTCGTAAAAATTAATACTTTTGTGATTCTGACTTATCTGAAAAATTAAGTACTATCGTTGCATTATTTCTTTATGTCTTTCCAGCTTTGTATTTTTCACTCGTATTTTGTTTTATTCAGTTATTATATTTTCAAAAGCACGTTAAATCTTACTGCTGTAAAAGAAAATTTAGAATGACTAAATTAACAGGTTTAAATATACATGTGACACAGTATATCAGTAAGTACAAGAAATGTATGAAATCAGTTTGCAACATGCTTGAATACTTTTGTTTGAATTATTTTACCAATTCAAGTGGAGATCTGCAGTCATTTATCATTAAAGTGAGTAGAGTAGGTTAGGGAATAATTTTGCCTTAAGTTTTTTTGAAGTATAAAATTTAAAATTTTTGGTAAGCATACTACCAAGTTAGAAAGGGCAAAATAAAAATTAGTGTGAGAAAGTAATATTAATGAGTTTTAAATGGCCTCTGATATGTCTTCTTTAGTTTATTGTGTAGATGCACATTGAAAATTGTAACAAATAAATAAATGCTTGTAAAAGTAAATTATTAACTAAGCAGTAAGAATTGACAACATGAATTTAAAAGAAAACAATATTAACAATAATTTATTCAGAATAATAGACATTTAAGGAATAATGTTATCGTAACTGCATTTAAAATTAGGGCAAATGTCTCCTTTATTTGTCTAAAAAACTGTTTTATTTTTGATTGTATATATTGGCCTCAAAATCAACATTCCTCCGGCCAATTTGACCCCTTTTCCTTTTTCTAAGAGCATTTCCTTCCCTTCCCTTCCCCGCCCCTCCCCTCCCTTCCCTCCCTTTCTTCCTTCCTAATCTAAAACATGAAACAATGTTGCAGTAACTAGGAGACATTTGATATTAAGGATGGCATAAGGTGGATTGTCAATGAAGCTATGTTGCCATTCTTCTTAAAACCTACGTGATTTCGAATCTGCCCCAGCCAAGATGCGGAAGTGGGAATGCAGATGTCCCTGTACTCTGTTCTAAAACCTAGATGACCCCTTGTCACTTCTGTCTGAGGGGTTTGCTGAGATCTACAGACACCTCTTAATTTCCCCAATCAAATATAATTACATCTGTCACTGCTTACAATTATATTAATACATTCTATTGTAGTTTAAGAAAATGCAATTCTTTGTTTACATAAAACTTTGTTTTTCAAGGGTTTTATCAAACGTGTAAAGTTCTCTGTGGTATCAGGTTATTTTGAAAAGCTGTAAATCCTTTAAAGTTTCAATTCAATGTACAGGAATAATAATCTGCCCCACAACATAAATGGAATACCAGTCTTTAAATTCTTTCCACTAAATAACAATCTTTAAGTAGAGTATTTGAATATTCTAAAATTCAATTATTATTAAGTGAAATATTTATAAATATAATTTTAATGTTTTTCTTCATGATATTATGGAAGCATTTTAGAAGTTTAGTTAAACATTATCATAATATGACTTTTTAAAAATTGCTATTTATTTTTAATTACTGGAATGTTGTAAATGGCTTTCAAGATATATTTTTCCAGTAAGCTTTCTTGATTCGAGATACTTGAATACTTACTAAGCACAATTCCGGTGTAATTTTTCTTTTTATTTCCACATTTCAATATTAACAAGTTATTTAGGTAATCTCAAAGACAGTCTTACTCTTCCTTAAAGAGATTTTAAATAATGATTTGTAAGCATATCCCTGAGCGTGAGTGCATTATTTCAGTTTGATTGGCTGTGTTGAGTATATCCATGTAGTTAAAATAAATGTGTGTTCTCTCCACCTGAAATATTTCTAAAGCAATTTCCCTAAATGTGTGCAATTTTGCGCATAAACGCTAGAACTGAAAGCCATCACAACTGGTTCTTCTTGATTTCCCCCATGATTGAAATAATGATATAGCAGATAAAAAACCTTTGAGCCTGAAGACATGCGTTAAATTCCCAACTCTTCAACTAATAGCTGTGTGACCCTAAGATATTTCTTAACCTGAGTTTCATCTTTCCAATGTAAAATGAGGATGGTAATATTATAGTACTAAGTTGATAGGTTGTGTTGTGAGGTTAAATCAGTCAAAATACATAACTTTCTTAGGACAGTGCCTGATATCTAGTCAGTTCGTGTAGGGTTACTCATTATTATTATCCATGTGATTCAGAGTAATACACTTAATTCACCAGGCCTTAGATTCTCATTTGTTAAACAACTTCTTTGTAAGTTCCCATTTGCAGAAGAAATTTATATTTCAGACACTCATAAAGTCTCTGGTTATTCAGATAAATGCATCAGTAAATATACAGTCTCAAAATCATGACTAATATTTTAAGAAGAATTCATACTAGAATTAAATTAATGCATATATGGAAACTCGAAGAGTTTGAATGTGTTCATTAGAAACAAGTTGAGATTATTGTCACAGAGGAGTATCATGGGGCTTCAAGGTCAAAAGATGTTTATTTGTATAATTGTTCTTTATCTTTTCGACATTTCCAACTTTCCGAACTTTTTGAGTTCTTCTACTGTTTTTCTGGTTATTCCAATTTGAATGATTAGTAATTTTCTTTGTATCACTTATATTCTTCCAGTCATTCATTAAATTTCATTGCTTTTTATGAAATGTTTATTTCTCTCTCTTCCATTTTCATTCCTATTTATTTCATTCAGATCATCAATCCTTCATGGTTAGATTCCCTAAACAATCATGTCATCCAATTTGGAACACTAATGATAGTTAAAGAGGGTGCTAAAAAATTAAGGTATATGTCTATTTTAAATATATGTATGCATTGACTTAAAAATGGAATTGTCGTTTTGGTGACTCTACAAAAATAGTTTTATATTTAAAAGTATTTCAGTATTTTTAAATCATATATATATATATATATATATATATATATATATATATATATATGAACGTGATATCCCCCCAAAATAAGCATAAACTAATAGGGGCTTAGGCAAACCAGGCTGTATAGACATGAGACAAATAGATAAATAAATAGATATCAGAAAGCTCAGATATGACTCAGATATTGTATATAACACATAATGTAATTATATATCTAACATAAGTAAACTAAAGCATATTAGAGAGAGAGAGACAAAAAGGAACAGTCATATGTAACAAATTATACATGACCTTTTTGACATCACTGTCCTATTTCTAGTCATCGATCATGTGGTAATTTAGCTTCATCCACTTGCCTAAAATTTGTCTGCATTGTCCACTAGTCCTCTATCTATTGCAGATATTTTCTGTCCCTTAAATATAACTTTTTTCCGTCCATTCAAATTGGCCTTTTCATTATCATTAAACACAAATTACTCACTCTTATTCTAAAGGATGTTTTATGTTATTTTCCCCACCTAAAATTGACTGACCCTCCTAATCTTCTTAACCAATCTGCCTTTTCACTACCATAAGGAGGCCTTCTTTCTGTCTCTCTCCCCTGGCTTCTTACTATGATTCCTTCAATACTTGTACTATTAGATATTGTGTTTGCTCTGCCTCACTGTCTAGATTACAAGATTTTTTTGAAGAAAAACATAATGTACTATACAGTTTATAGACTTCCCCCACCCTCAGCATTGACCACAGTGTTAAACATATAAAGATGACTCACATTTTTTATTTATCAATTTTGTGATCCACAGTTACAAAAGAAGGAACAAATGATGGTTGGAAGAATGCGGCTCATATTTACCAAGTCTTTCTGAACGCCTTCTGCATTCATGCATCCATGTTCTTTCTAGGATTGGATAGCATTTCATGCCTATGTTAATATTTGTGCTTTTGGCATTTCCTTAATATTTATATGTATACGTGATGCCTTTGATAGCATACTGCTAATAAAGTTTTAATATTTACATGCATAGTAAACATAGTCTTCTCACTGCACCTCACTTGTAAATGTCTAACTAGCAAAGAAAAATGAATATTCTCAGGAGTTCGTGCTAGTTGTGAGTCTTTTGACCGGACCTAACTATTCATGGAAAAAAAGTCATTTTTTTCCTGATTTTTATACATCCCTTTGCTTCCATACATCAACTATTTGTTTTTGTTTTGTTCTGTTTTGTTTTTTGTTGTTGCTGTTTTTGAGATGGAGTTTCACTCTTATTGCCCAGGCTGGAGTGCAATGGCGCGATCTCGGCTCACTGCAATCTCCGCCTCCCAGGTTCAAGGGATTCTCCTGCCTCAGCCTCCCGAGTAGCTGGGATTACAGGCATGTGCCACCACGCCCCGCTAATATTTGTATTTTCAGTAGAGACAGGGTTTCATCATGTTGGCCAGGCTAGTCTCGAACTCCTGACCCAAAGTGCTGGGATTACAGGCATGAGCTACTCTGCCTGGCCCCATACATCAACTCTTGAGAGGGGCCTTGGAACTACATCAGCTTTATGATATTCTGGGGGGAAGAAAATTCAGGTAGACTTAAAAAGCTACTGCCAACCCAATTCTAGTATTTGGCCACTGACTGAGAAAGGGAACTCCTATATACCTGACCCAGTTCCACATTGCCTCCTGCCAGCCTCCAGGTCCAGGGAAAGTAATTGGATGACATCCTGAAGATCCTTTTGCTACTTGAAACTCTATCCCTCTCCTGAATGTATTCAATGTATGACCTCCAGACATACATTCCATTTATGTGGAAAAAATAGAAAATAAAATCTATGCATACATAAATACATTTTTAAAAGATTTTTGTTATCACTAGCCTTCTGAAACAGGTGTTATGTTCACAAAGGGCCTAATGGACAGCCAAACACAATCACTGATATAATCAATTTATAAATCTGCATGAGATTGTTATTATCTCCTTGTTATTATCTCGCCTCTTGTTGAACGTGTGATTGCATGTAGAGGAATACTGAAACCATGAGAACTTTCTGGAGAGAAACTCTCCCTCACCGGCTAAAGAGTTCCACATCCAGCTGCATACCACAGGCCATCACAAGCACTGTTTACAGTTCTTAAAAAACGAACAAACAAACAAAAAAAACCCACTTCATCCACAGTCCACTTTCATAGTTCTAAAGAAGTATCTTGACTTTCATAATGTGTTCTAAGACCAAGAAGCACAGGAACATCCCTCATAATCTAAAGATGCCTGCATAGTAAATCTGGAGCCTCATATTCTGATTTTCTGACAAGTTGGCTTTCCAAAAATAGATAACAAGTTTTGGACAGCACCCAGCAAGTTTTCTACTTCCTGACAGGAATGCTGATGAGAAACAAAAATGTGGCACTTCATCTCTGCCAAAATCACTGCCATCAAAATGCAGTCACCCTAGATGACCACTGTCTACTTTTCTAATCCCTTTCTTCCTGGACCATCTTTAGTCTTAACACAAGATAATTTGTTGCCCCAGTCATAAAAGTCCTCCAGAGAAGTGTTTCTCAAGCTTGAATAATATATAGATATCTTTAAAAGGAAAAAAAATCACAGACTTCCAATTTGTAAGCCAAATTACTTAAAATAACTTTCATTTTGTATGAACCAGTAACATAGTAGGAATAAATTCATTATGATCATTATACAACTATAAACCAAAAATTGTTTACAAGTTAATACTATGCAAGCTACAAACTAATAAATAATACTAATTTGATAAGACTTCTTTTGCTTAAAAAAAAGAAAAATCCTTATTGTAATATGAATTTAATAGTGACTGGTGTAGGGCAGCTTAGTAATGTGGTAGAAATAGCTTAGACAAACTTGAGCTACTCTAAGTTGTGTGTAATTCTCTACCTTTTTTCTATTTGAGTAATGGAAAATCTTTGCAGAAATGAAATTAAGAAGTATTAATACAAAATGGTGGCTGGGTGCAGTGGCTCACTCCTGTAATACCAGCGCTTTGGAAGGCTGGGGTGGGAAGATAGCTTGAGCCCAGGAGTTCAAGACCAGCCTGGGTGACATGCAGAGACCCTCTCTCTACAAAAGATAAAATAATTAGCTCAGTATGGTGGCCTGTGATCGTAGACCCACTTATTCTGGAGGCTGAGGTGGGAGGATTGCTTGAGCCAGGGAGGTTGAGGCTGCAGTGAGCTGTAATTGTGCCACTGCACTCCAGCCTGGATGACAGCAAGACTCTCTCATAAATAAATAAATAAAATCTGTTGATCAGGAAAATTCCAACTCTGCCTCTTCTAGGGACACAGTGGAGTGGGGTTTCCAGTTTTTGATTATATCTAATCAAAAGTGGGGTTTCCAGTTTTGATTATATCTAATACCACTACATGGATCTGATTGACCAGTGCATTACATGGATCTGAGTGACCAGTGCAGATATGATCACATGGATGCAAGACTGGAACTTTGGTGTGGTTGTTTCTAGAATCAGTCCCTGTTGACCATGCCAACTCAATACTTGTTACTTTCAAATGTTCAAGCTCTCTAAATACTGTTTGAATCAGCACTGTTGCACCAAGATTTGTTTCTAGCCTCCTTGTATGATGACATATTTTGATTAGAACTCTTTCTCCTGTTCAAACTTAGGAAACTTCAACTTCATGTTTGTAACTGTGGACTATGGTACATTTAGCATGTTCTGAACCTGAGCTTCAGAAAAGAGGGAATTTGGACATCAGTTCTAAAGGAGAAGTTGTGACAATTTTATTTTTATCTGATAAAATTATTAAAATAGTTTTGCTCAGGTATTATTTTCTTAATTTTCTAGTTAGTTTTCAGAATGACATATCTTAGTGGTTGAGAGCATTGACGTTATAGAAAGAAAGATGTGGTTTTTAATTCCAGTTCTGCTATTTGCTGACTCAGTCTGTGGCCTTGAAAAAAAGATCACAAAATTTCGCTTGGCTTCAGGTTCCTCATTTGTTCTATGTGGCAAGAAGTATCTCAAAACTTTTGGAAAACTGTAATGAGACATAAAATTCTTAACCCAGTTGTTGAGCACACAATTAAAGCACAAAGTATTAATTTTTGAGGTTGTTTTCAATGATGATGATGACGACCTATTTTCATCCGAGGTTTATAGTCAAAAAATGAGTACTATTTGTATACATTTTGTTATTGATCATTTTTAATGAAGCTAAAGTCTGTAACCTTGATCTGACATATCTTCATTTAACAAATTTTATTCTAAGTTTCTTTGAAATAACATATATAGCACTTGAAAATTCAAACATAATTATACATATTTTTTGTCTTTGGATCTTATAACTAATTGAAGGACATATACACCTATATTTTCAACTTTATCTTATGACCTAAGGTACAGATCTGTGTACTTCCTAATTTCAGTTCATTTCAGCAAACATTGAGTGTCTCCTACACGGGACTACCATAGGTACTGGGAGTATGAGAATAATAAAAGTGTAAGTTTGTCCTTTATAGGTGTTTTTGTCAAATAGGGAAGAAGATAAATAAATAGGTGACTTCAATGCCTGTGTTACGTGCTAAGACAGAGACCTGCACAAGGGTTACGGGAGAACAGAGTCACAATAACATTTTACATTCATTAAACAATGTCATAATTAAAATATTCTATCTTCTCAAAACTTGAGCTCTATCTTCATCTTCCACTTCAAACTCGTTTGCCTGGATGCTGGCTAACCCATGGACATAGTCTACAATTTCCTCTTTATATTCAGATATTTTTCTAAGTAAAGCCACAATGAATAAAAGCCACCAAAATTTACAAAAATTACAACTATTATAAGTAGAATTTATTCTATAATGTTTCATAACATGTTAGACAAGTATTACATCTTCTGAATGTAGAAACACTAGAATTATTTCATCTCTAGCTCTCTACCTGCCCAAATTCAATCTGGTGCTTAATTTTAGCTACTCCCATGGTAACTGCTTCGGTTGTGGTAATTTTATATTCTTCTCTATTAGAAGTTACTGGATTCAACCTAAGCATGCCTGGTTGAGTTTGCTTCATGTATTCAACAAGATCAGAACTTGTATTTTCATTATTCAATAATTTCAGTGGCTCTTTAATGTCTGCATTATAAAAATCTAAATATAATAGTATTCAAGAATCTTCTTAATTTGACCTAAATGTAATTTTCCAGCCTTGTATCCCACTATACTCTTTTTTGTGTTATGTTCTCCAGATAGCCTGGAGTTTGCGAAGTACCCCCAAGCAAACCAGAAACATTCTGACCTTTGTGTTTTCACTTTCCTTCACCCATATGCTTCTCTGTATTCTCTGCTTACTAAAATCCCATTCTTCCTAAAAAGCTGATCAACAGACTAAATGTTAATTTTTTACTTTTACTAAAATTTTGTAGGGCTTAAAATTTTACATATATGTCATGAAGAAAGTTTTTCTAATGCATTATAAGATATAATTATCTTAGAATAAAGTATACTCAATAGCTGTATAATCTATAATTTTACCATGGCTTTCTTTCTTTGTGGCCTTGCTTAGACAAATCCCTGAAGAAACATGACTTTATGGACTCTGTCCATGGATTACGCAGTATCTAGGCAATGAAATCCAACCCAGAGAACATCTACCCAATTTATTTCCTTCCCTCTTAATATGTGGAGGGAGTTTCTGTCTGGGCAGGTTTTCACTCAGTCTATTCTTTATGACCTTTCAATTTTAAGTTCACTGGCAACCCTCCTTCTATACTTTATCCTCAGGTAAGTGGCCCAGTATACACATGCGGGGGGAAAAAAAAAAGCTCCACAGTGCTTGTTTTTCCATTCCCTTCCCCGTTTTTTTTTTCTTTATAGAATATCACTTTCCACCAATTTAATACCACTTCTCCTGATTAATGAATAGAGATACATACTCTTTCTTTTTTACAGAGAGAGGGACAAGTTTACCACACATTCCTACTCAGAAACAGATTCCAATCTCTAATCTCTAGGCTTTTATCTATTACCTCAGGACACTGGACTCACTCTAACATATTATTTCTATCATATATCTTGAGCATTATGATTGCAAAGAATTTGAATAAAAAAGAAAATAAAAGAAGAAAAACTGGCCATATCCACATTATGCAGAAACAATCACTGTTGGCATTCTAGCATATCTCATTTACTATTTTCTTGTATTTTTTTTCAACTTACCACAAAGTAAATAAAGTTCAAGACTGGAAGTAGCTGCTGGAGGAGCCCGAACAATATAGAATAAGCTCAGCATAAAAGTATCTTTTTGTAAAATTTAACCTAGCAAATCTCTAAGCTCCCTACCTAATAAAGCTATCTCTATAGTAATCATCCTCCCAACTGATTGCATGTCCTCTTAAATATTTGCCCAATGGATACATATATAAATTCTATTCTCATTTATATGTGCTTGTATATATATGTATGTATTGTGTGTTGGTACAAAATATAAATTATTATATTTTCTTGATTCTAACATGCAGGTTTTTCTACCTTTTAACATGATTCTAATGATGATGAAACTTATAACTGATAGTGTATAACAGTGTAATTATGTTTTTCTTTCTTTTTTTTTCGAGATGGAGTCTTGTTCTGTTACCCAGGCTGAAGTGCAGTGGCTCAATCTCAGCTCACTTGCAACCTCCACCTCCGGAGTTCAAGTGATTCTCCTGCCTCAGCCTCCCTAGTAGCTGGGACCACATGCGTGTGCCACCACGCCCAGCTAATTTTTGTATTCTTAGTAGAGACAGGGTTTCACCTAGTTGGTCAGGCTGGTCTCAAACTCTGGACCTCAGGTGATCCACTCACCTCGGCCTCCCAAAGTGCTGGGATTACAGGTGTGAGCCACCACGCCTGGCCGTGTCTTTCTTTGTTTATGAATAGTACATAAAATAATAGTGCATCTTCAAATTAATGACATTTGGATTTCATATAAATGATATTTCATATAACATTTGGCAAGCTATAAGCAGTTTCTTGTCCCACATAGTACTCTTCTACTTTTGTTGGCATGGGGAAGAAAAAAGTGTTGAATAGGAGATAAATTCATAGCAGTAAGGTCCATGGTTTGCTAAATGGTTTAGGCACTTTAAATGTCGTTGTAGGCATATAAATTTGTGAAAAGTTTCAGTGGAAAATTCAGCAACATCTACCAAGTTATAAATTGAATATAGATTTTGCATAATTCTAATTTTAGAAGTATGTCCTCTGGAAGCACCTGAACCAGTGTACATGGGTGTTCATGAGCCACTGTCTGGTACTGAAAAAAATAAATTATAATAATCCATATGTCCATTTGACTAAATATACTGTAGTCAACTCATAAAATGAAATACTGTACCTACATTAAAAAGAGTGAGGCCTATATAAAAATGTGGAGACACAGCCACAAAATATTATCAAGTATAGTAATATAGAATATTATATTAATACATTTGAATATGCAAACAATTTGGAGATATGTAAACCATTGGTAGTGGTTAAAGGGCAAGAATCAAATTATGGATAAATTTTGTTTTACATTTGTTATACTTTTATATTATTTCAAAGTTTTACAAAGATAATTTGCAGTAAATAATTTATATTTCTCTTTACTACAAAATTATAGAGAAAAAAACTTTAAAAAAGATTTGTTATTCAATTCCCTAAAAAGTCTTAGAAGAATAAAATAAATGTACTTAACAAGTTGTAAGATATTTCTTAAAACCTAGTTTGTTTAGTAAAACAAAAGCCTAAGTAGGCAAGCCAAATGGGAATCATAAAAAAGATACCACAGTAAAGATTCAAAGTGAATATATGATTCAAAGTTTACTGTACAAATCTCAAAGCAAATTTACATTAACAACTTTACCTGTAAAACTGAGTTTAGAGCACCATCTTACAGTTCAGCAGTCACACTAGATCATGATAGTTCCTGATTTAAAAAAAAAAGTGTACCCTGAATTCTGAAACCTATCAAAAACCCTGTAGACAGAAGGTACACAACTGGTTATTAATGGCAGAATCAAGACAGAATGCATTTGATTATTAAATTCCCTTTGGAAAAACAACAAAAGTCAGGTTAGTGTCTTTTTATTCTATCTTAACTTTCTGTCAATAATTATAATCTCAACTAAAAAAATTACATTTCGCAAAACCTTTATATTTTCTTTCATTGTAGATAGCAAATTCTGGATTTTGAATAGATGAGTGCTGATCTATATGTAGAATAAATTTGCTATTTGGAAACAATGAAGTTTTTCTCTTCAAGAAGTGAAAAAAATTCAAATGGAACTAAAATGTTCTTAAGAAACCATTTGCTTCATTACTTTAATTTTACTGTCATTTATGGTATAGTAACCCAATGATAGTCTTACTGCTCAGAGTTAAAATGATCTTAAGATAAATGAATTAGTTTACGTATTAGGTAAAATTTATGTTCTGAAGAATAACCGCCTTATAATGATTCCTTAACTGACAATAATTTATTGCATCTTTAAAAACCTCTAAAAGTTAATTACACATAATACAATATCCTTAGTGATTAACTTCACATTTTAATGCACTATCGAAATATTGCCATTTCTAGTGTTAGGAACCTCACTGTTGATCTGGGTCAAAACTCTGTTGTGTTGAATGATCTGCGTAAGCAGTGGTTGAAATCAGGGCAAAGTAAGATAGATAAACAACTGACATTGCATCAGTCATGGACAAGTAGGAGCAAGTATCTGATTATAGGTGCATCTGCATACCAAATCCCAGGCTGTCAGAAGCAGCATGCCAGACACCCTCTGATTCAGAAGTCATAAAGAGTGTCAGTAGAGGCAATCTGATGCCTTGGATAATTTAGTGAAGTTTTCTCTGCTGGCATCTATGCTGGTCAACTGTCTGTTTGCTCTCAAACCAATCCCCTGCTCATGTGGTTTTATGGGGAACTTTCTCCTCTGGCTTCTGAAAGGATTTGGTAAATGGCAGGCCTTGTTGGATGACTGGATAGTCAAAGGAAGACTGAAGCTAGCATATGTCTCTCCACCACATCTGTGGTGTATCTTCCATGGTTTCAGCTTCAATGGAAAGGCCCAAATGGTTCTAGGATTCACCTGCTGTTCTTGGTCTATGATAACAGAGGCTCCTCTTCTCATACGTCCAATCTAGGGACTGTAGCCCCATATGTACTAGCCTAGCTTTTTCCCATTTTGAAATAACCTTGATTTTATGATTGGGCCATGTTTACTATAGGTTGTATGTGGGAAAAGAGAAGAAGTTTGCTCCCTGTCATCAGAAAATTTTCTCTGTTCTGGAATAAGGGGGCTTGATGTCTGGCATTGCTATTTAGACGTAACAACTAACATTTGCAAAGAAGGATACAACTTACAACCACATTCACACATATTATCTGCAACTTACTGTGGGCAGATATATCTTACATACAAAATGCTAAAGTGAAATTGATGTATAAGTCATATATCATTTTATCATACACATCTATTTCGAAGTTACTGTGGGTGTTTAAACAGGAAAAAAAGCGATAGTAATTTCCTGTTTTCTCTGTTTCTCAAATTAGGTTAATTGCATCTAGTGCATCTCTTTTGTTTCTGAACATAGGTGATAACTGGAAGCTCATGAGATCAAAGTGGTGGCAATTAATAATCATTTTATATTCTACACTGTGCAAGGATGATGATAATACACATCCCACACATTGGAAAAGTGTGTACAATAGTACAAATCAATTACAATATAACTCTCCTAGACTGCTAGAAAATTCCTCTAATATAAATGATTCTTAGTGACAGGAAATGTCAACATTTTCTAGAATGTCTAGCACACATTCTCACCATTCAACTTTGATTTATGATGGCATATCATCATGTCAAAGGATACAAAATACAGGCATGTAGGATAAATAAGCCTAGAGATCTAATGTACAACATGAAGATGACAGTTAGTAAAACAGTATTGTGTTAGGGATTTCTGTTATATAAGTAGATTTTAGCTACCCTTGTCACACACACAAAAATGTAACTGTGAGAAGATGGGTATGTTAATCTGCTTCACTACAGCAACTATTTTACTATCTATATGTATCCCATAACATCATTTTGTAAACCTCACATATACACAATAAAAATTATTTTAAAAATCACGCACTATAATCCCCACATAGGAGAAGGTAAAACATAAAGGGCTACATATGATTTAAAACGATGTTTTCATTTTACAAATCCTAGAAGGTCTTCTTAAAATCACTGCATATATACCTAGTCAAAGACCTAAGTAAAACTAAATACTCTTTATTTGATTATAGTTCTGATATCTTATTGATATAGTTTGGCACAAAAATATCACCTGTCTCAAATTTCTTCTCATAAATTATTCTCACAGTATTCATTCCCTCTCATATTTCCCAGAATATTTTTTATTACCTGAGTTACTATATCAAGACACTCTAGTCCTTATTTAAATATCTAGAAGGCAGGAGGTGGTAAAAAATGTTTATATCAATTTGAGATTTTTTTTCATTTTTTTCTCACTTTGTTTTATTTCTTTTCTTTTACAGTCTGTTCATCTGGGGTTTATTTGCCAAAAGACTGCTTCTTGCTTAAAGCACAATCTATTCACCTTCATTAACTACTGGATTCCTCAAAGTTCTATTTTCTGCTAATATTGGACATTTAGCAAATCTTCCTCCTCTGTATTTGCTTGTATCACATCTCACCATTTGACAAAGCCATTAAAGTTTTCTTGTATTGATTCCTTGCCATACAACTTACCTGTAGTACTGGTTTATTAACATCAAGCAGTTTAGCTGTGCTACCGAAGAGTACTCGGTGCCCCTCACTGACAGTAATTCCCAGAGAGCTAAAAACTAACATTCAGCTGAAACTAATTTCTCTTTTGATTTGGCAAATGAGTGCTCCTTTTATTACCCTAATTGTATTTTTCTCTTCTGTTTTTGAAAACCATTGATTGATCCCATTGACAAACCAGCTTATCTGTCTGATCCAAATCAATTTGCTTCCTTTGCAAAAACATTTAACTCATCTAGAACTAAGCTTCAAATATGAGAAAAAAAATGCTACCAAGACAAACAACTCATCTGGACTCATTCCTTGAAACTTAAAACTTGCCATACCTGAATTCCTCCACTTTAAACTGTGCTTGTATTACATCAGTCAGCATGTGCTTAGTCAAGAGAAGTAACTCTTCCTCAGCTTCAGTGTTTTTGTTACATCACAAATAAAAACTTTGCTCATTAGAATTTTTTAAAGCCAAATATTTGTGAACAAATGATATGTAAATTAATATATATGTGTGATGTGTGTGTGTGTGTGTGTGTGTGTGTGTGTGTCTGTAAGAAATTTTCAGCAGTTACATTGTTGAAGAGTGGTTTTTATTATGTACAAATAGTTTGTTCATATAAAGAGTAATCATAACACTTCTCTTTAGCAAATGAGATTTTTTAATTCATTGGAGAAAGATCTCAATATACTGGACACATGGTTTTGTTAAGCATTTTCCTAGAATTGAAATGCACGAATTTTATTAAATACCCCTTTATTCAGATTACTGTTTTACATACACATGCAACAACATTAATCTATAAACAATATACAATACGAAAACCTGAAATCCACTATCACATATGGCTTACCATGTTTTCCTGATTGTTTTTAGAATTTCACGGTCCCTCATGGTGTCTCACTCCAGCAGACAGAGGATTGTGTCGTGCCAATGAGAACAGATTCTACTACAATTCAGTCATTGGGAAATGCCGCCCATTTAAGTACAGTGGATGTGGGGGAAATGAAAACAATTTTACTTCCAAACAAGAATGTCTGAGGGCATGTAAAAAAGGTATAGAAGATACTCTTCCCATTAATTGACTAGTGTTTAAGATAGCAATTGAATTGAAATGATAATCTATTAAGATATGAAATTAATTATCTTTATTATAAGAAAGTATAATCTAGCTAATAAATGTCCTCTTCAATTACATTTAGATAATATTGCTAGATATGTAACTGTAATTTCTTTTAATGTCCTCATAGAAAAAGAATCAATTTAAAACAAATTAAACATGTTATTCTTTTAGTGTTCAAATACTAAGCATTCACTTTAAAAGACTATACCAAAATTGTTTTAAGCTTTCTTGTAATGCACAAAATTTTAACATATTTATTAATGTCTTCTGAATATAAAAGTAATGCATGTTTATAAAAGACTAAGAAGAGTATAAAAATGCAAATAAAAACTATCTGTAACTTAATCAACCACATACAACCACATTTCTACTATTTAAAAATAAAGCAAGCATGGATTTGTAACAGAAGAGGAACTAATAATAAAAATGAACGGCATGCTTATCCATTTTTATTAACTCATATATGCAAAGTAACGTCCTTAAAAATAAATTGTTCTACACGAATACATGGACAAATTAAAGGCTTTTAAATCAATAACATCTTTTGGATTTAAATATTAAAAGTTACTTTGAGAAGATTTTAGATAAAACATTTCATTGTGTTATTTTATCACACATTAATTTATTCCTCTTCCTCTTATAGGTTTCATCCAAAGAATATCAAAAGGAGGCCTAATTAAAACCAAAAGAAAAAGAAAGAAGCAGAGAGTGAAAATAGCATATGAAGAAATTTTTGTTAAAAATATGTGAATTTGTTATAGCAATGTAACATTAATTCTACTAAATATTTTATATGAAATGTTTCACTATGATTTTCTATTTTTCTTCTAAAATGCTTTTAATTAATATGTTCATTAAATTTTCTATGCTTATTGTACTTGTTATCAACACGTTTGTATCAGAGTTGCTTTTCTAATCTTGTTAAATTGCTTATTCTAGGTCTGTAATTTATTAACTGGCTACTGGGAAATTACTTATTTTCTGGATCTATCTGTATTTTCATTTAACTACAAATTATCATACTACCGGCTACATCAAATCAGTCCTTTGATTCCATTTGGTGACCATCTGTTTGAGAATATGATCATGTAAATGATTATCTCCTTTATAGCCTGTAACCAGATTAAGGAATACAGCTCTTAAAAAATCAAGAACTTCCTGAGTTTCACATATAAAATGGTGACAAACACCTGCTTCTGATAAAGTTTATCCAATTTTGTATTTATAGTATTCTATTGTAATAATAGAATTCTATTATGTGCTTCCCTCCTTAGACATAGTTTTTCTCCTTTTGTACTAACCAGTACTTCCATCTATATTGAGCTAAACTGTCTTTGAACAGTCAACTCTGCATCATGTGCCTGCCTGATTTGGATTGGTTTCACTTTTTTTTTTGTTTGACCATAGCCCATTCTATCAGTCAAGATGACTGAATAATTGTGTGTTAAATACAACTCATGATAAGGAGAACCTTTATGGAAACAAGAAGTTTTATGGCAATCGAGAGGGAATTATTTATATGTACTTCTTAATACTATGCTTCCCAATATTTTTTCTTACTAAAAATAACAAAAATATTTAAACCTTCTGAAATCTATTCAGTTATCATTAGGATTTGCACACAATGCAACTAATAATTCATGCTTTAAAAAGTAGGTTATTTCTGTTGAAGAGAAAATTATCAGCAGGGAAGAGTCTACTAGAAAATTCATGTGCTAGTCATTCTTGGGGATTTAATATTTTGCTGGAGTTAATTCACTATATCCAGACCTGTATCTTTCATTTATTGCTGAGCCATGTGCAGTCTGGCATCTCAACAACCTCAACAACCTCAACAACCTCCAAGACATGTCAGTTTCTGTAGTGTTCACCTCAAATCTGACACTGGAATTGGAACTGATTTAGAAACAACCATTTCATTCATTTGGTATGACTAGCTTCATGACTAGCTTCATGAATAGCTTCATGAATAGCTTCATGACTTCTCGCTAACAATGATAGTATAATTCTGCCTGTTCTTCAGGATTGAAATTTTGAACTCAATTTAGATTTCCTGTTTTCCCTCATATACCACATCTAAACAGTCTCCAAATCTTTATGCTTTTTTTTTTTTTTTTCGAAAAAGTTCACCCAATCCCTAGGCTTTTTACTTTTTTCTTTTTCTTTTCTTTTTTCTTGTTTTTTTTTTTTTTTCATTTTGTTTTGTTTTGTTATGTTTTTTTAGACAGGGTCCCACTCTGTCACCCAGGCTGGAGTGCAGTGGTGCAATCACAGGACACTGAAACCTCCCACCTAGCTGGGACTAGAGGTGCAGGCCACCACACCAGCTAATTTATGTAATTTTTGTAGAGACGAGTTTCACCACGTTACCTAGGCTTGTCTTGAACACCTGGGCTCAAGCAATCTTCCAGCCCCAGCCTCCCAAAGTGCTGGGATTACAGGTATAAACCACAATGCCCCCGTTTTTACTCTTTACTGCATCCTTCCCATCAGTATTAATTCCTCAGAAATTTAGTACATTCCTCCACCATTTCAAAATGCTCCCAGAACTCACACTAGTTGGTACTTAACTACAACCTTCAACCTCACCATTTAATTTTGATGTATGTTTTTGGATTTACCAACAGTACTTTCTTTCATGACTACTTTGATTTAGTTAAGAATGCTCACTGTACACTGAATGTTAATTACTCAGCTAATTCACACTGATTTCCTGTTTAAAAATATGATCCCCTCCAGGCCATTCATGTGAAGTCAGGGTACAGCTGATGCCAGCTACAGAATCACTATGTTTCAATATGGAATATGAAAAGTCCTAACACATAATTGCAAATCATTTTCTACTATGGTATACAAATTTTATCATTACAAAATAGTATCAGCTTTTTTCACTTAAGGAAAATAATACATCTTCATTCAAATATTCAGTGCATAAATAATTGCCTTAAATTGAGTCTTTGCTGTGGAATTTGAGAGTTTTGGAAATCAAAGGCCCTTGTGAAACATTTCCTGTTGCCATTTATTTATAGATAGCAATAGCTTCAAATGAGTGGGAAAGTCTACTTAGGTGAAGTGGTAAATAGTCACTAAGATTGTATAAATAGCGCATTGATGAGTTGCCTAATTGTTTTCTCCAACAATAACCACTGGTCCATTGGTTCACTACTTACTCAAGAAAGACATATACTGAGATGGCTTGAAATGTTTAATGCATGTGAACGTTATTTTTACCGTGTTTTGGAAAAAGATCTTGATGTTATTGTCTTCCTTTATTTTCCACAATTAAGTGCATCTAACTGTGAATTGTATATGGAATTACATTATTCAGCATATACATATATTTACCTGCTTTGTTCATTCTCTGTATTCAAAATTAACAGATCATGCTGAAAACCACTCAAACGATTATATTTTTTACATTATAAGAAGTAAAATATATTATTCTGAATAATGAAACCTGGCTGTTGTACTCGTAAAGATTTTAGTACATAAAGAATTCAATGCTCATTAGTTATCATAACGGTACAAAATCTTAAGACCAAAAATGATTGTTCCCACACTCTGGTTTTATTTCCTTAAATTGGAATTGTTAATAGCTGCCTTTTAATTGCAAGTACACACCCATATATTATAATTTATTTGTCAAACAAATTAGTACACTATGTCCTAACAATCTATACATTTAAAATTTACTCTGCTACATATATATTTTCATCACTCATTTCATATACAATTGTATGAATATAGACATGTATATTTAAATATATGTTATATAACTATACATTACATAACTTCCTATCCTGGCTATTGTATTTGGCCTAGCCCATCTCTATATCAGAAGAAAAAAAATCATGACACTAAACTAGCTAACTAGGCTGTTGGTTGATTCTGTCATCAGCGGCTCCTGCTCTTACCTGGTTTTTAGCAAATTAGCAATTTTATTTAGTGTTTCCAACTTTTGACTTTAAGTGCTTTCTCAGGGACTTTGGCTGGGATGTACTTTAATCACTTTCCCCACATTTTGCTAGGTAGAACAGAAAACCTTGCTTTTGTTGGTCCTGCAGGTCCAGTTTCTGAACTACTTACAACCACATAGCTAGTTTCTTGGTTAGAATTACTCAGAGTACTTATAAATATAAGAAATATTTAGATAGTAGGTGCATGGTAATTTATTGTACCAGGAAAAGGGAGACAGAGAGAGACTTTAACCTTATAATAAATAAAATGGAGCATTAGGACAATGAATATGATTTCCTCATCAATTCAGCCACAGATTGTAAAATTTCTAGCCCAATCAGTTTGAAATAAAACAGAGATATATTTGAATCACAAAACTGAAAAGACCAGAGGAATTTGATTTTAGTATAGATAGATTCAGGGTCGCATATTAGGTCAATAAAACTCAGTCTATCTTTGGCTCATGATTCTGCTGCTCAATATATTCTGCCTTTATTTTCTAGTTGCACAAGGTTTCAATATGACTTTCAGAATTTAAGGTCCACATCTTTTCAGGGTAAAGTCTTCTAAAAATTTTTGGATTCTCCTACCTCAGAGAATTGAGTTAAAGTCCTGGCTTCGCGCTCATTGACCCAAATGTCTTAGGTCACCTTTGAACCTAACATCTTGTTTAGAGAGATATGACTGTCTGATTGACCATGTTGATTCACAAGTCCACTCCTAAATATCTTTCTCGTGTAAACACTATCTGAAACTTGTAATCTGACTAGCAGGGCTGGGACTAGAGTGAGGCAAGTGAGGTAATCTCTTCAGGCACAACATTTAAGGGAACGTTAAAAAATCTCAGTAACCAAGATAAATAATATGGTAATGCAACATGTTTAAAAAATTAAAATTATAGCAAACATCCATGATAAATAAAATATCAGAATTTAAAAAGACAGGATCAATAACCAAGTCATATTGGAATCTAAGGCAAAAGGAAAAACTAGTAATACTAATAATTTTTAGTAAATGTAAAATATTTCAAATTTAACTATTGTTTAATATAATAAAAATACTATAAGGTAAATTATTATTATCAATGGAGAAAGAAAAATCCTTTAATGAAAGTTAATGCTTGTTTAATGATTAAAACTTTTAGCAAACTAAAAAAGATACCT
The DNA here is from genome assembly GCF_000001405.40 of Homo sapiens. Classification (NCBI taxonomy): domain Eukaryota; kingdom Metazoa; phylum Chordata; class Mammalia; order Primates; family Hominidae; genus Homo; species Homo sapiens. The sequence goes on along the minus strand of NC_000002.12, from coordinate 187,462,565 downwards.
GATAATATGAGGATGGATATCAACCAAAAACATACAATAGCATGACGCTGTGTTAAAATTTTAAGAACATTTCCACTAAAGTCCACTACCTGTGCTATGCAACAGTCAAGCAATCTTAATTCATAACTAATGCAAAAAGGCAAGGAACAGAAATTAGATATAAATATTACATTATATTTTAGTTATATAATATGCTTATCATAATTGAAAATTCAAGATAATCTGAAGCACAACAATTAGAAATAAATAATACTGGAGTTTAGCAAGGTTGCTATATGAAAGTTGAACATACGAAATTGAAATGGGAAAAGTTCCCAGATCCGGAAAGGGACATGTGATGGGGGAGGGGCTTGCTTCTTCAGTGCCCGGCTGCTCAAACCTCTAGGGGAGCATACAGACAAACAGTCCATGGGGCTCTAACCCCACGGCAGTGACTAGAGGTGGATGTTTACAGCTCCTGAAGCCCCAGTGGGCGTGTGTTACAGGGTGCTCTTTTAGTTTTGCCGTCTACAGGCTTGTGTTAACCAGCTCATAGACCCGCTTACTTACCACAAGGACGGAGGGATTTCTGTATCCCAGGGTTTCCTGCCGTGGTGTACCGGAAGAACCAGATCACGCGAGGGCTTGGAGAATGAGTCCGAGGTTTTACTGAGTAGAAGTAGTTCTCAGCAGATGGGGGAGCCAGATGGGAGATGCACCAGGGGTCCCTCTGCTTAGCGGCCCGTGCTCTCCTCCTCCTGATCTCGCTAAACTCCACATCGTTCCTCCAGTCAATGGCCTGCTGTCCTGCCAGTGTCTGTCATGTGCTCTTCCACTGGCATGCTCCCCTCGACATCCTCTCGATGTCCGGCTGCTTGTGTCTTCTTCCGCTGATCCCCTCCTCTGGACGTCCAGACGCTTGTGTATCTATCTGCCTGCTAGGGTCTCAGTTTTTATCCGCCCAGGATGGGGGTGTGGTGGGCCAGGGTGGTTTTGGAAAATGCAACATTTGGGCCCAAAGGCAGGAGTGCCTGTCCTCACCTAGGTTCGTGGGCACAAGCCAGAGGGTGAAGCCCTAGCCAGGAACCGGCCTTGCTCTACCCAGCACTTCCCTGTCCCCCGTTCGGTATCATTTAAAGGGACCATGCTCGTCCCTTCCCAGCACTCCTGTATCAAAATCAATAGCATTTCTGTACACTAGGAAAAATGTACTAGCCACAATAGAACAGAAACCCTAATTTGCCCAACAGTAAATCCCACAAAAGATGATTTTAAAAACTTTTAGATAAAAAAATCTTATATTGAAAATTCAAATATGTTATTGAAGTACATAAATGGAGCTAAATATTTTCCTGTTTGTTGTAACTTCTATAATTAGTATTCACAGAGAAATCAGCCAATGATAACACTAGGTTATAAGAAAGAAACTCTTGGTAATTAAAATGAAATAAATGGTTTTTTAAAATCAAGAAATAGAAGATAAAGTTAAAAAAAAAAATCTCTAAGCTTTGGAAAGAAGAGGTCATTAGGATGGAAAAGAAGATAGAAAAGATAAAATTTCGCAATTAGTTCAGGTGCCCTACCTTGAAGTGTCAAAAGGATCTGGAAAATAGCAGAGATAAATAGAGGGGAGAGACATCTTACAGAAAAAGAATAACAGAGATTCCCTTCACTGAAATGGTGTGTTGTACCCAACAAAGGGTAACCGCCTGACATACCCCCTCTGCACACACATGAAATTTCAAATTCTAGTAACGAAGAGAAAAGTCCTAAGAACAGGAGACTGTGGAGGGATAAGTCACATACAAAGAAATAGAAATAAAAAGGAATTGTATATTTCCATGACAGTAATGGAAGGAAGCCACAAGACAGTTGAATGTAGAAGTCTGAGGGATGGAGAATGGCTATTTACTTGCTAGAAGTCTGTTTGTACTAACTTATCTTTCAATTATGTGTGTGTAGTGCTTTGCTGAAAGATGGGAAAGAGGCTTTGGGAAAAAGTTTTAGAATATAAACTAAGAGATACTGTTTCTAGTACCAGTACTAACCTAGTGGATGAATTTTTTTGACCATCTAATTTCTCTGGCCCCATATTTACTTATATTTAGAATGAGTGTTTTGGACTAGACTGGTTATATAAACAAGTTTTTTGGTTTGGGTAATTTTAAGATTTTATGGCAATACTCTCTATTTAAAAGTATCTAATACCAACATATGTTAAGCCAAAAAAAAATGGAGAGATGTTCTGTGATTAAAAAATAAAAATCAACATTGGCCGGATTCTACTGTTAGCAATATCCATACCCCCCCCAGCATAAGGTTGTTATGTACAGTAGTCTTCTATATTCTTCAAAAATAGCCTATGCTGATGGAGCTTGACATCTTCAAACTGACTATACCTACAATTTCCTTTTCCAGTGCCTGATTAATTCCCAAACATCAAAAGATTTTATGAGAAGCTTCCAAGTAATTACCTTACAGGAGGTCCCACATACTGTGGGATTTTCTGAATGCCTTAATAATGGGTTTTATAATCAAAAAACATTTCTGAATCCATTAACTTTTTCTTTCTCAATATTATATATATCGTAGGGAAAATAATATATGTGGATCTGATTTATACTACTCATCAAGGCGTTTCAACCTCATGAGAAGTTTTGAAATAATTTTTAGACCGTTTTTGTCTCTTAAGTATTCTAAAAAAGCAAGCCAAATTTAATTAAGAATAATTAACTAGAATTAGATTTTTCTAGTACCAAAATGTTTTATCTCAATCAACAATTTATTCTAAGTTTTAGACAAATCCTAATTGTAGCCAAAATCAACTCATTCCTGTCAACATTGTTGATGATTTGCTATTCTTTTTCATTACAAGATAAAATCAGCCAACTCAATTATGAACTTGAATTTCTTTAGGGACTTAATCCATATTTAATCTGTATTTGCACAAGGGGCATAATTCTAATTTACTGAACTCTTTTTCTAAGCTGCAGGTGTTCTTAAATTAGAAGCCAGAGGAAACTGCTACTTCCTTCTTGTTAGTCAGTTTTTGGAATCAGAAAGCAAGAACTTTGACTTTCCAACAGTATTTTTTTTTAAAACATATTCCCCACTCTCAACAGAATGTTCCACAAAATTTGTAAGTCACTCTAGGGAAATTTCCAGAGTTTCAAGATGTGAACAGCTGTGAGCTACCTAAATGATCCATCTTGCCAAGAAATTGTTACTCCAGAGACGACGAAATAAACAATTACCATTTTTTATTGAAAGTTTCTGCCACTGTTCAATGAGAAAGTATTTAAAATTCTAAAGCTAATGACTGTATATGTTAGGAAACTTTATTTATCTCTTTACATATTCTTTATTAACTATTTTCTTTCTTCACAAGCTACACACACACACACACACACACACACACACACACACACATACAGAGTCATTTAATTAGGGAGAAAATATTTAAAACCACTGCATTCCACAGTTTCTCTCATCTCCACTGGTTGTTAATAAACTGGCAGATGCACATGAAGACTATTTTATGACTATAATGGGAGAAAAATCAAATACCAAATCAAATATGATGATAAAGAATACAGGGTTTGGATTCAAATCAACTTAGATTTGAATTCAATAGGCCTTCATATCAATCCTCTTGCTTTGTCTGTAAAATAATTGTGAGGGCAAATGAGAGCATACATAGAAGAGGGCTTAGTACAGTACTACATAGTAAAGATTCAATAAAATGGTAGCATTTGGTATATACAATTTACTGACTGTTTAATATTTCAATGTTTTAGAATACAGTCTCTGAGATGTAATAATAGTTATTCAAATAAGCTAGGCAATCACAAGTCAAAGTAGAAAATTTGAGGTAAATTTTGTCTGCTAAGGTAATTCTATAAAATGAGAAATGAACACAAATATGATGTAGTTGTACTGTTAACAGGATCAATTAAGGGACAGGTAAAAAATATGCATTAGATAACTTTTAATTAAAAAAAATTTTTTTGACATAATTGTCTAGGAAGTGCTAATAGATTTTTAGTATGAAAATTTTTCTAACATGGGTTTTAAAAGGGCAAAAATCAGTAAATTGTTCTTTTTATTTACAAATTTATATAAAACTCATCTTAAAATATTTGCATATGTCTTATTTTCCTGAGAAGTTTTAAAAGCTTAAAAAATGATCATCATTATTGCTTGTGTCATCCTCCCAAATATTCAGAACCTATATCATTATTCATACATGAATAATAATGGAAATTTATGATCTGAATAGACATCAGAATTCAAAATAGAAAAATGACCAAGTTAGTTGTTAATGTTTTAATGTGAACTTGCTGAAAACTGTTATGTTTTTCTATTTTGCTAATGTTCACAATTTTCTTTTTCTCAGTGTGGAATTATCTAACTGAAGACCCAATAACCCATATAATTTGGCATAGAATTTATATAATTATCTTCCAAAAATATGTGAAATAGTTTACCAAATTAGATATTTTTCAAATAATGAAATATTGGTGGTAACATGTTGTAAAGAAGGAAGACATGTTCAATAATGAAACACCTAGAGTGTCAAGTTTCAGTTCTACCAATTTCCAGTGGAGTAAACTACTAAGATTCCGTTCCCTCACCTAAAAAGTGGGAATAAAATCTCCACAGAATTAAATAAAGAAAATATCTAAAAAGCATATTTTTGGAAACAATCCTGGTTTTCAACAATGCTACTTTTCTGTCCCCACTTTCTCTAAAATAAAGCAGAGACCCATCAGTGTTACTAGATATTAAATACTTGAAAATATTGTCATGAGTTGCATTTCAGTCAATGATGAACCACACATATGACAGTGATCCCCTAAGTTTATAATGGAGCTAAAAAATTCCTATTCCCTAATGATTTCCTAGCTGTTGTAATGTCATAGCACAACAGATTACTCCTGTGTTTGTGGTGAAGCTGATGAAACCTACTGTGCTGCCAGTCATATAAAGGAATAGTGCACACAATTTTGTGCAGTACACAATACTTGATAATGATAATAAAATTAAGTTATGGGTTTATATATTTATTATACTATACATTTTACTGTTATTGTATTTAATTTTTACTTATTCAATTTGGAGTCTTTTTGAGACAGAGTCTTGCTCTGTTTCCCAGGCTGTAGTGCAGTGGTACAATCACGACTCCCTACAGTCTTGAACTCCTGGGCTCAAGCAATCCTCCCACTTCAGCCTTCCGAGTAGCTGGGACTACAGATGTGCACCATCAACTAAAAAAATTTTTTTTTTTTTAAGAGACACAGTCCCACTACTGTCTTGAACTCCAGGCCTCAAGCAATCCTCCTGCCTCAGTCTTGCGAAGTGCTAGGATTATAGGGGTAAGTCACTAAATCCCACATTATTATTTTAGAGTGTCTTCCTTCTACTTATTAAAAAATAAGTTAACTGTAAAACATCCTCAGGCTGTTCAGAAGGACGACAATCCAGAAGAAGGCATTGTTTATCATCAGAGATGACAGCTCCATGCGTATTATTGCCCCTGAAGACCTTCCAGTAGGACAGGATGTGAGGGTAGAAGACAGTGATATTGATGATCCTGACCATGCGTAGGCCTAGGCTAATGCATGTGTTTGTGTTTCCATTCTTAACAAAAACTTTAAAAAGTAAAAACAAATAAATTTTAAAAACAGAAAAAACCTTATGGAGAAAAAATATTTTGTATAGCTGTACAACGTGTTTGTGTTTTGCTAAGTTTGTGTTTTGCTAAGTTGTGTTAAGCTAAGTGTTATTATAAAAGAGCTCAAAAATTTAAATTAAAACTTTTAAAATCAAATTTGACTTTTTATAAATTAAAAAGTTTATTGAGTAAAAGACACACAATAAGCTAAGGTTAGCTTATTGTTTCAAAAAATATATATTTTTTTACAAATTTATTGTAGCCTAAGAGAACACTATTCATAAAGTCTACAGTAGTATGAAGCAATGTCCTAGGCCTTCACATTCACTCTCCACTCAGTCACTCAGAGCAGCTTCTAGTCCTGCAAGCTCCATTTGTGATAAGTGCCCTATACAGTATTCAGTACAGCGACATGCTGTACAGGTTTGTAGCCTAGAAGCAATAGGCTACACCACATACCCTACGGGTGTAGTAGGCTATGCCATCTAGGTTTGTGTAAGTACACACTATGAGGTTCACACAATGATGAACTCACCTAACAACCCATTTCTCAAAATATGTCCCGATTATTAAGTGACATATGACTGTAGAATAGTTGACATAATCCAAAATCAAATTTAGTTTTATCCTTCCTTACAATTAATCCAAAAAAGAGAGCCTTTTAATTGTAGCATTTTTATTTTCTGAATCTAAAAATGCCATGAGAAATGAATTTTAAGAGTATCACATATAAGGGACTGTGATTAAAACTAAGGATATTAACTTCAACTAATACTTTGTAGAAAGTCATAAAAAATTTCTAGAGAAAGTTTTTGTACTTTTCTCCTGACCCAAACCTCATCCAGACCCACCAGCATGTTCCTAAAACATACTTTGGATTATATGACCCCTTGCACATGGAGTAAAATACAAATTCCTTACCCCAGTCAACATGGCCCTACATTCTGTGTCCTCATGTACACATATGTGTCTCTCTTCTTGCTCACTGGTCTCCAAGCTCTAGGAGCAATCCAAGTATAGCACTTGAGCAAGTGTTGCCTACCTGCAACAGCCTTTGTAGCAGACTCTGTTTTGATGCCTCTTCCACATATTTAAAAAATTGTTATATAATAGTCACACATTTTATGGGGTACATATGGTCTTTTGTTAGGTGCACAGAATGTGTAACAATCAAGTCAGGGTATTTAAAGTATCTACCACCTGAGTACTTACCATTTTCCTATATTGGGAACATTTCAAGTCCTCCCTTCTAGCCATTTAAAAATATATGATACATTGTTGTTAACTCTAGTCACTCTACTTTGCCCTTGAACACTGGAACCTATTCCTTGTATTTAAGTGTATGTTTGTAACCACTACCCAATCTTTTTTTTTTATCCCCCACCCACCCTTCCCAGACTCTAGTAACTATTATTCTAGTCTCTATCACCAGGAGATCAAATTTTTAACCTTTCACATATGAGAGAGAACAGGCAATATTTGACTTTTTGTGCCTGGCTTATTTTACTTAACATAATGATTTCCGGTTCTATTCATGTTGCTACAAGTGACAAGATTTCATTCTTTTTATGGCCAAGTAGTATTCCATTGTGTAGGTAAACCAAATTTTCTTTATCTAGTCATCCACTGATGGACACTTACGATGATTAAATATCTTGGCTATTATGAATAGTGCTGCAATAAACATAGGGTGCAGATATCTCTTTGATAAACTGATTTCCTTTCCTGTGAATACTGTGGGATTGCTGGATCATATGGTAGTTCTGTTTTTAAGTTTTTAAATAAATCTCCATACTGTTTTTTATCATGGCTATGCTAATTTACATTCCCACTGACAATACATAAGCTTTTTTTTTTTCTCCACATCCTCACCGACATCTATTGTGTTTTGTCTTTTTAATAGTAACCATTCTAACTGGAGTAAGATGACATCCCATTGTGGTTTTGATTTTCATTCCCCTGATGATCAGTGATAATAAGCATTTTAAAAATATATCTGTTGACTATTTGTATGTCATCTATTGAAAAATGTCTATTCATGTTCTTTGCCTACTTGTTAATTGAGTTATTAGTTTTTGCTGTTATTAGTCCCTTGTCAGATGAAAAGGTAGCAAATATTTTCCCCCATTCAACAGGTTATTTCTTTATTCTGTTGATTGTTGCCTTTGCTATACAGAAGTTTTTAATTTAGTATAGTATCATTTGTTTATTTTTGTTTTATTGCCTCTGCCTTCTTATACATAAAATCTTTAACTAGATCAATGTGTCTCCTATTTTTTTCTAGTAGTTTTACAGTTTTGAGACTTATATTTTGGTCTCTAATCCACTTTGAGTTGACTTTTATATATGATACGAGATAGGGGTCTAGTTTTATTCTTCTGCATATGGTAATCCAGTTTTCTGGATACTGGTACTATTTATTGAATGGTGCCTTCGTTGAAAACTAGATGGTAGTTTGATATGTAAATATATTTCTGGGTTCTCTATTTTTGTCCATTGAACTGGCTTTCATAGGGGAAGACTTTTTCCTGAAGACATATCTATGGTATTTGTTGGGTAGGACACTTTAGCTTTGATTTTGAGAATGTAGTCTCTGTGTAATATCTGCAGCTACAAATAACATCAGTGGTGTTTGTGATTTCCTCAGTGGCTTAGGCTGCAGTTGTTGTTGCAGGCTGTGGTGAGATTTTGCTGGGAACAGGGACTCTGCTTGGGCCAGTCCTCAGGACCCAGTGGATGCAGTGGTGGGCCAAGTGTTCCTGTCCTTGGGTCTCTGGTTAGCCCACATGGACATCAATGTTAGCAGGTGCAAACAGGCTAATTTGGGGGCTTTCAAGCAACTCTCCTCAGGTAGTGGCAGAGATAATATTGGGCAAGGCAGGTGGGTGGGCTTTTAGTCCCCTGGGAATCATGTGTGGCATGGGCAATGGCAGTAGCAGTAGTGAGACAATCCTTAGGCTTCAAAATAGTATACACTGGTGTTAGGAGGAGCTACATCATACTAGGTGGGCCAGTTCCCATGCCCTCAGGTGGCAAATGCAAGTAGTTACTGGCTATGGCAATGTTAGCAGGGTGGGAGTCATTAAGCCAGAGCAGGATCATAGTGAATTAATGATTGATTTTGTTTCCAACAGATAGTGGTGGAACAGATGCTTTCCATGCTTTAACATAGTGAGAGCCTTGTTTATCAGACATGAGAGACATTTATCACTCTGTTGTTAGTTTTCAATGATTTGATTTGTATTCCTGATCAGATATGTAGGAGTTAGTCTTCTTTGGTCTAGCCATCTCTAGCTTTGAATCATGAATACAGATGGAGTGATAAATACATAGAAAGACAAAAGAAGGTATGCCATCTTAATTTGTAATTTTAAAATTACATTGTGATTTAACATTTATTACATCATTGTTTTCCTTTGCACTTAAAATTCGATGAAATACATATTCTCCATTGACTATATGGGCTTTAATTTGTATAGTCTACATTAAGTACCTGCCCCTTGTAACTATATTTATCAAGTACATAGACTGTTTTCTTAGAAATATTCCCTAGTTGTTGAGATTTTTTTCATTAGAGAAAAAGCAATAGAATTTCATTTTTATTCTGGTCAGAGAACAACTTTTTGTAATTTGAGAATGTCTAACACTAGATGGCAGGATGACACTATAGATTCCTCAAAACTGTAAAAAGAAAGATGTGACACTTTCTCAAAGGTGTTAAGGGTTCCTAGGCAAATCCATCATACATTTCAATATATGCATTACATACAGTTCCATAGTCATTAATGTTTAAAGTCTCACTGTATGTTATTGACTAACATTAAATATGAATAAGCTTTTAAAGAAAATAAAAATATAAGTTGCTAATGTTTTTACAAGTTATATAAATATGATGATAGCTGAAGAAAATAGTTCGTTATAACTGGAAAGACATGAATACTATTTGGCATCTTTAGAACTTAATGATTAAATTATTTATGTAAAATATAGGGATTGGTCATTTAATCAAATACTACTTAAGTCGAAATGCCTAAATACAAATATAAATAAACCTTTTATTTTCACAATCAAGATTGATATTTAGCAAATAAGAGGCATTTCAGAATAAATCCACATTAAATGCATATCCAGAATTAAAAAGGGCATCTTTTTTGATGCTAACTAAAACCATCCTAGAAATAGTAAGAACTATTTTAAACTCTTCTGGAAAGAAGATTTGGGTTTCCCAAATAAATTACTCACACACTCTTAGTATTTATGTGCTACTTGTCATTGCTCTATTGATAAGTATGGCTAAGTTCACCATATACTGAATAATATTTTTTTCTTCAAACCAGAGCATTTTTGAGCCTGAAATTATGAATTGGGACTGCCCCAGAAAACTAGGACATATGATCACTCTATTGAAGGTATTTCCCCTCAGAAAGTTCATTGTGTACTCCCATTTAAAGTAAGCATTTATAATTTTGTTGGATTTAAAAATCCATTTGAATTAGTCCATGACATAGCTCACTAGCCAGTACTAGCACTTTATTCTAGCAATAGCCACCCCTCCAACACTCATGAATATCTGTAAGAAAATACTAAGTTCGCAGGAAGATCTAAATCCATCAGGATATAAGAATTTTTAAAATAGGCAAATGTTTGGCCAATTATTTTTTATGTTACTTGGCTTTCTTGAGAAAATACATTATTAAATACTGAAAGAAACTCTACATATAGGCTATAAAATAGTTTTATTTATCTGTATATTAACCTGGTATACATTTCTGTATATCTGACCTGATATATATACTGTTCATTTCAAACATAGTTTTCTGCACCTTCCAAATTCTTATTCATAGTAACTATTTTTAAAATAATATTGTAATCTTCTTTAAAATGATAGCTATGTGCCCAATTAAAGTGAAAAACGGCCCTTTGGTTTTAGTAATAGATAATAGCATATTCACTCTCATGTCCCAGACATTGTACCCAGATTCTTTTACTAAATGCAATTTATTTTTGTTTTGAAAAGCAACTTGAAAAGTGCTAACAGCAATTGCTAGGTAAAATAATAAAAGGTTGGGTCAACTTATTTCCTTGCTAGAAGTAGTTTTTTAATGTAAAGCTTTTAAACATATAAGCTTCTGATGTAAAGTTTATGTGTTTCTCCTCAAATTATTGGTGCATTTATCATAAGGCAAGTTATATATAATATTGCTGACTGCATAAATTATCACCAAGTATAAGTAATTGCTTTCAGACAATTAAGAACACAGAAGAATTATTAACATAAAATAATAACTTTTAAAACTTCAGAATAATTATTTTAAAAGTCTTTCTTTTGACTTGTTCTTGCACTCTCACTAGGGAAAGTCTGTCCTTAATATATTTCCTGTAAAAGTGTTCTGCTTTATTTTGTTTGTTCTTGTGGCAAGAATTATGCTCCAAGGCAGTATCCATACAAATTCAAAATAAGTGGTCAGTTTGGTCAGTAGAAAATTAAATTTGTCAAACCACATTTTGGTCTGGTTTAACTAACATATTCAATATAAACAGTAGCCCAGAAACTTGGAGTTAGCCTACTCCTAATTTTGAGTCAACTTGCATTTGACATAGTAACTAGTATCCCCTATTGGAAGAAAAGGTCGCTTGTGAGCCTTATGTGTGAGCACAAATAAAAGCACAAATCCTGCATGTAGGATGCTAAAATGAAAATGTGTGACTGTCCATCATTACATGTATATATTTCTACACTTATACACCACTCCTCACTTCTACAGAAAACCTTATTGCAGTGCTCTGCATCATTACCTCTAGATTCTATGTTAGCAGCATCAGTTGCTAATTTCACAGAATTTGGCCCTTGACTTCTCATGTGCTAGTCAATCTGTTCATTAAAGGACTAGATAGCAGGGAACATTCTATTTTTACTTATCTCACTAAAACACAGTTAGCACATTACCTAGCTCAAAATACAAATTTGGTCACTACTAATTAAATTATTGCAAGTGGCTTTAATGTCTTCTGAAGAAAGATTATAATATATAAATCCATATAATGCCACGTTGGCTCAAAATTGCTTCATTGATTATTGAAATGTTTTCATTTAGCTCTGCTACAGTTTTCCAAACATTTGCCTTCATGTTTCAGTAGGTATTAGAGAAGTTTTTATGATCTATCTTATCACTTGCTCCTACATAACTTAGAATACCCTGAATGCCTTCCTGGAAGTCCTTGTACCATTTATTTTTTCTGAAGTTTATAAAATGGCAGCTCTTGAGGATTACTAGGATGCAATTTTCCTGTTATGTCTAAATAAGAATTAAAGATGATATTAATAAAATTTATCAAGGAGTCTTCATGGACTACAGCCATGGGCCCATGTGTACGTCAACTTAAATATAAATGATACAACTTCTACTAGACACCCCATAAAGTATAGCACTTGATAGAGAGTAGAAGAGAAAGAGCATTGGATTAAGGGTCTTATGACATGAGCTCAAAACATGAATTTTTTTCCTTCAGTAGACCTTACTAGTATTGGGCAAATGAAATCAATGAATCTCACCAGGCGCAGGGGCTCATGTCTGTAATCCCAGCACTTTGGGAGACCAAGGTGGGCGGGTCACCTTAGGTCAGGAGTTTCAGACCAGTCTGGCCAACATAGTGAAACCCTGTCTCTACAAAAAAATACAAAATGTTAGCTGGGTGTGGTGGCGGGCGCCTGTAATCCCAGCTACTTGGGAGGTTGAGGCAGGAGAATTGCTTGAACCCGGGAGGTGGAGGTTGCAGTGAGCTGAGATTGCGTCATTGCACTCCAGCCTGTGCAACAAGAGCAAAAACTCCATCAAGAAAGAAAGAAGGAAGGAAGGAAGGAAGGAAAGAAAGAAAAATGAATCTTTGGAAAGACGAAAATATCAATGCTTTTATAAACATATTGGGAAAAGTTTTAGTTTTCCATGATTTAATTAAATTCAAAAACTATATATTAATCTCTTTATAGGATTCATATATTACACTTAGCATGGAAGATGAGAAGACATGACCCATTATTACTTTCATATTAAATCTAGTATTTGTTTTTCTCTGAATTTCAAGATGGGAACATGAAGCCTAAAAAGCTTTGTCAAGATCACACCAGACAGTATCAGAACCGGTTCACCAGTGTAACTCAGTTTCTTACAAGTCTTTTCTATTAACCATAATTATAGAGATGAAAGTATATCTATTTTTTATATGTCTGTATTTTGTAATCAATATTGATCTCACTGGTCTTAAAATCAAAGATTGTATAAACATTTTCTTCCACTAATTCAGACAATAAAAATGTCAACATGAGCACCCTGCTTTAAAAACATGATATTCCTGAATTTATTTTGCCTTTACCTCCTTTGTCTGCCTACAAGGTGTATGGCACCTCATTTTATCCTGGAATTGCACTAACAATTTACTAAGAGTTGAATGATCCTCACCGTATCTTATCTATTTCAAAATGTTATGAAATTTGTCGATTCAAAGCCTTAGACATAAAATCTATCTCTTCTAGTTTATAGATGAGAAAATTTATGCCCTGATAAATTAAGTGACTTTTAGTGCTGTTTAGGTTATAGGGATTATAATTATTGCTTCATATCGAACATTTACCAAATTATAAAAATGATAAAAGCATTTTAAATTTACATTTTCCCCTGATCATATCCAATGATGTATTAAACATATTCAGGAAAAACTATGCTTTGAGATGAAATTTTGTCTAAGAAATAAAGTATCCTTTGTATTTATATTATTTTATAATATTATGTTTACAACATCTATATTTTCTTTAAGATTATATTGACTTACAAATATTGTGGTATAAATTATTTTATATTATAAATAACATAATTATACCAAATATTTTTAAATGTGTGCAATAATTTTAAAATTATGAATTATTCAAAAGGCTATTTTGTCAAATATATATACTTATATATTATAAAAGAAACACTCTATACACACACATACACAACCTGAATTTATAACACATACACTCATGTTCTTATGAAGAAGGTAAAGGAAAAAATAAAAGATTTAAAAACTGCAGGATAAAGTTTCTTGATCTAATTAACTGATTAGGAACTGCACTTAGGAACTGATGGAGGAACAGCACCCAATTAGCAGAGCTCCAAATTAAGAAGAGCCAAATCACAAAACCAGTTATGATGAATACAGTTAATTTTTTTTTCTGTGTTGTGCTATGAACACAGATTTGTTAGATTTTTTTTCCTGGATACTTTGTAAGCTATAATTCAACACACACACACACACACACACACACACACACACACACACGCCTAACTCCTTTGATTCTTTGAGCAGAATACTATATTCAGATTTCCTTCAAATCACAAGTAGCTTGTTTGGCAAGTTCTAACAGAACTCAGTCAAGGTGAAAGCCAGCCAGCTTTTTACTGGTAACAATGTATTCACACAGCCTATGATCTCTCTCTGTTCAGGCTGCTTCTTGCTCTTGTCTCACAATAAGAAAGGAGTGCTGCTTTCCTGGGGTATGCTATTTGAGAAAGAAAGTAACCTAACACTAACTGCAGGCGGGGTCAGAGTGATGTAACAGGAAGCTCTGATGTTTCCCTTCTGCTGCTGATCACTTACAATCTGACAACACTTACAATCTACTCAGAACAACCTCTCTCTCTCCAGCAGAGAGTGTCACCTCCTGCTTTAGGACCATCAAGCTCTGCTAACTGAATCTCATCCTAATTGCAGGATCACATTGCAAAGCTTTCACTCTTTCCCACCTTGCTTGTGGGTAAATCTCTTCTGCGGAATCTCAGAAAGTAAAGTTCCATCCTGAGAATATTTCACAAAGAATTTCCTTAAGAGCTGGACTGGGTAAGTGCACATTCAAAATAAATATATTTATTCTAAGTAGTATTCTCATATAGTTTGGCAATGTTTCTATTATAGAATTTAGTAGATAGCACTGAAATAATGTTGAAACATAGTCTCACTTATTTCACATGCTAGAGAAAATACAGCCTACTACCCCAACATGAATACAAAATCTAATACTACTAGATAATATTGTTTACCATGGTATTCTAGAAAATAAATTTAGCAAGTATTAAAAATCTAAATGGATTAAAAGACATATTTCTGAACAAATACCTTAATCACAGAACAATGTCTTTTAAAATTAGCTCTAATATTAGCTAAGCTTGAATCTTGACAACTGGAAAACATTTCTCCCCCCGGAAGGGTCTTTAAACTTTCCATGTTATCAGCTGTAAGAAAGAGGTGAAAGAATAACTACTTAATGGGTCTCGGAGTCTCACTTACTCTGTGGTTGATCATAATGCAGAGTTTTGAAAAGTAATCACTTTGTATTTATTACATTTGCTTTTATTTGCCTTTCACCTTTATTTACACATATATCTGTAACTACTGAACTAATTTTTGTGTTCATTGTTGCCAGATGTGTTTAAATCTCTCTTCTGCTAACCCTGAACTGTTTGCTCTTTATTTGGATCATGGTGTCGGCTACAAAGAAAAAAAAAAACCTAGAGTTTAGGAAATGTAGATTTTTAAAACAATTCTTAATTTTGAAATCTTTAAGAGAATACTTCAACTTGACTGGTTCCCCTCTGCAAGCTTTTGGAGGGGGGTGTGATACCACGATATCTGTGGATAAAGAAACGTGACAGCTTTCCCAAAGAAGTATATTAGACGATTAAACAAAGAAATTAAAGTATTTATTAAAAAAGAATTTCCAGGATGGAACTTACTGAAATGTTGGATAAAACATCTGTTAATGCTCATTCCGATAGTACAGACTGTCCTGAACAATTTAAGAAACTAATGTCTGCTTAATAAATTGTTTGTGTAGATATATCACAAATTTGTTGCTGGAGAAAGTTTGATGTCAAATTTTAAATGATGTTGATAGATATGATTTTTAAGTTATATATTTTCTTACCTAAATGCAATTATACTTTCCAAGATGTCCTGCATTGGAAGCATCCTGTACTTAATCACTTATATCTGGCACATTAATAATAGACTACAAACATCCTGAGTAACTCCTCAGTAATTTACAACTCAATTTTTCCACAAATTCCTCAATATAATGAAAATTTAAATTAATTCTTAGATTTGTGATTCTTTAAGAGTATCATGGCTGATTTCTCTCTCTTTTCAATCTTCAGTTGTACTGAGTTCCCTGACACATGTGTAGAAATGGGAAAAGTGTTTTTAGAATGTGACTTTAGCCATTATATAAATGGGGGAGAAAGTGGAAACAACACATTTACTAACCCAATGACGTGGGTTAGTAACAAAAATTAAAACAACATTATTTTTAATTCAGATTATTTTCTTAGGAGGTATTATATTATGATCATATTTTATAATGAGAAACTCTCCAAACTTCCTTAATTTTTGTTTAATTGCTAGTCCCAAACCCATAATTTTCTTGTATAATTTGATTAAATTTTTATGAGTTTACTAACAGTATGGTTTATAATCTTTGTTTTCCAAAAATACTTTTGAAAAACACTAGGCGATGAACATTGAAGGTCATTAGCCAAAGGAAATATTTGAGGACATAACTGGAAGTTTGAAATAAAAATTCATATTATTGTATTCAAAATGTGCTTTCTTTAATGATAAGAAAATATCAGAATATCAATGCATGCTTTTAGCCATAAAGAAATGAATTTACTTTGCTAGAAGATGTTTCCTTGTAGCATCATAAAATCAATGCATTGAGCCTACAGTCAATGCTAAATATGTAAAATGAAACATAGAATTGAAATAGTATGTGAATAATGTGAGCTGAAATATGTTTTACCTGAAATATTCTATTTCTTAAAGAGATAATGTTTTTGATTATTGTTACAAGATTTTTTTTCTATCTTACATACCAAAGCATTATACTAAAAGTTAAAATATGTAGATTTTTATAATATATGAAACTGTTCATTCACTTTGAAAAATTGGAATAACAAAAACATTGTTTAAAATAATACTGGGTCTGTAATTTTAAAAATTATTTTAAATGAATGGGCAAGATTCATATGGTTTTCTCACTGGTGACTCCGAACATGTAATGAATTTTAAATGAAGACAATACTTAGCATATTTGTAAGAATATTTATGTTCACCTGCACATATTATACTATTTTTTCATGCATAACAGAAATAAAATTTCATAAAAAATTGAAAATAATATAAAGGTAAAATGATTACCTTGTTTGCTTTACAGATTAATGTGGACAAAGTATTTGATAAACACATAAACACTAACTGAATTTCAGTTAATAGCATCATTATATATTTCTAACTAGATCATATTTGGAAACATTGTAAAAATATTTTGCTACCAATTTTATCTACATGGCAAAAGTTTGATAGTAACTTAATTTTAAAAGATTGTTCTAGATCTTTATAGAAAAAATATAATAATCTTTAAAGGATCAAAAACTTATTCACTAAACAAAATTTATTTCATACTCTATATATGACTTTTAATACAGCTTTATCAAATAATTCTGGTTTTGGAGATATAATGATTACAGTATCGACTTTTCACAATACAAATATGTTCAAGAAATAGTATTTAAAATCTTTTGCTTTATTGCGTATCTTATGCTTGGCATTCAGAGAAGCTATTAAACCATAAACACAAGCGCTATCATTGCAAGGGTGTTAATGAAAGACGCTCTTATGAGAGTCAAGTGTGTAACGTATCTTAGTTTTGACTTAATCAGAATATTGGAGAATACGCTTAAGATAGACAAATGGTACACAGCTATTTAAAACATTTATCTGTATCTGGTTTTCAAATCCATGGGTAAACTATAAACATTCATAATTTCTCAGGTATGTTCTATTTTTCTGACAAAGTACATGTACCATACTGGATTACAAATTATTTCAAGACATCTTCTCGTTTAATATACAAAAATATTATGATGCAAATAGGTGGAAAATAAAAACTTACCAGAAATACAAGTCTACATTCTAACCAGATGGATCTATCCTTTTCCCATATATTCACATGGACCATGTAAATTAGATTAGGTCAATTAATCTCTGCATTTTTCCTTATTTGAATAATCTTAAAATCAAATTAATTTAATTATAATAAGCTATATTACAAAAAAGAGAAGAAATGTATTCAATTTTTAAGGACATAATAAGGTCTTACTTCTTCTTACAAAAATATAAAATAGTATCACTGCCTGTGAACTGAGTTAGGGTCTATGTTTCCTAGGTTACTAGAATTATTATCAGGTAATAAGTTGCAAATATTTTCCTAAAACACATTTCTTCCATTTTTTTCTTCAATTAGTTTGTTTACTTAAGAGACAGTATTATTCAAAACTAATACACCAAAATATTATTGTTTGCAAAAATGGCCCAAATAGTGTATTTACTTTTGAAATGTTAAGCAAGTTTTATTTTTTAATGTTTTCATGGTTTAAATTAAATGTGTTATACACCTTTTCCATTACTAAAAATTAAAAAGACAAAAATCCCAACCCAGTTCAATCTAGCATAAGCCAAAATGAATACATAAATAACCCCTATGGTATTGGGGCTATAGTTTTATATTTTATTAACACTGCTGGATGGAGCCCAATTTTCAGACAAATCTTATTTCCCTTAACATGGAACATATCTTTTTGAATTAAAAAGTGTTAATATGACATAAACTTTTGTATAAAACTGTAGTTATTTCTCTATTCAGGCTTAGGCTAACCTAAGCTCATTTATGTTTCTCATGAAATTATGGTGAATTTTGAGCATATCATTTGGTATGTTAAATTGCAATGATTTACTTACATAGCAACTAGATGGTTTATAAGTGCCCATCTCCTTACAGTGCAGTCACATGGAGGATCAATAGCATATTCGTGAGCACACAGGTTTGGTTTTATTAACCAAAATGAAGATAAATTTTTCTTGTATCCAACTACCAAATTCATAAATTTTACAAATGAGTGTTAATTTGAACCCGCATTCACTAATTAAACTGAGACCAATGATTACACAGATATTTTGCATATGCACCTCAATTTTGCCTTTCTTCCAAGGATAATTTGAAGGAAAAATAGAAACTTTGGTAAGTATCAGAGAGCAATAAATAACATTATAATAGACAAAGAGAGTTAAAACCATGGGAAAAGAATGTCATCAATACAAAACTGTGATTTTTATTTTGTACTTAGTAATGGAAACAATATTAGAGTAACATGTTTATTGTTTTATTAGTCAATGTGCATATGTCTTTAAAATTTTACTTTTAATGATGTATTTGTTTCTGTCTTTTCTACAAATATACCAATGTACTTTATAAATTAAGAAAAAATATGCATTTATTTTAGAAATTTAGGTATATGGTATTTATAGAAGTACACTGTGATGCGCTTTGGATTTAGATCATCCACATAAGAACCCAAAATTTACCACTTATTAGTTCCCCTTTCTCATCCATAAAGTGGAAGTGATAATCATATTGCTTTATAAGGTTTTGTAAGTAATCCATGAATTAACACGTGGAAATTTTTTAGCACTTGGCATTTAGTACATATTCAATAAATTTTCATGTTCACCTTAAGTCTGTTGTGAATGAGACTGAGGACATAATTTGTTTCTATGCAAAATTTTATTCCAAACAATCAACACCCATACGGATAAACAGAATGCAATCTATCTGTAAGACAGGAAGAGTGAACAAGTGTGATTTATAATTACAGTTGTTACAGTGACCATCCTTTTGCCATTATACAATACATGCCAGAACCTAATAAAATTGATATTGATAATTACTATCTCCATAGAACTTGAGCACTTTAAAATACCTGCATATTAACAATTTAAAAAGGTATATTAAACAAAAATTATTGCGTTTCTTTACATGTGAAACTCAGTGAAACCCAAAGTTGCACAATCCTCGTTGACAAAACTCTGGTTTTATCCTACATATATTATGAATCTACATCCTAAATATTTCATTATACTATTGTGTATTATCTATTATTAGACCTCTCATTACTGAAGTTGTGCAAAGTTGAATAGTGATATGATTCACCAAATCCAAACTGAATCTCTTCTAACACAAGATAATAAAAGTAAATTTATTTACACAAATTTGTTTGCTACTTGTGTGACTATACTACAGTAGAGATAAATGTAGACATCTGTCGGAAAATTTTAGTTTTGATTACTATAGCAGCTCCACAATCTCAAAATGAGAACATTAAGAAGGATCCAATAAATTCAGCTTTTAGGATTCCAAGTTGTTTTTGACCATTTTTTTTAAAGTTCTTATTATAGGAACTTATTACTGCCACCTAATGGAAGACACTTATATTTTCTTATTTATTATATTTCAAAAATACAAAGAAAGAGTGCCTGTGCAATAGGATGGCAAAAAAAATTTAGGTTTTGGCTTAACATAATTCATTTTAAGAATTTATCATTGAATATTTTATAAATTAAGACCCACATTGAGAATGTAATGAAACCAAAACCTTTTTTTCCATAAATTAAAAAAAAATACATTCAAAGGGATTCTCATTTTGCTTACAGTTGCATGAGTTTCATAGGATCTCCTTTTTGTTAGCTATGTTAAGAGTTCTTCAACTCTCAGTTTAAACACCCATGTTGCAGGTAATTCACGTGACAGTTACTCTTATAAAATAAGGTAAAATATATATATACGTATATGTATACATATATACACACATATATGTGTGCGTATATATGTGTGTGTATGTATGTGTGTGTGTATGTATGTATATGTATATGTGTGTGTATGTATATATATATATATATATATATATATATATATATAATGTTTTTAAGCCACCTCAGATACTTTTATAGATCAAGGAGTAAGGAACAGAATTCAAAAGACAGACATGGACATCAGAAACAAATGGCCAAGAGTTTTCCCAGCAGACAGACAGCATGAGTTGCAGGGCGTTAGGAAAAACTATACAGTAAGTACAATCTGCAGTTGGTAATTTTCCATCTGTCTTTTGGTATCCCTCTCCTTCCACTAAGTTTTCTCACTTAGCCTGTCTAACGTTCACTTTTTTCCAAACCATAGGCCCAATAGCTGCATTCTGGCCTCAAGTGGTCAAGAGTAGCATATTTTCCTGTATGCTAAAATTGCTCTTTTTCTAAACAAATTAAAATCTGGTAATATTGCAGTATATTTCATTTGGGGGAAGGAAGCAGACTGATTTTTCATCCCAGAGTTTATTTCTGTCAAAGAATATTTATATTTTAACTCATATGACTATACATTTATTTCCTTTAGGGGATACTAGGATTAAACAATATGGTCCATAGAAGTACCTCATAAGAGGTACTTATGAGGTGCCTGGCCCTATGCTAGGTGTCGAAGGCCAACAAGACAGGTCTCCTGCTCTGGACAACAACACCACCACTTCCATGTTATGTAAAGACAATTCCAATCAAAGTGTATAGTCTTAATCCATACTGGCTGCCACTCTATTTTTCATCTTGTCACAAGATCAAGACTCAATATCTTAACTAGAGTGTTTTCTAAAATGACAAAACCTGGTAAATCAGATCTCTTAATGTCTGAAAAATTAGATAAATCAAATACATATAATAAATATGTATATATTTATTATCGTAGCAAACCTTCAGTTATTGATGAAACATCAAAAAACCTGAAATAAACAACAACCAGATTCACTGTGTTCGCAATTTTATGTTTTCCTTGGTTAAGATATTCTGAAATATCTCCCTTTCAATTGCTTCTAATATAATTTTTTACCTTTCTTACTTTGACAAAAAATATTTTTTTGTGTCTAATTCCATTGCAAATACCAAGGTTAAAGAAAGTGATATTCCTAAGAATAAAGCTTTGATGAATATTTGTCTTCATTAATTTGGATAGGAAGGCCTTCAAATGAGATATGAGCAAATATTAAGGTCTGGAACAACCTGGCAGGAGTGAAATTCATATAATGATTTTCCTAAATATTGTTTAATTTTTTAATTAATTGAATTTCTAACAATAGCTAACTTCCTTAATTATGCACTTTCCAAAAGGATTTCCTGTTCTATGTTCCATGTTATCAGTGTGAAAGTCGTTTTGATCATAAAATTAATATATGTTTATATTTAATGAACCAAATTCCAGTCTACTTCCTTCAAAGTAAATACACACCAAAATTAACAAAGACTTTATATTTGAGTTTAGATATAACACAAGCATTCTTCAAAAACATCCATTAAATGTGTAATTTTCCATACTAATCCTGAAAGCTAAGTTCGTTGAGCAAGTTCTCAACTTTCCTGACTCCAGTACCATAAAAGACTGCATATGTTCAAAACCTTAAATATAACTTGTGGCTTCCTAAGCTAGAGGTCTGAATAAGTTAAATAAATTTAGTTAATGGATTCCTAACTTAGAAAAGGGAGACTCCATCTCAATGTTTCATTAAATCTAACTATGATGTAGGTCTTGAAATGGCATGTGCTTTTTTAAAAGAAATAAAAGATGTTAGATGTTTACACTCTGACAACATTCTACCCCTAATTACTCAAAATAGTTTAGACTTCAAGGCTTGTCCTACATTCTGGTCTACATTTTTCCTTACAGAAATAGTTGCGTGATGTTATCAACATGGAAGGGAAACAGTCTTTATAACAGACATGCTTTTTTTTTTCGTCTGGACATTTTAGTTCAACCTAATATGCATATGGACATCAGTTACTACAGTATATCCATTCCAGTTTAAAAACTATTTGCAATGAAATTAAATTTTGGGTAAGGAACAAAGATCATTGTGCATCATATAATTTTATTGATATAAGATTATAATAGTAATATAATAATAGTATGAGGGAGTATTTATTTGAATAATTTCTAAGTTTATTATTTGTCTTTTTCTCTACATTACATAAGCATCACATTATCATCTGAGTATGAAAAGAATGCTAATCTTCCTTACTTATGGACCTATAGATCTTGTATTCCAGCTTTAAATGTCTCTTCTTCCATTTATCAAGTCCTTCACCTCTAGACAAGTTTACTTACTGCCAGTACTTCTGATTTCATTTGCCACCAATTTAAAGAAAGAGACGCACATTTTCTAAAGGAGAATTAAGAATTACCTGTGGGTTTCTTTCAACTAGCATAAAATGTTCTTATTCCAGATATCCATATACCTAAGTCCCTCACCACCCTGCCATCTTGCTCCAATGTGAACTCTTCTAAAGAGCTTACATCGATGATTATTTAAAATCAACCTACGTCTATACTACCACAGACCTCTTTTCTTTTTTATCTATTTTAGTTTGTCCTTTTTTCCTGTAATACTAATCATCTTGCACCAATCTACTATAATTTACATATTTACTGTTTTTTTGTTGGTTTTTTGTTTGTTTGTTTGTTTTGTTTTGTTTAGTATTTAGTTAGTTAGTTATTTGAAACACAGTCTTGCTCTGTTGCCCAGGCTGGAGTGCAGGGGCATGATCTTGGCTCACTGCAATCTCTGTCTCCTGGGTGTGAGCAATTCTCCTACCTCAGCGTGACCACACCCAGCTAATTTTTGTATTTTTAGTAGAGATGGGATTTCGCCATGTTGGCCAGGCTGGTCTCAAACTCCTGGCCTCAAGTGATCCGCCCAGTCTGGCCTCCCAAAATGCTGGGATTACAGGTGTGAGCCACTGCACCCAACCTTGCTATTATTTTTTATTTTCCAGCCACCCACTAACACGTAAGCTCCAGTGCAAGGATTTCTGCCTGATTTTCATTTCACTAATATATATGAAGCACCTAGATAAGTGCCTGTATATTAGGTGCCCCAAAACTGTTTACTAAATATTTAAATGAATAAATGAATGAATGTTTCTTTATACTAGAGTCTAAATCACAGAAAACTGGATATTGGCTTCATGTGAGTTTATATATTATTCAAGAGATGCCAGAGTAAAATTACTGAAGGTGTTAGAATCACTGTATATTTCCAAAAAGAAAATATTCAAAAATTAGTTTTCATTTTTTTATTCTTACTTCAACCTAATATGTATTTCTTCACTGACTTTGAAAGGAAAAAAGTTAGTAAAGATGCTTCCTGTAATATACTTAGTGTTCAGATTTTACTAAATTCCAAGGAATGACCTTTCACATTAGGGTAAATGAGAAGATTGCTCAGTATTTTAACATAAAATGTTGAAGCCTTTCCCCAAGTGGCCACACAATGGCTAAAACTGGCAGAATTCTTGTTGAAACTGGCTGACTTGCCAACTCTTGCCTCCCAACAAAAGCCTTATTCCGTTACTTATTGCCTTTCTGGACAATAGCACTAAAGAGCCTATACAAGGAGGAAAAAAAAAACAACTTAGCAATGAAATTGAGGGAAAGAAAATTAATCTTTTCTAAAAACATCTATAGCAGAATACAAATTCTGTTTAATTGCCAAAAAGTTTTACGTCTGTTTGGTAAACAGACATGTTTGTCAGTCTGTAATTTATTAAGCTTTTCAGTGTTGATGTATAAATACAGATAACTCTAAAAACAATGCCAACTGTCAATGACCTTACCTCATTGTATTGTTATGGAAGTTTTCTAAACTTACAGCCAAAGGACTCTTTTATAAATTGAAATACATATTTGTGATTAAATAAATCATAATTTGTTTGAAAGCCTCATTATGGATCTTTACACAAGTTATATTATGAATGGACCCAACTCATATTATAATAATACATCTTTTATTTTCCCATTTAGATTCCCCATTTGTTTGAGATTCAGTGTTAACTTTATTGTTTTCTTTTAAAACAGAATTCTAATTATTCATTTACCAGAAATGTCACTATTAAGGTTTTCTTTCTTCTGAGTTCAAATATGTATGTCATTCAGTAAAACAATAACTTTACTTTGAGAAAAATACTGATTGTCAACATACATCCATAGTATTCAGATAAAATATGTATATAAAATGTGTCAAAGTTGTAATTTTACTGTTTTTCTACATATTCTCTTATCACACTACTGACTGGATTTTAAATCATAAGCAGCACACTGGTTTGGATTAAATAACTCTCTGTCTTAGATGAACTATTACTCAAAACATTTTTAAAAATTGTCAAATGGCTTCTTCCTACCACTATCCTTTCCTGTTTCTTAACTCTTATCCCTAAACTTTCTGACTTTATTTGATACAGTCATTATCAAACAACATATTTTTGATAAAGTTATTATTACAAAACATAAACTATATTTTGTTTTTAAAATTAGTCAATTTGTTCTGATAAGTTTATATATGGCAAGATAACTCAGTATTCTACAACACATTTTCTTTATTCTAAGGAGCTTAAAATAGAAAAAAAAATAGGGCTGTCTTTACAAAGACAAGAGAGTGGAAATTTCTAATCTGAATAGGCTTGATGAAATAATGTAAAAGGCACTTAAGATAAACTTTACATAAATAAAAGCCTTGAAAGAAACCCCGTCTCTACTATATGCCGCCATCACGCCCGGCTAATTTTTTGTATTTTTAATAGAGACTGGGTTTCACTGTATTAGCCAGGATGGTCTTGATTTCCTGATCTCGTGATCAGCCTGCCTCGGCCTCCCAAAGTGCTGCGATTACAGGCGTGAGCCACAGTGCCCGGCCTATATGTATCTGAGTTTTAAATATGTTTTTAAAATTGAATTTAACATTTTAAAATGTTGCACATCCTAAACTTTGCTCTTTTTGAGTAAATCCAGAGCAATGCATTTTGTTTCAGGTCTGGTGACAGTGGCTTTTACAAATGCAATGTGAAGGCTTGGGAGATTGACCCAAAAATTAATGAAATTTGAAATGGAAGGAACAAGATTAAAGAGTGAAAAGCCAACCAGAACAAAGTATATCCAAACAAAATTCTCAACTAAAGAATAGAAAGATATGACTTTAAGAACAAAATTAACTTAGTAATTATTGCTCACCAAGTTAAAAGATCAGAGGGAGGCTTGAAATTTGAAAGTAAGAGAAACCTTAAAAGAAAAGGGGAGCACATAGAATAAAGACAAGAAAAGAAAGAGAAGATAAAAGGAGAGGCTGTAAAAGAAGACAAATTAGTCCAATAAGACATTTGATTTGCTAGATTTATATAATTTGTTAGATTATAAAAATCCAGTGCTGAATCACATAAATTGAGATGCTTTGGCCTACATGGCCATGGACAATGGGCATGTCAGTGGGTACCATTTTCAGTTGACATGCAAATATCTTCCAGGTGCTTGGTGTAAACTTTTGGATGGTAAAGCCTTATCTGCCTTTTCGACTGGGACAATGGTAAGTGTTAAGTCTCAGGGTTATTACTTCTGATCAGAGCTGAAAAGTATTTATTTAAAAAATTGTGAAAAGTAAATACCACCTCCTGGGTGGTAATAACTGACTTGTGTTTCAGGATTGAACCCAATTGGTCGAGATAATTACTCTGCTTTTAAGTGGAGGGGTCATAAAATCTGTCTCAGTCTCTCAGGACCTCTACAGGTTGGGCTACACTGATCATACCACATTTAAAGCAGCAGTGCTGTTTGGTAAAGTGAAAATCTCTCTACTTATTCTGAACCTACCAAATGAGTCTGGGATGGCTCAATGGACAGATGGAGATGATGCTTAAATGATGCATGTGTGCCCTGACATAGTGTTCTCTTTTCTGTATTTTGGATGTTGTATGAATAGGGCATAATAACACAATAGAGTCAAACTAACAATAACAAAATAAGTCAGTAAGTAGGACGCATGTTTAAATCAAGTGATTGTCTTTACAAATAACTAAATAATAACTATAAATATATATTGAACTACCAATAAATAACAAGAAGTATGTAATACTTCCCATTTTAATTCTGGGCTGAGAATGATTAGTTCTGTGAGTTGGTGGCACATTTTTCCTGTCTGAATCATTCTAACTTAAAAATCTTAGGAACTTGGTAATAATCCAAATTACAAATTTGTAGACGCTTTTCACCATCAGATTCAGGGGTAAATACACACACACACACACACACACACACGCACGCACAAACACACACACCTTGATTCAAGGATTAGTCATTATTGCTGTTCCAAAATTCCTTTGTGTATATAATAATAAACTTGAAATCATATATAATTTATACATTTAAATCACATAATAAACTTTCAAATAGGATCAGTACTGTATAAGGCAGCTCCATCTCCGATCCAGATCCCTTGACCTTTCCCTAATAAATTGCATTTCATATATTTTGATACATAGATTCATAACAAATACATCATTCCTTAGGAGGGAATTATACTCTGCATACTTTTCTACAAAAACCTTTATAATTAAGAACATTTCTTGTATGTAGAATATTATGTATACCATACTGATATAGTTTGGATGTTTGTCCTCTCCAAATCTCATATGAAGGTTGAATATTGAAATGTGATTCCCCAGTGTTGGAGGTGGGACCTGGTGGAAAGGAGACTGAATCATGGGGATGGCTCCCTCATGAATGACCTAGCACCATCCCCTTGGTGATAAGTGAGTTCTCGCTTAGTTAGTTCACACAAAGTCTGGTTGTTTGAAAGAGTATAGGACCTTTCTGCTCCCTCTCTTGCTCCCTCTGTTGCCACGAGATAGGAGATATGAGGATATGTCAGCTCCCCTTTTGTCATGATTGTAGACTTCCTGAGGCTCTGCCAGAAACAGATGCTGGAGCCATGCTTATACAGCCTGCAGAACCGTGAGCCAATTCAACCTATTTTCTTTATAAATTACCCAGCCTCAGGTATTTCTTTATAGCAAAACAAGGACATTAACACATACACATATACTGTTTAAATAAATAAACTCCTGTATGCCTAGACCCAAGATTGTCCATCATGTTCTTCCCTGATTGACTCACATGGACATTCTCAGAAGTAAACCTTTATCCTAAGCTTGTACTAATCATTTCCTTGTTTTACTTTATGACTTTACCACATATGGTTTCTGGGCAAACTATTACTTTATTTTTCTGCTTTTATTTTTACTTTAATGAAAGTGGAGTTATCTTGAATACATTCTTTGAAGACTTGCTTCTTCCATTCA
This sequence comes from Homo sapiens, assembly GCF_000001405.40. Lineage (NCBI taxonomy): Eukaryota > Metazoa > Chordata > Mammalia > Primates > Hominidae > Homo > Homo sapiens. The sequence continues at coordinate 187,434,826 of NC_000002.12, read as the reverse complement.
GCATTATGTTCTTGAGATAAATCATTGTTAATGGGTATAGCTGTGGTTCTTTCCTTTCACTATTACAGTGTTCCATTGTATGAATGTAACACAATGTATTTATCCTTTTTCCTGCTGAGGAACATCTGGATTGCTTCCACAGTTTTGATATTACAAACAATGAGGCTATGAACATTTTGTTAACATATCTCCTGGTACACATATGTCCATGATTTTTTGAGGATATATTTTTCAGTGAGATTTCAGGATCCTAGCAGTTCAAAATGCTTATGCCAATTTATACTCCCACCAACAGTGTATGAGGTTTCCATTGCGTCATATCTTTTCTAATGCTGTGTATTATTGTCAAACTTTTTAATTGTTGCTAGTCTGCTGAGTGTAACATAGCATCTCATTGTGGTTTTAATCTGCATTTTCCTTATTATGAGTCACAATGAATTTGTAAGCTAAATGAATTAAAATTTTCCTCTGAAACATTTGTTTCTAATTGAATGGCAGTGACTTAATGTTGCAGGGTTATAATTAAGTCACTTTTTGCTTGTAACTATTTAAGAGAAGGATTAAGTATCTCTCTTTGGTTAGGTGGTCCAGGGAAAGCAAAAATATGTTTTATTGCTTTTAAAATTGGATATGTATGAATAACATTTCTCATGAACAAGAACACAGATAGAAAATGTCTTGAATCTTAGCTCTAACTTTCTATTTCTCTTTATTCAAAAACTTTATCTAATATCTATCAAAATCTCCTTTGAAAAATAAAGAGAGGAAGAAAATGAATAATTCTATTCAGGGTGTGTATGTCTTCTTTTTTAAAAATTGGTTGCACATTTACAATAATTTATGAAGCTTACATATCTCCTGAGAGTGATTGTGTCTCTCTACCTATTGTAAAAAATTATTTCTTAGGCGTCAAAACATCATAGAAAGCATTGAAGTTTGTGTTTTTCACATAATTCCTCATTTTTTAATTCACTTGATTGCCTTTATAGGCATCAGCTGAATTTAACCAGTATATTTCTTCAAGGTTCTGATTTTCTCTTCATAAATATACTTAGGTTTATATATTTTTTCTTCAGATAAGTTGTTATATTTCACCATGGCAACATTATATCAAGAAAGTATAGGTGTTATCCCTATTTGCTGTATTTCTTTTCTGTGTTTTCCAGATTTAGTTGATTAGGATTTTATTGTCCAACCATTTCAGCCAGTTTTGCTACTTGAACAAAATTAGCTCTTTCTTTTGAGTTTTCTCTAGGTATTTTTATCTTTCACATTGGGGCTTAATAATGTTTTCTTTTTGTCCTTTCTTCTTGCCTATTAATCCATTTTAGTACATAATTTAATACCACAGATAACCGATATTTTTCAGAAGAGGTAGTAAATACATGTTCACACATACATTGTAATTTTATTAATATATGCAACATGTTTATTAACCAAAATTAACTCATCAATACATTTTCTGATAGCCAGAAGTGACCATTTACATGTCCCAAACACCAAAAAGCTGGAAAGATTCTTTCATAGCATTTTTGGCTGGGATGAAAAAAGAACCATGCAGAAAAAAAATAATGCTTCTGAGTATTTCTACTTCTAGTGGTATTTTCTAGCAAGTTGGGAAAATACTCAAAATAAACTTCAACTTTGAACCTGGTAAATTTCATATGTATGCCAATAAAGGCTGAGACTAATAGGAACTTTTATTTTTTCTGAAATAGCTTTTAGAAATCCAGATTCTAAATACAGTCAGGTGTCACTTAAGGATTGGGATATGTCCTGAGAAATGTGTCATTAGGCAAGTTTGTCATTGTGCGAACATTACAGAGGGTACTTACAGAAACCTAGATAGGATAGCCTACTACACATCTAGGCTGTATGGTGAAGCTTATTGCTCCTAGAATGCGAATCTGTATCACTGTACTAAATATTTTAGGCAACTGTAACACACTCGTAAGTCTTTGTGTATTTAAACACACCAAAACATAGAAAGTACAGTAAAAATACAGTATGAAAATCTTATGGTACCACAGTTATATATGTGGACCATCTTTGACTGCAACATCCTAATGCAGTGTGTTGACTGTATATGCAGACTTTTTGCCAATGTACAAATACACATCTAATTAATATGACCACATGATTCTAATTATAAAATGTGTTAGTTAATTTTTAGTGATATATAATATGTTTTAAAAACACATGAAGGAGTAAACATTTACAAGGTAATTTTTCAAAATAATTGGAAGTGATTTTTGATTTACAAAAGATTCAGTTGCAGAGATTACTTTTAATAATAAGCTTTCTGAATATTTTTGAGGGTTTACATTTTGAGGGTCAACATCTCTGTTGACTTTAAAGAAATTATTGGCAATAGATCTGATTATTGTTGGGTATAGTAGAAAATTGATGCTCCATAAGCAAAAGGTCATTAAAAGCCTTTCAAATGTCATTATGACTTAATTAAGATAAATAATTCACAAAATGCAATTCTGACATTTTTCAAGTTCTTAAAATTCAAACAGTGTGTAAATGCAAAGCAAGGTAAACTAGCTATGTCTTGCTTTCAACATTAGTTTGAGCCTGAAAGGATGTATGTAAACTACATTTATGTAACTTCCATATTTGTTTGACAGGGAATGAATTTAACTTGTTAGTAACATCCTGTTTATGGAGATTTAAAACTCATTACTGACAAGATTTGGCCTCTGGTTCCCTCTTTGACCCAGTTCTTGAATGCTCTTTGCCCTCATTCACTCCACTATGACCATATTGACTCTCTTTCTGTACTTTGAACTAGCCAAGTCATTCCTGCCTTAGAACCATTGACTCAGTCATCCTTTCTTCTAAAAATGACCATTCTCCTGAACATTCCTTGGTATGCTCTCTTACTTCAGGTCCACTGCTCATATACCACCTCTTCAGAGATGCTTTTTGTGACTATTCTATCTAGTGTACCACCATCATACATTTCTCATTTCTCCCTATTCTCCCTTAGCTTGCTTTACTATCCTTCATACCACTTATCAAAACTGGCCATTTTAATATTTATTTGTTTCTTTTTTTTTCTCCTTATAATATAAGCTCCATGAGAGCAGGGACTACCATATCCCCAGCCTGTAGACCAGAGCCATTCATACATAGATTACACATCTTCCTAGGGCCAAGACCTTAAAGAACAGGCACTATCTGCCTCCATGTTTGTGCCTGTTGGAGTTCCTATTCTTAGGACATATGATGCCAAGAACAAAGTTACTGATTACTTTCAGGTTAGCATGGTGACAACCTCAATATACCTGGTATGTCTCCTCCCAACTTTCCATTGAAAAGTATCATTTGAAATATATATGTTTATGGTTTTAACAAAGAAACACACTAGTATTTAACTTGAGGTTAAATTCTGAGAAATCCCACCATCCACTCATAATATTACCAAATTCACAGGAATGTTCTCTTGTCATCTAGGGTCCTACGATGATACACCAACCACTTGTGCTACCATCTGTCAAAACTTTGGATGGCCCTACTTTCAGGTATTGCATATATTACAAAACAACATTCATGACCTAATAAAAGTAACATGTTGCATTTCCAGTAAAGCTGAGGATAAGACCATGTTAACAATAGTAAGAAATATTTCACGGAAAGGCATATAGTTAACTTTAGAATAAAAGAGAACCTTGAAAGGCAATCTAACAAAATATTAATAAAGATGGAATTATGGACATCTGTCAAACTTACAAAATTATTTCCTTGGCACCTTGGCAGTGGACTTAGTCTCCATATTGCTGTTCTCTTGGCCAGACTACCGGGAGTGTTAAATTAATTTGAATGTGTCCTATTAGATTTATTAATATTAGTTATTTTGTAAAATTAGCCACAGACATCATATATTATATGTATATATACTGTATAAAACATATAACCATAATTATATGGATATATACAAAAAATTATGTTTAACATTATAAAATAGGGCTAATTTGCTCATTTGAACTAAGTTCCTTTTCTCTATAGAGTTCCTTATTTTCTATTCACATTGTCACTGTTATATTCCTATGAATGGATGTAAAACTTTTTCATAATTGGAACATAAGATGATAACCTTATTTATAAGCGAAGAAAAAACTTTAAATGACTCTAAATATTATTTTTAGAACTCCCTGGCCACTCTGAGAGTCTCATTTTCAATCCTGGGCATTAACTACAGGCTTTTGGGGCATTGGTGCTTCCAGAAAGACTGCTGTTCCAGATGTGTTTGTCTTGTTATTTATGTTTGGCATTATAGTACCATGGCAAATAAAATATTAATTATGCAATTAATGTTACACCTCATAGCTGCCTTTCCTACAAAATTAAATGTCCTGCATTAACTTGTTTTTAGACTGCAAACGTTTGACAATTCAATAATGTATCATCGTAATAAATGGCAATAACCTAAATTAAAACTAAAGGCTACTAAATTATTTTCTCCTAAATTTAAAGCTGGGTGACATCATTCCTCCTTCTGTACTTAAGCTGTGATTTTTAAATTCCCAGTTCATACTGCTGGACCCAAAAATAGATCCTCTATAATTGTTCTTTCTCCCACAGCATGTCTTTGGGAACTCATCATTGTTGTTCTGTCCTTTCATGTGTCAGCTTCCTTTGCACATTTCATTTCACATGACTCACTGTTCCTTAGAGCAAGGTTTGAATGCTCAAAATGCCTACTTATATCTGACAGATGGATTTTTCTTCCTGATGGTTTTTATGTGAAGTAATATCAGATCAACTTTCAAAAGGCCCAAAGTTTGCTTAATAAAGGTATATAGGAAAGAGAGCACAATGGGAGAAAATTCACTTACTAGGGAAGAACTGGATTTGGCCTCCACTATCTGTGTGTATCAGTCATGTCTTCATGTGAACACTGAGAGGAATACACTATATTTTTTCCAAGTGTGTTTTTCAACTTATAACATGTTTGAGAGTTTGAAGAAGATAAATTGGAAGTAGCTGATAATGAAAGGTCCAAGTTTAAAGGTGCATTCTCTTCATTAGCCTGGTCTCACAGAACTTGTAGAGCATTGCAAAGATTTTCTGTGAGAAGTTAATGGCTGCCTTTTGAGTTGTTTTTGTTCTAATAGTGCAGTTTAAGGTGTAAATTCACTTCAATTCTAGCAAGAAAGAGGTAGAAAAAATTATCTTTATGGAGATTAAAAATGTAAATGAGAACTATGATTGCAGTTTGCCATCATATTAGTTTGAATTATGTATGTTTCCATTTTAACATAATAAAAGGAGTACAGAACAGACACTTAGGAGAGGGGGCTCCCAGTCTTAGCTCATCTACCACTGCCGTGGAATATAAAGCACATCACAAAACCCTCCTGAACTCCTAATTTCTGTCTCTAAACTGAGAAGATTTTTCTGTGAGATTTCTCAGGTCCATCCCAGCTCTGAAGTTCTGAAATAGCTGCCTGTAACTCTCTGACCTAAAGATAATAGCTAGAAATAAAATACCATCTGAAGTTCTTTGTAACCAACTATGTGATTTATAATAGTTCAATTCCTCTAACTACAAGGGTTTTTTTTTTGTATGGTTTTATTTATGTAATCATACAGCTGACCAAAACTTGACAGATGGGTAAGAAGTGGGAAATAAAAAAAATATAAAGGGAAATGTCTCTGGCTAGTTTGAATTTTGGCAACAGAAGCATCTATTTCTAGTTATCAGTAAAGTTTAGTAATCTTGTGGAAAGTTCTTTCAGACTCCAAAATAGTAAAGATATTAACTTATAAATTTCTAATCATTTAATAGATCAATTTTTGCATTTAAATTTTAATCCAGCTAAAATTGAAGCAATATTTATATTATATAAACTAAAAATATATTTGTAAATTATATGAAAATACTCCAGAAAAGTTATGCTTACAGTAATTTTTTTTTTTTTTTTTGAGGCGGAGTCTTGCTCTGTCGCCCAGGCTGGAGTGCAGTGGCGCGACCTTGGCTCACTGCAAGCTCCACCTCCCGTGTTCACGCCATTCTCCTGCCTCAGCCTCCCGAGTAGCTGGGACTACAGGCACCCACCACCACGCCCAGCTAATTGTTTGTATTTTTAGTAGAGATGGGGTTTCTCCGTGTTAGCCAGGATGGTCTCAATCTCCCGACCTCGTGATCCACCCGCCTTGGCCTCCCAAAATGCTGGGATTACAGGCGTGAGCCACTGTACCTGGCTGCTTATAGTATTTTGAAGTGTTGCTTAATGAATCAATTTTATGAATGATCATCTTATCATCTCTTTAAAATTTTATAGCACACTGTCCTATTTCTCAGAGTTCAAATTAGGTATACTCCCATGTGTATGAGAGACACAATTAATGACTTGTAGGTCATAATTAAAGATTCAAAAGATTCATTTTTGTTAATAGAATGTTTACAAATACTTATTCTCATTTTGCTGTATAATGAGCAGTGTCTCCAATTAAAGTAATTAAAATTCAACCAAATGAGGTCAGTGTGACTTGTCATTTATGTTAACTTACATGTTCCACAGCAAAATAAAGCTGGGACTTAAATATGACACTGGCTTAAATAAGTAAGTACTGGTAATCATCCTTGATCATGTGCCTTGAGGGTCTCATCTTAAGTGCCATGAAAGTCTACCAGTACTTCTTCATCACTAAAAGATTTTCATATTATTATTATTTCTGTAAAATGGTGGAATCCCTCATGAATATGCTTCCCTGCAATGTCCTTGTTAATTTGCCCTTAATCAGACTCTTCTTTAGTGTATATAGTTGTTCTGCTTTGCATTGATCCCTGAAACAGCCCTGGTGTTGATCTCTGTAAAAAATTTCACTCACACAGACAGTAGACTTCATTAAAGATTTACATGATAGCAGATATGGGAGAGGTTCACATACTACCAATGCAAACAACTTCAAATCAAATAGTAGAAATGACCATTTTTAGATGTCACTTATTTCTCCCAATAATCTATTTTGGCCTCTCTCTTTTTGACTTCATTGTGTCTTTACCCCATTCTTTCTTTTTGTCACTCATTTTCCAGCTTCTGTTGCATGAGTAAAAGTAATGCATTTTCTAATTTGATTCATGGAGAGGAGAATTCTTCCCCTGATATTTGAGCACCTGATAACATTTATGACCAAGAGTCTGCTCTACTCTAAGTGGATTTTTAATTTCTTTTATCAGAAAGAACAGTTCCTCTCATAAGAGGAATTATGATACCAATGTAATAGCAATTATTTAATATGGTAGGTAAACATAAACTGCCATTGAAATTTAGTAGAAAGCATATTATATGCAGTGACGATAATACCTTCATGAAATTCTTTACTTATCATTTTTTCTTTTCAAATTTGTTTTACATTAAAGTAGGATGAATGTCTTATCCTTTTTACTACATTGCCCACCATAATGGTTCTCAAATGCAACAACATTTTCATTTTTGATAGAACTGAGTTTCATCATTTACTTTGTGTTACACTTTTCCCTAGACCAAGGACCTATGAAGTGAGTTATCCATACCCTTACCACATAGGCAGAAACAGCTTCTTTTACAGAAATCAATTTCCTGATTCTCAAACTCGATTTGATCTCCTTCCTAAAACTGATCTGCCAGAGAAAACTTCGAAGCTACAAGCTTCCAGCTAGTTATCCTTTTCCACTTCTCTTTTCACAATCTTCCTTTTCCTCTTTTACCTACGTCTCCCTCCCCACACAAAAAACACAAGTGTTGTATCACCCATTCTGAATCTTACTAGAGAGCATTTTTGGAAGGTGTAACAATCTCTTAGGCCACAAACAAGGGGACAGGGATGGTGGATACATTGATGTTTGCCAAGCCTCCTTTCAAAAGGACATGTGAGCTTCCCCTTTCTTCATCTCATTAAATAATATAGGGTAAATAAAATTTTACTTTTGTTTAAGATGAATTATGAATCAAAATATATATCAAAGTCTATAATAATGCATTTTGATCTTGAGTGTAAACTTTAAAACCAGCCTGCCTGATTCAACTCTTGAATTAATCAATTTTTAATCACATGTTAAAGTTAATAAACTGACTGAGCTTCAGGTCCCTCATAGGTAAGCTGGGTTAAGCATAGTACCTACCTTACATGATTGTTGTAAGGTGATCATAACTCTAGAAAATCAAATATTACTTTTTGAAAGTATTACAATCTAATATATATCAGTGAATCATTTATTATATATCGTTTGTGTTTCCAGACCTGGTGGACACTCTATATAAATAGATAGCTACAAGTAGAGGTATAAATAGGTAATGTATAGATTCGTGCTTGAAGCTTAGTAAGCCTTCCAGACGTGTTAGCCACTATTATTATCAACATGATAATTATTGCCATTATTTTTTATAAAAGTTGTAGTGATAATGCAATCTGGAAGAACTTTTTAAAAACATTCATTTGCCGCCATTTGGACAGGATTCTTTCAAAATAAAATGTTAATCTGTGTACAAATTTTGTTGCAAAACATTTTAGAGCAGGGTAAAGATTTTCACGAGAAAAGATTAGAAGAGATTTACATCACAGCAATGCACACGTCTGCAAAAAAAAAAAATAATAAATGACAGACACCATAACTTCACAGATTTTAAAGTGTTACGTGCTCATCTAATGATCTATTTCCCTGTCACTTTATCTTCTTTCTTGCTCCGTGCTACCTTTATTCCTTTTTTTTTCTATATAATGAGTTTTCCTGGCTCTCTTTCAGGGTATCACTAAAAATAATTTAAAGTATAAAAATAAATTTTAATAGAATAAAATTCTATAACAGGAAGGGTGGGTAGTGGACTGGGATATGATTTCAAGGAGAGAAAGAAATGAAGTACCATTTCCAACCGCTGTGAAGAACTCATTTATTTTAAATGAATGTGGTAGATATTGAATTGCTTTTATATTTATGTTTCATTGTGAATTTTTAAAAATGATATAACAGTTATAGTTTAGAATGTCAACATTTAAAATGTGCCAAAAGTTACATGCTTTACAACTGATCTGTCAGTTGAAATGGCTGAAGTTCTTTCAAAATTATTTTACACAAGGTGTCAACAGAAAAACTTGAAGCACACTGCTCTTTACTAGAGTGTTTCATTCATCTTTGCACTTCCCGCACTATAAGGAATACACTTAAAATACGTTTATCAATAAATATGCATACTTTTTTCTTATCATGAAAATATAGTGAGTTATAATGCCATGCTTTTCATTGTACAATGCATTTGTGACTAGAACAACTAACCTTATTTCATAAACTTCACTTACAGAAGGAAAAATTGGATCTAGAATAATGCAACCTAATATTACATGTATCAGATGGAAATGTACTACTAATAAGCAAATAAATATAAGACTTTCAAGCTATGGGTGGAAGATACCAAATGGGTTTCTCTTGTGTTTTAAAAGGATAATAAATTATAAGGAAGTTAAGAAAGGTCCATTGCAACTGGGTCTGTATAATTCTATGTATAATAATTATATTTGTGACATGACTATTAGCAAATAGCTTGCTTTTGTTTTTGTTTTTGATAATGAATAACACTATACATTAACAAAAACATAAGTTGTCAACATTTATGTTGTCATAAAATGTGAGAAAAATCTATAATCTTTTTCCAAAATGAATTGACCTTTGAAACAAGCAATCAGTTAAATAGAGAGTATCTGAAGAGATTTTATTAGATTCCAAAACATTGTTCTTTGAGACAAATTCAGGTCTACCATTAATAATCTGACCCCTCAGTCCAAATTTCAGGAATAGTCCATTAGACCCCCAAACTAATTCTAATAGTCAATGCAGTGTTGATTTCCCTTATGTAGACATTATAAAAAACTTTATTTTTTAAAAAATGACATTATAAAAAACCTTATTGCACTTAAATATTATTATTGTTACATTTGTTGTCCATTTTGTCTCCCAGGCCTTCCTTAAGCTTCCCTGCAAAGTATGTTAGTTATATTTTATGGGATATATCAGTTTTGACAAAATATTTCTTCTTCCCAAATTATGTAGACTCCAGTATGAATATGATGAAGTAAAATTTTTAATCAGGCCATACCACAATTCATTTATACCTATCACGGTTTCAAATCTGCCATTTCTCCTTAATTTTCAGCCAGCTCTTTGTAAACTGCACATCTTCATACTTTTCCAAGGTTATCCAATTTTTTTGTCTATATTACTCCATCAGTCACAATACTTAGGAATGGCCAGATGCCTTTTGACTTGTTGCATTAAGCTATAGGGTCCTGCTAATATAATTAACAATATATTACTGCTATTTCTACTAGTTAATGAAAACAAATGAAATAATATTTGCATTTATTGATTTTTGTTAAAGTGAACACATTTCTATGTAAAGTATTTGAGAAATGCCTAGGAAGGGTGTGGCTTATAAGAAAAGCACAGTCATTTACTGTGATTTTATGGGAAGTTCCTGCTGTGGCTAAATGTACTCGCTCTCTCACATTGCTGTAGATAGCTCACAAAGGAAAACCCAACACAAATATTTGCAGCTTTTAATATGCTGAATCTAAAACATTCCTGCCAAGGAAAAACAGACCCCTCATTTAAAGGAGGGTAAAGCTTGATTCAATAAGCCTGGCAAATGGACCTGCCAACCATTAGTTAACTCAAGCAAGCCTTTTAAACCATTCTTATTTTTTTTAGGCTGTTTTATATGACACCTATCTCCAGATGGGAATTTGAAACTCCTTCCAAATGTTTTGTCTATATGGCATCAAATATCCATTAAACTTTAAATAAAAGAAATTGGGTAACCAACACCTAACCAGCGATTCCCATTGTGAAGAACTACCTCATTGGGCATATCTATATTTTGAAATCAGATGTGGCTATGTTAATCAGACTTTAAGCATGAGAGCCCCTTATCTATAAAGAAAAAATTATGGTCATGCTGCAGTTTTTTATTTTTTGTATCACACAGGGTAAACTTGTTTATCACATTTACTGTATAACTAATAATAAAGTCTAACTTCAAATCATTTGGGATTCTATTGCATGGAGTAATCTTAGTTATTTATTTCTGAAAAAGTTCATTATTCTCTATTTATCCTAAGTTTTTTCCCAAGCCTTTGGATATGCCAATAAATGATCCAGAAAACAATGCCTTGACACATAGGTTTCCAGGATACATAGGTTTCCCTGTCACTTCAAACACTATCACACACACAATTGCAAAATACTTTAGAGTAAATTTTGCCATCCAAGAGTAAGTTTTCTAAATCTTGGGAAACCTTAGAATTTATAACCAGATAATTAAAATATTCCTCAATAATATCCTATTAAGGTCAATTTTGTGTTTCCTTTATGAGGAAAATATGATTTTGAATGCTTTTATAACATCTCAGATTCTACATATTTGATACCATATTTGGTGGGAAATTGTAGACATATGTACAGTTGGTAAAAAAAAAAAAACCATACATACATGTAACTTTGAAGCACATTGGTTTAACTTCAAAGGCATTCCAAGTAAAAATTTATGCAATGAAAATGAGGAAGAAGTATGCTTGTTCACATAGATATATTAAATTAAAAACAATATAGACCATACATTCTGGTTTGCATTTTGAAGTGACTGTTGGGAAAGGTCTATTTCTTTGCAGTCAGAACAATTTTTCTATTATGTTCTATTGTTATTGTTCAGACATATCTTTGAAGGTCAAATTTGTCTGAAATTTTAAACGAGAAATAAGGAAGAGCTATTTATTTCTCTTACAGTCCTATCTAAATACTGTAATGTGAATTGTAATTCCTTTTCTCTATTGGAACTTTATTACTTTGATGCCATTTCTGAACACAGAGCTTTCAAAATCCCTATATTTATATCTTCTAGTAGACTATCTTCCTAGCTCCTTAGGATTACAAAGATCCTTTTATCTTTTTAATATACCCCCCTCATATTTTACACTAAAAATTGAGAAGCAAGAAAGTTAAAAGAAACAGAATAGTAATCTAGTGTCACAATCAGAATTATACCATTTCTCTTCAATACATTTGTACTGACTATTCCATAAATGTCCACAAACAACCTAATCTTGTCTCTTAGAAGTTATCAGCAACACAATGTTGCTGATAATTTCTAAAAGACAAGATTAGGTAATGTCTTCTGGACATTAATGTGTTCTTCTGGACATTTTCTTATGTGTTGAACTTCAAATTTAACAAAGCATTCTGTGATATTTACTATAAGAGCCTCACTATTATTAGACAAATTTGAGAAACCTTCTCTTGCACAATGCCCCAAAGCAAATTGCCACATACAGTTAAGTCTGGGCTTCAGGAAACTGCCTCATTTTAGATTCATATCCAATCCATTGTCCATTGAATTAGTCAAGTTATTTTCTAATTTAAGAAACTGAGCAGATAGTAAATGGAAATGAATTCAGAAAAAATATATTCTATTGTACTAGATGAAGCTGGATTTGTTAGCAGGGCTATCAAGCCAGACTTGTTATTAGAGACATCGAGCTGGCACATTAGTAAAGCAAAAACAAACCATAAATCACTCTGTTCATTAAATGTAATTTTTAAAACTCATTGATTTTTTAATCTGCCTGAACACAGATATAAATATCTATTTTCTAGAAACACTAATTTTTTATTGGAATTTTAGTAATAAAAACACTTGCCCTGTGGATACAATTGGGTGTCAGTCCTTTATCTTATTTCCTGCTAGCTACCTTTGATCTCTTGGTAATAGATTTTTTAATGCTACATCAGTGAATTCCTGACAATGTCTACTTTCCTTTTATTCATAAGGTGGAGCCAGGATAAAATACTTGGTCCAAATATCTTTCCTTTTGTCCACTTCCTATTACACTCCCACCAGCATCTGTATGCTTGAAATAATGTGCCAAGAAGCTTTGAATTTTGTTGAAGAGGGAAAAGAAAGTTGGATGGTTTTCTTTTGTTTGGGAGATCCAACTTGCGACGATGAGAATGTAAAGGCTCAAAGGGTGGCATGGTGTCTATGCTTACTGGACACTGAACTGGTTTGGAGCTTCTAGACAGCTGAAGATGAAAATGGTGTTTTTATGAGGGAATTAATAAAACACTTGACAGGAATTGTGCTGCCGTAGGGCCCAGATGGCAACACAGCAGAGGGTAAAATTGAAGGCCATTTTTCACCAGTTGTGCACAGAATGTAGCAGGACTCTGGCAGCCCAAGAGTTGATGACTTTGAGAGCATCAGGAGATAGTGTCAGCATAAAATAGTACATAGTAGCAAGAGTAAAGGCATTCCAGTTGACTATAAAGGCAGAAGTCATGGACAAATTAAATCGGACTGTTAGAGAAAGAATGGCCTATGGTGGTCCTATGAAAGAGACTGGCTTGCAAACCATCCCTTTAGAGAGTTTAAGAAACACCTTGAACTTTCCAGGATGCTGGAAGTCTCATGTTCTGAGGTGCAAATAAAAGTAGGAATTTATGAGTTATTTTGATATCGAGAGGCTTCTGAGGCCTAACAAGGTTTCAATCACAAGAGTAATTATGGAAGAGATTATTTAGATATAATTAAGATAAACATTTACTTACCAACAGTAAGTTTCAAAGTGTTTGAAAATAGTGCATGAACTATAGGATTATGTAGCTGATTTCAGTTATCTTGTACTTTCCTATGAGTCACCTGGCTGGCAATAAGAAGATATGTGATATTTTCTAATAAAGTTATTTTCAGATGACAAAGATGAATATAGGTACTTCCACGTGGGAGGTCTTGCTGCTGATCTATGTAACCATAAGGATTAATCTATTCCTGGCACATACAGTTCCAGCTAAGAAAGGCAACACGTAAATTATTGTAAATCAGCCATGATATAATAAGCCAGTATTCACAGATACCCTTTAGTGTGTTCAAAGGAAATTCTCAAATGGCTTTGAAACCTTTAACTCAATCTTTTCACAAAACTCATGCAAAGTATCCAATATTCAGATATGTTAAATCTATTTGAAAGTAAAACTCTAGATATGGATTATTACTGTATTTGTGTATCAATAAACCAAGACTAGATATTAAAAATTTACTCTTTCTTCCTCTGTTCTGAACCTAGTGTTCCCTACACCTCTACTCTCAGAAGAGTACATCTCTTACATGCATATTTCAAAATTATTATTTTTTCACTCACAATGCACTTGAACATATATTTTTCTGAAATGTAAATTCATATTATAATATTTACCATCAATTTTGGACTTCCAAATAAGTTGCATGAGGCCCTACTGATTTATTGTTTTTCCTGGCAGTAGTGGACAAGAATTTATAACTGGTTTTAATGCATTCTTTTAAAAAACTTAAAAAAAATTTTTTTCTTTTGAAAAAAAAATCAAAGAAGAAGAAATCTAAGTATAACTATTAGCCTATATAAGTTATACCTTCGATGAGCTTTATCATAATGTTTTTCCTATTCTTTGAAAATAAATAGTGGTTCAGTAAATAAGAGATTTTTCTAAGATATTATTATGTCATAATCTTATAAAAGACCTTTGACTTCTTCCAGATCTAGTTCATTAAATGATTATTTTAATCAAAATAATACTTGATATGAAAGACAGAAACCTCTCTTTTAAAGATACTCACTGGCTGGGAAAGCTGTGATCGCTTAAGCACATGAAATACCAGCAGATTTGATTTACTTCAAGCACTACATGAAAATGATTTTTTAATGTTCTTGTCCTGAAGGCTTTCTTGAAATGTTAGCATCTGTTTCATTTCCTAGGTTTTGGAGTAATTTCTGTTAGGAATTTGTAGTTCAATGTGACAATAGCAACTAGGGGTTGAATTATTAGTAGGGCAAACAGAGGTTGTCAGTATATGAGCCAGCTTCTGCTTCCACAAAGATTAGCATATGACTCCAGAACTAACAGTTATTAATCATATCACTTAAAACTGCTATTTATAATGGCATAATATGCTATTTATATTCATTTTGCTATCACAGAATGTTTAGAGACAGATTTATGCTTCTAGCTAAAATAATTTAAGGGAGGCTCTTTTAACACATTTTACTTTAACTTCATATTCAGTAAGCATTTTCTTCAGTTAACATAAGTTGCTCTTCTGCAAATTAAAATATATTTCTTTGTTTTTATCTTTGAAAAAAATGAAATGGCCTACTCAATAATAAGGAAGTGTTTAAAATTAGATAATTTAAAAAATTCCACTTATAAAATTTTCGA
This sequence comes from Homo sapiens, assembly GCF_000001405.40. NCBI lineage: Eukaryota > Metazoa > Chordata > Mammalia > Primates > Hominidae > Homo > Homo sapiens. The sequence goes on along the minus strand of NC_000002.12, from coordinate 187,419,600 downwards.
AATTTTTGCCAGCTTTCACTTTGGTGTTAAGTTCTGTGAGCTGGCCCAAGCTAACTGTATTAATTTGCAAGGGCTGCCATAATGAAAGCCATAGACTAGAAGGTTAGACAACTGAAATTTATTTTGTAACAGTTCTGGAAACTGGAAGTCCAAGATCAAGGTGTTGGCAGGTGTGGATTCTCCTCAGGCCTCTCTTCTCTGTTTGCAGAGGGTCACCTTCTTATTGCATCCTCACAGGGGTGTTTGCATATCCCTGACATCTCTTCCTCTTCTTGGGAAGACATCAGTCATATTAGATTAGGGATACGCATTTATTACTTCATTAACCGTAATCACTTTTTAAAGGTGTCATGCCCAAATATAACCAGATTGAGGGTTAGAACTTAAATATATAATTTGGGGGCAGACACAATTTAGTCCATAGTATCAGCAGGGCCTGGTGGCTCATGCCTGTAATCCCAGCACTTTGGAAGTCCGAGGCGGGTGGATCATGAGGTCAGGAGATTGAGACCATCCTGGCCAACATGGTGAAACCCGTCTCTACTAAAATACCAAAAAAAAAAAAAAAAAAAAAAAATTAGCCAGACGTGGTGGTGCGTGCCTGTAATCCCACCTACTTGGGAGGCTGAGGCAGGGGAAATAGCTCGAACCTGGGAGGCGGAGGTTGCAGTGAGCCGAGATCACGCCACTGCACCCCAGCCTGGTGACAGAGCAAGACTCCATCTAAAAAAAAAAAAAAAAGAAAAAAAGAAAAAAAAACACAAGTTTCTAAGAAATTATTATGAAGAAGGTGAAATTTTCTAGAATATAGGAAAAGCTGAATAAAGATAAAGAACACATCTCAGAACCTTAATATTATGTAATATTGACAGAATACACAAATATAATTCAGCTTTGCAAAGGTTGGTAAATTACTTAAACAATTGTATTCTAGGTCATTTAAATAGCAATTTAACCAATCTTCCAATGTCTACTATGAGCTGTCTTAAATGCTAAAACAGAAGGTAAGGTAAGAATGAATAAACCTTGACCTATACCCTTAGGAAGATTCAAAATAACAATAGAAGTCGATATTTAAGACACGATTAGTTTTATTTACTCTCATGAAGAATATATAGGCTAATGAAAGAAAAAAGACAAAATCAACATGATACAGTGTCATTAAGTAGATATGGGAATGTACACAGAAAAATAAATATTTTATATTGACTTATAGATCCAGTAAAAACAGGTTAAATTTTACATGATTCTCAATTCTTTTTAGAACGCTCTATTTTTATAAAATTATATGCCCAATTGAATATTTTTAAGCTTCAGCTGCATCTCTAAATATAGGTGTGAAGAATAACTTTTGAAATTGATGCAGAGAATGATATACACAATTTTTTTTCTTTTAATGACCAGAATTCCAGGATTAGCATGGATAATTCCACATTTTTAGTGAATAGAAGTCCTGGGGGTGTGGGTGAAAGGTCAGAACAAAGGCTTCTGCAGGAGGACTCTGAGAACAGAAAACGTCAAAGCTTTTTACATTTAACCTCAAACTAAGCTGGGTAGTAACTTGACTGCATGGAAATACACTTGGTTACAGTGGGAATTGGGCAAAGATGTTAAATAATGAAAATGTAGGCGATATTGATGAAGAAGTAAACACTTGACACTTTGTAAATGTGAAAAATCCTATACTGTGGGTTACTTTTTATTGTATAAACTGTTACATTAACAAGTAACTGTTGAAACATTATCCTCTTTCCTGTGGTGGTTTTATAGTTCATACCTTTAAATTAACTTTTATCACAAAATCTAAATTTAAATACAATTATTTCAATATAAAAATATTTCCATAAAACAAAATATTGAAGAGAAAAGTATTTAGACCTTTTGTCTTCCCTGACTCCCATGGCCTATTTAAATAGCTTTAATAATGTAGTTTACATTATTTTTAAATCAATATTTTACCACAAATATTACTTATGTTACTACTGAATCTTTAATCAACTTTCAGGTTCTGTAGTTGTTCATTACAGGTCAAAGGCATGTTAAAATTGTTTTAAAAATTATTAAGAGTTATGCTTAAATTGGAAAATAAATAAGCATATATTATCTGTAACACAGGCATATATTTCATCAAATATTTTAAATCTATATTTGATTTGGATTGAAATCAATTGAAGTCTATACAATAATAAACCTCACCAGCATAAATGTCACAAGATGTTTATTCTGGAAGCTATTCCAAAAGTAGCTTTTCTGGGTTCCATTGATGCTTTTAGTATTTCTTTTCTTTCCTTTGGTGTGTTTATGGGTTTGTTTTTTGTTTGTTTGCTTGTTTTTTGTTTTTTTGTCATAGTTGTAGTTGTTAACTATGCTACTCTGAGTATATCTTTGAAACATCAATTAGTTTTTTCATCTATATATTAGTTTTGAAAAACGTTGTCTTGGGAATACATTTTAAAATTCACTTGAGTATAGAAAGTAAATGGCCTTTATTTTCAGACACAAAAAGCTTTCAATCTTATTCCAGTAAGAGAGCTTCACCCTCATTATTCGTCAAGAATTGTATTTATCAAATATATATTTACTAAAAATCCCTTTCAAGAGAAAGAATATATAGTCAGGGTTACTCAAAGGATATTTAGTGCATTTATTTTTTCAGATAATTCAAAGTCTATTCCTAGGTGAAGTCAAATCAACAGATTGAAGGACCACATTATATTTAATTGCTATAGAATACTTTTTTATGCCTGATTATAGGTCTTTATTGATGAACATAAGAAACAGCCCTTTGCAACTTGCCACATTTTTTATTATTGTAATTCACGTGAGAAACATATACATTGAATTACAGAATGTTCTCTTTGAGAGAATCCTACATTTTCTGTTTGCATTTAGTTCAGAGTATAATAGCATTTCTTCCTAGAAATTGATTAATTTCATACCACAGACCATACACTTGGTAACTTGATCTACTAGAAGGATCAGACTCAAAATTTTAGACCATCCCGCATTCACAAGAGTTTTTAATAAAATACAAGGCCTTTTAATGTCTTATTTCTAGCTCTTCTTTACATTTCCCAATATTTTTATTTTTTCTCCTTTTTCATGTATGTAATATTATCTGTGTTTAATAAGTTTTATTTAGGTGTAAGAAACAGGGCCACTCTTGTATCTATTTGGATCTATTACTAGGATAACAGGGAAATTAGGAGTACAGAAGATATTCTATGTCATTCAGTATGACGTGGTAACTCTGTATCATTCAAGATGAAAAATTTTAGATATTTACACACAGAAATTATAAGTGCTGAATGTCCTGCTTAAACATTACTTTATTAGATTACCATTAGTAAATTTGTTTATTTTTAATTGACAGATAAAATTATACACATTTATCATGTACAACATAAGGTTTTGATTTATCTATAGATTGTGAAATGACTAAGTCTATCCAATTAATATATGCGTTACCTAGTAGAGTTGCATTTTGTGCTACAAACAACATCCACTCTCTTAGCATTTTTCAATAATACTTTATACCTGTATTATTATTATTGGCTGAGCACAAGGGACTTTGTTGATGGTACATGACGAGGTCAGGCTCCCTAGGCCCCTCCGTCTTCAGGGGGTCTGCATGGAAACTGTGAAGAGGGGAGATTCTTAGTGTGGTGGGGGACTGAGTGTGGCAGGGACTCCCCAGCAATGAGGTCCTCTCTCTTCCTCTCGTGCTCTTGCTGGGGCTGGTGGTGCAGGGGTCTTACTTTCTGGAGGCCATGTGGACCATGATCCACCACCCTGTTGGTGTAGCCAAATTCATTGTCATACAAGGAAATGAGCTTGACAAAGTGGTCGTTGAGAGCAATGCCAGCCCCCTCACTGAAGGTGGAAGAGTGGGTGTCACTGTTGAAGTCGGAGGAGACAACCTGGTGCTCAGTGTAGCCCAGAATGTCCTTGAGGGGGCCCTCCGATGCCTGGTTCACCACCTTCTTGACGTCATCATAATTGGCAGGTTTTTCCAGACGGCAGGTCAGGTCCACCACTGACACATTGGCAGAGTTTCCTGTCCCAAACATTGTTAGATACCACAAAAGTTTATATAACATTTCAATATTATTAAGTACACTTCAGATGTATATTTTTCCTCTGATTCCTTTGTGTCTTGATATTTTTCAAGCATGCCACCTTTTAAATCTGTTTGTTTTATTTTGTTTGCTAATCATGGCCTGAAGACAAATCTGCTTGCCCACAGACACATTTTGTGAATTGCCTTGGCTGTGCTCACTATTCGCTAATGTTCTTTCAAAACCCGTTTTCATGTGAGAAGTTCAAAAGCAGGCATATAAGCACAGCTTTTAGCAAAAGTCCTAACATTTAGGAAGCATTTGTCTAAGCATTTACTTAGTGTGGACTTTTCATATATTCTATATCCCTTTTATCTTATCATCTGGAGCTCTCACACTTTTACCAGTAGGATGCATAGAAAACTCTTCCTGCAGGAACCTTAACATATTGCTACTTTATTCCTTGCCTATCTGGCTTTGACTTGTGGGATTAACATTTAACCACAGAGATTATTGTGACAGCACCAGTGACCACACCTAACCAACTAAATCAATCAACAAAGAAAATGTATTTCTTGTTTTCTGGGAAATTCATTTTCTGGATGGATGGGGGAAAAACATTTGAAAAAAAAAGAGACTACCTTTTTTTTTTTAAAAAAAAAAAAATAATTTTCTGGTGGCACAGCTCAGTTCTCTGAGATTCAAAGAAAATAGTAAATTTGGGATGATGTGTGTGCCAATGTTTGTCTGGTGGGTAGACACTGGTTGTTTCTTAGTCCAGTTTCACATTAATAAGAATGCCTCTACAGTCCTAGGAAAATTTGTCTTCAATGTCAGTATTTCCATAAGTTTTTCTTCAACTTCTGTGTATCACTGTATATTTGGCATAAAGATAGAAGATGGCATATCATGAATAGGATGCCAGTCAGATGTCATTTTTTAGCCAAGATTCACATATATACTTTGAGTTTAGGCATTATTATATTATGGAAAAAGAAAGGTTATGTTTTCAATCTCTTCCAGGCTTGGCAGCTAATAATTACAACTCCTCTTAATGCAAAGTGAATTTTAAATAAATTCAGGATGACATGCTGCTGCCTACATTAAGACGTGTGAGTGATGGGTTTAAAATGTGGCCATGCATTTATACTTTTTAAATTTAAAGTTATTTTTATAATTAAGAATGGAGTAGGGTTGACTACTATTGAGAAATTCAGAAACTTTCTTAGATAAAAATTTGCAAATTAACTTTCTTAGGCAACTCTAATTACATGCCTTTCCCATACTCACATCCTAATAAAACATGATAGACAGAAGCTTCCGGCCTACAAATAAAATATGTACATAAATAAAATATTTATTATGTTGCTGTCCCAATTTAGATATGATGCTTTCCTTTCCTCCTGTTAGATGACAGGTAATGATATCCAATATGAAATTTTCATTATAGTAATGCCTAACATTTATTGAGTGTTGTGTGCCAGAAAATGTTCTGAGTTCTCCTCATTCCAATATGTCAAGTAATAGTCACATATAGGATATAAAATGAAATATAATATTATTATCCACATTTTATTTATGTAGATATTGAGTCTAGAGGAGTAAAATAATTTGCCCAAGTTACATAGACACAGAGAAAGCCTCAGTTTACATTCATAGCTTAACACAATACAGCCTCAATCAATGTCCAGCTCCATAATTAGAAGCAAATTTCCAGTCTTTGCAAATGCCAAATAACTCTCACTTCCCTTAAGATGTAAATGTGACCAAAGCAACTCTGGATTTCCCTCTCTGGTATTTTACATCTACTGAAATATAAATCACAGTTTTTTGTGTGCCAGCCCTTGTACTGTCAACATACAAGTTATAGTTTAAATAAAGAGGATTATTTCAAGGTCACGCCATTAACAATTACTTTGCAGAGTTTTTCTATAAGAATTGCCAAATGAAAGAATCATTTCTATCGTTTGCTGGGGACTTAGTCTTCCCCTAGGTTTGTCTTTTTGACACGTAAATTACAATGTCTTCTATTATAGTCTTATCGCATTCTCTTGCTTTTCTCATATGGGAGGGAAGATATAATTACATTAACTGGTAAAATATATAACAGTTATAGATAGAGCAACAGTCAGATAAAAATAGTGATTCACTTACAAGGTTTAAAATATAACAGCTGATAATTATCACATATAATTATATATGATATCAAAGAAAACAATGAATGTTTCAGTCTTGTTGAAATCCTCAGATGTAAGTGCTATGCCCATGTGATGTTCACTCTTTTTTTCCCTGTCTTTTGTCTTCGCTCATGTTACCTCTTCTATCTAGAATTCTCTTTCTCTCCCTCTGTCTCTTTTTCTCCTACATTTTCTTTAAGGGCAAGCTTAGATTTCCCCTCTCCCTGGAGCTTCTATTTCCATAACCCTAAGCATTCCAGCCTTCTTTGATAATTCCTTCCCTGAAAACGTACAGAGATAAATCCTTATATACCAATAAATTGAATGCTTACTATGCTTATGTTGTCTTCCTCACAAATTGAAAGTTTGCAGAGAACAAAGCATATTTATGATCCATAGCAACTCTAATAGTACTAGTTGAGAGAAAACAATCAACAAAGCATATTTATGATCCATAGTAACTATAATAGGACCAGTTGAGAGAAAACAATCAATAAAAACTAATTAGTTATTGATATATGTGGAATTAGTCACCAAAGGACAAATATTTTGAGATGTCCTAGGCTTTAAAACCTGAAAGCCATTTACAGTATTTAAATATTCCATTTTGTATTAGATTAAGCCTTAAGGCCTTGAGGCTTGATTCAACTCTCACTCTTCACACTTGTATCTTCCACCTGCTATTTTTTTAAAAAGTTTTAAAATAGTATGTCAAGCAGAGGCTGCCCTTAGCTTGAATAATTCAGATAATAGTCTATGATTTAAATTCCAGATACAGGCATATATTTTATGAAGATCTGCTTAATACAATAAACAGATTTTCCGTGTGAAACCAGAAAGAGTTAGAATTAGAGGGAGACAGAAATCATTTCGCTTAAATATTTAACTTCATAGATGAGGAAAGAAAAGAGTCAGAGAGATAAGCGAATTTGCAAAGGTTGCCCAAGTCAGATGCCATAATGAGACTGGAGCCCATGCTCTTGAGCCCCCTTTTCAGTACTCAGTTCCAAGTCTACCCTGTGGATCATTTCTCTTGTCTTTGGGCCACTTCAAGAGAAAAATAATGAACATTCCACACAGACTATGGATTTTAAGAAATGACACCCGTTCAAGCTATCCTGACTAGTGGAAATAGGAAATGTAAGAATGTTTCTGAAAATCAGGAAAGATTTAGAGCAGTATCTCACGCAGACTGAAACTCAATTCTAAAACTGGAAGGATGCAGGCAGACCTTCTCAGTAACTTCACTCCCATTAAACCTGTGCCATTACTGTCCCAGATCCCTGTTCCTCCTCTGCATCTCTGTCCTTAATGCCTCTCGTTAGAAAGGTGCTAATTCTTTCTCTGCACACAGGATGTAATTCTTTTTTTTTTTTTTTTTTTTTTTGAGACAGAGTCTCGCTCTGTCGCCCAGGCTGGAGTGCAGTCTGCAAGCTCCGCCTCCCAGGTTCACGCCATTCTCCTGCCTCAGCCTCCCGAGTAGCTGTGACTACAGGCACCCGCCACCACGCCTGGCTAATTTTTTGTATTTTTAGTGGAGATGGGGTTTCACCATATTGGCCAGGCTGGTCTCGATCTCCTGACCTCGTGATCCGCCCGCCTCAGCCTCCCAAAGTTCTGGGATTACAGGCAGGATGTAATTCTTTTTACTACACCCCCTACTTCCCTGGCTTATCCTTCTATCTGCTTCTCCTGTCTCTGTCACAATACCTCATAATATTTAATGGCCCTGATTCTGTATCCTTTATCCTATGTTTTGACACCGATTCTACATCTTAGCATTTATCTAGGTATCCCATTTCATGATCCATCACTAAATAATTTTTTTTTCTCAGTTAAAATTTTGAAAGAGATTTAAACTGGCTCAAATTCATCCTTGTAACACTAAATCATACCATGGGTCATTTGCTACCTTATATATTGCTGCTGTTGGATACGGGATCTGCTTGACTAAACAACTATAGCAATGTGTGAGGCTGTTTCACCTAAAAACTCTTTAGGTGTAGCAGATAATGTTATCAGCATGGTTAGTACATACACTCATGAACAAGAATCAATTTAGTAGTATTTACAGTAGTCTTATTTATAGTTATATAGAGATATTACATAATGTTAAGTTATTACAACTTTTGATAGAGTTTATATTAATTTTTTTAAGATTACCTCAACTGTCTTTTTTCTCCATGTGCTTTCAGTACATTTCTTTCAGTATTTCTAGGGAGATCTGAATTCAAGAAGTAAAAAGGGTACCATTTAAAAGAGAAAATTTGTTTAGCAAGGTTTCCAACTATTAAAGCTTTCATGAGTAATTGAAGTTGATTTTTATTTCATGCAATTCCTTCTTCTGTCACCCACCAGACAAAATAATGAGTCTTTTATTTATTCTTTTATATAAAAGTCGGAAGGATAATGCACTAGATAAAATATTTAAATCCCATTAAATCCTGTGGCCCCACCTACCTCTCCCCGCCCCCTGCCCCGACACCAACACACACACACACTTTGAGCCTCTTGAGACTACCTCAACCATGCTCTCATCCCAAAGTACAAAGGCACAGATTATCAAGGCCCACATGCACCTCTGTCTTGAGCCATAGTACCTCATGATCCCCTGATCCCACCTTCAGCTCTTCTTCATCCTTAACATTCTTCCCCTGTGGGCTGTGGAACTGATGTTACACCCACCCACCAGCAAACTTTAAACTTAGCTCAAACCAGTTTATTCCCTGCAAAGAAATCCTACTTGGTTTAGTCAATACTTTCCTCCACTGTCTAAAACAGGCTTTCAAACCTTCTGTTCTTTCTACAAAACCCTAACACCCACTTCATATTTCCCTTCTCTCTCAACAGCCAGTGCTTCAAAACAAGAGGTTTACAGAATACAGCTCCCTCACCTGCATATTTCCACACCTATAAGCCTATCAGAATCAGTGTCCTTTTTTTTTTCTTTCTTTCTCAACTTGTGAAGTAGGGCAGATATCTCTTCTCTTCTGTAAAACAGATTGCCATTGCTGCCTTGTACCTCATTTCCTCCAATTTGGTAAAAAATTGAATATCTGTGATGTCTTTTAATACATTGAAACTCTTCCACTCAAATGGATCCCCCATTAATATTTTAAAATGTTCATGTCACTCTCATTCAAAAACAAAACTCTTCTTTCTACCCTACAGATTCTCCCACATCCACCACTATACCCCATTTTCTGACTTTACAAAACCAAAATCTCAAAGGAACTCCTTATTCTTGTTTTCACCCTCACTTCTTAACCCATTTCTCTCTGATTTTTGTTGCTCAGTGCTAAACCACCTATTTTCTGGTCAGCTACTGAAAACACAGGTTTGCCAGTGTAATAAGACAAAGGCCAGAGTCTTTAACAAGTCATCAAACTCCCTGCTTAGTGTGGTCCCTGCATCTTCCACAGCCTCACCTGACACAGCTCTCTCCCTTGCCTTCTGCCCTCCATTCCTTTCCATAGAAGGCATTTGCTTATGTTTTTCTCATCCCTCCAAATCACTCTCCTTGTCCCACCTCCAGTCTTTCCCTAGTCGATGAGGACTCAAATTTCAGATATCAAGTGAGTAAAATACCATTTCCTCTGGGGAACCATCCTTAATGCTCCAGATTAGGTCATCTTCTTCCTTCATAGGACTATCTTGTCATTTTGAATTTGTATGAATATTTGATTAATACCTGTCTCCCCTATTATAGTTTCACAAGGGCCTGCATCTAATCTTTTATTCACCATTATTTTCCCAACACCCAGCCAAGTGTTAGGCACATACCAGTGGCTCAATAAGCATTTGTTGAATGTGTGAATAAAGTTAAACTTTTCCAAGGTACAGCATGACATTTAATAATTTCACTGCAGGTTATGCTTTGGACAGTTGCTGTCTTCAATGGTGTATGCAGTCATGGCACTAAACTTACATTTCTATAAACTCAAATATTTTGTACCAAATTTCTTTTGCCTACAGTTATTTGAGCCTAGTATTTTAGAAAGAAAATATCAGAAAATAAGTATTTCATAAATATCTTCTGACAGATGTTTAGATCTTAATAACGTTTCCTTTATTGATCCAGAGAGAAATCCTGACACCCTACTAAGGTTATTCCCCGAATCAAAGCAAATATATTTGAAAGGCTGACCCAGTGGAAGGAGAAAAAAAATGACTTGATGTTGTAAACACTTTCCCAGGGAGACCAAGGCTATTATCCATCATTATTTGGTAAAGGGAGTCAATTAACTGCATTCACATGTAAAAGATTTCTTTACAAAAAGCTCACAAGGACTGTTACAGTGTTGGAAGAAAGAAAGGGAAGAAGAAGGAAAGACTTCAGACTTCTAACCAAGAGTAGTTGTGAACATTTTATGTGCTCTGAATTAATTTATTCATGCTCCCTTTAAAATGTAATTGCTACTTATTTTTAGGAAAAAGCAAGTTCTATATTTCTATAAAATATTATACAGCACAATGTGACTATAGAAAGCACAGAGAAAAGGAGAATGGAATAAAAATGATTAAAAAACTGCATTTATAAATATTATTTTTCTTGGTGTAGCTATTTTTTAACTCTGGCTGGAATATAATTATCTCCACTGTACAGTTATTAAATTACTTAATTTATTTCATTAAAATTTTCCTGGTAGGTTTTCTGAGATGTGAGAATTTGTACATAAATTACAATAAAATTAAAATCCTTAGTTATCCCAAGAGCAAAAACAAAACCAGCCATAGAAGGGGGTTTTATTATTTACTATTAATTTCTGTACAGAACAGAGGACTCTAGCACAAGGTTAGAGTAAATACATTTATTTATTTCTGCAATAGGCATTTAGGCTTCTGTATCATCGTAATGTTTTAAAGGAAAGATATGTAGTACATAATATAATTTTATGAACATCATATTAAACATCATTGGGTTTTATTTCTAGATTCTCTATTTCTCAATAATGTTTTAAATAAACTTTAATATATACTGTCATGCTTCTGAGAATGTTGCCCTATTCATTTATTAATAAGGGATTGGAAGGAGAAAGAAAAACCTCACCCTAGCTGAAAACAAAATCCAAAAATGTTTCATAAATATATAAATAAACATGAAAATAGCACTGTGTTGCAAACTGTAATATTTTGTTTCACGTATATCTGAAGTAAATTAACCAGAAAAGGTTTTCTATTTTTTTAACTTTGGCTTTCAATACTTAATGTATTTATATTAATATATATGTCTTGGATGTAATAGTAATGACATTTTTTCCCTCAGAATGATAGAATTAAAGAACAAAAAGGACCTTGAGAATCTAGTCTAGTATCTTATTTTACAAATTAAATAAAAATAATCTGAGGCCACCAAAAGATAAATGGTGTGATTTTGCTCAAACTATGTAGAGTTTGCTTAGTGTCAGAAACAAAGTTAACATATAGAGGTGGGAACATTAGCAAAGCTTAATGCACCATGCAAAACAAGTCTTAGAATCACACCTGTTGCTGCTGGAACCAGCCTCACTTCAGTCTCCTCTGTAATCCCCAGGTTTAGTTAAAATTAGAACCTGGATTTATTCATATTCAATGTAGTGCTATTTGAATTTTTTAAATGCAATATGTTACCTAAATATGTACTTGTTGCTAAGGAAAGATTTAGTGTCAATGCTTTGTATATTTATCTTTCACTGCACAGCAGTCCTTACCTTATGCCCAAAGACTTTTCATTCTTGTATTATTAAAATTGAAGTTTTTCTCTCGTAATATAAAAGTCAATGTCAGCACAAATTTCTAAGATTAATAGGCGAAAATGCACTACTAAAATTTTGAATATGCATTATTTCTGAATTAAAAGAAATAATTCATTTGAAATTGTTTACAATGTTCCCATTTTAACTGCCACAATATTATTATTGCCTACTATTTTTTTGCTTGTTTTCTTCAAAAATGTGAGAAAACACTTCCTTTGAGTAGTTCAAGTGCTTTTCCTTATTTACTTTACAAACAGACAAAACAAATTATCTTAACCAGTCTTTATTCTCCCTAAATATATGTGGGTTTTACTGTGATCAGACTTCGTAAAGTATAAAACAATGTTAATTATCATCACTATGGATGCATATTTGTAATGGATAATTATTTCATGTATTTATTCATTAAAAAACTTTATGAAGATTAATGAATACCAGACAATACCTTGGGGAATCCCAATGATTAAAAAGGCAATGCCCTCAAATAGCTTTTACCTTTAGTGGGGAAGATAAAAAAGAAAACAAAACAAAAACAGACGTAACTTTATCTAGTGTGATAGTGTGCTGTTAGAAGGCACATACAAAAGGCACATTCAGCCTATTTGTGCTGTAGGCATAAGGTGGAGCGAAACTAAAGAAGTTATGAGTTCAAATAAGGTTTTTTGGGAATGATAGTTAAGTCCTAAAAAGATAGATGGTAGACTTCACAAACACTACTAGCGTTATTGTACAAAATAGCTCCATTTTTTCCAAAATTCTGTTCTGCATACATCTAAAAGATTTTTCAGTTTTTAATTTGTGTGTACTTAATAATGTTGATTCCATCACTCCTATTCTAGTAGGAAATAAACCAAGTAAGACTGTCCTTCTGTCTTCTTTTTCTTTCTCTGTCTCTGTCTCTTTCTCATATGTACACAGCAAAAAGTGACCAAACCACATCTTTTTTCTAACAATTATTGGATCTTTATTTTGAGTACCAACCACAGCATTACCAGGAATGGTTAGTTACAAAGACCATAGATAAAAATAACATATACATAGATAAAAATAGATAAAAATAAAAATATACAGTTAGACTTCTCAATGCTTCCTTTTCTTTTATTTTCTTTATTTATTTGCCTTTCCCTTTTTCTTAGCAACTGGTGTTCTACATTTGCAGAGACAGAATTCACCTAAGATATGTTTTATGATGACGATTTTAGTAGAAATTTAAATTTGACATGTGTATTGAATATTCTGTACATTTACACTAGTACATTTACTTCCATTTTTTCAAGGAACACGTTTGCTTACAAATAATTTTTATAAAATAGAGTTAAAACAAAATATATGCAATATTACAGCCAAGAAATTATTTGAGTTGCTCTTGAGCTTAAACAATAATTTTAGATGATGAACTGATGTTTTTCACATACAACATATCAGATTTGTGTTTTTTTTTTTGGTTGTGTTTGGTTTGGTTTGTTTTGTGTTGGTTGGGAATGGTGGTTTGGTGGTCTGGTGTCAAGTTTTGACAAGTCATTCTGAGTGAGGTGATAAAGCCCAACTGCTTCAGAGCCCCACACTGGTACTATTTTATATTAACAGACACAACATTGGTTTGTCCCAAATGGTTAAAACATATGCACATGTGAATGCACACACACACACACACACACACACACACACACCCCTACATACAGACAACACAGGTATACACACACAGGACTTAAATAGTCCAATGGAAGTACTTCATAAGGACAAAACTTCTTAAGTGATTTCCCTAGTTATTGCATACTAAGTATCTCAGGAACACAGCAGCCATTCCTCCAAACTAACAAACTTTCTGCTAAGCTTAATTGCTGGCTGCAAGCTTTTCTTTCTTACTGTTTCAGCCGTCTGCATTTTATCTCCTTGCACAAATTTATCTCCAACTAATAACCGAGTGCTAATTCCAGGTAATGAATCCCACACCTTCAGTTTCACTGGTTTTGCTCTTCCTCTAGGAATTGATGAAACAAATACAAATCAAGAGTAATAATGCAAATACACAAGTCATTTTAGAGTCTGTGTTTGTGACAAGACATAAATGTCTTCACCTCCTTAACAATACTGTCCTCGGGATGATGAGAAAAGATGAGACTTTAACACTGGTGTTTATTACCACTCTTAGAAGGGAAGGTTAATATATATTTAAAAGGTACTCCGTAACAAAGCAGAGTGTTATGCATACAGAGACAATTAGTATTGGTGAGAAAACAAGTGATTTTGGAGACAGTGCCCATCCTTATTCACGCTAAAATATGTTAAAATCCTACCATGTGTTCATGAGCTCACAAAGCCTCCTTTACAGAAAGCTGGGAAAGTTGGCATTGTTAAATGTTCACATATAATTTTACTCAAAATTATAAGTCTTCTAACTGAGGCCAATTAAACCAAACCAAGACATTCCATTTCTGCTGCAGGGGAGAGACCACCACTTACTTAGCAGTTATCACTTCCTAGTCCTTGTGATATGGAATTGTGTGGGTTATTACATTTAACCCCCACAATATACTTATGAGACATGTATTTCCCCATCTTAGAGCTACAGAAGGTAAAGCTTACAGGTTAGGTTTCTGCCTGCATTCCAGTTAGGAAATACTGCAGTTCCACAGCTGGTATCCAAACCCTAGTATCCAAACTCAGAGTCGCTCCGTGTGAAACCTGTGCTCTCTGCCCTGTGTCTCGCTTCCTACTGCTCTATCTTTTTTTTCCTCTGGTACAAGTCCCTACTGCTATTATTTTTCATTGTTGTTATCTGCTGTCTAAAGCAGCATACTATTCAGATACCCATACTGACTCCTGCTCCAGAAAGCCTCATTCATGTGAGTTTTCTAGCCATAGCCTCCACCAGTGTCCATCAGATGCTGTTTCTTTTTTACTTACTTTCGTCGTCTTTTTTTTTTCTTTTGAGATTGCCATTGTTATTGCAGCTCAGAAAGAATTTAGTAAGGAAACTCCTCACTGGAAAGACAGACACACACGGTAAACTACGAGCCAAGCTGCAGTTTGAGAAAAATACTCCAGCAGTGCATGGGATTCATTTTGAAATGACCAAGATAGACCCCAGGATGTTATGGTTGTGTTTTCTACAAAAAAAAAAAATAAATAAAAGTGTTTATAAGATACCTAGGGAACCATTTCATATCATTAATTTTTTAGATGATTTGAACTTTTATAAAAAACTTTATTTTCTGTAGTGACATTTTTCTCTTTGTTAGGAAAACAAAATCTTACTTTGGTGGACAGATTTTTCACTAGATGTTTTTATTTAATAGAGTAACTTTTTAAGACACTATTGCTTCTTTAGTTTCTTCAGGGTATTTTATATTTTGATAAAAATGCACCATCTTAAGATTCGGTGAGGGAGGGACAGTCACATTAGGAAAATGTTTCGCTGTTGTTGTTAAGGTCTATTAAACTCTGTCAAGCATGACGGGGCATTTTTTTTTAACACATCCTGGTCCAGTTAAGGGTGCAAATCAGAAAAAGTGCTTGGCACAACAATTTAGCAGGAAAGAAAGCTATTTTAAAAGTCTTTTGGGAACATGTTTGTGAAACAGGAAAAAACATACAATTGAGTTGATAATAGCACTTGGTAAAGGTTAGGCTCACTGAAATGGATTTGCCATCTTTTTTCACAGGGAACGTGTTGTTCTTAAGCGGCAGTTCTCACTTAAGCACAGCTTAATTCAGCAAGGATCTCCTTCCTGTGCAACTTCTTTTACACTGGAAGATCTATTTTTAAATTATAACCCAGACTTAGTCAGAGGAGTAAATGATTAAAAATAAGCTGCGTTTGGTATGTGTAAAATTACAGCAGTTCATGGTACTTTGTCTAGTAAATGACTGAAGTCACATTTCCAGGTTTCCACTTATTAATTTCCCCAGAGACCTCAAGCTTCTCACAGGCCTGTCCTTTTACCTCTAGTTACACAGCTGCACTCACTTCTGTACCCATGCCTTTGTACTTTTAGTTCCTTGTACCTAGCAAACTCTGCCCTTTATCCAGTTCACCTTGTTACTAACTTTGAATTCCTTAAACACGAATGTTTTGAAATATGTTATAATTCAATTCCAATACATGTTTTAGCACATACTGCCTTTCCAAACAAAATGTCACCTTTCTTTAACTGCAAATGTGTCCTATGACGATGGGCGTGAAACTTCTATTTCAAGGCCCTCCTTTGCTGATCTACAGAACTGTGCAGAAAAACCCTCCTGGACAATTTTTTCTTCAAGATGTGAGAACTGCACTCAGGTATTTCCCCACCACCCATTTTATTCTATGGTATTCTCTATAGTAGTGATTGGAACCCACTCAGATACCCATGATTGAATTTCAGGAATCCATTTACTTTACTTGCACTTGCCAAGCTCTCACATCCTTATACACGAAACCTTTTAAAATAACTCTTTTAAATATTTTTCTGCATCATACCAGTTTAAGGCTTCTGTAACAAATTGCCATAGACTTGGTGGGTAAAACAACAAACATTTATTTTTTACATTTCTGGAGCATGGAAGTCTGAAATTAGGGTGCCAGCATGGTTGGATTCTTGGTGAGGGCCCTCTTCCGGGTTGTATCTTCACATGGTCTCTCCTTGGTGCATGCAGAGAGAGATTGCCTATCTCTTTCTTTCTCTTTTCATAAGGATGTTAATCCCATCACTTCGTCTAAACCCAATTATCTCCCAAAAGCCCCACCTCCAAATACCATCATATTTCATGTTTCTAAAATGAAAATTTTGTCATATGGCTCTACTGCATAATTTTCCTACAATTATTATTCATTTTATGCAACAGCATTAGCAAATATATGGAATACATGCCATTCCTTCTCAGGATGCTGCCATGGCAGACATCGTTAATGACTCAGGAGACTCTTTCTGATTCACTGGACTAGATTAACTTTAACATTGCTCAGTGTAGCAGTTCTGGCTGCCACTACCAGCAAATCAGAGTAGATATTCAAAATGAAAATATCTATCCTAGAGCATTAAATCAAAACTCCTCAGTACAACAGAAAGTACCATTAATCTGCTTTTCTGTCTTACTGGAAAGCCTCATCTCTCATCTCATGTATCCTGCATCTCTCAAGCACCTGGTATGTCCACACTCCAGAAAAGTATCATATTCTCTACGTAGATGTCTCTCTCTCTCTCTCTCACATACACACACACACACACTCACAAACATACTTCCTCCATGTAAAATGCATCATTCCAGCTGATCAATTAGACACATAAAATTTAATTGAGTACCTATAATACTTTATTACTCATATTTGTACATATCATTCTACTCCTACAAAGTTTTAAGTATCTCTGAAAACAGAAATTTTTAGCATTTCTGGATCCCTAGAACTTAATATAACTTTTGGAACATATGAGGTTTTAAATAAATGTTTGAATGAATGAATGTATTAATATAGTAAAAGGTACTAAGATGGAGTTATATCTAGTATTTGTAAGAAATTGAGACACACCAGAGAAACAAATTTTAGTATATCAACATTTTATTTACTTTTAATAAAAATAACAATTTTTAAAGTGTGCATTTACCTGAGATACACATATTGATTTCTCTCCTTCCTTCCTGCCTTCCTTCCTTCTTTCCCTTCTTCCTTTCTTCCTTCCTTCCCTTCTTCCTTTCTTCCTTCCTTCTTTCCTTGATTTCTTTTTTCCATCTTTAGTTTTCTTTCACCATGTAATAGCTCCATAGAAGGAGTATAGTTAGGATGTAAAATTTCTAACCTAGGTCAAGTTCCAAGAATAAACCAAAGTTCAACATTTTTTCTTGCTAATATTTCTCTTGTATTTTTGATGTTTCTATTTGTAATAACACAATTAAAATATCAGAAATCACAAATATAATAAAATATCTACATTTTTGTTTGTAAATTGTCAGTGCTCCACTCCTATAAGAAATTAAAATCTGTAAAGTGAAATCACTGACAGGAGAAAAAGATAAACAATTATAGATCCTATCTAAAATTAAGGGAAATTTTCTAAGTATGTATATAGATCTTTTCCCTCAACTATGTACAATGGTTATTTTTATAAACTTAAATTTATTTATCAAAGGAAAGACAATATTTTGTGCATGAATTAAAAATTAGTTGTTGAAAATAAATTTCAAGAAAAATGTATGTTTTTCAAATCAAAGCAGTTCTATATATATAAAATAGAATTAATTTGTTGTTGAATATGAAATAATGTATCCAACTGAAGGAGTAATTCAGAGTTTACATGCATGATATGCTGTGTTAGCTAGGCAGGTTCTTTGGTCGATGTGTTTTGTTTTACAATGTGAATATCATCTGTCTCTTAACTAAAGAAGGCAGGAGAGGTGAGAGAGAAGACTAAATGATCAGCATTAAGTCTTTCCTTAGATACACATGGCCTTTTGGCATTTACTTTTTTAAAAACAGCTTTACTAAGCTATACCCGTACACTTCATGAGAACACTCACTTAAAGTGTACAATTCAATATGTTCCCTACTTGGGCAATAGAATCATTAAAAGCCCAATCTTCAGCATTGCACAATACACCCATGTAACAAGCCTGCACATATACCCTCTGAGCCTAAAATATAAAGGAAAAAAGAATACAATTCAATGGTTTGTATATATTCTCAAGGTAGTACAACTATCATTTTCGAACACATTCATTACTCTGAATAAAATCCCTGTACCCATTAGCAATCACTCTCTATTGCCACACTCCTTGAGTCCTAGGTAACCCCCAATAGCTCCTTCACCTTTATAGATTTGCCTATTTTGGATATTTCGTATAAATGGGAATCATATAATATGTTTCTTTTTTTTTACTGTCTTTTTTCACTTTGCATAATGTTTACAAGGTTTATTCATGCTGTAGGTAGCATGCATTAAGTACTCCTTCCTCTTTATTGCCAAATAATATTTCATTATAGGGAATATATCATATTTTGTTTATCCATTCACAAATTGATGAATATTTGAGCTGTTTCCATTTTTTAATTATTATAAATGATGCTAAGAATATTCGTGTGCAAGCGTTTGTTTGGATATCTGTCTTTATTTCTCGAGTTTATAACTAAAAGTGGAATTGCTGGGTCATATAGTAACTCTATGTTTAACATTTAGAAAAACTACTAAGGTGTTTATCAATGATTACACTATTTTACATTCCTATAAGCAATATATGGTGGTTATAATTTCCCGTATTCTTTCTTACACTTGTTATTGTCTCTCTTTTTTATTATATCTATCCTAGTGGGTATGAAGTGGTATTTTATTATGGTTTGGAATTGCATTTTCCTAATGACTAAGAATATTGAACATCTTTTCATGAGCTTATTGAGTATTTGTTAGATCCTTTGCCCATCAATTTTTTTAAAAAAATGACACATAATAATTTTACCTATTTATGGGGTGATATTTCAATACATACAATGTGTAGTGATCAAGTTAGAGTAACTAGCATATCAATCACCTCGAACTTATATTGTTTCTTTGTGTTCAAAGCATTCAAAATCTTCTCTTCTAGCTATTTGAAAATATAAATTATTTTTAACTGTATTTACTCCATAGTCTATACAACACCAGAACTTACTCCTCCTATCTAGCTGTAATTTTGTATTCTTTTACCATTCTCTCCATATCACTCTCTCCCTGCTACCCACCCCAGACTCCAGTAGTTACCATTCTACCCTACTTCTATGAGATCAACTTTTTATCTTCTTCATATGAGTGAGAACATACAGTATTCATCTTTCTTTTCTGGGCTTATTTCACATGACATAATGTCCTTCCAGCTCATCCATGATGCCACAAGATTTCATTCTTTTTTATGGCTGAATAGTATTCTGTTTTGTGTCTATACCATATTTTCTTTATCCATTCATCTGCTGATGGACACTCAGATTGACTCCATATCTTCTCTGCCCATTTTTTAATTGGGTTGTTTTTCTTTTTATTATTGAGCAGTAAGCTTTATTTGTATATTCTAGCTATAAGTCGCTTTCAAATATGTGATTTGCAATTTTTTTCTCCCATTCTGTGTGCTGTCTCTTCATTTTCTTGATAGTATACTTTGAACACAAAGTTTATAATTTATATGTCATCTAATTTACTTGTTTTTTGTCACTTTTGCTTTCAATGTCCTATCTATAAAGCCATTGCCTAACCCGAGGTGACAAACATTTTACCCTTATGTTTTCATCTAAGAGTTGCATTTACTTTTTGAGCTGGGTATGAATATCTCGCCATAGGTACATATTAGTTGTGGATTATCCAAGAGCATATACTGCTAAGACTATTTCATCTTTAGAAAAAAATTACTCCGTAGATGTATTTGGATAAAAAAGTCAGTTTTGAACTCCTATTTGCTGGGCATGGAATGTGCTTTGGGTGTAAAAGATGATGTTCTTCTTTTGTGAAAAAGAAAACAATCTGTAAATATCTACATTACAAGATGAAAAGGTGCTTGAAGCCATCTCATTTTACAGGTCAGGAAACGAAGACCCAGCAAAGTGACTAACCTAAGAATATTCAGGGCATTCAATCACAATCAGAATGCAAAATGGAGCCTTCTTATTCCACACATAGTGATTATTCCACTACACTGCTCCAAATAAATCAGTTAGGCATAAAACGTAATTTAATGGCTAATTTGTGAGGATTTCTAGAATTGTATCTGCCTTCAAATACGGCCAAATTAAAGGGCTCTAATGTTATTGGATTCTCCACCAATCCTCAATCTCAGCTAATTGCCTTCACTTGACCACATTTTTTAACATTTTCTCTGTATGATAGGAAGGATGCATGAGAATCGTCTGATATTCATGCCCTACTTGCTTTGCAACCCCAGCAGAAAGAAAAAGCTTCCCTAATAACAACAATACAAATGTCCCAGGGAGAATTCCAGTGGTGTTGGTTGGACCACACATGTCCATGACCAAGCTAAATTTAATCAGAGGATTGTGCTAGTCTGACCAGATTTCAATCAGTTCCTACTTCAGTGATCAAGAGGGAGGTCTTACTTGAACCAGAGAGAATGGATTCTCTATAGGGAAAAAGGTTCATTTTATTAAGGGCAATAAAGAAGATGTGCTAATCAGACAGTATCAACAGAGTTCCTCTACCTCCTAAAAGTTGGAATGTGCTAGTAGGTGCCATATAAATTTTATTTTGAGAATGATTGGAAAGCTCAATGTAACAAGAATATCATAATTTTGCTTATGGACTGGTATGCAACTTAAAATTATATCAGAATTATATATTTTCTGATTTTATTGTTGGTGGGAAAAACAAAACAAGACATGTTTTCACATAGCATTTGACTCCTGACTTTGTGGAAGGAAAATAAGTATAAGGCTCTCATTCCAAAGAGCTGGAAAGATGTGTTTTGTTTCAGTGCTCTTTGAGCAATTAATTCTTTCCATATTAGATCTCCTGGAGGGAGAGTGTTCCATCAAGTACAAAGCATTTTTTTCAGGCTCCCTTCCACCTTTTACTAATTGGGCTGAGATTTGGCCGCTTGCCTCTTTCAAATAAAAAGAGGGTGACTAAAATCACCGGAAAATGGCTAATTATGCCCACAATGGGAAAATCAGTCCCGTGAGTAAGTACATTACAGTGTAAAGTGAAGTCCCAAACTTAATCACAAAATTATCTCTCTTTAATAGTTATTCAACTGTTCAATCTGGAATGTTCATTAAATAAGCAAGTAAGCATAGGGTCAATGTTTTCTTTTGTTGTTCCAGTACAGTGTTAGGAAAGGCTATTATAACCAATTTAAAATAAGTGAAACAACTAAAAAAGTCAAATACTGTATGTTCTGACTTATAAGCGGGAGCTAAACAATGTACACACAAAGACATAGAGTGTGGAATAATAAACTTTGGTGGTTTAGAAGGGTGGGAGGGTTGTAGCTGGGGTGAGGGATAAGAAATTATTTAATGGGTACAATGTATACTATTCAGGTGATGGTTACACTAAAAGCCCAGACTTCACAACTATGCACTATATTCATGCAATACAAGTGCACTTATAACCCTTAAATTTATACAAATAAAAAACAAAAAAATAAAGTAAAATTTGGGAGGTTTTATGTCTTATTTTTAATTGGCTTAGCATTATATTCTTTAAGAAGTCCATATTTGATTACAATGTTATAAAAAATTTGCTAGAGCTTTGGGTTATATATAGGCTCAGTATTAGTAATTGTGCAGTCATATTAACTAGATTGATATCCTATCTGGGAATATACTTACAATTCACTTTATTTGATATTTTCATAACTACTTAAATGACAGAATAAAAAACAACCACATTATTTCTGCAGAAGATAAAAAAAAACTCAAGATGCATGTGACCACCGCCTTGAAATACAGTCAGTTTTCCACATACAGTGTTATTGAAATTACGGCAAATAAATGAAAATATGTATAATAAGCTTACTTATATTTACAAAAATTTTAATGTGGTATAATAAGTCATATTTAGTGCATTCTAAGAAGTTTGTATTATCTAATTTTATTTTACAATAGCTTTCTGGTGTAGGAGTTGTTTTGCAGAAAAGAAAACTATTCTTAAAGAAGTTGTTTAATTTGCTAGTGTGTGACTGAGTTGGATTTTAAAAACAAGAAGTCTAACTCATATTTATAACCAGTACAACTACTGTTTCTACTTGTAACTGGTATTAGACATCATCCCTTCATTATGTGAATTATTAAATATCAGTTGGATACTACTTTAAAAATTTCAGTATCTCTTTGGAAAAAGAAAAACTGTATCATTAACCAGTGAGACGATATTAACAATATATACTTCCTTATATATGAATTTTAATGTGGATTTTAATAGTTACAATTAAATTTAGGCATCTCTTCAAAAATAAAATACTTTCTAGAAGTTTTCATGAGAGTTTTTGATGACTTTTAAAAATTGGCAATTTCTATACCAGGTCATCCATAGGAATTTAATGGCTTAAATGTAATAATTTTCTTTTTTTAAATTACTTTGTTGAGTTTAGACATTGTTGAATCATTTTTTAATGTGTCTTATAATTTCTGTTACTCTGCATATTTAAAAGTCTTGGCTTAGTGATTTTCTCTTAAATGCAAAGAAGATAAAAACTCAATGTAGCCAAAATTCAGAAAATGTTAATTTCTAGTCCTATAAGCATTAAGCCTGTTCCAATGATGATGGTAATAAGTTTAGCTTAGGGTACATGAACTTACCAGATTCCATTCTGAGACATCTGGAAAGGGGGCTAATGAAGAAGTGTGCTTGCTTTTCTAATTTGGACTTTCTGCAGTGGAGAAGAGAGAACTAGACGTTTCTTGAATGGCCTTTCAAAAGTAAGAATAGCTCAAAAGAGGCAGTATATGAAGAGGTGAGAGCAAGATAAGTGATTTTTTTCTTTATTTATTTATTTTTTTTGGCCTAGATATGTTTTCCCTGAATTCTCATGTAATGAGAGAAAAATTAGCCAAATGGTCCACTTTTTCCCGTGAGCTATTAGGTAGTAGGAGACATACACAAAGTCTTCCTGAGCCACAGGAAAAACAACAACAACAACAACAACAACAACAACAAACAGTGTCAGGAGAGATTTGGTTTTAAGGCTATTTTGGCTTTAGGTTACTAGGAGTAAAAACTGTTTCTGTATAACAATCATTTTTTTCTTTTCATATAAATTTTGAACTCTTACCCAAGGCTTAATCCTTTTACCCTAATGCTTTGTTTGATGAGTAGGAAACACCTGGGAAGGCATGGAATTTGCCCAGGTTCAATGAATGACAGAGATGGGACTGAGGAAGACACTAACTTCCTGTTTTAAATGTTGATAAAATCATCCCTCGCTAGAACCTCATGAATGAGTTCCATGGAGAGTGTTTGAAATCAATGAAGTAAGCCTCAAAAGCAGTAGAATACTGTTCTTCAACTTGATAAATACTTTTATTGAGGGCAGAAATCTTAACATATCTCACCACCTTCACCCTACCAAACTAGGTAAAAGTAGATGCTCAATAAATAGGGTAAGGTAACAAATTTAATTTCTAGAAGAAGTTTTCTTCATTTAAAACGCATTTTTTAAAGTGCTAGAAAACGAGACAGTACATGTGTTTTTATTTTGGGACCTTGCCAGAATGGCAAGTATGAGTTGTCAAGCCATTTATTAATGTAAGCTTTGTAAAAGAATCGAATATGACATTGCTAAGAAGAGGAATGAAAAGAAGAAATTGTTGGGAAAAAGTATAAATGTGTTTGATGAGTACAAGTGACATGTAATGAGAAAACTGGTGGTTAAGCAAAATAACTGAATAAGCAAAATAGAAATGTGTCCTTCACTTTATGCAAATAAACAACTCCATTGTCCGAGTCAGTATGATACAGGGCAAAGGGTAGAAATTTAAGGTCAGAAAACCTGAGTTCTGAGCTTGGAGTCAGACCTAAGCATCTTTGTGACTTTGGCCAAGTCACAATTTGCATGCTGGATTTGCCTGGTTTGTTCAGTCAACATGATTACTGCCATGACTAACAGAATTATAGAGGGATACAGAAAATAGCAATAGCTAATGCTTATTGTGTATTTATTATTAAGCAAGTTTTTTATATCTAGCATGTAATTTAACACTTAAAATAATCCGACAAGGTGAGCTATGATAAAAGTTATAGGCAACATTGATTTAGCCAGGCATTGATTAGCATTATCTCATTTACTGGTCACATTAACCTTCTAAAAACAGCCACTACTTTTATGCAAATTTTCAGGTTAGAAAATCGGTTGAGAGAGTTTAAGTGTATAAGAACTGGCATTAAAGATATGTTTCTTTGACTTTAGTGTGTGTCTTCTAATAAGTATGCAACAGAAAACAGGAAGCTCAATTAACGATCAAGTTTTATACTCATTATCTAGTTGAGTAAACCAAGCAGAAAATAGTTGAGTTGATTTTCTTAAAATTACACAGCAATTTAGAAGCAGCTTAGAAGAAACACTTCTAGCTAATGGGATTGTCTTGCAGGAGGATGAATGTATTGTTAAGGTTAAGAGGAATGACTGGCTAGTTGGGAAGCAGAGTTACTACTTTGGTTTGATGGAAAAAAATGTAATTTTTGTCAGGTAAGGATTTTTATTAGTTTTCTATCCTAGCTGTACCAAATGACCATAAATTTAGTAACTTAAAACAACATTTATTTACTATCTATCTCACAGTTCTATTGGTCAGTTCTGTTGCCTTGGCTTGTTTCTTTGTTTCAAGTGTTACATGGTCAAAATAAAAGTAATGGCAGGGCTGCATTCCCTTTTGTAGACTCTGGGGGAGAACCTGCCTCCATACTCATTCAGGTTGTTGGCAGAATTCAATTCCTTGTGGTTGTAGGACTGAAGTCCCCATTTCCTTGCTGGCTTGAGGCCACTTTCTAGTCCTTGCATGTGGGCTCCACAGCAGAGTCAGCAACAAGGAATCAACTCTTTCTCAGGCTTTCATCTTTTCTGCTTCCCCTTGTGCTGCATCTCTTTGACCCTTCACCCTTTCTTTTCTTCTTTTAAGAGCTCAATTTATTATTTGCAACTAACCTGGATAACTCAAGATAACCTAGGTCAATCATTCTATTTTAAGATCCATAACCTAAATCATAGCTGTAATCAAAGATTCTGGTGAATAGGGCATGGAAAGTTTTGTATGCCTATCATTCTGCCTACCACATGAATCTTCTATCTATTCCAGGTATCCTCAACCCTAGCTATATATTAAAATCACCTGGGAAACTTGAAAAAATGCTTGTTCCTGGTCCCCAAGCAAGATGACCTGAATCAGAAATTTTTGGAGTAGAATCGAGGCAATGATCTTTTTTTATGACTCAGAAAATTATAATAGGCTTGAAAGGGTTAGGAATAACTAAAAACATCAGGTTTCTTCAACTTGATTAAATTTATTTCATAAGCAATCTACTTTAAAAACACTTTCTGTATACCCTCTTTATGTGATCACTTTGTTAGGGTGTGTAGCCCCGGAGATGAATATGCTGCCTGCCCTATTCTTACTGTGCTCACAATCTCATGGCAGAGACACATAAAGAAATAATTATAAGATTACATGGTATGTTTTAAAATAGATATTTGAATAACTTGCTTTGGGAGTTCTGTGACATTAATAATGCCTGGGAACACTGCAGAATATTTTGCTTGATTTATACTTTATAGTTGCTTTTAAAATAGTCTGGCTAGTAACTAGAAACAGTGAAATACAAATGTGTTCAGGTTTCGGCATGTCCCAGTGAGGATGAAGTATTTATATTGTGCTTCCCCAAGTATAACAGGCCAAGAATTTACTTGGGTGCTTACTAAACATGCAGGTTCCTAAATTCTTCTCCAAAAGGTTCTGTTCCAGAGCGTCCTTTGTGGGGCCTGGCCATTTTAACATTTTCACCAAGTTTTGGGGGTGATTCTGATGCAGGTGGCCCACAACCTCACACTTTGAGGACATGGTGTTTACTACATCAGTGATTTGGCACCTGCTCACTCAATAGCTTAAAAAATAATGCATGACTCAAATGACATCCTAAAGAGGACATACAGCTTGAGTTATAATCTTATATCCGTAACATGTCTTCAGGAAAGTAAAGCTTCTTTATGTTTTGTTTCACTAACTGCTTTATATATTAAAAGTGTGAGTGACATTCCAAGCTAGGTTGAAGTGGGCACTAAAACCTTACACTGGAATTTCTTTTTCATACTTTATTGGAGGCCAGGTGCAGGAGCTCAAGCCTGTAATCCCAACAATTCGGGGAACCAAAGTGAGAGGATTACTTGAGACTAGGAGTTCAAGGCACCAGTGAGCTATGATTGTACCACTGCACTTCAGCTGGGGCAGAGTGACATCCTGTCTCTAAAAAAATAATAATAAATAATAAAAAGACTCTATTGGAAGTAAAGATATTAACTTGCAACAACAATTCTAGCACAAAGACTTAGGTTTTCCAAAAATAAGCAGTGAGAAAAATAAGTTAACCAGGCTCTTGAACTTTGACATTTTTTAGATTGTGTAGAATGATTGAAATAAGTTTCCATTTGCCATGCAGGTGTGGAACTCTGCGATTGGAGTAGAGTGTTTATTCCTTGTTTTGATTCAAGAGATATGTAGCTTGTTTAATATGCCATAAGTAAGGGAAAGCATGTAATATAATATATAGGACATAGCTCAACTTTGCTCACACAAAGGTTCAGGTGGGTGAACCTTATGGCAAATTAAGTATGTGTAGAAAGTACTTCTGTTAGCCAACTTTTAGTGAATGGATACATAAATGAAAAACAGAGTATGGTTTAGAGCCTGTAAAAATCGAAGTTATTTCAAAAGTACAGAAACAAAAGATTAGGTTATTATTTTTCTTAATGTTGGAGTGAACATACACTTTCAATATTAGGGCTAGGTGACTCAATGAAAAATAAGAATTATTATAAAGAAACATAAATTAATGGAAAGTATGTATAGGAATAATACACATTTTAGAAAATAAGAAATAGGCTTGCAAGGCACTGGTGCATGTTCAGGATTTATGTTTTTTTGTGTTCTTATAAATATTGATTAAGTCACATTGGTTTCTAATGCTTATGTACAATAAAACATGCTTTTACACTATTGCATGTCAAGAAGATTGCCCTCTTAAAATTTAAGTATTTGGGAAAATTGTCTTGGTAGATGTATAATATATTAAGAAATTAAACCAGAATTGTAAGTTACATAAATTTTTGAGTGACTAGGCAGTAATATTTCAAAAGGTATTTCAGATTTTAAGACATTTTTATTTTTCACAGTTCTTTTTGTGATGAAATATATCATTTTTATTTTAATATTGAAGATATTGGGGGCCAAAGCATGGAAAACATTTTGAAATAAAGGGCTTTTAAAATTCTTTTTGCATAGTAAAGAAAATTATCTCATTTCCAGTAATAAACCACTTAGTTTAATTTTTAAAAAGGAAAATAAAATAGTACTTATAGAAACTATGAGACTAGCAGCTCTTGAAGAGAAAATGCCAGTAACAACTAGCAGTGCCAATATGATTACAAATTTACTTAACAGTATAAATTAGAGCTTTCACAACTCTGAAGTTCTTTTCCTACTAAACAAACCTTGGAACATATGGAAAAATTCTCTGGCTGGCTTAATCACTTAACTTGACCTCTTTTCATTATTTGCTTGGTCTGTCCTCAAAATTAAAAGGAAACTATTATATTTCATGATGTAACATGCAGTTCAATTATCAGTAAATAATTTAACAAGATCTGAAAGAGATTAAAAATGATTTGCTTAACAGCTTTGGTTAACTAGCATCAATTGTATTTTAGTGAAGATATATTTAGAAAAAGCTAAATATATAGAGAGAAGTACTTGCTGAATCAGCCAATTAGAGGCAGTATGCAGAGAACCAGTGAGCTGAAACCAAGGATTACAGTTAAACATACTTCTCCTGAGAACAATGTCATCATTTCATCTCCCAGTATGAGAGTCTATCTAAGTTGACTTTCAGCTATATTTGCAATGGCATTATGCACATGCCTTGCCATGATTCATCTATTATGGAATTTGAGACCTCTTGGTGAAAGGGATGATTCCTCCATAACTACCTCTCACCACGTGTCTGCTGGCAAGGAAACTTTGATAGGTCCTTTGCAAAGTAGATGACTCAAGTGAATTGCACTACCAAATGATTTGGTCATTGCTAGATCTCATGGAGTGTACAGGTGCCCATTATGTGTTTGAATGGCTGCTAACCTAAACTTGCTGCTCTATCTTTGACAAACCCAGGGGCCATACACCTGCCCCCTTGATTAGGAATACACAAGTTTACACAGTGAAAAATACCACCTTATTCCTAGTAGCACAATTTTCAGATCATTAGGGAATAGGGTAAAGAAGGAAAGCTATAAAAGTGGAATTATTTGCATTAATAAATATTTTGTGAGTTGAATACTTTTTAATTATTGATGTCAGGATGATTTAGTTACCACTAAGAGATATTTCACTAAGATACTTTTTGGAACTCTGATTTTGAAGCCTATTAGATAAGCAACAAAAATAATGGTAATGTTGGATGAAATGTGTTTCAAATATGTGGGGTTTGGAAAACCTTCAGACATGACTTTTGAAGCACTTTGCCCCTCAATATTTGGAGTTCATGTGCATATTAAAGGTAATTTAATCCTGACTCATGCGTAAATCATTAAAAAATTATTTTGTAAAACATACGTGATTTTTACATAGAATAATATTTATTTACATTGTTACTAGCATATTTAAATATATATACTTTTATTCAGAAAAATATGAACTACTAATATCTTAAATATGTACTACAGTGCCCTAAATGTGGTTTAACCTTTATGTCTTCCAAATGCAGTACAGAAAACTACTGTTTATTTAACATCTAAGTAATCACAAATTCAAAACTGAATAGTTTTCAGGATTTTATTTTGTAAGAAAGTAGACTTGTAGATATAGGAAACATCCCAACAATTTTCATTGTCAGTACATATTCAAACACTGTCTAAAACTTTCTAATAAAATAAATTACAATTAGTAGTTATGATCAGTGTTCTTGATTGTGACTTTAGGATCCTAAAGTACTTTACTGGTTCATGTTTTAATTCATTTACTCATTCATGTATATGGTAAACATTTGTTAACTGTCAGTCACAAAGGATGCAAAGATAAATCAGATATGAAACCATATCTGCAAGGGAAATAGATACGTTACTAATAATAATCATACATTCCAATAAATTCGTAGATAAAGTTAATCAAAGGAAGATCAAACTATAGTTTAATTCAAAAGGCTTTTTGCCATACTTTAGTTCTTTAAAATTTACTTAAATAAAATATTCAGTTAGATTACCCAGTGTCCCCACCATCCTGAAAAAATGAAAATTGATGTAAGTTTCTCCATCTAATAAAAAACAACAAACATTTGTAAAAAAATTATGACCAAATATTAAAATAAAATATATCTGAAAAAAAAGTTGCTATGCTTAGCTGGTTTGGGATATTGTTGTAACTTTTCTAATATAAATTATACTTTAAGTTCTAGATGGAAAAATGTGATAACTTCAGAAATGTGAGCTCTGCTTCATTGGTTTCTATATATTTAGGGATAAAATGGTTGAGTTTGCCACATTAACTTGTTACTATCTATCTTCATTCATACTAAGAAACATACTAGTGATTATTAAAGAAGTAATAGAGGCAAGGCACGGTGGCTCACACTTGTAATCCCAGCACTTTGGGAGGCGGAGGCGGGTGGATCACCTGAGCTCAGGAGTTTGCGACCAGCCTGGCCAACATGGTGAAACCCTGTCTCTACTAAAAATACAAAAATTAGCCAGGCGCAGTGGTGGGCGCCTGTAACACCAGTTATTCGAGAGACTGAGGCAGGCAAATCTCTTGAACCTGCAAGACGGAGATTGCAGTGAGCCAAGATCGTACCACTGCACTCCAGCTTGGGGTACAGAGCGAGAGCATGACTCTTTCTCAAAAAAAAAAAAAAAGAAGAAGAAGTAATAGAGAAAAGTATGATATATTTATAAAGTGCAGACAATGAGAAAGAAATTAGCCCATCAGAAAGAATCCTTAAATCTCTATTAATCAATCATTTATTTAGTATTGAATCTCTTATTTCTTTAGCAAAAATTTCTTGAGCACTCAGGTTGTGTCAGGTACTATGTTAAACACCAAACAGTGATTTGCAAAAGCAATTTTGCCTATATAAAACCATGAATACAAAAATCAATTACTTTTTTATATTTAGGGATGGATTAAATGATAGAGTTTTGCAAAATGCATAATTATAAAGAATGTGATATTGTTTAAAATAATCAATTTAAAATAAAATATATCTGTTAATAAATATAGAAGTGATTTTGTATATAGAATCTATAAAGTAAATTTTTATATTAATCTAACAAATAAAGCTGAATAGGTTGGCATTTCATTAGGTTAGATTAAATTGCATGGGAAATAGAACTTAGCCAAGAGTATGCCATGAGTTGGGAACTTTCAGGGCTCCACAATATAGTCAAAATCATTTAATGGTCACAACAAATCTGTAGTGTCCAGTATCATTCCCTATCACATTTCCAGGTGAAATGTGCATGTAAGAGTATTGTCTAATAATGAACTGTAAATTGCTTTAATTTTTTGTTAACAGAAATCCTAGTAAATTATCATTAATATGATAAGGAGAGTTTTAGGAGTTACTGTATCTGTTAACTATTTTCAACTCTTCCACAAAAAATGTGTACAAAAAAATAAAAACCAAAAACAAAACAACTCTTCTTTCTTTCACCTTGCTATTAATACTTGATAATAATTAAAGCTCCACTGAGAAGATTAAAACACAAAATTTATTTTTAAAGGCAGTATAATTTAGAATGATTTGTGGAATTATATGACTATAGATACAATAAATAAAGAAATATTTATCTAACTTATAAATGCCTAAGGAAAACATTTTAGTAATTCTATGAAAAAAATGTAAATATCTAAAATCAACAATTTTTCAAGTGAAAATGACATAATTACTCTTTAAAAATTATTTACTCATAGAAAATATGTACATTTCTAGACCAAGTGTGTTCTCATAATATAGATCTATAATTCATATTGAAACATCCCATGCTGTGAATATAATGCTATATAATAACCCAAATATATTGTAAGCAAAAGAGGCTTTTCAAAGTTGGAATTGTTCAATAAAAATATGATCTTAGTAGCAGTATTTTCTTTGAAGTTTTTAATTTATCATGGAAATAATTTTGGTCATTAGCATAATATTAAATTATTACATTCATCAATATTTCAGGTCTTGACCCCTGAATTTAAGAAATTCTTAAAGACAATGTCAAATATGATCCAAGAGAAAATGTGATTTGAGACTGGAGACAATTGTGCATGTAAGTATTGGGAAATTAAATTTTCTCATGGTAAAATTTAATAAAAACTAAAATATTAACTTATTAATTACTGAATTAAATAAACTGACTCATTGTTTTCTGTCTATAACAACACTACTTTTATTAAAATTAATACAATGATTCATGGTATTTTGGTTATATTTTTCTCAAGATCGTCTAATAATAAAAACCCATACTAGCCTATAGAAAACAATATTTGAAAGATTGCTACCACTAAAAAGAAAACTACTACAACTTGACAAGACTGCTGCAAACTTCAATTTGTCAACCACAACTTGACAAGGTTGCTATAAAACAAGATTGCTACAACTTCTAGGTGAGTCATTGGCGAGGGCTAGCAATGGCACAAATTGTGTGTGACAATTAATAGTGTGCTGTCATTGAATGTCATAAGAAGAATAATAAGCAAAACCTGTGAACACGTAAAAAGGTTTTTATAATTATTTTTCCCAAATTAGCCCTGTCATAAAATCATTACTAGTTTCCTAACAAAATTAAATCTAAGCTTACAGGTCAGTGGCAAATATCTGTTGATCGGAAATTTTTTCTCTCCTTTAAAAATATTGTTTGCGTGTTCAGTGTATTAGTCCGTTTTCATGCTGCTGATAAACACATACCCAAGACTGGGCAATTTACAAAAGAAAGAGGTTTAATGCACTTACAGTTTCACGTGGCTGGGAAGGCCTCACAATCATGGCAGAAGGTGAAAAGCACATCACATCATGGCAGCAGATAAGAGAAGAGAGCTTGTGCAGGGAAGCTCCCATTTTTAAATCCATCGGATCTTGTGAGCCTTATTTACTCTCAGGAGAACAGCAGTGGAAAGACCCACCTCCATGATTCATTTATCTCCCACTGGGTCCCTCCCACAACACATGGGAATTATGTGAGCTACAAGATGAGATTTAGGTGGGGACACTGAGCCAAACCATATCATTTAGTTATGGCTACATCCTGAAAATATGTTGGAGTAGGTTGCTCCTGGACTTCACAGGGTGTAAGCATTTGGAAAAACACTCCAGCATTTCTTGTCTCTTAGAATTAGGAAGCTAGTGGGTAGCATTTTAGAGGCCATTTTTCATTAGCTCAGAATTGTACTTAGTATTAAAAATATTCAAACAAATATTTTATTCGATACTCTTCACTCCCTGAAACCTTATTTGAATAATGTAGATGACTTAGGGAATCTTTTATTTCCTAATTTTAAAAAATTGATTTTCAGTAGTGAAGAATAATTTCTATTAAATTATAAAGACATTTTAATGATGTATAGATGTTGATTCTCAAGAAATTGAGAACAATTTCCTTCCTTAAATTACTGAAGAGTCAGAAAATTGAAAATGAGATTAATACTTACAGGAAATAAAGGTAAGCTTTATAATAAAATATGCTATCAAAATTTTTTATGTCCATGAAAAACTCTCTATTGTAATACCTTTATAATTTGATCCCAATTTTGGTAAAGGCAAAAAATGCAAGTTGTTTTCTAATTACTTATCTATCTATCTATCTATAAGAAGTTTTTCTGTTTGTAAGTCTAATTAAATTAAATTAAAATGTATTTATAAGCTCCTTAACATTTGACACCATAATGTTCTTAAACATTTGACACCATAATGCTCTTAAACATTTGCAGTTTTAATATATTTTAATCTGCTGGGCAGGGTGGCTCACACTTGTAATCCTGGCCAACATGGTGAAACCCCATCTCTACTATAAATACAAAAATTAGCTGGGTGTGGTGGCGCTCACCTGTAATCCATCTACTTGGGAGGCTGAGGAGGGAGGATCGCTTGAACTCGGGAAGTCCAGGCTGCAGTGAGCCAAGATTGTGGCACTGCACTAGGCCTTGGTGACAGAGTGAGACCTTGTCTTAAAAAAAATGATTTATCAAATCTTTAAAGTAAAATTATTGAATTATTGTGTAGTTTTAAAATAAATTTTCTGTTGAGAATCATCTGCATTTATTTCATAAATATTGATGAATTATATTTCTTTTATTTTCTGTTGCAGTTTATGTTATACAGCATATTTCATTTTGGCTTAATGATGGAGAAAAAGTGTACCCTGTATTTTCTGGTTCTCTTGCCTTTTTTTATGGTAAGCATAAAAATATATATGATTATGTCTGTTATTGCTTCCAGTATACCTATAATTGATAAAGAATATTAATGAAGTTACTAGATACAGAAATTAGTTACATTTTTATATCCAATTGATACAGCAATAATGTGTTTTCATTCGGTGTATGCTTTTAGTCCTATAACAGGTATAGAATGAGAAGGAATTGGAGGGGATCAGAATGGGAAAGATGAATACACACATGCATAAGACACCAGAGGAAAGTAATCAGAGATTGAAAAAAAAATGGAATGACTCTATGGTACATGTTGTACATAGTAGAGAAAATATTTTCAACCAGAATTGTAGATTCAGAGTTAGATCTGTTAAAAAATGATTCTCTCATTGATGTTTCTCCCGTTCTGCCAGTTGATTGACATATCTTGATTGCAAGGCAATTTAGAACCATACACTTTGTTTTAAATTAATTTCCTCAATCATTCATTCAAATTAGCAGACATTGATGTTAAATTTG
Organism: Homo sapiens; assembly: GCF_000001405.40. NCBI lineage: Eukaryota > Metazoa > Chordata > Mammalia > Primates > Hominidae > Homo > Homo sapiens. Next base: position 187,385,048 of record NC_000002.12, on the reverse strand, counting down.
AGGCAAGTGTGTGCATAAGTCTGCACACTCATCTGCCCCTCTACATGTATACAATGGGGATATGGGGCCCAAGGTGGAAGGTAGGCAAATAAGACAAAAACTCAATTGCTCTGCTGGAGGAGTCACATACTTCATACACTTAATTTTATGTTTAATTATAGTAATGAATCACCCATGTTTTTCTCTACCTCAAAATAAAACAGTGACTGTGCTCTTATCTCATTATAAACATGAAAAACCAAGAGACATACTCTCATCTAATCCTGTGGCAGCTAAGAATTTTCTTGAGGTGTTTCCAAGCAAACACCACAAAGATGGAAACAAAGAAACTTGGGAGAATACAGAAAACCTAAACCAGAAAAAAACAAAAAACAAAAAAACAAGACTACATTCCTGTCCGCATTTGTATTTGAAAACATTTTCAAGTCTAGGAGCAAATATTTCCAAGTCTAGGAGCAGTCCAAATCCTGCACTTCTTAGACGGTATCTTTAAGTTGACTTAAGCTCACACCCTCCACTGAGCGAGCTGCATAGAACATTACTTTCCTGCAGGTAATTCTGTAACAGATTAGCAACTGATTATTGTAATTAAGAAATTGTGACTCTTCCTCTTGAACTCATGTAAGATCGTGTACAAATCAGAGTCTGTGTTCCAAGTAGGGATAAAAATCATATGGATTTTTGCAATTTTATGGACTTTTTGGGAAGAACAGGAGTTACGTGCTTTTCAAATATATTAATTTTCTTTATGTTCTACATTTCCATGTATTACTTGTGTAGCACTACCACTGCATAAATCTTTATTTGGAAATTAAAACAACAAAGGAATGAAAGAGTTATTGTTAAATGGTGGTCACACAATGGTAAAACTTAAGCTTGAGAGGTGCTACCCAGTGAGGGAATGTCATTTTGATTTTACTAAATTCAACTTCCTGCTAGAAAAAAGAAATACTACAATGAGGAGGCAAAGGAAGGATAGGAAGATAACAGCTTATGGGATATAGTTAATAGAAATTATGCAACAATTACTGCTAAAAGTGTTAAAAAAGAGGTCTATTCGGGCTTCATATTATAAATCAGAAAAAAAGTCACGTGGAAACTAAAGTAGAATTGAAGCTTAAAATAGTGCTACTATATTGGAAGAAAATAAGTATATAACTTGTCCAAAAACATTATTGATGTGCATACAAGAAAAATTTCTATTTACCAACATCATAAATGATGTTGCCATTATTTTGATTATCAAAATATCATGACAATGGCAATACATTGTAAGTATTTCCATGTGCCAGATACGTCTCCTCTGTTATCTTGATGCTATTTTATACTATTTTACAATAAGGAAGCAGAGGCTTTGGGGGAGGGGACAGACAATATCTTGCCTTCATTCATAGAGCCAGGAAAAACATTCGGGTCAGATTGGAAGACATCTCTGTCTACATTCCAAAACACATATTAAGGAATGTCCTGGAGCTGGCTACCACAGGCTTCTGAGAACCAACTGTGGTTTCCCACTCTGCCAATGGTGACATCTTGTTGGTGTTTTGAAATTGGACATGGTGGGGATATTTATACCATGGAAATAGCAAACACTACAAATTGGGGTTTTTTCCCTAGAGCGCCAGTTTATCTTCCAGTACATCACCGCACTTGCTGTTTTCTACTGTGACAGACTGCCTTTGACAAACACATTTTCATAATCCTTTTCATGAAGTTGATGTTGTTGTTTTTTTAATCCCTTAGATTCTTGTTACAGCAGAATTAGAAGAGAGTCCTGAGGACTCAATTCAGTTGGGAGTTACTAGAAATAAAATCATGACAGCTCAATATGAATGTTACCAAAAGATTATGCAAGACCCCATTCAACAAGCAGAAGGTAAGCATGGCTACTTAGTTGTAAATGCATTTGACATATTTTTAAAAGAAAACTACTCCCATTATATCATTATAAGTGCTTTAGGTCCATTATTAAAAATAGATTGCTACCTTTTTGTATATGTGCAGTTTTAATTATGTTTGAAGAACATTTTATGACATCATGTTATATCGCTTTTTAAAAACAATAAAAATATGTGACAGTGATCTTTTTAGTATGATTCTTTTTATGGTACAAAGATATTTAAATCAAATAAGTATTAATATTAACACAAAAACACAAATCTTAATGACAGTTGACTTTTTCAGTTTATGTAATTGTGTATTTCTTTTTTTTTTAACAACCTGCTTGACAGGAGGTTGCCTAATAATATAATGAATACAAAAGTGTTGTTTTTCATAACACACACACTTTGCATAGTACATTTGGTGGCAAAGTTAATGAAATCTAAGTGCTTCTGTTTGCATTAAGATATTCTTTTGCTTTTTTGGATAACATTCATTGAGAGCCTGCTAAGCACCAGATACTTGACTAGATTCTGAAGATAAAAGATGAGTAGCACAAGCAGAGTTGCCAGATAAAGCAATAACAAAAACAGGTCCTATATTTTACCTGGCAACCTTAAAGAAAGGGTTATCTTCAAAATATCAAATGTAAAACTCACAGTAAAATAAAATTTAACACTCTTTAGATATTTTTAACTTTGAAACCCTTCCAAGCCTTCTTGCTGTATATTATGTAAAAGTAGATTTTAAATTTAATTGTTGAACAATAGGAATATCTTTGTAAAGTTTCATAATAAAAGTATTCTGTGGTAAGAGAAGTTTGGAATCATTGCATAATACACCTTCTTGAAGTTTCATAATGTACTTTGTAATTTTAAATACTCTAGAAAGTCTTGCAATAAAGAGCTATTTTTATTTCAACTTTGTGTCTCTAAAATCCATTTGACCAGAGAAACTTTTTTCATGGAATACCTACTTAGATCTAACTCAAATGCCATAAAACACAATTTCAAAAATTCTGGACCTTGCACTCTATCACATTACCAATGCTGTAGTGAATTAGATACTTTTGGAGCTGTGATATGGACATATCTGAGATGCTTTCTAAAACTACATCAAGAAATTTTTTTCTAATAGGCCATAAAATGTATTTTATCTAGAAATATATGGATTCAAACTATTTAAATAATTGTCCAAAAAATGACATAGCAGAAAACATTATCTGGGGAAACATTAAAATTTTGTTGGTTTTTATTTCAATTTACTTGAACTTACAGGCCATCAGAATTTTGTTCTATTTTCATGAGGGCTAGATAAATGCCGATATTGCCTTGCAAATCTGTTAAAAACAATAAACATCTCATGCAGCAATCAAGGTTCTATCTCTATCTGACAAGTTAGAAAATTACTTTTGGGCCGGGTGTGGTGGCTCACACCTGTAATCTCAGCACTTTGGGAGGCCGAGGAGGGCGGATCAAGAGGTCAAGAGATTGAGACGATCCTGGCCAACATGGTGAAACCTCTTCCCTACTAAAAATACAAAAATTAGCTGGGCGCAGTGGCGGGCACCTGTAGTCCCAGCCACTTGGGAGGCTGAGGCAGGAGAATCACTTGAACCTGGGAGGTGGAGGTTGCAGTGAGCCGAGATCACACCACTGCACTCCAGCTGGCGACAGAGCAAGACTCAGTCTCAAAAAAAAAAAGAAAATTACTTTTTTAATTATAGACTGTTACAACATTAGAACATTGGTCGGTTAATTTACCTACGCCTTAAAAAAACTTTATATATTTTAATGTAAGAAGTTCTTTATTTAATTTTGGAGAAAAATGTGAGATTATTGAACATTCTACCTTATTTGAAAAGAAAAGGAATGAAGAGTCAGAATTTGGTGGAGGGGCCTAAATAAGTATCTTTCAGGGTTACAATGGTATAATAGGAAATATTGGAATATTTATTGGCTTGCTTCAGAAAATACTAACACCTTGCCCTAAGCATACAGTTTCTAAAATTAAACATGTTTCTAATTTCCCATTGTTTTCTTATTTTAAGCATAGGGACGCTAATCACTACATTATGGCTAAGGACAACTAGCAAAGACCATTTGATTTATTAAACAAATAGCTACCTTTGACAATTAAAATTAAATCTAAACTTTATATATTTAGATATTTTTAAATTTAATTTAGAATTTAATTGAGAAATTATTATAATATTACTTGGTGGGAAGCCAAATAATTTCTATATATAGATTTTCATATAATGTCTGCATTTTCAGTAGATAGCCTTTACTCCACATCAGTGTGAAACCACTTTTAAAACTATGTCTTCATGTATAAGTAGAAGGATTTAATTATCCCCAATTATTATTTCCCCACTAAGGCGTTTACTGCAACAGAACCTGGGATGGATGGCTCTGCTGGAACGATGTTGCAGCAGGAACTGAATCAATGCAGCTCTGCCCTGATTACTTTCAGGACTTTGATCCATCAGGTAAAAGCAGAAATGTATCTACATATCTCCTTGACATCTATTTAATAAATCCTAGGTTAATTAAATTCCTGTTTTCCCTTTTTTTTTAATTTTAAAGAAAAAGTTACAAAGATCTGTGACCAAGATGGAAACTGGTTTAGACATCCAGCAAGCAACAGAACATGGACAAATTATACCCAGTGTAATGTTAACACCCACGAGAAAGTGAAGGTATGTCATAATTCTGAATTGAAATTTAACTTACAGTATCTGTTTAAACAGCTCCTTTGTCCAATACTGTATTAAAGAAAATAAAGTCATTATTCCATTCCCTTATAAAGCCTTTTCATAATATAATTTGAGAAGAATAAAGAAGAAATATATCCGTGGAAAAAATTATTATTGATTTTGTCATTACACTGAAAAAGCAATCCTTTTAGGTAATAGTGTAATTTACAAGTCAATGTTTCAGTATTGGGGTTTCAAATTTTCCAAAGAAAACATACCTTAAAAGTGTAAGAAAAGGAAAATCTTCCATTTGCAGTGGAATTTCTAGAATGACCTCTGAAACTGTGCTCAAGTAAACAGGATAAGCCCAGCAGGGTTTAAAGAGTCCTGTCCCTCCCTCAGCAGAAGGATCTCATTCTGACTGGGTCTTAGGTTATTCGCACTAACTATCGCATCCTTAAACACTACACATTGGAGTCAAGGTTAATTACAGTTTGGCACTATAATATAGCTTCGATAGAAAACACTTGCATGTATTTGCATGTGTTTGTAATAGAGGCAGTTTATCACAGTGATTACAACTGTGAGTCCTAAAACCTGATTTCTTATTTCTACTTCTTACCAGCTGTTTGACCTTGAAAAAGCCATTTTACATCTCTCTGCTTCAGTCCCCTCATATATGAAATGAGGGTAAGAATAGATTCCATCCTCATTATTTTCATAAGGATTGATTTAACACAAGGGAAATACTTAAAAGATTAGCATATAGTAAGCTCTTGATAACTACCAGCTATCATTATGTTTATAAATAACATATTCCCAGCTTATTCAGGTAAGAATTGGAAGAGAATTATACAAATACACAATAAAGTGGTAGGTTACAAATAAATGGAATGCAGACAAATAAAAATAAAAAAGTGAAAACCATGAGAAAGAACACATTTGTACAGATCATAGAATCTTCTAAGTTAACAAATTGAGATTTGTCTCTGAGCTTCAAATTTGTCAAAGGAAAAAGAAACTCAGTTTGAAAATAAACCTTTATCTGGCATTTACATCTGAACAAAACAAATCATCACGTAGCATTTGTTTGAAGGTGCACAAAATATAAAATACTAGTTTCATATAGTATATAATCTAGATCAATAAAAGTTTTGCCTCATAGATTTAATATTTGACTTCTAATTTTTTAAAAAATTATTAAAAAAATAAAAAGGCATACAACTTATAAATTTTGATAATTTCACTGGATAGATATTTTTCATTCCAGACACGTTCAAGTATTTATTGGTTTGTAAACTCATCATTGTAAGGCTATCAGATCACATATTTCTAAAAATATAGTTTATTCAACTGAATTTGAACTTCTGCATGTGTGGGATTACAGATACTTATAGTATTGATATGAACCAAATTTTTTTGTTTATACAAATTACAGACTGCACTAAATTTGTTTTACCTGACCATAATTGGACACGGATTGTCTATTGCATCACTGCTTATCTCGCTTGGCATATTCTTTTATTTCAAGTAAGTAAATTTAAAATATTTTAAGAAAATTACTAGATGTCTTGGGTGAATGCCCCATCATGTGCATATTTACATCATGTCTGACAAAATATACCAATATAGATGATTTATAATGTTTAAAATAAGTTGAAATAAGTTGATCTTAGCTTTGTAAAATATGTAGAGGAGACTGATGAAATATCTTAACCTGAATTTTACAAAATTAGTAGGCATATAAAAGTGAAGACATATAATAAGAAGGGAGTCCAAACTAATATATAAACCTAACTGTATTTGCTTTGGGAACTGTTAAATAGTATAGGCCTTCTTAATTGTGTGTTTAGCTTTTGGACAATTTTAATAACAGAATAAGTGTCCATTTTAGAAACCGGAATTTTGTGCAAATAATAGCAAAGGCATTTAACATATATCATCAAAAATATAATCTAAATACACTTTGTTTAGGGTTTTTCCTCGTTTGGCGGGTCATCATTAAAAAGGTTTAATTGTACTTTCAATTTTACTTGTAATTCACTCCATTTTGAGGAGGAAGAGTCAGCTCCAATTTTTTGAACAAAGCAATCAACAACCAATTTTAAATTTATAGAAAGTTAAATTCTAAGTCATGCATGCATTATTTTATCCCTTCACATGATTTTCATAACTTTGATCATCAGCATATATATAATCATAGAATTCAGCGTGACAAGAGTAAGTAGCTATGTTTCATTGTATCTTCATCGCATTGTAGTCATCTTCTGCTCCTTTTGCTCCTGTGGCTGCCACCGCCACTGCTGCTCCTTCTCTTTCTTCTTTCTTCTTCTCCTTCTCCTTCTTCTTGTTCTTCTTTTTCCTCCTCCTCCTCCTTCTCTTTCTTGTTTCTTCTTCTCCTTCTCCTTCTTCTTGTTCTTCTTTTTCCTCCTCCTCCTCCTCTTCTCTTATTCCTCTTCCTACCCCTCCTTCTTCCTCCAACTTCCTTCTTCTACTAATTTTAAACAAAGAAGATATATATACCTATAATTTTAATACCCTATTAAGCAATTTCTAACATTTTTCTAGTTTTATTTCATATTGTTTCTACAGTTTTAATTATAGTATTTAAAATATTTTAACTATTTTTATAACAGCATTTTATCATTAGCACTTTATATGTTACTGAACAGTTTTTAAACAATCATTTGAGCAGCTAAATAATTTTTCATTTAGTAGGTGTACAAAAGTTGTTATTATCAATTCTCTATTTTCGACCATTAACATTGCTTTCATTTTTTCAATTAAAAAACACTGCAATGGACATTTTTGACTATAACTTTTCCCATAGTTTGTACTATTTTCTCAGGCTACATTCCCAGAGTCTTGGGATTTCTTGGTCAAAGGGTCTATATCTTTTTATGGCTCTTGAAACACATCATCTCAAAAATATTTCAAAATGAACATGTTCAAAACAAATTCATATTATCTACCTCCTCCTAACCCAAGCTGGTTTTCTTCCAGAGTGACCCATCTTTACAAATGACACTACCAGAAATCCAATCACATTGGCCAGAAATTTAAGAGTAATCTGTGATACATTTCTCTCATTTTTCTTCTCTGTCACTCTTTCCTTATAACCTGTGAACTTAACCTTTTGAAACCCTTCTAATCTATTCCATTTCCTGATCACTACTGCCATCACCAGCAGTCTTGTTCTATCTAGCCTCAGTAAATTCACTTTCTCTCTTCATTTAATTCTAACCAAGGCAGCCAGAATAGTAGTTTCAAATATTTAGATCAAATATTGACCTGATTTTGCCATTCTTTGCTTTAAAATTTTTAGATTTTCCATTGTAATTAATATAAAATCAAAATCATTAACTTGCCCTGCCTGTTCTCTTTGCCTCCTCCCTAGTCTAATTAAATGTATTTATCTTTTAGATTTAAATTTTAGCATCACTTCCTCAGTGAAATCTTCCCGAATTACTTACTGTAATATTTCCAGAATTGCAATTAACGATAGTAGACATAGGGTAAAATTTTAATTAACATTTGGAAGACCACTATCTCTGCAAATTAAAAACTAATACAGCTGAAAGTCTTCAGATTAAATGGTCTCTTTTTATTTTGCATGTCATAAGTTGAAATATCCGAGCACATTAAATTTTTGAAGAAGATAAAGTTGCAAAGTATAATAATTACATTTGCCTGTCAAAACCAGTGGCTACAGGGAAGGACAATGGTTTCTAGAATTCTAAGTCATACAGTCCCAAACAAGTTAGAATTTAGTAAAGATAAGTAAAGTCCTGCACCAATTTCCTAAAGTCAAATGCAAAATTATTTATGTTCCTTCATGTGAAAGAGTCTAAGATTTAATGGAAAATGCTTGCTGTGAACTAATTAGATAAGAGTAGGGCTGCCAAGTGAAAACAATGCTGCAAGCCAAATGATACCAACAAATGTAGAGTATTCAATTTTAAATCTCAAATCAGACCACTTATTCTCCTAGTTCACTATATGAGAGCAAAAGCAAGATATCATAAAAATTAGCTTATCAAGTGAAGAAATTGAAGAAAATATCAACTGATCCGGGCATCAAGGTACCACACCAAGAGTGTTAAGCCAGAAAAAGACAAAATATATAAGGCACAATGTATGATTTCAAGAATCCAAATTACTATAATTGAGAATACAGTTGGTATAATAAACAGAGAAAAAAATAGCTCAATTAAAAAAATTTAAAAAAACGAATATAACTAAACAAAATGTAATGAACCTTGCATTTGCCTTCCTGTCACTCAGGAAAGTTGAAGTAGATGGCTTTCCTATACTGGGTTCATAGCTAGACCTGAGGATCTTTAATGCTCTTTCCACACCCAAGAATCTATGAATGAAACAGTACTTGAATAAAGAGGATTAGAATGAAAGAGTTATCTTTTTAATCAAAATATATAATCTCCATATCAGGGAAGTTGGTATCTGTTAAAGTATTTGGCAAGCTTAAAGCAGTCTACACACATAAACTGTATTTCTTATTGATAAAGAATTGGAATAAAATCATGTTCAATATTTTTATATCTGTATTTATGTATGTTTTATTCAAGAACAAATACTGTTCAACTGATATTCACAAGTAATTTTAAATTTTAATTGAAGGGTTAAAATTTAAAACCAGAGAATGTTTATTTCATCTATAGAGAAGTGCTTTTTAAAAATGATATTGTGTATATATTTACAAAATTATTAACTTTAAAGATGTAACCTGTAGGCACATTCCTCATTCCAAAAGAGGCCAGAAATTTGGTTCTCCCAAATACTGTCCTCGTGTTTTACATATAAATAGGCCAATTTTTTAGAAAAATAATATTTTTTAAAATAAAGATTACTATGTGCAATAAATACATGCATTTGTTATTTGCTAAAATGCCCATGCTTTTAAACAAGATGTATAACATGCTACATTGGCAACACTTTGTTAAAGCAAATGAATGTCTTGCCAATATAAGAAATTTGACCTCTACATAAAAGAAAAAATATGTTTTTCAAATAATTACCTTACTTCCACTTGAAGTTTTCACTGAAAGTACAATTACCTGTTTATTCTATATAGTGAACTGAAAGGAAAAAAAAGAATTTTTCAGTGGCAAGTTAGTATAAGAGGTATGCAGTTGAATTCAGGCATAACTCAATTTTTTTTTTTTTTTTTTTTGAGACGGAGTCTCGCTCTGTCGCCCAGGCCGGACTGCGGACTGCAGTGGCGCAATCTCGGCTCACTGCAAGCTCCGCTTCCCGGGTTCACGCCATTCTCCTGCCTCAGCCTCCCGAGTAGCTGGGACTACAGGCGCCCGCCACCGCGCCCGGCTAATTTTTTGTATTTTTAGTAGAGACGGGGTTTCACCTTGTTAGCCAGGATGGTCTCGATCTCCTGACCTCATGATCCACCCGCCTCGGCCTCCCAAAGTGCTGGGATTACAGGCGTGAGCCACCGCGCCCGGCCAACTCAATTTTAATGGATAGTATAATACAATGATTAAGACATGGGATGTATTCCAAACTTGTCATCACTACTTGCTAATAGTATGGACTTAGCCTGATTTTGCTTTAAATAAGCCCCAGGGATGTGTGTGTGTGTGTTTACAGTGGGTCATGATGTTATTGAAAATACTACGCAAAGTAGACTCATATAGTACCTGGCATTTAGGAGCCCGTCAATGAGTAGTAAGAGTTACTGATTTTTTCATTAGACTATATCAATCATATAGGCACTCAGAATACATTTATGTAGTCATCTGAAATACTCATATAATAGTAATACAAAGTAAAATAAACAAAACAAAACAAAAAAATGAGTGCTATTCTGGAGCTACAAAGACCTGGGGAACACTGAGAAAGGAAAGAACCATTCTAACTCATAGAATCTGAAGATTCCTGAGGTGATACTCTAATTGAAGCAAACACTTCAATGATGGGTAAAACTTCAACAGATAGAAATTATAAGCCATAAGCAGTGAAGAGATCATCTAGTCTCACACCTAATTTTACTTATTTTCTAATTAATTAACATTTTCAAGATTTCTCCTGATCTGTGTTCTAGCTCACTTCATTATTTTAATTGACTCTACAAATCTTTAAAAATGAAGAATTTGAAAAGAGAGAAGCAAAACTGCAAATTTTCCTTTATTATTATCATTCTCAGGCCTTAGGTAAAACATGAGAAACCGTCTTCAAGTAAAACTCATGTATAGCATTTTAAATACTTTCTGTATGTCTAGATGTCATTACAGGAGAGTGTGTTCTTTCTTTCTTTCTTTCTTGTTTTAGAGATAGGCTCTCACTGTGTCACCCAGGCTGGAGTGCAGTGGCAAGATCATAGCTCACTACAGCTTCAAACGCCTGGGCTCAAGCAATCCTCCCCCACCCAGCCTCCCAAGTAGCAAGGACTACAGGCACACACCACCACACCCAGATAATTTTTTAAATATTTTTTTCTTTAGAGATAGGGTTTGATTATATTGCCCAGGCTGGTCTCAAACTCCTGACCTCAAGTGATCCTCCTGCCTCAGCCTCCCAAACTGTCGGGATTACAAGCATGAGCCACTGTGCCCAGCCTGAGAGTGTTCTTCAGACAGGCAGTATTGGTCTCAAATTCCACTTTGTCACTTACTTGCTGTGTAGCGTGGAACATGTTCTTTCATTTTTCTAATCCTCAGTTATACATATTAAAAATGCAGATCATATTAGTATCTACATCATAGATTTGCTATAAAGGCTGAGATAATGGCAGTGTTATCAGTGAGATGCAGTGTTAAGCAGAGCGTCTGATTCAAAAAATGTTATCTATGATTGGCATTGTTCTCACTTCTTATTAGTCCATTACGAGGTTTGAATATAAATATTTAGCCCTGGTAGGTATGTTATACCATTAAGATCTTTAAAAACAAAATTAAATAATACAAGTTCTGGTTTTAAATGGACCATGTTTATAAAGAAAATATTCATGTAGAAAAATAAGTAAACATTGAATGAACATTTTTATAAACAAAATTAATAATTATGTTAGAAAAAACTATGGTTAAGTAAATCAGTCAAAAGTAATAAGATTTTTTTATGACCAGAAGATACCGTGTAGCTTACTCAATTTTTGAATCAATATTAAGGAATTTTTAGTCTTTGAATTTAGATACTTCTAACATTTATTCCATAGAATGATCTACCAGATATGCCACTAGAATTAACGAAAATAATTTTATAAAGCTAGCTTTGTGAGAGCAGGAGTCTCCTCTGCTTTGTTTCTTTACACATCTCGGGGCTTAGCATAGGATCTTGCACATAGTAGGCACTCAATAAATTTTTAAGGAATGAAGACATGAACTGGCTTTGAAGCTTACATATAGGACAGACTTGCCCATGCCTTATTTGTGACCTTCAGCATGTCCCTTAAGATTGTCTGGCCTTATTTGTCTCCATCAACAAAGAAAGGCATTAGACTAAGACTCTAAAATTCAAATCAGTAGAAGCATCTGTGTAAAACAAGATGAAAGACTGCAGCTAGATCCAAAGAAGAGTAGGGCCACCTCAGAAAATATTGAATTTGAATGGTTCATGAATCATGTTCTTGTGGAGTCAGGGGCAATAGAAATTATTAGCTTTCATCCAACTAACCTGAAAACAATTCCTAGAGGAGCTGATGTTTCACATAAAATCATTCACTGTGTATAAAAATACTATTAGCAGATCCTTTCTGTTTCTTAACCCAGTTCCTTATACTGTACTTATTCTTGCTTACTCGGTATGGGAAACTTTTTTCCTCTTCTTTGGTAATTGAGGGTCACTGACCCACCCTAATAAAAACCAAGAACCATACAAAAAGTTGATTTAGGGTACTGTTTGTTATTTTTTATTTAGAGAGAGAAAAGTCTACCACTCATCCATTCTTTAAATTAGAAACAGAGAACACAAAACAGTATTCACCAGATATACTTCAGTTTTATATTAGAGCCAATTAAAGGAACAAGTCAGAGCAGGAGATAAAAAGAAAGGGAACAGAGAGGGAGGGGAAAAGAGAAAGAGACGTAACTTTAGGGCTTGCCAAGCCCTGAGAGGCAATGACTCTTACTCGTAATGATTCTTGGAAAAACAAAGTGGAACCCTTTAGATAAAAAAAAAAAATAAACTCTACTGGAATTAGTTACAAATTATATTTTAATTACCGTTTAAAATCAGAGAGCAGAGCAAATCTCACAACCTAGACAAAAGGCTTCATCTTTTTCCACAGAAAAGAGAGCATATGACATCTACCCAACTTTTATAGGGAAAAAAAAAAAGAAAATGTTGTTGGTTTGTTTTTTTAAAGAACGTCTTTGCTAACATTCAGATACTGACCCCAAACAATTTAGAAGCCAAGTTGCATATTTGGAACTATGTAGACAATGATATCTTTTGTAGGTACTTGCCATAGGTCCCAAATAAAATTCAGAAAAAAATAACCTCTATCCAACTGGTAGACCAAAGCATTCTCAATTTAACTTATTAAAATAACCTGTTAGTGCTTGTATTTCTGCTTCTCAGTACAAATGACCAAAATTCTCATTTTTTCTTAGATCACATCTGAATATATTTAACCAATATTGTGACCTGTTATCTCATTTCCAGTTTCTTCATATTTTTCTTCAATTAGAGCAAGTACAGTTTTTCTTTAAGCTATAACTTTTCTCTGAAAATTGTGCACGATTAATCTTTTCTTTAAAAAAAAAAAATGGAGTCTTGCTCTGTCGCCCAGGCTGGAGTGCAGTGGCGGGATCTTGGCTCACTGCAACCTCTGCTTCCCGGGTTCAAGCGATTCTCCTGCCTCAGCCTCCCACATGATTAATCTTTAAACCATATTTAAACACAGCTAACTATTAATGAAATCCTACGTTGAAACCTATAGAGTTTGCTCTACTAATTACTCTGATGTTGTACCTGTTTTGACAAATTGGAACTTTCGCTTTTCATTTATTTAAAACCTGGCAATACTGCACTGTCAGAGGTTTGACAAGGACTGAGTTCAAAAGTAGTCATCTAGTATTCCCTGAACAGCATACCTGTCACTGCCTACCCAGCATCACCCTTGCTCTCTTAACTCACGGTACGTCCATTTATTCATTGTAAATTTGTTATACACTATGGTCCTGAGATATAGCCTATTCTGCGGTCTGTATCCCAGGCTTTACATTAGATATTATTTATTTAACTTTTTTTTTTTTTTAGACGGAGTCTCGCTCTGTCACCCAGGCTGGAGTGCAGTGGCACGATCTTGGCTCACTGCAAGCTCCCGCCCAGGTTCACAACATTCTCCTGCCTCAGCCTCCTGAGTAGCTGGGACTATGCAGGAGCCCGCCACCATGCCCGGCTACTTTTTTGTAGTTTTAGTAGAGACGGGGTTTCACCGTGTTAGCCAGGATGATCTTGATCTCCTGAATTCGTGATCTGCCCGCCTTGGCCTCCCAAAATGCTGGGATTACAGGCGTGAGAACTATAGGTTTTCTTAAATGTTTTATTGGGTCTATCTCCAAATTAATGAATTTTAATCAGTTAGTGTACATAAAAATCCATCCCTCTCCAACTGAATGTTGTGAGAGGTGAAAACATTCTTATGCCATAAAGTGAGATGGTGCCAAAATGTTTCCAATATGTCCATTTTAGTTATATAATAAAATAATTGCATTTCTACATAAAGTATACGGTTTGAATGCAGACAGAGTAGTGCAAGAAGTAATGGACATGCTTTAACATTAACCTGTCTGCTATAAGGTCATTGCTATTACTGGCTTATGGAGAAGAGTCCCAGGTATGGAAATATAAATACAGTAACTGAATTAGATAATTTGGACTTAAGATATAAAAAATATAAAGCTATAAATCCACATTAAATATCACATATCTTTATTCCTACAGATATATTTGATAAATATGCAAATTCTGAATCATGAATTTAATCTTTTCTGTTTGAGCTAATTAAATGTGCTATTTAATTTAAGCATACCTAAGTTTTCCTGGCAATAGAATGACAATAAATTTTGAAAATTATATCATTATTTGAATAGATTAAAACTTCGTTATTTGAAATAGAAAATAGAAATAAATAACATTTTTTCTCCCAAAAGTCATAATATATTTTACAATCAGGTTTTCCATTATTATAGACAGTTTATTTTTCTCGATCATACCCACAGACATATATGAGAAAGTCAAAGCACACTCTCAAAACTGTAGCATATTTTTAGTATTTAGGAAAAAGAAAAAACAGAATGACTAGATATTATGCTGCTAATATTTGCTGATGAAACATTAAGATGTCAAAAACCAAGAAGGTCTTACATGAAAGAGATGGGAATAATTTAAAAACAGAATAAAGTAAACAATTTTTCATTAATTGTTAAAAAAGCTATATAACACAAAAGAGTATGAACTTCAGAATCAAAAAGCCATTCAGTAAGTGATGTTCTTTGAATTTAATTTACTCATTCTGTAGAATGGAAAAAAAGCCATGGTGGACGTTTACCTTGTACTCTGTCACATGGCCTGTTCTTGCCCCTCAGAAACTTTAAGCTCAGGGCTTTGACAAACAGGGATGTCTTCCCCATTTGGAATACTTCTCTCCTCTATACTCTCTTGTTTCAACTGTATGTTAAGTATTCTTCTCACCCTGGCCACATTCTTTTTGTATCCCTTAGTCCTGTTTTAATTTCTAAAAAGCACATACCACTATCTGGGATTACATTGTTTAATTTATGTGCCTATTTACCCTCTGCTATAGTGTGAGTCACATGAGGTCAGGGTTTTGCTTTGTATTATTCACAACTGTTTCCCCAGTTCTAGTAACAGTGGCCAAAATATTACTATCCAATAGTAAGTGACTAGATGGATTATAAAGTAGTCAGAAGCCTTATTGCTTCCTTGAGAACTTCAAAATTCAAACTCAATAGATCACTTTTTATAAGAGTGTAACCTTGAGAAACTTACCTCCATTTTATTAAAAGACAATAATACTTCAAGGAGTTGTTAAATATGATAGCAACTTTAAAGTGCTTATCTCTATGCTGGGGATAGTCTAAGGGTTTCAAAAATCGTGGCTGCTATTATTATAAATTTTGCCTCTAAAAAGGTTTTTGTTTGGTTGGTTGGTTTTGGAGCCCAAGAATCACAGGTATTCAGAAAGACTTTCTTCTCTTGGTTTCCTGCTCACTAGAAGACCAGGAAAAGCAGTCTTACCAAAGCAGTTCACAAATGGTAGAAAATCAGTTGTCCATACAAAATGGACATGGCTATTCCTTATGCAGTCTGATACTACTATATTTCATTAAATAAGCAGCCCAAGGGCATGGGAAGAGGGAGCATAATGGAGGAAGAGCAATAATTTATCCTCTAGGACCTTCATTGAGCACCTTGGTTGAAATACTCACCCTCTTTCTAATCTGGCCTAATCTAATTTGGATCACCAGCAGCCTCCAAAAGAGAGCTATTGAAAGAGGTTATATCTACTTCTCATATGTAAACATGTGATTCCATCAACTTGAGAGTTCCATTGAATAGACAAAAGATAGTCACACTACTGATTCTTTTAATATACTTGTTGTTTTCTGCCTATGGTTTGTGGCAGTGTTCAGATTGACAGGGCTTTCCTTTTGGATATGTTGCTAGTGTTTTTTGGGGGAAAAGATCTGAGAATTTGGAAATTAAATTAGATAAGCTAGAATAAGAAAGCAATACTTTGTAGACTGTGCTATTCTTATATTGCTTGTACTTTCTCCTTTCATGATTCATTTTGCTCATAATTAGTATTGAGAAAAGTAGTTTGGAAGTTTTTAGCTCATGTCAAAAGCAAATGGAAAACAGAGGCAAGGTTATTGTCCATACTAGTGGCAGAAATTTGAAGATGAAGTACTATAATATTTGGGATCTGCATGATAGTGAACCTGGCAATTTGGCAACAACTATAGAAAGAATGAAATTTCCTGGGAAGATAATTTAGGTTGCTTTATGTATTGCCCTTCATCATATGGAAATTCTGTCTAATGATAATTCTTGTTTGGTAAGAAAAAAAATGACTATTTTTCTGTTTGATTGAGTTACTTAAAACATACTTATTTTAATATAGAGGAAGTTTGACATTACTGAGGTAAACCTGGATGCTATTTTAGTATTTGTACCTAAAAACCATTAGAGCGTTTGATTAAAATCAACCATATGATAATTATGCTAAAAAACAACAGCTAACTTAACATGGAGTGTTTATCATGGGTTAGATGTTATGCTAACATTTTAAGTGATTTATCTCCTCTAACTTTTAAGCCAATCCTATGAAGTACAATTGTTAGCCCTAAATTACAGATTAGGAAATTAAAGATTCAAGATCTTAAATAATTTACCCAAAGTTATACCATCAATAGATGGCAGAGTTCAGATTCACTGTCTGAACTACACATAGTGACTTGACGCTACTTACTTCTAAAATTGTTCCAAAAGTGAATTGAAAGACACGGTTTCATTACATATAAAGCATAATGATTTTGTTGACACAATAACATCAACTGCCTCTGTAACTCTGCTGGCCAAAATTGCATGTTGAAATGGCATTTTAAATGTTGAAATGGCATTTTAAAATAATTATATGTAAAAAATATGAAATACAAACAATCTGGACCCACAAACCCCATTTTCTGTTCTGTGGTTATGCGGGGATAGAAAGGGATATTATAAAATTTAAAGAAATCGAAGGATTTTTGTAAACATTCTCTAAGACTCTAAGATAATTGCTTTCACTATTTTGAATAAAATAAGAATATTTAAGAATTTAAAGTAGGTAAAATTGGTTACAGGTTAATATTTGAAAAAATATACAAATATTTTAGGGCTTCATTTGAACAAACCATGTGTTTACCAATTACATGTTTTTGGTTTTCACTTACAGGTTGATTTTATTTGTACCAATCTACTTACATGTGTTAATGAATATGTTTAGAAGGAAACAATATGCATCATCAGAAAAATCAGTGCCATTTTTACACTAGACATTGATAGAAACCATATGTTACTTAGCATCTGTCTGCATTTGTTTAAGTTGCACAGTGCCTGGAGGTAGAAATGGAAGAAACTAAATAGTATTTTAGGCAGTAGGACATATTTACACAACACAAAATGAAATGATGTGGCGATGGTCCAGTTTACTAAAATTTGGGCAGCTAAACTGGATATCAGAATTTCCAAAGCAGCAGTCTTTGGTTTGAGTTGTATAGGGTGGACTATCTAGTTTGACCACATTATTTCAATAATTGTATAAAACACTCTAAATTAATGTCTTTGTAATGAAATTATTTAATGCATCTTCTTAAGAACTTGTTTTGTCTTGGTATTAAACATTCAGTAAATTTCAAGGGAATTTCATTCTATTATTTCAAAACTTTGCCCATAATGATATTGTTTGGGTCTTAAAAAGAGAAATATGGTATATCCTTTTATCCCATAATAAGAGAATAAGATGTCGTGTGTGTGTGTGTGTGTGTGTGTGTGTGTGTGTGTGTGTGTGGGGTTATACTCACAATAATGACATTTTTGGAAGATAATATATACCAGCAGCTCATTTTTAAGTACTTACCTTTCAAGACAAATTGAGGTGGGAGCAGGGTAAAAAAAATGGAATTCTGAGAGGAACAGAAATATAGACCATCATAGAGGACATTGAACTTTATACAAAGAGGATTAACCTTTAACTGTATACAAGAGGATTAAATTTTTTATCAACTAACTACAGTTAGCATTTTATTTTACTCCCTTCCAATCTTTTCACATGTGAATATTATTAATATAAACAGTTAAAATATAAATGTATTTATTATGTTCCTAGCTCCTATCTTTCAGCTCTTCTATCACGTTATTTATTTTATTTCACTTTTTAATTGACATGAAATAACTGTGCATATTTATGGGGTACATAGTGATGTTTAGAAATCTACAATACATAGTGATTAGATCAGCATAATTAGCATATCCATCTTCCCAAATATTTATAATTTCTTTGTGTTGGGAAAATTCAATATTCTTCTTCTAGCTATCTTTAATTTTTTTCTAATTTTTACTATCATGCAATATGCCCACATAATCCTTCTAGCTATTTAAAACTACTTATTATTAACTATAGTCATCCTACAGTGATATAGAACACTAGAATTTATTCCTCTTTTTTTTTTTTTTTTTTTTGAGACGGAGTCTCGCTCTGTCGCCCAGGCCGGACTGCGGACTGCAGTGGCGCAATCTCGGCTCACTGCAAGCTCCGCTTCCCGGGTTCACGCCATTCTCCTGCCTCAGCCTCCCGAGTAGCTGGGACTACAGGCGCCCGCCACCGCGCCCGGCTAATTTTTTGTATTTTTAGTAGAGACGGGGTTTCACCTTGTTAGCCAGGATGGTCTCGATCTCCTGACCTCATGATCCACCCGCCTCGGCCTCCCAAAGTGCTGGGATTACAGGCGTGAGCCACCGCGCCCGGCCTATTCCTCTTATCTAGCTGTAATTTTGTATCCTTTAACAAATCTCTCCCCATCTCCACTCTCCCCTTACCCTTTCCAGCCTCTAGTTCTACTTTTTTTCTTCTATGCAATCAACTTACTTAAAGCTTCCACAAGTGAGTGAGAGCATGCAGTCTTTCTTTCTGTTCATGGCTTATTTCATTTAATGTAGTGTCCTCCAGTTGCATCCGTAATGTGGTGAATGAGAGAAGTTCATTTTTTTAATGGCAGAATAGTTCTATTTTTGAAAGTCTTCTTTCATGTTTGCTTTCCTTTATTCCAACTTACTTCTTACAAATATATCTTACTTGCTGTTTAAGCAAACCTTCTCAATCTTTTCGTCATAGTTTTAAAACTATGAAATTTTGTTGTTTATAGATATGGACTTAGCCAATGGACTTAGATATATGTGTGCTCAGCAGAAAATGACAAAATCGCCCAGTTAAGAAAAATGCTTTACTTTTTTTCCCTTGATGGTAGCTGAGTTACTTATATTGTATTACTAAAAACATGTATATTTGCATGGATAAGCAGTTCCTCTCTCTAAACAATACTTGGCACTCAATAGACATGGGGTAAGCTCAAAGCAGGCATTTTAAAATAAGACCATATGAACAAATGTTATATGTCTATAACTTTCATAATGGAACACTGATGAATGACAGAAATAAACCACACATAATATAACTGATTTGAAAAGAACATTATTTACTAGACTTTTTCTGATATTCATTAACTCTCTTCATGCTCAATGAACAGAAAGTAATTATGTCACTGCTGTGGCATTTTATCAAAAATACGATTGTCTTTCTCTTAGTGTTGAATTTCTCTAAGTAATAGCAGGAATCATGCCACTCCTTTGTTCAAAAGTTTCAAAGATTCTTTTTTTCTATAGAATATAATCAATAACCTGTAGATAAGCCCTGATTACTGTCTGCGTCACTACTCCTATACACTACAAAGTCAAGCCAAAGTAAACCACTCTTTAATATGAAAATACTAGCTGGTTCCAGTTGTTTCTATTTTGATGGATTCCAGCTGGATTTCACTTATTTGTTGGCATATGAATGTCTTACACACACTCAGCAATCATTCCAAGAGCCATCTTGCCCATGAATCCCTTCATAGAAGTCTTGTAGAAGGAATATATTGACAATTTATAATATTGATTTGGATCAAATATGCCTCCAGGCTCTTTAATTACTAGAGCTATATATAGAATCACAGACCTGTGGCTGGAAGAAAGGTAATTTCAGAGGCAATATACTCTAAACTGAATTTTTAAATATAGAAAACCGTGGCATCCCACCCTAATTCCAATATCCTGGGCACACAGTCTATTTAAGATAAAGAGATTTAGTGATAAAATTAGGTAAAGATCTCCTTAAAGTTTCCAAAATAGAAGCCTTTGGCTTGAATTATATATGGTGGATTATATAGGTTGACCATATTAATAGCATATTTAAAAAAAAAACACACACACACATCATGAAATTTTTTGCCTCTGTAGTGAAATAATTCCTCAGGTCTTCCTTCATATGAGTTCACACTTGACATTAAGTATTCAGGTTCAAGTGGATCCCATACTACTATTTTAAAACTTTATCCATAATAAGCCTTTGAGTAAATGCATTATAAAGGAAGTAGCGCTTGAACACGGGCAGGCAGTCATATATGCACAATCTTCTTAGAGTGGAGGTGGATTCAATCTAAGAGTGACATCAGTTATCATTAGTGACACTTTTTCTTGAAATCTACTTCTATGTGAACTCCACACAGTGAACTCTCTTTTGTTTTATACAAGAGGAACTCTAGTAAAAGGTGGTACTATTTTTACCTTATATATGGCTGCACCAATTAGAAAAATTCAGTAAAGCTGTGCAAATCTCATTGGTTGCTAAATTTACATTTTTATCAATTCATCTATTCTGAGTACTTTGTTATTTTTTCCAGATCGGTCTGTGTAATCACCACCATCACAACAAAACACACAGTTTTATTTAAACAGAACAATATATATGGTGTAATGAAAAAAGTTATCCACATGAGAATCTGACAGCAAATACAAAGTGTTCAAATTAATTAGCTGCAGGAGTTTTGATCAATTATCTAACTTAACTGAATCCCAATGTTTGCAAAATGAATTAAACTATTAATTATGTTCAGAAATTAATAGAGAAAGTCATGTAGAGGACTTGTACAGGCAAATTTTCTATCCCTATGTATATCTACCTCTTCTGGAGCAACTCATTTGTCTCTAGGTTTTAAGCACTTACAGGTTTTCCCTAATTAAGATTTTTGTAATGAGTGGATCTTAGGGAGAAAAAATAATTGTTTCAAAAGTGGATCAGCTGCTATGAATTGGGAATGTATCTTATTTGAATAATGATTAATAAAAAAACATTTCATGATGTCAACACACTTGTTTTTCTTGCTTTTTAGGAGCCTAAGTTGCCAAAGGATTACCTTACACAAAAATCTGTTCTTCTCATTTGTTTGTAACTCTGTTGTAACAATCATTCACCTCACTGCAGTGGCCAACAACCAGGCCTTAGTAGCCACAAATCCTGTAAGTAAACCAAGATTGTGCCCTTGGTTCAAGGGCCTAATGGGAAAGGGGGAACATGGCTGATATATGCATAATGTGTATAATTAAGTACACATATATGTATATTTTCAAGTCTGACATATATATATATTTTCAAGTCTTTATATCTTGGGGAATATTGAGAAATATTTACCTTTCTACATTGGAATATAGCTACATATACTCTACAGAGTATTCCCTCAGAGTATTCTCAGTATTCCCCAAGATACAGAGTGAACATAAAAAAGTGTAATAATTTCTTTGCTTCAATTATTTATACATGTACACATATCTTCACTTCATTTTATAGCTGTAGAGTCCTCTTGCTATGGCACATAATAGTTTATCACTACATAATATTTATTCAATCCAAATGAAAAACTCAAAGCAATGAACTCTGCGTAATTCGAAAAATAGTACACGCACATGGAAAATTTAAATAAATTATATTTTTTGTATCAGGCTGACTTTAAAAAGTCAATAAAACCAGGAAAAGAATGAATTGTACATATCCTACATAAGATTAAACTTCATAGCATAATGTTTTAAAAACTACAGTGTTCAGTCTCAATAAATATTTATAAATTGTTGCCTTACAGGCCATATTTTTCAAACAGTTTAAAATTTACTTATCTAAATGTAAATATTTTGTGTAAGCTATATGCATATGTAAAATGTTTAAATTAAAATATCTGCATACATAAACATACATTCAAATTTTAAAAATTATCTGCTTTTATAATGTTTATGGGATATTTACTATATTTTGTGTGTGTGTGTGTCTATATAAAGTGTTTTTTAAAAGAAAAAATTATCTAGTGACTGAAATCAGGAAGGGAAAGAATTTTTACCAAGTGGGTCAATAAACAGTCTCATGTGTGTTTTATGTGTGTTTTTAGAGTAATTTTCAAAATTCTAAAAGTCCCTGCATTGTTTGCACCTGTGCATCCAGATTGCTTAATCTTGTATATGTTCCACTCTAAAGTCATTGGATTAGAAAACACACTGGGGTATAATTAGCAACATAAAAATCTGGCTAATGTCCTGCCATTTTAGAGTGAATTTCTGTAAGACAAGGAGATTCAGAGTTTTGTCTTGAAGCTGCAGAGCATGAGATTCTAAATCTCATATTTGTACGCAAAGATGTGTTTAATAAACACATTATAAATTGTCATATATTTTTGTTTTGTCTCTGTTACTAATGCCCTGCATAGAAATATTTTTCTGCAGTATGCTCTTAATTCTTTTTTATTGTAATGGTTTATCGATTAACTTTTTTAATGAAATCAAGAATTAGAAGCCGAATTAAATATAAATACTTAAAAACTCTTTAGATAAAAAGTTGAAGCTGAAATTTATGATTTCTCTCCATATAGTAGACTATCTCATTTTCACCTTTGAGTGAACTTTAATATAATGCTGTGTTTTACATACAGGTACATTATTTAAAATTTAATGTTACGTATTCTGCAGATACATTTAATGAATAAATAGGTTTTACAAATATCCTTTAGTTAGGAGGCATCGTATATAATGAAAACAAAATTGGAATGTTCAGGTTGTAGATTTGATTGATGTATAAATATTAGCAAATCATTTAACTTCTCTGGTACTAAGTTTTTTTATCTATAAAATATATGCCTATGATAATGTACACCTCATAGGACTACCGTTAAGAATTAAATAAAACAATATATGTAAAAGTATTTTTAGGCTGACTCCTATGCAGATGCCATTATTACTATTCTGTGATGACCCAATATTAACAATCCAGTGCATTTTCTTTTCAATTTTATTTTTGGTTAAAAAAACTATTTCAAAAATAATGATAATTGCCACTAAACTTTTATTGATTTTCAGACTAGAAACTGGAGCCAATAGGAGTAACAGGTCATGTATTTTTGGGAAAGCTTTAATTGTATTCTCCTGTTTAAGAGTAAACTCACTCTTACTCTTTTGTGTTTTCTTTACTGTAATTTGAATGTCTCTCTTCCTGCCTGTTTAAAAGTAGAGAAGCAAAAATGGAGACCTCAGGAAAAATGGAAGGGAAACCATAATTTTGTCCTCCTTTTACTTACACAAAGCCCTCAGACTCCATATTTGGATAGGATAACCTATGGATGTATTAGATTATTTCTTAATAAGCATTTGCATGAGGAGCATGTAATATGCAAACTTTTCAAGTATTTGGGCACTTTTAATGAATTGGTTTTAAAATTACTATTATTTCCAACAGAATGTAACAGTCAAGGGATTCATGATGATATAAATAAGTGTAAAGTTATTTATGTGTGACACTTTTATACTTATAATTACATAACAACAAAAACACATTCAGAAAATACACATTCACTAAATAAAGTAGATTTAGAAGTTACACTTTTTTTCTGGAAGATATACCATTATCAATCTTTGGAGTCTGTGGCTAAAAACTAAAGGCATCATTACATGAATACGAAGACTGGCATTCCACAAATCCTAATCATTAATGTATAGGATTTTGTGTGTAGGGGAGAATGTTCCATGTTTCCTGAGCTAAACTAGAGTATTGCTTTACATGTGAATTCATAAACAAGTAAATATTGGGGTTTTTTTTTTCCTCACAGGTTAGTTGCAAAGTGTCCCAGTTCATTCATCTTTACCTGATGGGCTGTAATTACTTTTGGATGCTCTGTGAAGGCATTTACCTACACACACTCATTGTGGTGGCCGTGTTTGCAGAGAAGCAACATTTAATGTGGTATTATTTTCTTGGCTGGGGTAAGTGTTATTATACATACTTGTTGATTCAGTGGATTAAAGAAGCCTTTGGAGGATGCCAGGTTCCTTTGTAATATGAATATACCAATGAGTAATCATTTTTAAAGAATATCAGGTGATTAACTTTTGCTTATTCTTGTAAATTGCAACATTTTAAGCAAAGTATCACTGACTCATCCATTGTTTTCAGTAGTCACAAGTCAATATATAATAGTGTCTTTTTTTCTATTGAATATGCCAATGAATAGGGTATCTTGGCTGAATATGTAGTGACTAAAACAATAGAAGTAGAATCATAAATTAAAGATTTAGTCTTTGTACCATTCTGAATATTCATTTTTGCCACGTGTAAAATGAGAGCATTGGGTTCAAACATCTTTGAAGTTCCATTCTAAAAATATTTGTTTAAAATATTGTCATTTTACGGTAAGAGTAGAGGGATTAGTAATTGAATAAAGGCATGCAAAAGATTTATTTTTTCTACACAATATCCTGATGTGGTATTATTCACAAAGCAAACAGTGATATACTTCTGACATATTAAAAATAACTAGAATAATACAAAATATGAAGTGCAGAAATGAATTTAACAGGACTAGTTTCCAGAAACAAAACTGAAGTTGTACTTATCTATTATCATCTATCTACCCTATCATCTATCTATCTATATCTCTATCATCTATCTAAACTATCTATATCTAGAAAGAAATACATATACAGAGGTGTATATATACACACACACGCACACCCACAATTTTAGTGTATTCTGATTAACTTTATAAAGCATTGCTTAATTACATATTTGGAAGAGCTGATTTAGAATGTTCAAAGGCTGCCAAATTTTTGGTACATAAATTAATCACTTTTTTTCTTCTTCTCTTCTTCAAATAATGGCTTACTAGTAGTAATCTCTCTCATAGTGGAAGTTCTTGTGATTCTCAACTTTTTTCCACATCTGATAATGTACCAAATGTTGGCCAATTCCATCTCACAGAAAGTACACGAATGCTGAATTTCTTCTAATCCTTGTGGCTTAGGAAACACATCTTAAGAGTTAAGCTCTGAAGTCCACTGATTCAAAATGACTTATGAATTATAGTAGAAGAAAACATACACACATAAACACACAAACACAAAAATGTAAATACCTAATACTTTATAATGTGTATTGTTGATGATACAAATAATGTTTATTCAACAAATATATAGTGGCTAGTTTTTTTGCTCCTAGAGTATCTTTGAATTTTTGTATTTAATTACATATTTTTGAAATACCATCTGTAGAAAAAATGCCTATTTATTTTCTTTTTTTTTTGTTATTACAGGATTTCCACTGATTCCTGCTTGTATACATGCCATTGCTAGAAGCTTATATTACAATGACAAGTAAGAAAATCTCTTTTTATTATTTCTACTGGAATAATGTAAAATAAAAATTTTCAACATAATGTTATTATGTTTTCTCTAGTTGCTGGATCAGTTCTGATACCCATCTCCTCTACATTATCCATGGCCCAATTTGTGCTGCTTTACTGGTATGTAACAAATTCTCCTTTCCTTATCATTGCTCACATTTCAACTTTATTTCTGAATCATCTGGCCTATGGTATCCTTCAGGGTCCCAGTGGACACAGATGGACATGCATGTTCACAGTGCTTAAATGAATAGCGTTTAGTGAAGGTATCATATCTGATGTATGCGCAGGAAAGGCAAAGGAACTAATTAGTAAGGGATGGTGAGCCATTAGGGACCAACAATGGAATGCTGTTATCACAGCTAGACCTGAAGAGAGAAATGTTAGTGCAGTGAAATGAGCATTGGGAGGAGTCACCCAGTAAGAGATCTGATCTTGAGTAGAGAAAAACAACCACTGCCAAAACCACAGCCTGGCAGAATAGAAGCAGCAGAAACAAAGACTCAAATTTATCTTTATTCCCATACTCTTATCTTTTGGTTTTTCCAATTAGCCAGATGCAGCAAATGTCTCAGGGCAAGGAAGTCTGGGTGAAGCTGTTCACAGACATCATCCTCCTGTGGCACAGAGAGGAATAGAGGATGAATCTAGCAGGGGGGGGTGGGAGGTGACAAATAAGAAAAAACAAAATACCTATGCAAATTTTACATTATAATTATTATCAGTTAATGTGAGTGCATGAATTAGACATTTTAGTGTAATTGCAGGAAAACAGAAGTCACATTCGATGCTTTTATTACACTATTATTATTTTTATTATTTTAATTGAAAAAAGGTCTTGCTCTGTTGCCCAGACTAGAGTGCAGTAGAATGATCACAGCTCACTGCAGCCCCCAACTCCTGGGTTTAAGGGATCCTCCCACCTCAGGCTCTTGAGAAGCTAAGACTATACGTATACACTACTATGCTTGGATAATTTTTAAAAATTTTTTTTTATAGAGACAGGATCTCACTATGTTGCCCAGGCTGGTCTTGAACTCTTGGGCTGCAGTGATCCTTCTGCCGTGGCCTCCACAACTGCTGGGATTACAAGTGTATTACATTATTTGAATGAGAAAGTAAATTAATACAAACTAGCAATCTAGCATGCTTTGTCTCAGAGAGTATTAGAGATCATAGTGCAATTACAGTCCTTAGGAGTGGTATTTTAGTTACAGCTGCTATTCATTTTGTTGTTGTTGTTGTTATACTTTAAGTTCTGGGATACATGTGCAGAACGTGCAGGTTTGTTACATACATATGCATGTGCCATGGTGGTTTGCTGCACCCGTCAACCTGTCATTTGGGTCTTTTTTTTTCTTTCATTGTTGTTGTTGTTTTTATTATTATTATACTTTAAGTTTTAGGGTACATGTGCACAATGTGCAGGTTAGTTACATATGTATACATGTGCCATGCTGGTGCGCTGCACCCACTAACTCGTCATCTAGCATTAGGTATATCTCCCAATGCTGTCCCTCCCCCCTCCCCCGACCCCACAACATAGGTGGGAATTGAACAATGAGAACACATGGACACAGGAAGGGGAACATCACACTCTGGGGACTGTCATTTGGGTTTTAAGCGCCACATGCATTATGTATTTCTCCTAATGCTATCCCTCCCCTCACCCCCACCCCCCGACAGGCCCCAGTGTATGATGTTCCCCTCCCTATGTCCATATTTTCTCATTGTTCAACTCCCACTTATGAGTGAGAACATGCAATGATTGGTTTTCTGTTCCTGTGTTAGTTTGCTGAGAATGATCATTTCTAGCTTCATCCATGTCCCTGCATAGGACATGAATTCATTCTTTTTATGGCTGCATAGTATTCCATGGTGTATATATGCCACATTTTCTTTATCCAGTCTATCATTGATGGGCATTTGGTTTGGTTTCAAGTCTTTGCTATTGTGAATAGTGCTGCAAGAAAACATACGTGTACATGTGTCTTTATAGTAGAATGATTTATAATCCTTTGGGTATATACCCAGTAATGGGATTGCTGGGTCAAATGGTATTTCTGGTTCTAGATCCTTGAGGAGTCACCATACTGTCTTCCACAATGGTTGAACTAATTTACACTCCCACCAACATTGTAAAAGTGTTCTTATTTCTCCACATCCTCTCCAGCATCTGTTGTTTCCTGACATTTTAATGATCACCATTCTAACTGGTGTGAGATGGTATCTCATTGTGGTTTTGATTTGCATTTCTCTAATGACCAGTCATGATTAGCTTTTTTTCATATGTTTGTTGGCTGCATAAATGTCTTCTTTTGAGAAGTGCCTGTTCATATCATTTGCCCACTTTTTGATGGCGTTGATTGTTTATTTCTTGTAAATTTGTTTAAGTTCTTTGTAGATTCTGGATATTAGCCCTTTGTCACATGGGTAGATTGCAAAAAATTTCTCCCATTCTGTAGGTAGCCTGTTCACTCTGGTGATTGTTTTGCTGTGCAGAAGCTCTTTAGTTTAATTAGATCCCGTTTGTCAATTTTGGCTTTTGTTGCCATTGCTCTTAGTGTTTTAGTCATGAAGTCTTTGCCCATGCCTATGTCCTGAATGATATTGCCTCGCTTTTCTTCTAGGGTTTTTATGGTTTTAGGTCTTACTTTTAAGTCTTTCATGCATCTTGAGTTATTTTTTGTATAAGGTATAAAGAAAGGGTCCAGTTTCAGTTTTCTACATATGGCTAGCCAGTTTTCCCAACACCATTTATTTTATAGGGAATCCTTTCCCCATTGCTGGTTTTTGTCAGGTTTGTGAAAGATCAGATGGTTGTAGAAGTGTGGTGTTATTTCTAAGGCCTCTGTTCTGTTTAATTGGTCTATGTATCTGTTTTGGTACCAGTACCATGCTGTTTTGGCTAATGTGGCCTTGTAGTATGGTTTGAAGTCAGGTAGCGTGACGCCTCCAGCTTTGTTCTTTTTGTTTAGGATTGCTTAGTCTTGGCTATACAGGCTCTTTTTTTGGTTCCATATGAAACGTAAAGTAGTTTTTCCTAATTCTGTGAAGAAAGTCAATAGTAGCTTGATGGGGATAGCATTGAATCTATAAATTACTTTGGGTAGTATGGCCATTTTCACGATATTGATTCTTCTATGTATGAGCATGGAATGTTTTTTCATTTGTTTGTGTCCTCTCCTATTTCCTTGAGCAGTGGTTTGTAGTTCTCCTTGAAGAGGTCCTTCACTTCCCTTGGAAGTTGTATTCCTAGATATTTTATTCTCTTTGTAGCATTTGTGATTGAGAGTTGACTCATGATTTAGCTCTCTGTTTGTCTATTATTGTTGTATAGGAATGCTTGTGATTTTTGCACATTGATTTTGTATCCTGAGACTTTGCTAAAGTTGCTTATCAGCTTAAGGAGTTTTTTGGCTGAGTCGATGGGGTTTTCTAAATATACAGTTATGTCATCTGCAAACAGACAATTTGACTTCCTCTCCTCCTATTCAAATACCCTTTATTTACAGCTGCGATCAAGTTATTTATATATGTGCTTGTGTATGTATGTGATATTTTTCATGTAAAATTCAAAGCTTCCTCATTCGTCTCTTCAGACTCTTTTTAAATACAGATATTCTATTATTTAACTATATTTGCTAGCTGCAGTTTAGTATATGGTT
The DNA here is from genome assembly GCF_000001405.40 of Homo sapiens. Taxonomy (NCBI): domain Eukaryota; kingdom Metazoa; phylum Chordata; class Mammalia; order Primates; family Hominidae; genus Homo; species Homo sapiens. The sequence continues at coordinate 187,355,514 of NC_000002.12, read as the reverse complement.
GCGTTGGATCACTGTTCAAACCATTCTCAAAATGTATCATTGTTAAGCCATTCTTATAGAATTTATTATGACTTTCATAACATTTTTTGATATACCTTAATGTAGATTATAGTGAAAATTTCAAAGGCAGAGGCACTTGCCTCCCTTCCTTCTCCTACATTCTAAGGGCATGAGTGACATACTGTGTTTAAGTTGTACCCTGAGACTGCCTGGCTTTGCATTGTGTGCATAAAAGAGTCAGCACTGAATCCTGGCTCTACCACAGCTGCCTGTGTATCATCTCAGAGCAAGTTTTCTGTTTTATTTTGTTTTTAACCTCTCTGTGTCTTTGTTTTCTCATCTGTAATGATGGAATAATAAGAATATATACCTCACAGGGTATTATAAGGATTAAATGAGATGCTTTCTGTTAAGTGATCTGGCACAGTTAGTGCATAGAATATTATAAATTCTTGAAAAAATGCCTTCCAAGTTTCCTCACTTGTAGTTTCTGCATGATACCATGCTTCTACTCTGAGGAGAGCTTGAAGAAATTATAATATATCGTTTGGGCTACCCAGGAGATTCCAGAACAAATGCAAGACAATATTTTATTACAAAAGATCTGGCTGCACAGAGGGGTACATGATTCAGACTTCTAAATCAGTAAGGTTCAGGAAGTGAAAGCACCTAGCAAATGCAAAATGTAACGTCATCTACACTATCCTTGGAAACATCTGTTCATGTAAACTTTAAGGAAGAAGAGTAAGGATGAAATACAGGAATATAGCCCATCAAGCTGGTCAGTAAGAAAAGAAGCGAAAATCCACATTATTTGCCTAAAACTTTCCCATCTTGTTGGCCTAAAACAAGATTAGGAACCTATTTTTCTGTCCGGATAAATCATTCTGTCCTTGTTTAAGCTCCAGAGCTCCTTCTTGGTCCTGGCCAATTCCAAGCTCCTCAGAAGAGCCCTAGTAATTGTTCTCATGGTTATCATATGTTTTTGCACAATTTTTATAAATAAGATATTTTAATCACAAGTCATTCCACTCAGACTTCCTCCATCACATTTCCATGTGAGCAGGGTGGTACTGGAGTGACTACAGCATTTTTGAGATCCTGTTGAGGGGAAGTTGAGAGATGATACATTTAATTTGGGTTCAGTGACAGATATTTAGGTGACTTCAGTGCATAGTTAAGTGATTGTCTGGGAATGACTTCCAGAAACTGTCCTACAGCCACTGTATAGATTTACCCCAGTTCCTGTCATGACCCAAGCGTGGTACTGTGATATCAAAATAGCCTGATGGGCCTACTAGCTATGTAAACTTTATGAGTATGTCAGTTAAAGGTTTCTTCTTTTCTACTGAACTAGTTTTGCTCAAGGGTGGGTGAAATTCAGACATAGTTCTTCTAAAATTTAAAATTCTTCTTTTATTTTTGCTTATAGTAAATGGAAATATTTACAGAAAATAAAGTAAGATGAAGGGATTATAATTCTCAAAACTATGTTGTGTGGAAAAATAGCATCCAATTCATTCTAAGACAATTATTTATAAAATAGCTAATAGAATAAACTCTATTGTCAACTCTAGTTTCTAGTTTCACATTTTAAATCAGACTTCCCATGTGGAGAAGCACTTTGCATTTAAAAATTTTCATATAATTGGGATCATCTAAATTGCAATGTTTCTACTGTCTTTTTATAGTTTATGATTTAATGTATTAAGATTATAAAATATTTGATATTAAGCAGATAAAAGAGCATTATTATCTTTTTTTAAAGAGCAATGGATGCTTAAGAAGGGAATATATTAGGATGAGTGGAATAACAGCTGACATGTTGATTTGTCACATTTCATTCTCACACCTGTTGAAATGGCTTATTCTGCTTTTGCCTTTATCGTATTTCTGTGTCTGCAAACATTGCTTTTCATAGATGTGTTTCCATTAGGATTTTAGTGAGCTGTATATTTTTGAAGCATATGTTCTATTAAATTTTCTAAAAATAGTGGTAGAATATTTTTGTGCCCAGTTATTTTTATGACACATGTGTCCATTTAGCAAATGCAGGCTCTCTGTTAATTCTTTTCTATAATAAATGGGAAACTACTATTTTTTGCAATTTTTAAACTGTGTGGATATAAATTATATTTGGTGCATAGATTGAAAATTTAAGATTATTAAACAAAGGGCAGATGCCAGAACTAAGGGTGAGGAAAAAGAAAAGAGAATAGCAATTAGCCCCTATGGAGCTCTTCTGGAATTAATATTCATGATTCTATGGAAGGCATAAGGAATGGGCATAGAGAAAATGGACCAAAGTAAAAGATATTGACTGGGTGAAAATAAGAAAGAGATAAACTCTAACTTGGGTGAAAATAAGAGAAAGATAAACTTGTATTATGCGAGAGAAAGAGAAATAAATATGTTTCAGTAGGACCCTGTTTGCTGAGTCACATTAGAGTGTCAAAGGTTTATGTCTCCCATCCAAAGAAACTACTGTCTCTTCGAGAAAGTTGTTGAGGCACAAAAATAGTGAATATTATGTCATTGCAGACAGTAATTAACAGGAAGTCTTATAGAATGTCAAATTATTTTAGCTCTAGAATGACTGGGGTTGAATATCAGCTGGTTCAAAGTTCCCTCATAAGTAAAAGAGGATTACAGTGATACTTTGGAGAGGTGTTGTAAAGATTATTGTTACTAGAAGAAACAGGAAAGTTTTTGGTTTGAAAGATGAAAATGGTTATTATGGTATAATATACATTTAGAAAGTATGTCATATGGACATGATAAAGAGGGGATGCTTTAAAAATTAGCATTTTTCCATAAACAATTATTTTCTTTGATATGAAAATGTTCAAAATCTTTAGTTTTTAGACCACAGATTTTTTTAATTGCACGTGAAAATGAGCTGAGAAAAACTGAAATATTCTTCAACTGAATATGTTCCACAGTAATTATACCATAATTTAATTTTACTTTTTTAAAACTTGTTTATTAAAATTGATGTACTTGTTAAATTGATAAATCACAATTCCAGAAATATAAATTAATGCCTTAGGCAATAATACCCTTTAAAAATATTCTTGTACATTAAAAATATTTTAAGATTTATAAAATTGGAGATACTTGAATAATGCTTCTTAATATTAAATATGAAATGATTTTCAGATGCCATTTAATTTCGTTTTTAGGTGAATCTTTTTTTCTTGTTAAATATTGTACGCGTTCTCATCACCAAGTTAAAAGTTACACACCAAGCGGAATCCAATCTGTACATGAAAGCTGTGAGAGCTACTCTTATCTTGGTGCCATTGCTTGGCATTGAATTTGTGCTGATTCCATGGCGACCTGAAGGAAAGATTGCAGAGGAGGTATATGACTACATCATGCACATCCTTATGCACTTCCAGGTATGGCATTCTTGATAAGAAGGCAGCTTGAGAAGTTTGGAATTAAATATACATATAGCTTTGGTTTACTCCTGACTACTTGTACAGCTATTTGATTACAAATACATGTATCTTTCCATTTGGATTCAGATCATTCTATTTTTCTTTTACAGGGTCTTTTGGTCTCTACCATTTTCTGCTTCTTTAATGGAGAGGTATGATAATTGATTTTATTCCTTCTATTATTTTATATTTGCTATCTGTCTATCTATCCATGTATTTAAATGAGATAAAATTATAAATTCCCCAGGAACAACCATGTTAAATTCTGTTTCCATCAGGGAAAGAACCATAGAATCTCTTACCATAGGTTTAACTCTCCTTCTCAAATGCTCAGGTCATATTGGAGTTCAAAGCCAGGGAAAAGTCAACCTCACTTAAAAATATTTCAAATGCTATTCATCTAATCTTTTGAGATACCTTTGAGTCCCATTAAGTCTGAGCTTTTCCCCAGATACAGTGCCAGGCAATCCCAAATCTCATAGAACATACACTCTAATAGGAAATAAGAAATAGGATCATCTCATTTTCCCTCTTTCTCTTTTTTGCCTGTCTTACAATGTAGCCTATGGAAACAACTTTATGGCAAATACGAAAGGATTTTAAAAATTAAACTCTTGGTTATACAGGGAAGAAATTCAATGGGTTAGGAAATTTAGAAGAGAATGCTCTAATTCATAACATGACCATGTACTCTTCAGTACTTCTAGATTTTTATCCATGCGTTTCCTACTTGGGAAGTTTCAGGCATTTTGAAAGCTGGTAACATATTTCTTTTTTTTTTTTTTTTGAGACGGAGTCCCGCTGTTTAGCCCAGGCCGGATTGCAGTGGCGCAATCTCGGCTCACTGCAAGCTCCGCCTCCCAGGTTCACGCCATTCTCCTGCCTCAGCCTCCCGAGTAGCTGGGACTACAGGCGCCCGCCACCGCGCCCGGCTAATTTTTTGTATTTTTAGTAGAGACGGGGTTTCACCGTGTTAGCCAAGATGGTCTCGATCTCCTGACCTTGTGATCCGCCCGCCTCGGCCTCCCAAAGTGCTGGGATTACAGGCGTGAGCCACCGCGCCCAGCCAACATATTTCTTATGCATACAAATGTGTTATAGCTCAGTAATCTGAGCTCTATTGACTTAGCTCTTTATATGTTTTTAATCTGCTCGACACAATTTAACCTGTAGGAGGATTTTGGCAAAATTGAACAAAGTTTAGAAATCCAGACAGCAGCTGAGTGAGACACAGACACTTGATAATGTGAAGCTTATCATAAAGCTTCAGATGGGGAACACATGGGACCAGTTGGTATAACCTATGACAACCATTCCTATAAAACAAATGAACATTGGAAATCATGCACACATCATGAAAAACTATAACATGTTATTTGCGCTTGCTTAAGTAATATTTTTACTTCCTCATCTTGACATATAATAAAACTCAATGTTTAGTTTTTAATTAAAATATATCTCAAGTTCAACACGTATTTATTTATATTATTATTATTTATCTATATTTATTTATTTGTAATGAGGTGTAGAGTTGCCACACATTGTAGACTATATTTCATACATTTAAGTGGTACTTCCATAATTCTTCTGCTATACAGAAGACAAGAGCAACTTTTTCTGAAATCAGAGAAGCATAGACAGAATGCAGTTACAAAAAATAGATAAATCATTTGTTTGATAGTAAAATTCAAATAGATTTTATTATATACCTCTATAAATTTAATGTTATATACACTGAATTAGACAACCCTAAATGCTACTTGTATAGGATGTAATAATTAAATATAGATGAGAGTGATATGGACAACATGCTAAAGAACATGCATGAAATAGGAAAGGTAGACCTCTGTATCTACAGAAACAGATTTTAATTCCATGAACTAATTTTTAAATATTCAAAACACACTCACTAGTAAAATATTTTGTAACAGGAGGCAGTGTAGAATAAACACAGCAATGCATTTAATCACCAAAGATGCTACTTTTCATCTTGGCTGTGATATTTTGGCAAATGCTGGCAAATTTCAGGAGCCTGTGTCTATCTTTCTTAAAGGGAAATTAAAGCAAGTTCTCTACACAGGTCTCAGAAAAATAAATACAAGCTAAGAAAGATAAAGTTTTTAGCACCATGCCCCACTTCATGAGATTCTCAGTATACTTATTATTTGATTTGTCAAATCACTTATTTTCAAAAACACATGTGCCAACAGGAACATTAATCATTTTGGATCAAAATCCCAAATTGGCTCTTTTATTTAGAAAGAGTGCCCAGGGAATATCTAAAGTAATGCCTAACACTCCTGTTACACTCGATCTGTGTAAACAAAAGGGACACAGAACCTTGATCTTCTGCCATGTCCTAAAATTGAGAAAATTTTGACATTGGAAAATTACAATAATACACAATGTTTGAGCTAGGTTGTTCCCAAATCTTTCAGTTCCTCACAACATTTCTAATATCTGTTCCTTTTCTTCATCTCTGGAGATACAATCCCTGTTTCAGTATGATTCATTTCTCTTCTTAAGAAATACTGTGATCCCTCCCTTTTTGTCTCAATGCCTCTTACTTTTTCCCACTCTCATAACATGAAGAAACAACTGCCAAATTCATTTTGTTCCAACTATGTCATGTACTTCTTAAAATCATTTGCTCAGGCTTAGTTTCCTTCTTGTTTTCCACATTAGGTCAAATGCCTGCCTTTAGCTTAATATTTGTGTTTTTTTCTTTCCCACCTTTTATGCACTTTTTAGCTAACGTCTTGCTATTAGCATTTCTCACTAGTTAAATAAATGTGGCTTGACAAGTGCTTGGATTACTTTCATTTTATCCCTAGTGCCCTCAGACAAAAATGTGCACTGTGATCATAAACTAGGGACTCTAGTCATCAGAAGGTTATATTTAACAACACCTGAGGGTAGATATTCCATAAGATGAGCAAAAAGTTTTGTTGAGGACAGACAATTAAACCCAAATTCTTTCATGAGAACTACGTAGAATTTTTATAAAAGTTTCGTAAATATTTTAAATTGATTCCCATTAAGGAGTATAAAGTTAGTTCCTTATTGGGTGTTAATGGGTATATAAAGTTGTAATGTTACATTCTAAACATTTGCCTTACTACTTATACATGGTCATGCATAAAACAATAAAAACATTCATATCTTTAATAACACCCAGCTATCTTCCCTTACAATGGAAATTTGCTCCTACTGATTTTTTCTCATTAAAAGTTTATTAAGAGTAGCTGCTTTAATGTCGTATTTAACAGGTGTGATATTGTATTAGAGGAAGCAGAAGAAAAATGTAACATCCTTAGAGCAAATAACATAAACAAACAAGTCTACAAGGCCTGTGGATCTTTAATTAGGTTTATTTTTAACTATAGTAAGACCTCACAGTTCATGAAATTGGCTTTCTATGGTTTTTCTGATGATTTAGTTGCAAGGAAGAAATAGAGTGATGACCTTAATCAAAGTAGATATTTTAAGAGCAAACAGTCATATATTTCAATAGCCATTTTCCTTCCAAATTGAATTTAAGCTTTCCTTTTTAAGACTATAAGTACTAGACTCACAGCTAAGATATTACTTCCTCTCAGCTTTTTCTCATACTTTATATAGAATTTTTTATACAAAGCTATATGCCACTTCCCCTCAACCAGAAACTATATTGATTACATACTCAACCAATTCAGCATTTAGTAACAAAATTAGGAGAAGTTTATGAAACAAAAAATAAGGATCAAAAATATTTCTCATCAGATGTATCTAGATAATTGGTCAATGGTCATTTTTATTTTGAATCTCTGAATATGTATTTAAAATTCACAATCTGAAGCCATTCAATTTGTAGTTTGCTCATGATCTTGAGGTTGTTACATATGCAGATGTTATTTTTAAATTATCTGAATTTAGATATTTTATACGGAGGATTTAGAATTATATTACTAAATTGAGAGGAAAGTTTAATTTTTGCAAGATAAATAAATTTGTTGCCTTATAAATGCTTTTATTTTCAAAGCATATTTACATGAATATAAATTGTTTTCTTCAGATATGGTTACCATATATTTTTTAAATTGAGCTTGAAAGGGCTGAAGTTACTGAACTTCATCATAATGTAACTTTCAATACGAAGTTATTTCATTTTAATTATATAATTTTTGAACTATATAGTAGAGTGAAATTAACTGATAATTTTAATACCTCATTTAATTTTACCTAAACACATTGTTGGCTTTATATTTGCTCCTTCTTTTTTCCTACATGAAATGAGACAATAAAACTTTGAGTTTATTTTAAGTGACAGACTATAAGATACTTTAACAGGAACTCTGAAGTATCCTGTAAAGCTGCAGACATCCTGGAACACCTATTTTCTATAGAATGTTTGTAATTGGAGGAATTGAGGTTTTGTGTGTGTGTGTATGTGTGTGTGTGTGTGTTTTAATCCATTAGACTAGGAAATAACAAGAGAGAAGTAAGCCCTTTTTAAAGATTTAATATTGATTTGTATACATGGATATAGTGAAGAGAAAGTTGAGGAATTCTATATAAGTAGTAGAAAGTTAAACAATTATACCTCAGTACGTAGAAAATGAATTACCAGAAAATTGCTGTGAGATGCTCAGATTCCCTTTGGAAAAGCACTGAAAGAGCCAAAGAGCAATAGAGAGCTTGGGGAAGACCATTCAAAGCAAACCCACTCTGGGCAGATATAGATCGGGTCACAAGGATTTGGCTAACACATTCATAACCTAAAAGCAGGCTGCTCCAAGCCAGTGTGCTCACTCATCAGACATGGAAAAGTCCTCAACGTACTTGAGCTAGAGATGTATTTAAATGTTCTCATTTGTGCCCATTGACTGACAATGAAGAAAATTCACTCTTGTGCCTTACATTCCATTATGACCAATATTTTACTGTATAGGACCCACCTACCCCTGATCTCTAGCTTCAAACAGAGGGGAAGGAAGTCATTAAACTGCAAATTTATTCAGCAGAAGAGGATTCAAATATATAAAAATGGAGTGGTTACATTCCTAAATTTATTTTTCACAATATTCACCAGATTTATAATTATTTGTTCAACACTTTTCTTTCCTCTATGTAGTAAGCTCCATGAAGACAAATATCATGCTCCCTTTTTTAGAATGTAGCACAATTTCTGGCATATGGGAGTCACTCAGAAACAAAGGTTGCTGCTACTGCCCTGCTGCTGCTGCTGCTGATTTGTATTCTTCGTATCCTAACTTCTTTTCTTTTGTGTATCTTTCGCTTATCCTGTCACGAATTGTCTTCTCATTCTATTAATAAAGACATTAATATAAAACTCAATGTTGCACATGAAATCTTGTAAATGGGGGTCCAGATTACCTATTTGTTTGGCAACAATAAATACATATGAATTATAAAAGCTTTGAAGACAAAACATGCCATGAAAAATATTAATGGAATGTAAAGTACAATGTAATTGTAATACATTTCCTAATGTGAAGATGGTACACTTAATTTTTTAAATTAAGAAAATGAAGCTATATTATTCACTGATTAACATAACTTTTTTTAAAAAAGCTCTTCTCCAAGACCTATTTAATTGTGCTTCAAAAACAGTGTCTTCATTTCAATTAATGGGTTGTTCTTGTTCTTTCTGTTTTCCTTTTGATTGATAGGTTCAAGCAATTCTGAGAAGAAACTGGAATCAATACAAAATCCAATTTGGAAACAGCTTTTCCAACTCAGAAGCTCTTCGTAGTGCGTCTTACACAGTGTCAACAATCAGTGATGGTCCAGGTTATAGTCATGACTGTCCTAGTGAACACTTAAATGGAAAAAGCATCCATGATATTGAAAATGTTCTCTTAAAACCAGAAAATTTATATAATTGAAAATAGAAGGATGGTTGTCTCACTGTTTTGTGCTTCTCCTAACTCAAGGACTTGGACCCATGACTCTGTAGCCAGAAGACTTCAATATTAAATGACTTTTTGAATGTCATAAAGAAGAGCCTTCACATGAAATTAGTAGTGTGTTGATAAGAGTGTAACATCCAGCTCTATGTGGGAAAAAAGAAATCCTGGTTTGTAATGTTTGTCAGTAAATACTCCCACTATGCCTGATGTGACGCTACTAACCTGACATCACCAAGTGTGGAATTGGAGAAAAGCACAATCAACTTTTCTGAGCTGGTGTAAGCCAGTTCCAGCACACCATTGCATGAATTCACAAACAAATGGCTGTAAAACTAAACATACATGTTGGGCATGATTCTACCCTTATTGCCCCAAGAGACCTAGCTAAGGTCTATAAACATGAAGGGAAAATTAGCTTTTAGTTTTAAAACTCTTTATCCCATCTTGATTGGGGCAGTTGACTTTTTTTTTGCCCAGAGTGCCGTAGTCCTTTTTGTAACTACCCTCTCAAATGGACAATACCAGAAGTGAATTATCCCTGCTGGCTTTCTTTTCTCTATGAAAAGCAACTGAGTACAATTGTTATGATCTACTCATTTGCTGACACATCAGTTATATCTTGTGGCATATCCATTGTGGAAACTGGATGAACAGGATGTATAATATGCAATCCTACTTCTATATCATTAGGAAAACATCTTAGTTGATGCTACAAAACACCTTGTCAACCTCTTCCTGTCTTACCAAACAGTGGGAGGGAATTCCTAGCTGTAAATATAAATTTTGTCCCTTCCATTTCTACTGTATAAACAAATTAGCAATCATTTTATATAAAGAAAATCAATGAAGGATTTCTTATTTTCTTGGAATTTTGTAAAAAGAAATTGTGAAAAATGAGCTTGTAAATACTCCATTATTTTATTTTATAGTCTCAAATCAAATACATACAACCTATGTAATTTTTAAAGCAAATATATAATGCAACAATGTGTGTATGTTAATATCTGATACTGTATCTGGGCTGATTTTTTAAATAAAATAGAGTCTGGAATGCTATATTTGGTAAATATTTTAAAGACAACCAGATGCCAGCATCAGAAGTCTGTTTGAGAACTAAGAGAACAGAAACATCTATCATAAGATATATTTATTTTAAAAACACAAGGTCACTATTTTATTGAATATATTTGTTTTGATAACTCATACCTTAATAATAGGTGTGTTTGACATATTTCTTTTTTCATTTTGACAATGAACTCACATTCTAATCCAGAAATTTTAAACAACTACTGTGATAAATACCAATCTGCTACTTTTATAGATTTTACCCCATTAAAATATTACTTTACTGACTTTTACTATGTGAAGATATATAGCTTTGGAAATGTCCCAGGCTATTCAAGAAATATAAAAAACTAGAAGGATACTATATATACCATATACAATGCTTTAATATTTTAATAGAGCTACTGTATATAATACAAATTAGGGAAATACTTGAATATATCATTGAGAAAAAATTATTGTCAGATCTTACTGAATTATTGTCAGACTTTATTAAATAAAGATAGAAGAAAACCTTGCTAATGAATTAAAGTGAAATTTGCATGGGATTCAGTTTCTCTAATGTTATTTTCCGCTGAAATCTCTAAAGAACAAGAATGACTTCAATTAGTAAAAGTCAATTTTGGGAAAAGTCATGGGTATCTGTTTTTTAAGTGTGTCAATCTGATTAAAATGGATGAAACAAATTACTCATCATAAGTTGTTTCTTAAGCTGTCAATATGTCAATAGATGGTGAGTTCAGAACTTATTTCAAATTGCTAAGACAAATTATCTAAATTCGTAAGAATTAACATATAGAATGGTCTGGTCAGTACATTTATAATTTATCTATGCATGAAAAAGTATTGTTTTGTTTGAAACATGAATTTCATAGCAAGCTGCCATAGAAAGGAACGCAGGCTGTTCTAGACCTTCAACTGCCTAAATTATACAAAAATTCATTTTAATAAACTCAATTATTAGCTATTTATTATTCAAAGACCCATATTTAAATCCTTTGCTGACCATGTTGACATATATCAGCCTTCTTCTAGACAAACTGTCAACTCTCAACCATCTTGACAGTAGAAGTGACAGTAAAAAATGTTGAATGATCAGAGATTATATTAAAATAAACATGTAATTTTCAAGTATTTTTGTTGTGCTTTTATAATATTAATTCTAGATCAGATTTATTTTATAGCCAGGGTTTGTCTGTTGTAGAGTCTTGAGGCGTAGCAGTCATTCATGATTAATCACTGTTAGTTTTGTACCCATATATTTTTAGAATAGTTTTAAATGTTAGATTTCTCAAAAGCTAAATGCTACTTAATATCTTTGTATCATACTCATAAAGCAAAGTAAATCTGACACTTTTTTTAAAGCAAACTTCTTTGCTGTCAAAAAAATAAATTTGGGGAAATTTCTAGCTTTTAAAATGTAGATCTGCATTTTACTGTGATTACTTGTGAAAGTCATATTTTAATTTTCTAAATTCTAATTTGTCATTTTATTTCCTAAAGTTAATTTCCAATGCATTTATTCATAAAATATTCATTCTGGAATGCAGTGTTTGTTTAAATGTAATCCAATGTATATAGAATTAGTGGTGGCTGTAGTGCTGTATTTATTGCTTATAATTTTTTTTAAATGTGAACTTACTTTTAATTTTCTCTTGGTTTTAATCTGCTAGTAGAAACCACTAGTTATCTGTAAAAATATATTCAAGATATTCTGATCAATTATAACAATTTATGTTATGCCTAGAGTATATCTCTATTTTTTGATTGTATGAAAATATTAAAGTTATGAGTTAAAGTTTATTTTCACTGATATTTACTACAGTGCCAAATAATCTAATTTATAAACATAATTCTTACAGTAATCAATGGGATACTTCTCAAAATTAACAAATCTCTTAACAAAATATATCTTTTGCCCTCTTTAAAGTCTTCAGTAAACCAGTAAATGAATTCAATAAACCAATTAAGAAAAAGTCATGATTTGTTTTTCAAACTAAAAAAATCCAACTATACTACAATGGATGCAAACTCCTTCTTATGCTGAAAGAAGAAAAAGGATGTCTCAAAATAAGAAAATGTTCAGAAATTCATCTCCTTTATCTACTATATTTCATTTTGTAGTTTTGTTTAAATATTAGAAAGAAAAATAAGTATTTAAAGGTAATTTTTAAAGAGGGCATATTCATGGCTCTCACACAAATATAAAATGAAAATGTTTCAAAGATTTCGTTTAACTCATTAATTAATGAAGGAACAAGTAAGATGTTACAAAAATTCAAAGGAGAATTCAAAATATCACACTATATGAGAATATTAAAAATGTTGAAATAAATTTATAAATAAGTGCAAAACCACTCTATCCTTAGGGCAATAATCAGTTGCATTCCACTTAATAACTAATTTTTATTTTTATGATCAATAATAATGTACATCATTTTCTGTTTTCTGGAGAAAATGCCCATTTAAAACACTTGTGTTTTTTTCTTATAATCTCTCCTCCTTGTGATTATACTAATCTCAAAGAAAGAATATTCTTGATTAAAAATATTGCTAGTTTAATAAGGTTTGGCCTATTGTTGAGATAGGTACATGAGAGTGTTAATTACAATATAGACCTCCTCAAGTTGGTTTTACAAATCTAGAACCATAGTGCACTTTTTAACAGCTTCATTGAGATATACTTGACATATCATATAATACTTCATATTCAAAGCAGTTTTTAGTATATTAGTAGAGTATATTTTAATACATCCATAGAGACACGCTACCATCACCAATTTCATTACATTTTTATGACCTTGAGAAGAAACAGTGTATCCTTTAGCCATCACTTCTCTATCCCTCTATCTCTACTTTCATTTCAGCTATAAACATCACTAATTTACATTCTGTCTCAACAGATTTCCCTATTCTAGACTTTCATATGATTGTAATCATATAGTATGTGACCTTTTGTGACTAAATGATTTCACTTATGTTTTTAAAATTCATTCATGTTTTGGCATGTATCAATGTTTCCTTTTATTCCATTGGGTGAACATACCACATTTTATTTATTCATTTGTCTGTTGATGGATATGTTTGTTTTGCTTTTACCTTTTGGTTATTATAAATAATATACCTATAAACATTTGTTTGCAAGTTTTTGTTTGTAAAAAAGTTTTCATTTCTTTTCAGGACATTTGCAAAACAGCCAGATCATTTTACATTCCCACCAGCAGTGTATGAAGGGTTCTGAATTCTCCATTTTTCTCAACACTTGTTATTACCTGTCTTTTTTATTTTAGACATCCTAATGGATGTGAAATGGTACCTGGTAGTTTAATTTTCATTTCTCTGATGGTTAAAGATGTCAAGCATCTATTGGCCATGTGTAATCTTTTTTGGAGGAATATTTATTCAGATTATTGGTCCATTATTAATTTGGTTGTCTTTTTATTATTGATATATATATATATCAATATGTATATATATATAGTCTCACACACTCACATCTGCAAATATATATGTATAGGTCTCTTTTCAGATAATTTGCAAATACTTTCTCCCATTCTGTGAATTGTCTTGTCCCTTTCTTAATTGTGTCCTTTGATGCATAAAAGGTAACAATTATTTATTAAGTACATTTTTTTCTTTTGTTGGTCATGCTTTTAGTGTCACATCTAAGAATCCTTAGCCAAATTCAAAATCATGAAGATTTACTCCTATAAAATCTTCTAAGAAATTTATAGAAAATTATAGGTCATTGATCCATTTTGAGTTAATTTTTGTATGTGGTGTGAGGTAAGGGTCTAGCTTCATATATTTTTGAATGTGGCTATTTGTTCTAGGATCATTTGTTGAAAAGACCATTTTCCCCATTGAAAGGTCTTGGCATCCTTATCAAAAAGCAATCAGCCATAGATTCATGGGTTTATTTTAAAATTCTATTTCATATATATATATATATATATATATATATATATATATATATATATATATATATATATATATATGTCTGTCCTTGTGCTCAAACCACACTGTCATTATTACCTTTGTTTGTAGTGAGTTTGAAATCAGAAAGTATGAATTCTGTTTTATTCTTCTTTTTCACAATTGTTTTTGCTATTCTGGATCTCTTGCAGAATATACTAAATATATACTATAGTATATATACTATAAATATAAATATATAATATAAATATATACATATATATTTAGTAGAGACAGGATTTCACCATATTGGCCAGGCTGGTCTTGAACTGCTGGCCTCAACTGACCCATCAGCTTTGGCCTCCAAAAGTGCTGAGATTTGTGTAGTTTTGATATTAGAGTAATACTGACTTCTTAGAAAGTTATGGAAAGTAGTCCCTTCTCTTCCAGGTTTGCAAGAATTTGTGAATAACTGGTATTAATTCTTCTTTAATAAATTCAGTGGTGAAGCTATCTAGGCCCTAGCCAGATATAGGTAGTTGTCTAGTTACTGATTTAATCTTTACTTAATATAGGTCTATTTAGATTGTCTATTTCTTCTTGAGCCAGTTTCAGTAGTTTGTTTTCTTCTGGAAATTTGTCCATTTCATCTAATTTATCTAATTTGTTAACTATAAAGTACTGAGCAACCACTATGGTTACAAATTTAACTTCTGCCTGGAAGTTTTAAAACGGAATATTGAATTGGATTTTTGAAAGCCTATATTATTTGCTATCTTTGACAGTAATAAACTATGCACAAGAAGTCTATCAGATTTCATCTGCTATGTCTATAAATTTGAATATATTTCTTTTTCCTCAAAGTCCCTAAAATTTGTTGTAATCTCTAGCATTCCTGAAATTGACCTTCCTTATCACCTATAAGGCTGGGACGTGTAGCCAGTTACCAGGCGATTTAGATACCAGGCCAGTTTTCCTGGGAAAGCATTATGGGCATTGGCTCCATAAAATAGTCAAACTTTGTTCCCCAATATGAGCATAATTTGATGACCATTATTCTGATATATGACACTCCACATAAGTCCTTTAGTGTATAATCCATTTGTCCTATTATATACTGGTAGAAAGGAAGGTACATTCTTACTGGATTTATGCAATTAACTATATTATCATGAAAAGTAAGGATATTTAATATGTTTTTTCCCCTAAAATTCTGAGGGTAAGTTAGAATCTACTATTATTTCTAAATGTATTGTTTCACTTTAAAAGCAATATTTATACAATTATTGTGGATTAGAGATCTTAAGATGAGACAGAAGAGTTTGAGCTATATATCCAGTAAGTAGAATATGAAAACAAAATCAACATTTCACACAAGTAACACAATAAAATTGCCCTCATCAATTGTTTCAGTCTTATGAAATTAATTATTGTTCAACTGGATCTCAGATTAGCAATCTCATGAAGCCATCTCCTGTGCAACCAAAAAAGCCAGATACCAGAGAAAAAATGCTCTCAAAATCCTGGTTC
Source organism: Homo sapiens (assembly GCF_000001405.40). Taxonomy (NCBI): domain Eukaryota; kingdom Metazoa; phylum Chordata; class Mammalia; order Primates; family Hominidae; genus Homo; species Homo sapiens. The sequence continues at coordinate 187,339,649 of NC_000002.12, read as the reverse complement.
ACTCCACTTATATGGAAAGTGCAAGCGCGTACTCATGCATCTGTTTTTTCACATGCCAACAGTCTGAAGTGCCTTGTAATTTTTTTTCCCAAGGGCTTGTGTGTTTATCCTTCAGTATTAAAGACAAAACTCTTGTCTATAGCTTACAGCAGAGCATCAGGGAAAGCATCAGTGTAAAACAAAATGATCAGATATAATATGTGTATGACAGAAATCACAATGTCTGTGGTTAATAGTGAAAATTTTCAAAAGTAAAAGTTCTAATGCAGGTTCTTAATAAGAATAATAATGCAACTGAGAAGAAAATGTAGTTGTTCCTGTAGGAAGAAAAACAACAAATCCATTTTTTAAAAATAGACAAAATGAAATACACATTGAGCTATAACATAATAATCTTGAGATGTATTTTTATACAAAGAACATTAAGCAAAGTGATGCAGTAAGTTTGGCATAAGACCTAAGTATTATCTTTAGTTTTCTAAACCTTCATGACTAAGTCTGTCTCAGTTGAGAACCACTGATGTAGAATAGGGTCTATGCCCTCTTAGGAACCCTGGCTGCACAGTAGTGATGGCAGTGGCAGCCCGTCTGGAGTAGCCTCTGCTAAGATGCTGGCTGCAGCCGGGGCTGCGGTATCCTTGAAGCCGATGGCAGCCAGGAACAGGCAGGAGACCTGCCCCCTACTGAGTAGGCAGGGCAGGATTCCTGTGCCCCTGGGCGCAGCTGCAGCTGCCCAGCCATGGCTCCAGACCTGGCATCCCTACACTCTCAGGGGCTTGGGAAGTCCCCTTCCCCCACAGGCTTGGAAGTGCCTGCTCCCACTCCCTGGCCTGTCCCTACTCCCAGTGCCAACTCCAAGGCAGAGCAGAGTTGTGGCCAAGCCTGGGTGCTGTCACAATCTGGCAGGGTGTACATGCACTCAGGGCAGCGCTGACACACCAGCCCCCTGCCACCTCTGCCCCTTCTGGACTTTGGGTGCCAACAAGCATGGGAGGGAGGCAGAGGTGGGGCTGAGCTCAAACCCGATTGTGAACTGCACATGTGAGAGATCTAGTTTGTCAGTTCCTCATGAGAATCTAACTAATATCTGATGATGTAAGGTGAAATAGTTTCATCCCTTCATCCAGAAACCATCCCTTGCCTCGTCCCTGAAAAAACTGTCTTCCACAAAACTGGTCCCTGGTGCCAAAAACGTTTGGGACCACTGGTGTAATAGATACTAGATTCAAATTAAAGAAGTAAGACTGTAGTCAAACAATGTTTTAAATAATAACTGAAATTATGACTGATAACATTTTATTGTTGTCTAATCTCATCAGGCAAAGCACTGCCAGAACAGTGATAACTATAGGAAAACTTGGCAAATTTTTTTTACCAGTGTTTCCTCAAAGATTAAAATATATTATGGAAATGGAGTGCAATGATAAACTTCTAAGGACTTTCCATAAAGCAAACAATTAGGCTGGAGTGCAGTGGCGCAATCTTGGCTCACAGCAACCTCCACTGCCCGGGTTCAAGTGATTCTCCTTGTAGCTGGGATTACAGGCGTGCACCGCCACACCTGGCTAATTTTTGTATTTTCAGTAGAGACAGGGTTTCACCATGTTGGCCAGGCTAGTCTCCAACCCCTAACCTCAGGTGATCTGCCTGCCTCGGCCTCCCAAATTGCTGGGATTACAGGCGTGAACCACCATGCCCGGCCTCTTGCATATTTTTTATCAGGTGAAAGAATACATTTTTTGCAATTTCCAGGGCACTCTGGCAAATGTCAATAGTAGTTTTAAGTGTAAAATATGTCTTGAAATTTTATTTTGCTTTTTGTATATATATAAAATCAGATTTTTAGAAAGGCAAAAATTTTTAAAAGATATCAAAGGAAATTTGGACATTTAAGATATGATTATGGGAGCCTGAGAAACAATATTTGTTTACCTATTTAATCAAAGAAACAGTACATATTTTAAAATGAAGTACCTGGTAACACATTTTTAAAAACATTTTAGTCTCTTCATAATTGGGGAAATTTTGTGGTCATTTTTATGGTTTTGTTATTGTTTTTGTTTGATCAAAGACATAAGCAATGTCAACCTAAAGTATAAAAAATTAATTTGATAAGACTTGAAATCTATTCTGTCTAGGCAGATTACACGGAAATTAAATAATATATTGTTTCAATATATTGAATATATTCAGTAAACCAAGGAACCAACCCTGAGGGCAAACAAGATTGCACAAACTCTGCTAACATTTTAACATATTCCGTGGCTTCTTTGCAGACAGGTCTTATAAACTAATGGAAATAAAATTTATTTTGCAAGTTTTGTTCTCCATTATGTTCTTTATTATTCTGTACAAACTAGTAATTTAGAAGAGATCTCAGAGAACCCAGGAGGTAATAACCAATTTTATATTATCACTAAGATATTATTTTTGTTAATATGCAATGTGTTTCTCATGGCTATTTTCAAATTGATCAAAATATAAATATATTTCTAAATTTCTCTTTTATTTACTAATACAATAAGTACCAATAAACAGAATCCAGAAAGAGAAGCTCTTTGAGGTCCTCACTAAGTCCGCAAAGTATAAAGGAACCCAGAAACAAAATAAGCAAACACAAAGCAAAAGTCTGTCACTATTGCCCCTAACTGTAGTCTCAAGCATTTTTCTTAATTGTAACTTTTAATCAAAGTAACCAACTTCTATTTCAGAGAGAACTGGGGTATAAAAATTGAGAACTGTTTGTTATATGCAAGCAATTTAGCAGATAAGAAAAGCTCATGAATACAAATAAAATGATTTTCTACAGCTACATACGTCCCTTTTACACCATTACAAAGTGGCAAAAATGAATGCCACCCAAAGAAAAAATGATTCTATATACATAAAAATGGCAAGCAAAAACTTAAAATTATGCTTAGAAAGGAATTGTTCAATATTTTCTTACACAGAAATTAACCATATATCCAGTGATTTTCCATTAACTCAATGGATATCAGTCCAAGATTTAATATCAGTCCAAGATTTTAAATCACTTAAAGATCTTGGAAATTTTCTTCAAGTTGATGTACCACAAAATATAATTACTGCTGAAATTAAAAATGAGTCATGACCATAATTCAATTCAGTAGAACACAGATATATATTTATGATCTTAAACATTATGTAGAAGTAATGTTAGCTTACTGGATCAGTAAGCCTAAATAAGTTTATGACAAACAAACCCATGTTGATATAATGTATGCTCTGTGATCATTAATACTAATAAATGAGAGAAAAAGACAGTTGTGTTTACTGAACCAAAATTAATATGCTAATATCATATGCCAGTGATTTACCTTAATAAGAAACTTGCATTCTTTAAATGTTTCTTAGTTTCTCAGATTCTTAGCATGTTTCTTAATGAATATAGATATTAAGTATAGCACATTTAAAGTAATTAGAAGTTCAATTTCATTATTTTCTGAAATATTAATTTCAGGTAAGTATTTATTTATCTTTGTAAGCCAATAAAAATGAAGCTATTTAAGAGATTATGTGTCATTAATAATCCCCAAAGACAGGCAAATATTAAACACTCACACAAGGAGAGGTAAAGGCCATGCCAAATTATATGTAGACATACAAAGAGTGTATAGATTCAGTCTACAATTTTAGCCACAGCTCAAAAACACAAGCAACTCAGAAAAACAAAAGTTTATTAGTCTATCAGAGTCCATCAGAGCCATTCTCGTTCCAGATGGGCATAAAAATGTTAAATAATTTGGGGTTAACATAGACAAATAGACAAAAAGAAAAAATGACTAGCAAATCAGAATCTCTTTGTCTCTCATCCAATAAAGAATAGAGCTCTATAATTTATTAATCCATTTACAATGATCAACAAATATCAGAGAATGAAACTAAATTCCCAATCACTGCTGCCGCCAATGCAAAATAATTTCCTAATGAAAACAAACCAAAACCCCAAGCAAACACGAAATTATTAAAGGGGATAGGTGAAAAATTTTTTAAAAAGAGAAACAAAATGAAAAAAATGTCTTTGCTTCTTAGGATTCACTTCTCGGAGCCAATAAGAAAGAGACGCCTAAGATTATATCATTCATGAGGTACATTACTCTGTCAAAGCATATAACACTGCTCTATCAGGGGAATCCACTGTTCACTTTCTTGAAAAACATGTAAGACTTAAAAAATCCAAATAAACTACAATGCATGCCAATTCCTTTTTATTTAAAAAGAAGGGGAAGGAGCCCAGAAACTTGAAAATGTATGATGACTTATTTTCTTTATCTATTACAGATTCCATTGTGTATTTTTATATCAAATGGCAGAAAGAAAAAAAGAGAAAGAAGTGTTTAAAGAGAATCTTTATTTTATTTTATTTATCTATAATTAGGGGTACCAGTGCAGTTGTGTTACATGGATGTATTGTAAAGTCTGGGCTTTTAGTGTCACCATCACTCAAATAAGTATACATTATAATCAATAGGTAGTATTTCTTCGCTTACCTTCCTCCCACCTTCCCACCTTTTAGAGTCTCCAGTGTCTATTATTCGTCTCTGCATGTTCATATGTACCCACCAATTAGCTCCCACTTATAAGTGAGAACATGTGTTTTTGTTTTTTGTTTTTTTTTTACTTTCTGTTTCTAAGTCATTTTACTTAGGATAATGGTCTCAACGTCCAACCATGTTGCCACAAAAGACATAATTTTATTCTTTCTTATGACTGAGTAGTATTCCATAGTGTGTGCATGTATATATGTATCTATACCTACACACATATCACATCTTTAATCCAATAACCAGATGATAGACACTTAGGTTGATTCCATGACTTTGCTATTGTTAAAAGTGCTGCAATAAGCATACGAGTACAGGTGTCTTCTTGATATAATAGTTTCTTTTCCTTTGGGTAGATACCCAGTACTGTGATTGCTGGATTGAATGGTAGATCTATTTTTAGTTGATTGAGAAATTTTCATGCTGTTTTTCATAAAGGTTGTACCAATTTACTGCCATCAACAGTGTATAAGCATTCCTTTTTCTCCACATCCTCACCAACATCTGTTGCATTTTGACTTTTTAATAATGGCCATTCTGATGGTATCTCACGGTGGCTATCATTTGCATTTCTTTGATGATTAGCGCTGTTGAGCAATTTTTTCATGTGGTTGTTGACTGCCTGTATGACTTCTTTTGAAAAATGTCTGTTCATGTCTTTTGTCCACTTTTTAATAGGGTTATTTGGTTTTTCTTGTTGAATTGTTTGAGTTTCTTGGAGATTCTGAATATTTACCTTCTGTTGGATGTATTGTTTGCAAATATTTTCTCCCATTCTGTAGGTCATCTGCTTACTTTGTTGATGATTTATTTTGCTGTGTAAAAGCTTTTTAGTTTAATTATCTCATTTGTCTATTTTTGGTTTTGTTGTATTTCCTTTTGAGGACTTAGTCACAAATTATTTGCCTAGGCAGAAGAATCTTTCCTAGATTTTCTTTATTTATAGTTTTGCATCTTACATTTAAGTCTTTAATCCATCTTAAAAAGAAGGTATAATTATGATTCTCATACAAATATAAAATGAACGCATTTCAAAGATTTTGTTTAACTCATTAGCTAATGAGGGAGCCTGTAAGATGTTATAACATTCCAAGGAGAATTCAAAATACCCCACAAATACAAGCAGATAAGAAATGCTGAAGTGGATTGACAAATAGATAAAAAAAAAAAGTCTATCTGTGGGCAATAATCAATTGCATTCTACTGAAAACAAGGAATTTGCATTTGTATTATTATTCATTTTTCACAACTTAGTTGTAAAATGTCTCACAGAAAATAAACAAATAAAAATGAGTAACCCAGAAGGTTGCACTAGAAATGATCCCCTAATCTTTCTAAATTTTACACCATTTTAAAGTCTTACATCTTAACTCACAGAAGTACATGTGGAGAGAACAGGAACAATGTAAGAATATAAAAGCTCGATGCAGATAGTAAGGGTAAGTGTTTGTTAAACAATACTTTAAAAACTCTACATGTGGATATTATTTTTAGCTCCCAATATCTGCAATATGATAATGTTTATTTGCAACACGCATCACTGTGACACTCTATTCTTCTTTGGAGTTTTATTTCTTCTATTCTCCCTAATTTACCCATTGATTTTCATATAGTTGTTGATGATATGTAAGAAATGCTTATGTCTTAGGCTTTTCATAAATCTAATGTTTCACTTTCAGAATATGAAAAATATTTATTTCAGATCTATTTTATGAGTTTGAAATGTCAGTTTGAGATATTCAGTGTATTATAGCCACAGTATATTGATATTTACTATATTATTGACATAGTATTAAGCTTGTTAAAATGTTACGCTCTTTTCATGGGTAATAATACTGTGGCTCAAAAACATAAGCTATTTTCTCAAGTTGACAAGCTCTAGGAATCTTTGAGAATAAATACCTTCAGAAGACCATGACTTTTCTTTTATGCACACCAGACATTCACATCTGCAATTATTAGAGTTTATTTTTAAAAAGGTAAGTCCTAAAATACCCATCAGTTTGTTACATGGAGAATTATTTAAAATAATAATATCATAAACTCAAGAAACAAATCTGAAAAGATATCAGCTTAAATATAAACTTGGTGCAAGTACAGCACAAAATATGTGAGCATTATTATTATCTACACAGTTGGGTTTGGACATTTATTTTTAAGGTAAACATCATTCTGACAGCAAAATAATTGTGATATTCAGAATACAGGAAATATTTAGTACATACTGTTATCAAGAATGTTAATTAAATACACTTGTCTATGAAATTAAGGTAGGCATTAAATATAACTATAAATATAACTATAATTAGACTATAAGCACTCAGAGGAGGCAGGGAAACCATTAAAATGACCTACTAATGCTGATATTTGATAAAAATAACATAAGAATAACATCATATAAGAGCAAAGTACTTGTATTTAGTTACAAAACCAAAAAACAAAAAAACACTCAAGCATTCAGAGGGGAAAGTGAAAATATGTAGTAGTATTACATAGGCACCAACCAGTCAATACAGATGCTACCTATTGTGTATTTGCTGTCAGCTTTGTTTTGTTAAAAAACAAAACAAAACAAAATCTAAGTATAATATATACTAACCAATGGTAATAAATTCCCAATGTCCAGCTAATAATGTTATCTTATAACAGAGAAGAGATTATTAAATAAATTTAAATCAATAAAGTGTATTGAGCATCTTCTACTTCAAAAGCACAATAGTAGGAACATTACAATATAAGAAAGCATTCCTTCATAGGGCTTCAGCAGTTTAAGTGGTATTCTACAATCTAATATGTTTCAGTTTACTTTCAAACTGACATTTCTAAACTAAATCCTTTGCATTATGCAACTTTCTCTTGAATCTATGAAAGACAGCATTCAAAGCTACAGTTCAAACTACACAAATAGTTTTTCAACATAGCTCACAGAAGTAGATGTAGTTATTTAAAGCAGTTGAGTTAGATCTGGTATCATTGTTTTCAAGCACAAAATGAAATTTTCTGTGTTCCAATTGGAGGCTATATCAAAGAACTTCAGAGTATGACCCAGATACAACACCTCCCTTGGATGAAAACTCCCATGCTATATTCCAAAAGTGTTATAAACAGTATGCAAACTAGTGTGCAACTAGCTTACAGCATGCAAGAGAAAAAGGATGAAATTATAACAAGTAAGATGACAGAAATCCACATCTATCTCATGTCGCCCTCACATGGACCATTTGCTTTACTTGCTTGTGTATGGTAGGAACACTATAGGTCTCACAGTGGAGCCATGTATCTGCTGACTTCAGAGAGTTTTACAAAGTCTGCATTCCTGGCTGCACATCCATGCTCTACAAAAGAAGGATACACCCAACAAACAAGCAACCTATTTCAACTCAAATGCAAAGGGAATTTATTTTATTTTTCTTTCATTTTTATTCTTATTTTGAAAAGTGTGGTGGGACAATAAATAAAGAACCTTACCTGAACCTTAGATCTACCTACAGATTCATTCAGTCATTCAGCAACTACTTATTGTAAAGGAATAGTATTGCCTTTGATCAGGTGATCAGGTGGGTTCCCTAATGGAGTGACAAAGAAACAAAGACATGAGTAAAAAGACTAAGAGGGCTGCAGTTATAAGGTACGATTATGAATATTGATCAATAAAAAGTAAGTAAAATATTGGCAAACAGAATTTAATGCATGTTACAAGATATTTTATGACCAAGTAAGATTTATTTCAAGAAACCAAGGATGAAACAAAATTTAAAAATTTATTAATTTAATGCATTATATTACTAACATTAAGGATAAAAAATACCAAATAACCATCACTGAAGATAGTAGAAAAGCATTTGACAAAATTCAACAAATACAGTTAATTTTAAAAAATAAAAACAAGTAAAGAATTTACTGAAACTTGGTTACATGATCAGAGATACTTAAATCAGCCCCAATGTCAGTATTATATCAAGACAGAAATATTGAAATCTTTGTTCCTGGAGTTAGGATCAAGATGTGAATGCTTAGATATCATAAATTAATATTTAATATTCAACTAGATGAAACAGTCAATGTAATTAGACAATGCAAACAAATAAAGCTAAACAAAATAGAATTATGAAATTTGAAAAGGAGGAGAAAGCACTAGAATTCAGAAATGTACCAACATATAAAATAAATGTACACAAATCAATTTTTTATATACACATATAACAGAAGATACAGTGGGAAAGAAAGAAGCAAACTTATAATGACACTAGAGAAGATAAAATATATAGGAACAAATTAAACAAGAATGAGTAACTATATAAAATACATCTTAAATACTACTAAAGGACACAGCAGAGGTTATCAATACATAGAAAGATACACCATGTTCTTGAATAAGAAGATTATAAAGATGTCCATTTTCCCCTGTATAAATTATAAAATAAATGTGATCCAAATAAAAAAAGAAAGAGTAGGTAATTATTCTGAAACTAGATGTGCTGATTTTAGTTTCCATGAGAAGAAATAAAAATAAATAGCAATGAAAGCTCTAAAAAAATAAAGAAGAGAGGAGGGGGAGATAAGCCCTGTCAACCACTATGTAACTCAATAATTACAACAGTGTGGCAATGGCATATGAATAGAACATAGAGAGCAGTGGAGAAGAGGTGTGTAGACCATGCTTTTGAAGTAATTTGCAGTGAAAGGAATCAAAAAATGATCATTGGAAGGTGGAGTAGGATGACATTATGCCCCAGGAAGCATTTTATTTTAAATTTCTCATGTTTTCTTCTTTAAAATTATGCCACTTCTGGAACACCAGGAGTAATAAATGGGCTTATAGGCAAGGCTCAAAGCTGTTTTGCTTTGTTTTACTTTTATTTGAGGTTCAGGGGTACATACGCAGGTTACATGGGTACATTTTGTGTTTCTCAGGTTTGGCATATGAATGTTCCTGTCACCCAGATAGTGAGCATAGTATCCAACAGTTAGTTTTTCAACACTCATCCCTCTTCCCTCCACTTTCCTCTAGTAGTCCCCAGTGTCCATTGTTCTCATCTTTGTGTCCATGTGTACTCATTGTCTAACTCCCACTTATTAAGTGAGAAGATGCAATATTTGGTTTTCTGTTCCTGCATTAATTTGTTTAAGATAATGGCTTCTAGCTGCATTCATGCTGCTGCAAAGCACATGATTTTTTTTTATGGCTGTGTAGTTGTCCATTGTATTAGTTCATACTCACATTACTACTATAAAGAACTACCTGAGACTGAGTAATTAATGAAAAAAAAAAGAGGTTTAATTGACTCATAGTTCCACAGGCTTAACAGGAAGCATGACTGAATGGCCTCAGGAAATTTACAAACATGGCAGAAGGGCAAAGGGGAAGCAAGCACCTTTTTCACATAGTGGGAGGAGAGAGAGCAAGTGAAGGGGGAAGTGCCACACACTTTTAAACCATCATATCTGTGAGAATTAACTCACTATCATGAGAACAACATAGGGTAAATCTGCCCCCATGATCCAACCACCCACCTCCCACCAGGTTCCTCCTTCAAAATTGGGAATTACAATTCAACATGAGATTTGGGTGGGGACACAAAGCCAAACCATATCATTTCACCCCTGGCTCCTCCCAAATCTCATGTCATTTTCACATTTCAAAACCAATTATGCCTTCTTAACAGTACCCACAAATCTTAACTCATTCCAGAATTAACTCAAAAGTCCATGTCCAAAGTCTCATTTGAGATAAGGCAAGTTTCTTCTGCCTAAGCACATGTAGAATGAAAAACAAGTTAGTTACTTCCAAGACACTATGGGGTAGAAGCATTGAGTAAATGCTCCTGTCCCAAAAGGGGGAAATTGGCCATAACAAAGGAGTTACACGCCCCATATAAGCCTGAAATCCAGCAAGGCAGTCATTAAATCTTAAAGCTCCAAAATAATCTCTTTTTACTCCATGTCTCACATCCAGGAGGTACTAACACAAGGAATAAATTTCCAAGTCCTTGGGCAGTTCCACTCCTGTGGTTCTGTAGGGTACAGGCCCCATGGCTCCTTTCACAGGCTGGCATTGAGTGCCTGCAGCTTTTCCAGATGCATGGTGCAAGCTGTCAATGGATCTGCCATTCTCAGGTCTGGAGGGCAGTGGTCCTCTTCTCACAGCACCACTAGGCAGTGCCCCAGTGGGAACTCTGTGTGGGGGCTCCAACCTCACATTTCCCCTGCACACTGCCCTAGAGGGCTCCATCTCCACGGCAGACTTCTGCCCGAACATTCAGATATTTCCATGCATCCTCTGAAACCTAGGCAAAGGTTTCCAAATCTCAGCTCTTGCCTTCTGCACAGATTCAGGCCCAACACCACGTGGAAGCCATGAAGTCTTGGGGATTGCACCCTCTGAAGCCACAGCCTGGGCTGCACCTTGAGCTCTTTTATCCATGGCTGGGGATGGAGTGGCTGAAACACAGGGCATCATGTCTCAAAGCCGCACAGAGCAGCTGGGCCCTGGCCCTGGCTCATGAAACCATTTTTCCCTCCTAGACCTCTGGGCCTGTGATGGAAGAGGCTGTTGTGAAGGTCTCTGAAGTGACCTGGAGACATTTTCCTTATTGTCTTGGCTATTAACCTTTGGCTCTTCTTTATTTATGGAAATTTCTCTAGCAGGCTTGAATTTCTCCCCAGAAAATGTGTTTTTATTTTTCTACCACATTCTGCCAGGCAGCACATTTTCCAAACTTTTATGCTCTGTGTTTCTTTTAAATACAAAATCCAGTTTAAAGTCATCTTTTTGTTCACACATGTGAGCATACACTTTCAGAAACAGGCATGTTACTTCATAAATGCTTTGCTGCTTAGCAGTTTCTTTTGTCAGATACCCTAAATCATCTCTCTCAAGTTCAAAGTTTCACAGATCTATAGGGTGGGAGCAAAATGCCACCAGTTTCTTTGCTAAAGCATAGCAAGTTACATTTACTCCAGTTCCCAATAAGTTCCTCATCTCCATCTGAGACCACTTCAGCCTGTAATTCATCGTTCATATTACTGTCAGCATTTTGGTCAAAACCATTCAAAAAGTCTCTAGGAAGTTCCAAACTTTCTCACATCTTTCTGTCTTCTTCTGAGCCCTTCAAACTCTTCCAGTCTTCTACTCATTACCCAGTTCCAAAGTCACCTCCACATTTTCAGGTATATAAAATAGCAATGCCCCACTTTCCTGGTACCAATTTTCTGTATTAGTTCATTCTCACACTGCTATAAATAACTACCTGAGACTAGGTAACTTATGAAGAAAAAAGGTTCAGTTGACTCACAATTCTGCAAGCTTAACAGAAAGCATGACTGAGAGGCCTCAGGAAACTTACAATCATGGCGGAAGGGCAAAAGAGAAGTATACACCTTCTCCACATGGCAGCAGGAAAGAGAGAGAGAGCGAGGGGTGGGAGAAGTGCCATACACTCTTAAACCATACGATCGCATGAGAACTCACTCACTATCATGAGAACAGCATGCAGGAAATCTGCCCCCATGATCCAATTACCTTCTACCAGGTCCCTCCCCCAACACTGGGAATTACAATTCGACATGTGATTTCGGTGGGAACCCAGAGCCAAACCATATCATTCATGATGTATATGTACCACATTTTCTTTACCTAGTCCACCATTAATGGGCATCTAGGTTGATTCCATTTCTTTGCTATTGTGAGTACTGCTGTGATGAACAAATGCATGCATGTGTCTTTTTGGTAGAAAAATTAATTTTCCTTTGGGTATATATGCAATAAAGAGATTGCTGGGTTGAATGGTAGTTTTGGTTTAAGTTCTTTGAAAAATCTCCAAACTGCTTTCCACAGTAGCTGAAGTAATTTACACTCCCACCAACAGTGTATAAGTGTTCTCTTTTCTCTGTAATCTCACCAGCACCTATTATTTTAATTTTATTTATTTTTTGACTTTTTAACAATAGCCATTTGACCGGTGTGAGATACCTTGTGGTGGTATTGATTTGCATTTTTCTAATGATTAGTGATATTCAGCACTTTTTCCTATGTTTGTTGGCTGCATGTATGTCTTCTTTAGCTGTTAATTGTTATCTTGGCTCCAAAAGGCCAGAATGCTTTGAAATTGTCACTTGTTAAGTGTTGAACCCTATAGAAAGGGTCATCCACCTTGTTAATTTTTGCGTGGGAAAGAGATAACAGTTTTTTGTTTCTTTGAATTACAATTGTAAGCAAATAAAATTTTTACATGTAATTTCAGTGACATAGTAGATTAATGGAAACTAAACCTCATCTCTGGGCAATCTGAGAGTACTTAAACCACAACTAAAAACCTCAGCCTACATTTTCAGCAAAGTTGAATGGATTTTCTAGTGTCTCTAAATTCCATCTATATTCAAATGCCAAATGGAATAGATCTCTCTTCCCTCTTGCACTTCCAAATATTTAATCCTATAATTTTATTTTAAGGTGGTTCTTGAATATTTTGCTATTTCAATTTGTCCTTCACATTGTTATTTTAAGTTTCCTTTGACCTCTTTCTCTTCATCTTATTTCAAGATATATGTGATCTTCTATCCATTATTATCTTAAATGTTCTGAAAATATATTTATATATTCAGTCCATGGTCTCTTTTCCTTCATGCCTTAGTCTGTTCTCGCTACCATAGCAAAAATACTATAGACTGGGTGGCTTAACCAAGATAAATTTATTTCTCACACTTCTGGAGGCTGGAAAGTCCAAGATTGATATGTTTATAAGGTAGGTTTTATTCTGAGGCCCCTTCTTTTAGTTTGTGGTGGTCACCCTCTCACTATGTGCTTACTGCACGTGTGGAGAGAGAGGAAGCAAGCTCTCTGGTGTCTCCTCTTAAAGACACTAATCCTACTGCATCAGAGTTTCACCTTGTGAGTGCACTTGTAATGGTTAATTTTATATATCAACCTGTCTGGGCTAAGGGATGTTCAGTGTCTTAGTCTGTTTATGTTACTATAACAGAATATTAGAGACTGGGTAATTTATTTAAAATAGAAATTTACTCCTCATAGGAGGCTGGGAAGATCAATATCAAGGTGCCAGTGTCTCGCAAGGACTTTTTACCGTGCCATTCCACGGTGGAAAAAGAGAGTGCAGAAGAGAGGGCAAAACTCACTCTTAAATGTACTCTCTCAATAACAAATCACTCCTAGAATACCACAATTAATCCATTCATGAGAAGACCTAGTTACCTTTTAACAAACTCACTTCTCGACATTGTTGCATTGGGGATTAAGTTTCCAGCACATGAACCCTGGGGGAAACAGTCAAACCATACCACCCAGATAACTGGTAAAACATTATTTCTAGGTGTGTCCGTGAGGGTTTTTCTGGAAGAGATCAGCATTTAAATCAATAATCTGAGTAAAGAAGCTTGCTCTCAATAATGTGGCTGGACAACATCCAATACATTGAAGGCTTCAACAGAACACAAAGACGAAGGATGGGCAAAATTCACTCTCTCTTTTTAAACTGGATCATTCATCTTCTCCTACCCTGGAATATTAGTGCTGCTGGGTTTCAGGTCTTTGGACTCAGACCAGAATTTATACCACCAACTAACCCTCTTGTTCTTGGGCCTTTTAGTTTGGACTGGAACTACATGCCTAGTTTTCCTGGGCCTTCAGCTTCCAGATGACAGAACATGAAACTTCACAGTCTCAATAATGGTGTGAGTCAATCCCTCATAATAAATTTATTTCTTTACATATGTATGTGTGTATAGAGATTACATATATGTATGTCTATAAACACACACACACGCACACACACACACACAACATTCCATTGGTTCTATTTCTCTGGAGAATTCTGACCTAATACGAATTTTAATACCAAGAGTGATTCCAGAAGAACAGAATTTTAAGAATGAGTTTTCTGAATTGGGTCTGGAGTTTCTGGAATTGGCTCTCCAATCGGATTAGACTTAAAGATCATAATGACTCTATTTCTAGTAAGGAAGACACTACTGATAGTCTATGGCTTGAAATGTTTATAGAGATACATAAAATGACTGTATTGGATACTCCTAATCAATCACTTATAAGAAGCACAGAACTAAGTGACTTTATGATACTTTCAAGCATTTTTGGAAAACTTAAAAAATAATAATAACATTGGTTGGTTGCTCCTTATGTTTTCTGACAAAGTGGTAAAAGAAAAGAATGAGCTTAGAGAGTCAAGCTCCCAGATTCTATGCTGCATAAATGAACTAAGAGCTTTTAGGTGTACCCTGGGGAAAAGCCTTATTTCCTGTAGCCACATGGCTGACATTGCTGAAAAATCAAATGCAGAACCTCATCCTACAATTGGGCAAATTACAATAAAAGTTAAACTGCCAGCTTTGCAGAATGTCTACTGTTAAAGTGACAACATTTCTTGGGATAGAATGAGATCTTGTAAGAAGAGATGGAGACCTGTGAGAAGACCCTGATGAAGCTGGGGACATTGAGCCTCTAAATTCTGTTAAGTATTCTTTGCCAGTGGAAGAAGCCTCCCCACCCTTACTGAAAGTGGCCTTCTTACCCCAGCAAAAAGGCCTCCCCACCCACAGTAATATTGGTTTTTCTAGTTCCTAGCGGGGAATAAATCCTGCATTCCCTGAGGAAATTGTAATGGCATCCCCTGTGGCAGCTGACACGTAAGACAATGCTGCATCTCTTCAGGAACCACCCCTACCATCCTCTCTGCTTCTGGACCTATAACTAGACTCAAATCCCAGTATAAAATCTTAATTACTTCCTTTGAGACCTCATCTACTTCAGCTGCAAATAAGCCACAATGGGGTCAGAGCTTTGCTATGGTTTGAATGTTTGTGTCCCCCTCCAAAAATCATGTTGAAACTTAATGCCCAATATAATAGTATTAAGATATGGGGCCTTTAGGAAGTGATTAAATCATGAGGGTGCTGCCTATAGTCTTAGCTACAAAGGTTGAAAAGGGAGGATCCCTGGAGCCCAGGATGCCAAGGCTGCACTGAGCTGTGATTGCACCACTGCACTCCAGTCCGGGTGACAGGGCAAGATCCTGTGTAATAAAAAAGAAAAAGAAAAATAATGAGGATGGAACCCTCATGAATGGTATCAGTGACTTTAAAAAGGGCTGGAGGGAACTAGTAGTCACCTTTGCCTTATGCTTTCTTCCACGTGAGGACATAGTAACAAGGCAAAAAGGCATCTGAGAAGCAGAGACTGACCCTCACAAAACACGGAACCTGCCAGTGCCTTGAACTTAGATTTCTCAGCCTCTCAACTGTAAGAAACAAATTTATGTTCTTTATAAATTACCCAGTCTCACATATTTTGTTACAGTAGCACTAACAAACTAAGACAGGCTTCAACATATAAATTATGATAGCATATACTCATTCAATCCATAACACTCCATCATTTTATTAGAAATTTTCTGTGTATCCATTACCTCATAATGAAACAAAATAATGAACAATCAAACTAAACATTATTCCTCTAAATCGAATAGTATTTTCTTTTCCAAAATAAGTGTTCTGGAAAAGTTGTCATCTTGCTTAAGTCTATTCTGGATAATTGTTTATGATTGTTTTCGTTTTCTTCATAGACATCCAATACAAGGAAAACTGCAAAACACTGATGATAGAAATTGTAGATGGGCCGGGCGCGGTGGCTCAAGCCTGTAATCCTAGCACTTTGGGAGGCCGAGGCAGGAGGATCACGAGGTCAGGAGTTCGAGACCATCCTGGCCAACATGGTGAAACCCTGTCTCTACTAAAAATACAAAAAAATTAGCAGGGCGTGGTGGTGGGCACCTGTGGTCCCAGCTACTCGGGAGGCTGAGGCAGGAGAATGGCGTGAACCTGGGAGGCGGAGCTTGCAGTGAGCCGAGATGGTGCCACTGCACTCCAGCCTGGGGGACAGAGCCAGACTCTGTCTCAAAAAAAAAAAAGAAAGAAAGAAATTGTAGATAACAAACAAATGGAAAAACATCCTGGCCTCATGGATTGGAAGAATTATTAACATAATGATACTGCTCAAAGAGGTCTAAAGATTCAATGCAATCTTTATCAAAATACCAATGTCATTATTCGTAGATTTAGAAAAAAAAATCCTAAAATTCATATGGAACCAAAAGAGAGCCCAAATAGATAGCCAAAGCAATCTCCACAAATTTGAAAACTCTCTCCTTAAAGTTCACTTTGGTCACTTTAAAATTGTATTTCTTCATGTTCATGTAACAAATGCAGTCAGCCTCATTTTTGTCCTTCTGATTTTGTGTCCAGAAAGCTCACCCAAACTGCAGTTTATACTGCATGTGCACCATAAATTTAGGGTGACCATGCATCCCAGTTTCCCAAGAGTCTAGGTTTGTTGCCTTGTTCTGGCATCAATTCCAGGTTAGCATTCGCAGTTCTAGCCACAGATTCATGAAGAAAGGACCCCTGCCTTTGTCTGTGCACTTTAGAGATTCCCACCTTGGTCTTCCTCTAGCTGGCCCTCACTCCATGGATGAGCTATTCAAACTAAGGAAATCTGTCCACCTAAAGCTTTATAACACTTATAACCATATCCTTGGTACCTGGGACCCCAGAGCTTAAAACCCAAATGGCTTATGCTCATATTCAGAAACTGCATGCATGTTTTGCTTGGATTTCCCTTTCTGATGATAAATGATGCCTCTTCTATATCCACCCCTAGTTTCAAGGATTGGCCATAAGATGGCTGTTTACACAAAGAAGTGCACACAACTTAGATACACAGGCTGAAGTGTGGACTTACATAAACACAAGGGGCCTCACCAGTGCAAGAAGGAGCTGGGGTTGAACAGTAAGGGGCCACGAGTAAGGGATCAGAGGGCAGCTCACCCTATACCAGCACGTTCTTTCACAAAACTCCAAGGACTCAGGATTCTGGGAATTCTAAATTTGATATGAATTTTCTTGGGTTTTAGGAATAATTATTAGTAAAGACAGAAATAGAAAGCTATTTAATGATTACGTGGCTTCTTTTTTATACTTGAATGAAAAACGTCAAATATATGAGCTTCCATTTGTACTCTTTCCTCAGTCCCCAAAGATACTAAAGAGGAGCCTGAACATTTGTACCAAATAAAAGTATCCAGGTTTCGGCCGGGCACAGTGGCTCACGCCTGTAATCCCAGCACTTTGGGAGGCCGAGGTAGGCGGATAACGAGGTCAAGAGATCGAGACCATTCTGGCCAACATGGAGAAATCCCGTCTCTACTAAAAATACAAAAATTAGCTGGGCGTGGTGGTGTACACCTGTAGTCCCAGCCACTTGGAAGGCTGAGGCAGGAGTACCGCTTGAACTCGGGAGGCGGAGGTTGCAGTGAGCTGCGATTGCGCCACTGCACTCCAGCCTGGGTGACAGAGTGAGACTCTGTGTCAAATTAAAAAAACAAAAAAAAAAAAAAGAAAGAAAAAAGAAAAGAAAAAGAAAAAGAAAAAAAAAGTATCCAGTTTTGGATAATGAATTAGATGATCCCATATTCACTTAGGTTACTCCTTCCTGTCCCCAGTTGAAAACTGAGTATTAAATAGTTAAGCCTTTTTTACTTTTTTCTTTTTTTGCCATAGAGCTATTTCATGCTTTTCTTATGCATACTAACTCTCACATTTACCTGCTATTTTAACAAGACACAACTTAATAATTCTTAGTAATAACCATGAAAATAGCTAATTTTATATAGCCCAAATATTATACTGCATGGTCCTGTGAAGCTTGGTCCACTCCTGAAAGTAACTAACAGTCTTTATTTTTGACTTGCTGAGTGAAATTGCAAAACATTTCTGCCAGAAGTCATAATAAGCTTCTTTAATGGACACATTTTTGAGTCTGGCTTCACTGTTGTTCTACAGGTCATTTCAAATTCTTTATTTCCTGGCATAAAAACAAAAATAAATATCTGCTGTATTCCTAAGCATTGAATTAAACATCAGAGTGTGTGGGTCAGTTTTTCTTTCTCTGGAGACACTGGTTCTCATGAAGAGTTTCTTCACTCAAAGGGTCCTCCCACTCCCTTTCACATAGAAACTGGGAAGTTCTCCTTTCTGCTTTCGTCTGACCTTCCAAATGTAGATATTATGTATGAAATACAGAAACTGACAGTAAATATGGCTTTCCCTCTTCTTTATCCTATAAAAATGCAGTGTTCTGTTCCACATTAGACGGATTTTCCCTGTCTTCCATCTTTCTTAAATTATCCATCGGCAGCTGTCTGTAGACATTTCTACAGCCCTAGAAAAAGCTAGAGAAGAAAACTCAGCACTCCGCATAACAAAAATACTGTGATTCTTGCTACTACTGATATTTTGCAGATACTGACACCCCAACAAGATAATCATGGGTTCTTCCTGTACCATAGTGTCTTTGTTTCTACACCTCCTCACTGTTGAAATCTGGCTCCCTGATAGCTGTAACATTTACAGAGGTTCACTCTCCTTTCTTCTACCTCTGCCTGCCCAGTTAGTTGTGTTACTTTCTTTGCTGTTTTACACTGCTGGCTTCTTCTATATTATGAAAGCTTGGCACATAGTAGGTGGTAAATAAATATTTGTTTCTCTTCCCTGTATTTGAAAAAATAAGGCAAATATAATCCTCAGTTAATAAATAATGAAATAGATAATTTGAAAATTTATGTCGATGTCACACTGTTACCAAATTATCAAGTTAAGACTAGGAAAATCAGTGTTCATATCAGATTATCAGGCTGCACATCCCAGCAAGAGATAACATAGTAAAATCAGTATAATAAAGCCCTTCAAAGAACCTCCTACTGCCCCTTGATAACCAGGGTTTGGGGAAAGAATCTGGCAAATGAAACAAGCTTCAAGATGAAAACATGGTTTAAAAATAATGGCTTCTGAAAGAAGGAATTGGCAAAAAATCCTATTATACAAAGTCTAATCTACAAAATATAGATCTCATCCTTTTCTGAAAGTCTATTATCTCTTCTGTCCCGTGATGAAAGTAGTCCATGCTTTTATACTCTGCTTCCTGTTTGAATAGTCTGTCTGCAGTAACTGAAATGGAATCCTTTTTTAAAAATTCTTTTCATTCAGCTGATTTGCCAGTCAGCTATCTCAAATAGTGGTCAGGTCTCATTGGCTCCCTGCCTCTTTGCAGCTATGGCCAGTAAGTCCAGGAGACAGAACCAGAAATATGGAACTGAGTGGGAGTCATGACACTGAACTGTGCTCCATGACCTTGGTTTGTTTTTGTGATCTTTGAATATCCGTTTCCTCAAATGGAGTTGGCATAACAACATGAAGAGAGGACCTGAAAACTAACTGGTTCTAAATGGTTCTAAAGAATCAAAAGTTATCAATTAATACATAAAATGACAAGTAGACAATTGCAAA
The DNA here is from genome assembly GCF_000001405.40 of Homo sapiens. Classification (NCBI taxonomy): domain Eukaryota; kingdom Metazoa; phylum Chordata; class Mammalia; order Primates; family Hominidae; genus Homo; species Homo sapiens. The sequence continues at coordinate 187,319,712 of NC_000002.12, read as the reverse complement.
GCATGTGGAAAGAAATTTAAAAGTATAATGAATACAAATGTATGATGAGTCAGGAAAATGTGGAGCATTGTGAGTAATTTCCAGTAAACTATTAGATCAGCTCCGCTTTAATTGTCACAGGTGTTAGGTTATGAGGTGTCCTGGGGGAGAACAATTTATTCTATGGTTTCCAGAACACATTTGATTCATATCCTGTCTCCTATGTTTTACAATGTACCATATTTATCAGGTTACAAGATAAGCATTTTTTTTTCCTAGATGAATTGAGAATGACCCATCTTGCAAGGGTCCTTTTCCCCTAGGAGTTTATGGACAAAATTCAAGGGAACCATAAACTTGAATGCAAAAGAAAATCTTTATTTTTATTAACTGCTGGCTGAAATGTACTTTCTCTTTTCATTATAAATGTGGCCATAAATCACGATATTATTTGTAATATCTGTGAATATGTCACCAGTATAAATCATATGTATAGTCATATCACTTTGTGATTGTTGCAGTAATCTAAAAATAACTTTATTCGTTACCAATATTTCAAAGCTATGACAGTAATTAGACCTGCACAGATCTTGTTAGTTAAATGTGTTTATAAAGAAGGACATGTATTATTGTATCACAAATTTGTTTTTAATATGTGGATAACTGAATTTCCATATAGTCTATTTCCTAAGTAATCTACGTATTTCATTTTGGATTTTTAAAAACACTATTCTGAGAAAATATCCATGAGCTTTACCATACTACCAAAGAGATTCAGGATACACAACACATTGAAGAGCTCAGTTCAGAAGTGCAGTGATTCTCAAAGTTGAGCATGCAACTTTGAGAATGTGTAGCTCCAGAATCTCCTGGAGATCTTGTTAAAACACTAGTTACTGAGTCCACCCCATAGTTACTCATTCAGCTAGTCTGGGGAACCTGAGAACTTGCATTTCAAACAAGTTCCCAGGTGATGCTGATGCTGATGCACCTGGACCAGGGTCAACACTTTGAAAATGACTGCAGCAGCATTGCTCAAAAGAAAGAATAGCAGCTGTTACAATCAAAGCCTAGAATTGCTTAAAAAATATTAAAGGAATGGTGGGGAGTAATAGTTCAAAAGAACTTGGAGATCATACACATTTAAAAAAATGCTCAAATTATTTTTTGCTTTCAGAGGGTAGCAAGCTCACTGTAAGAAGATTTACATCTTTAAAATCTGGTCTCCTATCATAATGATAACAATACAGATCAATGGAAAACACTAGCATCCTTACTAAGAATGAAGTCATTTTTACACTGATGAAGGACAAAAATCTGCAAGTAGTCAGGATGCTATATTCAAGAAATTAACCCAGAATAAATCTGTCTTTTGATATTTTTAAGTGTACCTGCTTCAAAAACCAGTGTCTCTAAGTGTACCACACACATGAAGTCTCCCTGCTGAGTGCTGAGTGATTCATTGTAATAATAGATAACTTATTCTATTCCCCTTATTCCCACCCAGGGCACTTTTCAGAAAACTGTTAAAGATAGAAAAATTTTAAATTCAATTGCATAGATCTTGATGTGAACTGATGAATAGTGAAAGTATCTTTATATCTATAATTGATTTAAATTCTAAAGGTTGATTTTTCCATTTACAATTCAGTTAGTCTTGCTCCAGATTAGATTAGCTGCCTCTCGGTCTTTCATTTCTTCTTGAGCATGTCTATTTCTTCTCAGGCAAAAGTATTTTTACAAAGTTCTTTGGTCATAAATTCTCATTTCCTTTTGACCATAGATTTTTAATTCACGTTCCCCTCTGAGTTATACTTGTGAGTGTTAATGGATTAGATTATACATTCATGACTCTTTCTAAAAAAAGGAAGAGACATGCACAAATTTGAAAGAAAAAAATAGGGTAATTAGGAAACAATATACATGGTTTCTCTACACAATTATGTCCTAGAAATTGATGTCTAGCTCAGAATTCTAACATCATTCCATTTTTCTATACCCAATGTATACATGTTCTTTGTCTATCGGCTGTTCCATTTATGTTTGGCTTACATATTAAAAGACAAGATAATATTTTACTAAACATAGATAGCACACAAGTGAAAAAAATACAAGGGCCCGGCATTAATAATCCATGTTAAGCAAAGGACATTTGGATACTCAAACAATTTTCCCAGGATGATAGGCAGCTGACAGAAGTCAGAATGGAGCTAGGTTGCTAAATATAAATGAAAATCAGCTATCAACTAGGTTTAGTAAATTTAAGTAAATCTTACCAAGTTTGACAGCAGACTTTTTGAATTGAGAAACTGAGTAAAAAGCCACTTTGATTTTTCAAAAGATAAGGTCTGGAACATTTCATCTTTAAACAAAATTTTTTTTTTTTTTACTGACGAAGCAGCAGGGAGAATGATTGAAATAAAGATGCTAAACTATAAAAGAAAGTGATTTCTTAGTTTCCTTTCTACCAAAACAAATACAAGCTTTCATCAGCATCCAAGATCTTCAGGACGTTCCAAGATTTATTCTAGTTCAGAGAAAAAGCATGTGGGAAAGAATTAATAGAACCTTTGTCATTTTTAACCTTTTCAAGTACAAGGGAGGATGAACAGATACTAAGTAGTAAATTATAATAGCCAAGCACTTGATTAATTTGATATTTTTCTCTTTCACATGACATGAAAAGAAAAAAATATAGCTCTGAAACTTGTATTACTAACTTTTGCTTTAATTATAATTTTTCTGTCCATAGGAACCACTTTTGAAAGTGATTGTTTTCAGTTACATCAAAAGATTAGTCAGTGTATCTGTCAGGAAAGGAAAAAAAATCTTTATCTTGGTGAAAATATTTGAAACTGTTAGACATATCAATTTTTTTTTTGAGACAGCATCTCACTCTGTCGCCCAGGCTGGTAAGATCATGGATCACTATAGCCTCAACATCCTGGCATTCAGTAATCTTGCCATCTCAGCCCACGGAGGAGCTGGAACTACAGGTGCACACCCTCATGCCCAGCTAATTTTCGTGGCTTTTTTAAAAATTTTTTTCTTTGATAGAGACAAGGTCTCATTATGTTGACCAGGCTGGTCTCCAACTCCTGGACACAAGCAATCCTCCCCCTTGGCCTCCCAAACTGCTGGGATTACCAGCGTGAGCCACCACACCTGGCTTCAAATCTTAACAAATCTAATAAAAATCATTGATACCCCTGGAAAGATTTTATAGTACAGTATCACTTATAGTCAAACTGTAAGCTGTTTGTTTCCCAATTAACTGAACTGTGGAGCAAGCATACTCTAAAGGAGTTTTAGAAAACTAGTTGCTTTTCTGGATCCCTGGTAACAATTTATGAGAAGTAAAAAATACAAGAAAATAGAATGAATCAGAAAGTAGAGGAAGAGGTGAAAGTGAGGAGTTTCAAAAGAGAAGCAGGCTGGATCACACAATGTTTAGCTGCACAGGATTTTCAGTTAGAAAGGCCAGCATGCAAATCATAGTTCTGTCATTCCCCACCTTAGTCAAGTTGCTTAACTTGCTGAGTCTTCATTTCTTTTGTTATTCAGCAAGGAGGAAAAAATAACCATTTAAATAAATTTTGTATTAATTAAATCAGTTAAGATATTTATAATGCCTAGTGGGATATTAAATAATGAAGGACATTTCGAAGAACATAGTTTTAGGATTAGATTTGTTAAACAGCTACTGTGTATTATATATTTTAATAAGCACTTTGTTATATTAATAATCACCATTTATTATTATTTTATATGCCAAGCTCTTTCTTAGCTATTTCTTAAATATTAGTTTATTTCCCATTAATGTACAACTTTGCAAAGCATGTATTGTAATTCCCAGTTTACTTATGTGGGAGTTAAGAGAATTTAAGTCATTTGTCTAAGAGTCATATAGCCATAAGTGAGAATGTGAGAGATTTTATCTGAGACTAGAATTTTATATTAATTATAACTGAATACATCATTTGTTTTTAAGTACTACTAGTTAAAATATGAGTGAAACATTTGTGTTCCTAATTGTTAAATTTAAAAGTTCAATTGTACAATTTCCATTTTATCCGAGAATTTTAGGTAATAATGTGTGGCTGCTGATAATGGGTGTGTGTGTGGTGGGGCGAGAGGGAACAGGGGTGAAGATCAATGGGAAAATTTTCTGTAGAAATTTTATTTCAAGTATCTAAATATTAAGTAACCACTTTGATAGAGATCCTCATTTGGTTCACGTCTTTGATTCATTAAGAGGTTATAGACCAGAAAATAATATATGTATATATTATATACATATATATGTATATATATAATATATACATGAAAATAATATATATGTATGTATTATATATATAATACATACATATGTATAATATATATTATATATTATACATATAATATATATTATAATAATATGTCATATAATGAAACACATATTTGATAGAAACATCATTTTTAAAAGAAGAATGCAGTGTAAAGACTGAATGTAACCATGATCATCTACCCATAATGAACTACTTTGTGAGTAAAACTGTTGATAGAATAGACATATCCTAATTTCAGTGCAATGTACGTGATGATAAGTATTACAGAAATTTGTGTCTCAAGCCGAAGTACATAGAAGACCTTTCACAAATGGTTGTTGAATAAATAAATGAATGAATGAATTCAACTGTTTCACCCTACTGCTTCTGCCAAGGTCGCCAATATTCTTTTACTTTTTGGTCTCTGAAGAACTTACTAAATCTGGTGACTTGACTTCATGAAACTCTCCTCCTTAACTTCTAAGACATCACTGAATTTTTGTTTCCCCATCTCCTTTTGTGATCATTTCATCACTGTCACCTTTACTGACTGTTCCTCTTTTACACATCTCTTAAATGCAGGTTATTTACTGGATTCCCTTGCTCACCTCCTCCAATTATAGTCACTCTCTCTGGGTGATCCAAATCAGTGTCATGGCGTCAAATATCATACTTATATTGAAGAAAGAGAAAGAGAGAGGGAAGAAGGTAAGAAAGAAAAAGAAAGAAAGAAAAGCAGGATTAGCTGTTGGAAAAACCAACCTAATATCCCAATGTCATCTCATATCAATATGTTTAAAATAGAACTATATACTTTTCCTACTGATATTGATCTCCCCCAGTATTCTACATTTAATGGGTGTTACTGTTTTCTGTATTTGCTTAAGCCCAAATTTTAGAAATCCTCTTACATTCCTCCCTTTTCCAGAGTATCTATGTTCAATTAATCTCTATAACTATTAATTTTTTCTCACTAATGTCTGTCCTGTCTTCCTTTCAACTGCCTTAGTTCAGTTCCTTAGAATCTTTCACTTAGAGCATTATTTCTCCCTCCTATCTGAACTCCTCTGGCTGAGGTTTCCTCTCCCTCTGTAGATACTCACATGCTGCCCCTAAATGTAATATTCTTTACCCAGATCATTTCACTTTTCTACCTAAGACCTCTCTGCCTCACCATCACTGTAGTGTAAAGCTTGAAATCTTTAGCCTGGAATGTTAGGTCTTTTGCAACCTGGTCATGACTTATTTCTCTAGTCACCATTTCTCCCTTTAAAATTTTGTGCCAAGCACACTTAACTCTCTGTTCTCTGAACACACCACTCGCTTTCAGAACACAGTGCCTGGAATATCCTGCTCTACCTCCTCCTCTTAAGAAACCGTTGCTCATCATTCAGCAGCAGTTCAAAAGTACCTTATCCATGGCCTTTCCTCACTCCCTAGGGCAATTAGTTGTTCTGTTTTCTTCTCCCGAAGGACTTGTACTCACACAGTGATTATAGCAGTGGTTACATGTGATAGTAATAATTGGTTTTGATATCACTATTCTACACTGTACTGTTTTATTTTTCTGTCCCTCCATCCCAAATATAATAAATGCACAATAAGTTGAATTTATACAAGCATAAATTAGTGTTACATGTCAGAATTTTATTAAAACATCCATTTAAAATTATTGTATATTTTCTTTCAGCTTAAAATTATAGTGATCAATGTAATAATGATTTACACTATTTCAAAATGCTGGTAAATCCTATGTAATTTTAATTAAGATAAATTATTTATTTAAATAACTTATTTTTTAAAATAATAATCATATAATTTGCATGAGTATGCTAAGGTTTATCAAATCAAATTTCATCTCTTACTCTAGATCTTGGGATTAGTGCTGCAGGCCTTCATAGTAAGGCCATTAGTTATGATTTCTCTTTTTATTGCTATGTCTACAAATTACAGGTCTATCCATGTATTTTTTAAATATTTAAATATGATTTGACTTGAAGATTATAGATATGTGATAATTATGTTATAAAAAGTAAATATTCCTCAAGGAAGAATCTATTGGCCTCTGTTAGTAAAATCTATGACTTTAGTAATGGAGTTTTCTGAAGATATTATGGATTTCAAATATCTCCTCTACTTTCTTTCCAATTTCCACCTCAGTGTACTAGGAACAACCATAATTAGCTTCTATTCTAGCAATTACAAATTTTTTCCTGGTTTTGGTAATCATGTTTTCTTTAATTCATTCCTTGATTCATTGAGTTAATGGAGTAAACTCTTTCAATATCTGTACTGTGAAGGTCCTGAAAGAGATGCAATTCATGGTGATTAAAGGCCACAGTGCACCTCTCATCACAGCCGTTACAGACTTCTCACATCAGGTTTCTCCCCTCCACCCCTCCCCTCCCCTCCCTTCCCCTCCCCTCCCCTCCCCTCCCCTCCCCGTATCTCCTCTTCTTTTCTTTGTTTGTTTGGGATGGAGTCTCAATCTGTCGCCCAGGCTACAGTTCAATGGCATGCTCTTGGCTCACTGTAACCACTGCTACCCAGACTCAAGCGATTCGCCTGCCTCAGCCTCCCAAGTAGCTGGGATTACAGGCACCCAGCTGTAATCAAAATACAAAATTAGCCTAGCTAATTTTTGTATTTTTAGTATAGACGGGGTTTCACCATGTTGGCCAGGCTGGTCTCAAACCCCTGACCTCAGGTGATCTGCCCGCCTCGGCCTCCCAAACTGCTGGGATTACAGGTGTGAGCTACCGCGCCTGCCCCTCACATCAGGTTCCTATTGGCCAACAGATTTTCAAGGCGTTGTGTTACTAAAAACACATCATAAAAGATTTTTTGTAATAAACAAGTTTTAAATGAAAAAAGAAATCAGTATACTGAGTATCATGAAAAAGAAATAAAGTAGGGAATTCAGTAGATAAAATAGCTAATAAATAAATGTAGTATAAAATTTCTAAAGAGTATATAGGAGGAGATTTGGAAAATATTATTTATGCAATTCCACTATGAAACTGTCTATCTGGAAGAAAGGGCAAATTTCACAAATTCAATAAACTTTTATTTGAAATGTATAAATAAAAGGAATTTCTTTTACTTAATTTTTTGCCCCCAAATGATGTGTTCTCTGATAGTGTGAGTGTATATGCAAGATACCACCCAGAACTATAATATAGAAATAGTTAACCAAAATTATAATTTTCAGGTCTATTACAATGAACACGATCATCATACTCCTTCATCCTGTGGTTTCTATAGTTGATTTATTTTGCCTCTAAATATGTATTTAGGTAGAAAGGTGAGAAAGAAAGAATATTTGTTTAAAAGTGTTCTTTATGTGGGTACCAGGGAGAGACTATAGGATTCACATTTTTTTTTTTATTTGAGACAGGGTCTGACTCTGTCACCCAGGCTGGAGTGCAGTGGCTCCATCACTGCTAACTGCAGCCTCAACCTCCCAGGCTTATGCGATCCTCCCACCTCAGCCTCCCGAGTGTCTGGGAATACAGGAGCACACCACCATACCTGACTAATTTTTGTAATTTTTGTAGAGATGGGATTTCACCATGTTGCCCAGACTGGTCTCGAACTCCTGAGCTCAAGCAATCCACCCACCTCGGCCTCCCATAGTGCTAGGATTAAAACGCAATTTTTTTTAAATGAGAGGAAAGTAAATAACATTCATCAGATTCTCAAAAGGACCCATAATCACCCCAAAATTTAAGGTCCTAAAAAGCAGGGGGTGGAAGAGAGACAATGAATGAGATCAGAAAGGCCATAATTCCAAGGTAATAATTAAGAGTACTTTTGAAGCCCAAAATTAAAAATAAAAAGAATCCTAAAATAAAAGTTTATTAAAAAATTAATTGGCTCTCTAAAACTTTGCTAAGTGTTTTGTTTAATATGTGAAATACAGATAAGGGTATAATTTAAATAGAGTATTTATAATTTAAGTGTTCAATAATAGCATTTGCTACAAACAACTTTTGGGAAAGTTAGTTTTAAATCTACACCTAACAAAATCATCTCAGTCAAGACTGGCCTTGTGTATTCATACAAACTTTACACTGAAACCTGATTTTAGGATGCCTAAAACTGTAATTTGTATTGGATTTACTATTGAGGAGAATTAAATATATATATATATATATTATATATGCTTTACACATATGTGTGTGTAAATACATACACGTATCTCTCCTTTGCTCACAGAGACTGTACATAGATCAATAAGATGTTTCAGAAACAAAAGCAAAGACATTAAAAACCATTCACCCATGTCATCATGACCTTATTTTCCCCAATGATTTAGAAAAAGTGCTAGTCAAATCAACTGCAATAATATTTGCATTAAAATTATTCAGTCATTTTTTAATATAGCATATGAGCCATTCTTCTTAGAGTTTTGAGAGCTTACTTAATAAATGAATTACAGCTCCTTTTTACTGAAGTCACTTCCTGATAAACAGCCAACATGAAGAAATAAATAAATATAAGGCAGTTTGTGAATTCCAGGCTTCTTGGCTAGTCATAATTGGTGTGTTGTTATCTTGGCTTGGGGACAATAGTTGTAATTGCTTTTTTCTAAACAGCTGAATTCAATCCAACCCAGAATGTCATAAGTTTATGGATCTGTTATGTAAAAATTGAGATTAGCAAAGAAGACAAATGCAAGTGGAATAACATTTTTTAAACCTTTCCTTTTTCTCCACTCTCCATTCTTGTTTCATCAAATTGGAATCATCCCGACTTTAAAGGAATCAGGGTGAACCGCACTTTCCCAGCCACTGTTTGTCCATCAAGTTAAATAAGTACATATGTAGCTAGAAAATGTCTTTCCTTTTGCATATGTGGCATTTTATGCATATTAAAATGTGAATTAGTTTGCTTAAAACTATGGTTATTACATCATTATAAATATATCTATGTACCACTATGGTAGATAAGTTTCTAAGACATATTTTAAATATGTCATAATTATTACATATCTTAAGTTAGAACTTTACTAGATTTGAACAAATAAAAAATTGTTGATCATTATATTGCCTTCTTTCAAAACAATATTATTAATTCAATGTAAATTAAAATTATATTTATAGTATTTGTTACTGTTCAAAATGATCAATAATCCTGATGAATTTTTAAATTATTCAATTTATAAAAGGAAATTGAAGAAAAAAGAGGGGTATATGCTGAAGTAGAGAGAAAGAGAAATGTCATACACATAAGGAAAAATCTGAGAACATCCAGGTCTTCAGCAACAAATTTCAAATTTCAAGTATAAGAGAATATGCAGGTTAAGTGGAGATTTTTTAATAAAAGGACAAATGAGCATTGATGTGAAAAACAAAGCCAAACATTGTAATGTGACTAACACTTTCACCAGGAATTCTTCTAATAGGATAGATAAGAGGGGGCAAATGAACTCAATTTTCTCTCAAAGAAATACACAGAAATATTTTGCAAAAGTTCGATTATGAAAAGAGTAAAAGAAGGAGGAGATAGGGAAGACTGAAATTTCATGCCAAAGGGCCTGGACAGATGATAGTTAAAATCACAAAAGAGAAGGGATAGTGAGAGAACATTGAAAAGAAAACAGATGGTCTGAGATCAAATATTGATAATCCATAGCAGAAAAGTTATTACTATTCATTATAAAATTATAACATGAGTATAGTGTATTCTGTGTCAACAACGTTTTTATTTGCATGTTGGCCCATTTAAGTTGGTAGGTAATAGGAATGACTACACAAGAACAGTGAAAAGCTGAGGTCAACCAAACAGTAAATTATAATTTAGACAGGAAAAAATTAGAGAGCATCTAATACCATTTATATAGTACTACTCTGTGCTCTGTACATGATGCTAAGTTTTCTAAATCTATCTTTTAAATCTTCACAATAAATATTTTTTAGATAGGCATTATGACTCCACTTTGCAAATAAAAAAACTGAAATTCACAGAGCTTTTGTAACTTTCTTAACATCACATAACTAAGAAATAGCAGACGTAGCATTCATCTCAGATGTGACTGCATAGAAACACTTAATATATTAAAAAGTCTTAGCTCAATAAAAGCTGAGATATCTTTCTGCAATAGTAAAACTCAAATGTCTTGGACACTCATTCCCCTTTTAGCACTGTACACTTTTTGTTAAAAAGTAAATGAATCAAAAATAACCTATAAATTCTATGAACTAAGAAAAAGATATGGTTAGGTAAATTCGCTTATTTAATGTGGTCTATATTTTAGATACTCTTCTAAGTACTTTCCAATGTAATCTTCACAACTTCTCTGATATTACAATAATTTCATTCCTACACTTGTCTTTGCAATACTCAAGGTCTCAAAGACAGAAGTAGGACACAAGGTCTGCATATTTCTCTCCCCTCAGATGGAGGAAAGTGACAATAATAATAGCAGCTAGCATTTTGTGTAATGCTTCTATATAAGATGTATCCTAAGCACTCTACATACATTAACTCAGTCAATCCTCACAATGACATTATAAAGTGGGAAAAATACTATGATCTTTATTTTATCAATGAGTAAAATAAGGTATAGAGTAGTCAAGCAGTTTCCAGAAGGTTACAGAGATGAAAAGCAACAGATCCAGAATGTGAGTGGAGGTACTCTGGACTAACTGTTCAAGTTAACTAACTAGCGTTAGCTAATGGTCTCAACCAACAAGGTCTCAGAAGCCTGCTGAGGTCTGGGCTACAGAAAATGTTCATTTAAAGAAACAAAACATAAGAACAGGATAAAGAGCTACATTTCTACTTGTGCCCCACTCCCTACCAACAAAACCAAACAAAGTACAGAGAAAATTTACATAAGCTTCTATTTATATTTTATGCATTTTTTGAAGTGTATGAGGGAAAAACAGATTTTACAAATATTAAAACAAAGAGCAGTTAAACTAAAAACACAGCTAACTCTTGTTAATATTTTTATATTTAGCACTGAAATGACAAGAAAGACTATAAGAATTTCTAATTTTACGTGTTCCAAGCATGAATTTACCTAAATATTCAGACAAAGAGAAGAGGAAGAGAAGACGCTCTTTTGTTTGCTGGTGAAGTATGAGAACTATAGTTCTGAAAATACAAGTATCAATGAAATGTATACTGTTTATAAATGCCACATAAAATTAGTCCAGGATTTTGTTTGTTTGTTTGTTTTACTTTCTGAAGGCAAAGGGGTGTGGTTTTGTGATTATCTCTATGCTTTTCTTTAATTAATTAGGGTTTCTTCCTTGTGGTGCAATAATGATATAAAAATTTTGAATCACAATTTTACACGGGTATAACCAACACATTAAAGAATGACTGAATTCTTAAAAAATTGTTTCTGCTAAATATAGACTGACAATTGAAACATAGTATATAACATCTGTAATTTCATTTATAATTAACGCTTAGGGTCCAAACAAATATCAGACAAAGCAACACTGCACGCATAACCATTCACTTCTTCCCTAAGTCAGGTACTGTGAGAAGTTCCCTTAATGTGATTAATTCCACAGAACTCATATTAAAGTTATTCTGGTTTTAGCAGTTACTAAACTGAACTAAACTATCTTTCATCTCCTGCACTTTGCACATGACCACTGAACAAAGCAAATTCCAGAGCTGATAACATCCTTATTCTTGGCTGTCTCTATTTAAGTAAAAATATTTTTCTATAGATGATAACACGGCTTTCTGGGAAACACCAAAAATAAAAGAAAGCTGGTAATAGTATCTATGCTTTATATGAAGGAGAGTCTTTCTTTCACTCTCTTTATTTCTCTCTATTTCTGTTTCCATTTCTCTGTCTCCTGAAATCTACTATGGTTTAGCAGATCTTACATTTTGCCAGTGTCAGATTTTGAAACAAACATAAAGAATATTTCTTACATTCTTTGCTATGATCCTAAAAAATGATTTTTTTAACCTACATTAATTTATAAGTTAACTCATACTTTTACATTTATAATGTATTTGTATTAGTCTGCTTTTATGCTACTAATAGAGATATACCCAAGACTGGGTAATTTATAAAGGAAAGAGGTTTAATGGACTCACAGTTCCACATGGCTGGAGAGGCCTCACAATCATGGTAGAAGGCAAAGGAAGAGCAAAGTCACATCTTACATGGTGGCAGGCAAGATAGCGTGTGCAGGGGAACTCCCCTTTATAAAACCATCAGATCTTATGAGACTTATTCACTATGATGAGAACAGCAAGGGAAAGACCCACCCCCATGATTCAATTACCTCTCACCGGATCCTTCCCATGACACGTGGGGATTATGGGAGCTATAATTCAGGATGAGATTTGGGTGGGGACACAGCCAAACCATATAAGTATTACTTTCAGGTTCTCTTTGGCAAGCCATCATTTGTAGGCTAAAGAGTACCCTTAAGATATGTTTCATGTGGTTAATGATTTTCTTGAAGATATCAAAGAAGCTGGATTTTATTGATATATCCATTTCATTAACTGACTCCTTATGAATTAGGGCAAATATTACTTCCTCAGAGCAATCTTTTCAAACACCTTCTTTAATGATTCTTTCTGTCCCTCTTTCTCATCCAGTTACTCTCCACTGTATTGGCCTGTGTTATGATTTGGCTCTGTATCCCCACCCAAATCTCATCCTGAATTGTAATTCCCAATATTGGAGGTGGGGACTGGTGGGAGGTGATTGGATCATGTGGGGGTGGGGGTTCTAATGGTTTAGCACTATCCTCCTAGTGCTGTCTCATGATAGAATTCTCATGAGATCTGGTTGTTTGAAAGTGTATAGCACCTCCCACTTCACTCTCTCTCTTCCTCCTGCTCCAACCATGTAAGAGGTATTTCCTTCTCCTTTGCCTTCCACCATGATTGTAAGTTTCCTGAGGCCTCTCAATCCATGCTTTTTGTACAGCCTGCAGAACTGTGAGTCAATTAAACATTTTTTCTTTATAAATTACCCAACCTCAGGTAGTTATTTATAGCAATGTGAGAATGGACTAATATAGAAAATTTGTTTTCTTCAATCATTATTATTTTTAATTCATTTGCTTATATGGACTGTTTGCACCTACTAAAACGTAACCTCCATAAGATCAGGGATATTTTCTGTCTAATAATTGCTGTTTCATTAGTGTCTCATGATAGGAGCTCACTTCAGCACATGAATGAATAAATGAATGAAAATACTAATTATTGGTGATTATGATGTGGAATATTTTTTTGTTTTAGGTATCTGATATCATTCTTATTTGCTGCACATCCCCATAATTTTCTACCTATTATCTTGTTTCACCAATTATTGGTGGCAACTTGTAAAGATATGCCAGTCAAGTAAAGTGTATGAGCATGAAACTAAAAATCAATATAACAAATTGTGTTGTTCTAATGGAAAACACTAAAAACTTCATGTATTTATTTATTGACTCAACACTTATTTATTGACTACTTCATGTCAGTCAACTTGCTAGGTGCTATGGTTACAGTATGTATAAAATAGATAAACATGCAGAGAGTGTATAGCTTTATGGAGCTGAGAATTTGTTTTGAGAGGGGTGGAATATAACTACCAATCAAATAACTAACATTGTATAGTATGTTATAGAAGGGGGAAGATAAGTGGTGTCTTACCTTACCTAGAGAAAGAGGAAGGAGGCTCAATAAGGCCTCTCTGAGGAAGTTATATTGAGAATCAGCTCTCAGTCAGCCAAATCAGCAAGTGAGAGGCAGTAGGAAGATTGTTCCAATAAGGGGATCTAAATTTGGAAATTCAGTTAAACTTGAGATCTACTAATGAATATACCCTGAATAATAAAACAGCTTACTGTACATATACTATATTACATTAAAATATTTTCTCTAAATGATTATGCATAGACACAAGTACATTATAGATAACCAAAATAATTTATTAGTAGTATCTTCCAACTATCCTACAGAAGAAAAAATGTTTATAAGTGTGCCTTAATCCTTTTGATCTCTTTGTGCTATTATGATGAGGATCATCTAATGGTATAATTTTAGAACATGAAGCATACTTTTATTAGCAGGAGGTCTCCTGTCTTCAGAAATGGATCTGTTTTCATTTCCATGAAGGGAGAATATGGACACATAGAATTCCCACAAAGTTACAGGAAATCAGAGAATTCTCATTGACAGCTTATCAAGAATAATCATTTGGACAACATTGGGTTAGGAAGATAAATGCTTCCCATTTTAGGTAGATACCTTAGCACAAATTGCCAATAAAGGACTATGGCCTGCTGTGGTGATTTAAATGAGTCATTTCTACTCCTTTGTGTTACCCCTCTTTTCATAACCAAATGGTTCCAAGACACCAGTAAGATAACATTAGCAACGTGGACAACTTTCATTAAGGGATTGTCCTTCTGGACATCATTCAATGAAAGATGTCCACATTGCTAATATTATTTAAATCATTTAAGTCACCACGCATTTGAATCACCACAGCAGGCCATGGTCCTTTTTTGACAATTTGTGCTAAGGTACCCATATAAAAGATTGTCCTTCCGGACATCTTTTAATGAAATAAACTAATATTTTAATAACAAAATAATTGTTTTACTATTCCTAATTATGATTTAAGCAAACAAATCCATTCTCTCCTATTAGAAATTATCATAGATTTCAGATCATTAGTAACTCTTACTATGAACTATGGGAAAAAATGGAGACAAAACTTTCAAATTTTGTATTTTAGGTTGTGCATTAAAATGTGGGAATATTCTTGTCTAAAGAAACACAAAATCTGAAAATATACTATGATAGTAAATATAGTTAACATTTTTCTAACATATATGAGTATTTTCTTTTTCACTTTAAATGTAGTTGAGATTTTAACACAAGAAAACACTGAAATAATGGATATTTTAATATTGAAGAATTCAACCCAGATTTTTACAAGAAAGATATGCTTCCTATAAGGCAGAAGTGTTCCATTCCCATTCATATTGACTAAATATAACGTAAGATATGGGCTAGTTCAGAGAGTCATATTTTGTTTGAAAGAGAAAAAACCTTTAGCCTTCATCTAGATCCCTATAGTATAGCAGAAAAAAATAAACTTAAATATTAGTATAATTATGAGATATTCTTCCCTTTTTGGCATTTTATGATAACCTTAGAAAAACCTAAAAACCACAGTTTTTTATTTAAATGCACATATTCCTCTAAAGTGTATGAAGTGAGATATTTTTTCTCCCGAGAACACTTTTGTAAGCTTATCTTCTTCATCCTTTGTGGTACAGATAAATAGAGGCTTTATAATTTTTCCTTTCCTTTTGGCTTGGAGAACTGGAGCACCTTGCAAAGATTTGCAGCTGGCAAATCTTTTCTTAGGTTAATGAATATTCATCACCATTTGCAAAGATAAGAAAACCCTCAGTTCTTTTAATGCATAAGAGAGTTTGTCTCATCCCTAATGACTGCTTCTTGCTTTTGAACACTGAGTTACACTGGTAGAGAATTAATAAAAGAAAACTTCCCTACAAAGTATAGACAGAAAAAATGATTGAGTATCAGCCGTTGCAATTATAAAAACCATTTAATAATTTATTTTTTAAAAATTTTACAGTTGTAAATAATATTCTGCTGTTCTAGAATTTTGTTGTCACTTACAAGTACAGTGTATTGCATTAACATTAATAGGTATTCATCTTAAAATCACTTGAATGAATTCTGAAGTAGACTAAAAAATGCTCCCTTTGGACTTCAGCAGAAGAAACTAGTAGAAGACCATACCCTTAATTATTGAAATTAAGGTGTGCTTCATTGTCAATATCACCAGAATTTAATGGCAATTAATGTTCTTATTTGCTCTTCTGAGTAGAGTCACCAAGTTAATTATAATTACAAGTGTAAAACAAGAAGCTTTTAAAAAACTCTTACTATGTGGATATTGTGTCTAACATCAGTAAGGTTTTGGCTAATGGTATTTTTGAATTAAAAAAAGATAGATTAAAAAACCCACTGCTGTAAAATAAAATTAAGTATAATCTAATTTAAGGCAAACAAGAATAACAAGAGAAAACAAATATTTATAATTAATTTCTCATTTGATTGCTTTGTCTTTTGTGCCATAAGGTGTTTTATATTACAAAGACAAAATCATTCCCCACTGGGATGTTGGTTCACCTAAAATATACTAAATGTAGTATATATTAAAAGAGAAAATTATAAAATTTTAAGTGTTTACTTAAAAATATGACCAGGTTATTACAATTAAAATAAATTACATAAAGAAGAAAAATGCATTTAATTATAAATACAAAAGATTGATACTTAACCATTGTATATAATAATTAACTTATTCTTTTATGTTCCTAATATCTGAAGCCATTAAACAATTCTTCAGCATATCGTGCTCAATTATATAGTAATTATTTAGAAATGTTATGAGGCTGTTAACCGTTACACACACATACACACACACACACACACACAAACACACACACACACACAAAGATCTTTAGACTTTCCTGAACAGTACAACAACAAACTATTTTTGTTCAGACACTTTATACTGGGGGAAGCTATTTTTAGAGTGAATCACATCCTGGTCTTCAAAAACAATGGGATAAAACTGGATACTAAATACAAGGGCAATATTTCTACTCTGAAAAGGAAATGTGTGTGTGTGTGTGTGTGTGTGCGCACACATGCTCGCAAGTGCAATATCTTTCCAAAAATCTGTCAATGATTGACTGAATCCACTATATATTTTATAATCTGTTTTATCACCTGTGTACTATGCTTTCACATGATTCAGTTATTTGTTTTTATTGCTTCTTCTGAGTTCTTTCATAAATAATGTAATTCTACCTATTAGTGGTTTCGTTTGTTTTGAAAGTATAATTCTTATTACCAAATTAAGAATTATTACTGTGTACAAATAATACACACCAACAGTGTGTTTACTACTGTGATCCCATTTCTCCTAAGTAACACTGAAATTTCTTTTAAAATGTTAGAGAAGTGTGCCCTTTACAAAAGGAAAATAGAATTTCTGTAAATCAAGTGGTCTGAGACAGCTTGCAAACAGATGGGAAGTTCCTGCTGCTTTTGAACTTTTGCCATGCAAAGTTAGTACACACAGAAAAGCACTCTTCGATGTTCACTTCTTTGTGTTTTCTTCTAAATGGCAATGGTGTTGTCCAGATGTATATTCTAAATGAATTTGCTTTTTTAAAAAATACAAAGAAGTCTTGCCAAATCATAGCTTTAAAAATAACACAGATTGCAGTGAATAGCTGTTTCTAAGGTCAACGTGACATTCGTAATTTTTACTCACTTTATCCTCCTAACAGAAAAAAAAATTAAATTACTATATAAGTTGTTAATGGAAAGAAACATATGATTTTCTTTCTTCAGGTTAGTTTTCCCTGTTTATTTAGAATTGTGTTGCAATGTTAAAGATATACTTCTGAAATTAATAGAAAATACAATTTATTATGTCATGGTCTGTGGAAAACTTACGACACAAGTATAAAATACTTTCGCTCCAGTTCGAAACATTTCTTCAAATGTTTAGATACTGGAAGCGGAAATAGTAAACAGTACATTTTCAGAGTTTATGTTAGCCTTAATTTGTCAACAAAATTGCAGAAATATTATACTTGAACATTTTATACTTTAGCATACATTCATAAATGTATTGTTATTAAAATGGAAAGTCCTTTTAGGAACAAAGGGCAAATTTTGATTATGCCATTTAAAAATCTAAATTATATGGCTGCTTTCCATATAATCACTGAAAGCATTACAGACTTGGTTAAAACAGAAAATATTAGAAAAAAATTTGGGGGTACACTATAATAATTACTTTTTATTAATCTCAGAACTTTATGTTATATCAGCTAAAACCAAAATCAAGCAAAATATTCTTCAAGAGAAGAATGAATCCATAACAATTTATGATATGCTTTTTTTTTTCTTTTCTTTTTTTATTATACTTTTAAGTTTTAGGGTACATGTGCACAACGTGCAGGTTTGTTACATATGTATACATGTGCCATGTTGGTGTGCTGCACCCATTAACTCGTCATTTACATTGGGTATATCTCCTAATGCTATCCCTCCCCCATCCCTCCACCCCACAACAGGCCCCGGGTTCTGATGTTCCCCTTCCTGTGTCCAAGTGTTCTCATTGTTAAATTCCCACCTATGACTGAGAACATGCGGTGTTTGGTTTTTTGTCCTTGTGATAGTTTGCTGAGAATGATGGTTTCCAGCTTCATCCATGTCCTATGATATGCTTTTAAAATATAGATATGAAATTAAGCAATGGCTTCAGAAGGTTTATTTTTGGTACTTCAGTGGTTAAAATAATATTTCTCCACAAAGCCTTTCAACCATGATATTGGTATATGGGCTCTGTTATTAAATCAGTTAAAATGAGTAAGAGATTGCATAAAGCTTGCCTTCAGTAAGTAGTTCTCCTAACTTTTAATTTTAAAAGCAATATTAATTTTCTATCTTTGAACCAATATTAATATTAATTTTATATCTTTGAGCAATATTAATTTTCTGTCTGAAGCAATATGTTTTAGACATGCTACTTCACTGAGCACAAAATACACTGATTAAAATTTAAGAAAGAGAAATGTAAACAAGTGTGATAATAATTAGAAAGCACTGAGTGTGACTCAAATAATTCAGAGAGTAATCCAATAATTAAAATAACCTACAAAGTAAATATTTACATTTTGTGAGTGCCAAGGGAAAAACGTGTTTATTAGTAAAAAAGAAACCAAAAGGTTTTAATCTGGTAGGAGCAATTTTCTCTTTTGTCATTAGGGCTTCGAAAATAATAGAGGGCAAGGGAGAAGATGGATAGGTAAGCACTTGTAATGTGTATTTTAATTGTGGCTTTCTGATTATGCCCTTGTGCAAATATTATTAAAACAGCAGAAATGTTTAAAGTCCTGAGCATTGGCAGTTTTTTGACAGGCTTATGGGAACGATAGAGCTTCTTAGGACTTACTTCCTCTAATAATAAGGCCCCAATTCAAAGAATCCCTCTGTCATTGCAATACAAAAATACTTGTGTTAATTTTGGCTGTAATGATCACTTTAGTTACAAGTAGACAGTGAACTATAATTTGGTTGCAAAATGTTATGCTCTATGACAGTGCAAAAAACATATTCATCTATACTGAGGTAAGTACTAATAACATACTCATTCAACAAAAATGCTGGAGAGCCAAAACACTATTCTACATTTACCTTTGGAAACAACCTCACTACAAGACGGGGAGAAAAGATATATCAACCAAAAGTTTAATACAATGTTTTAAATTATACAAAGGAAATATATATAAAATGCTGTAAGTGCATCAAATAGGAAGAAGGCAGTAAGACTACAAATAGCAATGTTATTAGTAGATCATTCTCAACTTTAAATGCCATACTAATAACTTTGGGCAATGAAGAAATATCAAAAGGTTTGTTTTCCAACGGGACAAATCTCTTTTAGCCATGTGAGTTCTCACACTGATACAAGCATGACAAGTCATCTTTAGTCAGGAGGAATGCTATCCAAGACTTCAGAATTAATCCCCACAATCCCATCCAAAAGCTATCATGTATCCAGACTCTCAACCTGTCCCCTAATTCTGGCTTCCTGCTGCTCTCCTTTTGCTGTGATACTTGGACCCTGCTCTTGGCCTTTGTTCTTTAGACTGAAACCTTAAAGACTCTCCCTCTGCTCAACCTGACACTCCTCATGCTCACCTAGACTGGGTTATCTAAGAGTAGTCTTGGCTCTGGTCTCTCCTAGTAGTTCCTTCTTTGAGTATTGTTTCCCACACACAGTATCTAGTTATCCATGCCATGGAGAATTGTTTCAAAGATTAAAATGTGATAATGAGAGTGAAAACAATACTGCTTTTATATTCTTATAAAATTTTATATATTATATTGGCTACTGCCCTTGGTACAAAGACAGTGGATTAGTTTCTTGGTTCTCCTACACTTCTCTATTGCTAAATGTTGCACTCACTCTCCAGGGGTCTTTAGTCATACTCTTCATCTCACATCAGGGCACTTGGTCAAGTTCAGATTTTTGGCCTGGGCTGCACTTTGCTGCCCTCTTCTGATACACAATCATTATGCTTTTGATTTGACAAACTAACCAATTTTCAGATCTCTGTGGATTTAACCCTTTTCAGGTTTCTACTATCTATCACCATTTTTAATATTCCTGCCTATAGCAATTATTGCTCTTTCTATAATATTTAAGCAGGCTGAAGATGAATACTTACAGGATAAATTACTGTAACTGCCTACATTTAAATTAATGGCAGCAATAAAACTTGTCCTGTGTCCATGATTATCTCAACTATGCCAAATTATCAGAAATGATCAATAACTAAAGGAGGATTCAAGTTAAAAGCATAGCTATACACTAATTACCATAAACACATATTTTTCTTATTTGTTTGCAATAAAACCTTCTGATATACCTATTTATTCATTCATCTGCTCAACAGATATTTATGTTTGTTTTGTATCTGCTTCTATCCTGTAGAATGGATACTTTATTTATTCATTCACTCAACAAAAATTTATGTTTGCTATATTTCCGCTACTAACCTGGAGAGGCACTGACTCAAATAACTTACAGTCTAGTGGAACAAATATTTGCATTTCCAAAAGTGGTACTGGGGGTCTGTGAACACATTTTAGAGGAAGACTAACTGTGCCTGCAAAAGTCAGAAGAAAAAGCCTTTCTGCATACTTATAGTATATTATCAAGAAAGAATGGAAGATATAAAAACAGACAAAGGAGGGAAAATCATTCTGGGTGGAAACAATGGCAGATTCAAAGATATGAGGGCATGACATGGAAAGAAATTATTATTTAATGACTATTACATAGAAAAAAATTCTGAGAAGGACAAGTAATAAGGCTGGAAAGAAAGACATGAGTCAGATCACAAAGGTACTTAAATTCTTGGTAAAAGATCTTAGATTTAAACCTGTAGTCAATTAAACAATAGGCAGCCATTAAAAGAGTTTTAGTACAAGAGTAGCGTGGTTGAAATTGCATTTTGGAATTAAATACCTACTTCTTGACTTATGTACTGAAGTAGAGGATGACATGACAGTGGCAATTAGACTAGGGTTGCCAAAAGCAAAATAATTAGGACACATTTGGAAAATATCTTGAGTTTTAAGTAGAACAATGTAGAAAGCCATAACAAGATGAGAAACCAGAAGCAAATACTGTATTTTGACTACAGTGCAATAATGAACAGGAGATTTGGAGCTGTTAAAAAAAAAGCCATGTTCAGACATATCCATGTAGTTTTCTAAATTTCAAAGACACCAAGAACATTTCAGACATTTTTCAAGTCAGAAGATGTTCCTAAAGCTTATCTTATATGACAGTCAGCTGTTCAAATTCTTCACATTCCCCTTTGCCTACTAAAATTCAGGCTTTCAGTATTTAGACTTCCCTAAGATCTGTTCTCATTTACTCTGTTACTATTTCTTTAAATATTTTATGTCAGCCAAAGTGGATTTCATTTCCCCCTAAAATCACTGTTTTTTTGTCCTACTCCTCTTCCAACCCCATTAATTTAATTTCTATCAATGTTTATGAACTATTTTAATTTTACTGCTTTCTTTAATCTTTTAGTTATGCCTGCATATGCTCTATCCTTTCTTGGTGTTGTCATACTAGCTTGATTATTCTCTATAAGATTCTTAACATGTTTAAGCTGTATCTATAGTTCTTTTTGTGCATTTCTGAGCCCTCTATCCTGATACTAAAATGTACTTGAAAATATGCTTCATATGAGTTACTTGTTTTTTAACTACTTGAATTTTCTGGCACAAGTCTGTGTCCAGAAGAATTCTCAAAAAACAATAACAAAGTGATAGATAAAAAGAAAAAAGTTGTGGAAGGAGGCAAATTACTGTCTAGTTTTAAATAATTCTGAACAATAAATCAATATGATGAGGTTAACGGAGAAAATAAATCTCTGTTAGCTGGAAAGTTTCATTGTTTTGACTCATAAAACCTTATTAGTCAATGATTTTCTCGTATGTAAAATCTCATGTATTATATAATTCTGGCCAAGTAGAGTAAATGAAATTCAAGGTGAGTTATGTAAGATTACCTTGGAAGCAGAAGCATCAAATCATAAGTGTCATATGAGGAAACCATGTATAACAGATTCCATGAGAGCTCAATTTAAAAATATGTTTTTGCTATGATGAAATGCTATAGCGCCATCTTTGATGAATGAACACAGAAGCACATTCTCATACAAGAACAAGAAAGCCCTAGAGGGCCATCAAGTCAAGCTGATGTACCATTCAGGCACTGTTTTTCTTATTCCCATGATATCTATCTCCTGCATTCTTGATCAGCCCCAGTAACAGAAGCTCATTTTGCTGAGACATATCTCTGGGCAGTCTAGCTGAAGCTATTTCTTCCTCTCTCTCTCTCTATGCTATTAGTTAAGAGTATTTTGGTATTTTATTGCTCTTTTTTTCCAGACAGCGTTATTCAGTTTCTCATCAGTAACTCGTGTACACCAAAACCATCCCCATCTTTCAGCTTGATGAGAATTGACTGTATTCATCCAAGGGATATTTACAAACAAATGCTTGACAGTTTTAAGCCACTAAAATTTTATACCTACACTTGTGTTTGAACTTTAATTACTTTGTAACTGTGGGACATATTTTAACAGATGAAAGATGAACAGATCTTCTGATAATTAATTTAAGGCTATTTATTTATCAGATCTCTTATCTGAAACACCAAGTGATAAAAGGCTGAACTTTTGCGTCAGTAGAAGATAGGATTGCACAATTTTTTAAATAAAAGGTGATCACATTGATATGGTTTGACTCTGTGTCCCTACCCAAATCTCATCTTGAATTGTACTCCCATAATTCCCACATGTTGTGAGAGGAACTTGGTGGGAGATCATTGAATCATGGGGGCAGTTTCCCCCATATTGTTCTCATGGTAGTGAATAAGTGTCACGAGATCTGATGGTTTGATAAAGGGAAGTCTGTTTCCCTTGGCTCTCTTTCTCTTGCCGCCACCATGTAAGATGTGCCTTTCACCTTCCATCATGATTGTGAGGCCTCCCCAGCCACGTGGAACTGTAAGTCCAATAAACTTTTCTTTTGTAATTTGCACAGTTTTGGGTATGTCTTTATTAGCAGCGTGAAAACGAACTAACATACACGTTTTGCAAAAATTTAAATCCTCACTAATAAATCTGCAAAATAAGCATGAAATTTCAAATTAAGTATATAAAACAATATTATACATTAATTATAGATTCATATAAAATTATAACAGACATAGGAGCGATAAAAACCAAGCTCTCAAACCGAGGCGGGCGGATCACGAGGTCAGGAGATCGAGACCATCCTGGCTAACACGGTGAAACACCGTCTCTACTAAAAATACAAAAAAATTAGCAGGGCATAGTGGCGGGTGCCTGCGGTCCCAGCTACTCGGGAGGCTGAGGCAGGAGAATGGTGTGAACCCGGGAGGCGGAGCTTGCAGTGAGCCCAGATCGCGCCACTGCACTCCAGCCTGGGCGACTGAGCGAGACTCCGTCTCAAAAGAAAAAAAAAAAAAAACCATCTCTGGGGAGAGACATAAATGAGGAAACTTTAAACTGCATCTCTTATGTTTTAATTCTTAAAAATGAGGCAGAGATCTAAAGCAAATATGACCAAATATAACGAGTTATCAAAACTGAATATTTTGTAATGAAATGGCTTCTATGTATTAAAGCCATACTAACACCATTAAGTCTTTTGCCTCTTTTATTTTATAGAATAAAAACTGCAGCAGATAGGTTAAGTAAGATAGCCCAAATCGCCCAGCAAATAAACACAGAACTGGGCTGGAATGCAAGCATTTTGGCTCCAGAAGCCATGTTCTTAGTCACTACATTACACTAAATTACATTTTATTTATTTACTTATTTATTTATTTATTCAATTTTTATTGATGCTTAATGTGGCTCTTAAAGTATACAAAAACATAGAATAATCAGAATATAAATTAGTTTAGAAAATTCTTTTTAAAAAATGTTTACATAGAAGCTTTGAAAACTTGTGCTATGATTTGTGAATAGATAGAAGGTTAATATGGACATTTGTAATGACTTTCATTCTCACGACATAAATTAGGCACTGTTTCACAGAAGTATAACTTTACAAGACATGAAGAGTAGGAGCTTAAGTATTTTAATTAAAAATGCCTAAATTCTGATTATTTAACATGTTGATGCAGCCATCCTTTGGATTTAGAACAACTAGGGTATTTTTTTTCCACCCTGTTTATCTCTTAAAAACAATGGTTTGAGATTTTTCTCAAATGTCAGGGTAGGAATGAGGGGTATGATACTTACAAGTTCCAAATCCAGAAGGTTAGATATTTCTGAATTATTTTAATGATGCCTTAATAGAAAATTGTTCAAATATATTTTTACCTGTGGTATGCAGTTGATTTAAATATTTGGAGTAATGTATGAAATTAATAGTAGAATGACTTCTTATCCTTAGTACTTCTCATCCTTAGTACTTCTCTACAAAATTTCCTTTCCACTGATATCCCACCAATTCCAGACACTTCAGTAGCCATAAAAATCCAATCTGTCTCCTATTCTCAGCATGAATACCATGCTCTTATTGGGCTCCCCATCTCTGTGTTAACATTTAGAACGTGCCTCCAAGCAGAAAACTGGATTCTGGGGTTTATCTCATTTATTTCCTTTATCTTAGGTATTATAGCTTTGCAACATTTTTGTTCAAAATCTGAAAACAGTTATTTTATATATTTTCTCCATCTTTTTAATTATTAATGTTGGAATGTGAATTTAACTATTTGTTATTTCCAGAAACAGAAATTGCCATTATACATTTGAAATGATCAGAAAATATGCATCCTTGATACATGTCCACTACGTATAAATGCATATGTAACATTAAATTGAAATTTATGGAATGATTAATAGTTCACTAAGTTATTTTTATAACAACTGTCTAATCTTGGGCATATAATATATCCATTAGTTTTATTTTTTACTTTATTTTATGGATTAAGATTCTTAGCCTTTCTGACTGGTTTGAGATGGTACTTCATTGTGGTTTTGATTTGCATCTCTCTGATGATTCATGATGATGAGCATTTTTTCATATGCACGATGGCTGAATGTATGCCTTCTTTTGAGAAGTATCTGTTCATGTCCTTTGTCCATTTATTAATGGGGTTATTTGTTTTTTGCATATTGATTTGTTTAAGTTCCTTATAGATTCTGAATGTTAGACCTTTTCAGATCCATAATTTGCAAGTATTTTCTCACATACTGTAGGTTGTCCATTTACTCTATTAATAGTTTCTGTCAGAATGGCTACTATCAAAAACTCAAAAAATAACAGATGCTGGAGAGGCTGTGGAAGAAAAGAGAACACTTATACACTGTTGATGGGAATATAAATTAGTTCAGCCACTGTGGAAAGCAGTTTGGAGATTTCTCAAATAACTTAGAACAGAGTTACCATTCAACCTAGAAATCCCAGAACTAGGCATATACCCCAAATAAAATAGATCATTATACCAAAAAAAAAAAAAAAAAAAAACCACACACACACATGCACTTGTATGTTCATCACAGAATATTCACAATAGCAATGACATGGAATCAAACCACATGCCCATCAATGGTAAATTGGATAAAGACAATATAATACATATATACTATGGAATACTACACAGCCATAAAAAATGAAAATATATCCTTTGCAGCCACATAGATGGAGCTGGAAGTCATAATTCTAAGTGAATTAACATGTAAATAGAAAACCAAATACCTCATGTTCTTACTTATAAGCAGGAACTAAACATTGAGAACATACATACATAAACATGGAAACAATAGACACATAAATACCAAGAGAGAAAGGGATGAAAGGGAACATGGGTTGTAAGACTATCTATTGGGTACTATGCTTACTACCTGAGTGCAATATACCTATAAGAAACCTGCACATGTACCCCTGTATCTAAAATAAAAGTTGAAGAAAAAAAGATTCTTAGCCTAAAGTAGTTAAATTATTTGCCCAAGACCACATAGATGGGATTGGAACGTAGGCATTTAATGCTAATTTCTGTGTTCTTCCAAAATTGCATTATGCCTTCTTAGATGAAGAATGCAAAAAAATTGATCTAGAGAATTAAGGAACATCTTCCCATCCACTCAAAGCTTTAGGAAGCTTAGACCTCAAGGCACATACTCATATTTCATCAACAGGTTTTAATTCTGACAGGCAAAGCTACAGGAGCCATCTGGAAAAAGAAAAGAAATTTTCCCACCCATAGCTCCCCACTGACTTTAATATGACCCACGAATACTGTTAACAAATACCAGCTGTCTTCCCCACACAACATTTCACTCCTATTTGTTTGTCTTATTTTTTTTCAACAATTTAAGGAGGAAAAAAGCATTAATCATTGACATCCTGACATATTGAACTAAAATAATTAGTTGGATTTGCTTTGTTTTGAGCTCTTCAAAGTCACTTGTATTCTTTTACTTGCAAAGAGTTAGAATTATCAGCCAAAATAAAAATAATAATAAATACTAATAATATATGATAATTGTTAAGGTTTAGGAAACAGCATTTCAGATGCAATATATTATTAAAAATATACTATAGTTACACATAAGTCATGTACCAGAATTACTGAATAACAACTGGTTTTCTCTTAGAGTTTTATTTACTAGATTAGGAAAATAAATTTTTGTCTCTTGGTGTATATTTGTAAAGTTTTTCAAACTGTTTATAACTGTTTCTTTGTCTGTAAAATGAGTGGGTTGAATCTTTGAAGTCTTTCTTGTTTTTCATAATTCCATCAAGAGGTTCATCTCTATTGAAGGCAGTGTGCAGGCATCAGTGCATCTCTCACCTGCCCCTGGAACTTTTCCTAGGGAATACATGGATGGCCTAGGATTCACTCAAACAAATCCAGACTGAAGTATCCTCTTTTCTCTTAGGTAGTCTTTTGCTCTGGGGAAAGTTGTTAACTATGTATGAGAAAACTAGTAA
Organism: Homo sapiens; assembly: GCF_000001405.40. Taxonomy (NCBI): domain Eukaryota; kingdom Metazoa; phylum Chordata; class Mammalia; order Primates; family Hominidae; genus Homo; species Homo sapiens. Next base: position 187,292,311 of record NC_000002.12, on the reverse strand, counting down.
TATATATTGGTTTCCTCATTGGGAAAATGAGAAGAAAATAGCTACTTTAAAATAGATTTTAAAGAAGAAACAAATACATGAGAAAATACTTTGTAAACTTTGAAGTATCACACAAATGTGAGGAAGTCAATATAGCAGTAATTAAGAAAAAGAGAGAGAAAGAGAATAGTTTAAGCTAGGCTACACAGACATGTCATAGCAAAATGAGCTTCTGTTATGAGTGCTGTTTAAGAATGCAGAAGATAGAATCACGAGAATAAAAAAATAGTGCATACCAACAGGAAAATGTTGACTTGCTCTAGGAAAGAGGTCATACTTACACTACTACCTACAATTTTATTAATTTTGTGATAATTAAATGTCATTTTGCAAGACTTACCCACCTTTTGTACATGTCAAATAATTGAGTAAAATTGAAATATGATTGTTATTCTATATGCATCTTTCAAGTTTTCAATGATGACACTCATTCTGCAATTCTATCAGGGAAAAGGCATTGTTTTTAGTTTGTTTTTCAGTAGGGAGAGTCATTTCAAAAGCTTTTACTTAATCTTTCTTTCTTTAATAGCTCTCACTCCACAGAATACGAAGCCATGTGGGTATTGAGTCAGTTCTTAAATATGATCTTCCAACAATTCACTGCAGATAGGGAGAATATCCACAGGTTGCTTCCACGGACCCACTAGGTTCACTATAAGATGGAATTAGTACCAATCAATATTTATTTCTGTCACCAATAACTCCTCTGTCTGACCAGGGGGCCATAATTATGGCTCAGATTCCCAGTGAGTAAGGTCAATTCTAAGCCATTTTTTCTAAAACTCCCATAAAGTTCTGAGTATTTCCATTTTCTAATGCACAAAAATTCTGAAAAATGGCCATCGGTATCTTCAGAAAAAACACAGAGGAAAATTAACAGTACATACTTGTGGTCATGTTTCAGGTCTCTTCTCTAGGTTACTGTCCTCACCTTCATTCAAGAAGTTCTAAGTCTTTGTACTGGCAAATGAATGTAAAGTGGCTAAGTTCTGGAAACTAAGTCAGAGGCTATGCCTGTTTTAATGACTCAAGTCATGTCATGTTTAGAGTTATTCTTTAATATAAATCAATAATATTTTTGTATATTGTCCATATGTTTCAGTCCCAGAAATTGAACAATTAGCCAGTGCCTCAGGAAAATCACTCTGGTCATTACCCAAGTTCTTCCCTTCATGGTGACTATGCTACTGTGCTCAACTTGTCTGTTCGTTAAGCACTACCACTCAGTCTTTCCCATTTCAATCATTTCCACTGAGATAAAGTAATAAAATTTTTAACTGGATTTTGCATCACTACCCAAATTTCAGAGAGCAAGCAATGCAAAAGTGTCCGAGATTTTTCAATTCACTGGTAAAGAGAATGTTCTCTGGACCCACTGTGGGATAGGAGGAAAAGTGATACATGTTAAATTTATTCTAACATCTCTATCACCATAAGTCTTTGGATGTGGGATCTAAGCTTCATTAAATATGAAAAACCCTTGAGTCAAAGTTTGTCAATCAACTAAGTACAGTTTTAGAGCCACTCCTAGCTGCTTCTTAAAATAGAATTTCTACTCCAAGAATTTCTGTTCAGTGTACTAATATTTATAAATTTGATGCAAATGTTATGTTTTACCATCTTTGGTCTAATATTATGAGAAAACTCCCATACATATTCTTCAAATTTCTGCCAACAAAAACTGAGATTTTTTTTTTTTTCAAAAATCAGTGCAATTACACTGTGTATAAGTGATCTCTTCCCAGGTTGGATTTTCATATAAAAACAATTGAATTGTTAATTCAATTTTTTTTGTAAATTTTTCATCCACAATATCAAACTTTTAGTATAAATTTTATTTACAGCAGCCTTGGGGGCGATTCAAGAAAATAAATAATTTTAGGGCAATTCCAGAAGCACTCTGGTTGTTTGACAACGACTTGAGCTGATTAAAATATTCAGCTTGACATTTTTCCTCCATAATCTTTCCAGTTAAGTCATAGGCAGCCACCCTAATGCTCCATTTATTCATTATTTACTCAACTATGATCAAGAGCAACAGACCCTTGGCTTTCCAAAATTTTGTCTTCAATGGGCACTTCATACCAGATAACTACAGCAAACAACGTGAATGACTATTTTGCTACTGCCTGCTTCTGACTACCAGCTTTCAATGTTTCACTAGCAATGAGGTTTTCTCTGTATTTAAATTCAATTAGATAAAATCACAAATCCTAGATGGTTATCATTGTAGATATGTTTCCTGACCTCATTCTTGATACCAGTAACAATATCAGTCTATGTTCCGTTAGGGGGGAAACAAAGTTCCAAAAATTTTAAGTCTTGAAATTGGTTACAAAGCTTTTCGTATTGTTGAAATACCAAATGGTAAAAATGATATGGGAAAAGCCAACAGAAGTAGAAGGACTTAACCCAAAGTTCAAGAAACTGTTACCAAGTCTGAGGCTGATTTACTAGAAAGCTGCTATTCCCTCTGTTCTTGTTGGAGGAACATAAGAATTTCTCATTTTGTGAACAAATAACTGCCCTTTGAGCAAGATATCAGGGGCCTGCACACCCACTGACACTGTGAAAACTGTCACCAATGTGTTGGAACCCACAGTTGCTCTCTGTTATCTGCCCAGGCCCACAGTCCCACAGGACAGCATAGTGGAAGTTGGAAGGAAATGGTTCTTCTTTCCTTCCAATATACCATCAGTGCCACCTTTAAGTTTAACCTAACAGGAAGCCAGAGAGCATAAAATTAGTTTTCAGTCTTCTAGTCCCAGTGATAAAAGAGTATAAGTGGACAAGGATAAACATGAGCGATAAGACACTATTGGGCACACAGAGAAAGAGTAATTCTTAGCTGGAATTTCATAAAAATCTTGTCATTATTTCCAGTATATCCAAATAGTCTCACTAGTGTTGTATTCAGATACTACTATCTGTGTACTAGTAATATATGGGTATATTTAAAGCTCAAAAGCATTTCGTAGTTCTGATTTACAATTATTATAAGTATCATTAGGTGTGATTGCGGCTAGTATCTGTGGTAAAAGAGAACTGAGTGAGTCTAGTTGCCTGGGAAGTTGAATCACAAGCCCTTTGTGGAGAACTAAAGACCTTGTTAGAGAAATGAAAGTTTACCTTAAATCATGCTAATCTTTAGTATACAGATGTATTTTCAACAGTGACTGCTATTCACAAAGACTAAAGAAGTAATATTTAGCAGAAATTTTGTCAATGAGGTTTGGACTAGCATCTTTATAAGTGATGTGAAATAATAAGAGACACTAGATAGGATGATCTAAAATTCATTTGCTTTAGTTTCTTATTTTTCCACTTATTTCTTTAGACATAACTGTGGGAATGGTACTTTTATCTATTAGGAAATGAGGTCTTGCAACTGCAAGAAAAAAAATTACTGGGTGGAAAAGAACAGTCACAGTGAAAATTAATCAAAGCCCAGAAAATTAAAACTCTAAGAAATAGGTTTTTGGAAGAAGTAGTGTTTCTTTCACTGGAATTTCATCTTAGTCTCTAGGTTTGGAATATCCCTATGGAAGTTGCCTGAAGCTGAGAGAGCCTGGGGCTTCTATAACAAGATAAACACCTTTTTGAAGGGAGACCTCTCCCAGTGTGGTTTAAAATCATGTCATGGTTTTTGGACAGCTGACATGAACTAACTAGTGTCCCAAAAAGGCAGAAACCAAAAAGCTTTTATTTTTTGTTTGTATTACATGTTCTCTGTGTATCCAGTTCATTCCAAATATTTCTGAGCCTTAGCTGGGGTCTATGACAGACTAAAGCATGAAGGAACCAAAATGTAATATTCACTGGGCTCAGGGCCTATTATTTTCTATTGATACAGTGGAAATGGAGCTTAGAAAATACATTTATATACAAATCAAAACCACAATGAGATACCATCTCACACCAGTTAGAATGGCAATCATTAAAAAGTCAGGAAACAACAGGTGCTGGAGAGGATGTGGAGAAATAGGAACACTTTTACACTGTTGGTGGGACTGTAAACTAGTTCAACCATTGTGGAAGTCAGTGTGGCGATTCCTCGGGGATCTAGAACTAGAAATACCATTTGACCCAGCCATCCCATTATTGGGTATATACCCAAAGGACTATAAATCATGCTGCTATAAAGACACATGCACACGTATGTTTATTGCGGCACTATTCACAATAGCAAAGACTTGGAACCAACCCAAATGTCCAACAATGATAGACTGGATTAAGAAAATGTGGCACATATACACCATGGAATACTATGCAGCCATAAAAAATGATGAGTTCATGTCCTTCGCAGGGACATGGATGAAATTGGAAATCATCATTCTCAGTAAACTATCGCAAGAACAAAAAACCAAACACCGCATATTCTCACTCATAGGTGGGAACTGAACAATGAGATCACATGGACACAGGAAGGGGAACATCACACTCTGGGGACTGTTGTGGGGTGGGGGGAGGGGGGAGGGATAGCATTGGGAGATATACCTAATGCTAGATGACGAGTTAGTGGGTGCAGCGCACCAGCATGGCACATGTATACATATGTAACTAACCTGCACAATGTGCACACGTACCCTAAAACTTAAAGTATAATAATAAAAGAAAAAAAAAAGAAAATACATTTCTATATTATCTCTGGTATTTTATGAATGTATCAGGTGTGGGGCTATTTTTGTGAACCTGATTGTTCTTGAGATTTTTGAATAATGGAAGGCATAAGAAACAGGATTAAATGAATCAAATTTGGATGTGTTGAAATGGCTACACCCATTTCAGTGAAAGTAACCCATGATGCAAATGCTGTAGAAGGAATCTGGACCAGCCAGATATCTGAGCAAAAATCTTTTAGAGATGGACAAAATAAGACAGTAAAAGAGAGAAGAGCAATGGACTTTGGTTACTTTGGGATTTTACTTTATCCAGAGAAGAGAAAAGTTTCATTTTAAGGACTTTAGCATCTCTGCGTGGTATCTGGAAGTTTTTCAACTTTGCTGTTGAGTTGGAGTGGTACGAATATAGGTGATTATAGCCTTTTGGGTTGGGGTGTATAATAATCTGTTTTCACAAATGCTTAGACATGGAGGTTACTGGCACTGGTTTAGCTGAAACTAAAGTGATAATGTGTTTCCCATTCGCTGTTACTCATTGGGCTTCACTTGTTTGGAAAATGTTGTTTGGAAAATGATGTCAGGAGAGAGGCAACTGGCAAAGCAGGATTTAAGCATATCAGAGATCTAGTCAAACTCTATCAATCACCATCAAACAGTACACTTATACCCAGCAGTTAACAGTAATGAATTCTGCTAAGAGTTCAAAGAGGAGGAAAGTTGAAGGTAAAGCAGATTACACATTCAGAAATTCGTTTCAGTAGAGAAGTGATAATAAAAGCCAAATTAAAGAGGTACATAAGTTATAAGAAAGTAGAAACAAGTCTATTAAAAGCCTTCATTAAGAATAGAAGTTTATGTAGAATAAGATTACAAAGAATGGCAGAAAGAACAAAACTTTTTCTTTCTTTTTTTTTTTGCATGAAAACTTTCAAACACATTTTTGGTTTTAGAAGAGAGACCCAGAAAGTGAGAAGTTTAATATGCTGAGGAGAAGATACCTGGTCTAATGAATGCTTGAAGAATGTATTGAAGGAATTCATCAAAAGATAATTCAAAATCAAAAGATAAGCAATTATTCTTTAAGTTGGATAAAGGAAAGGAGAAAAAAACACACAGGGTAATGAAGGAGAGAATAAGCACCTCATTCAGCAAGGAATTAAATGTTTAGTGCATGAGACAGTTTTAACTTTTAGAAGTGTTAATTTGGTCAAGTATTATTAGTTAAATTTCCTTTATAAATATTATTATAATTACTCTCTCCTTATTAAGGAAAAATTGTAATGGACAAAGTTTGAGTTATTTTTATTAATTTGATAAATTTTGAGAAGCAAAGCATTAACTCATACTACAACTTTTCTTGGACACTGTAAGGTTAAGAAAGGGAAAAGATATTCTGAACAAGGGTTTTCTTATTACTCTCCAGATTAAATAAATCCCAGTATCCCTTGCTGTAACACAAACAAATTGATTTAAAGGAAGATGGTTATAAAGTAGAATTGAGCTTCCCATTTTATAAACACATGACACTGCACTATTCACAACAGTCATGTTTTTCAAATTATTTGTGCTTTGAAAAAGTTTTGGGCAACATTTATTTTCTGCACACATCATGTATAAGCAGTATAATTTTGCTTATGATTTACAAAGTACTAATTTATTTCAAGAAAATAATGCATTTATAATAATTCAGTCTTATAAGAATATATTTTTTGTATAGTATTATTAATTACAGAGCTCTCCCATTCTAACCTAATTCCCTGACCGTGAGGTAGGCACCATTATCATCAGTTTGCAGATAAGGAAATGGGAACTGTGATGGTTAATACTGAGTGTCAACTTGACTGGAATGAAGGATGCAAAGTATTGATCCTGGGTGTGTCTGTGAGGCTGCTGCCAAAGGAGATTAACATTTGAGTCGTGGGCTGGGAAACACAGACCCACCCTTAATCTTGGTGGGTACCATCTAATCAGCTGCCAGTGTGGCCAGGATATAAAGCAAGCAGAAAAAAACGTGAAAAGGCTAAATTGGCTCAGCCTCCGAGCCTACATCTCTCTCCCGTGCTGGATGATTCCTGCCCTCAAACATTGGACTCCAAGTCCTTCAGCTTTGGGACTCAGACTGGCTTCCTTGCTCCTTAGCTTGCAGATGTCCTATTATGGGACGTTGTGATGATTTGAGTTAATACTACTTAATAAACTTCCCCCGGCTTTTTTTTTTTTTTTTTTAATTGAGATGGAGTCTCACTCTGTGGCCCAGACTGGAGTGCAATGGCAAAATTTCGGCTCACTGCAACCTCCACCTCCCGGATTTAAGTGATTCTCCTGCCTCAGCCTCCCAAGAAGCTGGAATTATAGGCACCCACCACCACGCCTGGCTAATTTTTGTATTTTTAGTAGAGACAGGGTTTTACCATGTTGGCCAGGCTGGTCTTGAACTCCTGACCTCAGGTGTTCCACCTGCCTTGGCCTCCCAAAGTGCTGGGATTGGAGGCATGAGCCACGGCGCCTGGCCTCTAAACTTCCCTTTATATATATATCTATCCTATTAGTTCCGTCCCTCTAGAGAACCCTGACTAATTCAGATTTTGGTACCAAGAGTGGTTCTAGAGGAACAAAATACTAAGGATGGAGTTCTTTTGTTGGTCTTGGAGTTTTTGGAGCTGGCTGCTTAATATGATTAGACTCCAAAATGCTAAGGACTCTACTTCTAATAGTGTGGAGAAACTAATAGTCCTTGGTGTGAACTGTTTAGAGAGTTATGCCAAATAAATGCATTTGACACTCCTGATTCACTGCTTGTGAGAGGCAAGGAGTTTAGTGACTCTATATATAATACCTTTGACTATATGTAGAGAATGAAGGAACCTAATGAAGTTGGTTGGTTGCTCCTAAGTTCACTGCACAAAGTGATGAAAGAAAATGAACTCAGGGATTCTAACTCCTGGCTTCAGAAGCAGATACCGAGCTTCAAATCTTCTAGGATTGCCCTGAGTCTTATCTCCTGTAGAGAAAGAGCTGAAATTGTGGAAAGGCAGACACAAACTCTTATCATGTGAGTGGCTGACCTGCAATGAAAGGTGCATGCAGGTGTCTGTTGAAGTGAGGGCATTGATTGGAAAAGAATGGGATCCTGCAACTTGGAACAGGGACATGTAAAAGGATTCTGATGAAGCTGGGGACACTGAGTTTTTAAACTACGACGAACCATTTCTGCCAGAACAAACAGCTTCCTCATCCCCAGTAGAGGCAACATCCTCTCCAACTCATGCTGCCATCAGACTTTCCACCCTTGTCTAAGGAGATAAACTCTGTGTTGCCTGAGTCAACAGTGATGGCCTCCCCTGAGACAGTTATCAGGCAAGATAATGTTGATTCTCCTCAGGAGCCACACACAACACCCCTGTTTGCTTCTAGACCTATAACAAGACTAAAGTCCGGTGGGCCCCTAGAGGTGAGGTGCAGAATGTGACCCATGAGGAGGTGTGCTGCACTCAAAGAACTGCTTGAGTTTTCAAATTTATATAAGAAGAAATCTGGAGAACAGGCATGGGGATGGATATTAAGGGTGTGGGATGATGGTGGAAGAACATAGAGTTGGATAAGGCTGAACTTATTGATTTGGGCCCACTAAGTTGGGATTCTGCATTTAATGTTGCAGCTTGGAGAGTTAAAAAAGGTTCTAATAGTTTATTTGCTTGGTTAGCTGAAATATGGATTAAAAGATGGCCCACATGAGTGAACTGGAAATGCCTGATATCCCTTGGTTAATGTAGGGAAGGGATCCAAAGGCTTAGGGAGATTGGGATGGTGGAGTGGATTAGTCTCTTTAAACCTACTTATCTCACCTGGGAAGGTCCAGCAGATATACCCTTGACCAATGTTTTACAAAATAGATTTAGCAGAAATCTTGCAAGCCAGAATGGAAAATAATATATTCAAAGTGCTAAAGTTAAAAAAAAACCAAACTAGCAAATTGGAATGGTATGTCTGGCAAAAATTTCCCTCAAAAATGAAGAAGAGTGGGAGTCAGACCAAGATGGCAGAATGCAAGTCTCCATTGATTGTCCCACTCAGAAGGACACCAATTTAACAACTACAAAAGAAAAGCACCTTCACAAGCACTAAAATTCAGTACTCACAGTATCTGATTTTAACTTCATGTCACTGAAAGGGGCACAGAAGGGGAAGAAAAAGACAGTTGAACCTCCAATATCATCCACCCCCTACCAACCTCAGTTCTTCACTCCTCCACAGTGGTGGCATGATGTGGAGAACATTTCTGTGTATTGGGTTAGGGAGTATTTCCAAATTCATTCTATGAATCCAGTATTACCCTGATACCAAAACCACACAAACACACTTCAAAAAAAGAAAACTACTAGTCAATGCGCTGTTGAATATTTATGCAAAAAGCCTCAACAAAATACAAGCAAACTGAATTCAACAATACACTAAAAAGATCATTTATCATGATCAAACAAGACTTATCCCTGGGATGCAAGGAAGGAAGGTCATTATCATGTATCATGATCAAACAAGACTTATCCCTGGGATGCAACATACACAAATCAATCACTATGATACATCGCATTAACAGAATGAAAGACAAAAACTATATGATCATTTCAATTGGTGCTGAAAAAACATTGGATACAATTCAACATCCCTTCATGATAAAAATTGTCAAAAAAACTGGGTATAGAAGGAACATATCTCAACATAATAAAAGCCATATATGATAGACCCCCAGCTAGTATCATATTGAAAGGGGAAAATCTGAAAGGCTTTCCCCTGACATCTAAAATGTGACAAAAATACCCACTTTCACCACTGTTATTCAACATAGTACTGGGAGTCCTAGTTAAAGCAATCAGACAAGAGAAATAAATAAAGGGCATCCAAATTGGAGTGGAAGAAGTCAAATTATCCTTGTTTGCAGATAATATAATCTTTTATTTAAAAAAAACCTAAAGACTCCACAAGAAAACTATAAGAACTGATCAGTTCAGTAAAGTTGCAGGACACAAAATCAACATATAAAAATCATAGCATTTCTATATACTAATGGTAAAAAATAAATAAATAAATAAATAAGAGGAATCCCATTTACAGTAGCCACAAATAAAATAAAAAACCTAAGGATTAACCTAATCAAAGAAGTGAAAGATCTCTATGATAAAAACTATAAAATACTGATGAAAGAAACTGAAGTGGACACCAAAAGGTAAAAGATATTCCATGTTCATGGATTGGAAGATTCAATATCATCAAAATGTCCATACTACCCAAAGTAATCTACAGTTTCAGTATAATCCTTATCAAAATACCAAGGACATTCTTCACAGAAATTCAAAAAAAAATCCTAAAATTTATATGTAATATCAAAAGACCCAGAATAACCAAAGCTATTTTGAGCAAAAGGAACAAAGCTGGATGAATCACATTACCTGACTTCAAATCTGGTGCTACAGCAACCAGAACAGGAGGGTATTGGCATAAAAACAGTTACACGGGTACCAGCATGAAAATTAAAAACACACCAAAAAATAATATAAAAAACCAAAGAAATAGAATGGAAAACCCATAAACAAATCCATACAGCTACAGTGAACTCATATTTAACAATGGTGCCAAGAATATACATTGAAGAAAAGATAGTCTCTTCAATAAATGGTACTGAGAAAACTAGATATCAATATGTAGAAGAATTAAACTTGACCCCACTCTTTCACCATATACAAAAATCATATTAAAATGGATTAAAGATGTAAATATAAGATCTCACATTATAAAACTACTATAAGAAAACATTGGGGAAAATCTCTAGCACATTGGTCTGGGCAAAAATTTCCTGAATAATACCCCACAAGCACAGGGAACCAAAGCAAAAATGGAAAAATGAGATCACACTAAGTTAAAAAGCTTCTGGACAGCAAAGGAAGTGAAGAGACAACCCATAAAATGGGAGAAAAAAATTTCAAACTACCCATCTGACAAGGGACTAGTAACAGAATACAAAAGAAGCACAAACAACTCTATAGGTAAAAATCTAATATTCCAATCAAAAATGGGCAAAAAAAGTGAATAGGCATTTGTCAAATGAAGACATACACATGACAAACAGGCACATGAAATGATGCTCAAAGTCACTGAACACAAGAGAAATGTAAATCAAAACCACAATGACATATCATCTCACAGCAGTTAAAATGGCTTATATGCAAAAGTCAGATAATAACAAATGCTGGGAAGGATATGGAGAAAAGGGAACTCTTGTACACTATTGATGGGAATACAAATTATTATAACCACTATTGAGAAGAATTTGAAGCTTGCTCAAAAAAGCTAAAAATTGAGCCACCATATGATCCAGCAATCCCACTGCTGGGTTCCTACCCAAAAGAAAGGAAATTAGTACATGAAAGAGATATCTGCACATCCATGTTTGCTGCAGCACTGTTCACAACAGGTAAGATTTGAAAGCAACGTAAGTGTCCCTCAAAAGATGAATGAAAATAGTACTCTAAAAGAAAAGAATTAGATCCTGTCATTTGCAAAAACATGGATGGAATGAAAGAGTATTATGTTAAGTGAAATAAGCCAGGCACAGAAAGACAAACGTCCTATGTTCTCACCTATTTGTTGGATCTAAACATTACAGTAATTGAGCTCATGGAGATAGAGAGTAAAAGGATGATTACCAGAGCTGGGAAAAGTAGTAGGGTAAATCAATAACAGAAGGAAAACTGAAAAAAAAATAAATGTGAGGAAATTAAACAACATACTCTTGAATAATGATTGGGTCAAAGAAGAAATCAAAAGAAAATTTAGAAAATATCTTGTATGTAACATCAAATTATATGTAACATCAAAAGACCCAGAGTAACCAAAGCTATTCAAAGCTAAACAAAGATGAAAGCACAACATATCAAAATTTATGGAATATAGCAAAAGCAGTACTAAAAGAGAAGTCACAGTGATAAACACCTACCTAAGAAAAGGACCAGCCTGGGGAACATAGCAAGACCTTCTCTCTACTAAAAATTAAAAAAATTAGCCACTCATGGTGGTACACGCTTGTATTCTCAGCTACTTGGGAGACTGAAGTGGCAGGATCACTTGAGTCCAAAGTTCTAGGTTCTAGTGAGCTTTGATCATGCCACTGCAATCCAGTCTGGGCAACAAAGTGAGACCCTGTCTCCAAAAAGAAAACAGGAAGAAAAGAAAAAAATATATAAAATGGCAAATTAAATTTAAAAAACTAAACACAAATTTAGCAGAAGGAAGAAAATAAAGATTAGACTTACATAAGTAAAATAGAGACTAAAAGAAAATTGAAAAAAAATAATAAAACCAAAAGTTGAATTTTTAAAAACATAAAAAAATTTAAGAATGCCTTAGCTGAACTAAGAAAAATAGAGAAGCCTTAAATAAATAAATTCAGAAATGATAGACATTACAACTTACTCTACAGAAATAAAAAGGATTATAAGAGACTAGCATGAATAATTATTCTCCAACAAATTAGATAACCCAGAAGAAATAAATTTTTAGAAATATACAATCTACCAAGACTAAGTAATGACTAAATAAAAATTGAACAGATCTATAACTAGTAATTACATAGAATCAGTAATAAAAAAATCTCCAACAAAGAGAAGCTCAAGAACTGATAGCTTCACTGGTGAATTCTAACAAATATTTAATAAACTAATGCCAATTATTTTCTTCCAAACCCTTTCAAAAAATTGAAGAGGAGAAAACACTTCCAAACTCATTTGATAGAGCAAGCATCATCCTGATATCAAAGCCAGACGAAGCCACTCTAAGAAAATTACAGGTCAATATCTCTAATGAAAAAAGATATACAAATACTCAACAAAATAGATCAAACTGAATTTAAGAGTATGTTGAAAGGATCACACATCTTGATCAAGTAAGATTTATCCCTGGGATGCAAGGATGGTTCAACATACAAAAATCAACATGATATACCATATTAATGAAGAATTTTTAAAAATCACATAATGATATAAATAGATGCTAAAAAAATATTTAACATAATTTAATACCCTTTAATGATAAAAAAAATTCAACAAACTAGGAGGAGAAATAAACTAGTTCAATGTAATAAAGGCCATATATAAAAAGCCCACAGCTAACATCAAACTCAAGATTAATTCTGAAAGCCTTTCTTCTAAGATGAAGAACTGCCCTTCTAAGATGAAGATGCCCACTCTAGCCACCTTTATTCAACAGGAAGTCAATAGGGAAAAAAAGGCTTCTCAAAAAAATAAATAAAATTGCCCCTGCTGCTCTGCCAGAGCACACTCTCCTACAGTCCCCCAACACCATTGTGTTGGCATGCACAAGCAGACCTATCACCCTGCCCTGACTAGTACACACAAGCACGCACCCCACCACACCCGCCACTGTTGGTGTGAGTGCATGGGCACAAACACCATTGCCACTCTTGCACTGGCACTCGCAGATGCTGCTACCTGGCCTTGGTTGGTGTCCTACCCAGTTGATGCTTGAAGACCCTGCCAAGTCACCACCACCACTAATGCACACTTGTATACAGATGCTGCTGCCCAACCCCATCAAAGAACTTTTGATGATATCTCCCATTACAGTACTGTTGACATAGAGTAGAAACACCTTGACACCTCCAACTCAGCAGGTACTTAACCCGGAGGGGCCAGAGAACAAAGCTTTGGGCTGGTACCAACCCCTCAAAGTTAAAGCATACAGCCTAGGGGTACTCAGCTGAGCCTCATCCTCTGAAATCTTCTTGAAATGAAGCCAGTTGACTGAACCGACTTTATATGACAGTCACTCCCTCAAGGGTATCAAAGAATATAAAAGCAAAATCCCTATCCAAAGGACAGCAACTTCAAAGATTAAAGGAACATCAGCCCACACAAGAAAGAACCAACACAAGAACTCAAGAAACTAAAAAAGCCAGAGTATCTTCTTACCTGCAAGCAACTGCACTAGTTCCCCAACAATGGTTCTTAACCAGGCTGAAATGACAGACATAGAATTTGAAATATGAATAGGAATCAAGATCATTGAGATTTAAATGAAAGTTGAAATCCAATCGAGGGAATCTAAGGAATACAATAAAACAATATAAGAGCTGAAGTGGAATATACTCATTTTAAGAAAGAACCAAACTGATCTGATCGAGTTGAAAAACTCACTATAAAAATTTCATAATGTAATCAGAAGTATTAACAAAATAGACAAAGATTAAAAATCTCAGAGCTCACACACAAAAAACTGGCTCTTTGAATCAACTCAGACAAAATAAAAATAAAAATAAAAATAAAAAAGAATAAATGAAGCCTCTGGGAAATACAGGTTATGTAAAGACCCCAAGCATACTACTCATTGGCATCCCTGTAAAAAGAGGGACTTCGAAAACATATTTCAAGATATTGTCCATGAAAACTTCCCCAACTTCACTAGAGAGGCTGATGTTCAAATTTAGGAAATGCAGAGAATCCCTGCAAGATATCGTATGAGATAACCATCCTCAAGACACACAGATATCAAATCCTCCAAGGTCAAAATGGAAGAAAAAATTTTAAAGGCAGCCAGAGAGAAGAAACAGGTTGCATGAAAGGGAGCTCCATCAGGCTAAAAGCAGATTTTTCACCAGCAACTCTGAGCCAGAAGACATCAAGGGCCTATACTCAGCATTCTTCCCCTCACCAACTTTATAATGGGATTACATATATTTTTTTCCTGCTGAGTTGTTTGAGTTCCTTGTAGACGATGGATATTAGTCCTGTGTTGAATGAATAGTTCGCAAATATTTTCTTCCTTTCAAGAGGTTGTCTCTTCACTCCATTGATTTTTGTCCATATGCTTTTTAGTTTAATATAGTCCCATTTATCAGTTTTTGTTTTTGTTGCCTGTGCTTTTTGAGGTGTTAATCATAAAATATTTACCTAGAACAATGTCCAGGAGAGTTTTCCCTGTTTTCTTCTAGTATTTTTATAATTTCAGGTCTTAAATTTATGTCTTTAATTCATTTGAATTGATTTTTGCCTATGGTGATAGACAAGGTCCAGTTTCATTCTTCTGCATGTGACTATCCAAATTTTCCCAGAACCATTTACTCAAGAGGGTGTCCTTTTCCCAGTGTAAGTTCTTGTTAGCTTTTCCAAAAATCAGTTGGCTCTCGATGTGTGGCTTTATTTGTGGGTTCTCTATTCTGCTCCATTGGTCTATGTGTCTATTCTTATGCCAATATCATGCTGCTTTGGCTAGATAGCCTTGCCACATATTTTGAAGTCAGGTAATGTGATGCCTCCAGTGTAGTTATTTTTGTTTAGAACTGCTTTGATGATTCAGGCTCTTTTATGATTCGATATGAATTTCAGGATTTTTTTCTGATTTTGTGAAGAATGATGTTGGTATTTTGACAAAGATTGCATTAAATCCATAGATTGCTTTGGGCAATATGGTCATTTTATTGATATTAATTATTCTAAAACATGAGCATCAAATCTTTTTCCATTCGTTTGTGTCATATTCAATTTCTTTCATTGGTATTTTGTGGTTTTCCTTATAGAGGCCTTTCACTTCCTTGGTTAAAATTATTCCTAAGTATTTTGTTACTTTTTCGTAGCTACTGTACATGGGGTTGCTTTCTTGATTTCTTTGTTGGCTAGATCGTTATTTTGAATATAGAAATATTACTAATTTTTTACACTGATTTTGTATCCTGCAACTTTACTGAAGTCATTCATCACAACTTCAGTTTTTTTTTTTTGGGTGGAGTCTTTAGGTTTTTCTAGATATAATCTAAATATAAATAAATATAATTAGAAATGGCAAAGGAAACATTGCCACTGACCCTGCAGAAACAGGAAAACACCCTTGGAGACTATTACAAACACCTCTATGAACACAAACTAGAAAACTTAGAAGAAACGGATAAAATCCTAGAAACATGCAACCTCCCAAGATTGAAAAAGGAAGAAACTGAAACACCTAACTGACAAATAACAAGTTCTGAAATTTAATCATAACAAAAGGCCTACCCACCAGAGAAAATCTGGACCAGATGTATTTGCAGCTGAATTCTACCAGACAATAAGGAAGATATGATTTAAATTCTATTGAAATTATTCTTAAAAACAGAGCAGGAGGATTTCCTCCCTAACTCGTTCTACGAGGCTAGGATCATTCTGATACCAAAACCTGGCAGAGGCACAATGAAAAAAGAAAACTTCAGGTCAATATTCCTAATGAACATAGATGGAAAAATTCTCAACAAAATACTAGCAAACGGATTCCATCAGTAATTCAAAAAGTAATCCCCCATGATCAAGTAGGCTTTATTCTTCGGATACAAGGTTGATTCCAGATATGCCAATCAATAAATGTTATTCATCACATAAACAGAACTAAAAACAAAACCACATGATTATCTAAATAGATGCAGAAAAACTTTTGATAAAATTCAACATTGCTTCATGTTAAGAACCCTCAACAAAGTAGGCATTAAAGGAATATACCTCAAAATAAGAAGCATCTATGACAAACCCACAGCCAACATCATACTGAATGGGCAAAAACTGGAAGCATTCCCCTTGAGAACTGGAAGAAGACAAGAATGCTCACTCTCACCACTCCTATTCAACATAGTAGCAGAAGTTGCAGCCAGAGCAATCAAGCTAAACAACGAAGTAAAATGCATCCAAATAGGAAGAGAGGTAGTTGAACTATCTCTCTTCACAGATGATATAATTTTATATGTAGAAAACTCCATAGTCTCTGCCCAAAGCTCCTAGATCTTTTAAACAAATTCAGCAAAGGTTCAGGATACAAGTGTACAAAAATGAGAAGCATTTCCATACACCAACAATATCCAAGCTAAGAAGCACGCATGCACACACACACACACACACACACACACACACACACACACACACACACCAGAAACAGAGCTAACCAGGGAGGTGAAAAAGCTCTATAATGAGAATTAAGAAACACTGCTGAAAGAAATCAGGAATGACACAAACAAATGGAAACACATTTCATTCTCATAGATAAAAAGAATCAGTATCATTAAAATGGCCATACTTCCCAAAGCAATGTACAGATTCAATGCTATACCTACAACAATACTGATTACATTTTTCACAAAATTCTAAAATGCATATAGAACCACAAAAGAGCCTGAATAGTCAAAGCAATTCTAAGCAAAAAGAACAAAGCTAAACCATCACATTACCTGATTTCAAGCTATAATAAAAGGATAGAGAAACCAAAACAGCATGGTACTAGTACAAGAACAGACACATAGACCAATGGAATAGACTAGAGAAGCTAGAAATAATGCTGTACACCTACAGCTGTCTGATCTTTGACAAACCTGACAAAAATAAGCAATGGAGAAAGGACTCTGTATTTAATAAATGGTGCTGCGATAACTGGCCAGTCATATGCAAAAGATTGAAACTGGACCCCTTCCTTATACCATATACAATAATTAACTCAAGATAGATTGAAGACTTAAAGTTAAAACTAAAAACCCTTGAAGACAACTGTATTATTTTGTTCTTACATTGCTATAAATAAATACCCAAGACTGGGTAATTTATAAAGGAAGGAGGTTTAATAGACTCATTCCATATGGCTGGGAAGGCCTCAGGAAATTTACAATCATAGTGGAAGGGAAAGAGGCACGTCTTACATGGCACAGGTGAAAAAGAGAGAGAGAGAGCACATGTAGGAGGAATTCTCAAATGCTTATGAAACCATTAGATCCCATGAGAACTCACTCACTATCATGAGAACAGCATGGGGGAAATTGCCTCTATGATCCAATCACCTTCCACCAGGTACCACCCTTGACATGTGGGAATTATGGGGATTATAATTCAAGATGAGATATGGGTGGGGACACAGAGTCTAACCATATGAATAACCTAAGAAATTCCATTCTGAACATAGAACCTGGCAAAAATTTTATGATGAAGATACTAAACATAATTGCAACAAGAAAGAAAATTGACCAATGTTACCTAAATAAAGTTTCCGCACATCAAAATATAAACTATCAATAGAGTAAACAGACAACTTACAGAATGGGAGAAAATATTTTGCAAACTGTGCATCTGACAAAGGTCTAATATCCAGAATGTATAAGGAACTTTAACAAATTTACAAGCAGAAAACAACCCCTTTATTAAAAAAAAAAAGGACATGAACAGACACTTCTCAAGAGAAGGCACATGTGGCCAAAATGCATTATGAGTGCTCAGCATTACTAATCATTAGAGAAATGCAAATCAAAACCACAATGAGATAGTATCTCACCTCAGTCAGAATGGCTACTATAACAAAGTCAAAAATTAATATATGCTGGCAAGGTTGAAGAGAAAAGGGAATGGTTATGTACTGCTTGGTAGAATCTAAATTATTTCAGCCATCATGGGAAGCATTTTGAAGACTTCTCAAAGAATTTAATACAGAACTACCATCTGACCCAGAAAATGCATTACTGGATATATATCCGAAGGTAAATAAATTGTTATACCATAAAGACACATGCAGGTGTATGCTCATTGCAGCATTGTTCTCAATAACTAATACATGGAATCAACTTAGATGCCCAACAGCGATTCGATAAAGAAAATGTGGTACATGTGGTACCTATACAGCATGGAACATTATCCATCAAAAAAAAGAATACCATCATGCCTTTTGTTTGTAGCAACATGGATGCAGCTGCAGGCCATTTTCCTAAGCAAATTAATGTAGGAACAGATAACCAAATACAGCATGTTCTCACTTATAAGTGGGAGCTAAACATTGGGTACATATGGACAAAGAAGGGAATAATATACACTGGGGCCTGTTTGAGGGTAGAGGATAAAAAAAAAACTATCTATCAGGACTATGCTTATTAGCATAGTTATATGGGTAAGTTGCATGTACACCAACCCCTGCAACATGCAACTTACCCATATAACAAACCTGCATATGTGCCCCCAAACCTAAGTCCCTGTTTGCAGATGACATGATCTCATATACAGAAAACTCTAAAGACTTTTTAAAATCCTGTTAGAAATAATAAACAAATTCAGTAAACTTTCAAGATACAAAATCAACATACAAATATCAGTTGTATTTCTTGCAACAAAAAAAAAAAATCTAAAAGGGAAATTTAAAAAGTAGTCCTATTTACATTAGTATCCAAAAAGAAGTAATTAAGGGTAAACTTATCCAGGGATGTGAAAAGCTTGCATATTGAAAATTACAAAACATTGTTCAAAGAATAAAGAAGACATAGGTAAATGGAAGGACATACTGTGTTTGTGGCTTGGAAGATTTAATATTGCTAAAATGTTCTTATTACATAAAGCAATGTACAATGTCAATGCAACCCCTATCAAAATCTCAGTGACTTTTTGTTCAGAAATAGAAAAAAAATACTAAATTTAATATGGAAACAAAGAATCCCATAGAGCCAAAACAATCTTGAGAAAGAACAATCCTGGACGCCCCACACTTCTGAAATTCAATACATATGACAAGACTATAGTAATCAAGAGAATAGTACTGGCATAAAGATAGACATGTAATCCAATCAAATAGAATAGAGAGCCCAGAAATAAACCCACACATGTATAGTCAAATGATCTCCAACAAAGATACCAAGAATACACAATGGGGAAAGGATAGTCTTTTCCATAAATAGATTTGGTAAAGTTGAATATCTACATGCAAAAATAAAAATGGAATTTTATCGTATGCTATATGCAAAAATCAAGTCTAAGTGGATTAAAGACATAAGACCTAAAGCCATAAAACTCCTAAAAGAACACATGAAGGCAAATCTTTATAACACTATATTGGCATCAAAAAGTTGGATATAACATCAAAACCACAAGCAACAAACACAAAAATAGACAATTTGGAATATGTCAATCTAAAAGTTTATGTGCAACAAAGGAAACAATCAACAGAGTGAAAAGGCAACCTACAGAATGAGAGAAGATATTTCTAAACTGTATAAGTGGTTAATATCCAAAATATACAAGAAAACCATAAAACTTAATTAAAAATATACAAAATAAGTATATGAATAGACATTTCTTCAAAGAAGACATACAAATGGCAACATGTATATGAAAAGATTCTCAATATCACTTATCAACAAGGAAATGAAACTGAAAACAATAGTGAGATATCACCTCACATCTGATAGGATGGGCATTTAAAAAAATAGAAAATAACAAATGTGGGATATTTTTGTTGTTTTTTGTTTGTTCATTTGTTTTTAACAAGATGAAGATTAGAGGCTTTTATCAACTTTCAACCACTTGGAAATAGCAAAATACTGTGTAAAGATCAAGCCTGTGAGCTTCAATTCAAGAAGGAAAATGAGAATTTACCAGAAGAGCAAAGGACACTTCAGATCCCAGGGAGGAGAAGATGGGAAAAGAGTGTTCATCTGAGAAAAATCAGCCCTCTTCCTAAGGCAATAGAGAGTTTCTCCCAGTAAACAGGATAATATATGTACCAATCTGCATTAGCTGCAGCCAAATCTTACCTATAAGTACCACCTACTGGCCTGGAGGTTGAATGTCACAACACAGTAGAAAATCTGCTGAGACAAGTGCACAGCACTAGAGAATGAGATAAGCTTCCTGTGACTTCTGTCACCCTAGCTCCACTAGAGGCTATGAGCCTGCCCACATGTCCCATACATCACAACTGGAATCAGTATTTGAAAAAAACACCACAAAAGGCTATCTGTAACTAAGAAATTTATAGAGACTCTTTGCTGCTGAAAGTACCCAGAATGAAAGCCAAAAGACCGTATACAATATACATTATATATATATACATATATATACTTATATATGTATATATGTGCATATATATGTATATATATGTGTGTGTATATATATGTGCATATATATATGTGTGTATATATATAAGCAGATGAGATTAGGAGCCTATTTTTAGTCTCTTTATGTATAAAAAACACCAGTCAAGGATTTCATATCTTACCAAACAAAGCTTCAAAAATGAAGCAAAACTAAAGTCTTTCCCAGACAAATAACTACAAAGAAAACGTATTACCATTAGACTAGTCAAACGAAAATACTCAAAGAATTTGTAACATGGAAACAAAAGGATGATATTCACTATCGTAACAGTATACATAACTACAAAGCTCACAGCCCTTATAAAGCAATTACACAGTTGAAACTCCAAGGCAACTAGCTAGCAACACTATGACAGGAACAAAACCTTTCATATCAATATTACTCTTGAATATAAATGGCCTAAATGCTTTACCTAAAACATACAAAATGGCAAATTGTATTTTAAAGAAAAAAAGACACAACGACTTGCTACCTACAAGATAGTTACTCTTGGCTAAATACTACAGACAAAGTAAAGGGGTAAAAAAAGACATACCATGCAAATGGAAAACAAAAATGAGCATGACCAGCCATCTTCATATCACGTAAGACAGACTATAAACCAATATCAGTAAAATTTATAGAAAGTAGGATATTAGATAATGATGAAGGGTTCAATAGAAGAAGAAGATTTAGCTATTCTAAATATATATGCACCCAACATTGGAGCATCCAGTTTCATAAAACAAATACTACTAGACCAGGAAAACAGATTCATAGCAATAAAATAATAGTGAGTAACTCAACACCCTACTGATAACGCCAGATTATTGGGGCAGGAAATCAACAAAGGAACTCTGGACATAAGTGACTATAGAGCAAATGAACCTTACAAAATTGATGTACAAAAGTCAGTAGCATTTTTAATACATCAATAATGTTTGGTGCTCTCTTCAGTAGCACATATACTAAAATTAGAATGATACAGGAAAGATTAGCGTGGTCCCCGTGCAAGGAGAATATGCAAACTCATGAAACTTTTCCTATTTTAAAAAAGTAATATTTGGGCTGAGACCCAAATCAAGAACTCAATCACATTTACAATAGTCACAAATAGATGAAATACCTATAAACACATTTAAGCAAGGAAGTGAAAGATTTCTACAAAGAAAATTACAAAGCACTGATGAAAGAAATCATAGATGACAAACGGAAAACATTCCATGCTCATGGGTTGGAAGAATTGATATCATTAAAATGATAACACTGCCCAAAATAATCCACAGAGTCAACACAATCCCTATCAAATTACCAACATCATTTTTCATGGAATTAGAAAAAAACAGTCCTAAAGTTCATACAAAACCAAAAAAGAGCCCAAAGAGCCAAAGAATTACTAAACAAGAAAAACACATCCAGAGGCATCATATTGCCTGACTTCAAATTACACTACAAGGATTTAGTAACTAAAACAATGTGGTACTGGTACAAAAAGAGACACATAGATCAGTGGAACAGAATAAAGAACCCAGAAATAAAGCCACATACCTACAACCAACTGATCATCAGTAAAGTTGACAAAAATAACAAATTTGAAAAGGGCATCCTATTCAAAAAATGTTGTTGGGAAAATTGGCTAGCCATATGCAGAAGAATGAAAACCGACCCTTATCTCTCACATTATATAAAAATTAAGTCAATATGGATGAAAGACTTAAAAGTAAGACCTGAAGCTATACAAATTCTAGAAGAAAGCTAGAAAAAAACTCCTCTGGAGATTGGTCTAGGCAAATAACTTATGATGAATACCCCAAAATCAAATGAAACAAAAATAAAAATAGACATGGGATTTAATTAAACTAAAAGCCTTCTGTACAACAAAAGAAATAATCAACAGAGTAAACAGACAACCTACAGAATGGGAGAAATATTTGCAAATTATGCCTCTCACAAAGGACTAATATCCAGAATCTATAAGGAATTCAAAATCTCAATAAGATACAAACAACAAACCCTATTAAAAACTAGCAAAGACATGAACAGATATTTATCAAAAGAAGAAATAATAAGTGTAAAACAAACATAAAAATTGTTCAACATCATTAAACATCAGAGAAATATAAGTTAAAACCACAATAAGATATTATCTCACAACAGTCAGAATGACTAGAATTAAAAGTCAAATATAACAGATGTTGGCATGTATGCAGAGAAAAGGGAATGCTCATATACTGTTGGTGGGAATGCAAATTAGTTCAACCTTTACGGAAAACAATATGGAGGTATCTCAAAGAACTGAAAATAGAACTCCATTCAACTCAGCAATTCCAACACTGGGTATTTATTCAAAGAAAAATAAATTATTGTATACAAAAGACACCTGCACTTGTATGTTCATCACAGCACTATTCACAATAGGAGAGTCATAGAACCAACCTAAGTGTCTATCCAATGGTTGACTGGATAAAGAAAATGTCTGTGTGTGTGTGTGTGTCACATTTAATATGGCATATCACATCAATAAATGTTGGTATTTATTGATGTAATACACATATATACGTATATGTATTATATATATATTAAATACCATGTACACTCACACATACACACACACACACACACATACACACA
Source organism: Homo sapiens (assembly GCF_000001405.40). Taxonomy (NCBI): domain Eukaryota; kingdom Metazoa; phylum Chordata; class Mammalia; order Primates; family Hominidae; genus Homo; species Homo sapiens. The sequence goes on along the minus strand of NC_000002.12, from coordinate 187,269,117 downwards.
TAAAATGGAATACCACATAGCCATAAAAAAGAATGAATGTCCTTTGCAGCAACATGGATGGAGCTGGAGGCCATTATCTTAAGGGAACTAGCTCAGAAACAGAAAATCAAATACTACATGTTCTCATTTATAAATCAGTGCTAAACAATGGGTGCACATGGATATAAAGGTGGAAGTGATAGACACTGGTTACTCTGAAACAGGGAAGGGTGGGAGGACAGGGAAGACTGAAAAAATGCCTATTGGGTACAATATTCACTATTTGGGTAATGGGTGAATTAGAAGCACAATCTCCACCAGCACATAACATAACAGTGTAACAAACACTCACATGTAATCTCTTTATCTAAATTAAAATATTTTAAAAAAAGAAAAGAAAAGAACAAGTGTTGCTGAGGATGTGGAGAAATTGGAACCCTTCTGCACTGTTGGTGGGAAAGTAAATGGTGCAGCTGCTTTGAAAAACAGTACTAAGTTTCCTCAAAATTTTAAAAATAGAACTACCATATGATTCAGCAATCTCACTTCAAGGTATTGATCTAAATGAATTGAGATCAGGGTCTCAAAGAGTTAGCTGTGCTCCCATGTTCATTGCAGCATTAGTCATAATAGCCAAGATGTGGACTCAACCTAATTGTCCATCAACAGATGAGTGGATAAATAAAATATGGTAAATATATACAATGGAATATTATTCAGTTTTATAAAGGAAGGAAATTCTGTCATATGCTACAATGTGAATGAAACTTTAGGACATTATACTAAGTGAAACAGGCCAGTCACGTAAGGAGAAATGTTGCATGATTACACTTACATGGGATATTTAAAGTGGTCAAACTCACAGAAACAAAGTAGAATGGTGGTTGCCACGGCCTAGGAGAAGAAAGAAATGGGGAGTTGCAAAATGTGTGTGGAGTTTCAGTCAGGCAGAATGAAAAAGCTCTAGAGATGTGCTGTGCAACAATATGCATACAATTAACAATACTGTACATACCGTACACTGAAAATTTTGTTCAGAGAGTAGAATTCATGATATGTCTTTTTTTTTAACCACAATAAAGAAGTCATGCGAAGATGTGTGTTTTGTCCACTGTTCCCTTCATGGGCTTGGGCTGTGGCTGCCAAATGTTAGGTACTCCATGTATATTTTCTGAATGGACTGATGAATGAATGAACACACATCCTGGCCCCAAAGCCAACTGAGACTGATAAAATCTCAAAGTACAATTGCCTTCTTAAGTGGCTGGTGGTGTGGGGCTCATAAGAGTTTTAAATCCAGACAAACCATGTTTTGAATCTGCCTTCTGACCCCCCTCCTCTGGGTGACCTTGCATAAGCGTCTCTGGAGCTGTTTTCTCATTATCTTGGGGATAGTAACATGTATCTCCAAATGTGGTACAAAATCCTACTGGATGATATGCATAAACCTCTGAGTATGCTGCCCTGCGTGGAGTACATGCAGCACTCCTCAACCCCTTAAATACCAGAATTATGTTCTCCATCACCATCACCATCCACATTCTCATCAATAAGCCTGCAACACCTTGCCCCTGATGACAAAGCTCTGTATTCACATGATCTCACCCAATCACTGTAGCAGAAACTCTAGAGAAAGAGGGGCCGAGGTGGCTCCTTTTCTCACTTTAAAAGCACATCAACTAAGACTATGGGCACATCGACTCAGCATCACACAGGGAAAAGTAGGAATAGGTGGACTGATGGATACCAAATCTCATGATTTTGTTCCAGCTTCATGTCTCAATCTAGAGGTGTCTAAACACCTCCAGAGGCTTCTACCTCCTGGAGCAGGCCAGCTCCTCTCTCACCTGGCCTCCTGCCTTCCTACTATGTATTCATACTGCAGCCTGCAGGAACTTTCCAAAACATGAATCTCACCGTGCCTGTCACTGCCTAGAATCCTTCATGGCTTCATGCTGCTCTAGGGTTAAGACCTTTGCATGGCTGGCAAGGGCCTCGGCATTCTGAGCACAAATTGTATCTCCGACTTGTCCTGCATCTTGCTCCTGATTCTCTGTTGGATTTATCTGTATGCATCTCCCACTGGCTACCAGAAAAATGAGACTTGCCTAATGTACCCCATCAGAGTGCAGTTGTGGGCTCACTGTACACGCGTGTGCTTGCCTGTGAGCTCCTTCATTATATCTTTCCTATGAGGACAAAGCCCAGCCAGGCTGGTTTACTACTAGATAGAACAGTACCCAGCATACAGCAGCTGCTAATTGTGTTCATTGAATACATGAATAGATGAACACATACATAAGTGAAAGCATACATGGGCACATGCACATATACTTCTGCACTTGGAGCCTCTGTGCAGGCCTCGACAGGGCTTTTCCCGCAGCTGTCAAGGACAAATTCCAATACTCAGGCTGGTCTCAGCCCCTACCCACACCTTCTTGTTCCTTTACCCTCAGACCCATCCATCTCCTTTCTTCTTAAAGACAGCACACAAATGCCTGGTTGGCATTTGCGATTGGCTGGGCCCCATGTTACCTGAGTGGAATTCTGTTCCATGACAGTAGTCCCTTGGGAGAAATCCAGGAGAGCAAACTGCACAGGAACAGCTTCCTAGAAAATTGTAAGATTTGAAAGTTCTTTTAATGAATTAAATGGAGAAGAAAACTCCCGAAGATGGATAAAGCAGTGAGGACTTTCATCACCCTTCGGCCTTTTAAAATAAAACTACTTTTTTAATTGTGGTAAAAAATATACATAGCATGACATCATCATGAACCATTTCCAGAACTTTTTTATCTTTCAAAACTAAATCTCCATACCCATGAAACATAACTCCCTATTTCCTCCTCCCCCAGCATTCTACTTTCTGTCCCTATGATTCTGACTATTCTAAGTAGCTTCTGTAAGTGAAATCATACCATATTTGTCCCATGGTGTCTGACTTATTTTACTTAGCTTGATGCCCTTGAGGTTCATCTGTGTAATACCATGTTGTCAAAACTTTCTTCCTTTTGAAGGCTGAATAATTCTTCCTTGTGTGTGTATATCTCATTTTGCTTGTTCATTCATGTCAATTGCAACCCACTCTTGGGTTGCTTCCATCTTTTGACTATTGTGAATAATGCCGCTATGCACATAGGTGCACAGATACCTGTTTGAGCCCCTGATTTCAATTCTTTTGAGTATATACCCACAAATGGAATTGCTGAATCATGTAGGAATTATATTTTTAATTTTTTGAGGCACACCATTCTGTTTTCCACAGTGGCTGCACCATTTTACATTCCCACTAATACTGAAAAAGGGTTAAAATTTCTCCACATCCTCCCCATCACTTGTTTTGTTTTTACAATGGCAGCCATCCTAACAGGTTTGAGGTGGTGTCTCAATGTAGTTTTGATTTGCATTTCCCTTATGATTCATGATGTTGAACATCTTTTTGTCTGCATTTTTCATTCGTTGGAGAGATATAAAATAAAAAGTCCTTTACCAAGTTAAAAAAAAAAGGTCATGTTTACTTCATGGTGCTTTGTATGATTTTCTTTCAATCATCACTGATGATACTTAAAGATAAATTATTATTTGTAGTCTCCAGTATGTTGCTTATACTTTCCAATTTTTAAAACATTTAAAACAGCTAGATTTAATGACCTATCCTAAGTTTTTTTGTTTTTTGTTTTTTTTTTTTAACAGAGCAACTCATTCAATCTATTTACACCAGTTTTTTTCTTCCTCTTGTTAACTTCATAATTTCTTACTGACATTGACCTCTCTCACACAATACTTTTATACTCTACTTTCTTATTTATAATGTTTATGCTGTTATAAAATGTGTCTATTGTCAACGCTTGTAAAACATATTTTATCTACATGTCAAAAAATAACTCTTGCCTATTTCACACAAAGAATATTTTTGTATGGCATTGAAATTAAGTTCTCATATATTCTCAAGCTTGACTAGGGAATTGTTTCTTCCCATTTAACTTCTTGAACTTATAGTATGATGTGAACCTTAATTTACTGAAGTATATATTAAAAATTAGGAAAAACAGCTCTATTACATTCTTACGAATGTTATCAGAAATGTCATCACTGAAACTTCAGGAAAGAAAGTGACAGATGATAAAGGCCTACTGATATAATCCCCACTCACTATTTCCACTCACACCCCTTCTCTCTCTCTTCAGCTCTCCTATTTCCCACACCAATGTGCCCGTCCCCACTAGAAAAAAGGGAAGGCTTTCAGTGAAAGAAATGTAATGTAGCTAGCCATTGAAGGAACCAGGAAGACTCAGCCCTGCACTATCACAAGGAAACAAATGTGAGAAAAGATAAGAAAACTCAATGAGAATGCAATAGGAAGAACCAAAGAAAATTGTCTAAGCAACAGAACAGCACAAGAAAACATACTTAATAGGAGGAAACAGGCACAGTTCTTGAGCAGTGAATCATAAGAATTAGAGGCCATCTAGGTTTCTGATTTTGGAAATAATGTTTTATAGAGTAAAATCTAAAACAGAAAGCAATCATTATAAACAATTTTCTTCCCTCCAAAAACTTTTCACTGGGCACTCTGCGATGCTAATGCCGTAATTACTGCCTCTAACTCTGCACCTCATTCAGAAGTGCTACCGGCAGCACATGCCTTAAGTGAGCCTCAGAGTGTAGTTTTCCTTGCAGCCCTCCACCTCACCCCACAACAGAATAGTCACACTCTGAAGTTCCATAAACACAAGGCTGGGGAAATTGCCTCAGCAAAAAGTGCCTGCTCTCCAACCTACGCTGTCAGTCTAACAAATGGCCATGTTACAGCACCCTCGTTACATTATCCCTCTACCTGTGCTCAAACACTAACCCCTCATACATCCTCAACGATTTTGTTGCAATGAGTATCCTTCTTCTTCATGATTAATTCCTCTTTTCCTCTTTCTTATCTTTGTTTTTCTTTTCTTCTTTTTTTTTTTTGTGTGTGTGACTATTTCTTTTGGAACTGGATCAAGCAAAAAACAACTCCCTCAGTTTTATGATTTCCTATAACATATTCCCATCTGTTTCCGTTCCTCAAAGTTGAGCATCTTGAGCTTTCTACATGCATTGTCCCTTTTTCTTATTCAAATCTCCATGCATTGCCGTCCACCTTCTTCCCCATTACAAAGAAACTACTTTCACGCAAATTTCCAGTGACTGCCTGGATTCAAAGTGCAATGTACATATTTAATCACTCTTCTTTTCCTTCTCTACGACTTCTCTTTTCACTTCTCATGATGTCATTAAAAAATAGCATCTTGGAACACACCCAGCCCTTGATTTCCAAGACACTATTTTCTATTATTTGGGTTTTTTGTTGTTTTTCTACTTAATATTATCTTTGATTTGTTTTTCCCCAACATTCCTTAAAGACAAATGTTTTGCTCTTCTATCCTTAGTTTTTTTTCTGTTAATTATTTACATTCTCTCTGGCTTTAACTAAAATATGTATACTAATGACTTCACATCTTTTTTAACAGTATAGAAATTTTTTTCCAAAATTTAGAGCTGTATTTCCAAATTCCTGCCATACTTCAACACTTGGAAGTAACATTCATGCTTAAATTCAGCATGGCTAACACTGAACTTGTCATCTCCAATCCTGTTTCTATTTCAATTGTCTTCATCTTGGGTAATTGCATCATCTACTCATCTAAGTTGAAAATGATCCTCAATACTCTCTTTACCAAATCCTTCCCTCAACCATGTGTTATTAAGCCCTGTAGATTCTACCTCCTAATTATCTCTCAAATTGGACCCCAGCCCTGCTGCTTTCAATCTATCATCAATTTATTGTTAATGTTTTAAAAAAATCATGTTGAAAGTAAAATGAAAAGGGTTTTTGTGTAAATACCTCCCAGGAGCTCTTACTATTTGTGAATCTTCAATTCATTTAATACTACTGAGTTTCTAGCTTGTCAAATCTTTAATGGATGAGAAAAGCAACCTCTTTACAAGGTTAAATTAAATCATGCATACACAAGTGCCTGCCTCTCGGTAAACACTCAACAATATTATTATTATCATCATCATTAACTTTACTGCTATTATTATGACTTATCCTGGTTTAAACCCATGGAAGTACTACAGATTTTCTTTCAGTGTTCTTTATCATCTAATTACGAACTTCTCTAGCCTCATTTTCTTATGCTCTTTGACAGAAGCCCTGCTTTTAGTGAGGTGCTTTTTCTTCTTGCTTTTCTAAAATAACTACTCAAATTCTTGTTCTTCTTACATAACTACTGAGAAATCTGTCAAAAACCCATTTCAATAATTACTTATTCCAGAAGGACTAACAAGAAAAGATGCACAAGGAAACATTGCAAAGAGACAGAATTTTACAGAATATTGAGACATATCTTAATTGGGGTGGAGGTTTCACAGCTGAATGTCAAAAGTCATCAATCTGTAGAGTAAATGTGTCCATTTTATTATATGTAAAGTATACCTCAGTACATTGATTTCTAAATGATTTCATACAGAACGTCTTCAGTAACTCCTTTCTTCCCAGGCTGAGATATGTGATCATATGTGAGTGTCCAGCGTGCATGCATACAATCTCCGCATAACACTTATTCTATTTTCATCTTATTAAGTGCCGAACTTATTATGAATCTCCCTATAAATTATAGGACACTCTTTTCTAAATCTTTAGCTCCAGCATCTTGTATAAGACCTAAACACAGCAGGACTTCAAAGCATGTTTATAGAATCAGTGAATTAATAATTACACACTGAGTATTTTAAATATGTGTTACCCACAAATGTCCTTTACTCTCATACTTTTGTCAAATTAGTACTAATTTTTCAAAATTCCACTTGGGCATCTTCTTCTACATGAAGACTTTTCTATCCCCTTCCTTGTTACAGTACTTTCCTTTTTCTTTTATTTCAGCTTTTGTATATGGGGCAGCTTTGGGGAATGGTTGGGGAATTATTAGAATCTGTTATCAGAATACTAGGATCAACAGAGATGAATACAAGAATTAAAAGAGGAAAATCCAAGTAAACAGCTTAGACTAGGATAACCTGAAAGTTGAAAAGAAGTTAGGTAAAGTAATGCTTTAACTTAAGGCTATGCTATCTTACTGGTAAGTGTATTATTGGTAAATAATTTACTCAGCTGACATTTTAGGGGTGTGAGAATTAGGAAAGACTGATTCGTATTATAAATTCAGATTGAAATTTGGTAACATTGTAGAAATATCTGAGTAAGCATTTATAATTGATTGAAAGATTAAGATCACATGTTGTGTGACATATCTAATTCATACAATCAAATATTAGAATGTTGCACATAATTGCTAGTTAATAACCACTTTATTTGATCATAAGATTAATAATCATATTAATGTTTTGAAATTAAAAAGTTAAAATATTGCATATTGCATACAGGACTTATTTTCACTTTGTGGGAAACAAACAAGTAAGGATCAGTTAAGGACTGTCATCCATTCATTACAAAGAATATCTGTGCAGCACTGAATACCAAGGACATCTTGAACTGGGAAAACTGTGATGAGAATATGGGACTACATATATCAACTGCATGTCACTTCCAAATATACCAAGAACCTTGACCAGAAAGAACCATAATGCCCACTGGACAGAGGCACTTACAGGGCGTATTACTAATAAATACCAGCCTACAAAGTACCAAGGAGTGTGATCCTGTAAGAAATACATCCCTACCAGCAGGAAAGGCTCCTGGGGTTATAGACGGGCTAGGGGGACCATTTTATAAACATGAAGAATATAAAGTCAAATGACCTGGCCTCAAGGGAACATATAAGCAGTCATGTGACTGACAGTTTGCTTTAATAACCCTATCACATAAAGTATCTTTATTCTTGAACTAGGAAGAGACACAAAATCCAATATCCAATATATTCTCCCCTTTTATATATATATATATATATATACACACACATATATATACACATATATATATACACACACATATATACACATATATATATACACACACAAATATTTATACACACACACACACACACACATATATATAAAATGAATTGAGTGGCCAAATAAGTTGTAAATGAATAAATGATGCATAATATTGGAGAATAGCTCCTTGTGTTAGAGAAGATAGCTATTTTTTTATTTTCCAACTTTCATTTTAAATTAAGGGACACAGGTGCAGGATGTGCAGGTTTGTTACATAGGTAAACATGAACTATGGTGGTTTGCTGCACAGATCATCCCATCACCTAGCTATTAAGCCCAGCATCTATTAGCTATTCTTCCTGATTCACCCCTCCTCTCACCCCACCCCGTCCTCAACAAGCGCCCGTGAGTGTTGCTCCCCACTATGTGTCCATGTGTTCTCATCATTCACCTCCCACTTATAAGTGACAACATGTGGTATTTGGTTTTCTGTTCCTGTGTTAGTTTGCTGAGGATAATGGCTTCCAGCTTTATCCATGTCCCTGCAAAGGACATGATCTTGTTCCTCTTATGGCTGCATAGTATTCCATGTTGTATATGTACCACATTTTCTTTATTCAGTCTATCATTGATGGGCATTCCATGTCTTTGCTATTGTGAATAGTGCTGTATGAACATACAAGTGCATGTGCATGCATGTTTACACTAGAATGATTTATATTCCTTTGGGTATAGACCCAGTAATGAGATTCCTGGATCAAATGGTATTTCTGCCTCTAGGTCTTTGGGGAATCACCACACTGTCTTCCACAATGGTTGAACTAATTTACACACCCACCAACAGTATAAAAGCATTCCTTTTTTTTTTTTTTCCAATAACCTCAAACACACCGGTTATTTTTTGACTTTTTAATAATAGCCATTCTGATTGGTGTGAGATGCTATCTCATTGTGGTTTTTATTTGCATTTCTCTAATGATCAGTAATGTTGAGCTTTCTTTCATATGTTTATTGGCCGTATGTAGAGAAGACAGAATTTTTAAAATCTCAAATGTACCAATTATTGTTTATTCCAAGCCTATAGTTTTTCCTAAAGGAAAACCTCTAGATCTCCAATCAATGTAATTTTAACTAATATTTAGACCCACATGATCCAGCCTCTACCACAGATTGAACTAAATAAAAATGGATAAATCATCCAAAGGCAGCTAATCCTCAGATTTAACAGTCATCTATGATGTCTAGCATGGAAGTGAGATTAGCCAATAGGATTATCAGGTTTGAACCTGACTTGTCAAATGAAGGCATCAAGGTATTTGATAGATGCTAAAACCGAACAGTCATTAGAAAGAGAATACAGAGTGAGGGGATAGTTGTAAACAGCTTGATAAACTGAAGCTATAAGAGTATCAAAATTATAAGTAAGAAAACTAATGATATAGAGAAAAATACAAAGACGGTAAAAAAGCTCAATGGTAAACACAGGAGTATGGAAATGTGCAACTATGTCTCAGTTATTTTAAAAAGCCACCAATTCTAATATCCACGTACAGCTCCATTCTAATAATCTGTTTTTGTGTCCAGCTTTTTCTGGCTTCTCCATTTATATGTGTCTTCCCAACAACCCTATAGTCTCCTAAATTAATTAAGACATAGCTTCTTGAAACAAACAAACAAACAAAAAAGCTATACATTTTAGGCATCCGAACACACAGTTACTGACTAATGCCATATTTATATAAACTATAGAAAAAAGTTAACTTTCTAAGAAACAAAAGTTGTATTTTTATAGAAATTGTCACCCATTATCATTAAATAGTATTTTAAGCATAGATTTTTTTTAATCCACTGAAGAAAAATTACAGCAAAACCAATTAACTCCCTTTATTTCCTTTTTCTACATGACATGAAAGTCTGCACACAGAACTTTAACTTTTAAGTCTGAAAGATAGTCTCTTCATTCTTTTCATTTAACAAAAAACAACTAAAGCTCTTGATATAGCCAGAGAAAAAACAATACTGTGAATGCCAGTGTTCACTAAGAAAATCTTGCTTTAAGGTACAAAGATATCAAAGATCAGTATCATATAGCCAATATAATTCCTAAAACTTTGCATTCACAATTTTGTAAGGAACAGAAATTCTTATGATACATTCACCTAGTATATCACACCAGATTGAATATTTCTTCCAGTAATTTCTGTATATTTAGGTATTGGGATACCTAAAATAAAACAAACACAAATGAATATCTACTGTTTATACACTTCAAAAAATCAAGGAACAAATGCTTCTTATGTTCGATACAAATTACATTGTATACATGTGTGATATCCTGTTCCATGACACAACTGGGTGGGATCAGGGAATTATACAATAGGTTGTAATCATTTTATCTGGGTGCTCTCATTCACTGGGTCAATGCTATTTTTTTTCCCATGAGAACACTCTATAGCAGTAAAGCACCAAATGCCCTCGCCTCTCCTGACTAAAATACAAGGTATTTACAGTGTAGGCCATATGTTAACCTTTTCACAGAAAGAAAAAGATACAATGTTTAGATCTTTCAGAAATAAATGGTACAATTCCATGTCCTAGCCACTGTATCTGTGGAGCTTAGGAGGTCTTGCCCTCATCTAATCACTGATACTTTGCTAACTTCTTCTAAAGCATTATGCCGGAAGACACCATAATAAGTATCCTAGACTTCTGGAAAAAAAGGAAAGAAAAGAAAGAAAAGAAATGAAAGAAAGAAAGAGAGAGAGAGAGAAAGAAAGAAAGAGAAAGAAAGAAAGAAAGAAAGAAAGAAAGAAAGAAAGAAAGAAAGAAAGAAAGAAAGAAAGAAAGAAAGAAAAGAAAGAAAGAAAGAAAGAAAGAAAGAAAGAAGGAAGGAAGGAAGGAAGGAAGGAAGGAAGGAAGGAAGGAAGGAAGGAAGGAAGGAAGGAAGGAAGGAAATTTAGCCCTAGAAACAGTTTATTTGAGCTGCTGTAGCCCTTCTAATCTCTTCGCACCACCCCTGGACAAATGGTATACTTGTTTTACTATCCTATATCAAGGAAAATTCTTCTCCAAGGTTTTATGTGCTTTAAAATTTGTCTCCACTTCCAAGCTCCTCTCTCTCCGTACTCATCTCCCTAAAATACAAAGTACTTTCTTATATTTCATTATTCACTTGTCCTAAGCGTGAAATTATCAGGCCATGTGGGTTGGAGCAGCTGCTTTTTATATATTTGGAGGACTTTTTTTTAATTAATAGGTCCTGAAAACCCTCAAATTACAGCACACAGCAATCCTTTTTACCAAGCTTAGCTAACTCAAATATTAAATAAATAGATAGTAAAGAATGGAAAATTATTTTTGTTTTGTTTTGTTTTAAGGAAATAAATCTTTTTCTGCTTCAGATAAGGCAACTACATGTTATGGTTAATTCTCTATCTTATTTATCTTTTGAACCTATGTATTTCTGGGACAATGACTGAACATCTCATTGGAAAATAATAAATAAATACAATAGAACAAATTATATTTTTCCAACTATCAGAGAAATAAAATTACCAAACATGCATGGCTGTTATAACACAAATGAGAGTGAAATAATTATAGGTTCAGAAAGAGTGAACACTAGTATGTTTATTTAAAGTGTATTTAGAGAATATGACCAGCAAGTTAAAGGTACAAGTTTCCAGATATTATTTGCTTGTGATGATTTCAAAGTAAATCATCCTTACCCATATATGTTTTCACAGTCAGCATGAATTTTGGATAAAAGCTCTGATATAATGAAATGACTTTTAAACTTTTAGAAACTAACCTTTCAGAGTCACTGTCAGGAAATACGGGTAGCTGTTAGATGGAGTCTTTGTGCACCAGTCTGTGAGAAAGAAAATTCTTATTTCCACCAAAGAACAGGTAAAAACCTTAAAATATTTCTCATGAAATGCTTTAATGCTTTCAACTGTCAACCCAGAAGAAGGTATTCAAAAGAAATTGCGGAAAATAAATGTTTTATGAAACATAAGGAAGAATACAAAACATCTCTAATTAACATGCATAAGTGCTTGATAGTCACCGTGTACAAGGCAAGCTCATGTAATGGTTGGATAGTTATTCATACATTTGATCAATCATGCCTTTCTCATAATAAATATAAATCCTTATTGTTGATTGAATAATCTGGTTATAATATTGGCATAAATGGTAATCCATATATTAAATGAAAAGAAACACCTTAATTAAGCCACTATCGCACAGAGCTTTTTGAGGTCACAGGTCTTTTTATTTGCCAATCATATTTGTTAGTCAAGGAGGAAAATAAAATTTTTAAATATGAAAGCAACATTTGTTTTTCCCAAGGAACTATACAAAAAAAAATGCCCTCTGATAGCCATGTGTAACGAGAGAGAGAGAGAGAGAGAGAGAGAGAGAGAGAGAGAGAAAGTGAGAGAGTGAGCAAGAGTGAACTAAAACACTTCTTTAGATAAGGCACAGTACTTGAAAATACAGTCATGTATTGCTTAACTATGGGGATATTTTCTAAGAAATGTATCATTAAGCAATTTTGTAATCATGCAAATATCATAGAGTGTACTTACAAAACAGATAGTTTAGCCTACTATATACCCAGGCTCTATGGTAGAACCTATTGCTCCCTGACTACTATCCTTTAGATCATGTTACTGTACTGAATGCGGTAGACAATTATAACACAATGGTAAGTATTTGTGTATTTAAGCATATGTACATCTAGAAAAGATATCGTAAAAATTGTGGCATAAAAGATATCGTAAAAATTGTGGCATAAAAGATAAAAAATGGTACACCTGTGTATTAGTCTGTTCTCGTGTTGCTATAAAGGAATACTTGAGACTGGGTAATTTATAAAGAAAAGAAGTTGAATTGGCTCACAGCTCCGCAGGTTGTACAAGCTGGCATCTGCTCAGGCTTTGGGGAGGCCTCAGAGAGGTATTACTCATGTAGAAGGTGAAGCAGGAGCCAACATGCCACATGGTAAAGAGTAGGAGCAGAGAGATGGCTAGGGGAGGAACCACACACTTCTAAATAGATCTTGCAAGAACTAACTCGCTATTGTGAGGACAGCACCAAGCCATGATGTATCTGCCCCCGACGACCCAAGCACCTCTCACCAGGCACCACCTCCAACACTGGGGACATGGGATTTGGGTGGGACAAACATCCAAACCATATCTACTTCATAGGGAACTTACCATGAATGGAGCTTACAGGACTGGAAGTTGCTGTGTGGGTGAGTTGGAGAGTAAGTGGTGAGTGAACGTGAAGGCCTAGGATGTTACTGTACACTACTGTAGACTTTAAAACATGGTATACTTAGACTAAGCTAAATTTATGAAAAATATTTTTCTTCAATAATAAATTAAACAGCTTACTGTAACTATTTACTTTATAGACTTTTCAATTTTTTAACTTTTGACTCTTTTGTAATAACACAGCATAAAACATAAACACATTGTACAGCTGTTCAAAACTATTTTCTTTTTTGTATTCTTACTCTATAAGCTTTTATCATTAAAAAAATTTTTGTTAAAAATGAAGACAAAACTCCACACATTACGCTAGGCTTACACAGGGTCAGGATCATCTGCATCACTGTCTTTGACTTCCACAGCTTGTTTCACTAGAAGGTTTTCAGGGATAATAACAGGCATAGAATTCTCTTTCCCTATGATGACAATGCCTTTTTCTGGAATATCTCCTGAAAGACCTATGTGAGGCTGTTTTACAGTTAATGTATTTTTAGTAAGTAGGAGTACACTCTATAATAATGATAAAAAGTATACTTTAGTAAATGCACAAACCAGTAACATAATGGTTTATTATCAAGTATTATGTACTATATATAAGTGTATGTGCTATTATTTTATAGGACTGGTGGCATAGTAGGTTTGTTTACACCAGCATCACCACAGACATACAAATGTGATGTGCTACAATGTTACTGTGGCTACAATGTCACTTGGTGATAGGAATTTTTCACCTCCATTATAATCCATGGAAACAGCATCTTACATGTGGTCCCTCATTGACTGAAACTTTGCTGTGCAGTGCATAAGTATATAAATGAATATACTAATTGCTTCCCCTAGAAAATGTGCTTTGTCTATGTTGCTATTAATAGCAATCTTGCCTTAAAAAAATCTGTGGTAAGGAAGCCTCTCTTGAATTTAATAAGGTTGGGGGTCCATAATACAATAATCTGAAATCAAAAATGCTTGAAAATTTTGGAGCATTTGACATGACGATCAAAGAACATGTTCACTGCAACATTTTGGATTGGATTTACAGATCTGGGATGCGAAACTAGTAAGTACAATGCATGTATTCCAAAACACAAAAACAAAAATCTAAGATCTGAATCATGTCTAGTTCCAAGCATTTCGGATAAAGGACAGTCTACGGATACAGTGATTAGTCCTATTAACTCTATAATAAGGAGGAGCTATTTGGAATTTTTAAAACTTTGCACTTGTAGATATACAGATATTGGGTTAAAACACAAAGCAAAAGTATCATAATTACATAGTCTTTAAAAAAATTTATTCTCAAAATTTGAGACTATATTAGCTTAGCACCAAACCCTTTCTGCCTCGCCCTTCTGGGTAGTGCTGCTTCCTTATTGAAAAATGTTTTTTGACCTTATCTCATAAAGTCATGTTAAGATATTCTCAATGAAAAAATGATTTCACAACTATTTATTTTTGATAAACTTTACGCATTTGATATTATCTGCTTCCTTGCAATTTTGTTTTATCAAAACAGTTTATATGAACCTAGGATCAATATTTACATTCACCAAATTTTTACATACTTCATTTTAGATGAAATCAATTCGGTCATTTGGCATTTACTTCCAAGGCACATTTTGTAACATTAGCTGAAGATGTGTTTTATTGCCCTTCAATAACTAGATATAAACTGTCACACATTTGAAAATTCATCCTAATTAGCTTAGAGTTATATCTTTTTAGCTTCTAGATTCTACTTCACAAATATACTGTAAAAGTTAATAAAGTATATGGTTTTAAGGTCAAAATATTAACTACATATATAGATATATGTATAACTTTATATAATATATATGTATTAACTGTAAAGCACTTTACAAATGTAAATTATTAGTATCATATTTCCTACTCATCAAAAAATATCAAAATGGTTGCATACTTCAACTTCAATTTGTTTTAATACTCTGAAGAAATTTTAAGAAAACAAATTTATTGGATTATCTCTTCAACAGTTCTCTAAACTTTAGTGAGTCCAAAATATACCTGGCAGGCATCTTAAAATGCATATCTCCAGGCCAGACACATAGACATTTAGATAAGCCTGTCATCTATGGGAGCAATAAATCTTCATTCCTAACAAAAATTATAAGAGAATTGAGTTATAGACATCCATGGACCTTAGTCAGAGTATCACACAAGAATACCAAGTAAATTTTCTAAAAATTGTATGTTTTTTAGTTAGTTTAAGTAACTTATTCAAAGCTCAGAAATGTTAAGAACCATTGCTAGCATAATATAAATTCTATGAAATATGTCAAGCACATTTGTAAATATAAAGGGAATGAAATAACCTATGTGTGGTATGCTGTTCATTTAATCCTCAACTTCTAATTATTTATAATCTTGTTTTAAAGAACTGTACATGTACAAGAAGGCATTATAGCACAGAGCAAGATGGTATAAAATGGAGTGCTAACTTGGATATGATTAGGGAATAAATTATATTATATGCACAATAAATATGCTTGAATTACATTAACTTTGAATAATCAGTGAAGACTTCATAAATAGAAATTGATCTGGACTTCAAATAGCTGAATGGCTTTCTGTAGAAGAAGAAAAAAGAAAAAAGTGGGGCCAACGTGAAACACATGAAAAGAAAAGGCTTTCCACAAGAACTAGAAAAAATAGAGTAAAAGAAATTACGGCTTAGAGCAAGAAAGATCAATAGTTTTTGAACACATGAAGCCATTCAAACAGAAAGGAAGTTCACTAATTAAAAAAGAGTATTACAAGTCCTACAGAGACCATGTAAACAGAGTACATATTAACATACCTGAAATGATGGATAGCATTTGTGTAGCTAAACATATATACATCTAGAAAAGATACCATAAAAATAATAATCATTTGACTTTAGGAGCTGGTATAGTTTGACTTTAGGGGCTTGTATAGTTAAATTCAAAATATTAATTTTCCTCTGACTTTATATATAATTTTCCTCTGATTTTAATAATGGGAGAAAGCCTTTGGATGTAGAAAACAACAACAAATTAGAATACTTTTCTAGTGTTCATTGACTTTAAGAGTTAATGGATTAGTTAACTGCCACCTTCCCAGATCTATTGTAGAGATTCTACCTTGAGTAGTTTTTAAAACATAAGCCTTGAAGAAATATGCCTTTAAAAGTAAAGCTTACAAGGCTGAGTTTGGCTGGTATGCTCTAAAGCAGTGGTTTTCAAAGTAAGGACAAATGGGGCTTCTTTCCATTGCCTCGGGAAGCATTGTCTGTTGCTAGTGATGTGGTTTGGCTGTGTCTCCACCTAAATCACAACTTCACATCTTGAATTGTAGCTCCCATAATTCCCACGTGTTGTGGGAGGTACCCTATGTGAGGTAACGAATCATGGGGGTGGGTTTTTCCCGTGCTGTTCTTATGGTAGTGAGTAAGTCTCACAGGATATGATGGTTTTATGAAGAGGAGTTCCTCTGCAAACGCTCTCTGTTTGCCTGCCGCCGTTTAAGATGTGACTTTGCCCCTCCTTTGCTGTCCGCCATGATTGTGAGGCCTCCCCAGCCATGTGGAACTGTGAGTCAGTTCCATTTAAACCTCTTTCCTGCTTGCAGTGAGCAGGGTGACAGAGCGAGACTCCGTCTCATAAATAAATAAATAAATAAATAAATAAATAAATAAATAAATAAACAAACCTCTTTCCGTTATAAATCACCAGGTCTTGGGTATGTTTTTATTAGCAGCGTGAGAACAGACTAATACAACTAGTAATATTTAAATACCATAATTTTAAAAACCCAAAGTATCTACCTTTATTTTAGTTACATAAACTACCACCTTTTTTTTTTTTTTTGAGACGGAGTCTCGCTCTTTCGCCCGCCCAGGCCAGAGTGCAGTGGCACAATCTTGGCTCACTGCAAGCTCCGCCACCTGGGTTCACGCCATTCTCCTGCCTCAGCCTCCTCAGTAGCTGGGACTACAGGCGCCCGCCACCACGCCCGGCTAATTTTTTGTATTTTTAGTAGAGACGGGGTTTCACTGTGTTGGCCACTGACAACTTTTAAAAAGATTTTAAATTAAAACATCCTAGACCTGGAATTTCATTATCAACAGTGATACTGAGTTGTGACTCTGCAAAGTATAGAGAGTATGTGAAGATATTAGGCAAGGTCCCCGCTTTTGGGGGATTAAAAGACAAAATATATAAATTAGTTCTCAGTCATCTTTTCATCTCCATGTTTTGGCAAAAAGTAGTCACTCAATAAATATTTATTGAATGAATAAATGGTGACTAGAAAGACCAATAATAAATACAAAGTAGCACAACCCAAGTGTAACTAAATTATAGACTCTATAATTCTTCATTCTATCTAGGCTGTCAATACTAGCCTCAGGAAAGTAATGTAAGGTATATTAGACTCCAAAGGGGGCAAAGGACTTACATCAATGGCAGAAAGAGAAGAGAATTTTAAGGGAACCTCTGCAGGCAAGAGAATTCAAGCAAACAGCCAGCCAATTTGGCTGGAGCAAAGAGTGTACTAAGGAAAATGGTGGAAAATAAATTCAATGCGTTCCCTAAAACTATCTAAATATTTTACCAAAAAGCAGTTACAGACAGTCCTCAGTTTATGAGTTCACCTTACAATTTTTTGACTTTATGATGGTGCAAAGGCTATATGCATTCAGTAGGGACCATACTTCCAGTACTCATACAACCACTCTGAATTTAATTTTCAGTACGATAGTCAATAGATTACATGAGGTATTCAGCACTTTATTATAAAATAGGCTTTGTGTTAGATGATTTTGCCTAACTGTAGGCTAATGTAAGTGTTCTGAAGATGTTTAACGTAAACTAGGCTACGCTATGATGGTTGCTAAGTTAAGTGTAATAAATGCATTTTCAACACAGCATTTTCAGCTTATGACAGGTTATGGGATGTCAGTTCATTGAAAGTCGAGGAGCATCTGTATATTTATTTGAAAGATTTTTTTTACTATAGTATTTGTCATTGTTTTAAATCATATAATGTACTTTGTTTTTCTCAAAGGGACACTGAGCAAGCATATATTTGCTTTGTTTTGCTTAGTTATGTTTCTTTTCCTAAGTATGCTTGAAGTACTGAGTTATAGAGCTAGATGGAAGTTGGACTGCAGAGGGTTTTGAATAATAAATCCAGGAATATGATAAGATCCTTACACAATAGGGAACCATTTGAGGGAAATCTTGTTGATAAGGTTATTCTGTGCCAATGGATTTGTTAAAGTTAGTGCTTTTATAGTGGTGGCAAAATGGATCCTTGGAATGGATGAAGTCCAATGTTTCAGAACATGTTTCCAAACATGTTTACATGTCATTATTTCTGGCCCAATATGTTTAAAACACTCAGGTGAATATTTGTCATTCTCCAATGACAAAAGCTGTTTCTGATTTCAGTAATTTTAGATTTCAATAAAATATTAAAATTTTGGCCAAAATAGAAACCTAAATTAAATGAGAATAGCCTGTTTCTCTTTCAGCTATGATGGAGTTGACTGTAATCTTAGCAATCAAAGGTTGCATCTGAAGAGATATCTCTAGATAAACTGATTTGCTGAGATGGCACAATATTGTTAACAAACATCATATAAGGGGTAAATAAGAAAATGAGATCATGAAGTATTGTTAATAAAATTATTGTCTTGTATCTTTTATATGGTATTTAAAAAGAGCATAATTCATTACAATGTTTTCCCCATTTACTTAAAGAACAGTAACATTTGCTTTAACCTTTAAGTGTGTGTATATATACATATATATACTTATATATAAAATTAAAAAAATTTTTAAATAACCTACTACAATTCCCTTTGTGCTAGAATATAATTCCCTACTTTCTAAAATTATCATTCACTTCAAAACATATTTTTGCCAGGGTATTCTCTTTATTTCCAAATACATGACCCACGGGGATATTAATCCTCTGATGGTAAGTCAACATTAGAATAAAGGGGAAAAAAAGGAATTATTCTCAAATGCATATTTTCTACCCTTTTCCTAGAGAAAGAGCTTTGTCTTTTTTTGCTTTATTTTTGTTCTATTCATAAATACTACTACAGTATTTTCTTTGTAAAGCAACTTTGTAAATATGAATAAATGAACTGAAAGAACTTCCAACTACTCCTCAGACTGATGTAGAACTTCAAATTTTGCTGTAAATCATTTTTAGAATATGATTAAATTAAAGTAACCCCTCAGGGGAGAAATTTAGTGGTCGTTCACCTAAATAATTTTTTGTGAAGGTCAGTAGCCAGAGAAAGTTTAAACTATCACAAAATAATTGTATTGAGGTATTTTTATAGGACTTAAACATTTTGAAGATAACAGTTTTGAAATTTTCAAATTTTGAAATATACTATGTAGACTATAAAGTCAAATCCTCATTAATTTGAGAGGCAGAAATCTAATACAACTTTTAATAACATAAATTTTATTTTGTCATTTTAACAATTCCTTTACACTGATTAATGTGATTATTTTAGATATGGAATCTTTTTAATATAACATAATGCATGACTTTAAATTTTTCATTTCTTAAATCAACCAGTTTTTGTGAGCACATCCTAGATATTAGACACTATGAATGATACAATTAGAAGACATTGATTTAGCCTTCAAGAAACACCAAATCAAGCAGTGGAGATTAGAAGTTTACTAATAACCACGAGTCAAGTCAGATAATTATACCATTAAATGAATGTAGGTAAAATGACACAAAGATTAGAGAATGAAATTATCTTCAACTGGGAATCAGGACAATTTTTGTGAAAGAGTCGATATCTGAGATGACTACCGAAGGTGAAACCAAAACAATTGGGGATGAAGGTCATTTCATAGAGGACAGGAGAACAGAGGCAAAAAAGAAAACATGGCAAGATGGAAAAACATACAGGGAACATAAAGTTATTTATTTGGGTTTGAGAAGTGAATTCATAAAATGCATTCTCATGCAAGATGAAATTGGAAAAATTGGTTGGAATTTGATTTTGGATGAGATAACTACATAATCTAAAATAGGACAACTTTGAGAGTAAAAGGGGCATGGTTAATAATTATACCAGGGCAACAGACAGACTGGAATAGACTATCTCAAACATATCAGAGTGTATGGATAGGCTATTTATAGGAGGTCTTTAATCCCAGACTGGTGTGTTTAGACTTAGTTTTATAGGCAATGAGGACTAAAAAAGTACTGATATATATATATATATAAGTTGCTTTAAAATGAAAATTGTATCTAATGGGAAAATCAGATAAGCATGAAGAATAGTTAGGAGTCTATGGAAGGTAATCACCACTCTTTCTGAATATAGCATATTCATAATCTATTATATAACATTGATTCCATGGAACGTTTAGTAGCAATGGGTAATAATTAAAACAGATTGGCCAAGAGTTCAAGAAAGTGGAATTACTTGACTGAAATCATTTCTATCCCTAACAGACATTTAACCACTATATAGGATATACAGGAAACTACCACATTTTTGTTTTCAAATGTTTTCAAATGAGGTAATTTCCTGAAACCTTGGTTTTAACATTCTTTCTTGCCCAATATAGTTTCTCAAAATTTAAAATGTATTAAAGTGGTATAGAAATTTATCACTATTTAACCCATTTATTTGAAGGCTAGTTACAAAAGATAAAATTAGCACCAATGCCCCAGCCTGCTTTCTTGTTTCTATAACTACTTGTATTGTATTTCACTGGTATACGTATGTCCTTCAAAATTCTAAGGCAGTTCAGCTATTGAATTTTACATTGAATTTTCTGTTCATCTATATTTGCTTTTTGTAAAATGTTTTGGGGCTTTGTACAGAAGAGACACATAAAATTGTAGATATCTGAAAGCAAAAGAAATTTGACTCCTTTCATGCCTTGCATGACAGCCCACCTTATTAAGATATTGAGTAGCTAATTCTTGTGAGAAGCCATTTGATCTATGATTAAAATAGTTCATGAAAGGAACCTAGTAGTACAAATGCAATTCAAAACCACAAGAAATTTCCTCTAATATTAAAAAGTAAATATAGATGTTATATAAAACTGTTAATGCATAAAAGGAGAACTATAAACACCTAAACAACTATGAACTATATTTTTCACACAAAAAAATTAATTTGCTCATTTTACAAATTCTGAAATTTTAATGCATTATTGACTTATTCCAAAAAAAATAGCAACAACAATGAAATTTTGAAAGGATAAATAGCTATTCCTTGTTTAATAAAAAATGTATTAAAACTCAACCTTACAGTTTACAAAAATACTTTGTACTTGGAGCAAATTAACCTTGAGGATAAACTTCCGTTATTGTATAAAAATGTGCTGTTTTCACAGATCCTAATCTATAGAATATTTAAATAATGCAATTCACATGCTTGATCTAATAGACATATATGGAATAGTCTACCCAATATCTTGAGAATATTCAATTGACTCAAACAAACTTGAAATATAAAGTTGATCATGAATAAGCTATAAAACAAGATTTAATAAAATTCAGAGAATTGGTTTTTCAAAGAATCTATTCTTTGCCCATATGCAATGGTTAGAACCCAAAAACATGATATTAGTATGTAGTTTTAAAATGCATAAAATAAAAAATTTAAAACACTCCTAATTTAATTTCATTTTGGAAAGAATAATAGACTGTCAATACTAATAATAAAAAATAAAAGAAATCAGAAATTATGTACAATTTACATAAGTTGTCAAATATAAATATTTATTAATTAAGAAATAAAGATTACAACCAGAACACCATTTTATGCTCACAAGACAAGCCAAAATTAGAAAGTCTGATAATACCAAATATTGGTATCAGCTACAGAGCCACTCTGATAAGCTTATTGTGTATATTTACATTACTGCTTAATATCATGCTCTGACATTATCTATCACATTTCATTGATTTTAAGATGCATTTTTTTTTGCCTCTCTGTAAAGATAAAATATCCCAGCAATCCAACTATAACTCACTCTGGCTAGAGATATGCTTGCACATAGAATGAGACATTTAAAACAATAGTCACAAAATAGCTGCTTTTAATAAAAGGAATTCAGCCGGGGACAGAGGCTCACACCTGTAATCCCAATACTTTTGGAGGCTGAGGTGGGCGGATCATGAGGTCAGGAGTTCGAGACCAGCCTGGCCAACATGGTGAAACCCCGTCTCTACTAAAAATGCAAAAATCAGCCAGTCATGGTGGTGGATACTTGTAGCCCCAGCTACTTGGGAGGCTGAGGCAGGAGAATCTCTTGATTCTCACTGGGAGACGGAGGTTGCAGTGAACAGAGATCACATCACTGCACTCTAGCCTGGGTGACAGAGCGAGACTTCCTCTCAAAATAAATAAATAAATAAATAATTCCTCAAACAATACAAATGTTCATTTACAAGGGAAAGATAATTCAATTTTGCAAAAGAGTACAATAGAAAATACAGGGTAGTGAAAAGAAATTAGTGGCACTTGTATTTCATGAATAACTTTCACAAGCACAATAATACTGAACATTAATAATACTGAAGTAACATAAAATAAATACTTTCTGGTACTTTTTTAAAGTAGCAAAAGTAAACAATATTTAGAAGTATATATATAGAAATAAATATATAATATATATATACTACAAATACAAAAAGAGAAAAAAGTCAGGAAGAATGCTACATCTAATGAGTAGAAAGACAGGGTATGTTTGAGTAGACTTTAGTTATATTGATAATTTCTACTTAAACTCTGTGATGGGTTTTCAAAAGTTTGTATTTGTGATATTATTCCTTACATCATTTTGATGGTATTAAATATTTAATGATACATTTTTAATGTTTAAAAAGGTTACTGATTGTGGCTTAAGACTGCATGATGCCAAAATATTCAGATGTCAAGGGTTTTCAAATGTTCTTATTGTAGCATTATGAAGGGAAAACATCTGAATGATGTCTACTTGAAAATTTTATGTTTTATACTTTTTGGGTCATTGGACTTATCAGTATAGCTCTTCTACTCCAAATCACATTGCCAAGACATCTGTCTTTTTGCTCTCTTCTTGTCATTGTACTCTTAGGATTGTTTATTTAAAAATATTGTGCTTATTGAAAAAAGTCATCTTTAAAAATGCACACTTCATGAAAATAAAGCAGTATAAAACAAAAAAGCAAATCTCCTTCTGAAGCTCATGCCCTAAAGGCAGCCACTGGCAACAGATAACTTTTTTATAAAATTCCAGAATTTTTTTGTGCTTATGAGTAGATATGAATGTCTTTTTGTAAACCCAAGTAGGAGCATACTATAAATACTGTCATGCATTTTTATTTTTTTACTTATCTTGATGATCCTTAATAAACAAATATATCTATTTTGCTTACTCTTGAAACAGTTAAAATCTCACAAGATTATTTGTTTTTGAAGTTTTGACAGGGCTAACCTATAAAATATTTGAGCCTGGTGTCTTTTTAGGGATGTAGGACTTTAATGTATTTTTCTTCCATAACAACTGTTCTCTTTAGAATTTCTCTCTGGGATCAAATTTGTTTACCCTATGTTTTCCTCTAATGAGTTAATTCTTCTAAAATTTTAAATATATTTACTAAAATTTCCATCAATTTTCTCTTTTGGGTTATTTTCTAATTACTATTATTAATTTCTATGTGGGCTTTCTCTCCTTTTTCCTAATTGTGATAGGTGGTAGTATGCCTGTTCACTGCATCAAAAAGCCATTCATGATATATGTATCAGCATAAGAATATAAATATAAAATGTCTGCTTTTATCTTACATTTTCTGGTTTTCTTATTTTTTTTCTAATGGTTTGAATAGAATGCTTTCCATATTTTTAATTTTTTTTATTTCTTTTCTTTGAGATGGAGTCTCACTCTGTCACCCAGGCTGGAGTGCAGTGGCACGATCTCGGTTCATTGCAACCTCCACGGCCAGATTCAAACAGTTCTCCTGCCTCAGCCTCCCTAGTGACTGGGACCACAGTTGTGCACCACTTCGCCTGGCTAATTTTTGTATTTTTAGAAGAGATGGGGTTTTGCTATGCTGGACAAACTGGTCCGGAGCTCCTGACCTCAGGTGATCTGCCCACCTCAGGTGATCCGCCCACCTCAGCCTCCCAAGGTGCTGGGATTACAGATGTGAGCCACAGCACCCAGTATTATTATTATTATTATTATTATTATTATTATTATTATTTTTGAGACGAAGTCTCACTCTGTCATCCAGGCTGGAGTGCAGTGGCATGATCTCTGCTCACTGCAAGCTCCGCCTCCCGGGTTCACGCCATTCTCCTGCCTCAGCCTCCAGAGTAGCTGGGACTACAGGCGCCCGCCACCATGCCCGGCTAATTTTTTGTATTTTTAGTAGAGATGGGGCTTCACCGTGTTAGCCAGGATGGTCTCGATCTCCTGACCTCGTGATCCGCCCGCCTGGGCCTCCCCAAGTGCTGGGATTACAGGCGTGAGCCACCGCGCCCAGCAGCCTTATTTTTAATTCTAAATTTTATAGATTACCACTATGAGTTTTCCTCTGAACATTTCTACTTAAACCATATTTTACATAGTGTAGAATGTAATTTTAAAAATATTTCCTAGAACATATATTTACATGTAATACATAATATAATGTAGAATATATCCTAGGAAATATGTATATACTATGGACTGAATGTTTCTATGACTCCAAAATTAGTATGCTGAAAATTTAACCCCAATGTGATGGTATTAGGAGGTGGGGCTTTCAGAAGTTAACTAGGTCATGAGGGTAAAGTCCTCATAAATGAAATTAGTGCCCTTATAAAAGAGATTTGAAGAGCTCTCTCTCCTTCAGCCATGTGAGGATGCAGCAAGAAGATGACTATTTATGAAAAAAGAAGTGTGCCTTCACCAGACACCAGATCTGCCAATACCTTGATCCTGGACGTCTAAGTCTCCAGAACTGTGAGAAAACAATGTTTGTTGTTTAAACCACCCAGTTTATGATATGTTTGTTATAGCAGTCTGAACAGACTGAAATAATACGTACTTTCACATATATATATATATATGTTGTGTGTGTGTGTGTGTGTGTGTGTGTGTGTGTGTATCTCCTAGATTTTCTACCATTTTGTATTATGTTTTACCCTTAATTAAATTAGCCAATATTTGGAAGAAAGTTTGGGTTTTTGTTTTTGTTGTTTTTAATCTGGGTCTTACTTTTCGAATGTTTGTTGGGGTTCATTTGTCTTGCTAAGTTGAGTTTCAAATGCACGTTGATAAAAGAATTTGATTTGCATAATTTGTATTTAGTAGATATAAAATAAATGGAGGAATAAACCCTAGAAAAGATAATACTCTATTTTATTAGTGTTCATTATATATCTTAGTGATAATCAGTATCATAGTAACAATGACATTCATTGTCTGGCTGAGGCAATGACAAAATCATAGCTCACTGCAACGTCTATTTCCCAGGCTCAAGTGATCCTCCTGCCTCAGCCTGCTGAGTAGCTAGGACTTCAGGCGTGTGCCACTACATCCAGCTAATTTTTTAAATTTTTAGTAGAGACAAGGTCTCACTATGCTGCCCATGCTGCTCTCGAACTCCTAAACCCAAGCTATCCACCCACTTGGGCCTCCCAAAGTGCTAGGACTACAGGCATGAGGCAACACACCCAGGCACCACTAATTAATTTAGATTTGCATGTTTCTTTTAGGTCTTCATTATCATTTTTCTTGCAATGTGCCTCAGTTACTAAGGTGTAGCTGTGCTTCTTGCATATAGTGGTACGCACTTTCAATCATATAATTAAAAGCTATAATTCTGACTCTAAAATTAGTTTTCCTAGTGTTAAATCCGTATTATATTATCTACTAGCTATAGGCATTAACCAAGCTATGATAAAAAGATAAAGATAAAATGAGACAAGAGAATTAAAAGTTCTGAGATCAGTATGTGTTATCTAAGAAGTGTTCAAAATTATTTGTGTAAGTTTTTAAGCAGCTTGTATTTCTTTCATGCCGTCTAAGATGGACTTTTTTGCTTTAATATTATTTATATGCTAACATATTTTTCACATATGAAATACATTTTTGGTTCCATGGTTCTTTCCTACTCAAATAATTGTATCATTATTGAAATGATATTTAATTTGTGCATAAGAGGCAGGGAGAACTCACATTTTCATGGTGTAGAGCAAGGGTTTGCAAACTATGGCCCATGGAACTTACCTGGCAAATGGTCTATTCCTATATGACCAGTGAGATGGGAATTTTAAAAAATATTTAAAAGGATTGTTTAAAAAAATCATATGTCGCGAAAGCATAAAACATTTAGTTTCTGCTTTACAACAATGAAAAAATTACCAAACTGATTTTAGAGGCTTTCTATCAAATAATGTCGCATAAATTTTCGTTTGCTTAAGTCAGCGTTCCAAAGATATTAGGAACATTTAGGCCTACACTGGCTGGGTTCAAATGCCATCTCTGCCATCTACCATATATGTGCATTTGCAAGTTTCTCTAAAGCTCAGTTAACTTATCTATAAAATTGAAATATTACGGTAATTACAGAATTGTGATGATTAGCTTTGTGCTAATATATGCAGAAAACTCAGAGGATGAGTGGAACAAAGTAAGGGCTTGATAAGTTTTGTTGGTTATTGCATCGTGCTGCTCTTTAAAGCAACACATATTATTAGAGACAAAAGGAAATTTCATAACACAGCTTCAAAAGATAACAAATTTCTCTCAGTAATTATTTCAACAAGCAGAGAAAATCTTACTAATTTTAGAGATTTACTTATTGGTTAATCAACTTTACCTAGTCAACCTATGTAGAACATTCTACTTACAACAGCAATGTATTTTTTAAGTACATTTCAAACATTTGCCAAAATGAACCATATGCTGTCCCATAAATAAAGCCTCAATTATTTAATTATTTTCATAGAAATAAAGCCATACTTGCAGTGAGCCGAGATCACACCACTGCACTCCAGCCTGGGCGACAGAGTGTGACTCTGTCAAAAAAAAAAAAAAGAAAGAAAGAAAAGAAAGAAAGAAAGAAAGAAAGGAAACCATACAAATGATGTTCTCTGACCACAGTGGAATTATTAAACTAGAAATAATAAAGATAACTAAAAATCTTCATGTTTGGAAATTCAGCAGTATACCCAATCCAAGAGTCAAAGAAAGAATCTCAAAAGAAATATTTAAATATTTTGAACTGAAATGTAATGAAAAACAACATATTAAAGCATGTAGGATGCTGCTAAAGCAATGCTTAAGAGAAAATAAAAAAGGGTAAAAAAATCAATGATCTCAACCTTCCATCTCAATCTCAAAAAAGAAAAAAAATGCAATAAAACAAAGAAACAATAATATAAGAATACATAAAGTAACTAATATGAAGAAGAAATAAAAGTCAATAAATCCAAATTTTGAATTTTTCAAAAATATTAGTAAGAGTAATAAGTGAGAAAGAAAATAAATTGTCAACACAAAAAAAGTGGCTATCACTACAATTCCTACAGAAATTGTAAAGCCAGTAAGAGGCTGCTAACAAGTGGGGGTTTTCCCATAAAGGCAAGGTTTGTTTAACATTTGAAAATAATGTGATTCATTAACAGAGAAAAAAAGAAAACCATATGGTCATCTCAATTAATAACACGAGAATATCTGTTGGATGGTTTGTAACAAAGGATAAATGCTTGAGGGGATAGATACCCCATTTTCCATGATGTGATTATTACACATTGCATACCTTATCAAAATATCTCGTGTACCCCATAAATATATACACCTACTACGTACCGACAAAAATTAAAAATAAAGATTGTTTTTAAAAAAGAGAACATCTGATAAAATTCAACCCTCATTCATGAGAAAAGAAACAAATACACTAGGATATAATGGACCTTCCTTAATTTGATAAAGTATATCTACTAAAAATCTACAGAGAGCATCATAATAATGATGAAATACTAATCTGTTTCTTTAGTACATAATGAACAAGATAAAGATGGTAAATACTAATCATAATCTGTATTCTGTTTGCATAGGGTTGAGCCAACTAATCTTGCTATTCGTTTTCATTTCTTATTTTGGTAGTTTTTGCTTTACCCTCAACAGCTTTCCAAATACTTTTGAATTAAATTAGTTAAATGTTCATCTACTTTATTATCTCTTTTGCCGAAAATTTCTTCTTAAATTTATTTATTATTTTGGACATTTTTTCATTGCTTCATTATGCTAATATTTTATAATTAATAATTATTTATACTCTTTCTTCAAATTTATATTGTAGTTTTTTTTTATCTCCCAGGTTAGAATCCTTAATTCACTTAGTTTTTTTTTCATTTCCTTCATTTTATTTAAATGCAGACTGTTCTCTGAGCAGTTGTGTGTGAGAACAAATTATTTTGCATTTATTTTTTCCCAGCCAGCAGAGGTTGTCTTCTAGACAGCAGTTTACAGAGCAGAGTACGTTTCTCTTCCCCAGATTGCAAACATATCTAATCTGTGTGAATCCTCATTTATTTTATTTTATCCTGCTTCCTTTGGGCCAAAGTAGAGTTGAGAAGCTCCTAACTTCATCTGTTCTCACTTTTCTATTCCCATTATCCAAAACATGATATTGTCAGTTTTGTGCAGAGTATAAGCCTCATACTAGGGAGAAATTTGCTTTGCAGAATTTGTTTTAAACCTTCAGTTGGGGCATCATATTCAGCCACATTTTGTAATGTGTTTTGAGTGTATTGCATTTGCAATTTAGGGTTACAGAGAGGACTTGGTTTTTCTAGTAATTGCAATGTGAGTCAAATGGCAATATCATATGAATGTCAGACTTTATTTCAGGTTGGACCAAAATATCAGTGTTAATACTGGCATATTTTATTTAAAAATCTGTTCAGAATTTGTAAAGAAATAAGTAAAACTAAATAAGCAATACATTTCTGGCAAATAAAGGTATAAATATATTCTAAATCATCAAATAAAACTAAATAGGTAAAAATATATTGGTAAACTAAACGGGTTTAAAAAAAAAAAAAAAGCATTGGCCTAAGGAGCAGGAAAGAAAGGTCTGTTGGGTCCAGAGCATGCAGATCATCAAGATATAGACCATGTGCTGTGGCCTTGGTGATCTGGTGTACTCTGTTCCCAATAGGCCTGTGCCTCCTGCTTGACCAGGATGCCCTGAGCGCCACTCTGACCAGCACTCTTGCTCAAACTCCACTCAAGTAGCCAGTGACAATGAAATGGATTTCCCTGCGACCTGTCCAGGATTCATTTGTGGAAAAATATTTCAGCTTGTTAAATTTAAGAACTGGCCACCCATCCTTGGCCGTCACCTTGACCCCCTACTCTCCATAAAGCCACACTCCAAACTTGGTTTAGGAATTTTCATCTAACTTGGCTCAGTATTCTCCAACACCATTTACCTGAAAAACTTTGCTAAAACTGTGAAAGTAGGATGAGAATAAGCAAAGTATGGGAGAGTTAAGAACGAACGTAGTATGAAGATTTAAAGAGAATGAAGGGGGAGGGAAAATGAGATGGTTTAAGGTTATTTACAAGTAATTTCTGCTGACTTTTTCATTTTCAAATAATTCTTTCTTATATTTGACAATTTGGGACACATCTTTATGAACATTTTAAAGAAAGATGAACTGTGTGCCAGTAGTCAGTAACAATTTCACCATTTATACTCTCTCCTCTATTACAAGAGCCAGAAGCCTTGAAACCGTATTTCTCATAATGGTTAGTAGCATGATTCCAGAATAGAGTTTTCCAGTGAGAAGCAATTATGCAAAATTTGGAAAGAAAAGCGAAGCAGAAGCCATTTTTGCATTTGAAGAAGTGTAGGCCAATATATGAAGATGCAAATATGAGACATTGCCAGTGATATCTGAGACTCCTTTCACAAAATATCTCTAATTCTGCAAATAACTCAATTCAATGGTATGAACAGTTGATATAGACCATTTAGGTTTTTTCCTGCTATTCCTGTATTTTCTGGACCTATTCTGGCTTTCCTGAGATTTGTACCAATAGTCTTCCAGTACTTTTATTCATTTCTAATTTTCTATTTTAAATCACTTACTGTTTGAAATATTTGGAGAGGTTTCCATTTTCCTGACCAAATCATAGCAGACACAGACTACAATATATTTATTGACAGAACCTCTAAACTTTGCTTCAACAAAAGCAATTATTTTTGTTCATCTTAAGTTCTTCATATACAGGTAAAAGTTCTGATATAAATGTTAAATGTATAACTTGTAATACTATATCATCATATTCCATATGTTTAGAAAATATTTGAATGAGAATAATAATTATATTGCAATTTAAACTTGCCATAACATAACATAGTTGCTTACTGCAATTCTACAAAGCACACACCTGTCTGGGTTGAAACTGCCCATTATTTTACAAATAACAAAATAATTGGTCTTGAGCTACAGATGTAAATTATTTAGAAACTAAATTTTAAATTGACAAAATAATGTTACTACACCAACAAAAATACATTTTTCAATGCTTAAAATATCATGGTCTGGTGGAATGCTTAAATATGGACAACTGTTATTGCAATCACTAATTTCAATGAAAACTGAGTTTGTATTTTTTGCAATTCTCTCAGATATTTACTGGCTATTACTAAGAGGAGAATGGAGAAATTATATCTTTTTGTTTATTTCTTTCTAATCTATCCCTTATTCCTCAAATCTTCACCACGTATAACCCAGGTAGCCAGTCATCATTGAATAAAATTAGATAAATGTGGCACAGAATGTGTGGATTTTTTCTGCAGCTAAATTTGAAGGGTTATAGTTTTTTTGCTACAAAGTGGGTAATTGCTAAAAGAATAATGTAAAGACATTTGTCATTCTTTTTAATTTAAAACTATTTCTTCTCTTAACTCATAATAAATATGTATAGTAAAGAACATTGTTACTAAAAGGGGGAACTTGAAAACAGTCTTTAGAGAATCTTTTTATCTCCTATACTATTTACAAACTTTATTTCAAAGTGTTATCAAACCTAATGATGGATTAAACAGTGAATAAAACAATTTATGTAGGAATAGTCATCATTTGCTTTCTTGGAAATATGGATAATTTATAGCTATTTGTATCTAAAAATATGTAGTACTGCATTTTAATAATATTTTACATATTTATTAGAAAAATAAAACAATAGTTCTGTTTTTCTGTAACAAATTTTTTAACGTCTTCATATGATTATTTAAAAAATGTTTCATCAGAGAGGATTGTCTGGTAGAAACATCAGAAAGATTAATAATTCTGTTGGTAGAACATGACTGAGGAGCTTGAGAGAAAAATGAGATTGGAATGATTTCAGAAAGCATGAGTTTAAGAAAGTTTTACACTTTTTTCATATATCTCAAGGACTAAATCATTTATTTGAAATTTGCTTATTTTTACTATAGAAACTCACTAATTATATTACAGAACACAATATTGCCATGACTCTTTTTCAGTGGATACAAAACAACAAGGTCTTCTGGGACACATTAGTGTGGTTTCAACCTGTTACCCTGGCTAGCTAATGAAACCATGTTTAGGGATATTAGAGATATAACACCTTGTTAAAGAATTAATTTTAGAAATATTGAGTAGAATATGTTGTTTTACTAAGGAAATTATTAAGCAGAATGTAGGGTGTTTTCCTATATAGTTTCCCAAGAAACAATAGAGATATTTATCAAGTGGTTTTGATAAATGAATATTATTTGAGGCACTGTATTATATTTTATCAGTTTAGGAAAAGAACATAAATTGTGGGAAACAAAGTTTGCAATAATATGCCATTCACTGTTTTTTAAAAATCGTTGCTCTCTCCAGGACGCATTGTTCAATGACAGATTCTTTCTGCATGTTGAATATGTGGTATTCTTAACATTTTCAACTTTTCCCCTTTATATATTTATCTAAACTATTTTGACTTTTATAGTTGAATTTCTATTGAGATTTCAAATAATCTTTATTTATTTCTTACCTCATTAAACTTACATTTGAAGAGTTATCAAGGCAATTCTATTTCTGTCAAAACTCATGTGTGTATCAATTTGTCAAAAAAAAATTTAAATTTATAGATAGAAAGCAAAGAAGGCCTCTCCTTTAGGTCAGCCTGGTGCATAGTACACCAGGATTGGGAAAAAGAAATTTTATAAAAACTGAAATAATGAAAAAAGATTATGTAAAATATGTAGGGTTTTAAAGCCATTCCCCTCAGGTTTAACATATTTAAAAACAAAAGGTATATTTGCTGCTTTTCTATGAAAACTAGTTTTCTTTGTAGAAAACTAGTTGCTTACAAAACTAAACATAGTCTTACCATAGAACCAAGCAATTGCTTTCCTAGATATCTACCCAAATGAGTTAAAAGCCATATCCACAGAAAAACTTGCACATGAATTTTTATAGAGGGTGTATTGCCAAAAACTGGAAGCAACAAAGATGTCCCTCAAAAGGGCAAATGGATAAAAAAAAAATTGTGGTACAGTCAGACAATGGAATATTATTCAGCAATATAAAGAAATGACCTATCAAGTCTCAAAAATATGGAGGAACTTTAAGTGTCCATTGCTAAATAAAAGAAACCAGTCTGAGAAGGCTATATCTTGTTTGATTCCAACTACGTGACCTGCAGGAAAAGGCAAAACTACAGAGACAGTAAAAAAGATCATTGGTTGCCGGGGGTTCAAGTTGGGAGAAGAGACATAAATAGGTAAAACACAGGGGATTTCTAGGACAGTGAAGCTAGCCTACAAGATACCGTAAAGGTGGTTATGTGACATTATACACTTGTCAAAATCCATATGACTGCACAACACAAAGAGGAACCCTAATGTAAACTATGGATTTTAGTTAATACAGTATTTCAGTATGTTGATTAACTGCAAGAAATGTACCACAGAATGCAAGAGATTAATAATAGAAGAAGCTGTGAGTGAGGGAGAATGAGTATATGGGAACTCTATATGATCTGCTAAATTTTCTGTAAACCTAAAATTGCTCTAAAAAATAAGTTCTGCTAATTAAAAACATTAATCAGTAAACAATATAAATAACCAGCTCCACTGAAAAGTTAATTTATTAACTAGGGTATAGTTCCCAATTTAAAAACAGGTCATATTAAAAAATGCACTTAACTAAAATTAAGTTAAATGCACTTAACTAAAATTTATACAAAACTTTGCATACTGTTTTCTTTGTAAACAATGTAACAACTACCATCAGAGTGAGTAGGCAACCTACAAAATGGGAGAAAATTTTCACAACCTACTCATCTGACAAAGAGCTAATATCCAGAATCTACAATGAACTCAAACAAATTTACAAGAAAAAAACAAACAACCCCATCAAAAAGTGGGCAAAGGATATGAACAGACACTTCTCAAAAGAAGACATTTATGCTGCCAACAGACACATGAAAAAATGCTCATCATCACTGGCCATCAGAGAAATGCAAATCAAAACCACAATGAGATACCATCTCACACCAGTTAGAATGGCAATCATTAAAAAGTCAGGAAACAACAGGTGCTGGAGAGGATGTGGAGAAATAGGAACACTTTTACACTGTTGGTGGGACTGTAAACTAGTTCAACCATTGTGGAAGTCAGTGTGGCAATTCCTCAGGGATCTAGAACTAGAAATACCATTTGACCCAGCCATCCCATTACTGGGTATATACCCAAAGGACTATAAATCATGCTGCTATAAAGACACATGCACACATATGTTTATTGCGGCACTATTCACGATAGCAAAGACTTGGAACCAACCCAAATGTCCAACAATGAT
Source organism: Homo sapiens (assembly GCF_000001405.40). Taxonomy (NCBI): domain Eukaryota; kingdom Metazoa; phylum Chordata; class Mammalia; order Primates; family Hominidae; genus Homo; species Homo sapiens. Next base: position 187,235,076 of record NC_000002.12, on the reverse strand, counting down.
AGACTGGATTAAGAAAATGTGGCACATATACACCATGGAATATTATGCAGCCATAAAAAATGATGAGTTCATGTCCTTTGTAGGGACATGGATGAAATTGGAAATCATCATTCTCAGTAAACTATCGCAAGGACAAAAAAACAAACACCACATGTTCTCACTCATAGATGGGAATTGAACAATGAGAACACATGGACACAGGAAGGGGAACATCACACTCGGGACTGTTGTGGGGTGGGGGAAGGGGGGAGGGATAGCATTAGGAGGTATACCTAATGCTAAATGACGAGTTAATGGGTGCAGTACACCAGCATGGCACATGTATACCTATGTAACTAACCTGCACATTGTGCACATGTACCCTAAAACTTAAAGTATAATAATAATAATAATAATAATAATGTAATAGTAATTTGTGATCAAACAAAATTAAATCTATATAATGTCAAAATAAGTTTTATTACAAAATATTTTTATATGTATAATATACTAACAGCCTAAATATAACTATTTTCATTTATCTTAACATATTTTATTTAAAATGCATATAATGTAAACCCATGTAATATGAACTAATGGAGAAAGAAACATGTTCTAATAACATATTCTCAACGTTTCCTTACAAATGCCTTTCTCTTTCAAACGGTTCCATTTACTAAAAGGAAACAGTTTATATGCATCTTAAAGCAAAAATGAATAGATAATGAAATGCATGTAACATTAGAGCCATTCAAATATCAGTTATCAACATATTCTTTATCACTTGTCTTCAGTCTGATAGCATTAAGGGACGACTTAAGATTTTAGGTCTCTTAAGCCAAGCTGAGCATCTTTCACTCATCTGAGGGATATTCAGACCTGTCTCCTCACAGTTTTGGGGGAAGAGTTGGGGCAAGGATATGAGCAAGTGGGAGAAAATAGTGGTTTCCTGGCAATCACAAGTCCTTCATCTCTCTAATATCAGTGTATAAGCCTCCCAGTTCCATAGAGGCCAGGGTACCTAAAATTTGCTTCTAGTGCAGCAGGGCAAATAGGTTCATTGTGTAACTTCTCCCTAAGTCATGAGAAGGGAGGAGGGATGATTCATTTACATGTCATCATTTCCTAAAGTATAATTATCATTTCTGCAAAAAAGAATGATGGTAACGGTAGGAGATTAGTCCACCAAGACTGCTTCCCATCACCTACTGAAACTTAATTTCTTCTCACATGTGAATGTTCTTAAGTCAATGCACATTCCACTCACAACTTACATATATGTAGACGGAGTCTCTGTCACCCAGGCTGGAGTGCAGTGGTGCCATCTCGGCTCACTGCAACCTCTGCCTCCCGGGTTCAATCAATTCTCCTGTCTCAGCCTCCCAAGTAGCTGGGACTAGTTGGCTCCCGCCACCACACCTGGCTAATTTTAGTATTTTTAGTAGAGATGGAGTTTCACCATATTGGTTAGGCTGGTCTCGAGCTCCTGACCTCAGGTGATCCATCCACCTCGGCCTCAAAAGTGCTGAGTATACAGGCATGAGACACCATGCCCAGCCAACTTGTATATAATTGCAATAAATGGAAAAATCCATAATGTCTAAATACCTTTTCAGGAGGCATTAATTTGAACACATTCTTCTTCAGACATTTTTAGATCTCAGACCTATGAATTCAGTATCTAGTAACATAATTTTAATTCTTCATGTCTCAAAAGGCAAAAAAATGTAGGTAAAATGTTTGCTAATTATTCCTATTCACAGAGGTGGTAACCGTATAGTGATCGAATTCAGAATATGTTAATTTTCTATTTATTTGATGAGGAGAAATTTATCAAGAAACAAATTAAGTGCAATTACAAAAGCACTCTATGTACCCATATTTGAATAAAATACTTTGAAATAATTACTTGAAATAGGAAAGTACAAGATATATATTTAGAGAAGTAATATAAAATATACACAAGTGATTTTGTTTTTTTAATTCATTTTTGATAAATGAATTTATAGAAAAGATTTTGTTCAAGGTCAATTTTCATGGAATTAATTAGTGAGATCAAAGACTATTTTAAACTTAGGTGGCAGATATTATGTAGCAGGACAGGAAGTCCAGCAGCCTGGAATATGAATCAGGAAGCAGCGAGGTCACAGAGAGAGCAGAGTTGGGAGTTGAGGGGGTGAGTGAGGCTTCTTGCCAGAGTCCATAGTCCCAGGCTTAATTGTTCATCCAACTTTGTGATTTATCCAACTTTATCTGTTTCCATTATCATTACCTCTTCTAGGTATGACCTGCATCTCCTTCCTTACCTTGTTGAAATACAAAAGAGATTCACAGTGTAGTAAATAGAATAATGATCTCCTGAAGATGTCCACATCCTAATCTCCAAAACCTGTGACTATGTTAAGCCAGCAGTCCCCAACCCTTTTGGCACCAGGAACCAGTTTAGTGGAAGGCAATGTTTTCCATGGATGAGGGTTGGGGGTGGGGGTGAATGGTTTTAGGATGAAACTGTTCCATCTCAGATCATCAAGCATTAGTTAGATTCTGATAAAGAGTGCGCAAACTAGATCCTTTGCGTGTGCAGCTTACAATATGGTTCACGCTCTTATGAGAATCCATTGTCACTGCTAATCTGACAGGAGGTGGAGCTCCGGCAGTAATGGTTGCTCACCTGCCATAGGCTACATGGCAAAGGGGAATTAAGGTTGCAGATGGAATTAACATTGCTTATTACCTGTCTTTGTTTTGTTACAACTGCTAGAATAAAGAATGTGGAGTGAGAAAAAGGGGCATGTTGTCTTGTAATGAGTAAAGTCATCAACTAGATATTTTAGAATGGTGTTCTAGTTCTCAGACACTAAGTAGTTGTATTAGTTTCTCAGGGTTATCATAGAAATTACTACTTGGTGGCTTAAAATGGCAGAAATTTTTTCTGTCATAGTTCTGGAGGACAGAAGTTCAAAATCAAAGTGTTGGGGGGTCGCACTCTTTCTGAAGTCTCTAGAAGAGAATCTTTCCTCATCTGGTGACTCCAGATTTTCCTTGGCTTGGGGCTGCATAATGCAGGTTTTTGCCTCTGTTTTCACATGGTCTTTTCTCCTGTGTGTCCTTTTCCCTGCTCTTCTCTTATAAAATCACTTCTCATTAGATATATGGCCCATGATAATCCAGGGTAATCTCTTCACAGCATCGTTATCTTAATTGCATCTGCAAAGACTCTTCTTCCAAACAAGATCACATTCACAGGTTCTGGTGGACATATCACTTGGGAGGCTACCATTCAATCCACTACACCAGCTTTGTGTCCTTTATTCTCTGTGTATTTTGCTTTAACATCAAAAGAGATGGGGGAGGGGGTGAGAAGTAAGAATAGTACATTTAGATAACCATTAAGATAGTTTTCAACTTTTGTAGACCCCCTGGTTTACAAAACTTATAACATCTGACAATAAGTAATATTGGTAAAGATTTGGAGCAGTAGTAACTCTTAAAGACTAAGAGAGGGATTGTAAATTTACACAATGAGTTCAGAAAACAGTTTGGCTTTATCTACTAAAGTTGCAGATGCACACCAATAATTCCATCCTAGGTTTATAATCAAGGGAAAATCTTGTACATGAAGCAGGAAACATACACAAGACCATTCATCTTGTCTTACAGCAGCAATATAGACAGCAATAAAAATAAATACATAGAGCTATGTAGGGCAAATCGAATATCATGAACATTATATGGAGTGAAAGAAACATATGTAGTCCATGAAGCATATGTATAAAGTTGCAAAATAGGCAACATTAAATCATATATTTTAGGGCTCTGTATAAGGTGATAAAACTGTAAAGAAAAGTAACAGGATTATTATTTTAAAAATCATACTTCTGGATAACTTCTTTAAGAGGGAAAGTGGGCTTTGGGATTATACAGCAGCAGCTGGGGAGCTTCCAAGATGCTGGTAATATCTTATTGTTGACTTCAGTGGTGATTACAGGGGTGTTTGCTTTATCATTATTCTTCCAAATAAACATATATATTTTCTATGCTCTTTTTTATGTAGGCTGTATCTCATAATAAAAATAATAAAAGAATGAATGAAAGAAATAGAAGAGGAGATAGTAGTCTATGCTTTGACAGCTTTTGAATGTGATGGAAAGGAGAGAAGATGGCAACAACTACAGAAAGGCAGAGAAGTAAGAGAAGTTTCATTTTTCTTAAATTTAGATAATCTGGACCAAGTTTCTAGCGGTGTCAATAAGAAAGGGAAAAAAGAGAAAAGAGTAATGTTTTGATTTCAGTTTAAGAGTCCTATTTATCTATAATCCTCTAAGAATCAGAATGTAAAGAAATAGAGTGGTGCTGAAGATGCTCTCTGTGGCTCCTGGCATTAAAGTAGGGTTGCTGTAGCACTCGACAAAAGGCTGGTACCAGAGAGACACTTCCATGTGGGATTCCTTCCTCTTTCCTCTTATCTAGAAGTACAGCCAGTCCTTTGTTATCAGACCCTAATCTAGAATGTGCTGAAATAATGCTGAGATAAAGAATAAGGACTGGCTGTCTTATGGATAGGGTTTGGAAGAGTTGGGGAGGTAGGACATCATTGGCTTTTGCTATGTACAAAAGGTGGAAATGGAAGGAGAGAAGGGGTGAAAATCCCAACTGGAGCAACAGGGGGAAAAAAAGAAGCTCTTGTGACCATACGGAGAGAGGTAACGATTATCAAATAAAAATTTAGAATGGGTTCCTGCACTCTCTGTTCTTGCAAAATTGAAATATACTGCAGTCATTAGGCTGTCAGTAAGCTGTAATGAAGTTAGGAAAATTTAATGCAATACATTAGCTCAATTGAAAACAGAAGTATCAATTTGACTTTAATTGATGAATAGCAATGAGATATTCTTCTGAAATGGAAGATTAATGTAAACTTGGTTTCGAAGTTGAAATACAAATTCAACTTCTGTCAGACTGGGGCAGCATACTTAATCCTCTTCTGAAGAATTAAACAAAGAGCCAAGTAGCAAGGTAGTGTTTTTCTGTACATTTATTTGTTCAATAAACATTTACTGGGCATTATTTTTCAGGAACTTCTTAAGGTGCTAGGGATTCAAAAAAAAATTTAAAAAGACATGGTCATATGTGTGGGTTGGATAACAGGAAGGTGGGGCATTGATTAGAGATGAGCAAATCCATTCAATATAATATGGTAAATACAATGATAAAAACGACTATTGGACTCTAAAACACAGGTTAAGGACACCTCACCTAGGTTTGGTGCATAGGGGAATGAATAGTAGTAGTTAGACTCCACGACACGAAAAATGAAAGTGTATTCTAGGCAAAAGAACTTGAGTAAAGTGGAGGTATTGAAAAACACTGCAGTGTGTTTGTAAGAGAAATACACTAGCTGTTCAGTGCTGCTGATACACAAATATTAAGAGGGGAAAATGATAAACTAGGTTGTAGAGTTAGGTAGGGGGCTTCATCTCATAGGGCTCTACACTCAATGTTAAAGATATTATTCTTTACACTGTGGTCAGAAAATATATTTTTAGCAGGGACATGGCATAGTCAGATCTGTATGCTAGGTAGGTCATTCTGAGAGCTCTGTGGAGTTGAGAGCTGACAGAAAATACTCATATTTACAGCAGGAGAAATCAGTTGTAGGGCTTTGGAGCAATCCAAGAGAGAAATGGAAATCTGAACTAAGGTGGAAATGTTGGAGATAGAAAATCATGTGATTGAGTAAGGAATCCCTCAGTTTCAAGTGACAGGGATTTCAACCCAGAATGCCACAAACAGAAGAAATAAAAAGCCCAGATATAAGCACAAATTGATAAGAGGCACAAATGATGCCATTATGCTATCCCCAGCTTCTGTGTGCCAGCTGTTCTTCTCCCAATTGAGCTCTATTTTTAGGCATTTTCGTCTCCTGTGGTGACAAAGTGGAAATAAGAGCTCCAGTCTCATAGCTCAGTAATTCCAAGCCCAATAAAAGAGCTTGTTTTGTAACAAATTGTATAAAAATCTTGAGATTTTCTTGGTTATACCAGCAAAAACCACATGCAGAACCATGAACAATTCACAGTGACAGACTGTATATAATGGATGAAGAAAATAGTCAGAGGACTTGAGTTTCTCCAGCATTAAAAAAAAAAAAAGTTTATAGTGAATGCCAAACAATACAGCATGGAGGAATGAAGAGTTAGGTTCTGTTGCCCTTGAGTAAGATATACAAACATTCTACGAAACCTTGGATCCAGTAAATAAGATGGGTTGAGGTTCTTTTTCTAACCGCCACCACCAACAAAAAACCCAACCTTATTGCTAACGTTCATTTTATTTCCTAGCCAAAAATATATATATTCATAAAGAAATGAAAAAATGAGTCTAAATCTTAGAAGAGATCTACATTGCAGATGGTTTGGTTTGAGTATTATCAAAATATGTATGCTAATTAGACTTGTATGTGATCACCAGGAAGTGTGAAGGATAAAAAGCATGCCATATTGAGGAGAAAATATTGTTTTATAATGATAATTATTATTGTACATCACTATATTCCTGATTATACTCATGCACTATTTCATTTATTTCTTACAACAGTTCTGTGAACTCCATTTGAAGTATGAAAAAACCTAGGCCCCAGAGATTTTTTTCATTTTGTAACTTTTTTCTTGCCCAGGTCAATATTAGCAGGAATAATACAGCTTAAATTATTAAATTATTGGGGAAGAGTCTCAGCCCATGTTACTTGTCACAACTTATCAAGATATAAAATCACCAATTCAACTGTTAAGGCACTTATTAAAACAACCATCAAAACTGTTTTCAGGAATTTTATTGCTTGATTCAACATTTTGTTCCATAAAATGAAAATTAGTCAATGTCATCACCTCCCTTAACATTGGTAGAAGCTGCCAGGGGTACTTATGCAGATATAGAATACTTCATTCAAAAAAGTCATTGTCAATTCTATTTATATATAATACATTAATGAAATATGAGAATAGTCATCTATGGGCCCAGAATCACAAAATTTTGAAAAATAACTTTGTAAACTTATTTACCTTTTTAGAATTTTGTTATGAAAGTGCTGTTACCTAATATAATGTTTTGAAAATGTTACCATTTCTCACGCTTAGGCATTTCAAAAAAAAAGTAGAGTTACAAAAGATGTATTTTTTTCTGTACTTGCTTGTTTAGAGTTTATAACATAACAGAGAAAATAAAGTATGCTTATACAAATATAGGGGCTTATTTTTTTCATAAAAAAAAGAGTAGAAAAATTATACAAGAAATATTTGTTGGATTTACCATTACTGAATGTGAACTGACTTCAGCTAATTTTAACTCAAGCAATTTATTTTATTTGTTTTGGGGGCTGAGAACTTGTTCTTTTTTTCCTTGCCTGAATGCATTCTCATCGGGGGTGCACTTTCACTATGAGGTTCTATTATTTGCATGCAGTTATGTTAAAGAGGCAAAATCATGCAATGTGCCTCCCCATGAACCACCAAGTCTTACCCTCACAAAAGCTGGTGTTGCTTCATTGCTGCTGGAACATTCTCTCCTTCTTCTCTTTATATTATCTTTTTCTTCCCTGTAGGAAATTTATGCGTTTGAAGAGTAAAATAGATCCTGGGGGTCTCATTTATTCTTGCTTGGTTTATTTTGTTCCATATAACACCTCACACATTTCTTATAAATTAATAGAACTTATTCATTAGGATTTTTCTTCTGTTGTCACTTCAGCATATTTTCATAAATCATAAACAGTTACACTAAAGGCCACAGCAAATAACAAAATATTAGCTTCCTAAAAAAAAACCCCCACGTTAGGGCTAGATGGGTCAGAAAACACCCAGTTCATGATAGGCAGTTCAGGTCATATGGAGACTTGATGACACACAGTCAAACGTTCAGTTTCCGCTAAAGCCCAGTAACAGGCCAAGAGCTGCCTCTCAAAAGCAGAGTAGTTATCTGCAGAAGATGGTAGGGACTTGCTCCAAATCCTAGAGGCCTCTACTGTGATTCACCTATGGGGACCTGCCAAAGGCTCCAAACAGCACCCTTATCTGCCACTGACATCTCAGCCACCATTGGATCTTCTGGGTCATATAGCCCAAGTGGCAGAGCAGCTTGCACAGCAGCCTGGACCTGCTGCAGAGCTTTCTCCTGTTTTGGACCCCACTCAAAATTGGCAGCCTTTTGGGTCACTTGATAAATGGGCTTGAGTAACACACCCAAATGAGGAATGTTTTGCCTCCAGAATGCAAATAGGCCCACTAGGCATTGTGTCTTTTTCTTGGTTGCAGGAGAGGCCAAATGCAGCAACTTATCCTTCATCTTAAAAGGACTATCTCAACAGCCCCATACCACTGGACACCTAGAAATTTTACTGAGGTAGAAGGTCCCTGAATTTTAATTCAATTTATTTTCTATTCTCTGACAAATATCTCACAAGTAGGTTCAGTGTGTTTGCTACTTCTTGCTCACAGGATCCCATTAGCATAATGTCATCAACGTAACAGACCAGTGCAATATCTTGTAGAAGCAAAAAGTGATCAAGGTCTCTCTGAATAAGATTATAACACAAAGCCAGAGAATTGATATACCCCTGAGGCTGAACAGTAAACATATACTGCTGGCCTTGCCAGCTGCGGCAAATTGCTTCTGTTGAGCCTTATGGACAGAAATGGAAAAAAAAAGGCATTTGCCAAGCCAGTGGCTGCATACCGGGTGCCAAGAGATGTAATTTGCTCAAGCAATGAAAGCAAGTTTGGTACAGCAGCTGTAATTGGAGTCACCATTTTGTTAAGCTTACAGCAATCCACTGTCATTCTCCAAGATTCATCTTTCTTCTGCACCGGCAAAATGGGAGAGTTGAACGGGGATATGGTGGGAATCACCACCCCTGTGTCTTTCAAGTTCTTAATGGTGGCACTAATCTCTGCAATCCCTCCAGAGATGCAATATTGTTTTTGATTTACTAGTTTTCTAGGTAGAGGCAGGTCTAATGGCTTCCATTTGTTCTTTTCCAACATAATAACCCTCACCCTACCAGTCAGGGAGCCAATGTAGGGGTTCTGCCATCTGCTAAGTCAATGTCTATGCCAATTATGCTTTCTGGCACTGGGGAAATTACCACAGGATGAGTCCATGAACCCACTGGATCCACTGTAAGTCAGATCTGAGATAAAACTCCATTAATTACCTGACCTCCATAAGCCCCTACTTTAACTGGAGGACCACTATGACATTTTGGGCCCCTTGGAATCAACATCAGCTCAGAGCCAGTGTCCAGTAGTCCCCAAAATATCTGATCATTTCCCTTTCCCCAGTGCACAGTTACCCTTGTCAAAGGCTGTAGATATCCTTTAGAAAGAATGGGGGAAAGATTGACATGATATATTGTCAGTAGTGTATCTAGAAAGTAACTAACTTGCTTTTGATTTTACAGGCTCATAGGTGGAAGGGACTTGCCCTGTGTCAGATGAGACTTTGGACTGTGGACTTTTGTTAATACTGAAATGAGTTAAGACTTTGGGGGACTGTTGAAAAGGCATGATTGCTGTTGAAATGTGAGGACATGAGATTTGGGAGGGGCCACGAGTGGAATGATATGGTTTGGCTGTGTCCCCACCCAAATCTCACCTTAAATTCCCACATGTTGTGGGAGGTACCCAGTTGGAGGTAATTGAATCATGGGGGCAGGTCTTTCCCCTGCTGTTCTCATGATAGTGAATAAGTCTCACAAGATTTGACGGTTTTAAAAAGCAAACCTCTTTTGTAAATTGCCCAGTCTCTGGTATGTCTTTTTCAGCAGCATGAAAACTGACTAACACAGATTCCATAGGAGGGAGATTCTGTGATGCTGTCTTTGAAGATAAAGGAGGTCAAGTGGCAAGTAATGCGCATACTATCTAGTTATTGAGAGCGGCCCCCTGCTGACAGGTAGGAAGACAATAGAGACCTCAAATTTACAATTCAAAAGTTGTTCCACCAACAATGTTAATGAGCTTGGAAATGGGTTTTTCCCCAGAGCTTATAAATGAAGACACATGACAAATTTCTGCTTTCAGCCTAATGATACCTAGAGATTCCAGCCACATTGTTCTGGACTTCCACATAAAGAACTGTGAGGAAATAAATGGGTGTTGTTTTAAGTTGTTAAATTTATGGTAATTTGTTATACAGCAAAAGAAAACTAGCATACTTACATTCTGCATCACTAATTCCTATTGATTCAATTTTCTAATTTGCCCACTCTCCATCTCATTAACCAGCATCCTAGTCCAAATCACCATTAACTCTTACCTAGACTGCTAGTCACCCCACAGACATATCATCTGAACTATCCATTCTCTACATAGAGTATTCTTTTACAGACAAATTCTATTACTGTCACCTCTCTCCTGCTTTAAAACTGACAATGACTTATTATTTCTCTAAGAATAGAGGTTTTTAAAAATCCTTAACCCAAACTCTGGACATCTGTTAGGTTGGTGCAAAAGTCATTACTTTACACCAACCAAGTAATTTACATTTGCTTTTACAATAAAAGTAATGGCATAAACCGCAATGACTTTTGCACCAGATTAATATGTACTCTGATCTCATGCCCCTTCCCTTTTTTTCACATGACAGTCATATTGGTAATTTTTCAGTCCCAGAATGATGTTTCTTCCACCTCCTGTTCCTTTTCATGGAATACTCTCCCCTCTTCTTCAACTACTATTTCCCTGAGTCAATGCTTGTTAATCATGGAGACACTATTTAAAATTAGGTCCTCTAGGGAAATTTCCTTACCCTACAGGTTATTCTAGTCCTCTTTTTATATGATGTTGTAGCACACATAGCTTACTCTTCTCCCATAGCATTTAAATAGAATTATTTACAGGCAATTTTTTAAAGATCTGTATACATTCTTCAGTATTGCCAGTATTATGCATCAAATACTGTGCCAGATGGACTATGTGTGAAGCAGTAACTTATGACATATTTAAATGCATCAAAAGTAGAATCTCCAGAGCATTTCAACTGCCCCTTTTCTTTAACCCTCCCCATCACATATTGCCCGAATGACCTTGTTAATATGCAAAAATCAAAGCTTGTCACTTGTTACGGTTTGGTTTGCCCCTGTCAAAAGTCAAAACCTATGTTGAAATTTGATCTCCAATGTGGCAGCACTGAGGAGTAGCCAGTGAGAGGTGTTTGTGTCATAGGGATGGATTCCTCATGAGTAGATTCATGCCCTCCTAAGAGGGTGAGTTCTCACTCTCTCAGGAATAGGTTACTTCCCAAGAGAGCAGGTTGTTAAAAAGAGTCTGACTCCTTGGTTTCTCTCTCTTGCTTTTCACTATGTGATTTCTTTGCACATACCAGCTCCCTTTCCATTGTCCACCATGAGTTGAAGCAGTAAGAGGCCCTTCACCAGATGCAGATGCCCCATATTGAACTTTCCAGCCACCAGAATTATGAGCCAAATAAACCTCTTTTCTTTATAAACTAATGGGTCTCCGGTATTCTGTTACAGGAACACAAAACAGACCAAGACATCTCTCATTCTATAAACTGTTTAATGTTTCCCTGAGGCCCAGAACTTTTATGAAGGAAATAGAGTAGGGTGATAGGTATTAAAAGATAGTTTTCTAGGCTAATCCAACTGTATTAGTCTGTTCTCATGCTGCTACTAGAGACATGCCTAAGACTGGGTAATTTATAAAGGAAAGAGGCTTAATTGACTCACAGTTCAGCATGGCTGGGGAGGCCTCAGGAAACTTACAATCATAGTGGAAGCTGCAAACACATCCTTCTTCACATGGTGGCAGGAAGGAGAAGTACAGAGTGAAATGGGGGAAAGCCCCTCATAAAACCATCAGATCTTGTGAAATCTCACTATCATGAGAACAGCAAGGGGGAATTGCCTCCATGATCTAATCATCTTTCATGAAATCCCTTCCTCAACACGTGGGGATTACAATTTGAATTACAATTCAAGATCAGATATGGGTGGGGCCACAAAGCCAGACCATATCATCAAACTGTATAGTCAAAAAGAAAGAAAGTACAGCCAAGTTTGTATTTTGATCTCATTTCAGAGTATTGTATTTTGTAGAAATTAAACACATCCACATTTCTGATGCATAATATATGACTTGGCTCTGTGTCCTCACCCAAATCTCATCTTGAATTGTAATCCCCATGTGTTGAGAGAGGGACCTGATGGGAGTGATTGGATCATGGAGGCAGTTTCCCCCATGCTGTTCTCATGATAGTGAGGGAATTCTCATGAGATCTCATGGTTTTAAAAGTCTCATTTACCCCTGTGCTCTCTCTCTCTCCTGCTACTGCTGTGTAAGACATGCCTTGCTTCCATCTTTGTCTTTTGTAGTGATTGTAAGTTTCCTTAGGCCTCCCTGGCCGTGTGGAACTGTGAGTCAATTAAACCTTTTTTGTTTATAAATTATCCAGTCTCAGGCAGTATCTTTATAGCAGTGTGAAAATGGACTAATACAATAACCAGTGTATTTGCATTAATTTTAACCATTCTATTTTGTGTATTCTATAACGTATATCTTGTGTGGTTTATTTTCCTTTAATGGGTTGAAAGTATTTCATTTTTTCACTTACCTATCTAGAAATATTTGATTTCTTTTGTTAATGGTAGCTAAGCAAAAATTTTTATGCCCACTTAATCTTGTATTTTCTATTAAAAATCTAGCATTAATTAGTCTTTGACTTCCTATTAAATAAAGCAAAAGTCTTTGTGAGCCTTTAAACCCAATACTCCAAAACACCTGTGCACATTCACTTGTACACACAACTCGAATGCTGTAACCCAGAATTTTAGTTAATAATTATTACCATTTTTCTTTAATGTCATGCATCAATAGTAACTTAGATATAACTATAGATTTTACAGCTATTTAAATGTTACTGCGTGTTGTTCACCATTATTCCATGAATTCTACTTCATCCTTAGTCTTTATTTTCTTATTTTACTGGTGTGCATTTTTATCTAATTATCTCAAGTAAGGCCTGAGGGTGGTGAACGCTGAAAATATCTCTATTTTCTTCATTTCACCTAAATGCCAATGTTTTCCTGAGTGTAGGAAACTAGACACAACATAGTGTCTGCCTTAGTACTCTGTTGATACTGCTTCATTGTCTTCTAACAATTAGTCTGACTATGAGACATCTGATGTCAGCTTGGTTTTTCATTTTTTTGCAGGAAACCTGTTTCATTTTTTCTGAAAACCGTTAGTAATGCTTAGCTTTGTTAGGTGTGGCCCTTTGGTTTACTCACTCGACTCAGGATACTGTTTCCTCCCTCAACCCTCATTCCACACCATACTGCCCACTCCTAGCTAATGTCTTTTCATTTTTTTTTCAGTTCTGGAAAACTGTATTATTCATTTAATTTTTTCCTCTCTACCATTTTTCAGTTTCATACTTCAGAAATTCCTCTGAGGTATACACTGAAACTTTTTGAAGTGTCTTCTATGTCTCTGAACTTTTATGTCACACTTTCAACTTCATTTTTTCCCTCTTTTTAATTTATTCTGACAGATGACTGCAGTTTAGGTTTTCAATTAATATTTACTAACTGTATTTATTTAACTGTACTTATTTTAGCCCTTCTTTCAAACCTTAATTTTAATGATTTTTTTTTTGAAACGTAGTCTTGCTCTGGAGTGCAGTGGCATGACGCTGGGTCACTGCAACCTCCACCTCCCAGGTTCAAGTGATTCTCCTGCCTCAGCCTTCCAAGTAGCTGGGATTACAGGTGCCCACCACCACGCCTGGCTAATTTTTGTATTTTTAGTAGAGATGGGGTTTCACCATGTTGTCCAGGCTGGTCTTGAACTCCTGACCTCAAGTTATACGCCTGCCTCGGCCTCCCAAAGTGCCAGGATTACAGGTGTGAGCCACTGTGCCCAGCCGGGATTTTTTTATTTTTAAAATATATGACTGATCTCTCTCCAATGATTCTTATTTTATAGATGTGATAGTTTAATATCTTCTTTTGTTCATGCTGTTAAATGAAAACACTCTTCAGGATATTATCCAGGAGAACTTCCCCAACCTAGCAAGACAGGTGAACGTTCAAATTCAGGAAATACAGAGAACAAAAACAAAGATACTCCTCAAGAAGAGAAACCACAAGACGCATAATTGTCAGATTTACCAAGGTTGAAATGAAGGAAAAAATGTTAAGGGCAGCCAGAGAGAAAGGTCGGGTTACCCACAAAGGGAAACCCATCAGACTAACAGCGGATCTCTCAGCAGAAACTCTACAAGCCTGAAGAGATTGGGGGCCAATATTCAACATTCTTAAAGAAAAAAATTTTCAACCCAGAATTTCATATCCAGTCAAACTAAGTTTCATAAGTGAAGGAGAAATAGAATCCTTTACAGACAAGCAAATGCTGAGAGATTTTTGTCACCACCAGGACTATCTTTAATTCTTTTCAACATTTGTGGCTAAGAGATTTTTTTCCAATGTCATTATAGATTTATTCTTCATTTTTTTTTTCTTTTTAAACCAAAGATTTGGTGTAGGTAGGGAGGGTCGATTTACATTCTGAATCAGTTTGTTATTACTGATCTTCTGAAGCCTACTTCTGTCAACTCCTCAGTCATTCTCCGTCCAGCATTGTTCCATTGCTGGCTAGGAGCTGTGACCCTTTGGAGGAGAAGAGGCACTCTGATTTTTAGAATTTTCAGCTTTTCTGCTCTGGTTTCTCCCCATCTTTGTGATTTTATGCTGCTAATAATTAGCTTATCTCTATAAGACTGGGGAACCTTAGGCATGCAATAAAGTTTTTTAAAAGATAAAATAGTAAGTGATTTGCATAAGAGGACTGAAATATGAAACCCCTAGTTCAAAGTTCATTTTTTAGTTAATACTATATAACTGCTTTTGGATGTATATTTTACTCAGTTCTCTACCTGAAGAATTAGTAGCAGTTTTTTTATTAAATGCCAAGTGAGTAGTTAAAGAAATAACACAATTTTGTGCATTATAAGAACTTCCTTTATACTAGTAAGTAATTGATAGAAAAATAGTTACTGTCACATGTTCCTAGAGCCCAAGGGAATTTTGACAAAACCTGAACACTTCATTAGAAAATCATTAAGATGACAAAGTGAATCGTTCTTGCTGGTAAATATATTTAGAAATTCTTTTTTAACTGATAAGTGTAATAGAAGAACAGAAACTTATTATGTTATTAGTTGGAAATTTTAACTATTATCTGCAAGATATTTTATAAAGAGACAAACATGATAATCATTCTTTTCACTCTTTTCCACAAAGTGAAATTCTTTATTCCCAGAATTCTTTAGCAAGAATAGTCATAGTTAAATAATGTCAAACACAAAATGACCCTAAATCACATATTCTTATTCATTTTGAATTTCCCCTCAGAAGTGAAGTGATCAGAATTAAATCACTGATGGCAAAAATAAGCCATAAAAGTATTTACACACAAGAAATACAATTGTATTAAACTGCCATATACATGCTAACAATAGATTTTATTAAAGATATGGTGATAAAATACCCATTTAAAGTATCATAAAACAGAAATTTATTCAAAAAAATTTTACAACCGAAACAACAACAAAATGTGTTTTCTTCTGGTCCACATTCTTTGAGGACTTAGGACATGGACTTTGTTCTAATGTGGGATATGTATTAAAAGCAGCACATTCCATACATGTTAAATATAATGTAAATAGCAATTTATTTAGAAAAATAATTAGAATTAATGGTAGCAATATTAGTTAGCCTGTATCAATATATTCCTATGTGACTATGTATTAGGTTTGGAAACTTCTTATGTATTATTTTATTTACTCATCACAACAATGGGAAGGTCTTATTTCTTTTCATATTTTTAGAGGCAAAAACTGCAATTTGGGGAAGTTAAGTAACTCTATCAAAGTGAACAAGTTTAGAGGTAGCAGAACCAATATTTGCACTCAGCATCTTCTGTCTCAGTGTTTCTGTTGTTATTACTATGCTATATAGCTACTGGCTTTTGAATAATAGTTTCCAGTTTATCAACTTCTTTTGTATTGCCAAAGTAAAATTGCTATATTAATTTTTCACTACAAAAGGAGGCAACTAAAAAATAATAATAATAAACCTAGTACTCATGTACTAGTAAATTAATGCACAGAACCATCTCTTGGGCATGTGAAGAATAATAGTGTTCCCAATGCTGATCAAAGTTTTGAAATTAGACCAGGTATAATGTGTCAGGACATCTGCAACCTTGATTCATTGAAAACCTAAGTGTGACTTCAAAACTAACATAGTTCTTTATAAACTGCTTTTCATAAATTAAGTCAAGTTTTCAAGGCCTGTGATGGATAATTTTATGTGTCAACTTGACTGGGCCATGTGTGCCCAGATATTTGGTCAAATATTATTTTCAGTGTGTCTGTGAGGGTGTTTTTGAATGAGAATCACCTTTGAATATGTGGACTGAATAAAGCAGATTGCCTTTACTAATGTGGGTGAGCCTCATTTAATCAATTGAAGTCTGGCATAGAACAAAAATACTGACCCTCCAGCAAATAAGAAGGAACTCTTCCTGCTAGACTGGAGCTGGGACATTTTGTTTGTTTGTTTCTGTCCTTCAGACTCTATGATACAACATCAGCTTTTCTTCAGTGTGGAGCCTGTTGGCTTTCAGACTGGAACCTACACCATTGGTTCTCCTCGAGTACCCATCAGCTCTCCTGGGTATCTAGCTTGCCAACTTCAGATCTTGAGATTTAGCTTACGTAATTTCATGAACCAGTTCCTTATAATCACTCTCTCTCTCTCTCTCTGTGTGTGTGTGTGTGTGTGTGTGTGTGTGTGTGTGTGTGTGTGTGTGTGTGTGTATGTAAACATATACACATCCTATCATTTTTGTTTCTTGGAAAACACCGGCTAATACAAAGCCTTTTCCTTTAATTTGTAACATCCACATTTCTTCAAGCCAGGGATATGTTTTAATTAAGATTACAATACAATGTTCTCAAATTCCTTTTGAAAAATAGGCGTGATTAATCCTCCTTCGTGACTGAGCTAGACCATGAAAGCAGATACCATCTTCAGAATTGCTGTGGCAGCATGAACACAGCAAAAGTACAGGAAAAGGAGCCACAAGTTTTCATCCTTGACTTGCTGTGGAACCAAGCCACAAGCTCTTCAAGGATGCTGTCCTTTGAAGTAAATTCATTCAGTGTGATGACCCCTAAGACTACTTCATTTCTAAAGGCCTATTCATTATCAATCATATGTTTAAACTCCACTTTGGTTCTTGAACCATTCTGTTTGAGGAAAAACTCTCTAAAATCATGTTTTTCCACTGCTTTCACACTACAACCAAAATAACAGTCAACACAGAAGAAGACGTCTGTGACAAAACGTGTGGGGGTCTTTCTTCACAAACCAAGCAACAGACACCCTCTGGGTGTCCTTCAGTTCAATTCTGACACTATCTATTTGGAGATCCCAAAGGTTGGGGGCTCAGTCCCCAAGACTGCCCCCACGCAGATACCATTCACAAGTCTGGGCTTCTGGAACTTCTGATGAACTCTTCAAATTGAGATCCAATTGATCCCTACTTTAGGCTTGAATAACTGGCTGGGGCAGCACACAGAACTCAGGGAAACAGTTACTAATGTTTATAGGTTTATTATAAAGGATATTACACAGGATAAAGATGAAGAGATATGGGGCAAAGTATGGGAGAAAAGGCATGAAGCGTCCCTGCCCTTCCTGGATGCACCACCCTTCAGGAACCTCAGCGTGGTCAGCTATCCAGAATCTCTCTGAACCCTGTTTTGTTGTTGTTGTTGTTGTTGTTGTTGTTGTTGTTGTTTTTTATGGAGGCTTCATTACCTAGGCATGATTGATATCTGTGTGGAAATATAATTGGACAAAAGCACATGATCTAAGCCTAGCAAGGCCTGTCTATTCAGATTTTTCTTGGCCTCTATGTAGCATTTCTTCCTCTAAGATATGGAGCAGGACCCTTTCTGGAGGGTCTTTTGACCCAGAATCAGATTAGAGTCCTGTCATGGGCAAATGAAAGGACAATAGGAAAGGGCAGAGAGAGAGAGAGAGAAATTCTGTTTCCTGAGGCCTACTCCCAAGACATAATATACTCAACATTATAACAAAAGACTGTAACAAGGGCCATAAGAGTTATAAGCAAGAATCGTGGACAAAAACCAACACATACACATAATCATAATGTCCCAGGTTCTTTACTATCCTCCTTGTCATTTCACAATGTCCCCAACCCCATTCCCTTCTGGAAATTAAACTTTTGCTGTTTACAGTGTTGTTCTGTAGATCAACAGCATCAATATCACCTAGGAAGTTATTAGACATCCAGAGCCCCATATCCCAACCCAAACCTGCTAATTAGAATCCGGGTTATAACAAGGCCTGTGAGTGATTTGTCTAGACATTAATATTTAAGAATTGTTCTAGCCCAAAGCTACTATGGTTCAGTGAGAAAAGTAAAGAGATTTAACCATATTACTAATATTGTAGTTTTACATTTTATGGAGATCTTTTAGACCATGGACTCTGCAGACAACCCACTCATTTCACATCCCACCTTTACCACTTTTAGCTGTGGGATAAAAATAGGACTGAGAATATAAGTTGGTTTGCTTTAAACTGAGTAACATTTGTAAAGGTTAGAAGAGCGTCTACTTCATATATGTGTTACATATTAGCTTTATTGCACAAACATTCTTCATATCCCATCACCACACACTTCTGGTTTCAAACTTCAGTTATATAAGCCCCTTATTCTTGTGAGAGAATGTGTCTAATTGATATTCTAACAATGTCTAATGTCTCTAATTTTTTCAGACTTTTGCTTCTCTGCCTTGCTTTCTTCTTTCTCTTTTTGTCCTTTTCTCTTTCTTTTCCCTCTCTCTCTTTTTTTTTTCCTTCTTTCATTTTGCAAAGTTGAGTGCCTCTTTGTCCCTCCTCCCACTCTGCCCACAAACATTCTTTGTGGTATAAACCTCAGGGATACTTTTGAAGAGGTATGGAAATGTTTGGCTCCAAATTGTAATTCTGTTATAAGCCAAAGCTAGCAGCGTGAGTGCTGCAGTATCCCAAAAGAAAAAAAAAAGTACCTAGTGGGTTACATTTATTATTCCTTTTAGAATTGACCTTCTCTGTGGAAGAGCCTTGGGGAGACAGCAGAGCAAATTCAATGGCTCAGGATTTGGAATTAGAAATTAGGCATGCAACTTCTGTCTTTACAAACTCTTACTAACCATGTGGCCAAGAACAAGTTTCCTAATTGCCCTGAACATTGACATACTCATCTGTAAACTATTACAGAGTTACTCTAAGTGTTCTAAGAGACAATGCATGTAAAGTGCTTAGCATAATTCCTGAAACTTAGCAAATTCTTACATATGTTAGCTCTCCACACCATTTTTATTATTATAAACAGTATGAATCAATGAAGCAACAAGAGATCAATTGCTCTCAGAAGGGCAAAGCCCAAATATACAAGTCTAACTCATTAAAATGACTTATAGTTTCTCCTTCCTTTTCCTTTAAATTTTGGTTCTTGCCTGAATTTTTAATTTGAAACTCTCCATCTTGCACAGAGTAGAGTCAGTCTTTCCCCTCATTTTCTCTCTTTTTATTCCTCGTTCTTGCTGTAACTTTCTCTTCCTGTAATTCTTTCTTCTTTAATTTACTCTTCCTTCTTTCCACTCCATCCAATGTTTTTAGTTGTTCTTGTCTTTCTAGAAATTTTCAGTTAGCTTTTTCACATGTATTTTTCTAAGAAAAAAATCTAAAATAATTTTTATGTGTCCCTATGTCATTAATTTTCTGTGTTCATCGTTGTATGTGATATCTCTGCAAACTGGCAATTTTGATAGTTTAGTGATACTTCAATATTCATCAGTCTTAATGCTTTTGTGATTTAAATTATTTTACCCTCTTTGTGTGATGACATATTGTAAGAGAGGTTAAAAATCTGTTCTTGAGCTTATTTGATGATCTCTCCACTAAGTAATTTGTTTTGCCTTCATACATTTTATATCCATTTTTAAAGTACGTATGCTTACTATAATAACTCAGTTGTGTCCAAGAAAATCTAGTATAATCTTTTTGCAGATCTAAGTTTTCCACTATGTAGGATAAACCTTTAATCTAGAGTTTAAATTATAAACGCATTGAAGTGTCTACCTAAGTAACACAACTATCTCCTCTTAGCATTTGTGTATACATGTTAATAACTATGGTGAATATGAAGTGTTATTTCATGTTACAATAAAAATAAAATGTGAGTTGAATATTTATTGAAAACATAATCTCCAATTTCATTAATGCTTCATGAAAAAAAGTCTGTCATTTTCTCAATTTATTTTTTGTTGCTAATGATTCTTTGGAAAGCCCAAAATTAAACCCAAGTGGCTTCTTGGTCAGGAAAATGTGAGCTAAGTAGTATTGGCATGTGGTGCTAAACACGTGCAAGACAAAAAAAAAAAAAAAAAGCGAGAGAATTAGCCTTGGAGATTACAAATTCTATATAGAGTTTCTTCCTTAAGCAATGAAATCTTTCTATGTGTTTTTATAACAAGTAGAGAAGAATTCCAATGGGAAGAAATCTAACTTCGTTGCTATGTCAATGCTGCTCTCTCAGTGACCTCTCCTGGCCTTTCTCAGAGGTATCTGAAATCAAAAGTTGTCAGTTGGCTGAATGAGCCAGTGTCTTACTCATAAAAAGCCATAATTTAATATTTTAATATCATATTTTATGCTACAATTTATTAAAATAATAGCATTTGAAATAAAATGAGATATTTCTATATTTAAAAAATTGTCCAAAATGTCTAGAAACAATGATTACCTTATAAGTACTATGTTTCCACTAATGCTATTTCCTTAGGACACTACTTTTCAGGTAATCCTGTTTTATAATCACAGAGAAATCATCTGCCAAAATCCTTGCTTATTTTTCTTTATCTTTCTGAAATAAAATGTCATGGTAAGTATAGAAGCCCCAACTTAGCAACACTTCCTGTAAATAAAGGAAATGGTGTCTCATCCCAAGTGCTTCACAGCTACTGTTAAGGCAGTGGAAAATCTGCAAAGGAAATCTTTTGAAATTAATCAGTAGTAGCTTTGGGTGGAACCCTATAAAACATCCTTACCTTTCTGTATTGGTTTCTCAGTTAAGAAACTTAACACCAGTGCCAACTGGAATGTTATAAAATGTTGTCCACACAAATACACTTAGGTCTTATATGTTATAATTAATTATATATGAAATATATATATATATATATATATTTTTTTTTTCTCCATGTCTCATGTTTCCATGCACCAATTACATTGACTGAATGGCAATAATAAATAATATTTACATTAAAAGTAAATTATGTTTTAGCATTGTTTGAGGTTACAAATACTATTCTTGTGTAATTTAAGTGATTCTTTTTCCCACCTATAGCCAAGTTTTCCAGAGAAGAAGATTTTAAAAACACATATTTAATTTAATTAATAATATGACTGAACAAATAAATATAGTTTTTTAACATTTAAATTCATGGGTAAATGTACAGGTTTGTTATATAGGAAAACTCATGTCATGGGGGTTTGTTTTACAGATTATTTCATCACCCAGGGATTAAGCCTACTACCCATTAGTTATTTTTCCGGATCCTCTCCCTCCTCTCACCCTCCACTCTCCAGTAGCCCCCAGTGTCTGTTGTTCTCCTCTAAGTGTCCATATGTTTTCGTCAATTAGTGCCCACTTATAAGTGAGAACATGTGGTATTGGGTTTTCTCTTCCTGCATTAGTTTGCTAAGACTAATGTTCTCCAGCTGCATCCATGTCCCTGAAAAGGACATGGTCTCATTCCTTTTCATGACTACATAGGATGCTGTGGTATATATGTATTCCTTATCCAGTTTACTGCTTATGGGCATTTATGTTGATTCCATGTCTTTGCCATTGTGAATCATGCTGCAATGAACATTTGCATGTATGGGTCTTTATGATAGAATAATTTATATTCCTCTGGGTATATAACCAGCAATGGGACAGCTGGGTCATAAAATAGCTCTGTTTTTTGGTTTGTGAGGAATCACCACATTGTTTTCCACAATGGTTAAACCAATTTACACTTCTACCAACAATGTGTAAGCATTACTTTTTCTCTGCAACCTTGCTAGCACCTATTATTTTTTGACTTTTTAGTAATAGTCATTCTGACTGTTGTGAGATGGTGTCTTATTATGGTTTTGACTTATATTTCTCTAATGATCAGTGCTGTTGAGCTCTTTTTCATATACTGTGTTGGGTGCATAATATATATTTAGGATAGTTAAGTATTTTTGTTGAACTGAATGCTTCTTCACTATTATGTAATGCCTTTATCTTTTGTAGTCATTGTTGGTTTAAAGTCTGTTTTGTCTGAAATTAGGTATACAATCTCTGTTTTTCCTATTTTCCATTTGCTTGTTAGATTTTTCTCCATCCCTTTATTTTGACCCTATGGGTGTCATTGCACGTGAGATGGGTCTCTTGAAGACAGCATGCCAGTATGTCTTGGTTCTTTATCCAGCTTTCCACAGTGTGCCTTTTAATTGAGGCATTTAGCCCATTTGCATTCAAAGTTAGTATTGGTATTTGTGAATTTGATCCTGTCATCATGATGTTAGCTGGATATTACGCAGACTGGTTTGTGTGGTTGCTTTATAGTATCACTGCTTTGGGTACTTAAATGCGTTTATGTAGTGGCTGGTAATGGTCTTTCCTTTCCATATTTAGAGCTTCCTTCAGAAACTCTTGTAAGGTGGGTCTGGTGGTAATGAATCCACTCAGCATTTGCTTGTCTGAAAATAATCTTATTTCTGCTTTGCTTATGAATCTTAGGTTGTCTGTATATGAAATTCTTGGTTGGAATTTCTTTTATTTAAGAATGTTGAATGTTGACTCCCAATCTCTTCTGGCTTGTAAGGTTTCTGCTATTTGTCTGATGACCCTTTCTTTGTAAGTGACTTGAACTTTCTAGCTGCCTTTAACATTATTTCTTTCATTTTGAACTTGGAGAATCTTATGATTATGTGTCTTGGGGATGATCTTCTTGTGGAGTATCTTCATGGGGTTATCTGTGTTTCCTGAATTTGAATGTTGGTCTCTCTAGCTAGGTTGGGTAAGTTCTCATAGATAATATCCTGAAATATGTTTTCCAAGTTGCTATACTCTCTTCATCTCTTTCAGGGACACCAATGAGTCAACGATTTGGTCTTTTTACATAATCTCATATTTTCTGGAGCTTTTCTTCACTTTTTTTCATTCTTTTTTCTCTTTTCTTGTCTGAATTTCTTATTTCAGAAAGCCTTTCTTCAGGATCTGTAGTAGTCCATTTTCTTGCTGGTGATAAAGACATACCCAGGATTTGGGAATTTATAAAAGAAAGAGCTTTAATGGACTTACAGTTCCATATGGATGGATAGGCCTCAAAATCATGGCAGAAGGCAAGTCACTTCTTACATGGATGACATCAGGCAAAGAGAGATAATTTGTGAAGGGGAACTCCTCTTTATAAAAACCATCAGATCCCATGAGACATTCCCTATCATGAGAACAGCATGGGAAAGACTTGCTCCCATGATTCAATTACCTCCCACTGTGTCCCTCACACAATGTGTGAGAATTCAAGATGATATTTGGGTGAGGACACAGCCAAATCATATCATTCCACTCCTGGCGTCTCCCAAATCTCATGTTCTCACATTTCAAAACAAATCATGCCTTCCCAACAGTCCCCTAAAGTCTTAACTCATTTCATCATTAACTGAAAAGTCCATAGTCCAAAGTCTCATCTGAGACAAGGCAAGTCCCCTCCACCTATGAGCCTGTAAAATTAAAAGCAAGTTAGTTACTTCCTAGATACAATCGGGGTACAGGCATTGGGAAAATACAGCCGTTCCTAATGGGAGAAATTGGCCAAAACAAAGGGGCTACAGGCCCCATGCAAGTCCAATATCCAGTGGGCAGTCAAATCTTAGCTCCAAAATGATATCCTTTGACTCCATGTCTCTCATCCAGGTCATGCTGATGCAAAAGGTGGGCTGATGCAAGAGACAGCTCCGCCCCTGCAGCTTTGTAGGGTACAGCCTCCTCCCAGCTACTTTCACCAACTGGTATTGAGTAACTGCGGCTTTTCCAGGTGTATGATGCAAGCTGTCAGTGGATCTGCCATTCTGGGGTCTGGAGGATTGTGGCCTTCTTCTCACAGCTCCACTAGGTGGTGAGAAGTCCCCAGTAGGGACTCTGTGTTGGGGCTCTGACCCTACATTTCCCTTCTGCACTGCCCTAGCAGAGATTCTCCATGAGGGCCCTGCCTGTGTAGCAAACTTCCGCCTGGGCATCCAGGCATTTTCTTACATCTTCTGAAATCTATGTGGAGGTTCCCAAACCCCAATTCCTGACTTCTGTGCACTTGCAGGCTCAACACCATGTGGAAGCTGCCAAGACTTGGGGCTTGCACCCTCTGAAGCCATGGCCTGAGCTCTACATTGGTCCCTTTCAGCCACAGCTGGAGTGGCTGAGATGCAGGGCACCAAGTCCCTAGGTGGCACACAGCATGTGGACCCTGGGCCTACCCATGAAACCATTTTTTCCTTGTAGACCTCCAGGCCTGTGATGAGAGGGCCTGCCAAGAAGACCTCTAACATGCCCTGGAGACATTTTCCACATTGTCTTCAGGATTAACATTCAGCTCCTCATTATTCATGCAGATTTCTGCAGCTGGCTTGAATTTCTCCTCAGAAAAAGGGATTTTCTTTTCTGTTGCACTGTTAGGCTGCAAATTGTCTGAACTTTTATGCTCTGCTTCCCTTATAAAACTGAATGCCTTTCACACCACCCAAGTCACCTCTTGAGTTATTTGCTGCTTAGAAATTTATTCTGTCAGATACCCCAAATCATCCCTCCCAAGTACAAAGTTTCACAAATCTCTAGGGCAAGAGCAAAGTGCCACCAGTCTCTTTGCTAAAATATAACAAGAGTCACCTTTGCTCCAGTTCCCAACAATTTCCTCAATTCCATCTGAGGCCACCTCAGCCTGGATTTTATTGTCCATATCATTATCAGCATTTTGGTCAAAACCATTCAAGAAGCCTCTAGGGAATTCCAAACTTTCCTACATTGTCCTGTCTTCTTCTGCACCCTACAAACTGTTCCAACCTCTGCCTGTAACCCACTTCTGAAGTTACTTCCACATTTTCAGGTATGTTTTCAGCAGCACCCCACTCTACTGGTACCAGTTTACTGTATTACTCTGTTTTCACACTACTGTTAAAGACATACTCGAGACTGGGCAATTTACAAAAGAAAGAGGTTTAATGGACTTAAAGTTCCATATAGCTGGGGAGGCCTCGCAATCATGGTGGAAGGCAAGGAGGAGCAAGTCACATCTTAAGTTGATGGAAGCAGGCAAAGGGAGAGAATCTGTGCAAGGGAACTCCTTTTTAAAAAACCATCAGATCTCATGAGATGTATTCACTATCACGGGAACAGAATGTGAAAGACTTGCCCCCATGATTCAATTACCTCTCACTGGGTCCCTCCCACAACATGTGGGAGGACACAGCCAAACCATATCAGGCTCTGAGATTCTTTCCTCAGCTTGATCTATTCTGCTATTAATACTTGTGATTGCATTATGAAATTATTGTAGTGTGTTTTTCAGCTCTATCAGGTCAGACATGTTCTTTTCTATACTGGCTATTTTGTCTGTCAGCTTCTGTCTCTTCTTATTGTGATACTTAGCCTCCTTAGATTGGGTTTCAAAGTACTCCTGCATCTCAATGATCTTCACTCCTATCTATATTCTGAATTCTATTTCTGTCATTTCAGGCATCTCACCCTGGTTCAGAACACTTGCTGGAGAGGCAGTACAGTTATTTGTAGGAAAGAAGGCACTCTGGCTTTTTGAGTTGTGAGAGTTCTTGCATTGTTTTTTTTCCCTCATTTTGTGGGCTGATGTTTCTTTAATCTTTAAAGTTGCTGACCTTTGGATGAATTTTTTTTTTAAATTTTATCCTATTTGATGACCTTGAGGGTTTGTGATATAAGGTGGATTCAGCCTACTGAGTTTGTTTCTGAAAGATTTTAAGGGGCCAATGCTCAGCTCCCAATTCCTGGACTGTGTGCTCTAACTCTAGGGGACTTGTATTGGGCCCCAACTTTGTTCTCTGGCTCTTCGAGGTTAGGACTCTATTGTCTTCAGGGGCTGAGGTGCTCCCAAACCACAGGTCCCTACACTTCCATGGGTGGTGTTGGCCAAAGTATTTTGTAATGTGGTGGCAGCGGGATTGTCCTTGTTCACACACGTCACCAGCAGTGGCAGCAGCAGTGTGCCAAAGTACATGCCTATCAGGTGCAACAGGTAGCTAGTAGGTGCCAGTGTGCCTGCCTCCATGTGGCCATTCACCACAGTGGCAGAGACAGCATGGCTTTGAGGGGAGGGGGTAGCCTTGCTGCTGACTTTGCATGTGATTGTGAGGGTGGTGGTGGTAGCACAGGAGAGAGTGCTGGCAGGCACAGGTCTGTGTGCATTCTCTGTGGCTGTAGGCAGGGATAATTGCTCAGGGAGGGGGAGGGCCTGCTGTTCTCTGTGCCTAGTTTCACTCACACAGCAGTGTTGGTGTAAGGGTGGGACACTGGTAGGGGTGGGGCTGGCAGGCTCTGTGTCTGCCAAGGATGCCACTGCGATGGTAGTCTGGCAGGGGGAGGGGGGCAGAGTGCACTGCCACTGCAGCTGTGACAGGGCAGGGTGGATGCATACATGTGCACTGGCAGGACAAGGAAGGCAAAACCCACCAGTACACAAATGTGCAGGCAAAACGATGTGGGGTTTTGCTGTGGGCCTCAGGGAAGCTGCAGTGTAGAGAGGGAGCAGGCTGATGTATGGCCATAGGGGCCACCCTGCCAGAGCTCTCTGCTAGTCAGCCATGGTCTGCCCCTGCAGAAGTTATGATGTGGGCCCCCAGGGCACTCAAGGCTGCCCTGCAAGCAGGTAGACTGAGGCTGGAGCCCCAAGAGAAGCCAGCAGACCAGGGGTGCTCAGGACAAACTGACCCCATCTAATGGGCAAGACTGGACTGCAGAGTTCAAGTCTGACAGTTCCCCCAGGGCTAAAGTCTCTTGTGGGACCAAGTCGAGCCTAGGGAGATGGGCTTCCCTGGTGATCCACTATAGACACTCCTGCACCAAACCCCCTGGGCTCTACTTTAGCTGCCTTGCTGCCCTTACCACACTTCTAAGCAGCTCTCCCTGCCAACTCGTGTGTCCATGGTGGTTGAAGTGTCTCCTCTTGCTAGGATTCCAGAGACTCATGGCGAGAGCAGGTTGCTCCTTGCCAGTTCAACTTACTCGTTCCTAGTTCCTTAGAAGATGGAGACACCATGTTCTCCTTTTAAAATCTGGTGCCCCCATCTTCTAATTGCTCAGGCTAAAAACCTCGAGGGTAATCTTTGAATTCCACTTTCCTTCAAACTCACACCCAATCCATTAGCAAATTCTGTCTGCTCTGCCTTTAAAACACAAAACTCAACGACTTTTCACCTGACTTCATCTCTGACCTGAATAATTGTAGTAGTTTTACAATAATCTCCATAAATTTCCTTTCCCTTTATTATTAACTATATTAAAAATTAAGTCAGAACATGCCACTTCCTGTCTAGTATTCTCCATGGTTCATAAACTTTGAAAAAATCCCTTAAAGACTGCATTGTACCTAAAATTCCGTAAGTTCTTAATAGACAAAAGAACAACTGATTAGTGATTTTATTCAATCTTTAACCAAATATGTGTTAACTGCAATATTAAATGCACTTGAAAGCAGTCAGAGTTAAATTTTTAATATACTTAAGATTTTTGTAAATTATTTATTAGATGTCAAGTTTCAACTTGTGATTTGTAAAATTTATTTTTCACTACTAAGATATACTTGCAAAGAACATAGAATACTTGTGTCTAGTAATCAAAGCATCTGTCCATAGGTTATGTTAAAAGGACACAGATCACTGGAAAGTACCCAACTCCTTCTCTTCATTTTGTTTTGCTTTTTAATTAACAATCAAGACATTTATAAGAAACTAATAAACATTTACAAGCCCTTATTTTGTCTGAGGATTGTTGTAATATTTTACTTTCAGCTTTTGATGGATGGCTCCATCATACTCTCATAATCTGTTGAAGACGGTGCTATTATTTTCACTATTATTCTTATTTTATAAAGGAGTAAAGTGAAGCACAAAGGGGTTGAAAATATCTTAATAAGAATATAAACAAAGCAGTAACTAAGGACAAAGAAGAAAGTCATTAACATTAACTGGGGAAACATCTGGATAAAGTTAATGTCCTTTTTTGTTGTCCTTGGTTACTACTTGGTTTATATTCTTATTAGGATATTTATCACCACCTGCTTTGAATATTTTAAGTTATGTATGTGTGTGTTCTCACTATAGTAGCCTCCATAATAGCCAAGGTTTGTATTAATTTCTTATACATTTTGAGTTTCCCAAACATGTAGCACAATACCTTGTTTATAATTTGTAAGTGTTGTTCGTAATAGTTTTTTAGTAAAATTTACTTACCTTATTGACTGTATAAAATCTCAACTATATTACAGTCATTCCTCCTTTGCTCAGTGTGACTGGTATCTCTCAACCAACCCTTCTCTTTTCCTGGCACGGGAAGCCTTTGAATACATTCCCTGGACTCCCTTGCCCGAAGGCTGCCTGTTAGTCACCTATTGTCAATGGGAAGCACTAAAGAAGATTGAAAGTTAGGAAGAAAGACAAGGCCTTTTTTTTTTCAGCTCTGGCAGTGCTTCTAGCAGTGGCTACTAGAGAAGCAGAAAAAGCAACACAGGCAAGTGCCATTTCCTCTCAGGCAACTTAGCTCCGGAAGTACAATAATCATGGGCTATGGGTAGTGAACTTGTCCCTCATTCTTCCTCAGCTTTATGGAGTAGCGTCATCCTGCTGTTCCTAATTTTTCCTTCCTTGATTTGGCTTTTTCAACCTTCTAACATCTTAGTAGCTAATTCCTGCTATTAAATTGCCTCTGTTTTCTATGTTCTTATTGAATACTAATGTGATACACCTCCCAAATGATACATGCCAGATCTTTATAACTGAATTTGAGTAAACGCTGTTCTTCCTGATTTGATGGTTAATATTAAGTGTCAACTTGATTGAATTAAAGGATGCAAAGCATTGTTACTGGGTGTGTCTGTGAGAGTGTCACCAAAGGAGATTAACATTTGAGTCAGTGAACTGGGAGGTGCAGACCCACCCTCAATCAGGGTGGGCACAATCTAATCAGCTGCCAGAATGGCTAGAATAAAAGCAGGCAGAAGAACCTGGAAAGTCCACACTGGCTAAGTCTTGTGGCCTCCATCTTTCTCCCATGCTGGATGCTTCTTGCCCTGAAACAACAAACTCCAAGTTCTTCAGCTTTTGGATTCTTAAACTTACACCAGCGATTTGCCAGGGGCACTCGGGCCTTTAGCCACAGACCGAGGGCTGCACTATTGACTTCCCTACTTTTGAGATTTGGGGACTCAGATTGGCTTCCTGGCCCCTCAGCTTGTAGACAACCTATTGTGAGACTTCACCTTGTGATCATGTGAGTCAATACTCCTAATAAACTCACCTTCATATATATATCTATCATATTAGTTCTGTCCCTCTAGAGAACTCTAATACAGATTTTTGTACCAGGAGTGGTTCTAGAGCCACAGAATCTTAAGGATGGATTTATTTAGTTGGTTTCAGGGTTTCTGGAGTTGGCTGCTGATATGGTTTGGCTGGATCGCCACCCAAATCTTAACTTGAGTTGTAGCTCCCATTATTCCTACATGTTGTGGGAGAGACCCAGTGGGAGATAATTGAATCATGGGGGCAATTTTTCTCATACTGTTCTCCTGGTAGTAAATAAGTCTCATGAGATCTGATGATTTTATAAGGGGTTTCCTCTTTCACTTGGCTCTCATTCTCTGTTGCCTGCTGACATGCTAGACATGACTTTGCTTCTCATTCACCTTCCACCATGATTGTGAGAACTTCCCAGCCATGTGGAACTGTGAGTCAAGTAAACCTCTTTACTTTATAAATTACTCAGTCTTAGGTCTGTCTTTATTAGCAGTTTGAGAACAGACTAATACTGCTGCTTAATGTGATTAGACCTCAAAATTCTAAGGAGTCTCTTTCTAATAGTATGCAGAACACTGATAGTCCTTGGCATGAATTGTTTAGAGAGTTATGCAAAATAAGTTTATTTGATGCTCCTGATTCACCCCTCATGAGGGGCAAGGAGTTTAGTAACTCTATACATAATACATTTGACCATATGTGGAGAACCAATGAATATAATGAAGTTGGTTGGTTGCTCCTAAGTTAACTGGACAAAGTGATGAAAGAAAATGATAATCTCGGGGATTTTCTTTCCTGGATCCAGAGGCATATAGTGAGCTTCAAATCTTCTCAGATTTCTCTGAATAGGAGAAATAACTTATCTCCTGTAGAGAAAGAGCTAAAGTTGTGGAAAATCAGACACAAGCTCTTATCATGCAAGTGGCTGACCTGCAACAAAAGGTGCATGCACGGCCTTGCCAGGTGTTTACTGTTAAAGTGAGAGCTATTATGGTGGGAAAGGACAAATGGAAGTCATTAGAGTTTCCTCTACCTAGAAAAATGGTACATCAAAAACAATATTGCATCCCTGGAGGGATTACAGAGATTAATGCCACCATCAAGGACTTGAAAGATGCAAGGATGGTGATTCCCAACAAAGCCCAGCTCAACTCTCCTATTTGGCCTGTGCAGAAGATGAATGCATCTTGGAGAATGACAGTGGATTATTGTAAGCTTAACCAAGGAGTGACTCCATTTGCAACTGCTGTACCAGATGTGGTTTCATTGCTTGAACAAATTAATACATCTCATGGTCCCTGGTATGCAGCCATTGATTTGGCAAATGCCTTTTTCTGCATTCCTGTCCATAAGGCTGACCAGAAGCAATTTGCCTGCAGCTGGCAAGGCCAGCAATAAACCTTTACTGTCCTACATCAGTGGTATATCAACTGTCCGGTTCTGTGTTATAATCTTGTTTGGAGAGATCCTGATGGCTCTTCCCTTCCACAAGACATCACACTGGTCCATTACATTGATGACATTATGCTGATTGGATCCAGTGAGCAAGAAGTAGCAAACACATTGGACTTGTTGGTGAGACATTTGTGTACAGAAGGATGGGAAATAAATCCAACTAAAATTCAGGGAACTTCTATCTCAGTAAAATTTCTAGGGGTCCAGTGGTGTGGGGCCTGTTGAGATATTCCTTCTAAGATGAAGGGTAAGGTGCTGCATTTGGCCCCTCCTACAACCAAGAAAGAGGCACAATGCCTAGTCAGCCTATGTGAATTTTGGAGGCAAAACATTCCTCATTTGTGTGTGTTACTCTGGCCCATTTATCGAGTGACCTGAAAGGTTGACAGTTTTGAGTGGGGTCCAGAACAGGAGAAGGCTCTGCAACAGGTCCAGGCTACTGTATAAGCTGCTCTGCCACTTGGGCCACATGGCCCAGCAGATCCAATGGTGTTTGAGGTATCAGTGACAGATAGGGATGTCATTTGGAGCCTTTGTCAGGCCCCCATAGGTAAATCAGAGCAGAGACCTCTAGGATTTTGGAGCAAGGTCTTCTGCAGATAACTACTTCTGCAGATAACTACTCTCCTTTTAAGAGAGTAGTTATCCAAGAGAGGATCTTGGCCTGCTACTGGGCTTTGGTACAATCTGAATGTTTGACTATGGATCATCAAGTCACCATGTGACCAGAACTGCCTATCATGAACTGGGTGTTTTCTGACCCATCTAGGCCTAAAGTGGGGCATGCATAGGAGCATTCTATGGAATTCCATCAAATGGAAGTGGTATATAGGTGATAGGGCTAGAGCAGGTCCTGAGTACACAAGTAAGTTACATGAGGAAGTGGCTCAAATGCCCGTAGTCTCCATTCCTGCCACCTTGCCATCTCTCTCCCAGCCTGCACCAATGGCCTCATACAGAGTTCTCTATGATCAATTGACAGAGCAAGAGTATACAAGAACCTAGTTTACAGATGGTTCTGCAAGATATGCGGACACCACCCAAAAGTGGACAGCTGCAGCACAACAGCCCCTTTTTAAAACGTCCCTGAAGGACAGTAGTGAAGGGAAATCTTCCCAGTGGTGAGAATTTCGAGCAGTGCACCTGGCTGTGGACTTTGCTTGGAAGGGGAAATGGCCAGATGTGCCATTATATACTGATTCATGGGCTGTAGCCAATGGTTTGGCTGGATGGTCAAGGATTTGGAAGAAGCATGATTGAAAATTGGTGACAAAGAAATTTGGGAAGAAGGTGTGCAGATGGACCTCTCCCAGTGGTCAACAACTGAAGATATTTGTATGTCATGTGAGAGCTCACCAAAGAGTTACTCTACCTCAGCAGAAGAGGATTTTAATAATCAAGTGGATAGGATGACTCATTCTGTGGACACCACTCAGTCTCTATCCCTAGCCTCTCCTATCATTACTCAATGGGCATGTAAACAAATTGGCCATGATGGCAGGAATGGAGGTGATGCATGGGCTCAGCAACATGGACTTCCACTCCCCAAAGCTGACCTGGCTATGGCTACTGCTGAGTGCCCAGTTTGCCAGCAGCAGAGACCAGCACTGAGCCCTCGATATGGTACCATTCCTCAGGGTTATCAGCCAGCTCCTTGATGGCAGGTTAATTATATTAGACCTCTTTCATCATGGAAAGGGCAGTGGTTTGTCCTCATTGAAATAGACACTTACTCTGGATATGGGTTTGCCTATCCTGCATGCAATGCTACTGCCAAGACTACCATCCCTGGCCTCATGGAATGCCTTATCCTCCATCATGGCATTCCACATAGCATTGCCTCTGACCAAGTCACTCACTTTACAGCTAAAGAAGTGCAGCAGTGGGCTTGTGATCATAGAATTCACTGGTCTTACCATCCTGAAGCAGCTGGATTGATGGAACAGTGGAATGGCCTTTTGAAGTCATAATTACAATGCCAACTAGCTGTCAATACTTTGCAGGGTTGAGGCAAAGTTCTCCAGAAGGCTGTATATGTATGCTCTGAATCTGCATCCAACATATGGTACTGTTTCTCCCATAGGCAGGATTCACGGGTCCAGGACTCAAGGGGTGGAAATGGAAGTGGCACCACTCACCATCACTCCTAGTGATCCACTAGCAAAAGTTTTGCCACCTGTTCCCACAGCATTACTTTCTGCTGGCCTAGGGATCTTAGTTTTGGAGGGAGAAACTCTGCCACCAGGAGACACAATGATTCCATTAAACTGGAAGTTAAGATTGGCATCTGGACACTGTGGGCTCCTCCTATCTCTAAGTCAAAAGGCTAAGAAGGGTGTTACAGTGTTGTCTGAGCTGACTGACCAGGGCTATTAAGATGAAATTAGTCTACTACTCCACAATGGAGATAAGGAAGAGTATGCATGGAATACAGGAGATCCATTAGGCGTCTCTTAGTATTACCATGCCCTGTGATTAAGGTAAATGGGAAACTACAACAGCCCAGTCCAGGCAGGACTAAAAATGGCCCAGACCCTTCAGGAATGAAGGTTTGGGTCATTCCACCAGGTAAAACACCACAATCTGTTGAGGCTGAGGTGCTTGCTGAAGGCAATGGGAATACAGAATGGGTACTAGAAGAAGGTAGTCATCAATACCAGCTATGACAACATGACTATTTGCAGAAACAAGGAGTATAACTTCATGAGTATTTCCTCCTTATTTTGTAAAGAACATTTTTGTGCATGTATACACTCGTATTAAGAAAATGTCCTCATTTTATTGTTTTTCTTTTTTCTTTATCATGGGGCATAAGATTTGTTGACTTCCTGTCAGCATTTAAGTGCTGTTTTCTTTATGAAATAGCATTTGGGTTGGGGATTGGTGTGTTTTTGGTTGTCAGAAAGATAGCTGTATTACGTAAGGTGTAATTATGACCTTACTATCATTTTTATTTGAAGATTATGTATGATTTCAGGAGACATGTATGGGTTCAAGTTGACAAGGGGTGGACTTGTGATGGTTAATATTTAGTGTCAACTTGATTTAATTGAAGGATGCAAAGTATTGTTCCTGGATATGTCTGTGAGACTGTCGCCAAAGGAGATTAACATTTGAGTCAGTGAACTGGGAGATGGAGACCCACCCTCAATCTGGGTGGGCACAATCTAATCAGCTGCCAGCATGGCTAGAATAAAAGCAGACATAAGAATGTGAAAGACTACACTGGCTAAGTCTTCTGGCCTCCATCTTTCTCCCATGCTGTGTGCTTTCTTGCCCTGGAACATCAGACTCCAAGTTCTTCAGCTTTTGGACTCTTAAACTTATACCAGTGATTTGCCAGGGGCTGTTGGGCCTTCGGCCACAGACTGAAGGCTACACTATTGGATTCCCTTCTTTTGAGTTTTAGGACTCAGACTGGCTTCTTGGATCCCCAGATTGTAGATGAACTATTGTGGGACTTTACCTTGTGATCATGTGAGTCAATTCTCCTAATAAACTTCCCTGCACAAATACATCTATCCTATTAGTTCTATAACTCCAGAGAACCCTGACTTCATATAGTACCTTGGCACAGTATAGTATATATTGACTACAGCATTCAGCTGGAGTTAAGATGGGATTCAGCTACTTACACCCAAGATACAATTTCTCGCTCTTTTATTCACTCACTCAACAAATATTAATCACAGTCCTATTATGTGTCTGACACTCTTCATATACTCCAGGGATAGAGTGATGGCCAAGACAGGCAAATACTTGCTTTCATGGAGCTTACCTTCTATTTTGTGAGAGACAGATATTAGGTAAATAAATCAACTTATAAAAAATTTTCTATGAGTAACATGTAATCTGTATAACATAATTTCAGACCATTAGATGGAGTGATATCTAATCATGGTAAACAGAATGCAAAACTCTCTCACATGAAAATAGCATTTCACCTCTGTAGTCATTCTTCAAAAAGCCCATAATCCTAGTCTAATTATAAGGAAAACACCAGACAAACCCAATTGAGGGCATTGTATAAATTTCTGGCCATCATTACACAAAACTGTCAAGATCATCAAAAACAAGGAAACTCACAGTCTAGAGGATCCTAATTCTATCACAGTGATTCTCCCAATTTTATGAGGGTAAATTTACTACTTTAATAAGGCTTTAGCTGATACATTAAGTTTTTATTATAAATGTTGCATTCTGGGCCAAAAATAGAATCAATTGGTTTTGCATATTTTAGACTCAATGTTTAGTAATCTATTCAAATGCTTTGAACGTTTAAGTCTCTCGAATCAGAATTTTTAAAGCAGTAAATGAAACATCTGCAATTATTGCTTAATCTCCAAAGAACACTCTCTTTTAATCAGTTAAATTCACTACATTTGAATGTTCAATTTCTTCAGGTACACTGTTTAACTCATTATGTCAAACTAATGTGTTTATGATTACTAGGACAACTAAATAAGTAAAATAAATCTCTTGGAGAAGTTTTCTGAACATAATTTTTCTTGGGGAATGCAGGGAACTGAAACCTTATAAAGCATTTTCACTATTTCCCTGGGACAGGTGGCAACAAAGGAGAAGGTAGAGGAGTCAGGTGACAGTTGATCTGCAATAAGAGTGATGATGAGCTTGCCATATGAAGAACTGGGGGAAAAAAATTCCAAGCAAAGGGAAGAGCAGATTTAGACAGGGAGGCTTTATTTATGTTGATTTCCTTTCAAAGTATCCTTCATTTACTGATTCAATTATTTATTTATGGAGAGTTCACAAGGCCCTAGACTTAGGGCTATATCTTTGACATATTTTTGCCTGTACACACTGGAGTCACACTCATGAAGTAGAAAGAAAGCAAACCATAGGATCACAGAGTTGCAGGTACCATGGAAGACATGTACTCCAATTTTCTCACTCTGTAAATGAGACAAGTGAGGACAAGAGTGGCTAAGGGACTAAAGATACATAGTCCCTGGCTCACAGACCCAGATTATTTTGCCCTCTCATAAACAAAGTTCAAAATGGATCTACATGATTCAGTTTAAAATTCTCACTTTGAATAACTTAAATGATACTGGCCTAAAGAAATTGGTGATATGTTTTCACAATCAATTTCATTTCCCAAATGGGTTTATTACCAGTGTATAATCCCTACTGAGGTTTGCCACTTAAAATAAAATTAAACAATGCCATGTTTCCATTCAGTGGTAGAATCTTTAAAAAGAATAAATAAGTGTAACCTAAAATTAGATTTTGGTCAAGAGCACAAACATAAATAAGTAGATCATTATAACATGAAACCGAAATAAAGGTTAAACTAACACATAAACAGAATCTAAAGTATTTTATGAGTAAATTAGACTGCCTCACATGAAATGGCATATATTAATCAAAGCATATTATTAAAACATTTTCTTCTAAGAAACTAGAAAATAAAAAAGGGAATTCCATTTGTTATGCCTGGTGCAAAGAATGGTCTTAATCTATCTATCATAAACAAGGAGTATCAAAGAGGAAACATTTTATAGAAATTACAGTAACACTGGAGGAGTCTCTCATCAGGAGGCACTTCCTACTATTGTTATGATTTACCAATTAACTCCTCTGTAAATCAAAGCTGGTCAAAATGCTATGATGAGACACACACATCTTTTTGAATTGCTGTATAATTGTCTTTTCAGGAACATTTGTAATATAGATTACATTCTCAATGGTTGCTTTCCCCAATAGAAACTGACTTGAAAAGTTTTTTTTCTTAAAAACTTCCTTTAGTGCATAGTTTTCTTACCTTTCATGTTTATTAGGGTGATGTGAGCAATATATTTATGTTTTCCATAGCACTGAGTCATGGAGGGAGAATAATTTAGTTCAGAATAATATGACTCAGTAATTAAGATTTATGGATGAATTATATGTACTAATTAGCTGACAAAATCCTATGAAAGATACTAGTCAATGTATGTAAGCAATTCTTAGAGGAAAGTGGTTTTGACTCCTATTGTCCTTATTTCCTCTCTGCCCCAACTCTTCCATTGACCTCTCCTGTTTGACTTTCATCCTCATTAATCTATTACACTGACTACTAAAAATAAATTAAAAACTTTACTCTCTTTTTCCTAAAATTAAGAGCATTTATTGCTACTTTTTCTTAGCTTTGCTATGAAAATCTTAAAAAAAAAAAAATAAAAAAATCTGGCTTCCTACCGAACATTCTTTTCATTGCTTTTCAGGTGATCTTATTTACGGAACTTTTGAAACATGCTGTGGGCCCCACCCCAGAGCCACACACTGAGACTCCATGTTAGATTTTCTACCCTTTTTTGGCTTCATATCTACAATGTGATAAACTCAGAGTTAGCTGATATAAATTTCCATATAATTAAATCAAGAAGCATCATTTAATGGATTTGACTGTATATGTTGATAAAATAATTGTTCTATATAACTGTTTGAATTATAGTTGATGGAATAATTGTTCTATCCTGCATTCACATTGTTACAGAAAAGACATAACAAAGGTAAATCTTGTAAACAAAGCAATCACTCTTTCTCCTAGAGGTTAAAAGACAGGCCAGGTTAAGTTATAGCCACTGACAAAGCTGAAGTTTTTCATTCTATCTAGCATAAGCAATAAATCTGGCAATTATACCAATTCTATAAATTTTGCCAATACCCACTTATATTGTAAAATAGACATTATAGTTAAAAAGAAGAAAAAGAAGGAGAAGATTATTGGGGTCTCTGATAATATGTAGCAACACCTGTGGAAAAGTTTCCTATGGATGTTTGCATAGTATTATGTTTCCAAAAAATTTATGACTTGGATGAATACACATGGAATGGTTTCTGTGCTTGCAGACTGCAATACGATTTGAGTAACTTGTTAGGCGTATCTTACTAACATAGCAGTAGTATAATTTATGACATTTAAGTTTTTTTCTTTAATTACTACATAGCTGATTTGACATAATCAGAATCACTTCAGAGTCTAAAAGTGATAACTCTTCTGGTACTCTATATTTGTTATTTTAAAGTGTATTATTTCATGAAGCTGATAGTTTTGTTTAAACAAATTTCTCTACAAAATTCTAAATTCTTTAGACAATTTTCATCTAAGACATTTGTATCCCCTGATAGTTGTTTATATTTATTTTTTTCCTTAAAGTAATTCAATAGTCCTAAATATTCAATAAGAAACTAGTAAAATAAATTTGGCATCACAGCACGCATTCTGAATTCAATGCAGTCTCATAAACTAGGCAATATGAATCAGAAGTCATGAATCATGGTGAGTTTACAAAGTTGTAAATAAGTTAGAAACAAGAACCCCAAAATGAGACTATAAGTAAATTCAAACCACAGATCATCATAATTCTATTTATCAATAGGCAACCAAAATGTCTGTTCCTGTTTTGAAGTTCATTGAAAAGTCAGTAAGAACCCGGCTTATGTGTTTTTCTAGACAACTCAGATCTAACTTATTTCAGTTTGTTGTTTTGAATCTTAGTTTTGAAACTTCCATGTCTCACTTTTAAAAGGTTAGCCTTTTAATATCTTATTTTAAATAATTTTAAATATACAGACAAATTGCAAGATTAGTCCAAAGAATTCCCATATACCACTATACAACAGTTCCTCAATCATTAACATTTTAAGTCATTTTAAATATTTTTTCTCTCTTTCTGTTTGATTTCTATATTGATTCATGAATTCTTATTGAACTAAAATCAGTTAGTATCATTATTTCCTATGATACTAAAGTTGTGCCAGATGTGGCCAGTGGGGCACCCCTTCATCCTGGTGTGTCCTTTTGACATCACCATCTTGGAAGAGTTAGCTACCCTGATCATCAGGAAGAAGTAGGACTCCTTTTCAAAATGTGGGTCTGAAAAAAAAAAATGTTGGCTAGATGACTTACTTGGGTGCCACTTATTTCTTTGCCCATGTTTGACTGTAAATTACAATTGTAGTTAGTAGCTGGAAGTGTATAGTGACTAGGGGCTCAGACTCCTCAGTGGTGAGGACTTGACACCCTTAGCTAAGACACTAAGGCCAGCTGATCAGTTCGTAGCTGATGGTGAAGGTAATGTAGAATGCATAAAATAGGAGAAAACAAGAGTAGCAGTTCTAGCTTCAAAATAGCTGCAGTGGTAAGGACTATGGTTTGTTGTACTAACTATTCTCTTATACAAGTACCCCAGAAAAAGAGGCCCATTGATATTCTGGAGGAGTGGTTCAAATAACTTAAATAAAGAAGTGTCTTTTCCAGGATGGCCTTGAATCCTGCAGACTGTTGGACTTCTTCTCCCAACCTTGTTAAGTTTCACGATTGTGACAGGCCCCTACATCTTCATAAAGCTTACCATCCTCTTGACTATAAGTGTCTTACCAAAGTATTTGTGACGTATTGATTAACATGATCATCAACATCATTATATTGGTACAATGGGTCAATGTGATATTCTGCAGAATGACCAGTTTCCTCCAAATTGTATCTGACAGAGAGGAAATCAAGGTAAAATAGCCCTAGGGCCAGACCATAAATGTGCTTTTTCCCATGCATTGATTTTCCCCAAGCCCTCCCAATCTCAATAGCCATCTGATTTCATAGTCCTTACAATTACTATTTCCCCTAAACCTTTCCAATATTGAGATACTGCATTTGTAGTATATCACTTACACTGTTTTCTGTTCACAACCAGCAAAATTTAGCAATTATTCTACTACATCATACCTGGTGCTA
The DNA here is from genome assembly GCF_000001405.40 of Homo sapiens. Taxonomy (NCBI): domain Eukaryota; kingdom Metazoa; phylum Chordata; class Mammalia; order Primates; family Hominidae; genus Homo; species Homo sapiens. Next base: position 187,195,174 of record NC_000002.12, on the reverse strand, counting down.
TAAATACTCCATCTAGTGTCATTGATGCAGTACTTCTTTCCATATAATTAAACCAAGAAGCATCATTTAATGGATTTGACTGTATATGTTGATAAAATAATTGTTCTATATAACTGTTTGAATTATAGTTGATGGAATAATTGTTCTATCCTGCATTCACATTGTTATAGAAAAGACATAACAAAGGTAAATCTTGTAAACAAAGCAATCATTCTTTCTCCTAGAGGTTAAAAGACAGGCCAGGTAAAGTTATAGCCACTGTCTAAGCTGAAGTTTTCCATTCTATCTAGTATAAGCAATAAATCTGGCAATTATACCAATTCTATAAATTTTGCCAATGCCCACTTATATTGTAAAATAGACATTATAGTTAAAAAGAAGAAAGAGATGGAAAAGATTATTAGGATATCTGATAAGTAGCAACACCTGTGGAAGTTTCCTCTAGATGTTCACATAGTATTATGTCTCCAAAAAATTTATGACTTGGATTAATACACATGGAATGTTTTTGTCATTGATGAGGTCTTCATCGCCAGTAGCCAACTGGTGACCCAGCTACAAAATTTCCATTTAGAATCTGTTTCTAACACTACTCTTCATATCATCTGCCTTAGTTCAGACTCCTAGAAAACAGAGTCTGAAACAAAACTTGTGTGAAGGTGATTTATTGGCAAGTGCTCTCAGGAACCACATCTATAAGGGATGAGGAAAGGAGGATTGGGTAAAGGAGACAATGAACTACAGTGCAGTTGCAAGGGAGAACTTTGCTAAATCCAAGGGAGGCTCTGAAGCTGGGGCACCCTTCAGAAAAGTCCCAAATAGAAGTAAGGTGGCCAGACTTTGTGACCTCTTAGATGTGGACTGCCCATACATGAAGCAGCTATCTTTGACCAAAGGTAATTCCCCAAGAGCAATTAGCTATTAACTATCAGCAGAAAATACTGCTGGCAGCTGAAACTGATTGTCTTGGTACAAAGTGGGGTTGTGGTGGCACATCACATTCATGACACTATAGTTCATTAATCTTGTGAAGTGCACCATTTTGTGAAAACATTACAATCTTTAAGTTAATTTTCTGTCAGTGTATTAGGTTTGCTTCCAGTGTTTTCCATTTGCAAACTGTACTGCTAAAATAGTCTTGTATTTTTGTCTTTAGGTGCACTTGAACGAAGATTTTTTTAGAAATCATGGGTCCAAAAGATATTTGTACAACAAAGTGTTCAATTGTTTTGAAAATAGTTAGACAAATTTTGACTCTTAACAGCAAATTTGATCCACACACACTCTCCAACATTTGATAGTCAGATTTCTTAAATTTTTCCCTGTCTAGAGGGCATAAAGTTATATCTCCTTGTATCTTAATTTTTTTCTTATAAATCAGTTTTCAGTATAAATTAATTAAATTAGAATTGCAGCAATCCTAATAGAAACTTTTTAAAAAAAGATTAAAATTAACTTCTTAAAAAAGATTAAAATATCTTTAAAAACTAATTTAAATGAATATGTGTTACAACCAGCTGTGAAGCTCTAGGAATCTGAATAGAAGGGCATTTATTCTCGGACTTCAAAATATTATGAGCGCTTCAAGAACATATTAATTCTAAATGATTTGTATTTTCTTCATAATTGCCTCAGTATGGGTTTCTATATGCCTCTTCATTCTTTTGAAAATTATAACAAACTTCTTTATTTTAAAAAAGTTTTATTTCCCATAGAATTTAAAAGAGCTTAACCATATTTTACCATTTGAATGTGATTTGCAAAAATGCTCTAGCTATATTGAATATCTACTTAGTTTATATATCTCTATTTCTATTCATGAGTATTGGCACTGAATCTTGAAATTGATATCAAGGAGCAGAGACTTTTTCTTTTTAAAAACAACTAATTTTTCTTACTGACTAAAGCAGATCCATTTTAATACTATAGATTATTAAATATTATCTTTTAATAATTTAGATTATTAAATATTATCTTTTAATAATTTAGATTATTAAATATAACAACAAGTCCTTATTTGGCATCTGACCAATTTTTAATTGACATATACTAGTTTTACATATTTATGGGGTACATAGTGATGTTTTGATATACATAATGTATAGTGATTAGATCAGTATCATTACCATGTACATTATCTCAAATATTTTATCTCTTCTCTGTGTTCAGAACATTTCATATCCTTCTTTTACCTATTTGAAACTATGTATTATTGTTAAATATAGTCATCCTACAGTGCTATAGAACACTATAACTTACCTTTTTTATCTAGCTCTAATTTTATATCCTTTAACAAATCTCTCTGTATCCTCCTCTTTCTCCTACCTTCCAGCCAAAGAACAAGTTCTTTAACTATTTGGGAAAAGAAGTTGCTTCAGTACAATATTTGTGAATACCTCTGAGTTTGTTTTCTCTCATTCATCTATTCATTCGACTAATATATGTTGAACATTTTTCCATTCCACATGCTATGTAATGATGTGAAACTGCTTCACCCCTTCTTTTACCCAAACAATGTGCAAGAGAGTAAGCAAATGCCATTTAGACAACTCTCATATCATTACATTTTCCAATAAACAATATTATTTGATAAACACAAATAGCAAGCACTAGTCATTATATTCACATAGACATACTAAACTATTTCCAACAACTGACACTGTGTATGATACATTCAGCTCATCACATCACTCATTCAGAATCTACCTCCTAACAACTGTATCTTTGACTGTATGACTTGCAATTATACATTTTGTTGCTAACTTATACAACTTATCTGGGATCTGCGTGGATATTTCCTCCTCCCCTCACTCACCTTTTAGCCTGCCTTTCTCAACTGGCTTTTCAACTTGGACAAACTCTATAAATTACATTTATTTTTCTTTTCCAAATAAAATAGTCTCAATCCAACTTGCTAGTTTAACTCTTTGCTTCCATTCACATCTACTTCTGATTTTACCTTGCCCTTTCACCACCAAGGTTATCTTTTGCCCTTTATCCTTTTTCAATTTTCAAGTGCCCTTCAACATTTCTTCCTCCAATGTATTTTCTCTTCTTTCTCTACATACATACATCAGGACCATTCTATGACTACTCTCCTATGACTACAAGATAGTTTCTCCTATGACTACAGGATGGTAAATTCATGTTTAATAACTAACTGTATTAGTCCATTCTCATACTGCTCTAAAGACATACATGGGCCAGAGTAATTTATAAAGAAAAAAGTTTTAATTGGCTCACAGTTCTGCAGACTATGCAGGATTCTGCTTCTGGGGAGGCCTCAGGAAACTTACAAAGGTGGAAGGCTGAAGGGAAAGCAATCATGGTCTTCACATGGCTGGCAAGAGAGAAAGTGAATGGGAAGGTGCCACACACTTTTTAAACAATCAGATCTCGTGAGAACACTATTATCACAAGACAGTACTGGAGGGATGGTGCTGAACCATTAGAAACCACCCCCATGATCCAATCACCTCCCACCCCGTTCTACCTCCGACATTGGGAATTACAATTCAACATGAGATTTGGGTGGGAACACAGAACCAAATCATATCAATAACTTTTTGTGCTCCAACACTTCAGTCATTGTTTTATACATTCTGCCCACTGTAAGCATTTCTTGATACAGTCACTCCAATCCTGGAAACTATTTCATTTGTAGAGGGCATTTTTTTAATAATATAAAAGATACAGAGTCTTTATTAAATGTGATAATCAAAGATAATAGTACATTCCTTTATTTAAAATTTAATTTTATAATGACTTTTTAATTCTGTATATTAATCTGTTATTCAGTTGAAGAGCTAGAAAGCATTTATTTTTATGTTTTGATCAGATACTACTGATTCTCAAGAGAATTTCTTTCTTAAACTGCCTATCTGAAAATTTAGTGCAAGTTTTGCTGTTTTCTGTTGCTTCTGAAATTTTTAATATTTGATATATGTAGGATTGTCATATTTAGCAAATAAAGGTATAGCATGCTTTGTTAAATTTCAACTTCAGATGAATGACTTTTTTTAGGATAAGTATGTTCCATACAATATTTGGGACATAGTTATGCTAAAAATTATTCATTATTTGAAATTCACACTTAGCTTGGCATCCTATAACATATCTGGAAACCATAAATATATGTCATCATTATTTAAAAACATAGTTTTATTTGCATATTTTAATAATACAACAAGAACATATTCTACATAATAAATTATCTCCAATAATTTCACACTTAACTTCCTCCTAGATGATACTGGTTAACTAATTGGCACATTATCTAAAGTGTGCAGAAAGATAATTCCAATAGAAATAGAAATTGCATGAAATATTTTGAAATTGTGTTCATGTATGATAAGGTTCTCCTCATGGAAAGCACCACTTTAAATGAATTTCATCATATTTGACTTATATTTCTCTTCTTTTACATTATTCAGTTCATGAAATACTTTGTTTTCAGGTTGCTGTAGGCTAATGTTTGTTTTCTACATTGAACATTTCAGTAATTCGATTCCAGCAAAAAGAGATTTTAATTAGTCTATTATCTCATGCTAACTCTCTGGGAATAAATAATCGTATCAATGGTTCAGAGTCATTGTTTTAAAGTTTACAATGAATAATTAGAATTAGGACAGGTAATGTACCAACCTCCTGACATTTTCTGGGTCACAGATACTGTTTACAAGCTAATGAAAGCTAGCTTTTTTCCAGAAAAATAACATATACATTCATATGCACATACATTTTTAATTAAAATATCAGAGAATTTACTCTGAAGAACACTCATAGACCTCAGTTAAAAATCCAGAAAGTACAGAGTCAATGTAATGGGAAGGATATATAAAATTTATTAACCCACACTTACTGTTTTACAATACATTGAAATATTTTTCCCTGATTTTTTAACAAAGAAATTATTCCAAGTACAAAGTAGCTCACATATTAAAACACGTATAAATCACACACATACACATTTCTTTAATTGTTATTTTTTATTTCTCCAACCAGCAATAACAAACTAATATTTAGGAATTCACCTCACTTTATGTGTGGGTCTCATAAGTAAGATGAGACCCTCACTTTATGTGTGGGTCTCATAAGTAAGATGAGACCCTCACTTTATATGTGGGTCTCATAAGTAACAGTAAATCCATAAGTAGTGGATTTACTGTTTTGTACTTTAGTAATTATTAATATGTGCATATTTTAGCTAAACATAGGATTAAATTCTCTGAAGGCTGGAAGAATATCACATTTTCTGGCACATTCTGTGGCCTTAATTAGCAGTTGCAAAATCATCTTAACTAATTTAGGGAAGCAGTTACCAGATAAAGTCTTGCTCTTCATACCTTATTGATTGATAAAGATATTTAAATTAAGGCATTTGACTTGGTTACCTTAAAAATGATGCTAGAAACAATGAAACTAATCTTATTAATGTAACTGCATATCCTTACAAAATGTATTTATATTGCTTTAAAGAATGTTAAGCACAACTTTGGGTGAAAATATAAAAATAAGCTCTTATTTTCTCATTTCAATGTGGGTTTTTTGCTAATCTAAATAAAAATTATTATGTCATTTGATGACAACACACTATTTCCCCTTCCTTTCTTTTTTCTAAGATAAAAATAAAGCTCAATTTGTCTTGGGAGAGTGACATAACTAAAGCGCGCTATCATCAAGTAACCTAGAAAACCTGTCACACCTTTTGCAAACAAAAGGGCTATTTCTCCTGTAACGTTTCCAGAAGGTTGGCATGGAGAAATAAAAGTTGAGGAAGAAGGAGTCTGAATATAACCAATCCTATGAGGCAGAAAGTACTTTCAGTTTGCTTCTATTTTGCAGGAGACTCTTTTGCCTTTTGTAGTTGAGACTATCCATGGCATAATATATTGCGGTTGCCCCCAAATGTGATTCATAGGCTCAAAAGCTAAAAGCACCCAAGAGATGTCTGTTCTTTTCATTCAGGCACATAAATATTCATCATGATGATATACAGTCCCCAGGTGGTCTTGAAATCTTTGCCATTGTACATAAGGTGGTGCCTATATCTGGGAATAGCATTGTCAGAAATGCTCCTTTAAGGAGTCTGTGACCCAGAAATCATAAAGACCATGTGCTTTAAATCCCTGAAGGTAATTTTTAGGAGGATTGTGTTCATTTACCACAGTAGAATGTTAATTAAGTGTTGTGTTGTACACATAATAGTCATTCTGCTACTGAGACAGTAACCCAATCAAAAGTCACTCACATATCTTTTTCAAGATGAATATTGCATATCACATGTGCTATCTAGGTTTTCTATTTTTAAGAGAATGTTTTAATAATACTATCTGAAATGTGATATTTCACATGAATGTACAGAATAAAACATGGTAAACATTAAGCCATTATATTTAATATAACATATATTTTCTGCCATGTAAAATTGACTGAAGTTTATATAAAATTTTTTTCATGTCACCTTAAACTTCTGTTAAAATGTACAGTCAATGAGACTGAAATATTTGGAAAGCAAAACATCTATGACCTTCAAATGAACTTGTTAATGAAACCATGTCATGAGTCAGTAAGAAAAGTTGATGACTAGATATGTTTTTGCTGTGATGTAAAAACACAAAAAGTATTTAAATTGGAAATGTTAATTTTTTGAGCTCAAAAGGGCCAAAGCTGTCCTGTAAATATATTTCAAATAAGATAAAATTGTTCTTACATAGAGTTGAACAGGCCTTAACATTTTAAAACTATATTTATAAAGCCCCTATATATATATATATATATATATATATATATATATATATATATATTTGCTATATTAAAATATAGGCTTAAAAGATTTAGTGTGTATGCATGCTATAAAACAGTTATAATTTTAAAAATTTTATTTATTTATGTTTAATCCAATGTTTAGGAACTATTTATAGAATGGTGTACATTCTGTGCTCTGCCAATTCAAAAAAATGCAACTCTAGTTCATATTTTTATTACTATCAAAAAATCCTATATTTTCAAAGTAAATTGCAAAGTAGTCAGAGATAAACATCCAGATTTCTATGATTTCAAATTTTGATAATTTAATTTATAGCCACATTATAATTTTACACGTGTGCATTGCATTTTTGTTTTTAATGAATCACTCGCTCTACCCTGGACAGTTGCCTGTAGTGTATAATGGGAAATATAATTGGAAATCATCAGCCTATTATGTAACAATATAGAAGCAAGCAAGTAAAATAATTACCAAAAAAAAGGAATTATTATCTGCACAGATAAAAGTTACCTCATGTGAATAAGAATCAATGTTGATTTAATCCTTTCCTTTTCATTGCACAGTTGCCTGTGGAAAATGGCTACATTAATGGGAATACAGAGCTATAAATCACAAGAAATAGGAAATGTACCTTCACACCACTAAAACAATACAGTTATAATAATAATCTTTTAAGAATGAGTGATACAGCAATTTTTTTTAGGTCATCAACAACTGAAAGCATTAGCAGTCAGTCATTGTCTTCCTGCAGAATTTCCAGTTAAGATTCCAGCTGGCAGCTCTAAAAAGTGATTAAGGTTATCCCTTTACAGTGATTCACTCTGATTCTCAAAAGACATTTTAAAAGGCTACCATAGAATTTCTGTGTTTACATAGAGTACTGTCAAAAGGCAATACCCTCTCAGTGTACCTGGCTGTTGCTTGCTTGCAGTTTTCTTGCCAATGGATTAGGAAAGATAAAATGGATATCAAACAAGCACCATAAGTTTAATATATTCAAATATATTTAAACTAAATGAACATGTTATCCTACCTATATTTTCTTTTTTTTTCAGATTTAATTTTTTTTTTAGATTAACATCTTTGTGTATATATATTTATTACTATACTTTAAGTTCTAAGGTACATGTGCACAACATGCAGGTTTGTTACATATGTATACATGTGCCATGTTGGTGTGCTGCACCTATTAACTCGTCATTTACATTAGGTATATCTCCTAATGCTATCCCTCCTCCCTCCCTCCACCCCACTACAGGCCCCGGTGTGTGATGTTCCCAAGAGAAAGCAGAAAAGATCTAAAATTGACACCCTAACATCACAATTAAAAGAACTAGAGAAGCAAGAGCAAACACATTCAAAAGCCAGCAGAAGGCAAGAAATAACTAAGATCAGAGCAGAACTGAAGGAAATAGAGACATAAAAAACCCTTCAAAAAATCAATGAATCCAAGAGCTGGTTTTTTGAAAAGATCAACAAAATTGATAGACCACTAGCAAGACTAATAAAGAAGAAAAGAGGGAAGAATCAAATAGACACAATAAAAAATGATAAAGGGGATATCACCACCGATCCCACAGAAATGCAAACTACCATGAGAGAATACGATAAACACCTCTACACAAATAAACTAGAAAATCTAGAAGAAATGGACAAATTCCTCGACACATACACTCTCCCAAGACTAAACCAGGAAGAAGTTGAATCTCTGAATAGACCAATAACAGGCTCTGAAATTGAGGCAATAATTAATAGCTTACCAACCAAAAAAAGTACAGGACCACACAGATTCACAGCCGAATTCTGCCAGAGGTACAAGGAGGAGCTGGTACCATTCCTTCTGAAACTATTCCAATCAATAGAAAAAAAGGGAATCCTCCCTAACTCATTTTATGAAGCCAGCATCATCCTGATACCAAAGCCTGGCAGAGACACAACAAAAAAAGAGTATTTTAGACCAATATCCCTGATGAACATCGATGCGAAAATCCTCAATAAAATACTGGCAAACCGAATCCAGCAACACATCAAAAAGCTTATCCACCATGATCAAGTGGGCTTCATCCCTGGGATGCAAGGCTGGTTCAACATACGAAAATCAATAAACGTAATCCAGCATATAAACAGAACCAAAGACAAAAACCACATGATTACCTCAATAGATGCAGAAAAGGCCTTTGACAAAATTCAGCAGCCCTTCATGCTAAAAACCCTCAATAAATTCGGTATTGATGGGACGTATCTCAAAATAATAAGAGCTGTTTATGACATATCCTACCTATATTTTCAAATTCAGCCACCCAAGCCAGAAACCTGGTAGCAATATTATAAGACTTGTTAACAATAAAATAATAATAATAGAAGTGTCAGCCTTGAAATGACTTACCAAAAAGGAATGCCATAATATTTGGAGCATAAAATAAGGCCATTTCCACCTATTCTACTTCCAATGATTCTGTTACCTGCCTTTATATGCAATAGTTATGGCAGAAATTCCCTAGATTTGGAAATAAGATTTGCATTTCAATTCCAATGTTGCCATCTAATAGCTGTCTATTCTTGGCCAATTATTTTACCTTCCCAAGTTTTAATTTTCTTATGTATGTACTGCAAAAACAATTCTAAATTTGTAAGGTTAATTACAAATGTTGAAAAGCCGCCTACTGCAGAGTCTAATACCTTGCAGGTGCTCACGAAACGCCAGCCATTTCTAGTATTAGTACCACCTAGGCATTCTAGCCTGACCTGTGGTAGCCATGGTGACAGAAGTTTGCGTTGCAATAAGAGTACATAGGTATAATCAATGGGTTACCTGTCAACTTCAGATGTGAGGAAAATGTGATTTGATTACAGACAGGGTACTCATTTTATGACATAATTGCATAGTACATAGCGGTTCCCAGAGAAAGTCCTTCTTTATTAGCCTAAGGTAAGTGGAAGGTACAAATTGAACTTGACATGGAAATGTTGTTTGGAATGGAGTATTTGTTTTGTGATGACATTATGTATTTATGACAGCTGATATTTTAATTTCCTGAGGTGAAATCTTTAACTGATACTGTAGTTTATTTTCTCATTGTAATATTGAAAAACAAATTGTACAATCCTAAAATATGTGGGCCAATACTCTGTTATAAAAGGGCAGCAACCATTGTCTTGCTGTTTTCTTGATTTATTTTTGCCAAGTTTGGCTTGAAATAGCTAAAAGGTTCTAACAGTATACAGGAGTCAAAGAAATTAAGAAATATTGCTGTATGTTGTACGCAGGTTGCAGAAGCCTTTTCTGATGACTCCAGATGCCCTTGATAGGCACAGGAAGCAGGGAAATTCTGGGCAGAAAGGGGCAGTTCCCTAGTGAGGGCCCTACCCTCAAGGTGAAAAGCCTGAGATCACACCCCAAAATGAGAACTTACATCCCTGTTTTTCTGCTCAAATGTTGAATTTTTCAAAACCATCCTGGCCCAACCCTCTCCCATTCTGTCCCCCCAAAAAACCCAGGATCAGCTGGCAGAGAAAGGAGAAGCAGCTGGACACTGGAGACTACAGTTGGGTGTCAGAGAGAAGTGGCTTGACTTCAGAGGGACAGCTTGACAGCATAGCTTCAGAGAGGAGTCTGGCCAGGAAGATTATTTTCCCTCTCTGTCCCCTTTTCAGCTTCCCTTCCCACTGAGAGCCACTTTTATCAGCAATAAAATTTCCTGTATTTACCATATTAAATTAATTTGTGTGACCTCATTTCTCCTGGATGCTGGACAAGAACTTGGGTGCCACAAGTATGGGTGCAAAAGGCTGTGTGATGGTTAATACTGAGTGGCAACTTGATTGAATTGAAAGATACAAAGTATTAATCCTGGGTGTGTCTGTGAGTGTGTTGCCAAAGGAAATTAACATTTGAGTCAGTGGGCTGTGAAATTTAGACCCACCCTTAATCTGGGTGGGCACCATTTAATCAGCTGCCAACATGGCTAGAATATAAGCAGGCAGAGAAATGTGAAAAGAGAGACTGGCCTAGCCTCCCAGCCTACATTTTTCTCCTGTGCTGGATGCTTCCTGCCCTTGAATACCTGACTCCAAGTTCTTCAGTTTTGGAACTCGGACTGGCTCTCCTTGCTCCTCAGCCTGCAGATGGCCTATTGTGGGACCTTGTGATCATGTGAGTTAAGACAATAAATTCCCCTTTATATGTATATGTGTGTATATATATATATATATGTAACATCAGTTCTGTCCCACTAGAGAACCCTAATACAGATTTTTGTACGAGGAGTGGTTCTAGAGGAACAGAATATTAAGGATGGAGTTCTTTCATTGGTTTTGGGGTTTCTAGAGTTGTCCGATTAATATGATTAGACCCCAAAATGCTAAGGCTTTACTTCTAATAGTATGGAGAACACGGATAGTCCTTGGCATGAACTCTTTAGAGAGTTATGCAAAATAAATGCATCTGTCACTCCTGATTCATCCTGCATGAAAGGCAAAGAGTTTAATGACTCTATACATAATACCTTTGACCATAAGTGGAGAACCAAGGAACATAATGAATCTGGTTGTTCGCTCCTAAGTTCAGTGGATCAAGTAATGAAAAAAAAATAAAATAATGAACTCAGGGATTCGATCTCCTGGCTTCCGAAGCAGATACTGAGCCTTAAATCTGCTAAGATTACCCTGAGTGAGATCCTTATCTCCTGTAAAGAAAGAGCCAAAATTGTGGAAAGGCAGACACAATCTCTTATCATGCAAGTGGCTGACCTGCAATGAAAGGTGCATGCACAGCCTCACCAGGTGTCTACTGTTAAAGTGAGGGCATTGATTGGAAAAGAATGTGACCCTGCAACTTGGAATGGGGCCATGTGAAAGGACCCTGATAAAGCTAGGGACACTGAGTTTTTAAACTCTGATGAATATTTTTTGCCAGAAGAAACAGCTTTCCCATCCCCAGTAGTGGCAACATCCCCTCCCCAACCCATGCTGCCATCAGCCTTTCCACCTTTGTCTGAGGAGATAAACCCTGTGCTGCCTGAGGCAACAGTGATGGCCTTTCCTGAGGCAGTTGCCGGCAAGATTATGTTGATTCTCTTCAGAAGCCACCCCCAACATCCCCGTTTGCTCCTAGTCCTATAACTAGACTAAAGTCCCGTTGGGCCCCTAGAGGTGAGGCTAAGAATGTGACCTATGAGGAGGTGTGCTACACTCGAAAAGAACTGCTTGAGTTTTCAAATTTATATAAACAGAAATCTGGAGAACAAGCATGGGAATGGATATCAAGGGTGTTGGATAATGGTGGAAGGAACATAGAGTTGAATGACACTGAATTTATTGATTTGGGCCCACTAAGTAGGGACTCTGCATTTAATGTTGCACCTCGGGGAGTTAAAAAAAGTTCTAATAGTTTATTAGCTTGGTTAGCTGAAATATAGATTAAAAGATGGCCCACTGTGAATGAGCTGAAAATGCCTGAGGAAGTGATCCAAAGGCTTAGGGAGATTGAGGTGGTGGAGTGGATTAGTCACTTTAGACCTACTCATCCCAGCTGAGAGGGTCCAGAAGCTATAACCTTGACCAATGCCATGTGAAATAGATTTGTTAGGGCAGCACCTGTACCTTTGAAGAGCCCTGTAATTGCTCTTCTCTGTATGTCAGATCTAACAGTGGGAACCACAGTAACTCAACTAAAAATTCAAATACAATGAGAATAATTAGATTGTGAGGTAGCAAGGGCCAAGTGGCAGCACTCAACCATCAAATGCAAGGTGGGTGTAGCTACAGTAATGGATAGCAGAGGGAAATCAACAATCAGAATAGTCTGAGTTGTGTAGAGCTCTGGCATTGGCTAATTAATCATGGTGATCCTATAAGTGAAATTGATAGGAAGCCTACTGCATTCCTGCTTAATTTATATAAGCAGAAAACTTCTAGATTGAAACCACAGAAGATTAATTTGAATTATTAAAAAAAAAAGAATCACAGCCCCTCAATCAATTTCCAGACTTGAGCCAGTTTACAGACCCAGAACCCCTTGAATGAATGGAAGGCCAGGTCCCCTTGAGGAAGGACCCCACTACATTACCAACAATTTATGCAGTGAATCTTTCTCACATCCTTCCCCAAGGAGTCCTCTGACCTTTTACAAGGGTAACTGTGCATTGGAGACAGGGAAATGATCAGACATTCTGGGGACTACTGGACACTCACTCTCTGCTAATGTAAGGCCTACCAGAAGCAATTTGCCTTCAGCTGGTAAGGCCAGCAATATACCTTTACTGTCCTACCTCAGGGGTATATCAACTCTCCAGCTTTGTGTCATAATCTTATTCAGAGAGAACTTGACTGCTTTTTGCTTCTGCAAGATAACATACTGGTCTAGTACATTGATGATACCATGTTGATTGGATCCAGTGAGCAAGAAGCAGCAAACATGCTGAACTTATTGGTGGGATGTTTGTATGTAGGAGGATGGAAAATAAATCCAACTAAAATTCAGGGAACTTCAATCTCAGTAAAATTTCTAGGGGTCCAGTGGTGTGGGGCCTGCTGAGATAGTCCTTCTAAGGTGAAGAATAAGTTGCTGCATTTGGCCCCTCCTACAACCAAGAATGAGACACAATGCGGTTGGGTGTGGTGGCTCACGCCTGTAATCCCAGCACTTTGGGAGGCCAAGGCAGGCAGATCACGAGGTCAGGAGATTGAGACCATCTTGGCCAACATAGCGAAACCCCATCTCTACTAAAATACCAAAAAAAAAAAAAAAAAAAAAAAAAAATATATATATATATATATATATATATACATACATACACACCAGGTGTAGTCCCAACTACTTGGGAGGCTGAGGCAGGGGAATCACTTGAACCTGGGAGGCAGAGGTTGTAGTGAGCCAAGATCGCGCCATTGCACTCCAGCCTGGTGATAGAGCAAGACTCCATCTAAAAAAAAATACAATAAAGAAGAAAAAAAAAAAAAAAGAAAGAAAAAGGCACAATGCCTAGTAGGCCTATTTGAATTTTGGAGGCAACACATTCCTCATTTGGGTGTGTTACTCTGGCCCATTTATTGAGTGACCTGAAAGGCTGCCAGTTTTTAGTGGGGTCCAGAACAGGAGAAGGCTCTGCAACGGGTCCAGACTACTGTGCAAGTTGCTCTGCCACTTGGGCCGTATGACCCAGCCAATCCAATGGTGGTTGAGGTGTCAGTGGCAGATAGGATGCCACTGGCAGGCCTCCATAGGTGAATCACAGTGGAGACCTCTAGGATTTTGGAGCAAGGCCCTGCCATCTTCCACAGATAGCTATGCTCTTTTTAAGAGACAGATCTTTACCTGTTACTGGGCTTTGGTGGAAACAGAATGTTTGACTATGGGTCATCAAGTCACCATGTGACCAGAACTGCCTGTCATGAACTGGGTGCTTTCTAATCCATCTAGCCATAAAGTCAGGTGTTCACAGCAGCATTCCATCATCAAATGGAAGTATATACATGATTGGGCTCTAGCAGGTCCTGAAGGCACAAGTAGGTTGCATGAAGAAGTGTTTCAAGTGCCCATGGTCTCCACTCCTGACACCTTGCCTTCTGTCCCCCAGCCTGCACTGATGGCCTCATGCAGCATTCCCTACAATCAGTTGACAGAGGTAGAGAAGACTAGGGCCTGGGTTACAGATGGTTCTGCATGATATGCAGGCACCACCCAAGGTTCGACAGCTGCAGTACTACAGCCTCTTTCTACGACATCCCTGAATGACAGCAGTGAAGGGAAATTTTCCCAGCGGTCAGAAGTTTGAGCAGCACACCTGATTGTGCACTTTGCATGGAAGGAGAAATGGCCAGATGTGCAATTATATACTGATTCATGGGTTGTAGGCAATGGTTTGACTGGATGGTCAGGGATTTGGAGGAAGCATAATTGGAAACTAGATGACAAAGAAATTTGGGGAAGAGGTATGTGGATGGACTTCTCTGAGTGGTCAAAGACTATAAAGATGTTTGTTTCCCATGTGAATACTCACCAATGGGTGACCTCAGCAGAGGAATATTTTAATAATCAAGTGGATAGGGTGACTTATTCTGTGGACATCACTCAGCCTCTTTCCCCAGCCAACCCTGGAATTATTCAATGGGCCCATGAACAAAGTGGGCATGGTGGCAGGGATGGAGGCTACACAGGCTCAGCAACTTGGACTTACACTCACCAAGGCTGACCTGGCTATGGCCACAGCTGAGAGCCCAATTTGCCAGAAGCAGAGACCAACACCGAGCCCTCGATATGGTACCATTCCTCGGGGTGATCAGCCAGCTACCTGGTGGCAGGTTGATTATATTGAACCTCTTCCATCATGGAAAGGGCAGTGGTTTGTCTTCACTGGAATAGACACTTACTCCAGATATGGGTTTGCCTATCCTGCATGCAATGCTTCTGCCAAGACTACCACCCATGGACCATGGAATGCCTTATCCACCGTCATGGTATTCCACAAGGCATTGCCTCTGACCAAGACACTCACTTTACGGCTAAAGAAGTGTGGTAATGGGCTCATGTTAATGGAATTAACTAGTCTTACCATGTTCCTCATCATCCTGAAGCAGCTGGATTGATAGACTGGTGAATGATCTTTTGAAGTCACAATACAATCCCAAAGCAACTAGCTGACCATACTTTCCAGGGCTGGGGCAAAGTTCTCCAGAAGGCCGTGTATGCTATGAATCAGCATCCAACATATGGCACTGTTTCTCCCATAGCCAGAATTCACAGGTCCAGGAATCAAGAGGTGGAAGTGGAAGTGGCACCACTCACCATCACCCCTAGTGATGCACTAGCAAAATTTTTACTTCATGTTTTTAGGACATTTTGTTCTGCTGGCCTAGAGGTCTTAGTTCCAGAGAGAGGAAACCTGCATCAGGAGATATAACAAGGACCACTGAACTGGAAGTTAAGATTGCCACCTGGACACTTTGGGCTTCTCCTACCTTTAAGTCAACAGGCTAAAAAAGGAGTTACAGAGTTGGCTATGGTGATTGACCCAGACTATCAAGATGAAATCAGTCTGCTACTCAACAAGGGAAGTAAGGAAGAGTATTTATGGAATAGAGAAGATCCATTAGGGCATTTTTTAGTATTACCATGCCCTGTGATTAGGGTCAATGGGAAACTACAACAGCCCAATCCAGGCAGGACTACAAATGACACAGACACTTCAGGAACGAAGGTTTGGGTCACACCACCAGGAAGAAAACCACGACCTGCTGAGGTGCTTGCTGAAGGCAAAGGGAATATAGAAAGGGTAGTAGAAGAAGGTAGTCATCAATACCAGCTACAACCATGTGACCAGCTACAGAAACAAGGACTGTAATTGTCATGAGTATTTCCTTATTCTTTTGTTCAAAACATGTTTGTGCATGTATACACTCATATGAAGAAAATATCTTCATTTTATTTCCTTTCTCTTTTATCGTGTGACATAAGATTTATTGACTTCACATCAGCATTTAAGTATTGTTAAATTTGTGTAACAGTATTTGGGTTGGGAATTGGTACATTTCCAGTTGTACGAAAGATAGTTGTATTATGTTAGGCATAATTATGACCTTATTATTGTCATTATTTGAAGATTATGTGTGAGCTCAGGAGATATCTATGGGTTCAAGTTGACAAGGGGTGACCTTGTGATGGTTAATACTGAGTGTCAACTTGATTGGATTGAAGCATGCAAAGTATTGATCCTGGGTGTGTCTGTGAGGGTGTTGTCAAAAGAGATTAACATTTGAGTCAGTAGACTGGGAAACACAGACCCATGCTTAATCTGGGTGGGTACCATCTAATCAGCTGCCAGTTCAATCAGTATATAAAGGAGGCAGAAAAACGTAAAAAGCCTTGACTGGCTTAGCCCCCAGCCTCCATCTCTCCCCTATGCTGGATGCTTCCAGCCCTCAAACATTGGATTCCAAGGTCTTCAGTTTTGGAAGTCAGACTGGCTCTCCTTGCTCCTCAGCCTGCAGACGGCCTATTGTGGGACTTTGTGATCACGTGAGTTAAGACTTAACAAACACCCATATATACATATATATATATATATCTCACATATATTCCATCAGTTCTGTCCCTCTAGAGAACCCTGACTAATACAGTCTGTCACACTGACCCTCCACTGAGCTGTTAACACTTAAGCTGTCTGCAGATGGCAGAGCTAAAAGAGTACTGTAACACTTCTTCTGGGGTTTCAGGGATCATGGGTTTCCCCCTCAGATGCTGCCACGGGGCTGGTACAGAGTTTGCCCCTGCCAGTGCCCAAAAGCACTCTCCCCAGCTCTGCAACCTGCATGCTCCCCATACTGCGAGGGGTGGAGTGCAGCAGATCGGATTGAGTAGAATTTGCTCCTGCTGGCACCAAAGCAGCCAGCTAGTTCCAGCACCTGTTACCTCCAGTTCCCACCCATGAAAGAGTCAGGGAAATATCCTGCTTCATTTGGGGTCTGCCTGGAATTCACCAGAAGTGTAAGTAAATGCAGATCTGTCGGATCTGTCTCTTGTCCTCAGACTTGTCTGAGCTATGCCACTTGCAGAGGACAGGATGCAAACCCGCCATCTCTTTCTTTAGGATGAAAGGAATGCTGGCTCTGTTTCCCTTTATGGAGGCCTAGCCATCATGTGGGACCAGAATGAAGTCCTGGGTCAACCGAAGGCATCTGACAGAGGCCACTGCTCAGTGTTGTAACTTTCCTTTGAAATGGGTCCTATCTCTTCTTTTATAATGTGAAGTGTTTTGCCACAAGCTGCAGAAATATTACTAGGAAGAATGAGTATTTGGCCCAGCTATCAGATATGCAATTCATAACAATATGATTTCTGTCGGTTCTTAGAGGTTCCATCCCCACCCTCACCCCAATAGCTTCAGGTGCGTGCAGTGCATGGCAGCGCCCTCCTCACCCTCTCCCCTCCCAGCTGGAGCACTTGGGCATGTTGGCAGCATGCATGTGCCACGCTTAATGGCCACACTGGATGGGAGAGAAGCACAGCTCCCGCCAGTGACTCAGGGCAGCCTAAGGAGCCAGGGACACCACGCGGCCAGCTAGCCAGTGTTTCCCACTCACAGGCCCCGTCCGCCACCCACCCATAGAGTCTTTCCTCCCCTGGCCGAGGAAGGAAACACTGGCCAGTCTAAACCAGAGGAGGGATACAATGATTAAAGGAACCCATCTGCATACAGCAAGAGGTTCTTTCACCTCTCTTAAGCTGTTTTTTTCCCTCTTTCTTTTCCGTGCAAGAGAGTTCTTTTCCTACCTCATCACTCTGCTTATGATAGGGAGGTAACAGAGGAATGACCCCAACAGCTAATAACTGAAAATTTGGCAAGGCCTGTCAGGAACTTAATCTACATAAATCCATGCTCCCCCTGAGACATCTTTTTGTCCCAAACTCAATTCTAAATTTTAGGTTGAGGCCCTAGAAAGGAAAACCAGATCTGAGGAATCCAAAGCCAGGCCACAGGTGCAGTGTAAATGAGTAGGACTAATTCCTGCTGATTAAGCCACTGCTTCATGGAAGGAGGCCATTTTCCATGGCATAGATAAGGCCCAGGGAACACAAAGGCTGCCAACCATAGGGGGAATGGAGGCACAGGCCCTCTCTGTCTCACAAGTGCAGGCTTCAGTGGCACCCATGGAAGGTATCTGTCTAAGATCGCCAGGTCTTGGGGATAAAAAGAGAGAAAAGAAAGTGGGGACACCCATTTTCTCTCTCCCTCACACCCTGGGTTATTACTGAAAGATGGAAGGGAAATAAGGGATGCCTATTTCCCTGTGTTTCAGAATGGGCCACCAGCTATCTGCACAATTCCCAGTCTATACTCCTCTGGAGTATATCCTGAGTCACTGGGACTACTTTGACCCTCAGACTCTGGAGCAAAATCACCTCAAAGTCCCTTGAACAAAGGTTTGGCCAAATTATGATCTGCAGGAAGGACTGGCTTGACCTCAGGAGGGAATCATTCATTTTGATACCATCCTGTAGTTAGACCTTTTCTGTAAATATGAGGGCTAATGGTCTGAGGCCCCATACGCACAGGCTTTCTTTACTTTGCAGGGTAATCCAGACCTTTGCCAACATGGTAGGATTGATCCAGCCCTCCTGTTTGCCATCTCAGGAGAGGCTGCAAGGGTAATCCCAGGGAACTAAAGAAATGAACCCCACAGGCACCTCCAGAAGGAAGCCAGGTTCCTCCAGCCCTGCTCCTCTGGGTCTACCACATCCTTCCTATCCAGTTTCTCTCTCTTGCTTGACCCCTCCTAGAAATCCTCACTTTAGACAAGCCCCAGCCTCACTCTTAGCCCTCCAACAGATGCCTGGTGATTTTGGCCCCAGTAAGGTCCAGGTCCCCTTCTCGCTACAGGACTAAAGACAAATTAAGGGGGATCTTGGCAAGCTTTCAGATGACCCTGACAGATATATGCAGGCTTTCCAGAATTTAACCCAAGTATTTGAACTCTCCTGAAAGATATTATGTTACTTTTGAATCAAACTCTAACACTGAGAAGCAGGCTGCTCTGCAAGTGGCAGAGAGATATGGGTATGAGCTTTGAATCACATATAGTGTCAGGGAGGGAGTAAAACTTTATCCAGCTAGAAGTGAAGCAGTATCATTGGATGACCCTAAATAGGATCTCAGTGATGAGATGAGAGAATGGAAGAGGAGACACTTTCAAGTGTGCATAATGGAGGGCTTAGGTAGGTCTAGAACTCAGCCTCTCAATTATACCAAGCTATCAATGATAGACCAGGGATTTGATGAGAATCCCACTGCCTTCCTGGAGAGACCTTGGTAAGGCACACCTCTCTATCTCCTGATTCAGCTGAGGGACAACTAATCCTAAAGGACAAATGTATTACTCAGGCAAAGACCCTGATGTCAGGAGGGAGATGCAGAAACAGGCCCTGGGACTAGATAGTATTTTAAAGAACCGCCTAAAAGTGGCCAGCTTGGTCTTTTATAATAGAGAAGGGAGGTCCAGCAGAGAGAAAGGAAACACAGAAAAGAGACAGAGGCTTTAATGGCAACCACACAAGCCCCAAAACACCAGAATTCCTGAGATGCCCTGTTAACTGCTACAGATGTGGTAAGCCAGGACATGTTAGAAAGGATTGTTCAGGCAGCATGAGGAACCTGCCTTGACCATGTTCAATTTGCAATGGGGACCACTGGAAGGTGGACTGTCACCAGGAACACTGGTCATTGGATGCAGAGCTAATCTCCCAAGTGCCCCAACAGGACTGATGGGTCCCAGTTCTCCTCTTCCCAGCTCCAGTGGTCCAGACCACTATTATCATCCAGGAGCCCCAGGTAGTTCTGGAAATCGAAGGAAGGAAAGTGGACCTCCTTCTGGACACCAGGGCTGGTCTCTCAGTTCTCCTCTCCAATCTGGGCCCCCTCTTCTCTCTTAGCATGACCATGAGGGGCCTCTCAGGAAGGCCTTTAACCTGATATTTTCCCCAACACCTTAGTTGTAGTTGGAAAAACCTCTTGTTTACCCATACCTTTCTAATTATGCCTGAAAGCCCAACTCCATTGTTGGGCAGGGATATTCTCTCCCATATGGGGACCACTATTATGATGGTCCCAGGACAAACTCTTTGTCTCCCCCTAGTGGAGATAGACATTAACCCAGAAGTTTGGGCCATTCACTGCAAAATTGGCCAAGCCAGAACCGCCATAGCTGTCTGGGTCCACCTTAAGGATCCCACCTTTTTTCCTAACCAGAAACAGTATCCCCTGAAACCAGAAGTTAGGAAAGGACCAGAAGCCATCATTGATATCAAGGTTTCAGGGCCTCCTCAAACCCTGCAGTAGCCCTTGTAATACTCCAACATCAGGGATACAAAAGCCCATCATGGAATGAAAACTAGTTTAAGACCTCCGCCTTGTTAATGAGATTGTGGTTCCAATTCACCTGGTGGCTCCCAATCTGTATACCCTCCAAGCTCAAATACCTGAGGTAATTAAATGGTTCATGTCCTAGACCTGAAGGATGCTTTTTCTGCATACCACTATACCCTGACTCCCAGTATTTGTTTGCATTTGAGGATCACTCTCAAACCAAACCAAACCAAACCTCCCAGTTAACCAGGATGGTGTTACCTCAGGGATTCTGAGACCGCTCCAACTTGTTTGGGCAGGCATTGTCAGGAGACCTCTCCAAGTTCCTCTATCCTCAGGTTAAAGTTTTACAATACATAGATGATATTCACCTCTATGCTCCAACTGAGGAAATCTCTCAGGAGGGTGGTAAGGTTCTTCTTAATTTTCTGGCTAACAGAGGATATAAGGTTTCAAAATTTAAAGCTCAGCTCTGTCAGACTTCAGTGAAGTACCTAGGCCTGATCTTGTCAGAGGGAACCAGAGCATTGTGCTCAGAAAGGATTAAGCCCATCTCCTCCTTCCCCCTCCCCCAAAACCCTGAAGCAACTGAGGGGGTTCTTAGGCATTACAGAATTCTGCAGACTATAGATACCTACATATGGTGAAATAGCTCATTCCTTTTATCACCTAATAAAGGAGACCCACTCGACTAATACTCATTCTCTAATTTGGGAACTGGAGGCTAGAAAGGCCTTTGACCAACTAAAATACACATTGCTTAAGGTACCAGCCCTTAATCTCCCCATAGGGAAGACATTTAATCTTTATGTGTCAGAAAGAAAGGAAATGGCCCTGGGGGTTCTAACCCAGGCCCAGGGTCCAGCCCAGCAGCCTGTAGGCTACCTAAGTAAGGAGCTTAATTAAGGTAGCCAAAGGATGGCCAGCCAGCCCCCGAGCATTTGCAGCAGTAGCCTTGCTGGTACCAGAGGCTACTAAGTTAACCATGGAGAATAACTTAACTGTTTACACTCTGTATAATGTGGCAGGACTGCTGTCTTCTAAGGGGAGTCTCTGGTTAACAGACAGCCACTTCCCCAGGTATCAAGCTCTGCTATTAGAGAGATCTGCAGTTCAATTAAGAACCCATCCCTCCCTAAATCCAGCCACCTTCCTCCCAGAGGAAACTAGGGAGCTTGAACATGACTGTGAACAGATAGTAGTACAAACATATGCAGACAGAGAAGACCTCAAGGAAACCCCCTTAGAGAGCCCAGACTGTATTCTCTTCACAGACGGAAGTTATTTTGTAGAATAAGGGATCCATAAAGCAAGGTATGCAATAGTTACTCTAAACGATACTGTTGAGAGCAGGGGTATGTCTCTCTTCGGGCACAAGTGCTCAACTAGTCAAACTAATTGCCATCAGAAGGCACTCAAGCACAAGGAAAGCAGTTAACATTTATACTGATTCTAAGTATGCTTTCCTAGCTGTCCATGCCATGCCAATATCTGGAAAGAGAGAAACTTCCTCACAGCTAACAGGTCTCCCATTAAATACCATCAGGAAATTAATACACTATTATCCTCAGTTTTCCTCCCACAGGAGGTGGCAGTAATACATTGTAAAGGCCACCAAAGAGAGATGGATGAAATAGCCAAAGGAAATAGGTTGGCAGACCAAGCAGCTAAATCAGCAGTGAGAGAGCCCTAGATTTCCAATCTACTTGAAGCTCCACTGATCTGGGAAGGGCCCATTAGAGAAATAAAACCTCAATATTCTCCTGTGGAAACAGAATGGGCCACCTCTTGAGGATACATCTTTCAGTCCTCAGGATGGCTACAATCAGAGAATGGCAAGCTTCATCTACTGGCTATGAACTAATAGAAAGTTCTTTAAAGCCTTCACCAGGTCTTCCACCTAGGTAAGGATAAAACCTATCAATTGGCCCAGAGACTGTTATATTAGGTAAAAATATTATACAAATGGTTAAACAGATTGTTAATGCTTGAGAGACCTGCCTTAAAATCAATCCCCTCAACCGATGTCTTATTCCTCCAGGAACCCAGAGGATAGGAGGCTAGCTGGGGGAAGACTGGCCAATGGATTTCACCCATACGCCAAAGGCAAGGGGGCATCCAGTACCTTCTAGTATGTATAGATACCTTCACTAACTAGGTAGAATCATTTCCACGTTAGACAGAGAAAGCCTCTGAGGTGATAAAAGTACTAATGAGATAATTCTTCACTTTGGACTCCTTAAGTACCTGCAGAATGATAATGGCCCCTCATTCAAGGTGGCCGTCACCCAGGGGGTCTCAAAGGCACTAGGCATATGGTACCATCTTCATTGCGCTTGGAGACCACAGTCTTCAGGAAAGGTAGAAAAGACAAATAATATTATCAAAAGGCACCTCAGGAAACTGTCTTGGGTTACTCATCTCCCCTGGACAACCCTTCTCCCCATATCCCTACTACATATTAGAAACACTGCTTCAAAGCTAGGTTTGAGTCCCTTTGAAATGATGTATGGACAGCATTTTCTCACCAATGATTTCTTGCTAGACCAAGAAACCTCTGATTTGATTAAACATATAATTTCTGTGGCCCATTTCCAACAGGAACTGAAACAACTAACGAAGGTCTAATCCCATGGAACTAGGCGCACCTCTACTCAACCCAGGAGACCTAGTACTGGCAAATGTACTTCCTTCCCTTTCTCCTTCTATGAACCCAGATTGGGAGGGACCTTATACTGTATTTCTTTCTACTCCTACGGCAGTGAGGGTCACTGGAATAGATTAATGGACTCATTATACCTGAGTAAAGGCCTGGGAAGCCAACGGAGTTACCTCTGTCAACCCTGAAGAGCACCCGAAGTACCAATGTAAGGACACTGGGGACATCAAGCTAAAAATCACAAAAGATTAGTGTTAATAATTAAACTTAGTTATTATTTAATTAGTGTTACTAATTAACCTTTCATTGATATCCTCTTTATAGTCTTGCTGCCCTTACTTCATTTTGTTCTATACCACAGGCGTACAATGTTGCTTTCAGGATGATTAGTATATTTCACTTCTTATTTCAGTAATCTTTGGCATGAAATACTCTTCTTTTAACTCCTCTTTGTAAAATACACATATTTGATCCATGCATACTTAATCTTGATAAACTTGTTTTTTCTCACCTAGAGGCCATCAAACTCCAAGCGGTTAGGCAACCAGAGCCTCAGACAATGGCTCCCTTTTTCCAGGGACCCTTAGGCAAACCTCTGGGAGGAATCCGACTACCATTTTTCCTCAAAACAACACCCCCTTTCAGCAGGAAGTAGCTAAGACCAGTCAGCATTCATATTCTTTTTTTTTTTTTTTTTGAGACAAAGTCTCGCTCTGCCACCCAGGCTGGAGTGCAGTGGTGAGATTTTGGCTCACTGCAACCTCTGCCTCCCGAGTTTTCAAGCGATTCTCCTGCCTCAGCCTCCTGAATAGCTAGGATTACAGGCATGTGCCACCATGACTGGCTAATTTTTGTATTTTTAGTAGAGATGGGGTTTCACCATGTTGGCCAGGCTGGTCTCAAACTCCTGACCTCAGGCGATCCGCCTGCCTTGGCATCCCAAAGTGCTGAGATTACAGGCTTGAGCCACCATGCCAGGCCATCATTCATATTCTAATAGCAGTTAGATGTGCCTTTTCAGAGTGAGGAAATGATAGGGACAGGAGGCAGGGAAATTCTGGTCAGAAGATGTCAGGTCCCTGGTGAGGGCCCCACCCTCAAGCTGAAAAGCCCGATGCCATGGCCCAAAGTGAGAAATTACATCCCTGTTTTTGCACTTGAATGTTGCCTTTTCCAAAACCATCCATGGCCCACCTCGCCCCCATCTTTTGCCCCTCCCCGCAAAAAACCCAGGCTTAGCTAGCAGAGAGAGGAGAAGCAGCTGGAAGTCAGTGACTACAGCTGGACGTTGGAGAGAAGTGGCTTGACTTCAGGGGGACAGCTTGACAGTGTAGCTTCAGAGAGGAGTCTAGCTGGGGATGGCCAGACTTCAAGGGAAGATTACCTCTCCACTCCATCTCCTTTTCAGCTCCCCTTCCTGCTAAGAACCACTTTCATTGGAAATAAAATCCCCCACATTTACCATCTCCAATTTATTTGTGCAACCTTATTCCTCCTGGATGCTGGACAAGAATTTGGGTGCCATGAATGCAGGTGCAAAAGGCTGTCACACTGATGCTCCACTGAGCTGTTAACACTTAAGCCATCCATGGACAGCAGACCTAAAACAGTACTGTAACACTTCTGGGGCTTCAGGGGTCATGGGCACCCCCACCTCCAGATGCTGCCATGGGGCTGCTACAGAGTTTGCCCTTGCTGGCACCCAAAAGCACTCGCCCCAGCTCTTGTACCCACACACCTGTGTGCTCCCCTTCCCATGAGGGGTGGAGCACAGCAGGTCTGAGTGAGTAGAGTTCACCCCTGCCAGTGCCAAATCAGCTGGCTAGTTCAAGTACCCGTGCATTCCAGTTCCCGCCAGAGTGAAGTGTTCAGGGAAATATCCTGCTTCACCCTGGCCACATAACCCAAGCCTCATAACCACCCTTTACACACTAAATCCACTGTAGATGTTTGGCTATTGATTTACTTCAGAACTATTATTTTATTTAACAAATTTCACTGGCACATTTTTTTCTTCAAATGAGAATTATAGCAGGGATTTCTTGAATTAAAAGCAAATAATTTTCAAGCAAAATTTTAAGAACTATGAAAAATAAATCACTTGCAGACATATTGAAACCATAACTAAAAAATCTTGTAAAGTTTTTGTCTGGTTTAGGGTTTTCCTGGAAGAAACTTCTGAGGGATATTTTACTAGAATGAACAATTTTGTTTACTTTGAACACGTAAAGTAATTTTATCCTGACAGGACATATAGTTTCATGTAAAGAAAAGAAAAATAACGATATGTGTAAGGGAGAGAAGCTCAAGATCAAATGTTGATTGTAGACTGTCAAACCCTCACTAGTGAGGCCTCTGGGGCCAGCTTCACACTGAGGGTTCCTAGAGAGGCAGCTGGTGTGTTAATGGAAGAAGTTAAAAAAAAACAAGTGTTTGCTTTTCTTTTCAGTTACATAAGCCTCAACAGACAATTCTCATCAATTCCTCAATTTTTATCTGAATTCTTTATTTTAATTTTTTGATAATAAAAGGTTTTCCTTTGTTTGCTTTGTTGCCTAGGAGATAGGTGACAAAAGAGGAAATGAAACAAATGAAGGCTGTGGAGAAAAGAGAACAGTGCTAATTTTTTTTTTCCTGTTAATTCGAAAACCTAAAAATACATGACTGAAAAAAAAAGAAAGTTGAAGGGAATGTCAAATTATTATTTTGAGGATGTAGCAACAAGAAGAGATCTGGGTAAAATTAGGTAATATGAATTACTGAATACATATTCCTATTCTAACCTCTGATAAGTTGTAGAGATTTTATCCTGGCAATTTTTTCAAACTATTATTTCTAATATCTAAACATGCATTATAGTTATGTATATTTGACTGTTAAAATTATCTAGCAATATACTGACAACTGAAAGTCTAGAATCTGACTAGAAAGAGAAGTTTTATAGCTATTGTGAGTCAGTCGGTTTGCACACAATTCTTTCACTCTGTGAAGATTGTTATCAACATTTTAAAAATGAGAAAATTGAGGCTTAAAGACATAAAAATAACATTGGTGGAGTCTGCATTTGAGAGGCAATGTTAACCTAGTAGTAAGTAAGGAGTACTCTTTAGGGCTAAGACAGGCCTATGACATAATGACATAATCCTGATTCTCTTCCTTACTACCTGAATGACTGATGCTGTGATGCTGGATAATTGACTTAATCTCTCTAAACCTGTTCCCTGCCTTATAATCAGGTGTTATGAAACCTACCTTGAGTTATTCTAAGGATACAAGGTAATGCTAGCACAGTGATCATAAATATTTATTGCTCAAAAATAGCTGTTATTGCTATACTATTATTGTTATTATCTCTCGGTCTGTCTGAGCCCAGTGTTCTTCCCTTACCACTCTGACATTCAAATTGAGTTCCAGAATTTATAGTTTGATATTTAGATTTCTATACTCTACTAGCTTACCATGAGATAAACTTGCTTCCTGAAGGAACAGTAGGTAAAAGCCTCTTTGATCATTCATTGTTCAGAGGTAAATCTCATTACCCTGGTCTGCAGTAAGAATAGGAAAAAAATGGTACTCTCATTTCAACTTATGACCATGGTAACTATCAGAGCTGGTTCTGGGTAAAATTGTGAAGAAAAAAAAAAAAGCTTTGTAAACTTTTCCCTTGTTGTCTGACATTATTCCCTTTAACTCTTAGTGTTATCTGCAGTTATATTTAACCTGCAGCTATATTTTCTAAAAGCCCTTATATTCCTTTTAAAGGAACATTAGTTATCGCTAAGTACCTGGACAATATATTTTCTGGTGCAAGGAGTCAGATACAACCACACAATGAAGGGGCCTCTTCAAAACTGTCAATGTCATAAAAATCAGTAAAATTCTGAAGAACTATTTCAAAATAAAGGCAATTTAAAAAACATGACGAATGCAATCCATGATCCTGAATCAGGAAATAATGTTGCTATAAAAGACAGTAATTTGGACAAAAAAGTTGAAATTTGGATATAAATAAGGTATTAGATAATCAGTTTCTATGAAAGTAACATTTCTGAATTTGATAATTGTACTGTGATTATACAAAAAAATGCGCTTCTTCTTAGACATGCACACTGAAGTGTTTGGAGTGAAGGTCATGATCTCTCGCAGCTTACTCTCACATGGATTACGCCAGAACAAAAAGAAAATAATAATGAGAATGTCCACATCAATATGTCTTGAGCGACATAAAGTGAATGTGGCAAAATGTTAACAACAAATGAATCTAAATGAAGGGTATATGGAATCCCTTGTAATTATATTGCAACTTTAGGTTTGCATTTGTTAAATGAAAAGTGTAATTTAAAAAACATCAAACACCAAAATAGTCTATAGAATAATACAACTACAAAGTAATTAATTAACAAACATAATCTAATTTTTTTAGAAAAAAGCAGAAATCAATAATGATCAAAAATTTGTTTGGGATTTAGTATAATAAATATATTAAGAGACATAAAAGAGAAAAGAAAATTCCTATCTCCAGAAACTTACAATCTAGAAAATAAAGTAGGTATACATAGAAAAAATAAAATATTACAACAGCTTATAAAACACTTTCTCAAGTATAACATAAAATTTCACCTGAATATCAGTATTTCATAAACTGAGTTGTTTTTCCCAGGTGATACTCCATACTACCACTATTATATTGATAGGAATAAAGTAAATTATAATTATTAATAGCTAAAAATTTATGCATCGTATAGAGAACAAACACAAACAGCTTTGAAGTCAGACAGACCTTGGCTTAAATTCCACAGCTACCACTTACTAGTGAGTTGGGCAAGTTACTTGTCCTCTAAAAGCATTTAGTTTTTTCACTTGTAATTATCATAAATTCACAAAGTTATTGAGGAAATCATACAGATTCACAAAACATTGTGGGCATTTAAGAAACACAGCATGCGCCCAATAAATGACTGACATTATTATTGTCACTATAGCTATATCATTTGTCTCAGGACACTACAGAGTTAGCACTCTATTTAGTGGAAGATTACTCTTAATCTTAACTCTTCTAATCATCCAAACTTCAACAAGGATTTATGTATGCTGCCTTTTATCTTACTTTAAGATAAAAAGTAAAAGTCAAATTACTTATATTTAAGTTGACTTTTATAAAACTATAGTAAAGACTATAATTTTGAGAACTCTGGGTTCAAATTAAAAGAGCAGTTGTTTGAGAGTGAAAACAGTTGTTTGTATATTTTTAGTTATTTCAAAAGCTTGATTTTAAATATGAAGAGTGAAAGCATGTTCAGACTTGTAATCCATAAAGTGGAAACAATAAGTAAGTAGAGAAGAGTTGTTTCCTGTCTCTAATTGGTAAGATTTGAAAAAGAAAGCAAAGAAGGGGAAATTAGAAAGAAGATGACTGGATTTTAGGCCCTGGTCAGTATCTGAGAAAGAGGCTCAATGACCTAAGCTCCAGGCTAAGCTCTGGGAATTAACTGGGAAAACAGAAACCCTTATGCATAGGTCTTTATCTCACAGGATTGGAAGATCTAGAGCATGAGAAAACTGTAGCCTAGCATCCTAAATTACTCCAAAATAGCAGTCTGATAAACAGCTACCATTTACACCGTGATTCCTGACCAGCAGAATAGAAAAGCTTAGAGAAACATAAGGATAGATGGAGCTTGAAGGTTGTATGTGGTCCAGGATAATGAGGGAACAGTGGTTGAAATTCCTTGCTCTTCCCCCTCTCAAAAAGCAGAGAATGTCTTAGAGGATTAATGGACAGCAGAAGTTTTGAGGTTGAGATAAGGAGGATTAAATGTTCCCATAGAGGCATTGTTACATTCTAGAGCAATATCTCTAGAGAAGGTAAGAGGAAAACAGAAAGCACAGCTGAGAGGCTAAGAAGCTGGGGAAAGAAAACATTTTTGGCAGTCTCTCAATGCTTAAGACAAAAATTGAATCTCAGAACCATCCAAGAAAGAGGGGTTCTACTATAGACCCTGAATATTTAGTTTGTATCTCCAAAGGATACACCCTAGAAATAAATATGAGCTGGAAATAAACTAACACTCGCAGACTGAAGACCAACTTTGAATCAGTTAAAAGTATAATTGGATTAATTTGCACCAGCTACAACTTAACTACCTACCAGAGTCAAAAGAAAAATCCTCTATGGAGAAAGATAATGTGATCTAAAAACATAAAATCACATCTAACATTTTTTACATACAATAATACTCAATAAAAAACAGGCAGCAGGAAAAATAAATAAATAAATGTAAATAAAAGGAAAGAATTAACTGAAAATAAAATGAAGAGAAAAATCAGCTAATAGATCCACTGGAGATCCATATATTGGAATTTGGAGTAATAATTTTAAAATAATGGAGGTTAATATGCATAAGCATTAAATGACAAAACAAACAATTTCAGCCAAGAACTAGAAACTATATGAAAGAATCAAATGGTAATTCTAGAATTGAAGAATATCTGAAATTAAGAACTCAGTAATGTCTAATATAAAAGATTAGACAAATCTGAAGAGAGAAGCAGTAAACTGGACAGTATCTCAGAAAATAAATCCAATCTGAAGCACAAAGAATGGAATATAAAGAAAAATGTGTAAAGATATACGAGTCATGGTGAAAGAGTCAACCAACGGGTACTTGGATTTCATAAGGAAGAGAAGATGAAGAATGGGATAAGGAAATATTTGAATAAGAAATGGCTTCAAATTTTAAAAAACTGCTAACTACTTCAAGAAGCAGTACAAACTAGCAGAATAAATTCAAATATAAGAAGTTATTTGCATATAATGGTTAAAATGACTGAAAATAAAATACAAAAACAAAGTGAGCAAATAGAAGGTACGAAAGGACAAAGATGACAAAGAAATGCCTGGTTAAAAGAAAACACAAACAAATTGGAAAATAAAATTTAGTAATTACAACAAATGTAACTGGATTATATCATCCACTAAAACAGATATTCTTGGATTGAATTAGGAAAAAAAATAATCCTTTTACACCCTCTATCAGACACACACTTAAAAGAAATACTACATAGAAAATCGGTGTGGAGGAAAGCTATAGCAGACAAATGATAATAAAAGTGAAAATTGTATAGTCCAAGTAATATTTTATAAGAGAGAATTTTAGCAAAAAAGATTTTAAACTGGAAGTTTCCAAGTTACACAATAAGAGTTTTTGGTTAACACACCAAAATGCATATTCCTTAGCGGCCACAGAGAAATTAAGCCAATGAGTCTGACATTAAGGACAAAGAAGGCTGGTAGCAGTGGCTCACGCCTGTAATCCTGACACTTTGGGAGGCCAAGGCAGGCGAATCATGAGGTCAGGAGTTTGAGACCAGCCTGACCAAAATAGTGAAACCCTGTCTCTATTAAAAATACAAAAAAAAAAAAAAAATTAGCTGGGCGTAAAAGTGGCGCTCGCCTGTAATCCCAGCTACTAGGGAGACTGAGCACAGAGAATCACTTGAACCTGGGAAGCGGAGGTTGTGGTGAGCCAAGATCGCACTTCTGCACTCCAGCCTGGGCGACACAGTGAGACTCCACCTCAAAAAAAAAAAAAAAAAAAAAAAGGACAAAGAGATGTAATAAACATATTTTGGAGAAAAATTTGCCTTCTGGCATTGAATGTAGGCTGAATTTCAACAGACAGCACTGGCAGTATCTGTCTTAAACATTCAACTTATATTCCTGTTTTATCATTTAATACTTTTTCCATAGGTTTCTTGTGAGGATTAAATGAGTTAATACTTATAAAGCACTTAAAACAGTGATTTTCGTCTAATGTCTGTTCAATAAATATTATGTATTGTTGTTATTGTTAGAGTATTGTCCCCTAGGATAATATTTCCTAGAATAAATATTCTAGTTCCAATGTCTTAATATACTGCAATTAAGGGATTTTTAAAAATTGCATGGTGAGACAATTTATTTCCATGTGTTCTAAAATGTGATGAGAAAGATCAGAGATTTTTAATATAATCTCAATTCCAGTCACTGTTTTGAACAGAATACCAAATAAAATGATCTTTCAAAATAAAATAGTTAATTCTTAAAGTAAGCCCTCCAAATCACTATAAATCACTAAGGCAGGTATTATTATCCCCATTTTGCAAATGGAGAAACTGAGATCCGAGAGATCAGCTGATTAGGCCAAGATTACAGAAAAGAGTAAGGCCAGACATGAACTCATATCTGAGTCTATGTCCAGTGGTCTTTAAAAAGATCAACTCTATTAAAAACACACAAAAAATAAGTATTACATAGACAGGAGGATGAGTAGCTGTATCAGGCAAATAATAATAATAATGATGAAAGTTTGATAGTGATTTTAAAAACTGAAAATAGCATCTCTATGCCTTTAGTGACTCAGAGTCTCAGAATAAAAAAATAATAGAATGGCCAGGCGCGGTGGCTCACACCTGTAATCCCAGCACTTTGGGAGGCGAAGGTGGGTGGATCACGAGATCAGGAGATCGAGACCGTCCTGACTAACACCGTGAAACCCCGTCTCTACTAAAAAAATACAAAAAATTAGCTGGGCATGGTGGCAGGTGCCTGTAGTCCCAGCTACTCGGGAGGCTGAGGCAGGGGAATGGCATGAACCCCAGAGTCGGAGCTTGCAGTGAGCCGAGATCGCGCCACTGCACTCCAGCCTGGGCAACAGAGCGAGACTGTCTCACAAAAAAAAAAAAAAAAAAAAAAAAAGAAAGAAAGAAAGAAGGAAAAGAAAAATAATTGAATGATAAAATAACTGAGAGTGTAGAAAATCATACATATAAGAAAAACAGATTTACATACATGAAAGCTATTCTAGTGTCAATTCTTTACATTAGGAGGAAGAGTTTTATTTTTAATTTATTCAACAAGAGAAAGTGAAAAAACCATATAAAATATCCCCTTTTTGGAATTTTCCCCCTAAAACAACAGAAGAATTGCAACATATAAATTAATAAACATCTGATGTGATTGAGAATCATGAGACAAATCTCTTAAGGAAAGAAGGTCAATGTAACCACTCTTTCAGGTTATAGTTTAATGGCTTACAGAATGTGAGGAGGTCTAATAGGTGGTGTTTTGCTGAAGGAGGGTGGTGTAGCACATTGTAGGCAGTATCACTGATTAGCATAGAGGTGATATTTTGATTTGTGGGTCTGAAGAATGTAATCCAGGAATATAAATGTACTTTTAATGCAAACTCTAGAATCTTATACGAAATGTACTGATTGTCATGGACTTTCGTGTTTTTTTTTTTTTAATAAAAAATCCAGCTCCGTTGTTCAACTATGGTTATAAACAACCTCCCATAGATATCTTACTCTTCTATCTGAACTCTTAGGAATATAAAATTCTCAAACTGTCATTGTTGATTTGTTTTTAGACAGTTGGGGAATGGGAAAGACTTCTCAATGTTCAATTTTTTTTCTTAAACCGTTCTACTGTAATGCAATTTTTAATAAATGTTTTAAAATGTCAATCAGAGAACCTTCAGAAAAACATATAATGATAATTAGTGCACACAGATCATATTTAACTTCTGGAACATCTATCATTCTGTCATTGTTTTAACTTAGCACTGCACTGTTCTTTGCCTGTTATTAATTAGGCACTTTGGTTATTATTCATTTCTTTGTTACTTGAAATGGAAAAATCATTTCAAATTAACAGCTATCTTATATTAACTTATTCATATCAACTTGCTTCATTTCAGTCATTATTGTCCCTCTTATAATTATGACTATAAATTGACACCGATGTTAATGCATATTTGTGGCAAAATCTGCTATTGTTCACCAATGTCTTTTCTTCCTTTTTTTCCATAAGAACCAAATATCTAGTTTTTAGCTAGACACATAATCAAGTAGACTGACTAAAGACTACATTTCCTAGCCTATTTTTCTGCTAGGCATGCACACGTAATTGACTTCTCACTAGCAGGATGTAAATGGAAATGATGTGTACCACATCAAGTCACACTCATAAGCGAAAGGACTTCTTCCTCTGGCCGTAATGCGGGACTGCTGATGAGCCTTCTTAAACATGAGGTTGAGGGCATTTCCCAGTAGTGTGCTGGAGCTAACTTATGCCAGAGCTGGAATTTTGCAATCCAGTGTTTGAACCATTGACACCCTAAAATTGGCTATTGTGGGAGTATTTATGCAACAAAAATCAGCAAATAATACAAATCAGTAATTTTTTCTCAAAGAGCCAGTTTACTTGCACACCTTTGGCAATACACAAGGTAGAAGTAAAGCAACAAGACAGAAAGGCTCTGGATCCTTGTATAATCATAGTTCAAGTTCTGGACTTCTTATGCTTAAACTATACATGAGTGAGAAATAAATTCTAGATTTTGAAATCCACTGTTATCTTTGTTACAGCTGCTGAAAGTACTAAACGATCAAAACTACTAAAATGCCTTCATTTATAGACCCTTTAGGTGCTGTAATCTTCTTTGAGAGCCTACATAGTTTGACAATGCTGGTGTGTGTTTTACACACTTAAAAATTCCACTTCTTGAAGCTAAAAAAATAATATATTATATATATACATATACGTATGTATATGACAATCTTTACCTGTCTTCAGACTGTGATTTATACCATTGGTTCCCCAGATTCATATATATATATATATATATATATATATATGGACTTGGTTTGAACCATCTAGAAGCCCACGCAAAAAAGAAGCACAAAGACACTAAAACTCTATACACTATCAATAAAATGTTTAGATGAAGACATATTTCTGCAGCTTCCTATTCAAAATTGGAGCATTCTGGAAGTCTAATTTAATTTAATGATAGAATTCAAAATACATAATGAAATATATATATATAATTTTATAATGCAGCAGTTTTTAACAAGATCTGTGTTCTCCAATTTGATGACCTATATTTTTTTACCAGTTGACTTCAATGAATATGGGGCATTTTTCTAAATGGAATATTTTATCAAAAGTGGATATGTTTCTGAGGTTAAATTAGTATTAACCTTGTGCCTCAGACTAGAATTCCAGAAGTGAAGTAACAATATGTTTGACATACTCATTAATCAGAGGATGTAGTTTATTACATAAATAAATGTCACATAACAACGTAAAAGTGTTTCATAATTTTATCTATCTAAAGAAAATGTAAATTTTATTTAAAATGTAAATCTTTATAAACTTTAGTTTAATATAGAGTGGATTTCATGAGAAAATTAATTTGTTGGAGTAAATCATTAATAATATTCCTGTTTAAAAAAGGTTATATGATAATTAATTCTATGTGTCAACTTAACTGAACCAGGGGTGTCCAGTTTAAACAATATTTCTGAATTTATATGTGAAGGAGTTTCCAGGTGAAACTAGTGTTTGAATCAATGGACTCAGTAAAGTAGGTTATCCTCCCTAATGTGTTTGGGCATCATTCAATTCCTTGAGGGCTTAAATAGAACTAAAGGTAAAGGAAAAATGAATTCACCTCTTTTTGCTTCTGTCTTCCTGCTTTAGCTGGAACATCAGTCTTTACTTGTTCTTCGACTGGGATTTACACCATTGGTTTACCAGATTCTTGGATTTTCAAACTTAGACTAAATTACACCATCAGCTCTTCTGGGTCTCCAACTTGCAGATCATGAGACTTCTCATCTTCCATAATTATGTGAGCCAATTCTCATAATAAATCTCTTCCTATATATTCTATTTGTTCTTTTTCTCTGGAGAACCCTAGCACAGGTAACCAACAGTGTTAGTTGGAGTTTGGTTATAGTTTGACCTGGAGAATTTTGTATTACAAATCATTATACACTTTGAGGTTAGTCCCAATAAGATCATAGTGTAGTTAATTCCTCCAAAAGCTGTGATAAAAATTATCTTTGCCATTTACTTCTAACAGCTAGATTTTCCTGAATACAGGCAATCCTGAATTTGGTGCAGATTTTTACATGACATCCTACATTTGTCTAGGAGGTTAGTTCTGAGCTTTATTCTTTTCATGAATGCATTATAAAGTTTATATTTTTGTACCGTTAACTAGTATTGCCCAAATTTTCTGCATTAATTAATAAGTATTTTGAAACTCAAATTTGAGTAATTGTCTCTCCTAAAGTCCCCATTTTTATTTATTTAGTCTTCTTATAAAAACCATGGTAAAGCCATCTTTCTTCCCTAGAAATGTCAGGAATTACATGCATCTTTTAATATATTCTTTGATAGGTACCCCGCCCATTCATCATCCCTCAAGTAGAGCACATACTCCAAATGATGGGAACCACCTGATCTGTTTTGCTACATTAGCAGTTGAAAGCCTTTTTCTGCAATTAATATTGCAAAGAGATAACTTCCAATAACCACTGGAAATCATTCTAGCACACATGTTAAATAAATTACTCAGTAGTGAAACTATTTAAATTTTTTCATCTCTGGAGAGAAATCTAACAATTAGGGAGGCCATGTGGTATTCTCAGGATGTGTGAAATCCTCTTTGATGTCAAGGCAAATTGATAAAAATAATTAATCATCCTATAAATATTATGATTTTTTCTTTGAATTCTCTCCACAGAGCATTTTCTTTTTGATAAGAGAGATCTTTTTGTTGTTGTTGTTGAAGAAAATGATAGTAACCATCTGCTGAGTTAAGTAACTATTTGCACTTATTACTAAAATCAGAATAATCCTGTATCTCAAATAAAAAAATATGATTCAGAGAGAGAGAAACATTATTGTTTGAAAATAAGTAATTAAATAATGAAAGATACTTTCCTTTATCCCCTATAAGAAACTGGTATTCCAAAGTACAAAGTGTCCTTTAAACCCTTCCCAGAATGAAGATGCTAGTTTCATAGTTCAAGGCCTGGCAGAACATTAATAAGCAAATCCTCTTACTCTGATTTGTATAAAAAGAATAGTCAGCAACCAGAACGAACAGGATAGAAAGCCACCAGCTTTGTTTGGGAAATTTGAGGGGGAGAAAAGTGATCTGTTTGACCCAAATAACTCATATACTTCCAGTCCAGAAAGGCTTCGTATTTTGAAGTCAAAAGATTTTTTTCCAGGAAGGCACAATAAAATCGGATTTGTCATGAAGTGTTAAAAAAGTAATAAAGCATTAACAAGGATTTGTTAGCCAAATTTTTGATGTAGCTGTGGGAACTAAGGAAATGGAGCAGGGCAAGTATATCCTGATGGGTAATTAAGGAGGAAAGGCCCAAAGCACTCAGCTCAAAAGGACAGGCTGAGGGTGGTGCTTCAGAGGCAGAGTCTAGATTCTGACTACCTAGAGTGACAGAAGGGAGTGCTCACAGAATGATATGAGAGAAAAGTAACAAGGAATGTTGTAACACCACCACAACAAAAAGCCTTGATTTGCTCAAATTTTGCCTAGAAGCAGCACCACATAACGTATGAATCTCCAAAATATACTCCTTGAAAATAAGGAGAAGTACTCCATCCAGACTGTGCAAACCTGGAAGGAATTTCCCCTATGGATTTCATGAAACTCACTCGATGTCAAAGCCAGGAAATCAAAAGAATAAAACATGGAACTAACGCAGATAAACTCCAAATAGTTTCTTATTTGTCATATGAAAGATTTACTTGGAACATATTGAAACAGCAGTTTCTATTATGTTCCCAACTGATCTAGAATGAAATAACATTAGCTAGAAAGAAAACGCAGCCCCTGACATACAGACAGCTAGCCTTGGTGCTCTCCTATTGAACATGAAGTTTCACAGAACATTAACACTAGACAAGACTACTCTCTGACCATGATAGATCAAGGCAAAACAAGACCACTTTGTAATGATGTTTGAACACAGAAAATATGAACATTGTTCAAGTGCAAAATCCCAAACATTCCCCATTCCCAGCTAATACGAATGCTTTATCAATCACAGGTTTAAAGATATGATCTGTTTAGTACCTGATGATTAGGTACATTAAGTACAGAGAGGAGTCCTCATTTCCATGTTACCCATTTTTGGACAACACCCAATCTATACCAAACCCTCAATTCCTTGGGCCCTTCCCCAAATCACCAAACCAAAGCTGAAATCCAGTAGTAACTCGCTTTTTTTTTTTTTGACAGGGTCATGCTCTGTTGCCCAGGCTGGAGTGCAGTGACACAAACATGGTTCACAACAGCCTTGACGACCTGGGCTCAAGTGATTCTCCTACCTCAGCCGCCTGAGTAGCTGGGCCCACAGGTGCACGCCATCATGTATAGCTAATTTTTTATTGTTGGTAGAGATGGGGTATCACCCTGTTGCCCAGGCTGAAGTAACTCTCGTATAACATCCTGACTAAAATACCCCAATGGTTTGTTGTGATGTCCATTCTCCTTCACTGCAATAAATAATAAACCCACCTTGCTCAAATACAGATGTGTTCTTGGTAGTCTTTGGCCAGGACGTTGAATTACACTTTTCCACAAATTTAAAATTTGACCAAATCATTTAGGATAATTTCTGTGAGTGAAATATGAAGAGGTACTTATTTAATCTCTCACACTGTAATGGCAACAAGAGAGTTTTAATTTGCTTTAAAAATCTATTAACTTCCTCATTGCTCCCCTCTTTAAATAAATTGCTTGATAGGACATTTTTGACCTATGAGTAGTAGGTTAATGTGTACCCTGTGAAGCAATTACAAAGGTAAATAAGATACGTTGCGCTGACTGACATTGCAGAAAAGGAGACCACAAAAGCAATTATGTAAAAAATAAATAAATAAAATGATTGTCAGAAAGCAGCTGTTTCTCTGAGCTGTAAATACATCTTTCTCCAATTGGCACAATATTGATGGAAACCTATTGCACCACATCTCCA
Organism: Homo sapiens; assembly: GCF_000001405.40. Lineage (NCBI taxonomy): Eukaryota > Metazoa > Chordata > Mammalia > Primates > Hominidae > Homo > Homo sapiens. The sequence continues at coordinate 187,157,043 of NC_000002.12, read as the reverse complement.
GTCTTCCTGCCCCCAGTATACTGGTCTACCTTCCAAGTTGACTCTGGGCTTGGCCATGTATCCTGCTTTGCCAAATGGGACACTGGAAAATATTATGGACTGAATTATACCAGCTCTCCAAAATTTGCAGGTTGAAGCCCTAACCCACAATGTAACTATATTTGAAGACTGAGCCTTTACAAAAGTATCTTAGTCCACTTGGAATACTATAACAAAATACTTTAGACAAGATAATATACAAACAGTAGCAATTTATTTTTCTCTCTTCTGGAGCCTAGACTGTGGGGCCTTATTCAAATAGGACTAGTGTCCTTATGAGAAGAGAAAAAGATACCAGGGATGTGAGTGCACAGAGAAAAAGTCATGTGAGGACACAGAGAGAGGATGGAAAGACAAGGAAAGAGGGCTCAAGAGAAACCAACCTTGAGGGTACCTTGATCTCAGACTTCCAGACTCCAGAACAGTGAGAAATAAATTTCTTTTGTTTACACCACTTTACCTGTGGCCTTTTGTTATGGAAGCTTGAGCAGACCAATATAGCAAATATGATGTGAGCAGAGTCTTGGTAAGTGCTTGTATATTGAAATCTTTTTGAGACACTGAAATGGCTATGCAGTGAAGATGTTCAAGTTAGACACATTGATATATAAAAGAGAATGAAGCAATGTACCTGTCATCCGAGACTAAGGCCACAGACACATGGTCTAAATCAAACCATTCCAATATCCTCCATCCATTTGAGTCACTCAAAATGAAGTCTTAGATATCACAGAGCAGAGATAATCCAGGCCTGCCTTACCCAAATTTTTGACATGCAAATTGTGAGCAAGTAAAATGGTTATTATTTTAATCTCCTAAATTTCGAGATGATTCACAGAAATAGGTAAATGAAACAGAAATTGGCACGGGAAATGAGATGCTACTGTAACAAACACCTAAAATATGTACCACTGACTCAGGGATTAGGTGGTGGGTTTGTGTTGGCTTGCATTAGTTGGGATTCTCCAGAGAAAAAGAATTAATAGGATTAATTTTAAGTACTTGATTCATGCAATTGTGGGGGCTGGCAAGTCTGAAATCTGAAGAGCAGGCCAGAAGGCTGGGGACCCAGAGAAGAATTTATTTTGCAATTCAAGTCCACAGGCAATCTGGAGGCATAATTTCCTCTTCCTCAAAGGATCTCAGTCATTTTTTGTTTTCTTAAGTCCTTCAGCTGAGTGAATGGGGCCCACCCACATTTCAGATAGTAATCTGCTGTATTAAAATCCTACCAATTTAAACATTAGTATTACACAAAGAAACACAGAAAAGGAATAGAGGAAAAATAAGAGAAAAGAGCATCCAAGAACCGTGTGACTACATCAAATGGTCCAACATATGTGCAATTGACATCCAAAATGAAAAAGTGAACAGAATAGAAGAAAATTTGAAAACCTAATGGCTCAGAATTGTCTAAAAGTGATGAAAAACAACAAACTATAGATAAGACACTCATGGAACTCCAAGCAAGATAAATATCCTTAAAAAAAAAAAAAAACTAGAAATAGAGAGCAAATTATACCCTAAGCAAGCAGAACGAATAAAATAATAAATATAAAAGCTTACATCAGTGAGACTGAAAACAGAAAAAGTTAATGAGATCATTGAAACTAAAATCTAGCTATTTTAAAAGACCAAAACATTTGATAAACTTCTAGTCAAATTAATTATGAAAAAACAGAGAACACACAAATTATAAATATTGGGGATATAAAAGGAGAATCACTGCAGACCCTCAGATATTAAAAAGAATAATTTAGGAATATTTTGAACAAATTTATGTTAATAAATTTGATAATTTAGTTTGAAAGAGAAAATTTCTTGAAAGATACAAACTGCCATAGCTCCCTCAAGAAGAAATAAAAAACTTGCATAGCCCCGTAACAATGGTCACCAAACTTTTTATGGTAAATATTTCAGATTTGCAGATCATAGAGTGTCTGCTCCAATTTGTATCTCTGCTACTGTAGTGCTAAAAAGCCACAGAAAATTCATACACTAATGGGCATGACTGTGTTCCAATAAAAATTTATTTACAAAAATGGCTGGCTGGCCCACAGCTCATAGTTTGCCAACCCTCATCCTCTATCTATCAGTTCAATCAATGATTACTGAATATCAGGTTTAATTGTATATGCTAAAGATACAATACTAGACAAAACAGATTTTTAGGTCTCAGAGGGTTTGTGGTGTAGTTACTGATACAAATATACAAACAGACAATTAAAATGTAATCTGGGGACAATAACTATAGAGGTAGTGCAATTTTGTGTACAAGAATGTAGGAAAGACACCTAACCCAGATCTTAGAGCTCAAAAAATATTAGAAATAAGTCATATCTAAGTTAACGAATTTACCATAAGAAGGGGATATGGTATCTTAGTAACAAAAAAAAAAAACCAAGAGGTATAGAAATATAAAAATAAGAAAACATGGGGAATTCTAAAAACTGAAAAAAAATTTAGTATGAATGAAGCTTAGAAGATAAATTGAAGAATATCAGAAAAGGAACGAGATAAACTGCGCTAAGCTTTTGCAATAATTTAGGAGTGAAATAATAATAGTTTGAACTATGGTCGTAGAGTGGGGATGCAAGAAGTAGACAAGTTCAGCAGGTGATTGAATGCTTATGGAGAATAAGCAAGAACAAGGAGGAAATAAAGAGCAAAGAAATCCAGGGTTCTAGTTTGAGTAAGCGGGATAATGATATCATTTTCTGGGATACAGAACACAAAAAATAATCAAAATATATGTCTCCAAAATATTAAATAAACAAATATGTTTATTAAGTATCTCTTACGAACAAGAACCATGTTTTATATATATCAGGCCAGTCTTCTTTGCTGTCTCGTAATCCAATGTACAGTGTTTGTATTTGTCCTTTCTTCTCCAGTAGAAAGTGATATCCTTAAACAAATGTGTTTCCTATGTTTGTTTCATTGCAGTCAATAACTAGTATAGTGTTCACCACCTAGAAAGAGAACACTTCCAAGTTCAGGGATGAGAAACCACTGAAATAACATCAGTGTACACTTCCTACACATATATACTTTTTGCAGAAAACTTTACATTTACTATTTAACTCACTTCAATCTCATTATTCATCTGGACATACCACTGGATGAAAACATTTATAATAGAAATGTAAAGACGTAACAGATCATGTGCCATCGAGTTCAATGTCTTCAGACCACATAGGAGGAAACTGAGGGTGATATCAGCGGAAGTTACCAAATTTTTATGAAGAAGAAATGTAGGAAGGGGATGAGATTAGAATACTAGCTTTGATGGAGCATTGCATAATATTTTACACAAGAGAAGGAAAGTTATTGATGAAGTCATCTCTGTGAATATGTATTCGGGTGCATAGGTGAGGTGAAAAGTGCCAGTGGAAACTGGGAAAAGTCTAAAATTCCCCTAAGCCCCACCTTGAATCTCTACTGAGTGGCTTGCTTCTTTTATTTTGACTTTATTTTGGAAACAGATTCACATAGTTTGATTTGCATTGTGACAGGCTTTTAGGTATCAGAAAACTTTCAGAGTCAACTACAGTATTATTATCTTTACTAAAAAGCAATTGAAGCAAAATAACTTTTTAAACATTGACTTTTTAAAGCAAAATAACATTTTTAAACATTGAGGCTTTTTATGATCTGGTTAATTTATAAGAAATGACTGAAAAAAAAAAAAAGCTACAAATGCTGTAAATAGTAAAGACTGTGTGCTGGTTGAGTGACAAAAGCTGACTTAGTTAGCCAGACCTGTTAGGATATCTTTCAGATACATACAAACTAAATAATTTTAATTTATTCTGTTGAAGCCCAAAAGGAAATAGTTTTTTCCCCCAATGTTATGATATTACTGAATGGATAATGGATTTCAAGAATAAAGCACTGAAAATGATGAGATCAGTCACAGACGTAACCTGAACATCACTGGCACTGACCGAATGGCTTTTACTGCCTCTGTGTCACCTTAGAAAGGTGATTCCTGCCACCAGAGTAAGCATAGCAGAGGACAGCTCATACAAAAGTAGAACAGCTGATTCTTTTAAATGGAGCACACAGAGTTTTATGGAAAATTTGAGCACTCTAAAGCCATTCTCTTTTAAACAATGTTAGGCTATTCCTAAACCAAATACAGGTAATGAGTTCATGTGATTTCCAGTATAGCTCCCCAATAATTGTTGAGGGAGAAAATATGAGGGTAATCTGAATATCAACATTGGTTATATTCACTGTAATACTAATTAAATCTTCACAGCATGAAAGCATAACTTTAATGCCATAACCAAAAACCAGGAGAGCAAAAGAGCCTAAATTACCCTTTCTAAAGTGAAGTCAATATGTTTCAACAGCAAGCACTCCAAATGTGCTGTTTAACAATCCATGTTCTAAATTTTATGGGTGAAAAAAATAAAACCTAACCTCAAAACTAAACTCTTAATTGTAGAATATAGTAATAGAAGATGAATTCAAAGCCAGGTGCAGTGGCTCACACCTGTAATCCCATCACTTTGGGAAGCCGAGACAGGCGGATGGCTTGAGCCCACAAATTTGAGACCAGCCTCGGCAACATGGAGAAACCCTGTCTCTACAAAATAGTATAAAAATTAGCCAGGTGTGGTGGTGTGTGCCTGTAGTCTCAGCTACCCAGGAGGTTGAGGTGGGAGGATCGGGAGGATCATCTGAGCCCCTTGAGGTCGAAGCTGCAGTGAGTTGTGATCATGACACTGCTCTCCAGCCTGAGTTACAGAGTGAGACACTGTCTCAGAAAAAAAAAAAGAAGAAAAAGAAAGAAAAGAAAAAAGAAATAAGATGAATTCATCAGCTGTGATTCTGCAGAAGCTAATTTCAATAAAAGGAAGTTCAATTATAAATATATATCTCTAGCAAGTAAGAGTTAATTTGCTATTGAAGGAGTAGTGATAACATCTTTTTTGAGCTGAGACCAGATGAACCAAGTAACCTGAAATGGGTTCTAAGATTTTAGTTCATTTTTAAATAATAGAAACTTCAGGAATTAGGAAAAATCTTTTTATAACTACTTTTTCACAAGGACCAAAGAATATTATCTGTCTGTTTTGCTATTTGTTAATTCAACATGCTTTAAATTACTCCTCATCCAGCTCTTCACCTGAACCTCATACGTTCAAGGTGATCTGTTCAGATTCCATTTCTGCAGAATCTACAAAAGAAGAATGCTTGTTAGAATAGGGGAAACTTGTTAAACAATCCATATTTAAAACTCTTCTAGACACGTAGATTGTCACAGTAGTAAATGATTATTTGAGCGGTAGGGCTTAGAAAAAATCACATCAAGAGATTCTATCAAGCTTATGTATTATAGAAGCAGAACTGTAAAACAGCTACCATAAATATGATTTCAGATTTTATAATTCTTAATTTACTGCAGATACAAATATCACAGGAATTCCTGGAAATAGAATTTAACTGTTTGGCTAGAATTAGTTAACCATAGTTCAAAAATTCACCATTTATGTCTGGAAGTGTCTTTTTTAAAAGTAAGCAGTGTTAGCCCTAGGAGAAGGAGATGGAAATGGCTATCTAGAAAGAGGCACCTAACCCAAGATCTCTCCTATCTCTCACAATTACAGTTTTCAACTTCTTTTGGAGACATCTACTAAAAGGCAATATGATATTTGGGGAAAAATCAGTTCCTATAATAGCCACAATAAGTTAACCCTTTACTATACAATAGAAACTATATATACATAGCTCCTTTTAATCCTTATAACACCTTACTAGGTAGTATTATGTTCCCCAATTTACATATGAGTCTCAAGAAATAAAATAATGGTCTAAATTCATACTGGTCTAAATTCACCACCCTTACTAGCTGAACTTGAGTGTTATAACTCACATCAGAATCTTTCTGATTCCAAACCCCTAATCTTTATTCTGTGTTTTCTCTTACATGGTTAATACAGAGACAGAGATTGATTTATCTGATAAACTTATTATTACTCGTCATGCCATGGCAGAGACTTCCAGGGGTTTAAATAAAAACAAGGAATGTATTTTAAAAGACAGTGGGACACCACTAGTAAAGAACTCAACATAGGCTGCTGCTATGATGTAGAACAGCCAGCACAAGAATTCTGAACTTCTGGGAGAGAGGGTGACTCATAAAAACAGGAGGATACTGCTTGCTCTAGTAAGAAGTTTTATTTAGAAAACGTCTTAGTACAGAGGTAAAACATGTAGTTTCCTTTCAGTAAAATGTATACGTCTTGATAACTCACTTGTCAACAGGGCAAATAGTGTTAAAACAAACATCATTATATTTTTATTCATTTATTCAGTAAATATTTATTTTGAGGACCTATGCTATGTCAGACATGGTTCCAGAATGATATAGTAGTGCAAAGACAGACACAGAACCACCATTTCTGCTTAATTGTGTTGGTTAAAGAAAGTCACAAGACCAATCCAAGTTTAAGTGGAGGAAGCAAAGACTTGATGAAAAAAACAGAAAAGAAAAGAATTTGTAGTTATATTTCATCCGATACAATTTATTTTAGTATATTCTTATTATTTTCAGTGTTTTCCACATGCAATGTTCTCTGTGCACTGGTTACAATTACAGCTTACTGCATCTTGGGCTGCAATTTCTACTATTTGCACAAGTCCAATGAGAAGGAGCATTCACACAACAAATTAAGCAAAGCAAATTTATTACTCATAAGTAGGCAGTAAATAACCCAGAAGCCTAGGATTCAAGGGCAAGCTGGCTTTTTAAGACTCATCAGAAAAGCTGTCCGGGATAGGTGAAATCTTGTCCACATGTGCCTCACTTGCACCACAGCTGAGGGAGCCCACCTGGGTTTTATACCTCTGGAGAAACACAACATGCTGGGATAAAGCATTCAAGAAAATCCTATTTCTCTGAGAAACAGGAACAGAGCCAGGCTTTTTCCCCCTTTGTCTCAGAATGTTGCATTCCCAGCACATTCTACATTCTACAATTATCCTTGAGAACTACAGGAGAAATGAGGGAGAACTGAGTTGGTCCAAGGCCACATGAAGATATGTCTTGAATTCTAGAAAGAAATTAATTCTCTGACGATAAGAGTTGCTCAAAACTGAATGACTATACTTGCTGACCATACTATAAAAAAGTTTATGTAGTTATTAATACCTTTTCCCAATCTGTGTCAATTAGGCCCAAACACCAGAAGGCTGGCCTTTATTTGTGATTAAGGTTATTTATAATAACAATGGAGAACTGTTAAAAAAAATTACCCAAAATTGCTAATAATATCTGCATGTTATTTCAGTGTCATACTAGGACATTATCTAACAGGATCACCCAAGAATAATTTAATTCCCTAGTATGTACCCTTGCTTGCTTTGCTGTTTACTATTGATTAAAGCTAGGACTCTGTAATGTTATATGTTCATTTGTAGTTTTTGTCCATTGGAGATATATAATTTCTTTCCAGAAGAAAGGTTATACTTTATTGCTCTGCAAGGTATTAACCAGTTTTGTGCCCAACCTAGCAAATTTATTTCAGTATACCTTTCCTAACAGTCTCTGTTCTCCAAATGCCCCTTGAACTACCTTTATCATCCTGCTGACTCCTTTAATAATGATTTAAATCAATGTTTGGCATATGCTTACTTGACATTTGTAAGAAAGTCCTGTTTCTAACTTTAAAAATTATATTTTGACAATATCATGATAAAAGTGGAGGTGAAGAAAAGTAGCGTCAGGACTTGCTGATGGATTGGATGTGAAGACTGAGGAAAAGAGAAATGTGAAATATAACTTCTAAATTTTCTCAGACTTTAACAGTCATCTGTGAAAGCAATTTAACACTACAAAACCTACAAGGCTCCCAAGGCACATTTTAGAGCTATGGATGAATTCATCTCGCCTGTTTTAGATCAAAAGCAAAGATATTCTGCCGTTGTCTCAAATATCATCCACTAAGTACTGTAGGTGCATTTCAAAACATTGTTTTAACTTTTTCAAAGAGAATATTCCTGGAAAAATTACTTTTTATCCATGAAGAAGTTGGATAACATTTTTAATGGCAAAAAAACACACTATTCACATTTTGGTAAGAAAATAGAGGAAACTAAAATCTGTATTTCAATTCCATACAATACTTTCAGATTTTTATATAGCCCAAAATAGAGTCAGTAAAAGCCACTAAATCTAAGCATTATAATATTAAATAGTTTATTTATATACCTTTATTTCTATCACTTTAAGCTTACTCAGAGTCAGAAACCATTTCAAACTTTCTAAGGAAAAATTTTAATTTGGAGTAATAAACTTTCAACACTGATTTATTCCCTTTAAAAAGGAAGATAAACAATTTTAACCTATTATCATTTTTATTGAAAATTCCACCATAGCAAAATAATACATGATTATCCAGAAAAAATAAAATTACTCATACTCATAATGCTAAAATAACCACAGTTAATCATTTGCTTTACCTCGCTAAACATGTTTTGTCATGCTTGACCATATGCATATTTTTCTTACTAAAATAGGTCCATATGCTTTAGCTTTTTCTGGGATACAAATCACTCAGAAACTCAGTAGCATACATAATGAACATTTATTTCTTGAGCATCTCAGGGTTCAGCTGCTCAGGGATGAACAGCTCTGCCAACCTCCTCTTAGCGTGCTTATTCTTCTTGGGGTTTAGAGTCTTTGGATCTAGGTTGAATTCAGCTGAGGTGAATTGAGACCAGTGTGAGCTAATCTGAGCATGCTCTTCAGGTTGCAATCACAGACATGCAAGAGGGAGCAAGTGGAATTATGCAAAATTACCTAAAGACTAAGAACTGGCACACTAACACTTCTGCCTAATTCTCTCACCAAGGTAAATTACAAAGGGTGGGGTCCCTTTGCAAAGGAACATCACAATTGATTAAATGCAGAAAGAAAAGAAATGGGGCTATAAGTGCAATTAATCTACCACATGTTTATACTTAATATCAGTAATCTGATAATTTTTGTATCTCAGTAAGCATACAGATTCTACTTATTTTTAATGATTCCACAGTATGCAAACATATGGATTCCTCACAATTTCTTTACAAATCTATAACATTTATAACTTTGTGAATTTAGATCTACCACTTTTACTATAACAAAACTTTTACTTAAAAAATCATAAGCATACAATCTGTATATTGACCTTGTATCTGGAAAAGCTTGCTAAACTCACTTATTAGTTCTAATCACTTTTGGTGGATTTCTTAGGCTTTTAGAATCATGTTATCTTCATACAGAAATAATTTTACTTCTTCCTTTTCAATCTGGATGACATTATTTTCTTATCTAATTGCCTTGGGTAGAACCTTAAGTATAGTGTTGAATACAACGCGTCAGAGTGTACATCCTTGTCTTGTTCCTGATCTTAAGGAGAAATCTTCAATCTTTTACCATTAAGCATGCTGTTAGCTGTGGGTTTTGTGTAGATGCTCTTACCTCATTGGAGATCCTAGGCTGTTGAGTGTTCTTATTATGAAAGGATATTGGATTCTGTTAAATACCTTTTCTGCATATATTAAATAAGCACGCAGCTTTCATTAATTATTCTATTAATATGGTGAATTACACTGATTGATTTTCATGTGTGAATCAATCTTTTGCTTCTGAAATAAATCCCACTTTTTTCATATTGTGTAATACAATGTACATGTTGCCAGATTTGGTTTGCTAGTATTTTGTTGAAGACTTTTTAATCTATATTCACAGAGGATATTTGTCCATAGTTTTCTCATGGTGTCTTTGTCTGGTTTAAGTATCAGAGTAATATTGATCTCATAAAACAAGTTCGGAAATATTCTCTTCTCCTATTTTTCATAAGAGTTTATGAAGGATGGATATTAAATCTTGGTTAAAATTTGGTAGAACTGATCAGTTAAGCCATCTGTGATGGTTTTGTTTGGGCGGGGAAAGGGGGTAGGTGGGTCAGTTTAATTCTTGTAGGACTATTTAGAATTACTATCTTTTCTTGAGTCAGTTTTTGTAGTTTCTTTCTAGGAATTTTCCACTTCATCTAAGTTATCTAAAGCATTATCATACAATGGTTCATAGTATTCTCTCATAATTCTTTTTATTTCTGTAATAACTCCTCTCTTTCATTACTGATTTTAGTAATTTAAGTATTTTCTATTTGTTTCTTGGTAAATCTAGCTAGAAATTTGTCAATTTTGGTGATCTTTTTAAGGAACCAAATTCTGGTTTCATTTCTTTTTGCTACTTGTAAAATATTTCTATCTTATTTATTTCCACTACTAATTCTTACTTTTGTCTACTTTTGGAGGGTTTAGTTTATGGTCACTTTTTTAATTTATTAAGGTGGCTGCTTAGGTTATAGATTTAAGATCTTTTTCTCTTTTTTAGGAAAGGCATTTTCAGGTATAAATTTTTCTCTAAGCACTACTTTAGCTGTGTCCTGTAAGTTTTGGTATGTTTTATTATCTTTTATATTCACCTCAAAGTTAATTTTTACGTATTTATAAATTTCCCAAATCCTTTCCATTATTGGTTTCTAATTTTATTCCCTTCTATTCAGGTAATGTGCTTTGTGTTATTTCAATCATTTTATATTTTTTATATTTGTTTTATGGCTAAACATATGGTCTATACTAGAGAATGTTCCATGTACACTTTAGACAGATGTATATTCTGTGGTTGTTGGGCATTCTACAGACGTCTGTTAGGTCTAGTTGGTCTATGGTGTTATTCCAGTATTGTATTTAATTGTTCATCCCTTGTCTATTTGTTCTATCCATTATTATAAATGGAATACTGAAGTGTATAACTATTATAGCTGAATTGTCTATTTCTCCATTCAGTTGTGTAGTATTTTGCTGCATGTATATTAGAGTTGTTGTTAGAGCCATATATGTAAATTCTTGCTCATTCTTGATAGATTGAGCTTTTTATCATTATGAAATATCTGCTCTTCTCTATAATAACATTTCTTGTTTAAAGTCAATTTTTCTGATATAGTTAGTTATTCCAGTTCTCTTAAGGTTGCTATCATAAGGCACTGTTTTTTGGTTGATATATGTTTTTATTGCTGTATGTTCTTGGTGGATTGAGCCTTCTATCATTATCAACATCCTTATCTCTTACAATAATTGTGTCTAAAGTCTATTTTATCTTAGATTAATATAGCCACTCAAGCTCTTCTTTGTTTACTATTTGCTTGGAGTATATTTTTCTATCCTTTTACATATAATCTATTTGAGTCTTTGAATCTAAAGTAAATCTCCTATAGAGGATATATAGTTAGATCATGTTTTTTTAATCTGTTATGCCAATTTCTGCCTTTAGATGGAATAATTAATCTATTTATACTTAATATACTTATTGACAAGATTTACATCGGCTATTTTACTATTTGTTTTCTGTGGCTTTTTTATTTTTTGTTTCTCTATCCTCCACTAATGCTTTATTTTATATTAAATATTTTCTAACCTATCTTGTCATTTTTTATACATTTTTTGAGCTTTTTGTGGTTTCCCTGGGATTACAATTAATATTTTAACCAATAACCCTCTAGTTTGAATTAATACCAACTTAACTTCAGTAATATACAAAAACTTTGGTTCTATATGTCTCCATTTATTTCCTGTTCCTTTGTGTTTCTGTCATATAAATTTATGTATATATCCATCAACACAAGTTTATAATTATTGCTTTATGAATTTGTCTTTTAAACTAGATAGGAGATTTTAAAGAGTTACAAACAAAACACACATATTGTACTTTATGTTTCCCTTATAGTTACCTTTACTGATGCTCTTTATTTTCTCATGTGAATTCAATTTACTTTTTAGTGTCCTTTCCTTGAAATGTGAAGGACTCCCTTTTAGTTAAGAGTTTTCTAAGAAATTATTTTAGGGTGTCTTCTAGTATTGCAGGGTGAATTCTCTCAGTTTTAATCTGTAAATTTCTTACTTTTTCCTTCACTTTTGAATAACGGTTTCAATGGACTTAGAATTCTTGGTTGACAATCATTAAAAATTTACTTTAAATGTGTCACATCAGTGCCTTATTACCTCCATGGATTCTGATGAGAAATCAGCTGTTAAATCCAATTTAGGATTCTCATGTTGATGAGTTGCTGCTCTCTTGCTGCTTTCAAAGTTCTCTTTCTCTTTCTATAGTTTGATTATTATATGCCTAGATCTGAATATCTTTTAGTATATTCTACTTGGAGTTCATGGGCTTTCCTGGCTGTGTAGGTTGCTGTTTTTTATAAAATTTTGAAAGTTTTTAATGATTATTTCTTGAAATATTATTTTGCCTCTTTTTCCCCACCTCTGCTCCTTCTAGAATTTACATTGTGCATATGTTTGTACATTTTATGGTGTCACATAAGTCTCTAAGGCTTGCTTAATTTTTATTCATTTCTTTTCTGTTTGTTCCTCAAGGTGGATGATCTCAATGGACCAATATTCAAGTTTGCTGACTCTTTCTGACAACTCAAATCTGCTTCAGTACCTCTCGTGAATTCATTTCAATTATTGTACTTTTCAACTCTAGTGTTTATTAGTATTCTAAATTTGAGGAGACATTGCTTACACATTTTCCTTCAATTCTTAGACATGGATTCCCTTAGTTTTTGAACATATTAAAAATAGTTAATTTAAAATATTTAACTAGTAAGTCTAACACAGCTTCCTCAAAAATAGTTTGTATTTACTACTTCTTTATTCTTGTGTAGAGGCCATTGTTTCTTATTTGCATGTCTCATAATTTTTTTGAAAACTGGGCATTTAAAATAATATAACATGGCAACTCTGGAAATTAGAGCCCCCTTCTCAAGGGTGTATTGTTGTTATTCCTGTGTTGTCATTTGTTGTTGTTGTTTGTTTAGTGACTTCCCTGGACTAATTCTGTAAAATCTATATTCTTTACCAAACTGGCCACTGATATCTCTGCTCAATTAACTTAGTGGTCAGCCAATTTTTGAACAGAAAAATCCTTAAATTACTCAAACCAATCAGTTTTCTCAGGCTCTGCATGTGTATTGGGGTGTCTCTTTAATACTTAGAAGTTTAGACAGCTCTAAACATGTTAGAGCTAAAGACACCTATGACAACATCTCCTTCCCCAGTTCTTCTTTTTAATATTTCTGGTCAGCTTCTTATTTGCCCACCTGATAGCTCCGCCTCAGGCAGCTACAATGTCAAACTATTATCACTGATTTTTCACAAATATTTCCAGTGAAAATGCTGTTTGCAATGAATAAGTGCTGATTCAGGTAAAATAAGGACAAGTCCTGTGAGTAAGGGTTTTCAGGGAACCTCCAGAAAATTAATGACAATTAATTGAGAATAATGCTTTGGAGGATCTCCAAATCTGTTCTACTCACTGCAGTGATCGATAAGCTATTTTCTACCTCCATTGCAGAGCTATTGATTTTCAAGATTGTGATCAAGCTAGGGAGAGTGGGACGGAAATAGAGGAAGTTAAACTACCACAAAGCTTGAGGTCTTATCAAGACCCAGCCATTTTTCTTGAATAAATACTCCTCTAATTATTCTAAGACTTCAATTAATTTCTAGAGTTATGGAAAACTATATTTTGACTACTTTGATAGTACTGCCATTTTTTTTTTTTTTTTATGGAGGAGCAGATTTTTGAAAGGTTCTTATTCTGTCATTCCCAATGACCAAATTAATGAGTTTGAGCTTGGTCAATTTCTTAATAAATAAATCATATCCTAAATGTATTTTCCAAGGTGAAACCTGACTTTCTGAATATGAAACAATATTTGAAAAAGACACTTTTATTTCATTTAGCATTGGAAATACTAATTACTTTTTGGCAGTAATTTTCTTGATTTTAGTAAATTATCTAAGCTCATTCAACAACATTTGTATAATTACTTACTCATGAATACTAAAGTAAGGGTGAGGTGCCTTGAGAACGTCCTTTGATTTAAAATTGCATACCCCTTATTATTTATAAAATCCTGAAGGATAATTATTTTTCAAATTACATGGAGCAAAGGATAAAATTATGCAATTATAAACAATGTTAACACTTCAAATAAAATTCCAATTTATTGAGTTTATATTCAAGTTTTAAATTGTTTATAACTTTTGTGTTATCCCTCAAATTTTAACAAAAATAGAATTGTACCAAGATTATAAATATTTTACCAATATACATCATATTATCAATACATGAAGATTTTTGTTTTTTAATTGAGATTGTTCCTTTTATGATCATATACCTTAAATGTTCAGCTAATTTTCAGATAAAAGCATTCTACCTCCTCATTGCCATTTTTCCCAATACTTTATTTTGTTCCCATGGTATTCATAATGGTTTATAAGGTTTTTGTGTGTGTTTATTTTTCACATTACTTTTAAATTTCTAGTTACTGCCCTTTTAATCAAAAGCCATTAATTAAATCCCCTCCATGTCTTAACCATTATATATATATATATATCCATAATTAAGTAAGAAATTTACAGATAAAAACTGAGAGAATTCACAATATGTGTGCTTTGTTTGTAACTCTTTAAAATCTCCTGTCCAGTTTAAAAGATAAATTCATAAAGCAATAATTATAAATCTGTGTTTATGGATATATACATATATATATATATATAATGGCCATTAATTAAATCCCCTCCATGCCTCAGCCATTTTATATATATATATATATATCCATCAATACAGATTACATAACTATTTTCTTATTTTTAGATATTTATGTTTTATATAAAGACCCATTTATTCTTCAGGGTTCTACTTTTATGATTATTATTAAATAACTATTAAATGTTCTCTAATGAATCACATGAAATGTTGTTTCCTATAGCCTAATAACATGGGGGGGGACAAAAGTAGACAAACAAAAATTTTAAGGTAAATGAAGTGAAAATAAAAGGTTGATAGTGGTAAAATTTAAAAGAAAAGGCAAGTGAGATCTCAGTTTTACACACACACACACACACACACACACACACACACAAATGTTTATAACAATATAAAAATGGTGAAAGTAAATCTAGTAAGATAAATGCCACAAGTTGAGGGCTTTAAGAAAAAGATATATAGACTAAAGTAGTTAAGAGCGAGCATCCCAAAGTCTAAGGTACTTATGTACTGAATCCTGGCTACGTCACTTCCAGTGAGTGAAATTAGGCAACTTATTTTATTTCTAAATAAAATGTGTTACATTATGTAAGAAGTTCTCCTTCTGGAGAAAATTTGAGAATTTGATGCCTTTACCTTTGTAAATCTATGCCTTTGTAAATCTATACCTTTATTTTCTCAGAAGTAATGCTTAAACCTGTGCATTTAACAATTGGATTAAACTTCAGATGCTTAAATATCTGCCCTAGTAGAACATTCAATTTTTTTCTCTATGCTTAAGACATTCAAAATGCATATAGTACAAAACAAAATTTCTGAACTAAGTCTTAAAATGAAATGTATCAAAATAATGTCATTTTCCCTTCAGAATATATAACATTGTATACATTGGAAAAGAGTCTAGATTCAATATTATGTGAAGTGAATTCATTTAAAATTGCCTGAAAACATTGTTCAGTAACTCTCAGGAAATAAAATGCTTTGAGCACAGGGTAAAGATCATTTGTATGTTTATAAAGTTAATGTTTCTTAGATTATTTTATTTTGCTGATCAAATACATTTTATTGAAAAATAAAATTAAATCTGCTACAGTGTTTTTGGATGGCATAGAAAATAAAATTGAAAACGTGATATTCTTTATGTCCATGATTGTGGCTAGATTTGGATTCTAACTCATGACTTAGAGCATACATGTAGTGTTTAAAATAACCATAAAAATTTGAATAGAAGATCTATATCAGTGAAATTCAGTAAGAAAGAGTTCACAGTGTGTACTTGGGCTTTCTATGCAGAACAAAGTCAAATTATGTCTAAACTCATTAAGACATAAACCTTTGTAGAACCAATGACTTCATTACTCTGATCCTCTGTTCAAGAACTAATTATAATCAATATCTAATATCTATTTAGAGACCTCTAAGATTGTGTGAGATGCTAACAATTCCAACAAGAAATGAACATCCTTAGAACTTGTGAATTATTTCTTGTGACCCTGCAACTATTGACCTTTTCTACAATTGACAATTTTTTTTTTTTTTTTTAAGAATCAAATCCAGGTTAGGTTCTGTGCTGGAAACTTTAAGTATGTACTCTCATTTAATCCTCACAAAAATTCTAAGAATAAATACTGTTAATCCCATGTGATCGATAAGGATAAGCAACTTTGCTGGCCAGTTGCAGAGTTATACTCTTTCCTAAAGTTGTGGTCTTTACATTGAACTGCAGATTAATTTTGGAAGTGAGAAGGTTTTACATCATTAGTCACATTTTTATTAGAAAAATCTATTGTCAATTTCTAGGCAATTCCAAATGCTCAACAATAGCTTCGGTAAGCTCCAAGAGATCTACTATTTAAAATGGCATTTTTGTTTTTTAAAAAGTTTGAATCGATAAACAAATATTTACAGATATATTTAGCTTGAAAAAAGTACTGGCATTGAACATTCTATAATACATCTGTATTACCTCTTAAGAATTATGATTTTTGTAAGAGTTAATAAGCATTATAAAAAATTAGATATTAATAACCCAAGGATAAAAGAATATTTTATAAAAATGTCATACATATATACATATTCTCACCCTTTTCACCAGATCATTAAATTATTAAATAACCATAAATGAGTCAAATATCCATTCTTTGCCATTACCCCATCCCAGATCAATAATCCTGATTCATGATAAAATTTGAGATCCACTGTTTTAAAATAAAAATTAAACCTGGGAAGTAATAGTCACTTTAAAGCATAGCCTTTACAAATGGAGAGTAATCTGTATTAAGAGACTATCAGGTGAGTAAACTAAAAAACCTTTGGTTAAAGTGTGGATTCCTTTTGTCTCCCTAACTTCTCTGGAACTATTATAAATATCATCATTATCTTAATAGCATGTTTAATCTATGTTTAAATTCTCTCTCCAGTTGTTCAACTCCTTCTAGTAGGTTGAATAATAGCCACTCAAGTATATCAAATCCTAATTTCTGCAACCTGTAAATGTTACTTTATTTAGAAAAAGGGTCTTTGCACAGTAATTAAATAAGGATCTTTGGGTGGGGAGATTATCCAGGTGAGCCTTAAATGCAATCACATGTGTGGCCACAAGCCAAAGACTGCTGGCAGCCACCAGAAGCTGGAAGAGACAAGAAATGAACTCTCCCCTAGAGCCTCCCAAGAGAGAATAGCCCTGCCATAACCTTGATCTCAGACTTCTGGCATCAAAAACTGTGAGAAAATAAATTTCTGTTGTTTTAAGCCACTCAGTTGGTGATAATTTGTTACACCAGCCACAGGAAATGAATACACTCCCCTATGAGGGAAGGAACTTTTTATCATTTTCATCTTGTAGCCTCACTGCCTGAAACAATTGTTGGTTTAAACAGCAGTTCTAAATCTTGATTGCAATTCAGAATAATCCCAATTTTTAAAAAGTTACTAACGCCCAGATGAAATCTCCCCACTACAGAAATTCTGACTTAATGGCTCTGAAATAAGACTTGGGCATTGGTATTATTTTTAAATCTTCAATTATTTAGTGTGTAATCAAAGTTGAGAACCACAGGCATCAAGAGGGACTGAATGAAACGGGAGTTAGTAAGGTCTAGTAGCTAAGAGCACTGACTGGAATCAGACTGCCAGGAGCCCAGTCCAGCTCCACCATGAACTAGCTGTGTGAGCTGGACCACGTTGCATACTTCTCAGTTTCTCCATCTTTTAAAATATGAGATGATCAAATTATCTTTATTATAGGGTTATTTTGAGGCTTAAATGGGATAATTCAGATGTTTACAAATATAGTGTCTCCCCCATTGTAAACGTTCTATAAATGTTAGATCTCAATGTTGGGAAAAAAATTTAATTTCACATTTCTTTAATCAATCATTTTAAACTTAGGTTAGTTAGAAAGACTAAGGATTTTAATCAAAAAAAGTCTTTAAAGTTTATATAAACAATTCTTATTAATAAATTTTGTTTCAGTTATTTAAATTTGCTGAGCCTCTGAAGTTGTTAGACAAAAGTTCATAACCAGTAATCCAGAGACTTTGACAAGCAAATTCTTTAAAATCTTACAATTGGATCCCTTCTATTGACTTATGCAACATGTTCTCTTTTAATGTAATTGCATTAGAATTCTCTTGTTTAAGTTAAAATTCGTAATGCTTTGGATAGTAGAGTATGGAGCAACATTTTGTATATAGTAGAGAAATGGCAATCTTTCCAAAGAAGTTTTTTCCTTTTTTTTTTTTTTTTTTTTTTTTTTGCTTTCCCAAATCCCCATCTGTTTTGCTGATGTGCCAATATCTGGGGTCTGTTTTTCATAATATCATTTTGTTTGTGAGGTTGTCTGTTCCTGAGAGTTCAGAAGCTGGCTGACAATAAAAAAAGTGACCCTGATGAGGCCAGAAAATATCTTGAAAAATAAAGCTAAAGCCAAGAAAGACACTGCACCCTGCTGGCCAGTGGCACAGAGAGCCTCAGCAGAAGAGGAAGGACAGCAGCTTTGGACATTCCTCTAGAGTCCCTCCTTGGTGGCTGGAGACACTTCCAAAAGTAGCGACTGAATATGAGAATTGCATCAAAACTGCTCATGTCCCCTCCTGCACCCATGAGTGGTTTAAACAAAACAACTCTTTGTGGAAAAAACTGTTTAATTTCACAAAGAGAGATAAGAGAAATGGCAAATAACATATACTTAAAAAAAAAAATCTCTGAAACATCAAAAAAAGGCAACTAGGAAGAGGGACAGAAAAACAGAGTTTAAATACTTTTTAAAACTATTTAATAGTTTTGTGTCCATATTTAACTAAAAGAAGACAGTTTGAGAACTGCCTAGAGATGTTTACGTTTTCCTCTCCGATAATTTTGCACAACTGATAATTTTATCTAATATACTCAACACTAGGAGAATGAGTAAGTCAGAAAGGACGATTTTCTTCCCTTCTATCTTTAAAAGGGGCAAAAAATTCTTAAAGAATTTTCTAGGCAATTTATCTTTGCTGCAATTTTACGTGCAATTTTCTAGTGTTGTATGTGGGTGAACATTATTAGTCTATGTTGTAGATGCTATGAACATAAGCATACAATCTTTTAAGTTTTACCTACATGTGAAAATTGCCCATGAAAAGAAGTTATTATAACCACAGTAAGAATATTTATTCTTTAGAATTCCCACTTGCTATAACAATAACATAAAACCTTTAATCTTATATCATTTTCTATTTTTATTCTGGGAGAAAGCATGGATGCTATGAATTTACACTGGCATTATATCAAGGGTTATCCTTGATTTAAAGATTATTTTCATTCTGATGGAAAATAAGAAGTCTTTTTTTCTTGGATAATATGATAGTGTGGTGTCCTTATGGGAGGTGATGGATAGAGGTTTGAAAAATGCCTACAAAGCAGCCTATGAAAATTCCTATGATAGAAGATAACTGGGAAGAATTCATGGACTACTGTTTTTTTAAACCTCAATTTTATCAACAAATACTGCAGAAAAAACAGGTGAGTCCAGAGTGCCCAGGAAATGTGCAAACACTCTTTTTAACAGTCCAGCTCAGACTCCATATTGCAGGCTATCAGCTGGACAGCCATTGAGCTGGGCTTTCATTTGTCAAGAGGAAAAAGAAAGAATGTGATCCCACCGTAGCTCTGTTTAATTACTTTCAAATAAAGTAACTTAGAATGCTACAAATATGTAAGAAAGGTGGGGTGGAGTGAAAAAATGTCAAGAGTATTATAAACCTAACTTTGGAAATACCAAATTTCCTAGTTAGTTCTATGTCTATGCAAATTAAAGCATGCATTCAGGAATCAGCTGTACGTTTCTAAAACTTTTTGTAAAATTCCATTTCAGTGGAGATATCATGATGTGCTATATCCCTTTCCCCTCCCTCTGGCTTTAATTCAGGTGATAGACCGGAAAAGGAGAGTTCCAGAATCCCGCCTTTTCCCAGCTAGGCATAGCTTTTTCAGCTTGAGGTATAACAATTGTAGGAAATGGTGAATGATGGAAACATTTTCCTAGAAGGGGAGTTTGAAACCTAGGACAGCCACTCCTATTTGAACTATAACTACTTACAGAGGCATGAATCGGAGGAAGCTTGCCACATGGAGAAAGCCTGAACAGACCAACTTGACAGAAGACTAGATTGTCCCTTCCTGAAAGTGATGGACTAACACACTCCCAGGATGCACCTTCCTCTGACATTTCCTGAGCTTAGCCTCATTATTTAGCTACTCCTAGGTTTCAGTGGAAAGGATTACAACCTACATTTTTTTAAAGAATACATTTAAAAAGCAGCTGCTAATAATACTCTCAAGCAATAAACCATATATGTATACTATTTCCCTCATATGTTAGCATTTCTTACAAGAGGCAAGTTGCAAAGGAAACACCTTAAAGATGGCTTGGCATTTTTAAGCACTCAAAGGAAATTCAACTGCTGAGAGGCTGGAAGAAAACTCATATTACCTGTAGTTTGAAAACAAATCATTCCCATTCCTCATACATAAAATTTACAGTCGGTATTCAGATGAGAGTAAATTATTCAGTAGCTGTCAGGATTTTCATTTCTCAAAAACATAAAATAAATTGCCTTGGTTGTTGTCTTTTAGCTCTTTTTCTTACAGTTATAAAAACAATTATATAGGAGAAGCAATTTGTATTCAAGATGATTTAAAAATGATATTGTTATTATACTAGGCAAGGATGTTATTTACAGGATGGAGGTCAGCAGAGTTTTACTTGCATTTTGCTTTAAATACCATTGAAATAAATATACTATTCTACAGTTAAGAAATAAATTAATATGTACATTTTGTAGGGTGTTTTAGGATTCATTAATTTTTCCCCAAGGACACGTGTTTAGGAATGGGGCAAGTGTATGAAAACGAAGTCAAGGAGAAAGGCCATTTATCACAGAGGCCTCAAGATTAATAATTAACAAACCATAAAGAGGTAGCAGATTAAATGCAAGTAAGGAACTTTAATTAAACAATAATCATGAGGATACAAGGCATTTCCTGAGGATTCATCTTTGATTAGAAGTTGTTGAAAGCATTTGGCCTTTAATTCTAGCCAGCCCTTAATCCCCAGGAAGTTTCCTGTGTCTTTACTTTATTGCTATTTTAAGATATATTAAAAGTTTTCACAGAGAAAATGGTAGATGATCTGCCTTATTTTAAAACATAATGTAGCTCAAAGATATTTAGAACTCTTTAGCCATTTCTCAGCATTTCATACAATTCTGGGTAGTATATTATATATAGTATTACTACATACACTATTCACAATAGCAAAGAATTGGAACCAACCCAAATGCCCATCAATGATAGACTGGATAAAGAAAATGTGGCACATATACACCATGGAATACTATGCAGCCATAAAAATGGATGAGTTCATGTCCTTTGCAGGGACATGGATGATGCTGGAAACCAGGAAACTATCTCAAGCAAACTACTACAAGGACAGAAAACCAAACACCACATGTTCTCACTCATAAGTGGGAGTTGAACAATGACAGCACATGGACACAGGGAGGAGAACATCACACACCAGGCCTGTCGAGCAGTGGGGGGCTAGAGGAGGGATAGCATTAGGAGAAATACCTAATATAGGTGACGGGTTAATGGGTGCAGCAAACCACCATGGCACATGTATACCTATGTAACAAAACTGTATGTTCTGAACAGGTATCCCAGAACTTATAGTTTAAAAAAATAAAACACATAAGTAGCAAAACCTGAGGACTAGAATGTATTTACTTATTTATGCATCACTTTGTTCTCAAAAGGATGTGATTCAAAAGTATAATCTAAAATCAAAGCATGTATAACTCATTCAATTATAACATGAAATTATCTTCATTTTCTAATAATGTTTACCAGCAATGCTCTGTCAAACCACTTTTCTGGTGAACAGAAGACTTCTAAAAAGATTTGACAGTTTGATTTTCTAACTTTTGTAAAAGGCTTATGCCAATTAATTTGACTTTGTCCTCTTCATTTTAAAGCTTCAGTTTCATGATCAATTCAAAAGGAAAAGGGCATCTCACATTTTAGCTGTTGGTGAAGTGGAAGTCTCTGCTCTGTTGGTCATCACTGCTAACCTATTGCTTGCCTACAGAGCAAGAGTGACCAGTTTGACCTCAACAGGCATCATTAATGAACAACTCAATTCCCAGTGGCTTCCTTAAGTTTTGGTGGTCCCTGACAAGATGAGGTCACATCTTGCAACTGATACCCAGATTGTAACACCATATAAATTCCTCTTATGTCCAAACTTCTTTTGTGGTGTTCAATATGTAGTACTGTAAATAGGCATAATTTATCTTCTGTATATCTAGGGAACCAGGAATTTAAGGGAGGGGACAGATCTTGACTCACTCTATCAAAATGCACTGTTATATCTTCAAAGGTCTCTCCTCCTAATCTGATATCATGAGTCAGGTCAACAATCTTGGTGGATAAGCAGTCATTCAACTGGAAAGGAGATGTCAGTCTTCTCTTCTTCCACAGTTTAGAAGTTATTTTCTTGGGATTTTTCAGTTGAGAGCTAAGGAATGCCTCCTATTCACAAACATGAATATCCTCCAAAAGGATGCCTTTATCTCCCTTAAATTTGTGATATCAATGCTGCCAATGCAGTGTAGTATCATCCAAAGGCATGATGAGTCTCATGCCTGGAAGTGGCCCTTCTTCAAACTCAATTTCAGGGAAACTGAAAACATTGCTTTCAATAGTTTCCCTGGAGACTGGGATTAAATCTTTCCTTGAGCACTTACACAGATAAAGTAGCTAACCTCTGTGGTTTGTGGCATAGGGATATTTCTCATTTGTGAATTAAGGATAACAAAAGTACCTACCATATAGTGTTGTGAGAATTAACTATGTAAACAAACACACCTCATTTACCTCCTTCTGTTCACAAAAATCCATCTCTACTTTTGTCTGTCTCACTCTGTGCCCTGGGAGGCTGGCCTCTAAACTGCAGCATCCAGCCTCCCTTGCCTTCAGACATTGAATTGGTTTCAGTCAATTAGAGAGACCAGCAGTAGACATCAGGGTATTGCCTCCTGCGTTGCTTTCTCTGTGATTTCGTGTTATGATCTGGCAGAAAATGTTTCTCTATATCGACAGCTTTGTCTCCTGACTTCCAGGTCACCAGTTCTTACCTAGCTCTAATAACATTGCTCTCTCTTTTTGCACCTTCACACCTGCAGGCAGTATGTCCTCCTACTGCTGCAGGTCCATGGTTCCCTGGTACAGTGACATCCAACATCCAGGTGTCAATAAGTACTTCACACTGTCTTTCTACATATTAAGATTTTTCACTGGATGTTGTTTTTCAACTGTATTTTTATTGACATATTTTCAATTATTACAAATGTTTACAGGACCATATGATTTAAATCATATTTAGTTATGTATATGCATAATTCATATCCATACACATACACATGCAACTGGTCCATAATACTTAGCACAGAATGGTTCTCTCCACATATCACATTATTCTTTTTGTTAGATAAGCTGACATCAGATCCTTTGTTTAAAATTTACAATGGCTTTTCATAGCATTTAAAATAAAATCCAAACTCCTTACCAAACCCAACATAGTTTGAGTCCAAGTACTTCCAAGTACTTTTTTTTTTTTTTTTTTGGAAACAGAGTCTCACTCTGTCACCCTGACTAGAGTGCAATGGCATGATCTCGGCTCACTGCAACTTCCTACTCACAGGTTTGAGTGATTCTCCTGCCTCAGCCTCCCAAGTAGCTGGGATTACAGGGGCCCACCACCACACCCAGCTAATTTTTTTTATATTTTGCAGTAGAGATGGGGTTTTACCATGTTGGCCAGGCTGCTCTCGAACTCCTGACTGTAAGTGATCCACCCACCTTGACCTCGCAAAGTGCTGGGGGTGAGCCACTGCGCCCGGACAACTCCAAGTACTTTTTAGACCTCTCTCCTACTACCTCTCTTTTGCTTACCATGTTCCAGCAATACTGGACTTCTCATTATTCCTTGACCCCACCAAATTCACTAGCATACTTGGGAAACTTCCTCCTGCTTCCACAGTGAAAACACTTTACTATGTCTTTCTATGACTAGGTTCTTCTCATTTGGCTCTGATAAAATGT
Source organism: Homo sapiens (assembly GCF_000001405.40). Classification (NCBI taxonomy): domain Eukaryota; kingdom Metazoa; phylum Chordata; class Mammalia; order Primates; family Hominidae; genus Homo; species Homo sapiens. The sequence continues at coordinate 187,132,742 of NC_000002.12, read as the reverse complement.
CAGTCAAATAGCACTCCATTGCAGTCACTTGCTATTCCCTTCCTTGCCTGCTGTTATACTTCCTGCTATCTGAAATCATGTACTTTTTCGCTTATTGGTTTACTGTCTGTTCCCCTACCAGAATGTAAACTCCAAAGCAGGTAGAACTTAGTCTTCTTTATCACAACAATCACAATACCTACACATATGCTTCACACATAGCAGAAATCAGGTATATAGTAAGCAGTTGATAAATACGTTGACTGAAAAATGTTTAAAAAATAAATGAACCTTATACATTATGTAGTTTGTCTCCTTTATTTTACAGTTGCTGAAACTGAAACAGAGAGATTGAACTTTATTTTTAAAGATTCAATTACTTTTTATATTTTTTAGATTCAATTTTTCAGATTCAGTAAGCCCAAGTGCTCTTTTTGTTAAAATTGTTTTTACTGTCAACAATTTATGTTTTCAACTTAAAGGAATATAAGATGATAAATGAGTCAATACGATTTTTTAAGCTGTGAAAATCAGCACTTAATAGTACAGAACTTTAGTAAATTGTGGTTGTTTATTATACTTTTTAAGTTCTGGGGTACATGTGCAGAACGTGCAGGTTTGTTACATAGGTATACATGTGCCAAGGTGGTTTGCTGCACCCTTCAACCCATCATCTACATTAGGTATTTCTCCTAATGCTATCCCTCCCCTAGACCCCCACCCCTGGACAGGCTCCAGTGTGTGATGTTCCCCTCCCTGTGTCCATGTGTTCTCATTGTTCAACTCCCACTTATGAGTGAGAACATGTGGTGTTTGGTTCTCTGTTCTTGTGATAGTTTGCTTGAGATTGTTTTCTGGTTTCCAGCATCATCCACGTCCCTGCAAAGGACATGAACTCATCCATTTTTACGGCTGCATAGTATTCCATGGTGCATATGTGCCACATTTTCTTTATCCAGTCTATCATTGATGGGCATTTGGGTTGGTTCCAAGTCTTTGCAGATCCCTTCTTTACACCTTATACAAAAATTAACTCAAGATGGATTAATGACTTAAACATAAGACCTAAAACCATAAAAACCCTAAAAGAAAACCTAGGCAATGCCATTCAGAACACAGGCATGGGCCATGACTTTATGACTAAAACAACAAAAGCAATGGCAACAGAAGCCAAAATAGACATATGGGATCTAATTAAACTAAACAGCTTCTGCACAGCAAAAGAAACTATCATCAGAGTGAACAGGCAACCTACAGAATGGGGGAAAATTTTCACAATCTATCCATCTGACAAAGGGCTAATATCCAGAATTTAAAAAGAACTTACAAGAAGAAAACAAACAGCCCCATCAAAAAGTGGGCGATACGGTACTATTAAGCACAGTCACCACACTATACATTAGATCCCCAGAACTTACTTATCTCATAGCTGGCAGTTTGTACTCTTTGACCAACATCTCCCGTCTTCCCCCACCTCCAGCCCCTGGCAACCACCTTTCTACTCTCTGCTTCTATGAGTTCAACTTTTTTAGATTCTACAAATAAGTGAGGTCATGTAGTAATTGTCTATGCCTGGCTTATTTCACTTAGCAAAATGTACTTCCACATTTATCCATGTTGTTACAAATGGCAAGATTTTGCTCTTTTTATGATGGAATATTACTGGTATTTTCGTATATTTCTTATGACCCCCAAAATAGATATAGAAGATATAATTGACTACTAGCAATATAAGTACAAGCACTTCGGCACTTCTTCCTGGGTGGCTTTTTAAAGTGTGATGCTTATCTATATAAAATAATTCTCATGGGAATTACTGTGGTTTTAATGAAAGTTCCTAGTGTTGACACTGGATATAAAAACTGGTCCCATGAACTAACTCTAAGCCATTAAAATAGCATTTACCATTAGATAGGCTTTGTTACTCCTGTATCACTAGAACATTTTCATGTAAATTATATTTAAACTTCCTGTGAAGACAATGAATGTTTATGGAAGGCAAGTAGTTCATTTACTGTTTGTCTTATCATTGTTATTCAACTATGAATATTGTGCAATAAAAATATTTACCAGTTGTATTTAAATGACAAAAAGATATGATTATTTTACCACTGATAATGGGGACTGATTACATTAAGGAAGCCAAGTGTGTGTGTGTGTGTGTGTGTGTGTGTGTGTGTGTGCATCTCAAGATATGCCTTATATACAAATAAAACAGATAATCACAATAATATTTGTCATTTGGTACTTCAGACTTGGAATATATGTGGATCCCAACCTCAGTTGTAAACATTTACAAAATTATGAGTTTTGTAATTATAGTATACAAATACCATACTCATATCAGAACTATACATGATAAATTACTATACTTCAGGATAAAATGAAGAGATTTAAGGAGATGTTTCTGGGTGATATATTGCCAATTTCTAAATACATTTTAAACACCCCAATTTACCGTGAGACTTTTCAATAGGAGGATGCAGTGCTTCTCCATGCTCCATTCTATTTTCAAAGTATAAAGCTTAAGCTAGTACATCTGTTAAATACTGAAATAGCCAAAAGGAATCCCCAAAGAAATAGTCTGCTTTTTCAGGCAGTAACTTTTACTTTTTGCCAAAGGTTTATAATCAGAGAAGCTTTACCCTGTCCAGGTGTGGTCTTGAATACCGAAACACAGCTGCAAAGAAGCTAATCTGATTTTTTCCCTCTTTCCTTTCACTCCCTAAGTGATGCAGCAAATATTGCCTATGTCTCTCTTGAGGAGAATTCACAGATTTATGTTTTAAAAAAGACTTTCTTCTTTCTGTTGCCTAGCAAATATGCAGTTGTGGCTAGATGAAAAAAATACATGCAAGTGAAAGCTAGGCAACCTAAAACATTTTGATGTATTTATGTGTCCAGAACTCAGGATAACGTTTTTTTAAAAAATACATTATACATAGTATAGGCTTGTAATTACTTATTATTTTACCCTGCATTTTGTAAAAAGGCTTTATGTCAGTTTAGTGTAGATTTATGAATCATGCATGAAAAAAGATGTTTAATATTTTTTGAACATGCCAAATGCTACATAGTTGGAAAAATACATGAATGTTGGACTGTTCATGAATGAATGTAAGCTTATGTAATGGAATAATGATGTCTTCATTGTATTCTTTTTTAAATACCCCAAAATGCTTGCTTGAGAAATGAAATAGAAAATTCAAGGCTCCTGTGTGACTTCATCAACAAACATTTATTTAACAAACATGTACTGACTAGTTACCAGGTTTCAGGTTCTGTACTATGTTTTTGAAATGCTAAGACCAAACATCCCTGATAAGTTCATAACCTACTAGGGAAAACAGGAGTGTGAATAAACAAAATATAGTAATGAGATATAAACAAAGTTCTTTAAGAACTTAAAGACAGTAGTCAAACTCTATGTAAAGGATCATCTGCAGTGCCTGTTAAAATGATCAGCTCTTGACCTAGACCTCCAATACACCACATCACAAACTTAGGGGTATGCCCAGGAATTTGTAGAAAATTTCATAAGCACCCCATGGTAATTCTACTGCACAGATAATTCAGTATCCACTGAAGAGGTATTTACACTTACCAAAGATTTTAGAGAAAAGTTTCTTGAAGTCGATTATTGGGACTCAAAAGAGGTACACCAAATCATCACATTTCCATGACAGACCTCTTCAGGTAAATGAAAAACCAAATTTTTCATATTCATTCAATATCTGTTTAACAATAATTTATTGAGTACTTAATCTATTATAGGTGCCTTACATATGTGCTAAAAATGGGCTTAGTGATATTGAGCCTCAGATTAGGAAGATGAGAGCAGGTTACTCTCACCACATGGCAGAAAGATGAGAAAAAAAACATGTCCTCTTTATCAGCCAGCTCACAGAGAACGTGAGATGAAAGGGCAGAAGCACACATGTCCAGTTCTTCCTCTCAAACTAACCAATCAGAAGTCTTTCTGTCTCTCCTTAGAAGGACAAGAGAGGATGTAAGTAGAGAACATAAAAGTAGAGATTATTGTAGAGATTCTTCCACATGGAAAGAGTCAGCATGTGTAGGAAGTATTTCCCTTCCCCCTCAATGATGACACTTGAAATGGGTCTTGGAAGAAGGGTAAGAGTTTTGCAATTCATGGGAGATTGTGGTGGGAGATGAGAAAATTAAGGCATGGAATGATAAACAAAGATGTATTCAAATCTAAGTCTGATCAATACCAGAGCTTAGTGTTTGAAATCTCCACACAAAGCAATGAAGAGCTTTCAGCTAATTTTAAGTCAATGTATAGAAAGATCACCTTTGTCTATTTTTGATGACAACTCTGGATAGAAAATAATCAGTGTCAAGGAGACTAGTTGGGAGGATGTTTCAATAATTTAAGGTAAAAATTACAATGGCATGGATGAAGACCATGGCAAAAGAAACAAAGCAGAGAACATGTTTTGCAGATGTTTAATGTGAACTGGTGACTAACTGCATGTGGAAGGAACACGAGAGAAAATAGGATTGAGTTGAATATGGGATTCTACTTTGAGAGATTTGATATAGTGCAACATGACATCAAAACATAAGGTCGACATGGGAATATAAAATGAGTTATGTTCTAGATATTATTAAGCCATTACATAACTAACATATGTCTTAGTCTTTTGCGGATGGTAAAAACAAAATACTGTAAACCGGGTAGCTTACAAACAAACAAAAAAAGTATTTCTCAATCGTTTTGGTGGCTGGGAAATCCAAGATCAAGGCAACCAGCAGATTTAGTGTCTGATGAGGGCCCATTTCCTGGTTCATAGACAAGGCCTTCTTGCTCTGTCCTTACATGGTGGATGGAGCAAGGGTCTCTCTGGAGCCTCTTCTACCGGGCACTAATCCCATGCATAAAGGCTTTGTCCTCATGATGCAATTACCTCCAAAAGGTCTCACCTCCTAATACAATCACTTTGGGGGTTAGTATTTCAACATATGAATTTTGGAAGAACACAAACATTCGACCTTAAGAATACCCAAGACCCGAGACCTCATTTCAGATTCAGTCTTAGTCTCGGCTTTCTTTTCAGCAGTCATTAAGGACTCAGATTCTTTTATTTTTCTCCTGGACAGGACCATAAGCAGCTTTCCCATCCCTTGGGAATGGGATTAAATATTGACTGCAATACTTTATTCAATACTGACTGCAAAAGGAGAACATATTCTTGTCAATATTCTTTTTTCTCAGCAGTGTAAAGCAAACAAAGAACAAAAACAAAAAACACTGAAGCCCTTCTTGTTTTAAGGATATTAAAACATATCAGTGTGAGAAAACTCCTTTGAGAACAGACGGAGGTAATTAGCCAAGGAAGGGTTTGATTCATGTCTCTATTCAAATCTTCTCAAAGAGAACAAACCTAACAATGTTATGTAAAATAACAATTCCTTCCATCACCCTAGACACATACCTAGGTCTCTGGCCTTTTAACTTGCTTTATTCTTTTCCATAATATTTAATATCACCCTTATACCACTTACCACCTTTATTTTTCATTTTTTATTGTTGTTTCTCTCCATGAAGATGCAAGCTCCATAAGAGCAGGCAGTTTACTTTTATTTTGATCAGCAATATAACCTTACAGCCTAGAATACTGCTTGGCACGTAGTCATTCAATGACATATAAAAATAATATTACTTGAATAGATGAATATCAAAATTATAATATAAATTTCCTTTTCCTAGTATTGTTGTGCTGAAAAATCTTACAAGTTAAACAGATACGGCTCTTGCTCCAGAAGCTTCAGAGTTGACTACTTTGTTTCTAACATTTTTCTTAATACACTCGTGGTCTCTTCTAAATTTAATTGCATCTCATGATGTGACTCCAACAACTACAATTGATTGGACCTAACAACATCCAATTTAAAGACTGGAATTGATTTATGGCATGGTCTGATGCCAAAAGTGGAGTTGGGCCAATCAAATCCCTTTTGGAATTTGAAATGAGAAACCTAAAGAGAGCAAGGCAGCTAGCAGCAGGAGCTAAAAGCTGGGAGAAAACTTGGAGTTAAGGTCATAAAAATTGAGTAGAATTACCTCATAATTCATAGCAGAAACTGTGAATAGCCAGAAGCTGTGAAGACAGGAAAAAATTAAACTGATTAGGAAGAAAAAAATCAGAAGTCAACTGGTCAGCAGTAATGGGAGATTAGAACAGATATTCAGAAAAAAATGCTGTAGAAACACAAGAAAAACAGAAAAGGAGGGAGATTTATTAATGCCCATGAGACAGAAACAGACAGGGTTGCTTGTCTCTAGATCTAACACAGCTTCTGATGACGTAAGGGTTACAATTCTGCTATAATACACCTTCATTTAATATCGTTTGAACCTATGGAAATATAGCTGCAGTCACATGGTTATGTATACTCGTAGTTAATTTGTACTGAAATATAAATACATATCAATATCCATATACCTTATAAAATACTGTGGAACATTCAATTTCCTGTAAAATATAATGCAACTCACATATCACCATCATGATTCTAGCAAATGAAACTAGAATGATTACTTAGAGTAACCTACACTGGAATGAAGAGGGAGAAACTGAAAAACAACAAATTAGGAGATACTTTCTATGAGGTTACAACATTGATATTATTTTTCCTCTACAAATTCCTTCTTTCTAGTCTTGACCATCACTGTTTCTACACATTCTCCCTACAAAAAAAAAGATTAGGAAAAAATGTTATTTGCTATTGTTTAAGCATAACTCAAGTGAAAAGGAAAAAGAAAAACCAAATAACCCAACTCAAATTCATCTTTCTTCAGATTTATATTACAATCTCTCTTTTCTGAAAATTATGCCTTAAGATTTAGACCTTAGTGGCTTCCTTCATGTGACATGATGGTACATTGCAAGTGGAAATTGACAGAATCACAGAATTAGAATTTAGAATCTAACATAAAGATTCTTCTAAAATGTGCCCATTATATGTACTTCCTTAGCCATGGAATTTGATGTTCAAATTTAGAATTAAATTAATCTCACCCTTGGACAAAAAAGATTTTTCTCAGAACTAAAAAGTAATAAATTGCTTCATAGTTGAGCCTTTGCAGTAAGTTTTCCTTTAACTTCATGAGAAATGTAACTAAACTGTTCCTAGACACTTCTAAATAAAAATCTTTAAGATGAGAATGGTAACATTAAAGTAAGCAAAGTCATTCTGGGCCTTATTTCAGGTTCTTTGGGCCAAGGCAAAAAATGAAAATCAAGCTTGAGTATTAGGTCTCTTTCTAAATGGAAAAAACTCATCAGTTAAAAACAAAACATAGCTAGGGTAAATGGAAAAAGATAAAAATGACCACCCTTTTATTTTATATCTCTGTGAAGTGATTCCTAGCTCTTGAAGTTGCCTTGCAAGCTTTTCTCCCCTTCCCCTCTTCTAATCACACAATCCTGAAGACTTCCTGGAAGGCAAACTGTGAAATCCACAGGTAAGAGAGCATTGACAATAGTATGAAGAAAAATAAAACCAGACTAAAATTCCTCACCTGTGGGTTATTTTAATTAAACATTTCTGATGTATGAGTGTTAAAAATACAAATGTAAGCAATTTACCCCTGGAAATGAAGACGCTGTATCCAATAAAAATAGAGACCATGTTTTGTTTTGTGATCATGTGTTTTTTAGCTAAAGTTAACTATGAAAAAATGGCTTTATCAATAGAATGATTGACTAGAAAGAAAAAAATCCGTGATAGATATATGCATAGTACGTGTGTGTGTGTTTGCATGACATCATTTTAATAAAAACTACAATTCGAAAGTCTGATAGCTCTGATAATTAACAATGGGAGTTAGTCCATTGTAAACTTGTGTCTGGGTTTTCAGTCTCCTTCCTTGTTTAATTATAAGCAAATTCCAATTTTACTGAGGCCAGTTGGAATTCACTACTGGGAATACAGATTATGTTAACTGATGTGAAGCCCTGTGATCCTGTTACATCTCTGTGTAGCCAAAACGCCTGCCCTGCTCGAGTCTTTTGCACTAGAGGCTGACCCGTCCATGTAGAAATGAACTATAGTAAACTCACTGACATCAGAGGTGAGCCTGGCTGATATCACTGGGTGTGACAAAAGACATCTCAATTTGTAAAAATTAAAATGTCATTCTTTTATGAATAATGTGTGAAAGCAAAAAGCATTTCACAGTCCTGTTTTTTCTTGCAGAAATTTTTAGAGAAAAAGTACAAGATATGCTCATAGAAGGGAGGCAAGATCTGATCTGCTGGATTAGGCAAATAACCCCTAACTGAGGCAAATATGCTTTGTTTGTATTCATTTCTATTTCTTAACTCTAACATCATTTATTTATTGAATAAATATTTTATGACCAGAAATTATGCACTAGATGCATTAATAATAAAGAGATAGGTATTAAAAATGTGTTTGCTCACTAAGTTTTGAACACAGGTAAAAAATCCTTTGAAAACGATTGGATGGTGGGTTACAGAGAATTTTACAATTACACAGTGACACTTCACCTAAGCTGAGTCTTGAAAACTGAGCTGGGGGAAAACTAAGATACTACCATTTGCCAAAAATAGAGAGAAAAGAAAGTTTAGGAAAGTACCTATACCCAGGAGTGATAAAAGTGCACAGAAAATGTGGGAAGATAGCAGAAACAAAGCTGAAGATGTGGGCAGTGGCAAGTCACAAAATCTCGTTCACTAAGTTAAGGAATTTGTATTTTATCCTGAAGTTGACAAACTTTGCAAAACTTACAGTTCTTGAAGACTGAGGTCATGCATAGTTTCTACTCCCAGAAAATGAATTCCATATTCTTCTTTAGAAATACTATTTTCCATATTTTTGATAACAATATTATACCATAGACCTCATTGGCTGTATTATTCCTAGATCATTTAACATTTTAACTACCGTTTGTGTATTCTTCTGCATAATTATGAGGAAGGAGACTACATCCCTGATTCTTTGAAAATGTAAATCCTTTTCAGTAGTTTTTAACAGCCCTAAGACACCCTGGAATAATATTTTTTCTAATTTTTCCTTTTTTCTTATCTCTCTTAACAAAGTTTGTGTTGGCTATTGAAAGAAATGAAGAAAAAAATACTGGTTTCAAAAGATATTTTAAGACAGAACTAAAGAGATAAGCAATATCAAGTGATGATCTTCCATCACTTCATTCTTGTTTTCCAGGAATTTCAACATCATTTGCATGTGACAGATTGGATACACACTATAAACTGAGTCACATCAGTCTTTTTTGTTAGAAAAAAAGTTTACTTAAAATATAGACATCATAAGTTATGGGAAATATAACCCTAAACTGAAAATTGGGGATTCCTTCGTGTAAATTCTGGTTCTGTTACACAGCAATAATATAACTCTTGTTAATTCACTTAATGAGGGGAATCAGAATTGGATTTTAACATTTCATCTATATCCAACATGTAGGGTGCTATTAGCTCAGGAGAAAATGTAATCTCAGAATGTGATGTCAAAAATTTTACTCTAAACTTGAAATAAAAAACAACATAAAATGCATATATAAGTGATATACTGCAGGCATCCACCCTAGTATTTGGTAAGTAAATATATCACTAATGAGAATAGGGTGTCTTTCAAGCCTAGTAAGAAACTTAGTACTGAAGTAATTTAAAAGACCTATATTTTGACTAATTCTAGTATTCTAAAGTCAATATTGGCTTAAACTATTTGTACAATTAAGATATGTTTAATTTTCTTTTCTTCATGAAAATGTAGAACTTACTACAATAATGTATTTTCATACTGGTACACGAATTGTATTGTATATGTTAACATGTAGTTAAATTTCTTTGAAAAAAATCTAGTGATGCAGATGAATATTTCAAAATAAACTAGTGAAGGTCATCTGGCTGCAACATCGCTCCATTGATCACCAGGGTTGTTTGGGCTGATCTGTCTGGCTAGGCAGGTGCCCCTTTCAACCTTACTGTTCCATGTGCATCCCTTCTGAAGCTGAGAGCTTAGTCAAAGAGAGCAACCTTCCCAGATAGAGGAGGACTGTTCATCATCCAGGGTGTACTGGTAGTTGTGCTACTGTGCTAGAACCTCCAGATAAGCTCTCAATATAAACCAGTGATTCTGAGAAATAGTTATATTTAAAAATAAATTGTTCTCCTGATTAGTATATTGCTTTAAATAAAGGCTCTGATGCACATTTTCATCTCTAATTTGTGAAATCTAAAATGTAGTTCACTGGAAATACAAAATGACCAAAAGAAAAATGTTTCCACAGATGAAATTCACTAAATAATTTTAGACTGACTTTTCAGCTCCTTGAAATAATGTTATTTCATCTCTCATTTTAAAGAAAAAGTAAACAATAAAAAGAAACTGCATATGTCACCAGAGAAATAAGGATGACAGAAATATACATGAAAATAGTTTTATAGGACATTTAAAGAAGAGTATATTTTTTATTTTCTATATTTAAAAACAGTGCTATCTAGAGTTAAAATGACTAGATTTCAGAGACTGAGCAAGTAGAAATTGAATGTGCTGCAGTTTTCAAAGGGCTTATTAGAAAACATACAAATATATCAAATTTGACAATGTGTAGATGTAAAGTGTGGCTATAGACCACAATATCCCCAAAACTTCTGATTTAGGAAGGAAAATTAGACAAAGGAGGAAGAACAGAGAGAAGAAATTTCATGGCTGGAAAATTTACAAATTAGGTTAAACAATTTGTTTTGACTTACATTTCCACTTATTTTTTTTTTAATTCAAGTCCTAAGTTTAATGTGTAATCAGTTTATCGAAAGAGTTTCAAGTCATCAGGGTACAAGCATAAATAATTTTAATTTTTCCAGTAATAACCTTTCAACCATGTTATGTTGTTCCACTTAATATTATTTTGGCTAAATTCCATCCCTTTCATGTTACATTTGGCTATTGTCATTGTGTCATTTTATTTTTAAGACTCAGTTCTGGTTTCCTCAAAAAGACTATTCTTAAACTTTGTTCTATGTTTATGTGCTTGTGTCCTCCCATCTCCCACCTCCACATTGAAGAGTAAGCTTTGATTGCCAAAGAGTGAGGGAGTGCGTGGTGGCCTGGCTTAGAGACATTTCTTCTTTTTTATCTAGGCACTAGTTTCTCTGCTGTAGAAGGCAGAAAGGAGGACAGAGAAGACAAAAATGTCCTAATGTTACGGCCCACATACCGATAAAAGGTGTTCCGAGACTCACCGATTGAGTCTGACACTGATCATCTCTGCTAATCATGCTATGCTTCAGAGTTGGTGTACGTGGTTCTCTTGGGGCAGTGTTCAGTGTCACCCCTGCCCTCCTTGCTGATAAGTAGAACCACCACGTGGAGTTGTGCAGTCTATGCACAAGGGTGCCCAGCGAATGAGGTAATTGGATGCTGAAATCCAGTCCCCACTCTGTTTCTCAAGGCTGTGTCCACTCAGTGGTGCTTTTGTCTAACTTGTACAAAGGACATAGTTAGAAACTCCTTCAGGGGGATATGTCTGCCTTTGGTACACCCCTAATGTATTTGTTAAGTTGGATGTGACATCAAGTTACCCAATGGTTGATCCTTCACACAGAGCTATGGGAAGAGTGAGGTACCTCTTCTACAATGCATACATTGTAGGGTCCTTCAAACAGTGCAAATAGTCAATATGCGATAGATGTTTTTCTTAAACTTTATGTCCTGCTCATTTTGGCTGTTACAGATATTTTCAACAAATTTTATAGCCCACACATCAAACAATTCCCTTTTCTTTCCAATAGTAGTAGGATGTAACCAAACAGAAAATTACCCCATATTCCCAGGACTCCAAAATTACATCCCAAGGACTCCCACACTACCTACTATGATATCTGAGTAACATCAGGGTGGTACTACATGCTGGCAACTTATTATGATTCCAACAAGAGAATGAGATGCCAGTGCCTTTGCTCAGATACCTCTAATCTTGATTTTCGTAGGATTTTCCTTATGAGGTTTTATTCTGTAAAAAGCACCTATACCCTTTAAAGAGAGGGAATAAACTCCCACTAAAATACTATTCAACCCATAAAGCCAACGACGCGTATCTCTCTAACCCTTCTTATTATGACTAGAAAGGAAGGTGGTAGAATATTCTTGGGAGTATGGCTAACATTCAGTTGGCACAGTTGTGAGGTGGCTTTCTCCAACTGTAGGCTGATTGATGCTTCCTTTAGATTGAGGAACACTTTCTGTTCTTAGGTCTCAGCCAATTCAGGAATAATAGTAAAAATTCTAGTTGGCACCTTATGGTTCCCTCAGCTATTACAGAGACTTATAATGAAACCATATTCTCAGTTTCCAGCCTTTCCAATGTATCAAAACACAAATTTGTTCTTTTTTTTTTCTTTAAGATAGGGTCTCAGTGTCACCCAGACTGGAATGCAGGGGAGCAATCACAGCTCACTCCAACCTCTGCCTCCTGGGCTCAAGCGATTCTCCCACTCCAGCCTCCCGAGTAGCTGGATTACAGGCATGCATCACCATGCCCAGCTAAATTTTTTTGTATTTTTAGTAGAGATGGGGTCTTACTATGTTTTCCAGACTGGTCTTGAACTCCTGGGCTCAAGCGATCTGCCTACCTTGGCCTTCCACAGTGCTGGGCTTATAGGCATGAGCCACCACACCCGGTCACAAATTTGTTCTAAGAGAAATTTCTTCATGTATCTTTGATACAAAACTTGCAATTCCTCCACAATACACTGAGAATAAAGTCCAAAATCCTCAGCATACCATTTTAGTCTTCCACAAACTAGTCCCAATTTGCCTTTTTTGTCCCTTCCTTCAGTGTACCCTCCCAAACTCCCATGGTTCTACTTTCCCACATTATCCATCATCCTAATACTTCTCACATCAGTGCTTTTCTAAAGCTGTGTACATTACTTAGACTGTCTTTTCGATTATCTCTCCCCAAAAACCCGTCTATTGCAACTGTTCACGTCTTCCAAAGACAGGCCATAATTCTACTTTCATCATGGATATCCATCATCCCTATCAGAATTAATCAATATTTTATATGAATTTCCTTATTAGTTTATGTCCCTTATATCATAGCTTCCAATAGATCTTTGCTGAAAAAATTGAATTTAAAGTCTCTTCCAGTTGATTGTGAAATCCTCAAAGTAGGAATTATGCCTTTGTCATTTTTAATTCCTCCCAAAACTTAAACAGTATAATCTATGTAGTAAATACTCAACATAATGTTCAATAAATTAAATTGAAAATCAGATGTGGTGAACAGACAGTAAGAAACTAACCAAGACCATTTCTCAATTTGTCTCTATTTGAATTATGAAGTAAAAATAGTTTTTAGGTCCTTATAGGAAAAAAAAAAAGTTGGTTATGGGAACATTCCTAATGGCACTTTGAAAATTATTTCTGCATGCTTAGAAGAATCTCCTATTTCCTAAGGGGAATTGTCATAAAGTTAGGGTGAGTTTTAGTCTCTTCCAGGAGATAGGGCAGGAAATTCAGGTGAACTTTGTTACAACTTGCATTTTTCCCCTCTGACTAGGTGAGAGTGTAAATTTTGGTGAAGGCATTGAAAATGATGGATAGTAAACACAAAACAAGTCTGATTTTCAATCACATTTCTGTTCTTTCAAATTTGGAAATATGCCTGCTGCTCACCTCCAAAATGGCCTTCTATTTGGCTGATATTGTTTGGGCTTACTTCTATTATAACTTATAGAATTATTATTTTACTCAAACATATGAGAATCTAAAATGGGTTCTCAATAAAGGTAAGAGAAATTAAATGTTAGCTGAATGAATTAAGATTTTCCTTATTTGAATTCTACCTTGTCATCATTTTACATAATGCTTTAAAAATACATTTTAATTAAAATGTGATGGTTCCAGGATTATCACAATGCCTCTCTAAAAATGATAATTCAGCAGCCGAAAGGTAAGACAATCTCCTGATGATCCACAGCTATTAACATTAAACGTGTTAACTGAATGCAGGTGCCATGAGAAAAAACTTCCAGGCATGCGTACAACTTTCTAAACACACTGCGCATGCTCAATTCCCAAGGGTAAGGAAGGCACTGCCCACATAGGAAGCCCACCCTAAGGGAAGAATCATGGGAAAAAGGCAGCCTATAAAATCTCAGGATCAAAGTTAAAGGCTCTTTTTGTCTCTCTTTGACATTCAGGCACTCACTTGGATCTTGTCCAAGGGTTCTTTCCTGTTCTAAAGCCCGTTAAATAAACTTCCATTCCTGCTCTGGAACTTTCCTCGGTCTCTTTTTCTGTTTTATGCCCCTCAGACGATTTCTTTCTTCTGAAGAGGCAAAGACTGAAGTTGCTTCAGAACCGCTCGGGGTAACTCGGATCTCTTCTACAGCTAACAGTACCTCTTTTATTTTAGTATGTGATTTTTACTTAGACATATATGAAATACATTTGATGATAAGAAGATGATTTTTAAAAAAAGAAAGAAGAAAGGGAGAGAGAGGAAGGGAAAAAAAGAAACAAGGGAAGAAAAAATTGAAAAAGGATTCAAACATTAGTCTGTCTAGTAAACTGGTATAAGCTCAACAGAAATCTGTTTTCATAAGGACCAATTAACACCCTAAGAGATAATCCATCCAGAGAGATGAAAAAAGAAACAGCCAGACAAGAGGAGTCTGACCCAGAAAGGAAGCATCAATGTAGAAATGGAGAAACAAAGTATGATTTTTATCACCAGCTTTGTCTCCTAGCCCAGATCTCAAATTATGGTTGAGTTCTACAAAAGGCAAAGAGATTGTAAGTAATAATGTAATTTCTTAACTAAAAACACTACGCAACACTGGGTGTAGAAATAGAGCTGTTTTAGGACCTTTCAGATGGTGTAATGTAAATAGAGATGCAGTCTCCACTTTCTCTTTGACCATGAAACAGCTTCAGTGTCATGAAAATCCAGTAAAGCAGTGCAGTGATCAGGGAAACATGCAAAGCATCCATTACAAGATTGCAGCACAGGAGCACAGGGGCGGTAGTGGCCAAGACAATGGAGAGGAGCCCAGTGAATCCTCATGAAAAACATTGCCACCCACTGGAGCCCATGGAGACTGTTGTACTCTTAAGAACTAATTGCAGTGGTCAGACAAAAGGAGTACCAGGAGTAGTACTATAATGCCTAAAATGATTGTGCTCACTCCTCAGTACATTTGATTCACCTCATTGGGATTTCTGAAAGTACTTGAGGTGCATTTAGTGTAAAGTCCTGTATAAACAAAATGGAAACTCACCTATGAATTGCAGAGACCCCGCTTGCACCCCCAAGAAGATGAAGCCAGAGGAAATTTCAGTTACCTACCACCACCCACCCTAGAGCAAAGTGGCTAGAAATCAAATTCTGGTGGTCTTCTGTCACTTAACATGAATATTAGAAATATCAGTGGATTGCCAATGCAGTGGCTCACGCCTATAACCCTAGCACTTTGGGAGGCCTAGGCAGGAAGCTTACTTGAAGTCAGGAGTTCGAGACCAGCCTGGCCAACATGGTAAAACCCCGTCTCTACACAAAATACAAAAATTAGCCAGGCATGGTGGCTCCTATAGTCCCAGCTACTCCAGAGGCTGAGGCACAAGAATCACTTGAACCAGGCAGGCAGAGGTTGTAGTGAGCAGAGATTGCACCATTGCACTCCAGCCTGGGTGACAGAGCAAGACTCCATCTAAAAAAAAAAAAAAAAAAAAAAAAAAAATCAGTAAATCAAATAGAAACTTTTAGAAATAACTATGCTTAGGTTATATCTCATCAAATTTATATATCAGATTCATTGTATTTTTTAACAATGTAACTTGATACTGAAAGACATAAGTTTTTAAATAGCTGAATTTAATATTTTTACAAGAAATAAAACTGCTCTCCTGGGAACCCTTAATAACTATTACTTATAGTTTTTTTAAAAGGAGATTTTGTAACATCATGCTTTTAAAAGTATGTTTAAGTAAATACATTATACTTGCAATAAATTAACATTGTAATAGTATTCTCATCATATAAACATTAATCAGAGTTCTGAAAACCAACTTGAGAAAATACACTATGCTTTCCATATTCATGCAGTAGTACTGTTACAGATTATGTAAATTTGAGTATACTGATAACTTACAACAATGATAAATCCTATTCAATGACCAATTTAACCTCAAGCACTATTAATGCAACCAAATTACTAGAATAAGGCATGATAAATACAGCCATTTCAAAGATTTAAAAGGCCTGTTTCAAATTATTTGGATGTTAATATTGTCATTGGTCATGAGGTTCAATCTGATGTACATGTTTAGACACTAACGTGTTGTATCTAAATCATCTATATATAGTTGACTTCCTATTATATATAAAAAATTCTTAAATAGTATTTTAACAGAATACCTAAAAATCTAAAAACAAGGAATATCTCTGCCTTATAGTAACTCTTCATATATTGTTTCAAAACTTTACTCTTTGAAAAATTCCTCTTTCGACCTGTCAGTTCCATATGGACTCCACTTGTGGATCTAGGGTGATGCTAGTGGAAACATCATCTACAGGGATTCTTCAGGGCAGGAAGAGTGATTATCCTCAATTCCCCAAGGCAAAATAAGCATGTTCACATTGTAACAAAATGAATAACCATGTTCCAAGCCAGGAACACAAACCAAGGTGGAAAACTACAGGATGAGAGTTGATAGTAGGTGGAAGAATAGAACATGAAGGCAAAACTGAGGATTGGATATAAGGTCAGGGTGAAAATGTAAAGATCAGAAGCAGATGAGAAGTGATATGATGGAGGAAAGAAGTTCTGATTCAAACATGCAGGATGCCAGTGACCACAGCATGTACCATGCAGTGATTTAAAGGAAGAAGCTGTGTAGGGCAGGAAAGCAAAGAGCATAAAATATTTTTACAAGGCTTCTCTGATGTCTCCTTCCGGAATTAAAATTCATATAAGCTCCTCAACTAATACAAAAATTAAATAACATAACTCATAAGATTATAAGCAACAGTGGTAAGGAAATTCAAAAAGAATTTCATTTTATTATTTCCCAAAAATATGAAAGTTTGATTATTAATAAGTTAAACTCTAAAGAGATAGCAGATCTTCTAAACCATAATCCCACTTCACTCCTTTGAAAAGAAGTGTTGAAACAGCTCAAGTCCAACGATAGTTGCAGGGATCCTAGAACCAAGGGCTAGACTTTCGTAAGATAGATGTACCCCAACTAGGAAAAACCAACATGTGCGCCTTAGACTATGCTCTGGGCATTGGGCAATGTTCCTTTGACTTTCTTTTCTTGGATTTATCATTCCTTACCTTTATAGTAACCATTTTTAGTGTGTCAATTTTACAATCTGGGTCTGAAAGAGAAATTGGCCTGAAAGGAGAAATGCCTTGAAAAGTTACTTGGTATACTAGTAGGATAGACTCTGAGCATGAAGCAACGAAAAAGCATTTCGATATTTAGTGTTCTTTTCAGGTCCACACCCCATGGCCCTCCTATAAGAAACTGTAGAGTATCTTATGGTTTCTAAGAGTCATAGCACTGTTCCGGTTTTTGCTATTCCTAAAATCTAGTTGCTTAAATTTCCCTTGGATCCTATTGAATAACCCAGTATCCTCTTAATAATTTCCTTTGAGTTTTGGATAAGATGCCTGGGTTATTTTCTATTGCTTGCAATCAAATGTAGACAATCTCTAAAATGATCCTATCAATCTCATTAAGGCCAGGCCTTCTAATTGGGAGTCAAAGGATAATTATTTTTCTTAATTGCAGTAAATGTGCAAATTGATCTCTTCTTTTGACTCTGCATCAAAGAAGAGCAGTTTATGAATAAACTGAGGATGGTCCAGCTATCTCAATAATAGCCCATGGCAAATATAACACTATAAATTATGTGATGGTAAGAGTGCTTTTGAGAACTTGTCAAAAGAAGCAAGCAAATAAACATGAGCTGGGAAGATTGTACCTTTAATTCTTTGGATTTCCTGAACTTCTTTGTTTAAAAATATTCCTGCTACATCAGCACATCTCTCATAGAGAGAACGTATAAATGAAGGAATTAGTGAAAGAAAAAAAACACGTTTTGAAAAATTTAAAATAATTTATTTAGTATGCTAAGGACTCCTTGAAGTTTTCTGGCTTTTCTTCCCTCAGTTATCCAACAGTGAGTCGGTGGCAAAACTATTTTTCTGCAACCCCCTACACAGGAGAGAACTGCTTATTTTGAGTGTAGGTGGAAAAAAAAATCATTTGACAGCATTGACAGTCAGAACAGCCATTGATTCCATTGTTTATTTTGTTCTTTAAATACAGATTGATCTATTTTTTTTAGTTCTTTTTAAATTTCCTTTTCAGATGACAATAGAAATAGACACATGAGAGGCGCTTATTGTAGCAATCCTGTAAAGCTTTCTCATTTTATATAATACAGTTGGCAGAGTTCAACTTTCTACCAACCTGTATCTAAAATATTTACATTTAAAATGCATTGCCTAGGGCAGATGGTACTGAATATTATTAATGTGAAATGTTATAATTATTCTGATATTTATTGTGTTTCTTTGGTTCACTGCTGTTTTCCATGTTTCTCGATTCATTCTGTACTTAGAATGCCTACCACATAGGAAGGGCTTAGTAAACATTTGTTAACTAAATGAAAATCATTACCTGAGAAAGATATTTAATCTGTCATTATATCTTACAGAGAGAGAAAAATAATATTACAAAATAAAAAATATATATAAGGAGAAATAATTTGTAATTTCTTTGGTTTTATTCTAGGTTCAAGTTTTAGACCATGTTTTACTATATTTAAGTTCTGCAAATAAAGTGGCCATGTTATGAATTAACAATCATTTTAGAAATGGAATGTCTTTTCTGTGACATTAAACATTAATTTTCCTGACCAATAGTTAAACCCTAAAAAGAAAGAACATTAAATGTGTTTCCACAGTACAAACTGTTCAATCTAAGTTATAAAAATATTTTAGAACATATTTTGATTTTTAAAATTACTGCTCTATATGCCTTTTTAGTTTGCTTTTGAAGGTTTTATGATGAGTTTCAGTACATAATTTGCACCCATTATTACCCAAGAGACGTACTTCCATTGACCAAGAAGAACATTGTTTTGTTTTCCTTCCTAAAAAACATCTATTATTTTCTCTTTGTTCACTGCCTGATGGAAACTCTACTAGGAAATAAAATACAGTCTCTCAGTAGTCATGTTCAAATTAGACACAAATTGTAGAAGCACTTTTATTAAACAGGGTGACTTTTAAAAAAATCAAAAACGAATCCAGTGCACAAGCAAAAACTACAATTCTAATCAAATCTATATTATTGCATTCCTAAATACATTATTTTATAAAATAATATTTGCATAGTTGAGGGAAGAGAGAGCAAGTAAAATAATAAATTTAAATTTAAACTTATTTGAGAATTTGGTCACTGCCTGAAAGAATTTATATGCTATATCATTCAAAAACTTTTATTTTAATGATCACTAGTTTTTATTTAAAATATATTGCAACAAAAATTTTATAGCAAACACCATAGATAAAAATAAAACTTTTTATATACAAAGACTCGAATTAGATCATAGTTTTTCCATAAATTCTCATAAACCTCTCTTCTTACCCACAAATTGTTCCCTGCTTTTATTTTTTAATGTTGACTTTAAAGTCAATTAATAGACATCACTGTATTCAAAATCTTTCTAATATGTTCCAAGGCTGTCACAGAGTAAAATAGTTCCTTTCCTTATAATAATTCATCTGGACTTAGTTATGCTTTCAGTTTTGAAAAGTGTAAGAGCACCAACCATCTTTAATTGAAAAAATTATTAAAATTTGTTCTCCAAGTATAAAACAAAAAGAACTAAGAAACCAAATGCATTTAGTTAGAAATAAACAATGGTGCATTATGCTTGGCTTCCACTTCTACTTTAGATTTATTGACCACTTAGAAACAGAAATAAAAGTTACTGTCTTAGTCCAAAGCTGGGAAAGTAAAGTCTAGTTAAATTAGGTGCTATTACTTTAAAAAAAAGAGTAATAAAGGATAAAATACCTTCATCAAAGCATTAGCTGTACCTCTGGCTATTTTGGTTTTCTGATGTAGCAAAGAAAAAGAAAAATAACAAATATTTTAAAATATTATATCATTTTATAAATTTGTTAGGACTCTATTACACTTAGCTTATGGAATTTTCAGAATGTGACTTTGGCTTCTACCACCATTGTAATATTTTTTTTTGTTAGAGACACTAACAACCTTTTACATGATAAATCCAGTAGATTTATTTCCATTTTTATGCTCCTAGAGCTGAATACAACATCTCATATTGACTACTCCTAAATAAATCTTGGATATCTCTTTCACTCATGGCTTCCATGACACTACTTTTTCTTATTTTTTCCTATTGTCATGACTACTCCTTTTTAGCGACATGCTTTTTGTTTTTTACTTCAACTTTTAATGCTATTCACAGTGCCAACCTTGCACAATTTTTCTTCTCAATGCACACCATGATGATTTCAACTGCCACACATTCTTCAATGATTTTTATAACTCTATCCAAGAACTACTTCTTTGATCTAGAAACATATACATAACTGCCTTCTGGATATGTCCACCCAATTGTCCCTCAAACACCTGAAGCTCAGTATGCCAAAAATTGAATTACTTACCTTCTTCCCTAAATTTAGTTTCTTGTTCTTCATTGCTTATGAAGGTAACAGCATTTTATGGCATCCATTTTCCCAGGCCAGAAATATATATCACTTCCTTTTCTTCATCACCTTCATTTATTGCTCTTAAATGTCTGTCATCTACCTCCTAAACATCTTTCAAATCTGGAACCTCCCATGGCCCACATTCCCATTACCAGTAACATAGTATAGACTTTTATCAACTTGTTCTATGGCTATTAATTTGCCTTACGACTCCCAATTCCACATAATATGCTTCCAATACCCATTTCCACACAGTATGCTTCAACCCAAGCATACTGAAACCAGGGCAATCTTCCCAAAAGAACAAATCTGATTATATTTCTTCTACTTAAAATCTGGTAATGTCTCTATTTCAATAAACCTCAGATCCTAAGAAATGTAAAACAGGGCTTAAGTGATCATATTCCTTCTACCCACCTTTACAGTCTCATTTCTTTTTATTATGCACACAGACACACACACACACACCCATAACCCCCACAGACACACACACAAACACATACTGTTCTTTTGCCAGGTTGAACTATCTGTAGTTTCTTAAAAGTCTCTTGTTTTTTCGAGTTCACAGTCTTTTCACATGCCTAGACCGCCTTCCTACAGTTTTCTTGCCAAACACATGAGCATCTCTGAAATATCATTTAGTATGTCAGTGTTTAGGCAATGAAATGAATGTTCTTCTTCATATTCATTATGATCTATATTATAGTAATTTGTTATTTATTATAATTATGGGTTTAATTTTTTCCCTCTCCAAGCTATATTATAGAGCAAGAGCTGTTCACCTTAATCTTTGTATCCCATTACAAAATGATAGACAGTTCCTAGCATTATTTGGTCTTCTACAAATATCTGATAACTGGATTAATGAATAAATAATTCTTAAAATCATAAAATAATATAATTTGTTCTTATTTTATATTTCATTGAGAATATACTAAAATATTATTTGAGGACATTTTTTATCATCTCAAGAGATACCTAGGCAACTGTCATTAGACAAGAAAGATTTGAAAAATCTGAGAAGGTGAGAAGAGAAACAACAAAAAAAGTTTTTTCCTCCTCGAACATTTAAGAATCACTAAATTGCCAAATATTGTTGCATAATATGCCATTATCTAAATTTCTAAAACATCACCCTTCTTTTTTTAATTTTTATTTTTTATTTTGTCAATAGATTGAGGGCATTTTCAAGAATGTAAGTACAAGTCACCATGAGATTTGTATCTGGGTACCCCAAGAACAGAATAGTGACAGGAGCCCAGAGAACCAATATACCATGAATACCATGGCGGTGATTACTATATCTTAGTGGTTACCAAATGCTCACTAAATGTTTCTAGATTTGCTGGTAATGATAGTTCCCACTGATTTACAGCTTTACTCCTCTGCAACTTTGAAACTAAATGGGCAATTGCTTCAATTGACAAAGTTGTGTTGTGTATTAATAGATACTTAAAGCACTTTCTTATTTTTTTCATATTTTAAAAAGTTATCTCTAGTTTGCAAAAACAGCAACTGGAATTACTCAGAGAAGCTTAAAAAATAAGAAGAAATCACCTTAGTTTCTCATTTAGATTTCAACTCATAAGATATAGCATACTAATCTTACCTACTGGCAAACAGCTCTTTAGAGGAAACCAATTAA
Source organism: Homo sapiens (assembly GCF_000001405.40). Classification (NCBI taxonomy): domain Eukaryota; kingdom Metazoa; phylum Chordata; class Mammalia; order Primates; family Hominidae; genus Homo; species Homo sapiens. The sequence goes on along the minus strand of NC_000002.12, from coordinate 187,110,338 downwards.
AAATAGCATTTATTTAGCACCTTTTAAATGAAATATATGTTTATAAACTTTTTTTACCTCAACAACAGAAAAAGTTACAAAAGAAGATGATAAAAATGCAACAGTTAAAATTTTAAAAAATACACACACTATGATAATATCGTTTTCATGTGATTTGTCAAACAAGCAACAATCCAATAATGAATCCTCTGAAGACTATGAGATACTGACTTGGACTAGAAAGTTATCCCACAATACAGAAAATGTGTTAAATTTATTGTTTTTTTGAAAAATGAGTTGATTTTTACCAGGAGTAGTAGTATATTTTGAAAAGGAAAATAATATTTTCTGGTCCAACATGAGAAGAAAACATCACCAAACTGACATATTCTGAGGACTTTGAAAAATCACAGGCAGACTTTTAGTTTCTGGTCCAGGAAATAAGGAGCTTGCAAGTTGCCACTTTAGCCAAACAAGTAAAAAGCTGAACAAACTTAAAAAAAAAAAAAAGTCAACAACTCTTCTTAGATCCACAAGAAACTCAGATCACAGGGCAAACTCTTGTCCCCCAAATGGGAGAAACAGACATATGAGTACAGAGAATCACCAATTACTGGAGTAGAAGCCTCCATAGGAATCATTGACAGGTAGAAAATCCCAAACTGTAATTAATACATTGCCAGAGGCAAATTGGGGGACAAGCCTAAAAGTCAAAAACTCTAGGGGCACCCAGTCTTGGGGGATCTCCCTACTTTTCTTAGTTTTACTTCTAGAACCTCATCCAGGTTCTCACAATAAAAATCAGAGAAAAGTTCCCGATGCTTTCAAAAGGAGAATGGGGAAAAGTTACCATTTAAAATATATTCAAGCATTTCGTTCTTCTTAACAAAGTCTACCCTTAGGAGAAACTGTGTAAGCAGAGCCTTACCAGCTGGGGTTTTATGGGAGCCTAACAGACCTGAAGGAAGAAAAATAACCAACTCCAGCCCATTCTAGCTATTTTGTCTTACCAAAGGAAGAGTGATGTGTATACTGAGAAGCACTTATGAAATTCACAGTCCAGAAGCATAGGCCCACTAAGACTGAGACCTAATCATAGAACTATGGAATGCTTATCCTCCCCAAAAACCTTACCACCACATCACTAAAGACCTATTTAAAGAACCAGGTAAAGGCCTATTTACAGAGTTCCTTGTATTCAAAGATTCATGCCCAGTTATCAAGAAAAAGTTACAAGACATACAAGAAGGCAATAAACATAATTTGAGAAGACAGAGTCAGATATGACAGAAGCAGACTCAAATATGACAGGAGTGTTGGAATTATAAAAGCAGGAAAATTATCAAATGAGGAAAGTTGGAGTTTTCAAAGCAGGAATTTAGAACAACTATGATTAATATACCAAGGCCACTAATGGAGAAAGTAGACAGCATGCAAGAAATAATGGATGCTCAAAGCAGAGAGATGGACATTCAAGAAAGAACAAAAGAAATGTTAAGATATCAAGAACACCATAACATAAAAAAAATATATATTTGATGGGCTTATTACTAGACTGAATACTGCTGAGGAAGAATCTCTGAGCTTGGGGATATATCAATAGAATCTCTAAAACTGAAAAACAAAGAGAACAAAGACTTAAATAAAACACCAAGACAGAATTTCCAAGGACTGTTGAGACACTACAGAAGGTGTAACATGTACAATGGGAATACCAGGATAAGAGAAAAAGAGAGAGAAACATAAGAAATATTTGAAACAATGATTACTAATTTCCCCCAAATTAATGTCAGACATCAAACCAGATCACGTTCCAGATCTAGGAACGTGAGAAAAGACCAGTAGCATAAATGCCTAAATAAATAAATAAATAACTATACCTAGGTATGTTATACCTAGATAGAAAATCAAACAGAAAAAAGAAAATCTTGAAAGAAGCCAGAGGAGAAAAACATCTTATTTACAGAGGAGCAAAGGTAAGAACCGTATCCAACTCCTCCTCAGAAACCGTACAGCCAAGAAGAGAGTGAACTGAAACATTTGAAGTATTAGGAGAACGAAATCACCAACCTAGAATTTTGAGGCTGGTGAAATTATCCCCCAAAAGTAAAGAAAAAAATAAGACTTTCTTAAACAAGCAAAAATTTAGGAAATTTGTTGCCAATGAATCTGCCTTGCAAGGCATGTTAAAAGAAAATCTTTATATATATATATCTATTTTATATATATATATATAAAATGCTATATATCTATAGATCTATAGGTATCTATAGTTATATATAGATTTATATATCAATTTTATCTATAGTTATAGATCTATATGTATAGATCTATAATTTTATATATATATAAAGATTTTCTTTTAACATGCTTTGCAAGGCAGGTTCATGTATATATAAATTATATATATATAGTTATAGATCTATATATATAGTTTTATCTCAATAAAACTGAAACAAACTAAAATTCAAAAGAATTTTGTAAAACTCCTGGAATAAAGGAGCAATACAGCAAAGTTGCAGCATATAAGTTTAATATACAAAAGTCAATCATTTTCCTATATATACTTGATCCTTGAACACAGGTTTGAACTGCATGGGTCCACTTATCTATGGATTATTTTTTCAATAAATATATTGGAAATATTTTTGGAGATTTGAACAATTTAAAGATAAACTGTGTAGCCTGGAAATATAGAAAAACTTAAGAAAAAGGTATGTTATGAATGCATAAAATATATATACTATTTTATAATGTACTACAATAAAATATACACAGATCTACTATAAAATGTTAAAATTTAGGTTCCCCATTAGCGCAGTAGGTAGCACATCAATCCCATAAAAAGTTAAAATGTATTAAAAATTGCACACACACCCCTACACAGCTACATGATACCATTAGCAGTTGAGAGAAATGTAAACAAATGTAAAGATGCAGTATTAAATCACAACTGCATAAAATGAACTGAAGTACATACTGCACTGCTATAATAATTTCATAATCTCTGTTCTATTACAATGAGCTTGTGTTGCAAGTATCTGCTTAAAATGACAGTAATCATCTCCTCATGAGCAGTTCATCTCTCCAGTAAATTATGTATCATAGTAAAAAGTGATCTTGCTTATTTTTCATCATGTTTAGGGCAAAACCGTAAGCCTTGAGTAATATCATGGGACCCAGATGAAGTGCCACTAGTGATGCTGAAAGCGCTTCCAAGAAGCAGAGAAAAGTCATGATATCACAAGAAAAAGTTGAATTGCTTCATATGTATAGTAAGCTGAGGTCTGCAGCTGTAGTTGCCCCACATTTCAGACAGAAAATTCATCTTATAAATGGATTATATAAACTTATGGTATTAATAAATACACTGAGGTATTGTAGATGTATTTTCTCTTCCTTATGATTTTCTTAGCAGCATTTTCTTTTCTTTAGCTTACTTTATTGTAAGAATATAGTATATAATGCATATATAAAAGATGTCTTAATTGACTGCTTATGTTATCGATAAGACTTCTGGTTAACAGTGGACTATTAGTAGCCTACTATTTTGAGGGAGTGAAAAGCACAACTGTAAAAAAGGGAGAAAGACCTTCATATTAAAAGGAAAACTTTTACCTTGTTAAGTGTTAGACATAGCATAGAGACACCAACATAAGGCTGTTCAATAGGGATAAGAATTTATACAATTATACATACATAAATATGGAAAGAAACTAAGAGGTGATGCATGTAGTGCAAGCTCACTCCCAATGCAGGATTTCTTTCTACAACATTTTCAATGAAAGTTTGTTTATACAACCTCTGCCTGATATATGCAGTGACAATAAACTCACTCCTTTTAGAGAAAGCTTGATATATTCATCTTTGATCATCTACAATGACAAACATTTCCTGTGAGCTAGCCATTTGCCAGATACCACTCTAGGAGCCATGGATACAAGCATGCATAAAAAAATGTATTCCTTAAATTGTACTTAATTCCATCTCACTTTAACTTCAATCTATTGGTATTACTTCTTGTAGAACCACACAGAACTCCAAATTGTTCCTTTTATCCAGTTAACCATTCTCAGCTACTGTTCATATTATTGCTTTGCAGGAATGTTTATAATCCAGATAGCTTCCATTTGTTCCTCTTACAGTGTAGTATCATGGACTACAAACAATATTCCAGATATTGAACAAGAAATTTAAAGCAAGAATCAATACTTTCTTCATGTGAAAAATAACTATTTCTAACATAGATAATTTGGTTAGAATTCCATTTAATACATTCTAGTGCCAGAATAGCAAATTAACATGATTTTAGTATCATAAGACATTATTCTAATATAAAACAAATCTAAGGTAAAAGTGTTTTAAAGGTTAAAAGTATTATGTAAAAATAATGCAGTGGCTATTATTAAATTCCATTATATGGCTTTAAAATATCACAAAGACTGGACTAGAAAATGTTGCCATGACAAGAAAGATAAATGTAGAAATATTTTCCACATGGGTGACAGTGGAGCCCATGAGTGTCTTAACAAGATTTCACAGGACAGAATGTTGAGAGAGAAAAGTAAAGACAAGTTACACTTATAAGACTCATTTGCTAAGATAAATTAATCACTGCACTTCAAAAGGTGAATAGGTACATAAAGAAATGTTTTACTATATTTCTTTCTGTTTTTATGGATTGTGTTGTTCTGAATAACCAAAGTATGTACTCTGGCATGTTATTTTTTATTCAACTACTCTAAAAAGTCCTGGACTTCAGGAAGATTCTGGAACAGCATTCTCAGGTTTAACTTCCCAGGAATTCTCCTGGGGACATTGAAAAATCACTGGATAGGGAAAATTTTTATAAGGAGAATTCTACTCCAAAAAGGACAAGTAACATAATCTCCTAATCAGATAGTAGAGAGAGTCTCAACAAATGCTCATGTTTCTCCCATTTGCAATTTTCCCGCAAAGTGTCTTGGCACTTGTTAAAAGGCAGGGTTAAGAGGCAGCAATACAGCCAATTTGGCTGATCAGACAAAAGTAGATTTTGCCAACTTCTGAGAAAGAGGGTGGTTCATCCGTGACAGTCCAAAATGATATATGTTGAGAATTTGTCAATATTTCAAAAGCCGTGAAGAAAATGTGTTGAACAGGCTTTCAAATGAAAACAAATAAAAATTTATATCGAAAACAATGAGAATATTTAACATAAGAAGAATGCATTAGAACAAATATAATTACCTGCAGCATTGGGTTTCAGGGAGCTTATTTATTAAGAAGCTTTATTTTTTTTTCTTTGGACATGTACCATAAAATCAATACACATAACAATGAGGGAATGTTTTGGTTAATAAACTGGTAGTTTGTGATGATGAAATAAACATGGAAAGGAGGAGTGGTAAATAAGGCAAAAATAAAAAATAAAAAATCGGCCAGTTCAAAAATCTTTTGCTTGGCTTTCGGTGTGCTTTTGCTCTAGTAAATTAATTATGGCATGCCCAGAGCTCTAGAAACCTCACTACTTCAAAGTATAGAATGCTGACACGCTGGGAAGATCTACACGGTCCAAAACAAAACTCTCTTTTTATCCTCAGCATTTAACTTTACAGGTCATCATTACTTTGTATTTTCTAGCGTCACCTTCAGTGAGCATGATCTGGGGTTTTTGACTATTCTAATTCTAATTCAATATGGATAAGTATTTAAGGAATTATAAATAATTAAAGTTGGAAAGAAAATATAACAGGTGCTTCTTCTCTTGGCTTCTAACCCACATTTATTAAATTCTTGCTCCACCAAGATTGCCCTCTGCTCTGAGGTTACTGTACCCACTCCCAAGCAATAGCTTAGATTCTCTTATGACCCCTACTTATACTGAGCTGATCTCCAATTATTTGTCACTTCTTTGTCTTGTCTTGGAATCAGTGAAAAGCGTAGTGAATTATTACACCCCGAAACTTAAAATAAGTTGAGCGGTCATTGTTTAAATTAATTCCAAGGTTATTGCGTACAATTGAAATATATGTTTATTTTCCCCTTTATTAAACAATTAGCCCATATCTACAGACAGGTGTTTTTGTCTTTTTTGCTTCCATATTCTGCTTCCACATTCTCTGGAACAATTCATATTCTGCATCCAAATCCAAAAACAATATTCAGATTTCACTGTCTCCAATGTTGATAATGGCTTATTAAATCAAATCTAAATACTCCCTTTATACAATTTCAGGATTTCTTCCAAGTAAAAACACATACCTCACCATCCTATATCCTGTTGAAATTCAAGTTTTTGCTCTTTGCCTCGGTAAAGTCAGATTTAGATAATTTGAGATTTATGCTATTTTCACTGATGACCAGTGGGAGATATGTATATATTAAACATACACTGTGACTGTATGACAAAATATATATGTCAATTAATATGATTTAGCCCTTCAACATGTATACATATTTCAGGATATCATGTTGTACACCATAAATGTATACAGTAGTTCCCCCTTATCCATGGTTTTGCTTTCCATGGTTTCAGTTGCCTTAGTTAGGTCAACCATGGTCCAAAATATTAAATGGAAACTTCCATAAATAAACAATGTATATGTTTTAAATTGCGTGCCATTTTGAGTAGTGATGAAATCTCTTGCCCCCCAACTCCTACCTGCCCAGGATGCAAATCATTCCTTTGCGCAGCATACCTACAAAGTATACGCTACCTGAATGTCAGTCAGTTAGTAGTCTAGGTTACTAGTGCTTATGTTCAAGTAACCCTTATTTTACTTAATTCTTCTATTTTATTATTATTGTTATTAATCTATCATTTTGTCTGAATTATAATTTAAACTTTACTGTAGTTATATATTTACAGTATTAAAATACATGGTGTGTATAGGGTTCAGCACTTTCTGAGGTTACAGGTATTTACTGTAGGTCTTGGAATGTATTCCCTACAGATAAGGGGGGGACCGCTGTATAATTTTTTATTTGTCAATTTAAAGTAAGTTGATTTTTTAAAAAACAGTATGGTGCTGGCAAAAAAACAGACACACAGACGAATACAACAGAATACAGAGCCCAGAAAAAAAGTAGACACTGCAACAAATATTAAAATAAAATAAAATAATAAAAATAAAAAAATAAAATTTTTCTACATGGAAAAAAAACAAACTATCCAACAGAGACAAATATTATTATTGTTTAATTCATTCACTCTACAGATATGTATCATTTGCCTGTTCTGTGCCAGGTACTGATTTAGATGCTGGATATACACAAAGAACAAGAGGCAGTCTGTATTTGAAAAGAGTGTTTGTCACTTACAATAATGTTTACACATCCTTGTTGAAGCCAGAATTTCAGATATATCTCACAAAATACGAGCCTCAAAGAAGACACCGATTTCCGCTTGAGATATACACAAATTCTGAAAGTTGCTACCTTGAAGGTTTTAACCTGGGGTTCAATTTCCATTTGAATTGATTAAATAAATAAGAAGATGTAAAACTATATATATCCAAAATATTTACCTAAAAATTTTTAATGTCCAGTCTCTGCTATATATTTGCTTCGTTGGTTGAATTAGTAATAAGTAATATTTAGAACTGCATGCATCCCAAGCAAATGAAAGAACCAGTAAGTAAGACAGAACATGTTGTGATCACATCTTGTTTTCTCTGGGATAGTGAACTAGCTATGGCAGAATTCCCTTTGGTAGAGATGGTTCCAAACTTCTTTTAAAAGTTGGCTTTCAATATTATGTATCAGTAATGTCTACTGAACAAGTGAAGAATTACCCAAGACAAAATTATTGCAGCCATCTGGATTTCTTCCACTTTAATCCCCAAATAATACACTCTGAAAAGCAATAAAGGCATAACTGCTGTCCATCTCAGCATTACACAATAGGTATTGTTTGATTCACAGTTTATGAAAGCATACCTCTTGAGAAATCTCATGAATAGTAAGAAAAACATATGTAATAACACAAAAAGACAAAGCATAGTATTTTTGAGAATACTAATTCCTAAGTAAAATCACTATAACTTTGAAAATGGGTTAAGAAGCACTATGCAGATGCATTACTGTTGCTTCCTAATTTATAATATTTCTAATTTTCTGTTTCTACAGGTAACTAGATTTTGCTAATTTTGAATTCATTCAAATAAAGGAGGCAAAACATTTTTTTCTGCTACATGGCCTTCTGGTTAGTAAAGAGTGTAAGTATGCCTTGCGTTGTTTAAATACAGAGACACAGCCTATAAATATAAAACTTTGTGTGCAAGGCCCCAGGCTAGAAGGTTTGAATTATCTCAGAGACACAGATGGATAATGCCATCTCCCACAAGTTAAATAAATAATCATAGTGCAATTTTTAAGATAAAAAACTCTGAGGAAGACACCTAGGCACAAATCCTAGTTCTTTCAATTATTACCTAAGCAATCAGGGACATATTACTTAATTTTCTTGTTTTTCAGATTATTTATATTTATTTTTTCCAGTTTTATTGAGATATAATTGACTATCGTAAATTGAATATATTCAAGATGTATGACATGGTAATTTGATACACATGTACACTGTGTAATGATTACCACAAACTAACATATTTTACATAGTTACCATTGTGTGTGTGTGTGTGTGTGTGTGTGTGTATGTGGTAAGGACACTTGAAATCTGCTGTCTTAGTAAATTTTAATCAAACAACAAATTATTATTAACCATATTCATCATGCTCATCTATTTATCTTTAAAATTAAGATAATAATAGCACCTACTTCACAGCATTAAAATAAGGATTAATTGACTTTTTCCATACAGAGAATCAGAACAGTGTCTGGTGAATAATAAGTTCTCAATAAAAGTTAGCAAACAAAAGACACTTAATTGGGTACAAGAGTGTAGCTGCTTCCAGAGCTGTTCTAATAAAAATTTAAAGTCATTTTCTGCCAACAGTGACTAAACAGTTTTCTACTCAAAATACTATATCAATTACTACTGCAATCGTCTTTCGTCTTTGAAGGTCATACTTCATTTCTCCTATACTTCTTTTTATATTTATTAAATAAATAAAGAATATATTTCTATGTTAGGAAAAAGCACATAATAAACATGTTCTAGTGATATATCTTTCTTATTTCATCATCCAAAAATGTCTGAATGTATCTTAACTAAGTTTAGCAGATATGTTTATAAATGACAGACATAGAATATAGGCTATGTAGCATATTCCATTTCCACTGAACAGAGGGAGACCTGGGACCACCTAAAAAAACTGTCACTTGGCTAGGCACAGTGGTTCACCTCTGTAATCCCAGCACTTTGGGCAGCTAAGGGGGCAATCACTTGAAGTCAGGAGTTCGAGACTAGCCTGGCTAACATGGTGAAATGCCGTCTCTACTAAAAAATACAAAAATTAGCCGGGCGTAGTGGCGGGCACCGGTAATCCCAGCTAGTCGAGAAGCTGAGGCAGGAGAATTGCTTGAACTCGGGAGGCAGAGGACGCAGTGAGCCAAGATTGCACCACTGCACTCCAGCCTAGGTGACAGAATGAGACTGTTGAAAGAAAAGAAAAGAAGAAAAAAGAAAAGAAGAGAAGGAAAGGGGAGGGAAGGGGAGGGAAGACACCTGTGACATCTGTGAGTTTTGGTTTATCTTCCTACCTTTCTTACTCCACCACCACCAAAAAAACATTGTCACTCATCATCTAGAGAAACCAAAACATAGGTAAGGTACAGACAGGGATTCCATGACAGCTGTTAGAAGAAGAAATTGTACGCAGAGTAAAACATCACAAACAAAAATGAAAGAATGGTTTCAAGTATAAAATGCAAATCAAATATCAAAAGAAAAAATGTCCAAAAATAAAAGTATTGATTTTTCAATAGAGGTGCCTCCCACATGAAATCCTCCAGAATAAGTACTAATAAGGGTTTATTTACTCTTTTGAGCAACTCCATAGAGGCTAGTGTGTTACGAAAATTAATTAACAAATGAAATAGACATTATTATCTTATTTTAACTGCTTTAATTTTCCTAATATTTTGTTATAGGAACATTTAAGAGGGTATATAAACACAACTTTTTTGTCCCAGTAGTAGAGGAGAAGTGAATATTGATGAATAATAGTAATAGCTACCATAGCCAAGCCTCTCAAGACAAGTGTTACCAATAACACTTTAAATTACCACGGAAATTCACAGAAATATGGAAATGGCTGTAATTTATTTTTTAAAGTCTATCCATAGTTTATTATATCTCAAAGTGCGATCCCTAAAATAACAGTACCAGAATTCACTGGGATGATTAAGTATATATATATTAAGGTTCTAACTAAGACTTACTAAATCCAAAACTACAGGAGTAAGGCTTAAGACTCTATATTATTTTTTAAAAGATCCCAAGAAAATTTTAATATATCATACAAATGAAGAATTATTGCCCAAATTCTCCTTTCTTTCTAAAACACTAGATGACAACATCCTTTATGTCTTGCATATTATAATTTTCTCAGAATACATAACAAAGGTAACTTTTTCCTGAAAATCTTTAGCTGTGTCTCATTACAACCATAAAAACGCTAGAAGAAAACCTAGGCAATACCATTCAGGACATAGGCATGGGCAAGGACTTCATATCTAAAACACCAAAAGCAATGGCAACAAAAGCCAAAATTGACAAATGGGATCTAATTAAACTAAAGAGCTTCTGCACAGCAAAAGAAACTACCATCAGAGTGAACAGGCAACCTATAGAATGGGGGAAATTTTTTGCAGTCTACCCATCTGACAAGAACTTAAACAAATTTACAAGAAAAAATCAAACAACCCCATCAAAAAGTGGGCAAAGGATATGAAAAGACACTTCTCAAAAGAAGACATTTATGCAGCCAACAGACACATGAAAAAATGCTCATCATCACTGGTCATCAGAGAAATGCAAATCAAAACCACAATGAGATACCATCTCATACCAGTTAGAATGGCGATCATTAAAAAGTCAGGGAACAACAGGTGCTGCAGAGGATGTGGAGAAATAGGAACACTTTTACACTGTTGGTGGGACTGTAAACTATTCAACCATTGTGGAAGTCAGTGTGGCGATTCCTCAAGAATCTAGAACCAGAAATACCATTTGACCCAGCCATCCCATTACTGGGTATATACCCAAAGGATTATAAATCATGCTGCTATAAAGACACATGCACATGTATGTTTATTGTGGCACTATTCACAATAGCAAAGACTTGGAACCACCCCAAACGCCCATCGATGACAGACTGGATTAAGAAAATGTGGCACATATACACCATGGAATACTATGCAGCCATAAAAAGGATGAGTTCATGTCCTTTGTATGGACATGGATGAAGCTGGAAACCATCATTCTCAGCAAACTATCGCAAGGACAGAAGAGCAAACGCTGCATGTTCCCACTCATAGGTGGGAACTGAACAATGAGAATGCTTGGACACAGGAAGGGGAATATCACACACTGGGGCCTGTCGTGGGGTGGGGGAGGGGGGAGGGAAAGCATCAGGAGATATACCTAATGTAAATGACGAGTTAATGGGTGCAGCACACCAACTTAGCACATGTATACATATGTAACAAACCTGCACGTTGTGCACATGTACCCTAGAACTTAAAGTATAATAATAAAAAAAAAGTTAAAATGAGTTAAAATTATCCCACTGCACTCCAGCCTAAGCAACAGAGCAAGACCCTGTCTCTAAACAAAAGCAAACAAACAAACGAAAACCTCTGGATAAAGATTGTGGATTAAGAACACTCATAAACCCTCACACCTTCCATAATCAAATATTCTAAAACTCACAGATGTAAAAGTACATATAGTTCAAAGCAAAAAAATGCCCAAATGTATGGAAAATAGGAGAAGAGTTAATAATAATGTTTGGTAGCTGGAAAGCAGGTCACTAAGTGAATGTTTTCAGGTCACTGATTAGTGTGACTTAGCAGAGCCAAATGACAGCAAAGCCAAAAAAAATCCAGATCTGACTCTGGCAGTGAGGAAAGGCAAGAACAAACTTCACATGCACTGCAAAGGCTCAATGTTCAGGATTTGTGGCAATAGATACCTCGCCAAGTAGAGGATAAAGAGGAAGAGGGGAAAAGTTGTAAGATTTTTTTAAACCTATCTATAAAGGAAAAGGGGAAAATTTTGGATGGCCAAAAAAAATGATGGCTGCCTATGTCTTTGTTCCCTCTCCATATAGCCTTCTAAAAGAATACAGAACAAAAGAACATATAAAACTACACAAACCGTGCTCTTCAGATAAACAGAAGACACAAAATAGCCAAGATTCAAAATAATCAAGCTTTTTTTAATAAAAAAAATAAAACACAAAAGTCTAGTGAATGATATCTCACACTACCACAAGCCTCTGTGATGAACAGGGGCATTTTGTGAAAAACTGCAGGAGCAGAAAGAAGTATGGAACTTGCAAGAGGTCTAAGGTTGCTCCAAAACTACAAAGAGAAAGTTTAGGCTAAATGTGAAACTATTAGAAATGTATTCTGGTGTGTGAAAGCAGTGATAACGGAGAAGATACTTAAATGGACATGGTTTAAACCTGCAGTCTTTGCAAGGTATAGTTTCTGGAAAAGAAAAATGCAAAAGAAGAAGGGAAAAGTATACTTTGGAAATTGTATAGTAAAGAGGAAAATGGTTTCTAAAAAAATTTAGCAATCTGTAACATAAAAATAAAAGACCAAAAAATTAGAAGCACACAACTCCTGCCCCACTACAACCAAAAAGTAAAATCAACTAAAGAAACTTGATTTTACTCTACTGAGAGAAAAGATACCATTGAACTAAGAATCTTGCAAATTATCCCAAAACCACAAAATAAACAGGAGAAAACTAAATAAATCAATACAACGTTCCTACAAAAAATAAATCAGGTAATAAGTTTTAACACACTTCAACTGATGAAAACCCAACCCTAAAAAAACTTTGAAGCAGAAGAAATATATAAGACAACTGTCCAAGCTGAGAATAAAATATATTCCAACAAGAAGTTTGAGAAAAAAAATTTAAATCAAAACTTCAATAATTAATAATAAGATGGACATAAAACAGGAAGAAATAAAAAGAATATTAAGTTTAGAAAAAATATGGAAGAAAAAGATAAAATATTTTTAGAAACGCAGACTTAGTTACAGGATACCCACAGGTCAGTTGTAAATACGAGGTCTTAAAGAAAAGCATTGAAAAAGAAAACCAGAAGAAAAAAAAGATAAAAGAAAAAGAAAGAATGCATGGGTATAATTGAAATCCCTTAAAGGAAAAAAAAATGGCAAACCAACATAAATGCACTAATATTTAAAACTATATTTCAGTAAGATGTCCAGAAATAAAAAGACCAACATTTACCCCATCAAGTATATGAGAAAATGTACCAGAAAAATCACAGATAAAACGTTGTAAAACTATTAGACTTTAAATGATAAAGACAAAAATTTCTCAGATCCTCTAAGCCAAATATCAAATTTCAGAGGGAAAAAAGTGCCGGACTAGTATAAGTCTTGTCAAACGCAACCACAGCAAGGCAGAAATGGAACAGCATTAAAAAAAAATACTCAGTGAAAGAAAGTATGAACCAAGCATGCTATATCATACAAGTTGACTATCAAATATTAAATGTAATGAAAGCTTTAGAATTCTATACTTATGAGCTATTCTTAAGGAATTTCCTAGAGGATGAATTTCTTCTGAAATTGATAAATGGAAACAAATTTCAGCAAAAAAGAGAGATAAAGAAAGCATCGCACAAATATGTTGTGTGAAAAATAAAAATAATATACTAAAAATGGAGGACAAGAAATAGAATTAGCTCATTGATTGATATACAGGCAATAGGTGGAAGTAAAGAGATACCTTTAAAAATAGACACACCTAATAAACATTAAATAAGAAAACAGGGAACTAAAGGCATTTTTAAAATTTAGTGTATAAAAGCACTAGAACAAAAACAAAAGCCTTCCTAAATATAAAAACAACTTTAAAAAATAAAATGTAAAGAGCCAAAAGTATGCATCTTGTAGGAAAAAATAAGCATAATATAAAATATATATAATGATAAGACATTATGAAAGTTGGGAACAAACATGTGAGTAGTATAATTAAAATGAATGAGTTAGTTAACCTATTAAAAGAAAAATGATTTAAATTTGGCTCAAAAAGGTAGACTCAACGATAAGCTGCATATGAGAGACAGACACAAAACAGATTAAAAATAAAGATTAACAAAATTATACTAGGTGAATAAAAACAGTAGGAATAATGATCCTGGTGTCAGACAAAGCACAATTTACGACTAAATATGACAATGGAGTTACTTTTTAATGCTAAAAACCATAATTCACAATAAAGATACAATCGTTATAAATAAACTATATAGTAAATATCACAGAAAATACCTCTCTGGAGTGAATAAAAAGCTACAGAAGATGTAGGAAGATGTGAATAGAAATATTTTCATAAACTTTAACACTCTGGGTACAAGACAGATCAAGGGATTTAAAAAGTAGGTAAGGATATTGCAAGTCTAACCAATAATCTCTAAAAGATGCTTATTAGTATTTCTCAACTTTTTGAGAACTTTTAATTATACTAAGTAACTGTTTTGAAAGGGGAAATACAAACTAAAAAATAATTTTAAAAATAATGATAATGAAAACAGTACTTACACAAAGATACATTTTTAGCAGGAGTCAGAAATAAATGAGATTAAAGACATGTTGTAATTAATAGAATGCAAATAAATGAATTAATTTTTGTGCCAAAAGTAGAGAGAGAACGACAAAGTTAACCAAAAGAAAACATAAGGAAATTATAAAGATAAATTGAAATTAATGAGGCAGAGAATAGGAAAATTGTAACCCTAACTAATTCACCAAAATCCTGGGGTTTTTTTTAATTAACAAATACAGCCACCAGCTTATTTGATTTAGAAAAAAAAAGAAAATACAAATATGCAAAATACAAAATTACAGAAAAACATTTCAACATAAAAATATTAAAGTAAATTATGAAACAGATTTTCAGACTTGTCTACAAATATATCTGAAAATCTACTTAATATGTCTAATTTTCAGGGGAAATACAGATTACATTAGAGACAGGAAGCCTAAACACAACAATTAATGTAGATTAAAGAGGAATACCCCTCCCCACACAGACACACACACACACACACACACACACACACCGCCCCCCACAAAAAAGAAAGTTTCATTGTGGAACTCCTCCAACATTTCCAAAAAAAGAATCAAGTGTTCTGTAGGTTGTTTCAGAGCACTGAAAATGAAAGAAAATGTCCGAATTATTTTTAACCAAGCAAATATAACACTGATATGTAAACCTAACATAGTACAAAAAGAAAACTGTAGTATAGACCAATATCACTTATGAATATCAATGTAAGAGTACTAAATAAAATATTAGCAAATGGAATTCAACACTACATTGAGAAAATAATACTGCATGACCAAGTGGAATATTCTGTAGGAATGAAAGGTTGGTCCGATATTAGGAAATCCCCAGTAATATAAGTAGATCTAAGGAGAAATAACTGTATTATTATTTTCATAAATGCTAAAGAAACCTTTGAAATATTTCCTAATTTGTTTATTTTCTAAAAATACTCAAGAAAATAGAAATTGATTGATGTTTTCTTAACATGACAAAATATAGATATATAACTTATTCCGTTAGCATCTTAATGATGAAATACTGAATTCTTCTAAGGTAAGGAACAAGGCAAGACACGATCTATAACACTGGACAAGAGGTATTAAATGCATTTAAATGAGATAAATTAATGACAGGAATAGGAATTGGTAAATAACAAGATATTATAGCATACCTGGAAAACCCAGAGAACTAATGATAAAACTAGCTCAAACAAACAAAAAAAAAGAATTCAATAAGTAAGATAAAGTAATACACAGAAATCAATAGTATTCATATATGCAAACAATCATTTAAATTGCACTAAAACAGAAAAACTGCAATGGCAAAAAGAAGATTAAATATTTAGAAATAAACAGAACAAGAAATGCGTAAAACTATGTTAGAAAAATTTAGACAACTCCTGAAAAGCAAAAAGTAAACTTGCATAAATACACACCCACTGTTCTTAAGTGGAATGACTCAACAACATAAAGATGTCACTTATCCCTAAGTTGATTTATAATAAATGTAAGAATAGTCAGGAAAACACTAACCAGGAAAATCTATAAGGGTGTCTACTCCTACAAGTTATTAAAACATACTATGAAGCCTCTATAATTTAAGGAATGTGGTACTAACATGAATAGACAAATAGACCAGTGTAATAGAATAGAAAGCCCAGAAATAGACTCAAGTATATTAATGAAAGACATTTCTCCATGAGTCTCTCACATTTCTCTATGTCTTATGTCAGCTTCTGTTTCAGTCTATCTTTCAGGATAGGATGTTTCAGACTATCTTTCAAGGATGTTTATATAGCAAATAGCCTTGGAAGACAGAAATAGTGTCTCCCCCCAGGACAGAGAACAGATTTCCTGACCAGTAAAATAAAGATTATGTCTCATAGATTAATGAATGCATTTGAACATAATGGTGGATATTTACACTTCTGGTAGTGTTTGGGGATGAGTTAATGAAAGATACAAAAAAGATTAAAACAAAATAGAAGACAATTTTTTTTTGAGGAAACAGTAAGTTGCACAAGAAAGGAAATGTCTTTCAATAGATAGCTCATCTGTAAATAATATTTACAAATGCATAATTTATAAAGAGTACTGATTTAAACAGAGCAATTTATTGTTTAAATAATGTGTATTATTTTGAATAAGATTTTAAAGACAAAAGCAGTTCATTTCTGAGAAATTTAGTACCTAGCTATAACTAAAAGTTATTATGCAGAAAAGCAAATATCTCCTTATATAAAAATTTATCTAAGTTGATCACAAGGGATAAACTTGTTATTAAAAATGGGATCTACAGATTTTAAGTGACCTTCACTTCCATTCACAATTACTAACAGTATAAGTTAGTATGATCTCTCACAACTATTTTACAATGTATGTTGAGTATGAAGTGTTTTATTTTTCTCATTAATTCTATGTTTATAAATATATAGTAAAAACATCATTCTAGCAATAACTGCTTTATTATCAATGATAGCAAAAAAATACAAATCAGGAAGAGTCTCAAGGTAAAGCTATAAAGGAATGATAATTTAATATGCCCTTCTCAATGATATTCAATGGAATCACTTAAAAAATAGGACTAGAAAGATGACAAATTGCATAAAATATGCTTGCAATATGATGTTTTTAAAAGGTTTTTATTATGATATTATTTTACCTTGGAGATAAAAAAATATATAATAACTGAAAAAATAGCCCCTCCCCCAAAGTACATATTTCCAATGTATCCCCTCTTAATATCTTCATACAAAAAAGAATATAAAATACCTTATTGATAGTCAGTGAGGCTCTATATCATAAACAAACTATTTCTCTTGCACTTCATTACTTAGAATAATCTTCCTTGATCTTTATTAGGCTTAAGCAAATTTTCAGATTTTTTAAAGTTATAAACACTTCATCCTTATATGCCAGGATGATAGTTTTAAAAAATGTTTTTCAAACAGTACAGCACATACAGTACATATCAAAATAAAGTACTGACCAATCATAGCAGATGATGGCTATTAACAAACAGTATGGTTATACTGACCTACAACTGCTCGTTATCAGTCCATCCTATGTGTAGGATAACCATACATTTGTTTATGCAGGACAATTCTAGTTTATTTCTGTTGACCTGGCATAATTAATAATACACACTTTCATTCTCAAAGTGGCTTCGTTTAAGTGACAAATTATATCATTACCCTCACTTATATATACACTGGCATAAATGATTCCTTTGGAATATCAATTACCACAGCTGTATTTCCACTGAGAAATGGATGGCAAGTATTTCCATTTTAGCCTCCTACCACATGCCAGTGAGCAAACTTTCTGTTTTTTTTAACATCCAAAATCCTGATGTGTTTGTCTATACCAAAGATCATTATTCCACCTCTGCACAAAAGTAGATTATGAGGATAACCTGCATACAGGCCCTAGCCCTCCCTCTCAAAGAACCTAAAATACTCTATTTGAGTAAGGATATGGTTAAAGCCTTCTTTTCTAGGCTGAAAACATGAAGATAGAACTTTTGTCTGGGGGATTCTAAGGACAAACTTCAATCAGTCATATATCCTTTCCATAAGAAGAAATCTAAAGTGACTCCTGGGACACTTTTATTTTTGAGCAGGCAAGCCTCTCTGGGATCCCAGAAGATTGCATGACAGATAAAATGCACCTTGAAACAGCTAAAAGTGGAGGAAAGGCCCAGAGAAGACACCACAGGAGAGGCAAAATTGGAGCTAGAGTTCCAAGCGTAGATAGACACTGTGCACAGTAACTACAGGGGACTTTGCCAGAGGAAAGGCTGGCTGCCTCCCAAGAGGCCTCACAGGGTGGTATGCTTCACCTTGGTGGGTTTACCATAGCCCATGAATTGGCTTGTGGTTTTACATGCCTAATAACCTGATTTTTGTCAGCATTCCAAAAGAAAATTCACTTCTCAAGAACCAGCTCATATTATCCAAGCTCCTGAGGTAGATAAATAAAACCAGAATCTGACTTCATTTAAATGTGAAATAATTTACAGGAATTAAAATATTGAAGCCCATATGAGCAACACATTGTGTCCCTGTAGGCACACACACAGAAAGACAAATAATAATCAGAAGATTGTTTAATAAATGTGGAACCAAAACAAAGAAGTTAAATGAAGCCAATGTTTAATGGCATTAGGGTCAGACAGCTGATGAATTCATCTTAAAACAGGGATAGGCTTGCCCATGGAGTCAGTGTACTCACAGTCTGTTGGCTAAATGTCCTTCTCTCCTGGGTAGTGCTTGGATGAAAACTGCCAAATTTGCCCTCATGATTCTTTTTTAAAGGCTCCCATGACTAACCAGCTTGCATCAAATTGAGACATTCTTTCTTTAGATATCTTAATGCTTTATATCATATTGCACTCAAGTTATATAGCCAGTAAAGCCTTGTTTCTTTTCTGATTTTCAAATTGAAGTGACGTTTAACATTTTAAAAACATTTGAGCATGTTATAATTTATAAAAGTGGAAAATTCCTTTAACCCTTTCAAAACTCCACTATCCTCAAAAATGCAAACAAATGCACATACAAACATAAATATTAAGATGTATAAGAAATTCTCCATTGGTTTCTTGCTTAAAAGTAAGTTAAATACTACCCTCAATTCCCTAGGTTGCCAGGATATGTAATCCCGGTCAATGATGCTCTCATCCATTCCCAAGACTTGTGCTACCTTTGGTCTCTGCTACCGTAGTCATTCTTCATCCTAATTCCCCTCCAAGGGGTGCCACATCTTCAGGGATCTGAAAGGAAGTTAGTTATATATTCTTACAACCTTCCAAGTTCCATTTCACCAGGATTTTCAGCCCACTAACTCTATCTCTTTTTACTTACCAATACCCTCTTAATTTTCCTCACTTCCTCCCTTGCCTAACTTGGATTCCACGATTCATTCTTTTAATCATTCTCTGTAGTTAAAAAATTGTGGTTTTTCAGCTCCCTTATCCTACCTTCATTTCATATCATGTGGAAAAATCCCAACTCTGAAAAGCCACTTATTCTACTCCTGTGCCTAGGTAACTTTGTGTACATGAAGAAAAACACCGAATATTATACTAGCCAATTTAAATTTATTACAACGAACCTCAACTGTTCTGTTAGTGCTGCCTGGTGACTGTATACATTTCTTTAGTCAATTCATATGTCATTCCTACAAAATAATTTTTTCACCCCTTTCTTCTGGAAATTTCAAAACTCTATACTACCACCTCATTCTTAGCTGATCACCTTGATTTTAATTCACTTAGAAAATATAGAAATTTCAGGAAAAAAATTATATCTTCCACTATTAAATCTACCAAAGTTATAACTTTTCAGCCTCAAACTATATTTTTCATATTATTTTTATCCACTTATTAAAGAGGATAAAAAGCACTTATCCCTATCGAAGTCCCAGCTGAATATTTTTTCTCCTTCCTCTTACAATCTGTTTTGTTTTTTGTTTCACTTTTTTTGTTTTTTGTTTTTGAGACGGAGTCTCACTCTGTCGCCCAAGCTGGAGTGCAGTGGCGCGATCTCGGCTCACTATAAGCTCCGCCTCCCGGGTTCACGCCATTCTCCTGCCTCAGCCTCCCGAGTAGCTGCGACTACTGGCGCCCGCCACCACGCCCGGCTAATTTTTTTTTGTATTTTTAGTAGAGACGGGGTTTCACCGTGTTAGCCAGGATGGTCTCGATCTCCTGACCTCGTGATCCACCCACCTCGGCCTCCCAAAGTGCTGGGATTACAGGCGTGAGCCACCGCGCCCGGCCCCTCTTACAATCTGAAACACTTTGCTTTCCCCTGTCTTTTGCATCATCATTTTTTTTCTCCATGTGGATCATTCCCATCAACAAAAAGCATGCCCCATTTCTTTCCTCCCATTGTCAGAAAAAAATATGTATTTTTAATACATACTATTTACACTTCCTTTCCTAGCTCTACCTTCCACTGAAACAGCTCTGTTCCCCAAAGTTCTACAATTATCCAACAGTCAGATCTCAGTTCTCATCTCACTTGGCTTCTCGATATCATTTGTCACTGTTGATAATTCCCATCTTTTTGCAAAAAGTTTCAATACTTACTTTCATGACATTGTTGCCCTAGTTGACAGTCAGCACCAGTTGCTTCCCATGTCAAACTTCTTTGCCAGATCTTCCTGCCCTTCCTAACCCCTATAGATTGCTCCAGAACTTAGTACCCAAGCCTCTTCTTTTGTCTTTTTACAATCACTTTCTGGATGAAATCACATTTTTTAAATCAAATATGAGAAATCCTAAATTTTTTATATCTAGCCTTATTCTTTCTACTGAATTCTAGACTTTTATGTAAATCTAATTTCCTACTCAGCATCTTCACTTTGATATCCATAGGAATCTCAAATAAAATATTCAATACTGAGTTTTTATTTGTCACACACACCCATTCCACTCCCACAGAACTTCATCTCATCTCATTAAATAGCAACACTATTTACTTAGATTTAGGCCCAAAACCTTATAGATGATCTTTGATTCTTCTTTTTCACACCTAACATATAATCCAAAAGGAAATCATATCAGTTCTATTTCAAAACATACACAAATTAAAGAACTCACCACTCTCAAAAAATCTCAAAAATTAGATCAAGAGACAATTTTTTTTTTTGCCTGAACCACCACAAGAAACTCAAGAATTTATCCAACACTCCAGGCTTGTTTCCAGTTTAGGGACTTTTGCTATCAATTTTTCCTCGGAGACAAGGCTCTTTCTTCCCTTATATTCATATAGTTCATTTATGTATTTCATTGAACCTCCTAGTCTGATGTCACCACCTTAGCCATAACTTCCCTGACAACTCTATCCACAATAGCAAGCCTTGCCACTCTCTATAACTCTGATGCGGCAAATGGTTTCCAAAGATAGATGCAATAATTCCTCCTGTGGAATATGCCCCTTATTGACATAATTTTGCCACTCTTCCCATTAAGAGGTAAAAGATATGTTCCTTCCCTTTAAATCTGGGCTGACCTTATGATACCCTTTGACCAATAGTATGATGGAAGTTATGCTATGTGACTTCAAGGCCTGGATATTACAAGTTTTTATTTTAGCTCTCTGGGAAGCCAGTTGCCATATAAAGAAGCTCAGGCCAGAATAATAAATGATGAAAGACAACATGAAAAGAGAAGCCACATGGAGGAGAACTGAGGTATTCTATCCATCATTCAGGGCTAAGCCCTCAGACATATGTATGAAATCGTCATCTTGGACATCATTCTAGCCACATCAGAGCTTCCTTGCTGAGTGTAGTCGCATATACAATACCAGACAACATCTTACAAGTTTTTGTCTCACTTTCTATCACATTTAAGCTCCAAACAACTAGCCACTCTCTTCACAAATAATTAAAATAATTTTAAAAGAGCCTTTGTTTGGGAGTTTAGGTCTTTTTACTTACAATATTATACACAGACAGTGTATTGTGGGATAAGAGAGATAAACTCTTTTCTTTCAGCTGAGAAAACACAATACAATAAAAACTGTCAATCAATTCATTATCTTAGCATCAGAGAAATAGAGATTTGTGACAAATATAACAGAAAAGTATTCAAAATATAAAATGATAGATCACATAGCAAAAGGACTGTAAATAGAATTTTAAAACTATTTCATATTATTTAAAATGAGATCTACATTTTATCAACTAAAAACCCCACAACTAATTATTTTTTTAAAAAATCAGAATGACTGCCTATATGTTTACAACATTGTAAATTTTGTCAGTTTTTTACTTCTCCTCAAATATAAATGTAGCCACAACTAATTGTCAATTCTAGAATTTTAAAAATCTCTATTGTTAACATTTTTTACTGCAAAACATCTCAAAGTTAGTGAAATACTTTGCCTATTTATTCCATAAAATCTCACTTCAACTATTCAACCTATTTTAGAACTATAATTATAGGCTGACACTATAATTTCATGAATCCATTTATTTTATATCTTCATAAGACGTTTTATGATAAAAATATTTTTGAACTCCTTAAAATCATAATACTGTGGAATGCGACTATGTTTCCTACTATTTTTCCTTAATATGAAATCTTTGCTAGCATGTTGATGGGCCAGATTGTATATCGCAGGAAGCAGACACTGACAGAGATAAACATTAACATGCAGAATGTGTATTAAGAAGAGTTTTGGAAACAAAAACTTGTGTGGAAATGGGAAGAGCCATAGCAGGACAGGGAAGAGGAAGAAGTTGAGCTGCAATGAAGTCCCAAAGACAGCTTCAGCTGACCCATATGGAGCTCTGGAACTATAAAGAGACTTCAGAATGGCCTTGTGTTGGGCCAGGAAAGAAAAACTTTATATTCATGCATCCATTTGTCATTAGATGTGGACCACAGCAGTAATGGGCCCATTCTCACACCTCCTTTGACAAAAAATGGGTCGTCTGGATGGACATGGTGTTGTTAGGAGTTCATGCTGGTGCATCAAACACTGTGTAAACCTAACTTAGATATTAGTGTGATCTGAGGCCCTACAGGTTGGAAATGCAAACCCATCCCCAAAATACATTTCTGCTATTATCAGTCATCACTGGCCTTTCTATGAATGCAAGGGTTCAACGTTTTCTACTTGACACAAAGTAGGCAGTTAGTCTGTTCAGAGGTTGATGCCATAATCAGGGACTTAGTCTCGGCCTCTGTTACTGACAGGGTGGTTATTTTGTGACAATAGGAGGTAGACCAGTCTTAGCATGTTAGAGTCCATACTGTTGGATTCATGCATAGCTTCTATCCCAACCACTGCACCTCTTCACACATATGCTAGCACTAGGGTGCCTATCATGCTATTACCAGGATGGCTGGTGGCAAATTTTGTTGATGTCCAAGTCTTTTTGTCTACTTTGTTGCTTAGGGCTTCTTATCTTGTAGGTGCTTTCTTATTGGCATTAATATTTAATTAAAGATTTTGGCATTAATATTTAATTAAAGATTCTAAAACGTACTCCCACATATACAACCAAATGCCTTTGTCCCATTTCTGTCCAGATTTCTGTCCTCAGTCATCCAAATAGTCTCCTTCCAGGTTCCTGAACAGTTGGCTAAGTCATTTGCCACTGTTCATAAGTCTATACAAACCTAATCTCAGGCCATTTCTCCTTCCACAAAAAGTAGATAACCAGGTGTATCATGTGAACTTCTGGCCATTGAAAGGATTTTCCCTATTCATTTTCTATCAAGACCACCTCTCACTGGGGCTGTAATAAGGATGTTATCCATTTGCTGCTTGCATGCATTTACGAATCCAATCTGTCTGTGCCAGGAGACTTCTAAGATGTTCTCAATTATCCCTTCCTCATGCTATTTATACTCTTATGTAATTCCCTTGCCATTAGTATCAGCATAATCTGTGATTTGCTTCTAATTGATAGAAAATGTCAAAGGTGATAGGATGACAAGACACTTCCATGATTGGGATGCATAAGAGAATAGATTATATCTTCCTAGCAAAATCTCTTTTGATGGCTGTGATTGAAGGAAATTGACATGTTGGAGGAGATGATATAGCAAGGAACTGAGAGTAGCCCTCAGCCAACATCCAGTAAAGCACTGAGGGTCTCAGTTCAACAACGCTCAGAGAACTAAATCCTACCAAAACTAAATAAATGAGCTTGGAAATGCATCCTTTCCCTAACAAGCCTTCAGATGATACTCTAGCCTTGGACAGTACCTTGCAGCCTCACCAAAGGCTATGAAGGAGAAGACTCAGTTAAGCCATGCCCAGATTCCCAAGCCACAGAAATTGTGAGGTAATATATTTGTATTTCTTAAGCTGCTAAATTTTGGGTTAATTTGTTATGCAGCAATAGATTATTAATACACTATCCATAAACAAAATAAAGGGATTGTTTTTAAAATAACTTAAGTAAAAGCAGAAGTTATAATTTTTATAGGCAAGTACAAAATTTAAGAGGGAACTTTTAAATATTGACTGGGAAGTTTTCTCTAAATTTTGTAGGAATTAGGGAGCCATTGAAGATTTTTTTTATCTGGGGAATGGTGGGATGTTTTTCCCCCACTGGTCTAAAATAGTCTGGCTTCAGCATATTCAAAGGATCAAGTGAGAACATGTTAGCATGGCACGTTAGCATGGCA
This sequence comes from Homo sapiens, assembly GCF_000001405.40. Classification (NCBI taxonomy): domain Eukaryota; kingdom Metazoa; phylum Chordata; class Mammalia; order Primates; family Hominidae; genus Homo; species Homo sapiens. Next base: position 187,085,506 of record NC_000002.12, on the reverse strand, counting down.
TCATGCTTTTGTAGACAAGGGGAAATAAGGCTATGAGCCAAAGTACAGCAATGAGAATGAAAGGAGAAACTAAAATAAGCTCAGTGAAAGAAATTGCCTCAATATTCAATTGTCAGTATTACACATGAAAGACTAAGAAGAGAAAGTAGCTTGCCTGAGAAGCATGAACAACTGGGAAATTGCTGGTTCTCTGACAGAATGAAGAAAGAGTTATTGGCTTAAAATCTGCAATACTGCTTGAGTTTGAAGAACTAACAGAATACAGAAGAACGAAAACATTTTTAACCAGAAGTTTAGAAATGTGGATCTGGACCCTGGAGATAAATTGGATTTATAGATATTAATCTGGTAATTATCCATACAGCAAAAAAAAAAAAAAAGGTTAATTGAGAATCTAGAGAAAAAGAGAGATTGAATAAAGGAAATAACTGAGGATTAATCCACGTGGAAGAACAAAAGATGAGATGTCAAAAAGGGAATATTTAAAGAAAACAAGGAGGTTGTCACGCATGCAGGCCAAGGGGGAATGGAGAGTCAACAAGTGGGCCTAAAACTTAGAAGGACTGAAAAAAGTTAATTCACCCTGGAATTTGAGGAATTACAAAAATAATTACAAAGAGCAGTAAGGAAAGTAACTGGATTGCAAGAGGTTAAGGGTGAGTAGGAGGTAAAACTAGTGATGGCAGATTTATTCTTTCCTTCAAAGAGTAGTGTAATGGGGATAACAGATCAGAAAAGAGAGCATAGGATGGGGGTCAGATAGGCAAAAGGAGGAGGAGCTTTGAAGCCAGGAGATAGGAAGTTGCATCATGTCTTGTCAGATGGCTCCCTCTTCAAAGCCATATATCACAAGACATTGGTGAGGTAAGGTTGGGTTTGAAGGTTGAGGTTTGCAATGAGAAAAAGAGAACATTTAGAATATTTGTGGTGGTAAGAATCTAGCTATTGAAATAGCATTTAAATAGCTATAACTTGCTCAGTTATATGTATATGTCTGCAGTCTCACTTTTAGGTGACTACACGCTCAGAGTCCAAAAATGGTAAAAAAATTATTAATGTATTTCATCCAAGCTCCCGTTTGCTCAGCCAAAGTCCACAATCAATGGACACATGACAATCTTCACTTCTATTATTTCTGTAGTTCAGGCATATTACATTAATTGTGTTTCCTGGCTCAGACCATGCCTCTTTGCCTTTGCTTAAGCTGCTCCTTCTGCCTGAAGTGAACCTGCCCCCATGTATTAGGTCTTAGCTCAAGTATCACATGATTTATAAAGTCTCTCTGCCACCTATTCTCAAATACTGTAGAGTTTACCATGTTCTTCATTTCATTGTACCTGGCACTTGCATAATAAATATAAACTCTGTTAGAGGAGTACCCTACTTTCAAATGTAATGTATTCTAGAAAAAAGTATACTAAAGAAAAATGTTTAAAAATCAAACACATGACTGACAAAGAATATAGATGGAAACATTCCCAGATAAATAATATATAAGTACTTCTAATTACTTCTTTTGAAGTCAGAATTTCCATATTCCAGCAGATATTATCATCTCTGTTGCATAGCTAAAACGAAATTAATCAATCAACTAAGTCTTCCAGCATTTCTTGGATGGAATATCTTAATACCATCCTAACTGTTCTCACCAGTTTTTCCCAATTTCAGTGTATTTTACTCACACACTACCTTCCTATAAAGCAATAGGGATCATGTCACTTTCCTATTGGAAACTTCATATTCTCGAATAGAAGCATATTCAAAGCAATTTTACTTTGGGGCTCCTCTTCCATCATTATTCCAACCAGCTTGTGCTCCTACCTTGTACCCAGAAGCTTTTTATTTAGCCAATCTATACCTTCCCATTCTCTCAAATATCCTCCAAAATCTATTTAGCTTTCTTAACCTAAAAAAATTGTAACTCATCATTAAAACCTAGTTTACATCACCATGTCAGTGAATTCTTTTCTGAGGCAAAAATCAGTTGCTCCATCTTTTGTCTTCCTTACAGCATAATACCTTTCACTCTTAAAAAACACTTCCCTTGTTATGATGTAACTAAGTGACCAATTAATGTATATAATAATTGATCCTCAGGTTTTCATTTTATTAAGAATCACAGAATAAACAAGTAAAGTTGATTATGCTGATTTTATTCAATTTGCTCAACTAATATGGACTGAACCCTAACCTTTGTGCTCAGCATTGAATTAAAGGGAGAATACACTGTGGTAAACTCAAAGTATATTGTCTTTGAACTTAGAGTTTAGTATAGTCTGTACATAAATAAACAAACAAAAAATCTCCATAATATGACAAATTGATTTTAAATGCTATTAAGAAAAAGCACAATGGGATTTACAGTAGTCTAGATAATCTGAGTAGTTAAGTAGTTGACATTCAAGCTAACCAGCCATAGAAAAGATTATTTTTAGATTATGGAAATAATGGGATAGAATCTTCCAGGCAGAAATCATGACATACACAAGCTCCTAAGGCAGAATAAAGGTTGGTATATAGAAAAAAAAAACCAAGTGTGGCTAAAGTATAAGAAATATTGAGGAGAGTGATATTAGATAAGCACATAGAGAGGTGGCCAAAAGCCATAAAACTAAGAGACTTGTCCACCACATTAAGAACGTTTGATTTTATTCTAAACAGATTGAGAAGACAATAAAAAGTTATAATCAGGAAGTTCTAATTTACACTTAGAACAATTTCTTCATTTAAACCCTGGAGAACACATTGGAGGTAGCCAGAATGGAAGCAGGAAGACCAAAGAGGGGAATATTGAGGTCATCAACAAGAATCTTGAGAATATCGTGATGGTGATTTGGATCAGGTTCATAAAAACAAAACAGTAGAAACAAATATATTTGAGGTGTGCTTTCTAGAGAATGGAGAGTTTTGGTAATGGATAAGATGAGGATTTATTTTTATTATACTTTAAGTTCTGGAGTACATGTGCAGAACATGCAGTTTTGTTACATAGGTATACATGTGCCATGTGGTTTGCTGCACCCATCAACCTATCACCTACATTAGCTATTTCTCCTAATGCTATCCCTCCCCTAGCGTCCCACACCCCGACAGGTCCCGGTGTGTGATGTTCCCCTCCTGTGTCCATGTGTTCAAGATGAGGATTTAAGGGAAAGAAATGTACCATTAATTATTGCTTCCATTATGCCTCATGTATAACCTGTGCCTGTGGCTGAGCTACAAGCTATGCCAATCAATAGTACTCCGAAAAAATTTCAGATTAAGTAGTGAATCTTTTTACTGAACAAAAGAAAAAAATAGTGATCCCACACCCATCTTCCCCTATTCAAATCAGGCAAACTTGATCTACAATACTAACTCCATCTTTACATGACCTATGACTTTAGCTAGGCAAGTTACTTAATTTCTGTTACTCCAATTCCTCATCTGACAGCCAAAGGCAATTGTTTCATATGTGCAGGGATGTTGTCAAATTTAAAGGAAACAATATTTGCACAGCACCTAACACTTTATCTTGCATATAGTAAGTACACAACAAGATCTATTCCTTCCCCATCACCCCAATACTTATGAGTTCAAACTACATTTGCCATTTTCAGTTGCATATTTTTAAAAATCATTTTGCAACATTATATATACATGTATCTTAAAAGAAGTCTGTTTCAGCTCCTTCTTAAATACATTTATGTACTCTCTCTTTGAATGTAAAATTGCCAGGTTACAAATATTCTCATTGTACTACTGTTTATTTTTAGTACTGTATTCATTCTCTGGAACTGGGAGGCCTGCCTAAAAGAAAATTCAATCTATGCTACCACACTCCTAGCATCTGTCACAAAGATAAAAGATTAACATGTCAGTTTTGCAATGGCAGAAAAAGAAGCATTTCAGAATCTTTCCTTGCTCTTAAAATCTTAAATAGATTCACATAAAACTGTCACATATGCACACAATACCTTAAAGATCTTTATGCTTAAGATATCTGGAGTGTTAAGAGTAAAATTGGAAGAATGATTACCATTGTGGTCAAAAGACGTAACACAGGGGTGGGTTTCTACTTTCCTCTTTTGCAAAGAGCAATTCTTGATTCAGAGAATCAAAAAGTAACTAAAAAGGATAGGGTATGAAAAAATAAGGCTGTTTCCATTTGAGCAAATCATAAATAAATTGTAAATATTCAGGCTGTCAATTTCCAAGGGAAAGTAAACTGTGTCCTCCCCTGATTGTCTGCCTGTCTCATTAATTTCCACCCTTAGATGGACCATAAACTATTGTATTTGCACTGTTATTTCAGACAGCTTCCTAGTGAGGGGTTACAGCCTGAAACTGACAGGCCTCTCAGCCCATACGAAAAGGGGTCCAAGGCAGTGAACCCTTCCAACCATTCACACAATAAATATTCCCAGTCATATGGCAGTCTTTGTCTAACCTATGTAGAGAATAGTAGATCCTTGATTTCTATTCCAGATATCAAATAATTAGACTTAACTATTAAATATTTATTAATTTTACTTTGTAATTAAATTTTAATTATAATTTAATTAAATTCACTTACTTAAGTTTAAACCAATCATTTCCAAGAAAACTGCACAATTAGACTGTTCAGTTTCCTTCAGAAATGTTAGTTTAAAATTATATTACAGTGGAGCGGGTAAACACAGTTTTGAGCCAGTTTCCAATTTCAAAATCATTACTTTGAGTCTAATACCACAGTCAAATAACTGATATAAAAACTATTTTAAATCTATATATGATCCTTGTATGTGACCATAATCATATTTAACCAATGACACTTTTCAAAATAAGCACCATATAGATGATAATCTCTAGCTTCCACTGGTATAAAATTAATTCTCAGTACTAATAATATTTCAAAAACTATTTGGGCAAAGAAAGGTTAAGTTTCCATTATAGGGTGTAATTTCCTCACCTGTAAAATTAGATGATTAGATTACATGTTCTCTAAGGTCCCACCCAACCTTAAAGATTTATAAGTTCTATTTCCAAGAATAGGATTGAAGAAATCCAATCTTTATCTCTGACCTCAGCACCGAATTGCGCCTGTGTTCTTTTGCGTCTTTTGTCCCAAGCAGGCTTACCTTTAACAAATGTACACTGATATGCAGTATACTGTTACAGCAACAAAAAGTAGAAATTCTGAAGATGCTTAGTCGCTTAGTATTTTAATTTACAGAGACTCAAAAACAAAGAGTCACTTTCAAACTCAATGGAATTAAACCCATTTAATGACAGCAATCGAAGACGCACACATATACAGACTGGCACCTGTTGTCTCCATGAAATCTCCGTGTTCAAAATATTATACACAATATTTTAAACTTGGCTCTCGAATGGTGATGTAAGATATCCTTAGAGGAAATCTATTAATATGAACATATTCTTAATACACTAAAGACCGTGACTGATCTCTTTCAGATTGCAGCTGGCCTTCTGCCACAGTCTGGTCTGGAAATGAAGCAAACATTAAAACAGAATAGAATGAAATGTAAGAAGGTTAAGACAAGAAAAAACTTTTCCCCTAATTTTAGAGATTTTAAAGAAAGCAATTAAACTCTGCTACTTTTTCTGATTCAATTAATATAAAAATTAATAATTTAGAACACAATTTTCATACAAATGGGAGCACTGGTGATTTATAATCTCTAATAATTCTTACCTTTTTTTGTATCCAGATTCTTATGTAACTTTCATCCAAGCTTTAAAATGTGTCAGAATTTACCTCAGTTTAACCAATTCTGTCTGTCCTTGCTCCTTTTAAATTAAAGATACTCATAAATATAACAGGATCAAAAGGAAAAGAGTCTAGGAAGATAAGGACAAAACAGTAGCAGTAACATCATTCACTTCTACCTGACCTCAGAGACACCTCAATTTAGACTGAGCTCCACAGGGGCAGAAGCTCATCCTCATTCTATCAGCACCCAGCAAAGTACCTGGAAAAAGTGCAGAAACTCAACACCTGTATCATTAATACCTGAGAGCAGACTCAGCTCATATAGTCCTTGAAACAATAGAAAAGCCAGTTTCCAATTTCAAAATCATTACTTTGAGTCTAATACCACAGTCAAATAACTGATATAAAAACTATTTTAAATCTATATATGATCCTTGTATGTGACCATAATCATATTTAACCAACGACACTTTTCAAAATAAGCACCATATAGATGATAATCTCTAGCTTCCACTGGTATAAAATTAATTCTCAGTATTAATAATAATCTACTAATATAAGTATATTAACAACTAGCGTGTAGTGTGTGCCATAAGCAGCCTGGACACAAGCTTGCTGATTTTTCCCTCCCAGATCTACTATATTTTCCCAGGACTTAGAACTAGTTTTTGCTCTAAATTTCCAACTGTACCACCTCTTTTAACACTGGAATCCTGCATTGAACGTCAGCCTATTTGAATGATATTCCAATATTTTGCTTTATTCCTGCCAGCCACATCACCTCCAGGGCCTGGTTCTCATTTTCTAGAGTTTTAGCCACTGGCTGTGCTTTCCAGGATCCACAAGTCTGACCAAAGTAATAGGATATTGAATGGGACTGTTTCTGTTGGTTTCCACTGAAGTCCAGGACAGTAGGTGCCAAATGCTTTAATTTTCTAATGTGAAATACTAGACTACCTAAGCAGGATTGTGAAAGAGCCATCTGTGAATCTGCTTTGTTAACGTGAGATTTCCACTCACCTCTGACTTTTTAAAGTAGTTGGAGAGGCACACGCCTACATTGGAGAACAGAAAGATTTCTTTGGAGATGGTTGCTATAGGGCTGGAGAAGGCATGTGGGGACATGTAGGGAGTTTGCCCCCATCAGAAGTAAGATGAGCAAGACATTAAGGAGACTGTTTCTTGAGGAGTTTGACAAACAAAGTTCCCTGGAGTTTGAGGACATCTAGTCTAGTCTCCAACTCAAGCCTGGCTGTGTAAAGGGCAAGAGTCTGACTAAAACAGCATGTGGTTGCAGAGTACAGGGCTGGTTAGGAAAGCAGATGACTCATGTCACAGTGGGTCTAGGGCCAGGTTTCCCAAGGACAACGTGTGGGTCCATGGGACACAGACATAGCCTGAAGAGGTTGTGAATGATGACCAAGAGGGCTTCCTGTGAAGGGCAAGATAATCTCAGCAAGGGAGGCTAAAGGTTTATAGCCAGGTACAAAGGCTGTATGGGAATCATAAATGAATAGATGAAGGAGAATTTCTATCCACGTAGAAAGAGCTTCAGGAAAATCACGAAGTGGTTTGCTGAACAGCCATGAGAGAGTCACTTTAAACAACAGCCAAGTCCAGAGAAAATCAACAACAGATACTACCTAAGCTGGTCACATAAGACCTTTCCAACCTCTTAATTCTCCTCCCTTCCAAACTCCCACCATGGCAGAGGCAGCAGCAGTCCAGAGACTTGGATAGGAGTAGCAGTGCTAAGAAGATACAGATGAACATAAAGACATCACCTTTCCCCACCCCTAATGCAAACCTCTAGCTGGAATGAGCATTAGCACTGGAAGAGAGAGATGAATGCACAATGAAGTCTGTCATTTGCCCATTACATGGGATTGGAATTTTAATCAATGAAATGAGTGGGGTTTTCTGATTAGGAGGGAGAAGCAAACTTTTTTTTTTTTTTTTTTAACTTAAGAGACTTATACAAAGTATGAGACCTACCAAAGATCTCATCCATGGGCACTGGAAGCACTAGGTGATAGAAGAAACTTAAACAGAAAACGACAGCAAATGTTAAAATCTTTTTCCAGTCCCACCATGTTATTTCACATACCGATTATACCATTACTAAATATGGCCTCCCCTTCCCAGCATGGTAGGTACCATAGATGTCATAGCTTACTCCCCATATCAGAGCCTGTAAAACTTGCGTTTGTTTTGATATTGTAATTTATTTCACAACTTTTCTAGTAGGGCAGCTCTAAATTCTAGTTAATTTTCCCTAAATATGTACTCCCTTACACCTCTTCCTGCTTAGTTTCCATTGAGGTCTCAGCACGTTTTATAACTGAACCCTGCAGGGAAAAAAAAAAACCCACCACTACTGGTGGCAAGTACGATCTAGAGATTGATAATTAATGCTACATCCTCAAGTAATCTTAGAATTTTAGAAGAAAATACGTAGACATTTTGCTTTCCTTTGCTGCTCATCTTTATGAGAATTCTCTCACTTTTAATATATTTTTTAATAATATAGGTTTGGGAATAAGAGAAAAAAACACCAGTTGATTTTTTCTTTTTGCATGTTAGTAGCTGAAATCCTAAATGTAGTGAAATAAAAGGATAAAGTTAATTTTAGAGTGAGGTTTAGAGATTATCTTTGTTACATTTGATGATATACTTGGCCTATAAGTGCCAGATTAAAAAATAAACAAAATTTAGCATTCTCATTTTCAGTAAACAAATTATATAAATATAAAAGTTTCAGCACATATAAATATGCACACAGGAGCATTATTAATTACAGCATTGTATATCATGGCAAAAAAAACACATAGCAACAACAACAAAAACTAGAAATTCATCAATAAGAAATGATGGAGTAAACTATATCAACCTTATGGAAAATTTCAAAACTATAAAAACAAAAGGTTAAGATTTTTTAAACCAGTTGACATGGAATAAGGCCCATATTATGTTTAAGTGAAAAAAAGAAGAGATAATCCCATTTTTTGCAAACAATTAATTATAAAAATAACTATGTGGTCACAAGACTATGTTTGTACAACAATAGCAAAATTAGAGAAGGACATGAAACATTGCTTAGCTCAGGTGCTGATGCTGAAAGAAGAAAATGTATTACATTTTTCTGTATCTCTCTCTTTTATAGGAACAACCATGTGCTCATTTAACTATTGTTATAGTTGGAAAAAATACAATAACATTTTTAAAAACACACTGTATTAGGTTCCCATCACTACTATAACAAATTATAATTACCTTAGTGGTTTAACACAAAACAAATTATTTTACAGTTCTGTAGGTCAGAAGTCTGACAGGTCTTCTAAGCGAAAATCAAATCTCAACAGGGCTGCATTCCTTCTGCAGGCTCTAGGGGAAAATCCATTTCCTTCCTTTTTCCAGATTCTAAAGGCTGCCAGCATTCCTTGGCTGGTGGCCCCCTGCCATCTTCATGGCACCACTTTAACATTAATTTAAGGCAAATGTGCCTCCTGCTTCCTTTTTTAAGGACTCTTACGATTACATTGGACCCACCTGGATAATCCAGGCACTCTCCCACATTAAATTCAGCAGATAAGCAGCCTTAATTTCCCTTTGCCATGTAACCTGACCTAGTAACAGGCTCCACAATTAAGACATGGACATCTCTGGGGTGAAGGGTAGTATTCTGCCTACCACCACACACACACACGCGCACACACACACACACACACACACACAGAGGGAATAACATGTAAATGCCCTTAGAATGTCGGATAAATGCTTCATCGTATTAGAAATGTACCTTCTGTCTTCTGTCTTCTTTTTATTAATCAGCACGAATATCATGTGTTTAGGTAAACACTCTCTGAAGCTTTCTCTTTTTTTTTTAACCTACTCGCATGACAAGCTTCATTGTATTTATTCAGATCCACTGGATAAAGTAAGAATAACCTCTATTCATTCTAACACTAATCCCTTCAAATGAAATCAATATGCTTCAACAAAGAAATCAAGTTTGTTCCTTTTCTGGTTCCTTCTGTGTGAGTTTCATGAGAAATCTGCATTTGGCAGTAGAATTGATCTCAATATATTTGCTACAAGTGGGTGCTCATATTGAGTTTTCAGTGAAAAATTTTAAAGAATGGTTGGGAAGAGACTAGGTTCTCTAGTAAATTACAGTGGAAGACAAAGGCACGTAATATAATTTTCCTGGGTTTAATGGTATCATAAATGTCTCTCAAGGCCGGATGACAAGGTTTGTTTGCTTTCTGTTTCTATTTCTTTTTTCCTTTCTCTTAAGTAGGCTTCCCTAGAAGCAGGGACTGAGACAGGGTTTAAGGCACATATGATTTTGTGTGGAAGTACTCTTTAGGAAAAACCTATATGAGAAGATGGGAAGGAGAGGAAAGGAGAAAGAGCTGGCAACCATGTGGCCTCAGGGAAAGTCTAGTCCAGAGTGGAAATCACACTGACAGAGTTGCGTCACCTGGAAGCAAGAGGGCTGGGCCTTTGTACCTTGTAAAGTCACTCATTGGCTGCCCCAGGGAGGCATATAACCTCACAAGAATTAGCCCATGAGAATCGGGTCAGCCAAGGACAATTCTCCAGAGTTAGCTTAACACTTGCACAGCTGGAGGATGGCTTCCTCATCCAATAAAAAGGATCTGGCAGGGATACCAACATATCCTACATCCTTCCCTCCTTTCTTTTCTCCTTTATACCTTCCCTTATTTTCTTCCTTCCTCTATGTCTTTTAATTCTCCTCTACATCACTATATTTTCAAATACTCAGGTCTTATTGGAACTATTCACCCATAATCTTTAAACAATGAAAAGTTTACTGTCTTTCTACTTAAACTGGCAAACATGATTCCTGACATCTGCAACTGAACCCTAACTGATACCATCACTATAAAACATTTGGTTTCTCATTGTAATGCATATTCTTTTAAAATGAGAATCAGGTCTTGGTGACACAAGCATAATGCCCTGAAATGTAGCCGTTTTGTCTCATTAATTTGCTAGATTTCAGTCGTCCACAGAAAAAATGCTACAACAATTTCAAGTATCTTTCATTTAAGTTGTGGTACCAGGTTGACAGACCATTGATGATATGATGGCCTGAAAGCTACAGTGGTGAAATTTTGGAAATATTACTGCTCAAAAATCATATACAGTATATGTATATTCAAAATTATTATGGGATATCACCAAATTCTGAGCACTTTCTTCAACTGCCCAAAAATTGAGCCCAAACACCCTTAAATCTTGGTGTACAATGAATTTAGAACACAGTTTATTTACTTTTCACAGTGAATAAAACTAAAATTGGAAATCAGAAGTATCTGAGAAAACTATAAGTCAGTAAGCCTTTTATCTTCTGTTTCCTCATTTATAAAACTTTTTTTAGTGGCCTAAAAAATGTTTCTCAGAATTAAGATTCTATGATTAAATGACTATTTCTTATTTGGAATAGTATGCAGGGTAGTTTTCAGAATTATGACATGATTCTTTGGCTGCATGATGCTTCAGCTGTTTCCACTCTGAAACAAATGGGTGATGTAAAACAAATGGTCCATTTTCCTTTTGGGGGGCTGAGAAATCTTTAAAAATATTGAGTTTCTCTAATCACTCTACCAAATTTTCAAAAAACGTAATGTATAGAAAAATTTATTTAGAGAATCTCACAACTGATCACTTCGTTTCTTTTACTGACATAAAATACTTAATAATTCTATGTAGCTCATATTTCTTGACCAACTTTGCAAACATTTTCTTCTCATAAAAATGCTTGAAATTTTTATCTACATCTTACAAGCAAATGAGGAAATAAGTGACTATGGTGATATAGTATATCATTAATGGAATTAAGATTGGGAAAGAAGATTCCAGATTCATGTGCTTTTTATACTATAGCATGTCCTGTGATCAGGAGCCATAGTTTTACCTCATAATAAACAGATTTCATTGACATGACACAATTAAACCAAGTATTATTATGGAAGTATTGTTATATTGACATTCAATCAGAAAAATTAAGTTTTTCAAGTTTTTTTGTTATTACTCAACTATATTGTTTACAAGTCTACTATATATATGTATTAGTCCATTTTTGCATTGCCTTAAAGAAATACCTGGGACTGGGTAACTTACAAAGGAAAGAGATTTAATTGGCTCACGGTTCTATAGGCTGTAAAGGAAGTGTTGCAGCTTGTGCTTCTGGGGAAGCCTCAGGAAAATTACAATCACGGCAGAAGACAAAGGGGAAGCAGGCACATCTTACATGACCAGAGCAGGAGGTCTGAGGGGGCAGTACCACACACTTTTAAACAACCAGATCTGTGACAACTCTATCATGAGAACAGCACCAAAGGGGAAAACATGCCACCATGATCCAATCACCTCCCACCAGGGCCCACTCCCAACACTGAGAATTACAATTCAGCACAAGATTTGGGCAAGGACACAAATCCAAACCACATCAATATGTATGGCAAACATAATCATCCAAATAGCTGGATAGGCAATACTGTCAGTTAAGCTTAGTTCTCAGATTCCTGGCATCTTTAGATGTACTCAAGTCTATTTCACCTTCGGTGCCCTCTTGCTAACCATTGATAATCATGGAACTTCCTTCAAACTCTATCCTCCCCATCACCCATTTGATTAAAAGTACAAACCAGTAAGAATTATGTGTATGTTCAATTCTCACAGTGAAGAAAAAAACATGAGCACAAATAATGTTTCCCAATAATGTCAAGCTATATCAAATTAAACCACTGCCATTCTATATTTACATTTTTCACTTTCCATTTCACTTCACATACCAGAATGAAATTCAATATCCTTGTTTGAAAAAATTTCCTTATTGAAAAGATTTTTATCTTTCAGTTAATCATCTAATACATACAAATGTTAGTGCTACACCATATACACAGTGGGAGCATAATAAATTGAGGTAATAGGAGTGGGAGAAAGTGGATGTATCTAACAATTTCTGATATCTACAGTGAATCATTATCCTTAAAATTTATCTCTTTACCACCTGCATTCTACTGTCCGAAGTTCCTGGCAAATGCCCTGTAGTTTTGTGTCTGTCTTCCCCTTTTTAGAAAGAATAGAAGTAGCAGAAGTCTCGTTGTTTCCTGATGATTTCGATTGACTTCCATGTCTATCCTTAACCTACCATTGAAGCCAGGGAAATATAATGCAATGATTATTTTAGGGCCAGGTACCATGCTTTACTCCTGAGTCATGGAGGAGCCCTACTCAAGCATATGTAGAGAAGAGGCAATGTCTGGTAGATTCTTAACAGAAAATTTACACTGTTGCCAAAAGAATAGCAAGTAGTGACTTGGAACTGTCAAAAGACACAAATACAGCAAATATAGTTGAAAGGTCTAATTGGCTTTTAATTGCAATTCCAGAGTCACAAAATAGAATGAGGGTTCCAATGAGCTTAGTGGAGAAAGTTGGCTTTATAGGCAGAAAAGGGCTGAGGAAAGAAATATATCCTTGTACAGGGAAACAGTTTCTAAACTAATCACAATCCTATGAGATATGTGAACAAATTACACCCTAAAATGTGAGAGGCCGTTTCAGTTAGTGTTAATAAGCAGATGTTTTTGCATAGTCACAGAGTAGAAATCATTGAATTTTAGAACACTGAATTTCTCCCTCTCTCTCTCTCTCCCTCCCTCCCTCTCCCTCTCCCTCCCTCCCTCCCTCTCTCCCTGTCTCTCTCTCTCTCTCTCCCCTTCATTTTTGAGACGGAGTCTCTCTCTGTTGCCCAGGCTGGAGTGCAGTGGCATGATCTTGGCTCACTGCAACCTCCGCCTCCAGGTTCAAGCGATTCTCCCCCTCAGCCTCCTGAGTAGCTGGAACTACAGGCGCGTGCCACCACGGCTGGCTAATTTTTTGTATTTTTAGTAGAGACAGAGTTTCACCATGTTACCCAGGATATTCTCGATCTGCTGACCTAGTTATCCACCAGCCTCGGCCTCCCAAAGTGCTAGGATTACAGGTGTGAGCCACCGTGCCTGGCCGAACACTGAATTTTAGTTTCAGCAGTTATCAGTAGAAGAGGGAGTACAATTAGATAAATGTCCCAAGACTGCAGCAGGTTGTCCCCCCAACTCCAGCAAACACAATAACATCAGAACTGTTTTGAATGACAAGCAGCTCCTGGATGTACAGTACATAACATGCATGACTATACACAGCAACCTGAATTTCAACTGTGACTGTTGGTCATTTTAAGTTATAATACATACAGTTTCATGAGAAAAAAGGGGGAATAAAGATCTAGACCAAGAGAAAGAGTATCTGCGATTTTAAAAAAGCTCATTAACTCTGTTTTTAGTAAATAACAATGCTCATCACCATGAGGCAAACGCATGCTTTGAATTTTGTTTTCAAATAAGATGATTGACCTGAATCCCTCCTCAATTATCTACCTCCCTCAAACTTTTCACAGTTATTCACAATAAAGTGGAATGAGCTAAAATGTAATTATGAACATAAAGAGTAATGAACTGCTCAAGTATATCTCATAAACACGACTTTAATCTTGTTAACAGTGGTTCCCCATGTTTTTGTTTTGTCTCTCAAGATCCCACCTGAGAGAGAACCTCATTTATACCACTTGCATGGGTTTATGAGTACAGACAGTTAAAGACCAATTGCTTTTGAATAGTGGTTCTTCATCCAGTGTGATTCCCCTTTACTCTGCCCAGGAAACATCGACAATGTCTAGAAACAGTTTTTATTGTCACACCTGGGTGGGGAATAGGAGATGCTAATGGCATCATATAGGTAGAGGCCAGGGATGCTGGTAAATATCCAACAATGCACATAACAGCCCCCACAATAAAGACTTATCCAGCCAAAAAGCTTACTAAGGACATTATCTGAATGTTTTCACCACAAAGAAATAACTGTATGATATGTGTGCTAGTTACCCTGATTTCATCATCACACAAGGTATACCTGTATCAGAAAAACAAACCACGTTGTGCTTCATAAATATGTACAATTCTTATGTGACAATTTTTTAAAAGAATTGTTAATGTCAGTAGTGCCAAGGCTGAGAAATTTTGCCCTAGAGATAAGATTGTTTTGTTGCCTTTGTCTCCCACAGATCACTGTGACTAGCAAACACTTCAAATCAATTGAAATCAGGAGTCATGATGATGGATAGAGCCTTAATGGATAGGGCCTGGAGGATGCCTTTGAGCTGACCATCTACCAGACTTTTAAAATGTTACAATACTGACAGTATTACTAATTTACACTTTAGTGGCATGGTAAAAATCTACATGATGGAATATTATGCAGTTATAATACATATCTTACAATGATTTTAAATGGCATGTAAAAATATCCATGAACTGATCATTGAAAAGACTCAATACTTTTTCAAAAGTATGGTATAACCCCACTATCTATGTTTGATGAATACAGACAATTTTGTGTGAGTAATATATATGCTACACATATAAAAATAAATACATATTAAAATTCTATTAGCAATGTATTTACAGGTAACTTTAATTTACTTCTTTAACTTTTCAGAATTTTTCAACTGATCAACAATAAGTAGATATTTTTATTCAAAGGAAATGGTTATTTACAAAAATTGAGAAGAAATTATGTTTATGGTATGCTTCTGAAAACACTTTCAAACGTTCTGTAGATAGATTTTTGGCTACTGATGACTAAGAAATGATATCGGTCATGGTGAAGACAAGTTAGAGCAAAATGTTAAAATATTTCAGAGTAAATTTTTAATTTTATTTGCAGAAAAAGTGAGCATTAGCATTAAAGTTGAGATACACAAAATGCAAGCAATTTGTGGGGAAAGGATTTAAATATTTTGAAGCAAATTATTTTATTTGCCAAAAAAGTTTGGCATTAGGATTAAGGTTGAGAAGTACATAATGCAAACAATTTGTGGAGAAGAAATGAAAAGTTATTGCCATCCATTACTTACTTCCATCAGGGGAAGTAAGATTACAATATAACATTCAAAAATAAATAAAATCTACAAATAATGCTGGAGATATATGAAGTCTCCTTTGGCTTTTAGGCCATGAAGATTCAGCTGTTACCTAACTAGAAGTTATCTTCCTAATATCCCGCATACTATAGAAGAGAGGGCTATTAGTACACACACACACACACACACACACACACACACACACACACACACACACACATACACAGAGAGCATACATGAAGCATACTAATAGGTCTTTTTAGCTAACCATACACATACATGAAACCAAGGAAACATTACATGTAATTTTGACTACAAGGAGACAGAGTCTTCAAGGTAGCAAAGTCAAGAGTAATTTATTTAGTTTAATCAATTCATACTGCATCTGTCTTATTTTAACCATGGAGCAATATTTCTTTAATATTTCTTAACACCTGCATAAAATCTGGATTTCTTTTATTTTTAACTTTTACTTTAGGTCCCAGAATACATGTGAAGGTTTGTTATGTATGTAAACTCTTGTCATGGGGGTTTGTTGTACAGATGATCTCATAACCCAGCTATTAAGCCTAGTGTCAAGTGTTATTTTTTCTGCTTCTCTCCCTACTCTCACCTCCAACCTCAAGTAGACCCCAATGTCTGTTTCATTCTTTGTGTTCATGAGTTCTCATCATTTAGCTCCTACATATAAGTAAGAAGATGCAGTATTTTGTTTTCTGTTCCTGCGTCAGTTTGCTAAGGACAATAGCCTCCAGCTTGCTCCATGTTTTCACAAAAGACATGTCCTCATTCTTTTTGGCAGTTGCATAGTGAGAGTGTTAGGAGGCAGCCAAATGCCTAGGCAGGTTAAGGGCGGGTCCCCAGTGAAATCCCACCTCAAAGCCGAAAACAGTTTAAAGCCTGAAACTCAAGCCACAAGTTAAATCTTCAGACCAGATTGAGAACTTGTCTTTCCGTTTGGCATGCTTTCCTCTGACTGATCCCCAACCTTCACCCATTTTACATACACCTACCCTTTCCTAATTGATTTTCTACACTGTCATGCCCACCTTTGAGTGCTGTCTTTGCTTTACCCTTTTTTGCATACTCACAAACCAATCAGCATGCACTCCCTATTCTGAGTCCATAAAAGATCCTGGACCCAGTCACACCAGGGGACTTTCCCACTTTCGGGTTGGTTGACCATTTTCACGTCCCCACTCTGCGGAAAGCTGTTTCATCAATCAATAAAATTCTTCTCCGCTTTCCTCATCCTTCAATGTCCAGCATATGCCCATTCTTCTTGGGCAAGATACAAGAGCTCAGGAACTGCCAAACATGAGTACAAGCTATAACACAGGTGAGCTAGGGCACAGTAGCATAGCCTAATGAGGCCCAGGTGGGGTGTCACTGGCCAGAAGTCCCCAGCTTGCAAAATGACTGAGAAGAAAAATCCTACATCAGTAGTATTCCATGGTGTATATGTATCACATTTTCTTTATCCAATTTGTCACTGATAGGCATTTAGGTTGATTCCACGTATTTACTATTGTGAATAGTGCTGGAGTGAACATGCGTTGTGTATTTGTGGTAGAATGCTTTATATTCCTCTGGGTATGTACCCAGTAATGGGATGGCTGGGTTAAATGAGAGTTCTGCTTTTAGCTCTTTGAGGAATCACCAGGCTGCTTTTCACAATGGTCAAACTAATTTACACTCCCACCAACAGTGTATAAGTGTTCCTGTTTCTCCACAACCTCACCAGCATCTGTTATTTTTTGACTTTTTAACAATAGCAATGCTGACTGGCATGTGACATGGTGTCTCATTGTGGTTTTGGTTCACATTTCTCTAATGATCAGTGATATTGAGCCTTTTTTCATATGTTTCTTGGTCACAGGTAAGTCTTCTTCTGAAAAGTGTCTGTTAATGCCTTTTCCCCACTTTTAAATGGGCTTATTTTTCTGTTATAAATGTGTTTAAATGCCACATAAATACAGATAGTAGACCTTTGTCAGATGCACAGTTTGCAACCATTCTGTAGGTTGTTTTTTTACTCTGTTAATAGTTTATTTTGCTGTGCAGAGCTCTTAAGTTTAATTAGATGCCATTTGTCAATTTTTGTTTTTGTTGTAATTGCTTTTGGTGTCTTGGTCATGAAATCCTTGCCCTTTCCTATGTCCAGAATGGTATTGCCTACATTGTCTTCCAGGGTTTTTACAGTTTTGGGTTTTACATTTAAGTCTTTAAAACATCTTGAGTTGATTTTTTTATATTGTGTAATTAAGGGGTCCAGCTTATAGCCTACCAACAAAAAAAAGCACAGGACTTGATGGATTCACAGCCAAATTCTACCAAATGTACAAAGAAGAGCTGGTATCATTCCTACTGAAACTATTCCAAAAGAACTGAAAAGGAGGGACTCCCCCTCCTTTTATGAAGCCAGCATCATCCTGATACCAAAACCTGGCAGAGACACAACAAAAAAAAAGAAAACTTCAAGCCAATATCACTGATGAATCTCAATGTGAAAATCCTCAATAAAATACTGGCAAACCAAATCCAGAAGCACATCAAAAAGCTACTCCACCATGATTAAGTAGGCTTCATCCCTGGGATGCAAGGTTGATTCAACATATACAAATTAATAAATGTGATTCATCACATAAACAGAACTAAAGACAAAAACCTACATGATTATCTCAATAAATGCAAAGCACGCTTTCTATAAAATTCAACATCCCTTTATGTTAAAAACTTTCAATAAACTAGGTATTAAAGGAAGTACCTCAAAATAATAAAAGCAATCTATGACAAACCCATAGGCAACATCATACTGAATAGGCAAAAGCTGGAAGCATTCCCCTTGAAACCCAGCACAAGACAAGGATGACCTCTCTCACCACCTCTACTCAACATAGCATTGGAGGTCCTAGCCAGAGCAATCAGGCAAGAGAAAGAAATAAAGGGCATCCAAATAGGAAGAGAGGAATTCAAATGATCTCTGTTTGCAGTTGACATGATTCTATATCTAGAAAACCACATATTCTTTCCCCAAAAGCTTCCCCAGCTGATAAACAACTGCAGCAAAGTTTCAGGATACAAAATTAATGTACAAAAATCACCAGCATTCCTATATACTAGTAACAGCCAAGGAATCAGGAAAGCAATCTCATTCACAATTGCCACAGAAAAATAAAATACCTAGGAATACAGCTAATCAGGGAGGTGAATGATCTCTACAATGAGAATTACAGAACACTGCTCATCAAAATCTGAGAAGACACAAACAAATGGAAAGCATTCCATGCTCATGGATAGGAAGAATCAATATCATTAAAATGGCCATAGTGCCCAAAGCAATGTACAGATCCAATGCTATTCCTATCAATCAATGACATTCTTCACAGAACTAGAGAAAACTATCTTAAAATTTATATGGAACCAAAAAAGAACCCGAATAGCCAAGGAAATCAAAAGCAAAAATAACAAAGCTGGAGGCATCACATTACCTGACTTCGAACTGTACTACAGGGCTAAAGTAACCAAAACAGCATGGTACCACTGATACAAAAACAGGCACATAAACCACTGGAACAGAATAGAGCACCAAGAAATAAGACCATGCACCTACAACTATCTGATCTTCAACAAACCTGACGAAAACTAGCAACAGGGAAAAGACTCCCTGTTCAATAAATGGTGCTGGGATAACTGGCTAGCTATATGCAGAAACTGTAGATTTCTAAAATTCCTCCTCAGAAATCTAGCTTTATAAGGCCTAGAGTTAAGGCCTAGGAACCTGCATTGTGAATAAATACCCACAGGTGGTTTAGGACCCTGGAAGCACACCTCAAAATCCCAATCTCTCTGCAGAGTTGTTCTCCAAGATCTCTTTCCTCTCCACTCCCCTTCCTAGCGCTCAATTCCATTAGGCACTTCCCTCTTCCTGTAGTATTCCACCTCCTCTGATATAAGGCCTCCAGGGAGTGCTTTGTAGGCCTTTTACTTTCTTCTCCTAGGCATTGCAGCTGAATACGAGATGAGATAAAGAGAGAGAGGGAAACCTTAATGTCGTAAAGATGGAGAAGAGAAGGGGACAAAACCACCCTAGTCTGGCCTCAGAGGATTAAATCTTTTACAGCAAAGATCACTCTGCTGCTAGCAAATATTTTTCATCTTAATTCATATGCTGAAAGAATTCATTGCCTTCCCTAGCATGACGAATTGTTTAAAAATACCTTTCTAATCTTAAACTTTATATGTGCTAGACTCCAGGAAATGATAGGAACCCCAATATTTGTCCATCTGAAGAGGATTTATTTTCTTTCCTTAATACAACCAAAAAGAAATAAAGCTTGAAAAAATTTCCTGGATTTATCTTGATTTCATATTCTTTCTCTCTTTACCAACCAAGAAGATTCTCAACTTGTGAGGCATACTGCCTAAAAGGAGTTAGATGGGATGAAGTAGAATGTTTTTGAGGGTGTGGTCCAACAATTTGAAGAAACATTGCCCACAGAAGCAATAAATTTGGACTGAGTAACGGAGGTAATTGCACAAGTGATTAATCAAAGACATCAAAACTCTCATCCAGAGGATCCCAAGGTTAAAGAACAAATTTAGCTCAAAGAATCTTCAGTTCTCTACTTCGTATTCTCATGCAAATTGTTTCATCCATTTATTGTCTCATGTAAACAACAGAGTAATTACCTTAATTGGCAATATTTTTGTATTCCTTATAAGACTAGACACAGTGGAGAAATAATTGGAGGTCCCATAAGAATGAAACAATAAAAACAAAAATATGAAAAATAAAAACAAATTTTAAGAAAGCAAAATAAACTTAAGCAATCTCATGATCCCAATTCTTTTCCCAAAATGAATCAAAATATTTATGTGAAACTTTGAAAATCCCCCTCTGGACAAATCTCAGAGGTACAAGCTCTTCCCAACCAGGAGCTAGATTTGTTGAAAAAAAAAAAAAAAAGCCACTTTGGGAATTGGTCCCAATGTGTCCTCTAAAAGAACAAACATCCTGAGTTGCTGAGGACACTATCTTTTTGACAACAGCTAAGGGAAATGTTTAAATTTTTAATTTGCAATTATATTAGAAAACATTAATGACACAAGTAAGGTTAAAAATGAGAATTAAATGATTTTTCATACCCCTCAATTGTGCCCCATTTAAGTATACTGCGCCAAGCTGGAGACCCAGAAAAAAGTTGTCAAAGTTCAAGCTCAAAAGCAACCTGGAGGCCCAGCGCGGTTCCCAGCACTTTGGGAGGCCGAGGCAGGTGGATCACCTGAGGTCAGGAGTTTGAGACCAACCTGGCTAACATGGCAAAACACCCTCTCTACTAAAAATACAAAAATTAGCCAGGCGTGGGGTGAACATCTGTAATCCAAGCTACTCAGAAGGCTGAGGCAGGAGAATCCCTTGAACCTGGGAGGCAGAGATTTCAGTGAGCCGAGATCACGCCACTGCACTCCAGCCTGGGCAACAGAGCTAGACTCCGTCTCAAAAAAACAAACAAACAAACAAACAACAAAAAAAACAAAGCAACCTGGAGCCACAATTCCCTCTTTTTTAAGGCAACATTTTTTCTTAAGACCTTCTACTGATTAGATGACACTTCTTCACGTTATGGAAGGCAATATGTTTTACTCAAGATCTACTGGTTTAAATATCAATCTCACCTAAAAAATACCTTTACAGCAACATGTAGACTGGTATTTGATAAAATATCTGGGTACTGTGGCCTAGTAAAGTGACATAAAATTAACCATCACACATACCAATATTATATTTACACTTTCTAATCTTAATCATCCTATAAACTTTTTAAAATATAATAAATACTTTGAATGCTCATTTATACTGCTTAATGAGCAATTATATTTTATTAAAATTAACTCAAACTTTGGAAATAATGTTGCATTTCAATAATAAAATATTTTTGAGTGCTGCAGACTTCATAGGGTAGTGAATATGACTTCTATGGCTCCCTGAAGTTTTCAGCTATTAACAGTTCCCTACGCTGGAAAAATAATTTAAATTTGTTTAAATATTAGATGTCTATTCTGCAAAATATTTTGACTTAGAAACTCATTTGCTAATATCAAGCTGGTAGTCACTAAACTTTTTAAATTTAAAATTATGCTACTATGTTATCATGTTCAGTAATTGACAGCTTGGCTTTCATTGTATTCAACTGGAGAGTTTTACAAATACTGAGGCCTGAGTCCCACCTGGAGAGTTTTCTGATTTAATTGGTCTGCGATGCAGCTGGGGATCAGAATTTTTTGAAGCTCTCCAGGTGAAGCTAATGTGCAGCCGGATTTGAGAGCCACCTTATATCTGATAGTAAATTAATTCAACCCAAATGTACATAGCCCATTATTAGTACACATTTATAACTGTGTTTATATTCACTCAGCAAAAAAAAAGAGAGAATAGAACATACTCATTTTACATTTGAAGTGTAGATAACACAGACAAAAGTTATTTTATTTTCTAGACAATTCACTCTAATTATTCAGGTATGTATTTTAAGACACTAGATATATTAATAACCATAAATAAAATTAGCATATAATTTTCTTTTTTCCTTTACTTCTCAGAGCTTAGTATTAAAAGAGTATGTTAAAAGAACATCCTTTTATTGCTATGCTTTAGAGCAGCTTAAAAAGCATCAGAATTTTGTGTGCTTTGAAGGTTTTACAAAGTTGGTGAACTGTGTTTGCAGATGCCTGTGTGTGTGTGTGTGTGTGTGTGTGTGTGTGTGTGTGTGTGTGTGTGTTTAAAATAGCTGGTCTATAACAACTTAATTTCTTAATGGCATTAGACCTCTTTGGTGTTTATTTCTCTTCTGGGGACCTTTTTGCAATCTGTATTTTTCTTAAAAATCATCTCTTCCATTATCAATTTTTAAATGTGTTGGCAATGTTTGGCTGGTTATTAATATACTGTCTTTCCCCTTTAGGCCCACCATTCCATGCTACTACATGATGCTGGGGCTAGGGCAGGGCAAAACAATTTCCCCTTTGCCAGCTGGCTCCCTGTAGGGATGTGCCAATAAGGAGTCT
Organism: Homo sapiens; assembly: GCF_000001405.40. Classification (NCBI taxonomy): domain Eukaryota; kingdom Metazoa; phylum Chordata; class Mammalia; order Primates; family Hominidae; genus Homo; species Homo sapiens. The sequence continues at coordinate 187,062,749 of NC_000002.12, read as the reverse complement.
CCCGGAGGGAAACTAAAAAGCTGGAGGAGACAAAGAAAGCTGTCTCTTCTTTGCTTGCTGTTCCTGTCAACATCACTACAGCAATACAGTCATATGCCGTATAATGACATTTAGGTCAGTGATGGACCGCATAGGCAATGACAATCCCACAAAATTATGATGGAGCTAAAAAAGTCCTATCACCTAGTGACTTCGTAACCATCTTAACATCATAGTGGAATATGTTACGCGTGTGTTTTGATGATGCTGGTGTAAACAGACCTACTGCACTGCCAGTAATATAAAAATATACAGTAATGCCCTAGGCCTTTCCATTCACTCACCACTCACTCTCTGGCCCAAGACTCACTTTCAGTCCTGCAAGTTACATTCATGAGTGACCTATACGGGTGTATCATTTTTGTTCTTTTACACCATATTTTTACTGTACCTTTTTAAGTTTCTTGCTTATTATAGATAATAACATTCTAATCTTTTCACTTTGAATATACTTTCCAAATCCATTATTTGTTTATTGATTTATAATGGCATCTTTAACTTGTAATTAAAGGAATCTATCACTTTTTATAGCTGTGGGTTTCTAGCGTTGAATAAGATCTCCCTCATCCCTAAGTTATACCTATAGTATCCTAGATTTTTTGGCAGCATTTTCTGTTGCTTTAGTTTAATATTGATTTTTGTATTGGTATAATAAGATACAGGTCTAATTTCATTTTATTCTAGATAGTATAGTATTAATAATACTTTCTATTAAATAATTATCTTTTTTCATGAATTAAAACACCACCTTTGTCATATATTACATTCAAATGTATATGAATATCAATTTTTGTTTAAATATTTGTTCTTTTATTATTCCGGTACCACAATATTACTTTCATGTGACAAAGTCTATCTCCTTGAGCAAACTTTAGATGGGCTCCTCTGAGTCCTCTTCTCAAATAGGCCTCAACATTGGTCTCTGTCCTTGGTGGGCCTGCATATCTGGTTTTAGCAAGAATGCTGCTAATTAGTTTAGAGAAAATTTTCTACCCTCAATATCTAATCAAATTTCTCACCCTCCACCCTTGATATATGATCAATCTGGCCTGCTTTTAGCAAAAATCCTGTTAAGTCATTTAGCAAGAATCCCCCAGCCCTTGATGTCTCCTCTTAGTAATTTTTCATCCATCAACAGCCTCCCACCTGCTTCTTGGCTATAAATCCCCAGGCCTCCTTGTTGTACTTATTATTGAAATTAGTTCTATACTGAGGTCTCTTTCCCCCATTCCAACAGTTTCTAAATAAAATCTGTTTTTACCACTTTGACTACTGTTTCACTCTGGGTTTTATTTGACATATTGTTATTTTATTGATAAAAGCAAGTCCCTAAATATTTTTTCATGTTTTTTGTTAGATACCCTAAGATATGCATACTCTTAAATGAGCTTAAAGATCATTTTAACCAATTCTTAAAAATTCTGTTGAGCTCTATTTGGAATTGAATTAAGTTTGTAAATTAATTATGGGAGAATTGGCATTTTATGATGTTAAATTTCTCTATGCAAAAAGAAGTGTCATATTTTGTTTGCACAATTGTTTTTATGTCTCTTTATTTTCTCAAATCTTACTTTATTCTCTTTAATTAAATTTTTTGATTTTTACGTGTCCTGCCCTTATTTTAAAATTTATTCATAATTATTTTATGTTTTTGCTAATATGAACTTTCCATTTTTAAGTGTTTATTGCTAATATAGGGAAAATCTGTATTTTGTATATTTATTTTATATGCAGTTACTGTACCAAATTATTTTATTAATTTATTTTTTAACTAGAAGTTTTATGTATTCTTGTTATGAAATATATCATTCACAAAAAGGTTTAGTTTCAACTTTTCTTTGTCAAGATCTCTACCAATCATTTTTCTTTTCTTAATGAACTAGAATCCCCAAAACAAGAGACTACCTCAAGAATTTCTCTATAGTTTCTTACTGTTATTTAAATGGTTTTAATGTTTTGCCACTTAGAATACTATCTGCTGTAGATTTTGCAGGATAGGTACTATTAAATTTTATTTGTTTCATATAATTCCTATTTAACATAGCCTTTGCATTAGGAATAGCTTTAATTTTATCAAGTACATTTTCAGCAAATTGATATAAATATGTCAATTTTCTTCTTTAATTTTTGATGAAATGGATTAGTTTGATAATCCCCTGATATTGAAATGCCCTTGCATCCCTCAATAAACATTCTTATTCACAACACTTTCTTTGGTACACTGCTAGAGTCTTTTTACAAAGATTTTATTTAGATTTTCTGTTCCCATACTTAAAAAAGAGAATGGTGAATAGTTTTGGTTAATTTTTTTTTAATTTTAATACAGTCGGTGCTCTTTGTCTGGGTTCCACATCCACAGATTCAACCAACCACAGATTTAAAATATTTGGAAAAAAGTTTTAAATTAAAAATAACAATACAGCAATAAAAATACAAATAAAAATATAGTATAACAATTCCTTATATAGCATTTACATTGTCTTAAGTATTCCAAGTAATCTAGAGATGATGTAAGGCATATGGAAGGATGCGCATAGGTTATATGGAAATACTACATCATTTTATATAAGGGACTATAGCATCTTTGGGTCTGAGCATCCATGGTGGTCCTGGAACCAGTCCCATCCCCCATACAATACTGTAAATAAAACATTTGTTTTTAAAGGTACATCAGCATTATGAAATAAATTAGGCAAAGTTACAGATTTTTCTTGGATTTTAAATAGCTCAAATAATATTGGAATTCTCTGTTCCTTAAAAGTTAGAAGAGGTTAGCTGAAAGCCATCTGGTCTTCCTTTCATTTTCAGTGGTAGATTACTAAGCAATCTCCTCATCTTGTCAGCAATAAGCAGTTTATCCAAGATTTCCAATTCTTTATTTCTTGGTTAGTTTATGTCCTGCTAATAGACAACTGGCTTTTCATTATTTTTAAATTTGTTGCCATAGATTTGTATGTTGAAATGTCTCATGTTCTAATAACTTCAAATTTTCTGGCTATGTATCTTTTCTCATTTATTCTGTCCCATTTTTTTCCTTCAAATTTCTAAGAGGTTTACCTACTTTATTGGCTTTTTCAAAGAACTAGCTATTGGAGTTATCTATTCTTTATACTTTTTTATTTTATTAATTTCTACTTTTATCTTTATTGACTACTTCCTCCTAGTTCATTCACTCATACTTCACTCCTAGCTCTGTGTGTGTGTGTGTGTGTGTGTGCGTGTGTGTGCGCATGCGTGTGTGTATTTATATTTTGTGAGGTTTTTTTGCTGGACTCTAATGTAATGTATTTTTATTTTTCTTTGCTAGATCATTCATGATTTTTCAAATGATTTCCTTTTTTATTCATGTATTATTTAGAATGATGACTATTAAATACCAGGTGGTTAATATATCAAGATTAAGCTATTAAAACTATTTCTAATTTTATGTGAATATGAACAAATAAACTGCCCTATAAAAATGTCCATACTTTAAAATGCATTTTTGAGGCCAATACATGTTCAATTTTTAACCAATTCATGCAAAAATTTTTTTTAAAATCATAATATCTAAGGATTTAGACATTTTGTATATTTATTAAGCCATGTTTTTGAAATAATGTAATGAAAGTCAGTTCTGCTTTTTGAGTCACTATCTTTTAATGGGTAAATGCAATTCATTCATATATAACATAATGACTAATATATATTATTCTATTTCTTCTATCATATTTTATTTTCTATTTTTCTTTATTGTGTTCTTGTTTTTCTTTTCCTTAATATTGCTAATTTATCTAATTGTTTTTTCCTTTTCTTTCTTTGTCCTTTATTAATGCTGTTTAGTTTGGTTACTATACTTTCATCAGTCCCTTTCTTTCTTTTTCCTAGCATAATAATCAGCAACTATTTAAAAGAAAAAGATCCTGTTTTTCCCCTATAAAACTCTCATAACATCCTACTCGCAACACCCTTATAAGATGAAACTCTTAGAATACTTTATTTTTTTATCCTTTTTCATTTACTATTTTTTCTGGAATAGCATGATGGTATTCCTTGCAGCATATTCCTCCATTTCAAGGGTTCCTGTTTGGTCTTATACTCCCAGCCTATAACATTCAGCTATAACTATACACATATATACATTTTTAACCTCAGCACCTAACAGTTGTTTCCTCTACTCATCCTCTTCACCCATGATTAGAAACATGTTTTGATTCATTTGTTATTTAATTAGTTATTTACTTGGTAGTTTGCCTCAGATGATTTCTATGGATGATACACACTTTAAATATGTTAATATTCTCAAATATTTTCCTTTCTCCTGGCAGCTAAATGTAAACTTGGCTTGGGTTGGGCTCTAGCTGTCTTTCAAATAGTCTGTAATTTATTGTAAATATATTCTAACAGCTGAAGTTGCAGATGAGACACTATTCTTATTTTCTTTTCTCCTTTTTTGCAAATGAAACTTGTAGCACCAGAAAACACTAAGTAGGTACCTCTTATTATGAAAAATGTAGACTATTTGTCTTTCTTCATCTGAATAAAATTTTCTTCTATTAATTTTTGAATTATTGTCTCTTCTCCAATTGTTGGCACTTCCATTTGTGGAACCCTATTATTCACATTTTATGTTATATTACTTATTACTTTATTATATATTCTTTACCTTATTTTATTATTTATTATTGAGCTACTCCTGTCTGCCACTATTTTAGGTCTTAATGTTAATCATTTTGCTTTTACTAATCCCCTGAATAATTTGCTTCAAAAATGTAAAAATATTACATTTTTAAAAGTTTGAGAGCTCTTTTTTCCACAGTGCTTGAATTTTATTAAAGTTTATATTGTTTTTGTTTTTACTTAAATTGTTTTCTGTCACCTGCAGCTGTTCTATTTCTCTAGATGCTTGTTTTGTAATCTCAGGCATAGCAGGCTTTGCTCTACTGTTCAACTGCTCCTCAATGTCATACAGGCAGTGACATGTCCTGGGGGCCATGTTAGTCTCAGCCCAAGCAGTAGGCCAGCTTTGACTGTTAGATTCCTCTCATGGCCCAAGGTCTCACATGCAGCCAGCTGCTAGTCAGTTCCAGATGTTCTCTGAAGGAGCAGATAAAATTTCAGGGTGGAAGGAACACGAGAAATGCTTAATGAGGTTACCATCTTTACTCTTTGAATCTTTTTTGTTTTATTTTATTTGGATAACTAATAATTTATCTAATGTTTTGTTTTCCAAGTAATCAGTTCTTGAATGTATTTATATTTATTAGTTGTCCCTTTTTTTTTTTTTTTTTTTTTTTTTTTTTTTTTTTTTTTTTTCCAGACAGAGCCTTGCACTGTTGCCCAGGCTGGAGTGCAATGGTGCGATCTTGACTCACTGCAACCTCCGCCTCCCAGATTCAAGCAATTCTCCTGTCTCAGCCTCCCAAGTAGCTAGGATTACAGGCACCCGCCACCACACCCAGCTAATTTTTTGCATTTTTAGTAGAGATGGGGTTGCTCCATGTAGGCCAGACTGGTCTTGATGCCTAAAGAAATTTCATGAGGTAAGTCAAAATTATAGATCTTTTACAAGACTAAATTCAAAATTTAATGCAAGGTCAGCAAACTTTTTTGTAAAACGCCAGATAGTATTTTTGGTTTGGGGGCCATATGGTTTCTCCTGCAAATACTCAATCTGCCATTGTAGAACAAAAGCAGTCATAGACATTATGTATGTAAATCATTGGTGATAGGTATGTTCCAATAAAACTTTATTTACTAAAACAGGCACCAGGCCAAATTTAGCCAATGGACTATGGTTAGCTGACCTCTTATTTAATGAAAAAATTATAAATTGATATATTTAACTGTCCTGAACTGAGAAAAAGCATGATAATGACAATACCCTTACTACTTGACTCAATGCCAGTAGATTTAAGCAGCATCCTATGCTGCTAATTAGAAAAGAACCAATACTGTTGTCATAGCAACAGTTTGACTGGTTGCTGTGCTGCATTACATGCAAGCTATTTTAAATGATGTATGCAATATAATAACACATAAAATTATCAACTATACCCCCATGTAGCTTAAGAAAAGAAGTCGTCATTCTAATGTTATGCAATCATTAGTGACTTATACAGTGAATTAGCCCATAGCTCTAACATGTAAGAAGCATTTAACTTATAATCGTAAGATGACTTTTAGAGGCATATTAAGTCTTTTCTTTCTATGTCTCTTTGGATATATTCACACATATATAAATAATTACATATAGATAAAGGATTTTTGTTTAAAATCTAGTCAAATGTATTTTTATTTACTAATAGTTCTGAATTAATTAATTTAATACTAAAATTTAAATTGTCATAGTGGTTAATAACCTGAAGAAAAAAAATCTTCTATTTAGAGCAGATTCCAACAAATATATTTTTCCGTTAATCAGACTCTGGAAATACCAAAGTGGTGGCAAGAAGGACAAATGTTTATTTTCCAATTCTACAACCATTAAAATTCATGGTTTGGAAAAACATGTAACAGTTTAGAAAAGGTTCATGATATAAAAATATGCAAGAAATTACTATAGCTATAGAATTTTAAGTGATATTATCAATTCAGAAATAACAAGAAAGTTGAGCAAAGAATTGCTTCTCACCATTCACATCAGAAAAAATTCAAAAACTAAAAGGATCCGGCCCATGCCTCAAAGAAAATGCCTTGGCTTGCCAAGGCATTGATAAAAGATATTGAAGACACAAATAAATGGAAATATATTTCTTTTTTTTTTTTTCAGGATGTCTAACTAGGGACATTGGATGTCAGTTCTCCTCAGAAAGAAGATCACAGTTACTGGTGAATGGACAAGTTATGCATGGAAAACTGAGGGAAGTGGGCCAGGACCCATTAGAGTGCCCACAGAAAGAAGTTGGGTTGCAGAAAAGGAAAGCAGCAAGAGTCTGGCAGGGATGAACCCCTGAGGAACTCAGAGCCTCACGGAAGGGGTAGACAGAAAAACATCTCTGCTGTCTTCACCCCTGCAACAGTTGGCTGACTGCCAAACTGTTGAGAAACACTTCTGCTCTTGTGACCCACAGCAACACTATCAATAATGATTTGGGGAGTTCCAGAGGACAAAGAACTGGGAAGCCAGATTGCACAGGCATGTCTGCACTCCCTGTACACCTGAACTAAGATGACAGGTACCATACTGCTTGTGCAGCTGTGGTGGCCACTGCTCTGCTTGAGAATGTGCCTTTGAGTCACCACACCCCCAGATCACCCCAAAATGTTCCCTACAACCCACTCTGACTTTGGTAAGCACAGTGGACCAGCAGGTCCCTGGGAAGCTGTGGGACTCCTGGAGATCTAAGCCTCAGCATAGGCCATGCTTAGGGAAGAGGGGATTGCAGCTCACCAAATCCCCTCTGGGGACAAAGAAAATAGGAGCACAGCTCCAGCTGGTGAAGGTGGCAGCACCGATGCCCAGGAACAGACATGGAAAGGGGAACATCTCCAAACCCTTCCCTTAGCCACTGTTGCAGATGCAGCAGCAGTCCTTTTCACTGGGGGCTGGTGTGTGTGCACTCAGAGAAAGCATTTTTTCATGCTTTTTGTAGTAGCCACATCCCCACTGAAAGTGAGCCCATGCCACCTGGGTGTATACAACTCAACTCCCCCTCCTTACACAGAGGGCAGTATCCCAGCAATGGAGGACAGACAAGCCATGGAGTTGCCTGCTCTAGAATGAGAGCAGTGTCTCTTCCCCCAAGACTATTTTTGCAGGAGGTGTCAGAAGGGCATATCCAGTGCCCACAGCTGTACTGTGGCCAGGAAACAAAGGACAAAGTCTTCATGAACTTAAGGTCATACGCCCTATGACCAGGCACAATAGGAAAGCAGATAGCATTTCTGTCAGGTTATGATGAAGAGCTTGTACACCTCTCTATCCATTTCCCCGGTATCTCAGAGCACCCAAGCACAATCTCTTCTTGCAATGACCCCATCAGCGTGGGTGCTTCCACTGGTCATCATCTCACCTGAGGGCCCACCAGCTACTGCTCTTAAGTGTCACCTACTGGACTGCAGCCTGAACTGCACAAGCAAATTAAAAGCCTGCTGCTTGAGGGGCTTAGTGCTAGCCCATGAAATAAGCTTTCTGAGTCCTCTGCACCCTCAGCCCCACATAATACAGCGTGTGTCAGCTCATACATCCAATACATTACCACAAAGCAGCATCCAATAAAGACACCACAGAGAAGCTATCCACAACCAAGTAACCCAGTCTTGGCCCCCTGAAAGCACCCAGAAATGAAGCTAAACAATCACTAATAACAAACATCACAGTCATACTCTCAAGAGAAAAAGAACACAAAAATTAAAAAGTTTCACCCAAATGATAGCATATTCAAAAGTAAGAAGAAACAGCACGTTCACATGAGAAAAAGAGTTCATCACAAGAACTACAGCAGTAAAAAAGGCCAGAATGCCTTGACACCTCCAAAGGATTACACTAGCTCTCTTGCTCTCTAGGAATGGATACTAAGCAAAATGCAAAGTCTGAAATGACAAAGAATTCAAAATATAAATTGCAAGGTAACCAAATAAGATCCAAAAGAAAGGGCCGGGCGTGGTGGCTCACGCCTGTAATCCCAGAACTTTGGGAGGCCGAGGCGGGTGGATCACGAGGTCAGGATATCGAGACCATCCTGGCTAACACGGTGAAACCCCGTCTCTACTAAAAATACAAAAATAAATTAGCTGGGCCTGGTGGCGGGCATCTGTAGTCCCAGCTACTCGGAAGGCTGAGGCAGGAGAACGGCATGAACCTGGGAGGTGGAGCTTGCAGTGAGCCAAGATCACGCCACTGTACTCCAGCCTGGGTCACAGAGCGAGACTCCATCTCAGAAATAAAAATAAAAACAAAAACCTTTGGCCGGTCGCGGTGGCTCACGCCTGTAATCCCAGCACTTTGGGAGGCCGAGGCGGGCGGATCACGAGGTCAGGAGATTGAGACCATCCTAGCTAACACGGTGAAACTCCATCTCTACTAAAATATGCAAAAAATTAGCCGGGCGTAGTGGCGGGCGCCTGTAGTCCCAGCTACTCAGGAGGCTGAGGCAGGAGAATGGCATGAATCCAGGAGGCGGAGCTTGCAGTGAGCCGAGATGGCGCCACTGCACTCCAGCCGAGGCGACAGAGCAAGACTCTGTCTCAAAGAAAAAAAAAAAAAAAAAACCAAAAAAAAGTTGAAATCTAACACAAAGAACCTAGAAAAATGATTCAGGATGTAAAAGATGAGATAGATATGTTAAAACCAAATAGAACCTCTGAAATTGAAAAATTCACTAAAGAAATTTCAAAATAGAGTTGGAAGCTTTAACAATAGACCAGACCAACCAGAAGAAAGAATTTTAGAGCTTTAAGACCAGTCTTTTGAATTAACTTAGTTAAGGCAAACAAAGTCTCTCATAAATATAGAGTTATGTAAAGTAACAAAACCTATGACTTACTGGCATTCCTGAGAAAGAAAAGCAAAAGTAAGCAACTTGAAAAACATATTTGAGGAAATAATTCAGTAAAATTTCCCTGCTCTAGCTAGAAAGGTTGACATCCAGATCGAAGAAATTCAAAAAACATCTGTGAGATACTATACAAGATGACCATCCCCAAGTTACATAATCATTAGACTATCCAAACTAAATGTAAAAGAAAAAATCTTAAAGGCAGCTAGAGAAAATAACCAGATTACCTATAAAGGAAATCCCATCAGACTAACAGCAGACTTCTCAGCAGAAATCTTACAAGCCAGAAGAGACTGGGGAGCTATTTTTACCCTTCTTAAAGAAAAAAAAAATGCCAGCCAAGAATTTCATATGCTGCCAAACTAAGCTTCATAAATGAAAAAAAATAAAGTCTTTTCCACACAAGTACACACTAAAGGAATTCATCACCACCAGACCATACCCAGAAGAAATACTAAAAGGAGTTCTAAACATGGAAATGAAATGCTACTATAAAAGCACACATAAATACAAAGCTTACAGATCCTATAAACAAACTATATAATTGAGACTACAAAGCAATCCAAACACCATGATAGGAACAAACCCTCACATACCAATAAAAACCTTGAATGGAAATGGCCTCAGCACTCCACTTAAAAGAGATAGAGTGGCAAATTGGGTTTTAAAAAACTAAGACCTACCTCCTGCCTTCAAGAGACACATCTCATGTATATGGACACCCACAGTCTCAAAATGAAAGGATGGAGAAAGATCTATCATATAAATAAAAAACAACAAAATAGCACCACTTACTATTCTTGTATCAGATAAAAAAGACTTTAAAATAACAACAGTAAAAAAAAGACAAGGAAGGCCATTATATAATGATAAGTTTTCCAGTTCAACAAAAAGATTTAGCCATCCTAAATATATATGCACACAAACAGGATCACAATGATTTATAAAACAAATACTTCTATGCCTAACAAAAGAAAGAGATAGCCATACAATTGTAGTAGCAGACTTCAAAACAGCAGTGACAGTACTAAACAGATCACTGAGGTTAGAAAATTAACAAAGAACTCTATACTTAAATTGGACTCTTCACAAAATGGCTCTAATAGACATCTACAGAATACTCCACTCAACAACCACAGAATATACATTTTCTCTTCTGCTACTGGAGCGTTCTCTACAATTTACCACATGTTTGGTCAGAAAGCAAGTCTCCCTAAATTCAAAAAATTGGAATCATAACAAGCATCTTCTCAGCCCACAGTAGAATAAAATTAGAAATCAATACCAAAAGAAACTCTCAAAACCACACAAGTACATGGAAAATATACAATTTGCTCCTGAATGGCTTTTTTGAGTTAAAAATGAAATTACGGGAGAAATCAAAAAAGGTTTTGAAATAAATGAAAATAGAGATACAACATACCACAACCTCTGGGAGACAGCAAAAGCAGTGTTAAGAGGAAAGTTTATAGCATGAAATGCCTACATCATAAAGACATAAAGATCTCAAATTGACAGCCTAATATTTCACCTAAAGCAACTAGAAAATGAAGAAGAAACCAAACATAAATCTAGCAGAAGAAATAACAAAGATCAGAGCAGAACTAAATGAAACTGAGACTGAAAAACCATACAAAGGATCTATGAAACCAAAAGTTGGTTCTATGAAAAGACAAACAAGATTAATAAACCACAAGCTAGATTAACAAAGAACAGAGACGATCCAAATATGCACAACCAGAAATAACAAAGATGACATTACAGCTGATACCACAGGAATACAAAAGATCCTCAGAAACTACAGTGAACACCTGTATCCACACAAACTAAAAATGGATAAATTCCTGGAAACACACAACCACCCAAACTTAAACCAGGAAGAAACTGAAATCATGAGCAGACAAATAATGAGTTACAAAACTAACAAATCAGTAATAAAAAATTGGCCAACCAAAAAAATCCCTGAACCAGAGAAATTCACAGCTGAATTCTACTAGACACACAAAAAAGAGCTGGTACCAATCCTACTGAAACTATTGTAAAAATTCAAGGAGGAGTTTCCTCCCTCTGTGAAACTAGCATCATCCTGATACCAAAATCTGGCAGTAACATAACAAAAAAAGAAAACTACGCCAACATCACTGATGAACACAGATGTACAAACCCTCAACAAAATATGAGCTAACCAAATCCAGCAGTACATCAACAAGGTAATTTATCATGATCAAGTGAGTTTTATTCCTGAGATGCAAGGATGATTCCACATATGCAAATAAATAAATGTGATTCACCACATTAACAGAATGTAAAACAAAAACCATTTGATCACTTCTATAGATGCAGAAAAAGCATTTGATAAAATCCAACATCCCTTTATGATAAAAATCCTCAATAAACTAGGCATCAAGGGAACCTATCTCAAAATGATGAGTCATCGATGACAAACCCACAGTCGACATCATACTGAATGGGGAAAAGTGAAACTATCCCCCTTAAAACTGGAACAAGGATGCCCACTCTCACCACTCTTATTCCACATAGTACTGGAAGTCCTAGCCATAGTAATTGAGCAAGAGAAACAAATAAAAAGCATCCAAACAGAAAAAGAGGAAGTCAAATTATCTCTGCTAACCGATGATATCATCCTATACCTAGAAAACCCTAAAGATTGCTACAAAAAAACCTCCTCAACCTGATAAATGACTTCAGCAAAGTTTAAGGATACAAAATCAATTTATAAAAATCAGCAGGATTTCGATAATGTTCAAGAACATTTCAAAAATGTTCAAGATGAGAACCAAATCAAGGAATCAATCCCATTTACAACAGCCACACAAAAAGATATTTAGGAATATTTAACCAAGGAGGTGAAAGATCTCTACAAGGAGAACTACAAAACACTGATGAAAGAAATCATAGATGACATAAACAAATGGAAAAACATGCCATGTTCATAGATTGGAAAAATTAATAAATTAAAATGATCATACTGCCCAAGGCAATCCACAGATTCAATGCAATTTTTGTAAAATTACCAAGGTCATTTATCACAAAATTGGAAAACACAATTCTAAAATTCATTTGAAACCAAAAGAAGAGTGTGAATAGCCAAAGCAATCCTAAGCAAAAAGGACAAAGCCAGGGGCATCACATTACCTGACTTCCAACGCTACTACAAGGCTATAGTAACAAAAACAGCTTGGTACTAGTACAAAAATAGGCATATAGATCAATAATATAGAATAAAGAACCCCAAAATAAAGCTAAATACCTACAATCGCCTTATCTTTGACAAAACTGACAAAAATAAATAATGGGGAAAAGGATACCCTATTCAATAAATGGTGCTGGGTAAACTGATTAGCCATATGCAGAATGAAACTGGATCCCTACCTCTAACCATATACAAAAATTCATGCAAAATGGATTAAAGACTTAAATTTAAGACCTGAAAATGTAAAAATTCTAGCATGAAACCTAAGAAAAACTCTTCTGGACATTGTCCTAGGCAAAGAATTTATGACTAAGACCATAAAAGCAAAGGCAACACAAACAAAAATAGACAAATAGGAGTTAATTAAATTAAAGAGCTTCTGCACAGCATAAGAAATTATCAATAGAAAAAACAGGGCTGGGCGCAGTGGCTCACACCTGTAATCCCAGCACTTTGGGAGGCTGAGGTGGGCGGATCATGAGGTCAGGAGATCGAGATCATCCTGGCTAACATGGTGAAACCCCGTCTCTACTAAAAATACAAAAAAAGTAGCTGGCAGTGGTGGCGGACACCTATAGTCCCAGCTACTTGGGAGGCTGAGGCAGGAGAATGGTGTGAACCCGGGAGGCAGAGCTTGCAGTGAGCCGAGATAGCGCCCCTGGACTCCAGCCTCAGCAACAGAGCAAGACTCCGTCTTAAAAAAAAAAAAAAAGAGAGAGAGAAAACAAACAACCTACAGAATGGGAGAAAACATTTGTAAATTATGCATCCAACAAAAAACTAATATCCAAAATCGAGAAGGAACTTAAAGCAACAAGAAAAATAACCATTAAAATATGGGCAAAGTACATGAACAGACACTTCTCCAAAGAAGACATACACATGGCCAAAAAACTTATGAAAAAAAGTTCAACATCACTAATCATCAGAGATCAAATGCAAATTAAAACCACAATAAGATACCATCTCATACTACTCACAATGGCCATTACTAAAAAGTCAAACAATAACAGATGTTGGTAAGAAAGCAGAGAAAATAGGAATGCTTATATACTCTTGGTGGGAAAATAAATTAGTTCAACTCCTATGAAAAATAGTATAAAGATTTCTCAAAGAACTAAAAATACAATGACCTTTTGACCCAACAACCCCACTACTGGATATCTACCCTAAGGAAAATACATTGTTTTACCAAAAAGACACCACACTTACATGTTTACTGCAGTACTATTCACAATAGCAAAGTCATAGAATCAACATAAGTGTCTGTCAATTGGATTGGATAAAGAAAATATAGTATATATACACCATAGAATACTATGCAGCCATAAAAAAAAAGAACAAAAATCGTGTTGTTTGCAGCAACATGGATGGAGCTGGAGCCAATTATCCTAAGTGAAATAATGCAGAAACATAAAATCAAATACCACATTTTTTCACTTATAAGTGAGAGCTAAACAGTGGGTACATATAGAAATAAAGATGGAAACAATAGAATAGACACTGGGACTCCAAAAGAGTGGAAGGAAAGAAGAGGACAAGTCACAGAAATAGAAAAAAAATCCCAAAGTTCATATGGAACCACGAAAGAACTCAAGTAGCCAAAGCAATCTTGATGAAAAAGACTACAACTGGGAGATTCATAGTCTGACTTCAAACTATATTACAAAACGATAATAATCAAAAGAATATGTTATTAGCACAAAAACAGACCAATGCAACAGAATAGAGAATACAGAAACAAATCCATGCATGTATGGCCAACTGATCTTTAACAAGGGCACCAAAAATACACAATGGGTAAAGAAAAGTCTCTTCAATAAATGATGTTGGGAAAACTGACTATCCATATGCAAAAGAATGAAATTGTACCCTTGCCCTATACCACATATAAAAATCAACTCAAAATGGATTAAAAACTTAATTATAAGATCTGATACCGCTATATTTAGAACTCCTAGAAGAAAATATAAGTAAAAATCTCCTTCACATTGGTCTTTGCAATGATTTTTTGGATATGACATTGAAAGCATAGGCAACAAAGGCAAAAATAAACAAGTAGGGCTACATCAAACTAAAAAACTTCTGTGTAGCAAATGAAACAACTATTAAAATAAAAAGGCAATCTATGGAGTGGAAGAAAATATTTGCAAACCATCAATCAAAAAGAATTAATATCCAAAACATATAAGGAACTCATACAACTCAATAGCAAAAAACAAATAGCCAATTTTAAATATGGACAAAGGACCTGAATAGACATTTTTCCAAAGAAAACATACAAATGGCCAATTAATATATGAAAAGGTGTTCAATATCATTGATCATCAGAGAAATGTCAATCAAAGCCACAATAAGATATTATCTCACCCCAATTGAAATGGCTTTTATCCAAAAGGCAGGCAATAACAAATGCTGGTGAGGATGTGAAGTAAAGAGAACCCTCATATATGGCTGGTGGGAGTGTAATTTAGTAGAGAAACTATGGAGAATAGTTTGGAGATTCCTCAGAAACTATAAATAGAACTACCGTATGATCCAGCAATCCCACCTCCCATTTTAATACCCAAAAGAAAGGAAGTCAGTATATCAAAGAGATATCTACCCTCTTGTTTATTGCAGCACTATTCACAATAGCCAATATGTGGAAGCAACCTAAGTGTCCATCAACAGACAAATGAATAAAGAAAATGTGCTACATATACCCAGTGGAGAGCTATTCAGCCATAAAAAAAGAATGTGATCTTGTCATTTGCAACAATATGAATGGACTGAAGGACATTGTGTTAAGTGAAATAAGCCAGGCACAGAAAGACAAATTGCACACGCACAGAAAGACAAACTATGCATGTTCTCAGTCATCTGTGGGAGCTAAAATTAAAATAGCTGAACTCATGGAGATGGAGAATAGAATGATGATTTCCAGAGACTGGAAAGCGTAGCAGGGTCAGGGAAAAATGGAATTGTTAATGGGTACAAAATATAAACAGATAGAATGAATAAGATCTAGTATTTGATAGCACAACAGCAATACTACAGTAAACAAAAAGTTATTGTACATTTTGAAATAACTAAGAGTATCACTGGAATGTTTGTAATACAAAGAAATGATAAAAGCTTGAGATAATGAATACCCCATTTGCCCTGATGTGATTACTATGCATTGTATGCCTGTGTTAAAATATCTCATGTACTCTTTAAATATATACATATACTATGTACCCATAATAGTTATAAATTTAATTTTAAAAAAATCAATTTCTGCCCAAATGATCTACCTTCCTTTTCTTCCCATCATCTATCAGATCCTGATCAGTTAATTTTTCCTCCTCTGTCCTATACCATGAGGCCTTCCCTCCCTACTGGCTCCTTTCCATTGGATTCAGACATGCTGAAGTTTCTCACACTATTTAAAAACAAAACACCTGCACTTAACCGCACGTTCCTCTCCAGCAATTACCTCAAATTTCTTTTTAAGCCAATGTGTTAAGCATTTTTACTTAAAGTATTTTAATTAACTCTCTCAACAACTCATTGCCCAGACAGCAAATTGATACTTATAAAAAAACCCTTTTAAAGTGTTACAATCATAACTTTTATACAAATATAAAATGAACATGTGTGAATGATTAATCTCTTTAGATAAATGAGGGACCAAGATGGATGTTACAGTGAATTCAAAGATGACCAAAAATCACCAAGTTATGTGGAATAGAGGAATGGTGATATGAATTTTAACATGGAATTAAAAAAACTGTTTTCTCTCTGGAATAGGTAAGTTTAATCTCTACTAGACTAAATTTATTTGCATGTTTATAAGCAAGAATTATCTGTGTTATTCTGTGTTCTACAAGTAAACTTTTATTAAAAGTATCTCTACAGAGTTTAGTCAGTAACAAACATGCATATCCCTGTAGAATCAGGTAATTTCCAGAGGCTCCAGTATTTGATTGAAAGATATACAGTAACCTCTTTTGCTAATTCCAAAGTCTTAAATTTTTGCTTAAACAAAAATTGGGTAATTACTGGAAGTCGTATAAATAACAAATGGCAAAGCTAGGATTTTCACCCTTGCCTGAATAACCTCTGCTATTTCTTATTTATATTTCTTTTTCAAATGTCTTGAATGAGTTATCTTCTGTTGCTCTCTGTATTAGTCCATTTCCATACTACTAAAAAGAACTGCTAGAGACCGAGTAATTGATAAAGGGAAGAGGTTTAACTGACTCACAGTTCAGCATGGCTGGAGAGGCCTCAGAAAACTTACAATCATGGTGGAAGGCGAAGGGGAAACAAGGCACCTTCTTCACAAGGCAGCAGGAAGAAGTGCTGAGCAAAGAGGGAAGAGCGCCTTGTAAAATCATCAGGTGTCATGAGAACTCACTCACTGTTATGAGAACAGCATGGGAGAAATCGCCCCCATTATTCAATTACCTCCACCTGGTCCTGGTCTCTCCCTTGATGTCTAGGGATTATGGGCATTACAATTCAAGATGAGATCTGGGTGGGGACATAAAGCCTAGCCATATCACTCTCCCCAAGTATTGCTTATCTGTCACTCAGTTCTCAAACCCAGCCTGATTGCAGCCTTCACTATTCTATCGAAAATGTTCTCATTTATAGTACCAAACATTCTGTATCTCCAGAGCCGGTCAGCACTCAGTTCTTATCTAATATGAGAAGCATCACACAATATTGACAATACCCTCTTTCTGAAACACTTTCAATTTTCTATTAATGATAACATGCTTTCCCAGTTTTTCTTCATCTTACTCTACTCCTTTTCAGAATTCTTTGCCTGCTTTCCATTTCTACTCATCAGTTAAGTAGGATTGCTCAAAGAGCTGTCCTAATTCTTCCTTGCTTTTGAAGCCACATTGTCTGTGTGGCCCATTTCACTTTCCAATAATCATCCATTCGATTATTTTTCCAAAACCTACATTCTAACTTTGTCATCTTCAATTTTTAAACAGATATATACATGAGGTGTTCATTCAGCAAATATCTTTTGACTATTTGCTATATGCTATTTGAATGCATGCTAGGTCATCATCCACTTATAGAATTTTTCCCAAGTACTTCACACTCAGGAAAATTACTATACTTCTACATGATACCAATCATCAAGTCCTCTTGGTTTTTACCTCATAATTATGTCTCAAATCAGTACACTGCACCCCATTCCTACTCTCATCAAAAGTTTAAGTTTGAGTGGGTGGCAGGACATTCTCATATTTCTATAAAGAAATACCTGATACTGGTAATTTATAGGAAAAGAGATTTAACTGGCTCATGGCTCTGCAGGTTGCACAGGAAGCATAGAAGTATCTACTTCTGGGGAGGCCTCAGGAAGCTTCCAAATACGGCAGAAGGCAAAGGGCTCCTCACACAGCAAAAGCGAGAGCAAGAAAGTGAGGCAGGAGGGCCTAAGCACTTTTAAACAACCAGATATCAGGAGAACTCACTCACTATCACCAGGGCAGTACCAAAGGGGATGGTGCTAAACCATTCATGAGAAATCCACCCCCATAATCCAATCACCTCCCACCAGGCCCCACCTCCAGCATTGCAGATTACATTTCAATATGAGATTTGGGCAGGGACACACGTTCAAACTATATCAATGTGACCTCTTAAAACAAAATCTGGTCATGTCAAATCTTCATTTCAAATGCTTTCATAGAACTTCATTGCTCTTAAAATTAAGTCTTAAATTTTTAGATGATACTCCTGATGCTCCTTTTTCTCATCTAAGACACTGCATTCTTCCTCTCTAAATCCTTAAAATGTGAGATTCTATCTTCTTTGCTTGAATGTTTACCATAAGTTGTTTCCTCTGCCTAGAACACCCTATCCCCCAATCTCACTTTGCAAATTTCTATTAATACTTCAGGTCTCATCTTACTTTTTCAGGAAAACTTCTGAACTGAGAACCTACACTGGGTCTTCCTGTTTTATTTTGCATAAAATTCTACATTTCCCCTTGTATTACTCATCAAATGATTATTTGTTCAACGTTTATCTTTTACAGGCAGGTGCCTGTAATCCCAGCTACTCAGGAGGCTGAGGCAGGAGAATCGCTTTAACCCAGGAGTTGGAGGTTGCAGTGAGCTGAGATCCCGCCATTGCACTCCAGCCTGGGTGACAAGAGTAAAACTCTGTCTCAAAAAAATAAAAAAATAAAAATAAATAAAACAATTACTGTCTGAATAATCTGGTTGTCTTTTGAACACACACACACACACACACACACACACACCTTGCATGGTTTGGGAAATTTGAATAGAAGAAGCCTAAATAAACAAAAAACTTGCTAGCCAGCTCTTGCTGGAAAGACAAGCAACACAGCAACTACTCTAAAGCTAAAGTAACCATCTTTGATGGATACTCACCAAATTCCAAATGATTTGAAAATTACTGCCACCTAAGTTTCCTTGGAGTACATGTCACAAACAGTTTTGTGTGTACACTTAAAAGTAGCTGTGCATGATCTAGGTACCAATGGGTGCATTTGCTGGATGTCTGTTTATTGTTTTACATTTTTTAGGCTCAAAACTCAAGTTACATCAAACATAACTTAATCTAAGAAATGAAACTTGGAGTCATGTATTATCCATCTGTCCATTAACTGGAGACTCACATTAACTTTCTGAAGAGTA
Organism: Homo sapiens; assembly: GCF_000001405.40. Lineage (NCBI taxonomy): Eukaryota > Metazoa > Chordata > Mammalia > Primates > Hominidae > Homo > Homo sapiens. The sequence continues at coordinate 187,043,358 of NC_000002.12, read as the reverse complement.
TCTTGATCTACCTATAAGTACTCCTTTGGTTTACCACAAAGCAAAAATAGCACGGTTTTCTGTTCAGTCATTATGTTCTTCTTAGGGTCCTCAGCTTTCACAGAATATGTTTATTGTACACTCGTCTATGTGTCTGCTATCCCTCTGTACCTATCATAGCATATCTCACACTGCATTACAAAGATCTATTTGTCTATATTCCCCAGTAGTTAATAAAAGCTATGTAAAGATGGTCCATTTCTGTCTTCTTTACAATTGCATTTTAATTTTCTAGAATAAAGTGACATAGTGCAGGTTCTCAGTAAAGTTAGTTGAATGAATCTAGTAAATAAGATGATGTGTGTGAAAAAATGTACAAAATGTAATATGGCACAATAAATATTCAATTCAAATGATCAATTAAAATATATTTATATAATAACTTACACATTTTATGTCAGGAAAATACAAATATAAAGCAAAGAAAATGTGCAGTTTCAATGATTTTACGTGCAAGCTGTATTCCAATATGAATATATTAAACTATGGTTTTTACATGAAGGACTGTTGGATTTTAAGCACATAATCAAATATACTGATGACAGATATTTTAAAAGTTAAGAAGCTAAGTGAAAACTGAAAACATTTCAGTTTTATTCTCTTTATTTTAATAAAAGAGACATCTGTTTTCACTAGATGTTGGAATGCTATTATATTGTGCCAAGAATTTGATCTTATAGTTGATGAAAAGGAGCAAGTTAAAGGTTACAGTCTATAGATCACAATAATATTTATGTTGAAAAATTTCCTAATTTCAGACAAAGACCTATGCCCATTTTTATAAAGATAGGCATTCTGAAACTACCTCCTCCAGAGATGTTAGCCAACTAAATTATTTACTATGTGGCCAAGTCATTCACTGTGTAGTTTTCCAGAAACATATTATTATAAGAAAGTCTTTTGAAATGTAGTTAAATAGCCTAGTAAATATATCTAGTCAAAATCAGAAATCCTAATGTTTATCTTATTAACTTTCTGAGGCAGGGGAAGTGTCTCCTTGACAATGTTGGCATTTTCTGAAATCTTCATTTATAAAAGATCTATCAACAAGGCTGATACATGCTACAATATAGAATAATCTTGACAACATTACACTAAGTAAAATAAGCCAGAGACAAAAGGACAAATATATTCTTTCACTTATGTGAGGTACCTGGAAAAGTCATCCCTGGAGACAGAAAGTAGCATTAAAATTGCCAAAAGATATGGGGAATAAGTATTGGGTAGTTATTGTTTAATGGATACAAAATTTCAATTTGAGATGATAAAAAAAAGATCTGCACATGGATGGTGATGACATTGCCCAACTATGTGACTATACGTAATGCCAGTGAGTTGTACACTTAAAGATGGTTAAAATGGTAAATCATATGTTATGTATATTTTACAATAGAAATGAATAGTAAATTTTTAAAAAATCTAGTAAAGGAGTCTCTCTGAGCATATTCTGGCTCAGGAGGCTATCCAGTTTGAAGATCTTTCTTTGCTCAATTAAACTCTGTTTAATGTAACCTGTCTAACTTACTTTCTTTTAAATGACGGTGTCAGAAGTGGGATCTGAGGTACAGTTTCTAGTGACTCCCAGGAACACTGAGTTACCAAGAAAGGTACCTGCTGGGCCTATGGTATCCATTGCTTTTTCATGTCAACTGGGGATCACCGGTAAGCTCTCTCTCAGATCCCAAAGGTCCATGGATTTGTGTTTTGAGCTTTCTGAGTTTGTTTGAGCAAATTTCTATATGAACTGTGTTCAGAAGTCATGACAGAAACTGGACTGGGTCAGGATCAAATTGGATCAAATAATTAATTGGCTTGGATCCAGTTAGAGAGCTCAGATGTCTGAATAGGTCAGCCAGAAACCAGTTATTAAATGACAATATTGCAAAGGGTGCAAGCTTTGGCTTTTGGAAATCTGCAGGGATTTCTGTGTTCTACCCCTTTGTTTATTTTTCTTGCATGTTTAAGTAGGGAAAAGTTATTGACTAAGTTGATCAAGGGGATCTGAGCCAAAGCCAAGATTCAAGGTAAAAATGGGATTCTTAATTTCTTAGGAATCCGACTTTTGGGTTCCCTACAATCCAAAAGGATTGTATGCCATGCCTACAATTACATGAATAAATATTAGGTGCCAGGAGCAGCAAACGCTTATAGAAATGGCAAAATCATACTACAGGTAATTTAAAATTGTAAGGGAACATTCCAAATAAACAACACTGCACCTTAAGAAGTGCACTTTTGAAAATGAGGTCTCCCAAATTAGTCTCATCTAGGAATGCCTGTTTATGTGGAGAAACTTCTAAAAAGATTACAATATTTTTATTGATTTTAAAAAAGACTATAGAAAGCAAATAAAAGGCTTAAGTGACTAATTGATAAGAAAATATAAATCTGGTAACCTTTTGGTTTAGTTACAAAAGGTGGATGCTTGGGTAAAGTAGGCTTGCTTCTTTTTCAGATCTATCCATACTGAATTCAAGAATAGAAAATGCTTTCTTTCCCCTGTTCCTTAATGGGCTTCACCCTGAAGTCAGTAATTTTGGCTAAGAAATAGTAGCTAATTTAAAAAGACCATTTGTGTTAGTTCATTCTTGCACTGCTATAAAGAGAAACCTGAGACTGGGTAATTTATAAAGAAAAAATGTTTAATTGGCTCATGGTTCTGCAGAGTGTACAGGAAGCATGATGCTGGCATCTTCTTGGCTTCTGGAGAGACCTCAGGAAACTTACAATTATGGCAGAAGGTGAACAGGGAACACGGCCGGAATAGGAGCAAAAGAAGGGGAGGGAGTTGCTACTTTTAAACAACCAGGTATCATGAGAACTCACTCACTATCATGAGACAGCACCAAGGGGATTATACTAAACCATTCATGAGAAACACCTCCATAATCCAATTACCTCCCACCATGCCCCACCTCTAACACTGGATTACAATAGAACAGGAGATTAGGGTGGAGACACAGATCCAAACTATATCACCACCTATCAAACTGAAATACATCTTTCTGGCATTTTCTGGCTATCTTGAAATCCTGTTCTAAAAGAAATTTACATCTATAAAGGAAATCTTTATTTGTAAGGTGTCTGCCTGTATACATAAAAACTCTTACCATCGTTTTGAACTTACACAAGTCATACTTTTGTTTAGATGCCTTTCTGACTATCTTGTTTAAACTGAACTTTTACTTACACAATTTTTTCCTTTGTTTTAGCAAATGTTATAATACTTAGGCCTAAAGTGTTAGCTCTGTGCTTTTCAAATATAAATTTTCTTGTTTCATCTAAAAGTTCTCCCTTTAAAAATGCAAAATTGTTGCCTAGTTAACACTTGCTTAAGGCAATGAAACAGATAATTGTAAGACTGATAGTCTGCTGGGGAAAAGAAAAACTATTTAAAAGCCAACAAATGGAATCCTTTATGTAAGCTATAATATCTGTTTCTGTCTGTGTGTTTGTATGTATATATGTCTATATGTGTTATGTGTATTTGGTAATATTAGGTAAATAAAGCTAGTTTTAAATTATCAGTAAAACAAGAATGGCTTCAAAATTGTCAGTTAAATATAATTCAGTACTTGCTTGATTTGACTGTGAGCTTATGTTTTTGGTTGAGTGTCTCTGGGTTCCCGGTCCTGGACAGATGGCCATGATGAGTTCTACGGAAAAGTTTCAAATGCCTAGACTAGTATCTACAAGGCAGAATCAAGCCCAATATGGCTCCTTCTTCCCTGCCCCAGTTTTGCCTCTTGGCTATTCTGGAAGGGGTTGGATACCGCAGGCACTGTCTTCACAGCTCTGTCTCCTGCACTGAGCTCTACACCTTGTATGTAAACTCAGGACTCAGGCCCTATCCTTTATAGCTATATTAGGTACTACATTGCTACCTGAGACCCAGAATGACTGCGGAAGACATTAGGGAGGGTACCTGTGTCAAAGTCTAAAAATTCTTTTCAGTAATATAAAATCTTAAAGTCATGTTGTGTTAATTTAAATTATAACAGATAATCATAGAAGCTGAGTCATTTGTAAGTTAAAATACTGTAATAAATTATTAAACATGAGTTTAAGTTTATATACTTTGACATCTTATTTTTATATAGTATAGAAAAGCTAAATATATTTAGATATAGTAATAAACAGTAATTTAAGGAAACATCTTTCTAAATATTTCTGAAATGGTTTCATCACAAATATTGATATGAAACAGTACCAAAATTTTTCCTAAAATTTTTACTAGAAATTAGGGTTACTAAGAGTTAAAATTATGGTTAATACATGTAAGTAAAACTACTAGATATGAGAGAAACAATTCTGTATACAGAGTGTATTAACAAAAGCAAGATATGCTTTTGATGACAAAAATTAGAAAGGCATCAAAACATGTACTTGTTTAAAAAACAATTTTGTATTTTGTCTAGAAGTTATTTAAAAGTTGTTTTAAATTGAAGGAGTAAAAATATAGATAAAATTAAATAAACATAAAAAGTTTAGAAGAAAAATATATAAAACATTATAAAATGATTATGAAATTTTTATGTGGTCAGAAGACATATTTGATAGATTTATCTTAAGGTTTTATTAAAATTAGCTTTAGTGTTGATAATGTGTTAATATAAAGGTAAAATTTGGTTTTCTGTTTTGAAAAAAATTTGTGTAATATTAACATGACAGTAAAATATTTTGGTTCACCTTTTGAGTAAACTACAAAAGAGAGAGAAAGACAGGACAGAAAAAGCACATTCTGTCTCAAGCTGTCTTTCTCAGGTTTTTGGATTGTTTGGAAAACTGAGACAACTGTCTGTCAAAGAAAAGGGTTTATTTTCTAAAATCTTTTTATTATCACTTCGGCTAAACGAATGACTATTATTTTACAGTAACCTGTGATCCTCTTTTTTGTCGAGTGTTTTAAATATTTGACATATTTGATAGGCTTCCCAAAATCAAATTTCAGCTTCAAACTTAAGTCTCTTTTTTGACCTCTAACTGTGGTATGATACAGAGGGCTCCAGCAGCATCCAAAACAGAGATCAACAGGATTATCTGATAAATTAAATTACATGGGAGGCATCGTCAAACAAGAAATAATGTTTATCCTTCTAGTTATCTTTCAATAAATTTATTAATACATGTTCCAAAATTGCATGGAATTTCTAAAATTCTAATGTATTTGGGTATATGCTCTCATTCATGATTATGATTATTATGTAAAATTGTTGTAGGCCACAGAAATAACCAAATTTCTTCATCAATTGTGTCTTTAACTATGACCATTTTAAGTCATTTTTACAGCTAGTTGCATAATTCTGATGCAGTTACTGAAAACTTCGCAAGCAAGCAAAATCCTAGTGTTATGTCTTCAAGAAGGTTCATGAATAGGATGGAAAGAACCCTTATAAGCCCTCTAAAATAAAGGTTTTTAATAACTTTAAGCTCATATGATTTAGTCTTGGAAAGAATTCCCAGGACTCTAATAAAGAAAGTGACTGGTTTATAAAACTGCCAACCCAAGCAGAACAAAAATTAATCAAACAACAAGAAAATACTTTGCCAGATTTTCATGCTAAAATCAGCCAGTTATGAAATTATTTAGATATGCAATTTGAATGAACTCCATGGTCTAAGTCAAATCACCTATGATAATCTCTCAGTTATCAGTGCTATGCACATAAATTGGAGAAACAAAACTGATATTTAAGAAGACATAAGTCCAATGTTAGGCATGGACACATGGAGAGCCTGGATGGCTGTCTGGTCCTTCCTGAGTCTTTAAAGCTTCCATGATTAAAATCTCTGCATTCCATGACTCATCATGGAAGAGATAAAAAGATCCAAATTAAAACATATATATAAGTGTGGTGACTGTTCCAAGTTGCTAAATGGTTTATGACTAATGATTGGTTTGTCAAACCCATAATCCAGGGAAGACAATAAAAAATTCAGGTACAATTCTGCCACCTGATGGGTCATTTAAACATATAACAGAGGGATTTCATTCAACTGTCATTTTCAATGCATGTTTTCTGGTTGTATAAAAGCCTTCTCATGAAACAGGGATGATGTTATAAAAGTAGCTAAATGGTCATTAGGTAATGTGTTTCCCTCATGCGACATTCCTACAAAAAGTCTGCAATGATAGAGGTGCTTGCTTTACTGGACAAATTTTAAAACTGTTCAGTGAGGTATTACAGATATAATACCATTAAGCAAAGCTAACTGAATTGACTGGATTGCTTTGGTCAAAGGTATGGCACATTGATGGCAATGAAATCCACTTAAGAGTGGAAAATATAAGCTGACCTTTTATAAAAGTCACTGGAAGGCCTATGCACATAATAATAGAACCTCATGTACCTTCCACTACTAAACTCTGATATGACTAAATGATACAAGGCTTAAATGCATTATACCAAAGTATATTTTCACCAGGTAAAGAAAGCTTTTCATTGTCCACTGCCTGAGGACAATCAAACCATTCATTATCTACAACCTGGAGATGATCTTCTGAGAACATCAGAGAAAGACTGCCCCTGCCACCCACACTGCAGCAAAACTTCAGGATCTTGGACCTTAGTTTCATAATCTCACAGTCAGAATGGCCCCTCCAGAATCTTGAAACTGTATGCCCATCAGGGATCTTAAGGTAAAGCTAACCAAAGAAGTTTCTCCTGAGAAGTAGGCAGAATCCTTGATATAAACAGCTTTTTCCCAAGATGATGGTTCAAGACTTTCCCAGTAGCGTGAGACCCTAATCTCACAGTTTTTTCTTTGCTTATTCCTCTATGAACAAAAGAACTAAAAAATGGGTCTCTTGTTTGTGCCTATGGGGTGTACTTTTATTTGTGGAGGATTTTGCAACCAATCTAATACATGGACAAATTTCTGCCTTGATAGACAAAAGAAGAAGGGCCAGTATGGGTGAAAAATGTTAATGGTACATTTGTTGCCTCATAATCAGTCAGAAACAGAACATCAGTACACTTCTTTAAACCTACTTCATAGGTTAACAGAACATTGCCAGGAAACCTTCACTCTTCTGGATGGGCATTATTTACTAAGTCTCTTTTTTTTTACAGTTTGGAGTAAATGAGGCAATGATTAGAAAGTTATCCCCCATAGTAGCCTCTATAGCAGATTCTACTGTAAAGGCTATGGTTACACAACAGACTTTAAGTTGTGTTGCAAAAGTTGTGCTAAATAATAGAATAAATCTAGATTACTTATTGGCTAAACAGAGAATTACCTATGCAGTTGCTGACACTTCTAGTTGCAAATAGAAGACTACATTGGGTATTATAGAGATTCAGTTGCAGGGGATTAACAAACAGACTGCTTGGTTGAAATAAGTAGACTCTGTAGCTCATTCTTTGTCTATTTAATTTTAGTTGGTTTGGTTCATGGGGACCCTTGCTAAACAGCATACTCCAAACTCTTGGTATTATCCTTCTCATAATCATAATAGTAGTCTCCCTGGTGCATTGTATTCTCTCACGTTTTAAATGTTTTCACTAAGCCATCTGTAGAATTTCAAATTGTCTCTTTTCAACTGCAATGACAAAAACTCAAAAAACATGTGACCATGAGGATATCATAAACAATGAATGACATACTGAGACCAGAACCCAAAATGATGGTAACCAAGAGTGATTCTAAAGACCTATGTCTTAGTCACACTCTCAGCTAAGAGAGAATCTGACCAAAAGGGGGGAATTTTTTAAACAAAATTATGGGAGGCCATTGTTTTGGACTGAGCTCGTGCACTAGGCCCCAGTAGAACAGGCCAAATTAAATTGAAGTCACTCATGTTAAACACAACATAATCAAACTGAAACTTTAAGGAAACAGACAGTTTCTAAAACAGGTTTTTTTTTCCCCCTAAAACAGGAGATTCCAACACAAGGTAGTCCTAACTACTCTAACCCCTTTAAAAAATGATAACCTGAAGTCCTTGTTACCACCTTACAAAACCCATTATTCTGCTGTTTCCCAGTGGGATTCAAGACCACATAGGTACATTTACAACAGCGACAGAGTGACATCAGTGCCTAAAATTTTGGTCAATCTTTCAAAATTGAGAGAATGACAAAAAGAGGAATTGTTAAATTAAGCTTAGCCTAAAGCCGCCTCTGTACATATTTTAAGTTTGGCCTAAAGGTTTCTTTGTATATAGTGAAACATAACCTAACTGGATGTGTAAACAGACTGTAACTCACTCTTGCACAAATCACCAAGTCTTGACCAATCAAAGCTCAATTAAACTCTGTTAAATTTAAATAAAAATAATAGAATATGCATTAACATATACTAAGAAATAAAAAAATTATTTTACAACTGCCCTGTTCACAGCAAACATCAGATCCAGAATATTCTGCTGGGATGATTAAAATGTACAAGGAGGACAAGTAGAGGTGAAATCATTCTTGTTTATTAATAGAAGTCATGGATGCCACAATGTGTTGATTAGCTGTTTGGTTCATTGGTTTACATAAACATTTGAATGATTTGCCAGACCTTTTCTTTCTGTCTAGACATAAAGCTCCATAAGAAATCAATGCTTTCAGAACATTTGAGAGTAGTTGCTACAAAGAAATAATAAGAGCAAGGAAGGGAGGAAAAGAGCAGCTCATGAGTAAGTCAACAAATTAGAGGACAATGTTTAATATGATCTAAGGCATGTGGTATCCAATGACATAGATTAGGAACAAAAGAAAGACTGTGGAGCTAGTTTGTCTGGAGGTGAGCTACTGAACAACAGAATGAGGATGATAATTAAATTTCAACTCATTAATACAAAATAAAAATCAATCAATGTAGTCATTGTATAAACACCTTACTTTTCTTTTCAGATTTGCCTGTTCTCTGAAATTGCTCTCTTTTTATGCCTTATGTTCACATTTATTTCATCTTCAAGGCTACAGTTACTAAGAGTGATCTATCATATTCTTGTACTCAAAAAAGCTGAATCACCATGTGCTTTTTCTGCCTTTCTGCTTGAATCAGACAGTTATTAAAATTCTCCAGAGTATTAGAAGGGCTTATTATTCTCTAATATTTTGAGAATTTTTTTAAATGTTCACTATGGGATATATAATTGAGTATAATATATGGTTGAGCCAATTTCAATTTCTAAAAAGATAAAAAAACTAGTACCCTAGACAATGGCAAACTCTTTAAAAAAATTTATTAAGTAAATAATGTCTACATTCAATTTAAAATCCATCACCTGCCAGGAGTAGGAAAACTGTTTAAGATTTTTTCGAGCCTCAGTTTCATCTATAGGTAGGTAAGAATTGCACATATCTCACTGGTTTGTTGTGAGGTAAATGGAGTTTTGTAAAAAAACAAACAAACACAAAACAAAACAAAAAATGTTTAACACAGCACTAGATAAATTATGAGCACTCAATCAATATTAGCCAATAATTTTTAGTATTAATTGATTATATCATCTTCCTTACTGTAATTACACACTAAACTAGTTATCTTAGCCAATGTGGTCAAACTGGTATAGGCTTATAGTCTGAGTCAAGGGTTACAGGGAACTTTGGAGATCCAATGAACAAAAAACTGACATAAGTCTACCTTTGCTTACAAATACCTCAGCCTCAGATTCCAAATGTTTAAACTGAGAAACATCTTTGTTATCAACATTTCCTGATATCTGTCTTACAAGCAAAATATATAATTATTTTCCTCCTACTTCAGAGAAACTGACATAAAATGTCAAAGAAGGTGAGTTATCCAAGAAAATAATGTGAGAAAATAATTCAGTTACTTAAAAATCTTAATAGGTATGAGGTTTCTGCATTGCATTTGCTCACATTTAGATGGGCCCTTTCAGAAAAATTGTGAGATTTCATGTAAAAATACGGGTTTAGCCACAGTTCTGATTGGTAATTAATAATAATAATTTTATTCACCATAAAAATAAGTTTTCACATTATTAATAGTAAGCTTCAGTAGGAATTTCAAGATGGAATCTAAACCCAGGTCTTCACGTTTTATCAAAGTTGTAACTTATTTTTGTTAAATGAAAATCTCTCTCTAGTATCAATTTACTTTTTTAATGGAAAATTTCAAAAACAATCAAGAATAAATGAATTATCATGTACATATTACCTATTATCAACCACCAACTCAATCATGTTATCATTATCATGCCCTCAAAATTAACAGAAACTTCAACTATTATCAAATTTCTGAATAATGTTTATATTTTCCCAATTGTCATATAATTATAATTTGTTTGAAATGAGATCCTAATAAAGCTCATGCACTTTAATTGGCTGTTACATCTCATCATTTAATCAATAATCTCTCTCTCTCTGGTCCTTGAAAGTTATCTGTTGAAGAAACTAGGCACTTCTTGCTGTGGATATTTTCCAGTTTGAATCATACATATCGCTCACAAATCATAATCAATTTACTTTTAAGACACTAGCCATTATCATCATTGGATTCCCCCCAAAATGTCAGTGTTGAATGAAGAGAAACTTTTATTAGTCAGATATGTGAATATGCATTTAAATTTCTATGCATTTCTTAATATATTAATGTACAGAGTAACATATGCTAATGTAACGTAAAACAGAGCTCAAGATCACTGGCAAAAGAGTTAAAAAAATGTTACATTGCGGCCAGGCGCGGTGGCTCACACTTGTAATCCCAGGGCTTTGGGAGGCGGGAGGACCACGAGGTCAGGAGATCGAGACCATCCTGGCTAACATGGTGAAACCCCATCTCTACTGAAAATACAAAAAATTAGCCGGGCGTGGTGGCGGGCGCCTGTAGTCTCAGCTACTCAGGGGGCTGAGGCAGGAGAATGGTGTGAAACCCGGAGGCAGAGCTTGCAGTGAGCCGAGATCGCGCCACTGCACTCCAGCCTGGGCGACAGAGCGAGACTCCGTCTCAAAAAATAAAAAGTCACATTGCATTAGTACTCAAGCTACGGTAACTTGGAGTGCCCATAATCTAAATGCAAGATTTAATTTATCTTTACAATGTCTCTAAATTTATTTTATTTATTTATGTATTCTTTGAGACAAGATCTCGCTCTGTCACCCCGGCTGGAGATCACAGCTCACTGCAACCTCAATCTTCCAGGATCAAGTATTCCTCTCACCACAGCCTCCTGAGTACCTGGGACTATAGGCACACACCACCAGGACCGGCTAACTTTTGTATTTTTTGTAGAGACAGAATTTCGCCATGTTTCCTAGGCTGATCTCAAACTCCTGAGCTCGAGCAGTCCACCAGCCTTGACCACACAAAGTGCTGGGATTATATCATGAGCCACTGTGCCTGGCCTCAATTTTTTTAATTAATATGTATTATTTGTACATGTTTATAGGGGACAAGCGACATTTTGATACATGCATAGAATGTGTGATAATCAACTCAGAGTATTTTGGATATCCATTACATTGAGCATTTATGACTTTTTGTGTTAGGAATATTTCAAATCTCATCTACCTATTTTGAAATACACAACATATTATTGTTAACTACAGTCACTCTATTGTGCTGTCAAACATTAGAACATATTTCTTCTAACTGTATGTTGTATCCATTAACCTAACTCTCTTCATCCCCAACTCCCCACACACATACACATCATTTCAGGTCTCTGGTAAATATCATTAGATTCTCGACTTTTGTGAGATCAACTCGTTTAGTTGCCTCATATGAGTGAGAACAAGCAATATTTGTCTTTCTGTGCCTGGCTTATTTCCTTTAATATAATGACTTCCATTTCAATCCATGTTGCTGCAAATGACATGATTTCATTCTCTTTTATGGCCTAATAGTATTCCATAGTGTATATATACCATATTTTCCTTATCTATTCATCCATTGATGGATACTTGGGTTTATTGACTATCTTTGATATTATGAATACTTCCACAATAAAAATGAGGATGCAAGTATCCTTCTGATGTAATGATTTCCTTTTCTTTGGCGAAATATCCAATAGTGGGATTGTTGGATCCCAAATAGAACCACCCTATTTTATGGTAGTTCTATTTGTAGTTTCTTGAGAAATTTCCATACTGATTTTCATAATGATTATGCTAATTTATATTCCCACCAATAATGTATAAGAGTTTCCTTTTCTTCTCATCCTTGCCAGCATTTGTTATTTTTTGTCTTTTTTATAATAGCCATTCTTGCTGGTATAAGATGATATCACATTGTGATTTTGATTTGCATTTCCCCTATGATTACTGATGCTGGGCATTTTTTCATATACCTGGTGGCCATTTTGTATATTCTGGATATCAGTCCATTATTGGATAAATAGTTTGCAGATATTTTTCCCATTTGACAGATTGTCTCTTCACTCTGCTGTTTATGTTATATAAAGGTTTTTAGTTTAATATAGTCAGATTTGTCTGTTCTTATTTTTGTAGTCTATGCTTCTGAAGTCATAACCAAAAATTTTTTGGCTAAGCCAATGTACTAGAATGTTTCCCCTATGTTTTCTTCTAGGAGTTTTTTACATTTGGGTTTCACATTTAAATCTTTAATCCATGTTGAGTTTTGTTTTGTTTTGTTTGTTTGTTTGTATTGGTGAGAAACAAGGGTCTAGTATCAGTTTTCTCCATGTAGATATCCAATTTTCCCAGTGTCACTTATTGAAGAGTGTGTCTTTTCACCAATGTATGTTCTTGACACCTTGAGAAACATCAGTTGTCTATAAGTGCTTGGATTTATTGCTGGGTTCTTTATGCTGTTTCATTGATCTATGTGTCTGCTTATACACCAATATCAGGCTGTTTTGGTTACTATAGCCTTGTAATATATTTTGAAGTCAGGTAGTGTGATGCCTCTAGATTTGTTCTTTTTGCTCAGGATGGCTTTGGCTATTTGGGTTCTTTTTTGGTCAATTTTAGGATTGTTTTCTTTCTATTTCTGTTAAAAAATTCGCTGGCATTTTGATAGGGATTGCATAGAATCTGTGGATTGCTTTGAGTAGTATGTAATTCTAATAATATTAATTCTTTCAATCCAAAATTATGGAATGTCTTTCCACTTATTTGTGTCCTTTTAAGTATCTTTCGTCAGTGTTTTATAGTATTTTTCGTAGAGGTATTTTACTTCTTTGGTTACGTTTATTCCTAGATACTTTAAATTTTGTAGCTATTGTAAACAGGATGGCCTTCTTTATTTCTTTTTCAGCTACTTCACTATGAATGTATGGAAATGCTTCTGATTGGGCTGGGCATGGTGACTCATGCCTGTAATCCCAGCACTTTGGGAGGCCAAGGTGGATGAATCACCTGAGGTCAGGAGTTTGAGACCAGCCTGGCCAACATGGTGAAAACCTGTCTCTCCTAAAAATACGAAAATTAGCCGGGTGTGGTGACACACACCTGTAATCCCAGCTACTTGGGAGGCTGAGACAGAAGAATTGCTTGAACCTGGGGGATGGAGGTTGCAGTGAGCCGAGATCACACCACTGTACTCCAGCCTGGGAGATAGAGCTAGACTCTGTCTCAAAAAAAAAGAAAAGAAAAGAAATGCTTCTGATTTTTAAGTTGATTTTGTATCCTTCAAAATTACTGAATTTCTTTATGATATCTAAGAGTCTTTTGGTGGAGTCTTTAGATTTTTCTAAATATAAGATCATGTGATCTGCAAAGAGCAATAATTAGATTTCCTATTTTCTAATTTGGGTAACTTTTTTTCTTATTTTGCCTGATTGCTCTGGCTAGGGATGCCAGTACTCTGCTTAAGAGGAGTGGTAAAAGTGGCCATTCTTATCCTGTTCCAGTTCTTAGAGCAAATGCTTTCAGGTTTTCTACATTCAGTATGATCCAAGATGTGTGTTTGTCATATATGCCCTTTATTACATTGTGGTGTGTTCCTTCTATGTCTAGTTTGTTGACAGCTTTTATCGTTGTATTAGTCTGTTCTCACACTCCTATGAAGAAATACCCATGAATGGGAAATTTATAAAGAAAAGAAGTTTAATTTACTCATAGTTCTGCATGGCTGGGAAGGCCTCAGAAAACTTACAATCATGGTGGAAGGCACCCCTTCGCAGGGTGGCAGGAGAGAAAATAAGTGCTAAGCAAAGGAGGAAGCCCCTTATAAAACCATCAGATCTCATGAGAACACCTTATTATCATCAGAAGAGCAGCATGGGGCTAATCACTCCCATAATTCAATTACTTCCCACTGGGTTCCTCCCATGACATGTGGGGATTATGGAAACTACAATTCAAGATGAGATTTGGGTGGGGACACAGCCAAAGTATATCATCCCTGTCCCCTCCCAAATCTCATGACCTCACATTTCAAAACACAATCATGCCTTAGCAACGGTCCCCCAAAGTCTTAACTCATTCCAGCACTGACCCAAAGTCCAAGGACAAAGTCTCATCTGAGTCAAGGCAAGTCCTTTCTGCCTATGAGCCTGCAAAATAAGAAGCAAGTTGGTTACTTCCTAGGTACAATGAGGGTGCGGGCATTGGGTAAATACACCCATTTCAAATGGGAGAAGTTGGCCAAAACAAAGGGGCTACAGGCTCCACGCAAGTCCAAAATCCAGTGGTGCGGTCAAATCTTAAAGTTCCGAAATGGTATTATTTGACTCCATGTCTCACATCCAGGGCACACTGATGCAAGAGGTGAGCAACCATGGCCTTAGGCAGCTCTGCCCCTGTGGCTTTGCAGGGTACATCCCCCCTCCTGGCTGCTTTCATGGCTGGCATTGAGCGTCTGTGGCTTTTCCAGGTGCATGGTAGAAGCTGTAGGTGGATGTACCATTCTGGAATCTGGAGGATGGTGGCCCTCTTCTCATAGCTCTACTAAGAAGTTCCCCAGTGGGAACTCTGTGTGGGGGCTCCAACCCCACATTTTCCTTCTGTACTGCCCCAGCAGAGGTTCTCCATGAGGACTCTGCCCCGATAGAAAACTTTTGTCTGGACATCCAGGCATTTCCATATATCCTCTGAAATCTAGGTAGAGTTTCCCAAATCTCAATTCTTCTCTACTGTATATCCACAGGACCAACACCACTGGAAGCTGCCAAGACCTGGAGCTTTCACCCTCTGAAGCAATGGCCTGAGCTGTACCTTGGCCCCTTTTATCCATGACTAGAGCTAAAGCAGCTGGGACCCAGGGCACCATATCCCAAGGCTTCACAGAGCAGGGAGTCCCTGGGCCTAGCTCAAGAAATCATTTTTCCCTCCTAGGCTTCCAGGCCTGGGATGGGAGGGGCTACTGTGAAGGTCTCTGACATGCCCCAGAGACATTTTTCCCCATGTCTTGGTGATTCATATGATTTGACAGAGTTCCCACCCAAATCTCATCTTGAATTGTAACTCCCACAATTCCCATGTGTTGTGGGAGGGATTCAGTGGGAGGTAACTGAATCCTTGGCGCAGGTCTTTCCTGTGCTGTTCTCATGATAGTGAATAAATCTCATGAGATCTGATGATTTTATAAAGGGGAATTTCTCTGCACAAGCTCTCTTCTCTTGTCTCCCACCATGTGAGATGTGCCTTTCATCCTCCACCATGATTGTGAGGCCTCCCCAGCCATGTGGAACTGTGAGTTCATTAAACCTCTCTCTTTTGTTAATTGCCCAGTCGCAGGTATCAGCAGCATGAAAATGGACTAATACAGTGATTAACATTCAGCTCTTCTTTACTTATGCAAATTTCTGCAGCTGGCTTAAATTTCTCCCCAGAAAATGGGTTTTTCTTTGCTATCACATCGTCCGGCTGCAAATTTTTTTAACTTTTATGCTTTTTTTCCTCTTGAATGCTTTGCCACTTATAAATTTCTTCCACCAGATACCCTAAATCATCCCTCTCGAGTTCAAAGTTCCAGAGATCTCTAGAGCAGGGGCAAAATGCCACCATTCTCTATGCTAAAACATAGCAAGAGTCAAATTTATGCCAGTTCCCAACAAGTACCTCATCTCCATCTGAGACCACCTCAGCCTGGACTTCATTGTCCATATCACTATCAGCATTTTGGTCAAAGCCATTCAACAAATCCCTAAGAAGTTCCAAACTTTCCCACATCATCCTCTCTTCTTCTGAGCCCTCCAAACTATTCCAACCTCTTCCTATTACCCAGTTCCAAAGTCAATTCCACATTTTCAGGTTATCTTTATAGCAGCACCTCACTCTGCTGGTACCAGTTCTCTGTATTAGTCTGTTATCACATTACTATAAAGATACTACCTGACACTCAGTAATTTATGAAAACAAGAGGTTTAATGGACTCACAGCTCTGCATGATTGAGGAGGCCTCAGGAAACTTACAATCATGGCACAAGGTGAAGGGGAAGCAAGGCATGTCTTACCATGCCAAAGCAGAGAGAGAGAAGGGGGAAGTGCCAAACACTTACCAAGCAACCAGATTTCATGAGAACTCACTATCACAAAAACCGCATGGGGGGAAATGCCCCCATGATCCAATCACCTCCTAGAAGGTCCCTACCTCAACACATGCAGATAACAATTTGGATTACAATTTGAGATGATATTTTGGTAGGCACACAGTCAAACCATATCATAGTGTTTCAATTTTTATTTGTTTCCAAAAATTGTTAAATTTTTAAATTAATTTATTCACTGACCCAATGGTTGTTCAAGAGCATGTTGTTCAATTTCTACATACTAATATTTGTACAGTTTCCAAAGTTTTACTCCGTTGTGGTCTGAGAAGACACTATACATATATATATATATATACACACACACACACACACACTATATATAATATATATACATGCATATATATATTAACTTTGTTGAGACTTGTTTTGAGTCCTAACACATGATGTATCTTGGAGAATGTTCCATGTGTTAATGAGAATGTGTATTCTGCAGCTATTGGATAAAATGTTCTATGAATGTATGTTAGATATATTTGATCTAAAGCACAGTTTAAATCCAAGATTTTCTTATTGATTTTCTATCTAGATGATCTTTCTAATGCTGACAGTGGGGTGTTGAGGTCCCCAACTATTACTGTATTGGAGTATCTCTCTTCCTTTAGATCTAATAATAATTGCTTTATATAGCTTGGTGGTCTGGTGTTGAATGTGTGTATATATATATATATACACACACACACACACATACACACACACACACACATATATATATAATGGTATATGTATATATACCATTATATCTTGTGTATATATATTTATATATACCATTATATCTTCTTGATGAATTGATCCATTTATAATGGTATAATGATCTTTTGTCTCTTTTTACTGCTTTTGACTCAAAGTCTGTTTTACCTAATATATAAGTATAGTTATTTCTGCTTGTTTTTTTATCTCTGTTTATATGAAATATCTTTGTCCATCTTTTCAATTTCAGTCTATATGTCTTTATGGGTTAGGTGAGTTTCTTGTAGACAGCAAATACTTGGGCCTTTTTTCATTCATTCAGCTAGTTTATATCTCTTAGGTGGAGATTTAAATCTGATTTCATTAAAAGTCATTATCGATAGGTAAGGACTAAGGACTTATTCCTGACATTTTGTTAACTGACATTTTTATTGTTTTTGTTTATCTTTTGTTCCTTTCTCTTTTATTATTTATCATTGGAGTGTTTTTTTTTTTTTTTTGTAGTGGTAAAATTGGAGTCATTTCTCTTTCTCATTTGTGTGACTGCTCTACCAGGGTAATACTTATGTGTGTTTTCATGATGGTAGATATCATCCTGTTACTGTCAAATGCAGGATGTTTTTAAGCATTTCTTGTAGGGCTGGACTAGTGGTGATGAATTCCCTCCGTTTTTTTTGTTTTGTTTTGTTTTAAAAATATTATTTCATTTTTGAGGGTTAGCTAGTATAGTATTATTGACTGGCTGGGTTTTTTTCTTTCAGCACTTTGAATATATCATCCCATTTTCTCCTGTCCTGTAATGTTTCTGCTGAAAAATTTGCTGTTAGAGTGATGGAGTTTCTCTTATGTTTGACTTGACACTTTTCTCTTGCTGTTTTTAGCATTCTCTTTGTCATTGACTTTTGAATTTGACTACAGCGTGCTTTGAATAAGATCTTTTGGGTCATATCTGTTTAGGAATCTTTGAACTTCCTGTGTTTGAATAGCTGTCTCTTGTGAGACTGGGGAAGTTTTCAGCTATTATTCCATTAAATAGGTTTTCTATGACATTTTCCTTCTCTACATTTTATGGAACACCAAAAATTTGAATATTTGCTCACTTTCTCGTGTCCCATATGTCACATAGCCTGACTTTATTCTTTTTTATTCTTTTCTTTCTTATTTTTGTCTGACTGAGTTACTTCAAAAGACTTGTGTTCAAGTTTTGAAATTGTTTTTTCTTCTTGATCCAGTCTATTATTGAAGCTCTTAATTGCACTTTTTTTTCATTTATTGAATTCTTCAGTTCTATAATTTCTGTTTGGTTCTTTTCTTTTCTTTTTTTTTTGAGACAGAGTCTCATTCTGTTGCCCAGGCTGAAGTGCACTGGCGTGATCGCGGATCACTGCAACCTCCACCTCCCAGGTTCAAGTGATTCTCCTGCCTCAGGCTCCTGAGGAGCTGGAACTACAGGCATGCACCACCACACCCAGCTAATTTTTATATTTTTAGTAGAGATGGGGTTTCACCATATTGGCCAGGATGGTCTCGATCTCTTGACCTTGTTATCTGCCTGCCTCGGCTTCCCAATGTTTGGTTCTTTTTTATGAGATCTATTTCTTCAATGAATTTCTCTTTCATATCCTAAATTATTTTCTGAGTTTTTGTATAGTTTATTTGTGTTATCTTATATCTCACTGAGCTTCTTTAATACTATTATTTTGAATTTTTTTTTTTTTTTTTTTTTTTTTTGAGACGAAGTCTTGCTCCGTCACCCAGGCTGGAGATAAGTGGCATGATCTTTGCTCACTGCAACCTTCACTTCCCAGGTTCAAGCAACTCTCCTGACTCAGTCTCCCAAGTACCTGGGATATACAGGTCTGTGTCACCACGCCCGGCTAATTTTTGTATTTTTAGTAGAAATGGGATTTCACCATGTTGGCCAGGCTGGTCTCAAACTCCTGATCTCATGATCTGCCTGCTTTGGCCTCTCAAAGTGCTGGGATTACAGGCGTGAGTCACCATGCCCAGCCGTGAATTCTCTTTTAGGCATCTCAAAAATTTGTTTTTCACTGAACTCTGTTGCTAGATAATTACTTTGTCCCTCTTTAAGTGTCATGTTTTCTTGCTTTCTCATGTTTCTTGCATTTGTACATTAACATCTGTGCATCTATTGTAATGGTTACCTCTTTATATTTTTTAAATAGGTTTTCATAGGGAAATACTTTTTTCTGTAGCTGTATCTCTAGTGTTGGTTGGGTAGGACACATTAGCCTTGATCCTAGGTGCATGCAGTAGTGTACTCTCTGTATGATTTCTACTGCTGTAACCAGCATCAGTGGAGTCTGTGATTTCTTCAGTGGCTTAATCTGAGAGGTCACAGGAGGCTGTGATGAGGCCTTGAAGGGTACAGTAATGCCAGGTGGGTTAGTTCTGAGGCTCCGGTGGTGACAGTAGTAGGCCTGGCATTCCTGTCCTTAGGCCCCTGGACAGCATATACAGATAACAGTGTTAGTGGGTCTAGGTGGGCCAACTCTTGGGCTTTCACATGGCTTGTTCACGTGTCAGCAGTAGCAACAGTAGGGTAGGAAGTTTGGTGGATCCTCAGGCCCCTGGGCAGCATGTACGGCATTGGCAATGGCAGTAGCAGTGGCAGCCCAACCCTCACGTTCCCAAGTGGCATGTGCTGGTACTAGTAGTGGCAGCAACAGGCTGGGCAAGCCAGTCCCCAGATTCCTGGGAGGGGTGAACAGATGCTGATGGTAACGGGTGGAGTATGGTGATTTCAAGACCCTAAGATGATACACTTGGACACTGGATGAAGGGCCAGGTGGTGCACTTCTCTCTTTAGGCCCCTTGATAATGTATATGGGCATAGGAATGTGGTGGTAGGTGATCTCCAGGCCTCCAGTGAGCATGCTTGGGTGCCAGTGGCAAGCATTCTGGGCCTACTGTTAGATATTCTTATGGTGTATGTGCACACCCAGAGATATCAATGGGGCAGAGTGATTTCCTGGCCCCCAGGGCACCGTGCACAGTCATTGGGAAAATGGTACCAGGCAGAGTGGGCCTGTCTTCAGGCCCCCCAGTGGTACACACAGGCAAAGGCTATGGTGGGTGGTGTGAGGTGATCTCCAGGCCCCCAGACAGCATGCTGGGCACCAGCAGCAGATAGTGAGGAGTACAGAGGGAGGGGTGAGTCTTTTGTCAGACATCCTAATGGTGTATGTATGCTCCTGAGGTGACAGATGGGACAAGGCAATCTCCAGGTTCCTGGATGGCACTCTTGGAAACTGGCAGAAGTAGGACTGGGTCTTTTGTCAGGCATTCTGATGGTCCACATGTGTGCCTAGAGCAACAGATGGGACAGTGTAATCTCCAGTCACCCAGGCAGCATGCTCAAGCACTAGGACCACTGGGGGATCTCTCACTGACTTTCCCTGCATTGGAGAACCTCTATCATATCCTCGCCTGATACAGTTTGGCTCCGTGTCCCCACCCAAATCTCATCTCGAATTATAATCCCCACATGTCAAGGGAGGAAAGTGATTGAATGATGGGAGCAGTTTCCTCTCGCTGTTCTCATGACAGTCAGTGAATTCTCATGAGATCTGATGGTTTTGTTAAGTGTTTGACAGTTCCTCCTTCACAAGCTGTCTTTCTCCTGACACCTTGTGCAGACGGTGCCTGCGGCCACTTCCACCATGATTTCAAGTTCCTCCTCAGCCATGCAGAACTGTGAGTCAATTAAACCTTTTTCCTTTATAAATTATCCAGTCTCAGGAAGTTCTTCATAGCAGTGTGTAAATGGACTAATACATTGCCAATCCCAGCTGGGCCAGCTGCCTCACTTCCCTCTTCTTCTGTGTCTTAGCTGTTTCCCTTCACTTCTCTGCTGAATTTTAGTGTTCTCTCTTCAATGCTCTATTCAAAGTGTTATCATAAACTCACTGTTTTGGATATTCTTTGTGGAGGAGGCAAGCCATCTCAAAGCCTCTCCCCAAACGTTTTTAAGAATCCTTGAAATTTTTTTCCCCTTTGTACTTAAGAACTGGAGTCACTCAGGCTGATTTATTTCAGTTCTTTCTTAAGACATTACAAGAGCCACTGTCTCTTGTTTTGTAACATGAATAAGATTTTATTGAACACTCTACTATAAAGGAATTCAAAACAACCTAAAGAACTTAAATTGTTACCACATATGATTGTTCTTAGAGCTTATGGGTTGCATTTATGTCTTTTCTGTAAAGGCATTCCTTTTCTACCTTTCTGTCTACTTATGATAGATTTGACCCCTACTCACACCATACACAAAAATTAATTTGACATGGGTCATACACCTAAACTAAGTGGCTAAAGCTATAAAAAATTTTAAATATAGAATATATTTGCAAATATGGGCAGGCAAAGCCTTATGAAAAATCATAACTGTTGAAGAAAAATTATAAATTACACTTTATCAAAATTAGATATTTCTATTCAATAGAAAATACCATTAAGAAAATAAAAAGACCTATCACAAACTGGGAGAAAACATGCAATATAGATATATGACAAAGGAACTTGCCTAAAATATATTTTAGAAGCTTCTATAATTCAATAATTAAAAAGTCAAACAACCTAATTTTGTAAGTGGGTAAACCCTTAACAGACATTTCACAAAGAAAGATATATGAATGATCAATAGACATATGAAATCTGCCCAATATCATTTTTCATTGCTCGATATTTTGTCACATAGGGAAAAATATCATTATTCATTAGGGAAATGTAAATCAAAACGACAATGAGATAGTTCACATCTTCAAAGATGACTAATTTTTTTTTTTTTTTTTTTGAGACAGGATCTTAATCTGTTGCTCAGGCTGGAGTGCAGTGACACAATCATAGCTCACAGCAGCCTTGAACTCCTAGGCTCAACTATCCTCCTGCCTCAGTCTCCCAAGTAGCTAGGTTATGTGCACATGCTGCCATGCCTAA
The DNA here is from genome assembly GCF_000001405.40 of Homo sapiens. Taxonomy (NCBI): domain Eukaryota; kingdom Metazoa; phylum Chordata; class Mammalia; order Primates; family Hominidae; genus Homo; species Homo sapiens. The sequence goes on along the minus strand of NC_000002.12, from coordinate 187,021,259 downwards.
CTAATTTTAAAAAATGGAGATATGGTCTTGTTATGCTTCCCAGACTGGTATCAAACTCTTGGGCTCAAGCAATCCTCCTTCCTCGGCCTCTCCAAATGCTGGGATTACCGACATGACACCTCACCAAGCCCTCAAATTTTAAAAACTTAAAATACAATTTTTGGTGAAAATGTGGGGCAACTGGAGCCCTCATATTTGGTTGAGTGATATTATAAAATAATCAATCATTTTCAGAAAATATTTAGAAATTTGTTATAAAGTTAAACATATACCTACCCAAATTATGTAGCAATTTTGCTCCTACATATTTATCGAAGAGGAATAAAAACATACTTTTGCAATAATACTTGTACAAGAATGTTTATAGAAACGATATTATTTATAACCTCAAATTGGAAACATCCTAAAGGCTCCTGCAAGTAAATGGATAAAAACATTGTGGATTCATATACTCTAGTGCTACTCAACGATAAAAAAGAGCACCTAAGGATGTAACAATAAGGTAGATGAATCTCAAAAACATTATGCTGAATAAAAGAAGATTACCACAGGAGTATACAATATATCATTATTATTATAGCCAAACTAAGCCAAAGTAAAAGAAATTAGAACTGTAGTTGCCTGGTGGGCAAGGGAAGATGTTGACTGGAAAGAGGCACGGAGATAGTTTCTTGAGTGATGGAAGTGTTCTGTATCTTGACTGGGGTGGTGGTTACACAGATGTATAAATTTGACAAAACCCATTAAACTATACTCTTAAAAATCTGTATATTTTATTGATATGTAAATTATACCTCAATAAAAGGTTTTCTTGGGGGAGGAAGCACATACGTGTCAGATAATATGGAGGTCAGTATAATGAATAAATAGTGAATAAAACAAATACAGTCTCTACTTTCATATACCAAGTTCAAGCCCATGATCAGGAGATTAAACATAGCATAAATGTGCCCATAATACAAGTTCCAGGTACACTCTTAGAGGAAAAAAAAACCTGTAGTTTAAATTCTCCCTTCTCATTATTTTCCCAATTCAAAGTGAGCCACTTCACAGGATGTTTAAAAATGTCACAATTCTGCCTTTGGAAAAACCAAGAAGTTGGGTGTGCCTTTGCCGTCTTACTCAGAGAAAATTTACATCTGAACATAATCATCTATCGGTTTATTCTAGATAATTTTGTTTTAAATAATACTATGAACAAGGTTATCAGTAGTCCTGTACACATTAAGAAATGCCAAATCCAGTCCAAATTCATTTTTATAGTTTCTCTTAAAGCATGATGTCATGAGGGTTTGACCTTCACAGAGATTTCTGTCTCAGCTCCTATTCACTTGTGGGCCACAGGTTGCCTCAGTTAATAAGTATTTGAAGTGACAAGAGTACACTTAAGTCTGGACATATTTAGAAATGCAGTGCTTTATTAAAAGATATGCAGCTAGCCAGCAGTATCTGAGTCCAAATCTAAGGATTTATCCCTGACACAAGCCATTTGTCCTACCCCTAGAGCAAGGATACCTCTAACAGTTACTTACTAGGTACTAAAAGACCCACCTAGAATATGAATACTGCTTGGGAAGACTGTGGCATAAAATCTCAGCTACAAATGGAGGTACAGCTTATCACCAGCTGTTCTGAGAAATTCCATGGTCTAGAGTTGACCTCATACTCACTTTTCTGTTTATGTCTAACCTAATGTGTTGACCAGTAGAGTGGCTGTCCATCTTCGATATATTAGCCACAAAATGGGTTTAGCTATGCAATGTAAATATTTTGTCTAAGAAATTTATATAAGCAGAGTAGTGGGGCAATAAACCTGTTTTTGCATATTGGATAATAATTGTTACAAAAATTCTATAAAGAACTTCAGCTATTCTAACTCAGACTAATTCTAACCTATCCCTCAGACTGAAAAATAACACCCTCATCTCCGCACACATAAAAAATAATTAAAAACATACAAAAATATATATTTTCCTAAAGAAACTGCCTGAAATATGCACTCAGCAAGAGTCATCAGAACTCTTAGCTTTTAAAGTAAAATATATATGTATCTGAGTTACTTCAAGATTTTCCACAAGCAATGGTTGTGTAATTCCTGTACATTTCTTTAACTGAATGGGCTCAGGAAAGTTATCCAAAGTTAAGATTTACCTGAAAGGTAAATTTAAGTTTGTACGCCCTCCATTGCTTGCAGTGTATAAAAAACAATTGTTTATGGTTTGGTTTGATTTGGTTTGGTTTCTTTTATTTTCTTCTTTTAACTTCACCTCATCAATGTTTGGCACAAAAAAAAAAAAGAAACAGGAAAAAATGAAGACCACATTTTTAGTTAGTGTACCCTATTGCTGAAAAATAAATAAATTAGATTTCCTTGAAAAACACTTAATTCTCTGCTGAGAAGTTTTCTATTTAATGAAAACTTCATTTTTAGTTTTAACATCAAAACTTTACATCAGCTGAAAAAACAGAAAAGGAAAGAAATCTTCATTATGTTTGCTTTGGATACGTTCTCTTTTTAAACAAATGGTCACTCAGTATATCAAGGGGATAAGGAATGATATTTTCTCATTTTAAATATTGTCTCTGGGGAACAGCATGTTGTATTGGAAACAATGGGACTTTGAAATGAGAAATAAATTCAAACTCTGAGTCTCCCCTTCAAGCAACTATATGTTTTTGTCAGATTCTATCACTTTTCTGGGTTTCAGGCCTCTCCTATGTTAAATCGAGATAATTATACCCAACAAAATTGCTGTGATAAAGAGACTCAAAAGAATTCTGCCTCAGACAGTAGCAAGTTTTATGATAATGAAATTTTCATTTATGGTCTACTCATGCTTTTATTTTTTATGTTTAAATTTTTAGAATTTTTTAAACCTTCAGTCCTAAAAATTTCAAATTATTATAAAGATAATAGATCAATATTTTCATTACCATCTTTAGATTTCACTGAAGACATACTTAAAGATAGTTACCTAGCTGACCCAGAATCATTCATCCTAACCCTGAATTGAACAATATTTTTATTTATAAGTTTCAAACATCTTACAATGGGGCCTTGGGCTACAAAATTCTAGGGAGAAGAGCCCTAAAATGGGAACTAAATCAATTCTTAAGAAATTAATTGAGATCAGGAAGGACCTAGAAAGACTGAATTTTATTCTTAATGATGTAGGGTTTTCGGGGGGTGTAGGGGGTTCTGTCTTGCTTTGCCACGCAATAGAGATTTAAAATAAACCTTGAAAAGTATGGAACTGGCCAACTTTCTCGAATGACTTCTCCAGGATAGATTGCAAGAATCTAGTTTGCTGAGCAAATAAGAACTGCATTTCAGGGACACTTGTACAGCAAATTTTACTGAGCAAAATGTTGAATGCAATAGAAGGTAAAAAAAAATGTAGTTCAAAAAACAATAGATTTTAAAATCTGGCAAAACTCTCTTCCCATGGAAGTTGTGCTATATGTTTACATGTAGTAACGATTATTGTAGTGCACTCTAAAAAAATTCTTAGAATTACATGCATCAAATTCAGAACACGTTAGCCCTCAGCTTCTGTGTTCTTCCTTCTGGTTTACAGAGTTCCCTAAGGCCTTAGCTCACAGTGATCTCCCTGTTTCCATAACTACCGCAACATTGATTCTGACGAACACAAACCTTTATAGTTCCTCAGATCAACAACTCAAACTAACACATGTTCCCCCTGGACCCTATTCTTATCTTTCCAAATAAGGAGATAGACGTCTTCACATTCCAATCACATAAATTTTTTAAAAATAAAAATAAACCTCTGCTGCCATAATAATCTAGTCAACAATTTAAACAAATTCATTGATTTTCAGCCTGAGGAGACAGAGAAAGAGACACAATGGCAGTGTTACCTCCTTTTACACACACATATATACCAGGGAGGAGTAAGTCAGGTTTAAAATGCTATATTTAATACTAACATTTGAAAAAGTATATCCAATAATACACTTCAAAAGGTTTGAAAAGGTATATTTAATATTAAAATTTATTTGACTTGTTTAGTTGTGGTACTTAATTTTCTTTTGCTCTTGCAAATAACATTAAAGATGAAGGGTTTGTGGGGGTTTTTTAGTGTGAAAATATTGCACTAATTCAGTACTGAAGTTATATTTTTTTTAATGGTTAAAGAAGGTAATAAGTGAAGAGACTAGGAACCAAGTTTTAGTATTTGTATTAGTCCATTTTTACACTGTTGATAAAGACATATCCGAGACTGGGCAATTTACAAAAGAAAGAGGTTTAATGGACTTACAGTTCCCTGTGGTTGTGGAGACCTCACAATCGTGGCAGAAGGTGAAAGGCAAGTCTTACATGGCAGCAGACAAGGCAGAGAGCTTGTGCAGGGAAACTCCCACTTTTAAAACCATCAGATCTCATGTGACTTATCACAAAAACAGCACAGGAAAGATCCATGATTCAATTATCTCCCACCAGGTCCCTCCCACAATTCACATGTGGGAATTACGGGAGCTACAAGATGATATTTGGGTGGGGACACAGAGCAAAACCATATGAGTATTCTATTTTCTATTTAACAGACACAAAATACATTTAAAAGTACTAATGGGATAACATCAACCTAGGCATATGGTTTTTAATCAGATTCGTCTCTTTAGAACATCTACTTATAAAATGGTGTAATAAATTTTTATACCTAATATATAAAAACTATTAAAGAAAAATTGTATAACTTTTTGAAATTGTATAACATTGTATAATGTTTTTGAAAAACATTAATCTTTGTGTATTTGGTACACAGGGAAATCAGAATGATTATATCAGTCCTATAATACAAACTGTGCCAAAATTGACTTTATCAACTCTGTATATTTGAAGGCAATTTACTCCAGATTGCTTTAATGTCATAATAATGGCAAAAGTCTAATTTCTATATTCCAGTCTCCAATGTGAAAATAAGCCACTTCAAGCTAGCTTAGTTTTCTATTTCAATTAGTTCTAGTCACGAAATAAAAATAAACCCACATTGATTCAGATTTTTATGGAATGAACTAGAAGTCTCAGTATGTTTTTTATTTTTTAGGTACAAGTTGAATGCACATAAAGAATTATTGGTGACCAAGGTCGTGGCATACAGTATTATGTTCAGCTGACCTTGGACTGGTAAACAGTGTTGGTTGAGTGTTTAATACCTAGGAAGATGTAAGTGTGGAAAGCAAAATTTAAAATTGCCTGTGTTAGCAGTGTCTGGGAGCTCAACTTACATCACTTGGGCCATGAGTCTCTTCATTTCTTGAGTCCACTTTCCTTTGTATTAGCCTCATTTTCAGATTCTGAATAGTGACCCCTGACAGCTCCAGGTTTACACTATTCTTAATGACAGCAACCCCAGGGGAACAGGGAACCCCTATTTTCAGTTGCACAAGGAAGTCCTGAGATTAGCTCTGGTTGGACTGACTTGGGTCACATGTGCCTCACTGAACGAATCATTGCAGCTAGGGAAGTGGATTCTGCTGAACAGTCAGGCCTCAGTCATGTGTCCACCACTGGAAGTTTTTTAAGTTAGTGTTTGCATAATATATCTTTTGTCCAAACACAAAAACAAAAACCAAAAAAACACAAAACTGCCTGTGTTTTACCTCATTAATTAAAATTAAAAATCTTTAATCTAAATTTTTCATGTCAATGCAAATTTTTAAAATCTTAAGTCTATTTAAAATAAAAATGGCAAAATTTACTCTATCATTTAAAAAAATAGCTGATTTTTTAAAACGATTCAAACTTCTGATAAGTCAAACAAACACTATTATGGGTTTAACTGTGTCTTTCAGAAATTCATATGTTGAAGAAATTCCCAGCACCTCAGAATGCAAAATTATTTGGACGTAGGGTCACTGCAGACACACTTAGTTAAAGTAAGATTATATAGGAGTGGGTGGGTTTCTAATCCAATTTGACTGATGTGTCTTTATAAAACTGGAAAATTTGGACACAGGAACACATACAGAAATAATAACGTGTGAAGAAGGAGGCAGAGATCAAGGTGATGCTTCTTCAAGTCAAGGGACAAGACTAAAGATTGCCAGAAAACCACCAGAAGCCTGGAGAAGGGCATGGGACAGAGTCTCCATGAGAGCCCTCAGAAGGAACCAACCTGGCCAACAACTTGACTGCAGACTTCTAGACTCCAGAACTGTGAAACAATCCATTTCTGTTGTTTAAGCCTTCCGTCTGTGGTCCTTTATTACAGCAACTTAGAAAACTAATACAAATGCCTAACTAGCAAATTACTGCTAGGTGTTTAAGCAACTTTCGTAAATTGAATGAACCAAATATAAATGTAAATCAGTTTTTCTTAAATATACAAATAAAATTCTCCTACACATTTCAAATTAAAATTTTGACAGAGCCAATATGTCTGTGTTTCTGATCTTTTACACTCTGTCAAATAGTTCATATATCTTAATCAGTATAGATTCTCATTATCATGATTATTTTAAATGTTTAAAAACCAAAATATTGGGCCGGGTACAGTGGCTCACACCTGTAATACCAGCACTTTGGAAGGCCAAGGCAGGCAAATCACAAGGTCAGGAGATTGAGACCATCCTGGCCAACATGGTGAAACCCCATCTCTACTAAAAATACAAAAATTAGCTGGGCATGGTGATTCCAGCTGTAATTCCAGCTACTCAGGAGGCTAAGGCAGGAGAATCGCCTGAACCAGGGAGTCGGAGTTTGCAGGGAGCCGGGATCATGCCACAGCACTCTAGCCTGGTGACAGAAAGAGACTTTGTCCAAAAAAAAAAAAAAAACCCAAAATATTGATTTTATGAGATTATTCTACTTCATCAAATATTTACTTTTTTTCCCTAAATTTAAGTATTTATGCTTACCTGACCAAAAAGAATGTTTTAATTTGATCTGCTATAAGAAAATACCTAAGAACAGGTATGTTATAAATAATGGAAATTTATTTTTCGCAGTTCTGAAGGCTGGGAAATTTAATAACAAGGCATGAGCAGGTTTGTTGTCTAGTGAGGGCTCAGTCTCTCCTTCCAAGATGGAGCCATGAACACTACGTCCTCACATGGCAGAAGGGATGAAAGGGCAGAAAAGGGATTGAGTTAGTTCCCTTCAGCCCTTTTAAAAAACATTAATCCATTCATGAGGGTGGAGCCCTTATGACCTAATCATCTCCTAAAGGCCACACCTCTTAATACTGCTGTATTGGGGATTAAGCTTCAACATGACTTTTGGAGGGGACACAAACATTCTAACCATAGTCAGGAGTATATTTGTTACCTCAGATCAGTTATTGTTATTATGATCTTTTTTCATAACATTTAATTATCTGAGTTGATGAGATTATGTACCCCCAACCCAGGGTTGTAAATAAACATTTCACTGCTTGTTGAGTTCTGTATCTTTACTTTTCCCTTAGCTGTTATTCTATTCTTCAGCCTTCAGCCACTATTCTACATTAACTTTATTGACAACAGAGTCCTATCTGATAAGGTATGCGGTTTGCAGGAATCAGTTTGTTATCAGATGGGTTTGGGAGGATGCTCATGAGGATACGTTTACACCACCTATCCCACTCCCAGACAGCTGAACACATACTCAATCAGTTGACTGAATCCTAACCCACTAAGTGGGCCTGACCCCATCCATTGACTGTGAAAAATCACAGAAGTAAGCAAGACTCAGCTTCTCCCTTCCCAAATATTCTCATCCTGAGTCAGACATGGGTTCATTTTCAAGTCTCAATCCAGAACAATAATAATAAAAATACAGAGGCATTATCTCCAACAGAGGAACGGTGATCAAGGGAAAGAGAAGGGTGAGCTGATAAATAAGACATAAGGACATGAGGAATCAATCATATGGGGACCTGTAGGCCAGTGTGAGGATGTGGATTTGGAGTGGAGCCAGCAAGTGAAGCCACCGAAGGGCTTAGACTGAGGAGCGAAGTGGTCTGACTTACAGTTTTAAAAGATGATTCTGCTCTACTGCCCTGCACTAAGTCAGCTAGACAGTCAGCAAAGGATGCATACTAGAGATGAGTAATTGTCACTGCAGAGAGTTACAGAATTCTGCAAGGATCTAACTGTTCCACAGGCTGAGGCTGGAACAAAATTTGAAACTGAGAAAGGCATGAGGGGAACTCAAGAAGTGTCTGAGATATTAGTTTATTTTACAACCGTATATTTGAAACACCCCCAATACATGTAATGGTTATTAAACACTGACCCTTCACTCTAAAAATAGCGTCTGTCTGTAGGGTTCACCTGTTTAGATATAAATTTTATTAGGAAGATCTCGAGTAGCAGTTTGGAGTGTGAAAAATTTTGACGACAAGGAAACTAAAATTATTAAGGCTTACACTAAGGCAATGGCAGAAAATAGAAAGGGGTAAAGATCCGAAGTTTCTTCAGAAGATAAAATTGATAAGCTGGAGAACAATTGCACATAGGAGAGACACAGCATATCTTAGGATAGTGTTTCTCAGACGACATTTTTACTGTAAAAAGAAATGCATTCTATATCAAAAGACCTTCCCTCTCCTGAGCCTCCCCATACACAAACATACTCTCTAATCAACAAAGTTTTACAAAATAATACATATCTTTGCTTAGTATTATTGCAATTTGTACCGTTGTATTTGCAATGGTCTCTAATTTTTTATATTCCATTGTTTCTATTTTAAAATACTGTCTGCGTAAATTGATTATATCACCACAGTTTGAAAAGCATTGATTTATGGTCACTCTAGCTTTCCAGCTTGGCAACAGAGAAATACTGATGAATAGATCATCAAGATGAGCAATACCAAAGAAGAAAGGAAGAGAATGTTTGCAAGCTAAGAGTCGGCATTGGATATATTAGGGAGTTTCACATATAATACTTCATTTAATGTTTATAAGCACCTAATTAGGAAATTGTTATTCCGATTTTAAAGATGAAAAAATAAGGCTCATAAAAAATAGTTTTCAAAAATAGTACAGGCAGAAAATACAACTTAAAATAACTTTTTATATTCCCCCTATTAAGATTAAATATTTTGCCAGGATCTCTTTTAACTAATATGAACTTCGCTTTATTTCTGAAAAGCTAAAACTACAGGTAAGTACTGTTATTAAACTTCTGGCTGTATCCACAGTCTATTTTCAGTAGTGCTTTGTATATTTAGTTTATAAAATAAATTCTCTTTCTTTTCTTTCTTTGTGTAACAACCACTCTTCATATGGAAATAATAAACCAAATTGTAAACCTGGTTGTCCTGTGGTTGAGAGGAGAGTAAGAGACCTTAACTGTTTTTTCTCTGCATTTTACTTTTTCATAAAATTTTTAAACTGTAAGAGACTGTAGAGATCATCTAGTGAAGACATCCAACTCCTTTATTTCACAGATGAAAAAACTGATCTCATCTATTTATTGGCAGAACTGGGTGTGTAGGAAACCCAAGTAAATCATGTGTCTGCCATTTAAAATTTTTAATTATTCAACTCCCCTCTGCAAACATTCTAGTTGCCCAGTTGCTCTTTCCAGAAAAAATTATCTCCCAAGTGTCCAGATCACACAATAGAACACAAAGAAAGATTTAAGCACAAGGCAGAGGAAAGGGTGGAGTTGTTAACATCCTCCTTCTTCCTACAGTGGGTTCAAAGCTTTCTTTTTTTTCACTCCTACTTCAGTACACACAGATTGAATTATCCATGTGTGGAAGCCACACTATTTTATGTCCAGGTCCTACAGAAATTAGAAAATTGTTTCTCTCTTACTATGTTGATGATTAATAGCCAGCATACCAAGGACTCACTTTCCGCTTCACTTTTCTGTTTTCTTGTCCCTTCCAACTCTGTAAAACAGCCTTATACATGCTACTACATGTTCCTGTTCCTTACAGCTGTTTCACCAGGACATCCTTCTGGACACAGGGCTTCCTCTTGTCTCTTTGTCATGGAAGGGTGGAAAGCTACAGGGAGAGGGTCACATAGAGGGATTCAGTCTAGGCGTTAGTAATTGCTTGTGTACTTCGAATCCCAAATATGGGCAACTGTTTTCCAGTCAGTGCCGTAAATGGAGTTCAATTATTTTTGGCATTAAAAAAACTGTCCTAGACATGGTTCTGATGCAAGCCCGGATGAACAGGGAGCATAGCCCCTTAATTGGGGGGCGCTGGGCCTGCATGGGACAGAGAGAGGAGTGTGTGCAGAGAGGGGAGTGTGCAGAGAGGGGAGTGTGCAGAAAAGGGTGTGTGCAGAGAGGGGAAGGGGATGCCATTCATACTAGGAGGCTGAGATAAGAGTGGAAAGGGCAGCTTTGTTCAGAAGCACCGAGTGGGGCTGAATGAGCATGTGACCCAACCACGTATGGAGATGGTCTGTTCACCAATCTTACAGCAATTTAAACTCTTTGTTTCTGTGAGACAGGGTCTCAATCTCTCACTCTGGCTGGAGTGCAGTGGCATAATCATAACTCACTGAAGCCTCAAACTCCTGGGCTCAAGCATTCCTCCTACCTCAGCTTCCAGAATAGCTGTAAACTCTTGAAATAAAGCCAGGGCAGCCCTAGGGCTGTGTTGATGCCCAATCTCCCTCTTGGCCTTTACAGGAAAGAAGCAGGTGTAAAAGATATGGGGCAGGCCTAACAGAGACCTCATAAGTATTTAACCCTTATCAAAATCAGAAGTGTCCACTTAAATATGGTTACCTGGGTTACAGGTTGCATTAAGACGTGCATTTGAGATCTCAGACCCATTAAATGTGACAGAAACTCTCCTTGACCAAACTTTAGTCAGGCTTCTCTGAGGCCTCTTGTCAACTAAGCCTTCCCAGCCCAGTCTTAGCAAGAAATTCTGCTGTCATCCTCCCACCCTGATCGCCGTCTAAATGTGGTTAAATTCCTTATTCCCTATCCTTGCTATCTTATCATCTTAGCCTGCCTTTGCCAAGAATCCTGTTAAGGCAATTCAACAAGAATCTCCCTAACTTTAATGTCACCTCTTAGTAATTTTTTCATCCACTGACCCCTTAACTCTGCTCCTTGGCCCTAAATCCCCTCTTGTCCTCGTTGTATTCAGAGTTGAGCCTGTGAAAGTTGCCAGTATCAAAATGGAGTGACTCATGTCAAAACCCTAACAAAATGGAGGCAGGAAGCATAAGGAGGAGCTATTATGCACACATGACTGTAACAGGACTTATCACATGGCATTCCTCAAGACCAGTGTTCCAGATTAGCCATCTGCACAAGAATACTTACCTGGCAAGGTTGTTTCTACCCATGAACAAACACCAACTCCTATAATGAGTTTCAGTGACCTATGCACCTTTTTTCAAGGCTGCTTACATAGTCATCTTTACATGAGACGAAGAAGTTCCTACCCCAGGGGTATACCTATGATGCATCATAGGCTGCATATCCTAGATTGCAACACCCTGCATATTCCCAAATAAGCTCATTTGTCCTGTGGGAAGAAAAACTGTCATAGGTGTTTGCAAAAGTTTGTATACCTAGAATATGTTACAATAGTTGGAAAAATCTAATACTGATGATGACTAATTTCAACTGGCTAATAGCCAACTATATTAGGGTTCTCTAGAAAAAAAACTGAACTAATAAAATGAAGAAGGGGGAAGGGATTGAGAGAGGTGTCTATGTATCTAGATATAGATAGATAGATAGATAGATAGATAGATAGATAGATAGATAGATAGAGATAGGTGATAGAAAGATGATAGATAGATAAGATAGGATAAATAGCTATCTAGATATCTTTATAGATATATTCATGTCTATAGATAGAGATAGAGAGGCAGAGAAAGAGGCAGAGAAATTGATTGATTTTAAGGAATTGTAACATGCAATTGTGAGGGCTGGCACGTACAAACTACATAGGCCAGGCCAGCACGTATAGTCGAATGAGAGTTGCTGTTGCAGTCCTGAGTCCAAGTTCCACAGGACCACAGGCTGGAAACCCAGGCAGGATTTCTATATTATAGAGAAGAATTCCTTCTTTGGAAAATCACTGTCTTTGTTCTTAAGGCCTCAACTAATGGGATGAGGCCCACCCACATTTTGGAGGGTAATCTGCTGTACCCAAAGTCTATTAATTAGCTATCAATCACATCTAAAAACCACCTTCACAAAAATGTCTAGATTGGTGTTTGACCACATAATGGGACACTACAGCCTAACCAAGTTGACACATAAAATTAATCACTGCACCAGCTAACCCTAACTTTGCTTCTCACAACCAGAGGAATTATTTAATATTGTCATATAATGAAATTATATTACTTTTTAAAGTCATTGCTTCAGGTTGACATACAAAACCATTTCAACTTTTTAAATTGATCTGAATTGCTAATATGTGCCTAATTTTTATAAATAATCCCTTAATTTTATTTAAAATGCAACAAAAATTGATGGGAAAAAAACTGTGTGTGTATGCATGTGTGGTATTAGGGGTGGGAGGAAGAGATTACCTGGCAAAAACTACAATTTTATTCTGTAGTACTAGTCAATGCAATTTAGCACTAAATTTTTAAAACTCTCAAAATCAAACATATACAGAGAAACTAGAAAAATCCAAAGATTTAAATCCAGCACCAATATGTTCCCTGGGTTATATACCTTAAATTATACCAGATAAACTAATTCTGGAAGAGAAAGCAACACTATTCCCTATGACTATATGCTAGCATATGGCTTTCAAGGAAACAAAGAACAGCAGTTTCACCAAACTTTACTTTGCCAGCACTTTCCCCCCTTTTCCAGAGGAGAAAAGAAGTATAAAAAATAATAGCAAAATATGTCAATTTCTATAAAAGGCTCATAGTTACATGAGTTTGTGTGGATAATCTTGTGGTTACTTAAAATAATAATAATAATTAGTCATAGCAGTATCCTCTCTCCCTCTTGACTTTGACTTCTCTAGCTTACACATTCCCTCTGTGAGGCTCAGCTCAAGTTCACATGTAAAGTCAGCAGAAATGTGAAGCTCTGCTGCTCAACACTACAGCCAATACAGCTGTGCATCACTCAGCACAGAAAACAAAGTGGTTGTATCTTCTTTTGTTAATTAATTTTTACATTTTTTCTTCTTTATTATGAAATCTTTCAAACACTTAAAAATAAGTTTGTACCTAACACTCAGATCTAAAAAATGTTAAATTTTTAACTGTTTCAGAAACTTTTGGGAAAAAAAAAGAAAAATGACAGATACAGAGAAAACCCCTCTCACTTCCTTCTCTAGTCCTTTTACCTGAATTACTCATTCCCTTCTACCTGACACCCTCCGTTTCCAGACATGATTAATATCTCGATAGAATATATATCCTTCCTATGTTGATTTTTATTGCTCTTAACCACATAAAATTTTGCCAGCAAAATTATAGGAATCATTTTACATTATTTTTAATTTTGTATGAATACATATTTGCAGCTCAATTATGTATGTATGTATGTATTTATTTATTTATTTATTTTGAGACCGAGTCTTGCTCTGTCGCCCAGGCTGGAGTGCAGTGGCATGAACTCAGCTCACTGCAACCTCCGCCTCCTGGGTTCAAGCGATTCTTCCGCCTCAGCCTCCTGAGTATAGCTGGGACTACAGGCACACGCCACCACTCAGGGCGAATTTTTGTATTTTTAGTAGAGACGGGGTTTCACCATATTGGCCAGGTTGGTCTAGATCTCCTGACCTCCTGATCCACCCACCTTGGCCTCCCAAAGTGCTGGGATTACAGTCGTGAGCCACTGCGCTCGGCCCAATTATTTATTTATTATTTATTTATTTATCTGAGACAGTCTCTTACTCTGGCACGCAGGCAGAAATGTAGTAGAGCAATCTCAGCTCACTGCAACCTCCCCCTCTCAGACTGAAGTGATCCTCCCACCTCAGCCTTTCAAGTTGCTGGGACTACAGGGGTGCGCCACCCTGCCCAGCTAATTTTTGGAGAGATGGGGTTTTGCCATGTTGCCCAGGCTGGTCTTGAACTCCTAAGCTCAAGCGATCCACCTGCCTTGGCCTCCTAAAGTGCTGGGATTACAGGTGTGAGCCACCATGCCTGGCAATTAATTTTTAATTTAACCTTATGGTTTCAAAATGTACCAAAGATGATTCATGTAGATCTAGTTCATTTAATTTAACTGCCAGATGGTAGTCTACTAAATATATGATAAATTACTTGTTTCTTTCTTGATAAATATTTAGATGGTATCCCACTTTTTTCTTTTAACAACAGTGCTACAAGGAATAATCTTGTACATGTTTTCTTATGCACATAAAAAACAGTAGAGCATCCACCTAGAAATGGAATTTCTGGGATATCTACTATACTCACAGTCCACTTTCCTTGATATTATCTAAGTGTTTTTCCAAAGTAGTTGACTCATTTACACAGCCACTGAGAGCATATGAGAGCTTGTTTCTCCACACCTCCAAAAGCTAAGTATTGTCGACGTTTTAGTTGTCAGAGGTCTGCCAGTGGTGACTGTGAAATGGTATTCCATTTTCAAATCCATTAGCATGCTCCCTCAACTATTCAGATTAAAGATCTTTTCAGCTGTCTATCTTTCCAGCTTCTTTTTTAAATAGAATCTTCAGTTTGTTTGATTTACCCAATTTTCAGTTAGGTAATTTGTCTTATGCTTATATTCATTTTCAGAAGACTTTTTTACTATAGTAAGATACCAATATTTTGTTGTTACAAACGTCATAAATTGCTTTTCTTCAATTATTATTTTTTATTAACTTTCTTCAATGTCTCCTGTATTACAGAGCCTTACATTTTAATAAGGTCAAGGTTATCAATAATTTTCTTTAAACTTTTGTGCTTATTATCATCCTCTTTAAAATATGTGATTCTCCTATATTTCCTTCCAAAATCTTTATAAATTTTTTCTCATATTGGGGTCTTTAATCTATCTGGAATTTATTTTAATGTGTTATGAATTGCAAATTTTTAATAAGGATAATTAATTTTACCTGGAACCATTTATTTAAAACTTTGTTATTTCACAACCAATTAATAATGCCTGAACTGAGTTCTTACATATGCATAAGTCTTTGTCTGGGTTCTTTGTTCCTTTCCATTAGTTGGTTTGTCTAGCCTGTACAAATAGTAAGACAGCTGAATACTTACACTTTTACAGTTTCTCCTCATATCTGCAAAGAATGTCTTCTCCTTTCTCACTAAAAAAAAGGCTTAGATATTCCTGATCCTTTCACATTCCAAAGAAATTTTAGAGTTAGTTTAACTGATACTATATAGGGTTTGTAAATTAATTGGAGGAGAATTTATTTCCTAACAGTATTAACTTTTCCCATCAATTAATATCCAGTTTTTTGGCATTCTCTCATATCCTTCAGTAAATATTCAGGTACCTTTTAGTTTTTGTACCTCTTATGAATTTGATCTTAGTTTCTGTAACAGTTTAAGCATATAGGGAATAAATAAGAATGTCAATGATTTTTATATATTCATTCTATATCCAGGAACATGCTGACCTCTTATTAGTGCCAATAATTCATTTATAAGCCATCTCAGATTTTATATATACATAATTACATCATATGCAAATAATGAAATTTAGTTTCTCCCATGCCAATTCTCATTCTTCTTACTTGTTATCCTTGTCTTACTGCATTAATTACGAACTCCTATAAAATTCTTGCATAGCTCCCTACTTTAATGGAGATCTTGTAAGGTTTCACCATTAATAGTATTTGCTACAGGTTTAGATACACTTTGGTAAGTGAGCAAGTACCTTCCTTTTCCCAGTTTGTGAAAAGTTTTCATTACAAATGGGTGCTGCATTTATTGCATGAGTTTTCTGAATCTACTGAATCAATCATAAACTTTTTCTCTTTTAATCTGTTAACATAGTAATATATTAAGATTAACAAAATTTTTAATATTAAGTCATCCTTGAAATCCTAGAATACATATTATTTGGCCATGATGCATTTTTAATATTTTGCTGAATCTAGTTAGCTAATGTGTTACTTAGTATCTTTACATCTATATTAAGTAATACTGGTCTAAAGAATTTCTTTTAAGCACTAACCTTTTCTGGTTTTGGTACCATAATAATAAGAAGAAAAGAATAGCTAACACTTATTTTGCACTTACTATATGTCAGTCAGTGCTCTTAGCATATCTCTTTTGTTTTTGCCATTTAATCATCACAGTTCTATGTGGTAGGTACTCTGGTCATTATCCTAATTAAGCCAGTGAGAGTGTTAAGCATTTACCTAGGAATACAGTTAGTAAGTGTCTGACCAGGAACACATTATCTGTTCTCTAGAAAAATTTAAAAGTTAATAGTTACGTATTGCCTGATAGTTTGATAAAAGCATGTCAATAACTAGGACTCCTTTTTATTTTCCCAACTGATTGCATTTCCCTAATGGATGTAAGTGTATTCAGTTTTAAAATATCTTCCTGGATCGATTTTAATAAGGTTTAATTCTCTAGGAAATATTCCATTACATCTATATTTTTATATTAAATATTAATACATAATTTACTATTCAATAATTTAATATGAAAATGTAGACTATTTTTGGTTTTTCTTGATTAATGTTGTTAGAGGTTTGTGTAAGTTTTTTATCTTTTCTAAAAAACAAACTTTATTCTATGCTGAATCTCCCTATTGTGGCTTGGTTTTCTAAATTCCTTTATTTCTGTTATTATTACTTCTTTCTACCTTCTTAAGATTTACTATTTTTCTAACTTCTTCACTTAATCATTGCTCAGTTAAATATTTAGCTAATAATTTTCCAATTGTTTTGTCCTAGTACAGACATTTAAGGTTAACATTTTTCCTGTGAGTATACTTTTTGTTGTAGTCTATCAGTTGTGCTTCTCTTGTTTTTCAGATCTAAATAGTTTATAAATTGCAATCTGATTTCTGCTTTAAGCTATAAAATATTCGGAAAAGCACATTTTGGCATTCTTTACTAATTTTATTGCAATGTTTTCAGAGAACATGTTTTGTGTGTTACCAACTCTTAGAGACTTTCTTTGTGGCCAAGTACATGAACAATTTAAAAATATATCCTATGGATGGACTTCAGGTGCCAGCCAAGATGAAGTAAGCCTGCTAGAATCTTTCTCTTTCACTCATTACAATTAAAAATTCAGGACAAAATACTAAAACACTTACCTGAGGATGATTCCGAAACAAAATAATAGCAAGGAGGTTGAGGAGCGACATCAAAACTCAAAAAATGACCAGTATGCCAATAGTGAGTTTCCTAGGATATTTTCCTTCAAGATCATCTGGTCTTGGCTTAAGGATGGGCCAAATCAGGGAACAATGTGATGGGAACAGACAGCAAAAACTTTGAGAAAACCCTGGTTTTCTGTCAGAGTACTAAGAAACTGGGACCCTGAGAGGTGGAAAGTGGAGGTTGAAGGTGAAATCCCAATGTGTTTTTCTCTCCCTCTGCCCCAAGGCCAGCTTCATTGACCAGCTTCAGTGCATGTAGAGGCAGCAGCATGAATGTAAGCCCTAGAAATCCATCTTTCTGGACAGAGGAACCAGGAAAATGGGCCTCTAGGGGCCTCTGTGTGTAAAGACTGTGGAAGGAATTCCCATTTTTATTTTCAGTCTTTTCTTTCATTACTTCATCCCCCGGGTATATCCAATAACACAGAACTGTGCAACTGTGTGGAAAACTTAGAAGACTCCTGGCCAGAGGGACTGGGAAAAGAGGACCCTGAGAGACAGACTCTGAGAGAGAAAATTATTTAAAAAGAAAAAAAAAAAGAGAGAGAGAGAGAGAAGCGGCCCCGCCCGGCTCGCAGCGGCAGCATGGCCGCAGCGCGGGGGCAGCAGCAGCAGGCGGCTGCGCGCGGATGTCGCAGGGTTTCGCGGCAGCATGACGGACTACCTGATCAGGGGCGGCACCGACTATGTGCCCGATAACTGGCTCCCCGCGCAGCAGCTCTTTGCCAGCGCCGACTGCCTCACCTACGACGACTTCCTGATTCTCCCAGGATTCACAGACTTCATAGCTGATGAGGCGGACCTGACCTCAGCCCTGACCCGGAAGATCACGCTGAAGACTCCGCTCATTTCCTCCCCCACGGACACTGTGACAGGCCGACATAGCCATTGCAATGGCTCTGATGGGAGGTATTGGTTTCATTCACCACAACTGCACCCCAGAGTTCCAGGCCAAGGAGGTGCGGAAGGTCAAGAAGTTTGAACAGGGCTTCATCACGGACCCGGTGGTGCTGACCCCCTCGCACACTGTGGGTGATGTGTTGGAGGCCAAGATGCGGCATGGCTTCTCTGGCATCCCCATCACTGAGACGGGCACCATAGGCAGCAAGCTGGTGGGCATCGTCACCTCCAGAGACATCAACTTTCTTGCTGAGGAGGACCACACCACCCTCCTCAGTGTTGGCTCCAGCAGGCCTGATGTTGAAAGAGGCAAATGAGATCCTGCAGCATAGCAAGAAAGGGAAGCTGTCTTTCGTCAATGATCCGATGAGCTGGTGGCCATGATCACCTGCACCGACCTGAAGAAGAACAGAGACTACCCTCTGGCCTCCAAGGATTCCCACAAGCAGCTACTGCGTGGGGCAGCTGTGGGCACCCCTGAGGATGACAAATACCGCCTGGACTTGCTCACCCAGGCGGGGGTAGACGTCGTAGTCTTGGACTTGTCCCAAGGGAACTCGGTGTATCAGATTGCCACGGTGCATTACATCAAACAGAAGTACCCCCACCTCCAGGTGATTGGGATGACAGCCGCCCAGGCCAAAAACCTGATTGACGCTGCGGTGGACGGGCTGCGCATAGGTATGGGCTGCGGCTCCATCTGCATCACCCAGGAAGTGATGGCCTGCGGTGGGCCCCAGGGCACTGCATTGTACAAGGTGGCCGAGTATGCCCTGTGCTTTGGTGTGTCCATCATAGCCGATGGCGGCATCTAGACCGTGGGGCACGTGGTTAAGGCCCTGGCCCTTGGAGCCTCCACAGTGATGATGGGCTCCCTGCTGGCCACCACCACGTAGGACCCCGGCGAGTATTTCTTCTCAGATGGGGTGCGGCTCAAGAAGTACCAGGGCATGGGCTCACTGGATGCCATGGAGAAGAGCAGCAGCAGCCAGAAATGATACGTCAGCAAGGGGAATAAGGTGAAGATCGCGCAGGGTGTCTTGGGCTCCATCCAGGACAAAGGATCCATTCATAAGTTCGTGTCCTACCTCATAGCGGGCATCCAGCCTGGCTGCCAGGATATTGGGCCGCAGCCTGTCTGTCCTTCAGTCCATGATGTACTCAGGAGAACTGAATTTTGAGAAGCAAACCATGTCGGCCCAGATCAAGGGTGGCGTCCATGGCCTGCACTCTTAGGAGAAGCGGCTGTACTGAGGACAGCAGTGGAGGCCAAGGTGGTGGAAGGGGCATACCGCAGTGTCCACTTTCAGGCACAGCCTCCCTCCATAACTGAGTGGTCCACAGACTTGCACTATAGGTTCCCCAGCTCCTTTCCAGGGAGAAAGGAGGGGAAGTTCTGAGGGGTCTGCAGCCTCTTGCTGGGCA
This sequence comes from Homo sapiens, assembly GCF_000001405.40. Lineage (NCBI taxonomy): Eukaryota > Metazoa > Chordata > Mammalia > Primates > Hominidae > Homo > Homo sapiens. Next base: position 187,001,704 of record NC_000002.12, on the reverse strand, counting down.
TCGCCTGCAGAATCAGAACTGCTCCCTGGGCCAGAGTGCCCTGGGAACCCCCCAACACACACACACCAGCCCAGCCAGCCAGGCTCTCAGGCCCTGCGCATGCCTCAGGTCTTTCTTGCTGCAGCCTGCTCCAGCCCGGCCCCCACCACAGGGACAAGAGGCCCCTCCTGGCTTCTCCTGTAGGGCACCTCCCTGCCCCCAGCCCCCGAGGAAATGGTGCTCTCCTGGCCCTGCCTCTGGCACTTCCTGGGCCACTAACCCCTCAGCCATGTGGCACTTCTGAGCTCTTGACCTAGGCCAACGGGAGGTCTCTGCCCACTTCCCCGGCCCTGGGCTACCCTTGGGTCCTGCTCCTCAGGCCACTCCCCTGTCCCTGGCCCTGGGAAGGAGGCTTCCCTGATCATGGCCACCTTCCCGTCATTCCTGACTCACCACCGTCCCCAGGTATATCATTCCTGCCCTCTCCTCAGCTGCAGTTGAAGGCTCACTTTGCACAGTTTGGGATCACAATTGTATAATTGTGTATTAAATAATCGGAATAAATCAAGCAGGTCTCAACACCTCCAAAAGAAATAATAAAAATAAAAAATAAATAAATAAATAAGAAGTGAAGAAGAAAATTCCCTGGTGTACCCCCAAACTCTGCCTGAATGGAACACATCCAAAGCAGCATAGCAAAAGCTTTAAGAATTGTCTGTGAATCAGCTCCAAAGTCTTATACTAATCCCTGACTGTTTCAGATAACAATAAAGACTTTAAACCCTGAACTGACATTCGAACTAGCACCAGTGGAAGGCAAGATAGAACTCATGGTCTGAACCCAACTGGATTTATTAGTAAACAAAAAAACTTCAGAAGATTTTAACAAGATGCAGACTCTCACAACACATTACTCAAAACTTTGAAGATGCAATGCAAAATTGCTCAACATACAAATAATAAAAAAAAAATTGGACCTGTTTTCCACTGAAACAACAATCAACAAATGTCAAATCTAAGATGATCCAGATGTTGGAAAAAAGACTTTATTGTAGCTATGATAACCATGCTCCATGAGGCAAAGGTGAACGCTCTTGAAATTAATGGAAATAAAGACGTTCTTAACAGAGCAATAGAAACTACTGGAAAAAGAAAAGGGAAAAACTGGACATTTAAAAAGTAAAAAATACAACACAACACTTGAAATTTTAAAATTTCCTAGACAGGTTCAATAAGGAATAGAGATGACAGAGGAAAAAGTCAGTAAACTTAAAAATTGATCAATAAAAATTATCTAGTCTAAATAACAGAGAGAAAAGATTGAAAATGAAAATGGCCAGAGCCTCTAGGGCCTGTAGATAATATAATAACAAGATTCAAAAAATCTAGTAGTGGTGTCATTGGCATCTATGAAGTAAAGGGAAAAACTGATTGGTGAAGAAAAATATTTGAAGATATAGTGGATGAAAAACTTCCTCCAAGTTCAGTGAAAAATATAAATTTACAGAAAAAATTCAAGAAGTTCAGAAAAATAGTTTAAACCCAAACAAGACTTAAGGGAAATTATAACAAAGGGAAACTTGTAACCTTAAGAATGAGGATAAAGCAAAAGAAATGCTTGGGTATCTGAATAAATATAATTTAATGTTTTTCTCCTCTCAGTTTATAAAAATATATATGACTTTTGAAATCAAATTTTATAACATTTCTAGAAAGGTTCCAATGTATGTAAATGTAATGGACATGAGAGAGCAAGTAGATAGAAAATCAGTAAGGACACAGAAGGCATGAACAACACTATCAACCAACTTGACCTAATTGACATTTGTAGAACACTCTTGCCCACTAGTAGAAGAATGCATATTCTCCTCTAGTGCACATGGAACATTCACCAACATAGACCATAAAACACCTCAACAAATTCAGAAAAAATCAAATTATATTTTGTATATATTATACATTATATTTTCCAAACACGAGTAACAGAAAAAAATCTGTAAAGCACCTAAATATTTGAAAATTAAATAAACCATGAGTCAAACAAGTAGTAGAGTGGGAACTTGAAAAATATTTTGAAATAAATGAAAACAAAAATTAACTATGTAAGGAATGAAAGACATGTACTCCCACAGACTCCACAGATATTAAAAGACTAATAGTACCAACAACTCTATGCCCATGATTTAAACAGCTTAAATGTGATAGACCACTTCCTTGAAAAATGTAAAATAACCAAAACTCACTAAATAGTAAATTGTCTATGTCTTCATCTAGTAGAAAATTAAATATTTTATTTAAAAACTTCCAAAAATAAAAACTCTAATCCCAGATGGTAAATTTTACTAAATATTTAACAAAGAAATAATACTAATTTCACATAATTTCTTCCAGAAAAGGAAGCTGAGGCTGAGGGGTATATATTTCCCAACTCATTTTATGAAACCAAGATTACCTTGATACCAAAATCAACAAAAAATATTACAAGAAAAGTAAACTACAATGCACTATTTCTCATGAACATAAACAAAAAAGATCCTCAAAAATCTGAATCCAGTAATATATTTAAAAGATAATATAAAATTATCTTTTACTTTATTTAAATGAAAATTACAATTACTTATTTATTAGAATGCCTATAAAAGAAAACACACAAAAAAACTGACAATGCCAAGTGCTAGCAGAGATGCAAACCAACAGAAACTCTCATACATAGCTGAAGAGAATGCAAAATGGCACAGCCACTCTAGAAAACAATGCCTTATAAAGTCAAACATACACTTAGCATATAGCTCAATAACCCTACATTTTAGCATTTACCTAAGTGTGATAAAAACCCACATTCACACAAATATGGTAATTTTAAAACAAATGTGTTAGTTTCATCAGAAACTGGAAACAACACAAATGTCCCTCACTTGGGGACTAGATAAATAAATGTGATGCATTCATATAATGAAATACTATACAGCAATAAGAAGGAATAAAGTATTGATGCATGCAAGAAATGAATGAATCTTAACTCTATTATTCTAAGAGAAATAAACCTTTTTCCAAAGTTAATATACAGAGTAATTCCATGTATATTATTTTCTAGAAAAGGCAAAAGAAAATTGCAAGAACTCTACATGAAAAAAGAGCAAATTTATGGTACATAAACTTTTTAAATAAATTTTTAAAATACTTTGTGGGTGTTTGAAAACAATTTGCTTCACCTACTTATTGTTTGTAGTGTTCTATATATGCAGCCTGTCATTTTATGAAAATTATGTCAAAATCTCCCACTACAATTGATAATTTGTCCATTTCAACTTTAATACTATTGATTTTCACTTTATGCATTTTTTCAGGATATTATTTGCTTTTAACATATAGGTATTCAGGATTGCTGTATTTTTTAATGAATTAGACCATCACTTTTCCTTAAAGTCCTTTTTGTTTCAAGGCCTATTTTGCCTTTCATTAATATTGCAAAATAGTTGTTGGGTTCATCTTTGCCCGCATATGTTTTCACATTTCACTATTTTCATCTTTTCATTATGATCATGTGTAGGTGTATTTCTCATAAACGGCATGTAACTAGATTTAAAAAAAAAAAAAACAGGTCTCATTCTGTCACCTGGACTGGAATACAGTGGCATAATCACGGCTCACTGCAACCTCCACCTTCTGGGCTCAAGAAATGCTCCCACCTCAGCATCCTGAATAGCTAGGACTACAGGCATGCGCCACCACACTTGGCTAATTTTTATATCTTTTTGTAGAGATGAGGTCTCACTATATTGCCCAGGCTGGTCTCAAACTCCTGGGTTAAGCAGTCTTCCTGCCTTGGCCGCCCAAACTGCTGAGATTACAGGCATGGGTCACTGTACCTGGTCACAACTGGATTTTAAAAATTTAATTTGAAATTACCTATCTTTTAAGAGGTAAATTTATCATTAGCATTTATGTTTTTAATACCTCATTTTGTATTTTATTTTATGTCTCCTGGTTTTTATTTACTTGTTTTTTCAACTCCCAAGTGCTTGGAATACCTTTTTTAAATTTACTTATTGCTCTTTCCTTTATTAAAACTGAATCTTTTATTAGTTTGTGTTTGTTTTAAATTCTATTGCTCTTCTATAGAGTTTATCCTTAAATATGTTACATGCATTCTTGACCTAACAGAGTGAAAATTTAATCACTATCACTAGCTCCCTCCAGAAAATCCGATTTGAGAAAGCTTTAACTCCAGTCATTCATCTCTGATTTTTTCATGCAAGTTGAGCTTTAACTCTAGTCATTTATCTCTGATTTTTTTCATTCAAGTTGAGCTCCATCTTTTTTTTAAAGCGCTCAAAATTAGTCATCACCATTATTTTTATTATTGCTTCTGACATTCGTTGTTTATTTAGATTCATCTACAGGTTAATTCATTTCTTTGCAGAGATGTTAATCCACACTTTAATCAATTTCTTTAATTTTGCATCCTATTCATTGTTCCCTCTCCTTCTTTTTCAAAGTGCATAATTTGATGTTTCCTTTAGATTCTGTGAATAATAATACTAATTACTATTTTCAATTCTAAATTTTCTGAATATTTTTAAATTTTATTTCTACTCTGTTATAACAAAATGTTATTTGGTCCTGGGTACCAGAAACGGATGCTGAGCCTCCTAGATGAGAGAAAAGCACTAAGCATCCCAAGTCTCAATACAATGATTTTTCAGCTCTTCATGTCACCTACCCGTGAAAGGTTTGCTGAAAGGCAATTCTCCTGCAAAACCAGAACTACCACCCTCACTCTTAATTCAGTACAAGATGAAAGTTAGAAAAAGGTGTATTTTTGTGGGATGCACATTCACAGCGAAAAGTTTTTTCTCTCTTCACACACCCCTCCATGTGGAAGAAATGCAATATTTTCCCTTCCTGCAGACAGGAATAGGCGAAAGAAAGAGGATCACTAAAACAACTTGCAGTTATCGAAACCACTTATTTCCCTCTAAGTCAGGTATGAGTATTTCTCAGCTAAACTTAGCAAAACTCTTTATTTGGCCAGGAAAACCCAAGGTAGAAACAAGAACAGGAAAAATTACAGAATGTGAGTTTCTCACAATTTTCTAAAGACATCAGTTGTCTTTTTGGTAAACCCTCACGAAGTTGTGGGCCACTAACTATGGCAAGAGCTAAAGAGAAAAGGAAGAAGTTAGAACCAGGGGTTCAGATTTCCACATCAAACAAGGGAAAGACACTCATAGGACCCTGAAGAACCAATTAATGTGTTCCACAAAGCAGCATCCATTTATATGGTTGCAACTCTAGAAGCTAATAGGCTAATCTCAGTCAGAGACACAGGATTGGGTATCTCCAGACTGCGATCAGAGACAATTATTAAAAATAAAATGTGTTTTCCTAATGAGTTGTCTCTCCTCAATAAACCAATAAAACCTAAATAACATTTTGAGATGGTATACGATTACAAATTACTATTTTTGCTTTTGCTGGCACCTAGGTTAATTCCTTGACTTAGGGTTGTGTCTCACAAATTAAGTCAATCTCACAGTTTCACAATGGATTAAGTTTTCAATTTATTGAAGATAACTTTGAAATAACAGTACTCCATACTACGTACTTAGACTGGTGGCAAACTTTACCTAGTCCTCCTTTCACAGGTAAACTAAATTTTACAGGTTCTGTATTTGTTGAAGCCCTACTTCCAGTACCCATTTAGATGCTAAAATGCAAAACTTCAGTCATTAAGGTCTATATATTATTTTAAACTCCTTACCAAATAGAATCCCAGGACTTCAGCTTCTACTTGTGACACTGACTTGAAAATTTCTTCTCATCTCTGTCACTTGAGTAATTTCTTTGTTTGAATTAATTATACATTGTGAAAAATGCTTATATTTATCTCTCATTTCTGTGTAGTGTCAAATCAAAATGTCAAATGTTAAAGTATGACTTTTATCAGTTAATGGCACATATCTTCCTAATAGAGGGCAAAACCAGTATATTTAAATAAATTTGTATATCCATATTTAATATTTTATTAATGATCTGAAATAATGGCATTGTCGAAATGTTTTCAAATTTTAGACTCTGTAAAAATTTTTTAAACCAAATATCTAGAATGGATAATGAAATCTTGGTGTTTAATAAAATATGTTGGTTAAAAAAATTTAAATATCACTTGAAAACATATAAACATACACATGCACACCACACACACACACACACACACACACACACACACTAAATTAGAGCTGGCTTCAAGAACACCCTACTAGTCTTGAAGATTGGGTCCCTCCTCTCCTTGCTAACATTCGTTGAATTTCTTAACTAAAGAAAATAGGAAAATGTCAATAGTAGCTAAAGTCATGTTCTGAACAAGCAGGTTTCAACTCTGGTTATTTCATCACTGGACTCTTCTCAAATAGAGTTGGCAAGAGTAATTCTGAAATCAACACAGAAAGTCACAGAAGAGCAAATTCAGGTCATCTGACTCATTCCATTTGTAACTTAAAGAGCATTTAAACCCGTATTTTCAGGGGAGAAAGTTATAAAGTATTGCAAATCAACTGTTACTTTTTTCAATTTTTTAAAAACTTTGAGTTGGAGAGAAGCAAGAGAAAGAAAAGAAAAAAGTTTATTTTTAAATAGAAAACTTTCAAATTGCTGAAAATAATTACCTTTATATGACAAATTGGAAATAAATTCAAAAGAAATGATCATATAATCCATATAAGCTTTACTGTTAAATCAAACATTAAAATCCTATTTCTAAAATAAAAAGTAACATTTTTATTTATTAAGATTCCTTTTTAGGTATTCCATTTCTGAATGTGAAATATTACATACCCCCAAAAGTCTAAAACTAAAGTGTTAAACATTCAAACTGATTTATCCTTCTTTCTTTGGGTAAAACTTTATTTTTTTAATTTTATTTTTAGAAAATTATGTTATTTTAAAATTATTGTTCTAATTATAACTATATTATTAAAAAAATTATAGTGAAATATTCAATTAATCATTGATATAATGTACCTATTAACATCATGTATTTCCAAAAATGTGTTTAATAGGTACTATTAAACGTTTCTATCTCACACTCAAGATATTGTTGAATATCAGCTCATTACTTCATCTGGGTTATTTTGGGACATAAAAGACAATCCAGAGAGGAACAGAGAATGTTCCTCCCTATGTTTGCTGCTCTACACAGCCACTTGTTTTAAGCAGGAGAGATGAGTTTCGTTATTGAATTTGCTGCCACTAAAAACATTAGTAGAACAATCAATCCTATTTGTTCATTCTAGTCTTTAAACTCTTCCTCATGTTTCTTTTTCCCCTCTTTAACCTTGTGGTCCCCTGGTTTCTTTGATGAGTATTTCCTTTTCTTATTTATATCTTTATATTTACATATATTATATATTTATATTTACATTTATATATATTTATATCTGCCCTCTATATCTTTTCCTATTCAATTCTTATTTTGAAGGCTAGTTTAATGACCAACACATTGTAGTGTTGTACTAACGATCACTTTTCCAACTGATTCTTCCTCTTCTTTTAAAGAATATCACTTCAACTGAATGTCTGATCACAGACTGAAAGTGCCAATTTAGCTGTAAAGCTGATTTATTCTTCTTCCTTTCATTACACACATATATATTTTTTTCTGAAAAAATAAAAATTACGTTTTATAGGTTTCTAAACTGAAGTTTCCCAAGAATGATTACATCATTTTTTATTAAAAGTCATTATGTATTCCCCTAAAAGATTACAGGTACATATTAATAATACATTAATGCGAGCTTATTTATTATACTCTCTGAAGAGATATTTTGAATGTTCTTTATTAACGAATGAATAAGCAACAACCCTGTAATGTGGAAAAAAGAAAACAACCAACGATGGGAATAGTCACGTTTTTCTAGAGAAGTGCCTTTGATAACAATGGAGACCTTTACTGACAACTCATCATATTCCAAGCCTTTAGCTGAACACATTACACAGGTTATTGCATTTTGCATCTCGCCATTCCATTATATGACGAAATAGAACCATAGATAGGAAATTTCTCCATTATCACATAGCAAGAAATGGAAATTGAAACATTAGTCTATCATCAAAGACAATGTTATTTCTTGACTGCCAGGGAAGCCACCTATCAGCTAGAAAATAGAGTACTACATTTTTTACATAAAATGAAAAAGAAACAGAAATTATATGAATCTACATCACCTTGAAAAAGAAAAAAACTAAAATATAAACAAAAATCCCCAGGAATGTTACAGATATTATGCATCATTAAATTTTTGGCCAATGACACACATAAATTGTACATGAGACTAAAACTTGAATAACAATTGGAATTCTTCATGAAAATGTAAACCTTTTACTTTAAATGTCTTTCCTATATAATAAAATGATCACATTTACCCTTTTATAACTCAAAAGCAACATTTACTCTTACATTAAACCAGAAAAATTGGAGGGTTTACTAAATGTTCAGGACTTTCAACTCCAATAAATAACAGGATCCTCTTCATTTCTTGAACATAATTTCAAAATTAGTTATGAGTTTTATATATAATTGTAAAGTATATAGAACTGCTGATCAAATGTTACAGTTCATTTTACATATTGTTATATTTTGATATGCTTTTTTAAGAAAAGTAAGATACCAACAACTTTACTAGGACATAATTTCAAAAATGTCCATGGGTGTTACCTATCAAGAAAGGACTGATTTATTATCATGTAAAATACACAAACTAGCAAGGAAGAACACTTCCTATATATATTTACTTAACCATAACCTAAGGGAGTTCTTATTTGTGCATTATTGAGATTGAAACCATCCAGGGAACCTTAGAGTAACAATAGAAAGAATGGGACTCTTCCTTTAGAGATAATTTTCTCCCACCAGGAAATTAAATGTTTCTCCTGGCAGCCAGTAAAGTACACAGAGGAATGTCGGCTCACACGTATACCTCTTCAAAGCTAATCACAAACTGGGGTTACCCAAGGTTCAGACTAAAGACAGGAGCAGTCTAACCCATACATATTATTAGAGCATGTAAACCAATCTATAAGCATCAGCTAGAAGACAAGTGTTCATTAGGGTTTTACAAACAATCACAGTAAAGTAGAACTATAACACCTTTATATTACTGAAGGAGAAGAAAGAACTAACATCTGTCCTAAAGATGGCTCAGGTTATATTTTGTGTGTTTAAAGTTGTAATGTGTAATATGAAGAGATATATTTTTGTTCATCAAAACATATGTAAATCAGGAAGCTACTAACAGTGCTTATATAGACAGAAGTGGTTTTATGTAGAGGAAAGAGTGATGGATTTAAAATCAGAGAATCTGTGAGTGAATGTGGGTTCAGTAACTAGTTGCTATGTCAACTTATTAATGTTCTGTAACATATCTAGGCCTCAGTTTCTTCAACTATAAAAACTGAAATAATAGTACCTGGCTTGCAAGATTGCCGTGAGGACAGAACACATGAACACATGTAGATGGCTCTAAAAACATTCTACTACTATACAAAGATAAAGTAGTGTTATCATTGTTTCTGTAAGCAGGAAAGATCATCGCTGAAATTTAGCCACATAGAATCTAAGAGGGTACACATTATTGAAAATGCTGGGGTCTTCTCAGAGCTAACACTGTCAAACTGACATCTCCTTACTCTAAATCCAGTACAATTCTAGGCTGAACTAGCCTTCCCAAGTAGTAAGCAGAATGAGACTGGCACTATAGAGACATCTAGTGTTTGAAATAACAGAAGAGTGATGTGATGGTTAAAATAAAATTTTTCAAGAATGAAACATTCCATGTTCAAAGAAAGCCATTCAAATATTAAATCACCATTACAACAATGTCTCTATGCCATTTTTTTATTTTTTTGAGATAGTTTCGCTCTTGCTCAGGCTGGAGTGCAATGGTGCGATTTCAGCTCACTGCAGCCTTCGCCTCCCAGGTTCAAGCTATTCTCCTTCCTCAGCCTCCAGAGTAGCTGGGATTACAAGCACGTGCCACCATGTCCAGCTAATTTTGTATTTTTAGTAGAGACGGGGTTTCTCCAAGTTGGTCAGGCTGGTCCCAAACTACCAACATCAGGTGATCTTCCTGCCTCGGCCCCCCAAAGTGCTGAAATTACAGGTGTAAGCCACTGTGCCTGGCCTCTCGATGCCATTTTTAATCCTCCAGAAATTAAAAATGTGTTATCTGAATTTTCAAATCATAAACAGACATCTTTAAGAAGAGCCAGAAGTCAAGGAAGGGAACTCCACAAACTTACTGTTTAAGACATTTATCACTTAACAGGATAGAGTTTAGAGCAAAGGCAAGATCAAAGAGGTCTGGAGAGATAAGAAGTACACAGGACAGAGATTTTGTTAGGTGGAAATCAGTGAAGAAAGCTAGTTACCTTTTGAATGTGTTTGCTCTTGCTTCTCCAGTTCTTTTAATTGTGATGTTAGGGTGTCAATTTTAGATCTTTCCTACTTTTGCTTGTGGGCACATAGTGCTATAATTTCCCTCTACACACTGCTTTAAATGTGTCCCAGAGATTCTGTTATGTTGTGTTTTTGTTCTCATTGGTTTCAAAGAGCCTCGTTATTTCTGCCTTCACTTCGTTATTTACCCAGTAGTCATTCAGGAGCAGGTTGTTCAGTTTCCATTCCATGTAGTTGTGCAGTTTTGAGTGACTTCTTAATCCTGAGTTCTAATTTGATTGCACTGTGATCTGAGAGATGGTTTGTTATGATTTCCGTTCTTTTGCATTTGCTCAGGAGTGTTTTACTTCCAATTATGTGGTCAATGTGAGAATAAGTGTGATGTGGTGCTGAGAAAAATGTATATTCTGTTGATCTAGGGTGGAGATTTCTGTAGATGTCTATTAGGTCTTCTTGGTCCAGAGCTGAGTTCAAGTCCTGGATATCCTCGTTAATTTTCTGTCTCGTTAATCTAATATTGACAGTGAGGTGTTAAAGTCTCCCACTATTATTGTGTGAGAGTCTAAAACTCTTTGTATGTCTCTAAGAACTTGCTTTATGAATCTGGGTGCTCCTGTATTGGGTGCATATATATTTAGGATAGTTAGCTCTTCTTGTTGCATTGATCCTTTTACCATCATGTAATGGCGTTCTTTGTCTCTTCTGATCTTTGTTGGCTTAAAGTCTGTTTTATCAGAGACTAGGATTGCAACTCCCTTTTCATTTTCTTTCCATTTGCTTGGTAAATATCCCTCCATCCCTTTATTTTGAGCCTATGTGTCTTCGCACATGAGATGGGTCTCTTGAATATAACAGAACAAAGACCAAAAGGTCTTGACCCTTTATCCAATTTGCCAGTCTGTGTCTTTTAATTGGGGCATTTAGTCCGTTTACATTCAAGGTTAATATTGTTATGTGTGAATTTGATCCTGTCACTATGACGCTAGCTGGTTATTTTGCCTGTTAGTTGATGCAGTTTCTTCAGAGCATCGATGGTCTTTACAATTTGGTATGTTTTTGCAGTGGCTGGTCCCAGTCATACCTTTCCATGTTTAGTGCTTCCTTCAGGAGCTCCTGTAAGGCAGACCTGGTGGTGACAAAATCTCTCAATGTTTGCTTGTCTGTAAAGGATTTTATTTCTCCTTTGCTTATTAAGCTTAGTTTGGCTGGGTATGAAATTCTGGGTTGAAAATTCTTTTCTTTAAGAATGTTGAATATTGGCCCCCACTCTCTTCTGGATTGTAGGGTTTCTGCCAAGAGATCCGCTCTTAGTCTGACGGGATTCCCTTTGGGGGTAACCCGACCTTTCTCTCTGGCTGCCCTTAACATTTTTTCCTTTATTTCAACCTTGGTGAATCTGACTATTATGTGTCTTGGGGTTATCCTTCTTGAGGAGTATCTTTGTGGTGTTCTCTGTATTTCCTGAATTTGAGTGTTGGCCTGTCTTGCTAGGCTGGGGAAGTTCTCCTGGGTAATATCCTGAAGAATGTTTCCAACTTGTTTCCATTCTCTCCGCCACTTTCAGGTATACCAATCAAATGTAGATTTGGTCTTTCCACATAGTCTCATAGTTTCTTGGAGGCTTTGTCCATTTCTTTTCACTCTTTTTTCTATAATCTTGTCTTCTTGCTTTATTTCATTATGTTGATCCTCAATCTCTGATATCCTTTTCCACATGATTGATTCAGCTATTGATATTTGTGTATGCTTCATGAAGTTCTTTGAAACCAATGAGAACAAAGACACAATGTACCAGAATCTCTGGGACACATTTAAAGCAATGTCTAGAGAAAAATTTATGGCACTAAATGCCCACAAGAGAAAGCAGGAAAGATCTAAAATCGACACCCTAACATCACAATTAAAAGAACTAGAGAAGCAAGAGCAAACAAATTCAAAAGCTAGCAGAAGACAAGAAATAACTAAGATCAGAGGAGAACTGAAGGAGATAGAGACATGAAAAAACCCTCAAAAAAAAAAATCAATGAATCCAGCAGCTGGGTTTTTGAAAAGATCAACAAATAGACCACTAGCCACACTAATAAAGAAGAAAACAGAGAAGAATCAAATAGACACAATAAAAAATGATAAAGGGGGGTATCACCACTGACCCCAAAGAAATACAAACTACCATCAGAGAATACTATAAACACCTCTATGCAAATAAACTAGAAAATCTAGGCCTGGAGCGGTGGCTCATGCCTGTAATTCCAGCACTTTGGGAGGCCGAGGCGGGTGGATCATGAGGTCAGGAGATCGAGACCATCCTGGCTAACATGGTGAAACCCCATCTCTACTAAAAAAAAATACAAAAAAAAATTAGCCGGCTGTGATGGTGGGCGCCTGTAGTCCCAGCTACTCAGGAGGCTGAGGCAGGATAATGCTGTGAAACCAGGAGGCAGAGCTTGCAGTGAGCCAAGATCACGCCACTGCACTCCAGCCTGGGTGACAGAGTAAGACTCCGTCTCAAAAAAAAAAAAAAGAAAGAAAAAGAAAAAGAAAATCTAGAAGCGATGAATAAATTCCTAGACACATGCACCCTCCCAGACTAAACCACGAAGTCGAATCCCTGAATAGAGCGATAACAACTTCTGAAATTGAGGTGGTAATTAATAGCCTACCAACCAAAATAAGTTTAAAACTGGGTGGATTCACAGCCAAATTCTAACAGAGGTACAAAGAGGAGCTGGTACCATTCCTTCTAAAACTATTCCAAACAATAGAAAAAGAGGGAATCCTCCCTAACACATTCTATGAGGCCAACATCATCCTGGTACCAAAACCTGGTAAAGACACAACAACAAAAAAAGGAAATTTCAGGCCAATATCCCTAACAAACATCGATGCAAAAATCCTCAGTAAAATACTAGCAAACTGAATCTAGCAGCACATCAAAAAGGTTATCCACCATGATCAAGTAGGCTTCATCCCTGGGATGCAAGGCTGGTTCAACATACACAAATCAATAAATGTAACCCATCACATAAGCAGAACCAATGACAAAAACCACGATTATCTGAACAGATGCAGAAAAGGAATTTAACAAAATTTAACAGCCCTTCATGCTAAAAACTCTCAATAAACTAAATATTGATGGAACGTATCTCAAAATAATAAGAGCTATTTATGACAAACCCATAGCCAATATCATACTGAATGGGCAAAACCCGGAAGCATTCCCTTTGAAAACTGGCACAAGACAAGGAAGCCCTCGCTCACCACTCCTATTCAACACAGTATTGGAAGTTCTAACCAGGGCAATCTAGCAAGAGAAAGAAATAAATGGTATTCGATTAGGAAACTAGAAAGTCAAATTGTCTCTGTCTGCAGATGACATGATTGTATATTTAGAAAACCCCATTGTCTCAGCCCAAAATCTCGTTAAACTGATAAGCAACTTCAGCAAAGTCTCAGGATACAAAATCAATGTGCAAAAATCACGAGCATTCTTATACACCAATAACAGACAAACAGAGAGCCAAATCATGAGAGAACTCCCATTCACAATTGCTACAAAGAGAATATCTAGGAATCCAACTTACAAGGGATGTGAAGGACCTCTTCAAGGAGAACTACAAACCACTGCTAAAGAAAATAAGAGAGGACACAAACAAATGGAAAAACATTCCATGCTCATGGATAGGAAGAATCAATATCGTGAAAATGGCCATACTACCCAGAGTAATTTATAGATTCAGTGCTATCCCCAATAAGCTACCACTGACTTTCTTCACAGAATTGAAAAAAAAAAACTACTTTAAATTTCATATGGAACCAAAAAAAGAGCTCACATAGTCAAGACAATCCTAAGAAAAAAGAACAAAGCTGGAGGCATTACACTACCTGACTTCAAACTATACTACAAGGCTACAGTAACAAAAACAGCATGGTACTGGTACCAAAACAGATATATAGACCAATGGAACAGAACAGAGGCCTCAGAAATAACGCCACACATCTACAACCATCTGATCTTTGACAGACCTGACACAAACAAGCACTGGGAAAAGGATTCCCTATTTAAAAAATGGTATTGGGAAAACTGGCTACCCAAAGCTGAAACTAGATCCTTTCCCTACACCTTATACAAAAATTAACTCAAGATGGATTAAAGACTTAAATGTAAGACCTAAAACTATAAAAACTCTAGAAGAAAACCTAGGCAATACCATTCAGGACATAAGCATGGGCAAAGACTTCATGACTAAAATACCAAATGCAATGGCAACAAAAACTAAAATTGACAACTGGGATCTAATTAAACTAAAGAGCTTCTGCACTGCAAATGAAACTATAATCAGTGTGAACAGGCAACCTACAGAATGGAAGAAAATTTTTGCAATCTATCCATCTGACAAAGGGCTAATATCCAGAATCTACAAAGAACTTTAACAAATTTACAAGAAAAAAACAAACATATGAAAAAAAGCTCATCATCACTGGTCATTAGAGAAATGCAAATCAAAATCACAATGAGATAACATCTCACATCAGTTAGAATGGCAATCATTAAAAAGTCCGGAAACAACAGATGCTGGAGAGGATGTGGAGAAATAGGAATGCTTTTACACTGTTGGTGGGAGTGTAAACCATTGTAGAAGACAGTGTGGCAACTCCTCAAGGATCTAGAACTAGAAATATCATTTGAGCCAGCAATCCCATTACTGGGGATATAACCAAAGGATTATAAATCATTCTACTATAAAGACACATGCGCACATACATTTATTGCATCACTGTTAACAACAGCAAAGACTTGGAGTCAACCCAAATGCCCATCAATGGTAGACTGGATAAACAAAATGTGGCACATTTACACCATGGAACACTACACAGCCATAAAAAAGGAGGAGTTCACGTCCTATGCAGGGACATGGATGAAGCTGGAAACCATCATTCTCAGCAAACTAACGCAAGAACAGAAAACGAAATACCTCATGTTTTCGCTCATAATTGGGAGTTGAAAAATGAGAATACATGGAAACAGGGAGGGGAACATCACACATTGGGGCCTATCGGGGGGTGGGTGACTAGGGGAGGGATAGCATTGGGAGAAATACCCAGTGTAGATGATGGCTTGACAGGTTCAGCAAACCACCATGGCACGTGTATACCTACATAACAAACCTGCATGTTCTGCACATGTATCCCAGAACATAAAGTATAATAATAATAATAGAACAAAAGGTAAAGGCCAGGTGGGATGGCCAGGTTGGTAAGCTATGTTGGTCACCAGGTTAGTAAACCCATGAGGTTAAGGCAATATGGGTAAGTCCAGATGGCTAATGCAAAGTTTCTAAGTCCGGGGGTGGGAGTTAAATATAGGGAATAAGGGCAGGCAGATTAGGTTAGGGGAGTAAACGTTAGAGAGGTGAATCCAGGGGTTAAGCCCTGGTAGATAAAACCAGAAGATTAAGGACAGTTGTGTAAACCAATGTGAAGGCCATTTGGGTCATGCATGATCGGTAAGACCAGGTGGGAAAACATGGTTGCTAATGCAGGTTGTTGAGGCCATGAGGTGAAGGCCCATAGGGTTAGGTCTGGTGACGAAGATTAATGCGTCTGGCCAGAGGGGTAACAAGAGTGGGGCAAGGCCAGGGAGTAAAGGAAGGGGACAAAGGCCTCTGGGGGGGCAAGATTAGGTGGGTCATGACCAGAGATTGAGGCCAGCAAATGAAAGCCAGGTGGATAAGGACCGGTGGATAATGGTGGGTGGGAACTTATGGCCAGGAGTGTAAGACCAGGACTTTTAGGCCATGCAATTAAGTCTGGGTGAGTAAGGCCAGGAGGTTAATAAGGTCAGACGGATAATGCCAGGCTCCTAATACCATGTGGACAAGATAAGGTGATGAAGGTAAGAAGGTTAGTAACTTTGGCTGAGTGTGGCCAGGTTGTTAAAACCAGGTGTATAAATCCAGCTGAATAAAAGACTATTTGGGTAACACCAGGCTGGTAAATTAATAGCAGAAACATGCAGGAGAGTTAAGGCCAAGTCAGCAAGCCAGCCAAATAATGACAGGTGGCTAATACTAGGTGGGTAAGACAGTGAAGGGAAGGTGAGGAGGTTAAGTCGAGCTGAATAAAACTAGGGAGTTGACACCAGTTGGGCATGAAGCCAGCAGATTAAATCATGCTGTCTGAGACCAGGCAGGTGAACATGGCTGGTGAGTATGGCCCTAAGGTTAATAAGGTTGGGTGGGGAAGGCCTAGTGTTTAAGGCCATAGGGAAATGCCAATAGGTGAGGGCCGGGAAAGTAAGGCCAAGGGTCAGGACTGAGGATAATTCCACTAGGTTAAGGCCAGTAGGGTTGAGAGATGTGAGTAAGACCAGAAACTGGGACTAATCGTGAAGGCCAAATGGGTAAGGCTGAGTAGATAAAATCAGTCGGGTGATTCGGGTTGGTAAGGACATAAGGTTAAGGCCAGCAGAGTAAGGCCAGGTGGGTAAGCCAGGTGCATAAGGCCAGCAGAATAATGCTGAATGAGTAAGGTCAGGAGGTTAATAGGCAGCTGGGTAAATTTATTTTGGCAAAACCATGAGGTTAACACCGGGTCAGGAAGCCAAGCCATTGAAAAAGCCAGGTGTGTAAAGCCAGTAAGTTAAGGCCACTGAATACAGCTAGGTGGTAACTCCAACTGGGTAAGGCTGAGAGGTTAATGCCAGGCAGATTAGGCTAGGAGGTTGAGGCCATGTGACTAAGAATGAAAGGATAAGGCTAGATGAAAAGGCCAGGTTGGTAAGCTATTGAAGCCATGAGGTGAAGGCTGGATGGGTAGGTCCAAATGGGAAATGTAAGGTGTGTTAAGTTAGGGTGCGGTGGGAAATCCAGGTAATAAGGGCAGGGAAATACGTCCAGGGGAGGAAACCTAGGGAGGTAAGTTTAGGAAAATAAGACCAGGGGCTAAGCCCTGGTAAATAAAACTAGAAGGTTAAGGACAGTTGTATAAACTTAGCATGAAACCCACAATGGGTAAGACTAGGTGGGAAAACTAGGTAGATAATCCAGGTTGTTGAGACCATGAGGTTAAGGACCATAGGTTTAGGCTAGGTGTGGAAAGCTAATGGGTTCTGTCAAGGGTGATAAAATGAGGTGGGTTGGCCAGGTGCAGTGGCTCACGACTGTAATCCCAGAACTTTGGGAGGCCGAGGCAGGTGGATCACTTGAGGACAGAAGTTCAAGACCAGCCTGGCCAACATGGTGAAACCTCGTCTCTACTAAAAATGCAAAAATTAGCTAGGCGTGGTGGCACAGGCCTGTAATCCCAGCCCCTCGGGAGGCTGAGGCAGGAGAATTGCTTAAACCAGGGAGTTGGAGGTTGCAGTGAGCCGAGACTGCGCCACTGCACTCCAGCCTGGTGACAGAGGGAGACTCCTCCTCAAAAAATAAATAAATAAAATGTGATGGGTAAGGCCAGGGAGTAGAGAAAGGGCAGTAAGGCACCATGGGCAAGAGCTGGTAGGTTTTGACAGCAGATTGAGGCCAGGAAATTAAAGCCAGCTGGGTAAGAACAAGAGGATAATGGCGAGAAGTTATGTCAGGTAGATAAGGCCAAGACATTTAGTAAGGACAAGAAATTAAGCTTAGGTCAGTAAGGGCAGGAATTTCATAGAGCCACATGAATGAAGTTTGTTTAATAATGCCATGAGGGTAAAGTAATTAAGAAAACGAGGTTAATAACATCTGGTGAGTAAGGCCAGGTTGTTAAAACCACGCATTTATATTTAGCTGAATAAAAGGCTATTTGGGTAGCCCCGGGCCAGTAAATCAATGGAGACATTCCCAGTAGGTTAAATGCCAAGTTGCCAAGCCAGCTAAATGATGAAAGGAAACTAATACTAGGTGGGCAAGACAGTGCGGGGAAGGTGAGGAAGTGAAGGTCTGCTGAATAAAACGAGGTAGTCAACACCAGATGGGTATGAGCCCAACAGATTAAATCATGTTATGCCAGCTGAGGCCAGGCAGGTGAATACAGCAGGTGAGTATGGCTGTCGGGTTAATAATGTTGGTTGCAGAAGGCCTATTGGGTGAAGCCAGTACTTGCACAAGGCCAAGTGGGTAAGGACAAGAAAATACAGTCATGTGGGAAGGCCAATAGGTAAAGGCCAGGAAAGTAAAGCCAGGGGCTGGGAAAGCTGATAATGACACTAGGTTAAGGCCAGTAGGGGTGGGACAGCTAAATAAGACAAGAAAATTGAGACTAATTGTGAAGGACAACAGGGTAAGGCTGGGTAGGTAAAATCAGCTGGGTAATTCTGGTTGGTAAGGACATGATGTTAAGGCCCGTAGGGTAAGGCCAAGTGGGTAAGTCAGATTCACAAGGCCAGGGGATTAATATTGAATGAGTAAGGCCAGGAGGTTCATAAGGCAGGTGGGTAAATCTAAGTTGGCAAAACCATGAGGTTAAGGCCGGGTCAGGAAGCCAAACTATTTAAAAAGCCAGATGGGTAAGACCAGCAAGTTAAGATCTCCCTGAATACAACTAGGTGGCTGAGTTTAAGTGGGTAAAGCAAAGAGTTTAGGCACATTAGGCCAGAAGGTTAAGGCCATGTAAGTTAGAATGGAACGTTAAGGCCAGGCAGGAAGGCCAGGGAGGTAAGCTAAGTTGGTAATCCTGGATGGTAAGGCCATGAGGTTAAGGCCAGGTGGGTAAATCCAGATGAGTAATGCAAGGTGTCTATGTCCAGGAATCTCAGGAATAAGTAAAGGGTGATAAGTTTAGGGGAGTGAACCTAGGGAGGTAAATCCAATGGGTTAAGCCTTCGTAGATACAACTAGAAGGTTAAGGACAGAAGATTTATACTAGATGAGTAAGGCCAAGAGTTTCATAAGGCAGGTGGGTAAATGTAAGTTGGCAAAAACGTGAAGTTACAACCAATTTAGGAAGCCAAGTGATTGAATAGTCTGGGTGGCTTAGGCCAGTAAGTTAAGGCCTTCCTAAATAGAGCTAGGTGGCTAACTCCACCTGGGTAATGTGAAGAGGTTAATAGAGGTTAATACTAGGTAAACAGGGTCAGGATGTTAAGGCCACATGACTTAGAATGAAAGGTTAAGGTCAGGTGCGAATGCCAGCTTACTAAGCTAAGTTGGTCATCTAGATTGGGAAGGTAATGAGTTTAAAGCCAGGTGGGCAATGTAAAATGTCTAAATAGGGCACTGTGGCTGCAGCTGGAGCAAGGAGTTGGTGGTAAAACTAGGGAAAAAGGGAATGTTGATGATAAAACCAAAGGAGAAAACCTAGAGAGATAAATCCAGGGGCTTAATTCCTGTTAGATAAAACCAGAAGGCTAGGGACAGTTGCAAAAACCAAGGTGGAGGCCATGTTCATCATGTATAATCAGTAAGACTAGGTGGGAAAACTAGGTAGCTAATCCAGGTTATCAAGGCCTTGAGGTTAAGACCCATAGGGTTAGGCCAGGTAGGGAAGTCTAATCGGGTCTGGCCAGGGCCATAAAATGATGTGGATAAGGCCAGAAAGAAAGGGCAGGGGAGCAATGGCAGGAGCTTCATAAGCCACGTGGGTAAACCTTAGTGAGTAAAATCAGCTGGGTCTTGACAGGAGATTGAGGCCAGCGAATTAAAACCAGGTGAGTAAGAACACGTGGACAATGGCAGGAAGTTATGGCCAGGCGGGTAAGGCCAGGATTTTTAGGCAAAGTCATGAACACTGGGCAAGTAGGGCCAGGAAGTTAATAAGGCCAGATGGATAACGTCAAGTTCGTCATACAATGAGGATAAAATAAGGTGATGAACGCAATCAGATTAAGGTTGGCTGAGTTCGGCCTGGTTGTTAAAACCAGGTGTCTAAATACAGCTCAATTAAGGACTATTTCAGTAACCCAGTCTGTGAAATCAACAGGGGAAACACCTGGTAGGGTTAAGAGCAAGTTGCCAAGCCAGTCATATGATGACTAGAGGAAACTGTTAGGTGGGTAAGACTGTGGGGAAGGTAAGGATGTAAAGGCCAGCTGAATAAACCAGGTGGTAAACACCAGTAGGGTATAAAGCCAGCAGATTAAGTCATGCTGGCTGGGGCCAGGCAGCTGAAGAGGGCAGGTGAGTATGGCTATAAGGTTAATAATATGGTTAACCAGGGGTTAAGGACAGCTGTATACACCAAGTGTGAAGGCCACGTTTGGTAAGACTAGGTGGGAAAACCAGGCAGTTAATCCAATTTGTTAAGGCTATGAGGTTAAAGCCCATAAGGTTAAGCCCAGTGAGGGAGGCTCCTGGGGTCTCACCAGAGAGGGCGTTAAGCCCAGGGTATAAGGACAGAGGAGTAAGGGCTCGTGGGTAAGATCAGGTGCATCTTGATGGCAGATTAAGACCAACAAAGTTAGCCAAGTGGGTGAGAATAGGTGAATGACGGCGGGAAATTATGGCGAGGTGGGTAAGGCCGAGACTTTTAGGTTAGGCAATGAAGCCTGTGTCAGTAAGGCCAGGAGTTTGATATAGGGCCACATGGATTAAGCTTGTCTAACAACACCAGGAAAATAAGGTGATTGAGGCAGTGAGGTTAATAAGTCTACTGAGTAAGGAAAGGTTGTTAAACCAGGTGTGTAAATCCAGCTGAATAAAAAACTATTTGAGTAACACCAGGCCAGTCAATCAAGGAGAAACAGCCAGGAGCATTAAAACCTAGTCACTACGCCAGCTAAATAATGACAGGAGGCTAATATTGGGTGGGTGAGACAGTGAGAGGAAAGCTAGAAGGTGAAGGATAGCTGAATAAAGCTAGATGATTAAACTCAGATGGATATGAGGCCAGCAGATTAAGTCATGCTAGTTGAGGCTGCGAAGGTGAATACGGCAGGTAAGTAAGCCTGTAAGTTTAATAAAGGACAAGTAGTTAAGTCCTAGTGAGTAAGGCCAGGTGGGTAAGACCAGGTGGGAAAGGCCAATAGGTGAAGACCAGAAGAGTAAGGCCAGGGGAATATCCAGTGACTAATGACACTAGGTAAAGGCCAGTGGGGCTAGGACAGGTAAGCAAGACCTGAAGGTTGAGTATAATTGTGAAGGCCAACTGGTTAAGCCTGTTAGTTGGGTAATCAGGTTGGTAAGGACATGAGGCTAATGCCAGTAGGGTAAGTCCAGGTTACCAAGTGTTCAACCTGGTGCATAAGGCTTGGAAAGTAATACCGGATGATTATGGCCAGGATGTTAATAAGGCAGATGGGTAAATCTAGGTTGATGAAACCGTGATAAGTCATGCTGGGTGAGACCAGGCAGGTGAGTATGTATCTGTGAAGCTCTTAGTGCAGCACATATAAGGCCTTTATGTCAAGTTAGTGCCCCTCTTACATTATCACCATCGTGGTCTACTGGAGTCACTGGGACTAACTTACCTTCATGCTGGACAAACAGTAGCTGTCAAAGGATGGCTGCCTTCTCACTTGCTTAGTGTTAAGGCCATGCCAGCCCCCAGGGTCCCCTGCAGATCATTGTTCCCCATAGCAACCCCATTTCATAACTCCATAAGAGGGTCACTTTGCTACTGACTTCTTTCTTCACGTGACAACTTACGAATGAAGGGACACTGTGTAAACTGCACAGGGTCAGGGACTGCAGGTGGGAGGTGGTGGCATTCCCTGCCTTCAGTAGGGAATTGGCTTTACACATTGTTGCAGACGGGTGGAGCCGAGGTTGCTTGTCATCCCCGTGGCAGCAGAACATGTAGAAGACACCTCAGAAACGGGATCTGTTCACTGCCTAGTGCTGAGGCCTGCCTCAATGGAACTCCAGCAAGTTGGGCCCCATTACAGAGGGACAATGCCCAAGGATGTAGCGCACCCACACACAGCCCCGCGCAGGGACTACAGCAATGCCTGCTGTTGTAACCAGCTTTATAAATCCCATTATGTTGTTGCTCACAGAAATCAGTTTCTAATAGAGTCGGTCCTCTGCATCCTGAGATTCAAACAACCTTGGATCCAATATATTTGGAAAAATAAACACAATAAAAATAACAAAACAAAAAAAATCCAAGCAAAAAACTTTAATACCTATCTACACAGCAAAAAATTGTGAGCTCTACCGCGCTCCTGACAATCCTGTGTGAGCCTCGCACGATCCGAGGCCCTGGTTTGTAACCTCCCATGTCCTGTCCTATGTGAGTCTTGTTCCCACTGTCACTTTAAACATTAAGATGGTCCAAGGTCATCCAACAACTTAATCGATTAACACAATTATCAATACAAGAATGTACATCCAATTATAGCTTCATTATGATTTAATGTTAAGTCAGTCTTACAGGTTAATGTTTAGTCAATCATACAACCACAAATACGGACTTCAAAAAATTATTCGTTACACCACCTGAAACATGCCATTCACAGGAGTCTTTCTTCCTTACACTTTGTAGCACTTAGGCTATCACCTACAAGAACTTGATAATCAGCATCAAAACACAAATTGTTATATTTTTTAAATGAGTTGCTGAAATTGCTATTTTTTAAAGATAAGTGCTCTGGACTTATTTTCCTATGAAGAATTTATACTCAAGATGCAAACCTACCAAGAAGTCAAGCTGTCAAAAAAATCAATGCATTAACTGATGGCAAATGTACTCAGCTAGAACTATCCTTAATTTTTCTTAGAAAAACCATGCTCAACCATTTGTGTTTGTAGTTACTGGAAATAAAAGTTAACTATTCTCTTCTATCTTTTATTAAACTATACCATTAGTAGCGGCAATAAAAGTAAAACACATGTTCCCAAAAAAATCACTGCTAGAAAAAGCCAAAGCAATTAAAAATGAGAACTAAAAATTTGTGTTTTTTTTCTTTTTTTTTTTTGAGACGGAGTTTCTTGTTGCCCAGGCTGGAGTGCAATGGTGTGACCTCGGCTCACTGCAACTTCCACCTCCCAAGTTCAAGTGATTCTCCTGCCTCAGCCTCCCAAGTAGCTGGGATTATAGGCACCTGCCACCACATCCAGCTAATTTTTTGTATTTTTAGTAGAGACCAGGTTTTGCCACGTTGGCAGGCTGGTCTCGAACTTCTGATCTTAGGTGATCCACCTGCCTCGGCCTCCCAAAGTGCTGGGATTACAGGTGTGAGCCACCGTGCCCAGCAGAGAACCACAAATTTGAATATGATAACTTTGCTTCATTTAGCAAATCTTTCTACTGCTCATTGAGGTCCAGGCTTTACAAATGCCACTGATTTAATACAGTCCTGGAAGAGGGTCCTATTACTGCTACCTTTTTAAAAAAATGCACAAGTGACCACAATTCTCATAACCCTGAAGTTGCGCTCATTGCCCACACAACAGGTGCAAACTCCTAAGCAAGAAAGAGACTCTGCAGAAAGGAGATGGTGCCCACCCACACTGTCTCCCACTACTCCCCCTCCAGCTTCCCCTCCCAACCACTCAACACTTTGGCCACATGGCCCTGTGGTGACCACGCCCATGTGCTCAGTCCAGGAGACTCTTCCTCTGGGGATCCACAGGCCACCAAGGAAGGCACTGATGAAAAGAGGCGAGAAGACAGTCCACTCTGGAAGGTCCCTGTGGGGAAGAAATGTGGGGCCAGCACACAGGTGGAAGAGCAGCCAAACTGGGCACAAACCCAGAACCTCAGTGTGGCCTGTGCAAGCCTCCCACTTCTGCTCACTCCTCCCAGCTTGACTCTTCTTGCACTTTCTAATTTACTGTACACTATACTTATTCTTTATTACCTATTATTCCCCCACTGAACCATAAACTGTAAGGGCAGGAATTTTGCCAGCTAAGAAAAGTGCTGAAGCAAGTGCCCTGCAGTCTAGACTGAATAGGCCTGGGAGGGGTCAGGGAGATGCAAGCAGAGGGTCAAAAACTTCTTCTTAAAGGGCTACCCCATAAATAATTCAGGCTTGAGGGTCCTCGAGTCCTCATCACAAGTTCTCAACTATGCCACTGTGGCAAGAAAGCAGCCAAAGATGACTGTAAACAAATCATCATGGTTGAGTTCTAATAAAACGATGTTCCAATAAAAAACTACTGACAAGAGGCCATGTGCGGTGGCTGACACCTGTAATCCCAGCACTTTTGGGGGCCGAGGCAGGCGGATCACAAGGTCAGGAGATCAAGACCATCCTGGCTAACATGGCAAAACCCCATCTCTACTAAAAATACAAAAAATTAGCCGGGTGTAGTGGCGGGCAACTGTAGTCCCAGCTACTCGGGAGGCTGAGGCAGGAGAATGGCGTAAACCCGGGAGGCAGAGCTTGCAGTGAGCCGAGATTGTGCCACTGCACTCCAGCCTCTGACAGACAGCCTGTGACAGCCTGTGTTGAGACAGAGCAAGACTCTGTCTCAACAACAACAACAACAACAAAACTGCTGACAAGAACAGGCAGTGGGTGGGATCTGGCCCCCAGGCAGTGGCTTCTTAGCTGAAATGCAGGTGATGTTCTAGCAGGAAAGTAAGAAAACACCAAGCCGGGGGGCCAAATAACAGTATGGAAGAGGAGAGGTTTTAAAAAGTATAATAATGATACAAAAATCTGAAAATGAGGCCACAGAACAAGAACATTACAACCAATCTCATTTGTAGATATTTATGACCAGGCACATTGAAAACATCTACTAATAGGGAACTGGAGACAAAGCCACACACGGACACGTTAGAAATCTGCACATACTACTGGCCACACTGCCTCAGGAACGCACTTGATAAGGTTAACGCCCACTCTAACTGAACAAGTTTTTACCCACATGTACATCGCAGCTCCATAACCAGCATCATGATTAACTAGTCAAAGGTCAGAAGCACTGAGACAGGCAGGAATGCTGAAGCCACCTGATGGTGGCTGCACCAGTTCCACAAGGTAACAGAAAGACACATGCAAATTCATCACACTTTGCCCCCATGAACATCAACAGAAAAAATATTATATCAATAGCTTGCCTGTACATGACCAATAATGTGGTAGAAAAAATGAAAAATTAAATCATTTTCACATTATCCATCCAAAAATAAAATACCCAGGAATAATTGTAATATTAAAAAGTACGCAGAGCCAAGAAGAAAGCTACCTAACTTCATTGAGGGATATATTTAATGACTGGAAGAAACATATCCCATGTTATAAAGCAGAAAACACTAATATACTAATATTGCAAATTAAAATGCATAATACATGCATTTTTAATCAATACCACAAGTTTTGGGTGTGATTTTGAGAAGCTGAGAAACAGATTTGGGACCAGTCACAGTGGCTCACACCTGTAATCCCAGCACTTTGGGAGGCCGAGACAGGCAGATCATTTGAGGTCAGGAGTTTGAGACTAGCCAGGCCAACATGGCAAAACTCCATCTCTACTAAAAATACAAAAATTAGACGGGTGTGGTACCTCACGCCTGGAGTTCTAGCTACTCAGGAGGCTGAGGCAGGAGAATCACTGAAACCCAGTAGACAGAGGTGGCAGTGAGCTGATATTGTGCCACTGCACTCCAGCCTGGGTCACAGAGTGAGACTCCATGTCAAAAAAAAAAAAAAAAAAGAAAGAAAAAAGAAACAGATTTTGGGGAGCCCTGGAAAAGAGACAGACCAATACTACAAATAACTGCTTCATCAATGGGAACCTGATGCCAATGCCTCAGTTGTTTGTGCCCCACTGGAGCCCCTGGCCCTCCTTGCAACAGCACCCAGATTCTCCTTATGAGAACTGTCTCTGCTTAACCCATTCTTGCGGCGCCTATGTAGGCACTTAGACACTCCCTCAGACTCCAGAATGAGTACAGCCCACAGACAAGAGGCATCTTTCTTCTATCTGGCCACGGACTCAGGCAGTTCCAACACAAGGTTCTTGAAGGGGAAGTTTGCTCTGGGGCTCAGCTGTGAGAACCCCAGCCTAGAGTGGCCAGTAGCTCCCTTGGCACTACGGAAAGCAGGCCTGAAAGAAATCTCACTCCCACAGGTAAGGTGTGCAGACCTCTGGAATGGCCCAACCATCCTGCTATCAGGAATTCATGGCCTCATCTAAAGCCTTCCCTTTGTGAGGGCTGATCTACTGGTGGGCTGATCTATTGACTTGCTTCTAACTATTGGAGTCTGACAAAAGTGAGATGAGGTCTCAAGAGACAGACCTGCTGTACATGAGACAAAGCTAGAGAAAATATCCAGGTTTCAGGAGTTCAAGATTAGCCTAGGCAACAGAATGAGATGCAGTCTCTCTAAAAATAATTTTTTAGGCCAGGCGCAGTGGCTCACGCCTGTAATTCCAGCACTTTGGGAGGCCGAGGTGGGTGGATCACCTGAGGTCAGGAGTTCAAGACCAGCCTGGCCAACATGGTGAAACCCTGTCTCTACTAAAAAGTACTAAAATTAGCCAGGCGTGGTGGTGGGCGCCTATAATCCCAGCTACTCGGGAAGTGAGGCAGGAGAATTGCTTGAACCCGGGAGGCGGAGATTGCAGCGAGCCAAGATCATGATGCTGCACTCCAGCCTGGGCGACAGAGCAAGATTCTGTCTCAAAAAAATAAACAAAAACAAAAACAAAAAACTAAGGCACACAGAATGATGTAAAAAGCACTAACAAATGAGTAATTTGAATGGAAGAAGGAAAAAGAGACTAGCGCAGAAGCAATGTTTCAATAGAAATAAGCAGAACAATCAATCAATAATCTCTTCATTAAAATAAACCCTTAACAATTTTTTAAAAGCAGGCCAGGCGTGGTGGCTCATGCCTGTAATCCCAGCACTTCAGGAGGCCGAGGCAGGCGGATCATGAGGTCAATAGATCGAGACCATCCTGGCCAACATGGTGAAACCCTGTCTCTACTAAAAAAAAAAAATACAAAAATTAGCTGGTGTGGTGGCACGTGCCTGTAGTCCCAGCTACTCAGGAGGCTGAGGCAGGAGAATCGCTTGAACCCAGGAGGTAGAAGCTGCAGTGAGCTGAGATCGTGCCACTCCACTCTAGCCTCGCGACACAGCAAGACTCCGTCTCAAAAAAAATTTTATTAAAAGCAAGCCAGAGACAGGGAGGACATACTTGCAATACATAGACATGACCCAGGATTATGTCGAATATAGACAAAGAAGACCTACAAATCACTATACAAAGAAAAATAGCCCCCCGCTTTTTTAAGAGATGGGATCTGTTGCCCAGGCTTTGGTCAATATGGGGTCTTTGCTGTGTTGCCCAGGTTGGTTGTGAACTCCTGGCTTCAAGCCATCATCCCATCTCAGTTTCCCAAAGTGCTGGGATTACAGGCGTGAGTCACCGTGCCCAGCCAAACAACCCACTCTTTTAAGTGGACAAGAGACTGTAACAGGCATCTGACAATAAAGGTCATTTGAAAGCCAGTAAGCACAAGAAAAAGTGCTCAACATGCTTAATTACTACGAAATGCAAATCGAAACCCCAGTGCTAACCAACGCACACCAAACAAAATGGCTAAAAGCTGTTGTGCAGTGACACCACATGCTGGTAACCAAGGAACAGGAAAAGGCTCCCACGTGCTGCATACTCTGAAAAACTGTTGGGCATGCGAGGGAGACCCCATGGGCTCACCACTTGCCCTACCACCCCGCTGTGCCACCCTGTTTAAATACTCAACAGGAGCACACACAGATGTACACCAAAGCCTGTGGCAAGATGTTCAAAACTAGTTTGTTGTCATTGCCAAAAATGGGAAATAATCAAACTCCTTTAACAGTAGAAGAATGGACAAAGGAGGTACGTTCGGGGAACAAGGTATTACTGTTGGAAGCATAGTTGACTTCTCATAGGCTTGACATTGAGCATGAGAAGCAAACCCCCCAAGAGGGAGGGCACTGCCCGGGAGGATCTTGTATGGCTTGTAGCGTCACCTGGGTGGTAGTGACACAAGTGTGCAAGATTTTTAAAAATCACTCAGCTCTATACTTAATAGCTGTGCATTCTATAGTATGTGATCATTCACATTCAGGTTTTTTCAGTCATAAGAACCCTTGAGGGCCGGGCGCAGTGGCTCACGCCTGTAATCCCAGCACTTTGGGAGGCTGAGGTGGGCAGAACACCTGAGGTCAGGAGTTTGAGACCAGCCCGACCAACATGAAGAAAACCCATCTCTAGTAAAAATACAAAATTAGCCAGGCATGGTGCTTTGGATAAGAACTGTTAAGTCAATTAAAGCACAAACTCCTCCTGGGAAAATACACGAAAGACACTAAGCTGTGAAAACATAAGCCACTGCATTCCATCCCATTTATACTGAGAGAAATGAAAAGGAAAACCTCCACTGCTGGACTGGCAGAGATGTGAGCAGAGACAAACCCGGCTCTGGTGCTAGGCTCCTGCCCAACCCTCCCGGTCCTTCCTCTGTGACCCTGTAACTCCACCTCCGAGAACCTGGCAAGAGGAGCTGTGAGGTCCCCCAGTTCTCCCCCTTTCTCTCCTGTCCTGACCAAGAAACACCACGTGCTTTGACTGCTCTGTGAGCTGGGCAGCTGCATTTCTCTCACAAGGTTGAACCCAAGCTGGGGCCGTGAATATTCCCAGGCACTAACAAAGATGTTTGGATTATTACCCAAAATGTGGAAAGAAACTGGCACCGGCCCTGAGCCAAATTCCTGAACCTTTCCTATAAACTCCATACTGTGACACCCTTGACAGGGACATACCTAAGCAGAACATCCTTTTCTCTGGGTGTCTATCCGGGCACATGTGACAGCACCCAGTAAGTTCCCCTAATGAACACTTTGAACCAATCACCCTGGAGCTTGGTGCTTCCTTCTTTGGAGTCCCAACAAGTCCCATTTCCATAGGGACTGGGGCACTCCCATGTGGGAATTCCTCTGCCAACAATTTTAGGGCAACTCCAGCTGGAGTTTCAGCCTGAGTAAATAAGAGCCAAAACCAATTCTAGTATATTCATCATAGATATGGTCAAATAAAGACAAACCATTGCAAACAACCTAGATGTCTCTTCGGGCTGCTATACCAAAGCTCCAAAGCCATGGTGCCTTACAAACAACAGATGATTTTTCACGGTTCTGGAGGGTAGAAGTCAATGATCAGGGCCCACTTTCTGGTTGCTGAGGCTGGCTCCTTGCTGCATTCTCACAAGGTGGAAAGAGAACAAGCTCATATTGGGGCCTCTGTTAAGAGAATTTATCTCATTGTGGCGGCTTCGCCCTCAGGACCTTATCCATCCCTAATCACCTCCCAAAGGCCCCACCTCCTAACACCATCCCTTTAGGAGGATAGGGTTTCACCATGTAAATGACATTCAGTTCACAGTCCATCAACAAAATGAGGGTACATCCAAATAGCGTACCCACACAGCCATTAAAAAATAATCTAGACCCTGATACAAACAAACTTTTCCAATTTTGAGACAGCGAGGGGACTCTGAACACTGCCTATGTGACAATAATAATGAATTATTGTTAACTATTTGGGGTATTTTTTAAAAGTTCTCTTTGAGGCCGGGTGTGGTGGCTCATGCCTGTAATCCCAGCATTTTGGGAGGCCAAGGTGGGTGGGTCACCTGAGGTCAGGAGATCCAGACCAGCCTGACCAACATGGCAAAACCCTGTCTCTACTAAAAATATCAAAAAATAGTTGGGTGTGGTGGTGGGTGTCTGTAATCCCAGCTACTTAAGGCTGAGGCAGGAGAATTGCTTGAGCCAGGGAGGCGGAGTTTGCAGTGAGCTGAGATCTTGCCATTGCACTCCAGCCTGGGCGACAGAGCAAGACTCTGTCTCAAAAATAAATAAATAAAGTTATCTTTGAAAGATACAAACTAGAATATTTAATGACTATTTAGTGAAATGATTACCCTGGCCATGCACAGACAGCTATCTAAGACAGCAACAGGGATGAAGGGCATTAGCACAATGTCTCTTCTTCTGTGTTCCTCTGAACTGTTCCACAAAAGCTTCTCCACACCCCCACCTCACCCACCCAGACAGAGTCTTGTTCTGTCACCCAGGCTGGAGTACAGTGGTGCCATCTCAGCTCACTGCAACCTCCGCCTCCCGGGTTCAAGTGATTCTCCTGCCTCAGCCTCCCAAGTAGCTGGAATTACAGGCATGTACCACAATGCTCGGCTAATTTTTTGTAATTTTAGTAGAGGCAGGGTTTCACCATTTTGGCCACGCTGGTCTTGAGCTCCTGACCTGAGATGATCCACCAATCTTGGCCTCCCAAAGTGCTGGAATTAAAGGTGTGAGCCACCACGCTCAGACTTTCTGTTGCTGTTGTTTTAAATTAGGGATGGAGTCTCACTCTGTTGCCCAGGCTGAGGTGCAGTGGCACAATTTCAGCTCACTGCAACCTCCACGTCCCGGGTCCAACTGATTCTCCTGCCTCAGCCTCCCAAGTAGCTGGGATTACAGGCGCCCACCACTGCGCCCAGCTAATTTTTGTATTTTTAGTAGAGAAGGGGTTTCACCATGTTGGCCAGACTGGTCTCAAACTCCTGACACAAAAGCTTTTAAAATTACGTGTTTATATTTACTGACGTAAAAACCCAGGACAAATTGTTGAGTAAAACAGCAGAAAAGATAATAAATTAAGTTATATGTAAAATTATGTAATCCATGTGAGAATTTCATCATACCTGGAACGTTATCCTCTCAGTCACCAAAATGTTGAGTTCAGCCACCTTGCCTATGATTTCAGACAACTGTTTACTTCTTTTTGACGTCTTTCTGCACTATGTGAATTTTTAAATCACCCTGTATTTTCATAATTGGATAAAGCAATAAGGTGAATTCATTTTGTAAAACAGGAGACAGAGTCCCAACCATAATAAAATGAGTTGGGAGTCGGGGTAATGGTGAGGGACAGACCAGGGAGAAGCCATGGACCTGAGGGTCACACAGAAAAGCAACCAAGATGGTGGCAACAGTCAATGCCCCCATTGACAGAGAGTGCGCCAAGATGGAAAGGTCAGAAGGTGGGGAGAAAATGTCCAAATGCAAACAGAATGCTGATCTTCCCCCACAAGAGGAATGACAAAGGAAAGGAACAAGGAGCACCAGCCAGTAACTGAGGGGAAGTTGAAGAGCTGGGAGATAGATTTACAAACAAAGCAACTTTGTTAGTGGAGAGGACTGAAATTGAAGAAGTGGGAGATATAGTTACAAAAAATGAGACTTTTTGTCTAGAGGGAAAAGGGGAGAAACAGGTGTGGAGGATCAGGAAGGTGGGGGGATTACTTTTGAATGGTGCTAGAATGGCCAGGAGGAGACCCAGCCTGAGTTTCTGAAATTCTGGTGAAGTGGAGCAGGGGAGACCCCAGATCAAGGACAGTAGAGTGGGCCCATCGCCAGTATGAAGTGAAAAGTCATGCACATCCCAAATAGTCATGGCTGTTTTCTACTCTCCTCCAAAATGAGCATGATTACGATTCAAACAGCCAGCCTAGGCTACCTTCTTCAGCTTGTTTCTCCTTAGATGGATTAGACCCTCTCAACCTCACCCCTATGGAAGGCTGTGATTCTATGGTTCCTCCTGGTTCCCTCAGCCTCATAGCACAGCATCAGGAGCCTATCTCTACCACATACTCAACTCTAGAGTAGCATTTTCATCCAATTCCTCCCACCAAGCTGTGCCTGAATGTCAACCAAATGCTGAATAATTGACACTGATCCGCCACCCTACTCCAGAGGGTCACGCTGCTGGCACCGCCTGCCTCATTTTCAGGTGGCAAGGGGAGGCTGTGGGCCTCTCGTGTAGGATGCAACATCTCTTTCTGCCGGGAGTTCCACTCTACCTGCCGAGTCACTGAGGGAGCCCACAGCCTCTGCTCTAACCCATCATCAGACTGATTTTCTCTCAATTTTTAACTTTAACGTCTTCCATCCTGCCAGAAAAACAATTAATGATACTTTCTTCTACAAAAGGCACAAATGCAAAACTGCCTGGAAAAAAAGACAACATGAAATAGTTCTGTTGAAGTCAAATAAAATATAGAGAAAAATCTCTCAGATTAAAATTTTTGTTGTTGTTGTTTCTTTATTTTTTGAGACAGGGTCTGGCTCTGTTGCCCAGGCTAGAGTGCAGTGGTGTGATCACACCTCACTGTAGCCTCGAACTCCTGGGCTCAAACAATTCTCCCACCTCAGCCTCCTGAGTACCTGGGACTACAGCTGTGTGCTATCACATACAATTAATTTTTTAGTTTTTGTAGAGATGAGGTTTTGCTATGTTATCCAGGCTGGTCTGGAACTCCTGGTTTCAAGCCATCCTCCCACCTTGGCCTCCCAAAGTGCTGGGATTAGAGATATGAGCAACTGCACCTCGAAAAATGTTTTACTTGGAAAGAATTACAATTCAAAGCATATGCACAGACTGGATGGTCTATGTCTGAAGAACAAAGAGAAGGTTAGAGGTTTTATTTTTTTTTAATGTTGGGCCAGGCATCATGGCTCATGCCTGTAATCCTAGCACTTTGGGAGGCCGAGGTGGAAAGATCCCTTGAGTCAAGTAGTTTGTGACTAGCTTGGTCAACACAGGGAGACTCTGTCTGCACAAAAAAATTAAAAATAAAAATAGCCAGGTATGGTGGTGTGCTCAGGAGGCTCAGGCAGGAGGATCGGTTGGGCCTGGAAGGTTGAGACTGCAGTGAGCTGTGACCACGCACTGTACTCCAGCCTGAGTGACAGAGTGAGACCCTGTCTCCAAAAAAAACAACAAAAAAAAGTTGTATTGCTCTTTGAAAAAATTCGTTGGCACAGTAAGAATGTGGAGAGCTGGCAGGTTTTGACTGTTCAGTGACAGCAATGGGTGAAACTATTCTTAGAATCATAGCAGGTTTCGGCAGCCATTAGATAAAACTGGTTTCAGGTGACAGCCCACAGTTTCAGCAGCCAGCCTCACAGAGAATTACATTCTTGGAACAATGTTATGTACCCTAGTGCATTTTACTTTCGGCCTCTCTGTTTTAGTTAGGTAAGACAAGAACAGGACAATCATATCTCAATTTTCACAGTTCCAAAATGATTTTAAAATTCTTGCTCATGTCCAACTTCCTGGCGTTTTCAGAGAAGATTTGCTCTGGGTTAGAGCTGTAGGAACATACTGGCTTCTTCCAAGCTGCCAGGCAGTGGAGGGACAGAAAGACGACATAGCAAAGCAGTAACCAGAGGAAACTTGGGGACAGGGAGGAATTCTTTTGCCAGCAAGTCGCTTCCAATAGGACAGGGTTTTGCATTCTTTATAACTATGAGAGGCTAACCCAGAATGCAATGGGCTGCACTATAGTTTTTCGCCACTTTTCTTAACCAAAGTAACTGCTGTGTTCATCTCCACCTGTTGGCCAACCTTCTAGAGATGACAGCCTCTGAAAAGATTCCTCGCAAAGACCCCATTCAAGCAGGGCTGACCAAACCAGGGAGGGGCCTGTCCAGGACAATTCCTGCTGCCCACCATCCACACAATGGTTCTAAGTTGTACTCAGGGCAAGCTGGAGGTGAGAGGGATGGACCTGAGATGCAGACTCTTCTGCACAA
This sequence comes from Homo sapiens, assembly GCF_000001405.40. Lineage (NCBI taxonomy): Eukaryota > Metazoa > Chordata > Mammalia > Primates > Hominidae > Homo > Homo sapiens. Next base: position 186,967,799 of record NC_000002.12, on the reverse strand, counting down.
AGACCAAGCAAAAGTGGGCCACAGGTTATCCCTCCACCCCAGCTGATAGCCTGGGCTGCTTTACTCCTGAGCTCTGAGCCCTCACAACAGGTACCCAATGCCTTGGACCATACTCTTGAATGGAGGTCTCTCCCAGAGTTTTTTGTTTGTTTGTTTTTGTTTTGTGACAGTTTCCCTCTTGTTGCCCAGGCTGTAGTGCAATGGCACGATCTCTGCTCACTGCAGCCTCTGCCTCCCGGGTTCAAGTGATTCTCCTGCCTCAGCCTCCTGAGTAGCTGGGATTACAGGCATGTACCACCATGACTGGCTAATTTTTTGTATTTTTAGTAGAGATGAGACTTCGCCATATTGTCCTGTCTGGTCTAGAACTCCCGACCTCAGGTGATTTGCCTGCCTCAGCCTCCCAAAGTGCTGGCATTACAGGCATGAGCCACTGTGCCCAGCCTCTCCTAGAGTTCTGATCAGCCCTGTTCTGAGCTCCTAATTTCTTCAAAACCTTGTATTTCCCTCTTTTGAATCTGTCCAAGTTCAGCCAGAGACAGGGGCAAGCATCTGCTGCATTTTCTCCTTTACCTCTCACTTCCCTGTAAGAAGGGTATGCCTGGCACTCTCTTTTCTTTTCTTTTTTTTTTTTTTTTAATTTGAGCCATGGTCTGGCCCTGTCGCCTAGGCTGGAGTGCAGCAGCATGACCTCAACTCACTACAACCTCTGCCTCCTAGGCTCAAGCAATCCTCCCACCTTAGACTCCCAAGTAACCGCGACTATAGGTGTGTGCCACCATGCCTGGTAATTTTGTAATCTTTTTAGAGACAGAGTTTCACCATGTTCCCCAGGCTGGTCTCAATCTCCTGGGTTCAAGTGATCTGCCCACCTTGGCCTCCCAAAGTGCTGGGATTACAGGCATGAGCCACCACATCCGGCCTGTCACCCTCATTTTACAGAATAAACTGAGGCTCAGGAGAAGTATTTGCCTAGTATCACAGCCTTGACAATTGGCAGAGCTGGGACTTAAACCCAGCCATGTAGATCCACTCGGAATCCCCTGACCAATGCAGTCTCCTGCTCTGCTACAAGCCATGATTGTCCTAAGAGGAAAAGCATTCCTCCAGTGCGACAGCAAACAGCCTCCATGGGAGGATGGAGGACCTTAGGCCTGGGGGCCTCAGAGGCAAGTTTTCCACACGGTCCTCTCCTAAGAACACCATCAACACATCCCCATCAGAGGGAGAGACAGTATCTGTTTATCTATTTATTTCATTAGATAAATTTAATGACAGCAACACACTATAATAACGTATCTTCTGTGTAATTTTTTTCCTTTTAGAAAGAATTTAAATTTCCATTTGAACAAAAACTAAGTCACTCAAGGATACACACTTTGACAGAGTGAACCCCCATCCTTCCTACAAATCTGTCCTCCAGGGTCTTCCTGAAGCCCATAGTCTGGAGTCAATGTGGGGCAATAATCCTTGGCAGATGGGTGGTGTCTGACCATAGGACCGAGGATGGGTAGCCCTGCTACGGTGGGCCATCACCATGTATTCTGCAGTGGGAGCCTATGACAATCTATGAAACGCGCCATGTGGCAAGCTTAGGCCCCAATAAGGGAACACACAATCTCCTCACCTTTAGCCTTTCAGACTAAACCCCAACTTAGCAAAAATAGGGGACCAAGGTAAGGAGTGCTCAAAAAACACAGACAAAGTAGACTTTCAAGGATCATGGACCACATACAATAAATGTCACTCAAATGATGGCCTATGATTTCTCTGTTATGCTGCACATTGTTTCAAACAAGATGTCTCAATTAACAAATGACAGATTTTCAAAGAAAGCTCTAAAATGATAATAACATCCAAGAATAAATAACTGGGTTAATAAATATCTCAATCACTTTAAAAGTTACACCAGACTGAACACAGGTATGATTTTATGATTGATCCCCAAAGTCAGCCATGAAGACAAATTCAGAGGTTAAACACTCACCATAAATATCTCCCTCTTCATCCTTCTTCCCTACAAATATGATTTAGGTTCCAGCAACACAGGTGGCATAAAATATTTTAATTCAAACCCTTATATTTCTGAAAGGCAAAGAAACACCTGTTCAAAAAAAGAGAGCCATATAAAACACTCCAAGTCATTGTTACTTTTAGTCAGAGGACATAACCTATTATGCAATAGCAGCAAAGATCTTATGTGCTACAACTTATGCTATGCTATAATCCTTTACCTGAGAAGTTCCAAGAATATACAAATTACTGTTTTAAACAGGGGTCTCAAAGAATCTTGATAATCACATTGAATAAACATGAACAAATATGTACAAATTAACCAAATAAAGAAACATTTAAACTACCCCAAAATTATCTGTATTAAATGTTAAAATCCAAGCTGTGTCCTCCTTAGGCTTATATTAAAATGAATGACAGTTCCAATGTTGCTCAATGAAAAAAGCAAACATAATGTGAACATTTTGCTATCAGTAATGGACTAAGGTTTATTATCCATAATTAATAAAGAGTAGGACCAGGCGCTGTGGCTCATGCTCTAATCCTAACACTTTGGAAGGCCAAGGCAGGTGGATTACCTGACATCAGGAGTTTGAGACCAGCATGGCCAACATGGTGAAACCCTGTTTCTACTGAAAATACAAAAATTAGCCAAGTGTTGTGGCACACACCTGTAATTCCATCAACTTGGGAGGCTGAGGCAGGAGAATCACTTGAACTCGGGAGACAGAGGTTGCAGTGAGCCAAGACTGTACCACTGCACCCCAGCCTGGGCAATAGAGTGAGACCCTATAAAAAATAAATAAATAAAAATAAATAAAGAGTGAATGCAAACCAACAGGAAACAGGTTAACACCTGAACTGAAAAGTGAACACAGGTTATGCTCATCAGGTCACAAAGAAGGATAATGTTTCAAAAGAAAAATATGCATTTGTATATCAATACAAACTAATGATGCAATTTAAAATTTTACCTATCAAACTGAGCACGTTTTGTAGATTTATTCTCACAAAATTATTTGTTTTTTTTTATTTAAAAAAATTTTTTTAGACAAGGTCTTGCTCTGTCACCTAGGGTGTAATACAGTGTGGTGTGGTCATGGCTCACTGCAGCTTCAAACTCCTGAGGTAAAGCAATCCTCTCACCTCAGCCTCCAGGGTAGCTGGGGCTACATACAGGTGCATGCCAGAATGCCTGGCTCATATATTTTTTAAAATTTTTGCAGAGATGGGGGTCTCCCTATGCTGCCGAGCTAGCTTCAAACTCCTGGCCTCAGGGGATCCTCCTGCCTCAGCCTCCCAAACTGCAGGGATTATAGACGTGAACCACATTTAACCTGTCACCATTTTCAATTTTGAAGAGAGAACATGAAAATGGACACTCTCCTACAATCTGATGAAATCTGGCACACACTTTTTGGTTATCTGGCAGTTTGTCTCAAAGACAAAGTACATGTGGGAGCATCTACATCTATATACATACATAGCAAAATTACACCTCCAGAAATTCATCCTAAGGATCATCGTGAGAGTGCACATTTGAGAACTGGAAACCACTGGAATGTCCAGCCACAGGAGAGTGGATAACGACTTCAACTTCCACACAGTGGACAGGGCAGACACTCTCCTAACTCCACTACCTGAATGGCCAAATTAACTGACATTCTCCACTCTCCTATAAAACACCGGTGGCTGACAGGAATTTTGGATAATCTGTATATCTGTGCTCTGAAAAATTCAACAGCATGCTGCCTAAGACTCAGCCACGCTCATTCTCAATACCCATTTATGCCAGTTGTATTTGTCATTAAAAGCCTGGAGGCCGGGAACAGTGGCTCACCTCTAATCCCAGCACATTGGGAGGCCGAGGTGGGTGTATTATTACCTAAGGCCAGGAGTTTCAGACCACCCTAGCCAACATGGTGAAACTCCGTCTCTACTAAAAATAAAAAAATCATCCGGGCATGCTGGTACACTCCCAGCACTTTGGGAGGCGAGGCAGGTGGATCACTAGGTCAAGAGATAGGGACCATCCTGGCCAACATGGTGAAACCCCATCTCTGCTAAAAAAACAAAAATTGGCCGGGTGCGGCGGCTCATACCTGTAATCCCAGCACCAGGGGAGGCCGAGACGGGCAGATCATGAGGTCAGGAGATCAAGACCATCCTGGCTAACACGGTGAAACCCCATCTCTACTAAAACTGTGTCCAAAATTGGTGGGTTCTTGGTCTCACTGACTTCAAGAATGAAGCTGTGAACCCTCGCGGTGAGTGTTACAGTTCTTAAAGATGGTGTGTCCGGAGTTTGTTCCTTCCGATGTTCGGATGTGTTTGGAGTTTCTTCCTTCTGGTGGGGTTCGTGGTCTCGGTGGCTTCAGAAGTGAAGCTGCACACCTTCGTGGTGAATGTTACAGCTTTTAAGGTGGCACGTCTGGAGTTGTTCATTTCTCTCAGTGGGTTCGTGCTCTCGCTGGCCTCAAGAGTCAAGCTGCAGACCTTTGCAATGAGTATTACAGCTCACAAACGCAGTGCAGACCAAAGTGTGAGCAACAGCAATATTTACTGCAAAGAGCGAAAGAACAAACCTACCATAGTGAGGAAGGAGACCCCAGCAGGTTGGCACTGCTACCTCAGGCAGCCTGCTTTTATTCTGGTATCTGGCCCCACCCACATCCTGCTAATTGGTCCATCTTACAGAGAGCTGATTGGCCCATTTTACAGAGAGCTGATTGGTCCATTTTGACAGGGTGCTGATTGGTGCATTTACAAACCTTGAGCTAGGCACAGACTGCTGATGGGTGCATTTACAATCCTTTAGCTAGACACAAAAGTTCTCCAACTCCCCACTAGATCAGCTAGACGAAGAGCACTGATTGGTGCGTTTATAAACCTTGAGCTAGACACAGGGTGCTGATTGGTGCATTTACAATCCTTTAGCTAGACAAAAGTTCTCCAAGTCCCCACTAGATTAGCTAGACACAGAGCAGTGATTGGTACGTTTACAAACCTTTAGCTAAACACAGAGTGCTGATTGGTGCATTTACAATCCTCCAGCTAGACATAAAAGTTCTCCAAGTCCCCACTCAACTCAGGAGCCCAGCTGGCTTCACCTAATGGATCCCCCGCTAGGGCCGCCTGGGGGAGCTGCCCGCCAGTCCTGGGCTGTTAGCCCGCACTCCTCAGCCCTTGGCGGCCTACAGGACCGGGCGCTGCGGAGCAGGGGGCGGCCACGCAGCAGCTCACGGCGGGGGTGCGGAGCTCGGGCATGGCGGGCTGCAGGTCCCAAGCCCTGCACTGTGGGGAGGCAGCTGAGGCCCTGCGAGAATTCAAGTGGGGCGCGGGCGGGCCGTCAGTGCTGGGGGACCCAGCGCACCCTCCGCAGCTGCTGGCCTGGGTGCTAAGCCCTTCACTGCCCGGCGCGCTGCTCTGAGTTCGGGGCCTGCCGAGCCCGCATCCACCCGGAACTCACTCTGGCCCGCGAGCACCGCGGGCAGCCCCAGTTCCAGCCGGCGTCTCTCCCTCCACACCTTCCCGCAAGCAGAGGGAGCGGGCTCTGGCCTCGGCCAGCACAGAGAGGGGATCCCTCAGTGCAGCGGTGGGCTGAAAGGCTCCTCAAGCGCGGCCAGAGTGGGCACCGGGCCGAGGAGGCGCCAAGAGCGAGCCAGCACGATGTCACCTCTCAAAACTACAAAAAAATTAGCCGGTCGTGGTGGCGGGTGCCTGCAGTCCCAACTACTCGGGAGGCTGTGGCAGGAGAATGGCGTGAACCCAGGAGGCGGAGCTTGTAGTGAGCCGAGATCGCGCCACTGCACTCCAGCCTGGGCGAGAGAGCCAGATTCTGTCTCGAAAGGGGTGGGGGGAGGGGGAGGGATAGCATTGGCAGATACACCTGATGCTAGATGACGAGTTAGTGGGTGCAGCGCACCAGCATGGCACATGTATACATATGTAACTAACCTGCACATTGTGCACATGTACCCTAAAACTTAAAGTATAATAATAATAAATAAATAAGTAAATAAATAAAATTAGCCGGGCATGGTGGCGGGCGCCTGTAATCCCAGCGACTTGAGAGGCTGAGGCAGGAGAATGGCGTGAACCTGGGAGGCGGAGCTTGCAGTGAGCCGAGATCGCGTCACTGCACTCCTGCCTGGGCGACTGAGCAAGATTCTGTCTCAAAAAAGAAAAAAGAAAAAAAATACAAAAATTACCTGGGTGTGGCGGTGGGTGCCTGTAGTCCGAGCTACTCGGAAGGCTGAGGCAGGAGAATCACCTGAACCTGGGAAGCAGAGGTTGCAGTCTCAAAAAAAAAAAAAAAAAAAAAAAAAAGGTGCTGTATTCTAGAACCACAGGGGACTCACAGTGGTTTCATTCCATCAAATAAATTCTTTTTGGATGGTGTAAATAAAGGATTTGATGAAAAGAGTCCTAAGTTCAAATGATAGAATTTTATAGGAAGACACAGATACAACAGTTTATTTCGTTTTTGAGATAAGGTCTCCCTCTGTTGCCCAGGCTGGAGTGCAGTGAAACAATCATGGCTCATTGCAAACTGGATCTCTCAGGTTCAAGTGATCCTCCCACCTTAGCTTCCTGAATAGCTGGGACTACAGGCGCTGTCACCACACCTGGCTAATTTGTTGTTGTTGTTGTTGTTGTTGTTGTTGTTGTTGTTGAAATGGTGTCTCCCTATGTTGCCCAGGCTGGTCTTGAACTCCTGAACTCAAATGATCTTCCTGCTTGGATCTCCAAAAATGCTAGAATTCCAGATGTGAGCCACCACACCCAGCCTTGAATTCTTAAAATTATCTGTAGCACATGTGAAAAGAGTTTGTGAACTGTACAAGAACTTTAAAGTCATAATCAGCATCCACCTGAGAACCTTGTAGCAGAGTTATGCTTTTGCAGGAATCTCAGCCAGCCAGTAAATATTCATTAAACGCTGACTGTTTTCCAGGCCCTGTGCTGTGTACAAAGAGATTCCGTAGTAGTTGTCAATATCCCACTAACTATGATAATTTGAGTAGAAGGTGCCTGGGGGTGAGGGGTCATCAACTCCAATATCTAATTCAGACAATGCTGACTCCCAGCCCATCTGGCACCAACCCCATAGGTTCTCTAAACCATTGTTGCCAATTTTCTCTGAGCAACACTTGAGAAACCTAGTCCCTGATAAACAACAGCAGAAAGCTACACTGCAGGACAAGGTACATATCAGTTCCAAATGTAAATTTTCTAATTGTTTGACAATGAAAAAGTATACAATTTAAATAATACCAGGGTGCAGTGGCTTATGCCTGTAACCCCAGCACTTTGGGAGGCCGAGGTGGGTGGGTCACTTGAGGTCAGGAGGTCAAGATCAGCCTGGCTAACATAGCGAAACCTGGTCTCTACAAAAAAAAAAAAAATACAGAAATTAGCTGAGCGTGGTGGCATGCGCCTGTAATCCCAGTTACTTGGGAGGTTGAGGCCTGGGAATCACTTGAACCCAGGAATCGGAGGTTGCAGTGAGCTGAGATTGTGCTGCTGCACTCCAGCCTGGGTGACAGAGTAAGACCCTGTCTCCAAAAACTAACTAACTAACTAAATAAAACCTAGAGTGAAGAGCTTTTAAAAACAGATATATGTAAGGCTAAATGTGGTGGATCATGCCTGTAATCCCAATAAGTTGGGAGGCCGAGGCGTCTCTACTAAAAATAACAAAATTTGCCGGGCATGATGGCACCTGCCTGTAATCCCAGCTACTCAGGAGGCTGAGGCAGGAGAATGGCTTGAACCCGGGAGGCGGAGGTTGCAGTGAGCCGAGATTACACCACTGCACTCCAGCCCAGGCAACAGAGCAAGACTCTGTCTCAAAAAAAACCAAAAAACAAAAAAACTGGTATATGTGGAAACAGTCACCAAAGAGCATTGAATTTAAAATGAAATGTTTAGATATGGATTGTTTTTTCTTATTTCCCATATTACCTCAATTTGTCAGTAATTATCAGGCTGTGTGTGACGTCTCATGCCTGTAATCCCAGCACCTTGGGAGGCTGAGGCAAGAGGAGTGCTTAAGCTCAGGAGTTTGCGACCAGTCTGGGCAACATGGCAAGATCTCATCTCTACAAAAAATAAAAATAAAAAAATTAGCCAGATGTGGTGGCGTGCACCTGTAGTGCCAGCTACGTGGGAGGTGGATAGGAGGACACTTGAGCCAGGGAGGTCAAGGCTGCAGTGAGCCATGATCGCCTCACTGCCTGGGCGACAGAGTGAAACCATGTTTAAAAAAGCAAACAAAAACCAACCATCTGTAATTCTCCACCACGTCAAATAAACATATTGGGAACAAGAAACAAAGAGGTTGAAGTCTCACTTCAAGGGTAGCTATTCCTTGCATCTTGCTAGAATTTTAAGGTACTGTATAATACACTATAGCTGAATACCGAAGAATGTTTTTTTGTTTTGTTTTGTTTTGTTTTGTTTTGTTTTGTTTTGTTTTGTTTTTCACCAAGACCTGCTCTGTCTCCCGGTGCAGTGCAGTAGCACAACCTCAGCTCACTGCAACCTCCACCTCGCGGGTTGAGGCAATTCTCTTGCCTCAGCCTCCCGAGTAGCTGGGATTACAGGCACCCACTACCATGCCAGCTAATTTTTGTATCTTTAGTAGAGACGGGGTTTAACCATGTTGGTCAGGCTGGTCTTGAACTCCTGACCTTGTGATCCGCCCACCTCGTCCTCCCAAAGTGCTGAGTTTACAGACATGAGCCACCGTGCCTGGCCTGTTTTGTTTTTTTTAAGACATATTTTCTCTCCGGAGTGCAGTGGTGCCATCATGGCTCACTGCAGCCTTGACCTCCGGGGCTCAAGTGGTCCTACCCCCATCATCTTCTGGAGTAGCTGGGATTACAGGCACATGGCGCACTTGACTACTTTTAAAATTTTTCTGGCCTGGCGCGATGGCTCACACCTGTAATCCCAGCACTTTGGGAGACCGAGGAGGGAGGATCACAAGGTCAGGAGTTCAAGACCAGCCTGGCCAATATGGTGAAACCCTGTCTCTGCTTAAAAAAAAAAAAAAAAAAAAAAAATTAGCCAGGCTTGGTGGTGGGCGCCTGTAGTTCCAGTTACTAGGGAGGCTGAGGCAGGAGAATTGCTTCAACCTGGGAGGCGGAGGTTGCAGTGAGCCGACATCACACCACTGCACTCCAGCCTGGGCAGCATATGCTGACTTCATTTCAAAAAACAAAATTTTTTTTTCTAAGAGACAAGATCTCACTATGTTGCCCAGGCTGGTCTTGAACTCCTGGCCTCAAGTTCTACTGTCTTGGCCTCCAAAGTGGTGGGAGTACAGGCATGAGCCACCATGCCCAGCCAAGAGAAGCTTTTTTTTTTTTTTTGAGACGGAGTCTTGCTCTGTCGCCCAGGCTGGAGTGCAGTGGTGCAATCTTGGCTCACTGCAACCTCTGCCTCCCAGGTTCAAGTGATTCTCCTACCTATGCACCAGAGTAGCTGGGACTACAGGTGCCTGTTACCATGCCCAGCTAACTTTTGTATTTTTAGTAGGTATGGGATTTCACCATATTAGCCAGGCTAATGAGTTTCCAACAGTGGGAAAAGAGATATTACACAAAAGGGACACCAAATGGGAGAGTGAGCTGGCATGGTGGGGAGTCAGTAGGGATGTGAGCCGGGTTGGAGGGCAGTGAGGACAGTTCTTGTTGGCATTTTATGCTTCTGGGGGTGCAGAAGACTATGTATCTATGATCACCCCTCTCTGCATTGCTGCTGCCCCCAATGTCCACTCATTTCATGGGCCCAGTTGGCCACCTTGGATGTACCATGATATCCACTTGGGGTTCCAATCACTTTCCAGTCTGGGAAAAAGGTTCTTCTGATGGGCATTAATATGTCCTATTTAATGCATCCCTTTAATTCCCATAGTGATTTCCATAAGGCCATGTTCCATATGGACACCCCCTTTTTTCTTTTTTCTAGACAGAGTTTTGCTCTTGTTGCCCAGGCTGGAGTGCAATGGTGCGATCTCAGCTCACCACAACCTCTGCCTCCCAGGTTCAAGTGATTCTCCTGCCTCAGCCTCCCAAATAGCTGGGATTACAGGCATGCGCCACCATGCCCGGCTAATTTTGTATTTTTAATAGAGACACGGTTTCTCCATGTCAGGTTGGTCTTGAACTCCCAACATCAGGCGATCCACCCGCCTCAGCCTCCCAAAGTGCTGGGATTACAGGCGTGAGCCACCGCGCCCAGCTGGACACCCCACTAACAATCCAGTTTTCCATTGTTCCTCTTCCTGACCACATGGCCAGCTGTTGGCCAATGCCCATGAGTTGGAATGCACCTGGACTACAGGGCTCTAATTGTTGTTTAATTCTTCCACCACTGCAAGGAAAATAGCATGCAATTCAGCTTACTGAGCTTACTTGTTCTCAACCTCTTCAATTTGTTTTACCATCAGTTGGTTAGAGTGGGGAGGTTTCCAAACAGGATGCTGACCATCTACTTTAGGAATGTTAACGTGAACCAAGGAGATGTGAAGCCTGCAGATAAGAGTGCTGACTGAGGCTGAGCGAGGTGGTTCATGCCTGTAATCCCAGCACTTTGGGATTCAGGCTGGTGAATCACCTGTGGTCAGGAGTTTAAGACCAGCCTGGCTAACATAGTGAAACCCTGTCTCCACTAAAAATACAAAAATTAGCCTGGCCCATGTGGTGGTGGGCGTCTGTAATCCCAGCTACTTTGGGGGCTGAGGCAGGAGAATCACTTGAACCCAGGAGGCAGAAGTTGCAGTGAGCCAAGAGCGCACCATTGCACTCCAGCCTGGGCAACAAGAGCGAAACTCTGTCTCAAAAAAAAAAAAAAAAAAAGAGTGCTGATTGAACTGACTGAACTTCCAAAATCATATCAGAGTGGACCATAAGGGCCCAATATATATCCAGACATCAATTCTTGAAATTCAGTCATAGACTGCTATTGTGATGGCTCCCATTCAAATACAGCCTTTCTTCAGCCTTAATAGATAAGAGCTCGCACTCTTTCCAGATGCAGAATGTGTCTTCCAAATCCAAACAACCCACCCGACCCTGTGCTTCTCACTGAGTTCCAGTAGTAGATAACAAGAGAGTCTAGTTTAGCTGCCTGTGGGATGTGATAGCTCCTGCCCAGGTTATTCCTGAGAATTCCACCATTGATATGGACTCTGGGATCTTTGCTAGATTGGTCAACCAGCCTGTGTTAGTGATGACTGTTCACTACTGCATTAAGTCAATCCTGGCTTGTTTTTCAGTTTCTGATGTGATTGTGGCATTAGCAATGCAGCGTATTGACACAGCAGTAAACTGGTGAATTCAAATAACCATGTGGCAATACAATGTAGTAAGCTGAGATCCTTCCCACATAAAGACAAACCATGTTTAACTCTTGTACGAGATTGTGATAAAGAAAAAACATTTGCAAGACATTGTATTTTTTGCATGATTGAAACCATATCAGGAACTGCTGGTGCTGTAGTCAGGACTACTTTATTTTTATTTATTTATTTATTTTTTACTTTTTTGAGATGGAGTCTCAAACTGTTGCCCAGGCTGGAGTGCAATGGCCTGATCTCGTCTCACTGCAACCTCCACCTCTTGAGTTCAAGCGATTCTCCTGCCCCAGCCTCCCGAGTAGCTACAGATGTGCACCACCATGCCGAGCTTATTTTTGTGTTGTTTGTTTGTTTGTTTTGAGATGGAGTCTCACTTTGTTGCCCAGGCTGGAGTGCAGTGGCACAATCTTGGCTCTCTGCAATCTCTGCCTCCCAGGTTCAAACAATTTTACTGCCTCAGCCTCCTGAGTAGCTGGAATTACAGGCACATGCCACCATGCCTGGCTAATTTTGTATTTTTAGTAGTGGCAGAGTTTCACCATGTTGGCCAGGCTGGTCTTGAACTCCTGACACCAGGTGATCCGCCCACCTTGGCCTCCCCAAGTGCTGGGATTACAGGCATGAGCCACCACGCCCGGCCAGGACTACTTTATTCAAGCCTGGAAAATCTACTGTAGTCTTGATGAGCCACTTCCCTTTTTCATGGGCCACACAGGACATTTGTACAGAAAATTTGTTAGTATCAGCACTCCAACTTCTAACATGTCAGCAATTAAAGTGGTATTCTCTTTTTGTCTACTAGGATTCATCTGACACTGTGTCAAATTAACAAGCTATGTGGGCTCAGGCAACTCTATAGGTTCCCATTTAGTATGCCCAATTAATGATTGCAGAAGGGCAAACTTACATACCTTTGATTTTATAATACTAGGAATGGGAAGTGCTCCCAGTCAGACATGACTCCATCTAATAACACACTTAGGTAGAGGAGACACAAGCAGTTCACATGAAGTCCGTTCTAATGTTCCAGTTTTCATCCAAACTTTCACCTTCATCTCATCAATCTTTATATCCCCAGATGCTCCCTAGCAAACTGTCACCCAGTTATGACTTCACTAACAGGTTTTGATAACATAATGCATTGGGATCCTGTGGGAAGAACTCTCAGAAGTTTTTCTCCACTCCGTGTTCGTTATCCTCACACATATGCACAAGCCCCAGGTGTGTTGTTGAGGATCAGGCCAAGAGAACCTGACCCCTGCATCAGTGTTTGTCCTGATTAATATGCCTGACCACTAGCCCCAGTGATTCGAGGTCAGATTTCTCATTTTCATCTTTGCCTTTAGTCTTTTCAAATTCCTGCAAACTCAGGTAAATGGGGTGAATCTGTTTAAGGCCCTTCAATGTTGGGACACCAGCAGGGGCAACTGTGAGTCCACTGAATCTCCCATAGTGCTGCGATAAGATTTTTCTTTTGATTCATCAATATTCAGCATTTTCATCCTAGTTCTTTTTTTTTTTTGAGATGGAGTCTTGCTCTGCCACCCAGGCTAGAGTGCAATGGTGCTATCTTGGCTCACTGCAACCTCCACCTCCTGGGTTCGAGCAATTCTCCTGCTTCAGCCTCCTGAGTAGCTGGGAATACAGGCATGCACCACCATGTCTGGCTAATTTTTGTATTTTTAGTAGAGATGGGGCTTCACCAGTTTTGCCAGGATGATCTTGAACTCCTGACCTCAAGCGATCCACCCACTTCAGCCTCCCAAAGTGCTAGGATTACACGCATGAGCCACCACGCCCAGCCCATCCCAGTTCTTATATTTGAAAGTTTTCACCCTGCTGGGACAAGTCTCTTGACTATTTCCTTTGACTTTGCCCATTCTTTTGTGAATGGGCATCATTTTCTTGGCATCTGTAAGACCCATGAGGGGAAGCTGAGATAACCAATCTGATATGATTTGAACTGTGCTTGATTTTGCAGCAGTAAGTTTCCATGGGATTCCTGTGCAAAAGGAACTCACGTAATCACACTGAGGCAGGAGATTAGCAGGCCTTGTTTTCTGAGCACTAGTCGCAACCTAGTTGATTGAAACAGGATCTGATCAAAAAGGATGCAGTAGGCCGGGTGCGGTGGCTCACGCCTGTAATCCCAGCACTTTGGAAGGCCGAGGCGGGCAGATCACGAGGTCTGGAGATCGGGATACTATCCTGGCTAACACGGTGAAACCCCGTCTCCACTAAAAATACAAAAAAATTAGCCTGGCGTGGTGGCATGCGCCTGTAGTCCCAGCTACTCAGGAGGCTGAGGCAGGAGAATCACTTGAACCCAGGAGGCGGAGGTTGCAGTGACCCAAGATTGTGCCACTGCACTCCAGCCTGGGCGACAGACACTCTATCTCAAAAAAAAAAAAAAAAAAGATGCAGTAAAGAAACTAGCCAAAACCATCTAAAACCAAGTTGGCAACAAAAGCAACCTCTAGTTCCCCTCACTGCTCATTATACGCTAACTGTAATACATTTGCATGCTAGAAGACAGTCCCACCAGCAATTGTGACAGTTTACAAATGTCATGGCGATGCCCTAGGAAGTTACTTTATATGGTTTAAAAGGGGACATAGGCATGGGCAAGGACTTTATGTCCAAAACACCAAAAGCAATGGCAACAAAAGCCAAAATTGACAAATGGGATCTAATTAAACTAAAGAGCTTCTGCACAGCAAAAGAAACAACCATCAGAGTGAACAGGCAACCTACAACATGGGAGAAAATTTTCGCAACCTACTCATCTGACAAAGGGCTAATATCCAGAATCTACAATGAACTCAAACAAATTTACAAGAAAAAAACAAACAACCCCATCAAAAAGTGGGCGAAGGACATGAACAGACACTTCTCAAAAGAAGACATTTATGCAGCCAAAAAACACATGAAAAAATGCTCATCATCACTGGCCATCAGAGAAATGCAAATCAAAACCACTATGAGATATCATCTCACACCAGTTAGAATGGCAATCATTAAAAAGTCAGGAAACAACAGGTGCTGGAGAGGATGTGGAGAAATAGGAACACTTTTACACTGTTGGTGGGACTGTAAACTAGTTCAACCATTGTGGAAGTCAGTGTGGCGATTCCTCAGGGATCTAGAACTAGAAATACCATTTGACCCAGCCATCCCATTACTGGGTATATACCCAAATGACTATAAATCATGCTGCTATAAAGACACATGCACACGTATGTTTATTGCAGCATTATTCACAATAGCAAAGACTTGGAATCAACCCAAATGTCCAACAATGATAGACTGGATTAAGAAAATGTGGCACATATACACCATGGAATACTATGCAGCCATAAAAAATGATGAGTTCATGTCCTTTGTAGGGACATGGATGAAATTGGAAATCATCATTCTCAGTAAACTATCGCAAGAACAAAAAACCAAACACCGCATATTCTCACTCATAGGTGGGAATTGAACAATGAGATCACATGGACACAGGAAGGGGAATATCACACTCTGGGGACTGTGGTGAGGTGGGGGGAGGGGGGAGGGATAGCATTGGGAGATATACCTAATGCTAGATGACGAGTTAGTGGGTGCAGCGCACCAGCATGGCACATGTATACATATGTAACTAACCTGCACAATGTGCACATGTACCCTAAAACTTAAAGTATAATTAAAAAAAAAAAAAGGGGAGGAACCCTTAGTCCTGGGAACTCCCAACCTCTTTTGTAGAAAATTCGTGAATAACCTGCCGCTTATTTAGCTTATAATTAGGGAGTAGCTATAAACACAGCTAGCCAGCGATACTCTAGTGCTGCGCTCCCTATGGGGTGGCCTCCTCTGTCTATGGAGCAGCCATTTTCTTGCACTCTGTTGGTCTAATAAACTTGATTTGTTTTCACTTTACTGTGTCAGTTCGCTCTCAAATTCTTTCCTGTGTGAAGCCAAGAACTTTCCTGGGCTGAGCACCAATTTGGGAGCTCACCTGCATCAATACCTAGGTGCTATGACCTGGGTAAGGGACATATGAGGGGATGAACATCCTCATCATTATAAAGCCAGTCCAGCCTGGATTTGATATGTGACAAATCAGCTGCCTCATCTGGGGAGGTCACTTAGCATGTAAAGAAGGGAAATGTCTATTTACCTTCTCAGGGTAAACAAACTTTACAGCGGCATTTCTCCATTCCAGCAGGCTAGCTGACCCCTGAGAGGCAACCTGCCATGTGTTGGGATCACATACAGGCATCTTTGATTGTTTCATAATAAACTGTGGGTCCTGCAGCAATCCAGACATGCTCTTCTGCTCCGCAGCATTCAAAATCTAGAAGGCTGCTCCTCAGTCACTCTCACAATCTATTTTGGTAAAACTTCCTCAGGAGGCTGCAGATATCGATCAACAAATGAGACCTTCCTTCACATTATATCCTCTGCTTTAGTAGTTTCTTGGGTTTGCACAGCCTTGCCATCCTGACTTTGTAACACTGTTATCTGTTGTTCAGGCACAATTTTTCCATTAGAGAATGGTCCTGAGACTAATAACTGTAGCTCTGACCAGCTGAAGTCCAAGCGTGGCAAAGCACCAGAATCTGCCCCAGCACTCTCCTTTACTTTCATTTTAGCTGTTACAGATAAAAATCATTGAAGGCAGCTGGGCGCGGTGGCTCACGCCTGTAATCCCAGCACTTTAGGAAGCCAACCGAGGTGGGTGGATCATTTGAGGTCAGGAGTTGGAGACCAGTCTGGATAACATGGTAAAACCCCGTGTCTACTAAAAATACAAAAAATTAGCTGGGTGTGGTGGCACATGCCTGTAGTCCCAGCTACTCAGGAGACTGAGACACAAGAATCGCTTGAACCTGGGAGGTGGAGGTTGCAGTGAGCCAACATTGCACCACTGCACTCTAGCCTGAGTGACAGAGCGAGACTCTGTCTCAAAAAAAAAAAAAAATCACTGAAGGATTACACTTTACCTTGCTTCTCACTGTTTTCCATTTATTTATGTATCTGAAGAGTCAACACCTTGGGAGTTGGGGTCATCATTTCTCAATTCCATTGATAACTACATCTTCAGTAACAGATATCAGGGCAGCTGCTGTCTTGTCCTGTTTTGAGAGACAAGACAACTAAAACGTGGAGCGGTTATGTAGCTTGCCCAAGGTCACATAGCAAGAAAATGACAGAGGTGGTATTTGAAACCAGATTTATCTGACTTCAAGGCTTTCTCCTTAAGCTTTAGCAACACTATGTCCTATGAACAGATTCTAAACCTTAAAAACTAGAAACTGCTCATGCCTGCAATCCCAACACTTCGGGAGGCTGAGGTGGGAGGATCAATTGAGCCCAGGAGCTTGAGACCAGCCTGGGCAACATCATGAGGCCCCCATCTCTAAAAAGAAACCTAGCTGGGTGTGGTGCCACGCTCCCTAGTCCCAGCTACTCAGGAGGCTAAGGTGGGAGGATTGCTTGAGCCCAAGAGTTTCAGGCTGCAGTGAGTCATGATCGTGCCACTACACTCAAGCCTGGGTGACAGAGGAGAACTTGACCCGTCAAAAACCACAAAGAAACAAATAAAAACCCTAGAAGCTTCTCCCATCCCACTGGGCATTCCTTACATTATTCCATGGGGATTCCCAGTTTCCAAGCACAGCCCTCTTCTCTTTGGGATGGGGCAGTCCACTTGATCTCAGTTTTGCATGTGTTTAGGGGCCAGAAACATCCTTTGGTCTCTTTTTTGGGCTTCTTGTCTGTTTGTACTCAGAACCTCTGCTGGGCACAACATGGCAGTTCAAGTAGATCAGTGATTCTCAACTTTGGCTGAACCTTGGAATCACCCAAGGACCTTTAAAAAATATGAATGCTGGTGGGGCGTGGTGGCTCATACCTGTAATCCCAGCGTTTTGGGAGGCCGAGGAAGAAGGATCACTTGAACCCAGGAGGTCAAGGCTGCAATGAGCTGTGTTCACACTACAGCCTGGACAACAGAGGGAGACCCTGTATTTAAAAAAAAAAAAAAAGCTAATGCCCAGGTTTCACCCTATAGTCTCTTGATTTACTTGGTTATGTATAGTGGGTTGAGCGGTCATTTCCATAAAGATATGTTCATATCCTATAAACTATGAATTTAGCTTATTTGGAAAAAGGGTATTTGCAGGTATAATTAAAGATCTCAGATGAGATTATCACAGATTAGCTCAATGGCTCTAAATCCAACTACAAGTGTCCTTGTAAGAGATACCCAGAGGAGTCCCATGAAGAACAGGAAGAGGTCACATGAAGATGGAGGCAGAAATTGCAACTATGCAGTCACAAGGCAAGGAACATCGGAACAACCAGAAACTGGAAGAGACAAGGCAGAGTTCTTCCTTACAGCCTTGTGAGGAACTCGCCCCTGCTGCTGACACCTTGGTTTTAGACTTCTAGGCTCCAGAATTGCTACAGAAGTACAGAAGTGAGTGTGGTTTCAGCCAACAAGTTTGGTTGTTTTTTTTTTTTTTTTGTAATTTGTTAATTTGTTGTGACAGACACAGGAAACTAATACAATTCGGGGCGGGGAGGGGCCTGGGCCTTTGTACATTTTTTTTTTTTTTTTTTTGAGATAGGGTTTCACTGTCACCTAAGCTGGAGTGCAGTAGCATGATCACAGCTCTCTGCAGCCTTGACCTTCCAGGTTCAGGTGATCTTCCCACCTCAGACTCTGGAGCTGGAGGAGCTGAGACTACAGGCACACACCACTACACCCAGCTAATTACAATTTTTTTTTTAGAGATGGGGGTCTCACTATGTTGCCCAGGCTGATCTCAAATTCCCAGGCTTAAGTGATTCTCCTGCCTCAGCCTCCCATAGTTTTGGGATTACAGACTGAGCCCCCATGCCTGGCCACATTTGTACTTTTTTATTTTATTTTATTTTATTTTATTTTTTTTGAGGCAGAGTCTCACTCTGTCGCCCAGACTGAAGTGCAGTGGCACAATCTCGGCTTACTGCAACCTCTGCCTCCTGAGTTCAGGTGATTCTCGTGCCTCAGCCTCCTGAGTAGCTGAGATTACAGGCACGCACCACCAAGCCTAATTTTTTGTATTTTTAGTAGAGACGGGGTTTCGCCATGTTGCCCAGGCTGGTCTCAAGCTCCTGAGCTCAGGCAATCCGCCCGCCTCAGCCTTCCAAAGTGCTGGGATTAGAGGTGTGAGCCACCATGCCCGGCCCACATTTGTACCTTTTTAACAGCTTCCTAGGTGATTCTAATGTGCAGCCAGGATTGGGGACCACTGGAATAGGGCATGTCAGAAGCATCTCCCTCTGGCAGTTTTCCTCAGCTCGGGGTCTAAATGCTTTTTGCAATATCAAAATGTCTTCTTTTTAATTTGTAATTTTAATTTTAATTGTTTTTATACAGGGTATCACTATGTTGCCCAAGCTAGACTGGATGTCCTGGCCTCAAATCACCCTCCTGTCTCAGCCACCTGAGTAGCTGGGATTACAAGTACACACCAGTGTGCCTGGCTATCATGATGTTTTCTTAATTCTATTTTTATCATTTTTTAGCAGAGTAAATATTTGATACACTATGAGAACAGCCAGGGTAAATAAACTTAATGGTAAGAAAATAAAAACTTTGAGAGCCTGCATATAGGTATCTATATCTTAAGTAAGTTTGTGTCTCTGTGGCTGTTTGGGCTATAACTGTATTGTTGCTTCTGCTTGTCTGTTTAATTTATGAATTATCCTGCCGCTTTCCTCTCCTGCCTTCCCATCTCCCTCCAGTTGCCTGTGTTGGGGGAGTTTATCCCCGGGCTCTTTAGCACATCCAGATACACTGGCCTGAGGAAAGACAAAGAATGGTTCCAGATGGATACCTGTGGCTGCTTTGTCGTTAGGGGTGATGAAGTGTTGAGTAGGAGAGGAGCAGAGGGCCGCAGTGAGGTTCTGATGTTTTGCCCTGTATCTGTGTCCCTGGATGGTGAGACACTATTGCTGAGGTATAGTTGCCTTTCAATCTAGCCCCGGGGAAGCAGATGCCAGAGAGTAATGAGGAGAAATCTGTATTCCAGGTAAAGGGATTCTGTTTCTCTTGTATGGGAGTGTGGAGTAACTGAACTGACATTCTGAGTTTCCAGGTGTGGATGCAACACAAGTGTGATAGTCTCTGAAGCCTAAGCCTTCTCTACCACACCTACTCCTTCTTCAGACAAATAGAAAGTACTGATCCCACAACATGGATGACCCTCAAAAACATCATGCCGAGTGACAGAAAGAAGGCAGACACAAAATACCACACATGGTTCCCTTTGCAAGAAGAGTCCAGAAAAGGCCAATCTATAGAGACAGACGGTAGATTGGTGTTTGCCTGGGGCTAGGGGTGGGAATGGGGATTCCATCAATGGGCAGGAGGAAATTTTTTGGGGTGATGGAAATGTTCTAATGGATGAAAATGCAATGGCTGCACAAGTAAGTAATTTATTCAAAATAATGGAATTATACCCTTAATATAAGTGGATTTTATGGTATGTAGATTATATCCCCAAAACATTTTTTAAAATAATATGCATATATAACATGTCTATTTTAACTCTGTTACTATTAGACAATCACTGAGTCTTGACCAATCCCAGAAGCCATACTTCAACCACTCATACACTGCTGAGTTTTTCAACTGTGTTCAAATAAGGCAAACGCCTAGTTGTAACCAACCCAGGTGTTTCTGTACCTCACTTCCGATTTCTGTACATCACTTTACTTTTTTTGTCTGTAAATTTGTTCTGACCACAAGGCACCCCTGGAGTCTCTCTGAATCTGCTGTGATTCTAGGGGCTGCCCAAATTGCAATTGTTCATTGCTCAATTGAACTCCTTTTAATTTAATTTGGCTGAAGTTTTTCTTTTAACAATAGAAAGCATCGTATTAAAATACCGTAATACTAAAGATGAGGAAACAGAATGTGAGATATTCCTGACCTTGGTAAAGGTGACTAGGCAGGTAGTGGCAGGGCTGGACTCCACAATTCTTCCAGAAAAAAAAAAAGAAACGCGGGGAGCAGACATCTATCATGTCATTCTTTTTTTGGCCACACAGCAGCTGAACTCCCTTGCAGGTGTTTTGAAGCCTCTCCTCCTTTATGAGGCACACCTGTGCTCTCATTACTTAAAGTGAAAATGCCACTCCCTCTCCTGGTCTCCTCTAAGCTGAGGGACAGGCTGTGGCCTGGCCCCAGCAGCCTTCTGCATCTGCCTTGGGTTAGAAGCTAGAGAATGATGAAGGGGCTGGGCCCACATAGGCTGCAGGGTGAGGTGAGAAGGAGATGGTGGCTCTCCTGTGAAGTTGGCTGCACACTGTTGGCAGTGCAGGCATCTGTTCTTGCCTGGTGACCTGGGCACTGGGATTGTCCCCTCTGTGGAGTGATGTGGGTGTTGGACCTGATGGCAACATCACCAAATCTGGCTCTCTAGCCTCTGGAGAGTCTGTGAGCTATCCAATAGCTTAAAAACAATATTTTTTTTTTTTGAGATAGGGACTCACTCTGTCACCCAGGCTGGAATGCAGTGACAAGATCATGGCTCACTCAGCCTCAACCTCCCAGACTTGAGCAATCCTCCCACCTCAGCCTCCCAAGTAGCTGGGACCACAGGCATATATACCACCACACCTGGCTAATTCTTTTATTTTATTTTTTGTAGAGACAGTGCCTCCCTATGATGCCCAGGCTGGACTCGAACTCCTGGGCTCAAGGGATCCTCCTTGCCTCAGCCTCCCAAAGTGCTAGGATGACAGGTGTGAGCCACGCACCCAGTCCCCAGTAGCTTTTTAATAACTGTTTCTCAAACAGTAATCAAACAAATCACTGAGAGAGTGTGTTGAAGTATAGACTCAGATTCAGTAGGTCTGGGTGGGCATGAGGCTCTGAATTTCATTTTTTTTTTTTTTTTTTTTTGAGACAGAGTCTCACTCTGTCACCCAGGCTAGAGTGCAGTGGCATGATCTCCGCTCACTGCAACCTCCGCTTCCCAGGTTCAAGCGATTCTTCTGCCTCAGTCTCCCAAGTAGCTGGGACTACAGGCATGCACCACCATGCTCAGGTAATTCTGTATTTTTAGTAGAGACGGGGTTTCACTATGTTGGCCAGGCTGCTCTCAAACTCCTGACTTCAAGTGATCTGCCTATCTTGGCCTCCCAAATGGCCTTCAGGGAGAAAACCAAGATTTGCTTGAATTACCACTGAAGATTTCCACTAGCTGATATCAGCATCCAAAAAAACCTTCTTAGTGTTGATTTCTTGGCTGCACCTGCCTTTTCAGGCCTGATAACGGAAGACAGTAGTTATGATACAGAAAAAACAGACATGGAGAGAAAACTGAGTCGCCTTTGTCATATCAAATTTTGACAATGGAGCCGGGCACGGTGGCTCACGCCTGTAATCCCAGCATTTTTGGGAGGCTAAGAGGAGTTGATCACTTGAGGTCAAAAGTTCAAGACCAGCCTGACCAATATGGTGAAACCCCATCTCTACTAAAGATATAAAATTAGCCTGGCATGGTGGTGCACACCTGTAATCCCAGCTACTTGGGAGGCTCAGGCAGGAGAATCACTTGAACCCGGGAGGTGGAGGTTGCAGTGAGCCAAGATCGTGCCATTGCACTCCAGCCTGGGCAACAAGAACAAAACTCCGTCTCAAAAAAAAAAAAAAATTTAAGCGTGGGCTTTGCTGACAGGGATCCCCAAGAACTACCCCTACTTGGATCTCAGCTAAAGGAAACACATCATCTGTACAATTTTATACCTTCATGAATTTAACCAAAGATGTTGGGAAAAACAGTAAACAAATATATTTTTAAAAAGAAGAGGGGGATGAAAAAATAATCATTTTGTCTCATTGTCCCGAACTTCTGACCTCAAGTGATCCGCCCACCTGGGCCTCCCAAAGTGCTGGGATGACAGGCGTGAGCCACTGTGCCCAGCCTCATTTTGTCTCATTGTCCTTCTCTCCTACGCAAGTGATACCTGTTGGCCTTACACTCAGGCAAAAAGAGACCAAAACTAAAATGTAAATCAGGCTGGGCACAGTGGCTCATGCCTGCAATCCCAGCACTTTGAGAGGCCAAGGAGGGCAAATCGCTTGAGGCAGGAGTTCGAGACCAGCCTGGCCAACATGGTGAAACCCCATCTCTACTGAAAATACAAAAAATTAGCAGGGCGTTGTCGAGTATGCCTGTAGTCCCAACTACTCAGGAGGCTGAAGCATGAGAGTCGCTTGAACCTGGGAAGTGGAGGTTGCAGTAAACCAAGATCACACCACTGCACACCAGCCTGGGTGACACAGCGAGGCTCAGTCTCAAAAGATAACAATTAGTTCTTGGCCAGGCCTCCTGTCATGTGTGGGATCCTGGGCTAGAGTACAAATGGACATCCACACTTAACATGTTTAAACATGTACAAGTTATAAATCAAGCTAACAGAGAAATATATTCTGTCCTCCTGCCGTGACAAATATTCCTATGAGATGGGGTGAAAGACCAGGTCAAAGTCAAAGGACTCAGGCTCCTCAGAGTTCTACTGCAGTGTGAGCAGCACCAGGAGAGCTGGCTCAAGCTCTATAGGCCACCCTCCTCACTTCCCACTGCTGGCTCTGTCTGCATGGCAAGGGGCTTCGTGTAGAAGCATGGGCCACCCAGCTCACACGTCCAAGCTCCTTTCACATTACCAAACAGCTGCCTTTTGTCACCGCTTGATCTGAGGGGCCCACACTGGTGGTGTGACCTCCCTTTGGAAAGTTGGACCTGGGGAAGAGGCCTATTCAGGCCTTGGAAGTGGGCTCAGGCCATTTGTACAGAGAATTGAGAGTTTCTCATCCCCTGAGATTAGTCTAGAGGTTGGGGTCAGGGGTGTACAAGGTCCAGATGGACACATCCTTTGGGCCTGACTGACTCTTCACCCCTGGTAGGTTTGACTGGAGGAGGGCCACAGTGGAGCCCTCTGAACCACGGGTTCCTAGGTAGGGTCTCTGTTACACTGGTCTAAAATTAGTACTATTCTTGGTTTGGGGGAGTCTTGGGCACAGGGCCTAGTGATTTAAGAGATTTCAAGGGTGATTTGACTACTTTACTTATAGGACCCAAGTCAGTGAATAAATCAGCATTAGCCTCATTCTTCTCACTGTATATAAGCCATGGGCGTTGTTATTTATTTATTTATTTTTAATTTAATTAATTATTTTATTTTATTTAAGACAGTCTTTCTCTATCACCCAGGTTGGAGTGCAGTGGCACGATCTCAGCTCACTGCAACCTCCGCCTCCCCAGTTCAAGTGATTCTCCGGCCTTAGCCTCCCGAGTGGCTGGGACTACAGGCACCCACCACCATGCCCGGCTAATTTTTATATTTTTAGCAGAGACGGGGTTTCACCATATTGACCAGGCTGGTCTTCAACTCCTGACCTCAGGCAATCTGCCTGCCTTGGCCTCCCAAAGTGGGATTACAGGCATGAGCCACCGTGCCCAGCCACATCCCTTAAATTCTTACTGATGCTCATAAGGCCATGATCCATATGGATGTTCCTTTAATAATCCAGTTTTTCATTGCCCATCTTCCTGACCATGTAGCCATCCACTGGCCAATGCCCATGAGTTGGAATGCACTCAGACTTTGGGGAATTGTTCAATTCTTCCATCACTGCGAGGAAACCAGCATGCAATCCAGCCACTGAGCTTATTTGTTCTCAACTTCTTCAGTTATAATTTTTGCATTATTTGGTCATAGTGCAGAGCCTTCCAAACAGGATGCTGACCATCCACTATGGAACTTGTTATCTGTAAACCAGGCAGCTTTTTGTTGATCAATCAAGGGCTGTTTATAAACCACCCTGCCCCCTGCCCTGCCTCCAAGTAGCTATACAATCTGGTAGTTCCTCAGAGGGTTCCAAAGTACGTCCTAGAGGAAATGAGGCTACCCATTCATGAATATGATGAGAACCTCCTTGCATTCCTCCAGTAGTGTGTTCTTGTATAAAATGTGCATAAGTAGGCACATTTTATACAGGAACATTTTTATTATAGTGTCATTTCCATTTCCATTTTATTACAGTGTCAGTTCTTCTGGTCAATGGCTTCCTCAGCAGAAGTTTTCTCTGAGATCACCCAAGACATCATAGGTATATCAGATTTTAAGATTATCATACGTCTTTCAGTCACACGGGTAGTTTCAATTAATGCCCAAGAAACAGCAACAAAATGATTGTCTCTCTAATGATATGTACTATATTGCCACATCTGGAAATTTTCTGGTTCCCAATTCCAGTGGTCACCATCAGGCAGCACTTACGCACTTTTTTTTTTTTTTTTTTGAGATGGAGTCTCACTCTGTTGCCCAGGCTGGAGAGCAGTGGTGCCATCTCTGCTCACTGTAACATCCACCTCCTGGGATCAAGCGATTCTTGTGCCTCAACCTCCCAAGTAGTTGGGATTACAGGTGCGTGCCACCACGCCCAGCTAATTTTTGTTTTTTCAGTAGAGATGGGGTTTCACCATGTTGGCCAGGCTGGTCTCAAACTCCTAACCTCAGATGATCTGCCCATCTTGGCCTCCCAGAGTGCTGGGATTATAAGCATGAGGCACTGTGCCCAGCCTACTTATGCACATTTTAACTTCAGTCTGTAGAAGTGTTAAGTTACAGATACTTCCAAAGTCAGAATATGGATTTTAAGGGCCCAATATCGATTCAGCCATCGCTTCTT
Organism: Homo sapiens; assembly: GCF_000001405.40. Lineage (NCBI taxonomy): Eukaryota > Metazoa > Chordata > Mammalia > Primates > Hominidae > Homo > Homo sapiens. The sequence continues at coordinate 186,942,684 of NC_000002.12, read as the reverse complement.
GCAATTCAGACAGTTGGCTGTTGTGAAGACTCCTATTCAAGTACAACCTTCCTTCAGAGACTCTTCTTTCTTTTTATCTTTTGAGACAGGTTCTTGCTCTGTTGCCCAGGCTGGAGTACAGTGGTGCGATCACAGCTTACTGTAGCCTCAACCTCTTAGGCACAAATGATCCTCCCACCTCGGCCTCCCGAGTAGCTGGGACAACAGACACATGACACCGTGTCTGGCTAATTTTTGGATTTTTTGTAGAGACAGGATTTCACCATGTTGTCCAGGCTGGTCTCCAACTCCCAGGCTCAAGCAATCCACCTGCGTGGGCCTCCTAAAGTGCTGGGATTACAGGCATGATACTATTATCCTCATTTCGCACAGGTCAAAACTGAGGCTCAGATAAGATCAGAAATTTGTCCAAGGTCACAGAGTACCAAAACTCAGAGAAGAAAAGACTCCTGGTTGCCTTGTTTTCCTAATATCTATTCTTCCCTTTATTTATTAGTAAAATCTGTAAATTTTAGCTGAGCACATGGCTGCCTAGTTTAAAATCAGCATTCCCAAACCTCCCCAGGATAATCTGCAAAACTAAGTTCTGACAAATGGGATGGGAACAGAAGTCATTCATGTGCTTATAAAAAAGGGGCATGTGCTTTTGTTCTTTTCTCTTCTTCCCACTGGCTACAAATACGACTTGCTTGTGGAAACAGGAGAAACCCTGTTGATGGTAATTGCCAAACAAATCCATTCTCAGAGACAAAGTGGTACAGTGGAAAAAACACTGCCTTCAAAGTCAGAGAAGACTTCTCAGTATTACCATTTACCAGCTGTGAGATCTTAGTCACAGGACTTAAACTTTATTTGCTTCTCCACTTCTTCAGGGAATAATAAAGTGTATTTCATATTTTGTAATGAGGATTGAATGACACAATGTACATAAAGTTGATGACAGTCAGAACATGATATAAGAGCATTATTATTTCCAAAAGTAACTTTTAAAAATAAATGATGGAAAAATTTTTATTCTAAAAATTAAACATTGAATTTTGAAAAGCATGCAGGGTTTGTTTTTGATCCATACATGTTTTTCAAGTCTTACATATATATACAGACTAAAACCTGGTTAGTGAATTTTCTCTAATCACATGTAATTTTAATAATATATGGCCACAACTTTAACAGGCTACCTATGTTATTAAACTACAAAGGCAAACATAGCCAATAAGCACATTCATACACATTTTCAACTACATAGCAAATATGGGGAAAGCTCATGAAATATACATTGGAATCACTATATATTTACAGCATTTTATTTCAAATGTTTTACCTTTAGAAAATTATTTTATGAAAACTTTTGATCTGCTGAAAAATGTTTTCTGGATCAGAAAAATGTTCACCAATTCCATCTTTCAAATCGGTATCCTAATCATAAGCTAAAAGTATCCCTGCCAATCCTTTAGTCCATCCACCAGAATTTTACAGAGAATGAAACCTAAACCTGAGGTTACGTGACTTGCCCAAAGTTTTATGGATTTCTGATTCTTAACCTAGGGCCATTTTCATCAAATAGGCTCCCACTTTCTTTAGCCTTTTTTTTAACTTTTTATTTTGAAATAATTGTAAACACATTAGAACATGAAAAAAATAAAAACAGTACACAGAGAACCATGTACCCTTCACCCAGCTTCACCTAGTGATGCATCTTGTATAATTATAGAACAATAGCAACAGGAAATTAACAATGGCACAATATTGTTAACTAGACTATAGGACATAATTCAGTTTCACCATTCTTTCATGCATTTATATCTGTGTGTTTGTGTATGTGTAGGAGTGTGTAGTGTAATGCAGTTTTATCCCATGTCTAAAAAATGCTTTCACTAATGCAGCCAATGGCTGGAAGCACTGATAGCGAAATGCCAAAATGACTACATGGCTCATTTTCTTGTTTTAAGTTTTCATGTCTCATAAATCAAGTTCTGGAATTGACACAATGTCTTTCATCTCTGATTTAATGAGCCTGAGCAAATAACTAGACTAAAGATTTTGAATGTCAAATTTCCATTCCATGAAAGCAAACGGGGCAAGGTTAATAGTAGAAAATTGGTCACCTTATTTGAGGCTATCAACTTTATTATGCAAAGGAAAGCAATTAAATGATGACATCTTCACACATCCTTATAACTCCAGAAATAGACTTGTGTTTCAGGCTTTTGTGGAAAACATACTGCACTGATTATTTATGATGTGAGATCTGTGTCTACTTTGAACAGTATAAGAAAACAGACGGGTCATAAGTGGCCTTGTATGTTATACTCTATCCATTCAACAGTTTCCCTTGTCAAGTCAAACAGATGTGTTATAAAGAGATTGAGTCCATCTATGTTTAGCTCTTTCTATACATAGTCAAGATTATTTTATGAAGATACATATTGGTAATAAAATATTCACTCATTACCTCCTACAAACATAAGAAAAAAATTAAATGATTATTCTCAGAAATGTATTTTCATAGATTTGATCAAGTGTTTAAATGACATTTTATTTGATAATTATTTACAGAAGAGTTTCTTAGATTTTTCTTTTCTAGACACATCTACATTCTAGATGAATAAAAATATTTATTGTGGTGATTATTATAATGAACATCCAAACTTAAGATTAAAATTTTATATTGTACATAATAAATATTATAGATAAATATTTAATGTAAGAATAAGCAGCTGTTATTTTTGGTTATTTTCTCAAAGTTTTGCGAACTATGAAACCACAATAGACTTCACAATACAGTCTAGTGAATTATGGGATTAACCTCAAAAGCATTGATCTAAAATCACTTTTAAGACTTGGTCTTCGGCCGGGCATGGTGGCTCATGCCTGTAATCCCAGCACTTTGGGAGGCCGAGGTGGGCAGATCACCTGAGGTCAAGAGTTCAAGACCAGCCTGGCCAACATGGTGAAATCGCACCTCTACTAAAAATACAAAAATTAGCCAGGCATGATGGTGCGCACCTATAGTCCCAGCTACTTGGGAGGCTGACGCAGGAGAATCACTTGAACCTGGGAGGTGGAGGTTGCAGTGAGCCGAGATTGTGCCACTGCACTCCATCCTGGGCAACAGAACGAGATTCTGTCTCAACAACAGCAACAACAACAACAACAACAACAACAAAGACTTGATCTTTCGTTGAATTTGAAGGTGGCTAATAAGACAACTAATTATACAACTAGCCTGTTAAAATATAACTTTTTACTGTGTTTTTTAAATAACAGTAAGAATTGTTATTAATATCTATTTGAAAATAAATTAAGAAAACACAAGGAAAAATAAATTTTAGGGAAATCCATACCCTCAGACAAAGGAAAAAAACTGATCAATATAGCTTTGGTTTTTCAAATAATTTATTTTAATCAATTAACAATAAATTTAGCTAGTCAAAGACTTAGTGTGCTGTTTGGTGAGAAAATGTCTTCACTATGAATGGCATTTTCACTCATTTTGCAATGGAAAGCTCTTAGCAGTTCAAATGGTTTTTAAAGCTTCCATTTATTCCTCTACACTTTTATTAATTCAACAAATATTTTTTGTGCGCCTAATATGAGCCAGGCATTGGGCTGATTCTGAGAACAGATTGATAAACGATAAGAGAGAGCCCTTCTTTCAAGAAAACTTCAATCTAGTAGTGCAAGCAGAAAAGAAAACAAGAAGTTACAATATAAAGCTTGACAGCATTAAAATAAACATTTATTTTCAATTGAGTCCTTAATCTTTTCTCTCAGGTATTTGAGATTATTAATAGTCTAATTTTTCAAATTTCCTGGAACTCTTGTACCTTTAAGAGCATCACGCTTTCAAATAAGTTTTAATTTTCTCTATGATCTTGAAGTGGCTATAAAATTTCTCATAAATTTTCTGTTATCTAACATATAATTATCACATGAAGCTAACTGATATATAAAAATCTGAAACATTCTTACACTGTGTGCCAACATTGATTTAAGATACTAAAAGTCTACACACTTTTTTGTTTCCTGTTTGCAAAATAAGACTTTATTTTCCCTGCACTTTTTCTATCAATAAGGAAGAAATTTCCTCTATAGGACATTCCCATCCATTTTATGTCTTTAACTCTGTCTTTCAAACACTAGCTGGAGTGTAGAGAAGGTATAAATCTTTAGTAGACGTAATGATGTCTGAAGTCATACATATTAGAAAATACCAAAGACATACCAAAGCATGGAAGTATTAGATGCACACTTAAATATTCTTTTTAGATTGTAAAAACAGGCACTTTGTCTTAGATTAGAGCCTCCATTGTTAGTACCTCACTTCATACCAGATGGAGTGAGAGGAATACATAAAAGGGAGATAAAACCAAGCCATTAAACACAGAAAAATCTTCCCATCACTATCTGACTTACCTTATCTGTTTTGAGAATACTAACACTGACCCAGTACTGAGTCATTAATCCAACTGGAAAACACATCCTTACATTCAGACATGACTCTAATGACATAAAGGTGGATAGACCTGGTCCTTCCACTTGAAGGTGTTATATATACATAGAAATTTCTGCTTTGATAAGATAAAGATAAAACTTCTTAAGGTTTCATATACTAACAAACCCCATAACTCAGCCGGTGATCCATGATCACTTAAATTCTCTGCTTGTGTTTCTTCTGATCTCAGACAATCTAAGGCCACATTTTGTCCTGTTTCTTAATGCTGTTTTTAACCTACTTAACAAGGACGACCCAATTCTGTTTTCTATTAATACTTAATTTCTTACTTTTGTCTCCTAACCATTCAAGTATGGACTCTCTAATCTTGTCATTTATATACAGAGCCATTTCTCTTTACCCATTTTGCCTTAAATATTAGCTTCTGTTTTAAGTATCTGTTTTCCTTCTTGTGATATTTTAGACTCCACCTTGTACCTAAAAATGTATAATGCCTGCCTGGCTTCTCTCTTGCACCTTCTCTTTACAAGCTATGAATGATTACTAGCTATAAGTATTTTGCAGGAAAATATTATTATGTCTTCTCACCTGTGAGTTCACAGGACACCAATATACAGAATTCCATCCTAAGGTAGCTGCCAGGATATTATTGAAGATATACAGGTAGAAATCATTAAAGAAAATGTACTTTAAGAAATAATTTCAGACAGCATTTCAGTTCATCGGCAGAACATGTAATATTGAACACATAACAAGGAAAAAAAGGGAGTAAATGATAAATCTAAACATTAGTGTTTATATGAAGCTCGGGGTTAAAGAAGAAAATATAATAATAATATCTGAGGAAGAGTAAAAAAATTGTTTAGACCCTAAAACTTATGCTGAGAAGGTTATGATGTCTTATCTGCTGTGTGTTTTTCTCTGCTATAGGGGAAATCCCTAGAATAGGGCTTGGCATAGGATATACACTCAGTAAATATTTGTTGAATGAACAAATGAATCATTAAATCACCACATTTACATGTTAATCATTCGCTAATTTAAGTTTTGTTTGAGTGTTTCGAGCTTTGCTTCCCTCTTGGAGGAGAGTGTTTATTACTACCTTTAAACACCATTGCAAAAATAATCTCTCAGGACCAGGTCAAGCCCTAAAATTATTTTTGTTTAATATTGCTGGGATCTAAATTTTGCTTAAGGACTTACATTGTTAACATTATTCTGTTCTGAAGAAGTGTCATTAATTGTGATTAATACTGACCTTTCAACATGGGACTTTACAAAGCAGATTTTTGTAATGTCATTTCTTGCTGGAATGTGTTATGCTTTTTTTCCCTACTTGGCTAAGATAACATACATGAAAATTAATATTTTTATTCAATTATTTAATTTGCTGCTCTGCAAAAGAGAACTTTGAAGCCTAAAACTACTGTTAATTTTCCAAACTACTAGGAAAGAAAAGTATTTAGCCACACATTTTTAAAATTCACATTTCAACATCAGAGAGAGAGAGAGAGGGAATACGGACTTTTAAGATGTGGAATGATTATGAGATATCTGAACAACTAGAGTATAAAAAATTCACTGGTAGAATTCAATGATTGAGATAATAATATAATATGTGATATCTCCTAAATAAAATCAATGTTTTTCTCAAGCATTTTCTTTCTCTTCTGTTTTCCTCTCAGTATTGAACGATTCTATTTCTTTTACTCTTTGTTCCTAACGTTAACGTCCTTGTTCTCCATCCTACCAAAACCCAAAATGGTAACTAAGTACAGAGGCTAGGTTAAAGAAAACCATTTCAGATTATTGACCCTTATTTAAATATCTCATTCAGTTCGAGTATTCTTATTAGTTTAAATATTTTTTAAATATAAAGATAAACTAACCAACATTTTATAACTGGAAATACCCCAAGTAGTCTAAAAAAAAGAGAGGGAGAGAGCATAGTTTCCATTTATGCATAGCTGTTTCTGTAAAATTTGCTAAATCATTAAGAAGTTAAAGGATACATGTATAATATTTTTCTTCATGCAAAGAAAATAGAATTAAAGTTCAGTCACAAAGGGAGGTTTTCCTAGGCATGATACCAAGACAGAAACCGTAAAGGTAAACAATGGTAGATGAGACTTCACAGACATTTAAAATTTCAGACCAGAAAAAGATAATTAATTAGGTCAAAAGGAAAATATCTACTGTTCTGTCATATAATATATAATATTGATGGGTCTTTAAACTGTTACAGCTTTTCTGGAGTACTATTTGGTTATATTGATATAGCTGTAAATTCAGAGATAGACAATAATAATGATGATATAGACCTAAATAAATATTTAAACAATATTTACCATGAAACTCCACTTCCACTTCCAGAACTCCACTTCCAGAAATGTATCTTAATACAATGAAACTAGTGGGAAAATAATATGTTCACAAAAGAAAAATGTATATCAGGAAAAATTCAATTAACCTTAATATCCAACAAAGTAGGATAATTTAAGTAAACATTGAACATATATGCCTACATTGAACAATAATGAAACTATGAAAAATGTTAATATAGTTTTGTGCTTTTATTCATCTGTATTATATGGTTACATTTTTTAAAGTTCTAAAACAATATATCAAAATTGTAACATTGCAGTTTTCTTTTTAAAAAGATATGTGTTCCTAAATATGGGTACACATATATAATAAAGATAATTTGGAAAAATTAGCATCAAGTTTTGAAGTTGTATCTGATTTGATGGCTATATCTGATTTGATGGATAAGTGATTATTTTCTATCTCATTTATGCATTTTTGAAAATCTAATTTTTTCAAATAAAAACAAATTTCATACTGGGAAAAATTCAAACAAATGCAAACAAAAAATAACAATACCTAAAATTCATGTTTCACTAAAAGAGAAACTCATGCAGATATTCTTGAGTCCTTTTGATATTTGAATTTCCTTGAGGCAAGTTTTTCAAATCACACCCTATAAGACATACCTATATTTTTCTTTTCTCCCCCTTCTTTTGTCTCTTTCTTCTTGAATATCCTACATTTCTTTATCCCATGATTTCACTAAGTAAGTCCTTCATGAATCTCTAAATTAATGTTATACAGAGATCCCTGAAATTGTGGTATTTTCATGCTATCAAATTGAGGACAATAAAATACTTAATAATTATGTATCTCTAGCATATGGAAATTTAATAAAATTTAACAAGATTTGTATTTTCTCTTTAAATACATTAAAATTATTACATATTTTTTGATTATTATAACATGTTTCTCTAGAGTGTTTTCTCAAAAATCTTTATATCCAGTAATTAAATATGCTCACAGATCATGGCATAGGTCTTATTTAATGAAACTTTCTTAATTAAAAATTATAATATTACTATTACCCATTCTTATTATAATAGCTAGAAATTTGCTACATACCAAGGTTGTGGGTACCTACTGACAGTTAGCAATCATCAGTTTTGCTGTCATGTGGCTACTTACTGAAAACTTAGCAACCTTGGGAATATTGCTACAAATGATCTAGAAAGAGAGTAAAGAGAGGATGGGCAGTGACAAAGCTCAGGCAGGCACTGGGAGAGTGCTCTGAGCTCTGCCGGTACCGTATACACTTAGCAATAGGAGAAAGGCAGCAGGGGATGATTGGGAACTAGGCTGGTTTCCCTGTTTCTCCACTACATTTAATTTCATCTCCATGCGATAAGAGGAGTAAAATTATTTACAGCATTAGTTTTATTAATAAAATGAGAGCTACACATAGCTCTTGTTATGTTCCGGGTACTGTTTGAAATGCATATTGAATTATGTAAGTTCCACCATTATAATAGATGAGAGAAATGAGGCCCAAGGAGGTTTCTAAACACCTACATGACAGAGCTGAAATTTGAAACAGACATCCTGGTGCCAGAACTCATCCTTCTAAATGCCATAATGTATCATTTTTCATATGACCTGAAGGATTAGGTACAACCTAATTAAATGTGATCCAATAAGTAATTTTTATGACTTAATTGAATATAGGTATTATAAACATGAAAAACATTATTTGTTATTATAAACAATGTTAATTAAATGATTGTCTACATTCTACCAATTTGATGGGGGATTCCTTCACAGAATGTTATGGTTTCCCATGTCTAATCATGTTTCAAATAAAGGCATCACTTAATTAGTTGTAGAAAAACAGTTAAACAGAAGGTTACACTGACAATTTTTAAAAATTAACACATGGTAAATTACTGGAACGTTTTAATTTGTGCTATGACATACTATGTATGGTAATGTGGACATACCATGAAGTATATAATAAATGGTTTAAATTACTAAGGGAATAAAATGAAACATAATTTAAAGTTTACATTTATATTGAGTTATATATCAGTGTGTATTACTATATAGGTTGCTATACAGTAGTATACATTTTATATATTTGATAATATTTTGAAAATTATTTCTGAGTTCTCTCATCGAGGCTATTGCTTTTTCTGCGTTCTTGCTTTAGGAAGAGGTCTCCAAACTGATCTCATTTTCTGGGTCCAAAGTTTGTCTTTCATCTAGTGCATGGCCCATGAAAATTCAGGCTCTAGGATATTACGTACCAACGAGACAACTTTTTAAAAAATTGTTATTTTTGACCCCTCGGAGATTTGTCAGTTTTCCAACAGCTCAGTCATTCATGACAAATGATGTTTTTTTTTCATATTTTAGCATATATTTAAAAATTGTTGTTGAACTACGTTGTGTTCTTATGCATTGATTGCCTGAAATTTTGTTGTAGGTTAAGGTTCCCTACATCTCTTTGAGGGGAATATATGTTACATTTAGATGACACTTACATGTTCATTAGCCATTTTTCTTTTTAATCAGAGATTAATTGGATACTTACTACGTTTAAGGCACTTCACTAGATAATATACACCATAAAGATAAAATGCATTTCATTTTCTGGCAGTTTAATGAAAGATGCAAAGAAAAATGGCGCAATAGTATCTAAGTGGCTTGACCAGCATGGTTTCTTTTTGCCTTGTCAATTCTCTTTATTTCAGTGCCTGTCTCAAAGCTCTGTTCCTAGGTCCCTCTCCACTGTGAACCTTTAGCTCTTTAAAATTTACTGGTTTTATCACAAATAGTCACATTTTCCTATCACCTATTCTCAATTATAACTGTTCTGTTCCCTATTTCATCATGCTCTTCTTTCCAGGTGTTGCTTATCTCAGCCATGTATGAAGTCATTGAAATTTAGATGGAAATAACTGGTAGAATTACTCTCCCAGAAGACATTTTGTAGGGGCCAAGGGAGAACTTTCTTCTTGACTCTCTGAAGGTTTGCTGAAAAATCAATTCACAAAAGGCAGTTTAATTGGAGAAAAGGCATACAAATTTATGTAACATGTATCCATAAGAGTCTTCAGAATAAAGACCGAAAGATAGAGAGGAAATTGTTCATTTTTTATGCTTAGGTTTAACAAAATATGGACAAGCACATAGAAATATGACTGGACAAAAAAAGTATAATCCGATGTTAACAGGCTGAGTGGGGAAACCCGGCAAGATCTGTCTGTCTAAATGTATGTCCTTGTGTGCATACATTTCTTTCTTCTGGGCATGGGAGGTGAGCCCCCCAAAATTTATTTACAGAAAAGGAACTGGACACCAAGTGAGACTTTAATTTATAGACTGCATCCATGAGAGATTTGGGGTAGTGAAAGTCTTGCTGTGCATCTTTCCTAATCCCAGGTGGTTGACCTGACCCTCCAGGTGGTACACTACTCATTGGTTTTCTAGAGAAAGTAAAAAGCATTAAATTGATATTGTTTGAAGGGTAGCCATTCACATGCATGCCTGATTTCTCCTTAGATTTCCAGATAACTCCACACCCTTTTCTCAGTAACCTCTACAACCTTGCCAGCACTGTTGGTAAGAGAAAGGAAACCATTCCAGATTTTTGTTCCTGTTCTAAGATATGGGTTATGTTATAAGAATACCAGCACTTATTTTGCAAATGAAGATTATTCTCTGTCAAGGTTTTATTAGAAAATAAAGAGCAAAAAAATAAAAATAAATAAAATACAGAGATATTAAGAATGGCCTGCCTACTATACATTACTTTGCTTAAAGTTTTTTTTTTTTTTTTTTTTTTTTTTTTGTGAGACGGAGTCTCGCTCTGTCACCCAGGCTGGAGTGCAGTGGCGTGATCTCGGCTCACTACAAGCTCCGCCTCCCAGGTTCTCACCATTCTTCTGCCTCAGCCTCCTGAGTAGCTGGGACTACAGGCACCCGCCACTACGCCCGGCTAATTTTTTGTATTTTTAGTAGAGACGGGGTTTCACCGTGTTAGCCAGGACGTGATCTGCCTGCCTTGGCCTCCCAAAGTGCTTGGATTACAGGCGTGAGCTACCGTACCCGGCCTGCTTAAAGTTTTTTAATTTGAGCATTTAACATTTTCCTTTATTCCCGACCAGAGTCCTGAAGGGAATTCTGATGATTTTTATTATAGGAACCTGGGATATAACATTACTTCCATAAAAATGGTATAATATGCTATGCAACCTCAAGCGTGTCCTTTTTGTTTTTCCACTATTCAATTTGAGCAAATTATCGAATTCCTCTAAGCATCAGTTTCTTTATGCTTAAGATGCTGTGAGAAAGAAAAAAAATGCCAGAATGAATGTAAATCAGGCTACCACCAGGGTGCCTGATTTGAGAGTAAGGAACACCACCAGCAAGTGGAGCTCAGATGGCACGTGGGTCATCTTTTTTGCTCTCCAGTGGAAACCAATGGCAGAGCCTGGCACGTGGGACTTTGGGGATCTGACTGTCATGGACAACAATCAATCACAATGAATGCTTCCCCAACACAGAAGCAGGCTGTGAGCAAGGAACTTCTAAAGATACTTTAGGAAAAAGTAGGCTGGCCCTAGAAAGAAAGTTGTGAGGCACGAAAGAATAAAAAGCTGAGAATATAGAAACACTTGGGTAAATCTAAACAAACATTGACTGAATAAAACAATAATAATAAAGTCCAATTTGTGGGATTAAAATAAGCTAGAAATAAAATATTGGATAATCATAGCATAATATTTAGAAGAATGACTATAGCTAAAACATTTTTACATGGTTAAATTTGGGGAAGAATGACAAAAATATCTATTAAACATATAGTTTATTAAGTAAAATTTGCATATTAAAATTTCCAGAGTAATCTCTAGGGGATTAGAAAAGGAACATGTGTTCAGAACCGGTAGAAAGGAGAAGATGGAATAGTGCGAAATCTTAGTCTTCCACAAGGAGCAATAAAAGTAAAAGAGAAAAAGGAACGATGGAAAAAGCAGGGAAATGAAAATCAAAACCACAATGATCCTCTCACTGCAGTTAAAATGGCTATCAAAAAGACAGAAAACAAAATGCTAGCAAGGATGTGGGTAAAAATGTAAATTAGTATAGCCATTATGGAAAATAGTATGGAGGTTCCTCAGAAAACTAAAATTAGAATTACCATATGACCCAGCAATACCACTTATAGATATATATCCAAAAGAAAGGAAATCAGTATATCAAAGAGATATTTGCACTCCTAAGCTTATTGCAGCACTGTTCACAATAGCCAGGATATGGAAGTGTCCATCAGCTAATGAATGGATAAAGAAAATGTAGCATATATAAACAGTGGAATATTATTCAGCCATAAAAAATAAAATCCTGTCATTTGTTGCAACATGAATGGAACGGGAGGACATTGAGTGTAATAAGCCAGGCACAGGAAGACAAAAATCACATATTTTTTCTCACATATGGGAGCAAAAATCAATTGATCTCATGGAAGTAGAGAGTAGAATGGTAGTCACCAGATGCTGGGAAGGGTGGTGAGGGAATTGGCAATAAATAGGTACAGGTTGGTTAAGAGTACAAAATACAGCTAGACAGAGGAATAAGATCTAGTACTCAATAGCACTATAGGGCAGCTAGCGTTAATGATAATTTATTGTATATTTTAGAATAATTAGAAGAGTAGATTTAGAATGTTTCCAACACAAAGTAATAATAAATGTTTGAGGTGACGAATATCCCAATTACCCAGATTTACTCATCACACATTGTATGCTTGTATCAAAATATCACATGTACCCCATAAATATGTACAACTATTATGTATCCATTAAAATTAGAAACATAAAAAACTGTGAGATCACTAACAGGATATAACATAATTAATCATAAGTCATGTAATAAAAAAAATCAGAAGTTTTTCTGGGAAAAAAATAAGAAGTCAAAGCACAACACAGTTGATAAACCGATAGGGAACAAAGAATATAATCAGCACTGAGAGTCCTCTTCCTCTTACCTAGATTTTAGATTTACAAATTTTTATATTTTTAATCACCCTTTCTACCATAACCTTGAGGCTAACTTTTTAATAACCGTAGAACCACCAAAAATTCACTGCCACATCACTTTCCCTTCTCTTGGCCACCCCCTTTCTCCAGAAAGAGTTTTCTTTACGCAGTTGAATAAAAATTTCCACTACAAGTGTAAGATGTGGAGTATGAAAGTAGGGAAAATGAAACCAATTTTAAAACTCAAGGAAAAACTAATAGGAGAGAAATCTTGAGGGGAAATCAGTTAATGAAATGCTCTAATTTTACATTTGAAGAACAAGAGAAATTAAGATGATGTAATTAAACTAAGACTCTCAACTTTTTGTTTGTCATCAAAAAGTTGTTAACAATCTTAGTTATCAAAAATTATTTTTATTTTAGATAAAACTGTATACATAAAGGAAATAAATTGAGAAAACATTTTAAAATACAGTGATAGAACCAATGATGCACCTCAATTAGAAATCTGTTATTGTTCGTTATCCCCTAGGAGAAGACCAGAGACACAAACCATTTCTTTGGTCCCCTCTGAATCTAACTCTTGCATAAAGGGTACATCCAAATTACTTAAGATGAAATAATTTGGTTCAGTTAGATACCTTGTAAATGCAGGATCAAAATTTGCTATAAATAAAGAGATATCATTGGGGCAGTTCTTCCCATTTGAACAATATGTAAAGGCATATGCCTAATATAACCCGCCTACAGGGAAAAAGAGAAGGGAAGAAAAAGAAATATCTAAATCATGCTCACTACCTGGCTGAGGGGATCATTCATACCCTAAACCTCAGCATCACGCATATGCCCATGTAACAAACTTGCACATGTATCCCATGAACCTAAAATGAAAGTTGAAATAAATAAGTAAATAAATAAATACATAAGTAATCTAAATCAGCCCACTTCACACCTGGGGGTGACAGAGTAGTCTTTCTGATGAGGGTTTTTTTCCCCCCAATTATATCTTTGTTGTTGGTTTTTCTTCTGACATAACTAAAAGTCAAGGGATAATGTTTAGCCCCGCATTCCTGAGGAGAAGCTTTGCTTGCAGAATGATAACTGACTTTACTCTTCTTGGTGGTGTTTATCACACCCTTCTTCAAAAAACCTTCCAGGTATTCATGCCTTACTAGTAAATCCTTGAGGACAAAGACAATGCTCATCTTGTTCAGGGGTATTGTTACTAACAGTTACTAAAGATAAATTTATGTCTTAAAATATAGATGGATACATTGCAACAACTACGTGACGAAAGCAAGGAGGAATTTTTATCCCCATCTAACTGAGAAACAGTCTGAGAGAGACTAAGCTCTCTAGAGAGTACGATGGCTAACAAGGGGAGGAACCAGGACTACAACAGCACTATCTCCATACCATTCCATGTTTTCACCTCTCTCAAGGCCAAGTATACATGCTTGTATTAACAGAGAAATAAATGCTGTTCATAAAAATACAACTCCACAAAAAACTAACGAAAAAAAAGTCATTTGTAAAAAAAATCAATTGTGTTTCTCTCCTTTTTTCTGAATGATTTCTAAAATTAAATTTCTCAACTAGGTAGACTGATCTGAAACTTGCAAGGCATTGCCCAACACTGAGTAATCCTATACAAAATATGGACCCACCAAGTACTTTAGCTCAAGTTGTTTTGTCTTCCTGTTTTCTCACCCTTACTTCAGTAGCAGACAAGATGCATGTCAAACAATGACAAAATAATTTTGAATTTTACAAAGCACTTTAACAAATCACCTCAGTCACTCTAAACTGTAACAGCCTATAAATGCAAATGCCACATTTATCTTAAGGGTGCAGAATGTCTGAAAAATAGTAAAGGTCCCCTCAGCATTTCTCTCATGGTAGGAAACTGTAAAATTCCACAGACACACTATACAATGCATCTCTTATTTAGAAAAGGAAGACAAACCAAGGGCATGAGACAATATATTATTTGTTTTTAGTGTTTCTTACACTCAAATTATTTTACTTCAGACTACAAGAAGCAAAGAGAGATAACCCCAAATAAAGCTCCTCCTAAACTTCAAAACTCTGCTAAGGGTTTGAAGACAGATGTAGGATGTCTGCCAGCTTTGATAAGAAACTGTAAAAGAAAGGACAGAACCTTAGGAAGTGGAAAGATACACCAAAGTGTATTTATTACTCAACTGAGTAAAATTATGATAAAGAACAGTTGTACCATTTGTGTGAAGAGAAAGCTAAAATTTTAAATACAGCCCATATATTTTTGTCATAGCTGCAATCTAAATTTTAATAACAGAACAAGAAGCTATTCTTTTTAAGATTTTCATCAAATTTGAAGTTATAAACCTTACTTTGATTTTATTCATTGATAATCATTGAACTAATAAGTCATGTGTGGAAAATGCTATAAAAATTTCACTGGAGGCTTTCTTTTATTAAAATAAAACATTTTAAACTTATTTATTTATTTATTTATTTATTTATTTATTTATTTATTTTGAGATTGAGTTTCACTCTTGCCCAGGCTGGAGTGCAATGGCGCCATCTTGGCTCACCGCACCTCCGCCTCCCAGGTTGAAGTGATTCTCCCGCCTCAGCCTCCTGAGTAGCTGGGTGTACAGGAATGTGCCACCATGCCTGGCTAATTTTGTGTTTTTAGTAGAGATGGGGTTTCTCCATGTTGGTCAGGCTGGTCTCGAACTCCCACCCTCAGGCAATCCACCCGCCTTGGACATTTTTAAATATGCTTCTCTATGGGGATTATGCCAAGTGTACACTTGAAAACCTGTTTCTCTTTGATGAGAGCTAGAGGTAATTCATAATTTAATTGTCATAGGTTTTTAGAATTCATTCCCAACCTCTTCATTATTCCACTAAAAATATTTATTGAACAACTACTATGAGCTATGCACCATGATTGTGATATAAATTTGAAAAAAAATCTCCCACTAATATTCTCTGTAATTGAAGTTTTCTTCTTCAACATCTGCTGCAGCACTGAATTCCTGCTACATGTCACTCTTTATTCATAAGTCAGTAGAGACGAAAGCAGCAGGATACATTTATCCAGAGAGTCTGTAAATTATTTAAAGCTACAGTGGCTTTCTTTCAAACATCACTATAACTTATCTAGGGCAGCAGCCTAAAACAATGTCAAAGTTTCTCTGTTCCCCATTTCATTTTCATAGCCAGTGAATAATTCATATTTCTAAACTCAATTAAACTATAACCTTGTGAATTTTCTACTTTACTTGTTCACATTGGAAAAATTAAGTAATTTTTCTTTTATTACAGAGTAATATATTTGCTTGCATTGTTTTCTTTATAATAAAATATATCATACTTTGATAACTTCCTTGAACTTTATAAATATCAAAGGTTTTATGAATGTAAGACTCATGTATCATTATTGCCTTAGAGAGCAAAGCAAATGCTAACACATTATTAAATATAGATACATCAAAAATTTAGATTTTTTATTATAATTTTATAACACAATTTTAGTACATAAATTTAAATCATACTAAACTTTTAAGAGCAAGTTATTTACATAGATTGATCTAGTTGATTTTCCAGAATTTGAACCTTTTTTTTATTTAAATTATTAAATCAGTTTCTCTACTACAAACAGTATAAAATCTCATTCCAACTTAAAAGTTTTAAAACATTGACCTGTCAGGTTATTAGTTTACTAACATGGAAACACATTTTAATATTAATTTACCTCATTACATGTATTTAAAAGTTTTAAGCTAAACAACAAAATCATAAGACAAGTAGAGTACATTTCAGTATTACAATTTAACTTCATTTTTAAGAAGCATATAATGAAAATATACAAATAGTAGACTTTTCAATAGGAAGAGCTTTTGGATCAGTGAGACCAATAAAAAGTTTGTTTTATCATTTGATTCACATTTTCCTGAGCTCAGTTTTTAAAAACTATCAGAAAAGAGATTCGGTATATTTGGTTTGCAATAGCACATTGCAAATAGCATATTAATGTACATTTGCACATTAAAAGGCAAGGTTGGGGGGCCAGTTTTTTCCCAGGCTACATAAATGACATACTTGGTCAGACCAATCTCCTGGACCCTATGCAAATCAGACACCACCTCCTCCAGCTTCCTAATATAACTGGCTGTTCCCCACCCCCCACCCCCACACTTGGGGATCCCTCTCTCTGCTTGGGGCCCACTTCCTTCTGTCTCTGTACAGGGAGCTACTTCCCTCTTTCTTGCCTATGAAACCCACTAATATATAATTAAATTGTATATTTCAAAACATTTTGAAGCATACAAATGACTATAAATTTATAAATAGTAATTTGACAAAATGTTTTACATATAAGTAATTGAAAATATATCATTTTTGAGATAATTCTTTTATGTGAGTCTAGTTAATTAGCTCATTTTCTCTGTTAAACATATATAATGCACAATGTCTTAAGAATGTCTGACTCCTTCCAATTTGTGAACTTTTTTTTTTTTTTTTTTGAGACAGGGTCTCATTCTGTTGCCCAGGCTCGAGTGCAGTGGCACCATCTTGGCTCCCTGCAAACTCCACCTCCCCGGTTCAAGCGATTTTCCTGCCTCGGCTTCCTGAATAACTGGAATTACAGGCACCCACCACCATGCCCAGCTAATTTTTATATTTTTAGTAGAGACGGGGTTTCGCCATGTTGGCCAGGCTGGTCTCAAACTCCTGACCTCAAGTGGTCCACCCGACTCGGCCTCCCAAAGTGCTGGGATTACAGTTGTGAGCCACCATGCCCAGCCCCCAACTTGTAAACTTCTTAAATGCAGGAACTGTATTTTATTAATCTTTGAATCAATATTATCTAGCACCATGGCTAGTTAATTATATATGCTTCATAATTACCTCTTTAAAAATCTTAAAATTGAGAGATGAGTTGAGGGTCTAAATTGCCTTTCAACTTAAAAAAAAAGTGTTTAGTTGAAAGATAATATACCAAAGTCCTGACAAATCTTTTACCTACTACCCCAAATTTGAAGATGTTTTTCTAAACATCATTATATTCCATGTTTTTATCATCTATTTCTTAAATTATTGTAACAGTTTTGTTTCTTTCACCTTGCTTTTAATACTGCAGAAGTTTAGTAACATAATCTCTCACACTGCTCTCAGCTTTTCATTTCCTTGCTCAAGAACCTGTAGTAGCAACCTTTGGCTTTTAAGATAAAGTGTTTATTCCATACCCTAGCATTGAAAGTCCTCTATCAAGAACCCTCTATTCCAAATTTTCCAATTTTAGCTCATTTTAAAACAAAGCCATTATACTCTATTCATATTTACTTTCATATATATATATGTATACATATATATATAATCTTCATACTGCTAATCTGCTTTGTGAGTCTCACCTCCTTACCAAGACAGGTCCATCCAAAAATGTACCCTCACTACTTTCTGCCATTGCAATACTCAGATTTCAGGTACATAGGTCTACTAAACAGCAAACATCTGGAAATTATGATTTCTTGCCTTGTATCAATTCAGTTCAAATATTTAGGAGGCCCCAATATTTCAAGGATAGGCATTGGGTTCTACAGAATATACAAAAATAAGTATATGACAATTGTAGCAGTTAAAGCCTACTTACAATATAATAGACACACTCACACACAATATTTTAATGAAAAGTTAAATTGTAGTACAAATAAAAATCAAAAAAGCTATGTAGAATAGTAATCAGTAGTATAACATGAAAAATAAGAGCAGTCAATAATTTTTAAAGTATGCTCAGTGAGCCATCAACATCAGAAACACTTGGTGTACTTATTAAAATTCAGATTCTAAGACCCCAGTAACACCTGCTAGGGATGGGTTGCCATGAAATCTGTTTTCTGTTTGTTTGTTTGTTTGTTTCCTCAAGCCCTTCAGATGATTTTGACATGCACTACAGTTTGAAAATCACTTGCTTAAACTTTGTAATCAGACAGACCTAGGCTTGAAAATTTATGATTTATTATAAAATTCTTGGACACACACAACCAGTGGGTTCCATCACTTGGCAACTGACAGTCCAATGACCACAACCAGGGTGGATTTCACAAGGGGATTCACTACTTGTAAGGAGGATGCCCAGGATAGTTCCTAAAGCAGTGCCTTACGATGGCGAACATAGGGTTGTGGTTTTTTTTGTTTTTGTTTTTGTTTTTGAGATGGAGTCTCGCTCTGTCACCCAGGCTGGATTGCAGTGGCGCACTCTTGGCTCACTGCAAGCTCTGCCTCCCGGGTTCACACCATTCTTCTGCCTCAGCCTCCCGAGTAGCTAGGACTACAGGTGCCCACCACCACGCCCGGCTAATTTTGTGTGTGTGTGTTTTTAGTGGAGACAGGGTTTCACCGTGCTAGCCAGGATGGTCTTGATCTCCTGACCTCGTGATCCACCTGCCTCGGCATCCCAAAGTGCTGGGATTACAGGCGTGAGCCTCCATGCTGGGCCAACATAGAGTTTTTAATTGGGCTGTTTTGCTGGGTCTTTTTTTTTTTATTTTTTATTATACTTTAAGTTTTAGGGTACATGTGCACATTGTGCAGGTTAGTTACATATGTATGCATGTGCCATGCTGGTGCGCTGCACCCACTAACTCATCATCTAGCATTAGGTATATCTCCCGATGCTACCCCTCCCCCTCTCCCCCCACCCCACAACAGTCCCCAGAGTGTGATATTCCCCTTCCTGTGTCCATGTGATCTCATTGTTCAATTCCCACCTATGAGTGAGAATATGCGGTGTTTGGTTTTTTGTTCTTGCGATAGTTTACTGAGAATGATGATTTCCACTTTCATCCATGTCCCTACAAAGGACATGAACTCATCATTTTTTATGGCTGCATAGTATTCCATGGTGTATATGTGCCACATTTTCTTAATCCAGTCTATCATTGTTGGACATTTGGGTTGGTTCCAAGTCTTTGCTATTGTGAATAATGCCACAATAAACATACATGTGCATGTGTCTTTATAGCAGCATGATTTATAGTCCTTTGGGTATATACCCAGTAATGGGATGGCTGGGTCAAATGGTATTTCCAGTTCTAGATCCCTGAGGAATTGCCACACTGACTTCCACAATGGTTGAACTAGTTTACAGTCCCACCAACAGTGTAAAAGTGTTCCTATTTCTCCACATCCTCTCCAGCACCTGTTGTTTCCTGACTTTTTAATGATTGCCATTCTAACTGGTGTGAGATGGTATCTCATTGTGGTTTTGATTTGCATTTCTCTGATGACCAGTGATGATGAGCATTTTTTCATGTGTATGCTGGGTCATTTTTATGTAGATGTGGAGTAAAGGCAGCGCAGGTGCACTGCTCTGCTTCTACATACGTCATTATGTATACAAAGTGGCGGATAAGCTCCTCCCTGGACAGGAATTTTCATGTGATAATAAGGGGAGTTCTCTAAAGTAAATCTCCAACTCATGCATCTCTGACTTGAATCTGTTTTTGTTTTTCTGGGGCTGAGCTTCTTCCTGGAACTTTGTGAAACAAGAACTCAAGGTGCAACAATTACAAGTGGATACTTTTTCATAGTGCATACCCAACAGCCCAGGAACCCTGAGTTATGAAATCTTAGGAAAACCATTTAGATTCTTTTAAAATGTTTCCGCTACCAGGCATGGTGGTTCATCCCTGTAATCCCAGCACTTTGGGAGGCTGAAGCGGGAGGATCCCTTGAGGCCAGGCGTTTAAGACCAGCCTGGGCAAAATAGTGAGACTCTGTCTCTACTAAAAATAAAAATTATAAAATTAGTCAGGCATGGTGACATGTGCCTGCAGTCCCAGCTGTCCAACAAGGAGAGGAAGGAGGACTGCTGGAGCCCAGGAGTTTGTGCCTGCAGTGAGCTATGATTGTGCCACTGCACTCTAAACTGGTTGGCAGAGAAATATATATATATTTTTTTTGTCTCAAAAAAAATTGCTTCATCAACTGTTAAATGGAAATAATAATATTTACTTCACAGTGTAGATTAAATAAAATAAGCATGTTAAGTACTGAGCACACTACCTAGCATATGGTACCTGGAATATTAATTAATAGTAATAATTAGGATTATTAACCATGATACGCTGACTACAAATGGGATTGGCAGTCACAAAGCGTTCCTGCAGGAGGTGGAAATTAAGCTGCTGGACCTTCTTTTTTTTTTTTTTTTTTGAGACAGAGTCTCACTCTGTTGCCCAGGTTGGAGTGCAATGGCGCGATCTCAGTTGACTGCAACCTCCACTTCCCGGGTTCAAGCCATTCTCCTGCCTCAGCCTCCCGAGTAGCTGGGACTACAGGCACATGCCACCACCCCTGGGTACTTTTTGTATTTTTAGTAGACATGGGGTTTCACCATGTTGGTCAGGCTGGTCTCAAACTCCCGACCTTGTGATCTGCCTGCTTCGGCCTCCCAAAGTGCTGGGATTACAGGCGTGAGCCACTGTGTTTGGCCTGAGCTGGACCTTTAAGAACAACAATTCTAGCTGGGCATGGTGGCTCATGTCGGTAATCCCAGCACTTTGGGAGGCCAAGGCAGGCAGATCACCCGAGGTCAAGAGTGAGTTCGAGACCAGCCTGACCAACATGGAGAAACCCCATCTATACCAAAAATACAAAATTAACCAGGTGAGGTGGTGCGTTCCTGTAATCCCAGCTACTCGGGAGGCTGAGGCAGGAGAATTGCTTGAACCCGGGAGGTGGAGGTTGCAGTGAGCCGAGATCATGCCATTGCACTCCAGCCTGGGCAACAAGAGTGAAACTCTGTCTCAAAAAAAGTAAGAAGAAGAAGAAGAAAGAACAATTCTTCAATAGCTTCCAAATGTCATCCACACAATGCTCTATATCAACACTTTTTAAATGACTGGGTTAACCTAGTGCTTTCTGGGCTAATCAAAACTGTTGACTAAAAGAAGTCAATCACAAAGGGCAATATATTATCAGATACCAATTATATAAATGTCCAGAATAAGCAAATCTATAGAGACAGAAAGTAGGTTAGTGTTTGCTTAGGGTTAGGGAGAAATCAAGAGGTTGGGGGATGAAAGCTAAAAGGGTAGGAGATTTCTTTTTGTGGTGATAAACATGTTTTAAAATTAAATGTTTATACAACTTTGTAAATAAACTAAAAATCATTAACTGTACACTTAAATGGGTGAATTTTATGATATGAGGATTATATATCTCAGTAAAGATGTTACCAAAAAACTATTCACTACAGGATCTTACTTTTCTTATTCTTTCTTGATTTGGACAGTGTTTCTGAGCAGGGACTCTCTACCAGCACAGAATGGAATTACTGTAGAATGGCTCAAGGGAGAGAAAAGAACAACTAAGATGTGGAGACACCACTGTTATTGCCCTTCTGCCTGGGAATTCTTTACCTTTTCTGGGCATTGGCAGTTGTGATTCATCCACTCTAAATAAGATATCTTAAAATATTAGAACATATTGGCCTGAAAAAAATCTCCCTAAGAGAAGTGATATGTTAAGATTATTTGAAGCATTTACATAATTTAAGAGTAATCAATGAGTCTAGAGCTTAAAAAATATAATAAGATTAAAATAAGTTGTGAGCCGGGAAAGTAAGAACTAGAATAAAAGTAAAATTTAATTCAAAGAATTTGTTCCATAGCTCTTAGGGGTTAGATTGCCTTCGGATGCATTGACTTTAAGCTGTCAAAAATCTTGAGTGACAGACTGGTAAGCTAATATCCAATATGCTTGTTTTGTGGCTGTAAAAGAAGATCACTTTTCGCTTTTTCGTATCTTAATTGTGGATTTTCTGTCATCTGCTTGTATATGTAAATTACTTGACTATTGCTAGAAACACAATCACGTAAATTCTCTGATTTCAAAGTTCAGTTTATTTCTTTTGATGATTTTTTTCCTTAGGTTATATAATGTTCTATTTGGATCCTAATGGTGCATGTTAATACACATAGACACATACAAAGACATACCCACATGTTTACATATTCTCAGTATTAAGTGAGAGAGACATTACTGAAAGCTTTTGAGTTGTTATTACATAGTATAACTCTTGTAATATTCCTAGTGGACAAAGCATTGAGCAGAACAATTTTCTTGTCCACCCACTGAAATGTAAGAATTAACTCTTATTTTGGGTAGTTGGGCAATTGTTAGTATAAATTAGGAAAGAGGGAGATTGAGAATTGGAAAAAAAAGAAGAAGAAGAAGAAGAATTAGAGACAAGTAAGCTTGGAAAGGAGTATGTGGATGGAATACTTGAAAAAAGTCCAAATCATAAAAATATTTGTATCCCATGTGGATTCTAACCAGAATACACTCTACTCCACATAAGAGGAGGCTTAATCCAGATGTATAAGCTGAATGTGAATATGAGTCATACTCCTTCCACAGTTGGCCCGGGACTTCAGGTTTATAAACAAAGTTGTTATGGTAACAAGAATGATCATTATACATGAGCTTAGTTAACTGCTGCTACTACTGAATGTCCAATTTGCCAGAAATGGTGGTCAAACGTGATACCCTAAGGGAACTAGCCAGCTACCTGACCATTGTTTAATTAAAGGGTGGCCTTTTCATTGCCAAGGAAGCATTCCAAAAAAATATTACTTCCAATCCAGGTACCTGCCTCACATCTTAAATCAGTGAGCTCATGTCCAAGGGCAGTAATCTTATGGGATAGTTTATAAACTTAGCTGCACTACCAGTTTGCAGACAAGACTTTTTGTAAAGTTGGGACACTAACTTACAGGATGCATTTTTCTCTCTGAGTTAATATATGCTTCTGTTTATCTAAAAATGCACAAATTTTAGTATGAAGAAGACGTGCAAATGAAGCTCCTATAATTATATCTAAGGATCTTATAAATTGTTTGCTTTTTAGCTGAGGAATTGACATTCCTATAAACTTTAGTACCCAAGAAAGAGATGTGTATACCAATAAACACAATAAAACTTTCTCTGAATCAGAAACACAGGCTGACTATTGATAATTTTGATTTCCTCTTGTCTCTAGGTAAAGAGCTAAAAATCACAAGTATGCTATTGGTTGACCACATTGACACTGACTATCAAAGGTAAATAGCATTTCTGCTACACAATCAGGACTGGAAAGAGTTACGATAGAACTCCAAAGGAATGCTATACAACAGCAGTCCCCAACATTTTTGGCATCAGGGACTGGAAGCAACTGAGCACTACGTCGTATGAGAACCATGAACATTAGATCAGAATACACAAACCTCTCCTTCTGGGAAGCTTGCAATTTGAAGGGAGGAAAAACTTTTAAAGGTCAATAAAATTCTAACAGTAAAAATGCTAATAATAAATCAGCATAGGTAGCAGTATGCTCCCATAAATATTAGTACTGAATTCTCTATTGAGGAAGACAGTCTAGTCATGGTCTAATATAAACAATTTTCACTGTTTTGGAGAAAAAGCAATATAATTTGACAGATAAGTGGCAAGTCCTTCATAGGTAAGAAAGATGAGAATCTTTGATATTCATTTGAATTTAAAAAAATTCTCAAAAATGAAAAATAGAAAGGGGTTCTGTAAAAACACATTCCTACTATTGTGGTTTTTTGAGTAGGTAATTGTGTTCAACATAAACACTTGAGAAAATTGTTAGTTCCATTTCTCTGGTACAGTCACAATTGTGTTTGGGTTCAGCATAACGCACCTGTGTAGTTGCTCTTCACAAAACAAGTTGTATGGATGAAGATCTGGGATGAGTATGTGATTTGCAACCCTGTGGCAAAGATAAATTCCTTTGCATTCGTCATACCATGATGCAGTCGTTTTGTTTACAGGGAAGATGGCAATGCATGTTGGTAAGGGCACACTATGTGCATTACTGAACCAAACCATTGTACAACTGGTTAGGTCAGCTCATGGAATATTAACTACTAACTCTGGGTCATACATCAAGGACTACATAAATAATATATTACTTCTGGGTAAGACACCTTGCCCTTTCCTATTTTTTTTAAGTGATGAAAAGCAGGATTCATGATTCATGATTGAGCAGAAAAGTTATTCTTCCCACTCAAACACTAGATTCTTTAATCGTACTTCCATCCAAATCCGTTCTTCTAATTGAAACATTTCCCGTTCAATCAACCTTTTCAAGTAAGAGGACAGACACCAAGGTCACGGTGATGACATGTCTGAATTCCCTGAATAATATCTTAAAATCTAGCTACACAAACAGAAGCTGCCAATCAAAAAAAATACATTTTTATTCAATTAAACAGGAAGCCTATCAGTTAACAAATGCAGGACAAACACATGAAAACATATGAATGGTTAGTTAATCACTCCAATACCCAGTTATCATAATATCTCTAATCCTAAAAACATGCTGAGGAATTCTTATGAAGTTCACAAAATTCTTGTGTGAAACACCAAGTAAACACAGCCACATGTTATACAAAGCAAGATGAAGGGGAAAATTTTGCTTCAGTTCATTCCTGTCTTCATTTTACACATAGAAAAGGTTAATCCTAACCCAAAATTTAACTTTTTCCCCCACCTTCATTTACCTTCCCTATGGCCTAAAAGATTGTCCTAATCCTTAGTGAGCTGTTATCTAACAACTGTGGTGTACTAGACAAACATTTATTATTTAGTTCTTACTACTTCAAGAGGCTTTTGAATTTTATTTTTAAAAAACATCTAGAGTCTGAACAGTAGAAAAATAGTAACATTCCAAATTCCAAATTTGGAGGAGATTTCAGGGCATCTGGGACTTACTAACAGATAGATGGTTAAAGGATACCACATAATGGATTACTTGAGCATATGTTATTCTTGAAAGCCAGGCAGTGGAATAGCAATGAACTCTCTGGATCTCAATTCTATTTTCTACTCAAATAAAATACTCCCTTTTTCTCAAATTCACTGCATTGCTTCAAAAGTATCTTACCTATATCACTAGGTGATATAGTTTGGATATTTGTCTTTTCCAAATTTCATGTTAAAATGTGATCCACAGTATTGGAGGTGGGGGCTAGTGGGAGGTGTTTGGGTCATGGGGGTGGGTTCCTCATGAATGGCTAGGTGCCTTCTCCACAGTAATGAGTTCATGTAGATTTGGTTCTTAAAAAAGGTCTGGGACCTTCCCTCTCTCTCTCTTTTTCCCTCTCTTGCCATGTGACATGCTTACTTCCCCTTCATCTTCCACTGTAATTGAAAGCCTCCTGAGGCCCTCAAGTGAAGGAGCCACTGGTGCTATGCTTCTTGTGCAGCCTGCATAACTGCAAGCCAAATAAGCCACTTTTCTTTATAAATTACCTGGTTTCAGGTATTCCCTTATAGCAATGCAAAATGAACTAATACACTAGAATACAGTTAAAATAGGTATATTTAAATGTATACTTTGTATAAAGTATATTTATGCTTCATAAATTAAATGAAAAGTATTATTTTTAAATTATTTTCCCAATAAAACAGTAGCTAGTTAATGAGGCATGAATATTTTCACATTTTGGCTTTCTTTTCTTTTCTTTTTTTTGTTTTTTGAGATGGAGTCTCACTCTGTCGCCCAGGCTGGAGTGTGATGGCACAATCTCGGCTCACTGCAATTCTCCCGCCTCAGCCTCCTGAGAAGCTGGGATTACAGGCACCTGCCACCACGCCGAGCTGATTTTTGTATTTTTGGTGGAGACGGGTTTTAACCAGGTTGGCCAGGCTGGTCTTGAACTCCTGACCTCAGATGATCCACCCGCCTCGGCCTCCCAAAGTGCTGGGATTACAAGTGTGAGCCACTGCACCCGGCTGATTTTGGTGTTATTAAAATAAAAGCTTGTAAGAATATGGTTCTGGATGACAAAATCCATTAAATAGTGCTTTAACAACAATAACAAATGGCACTTATAAAATAATAACAAAACAATACTATCTTATGCAAGAGAAAACTTTCTGAATCAAAATGTAGAACTCTATTGTCTAGTTAGTTTCCAGCTCCTAGAAATTCAAAGCACTCATCTAAACAAGAAATCCTTAAAGCTACAAATTGGAGTGTGTGAACGTGTGTGTGTGCACGTGTGTGTGGTGTGTGTGTTTTCACAATATATCCTTTTTGGATATTAACAACAGTTAATAGTATTGTAAGAGCAGCTTCTCCCATCATTAGATACAGGATAAACATATAATTTAGTTTAATACATTTTTTAAAGAATTTTAATAAATTTCTTTTTTTTTTTTTTTTTTTGAGATGGAGTCTTGCTCTGTCGCCCAGGCTGGAGTGCAGTGGCACCATCTCGGCTCACTGCCAGCTCCGCCTCCTGGGTTCACACCATTCTCCTGCCTCAGCCTCCCGAGTAGCTGGGACTACAGGCACCCGCCACCAGGCCTGGCTAATTTTTTGTATTTTTAGTAGAGTTGGGGTTTCACCGTGTTAGCCAGGATGGTCTCGATCTCCTGACCTTGTGATCCACCCACCTCTGCCTCCCAAAGTGCTGGGATTACAGGCGTGAGCCACTGTGCCCGGCCAATAAATTTCTAATAGAATTATAACTCAAGCCATAACTTTTAAAGTCTAAAATCATCTTGACCTTTTAATAGAATCTAATCTCAGATGATTCAGTTTATTTAAGCCTTGCCAAAACATAACACTCAACTGGAGGAAAAGGTCTTCAAGAGGAAGAAACAAGCATCTAAAGGTTATAAAACAACGGACTAATTTTTATAAACATATTTTTGAGATGTTTAATTAAATTAAAAAGTAGCTTTAAATTTCCTCATGTTATATCTGAGTTCCAGTTACGGGAGCTTGTGCTGACAAAAATAAATTACTCAGTTAAAACATTTATAAATTAAAATGTAAATGAACTGTCATTTTGAAAACAATCATAAATCTCCATCTTAGAATATAAATTAAAGGTTTTAATAAATTTGTAAATGGTCACAAAAATTTAGTCACTCACAAAAATATTGAGGTCCAATATCTGTAAAGAAATATAGTTCACAGCTATGAATTTGTATCAATTAATATGAAAGCGAAGGATTGTTTCTTATGTTGGTTGTATATGTAGTATAATTTTTGCCAGTTAAGGGATCTATGCATCAACTGGTGTGAAAAGCAAATCAGAAGAAACAAGCAAAATAGAGTCCTTGAGTTTACATAATGAACAAAATTTAGCATTTTACCAAGTATCAATTTGGTTTTCTTAAAATCTCTATATGAATATGGTTTTGCAGTTTGTTTACTTCTCAGGTTAAATATCTATTCATCTTAAAGTATCCTCAGATATGACTTTTCTGATCACCTAATTGAAAGTAACTTCTCCCTCTTTATTTCTTCTTTGTTTTCTCTATGGTCTTATTCCAGTTGCGTCTACTTATTTTTTTTTCTTTGAGATGGAGTCTTACTCTGTTGCCTGGGCTGGAGTGCAGTGGCATGATCTCGGCTCACTGCAACTTCTGCCTCCTGGGTTCAAGCAATTCTCCTTCCTCAGCCCCCCCAAGTAGCTGGGATTACGGGCATGCACCACCACACCTGGCTAATTTTCATATCTTTAGTAGAGAAGGGTTTCGCCATGTTGGTTAGGCTGGTCTCAAACTCCTGACCTCAGGTGATCCACCCGCCTCAGCCTCCCAAAGTGCCAGAATTACAGGCATGCCACCATGCCCGGCCGCAACTTCAGTATCTAAAGGTCCAAAAGTAGATGAGGAACCAACAGAGACTGGAAAGGAGCAGCCAGTGAAGTAATAGAAAATCCAGAGAAGTGCGATACTATAGTGACCTGAGAGAGAAAAGTGCTTGCAAAAAGAGGAAGTGATCAATTATGTTGAATGCTGTGTTAGATGCTGCTTACTGCCTGATGAGGACAGAGAAGAGGCCCTTTTTTGCTGCTGACACGGACAAGCATAGTGTCAGTGGAGGGATGAGGAAGCAAGCTAGATTATAGAGTTGAACAATACACACGAGGTAAAAAGTGTAGTGATGCTATACTATTATTTGGGAATATTTTGATGTGAAGCATAGTATGGAAACTGTATGAGCAGCTGGAGAGGAATGTGGAAATATGAGATCAAGGGAGATTTTCCGTCTAAGATGGGAATTAGTAGTTCACGTATTCTGAGATGACTTAGAAAAAAAGGTGAGATTGATGATGTGAGAATGAAAACTGAAGGTAAAACTATTTATCTCCTAAAAATGTTTTTAAATATGAAATTTCTTTTTTCATTTTAAGCTTTTGTTTATTTCTTCTGGTGGTTATTTCTCCTACTTATAAAGAAAACATACAATGGGTTGAAATTCATTTACAAAGCCAATTATGTCCAAGGAACTGTTCTAGAAATCTGCAATTTAACAATGAATAAGATTCTTGCCATAGAAGTTTACATTCTAGTGGAGTATAAAGACCGGAAATAAATAAATAAGTACTGAGTATAATCAGTGCTATTAAAAATAATCAGGAATATGTAAAAGAAAATAAAATTTAAAAGAGAAAACAAAGAAGACATCCCACTGAGACAGACACAGGACAAATAATTCCATGGACCAAAAGTAGATTGTGGCAGCTCAGAAGGGCTCTTGCAGGGTGAGAAGTACTATAAGTGTCCTCTGTAAGACATGAACAGCCTACTGTTTGCAGGTAGGGGCTACAGTGTGGCTTCACTGTCCATTAATGACAAGAGGCTGAAAAACAGAATGGATTGTTGTTCTGTTGGCTTGGGGCGGAAGAGGGAATGAAGGCTTAGCTATGCAAACAGAAACTGAGCTGAAGCCATTCAATTCCTCCGTGTGTGGATCTGTGATGTCTCCAACATCACTGAAGAACAAGAGCACAAAATGCCATTATATGATCCCATACTGGACTCAGAGCCTAAGGGGTGCATGAAAAACAAATAGTGGGAATCTGAGAGAAAAAAAAAGAGAGAAATAAGACAGCAAAAACATGAACTCTCACACAAAATGAGATTGCAATCTTAAATTCAAAAAGACAATTCAAAATTAATGCTAAGACACTCAGAAAACCACACCAAAAAAAAATCTGTAACAGGAATTCACCCTAAATGAAATTAATTTTATGGAACAGGCTCATGAAGATTTTAAAACAAGCATGTTTTGTGTGTTCAAATAGACAAAAGAATACAACAATTTAAACCAAGCAAAAAAGTTTAAAACAAAAATAGACTGCAATAAAATAAACCCAAGTAGACATGAAGAATCAGCTAGAAAAAAATAGATATCAGAAATTTAAGCTGATAAAAATTCTAGTGTCAAAATAAACTCTAGACTGCACTCAAAGAGAGCATTAGTAGATTAGAAGATAATTGTCAAAGTCTCACCATTGCCCATGTTATCAAACTTTGCTAGTATTTATTTATTTATTTATTTATTTATTTATTTATTTGAGATGGAATCTCGCTCTGTCGCCCAGGCTGGAAGGCAGTGGCACAATCTTGGCTCACTGCAAACCCCGCCTCCCGGGTTCAAGCAATTTTCCTGCCTCAGCCTCCCGAGTAGCTGGGATTACAGGTGCCCGCTACCACACCAGCTAATTTTTGTATTTTTGGTAGAGACGGGGTTTCACCATGTTGGCCAGGCTGGTCTCGAACTCCTGACCTAGTTATACACTCACCTCGGCCTCCCAAGGTGCTGGGATTACAGCTGTGAGCCACCACACCGGGCGGAACTTTGCTAGTATTTAAACTACAGCTTCTGTTTAAGCTGCTTTCCTCAAATTTGCTAATATTATTAAATCTAAGACAAAGCTAATCTAGCCAGCCTATCCACATCCAATCCTTCATATGAAAACTAAATAGCATTATATATGAAGAAATTCATTCCAATAAATTAAATATACCATCTTCTTGTTCACCCTAAACTTATCCTCAGTTAGCAGTTATGCCGACTCATAATGAAATAACGGAAATACAAATAAAGGGGAATTGAAGTAGAATAAAAAGACAATTTATTTGTTATGATACTCAATCTTCTTTTTCTTTCACTTACAAAGCTAAACTTTATTGACACTGTCACAGGCCTCTGGGTTGAGCCCTGACTAACTTTTGGGTTCTGGGGTGAAGAAGGGCCCCAGCCACTTCCTCCATTTGCCTGGCCTGGGCCTCTGCTGGCTGAGGAGGGACAAGGTGAGGGGACTCCACGGTACTGACACTAGAACCAGGGCCTCCCTGGCATTCCAAGGTAGGGTGGGAGCCTGAAGCCCACCGTCCTCACAGCCTGTGTAAACGTCGAACCGGGACCCCCCAGCGGGTTGTGCCAAGGGCTTTTCTTGTCACCCAAGACCAGTGGAGGTTGGCTGCTCCTCCTCTAAGAACCTGAGACAATGAGAGAAGGCAGCTGCTACCATGAAATACAGACACTCTAAAAGACAGACTTGATGAGGACCAAGCTGTTAAAGGGCACAGAGGAGGCAGGCTCTGCCACCCACAGCTTCGTTGGCTGTCCTTGCCTCCGCTGCTCTTCTGGCTCCTCTATTGAGTTATTGGTATATTAAAGACAGTAACCATGTGTTATTGTTTCCCACAATTCCTGATACTGACACAAAATATAATCCATTGAGTGGCCAAGCAAAAACTTTGCCTGGGAATTTCTTCTACGTGGTGTCCCAGACTTGGTTTATATCTATAGTTGCCTTTGCAGGTTATGTTTCTATTGCATAATACCTCCCCTCACGGTAAAACTCTGACATAACCACATAGCATACAACATCTTTTATCTGACACTAGCCTGCCTATCTGACTGTCTCCTGCCACTTCCTGCATCACGTATCACTCTTCAGAATAGTCTCTACTCTCCAGTGATTCTAAACAATTCTAAGGATGTTCCCCAGTATGCCAAGCTTGCTCCCCACTCTTCAGCTTCGCACATGTTCTTCTACCTGCTGGAATCCTTCCATCATCGTCTCCACCTGAGGAGCCCCTACTCATCCCTCAGATCTCAGCTGAATTGCTGTGACTTTTCCCAGAGCTCACTAAGCAGTACAGAATGCTTCTCCTCTGCTCCCTCTAAATGTTTCACTGACCCTCCATTGTATCAATTACTTCACTGAATTACAGTTTTGAAGTTTCTATTGATATATATTCTCAGCTCAGAGATTGTCCTTCCCTGGCACACAGAGATTTCTATTGCAACTGACATCAGAAAAAGTCAAGTAGAACACGATGAGAAAAGACCAGTCTTGTCTATCTGTTCTTTTATTTTGCTACATCACCTTATTTTATATCCGAAGGTGCTCTCAAAACAAACAATTCTGTAATACTGGCATAACAAAGCCTAGTGGGTAAGTATGCTGGCTATAAAGTTCAAGAACTCAAACTCCCAATATCCCAAAATCAACATTTTTGAAATATCTAATCTTAAGTAAGGTACCTAAACTATTTAATAAGTAAAATAAGAAAAATAATCGCTAACATTTATTGAGTATTTACTGTATCCTAGGCATTGTTCATACGATAACTAATTTAATCCTCCTAGCAGCTCTGTGAGCTAAGTGTTGTTACCCTACTTAAACTAAAGCACAAAGAGGTTTGATAACTTAATCAAAGTCACACAACTTATAAGTGGTAGAGCCAGAATTTAAACTCAAGCAGACTGGCTCCAGAACCCACAATATTGCCATAATGTGATGATTAAAGAAGATAATGCAGGTACCCAGCTAAATACTATATAGTAAGGTACATAGTAAGCTTTCTGCAGATGACAGTTATGCTTATTATCATGTTAAGAGTTCAGTTTTAGCTCCAATACCAAGTATTGACAATTCTGTATTTTTATTTAATGCTGAAAGTGATGAATTGGGAATTGCTTATTTAAAGTTGGCACTAAAAGGTATTCAAATGTGTACAGCATTAGAAATATGTCCAACTAATCCAGTCCAATTAAATCTTAATCTAGAGGCCAGGTGTGGTGGCTCATACCTATAATCCCAGCACTTTGGGAGGTCCAGGCGGGTGGATCACTTGAGCTCAGGAGTTTGAGACCAGCCTGAGCAACATAGTGAAATGCCATCTCTACAAAAAAAAAATCAAACAAAAAAAATAGCTGGGTGTGGTGGCATGTGCCTGTAGTCCCAGCTACTCAGGAGGCTGAGGTGGGAGGATCACTTGAGCCCTGGAGGTTGAGGCTGCAGTCAGCCTTGATCATGCCACTGCACTCCAGCCTGGGTGACAGAGCAAGAGCCTGTCTCAAAAAAAAAAAAAAAAAAAAAAACATAAAATCTTAGTAATTGAAATGGAAACCATAAGTCAAAGCACTGACTGGTTCTCTTTAACAAACTTTTTCCCTATTCTGTAATGCAGCAGGGTCTCTCATAGCATCTCTATTTGAATTTTAGAAGTATTACAACTGACAGGCAGCATTGAAAGCATAAATTCCCCTCTAATATTATTATTATAAAGTCTTTCCTAAATTGGTTTCGGCAATGGGACAGAATTAGAAGGTTCATGTGATTTGAGGTTAGAGGTGAGATAATTACAATAGGATTGCGCATTGGAAAACAAGTGTCGCTGGAACTGCAACAGGAGAGGTTGAGCTACATTACCAGACTCCCTGGAGAAATCAAGCAACCCATAGCCTCATCTAAGATAATTGCAGCACTAGAGTCTCTGCCCAGAAGAGTTTTATTCCCACACTCACAGGGTGTGCCCTCTTGGAACAAAATGTATGTCAGCAAATGGCAGAAATAGCACCAGGAATCCCTTTCACAAAAATTTCTATGGTAGGAAGGAAGAGATGAAAAATGGAAGTGTTTCTACAGTCTCAAATTTAAACTCTCCACTTTATTAAATAACTGCAACTGGATCATCAGGACTTTTTCAGAGATTAAAAGGAAAATATTTCCAAATATTTCATGTAATAGAAGCTACACAGAGTAATAAGTTATTGTATGAGCACTATATAAATTAATCCTTATAGGAAACAAGTTAATTGTAGGTAAAAATGAAAGCTACTGGAAGAGCTGTATAAAGGTTTTGAGTTGTTTTGGACTAAAATCATTAAAAACAAGAGTGAACTTTCAAACTGTTCTGCGTCACTTATCCAAACATAAGGATTGCAAACTCTGGGTTGGTTATATAATTTAAATAAAAATTAGCAAGCAAATATGCAGTTTATAAGGTAGCAAGGCAGCTAATTTTGATTGGGGAAGGAAATGAAGCAGAAGCCAGGCCACTTGGATTCTGATCCCCACTTAAAAGCCTACATCCTTACACTGCAAAATATATTTTTCTCTCTACTTTCTGCCTATTACAATGAAAGTCCTATGATTTTAATGAAAAATTCACATTCAATAAACAAATTACAATGCAATAGTAGATGCTTGTATTAAAGGCCTGGTTAAATAATTTTCAAATAAGTGGATTTTTTATGGGTGATAATAGGAAGTCTAAGCTCTCCATTTATCACTTACGTTTGTTCTTCTCTCATTTTTGCCATTCTATTTCACACTGTTTAATGGAATTGGAGAATAAAAGAAAGAATAACAAAAACATTCAGTGTTCTGGAAGATCATGAATATCATATGGATTTAAGAATATCCTTTTGATTTCCATAGGTTTGCTATTAGGAGAAAAAAAAATGTTTCTTTCTAAACTGAATTGTCCTGTACTGTCTTAGTTGGTGGTGCTATCCTCAATCCATTTAACCAAACAAGCTAGAAACACACAGGTATCATCAACTCTTCCCTCTCCATCATACCCCAGATCCAAGCAGTTATAAGCTTGTCATTCTATATGATAATTCTGAAACAGGTTACTTCCTCATTCTCATTCCTTCCCTGCCCTAGTTAATGTCTTGACTATCTTACAGCAGATAGTAGCCCCACAAGTAAATTCTCTCCCTCTGCATTTGTGTGCCTTGCACAATTACCACAGTAATTTATCTAAAACACAAACCTGACCCACTCCACTCAAATCCCTGATTAAACTGTGAATGACGTGCCATTGCCAAAAGGATAAATTACAACCTCTTTAATATGTTACTCAAATGCCTTTGTCATCTAATCCCAGAGAGATGCTCCATGATGGCAGATATTAATAATAAACATGTCTTAAAATTGAACAAATTAGATAATATCGCTTAATAAAATTTGTTGACTAAATAGTTACATAAATGAATAACTCGAATGGTCTCATTTCTGCCACTCCTTATTTAGCAATTTGTTCTCTGGCAAGATCAAAGAGCCTCTAATTTTCCAAGCAGTCCAGGCTGCTCTACCCTGCATTTCTCTTCTTTTCCTCTTTGACTTGTTAGCTCCCACTCTTCCTTTAATATGCTTCTAGAACACTGGAAGCTTTCCCCAAATTCTCTTCACTTCTTCCGGGCTCTTATTATAAAATACCCCGTGAAAAATCTTTGTAACTGAACTGAAGATGACATGAAGTTATAAATCACATTTTTACTTCCAACACTTGTCTCATGACTAGCACACAAAAGATACCCAATAGCTGTAGTTGTAATGTAATAAATGAATAACTAATTCTAATCTGAATGTCATATAAATGTATACATATTTTAGTTAATATTAGATATTAAATAAAATTCACAAAATGTGTTTTTCCAAAAACTTGCAGCATTCTACAAAGCATAATTAAATGGATAAATTCTGATTTAACCTCTTCAAAAATGTCACCAAGCTTTGATTTGCCACAATCAAGTTTTAATCAAAGGTTTGCCACCTCTGTTTTGGTCAATATTCTCTGAATAATCTATCTATGAGGTAATTCTATCATTTTAAAATAGATAATATTAAAAGCATTATGAAATAAAGGTAATAGAGTACATTAGATTATTATTGCTATTAAATATCTAATATGCCTTTCATATATCCAATATGTGAATGTGATCTTTATTTTGCTGCTCTGCTAAGATCATGGCTATTGATAACCATGGATTCACCTAGAAACATATTAAGATTTACATAGAATACTGCTGCATTGAATGGATCTTGAAATCATGCTGAAGTCTTTTGATTTTACAGCAAGCTGATAATGCTTGAAATGTCTATATATATGTGTATATATATATACATACATACAAACATACTATAGTGATAGACATAGAAATGACAGATCTCATAGGATACTTTCCTATGTATATAAAAGAATACATGATTTTTCCAGTAAATCAAAATTTAATATTAATTTCTTTCATAGGTAGTCACCAAACAGTATTAAGAAAATTGTACTGTAGTAAAATTTATGTATTACAGTATTTAATGGACATATTTTTTCAATACAAAATTAAAGAGCATTATTGAATTTTTGGTATTTTCTCAAAATGCCTACTAACAGAAAGGTTAAAGGAGTGTTCCATTATTAAACCAGCTGAATTCATTTATCCAGTGCTTTTTACTAGTATTTTTGAGCATATATTATGTGCAAGATGCTAGAATAGATGCTGGAAATAAAAGAAATACAAAGATTACTGTTCTCAAAAAAGTGTATAATTTATAGGGATACTTTGTGGTCTGATCATATACAAAATTAAATAGAAGATAAAGAGTTTGCAATTTATTTCATAATACACTTTAAATCATGTATCACTTATGACCTTTAGTTCAATGAATATCTAGAACCAATATAGAAAATATTTGAAGGGGATAAGACCAGATGAGACACAATTAAACTAGTTCAAGAATAAAGCAATGAGGGTCTGTAGCTACAGGAATAAATATTAAAGATGAGACATTATGACCTATAGAACTTCTTTTGTTATTATATGTTATTGAATGGAAACAAATATCATTTAACTCCTCATTAAAAACATTTTCTCCCACAGGATATTTTTGTACTCACAATATTTTGATTTTGCCTGTATCATATAACTCACTGTGTTGTATTTTAATTATACATTTATGTCTAACTCCTTAGCTAAATCACAACTTGAGAGCATGGACTGGATTAAAATCATCTTTGAATCCCCAGTGCTTAGTATACAATTTCAAGGAAGTAGTAATTCACTGTAAAAATGTCGTGGAGAGTTATTCATTCATTTATGCAGTGTTGTCTCTGTAAAAACCAAAAGGAAAAATACTTTCTCTGCTCTCAATACCATAGTTGGGATTTTCTAGAGAAATTAGATTGTTTTTAATGTATGACCAATAAAATTTTTGACTGTGTTCTATTCTGTCCCACTGACTGTTAGAAGAAAAAGAAACAATAAAAAGTAGGATGAGAGGGCATTTACTTGTTTCACGCTTATATTTTCTTTCATATTTTGATTTGTTTCATCCCTTCTATTAATATCAATTATTTTCTCTTCTCCGATCTTTTACATTTATGTAAATCACTTTAAATTCATTTTTAAACAAGCTAGATTGAAATGATTAAGTAAATGGCAGGTGTACGACAGATATCTTTTCAATAATTAAAGAATGGTATTCATTATTGAACTTTAAATTGAATTCATACATATGCTTTTGTTGTAAAATTTTCTTGCCTTACATTAAGTAAATTAATGTGTTCTTTAATTTTCTATCACTAATACAAGTTCAATAATAAAAGTGATAGACCCAACAAGACCAAGTGCTAGAACTTCCTTTCATAGGTATTATATTTTATATTTGTATTATTTTACATGAAAAGAAATTTTTCCTGAGGCTAATTCTAGTAGTTTAGCAACTCACTAACTAATATGGGATTTTAGAATTGTGCTATTTAAAATAAAAGTATAACTTGTATTTCTCCCTGTAAAATAACTGTGATCTAACTGCTCTGAGGCTATGTGTTTAGAATCACTTCTTTTGAATTTTTATTACAAATGACCCATCATAATCATACTTTAATAAGCTTAAACCACATGAGGGAAAAAAATAACTGTGGGAAACTTTGGGAGCAGTGGGTGGGGTGGGGAAGCTCTGCCATTTTTTCAGGATTCCCAGAAGTTTGAATGGAGTTAGCTGATGTGTTAATAGCTAAGGCATTAAAAACAGTAACAAGTGTTTCTTTTGCAGGTCAGAGTTCCTACTGTAAAATCAAAGTTTAAAAATGGTAAGTAGTCAGCAAAATTCTTCAGATAAATTTAACTAGAAATGACTTGTAGCCAAGACCCACATTTTTATTGAATAGTTTCCATAGATATTCCAAAAAACAAAATTTTTAGGTCATTTAATATCTATATATTTCATGAGAAGTGAGAAAGGATTTATATATTAAGCTATATAATTTATTTTAATAAATATCTTGCTCTACACATGTTGCTGTACAATATCTTGCTCCCACATCTTTGTGGGAATTTTAGATAAGGAAAACAATCCACAGCTACATTCAAGCTTAAAAAAATGTGTTGTACAATTGCAAGATGAAATCAACCAAAGTGCCCATCAATCAATAAGTGGATAAAGAAAATATGGTGTATACATGCCATGGAATACTACTCAGCCATAAGGAATGAAATAATGTATTTTGCAGCAACTTGGATGGAACTGAAGGCCTTTATCCTAAGTGAAGTACCTCAGGAATGGATGGGTACAATGTACACTATCCAGGGGATGGGTACGATGTACACTATCCAGGGGAGGGGTACGATGTACACTACCCAGGGGATGGGTACGATGTACACTATCCAGGGGACGGGTACACTAAAAGCCCAGACTTCACCACTACAAAATTTATCCATATAACCAAAAACCATTCATGCCCATAAAGCTATCAAAATAAATAAATTAAATTAAAAACATGTTGTAGCATCAGTTCATCATAATGTCTGTCTTTTATTCATAAAGCAAAACATATGCATTACCCATTCAATATTAAGTTTGGGAACCTCTTTTCTTAAATAGCAACAG
Organism: Homo sapiens; assembly: GCF_000001405.40. Classification (NCBI taxonomy): domain Eukaryota; kingdom Metazoa; phylum Chordata; class Mammalia; order Primates; family Hominidae; genus Homo; species Homo sapiens. The sequence continues at coordinate 186,904,099 of NC_000002.12, read as the reverse complement.
ATTCTCAAGTCTTAGCCCTTTATTTTTAAGCTGGAAGAAGCAATCTTCTGGGGAAATTATACCTATTCTGTTAAAGAATATAAGAAAAACATACTGATGTGATGAAAAAGGGATTTCACAAATTTTCATTTCTTAAGAAACTTTACAAAGATCAGCAATGTTGTACTTTCCATAGGAGATATTTTACACTTTTTCTCAAAACCATCTAATGATGTGTGGAATGTCAAAGTATATAAAGTGATTGTGTGCACTTTAGCACACAGCTTTTTCAGGAAAACAATAAAATTAGAAGGGAAAACAGTGAACTTTCATAAGTTACAGAAATCCTAGAAAAGGAATTTCAAGTTTTTCTCCTAAAAGCTTATTTTTCACCTTTGAAACATATTTCATTATTATGTTGCATCATTGTCAATAAAAAGCTTTGTTGCAATAACCTAAATGCTAAAAACATGATAGCTAACTCAGGCAGATTAGCCAACCTGTATAAAAAATACACTCAGATGTTTTGCAAAATGATCGTGTATTAAATGCAAAGATTCTAATATTTTCATGAATTTAACTTTTATTTGCTTGACTACACTGTCATGTCAGTTCCAAATTAAGTGTTAATAAAGGAATTCTTAGATGAATTAGGGAAAAGGTAAATAATTTCATCATCAGCACTCAAGGGGGTTCTTTTTATACAACTTATCTTGGGAAAAGTTTGAAAATATATAAAATTAAGCAGAGCTCTTACTCCCTCTTGTGATAGCTAAGTGAAATGTAAATGCTGCGTAAGAATTTTAACAAGGTTTTTAATGAAATTCCCCAAACCTGGCTAGATTATAAATGTAAATGCAATTCAGCTAATAGAAAACACTTCACACTTCTTAAGAGAATTTTAAGTATTGAAAGAGAAATTCATCATAACTTAGTGACAGTATCAAAAATTTACTATTTTGTGTTTCTTTTTTATTTTAATTCAACATGCATATCTTTAAATGTCTAAATTTCTTGATGCACAAAAATAGAGTGCAAGATAAAAACTAAGCAGCAAAATTATTCAGATGATTTTAACTAGAAATCACTTGTTTCAAAGGGCCGCATTTTTACTGAATAGTTTCCACAGGGTATTTGTACTTTAATATGAACAAAGAGAGGTGACAGAAGTAAAGAATTGTTAACCTGAAAACACTGAAAGGCCCAGATTCACAGAAATGCTCCAGGATGCACAGTTTAGTAACCTCAACATAAATGTCTCCTTTTGGGTTCTCAAAAGCCAAATGAGATAAACCAGTTTGTCTGAATTAAAATATAAGGAGGTTGAAACCTATCTTAGATGCACTCTTCCCTGTCCAACAGCCCTGCTGTCTGCCTCAGCGTTGAGGCTTTATCTCCCTCTTTTCCAAGGATCCAATGTTTTCTATAGAGTCCTAGCACTGAGGTATAGGCTTAAACCTCACCCTAGTCAATGTCTTATCACACCATCTCTCATGCCTCTTAAAAGGCCATAACACACTCTATCCACTCTTTTTGTGACCAGCTGTCAGAATTGTATTACCATAGAGAAGAATAAATAAACACACCACGTGCACAAACACAAATGTTTGCTTGTCATGTTCGATAATTGCATTTAACAGGGAGTTCTTGGAGATATACTTTAATCCAAAATAATGATAGCATTTTAGGTGCCACTGTAAAAGGAACAAAACTATTGACCATCTACTTTAGCAGGTACTTTATTTGGAACTTTATATACATTGTCTCATTTAACCTACATGACAGCCCTGTGATGCAAGCTTAATTGTCTTCGCTTTACAGATTAAAAACTAAGTGGTGAGGGATTTCCAAGATGGCTGAATAGGAACAGCTCCGGTCTGCAGCTCTCAGCACGATCGTCACAGAAGATGGGTGGTTTCTGCATTTCCAACTGAGGTAACTGATTCATCTCATTGGGACCAGTTGGACAGTGGGTGCAGCCCACGGAGGGCAAGCTGAAGCAGGGGGTGGGAGGTGTGTCGCACGCCCAGGAAGTGCAAGGGATTGGGGGATTTCCCTTTCCTAGCTAAGGGAAGCTGTGACAGACTACCTGGAAAAACGAGGCACTCCCGCCCAAATACTGTGCTTTTCCCAAGGACTTAGCAAATGGCAGACAAGGTGATTCTCTCCTGTGCCTGGTTCGGCGGGTCCCATGCCCACAGAGCCTTGTTCACTGCTAACACAGCAGTTTGAGATCGATCTGCAAGACAGCAGTGTCTGCCATTGCTGAGGGTCGTCTGCCATTGCTGAGGGGCATCCTCCATTGCTAAGGCTTGAGTAGGTAAACAAAGCAGCCAGGAAGCTTGAACTGGGCGGAGCCCACTACAGCTCAACAAGGCCTACTGCCTCTAGACTCCATCTCTGTGGGCAGGGGATAGCTGAACAAAAGGCAGCAGACAACTTCTGCAGACTTAAATGTCTCTGTTGGACAGCTCTGAAGAGAGCAGTGGTTCTTCCAGCATGGCATTTGAGCTCTGAGAACGGACAGACTGCCTCCTCAAGTGGGTCCCTGACCCCCCATGTAGCCTAACTGGGAGACACCTCCCAGTAAGGGCTGACAGACACCTCATATAGGTGGCTGCCTCCCTGGGACAAAGCTTCCAAAGGAAGGATCAGGCAGCAATACTTGCTGTTCTGCAGCCTCCTATGGTGATACCCACCAAAACAGGGTCTGGAGTGGAACTCCAGCAAACTCCAACAGACTGCAGCTGAGGGACCTGACTGTTAGAAGGAAAACTAACAAACAGAAAGGAATAGCATCAACATCAACAAAAAGTTCATCTACACCAAAACCCCATCTGTAGGTCACCAACATCAAAGACCAAAGGTATATAAACCCACAAAGATGGGGAGAAACCAGAGCAGAAAAGCTGAAAATTCTAAAAATCGGAGTACCTCTTCTCCAAAGGATCGCAGCTCCTCGCCAGCAATGGAACAAAGCTGGATGGAGAATGGCTTTGACGAGTTGACAGAAGTAGGCTTCAGAAGGTTGGTAATAACAAACTTCTCCAAGCTAAAGGAGGATGTTCGAACTCATCACAAGGAAGCTAAAAACCTTGAAAAAAGATTAGATGAATGGCTAACTAGAATAAACAGTGTAGAGAAGACCTTAAATGACCTGATGGAGCTGAAAACCATGGCATGAGAACTTCGTGAAGCATGCACAAGCTGCAATAGCCAATTCGATCAACTGGAAGAAAGGGTATCAGTGATTGAAGATCAAATTAATGAAATAAAGCGAGAAGACAAGGTTAGAGAAAAAAGAGTATAAAGAAACAAACAAAGTCTCCAAGAAATATGGGATGATGTGAAAAGAGCAAACCTACATTTGATTGGTGTACCTGAAAGTGATGGGGAGAATGGAACCAAGTTGGAAAACACTCTGCAGGATATTATCCAGGAGAACTTCCCAAACCTAGCAAGGAGGCCAACATTCAAATTCCAGAAATACAGAGAACACCACAAAGATACTCCTCGCGAAGAGCAACCCCAAGATACATAATTGTCAGATTCACCAAGGTTGAAATGAAGGAAAAATTGTTAAGGGCAGCCACAGAAAAAGGTTGAGTTACCCACAAAGGGAAGCCCATCAGACTAACAGCAGATCTCTTGGCCGAAACCGTACAAGCCAGAAGAGAGTGGGGGCCAATATTCTACATTCTTGAAGAAAGAATTTTCAACCCAGAACTTCATATCCAGCCAAACTAAGCTTCATAAGTGAAGGAGAAATAAAATCCTTTACAGGTAAGCAAATGCTGAGAGATTTTGTCACCACCAGGCCTGCCTTACAAGAGCTCCTGAAGGAAGCACTAAACATGGAAAGGAACAACTGGTACCAGCCACTGCAAAACCATGCCAAATTGTAAAGACCATCAATGCTATGAAGAAACTGCATCAATTAACAGGCAAAATAACCAGAGAATATCATAATGACAGGATCAAATTCACACATAACAATATTAACCTTAAATGTAAATGGGCTAAAGGCCCCAATTAGAAGACACAGACTGGCAAATTGAATAAAGAGTCAAGACCCATCAGTGTGCTGTATTCAAGAGACCCATCTCACATGCAAAGATGCACATAGGCTCAAAATGAAGGGATGAAGGAAGATCTACAAAGCAAATGGAAAGCAAAACAAAAAACAAAAAACAAAAAAAACAAAAAACAAAAAACAGGGGTTGCAATCCTAGTCTCTGATAAAACAGAATTTAAACCAACAAAGATCAAAAGAGACAAAGAAGGGCATTACATAATGGTAAAGGGATCAATGCAACAAGAAGAGCTAACTATCCTAAATATATATGCACCCAATACAGGAGTACCCAGATTCATAAAGCAAGTCCTTAGAGACCTACAAAGAGACTTAGACTCCCTCACATTAATAATGGGAGATTTTAACAACCCACTGTCAATATTAGACAGATCAATGACACATAAGGTTAACAAGGATATCCAGGACCCAAACTCGGCTCTGTACCAAGCAGACCCAACAGACACCTACAGAACTCTCTTCCCCAAATCAACAGAATATACATTCTTCTCAGCATTACATCCCACTTATTCTAAAATTGACCACATAATTGGAAGTAAAGCACTCCTCAGCAAATGGAAAAGAATAGAAATCACAACAAACTGTCTCTCAGACAACAGTACAATCAAATTAGAACTCAGGATTAAGAAACTCACTCAAAACCACACAACTACATGGAAACTGAACAACCTGCTCCTGAATGACTACTGGGTAAATAATGAAATGAAGGCAGAAATAAAGATGTTCTTTGAAACCAATGAGAACAAAGACACAACATACCAGAATCTCTGGGACACATTTAAAGTAGTGTGTAGAGGGAAATTTATACCACTAAATGCCCACAAGAGAAAGCAGGAAAGATCTAAAATTGACACCCTAACATCACAATTAAAAGAACTAGAGAAGCAAGAGCAAACAAATTCAAAAGCTAGCAGAAGGCAAGAAACAACTAAGATCAGAGCAGAATTGAAAGAGATGGAGACACAAACAACCCTTCAAAAAATCAATGAATCCATAAGCTGGTTTTTAGAAAAGATCAACAAAATTGATAGATCACTAGCAAGACTAATAAAGAAGAAAAGAGAGAAGAATCAAATATATGCAATAAAAAATGATAAAGGGGATAGCACCACCGATCCCACAGAAATACAAACTACCATCAGAGAATACTATAAATATCTCTATGCAAACAAACTAGAAAATCTAAAAGAGATGGATAAATTCCTGGACACATACACCCTCCCAAGACTAAACCAGGAAGAAGTTGAATCTCTGAATAGACTAATAACAGGCTCTGAAATTGAGGCAAGAATTAATAGCTTACCAACCAAAAAATTTCCAGGACCAGAAGGATTCACAGCCGAATTCTACCAGAGGTACAAGGAGAAGCTGGTACCATTCCTTCTGAAACTATTCCAATCAATAGAAAAAGAGGGAATCCTCCTCAACTCATTTTATGAGGCCAGCATCATCCTGATACCAAAGCCTGGCAGAGACACAACCAAAAAAGAGAATTTTAGACCAATATCCCTGATGAACATTGATGCAAAAATCCTCAATAAAATACTGGCAAACCGAATCCAGCAGCACATCAAAAAGCTTATCCACCATGAACAAGTCAGCTTCATCCCTCGGATGCAAGGCTGGTTCAACATATGCAAATCAATAAATGTAATCCAGAATATAAACAGAACTAAAGACAAAAACCACATGAATATCTCAATAGATGCAGAAAAGGCCTTTGACAAAATTCAACACCCCTTCATGCTAAAAACTCTCAATAAACTAGGTATTGATGGAACGTATCTCAAAATAATAAGAGATATTTATGACAAACCCACAGCCAATATCATACTGAATGGGCAAAAACTGGAAGCATTCCCTTTGAAAGCCAGCACAAGACAGGGATCCCCTCTCTCACCACTCCTATTCAACATAGTATTGGAAGTTCTGGCCAGAGCAATCAGGCAAGAGAAAGAAATAAAGGGTATTCAATTAGGAAATGAGGAAGTCCAGTTGTCCCTGTTTGCAGATGACATGATTGTATATTTAGAAAATTCCATCTTCTCAGCCCCAAATCTCCTTAAGCTGATAAGCAACTTCAGCAAAGTCTCGGGATACAAAATTGATGTGCAAAAATCACAAGCATTCCTATACACCATCAACAGACATACAGAGAGCCAAATCATGAGTGAACTCCCATTCACAATTGCTACAAAGAGAATAAAATACCTAAGAATCCAACTTACAAGGGATGTATAGGACCTCTTCAAGGAGAACTACAAACCACTGCTCAATGAAATAAAAGAGGACACAAACAAATGGAAGAATATTCCATGCTCAGGGGTAGGAAGAATCAATGTCGTGAAAATGGCCATACTGCCCAAGGTAATTTATAGATTCAATGCCATCCCCATCAAGCTACCAATGACTTTCTTCACAGAATTGGAAAAAACCACTTTAAAGTTCATATGGAACCAAAAAAGAGCCTGCATCACCAAGTCAATCCTAAGCCAAAAGAACAAAGCTGGAGGCATCACACTACCTGACTTCAAACTATACTACAAGGCTACAGTAACCAAAACAGCATGGTACTGGTACCAAAACAGAGATATAGCTCAATGGAACAGAACAGAGGCCTCAGAAATAACACCACACATCTACAACCATCTGATCTTTGATAAACCTGACAAAAACAAGAAATGGGGAAAGGATTCCCTATTTAATAAATGCTGCTGGGAAAACTGGCTATTCACATGTAGAAAGCTGAAACTGGATCCCTTCCTTACACCTTATACAAAAATTACTTCAAGATGGATTAAAGACTTAAATGTTAAGCCTAAAAACCATAAAAACCCTAGAAGAAAACCTAGGCAATACCATTCAGGACATATGCATGGGTAAGGACTTCATGACTAAAACACCAAAAGCAATAGCAACAAAAGCCAAAATAGACAAATGGGGTCTAATTAAACTAAAGAGCTTCTGTACAGCAAAATAAATTACCATCAGAGTGAACAGGCAACCTACAGAATGGGAGAAAATTTTTGCAATCTACCCATCTGACAAAGGGCTAATATCCAGAATCTACAAAGAACTCAAACAAATTTACAAAAACAAACAACCCCATCAAAAAAATGGGCAAAGGATATGAACAGACGCTTCTCAAAAGAAGACATCTATGCAGCCAACAGACACATGAAAAAATGCTCATCATCACTGGCCATCAGAGAAATGCAAATCAAAACCACAATGAGATACCATCTCATGCCAGTTAGAATGGTGACCATTAAAAAGTCAGGAAACAACAGATGCTGCAGAGGAGGTGGAGAAATAGGAACACTTTTACACTGTTGGTGGGAGTGTATATTAGTTCAACCATTGTGGAAGACAGTGTGGTGATTCCTCAACGATCTAGAACTAGAATTACCATTTGATCCAGCCATCCCATTACTGGGTATATACCCAAGGGATTATAAATCATGCTACTATAAAGATACATGCACACGTGTGTTTATTGTGTCACTATTCACAATAGTAAAGACTTGGAACCAACCCAAATGTCCATCAATGGTAGACTGGATTAAGAAAATGTGGCACATATACACCATGGAATAGTATGCAGCCATAAAAAAGGATAAGTTCATGTCCTTTGCAGGGACGTGGATGAAGCTGGAAACCATCACTCTCAGCAAACTATTGGAAGGACAGGAAACCAAACACTGCATGTTCTCACTCAGAGGTGGGAATTGAATAATGCTGTCACTTGGACACAGGGCAGGGAAAATCACACACTGGGGCCTGTCGAGGGGTGGGGACCTGGGGGAGGGATAGCATTAGGAGAAATACCTAATGTAAATGATGAGTTGATGGATGCAGCAAACCAACACGGCACATGTATAGCTATGTATAAAACCTGCATGTTGTGCACATGTACTCTAGAACTTAAAGTATAAGAAAAAACAAAAACACAAAACTAAGGCTTCAGGCCGGGTGCAGTGGCTCATGCCTGTAATCCCAGCACTTTGGGGGGCCAAGGCAGGTGAATCACAAGGTCAGGAGTTCAAGACCAGCCTGGAGAACATGGTGAAATCCCGTCTCTACTAAAAATACAAAAAAAATAGCTGGGTGTGGTGGCAGGCACCTGTAATCCCAGTTACTGAGGAGGCTGAGGCAGGAGAATTGCTTGAACCCGGGAGGCAGAGGTTGCAGTGAGCCAAGATCGCACCACTGCTCTCCAGCCCGGGCAACAGTGCAAGACTCTGTCTCAAAAATAATAATAAAATAAAATTAAATAAATAAAAACTAAGGATTCAGTAGTAATTCACCCAAGGTTACATGGTTGATAGTGGATTCAATTTTCACAAACAGGTTTGTCTAGCTCCAAAGCCTGTGTTGCTCACCTTCAGCAAACAAGGACATATTTTTGGCCCAGATTTTTCAAGTGATTTTCAGACCACAAATAAATATTGCATTCTTCTCTATCTATGTATGCCTAATGAGCTTTCTGGTGAATTGGTAATCATGTTCAGTGTATCAAATATGGAAAAAGTTCTCAAAAATAAAAATATAAACATGAGATCACTAACCTAATTTTCACTCAAGCCCCAGGATTTTCATTATTATTTATAGTTCTCTATTGAGTTTTTTATTGCATTATGAAATTCCGTGGAGTTCTTAATGAATCTTATTATATAATAACCATTAGAAGTATTTTAACATTTACTTGAATGTATTCACCAATTATTTATTAAAACCTATTAGGAACCAATTATATGCTAAACATTGGAGACAAAGTGAACATTATTGTCATCCTTACCCTTAGAGCACTTATAGTTTATGGGGAATATTATACACAGAGAAAAAAATCTTCCAAAACAACAGGATAATCATGATGGTAGATGTAGAAGAGCCAAGAAGAATGACACTAAGCAGAGGGGCCCCTAGACCCAGACTTATTTAGGGAATGGCTTCTTAGGAAAAGGGATGCTAAACTGAGCTAATGAAGGAGGGGAGAAAAGAATGTTCCAGGCAGAGGGAACCGTACTGACAAATGAACAAATATTTAAGATATATAAGCAACAGGATTTTGTACAATGCTTGATATGAAGCAGCAAAGACAGAGGACAGATTGAGAGCCTTTAAGCCCAAGTCCGCAATTTAAACTGGTTGGTTGGTTGTTTTTGAGACTAGCGTCTCACTCTGTTGCCTGGGCTGGAGTGCAGTTGATACAGGAGGTAGAAAGAAATGATTTAGGCAGATAGTGAGGGCAAAAGAGTCCTTGGCAGAGCTTCCCCTCTAACAAAAGGCAACCCCCAAATCAGTTCTTTTCTAACAAGAGCAGCCTGAAAAAATCAAGCTGTAAACATAGATAAGCAAGCCGGAAGCTTGCACGGGGAATGCTGGCAGCTACGCCAATAGAAAAGAGCTACCCAGGGGCAAGGCCTGTCCAACATAGAGGCTCCATCTTCCCTTTTTTGTTACCACGTGTATAGTAATGAAGAAATGGGCAACATGGCACAGCTCAGGCAGAGGCATAATAAAAGATTAGGGTGGGGGCTACCAGAGATTCACATCCTATGCAAATGGCACACCTGTTCCAACCAGTTTTTCATTCCCTATGTAAATCAAACACCTCCTCCTCACCAGCTCATCTATAAAACCCCCTGCATTTCACTGTGGATCCAGCAACCCATTTTTCTGGGACCCCTGTGTGCAGCAGAGAGCTATTCTCTTTCTTTTGCCTATTAAACTTCCATCGTCAATCTCACTCTTTGTGTGTCTGCATCCTTGTTCTCATGGCTATGAGACAACAAACCTCGAGTGTTACCCCAGACAATGAGGCTGCTTCACAGTGACATGATCTCTGGTCACTGTAGCCTCCACCTCCCAGGTTCAAGCAATTCTCATGACTCAAGCCTCCCAAGCAGCTGGGACTACAGGTAGGTACGACCATGCCCAGCTAATTTTTGTATTTTTTAGTAGAGATGGGGTTTCACCATGTTGGCCAGGCTAATCTTGAACCTGAGCTCAAAGCAATCCACACGCCTCCGCCTCCCAAAGTGCTGAGATTAAAGGCATTAGCCAGTGTGTCTGGCAATTTAGACTTTATAATAAAGGTAAAGCTGATAAACTGACTAGCAAAAGAAAGACACAATATGGTATGCGTTTTGGATATATCACTCTAGAGAATTGCTCAGAAAGAGGCAGACTAGAGGCAGGGAGACCTATTGGAGACTATTTCAGCAATCAAGAAAAAAAGTGGATGCCCAATTGAAGGTCATAATTGCAGCAATACTGAGAAATTGACAAAGTCTTAAAATATATAAACCACATGGTTTTTGAGATCTTTGATATAAGGAGGGATAGAAAACATAACTCAGAGGAGATGTTCGGGTTTTGGTAACTGAATGAAAACACAAGTTGTGAGATACAAAACAATAAAGTAGAAAGTTTAAGGCTGGGAAGGGAGGAAAAATGAGAACATTTGATATGTCAGGAAAAATAAAGTTACTCTGAATTCTTAAAGCCAGGTAATTTGTAGTCTGAGAAAAGTAAAGCATGTTTCAAATATGTATTGTGGAGAATGGGAACATGAAATAACCAACACTGAGAACCCAGGTGCAATTGAAAATGAAGAACCAGTGCTGGCACCGTCCTGACCTATTCTGTGATTTTCACCACCAGTGCTCAGCCAGCCACATGCTGAGGCATGCAAGGACCTTCAGGTTAATCCACGATTGATGGTGCACTGGTGAATGAAACAAGAAGTCAGTGGAGCAAAGAACAAGGGAAAATGAGGCTTGGAGACAGCTGAAGGTTCAGTGTTTCAATAACAGGCATAGGAGAATAACTGAATGCAAGAGTTTAAAATGTGGTTCTCATCTGTGGCTGCATATTGGTATCACCTGGGGAGCTGTATAATATACTGATTCTTGGATCCCACCTCTAGAGATTCCAATTTAATGAATCTGAAATGCAGAAATTTTGAAATTGTCTCCAGATACTCTAAAGTGCAACCAAGACTGAGAACCATTGAGCTGTAATGGATATGGAATTGATAATTGGTTGCTTGGCTCTAACATTGGAAAGGAGAAGAAGTAATGAACTATTAAAAAAAAAAAAAGTCTAGAATGTAGCTTAGAGAACAGCTGGATGAAGTACTCTGGAAGTAAAGGACACCACAGATGTGGGGATTAAAGACCCGAGCGGAGAAGCAGATGGGCCATCTACATAGAAAATGCTACCCAAGGTGACGGCCAAACTTGGAGTGGGGAGTCAGTTGTCTAGTTTAAGTTAATCTTTGATTTAAAAGACAAGTAGAAACCAGAAGTTGATGATCCCCTTTACAAATTATATAACATAACTCCTTAAACAAATCTAAAACTTAATATCTTATATGAATTTATAAAATGTTAATACATTTCATATTATTATGTATAAAATATAAAATGAGATAAACTGTAAAGGTAAATCGGTGGTATTGATAAAATCAATTCAGAGGACTTCATTGACCTCTTCAGTGGGGAAAAAGGTAGTATTGTACCTGTGACCTAGAAAGCATAGAATACAGAACAGAAGCAGTTGTGTGTATAGGCAAATGACATTTTGCAGGTATGAATTTTTAACATAAATGAATGGGCCTACCCTTTTTTCAGAGCTTATATTTATCTAATAAGAAACTGAGTATTCCTCTTCCCTGTTGTTTACCCACCTCAAGACACTTTATCTAAATTAACAGTGAAAAGGAAGAAAATATTTCTAGCAATTTTTTATCTGGTCCTATACTCATCTAGTTCCTACCAGTTGGTCAACTGGAGAGAAAATATTTATATAACACTAGATAGTATTTGACAGTGCTACAATAGCAACTGCTTATATTTAGATTAGAATGTGACTTTGTGGCTCTTTATGTGACCATTTCATTCAGTAAGACTATCCTACTCAGGTCCTTTAGGCATTTCAGAAAACAAATTACTTTGGTTGAAGTTCAGGATTGATTCATCTTACAACAAAATTTTTATGTGGTTGACATAATCCTGGAATTTTCTCTTTAAATTGTAGTGTACAATTTGGAATTATAATAGATATGTTTTGCTTGCTTTGTTTTCTAAATTGCATGTTACATTCATTTTTAAAATATTTTTCTTTCTCTGGGATTTTTTGGTAGTGTCAATTCTATCTGTGTATCCATTGATAGCCTATGACTTGACTAAGAAAGTATCACTAACAATAATTATAGAATCCAGTTTCCCCAGTATGTTTTCACAGGGTAAATATAGTTGTTAAAAACTAAATCAGTACAAATCTTTCCCTACAGTGTTCAAATGGCACTTCATTATTATATCCACCACATATTAGAATGTTATTTAAAGATGCTCAAAAAAAGACTAGATTGTAACTAGAGTAATGTATTTGGAAACACAAAGAAAAATGTATTAATCATGAGCAATATAACCAGAAAGACAAATGTTGGCAGCGGTCCATCCAAGCAGAGATAAGTAGACACTGTTTACTAGCCCACACTTATTTCTATTGCAGAAATGCTAGTAAAGCCTCAGATCAAATATGTAACTTATCCTGATCCCATGTACATAAAATCTATTTCTGGTTATTTGTGGGAAAAAAGCACTCTGGCAAGAAGACAGGAGTGTTGGATTATGTTGGCTCTTACATTCCTTATTGTCAAATAACATGCTGCCTTTATGATTTATACACTTCAATCTCCTGTGAATTTAGTTAGTGTGAGTCATCCAACACATCTGACTAATTATAGGGTATTGACAAGATTGAGTCTCTGGGCCTGTGAAGTTGGACCAGAGTGAAGTCACCAATGTCATAATTCTACTCTGTGTGACCTGTTGACCTCTTGGAATTTGACTCTCTGGCTTCCCCAACCTCAAAGCTTCCAAAATTCCATAATGATATTCTGTATTTACAAGAAGAGATTAGCTACAACACAAGGAGTAAATGGGGTCTCCTTCTGCCAATCAAGATATCTCCATGTGATTGATATATGAACATTATAATTGAACACTTACATCAAGACTCCCCTCTTTACCCCCCCATTCACTTACACAGAAAAAGTCAAAATAAATTACTGTAGTTACAGAATTATTTTATTGTAACAATGCCTTTACAATAAACAAATATCATTGGGTTTTCTAAAAGTGAAATCATTTCAAGCATAATGAAGAAAATGAGAGACAATATGATGTAGTTGAAGAAAAGTTTTTAAGATATTAAAACTTTTAATATCTTTTAATAGTTTTAAGATATTAAAATTTTAATATCCTGGGCATTATGGCATGTACCCAGGAATGGACAAACCTTGCCCTACGCAGCATCATTCTTGGTTGGATGGCAGGAGGGGTCTGCACGCCAGGATCAAGAGGAGAATGAGAATCAAAGGATGACTTCATTAACACAAAGACAGAAAAGCACAGGAACACCCATTGGTGTGCTCTGCTTGTATTGTCAGAAATAAAGCCGAGGAGAAGCCATGTAGGCACCCACCTTTGCTTACCATGATCTTCATCCTTCACATCCTCCACTCATACAAACAAACTTGAGTAAAAACCTTGAGATCTTGCCACTTTCTGAATCATACCTCTGTATGGATAAAGTTGAGAAAAGAAGGAATTGGCCTGGGTGAAATTACTGTGTGAGTTTATGAAGTGAAAGAGGAAAGAGAGAGCAGAGTTTAGGCTCATACCTTTCAAGGTACAGGGACCCTGCCCACTTAGTTGTGGCCAAACAGGGTGAGGGAGTAATGAGTGGTCAAGGGTGCTGGGTAGTCAAAGGAGCATGGAGAGGTAGGATTGGCACAGAATAGATCAGCTGAAAATTCCCCTAATGCACAGTGTAAAAGGAAAAACCTCAGGCTTTGGTATCAGATAAATCTGAGTTCAATATTAATTCATTCCTAATTGGCTTTATGGTTTCTGTATGATCCTCAATTTCCTAATTTGTGAAATGTGAATAGTAATTTCTACTAGGAATATTATGAATATTAAATAAAAGTCAAAACAATAGTGACTGGCACAGAGTGGGTTCTCAATAATAGATGGTTATTATTACTAAATATGAAAAATTTGTTGATCACACATACTTGGTTTAAAGGAGGGTTCATCTAACAGATAAAAGAGCCAGATTTGTTATGCTCAATATTTATTTATTTAGCATTTTTTCTATACTAAAAATAGCTTTAAACTATTTCACTTAAGTATCATTTTCTTTTACTTACTACCAAAATCATTCTAATAACTTCATTTCTCTATAATTATCTAGGGACTGAATCATTCTCTCACACATACTCACTTTCATCAATACTTAGGAGTGTCTAAGAATATTCATTTGGGATCAGTCTAGTCATACCAAATGTGTATTCAATCTGCTACAATAATTGAGATAAATTTTGTTAGTCATAGTCACTACATCATTTTATTACCTTGTCATGAAAATATATACAAGCCTTTTTTCATTTTCTGAATATGAATTTTATTCAACATTCCCATCCCCTGGGATTTAGAGACGTACCAAAGGTTGCATAGCACCAGATTATTTCATCATGGAATTGTGAAATTAAGAACTGTTCTGCCAGAGGCTCCTGGTCGACAATAAATGGCGAAATTCAAGACTCTTTTACTAATGTATGCCCTTAGTAGCTTGTTTTTAAGACAGCAGTACAGAATGTCTCCGTGTGATTAAACTTGAGGAAACCTTAATTCACGGTTAACTTTTACTTAGCTTCCGTTCTCTATCACTTCCCTTTCTTTCATGTTTGTATTCGTATATGAAGAGATCCCAAAAGAAAAATGTGTGTCACAAAAAAAGGATTTATAATCAGAAAATGTGAGATTCATTCTCTGGTTCCAACTCTGTGACTTAGATAAGTTACTTAACCACAATCAGCTTCAATTTCTCATCTGTAAAATGTAAATTGTATATAACTCTCAGAGCTGTGGGAAAAATTGAATGAAACATCTGTAAAGTACCTAGCCTCTAAGATACTCATTGAATGCTAGATTACTACTTCCCTTGTCTTCTCTTATCTTTTTCTTTTCAGTAATAATAATAATAGCAACTACCTTAACTACTTTGTAACTGCTTTTAGAATATGAAGAATATGATCAATTTAAGGGAAACGTAAAAGCACAACTTCAGCTGTTATTCCACTAATTTTCATTCACTTGGAACTCTAATATTAGTCGTGGTTACAGAGGGGCTTTATATATCTCAAAGAGTTGTGAAGATTAAAAGAGAGAACTTTTTCAAAATACTGTCAGCTCTTTGAAGCATCTCTGTGCCTCAAAGTGAATTTAAAGTGGTCAATAAATATTTGTTTAAAGAATGCTTGCTAAAGACTTAATGAACAAATAAAGGTAAATGTGCTTCGTTAATTGTGTTACACACACACACACACACACAAGTATTCATTATGTTCTTAAAAAGTCGAGAGGTAAATTTGTTTGGATTAATCTTCCATTTTATAGTCTTCCCTTGTAGTTTGACTTGAGCCGGTTCATAGAAAATGAAAAGTTACCTTAGATTACATACAAAACCCTGAGTTTCTAATGAGAAGACATTATCACTAATGAAATAAATGTCTATGCACCATTCTGAAAACACAACTGTAGCAATTATTTTTTCCATTCATCAGTGACAAAAATATGTTAGTGGAACATGAATTGAAAGAAGAATATCTAAAGTTTGGTTTTTATAGTTATAAAAATAGAATTCTATTAGATTAAATTATATTGACTACAATAGTTTCATAAATACTATATCATCAATAATCTGTTACATTTTTATTATTCTTATTGTAGTATTCTATTCCTAGTAAGATACTTTGGAAATCAACAGCATCATTGTATATAAAGTTTTTAAATTTAATTATCAAGTATTTTCTTTAAGGGAGGATGGGGGTAGTGAAGGGTGGGAAGAAGAAAGAAGATGAAGAGGAGGAGGTGGAGAAGAAGATAAGGAAAAGGAGGAGGAAAAATAAGAGGAGGAGGAATCAAGCAGACTCAGTAATAACAAAATGTAATGTCTTTGGGTCCAAGAGGGCACAGAATAATGTTCCTGAGGACCATGATAAGTACTCTAACAAATTGTTCCTTGCTCTTGCAACATTAACTTTGCCCTAAGAATCAAGTTCTTCCTTAAGGATGTTGAAACATCTGTTCTATAATTCAAAGACACCCAGGGGTGAGTATAGTTGGGACTATTTCAAAATGTGTTTTTAAACAGAATTATATGAGCTTTTTGCATTTTCTATAATCGATACTCTGATTAATAAAGTATCTGTAAAACTTTAAAATAATATTACAGAAATGTAGACTTCTTTAAACTGACAACTAAACTTAAGTTTCTTCTTTGAAATAAACCATTTGTCATTTGTCACTGTCATTTGTCATTAGACTTCTGAAAGCAAGTGAAACATTTTTCAAACTGTCTGAGAGCTGCTAGCTACATATGTGTAATATCAAGAAAAGGCAAGCCCTATGTTAACATTTAGGGTGAAAAATCAGGTTACGAACAAACCTCAAGGGATTACTTCTAAAGTTTCTCAGGGTGATGCTGAGAGGAGGAACTAATGTACCATTGACCCCGCACCCTCAGACCTAAGAGCTCTAAGTGTAAGCACTCCACCCTCACACAGCTGCATGGCCCAATTTAGGCATATGTTCTTGAGAGGAAAAAGTCAGGAAAAAAAAACAGAGAGATTGCACAATCCCAGAGATTTTGCCAACGTGCTCCCCAGCTTGCCTGAGACACCCTGGATCTGGCTCTCAGACACGCTGAAAGGGCTTTCCTTGATCTCCACAAAGCCAGAAGCAGGGCTGCTCTAGCAGCCAGTTGATTCTCCTGGGTCAGTTAAACCCAAGTTTAATCGCCTCGTAACATCTGGATGCAGCAGAGAAAGACTCTTTGTTGTCATGTCCAGCATCAGCCCAACACAAAACTAACTAGCTAAATCATATTCTGTCTTCCTTTTGATATTTCAGTGTATGATTTTCCTAAATAAAAATAGGCAGAGTTTATTTTGGGGCAGTAGGCTTCTCTTTTCTTTATATTATGGTTTTTTAAGAAAAATTCTCTGTGAAAAAACATTAAATATATTTACCCAATGCTACAATTAGAAAAAATAGAATTTTCCAATGTTAAAAAACTGATAATGTCAACAGAAATTTAGAGTCATAATAGAATTATTTAAAACATCATTATTCCTATGAAGATCAAAATAATCCTTTATTTCATATTATCCTCTGTGGCATAAGATACTCAATAGCTAAAATGTATCTGTTTTTTAAAAAAGTCTGGTTTTTGAGTCCTCTCCTTTAAACCAAGAAAGACATGTAGGTGGGGCAAGGGAGAAAAGAAACCTAAAATAGGAAGAAGAAAAAAAACAAAAGGAAGGAAGGAAGGGAGGGAGGGAGAGGTGAAGGGGGAGAGAGAGACAGTAAAGCAATAATATTTTCTTTCTTTATTGTCTGAAAAGACACAGTAATATTCCTGGGGATGATGACAAGCACTCTCTGATAAAGGTGTGCTGTGCATTAGGACTTTTGTGTTTGGTTCTTTATGACTGACATTCAGAGAAAATAATCAATGTATGACTATTAGAATTTTTCTTGGGTCCTAAAAGCAAAAGTGCAAAACCAGCATAGTGTTTCCAATACAAATGGGCATACATATATCACATATATCCCAAGTAGGGTATGTAACATACCCAAACAAGAAAGCACTCATTAAGACAGAGTTTTTGTACTATTTTTACTTATTAACCCTGGTATTACCTCAAACATGAGTTTTCTCTGTCTTTACTTTGGCAGGGAACCTACAAAATTCTGTTCTAACTGGACAATATCTATTTTAAGTCTCTTCAACAGACTACACTCTTGAATCCAAACTGGAACTGAGTTATGTGTTTGTACAGAAAACAATACTTTCTATGCAACACCATTAACTATTCCCTAGAAGCAGCAACTTTACATTTTACTATTTAATTACTTTATACTAAGGGCACGTGCATTACAACAGGTCCACTATGTCCAATAGTTTATTCACATGACAAGGCCCTTCCTGATCATGGCCATTAGAAGATACAACATATAGAGAGGCACTATCCCTAAGGTACTCAGGAAATGTTAAGTGTCCCAATAAAGAAAAATATTTGTACATCCCCTACAATTGCTCACTGAATAAATAAATTATAGCATGTTCAATCAATGAAACCAGATACAGCTATTAAAAATGAAGACTATGACAAATACAAAAAACATGAAAATGTTTGATATAATGTTAATTTGTTAAAAGAAGGTGACATTCAAAGTTATAAATGTATTTGTGTATCTACATGTTTGTGCTTGAGTATATATGTGTGTGTGTATACATGTGCCTATACACACACATGCAATGGACTGAACTCTTGAAAATATATTGAAAAATATAGATAGAAATGAATTAAAATGTTCACAGTCACTGTGTTAATGCAGAGTTGTATATAGTATTATTTTTGTTTATTTTCTCTTTAGAGGTTTTTGTAATTCATAGTTTTTAATATTTTTAATGGAAAGAATTTAGAAAACATTATGCAAAACTTTTCAGATCTTTTTTTTAAGAAGTCCAATATGGAACATAAAACTCTATTGGTATATATCTCTAGAATATACCCACCTTGACCCAGGTAACACCTTAAAACCAGGCACACACCCCTTCCTCAGTGAAATGAGTTCTTTAGTTTTTAAAAGGCACAAATTTGTATTTATGACAAAACATTAACACAAAATAGATTGTCTTTTCTTTTGAAATAAGATAATATAATTAGGAATTTTTATCATACAAAACAGAGGGAAACAATCTTAAAATTATTAACAACTTTTTAATTGCATGTTTTGCGAAATTGTGCTATTTCCAGACATAACTTTTTATTTAACTGCTATTTTCCTATTTTTAAAAATGGAGTCATCATTTCAAATAAAGGAAAATAATATGGCCACAGCCACTTTTTATATTTTTTCAATGTTTAAGGATTTCTAATTACTCTATGCTGAAATTTAATCATATATCTTCAGTTCTGTCTGTAATGTTATTAGCATAATGTTCTCCTAGCACAGCTCTACCAGCTTTTAACCCGGCTGACACTTTTCCTGTATTTGTGCTCTGTTTAACACAAGCAAGCCTGCAGCTTCCTGTGTGATGGTGATAACATATGACTGGTTTTGTTGTTGGCTGCTGGATTGAAGAGGAAGACAATGCCCTTTGACCTCTGTCAAGTAGAATAAAGCTTATCAGATCCTCACCAGATATCATTAAAGGAAATGGGCTGAGAAGGCTGCTTCTGGTAGGAAACATATATTTTAGAAAACTGTCACTGCTAATCTTTTTTACTATGGCACTAGAAAATCACTTCTGCAAATTTCAGTCCTTCCAGACAATGAAAACATACTAAGGTAAACTGAAGAAACTAACAAGAAAACCATAACAGGCAGTAAATTACTCCCTTGCAATGCCCTTTACCAAAAGAATTTACTCACAATAATTATTAGAAATTGATTCTCAACTCCATTGTGTTAAAAAGGTCAAGGACTAATGTAAACTTCTATACATTTTTTAATCAAATACAAATATATGGATTATCTACATTTAAGTTACAATAGATTTATTCCCAACTGAATTAATTCAGTCTCTTAGGAGATTCCATTAGGCAGAATATTGATAGTCACCCATTCAAATCTCCTTGCCCTCTCCCCATCCCCACCCTTAAATGTACATCCTTCTATTCAAACTATCCCAAGAGAAAGAACTATGCTGTTGTGTTACGTCAGGGTCACAAAACCAAAAGGCCACCCACACTAGAAAGATAATGTAAATGAATATAGTTGACGGGGCAATTGGACAAAATGAAGAAAGTATTCCCCAAGTAAAGAAGGCAGCTCTATTCAATTTCAACTTATTATTACCTTAAGGAATTTGAGTCCACTCTTTCGGATCTTTAATTTTTCAGGAGAAATCTAGAATCCAGATTTCTATATAAAACAACCCAATTTTAAAATTGTGACAACATATTCAAAATTACTTTTTACAAACACTGGGCTAGACAAACAAACAGATCTATTAGCTGAACTTGGCTCATGAGCCACCATTTTGCAACCTCTAGTCTGGGACGAACTAAATGACATACAATTAGTCATCCTATCAGCATTGCATTGAGTTTGTGGTAAGTAAGTAAATTGTGTCTCTACTTCTTGTGGGTGTTTTGTGTCTTGAAGCTAATGGGATAAGATAGGTCCTAGAGGTTCCTTCTGCTTGGATTGGGGCCAGGTGAAACCAGAGAAAACTCCAGTAGAAAAGAAATACAGAGTGGGAAATTTAGGCCAATTCTATTTTGCACCTTGGGATAAAGGATAAGAGGTGCTTCTGAGACTGCTTTGAATTCTAGTTCTGCTCACTAAGAAAACTATATTGGAATTTGGGCTAAAAATCATGGTCATAGAAAGAACTGTATGTTGGTCAAATGTATCCCTTAGGCATACGTCATTCCATTACTACATGTGATAGGCCAATGGGTAACTGAACAGGGATGTGAGTTTCAGATTCAAGTGCTGATAAAATTTACAGGAGTTCCCCAGTAAAATCTAAGACTGGAGAATTAAATACATTATTAATAATAATACCTTAAATGTATAAATTTTTTACCAATATTTTCTATTTTCTAATTCATCAAGTCCATGAATAGTCAAAACTAGCAGCTTTATATAAACATTAACTTTTGAGAATGATTAGAAGTAAAATTAGTACCGAATTTATCAATGTATATATAATTATTTACAATGAATAAACACTAATGTTAATTTCTACACAAAATATTTTAAAAACTCAACCACAAAAAAAATGTTATAGGTAACATCAGCAAGATGTCAGAATAAAAGGCCCCAGACCCTCCTCCCTCTCATGGAGATATCGATTCAATAATACCTACCCTCATTCCCTTTATGAGAAATCTAGAAACCAGTTAAAAGACTCTTTTTATCCCCAAGGAAACAGGAAACCAATTGTATCAAAGCTAGTAGAAAAATTCATAGCATCCTATTCTCTTTTGCCACAGTACTTTTCCCTGGCACAATGCCACATGATCAGGAAGAAACACTCAGCTCCTGGCTTCTCCCTAGGGAGTAAAAGAGAAGATGGAAATACATGCCCAATGTTCTGACTTTAGTGGAAGCTGCCAAGGGGATCAGCTTCTGTCTGATCTTTCTTGGAATGCTGATGGGACCCAGAATACTCTGGCTGCCTGGGGGCCACTACGAACAATAGAGCTGAATAGCATGCTGTTGCTTCAGAGGGACCACAGTACAGCAGGCAGACGCTGATAATGACTTTATGGTCTATTGCTCAGGTTGCAAAGAAAAGAACAGGACAGGTGTTTTGGCTTTTGGGGGAGCTGTCCAAGGGACTGATTTCTGTCTCTTTTATCTCAAAACATGGACAGCACTCAGCATAATCTAGATGGCTAGGGACCAATGAAAAGAAAAACAAGCTGAGCAATGTGCTCCTGCTCTAGAGGGCCCATGGTACAGCAGAGAGAAGACAATATAGCTCAGTGGACTCTCCCTCAGGGGGAAAAGAGAAGAGTGGAATATGCATCCAAAGATCCAGCTTTTGGAGGGGATGCCTGAGGCACTGGTTTCTGTTTAGTAAAACTTGGGGTGCTGATAAGACCCAATATCTTCTAGATGCCTGCGGGCCACTGAGAACAAGAACAAGCTGAGCAACATGCTCAGAGAAGATACATCCATAGAAAATGTTTCAGAAATTCTCAAAATCTCTAGCTAAGCTGATTAGTGAATGTCTTTTCCTTTTATAAAGTCAATCTGTAAAGACTAGGAGAGGTGACTGTCTTTTCAAATGCATAGGTACCAACACAAAGTTACAAGGAACATGAAGGAAAAGAGGAAAATAATCCAATCAAAGATACAAAAAAAAAAATTCCAAAAACCAACCATAAAGAAATGAAGGTATGTAAATTTCCCAACAAATAATTTGAAATAACCATAAATATGCTCAATGAGCTGAGCAAAAATGATACATGAACAAAAAGATAATTTCAATAAAGAAACAGAAAATATAAAAAAGAA
The DNA here is from genome assembly GCF_000001405.40 of Homo sapiens. Taxonomy (NCBI): domain Eukaryota; kingdom Metazoa; phylum Chordata; class Mammalia; order Primates; family Hominidae; genus Homo; species Homo sapiens. Next base: position 186,881,905 of record NC_000002.12, on the reverse strand, counting down.
CTTAACAGAAATTTTGGAGAGGAAGAATGCAGTGAGTGAACTAAAAAATTTACTAAAGAGTTTCAACAGCACACTTGACCAAGAAGAAAAGAGAATAACTAAACTTGAGTCATTTTAAATTACCCAGTCAGAGGAACAAAAAGGAAAAGAAGAAAAGAAGTGAAGACGACCTAAGCTTCTTATAGAACACCATCAAGTGGACCAATATATGCACTATGGAAATTGCAGAAGAAGAGAGAGGAAGAGAAACATAAAATTTATTTTTTTAATTGATGAAAACTTTCCAAATCTGGGGAAGAAAATAAACACCTAGATTTAAGACACCCAATCTAACCAAATTAGGAAGATCCAAAGAAATCCACGCCATGCCACATTATAATCAAATTGTCAAAATTCAGACAAAGAAAGACTTTTGAAAGCAGCAAGAGAGTAGCAACTTGTGATTTACAAGACAACTCCCATTAGACTATCAGCATACTTCTCTACAGAAATCTTACAGATGAGAAGAGAGTGTAATGGTATTGATGGCATATTCAAAGTGCTAAAATGAAAAAACTGCCAACAAAGAGTACTAGATTAGGTGAAACTCTTTCTCAAAAATAAAGGAAAAATACAAAGTTTCTCAGATAAGCAAAAGCTGAGACAGTTCACCACTGTAAGACCTGCTTTACCAGAAATGCTAAAGAGTCCTTCAAGTTGAAATAAAAGAGATAAAACAGCAACAGCAACTTCTATACAATTATATAAACTGTAAAGCTTGTTGATAAAGGTAAATATATAGACAAATACAAAATACAATAATAACGTAATTGTAGTGCAAAAATCACTTTTAATTTTGGTATAGAGTTAAGAGACGAAAGTATGAAAATAACTACAACTATATTAAAATGTTAATAGATACACAATATTAAAAGATGTAATTTGTGACATTAATAACATGAAGAGGGGGCAAAAATGTAGTTTTTGTATGCAATTGAACTGAAGTTATCAGCTTAAAATGGATTGTTATAACTATAAGATGTTTTATGTAAGCATCATGGTAACCACACAGAAAATGCCAATATAAGATACACAAATGAGAGAGGAATCAAAGCATGTCCCTACAAAAAAAAAAAAAATCAATGAAACACAAAGGAAGACAACAAGAGAGGAAAAGAGGGGCAAAAGAACTATGAGATAGAAAGCAATTAACAAAACTGAGGTAGTAAATTTTTCCCTATCAATAATTACTTTAAGTGTCCACGGATTAAACTCAACAATAAAAAAATCTAGAGTAGACATAGTGGTTAAAAAAAAGACAAGATCCAACTATATGCTGACTATAAGAGACTCACCTTAGATTTAATGACACACATAGGCTGAAAATAAAAGGATGGAGAAAGATATTTCAGGCAAATGGTAACCAAAAGAGCAAGAATAGCCATACTTAGACAAAATTGACTTTAATTAATTGACTTTAATAAAATGTCTTTATTAAAATTGACTTTAATAAAGTGTCACAAAGAGACAAAGAAGGATATAATAATAACAAGTTAAGAACAGGTTCAACTTGTTACTATTGTAACAGGAAGATATAACTATCTATCTATCTATCTATCTATCTATCTATCTATCTATCTATCTATCTATCATCTATCTGCACTCAACATCACAGCACTTAAATATGTGAAGCAATCATTGACAGAATTGAAGGGCAAAATAGGCAACAAAATAATAATAGCAGACTTCAATATACTACTTTCGACATAGATGTAAAAATCCTCAAGCGAATACACTAAATTTATATATGTACACACACATATATATACATACACACACACACACACACACACACACACATATATATATATATACACATATTCCACCCAACAGCACCAGAATACACATATTTGACAAGTTCACATGGGACATTCTCCATGATAGATCATATGTTAGGTCACAAAACAAGTCTTAACAAATTTAAGAAGATTGAAATCATATGAAGGTATTTTTCCAACCACAATAGAATGAAACTATATATCTATAGCAGTAGAAAAACTGGAAAATTGACAAATATATGGAAATAGAAATGAAATAGAAACTAGAAAAAAATTAACAAAGTTGGTTTTTCAAAAAAGTGAGCAAAATTGACAAATCTTTAGCTAGACTAAGAAATAAGATAGAATAATCAAACTAAATCAGAAATGAAAGAAGAATAACTGATACCACAGAAATACTAAGTATCACAAGAGACTATTCTTAATAAATAATTATATACCAACAAATTAAATAGCCTAGAAAAAAAAGTGGATAAATTCCTAGGCACACATAACCTACAAAGGATGACTCATGAAGAAAAAGAAAAATCTGAAGTAGACCTATAACAAGTAAGGACAGTGAATCAGTAACACAAAGATTGCCATCTAAGAAAAGCCAAGGAACTGATGACTACACAGCTCTATTCTACCAAATATGTAAAGAACTAATATCACCAGGCACGGTGGCTCATGCCTGTAATCCTAGGACTTCAGGAGGCCAAGGTAGGTGGATCACCTGAGGTCAGGAGTTCGAGGCCAGCCTGGCCAACATAGTGAAACCCCATCTCTACTAAAAATACAAAAATTAGCCAGGCGTGGTGGCACCAGCCTGTAATCCCAGCTACTCAGGGCAGGAAAATTACTTGAACCTGGGAGGCAGAGGTTGCAGTGAGCCAAGATCACACCATTGCACTCCAGCCTGGGCGACAAGGGTGAAACTCCATCTCAAAAAAGAAAAAAAAGAACTAATATCAATCCTTCTCAAGCTCTTTCAAATAACTGAAGAAGAGGGAACACTTTCTACCTCCTTTTATGAGGCCAGGATTACTTTGATACTAAAGCTAGACAAGGACACTAGAAGAAATAAAAATTATAGGCCAATACTGTAATGAACATAGATGCAAAAACCCTCAACAAAATACTAGAAAATTGAATTTAACAGCATTTTAAAAGGATTGTTCACTATAATAAAATGGGATTTACCCCAGGAATGCAAGGACAGTTCTACATATGCAAATCTATAAATGTGATACACCACACATTAAAGAATGAAGAACAAAAATCACATGATCATCTCAATAGATGTAGAAAAAACATTTGACAAAATATAACATTCTTTTATAATAAAAACTCTCAACAAATTAGGTGCAGAAGGAACATATCTCAACACAATAAAAGCTATCTATGATAAACCCACAGCTAACAGAAGCTTTCCTTCTAAGATCAGGAACAAGACAAGGATGCCCATACCTACCACTTCTATTCAACATGGTACTAGAAGTCCTAGCCAGAACAATTAGGCAAGAGAAAGAAATAAAAGGGATCCACATTGAAAAGTAAAAAGTTAAGTTGTCCCTGTTTCTGGATAACATGATCTTATATACAAAAAACTCTGAAGACTCCACACACACACACACAAAAAAAACATTATGACTAATAAGCAAATTCAGTAAGGTTGCAGGACACAAAATGAACATACAAAAATCAGAAGGATTTCTATACACTAACAATGAACTATCCAAAAAAGAAATCAAGAAAACAATCCCATCTATAATAGCTAAAAATATAATATGATAAAATACCTAGGAATAAATTTAACCAAGAAGGCAAAAGGCCTGTACATTGAAAACTAAAATATTGATCTAAGAGATTGAAGAAGATACAAATAAACTAAAAGATATCCTGTGTTCATAGGTTGGAAGAATTAATATTGTTAAAATGTCCACACTACTTAATACGATCTACAGATTAAATGCAATCCCTACCAAAATAACAATAACATTTTCACAGAAATTGAAATAAAACTTAAAATTTTATTGAAGCACAAAAGACCCTGAACGGCCAAAGCAATCTTGAGCAAAAAGAACAAAGTTGGAGGCAACACACTGCCTGACTTCAAAATACACTATGAAGCTACAGTAATCAAAACAGCCTGATACTGACATGAAAACTGACCAAGAGAACAGAATAGAGATCCCAGAAATAAATCCACATGTTTATGGTCATTGATTTTTGACAAAGGTCCCAAGATACAATGAGGAAAGGAATGTTTCTTCAATAAATGGTTTTGGGACAACTGATTATCCACATGCAAAAGAATGAAATTAGATCCTTATCTCACACTAGATACAAAAATCGACTTAACATGGATTAAAACTTAAGGGTAACACTTGAAACTGTAAAAGTTGCTAAAAGAAAACAAGAGAAAACCTGCATGAAATTGGTCTTGGCAAGGATTTTTTAAATATAAACCCAAAAGAACAGACAACAAAAGCAAAAATAGACAAATGAGATTAACTAAAAACTTCTGCATAGCCAAGAGAAAAATCAACAGATTGAAGACAACCTACAGAATGGTAGAAAATATTTGCAAACCATACATCTGATAAGGGGTCAATATCCAAAACATATAAATAACTCGGACTCAGTAGTAAGAAAACAAATAGTAGTAAGAAAACAAATAGTAGACTCAGTAGTAAGAAAACAAATAATCCAATTTAAAAATAACCCAATTAAAAATAGACAAAGGACCTAAATAAATATTTCTCAACAAGAAGACATACAAATGGCCCACAGGTATATTTTTAAATGCTCAAAATCACTAGTAATCAGAGAAATGCAAATTAAAACCATAGTGATAAATCATCTCACATCTGTTAGAATGGCTATCACTAAAACAAAAAAAACAAAAAAGATAACAAGTCTTTGGCAAGGTTGGAAAGAAAAGGGAATACTTGCACACTGTTGGTTGCAATGTAAATTAGTATAGACATTATAAAGAACAGAATAGAAATTTCTCAAAAAATTAAAAGTAGAACTACTACATGGTAGATCCATAAATTTCACTCCAGGGTATATCCAAAGGAAATGAAATCAGTATGTTGAAGAGATAACCTGCAATCCCATGGTTCTTGCAATATTATCCACAATGACCAAGATATGGAGTCAATCTAAGTGTTCATCAACAAATGAACAAAGAAAATGTGATATATACACACAATACGATACTCTTCAGCTTTAAAAAAGAAGAAAATCTTGTCATTTGCAACAACATGGATGAACTTGAATGAAATAATGCTTAGAGAAATAAACCAAGCACAGAAAGACAAATACTGCATGATCTCACTTAGACGTGGAATCTAGAAAAGTTGAACTCAGAAGTAGAAAGCAGAATGGTAGGTAGCAGGGGTTAAGGGTGGCAGTAGTTGTTTGTCAAAAGGCACAAAATTTTAGTGAGATAGAAAAAAAAAGTTCAAGAGATCTATATGGTGTACCACATGGTGATTATATTTAATAATAGCATAGGAGGGGACGTTTTTTTTTTTTTTTTTTTGAGATGGAGTCTTAGTCTGTTGCCCAGGCTGGAGTGCAGTGGCGCCATCTTGGCTCACTGCAACATCCACCTCCTGGGTTCATGCCATTCTCCTGCCTCAGCCTCCCGAGTAGCTGGGACTACAGGCACCAGCCACCACGCCCAGCTAATTTTTTATATTTTTTAGTAGAGATGGGGTTTCACCGTGTTCGCCAGGATGGTCTTGATCTCCTGACCCCATGATCTGCCCATCTTGGCCTCCCAAAGTGCTGGAATTACAGGCATGAGCCACCACGCCCGGCCAGGAGGGGACTTTTAAAAGTTCATGGAAAATGTGTATTATCAAAAACTATGCATAGATTTCAAAGTTTTCCTGCACCAAAATAAACTCATACTAACTTGTTATGGCATGTCTGAACAGGACCTAGTTTCAGGCATGAGGAAGGACATCAGTTTGAAAGGAGCCCCTATTTGAACAACATGAATTCTACTAAAATTGAAGCAAACATAAATATCAAATTTATGGTGAACCCTGGGTAAAAGAATGCTGAAATCACTGGTGCTTTATGAAAAGTTTATGGAGACATTGCCCCAAAGAAATCAGCAGTTTACAAATGGATAACTCATTCTAAGGAGAGATCAGACATGTTGAAAATGAAGCCTGCAGTAGCAGACCATTCACATCAATTTGCAAGGAGGAAATTAATCTTGTTCATGGCATAATTGAAGAAGACCAATGATTAATAATAGAAAAAATAGCCAACATTATAGACATCTCAGTTGGCCCAGTTTACACAATTCTTACTAAAAAATTAAAGTTAAGCAAACTTTCCACTTGATGGTTGCCAAAACCATTGCACCCAGATCAACTGCAGAGAAGAGCAAAGCTTTCAATGGAAATTTTAAACAAGTAGAAGAAAGCTCCTGAAGCATTGCTTTGAAGAATTGTATCAGGAGACAAAACATAGCTTTGCCAGTATTATCGTGAAGACAAAGCACAATCAAAGCAATGGCTACCAAAAGGTGGAAGTGTTCCAGTCAAAGCACAAGGGGACTGGTCAAGAGCAAAGGTCATAGCAACAATTTTAGAGATGCTTAAGGCATTTTGCTTGTTGACTTCCTGAAAGGCCAAAAAATGATAACATCTGCTTATTATGAGAGGGTTTTGAGAAAGTTAGCTAAGCTTTAACCAAAAAATGCCCAGGAAATCTTCACCAGAGAGTCCTTCTCTACCATAACAATGTTCCTGCTGATTCCGCTCATTAGTCATTCACCTTACAGTGCTGATTTGGCTCCTTTGGCTTATTTTTGTCCTAATCTTAAAAAATCTTTAAAATGCACTTATTTTTCACCAGTTAATGTAAAAAAAAGACTGCATCGATATGGTTAAATTCCCAGGACTCTCAGTTCTAATGGGATGGACTAAACGGCTGGTATCATCACTACAAAAGTGTCTTAAACTTGATAGAACTTATATTGAGAAATAAAGTTTATATCTTTAATTTTTATCGTTTGATTTCATTTTTCACAAACTCTTTGAAGTCCCCTCATGTCGTATTCTTAAAATTCGTAGAGATTAGATTTTAAGTGTTCTCACCACAAAAACGAGAATGTGAGGTAATACATATATCAGTTAGCTCAATTTAGCCATTGCACAATATATACCTATTTCAGAATATGTTTTATGTGATAATGTGTAATTTTTATTTCTCAGTTAAAAATATATGTTTATTAAAATATGGCTTATATATATACAATGAAATATTTTTCAGCCATTTAAAAAAGGAAAATCTGTCAGAAGTGACATGGATGAACCTTGAGGACATTATGCCAAGTGAAATAAGCCAGTCTCAGAAGGACAAATATTGCAATATATTCTACTTCTATGAGGTAGGTAAAGTAGTCAAACTCATAAAAGCAGAAAGTAGAATGATGTTTTTCAGGAATTTGGAGGAGAGGGAAATGGAGAATTGCTTTTTAATGGGCATAAAGCTTCAGTTATGCAATATGAAAAGTTCTAGAGATCTACTCTACAATAATGTGCTTCTAGTTAACTATGCTATACTGTGTACTTAATTGTTAAGCTAGTTAAAAAAAGAGTACTATAGTTTCATAGCACACAAATCACTTTGTTTGAGATATGATTGCAACCTAATGATGAAATTCAAATAGGCCGGGTGCTGTGGCTCGCACCTGTAATCCCAGCACTTTGGGAGGCCAAGGCGGGCAGATCACGAGGTCAGGAGATCAAGACCATCCTGGCTAACACGGTGAAACCCCGTCTCTACTAAAAATACAAAAAATTAGCTGGGCATGGTGGCGGGTGCCTGTAGTCCCAGCTACTCAGGAGGCTGAGGCAGGAGAATGGTGTGAACCCAGGAGGCAGAGCTTGCAGTGAGCCGAGATCGTGCCACTGCACTCCAGCCTGGGCGACAGAGGGAGACACTGTCTCAAAAAAAAAAAAAAGAAATTCAAAGAATAGTCATTGGGACAACATTTGTATCAACTTGTCCATTTTTTCTCAAATGGAATTACTCAGGTAAATTACAAATCTATTTCATGGAATGTACAACACTCAACATATTTTGACCATCTTACAAGTGTCAGATAAGAGTACAGATTTTTTTAGAAACCTTCTAAAACTGACATTTCACTCCACTCCCAGCTCTTGGGACTCTAGAACAGTGTTAAAATTCTGAGTCTAAATTTGGCACATAGTAATTCTCAGAATTTCTAGGATTTCAATATAATCATTACTTGTAAATCCTCACTCTCTCCATCTTTCTGTAGTCCATATCTCTTACCTCCAGTTGGAGATGTCTTTGTTAAAATGCTACCCTGTCTGGTATTTCATACACTGTAAATAGCTCCAATACCTTGTTTCTGCAGTCTTCTACTCTCAGCACCTAATTTCCCAACATTTAGCACAGGCTGTTTTTGTTAAAGGAACAAACTTAGCTCTTGTAAAAATGTGAAAAGAGGGTATAGGGTAAATCTCATAGAACACAAAAAATGAAGAAAACACAGCCTTTAAGAAAACCAGATCTGAAAACTGAAGTTTGTAGTATCTGGCTGCTCATCACATCTCAGCTTCTCTCACTGCCCAAGAATATGGGCCTCGAGTCAGACTACCGAAGTCCAAAATCTTGTTCTACTATTTACTAACTGTATGACTTTAGATAAACTAGTAGTTTAAATAAGTTTTATTTTCCTCATCTGAAAAATGTGAATCAAAACAGAAGCTTCCTAATAAAGCTGTTGGGACATTAGAGACGTAAAGCGCTTAGAATGATGCTTATAGTATGTAATAAGTGTTCCATATATGACTATCTCTTCTTATTTCTGTGTCTACATTGAATCACTCTCTCTCATTGTGGCTGCCACCTTAAACTCTCTAAACTCTACAGCCACCTGATCCTTCTCCCTGATTGGCTCATCATCCTATTTGAGTCATGCAGCACAAACAATTATTGGTTAATATTAGTTAACTCTCCTCCAATGACTAAAATAATTGTTGGCTGCAGTCAGGATTCTGAGACAGAAGATGCGACCATGCTAAATTTACACAGGGAATGTGACCTTTCTTGCACACAGTGTCCCAAATCTATAAATTACATACATTTGGTAAGTCATTGGTCACAGTTAGAGTCACTTTTCTACTGCCATTTCTAACAAGTTAATGGCACATATACGAATAGGTCCAAAGTGTACTTATTTCTACTTGAAGATGTTTTTTTCCTGGGTCTCTGAATAGCTATTTTATATTAAGCAAGTTATTTATTTCACCTCTCTGACCACTGGTTTTCTCAAATATATAGTGTAATTTAAGTAGATCTGTTGTTTCTCAAACTCTATCTCCATGTACCCACAGCAGATGGTGGCTCTCAAGTGCGACATTCTCCTGTGGACTGTAGCACAGATGAGATATGGGAATAGATTATGGGCAATTGTAGCTACTTTCTCTGTAACTTCACCTCTTTTCTTCCAACTCGGAAAAAAAAAGTATGCACATCATTGGGTAAATCAGAGCACTTGAAACAACAAAAATAGACGTCTCTAAGAACTTTTTGATTCTGAGTTATAAATCAAGACAAGCTCAAGACAAATTCAAAGATCCTTTAGATAATCTACTTTCTTATTCTTAGTACTATTTCAAGAAATATTTCATAATATGTCTTAAATATAGAAGAATAATTTATTTAAAATATCTTTCTAGTTTATTTTTGGATAAATAAGCTAGCTGCATATGGGCACTTGTTTTAGTCAGTAACATTGGCCCCCACCCTCCTTGAAAAAGAGTTTAATATAAAACAGACTTAAACCTGAAATTATCTTCTTTCCTCTAAATTATTAGCATAAATATATTTCATTAACAAAAATATCTTATAGTTTTTTTATAGTTTTATATTATTCCAATATTTCTGTAGGGCCAATTACTCTCTCAGGCTATTCCCACTAGGCGCATCCCTACATTAATGCCAAACAGAACAATTCTTTAAGCACAGGATTTCCTGTTCAGTTGCTGCAAAATTACAAGGACCTTGGTTGGAATAACTTGGAGCCAAGTACTTAATAGTAAGTAATAATAGCATATATTGAATAGACTCCAAATAAAAATGTGGGTCTACCTAAAGAAATCATTTTTATTCATTTTCTATTTTGTTTTAAAGGTATTAACACGTTTCCCCAGTTCCACAAAGTAAAGGATATATCCTATTATTTATTTTAAGGTTATATATTATGCCTAACTTAATATAACAAAATGCATTATTTGAGTTACTGTCTATTAACTATTGTGAGACTCTAATGATAGCATTGCTAACACATTGTGATCTAGGCTCCTTAAATTTTCTAGTTAATTCTCTCCTCTTTTCTAGATAATAATATAAAAATCATGCTAAATTTGACTACAGAAGTTAACTGCAATATCTTAATCAGTGAATAATATAGTTTTCAGAGATCTGAAACCAGTACAGAAAATATTGGAGCAAGTACAGTAAGTGAACACCAAGGCAAACCCCAAAGAGGTGGAACTGTAATCATTCAAGTGAATGGATACTTTGGAATTCCTCAGGAAAATGCCTTAGATACCAACTCATTTCAAGCACAATATGAAGTTACTGTAGAAAGTAGTGGTACAGGTTTTGTAACTACGGTAATCAAAATTCTATAATTGTGTGCCGCAATTGCAATCCGAACTGGTTTCTAGACTGACAGTTTTCTCAGCAAGGAATGTCATTTACTGCAAATAACATAATAAAATGTCTAAAATAACAAACACTTTCAATTATCTCACATAATCAATAATCCGAAGGTGGGCAGTTTTAAGGTTTGTTGTTGAGCTAATGATGACAAAGTTCAGGGGCTTTCTACAGTTCTCTTGGCCTCTCCTTTAGACTTGCAAGATGGCTACCATAGCTCCAGATGTAATTTGTCTAGAAACGGGAATCTGGAAGGGGGAGGGAGAAACCAGTGGGACTGGACTATGACAAGTTTGTATTTGTTCCTTTTTTTTAATATGAGAAAGAGACATCTTTCCTAAATGTTCTCCAACCGATTTCCCCTTGCTTCTTCTTTGTCTGAACAGACACATGGTGATTCCTAGGTGAAAAGAATTATGAGAAATGGACTCCCTGACTAAGGAAAATAGGATTGCCATGATTGGCTAAGACCACTTCTTTTTGTTTTGTTTTGTTTTTTTGAGACAGAGTCTTGCTCTGTCGCCAGGCTGGAGTGCAGTGGCGCGATCTCGGCTCACTGCAACCTCCGCCTCCCGGGTTCAAGCGATTCTCCTGCCTCAGCCTCGTGAGTAGCTGGGATTACAGGCTCTTGCCACCACGCCCGGCTAACTTTTGTATTTTTAGTAGAGACAGGGTTTCTCCGTGTTACCATGATGGTCTCAATCTCCTGACCTCATGATCCGCCCTCCTCAGCCTCCCAAAGTGCTGGGATTACAGGCGTGAGCCACGGTGACCACCTGGCTCAGACTGCTTCTAAGTTTGCACAAACACATCTTTGATTCCTTTAGCATTCAGAGGGGGTGAGTCTCCAGAAAAGAAGAAGAAAGAAGAAAGAAGGAGGAGGAGGAGGAGGAGGAGGAGGAGGAGGAGGAAAAAGAGAAGGAGGAGGAGAAAGGAGAAAGAAGAAAGAAGGAAGAATGAAGAAGAAGAAGAAGAGAAACTACTGATACACATAATAACATGGATGAATCTCAAAAGCATCATGCTAAGTGAAAGAAGCCAGGCTCAAAAGCTACACACTATGTGATTCAATCTATGACATTCTAAAAAAAGTAAGAACTAGAGGGATAGAAATAAGATCAGTGGTTTTCAGAGACTCCGGATTGGGGAAGGGGATTGATTACAGAAGCATGAAGGAGATTGTTCCAATAATGGAAATGGTCTCTATCTTGATTGTGATAATAGTTATACAACTGTATAAATTTCCCAGAATTCATAGAACTGTACACACAAAAGGGGTTTTACTTTTACTACGTGTATATTATATTTAAATTTTAAAAAATAGTTGGGCAATTTCTCTGGCAAAGGCAACTAGTAGTGTATATTACAACTTCCTACATTAATATTTCTCCTCGAGACTATACAATATGGTCTGAAACTCCATCTGGGGAACTAGAATTAAATTGTATTTTAAAGACCCTACCCCTAAAGTAGCCTAGGCCTAGAAAATCATTTCAGTAGAGACTAGTTAATTAAGAAAAAAAAAAATCCAGGTGTTCCAGAAAGTTCCTGGAATATTCTTAGCATTTGTTTTCACCAAAATCTGTTTCCCATGGTCAATGGCAACATGTGAAGCTGGATTTAGCCAGAAAATGTTCTTCTGGCTGTGTTCTCTGCATACATCATTCAGAATTTCATGTGCCTTTAGAAGGTAGCTAATTAATACAAATTTATTATACAAAACATCATAGCAGTCATATTTCAGTTTAAAAATTTTTCAGAAAATGTGAATCTTACAAAATTTCTTTGTGTAGAAATTACTTACATAGAAAACCTTATTTTAATGTTAAGGCATTAGCCTCTTTATACTGCTTCAACTATATCATTAATACTCTAGTTCGAAAAAGTAAAATATAAATTAGTAAGTATTTTCTTACAATAGTTATTCTCTAGTACTTAATCTTGTTAAAAGAAGCATTTTAGCCTCTCATTTTGGGTTAGATGATGCCTCTGAATTAACACCTAAGGCCATATTGGAAGAAATTTCAGACATATTTCTTTAATGAGTATCCGCCATTGGCCTAATGCTTAAATGGAAGCAGTGTTGGCACAATGAGAATGAACAGAGCAATTGCAAAAATTACTCGACAGGCCAAAAAGGCTTATAAATGACTTTCCCTATGACATTATTTCTTTTGATTTAGTTCACATGGTAAAGTTTTTTATAATACAAAAAAACAGTTACTAATCAGTTACATCAGTGGCTAATGTGCTAAGTATATACAATAGCAAGTTTAAATAAAATCAAAAATTCAATTATTTCTATGATTTTAAACATCTAGCTGTTTTAAATCATATAGACCAAACATTCAAATATTTAACTATTTCTTCTTCCCTCCATCTAGATGTTTTATAATTTTAGGGAAATGCTAAAGGTGAAAAATAAAGGGACCAAACTGAACTAAGTAGAATTTTTACTTTGAATAGGTTTTGAGAAATAGCCACTAGACATTGGAATGAATATCTTTGCCTTTTGAAACAATGGAGAATCTCCAGTATCAATTTTAAAACTTGAATTGTGATTTGCTACTACCTTGCATCCATTCTCTAATCTTGAAAAGTCATTTAGAAATGAAGCATACCCTATCAGTTTAGCTTTATCTTTAAAATGTTCAGCATCTCTCACCAACTTTCCCACCAGCTTCCCTACTTGAAGATTCAAACACAATACCTTTACAAACACAGCAGTTTTGCTGAGTAACCAAACTTAACCTCCCAAAACAAAGCATTCTATTAAAATAACTTGTTTGGCACATCATTAGGATTGTGCTATTATTAGTTCCAGGCAAACAGATGTCTTCCTGGATAAAATCCAAGCCAGGCATCTTTTATTTTTTTGGCAAGCGAGTAACATATTAAATTATACTTTTTCCAGTTCAGTAACTTTTTAGCATTAGAAAGAGATAAAATCTTGCAATTCTATTAGACCTGAATTTTTAGTCTACTCTTTTACAGTAGAACAATTTGGTTCTTTGTAAAATCAAGATAGTTAATTTTGTTTTCTAAAAATATTGATATACTAACCAATGACATTAAAAGTACAAAATCAAAATATTTATAATTCTTTTGAGAGTATCAATATCCATTCTTTCAAAAGTAAAAATATATGTTAATATTATTTTTGAAATGCACATAATAATGTCAAAAATTAAAGCATCTCTCAATTGTACAGCCATAAGTGAAGGACTTTAAAATATACTAACCACTTATATTGCAACTGATTCTTTTAATGTGGAACAGAAATTTCGTTTTCCGTTTTCCCATATTAAGACACATTTTTAGCTATGTCCTCCTGTAAAAGTAATTTTTAAATTTAATCTTTAAATGTTTGTATATCTGAAAGTAAAAAGAAGTAAATGGTACAGAGACAACTACTTGTCCTATTATACATCCTGACCTTCCTTCTTTTAGTAACAGAACTCTATTTTTCCTGGACTCTTCTGCCATCAGGAATGGTCATATGATATGAAAAAGAACTAATGTGAACAACTTCCAGATCGTTTCCTTAAATGGAAGTTACCTTCCTCTTTATCTTTCCTCTACTTCCTCCTTCCCCTTTCTTATGGGCTGGTGCCAATGAGATAGCTTCAGCATTAAGGAACAGAGAAACAACAAAATGGAAGGAACTTCAAATCCCGATTGACCTTAAGAAGAAGAGCCACCTACATTCCCTGAACTGCTTACCTTCCTTTGGAATTCTTCTACAGAGACAATCTATCTGGGGGGAGGTGGGCGGGGGTGGGATTTTTAATCCAAGGGTTCAGATAGGGATGCCTCTATCACCAGCTCCTATGGTTTGAATGATGGTGTCCCCTCCAAAATTCATGTTGAAACTTAATCCCCAATGCAACAGAATCAAGAGGTGTGTCCTCTAGGAGGTGATTAAGTCATGAAGGCTCTGGCTTCAAGAATGAGCTTAGCACCCATATAAAAAGGTTTAAGGTTTAAGGTTAAAGGGATCACTTTCTTGCCTTTCCCTCCCTTCTGCCATGTGAGGACAGCATTCCTCAACTCTAAAGGATGGAGCAACAAGCTACCACCTTGGAAGCCAAGAGGGCAGCCCTCACCATACACCAAACCTGCTGGAACCTTGATCTTGGACTTCCTGGTTTCCAGAAACAAGAGAAACAAATTTCTATTGTTTATCAGTTACCCAGTCTGTGGTATTTTGTTTTAGCAGCACAAACAGGTGAAGACACCAACCTTTTCCCCAGGGACACAAAGAGCCCAGCTCTGGTCACTCAGAGGACTACATTGTACCGACCATCATAAATGTTTCATGCTAGGTATATGGCCCACACCAAGCCCACAGAAGCCCTCCAGCTGTTTTGGTTAAAGCTATCAGGAAAATGTATATTCTCCCGCAGAGCTTCAGGTACCATACAAGCTTGGACTCTTGAGGCTCTTTTAGTAGGGAAAGTCTACCTAGAAATAAATGCAACACAAAAGAAAACAAGACCAAGAAAATAAGAAAGAGGATTGTCTTAATGATATCATTTAACCCCCTGCATCCAGCTATGCTAAAGCTAGGTGTACCCTGGGCTTCCAGGGTGCAGTTTTTGGGGGCCAATAAATCCCCATTTTTGGTTAAAACTAATTAAAATAGGATTTCTATACATTACAACTAAACAATTCTTGACTAAAACAGCTGTCAATTATAGCCTTTTTAATTGGCAGAAAATATCATTAGGACTGTTATTCTAAAAACAGTTTTTAACTTCAAAATCATTCCCATGTTCCCGGAATGTCAGTTTAAGATTGTTGCTTGTTTTATTTTACATGATCATTCTGGCCTATTAAAAGCTAAGTCTCTGACAACATCACCTCATGACGCCAAGTTTAAGTAATGCTTTTAGCCTTTTTTTGTCTGCTGTCACCCACTTTTTTTCTTTATGTATATTGTCATAGCAAATAATTTAATGCTAGTTTATATAATTTATTTTAATTAATATTATAACTTGAGTTATGACTTATGTTCTTTTGGGGGATTATGTGTAACACTTTATCTCTTATTTTAGCTAATGAAAGACATGTGAGATTTATTTGAAAGAGAACTTTCAAACTGAATTATATGAACATAAATACGTATTTTGGCGTTTTTTTTCCTTCTCTATATAGCGTGAACACATAATGTGTAAATGCAAATAGGTTCTGTTAAAAGGCCACTCTAGTTCCACTAAGTGAAGACTCAGGAGTCTTGGCTATTGCCAGTCATTGCTAATTCATTTAACAGAAAATATCTGAGCACCCTCTGCCAGGCAGAGTTCTAAGCTTTAAAAATACTGTAGTGAAGAAAGCAGTCAAGCTCTTACTCCTCAAGAGATGAGTGTTCTCAGATACATTGAATCTCCTCCCACCATCTGATGAGAGTGTTCTCTTCAGGATTCATCCCATCACAGTCATTGTCCTAAGTGCCTTTCTAAAATCATGAATCCTGAGGGAAAACTGGAGTCACAGATAGTTGGCCTCGTTGGACATCACCTGACACTTCAGTCCACCTCTACTGAGAACTCTCAAATCTAGAATCATTGACTCCATTATGTCCCTGTCTACCCAGCCCAGCACAGAATTCAAGCCCCTTACTGACCTTACCTCTCATATGTTCTCATTCCCATTCTACTCAATCCTCCTTCAGTTGTGAGTACCAATGCTCTTCTCTTTCCCACTTTTCTTTGTACCCTGTGAGATTATTTTTCTTTTTTTGTTTCATTTCTAATTAGTTTATGTGCAATGACTAAATATTACTTATGATGAAGGACAGTGTTCAGCATACATTTAATTCCTAATTTGGTTGTTTTTATAAATATGAGAAAAATTTTTTGTAATAATGTGGGATAGGACAGGTGGAAATGGATGTTTTGGTATTAGCAACATAAATCCACTATTGAAATCCTTTCATGTTATATGCCAAAAGTCACATAGGGATGTATTATCAAAAATTATATTTTAATGATTTATCAGTTCCTTCAATTGTTTTGAAAGCAAAAAATTAGAAACTCCCTGACGTTCAAAAAATTTTGTTTCTGAATCATTGAGGAAATTCACTTTCTCATCATCAATACAAATTTTTCTTTTGTTTGATGTCTCCATGATTTTATACCCTGGGATGATCAACATCAGATTAGATAATATGTGATTTTGTTTGATAAAGCAAGAGAAGTGTAGTTGCAAAAGGAAAGTAGGAAAAGAAAACAAGTATGATATTTTAACTAAAGCTCTAAGGCCAATTAATATTAGCAAAGAGTGTATGTGGAATGGAGGATATAGACATTAATCTCTAAATTATTTCAACCCTATGTACTTGGTAAAGTCTTCATGGACCTCAAGAACTGTACATATCTCAGTTTGAAGACTGCTGATTAACTATTCCATAAAATCTCAACCTTGGGGCAGCTGGCGTTAGCAAACCTTGAGCTGCCAAGTTCTTTATTCCCTTTCTTTGAATAGTCATATTCCATCGAAGTAGAGTCTACAGTCCGTATTCACTATATTACTCTTTCATGTCCTATGTCATCCTCAGTCATACTGTAAATGGTAATCTCTTCTCATAACTCCATAGCAGAGTCACCAACAATTTCCTAATTCATAAATATGTGCCTTTTATTGCTTATATGGCTGGACTACTTTGCAGCATTTGACCCTGGTGACCATTCTATTTCTCTTGAAATTCACTACTTTGTTGTTGTTGTTTGGGTTTTGTTTCTTGTTTTTTGTTTTTTGTTTTTGAGACGGAGTCTCGCTGTGTCACCAGGCTGGAGTGCAGTGGTGTGATCTCGGCTCGGCTCACTGTAACCTCCGCATCCTGGGTTCCAGTGATTCTCCTGCCTCAGCCTCCCAAGTAGCTGGAACTACAGGACGTGCCACCACACTCAGCTAATTTTTGTATTTTTAGTAGAGACGGGGTTTCACCATGTTGGCCAGGATGGTCTCCATCTCTTGACCTCATGATCTGCCTGCCTCAGCCTCCCAAAGTGCTGGGATTACAGGTATGAGTCACTGCGCCCGTCCAAAATTCACTACTTTTTATGCTTAACACTTTATTCTTTCCTTTCCAGCTTCTTTTTCAGGATTCCCTTTCATTGTACACTATTCCTAAAATGTTATTCTGCAAGGTTTCTGCCCTTGGCCTTTTTCTCTCCTCATTGAACAAACCCTGCCTGGGTAAACTTATCTACTCTCTGACCCATTCTACATCATGATAATTACTGTATCTCCCGCTCAAATATTTTTACAAAATGTATGAGCTTTATAGCCAATGCCTATCAGACAGCTTCAGTTTGCTGTCCACTCCACTGCCTCAAAATGGCAGAATCTGAACTCATTATCTATCCTGCTGAACTTACAACTCTTCCTGGAGTCCCACGTAGTTATGAATGCCACCACCAAGACTTCTAAATTAGAAACCCCAAGGGACTTTCTCATTTCCTAATTATCTGCATCCATAAGTGACCAAGTCTTAATAATTAAATCTCTTACACATATATATTATCAAATTGTCTTTAAATAATTCGTCTAACAAATATTTATCGCATACCTATTACGTTTCAGCCACTTTTCTAATTATAATAAACAGAAAATAAAGATAGACATGCTCCTTGTATTTGTTGACATTTATATGTGTGTCTATGTGAGTTTATATATGTGTGTGTATATATATACATCCACATATACACATATAGGTATATGTATGGCTGATGTTGAGATGAGTCAAGGTCAAGTCAATACAAAGCCAAAGCCAATGATGCTACAGTGATTAGTCAGAGGGGGAATAAATAAGTTAAAAATATCTAACAATAATTACCCAACACGTCCTCTTAACAAGAACACTTATCAGTTGCCATGGCACTAAACTAGTCAATTATTGCTCATATCCTTTAAAGCATATTTATAAACTAGATAACAGATGGTGGAAATGTTATACTTTTGATCTTCCCAGTCAGCCAAATGTCTCTCTTAACCTACTAAAAAAAAAAAAAAACACTGACTGAAAATCCAAAGTTCAGATGCAGGAAACACATTCATTGCTGTCATTTCTGTCAGTAGTTGTTTTCTTTTTCTATTCCCTGATGTATATTAGCACCAAAGGTTAACTAATTTAAGCAGCTCATACTAATCTGAATAGGTAGGGGGAAAAGGAACATTTGAGTAGAGAATAATGATTACAATGCAGAAGATGATTACATTATTAAATCTAAATTTCACATCATCATTTTTGGAAAGATAAATAAAAACATGTTTATGAACAAGCAATGATTTAATGATTGCTAACCCAATAGCATTCAGGTTCACGGTACTATGCTGACACCTAGTGGAATAAAAATAGGATCCCAATGCTTCCAAGAAATCCATTTTTAAGCTTTTCACCCTTAAGCTGTAGAATAAATAATACACACATACACACAGACTCACATGATATACATATCATAAACATGCCAAAAGGCAAGATGGCCTTGGTGCCAATTTAGTGAAAAATTGCTTGAAATGATTGAAAGCAGATGCTGTTGGTTTTCAAATAATACCTCACCAAATTCCATAAAAATTTGGTTTTTAAAAGTAATCAGTAGCTTTTTCTTCATTTTTGTTTTAATCAAATTTGGTTTTTTAAATGTAGCTAAAATAATCAGTGTTTGTTGAGACAAAAATGGTCCTCTCTTCTCTACATCCCATTTCCCCTTCCCCAAACTTACCATTATGCAGATAAGAAACATTTTCAAACATGTAAGATTTGTTTTATTATGCTTTTGCTTTTTTTCAGTTTCAAGGGTACATATACATGTTTGTTATATAGGTAAACTGCATGTCATAAGGGTTTGGTATACAGATAATTTTGTCACCTAGGTTGTAAGTATAGTACTTGGCTAGGTATAGAACTCTAAGTTAGAAATTACTTTTCCTTAGAATTTTGAAGGCATTACTCTTTGTCTCATGGTTTCACTGCTGTTGATGAGAAGTAAAAATCAATTCTGATTCTAGATCCTTTAGTTTCTCTCTCTTTCTCCCCTTTCCTTCCTCTCTCCCTCCCTCTCCTTCCCTCCTCTCTCTCTCCCTCCCACTTCTTTCATCTCTCTCATTCTCTCCCTCTCTCCCTATCTTCCTTTCTCTCTCTCTCTCTCATACACACACACACACACACACACACACACACACACACACCCCCCACAGAGTGTAGGATCTTCTGTCATTCCCCAGAATTATGAAATTTCATGTCCATCGGTCTTGGTAGGACGCAGAGCCACCACCTGTAGGTGTGAACTGCATGACTTCGCTTATGCATACACAGTGCTTCCTTGGAGTGGTTCCATGCCCAACCTATACATCCGTACTCAGCAAATGTGTTATACTTGAGGAGCCCTCGAATCAGTTCCAGGAAATGTTGTAAAATTATTTTTGAAATTTTCTTCCCATTTCTTTTATCTGGTCTCTTTCCGGAATTTCTGTTAATTGGGTAGTGAAACTGTTGTGCTCTCTTCCAATATTTCCTCACTTGAATTCTTATTCTGTTTTTTGTTGTTGACGGTGATGGTGATGGTGAATTAGTTTTTGTTGTCTTTTTTTGTTATTGTTTGATTATTTGGGAGGGAACTTTCTCAGCTCTTACAATTATCTTTTCTTTGTAATAATTTAAATTACTAAAATCTCATTTTTATTATCTTAATATGTCTTTATTATAGCATTCTGTTCCTTTGTTTCTATAGACATCTCTCTAAAAATATTATGCAAATTTTTATGATTTTCTCTCTGCAGAATCTCCGTTTCGACCTCATAGTTTTTTACTTTTAGCTATTTGATCTGCATCTTTTATGTTAAAGGTCACCCTTAGATTTATAAGCCTTGATTGTCAGCTCATATTTTAGAGTCGGTGATGAAAAACCCCAGTTTGAAACACTGAGTGGGCAGGAGGGGCTTTCTGACTGTAAACATCACTGCAGGTAATCTGGCTGGACCATGCCATCAGGGAGCCCCTCTAATTAATATTTACATTTTCATCAGATTCTCTAGAGAAGACTCTTACTATTTTCTTCTTGGAAGGCAAATTTCTGATAACCAGTAATCTAGTTATAGGGTAGAGTAAGGAGGGGGTGGGATTCAGCCTCCAGTATGCATGTTAACTTAATACCACTTTTTTGGTAAGATATCACTAATTATGCTTGGTATCCCTCAATGCCCTTTTGTTTGACCTCCTCCAGAGAACAAATCTCTGCTGATTTACTTGGATGGAGGCAATTACCTAAATTTTCAGACTGAGAAAGGAGAACCAGGAATGTAACTCCTTCCTAAGCAGCTTTCAATTAGTTTTCCTTTTTATAAAATACATCCCACTGGACCCTCCAACTGCCAAAGGTAGCTAATCACATAAATCCTTGGCTCTTTTAAAATTCTTCAAAGTAAATTGAACTGGTTCTTACCTTTTGCAACACAAGTTTAGTATAGAGTTTTCATAAGTTTGCTATAATGCCTACCACTTATCCATCATTTCATTTTCCAAAATTATGTTGCTGTTGTCTCCACTCTGATTCCTTTTGACTTGTGGGTTCATGTCTTTCATAATATTCCTTTACTATAGCTTCAGTGGGGTTTTGGAAAATACATTATTTAGATTCATATGTTTAATTTACCAAGAAGCAACCTTGTGTGCTTATTTAGCTAATAGATCTTTTTGCCACTTGGGTCACTGAGAGGAAAGCCAAAATACACTAAAGATATTGGTTTATAAGTGTTCCAATGCAATAGAACCAAAGATGATATTTAGAGAGTCTAGCTGTGCACTTCCACACCTAAATTACCTTGGAGACATCATAAATTCATGACTAATTCTTCAAAATTTGTGCCTCCAAAACGAGGTTATTTTAAAGGAATGAAACCTCATTAATAGCATGATGTTATATTAGTTTGATGCAGTCTATGTCAATTTACCAGTTAAACCT
Source organism: Homo sapiens (assembly GCF_000001405.40). Taxonomy (NCBI): domain Eukaryota; kingdom Metazoa; phylum Chordata; class Mammalia; order Primates; family Hominidae; genus Homo; species Homo sapiens. Next base: position 186,860,412 of record NC_000002.12, on the reverse strand, counting down.
TCAATTGTCAAAATCCTTAATCATAAATAATTGAATGTAAGATTTTTATATCAACTAAGCCTTCTTTCCTGGAAAAAAAAAAAAAAGAGTAGCACATGAAAGTGAGTCCACACTTACATATCCAACTTTTTAATATGCATCTCCATTAAAAATCTCACAGTTGGCCTAGCACAGTAGCTCATGCCTGTAATCCCAGCACTTTGGGAGGCCAAGGAGGACTGATCACGAGGTCAGGAGATTGAGACCATCCTGGCCAACATGGTGAAGCCCTGTCTCTACTAAAATACAAAAAATATTAGCTGATCGTGGTGGTGTGCGCCTGTAGTCCCAGCTATGCGGGAAGCTGAGGCAGGTGAATCACTTGAACCTGGGAGATGGAGGTTGCAGTGAGCCGAGATCATGCCACTGCACTCCAGCCTGGTGACAGAGCAAGACCCTGTCTCAAAAAAAAAAAACCAAAAAACAACAATAACAAAAAATCACAGGCACCACAGTCTTAACATGTCTAACCTGGACTTCAATATGTTTCTTTCAATCCCTGTTCTGTCTTCTGTGTTACCTATTGGCAAGGGTTTGGGACTCATCTCTGACTCTTCCTTCTCCCTATCATCCATGTCTTTTGGATTTCTAAGGTATTTTGATTCTACACCTTAAACCCATTCTTTCTTTTACATCTCTACAACCATTAAATTAATGCAGAGAATCATTTTTGTTACTCATTTGGTCACAAAAAAACAGAGACTCACTTGAACTAGTTCAAACAAGCAGGTTTATAGTAGTAAATAACTAAGAAATCACACAATAATCTGGAAGGAGGGACTACAATAGAAATAAACTTCAGTGAGGTTAGGACTAGAGAGCGTCATATATTCATGGTAGCTCTGGTGACTTTGGCAGCAGGAGTCCAAAAAGCTTTACTTTAGTGCTTTGTCATTAGTGTGACCATGCAGCACTTCATAAATCTGCTTATTACTATACCCCCATGACAACACCCCCTGCCAGAAAAGAAAACAACCCTTCTCCTCAAATCTTAACTCCGTTTCTAACAAAGGAAGCCTAGACCATCTTTGTGAGCCAGGCCACTGAAGTCAGACTAGTCTGTGAACTCTCATTAAATATAGTGTCCACTCTTGGTCCAAGTACCTGTAAATAGAGGTAAAATGATGCATGCTACCTCCTATGTACCAGAGATTCGAGAAGGAGCGAGTTACCGAGAGATAAGCATAGGTGTTCAGTAGAGCCCTCTTTTTTTTCTTTGTCTTACTTATGCCAACATTGCACAGACCAATGTAGAACCACATCAGTGGAGCTCAGGAAATAATTTTTGGAAATCAAAAGATGGGATAATATTCACATGGATATTTGCTCTGAGGCATCATGTCACTTTAAGATTTCTCCCAGGGAGACTTCTCAGAGAACTAAAAACAAAACTACCATTTGACCCAGCAATCCCATTACAGGGTATATATGCAAAGAAAAATAAATTATTCTACAAAAAAGACACACACACTTATATGTGCATTGCAGCACTATTCACAATAGGAAATACATGGAATCAACCTAGGTGCCCATCAATGGTGGATTGGACAAAGAAAATGTAGTATATATACACAGTGGAATACCATGCAGACATGAAAAAGAATCAAATTATATCCTTTGCAGCAACATGGATGCACCTGGAGGCCATCACCCTAAGCAAATGAGCACAGGAACAGAAAACCAAACACCACATATTCTCACTTATTAGTGGAAGCTAAACATTGGCCACTTATAGATATTTAAAGATGAGAACAATCGAAACTGGAGAATACTGGAGGGAGGAGACAGAGTAAGTGGGGAGGACTGAAAACCTACCTATTAAGTACTACGCTCTCTGCCTGGGTGACAGAATTATTTCTACTCCAAACCTTAGTGTCATGCAATATACCCATATAATAAACCTGCATATGTACCACCGACATCTAAATTAGAAGTTGAAATTAGTTTTTCAAAAAAAAAATATTTCTCCCGTGTCAAAGTACGATGTATTCTTGCTGACTCTGAACACAAACACACACACACACACATACACTCACACACACACACACACTTCCATTCCTTTTGCTTAAGGAATGTCATATTTTTCTATTTATAATCATATTCTTTTGGCTCTTCTCTGAGAATTGCAGGTGTTGTCATTTGTTACAAAGGCAATACTCAATAATATATTTTAATTATAGATCAGCTTTGCAGTTGAGAATAATGCCAATATAATATCAGAAAAATCACCATCTGGATGGTAAAGAGAAGAAATAGACTGGATGTATTTTCCAAGATAATGATTAAACAATTAAGACAAAAATACACAATTTTATTGAATATTAATTTGTTTTTTATTTACATAGACCCTAACATCAAATATTTACACTGGTGACATTAAGGCCCAAGAGTTCCACAAGAAAGATCCTCCAATGAATAAGATACTTAACATTTACACATTGAATTTTGAAAGTTGTGTATATGTTTAGAAAACTCTCAAAATGCGTTCACATTGATTTTCTTTTAGTATGGTAACTAAGATAATATTGCATTTTTATATTATAGAAAAGATTCATGAATACTACTGAAACGTGTATAAATTTCAAATTAGACACAGTTTCTATGGGAAGTAAACAATGAGAGGCAACTAGCTTAAGCTTTAAAACAACAAAACAACATTTAAAGCTTTGTCATATAACTTAAAACAAAATAATCATAGACTCTTAAAGCTGAAATGTCTTTTAGATAGGATATTTAGGACACTTTCCCATCTGGGCAAGAAAACCTTCCACAGTAATCCTGAATATTGGCATTCAGAATGCCATGAAATGTTTTCTGTGATAGGAATCTCCAAGCAGCGTGAGAGAGCCAGTTCATTTTTGGAAAGCTGAAATTGTTCGAAAGTTCCTTTTTACAATGAGCCAAAGTCTGTCTCTCTAAAACATCAAGCCCTCTTGAATGACATAGATCAAAATTGTATTCTTTCATATGTATGCCTTTTTAAAACGCATGCCCTTTTAAATGTTCTAAGAACCCCTCATAAAATATAGTGCCCAAGCCAGGTGCTGTGGCTTATGCCTGTAATCCCAGCATTTTGGGAGGTCAAGGTTGGGAGGTCATTTGAGCTCAGGAGTTCCAGACTAGCCTGGGTAACATGGCAAAATCCCATCTCCACCTAAGAAATACAAAAAAATTAGCCAGGTGTGGTGATGTGGGCCTGTGGTCCCAGCTACTCAAGAGGCTGAGGTGGGAAGATCTCTTGAGTCCAGGAGTCAGAGGTTGCAGTAAGCCAAGATGGTGCCACTGCACTCTAGCCTGGGTGACACAGTGAGACCCCTGTCTCAATTAAAAAAAAAAAAAAAAAGTAGTTCCCAGAATCCAGTTGGCAGCTAAAACAAAGCATCTGACCCTACTTGACTTCTTTATGACATAAAGATGAACTACATGCAAAGTATAGAAGAAAACCTGGAACACTGATCTGCATTATTTATTATTTGAAGAGAATTGTGCAAGAGGAACCAGGAAGATACACCATCCAAGCATGTCCAACCCATGGCCTATGGGCCACATGCAGCCCAGGTGGGCTTTGAATGAAACCTAACACAAATTCATAAACTTTCTTAAAATATTATCAGGTTTTTATTGCAATATTTTTAGCTCATCAGCTATCATTAGTGTTAGCGTATTTCACGTGTGACCCAAGACAGCTCTTCTTCAAATATGGCCCAGGAAAACCAAAGGATTGGACACCCCTGATGTAGACTGTGCTAGTAATCAAGGAGCTTGTCTACAAAAAACAATGACTTGAACCCTGACTATGTGAAATGTAGTAGCAACAGGGACAGCAAGATGACTTCAAGAACCTAAAGATAAAGAAAGCCACACAAAATAAAATACTAGTGTCATTAGTAAGGAGTTTTGCCCTTTAACATCAGACGTCTTTTTGATGCTGTGGGCAACAGATTTAGAAAGGAGCTTGGACCACAGTGGGTAAAACCGCTGAAAAAATTGTTTCACAAAATACAAGAAGAAACCTCACAGAGACAAGTTCCCCAAGTGGTATTGACCACAGTCCTAGCTTCTTCCTATTCCCAGATCACTGAACTACGAACAATTCCGCATGTCTAAAATGCTACAAGAGGATTCTGATAATCCCAAGTAGAAACTGAGGCAAAACGAGAAGACTCCATCTGTCCTCTTTTAGGGGCAAATACCAAACTTGGAAGGAATTAACCCTATTAAAAATGAATAAAAAGAAAAATGCAACTAGGAAAAATTCTGTAACAATAACAAAAAGGCATACCACTCAAGAGGTAGAGAAAGCATGTGCTTTTTAAAAAGATATTATATTTAATAACATCTGTTTTATATGATTAGTAAAATTAGCTAAAACATAGCCTCTATAAAAAAGTTAAAAATGTTATATAATAACTATCTGCAATTAAACAAGTGGCTGAGATTTTTTAAAACTGCATGAGCGACAGGCAAAGATAGCAAAAGAACGATAATTTTTAGTGTTCTAAAATAAATATGCAAATGACATAATTTTCAATGCATCAGGATAAAGAGGAAAAACATGAAAAGCTCTCCCAGAAAGCAGAAGATTGAGAAAAAAAATGAGGAAGAATAAAACAATAGATAAGACTAACTAAAAACAAGCAAATAAAATAGGAACAAAGTACAAGATAATTTGGGTTCCTTAAAAAGAATCTGAAGCAATAGAACAGAAGCAATAATCAATAACGTCACAGAATAAAAAAGTCAGTTGATGACATAGCAGAAAAAATCAGTGAAACACAACTTATGAAATTATCTTGGTTGAAGTCTTAAAAACGACGAATTTAAAATCTTCCAGGAAGAAACATGCTATCAATACATAAAGGTTAAAAAATTTGGCCGGTGTCAGATTTATACCCTATATATTATGGTTCACTTGCAAAAATATAGCAATATCTTTACAGTTGTAGGAGAAAGATTTTAATCCAAGTATTGCATAACCAGCCAAATGGTCATTTACGTGTGAAAGCAATTTTAAATAATTTAGGTTATTCAAGACAAAAAGTATACTGCTCATGCTTTCTCCGCAAAAAATTATTCAAGAAGTCATTCAAACCAACCAAGAGATGAATCTGCTAAATAAAGAGAATGGAGAAGCTATGATATAAAAAGAAGAGCTGGTGATAATAAGAACCATTTAAACATAAAATTATACATTCCTGGTTTTTCTCACATATATCCCTGTGCTTTACTCATTATTCATGAATGGGGGATAAGCTTTCTGAATCCTATATGTCTGAAAATGACTTGATTTTGTCCTTACATTTGTTTGATAACATAGCTAGACATAAAATTCTAGTGTCAGTATCATTTTCCCTCAGAACTTTTCCAAGTCATTTAGGATCCCTGATGCAAATAAAGACTCTAATTCTTATCTTGTTTTTGCCCATTTGTATCTTTTTTTCATTTTGTAAATGGCTAGGTTTTTCTCTTTATTTTCAACATTTCAAAATTTCTCAGCCACATATCTAGGTATGAATCATTATCCATTTGTACTGCTCAGCATTTGACAAGCCCTTTTTATTTGAAGATATAGTTCTCCCAATTATCCTAGGAAATTTTTTCTATTATCATCTTTGATAATTTCCTTCCCTTCACTCTGCCTTTTGAAAATCATAATGGTCTAAATTTGTACATTTTAGCTTAGCCCTCTTTCTTTCTTTTTAATATTTTCCATCTTTTTTCTTTTTGCTCTACATCTAGATAATTGACTTTATCTTTCAAAATTTCTGTTGAGTTTCTTAATTAAAAAATCATTTCTAGAACAACAAAAAAACCCTTCTTATTCTGATTGTCTTTTTAATATCTTGGTCTTTCGGCTTGTCAAATTGTTTGAATTCTCCTGCCCCCTTATCCATTTTGGTAACTCTCCAATTTTTTTCTACCACCTTTCTATGTTCTCCAGATTTTTTTAACTTTTAGATTATAAATACTTGACTGTCTTCTGCCAGGACTTAAAAGGCAATAATAAAGTTCTTGAGACCACGCAGCCCAACTAGCAATCACAGTTATGAAGTCCTTTGTTTTCACTGCAACAATGAGAATAAAGGTACAATGTTTAGTCCCTAGCTTTTTGAATGACTCAGAGGAATTTCCACTGGAAAAATCTCATGGTATAAGTGAACAAGTTTCCTGAATGCCTCACTTTAGGGTGGAATTAAAGCTTGATTCTGGGCCCTTCTAGTCAGCCTACAAGCTAACATATATCCTATAGTAAATTCCTTTGTAAGTAAAACTAGCTAAAGTGATTCTATTGTCCAACCCAATGCTGGCAGATGAGAAGTAATCTGTTCCATGTTCTTGCCATCAATTACTCCTCATTTCATCAGTCAGCATTCTTCCACCCATATTTGTTCTTCTAGTAGGTTGTTGAAACTGTTAATTTGCCAGTGGCCCCATATTCTTTTTCTATTGCTGCAAAAGAAATTATCACAAATTTAGTGACTTAAAACAATATCCATTTACCAGTTTACAGATATATAGGTCAGAAGTACAGGCAGTCTCAGCTAGGCTCTCTGCTCACTGTCTCACAAGGTTGAAATCAATGTGTTATCCAGACTGTGCTCTTCTCTGGAAGCTCTGCAGAAGAATCTGCTTTCAAGCCCATTCAAGTTGCTGCCAAAAATCCAGTCCTTTGCTGCTCAAGGTCTAAGGACTCCATTTCCTTGCTGGTGGTCAGCCAGAGGCCACTTTCTTCTTCCAGAGGCCACAGAATTCCTTGTCACATGGCCCCTTCCATCTTCAAAGCTGGCCAAAAAAAAAAAAAAATTGCTTCCATTCTGACTTCTCCTTCTGTCACCAGCCAGAGAAAACTGCCTTTAAAGAGTTTATGAGATAAGATGAGGCCAACCATAGTTATCTCCCTTTTAATTAACTCAAAATCAAATGATTAGTAACCACAATTATACCTGCAAAATCTCTTTTGTCACATAACACTACATATTCACAGAGGAAGAAATTATACAAGGGTAAGGGTCATTGGGGTCACTGGGGTCATTCTGAAAATTCTGCCTACCTCAGCCCTCTTTAGTTCTCTTCATTGTCAGAGGTTGAAACCTGACTTTTTTTAGGCTAGTCAATGGGGGAGAAACTAACATTATCTACTTATTCTGGCATCTTAAAGTCCCAGTCACACTCATAGTGGGTTATATATTTATTCATATTACACTTTTATGTGCAAAAAGTTTAAAATATTTTCTCTATAAATGGTCCAGTTGCTTTTGATAGACTTCACTTTCTTTGTTCACAAGAAAAAAACTCAGCAAAATATAATTTAGCCTGACTTAATTACCAAATAGTCTTTTAGATAAATGGTGTTCACTGTCAAAGAAAAACTGCATTGGATGGAGTTAAACAAGCAAGGAAGACTTTATTAAAGTCTACTGCAATATGGGAGTGAGATTAAACATGACTACTGAAACAAAAGGTGGCAGTTTTTATATTTTTTATTATTATTATACTTTACGTTCTGGAGTACATGTGCAGAACGTGTAGTTTTGTTACATAGATTCACACGTGCCATGGTGGTTTCCTGCACCTGGAGGTAAACTAGTGGAAAAGTACTGGAGGACTTTAGGGTGAAGGTTGGCCAATGTGACTAAGCCACCTGTATTTGCTAATTGGCACTTATCTAAATTAGGCTTCTATGCTGCTGCAAAGACTAGGATACGAGAGCACTATTTTTATTGTTGATTCTATTTCAAAGAATGCCTCCCAGGTCCTTGAGAAAGACATGACTAGTTGTCACATCTACAAGAGGCTGCAAGAATATTTACATCTTAAAGGGGTAGAGAAAGAATTTATAATTCCAAGTTTTCCGAAGTAAATACTCTAAGAAAAGGGAGGTCAAGAATCTACAGTCAGGAAAAAATCTGTCTAAAGTTTAGTCAAGCTAAGTGGAATGTTAAGACCATCATAATCACTATTAAGGATAAAATGCCTAGAATTTTAGATTTCCACTCATTCCCTATTTCATCTCAAAAAGATACATGAGTGTATGAGGAAATAAAAGCTCTGTAAACACGTGTCTGATAACAAAAGCTGATGACCTTAAATTTACACAGTGTCCCCTAGACTCTTGCTGGTCACTTCTGCAATATGGGCAGTCTGAATTGTTCCTTGTTAGTGAACAATGAGTTGCGAGTTTTGACTTTTTTTAAGGTGGTTGTGCTGGTGCCTCCCTCTGGAATCCTTAGTTCTATTTGCTTCCAGTCTTGAAGTCAATTAATTCTGTATCTTCTTTGTCAGATACCAGTATTCTGCCTTTCTTTTGTGCCTGATCTCTAGAAATAAACACAAACTCTTGTATCCATTTCATGTTTTTAATCCTTGAGAACCAGATCATTTACCTGTCTTCCACAGGCACCTCTGAATATTGCTTGCCATGTGTTAGACATGGCAAAAAGCTGAAGTTTCCTAGTAGCCTGCAACTCTCTAACACCATTACAGAAGTATGCTATACACACACACCTGCTCCAGGTATTCAGTCATCTTAAACTCATCTCAATGTTTCAATCCATCACTCCATATATTCCGCCCTCAACCCAACTCACACATGCCCATTTGGAGACTGGCAAGCTGACTTCTTCTAGTGACTTCCATCACTCTTCTTCCTACTTCCTAGAGCATTCTTTTCCATATAATTCCAAGGTCTAATACTCTAGGTTCAGTTTTTTCTGTCTTAACGGGAGCCATCATAACTTTTTAATACCTGTCTTTCATGACAATTGTATTGCTAAAGAGGCTAAAAATTAATCCAAGAAACTCAGGTTTATTGATCCATGAAACTCAAGCATCTTTTTTTTTTTTTTTTTTTTTTTGAGACAGGGTCTTACTCTGTCACACAGGCTGGAGTGCAGCAGCACAATCTCTGCTCACTGCAACCTCCACCTCTCAGGCTCAAGTGATCCTCACACCTCAGCCTCCCAAGTAGCTGGGACTACAGCCACGCATCACTACGCCCAGCTAATTTTTGTATTTTTTGTAGAGACAGGGTTTTGCCATGTGGCCCAGACTGGTCTCAAACTCCTGAGCTCAAGCAATTCCCCCAGCCTTGACCTCCCAAAATGCTGGGATTACAGGCATGAGCCACCGCACCCAGCCCACAGCTTTGTTTTTTGCAGTAATCACCTCCCTCTCACATGGGGAAATATGCCACAAAATATACCTGAAGGAGGATATTTAATTCTCCAATTTAATATTTTCAAAATATTACCCCTATCACACACTCTTAAGAGATGAAGCAAACATATGGGATAGTCACCTGACTATAAAAATGTTTTTAAAGTCATAACTGACAGATATCAAAACAAATATCTTACAAATAGAATGAAGTTCTGTCTAGCAATCTGTGCTTTCACTTTTTAACTTCTATGAAAGCATAAACACCATTATTTTTACCATCCCCCAAAATGGAATTTATGAACCTATATTCCATTGATATAATGACTATTGTGTCTTAAACATGCGACCCTTTGAAAATGTTTATCACTTATACATGGAGCAAGTAAACAAGTATCACTAGCTATAACTAAAACACAACAGCTTTAACAATTTTTGCTGTTTGCTTTTAAAAATTTTATAACTTTATTTTATATGTACACACATGTATATAAAGAGAGAGAGAAAAAAAATTGATGGTTGAATAAAATGTCCTCACTCTGAAGCCCAACTCATCATATTATATAGCAAATATGGAGTCATTAATTTATTGAGTTTTTAAAATTATACATATCAATATGTAAAATAATTTAATCCAATTTATAATTTCTTTTGCTCTTGATATGTGAGTTTTTTTCTAATGTTATAATGTATTTCTTTAACATCTAGTACCATTAAATTGATTCTAAAGTTGGGAGTATGGTAGTATGAATGTGAGTTGTTATTAGTCAGAATAGGAGAATAAAAATAAAATTTAGTAAATTAAAACCTTAGACCTTAGACCTAAGACTTTAAGGGTTGGATGATGTTTATCCAGGTGTCTCACCTGTGAAAGCTGCCATTACCATCATCTTCTTTCATCTTTTGCCCTTGCCATTTTCTGAGAACTCTCCTGCTGTTGACATAATCTAGTTATGATTTCTGCCCATGATAAAATAGGACAAATATGCTCTATCTTTGGCCACCAAGGCAAAGGTTACTGGACCTCCAAGTAGTGCTATCTCCTGCTTTTAATTTCCTATAGAGATTCTAGTAATGTGGCTTCTTTTTTCAGTAATTATGACTCAAAATGTTGACCCATACTTTATTACAGTTTTCCCCCTAAAATGTGGTAAACAAACCTCAGAGACAATTTAAATTATTGGAGGTACAAACATTGCATACCTTGAAACTCTTATTCCTTAGTATACAGATTTGTAAGTTTCATGTACCCATAGTCAATGGATTCTGTGCCACCATTCAGGACGTACCACCATCCACCATTCTGGCTGTACCATCCCCAACACCCACCCCTACCCAAACATGCAATTAAAAAATGTTCCCTCACTTGGAAGACCATTTCCCCTCCAACACACACACACACACACACACACACAGAGAGAGAGAGAGAGAGAGAGAGAGAGAGAGAGAGAGGCAGAGAGAAATGACTTAAGGATCTGGTTTCCTCCCAAGTAGCTGGGACTACAGCCGGCGCCACTACCGGTGATGCACTTCCTAGGGTTTAGAACTCCTGTCTTCTACATCTTTCCCCCAGAGACTCAGTCAATCTATGCATATAGTGAGCAATCAGAAAATGTTCGTGGAATATTGTGGAACGTCAAAAATCACTCTGGGCTCTGTAACCTCGGCTTTCTGTTAAAGATGATGAATCATCACAGGATAATTTCAGCATCCAGAGCCCAGACTGCAATCGGGTTTGCAACTGTCCTAACAAGTAGATTTCACCATCTCTGCCCCGAGGAAGCAGAAGGAACGCAAGAAAATTGACAGCTATGCCTTCGGCCTCCAGCTTCCAAGTCGGCCAGATGATTATTAAAAACACTCCTCAGTCAAGGGCGTCGCTTCGAAACGCAGTGGAGGCTGGGGAGAGTTGCAGAATCCATGCCATCCCGCACCTTTGTCGCCCGCTCTTCTTCGGCGCAGGGCACACCGGGACACCCCGAGCCCAACCACCGTCACCAAGGCAACCAGCCTGCACGCCGTCGTCTTGGAGACCGGCTGGCGCCTCAGTGAGCCGAGCAGAGGGGCCGCCTCCGCCCGCACCCAGCATGCTTCGCCGAGGCTATAAGGCCTCTGAAAGGCGAAGACACTTGAGCGAGAGGCTCAGCTGGCACCAAGACCAGGCGCTGAGTAGCAGCATCTACCTCCTACGAGAGATGGGCCCCACTGGCTTCCTGCTGAGGGAGGAGGAGCCGGAATACATGGATTTCCGAGTAACTACCGCCCCTACCGCCCCCAGTTGGCCATCATCCCCGCCCACCAGGTTCCCCCACTGGCATACCCAATGTGCGTAGCCACCATCACAATCTCTGCGGATACTTGCTGCCTCACCCCCGAAAGCGCCTTCCCACGAGTGTTCCAGACTCTAAAATACGTGAAATTACAGAAGGAAATAGTATTTATTAGAAGTTTCTTTTTTGGAGGTTAAGACCAAACTGCAACTCTTGTAAAAGATGATGGCTCTTGATCTTTAGGCTTGAAAATGTCAGAGGCGTATGAATACCTGGTTGGCATTACATGTGTTCTTGGATCTGTTGTTAGTGGTCCTTAGTCCTGTAAATCAAACGAAATGAAAATTCTACAATCTGCTAGCATACTGTAAATATTTTCTAAATAAATAAATAGGTTTCCCTTTACTCTTTGCTCACTCTGAAACTGTATGAAGGCCCTATTAAAGGATGGTTTAAATGGCAATACCTTGGAAAGATATTAATGAATAAAAATTCAAGTTTACTGAAAGACCACAGATATTTCATAATTGCATATCCCATCCTTAACCACTCAAAAATTAGCCACTGCACTACCTCCTAGGAGTTGACTTACAAAATTTTACGTTAGTGCCGTGAAGTTTAAGAATTGAATGCAATTTACTAGTCTGTGCTTATTTAAAGCATCTTTTTTTACTTTGTTGCTTCAATACTTACTGTATTTAATAGTTTTAGCCAAACTAGTCTTGGTGAATAAATTTTGTCCTCTTGAATAAAATTAAATAAATTCACCGACTCAAATGCACCAAACAAAAATCCAAAATGAGCTACCTTACAAAAGGTGCTTAGCTCCACCCCAAAGTAGAATTTCCTTACTGTGAGGAATTTATGGGTTGATATTTGCTTTTTTTCTTCTCTGACTTTGGGAATTAGATTTATTTTCACCTGCCTAAGGGCAGGTCACTTTAAAACCATCCTAATTTGTTAATTTGCTAACAAAGATAAATAATGAAGCCTAGAGACTAGTATCAAGAATTAAGATTCTCCAGTAGAATCTATTCAACCTTTTTGAATCACCTAAACTAAATTACCTCTTCAAATCTCTTTTATTAACTCAGTTTTGCTCTAACTCTCAAATTTTACTGGTCTTTTTAAGTATGCATTTTTCCTTTAAAGGTTTTTCTAGGAAATCCTCACGTTTGTAACTGTTCCACATTTCCGAAAGGAGGGGAACTTTGTAAGCATATCTGCTGGTAAGTGACTTTTCAAATGAAGATCTTCCATGAAGGAACATCTTGGTGTGTTAAATATTTTGCCTTTGTCATGGTTTCAATAACAACAAAATTAAAGAAATTTGGTGTTTGGGGAATATAAAGTTAAAATGGTCATAGCTTACCAATAAATTTTTCAGTATTTCATTTTATTCTGAAAATTGAATAACATTTAAATTGAGAACCATTTTATAATGTTAATGCTTTTAAATAGAAAAAATCAATTTTAGATTCTCATGTACAAATGTGAAATCTAACTATAAAACGGGGGAAAAATCCTGATCCCATCACTGCTGATAATTATATGGTTCATTTGAGATATTGCTGTGCTTCCACAAATTGTGTTTCCAAAATCACGTTTTCTTGAATATCAAATGTTCCATTTTCTACATGTATACATAGGTTGAAAGTGTTCACCTTTTCCGTATTGGCCTATGGCAGTCAAGTTTCAAAATATTTTCCTTTTCAGTTAACATTTGACTATGAATCACTTTAAATTTTCATGTATTTTTATAAATAGTTCAGGTTATTTATTTTTTATAAAAAGTTCAGGTTTCTTACATGCATATATTGCATAGTGGTGAAGTCTGGACTTATAGTGTACTAATCACCCCAATAGTGAACATTGTACCCAATAAGTGATTTTTCAGCCTTACTCCCTTCCCACCCTCCCAGTTTTTGTAGTCTCTGATGTCTTATTTCACTCTATATGTCCATGTGACCCATTGTTTAGCTTTCACTTACAACTGAGAACATGCAGTATTTGACTTTCTATTTCCGAATTATTTAACTTAGGATATTGGCCTCCAGTTCCATCCATGCTGCTACAAAAGACATGAGTTCATTAATTTTTATGGCTGAGTTCTATTACATTATATATATATATATATGTGTGTGTGTGTGTATATATATATGTTTATACACACATTTTATTAATGTGGTATATTTTTATGCCCACCATTATGGATACTTAGGTTGATTCCGTATCTTTGCTGTTGTGAATAGTGCTGTGATAAACATATGAGTTCAGCTATCTTTTGATATAATGATTTCTTGCCCAGTAGCCATATACCCAGGAATAGGATTGCTGGGTCATGGTAGTTCTATTTTTAGTTTTTTGAGAAATCGCCGTACTGTTTTTCATAAAGGTTGAACTAATTTACATTCCTAGCAATAGTATATAAGCATTCCCCTTTCTCCAGGTCCTTATCGACATTTGTTGTTTTTTGACCTTTTAATAATAGTCATTATGACATGTATAAGATGATATCTCATTGTGGTTATAATTTCCACTTCTCTGATGATTAGTGATGTTGAGCATTTTATTATGTTTGTTGGCCACTTGTATATCTTATTTTGAAAAATGTCTGTTCATGTCCTTTGCCCACTTTTTAATGAGGTTATTAGGTTTTTTCCTGTTGAGTTGTTTCAGTTCCTTATAGATTCAGGATGTTAGCTCTTTGTCAAATACGTAGTTTGCAAATATTTCTTAACATTCTTTAGGTTGTCTGTTCACTCTGTTGATTGTTTCATTTGCTGTGCAGAAGCTTTATAGTTTAATTAAGTCTATTAAACTATTTTTCTTTTTGTTGCATTTTCTTATGAAGACTTGATCATAAATTCTTTGCCCAGGCCAATGTCCAGAAGAGTTTCCTAGTTTTTCTTCAAGAGTTTTTGTAGTTTAAGGTCTCACATTTAGGTCTTTAATCCATCTTGAGTTAATTTTTGTATATGGTGAAAGTTATGAGTCCACTTTTATTCTTCTGCATATGGCTGCAATTTTCCCAGCACTATTTATTGAATAGGATGTTATTTCCCCAGTGTATAATTTTGTTGACTTTAACTATAAATCTTTCAAGATAGAAGTAGAACTCTATTGAAGATTATGTCTATTAAATCTGAAATTTTTCCTCTAGTGTGAGAATCTATTTGTAGGGTAATTGACCTTTAGAAATGAAAAAAAAGTTCCTTAAGCTTAAATACAAATCAACTCATTTTGTTTTGCCTACCTATACTCATACTAACAAATTATTAATATTATTTTAATTTATTTGATAGTTAACATGAAAAAATAAGAAATTAAGAAAAGATTATGACTTACTTTCCCATTTCTAGTGCTTTTCTTTAGAAGTAAAAAAGTTATATAATTATTTCTAATGTTTTTACTAAGTTTTCTGCTCTTTTATTTCGATCACTTTTTATTAAGCATCTAGTAACACAAGTTATTTACTCTAGTTGACATAAAGATAAAATATGGTCCTTTCACAACTTACAATTTGGTATTATGATTATATTTAAAATAGTTTTTTTTCCATTTTCATTTTATGTCAGGGGAAGGGTATTCTCTTTTGATTATTATATAACTCATGTTGTACAATATTGTAACCATTAAGTAAATGGAAATATAATCAAAGTGCTTCATATACTAAAGTATATTTAGTATCTTTGAATAATAATTTAATAGGCATTTCCCACATTTTTTAAAAAGTCGCATTCCATTTTATTGGTAAAATTTAAAAAAAATTTTTTTATATCATGCGTTAGAGAGGTATATGTAGGAAAACAGCCATTTGGTACACTATCCAGAAAATTACTGCCTTTCCAGAGAAGTTTAAAGGCAGTACCATAAAAACCTAAATCCCCTCATTATCCTTTCCCTTTGAATAACTGTATGTCGTAAGAAATACATGGACTCTCTCTGACAAATCTCTTCACACCAAATGTCATTTGTTTTCATTAATCATACTTTTTTCACATATGCTTATTTTAAAACATAAGTTTAACAACTATTATAACAGAAAATTGATGATTTTTAAGTTTATTCATAACACTTTCCATAATATAAATCTTATAATTCAATTTCTATTCTAAATATTTTTAAATGTCTTTTGAGTTTATGCCAAAAATAAATGTCTTGATTTTTTTTCTACTTGTGAATGTTAGGGTCTTGTTGAAAAAATTCAAGCTTCCAAGGAACCATGAATGTAAGTTTTGGGGTTTGGGTTTTTTGTGTTTTTTTTTTATTTTACTACTTTGAAGTTAACAAATATAAGAATGTTTTATTTAACATTTTCTAAATTTAGATGGTTACTTTTCTAGGGAATCGTAACTATCAGTAGCTCAGCTTCTTAAACTTAAGACACTTGGAACATTTTTCATCTTTAAAAAAATGTAACTTTATATGTCATTTTCAAACTCATAGGCACTTAATAAAAACAGGTATGAAACAATGGCCAGTTATTAAGTAGGAAAACATTTATGTATTCTAAGAAAAGGTTACAGTGGTTTCTGTGTCTAAAATTATTTTAATTGTGAGAAAAATAGCAAATGTGATTTTTTTAGATCCCAGAAATAGACTGTTGGCATGGCACATTATTTTATTCAAAAATGTTTGCTGAATGAAATTGTTTTGCTAAACAAAAGCAGAGTAAAATGTAGTTTTTAAGTGAGTACTTAAATTGAGTTTGGAGTCAGTTATATATTTATATAAGTTTAAATTCCAGAGTTCTCAAAAATAAGAGAGAAAGAAAAATAATTGCAATACAGGTCACTTAAATTTGTACATCTTATAATAAAGATACTGTCATTGTCAAAGGGTTAACTGCAGTTAAGGAATTGTTTGACCAATACTAGACCCATCTAACAACTGCATTTTTAAAAGTATTAATAAATGTTTCTGATATTCATGAATAATTAAAGTGATAATTAGTTTTAAATTTTTTCTATTCAAAAAGAATTGGTTTTATTTAGGCAAGTTTATTTCCCCCTAGCTATTATACAATTACAATCACAGTAAACATATTTTAAAAATTATACCAGATAATTAATTACCATTAGTGTTTCACAGGGATTTTCTCTTTTTTCACTCTACATATTTTTTTAGAAATGTCTCCCATTTTCCATGTCTCCAACTGTTAACTCTGTATCAGTGATTCCCAATCTTAGCAGCAGACCAGTATTTCCAGTTGCTTTCTGGGAAGCTCAATTTGGAGGTCCCATGGGCATCTTAAATACTGATTTCTCCATCTGTGCTCCCCTCTTAGATTCCCTACCTCACATACTGGCTTTCCTTTTTATTTTCTCTTCAAAGCTGTAAACCTTGATATTCTCTCTGATTTTTTTCTCTCTCGTCCTCTTCTGCCATGTATCTACCCATACCACAAATCCTGCTTGTTTTACATCCTACATATTTCTCAAGTGTTTCTATTTCTCCATACTCATTCTTACCTTTGTTCCACTTTCCTCAGCCCTTAGTACCATTCTGTGTAGCCTCCTTGTTTCCAATGCCTGAACTTTGCACTTTGTCTTTCACCTTCTAGATAGGCAGATTCTTTCTAAAATGTCAGCCTCTTCTTAAGCCTCTCTCTCAGTCCCTTCATGCGTGATGACTAGGTTGTATGGTTTTATACATATTGTTTTCTTTTTGACTTCTCCATTGTATTCACTGAAGTTAAATGTTGACCCTCTCTCCAAAGTCTTATTCTCTACACTATTCTTCCATATCATTTTCACAAGCTTCAATACTGAGGCTGTCCAATGGAAATATAACATACATATGTAATTTTCTAGTAGCCATATTATAAGAAGTAAAAAGAAACAGGGAAGTAACTTTAATATGTATTTTAACTTAAGCCAGTACATCAAAATATTATTGTGTCAACGTGTAATCAATATAAAAGTTATGAACTATTTTACTTTTTTTATACTGTCTTCAAAATCTAGCATGTTTGTTATACTTACAGTAGATCTCAACTCTGACACTATATTTTCAATGGAAATATTTGATCTGTATATAGACTTCCTCAAAATTTGTAGCTGAAAAATAGATTCACATATCCAAATTGTTACATACTTATACATTTTTCTGTAACTATAGATTATCAGCTTTAAGTTAAAAACTAAATTTTTAATTTAACAAAATTTAAAATTTGTTTTGTCAGTCACACTCGTCAAATTTCAAGTACACAATAGCTACCTGTGGCTAATGGCTACCATATTCAACAGTGCAGTTCTACCCAATTAAATTCAACAAATATTTATTGTACCACATATTAGCTAGGAGCTCTGCTAGGTGCTTTTTATAAATTGAATCGTATGTATTGCTAGTATATGAATGTCTTTTATCTGCAAACACAGCAATTTTGTATTGATCAATTTAATATATTACATTGTATTATTATTCTTTGCACTTATCGAAGACAGCAACCATTCAGTCTACAGTAGGGAATTTTTTAATGTTTAAAATTAATCCTTTATAATTTGAGAGTTTATATTTCCTTCTGAAATAAAGATTTTTTGTGTCTTGTATTTAAAAGAAATTTTAATTAGTAGGCATTGAGAAAATCCCATGTGTACAATGTAATACTAGAGACTAATAATATTCAAAGAAAGTCTTAGCGATCTTAAATTTATCATTTAAATTAAAGCTAGAATAAACATACATGAAAAATAAAGAAAACTATAAATAATTACTCATTAGGATTATGTATAGCGTTTAAATAAGTGTGGAGGGAATGTTACTTGTAATGGAAGAGGAATGTTTTGAACATCATTCAGAGATTCTTTTCTAAAAGGAATCTGGAAGCAATTATCTACATTCCAGTGTTGCATATAAGAAACCTGAGACTCTCTTTTCAAAGACCGACAAAAATGATTATATGGGAATATTATTATGAAAAATGTTAATTTTTGAACACTGAACATTCTTTTATTCACAAACATTTTCCCAAAAAAAGCTAGATTTACCACCTGATAGTTCCTTTTAAATACAATAACTAGTGAATACTATCTTCTTTTTGGAATTAAATAATTATGAATAAAATTAAAACCTCATTAAAGGAAATTTTTCTAAATTCTCACCAGAAAGATGTAAACTTTTTATTTTCTATTTTCCCTTTTATGATTTTATATATATCATAAAACAGCCTAATAGCCTGTCAGAATTCTGTGTTCTGCTTTTATCACACTGTTACCTTATATTTTCATGCTATATAATCTCTGTAATGAAAGTCATTAAAGGCTAGCTAATATTTCACTAAATATGGTATATTATAAGCAATTTAACATTCTTCCACTATTAGGCATTTATTTCTAACTGCTTGTTATATTCTTTGTACGTGAAGCTTTTTGTTCTTTTCAAATATTTCCTTAGCCTAAAGTCTTACTGTGTTTTGGAGTAGAAGTGTTAATATTTTTATGTCTCCCCCCCATGTATTGCCAAATATGTTTTCAGAATACTTTTGCTGATTTACAGTGATTTCAGAAATATGTCAATTTCTTTAAGTTTTATTTGTTTTTTGGATTCATGTTTTTGGCACATTTTAACTATAGTACTTAAGCATACAAAGATATTAACAGCATATTTAAGAAATATGAAAATAAAGACACATAGAAATATTTTGCCATGTTAGTAATATTTCTATAATTTTGGAAAGAAAGCCACACAAAGCAGGAAAAATACCAGATACAAGGTTCAAAGTAATCTATCAATGCCTGGTAAGTTAAATAAGAAAATAGTTTCTATTCTCTGGTATATTTATTTAACATTCCTTTATGGAAGATCTAAAATGCCTTCAAATAACTTTTTTAAATACAAAAGAAATAACATAAGGCAAACAAATAGTAACGTTTATTAGTGTTTATTCAGTCAGTTTTAGTGTCTGTGCTTTATTCTTATTTTAACTCATTTGCCTTTGATGCAAATAAAATTGAACATCTTCCACTGCCTTGTTTACTATTTGTGTTTTATGTGAATTGTATTTTGGCTATTTATTAGGATAAAACTGCAAACATTTCTTAATTATTATAAGCATTACTTTTTTCAAATGTTTTTCTAATCTGCTATAAGTTTTTTCTCTATGGCTTTATTAAATTTTGTTACATATAGGAGTTTTTGTGTTATTAAATTGGATCATCTGTTCTTTTCATGTTTATTGTTTCAACCCTTTAAAAATTGTCTTTCTTCCATAGTATCAATAGTCCTTTGGAGTTTTTTCTGCTCATTTTATTATTTTTGTTCTTTATTATATAATAGCACCAGTGTGTAGTTGTTTTGGTATAAGTTGGAGGTTGGTATTTGGTTTGAGTTAATTTTCTCCATATTGCCACCCAGTTATCTCAGTTAACAGTTATTGGATAATCCTTCTTTTCCTCTTTGTTTAACAATGTTTATTATTTAGAGCATCTCATATATTATTACATTTATTACTTGTACAACACATTGTGATGTCAGTCCCGGTTAGCTGTCTTGCTCTTCTCTTTCAAAATATTCCTGCATAGTCTTATACATTAATTTTTCCGAATTCATTTTAGAAGAGTTTGTTTCTTCCTTTTATTTTCCAATTCACATTTTACCACACAGAACAGTTTGTGGCCAGCTTCTTTTATGAAATTTTATTCTTCAGTATTTCTGCTGCCCCAGTGCATCTTTATTCCCCAAAGCACAATATTTTGTTCTTTATTTTTCTCTCCTTTTTTAGAGAGCAGATGTTGCTGTGTCTTTGTGACAAATAGCCCTTCTTCCGCAAAGTAATGGTTAATTAATGTATGATGCCCTCCCACAGTCCACTTGCCATAACATCTGACAGGGAACTGCGATTTCTGTATTGAAATGTAACTGTGATGTTTTCAGTATTTTAGTGTTTAGTTGGGGGGGGTCTTTCCAGAAAAACAGAGCATTTCATTATCTTGGAAATAATTTTTAATTCATATATATTAAAAAGATACATAAAATCAATAGAAGGCAGGGGACCGATAACAACTAGCATTTAAATTATGACATGTTCAGGAGTAGGAGATGGAAGGGGGAAGCAGCAAAGGGATGGGCCAAGGAATGAAGAATCTAGGATTCCCTGATCAATACTATAGGCACTTAGAACATCATTCCTTTAAGGATTGCAGGATAGAGAAAATACAGAATTCAAAAAATGCACATCCCAATGGTGCAAGCAATATAGTAACTAATAGATTGTCCTGAGAAACACTGACCAAATCTGTTGAGGATAAGACTAATGAGACACGCTTTTGTAGGTACACAAAACAGAAACAGAAAATAGGCACAATTAATTAAGTCTTGCTCTTCCATTATTATTTAATTCACTTATTCATCTAACAAATAATTACAGTAGCTACTCGGATATCAGTTTCCTCCTCATGTATTCATGTCCCATTTATTTTAATATTCTTATATGTTGACAAAATATTTGTTTATGGACTAGTGAACAGGTCGAAGTATAAGACATGATTGTAACACCAATCCAAGGATGAACACTATCATATTCAAGTGCACTGTTTGCATTGACTCTTTTTCAGTTACAAGAAAAAATAATAATTTTTATATTTTTTTAAATGACTCTTTTCTGACATTTTGGCTCTGAAAAAAATGTAAAGAAGGGGTCAATGTCAGTGTGATAATTCAATCAAAACTGTCTCTCTGATATTTGAAAGAAAATTCTAACTTTCAGCATAAGTTGTTACCTCTCTGTAGCTCCAATTTTATGACTGGATTTTAATACTTTGGGATTTCTCACTAGCTGCTTTACAACTGGGTCTTGGAGAAAGAGAGATAAGTGACTTGCTTCGGGGGATACATCGAGTTCAAACTCCCCAACCAGGAACAAATGACGAAAATGAACATGTTGAAGAAGATGGGTACATTAAACAGAAGGAAATTGATTCAGAGGATATCTGCTCTATTTGTCAAGAGCTACTTTTAGAGAAAAAGCTTCCTGTCACCTTTTGCAGGTGATGTACTTTTTCTTTAGATTCTTAAAACTAATTAAAAATTCTAAAACATATTTCTGATTTATTACCTTAGGAGACATGATAGGGAAAAAATAGACAACTTTACCTACTGCTAATTTATACTTAATTAACATTCTTTTATTTCCTAACACACACACATATATATAATATATATAATATAAATATATTATAATATATTACAATATAAATATAATATCTATAATATATAAATATATATCATAGAAATATATATATTATATATAACATATATGTTAGGAAGCAACATATATATGTGTGTGTATATATATGTTTTGAGCTAAATATATGCTCTTACTCTAAATCTTTCTGAGCTACACTACAAGGGTAAAAACTGAAACATAATTCCACAATTATTCCTCTTCCCACCTTAAGTAACAAGGGTAGAGTAATTTCTGTGTTTTTATTTTATACACATGAATAAATGTGATGGTTTATTATAGTTATAAAGACTTTTCTGAAAGTAAAGATTATTTTACTTTGAAATTACAAAAATTATTTTTAGTTTTTCAAAATTCTATCTTTAAACCTAAATAATTCAATTTTCACATATGTACAAATCTTTTTTTTTTTTTACTCATTAATGCCAACAATAATATTTCTTTCATCCCTTTCATTCTGTCTACATAACCAATTCTTGTTTTGTTAGACCTCAGATCAGCTGTCTACTTTTATTTTATTTTATTTTTAATTTTTTTATTATACTTTAAATCTTTATTGAGAGTCTAATGTTCATACTTTTCTTCACAGCACTATAAAGTTGGACTTGAAAAATTTGGACAGTCATTTTCCATTGCAATTTTTTTCTCCTGATCATTCTTTTTTCTTCTGATAATTTAACAAAACTTTTGTCCACACTGTAGTTGTTCATGTGTCTGCTTCTATTGCATATTGTAAAATTATTAACTACTTTCCAAAATGGTATTTCTCTCAGCAGATATTTCTTTGGTACTACCATGTATTGTGTGACTTCTGGAAAAGTATGGTGGCACCCCTGCTCTCAGTGAAGCATTTTATTAAAATAATAATAATTATTATTCTCCTTTGTGTTAAGCCTATATTCATTCTCACTTTACAAATGAAAATATTTTAATGATGCAAAATCTTTCACCATTTCATTGGAATGAAGGAAAATTTAAGTTTGGAATTCTGATGTATTAAAGATGATAGATTACTAGAATGAGTGAGTGTGTGTGTGTAATCAAGCTATAGCTGAAAATCAGTTCAGAATCTATTTTTTTGTGGAATAAAGATGGTAGCACAGGAAATTTTATTTATATAAATATATATATAATATATATATATATATACAATGGATATGTAAAACTGCTCTATACAAATGGTAAACTTCAATTTTATCTCTCATAGGTTTGGCTGTGGCAATAGTATTCATATAAAATGCATGAAGATCTTAGCTAATTATCAGAGTACATCAAACACTTCCATGTTGAAATGTCCTCTGTGCAGGAAAGAGTTTGCACCATTAAAACTGATTTTGGAGGAATTCAAAAACTCTAGCAAACTAGTAGCTGCAGCAGAAAAAGAGAGACTGGACAAACACCTTGGGATTCCCTGTAATAACTGCAAACAGTTTCCAATTGAGGGGAAGTGTTATAAGTAAGTGTTATCCGTAAATTATAAGCATGTGTTCTTTTTTATTTTTTTACATCAGGAAACTTTGAGCATTAGAGTACCCGTTCTGTAGCCTCCCTCTTCCTGCATATACTGTTTGACTTGTGTGACGACTGCTTATTTAGGACTCACAGACTGACTTCTATCTCAGTCCAGTATCTCAGGAACTCCAATCGTTTTATTTTCTTCTCCTGTTCAAGGGTATTGGTTTGAGCTCTGGTCCAGATTGGGTCTGAAGTAGCACCCCATCCTAGAAGCTCTGGACACAGGATAGGTGGCTTTAGCCTACATAGGTTTCCAAGCTTAGAGCCTTGCTGGATCTCTCACCCTCTGTAACTTTCTTTGAACTACCTTTGAAGTCATTGCCAAAAATTCCGAAGATTGGGCCAGAGAGACATTGACTGGATTGACTGAATATTTAATCCAGTCCCCCCTACTCCAAATGGCAATGAGTACAGGTTTTGTTTTATTTCATATCTTATACTTCAACAACTACAAAAACATAGTAATTATTAGAGCAAACAATTTTCACTGTGAGTAACCCCCAAACTTTCCCACAATTCTCACGATAAAACATAAATTAATTGCTATGCCTAGGAAATTTGTATTTTCTTAATTAAAATTTTAAGTTAACAGTACATTAAGAAGAAAACATTATTTCAATCTTTGTCACATTTTTTTGAAATGTATCAGTTTATTTTTCAGCCTTCTTGAATTACATTATGATGAGCCCAATCTAATTTATATATATATTAAAACTCTGTCATAAAACCGTAAAACATTATCACATCCAACAGCAAATTATACCTTTCTCCTTTGAATTTAGTTTTGTTTTCTGTATGTGTAACACAAAAGAAAGTTGATTATTAACAAAAGTATTTACTGGAAAATGGCTGGCCTGAGAAGGCTCCTAGGGAGGATTCTAACTTGGGGTGGAAGTACAGAATTTTTATAAATTTTTAATAAGGGATATTCAGCTAGGTTCAGGAATGTTGGTCAAAGAGGATTCCAGGAAAAGGAAGGACTTGATCTTTGGTATTAGCAGCCATCGTATGGGCATTTAAATTTTCTCAAGAGGGGTGGATAGGACCAGTCATGGAGGGGATAAGGTCACATGTAAAAGTGGGGGCTGGGACATGTGGGGGAACAAGGACATGTGAGGGCCACAGTGTAAAATTCTCAGTGCTTACAATCAATGTTCCCCAAATGGTTTACAGGCAGCTTTAGTACAAATATTGCTTAGGTATGTTGTTGATGACAGTGCACTCCTGTCACTCAGAGCTTTCTGACTGCTCTTTCTGTCCTGGGGCATTATTCTTCCTACTAAGTAAACACATGGCCCACTATCCTGCCCCCTGCCCACTAGTGACCCTACACTCCCCTTTGAGAATCTTTTCTTGTCTCATAACTTCTCCTCTACGGATCTGGCTAACAATTACTCATCTCTGTCTCCATTCTCTTTTACAAATTAAAGAATGCATTTTCAATGTGTGTGACTCCATCCATCTTCCATTCCCTTGAGTACTGACATTTCAGTCATCAGTCTGAAAAACTATTTCCATTTCCTTTAGGAACACATTGAGTAGGAGACAAGATTAACTAGAAAGTTTCTTCATTCCTTCTTCATCAGAATTTCAGAATTTAACTACTTCATCTTTTAAGAGGTTAATTCCGAAATTACTAGATATATGTTAAAATACAGAGATGCTTAACTTTTTTTAGCCCAGCATACTTTGATGTATTGAATAAATGGCACCATTTGTCCAACCCATTGGTGTTAATTATTAAAATCTTCCCTGTATGTACAAAGAGTAATAATGAATAAATTAGCAGTTGCTTCTTTTAAGATGTCTGAGGGACATATTTTCTTAAATTTCTCATGGCAATAATCTTCTAAATATTTGATAACTTGAATAATAAGTTTACTTGACTACTGCTCAGAATATTTTCAGTTTGGTAAATTATGTTGCAAGTAATTTAAAATCCTCTACTTGTGACAAAATTTTTATAAACAATATAACCTTGAGATTGGGCTTTTATGGAAAGTGGGTTTTTTTGACTTGTCAATAGTTTTTATTGAGATCTTTTATATGTTTACCTTTTTCCATTCTGTGGGGAAAAAATAATATAATTTTTATTTTCAAGAAGTATGCTGCCAACTCTAACTCTGGCATTCATGAAACAACTGGAAAGCAGCACTGGATAATCAAATGACAGAATATCTAATAGACTGTACATCCTGTAAGAATGTAGAGAAAGAGGTAAATGAAAGCTAAGGTAGTCTGAGAAGGCATCATGGAAGGGGCATGTGGTAGACAAAATAATGGACTTCCTAAAACGTCCACATCCTTACGCCCAGAACTTGTATGTCATAGAGGAATTAAGGTTGCAGATGAAATTAAGGTTTCTAATCACTGACCTTGAAATAAAGAGGTTATCCTGGATTGCTTGGATAAGTCTTGTATAATCATACAGGTTCTTAAAAGTAGAAGAGGGAGGCAAGAAAGTCAGAGGGAAATGTGACTGTGGAAGAAAGGCAGAGAGATGCTACGTTGTTTGTTTTGAAAATGGAGGAAAAGGGTCACAAGCTAATAAATGTAGGCAGTCTCTAGAACAGCAGTCCTCAAACATTTTGGCACCAGCGACCAGTTTTTTGGAAGACAATTTTTCCATGGGGGTTATTGGGGGATGGTTTCAGGATGAGACTGTTCCACCTCAGATCATCAGGCATTAGATTCTCATAAGGAGCACACAACCTAGATCTCTCATGTGCGCAGTTCACAATAGGGTTCACACTCCTATGAGAATCTGATGCCACCGCTGATCTGACAGAAGGAGGAGATTTGCTCTCCCACAATTCACCTCCTGCTGTATGTCCCGGTTCTGAACAGGCCACAGACCAGGTCAGCGCCTGGGGTTGGGGACCCCTACTCTAGAAGATGGAAAGAGCAAGGAAATAGATTCTCCCCTAGAGCCCCCTAAAAGTAACACAGCCCTGCCAACCCCTTGGTTTTAACACATTGAAACTCATCTCAGACTTCTATCCAATGGAACTGTAAGATAATACATTTGTGCAGTTTAAGTTAAGTTTGTAGTAAATTTTTACAGCAGCAACAGGAAACTAATACACAGTGTGACTTGAGGTGAACCTTGTCATGTTTGGATTGTTCCCAGGAAGTTTTGGTCAGAATTTTTCACCCAAAACCATCACAATAATTGGATTTTTTTTTCTTGCGTGTTTTGATGTTTTGTATTTTTAGGTGTACCGAATGCATAGAATATCACTTATGCCAGGAATGTTTTGATAGCTGCTGCCATCTTTCCCACACGTTTACATTTCGTGAGGTACAGTATCCATCTTGAATCTAATACAGTGTTTCTATTTGTCCTGTTGTAGAGCTAAGTCAGTGTAAGAATAAGAAGAATACATAACACTGTGGAACAGAGCTGATTGGTTTTTAATACAAACCTAAAGCCATATTTTTAGGAGAACTCTTTTTCATAAGGATGCACAAAGCAACCAGTTCTTACACTGGTAATTTATAAAATCTAATACTATAAGAAACATCTGATGACATTATGAATAAATTTTCAGAACAGAAATTATAGCCATCAAACTTGAACATTAGTTTTTAAAAAGCTCTCAACATTACAAATTGGCTTATAACGTAAAACCAAAACATTTATGATTTTCTCTTAAATTTTCTTACATAAGCAATAATGAAACATGGAACTTTACTGGGATAATTTAAACCGTACACTTAAAAAGTATCTCCTGATGCTGAATAATAACACTACCTTCTACTTACCAGACAAGATAAAATAAAACATACACAATTATTGTTATTTTTTACCTTAAAAAGTAATGCCATTATAGTAGCTATGCAATACAATATGAGACTAATAATTTGTAAGTACTTTAACATGTTGAAAAATAATATATATGCTTAAAATATTGTGTATTGTTCACATTATTGATACGCAACCAACTAATTTTTCTCCACAAAATGAAAATATCCACGACTTTGCAAAGTAACATCTACTTTTACCTATTACAGAAAAGAAACCAAAAATGGAGATCACTAGAAAAAAGAGCAGATGAAGTTGTAAAATACATAGATACTAAAAATGAGATTGAAGAAAAGATGTCACATTTTCAAGAAAAGCAAGGGTGAGGTTCCCAGTAAATTTTATATTTGTTGTATGACAGAATCTTTGAATAACTTCTCAATTTGAATAAGTTTTATTTATTCTTTTATTTATTATTTAATTATTATTAAGCACTTAGATACTAGGTGGCATTGTACCATCCAGTTGAAGAGCAGGGCTGTAGAGTAAGACTGCTTGAATCCAATCATAGTTCAACTACACATTGGCTATGTGGCTTGTGGACTAGTTACTTCACTTCTATCTGCCACATTTTCCTCATCTTTAAAATGGGAATAATTGTTAAAACCAACCTTGTAGGAATTTTGTGAGTATGAAATGAGTTAACAAACACAATAAATATTCAAATAATGTTATCTATTATTTTTAATTTGACCAGAAACTATACTAGATATGAGGGATACAGTAGTTTCCTCAGTAATCAAATAATCATCGACATAAATGTAAAATTGAAACTGACATCAGTTATGTTTAAATAAAAAACAGATTCAAAGATATTTGAAATTTGCATTTGAAATAATTGGCCTTTGGGGGAAGAAAGTCTTTTTTGCTTCATTCCCCCTCTCTCTACCCTCTACTTCACCCTGTTGGAAGAAGAGTGCCTAGCAGATTGGTTATATTTCAGAACATTGATTAAGAACATTATTAGTGGAGAGGTCTCCAGACCTTTTGCAATAGTCCTGTTCAATTACAGAAAATTTAGGCCGGGCGCTGTGGCTCACGCCTGTAATCCTAGCACTTTGGGAGACCAAGGCAGGTGGATCACCTGAGGTCAGAAGTTCGAGACCAGCCTGGCCAACATGGTGAAACCATGCCTCTACTAAAAAAAAAACAAAAAAAAATTAGCGGGGTGTGGTGGCACATACCTGTAATCCCAGCTACTCGGGAGGCTGAGGCAGGAGAATTGCTTGAACCTGGAAGCCGGAGGTTGCAGTGAGCCAAAATGGCAATTCTGTACTCCAACCGAGGCAACAGAATGAGACTCCATCTCAAAAAAAAAATAGAAAAGAAAGAAAAAAAGAAAATATAGCATGTTGTATAATGTTAAAAGATTGTGTACATTATGAAACACATAGAAAAGAGACAACTTTTTTTTATTATTATACTTTAAGTTGTAGGGTACATGTGCACAACGTGCAGGTTTGTTACATATGTATACATGTGCCATGTTGGTGTGCTGCACCCATTAACTCGTCATTTAGCATTAGGTATAACTCCTAATGCTATCCCTTCCCCCTCCCCCACCCCACAACAGTCCTCGGTGTGTGATGTTCCCCTTCCTGTGTCCATGTGTTCCCATTGTTCAATTCCCACCTATGAGTGAGAACATGCGGTGTTTGGTTTTTTGTCCTTGCGATAGTTTGCTGAGAATGATGGTTTCCAGCTTCATCCGTGTCCCTACAAAGGACATGAGCTCATCATTTTTTATGGCTGCATAGTATTCCATGGTGTATATGTGCTACATTTTCTTAATCCAGTCTATCATTGTTGGACATTTGGGTTGGTTCCAAGTCTTTGCTATTGTGAATAGTGCCGCAATAAACATACGTGTGCATGTGTCTTTATAGCAGCATGATTTATAATCCTTTGGGTATATACCCAGTAACGGGATGGCTGGGTCACGACTTTTTAAGCATGGGATAAAATAGAAACTAAAAGTAATAATTTCAGTGAATCAACTAAACAAAAAATGTGCTTGTTCTCATTAAATATATATATATAATATATATTTATACACATGCCTATAATACACCTGTACCCCCACACACGTATACATACACATGTATATGTAAGTTTGTATCCAGACTTCAGTTGATATATAGCCCATGCCCATGGGTACTCCACACACATTGGAAACCAGAGCTCTTGTGGGGCGTAAAATGAGCCTATACAAAGGCTTTGCAACTCCATTTTCCCTGCACAAGCATCATACTTCATCCTGTTAGAATGCTAAGTTGTATAACTAACGGTTGGACTTAGGAGATATTGGGGGACAGGGAGTTGAGAAGGAGAACATTAGGAGAAGAAGGACATTTTAGGCAGAGAAAATGGAATAAGTAAGAGAATTTCAGGATAAGAAACAGTAGGTAACAACCTTAAAAGAGTACTAAAAATATACATTTTAATTGAAATTAGAGGACCCTGGTAAAAGCAATTTCTGTAATATGGTGAGGATATATCTGTAGAGTAATGAGAAGTACAAACTTTTCTGAAGAATATATTTGAACTTTGTTCTGAATGACTTTTGAATGATAGGAATGCATCTGACCTTTTAACCAAGCTTTTTTTTCTCTTAAAGATTTGTTGTTCTGTTTTACCAGTTGGAGTGGCATCAAATAGCAGTTAATTCATAGTATACCATCTTAGTTATGTCAGTATGTTTGGTACAAAAAAATGGAGCTGGTACTTTTAGAGTTAGACTATTAACATAGTCTAACAGTATTGAAGTGGTAAGAATATACCCCAGATGAAAACAAATTTCCTTATCTCTTATGATCTACCAATTTATCATAGTAGCCTGGAATATTTAATGTGGCTTACCATACCCTTCACTTCCTACCAGAAGACAGAGTAAATTGGGTTGTATTTTTCTAAACACTTGCCTAATTGTTGGCTCAGACTAAAATATTATAATTTGAGTATATGGTCTGATTTTATTGACATTAAAGTGCGACTCAAACTCAAAAATTTTAGGTTAGCATTTTTATTTGATGTGACTACTTAAAACTTTTTTTTCTCTTTGAGGTGAAGTCTCACTGTGTTGTCCAGGCTGAAGTACAGTGCCGTGATCTCGGCTCACTGCAACCTCCACCTCCTGGGTCCAAGGGATACTCCTGCCACAGCCTCTTGAGTAGCTGTGATTACAGGCACCTGCCACCATGCCCGGCTAATTTTTCTATATTTTTATTAGAGATGGGGTTTTGCCATGTTGGCCAGGCTGGTCTCAAACTCCTGACCTCAGGTAATCCACCCACCTCAGTCTCCCAGAAGTGCTGGGATTACAGGCGTGAGCCATCATGCTCAGCCAAAAACTTTGTTCTTTATGAAGTTGGATCCATATTGTTCAGGATCAATAAAATAGATTTTTTTAACTTTATAATATATGAGATTTATTATCTTTAGTTCAAGAAAACCTAGGGTTCGATTGCATTATTTATATAGAGACTATTTACCTGTGCTATTGATCACTTCCTGATCTATAATAACATGTAAACACTCATGTCTCTGCTTATTCTCATTCAGCCAAGTTTACACACCAAAACACATTGTAAGATCACTGCCTCTCCAACTGATTACTAAGAATAGTAAGCTGCTTGCTCCAGGCTACCAGTGTCTACTTTGTTTGAAGGCATTTCATCTTGGTCAACATACAAGATTGCTACCATGTACTCACAAGGTAAAAGTCACATCATTTTAGTTTTACTTTCCCTGTAGGGTCAGTTTTCACAAATGAAGTGACAATTTAAGTCTGTCCTTTTACTTTTGAGTTGTGCTCTGTACAGAGGTGTTCACATTGCACAGCACATATAGAAAGAACTACCACAGAGACTATCGAGAAGGCAGCTTTCTCCCTGAGGATGTCTTTATATTAATTAGTACTCATTTCTGTATATACTATCTAGGAAAGATAAAATGGTACTTTAAGTTAGATTCCTTTATCTACTTTAGTTATCTGTAAAAAGAAAAAAGGTTATAGAATACTAATATTTTGCTATGTATTTTTATGATTCTTAAGATGAAACAGAAATGCCTAAGTTGACATAATTATTATTTCACATGAACTCATTAGAATCAGCATAATACTACTTGATCACTATATAATTGATAAGCAACTATATAGTGGTTGATAACCAACTTTTTTTCTGAAATGAAGTTGGTTCAGTAAACAAACAAAGCTTCAGTAATAAAGCTTTAGAGTCATCCTTAGTTAAAATGGCTAATTGTTTTATTTTCAAAAACTTAATTTGTTATTTTATATTTTACTGTTATCAGATCCATTTTCAACCCCAGTTGGTTATGACTTTTAAAATAATTTTCATTAGAAATAAGTAGCAGTGAAATGAATAACTTTAAGTAGAGAATTTTTAACAAAATTACAAATGCTATCCATAAAAGTCTTTGCATTTTAATATCGAAAATGGAAATCAGTCCCTACATAGTTATATTTAGAAGTTAACTTCTTCAAAATATTTTCATAAAACTTGATAAATAATTATTTTTCAATTTTGCTAAATATTTTTAATCATAAAATTATGAAACTGGGGGAAATTTACTTGAATAATATTATAAACAAGATTGGTATAGTTCTGATTAGCTTACCTTTTTTTTAAAGTTTCACAGGAAGTGTATTGACAACTGGTTATTCCACAAGTGCAATTCATGCCCTATTGATGGACAAGTTATATATAACCCTTTAACTTGGAAAAATTCAGCAGTGAATGGACAAGCACATCAGTCTGTTTCAAACAGAGACATCATTCATCTATCAAAGCAGAAAGAACCAGATCTTTTTATTCCTGGTACTGGATTAGTCTTAAAACAAAATAGACTTGGAATTTTACCTAGCATACCTCAGTGTAATTTTGATGAATTGAATACACCTCAAAGCCCAAAAGATGCCTATGAAAATACAACAATAGATAATCTATGCTCTATCAAATTAGATAATTCAAATTCAAAAAAATTAACCTATGATTATAAAATTAGCCAACATTTTCCCAGGTATCTTCAAGATTTACCCACTGTGTCATTTGGGAAAATACCATCTCAAACACTGCTTCCTCCTATTGTTCATAAGAATATTGTGTGTCCCACTGCAATGGAAAGTCCATGCATCAGTGGAAAATTTCACACTAGTCTAAGCCGGATGACCAAAGGCTGTAAATGTAATAACCACAACCTAAAGAAGACTCCTGCCACTAAAATAAGAGAGGACAACAAGAGATCAACTTTACTTCCAGAGGATTTCAATCTTATTGTCAATTGGAGCACAGCTAAACTTAGTTTGTCTAAAAGGTATAGTAACTGTATGGGGGAAATTACACGAAAATGTAGTCATCTATCAAGACAGCCTGTGTCTCACTCTGTAAATACAAAAAGTACTGAGCTATCTTTAATAATAGAAGGAGTTCAATTGTGAAAAAGTTT
Source organism: Homo sapiens (assembly GCF_000001405.40). Taxonomy (NCBI): domain Eukaryota; kingdom Metazoa; phylum Chordata; class Mammalia; order Primates; family Hominidae; genus Homo; species Homo sapiens. Next base: position 186,827,975 of record NC_000002.12, on the reverse strand, counting down.
ACTATCTGAAAATATTTGAATGTTGAATATAAAAAAATGTTTTATATAGAACATAAAAAGCACACATAGTCTTGACAAATGTATATAAAATTCTCTGTTGGAATTTGCCTACTTACCTATAAACAGCTCACTACACTTAAAGGAAATGATTCTATTACTTATATGACTTACAGCATTAGGTGTCTTCATGAATATATTCAGGATGTTATAAATAATGAATAATTTTTAGAGCCTTTATCTTATTTTACTCTGATTTTAGAAATGTTTTACTTAAATTAAGGAAATAGATTTTTCCTACTTTGAGTCACTGTTTTCAAATATTTTTCACGGTAGCACATAACATGCAGGGATTACTCCCCGGTACTTCTGTATTTTTTGCATTTTTCTTGCACTAGTAATTACCACAAACCTATAAAAAAAAACCTTAAAAAACTCCATAAAGGAGTTTTCTTATACATAAAATGAAAATAAAATGAAATACTATCAGCTATGTCACATTTATAATGGTCTTAATGTTTTATTTTCAAGAAACTTATATAAGTACTACCAAATTTCTTGATACAATCACTATTATCGAAGAATCTGTTATTTAAAATCTGCTCTATTTTCAAAGTAACTATTGTTTCAAAATGTTCATTTGAAAAAATGTAACCCTTAGATTTTTGTTTATTTTTAAATTATATGGCTCAGTTTCTTTTCAAATATTTTTAAAATTATTGATGCTATATTGATTTTTATTATCTGTCACAAGGAAAAAATATCACATGATATTTTTTATCATGGTAATAATGGAATACATAGGTCTATGAAACAAATATTGAAGATATCAAGCAAAATTCTTTGAAGAGAATTTGCATTTAAATAAGTGATTAAATTGAGGTTAATCACAAACAGAAAGTAATTAATAAAATGTAGTTCAGAAACAGTAACAGAGTTAATTATAATATGAGCTGCATTTGAAAATTGAATGAAAGTTTGTCTTGCTTCTGACATAAAGATGGATGGCCAAATATATTTGTCAGCAATTCAGAATTTTATTAGCCTACTTGTCTTGAAAGATAGAGTTAAGGAAACTGCAAAATAATTTTCCAACTAATAAAATATTATTTATGTTCCCATAGATATTTCACTCTCCTTATTTATTTTTTAATCTTTTTCATGAACGTAAATTTTAAGTACCAGGGTACATGTGCAGGATGTGCAGGTTTGTTACATAGGTAAACAAGTGTTGTGGTGGTTTGCTACACAGATCAACCTATCACCTAGGTATTAAGCCCAGCATCCATTAGCTATTCTTCCTGATGCTCTTCTTCCCTCTGCCCCCAAGACAGGCCCCAGTGTGGGTTGTTCCCCACCAGGTGTCCATGTCTTCTCATCATTCAGCTCTCACTTATAAATGAGAACATGCAGTGCTTGGTTTTCTGTTCCTGTGTTAATTTCCTGAGGATAATGGCTTCTGGCTCCATTCATGTCCCTGCAAAGGACATGATCTCATTCCTTTTTATGGCTGCATAGTGTTCTATGGTGTATACGTACCACATTTTCTTTATCCAGTCTATCATTGATGGGCATTCGAGTTGATTCCCAAATCAACCAATTGCGATTGTGAATAGTGCTGCAATGAACATTCATGTGCATGTATCTTTATAATAGAATGGCTTGTATTCCTTTGCATATATACCCAGTAATGGAATTGCTGAGTCAAATGGTATTTTTGCTGCTAGATCTTTGAGGAATCGCCACAGTATCTTCCACAATGGTTGAACTAATTTACACTCCCAACAGTGTAAAAGCATTTCCTTTTCTCCACAACCTCACCAGCATCTGTTGTTTCTTGACTTTTTAATAATCATCATTCTGGCTGGCATGAGATGGTATCTCATTGTGGTTTTGATTTGCATTTCTCTAATGATCAGTGATGTTAAGCTTTCTTTCATATGTGTTGGCCACATGAATGTCTTCTTTTGTGAAGTGTCTGTTCATGTCCTTCGCCGACTTTTTAATGGGATGGTTTGTTTTTTTTTTTTTTCTTGTAATTTTGTTTAAGTTCCTTGTAGACTCTGGATATTAGACCTTTGTCAGGTAGATTGCAAAAATTTTCTCCCATTCTATAGGTTGTCTGTTCACTCTGATGATAGTTTATTTTTCTGTGCAGAAGCTCTTTAGTTTAATTACAACCCATTTGTCAATTTTTGCTTTTGTTGCAGTGTTTTTGTTATTAAATCTTTGGCCGTGCCTATGTCCTGAATGGTATTGCCTAGGTTTTCTTCCAGGGTTTTTATGGTTTTAGGTTTTATGTTTAAGTCTTTAATCCATCTAGAGTTAATTTTTGTAGAAGGTGTAAGGAAAGGGTCCAGCTTCAATTTTTTGCATATTGCTATCTAGTTCTCCCCGCCCCACTTATTAGATAGGGAATCCTTTCCCCATTGCTTGTTTTTCACTCTTCTTTTTAAAAGAACCCTTCAAAAAGGATAGACAGTGTTTTAGGAAAAAAAAAAATATATATATATAGGGCTATCAACGGTAAAAAGTTGGAATGCTAATTGAGACAATGCCATAAAATTCATTTTTTAGTTATGAGAAAGATATAATATGGATACTATTCTCACGCTAGTCAAACTGGTTAATGATCATTCAGCAATTTTTATTTTATTATTGCAGTAATATACAATATACCAAATATTCATGATTGTAAAAAGAGAGTAGAAATTAACTAATACAGTAATGATTCCTTGACTACATAAGCAAGCTTTGCTCAGAGTTGGGGATGTAAATTAGGTGACTCAACGAGGAGAAGTTAAACAATTTTTCAGTTTTTTAAATAGACAAAATAAATTGCAAAAAACCTGTCTGATTTCTAAGAATAAAGTTTACCTTATTTCTGAGGAAGAGGAAATGGACTGAGATCAGCATAAAACATACTTCTGGGTAGTGGTGAATAATATGACAGGCTGGTCAGGGCCTAGAAGAGGAGAAATTGAAAGATTGTACGCAAGTAAGTCTAGGGTAAAGGCATGTGGATGAACATATGGGAGAAGGCACTGCCAAAAGCTCTGTCCATGGGAAAAAAATTTTCTCGCCACTGTCTTTTAAGGTCAGTCTGGGCAATGCATCTCCCATCTACCATAAGGAGAGATAGAGAAAATTAGACAAATTAAAGAAACATTTAGAAAGGTGATCAGTAAGGAAAAGAAGAAAAACAAGTCTAAAAATGCTTTTTGTGCTAGATATTACTTGTGCTCACCAATACTGTCTGGCTCCTTTCCAGGCATTTGAGAAACTACACTTTCCAGCATCATTGGAGTTAGGCAGATTTTGGGACTAGCTCTGACCAATGGCAGTTGCCATCCATTTTCAGATTGCACGCACATACCCAGATGACCCATCCAGAAACCAAGCCCAAGTCTTTTCCTTCTGTGTAAGCTTATTGTAGATATGAGCCAAAGAAGGGGCAGTGTCCAACACTGGTGGATAACATGGGAGTCTGGGCTCTCTGCTCAAGCATCTTCTGATATTGTTCATGCTCACATCTGGACTTACCAATTCTGTATTATAACGGATTGCTGCCAGCTCTGTGATGCAATGGATCTATCTGACAGACCCCAGCTGCTGATGGGCAATTGCGGATAAATGATCAATTGGTATCCCATGGTCAGGTGTCCCATCTCCACCAGGGCATGCCATGAGTTGTTTTTCAAAGGCATATTGCATGGCCTTGTTCCAAAACGTCAGGTACATACGTGTGATTCCCCATATTGGGCTTTCCAGAAGCTCCAAAACTCATCTTTACCTACCACCAATACCTCTAATACCATAGAGTCTACCAGGTTGCATGGCCCAAGTAGCAGAACTGCTCATACCACTGTCTAGACTTGCAGCAGAGTTTTTTCCTGTTCTGGGTCCCCCCAAATCTGACAGCCATTGGTATTATCCAGCATATGGGCCACAGCAGTAATCCCACATGTAGGATAGTGAAATTTGCCACTCATATAACTCAAAGATGTTGAGCTTCTTTTTTTGTGGTGAGAAGTACAAGATGTGATCAGTTGTCTTTTATTTTGGAATGAATATCCTGGCATGTCCCTGTTCATAGGAACCCTATAATTTTAATAATGTGAAGGCCCCTGAATCTTTGTAGGGTTTATCTTCCATTCTGTAGAGCACTTTTGTCTTAACGAGGATTATGATAACTTCTTGCCCGTCTGGCCCAATTAACGTAACAGCATTGATGCAGTAAATCAATGTACTGTTCTGCAAGATGTTCAAATAGTTTAGAGGACAGGAGAGTTGACATAATCCTAGGTCAAAACTGCAAATATATAATATTGCCTATTCTGTGTGAACAAGAGCCCTTTCTGACCTTAGCAGAGTAGAATACATTCACCAAATTAATGGACTTACATCATGTACCTGAGAATGTAATGATCTCCCGTAGCAAAAATACCATATCTGGCATGGCTGCCACAATTGGGATTACTATTTCATTGAGTTTGCAGTATTCTGCTCTCATCTTTCAGAATCCTTCCAGTTTTTGCAAGGGCCATGCTGGTGAATTTGATGGAGATTTAATCAGGACTAACAACTCTGCATCTTCTAGATTCTTAAGAGGATGGCACTAATTTTCACCATCCACTTAGGGAAGTGACATTGGTTTTGATTTATTATATTTGCTGAATTTGTGTAACAATTTTAAAGACTTACACTTTCCCCCTCTTCTATGATTGCCTTTATGCCACAGGCCAATAACCCAATGTGAGGCTTGTAGCATTTAGTATGTTATTCTCAATTATACTTTCAGGGACTAGGGAAATGACCACTTAAGAGATCTGAAGAAACAGTGGGCCCAAGAAAAGCCAGATGTTTCCCAGGATTCCATTTACTACCTGGTCTCTATATGGCCCCACTCTAGAGGGGGCATAATGATGCTTCAGGTCTTGAGTATGACTGTCATTTCTGACTGTGTCCAACAAACCTTAAATGTTTGGCTGTCCCCCTTTTAATGTATGGCACTAGGGTGACTAACAAATCAGTTTGCTTGGGAGAGTTCTAATTTTAAGACAAGAGTCTCATGTTCCAAGGCACCCCTCAGTTCTGGGCAAATCTGGATGGCCAATTATTCAAAAAATTATCCAAGTAAATTACTTTTGTGGAAGGAGGGGGAAATGCATTTTTAAGTATATTGCTATGGTATTTCAATTTCCTTCCTGCTGGAGTCTTGGCCTCCTCAGTCAGTGGGTTTTGGGTCTGAAAACTACCTCATGTCCAGCAACTTGGCACTAGATTATGACTCTTAACCAGTGCAGTTGCCCTTGGTCTCCTGGTCATTCATCCTTGATTTCTTCCAACAGCGCAAGCTGGAGTACCTTTGTTGTAGTCCCATCTGTTTTGCCCCTAGTGACAATTTGTTTAATAAACTATTTCCATCTCTGTGGGTCAGGCCTCCTGGCTGCTACTCTGACCCTGCCGCTTATTACAGTAATTGCATTCACTTAGATTTTGGCAGTTAAGTGGTACCACCTGGCCTTTATTAGGTGTTTAACCCACTGCTATCAGTGAACTTAATAGTAAGAGCCTCTCCTACCATCAACCCTGGGTTATAGAAGAGAGCCACCACTGAACTTTTACTGATGTCAGTGCCCCACACCAGCACATTGTTTATGACCTTGGTAATTGGTGTCTTTTATAGGCCTTCCCATAGGACATTACCATCAGGTGGGGCTCCCGACTTTGCAAAGTATATTTACTCCAGCGTGCCCACTTCCATGGGTTTTTAAATCCTTTTATCTACTGTCTGCAAATATTGTCTATATTGCAACTTCACATAGCATTGGTCATTGCTTTTTCTATGGTTCCAGAAGCCATCTTGTATGTACCATCACCTGGAGTCCTTACCAAACCATTAAATCCTATTTCACAAGAATGCTCCCATATCAATAAACTCTTACTTGCCTGATTTAATTTTTGGGCCTGCTTGATTAAGTACTCTCAGGAATCAAACCCACAGGTTCCCCTGCAGTACCTGCCAATACACAATGGCTAGGTCTTGCAGCTTCTTTAAGGAACTAAGCCTTATTGGAACTAGCACATTTTTTGGCTGGGTTATGCAATGAGTTAACGCTAGTGTTAATGCCTAGTGGCCATAACAGGAGGCACATGTTATTTTGTGAGGGAGAGGGCTCTTCATAACCTTCAAGTAAGGTGGGTGGACAGCCCTTATGAAGAAGGGGTGGCCCACTTCTGCATTTTTGGAATTCAGAAGAGTCTGGGGTTCAAAATTTCTAGGGACACTCACAACCAGATGTTCTCAAGTGTCAGGGTCCCATTTTTCCCAGCCGTACCTTGATATTGTCATAACTGACCTGCCTCAATGGGGCATTTAACCTTATCTGGAGCTCTACTACACCATTCACTCCTGCTCCTCAGCTTCCTCTGCCTTCTTGCAGCACAAGAGTGTTTTCGTAAGCTATCATAAAGATGCATTGGATTTCATGTTTGGTGTTCAATTGCTCATAGTTTTTCATTATTTTTTTCTTGGGTTGTAATGAGCTTAGCAATAGCCATCTGTTCTTGTTATCATTATGGTAACTATTTCCCCAGTGCTTCTCAAAGTTCTGATACTTCACACCAGCTAGTGTGTGCCCTCCCCACCCCCAATGGCATACCTTCATGACTTACTAATCTAGAGAGTTTTAATAACAGAGCATTCACCCACCTTATGCCCAGAGATGTCTATGTTCCACTTACCAGAGAGAGGGTCCCCACTGCAGTATGCTGAAAGTGGTCTGGCTCCTAAACCCTATCTTATCAGCAACTTTCTCAGACCTTTCTCATTATCAACTTGCATAGGTTGTTTCTTCCAAAAACAGATACTTAAATAGAATTCGTTATGCAGTGTCTGTGTTAAACATTAACACATGTGCAAAGAAGGGGCTTGATCTTATCTGTATTTAAAATGTTGGTATTTTGTTAATTTCTCCTCATCCTAATCCCTTCCCTGAAGAAAGAAAACAAGATTTCACAGAGGGAGGAGAGTTGGAAAGCACCAGTCATACTCTGCTACAAATAAATCATGGGGTGTAGGCCATCTCAAGAAGGGTGTGCACTTGGGCTAGATAGTGCCCAAGCTGAGGCCATGCAGCTGAGACAGACCCTCAAAAAGCAGACAGCTGCAGGCTGTCTGCCGAAAGCATTTTCAGCAGCTGAGGCAAAAAGCCCTTTCTTGAAGGCTGATCTGGGCAGTGCATCTCTCACCTGCCACAGGTAGAGATAGAGAAAATTAGATATACTAAAGAAACATTTAGGAAGTGATGGTTACGGGAAAAGGGAAAAAAGAAGTCAAATACAATTCTTTTTGTGGTAGATACTACTTGTGCTCACCAATACTATCTAGTTCCTTTCTGGGTGTCTAAGAAACTATACTTCCCAGCACTGTTGGAGTTACGCAGAGAACTGTGACTCGCTCTGACCAATGAAATGTGGGAGAAAGTGAAGAACGTTACTTCCGGCCAGAGATGGTGAGAAGCTGCTGCACAATCCAGCCACTCTTTCCCGGCCATCGTACTGGGGAGCCACATATCACAGATGGCACATCAACAAAATAATGGAGCCTTTATCAGCCTGCATCCTTGAGGTAAGCAGTTATAAATATAAGTTGTGACCTCAGAAGAGAGGTTTAGGTGCAAATATAAATTTATGGGTCACAAGCATGTAGACAAAAGCTATGTGAATTGCTGATACCAACCAAGGAGTGCATACTGAGTAAATACAAGACATTAGACAGAGCTCTGAAGACCCCAACATTTAAAACTTAGGAGAAGATGCTAGCAAAGGAGGTTGAGAAAGAGAAATGTTTTAATTTGGGAGTGAAGAATGCAGTTTCGCTTTAGCAATAGGAAGGCTTTAGTGATTGTAACTAGGAGAGTTTAAGTGGCAAAGGCCAGATTGGATTGGGTTGAAGAGAGAATGGCAGGTGAGGCAGGATGTATACATAACTCAAGAAGGGGGATTATGAATGAGAGGAGAGAGAAAACAATCGCTGTAAGTGGGAATGTCTGTTTCAGATATTTTTTTAAAGCTGTGATCAACATTTTTAAATGTCATTAAGACACAGCTGATATGTGTGATGATTGATATGGTAACATCCCTGAGAGGGGAAGAATCTAGGCAGAGGTACTAAGATACGTTTCTGGTGCTCCCTGAATTTCTCTTAGCCCTTCATCAGAATCACGGGGTTTAAGAGCTGAAAGCAATTTTGGAGATAATTCTGTTATCTTTATGATGAAAATGAGGTTTAAAGTGTTTTACTGTCTCATCTATGGTCACACAACAAGTGAGGAGCCAAAACTACAGAAAAAATCATATTTCCTTGCTCCTAGTCTGACTTTCAGCTTTTTAATTGAGGGAATATTGTACCACCCCATTTTAAACTAATCTTTTGCTGATAATTTTGCTAGAGAATGTTTTCTGAAGCTCATAAAAGCAAAACACTGTTCTTAGTATGAGGTATAGTTAACATTTAATCAATAATATACTTAGCAAATACTCCATGACTAATATGATTAATTACTACATAGATAATGTTTGTTGCTTATTCATATGATAAATTTTATTCAAAGAAACCATTAAATGAAATATTTAGAGGTACATATTTGTAGGAACATTTTCAAAAGCAATCAGAGGATTTAAAGCTGATGGAATTCCGTTTTTTAAAAAAAAGAAAGTGACTACTGTGAAACAAGTTCTACTTTTATTGTGTTCTTTGAAGAAGTTGACCAATTCCTCTAAAATTAAAATGTTGTTATTGGTGTCTTTCTTGGGTGGAGAGAGCATTTTTCAAGCTAAAAATAGGAAACATTGATTCACATAAAAGACAGTTTGGCATGACACAAGTTTAAATCACTAAAGAGGTTCAATGTTTTGAAGTTTAGTTTCAGTTTGTAAATAAACTTTTCTGTTTTGTGGCCATCTATTTTATAATTAAAACACATTTCCAAGATGTATGGTTCAAACACTTAAAATACTGAGAAAGCATAGTAAGATACAATACTGAAGATCAACTTGAGCCTTGGGTGCTCTAATAGTACCTTTATGCTAGTGCATTCTTCTTATAGTATAAAGGAGCAAAAGGACAAAGAAAATTGAAAAGTTTTGAATAGTTCCTTTTATTTGAAAACTGTCAATAATAGACTAGAGGTATGTTTCAATGATAATTTAGTATCTGGGCCTGACACTGTGGCTCATGCCGGTAATCCCAACATTTTGGGAGGCTGGGATGGGAGGATCGCTTACAGCCAGGAGTTTAAGACCAGCCTGGGCAACATAGCAAGACCCTGTCTCCACAAACAAATAGAAAATATTATCTGGGCATGGTGGCACATGCCTGTAGTCCTAGGGACTGGGGAGGCTGAGGTGAGAGGATCCTTGAGCCTGGGAATTCAAGGCTACAGTGAACAATGATCATACCACTGGACTCCAGCTTGGGTAACAGAGCAAGATCCTGTCTCTAAAATATATTTGAAGAAGATAATCAAGGTACAATGACAAAACTTCCTTCCTTACAATGAGTTATAACTTTAGGAGAAACATGTGCAAGCTAGGAATAATAGGTTCCTTTTACACGTTAAAAAGCCACTAAAACATAATTTCCCTGAAATTGTACATTCCCATGACACTAATTCTTTAAAACAATGACTGGATTCTTTATTATTATTATTATTATACTTTAAGTTCTGGGGTACATGTGCAGAACATACAGGTTTGTTACATCGGTATACACGTGTATGGTGGTTTGCTGCACCCATCAACTCGTCATCTACATTAGGTATGTCTCTTAATGCTATCTCTCCCCTAGCCCCTCACCCGCCCACCACAGGCCCCAGTGTGTGATGTTCCCCTCCCTGTGTCCATGTGTTCTCATTGTTCAACTCGCACTTATGAGTGAGAACATGCAGTGTTAGGTTTTCTGTTCTTGTTTTAGTTTGCTGAGAATGATGGTTCCCAGATTCATCCATGTCCCTGCAAAGGACATGAACTCGTCCTTTTTTATGGCTGCATAGTATTCCATGGTGTATATGTGCCATATTTTCTTTATCCAGTCTGTCATTAATGGCATTTGGGTTGGTTCCAAGTCTTTGCTATTGTGAATAGTGCCGCAATAAACATACGTGTGCATGTGTCTTTATAGCAGAATGATTTATAATCCTTTGGCTATATACCCAGTAATGGGATTGCTGGGTCAAATGGTATTTCTAATTCTAGATCTCTGAGGAATCACCACACTGACTTCCACAATGGTTGAACTAATTTACACTCCCACCAACAGTGTAAAAGTGTTCCTATTTTTCCACATCCTCTCCATCATCTGTTGTTTCCTGACTTTTTAATGATCACCATTCTAACTGGCATGAGATGGTATCTCATTGTGGTTTTGATTTGCATTTATCTAATGACCAGTGATGATGACCTGTTTTTCATGTTTGTTGGCTGCATAAATGTGTGTGTGTTTTTTTTTTTTTTTTTTTTTTTGGAGACCAAGTCTTGCTCTGTCACACAGGCTGGAGTGCAGTGGCACAATCTTGGCTCACTGCAACCTCTGCCTCCTGAGTTCAAGCAATTCCCCTGCCTCAGCCTCCTGAGCAGCTGGGACTACAGCACACACCACCATGCCCAGCTAATTTTGGTATTTTTAGTAGAGACGAGGTTTCATCATATAGGCCACGCCGGTCTGGAACTCCTGACCTCATGATCCACCCACCTCAGCCTCCCAAAGTGCTGGGATTATAGGCGTTAGCCACCGCACCTGGCCCATAAATGTATTCTTTTGAGAAGTGCCCGTTCATATCCTTTGCCCACTTTTTGATGGGTTGTTTTTCTCTTGTAAATTTGTTTAAGTTCTTTGTAGATTCTGGATATTAGCCCCTTCTCGGATGGATAGATTGCAAAAATTTTCTCCCATTCTGTTCACTCTGATGATAGTATCTTTTGCTGTGCAGAAGCTCTTTAGTTTAATGAGATCCCATTTGTCAATTTTGGCTTTTGTTGCCATTGCTTTTGGTGTTTTAGTCATGAAGCCTTTGCTCATGCCTATGTCCTGAATGGTATTGCCAGGATTTCTTCTAGAGTTTCTATGGTTTTATGTCTTATGTTTAAGTCTTTAATCCATATCAAGTTAATTTTTGTATAAGGTGTAAGGAAGGGTCTAGTTTCAGTTTTCTGCATATGGCTAGCCAGTTTTCCCAACACCATTTATTAAATAGGGGATCCTTTCCCTATTGCTTGTTTTTGTCAGGTTTGTCAAAGATCAGATGGTTGTAGGTGTGTGGTGCTATTTCTGAGACCTCTGTTCTGTTCCATTGGTCTATATATCTGTTTTGGTACCAGTACCATACCGTTTTGGTTACTGTAGCCTTGTAGTATAGTTTGAAGTCAGTGTGATGCCTCCAGCTTTGTACTTTTTGCTTAGGATTTTCTTGGCTGTGTGGGCTCTTTTTTGGTTCCATATGAAATTTAAAGTAGTTTTTTCTAATTCTGTGAAGAAAGTCAATGGTAGCTTGATGGGGATAGCATTGAATCTGTAAATTAGTTTGGGCAGTATGGCCATTTTCACGTACTGATTCTTCCTGTCCATGAGCATGGAATGTTTTTCCATTTATTTCTGTCCTGTCTTATTTCCTTGAGCAGTGGTTTGTAGTTCTCCTTGAAGAGGTCCTTCACATCACTTGTAAATTGTGTTCCTAGTATTATATTCTCTTTGTAGCAATTGTGAATGGGAGTTCACTCATGATTTGGCTGTTTGTCTGTTATTGGCGTATAGGAATGCTTGTGATTTTTGCACATTGATTTTGTATCCTGAGAATGCTGAAGTTGCTCATCAGCTTAAGGAGATTTTGGGTTGAGATAATGGGTTTTCTAAATATACAATCATGTCACCTGCAAACAGAGACAATTTGACTTCCTCTCTTCCTATGTGAATACCTTTTATTTCTTTCTCTTGCCTGATTGCCCTGGCCAGAACTTCCAATACTGTGTTGAATAGGAGTGGTGAGGAGAGGGCATCCTTGTCTTGTGCAGGTTTTCAAAGGTAATGCCTCCAGTTTTTGCCCATTCAGTATGATATTGGCTGTGGGTTTGTCATAAATAGCTCTTATTATTTTGAGATACATTCCATCAATATCTAGTTTATTGAGAGTTTTTAGCATAAAGCACTGTTGAATTTTGTCAAGAGCCTTTTCTGCATCTATTGAGATAAGCATCTGGTTTTTGTCATTGGTTCTGTTTATGTGATGGATTACATTTACTGATTTGCATATATTGAACCAGCCTTGCATCCCAGGGATGAAGCCATCTTGATTGTAGTAGATAAGCTTTTTGATGTGCTGCTGGATTCAATTTGCCAGTATTTTATTGAATATTATTGCATCAATTGTTCATCAGGGATATTGGCCTGAAATTTTCTTTTTTTGTTGTGTCTCTGCCAGGTTTTGTTATCAGGATGATGCTGGCCTCATAAAATGAGTTAGGGAGGATTCCCTCTTTTTCTATTGTTTGGAATAGTTTCAGAAGGAATGGTACCAACTCCTCTTTGTACTTCTGGTAGAATTCGGCTGTGAATATGTCTGGTCCTGGACTTTTTTTGCTGGTAGGCTATTACTGCCTCAATTTCAGAACTTGTCTTCCTGGTTTAGACTTGAGAGGGTGTATGTTTCCAAGAATTTATCAATTTCTTCTAGATTTTCTAGTTTATTTGCATAGAGGTGTTTATAGTATTCTCTGATGGTAATTTGCATTTCTGTGAGGTCAGTGGTGATATCCCCTTTATCATTTTTGATTGCATCTATTTGATTCTTCTCTCTTTTCTTCTTTATTAGTCTGGCTAGTGGCCTATGTATTTTGTTGATCTTTAAAAAGAAAAACCGCTCCTGGATTCATTGATTTTTAGAAGGGTTTTTCATATCTCTATCTCCTTCAGTTCTGCTCTGATCTTAGTTATTTCTTGTCTTCTCCTAGCTTTTGAATTTGTTTGCTCTTGCTTCTCTAGTTCTTTTAATTGTGATGTTAGGGTGTTGATTTTAGATCTTTTCTGCTTTCTCTTGTGGGCATTTAGTGACATAAATTTCCTCCTAACACTGCTTTAGCTGTGCCCCAGAGATTCTAGTATGTTGTGTCTTTGTTCTCATCGGTTTCAAAGAACTTATTTATTTCTGCCTTATTTTCGTTATTTACCCAGTAAATAACGGAGCAGGTGCAGCTTGTTCAGTTTCCATATAGTTGTGCAGTTTGGGGTGAGTTTCTTGATTCTGAGTTCTAATTTGATTGCACTGTGGTCTGAGAGACTATTTGTTATGATTACTGCTCTTTTGCATTTGCTCAGGAGTGTTTTACTTCCAATGATGTGGTCAATTTTAGAATGAGTGTGATGTGATTCTGAGAAGAATGTATATTCTGTTGATTTGGGGTGGAGAATCCCGTAGATGTCTATCAGGACCGCTTGGTCCAGAGCTGAGTTCAATTCCTGAATATTCTTATTGATTTTCTGTCTCATTGATCTAATATTGACAGTTGGGTGTTAAAGTCTGCCACTATTATTGTGTGGAAGTCTAAGTCTCTTTGTAGGTCTCTAATAACTTGCATTATGAATTTCAGTGCTCCTGTATTGGGTGCATACATATTTAGGATAGTTAGCTCTTCTTGTTGCATTGATCCCTTTACCATTATGTAATGCCCTTTCTCTTTTTTGATCTTTGTTGTTTTAAATTCTGTTTTAGCAGAGACTAGGATTGCAACTCCTGCTTTTTTTGCTTTCCATGTGCTTGGTAAATATTCCTGCATCCCTTTGTTTTGAGTCTATGTGTGTCTTTGCACGTGAGATGGGTCTTCTGAGTACAACACACCAACGGGTCTTGACTATCCAATTTGCCCATCTGTGTCTTTTAATTGGGGGCATTTAACCTGTTTACATTTAAGGTTAATATTGTTACGTGTGAATTTCATCCGACATTATGATGCTAGCTGGTTATTTTGTCCATTAGTTGATGCAGTTTCTTTATAGTGTCAATGTTCTTCACAGTTTGGTATGTTTCTGCAGTGGCTGGTACCAGTTGTTCCTTTCCATGTTTAGTGCTTCCTTCAGGAGCTCTTGTAAGGCAGGTCTGGTGGTGAGCAAATCTCTCAGCATTTGCTTATCTGTAAAGGATTTTATTTCTCCTTCACTTTTGAAGCTTAGTTTGGCTGGATATGAAACTCTGGGTTGAAAATTCTTTAAGAATATACAGTATTGGCCCCCACTCTCTTCTGGCTTGTAGGGTTTCTGCAGAGGGTTCTGCTGTTAGTCTGATGGGCTTCCCTTTGTGCATAACCCAACCTTTCTCTCTGGCTGCCCTTAACATTTTTTCCTTCATTTCAACCCTGGCGAATCTGACAATTATGTGTCTTTGGGTTGCCCTTCTCGCGGAGTATCTTTGTGGTGTTTTCTGTATTTCCTGAATTTGAATGTTCCCTGTCTTGCTATGTTGGGGAAGTTCTCCTGGATAATATCCTGAAGAGTGTTTTCCAACTTGGTTTCATTCTCCCTGTCACTTTCAGGTACACCAATAAAATGTAGGTTTGGTCTTTCCACATAGTCCTATATTTCTTGGAGTTTTTGTTCATTCTTTTTCATTCTTTTTTCTCTAATCTTGTCTTCACACCTTATTTCATTAAGTTGATCTTCAATCTCTGATATCCTTTCTTCTGCTTGATCAATTCGGCTATTGATACTTCTGTATCCTTCACGATAGTTCTCATGCTGTGTTTTTCAGCTCCATCAGGTCATTTATGTTCTTCTCTAAACTTGTTATTCTAGTTAGCAATTCGTCTAACCTTTTTTCAATGTTCTTAGCTTCCTTGCACTAGGTTAGAACATGCTCCTTTAGCTCAGCGGAGTTTGTTATTACCCACCATCCGAAGCCTACTTCTTTCAATTCGTCTAACTCATTCTCTGTCTAGTTTTGTTCCCTTGCTGGCGAGGAGTTGTGACTCTTTGGAAGAGAAAGAGGCATTCTGGTTTTTGGAATTTTCAGCCTTTTTGTGCTGGTTTCTCCCCATCTTTGTGAATTTATCTACCTTTGGTCTTTGATGTTGGTGACCTTCAGATGGGGTTCTGTGTGGACGTCCTTTTTGTTGATGTTCATGCTATGGCTTTCTGTTTGTTAGCTCTCCTTCTAGTAGGTCCCTCTGCTGCAGGTCTGCTGGAGTTTGCTGGAGGTCCACTCCAGACCCTGTTTGCCTGGGTGTCACCAGGGGAGGCTGCAGAACAGCAAAGATTGCTGCCTGTTCCTTCCTCTGGAAGTTTTGTCCCAGAGGGGCACCCACCAGATGCCACCTGGAGCTTTCCTGAGTTTTATCTATAAGTCCCTGACTGGTGCTGGTGCCTTTTCTTTTCAGAGATTCCCTGCCCAGCGAGGAGGAATCTAGAGAGGCTACAGTGGCTACAGTGGCTTTGCTAAGTTGTGGAGGGCTCTGCCCAGTTGAGTGGCTTTGTTTTCACTGTGAGGGTAAAACCGCCTACTCAAGCCTCAGTAATGGCAGACGCCCCTCTCCTAACCAAGCTCCAGCGTCCCAGGTCAACTTCAGACTGCTGTGCTGGTAGCAAGAATTTCAAGCCAGTGGATATTAGCTTGCTGGGCTCTGTGGACATGGGATCTGCTGAGCTAGACCACTTGGCTCCCTGGCTTTAGCCCCCTTTCCAGGGGAGTGAACGGTTCTGTCTCGCTGGCATTCCAGGCACTACTGGGATATGATAAAAAAAAAACAAACAAACAAACAAACTCCTGCAGCTAGCTCAGTGTTTGCCTAAACGGCTGCCCAGTTTTGTGCTTGAAACCCAGGGCCCTGGTGGTGTAGGCATCCTAGGGAATCTCCTGGTCTGTGGGTTGTGAAGACCTTGGGAAAAGCATAGTATCTGGGCCTGGGTGCACCATTCCTCATGGCACAGTCCCTCATGGCTTCCCTCGGCTAGGGGAGGGAGTTTCCCAACCCCTTGCACTTCCCGGGTGAGGTGATGCAACCGCCCTGCTTCAGCTCACCCTCCATGGGCTGCACCCACTGTCTAGCCAGTCCCAGTGAGATGAACCGGGTACCTCAGTTGGAAATGCAGGAATCACCTGCCTTCTGCATTGATCTTGCTGGGAGCTGCAGACCAGAGCTGTTCCTATTTGGACGTCTTCACAGCTTGAGTCTTATGAGTTTTTTCTCAATATATGGATAACAAAACTAATGATTTAGAAGATGCTAAAATTTTAAAGGTCCATTACAGAAGAAATAGAATAAGAATCTAACGGTCATGGTTCTCAAATGTGAAATTTCATAAAACAAATTATTTTTTAAAAAATGTAAATTATTAAAACAGCACTCAAAATCTATTGAAATAATCTGGATCAAGGTAATTATGTAGTTACTTTCAAATAAAATAAACCATTGTAAATGTGGCATGAATTTTGAAAATATGACACCAACACTGATTTATAATAATTTTTTGCAAAAAACTCCTTTCAAAATCATAATTAAAAACATTCTACTTCCTGATTTTATTGTAGACTGTAGAGTGCTAAGAAATTGTAAGCAAAAAAATAAGGTGTATGAATATGATAGTGATAATTCTCAACTGTAATTTTTTTTACCTTCAATTGATTATTTTGACAATAGGAAAATTTAAATTATATTACTTATGTTATAAACAGTGTAAAATTCACCCAAATTTCTTCTGGATAAGTGGTCTTTTATCTGATGTTTAACATGTTTTAAAATTAAATCTTGGCCGGGTATGGTAACTTACGCCTCTAATCCCAACACTTTGGGAATCTGAAGCAGGTAGGTCCTTTGAAGCCAGGAGTTTGAGACCATCCTAGGAAACACAGCAAGATCACATCTCTACAAATTAAAATGTGTGTGTGTGTGTGTGTGTGTGTGTGTGTGTGTGTGTGTGTATGTGTATATATGTGTGTATTTCTACATAGGTGTATATATGAATATGTGTGTATATATGTGTGTATATGTATATATAAAATCTGAAATTCATCATATCTACATTTATTCTCTAGCTATCCAAATATCTTCATCATTTTAAAGGATAATATAAAACTGACAGTACCTGATTAACCAGGAGCCAGAGAGTCCTACATTTCAATGACAATTATATAATTTAATTTTTTAAAAGTGTTTTCTGGAGGAAAAGTGACCAAAGGAATATGAAGGAACATACCTCTAATGTACTGTATGGTAATTTAGCTGTATGATTCCTAGTAGCTTTCCATACAATGCACTGAAGATTAACTTTCTCTTTATACAAGATTTCAAAGGATTATTTTAATTACAAAATGGGTTGTATGAAGTTATTTTAGTTTAAATTTTACAACATCTTTGTTGTGGATGGAGGCCTATTATAAATTTCCAGAAAGTTTACATAGTAGTTCATTTCTATGAATATTATTCCATTGAAGACATGTCCTTTTTTTCTTGGAAAAAATAAGAACTATTTCTTTTCTGAAATAATTTTCATTGAGTATATTACACTGAGGTTCCATGCTTCTTACACTTTTAATTCAAGAGACTGTGTGTGTATACACATATATTTTGAAACTTTTCCTTGCGTTCTCAAGAAAGTATTAAAGAAGTAAATAAGTAACTACAGGAATAAGAAGATACAAATGTTCAGGAGACAAATTTGCTGTCTACCATATCATTGAACCTCTATTCCAAGGGACAGAAAGTATCCTTATCCTCAAGGACCTTACCAGTGAGGAAGGGTGAAAAATAGACAAGCTAATTTCAGATAGTGAAAGAAAACAGAAAAAAATAAGGACATAATATGTTAGGAAGTACCTAAGGATTGAGGATCAGAAACCAATTTAGATGGGGTGAGAGAAGGTCTCAGGAACTCAACAAAGATCTAAATAACAAAGACCGGAAACAGGAGCATGGCAAGAAAGGGAAGCACACACAAAAAAAGCAACATCTCAAGGCTAGAAAAGTCTTGGAAGTTTCAAGGATCAGAAAAAACTGTGAGCCTAGAATAATGTTCCAGTGAAGGAAACAGTGGTAGAAAGAAAGGTTTTCTCATGGGCCAAGGAGAGAAAGGACCGTGGAGCTCACGTGGAAAGTCAATTCCTTTTCTAGATAATTAATCGAGTTCCCATAGCATGTAGTTGAGATCCTAAAAGATATTGCTTAGCAGAGATGGACTGTTAGAGTTGTGCGTCTCAAACCGTACTGTGCTTACAAATCACCTAGGGGAACTTGCTAAAATGCAAACATGAATTAAATATGTCTGGCGCAGCAGTTAAGAGTCTATAATTGTAACAACTTTCTAGGTGATACCCATAAAGCTCATTCTTCACTTACCACCTGGGAAGTGAGGGGAGGTGATAGCTTTCCTCCATCAACACCCCCTCTCCAGAGGGCACATCATCTGCTTCCCAGTCCCCCTCTTACATTAATGGGGTTGGGGTGCTGTGAGTGATTAGCACCAATTCTGCTGAAAAGGCACCTCTCCGCAAACTTTTTGAGGAGGTGGCTGTCCTGATAATTGAAGGTTCTCTAGACTTTTCTTCCATGGACTTGAGTCTCCAAGATAACAGGAAAGCTCCTACTCATGTTTTGGTCTGCTCTCTTACAAGTTTTTTATTACATCCAAAGTATCAGTGAAGAAATTAAGAAAAGTTTTCTGGAAACATTTTTTTTTTCCTAAAAAAAATTGTATAATTTTAAAACTTTCAATTTTTAAAATTTAGAGCAAAACTGCTACAGGGGCATGATTTAAGGATAACTCCAGTTCATTTGATTTATGAGCCATTGATAACAGGGTGTAAAAACCCTCTTCTTTATGCTTCTTATACAGTTGCTGCTAAATCATTAGAAAACCATGCAGTTGTTGTTATATGACACGTAATGTGAGCGGGGGGAGACAAACTATGCATGAGAGCAGCTAAGCAACACTTATCTCAATCCTGATAAATCCTCTAAATATTTTTAATAGTTCTCATTTCTGATTAAAAAGTGTAACATAAGAGGCTGTGAGGAATGATCTGGCATCTGAAGCCTACACTCTGATAACTATCACTGATATAGATGTTTGATAGCAATAACGATAATTAGATCTTCATTGAAGATTTCCCCATTGGTTAATAATGTTGAATCATATGAGTGACTCCTTGTAATGTAAGCAAGTTTAGTATTATAGAACAATCACTAATATTTATGTAGCCCATGCTTTTTTTTTTTTTTGTACCATCTTATGTATCACATCAGCCACATAAGGGAGGTGTTACTATCATGACCAATGTCAAACCCATATAGCAGAGGCGGAAACTGAGGTTTACTAGAGAGATGAAGTACCACAACTTAGACTAAGATCTCCTAACTTGCTCCCCTGTTTGTCAAATATTTATTGAAGCTCTACACTGTGCTAAAGCTGTGAAAATGCAATATAGAAAAAAATCAAAATTGAGTAACGAATAATGAGGGGAGAAATTAACATAAAAATTATTTACCACTTATTTTTAGGTAAGAGTCTACTTAAAAAAATTGAACTTGAGATGTAAGGTGAAATGGTCATATTTATGAAATTTAAAAGGAGACAGTGAAGTCACTTTTTTTCAACTCAAATACATATCAGTTTGTAAAACTCAATACTCTTAAATAGAATTGCTATTTTAGTAATATTTTAAGTTATTAACAAATAATGATATCAACAGAAATATTTTATCACTTACATACTCTTTACCTGTAACTTCAAGAACTGCCTGGAATTTCCCAAATTTCTATTGCCTGCATCACACATAACATCTAAACTCAAGATTGATTCAGAGATTCAGAGAAAATTTCCTAGAATCCCCACTGCTACTTTTAACTTGAAATATTCAAAAGAAAGTGAAAGCTCTCCCCCACAGTCAATCAGCTCCTTCCCCATTCACCCAGTTACCCTCAGGGACAAAATGGAAGTCATCTGTGACTCCTGTCTCTACTAACTTCATAAAATACATCCAGTCCTGAAAGTTGGAGCTCCCTGAAGAAATTTTAATTGATATACCTTTGCCATTGTCACTGACATTCCTTTAGGAACCTAGCATCACTTCTTAGGTTATTTCAGGAGATTCCTAAATGGTCTTGACTTGCTTCCCTGATCCCTTCCCTCCTCAGGGGTGTTTGTTGTGAAGCAAATGATATATAGGTTCAGGGCCCTCCATTTGCAGAAACCACTTCCAACATTGTGGAGGGCACTGTTCTGTTCACATAGTAATAGATTTTAGAAAAGTTGCAAAAATATTTTGAGTGTGATAAGACTACTATCTCCACTCTGACTTTCACTCTTCATACTTAATCCAGCGTCAGAGGCACTGGAGTTGGCTGAAGGTACTTTTGGGATCCAGGTAAGTGGAGGTTGAGTTGTATTGCCAGCCACCCCAGTGCTGACTCACCCAAGTTTGTGACATCAAATTTCATATCCAGAGGTGATAGCATGGTCTGAATCTGTTGTTCTGTGCCTCATCTCAGAAGGGCCTGTTTAGAGGAAGAAACAAAAGAATTTAAACATACTAAGCCAAAAAGCTATTCTGTGGAAAATTCCCCCAATTTTGAGCCATATATAATTGTAAGCAGAGGATTCTGTACTAAACAATGGCTAGTCAGAAGGTGTCCTCTCAGTAATATATTCAAAAATACATCACATACATTTATAAACACATTACTTTTGGGTGAGAGTGGATTAGCAGACAACAATAATGTTTAATGGAATGCATGTGTTGATAGAATATAACTCAGTATCAGTAATACAAAGTGTGAGAACATGTGTTTGAAATCATGCTTTATGAATCACAATTACCACTAATAAATTTTGAGCAGTCATACTAGAAGAAACACTGGATTATCTTCCTATTCTATCTGTAGAATGTATTACAAAATTTTCATAGGAAAAGCACAGCTAAAATTAAGAAAAAAAATATAGAGTGGATTTCCTGGCCAAGATGGCTGCCTAGAAGCAGCTAGTGTGTGCTGCTTTCATGGAGAGGAGAAGGAGTGGTGAGTAAACACTAGCTCTTGAACTAGATTATCCAGATGAACATAATGGGATTCATCAAGAAAGCAATACAACCCATGGAGATCAGAGACAAGCAAGACAGGACAGCTGCCCACCAGGGATTGGCGTGGAGCCAGTGGAGGCTCCCCAGCATGGGGAAATGATGAATGAATGAGAGCCCCCAGGGACCTACAGTTCTGCCATGGACCTTTGCAACCCTGAGCTCAGGAGATCTTGTGTGAACTCCCCTCCAACCAGGACCTCCAGACTGCCATGGAGAGCTATGTGGAGTCTGGGCACAACCACCACTCAGGTACATGTGAAATCCCAGGGGCCTTGGACCCCTAGGCACCAGCGACTGCAGCTGCAGCAACAGGGGAGGCCAGACTCCCTCACACATCCCAGGATAAGGGCTGAAATGACAGGGCTGAGGAGTGGACGGACTGCAGTCTTCACCTCCCCTGCATTTCAGTAGGAGGCCAGCTGGCCTGGGACCCTAGCATGGCCACCCCAGCCCTACTTGAGCTCTCTAGCTGGTAGCAGTTCTGCACTTCCCTGAGACGGAGCTCCCAGTGGTAGCAGGCAGGCCCACCATTTTGCTGCCCTGCGGCTTCTGCCCCTGCTGCCCTCAGATTCAGGAGGGAGAAATGTGATTAAGGACTAACACAGGCCCCCAGCACAGTGCAGCTAGCTGCCTTACAGAAAAGCAGCCAGACTTTTCCACAGTTACCTGCCCCTGTTACTCCTCACAGGGCAGGGCCTCTTGACTTGGGCCCCCAGCACAACCACTCTGCCCTTGCCTGAACACTTGAGTCCAGAGGCAGCTCTGCATTTCCCTAGGAAGGATATCTCAGAGACAACCCACAGTACCTCTCCCAGTGCAGCTGCAGTGGTACCACTGTTACTGCCTTTCCGCTAGGGAAGGAACAAGGGCCTGGTTGCATTTCTGGCACCTCCAGCACACTGCAGCCACCATATAGAGAGGAATCCAGTCTCATTTTCCTGTGAGTGCCCACCCCCTACCCTTCACCAGATAGGGCCCCTGGCTGGGGACTGCAGGCAGCTGTCCCACCTCCCACTGACCATAGCCACTGGTAGTGGCTCTGTGTTTCCCTAGGATGGAGCTCCCAGAGGCAACTGACAGCCCCTCTGCCATTGTAGTGGTTCTGTCCTTGCTGCCCTTAGACTGGGGAAGGAACAAAGACCCTGAGTGCTTTATTCATACCTCTAGCACACTGCAGCCACCCCAAGGAGAAGAGACCAGTCTGTCTTCCCTGCAAACCCCCTACAATCCCCCTGCTCATCAACAGGCAGGGCCCTCCAGCCTGGGTCCACAACACAGCAGCCCCCACCCTATGCTGGTCACTCCATTTGGTAGCGGCTCAGCATTTCTCTGGGGTGGAGTTCCAAGAGACAAGTGAAAGGCCTTCTGCCATTGCCACTGCTAAGGTCCCTGCCTCTGTGGAGGTAACAAGCCTGAGCTCACCCCAGGGATGCAGTGTGCAGTCCAAGAGTGCAACCAGCACTGAAGTGGGAGAGGAGCCCACAGTCTCAGAGCACTGAGAAGGAGCACAATTGCAAATTCTAGGAAATAGAAAAGAATCACAGCTGAGCAAGAGCCTATCTACCAGTGATTACACTTAAGTGCCACATACTGGATCACAGCCCAAACTTAAATGCCAAAAATACTTTGCTAATATACAACCCCTTGAAACCAAGGACAAGAATTCAGCTACAAATAAAGACCCTGCACCAAGCCTTGGCTCCCTGAAAACATCCAGAAATGAGCCCAACTGACTTTACTCAAATGACACGACAGTTAAAGGAACATCAGCCCATACAAATGAGAAAGAACTAGTGCAAGAACTCTGGCAACTCAAAAAGCAAGAGTGTCGTCTTTCCTCCAGCCCTACTAGTTCCCCAGGAATGGTTCTTAACCAGGCTGAAATGACATAGAATTCAGAATACAAATAGGAACAAAGATCATTGAGATTCAAGAGAAAGTGAAAACCCAATCCAAAGAATCTAAGCATTGCAATAAACAGTACAGGGACTGAAATACCAAATGGCCATTTTAAGAAGGAACCAAACTGATAGAGCTGAAAAGCATACTACAAGAATTTCATAATACAATCACAAGAATTAACAGCAGAATAGACTCTGAGCACAAAAGATTCTGAGGAAAGAAACTCAGAGCTCAAAAACTGGTGCTCTGCACTAACTCAGACAAAAATAAAGAAAATCAGTAAAACAGAATGAACAAAACCTCTGAGAAACATGGGATTATGTAAAGAGACCATATCTATGACTCATTAGCATCCCTGAAAGAGGAGAGAAAACAAGCAATTTGGAAAACATATTTGAGGTTATCATCCACAAAAATTTCCCCAACCTCGCTAGCGGGGTCAACATTCAAATTTAGGAAATGCAGAGAACCCCAGTGAGATACCATACAAGATGACCATGCCCAAGACACACATTCATCAGATTCTCCAAGGTCAATATGAAAGAAAAAAATATTAAAGGCAGTTGTAGAGAAGGGACAGATCACCTACAAAGGGAACCCCATCAGGCTAACACTGGACCTTTCAGCAGAAATCCTACAAACCAGAAGAGATTGGAGGTCTATACTCAGCATTCTTAAAGAAAAGAAACCCCAATAATCTCATATCCAGCCAAACTAAGTTTCATAAGCAAAAGAGAAATAAGATTCTTTTCAGATAAGCAAATGCTTAAGGGAATTCATTACCAACAGACCTGCCTTACAAGAGGTCCTTAAAGGAGTGCTAATTATGGAAAGGAAAAACCTTAGCAGCCACTACAAAAACACACTTAAATGTATAGACCATTGACACCATAAAGCAACTACACAACCAAGTCTGCATAATAACCAGCTAACAACATGATGATAGGATCAAATCTGTACATATCAATGTTAACCTTGAATGCAAACAGACTAAATGCCCCCAATTAAAAGGCACACAGTGCCAGGTTGGATAAAGAAGCAAGACCCAACTGTATGCTGTCTTCAAGAGACCCATCTCACATGCAATAATACCAAAGAAAAATCTACAAAGCAAACAGAAGGAAAAAAAAAAAAAAAACATGGGAACAGGTTGCTATTCTAATTTCAGACAAGACAGACTTTAAACCAAAACGCTCAAATAAGACAAGAGTATTATATAGCGGTAAAGGGTTCAGTTCAGCAAGATAACCTAACTATGCTAAATATATATGCACCAAACACAGAAGCACCCACGTTCATAAAACAAGTTCTTAGAGACCTATGAAGAGACTTAGATAACTTTATGATAATAATGGGAGATTTCCAACACCCCACTGACAATATTAGATCATCGAGGCAGAAAACAAAGATATTTGACATCTAAACTCTACATTTGCCCAAATAGATCTAACAGACATCTACAGAACTCTCTACCCATAAACAATAGAATATACATCCTTCTCATCTGCACATGGCACATACTCTAAAATTGACTATACAATCAGGCATAAAATAATTCTCAGCAAATTGAAAAAAATCATACCAATCACACTCTCAGACCACAGTGCAATAAAATCAGAAATCAATGACAAGAAGATCACTCAAAACCATACAACTGCAAGGAAATTAAACAACCTGCTCCTGAATGGCTTTTGGGTAAATAATGAAATTAAGGTAGAAATTTAAAAAAAAAATAGAACTAATGTGAACAAAGATACAACATACCAGAATGTCTGGGACACAGCTAAAACCATATTGAGAGAAAAGTTTATAGTCGTAAGTGCTCATATCAAAAATTTAGATCTCAAATTAACAGCCTACCATCACACCTTGAGGAACTAGGATAAAACAAGAGAAAATCAACCCCAAAGCTAGAATAAGAGAAGAAATAACCGGCTGGGCATGGTGGCTCACTCCGGTAATCCCAGCACTTTGGGAGGCTGAGGCGGGCAGATCATGAGGTCAGGAGACCAAGACCATCCTGGCTAACATGGTGAAACCCTGTCTATACTAAAAATACAAAAAAATTAGCCAGGCGTGGTGGTGGGCACCTGTAGTCCCAGCTACTCAGGAGGCTGAGGCAGGAGAATGGCATGAACCCAGGAGGCGGAGCTTGCAGTGAGCTGAGATTGTGCCACTGCACTCCAGCCTGGGCAATAGAGCGAGACTCCATCTCAAAAAAAAAAAAAAAAAAAAAAAAAAAGAATAACCAAAATCAAAGCCAAAATGAATGAAATTAAGACATGAAAAAAAACATAAAAAAGATGAATAAAACCAGAATTTTTTTTAAAAGAATAAGATACCACTAGCTAGACTAATTAAAAAAAAAGAAGATCCAGGTAAACATCAGAAATGAAAAAGGGTACATTACTACCAATGCACATAAATATAAAAAACCCTCAGAGACTATGATGAACACCTCTATGCACACAAACTAGAAAACCTACAAAAAATGGACAAATTTCTGGAAACATACAACCTCCCAAGACTGAAACAGGAAGAAATTTATACCCCAAACATACCAGTAATGAGTTCTGAAATTGAATCAGTAATGAAAAGCCTGCCAACCAGAAAAAAGCCCAGGAGCAGACAGATTCACAGTCAAATTTTACGAGGCATATAAAGAAGAGCTGGTACAATTCCTACTGAAACTATTCCAAAAAATGAAGGAGGAGGGATTCCTTGCTCTTTGATTTTATGAGGCCAACATCATTCTGATACCAAAACTGGGTAAAGATACACACAGCAAAAACAAAAAAAGAAAACTTTAGGCCAATATCCTTGATGAATATAGATACAACAATCCTCAACAAAATACTAGCAAATATACAATAGCACATCAAAAAGTTAATCCACCACAATCAAGCAGGCTTTATTTCTGGGATGCAATGTTGGTTCAACGTATGTAAATCAATAAATGTGATTCATCATATAAACAAAACTAAAAACAAAAAGCACATGATTATCTCAATAGATGCAGACAAAGCTTTCAATAAAATTCAGCATCCCTTCATGCTAAAAACCCTCAACAAACCGGGAATTGAAGGAACATACCTCAAAATAATAAGAGCCATCTATGACAAACCCATAACCAACATCATACTTAATAGACAAAAGCTGGAAGGATTCCTCTTGAAAACTGGCACAAGATAAGAATGGCCACTCTCACCATTCCTATTTAACATAGTACTGGAAGTCCTAGTCAAGGCAATCAGGAAAGAGAAAGAAATAAAAGGAATCCAAATAGGAAGAGAGGAAGTCAAATTATTTGTTTGCAGATGATGTGATTTTGTACCTAGAAAAACCCATAATCTCAGCCCAAATACTCTTAGATCTGATAACTTCAGCAAAGTTTCTGTATACAACATCAGTGCATGAAAATCAGTAGCATTTCTATATACCAATAGCACCCAAGCAGAGTGCCAAATAAAGAATACAATAAAATCCAAAATAGCCACACACAAAAAATAAAATACCTAGAAATACAACCAGGCAAGTGAAAGACCTCCACAACAAGAATTACAAAACACTGCTGAAAGAAAGCAGAGATGACACAATTGGAAAAACATTTCATGTTCATGGATAGGAATAATTGACATCATTAAAATGGCCATGCTGCCCAAAGCAACGTACAGACCCAATGCTATTTCTATCAAACTACCAATGACATTCTTCACAGAATTAGAAAAACACTATTCTAAAATTTCATATGAAACCAATAAAAGAGCCCAAACAACCAAAACAATCCTAAGCAAAAAGAACAAAGCTAGAGGCATTACATTACCTGACTTTATACTACAAGGATACAGTAACCAAACGGCATGGTAGTGGCACAAAAATAGACACATAGACAAATGGAACAGAATGGAGAGCCAGAAATAAAGCTACACAGCTACAACTTTGTGATTTTTGAAAAGTAGACAAAAAAAAACAAACAATTGGGAAAGGACTTCCTATTCAACAAATGGTGCTGGGATAACTGGCTAGCCATATGCACAAGATTGAAACTGGACCCATTCTTTATACCATATACAAAAATCAACTCAAGATGAATTGAAGACTTAAATGTAAAACCTAAAACTTTAAAAATCCTTGAAGAAAGCCTAGGAAATATTATTCTAGACATAGGCCCTGGCAAAGATTTTGTTGCAAAAACTCCAAAAGCAATTGCTACAAAAAAAAGTTGACAAATGGAACCTAATTAAGCTAAAGAGCTTCAGCACAGCAAAAGAAACTATCAACAGACTAAACAGACAATCCACAGAATTAGAGAAAGTATTTGCAAACCATGCATCTGACAAAAGTCTAATATCCAGAATCTATAAGGAACTTAAGCAAAAAAAAATATTAAAAAGGGGGCAAAGTATATGAACAGACACTTTTCAAAGAAGATATACATGTGACCTAAAAGCATATGAAAAAAATGTTTATCATCACTAATCATTAGAGAAATGCAAATCAAAACCACAATGAGACATCATCTCACACCAGGCAAAATGGCTATTATTAAAAGTCACAAAAAAAACAGATACTGGCAAGTCTACAGATAAAAGAGAATCCTTATACATTGCTGGTGGAAATGTAAATTCATTCAAGCACTACAGAACTCAGTTTAGTGATTTATCAAAAAACTTAAAACAGACCTAACATTAGACTCAGGAGTCCCATCATTGGGTGTATACTCAAAGGAATCTTAATTGTTCCACTGTGAAGACACATGCATACATATGTTTATTGCAGCACTACTGACATAATAAAGACATGAAATCAACCTAAATGCCCATCAACAGTAAAATGGAGAAAGAAAATGTGGTACATATACACTATGGAATACTATGCATCCATAGAAAGGAATGAGATAATGTTTTTTGCAGCAACATGGATGGAGCTAGAGACCACTCTCCTAAGAAAACTAATGCAGAAACAGAAGAACAAGCACCACATGTTCACTTATAAGTCAGAGGTAAACATTGAGTACACATATGCACAAAGAAGGAAACAATAGACACCAGGGCTTACTTGAGGGTAGAGGATGGGAGAAGGGTGAAGAGTGAAAAACTACCTATTGAATACTATGTAATTACCTGAGTGATGAAATAATATGTACGCCAAACCCCCATGACACGCAATTTATTGTAGAACACACTTGTGCATGTACCCTGAAACTAAAGGTTAATTTAATAAATAAAATAAAATTAATTAGCTCTTCTTCCACTTGTCTGTCCCACTGTGAGGGATCTATGTGGCTGCTGGTATATGAAAACACTAACTGGCTTTTCCTACCGCACTTACTGGAATTCTAACCAGCAATAAATTAGTGCATTGCTCTTGTTAACCTGGAGCATACACAGAGAGTTAAACTGGTTAGTGCAGTTAGTCACAAAATCCTTACTAAAGCTTTTGTGAAGATTGCCATTATCATCAAGGCCCACCTCTGGGCCCCATTGTACTGAATTCAAGTTTGGTGAAAATCAAGCCAACTGTATTACTTTTTGTTGGTTTGTTTGCTTGTCTTTTGTTTTTTGTTTTTGTTTTTTTCCTGCCTGGCTCAGGGCCCGGGTTCTCACTGGCGTTGGCACCTGCTCCCAGCCTGTCCTACCTCATTTAGGCACCTGCTGTGGTTACTTCCTTCTGGGCTAGCTGATGTGTCCCTAGACTCACACAATCTGGCCTGACACACTCTGCCTTTATATATATATATATATAATTAATATTATATATAATTAATATTATATATAATTAATATATATAATAAATAATATAATAAATATATAATATATAATTAAAATAATTATATATATTATTATATATATAATTATATATATACTTTAAGTTCTGGGGTACATGGGCAGAATGTGCAGGTTTGTTACATAGGTATACATGTGCTATTGTGGCTTGCTGCAACTATCAAACTGTCATTACATTAGGTATTTCTCCTAATGCTATCCTTCCCCTAGCCCCCTGCCCCCTGAAAGGCCCTGGTGTGTGATGTTTCCCTCCCTGTGTCCACGTGTTCTCACTCTTCAGCTCCCACCCATGAGTGAGAACATACAGTGTTTGGTTTTCTGTTCTTGTGTTAGTTTGCTGAGAATGATGGTTTCCAGCCCCATCCACATCCCTGAAAAGGACATGAACTCATCCTTTTTATGGCTGCATAGTATTCCATGTGCCACATTTTCTTTATCCAGTCTATCATGGATGGGCATTTGGGTTGGTTCCAAGTCTTTGCTATTGTGAATAGTGCCACAGTAAACATGTGTGTATGTGTCTTTATAGTAAAATGATTTATAATACTTTGTGTATATACCTGATAATGGGATGGCTAGTTCAAATGGTATACCTGGTTCTAGATCTTTGAGGAATTGCCACACGGTCTTCCACAATGGTTGAATTAATTTACAGTCCCACCAACAGTGTAAAAGCTTTCCTGTCTCCACATCCTCTCCAGCATCTGTTGTTTCCTGACTTTTTAATGATCACCATTCTAACTGGTGTGAGACGGTATCTCATTGTGGTTTTGATTTGCATTTCTCTAATGGCCAGTGATGATGAGCTTTTTTTCATATATTTGTTAGCTGTATAAACGTCTTCTTTTGAGAAGTGCCTGTTCATATCATTTGCCCACTTTTTGATGTGGTTTGGTTTTTTTTGTTGTAAATTTAATTAAGTTCTTTGTAGATTCTGGATATTAGCCCTTTGTCAAATGGATAGATTGCAAAAATTTTCTCCCATTCTGTAGGCTGCCTGTTCACTCTGTTGATGGTATCTTTTGCTGTGCAGAAGCTCTTTAGTTTAATTAGATTCCATTTGTTAATTTTGGCTTTTGTTGCCATTGCTTTGGTGTTTTAGTCATGAAGTCTTTGCTCATGCCTATGTCCTGAATGGTGTTGCCTAAGTTTTCTTCTAGGGTTTTTATGGTTTTAGGTCTTATGTTTAAGTATTTAATCCATATTGAGTTAATTTTTGTATAAGGTGTAAGGAAGGGGCCAGTTTCAGTTTTCTGCATATGGCTAGCCAGTTTTCCCAACATTATTTATTAAATAGGGGATCCTTTCCCCATTGCTTGTTTTTGTCAGGTTTATCAAAGATCAGATGGTTGTAGATGTGTGGTGTTATTTCTGAGGCCTCTGTTCTGTTCCATCAGTCTATATATCTGTTTTGGTACCAGTACCATGCTGTTTCGGTTACTGCAGCCTTGTAGTATAGTTTGAAGTCAGGTAGCATGATGCCTCCACCATTGTTCTTTTTTCGTAGGATTTTCTTGGATATGTGGGCTCTTTTTTCATTCTGTATGAAGTTTAAAGTAGTTTTTTCTAATTCTGTGAAGAAAGTCAATGTTAGCTTAATGGGGACATCATTGAATCTGTAAATTACTTTGAAGAGTATGGCCGTTTTCATGTACTGATTTTTCCTGTCCATGAGCATGGAATGTTTTTCCATTTATTTGTGTCCTCTCTTATTTCCTTGAGCAGTGGTTTGTAGTTCTGCTTGAAGAGGTCCTTCATATTGCTTGTAAGTTATATGCCTATGTATTTTATTCTCTTTGTAGCAGTTGTGAATGGGAGTTCACTCATGATTTGGCTGTTTGTCTGTTATTGGTGTATAGGAATGCTTGTGATTTTTACACATTGATTTTGTATCCTGAGACTTCACTGAAGTTGCTTATCAGCTTAAGGAGATTTGGGGCTGAGATGATGGGGTTTTCTAAGTATGCAGTCATGTCATCTGCAAACAGAGACAATTTGACTTCCTCTCTTCCTATTTAAATACCTTTTATTTCTTTCCCTTGCCTGATTGCCCTGGCCAGAACTTCTAATACTATGTTGAATAGGAGTGGTGAGCAAGGGCATCCTTGTCTTGTGCGGGTTTTCAAAGGGAATGCTTCCAGTTTTTGCCCACAGTATAATATTGGCTGTGGGTTTGTCATAAATAGCTCCTATTATTTTGAGATACATTCCATCAATACCTAGTTTATTGAGAGTTTTTAACATGAAGGGCTGTTGAATTTTGCTGGAGGCCTTTTCTGCATCTATTGAGATAATTATGTCATTTTTGTCATTGGTTCTGTTTATGTGATGGATTACATTTATTGATTAGTATATGTTGAACCAGGCTTGCATCCCAGGGATGAAGTCGACTTGATGGAGTGGATAAGCTTTTTGATGTGCGGCTGGATTCAGTTTGCCAGTATTTTATTGAGAATTTTTGCCCCAATGTTCATAGGGATATTGGCCTGAAATTTTCTTTTTTTGTTTCATCTCTGCCAGGTTTTGTTATCAGGATGATGCTGACCTCATAAAATCAGTTAGAGAGGATTCCCTCTTTTTCTATTGTTTGGAATAATTTCAGAAGGAATGGTACCAGCTCCTCTTTATACCTCTGGTAGAATTCAGCTGTGAGTCTGTCTGGTCCTGGACTTTTTTCTGGTTGGTAGACTATTAATTACTGCCTTAATTTCAGAATTTGTTATTGGTCTATTCAGGGATTCGACTTCTTCCTGGTTTAGACTTCGGAGGGTGTATGTGTCCAGGAATTTATCCATTTCTTCTAGATTTTGTAGTTTATTTGTGTAGAGGTGTTTACAGTATTCTCTGATGGTAATTTGTATTTCTGTGGGATCAGTGGTAAGATTCCCTTTATCATTTTTTATTGTGTCTATTAGGATTCTTCTCTCTTTTCTTCTTTATTAGTCTGGCTAGTGGTATATCTATTTTGTTGATCTTTTCAAAAAACCAGCTCCTGTATTCAATAATTTTTAAAAGGGTTTTTCGTGTCTCTATCTCCTTCAATTCTCCTCTGATCTTAGTTATTTCTTGTCTTCTGCTGGGTTTTGAATTTGTTTGCTCTTGCTTCTCCAGTTCTTTTAATTGCGATATAAGGGTGCTGATTTTTGATCTTTTCTGCTTACTCTTATGGGCATTTAGTGGTATAAATTTCCCTCTAAACACTGCTTTAAATGTGTCCCAGAGACATTGTGGTATGTTGTGTCTTTGTTCTCATTGGTTTCAAAGAATATCTTTGTTTCTGCTTTAATTTTGTTATTTACCCAGTAGTCATTCAGGAGCAGGTTGTTCAGTTTCCATGTAGTTGTGTGATTTTGAGTGAGTTTCTTAATTCTGAGTTTTAATATGATTGCACTGTGGTCTGAGAGGCTTTGTTATGATTTCCATTCTTTTGCATTTGCTGAGGAGTGTTTTACTTCCAATGATATGGTCAATTTTAGAATAAGTGTGATGTGGTACTGAGAAGAATGAATAGTCTGTTGATTTGGGGTGGAGAGCTCTGTAGATTTCTGTTAGGTGCACTTCGTCCAGAACTGAGTTCAAGTCCTGAATATCCTTGTCAATTTTCTGTCTCGTTGATCTGTCTAATATTGACAGTGGAGTGTTAAAGTCTCCCACTATTGTGTAGGAGTCTAAGTCTCTTTCTAGGTCTGTAAGAACTTGCTTTATGAATCTAAGTGCTCCTGTATTGGGTGCATATATATTTAGGATAGTTAGCTCATGTTTCATTGATCCCTTACCATTCCCTTCTTTGTCTTTTTTGATCTTTGTTGGTTTAAATTTTGTTTTATCGGAGACTAGAATTGCAACCCCTGCTTTTTTTGCTTTCCATTTCCTTGGTAGATCTTCCTCCAACCCTTTATTTTGAGCCTATGTGTGTTTTTGCATGTGAGATGGGTCTCCTGAATACAGCACACTGATGGGTCTTGACCCTTTATCTAACTTTCCAGTCTGTGTCTTTTTCTTGGGGCATTTAGCCTGTTTAAATTTAAGGTTAATATTGTTATGTGTGAATTTGATCCTGTCATTATGATGCTAGCTGGTTATTTTGCCTGTTACTTGATGCAGTTTCTTCATAGTGTCAATGGCCTTTACAATTTGGTATGCTTTTGCAGTGGGTAGTACCAGTTGTTCCTTTCCACGTTGAGTGCTTTCTTCAGGAGTTCTTGTAAGGCAGGCCTGGTGGTGACAAAATCTCTCCGCATTTGCTTATCTGTAAAGGATTTTATTTCTCCTTCACTTATAAAGTTTAGTATGGCTGGATATGAAATTCTGGGTTGAAAATTCTTTTCTTTAAGAATGTTGAATATTGGCCCCCACTCTCTTCTGGCATGTAGGTTTCTGCAGGGAGATCTGCTGTTAGTCTCATGGGCTTCTCTTTGTGCGTAACCTGACTTTTCTCTCTGGCTGCCTTTAACATTTTTTTCTTCATTCCAGCCTTGGTGAATCTGACAATTATGTGTCTTGGGGTTGCTCTTCTCGAGGATTATCTTTGTGGTGTTCTCTGTATTTCCTAAATTTGAATGTTGGCCTGTCTTGGTAAGTTGGGGAAATTATCCTGGATAATCTCCTGAAGAATGTTTTCCAACTCGGTTCTATCCTCCCCATCTCTTTCAGATACACCAATCAAATGTAGATTTGGTGTTTTCACATAGTCTTATATTTCTTAGAGGCTTTGTTCATTCCTTTTTATTCTTTTTTCTCTAATCTGGTCTTCTTGCTTTATTTAATTAAGTTGACCTTCAATATCTGATATCCTTTCTTCTGCTTGATCGATTTGGCTATTGATACCTGTGTATCCTTCACAAAGTTCTCATGCTGTTTCAGCTCCATCTGGTCATTTATGTTCTTTTCTAAACTGGTTAATCTAGTTAGCAATTCATCTCACTTTTTTTCAACGTTCTTAGCTTCCTCGCGTTTGGTTAGAACATGCTCCTTTAGCTCGGAGGAGTTTGTTATTACCCACCTTCTGAAGCCTACTTCTGTCAATTCATCAAACTCATTCCCCATGCAGTTTTGTTCCCTTGTTAGTGAGGAGTTGTGATCCTTTGGAGGAGAAAAGGTGTTCTGGTTTTTGGAATTTTGAGCCTTTTTGAGCTGGTTTCTCCCCATTTCATGGATTTTTCTTGATGAACTCTGGATTTTTCTTGGTGAACTTTGGATAAGGTCTCTGAGTGGATGTCCTTTTTATTGATGTTGATGCTTCCTTTCTGTTTGTTAGTTTTCCTTCTAACAGTCAGGTCCCCTCTGCTGCAGATCTGCTGGAGTTTGCTGGAGGTCCACACCAGACCCTGTTTCCCTGAGGATGTAGAACAGCAAAAATTGTTTCCTGTTTCTTCCTCTGGAAGCTTCATCCCAGAGGGGCACCTGCCAGATGCCAGCCAAAGCTCTCCTGTATGAGGTGTCCGTCAGCCCCTACTGGGAGGTGTCTCCCAGTCAGGAGACATGGGGGTCAGGGACCCACTTGAGGTAGTCTGACCCTTAGCAGAGCTCAAACACTGTCCTGAGAGATCTGCTGCTCTCTTCATAGCTGTCAGGCAGGGACATTTAATTCTGCTGAAGCTGTGCCCACAGCCGTCCCTTCTCCCAGGTGCTCTTTCTCAGGGAGATGGGGGTTTTACCTATAAGCTCCTGACTGGAGCTGCTGCCTTTTTTTCAGAGATGCCCTGCCCAGAGAGGAGGAATCTAGAGAGGCAGTCTGGCCACAGCAGCCTTGCTGAGCTGTGGTGGGCTCCACCCAGTTCAAACTTCCCAGAGGCTTTGTGTACACCGTGAGAGTAAAACCACCTACTCAAGCCTCAGCAATGGCAGACGCCCCTCCCCCCACCAAACTCAAGTGTCCCAGGTAGACTTCAGACTGCTGTGCTGGCAGCAAGAATTTCAAGCCAGTGGATCTTAGCTTGCTGGGCTCTGTGGGGGTGGGACCTGCTGAGCCAGACCACTTGGCTTCCTGGCTTCAGCCCCCTTTCCAGGGGAGCGAACAGTTCTGTCTCACTGGTGTTTGAGGTGCCACTGAGGCATGAAAAACTCCTGCAGCTAGCTCAGTGTCTGCCCAAATGGCTGCCCAGTTTTGTGTTTGAAACCCAGGGCTCTGGTGGCATAGGCACTGGAGAGAATCTTCTAGTCTGCAGGTTGTGGAGACCATGGGGACAGTAAACTATCTGGGCTGGAGTGCACCGTTCACAGTCCCTCACAGCTTCCTTTGGCTAGGGCAGGGAATTCCCTGACCCTTTGTACTTCCCAGGTGAGGCGACACCCCACCCTGCTTCGGCTCGCCCACCATGGGCTGCACCTACTGTCCAGCTAGTCCGTATGAGATGAACTGGGTCCCTCAGTTGGAAATGCAGAAATCACCTGCCTTCTGTGTTGCTCTTGCTGAGAGCTGCAG
This sequence comes from Homo sapiens, assembly GCF_000001405.40. Classification (NCBI taxonomy): domain Eukaryota; kingdom Metazoa; phylum Chordata; class Mammalia; order Primates; family Hominidae; genus Homo; species Homo sapiens. The sequence continues at coordinate 186,792,750 of NC_000002.12, read as the reverse complement.
ACCAGAGCTCTTCCTGTTTGGCCATCTTGCCAGCAATGCATCTTTATTTGTTTTTTATTTGGTTGTCTGCTTTTTTTTTTTCAGTGGGGGCAGTAGTTTTTGTGGTTATTGTTGTTCAGCAGTACAGTTTTTAAAACATAAAACACTTGATTATATTTATGGGGAGACCAGCTGGCCCAGTAGGCCATGCTCTGGAGCAGCAATGTGCACTATAGAAGTCACTTGCCACCAATGGTTGTTGAACATTTGAAATGTCACCAGGTCAAATCAAGATGAGCTATAAGTGTAAAATTCACATCAAGTATTGAAAATATAGTACACAAGAAAAAAGAATGTAAAATAACTCATAATTGTTATATCGATTGTATGCTGAAATGGTAATATTTTGAGTCTGTTGGCATAAATAAAACATTACTAAATTTTTTTTTAGATGGAATCTCACTCTGTCACCCAGGCTGGAGTGCAGTGGTGCAATCTTGGCTCACTGCAACCTCCGCCTCCTGGGTTCAAGCAGTTCTCCTGCCTCAGCCTTCCAAGTAGCTGGGATTGCAGGCATGCACCACCATGCCTGGCTAATTTTTGTATTTTTAGTAGAGATGGGGTTTCACCATGTTGGTCAGGCTGGTCTCAAACTCCTGACCTCGTGATCTGCCTGCCTCAGCCTCCCAAAGTGCTGGGATTACAGGCGTGAGCCACTGTGCATGGATTCCTTTTTTTTTCTTTTTCTTTTTCTTTTTTTTTTTTTTTTTTTTTTTTTTTTTTGAGAGGGAGTCTTCCTCTGTCACCAGACTAAAGTGCAGTGGTGTGATCTAGGCTCACTGCAATCTCTGCCTCCCGGGTTCAAGTGATTCTCTTGCCTCAGCCTCCCAAGTAGCTGGAATTACAAGCACGTGCCACCACACCCAGCTAATTTTTGTATTTTTAGTAGAGATGGGGTTTCACCATGTTAGCCAGGATGGTCTCGATCTCCTGACCTTGTGATCCGCCCACCTCAGCCTCCCAAAGTGCTGGGATTATAGGCATGAGCCACCACACCCAGCAATGTTTTAAAAATAGACATGAAAAAGATACTTGGAAAATTCTGAAAAAAACAAAACAAAACAAACACAAAAAACCAACACTTGTGTGGTGTGGCCAAGGGAAAAAATATAGAGGGGTAGAGAGTGTATGTGGTCAGGAATTTAATATTGTTTTTCTGGAACTTGTGATGTTTGTGTTATGTGTTAGATTTTAAATTTTGTAATATATTGTGATTTCCTTTCTCATTCTTTTTTTTTTTCTTCTTCAACATTTGAGTTCCAGGATACATGTGCAGGATGTGCAGGTTTGTTACATAGGTAAACTTGTGCCATGGTGGTTTGCTGCACAGATCAACCCATCACTTTGATAGTAAGCCCAGCATCCATTAGTTATTCTTCCTGATGCTTTCCCTTCCCCCACCCCTCCCCCTGACAGGTCCCAGCGTGTGTTGTTTCCCACCAGGCATTCATGTGTTCTCATCATTCAGCTCCCACTTACAAGTGAGAGCATGCAGCGTTTGGTTTTCTGTTCCTGTGTTAGTTTGCTGAGGATAATGCCTTCCAGCTCCATCCATATCCCTGCAAAGAACATGATCCTGCTCCTTTTTATGGCTGCATAATATTCCTTGGTATATATGTGCCACATTTTCTTTATCCAGTCTATCATTGATGGGTGTTTGGGTTGATTCCATGTGTTTGCCATTGTGAACAGTGCTATAATGAACATTTACATGCATGTGTATTTATAATGGAATAATTTATATTCCTTTGCATATATACCCAGTAATGGAATTGCTAGGTCAAATGGTATTTCTGCCTCTAGATCTCTGAGGAATCACCACACTGTCTTCCCTAACAGTTGAACTAATTTACACTCCCACCAACAGCGTAAAAGTGTTAGTTTTTCTCCACAACATCACCAGCATCTATTGTTTCTAGACTTTTTAATAATCACCATTCTGACTGGCGTGTGATGGTATCTCATTGTGGTTTTGATTTGCATTTTTCTAATGATCAGTGATGTTTAGCTTTTTTTCATCTGTTTATTGGCCACACGAATGTCTTCTTTTGAGAAGGGTCTATTTATTCCTTTGCCCACTTTTTAATGGGGTTTTTTCTTATAAATTTAAATTTCTTGTAAAACCTGGATATTAGACCTTTGTCAGATGAACAGATTGCAAAATTTTTCTCCCATTCTGTAGATTTTTTTGTTCACTCTAATGATAGTTTCTTTCGCTGTGCAGTAGCTCTTTAGTTTAACTATAATTCATTTGTCAATTTTGATTTTTGGCACAATTACTTTCGGCATTTTCATCATGAAATCTTTTCCCGTGCCTGTGTCCTGAATGGTACTGCTAGATTTTCTTTTAGGGTTTTTATAGTTTGGGGTTTTACATTTAAGTGTTTAATTCCTCTTCAGTTAATTTTTTTATAAGGCGTAAGGAAGGAGTCCAGTTTCAATTTTCTGCATTTGGCTAGCCAGTTCTCCCAGCACCATTTATTAAATAGAGAATCCTTTTCCCATTGCTATTTTTTGTCAGGTTTATTGAAGATCAGATGGTTGTAGGTGTGTGATCTTATTTCTGAGTTCTCTATTCTGTTCCAATGTCTGTGTGTCTGTACCATGCTGTTTTGATAACTGTAGCCTTGTAGTATAGATTGAAGTCAGGTAGTGTAACGCCTTCAGCTTTGTTCTTTTTGCTTAGGATTGCCTTAGCTATTTGAGCTCTTTTTTTGTTCCATATGAATTTTAAAATAGTTTTTTCTAATTCTGTGAAGAATTTCAATGGTAGTTTAATAGGAATAGAATTGAATCTATAAATTACTTTGGGCAGTATGGCCATTTTTACAATGTTGATTCTTTCTATCTGTGAGCATAGAATGTTTTTTCATTTGTGTCCTCTCCTTGAGCAGTGATTTGTATTTCTGTTTGATTTCCTTGAGCAGTGATTTGTAGTTCTGTTTGAAGAGGTTCTTCACTTCCCTTATTAGCTGTATTCCTAGATGTTTTATTCTTTTTATAGCAATTGTAAATGGGAGGTTATTCACAATTTGGCTCTCTGCTTGCCTGTTGTTGGTGTATAGGAATGCTAGTGATCTTTGCACATTTAATTTTTTATCGTGAGACTTTGCTGAAGTTGCTTATCAGCTTAAGAAGTTTTTGGGCTGAGATGATGGGATTTTTTTCTAGATATAGGACCATGCCATCCACAAACAAAGATAATTTGAATTCCTTTCTCCCTATTTAAATACCCTTTAATTCTTTCTCTTGCCTAATTGCCCTGGCCAGGACTTCCAATACTATGTTAAATAGGAGTGGTAAGAGAGGACATCTTTGCCTTGCGCTGGTTTTCAAGGGGAATGCTTCCAGCTTTTGCCTTTAGCATAATATTGGCTATGGGTTTGCCATATATGACCTTATTATTTTGAGGTATGTTCCTTCAATACCTAGTTACTGAGAGTTTTTAACATGAAGGCCTTTTCTGCATCTATTGAGATAATCATGTGGCTTTTGTCTTTAATTCTGTTCATGTGATGAATCACATTTATTAATTTGCATATGTTGAACCAACCTTGCATCCCGGGGATGAAGCCAACTTGATTGTAGTGGATAAGCTTTTTGATGTGCTGCTGGATTTCATTTGCCAGTATTTTTGGAGGATTTTTGCATAATGTTCATCAGGGATATTGGCCTGAAGTTTTTTTTTGTTGTAACTGTGCCAGGTTTTGGTCTTAGGATGATGCTGGCCTCATGAAATGAGTTAGGAAGGAGTCCCTCCTTTTCAATTGTTTGGAATAATTTCAGCAAAAATGGTACTATCACATTCTGCCCTTGTATCCCAGAACTTAAAGTAAAATTTTTCAAAAAACAAAAAGAAATAAATGGTACCACCTCTTCTTTGTACCTGTGGTGGAATTCAGCTGTAAATCCATCTGGTCCTGGGTTTTTTTTGTTGGTAGGCTATTTGTTACTGCCTTAATTTTAGAACTCATTATTGGTCTATTCAGGAATTCAGTTTCTTCCCGGTGTATGTGTCCAAGAATTTATCCATTTCTTCTAGATTTTTTAGTTTATGTGCATAGAGGTGTTTTTAGTATTCTTTGATGGTTGGTTGTATTTCTCTGAGGTCAGTGGTGATATCCCCCTTATCATTTCTGATTGTGTCTATTTGATTTTTCTCTCTTTTCTTTATTAATGTAGCTAGTAGTCTATTAATTGATTTTTTTTAAACCTAGCTCCTGGATTCATTGATTTTTTTGAAGCATTTTTGTGTTTCTATCTCCTTCAGTTTTGCTCTGATCTAGGTTATTTCTTGCCTTCTAGCTTTGGGGTTTGTTTGATCTTGTTCTCTGGTTCTTTTAGTCGTGATGTTAGGTTGTTAATTTGATATCTTTCTAGCTTTTTGATTTGGGAATTTACTGCCATAAATTTCCCTCTTAACACTACTTTAGCCATATCTGAGAGATTCTGGTTCATTGTTCCTTTGCTTTCATTCGTTTCAAAGAACTTCTTGATTTCTGCCTTAATTTCATTATTTACCCAGGAGTCATTCAAGAGCAGGTCATTCAATTTCCATGTAGTTGTGTGGTTTTCAGTGAATTTCATAGTCTTGAGTTCTAGTTTGATTGCACTGTGGTCTGAGAGACTGTTTGTTATGATTTCATTTCCTTTGCATTTGCTGAGGTGTGTTTTATTTTCAATTATGTGATCAAATTTAGAGTAAGTGCCATGTGGTGATAAGAATGTATATTCTGTTGCTTTGGTGAGGGGAGTTCTGTAGATATCTATCAGATCCACTTGATCCAGAGTTGAGTTCACATCCTGAATATCTTTGTTAATTTTCTGTCTCAATGATCTAATATTGTCAGTGGGTTGTTAAAGTCTCCCACTATTATTTTGTGGAAGTCTAAGTCTCTTTGCCTGTCTCTAAGAACTTGCTATATAAATCTGGGTGCTCCTGTATTGGGTGCATATATATTTAGTATAGTTAGGTCTTCTTGTTGAATTAAACCCTTTACTATTATGTATACTCTTCTTTGTCTTTTTGATCTTTGTTGGTTTAAAGTCTGTTTTGTCAGAAACTAAGGTTGTGACCCCTCTTCTTTTCGTTTTCCATTTGCTTGGTAAGTGTTCCTCCATCCCTTTATTTTGAGCTTGTGTGTCTTTGTGCATGAGATGGGTCTCTTGAAGACAGCATACTGATGAGTCTAGACTCTATCCAGCTTGCCATTCGGTGTCTTTTAATTGGGGCATTTAGCCCATTTACATTTAAGTTTAATATTGATATGTGTGGATTTGATCCTGTCATCATGATACTAGCTGGTTATTTTGAAGACTTGTTTATGTGCTTGCTTCATGGTGTCATTGGTCTGTGTACTTCAGTGTGCTTTTGTAGTGGCTCATAAGGTTTCTTTTCATATTTAGTGCTTCCTTCAGGACCTCTTGCAAAGCAGGTCTGGTAGTGATGAATTCTCTCAGCATTTGCTTGTCTGAAAAAGATCTTCTTTGTCCTTCATTTATGAAGCTTAGTTTGGCTACATATGAAATTTTGGGTTAGAAATTATTTTCTTTAAGAATCTTGAATATTCACCTAAGAAGAGACTTGAAATCAGTCTCTTCTGGCTTGTAGGATTTCCACAGAGATCCACTGTTAGTCTTATGGGTTTCCCTTTGTAGGTAATCTGGTCTTTCTCTCTGGCTGCCCTTAACATTTTTTCTTTCATTTCAACCTTAGCAAATCTAATGATTATGTGTCTTGGGGTTGAATTTCTTATGGAGTATCTTACTGAGGTTCCCTGGATTTCCTGAATTTGAATGTTGGCCTGTCTTGCTAGGTTGGGGAAATTCTTCTTGATGATATCCTGAAGTATGTTTTCCAACTTGGTTCCATTCTCCCTGTCTATTTTAGGTACCCCAATCAGTTGTAGATTCAGACTTTATACATAGTCTCATATTTCTCAGAGAATTTGTTCATTTCTTTTCATTCTTTTTTCTCTATTTTTGTTGGTCTTATTTCAGAAAGATAGTCTTCATGCTCTGAGATTCTTCCCTCCTGTTAGTCTGTTTTGCTATTGATACTTGTGATTGCATTGTGAAGTTCTTGTATTGTGTTTTACACCTCCATCAGGTTACTTATATTCCTCTTTAAACTGGCTATTCTGGTTATTAGCTCCTGTAATGTTTTACCATGATTCTTAGCTTCTTTGCATTGGGTTAGAACATGCTCCTTTGGCTCAGTGAAGTTCATTATTACCCACTTTCTGAAGCCTACTTCTGTCAGTTCAGCCATCTCAGCCTCAGCCAAGTTCTTTGCCCTTGCTGGAGAGGTGTTGTGGTCATTCGGAGGAGAAGAAGCACTCTGGCTTTTTGAGTTTTCTGCATTTTTGCATTGATTCTTTCTCATATTTGTGGGCTTATTTACCTTCGATTTTTGAGGTTGCTAACCTTTGAGGGTTTTGCAGGGTCTTTTTTTGTTGATGTTATTGTTGTTGTTGTTGCTTTCTGTTTGTTTTTCTTTTAACAGTCAGGCCCCATTTCTGTACGGCCACTGTGATTTGCTGGTGGGTGGCTTCAAACACTACTTGCCTTGGTTTTTCCCTTACTTGGAGGTATCACCAGTGAAGCCTGCAAAACAGCAAAGATGGCAGCCTGCTCCTTTCTCTGGGAGCTCCATCCCAGGTGGAGTACTGACCTGTTGCTGGCCCACATGCTCCTGTAGGAGTTGCCTGGAGACCTCTGTTAGGAATTCTCACCCAGTCAGGAAGAATGGGATCAAGGACCTGCTTAAAGAAGCAGTCTGGCTGCTTTTTGGTAGAGCAGGTGTGCTGCATTGGGAGAACCCTTCCTCATCTGGACCACCTGAATCTTCACAGCCAGCAAACTGGAAAGGCTGAGTTGACTAAACCATGGAGATGTCAGCTGGCCCTCTCCCTGCAGGCTTCTTCCAAGGGAGAGATCAGAGTTCTGTCTATATAACCCTAACTGGAGTTGCTAAAATTCCCACAGGGAGGCCCTGCCCAGTGAGGAGAAATCAAATGGGGTCCCACTTAAAAAAAAGCAGTCTGGCCACAATCTGGCACAGTAGCTGTGCTGCACTGTAGGGGATCCCTTCTCATCCAGACTGCCTGGACTCCCCAGAGCCAGCAAGCTAGAATGGCTGAATTGACCTAACCTTAGAAACGATGGCCATCCTTCCCCTGAGAACTCATCCATCTCACGCAGTTTCCATCCTGTTGCACTGGCTGTCTGGAATTCCAGGCCAGTAGGTCTTAACTCATGAGGTGCCATGGAAGTGGGGCCCACAGAACATTGCTGCTTGGCTTCTGGATTAAGCCCTCTTCCTAGGGGAGTATATGAATAGATCTCCCACCTTGCCAGGATTCTTGGGGCCAGAGTGTGTAAAACTCCTGGGTTTCTATATGAGCTTGAACGGCAGTTCTGCCACAACTCTGTACAGCTCTGTGTGTCAGACCCAAGGCCCTGGTGGTGTGGGCTCACAAGGGAATCTCCTGATCCATGGATTGAAAAGATCCATGGGAGAAGCATGGTTTCCCAGGTGGAGCCACACAATTACTCACCACTTTTCTTGGCTGGCAGTGGGGGTTCCTTTGGCTCCTTGCTGCTCCCAGGTGGGCCATCACTCCACCTTGCTTCTTGCCAGTCTCCGTGGGTTGAGCCATCTGCCTAGTCAGTCCCAATGTGAGAACCTGGAAATTTCGGTCGTAGATGTGGAATTCACTTACTGTTTTCATTTTTCTTCATGAGAGCTGCAGACTGCAGCTGCTTCTAGTTGACCACCTTCTGTCATCCTATATTTTATATCTACATTTGGAATGTTGTTTATTTAAAAAGAACCCCTAAAATTGTATAAGTTGGTTCTCTGCTAGACAAAATCTGGATCTTCCCTTCCCTCCCATGCATTCTTGACACTACTGTCAGAGTGATCTAAGCACATTTTATCACCTTAATTATTTTCTTCTTCTTTTTTTTTTTGAGACGGAATCTTGCTCTGTCACCCAGGCTGGAGTGCAGTGGCACTATCTTGGCTCACTGCAAGCTCCTCCTTCCAGGTTCATGCCATTCTCCTGCCTTAGCCTCCCGAGTAACTGGGACTAAGAGGTGCCTGCCACCATGCCTGGCTAACTTTTTTTTTTTGTATTTTTAGTAGAGATGGGGTTTCATTGTGTTAGCCAGGATGGTCTCAATCACCTGACCTCGTGATCCACCTGCCTTGGTCTCCCAAAGTGCTGGGATTAATAGCACTATAAGATGACTATAGTTAATACCATATATATAAATAATAACTTATATAGAAAACATATATAGTTAATATAACATATATATAACATATATAGTTTCAAATGGCTAGAAGGATATTGAATGTCCTTAACACAAAGACATAACAAATGTTTGAGATGATAAATATGTTAATTACCCTAACCTGATTACTATACATTATATGTCTCAAGACATCACTATGTACCCCATAAATATGTATATTATGTGCCAATTAAAAATGTGCGGTTCCACACAAACTTTAAGATTATTTTTCTATTTCTGTAGTTTTCATTGTATAGGTCCTTCACCTCTTTGGTTAAATTTATTTCTAGGTATTTTAGGGTTTTTTTTTGGTAACTATTGTAAATGGGATTGCCTTTTTTATTTCTTTTTCAACTAGTTCATTATTCATGTATTGAAACACTACTGATTTTTGTATGTTGATTTTGTAGCCTGTAACTTCACTGTATTTATTAATTAATTTGAAGAATTTTTGAGAGAGCCTTTAGGTTTTTCTATATATAAGACCATACTATTGTATGTACAGCACTATAACATGTACATACTATTGTATGTACAGATTGTTCAAACAGGAACAATCTGATTTCTGTCTTTCCCAATTTAGATATATTTAGGTTTCTTCCTCCTGCCTAGTTGCTCTGACTAGGACTTCCAGTACTATCTTGAATAAGAGTGGTATGAGTGGACATCCTTGTTTTCTAGTTTTTAGAGAAAGAGCTTTCAGCTTTCCTCCATTCAGTATGCTGTTAGCTGTAGGGTTTTCATATATGGCCTTTATTATATATCTAATTTATTGACATTGTATATCTAATTTCCTTGTATATCTAATTTATTGACAGTTTATATCATAAATGATATTGGGTTTTATAAAACACTTATTCTATTGAGATGATCATATGATTTTTATTCTTCATTCTGTTTATGTAATGAGGATGTTCATTGATTTCTGTATGTTGAACCATCCTTGCATTCCTGAGATAAATCCCACTTTATCATGGTGTATCTTTTTGATGTGTTGTTGGATTTAGTTTGCTATATTGTCTTAGGATTTTTGTGTCTATGTTCATCAGGAATATCAACCTGTAGTTTTCTTTTTTGTTGTGTCTTTATCTGTTTTGGTATCAGAGTTATGCTGGCCTCATAGAATGAATTAGAAAGCATTCCCTTTACTTCAATTTTTGGAATAGTTTGAGAAGAAATGGTGTTAATTCTTCTTTAAAAGTTTGGTAGAATTCAGTGGTGAAGCCATCTGGTCCTGGTCCTGAACTTTTTATTATTGGAAGACTTTTAATTACTAATTCAACCTCATTACTTGTTATTGGTCTATTCAACTTTTCTATTTCTTCTTGGTTTAATCTTGGTAGGTTGAGTGTGTCAAAGATTTATTCATTTCCTCTAGGCTTTCAAATTTATTGGCATATAGTTTGTAATACTCTCTAATGGTCCTTTGTATTTCTGTGGTATCAGTTGTGAAATCTGCTTGTTCATTTCTAACTTTCCTTATTTGGATCTTCTCTCTGGTTTTTTTTTTAGTCTAGCTAATGGTTTGTCAATTTTGTTTATCTTTTTCAAAAACTAACTTTTTGTTTCATTGATCTTTTGTATTTTTTTATCAATTTTGTTCATTTTTTCTCTGGTCTTAATTTCTTTTATTAATATTTGTCAAATATACTGATTTTTTTTTTTGCTTTTTTAGCTCATTGAGATGCATTATTAAGTTGTTTATTTGAAATCTTTTTAGTTTTCTGATATAGGCATTTATTGCTATAGACTTACCTTTTTTTTTTTTTTTTTTGAGCCAGAGTCTTGCTCTGTCACCCAGGCTGGAGTGCAGTGACACAATCTTAGCTCACTGCAGGCTCCGCCTCCCAGGTTCATGCCATTCTCCTGCCTCAGCCTCCCAAGTAGCTGGGACTACAGTCGCCCACCACCATGCCAGGCTAATTTTTTGTATTTTTAGTAGACAGGGTTTCACCATGTTAGCCAGGATGGTCTCAATTTCCTGACCTCGTGATCCACCCGCCTCGGCCTCCCAAAGTGCTGGGATTACAGATGTGAGCCACCGCGCCTGGCCTAGACTTACCTCTTAATACTGCTTTTGCTGTATCCCGTAGGATTCGGTATGTTGTGTTCTATTTTCATTTCTTTCAAGGAATTTTAAAATTTGTTTCTTAATTTCTTCTTACTCATGGATTGTTCAGGAGCATGTTGTTTAATTTCCATGTATTTGTATGATTTCGAATGTCCCTTTTGGTATTGATTTCTAGTTTTATTCCACTGTGGTCAGATAAGATTTTTGATATGATTTCAGTTTTTAAAATTTTTTGAGACTTGTTTTGTGTTCTCACATGTGGTCAATTCCCTCCTGCCAGGGAATTCAAGATGATGGGGAAGCTGGTTGTCTACCTCAATCTCACTTTTTCCAGTTTAGAAACGATAAGTTGGGGACAATTTTTCTGCATACTTAGATAAAGTGAGAATTAGGTGGATAATCAGCAAAATTGATGAAGGGGCATGATGGATGTGGAAATCTAATTCTCTTATGAGTTGCTCCATTTTTTCACTTTGCTGTGGTTCCAGAAACTGTCTCATCTTCATATCAGTACACCAAACATTTATCTTTGACTTTTTTTTTCTTTTTTTTTTTTTTTTTTTTTTGAGACGGAGTCTTGCTCTGTTGCCAGGCTGGAGTACAGTGGCGTGATCTCAGCTCACTGAAATCTCCACCTCCCGGGTTCAAGCGATTTTCCTGCCTCAGTCTCCCGTGTAGCTGGGACTACAGGCGCATGCCACCATGCCCAGCTAATTTTTGTACTTTTATAGAGACGGAGTTTCACCATGTTGGCCAGGATGGTCTCAATCTCTTGATCTGCCTACCTCAGCCTCCCACAGTGCTGGGATTACAGGTGTGAGCTACTACGCCCAGCCTATCTTTGACTTTTGACCAGGGGTATTCAGTCTTTTGGCTTCCCTGGCCACATTGAAAGAAGAATTGTCTTGGGCCACACATAAAATACACAAACACTAGCGATAGCTGATGAGCGTTAAAAAAAAAAAAAAATCAAAAAACAAACTCATCTTGTTAGGGTCAATTACTGGTTCCTTACTTTGTTAATTTGGAACGATTGTGATTCCCTGTTTGCTGTTGTTTCTTATGCTTGTATGCCTATGTCTTCACATTGAATGATTCATTATTTATTCCAGTCATCTCTAGTTTGTGTTGGTTTTTATTCGATGTATTTACTTAGACATACTTTACCACTAGGTCTCTGACTCCTTTTTGGCTCTAGGTGGCATCTTAGGCTAAGGTTTGCCTCAGGTGGAGCTCTGCCCCTCCTGAATGAGGGAGGTCCCTGATATCCTAGCAGTATGAGAAGGTTGGCTAGGGGTTTGTGCCCAGAGAAACTGTGGGATGAACTTTCATAGTGCTGCTGAACAGCCACTCCGATTTCACAGCTTCTTTGGCTGAGTTATAGGGCAGAGTTTCCAAGGCTGGGGATGATATTCCTGCTTCCCCTTGTCTCTGTCCTCAGGGGTATTTTTCCCTTGATGCTTCCTGTGAGTTAAGACAAGGCAGGTCTCCTGCCAGGAAACCCAAGATGATGGGGAAGCTGGTTGTCTACCTCAATCTCACTTTTTCCAATTTAGAAACCACAGTTGGGAAAAAATTTTCTGCATACTTGGAAAAAGTGAGAATCAGGTAGACAACCAGCAAAATTGCGGGAGGGGCATGATAGATGTGGAAATTCAATTCTCTTAATGAATTGCTCAGTTTTTTCACTTTATTATGGTTCCAGAAACTGTCTCATCTTCATATTTGAGTTCTGGGATATTTCTGGTGATAATCTCAGTGCTGCATATACGTATTTTTGTTTTTCTGTTGGTTGGGAGAGAGAGAGGGTAGGCAGTGCTTCAGCTAGCACAGCAATTTGGAACTCAAATTCTTTCTAATTTATTATTTTATTAAATACGTTTTCTTTACCTTTTCCCTCCTCTTCTCCTTCTGGAATGCCCACAATGTGAATATTTGTTTGTTTAATGGTGTCCTATACATAAATTTGTAGGCTTTCATCATTCTTTTTTCTTTATCTCTTTTTCTTTGGTCTCTCTGTTATTTCAAAATAACTGTCTTCTAGTTCAGAGACTTTATTCTTCTGCTTGATCTAGTCTGTTTTTGAAGCTCTCGATTATATTTTTCATCTCATTGAGTTCTTCAGTTGTGGAATTCATACTTGTATCTTTTTATCCAATATCTACTTTGTTGTTGAATTTCTCATTCAATTCATGAATTGTTTTTCTGATTTTATCGAATTGTCTATCTGTATTATTTTGTATCTTCACTAAATTTCCTTAAGATTATTATTCTGAATTTTTGTGACATTTTGCATATTTCCTTATGATTGGGATCTGTTACTGGAGAATTATTGTGGTCCCTCAAAGGTGTCATGTTTCCTTACTTTTTCATGTTTTATGTGTCCTTCCATTGATTTCTATGCATCTGGCAGAAAGGTCACCTTTTCCAGTTTATGAAGTAGATGTTGTAGAAAAGACTTATTCATTTAGACGGTTATTGGGCTATTGGTTTGGTGAGGTGTGTTGGCTTCGGTTCTAGTTGGACACAGTAGTGTAGGCTCTATATAGTTTCTTCAGCTATAATCTATATTAGTAATGTTTGCAAGTGTGTCTGTGGCTTAAGCTGAGAAACATAGTGGTAGCAGTGCAGCTTTGCCAGAAATAGGCTTGCCGGGCTGTTTCTCAGGTCAGGGCACATGATGGGTCAGCCAAGGGGTCTGGCTTACTGGGGTTGAGGGTCTGTTACTCTGGCTGGGGCATAAGCATGCAGTTGCTTAGCCAGCCTGGGGACATGTCTGTCAGGTGTAGCCTATGTGTTTGTTTCTCAAGCCTGGGACATGACCACCCAGCTGCTTAGCTGGCCTGAATGGTGTGTGTTTTGGGGGTGGCCCTCAGGACTGTTTCTCAAGCCCAAGATGTCAGTGCACAGCTACTCAACTGGCTTGAGTGCATGTCTGTCAGGGGTGGCATGTGGAGCTGTTTTTCAGGCCCAGAACACAGGTGCATAGCTCACTGGTCAACTTGAGGACATTTCTGCCAGGGGCTGTTTCTCAGGTGTGAATTGCAGGCAGAGTTTTTGGGCAAGCCAGGGCAGGGGCATTTCTATGGGGGTTAGGCATGCCTTAGGGCTGTTTCTCAAGCACTGGGCATGAACATGTAGCCACTCTGCCAGCCTAGGGCTATGGCACCTGCTCAGTGGGGGACCTTTGCGGGGATAAGGAGTGAGGCACACAGCAGTCTGCTGGCTCAAGAGTAAGTTCACCCTGGGTGAGTCTGCAAGACTTTTTTCTAACTGGAAGTAAAGGTGGTGGTGGTTGGTTTGTTTCCCTGCTTTGCAGGACTGGAGTCACAGCTGATCCTAGGCCCAAGCTCTACATAGCTGGGTTTGTGGTGGTCAGTGCCCCCCACCCACCACCACCACCCAGTGTGGGCTTGATGCAATGAAAATGGAGCCCTAGTGCATCAGAAGTGCAGTGGCTACTTGCCCCCAGAGGAAGGCACACTCCAGAGGTGGCCCTGGTCTCAAGATGGCACAGTGCTGCAGCAGCTTGACTGGGTGTAGGGTAGGGAATACACATCTTGTGCTCCTAATCTGGAGCAATGCACCTATGTGAAGCCCTAACAGCTCTTTCATTTGGGCACAGGGCTTTGAGAGAACTTGTGATACTCCTGTACTAAGAACTTCAGGTATTTACGGTGGCAGTAGGGGCTGATGGGATTATTCTGCTTACCTTTCTCCCTCACCTCTTCTGCCCCTACAAGGGGAAGTCCCTCTTGTCTGGACCAGTCTGATCTGGGTGGGGGAGACAGGACTTCGGAGGCCGGGTGCCTCCATACCGCCTTCCTGAGCTTCAATCACCATAGATACATCTCCACTCCCCTGCTGCACTCCAGTGTTCTCCCTTCAACACCCAAGTCAATTCTTAGCTGTATTTCTATTGTCTTGATCTTTTCTTGCAGGGGGAATGAGCACCAACCATCTCCAGTCAGCCATCTTGCTGATGTCACTCCCATTTTGTACCTTGACCAACATGTCCCAATCCCCACTCCCACTCTCCAGCCCTTAATAACCACCATCTACTCTTTATTTCTATGAGTTTCATTTTAGAGTCCATGTATAAGTGAGGTCTCACAGTATTTGTCTTTCTGTGCCAGACTTTTTTCACTTAGCAAAATGTCCTCCAGATTCATCTATGTTGTCACAAATGGCAGGATTTCCTTTTTTTTTTTTAAGGATGAATAGTGTTTATTTTGTATATATACCATATTTTTTAATCCATTCATCCACCGATGAACACTTAGGATGACTTTATAATTTGGCTACTGTGCATAATGCTGCAATGAGCATGGGAGTGCAGATATCTCTTCAATGTACTCATTTCTTTTGATTATAAACTCAGAATAATACTTGGTGGATTATATGATAGTTCTATTATTAATTTGAGGAAACTCCATACTGGTTTACATAATAGCTTACCAATTTACGTTCCTTCCAACAATGTGCAAGGCTTCTCTTTTCCCCACATCCTCTCTAACATTTATCTTTCATCTTTTTGATAACAGCCATTCTAACAGGTTTGAGGTAATATCTCAATGTAATTTCAATTTGCATTTCTCTGATGATTATTTATGCTGAGTATTTTTATATACCTTTTGGCAATTGTATGTCTTCTTGAGAAAAACTTCTCTTCAGGTCATTTGCCCAGTTTTCAAATCTGGTTATTTGTTTACTCACTATTGAGTTCTTTGTATCCCTTATGTATTTAGATATTAACCCCTTGTAAGATGTGTGGTTTGCAAATATTTTCCCCATTAACATAAGTTATTTCTTTACTGTGTTGATTGCTTACTGTTAGAAGCCTTTTAGTTTGATGCAATCCCATTTGTCTATTTTTGCTATTGATGCCTGTGCTTTTGGAGTCATCCAAAAAATCATTGCCAAGACCAATGTCATAGAGTTTTTCTCCTATATTTTCCTCTAGTAATTTTACAGTTGCAGATCTTACATTTAAGTCTTTAATTAATCTTGAGTTAATTTTTTCTGATATAAAATAGCATCTAATTTTATTCTTCTGCATGTTTCTATCCAGTAGTCCCAACACCACTTACTGAAGAAACTGTCTTTCCTCACTGTTTATTCTTGGTGCCTTTGTAAAAAATCAGTTGACTGTAAATATTGGATTTATCTCTGAACTTTTCATTTTTTTTCCATTTGTCTGTGTATTTATGCTGGCACCATGCTCTATTGATTACCACAGCTTTGCAGTATATTTTGAAGTTGGGTAGTATGTGGCTTCAGCTTTGTTTTTGCTCAGAATTGCTTTGGCTATTCAGGGTCTTTTGTGCTTCTTTACAAATTTTAGAATTTTTAAAATTTTGGTAAAAAATGTTATTGGAATTTTGATAAGGATTGTATTGAATTTGTAGATTTCTTTGGGTGATATAGACATTATAACAATATTTTCCGAATCCCTGTACATAGATATCTTTCCATTTGTGTCTTCTTTTTTCATTATCTTACATAGTTTTCAGTGTACAGATCTTTTACCTCCTTGGTTAAATTTAATTCTAAGCATTTTATTTTCTTTGTAGCTACTGTAATTGGGATTGTTTTCTTGATTTCTTTTTCAGATAATTCATTGTTAGTGTTTAGAAAGGCAACTCATTTTTGTACATTGATTTTGTATCCTGCAACTTTATTGAATTCATTTATTAGTTCTAAAAGTTCTTTGAAGCCTTTAAAGCTTTTAATATATAAGATTATGTCATCTGCAGAGACAATTTACTTCCTTTGTGATTTTAATACTTTTTTTTTTCTCTTGCGTAATTGCTCTAGTTAGGGCTTCCAGTACTACTTGAATAGAAGTTGTGAGAGTGAATATTGTTCCAGATCTTAAAGGAAACGCTTTCAACTTTTCATCATTGAGTATGATGTAAGCTGTGGGCTTGTCACATACGGCTTTTATGATGTTGAGGTGCATTCCTTCTGTAACTAATTTATTGGTAGTTTTTATCATGAAAGGATGTTGAATTTTGTTAGATAATTTTTCTTGATGCATTGATAATATGATTTTTGTCCTATATTCTGTTAATGTGGCATATCAATTTATTGATTTGCATATATTGAACCATCCTTACATCCCATTAATAAATCCCACTTTATCACAGTGAATAATCATTTTAATGTGCTGTTAAGTTTGGTTCACTAGTGTTTTGATGAGGATTTTTGCATCTGTGTGCATCAGAGATATTGGATTGTAATTTTCTTGTAATGGTATTGTCTGGCTTTGGTATCAGGGCCTCATATAATTCACTTGAAAGTTATTTCTTTTTCTTTGATTTTTGGAGGACTTTCAGAAGGATTGGTATTAGTTCTTCTTTAAATGTTTCATAGAATTCAGCAGTGAAGCCATCGGATCCTGGGCTTTTTTTGGTGAGTGATTTTTTTAAAATTATTAATTCAATCTCCTTGCTTGTTATTGATCTGCTCAGATTTTCTACTTCATAATTCAGTCTTAGTAGGTTATGTGTATCTAGAAATTTATCCATTCCTTCTAGGTTATCCAATTTGTTGGTGTATAATTGGTAATAGTCTTTTTATTAACCTTTTTATTTCTGTGTCTTTAGTTGTAATAGCTCCTCTTTTATTTCTGATTTTGAGTCTTCTGTTTTTTTCTAGTGAAAGGTATATCAACTTATCTTTTAAAATATAACAACTCTTAGGTTTATTAATCTCTTCCATTGTTTTCCTAATTTCTATTTTTTCCTGGCCTGATCTTTATTAGCTTCCTTATACAAACTTTTTCTTGGTTTGTTCTTCTTTTTTCAGACCCTTTTGGTGTAATGTTAGCTTGCATATTTGGATTTTTTTCCTTTATAATGTAGGCATTTACTGCTTTCGCTGCATTCCACAAGCTTTCATATGTTTTGTTTCCATTTTCTTTTGTATTAATATATTTTTTAATTTCTAGTTTAATTTCTTTTTTATTTTATTTATTTATTTTTTTTTTTTGAGATGGAGTCTCGCTCTGTCACCCAGGCTGGAGTGCAGTGGCACAATCTTGGCTCACTGCAAGCTCCGCCTTCCAGGTTAATGTCATTCTCCTGCCTCAGCCTCCCGAGTAGCTGGGACTACAGGTGCCTGCCACCACGTCCAGCTAATTTTTTGTATTTTTAGCAGAGACGGGGTTTCCCCATGTTAGCCAGGAAGGTCTCGATCTCCTGATCTCATGATCTGCCCACCTCAGCCTCCCAAAGTTCTGGGATTACAGGCATGAGCCACCGCGTCCGGCCTTAATTTCTTTTTTGATCCATTAGTTGATCAGAAACCTATTGCTTAATTTCCACATATTTATGAATTTTTCAATCTTCCTATCATTGCTTTTTAGTTTCATATTATTGTGGTCAGAAGAGATATTTGAGATGATTTCAATCTTCTTAAATTTGTTTTGTTTTATGACACAACATATGATCAATCCTGGAGAATGTTTCATGTGTATTTGAGAAGGATATGTATTCTGCTGCTGTTAGATGGAATGCTCTCTCTATATGTCTGCTAGGTTCCTTTGGTTTATCATTCAAGTCCACTTCATCCTTATTGACTTTTTTCCTTTTTGGTATGGATAATATATCCATTGTTGAAAGTGGAATATTAAAGTCCGCCACTGTTACATTGCTGTGTATTTCTCCTTTGTGTTAATATCTGCCTGTTATATTCAGATGATCTGATGGTGGGTGCCTATATATTTACAATTGTTATAACCTCTTGATAAATTGACATCTTTATTATATATTAACACTTTTGTCTAATGCAGGCATTTACTACTACACTAGAATTTTACAGCTTTACAGTTTTTGACTTAGTCTGTTTTTTTCTTTTATAAGTATAGGCACCCCTGCTCTCTTTGGTTATAACTTGCATAGAATATCTTTTTTCATTCATGTACTTTCTATGTGTCCTCAAGCCTAAAGTGAGTATTTTGTACATAGAATATTATTGGATCATATTTTTTGACTTATTAATTTTTTTATTTCAATAGGTTTTTGGAGAGCAGGTGGTGTTTGGTTATATGAATAACTTCTTCAGTGATGATTTCTGAGATTTTGGTAAACCAAAACATCCAAGCAATGTACACTGTACCAATGTGTAGTCTTTTACCCCTCTCCCTGCTCCCATCCTTTCCTTAGGTCCCGAAAGTCCCATTTCCACACCTTTGCATCCTCATAGCTTAGTTCCCACTTATGATTGAGAACATAAAATGTTTCCTTTTCCATTCCTGAGTTGCTTCACTTAGAATAATGGTCTCCAGTTCCATCTAGATTTCTGCAAATGCCATTATTTCATTCCTTTTTATGGCTGAGTAGCATTCCATGGTATATATTGATATGATTTGGCTGTGTCTCCACCCAAATCTTATCTTGAATTCCCACGTGTTGTGGGAGGGACCCGGTGGAAGGTAATTGAATCATGGAGAGCAGGTTTTCCCATGCCATTCTTGTGATAGTGAATAAGTTTCACAAGATCTGATGATTTTAAAAAATGAGAGGTTTCCTGCACAAGCTCTCTTTCTTTGCCTGCTGCCATCCATGTAAGATATGACTTGCTCCTCTTTGCCTTCCACCATGATTGTGAGGCCTCCCCAGCCATGTGGAACTGTAAGTCCATTAAATCTCTTTCTTTTGTGAATCGTCCAGTCTCAGTGTGTTTTTATCAGCAGCGTGAAAAGGGACTAATGCATATATACACCACAATTTATCCACTCATTGATGAGCATTTAGGCTAGTTTCATATTTTTGCAATTGTGAATTGTGCTGCTATACACATGCATATGCAAGTATATGTTTTGTATAATACCTTCTTTTCCTCTGGGTAGACACCCAGGAGTGGGATTGCTGGATCAAATGGTAGTTCTACTTTTAGTTCTTTAAGCAATCTCCACACTGTTTTCCATAGTGGAATGATTATTCCCTCAAATATGTTTAGATTTCTCCTCCTCAAGAACACCAATTATTCTTAGGTTTGGTCTTTTAACATAATCCCAAACTTCCTGAAGGTTTTGCTCCGTTTTAATTTTTTTCTTTGTCTTTATTGGGTTGGGTTAATTCAAAAGCCTTGTCTTCAAGCTCTGATGTTCTTTTTTCTGCTTGTTCAATTCTATTGCTGAGACTTTCCAGTGGATTTTGCATTTCTCTAAGTATGTCCTTCATTTCCAGAAGTTGTGATTATTTTTTATTTATGCTGTTTATCTATTTTTCTATTCATATCCTGTGACATTTTTAAAATTTCTTTAAGTTTGTATTCACCTTTCTCTGGTGCCTTCTTGAGTAGCTTAAAAATCAACCTTCTGAATTCTTCTAGCAATTCAGAGATTTCTTTTCAGTTTGGATCCATTGCTACTGAGTTATTGTGATCTTTTGGGGGTGTTAAATAACCTTGTTTTTTCATATTACCAGAATTGTTTTTCTGGTTTCTTCTCATTTGGGTAGACTATGTCAGAAGGAAGATACGGTGCTCAAGAGCTGCTGTTTGAATTCTTTTGTCTTATGGGGATGTGGTACTCTCCCCATTCCCCTGGGGATGGGGGTTTCTGAGAGCTCAACTATAGTGATTGTTGTTTCTCTTCTGGATCCAGCCACACAGCAGAGCTAGTGGGCTCTGGGCTGGTTCTGTGGAGTGTCTGCAAAGAGTCATGTGATGTGATCCATCTTCAGGTCTCTCAGTCGTGGATACCAGAACCTGTTCCAGCGCATGTAGCAGGGGAGTGAAGTGGACTCTGTGAGAGTCCTTGGTTGTATTTTTGCTTAGTGCACTGGTTTTGTGTTGGTTGGCCTCCAGCAAGGAGGTGGTGCTTTCAAGAGAGTATCAGCTGCAGTATTACAGGGAGTATACAAGCTTGCCCTAAGGTCACCTGGGTAAGTATTTGGGTGTCTCAGGTGGTGGGTGGGGCCACAGAGCTTCCAAGAAATTATGTCCTTTGTCTTCAGCTACCAGAGCGGGTAGAGAAAGACCATCAGGTGGGAGCAGGGTCTGGTGTGTCTGAGCTCAGACTCTCCTTGGGCAGGGCATGCTTAGGCTGTTGTGGAGGATTGGAGTGTGGTTCTCAGGCTGATGAAGTTACATTCCCAGGGAGATTATGGCTGCCTCTGTCATATCATACAGGTCACCAGAGAAGTGCAGGAAAGCCAGCAGTGACAGGACTCACACAGCTCCCATGCAGCTGGAAAGGCTAGTCTCACTCCCACTGTGTCCCCCTAACCACACTGAGTTTATTTCCAGGCAGCCAGTGAGCAGGGCTGAGAACTTGCCCCAGGCTACAAGCCTCCCTGCTGAGAAAGTAAACAGGGCTTTCAGGTTTCATGCCTCCCTACCTTCTGCAGCTTCTGTGTTCATATTTGTACTCCAGGTCACTCCCTCCCCCAGTTTCTGTCCAGGAACCTTCACCTTGAGTTGAAATTGTTACAAAGTTCAGCTGAATGTTTCCTGAATCTTTCATCTTTCCCCAGTTCCACTGCCAGCCCTCCCCAAGGACCCCTATGAAATAAAGTCAGAAATGGCTTCCCTGGGGACTGAGAGTGCCCACAGGACTCTTCCCTGTGCTTCTTCTACCCCCATATTTTTCTCAGCTCTCTAAATTTGTCTCAGCGCCAGGTAAGGTCAAATTCTTCTCCTGTGATCTGAACCTTTAGGTTTCCCAGTGAGGATGTGTGTTTGGGGGTGGATGTTCCCTCTTTTACACTTTGAATACTCACATTCTTTTGGCTGTCTCACAGAACCTGCAACAGCAAGCCGCTTCCTTCAAAGGGCTTGTGGAGTCTCTGGCTTTCTTGGTATGTTACTGCACTAATCCTTGGAGCAAAAGTTCACAGTGTGAGCCTCCACACACTGCTCTGAGTGGGAGCTGAAGTTAGTCCTGTCTCCTATCTGCCATTTTTTTTCCAACTGAGATCATATTTTTTAATCCATTTAAACACTGTGTCTTTTGATTGGAAAATATATTCATTTGCATGTAAAGTAATAATCAATATGTAAGAACTTTTGCCATTTTGTTGTTTACTAATTGTTTCATCATTCCTTTTTTCCATTATACCATTCTTTTCTTCCTCCTTTGTAATTTGTTAGATTTTTGAAGTGCATGCTTTGGTTTTTTTTTGTTGTTATCTTTGTGTATTCACTAGAGGTTTATTTTTTCTTTGTGTTCACCACAGGACTTTTACGAAACATCTTATTGTTATAACATTCTATTTTGAACTAAAAGCTTAAGTTCAATAGCATACAAAACCCACACTTCTATTTCGCTCCTCACCACATTTTAGGCTATTGATGTTATATTTTACATCTTTCTATTTTGTTTATTTATCAGCAAATTGTAGTTACAGTTATTTTTAATACTTTGGTCTTTTAACTTTTGTACTAGAATTAAAAGTCATTTACACACCATTATTACAGTATTAGAGTATACTGGATTTCACTAAATATTTACCTTTACCAGTGAATTTTGTACAGATGGTCCCCAACTTACATTGGTTTGACTTATAATTTTGTGACTTTATGATGGGTTTATCAGGATGTTTCCCCATTATAAGTTGAGAAACATTTGTACTTTCATATGTTTTCATGTTGCTATTTAGCATCCTTTTGTTTCAACTCTAAGAACTTCATTATTTCTTGTAAGGCAGGTCTACTGGTGATGATGTCTCTCAGGTTTTCTTTGTCAGGGAATGTCTCTCTGTCCTTCATATGTGAAGGACAGCTTTGCCAGTTATAGTATTACTTATTGACAGTTTGTTTTTTTTGTTTTGCACTTTGAATATGTTATCTTACTTCCTCCTGGCTTGCAAGGGTTTTGTTGAAAAGTCTGCTGATAGTCTTATGAAGGTTCCCTTGTGTGTAATAAGGCACTTTTCTCTTGGTGCTGTCAAGATTCTATCTTTGATTTTTGACAATTTGATCATAATATGTCTCAGAATATTCTTCTTTGGGTCTGATAGAGTTTGGATATTTGTCCCTGCCTAAATCTCATGTCGAATTGTAATTCTTAGCCTGGTGGGAGGTGTTTGGATCATGGAGGTGAATCCCTTGTGGCTTGGTGCTGTTTTTATGAGAGTGAGTGTGTTCTCACAAGGTCTGGTCACTTAAAAGTATATGGCACCCACGCCCGCACCCTCCCCGCATCGCCTCCATTTTCTCTCTCTTTCTTTCTTTCTCCTACTTTCACCATGTGACAGGCCTGTTCCCCCTTCACCTTCTGGCGTGATTGAAAGTTCCTTGAGGAGCTTCACTGGAAGCTGAGCAGATGCCAGCGCCATGCTTCCTGTAAAGCCTGCAGAACCATTGGCCAATTAAGTCTCTTCTTTATAAATTACACAGTCTCAAGTATTTATAGCAATGTATGAACAGCCTAATACAGGGTCAGTCTTGCTTAGGGTTTTCTGAGCTCCATGAATCTGGATCCTCTCAATATTTGAGAAATTTTCAGCTACTATTTCTTGAAATAAGCTTTCTTTAGCTTTCTCTCTCTCTCTTGTTTCAGAAACTCCCATAATTAATAATATATTTGTATTTGATGGTGTCCCATAAGTCCCTTATGCTTCCTTCATTCTTTTTCTTTCTATAATTGGGTAATTTCAACTTACCTGTCTTCAAGTTCGCTCAGACAACTAGCCTATCACCAGCTGCACAGACTGGTGTGGCTTCATGTGGGTTTCTGGGAAGGCTCCCCCTGGGTCACTGAGTAGTTCTCTGGACAGGCAGTGTTGTCCCCAGCCCACAGATGTGAGGGACTTAAACAGTTGCAGGGCTGCTTCAGGTTCCACAGCTGAGACTAAGGTTGACAGGCCTGCCTCTAGGAACTGAGAGACAAGTATGTCTCCCCCTGGGGACCTCATGGGGCAGGACTGCTTGCAGTCTGCAGCTGACAGAGCTGAAGACAAGTCTCTTAGCCATTTCAGGGTCCACAGGAAGAAACAAAGTCAGCAGGCCTGTCACTGAAGGCATAAATGGTGTGACTCTACCTGGGTTCCTTGGTGGGTGATTGTGGTAGCAGGATCAAGGCCAAACATGGCTGCAACTGAGTCCTCAGGATGACAGGGCCATTTCCAGGTCTGGAACTGGGACCATAGCCTGTGAGCTTTCTACATGGGCATAGTTCTACCCTCTAGAATGGCCTTACTAGGTCTTGAGCTCCAGGAGGTTTTCACAAACTCCTATCTGAATTCCAGAGCTCCCACAAAGCCACTTTTGCCTTTGTTGCTTGAGAGGATACAAGCAGGGGAGCTCCTATTTTACCATCTTGCTGATGTCACTCTCTCCTCTTCTCAAAACATTTCCAATTATTCCATTGAACAAAATCCATTATCATTCATCTAATTCATAACTCCATTAATCAATATTTATTGAATACATACTGTACTGTTAAGAATTGGAGGAATTGTAAAGCATGGTTTCTGTCCATAAGGATCTTATGGTCTAAGAAGACAAACATAAGATATCAACATAACAATTTTGTACATGCAATCAGGCAGTATTTTCTTTAGAAGTGAAATGAGCTCATCTTGGGGCAGATGGAATTTTCAAAATTTCCTGATTCAGATTAATTTCTTACTAAGGCTAATTTTAATAGTATCAAATCTCATCTTCACTTAAAAAAAAAAAAGGCAGGAAAGACAGGTCCCAATTTCAAGAAGAGTAAGTACAATTCTCTTATCACTGATTCATTACAGCTTGCTCTTATGTCTCATTGTGAAAAAAGAAAATAATAGAACAGTGGCAAGCATTACTTTTTGAGAAACCAGAGTTTCAGAAAACAGGTATGTGTTAAAGATTGTTAGCATGAAATTCACTTTCAAGATTCTTTTCTTGTCATTTTATTTAAACATTAAGGAAAAAAACTTATTCAGAGAAATAATTTTTCCCTTCCTTTTATAAGTATAAGCACTCCTTAGAAATAATTGGTAAACTCCTTAATTATAGATCTCATCTACTTGTCATTAACAACCTCTTCAATGGTCAATATTCACATCAATAGTGTTTTGTTAAATAATACATGGAATAATGACAAGCAACTCTTTTAAAAATCAGAAATACTAAATTTTTAAAAGTAACAATGAGAAAATATCTGCAAAAGTATGTTAATAATTATCCTTTTTTGTATTTTATGGACACAAACCTTTCAGAAATTATCTAAATCAGAAATCAGGGTTTTGAAATAGTCTTTATTATAAAATTTTGGATACTGATAAGCTAATTTTTTAAGCTGAATTTTTTAAAGTATTTTTCTATGAAAAACAAAAGAATCTACATTATTGGATTGAAATATGGAAATATGTAAAATAAAAATTCTGAGATATTTACTCTACATTGCTTAATAGCCACTATTACCCTTTCCGGATAGCCCCCATTTAGAAAAAGTTTCTAACTAAGCTGTTCAAGTGTAATAAGTCCAGAGACTCTTGGGAATGTAATTGTCTTATTTGTTTTGAATCAGACTGTCTGCAGTTAGTCTAGTGTTTTAATAAGGTCTACAAGGATTAGAACTAGTCAACATATGAATTATGAAACCCCCAGTCAACCTGAAGAACAGAAAAAAAATCAATCCATGGGGAAAATCTGGTACTCTTGCAAGACTGTGGAATACCATTCAGAACCATAGCAGAGGTAGGCTTGAAAACCAGGAAATAATAGGTTTCAACTAAGAAAGGTTTTGTTACCTAGGGGGATAAAATAGCATATGCTTCTAAAGATGTGAACTTTCTTTTTTAAAAATAATCTGTGGGTTTACATCATCATGTAAACTTTCCCAAAAGAAATAGGAAGCTATTCATCTACTATAGCTAACAAAGTGCAGGAACGTGTTATTGCAATATTTTAACAAACATCACAGGTAGTTTTAAAATGTAATCTTTAAGCTTAGCTATTTTGGAAAGAAAATAGTTATTTTTTTCTAAGGCACGTACCATTATATACTTGATGAAAATGTTTTTCCATCATTTGTCATTGAGATTATTAGCTTTCAGCATTTAATATGGCAAATTATGGTTGACTTCTAGACTATTTTCTTCTAGTCAAACTCTGAAGATGTTATGTTTTAAAAATCTTAATAGGCAGAAATCTAGTCCCCAAATAAACTGAAGCTCAAAATGAAAAGATAAAGACAAGTCAAAGAAAGAATATTTATTTTGATGGAGCAAACAAATTCAAAACTAAGAAAATAAGGCAATTTTTCCTAGAAGAAATTAGCCCTCTAGTTGATTTAGAGAGAGCTTACCGATATAAGTAAGCTGTCTCACTGTGTATCCATCTGTCAAGAAATCCACCTATAAAAAGAGGTCCACAGGGTGATTTCATGGGGTCTAGGTAAACAAACACTGTGGTGTAGTTTAAATATTTTTCCAACATTTACTTCAAGGAAAGGATCCCTGATTATCTGCCAGTTATTAAGTACCAAAAGGTGAATCACTTTTGATAAACTGATTAAAATGTCTCTTAATTATATCCAACTACTTTTCTTACAGTTCTTACATCTCAGTCTTCCCATATTAGTTTCTCTTCTGAGATGAGAATGTGATGATCAGTTCATGACCATCATGTTTGCCAGCTGTTTCTGATTGATGAATAGTTTTGTTACAAACCAGTACCATGTGAGTTAGCGTCCCCTATGGCTCCTCCAGGGGCCATATAATTTCTGGTAAGACTAAGACTCTCTTGGATGGAGACCAGGCTCCCTAACAAAGGTAGCCATAGCTTGGCTGGCACATGCAGGGATCCAAGTGGAAGTATTTATCATACAGCCAGTGCTGGGAATTACAATGTCTACTGGTGAGTGGATTCAGAGTCCAATTCCTATTAGAACTGACCAAAGCTATTTTTAGTACCTTATTAATGTATAAAAGTTACATGTCTAAAAACATGGCAGTCAAGATAATTCTAGAAAGTATTCTAAAGTCCCCTAATACAAACTGCATGAACTTAAATATTGTTCAATTGATTAAGCAGAAAGGTTATTGAAGAGCTAACTCTTTTAAGTATAAATAGCCTTTGTGTTATCATTTAGACTCAGGTTTAGAGTTCAAAGAATATTTTAAAAGGGGGTTGAGGGTTTACTGTATCATTTTCTCACTTAGGTGTTTTGGGATTTGTAATTTATTTTAGATTCAATCAGATTGTCTTAAATCTCCTCAGTGGATGGAAAACAATTTGTCCACACTCAGCTCTAATAGTAAAAATTGGGACTTTGTAGACATGAAATATAAAGAAATATCGAGTTCATTATATAAATAAAAGGGTTTATTTTACTGTAGGAGATGTAATAAGTAAAAAGTAATAATTGAATATTTACTAGATTAAATGGCAATGTAGGGAGGAATGTTTTCTAGTTCACCAAAAATTAAACAATGCTCCAAGTACATTTTAGATTTATTTTATTATTTTTAATGAACTATGTTTAACATTTTACAAATCTTCAGGTTGTTACAGTTTTCAGCAGTAAATATAGTAGTAACAGCAATAAATACACCGAAATATGAGATTTCTCTGAAAGAATACAAAAAATAGAAACACCTGGAAACAAGAAGGCAAAATGTCAATTCTAGATCTGAAATAGAAATTAATACAGCTGAATTCCTTTACAATGCTCGTACATGGGAAAATGAGAAACTCATGCGCCTTATAAGAATGTGTGACTTTGAGCTTCACCTTTTTAGGAAGTTTTGAGGGACATCATTTGACCCACAGATCTCTAAAACCCTATAATACGTATTGATACCAGAGGATTCAAACACATAGTGGTCTGAAAATGATTGCCAAAGCAAAGAAGTGCTTTCATTCCTCAACATTTGTAATCTCTGTGGTATATTATGTATTATAAAAGGGCATAATCCCTATAGAACTGAAAGGGCATAATCCCTATACAACTGCATAAAGTCATAAAAATTGATTTATAAAGTCTCAAGATCATAATATGTATTCAAAAATACATACAGCTGTGCTTTAGTAAATGAATCCATCAGTTAGTCAAGAGATAGTTTTGCCTTTAATATATATCCAAAGTATATACAAAGGATCGACAAATGTTAACAATTTGTGACCAAAATCATCTAGGTTTATATTTGAAAAAACCTTGGTTTTCAATTTAAAAATTTAAGAAAGTTGTGAATATTGTTTATTATCACTTGGGTTAAGAAAAAGTAGATGGTTTCAGCTTTTTAACAGGAAATTTGTGAACTACTCACAAATGAGAAGTCACACTCTTTTGATCATTAGAAAAGATAAATTGCCTATAATTACCAATTGAGAACAGCATGTGCAGTGTAAAAAATAATAAGGTTTTATTCTGAAAGCAAACAAGTAGTTCTAGAAAAGCCCTTGGGATACATCATCTCATTTCCCTTACACAAAAATGAATAAAATAAGTGGCATACCTGAATGGTATACCCTTATACCAATATGTGTATTTCATTACCAAGCTGAGATGAAACATTTTTATTTAAAGGTGGGAAAAATAAACACTTAAAATATAATGTTTTGCTATATAGTTTCTAACTTCATTCCAACATAAACAATTTATCAATATATACTGTATTCAAAAAACAAGAAATACTACTCACATGCAATATTTATTGTTCCAACATGAAACACTAGGTCTATATTTTTAATAAAACTGCACATCTGTTTAATTTGGTTAACTGAAAGAAAATGCACACTTAAAAAAGATGTTATATCCTTCTAATAATGCAAGTCTATATCAAAGGCACTTCAGCAGAGCACTAACTTTAACCTTTTCCAAATCATTTTGAGTCATGCTGCTTTTGATGTATCTTTCTGTGTAAGACCAATAAGAAGCCTTCTCTAATTAATTGTTATGAGCCTTATCACTAAAAAAAAAAAAAAAAAAAAAAAAAGGAAGCCTAGGTATTACCCAAAACATTATTTCTTCTATGGATTGGGGTAATATATAGCAAATATTTGCCTAGGGTCTTTATGTTCTTTCAGTTAACACAGAACAGTAGGAAGGTTATTTGACACGTTAGAAGTTGGAGGAAAAAATTGCACATCTAGCTATAATTTTACTGAAGCTAATGTGGCTGTTTTGGTTCACTGAACTTGTTTACATGGTTTGGGTCTCTATGCTGCTCCCATGTTGAATAGGAGGGAATGAAAAATAAAGCAATTTAGGATTTTTACCCCCACAAGGGAAAGGTGCTTCAGACATTTGCCTTCAGGGAAATTTTAAGAAAAATGGGATCAGTTGATTTTAATGAATAACGAGCTTTTATTTTTAGGATGTATGAATGGTAATTCAGAGTTAATTAAAAAGTTGTTCACATTGAATGCTTGCTATAATGAAAAGAACATAGATATATTACTTACAAAACTGAAAAAAGAAGTTGCAAAGGCTTTAAGTGACTTAGGGAAAAACTTTTACTTTTCCCCTGAAATTGAAACTGTTTTCCTTACACATCTTTTAAGAAAATCAATAACTGGATATACAACTATCCTGAAGGTATTTTTGAGCCTCAGGAAAATGGCATCTCTTTTTCTTCTCATCAACATTTAAGAAAAACAAATCAATGTATATTTTATCTGCACATATTTTATTTTAGTGTTCAAAAGAAACTTTCACATCGACTTTTTTTTTAAATTTCATAGCCTTTAAGTGACTGAGTTCAGGTTTTTAGAATAGAAGAAATATATTAAAACCAATTTAGCCTAAAAGTATCAGTGAGCCTTAAACCAAAGTCATAGATTGTTTTTTTCAGATTTGTAAAAAGTTTCCCTTGACAGCTAAGCTTGCTTCATTGTTGAGGGGAAGAAAAAATAATTTTTAAATAAAAACTCAGTATTAGAGCATTAATTTCTCAAATTTCTAAATTAACATCTTACTTATTTTGTAAAGTTATATCCAAAAACAACCAAAGAGCTGGTGTCTCCCTCTCTAATGACCAAGTAGCTTCTTGCCCATCTTATATAAATGTAGGATTTACGTTTGGGATGATACAATACACATGCTCTTTAAAGACCAAACAACATTTTCTTTGTGATAACTCCAGAGTAACATCAGTCCAAGTCATTTATCAAGTTATTTTTAAGTATAGGCAGAAGAAGACGTAATAGTAACATTTAAAATAATATGATGCCTGAAGTCAGTTTTGTTTCTAAATGTTCCATGGGGTAGTCACCATGGTAGAGGCAACATTTTTGGAGGCAACTTGAGGAGTATATATTTCACTGTTATTCTTAAGAGAGTCAAGGCCAAACTGGCTGGCTGAGCAACATTTTCAGATAACTAACATCTTGAAGCTATTTTACATTTTGAAAACTTAGATACTGTAAATTCATCACCCAAAAATAAATGAATAGGCCAGAAAAAGCATTCCTTGGTATCTTTCTCTCTGATTACTGAATTACCATTTACTCTGCTTGAGACATGTCCAAGAACCATGAGATTGCTCAGTCTCATTTTCTTAAGTTCGTACTGCAATTTACAACAAGAAGCAAGAATAAACAGCACGAGACAGCAGACACACAATCCCCATTGGAGTTAATTTATGGGAATCAGTGGGCGTTCCTCTCGCTTCTTCCAGATGTTAGTCTTGCTATCTCTTTTGGCTAGTGGTGGTCTGCCCCTTCTTTTAGTGGGGGATGTATTAGCTTCAAAATCTTCAACAGTGCTTTTCCTTCCTGGCGACTCTTCTCCAGGGTGCTCCATGATCACTCCACTCCCTCCATCTAGGATGTGCCTTAAAGCTGGGTCCTCAGGGGAACAGACGGTGGTTCCACTCTCACTGCTGCTTAGGTCTAAATCTTCTAAGTAAAGGATCTTGGGCTGATGCATGCTTTTGATGAATGTTTTCTCCCTCTCGAGCTTTCTACTTGAGTGAAGCTCATTCATGTCCACCCCAGAGTCCAGACTGGTGTCATTGCTCTGGGTTCTCTTGCCCTTTTTCAGGTCTATAAAGGAGTGCCTCACTTGTGCAACTGGCTTTCCATCAAGAGACACAAACCAGGCTCTGGGATGCGGGGAGGGCTTTCCTTTGGACAGCTCCAGGAGGGTCTGTTCTGAAATTCCTTGAAGTTCCGATGAAAATGGAGTCATTACAACAGCCTCATTTAGTGTTCCAGGAACAGAGACGGATTCCAGTAAGCTGCTTGAGTATCGGCTCCAATCTGAAGCCTGGGATGGCAGGCTCTGTTGACCTTCAAGTATGATATCCTCTTCCCTGGCATCTGGGGGCTGTGCATGAGAATGAATTGGCATTTTGGGCAAGGTCTGCGTAAAGTTCTCTCGATTTACTGGTTCCATCAATTGGCCATAGACTAACTGTCCCTTTCTTGGCAAAGTAGCTGACTTAGCAGTATGTAATTGTTCCGGTGTGGAGAAAAGGTCAGATGTTTGAAGGATGGCAATGGGTTGGCTGTAAATATGCATAAGCTGTTCAGGAATATGGGAACGCCCATACGCCTCCTCATTACCTGTGAGATACCTCTTTTCATCTTGAGCATCACCTAGAGATGAAGATAGATTGTTGTTAATATGTTTAGGTTGTTTGGACCCTACATTGGGCTCCAAAGACTGTGTTGGGTTTCTTGAGTAATTATTTTGATTGACTGATAGAAATGAAACATCTTCATTGTAGATTTTAAAATCGTCCCGAGTTTTTACCATGGAAACTCTTTCTTCTGTTTCTGCCTTTGATGGTTCCTTTTTCTGAGGACTATATGAGGAGTTTTTGGCATTGAATAACTGCGACTTGTCCTCAGCTTTTAATGCAACTTTAACTGTACTGATATGATTTATGTGTGTTGTTGAAGTTGTCTGGTCTCTCTTGAGGACCTCAAGTTTAGTGATATTTCTTTCTCTTTTCTGTGGAGTACCACACTTGTCCCTAGAGTAGAAGAGAAGGCAAAAAATATTTAAAAGTTATGACACAAATGGTTCATTTATTAAAAATCACTCCCAATCTACATATCATACATGCAATGCTATTGTGAGATATGTAGATTAAAAATAAAAAAGGATATATTATAAGATTAAATTTATTTCTACAAATAAACTTTTCAATGTACAGAATATACTGAAATGATACCATAACTTGATAGTTTTCTGTGTTTATAGCCATTTTCTTACCTGCAATAACAAAGTAGTACAGCAAAAAATCCAATGACAATGACTATTGTTCCTCCTAATATGGCTGTAAGAAACACTGTGTGGTAGGCAGTTATGTCCTTGGAATCTTCATTTATACCTGAACCTACATGGTTCAATATAAACAAAGAGAAAATGTTATTTTAGATCAAATTCTCAACTATGTCACATCCTGGGTGAGGCAAATTGAATAAGTGTACATACTTTTATTTGTTTGCCCCCCTCCTATGACAGATTTCCCTATGGGTGAAGTAAACCTTCCCTATCCTTTGGCTTAATTGACTGACTCGCTTTAACCAATGAAATGTGAGCATATTAAATGAGTTTGCATGGTGTGGCTCTGCCCTCTTGCTCAAGACTTCTAATATGTGAATAGCATAGCCCAGAGAGTTGTTATTCCTTCAACCTGGGGTCTAGAATGAGAATATCTGTTGAACTGAATGAAGCCAAGTCCAACAGCGCAGCAGACAATCCTGAAACACTCATGAAATGTTAAGTAGCAAATAAGCGTTTGATACTGTTAGCCACCGAGACAGCAGGGTTGTTTGTTACTGCAGCAATGGATATGACAGAAGATGCTGAGATGCTGCTATAGAAAGCTTAAAACATATGACATTGGCTTCTAGGCCAGGCAGTGAGAAAACTGTTTCAAGAGGCCGTAAAACTGGTGACCCAAGTAACAAAAAAATTGGTAAAATAAACTGGGCGAAAATATTTTTAACTAACTTGAGCTTTGTGCAAAGAGATTTTAAGATAGAATGTTGATTATCAGCTGCATTTATTTTTTATCTAGATATTTAATCTTTAAATATTTTAAAGACAAATTCAAAAAAAGGATTTACCAAATTAAGCAGGGGTCTAAAGAAATAGAATACAAAAATTCTAAAACTTGAAGCATTAAGAGTTGCAGCTCCTTCTACCTGGGCTCTAGAGTGAACAGAGCACAACTGACCAACTATCCTCCTGCTATGAGAACATACGTATACGAATGCCATTGTGATAAGCTTTACTGCAGTAAAAGCTGACTAGGATGATTTCAACATAAAAATGAATGCTACTGGTAAAAACATACATATAGACCAATGGAACAGAACAGAGAACCTATAAATAAATCCATACATCTACAGTGAATTCATTTTCAACAAAGGTGCCAAGAACATATATTGGGGAAAGGACAGTCTCTTCAATACATAGTGCTGGGAAAACTGGATATCCTTATGCAGAAGAATGAAACTACACTCTTATCTCTCACCATATACAAAAATCAAATCAAAATAGATTAAAGACTTAAATCTAAGACCTCAAACTATGAAATCACTGAAAGAAAACATTGAGGAAACTCTCCAATAAATCTTGGCAAAGATTTATTGAGTAATACCCTGCAAGCACAGGCAACCAAAGCAAAAATGGGATAACATCAAAAGCTTCTGTAGAGCAAAGCAAACAATCAACAAAGGGAAGAGACAACCCACAGAATGGGAGAAAATAACCAGAATATATAAGGAACTCAACTCCAGAGGAAAAATTCTAATAATCCCATTAAAAAATGAGCAAAAGACTTGAATAGAACATTTCTCAAAAAAAGACAAACAAATGGCAAACAGGAATATGAAAAGAGGCTCAACATATTTGATCAGAGAACTGCAAGTCAAAACTACTATAAGATCATCTTATCCCCGTTCACATGACTTTTATCCAAAAGACAGTCAATAATGAATGCTGGTGAGGATGTAGAGAAAAGGGAACCCTCATACACTGTTGGTGAGAATGTAAATTAACATAGTCACTATGGAGAACAATTAGGATGTTCCTCAAAAGAACAGAGCTACCATATGACCCATCAACCCCACTGCTAGATATATACCCAAAAGAAAGGAACTCAGTTGCTGAGACCAGCTCAGTCGGGAAGACCCTAACCCAGCAGCGCTAGAGGAATATCAAAGAGATATCTGCATGCCCATGTTCATTGCAGCACGGTTCACAATAGCCAAGATTTGAAAGTGATCTAAGTGTCTATCAACAGATGAATGGATAAACAAAATGTGATATATGTACATAATGGAGTACTATTCAACCATAAAAAAGGATGTGATCCCGTCATCTGCAACAACATGAATGGGAGTTGAGGACATTGTGTTAAATGAAATAAGCCAGGCATAGAAAAACAGACTTTGCATGTTCTCATTCCTTTGTGGGAGCTAAACATTGAAACAGCTGGAAATTGAGGGTAGAATGATGGTTTACCAGAGGCTGGGAAGGGTAGTGTGGGGTTGGGGGAGAGTAGGCATGGTTAGTTAGTTAGAATGAATAAGATCTAGTATTTTCATAGTACAACAGAGTGAACACAGACAATGTACTAATTGTACATTTAAAAATAAAGAGTATGATTAAAACATTTATAACAATGCTTGAGGTAATACCCCATTTATGTTGATGTGATTATTATGCATGATTATTATGCACTGTATGCCTGTATCAAAATAGCTCATGTACCCCAGAAATATAAACACCTATCAATCATGTACCCATAAAGATAAAAAATTTAAAAACATGATAAAAGTGAATGCTATTGGGCAGCTAATCTTGAGGTAATCTGTTTCAATATCACAAAGACTTCATTGTGCTCAAAAAGCTATATAATAAATCTACTTATCAGTATCAATTACATTCTAATATGTATTCAGGGAGATAGGGTAAGAAGAGTGAGTGGTGGGGCAGCTGGTTTCTGGTCATCTTTACCATGAGAAAACATCCAGCATAAGGCTCCCACCTGCACTGAGGACACTGAAGAAATTGAGGGACCACCAGTTCTTTAATTTTATCTTTCAAATTTTGCACTAATTTGATAAAAGATTTGGAGAAACAGTATTGCAGTTATGCATGTAGACTTTACAGCCAAAGTGCCTGAATTGGAACTCTCACCTCACCATTTATTTTTATGTAGTCTTGGGAAAGTTTCATTTCTTTTGTATCTAGTTCCCTTATCTGCAGAGCAGTAACAGTTATATCTAACCCATGTGAGCTGCTGACGATTAAATGAGTAAATACTTGTGAAACACTGACACCAGTCCTTGGCTCACGATAAGCACTCAGTTTTCGCTATACCACACTATTGTTGAATGAAGCTTTAAGGTTATATTAAAATGGGCACTCTAATATTGGCCATGATTTCACAGATGGTGACTGTTCTCTTATTTAATAGACAAACAAGCACAGCACTGTACAATATGAAGTTTTGTCAAACAAAAAAGAAATGAGAGTAACTTTCTGCTAGCTGTAGATCTGTATGGAGGATTGGTTTGATTATAACTAGGCATAAATGAGTTTGCTTCCAGAATGGAGTAATGCTAACAATGTTCACTCCACAGGAATCCAACAAAACTCACATTTGGAAACAGGATGTTGACATATTGAGTTTGCCCCAAATCCTATATGTATGGCAGTAGCAAGAGAGTGTATCTGTATCCGTGTGCATGTGTGTGCATGCATGTCTAGAAGGAGTTAGGTAGAAAAGCATTCTTTTCATTGAAGTATATTTAAAATGCACATTTAAAACACTTGTTTATTAAACTCTGTACTCAACCACCTACTCTCCTACAGCAATCTGAAAAATTAATCTCTTGCACTTAATATTTTTTCCAAGGAATTCTAGAATTCTATTTAAACTTTAAAAAACAAATTAACCATATTTGTAACTAAAGCAGCTCTGCAAACACTAGCTGATCATAGGAACAATTTTGATTTTATAGTAATACATCCTAAAATATTTAGGGACATTAGGGATTGTGTCATAATCAACATATATATATATATATTTGGTCTCTGTCCCTAGTTACTGGCACAGAGCTTCTAAAACACTTGGAATTTCCTGAGCAACAGGGAGTCTAGGAGTGTCTTTTGTTCTATTATGTGGTCTTTGATCCTGTTTCCTAACATAGAGCTCCTAAATCCCTTGGAATTTTCTGGGTGTTGGGATTATCTTTTGTTCTAACTTGACTCTGGGCAGGCTCATGCTTGGGGGCTGGTGACCAACAAGCCATGCTTAGAAGCCTGTAGCTTTCAGCACCACCCCTCATACTCCAGGAAGGAGAATGGCTGGAGATTAAGTTAATAATTGATCATGCCTGCACGAGGAAGCCTCCATCAACATTCCTCAAGTATAGGGTTTGTAAAGCCTCCAGGTTGATGAACACATCCATGGGCCAGAAGGGTGATATACCCCAACTCTATGGGGGAAAAAGCTCCTGTACACAGGACCTTTACAGACCTTGCCCTATGTACCTCTTCATCTGCTCTTTATCTGTATCCTTTATTACAAGCTGGTAAGTGTAAGTAAGTGTTCCCCTGATTTCTGTGAGCCATCATAGCAAATTATCAAACCTGAGGAGAGAATTGTGCAAACCCCCCATTTGAAGCCAAATCAGATGGTATGGGTAAACTGAGAACCTGCTGCTTGCAATGGGCACCTGAAATGGGGGCAGTCCTATGGGATTAAACCCTTAACCTGAGGGGTCTGACGCAAACTGTAGGTAGATAATGTCAGGATTGAATTGAATTATAGGATATAATCAACGTCCACTGAAAATTGGAGAACTGGTTGGTGTCTGGAAAGGCCATGTGGAGACATCTTGAGAAAGTGGCCATCTAGAAGCCAGGAAGAGGCCTCACCAACCCTGACAGCACCTTGACCTTGGACAGTAGCCTCCAGACTGTGAAAACGTAAATTTCTGTTAATAGCCAGTTACTACTCTGCAGTTATTTTGTTATGGCTGCCTGAGCAGACTAACACAATATCCAACTCTCCCAATTTAAAAACAAGAAAACTAATGTTCAGTTGGGTAAGTACCTATTTCAAGCTTACTCAGTTAATTACAAAGTAAGGGCTATCATCAAGTTATCCATACTTCTAATGTAGTATTGCTTTGACTGATAGGCTTGCAGAATAAATTCTTCAAAAGCATCACTATAGAAGGTCTCTAATTCAAACTAAACAAGAATCCCATACTTTTATTTTAGTACTCATCCAAACAACATCTTTTCCAACAAATAATCTGGAACAGAACTTCCATGTGGTTTTAGAAAATAATTTTGGCTTTTGTAATTCATAAAGCTATCTTATATAATTCAGTTATTTTAGATATATTTTTAGTGTAAGTACATTTCTCTATAAAACTCAAATGCTCCTTAGGTTATTTTTATTAAAAATGAAGTGAGTTGTATGAAATTAAATATTGTTTTTCATCAATATTTCATTATAGTTGCAAATATAGAATGGGATAAAGCCAGACAGCTGGCAAGATTGTATGATATTTTGCATCATGAAAAGCAAAAGTAACCACCCTCTGATTTCTGAATAAATAATCCTGTAAGCACTAAGTTCAAATAGAAATAAAAATAACATTTCTCTTGATCATATATGGCTAATTAGTCCCAGCTTCTTAAGAGGCTGAGGTGGGAGGATCCAGAGTTTGAGCCCAGCCTGAGCAGGCAACATAGCAAGACCCAATCAAAAAAGAAAATTGAAACTTGCCAACACAGAATGAAAATAAAAATCAAACTTGATTTTAAAAACTAGAGAAAACTGATAGCCTTCAAAATAACAGACAGTCATAATAATGTTAGATGACAAAATGCTGCAGATAAACATATGTAAAATGTCATCCATGTTCTGGATCAGGGTAAGTACTAGGACTATTCCTAATCAGTATGAAATACCCAGGTAGCAACTACCCCTCAGCTGTGAGCCAAAACACTTGATAAACCAAAAGAATTATCTCTGAAAAATGACTGAAGATGATGATATACATGCATTCAACTTTTACTCTAAAATCTTCACTAAAATAACACTAAATGTTTTGCTTTGTTTTTATTCTGTAAAAACACAAACCTACAAGAATAAAGGAAAATAAGCTATCATAATTGACTCACCAAGGCTGGTGGTAGGGAAAGCCAAGAAGCAATTTGATTTTATGCCAACACATACTGAAAAGGCCCAGGAAGTGGTAGCAGGCTGACAGTGCAACCGGTCTAGACTACCGCAGGTTAGAGAATTTTTCTTTTTTCAAAATTTAATGGCTAAAATATGCAATGTTTGAATATTTTGAGGAATGTACACAACTTGAGATCAATGTAGGGTTTCCTGAGGTACAAATTATCTAGATAATTTGACAACATGTTAAATATAAGGAAATAAAATGCTCATTTTTCCTAGACTATGAACAGATCTTCCCTAGTGGACAATTCATGGTTTTGCTCCCCAGCCTCCATCTTCCTTCTGTTCAAAATGTCAGACCAATTTTCATTTAGTACAGGGGTGTCCAATCTTTTGGCTGCCTTGGGCCACACATAAAATACATTGATAGCTCATGAACTTAAAAAAAATCATTTAAAAAACTCAATGTTTTTAGGAAATTTACAAATTTGTGTTGGGTCTCATTCAAAGCTGTCTTAGGTTGCATACAGCCTGTGGACTGGGGGTTGGACAAGCTTGATTTAATACATCCTCAGTCTTTTCTTGAATGATAGTGTCTGCAGACTTCCAAGAGCCCTTCCTCTCCTCCTCAATCCCCACCAAGTAACATGTGTGCTTGAGACCCAAAAGTGGGCCAATAGGATGATCATTCTTCAGCTCTAGAATGATCAGGAACAGTACAAGGAAAATACTGGAAAGGGTTAGAGTCAGCCACCACACAGCAGCAACCTGGCAAAGGTAGTCAAGCAGGCCTGCTAACTAGGCCATCTGGCACGGCAAGGAGTCCTGCCTTTCAGCATCTGGTTCTTCAGCCTTTCCTAGGATCCTATGAACTCCCTACATCCTTCTAATATAGCATATTTTTAAATTAGTCAAAATCTTTTTCTGTTGCTTGCAACCAAAAGCTCTAACTGATTTGGGCAGAATTTATTCATAAAAAGAAGTAAACTAAGAAAATACTTGATTTGAACAAACTTCATTCTTCACAGATTCATCAGATATAACTATAAGAGACCTTAGAGTTCATGGCGCTTAATCTGATACACATGAAAAAAAAATAAGCTGAGATCAAGTTCCTTTCCCATTGTCATATAGCTGGTAAGTGGCAGTGCTTAGAATAAAACTGAGGTCTGCTGCTATCCGTTCCAGCAAGACTATTTGAATTACATGTTTTAATTACTTTCATTTTTTACAATACCTCTAGTTCCTGGAAGTGGAGCTGCTATCCAGTACCCCAAATGTGGTGCATCATATGTCCAGATTAAATGATTGTTATGTTCCTTGACCATTCCCCGACCATGATTTACCCAAGCACCTAAAAAGGTATGTAAAAAATACTTGTTACAGTTATATCTTAAGAACTGATGGTCATGCACAGAATACATTATGGGACTTTTTCAAAGATTATGAAAACTGTGGCAATATATAATCATAGGCTAATATATATCACATCATATTATAATATAGTATATACTGTAATAGAATAATTAGAATGATTTGTTGTGACCAAAAAACACTGTAAATAAACTAAGGATGGCCAGGTGCGGTGGCTCAAGCTGGTAATCCCAGCACTTTGGGAGGCCAAGGCAGGCGGATCACAAGATCAGGTGTTCAAGACCAGTCTGGCCAACATGGTGAAACCCCGTCTCTATTAAAAACACAAAAATTATCAATTATGACACCTATTATTGTAATAGGTACTGAAATAAACTCACCTTAGAATCAGACCTTCAAATAAGTGGATCACAAAGCCTTAATCATGGAATTCATGAAAAACTTATCTATTAATTTTGTGAGTTTTAAAATTAAAAAGTACTAAATTTTCACATTTCTTGATATTAATACATGTTTTTGGCATACTAATTAAGAATTGTCATTCCAAAAAAGTTGTCATTTTATATTAAAACAAAATAGTTATTAAAAACACAAAAATTAGCCAGGCGTGGTAGCACATGCCTGTAATCCCACATACTCAGGAGGCTGAGGCAGGAGAATCGCTTGAGCCTGGGAGGTGGAGGTTGCAGTGAGCTGAGAGTGCGCCACTGCACTCCAGCCTGGGTGACAGGGCAAGACTCTGTCTTGAAAAAAAATAATAATAAAATAAACTAAGGACACAGACATACTTAGAAAAATCATGACTCTCCAGATTCTATTTAAACTGTGGATATTAAGATAGCTCTTATCTGATATTCTGATTAAATATACTGTTTTATGGCCTTAATTTTTTACTAAATATTGTCTCGGTCTAGTACTGTTGGTATTGTTCTTATAGAACTAGATCTTCTAAACTTTCAATAAATGTTACCTCATCCAGTAAAATTTGCTGTCAAAAGAAAAAAGAATTCAGTAAAACCTGTACCTTTTATGAAGTTTTATTTATAAATAGCATAACAAAGCTATTTGAGTTTGGTGTATATTTGTATTATGGTTTATTGATTTATTATAGTGAATTATCTATAACATGTAAAAAAGTATTTTAATAAGGTAGAGAAACTGGAAAATGAGAATAATTTAATCTATTGCTTTTAAATAGTCCACAAGTGTTACATCAGTGATAAATCAATTCAAAAAATGTTGTCACTGAAAGGTACATTAGAGATAGATGCCTTGGCCAGAAAGAACAATCAGCAACTAGGACTCAAACAGCAGATATTCTTTTTTTAAGTGCCTTAACACGACTTCCTCATTCAACAAATCAGGAAATTGAGGCCCAAATAAGTTAAATGACTTATTCCAAGTAGTACTGCTGGTAAACAGACTAGATTCCAAATCTTAGAGTTCTTAATCTAATGATTTCAGTAGCATACTACCGTGGTTATATAGTTTCCACTCTTTCTTTAAAACATAGATATATTACTGCTTATATTCTCTATAGTGAAAACGTATGTGTTTTGGGGGCCTTATTACCTAACAGGAAATCCCATTTCAAGTTTTGAGGATCTATTGCGCCCTATTCTCAGCCAACATGATCAGTTTAGGGTCCCATCCAGCTTCAACATGTGACCTAAAGTCTAAATAAATCTGTGCATTCAATTTGCAGGTCACAAAGACAGGTTCTAAGATGGGCATGCAAACTCCACTCTACAACTACAGTGAGTCCAAGGGCTTCTGCTATATATAGCTCCTAAGAAAATCTCTACTGGCCTTCAACCTGGCAAAGTATAACGTTAGAGCACCTACAGCCTTCTTGTCAGTCTGAAGGGAAATCCCATCCTAGAAAGGTGCTA
This sequence comes from Homo sapiens, assembly GCF_000001405.40. Lineage (NCBI taxonomy): Eukaryota > Metazoa > Chordata > Mammalia > Primates > Hominidae > Homo > Homo sapiens. Next base: position 186,752,020 of record NC_000002.12, on the reverse strand, counting down.
ATACAGAGCAAACAGATGAGAGTGAAGGAGGAGAGAAACCAAGCCCAAGCCCTGTGAAACTATCTAGACTGTAGCATGACTCACCCAAGGAAGTCCTACCTGTAAACTTTTCAGTTGTGGGCTGATCATTTTCCTTTTTCTGTCTTTTTTTGGTAACTTACACTCCTACCTTATTTACATGGGAACCCATGAACAAAAACAAAGGGAAGCTGAGGATGAAAATATACATATATTTCCAGCTGCTATTTAGGAGGCGAAACCCAGAAAACAAAACTAGTATCTAAGGGGTTTCTTTGGAAAAACAATTACTTTTTCTATCTCTTAATAACATAATGTTACTTATTTTCATGAAACTAGCATACATTTCCCTATGGCCTTAAACCACGCTTTTAGATAGGTATTATGAGCTTATCAAAACAAAAACAAACTTCTAAGAAGAGAGATAATTTTAAAAAATTATTTCTACCTCAAAATGGTGGTGCTACAAAAAGGTAAGGGAATGAATAAATAATGCTATTTTTTTGACATGTGTATTCCCATCATTTGCCCAATGGTTGTATTATATTAATCAAAGTGAAGTCAATTTTGGTCACTAACAAATACATTTGTGATGTTACTAAAAAACTAGAGCTGTATCAAGTTCTAAGATAAAACATCCAGCTAGTCAATTGACAAATATGTAAAATATTCAGACTATTTTAACCTAGCTCACATACCTGTGTTCATATCAAATGTCCAAGCAGGTATGCGATCCCCTGCACTTATATCATTCAGACGTAGAAGAGGAAGAGAAACTTGAATAGAGCCATTGACCTTTAGTTCTTTTCCTCCAGAATATATTTTCACACATATTGCAGCAAGAGGAGTCAATTCAATGTTTTCAAAACCTATAAAAGAAGACAGTTTATTAAAATCATATGTAAACAGAGGTGGTAGTTACCTAATTATTATAGGTCTAAAATAAATAGTTCCTCTATTTCACCAAGGGTTATCTATTTTAATATCAAATAGATACTGAATACACATTAAGGATTTTTTAAATGTAATTTTAAAATATTGTCTAAATATAGGCTATGCAATGTAACACTGACAAATCAATATGAGCCTAAGTTATCTAAGTCATCTGATGTAAGGGGCACTAGAATCCAATTCAATATTTTTTATAAATCTAAAAAGCAACAACCAAAAAAACCCCATCTCACTATAGTACCATATTCCATAAAGGCTCTATCATACACCATCAATGCAGATGTAGATTTGAAATATCTCACCCTCTCTTTTCCAAGACCATCTGTTTCAAGGAGTGCTAGAACCCACAGATCTAGCTGCACTTCTTACATAAAAAGCATTCAGATTAAAAGTTGCACTTCTTACATAAAAAGCATTCAGATTAAAAGTTGCACTTCTTACATAAAAAGCATTCAGATTAAAAGTACAATTTTTAATGGATAGGTTTGGCAATTAAACATGAAACAAAATCACTGTAATATTACTTGATAAAAATTGTGTTAATATACTTGATTATTCATACAACTGAAAGAATATAAACTTAGATTTTAAATATAATACTAGACTTCAAAGCTTGAAAAGCAGGAGAAAGGGAGATAACAGAATTGGTTATATTGTTTTGCCTAAGGTTTTAAAGATTTACTAATACAATTTACAGTACGCTTTCTTAAATATCAGGAACTATCTATAGATGTCTGTTACTCTGGGCGGAGAGAGGGAGCAGAAAGTGCCTTTCTTTTGCTTTTGAAATATTAGCAATGCCAAACAAAGTTATAATATATACCAGAATATTTATGAAGAATAAAACTATTACAGATGTTAAAATTACAGTATTTCTACAAATAGATGGGAGAAAGTATACTTTTTATCTATTTGCTTTTGGTCTACACTTTTGAATCTTTGGCTTCAAAACTAGAAATTTGTTCATTCATTTAACAAATATTTACAAAGTCCCTACCAGCACCATGTACTCATATGGGCCCCAAAGACACAGTAAATATATTTCTGATATTGTCTGCAATATTTTTTCATAATAATTCCTATCAAATATCCTTTTTTGCCCCCATGTATTTACTCCTCATCAGTTTTTTCCCCCACCCAAATGTAAGTGCATGATAATCTAGAAAAGGCACATAATTAGGCGGTCAAGAAAGGCCTCCTCTCTGAGGAGGGCACATCTGAGCTGCAGCCAAATGGGAAGAACCTTCAAGAACTTTCCAGGCAGAATAAACAAGTCCAAAGCCTCCAAATTAGAAGTGATCTTGGCAGGTGCAGGAAAGAAAGGTGGCCACAGGGCTAGAGGGCAGCAGGGGAGACAGGCAAGAGTGGAGGGTCTTGGCAGCCACAGAAAGAGTCCTCATTATCATGACTGCTTATCATCTGGAATGGCTTCAGCCGTCAAACAGGCCAAGTAGTGGCTTACTGAAAATTTTCAATTAAATATAAGAATTAACTGTACTAAATTACCTGAAAGACAAATATTAAATGAGCAAAGCAGTGCCATACATATTTTATAGGCTGGCATGCTTGTAAGCCATCCACTGCAAGCACAAATCAAATGTTATATAAATTGTTAAGTAACTACATCAAACTACTCAGTAAAACCAGTTGGCTGGCTTTCTGAAGTACCTGCTTCAACCTCACCCCTCAGCTCCGTGCAGTCAGTGGCTTTACAAACTGTTGAAACTGACACACCAGCATTTAAGATAAAGTCAAGTCAGAGGAGAAAAGAATGGTGCAAGGGAAAAAAGACTGAAAAAAACAATGAGAAGGAGAACAGAACTTTTATGAAAGGACATTTTTATCCTCATGGAACTCTAGAACTGTGTAATCTAATAAAGTGACCACTAACTGCATGTGGCTATTTAACTTCCTCAGTGCACTGGTCATGTTTCAAGAGCACAACAGCCACATGTTGGACAGAGAAGAATATTTCCATTTGGCAGCACTGCTCTAGAACTTTTTAAATGATAGCAGCATTCTCAGGATAATCAAAACTATTAATGAATACTCTCAAAAGCAGGTAATAGAGTGTTGGGAAACAGTTCATTCTGACCCTTTCCCACTGAATCTAGTGAGTCTTGTCCATGAACATCCTCCAGCGCCATGAGCTTCATTTGTGATAGTGTGTACAGATACCATTCTAGTAAATGCTTTTATTTACACCATCCTGTAGGTTACATCTGGAAAATCTTGGCTGATGTCTTAGTTTGGCTTCCTCAAGCAGCAGACCCTGAGATAATAATTTGAGGGCAAATAGTTTATTTGGTAAGTAATCCCAGGAAGCACCTATCACTAACAGAAGCGTAATTCAGCAGGAAGGAAGGGAGCCAGTACAGGATGTGTTAACAAGCAGGTTATCACTGTGGTAACTCCAGCTCAGTTCCACTGGGGACATACACTGGCTCAGAGTTGTCCTAGCCACACCAACTTTTGTCTGTCATTGGTTGACAGCTTGCCCCATGTGATGGCCAAGTCTGCTTCTTGGAACCAAGGAATGCCCTCAGGCAGTCACAGATGTGTGCAGTAGGAAAAGCAGGTTTGTAACAGAATAATAAGTGTCATCTGGCTGGGGCACTGATAGCATCAACTCCAACAGGCAAAACAAAACTCTATCTAACCAAAATACTTATTTCCTGTTATCACTCATTGCTGGCTGTTCCTCAAATGAAATGAACAAAATATCTGAAAAAAAAAAAAAAGAAACTATCAGAATTATAGACTGTTTGAGGTGATTTTAAACAGTGGATTTTCAGTTAGGTTACAATGAGTGGTAAAAATGGTAGAACAGGCCTGGCGAGGTGGCTCATGCCTGTAATCCCAGCACCTTGGGAGGCTGAGGTGGGCGGATTGTTGAGCACAGGAGTTAAAGACCAGCCTAGGCAACATGGCGAAACCCCATCCCTACAAAAAATAAAAAAGATTAGCTGGGTGTGGTGGTGCATGCCTGTAGTCCCAGCTACTTGGGAGGCTTAGGTAGGAAGATCACTCGAACCTTGGTGGTTAAGGCTGCAGTGAACCAAAATCATGCCACTGCACTCCAGCTTGGGAAACAGAGCAAGACCCTGTCTCAAAAGAAAAAAAAAATGGTGGAACAAGTGTGGATGTACAGAGGGAAATGATGTTTGTAAAGGGTTTATTTATGAATGTATTTTTAAATGTAAAATTCCATTGTTCCACTAACTTTTATATTATGACAGCCTTATAGAAATTATATTATGACAGCCTTATAGAAATATATGAGTGCTGTTGACTCTAGAATACATATATTTTCAATATTTATATTTTACACAGAGAATAGCAAATATTTACAATAGCTTACTCCAATCTATAAACTTTTTTCTATCTCAATTATTGACACTTCTCATCAGTTGGATAAAAATGAATACATCAAATTATGAAAAAAATACAAACTGAATTTTAATTTTTGAATGTATTAAATTTTCAAAGCTATACAATAATCATAACTATTTTCTATACCTTACCTGCTTTGGATCAAATAAAATTTAATAAATTTAAAAGAAATCAAAATTTCCATGCATTTGAAATAATGTATGCTGAATTTTTCTTTCATTGAATAAGATATATTTCATTAAAGGGAATTTTTTATTATATACATTTTAATAACTAGATTTATGTCTCAAATGATGTGTATTATCCATAGCTTATATATTATAAGCTATTATAGATAGCTAAATATTTGATGAAAGATTTGTGTACTAATGTTTCTTATAACTATATTATACAAAAAGTAGATAATACCTGGTTTATTGAGAGTAATTCCAGTTGTATGCAGAAAATTGTCCACTTTCAAAAACTGTTGTAGAACTGTAAGATAGCCAGTAACGTTGCTAATATGATGGTTGTCAGGAAGTTTAATTAAGGCTTTTGAAAACTGAACACTTGGTTGAGACTTGGCATCTGGAAAAAAGGAAACCTCATTAACAAAGAGATAAAGGCATGTTAAGCATAGCAGCATTGGTCAGGATGTCTTACTTTAAAAGAAGCAATTATAATTATTGCTAAACATCATTAGCATCTTCTCATGTAATTATTTTAAATGCAGAACTAAGAAATTTTCATTTCTTTAGATGACACAAGGCACCTTTGTACTGATTGATTCTGCTGCCCAGAATTTCCTCACCCTTTTCTTTCCACTCTGGGGAACCCCAAACTGACCATTTTTAGCCCATGTGTTTCATTTGGGGTCTCATTTCTGTAACGGTAGTGGAGTTGATGGTGCATGCCAGAATGGGCTGAAACCAATTAAAAGCATCTCATTCTCTTGGCCACAGTGATTTGTTCAATGATGGGCCCTGTCCCAAGCACAGTTAATGAGATACAATGTGTGTTTTGCTTGGACTGGATTTAATGTGAGCAGGTATACATCCAGGAGTTGTAACAGCCATCTTGCAATCAAAAATGAAAGCTTGTTTAAAAATCGAGGCAGCATTCAAATAGTGGAGAGTTGAGTAATAGAGAACCAGTTTTCAATTATTTCTACTGAAGTCGTGATCGAGCCATGTCTAAAGTTCGTCCTATTCCTACACTTAACATCTATAAGAGAAATAAATAAATGCTTATTTTGGGCTTAAGCCAGATTAGGACTGGGTTTTCAGTAACTTGCAACAGAAAAGTGTCTCTGATGATATTCAGCCACATACTTAAGTGGGTAAGTTTCTCTATCAGTTAACTAACCATGCATTAAAAGCCTTTCAAATGCCAGGTACTCAATTTATAAATATCTCAGTAACTGAATTTTTCCTAAGTATAAATATCTCAGTATCTTCTAACATTATTTATCAAGTGATAATTCAGTGACAATATTGATATTTCTGTAATCAACAGATTTTGAATTTAATAATTCAAAGATCAACTCTTACACCTGAAAATTATCAGAAACATCAGCTTTTGCTTTGAACTTTAGTAAGGTCACTGATGAAGACAGAAGCAATCAATTAAATTATTAGAATAGAAAAGACATCAGTTTTTAAAGAGCTACATGACAATAAATGATAAATGAAACAATGTAAGACTTCTCAGTTTATAGTTTTTGTGTGTGTGAAGCTAGAAAAATAATACCTGGAAAACAGTTAAGAAAAGTAACATAATTATATGCTGTTTGGTTGTTGAGGATACAATCTAAAGCCTTCTGATCACTCACAGGTACTACCTATGACTTGCTCTTTTAAAATACGTGGCTTAATTATTTTGAAGACCACATTTCTTACAACTGAACACATGCACACTAAACAAAATGTCTAGCTGAGCTTCTGTAAGGTTTTGTACATTCCTAAATTTTCTAGTTTCTCCTTTTGCCATAAATACATAAACACACAGGCTTAATTTCCACTGTACAAACCTAATGAAACATGTTATGGAAGTTCAGCAGTAAGGATATGTATTTTTTACAGAAAGATTTAACATCATTATGAAACATTCATACTTTCCTGCCTGGCCTTACAAATGGGTCACCTTTTAGGAAAATGAGACAGTAAAAGGAAGTGATCTGAGAATTCAAGAGGACTCACAGTGTTCTCACGGAAACCTGCCAAGGCATGGCCAGTACTTTCCAGACAAATGAGTGCTTACCACTGCTTGGTACAGTGGCAAAGGATTGGTACGGGACATGGTCACACAGATCCATTTCATGTATTCCAGCAGAAACTATGATTGTTAATGGGGTTTGAAGATGCCAGTGAGGGGCAGAGATGCATCAAAACAAACACTGAAGAGGGACTGTGAAGAAGCTAATTTCATTAAGGCCCCAATAGCATTAAACAGAGCCTCTCTGTATACTTGTAATTCTTATTTACTTTCCATTCTTTCACACACAGCTCCACATCCACCATTCTGCCATACACAGCAAAAATCACTAGCTCAAAATTCTGGCAAGGCCAGTCATGGCAGCTCCCAGCACTTTGGGAGGCTGAGATGGGCGGATCGCTTGAGGTCAGGAGTTTGAGACCAGCCTGGCCAACATGGTGAAACCCCATCTCTACGAAAAATAAGAAATTAGCCAGGCGTGGTGGTACACGCCTGTGGTCTCAGCTACTTGGGAGGCTGAGGTGGAAGGATCACTTGAGTCCAGGAGGTAGAAGTTGCAGTGAGCCGAGATTGCACCACTGCACTCCAACCTGGGTGACAGAGCCAGACACTGTCTCAAAAAAAAAAAAAAAAAATGCTGGTCAGGCACGGTGGCTCATGCCTGTAATCCTAGCACTTTGGGAGGCTGAGGCGAGTGGATCACCAGAGGTCAGGAGTTCAAGACCACCCTGACCAATATGGAGAAACCCCATCTCTACTAAAAATACAAAACTAGCTGGGTGTGGTGGCACATGCCTTTAATCCCAGCTACTTGGGAGGCTGAGGCAAGAAAATCACTTGAACCCGGGAGGCAGAGGTTGCAGTGAGCTGAGATTGTGCCATTGTACTCCAGCCTGGGCAACAAGAGCGAAACTCTGTCTCAAAGATAAAAAAAATCTGGCAAATATCTTGGTATTTCAAATGTCTTGGTATTTCATAAGTAAGAGATTCTACAGCCTCACTCAGTAAATTGCTTCAAGATTCATCAAGCCCTAGTTTATTTTTTTCCCAAATAATAGTAAATTTTCTGGTTGAATATTTTAGGAATAGATAAGGCAGCATCTAAAAATGAAAAGAACTTTCACAGAGAGTTCTTTTTACCATGACGCTCTTACTGGACTCCACCTTGAGGGCTTTCTCACTTTATCAGTCATTCCTGTTATACTTTAGACCTAAATATGAATTTACCAATACAAAACAAACAAGCAAATTGTTGTCATTTATAGAGGTTTCCTAAAATATGCAATAAAAGAGTCACAGAATTCTGAGGTTTCTAAGGCGTGCGGGGAGTTAGGATGAAACAATCATCTTCATGGTTGGTAAAGCAGAATTGGAGGACACAGTTTGAATCAGTACCCAAAACATGATTTCTGCACTCTTCTCCTTGGGATACACAAGTGAGGCAAATCACGTCTACAGAGCAGATACTTAACTACCAAGTCTTAGGCATCTCCCAAAAAGCGACAAATTTAATGCTGGAGGCAGGAAGGAGGCAATCTGTAAATTAGCCCCAAAGGCCTGAGCAATATGTGTCCTGCCCTTTCCTCAATTTCTCCCACCATGGAAGCCCCAGTAAGAAATGTGATTTGGAAAGAAGAACAGAAGTTCTCTACAGTGTGCCTGTTTGAGGGGCTAAAATAGTAAAGGAAAAAATGACTCCTGCTATACAAAAAAGCCCACACCATTCATTTGACAGTAAAATATCAGTTCAGATCAACTTATAGTCAGTGCTAATCATACTGATCAATTTAGATTTTTCTCAAGTTATAATTCACACTGATTCTTAGTGAAGAAGTACAGTTATACGACAATAACTTTAAGTGTTTACTTAGTAAGAAGTATGGTACTTACCAGCTAATTTTCCAGTAATTAAAACAGTGTCTTCAAATAGCCATATATTTGCTTGGCTTTGCGGGAACAGTGAAAGTGTAACTGATGAATATACTGTGAAATATAGCACAATTAGAATATTTTACTTAATGTGAGGGGAAAAAAACTAGGACAAATATAGTTCTGTAACAGCAAGTCTCAAAAAGTGTGTTGTGGGGGGGAACAAATGCTTGATGGGAAGAGCAATTCAAAACAAAGGAAGAATGAATGTAAAATATGATGGAGGAAAAAAGGTCACAATAAAGTGAGAAGAAAACATTGGTTATCACTATTTATTTTACTAATCTTTTCTATTTGATGGTAGTAGTCTATACCAAGGTGATGAATGATGTTCTGTAACCCCAGATATAAATGATCAAGTTAAATGCTTGAATAACTCCCTGATATATTTTCTCTAATTTTTACTTATTAAGATTTAAAAATTTTTTTTCTTGGCTCCATGATTCAAGCTTCTCTAGATATAAACTATATCCACTTTTCACTTTTACCTTCCCACATAAGAGCACAATGCTCTTCTGCAAACAGTGTGGTTTGCCAAAAGGATCCTGAGTTGGCAGAGAAGGAAACAATTTAATGCACAAAATGATTCAAAGGCAACCTTTAGTAGTAATGCAGGATGGAGATGAACCTGCCTACAAGCATAGGCAGCTGAACTACCTGTTGGGATGAGTTAAATGCAGATTACCTGAAAGATATTATTTCAAGATTGGAGCAAGAAGCTGGGACAAAAGACCATTTTATAAGCAAGATCAAATCAAACTTATCAATCCTTCAAAAGAAAAATCAGTTTTGAGGAGTTCTCAATCCTCCAAAAGAAAAATCAGTTTTGAGGAGCTCCCAAAGCACGAGTTCTCGTTTGATATCTTTCCTCTATGCTGTGTATTTAAAATTAATAGAAATAGCATGGCATCCTCAAATCTCTTAAGAGAAAACACAGTTGCATGGAAATACTTTTATTATTTTGAGATATTTCAAAGAATTTAAAGAAAATATGGAAAAAAGTAAAATACAAAAAGTATACAATGATGGGTGGAAGTAAAAGGAAATATACTTTTCTCCTTCCATAGGAAAAGAGAACTACCAAATAAAAATGTAATTTCAATTTCAGAATATATTAACATTTAGACTGATTAATGGATTAAATTGGAGAGGTGGGAGGGTCACAGTTTGAACCTCAAGGTGATTATAAGTAAGGCATTATTCCATATTTGGATACTTTCTCAGTCACACCTCTGTTAAACATGAGGAGAATCTTTCTGAACTTCAAACACATTCAGATTTCTTTTCACGTGAAAATTGTTTCCTATTATAAATGGGATGTAATACCCATGGTGAAAAACTTGAACACAGAAAATAAGATGAAAGTGATGATCACTGCAACACCACCATAGGAACAATCATTAATAATATTTTATTATAGCTCTTTGTTGGGTATTCCTGTGATTTTTTAAAATAGTGAATTATGATATTGTTACAGAATACTGTTACCCTGCCTTTTTCATTTAATAACATAAGTATTTCTCTCAAAAGATACTTTTCATAACATTTTTAACCCACATATTTCATTTATTAAGGTATCAAGATTTACTTATTTACTGCATTAATCCAATAGATTTGGAATGCTTCCATTTCACTATTATTACAAAAATATTGCATCAGCTTCCTGGTGCATGAACGCCTGTCCACTGTATTTAATATTTTAACATACGTTTATTTGTGCAGATTCATAAAGTGAATACTGGGTCAAAGTTTATGAAGATTTTGAAGACTTTGACACATACATTTCAAAAATTGTTACCGAGGTAATTTTGCCAGTTTGTACTTCTACCAAGAATGTTTGAGAATCTGATCCTATCTTGTTTGACAATATTAAAGATAATCATTTAACAACTTTTTTAAGGTAAAAAAATCTAAGTGTGTATTTCTTTGGTGTACTAATCTTAGATTATTAAAGCATGTTGTCATATGTACTAACCATTTGTATTTCCTGTTTTGAAAATTGATAGGCCATGATTTTGTCCATTTACCTTATTTAGTTAGGGTCTTGGCATTTTCTTATTGATTTGTATGAATTCTTTACATATTAAGGACTTTATGCCTTACTGTTTCAAATATTTTTCCAACCTCAGTTGCTTTTTATGTTTATGACATACAGGACTTTATTAAAATAATATGTTCATATATAGCTTATGGCATCTTTTATTGCTTTTAAGTTTAAACAGACCATCCTAACTGAAAGGTCAGATAGTTTATTTTCTTATATTTAATATAATTATTTTCCACATTTGATCTCTCTAAGCAATATATTTTCACATATGGATCCAATTAATTTATTCCAAATAGTTAACCAAAATATATCTATCATTTAATGACTATTCAACCTTTTCTCAATGATTTCTAATGGCATCTTATCATAGATAACATTTTATAAATACTAAGTGTCCAATTTGTACCATAATACAACTTATAGCATAATATCACTCACTCTTAATTTTGTAGATATATAATATGTTAGTTGTCTGTAATGGCAAATTGCCCCTAGGAGATGTATTTTTAAAAGATTCCCATGTATCTTTACACATTTATTCTTTAAAGATTATTTTTGCCAATTCTTAAAAATAAATCTATAATAATATGTTAGGGAGGTTTCAGATAGTTTACCTGTTGGGACACAAGACCCTTGCTTGCAAGCAGCTTCTCAGAACTAAAACAGGCCCAAGAGAACTTGTTTGCCCATTCTACCATGTGAGGACACAGAAGATGTCATCTATAAACAAAAATGCCCTCACCAGACACAGAATCTGCTGGCACCTTGATCTTAGACTTCCCAGACTCCAGAACTGCAAGAAATAAATTTCTCTTGTTTACAAGCTACCCGGCTCAGGGTATTTCATTATAGCAGCCTGAAAAGACTAAGACAATGTTTTCTTCAAAGTAGCACTCCCTTGTAACCTCCTTATGTTGACTTAAGCATTTTCATTTTCAGCTTACCAGAACAAGATATCCCCCAAACAGAGAAAATAATTCATTTACATTTAGCAAAAACAAACAAAAAAAAACTGTTTAAGTGCTTACTTGGCATTCTTCTGGTTTTCCAAGGCAGAGGGGTCAACACGTAGCCATCTTTGTAAGCAATAATAGTTAAACTAAGTCCTAATTTGTAGGGTACTTTTATCAGCACTGCTCCATTGCTTTTAGTTACTGTGGAATTTGTCTTCGTGTAGTTTACAAACACTTCTACAACTGCTTGGCTCAGGTACTGACGACTGATGATGTCATTCACCTGGACTTTCAACATAAATACAGACACTGGAGAGAAAAAGGTAGAAATTGCAGCATGTCGTATCCTAGAATGCATATGTCATAGTCTTTAAATGTCATTCAACATATCTAAATAACAGTACAAAACTGTTGTTAAACTTAGGAACTACACATAAATACATATAATAATGAAGAATTCATTATTCTTTGTAAAACGAAATAAATTTCAATACAGTTAAGTGCTCCATAGCAACATTTCAGTCAATGATGGACCACATATATAATCTTCCAGAAGATTATGATGGCACTAAAAAATTCCCATTGCCTAGTGACGTCATGGCCATCATAGTGTTGCAGTGCAATGTGTTACTCACGTGTTAATGGTAATACTGGTGTAAACAAACCTGTGCTGCCAGTTGTATGAAAGTATAGCATATATAATTAGGTACAGCATATAAAACTTGATAATAGATTACGTTACTGGTTTATGAATTTACTATACTTTTTAATCATTATTTTACAATGCAGTCCTTCTACATACAAAAATAAAAGTTAATTGTAAAAAAGACTCAGGCAGGTCCTTCAGGAGGTATTCCAAAAAAAATAAAGGCATTGTTATCTTGGGAGATGACACTTCCATGCATGCTGCTGCCCCTGAAGACCTTCCAGTAGGACAAGATGTGGAGGTGGAAGACAATAATATTGATGATCCTGCCCTGTGTAGGCCTGGGCTAATGTTTATATTTGTGTCTTAGTTTTTAACAAAAAAAGTTTAAAAAGTAAAAAGTAAAAAATTTTTAAAATAGAAAAAAGCTTATCAAATAAGGATAGAAAAAAATTTGTACAGTTGTACAATGTGTTTCTTTTAAGCTAAGTGTTATTACAAAAGAATCAAAAAGTTTAAGTTTCAGTAAGTTTATGAACTTATAGTAAGCTAAGGTTAACTTATTGAAGAAAGAAAAATATTTTTTTCTAAATTTAATATAACCTAAGTATACCACCATGGAGTGTTTGCAGAGTCTACAGTAGTATACGGTAATGTCCTAGGGCTTCACATTCACACACCCATAGCAACTTCCAGTCCTGCAAGCTGTATGCATGGTAAGTGCCCTTTACAAGTGTACTATTTTAAAAAAAAATCTTTTGTATGGTCTTTCTGTTGTGCCTTTTGTACGCTTAGATAAGTGTCAGTTTAGATGCACTGACACTTAAAATTGTGTTACAATTGCCTGCAGTATCCAGTACAGTAATATGCTGTACAGACTTGCAGCTTAGGAGCAATAGCCTATACCATATAACCTAGGTGTGCAGTAGGCTATACCATCTAGGTTTGTATAGGTACATTATGATGTTCACAAAACAATAAAATCACCTAACAATGCATTTCTCATAGTGTATTGTCATTGTTAAGTTACACATGGCTGTATTTGTTATTAAGGCACAATATTACTCCATTTTTTCCTATCAATTAAAAAAGAAGAAAGGACAGCAGTGAATAATGTGAAGACTGAGGTTCTCTCTTAAGGAAAATACATTTTTATTGTGTTTCACTAACTCTAATGCTATCAATAGCAACAGGAGACAGACAAATTCCTAGACAGTCAAAAATGGGTTCCCTTTCAGTGCCAACCTTCAAGCCAAAGAAAGCCTGAAACCTAAAAACTGAACTGCCAGTTCTGGACAGAGTCCACGACCAGAGTGAGAACTTCTATCTTTGTCTTACCCTCTGTCTCTTGATTGGTTCCTTTTGGATGATGCCTTTTAACCAACTGAACGGTTCTTTTTCCAAGAAGACCCATGGACTATTCTGCATGCACTCCCCCATTCTAAGCCCACAAAAACTCCAGACTCAGCCTCACAGATGGCTACCCTGCTTTCAGGGTCCCCTCTCCACCGAGAGCCTTCCTTTTGTTGCTCAATAAAATTCTTCTCTGCCCTACATATTCTCCAGTGTCTGTGTACCTTATTCTTCTTGGGCATGGGACAAGAACCTGGAACTCACCAAACTGCGGGCAGCAGAAACAAACAAGCTGTAACCCTAACTTCTGCCCCGTGGGCTGTGGACGGTGGGAATAAAATAGCTGCAATATGCTCCCACTCTCCAAGCTATGGGAGTGGAAAGCTGCAAAATTTCTGGAAGCTCAGACCTCAGGACTCCCCAAGCAAGAGCTGTAACATCCCTTGGGGCTCCGTGATCACTGGCATCTCTAAACATGGATCACCATGTTCCCCTAGTCTAGATGCCAGCACCCAACACAGAAGCCGCTTGTGGCATGCCCAGTCCAGCCACAGGCTGAGCGTGGAGCCACAGCGGGTGTGGGATCTGAGCAGGCGCGAGCCGAGCACAGCCTGCTGGGCTGTGCAACACCCAGACGGAGGCAGCTGCAGAGATTTCTGGTTGTCAAAGCAGCACTGTAGGAAATCTTGTAACACTTTCAAGTTACATAGATTTAACACATTCCAAATGTAGTCAAAGTTCTTAGAATAAAATGCCACTACTGCATGGCTAGCTCTTTTATTTTTTTCTGTTGTCTGGAAAGCAGAAGATGTTTTTCAGTGCCAAATATACAAAATATCAAAAATCCTTCTCTAAAATATCAAAAAGCCTTATCCATTAGGTATATAAGAAAACAAGGCTGAGCTTGATGGCTCATGCCTGTAATCCCAGCACTTTAAAAGGCTGAGGCAGGAGGATTGCTTGAGGCCAGGAGTTCAAGACCAGCCTAGGCAACATAGACCCTGTCTCTACAAAAAACTTGAAATTAGCTGGGTGTACTGGCACATGCCAGCTGCTTGGGAGGGTGAGAAGGAAGGATGATTTAGCCCAGGAGGTCAAGGCTGCAGTGAGCCATGATCACACCACTGCACTCCAGCCTGGGCAACACAGCATGACCCTGTCTCCTAAAAAAAGAGAAAGAAAAGAAACTAACATATGTTGAGGAAAATGAAAACTAAAGCCTGTTTTTACTTTAACCTCTGGTCTTACTCCTTAAGTACAGATCTTGATAACGTCTGCCTAAGAAAGAGCTTGTACCACCATGAAAGTGCCTTTGTAAGCATGTATCACATCTCTGTGAAAGATGCTTTCTCTTCCCCTGTAAACGGGTTCTGGAGTCAGTCACCATCCACCTCTGCCATTCCCTAGACATGTGACCTTGGGCAAGTTAGCTCTCAAAGTCCATTTGGTCATATGTAAAATCAGGAAAATAGTTAGCTACTTTGAGATAATAAAATGAAATAATGTGTCCAGTACAGAGCTTGTGTATCACTTAATGTGATTGGTAATAAAAATTATTATTCCACTATAAGAGAGCACTTCACAAAAATTAGAGTACACTGATAAGAAATATAAAGATTATGCTGCAATACATTTGCATAAACCTATTTTTACCCAAAATTTGTATCAAGAACAGCAAATCAGATAAAAAATTCTTGTCAATGTTGACTGAGCCTCAATATTGCTATCAAAATATTGTTATACCTTGTCCGTTCTTTGTTAAACTGGACCTTAAATTGCTTCTGGATCATAACAAAGACATTTCAAATACAAATATAACCTTTGTAATAATCACCCAGTCCTAGGGAAGGTTCAATCCACCAAACTAAAAAAAAAAAAAAAAAAAAAAAAAAGCTCTGATCCCTTCCAGAGTCTAAAACGTTAAATGTTATCCAAACACTATTCTCATTCTCTCTCTCTCTCTCTCTCTCCCACACACACACACACACACACACACACAGCCACAAACATATTTCAGTATACCTCCTCTTATAAAAATTTTAACCATAATAAGAACTAAAATGTGCTGAGGGTAATAAGCCATGCGTTGTGTTAGTTTTTAAGTGCGTTATTCTACTTACTCTTCAAAAAAAACCTCATGGAAGAGATAATGTTGTTTTCTTTATTTTATACATATTGGTAACTGAGAGTTGCAGAGGTTTGAAAGTGAACCATGGCTAACCCTCAGTAAATGGAGGAAACAGGACATAAACTCAGGACATCTCTCATCAATGTTTATGCTTGTAAACCATTGCCCTACATCTGCCTGGTTACTCTCTTAAAAGCAATTATCATCTCAGTTTAGAGTGTGAAGATGGGAAGAATTGATTGAGAAAAGCAAAGAGAAGATTATATCAAATCATACCTTAAAATGAGGTTCCATTAGTCTGTCTGAAACACTGAATTTCCTGAACAACAATCTCATATATATTCAAATGTAAATATGAGGAAGAGATTCCAAGGTGATACAGAGATAAGTAAAGTTTATCCACACATCTGCTTTGCATCTTTAATGATAATAGAAAACCTTGTGAGAGGTCAAATTACTTTGAGTAGTCATTAGTATCACTACTTTTAAGAGATAAATTGAAGAACATTCAGTAATAAAAGGCCAAATAAGCTTTGAGTCTTAAGCTGTTCCTCAAACTATTTTTCCATCGTATCATAAATTCAGCCCATTAATAGTATTTTGTTATAAAATAAATATGGTTGTAACAATTTAAAATCAAAAGATGAAGGTAAAGAATAAATAAATGTGCCTGAGATTGCCTTTATGAAAATTATAACACAATTATAACAGTTAGTGAGATCTGATCTGGCCAACCCCCTTCCTCTTGCCTGTTGCCTTCAAGCTGCCTTAATTATTCCTGGGCTAAGGCTGGGCTAGCATTGAGAGACATTTAGTTTATAGTTTAAATAATAATAGCCCTTCCTCAAAATGTAACTGCCTTTATAAAGCTAATGAGATCATCGGGTTAGGAGGATGTGAGGAGCCTGAATTCTAAGGTGTAGATTGCCAGCCATTCTTCTGGAGGTCACAAGATATGCAATTTCCCCAATTACTCCTGCAAATAACATCACTATTGTAGAACCTAAGGATTGGCCATTTGAGATGTCTTTTCAGGTTTTTTAATGTCTGAATTGATGGCTCCACCACTCCAGTGGCAGCACCCAGAAGCAACTCAGCTCAAGAGGACAGCTTTGACTCCCTATGATTTCATCTCCAACCCAACCAATCAGCAGAAAGCACCCATTGCCTAGCCACTGCCACCCTGTCCCCTGCTTCCCCCAAACTGATGGCAGTGACAGCCCGTGTGGAGCAGCCACTGTGAGGATGCCAGCTGCAGCAGGGGAGGCACAGCTGGGGCTGCACAATCCACAAGGCCAGAGGGAGCCCTGCCCCTACCGAGTTGGTGGGGCAGGAGCCCACACTCCTGGGCACAGCTGCAGCCTGTCAGCTGCAGCTGCAGACCCCAGCATCCCTCTGCTCTCAGGGGCCCAGGAAGCTCCCTTCCCTCACAGGCTTGAAAGTGCCTGCTTCCACTGTCTGGCCTTTCCCTGCTCCCGGTGCCAGCCCTGGGGCAAAGCAAAGTTGTGGTCAAGAACAGGCACTTTTGCAACCCAGCTGGATGTGCACACACTTGGGGGCAGCAATGATAGGCCAGCCCCCTGTCGCCTAGGCCCCTTCCGGACTTTGGGCACTCATGGCCACAGGTGGGAAACAGCAGAGGCTGAGGGTGGCTCCACACAGGATTGCGGGTACCCCTCAGCACCCCTCAGGTATGGCCTGAAGCACGGGGGCCAGGTTGCCAGTTCCACAGACCAGAATGAGAACTTCTGGTGCATCTTCCTGGCCCACTCATGGACCAATCAGCATGTACTTCCGCCCATCTGAAGCCCATAAAAACCCTGGACTCAGCCAGACTCAGGCAGAGGACAGGATGACCTGCCTGCGGATAGGAGCTACCCACTCTGGATCGCCTCTCACCTGAGGGCCACAGAGATGTTGTGATGACCTGCTTATGGATAGGAGCTACCCACTCCAGGTATCCTCTCTCCATTGAGGGCTGCACGCTCTTTGAGACGACCTACCAGCAGATAGAAGCTACCCACCCCAGTCCTCCTCTAGGCTGAGAGCTGTACTCATCGGGATGACCTGCCTGTGGATAAGAGCTACCTACCCGCTCTGGGTCTCCTCTCTGCTGAGGGCTACAGACATTGAGACAACCTGCCTCTGGATAGGAGCTACCCACTCTAGGTCTCCTCTCTGCTGAGGGCTGTACTCATTGGGATGACCTGCTTGTGGGAAGGAGCTACCCACTTCGGGGTATCATTTATACCTACACTGATAACACCCATCCTACAGTCTCCTGAGAGCTCTACTTTCACTCAATAATGCACTCTTCACCTTGCTCACCCTCCAGTTGTCTGTGTATTTCATTTTTCCTGGATGTGGGATAAAAGCTCAGTCCCCATTGAATGGTGGGACTGAAAGAGCTGTAACACATACAGGGCTGAAATATGCCCCTCTACTCACCACATTGCTGGTGACAAGAAGGAAAGAGAAGAGCTGCAGTCCTTCAGGGAGCCCAGACCTAGGAGCTCCCTGAGCCAAGACTGAGATACCCTCTTTGAGGTTCTGTGGTTCCTGGAATCTCCAAGCTCCCGGGTGCCACTGCGTTCCCCAGTGCCTGTAGCGGAAGCCACTTGAGGTACACCTGTTCCAGCCACAGCCTTGCAGGGAGTTAGCACCCATGCCAGTGCCTGGAGCTGCCTGCCCTGTCACAGTTGGTATGTCTGGCTGTGTGCAGTGGCTGTTCACTCATTCACACACCCCCCACTCACCCACACTCACTCACTCATGCACCCCTCAATGTTCTGTGCCTGGCTCACCCTTGGCAGGCATGGGATCCAGGCCAGTAGTGTGAGCTGAATGCAGCCTCCTGGGCCAAGTGGGAAGAACAAGCCCAGTGGGCCTGAGCAAAACTTGGGCAAAGGAGCCACCAGCCACAAAGGTTTCTGGCTGGCAAAGTGACACCCCAAGGCTCCTGTGACAAAATGATCTTTGAAAAACCTCCAAATTCTTGGGGGAGACTGATTTGAGTAATAAATAAACTGATCTTCTGTTCAGCTGGCTCTGTGTGAACTAAACTCTTTCTTCATTGCAATTCCCCTGCCTTGATAAATTGGCTCTAACTGGGAAGTAGGCAAGAAGAACCCATTGGTCAGTTATATCCCAAGTATTCTATGTATAGATCACAAAAATCTCAATATACCTTTGTAAAATTTGTAACATCAAATCCATTTTATTGATTTCAAAAAACGAAGATTCAGATAGGTCATGAAAATTGACCAAAGTCTCACAGATGGTAAGAGGCCATGTCAGCCTTCAAATACACGCACTGTTACAGTCGGTAATCAGATATGAGCAAGGCAGGAGAGGACCCACCCTCACCAGGAATGTCAGGCAAACATCAGGCAATGTTCAGGCAGTTGTTAAACTGTCTCTCTATAATAATAATTGGTCACAACCAGCACCAGGGAAGGGCTGTCTCTCAATAGATAGAAAATCTGAAACTGGTGATCAGCAGCTTCCTGATGAGATCTCAGGAGTTGGGTGAGTGGGCCCAAGCATGTGCACTAAAAGGTAAAATAGCAGAGTTTAACTGAAATATGACCTTCCTCTAGGAACACTTAACTGGTAAGGGAAAATGCCTCAAGTGAGCATGTGTACAACTTCAATAAACACACTGCACATGCAGCCGCTCCCAAGTGCTAGCAGGCCACTGCACATGCAGACAGCCCACTCCGCAGGAAGAATCACAGAAGTAAAGCAACCCTGGAAGCTGCCAACACATAAGACCCCAAGTCAAAAATCAAACCGTGCATTTGAATCTCAAGTTGCCTGCTTGACCCTCTTCCACATGCACTTTACTTTTGTTCCTGCTCTAAAACCTTTTAATAAACTTTCATGCCTGCTCTAAAACTTGCCTTGGTGTCTCTCTGCCTTACACCCGTCAGTTGAATTCTTTCTTCTAGGAAGGCAAGAACTGAGGTGGCTGCAGACCCATGTGGATTCACCACTGCCAACACCACGAAGGACTCCAAAGCCATCTTGGAACTATGGAACAGTGGGGCTTGGGGTGACACTACTAAATTAACTCAAGTAATATATGATTGCAATCATCATTGAGAACTTAAATTCTTATAAAACATCAATTAAAAAGAAAAAGCACCCCCTGGCCATATACACACATACTCATGCCAAACCATGTCCTCAAACTCAAATGGAAAATATAACACTTGGGTTTAAAAAACAACAAAAAAAAGTTATAATAGTAAGATATATCAGTGCCTCCCAACCTTTTTGGCACCAGACTCTGGTTTCAGAGAAGACAATTTTTTCATGGACCACATTAGGGGATAGTTTCAGGATGATTCAAATGCATTACATTTATTGTGTACTTTATTATTATTACATTGTAATATATAATGCAATAATTATACAACTCCCCTCAGCGGGAGCCCTGAGCTTGTTTTCTTGCATCTAGATGGTCCCATCTCAGGGTGATGGGAGAGAGTGACAGATCATCAGGAATTAGATTTTCATAAGGAGCATGCAACCTAGATCCCTCACATGCTCAGTTCAAAATAGGGTTCATGCTCCTATGAGAAACTAATGCTGCCACTGATCTGACAAGAGGTGGAGCCCAGGCCATAATGTGAGTGATGGGGAATGGCTGTAAACATAGATGAAGCTTCACTGACTCACCCGCCGCTCACATTCTGCTGTGAGGCCCAGTTCCCGATAGGTCTCAGTATCTGTATCTGTCTGTGTCCCAGGGGTTTCAGACCCGATATATATGACATGATGGGCTTTCTTGGATAAGTAGTTGGATAGTATAAAAAACTATAAGTGTAGAGAAAAAGTAGCTGCTGCTCAATTTGAAATAATTCTCTCAGCCACCCAGCCCCTAATCCTTCAGTCAAAATTTACCGAGCCACTAGCATAAAGCACCCAACTAATATAAGCCAGATAGATTCTATCAGGACCTCAAAATGTGAATACAGTTACAGAGATGCTAATGGTTGCTGGAACTGAATTACCTTGGAAAGTCTATGAGGCCTTACCATTGTGCTTTCTAGTGCTTCCCTAGTCCCTCTCCTTCCAGAAGCTGGGTTGTGCAGCCCTTCCAGCTGATCTGTGAACTACATAATAATCTTTCCTAGAAAGCCCTTTCATTTCTTGTAGCCAGAGTTTGTTTCTGTTGCTTGCTCCTTAAGTAAGCACATTAAATATGTACAACTGTAAATAAAGGATACTATTTACTAGGCCACTATTTTATAGACATTGATACCTGTTACAGAATGTGAAGGAATTAAGGATAATGTTGAGTACCAAAAACATGATAAACCGCATGAGAGACAAACTGAACATAACTAACTCATAAGGGAATTAGGATCTCTATTCCAATTCAATAACAGATCTTATTCAAACCAAATGTACCTACAATGGCTCCTTCAACAGCATATTCAATAGGGAATTTTTATTAATTCATTTGTTTCAAAGTTCAATTTCAGAGATTCTCAGAGCCTTTGGATTTACAGATAAATCTCAATGTGTGGTAAGATCTTAAGCTAAATTCGCAAAAGAAAAAAAAAACTGCATATTCCATCTGTTTCATCCTTGTAAAAGTACAGTTGCCAAAATAAGACACACTAAAAACCCTCCTGACATTCTGAAGCTGGATTTGATTTATAAAATGTTTTCTAAAACGTTTTCTAATCCAGAATGGATGATTTTATTTTTTTCACATGCAATAATGTTAATATAAATCTGATAAGAAAATATCATATTTAGAAAAAAATAGATTTGCAAAGGTCAAGTCTTGATGATCCAAATCATAATCTCCCTCTCTGATGAGATCACCTATATCTATATCTTAAAGTGCTTAGTAGACTTAGTGCATAATACAGGCCTGACTAACAGGGTCCTCTCTAGCTCAAAATGGAAACAACTGACTTGCAGTTGTTTCCTCCTTAATGCCACTCAGTTAGAGCTGACATAATAAATTACAGGTTTTATACATACATACATACATGTTTACTTGTGTGACACACACACATATACAGCCCAGTGCTGGAAACTTTACACATATTGTCCAATTTCATCCTAATACACACCTGTAAGACATTTCCCAATTTTAAGGCAAGGAAATTGAGATTAAAACTGCACAGCTGGCCAGGTGTGGTGGCTCACGCCTGTAATCCCAGCACTCTGGGAGGCCAAGGCAGGTGGATCACGAGGTCAAGAGATTGAGACCATCCTGGCCAACATGGTAAAACCCTGTCTCTATTAAAAATACAAAAATTAGCTAGGTGTGGTGGCACGTGCCTGTAGTCCCAGCTACTCAGGAGGCTGAGGCGGGGGAATTGCTTGAACCCAGAGGCGGAGGTTGCAGTGAGGTGAGATCGTGCCACTGTACTCCAGCCTGGCTAGAGTGAGAGAGAGAGACTCTGTCTCAAAAACAAACAAGACAAAACAAAAAACAAAAAACGAAAAACTGCACAGCTAATAAGGTTATAGCCAGGATTCACAGGCAAGTCCCTCTGACACCAAGTCCCATGTACCACATTAACTCTTATTGAAAAGCATTAGGGATTTGGTTTTCATCATATTTACTAACTTATTTTCTCACAACCAATGCTCAGAAGGAAATTCTCATTCACTGACTCTCTGAGCCTCTTCTCCCCATCCTCAAACTTGGTTTGTCTCTCACCCTAGCACAAGCCACAGCAAAAGCAGCATTTAAAAAACAAAACAAAACAAAACAAAAAAAACCTCAGCTGAAAGCCTGGTCAAAGTAATTAATGAGGTATGAACAACTCTTTTCTATTTCAAGTAAAAGGAAAAGTTATAAAGAATTAGCTGCTTATGACTTAAACGGGATGCTTCTGATTTCCATGGTGTCAACAGCTTGATCAAGCAAGCAGCACAGTCAGCCAGAAGCAATATATATCCCTAATAATCCTCTACCAGTTCTCTCCTCCAGAAAAAAAAAAATACTTTGGCATTTAGACAGGGCAGATTCCATGATTAAATATCTGATTTTCAGCCGGAGGTGCTTTTGTCTACCTACCCTTCTCCAGTGTATTTTTTTAGCTTTCAATGAGCATATTTATTTTCTCTGTCACTTAATTATAATCATTATGTCTTGCCCACATAATCATCTTTTCAACATATCACTATTCGTTTTAAAATGGTTCAGTATTAAATGATTCAACTGCACCCTTAGAAAACATATAATCTAAATGTTGAGAAAAACCAAGTAAAAATAAAATACGTATCAGTGAGCTAGGTCCTGAGGTTGCTGGAGAAGATTTAACTATTTAGCAGATGGTTACAAGCATCGTTAAGTAGTGAGAATCACTAAAATTCAAATAATAATAAATAGGTATAAAGGAATATTCTAGAAAAAAATATTAAAACCAATACTATATTATGGTTTTCCTATGGAATACAAATAGGTAACTAAAAGTCCAAAAGGGCTTTAAAAATACTGCTAACTATATATATTTGGGTGACATTTACGTCTTTATGTAGGTGGGCTGAAAATATCACAATCCCACTTCTTTTCAAGAGACTCTGACATCATCCTATTATGTTGTCACCATTATGTAGGTTACAACTATACACATGGAGAAGCCACCTCATTTTCAGATTTATCCAGTACAAAAACTCACCTACTTCGTTTCCATTATGTTTCAAAAGCAAGTATCTATAATAATTTCATTTCATATGCTACAACTTAATCTCCTATAGGAATACATTGCTAAAATAAAAAGATTTTATAAACAGACTATAGGTCAAATTTTTAAAACAATATTTTAATGGGATAAATTCAAAATTTTTATTGAGTTTTATGTATCCTGAGAACTAGGAAAAATGAAGAACACAAAAATATAGTGGAATAAAATAGTTGGTTGGAAACAATAGAAATGTTCATTTACATGAATCCATTCAACAAATGTTTACTGATTACCTACTTTTCCTCAGATCTGCACGAGATGGGGATTGGGGATACAGACAGCAATAGAAAACAGACTTTCCTTGATGTATAATTCTGAGAGGAAACAACACGTGAAGAAAAATACAGAATTTCTGATATTACAATAAAGGAGGTAGAAAAGCAATATTGAAACAGACAAGAGAACTTCCTATAGTATCTAACACAATTTTCTAGAAATTATGTAGAAATTAATTTAGAATATGTATAAAAATTCCTCTAAGTATCAAAAAATGACACTAATATCTACTTTGCTATCAGTTTACACTATCATTTTTTTAACAGAAAGAATGTCAACATTTTGAGTCCAGATCATCTGAGGGCCTGCCCATGAATTCTCACCTATTTTTCATGATCTGACTTTTCTGTGGAGATGTTGTGGTAGGAACCCAAAAGATACCAGGCTTCTGCTTATCTCCCAAATCAGGCTTCTTTGGGGTCTATTCAGAGGCCTAGTTTGCTCTCTACCCACCATTTTCACACAAAATATTCAGCTACCAAGAAATCTTAGTTTAGAGGTAGGTATACCTGTAAACTATATCTATATAAATATAATATAGATACATATAACTACATATATAAATATCTGAAGAAATCTGGTTCCAAATTTAATTCCAAATTTAAATGTCCATGTATTTAAACCATTAGTAGAAACATAACCATCATGGTTTCACTAAACATAATATCAATTGTTTTCTAACGTTTTAGGCTAGCATTCAAAATCCTCTGAGATCTGACCGTCACCTCCCTTTCCAGTCGTTTTTCCCCACTCATCATACTCATATCAGATATGGGCAAATTATAGTCTGCCTGCCAACTCTGACCCACTCTGATTTTGTAAATAAACTTTTACTGGAACGCAGTCATGCTAATTCATTTATACATTACCTATGGCTACACTTGCTACAATGGCAAAGTTTGCTACAATGCTATCTGGCACTCTACAGAAAAAGTTTGCAGAACCCTGTTCTACACTGTCTCATAAATGGGTCATTGGTCACTAACCAAGACAACCCATTTGCCTGCTACAACATAATTATTCATCTCTTTCTTCCATCTGAAATGCCCTTTTAAAAATCTCTACCTGTCAAAATCCTAACCTATCCTTCAAAGTATGGTCAAATGCCCCCTTTTCAAATAAATGTCCCCTTAGCCCAACCAAATGGGATCTCCTCTTCTGTACTGACCAGATTAATGATACATGATATATTCCGGTATGTTTTCCTTTTCTGTGCATCTTCTCTCTGCAAAAGTCAGGTTCTTGACAGCCCCTATTATTTCCAACTCAGCCATGAGTCATGCTAAAGCTTGAGCTAAATAAGAGTTAGCATGTGGATACTTACTAAATGAAGGGGGTGGGGGGAGAGAGGGAAGAGGAGGCGTTGCAGAGAGAGAAGGAATAAAGGGAGAGAGGTAGAAAAAGGAGAAAGAGATCAGAAGTGGCCAAGCACCTGATAAAAGGAATGATAATTGCAGGATTTCGGCAGGGGCCACCAGAAATTACAGCCAGCTCTCCAGCCCCAGTATTGGGTAAAAAATTTTAAGCTTAATCCCACAGTTGACATTGAAAAATATTTTACATTACTATAATAATTACAGCAAGAAGTAAATAATAAGATTCCTCTTCCTTTCACAAATTAATACTAATTTTTTTCATAAGAATATTTAACCTGGAAATTTTGACTAGAAAAAACAGTTTTGACTAAAGAATGATACTAGGGAGTAGAAAAACTTCCTAAATAAATATAAGGCAAATGTATCCTGGCAAAGAGTAAATTAAAAATTTTATTTTTACTACTATAAAAAAATCATCAAAGTAGTTTTACGAGTCTTTCTCCCAGGGTACTAGCACGATTTCCCTATTTAATTGGAATGAGGGCTGAAAGTTCAGAAAAGAGTAGAGGACAACGAAGGAGGTTATAAAGAAAAAGGACCATATTATTATGCATTCTGAAAAGTGGGGTGGAAAGGGTTTAATCAGTTTACTCTCTGCAGCATTTCAAATATGGACACACAAGCCTCCTTCTTTTAAAGAAACAAAAGGGTGCTGAATTAAAAAAAATCAGTAAAATAGAAAAGCCTCCTTTTCATTGCTTAAGCCCCAGATTGGATCCAAACTCTTATTGGCTTTGAGGTTTAAAAGAAAAAGAAAAAAATATGTGCGTGTTTGAATAAAAAACAAATTTACTTGCAGTAAACTAATATTTATTACAGAGAAAATGTCAATTCTAAGAAGAAATTAATGAGAGAGAATAAAGACATGATCTCCAAAGGTATAAAATGTTATGGAGCAAATAAAATATACTTTTTATCCATTAGGACTGAAGGCTTAAATAAGTGTGATTCACCAAAGCTAATGAAATGGATAACATAAAAAGAGCCTTTACAACTTAAGAACTAGCACACAATAGACAACTCAACAGAGAACAAATGAGAGAGCTGAGCCATTACTATTTGGACTCCGGTCCTTCTTGCCTACCTAAAGGACCATTTTCCTCAATGGAAATCAATCAACTGTCCCAAGCTCCTAAAACAGATTGTCCAAGCTCACTCCACAGGCATTTGTCATCCTGACTTGTTTTTTCTTCCCAATTTTTCATCCTTCCTTAGAATCACAAGCATTTATTCACTCACTCAGACACTTATTCAACATTTATTAAGGATACTTCATGTGATGGCACTAGGTAGAGAGAGACAGAAGAGCCTTCAGCCCAGTGAGGAAAGCTCAAGATAATTTTAAGTGTTTGAAAAAACACTGGTCACCACTGCCATGTAAGTACTGAGCACCTAACTCAGACTAATGTGAGAGCGCTCCTCTGTGAAGACAAAATCAGAATTGAGTTTTGAAAATGGGGTGTGAGGGGAAGGAGTGAATAGCACAGCTCCCTGAACCTGGGAATTCAATCACAGATACTTATCCTTGAGACTCAGCTCAGATATCCCCTCTGCGCTGAGGCATGGTATGACTGATTTCCCCGTCCTTTGAATCGAAACAGCACAAACTGAGTTATCACCTAAGATCAGGGTCATGTTTGGCGTAACAGATGAAAAGAAGACAGAGAAAGTAAAATTCTTTTTTTTTTTTTTTGAGACAGAGTCTCGCTCTGTCGCCCAGGTTGGAGTGCAGTGGCGTGGTCTCGGCTCACTGCAAGCTCCGCCTCCCGGGTTAACACCATTCTCCTGCTTCAGCCTCCCAAGTAGCTGGGACTACAGGTGCCTGCCACCACGCCCGGCTAATTTTTTGTATTTTTAGTAGAGACAGGGTTTCACCGTGTTAGCCAAGATGGTCTCAATCTCCTGACCTCGTGATCTGCCTGCCTCGGCCTCCCAAAGTGATGGGATTACAGGCGTGAGCCATCGCGCCTGGCCTACTCAGCAAAAATTCTTAAAAACTGAGGAAAGAACAAAGAGGTTAAGAAGAATATGTAAAGGCTCTGCCAAAAATAGAAATACATAAGCTGATGAAACATAAGAAGATATTCCTCCTTAGAGGAAAGACGAGAATTTAGCAATTCATTCAGCAAGCATGTGCTAACTGACATCATCCTCTGCACTCAATGTCCTTTTCTGAGCCCACTGCATCTCTGAGCTCATTTCCCCTCCTTCATCTTCATCCATTCTGATCCACAATGGCCTTCTTACACTTCCTTGAACACTCCAGGCACGCTCTCACCTCCAGGTCTTTGCATAGGTAATTCCTTCCTCCTAGAATTGTCTTCTCTCTGAAATCCAAATGGCATACTCCCTCACTTTCTAAAAGTCTTTGTCAAAATGACACTTCTCATGACTCCTGTCCTCCCAATCTGACTTTCCCGTGTTTCAGGGGTCCCAAGACCACCTTAAGCCTGGTGATTCACCAAAAGGAATCAAATGTCCTTTGATAGGTTATACTCACAATTATGCTTTATTATAGTAAAGGATGAAGAGTAAAACAACACGAAAAACATATTTCTTCTAGCTGTGAGCTGCAGGGACACAGGCAAAGTGTCTCTACATAGGGAAGGCCAATTGAGTCTTAGGGTCCAAAGCTGTCAAGGCATTGGTCATGTGGACACATTCCTGTAACATAACTAGCCAGGGCAGCAAAAACACAGGACCCCCAGCATAAATCGTGTGTATATCATGATCCTGCTAAATGATCCTAAGAAGTCTTGACAAGCTGGAACAGCATACCCCGTTGCTCCAGATATATAAAATATCATCATCAATCAGTAAAATAAAGAACACTCTGAGGGCCACATTCCCAGAAGCCGGCCAAGGACAATCATAGCTCCAGGCTTCATGACAAGCAAGGATAGAGCAACCAAACTTGCTGTGCTAACCCACTTCTCAACTTTGATCTATTTTTTCCATAATATTTTTCCATACTACCTTCTTAACACATATATAACTTACTCATTAGGTTCATTTTCTGTTTCCCCAACTAGAATGTTAACTCTATAAGGTCATGGACATTCTCATTTTATTTACTGTATCCTCAAATACCAATACTTATTTCTGAATGAACGAATATTTGAATTAATGAAAGAATTAATCCTTACTTTTATACCAATAGATGGGACTACTGGCTCAAAACCACTTAATAATTGCAAGGAGAGATGCAAATGTGTGAAATGAGGTAGACGGCCTTGAAGTAGAGGGTGGGACAAGAAGATGGGTAAGCAATCATTTCTGGCACAGAACATTTGTAAGTTTTATACTTTAAGCAAAGTACAAATTCTTTAATTCTTTAACATTTCTTCCTTCAGCAACTTCTTCAGTAAATATACTAATTCTTTTGAGGTTAAAAAAGGATTTAAAATGCAAGATTAGGACCAACATTGTTGCTTTGCCTTAGAAAAACAAACATATGAAGATTAAATTCATCATTTATCTGTTACCCAATTTTAAGTAATTAATTGGAAAAATACTAGAACCAAATTTGAAGTTGGCAATAAAAATGAGAATAAATAATACAGTTGAAAATAATAATAAAAAAAAGACATAAGGGGGAAAGTCTCATTTGAGAAAACAAATTTTTGAATATAGAATTACCAAATCTATTTCACACAGACTATTTCTAATAAATTACTATTTAAAAGAGTCATTTGTTGGGAATCTTTTAACAGTATTGTTCATCCTCCAGGTGTTTCAAATTATTGATAAAACTATATGAGAGAGACAAAAGGACCTTTGGGGAATCAACAATTACTGAATGTTCCCTCTCATGAATGTAACAGTGGAAATCTGGTTAGATCCATTTGCTAGGGTACAATACCCCCTTGGGGATGAATTAAGTGTGAATTACTTGAATTGGATACAGAGTACCCTAGCCTCCTTTGCAACTTAATGACTCAATGCCCCTAAGTATTCCCAATTTAGTATAATTGATGAATGAAGTCTGGAGACGACTATATCATCTCCAGGCCAAAAGGAGAATCAAGCTATTACTATTTATATAATTAATACCCTGAAAAGGATTTATCGTCCAAAACTGAAAATGCCCACAAAAAAATATTCCCCCAAAGTTCCTAAAAAGGATGCAATATCCTCAACACCAAATAATTGTAAAGTGTGATTACTATTTTGAGCTGCACAACTCCAAGCCAGGGGAAATGGGGTAAGACTGAACTCATGATTGGAGTCCATGTTAACACTTTTCAATAGAATGAGCTTTAAGATAGGGTTAACTGTCTGTACCAACTGGGATGGCCAGTGACCTCCACCTCCTGCCAAGAGAACTGTTTAGTACAGCCCAAAGGCCATCATCTCTATCTATGCCCTATGCCACCGGACAACCCAGTCCTCTCTATCCTGCAGCAGAGAAGTTTTCTTTACTGCATGATAAACATTCATTTACTACATGAATGCATGGTGTTTCATGCATTCAAAACTTGATCACTGTATCATGCATTCAAGTTTCAAAAACATTAAAATGTGAAACAGTTGATCACAGAATAAAAAAATGGTACTGTAAAGCACATATGAGCACAGTGCCTTGAATCTAGTTAAGTCCCTTTTTTTTAAGTACCTATTTTTAGTGGTTCCATATCTTTAATGCCGAAAAGAAACAGTGTGATCAATCTTTTCTTAGAATGTATACAGGCTTGTCAGTTGAACATCTAAAATGAACAACATAATGGACAAAAACTTAGTAAATAAACTCTGTGTCATACCTAGAACAGAAAATCATCAAAAGCCTGAGATTTGGGGCAGGTCCCAAACTATGCTCAAAGCTACCAAAGGTGATATAACAAACTCACAGGGGTGCCAGAAGACATTTTAAATTTTCCATGCAAGCACAATAATACTAACATCTGTTAGACATCATAAACTCCAGGGAGTTTACAATTTCAGCATTAGATCATACTATGTTCAATTAAATGACATTGTTCTTTGTAAAGCTGTGTTTTCAGTAACTGCTCTGATAGAAAGTAAATACTTCATGAAAATAAATTTGAGCAGAAAATGAAGGTGGAAATGTTCAATCTTATTCCAACGTTGGCAAAGTTGTGCACACATACCCCATTAAGCAATTAGCAAATATGGTTTTTTTTTTTTTCAAATGACTACTAAGTTAGACATCAAGTTGTCTTGTTACCAAAATACTACTGAGACACTGAGGGGACTGTGAACCAAGAAAGTTTTAGAGCCTTTGTTTTGTGCAGTCTTAATGCTACATACTTTATTAAGCACCTACTATATGCAAGATCTGTACTAGGCACTGAGAGAGACACAAATAAATTAGTAGCCTTTAATATGTTTACAAGTCAGAAGGAGAGAGTGATAGTACCAAGAAAATTACAGGTAAAGTGAGAGTTTAGAGAATTGTATAATTAAATTATTCTGGCTAACAATGTTAAGCAAGAAATCAGTCATTTATGAACTCTTAGTGTATATCTAAAAGGTGCTTGTTCACTTTATTGTCTTAGTAAGAACATTCTAGAAAACGTGTTTTCTTTGAAAAAAACATTTAGTATTCTAAATACACGTTTATTTTCTGAATGCATGACTGATTGCTTGAATAAATGAAATGTTGAATGAGAATCTTATATAACCTCAAGATTATCAATTTTCATAATGTGTTACTATTGTTAACCTTCTCTAGAATGCTTAACTCTCTTGGCTCAGAACAGCAATTCTCAACCCTGGCTACACATTAGACTTACCTAGGAGACTAACCTTTTGCCACATTCCCAGGCCCCACCCCAGCCCCAATTAAGTCAAAATCACTGCAGATGGATGGAGTCCAGAGAAGCATATTTTTGAAAGGTTCCAGATGATTCTAGTGCACAGCCAAGATTGAGAACCACTGACCTAAAATGATAAATAGGTAATATCCTGAAGGGATAGGGATATGACCTAAAGCCATCTTCTTCGGTTCATATTTAATTGTTCTGTTTCTCTTACTAAAACAGTAAGAATTGAAATTGCTTATCTTCAATATCATTGATATTTTATGGCTTACTCCCAAATCCTGATGCATACCCCTAGAGGCACAAGCACCCCAGAGAATCAGAGAGGTAAGATACTGACAAAAATGAAAGCTGACCTTTGATGGCTACCAGATCTGCTGATAGTTACTATTATTATTTTAAACAAATTACTGTTATCTTCAATTTTCTGCTCATTTATTTCTGTGTCCTTCCCGTATTAGAAATGTCTGGTTAACTCAGGGTTTGGGTACATTTAATACGTTTAATTAGAGAGTTTTTGTTTTGTTTTGTTTTCTTTTCTTTTTTTTTTTTTTTTGTACATGATCTACACAGAAAATTTGGAAAATACAAAAAACTATAGAGAAAAATAAAAATATTTCCTAATCCCATTTTTCAGAGTTAACTTGATTTCCATCCAGCACTTTTAAAAGCACACTGAAAAAAGCAGACCTACAAAATTCAGATCATATTGTGTCCCTGTGATTACTTGTGTCTACATTTGTATAAGCACGGTAATGTATTCAAGAAACTCACCAAATTGTTAATATTGACTGTATCAGTAGGAGCCATTCTGGAGAGGGGATACTATGTGACTCACCAAAATGTATGACATGACAACTACAGTGAGCATGTATTAAGTAGGAGGGGAAAAAGAAAATTAGCCAATAAATAATATTATGGCCAGGTGTGGTGGCTCACGTCTGTAATCCCAGCACTTTGGGAGGCCAAGGTGGGCAGATCACCTGAGGTCAGAAGTTCGAGATCAGCCTGGCCAACATGGTGAAACCCCATCTCTTCTAAAAATACAAAGATTAGCCAGGTATAGTGGTGGGTGCCTGTAATCCCAGCTACTCAGGAGGCTGAGGCAGGAGAATCACTCGAACCCAGGAGGTGGAGGTTACAGTGAGCTGAGATAGCGCCATTGCATTCCAGCCTGGGCGACAGAGCGAGACTCCGTCTCAACAGAAAAAAGAATATTATATGCTGTGTTTTTCAGTTAAGATTATACTGCAAACACACAACCATGGTACTAAATATTTCTAAAATTATCTTGTTTCTTATTTAAGAAAATTCTATGGGTTATTATTAACTATTTTCTTATTACTGTATGTTTAGACCTAATTTTTCACATTTGGAAACAATGCTTTAATCAAAATATATTTTCATATACCTTTGTCTAAATTTACAATTGTTTCCTGGGGAGGAGAAATAATAGGTCAAAGCTGTGAACTGTTCATAGCTTCTTGATGTGCATTGCTAAAATGCTTTCCAGAATGTGATGCCAATTTATAATGTAAACAGGAGAGTATTCCTATGTTATTTTACTGTAGTCAATATATCAATGTGACTGCTCCTGTCTCCGCAGGGAGTTAACAGGGAAATTAATGCTCAGTATGCTTTGAAATAATTATATTTTCCGTTAACTTAG
The DNA here is from genome assembly GCF_000001405.40 of Homo sapiens. Classification (NCBI taxonomy): domain Eukaryota; kingdom Metazoa; phylum Chordata; class Mammalia; order Primates; family Hominidae; genus Homo; species Homo sapiens. Next base: position 186,719,587 of record NC_000002.12, on the reverse strand, counting down.
CTTTCATTCCCAAGATTGTTGTTTTATTTGTTTTTTTCTCACAACAGTCTCTTGATAGATTAAGAGAGCTTCTTATAAAGAAAACTAAACACACAAACAATAGCCTGATAGAGAGCAACAACAGTCCATATACTATTTTGTTGTTTTGGGATTCCATTGGTAAACTCACATAATTTATTTACAGTGAAATAAAGTGGGGAAAACTTAATGAAATATCCATTTTTCCCTTTTACAGAAGCCTTTCTCTCCTTGTTCTATCAATGCGCAAAGTATGTTTAGATCAATGAAGAAAAAAATGGAACTCAGAAACTGCAAGATACAAGCTTCGGCATGTCTTTTAGAAAGGGTTTGAAACCTTCTGTCAGCATTTCATTTAAGTAGATGAGACACACCATGCTGGGAGAGTGGGGAAAGTGGTTAGATTTAAACAGAATTAGATGGAGCATTTTCTCCAATGTTTCTCTGACACCTTAGTAAATTGTACGGTTTTCCCTGTAATTTAACATCTGAAAGGAATACTGACCGGTAAATACAAATTCAGGTGCTATGAGAACATTGAGTGCCTTAAAGAATAGCACAGCACGAATAGCACAGCATGAATAGCAGAGCATGAATGAGACACAGTCTACAGCATTAGCAGACAGCAACTATATTGCCAGGAAGGCCTGGAAGTTTTAAGCAAAATAAGAAAAATATTAAATTGAAATATCTTAAAGGAAAAAGCAGATATGACACAACACATGTGCAATACACATTTCGTACAAAAGAAAAGTCCGTAGGTAGCATCTCAATATTTTTTAAAAATTAAGATATCAATTAAATTTGCCTCAGTAAACATGAATACTGACCAGGAATTAAGTAAAATGCCAGGTCCAGTAGGAGTATACGGCATAACAGCTTCTATTTATTCAACACCTTCTTTGAGTTAGTAGCTAGCTATGTTAGATGTGTATGTAAGTATATTTAATATTCCCCAATTTCAACCTGAATTAATTCAAAATCTAATGGGAAAGGCATACAAAATTATACAAACAAAGTATTACAGGGATAGAGAAGAGGGAAATATGAATTCTAAATGAGGGAATATGGGATATTTTCAAGTAGGAAATAATTGAGACTGAATTTGAAAGAGTAGATTTGAAAACCTAGAGTTGAGTCAAGGGTACATCAGAAAGAAGGAATAGCGTGAGAAAAAGCACAAAAGTTTTAGAAAAATAAATGCCATGTTAAGGGAATGACAGTCAGCTGTAGCAAGAAAAAAGCCTGGGAACAATGGAAATGACTGGATTTCATTCCGCTGCTGATGTAAGGAAGGTTGAGCCGTGTGTGACAAGACCTTTTTGGTACAGAAAGACCTCTCTGGGAGCAATTTGTAAAATGGCCTTAGACAGTCAGAAACTGGATTAGCTATTGAAATAGTTTAGGAGCAAGAAAAGAAAACCAAAATTAGAGCAGAGGCAATGACAAAGGAGGATCAGAAGCAAAAGCATTTCGGATCTGGCAAATGACACAATATTGAGATGGGGAAATTTTTAAATGATACTGAGATTTTTGAGTTTCAATAACCAGGTAAACATAAATAATATTCATTTATTTATAATAACATTTATTGAGCACCTAATAATTGTCAATCAAGGTGATAGGCACTGACCATCAGCCAAACAGCAAAATAGCAATGGACCATACTCCATAGGACTGGAAAGTCTAGCAGGAGGTTGCAGACAAATCCGTATGTCATTACAACTAAGCATGAAGAAAGCTTGCATTAATAAGTCATGTGCTTTGGAAACACACAGCAAGACACAAAGCCCAGACTGGGAAAGTCCAGAAAGATTCCTGATAGAAGTGAAAGGTGACACCAGAAAGTCTCTCTTCACCTTAGCAAGCAGAAGCTGTCCAGAGAGAAGAGACTTCCAGGCAGAGAGAGAAAAAATACTGAGGCCTAAGGTAGCAGCTGGCAGAAACTGCAGAGAGGAAAGCCTGACTAGAGCATGGAATACAAGAGAGAAGGAGACAGAGAAGTGGGAGGGGCATCTGATCAGAAGCATCCATTACAGTAGACTCATCTACCGTCCTCCTGGAAGGAAACATAAATGAACTTTTAAAGTCAGTCCATCTTGGTGATTCAGTGATGCAACTCCATGTAAAAGATCTCTCCTCTTAATACCAGAACAGTAATTCTTTAATCCCTTTGAGAATCTTATTTATGTATGGATCTCTCCTCACTCCCATCTCAACTGCGCCCCCAACAAAGAAAAGCATGCACTCATAAATACACAAAAATTCTTCATGCAATTTCTTTGGGCTCAGAGATTCCCATAAACTAAGGTTTTAAATATTTACTTTTATTTTATTTATTTTTAATCATGCTCTCTTCTTCACATTTTTTAAAAGAAGAGTAATTGTTTCAGTTACCACTGCTATTTTCAAAAATGTGCTCTGACTTCATGAGTAAGGATGGGCCCTTTTCCCAGAGAGGCTGTATAGTCTATTTTAAGAGCCAAACAGACAGGGTTCTAATCCCGGCTCCATTTCTCACTACCCACATCATCGTGGCAAGTTACACTACCTGTCTGCCTGAATTTCATTCTATGAAATGAGGACAATGACAGCACCTGCCTAACAGATATACCTCACAGGGTTATCAGAGGATTGCATAAAATAATATACTCAATGTGCTTAGAACAGTAACTGGTCCTGAAGTATTACTACAGTAAGTACAACAACAACCACAAACTCCCAGAAAAGAAAAATAGAAGAGGAAAAACATGAAAAATATTGCACTATTAACTATGAAAATGCAAACTGTACAACTGCTTTTGAGGGGAACTTAAACAGACCTAGAAATGTTGAAAATGTACATACCATATAATTCAGCAATTCCATTTCTTTGTCTGAACCCTATATAAATTGTTATATGCCTCTAAAACGACATACCTACTAAACAGATCATTGCACCCAGCATACTACAAAGCCAAAGATAAAGCCTACCTGACAATCAGTGTGGCTTATATATACAATGCAATATTATGCAGTAATCATAGTAAGTTAATGAGATGCAAATATATCAATAAGGAAAGTCCTTCAAACATGATGTTAAGTGAAGAAAACTGCAATAGGATATGTATAATATGTATATACATCTATTACAGTATTTTAAACAGAAAATGACTGACACCAATTCAAGACAGTGATTAATTCTGGGTAAGGAAGGAAAAGGGATGAAAATGAGGCTTGATTCTATCTCTGATTTTTATTTCTTAAAAGAGAGAGAGGCCAGGCAAGGTGGCTTACACCTGTAATCCCAGTGCTTTGGGAGGCTGAGGCAGGATGATCACTTAAAGCCAGGAGTTCAAGACCAGCCTGGGCAATACAGTGAGACCCTATCTCTACAAAACAATTTAAAAATCAGCTGGGTGTGGTGGTGCACACCTATAGTCCCAGCTACTGAGGATGCTGAGGTGGGAAGATCCCTTGATCCCAGGAGTTTGAGGCTGCAGTGAGCCCTCCAACCTGAGAGACAGATCGAGACTATCTCTAAAAAACAATTTAAATATAAACTTCTGATTTTAAAAAGAGGGAGAGACAAATGTGAAGCAAACAGAGCAAAAAGCTAATATTTGATTAATCTCAGTGGTGAGCACATGGGTACCCATTACATATCGACTTTGTTTCTATGTTTGAAATCTTAAAGATTTAAAAATAAAAACAAAATAGAAGTGGAAGAATTCATTACTATGCTGAACATGTAAATATAAAAATACAAACCCAATCTTAGTTCCTATTTCCTGCTTAAACTCTACTAGCTACACCTCTATCTAGAGACAAATAGCAAAGAAAATTTCTATTACTTTCCAGCCACCCTCTGTTATGTAGGCAATCAAAATACGGTAATCAAAAAGCAGGTAATTACATAGTAAATTGTTGGGAAATCAGTCCCTTTATAATTGAAAGTTTGTCTCTCCTTCCCTGAGTTCCCACAGCACTTTTAAATGTTAACAGAGCATATTATGACATCCTGCCTTATATTTTTATGTTTATGTCCTCTCTGCCTATAAACAGTACCTTGAAACCAAATTAGTCCCAGCTAGGTGTGGTGGCTCATGCTTGTAATCCTAGCATTCTGTGAGGGGGAGGCCTGAGGATTGCTTGAGCCCAGGAGTTCAAGACCAGCCTAGGCAACATAATGAGTCCCTGTCTCTACAAAAAATTTAAAAATTAGCCAGGCATGGTGGCGTGTGCCTGTAGTCCCAGCTACCTGGGAAGCTGAGGTGAGAGGATGGCTTGAGTGCAGGAGGTCGAGGCTGCAGTGAGCTGTGATTGTGCCACTTACACTTCAACCTGGTTGACAGAGCAAAACTCAAGTCTCAAAACAAACAAAACACACACACACACACAAAACCCCTCAGTTCCTTCAAAAAGCAAGCCAAAGAGATTCTGGGCGTAGTAAATGTTTACCTGCCCTTGTTGTACTGAATGTGAGAGTTGTATTCTATGCCCATCTCTCTATTTGACTATTGAATAATTTTCCATTTTGCAGTTCAGCATATCATATTTTTTAAATTATTGGATGTTATAGACTTTAAGGAATTACCACCTCTGAAGTAAATTTTTCTAATTCTTGCTCTTCTGACAAAGCCTGAGAGAATAACACAAACTGCTTTGGGTTAAGAACTGAGCAATCTTCAAATCTTTTATTTAGCTGGCTATCTAGACACGGCTGCCTTATTAGCCTTTGCCACACTTGTCAATCAGTTCCACCTAACTGATCAAGAAGCAAACATTTATCCATTGGCCTAACTATTCAGGAAGCAATTACTGTGAACTCAATACAAGTCCAGGGGTGATGCCTTCCTGCCATTAGCTAGGCTCGGAAAGCACAGAGAAAAAAGATCATTTTAATGTGACTGAATCTTTTATTTTCAGTTACAACCAAAGTGGACTAAAAATAATTCCTATATAACACTCTGATTTATTTTTGTCCCACCAATTCTAAACTTTCATTTGATGTATTACTTTAATTTGGACACAATTTATATCATGACTAGGAATTTTTAGTAAACTCCTGATGGATCCTGTTTGGCCTTTATAATTCATGACTTTCTTCTGCTTCCTGCTTGTAGACAGAGAATAAATAGTAAATAATTTCCAGACACTTTTCTCTTAATGTGTAGTTTCTTTCATCTCATCTTTTAACAAAAGTCACGTAAAGTGTTGTTTTACTTGTGAATATTGTTAACATCAGAAAATTTTTTAGCTATTTAGATGGAAATGCCCTACCAATTTGAGAACTCAACCAGCCTCAAATTTCACAGAACACAATCTTCCAGATCTAATCAATATATTAATCAATCCGCTGCCTCCATTATAATGTTAATGCCCTTCTCTGTTGTGGAGTGGTAACTGCAATACTAGAGACAAACATAATTTACTACTCCTTTGAGGTAAGTATTAAAAAAAAAAAAATTTCATCTGCTGACAGCAGAATTCTAAAAAGACTGTTCAAAGTCACACTGTCCAACACAATGCCAAGGCTAGCAAAGGAAAAAGAGAGCTGTAAAATATTCTTGTTTTTCGCATAAAGAAGAACATTATCTTTTCAATAAAAAGTTTTCCACAGGACCACAGCCAGTATTTGTTGGCTTATTAGTATGCTGGGAATATTCTAGCTCATGTTAAGATTTTCTGAACAGAAGAATAAAAACTGTTGTTTGAATTCAAAACAAAAAGCATCAAAGATAGTGAAAAGTCAAAGCTCAGATGAATACCTCACTGATTTTTGGCTTTCAAATATATTTTTCTTGCTTTCTTGCTTTAGGTAATGTTCCAAAGACAATATTGTTTCTAGGTTGTTTTAAAAGAAAAACAGTAATTTTATTGCACAATATGCTTTAATACTTCTTACTACAGAAACATATGTACTTTTTAAAGTGAATTTACAGGAAGCACAATTTGTTTTCATTAAAAAACAAATCTGGCCTCATTTATTAGAAAGTTATAAAATGGGTATATACTTTTTCTCTCGCCCTACCTATTCAACCCTTACTCATAGTATATAAATCAATGAAATAAAAGGTTTGTACTTCTGATTTAATTTACTAAAAGTAATCTCTAATAATTATTGATAAGTATCTGTTGAATTAGGTATTTTACACATATTATCTCTAATACTTACAATAACTCTAAAGGGTGTAATTCTATCCCAGAGGAAGTTTAATGAGTTTCCCCAAGATCACCCCCCAGAAGGGGAAGAATAGATTTTAAATTACAGTTGCCATCACACTAAAGTCCATGCTCTAGCCACCAAACCATGCAGCCCTAGAATGAGTCTTACTGGTTACATGAAAGGCAGATGCCCGTGTGAGTACACAGAACCCTGACCATCCCTGAGTCCCGCCTCCCTTAACCACCCCTCAGACCACCACCCTCTCACTTCATGCTCTCCAGGGCAGCCGCACAGGCCTTCCTTCAAGTCTCAGACTCACCAAGGTCTTTCTTGTCCAACATCACAACCATGAACTGAGGTTTAGATGGTCACCCAGTTTTTTTAAGTACCAAAAAGCAGTTGATTGATTGCCCTCATTTGTTATGCTATTTGTGAAAAATAGAACTTTCATTTGATAATTATTGAAGACTGAATAATTAAATGTACTTGTTTGCAATATAGATTTAGAAATGTGTTTTTATAAGTCAGAGGCCCTTGGGCAGTATTTTGAGGAGGAAAAAGAAGGATTCATGTTGGGAAGACAGAATCCAAGGACATTTAAATTAGTACTGCGAAGTGAACAAATAAACGAAAGTGAGAAAAAGAATGTGAGCAGGAGTGAGAAGGCATAAGATTATCATCATGGACCAAAAAGTGACAAAACTCAGTGCTAATAAGAGACAAAAATAAAGGCAGAAATGGAAAGAAACAAAAGTACAGAACAGGGAAAGAAAGTGACTCTGAAAAGTGCCCCAGGTTTAAGAATTGTACTTCAGTATATTAATATGATCGACTGACAGTTCTCCAACTCAAAGCATCTTATGGTATTACTCAAGTCATCATCTTCCTATTCATTTGAACACCATCAGCATTTACCCCAAACTCATATATCTTAAATATTTTTTAATGAAAAAGAATGTTGGAATACCTATTATGTGTCTAGCACTGTGAGAGGCATGAGGACACAGCAGAAGAACAAAGAGATACAGTCCATGGAGCTTACTCTCACAAGGAGACAGACAACTATCCATTAGTCCCATTTAAACATATGTTGGGACATACTATGGGCACAAAGAAAAAGGCAGAATGAGAGATTATGTTTCATAGCAATGCACTTAGATAATTAAACATTATAAAACTCTAGGAAAATTAGCAAAAAAAAGAAGATAATAACAAGTCAAGTAAATATTGTTTAAATTATCCTGAACATTTTGGGAGCAAATACATAAATAACAAAAGATACTTAATTCCTCGGATACTTCCCTTAATATATATATTCATAACATATTATGAACCAACATGCTTTTATAGAGCACTTACTGAGCACAAGGCATTCTGCGACATAAAATGGGTGAATACAGTACCTATGCCTTAAAGAAATTCATAAGCTCAAGAGAAAGACAAGATAAACACACCAGAAACAATTAGAAACTAATTTAAAAATGACCTATTATCAAATATTGACTCACCAAACAGAGATTATAAGTGATACAATTAGATAAAGATAATCACGGACCAAAAAAGCCTCATGGAGAAAGTACAGCTAAGTTGGTTTCTGCTGGAGTTTGGACTATAAAAGAGGCAGGGCAGTGTCAATGAGAAAAAAGTGTCAACAGATTTAAAATTTGCTTGAAGTTAGGGCTTAGTGTAAGAAATAACATATAGAGTTAGTTAAGACTTTTGGTTTAAAGTTATGGAAATCCAACCAGAATTTGCTGAGGCAAAAAAAAATAATAATTTATTAAGTCATGGAATACAAGGAAGGGTTATATAAGCAGGCCAGGGGAAGTTAACTATCCATCCAGATCTTGGGAATGACTGGAACCAGGAACTCCATTTCTGTGTACTGGCTTCATCCTTTCCATTAATAGCCTGGCTGGTTTTCTCCTCAGGGTGGGGACTGTGGCAGATGACAACTCCCAGTTTTTACATCTTGCCATTTCCATCATCAAATATGGAAGGATGATGGTGGTATAACCAGAATAAAGTTGGGAAGAAGTAGCAGACAGCCAATGCTGTATAGATTCACCATAAAAGTTACAGCCAAAGAGCAGAGTTGACCAGTGGAAAATGACCCCAGGTTGGTAGGAAATGACCAAACAACAAAATAAATGGAAAGCCTGGAAGAGAGTATGTAGCTAAATTGTTACCTTCATACAACACTTGGACTTACATATAATATTAATATAAGTAAAGTATGCTATTTGCACAAATAAAAACAGGCCAAAGTAAACCTTTTTGCCACAGACCAGTCTATAAGATTCATTTATTCATTACTTGAAATTCTATACTTTTTCCTCATTTTTACATCACTTATTTAAAAGTTTTTAGTAATTGTTTTACCATTACCATTTTTTTTAAAAAGTATGACTTGTACACTGAAAATTATCCAGATCTTAAGGAAGGCATCCTGAAGCTTTTAGAGATGAAAACTCCCTGTGTATATAAGTAAGCTTCAGTTGGTTCTGCAATATTGTGTGTATGTGTGTGTGTGTGTGTAAAGACAGTAATAGAGATAAAGCAAATATGAAATTTTAACAACTGTTTTATCTTGGTGGAGGGTGTATGGATATTCATTACCCAATTCCAATGTTTCAGTGTATTTCCAAGTATTCATTATAAACAATTGGAGGCAGATAGAAGCCTCATGGAAACTTCAAATTTAAATGACAATAAAATGAAAATTTAGGAAAGACAACAATGTTTCAGCAAGATGATGCAGCAAGGGTATGGTTTGAGTTACAGGGAAGAAAAAATGAGGAGCCCTAACAGTGTAATCATCCAAACAGACGGTGTTGGGGCCTAGACAGGGAAAGTGGCCATAAAAATCAAACAGCAGGAACAGATACTAAAAACACTGTCATTGGACACTTAAAAAAGAGGGAGAAGACAGAATCAATGAAGATTCCATGCCCTCCAAGTTGGATGAGTATAGAAGTGGTGGAAATAAATAAGGTCTAAAGAGGAAGCAAATCTGTTGGGTTAAGACAGTATCTTTCGTTAAACAGATTTATACATTGCCTCTTCACAATTCACCCTCTGAATGGTGGTGCAAGTGGCATAATCTCCCGCTTAGTCTCTAAAAGCCCAAAAAGACAACACACCACACAAGTACCCTGAGAACACTGGGCTAGAGCCCGAGGGAGAACAGCCATAGTCAGCCCATATGCTTCTCCTCTTAAGCCACCTGTCTCAGTGTCTCAGTTCCCCCAGCCTGGAACAGTTACAGAATTTCAGGGATTTTTAAAAATGCAAAAACTGCATGACAGGTGCTTTATGTGATAAGAACAAACTTCAGTTGTATCCACAAAATACATCAATGCATATAGCTTAAAATAAATGTGATGCCCTTTCTTCTGCTTCAGTAATTTCCAGCTAAGTGGCCTCTTGCTATGAGTGAATCTCTAGGCTAACCCGAAAAAAAGAAAATTTCATGAATATTTAAAATTCTTGATATTTATTAGTTTTCATGAACTTTCCAATTTAACAGAAGCCCAGGCAACTGCTATGTGCAATTACATTTTTTAAAAGTCTCAATTTAGATACTGCAACCACAATAATTAACAGAATATATTTTAAATCACTCACTGCCTTGTGGTGGGGTGTGGAAATGAAATTTGAGGTCACTGAAGGGGAAAGAAGAGAAGTCGTTTCATGATACATTAGGGGAAATGGCCAGGAGGCTGGTGCAGGTGGGAAAGAGAGGTTATAGGAGACATCAACACACAACTGGTCTGTGTTGTATTCGTGTGGAGGATTGACATGTTCAGAAAACAGCACAATCTGGTCAAGATGGTGACACTCCCACTGTTTTTGTGGCAGGGGAAAGTATTTCTATTATATATCAGTGTAAAGGCAAAAAGTACCAATTGCTAGCTCATAGTAGATCCCAATAAATTGATAGAAATGGGGCTTATGTTTGAATTCTGAATTCAGTTTCCTTATTTAAGAAAGGAAGATGCATTACCAGTCTGGTTTCTTCAAGAAATGTGGGCACTATGGAAGAAGCTATATTTATTTTTCTTTTCTAATAGGGAATGATAAGCCCTAAAAATAGGAAATAAAATGTAAAATTCTAGAGACTACTGGATGAAGTTTGGATGTATGTCCCTGCCCAAATCTCTTGTTGAAATGTAATCCTCAGTGTCGGAGATGGGGCCTGGTGGGAGGTGACTGGATCATGGGGGCAGATTTCTCATGTAGCACCATGCCCTGGGTGCTGTCCTTGCAATAGTCAGTACTCACAAGATCTGGTCGTTTAAAAGCGGCACCTCCCACTCTCTCTCTCTCGGTCCTTCTTTCTCTGTGTGATGAGCCTGCTCCCTCTTTGCCTTCTACTATGACTGGAAGCTCCCTGAGGCCTCCTCAGAAGCAGATGCTGCTATATTTCCTGTACAGCCTGTAGAACCATAAGCCAATTAAACCTCCTTTCTTAAAAATTACCAAGTCTCAGGTATTTATAGCAGTGCAAGAATGGCTTAATATACATGGTGTATCTTTTTCCATCCTTTTACTTTCAACCTAAGTATATCGTGATATTTGAAGTAGTTTCCTTTAGACAACGTATTGCTGGGTTACATTTCTTTTGGTTGGTTGGTTTTTGTCCATTCTTCCAATCTGTAATTTAAGTGCTGCATTTGGATCACTCATACTTAATATAATTGTTAATATGTCAGAGCTTAAGTCTGCCACTTTATTATTGCCACAGAAAGATAAAATAGATCTCAGTCAAAAATTAAAATAATTTCCTTTTTCTTCCTTTCTACATAATTTCTAGACTCACTTTAAGTGTGCTTTCTTCTGGGAAACTCAGGCCAAATTACTTTCCCCCATACCTGTTTCCACAGTAGCTATACACACCTCAAATATACTTATCACACTATTATTATGTGTGGTCTTTTTATCTATGTCTCAACTGAGTGTTCTCTGCAAGCAATGATGATGTATTTTATTTCTATATATTTGGCACCATGCATGGTATCTGGCACATAGACATTCAATGAGTTTTGTTTAAAAAGAAAAAAAAATAGTGAAATCAGTCTTGTAGGAATCTTGTATATTCTCACCAACCCTATGGATAAACTGGCATATGATGTGTTAAATTTGCATAAATGCCAAATTTTGCTTTTCGAAGCAGGTATTGCTCTTCATCCAAAACCTGTATACTTTGACCACTTCAGTCCCAAGGTCCTACAGCCTTTTCCCTACATAAGATCCTTTTGTTATATACTCTGGAGAAGCCAGCTCAAGCATGTGAATGAAAGAACATATTCAATTACCCAAATAATTATCTATACCGAGACCTTCATTTATTCATTCAATAAATATTTATACAGGGATATAGCCCCAAGCAAAGCAATTATTGTACCTGGCCTGATCTGGCTTCCAAACTAAAGGAAAAGATAAATATGGAAATATGGAACAGATGCCTAGCCACCAATTAATTACAGACCTTTCACAAGTAGGAGATGCCTCTGAGAGTGCATAACAGAGGAACCTAGCTCAGACAGGAAAGTCAATGAAAAACCTTTTTTTTTTTTTAAAAAAAAAAAGTGGTATTTAAGCTAATATCTGAAGTTTGAATGTAATTATCCAGGTGATTGGGGTGGAGGATGGGCACTGCCTGTGTTGGATGTGGGTAGTGTTAAAAACAGAGAAGCAACCTGTGTTAAGGCACTGAGGCACAAAACCTGTCACTCCCGAGGTACAGAGAACTGAAGCAATGATGAAGTAGGAAAGAAGCTGGAGTTGAGACTGCAGTAATGAATCATGCAAAGCCTTACAGGTCACATTACGATTTTTGACTTGGTTCTCAATGTAACTAATGTGTACTTAAAAATAATCAGCATAGTAATCAGCATAGAAGGGCAGGGTTGGGAACGATCCCCAAGGCTTCAATAGGAAATTTGGATTTCAGAGCATCAAGAATGGACATAAGGAGGCCGGTTGATGTGCTAATATGAGCTAGTGCTAAGAGTAACCTGAGCCAGAGCAGAGGCAGTAAAGATGGGGAAAAATTAACAGATGAGGAATATATTTAGAAAGTAGACTCCTAAACGGAGTTTGCTGATAGATGAAGAGGAGTGTAGAGCTAGTAGCAAGCACAGCATCAACTACACTCACTCACTGGCTGCTGGAGCACTTTATTGGTTTTTAGTAACAATTAGGAAGGAAATATTTATTTTGGCTGGCATGCTAGGAAATCAAAAGTCTAGTTTTATTATTAAACTGTGATACCTGTGATATATCCACATAAAGATATCAAAATAATTGGTAGATATATTCAGAAGTGAGCTCTGGGGAGTCTTAGAATATAGATGATATTTAAAGCAACTGGAGTGGATATGACCACCTCGGGGAGAGGAGGCTGAGAAGACAGTCACAGAATGTTAAACAGAAAAATAAATTTTGTTTCCACTTTCATGTTTTAGAATGTAAGGATATTTTAATGATCTGTATATTAGTTTCAAATGTTATGATTATAATATTAATATATAATTTTCAATATAATGTAATTATTAGAGAACAAATTATTTGAGTTATAGACTTTCTACTGTACTATTGATAAGGAGTATTGATAAAGAAGAAAGGGGAGTAAATTGGGCCAAGGTTGTTAGAGCCATGATAGGAACATGTACAGTCGCTGCATAGCATCCTGATCTTTAAGCCACTCCTTATAAACAGAAAGCACAATCACCACAACAGGACTGGGATTTGTCAGGGGTGTCTATATCTTTTTCACCTTTATTTCTATGCCCTAGCTTGTTCTCTAAAGCTGCAGCTTTCCAAACTCAACACATGCTATTATTTATCTTTGGAACACCAGAATGTGCCGAGATACAAATTTCTCCTTTTGGATTTCCAAGTGAAAGATAAATTCTGTTAAGATAGAGCTAGTGCTCAAAGTACAGAAATTCTCCCTGCCATTCACTCTTCATAGTCTCTTGCATTTCCAGTGTAATCAGTTATTAATGATATCATGAGAAGTGTGAATCAAAAAAAGAAAAATATGGGTTTCACTGAGTTTAGAGATGATATTAATTCCAAAAGCCTGGAACAGCATTGGTGATAAAAATAGCAAGTTAAATTACAGATTTAAATCACTGTAGACTGAAATTACTATTTTGACCCCAAAACAGCTTAGAGACCAAAGATTAATACTTATCTCAGGAGAGAGGAAAAGGTTTAGGTTTTTATAAATGCCTTCTTTGGGAATTACTAACAACCAGAGTAAGCCCTCATCTGCTAAAACTGATTGAGGTTTATAATCAGGCCTGGAGGGATTAGATGACTGGAAAATCATCAGAGCCCATATTAAGATTAACTCAATCTCAGTGACTATCTTTCAGTGGAACAGCCATGAGCCAAAATGCAGAGAGTTTCTGGATTGACTGCCAATGAATTCTGAACAAAGGGTTTTTTCAGGTATAAGGTATCCCACCCGTTTATTACATAACAAAACCTAGATATGAATCAATTTCAAGTCATGCGATTTATCAGAAGATATTTATTACATATTGGCAACCATTCCACCAACAGAATGGAGAAACTAATGCTGAAAGAAGTGACGGAGATACATGCGTTCTAAGCAATCACATCTTTTAAGGGTTTAGAGCCTTCTGGTTGGATTGGTTATATGGCTGTCATGCTTGCTAATTTTACCCATCATATCTGCACAATAACAACAACAAAAAACCTTCACAGGTTAAGAAAACACAATGTTTTTTGAGTCTAAATGTTATTTGAGTCTGAATGTTATCTTTGTTCTCTTACTGAGTCCACTTACAAAGGCTTAATTAACCATGGTAGGTTTTCTGACCCCTTTCAGGGGTCAGAGATGCCTTTGAAAATCTCAAAGCACATTGAACGTTAGATAATTGCAGATTGTCTAATTAGTTTCAGGGTTCCCAGGAACCCCCTACACCCTTCTATTGGCTCCCTTGAACCTCTGCGTTGCCATGAGGTAGGAGGCAGGACTCAGACAACAGACCAAACAGAGGACTAGCTAAAACAGGGACAGGGCAGAAGCAGCTTTCCATAAGACATGTCCACCAGTGTGCCATGGCAACAGCCTGGAGTTACCACCCCTTTCCATGGCAAAGACCCAACAACCCAAAAGCTACTACCTCTTCCCTAGAAATATCTGCATAAACCATCCTTTAATGTATATGTAGTTAAAAGTAAGTATAAATATGACTGCAAAACTGCCCAGAGCTGCTACTCTCTGCCTATGGGGTAGCCCTGTGCTGCAGGAGCAGTCACGAAGTTATAACACCATAGGAGCTGTAACACTGATGGTTTAATCAAGCTGCTGTCTTCTACTCTACCACTGACTCACCATTGAATTCCTTCCTGGGCGAAGCCAAGAACCTTCACAGGCTAAGCCCCACTTTGGGGCTCGCCTGTTCTGCATCAATAAAGTATAAAGGAATGAGAGTCCCTTACATATACATGGGGGCAAAAAGATTCACTACTTGGGAGGTCCTTCCTCCTCCACAGACTGTTGACTTACCTGACTCCCTCTCTCTTCTCTTGAGCCTCCAAATCTTCACTTCCAACATCTTTACATCCTACATTTGCCAAGCTTTATCGATGCATAGACTTCTCTCCTATTTGAAATATTATACTATGGTACAGAAGCAATTTTAAAATACACATTCTTTTGACTCCTCTGATTCACAAACTTGAAGCAGTTGGTAGTGAAAGTTTTAGATTATGAACAAGCTCAACCCTTATCAAACTTGCTATGAAGGAAATCAGCAAATTATCTTTAACTAACAGTTTTATGAGACTTTGTAATTTCCAGTGTTACCACACTGGAATGAAAAATGAAAAATTTCTTTTAAGGGTGTCTACCTTAAAAGAATGTCTTTTAAGAGTTTCTAGCTCGTGTCTTACACTTTTCAAACACTGCCAGTGCAAAGAACATAAGAGAAGGTCATTTTTACCTCCTTCTAGTTCTAAGAGCCTATGATTCCAAGAAAGTTTATTATAAAGCATAGATATTAGTATAACCCGGGAAGGGAATACTTCTGTTTTTTTAAAAAAATTATTACATATTTTAATCAACATTAGGCATTGCTTTATTGTAAATAGCATTAGATCAGATTAGTTGTTTCATACAATACTATAAAAATAATGTTTATAGTCAAAATCTGATTAATATAAAGAAAGTGAAATTTTTAGAAGTATTAAGTCATAGGTTTTCTGCTAAACCTCCAGAATCAAACAGCACAAATATATTGAAAAATATACTTCAGGAAGTACTTATTTTATGAAGAGAAGTTATTTGTCTTTAAATACAAATACTTTGAAAGTACCAGTTCATTTAAATATAAATAAGTAAATGGGTTTTTTAACTTCAGGTATACAAACCGAATTAACCATAATCCCTTGCATGACACACCCTTATCATTGCTCCATGAATGGTTCGTTTTACTTAAATAGTTAAATAAATTCTACTATGCCCATTATTTTGGTGATATTTTTTCCCCTTACACAAAAGCATGTTCTTCATCTATTTCATTCTTACAGTAAATGGATATTTTTCTGGTAATCTTGTTTCAGTCACCCAGACATTTATTAAAAAAAAAACCCTACTCATGCAAATGTCAAAGAACATTAGCAGCATGTTTCAAGTTTTAAAGAAACATAATTCATTTAATTATACTGAGCCATAATTTGACATCTTAATTTTTACCCTTTCCCAAAACACAGGAAAGGAGGCAAGAGTGGAATGGGTCACAAACTCCAGGACATCTGCTGTCGCTAACTCCTGGTTATAGCTAATCCATTAGGAAAAACAAATCACCTACCTACCCATCCTGTTTCTGTTTGTGTCATGTTCCTATTATTAAAAAGCAGAGGAATCGGTCAGTGGGAATAAAAGCATGAACACTGGTTTTATTTTATTTCAGAAAGGACAAAGGATATGGAATTTTATAATGTGTTCGGAGCTCAGGGTCCTCACAGCATGAGCTATGAGTTGAAAGTGAACATTTCTACTGGTTGACTGGTCAACTGCTCACATAAAGCCCAGCTAGCATTTGGATCCACACATACGAATTGCTGTTGGTTCAGCCAAGTAAACGTTCTACATCTCAGCAGAGCTAACAAGTGAATTAAAAATACATAATTTGTCCAGGCACAGTGGCTCACGCCTGTAATCCCAGCTACTTGGGAGGCTGAGGCATGAGAATCGCTTGAACCCAGGAGGCAGAGGTTGCAGTGAGCTGAGACTGCACCACTGCACTCCAGCCTGGGGGACAGAGTGAGATCTTTTGTGTGTGTGTGTGTGTGTGTGTGTATATATATATATACACACACACATATTATATAATTTATAAATGATATTTCTTTACTGAACAGGAACAAAACTGAACAAGAAGTGATTATACTGGCAAATGAAATATTTACTTAAATTTTAAATTATTCCCTAAATTATGATGATATAGAAATCTGCTTGAGGAAGAAAAAGCATATTAAATAGAAGTTGAAATGTCACATATAAATGAAATTAATTTTAAATCTTACTTTTGGTGTAAGATATAGAACCTTAATATGGAGAACTTTGGCATTATTAACTCAAGGTTTGAAGAGTAATACATTACTGAGGCATGTTACAGTTCTGGTTCACTAGGTCCCTGAGGCATATTTGACACATTAATAATGATGGAAAGTGATTACCATTTCCCTGACACTCGCTGCCCTACCTGAAATGGCACTCTGAATCACTCACTCATTTTAGGCCCAAATAAACTGGCCTTATATTCACAGACATTATTAACAAGTATGTAAAAATACAGCCTAGTCATTGTGACACGAACAATCATAAAAGAAAAAAAATTAAATGGCACAGAATCTGATATGTCTTGGACATGTGAATTGTGCTGATGCAAAACGCCAATTAAAGAGGCATCTCCAAACAGAATCTTCAAAGCAAACAGAGCTGTTTTCTTACGCTCACACAGTTATATAGCAATTAATGTTTTGGTCAACAGACCACATATATGACAATGGTGGTCTCATAAGAGTATAATACCATTTTTACTTTGCCTTTTCTATGTTTAGATACACAAGTACTTAAAATTGTGTTACAAGTGCCTACAGTATTCAGTATAGTCACATGCTGTACAGATTTGTTGCCTAGGAGTGATAGGCTATGCTATACAGAATAGGCGTGTAGTCAGCTGTACCATTTAGGCTTGTGTAAGTACACTCTATGATGTTCACAGAATGACAAAATCACCTAATGACGCATTTCTCAGAAAATGTCCTTGTTGTTCAATAATGCAGGACTGCATTTCATGACCACACATAGCTTTCATGGTTTTAGACTCTTCCAGGTAAGTATTTCAAAGCAAACTTTACCAATAGCACATACAAAATAGTGTATCCATTTCCTAGCTAAGGCAACTTGGACAAAAGGAAATTAAGAAACATTACACTAAGCCAAGTAAATGAATGACAACAATACCAGAGCTAACCTAGTCAGACAGAACATTGAAAGAGAATCAAGTTCAATATTTATATACTTGGGGGAAGAGCTTTGTTTCAGAAAAATAATTGGTACAGTTTCTACTTACTCACATTAAGAACACTATAAAACTGCTACTAAAACAAACTGGACTCAAATTCAACACAATGGCATATGTTTTTCAACCTGTTATCAATACCAAGAAATAACTCCTTTTGGTTATTAAAATCCTGGAAAGAAATCATAATTACCCCATCTGGGAATATGGCCTTTGAGGCATGATTACTTGGTTAATTTCAAATCCCACTTTTCCTATTGATTTTTCAAATTCCTTGAACAGAAAAAAGTAAGTAAATAAGTGCTTTCATGGATGGGAGATTTAAGTGGCTACAAAGGGCAAGAGAAAATGGTGAGATGTAGGACAAAAAGTACAAAGTAGCAGATATGTAAGATGAGTAAGTCTAAAGACCTAAGGTACAGCATGAGGACTATAGTTAGAATATTGTACTGTATACTGGAAATTTGGTGAGAGTAGGTTTTGGTGTTGTTACCACACCAAAAAAGGTAACTACATAAGAGGATGGATATGTTAATTTGTTTGACTATAGTTAACTATTTCACTATGTATAAGCCTATTAAAATATCATGTTGTTATAATATAATATGTACAATTTAAAAATAAAGTTAGCCAGGTGCAGTAGCTCACATCTGTAATCCTAGCATTTTGGGAGGCTGAGGTGGGCAGATCACCTGAGGTCAGGAGTTTGAGAACAGCTTGGTCAACATGGTGAAACCCCGTCTCTACTAAAAAAAAATACAAAACTTAGCCAGGCATGGTGGCAGGCACTTGTAATCCCAGCTACTTAGGAGATTAAGGCAGGAGAATCACTTGAGCCTGGGACGCAGAGGTTGCAGAGTGCTGAGATTGTGCCACTACACTCCAGTCTGGGCAACAGAGCAAGAGTCCGTATGAAAAAAAAAAGTTAAAGAGAAGTTTAAATTATTTTAAGAAAAAGTATACAGTAATACTACACATTAAATTTCATTATTTTTAAAGTAATCATCTTAAGAGAGGTAAGTTCCTGCTACATAGAATATTGGGGAACAAAAACATTTTTCACCGCAAAAGTGTATCAGTTGGCCAAGCAATTCCACTCCTAGGCATTTATCCAACAGATATGAAAACATATTCACACAAAGATTTGTATAAGAATATAGCAGCTTCATTCAGAATAGCTAAAACTGGAAACAACCCAAATACCCCTCAACAGAAGAATCAATAAACTGATCTGTGGTAATTCATACAATTTATTCAGCAATAAAAAGGAATAAACTACTAAATGTGCTACAAAATGAATAAAATCTGTGGAAATTATACTAAGCTGAAGAAGCTGGACACACGCCATGGATTCCATTTTGTGAAGTTCTATAAAATGCAAAATTAATCTATGATGAAAATGAAATCAACACATCAGATGTCTCCAGGTGAGGGACAGGAATTGCCTGGGAAGGGGCTATGAAGAAACTTTCTAAGGTGATATAAACATCTATATCTCAATAGGGTGATGTTTATATGGGTATATCTTTTTGTCAAGAGTGTACACTAAAATATGTACATTTCACATATGTACATTTTACCTCTAAAAGGACCTATTAAGAAAAAAAAAACAAAACTCAGTCCATACTACCCGAAGCAGTTTACAGATTCAATGGAATCTCTATCAAAATACCAATGGCATACTTCACAGAAATAGAAAAAAATAACCTAAAATTTACATGGAACCACAAAAGGCTCCAAATAGCCAAAGCCACCCTGAGCTAAAAAAAAAACAACAAAATTGGAGAAATCAAATTACCTGACTTGACATTATACTGCAGAGCCATAGTAACCAAAACAGCATTGTAACTGGCATAAAAACAGACAAAGAGACCAATGGAACAGAATAGAGAACCCAAAAATAAATCTATTCATCTACAGTGAACTCATTTTCAACCAAGTTGCCAAGAACATACATTAGGGGAAGGACAGTCTATTCAATAAATAGTGCTGGGAAAACTGGATATCCTTATGCAGAAGAATAAAACTAGACCCCTATCCCTCACCATATACAAAAATCAAATCAAAATGGATTAAAGATTTAAATCTAAGACCTCAAACTATGAAACTACCACAAAAAAACACTGGGGAAATTTTCCAGGACATTGGTCTGCACAAAGATTTATTGAGTAATACCCTACAAGCACAGGCAACCAAAGCAAAAATGGTTAAATGGGATCACATCAAAAGCATCTGCAGAGCAAAGGAAACAATCAACAAAGTGAAGAGATAACCCATAGAATGGGAGAAAGTATCTGCCAACTATCCATCTGACAAGGGATTAATAACCAGAATATATAAGGAACTCAAACAATTCAATAGGCAAAAAAACCCAATAATCCTATTTAAAAGTAGGCAAAAGATCTGCATAGATATTTCTCAAAAGAAAACACACAAATGGCAAACAGGTATATGAAAAGGTCTCAACATCACTGATCATCAGAGAAATGCAAATCAAAACTACAATGAGATCTCATCTCATCCCAGTTAAAATGGCTTTTATCCAAAGACAGGCAATAAGAAATGCTGATGAGGATGTGGAGAAAAAGAAACCCTTGTACACCACTGGTGGGAATGTAAATTAGTACAACCACTATGGAGAACAGTAGGAGGTTCCTCAAAAAACTAAAAATAGAGGTACCATATGATCCAGCAATACAGCTGTTAGGTATATACCCAAAAGAAAGTAAATCAGTATATTGAAGGGATATCTGTACTGCCATGTTTATTGCAGCACTATTCACAATCGCCAATATTTGGAAGCAACCTAAGTGTCCATTAACAGATAGTGGATAAAGCAAATGTGATACATATACACAATGGAGTACTATTCAACCATTAACAAGGATCAGATCCTCTCATTTGCAACAACATGAATGGAACAGGAGGACATTAAGTAAAATAAGCCAGGCACAGACAAACTTTGCATATTCTCACTCATTTGTGGGAACTAAAATGTAAAACCATTAAACTCACGGAGATAGAGATTAGAATGATGGTTACCAGAGTCTGGGAAGGGTATTGGGAGTGGGGAAGAAGTGGGGATGGTCAATGAGTATAAAAATATAGTCAGGTAGAACGAATAAGATCTACTACTTGATAGCACAACAGGGTAAATATAGTAAACAATAACTTATTGTACATTTTAACATAACTGAAAGTATAACTGGAATGTTTGTAACACAAATGATAAATGTTTACCCTGATGTGATAATTATACATTTTATGCCTGTATCAAAATATCTCATGTAGCCCATAAATATATACACCTACTGTGTTCCCATAAAAATTAAAAATTAAAAACAAATCCCACGTAGTGGAAACAGGTAGAAGTATGGGTGAAAAAACAATGGCAGAATTTTGACCATTGTTAAAGCTAGGTGACAGGTATAGGCTTTTATTACACTATCCTGTTTACTTTCTATATATTTAACATCTTGCGAAATAAAAAGTTTAAAAATAGATATCACTGAAATATGCAATCAAAAATTTTCACACCATGAAAATATACCTCTCAAGAAGCTTTCTCTGTACTGAAAAGACATTTCTATGATCCCTGGAGATCCCCTGTGTCTCTGCTTCACATGGAGAATTTTAAATGGAGCTCATTATTTTTCTCCAGCTCCTCTCTCCCCCAACCCCAGCATGCCTCCCATCTAATGGGCCATCAGAATTAATATAATATGGTTGTCCCAACTACCACTAGCTCCCAGATTAATTCTTCTCAGGACCCTCAAATATTTCTAACAAATACTGGTACAGATGGAGAAATAAGAGCTGTTGTATACACTGGAGAAAACAATTGATTTGATGGATACCAACCTTAGTCTTTATTTTCACTGCTCTCTGAAGATGGAGTTTTTATAAGTTAATGAGAAAATGGAAATGTACTTTTTTAAATCCTGATTTTTAAAAAATGTTCACATTCAAGTTTTTTTTTAATCTTGCTTTCTTGTTTCTCAGCAATACAAAGAGACATAAATTTTTAGAATAATAAAATCCAGAGAATACTAAGCAAAGGCAATGGTGAGTTTCTCTACTATGGACTGATAAGGCTTAGTCATATATCAGTCATTGAATGTGTCATATTTGTTTTCTAAATTTTGCCTGAGAAAAGTCCTACAGTTTTTCATGTGGCATGTCCAAAGAATCAGAAGCATCATACAGCGGTAAAGAATGAATGCAAGCTCAATCACAGCTATTTAAAGGTATATATGTTAAAATCCTCCTAGGTCATAAGAAGATTAAGTATACTCAGGTAAAGAATTATGGTTCATGCTTGTAAACCAACATTTTGGGAGGCTGAGATGGGAGGATTGCTTGAGCCCAGAGTTCCAGAGTTTGAGGCTAGCCTGAGCAACAAAGCAGGACCCTATCTCTACAAAAAGAAAAAAATTAAAAATTAGCTGGGCCCAGCGGCACGCATCTGTAGTTCAGCTATTCAGGAGGCTGTGCCCAGGAGGTTGAGACTGACTTGAGCCATGATCACGCCACTGCACTCAACCCTGTCTCAAAAAAAACCCCAAATTCTTCACAAAACCCAATAAGTAGGCCCAAGTATAGGTATCAATCAGTTTTCTGTAGTCAGCATAAGATAAACACTGAAATTAACTAAAATTAAAGATCCAAAATTTACATACTTTATAACTTCTACTTACAAACTTTCCTACATAACGTTTATCTTTATAAATCCCCTGCTAAACTCCAATGGAGAATTTATCCAATGAAGACGAACAAATGCTGAGAAAGTGAATTCATTCATTCATTCATCCATCCATCCATCCATCCATCCATCCATCCATCCGTCCATCCATTCAACAAATGGTTGAATGTCTATGGGTACCAACCAGGTGCTCTTCGAGATACTAGAAATATAGCAGTGAACAAAACAAAGTCCATGTTTTCACAGAGCTTATGTTCTATCAAGGGAAAAACAGGCTTATTAGAACAGCTGAGAATAATGAGTACCATGGAGGAGAATGAATCTGGGTAAGAGCAAAAAGGATGTGCAGATTACTATTTTAAACACCTGGTCAGGAAAAGGTCTGTCAGTTACTGAGACACTTGAGCAAACCTGAAAAATGTGAAGTTCCAGAATTCCAGGCAGAGAAAATGGCAAGTGCAAAGGCCAAACACTTGGGTCCACTTGCAAGCTAAAGAAAATAGAGCTAGTGTGGCTACAGTGGAGAGAGTTAGGGTAAGGGCTAAAGGAGACGGGAGGAAAAGGAGGATACAAAGGATCTAGACCTTGGTAGGCCATTTTCACGATCTGGGCATCTAGTATGAGAGAGACGGGAAGCCATTGGAGGAGTGTGGGCAGAAATGATCCTATTTAATGTTTTTTTTTTTTTTAAAGATCGCTAGCTGTGTGAGGAGAACAGACAGTAGGGAAACAAAGGTTGAAACAGGAAGACCAGTTCAATGGAGAGATCACAATGCATTCAAAGGAATATTTTAACTTCATTTGTCTATAAGCTGTGTTGCATTATAAGACTCAATATTCCAATAACTAAAACAGCAATCAATTGAATTACTCCCTTGTTTGCCACTGGCTTGGGTAATTAGAGTTTTTGAGGAAGAAGAATCATCATAGGTTACTTCTCAGGTTCTAGTTTGATCTATCGAAGAGTGTGGTTCCTTTATCTCAATCTAATAGGTAAATAAAACAAAAACTGCTAATTTCCCAGACAATCAGCTTTTTCAGAATATTCCCTCACAAATATCAGAAAGCAAACATTTTAATTTGCATGCTGGATTCAGGTTTCATATTATTGCAGTAGTTCATAACCCTAATCACAACATATATATATATATTACAGTAGTCAAAATTCATTTAATATTCCTGAAAGGTCCATTGAAATAAAAATATACTGCAAACCATAAAACCCACCAACACTCTCCCAGACTTCGGCTTCATAGTGAATTTATGAAATATCTCTATTAATGAGGCCAATCAATCTGATATATCCAATTTCCTTAACTTTAGCGAACAGTATGTCTAACAGCAGCCTCACCCAAACCATATTATCACTTTCAGTTATTAAAAGCTGGGTAGGAAAACCACCATACACTGTATACCTTTCAAGACTTTTAGCCACACTTGAGTGTTATTAATTGGTTTAAGAGGGTGTCAGAAACACATGCTTTCCTGCACACTTTGGTGATTTCATCCTATGCTCAGAGCACTCTGATAAATTAAATCATCCTGGCTGTGTCATGAATCGCAGCTGGCATGCCTGTGTACTGCTTTTTGACGATGAGCAAGCAATACAAAATGTGATGCTGATTCCACTCTTTCAAATCTCATTTTCAGCACTCATATAGTGTTACCAGGCAGGATTTTAAAACAAAAACAAACGTCATAATAAAATTCACTTTGGTTTCACAAAACCTAAGCCCTCGTGCCAGAAAATTGGAGGCTTTTTTTCTTTCCAAATAGCAGACAAGAATCTACAGCCATGAAGCGAAGTGGGTTGCGGGGTAGGGAGATGCAATATACATGGATAATCTAGCTATTTGCTTACCGATGGAGCTTTAATGGGGGGAAAGAGGGAGGAACTGCGGAACTGTTACAGCCACCTATACTACAGCCGTATTTCTACACCTTCACTGAACAGTGTCAAGAATCTGCCTCATTTAAGTTCTACTAACAAGTAAGGAGATTTCTCTCTCTAGGGATAGGCTTTTGCTGTTCTAACACCACTCCAGACTTCACCTTATGTGTCCCCCTCTCCTTTTCCCTTTCCTTCAATTACAAACTCCTGTTTTGTTTTGCTTCATCTTATTGTACTAAAAGAGTTCTTTGCAATAAGATGAACCCTTAAACCCTTCCTGGGGTAAAGAGAAAGAGAAATAAATAATAAAATATATAAAGATTTCTCTCTTCATGGCTAAATTTAAATATAGCAGGCATGGAGAAATGGTGAAAAGGGGTGTGTGGGTGTCCATGGCAAGATTTCTCAGTCTCTAGGAGAGAAAAGGATAGAGAACAAAATGTTTAAGGGATTTAAGAACGGTGTGTGTGTGTGTGTGTGTGTGTGTGTGTGTGTGTGTGTGTGTGTTACAGTCATTCCCAGGGCAGAGGGTAGAATTCAGGAAGAAGGGAGGGAAAAGAAAAAGATCAATCCAGGCAGTCACCCACCCCCAGCCTTCCCGACCCCTCTCCAACCCACCGCAGTGCTCTGAGCTGCTCAGAAAGCTCATTACCCGGAGGGCAGATTCCCGACACCAGATCAAGGGACCAAAGGCTGGGCAGCCAGTCTGGGGAGAGAGATCGGGAGGGATGGTGACAGGAACGAACGAGGATAGGAATGGATAGGGAAGGGGCGAGGAAGCCGGCGAGGCCCTAAGAGATCGCCGGCCGAGACTGAAAGACCGGGCTGGGCAGCCAGGACCTACCTGGAACCGTCAAGGTGGAGGTTGCCCCAGGCACCTCTGTCCTCTCCTCCTCAGCCTCCTCCAGCTGCTTTTGCTGTTGTTGTTGTTGTTGCTGCTGCTGCTGCTGCTGTTGGATGAGGCTGAGGTCGGAGCGGCTGAGTTCCGCTCTGGCGGCCGCGGGGACCAGCCGCGCTTTCAGCAGCACCACGGCCAGGCCGAGAAGCAGGGTGCAGGGGACACGCCGGCAGAGCCTCGCCATGGCCTAGAGCCAGAGGGCCGCGGCGGCATATTGCGGGGCTCCGGGCGGCGGCGGGCGCCAGGGCTGCGGGCTCCTGGCAGCGCCCGCTCGCTCGCTCCCCCTCGCGCAATCTGCCAAGCACTCCCTCACCGGCAGGAGGAAGAGGCCCGGGAGGCGGAGGGGGCGGAGGAGGAGGGAAGGGGAGTTCGCATCCTCGCGCATGTGACGCGCGGGGAGGGGCGAGCCGGGGCCCGCGGTCCCGCGCCCCGCAGCCACCTGGGGCCAGGCTGCTCCGAGAGGACGCGATGCTGGGGCTGCAGCCCGGGTGGAGGGCCCTAGGGGAAACAGAAAGGGGAGGCCTTCTGGGAGCTGGTAGACCCTCACAGCGTCCACTTCCCACTGAGGCACCGGGAAGATTTGCAGAGAGTGGAATAAAATTCCTTCCACCTGAGCCCAAAGTAGCAGAGAAGGTGGTATATTGATTACCCCCATCCAGCACATAGCGTGGGTGGCACCAACGGATCAAAAAGCCAGGATCTCAAACAAATAGGCTTTGCTGCATCACCGCCATCATTGCTTAGCTAGAAGTTAAACTGCAGCGCGCCAGATTTTGACTAAACTTCTTTTCTCTGCCCTAGTGGGAATTTCTTTCCATATCATTAAATATTCTTAATTACATTTTATCTAATTCTAGCCTATCCTTTTCATTTGTTCAAAAAAATCTTACTAAATACTAGTTGCTTACCATGTGCCAGCATTTCTTCAGGTGCTTGGAATAAGTAAAATACAATCCCTGCATTCCAGGAGCTCAACATCTATTAGGGGAGAGGAACACAGGAACAAATTAGAACCCAATGTGGTGGCTACAAACAGAAAAGCAATACAAGTCCAGAGGTCTCAGAATTGGAAGAAAATATCTTGTGTATGTAGGGGCTATGAAACACCAGGAGAGGTAGAATATAAAAAAGAGTAAGACTTCCACACAGGAGAAATCAGGAACGTGGAAGAGTGTGTGTGTGTGTGTGTGTGTGTGTGTGTGTGTGTGTGTGAAGCCCAGATGTGTGTAAGCACAGTGGGCTTGCAAAAGTGTGAGCAATTATTCTAATGGAGGAATGACAGTGTTTTAGATTGAAAAGGAGAGTGGAGACCAGGTCATTAAAAAAATAATAATAACAAGCATTTCTATAGTACTTACTGTGTGCTCAAGTACTTCACATTTGTTAACTTCTGTAATAAACTTAGATGCTGTATACAGAAATTGAAATTCACACAGTAGATGATAATGAAAGAAATTAATCAGGGAAGAAACTTGCTACCAGTTGTGCATTTTAGGAGGATCACTTTGCTCTCAGTATGGCAGATGGATTAAAGGGGGATAAATTGGAAGAGAAGATGCCAGTTTAGAGGTGTTTGCCAAAACCCATAGGAGATGCCAAAGGTCATTGAAACTGAAAAGGAGAAGAAAAGAGTAGGAGACACAGTATATAAGACTACAATAAACAGATACGGTTAATTGGAAGAGGAGGAGATATGCCTAGTGTGACACCTAAATTGACAAATTGAGATCTTAGGTGGCTGCTTATGACCTTATCAACATTAACTGGCCTAGAGTAATGAGCCCTGCCTTGTTCAGTTGTGGTCTCTTTGTATTTGGAGTAACTGTGGGACATCTCATAGTGCAATATAAATGTCACCTGCTGTGACATCACCCCATTTACCATTGTAGTTCATTGTCCTTTTCCACCCTTATCATTCTTACCTTGTCCCTCCCAGTGTTTTCAATATGCTGGAAAACAACAAACTTCTCAGTACTGGAAAAGTATTTTTTGGTTAAGCAAATGAAAATAGTGTATATATAACTAATGGTTTAGATGTTTTGTCCTTTCCAAATCTCATATTGAAATGTGACCTCCAATGTTGGAGGTGGGGCCTAGTGGAAGGTCTTTGGTTCATAGAGGAGAATCCCTCATGAATGGCTTGGTGCCCTCTTCATGGTAATGACTGAATTCTTGCTCTGAGCTCACAAGAGATCTGGTTGTTTAAAAGTGTGGCAACTCCCTTCTCTCTCTCGCTTGCTCCCTCTCCTGTCATGTGACACGCTGTCTCCCTTTCACCATCCACCATGATTGTAAGCTTTCTAAGGTCTCACCAGAGCAGATGCCAGCACCACACTTGCGTTGTACAGCCAGCAGAACTGACCTAAAGTAAACCGCTTTTCTTTATGTCACCCGAAGTTTACTGCAATGCAAATGGACTGACACAATAACCATAAATAAAATAACAGTAGGTATTTTGCATCTATTATCTCATTATATCTTCAGAGCATCTCTACAAATTAGCTCTCATTATCCTATTTAGCAAATGGAAACACTGGAGATCAGAGAGGCTCCATGTCTTGCCAGAGGCTACATTTACAGTGTGTGACTTTACCTTTCTGCACCGTTTGAGACTTCTGCTATGAGTTTGTATTGCTTTTTTAGTGATTTTAAAACAAAAATAAGGTATGTGGACCACATAATTTTGGGGAAAATAGATACTAAAGTGAGGCCCCTCACACTAAACATCATTCTTCCATCAGGACTTTCTTTCCCTGGTCTGTGTGAGGCAGGAGCCATTGGGGGAGGGGGCTCCAGAGCTGAAGGCAGCAAGTTTCCATTAGTTTCATCAAGCTGTTTTTATGGCAATCTCTTCCAAGTTACCTCTGCTCCTGGAGAGAAGAAAGGAGAAAATGGAAATGGCTCCAAAAACCTGACTGGTGGATCAGAAGGAAAGGAATGCAGCCAGGATTTCTGTCATCCTGCCTTGGGGTAGCCAAGTTATTTTTAATATAGTAGAAGCAGACCTTCTGGAGGCAAAGCCACTGGGTCATGGACCCTGGTAGAGGGTGGACCTCAAATCTTTCAATACTATGGACTGTTTTAAGAGGTAAGTGTTGTCAATCAAGAGTATTTAAATAGTTTTTAAGTGCTTCATTATTCGTGTAGTTCATGCTTAATTTCTGTGCAATATAAAAAAGCCATATTATCCGATTCAATTGGGGATAGTACTTGGCAAATGAAAAAAGTTCATCAAAAGACCAAAGTCAATACATCCTAAATATATCTTAAGCCACATATTTTACCCTAGAATAAATAAATATATATTTGTTCACAAATCTTTTGATGTAGGGCCAAGAATTTCAACCACATCCTAGAGTTTGAAGTCATAAACCACAGTTATGATATACCACTATGATTTGCAGGTTTAGTTTAAGTGGAAGTTCTCAAAGACCCTTGCCACACAATTAGAGTGCCAAGTCATTCTATGTTCAATTTTTTTCCCAAGCTTGTAGAATTTTCTCATATACTTAGTATTAAACTTATATTTTATTTTATTTTATTTTTTGAAACAGAGTCTCGCTCTTGTCTTCCAGGCTAGAGTGCAATGGAAAAATCTTGGCTCACTGCAACCTCCACCTCCTGGGTTCAAGCGATTCTCCTGCCTCAGCCTCCTGAGTAGCTGGGATTACTGGTGCATGCCACCACGCCTGGCTAATTTTTGTATTTTTAGTAGAGACAGGGTTTCGCCATGTTGGCCAGACTGGTCTTGAACTCCTGACCTCAGGTGATCGCCCGCCTCAGCCTCCGAAAATGCTGGGATTACAGGCGTGAGCCACCACACCTGGCCTAAACTTAGTTTTAATAGGAAAAATTTACTTATCTCAAATCCATATTGTATATATTCCTTATCACACATATAACTGGCAAAAAAGAAAAAGTTTGTGAAAAATATAACTGACTTTTGGCACAGGCACAACCAAATGACAGGAGTAAACATAGGCAGACATTCAGGAAGATGTAAGCTGATAACTACATTTGCCCTAAATGTTTGTCTGTGTGTTTTACAAAGGAATGAAAAATGCCAGTTAATCCAGCAAGTTATTTTCAGGTACATAGTCCATGATAAAGTTTATGCTAAACACAATGTAATCGTTAAGGTTAGAAATTCATCATTTTTAGAAAAATGCCCCAAGAGCCATCAGAAAGCAAAGCACAATACTATACACATATAATTCTTCCCCACTTAAAACCTACTGGTACCTCCTCATTACTCTTAGCACAAATCCAAAATTCCTAACATGATTTACAAAGCCGTTTGCAATATGTCCCCTGACTACCTAGGTTCAGGTTCATTTTAAAAATTTTCCTGCATACACACACACACACACACACACACACACACACACACACGGGAGTTTCTTCTATTCCTTTGAACTAGATTTGAGTTGCCCCTAGACCTTTAAATATGTGATTTTCCCTGCCTAGAAGTCTACTCCTTTACCCGTTTAACTGGCAAGTTCCCCTAGAGCCCGAAGAGTTCAGGTTAGATATTACTTCCTCCAGGATTCATTCCCTAACACCCTTAGTTTGATTAGGTGCCTCTGTTATGAGCTTGCGTGGCAACCCATATTTCCTGTTTTGATCTTATTATTTAAAATGGGCATTTACTTTTCTGTATCCTCACTTACTAGCCCCACAAGAGCCAGGACCATTATGCTCACAGCTGTGTCAGCAGCTCCTACCATGATACCTGGCATTGCTTGTTTGATTGATTACTTGGCTGATTAAATCAATAAAACAATTTTAAGAGGCAGAACTGTTGCTTAAGGGTGGAGGACCATGGTATCAGACTGCTCTGGTATCAACCCCTCACGAGTGATGTAATTTACATGAGATTCTAGGCCTCAGTTTCCTCAACTGTATAGGGGGAGAAATAGTAGAACCTAAAGGAGCTAACAAAATAAAATAACATGTGAAATACTTTGAATTTCAGCCCAGAGGAAGTCTTCGGTAAATGTTAACTGTTATTTATTTTGTTAAACTTGTATATGATTGTTCTGTTTTGTTTATATGTATCTTATATGTATATAAAATTTCTAGATCATGATGCTCATCTGAAGATAAAAAGAAAAAAATTAAAAACAAAACAAAATGCATGTTATATGCAATCACTTCTCATTTTTCTCGGTAGTGAATGTTCCATTAAGTAACCGTAAACGTTGAATTAGCAAATACTGAACCATTCCTCCTAGAGGAAATACAAGTTAGGTTCCTGTGAACCTCTCATCACAAGATTTTTGTCAACAGATCAATATAAAACTTGTTTTATGTGTGTTTCTGTTTAAAGACACCATGTTTATTTTATATATTATTGGTTCAACAACATTGAAATCACAGACAATAGCACTGTAACTCATGTCTAAACAAAGCTTACCTAACACTTGTATTTTGCCTCCAAGGCTCATCACAGCCTTCTGGTACTAAGAAGTGCTAGACAGCACTCCAGTATTATACTGGAGAGCCATTTTAAACAACAAAATCACCAGGAAAAAAGCACACAACTGTGAAAAATATGGTGCTAAATAGACCACAGAAAGGACACATTTCCATTTTAAGAGCTGAACAAGAAGGAAGAGCATCTTCTCATTTGACCTCAGCTGGGAATGTTCATGTTGGGCAACTCCATAGCTGCATGCAACAGAATGAAGTTAGACCCTTACTTCACATCATTTACAAAAATTAACTAAAATTGGATCAAGGACATAAATATAAGAACTAACATTATAGAACTCTTAAAAGAAGTATAGGGATACATTTTCGTGATGTTGGATTCAGCAATAATTTCTTAGATATGACACCAAAGGGCAAGCAACAAAAGAAAGAAATATATATATATATTGAATTTTATCAAAATTAAAACATTTATGCATCAAAGGACACTATCGTGAAAGTGAAAAGACAACCTACAGAATATAAAAAGAACTCTTACAACTTAAAGCAAAATGACAGACAACACAACAATATTTAAAATGGGCAAAGGACTTGAATAGTCATTTTTTTCAAAGAAGATATAAAAATGGCCAATAAGCACATGAAAAGATGCTGAACATCAACAGTCATTAGTAAAATGCAAATCAATCACAATGAGATACAACTTTACACTCATTAGGATGGCTATAATTTTTTTTAATGGAAAACACGTGTTGGCAAGGACATGGAGAAATTGGAACCCTCATACATTGCTGGTGGAAATGTAAACTGGTGCAGCTGCTGTTTACATTTGGAAACAATTTGGCAGTTCCTCAAAAACTAGACTAAAATTAAGGGTTATATAGCAGGGAAGAAATGGAACTATGTGTTGGAAAACGGGGATTAGGGAAGAGTAAGAAAGAGGAGTTCATCAACAGGAAACAGGTGGTTGGTTAGGCAATCATGACAAGTAAGAAGTCTGAGATCTCATTGTCCAGATGCCATGATCTGTTAAGTTTCAGTTCCTTGATACTCTCTGGGAGGCCTGCTGGTGCTTTCCTGAGAAAGGAACTCAGATAACACAAGTGTAAATTTTTCAAGTTTTAAGACTGGTAGGGTCTATTTCTATGTTTATTAAAAATAAACCATAAATATCAGTTCTATGGGACAATTGGCCTGGTTTCAGTAGAAATAAAAATGCCTCCCAAAGATGTCCATGAGGTAATTCATAGGAGCTGTGAATATGTTACCTTACACATAGTTTGGACTTTAAAATCCAAAGTGCCTTAAAAAGATTTGGCAGCAATGTAAAACTAATTTATCATTCAATACATGATAAAGTAATGAAGCTTATCCAGTGACAAGACTGCATGCAACTAGGAGAGGATAGAGAATCGGTAGGGAGAAGAGCTGGATTTGGAGAATTAAAAGTGAGAAGACAGGATTATTTCTGTATGGTAAATAAACCAGATTCTCAGTTCTGTCATTAAATCACTGCTATACTGCAGCTGCTTTAGGGTTCCCTTGAAAGGCTAGGGCTGTCCATTGGAAAGAAAGTAAAATTAGTTACTGGTGTGTCATCTCTATTTGTTGGGAATCATTAAATACCTGTGGGATGATTGAGAGAAGACCTTTCTGTTTCAGTTTGTGCTAGTAATTTAGCACCAGGTGAAGTGCTTGGGTCTGGTTTAATAGTCAAGGTGCAAGTCAGAAAGTCAAAATTGGTATTACTATCAAACAGGAAATTTACTTATTTAATAATTTTTTCCTTTTTATTTCCTCACTAAAGTATACTGAAAAATTCAAAATTACTGATTTGTCTGCAGACTAGGTAATAATATCCCTGAATTTTAAAGATGTTTATGTCTGTTATAATCTCAAAAACAACTTTATCTACATTGTTCAAAGATGAAAAAAAGTATAAGCCACCAGAATTTTCTATGAAAAACCTATCATGTACCATACACAAGATCAAAAATAATTTCTATTACTCTGGTGAAGAGCATAATTCTCCAAATTGAAAACTACTACTAATAATGTAGATCAGTTGACACTTTTTGAATAACTTAGTGATAACTAATTAATATTCTGAATACAGGATTAACTAAAGAGTAACCCCTAAAGGGTCCATTTTAACACCCTAATATCTGAGAAAGGAAGTAAAATAACTTTAAGATTAATTACTTTGAAACAAAGTAGGTATTTTTAAATAACGTGAAGGTAAATTACTGTGTAATGACCAAAGTCAAAACCTAAACACTACTTTTATTAAAACTGATAATATATTTGCTATGCTTCAGGAAAATGGGGTTGACAAGGAAATGGTATGAAAGGGACCATAACCAAATAACTTTCTAGGAAAGTCAGAACACTTTAGAAAGTGAATAAAACATTACTTGGAAAAATATTGTTGTTGCACAAATTGATATTCGGGCATTGCAACCTATTCACTAGATAACAGCAATTCTATTTTATGAGCTATGTTTAGTAATCTAGGTAATGTTGCACAGCAGAAAGCATACTGGACCAGGAGTTTGAATGTGTAAGCATTAGTCCTAATCCTGCTAGTAACTGCCTTGGCCAAGTAATGAATTTTCTGGGGATTGTTAACATTAAGAAGGGGTTGAGGCAAACTTCTTCTAGCTTATGGCTTTTAGGAGTTTGACCTTGATGTGCCTAAAAGATGTCCTGTTTAGGGTTCACTGAGCTTCCAGAATTGTAGGTTGCTATTTTTTAAATCAAATTTGCAGTTTTTGACTTCAAATAATTTGTCTGCCCCATTCTTTCTCTGAGACTGTTTTTCCACCTAGTTAGATTGTCCCACAAGTCACTGAGGCTGTTTATTAATTTTTTTTTTCTGCTCTGTGCTTCAGTTTGGATAAATTCTGTTGATCTAAATTCATTGATCTTTTATTCTATGCTACCTCACTCTACTTTTGATCCCCCTCCAATGGATTTCTGATTTCAGATACTACTTTTAATCCTAAAATATTCATTCAAGTGTATTTAATTAGTTTCCCAATCTTTCCTGAAATGCCCATCTCTTCATCCATAATATTCATGTTTTCCTATAGACCTTTGAGGATTTTCATCGTAGTTATTTGAAGTCATGTCAGCTATGGGTACACAAAGGCATACAGAATGGACACTGGAGACTCAGAAGTGGGGAGGGTGAGAGGGAGTGAGGGATAGCAAACTACACATTGGGTAAGATGTACACTGCTCGGGTGAAGGGTACACTGATATCTCAGACTTCACCACTATACAGTTCATCCATGTATCCAAAAACCACTTGTACACCAAAAGCTATTGAAATAAAAAAAAACAAATTGAAAGATAAAATATTTTTAAATATAAAAATAACAGAAAAAATAAAGTCATGTCTGCTAAATTGTTTGTGGGTCTGTTTCTATTGACTGATTTTTCTCAAAACTCTGGGTTATATTTTCTCACATTTTCCTGTTTCTTCCCATTCTTCCCCACCCTCCTCCCCTCCATGACATTGTGGATGATACATTGCAGAGTCTCTATGTTGTGTCATCTTCCTCTGAAAGTAAGTCTTTACCAGCAGTCAGTTAAATTACAGGTGTATCATAAACTTGGGGAAGCTTGGTTTTACAGTTTGTTAGGGTGGGCCTGTTTTGGCTTTTTCCTTCATCCTAGGGTGAATTAATTAATCTTTGGATGTACTACTTATTCCTAAGGCATAGATCCAATGGGGTTTCAATGGAAAAATGGGTTTTTTGAAGCCCTGTAACTAGTAAGACTTGAACTTTCATCTCTTGTTTCTTGTGCAGTGGACAGTAGTAGCTGGAATAACTGCTCCATTCTTTCAGCCTTCCCTCTGTTGTTTTCCTCTGGGCCCCTTATAGCCTCACTCAGTGCTGGGTTCAGCCAAGGATTTGAGGGAAATATTTCCCACCTCCCACCCTGTGACTGCTTCCTTTCCTGGATTTTTCTCCTCAATTTCTAGCCATAGTGGCAGTCTCATCATTCCAGAAAGAAAGACAGCTTTCTGTTGTATTCTATCCGTTCCATAGGGAGTAACCTCAGGGGTAAATGTAGCTGCCTTCTTTAACAGTTAAATCCCCTCCAATTTCTGCCTGCTTTCAGTAACTTCAATGTCTTCAAAGGATTGTTTTCCACCCTATTTTGTTAAGAATTTATCATTGTTATCTGATAAAAGCTATCCTGCCATTATTGAAATTGGAAACCCCTATTAAACTTTAAATGCCTATGATTCTGTTCTTGGTCACTAAAATTATTTATAATCTTTTTTTTAATCAAGCATGTCAAAGTATTATGATATCTATGATCAAGTTGCTTTGTTTACAAGAAAGTTTTTAATTAAAAAAAATTTTTTTTGTAGAGATGGGGGTCTCACTGTCTTGCCCAGACTGGTCTAGAACTCCTGGCCTCAAGCAAACCTCCTACCTTGGCCTCCCAAAATGTCAAGATTACAGACATGAGCCACTGTGCCCAGCTGGTTGCCTTTAGATTTAGCTTATGTACAAGCAACAGACTGAACAAATGCAAAGGGTATTTGGGGTATAACCTAGCCAAAGAGTGGTATGGTAAACTCAGCAGGTAATTCTGATCCATTCATGATTTCAGCAGGCTCTTCATCAGGAGTTACAAACTCAAATTCCTACAATGGCTAGGCAAATGAGTAATGAGAACTTAGTCTCGTGAAATAAACGGAAGTCTCTCTAGGATTTATGGTAACCCCAAAATTGCTTGACCATCTTAGTGCAGACCTTACTCAGTTCCAATGCTGTATCCAAGCAAGAACACAGGCTCCTATCCTCAAGAATACCGTGGCTCTTAGAATTCAGAATCTCTGTCTTTGGGGTATTTATAATACATTAATGGTGCCAACTAGTTCATTTATTTTTAAAATACCTTGAGGCCAAACAAAACAACATCAGGCCACTGTTTGCAACTTTGTGATTTTGCTCCTGATCCAAGATATTCCCTGGGATTGTTCTATCTCATCTCTTGATGCTAATCCTGACCCTCCTTCTCCCAATATGTTCTAGATCTGCTCTCCTCAAGTTTTCCTTCTTTCCTTATCTACATCATATCCTTTAAAATGTGTTTTGCCCCTTAATGTACAAAACTGCTCAAGAATTTTCCATCTGTAAAACAAACTTTCCTACTTTTGCTTTCACCTCAAACTACAGCCCGTTCTCTTCCTTTCTAAGCCTAGCCAAGCCTAATGCCTATCCACTGCTTGACCCACTGTAATCCGGGTTTAGTGCTTGACCACACCACTGAAATGGCTTTCTGTAAGGTCACGAATAACCCACTCTTCTCTTACTTTGTTTCTCTATGGTTACTTTGTTTCTCTATGGTCTTGCGTCACAGTCTCTCTTGACTTTTTTTTTTTTACTTCTATAGCCAAGCCTCCTGGATCCTGGCCATCCCATCCTCCTTTTAAATGTAAAAATTTACTGCACTGCCTTCTTCCTGTCTCCTTACTTTACACATTTCTCTTGAACAATCTCATCCATTAGCTTCTATTAATACCCATATTATTTCTCTGGCTTTGATCTTTCTCCTGAATACCAAGGCTTATGTTTACAAGAACCTGCTGGAAATTTCCATCTGGATATGCCATAAGTACCTCAAATGTAATGTACCTTTTCCTCTCCTAAACTCTCTGCTCTTCCCCAAATCTCTGCCCCTTTCCTATTTCCTGCCTCAGTTCTCAGTCCAGCCAATCACCCAACCCAGAAACCTATGGATTCTACATCATACATTATCCTAAATATGTCTCCTTCTTTCCATTCCCATTGTTACTGGCCTGGTTTATTTAAGCCCTTATCACCTCTTCTTGGCAGTAATATGAAAATATTGCCAGCCATCATTCTGTCTTCTAATATGTTAATATACTAATATACATAAGTACTTTGCATATATTTAATATTTCCAAAGATAACACTACATGATGAGGTAGCTATTACGATGTCCATCATATAGGATATAATAAAAAGGTATGGAGGGGCTAGGTGGTTTCTGCAAGGAAAGACACTACTGTAGAACACATTAAGAGAGAACATCCTGGGGACATAACAAAGCTCTACCACACGCTAGTGTGAGAGCTTTGATAATCATTCTCTGAGCTGATTTCAAATCAATAAAATGGGTATCAATATAGTATCTATAATATTAGCTATTATATAAATTATTCATAATAAATAGACATATCACCAAAGCAAAATACCAAAGCTACTTCTTAGAAATAAGTAGTATAATTTCTTTTTCTAAAACGCATACAGTTCTGTCACTTTTTGCCAACATGGCTGCCGGTGGTTGAATTTTATCGTATTTCAGGCCTGTTCAAGAATGTTTCTTCATATGGTTTGGCTGTGTCCCCACCCAAAATCTCATCTCAAATTGTAATTCCCATAATCCCTACAATCCCTACATGTCAAAGAAGAGACCAGATGGAGGTAACTTAATCATGGGGGCAGTTTCCCCCATGCTGTTCTATTGATAGTGAGTTCTCACGAGATCTGACGGTTTATAAGTGTTTGGTAGTTCCGCCTGCATTCATTTTTCATCATGCTGCCTTGTGAAGAAGGTGCCTTGTTTCCCCTTTGCCTTTAGCCATGATTATGTTTCCTGAGGCCTCCCCAGCCATGCTGAATTGTGAGTCAATTAAAACTCTTTCCTTTATAAATTACCCAGTCTCAGGCAGTTCTTTTATAGCAGTGTGAAACAGACTAATACAACTCTCTATAATGGCTTGCCTCATTAATGATTTATCACCATTATAAGGTTCGAAGGATGTTTAAAATTAATCTTGGAAAAGAGAATTCCACGGCTCAAAATTTTCTTCTTGGACCAGTCAAGTGAATGATGGAAGAGACTTACTGGATAAGCACTTAACATATGCGTTTGATAACCCCTTTTCTTGCATTTTCACAAAGTCCTCACAAATTTACCCTCTGTGGACCAAGATACTTCCACAGAGGGTAAATTTGTAAGTGACTGGGAAGAGCTTTGAACCCAAGTGGTTTCAACGGTTTTCAAAATGATTTCAGGAAGGGCATGGTGGCTCACACCTGTAATCCCAGCACTCTGGGGGGACAAGGCAGGCGATCACTTGAGCTCAGGAGTTTGAGACCAGCTTGGGCAACATGGCAAGACCCCATCTCAAAAAAATAAAATCCTTTCATATGTGTTATCTTATTTGATCCTAAAGAGCAACTAGTAAGTCAGGCAGGACAGAAAGGCTCTGCCCATTTTCTAATTCTCACACTCAAAATACTTCCATGTGTAGGTGCTGTACATTTTACATCTTAATTGGAGCCAAAATATCAAGTATGGTGGTCAGGATAGGGGTAGTTATGACTTGCTGGTCCAGGGGAAATATCACATCTAACTAAGCATATAGTGTTAGAAGTAAGGACAGTGGTTACTTTTGCAGGGCAGGGTGAGATATGATTAGAAAGAGACAGAAGGGGGCTTGTGGATGCTGGCAATACTCTATCTTATTTCCATAGGAATTTACGGTGGTGTATTATGCTACTTCAGTATAATTTCCCAAGCATCTCAACACTTAATTTTCTTCTTGGTACTTTTCATTTATAAAAATAGGTATTTTTATACTAGAATTGCATATGTATATTGCAACTGCATATATGCAATGACATATATACACTATAATTAAAAATTATAAAAGATGTAAATGTGCATTTTAAAAGGAATCTGATAATGTAAAAATAATAAAGGTTAGCATAATGAATTTAGAAATGTTTGTTTAGAAATAAAATAATTCTTATATTTCAGGCAAATACATATTTGCCTTTCTAAGGATGAATTTTAATGTGGTACATTTTGCTCTTTTTGTGTTTCTTTTCATCAAATAACTGACATTCAAGATTTGAAGTTTTACAGAAAGTTACCTCTGAGGTCATCCTTTTAGTGCATTATTGCTAGCTCATGTAATCAAAAAACAAAAACACGTCACAGAAAGGATAAACCCCATACACAAAAGTGGTACCATATGCTTATGTTTATTGTACAGTCACAAGTTACATGTTGTAAATCAAGCAGAACACTGTACCAGTTTTCACTAACTCAAATCAAGTTAGCAAATTACAAATTTTAGAACAGATTCATTTTCTGTCTCACCCAATGTGGGTGACCACAAAGATATTTACTTTCTATGTTATTAGGTAGCAAATTAATTTGATATACTACACAGCTTCCAAGTTACCTTAGGATATTTCAAAGTGTTTCAAAACTGGTAAAGAATAATTCATTTCCAGCCTGAAATACAATGCAGAATGGACCATTTAGGGGTAAATAACCTCACTTAATCACTCTTTCCTGCTAACAAAAATAATACAAATATTTGTTTATATTAGGCTTACTAAATTAATGACAACTTTGAAATTATCTAGATTTGGTTACATTGTTATATTGCACTTGAGAACAATGACAAAAAACATCAAAGATTCAGTACCTCTCCCAAGAAGTTCATTATATATCAGAAATTAAAATGAAATATAAGCATATATTGCATGCTGCATATTTCTATCGTTCAAACCAGCCAACCAACAAACTAAAAGGAATACTCTCCAAAACACTGAGTATTAAGTAATTTCATCTGCCTTTTTTGATCCTACAATCATTTTTCAAATTTTAGGTGTTTTTCTTTAAATTATTCATCAAACTACTACATATACAAGCTATCCAAGAATGCAAACAAGGTGACATTGAGATGGGTAGTGGCTGCACATAGGTATTCCAAGAACGACTCATTCTTCTCCACCAAGCTCATCATTACATTTTGCAACTTAGGAAGATCTGCCAACTTACAAATTCTGTTTGCCTTACAAAAATCGCTGATCTATTATATACAATACTTTTATCACACAAATCTCTCCCTTAGGGTCATGATTCACTATCAAAAATCTTTCACAGCCCTCTTAAGCCAGTAAAGTCTCTTTTATTAATACTTGAGTTTTCTTTATGGAAATGTAAGTGTTAATGAGAATTAACTATGAATAAGTAGTTTCATAACACAGGTAGAATGATGGCAATAATATTTTGACTAATTGTTTTACCTTTCAGATTCAGAATTACAGTGATAATCGTTAAGAGAAAAGAGAAACAGAAAAAATGACTCACATGTATTTTTCTCAAAATATCAATTCTGAAATAAATACCTATATAAAAATCAATATCAGTATCAATATTTCTTACCAATGTCAAATGTTTTTAATATCTTCTAGTTCATTCATGTTTTCTTAAAACTGAATCAGATCATAAAAATTTTACATTTCAAAATGGATTTTTATTCTCAATAAATCACAAATATGGTAGTATTTCAAATGTTTTAGAGATTTAAAGTTTTCATAGGGCAATTTTTTGATATTTAATCATGATAAAAAAAAATCCCACCATTTTCTTCAGAAAGTAGGCTTTCAAATTACTCTTCTCCATATTTTTGTAGATATATAAATGTTCATTTTTTGAAGGAAAATCTATGCTATTATACAAAACTATATTTCATAAAGGTAATTTAAGATATCATGTTAATTTCTAAATTACAGCATCTTTCAATCTCCAATACAAGATTACTTTCAAGATAGATGCCATAAAAGGAATAGATGGCACAAAAGCAAATTCTAACACTTTTGCCAAAGAGTGACTTTCTATCCAACATATTTTCAGAAATGACTGTTACTAGGTGGTAAAACTGTTAGGGTAAAATTTGTTATAGACTAACTTACTGATTGGTGGCAGGCAACACTTGGCCCTAGGATAAAAATATTTTTCTTAAAAAATTTTAAATTTATTGGTAATAAAAATACTTACTGCATATGATTAAGCTCTTTCAAGCTACTAATAAAAATCTATACTCCAAGACCCATTACTTTTGAAATTCACTAAAGCTAAAATAGAAGGTTTTGTCTAGAGTCCTACCTTGTATACCTCAACTAAATGTGCTCCTATTTTACGAATATATTCTCAAGATTAGCTCAGTCAACTTGTGCATGAAATTATGAGATATGGCAAGATAAATTTCAATCATTTTTAAAACACAGCAAAATAGTCAATTATTTAAGGGAAATATTTATCATTACCTAATGAGGACAGCAGTTAAAGAGCTATTAAACTCTCCATTTCTAATGTACAACATGATGTAATTGCACAAAAATAGGTATAACTGATCATCATCCCCAGGCCTTGAGGAACTGTGAATAAATCATATATTCCTCTAGAAGGTTCACCACTCTACAGAGCCATATAAAACTACAACTTGCCACCTATGTGGCTTTTATTAATAATCCTAGAAAAGTAATTTATACTAACGAACTTCAGAAAGGTTTAAAAGGTTTTCAGTAACTTGAACTGCTTATAAAAATACCTTTTAGAAGTTATTCTGACAGCCGAGACTGATTTTACACATTACCTTGCTTAAACAGAGGTAATATTCCTGTAACATCATGCTATTGCTAGAAGTAAATCAGTGAGTTGCCTTAAGAGTTTTTATTCCAAGCATTACTCATAAAGTTGGGGTAAGGGGTCCAGGTTCCTGTCAACTGTAAAGATTTCTCACTGATCTTGACCCATTCTCAGTAACAGTTTTGGAAATATAAGGAAAAGTACATGAATGGAGGAAAATAAATTAATACTAACTAAAAACTCTGCTCTACTCTAAGAATGTAATACTTACTATATGCATAAGCAACTATCTCAAAGAACTACACAGTATTTTAATAAAAATGCTTTTTTTATACTGTAAATAGCCAGACTAAAACAATGGAATAAATATGCTTTGGAAATAATTTCCAACTCCATATGGCTTTAAGCATTATGATATTCAGGTGAAATTAAACAATTACACAAAAGAGCCATTTGTGATTATGGAACTAATTTTTAGTATAGGTTGGCTTGAAGGATTTGACCTAAAATTTATACAAGTTAAAAATGTAATAAAATATTGTGGATTTAATATAAACAGAAGTGTAATAGGATCTACCAGATTTTCATACTAAAACAAAATATTGTACCTTTGTTATTAAAAGCAAGAATTTGGATGGTATCATGTATGTGTTTATAAAATTCTACCATATGAGTGATTAAAAAAATCCAAGTTCATGCAGTTATAAAGTCTTTAGTATTCTGAAAAGTAAACTGTAGTGTAATATGTATTAACATTAAGTACCTATACAAAAGACATGATTGCTAAGGTCCAAATTTGGACTGCTTTAAAACAACAACAACAACAACAACAACAACAACAAATAAAGTTCCGTACATTAAATCAGAAACAGTAACTGAAGGAGGTACTATTTTATATAAAGTAGTAAATCAGGCACTACCTGTCTTATATACATTGAATAAAAACTATCCCTTGAAATTTTATTATTTAAATACCTAAAAACACAAGTCACCCTATGTTATTAAATGTATGTCTGAACTTATTTATAAGGAGAAGGTTGACAAATATAATTCTCATTTTGTGGTTAATGCCAATTAGCACTATCAGCAGTAAAGCCTTGGATTTTTACTCCTCATGAAGAAAGTTTAAATCTATAATAAAGTTGCTAATTCTAGTGGGTCAAGATGTAGCATAACTTAAAAACTGCAGTTAAGTTTCTGAGTTTCCTTCACCATTTTCATGAGGTTGAAGCTGCTCCCTTTCTTGTTCTTCTTGAGGTGGCCGGACCCGTTTAAAAAAGCCCATCTGTCAGTTGAAGAAAAACCATTATTACTGTCACATCAGTGTAGAATACGAAAAGTATTTTTTGGGTGACTATATTACCACTAAGAACATTTAAATTGTATTTCATAAAATTTATCTTCCCTCATATAATAAGTAATGCTCATCAAGTATCATCATTACAGTCCCTTTCTTCCTTCCCTTACTTTTCATTCTTCTTTTCCTTCTTCCCTTTCCCTTTTCTTCTGCTTTCCCTCTCTCCTTCTTTCTAAGTCCG
The DNA here is from genome assembly GCF_000001405.40 of Homo sapiens. Classification (NCBI taxonomy): domain Eukaryota; kingdom Metazoa; phylum Chordata; class Mammalia; order Primates; family Hominidae; genus Homo; species Homo sapiens. The sequence continues at coordinate 186,676,943 of NC_000002.12, read as the reverse complement.
TTACTTACCCTGTACATTACAAATACCAAAACAGCCAGTAGCAACAATCCTGCTAGAACTGCTAAAATGATCACCCACACAGGCACAGGCATGGGCGCTGGCTGAATGCCCCAGGTGACATTAGTGGTAACCTATCGAGGAAAAAAGCTTTTAGTTTTAAAAACAGTCCATTGACTTAATCAACAAATATCTGAGTAAATATTATATTTTATTTTAATGGAATTCACAGTATATTCTTTTCCTGCATATGATAATTTAGTGGTTTCACATTTGATATCAAGAGCATGCACATACACACATGAAACTCCCAATGATAGGCTGACTTCTGATTGCATCTGACATGATTTGTTTTCCTTTTTTTTGACAGAGTCTCGCCCAGTATGTAGGCCAAGCTGGAATGCAGGGGCATGAACTCGGCTCACTGCAACCTCCATGCTTCAGCCTCCCCAGTAGTTGGAATTACAGGCCTGCGCCACTATACCCAGCTAATTTTTCTGTATTTTTCGTAGAGAAGGGGTTTCACCATGTTGGCCAGGCTGGTCTTGAAATCCTGGCCTCAAATGATCCACCTGTCTCAGCCTCCCAAAATGCTGGGATTACAGGTGTGAGGCAACCACACCCAGCTTGAAATGATTTTTAAATAATCCAATCCAGTTTACTATGTGCTGATCCCATTTTTACTCCTTAAATATCTTCAAAATGCCTCACTTGTTGCAGTTAATTTCCAACTTTCTAACTTTGTAAACGAAAATTCCTAAAATTTCTCCAATATAATTTAGTATATACTAAGAAATCTCTTACACTGGACAAGATGCTAAACTAAAAGGTCTAGCTTTAATCACTTCGGGGTAAGGAGTAAAATGATAATATTAAACTAGGTTATAATGCTATCATATAACTTCATTAGTTTAAATTATCAAAAAAGTTAAGCTGTCGTTCTTTAAAAAACAAAATAAAAACATGTACAGCATTTGAATTGAGTAAATTTATTCTATTTGCCTAAACCAATGACTTACCAATGTGGAGTTGGTGATATCCTCAATTGGAAGATTCTTATAAGGAAACTCTATGACATTAAATGAAGCAGACGACTTCAGAGAATAGGAATGATTCTGATTTTCTTTCTGTTTGGAAATAACAATTAGATGATTTCCCAGATATCAGGCCTTTTATATTTATTTGAAAACACTGGGTATGTTTGCTAAATGCTGCACCTGTCTACTTACATTCATAAAAGTCTCAGTCCACAGTAATGACTTTACGTACAAGATTGCACTCTTTCCTCTGTCTAATCTCCCAACTTGGCAGACAATCTTCAAGCACTGAGCAACTCCACAACCCTGCCAAAACAAATCCTTTACTTATAAGAAAAGGTCATTCTATCATCTCTTCAACATTTGAAAATTTGCCATTTTTTTTCTTTTTGTGTGATGGCCAAAGAGATTATCCAGATTCTTCTGTCTTGAAAATAAACAGGCTAATAGTTGAGTCTATGAATGCTTTTTATTGTGAAGGGGTTGGTATGTTTCTTTTCTTTTTCTTCTTTTGCCACACATGTAGTTCCTTGTAAATGAAAGGGTTGGTTTTATCGTGATTTGTTATAGAAAGATAAGATCCATAATATTAAAAGATTCACTCTATGACTAGAACTCAATATTCTTTAGGCAAACCCATAACATGGTGATATTTGTAAGATATAATAACCAGATCTCAACATCCCCATGGAAAAGAAAACAGAATTTTTAATGGTTTTTCCATGGAGGGCCTACAGAAATCAAATCGCATGCTGATGGCCTCTGACACATTTAATGTTTTAATCAGTAACTTCGAGGTTGGCAGCCAAAAGAAATAAATATTCACCACCTTCTATATGCTGATCACACTGTATTAGACATATCACATATATACACCTCATGACAATGTTATCCAGTAGTGGTACCATTTGTTGACGATTAGGAGTAGAAAAGAGTTTCCTTGACCTGAGAAAGGGCATTGATAAAAAGCCCACAGCTAATATCATACTTCATCCTTCTTTCTCCCTAATGTCAGAAATAAGACAATAGCAATCAAGCCATTTCTACTCAATATTGTACGGAAGGTTCTAGCCAGTGCAATTAGGTAAGAAAAATTAAGGCCAGGTGCAGTGGCTCACTCCTGTAATCAAAGCACTTTGGGAGGCTGAGGCAGGCGTATCGCTTGAGGTCAGGAGTTCGAGACCAGCCTGGCCAACATGGTGAAATGCCATCTCTACTCAAAATACAAAAATTAGCCAGGCGTGATGGTGGGCACCTGTAATCCCAGCTACTTGGGAGGCTAAGGCAGGAGAATCGCTTGAACCTGGGGGGCAGAAGTTGCAGTAAGCCAAGATCATGTCACTGCACTCCAGCCTCGGTGACAGAGCTAGACTCTTTCTTCAAAAAGAAAAAAAAAAGTAAAAGGTATCCAGATTAGAAATGATAAAGTAAAGCTATCTCTTTGTAGATGACAGGATCTTACATATAGAAAACACTAAATAATCCAAATTAAAACTATTTAAGCTAAAAAAACAAGTACAGAAGAGGTACAGGACACAAGATCAATATGCAAATATGAGTCATATTTCAGTATACTATCAATAAGAAATCCAAAAAAGAAATTAAGAAAACAACTTCCTTTAAAACAGCACTGAGGTCAAGAGCAGTGGCTCACACCTGTAACTTCAACACTTTAGGAAACCAAAGTGGGAAAGTCACTTGAGGCCAGTAGTTCAAGACCAGCCTAGGCAACGTAGTGAGATTCTATTTCTACAAAATGAAATTTAAAAATTAGCCAGGTGTGGTGGGTGCACCTATAATCCTAGCTACTCAGGAGGCTGAGGCAGGAGGATTGCTTGAGCCCAGGATTTCGAGGTTGCAGTAAGCTATAACTATGCTACTGTCCTCCAGCATGGATGAGAGAATAAGACCCTGTCTCTACAAAATAAAAATAAAAATAGACCAGGCACAGTGGCTCACATTTGTAATTCTAGAACTTTCGGGAGGCCAAGGTGGGTGGATCACCTGAGGTCAGGAGTTCGAGACCAGACTGACCAACATGGTGAAACCTGTCTCTACTAAAAAAATACAAAAAATTAGCCAGTCCTGGTCGTGGGCACCTGTAATCCCAGCTACTCGGTAGGCCAAGGCAGAAGAATTGCTTGAGCCTGGGAGGTGGAGGTTGCAATGAGTCGAGATCACACCATTGCACTCCAGCCTGGACAACAAGAGCAAAAACTCCTTCTGAAAAAGAAATAAAATAAAATAATAATAATAATAAAAAGCATTGAAAAGAATACACAGAAATCACATAATCAAGGATGTGCAAGACAAGTACACTAAAAGTGACAAAATATTGTTGAAAAAATGGTAGAATAAATAAACAGAAAGACATACCATGTTCATGAACTGAACTATGTAATGTTAAGATAGCAATACTCCCTAGGTTGCTCAAGAAAATTGCTACCAAAATTCCAACTACCTTGTCTGCAGAAATGGACAAGCTGATCCTAAAATCCACATGGAATCGCAAGGGACTCTAACCAAAATAATCTTAAAAGGAATAAAATGTATTCATATTTCCCTATTTCAAAACCTGAACTCCAGAGCTATGGTAATCAAAACAATTTGTTACTTGTATTAAGGATATACATATAGGTCAACTGAATAGAACTGAATGTCTAGAAATAAATCCATATATTTATAATCAATTCATCTCCAACAAGACTGCCAAGACCATTTAAGGGGAAAGAATAATTTCTTCAACAAATGTTGCTCAGACAGGTGGATAGCCACACACAAAAGAATCAATCTGGACCCCTACCTCACACCATACACATAAATTAACCCAAAATGAATCAGGGATGTAAATGTAAGAGCTGTAAGTGTAAAACTTATAAAACCAAAAAGCCTAGGTATGAATCTTCATGACCTTGTATTGGGCAATGGTTTTAAAAATATGATGACAAAATTACAAGCAACAAAAGAAGACATAGATAAATTGAACTTCAGATTTAAAAATTTTTGTGCATTAAAGGACACCATCAAGAAAGTAAAAAGACAGTTCACACAGAATGAGACAAAACCTGTGCAATCATATATCTAATGAAGGTAGTATCCAGAATATATAAATAACTCTTTGCAACTCAACAATAAAAGGCAAATAACCCAATTTAAAAATGGGCAAAAAATTTGAATAGACATTTGTCTAAAAAAGATACACAACTGAAAAGATGCTGAATATCATCAGTCTACAGGGAAATGCATATCAAAACCACAATGAGTTACTTCTTCACACCAACCAGGATGATTATAAAAATTTTAAAACAAACAAAAGCAGAAAATAATAAGTGTTGACAAAGATGTGGAGAAAATAGGACCCTCATATATTGCTGGTTGGGATTGCAAAATGCTGCAGCAACTTTGGAAAATAGTTTGGCAGTTCCTCCAAAAGTTAAACATAGAGTTTCCACATGACCTAGCAATTGCACTCTTATGTTTATTCTCAATAAAACTGAAAAACATGTTTACATGGAAATTTATGCATCAATGTTCATAGCAACACATTCAAAACAGACAAAAAGTAGAAATAATCGAAATGTTGATCAACTGATAAATAGATAAACAAAAGGTGGTATGTCCACACAATGGAGTATTATTCAGGCATAAAAATGAAGTACTGGCTGGGCATGGTAGTTCACGCCTGTAATCCCAACACTTTGGGAGGCCGAGGCGGGCGGATCACGAGGTCAGGAGATCAAGCATCCTGGCTAACATGGTGAAACCCCGTCTCTACTAAAAACACAAAAAAATTAGCCGGGTGTGGTGGTGGGTGCCTGTAGTCCCAGCTACTCGGGAGGCTGAGGCAGGAGAATGGCGTGAACCCGGGAGGTGGAGCTTGCAGTGATCCGAGATTTCGCCACTGGACTCCAGCCTGGGTGACAGAGCGAGACTCTGTCTCAAAAAAAGAAAAAAAAAAAAAAAAGGAGTACTAAGGCACACCACAACATAGATCTTGAAAACATGCTACATGAAAGAAGGCTAGACACAAAAGGCCATATGTTGTATGATACTATATGTATGAAATGTCCAGAATAGGCAAATCAGTAGGAATGCAGATTAGTGGTCACCAGGGGCTGGTGATAGGGGAGAATGGATAAACTGCTTAATGGGTACAGCATTTCTTTTTGGGGTGACAAAAATGTTTACAATTATAGTGGTAATGGTGGTTCAATGTTGTAATTATACTAAAAAACACTAAATTATGCACTTTAAAATCATTAAAATGGTTAATTTTGTGTAAGTTTTGTCTCAATTAAAGAAAACAGATTCTGAAGGAGGACAGAAAGTGCAAGATCAAAAGTGGGGTTGGGAGGTAGAAGGCAGTTTCTATTTCACATGGGTTGGTCAGGGAAGATCTCTGACATAATTTTACTTTTAAGGACATGAGAAGGATATGGGAAAATAAGCCACAAGGATATCTGGACAAAGAATTCCAGGCAGATGGAAGAGCAATTTTCAAAGCATGGAGGAATAAACATGCTTGGGGCTATCTGTTCAATGAAAGCAAGGTGGAAAATTTGAGAAAGAGAATAGTAAGGAGAGGAGATGCAAGCAGAGAGGCAGGAAGGGCCTGTTGATGTTGGGCTTAAAGGTCATTGTAGCCTCTTGCTTTCTCATTGAGTTAGATGGGAAGGCACTGGAGTGACACAACCTGACCTATATTTAAAAGGATCACTGGGGCTTCTATAGCATACAAAGTATAGTGGGGAGAAAGGCAGAAATACAGAGGCCAACCAGGGGTCTGGCAATAGTCCAATCGAGAAGGGAAAGGAGCCTGGGTTAGGTTGTGTTAGTGATGAAACTGGTGAGAAGGGGCCAGATTCTAGGTATTTTGAAAGAAAATACTGATGCAATTTGCTGAAATACAAGACGTGAGATTTGAGAGAAAGAGAGGAGTCAAGCATGAGGTCCAGGTGTTAGAGAATGAAGTTGGTATTTACTAAAATCAACTAAGAACTTTATGGAAAGAGCAGACTTGGGAAAACCCAAGGGTATATATTTAGAATTGTTTGAGATTCCTATTAGATATTTAAAAGCAGTTTCTAGTAGGCAGTTGGATATTGGAATCTGAAGTTCAATGCAGAAGATCAGACTGGAAATATAAATCAAAGCATCTACACCACATGGTATTTACAGCCATGAGAGTCAACAGAAGGAAGTGATTAAGTGAACCAAAGCCACTAGGCAATTGAATGGTTGAGGACTAACAAGAACCACAGAATTTGGTGATGTAAAAGTAACTAGTGATCACTATTGAACATAAACAGTGCTGGGCATGGTGGTTCATGCCTGTCATCCCAGCACTTTAGGAGGCTGAGGTGGGCAGATCGCTTGAGCTCAGGAATTTGAGACCAGCCTGGGCAACATGGTGAAACCTCATCTCAACAAAAAATACAAAACTTAGCTGGGCATGGGGGAGAGCGCCTATAGTCCTAGCTACTTGGGGGACTGATAGGGGAGGATTGCTTGAGCCTGGGAGGTCAAGGCCTCAGTGAGCTGTGTTTGTGTCATTGCACTCCAGCCTGGGTGACAAAGTGAGGCTCTGTGTCAAAAAACAAACAAACAAACAAACAAAAAACACTATACCAGGTTCTCTACTAGAGATCTGGAGATTTGTTAATTAAAAGAAAAAAGAAAAACAATTGCCTTTAAAAACATTATAGCCATTATATAGGCTAACTCAACAAAGGTTAATCAAGTGCTAATTATTATTCCAATGTATTTTTGTTGGGACCTTCTGGATTTTTTAGTATCGTACTAAAGCCTCAGAGATTAGGAGGAGGCCCAGAAAGAGGACAGTTAAAGAACTAGAGTAGGAGAATCAAAGTTGGGACATAAACTAGTTTTATTAGCCATCTACAAAAATAGCTCATTTGAAGAAAATATGGCATTAATCTGACTAGGAAAAAGGAAAGTGAGAGGAATGCATGGTATAAAAATAAATGTAGTTGTTCAAGCACAGCTGTTGTTATTTTTGAAATGTTCTTTGGCGTCAGTTCTATAGTCACATATTTTTAAATGTCTATGGTGCACATATTTGAAATGGCACTTACCAAAGTGTGAATATCTCCTTCACTGAGGGCAAGATCCCGCTTAGTGATGAGATGGTCCCGCTCACCTTGCCCGGCAACCGTGTCATTCTTTTCAGTTGTTTGCAAAGATGAGATCTAATGCAATCACATTAATAAAATGGTGGTAAATGATAATGAAAAACATTTTACATCAGCATTTTGATATAAACTCTTAGATATGATTAAAAAATAGTGAATGAAAATTTAGTATGACAGAATATTTACCACTCAGTATATAGTGAGCAGTAAGGACAGAAAATAAAGATTAGAGTCTTTAATATGTACCAAAAAAGTTAGCTCTCCCTAACCATTATTTTCAGCCCTTGCTTAGCTAGAGTGGAAACTGATGAAACATACAGAAATGGCCTGAAATTCCACAGTACATTTGTGATGTCAATCATGGGTATATCTTTTATTTTGTTTCTTCACCTTTCCTTAGATCATATTGTGTAATAGTTTCTAGTGCAAATCTATGATGGAGATGACTATATCCAAAAGTCAAGATAATCATGAGTAAAATGGTATAGCTTATCCCAAAGGTAGAAATTTTAACAACAAAACACCCTTGATGTGATATTATGCCCTGAAGAAACAACAACGTGATGGAGCCAAGGTCAAACTGAGTCACTGAAGGACACATCTCATGAGGCTCAGTAAGCACTCTATGAAGATGTGGTTCACTAGACATCACAGAATCAATTCTTACCCATTATACAAATGAACTTATCCTAAGTGTACTGCTTATGAACTAAACCATTTTTTGCAGAGTGGGTTTTATATTAAAATAGTTGTTTTATTTTATGAATTTCTTTTACAGGTTTAGAAAGAAGGCAATGAAATATCATTGTAATGAAGAGCTGCTATTAAGCATATTACCTTAATTCTCAAAGGGTTGATCTCCATATCTGAAGTGCAGTTCATTGGTCCATCAATATCATAATGAAGGATATACAACAGAGTGTTATTATTATATTTGTAAGGCCACTGAAGATGGAGCATTGCCTTGCTGAATGAACTTGGACCATTGTTTCTCAGCTAAGGAGAAAAAAGAAAATGTATCTACACCTTGGGCAAAAATCTGTTCCATAATCCTTCCCCTACATCAACTTTAGAAATCATGTTAGCAATAGGTTTTAAATAACAGCAATTTCCACAGTTAACCTCTAATTACAATGTGACCATTTTTATGCAAAAATGATCAAACTCAACATTTGTCTCTAACACAGAGTAATATGTGTCAGGATAAAAATATAAACAAGGTTGGGCACAGTGGCTCATGCCTGTAATCCCAGCACTTTGGGAGGCCGAGGCGGGCGGATCTCTTGAGGTCAGGAGTTCATGTCCAGCCTGGCCAACGTGGTGAAACCTGTCGGTGAAACCCTGTCCCTACTAAAAATACAAAAATTAGCCGGGCATGGTGGTGCACACGTGTAATCCCAGCTACTCAGCAAGCTGAGGCAGGAGAATCGCTTGAACCCGGGAGGTGGAGTTTGCAGTGAGCTGAGATCGCGCCACTGCACTCCAGCCTGGGCGACAGAGCAAGACTTCACCTCAAAAAAAAAAAAAAAAAAAAAAAAAAATATATATATATATATATATATATATATATATGTATGTATGTATAAACAAAAGGCAAAATATTTAAAAGTTATTAATGAAGGATGACAAAGAAAATTTCTTCCTATAGAAATAGTTTTGATTATTTGCCATAGGTATTTTCAATTTTTAGCCAGAACTACAAAATGCCCATGAGAAAGTACCAATGACATTTCTTTATTCAAGTAGAACTAATTTATTTTAAACAACAAATTATATAAACTGCTTTATTTAAACAAGTCTATTTGTCAAATAAAAATGAATTTATGTATAGGGAAAATATTCAAAGAAATCTCTGACACATACTTAACCAATGTAGAGTTTACATAAAAATTACATAGAATTTTTTTTTTAAAGTAGCTTAGTTGTTCCTCTCTTCGTTGGCTTGCTCACGAGGTTTGAGTAAAATCTAACAACTGCAAACCTCATAGATGTGCTGAACAACTGGCCCAACATCTTCTTCAGTCTCAGGGTTCTCCTTGTGCTCCCAGTTTGGAATCGGAAGAAAGACATGATCAGGACTCGAGACTCTAAACAATGACCAAAGAAAACCTACCATGAATATCAAAATGATATAGTCAGTTCATTTTCAAAAGTACCCCATATTCATTACTCAAATAAATAAAATTAGATTTAATTTTAAAAAATACTTTAAAAGAAAACTAATGAACACACACATGCACAAAAACTGCTCTTATGAAATGTACACGTAACAGGTGAATTGACAATTTGTGTAAAAGTTCAACAAAATTATTTTGTGCATGTTGTTGCCATGTCTTGTTCCTTTTGAGGATCACCCAGTATTGGGGGTTTGGAACATACCTAGGATTTTATTTCTACAGAAGCTAATGCCCTAGTAAAACCACCACTAAACATGCAGGGTCTATTGTCCAGAAAAGGCTAAGGCCTGACAGTTACCTTTAAAAAGCAATCATGAGAATGAGATACTCAACTAAGTATTCATACTGACCCTCTTATCTCAACTGCAGCTAAAACAGCAAGATCAACTTTGTGAGATACAACTGGGCTTACTTTGTCAAATAGATTTGAGCTGAAAAAGAAAAAAAAAAACTTAAAAATGAATTATGCATAACAACCAAGAACATACAGAGGCAAACCCAGTGAAACTAAAAATTAACAAACGAAACAAGTGTAAAGCTTATACCTCAAAATAGTTATTTTCATTAACACTTAATTCCAAGAAGATGAACATTTTCTTTCTGGATTTTAAATTTTGTTTTACAAACTCAAATCTGACAATAAAATTATTCTTATAATGTAAATATTGATTTTAAAATGCTATAGTCAAGCAATAAAATTTAATCTGCTACTTTATATTTAAAGTATATTACATAGTATATTTACAACAAATAATATTTATTTGATAGTTATAAGTGAATATAAGTTGTTTTCATACCTTTGGATTTGTAAGTCAAATTTCACAGAAGTATCCATCTCTGACTGCTGGTGCACACTGAAACGAAGACCAGCTAAGAGCTAAAGGAGAGAGGAAAAGATAGTAATGCTAGTCAATGTCTAATTAGCAAAATTTCAAATCCAATGTCTAAATAAAAAATAATGTTCTAAAATGGGGTTTTTCTGAGCTTACAATAAAACTGAACAAAGATAACTAAATCTTATTTTCTATCAAACCTATTTTACTTAATATACCTGGACCAATCCATAAGAGAGCCTATTTAACAACAATTATTAATCATAATTATACCTCCTTATAATACTAACCATCTTTCTAAAAAGTGCAAAAGTAAATGTTTGTTGATCCAGTGAAAGTCTAGCAACTGGGTACAATAATTTGATAACACGAAGCTAACCACCAAAGTATGTGCTGTGTTCATAGGCCAGGAAAGAAGAAATGGATGGTTTACTAGAGTAAGGGAACATGGCTAAAGAAGGCATGAGTAGGGCCACAACCAGAATTTCTCCACACACCTCTCATAACACTCCCAACACCAAATATCCTAATTCCTGCAGGCAGAAAATTGGTAGATTTTAAATAAAACAATTGAACCACCAGGTACAAAAAAGAAGGCTTCTTGGGGATCACACAAATGACATATAAAAACAGTACTTCCTGGGTTCTGCCTCCCACTCCACAAAACCTGGAGCTGGCTACTTGTAATAAGCAGAAACTATATAATAACCAGAAAGTTAGAGAGAATGAGAATATGAGAAAATAAAAGGCATGCTCATTGTTAATAAAACATTGAATACACGTGAAAAACTGAACTTAGGGTAATTTGTTCAAGTTCTCATCCCTAAGATACCATACATCTAGAAATACTAATGACTTGTAATAGAAAACATACTAAAGAAATATGGAATATTTAGACCTGTATTACCACAGATCTTCAAAGTACCAGTATCAATAAGTCATTAAATAAATTCTATTGAAAAAGTCACACAGCATATGCTGCCATTTTGTCCTTGCTACTAGAAATTCTACAAGGTATATTTTGTTTACTTTTTAGAGGATTCGGAAAGCAAGCCATTGGCTGCTTCTTTTCAAGCTCCTGGGCACCCTGCTCCACCATCTGAAGGGGAGCCTGATTTAACTGACCTTCACTTTGATCCTCTGTGTGGGGCCTGTGATGGAATCTAGCTCACCTAGGATTGACAGTCTTGGTAGTTGCCAGAGTAGCTTTTCAGGATCCATTAAGGCATCAGTGTAAAATAGCAAAAATTATTATTTCAGTCCTTAGTTTAAACCACGTTCTCATCCATTCACTAAAGTGAAGGAGGCATAAAGAGCAGCTGATTGCAAACCGTGTAGGAGCACAACCAATTGTTTTCGTATCTTAGTTAAAACTAAGCAAAACTCTGCTAATCATTTAACTATTATATCGAAACCAATTTAAGGACATTGTTTTGAAGTGTTTATTTTTAAAAATTACTATGAGCCCAGACAACAATATGCTTTTCTATTTGCCAGGGAGAAAAATCCGTTTAATTAAATTGTCTTACTTGAGTTCCAGCCTTCATTGGGTTTCCAAGGTCACATACCACCTGGCGAGTTTGGTTTTCTGTCTTAAATGCACAGGAAAGTCTTGCTAAGGCCTTTGATAGACCAAAAAAAAAAAAAAAAATGGATATGAAAGGAAATAAAGTATCACGCAGTTGGATATTTCAGTTTCTTGTCCTAAGCAAATAAATCTAGTTGAGCAAACCAGGAGGTAAGGAAAAAGCCAGAATTGGGTACAATTGCCACATGGAAATGCAGAAGTGTTTCTGAAAGATCCCTAGAGGACTACCATACAAAACCATACAGCCTCTGACAAATAATTTGATGGACAGGCTTAGACACTTTATCTATCTAACCTTGTTTCCAGGCACTTAGCTTGCAATTCTAAAAATGTCATATCAATGCATTATGCAAAGTATTAGGCTTAAAAGGAATTATGTAAGATAGGCACTCCATTGTCTATCAATTTAGCCTTAGGTAGAATAGCTAAGCTTGTGCTTCACTAAATAGGGGAACAGCTCATTAATGTTAATAAGATCCGTGAGTGCATTTCAATTTTTAAAGAGGCAGCCTGCTTACTTCATTGTTTCGGACAACCCCGATGAAATCAGCCTGCAGTGGAATGGAAACGATGAGCTCAGCTTCGTAGGCACCTTCTCCTTGATTCTGAGCCTTAACAATCAATGTCAGAGGGTTGTCATCCCCAATATAGATCTTCTTTTGATCACTACAAGTTAACAATACAAATCCAGACTGAGAAAAAAAGACTACATGGGGAAAGTATGACTGTTCAAAGAAAGAAGAGATAAATACACAGCACTGACATGTTCAACAGTGTCTCAAGGTATTTTAAGACTACTTCACAGCTTGATAGAAAACAGAAAATAGCACACTGGGTGCAAATCGAATGCTTCTCTCAATAAAAATAAACATTGATGCCACTAATATATCACTATCATTCATATCTATTACTGAAGTGAATTACATGTACTTTGTAATTCCCCAATATTTTTCTAAAAGCTAAATTAATCACGTGTCATAATTCTCACAATATTCTTTATAATTCATATGCCTTACAAAATGGTAAGGATATTCCTTGAGTTCAAAGAATGTTTATGATGAAGTGTATCTTTAAAATGATACAATATTATTTTGTGATATTACCCAAAGTTGAATGGTAATAACTCTTTCAACCTAGGCAACTAGTGAAAACACAGTGGATATTTTCTTTAGAAGCTCAATATTGATAGTTTTAGTGTTATAGAAAATCAGGCATTACCCTCCAGGATAACTAATTCTCGTTAAAATATGTTAGTCCTTTGAATAGAAAAATGTGCCCTTCCATTTAAATTTCTTACTACATTATTATTTCAAGCAAAACTTACCTATCTACAGAAACTTCCAGCTTGGGTTTACAGACATTGTCTTCACCACAGTCAAGTAGAATGTGAGCCTAGAAAAAAACATTTTATTTTTCTACATGAAAAATACCAATGCAGGTGGCATAAGCAGTGTTTATCAATATCTATGTGGTTAAGCCTATATGTACACATGTATATATTTTCAGATACTCATCAGCTTGTTTGTTGTATACCTGAATGCAAAAGAGACCATGGCCACTTATTTTTAAGCAGGTCAGTGTAGCCAGTCAAGAAAGAGAAAGAAGAAAAAGATTCATAGGATATGATACAGTTCCTTGGAACCTTTCAGTTTTATCTCAGATTAAGCTGTTATCATATTTGAATGAAGACTGGTGTAGAAAAGAAAGTAATAGCCAAGAAATGAGGCTTCATTTTTACCCTGCTGCTAGTTAAGTTGTGAGATGTTGGGCAAAATAGACTCCCTTCTAGAGTTTCTCATTATGGACTGTGCCTCTACCAATATCAGGAAATAGGGCTGCAGAGGATAAAAGAATAAGGAGCTGTAGATATTCAGCAGCAATTCAGACAGGCAGAGAGACCAAGGGGCAAAAGAAACTGGATAAAATGAGTCCAGCATTGCATGGTCATTTGGAAAAAGATGAAGGAAAAGGAACTTGAAGCATTATAGTTAACCAATCAGGGTAGGTGAAAAAAACAAAGACCTGAACTTTTTCCCCACTAGATCTGGCCAGGAGAATGTTCCAGCTAGAGCAAAATGGAAACACCCAAAAGAGAGAAACAGTGGGAAAAAAGCAGAGGAGCTGGATAGGATGTGAAAGAAGAAACATAAAAATTAAGAAAAGAATGGAAAATAAAGATGAGGCCATTTTTGCTTTGCCTACTGGTAACATCCAAAGGGCTTCAAGCACAGAAGCAGACAAAAAGAAGAGAGAAAAGGATTTAAAGGAAAAGAAAGATAGAGTCCTTTAAAAAAAGGATGATGATTGTAAACTTCCAAGTCACAAGGAATGTCCGGAATTAAGGCTTCAACATACACATTTTGGGGGAACTCAGTTCAGCCCTTAACAATATTTAAAATATTGTCATTTTTACATGGAATCACTTAAAAATTATCAGTGGAATATTTTGCATTCTGTTTCTTACTGTCTTCAAAATCCAGAATGTATTATATACTTTTAGCACATCTAAATTCAAATACTTAGGTTTTATTAGAAATTTTCTTTGCATTTACAATTCATATAATTCACAGTTGAAAATGTAGATTCAAATACTCAAGTTGTTCTAAACTTACTAAAAGTTTTGCAGTAAGAGAATTAAGCATCAGCTTTTAACGTTAAATTAATTAAAATTAAATAAAATTTAAAAATCAGTTCCTCAGTGACACTAAGCCCATTTCAAGTGCTCAGAAGCCACATGAGGCTTGCAAGTGGCTATATATTGGACAAAGATTCGTAACTGTCGTTTTAATTTGAAGGAAACACAAAAATATACGTGAATTAATTCAATTACCTAGATATAAGCAGTTGCTATAAGCCTTTTTAAAAAAGGACTATTAGAAGAACTATATGGTGATTCTTTACATCATGCCAAATATAAATCAACGCTTGATTAGATCAAAGTGTGGACTTTACAGATAACAAATTAACTAGTGATAAGGTATGTATAACATTCCCAGTTAGAATGTTAGATGAGTATCTTAAGTTTGCAATGAGACATATGTATAAAATATTAATAAAACTGTAATATAGAGATATTTGGCTGATATCACTCTATAGGGGAAAAAAAGGACTTAGCTGGCATTGAAGCAGCCATAGTATTAAAATATGCTGTCAGGAAAGATAGTTTCAGAAATGGAAAAGCAATGTCTTCCATGCTCAGAAAACCAAGTCTCTACAGTTATATATATTACATCTTGCACAAAGTAAGAAATTAGTATGTATTTGAGGCTGGGTACGGTGGCTCATGCCTGTAATCTCAGCACTTTGGGAGGCCAAGGTGGGTGGATCACGAGGTCAGGAGATCAAGACTGTCCTGGACAACATGGTGAAATCTCATCTCTCCTGAAATACAAAAAATTAGCCGGGCGTGGTGGTGGGTTCCTGTAGTCCCAGCTACTCAGGAGGCTGAGGCAGGGTAATCGCTTGAACACAGGAGGCGGAGGTTGCAGTGAGCCAAGATTGCGCCACTGCACTTCAGCCTGGCAACAGAGCAAGATTCCGTCTCAAAAAAAAAAAAAAAAACAAAAACAAAAAAAACTTAATGTGTATTTGAATGAAAAAAATGAGAGAAAAAAACCCAACTCTTTCTGCAGAAAGCACTAAATCTCTAACACCAAAGGATTAGGGAGCAGAAAGGGAAACACTAGAACTGCATTGTCCAATATAGTAACCGCTCGCAAGCCTCATGTGGCTTCTGAGCACTTGAAATGGGCTTAGTGTCACTGAGGAACTGATTTTTAAATTTTATTTAATTTAAATTAGTTTAATGTTAAAAGCTGATGCTTAATTCTCTTACTACAAAACTTTTAGTATGTTTAGAACAACTTGAGTATTTGAATCTACTTTTTCAACTGTGAATTACATGGATTCTAAATACAAAAAAAATTTCTAATAAAACCTAAATATTTGAATTTAGATGTGTTAAAAGTATATAATACATTCTGGATTTTGAAGACAGTAAAAAACAGAATGCAAAATATTCCACTGATAATTTTTAAGTGATTCCATGTAAAAATGACAATATTTTAAATATCATTAAGGGCTGAACTGTGTCCCCCCAAAATGTATAAGTTGAAGCCTTAATCCCCAGTATCTTAGAATGGAACTGTATTTGGCAATATGGTCTTTCAAGAAGTTATTAAGTTAAAACGTCTTTAAGGTGGGCCCTAATCCAATGACTGATGCTTAAAAAGAGATTAGGACACAGACACACACACAAAAGGAAGACCATGTGAAGACACAAGAAGGTGACTGGTGACTGTCTACAAGCCAAGAAGAGAGGCCTCAGAAGAAATTAGCCCTGCTGACTCTGGATCTCAGACTTCTAGGCTCCAAAATTAGGAGAGAATCAATTTCTGTTGTTTAAGCCACCCATTCTGTGGTACTTTGTTATGACAGCCCTAGAAAACTAATATAGATATATTTTTAAAATAAATTTCACCTATACCTTTTCTACCTTTTAAAAAAATGTTGCTAACCAGCAAATTAAAAATTACAAATTAAAAATTACAATTAAAACTTTGTATTTCTATTTGACAGCAAAGAGAGAGTGCATGGAAGAGTTTGTAACGTAACCAGTGAAATGAAGCATCCATTTTAGAGAAAAGGAAATGATGAAAATGGTGGGGTAAGTAATTAACATAAAAACAAGAGCGAATAACAAAGCTAAGAACGCAGAAAGAAACATACCTAAAACTTAATAATGTCACTGATGGAACAAATGTAGGACACAGAGGAGACCAAAACAAATTTTTTTCAAACAATGAAGAATGAGAATAGGTGGGAAAAAAAGGAAGTCAAATATTACTGCAGTTATTCTTGCCCTCCAAGGGTTTCAAAAGTTAGCCTACTTGATTAGCTGGTTTTAACATGGTATTGGCATTAAAGAAATTGGATGGGGAGTTTGGAAAATTAATCAAAAGTAGTGATAACAATGATAATAAAAGATTTCTAAAAAATTATAAAACTATAAACAGAAAATAACCATAACCCATATATGAAAGCACATAATATAAAGTGACAAGTAACAATTAACTTTCAAAGAAAGTATAATACTGAATGACAGACATTAAGAGGCTCAGATGGTCATTATTAAACTATTAATCAACATAATATTGTGCATTCATTAAAAATAAAAAATGTAAAGAATATAAACACAGAAGTATGGTTATAAGTTCTATGTTAATGAATACTAGAAAATGGCACATATACTATGATTATTAATGTACAGGATGAAATATGAAATTGTTAAAATATAAAAATTAGAAAAGACTTTTAAAAATATTTTAATTTGCCTTTTGCTACTGTCACATATACAGAAAACAAACCAAAAAAAAAAGAGCTTATGGGATCTCAGAAAGACAAAAAAAAAATGATAAACTAAATTTAGGGCAAAGAGTTATGAAGGAAGAAATATTAATGTAAAAACATGAACATGTAATTTAAAAAGGAGAAATAGTAACTAGAATTAACAATATTTAAATACATTACACATAAGATTTTCTAAAACTAGAATACCACCTATCAAATTTTGTTGCTTTCTTTGGTTTTCTGAAAAGAATTATTTATTTACTATATATGCACTTTTTAAAATTAAAATATCAAAAATAACAGATATCAAATATATTTAGCAAAATACTAAAATACTATGTAAACAAACTGGCACTTTGCTGTTCTTGAATTATTTTCCTATTTCATGTATATGAAATGTCTTTCTCTGTATATCTCCATGTTGAGTGGCTTTAAATATCTCTGACTTGAAAATTCAGATTCCCAAAAAAATAAAAACCAAAAAGAAAAAAAAATAGAAAATTCAGATTCCTAAACTTCTGACTTTGACTAAACATCTATCAATATGATAAAGGAAATCTCCTCTAATATTTAAAAATATGAATTGTAAAAAAAAATAACAAAATATCACATTAGTGGTAAACTGAGTACAGTACCTGTCGACTAATGTTAGCAGGCGTGAACTGGTTAAGAATGGGTTGCAAGCCTGTTGTATCAGCAGCTGTTCTATAATCCAACCGATATTCCATAAAAATAGTAATTGGAGTGAGTTTGTCTCTAAATTCAGATTCATCCTAGAAATGGAAACGCTTTGAATTAATGATAACGTCAACCTAAATTATCTGGAGAAATCCATAAGTGCACATTACAAAGCCAGCTGTATTCATCCCTGAGCCTTCAATTCTAACAACATTCTCTGGAAAATTATACTTATGTAGAAATAGAATATCCAAAAGAAGATTATCCTTATCAAGTAAGAGCCTTTAGTCAATTTTTGTTTTACAATGTACTATTTGATTCACACGAAAGTACGAGACATGTTAACAACATGAGCACTCAAACACACACACCCAACATAATAAGAACATTATTGATACTGCTTAAGCTACCCAAATACTTCTTTCTCTTCCTCCCTCTGCATTCCTTCTCAATAGGATTACATGTAGTCTTCTGTGACTTGCTTTCTGTCCTACACTCTTAAGATCCATCCATTCTATTGCATGTAGCCTACGTTAATTTTGTACTGTTGAGTACTATTTCATCATGTAAATATACATTCAGTTATCCATTCTGTCAAAGGCTATTTTGATTGTTTATGGGTTTTGTTTTTGCTATTACAGAAATTGCTGTGATTATTCTTATATATAGTGACAAGTATATTTGTCAGTTCTGTAGTACCACATTATTTTCCAGTCTTCAAAACAATTCACACTGCCGTCCGCAATGTATAAGAATTCTTAATTCACATCTTGACCAATTAATAGGTATTGGTGGACTTTGTTTAAATGTAAGATTCTATTTCTTCATAGTCATAACTTGGGGTATTTGTCTTGCTTCTTAAATCTTGAAGTTTTTAAAATTTACTCTAAAACCTTTTTTGCACTTAAAAAAGACAGTCACATATTTCTTCTTTAATCTATTCATGTGGTAAATTACATTTTTAGACTTAATATTAACCCACTCTAGGATAAATCCAACTTGGTTTATGTATCTTTTTTTACAAACTGCTAAGACTTATTTGCTTATAATGGCTTAGTCATTTTACATCTATTGTAAGACTAGAATGAAATTCTCCCTTCTGGTACTATCCTTGACCACTCCAGGAACCAATTACACTAGTTTCACAGATTGACTTTGAAATATTTTGGTTTTTTTTTTCTTTCAAAGAGCTATTTAAAATTGAGAAGTCTTGTTCTTGAATGTTTGATAGATATTGCCTATAAAACCATCTGGGCTTTGTCGTTTTGTAAAGATTAATGGCCAATTCTATTTGTTAAGTGTTTAGAGGATTATTCAGGTTTTCTGTTTCTTCTTTTGACAGTTGTATTGTTTTTCTAAGAATTTCCATGATTTGTCTAAAAGTTTTCCTATGTACTGGCCCAAGGTTATTCAAAATATTCTGTTAATTCCTCCCT
The DNA here is from genome assembly GCF_000001405.40 of Homo sapiens. Classification (NCBI taxonomy): domain Eukaryota; kingdom Metazoa; phylum Chordata; class Mammalia; order Primates; family Hominidae; genus Homo; species Homo sapiens. Next base: position 186,657,696 of record NC_000002.12, on the reverse strand, counting down.
TATCTGTAATGTCCCATCTCAATTCTTAATTTTGTGGTGTTTCTTTCTTACCTTCATTTTTTCTTAACTTTCATTTAAATTAAATAGCATTTAAGGCTATACATTTATCTTTACATTCTACTGTTGTGATAGCCTATACATTTTGATGTCACATTTTCATTGTAATACGGTTGCAAGTAAATTTCCATTATGATCTTGTTTTTGACCCATAAGTTATTTAAAAATCACACTTCCCAATTCCCAGTTGATCTTTTTGTTATGGATTTCTAACAACTGCACTGTGATAGTATGTATTCTATAAAATTACTTTTTGAAATTTGTTTAGACTTCCTTTATGGCCTATGCATGGTCAGTTTTCATATTCTTTAGTTGTTAGGTGTAGGTTCTATATAAGTCTGTTAAATCAAGTTCATTAATTATGTTGTTGTCTAAATATTTACTGATGTTTTTGTCTTGTTTTGTTTTTTCCTTTAAATAAAATAGAGTCTCACCCAGGCTGGTCTCAAACTCTTGGCCTCAAGTGATCCTCCTGCTTTGGCCTCCCAAAGTGCCAAGATTATAAGCTTGAGCCACTGTGCCCAGGCCCTTTATTTCTTTAAACATTTTATACAAATTTGTGCTCTGTAGCTGGTCTTTGTGGGTCTAAAATCTGATGCTTCTTCTAGTGGCTTCTGTGTGTGTGTGTGTGTGTGTGTGTGTGTGTGTGTGTTTAATGAATTCATATTTGATCAAACTTAACCTATGGAAATCCTGGGGCCCATACTGGATTGCTCCCCTTCAGCAAGGTTTTACATTTGGCTCTTGCTGGAATCAGAATGCACCTCTGTCGTAAGAACACTTAGCCTTATACAACTGTCGGAATTCCTGTGCTGGTGTCTGCAATTACCACCTGCCCTCTCCTTAGGCTTCATCCTTTGCCAGCAACTCTCGCTCATATATTTGCTTATAACTCACAATTCAGATTTTTGCCACTGGAGTTTTTTAGTTGATTGCTCATTTTTTTTTTGGACTCTGGTGATTTCTTTTACTGTCTTGAAAGTTCAGTTGCATTTAAGAAATATGTTTATCATAATTTGTTCAGTAGTATTGTTGTGGAAAGGCCATTTGGAATATCCAATCTGCCAGAAGTAGAAGTCCATCATTCAGGTATGACACTTTACAAAGCTAAATTTCCTTTGTGTATTTTTCTGTTTTTCCTTTTGATCTAACACTAATTTACAGAAAGTGAAAATCATTTAGATAAAAAACTAATGACTAAAAAGGAACAACAAGGTAGCAGAAAAGTTAGCTCTTACCCGCAGATACGCTATCAATTCCTCACACTGCATCAGTCCCCCCCTTGAAATAGTCATGTTCTTGGAGTGACTTGGGGACCTGCTGTAGAGAAACAGTGCTCGTCGAATTGCTCCCTTTTGCTTGAGTTTATCCAAAAGAAGTTCCACCTGGAAATCTATGTAAACCAAAGGATTTATAACCAACATATTCTTTATGGACATCTATCTATCCTACTCTAGAGTTTTCATGTAAACAGAGATCTTTATTCCTTAAGAAGTAAATTGCTTCTAATTAATTTAAAATGTCATTACATTGTAATGAGACTACAACATATTAATTCTGAAAAAATATTTAATAATAATTAAATAATTAATCAAACTTTCCCTAAAGTAATGTCATAAATAATTCCCAAAAAAATGATAGTAGTAAGCCAATTATCAGACAGGAGAAATGCTATCTTTTAATTTAAGCTGAGAGGAGGAAATCCAGAGGATGAAACATGTGAATTAAGACTTCCATCATAAATTCAAGTAGCAAGAGTCTTGCTGATTTTGATTAAGAAGTATTTGCTCATATGTACTCATACCATCATATTAAACACTATGATGAATGAACAGTTTGCCCCACTTGAAACTCCTGCTTCCAGTGAAGCTATCATATCAAACTGTCAGATGAATATGCCTTCAGGAAGCAAGTGATCAAACAGAGTTAAATGCATCAAGAATCATTGTAAAAGGATGTAGCAATTAGGATTACTGCCTTGTAAGATTCAGTTCTTTAAATAGTTTAAGAGAGTGCAAATCTTTAAAACCAGAATTCGCGTCGCAAGTTTCTCTAAAAGGTGACCTTTATTTCAAATTTGGGTGAATACCCGGGGTTATTTTGCTTCATGTTCTGTTCTACTAGGCCATATTGACCTCCATGCCGTTTCTCAACCACTGAGCACATTTTCCGCTTCAGGCCTGCTGAAACTGCCAGTTCCTCTGTGGCAAACACTCCTCCACACATCCCATAGCTCCCTTATTTCCTTCAGGTCTCTACTGAAAAGTTTTCTCCTAGGGAGACCTTACTTGGCTGCCCTATGTAAACTTTCACACACAAACACACACCCAACAGTTTCAGTTTCTTCTCTGCTTTACTATTATTCCTTACCACTTGCCATTAACATACTGACAAACCCTGGCAATAATTATTTAACACTCCTATCTTGCCTATCTTGCTCTCAGGACCACATCAACCATTTTAGGAAAAGAAGAGTAGAGTTTGCTGTGTGAATTAAATTGCATGACCAAAACTTTTTCTCCTCCTTCTCACTATTTCTAAACCACCTCTACTCCTGAGATTGCTTGGGGCTGCTCAAAGACATAAAATACAGACTTCTCAGCAGATCATCTACTTATAAACCATAATATTCATATTTCCCCAGAGTTCATTATGTCACATTCGTAACTGCTTAAACTTCTAAAGGTCATATTTACCATTCTGTGGGCTATTTAGCTCATAATGTCCATAAATAAGTGTATTATTTTTGAATTAGCTTAAGGGTTACCAAAGAATATAATTATGTTGAAATCTTAAATGTCTTTAAGCATAAACATTCAAATAAAAAATTATAATAACAATTCAAGTAACTATTTGAATATCTTAAAATATTTTTTAAGTGCTGTGTATGCAGTATCATTAAAATAATATGATTTTTCATAGAACACTTACTAAGTTTCCTGGGAAGTACTCCTTTGCCATCTGCCTTTAAGCAGAACCTAACATTAAAACTGTGGAAAAATAAAAAACATACATAAATTCTATAATTCAGTTTAGACATATTTTTATTATCACCCACATCTCATCTTTCTACTACATAGTTTGTATTGTGAAGCCTTACATCTTTCTTCATGTCTTAATATTATTCTAAAAACATGAAACTATATACACTAACCTAACTCATCCTTCAGTAATTTAAGCACATTTCCTTTCATGGTACCTTGATGAAAAAAAGAAAAATAATGTCCTAACTTTCTCTCAAGCTTATAGAACCTATTGATAAATCTAAATGAGGGGTATGACAGTTCAGATTTTTTTTTTTTTTTTTGAGACAGAGTCTCACTCTGTTGCCCAGGCTGGAGTACAGTGGCACGATCTCGGCTCACTGCAACCTCTGCCTCCTGGATTCAAGCAATTCTCCTGCCTCAGCCTCCCAAGTAGCTGGGATTACAGGCATGCACCACCACACCCGGCTAATTTTTGTATTTTTAGTAGAGACAGTGTTTCACCACGTTGGCCAGGCTGGTCTCAAACTCCTGACCTCTGGTGATTCGCCCGCCTTGGTCTCCCAAAGTGCTGGGATTACAGTGAGCCACTGTGCCTAGCCAACGGTTCAGATTTTAAAAACTGTCTCATTGATAAAAGGACCCACCAAAACTTTCTTTAATTAGCAACCTCCTTTACAGCAGTGTTCTTCACAATTTATTAGCAGGTTGTGAAACCAGTTTAATGGGTTGTGTTCAGCATCTTAAGAAAAATTTTTTAATAAATAAATAAAACTGATTTAGGTATCAAAGGTAAGTACGATTTTCTGAAATGCTTGATTTAATTACTTTTATGTGTTTATAATGCAAAATGTATTTCTATGTGCCATACTCAAAAATCATATGATGTTACTGCTCTAGTTAGTGCATTTGAAGCCTTTGAATTACTAACATAATTAGAAGCAGATTATTGGCAACTTCACAGAGGTATGCAGGGTAGAAAAGCAGTAAAACTTACAGCAAAATCTTGAAAACAACTTCATTGCCAGTTCAATAAAAATGAAGACCAAATATTACTGAATTTTTAAATGTAATCCAATTAAAGAAATGAAAGTTTCAAAATTTTAATAACTATAACAATAATTCAAAAATATTCAAAAACAAATTCAGGAACAATATCTTTAATTGGCTCTTTTGAAGTAAAACTTTTTTAGGCACCAATCATTTTCTCCTTGATCATAAGTTCTCTGCAACTCGTCTGTGTAAGTAAGGAACATGAATAGTGTTTCCCAAAGTGGGAACTCATGAATGACTACTCATGGTGATTTTGGTAGTATATGGGTCAAGATTTTTCATTAGTTTTATATTTATATTGATATGTATGAGAAAGATACTGGTTTCTACATTTTGCTTTTAAATACTGTGAAGTAAAGCACGAGACAACTTAAAAAAATATCTATAATGAGCACTTTGGGAGGCCGAGGCGGGTGGATCATGAGGTCAGGAGATCGAGACCATCCTGGCTAACAAGGTGAAACCCCGTCTCTACTAAAAATACAAAAAATTAGCCGGGCGTGTTGGTGGGCGCCTGTAGTCCCAGCTACTCGGGAGGCTGAGGCAGGAGAATGGCGTGAACCCGGGAAGCGGAGCTTGCAGTGAGCCGAGATTGCGCCACTGCAGTCTGCAGTCCGGCCTGGGCGACAGAGCGAGACTCCGTCTCAAAAAAAAAAAAAAAAAAAAAAAAATCTATAATGAAAATAGAGCAAAAATTACTGAAGTAGCATACAAATGACAAAGATGAGAGAAAGAATGGAGTAGAGAAGAATTCAGACATTTAACTTATGAAAAATTATTATATTTTTCTTTGGAAACTAGTAAAGGAATAAGCAGAAAATTAATATATTAGAGCAAAATAATTTTTTTCATACAACTGTTCATAGATATTAAATCAGAAAAACAAGATATCTTTTAAAAATGTAAGTGTTCATGGGCCTGTTTGGAATTACATATAAATGAACTGAGATCTTATTAGCTTTTCTTTCTTTTTGAAAATATTCATTGACCACGCATAATTCTTTAAAAATTAATTTCATACTAATTTATAGAGTATCTTTACAGCCTTTAGATATCCTTTTTGGAGCACTATTTCTATAATCCAATTTATAACATGAAAATAGAGTATAAGGCCAGGTGCAATGGCTCATGCCTGTAAATCCTAGCACTTTAGGAGGCTGAGGCAGGATGACTGCTTGAGCACAGCGGTCTTCGAGACCAACCTGAGCAATATAGGGAGACCCCATCTCTAAAAAAATTTAAAAAATTAGCTGGGTATGGTGCCACACACCTGTAGTCCCAGCTACTATAAAGGCCAAGGTGGAAGGATCACTTAAGCCATGGTTGTGCCACTGCACACCAGCCTGGGCAACAGAGGCAGACCTTGCTTCAAATAAAAAAAGAATAGAAAAAACAGTATACTCACAGAAACTGTTTTAGCAATATTTCAGCCCTACCACCTTCATTTTCAATTGTTCTTACAATGCCTGAACAATAATCACAATAATAACTATTATTAAACAAATACCCTTACCAGGAAACTTTGAGAGCTGTTCCAGGCAGTGAGCAGGTTTTATTGTCTTGATTTAAAATGCTAGGGTACACTTCAAGACCAGCATTTACAGTGATAACTGGTCTGGCCCTAGCGGGGGAGGGAAAAGAAGATGAAGTAAAAAATTATTTAAAAAGTTAGGTTGATTGAAATATTTTTGGTTCATATTCACTACATATATAGTACCATGTCTACTAAAAGCATTGTTTGTAATAGTAAAAGGAACAGGAACAACATAACCGTAGGTGATCAACTGTCTTAGTTGCCCAGAACTGTCCTAATTTTAGCACAGAAACTCCTGCATCCTGGGAAATCGCTCAGTTCCAGACAAAGTGGGACAATGGCTGGCCTATATGAATTCAGTCACTAAAGCAGAATGGCTAAATAAGTTGTGAGATATCTACCGAATTCGCTGCACTACCGTGGAGAAAATGAGTGGGATGACCTCTAAGACATAACCAACATATAGTTTTAGTGGGAGAGAAAAAAAAACCCAAAAAGTACAAAGAATGTCTACTGATATACATACATACATACATAATATGATTTTTTAATGCATAGAATATTTCTAATAGAAGAAACAAATAAATTATTAGCTGGTGTGAGGGAAAACTTTTTTTTATATACCCTTCTTATAGTGTTTGCATTTTTACCACGTACATTATACAATTAACAGCAATTTTAAAAACTAAAAACAATAAATTAAAATAAATACAGTTTTCCTGAGTTCAGATACACAGGTTTAAATCCTATACAAAAATACAGCTGGCTCAAGTCAATGTGCCTGTCTCAAAATGATAAAGATCTGAAATCTGTTAAGTATTGTATAGCTACAATTAAATTGACCCATCGCAAACTCCGCTACATAGCACTAATGTTAGTGTTCCTGCCATGTATAAACTCAGATCATAGATATATAAACATCTTAACTACTTGGGATGCCAACTGATATTCTACGTCATGAGGAATTGATGAAATACAGAGAATAACTGGGGATATATAAGAAATTGGGAAATAGAAATATATAAATTCATACATATTGCTCTAATAAAAATATTCATTTGGGGTTTCATTACATACTGACCTTGTGGTCAGAGAATACCAAGACATAAGCATGAGGTTAATTTCCTGCTTCTTATAGGAAAATGTAAACCCAGACAATTTTTAGAGAGATTAAAACTACAGGAGAATACCTCTGAACATAATTTAAAAGACAAAGAAGGGGCGGGCATAGTGGCTCACACCTGTAATCCCAGCACTTTGGGAGGCTGAGGCTGGTGGATCACTTGAGCCCAGGAGCTCAAGACCAGCCCAGATAACATGGCAAGACCCTGTCTCTACCAAAAATACATAAAATTAGCCAGGTGTGGTAGTGGCACATGCCTGTAGTCCCAGCTACTCGGGAGGCTGAGGCACGAGAATCACTAGGACCTGGGAAGCAAAGGTTGCAATGAGCCAAGATTGCACCACTGTACTCCAGATTGGGCAAAAAAAAAAAAGAAGTTCTAGTGTTCAATAACACCGTAGATTGACTATAGTTAATAATAATTTATTGTACATTTCAAAATAGCTGGCTGGGCACAGTGGCTCATAACAGTAATCCCAGCATTTTGGGAGGCTGAGACGGGTGTATCACTTCAGGCCAGGAGTTCAGGACCAGCTTGGCCAACATGGCAAAACCCTGTCTCTACTAAAAATACAAAAATTAGCCGGTGTGGTAGCATGTGCCTGTAACCCCACCTACTTGGGAGGCTGAGGCATGAGAATTGTTTGAACCCAGGGGGCAGAGGTTTCAGGGAGCCGAGATGGTCCCACTGCACTGAAACTCTGTCTCCAAAGAAAACAAAAGATCAAAATAACTAGAAGAGAGGCTGGAAGACAGGATTCTGAATGTTCCCAACACAAATAAATGATCAATGTTTGAGATGATGAATATCCTAATTACTCTGATTTGATAATTACATTGTATGAATATATCAAAATATCACATGTACCCCATAAATATGTACAATTATTATGTACCAATAAAAATAATACTATTTGCCCATAGCAAATCATGAATAGAAAGAGCAAATTTTATCATTATTTCAAGAAAATTAAACTAAAATTCAAACACTGACACTTAATTAAAAAACGTTCAAATAATTCAGAATATTCCTATACCGCAGGATACAGAAAATGCTCACCTGTATAAGATAGCTCGATCTACACCAAAAGCTCCTACAATTAAGTCTTAAGAAAGAGTGGAAAAACATGTTAATAATGATAATGGTTTTTAAAATGTATATACCATTCTATAAAATTTTCAATGAATATAAAAAGGTTTGAACAAATTCTCAAAACTATTAAGAGGTTGTAAGACATCATATAAAAGGCTAAAATATATGAAAACTGTAAACAAACTACCACCAGTGGAAAATGCTTATCATAAAGTAGACTTTCATCTAGGTGGATATAAATCTTTTAAATGAATATTTAGTAAAAAGTAGCAATGATAATCATACACCTGCCAAACATACATACTGCCAAAGGAAAAAGCTTTATAGACGCCTGTGGATTTTACAATCTTACTGTAAAATTTCCTTTCTATTTTCTATATATAATGTGTGTGTGTGTATATATATAAAATACTATAGCAGATAGCACTCGAATCAGCAAGAATGAAATGCATTAGTTTTCATATGCCACAGGTTCAACTGGTTCACGATTCAGAAAAAGTCAAATGAGAGCTCTATCTCACAGTATACCCAAGCTAAATTTGAGGAAGTCTTTTCTAAACAGAAAATCACATGAAAAAAAAAATAAAAACAGATTAAATAACATAAAAGTTTAAAACTTTATGCTCAAAATGCAAATCTGACAAACTAGAAAATACATAAAAGAGTTAAGAAGTTAATATTTGCAACATTTAAGGCACTGTGAAAGTTTAAAAAAAATGAATGAATGAAAGAAAAGCAAAATACAATCCCAGTAGCAAAGAAGAAAAAAGAGACACAAAAAGGAAATTCACAGAAGTAAATGTGTGTATATATATACACACAAATGTGTATATATATACACACAAATGTGTATATATATACACACAAATGTATATATATACAAATGTATATATATATACACACAAATGTATATATATACAAATGTATATATATATACACACAAATGAAAATGATTATTTTTACTAATAATCTATAGTTAAGAATCAACCTCATAACTATACATTAGATTATTAGTAAAAATAATCATTTTTATTTATGTATAGTTAAGAATCAACCTGATGGCCGGGTGTGGTGGCTCATGCCTGTAATCCCAGCACTTTGGGAGGTTGAGGCAGGCAGATCACGAAGTCAGGAGTTCGAGACCAGCCTGACTGAGACCAGCCTGACCAAGACCAGCCTGATCAACATGGTGAAACCCCATCTCTACTAAAAATACAAAAATTAGCTGTGCGTGGTGGTGCCTGCCTGTAATCCCAGCTACTCAGGAGGCTGAGGCAGGAGACTCTCTTGAACCCGGGCGGTGAAGTTTGCAGTGAGCTGAGATCACGCCACTGCACTCCAGCCTGGGTAACAGAGCGAGACTTCATCTCAAAAAAAAGAATCAAACTCATGCCTTATTTCTAGAATCACAAACTGTTAGTTAAAATACACTGTCCACCTGTTATACAGTTAAAAATTATTTTAAAAGAAGCACAAGTATGGGAAAACAATGACTCATTTACTGCTGGTGAGTGCTTTAAAAAGTTGACAAAAACCTTCCTGTGGAGGGAGTGGGATGGTAACTTGACCATGTGTATTAATAACCTTAAAAAAAGAAGTGCACACACTTGACACAGTGATTCTTGAATTTTGTCCTAATGACATAATCAGAGATATGCAAAAGAATTATAAAGAAAGATAAAAATGCCACAAAAAAAGGTAAATAAGATATGATGCAGCTATTTGTTACAAAGGGAAACAGAAAATTCATGTTTTAGAAGAATAATAAAGAAATGTTTCTGAAACGTTGAATAAAACACTATGAATAGCATATAAAAGCATGATTTCCTTTTTAAAAAAATGTGTGTGACTGCACAGGAAAAACATTGAAAAGATATGCTTTGATGTATTTTCTAAAAGTTCTATAACAAATATATTGCATTTATAACAAAAAAACTCTAAAATACTACTAATTTATGAGAATCCACTTCATGTCTTATTTCTGGAAACAGACCAACACACTTGTATATTGAGCTCATATTAAGTGTTTCAACACAAAGGTCATCTAAATTTTCTACACTGTATTTCATTTAAAGAAAAGATCTGTTTTGATCCTAGATCCATTTATAATGCTCCAAAGTGTATAAGAACCAGAAAAAGGTCTTGCTTGCTCTACTGGACCTATGCAGTGGGCAACCTTGGGTAAACTGCCTTTCTCAGTCTCTTTTTACATTCAGAAATGGTATAATAATGAGCTATAAAAATGAGCTTATATTAACTCATGTATTAATGGGAGAATTAAATAAAATAATATACTTGAAAAAAAAATCACAATGAAGGCCGGGTGCGGTGGCTCACGCCTGTATTCCCAACACTTTGGGAGGCCACGGCAGTTGGATCGCTTGAGCTCATGAGTTCAAGACCAGCCTGGGCAACATGGCAAAAACCACTCTTTACAAACCATGCAAAAATTAGCCAGGCATGGTGGTGCTTGCCTGTAGTCCCAGCTACTAAGGAGGCTGAGGTGGGAGGATGGCTTGAGCCCAGGAGGTGGAGGCTGCAATGAGCCAAGATTGTGCCACTGTACTCCAGCCTGGGCAATAGAGACATACCTTGTCTTAAAAAAAAAAAAAAATCACAACTATTAGTCAAGTACATATATTCTACATAATTAAAAAAATAAAAAAGATAGCTAACATTAAAACAGCTTAGAATGAGCATTTAACTTTTGTTTATAACTTCTGTAATACTCTTCTCATTTCATTAAAGACTACAGGAGAAACTCAGAGTACACTGTACACTCCCAGGAAAGAGAGCTGACTTTTCTTCATATACCCTTAGGTGACGGGAATGATGCCTTGAATATTTTAGAGGTTTGATCAACATATGAAATACTGAATTGCAATAATTTATAACATAAATCAAGAACAGTAACTAATACTATTTGCTATTAGGACTGAAAAATCTAAGGGCTCTATGTGTTGATAAGAAAGCACCTGGATATCCATTTTTGTCTATATCTGTGGCTCCTTTCATTGAATAGCCAAAGCTTGGTGGCATGCTTCGAGCAGCCCACTGCCCTTCAAGGATTTGAGATGGGACTGCGTTCAAGCCTGTTGATCTTCCATTGAAGATATAAACAATTCCTTTTTTATCTTCACCCCCATATGGAGCAGCAATTGCAATATCTGTGGGGAAAAAAAGAGGAGGGGGAAGGAGAATGACAGAAGTAAGGAGGAGGAAAAGAAAGGGAAGAATGAGGAAGGAACGAGAGAAGGGGGGAAGAGGGCAAGGATGAAGAGAAGAAAGTTTCAGTACTTGTAATTATTTGTACAGATCTTAATATTTATAGAACCCATTCATCATGATAAATACTAATTCAAAGTTCAGTAGGGTACTCTTTATCCATAAGCAATAATCTAATTCAAGGAAACTCAAGCAAAACTGTACAGAAAAGACATTAATTTAGGGCCAGATAATCTGGCTCTGACCTTAAACCAATCACTTAAACTTTCTGGACCACAAATGCTTCCTCATTAAAACTAGGGGTAGGGGATGGAGGAGGACACATCAAAAGATTCATCTAAAGTTTATTTTCACTCTCAAAATTCTAGATAATTTATTTATGGATGGTATTGTTTTTTCTGAACAGAAGCCAATCTGCTCAGAAATTCGTAAGTTGTGACTTCATCTTGATCTTGCTCAACTTACACTGAAAGAAGATAAATGAATAACATTTTAAATCTTTAAAAAACCCCAAACACCAAATTATCTTTTCTACCTCTAAAATGTATTACCAATCTGCCCACTTCTCTCTCTGCTGCTGCCACCCTAGACAAGTCATTGCCGCATTTTGCACTTAAACAGCCTTTTTTTCTTTTCTTTTTAATTTTTGTTTGTTTGAGACAGAGTCCCGCTCTTTTCCCCAGGCTGGAGTGCAGTGGCACAATCTTGGCTCACTGCAAGCTCCACCTCCTGGGTTCACACCATTCTCCTGCCTTAGCCTCCCGATTAGCTAGGACTACAGGCGCCCGCCACCATGCCCGGCTAATTTTTTTTGTTTTTTTTTCAGTAGAGACGGGGTTTCACGGTGTTAGCCAGGATGGTCTCGATCTCCTGACCTCGTGATCCACACACCTCGGCCTCCCAAAGTGGGGGGATTACAGGCGTGAACCACGCGCCCGGCCTTAAACAGCCTTTTAAGTGGCCTCCCACTTCTACTCTTGCCTGTAACTTTCTCTTCAAAAGGGCCAAACATTCACCATATCATGTCACACCCATCCCCATCTTAAAATCCTTCAATTAGTTCCCAAAGCATTTAGAGTAAGTTCTAAACCCTACCTGGTATTTCCATTGTTTACCATGCAAATCTCATTCCTCTCCCCATCCCCACCCCCACGCCATCCAGTTTTTTACCCTTATTTACTCTTTCCAGCAATCCTGGCCTTTTTTTCTGTTTATTAAACACACCAAGCTAGCTTCCAACTATGGGCTTGTATTTGCTATTCTCTCTGCCTTTTGCTCCAGAGCTTTTACAACTCTATTCCTTCTATTTGTCCAAATGATAGATCAATGTCGTTCTGTCATTAGATCAGCTGTCATTCTGTCAGCAAGCTATTCCCTAGCCACCCTACGCAGCAGTGCACCACCCCTCTCGACCCCCTACTTTCTCTATCACCCTCTCTATCCCGAAACTCTATTATATTACCTTGCCTTCTAAAAAATCCATCATCTTTATCACTATCTGGATTTCCCCATTGTTTACTTATTCTATGACTACACAAAGTAAGTAAGCTATAGAACATAAGCTTCATGAGACCAAGGACATGTCGTATCTTGCCTATCACAGACCCTACGTACCAGTCATAACAAATTGCCTCAATTTCCTTAATGTACACGAGCTGTCTCATAGCTCCTTAATAAGCCATGCCTCATCATCTCCTGGCTCCCCTGAAACATCAACGATGCCTTGATCACTCATCCTTTATATGAGACCATTAAGCCTGGGATCTCAAACACTGTGATGATCACATTGAGGTACTTTTTTTTTTTTAAACATATATGCTGCCCCCATTGGATGCTGAGTTTCTTAAAGACATGAGTAGACTCTGATTTATGCTCATTTTCACCACCTAGAAGAGTGCCTGGCCTGCAGTAAACACCAACTAAGAATTTGTTATCCTTAAAAATGAGTACCTAACTTATGTAAAAGTATTCTTTTTATCCTTTTTTAAGCCTTAAAGGTAAATCGGCTGGGCACGGTGGCTCACGCCTGTATTCCCAGCACTTTCAGAGGCCGAGGCGGGTGGGTCACGAGGTCAAGAGATTGAGACCATCCTGGCCAACATGGTGAAACTCCATCTCTACTAAAAATACAAAAATTAGCCAGGCATGGTGGTGGGTGCCTGTAGTCCCAGCTACTCAGGAGGCTGAGGCAGGGGAATCGCTTGAACCCAGGAGGCGGAGGTTGCAGTGAGCCGATATCGTGCCACTGCACTCCAGCCTGGCGACAGAATGAGACTCAGTCTAAAAAAAAAACAAAAAACAAAACAAAACAAACAAACAAAAAAACCAAAGATAAGCATAACTTCTCTACTGACATATGCATTAATAAAGTAGTTATTAAAACAGGCTGGCCACGGTAGCTCATGCTTGTAATCCTATCACCTTTGGAGGCCGAGGCAGGCAGATCACTTAAGCCCAGGAGTTTGAGACCAGTTTTGGCAACATGGCAAAGCCCCATCTCTACAAAAAATACAAAAATCAGCCATGCACAGAGGTGCACATTGGTAGTCCCAGCTACTTGGGAGGGTGAGGTATGAGAATTGCTTGAGCCTGGGAAGTCGAGTCTGCAGTGAGCTGTGATTGTACCACTGCACTCCAGCCTGGGTGACAGAGCAATACCCTGTCTCAACAAATAATAAATAAAGTATTCATTAAAACATAATTTTGCAACAAAAGATGGCTCCAACGTTGAGTGACTGTTTAATAAAAATTATCTGTAACTTTCCTAAACGTTTCATTATTTTATACATGTTAATCATCTTCTCTCTTCGCTATCATCTGTCGAGTCTGGAAAATCCTACACATTCATGCAATTGATTTCTTCCTTTGATCATTTTAGATGCTCTTTCCTGCTTTTCTTTTTTTTCCTCTGCTTTTTCTGGAAAAGTACTGATAAAAAACTGCACATAATTACCTTGGGGCTATATAAAATTTTGGAACATAACTTTATTGTTTTGTTTTCAATATCCCTCTTGATGATGCCTAGGGTGGGGGTAGGTGGAAAGAGAGGAATATAGGAATACAGGAACAATGACACTTAATGTCTTCATGTATGAACAACAACAAAAGATCTAACATAACTAATAGAACATATACATGTATAATGTAACTATATTTGCACATATGTACTAAATACTATACATAAATACAGCTCAGATAATTTTTCACTAAAGACATTATCATTCACAATCTACTATTTGCTACAGTAAGACCCAAGGAGAAACCTTGGGAGACCATAATCATCCTCTATGGATGATTTTATCTATATTTTAGCCCTTTGTAAAATCATTGTAAAACTTCACATTTTTTAAAGCTGTTGTCTATATTTGTTCTACTGACAGACGACACATTATAACAAAAACTTAGAAAGCTGGAAGAGATGTTGGCTAGATCACAGTAATGAGAAAACTTTCTTTAAAGTAACTGGAATAACATCAAGACAAGGTGAAGATCACACATGACCAGGCTTCCCAGAAAACCTGGGAGACAGAGGCCCAGCTACATAGCAAAGAATTCATTAACTTTATTCATGATGGAACCTCAAACTTAGCCCTGTATTTCCTATGTAGCTTTTGTTATGATTAAGTAATGATTTGGTCTGTTATATAGTGTTCTTTTCACATTTTATTATGAACTTCATACCATAGCTCCATTTGATTTATGCTAAGTTCTCTTTGTGGTAAAAATCTTTAAGCCTCTATTTTAGGTAGCAGATGTACCTCTGAGTAGATGTTCCCTACCACTGAAACTTCTCCTGTTGGCCAGGCACAGTGGCTCACATCTGTAATTCCAGCACTTCGCACAGCCAAGGCAGGAGGATCACTTGAGCTCAGGAGTTAGAGACCAGCCTGGGTAACATGGGAAGACCTCAGCTCTACTAAAAAAAATAAGCTGGGCTAGGTGGTGGGAGCCTGTAGTCCCAGCTACTCAGGAGGCTGAAGTGGGAGGATCTCTTGACCCTGGGAGGTTGAGGCTGCAGTGAGCCATGATTGCACCACTGCATTCTAGCCTGGGTGACAGAGTGAGACCCTGCCTCAAAAAAAAAAAAAAAAAGAAAAAAAAGAAAGAAACAAAGAAAAAGAAATGACTACGGTTAATCTTCCAGATGACACATCTAGTAAATGACAGCACCTACCCACAAGACAGGTGTGAAATCTTGAGGGCAAACAACATTTACCTTTCCACTACTGTTTGAGACATACAACAAGTCATCTGTATTTTTAAAGTTTTCTTCTTAATGTATACCTTTCCTTTAGGTTTTAAGGGGGCATAGGCTTACTATACTGTTGATTACACAAACTAGTTCAACTATCCATTCTGTGATCTCTAGAAAGGTTTTTAACAGATTAAAAAAAAAATCTTGGTAATTTGTAACCTATATTTCAGGTTTCTGAAAAGAGTTCTAAAGTAAAAGCTAACTTTGCTTTTTAAAGATATCGACAACTATTAAAATGGTACTATTATAAACGAATAGGCTTATACTTTTAATATGCCACCATAAAGGGAGATATAACATCCCTTAGAACATTTTGGACAGCTACAACAAAGTTATGGCTTTAAAAATATTAATGGCAAATCATACCTTTGAGGTATGCATTAGTCAGCATTGCCTTGACAATGTGCCTGGAAGCATTTTTTTTTAACACTTGTAGCCAAATGAACAGAAGAGGGCACTGCTGCTAAGCAGGATGCAGAAACACATACCAGCTAGCAGTAGGCACCAGGGTAATGAAGGTTCCTTTCAGAAAGTAATCATTCTGACCTTCTAATTTGAGGCCAAGTGAATAATAACTCATGAGAGTCCATTATTGAAATCTTTGCTCTGATTTTTAAAGAAAAATAGCAAACTGTCTTTAAATTTGGTGTGTTACTCACTTACACACAATCCACCTTTCCAGGAAGGAGATTTGCTCGTGTAGACTTCTACAGATGGACTTACAGAACTTTTCCAGGTGGACACAGATAATCAGGGACCTGTAGCTGCTAAACTTTGATCTTACCATTGAAACCATCCTGGTCCAGATCTCCCAAAGGAGCTATGGCACTGCCAAACCGTGCAAAGACCTCAAATCCATTCAGCTTTGTCGTCTGGAAGTCTCCTGAAGCTCTCTGTAGAGACACTGAGACCTGCCCCACCTCTTGGAGTTTGCCATCAGAGCCACGATCCATGAAGAGAGGTGCTCCAATAAACACATCTGCATAACTAGAAGAACAGAAACTTCTCACCAAAGCAAGAACAAATTTCATGTCTTAGTAGGCATTTTCTTTCTTACTACAACTCACTTTTCCTCTTTCTGCATCTCTCACACCCACAGTGAAACACAAAATGATTACCAGAGCACTCATTTCAAATTTGAAACTTCCTTTAATTCTTTTAAGAAACTATGAATAATTCATAAAATTACTTTATTTGTTCATGTTATAAAAGCTACTGAAAAAAAACAGAACAAACATATGAGGTTTTCTAGAATTCATGATTAAGGTTGCTTCAAATTGTTTCCTTAAACAGAAAGATTAGCAGAAAAGGAATACAAAAACAGAAGAAAAAAATGTTTAGTTTGAGTAAAGTATTCGTAAACATGAGAAGATAACTTTCTGGAAACATTTTTTTTTAAACTTACTCATCTCCATTAATGTCAGTGGCAGCTACAGAAAATCCGAAATATGCAGCCATCTGGATAAAAAGATGAAAATGAAATGTTTATATTTCATCCAATTAGTTTAGACAATTAACATTTGTAATATATGTACCAAATAGGGTTATTTTTTTTCTCTGCATATAGTGCTTCAATCTAAATGTCTTGTCTTTTGTTTATTCTACCAACACAATGACAATCAGGTAATGAGGCTTGTTGTTTTCCTAGATCATGGACACAATATATTACATGTATATACACAATATATTACATGTATATCCTTCCAGTGTTGTTGATATATGACATTTAAGTCTAAGGACTATCAATTCTCCTTCTCAGGCCTACCCTACTATCTCCCTTTCTCTCCACTTCCCAAAACATACCAGACACAAGCACACTAACAAAGATATATAGTCACAGACAAATGTTGTGATTGAACCCAACAAGTTTTATATGGATGCCTATGTCATGAGGATAATAGATAATAATTATTAATAACAGATAATAATTGGCTCCCCTATGTGTAACTACTACTACTGTTTAAAAATTACTGTTTGGAAAGATATGGAAAGGAGCTCATTTTTGTGTCATATCTCTATAGATTACTTGCCACATGATTTTGCTTTTGAATCACACACAGTACAAATGTGTTTGGGTTTATTATGAGCTTATAATGCACAGGGAGCAGAAATGTCCTCTTCCCTACCACAGGAGACCACAGGCTTGCATAGGATGAGCAGCTTAGCTGTAAATAAATGTGAAAAAGGAAAGCTCTAAAGAGAGCTGAAAGTGCAAAACAAAACTAAAAGAGATGACAGATTAAATATAAAGTAAGGTGAAAAATGAGTCAACAAACCAAAAAAGGAAAGTTAGCAATGCTTCTCAAATTTGATTGGCTCAGATATCAAGGGAGAATGATAAGGGAGATTCCTGCATTATCTATTTTGGGTTGATACAGTGTAATTGGGAAAATGAAAGGTGTGTTCTGTATTAAATAACAAGTTCAGAGCTTGTGAAATAAAATATACTGTGTTTGGGGTACAAGGTTGATGTGCCGACTATGTAACAGAATAATATTCATGGGCCTTAGTCACCTATGGTGTTTGGCTTGGAAGTGTAAAGAAAGGATGGCATTTACTGAGACACACTTTGTCCCGGGCACTATGATTCGAATGTTTTCTTTTGATTCTCACAACTGTCCCATGAGGAAGTTGTCAGCATCCCTATTTTTATAAATAAGAAACAGATTTTCAGCAGCAAATACCTTATCCAATGCAATAACAGATTGAGCATGGAAAACCCAGGTTTGTCCTCATCTAAAAGCCACGCTTCCCACTCCTCTCTAGCCACCCCCACTTCCCAATAGTGGAAGGAGGAATAAAGCAAGTATCATTGAGTGCATGCAGTAGGATCCAGACTCATACATGGTCACCAGACAGGAGAAGCTGCTTGAGCTGGAGAAGTCAAAACGGAACAAAGGGACCACCCCTGCAGCAACCCTAACTGCCTGTCAACTGCAGGGCCCTCCAGGTTGTGCATCAATCTTGACTGCCATACAAATGGGAGGAGGTTTCTGGGGACCATGAGTCTAGTCAGTCAGCCTGTCAATCCTATCCCAAAGCCCAACAATCTCAACTGAACAAAAAGGCTTGAATCCCAGATCTGCAAACTTTGAGAAAGATTTTTCTCTACCTACTGTTTAAATGTTTATTCATCATTACCAACTTATGGTATAATTCTTTGAGACATACAACAGAGAATATTATAAAATGCCTGTACTCGCAGAGAAATGTCTAATACTTAAAAAGTACTAGCATTTTTTTAGCTGAGAAATATCTTATTTCATGTAGTAAAAATGAAGTTCGCTTATAATATCTATAATACACATATCTGTGCCATGCTTTCTGTTGCATCTAATAAAATTATAAGGCATTGATCATCCTTAAAAAAGAATTTAAAGAATTCTTTTCTCTTTTTTCTTTTCAGTAAAGAAAAAGGAAGTCTTTGTGGTTTTGTATGCATGTGATTTTGCATTTCCTAAAAAAAAAAAAAAAAGGAAACAAAAACAAGCCAAAATATCCAAATTACTTTGGTTAAAACAAAGATGAAATATTTAAAGCCCATCTTATATCTAGAATATTGAATATTATGGAATCATTAAACCATTCTGATACTGCCAAGGAAAGTTTTAAGAAATTAGAAACTCTGATGATAAAATATTGAGTGAAAAAGGCAAGACAAAATGAAAAATACAGAGTAAACCAATTTTTGTTTATATACTACACACACACACACACACACACACACACACACACACACACGCTCAAAAGAGAAATGATAATAGTTTGACCAAAATGGTAAGAGTTGGAAGAATTATCTATTTGATGAGATTATAGTTCATTTTTACAGTTTTATTTCGCAAATTTTCTCCAATGAGTACATACTGCTTTTATAGTGGGAGAGGACGATCATATTTTGGAAGCATACCTGCTCGCCAGTAAAATTGTATAAGGAGGACATGTTCTTCCCATCATAAATATAAACCTGTGAAGGAAAAATAGAAGTATGTGAAATCTGGTAAAATAGAAGATAACTTAGAGATTTTTTAAAAAATACCTTTTAACTGTCCTACCATTCCCAAAGTCCTTGCTGCTCTTGGAACTCCTGAAACAAAGTCTGAAACAAACAAACAAACAAATTATTCATTTTTTAGGACAACACTGGAAGTTGCAGACCAGAAGTGACTATGTCAGCAAGCTTTAAGTTTTACTACTTCAGTTCAAAACAAACAATCAATTTAGAAAAATTGGTACTCCGTAATAAATAGCCCAGCATTTTTAAACTATAAAATCAAAATTTACAAAATACAAATTCTGGAGGGCTCTCAAACATATGCAAATAAGCCCTCAAGTCATTTGTAATATTGTTAAACAAGAATAGACAAGATAAAGTAACCTAAGAATGAAGAAAAACTACATTTAGTTTAGTAGTACAGTAATGAAAAATAATACAGAGCAAACTGAAGTGGGGTAGAAGTGGCTGTGGCACAAAAATGTGATCAAAATCAGGTAAAGACTGTGATTCCTAAACGGAGCTCTGAAGGAAGATGGATGGACAATGAGAGGATGGGGTAATAACCGTACAGAGATGGCCCAGAAGGTAACAAAGGATGCCTAAAGAAAGAAGACACTAATTCTTCCTCCCAGAGGAATGAATTTGCTGAAGACAAGGAGGAAAATGCTAAGGAAATCACTAACAGTGTTGGGGGCTAAAAAGAAGCAGAAAGGAAAGGCACTGAAGCCAAGTGTAGCTGTCTCAATTTCAGCAGCCACTAGAGGAAGTTCAGCACAGACCTAGCCTGGACTCTCACCAGTGTGCTAACATCTTCCTCATTTCTTCTGTTATATTCCATAACAATGGTTTAAAATTGCTTAAAATTTTATTTTCTTTTCCTTTTTTTTTTTTTTTTTTGAGACAGGGTCTCGGCTCTGTCGCCCGGGCGGGAGTGCAGTGGCGCAATCACAACTCACAGCAGCCTCAACCTCCCTGGGCTCTGGAGATCCTCCCACCTCAGCCTCCTGAGAAGCTAGACACTGGTGTGCATCACCGCGCCCGGCTAATTTTTGTGTTTTTTCTAGAGGCAGGGTTTTGCCATGTTGTCCAGACTGTTCTTGAACTCCAGGGCTCAAGGGATCCACCCGCCTCAGCCTCCCAAAGTGCTGAGATTACAGGCTGCAGCCACAGCACCCAGCCACTCAAACTGCTTAAAATTTTCAATGCCACATGTTTCAAATACTTAATCTAATTTTTTTAAAGATTAGATATAGTTCAAGTACTTCATACCATCTATGCCATCACCATTGAAATCTCCGACAGCCACAGAATAACCTAAACAGGAAACCAAAGGGGAGAACCATCAGGACAAGGACGTTATCTTCAGCAGGCTTGCTGAGTAAGCATTCCTTGAAAATATTTTCAAGAAACTCCTTTACTTATGCAATATTTTGTCCCCTAGTCATAACAGATTCATATATATATGACATATGAATTTTAAATGAAACTGAGTTAAATACTCAAATAGTCTATTTTTATTACAAAACTACAATTGTCTTATTAACTTTACAAAGGAGTCTGTTAAAAACACCAAATTTACAACTCATCATAAAGAACAAATAAATTCTCTCAATCAGCAAGTACTATTTCTGTCATATATGACTTGTTTTAATATATCATAAAGAAATTGAAAGAGAGAACACATGTTAATAAGTCCTAAAGACCAAAACTTTTATTTAACATCATGAAGAAAACTTCAGGAGTTAGACTGTCTCCATTTGAATCTCTGAACAGCAAGTTACAAGCGAGTGACTTTGGGCAAGTTATTTTGCGTCTCAGTGCCTCAGTGTTTTCACCTACAAAATGAGAATAATACAGTATGCTTGACTTGTGAGGATTAAATGAGTGAATACAAACCAAGTCACCTTGAACAATGCCCAGAACACAGTAAGCATATCTTAAAGGCTAGCTATTATTATTATCACTGCACAAATAATCACTGTCTTCAATTTCAATTACTGAAACGTAACATAACCAAAGTACTCATTAACAATTTGAAATTGTATATTCTGTATGTTTCAAAAAATCCTAATCTATTTCACATAAAATATTTTTCTACTTAAAAGACCATACTCAGATATAAGATATATGTACCACAGTTCCAAAAATGAGTAAATTTTGGTTTTACCTACCCAAATAGCTGTCATCAAAAATAGCTTGTGCAGTCCGAGTTGCTAATTGGTTATTATACTTGATGCTGTAAACATTGGGGTCGTATTTAGATACGATTTCTGCCACTTGATCCGAAATAAGCTGACCTAAAAAAGGGTGTATATATAAAATAAATAACCTTCAAATGGAAACTTTATGATACAGATAATGTATGGTACCTGCATGAAGGAAAACAATATTAGATATTAGTACTTCTAATTATTAGCCGTACATAACTCTCCTTGATCATACTCAATTTGAAAATGGATATTCTTAACTTAAAATTATTTCTGTTTAAGCCAGTACTTAAAAGTAGTCTCTGCTAATAAAAATTTAAGAAAACAGGACTTGTCTTAAATCACTAGAAAGCAATGTTAAATACACGGAATAATAAAATCAAAGGCTATCACCCAACTAATCCATTAAAACATGAAAAATTTACTGAAACAATACTGTTACTTTTATAATCAGAATAATTGGTTCAATTGATATTTTTTAACTAGTAATTTAAACATCTTTAGGAAACAACCTGAATGGATGAGTTCACCTTTGTTCACAACCTTGTTATTAAGCAGACAAGAAATCTAGATGACTACACAAAAATCAGCCTGCCCTCCATGCCAAGAAAGGATAGCTGGTTTATCAAGTGTTGTCTCCACAATATGGACACAGTAATCTCTTATCATTTCTGCTGTTTTAGAAAGAAATGTGTAACAGCTAACATTTTCAGTCCTGTTCCCATCTGTTCAGTCACAGAGACTGGATCTACAGCACAGAAGCACTTTCTCTGTCCAGGTCACTACTTTATCATCTGGGCTTCAGCGGTACCAAGAACATATGAAATTCAATAAACATTTCCTGAATTGAAGAACAGAGGAAAATTCATTATTTCTTCTGAATAAAACATTATTCTTTTCTCCATTCTAACAACGACAATTCTGAGATCTGTGAAAAAATTCATTCTAACGTACTTATCCAGGGTGACATCTGCTGATTTTAATCTTATTAAAACAAAATACTATTTGCCAATTCACTGAGTCTGCTAGCTATATATTACAGACAACTTGTAATAAAATTCTAATAAATATAATATTAATAGTACCTCTCTGTCCTAATTTATTACTGTGTCCTAATTATTACACATTCCTATTTATTATTATTCCTATTTATGCAATACCCATGGCATTAAAAAAAAAGGTCATACATTTTCACAGCTGTATCTCTTAAAAAGACAGAGTTAACAAGTAGTCCTAACTGAGAATCACAAAATTTAGCTTCCTTGACAGTTTTGGTTCCCAGGCATGCTCATCAGATACTTCCTTCCCCTCCACTGAATGACATAATCAGCAATAAAGAAGAAAAATAAATCCATATTTCTATATCTAACTATAAAGTGTTAATATCCCCTATTTTCTCATATGTACTTTAGAACTGCTATTTTTGTTTTAAAACAGTAAAACTCAATTATAATTTTTCTAAATCATTTTATTTCCCAATAGATGTATAATGCATAGAAATTCCAATTTTTCAGCTTTGCTATGTCTCACATTCTGATCCCTGTCTGTGATGCCTGAATTTTCTATTTTTTTATTCCCTCCTTTGCCTTCCCTTTCAATATTTCACTTATTCCTAGTTTTCTTTTCTTCTTATTCTCCTTCCATCCTGTCATCCTCCAGCAAATCTCTTTCTTTAGCTTCCCTCTCCACAAGGCAAAAGCAAGCATGTTTTCTACAAAGAAGCAAGTCAGGAAAGCATAGTGTAGAAAATAGAGTAAAATTTGAAACTTTCAAATCAATCCAGTCAAAGGTTTTCTAATTCTTCCAAACACTGACAATGCTTGAATATCAGAATGCTAATACAAAATAGTTCACCTCATAAATGGCACTTTTTAGCAGAAACTAAACATGTCAATATATTGATGAGATAAATAATTGTGTATCTCTAATGATACATAAAGAAACATAAAGCAAATAAAGTTTTAGTTATCTATATTCACACTGTCAACAATAATCTATTGTACATATGTTCAAATGGTAATTTAATTAGGCCTCCCAGAATGACTGAATAATATAATAATGCATCTTTATATCAATGCCAGTTTAATATTTTTTAAAAACCTATTAAGATCCTCCAATTTTATTTTATTTTATATATATTTTTTGAGAGAGAGTGTCACTCTGCTACCCAGACTGGAGTACAGTCGTATGATCTTGGCTCACTACAACTTCCTCCTCCTGGGTTCAAGTGATTCTCCTGCCTCAACCTCCCGAGTAGCTGGGATTACAGGCCCACGCCACCATGCCCAGCTTCAATTTTTAAGAAGTCCCCAAACACTTAGAGATCATTCTCAATATCAGTAATAATAAAATAATGACTTAAATATCCTAATGAGCAACTTCAAAATACTTTCAAAACCTTCAACTTTTAGAATGCCACAGTTGGCCTATACAGATTGGTTTCGCACACTGCCTAATGACTATGTCATGGCCCCTAGAGTACAGACATGGAGAAGTATATATCACACACAATAAAAATAAATTACTTTATATAATTACTTTTAAAATATATTTAACATAAAAGTATGTATTTACTTTTTAAATATTCAGTTTATTTTCTTCTAGGAATATACACATATTTAATATATATTATATATATTCTTTTAAAAAACACTGTGTAAAATGGAGTGTTTATATACTTTAATTGTATTTCCATTTCTTTCTTTAAAATAATTTGTAAAATGTCATAGGCATACAATTAGCCAGGTGAATCAGCGACACATAGTCACCAATTGTAATTTAAAAAATATTAACCTACCTTGCCAATAAAAGCTACCAGGACCACCAAGAAGTACTCTGTCAGCCTAGATGAAATCACACAACAAAAAGATATATATTTAAAGAACAAATATCTCTCAAAATAGAAATCAATGAAAAACATAAGATATATATGTATATGTATACATGACTGAACAATACAGTATTGTATCTTTATATCATTACCAGGTTAATTATATTTTTTAAAATTTAATAAGACTTTTTTTTTTTTTTGTAGAGACAAAGTCTTCCCTTATCCAGGCTGGTAAGCTGGTCAAACTCCTGGCTTTAAGCTATCTTCCCAGCTCAGCCTCTTAAAGTGCTGAGATTTATATCTATCTGTCTGTCTGTCTATGTATCTATCTGTCTATGTATCTATCTATCTATCTATCTAGTATATATTAAAGCAAACAAAGTCAAATCTCAAATTCATCTAACTCAGTTTCAGTGGTTTTCACTGTATCTTTTCTAAAATAAAATTTAAAAGAAACATTTTAATATATTCATTCAATACATGAAAATACACACTTTTGTGGATCTTGGCTGCTTCACATATTTGAAATGAGGACTAATGCGAAGTATTATCAGGTTACAATTTTTTTAAGGCACTTCTTAATTTTGTATATTAAATTTGTGACTATACAGCAAATTTTCTTTCTATAATCATTGAAGAATTTTCTGCTAAAGGAAATATTTTTAGTGTCTCAGATCTAAACAGAAGTGAAGTTGAGAATAAAATTTTCAGGGTGTATTATACATATACAAATTATGCTTGCCTAGCATTTCTTATATTTAACTATCTAAAAGTGTCTAATCCTAGGTATATTGTGTTTCAGCACAATATTTTAGAAATCTCTTCTTGCTGGAGGTAAGATAAATTTTTTTTCCCCTCCAAATGTACATATAGCCCTTCCAAGCTTTCAATAGACAATCTTTTGCCTTGGCTACGTAAAAGAACTTCTAAGTCATCTGCCCTAAAAAGACACCCTTTTCTCAGAAATGTGTTTAAGAAAGTGAATACCTAATTTAGCAATGACTTTCACAGTATGAGAGTACTTCTGGGGTTATGGTTGTATAGGCATCAATACAGAAAAGATGGACATTATATATTTTAAAAATATATAATACCTATTTGGAAATGTATCATACAAGTTTAAACCTAACATTTATTAATATACTTTATCTCTCTTTGGCTTACATTCTGAATTTTGAGTAATATAGTATGAAATTTAGAGTATTAAAAACAAGTTACCTAGTAAGAAGAGTTAACTATAATTATCAGTACCTAGTCTAGAAAAAAAATTAATAAAATACAAATACAGATAAAATAAAATTTTTAAAAAAACATTGAGACTGGGTCTTGCTCTGTTGCCCAGGCTGGAATGCAGTGGCATGAACATGGCTCAATGCAGCCTCACTCACTGCAGTTCAAGCAATCCTCATGCCTTAGCCTCCCGAATAGCTAGGACCACAAGCACATGTCACCCATGCCTGGCTAATTTTTAATTCTTTGTAGAGATGGTGTCCCACTATGTTGCTCAGGCTGGTCTCCTGGGCTACAGTGATCCTCCTACCTCAGCCTCCCAAAGTGCTGGGACTACAGGCATGAGCCACTGCACCCAGCCTACAAATTTTTAAAAAATAAGAAAATGCTTTATTAGTTCTTATGCATCATATTATTTCAATTTCAGTTGTTTTCATACATTTAAGGCACTCCTCTTTGCTCACATTTCTAAGAAAGCGTACATATAAGCTTTCTAAGGAAGGTCTACATATAATCCATCAACATAGTTTTTAGACTTCTCTAGAAAGAATATTCTCAATTTGATATTCAAAATGTGCATACTCCCCCACCACCAAAATAAATAAACACACAAAAGAAAAGTAAATAAAGAAAAGTACTTCAGAAAATTTACCTTTGAACATTTAAATGGAAGTCTTATTTTCAAAAAATAGATTAAAAATATCAATTCTGAAGAGAATATTAATTTAGTTAAAAATACATAGAGCCCTGCCTATGAGATTTCTTACAATTATTACACATTACATAAGTGAAGTCAGCTTCACTTAGTGCCTATAGGCACATAATAGATGGCAAACATACATGTTTCCCAGCTTTTATGTAACTCTAATTTTGTAATAAAGCTCTCATTGATAGCTTTTGTAAGAAAAACAACTTTAATTAAAAATAGAAAACTTTAATATGCTATAAATTCATATAACTGGAAATTTTAATATTAAGTCATAATAGTTACCTATCATTTACTGAGGAGAGTGTCTACTTTCCTCCATTCCCAGAGTGATGGGGGATGTCTCCCTATTTCAAATAAGCAATGTTTACTAGGGAGGGAATAATATAAGACAAAGAATGTCAAAATGAATGGATCGTTTTATTAACTGTTTTCATTAAAGAGCTAACAGCTGTAAAGGAGTTGAGGTATTGACCAGTTTATTTTTAACCACAGTCTAGTCAATAAGGTAGATGTGAATCTCATTCAGTCTTAAATAAGAACTTACTTTAGTAAAATCAATGCTGAATCCTCCTTGACAAAATCCCTGTCCATCAGCATCAATATCTTCTAAAATAAAAAGATTGGAAATATACACAAACCCAAAAACAAACAACACAAAACAAAACATGAGAAAATCTGATATCACTAGAATCATAAGATAATGTACCAATTTTTGAGAGTGGTCATTCACTCGGGCACTTAGTTATTACCACATTCCAAGAGAGTATGCATGTTTATCAGCACCATTTACTCAGATACGGAAACGAAGATTAAATACCTGAACCAGTCACCAGAGAACAAAGAAACCAACTAAAATGATAAATTTTAAACCCTTTAGTTAACCACAATCCACAAAAAGATTATAATTTATATCACAACCCAACACCCATTGTGTGTATAAAATATATAGATACAACTTAAAATCTTACCAAACAATATTTGTATTATTATATAGAATACTCTCTGACATTTTCTATTTTATTTCATTCTTTTTTTTTTTTAGAAAAACTATAGTGGTTTTGACCCACTACACTGATTTCATAAAACACTAACAAGTTGTGATCTGCAAGTTAAAAATTCCAATATGAAATTCCTCTGTCTTCCTATTACCCTAAGATTGCTAGGTCTTCGCTAAGACCTTTGTTATTATGAATAGCAGCAAACAGATACATACATTATAGAGCCAACAACAGAGATGAATAACATAGCTCAGAATTTCAGGAAATGGACAGACCAGAACTTAATGCTCTTCAAAAAGTAAAATATAAAGCTATCCTCCCACGTTTAGTACGGAGATCTAATTAAAGTAACCATCTTTAAATGATACTTTCAAGTATTTTCCAACCATAGTAGGCTCAATAGTTGTACTCTTTTGTAGTTGTTCCCTTTTTAGTTGTTCTCATAGAAAGGGATTAATTCTGAACAATTAGCCAATTAATTTAAATTAATTTTAATCATGAGCAATACAGTACCTAGAACACATGTAAGGATGAATCTGAACACTTTCCCCTTATTTTACTTTGAGGATAACAGAGAACAATGGAAAACACTATCCTTCAGTTATCAAAGACTCACTGTGGCCAATGTTACAAATACATTAAAGCTGTACTGTTACTTTGTTTGCCACCCAAATACAGGAACCAAAAATATCTGTTTTCAGTCACAAGGACAAACTTCTAAGAACTTCTGCTAAATAATCCCATCAGAAATTTTGAACCCATTTTTAAAGCCTGGAAACTGCCCAAAGATTACACACTTAATATCTAAATTTTTTTAAAGTTTTTTTTTTTTGAAAGAAAATAGCCTCAAGAGTATAATGCTAAACCAATGTAAATTTTTCTAACCAAGAGGGAGTGGGAAAATGTGGGGCAGGGGTTTCCAGCATCCAGTGAATCAGACTAAGGAATTCTGCTCTAACCTCAAGTTAGAGCAAGTCGGCTATTTATTTCCTTTATTCAAGTTGCATCTGGGGAACTATTTCAAGCTATTTATAAAGACATCCTTTTTTTGATTATCATACTGTACAATTATCTGCTTTATTTGGTTTCCCAGAGTATCCAGCTAAAAACCATGACTGTCTCTTAAAATTTTCTTAACAGGTATATATTAAACTGAGTGCTTTTGCCAATTTAAAGACTTCATGTTGAATATAAACTATTTTGATGCAGGCTCTGGTACTTATTCCTGCAGATGGTTAATACTTCTCCCATTTGTTAAGTCTGGTAATTATATTACAAATAGTAATATTATTGATTCTGACAGTAAGATCAGCTAGGGTTTATTAAGCCTTTACTCTGAGTCAGGTATTATGCTAAAGCATTTTACATGACATTAACTTTTTAAGTCTTTATACCAATCCTATAAGAGATACTATTATTACTCAATAATTTGTACAGATAGGGAAACTGATGCTTAGGGAAATTAGGTAACTTGACCATGGCCAACCAGCTAGTAAATAAGAGAGTAGGACCTGAACCCAGGTGTGTCTATAACACTACACTGTACTGTTTCAAATCAATAATATCTTTATCATTCCCTGAGTAATGACAAAAGGAAAGGAAAAGCCAACTAGAAATCATTACTGAGAAAAATCTATGTTCAAATAATATTAGCATCAGAAAGCAGACAGAAGGAACAAAAGTGGCTAGGCAATTTAGAACAGAAGAACATCTGGTCTACTGCATAATGTCCTTTGTCATTACTCAGGAAATGATAAGTATATTGTTGATTTGACATAGTGCAGTGTAGTGGTGTAGACACATGTGGTGTCAGGTCTATACTCTCTTATTTACTAGCTGGTTAGCCACGGTCAAGTTACTTAATTTCCCCAAGTAATTTTGCTTTTTTGTTGTTTGAGGTTGTTTTTTATGCTCTTCTCCTAAGGTCTGAGGTTTTATCATGCAGTTATGAAAAGCTGAAAGCAAATGTAATCAGTAATAAGGTAAGTTAGTGACAGACAGTGAAGTTCCTTGTCCACGGTGTCCATATAAGTCAGGTTAAAAACAGAACAAACCAATTAACCAAACTAACTAACCAACAACAACAACAACAAAAACTCAAAAGCAAACAAATAAATAAAATAACCCACAAGACAAGCAAAGTTATTAAAAAGTTAGCAGTGTAGTCTTACAAAACAGACATCATCTCATAAAACCAATTATTCGTTTGCATAATTTATTGAAGTATGAAACAGATAAAAAACACTGAATTTATACCTCAGAAGTTTTTTGTGTGAATTGGTGTTTTACCAATGATGAAACAAAGGCCCAGAGTGGTTAGGTGAATTACCCATAGCTATAGGTGGATTGTCAGCACAAAGTCAGAATATAACCCAGGTTCTCAGACTTCCGCTCCTGAGTCTTCTTCTCTGAACAAGATGCCCCTCACAATTTAGGCCTATTATAGGTGGCTTAACATTTCAAAGGTTGAATCAAAAAGCATGTACAATAATCAAGGGTTACTGAAAGTGTCAGGCCTATTAGAAACAAAGGCATGCACTTTGCTTTTCTGTTTTTTGAGACTGTTCTTTAAGCTTTTCCTAAGATTTGAGGTTTTATTATTTAGATTAGGGTTCAGCAAACTTTTTCTGTAAAAAGCCGAACAGTAAATATTTTAGGCTCAGGAGCCACACAGTGTGGCAACTCAACTCTCACAACTGTACTAGATGATTATAGATAACACATCAACAAATGGGTGTGGCTGTATTCCAATAAAACTTTATTCACAAAAAGAGGCCCACAAGCCACAGTTCATTGACCTGATTTGGATGTTAAATACCTTAGAAAATATGGCTTTAAATGACTTTATAATTTCTGTGCCTAAACCAAATAAAAGCATTCTGTGAACAAGGGAATCATTGTTAGAACGCATGTTTTCAGGAGAGTTCCATGTATTCTTACATATCAGGAATTATCCAAACCTAGGTCATGAAAGCAGGAGGTATTCTTTGTAGAAAAGCTGTGCTTAATACAGAAGCAACTGAAATGGAAAACATTTTCTATTGTGAATAATGTAGAGGAAAGGTTCTTTTGGAATAGAACAACTTGGGTTTAAATCCTCATTTGACCATTCAGAACATCAACACTGACTTACTCTATATGTATCCTGAAAACAGTGAAAGTAGGTCATAGCAGCTACTTCTCTACACGTACTTGATGCTCCAGAGTGGGTGGCTTGCTCCTTTTGCTTACTCCTGCTTTCTTGCACCTCTTTCTGCCTAGAATATCCCCACTCTCAACCCCATGAGATGTGGAAATAAGATTGCTTCAACTATGTGAACCTCAGTTCCCACATGCATCAAATGAAAATAAGAGTGTACTGCGTGTGTGTGTACATCATATAATTAATAAGTAACAAACTTGGCAAACAAGGGTTAACTCATTCTTCGTAGCTATAAAATTATCTTTTCAAATAGGAACATTTTTGCAATATAGAAATTAAAAATACAAATTTAATCTTCAGATTCTCTACATACCACCGAAGATGACAGTACCATAACCAAAATACCAACATAAAGATGGCAGTACAGATGGCATCCAAGCACTGAGGATAAAGCCTCAATTTCCCTCATCCTGTGCAGTGTATGCTTTCTAACCTGATTTTTTCTCTTTCCTAACACACAATACAGATCTGAGTAGGTATCACTCTTTTAATGTTCACTTCCCACTTATAACAGGTAGGATCAAAGTGTTGGGCTAAGAAAATAAGTGTTTATTGAAATAATCTGCAGTTTCCTGTAGGTTCAACTACTTAGAATCTGGAGGACAGAATAGTTCCTTTGACCTGGTGTCACAGGTCACCTAACATGGACAAAACAAATGTAGGAGTAAGAGTCTTACATGTTGTGCTTTTGTTACTAATTTTCTCTAATAAACTATGTGGTGACCAGTGGAACACAAAAAATAATGGCCTAAGGGCTCTAGGCATAAACACTATACTGCATTTCAGTAACCTATTTTTATGCTTCTGGTACAAGGAAGATCTAAAGCAGTAGCCAATTCAACAAAGGGTAGCGGGGCACAAAAGGACTGGAATCTCCAAAGAGAAGAGGATGTAGAGATTTTGGAAAAGCATAATCAAAATTATAATTGCTTGAAGTCATCTTTAGCCATGATATTAATTCCTTTTGAAATTTCAAGTAATATTAGCAAAGAGCATAAAATCCTCTGGATCACCAAAAAGGGGTGGGCTTGGTAGCAGGTTAACAAAGAAATTCTGATTAAGAGCAGGAAAATTCAGAGTCAAGACTCCTGAGTTCAATGTTCATCTTCCTATATAAACTTTGGCTCTTTAAGACATAATATTCTTTATTTTCAACATCATTATTAATATAAAGCAGGAGTTCTCAAACTTTGGTATCTATCAGAATTGCCTTGTAGAGTCTGTTAAAAGTGCAGGTACCCAGGCCTGACCTAGACCTACTGAATCAGAATCTTTAGTTGTGGGGTCTACATCTTCTCTGTTAAGAGAAGTTCAACTAAGCATCTTTTGACTGTTAGTCATCAAAAATACAGATTCTTAAAATCAGGTAGTAACTATTATTATACTAACGAAGGAAGATGAAAATGAGTTCTTAGAAAAAGTAAACCTGTTTACTTCACATTTGTAATATCTTTACATTAGTAGGATTGTTTTCATTTTGTTATCATCATAATATGTCTATATCTTTTAATATCTCTCTCTCTCACACACACACACACACCCACACACACATATTTTTAACAAACTAGGCTTCCCACCCCTCTTCTTAAAAGCTGGTACAATATCCTATACATACGTGATCTACATGGAGCATACTCAACAGTCTTTGTTCCATCTTGAAGAAAGCATGTTCCAACAGGCTCTCGCTCCTGTTTCATCTCAGTTCTCCAATGGTACAATGGGGCACAGGCCTAAAATCAAAGGTTTAGTCCACGACACGAAGATTTTCTAAAAATTTAGTGTTTCAGATGCTCTATACTACTTCAGAATATAATACCACTTTCTCTTTTTTGAGATGGGGTCTCAGTCTGTTGCCCAGGCTGGAGTGCAGTGACGTGATCATGGCTCACTGCAGCCTTGAACTCCTGAGCTCAAATAATTGGCCTTACCCTCTTGAGTAGCTGGCACCACATGCGCATGCCACCATGCCTGGCTAATTTTTAAAAATTTTTTTATAGAAACGGGGTCTCACTATGTTTCCCAGGCTGGTCTCTAACTGAACTCAAGCAATCCTCCTGCCTCAGCCTCCCAAAGCGCTAATTGTGAGCCACCATACCTACCACACCTGGCCAACTTTCAAAGCATTCATAGAAATTAATCAAACCTATCCTATACCTTAAATTTCTTATCATAGTGGTAAATAAAGATATTAAGTGAAGTCTTTTTCTCACATTATTCTGAAGGCCATATTTGTAGTCCAATTTTTTTTTTCAAAATAGTTAGCAAAATTGTTATTTCAGGTAGTATATTTCTTGATGTAATATGCTATGCTAAAGGTAGAGACCAAACTAGCTTTTGAACTAAGTAACACTCATGCATATGGAATATACCCCCTAAATTATACAGCAAATAGTTTATTAAGAGAGTAAAATAATGCGCAGTACTTATTTTATTTACTTTCCAAATAAACCATGACCTTTTTGTTTTCAGCATTCTAGACTGTAATACCACATAGAGCAGTAGAGTAATGAATGCTTTAACAACATAGTAATCTACCAAATGTGTAACAATTCATTTAGTGAAAAAGGTTTAATTGATTTTCTATAATACTTTTTGAAGCAAAGTGCTAACATAAGCACTGCAGAACATCAATACTGACTTATTGTATATATACCCTGAAAACAGTGAAAGTAGGTCATAGCAGCTACTTCTCTACACGTACTTGACGCTCCAGAGTGGGTGGCTTGCTCCTTTTCCTTACTCCTGCTTCTTTGCACCTCCTTCTGCCTAGAACATCCCCACTCTTAACCCCATCCTTCACCTCCAATTGCTGAAATGTGGCACATCCTTTAAAGTCTGCTAAAACTTCACCTCCTAAGCAAATCCTTCCCTATGCAGCATAATTAGATGAAAAAATAAAGGCAACAATAAATACTACGTAAATAATTAAAATAGGCGGAGCAGTCTCTGAAATCTGAGTGACAGCTGAAATCTGAATGACAAAGGGCTAGCCAAGTAGAAATCATAAAGACAACTTATACAAGCAGAGGAAACACAAACACTAAGGTACTAACTGAAATAATTTGGAATGTATAAGAAATAAAGATAAGCCTGGCTTTAGTATGTGAGATGGAGTGAGAGGAGGCCAAAGACATAGCCAGTGACTTGTTTTTGGAGATGTTTTTAAGGCAGTATGAGCTTGTCATACTTATGCAGAGAGTGACAGAAAGCCACTTGACTGTTTTAATCAAGAAGGTAAAATGCTCTGGTTCACTCTGGTCCTTCTTGCAGTTAGGGTAAGAGAAGCAGCAGCAGGATGAGAAGAGCCGTTGCAGTGGTCCAAGGGGGTAATGATGGTGGCTTGTTGCAGGGTAGAAATAGCGGACATGTAGATCTACTGATAAATGTTGAGATATATTTTTGAGGCAGATTGTGAGTGCTCACTAGTGAATAGGGTGGAAACCCAGGCCTCCTAAAAAATTGGGAAATATATATAATAATAGTTTTTTATTTGTTTTTCTTCTTTGATGGAAGGAAACAAGAGTCCTATTTTGGCCATGTTCATTTGGAAGCCAAATAGGTAGCCTGGAAATATGCCTTTAAGGATCCAGGGAGAATTAAAAGCTAGAGGTATAGATTTGGGGATTATACTTACAGCCATGGGTTAGGCTAGGAACCTCTAGGTAAAAGTTGTAGTTAGAGGAAGCAAAGGAAGCTAAATAGAGATCAAGGATACCCCAATATTTGGAAACTGAACGTTAAGAGCAGCCATTAAAGGAGACTACAAAAGAGCAGCCAGTAAGATAGGAGAAAAACCAGGAAAATACAGTTCACAGAAACCAAGAGAAGAAAAATTTAGTTCTAAAAAAAAAAGGGATGTTGACCATTCTGAATAATGCTGACAGTGCAAGAAAGATAAAAATAAATACCAGCAGAGAAAACAAAACATAATGGTGTGTATGTATGCACATATGTATAAATGCTAGTGGATTTCAGTGACCTGAAAGTCAATGATGACATAGGAAAGGGAATGTGAAGTAAAGAACTACGATGGTTACCATAGAAAACATTTCAGAAACTGAGAAGAGGAGCAGAGGAATGGACAGTGGCATAGGGGGAGATGAGGTGAAGGAAGGTTGTTATTTTTTTTTCTTTGTTCTGTATTCCACTTCAACATCGTGTCGTATTTTCAAAGAGAGGAAGTGGCCAGGCTCGGTGGCTCACCTGAGGTCAGGAGTTAGAGACCAGCCTGGCCAACATGGCGAAACCCTGTCTCTACTAAAAACTACAAAAATTAGCCAGGCCTGGTGGCAGGTGCCTGTAATCCCAGCTACTCGGGAGGCTGCAGCAGGAGAATTGCTTGACCCTGGGAGGCGGAGGTTGCAGTCAGCCGAGATCGCACCACTGCACTCCAGCCTGGGTGACAGAGCAAGACTCCGTCTCAGGGAAAGAAAAAAAAAGAGAGAGAGAGAGAGGAAGTATTAAAGCACTTGTTAGCCAAAGCCACACTATTCCTATACTTGGCTAGGTGGAAATAAACTGATAGGAACTGTCAAGTGGGGCAGGTAAAACAAAGTAGGAATAAGGGTGAAAAAATGTGAAAGCCTGTTCAAGAAGGGCAAGAGAGATGGCCTCCTTGGACAGAGTGGCCTTTGATCAGAGCTATCTTATGTTGTTATACCCTGTGCCCTTGAGCATACTGAATTTTACTATCAGCCTGAAAATATAAAACCTTCTGTGTCTCCACATAAACTGACTAAAATCACCTGTAAGTAAATATCCAGAAGACTCACCAAAATTTTATCCTGTTTCGACCTCACAGATGCTCCAAACCACTGATGGGACTTAAATTCCAATGGATCATCCTTGGCATAATCTCTATTGCCTAAAAAAGAATATTGTGAGTGGTAAGACACAAAATATACTATTCTTAATATAACAGTTTATTTTTATCCCCAGCTAGGTTGAGAAATAGTACACCTTTGATTAATCAAATATTCCACTGGTTATTTTTCTCATATACAGTTTATATACATTAGAGACTTTCAAGTAATCAGAAACATAGGATACATGATGACCCAGAAGTGTCTCAGTGTTATTATTAGCCCCATTATCATAATACACATGATTGAAAAAGCAATTGTAAATAAAGTTTTCCAGTTGCTCAACTGTTAGATAATTAACTATTAAACAAATACGTATGATCGCCTATTCCCAGAAGATCTTTCGGTGGGGCATAAAGATAATTATGAAAATTAAATGCTATGAAACACCTTTGTGTAAAATGCTATAAAAGACAAGACTGAGACGTGTGCCTAAGACATAACAATGCAAGAATTAGAATCCAGGAAACTTGATTTGGTTGGTAGAAAAAAGAATTCAATACGGCACACTACAATCAAACATTTATTTTTATTACTTCAGCCCTCACTATTGAGAAAATTATTTCTGTACACTAAAATTCCAGTGTCAAAAACAAAATGATGCATTGGGATAGATCGAACATCACTATATTCTTACCAATATAAGTTTACTTGCCTACAGGACACCTGGGATAGAGTCCTCAAAATTGTCAATATCATGAAAGACAAAAAGAGTAGGAAACACTTCTAGATTAAAAGAGACCACTAAGACATGTCGACCGAATGCAAGATGTGATCTTTGATTGAATTTTATGTCCAGACAATTTTTTTTCAAAGTTACAAAGGACTTTATTGGGATAAATGTGGAAATTTGAATTGTGAACTAGAGTAGGTAACAGTAATAATGTTTAATTCAGCAATAATTACATTGTTACTGTTAATATTCTTCATAATAATGATTCATTTCTAACATGTGATGACTATATTGTACTTACATAAGAAAATGTCCTAGTTTTTAGGAGATACATGCTCAAGTATTTAGGGATAAGTGTAACAATGTCTGCAACAATGGGTGAAGCTAGGTGAACAAGTGTGTTGTTCGTTGTTCATTGTATTACTGAAATTGAAATTTTCTATAAGTTTGAAAATTTTCACAATAATTTTTAAGACACAGCAATCAATAAGTACAAAATATATGTACAAGACCAATGGTACCTTCTTACCCTTTTAACACTTTATTGTATTTACTCTAATTATAGATGTCTTATTCATTACAAAACAAACCAAAACATAAAACAAAGCCATAAAGACAGATCTAAATACCACAACCCCACCATAAAGAAATGACCTCTGTTAACACATTAGTATCTATCCTAAAGACTTGTTTCATGAATACATGCATGTTTTTTATATGTAAAATTGATATTAAGTCAATATTTAAGATAACATTAAAATTATCATTTTATAAATATATGTACGTTTTTCTCCCTTAATATGGCACTTATAAAGGCAGACCTATAGTATCATTTTCATTGTTGTGTAGTATCCCATTATACAGCCATAGAATACTTTATTTAATCAATCCCCTACATCTCCCTCAATTTCAAATTTAGGAATATTTCTATTTTTGGAGGGCAGTAGTGTGATCACAGCTCACTGTGGCCTCAACCTCCTATACTGAAGCGATCCTCCCACTTCAGCCGCCACAGTAGCTGGGTCTACAGATGCATGCCACCATGCCTGGCTAATTTTTGTATTTTCTGTAGAAACAGGGTTTCATCATGTTGTCCAGGCTAGTCTTGACCTCCTGAGCTCAAGGGATCAACCTGCCTCAGCTTCCCAAAGTGCTGAGATTACAGGTGTAAGCCACCATGCCTGGCTGATATACTTATTTTTATGCGGAAGAGTTCTCTTATCCTTCGTCCCTAGTCTCTGAAACAAGTCATGCTTATTTCCACCTGCAGGCATTTGTGTCCAAGGTCCTCTTGCCCGGAAACTTTATTCCCTCCACTCTGGATTCAAATCCTAACTGAAAATTCAGGTGTGTTTGTCTGTTCATGATGCTAACCCATGATGAAATGGTAGTCTGCCTCTTATGGGAACATTTCTCTAACACAAGAGATAATCATAGGAACAAGCAATTATGGTGGAAAATAGTATAGGCACCCGTAAAGAGTTATAGGAAAGTAAGGGTACAGTACAAGTGAGGAAATGTTTTCTGGGCCAAAAGAAAACCTTGTGCAAAGAGGCAGAAGAGTGGGTAATCTTGAATTTTTTAAGAGAATTGTGAGTTGTTCACTATAACTAGAGAGAATGGTCAGGAAGGGAGTGGTTATCAAGAGCCTTTTCTTTTCTTTTTCTTTTTTTTTTGAGATGGAGTCTTGCTCTGTCGCCCAGGCTGGAGTACAGTGGCGCGATCTCAGCTCACTGCAACCTCCACCTCCCGAGTTCAAGCGATTCTCCTGCCTCAGCCTCCCAAGTAGCTGGGATTACAGGCACACGCCACCACGCCCAGCTAATTTTTTGTACTTTCAGTAGAGACAGGGTTTCACCATGTTGGCCAGGCTGGTCTTGAACTCGTGACCTCAGGTGATCTGCCCACCTCAGCCTCCCAAAGTGCTGGGATTACAGGTGTGGGCCACCCTGCCTGGCCAAGAGCCCTTTTTTCTTAATTGAAATATAATAATTTTACATATTCATGGGGTACATAGGGATGTTTCAATACATATAATGTATACTTATCAGGTCAGGGTAATAAGCACGTTCATCACCTTGAACATTTAGCACGTTTTTTTGTGTTGGGAACATTCGATTCCTTCCTTCTACCTATTTGAAATTAGACAATACATTATTTTTAACTATAATAACCCTACAGTGGTAGAAAACACTAGAACTTACTCCTCCTGTCTAGCTGTAATTTTGTGTCTTTAAACAAATCTCTATTTTCCCATTCTCCCTACCTTTCCCAGCCTCTAGTATCTTCTACATTTTACTTCTATGACATCAACTTTTTCTTAGCTTCCACCTATGACTGAAAACATGCAGTGTTTAATTTTCTGTTCCTGGCTTATTTCACTTAACATAATATCCTCCAGTTCCATCCGTGTTGCCATAAATGACAGGACTTCATTCTTTTTATGGCTGAACACAGACACGTACACACACCACATTTTTCCAGTGTGTATACATATTCCTGAACACAGACAGGAGACAGGAATATATGTACACACTAAATATATATATATATATAAAATATACTATATATAATGTATATAATGCATGTACATATATATATATACACATACATACATATACACACACCATGTTTTCTTTATCCATTCATCTGTTGTTAGACACCTGAACTGATTCCATATCTTGGTGATTGTGAATAGTGTTCCAATAAATATGGGGACACAGATGTCTCTTTGATATACTGATTTCCTTTCCTTTGGATAAATGCCTAGTAGTGGGATTGCCAGATCATATGGTAGTTCCATTTGTAGTTTTGGAGGAACCTCCGTACTGTACTCCATAGTAGCTGTATTAATTTACATTCCCACTTTTGTCAAGAGCTTTTATGCCATGCTAAGACTGGGCTTGATGGGATTTTTGAGTTGCCTTCTATGCTAAGCATTTTTTCTCAATTATTATATTCCTGAAAAGTGAAATTTCTTCTTTGTGAAAGGTTATCCAATCTCTCCGTACCACTTTGAAAATTTACCTCCATGAATGTTTTTCTTAACAAACGTTACTTTTCTTTAAATTTGTATACGGTGGCACAACATGCTGCTGGGCACTGTCAAGCAGCATAGGCTTGCAAAGCTACCATGTTCTGTTTCCTATTTCTTTAAAAAAGTATCAAAAACATCCCTTGCCTTAACAGTTATGGATATCTGTCTTTGTGGACATCAGGGTTAGCTTAAGCTAGAAAATTCATGCAAAATCAGTACAAATTTGACATATCTTTTTGGAAACCAAAGTAGTCCAGTATAACTGGATATAATGCATTGGCGTATATTGGCACCCAAAACTTAGTCAATGGTCTTCAAAAAGAATAACATCATCCAGTGCTTTCAATGCCTTCACCTGCAACAGAGTTACAACCTCATGTTACCATCTTTTTAAGAAGTTTGCTCATTAGGAAGTTTGTCTTTACTAATCAAAATTGTTTTTTTGGAGACCAAGTCTTAAAATCTTTGATTCAACATTACATAGAAGTTTCACCCAGAGGAAGTGTAAATAGACTGGGTGAAGAGAATGCAAAAGAAAGCCTGCTCTCCAGACAAACTGACAAGAAGTTCATTCATGACCTGGGTGAAACTGGCAGCTATCCTGAGGCACATGAGTGAAGTAAATATTTTGAATCACAGCCCTGAAGTCAGCATTTAGGATGATGTTGGACCTCCTCAGATAGCCTGGACTATGCTGACACACTTGAAAAGGAAACAGGACACAGACAACTGCAGAAACTCAAGGGCTGGAAGAAATGCTTTCTCCGGCAACAGCCAAGAATAGAAAGATTTCTGTCCATAGTCACAAACCCCATTGGAAGATTAGCTCTGTTCACCCAGATAAATAAAAAAGAAAAAAAGAGTATCTCACACAATAAAATAATTTTATTTAATTATCGAAATAAAGTATTTAAATAACTTAAATCTTAAATATTATTTTATTTCATAATCTTTAAATCTCTTTCTCTAATAAAGTTGAGAAGAAATTGCTCTGTATTATATAAATTAACATAAGGCTCTATGCTACCACTTTCAAAAATACAGAGGAAAACTTTGCTAGAGAAACTTGAAGTTAATAAGCAAGTAAATCACTAGAGACTTGAAAATTTCATGTTTATTTTGCCAGGTTTGGAAACTTGTCATTTGCATTTTATCAAACTCCCATGACTGCATGCTTGAGGACAGAAGCAAATGAGAAAACCGGATTGTCGTAGCTTTCGACTCTACTCCTTATTAGCAGCCAACTCTTTTCCCCGGTGTTTCCAAAGGCATTGTCAACACATTTGGCACTCAACTTGCTGGACAATTATGGGCAGTGCTTATTTTTAAGATACAATTACCTTCTTACCCTAAGCAAAATGTTTTGTTTCTTCTTTTCATGCCAAAAGAATATCCCTTGGAACAAGATTATGTCACCTTTTTGTGAAATGGCCAAAGTGAACAAGAATGCTAAATCATTAGAAAAGCAAGAGAGTAAACTTCCATTTTGAAGCTAAATGTGGTTTTAGTCACTTGGTTCCTATTTATCACTATGACTTTTATGAATAATGAAATAATTCAGGTCCTTAACTTACTTTTTGCTAAAAAAAAAAACAAAAAAAGAAAGAAAAAATGTCTATCAAAACAATACCACCCTGCATTCATAGACAATTCACAGACTTTCTTAAGCAGCTTTTTACTTCAAACATCACTTGTTTAGTTGTACTTCCTATAACAAATTTGCTTGAAAAAAAATATCCAATAAAGTATGCTTATTTATTAGGTAAAAATGGACAGGTTAGTGGAAGAAATATCTTAGATTATCCATTAATTTATTTAAATAAATCATAAATCATGGGTACCTCCTATGTCTATATGCTAGTAATATAGCATTAAACGAGACAGATAAGTCCTTGCTTTTCAAGGAGAAAAGTAATATATAATTATATAAAATATTTTCAGAGAGCAATAAATACTATAAGGGAAATTTGAGAGAAAATGATTTGGAGGTCAGACAACTACTGTTATCATGCATTTATTTGTAACCCAATGCTATTTTGAAATAAGGTATATCGGCCGGGCGCGGTGGCTCGCGCCTGTAATCCCAGCACTTTGGGAGGCCGAGGCGGGCGGATCACGAGGTCAGGAGATCGAGACCATCCTGGCTAACACGGTGAAACCCCGTCTCTACTAAAAATGCAAAAAATTAGCCGGGCGTGCTGGCGGGCGCCTGTAGTCCCAGCTGCTTGGGAGGCTGAGGCAGGAGAATGGCGTGAACCCGGGAGGCGGAGCTTGCAGTGAGCCGAGATCGTGCCACTGCACTCCAGCCTGGGCGACAGAGCGAGACTCCGTCTCAAAAAAAAAAAAAAAAAAAAAAATAAGGTATATCATTGACTCAGAGCTGCAAATATTCAGATATTAGTATGCCTAAAATCTGAATGTGTACAATAGTCAACAGTGATATATTTATAATGGTGACACTTTTAGTATTTTTAGTAGTACATAAACAGTACATTTTAACATCAAAGGCACCTGTACATTCACAGTCAACTGATTTTTGACAAAGATGCCAAGCAAATTCAGTGGCAAAGAAATAGTCTTTTCAACAAATGATGCTGGGACAACTAGATACCCATATGCAAAAAAAATAATTTGGAACCATACCTCAAACTGTACCAGAAAATTAACTCAAAATAGATCACAGACATTTTTACACGTAAGAGCTAAAACTATAAAACTCTTAAAAGAAAACAAGGAAATAAATCTTCATGAACTTGGGTTAGGCAATGATTTAGAAAACCAAAAGCATAATGATAAAAGAGTAGATATATTAGCCAATTAAAATTAAAAACTTTTGTGCTACAAAAACACCATTTAAAAAGTGGAAAGACAACCCTCAAAACTGGGGAAATTACTTGCTTATCAAATACTGGATTAAAAACTTGTATCCTAAATAATATGAAAAAAAAAACGAAAAACTCCTACAACTCAGTAAGACAAACAACCAAATGAAAAA
Source organism: Homo sapiens (assembly GCF_000001405.40). NCBI lineage: Eukaryota > Metazoa > Chordata > Mammalia > Primates > Hominidae > Homo > Homo sapiens. The sequence goes on along the minus strand of NC_000002.12, from coordinate 186,615,635 downwards.
TGAGCAAAGAATTTGAATAGATGTTTCTCCAAAGAAGAAATAACAGCCAGTAAGCACAAGAAAAGATGTTCAACATTATTCATCATCGGGTAAATGCAAATCAAAACCACAATAAAATATGGCTTCACACTCATTAGGATGGTTATTATAATATAAAAAAGACAGAATATGAGTGTCCACAAGGATACGGAGACACTGAAACCCTCATACATTACTAATAGAAATGTAAAATGGTACAGCCACTTTTGAAAATAGTTTGACAGTTTTTAAAAAAGGTAAATATAGATTACCATATGACGCAGCAATTCCACTCCTAGACATCTATACAAGAGAAAGGAAAACATATGTCCCCACAAAGATTTGCACATGAATGTTCATAGTAGCATTATTCATAATAGCCAAGAAGCAGAAAACACTCAAATGTGCATCTACTGGTATAAACAAAATGTTTATTCATTCCGTTGAATACTGTTAGGCAATAAAAATGGAATGTAGCACTGATACATGCTACAATAGGAATGACTATGTATCATATAATTCTGTTTATATAAAATATCCAAAACCAAAAATATGTAGACACAGAAAGTAAATTAATAGCTGCTTAGGGCTGGAGGTACAAATGGGGAGAGACTGATGTTGGACACATTTCTTTTTAGGGTAAATGGAGATGCTCTGGAATTAGACTGTAGTAATAGTTACAAAACTCTATAAATATAGTAAAAATTCATTGAATTGTACACTTAAAACAGGTCAATGTTATGGTAAATTATATCTCAATAAAACTGTTTTTAAAAAGGACAGATTTGTCAGGAGAAAAAGTAGCTGTAGCATTGAACAGAAATGTATATATATATAAAAAATGACTTTTTCAAAATTAATTAAAAATAGATGTGTCAGAAGAGTAATAGACCAAGAATAAAAATGAATAATATAATAGATCAAGAATGAAAACGGATAATAGAAAACAAAATTTAAAAACCCAGAAAGAGCTAATAAGCATATGAAAAAAGACTCAAGCTTACCAGAAATGACAGAAATGTAAATTAAAACAAGATATATGTTTCACCTGTCAGGCAAAGGAAGATAGTATCAAATTTCGTTCAAAGACTGCTTGTGTCAGTATTTTCCTATTTGGCAAATATGTATCAGAAATCTTGAAACACACATTCCTATGACTTCTAAGTTTAATTTTTAAAAATTAACTAAAAAAACTTTTTGTAATATGAACTAAGACTAATAAGCATGTCAAACAGAATGTCCAACAGGAGACAGAGTAAATTATAACTTTATGTATTTTGTATATTTACACACAGACACACACACACAGAGAATATACACAGGCCATAAGGTACATGCACAAATACACACACAAAAGTATATCCTATGGCCCTTGGTTTCCTGAGTGGTGAGATTTAAGTAGGTCTGGTTTTCTCATATTTTCATCAATGGACATGCATTATTTATAAAATGTTTTAAAGGTTTTTTAAAAAGTAGTGTGGATAAATATCCTTCAATCCTCATATACAAAAGCTTAGTTTGAAGCTCCCACATCCCCTCTTAATTAACTTTGTTTACATTTTCATCTCTTACATGTAAAGGAGTTTTAGTTCATAAAATTCAAGAAAAAATTTTAATCACACAAGCTCTTCTTTCTTTAAGCATTAGCGTTCCTAGGAACCTCTTCCTTCTTTTTTTAAGCACTGACCTTCCTAGGAACCTCTATTCTATGTTATAGAATTAAACTATTAGAGTAGAATATTGCATAAAATAACTAATTAAAAAATAAAAATTCTAGATACTCCTGAAGACTAAACTGGTGGTTAATGATTTCGTTGACTTAGTAAGGAAATACAGTTTGTTAATTGATTTAAGAAACTCTGACAAATAATAAGTAGTGGTAAGATATTAGAACTAGTACTATTAACGAAAGGACAATTTGCTTTATAAACTTCCAAAGTGTCTTCAGATGTCTCTTGAAACTTACCTGTATTGACTTAAAATGGCCAAGAGACCAAGTTCCCTAAATCCAAAGTATTTGAAAAATAAATCATTTATATATACAAAAATAAGTTCTGCAACCATAATCCATGGACATGCAAAAGTGTTATTAATTTATATAGAACTATCCAGAAACATCTTTTACATAAAATAAGATACAGCTGTTTCCCAAAAATAAACAAAAAGAGTCAGAAAAGCAGAACCAGAGGAAAACAGGAATGAAGCTCATTTCACTGGGATTGGTATTCATTGAGTTAGTTAGTTATTACTACCACAGCGAATAAAGAATCAAAATCTCCCTCTTCTTCCATGAGCAATTCCAGTGGTCCTGCTGGAGTGCAGCACAAAGAATACAGGCCTTTTGAAAATACTCACTGCTTTATCAATGCTGGTTTGTTTCCTTCTAGCCATGAAAAGGAAATGATCCTGAAAGCATCTAACATTTTAAGACAAAACCTCTTTACTGGGGATTAAAAAAAAAAAAAAAAAGCCAATCCCATGTTAAGTCCTAAAGAATGGGTTGAGTCAGGTCAAAGTGAGCAGGGAAAGGAAGAAACTTTAAAAGAGCTTGTGAGTTTGGTTTCAGTAAAATACTGAAAACATTAAAATACTGACTAACTGTATGACTGTCAGTCAGTTAGTAGTAAAGGAATTAGACTAAAAGATTTCTAAATTGCTTACCAGCTCTCTGTGTAATTCTGTAACAGGGGATAACAGATTATATCAGGAGAAACATTTTTATTTTTAAAAAATCCTTAGTATAAATTTGTTTTGTATTAACAAGGGAAGGGAAACTACTTTTCTTTTTAACTTTTTAGTTTACAGGACAGTTGCAACTGTAGAGATACCTAGACACAACTCTGGAAGACAGAAAATTCATCAATAGGAGGAAGTAAAACTTAAAGGAAGTTAGTTTAGGGTCTGCCTGAGTGTTTTAATTGCAACGAGATGGAAATTGTACTGCAGAAGCTAGAAAACAGCTAAATGTTTTATATTCTCTATTAAATACAAAGCCTAGTTATACCCAGAAAATACTCCACAGCATTTTTCTTGACCACAGAACTGGCATAGCCAAGGTTTGCTCTCAACCTACAGCCAGGCCCTTCTAGGAACAAATGGCAAGCATTCCAGCAAGCTGTTCTGGGTAGGAAGAAGAGTAATCTGACCTCTGCCCTTCTGTATGACAGAAACAGTTAGTGGTAGGTGACATCCATTCACTGTATTTGGAATATAAAGGTAGGAGCTTCTCCTTTAAAAAAAAAAAAAAATTAAACAGGTAGGTAAGCCTTCATTTCTAAGCAAAGAGACTTTCGTAGGGCAGTGATACATGGTCTCTTTTCTCAATGTACATTAGCAGTCTATCTTTTTGGGTGGAAAAAAAAACACATTACTAAGAAACATGGCCAAGGCTCAGACTGTCAGTAGCATCTGCTTCCCTAGAAAAGGAAAACATGTTATAAGAAGAGGATTTTCTCAAATGTCACAATAACAGAAGTTAAAATGCAAATCAAGCTATAATCAATTTAAGAATATCCACAATTATCTTTATTTCTTTCCTTTTCCGTATTTATTTAGTTCCCTACAGTTCTAGTATGGGCACAACATAAACAATCCTTTCTTCACCGGTATAATGCTTTCTTGTTTACAAAGCATTGAAAGTAATGGCAAAAATCGCAATTACTTTTGCACCAACCTAATACCTTCATAGACATTACCTTTTTTAAAAAAAATCAGATATGGGATCTCATTATGTTGCCCAGGCTGGTCTCAAATTCCTGGACTCAAGCAATCCTCCTGCCTCTGCCTCCCGAAGTGCTGGGATTACAGGCATGAGCCACCAGGCCACCATGCCTGACTGACATTACCTCATTTGATCTACATGGCAACCCTGAGAGGTAGGTATTATGCTTATTTGACAGATGGGGAAATTGTGGATGGTGCTTGCCCAACGTCACAGTTAATAAGTATCAGAGTCTGAATCTGAGCCTGCATCTTCTAAATCTAGTTTGCATTCTTTATAACCAAAGCTGCCAAGGGAAAAAGAACAAGAGAGACAGCAATGCCTACTTATATAAGCATGGTTCTTGCCTCAGCATAGCTTGCAGTATAACCAATATCAATTGTGGCTTACACCTGTACTCCTAGCACTTTGGGAGGCTGAGATGGGAGGATCACTTGAGGCCAGGAGTTTGAGACCAGCCTGGTCTAACATAGCAAGACCCCAACTCTCTTTTTTAAAGAAAAAAATAACAAATAATTAAAAAAGAAAATACATAAAAGGGCACTGTGGTAGGCGAATAATATCCCTGAGATATTCAACTTCTAATTCCCAGAAACTGACACATAAATATGTGACCCTTGTAAGGCAAAAAGGACTTTGCAGAAGTGATCAAATTAAGGACCTTGAAATAAGAGGTAAGTCTGGATTAGCTGGGTGGACTCATTATAATCACAAGGGTCGGGGGGCAGTAGGGTCAATGTTCGAGTAATGCAGCATGAGAACGACCCCGGTAGCTATTGCTGGCTTTGAAGATAAGGGAAGGAACCACAAGACAAAGAATGCCAATGGCTCTACAAGCTGGAAATGGAAAGGAAACAGTTTCTCACCTTGATTTGGCCCAGTGAATCCATTTTGGACATCTGACCTCCAGAACTAAAGATAACAGATGTGTTATCTTTGGTAACTTACGACAATAGCAACAGGAAACGAATGCAGCCATGAAGGCAAAACAGATAACAGACTACATGAGCAGTCTAGGTTTGCTACATGAATAGTCTCAATATTGTTTTGCATCGCAATCTATTATAGTTTGGAATAACTTTACTACTGAAAATACATAGATCATTAATCCCTAAACTAAATCATCCACTTGTGAGTTTTCTACCTATCAATCATCTTAGACTAAAACAAAGAAATCATACCCAAAATAACTGTTTCATTTTCACTAATTCCACAACATATCAAAGTTCACATTATTCTTTCAATTTAGGGGAAAAAAACTATTCCGTCATTATGCAGACCTTGCTTAAAATCTATAAATTATGAAGAGTCACTGGATGAAAAGGTTTACAAATCCAAGAGGGCAACTGCTATTTCAAAAGCAAAAGCAAGTTGTAATATTTCAATCATTGCATAAACATATAAAATAAGAAACTTTTTAAAACATCTTAGTTGTGGCTTTGTTTATACATTCTATCAGGCAAATCTGGGGGAAAAAGAAAAATAAAGATGACAAGCCAGAGTCAAGATCTTGAAAGAACATTAACAGGGCAGCACATTTTGGAGATAACTTTTGCAAATCTAAATTTTGGACTAAGGTTTCCTTTTTACTCCTGAAGGCTCACTAAAGCATAAATATTATTCAAAAATCAAAGCAGCGAGTAACTTTTCTATCCTGGATTGTACCTTCTACTAAATTAAACTTTGTATCATGAAACTCCACATTTTTTAAAGTCGTGTCTATAATATTTTGAATATATGTATATGATAATATTCATTATTTCATGTAACTTCTATCATTTTACCAAAAAAGTGACTAGGAAAATTAATAAGACGGGTACTGAAAGTATTAGTTCATCTGCAATGTTCATGTGAAATCTACAAGGAACCAGGAGTCCAAGATGTCCCTATGGGGCTCTAGATCCTTCTATCTCTAATATAATACTCTATATGCATTAAGATTTAATGGTAAATTTATTTGGCTAGACCTTTAGAGTATGTTTTTAAAAACTCATTTATATCTTTCCTCAGCTACTTCCAGTTTTATTCCTCATCGTGCCCTCAACACCATAACCCCACCACCACACACGTATAACCCTTATGCCCACATACATATATATATATGTAGGGCACATGGAATTACTTGATTATCAGTCCCTAACTTCTTTTACTCAGCATACACATACTGTTTTCTCAAGCTAGAACCCTCTTCGACATCTAAGGAATTTCATCTCATTTTTCATTAGCTAGCTCAAATGTCACCAACTAATCTAGGAAGCCTTCTTCAAAGTCCCCAGGCAAAGTTAGATACTTTCCAGTTATGCCTCCTTTATTTTGGTATGAATCTATTTATGTCTACTTTTCAGAATTACAGTAAAATAACTTTTAGACTGATCTCTCAAATACATTTTTGAAAGCCTCTCTCTTACCCCCAACTCAAACCACCAAAATCATGTTACAGGATAGGAAAGCACATCTAAAGTGTCCATCTGTCTTCTTTAAAAGCTAAGAAAGTTGTGTTATGATACCTTAAAAGCAAAATCCAGATTTTCTTAATTAGCTACTAGTGTATGTCTTAATGCACGTGACAAGCAACAGTTACATGGCCTTTTAATAAATGATATACTATCTAACATCCAGGGACGTCACTGGTAAACACAAAGTAAAATTAGTTCATGAATTACTAATTAGCCCAACAGATAAAAAGGGTTATTTGCAAAGGATGTTTCCTTCCTATTACCCTGTTTTCCAGTCAAAAGGAGAAAAAGGCACCCTTTTAATCCTATACCTTTTAGTTCCCTCTACAAGCTCATAATCTTCTTAGTTGTGTAAGATAAGACAGGCTTTCCAGGTCTTTCACAGATATGAGACTTAGACTCACCCAAACAGACACTACTATAAAAGTTTTAAATCTCTATAAAATGATGCAAAGAGGCATGATGGACAAGAAATTATTCTCATGGTGTTACTCCACATTCAGCAATAGCAGTACCAGCAACAATAAAATCCACTGGTTGTTCTTTTGTTAGCTTCTCTTGGTTCCTGCTTATTTTTTCAGATAACTGTTAAGTTACCAACATCCTTCCAATAAATTCTTGTTCTGTTAAATTTAGCTAGAGTCTATTTCTATTACTTTTCATGAAGAGCCCAAAACTTGCATGGAACATACACACAGGCAACCCACCATATGGAAGTGGAATAAATGGTGAGTGGAAATAAATGTGTTCCCTGCCTTTAGATAGCTTATAGTCTACTCAGGAAAACAAACATACTATAACATCAGTAAGAAAAAAAAAATCAACAAAAAATTCAGCTTAATAAGAAAGAGAACTGTACTCAGTGCACTAAGACTACCAGTATGGCAGAACCTGACTTAAAAGGTGAATGGGAGAGGAAAGGACCATTTTACAAAATATTACTTAATGCCAAGCATTTGTAGTATCTCCAAGCACTTTACTGTAAAATTTTTGTTGTGATTCTAGAGCTAGCTGAGGTTTGTTCTTTTTTGTAGGAAGGAATATAGTTACTATTCTATTTTTTCAAAGGAGAAACAGACTATGCAGCAACCAGCCTAGAATATTTCATACAATTACAGACTTCAAATGTTGATGCAACATCATCTGCGGCTTCCTAAGGCTCAACTAAACTTTCAAACTCACAAAACTATCAAAGGCCATATGAAGCACCAATCTACTTGCAAGGATATAGGACACAACCACAGCTTTCCAGCAGGACAGAACCAGACATACCTCTTTGGTGAGAATCCTTACATGAACTTTCCTATACAACTGTCCACCCAGCTGTCCAGAGTACTTCTCTTTGCCCCGCCAGGTGACGGCTCAGATATGAAGAAACAAAACCTGGTAGACGCAGGAGTCATTCTGGCTTCAAAGCCTCTTGCCCCCCAGAAATGATATCTTTTGCAACAACTCCATAGCCATAGCTTCCAGAGTCGCCACAAAACACATGCCAGTTTTGTGTCACTATACTCAAGGAACCCCAAAGCTATGACATCCCTATCAGGTACTTAGTCTATTTATAGTTTCTCCCAATCCAAATGCAACTTAACGTCAGGGGCCATTTTTAGCATAAGCAATGATACCTAGTCACTTAGTCACTCAGATACTCAGTAAGTCAGACTAGAAACTTAAAGGAAGACCAAACTGGCATGCAGAATAGAAAGTGGTTTTAATAACCATTTTCCAGCAGATGATTATTGATAATATTCCATTTTAATATCCCTATATGTGTTATTCAGTTTAGTTCCCATTATGCTATAGTAACAAGCATCCCCCAAATCTCAAGTAGTTAAAAAGAACAATAGATTTTTTTTTGTCCACACACATATGAGTAAGAGTCTAAGCTTTATGTCTTCCTTACCACAGGCCTCAGGTTGACAGAAGTTCTACCATTTCAACTATCACTACTCCCTGTGACATCTGGGAAGGGGCAGAATAATGCCCCAGCTCTTAAACCCTGCCACCCAGAAATGACACAATTCTCCTTATGTTTTATGGGCCAGAAAAAGTCACATGGGCATACCAAAGGTCTTCCCAGAAGTTTAAAAAAATGTGAATAATGACAAAGTGTTGTAATATCTCCCACATCATATAATTACAGCTAATTTTCTTGAGACTGTTTCATAAACTAAATTACTTCCCAAATATTAAAAACATGAGGACAGGGCACTTTTAAGCACTAAAATCTGTTCTGGGCTCAGAAACACAATAAAGTAAATAAACTAACCAATTTATACTCTTCGTGATCACCCCTGGAATGTATTATACAATGTAGAATGGCAGGTAATTTTCCCAAGGTAATGTTAGAAAAAATGACAGAGGCTAGATTTGAGCCCATGTCTGTCTAACTACAAGGCCTATTCCTTTTCATGACACCATGAGGTTTAACAATAGTATCAAGTTTAGGAGGGATAAAAGGATGTGATCATTTCAAGCAGACGAAGAGCAGAAACTTTAAGGAGGGAATGGCCAATGGGGTGAATTGTAAAAGAGCAGTCCAAAAAGATGAGGAACCATAAGCATCCCCTGAAGCTGGCAAATAGGCTGCTGTCAACAATCGCAGTTAGAATCACTGCTGGGTTGGGTCGGTGCCACAACCCAACAGTGATTCTATTGGATTGAAGCATGACAAGTGATGAAGACACAATATGTATTCAAAAATCATGGATGTAAAGGAAAGAAGAGAGAAAGATGTGACTGACTAAGAAAAGATACATGTTCAAGGGAAAACAGTTTTTGATTAGTTTTTCAGGGAAAAAACTTTAAACACACTTCAAAGTTGGGGAAGAAAGGAAAAGGGAGAATGTAGCAGGGATACAGAAGCAAATGAAGGAATAGGGAGGGTCTCTAAGAAGGCAAAAGGGAGGAATAGCGACATGAAACAGCTCATGTTTACTGAGCCATTTCAACATGCCAATCCCTGTCCTAAGCACTTTAGAAGTCTTCACCTATATGTAAATTAACTCATGCGATGTAATCCACACCCATGGAGCAGGTTGATGAGAATACTGCACTAGGGAGATGAGGGTAACCTAACAGTAACCCGTGCAACGTCAACAGCTGGTAACTGGCAGAACCAGGGTTTGAGCCCCAGGGAGGCTGCCTTCAGAAACCCCACATATCTGCTCAGCTTCTGTCTCCCTTGAGATAATAAAAAAGAGAGAAGGCATTTGTATTGTAGGGATGCTTATATGTTTGGGCTAAGATGGGATGAAGAGTTCCTTGGGAGAGAGACATAAAGAAAGTTTAGCAGGATGCGATAAGCTATAAGCATTTCTTCCTTGAAACTCAATACCATATAGTTTAATGTGGCTATTTTAGATATACATTTTCTTGACTGGATTATTTAAATCTATGTTGTCCTCTTACATTCAAATAAACACCATTTGAATAAAAATACTAATGTAAAAAAATGAAGTCTTAATTGTTTTTCCACTGGGGAGGTCTCAGAAGTTATACAAAAGGATTACAGAAATATCATAAACAGGGACAAAAGATATACATATACATAAGAATATATGTATTATACATATACATAAGAATATATGTATTATACATATACATAAGAATATATGTATTATACATATACATAAGAATATATTATACATATACATAAGAATATATGTATTATACATATAAATATATATATATATATATACACATCTACAACCACTAAAGGACTTTAGTTATTTCCTTACTATATAAAAACCTCTTATCGTACATTCATCTCTTCAATTTATTCAGCACTAACTTGTGCTGGGCACCAGACAATGTTTAGGCCCTGGAGTCTCAGCAATGAACAAAGATAAAAAACGGTCCTCATGGAACTTACATTCTAATTGAGGGAAAGAGACATTCACTAAAAACAAATAAATAACATGTAACAATGTAAGTATTACTGGGAAAAATAGAGAAGAGGATGGAAGTACAAGGTGAGAAGAGGGAGTTGGAATTTTAAATGAGATGGTCATCACTGAGAAGATAATATCTGAGCAATTCTCAAAATGATGGTGAAGCAGATACTCAGTGGATATTTAGGGAAAGAATGTTCCAGGCAGGAAACACAGCCCAGGCAAGGGTGAAGTGGGAATGTGCCTACTGTTTATGAGGCACAGCACAGAGAATCAAAGGGAGGAAGCAGAGTGAGCTCATTGTTTTAATCCCCTGGTCATTTTGGGCTGGCTCCTGCCCTCTGAAAAAAGCCACAGCTCCTGTCACGTGGCTCTCTACACCTAGTATTCTGTCTTCAGATTCTGGTAATCGCTGCCTTCAGGCCTAGAGGTCACATTTTAACTAGTGCTGATATACGATCAATCCCCAGGTACCTGCACAGACCTCTGTAAATAGTCAAAATACCTCAATTTAAGTGTGCCATCTCGTTCCTGGCAATGCCCTAATTCAGAAATCTAGGGCAATAGTCCAGGTGGGAGACAGTGGTGGCTTGGACCAGGATATTAGCAGTGGACTGATAAGAAGCAGTTAAATTTTGACCTACTGACAGATTCAATGTCAAACACAGCTCCAGATTCTGGCCTAAACACTGAAAGGATGGAGTGCCATAAACTGAGATTCATTTTTTAAAAATCACAAATTAACAGAAAATATGTGCAAATATACTAAAAGTAGCTCACAGGAAAAGGGATACTGAAGGCTTACAAACAAATATGAAGACACTCAGTCTTACTGTTAATTAAAGAAATGCAAATTAACATAACAGATACTATCTCCTCCTATAAAACTGACGAAGATTTAAAAATATGCTAATAAATGAGGTTGCCATGGGTTTCAAAACACAACTGGAGGGGTGTAAACTTCTGTGAGGGAAAGTATACAATACCTAACAAAACTTTAAATATACATACATTTTGATCCAAAAATCTCCTTTATCATACAGATATATTCACATATTTGTACAAATACTTGTGTATAACCTTTTCACTACAGCAGTGTTCATAATAAAAGACTGGAAATAACCAAAGTATCCACTAGTAGAAAATATAATTTAAGCAAATTAAGTACACATATACAATAGAATAGTATCAGTGATTTACAAAAAATGAGGTAAATTCATATGCCGATAAGGAAATATCTACAAGAGATTTCTATTGTTAGAACGGTGCAGGGAGGCATCAGATTTTTGAGTTGCCTTTTTTTCAAGGATGCATACATATATAGAAGTAAGAAAATTCTAGAAGGATAAAAGAAATTGTTAAGAGTAATTGCCTCATGCTGGGCACAGTGGGCCAAACCTGTAGTCTCAGGACTTCAGGAGACTGAGGGGGGCAGACTGCTTGAGCCCAGATGTTTTGAGACCAGCCTGGGCAATATGGCAAAACCCCATCTCTTTAAAAAAAAAAATACATAAAAACTAGCCGGGCTGGTGGCACACCTCTGTAGTCCCAACTCCTCGTGGGGCTGAGGTGGGAAGATCACTTGAGTCTGGGAGGTGGAGGCTGCAATGAGCCATGATCACATCACTGCACTCCAGCCCGAGTGACAGAGCGAGACCCTATCTCAAAAAGAAAAAAAAAAAAAAGTGATTGCTTCTGAGAAGACTGATGTGAGTTGTATGTTTCATTGTACACCCTTTGAGACTCTTTAAAATTTGTTTTACCATGTGCAAATGTTATTTTCAATAAACAAAAAATTATCTGAAGCAATAAATTATCTTGCAATGCACAAAAACCTACAGTGTTAAGTACAGAAACATCTGAAGAGTTCGACCTATCAAAATCTAAACTGTGGTTTCCTTTTATTAGTTCTCATATTTTGTTAGACAATAAATGCCCTAAAACTATCATATTCTGAGTCACAGGTATTTCTCCATTTATGGTAAAATTGGGCCTTTTTACAAACTCTTGGAGTTTTCCAAGTATTAGCCATATATGGAAAAATACAACAACAGAGTTTAATGTAGATAATTTCAAATGGAAAAAAAAAACCCTGAAAACATGTGCATGTGATCTGGTTCCCATTAACAGCTGGCTTAATGACTAACAATCATTTTGGCACTGATCACAATGTCAAATGGAACAGTCCACATCATGATTCCTGTTTCACTGACATATTTCCCAGAATCAATATATTTTAGTACTGGCAGGAAATAACAATATGGAAAAAAGGATTAATTTTCTGCAGGTTTATCTTAAAGCACTCTGTCAAAGCCAGCAAATCAGAATCAATAAAAAATTTTGTAAGACTATTGTACTAGAAGAATGTCACACTATTTCCTTAAGGACTATCTAAGATTTCACAAATATATATAAATATACCAATATAAATGCGTACAGAATTCTGCATATTTTATTTCACTGGCAAAAATGTAAAGCTTATTTCTCATCTTACACATGCTATTTTTCTCCTTGCTACCACAATTCTGACACTGAAAATTATCCCTAAAATTCTCCTGTTATCAGAACCATAATATATAATTTTCCCAACAAAGTCTTGATAAATGTTTACGTCACCTAAGTCCACCTGAATGCAAAAGATTCCTCCACTGCTTTTTTTTTTTTTTTTTTTAAGATGGAGTCTCCCTCTGTCACCCAGGCTAGAGTGCAGTGGCGCAATCTCAGCTCACTGCAACCTCCACCTCCCAGGTTCAAGAGATTCTCCTGCCTCAGCCTCCTAAGTAGCTGGGATTACAGGCAGGCGCCACCACACCCAGCAAATTTTTGTATTTTTAGTAGAGATGGGGTTTCACCATGTTGGTCAGGCTGGTCCGGAACTCCTGACCTCGTGATCTGCCTGCCTCAGCCTCCCAAAGTGCTGGGATTACAGGCGTGAGCCACTATGCCCAGCCTCCTCAACTGCTTTTTATAGCACAGCCTAAGGCTTGGATATATTCATGATCAGAGATTTGATCTTCTACAATAGTGAGTCATGCTTCAATTTGGTTGACAGAGAAGCAGCAGAATGCCTTTCTGTGCCTATGAGCTCCCTATTCTCAGAAAAGGTACAAAAACATCCTAACAGGTTTACCCCAAATTTCTGTGGGTTGATATTATCAGTTTACGGCAGAAGACATCTGAACCAATGGAAACACAACGTACTTTTAATACTTTCATCTACCACAAAAATTGTAGGAAAAAATCATATAATAAATCGTTTGTCTTTATATAATTTTCCCTGTGAAGCTGAGGTGCTTATCTATATAATTGTATTAAATGGCTACATTTAAACTAAACCAATTGCAAAAAAAAAATCAAATGAAATCAATGAAAAGAAAATTGTGCATCAAAATTTACCTGTTGCATCAAATTCAATTGGCTGGCACCGGCGGGTAGAAGACCAGTCACATTTGAGGACCTGCCCTCCTTCCACAATCCCAGGCTGGGTGGTGTTTGCTTTGGGAGCTCCCACGAGAAGAAACATCCGGCTAAAATACAAAAGCGGCAGACCAAAGTTTAAATGAAACAAAGTGTAAGCAATATCTTCTGATTTATGAGGAGCAATCATTCTCTTGATATTATCTATAAATATTTTTTAAAACCATTTGCTATTCACTGAGGGCATAATCTTCATTATTCATTTGGTAGTCTCTTGCATGCATACATTATTTGATATAGTTTATTTTTCCTGATAACTTTATAAGGCAAGTTCAGGGTTACATTCATTTAGGAATTTATGCAGGTCAATCATACACTTTAAATATGTACAGTTTATTGTATGTCACATATCTCAGTAAAGCTCTTAAAAATGTATGCTGCCTAGAGGCAGGAAAGTTTTGTTTTGGTGTTCTGGTGTGTGTGTGTGTGCATGTGCGTGTGTGAGAGAATTACTATGCATTTTCTATATTCTGAATGTTGAGCAAAAAAAAAAATATTCTAAGTAAATTATTCCAAAGTATAATTATAAATATGATTTTCCCATTTAGAAAAATTATCTTGCATTAGAAATATTGCTGTAATTTTTATTTTATTCTATTTTTTTTTTTTAAGAGACACAGTTTTGCTTTGTCACCCAGGCTGGAGTGCAGTGGTACAATCATAACTCACTGCAACCTCCAACTCCTGGCTCAAGCGATCCTCCTACCTCAGCCTCCTGAGCAGGTAGAACTACAGGCATATGCCACCATGCTAAGCTAATTTTTTTTTTAAATTTTCTGTAGGGGTGGGGTCTCGCCACATTGCCTAGGCTTAATTTTTTTTAATAGTTGACTATTTAATAAAAAATTTCTTATCACAAGATTAATCTAATCAATTCTTGGTCAAAGATTAGGACCACTATTCAATTTCTTTGTCATTAAGGTAAAATAAACCAAAGACACAATAATCAGGAGTAAAATTTTTAATTTTAAAGAGATGTTTTCTTTTGTTGTTTTCTATTCATTCATAAAAGATATGAAGTGAGTGCTTCCTCTACATAAAGCAAGGTCCTAAGTGCTAGAGATACCAGATGACTAAAACAACCTTGGTTTCTGCCTTTTTTTTTTTTTTTGAGACAGAGTCTTGCTCTTGCCACCCAGGCTAGAATGCAATGGCATGATCTTGGCTCACTGTATCCTCCACCTCCCCAGTTCAAGCGATTCTCCTGCCTCAGTCTCCTGAGTAACTGTGATTACAGCCGCCCACCACCACGCCTGGCTAATTTTTATATTTTTAGTAGAGACAGGGTTTCACCATATTGGTCAGGCTGGTCTCTAACTCCTGACCTCAGGTGATCTGCCTGCCTTGGCCTCCCAAAGTGCTGGGATTACAGGCGTGAGCCACTGTGCTTGGCTGATTCCTGCTCTTAATGGAGGAATTTAGCTTACATTCCCTTAGAGGCAAGAAACTAGCCAATAAATAAATTACTATTACAAGTCCTACCAAGTAAGCAAACAATTAGCTGAGAGAGATTTTTGGGAATAGGGAGAGGAGACCTTCTTTAGACAGAGCAGTTATCTCTAAGGATGAGAGGGGAAAGATTTCCTCTAGGTAAAGGAAAGTCTCTCTAAGGAAATCATCTTTAAAGAATGGGGAAGAAAGTTCTCTTTTAGATAAAGTAGACAGAGAAGTTATTTCTAAGGAACTCACCACAACATTAAGATGTACAGGATCAGAAGGAGGGTGCCTAGGAGCATTTGTGTATTGAGGATGGAGGGGAGTGGGGGGTGGGGATGAGGGAAGTGGAATGAAGAGATGGAGGGAATATGTGAGGCAGAGGTAGAAAGACCCTGGCAAGAAAGAATTGAATCTCCAGGAGCTACAAAGAAAGGTATGGCTGAAGGAGGGGACAAGCCGGGAGTGGCACAAGATAAGGTCAAGGAGCCTGGCAATAACTAAGTCAAATAGGGCCTTTTGGCCATGGTTAAACTTTGTATTTTATCCCAAGGTTCATTTGAAGCCACTGAGTTTTTTAAGAAGAATGAAATCATCTACTAAAGAAAACTAAATGTTATGCCCTATGGGGAAAGCATTAAGGGAGAGGGAGAAAAAAATGGAACAAGGAAAGCAAAGGACTGGCCGCAGCTCAGGGAGCAGGTGAGTGTGATCTGCAGTAAGAGGGTGGGTGGAAAGATAGGTGACAGATGGAAAAAAACATCTGGAGTACAACAGCAATCGCTGGAGGCCTGAATATGAGAGAAAAGACATTCAAGAATGCCACCTAGATTTCCTTCTTGAGTGCATTGATGGGAGAAAAGCCTAGAGAGCAGAGAAGCAGAAGGCAGATTAAGTACTTACAGGAGTTCAAGACTAGCCTAGGCAACATAGTAAGACCCCCATCTCTACAAAGAATAAAACAATTCACTGGGTGTGGTGGCATGCGCCTGTGGTCCCAACTTTGGGGGTGGAGCTGGGGTCCTGAGACAGGAGGATGGCTTGAGCCCAGGAGGTTGAGGCTGCAGTGAGCTGTGATTACAAGTGCTACAAAGTAAGCAAACAGCCTGGGTGAAACAATGAGTCCCTGTCTCAAGAAATAAAATAAAATTAGTATTTACAGAAAAACCATGAATTCAATTATTAATATGTTTGTTTGAGATATCTGTGAGTCATCCAGTTGTAGTCTGAAGCCCTGCCTGAGACAGTATGCTGTATCAGAACACAGTTGGGGTTATTCAGCCAGGGGAAGCGTCGAAAGAGGAGGGGCAATGAGTGAGTTCTCAGGGACAACAACATTTAGGAGTCAAGAAGAGAAAGAAGATAAAGTAAAAAAGATTTTTGTCTTTAATCTCAAGAAACTGATTGAAATATAGGAGGAAATAAAGCAGGATACAGGCAGACAAAAACAGTCCTAAAATGCTATCACCATAATCATTTTGTTTCATTAAATACTAAGTCACTTAAATTATTCTGGCAAAGGAAACATTTACAATTGCTTTTCACCTTTTTGTGAAATTAGAACGAATGTACATCTTAAATATGGAATGCATTCACTTGAACTTTTAAAATCAATTTCTTATTCTGGGTAGTAGCTGCCAAATCTCATCTACAGTAGACAAAAGCTGGCTGTACGAATTGCAGGGTTACAAAGAATCCTGCTTTCTGACACTTATCTTAAAAATCCACAAATTCAAAATAAAGACGTAACTCCCAACCAAACCACGCCCTATTTAATAGAGCTCCATGCAGTCATATCTGGCATCAGTAAAACACCAATGTTGGCTCTCTCCCATCACGGCAAAATGATTCTGGGTAGAAAATGAACTTAGTTTTCATTCAGCAAAAGTCTTTCATAAGAAAAAAAGAGGTTGGGCACAGTGGCTCATGCCTGCAATCCCAACACTTTGGGCGGCTGAGGCAGACAGATCACTTGAGGTCAGGAGTTTGAGACCAACATGGCAAAACCCCATCTCTACTAAAAATATAAAAATTAGCCAGGCGTGGTGGCATGAGCCTGTAATCCCAGCTACTCGGGAGGCTGAGGCAGGAGAATCACTTGAACCTGGGAGGTGGAGATTGCAGTGAGCCAAGATTGCGCCACTGCAGTCCAGCCTGGGCAACAGAGGAAAACTCTGTCTCAAAAAAAAAAAAAAAAAAATGCTATGAGTAAGAGAGTCCCCACCTCCCATAACTAAGAGAGCAGCTCGTCATCAAAACCCCATCGGTTCTTTTTCTAGAGCAGAGTTGGTTAACACAGTGAAACTCTGTGTGTGTGTGTGTGTGTGTGTGTGTGTGTGTGTATAAATTATAATATGTAAATTTATTACATATACAATTTTTTTTCTACGGGTCTAAAATTTGACCCCAAAATCACACAACTACCCCTTTTCATCAGAATTAAATGATTTTTGAGTGCATACTAGAACAAAAGAACAGTTCAGGTAAGTTTGCTTTTGAGGGTCAATATCTTGAATAGTGCTTGCTTGGGACATTGCCACAGTAGTCCTAATGAGAGTAATACAAGCACAGGTATGTACACGTTCTTAGTGTTGTAGATCATACCAGGTTCTACATCAGGATAGGAGAACTGGTTCTCAAGCTTTGCCTGGAAACCTACAAGCAAAAATCACTTCTGGGTTGTCTTCAAATAGTAGCTCACAGCAGTGGTCCCCAACCTTTCCTTCCCTGGACATAGAGGGGGATGCTTTCGGGATGAAACTGTCCAACTCGGATCACCAGGTATTAGGTTCTCATAAGAAGCATGTAACCTAGATCCCTTGCATGCACACTTCACAGCAGGGTTCACACAATAGGGTTTGCTCCTATGAGAATCTAATGCCACCACTGATCTGACAGGAGGCAGAGCTCAGGTGGTAATGCTCACTCTCCTGCTGCTCACTTCCTGATGTGCAGCATGGTCCCTAACAGGCTATGGACTGGTACTGGTCCATGGCCCGAGGGTTGGGGACCCCTGTCTTACAATATATTTTATAACTTTTTGGTCAAAACTATTCTGCCTACCTTATGATAAATTGCTTCTTTGAATGTAGGGTACTCTAATTCATCTTTTGCACCTGCCACATTATAAGAACTCAAGAAAAGTTTAAATGGACAGTGGAGTAACAAAGTAAATTCAATAGCTATGTCTCAATCTTAAAGTAGCCATATATAAATAAGTCATTTCCACTACGTCTGAACCCCTCAAGAATGCAGAAAGCATCCTCTATTAAACATCCAATTATTTAAATTACCCTTAAAACAATTTCCTTGTGTAACATCTCTACTTAATTTTGGGTTTCAGATACTTTCTTTACTTGGCACTATAAGACAGAGAGAGCTCGGAAGTTATTAGGAGAAGGCCTTCAACAAAGACAGAGAAAAAGAGCCCAGTAGGAGCATTCTCTGAATGAAAACACCACTCTATTGGCAGCACATAGCATGAGTTCCTTGAATAATACCAGGAACAAGCCTGTTGCTTTTCATCAGGCTATCTGCACATTATAGGCATGAAATGATGGTAATCAGGTGTACAAATGGATGTTCATTAAGTTTTCCTAAGCATACCTTCATGTGCAGACTTGCATACTGGTGAAATGCTACAGAAATGGCAGAATAATATAAAAGGAATGTGTCAATATCTACATGCTAAATTTGTGAGGGAAAAAAGCTGATGAAGTTTTTCATCCAAAATGCCATCTCGATATTAAAGTTATCATTAAGATATTTAAGTTTTTTAAAGAGAACAATGAAGAGATAGAGAAAGTAAAATGACCTTAGACATATGTTAAAGTCTTACGAGGAAGCTGTGTAGTGAAAAAGAAATACTTGCATAGAAAACTGGGTACAAGGTGATAAAAGATGCTATATAAAAAAATTAAGGAATAAAAAGCAACACAGGCCAGGCACGGTGGCTCATGCCTGTAATCCTAGCACTTTGGGAGGCCAAGGCAGGAGGATCACTTAAGGTCAGGGGTTCAAAACCAGCCTGGCCAACATGGTGAAACCCCATCTCTACTAAAAATACAAAAGTTAGCCAGAAATTGCTTGAATCCAGGAGGCGAAGGTTGCAGCAAGCCAAGATTGTGCCACTGCACTCTAGCCTGGGCAACAGAGCAAGACTCCATCTCAAAAAAAAAAAAAAAGCAACACATACTACAAAAAACAAAGTTAATAAAACACTCCATAAAAATAATTGTTACTTGAATTTCATCTAAGAATGACTAATGAAAGTGTACAACAGCTTAATTAGGGTAAGAGAACTGACAGACCAGAAAAAAAATGTTTGTGATCTAAGCAGCACTATCTAATGGAAACAGTTTGGAATTAAAATTTACAAACACTGCAAATCAATTGAAGCAGTAACTTTGAATCTCTGTTCCCTTCTATCGAATGGCAATAACAATGCCCACTGTAATTACTTTAAAAAGAAACTTTCTGAAGGTGATAATAAATAAATGCAAACTTAGAAAATCTGAAACACCACGAAAATACAAGATGATGGGATTTAATTATCATCTTCGTCCTGAAAACAATTGATGCCATTAATAAGTTATTCCCTAGAAGAGTAGAAAATGTAAAACTTAAATTCTGTCTTTAAAAGGGCTTTTCTTTCCTCAGTGTTTTCAAAGGGCCATTAATGGTCAAGTGATTAACTCAAATGAAGAAGAAAAAGAGAAAGAAGGGTAGAAAAGCCAGCTTAAACATTTCTTATCAATGGTGGCGAGGTGGGGAGAATACACAGGGTGAGGTAAGGTTGACAAGAGTTTTCACTGATTAGCAGTGTAAATCTGAAGCTGAGTGACTTAATTTCCTATGCCCGCAACTCTCTCCTGATAGACTCCATTTCCCTCCAAAAAGTATGTCCAAGAACATCATCAGAATCCCCATCCTCAACATTTTTTTTTTTAATGACTGGAAACACTGCCATTAAATAACTCTCTGGGACTTCAAAATTAAGGTTTACATCCATGCCAAGAAGTGCTAAAATATAAAGGATTGAGTTTGGGAGAGAGGACAGAAAGATGGATGGAAAGGAAGAAAAGAGATAGAGGAAAGGAAAAAGAGAGGAAGGACAAGAGACAGAAAAAGAAAAAAGAGAGAGCGATACAGAGGGAGAGGTATCAGAGGAGGCAGTGAGAGGGAGACAGACAAGAGGCTCAGAGGAACCAATCAGGAGGATGGCCTTTGGATGCACTCCCTATCCAAACTGTACTTGAAGGGCAGTTGATTCACGGAATGTGACCTTGACAACCAAGGAGGGGCAACCTGCCAAACAATGACAAGTCCATTTTTCAAACCCTCCAAATAAACTAACTTGTTTGTCTGCTTTCAGCACTGACCTTTCTAAGATAAAGCATGTTTAATATATTTAGCTGACTCTGAGTTGACCAATGAGCCTTCACCAAAAGGAACTTCTGAAAAACTATCATACATGTATATAGAAATAAATGTGTATGAAATAGTACTGAATGTTATTTCAAAGCTACAATTCCAGTTTCAGATTTACTTTTCATTTTTTAAAAAATGCTTTTTTGAATCAAAAGAAAAACAAAAATGCCAGTCAACAACTACTGTAAAACAGAAGCAGTAACTACAATTTCCACATATTTTCCCTTGTCTTTCATAATGCTCTATGAAACATCATATGTCCTTAATCAGAAGTAATATAGGATTTGCTTTCTAAATAACAAAATTATAGCCTAGTTTTATGTCCCCTAATATACATGTATATTATTTATGATGAGAAAAATCAGCCAATATAATCAGAGCTACTCTGAAGTTTATAAAAAATGAGCTGGCATCATTTTGTAAAGTGTTGTGAAAAGGGTTAAAATGGTAAGAGTAGAAATGGTACATGAAGTTTTAAAAATACACACAGGTTGGGACAGATTGCAAGTGACCTTAATCCATGTTAAGCGGTTTGGACTTTCTTGCTGGCAATGGAAGCTTTATTATGAAAATTTTTGCAACAGAATACCAGGATGAAAAAGGATGTTACAGAAAGATAAAATGAATAGAAACAGACAAGATGTTCTGCACGTTTAAGAGCCAAATGATGGGCAGAGGGATGGGGGAGGACCTGAGTGCCACTGACTATGCTTGTCATAACTACACTGAAATAAGGAGTAGAAAGCAGAGATGGAATCAAGAAAACCTTAAAAAGGAAGAATTTCTAGGAGCTTCTGCCTGTTGACTAATCACTGACTGATATTAAGGTGGTGAAGTAGGAGAAACACAGAAAAATAGAACATGAGAGGGAGGAATATGAAA
Source organism: Homo sapiens (assembly GCF_000001405.40). Classification (NCBI taxonomy): domain Eukaryota; kingdom Metazoa; phylum Chordata; class Mammalia; order Primates; family Hominidae; genus Homo; species Homo sapiens. Next base: position 186,594,324 of record NC_000002.12, on the reverse strand, counting down.
GTATTTCCAAGGTGACAGAGAAAATGATGCCAGCATTAATAGAAACAGAGGTGCAACTAACATCTCTTGGTGAAGACTTTTTAGTCAAATTGAGTTAAGACAGGCTAGTCAACGAGAAATGATTCACAGGCCAGGCCACTGGAATATCAAGTCAGAGATCTACTTTTAGATTTAAGATACAGCCAGGGCAAGAGTTTTATTTAAAAGGCTTTCCAGATATTGCAAACATGAAGTTAGGACTGAGAACCATTGAAGGACCTTCTGCTTCTAAGGCATACACATCTACACATTGCCAACTGTAAGATAAGGCTCCATTAGCGTTTAATGGGGGGAAAGGCAAGAATCCAGTGTCATTCATTATAGCATTATTTTAAAATAAAGAAATACATAAAATGAGAACTGTATAACATATATTTGAAGAATGAATTTTAAAATTGTTCAGTTATTTTCTTTAAAAATTCAATATTTGAATTAATAAAAGTGGGATTTGAATTTTACACCCTGTCTTCGGATCCTTCCCTTCCTTACCCTCTACTCACACCAACCTACTCAAATAACTAGACTGCAAACGGTTCTGCCTCCATTTCCTCCTCATCTGTAAGAATGAGTATATCTGCTTCCCCTTACTTCCCCCCGGTGGTGTGGGCTATAGAATGAAATGAGATATAAGTGCTTAGCAAATTATAAAATATGTTTACCAAAATAAGATGTCATCATTATAATTAAACCTAGGATGTAATTTTTAATTTTTCCAATTAGTCTCCACAAGAAAAGTATGACTCTAATTATTAGCCTGCATACAATCTTTAAATTTTATGTAAGTTTTACAACATAGCATAAATAAATGCTTATAGAAAAAAAAACAGAATGCGAATGTTTTTTCATAATTTTGAAAATCACTATATTTGTGAATTTTTACTTCGAACCTGACTCATTTCTGGAGTGATTTTTTGAGGGGCCGCCTTAACATTTTGCTTAGTACTTTGTCCTTCCCTTTAATAAATATTGATTCATTAATTTTCACAACAAAACTATGAACTATGCAGATAATTCAATAATAATTTTCTATAAAGAGAAAAATTAGGCATAAAATAATTCTACAGCTTCCCCAAGGTATGTGGACACCAAAACTGGAAAAAGCAACAGGAGTGGACGTCACAACCACTGCTCCTCACAAATCCTTCTCCCCTCAGAAGAAAGGCGCTCTTGAATTGACAAATACTTTTTCATTATGTGGCTTTTTTTCTTTTAAAAGTTTATGGTAATACCAAATAACAATAAATCCAACTGGTAATATTGGAAATGGCATCCCAAGTACCTTGGATTCCAATGCTTGTTAAATTTAAAGTGCCCTTCTAGAAAATTCAGCAAAATTTTACATAAATTTTTGTTAAATCTGAAAAGCTCAGTAAGTAAAAACCTGTGTTTATATACGTTTTGTTTAAAAAGAAAAAAGAAAAAAATTCAAGGTTGGTTTCCATTTTTTAAGTTACCTATACCTAGAGCTCTGTAGTCTATCGGTAACAAAGTTGCTGATGAATATTTCAAAATATTATATGCAACCAAACCCAAGTTCAATTTTACTTTATCATTAAAGGTCTATGAGTGAAGTCATGTAAACCTGTGAGGTCATAACACATTCATTGATTATAATGACTGGCCAAAGATTAGTCACCCTGGTTTGTAATCAGCAGTAGCAAATATCATGAAGAGTTCAACATCACTGCATTTTTCATGGAAAAAAAAAAAACACTTAAAGTTTATCAGCCTCTCATTTATCTTACACTAAACTCAGAGCACTGCTGAAGAATTAACAGTAACATTGTAAAACACTGCCATCAACTTTATTTTGTTGTTGTTATTGTTTGTTGTTTTTGATTTTGTTTTTGTTTCTGAGACAGTCTCTCTCTATCGCCCAGGCCACAGTGTGGTGGCACAATCTCCATTCACTGCAACCTCAACTTTCCAAGCAATCCTCTCATCTCAGCCTCCCGCAGAGCGAGGATTACAGGTGTGCACCACCATGCCCGGTTAATTTTTGTATTTTTTTGTAGTGACAGGGTTTCACCATGTTGCCCAGGTTGGTCTCAAATTCCTGAGCTCAGACAATCTGCCCATCTTGGCCTCCCAAGGTGCTGGGATTACAGGTGTGAGCCACTGTGCCTGGCCTGAAGTATTTAAATGCTAATTTTTGACTGAAGACATATATTTTCAAAATCATTAGAATTTCTCTACAAATTATATCTCACATTGAACCCTTGGGAGCAACTAAAATGTTCTGTCTCATGAAGGTATACACTTGAAAGTATCTGGAAACAAAAATGTTTAAAGATAACGTTTGGTATTCACCCCTGTGGTTAAAAACAATAAATAAAAAGATAATGCTGACTAAAATGACTAAATGGAATGTGAAATTGGTAAATGTTGCCTAAATAATGATTATTTTTATCATGTTGGAAAATCTGTGCTCCAGGTCTCACAGAAAGCACTGTAACTGCTAACAACAAATAAAACTAAGCTTGCTACATAAAATAATGTCTCCACTAACAAAGTTTCCATTAACTGCATCTAATCTATGTATTGCTGCAAAGGTTGTTACCAAAATGAATGATACTCAGTAACATTCAGAAAAACACTAAGACTAAATTCTGCTGAGTGTCCTAACAGTCATAGAAAACCATTGAGACCACCCTCAAATTAGGCATGTGTGTAGTAGAAGATGGTCCTATCCACGTACTAACCGTCAAAATTTTCCTCCACTTCACCCCGAAGGGATATCTTATACAGAAAATATGGAAACAAAAATATGTTGTTACAAGGTCTAAGCGTTTAGAAGGCACCCTAAGAACAGTTTCTCTCTTGAAAACAAGATTTAAACATCATTAAAAAAACAGTCAACATTCATTAAAACAGTACTCCTAACGCTAACATGGGGGTGGGGTGGTGAGAATGATGTCAGCATTCAGTAAAGTCGGAGACAATTTCTAACACAATAATGGCAATAACTGTTATAAATCCTGACGGCCCTTGCAACGCGGAACGTTGGCAACTTGAAAACATAACTGAATTATTAAATACTGCAGTATTCAAATGACCTGCAGCGAGTGAAAACTCAGCAAACACCCTTGTTCCTTCTGAACAATGACCTAAATAGTGAATCACTATAAAAAGAACAGATGACACATTCAATTCATCTGTTCAACCTCAAATGTGCAAATGTCTGACAGTCCCAGAGATAAGACACAATGAATTCAATAGGACAGTATGGTCATTTTAAGTCATCAGAATGTCTGCAAAAGGAGTAAGGAGAAACAGAATCAGACAGAGGCGGAAAGAGTGGGGGAGGGCTTGTTTAGGGAGACTGAAAAGGACGGGCGTTAAGCCTGTAAAGCAGAAAAAGGCTACCAAGAAGCCTAACTGGTAGAGGAGAAAAAGAAGTTCGGGGATGATATTGACCAAATCCTCGACACTGGCACAGGAGGCGGGGAGTCCGGCAAGACCAGCCTTTGTTGATTTCCCACTTTCCCCGATTTTTAAGCACAGGTCTGCTTCAAAGCTCTCCCGCTGCCCCTAACCAATTTTAAGAGGTGAGAAGCGGGGTGTAACTGGGTGATGGGTACCAAAGGGAGTTCATTTCCCCAAATATTTCCTCCACCCAGGATATAAACCACTCTGAGAGGTAGGATGGGTGAGACAGACAGACGCCGGGATCTCTCGGAAATCAATCCCAATGGAGAAACGCTGGGTGGGTGCGCGCGGTGGGGGAGGGGGCCGGCTCCAGTTCCAAGTGCGGCCACTTACGAAGACGCGCTGGGCACGAAGAAATCCACGGCGAAGCCGAAGTAACTTCCCTCGGGGCCAGAGTACTCGGCAGGACTGTCCACGTCTAGGTTGAAGGCGCGGCACAGAGGTAGCAGGAGTCCCGAGAGAAGAAGCGGGAGGCCGCGGGGACCGAGGCGCAGCCGTCGCCGCGGCGGAAAAGCCATCGCCGAAGTGCGCGCGGGACGCCAAGCCGGGAGCGGTAGCCACCTCCCCCCGCCCCAGCGAGGCGCCCAGTGCCCGCGGCCCGCCGCCTGCGCGCGCCCAAACTTGCCGGCCGCTCTCTTCTCGGCTAGCCCGGGACAGCTCCGGGGCAGGCAAGAGGGCTGAGCTTCGGAGCGACCGCCAGGGACGAGGGGCGCAGAGCGCGCGGGGCGGGGACAGCAGCGCAGACGGTCCTTTGCTTCCCTCCGGCTCCGCCGCTCCACGCAGCGTCTGAGGCTGGGGACTGCCGGGGTGAGCGCCGCACCTCAGGCCTGAGAGCCGCGGCGGCACTGGGAGGAGACCTGGAAGGAGGAGGAGCCGGCCCGGGAGGCTGCTGTGGAGCTGGAGGAGGAAGTGGGGGAGGAGAGGCGCCCTTCTACAGGGGAGAGCTCAGCGTACTTCCGTGAGTGCAGTCGCCGCCTGTCCCGAGACCTGGGCGTCTGTGCAGGGGCCCCCAGCTCCTGAGCCTGGGTCAGCGGCAGCGCTCCTGGACGAAGGCCTCAGGCTGAGCACCTGAGGAGGCGTGGGGGCGGGGGCGGGGAGATACGGTCCAGCGTCCCAATCTACCCGCGTCCACGGGAGTAGCAAGGGCACCCACGTTCCCTTGTCCCGCCGGGAACTTCCGTGCGACTGTTGTTTAAAAATGAGGAAAGCTTTTTATCAGTTTCTCGTGTTTCTGCTGCTTAGCCTGGCAGGCTCTCACGAACGAAACCCTGTTAATTAATGGTCGTTAATTACACTCCATTCCACAAACACTGAACTTAATTACGGATTTCCAGAAAGCCAGCATAGCCTCTTGCAAGTGAGGTATGTAAAGCTTAACTTAGTAGTCAAAGAAAGGATTCGCAGGGCAAAGAATTGGCAGTGATCGTTTTAAATCAAGTCAGAATAATCGAAGCCTTATTCCCAGTTTGTTAGCTGCGGTTGTATGATTTAGAAACACTGATTTGTTGATTTAGGATGTTTGGATAGACATAATTTCAGAGCTGGAAGAAGGACCGCACACCGGTGAAATAAGGCCCCGCGTGCTTGTTTGCCACTGGTGTGTTTCATCAAGCCTTGACAACACTGGACTGAGAGAGAGGGCCTTGAGGACAGGAACCTTGACCTTTTTCTTAGTGTTCTTATTTCTAGCACCTTGCCAAGCAGATAGTAGTCGATCAATAAAATGTCCAATCAGTGAATGAATAGCAGACGAAATGAGCAAAGTGCCCAGAGAAGTGACTCTTCCATATTTCAAGTGTTTCATGTGCTACAGAATCTGTTGAACAAGGTGAAGTTTAAGTGCATTGTGTGGACTTACAACTTACAAGTAAGTACTGGAACAGTAATTTCTGTTTTCCCAAAGTAACTATTAAAACTCAATCATAATATACATTAATAACTATCAAATAATCCTGTGAAAGGATATGTATATAAATGAAAGTGAAATGCCTAATTCGAATTTGTAATATTTATTGGACCAGGTCCAGGTGCTCATGCTGGCAATCTCAGCACTTTGGGAGACTGAGGCAGGAGGATTGCTTGAGACCGGGAGTTCCAGGGGAACATAGGGAGACCTCATCTCTACAAAAATTTAAAAATTAGCTGGGAGTGTGGTGCATGCCTGTAGTCCCAGCTATGCCGGAGGCTAAGGCAGGTAGATAGATCGCTTAGGCTCAGGAGTTCCAGGTTATGATAAGTCATGAGCCTGCCACTGCACTCCAGCCTGAGTGACAGAACAAGACCCTGTGTTTAAAAAAAAAAAAGGCCGGGCGAGGTGGCTCATGCCTGTAGTCCTAGCACTTTGGGAGGCTGAGGCCGGCAAATTGCCTGAGCTCGGGAGTTCGAGACCAGCCTGGGCAACACAGTGAAATCCCGTCTCTACTAAAATACAAAAAATTAGCCGGGCGTGGCGGCATGCGCCTGCAGTCCCAGCTACTCAGGAGGCTGAGGCAGGAGAATTGCTTGAACCCGGAAGGCGGAGGCTGCAGTAAGCTGAGATGGTGCCACTGCACTCCAGCCTGGGCCACAGAGTGAGACTCCATCTCAAAAAAAAAATGCATTAAATATTTCCATTTTTAAATTTGACTAAAAGATATGCAGCAAAACCTTTGGCATGTTTTACAAGGCATGGTCTAGCATCTGCCTGAAAGAAATTACTGATTGAGAGAAGAAATCCTACACAAATCCTTACACATAAATGCAAATACAGCTTATTTCTCACCTTCTTTCCTAATACACCAAAGAGGCTATTGATATGTATGCATAAACCCAAAGGGTCTTTTATATCTTAAAAACATGACAACCAGTCTACCTGGAAATCCATCCAGGTAAGGAAGACAGAAGAGTTTAAACTCTGGCTAGATCCAGTAAGTCTCCCACTCCTCAACTTCTGATCGCAGGACAGGGGTCCGACAGACCAAGGTGGAGTGAAGAAATGTGAGAGGACCAGGGAAAAGAAGAAGCCCACGAAATGACAACACATGTACACCCACCAAAACTTGGGTGAACAACACACCCCCAAATAGGGCTACAACTTACTGAAAGCACTTACTGTTGAGCCATTCTTTATGAGTTTATTTTGAATGAGCAGTCTTGAAAATCAAGGAATTTGTTTTTTTTAAAAAAGCAAATAGTCCAGGCACTGTGGCTCATGCCTGTAATCCCAGCATTTTGGGAGGCCGAGGTGGGTGGATCACCTGAGGTCAGGAGTTCAAGACCAGCCTGGCCAACACAGTGAAACCCCGTCTCTACTAAAAATACAAAAATTGGCCGGGCGCAGTGGCTCACTCACACCTGTAATCCCAGCACTTTGGGAGTCCAAAGTGGGTGGATCACGATGTCAGGAGTTCAAGACCAGCCTGGCCAAGATGGTGAAAGCCTATCTCTACTAAAAATACAAAAATTAGCTGGGTGCAGTGGCAGGCACCTGTAATCCCAGCTACTTGGGAGGCTGAGGCAGGAGAATCACTTGAACCTGGGAAGCAGAGGTTTCAGTGAGCCAAGATCGTGCCACTGCACTTCAGCCTGGATGACAGAATGAGACTCCATCTCAAAAAAGAAAAAACAGTAGCCAGGCATGGTGGTGTGTGCCTGTAATCTCAGCTACTCAGGAGACTGAGGCAGGAGAATTGCTTGAACCCGGAAGGCAGAGGCTACAGTGAGCCGAGATATTGTGGTATTGTGGGCCACTGTGCTCCAGCCTGGGTGACAGAGCGAGACTGTCTAACAACAAAAAAAAGCAAACATACATTTCAATTAGGAAACTATGAAGCAGACTAACCCAGTGGCTTTAGAAACTTGGGGTTATAAATGCAGGCATCTCTTTGTGTGACCATGCTCGAGCAGCCACTCACACAGTGCCTTGCAAATTGTATTGTAGAACATGTCAATTCAGCTAGTGCTGATTCAAAATCCACATTGCACCTGGTACTATGTGCATGGGACAGAGAAAAGAATGTTTTAGTCTACGAAAGAATGGTGGTGCCCCTCCCCTACCCCCATGACACTACTCTTTGAACTACATTATAACAGTTTTCCAACTTAAAAGGAGAACTTCTGTGTATACATTAAGTATTCATTGAATATAATCCTTTTCTTAGAAAATAAAATATTAGATAGTAAAAAGAATTTGTACTTTGAATTTTATCCTCTACTACCCTATACTTTAGTAAAAATCTTGATTCCAGTGGTTTCTGTAAAATAAAGCACCTGGGTTCCATTCCTGGCTTTGCCAACTACTAGTTGTATGACCCTGGGGAAATCAATCCAACCAATCTGTGCCTCAGTTTTCTTATCTATGAAAGGGAAAGGGGAGTAATACTATGTCTATCTCTTAGAATTGAACAGTTCTTGTTGCCATTAATACTTTTAAGACTAATAGTTTAGCATGGTAGCAATAATAAATTTTTTTTTTTGAAACAAAGTGTCACTCTGTCACCAGGCTGGAGTGCAGTGGCGCCATGTCAGCTCACTGCAACCTCCGCGTCCTGGGTTCAAGCAATTCTCCTGCCGTAAATTTTTATGACTATTATTTCACTCTCTTAGTTCCCCTAGTGTCTGTCCAACAGGTCCTTCAATAACCATAATCAAACCAGGGCTTCACGCAGCTCTGTCTCTGCAAACAAAGGAACTTAGTCCATAATTTAAGAGGAATTTCAAATTTTATCTCTCTCAAAGAACCTCAAAGGAGATTCAGTTAATAACCCATGGGAACTTCAGAAATCTGCTTCTTCTACTCTCAATTTCTCTGGAGACTTTAACCCACTAAACCCTGCCCTGGAATTTTTGTTGCTGTTTGCTTGTCTAACTCACTCCTGTCACTCCTCTCTTGGCTGTTTATTAGGGAGACTGACTTGTTCTCTCTTCACCCCCATAACCACTTCCACTCCCAGTGCTGCCCTTTCCTATCTGATCTGTATCAGAAAAGATTCTGGCCAGCACTTCTGCTCTTTGGGTGAATGGGAAAGAAGAGAAGGCAGGCAGTAAACTTGTTACCTTTCTGGGCCATGTTTCCTAAACTACCCCTTCAATGCTAGGATTCCCTAAGTCTCTGTTCTTGAATCACTGCAGTTCTCCTCAGGGTGATCTTATGCATTGTCATGCTCTCAACTCTCATTTCTTAACACTTCCCACCTCACAAAGGAGCTTTAGCCATATTAAATAACTTAACTTTTCTCCAGAGTGCTATCTTTGCTCAAAGGGCTCCATCTTCCTGGGCAACATTAGTTCTGCCTGTAACCATTTTCCACAAGCCTCCATCCTTCTGTTATATACAAACATACACAATGTCCTTAAAGTGGCTGTTTCCTATTCTTCTTTCATTGCTTGTATTAGGCGTCAGCCTGTCTCCAAGAAAGACTTCTCTTAGGAACTACACCTTATTGTCTTTGTATCCTCAGAGCTTACAGACCTTAGGAATTAATTCCATTGTCCACGAACTTAATAATAACTAACATATCCCCACTGTTTTGCAAGGCTGAAGTGGGAGAATCACCTGAGCCCAGGAGACTGGGACCAGCCTGGGCAGCATAGCAAAAACCCATGTCTCCTAGGAAGACTCATTGGGAACCATACCTTACTGTCTTTGTATTCTCGGAGCTTACAGGACCTTAGAAATTAATTCCATTGTCCAGAGACTTAATAATAACTAACATATTTCCAGTTCTTTGCAAGGTTGAAGTGGGGGGATCACCTGAGCCCAGGAGATTGAGACCAGCCTGGGCAGCATAGCAAGAGCTCAGTGACATCACTATATAAATTCAAGTGTGAAGAGAAAGTTAATGAGTAGATTAAGAAAACATACATTGGCCAAGCAAGGAAGATCATGCATGTAATCACAACACTCTAGGAAGCCATGACAAGAGGATGGCATGAGGCCAAATGTTTGAGACCAGCCAGGGCAACATAACGAGACCCCATTTCTACAAACTTGGGAGGCTGAGGCAGGAGGATCACTTGAGCCCAGAAGCTTGAGGTTACAGTGAACTGTGATCACATCACTGCACTCCAGCCTAGGCAATAGAGCAATACTCTGTCTCTCTCTTGCTATCTCTGTATACATATATGTATACATATACATATATATGTCATAAATATATATTAAAACTTATTGTTTCTACTAGAGTCAAACTTACATTTTAAATATCCAGTCGTATTTCCACCTGGAGTTATACATTTATTGAGCACCTTCCTTGTGGTCCTATTTCCATAAGACTCCTTTTTCAAACTTATCTTTCAGAGTTGATACAATCTATGATAGAAGATATATAAAACTGAGATTCAAAGCACCAAAATAGAAATCATGACCGGGTGTGTTGGCTCACACCTGTAATCCAGCCCTTTGGGAGGCCAAGGTGGGCAGATTGCTTGAGCCAAGGAGTTTGAGACCAGCCTGGTCAATATGGCAAATCCCCATCTCTACAAAAAATAAAAAAATTACCCAGGCATGTTGCCATGTGCCTATAGTCACCCCTGGAGTGTGAGCTGGACTTAGTAAACTGCTTTTAGTGAATAGAATAAAGAGAAAGTGACTGTGGGACTTTGTTGACTAGGGCATAAAAGACACTGAAGCTTCCTTTTGTTCTCTCTTGGAGGGGAAGCCAGCTGCCATGTTATGAGGACACACAAGCTGCCTTATAGAGAAACCCACATGGTGAGGACCTGAGGCCTCTTCCCAACCACCATGTGAGCGAACAATTTTCAGAGTGGATCCTGCCTCCCAATTAGGCCCTTAGATGATAGCAGCTCCTGCCAGCCTCAATCTCAAGTGAGACCCTGAGCCAGGACCATCCATCTAAGTAGCTCTTTAATTACTGACCCATGGAAACTGAGATAATGTTTGTTGTTTTGAGCCAATATGTTTGGGGTTTAAAATTTGTTATTCAGCAATAGATAACTAATACAATGAGTTTATAAAAGTTAGTAATTTGCTAAGGTCACAGAGCTAGGAAGTATTAGAGATGTTCTAGCCAGTTTATAATAGCAAAGGTGACCATGCAATTTATTGTCGAACTGAGACACTTTAGAGAGTAATAGAAACACTAATAATAACTATATTGATACAACAGCTATATACTGGAACTCTCCAGGGCAAATTGGAACATAGGATCACCCTAATTACATCCTATGCTCTCTATTGCTACACAATTCTGTTTTCAGTATAAGTAAGTATATACAGTATGGCCTGTGCAACAATGTAAGTTTAGCACAAAGAAAGGATAATTCATTTATTCAGACAGAGACTGCTAGCTAGCTATCCAATATTCATTGCCTGCTTCTTGTTTGGTAATAAAACCCCTATATTGTGTGGTGGCAACAGTGGTCTAGCTGGAAAAAAAGAAACCATTTCCAGCTTCCTACAGATGGACAAGATATGTCAGTAGAAGTTGTCAGGTGGAGCTTGTAGGAAAGTTCTTTTGTGGGGGCTATCTTAACTATCACAAGGAACCTTTTTTGTTCTTCAATTTCTGTATAACTGCTGCCTAAGACATGGATGTGATAGTCAGAACTGCAGAAGCCACATTGTGGACATGAAGCTATACTTGGTAATATAGGTCATGAACTAAGAATTATAGAACAGAAAGTTTGTGTTTCTCATAACCATGGACCCATCATAACAGTTTTGAACTGTAAACCTGTATTATGCAGTAGAAAAATATACCTTTATCTTTGTTAAGCTGTTATGACTTGGATTTTCGGTTATACCTTGACTAACCTAATCTTAGCTGATATACTCACCTTAATTCCTCAAACAGAGATTTAAATTTTGAGTGCCAAAAATTTTTATTCTTAACCTATTTGGATAGAAATTATGCTAAATATACTGACCACTCTAAAAGAGAAGAGTAGCTAAAAGAGAAACATTGTCAGGTAGTTTTCTTGATGATACAAGGTTATTATTATGTACAGAAAGATGAGTCAGTTCACTGTTTTGGGTCTTTAAAAGTTTATATGCTCCATGGAAGCTCCTCCAATTGTTGACATTAATAAAACAAGTATGAATTAAGTCATTGTGAGCAATACTCTAATTTTCAGATGGTCTGGTGCCATCACTAATTTTGTTCCTTCTGGGAGGTTTTCTAAAATCTCCACCTTTACTTCCTCTAAAACTTGAAGACTAAAGATTTTCACCTTTCAGTCTTTATGGATATATTTGGGTTTAATAGAAAATGATGATGTTCACTAAGATGTTAGATACAGAACTCTTAATTGCATAATAGCATTAGATTTAGCACATAGAGACAAAAAATTAAAGGTTTTATGCATTTCAGCATTTTGTGAAGCATAAACCATTCTACAGTTGGATTTCTTTTCTTCTGAGTTTTGACTAAATTACTAGTATGGAGATGGTTACATGAATTAATTCTATTCTTTGGTTATAAGAGAGTCCTTAAAAAACTTTTTTATTCTGTCTAGTTGTTCTAACTATTTCAGTTTAGACTATCTTTATTATTAAGAAAATTTCTAAACAGTTACTTTAATGAAGTACTCTCTATACAGAATAAATCTTGTTCACATGTCTAAAATATCAAGGATAAATATATGGAAGAAACTTCAAGGACAACCTAACAATATGGCTGACCTGAAATGCAGTAGTAAAGGACATTTATTAAGAAGAATGAAAACTAAGGCTAGATGATCATTTGATAGGGATGTAATAAATATGTGTTGTCTACTATAACTTTCTTCAATGATGAAAATGTTCGATATTTATATTGTCTGAACACTTGCATTACCCATATGTGGCTCTTGAGCTCTTGAAATGTGACTAGTATGATGGAAAAATTAAATTTCAACTTAAAAATATTTTTCATTGTCACATGTATCTAATGGCTTCCAAATTGGACAGCATAGTTATAGATGGTATTGATACCGAGGTTAAAGAATCAGATTTGATAGATTCTAAAGTCTCTTCCAACTTTGTATTGCCATAGCTGCAAAAATAAATGGTGAAACTTTTTCTCCGTTACTGCTCCACTCTGAACCAAATTTTTCTGTTTTTAATATTAGGAATTCATTTATTCATTAATTTAATCATCATAGAATTAGTGTGCCAAGTGCAGTGGAAAAAAAAAGAAGCTGCTCTGGCATCAACATTTTTGACCTTGCTTTTCTCTTTCACTGCCTTCAATATCTCTTCTCCTCTGGGACACATGTCTCATTGTCAAATGTGATAGCAAGGTAGCAGGCTATGGACACAAAACCCTAAATGCAGGGGCTTCCAGATTGAGCAGATATTTCTCTGCTTGGAAGGAGCAAACCCACAGAAATGTATGGGGTCATGCAGGAATAATAAGGATACTGAGTCAGATCAAATTGATTTTAGTGTAAATAATGTGATGTTACTTGCACATCTGAGATTGCGTGTGGGCTGTACATAATTCCCACTATTGCCAGGATTCTTGCCAGTGTTCCAAGAATTCTCAAAGGGGCTTAAGCCAAAATTAAGTTCCCAATCTCACTGGCACCTCACCTTCTGCATCCGGTTTATTTACTCAACCTTGCACATACTTCATCCAAACTGAAAAAATGGAATATGGCCCCTTTTACATTTATTCCACAAAGGAACCTGAATGCATGGTGGTTGCATGTAACAGAATTCTGTAGAAAGTCTGATGGTGATGGTGGAGGGTAATATTTCAGAGTAATGCAGCGGAGGCCAGCTAACCACTTACGGTTGAATAGTAGACATATTTACAGCCCTCAGCCATTCCTACCATGGGAACATTGCGTTGACTGTATCTCCTTCTCAGCCTCCTGGCCTGTCATTGTGTTGTGTGCACTCCTTGCCACCAGACCTTCTTTTCTTTGATGTCCTCATTCCTAGGCCCCTGTGTCTTCCTTCTGGGCCAATGTCATGTCTACATCTTTCTCAGATTTCATACTGAGCAACTAAGACTTCTCTTTGTTTTGGCCTTTTTTTTTCAGACCATGTTTGGAACTTACATTGCAAGACTCAAAATTTTGAATGAAAAACTTAAGTTTAAAATGTTCTTATTCTAAAAAGGATTCTGGCTCCAGAGTTTGAAATAAAATTTTCTCTTTTTCATATAACTATATATGCTATGTAAGTATATATTGTTATGAGAAAAAGATGCCTCAGAGAGGACTTGGCCATTGTCATAAAATCAATAAAAGGTGTTACTGGGATTAGTATACAGGTCTCTTGAAAGGCATTTATCTTTCTATTATATTATCACTGTAAACAATATGAGTTAAAAAGATTTTATAAACATGTCTGAGAATCTTATACTTACTTACATATTATCTCCAATAGGAAATCTTTCTTGACTACCAAAAATGGCATAACAAACTTTTGAAAAGTAAGTCATATAAAAATGAAAAATGCATAGGTAAAAAAGTTATTGAACATAACTTGATGCATATATGTATTTTTAAATGGTATTTCACATGGGTACATTAGTTAAGAATTCAGCCAATACTTTGAAAATCCAGTGTTACATATAGGAAGTGGAACTTTTAACCAAAAAGAAAAAAAAAAGAGAGAGAGATAGAAAATTTTTTCCTGTTGTAATTGAGTTAGAGAAGCAAGTAGATAATAATTATTTTGACAAAATTATGCCTTGATCACCAACAATACCTTTTGAGGATGCCAGAAGATAGATTTATCAATGCTTATTGAATTATAAAACTTTTACTGACTCAGGGCTACATACAAGATGCTATGGCATATTGTGGTAGATGCTACAGCACTTTCAAGAATGAAGAGGCTGAGGCAGGTGGACTGCTAGAGGCCAGGAGCTGAAGACCAGCCTGGGCAACACAGCGAGACTCAGTCTCTACAAAAAATAAAAAATGTTAGTCAGGAGTGGTGGCACATGCCTGTAGTCCTAGCCACTCAGGAGACTTAAGCAGGAGCCCAAGAGTTTGAAGATGCAGTGAGCTACGATCATGTCACTGCACTCTAGCCTGGGCAACAGAGTGAGACCCTCTCTCTTAAAAAAAAAAAAAGGGAATGAAATGAAGTATTTGTCAGGACTCTTTCAGTTACAAGTGATAATATCCCAATTCATATTAGCTAAAGTGAAAAAGAGAATGGATTGATTCACATAACCCAGAAGTGCAGTGTTGGTTCTGTCTTCAAACACAACACAATTCTTTTTCCAGCTCTGCTTTCTACTTTATGTTGGCCTTACCCTCTCCAACTGCATCAGGCTGTACAGTTGACCAGAGAAAACAGTTATAGGTCCTACTTTAGCAATCCATAGATGATAAAGCTACCCTCTTCTCAAATAAGTATCTCAACTCAAGGCAATGATTTATATTGACTGTGTTTATAATAATTGCTCACCCCTGAACCAATCACTGTATTCAGAGAGTGAGATATTATGGTTGGCCACAGGTCAGGTGATAAACTCCTATGGGAATAATGTGGCACAGCACTGTGGTTGATGAATGTTGTTATTACTTAAGATGGAGGAAGGGCAGTTCCACAAAGATAGAGATGTAACTAGGCATACAAATATAATATTTGGCTAATACAGACTTATAAGTAACATGTCTTGTTCTCAAGGAGTTTTCCACATATAACTCTTGGTACTTATATAGGAGAAAAAGAATTCCCTCATGTGCCCTGAATTTTTTATTTCAATATTAATCAGTTATCCCGATTATGAAACTTGAAAAATATTCCCCTAGGCCTTCCTACTGTTAATTAAATCTATTTTTGTTAGTTTTAAACCAACTATGAAAATTATATAATCATTGGCATAATATTTTTGTGGTCAAAATGCAATGTTGGCTTAAAACTTTTTGTCTGTATCATAAATTATACATTTATCTTTAGATATTGTGGGAACTATGTCAACTAACAAGCCATTTCCTCAGTTAACCCCACTTCTGTGGTTGTGATGATTTGAAAACTGTTTCTTAACCTTGCTACACCTTGGTTGGTACTGTATTTGGAAACAATTTATTTTCGCCTTGACAACAAAACTTACCATTATTTTTAGAGAAATTTCATTTGCTAGAAAGCATCATTTGTATTATTTTATACTCATGCTGCCTGGGTATATGGAATGAAATTAAATGCCTGATGTTTGCATTACATATTTTTACTAAATGTGTCTCACATGCAATAGGGTGAAATACAGCTTTTATTGCATTAAGCTGCCAAGATCTCTGTGTTAATTTGATACTATAATACCGCCTAGTCAATCCTGAGGAATACAGATACATTAAATTACAAGTAGGCATAATTTATAAACAAAAAGGATTCTCATGGTAATTATGAAATGTTATATATTTTCCCTTACTACAGTATGTATAATTTCTATTCTAGACAAAAAACATACATATATTTGTGTGATTTACCTACAAATAACAGTTGATTTCACCGTTTTCCCAAGAGAAAGAGAAAACAATCTTCATTTAGTGAGTATCAGGGTTCAAAATATTTCTCTGGTGAGTTCAAGCTCAGAAGAGTCAGAAGGGATCTCCTATGCCAACTATCTGTACATATCTATGATTTCATCTTACTCTTTATTTCAGCAACTAAAATTTCAAAAATAAGTTTTTAAAAAAATTCTGAGTAGAAGTTCTGTTACTATACTAGAAATGTGTGTTTTCACCACAAGTTCTTTCACTTTAACTGTAGCAAAAGAAATGCAAGTTGATCTCCCTAAAAGTCCTTGGGAAGTGGCTACTATTGAGAGTTTTCTTGGGTTCTCCTCACCTCCTGAGGGTAAAAGAGAACCCCAGGAGGATTAAGTTTGAATCTTTCACCTACCACTGGAAAGCAGACATCTCAGAAATGTCAATATCACTTGTCTAATAATCAATCCTTCTCTTCAATTAAATAGCATTTCCTTCATGCTTTAACTCATTGGTTTTCAAACGTTTCTTAGCAGTGGAACCCTTCAAATGGCACACTAGCAGAATTCACATATATAAGACTAAGAAAAAGCAGAACCCAGATGCTGCCAGAGGACCACCGTCAAGTACAACTGAAAACTACAGCTTTCAACACTTCACACCACCTTTGTTTTATGATACACCTATTATGCTGCAGCTATGATGAGGGCATACAAATAAATAAAAGACTTGGTCATTTCCCTCAGACACATTCATTTTCATCTTTCTATAGTGGTTTCAGCATATTCACCTACAATTTATATGGTTCTCCACTCAAATAAACCTCCCCGAGCATCTGCCTTCCCTATTCTCCTTTCCCTTCCTTTCATAATGCTCAAAAAACATCTGCACACTTTTTATCCCACTTCTGCCTCAACTCAGCTGCATTTTTGCTATGTAGCCAATATCAAGACTTTAACCCATATCAATTCCAGTCAAAGTCTCCACCAAGCCCATTTCCGCAGAGGGCTGTGCTATTTTGCTCCCCAATCAACTCCCTCTCCAATAATCCATGTTAGATAAGTGAGGAAGAATAGAAATAATCTTTTCAATTTCCATTTTATAATAAGATATATATATAAACAAAAATGCTCTGTTGGTACCTGGGACACTGCGTATGGTGACGATGATACAAATGTGCACTTGCTCCAGCAGCATCATTTGCAGGAGTAATGCACAGCTATGTGGCCACCTACCTCAAGCCTCCTCTGTGCTGAAGAAAATCTTGCTAGGGGGTGTATCTCAAAAGGTGGTCTGAGGACCACTGCCATCTGGGGTCTTTGTATAAAAAGTGGGTTGCCAGGCCTAGCTAAATCAGGATTTCTGGGGTGGAGACGAGACCTGAGTTTTTTTTTTTTAGAATTTATTTTGGGGCGTTTTAGTGAAACTAAACTTAGTGAAGTTTGAGCATTCCATCTTTTTAGTTACCTATTGCTACATATCAACTCCTCCCCCCGACAACCCCAGTAGCTTTAGACAATGATTTCTTATTTATCATGATTCTGTGTGGGTTCACTAGCAGTTTCTCTTTTGGCATCTCCTGGGCTCACTCAAGCATCATCATTCTGGTAAAGGCACGGCTAGACTGGAAGGTCCAAAATAGCCTCATACATGTATTTGGCAATGCTGCTGGCTGTTAGCAGCAGAGCATCTCAGTTCTTCTTGTGACCTCTCATCCTCCAGTCAGCTGAAGCAGCTTCTCAGGGCAATGCTCCAAGACAGCAAAGGTGGAAGCTGCAAGCTTTCCTGAGGCCTAGGCTTGCTTGTACAACATCATTTCTGCCACATTTTGTTGGGTCAGAGCAAGCGAGATGGCCAGACCAAGTTCAAAGCAGAGAAAAAATAGATTTCATTTCTTGATAGATTCAGTCACAAAGCATTTTGTGGCTGTATTTATTTTTCCTGTACACCATAGTTCTTAATACTTAGTCCCTTCTCCATCATGTCTGCAGGGATTGTTGTGTTTATGAAACTTCTGGGATATGCTTTTTATGGGCTTTGCTTTGAAATGAAAATTTCTGTCAGTATTTGCTAGAAACAGGTTGTTTTGCTTTCCAGTCCTAAAACCAGGATTGTTAATATCATGGCTAATAGTTATTAAATATAAGGGTCCAACCTCCGTCGAAAAGATTCAGAAGCTCAAAAGAAAAAAAAAAAAAAAGAGTTGGTATCTAACTTCCATTTTGGACCTACTCAAAAACAACTATGGACTTATTTAAGAAAAAAATTATTAATACAACAGAATTGCACATATCCACAATTATTTTGTTCAGGTTTTTCCCATCAAAACCTTTTCAAATATGAAAAAATCAGAATTGGCTAAGTAAATTTAGTTTCCTCTTCTACCAGGCTTGCAAAGGGAGGGCTTCCACCCAAGCCACACCTACATCTCTGCTCCAAGAATTTGCTACTGTATACACAAGCTACATGGAATATTGAGAAAACTGATTTAAAATGTATTCTTGGAAAGTGGCCTCTGAGAGGACTTAAATAGCAGTTAATTCTTCAGAAAAATGCCAAACCCTGAGTGCCACCATGGGCAAGTCAGCTATCTCAGTCTTTCCTCCTAAAGTGAGCGTTGAATTTTATACTCTGTACCCAACTGACTTCAATCCATCTTTATTCTCTCTACCATTTTCATATTTAAATAAAACCTTTTGCTCTTATCAAAAATCACTTTTTAGGACAAGCTATGGTAAAAGAGGAAACCACGAAAATCTCATTTAATCAACTGAAAGAAAATATACAATTAATTTGCCTGTTGCCTTAAGTTGAAGTGTTTTAATACATTCTCCTGTATTTAACGTTTGCTTATATATTTTTTTCCCTTTTGGTTTATTCTAAGGCAAAAGTTTGCCAAGAACTATGTCCTCCTGAGTCAGCAAGTAAATTTCCCACTTAGATGAGTCACCAGCCTGGCTTCCCTAAGTCAGAGTCCTGTGTCTGGGCTAGATGAGAAACAACATTACAGGCAATCAGTCTAGACAGCTTAGGGGCAGCCACTTGGCCATTTATGGTATCATTTCCTTTTTTTTTTTCAACTAGGAGAGCCTAGAGAGCAAAGAGAGGCTCCTGGGAATATATGTAGGGTTGCCAAATTTAGCAGATAAAAATACAGGATGTCCAGTTAAATTTGTATTTCAAATCAACAATGAATACTTTTTTAGTATACATATGCCCTGTGCAATATTTGGAACATACTTTCACTAAAAATAAAAAAAAAAATCACTTATCTGAAATTCACATGTAATTGACTAGCCTATATTTTATCTGGCAACCCTACATATTTGGATCTCATCTCACATCAATCACCTTTTATCATGCTACAGAATGTCACAGATGAAAGTCTTTTCTCCTGCGTTTTAGAGAATGAAAGTTGAGTTATTTTTCTTTCATCTTTTATTAACTATGGAATTACTATCTAACATCAGAGAAAGAAAAAATGATCAGTGACAAGAATTCCTTAGAGCCATGCTTCTCAGACATGAATGTACATATAAACCAAACCACATGGGAACCTTGGAAAAATCCAGATTCTAATTCATCAGCCCGAGGTGAGGCCTGACATTCTGCATCTGTAAAAAGCTCTCAGGTAATAACAATGCCGCTGGTCCATGGACCATACTGGTCAGTAGCGAGGGTTTTAGTGTTTCTCACATTTCGCTGTACATTAGAAAAATCTGGGGAGCTTTTAAAACTCTTGATGCCCAGGCTGCATCTCACCTAATAAAATCCAAATCTCTGGGAGTGGGAGCCAGGTGTCAGTAATTTTTTTTTTAAAGCACCTCAGTTGTTTCCTATGCACAACCAATGTTAAGACCTGCTATCTTTGGCTGGGCAAGGTGGCTCACGCCTGTAATCCCAGCACTTTGGGAGGCCAAGGCAGGCAGATCACGAGGTCAGGAGATCAAGACCATCCTGGCTAACACAGTGAAACCCCATCTCTACTGAAAATACAAAAAATTAGCTGGGCGTGGTGGCGGGCGCCTGTAGTCCTAGCTACTCGGGAGGCTGAGGCAGGAGAATGGCGTGAACTTGGGAGGTGGAGCTTGCAGTGAGCTGAGATCGCGCCACTGCACTCCAGCCTGGGCCACAGAGTGAGACTCCGTCTCAAAAAAACAAAAAACAAAAAACAAAGAACAAAGACCTGCTATCTTTGGCCAACCAGTTCACTGCAACACTGGTTAATATTTATTGTTATCTCCTTAGTGGGAGGCAATCCCTTAAAAAAAAAAAAAAAGAGCACTCTGGTTGTTACATAGTAACTGTAATCTTTGTTTTAATTTTTTTTATTTTTAACTTTCGTGGATACATAGTATATATATATATTTATGGGATAAGTAACTATAATCTCCAGAGGCTGAAGTTGAAGGATCTCCACTGCAAGTCTTTTCAGTGTGTCCACTTTCAGTTATGCTTTCTAAGCAATTGAGAAAAGCAATAGATTTTTTTTTCTTTGCTTAAGCTCAGTGGCAAGAAAGCAATAGATTTTTATTATTTCAACTGTTATAATAAATATTTTTCACTAAATATTTTCCAAATTCAGAAATTTTATATCTGTGACACCAAGATTGTTGGAAAGTACTTTTTCCATGATTCTAAAATAATTTATTTTTCTTAATGTTTCTAATAGAAACCAAACAGCCACCACCTCAGAGTTAGACTGGCTTGGAAAAGACTGGTATTTATTGTCTGTTACTCTGGGAGGCTTGACTGGAGTCAAGGAATGTGGCTTACGGAAGAAAATCAAATCTTTAAGTCTTGTTGTTTTTCACAGACATGTCGATAACATAAAAGTATGCTTTCAAAGCTACTGATATGAACATAACGTATATATAACACATACTTACACAAAATATAAATAGAAATGTCTATAAAAGCCTTGTTTCTTAACCAAACACCTTCCTCATTTTTCCTCTTAATTGTTGTCACTTTGGTGCCATCCATTTTTTTATCATCTTCCCTAAATCACTGTCTTCTTTTTGTAGTCTTGTTTGACTGAGAAATGCCTTTAGGGTATCTTGTACTTTATGCTGGAGTGCTGTCCCATGGAATCGTCTTCTTTCTTTTCTTTTTTATTTACCTTGGTTTACTTTGTCCGCTTAATCATATATTCTCTTCTGTCATGTGTGCTTAGCCTACTCCCTCTATCTCTTCTCCCCTCAGTCCTGTACTTTCTTTTTTTTATTAAGTTTCTACATTGTTTGTTTGGTGGGGGGCGGTGTGTGTGCACGCACACCACCACACCTGGTTAATTTTTGTATTTTTGTGGAGATGGGGTTTTACCATATTGTCCAGGCTGATCTCAAACTCCTGGCCTCAAGTGATCCACTTGCTTTGGCCTTCCAGAGTGCTGGGATTACAGGCGCGAGCCACTGCGGCTGGCCAGTCTTCTACTTCAGTATCCAAACAATCTAGAATTTGTGACCAGATATTTTACTTGACCTATCCCCCTCACCAGCTCCAGCAGCTGCTACCATGCCTTGGGAAACCACCTTAAGGAGTCCATACATGCCCCTGATACTGGGTGGCACCATCAGCTGGTTGAAAGGTTGCCAACTTGAAGAGGTGACTCAGAAGAGGGTGGGTGGCAAATTGTTTTGCAAACATTTAACTATTTGTCCTTTCCTTAGTGCGCCCTTTCGGAAAATTTTTGGCTTGGAGGTGAGCTAGGGCAAAGTGGGATGCATCTCTTATGCCACATGAGTCTCCCAAAATGAGGAGGAAAAGTTAAGCTTCACACAAAGTCAGCTGCCTAAAAATGTTTTTGTTCTAAATAATGGTAGTTTACTTTTCCTGCCATCATGGGAGGCTCATACACAGTTTCTTTATTTTATTTTATTTTATTTTGAAACAGAGTCTTGTATAAATGATCTTATACAGCAAACGAAACCTGTGGTCTTGTGTTTTCTGCTTCTGTGTTTTCACAGTCTAATTTAGTTTTCCTTTTTGTGAAGCAACCAGATCCAGGAAAATTTAAGAACACTAACTAAAAGTGGGCCATCTATTTATCCAGGCTATGCTCAGCAATAGCGCTGAGCTGATCATGCACTCAAGCAGCTGGAGTGCATCAACACAGTCACCGCTCACTGCAGCCTCAACCTTCCAGCCTCAAGCGATTCTCCCATCTCAGCCTCCCAAGTAGCAGCTGGGACTACAGGCGCGTGCCACCATGCCCATCATACACAGTTTCTTAAAACTCAGAACAGTGTACAATATGGTGACAAAATAGTAACTAAACTAATGTTTATTCAACATTGTAAATTTTTATATGCAATTAGACCTTTAAGTCTTGAAAACAACCCCCATTTTAGAAAATGAGGGTTAGAGAATAATGAGTTGCCCATGGTCACACAGGTAATCAGGTGGTAAAGACAGGATGTGAATCCAAACAAATCGAGTTAGAGAGCTTACCTGCTGTACATTTGAATATACCTAGGGCCTCCACTATGCTATATTGCCTTTTATAGTTCTCTTGGAGAATAACAGGATTCTAAAGGATGATGATTTTAGATGTTAATGATGGTAAATGCATTAACTGCAGTAGTTTTCTCCAAACTGATTAAAAAGATTATTTGAAGTGTTACACAAGCCTGATATTACATAACGGTTAATCATAGTAAGAATTTTATTCCCTTTTCATTATTGTTTTAGTCTTTCTGATTACTACAAAAGGGTCAGATTGGGCGGGTGTGATGGCTCACGCCTGTAATCCCAGCACTTTGGGAGGCCAAGGTGGGCGGATCACCTGAGGTTGGGAGTTCGACAGCCTTACCAATGTGGAGAAACCCCGTCTCTACTAAAAATACAAAATTAGCCAGGTGTGGAGGCGCATGCCTGTAATCCCAGCTACTTGGGAGGCCAAGACAGGAGAATCACTTGAACCTGGGAGGTGGAGGTTGCAGTGAGCCGAGAGCCTGGGCAACAAGAGCAAAAACTCCGTCTCAAGAAAAAAAAAAAAAAAAAGGCTCAGATTGGTGCCAACTTATGTTAGCAGCTCTACTCATACTTGCTAATCTTTTAACAAAGAAAGGCAGGCCTTATGCTGAGGGGTTTTAGTAGGCAAGAGTAACATTATTTTGTGTTCATTTCTAAGATTTTTTCCATTTATGCCAAATGATTTTGGTTTATTTATTTAGGCGTGAATATACGTCCTCTTTAAATAAAATTTACATGTACATAACCTTTTTTTAAAAAGTACATGGTAGAGTTGATATGCAGATGTGTCAAAAATCATGCCAGTAACATGCCAATGGTTGCAGTCTAGACTACTTTAAACAACACAACAACAAGAACAAAACAAAAAGACTTTGCAGTCCTATTTCTACTAGCTGCGTGAAAATGTTGGAATTAAGAAAGAAATAAAAAGTTTAATCCTGAAGAGAACAGAATATTAGCTGCTATTGAATTCTGTTCTAGGACTTATAGAGTATAAAACAATTACTCCTCATTCCCTCCTGTGAGGCATTATTATGTTGTAGAAAGAGCGAAAGTGTTGACACAATTTCACAAGCTAAAGGTCGGATCCTAACTCTGCCACTGACTAACCCTAGGCAGGTTCTCATACATTCCTTGAATTCAGTTTCTCTATCAAGAAATAAAGATAAATTAGTTTCTGGCCCGGCTCGGTGACTCATGCCTGTAATCCCAGCTCTCTAGGAGGCTGAGGTGGGTGGTTTGCTTAAGCCCAGGAGTTCAAGATCAGCCTGGGGCAACATGGTGAAACCCCTTCTCTACAGAAAATACAAAAATTAGCCAGCCATGGTGGTACACGCCTGTAGTCCCAGCTACTCTGGAAGCTGAAGTGAGAGGATTGCTTGAGCCCAGAAGGTTGTGGCTGCAGTGAGCTGTAACTGTGCCACTGCACTCCAGCCTGGGTGACAAAGTCAGACCCTGTCTCAAAAAACAACAACAAAAAAACAAAAAACAAATTAAATAGTTTCTTCTGCCGTTTAGTCTATGATTCCACACTCAATGTATCCTCAATGGTTTGTACATTTTTTCCTAGCCACATCAGTATGGAACTGTGTGGGTTAAATCTCCTTTGACAATCTTCTCCCTTAGAGTTAAAAAAAAAATCTGCATCTATTTCCATTTATTTGCCTTTCTTCCAAAGTGCTTACCTAGGAGAAGCTTTGTATAGATCTGTACAAATAACTTATGTTTTGAGAGAATATAAACAATGCTAATGCTTTCTTTTGTAAAGCTTCTGTTTTGTTATCAAAAGCTATCAAATTTGAAGTCTCCCTTGGGGGTGGGGTGAAAGTGCTGTTACAGGTCTGCTGCCTATTAAAACCTGGTTCTATTCTGGGAGAAAGTGAGACATTAACTTCCTTTCCACCATTCAAAGAAACTAGCTTAAATTCCAAGGATGGCTGTGGCCATTTACCCGACACTGCACTTCCCCATTGTGTTTGTTTGTTTGCTTTAACATTGGGCACAAAGTACAATTAATTACCACTGCTCACTGAACTAGAATATAATTACGGCCTGAAAGGATGACCAAACTGCTTTCTCTTGTTGAGTGACCATAACTGCAGAGACCCTTTTCCAAAGCTGCTTGAGTGCATGATCAGCTCAGCGCTATTGCTGAGCATAGCCTGGATAAATAGATGGCCCACTTTTAGTTAGTGTTCTTAAATTTTCCTGGATCTGGTTGCTTCACAAAAAGGAAAACTAAATTAGACTGTGAAAACACAGAAGCAGAAAACACAAGACCACAGGTTTCGTTTGCTGTATAAGATCATTTAAAATCCTAGTTTCGTGGTTTTCTT
Source organism: Homo sapiens (assembly GCF_000001405.40). Taxonomy (NCBI): domain Eukaryota; kingdom Metazoa; phylum Chordata; class Mammalia; order Primates; family Hominidae; genus Homo; species Homo sapiens. Next base: position 186,569,671 of record NC_000002.12, on the reverse strand, counting down.
TTTTTTTTTTGTAATTTTAATTTTTATTTTAAGTTTGGGGGTACCTGTGCAGGACGTGCAGGATTGTTACATAGGTAAACGTGTGACATGGTGGTTTGCTGCACCTATCAACCCATCACCTAGGTATTAAGCCCAGCATCCATTAGCTATTTTTCCTAATGCTCTCCCTCCCCCCACCCCACCCCCCGAGAGGCCCCAGTGTTTGTTGTTCCCTTCCTTGTGTCCATATGTTATCATTGCTTATCTCCCACATATAAGCAAGAACATGTGGTGTTTGGTTTTCTGTTCCTGAATTAGTTTGCTGAGGATAATGACTTCCAGCTCCATCCATGTTCCTGCAAAGACATGATCTTGTTCTTTTTTATGGCTGCATAGTATTCCAGGTGTATATGTACTATATTTTCTTTATCCAGTCTATCATTGATGGGCATTTGGGTTGATTTCATGTCACTGCAATTGTGAATAGTGCTGCAATGAACATACACATGCATGTATCTTTGTAATAGAATGATTTCTATTCCTTTGGTTATATACCCAGTAATGGGACTGTTGAGTCAAATGGTATTTCCGGTTCTAGATCTCTGAGGAATCACCACACCATCTTCCACAATGATTGAACTAATTTACACTCCCACCAGCAGTGTGTAAGTGTTCCCATTTCTCCACAACCTTGCCAGCATCTATTATTTCTTGACTTTTAATAATCACCATTCTGACTGGCATGAGATAGTATCTCATTGTGGTTTTGATTTGCATTTCTCTAATCATCAGTGATGTTGAGCTTTGTTTCTGAAAACCCTAGAAGAAAATCTAGGAATGCCGTTCAGGACATAAGAATGGGCAAAGATTTCATGATGAAATCACCCAAAGCAATTGCAACAAAAGCAAACATTGACAAATGGGATCTAATTAAACTAAAGAGCTTCTGCACAGCAAAAGAAACTATCATCAGAATGAACAGGCAACCTACAGAGTGGGAGAAAATTTTTGTAATCTATCCATCTCACAAAGTTCTAATATCCAGAATCTACAAGGAACTTAAACAAATTTTCAAGAAAAAAACAACCCCATTAAAAAGTGGGTAAACGACATGAACAGACACTTCTCAAAAGAAGACATTCATGTAATTTTTTTTCTCACATTTACTTAAATTTTTTTTTAATTTTCAATTTTCATGAGTACATAGTAAGTGTATATACTTATGTGATATGTGAGATATTTTGATATAGGCATACAATATGTAATAATCACATCAGGATAAATGGGGCATTTATCCCCTCAATCATCTATCATTTCCTTGTATTATAATCATTCCAATTATACTCTCCTTTAGTGATTTAAAAATGTACAATAAATTATTGTGGACTTTAGTCACTCTTTTGTGCTATCAAATACTAGACCTTATTAATTCTAACAATATTTTTGTACCCATTAACCATCCCCACTACCCCCACCATACACATTATCCTTCCCAGCCTCTGGTAACCATCAATCTATCTCCATGAGTTCAAATGTTTTAATTTTTAGCTCCCACAAATCAATGGAAACATGCAAAATTTGTCTTTCTGTGCCTGGATTCGTTCACTTAACATAATGTCCTCCAGTTCTATTCATGTTGCCGCAAATGACAGGATCTTATTCTTTATTATGGCTGAATAGTACTCCATTGTGTATGTGCCTCATTTTCTTTATCTGCTTATCTATTGATGGACACTTAGGTTGCTTCCAAATCTTGGCTATTGTGAATAGTGCTTCAATAAACGTGGGAGTGCAGATATCTCTTTAATATATTTGCTTTCTTCTGTGTATATAGGTAGTAGTGAAATTGCTGGATCATATGGTATTTTATTTTTAATTTTCTGAGGAACCTCCAAACTGTTCTCCGTAGTGGCTATGTTAATTTTCACCCCTACCAACAGTGTACGAGGGTTCCTTTTTCTCCACGACCTCATCAGCATTCGTTGTTACCTGTCTTTTGGATAAAAACCACTTTAACTGGGGTGAAATGATATCTCATTGTAGTTTTGTTTTTCATTTCTCTGATGATTAAAGATATTGAGCACCTTTTTATATACCTGTTTGCCATTTGTATGTCTTCTTTTGAGAAATGTCTATTTAGATGTTTTGTCTATTTTTAACAGAATTAATAGATTTTTTTCCCTATAGAGTTGTTTAATCTCCTTATATATTCTCGTTATTAATTCCTGGAACGATGAGTAGCTTGCAAATTTTTTTTCCTATTCTGTGTGTTTTCTCTTCACTTTATTCTTTCCTTTGCCGTGCAGAAGCTTTTCAACTTGATGTGATCCCACTTGCCCAATTGTGCTTTAGTTGCCTGTATTTGGGGAGTATTACTCAAAAAATCTTTGCCCAGACCAATGTCCTGGAGACTTTCCTCAATGTTTTCTTTTAGTGGCTTTATAGTTTGAGGTCTTAGATTTAAGTCTTTAGGCCGGGCACGGTGGCTCACGCCTGTAATCCCAGCACTTTGGGAGACCAAGGCAGGTGGATCATTTGTGGTCAGGAGTTTGAGACCAGCCTGGCCAACATGGTGAAACACCATCTCTACTAAAAATACAAAAAAAATTAGCCAGGCATGGTGGTGGGCACCTGTGATTCAGCTACTCTGGAGGCTGAGGCAGGAGAATCACTTGAACCCAGAGGTGGAAGTTTCAGTGAGCCGAGATCGCGCCACTGCACTCCACCCTGGGCGACAGAGAGAGACTCCATCTCAAAAAAAAAAAAAAGATTTAAATCGTTAATCCATTTTGATTTGATTTTTTATATGGTGAGAAATAGGGGTCTAGTTTAATTCTTCTGCATAAGGATATCCAGTTTTTCCAGCACCATTTATTGAAGAGACTGTCTTTTCCCCAATGTATGTTCTTGGTACCTTTGTTGAAAATGAGTTCAGTGTAGATGAATGGACTTATTTCTGGGTTCTTTTTTTTCTCTATCCTGTTGTATTGGTCTGTATGTCTGCTACTATGTCAGTATTATGCTGTTTGGGTTGCTATGTAATATAATTTGAAGCCAGGTAATGTGATTCCTCCAGTTTTTTTCCTTTTGCTCAGGATGGCTTTGGCTATTCTGGGTCTTTTGTGGTTCCATATAAATTTTAGAATGATTTTTTCTATTTTTATGAAGACTATCATTGGTAATTTGATAGGGATTGCACTGAATCTGTAGATTGTTTTAGGTAGTATGGACATTTTCATAATATTGATTCTTCCAATTCATGAATATGGAATATCTTTCCAATTTTTATGGGTCCTCTTCACGTCCATGTTTTATGGTTTTTATTGTAGAAATCTTTAACTTCTTTGGTTAAGTTTATTCTTAGGTATTTTATTTTATTTGTAGCTATTATAAATGAGATTATTTTCTTGATTTCTTTTTCAGAATGTTTGCTGTTGGCATATAGAAATGCTACTGATTTTTGTATGTTGATTTTGTGTCCTGCAACTTTCCTAAATTTGTTTATGAATTCTAATAGTTTTTGGTGGAGTCTTTAGGTTTTTCCAAATATTAAGATCATATCATCTACAAACAAGGATAATTTGACTTCTTGCTTTCCAATTTGGATGCCCTTTATATCTTTTTCTTGTCTGATTGTTCTAGTTAGGGCTTCCAGTGTTGAATAACAATGGTGACAGTAGGCACCCTTTTCTTGTTCCAGGTTTTAGAGGAAAAGCTTTTAATTTTTTCCCCAATTAGTATAATATTAGTTGTGGGTCTGTCATATATAGCTTTTATTGTGTTGAAGTATGTTCTTCTATAACCAGCTTTTTGAGGGTTTTTATCATGAAGAGATGCTGAATTTTATCAAATGCTTTTTCAGCATCAATTGAAATGATCATGTGATTTTTGTCCTTCATTCTGTTGATTTGATGCATCGCATTGATTGATTTGTATATGTTGAACCATCCTTGGATCCCTGGAATAATTCCCATTTGGTCATGATGAACGATCTTTTTTAATGTGTTGTTGAATTCAGTTTGCTAGTAGTTTGCTGAGGATTTTTGCATTAATGTTCATAAAGATATTGGCTTGTAGGTTTCCTTTTTTGGTTGTGTGTTTGGTTTTGGTATCATAGTAACAATGGCCTCATAAGTGAATTTGGAAATATTCCCTCCTCCTCTATATTTTTAGGATAGTTTGAGTAGTATTGGTATTAGTTCTTCTTTAAATGTTTGGTAAAATTCAGCAGTGAAGCCACTGGATCCTGGACTTTTCTTTGCTAGGAGACTTTTATTACAGCTTCAATCTCATTACTTGTTACCGTTTTGTTCAGATTTTGGATTTCTTCATGGTTCAATATTGGTAGGTTGTGTGTGTCTAGAAATTTATCCATTTCTTTTAGGTTTTCCATTTCATTGGCATATAGCTGTTCATAGTAGCTTCTAACGATTCTTTGAATTTCTGCGGTATTAGTTGTAGTATCTTCTTTTTCTTCTCTGAATGTATGTATTTGGGTCTTCTCTCTCTTTTTCTCAGTCTGGATAAAGGTTTGTCAACTTTGTTTATCTTTTCAAAAAACCAACTGTTCACTTCATCGACATTTTCCATTGTTTTCTTCATTTCAATTTCATTTATTTCTGCTCTGATCTTTATTTTTTTTTTCTTCTACTTTTAGGGTTTGGTTTGCTCTTGCATTTTTCATTCTTTAAGATGCATAGTGAGGTTGTTTATTTGACATTTTTCTACTTTTTTGATGTGGGTGCTTATAGCTATAAACTTTCCTCTTAGTACTGCTTTCACTGTATCCCATAGGTTTTTGTATACTCTATTAGCATTATCATTTTTTCAAGGAAAAAAAATTTGAGACAGGATCTTGCCCATGCTGGAATGCAGTGAGTGGCAAGATCATGGTTCACTGCAGTCTCACTCTCCTGAGCTCAAGTGATCCTCCCTCCCCAGCCTCCCAAGTAGCTGGGACTACAGGAACAAACCAGCATGCCCACCTAATTTATTTTATTTTAGTAGAGGTGAGGCCTCGGTATGTTGCCCAGCCTTCAAGAAATTTTTTAATTTCCTTCTTAATTTCTTCACTGACCCACTGATCATTTGGAAGCATATTGTTTAATTTCCATGTGTTTGTATAGTTTCCCAAATTAATATTGTTATGGACTTCTAGTTTTATTTCATTGTGGTATAAAATATTTGATATAATTTCACTTTTTAAAATTTTTTAAGGCTTGTTTTGTGACTTAAAGTATGGTCTATCCTTGAGGATGATCCATATGTTCAGGAGAAAAATGTGTATTCTGCAGCCATTGGATGAAATGTTCTGTAAATATCTATTAGGTCCATTTGGTCTATAGAGCAGATTAAGTCCAATGATTCTTTGTTGATTTTCTGTCTGGATGATCTGTCCAATGTTAAAGTGAGGTGTTGAGGTCTTCAGCTATTATTGTATGGGTGTCATCTCTCTCTTAAGCTCTAATAATATTTGCTTTATATATCTGGGTGCTCCAGTGTTGGGTGCATATATATTTACAATTGTTATATCCTCTGGCTGAATCAACCCTTTTATCATTATTGTAATACCTTGTCTCTTTTTATGGTCTTTGTCTTGAAATCTATTTTGTCTTATATAAATACAGTGACTTCTGCTCTTTTTTGGTTTCCATTTGCATGGAATATCTTTTTCCATCCCTTTATTTTCAATCTATTATGTTTTTATAGGTGAAGTGTGTTTCTTTTGGCAACAGGTCATTGAGTTTTGTTTTTTCATCCATTCAGCCACTCTATATCTTGTGACTGGAGAGTGTAGTCCATGTATATTAAATGTTATTATTGATAAGTAAGGCCTTACTGTTGCCATTTTGTTATTTGTTATTTTGGTTGTTTTGTGGTCTTCTCTTCTTCCTTCTTTTGCTCTTTCCCATCTTCCTTTTGGTGAAGGTGAGTTTCTCTGTTGGTATGTTCTAATTTCTTGCTTGGTATTTGTTGTATGTTTTTTGATTTGAGGTTATCATGAGGCTTGCAAATGTCTTGTAACCCGTTATTTTAAACTGTTGACAACTTAACCTTGATTACATAAACAAACAAAATAACAAGCAAAGAGAAAACACTTTACCTTTGTCCTCCCATTTTTAAACTTTTTGTTGTTTCTCTTTGCATCTTATTATACTATCTATGTATTTAAATGTTTTTGTAGTTATTATATTTTTATAGGTTCATATTTGAGTCTTCCTACTCAAGGTATGAGCAGTTTACACATCACAATTACAGTGTTATAATATTCTGTATTTGCCTGAAGGCTTACTGTTACCAGTAAGTGTTGTATCTTCAGATAATTTCTTATTAGTTGCTAATGTCTTTTTCTTTCAGATTGAAGAACTCTCTTTAGCTTTTCTTGTAGGATAGGTCTGGTATTGAGAAAATCCCTCAGCTTTTGTTTGTCTGAGAAAGTCTTTATTTCTCCTTTATGTTTGAAGCATATTTTTGCTGGATATAATAACCTAGAATAAAAGTTTTTTTTTCCTTCAGCACTTTTAATATGTCATGCCACTCTCTCCTGGCCTGTAAGGTTTTCACTGAGAAGTGTGCTGCCACAACTATTGGAGTTTTTTGGTATGTTATTTGCTTCTTTTCTCTTGCTGCTTTTAAAATCCTTGTTTTTTCTTTCTTTTTTTTTTTTCTTTTTCTTTTTTTTTTTGATATGGGGCTTCACTCTTCTTGCTCAGGCTGGAGTGCTGTGGCACAATCTTGGCTCACTGCAACCTCTGCCTCCCTGGTTCAAGTGATTCTCCTGCCTCAGCCTCCCAAGTGGCTGGGATTATAGGTACCTGCCACCATACCTGGCTAGTTTTTTGTATTTGTAGTAGAAATGGGGTTTCACCATGTTGGCCAGGCTGGTCTCAAACTCCTGACTTCAGGTGATCCACTCATCTTGGCCCCCCAAAGTGTTGGATTACAGGCATGAGCCACCTCGCCCCGCCTAAAATCCTTTCTTTATCCTTGATCTTTCAGAGTATAATTATTAAATTTCTTGAGATAATCCTATGTGGGTTAAATCTGCTTGGTGTTCTACAACCTTCAGGTACTTGAATATTGATGTCTTTCTCTAGGTTCAGAATGCCCCCTGTTATTATTTCTTTTAATAAACTTTCTACTCTAATTTCTCTCTACCTCCTCTTTAAGGCTAATATCTCTTAGATTGCCCTTTAGAGGCTATTTTCTTGATCCTCTAGGCATGCTTCATTCTTTTTTATTCTTTATTCTATTGTCTCCTCTGACTGTATTTTCAAATAGCCTGTCTTCAAGTTCAGTAATTCTCTCTTCCGCTTGATCAATCCCACTGTTGAAAGACTGACCTCAACAGTTGATGCATTCTTATTTGTCAACTGAATTTTTCAGCTTCAGAATTTCTGCTTCATTTTTTAAAGTTATTCCAATCTCTTGGTTAAATTTATCTGCTAGAACTCTGAATTCCTTCTCTGTGTTATCTTGAATTTCACTGAGCTTCCTCAAAACACCTATTTTGAATTCTCTCTGTGAAAGGTCACATATTTCTGGCTCTCTGGGGTTTGTCACTGGTGCCTTGTTTAGTTTGTTTGGTGAGGTCATGTTTTCCTGTATGGTCTTGATGCTCGTGGATGTTCTTCAGTGTGTGAGCATTGAAGAGTTAGGTATTTACTCTAATCTTCGCAGTCTGGGCTTATTTGCTCCTGTCTTTCTTGTGAAGGCTTTTGAAGTATTCACAGAGAATTGAATGTTGTAACGTAAGTCTTTAGTCACTGCAGCCGTATGTGCATTAGGACACACCCCAAAGCTAGTAACACCCTGACTCTTGTAAGCTTGCAAAAATATTGCCTTAGTGGTCTTGGGTAAAACCCATGAAAATTCTCTTAATTACCAGGCAGAGACCCTTGTTCACTTCCCTTACTTTCCCCTAAATAAACAGTCTCTCTGGGCTGAACTTCCTGGAGTCGGGGGAGGGGTAACACAATCATTCCTGTGGCCATCACTGCTGTGTCTGTGCTGGGTCATACCTGAAGCCAGCACAGTACTGGGTCTCGCCCAAGGGCTGTGGTAACTATTGCCTGGCTACCACTGATGTTTATTCAAGGCCCTAGGGGTCTTTAATCTGCACATGTCACAATTCAGTTATCTTTTTTCAAAATCTAAGTTTCCACACACAGCACTGAGATAATTCAGTTTTAATAATGACCTCTTTGAGTGCTGTATCATATTTGGAGGAGAGGAGACACAATCTGCCCTGACTAGGAAACACTTAGAGATACAGCACACTCATTTGATCACATCTTACTACCCGGCATCAACCACATAATTCCCACATTTTATTATTCTATGTGTTCAGTAACATTTTGAATACATTATGGAAGACCCATAAGGGAACATAATGAAAAGTGTGGGAAGAACAACATGTAGAATTAAATGCATGGAGATTCTGTGAACGAAGAGATAAGTACCTGTAAAATAATGCTAATCTGTGAGAAGGGCAAAACAACAAATTTGTCATTAATAACAACCTTTGTGGTTCCTTGCACTGGAAACTATATTATTTGAAAATGATATAGTTACTAAATGTCCAATACAGCAAACCTCATAAAAATGTTTGAAATTAAAAATCTAGCTCCATGACATGAATTTGGTCCAAAGTAATGGTGTTTCTGTGATGTGGTTATTGACAATACCATAGAGCAATAAACCTGACCAAATGCTTTCTCATTCTCCATCATTGTTTGGTTTGCACTAATCATCTATAAATTGCCTGTTTGTCAGAAATGGTAGAATAGTTAGGGAGGAAAAGAAGAGAGCTAACTGGAGCAGGATCCCCATTTTTTAAAGCAGTAAATACCTTCAGTTCTCTTCTTAAACATCACCTCCATGTCTCAATGTTCCATCTCCAACCCAGACTCCTACTCCAGTCATGCAAATAACCATACAAAACAAATGACAAATAGATCAGAAGTTTAATTGAAAAACAAGACATGTGTCATTCATTGTCACAGCCACTGATGGATCTGTTCACTTAATAATTCACAAAAAATCTTTCTGTTGACCTTACCAATTTCAACACGTTTTTGGTTATAACTTGTTAATTTCCCATAGAAAAGCAAGGATTTTATTTTACCTCAACATGTGATTTTTAGTGATATGCTCCCTCCAAAGAGACTTCACCACATCAAAAGGGTGACGTTTTCCTATGGAATTCATTAGTTCAGGTTTTATTTTATTATTTATTTATTTATTTATTTATTTATTTATTTATTTTTATTTTTTGAGACAGGGTCTCACTCTGTTGCCCAGGCTGGAGTGCAGTGGTACAAATACAGCTCACTGCAGCTTCGACCTCCTGGCTCAAGCATTCCTCCCACCTCAGCCTCTGGAGTAGCTGGGACCACAGGTATGTGCCACCAAGCCTGGTTAATTTTTTTAAAGTTTTGTAGAGATGAGATCCATGTTGCCCAGACTGGTCTTGAAATCCTGGGCTCGAGTAGTCTCCCACCTCAGCCTCCCAAAGTGGTGGGATTACAGGCGTGAGCCACTACCCCCAGCCTAGATTTTGATCAGTAGGAAGCTAGTGTGTCTTGATGTTCAGAAAATACAGCATGTGACTGACAAAGCTGAGTTTAGAGCTCTAGTTCTGTCACTTTCTAGTTGAATGACCTCAAGCAAGTTACTCAACCTTTCAGTGATTATGGTTTTCTTTTTCGGTTGTTCTATCTGGTCCTTTTTAAAATCCACCTGCTCTTTTTTCATTGTAATTATGTTCCATATGTTTCTCTTCCTTCATTCATGTGTTTACATATTTTCAAAATATTTATTTAATAACTTATTTCATATTATTCTGTTTTCTACATTCTTGGATGTACTAATTTCCCCCAGTTACAGTATCTGCTGGCTCTTGCTTATGACACATTATTTCCTTGTGTGTCTTAGAATTCATCAGGGTTTTGCTTCTCTTAGAAGAAATTCTTGTTGCCTTATTTATAGAAGTGATTTTCAGAATGCTCTTTCATTTGTTTCTACCAGGCATCCCTGATAATCACTGCTCCACAACTCAATAGTTCAGGCAGAGATGTTTCCTTGCTCCCTTCTGGGGACCTATATGCAGACTTTTTCTAGTTCTCCTTTCACTGATGGTGGGGACCTTTGTGAGACTTGGTTTATATACAGGTCTCAGTTTCAAATCTTTAACTTGTCTCTTGTTTCTTTTGAGTTTTAAAGTCCAAATCCCTAAATGTTAAGGCCTATTTCTTCTTAATGCCCAGAAGTTTCCCATTCCTTTTTGCAAGCTCACCTTGGTATTTACAATATAATTTATTTTATCTTGTTTAACAGTTCTAAGTAATGGTAGGAAGGGTTCTTTATTAGTTTAGGCCACCACACCCCCAGAACCATTTTCTTATCTCTGCATATATGAAATACAGAATATGATGGCATGTACCACACATAGTTTTGGTAAGGTTAAATAAGATAGAGATTTACATGCTTAGGGAAATGTCAAGTACATAATTAACTGCATAATAAATGTCAGTCTTTATTGTCTGGATGCTATCACTGGTATTGTTAGGGTTCTCTTGGAACTCATCTCTGACACAGCTCTTAATATTTTATTAGATCAACAATTTGTTGGGTCTGCTACGACTCACCAAATTAACTTGGCAATGATCTCTCTACTAGATGTAACAGGAATTCTGGTTGTCATGGTTGGCTCTTAGCAAACTGGAGAGACCTGGAGGGTTAGGATCTACCAGTATGCCTCACCTTGTAAAGGTGACAAATTGAGAATAAGCAAAACTAATCACTAAGAGATGGAGGAGAGTTAGTAAAAAACTAGTAAGATTCATTGCTAATTAGGGCCAGTTTTTAGTTTCCAGAATAAAGGGACAGATATCAGAAGCTAAAGTTGGATACTGCAAACTTTGTCTAATGAAGGCCAGTTATCCAAAGCCCAGAATCAAAGCTGAGTCATACTTAGGGAGTAGAGGAAGAAGCTTTCAAAGTATGAAGTATAAATGATGGCCTAATAGGACACGCAGCTTAAGTACTAAAGGAATTTCATCTGGAAACAAGGCAAAGTAGAGTGTGAAATGGGGATAGCCCCTGAGAAGTAGTTTTGAACAAGTAGGAAAAGTGGGATATGGACTTCCAAAATATGACAACAGTGAAAGCTCCCTGCAAAGGATGATGCCTAGAGTTAGATACCTGGAAGTCCAGGAACTTCAGGTACCTAAGACACCCAAGCAAAATTTATCCAAGTAAATAAAACACACCACATGAATTCTTAGGGAGAATACCTGATGTTATATAGGAATATCTCATCTTATTGGGCTTCATTTATTGCACTTCACATATATTGCATTTTTTACAAATTTAAGGTTTGTGGCAACCCTGCATCCAGCAAGTCTATCAGTGCTACTTTTCCAACAGCATTTGTTCATTTTGCAATATTCTTGCAAAATTTCAAACCTTTCCATTATTATTATATCAGTTATGATGATCTGTGATCAGTGATCTTTGATGCTACTATCATGATTGTTTAGAGGCACTAAGAACCCTGCCCATATAAGTGATCTTTGATGGTACTATCATAAATGTTTAGAGGGACTAAGAACCCTGACCATATAACACTGTGTGTGTTCTGACTACTCCACCAACTGGCCATTTCCCCACCTCTTTCCCTCTGCTAGGGCCTCCCTATTTCCTGAGACACAACAATATTGAAATCAGGCCAATTAATAACCCTACAGTGGCCTTCAAGCGTTCAAGTGAAAGGTAGAGTCCCATGTCTTTCACTTTAAATCAAAAGGTAGACATGATTAAGCTTAGTGAGGGAGGCATGACAAAAGCTGAGACAGGCCGAAAACTAGGACTCTTGCTGAACAGTTAGCCAAGTTGTGAATGCAAAGGAAACGTTATTGGAGAAAATAAGAAGTGCTACTCCAGTGAACACATAAATGATAAAGTGAAACAGCCTTATTGCTGATATTGAGAAAGTTTTCATCATCTGGATGGAAGACCAAACAGCCATACTATTTCCTTAAACCAAGTCTAATACAGAAGAAGGTACCAACTCTCTTCAATTATATGAAGGCTGAGAGAAGTGAGGAAACTGCAGAAGAAAATTTGAAGCTAGCACAGGTTGGTTCATGAGGTTTAAGGAAAGAAGCCATCTCCATAACATAAAGTGCAAGGTGAAGCAACGAGTGCTGATGTAGAAGCTATGGCAAGTTATCCAGAAGATCTAGCTAAGATGATTGAGGAAGGTGGCCACACTAAACAACAGATTTTCCATGTAGAAGAAACAGCCTTATATTGGAAGAAGATGCCATCTGGGACTTATTATGTCATCTAGGACTTATTATAGCTATTATCTAAAGAGAAGAAATTAATTACTGGCTTCAAAGAACTGGCTGACTGTCTTGTAGGTGTGATTGCAGCTAGTGACTTCAAGTTGAAGCTAATGCTCATTTACTATATCAAAAATCCCAAGGCCCATAAAAATTATGTTAAATCTACTCTGCCTGTGTTCTGTAAATGGAAGAACAAAGCCTGGATGACAGCACATCTGTTTATGGCATGGTTTACCGAATATTTAAAGCCTATTGTTAACACATACTGCTCAGAAAGGGTATCTTTCAAAAGATTACTGCTCAGTGACAATGCGATCAGTTATCCAAGGGCTCTGATGGAGATGTACAAGGAGATGAATGTTATTTTCATGCCTGCTGACACAACATACATTCTGTAACCCATGGATCAAGGAGTAATTTTTACTTTCAAGTCTTATTATTTAAGAAATACATTTTGTAAGGCTATAGCTGCCATAAGTAGTGATTCCTCTAATAGATCTGGGTAAAGTAAATTGAAAACCTTCTGGAAAGGAGTCACCATTCTAGATGCCATTAAGAACATTTATGATTCATGGGAGGAGAGCAAGATATCAACATTAACAGCATTTTGGAAGAAGTTGATTCTATCCTTCATGTATGACTTTGAGGGGTTCAAGACTTCAGTAGAGGAAGTAACTGCAGATGTGGTAAAAATAGAAGAAATTTGAAGTGAAGCCTGAAGATATGACTGAAATACTACAATCTCATGATAAAACTTGAATGGATGAGGAGTTGCTTCTTATGAATGAGTAAAGAAAGTGGTTTCTTGAGATGGAACCAAGATATATATGTATGTATGTATATATATATATATATATATATATATATATATATATATATATATATATATATATCCTGCAAAATAATTTAACAGAAAGAAAGAAAGAAAAGGGTGGGGCAGAGGGAGGGAGGGAGAAAGAGAGGAAGGAAGGAGGGAGGGAGGCAGTGGGGGAGACAGAGGGAGGGAGAAAGGGAGGGAAGAAGGAATAGAGGGAGGGAGGAAGGAATGGAAGGAAGGAAGAAAGGAAGGAAGGAGAAAAGAAAGAAGGAAGGAGAAAAAGATATATGTTTCATATATATATTATAGAATATATATATCAGATATATTATAGAATGTAGAATATATCAGAATTTTATATGATATATATATTACATCAAATATAGAATGAAGAACTGGATAATCTTAGTTGAAACAAACATATGCCTTGCTTCAGGGGTGTTACAGTAAGATCAGAAACAGGGACATAAATGAGACCTATTTCTTTAAAACAGAAATCAAATTAATTCCATTTCATTCTTAAAATGTTGAAATCCTAAACATAGTTTTTGATGTCCTACACGATCCTACAAACCTTGATGCCTGTGTCATAGCCACACTGTCCTTCTCTAGAACCTCGACTTTGCTGTGTCCTCTTCTCTCACAGGGCCCCTCCTCATCTAGGAAATGTCTAAACTCCTGCAGGTCTACCCTTCAAGGAAAGCTGCCCTGGCCTCCCTCACTGGGCTACTTCTTCTCTCTCAGGTCCTTATAGATAGGACCATCAGTCTCTCTTTTGAAACACTTGTCTCAATTGTAAATCAACACTCCTTTGTATAATATATACTTTAATAGTATAAGTTCCATTAAGGCAGGCACACTGATCTTTTTTGCCAGTGAGGCTGCAGGCACCTGACTCATGGGTTCTTGAGAAGAAAGAGCATTGACTCAATGATTGGAGAGAAAGGGAAATTCCTTAACGTCTAGCTCCTGAGTTAGCCTCTGTTTGCCTAAGATAAAATTTACCACACTTACAAGTTATGTGAGACAAAAACAAAACAGAAAAACAAAAACAAAAACAAAACCCCTCAAACACAAACAAGCTTAAGAAAGAAATTTCTTGGCTTACGTAACTGAAAAATGCAGAAGCAGGAAGGGCTTGGCTTCTGTCTATCTCTTGACTCAACTTTAATCTCCATATTACCATCTATGTGAGATATGCTCAGGCTTCATTCTACGACTCCTTGTGGTGATGAGAGAGCTGCAAAAGCCTCATATTCACAATCTTTCTGGTTTGAGTCCAGCAGGAAAGGAGTCTGCTACCTTGATGCCTCTAACAGTGTGAGTCTCGTTACTATGATTGGCCTGCTTGTGAGTTAGTAATGAGCACCGTATAAAATGATACTCTGTTTGGCCATGTCTGTATCACATAATATGCTTCAGAGCTAGAAGTGGAATTAGCTGCCTAGGAAATTAGCTGCATAGACTGAGAGTGCATAGGGAGTTAATTCCCACGCATAAGTTGTACGCAGATATTGGATAAGTTTACTGCACTTCCCATTATTTTATCTTGCCATGCATTGCAGGCATCACTGAAATGCTGCTACATTACACAGTGGGAATCTTGAGAAAACATACCCTTGCTTTGCCATTAGGTGTGAAATTCCCTTATGGGTAAAACGGTGCTAGTAATTGTTCCACACTCCAGTTTAGATATCTCTGCAGTACTGGGCTATGCTACTTATTTTGTACATAACCCAGACTGATTTTTAGCGTTCATCTTTATATATACATTTGTCCTAGTGCCTCATTATACTGCAAGCTGCTGTAAGGCAAGGGTCTAGCTGGGTTCCTCATGAAATGTCAGTATGAATAAGTGATTTTGTTCAATGATTCATTCACTTAAGGGCTCTGTTTCCAGTCAGATCTGACACAGTCAGAAACATTTGAGCTTCCAGTAGCTTTCAAACAGGAATTATAATTCTTTTTGGCAAGTGTGAAATCATCATAACTCATGTTCTTTAGAAACATATTTTGAACAACATCCTGCTGACTGGAAACATGTATATAATCCCTCAACAGAGCAATTGCTCATTCAACACTGACATTTTACATGGAAACCAAATTTCAAGTAATTAAGTTTGACTGTTTACCAGTGTGTTTTTAGCAGATAGGCCTATGCTATTACACTTTTGAACACAGACAATATTTTCAGAACAGGAAAATATTTTTTTCTTTCATTTTTATTTTTTAAGTTTAAATGTTTTATTTTAGCTTGTAAACAAAATCTTTGAACATAGGAATAAAATCATATACAAGGGGAAAATCTGTCAATTACGCTAGTGGTGATTTATCTACCTTTAAAAATTATACAAAAATGAATAGTTCAAATCAATAGCATGATTTTACAAACCTAAAACATTCTATGGTGATAGATCATTACCTAATCTTTATGAAATTAATCTGTGTTACAAAAACAAAATTCCATTAAATTTATTTTTTAAACTTTTATTTTAAGTTCAGGGGTATATATGTAGGTTTGTTACATAGGTAAACTTGTGTTATGGGGTTTGCTGTACAGATTATTTTGTCACCCAGGTACTAAGCCCAGTACCCGATAGTTATTTTTTTTTCTGATACTCTCCTTCCTTCAAGGAGCACCCCCCAACAGTGTCTGTTGTTCCCCTCCTTGTGTCCATGTGTTCTCATCATTTAGCTCCCACTTGTAAGTGAGAACATGTGGTATTTAGGTTTCTGTTCCTCCATTATTTTGCTGAGGATAATGGCCTCCAGTTCCATCTACGTTCCTGCAAAAGACATGATCTCATTCTTTTTTGTGGCTGCATAGGATTCCATGGTGTATATGTACCACATTTTCCTTATCCTATCTGTCATTGATGGGCATTTAGGTTGATTATATGTCTTGGCTATTGTGAATAGTGTTGCAATGAACATTCACGTGCATGTATCTTTATGGTAGAATGATTTATATACCTGTGGGTGTATACCTAGTAATGGGATTTCTGGGTCAAAGGGCATTTCTGTCTTTAGGTCTTTGAGGAATCACCACAGTCTTCCACAATGATTGAACTAACTTATACTCCCACTGGCAGTGTATAAGTGTTCCCTTTTCTCCAAAACCTTGCCAGCATCTGTTATTTTTTGACTTTTAAATAAAAGCCCTTCCCACTGGTGTGAGATGGTACCTCATTGTGGCTTTGATTTGCGTTTCTCTAGTGATCAGTGATGTTGAGCTTTTTTTTTTCATATGCTTGTTGGTTGCATGTATGTGTTCTTTTGAGAAATGTCTGTTCATGTCCTTTGCCCACTTTTTAATGGGGTTGTTTATTTTTTGCTTGTAAATTTGTCTAAGTTCCTTATAGATGCTTGATATTAGACCTATGTCAGATGCATAGTTTGCACACATTTTCTCCCATTCTGTAGATTGTCTGCTTACTCTATTGGTAGTTTTTTTTGCTGTGCAGAAGCTCTTAAGTTTAATTAGATTCTATTTGTCAAGTTTTGCTCTTGTTTCAATTGCTTTTGGTGTCTTTGTCATGAAATCTGTGCCAGGACCTATGTCCAAAATGGTGTTGCCTAGGTTGTCTTCTAGGGTTTCTACAGTGTTGGGGGTTGCATTGAAGTCTTTTATCCCTCTTGTGAACTCACCAATTTAAATGTTGAGAAGTATCTATTTAAATCTGAGGCACTGAACCTGAGCTCTGATCCTGAAGGCAGGTGTGTGTGTGTGTGTGTGTGTGTGTGTGTGTGTGTGTGTGTGTGTTTGACAGGGAGAGAGAACACAGAGAGACAGAACGACGAAAATTGGCCAGCTGTCTGAAAAACATGGAATTTGGGGGATACAAGAAAGTGCCAAGGGGCAAAAACCAGGGTCCAACCCAGGCATGAGTTTAAGAGAAATAAGCAGAGAGGCTGAACCGGCAAGTAAAATAGGAAACATTATTATTATTATTATTACTAATATCTATATAACAATTACCATGCACTAAGCACTATATAAGTGCGTTATAAAGAAAAATGTATTCTCTTTCTTTTTAAGACTACAGCTTTAATGAAGGTAGAAACTATAATTATTTTATGTAGGTCCCTTGTTCAATAAATATGCATGAATAATAATGACACGGGATTTGCCAAAATAAAGTGAATGGAACAAGGGATGAAGGGTTGGGGGCAGACCAGGAGACATTCCCTGAGCAGCCAAGTAAAATTCCTAACTTTTTATGGGGTGTCCAAGGCCCTGGCTGTGGCTGAGGAGGGGCTCTTAAAGTGTAGCAAGGCATATTGGATTCTGCCCCGATTTTATCCAAATTCCAAAGATAATTTAAACTTTTCATTAAAGTAGCTATCAAAATGCAACTGAATGACTGTGGCACTATAAAAATGTCTGTGTGTGTTGCTCTCCCCACCCTATCCTGCTTCCCCTACTCTACCCCACCCTACCCTACCCTACCCTAGTCAGGGTACTCTGGGATTTCTAAAGTGCATGTAATCACATATCGTCAACTTGCACCAGTGCTGGGGGGATTTATTATCTCATGTTAGACATGTGTGAGGGTGAATTTCTGGAGCTTTGTACTGGTAGTAGCTAACGTACTTAGCAACCGCCCTCAGTAACTGACTATCGCATGTACCTATTTCTTTTCATAATACGTCGCTTTTGATTAGTGCTGACTCAGTGTGTCCCAAGAGACAATCATTTCAGTCTTCCAGGCCTGAATTTAATCATCAAGGGATTTTTAAAATTCCTGTGTTAATACCTTCATTCCACACAGCCTCTACCATGTTTTCTTAGCTAAGCAAAGAGTCTTAGTAGTAAACTGAACTTTTTAGAAAATAAAACCAACACTACATGGGTTGGGGAATGAGCGAGGCATCTGTAGACAAGAGAATTTTATCACTTAAAATAAATACACATTTTATGATGGAAAAACAGTCAATGAAAAATAGAACTGGAGGATACTATTTGTTACTTGCAGAAGGCTATCTAGATTCTGGAAAGCAATCTGGGGTTTTCATTAATGATGCAACTGTCTAAGGTTTGACCGCACAATAACAGACATTCTTAATCTGAAAACTGTCAAAGCAATAATAACCTATTTATGACAAAGAGAAACCTTGAGTTATTGAAATTTCTGGGGGCAGGTAAGAGGTGTGTGGGCTGGGGAGGTTTATACAGCACAGACATTTGAAAAGGGTCATTAATATTTTTCAGCTTACAATGGTTCTAGAGGAAGACTGTTTTTGAATTCACACTTACTAGCTGTGTGAACTTGGATAAATTTTAAAGTCTTTATCAAAGTTTATTTTGCTGTAAAGTGAAGATATAATAATATAGTACATGTTTCGTCTTTATAGGTGTGATAATTGAGTTAATACAATGAAAAGGCTTAGAAAGATGCCCTAACTCACTGTAAAATTATGTTGCCACCGTCACTCTCAGCATTATTATATTAATGTACATCTCTAGATTAAATCACTTTTTATCTATTCCTTGTTCCATAAATCTGGTTGGGTGTTAGTTGAAGATAGGCTGTCCTTTCAGCTTTCACCATCTTCATCAAGGCCAATCCTCATGTTTCTATATGGAGGGACTTCAGCTGGACCAATACCTCAGATCTCTCTTCCCTGTCACTCACTTCTCTTCTGGAAGAGGGGTGACTTATTTGATTGGTGGGTTTGGGAGAAGGAACTGGGCTGTGTGGTCAGTGGATCTGTCATTGTGCCGATCAGGTACATTCTGGTCTGGGTCTCCACTAGGCAGTCAGGCCTGGTCCTTGGGGAAGACTTTGGCCTGTCTAGCTCTTCCGTGACAGGGTGGATGATAAGCCTACTATTTTAGAGTTACAATATCAAGTCATTTAATCACATTTTCCAACTGAGTCTTTTTTTATCAATAATAAAGCTGATATTTCTCTATAAATCTGACTTCAATATGTTTTCCTCAGTTGGGTTTGACCTAGAAGAAAAATAATATTTTATTTATTGGGTTTCCAAATTTTCAAAACCTATTGTGTGTAAGGTTCTGAGAGGTTACTACAGATAATACACTAATGACTAAGACATCATCTCTTGCTTATAGAGGTTGCTATCTAGTAAAATGTATGATGACTTTTCATAAATACCTATAACACAAGATGAATAATTAAAACAAGAAAAGCAAAACAAAGTGTTATGAAAAATTCAAAGAGAGGAGAAATGACTGCCATGCAGAGGCATCAAGAAAAAACTAAAGAGGGGATGAAGAGAGGTTGATTAATGGGTACAAAATTACAGTAGTGGTTCGGTGGGGTGGCTCACTCCTGTAATCTCAGCACTTTGGGTGGCCAAACAGGGAGGATCACTTGCGGCCAGGAATTCGGGACCAGCCTGGTCAACATAGCGAGATCCCATCTCTACAAAGAGTTAAAAAAAAAATTAGCCAGGCATGGTGGTGCATGAGTACAGTCCCAGCTGCTTTGGGAGGCTGAGGCAGGAGGATCCCTTGAGCCCAGGAGGTTGAGGCTGCAGTGAGCCATGATTGTGCCACTGCCTGGGTGACAGTGAGAACTTGTCTCAAGAAAAAAGAAAAAAATACAGGTAGATAGAAAAAATAAGACCTAGTGTTTGATAAGTAAGTAGAGTGGTGATAGTCAACAATAATCTACTGTATATTTCAAAATAGCTAGCAGAGAATAATTTGAATTTTCCCAGCATAAAGAGAAGATAGAAGTTTAAGGTAATGGATATCCCAATTACCCTCATTCAATTATTACAAATTATATGGATGTATCTAAATATCATATATACCTTGAAAGTATGTACATCTATTAGGTATCAATTTGAAAAAAGAAAAAAACTCATGGAAGAGATGATGCTATGGTTTGAATGTGTCCCCCAAAGTTTATGTGTTGGAAACTTAAACCCCAATGCAGCAGTACTGAGAGTTGGGGCTTTTAAAAGTAATTAGGTCATGAGGGATCTGCCCTCAGGAATGAATTAATGTCATTATCCTGGAAGTGTGGGCTTACTATAAAAGTAAGTTCAATCCCCTCTTTGTCTTTCTGGCCCTCTCTTTGCCTTTCTGCCATGGGATGATACAGCAAGAAAGTCCTCTCAAGATGCCAGCCCCTGAATCTAGGACTTCCCAGCCTCTGCAACCATGATCCAATAAATTTATATTCATTATAAATGACCCAATTTGTGGTATTGTTATAGCAGCACAGAACAGACTAAAACAGATAATATTTAATATGGGGTGGGAGAAGCAAAGTGCAATGCCACGAAGGCAGAAAAGCATGAGTATATATGTTAGGGGAGGGAGGGTAGTGGGGAGATAGTTGTGGAGAAACAGTTTATTCTGGCTGAAATTTAGAATATAAGTAAGGCAGTAAGGAAGAGGCTGGACATTTTTGGGCCATATAATAGAAAGCCACAGAAAGATTTTGAACAGGGAACTAACTTTAGAGTTGCGTTTAATGGATACTAACCAGGGAATGGTATATGACACAGATTCAATTAAAAGGTTGGGTGATGAGAGTAATTGGTGTAAAGTAGAGATTCAGTTCCCTAATTCTAAACCATGATATATCAGAATAAAGCACATAAAAAAGATTTATTTTAGAGGAATATATTAGTCAGTGTTCTCCAGAAAAACAACACAACCAGTAGGATATGTGTCTATCTATCTATCTGTTTACAGATATATGTCTCCTACTTCTTTCTCACACATTTATACACACATAATTATGGAGGCTGAGAAGGTCCAAAAACTGAAGACTCAGGAAAACTGGTGGTATAATTCAGTCCAAGTCTGGAAGTCTGAGAACCAGGAGAGTTGATGGTGTAAATCCTAGTCCAAGGACCACAGAACATGAGATGTCCAGCTCAAGCAGACCGGCAGGAAGCAAAAGAGAAAATTCCTCCTTCCTCCACATTTTGTTCTATTCAGACTCTCAGTGGATTGGATGATGCACAGCCACATTGGGAAGGGCAATCTACTTTACTGAGTCTGCCGATTTAAATGGTAATTTAATCTGGAAACTCTTTCACAAACACATCCAGAAGTAATGCCTCCTCTGTGCATCCTATGGCCAGTCAGGATGACATATAAACTTAACCAACACAAGTGATAAGACAATTAGCTCAGACTTGGATATTGAGTTTGAAATGCCAATGGGACATTCAAATGAATAACTCTAGACACTTCTGGCTCCATTCTATCCTTCTAGTGGTGGAGAAATAGACTGTAACTCTTTGTGGCAAGAATTGCAAATAATTTCTTTTTGCCATTTTTAATATCTACCACACAAATTCTGCGATTTATTTGCTCTACAACCTAGAACATTTAATTTAACCTTTCTTAGCCTGAGTTTCCTACTGTGTCAAAAGGAAAACCTCATAGATTTCTGAAGGTTAGATAACACATGTACTTACCTTGTACAGGTCCTGGAATGCGGTAGGTGCTAAGAAATGGTAACTATGACCATCGTCATCATCCTTACTGAGACAGGTTCAAATACTGTCTCCATCACTTACTAGCTATGTGATATTTAATCTCTCTAAACATTGGCTTGCTCATCTTCAAAATTAGGATAATAAGAATAACTACTACAATGGTTGTTGTAACGCTTTGTGAGAAATCTTTGTATAGAACCTCTTAAAAGGCTAGTACAAGTAACTCCCACATAAAATTGTTGTGAAGATTTAATAAATTCTTAAATATAAAGCATTTAGCCTGATGGCTGGCATATATTCCAAGATTCAATAAATGTTAGCTATCATTGCTATAATTACTACTACTACAATTATATTAGATAGATAATTGACTGTCACTTCTCCATTCACTATGGGTTCTTTAAAGAATCTTGTCAGTACCTATCTCACCTAGAAAACTGGATATTAGATAGCTAGATATAGCTATTTTAAAATATAAACTGAAGATATATAGAGGGTAGTTTTCCATGTGTATCAGGAACTTAGGGGTGTCTGGGTTTTAAGTATATCTATATTTCAAATTTAGTTTAAATGAATTTAATTTATTTCTTGTAGATACAGGGTCTCACTGTGTTGCCCAGGCTGGTCTTAGACTGCTGGGCTTAAGCAAATCACATACCTTGGCCTTCCAAAGTGCTGGGATTACAGACATGAGCCCCTGCACACAACCTTAGGTACATTTAGAATGGTATGCATATAGATACTTAAGAATCTTGAGGGCGTATAGGGGGAAAGGTGCACTGATGAGCCTTACTTGATGTCTGTGCTTTGCAGATGGAAGAAGGAAGAGAAGACAGGAAAGAACACATAAGGAAAGATTAGTGATCCAGAAGTAGATCCGGAATGATACCAGTCACAGTACCAAGGAAGGAAGAAATTAAAAGAAACAGGGGAGTGTTCAACAATGCTGAGTGGTACACAAAGGCCTGAGAAAAACTGTAGGCTTTGCCAATTATGGGGTAATTGGTGACCTTTGAGAGAATAGTTTTAGAAAGAGAACCAAGGGTGGAGTTAAAATTCCAAGGATCTGAGGAATGAGTGGGTGGTAGGAAAAATGGAAGCTATGATGGTAGCCTACTTTTTAAAGATGTTTTCCAAAGAAGAGAAGAAACAACAGAGGGCAGTAACTTGAGAGGGCAGCAAGTCAAAGGAAGGATATTTATAAGGAGAGAGAATATTTTTAGAAACTCAAACAGAGAGCAAATTAAAACACCATCAAGAGAGGCCCTTGGTGGAATAAGATCCTAAAGGAAGTGAAGAAGAATGGGAACAGAGCCCAGGTTGAACCTCGTAAAGGGAGGACTTCCATCATCATTAGAGGCATGAGTAAAGGAAAGGGGCGAACAGACTAAAATTAACAAGATATACTGAGATGGAGAGAATGAAGCTGCACAAAGTCTACATCTGATATCTTGAATCTTACTGGGAAATGAGAAAGTGATTGGTATATTCTGAGAAATTACCAGAAATAGGGTGGGAGCTGAAGGACAGGAGGGCTACATGGAAGGTTGAGAGTTGACTGTACCTGAATATAATAATTTCTGGGCAGTAATGAGAGCTTAGTTAAAATTAGACATATTAATTGCTGTAGACGCAGCATATTCATTTTCCCTAAGAATGTTAAATGTCCAGAAAGTGACAGTAGAGAAAGCATATTTTCTTTATATTGAGCTTAAAAATGCTAAGACAGGAATGAGAGAAAAGAAAAATGGCAAGGGATGCTGTGAGGCGGTGAAGAGTGTATTACTGTCAGGAATTAGCATATTATTTACATTAAAAATAAACTCAGAGAAGGGAGGATAAGCTGAAGAAAAGAGAGAGTTCAAGACACAAACAAACACCATTAGGATTAAAAACAAGTTCAGTGATGATGAAGAAATGGAGGATTTGAAGTTGAAGTCAGCCTGTGGATTTCCAGAGATCAAAATCTTGGAAGTGAAACCACATCAAGTGAGTCTGGGTAGGTCTTGCCTACAGGTGTAAGTCTGCTTCAGGAAGTCCAGAAAGCAGTGAGGAAAGACTGTTAGGAATACGACCCAGTGCTTACAGACATCAGCTTTGCAGTCAGAATCCCAGCTCTACCACTTTCTAGTTGGGTGACTCTGTGCAAGTTCCGAAACTTTTCCATGTCTGATCCTCATCCATACAATGAAGGTCACATTATTTCCTGGCTTTTAGAACTGATGTGAGGATTAAATGGGATAATGTATGTAAAGCGTCTCACATTTGACACCTAATAAGGGCTCAAAATATAGTTTTTATTATCTAGTGTTACTTTCAGTATCTTCATGATTCATATGTCAGTGTTTATCCAAGGGAGAGTGACATGGATTAAGGTGCAGAGGAAGACTGTGAATGGGGCATAAAAGTCTATGAAGAAGGTATCAGGTTTAGAGGTTAGTGGATGACTGGGCAAAGAAGGCTAGAAACCTAATAAAAATGCCTGCAACAGACATTGATGACCTTAAAAAAGGAAATCCTTTTTAGGTAGAACAGAGTAGAACGGCTCCCAAGTTTAGTGCCATTGGATTAATGATATCCTGAAAGACTCAGATTCTTTCTCTGCTTGTTTGCTGGTCCTCTTAAGGCTATGTTCCGTCACGCTCTCCATATTATGCCTGCAGTTTTAGATATCCTTAGGGAACAAGTTTTGGGGATCATTAGTGGATTCCTCTAGAATGTGAGGGTGCTAGCACCTATTTATTTATTTCAGTTTGGAGAATAAAGCAGCAGAGAAGTATTATTCCATATTTTGTTATACAAATGATGCTGCAGTTAGCAGCCTTATAAATACTTCATTATGCATATGTGAAGTATTTTCTAGGATGAATAGGAAGACATAGAATTGCTTCCAAAGAGCACACATTTTAAACATTGTAGATACTTACAAATGGCATTATCACTTTACACTCTCACTAGCAGTATATTAAAAAAACTAAGGATTACCCACTTCCTACTCATATTTTGATAATATCAAACTTTTAAATATTTGCTAATCTGGTACACAAAAAACCATGTCTCATTGTTTTTTCAATGCGCATTTTTCTGGTTACAAATGGGGCTGAGTATCTTTTCAAATGTTTGTGGATCATTTGCATTTAATTTTTAATGAATTTCCTCTTCATCACTTTTGCTTGTTTTTCTATTGGATTGCTTACGTTTTCTTAATTTGTAGAAATTCTTCATATAGTCTGAATACTAATCCTTTGATTGCTATTTTCGTCTATCCTTTGCTTTAGCTTTGTTGAAGATGTCTCCAAGAAGGGAAACAACTTTTAATTTACAAGTAGGAAACAACTTTTAATTTGCACAAAACTTTTTGTCCTCTTGGATTCTTAGGCTGTTTAACTGGCAGTAACTGGTTGTTTGATTTCCAGAGTCTACTTTGCTCAAAGTCAATTACAGGAAGCTCTTTATACAGTGTCATTTAAAGGATAAGGAGAGAAAGCCTGAACTG
The DNA here is from genome assembly GCF_000001405.40 of Homo sapiens. NCBI lineage: Eukaryota > Metazoa > Chordata > Mammalia > Primates > Hominidae > Homo > Homo sapiens. The sequence continues at coordinate 186,544,593 of NC_000002.12, read as the reverse complement.
CTAAAATATACTTCAACCCAGGAGTCTGATGCCATGACTGGAATTCCCCAGATTAGTCATTCCTGAGGGACTTTCTGGAATGTGAGATTTTAACTGGGTGAAGGGTATTATTATCTTGTTGAAACAGGATGTTAGCCTATCAACACATTAACAATGATTATGTTCTTCAATGAAATGTTTTTCCTTTTTTTTTTAACTGAGTAGAGAAAGAACAGAGCAGGAATGAGATGTACAGATAAAGTAAGCAAAGTTTGAAACACAGCACAGGGCCCTGTTATTTGAAGAACTATTACGGAAGGCTCTGGGCAATGAGGAGGCAGTTTCAGGGCAAAATTTCTCTGTTTTAGGAAGAAAGAAGGGAGACTAAAAAGAAAGATGACCAAAATAAACTTTGAGTTTTCTCCCCTCAGCCTGGAATTCTTTTAATCCTCTAATACTCAGGTTACAATATCAAAATATAGTGGTTTTCCACTTAAATTAGATGTGCGTTTGATTATTCCCTTATTAAAGCAAACTTAAGCAGTTCTGCAGCTATGAGTCAACAGATCCTTTCAAACATTCCTCACAAAAGTCCTGTGATAGAGGAAAGTCATTTAAGATTTAAAATGAGAGAATTACAAAGAAAGTGGCATAAAAGACTTGTCCTTTGCCATGTGTTAAGTTGCAAGTATTATTCTAACTTTGTAAGTGGTTTTAGTCTCTGAGAGAAAAATATTTAATGAAAGCAGATGTTGATGAGTCACATTTAAGCTCTTATAGTTTAAAACACATTTTTTTTTTTTGTATATGGAGTTGTTGCTTGGAAGGTGGCTGGATAAAGTCCTCAACCCACACACTAAATGATGAATTTTCTTGTGTTGTCAGTACCAAAGAAGTTGGACTAGAGAGTCTGTAGGAACACTTCCAAATCTTGTATCCTACACTTTGTCAAAGGAGATTTATGGCTGGGCGCGGTAACTCATGCCTGTAATCCCAGCACTGTGGGAGGCCAAGGCAGATGGATTACCTGAAGTCAGGAGTTCAAGACTAGCCCGTCCAACGTAGTGAAATCCTGTCTCTACTAAAATTACAAAATTAGCCAAGGGTGGTGGTGCATGCCTATAATCCCAGCTACTTGGGAGGCTGAGGCAGGAGAATCGCTTGAACCCGAGAGGCGGAGGTTGCAGTGACCCGAGATTGCGCCACTGAACTCCAGCCTGGGCAACAAGAGCAAAACTCTGTCTCAAATTAAAAGAAAAAAAAAAAAAAGAGCCGGATACGGTGGCTTATGCCTGTAATCCCAGAACTTTGGGAGGCCAAGGCGGGCAGATCACAAGGTCAGAAGATCGAGACCATCCTGGCTAACACGGTGAAACCCCGTCTCTACTAAAAATACAAAAAATTAGCCGGGTGTGGTGGCGGGCACCTGTAGTCCCAGCTGCTTGGGAGGAGGCAGGAGAATGGAATGAATCCAGAAGGCGGATGTTGCAGTGAGCCGAGATCGCGCCACTGCACTCCAGCCTGGGTGGCAGAGCGACACTCCGTCTCAAAAAAGAAAAAAAAAAAAGATTTATGCCTTTTTTCCTTTTGCCCTAGTTATGTAGCCATGAAATGATGTAACCATGAGATGATGTAGCCACATGATGAAATAGCCCCCAACTCTTTTCTCCTGCGGCTACTTCTTTAAGTCACTGTTCAGACATTCACAGTGAAGAAGTTAGGGAGAAGAAGAAAATTTTCAAATTGTGAGTGTGAGAGAAATATTGATTTATTATTTAATAAATATTTACAGATTGGTTAGCATGTCTGAGACTAACCACAGGTGGACAGACTAACCAAATAATCATAAACACAATCTCAGACAAAGTTAAGTACTATGAAGTGTCCTTATAACAAAGGACTTAGGAGTCAAAGAAAACCTTCTCTCAGGAAGGACCAACATCTGTGCTAAGATCTGAAGGAGGAGCAGGGGTTAAAAAATGAAAGAGTAGGCCAGGCGCCGTGGCTTACACCTGTAATCCCAGCACTTTGGGAGGCCAAGGCGGGTGGATCACTTGAGGTTAGGAGTTCAAGACTAGCCTGCCCAACATGGTGAAACCCCGTCTCTACTAAAAATACAAAAATTAGATGGGTGTGGTGGTGCATGCCTGTAATCCCAGCTACTTGGGAGGTTGAGGTAGGAGAATTGCTTGAGCCCGGGAGGCAGAGGTTGCAGTGAGTCGAGATCTCGCCACTTAACTCCAGCCTGGGTGAGAGCAAAACTCTGTCTCAAAAAAAAGAAAAAAAAAAGGGTGAAAGAGTGGGTGAGTTGGCAATGGCAAGAGCATTCCAGGCAGAACAACAAGCATTCATAGGGCTCCTGATACAGGAGACAGCATAGTGTGTTCAGGTAACTTGGAGAAAGGGTGATGCAACCCCAAGGTAGTTAGGAGGATTTGGTAATGACTCGGATAACTGGAGATAGTTCCCTCTCAGATTCTTTGCTACTTTCTTCCTGTCTCTCCCTCTCTCCTAACGGAAAACAAACACTTCAGCCAGGCATTGTTTTAAGCACTTTATACATATTAACTCAACCCTAACTCAACACAAACCAACCAGTATATGTCAGAGAATATGAACTCAAGATCTTACCTGAGGCATCTCTGCTTTGTCTTTTTCACCCCTCAAACACTGAGCTATCCTTAAGATAACAAGAGAGTTTCTATAGGGACAAACCCAAGGCATTTAGTTTTTGTAGGGACAAGCCCAGGATTATTTGCGAGAAGGCCAAAAAAAACCCACACAAGAAAAAAAAGAAAAAAAAAGGTAAAAAAGGATGTAGGTATGCAAATGTGTTTTAGTCATGCTGAATCCCAAGGCAAGCTACACTTAGGAAGAAAACTACAAAAATACTATAATCCATTCATGTGTTATTTATTTAATTGTGATGTATAATATTTGAGTGTATATTCTGTCAAGTATGGTCCTAAAAATCTTATAATGTGTATGTTTGGTTAATCCTGACACCCAAACCTATTATGCCAATTTTACAAAGGAGAAACCAAGAGAAAATTCCAAGGATGCACAGCTAGTGGTAGTGAAGAAAGGTGGGAGCTGATTCTGAATAGTCTGGCTGCAGAACCATGCTTTTAAGCACTAGACTTCGTTTGCTCATTTGTATGACCAAAAAATGCCTTGTTACCTCATAAAAAGATTATCTTCTCTCTTCTCTAAAAGAGGGCCTTATGATATTTTAGGAAATGAAGATCTTCTTGACAAATATGAGAGTCACTGAATTAACAAGAAAATAGAGAAACTCTGATGGAACTCTGTAAAAGCAGCACACACTGAAACTGCACTTTCTTTGACAAAAGATTGCAAATAAGAATATGGAAGTAATTTTGTGGCCAGTGAACACGGAACACTTAAGTTATGCAGCAAGCCGCCATGTAACTCTAGACTTCTGAAACTGGTAGTACGAAAACAGCTCTAAGGCTGATTTTGAGCAGGGATTATAGTCAATCCTGCAACACTAAACCAATTACAGCAGAAAAAACCGAGACTATTTTCAACAAAGTTGCAGAATTTTCTGATTTGCATTAAGTGTTTGTCATTTTCTTGGCATGTTTCTCCTTTCATCATTGAAGTATGAGAGATTATGTGTTTAAAGTCTGCCTCTTTCTCATTTGGGTTTGAATAAAATTCCACAGTGTTCTTTTGGATGAAGGGGGTTCCCTAAAGTTAAAAGGAGTTTCCTCCACTTTTATTGAGATCTAAAGAAGCAGACTTGCAGTTCATCATTCACCAAAGAAGCAAAAACCAAAAAACTATAACTAGACATATCATATTCAAACTGCAGAAAATCAAAAGTTTAAAAAGAAGTCTTGAAATAAGCCAGAGGAAAAAATTACCTTACTTATAGAGGAGCAAAGATAAGAGCTACATCTGACTGCTCAAAAACCATGCAAGCAGAGTGGAGTAAATATTTAAAGTGTTGAGAGAAAAAAAACCTCACTGACCTAGAACTGAATACTCTGCAAAATTATTCTCCAAAAGTGAAGGAGAAATACTGTCTCAGACAAACAGAGTTGAGGGAATTTGTTGCTAGAAGCTCTGCCATGCAAGAAATGTTAAAAGAAGTTATTTAGAAAAGAAGGAAAATGATATGTCAGAAGCTGAGATATAAATAAAGAAAAGAACATCAAGAAAGCCGGGTGCAGTGACTCATGCCTGTAATTCCAGCACTTTGGGAGGTCAAGGCAGGCGGATCACCTGAGGTCAGGAGTTCAAGACCAGCCTGGCCAATATGGAGAAACCCCGTCTCTACAAAAATACAAAATTTAGCTGGGCATGATGGCGGATGCCTGTAATCCCAGCTACTTGGGAGGCTGAGGTGGGAAAATCGCTTGAACCCGGGAAGCAGAGGTTGCAGTGAGCTGAGTTCACATCATTGCACTCTAGCCTGGGTGACAGTGAGACTCCATCTCAAAAAAAAAAAAAAAAAGAAAAAGAAAAAGAAAAAAACATCAAGAAGGAATAAATATAGTTAAAACTTTCATTTTCCTTATTCTTAATTGAGCTAACAAATATGGTTTGTTCAAAATAACAATAGTAATAATGTATTCAATTATGTAGCAAATCAAATCCAACAATGTATTAAAGGAAATTATAGACCATAACCAAAGAGAATTTATCCTAGAAATACAAGGCTGGTTCAACATTTGGAAATCAATTAATATAATCCATTACATCAACATACTAAGGAAGAAAAGTCACGTGATTATATCAGTAGATGCTGAAAAAGCATTTGACAAAATTCAACACTCACTCATAATAAAAACTTTTAAGGCTGGGCGTGGTGGCTCACGCCTGTAATCCCAGCACTTTGGGAGGCCGAGGTGGGCAGATCACGAGGTCAGGAGTTTGAGACCAACCTGACCAACATGGTGAAACTCCGTCTCTACTAAACATACAAAAATTAGCCAGGCATGGTGGCATGTGCCTGTAATCCCAGCTACTCAGGAGGCTGAGGCAGGAGAATTGCTTGAACCCAGGAGGCAGAGGTTGCAGTGAGCTGAGATCATGCCACTGCACTCCAGCCTGGGCAAGAGAATGAGACTTCATCTCAAAACAAAACAAAACAAACAAACAAAAAAACTTTTAGCAAAAAGGCAACAGAGAGGAGCTTCCTCAAATTGATAAGACTATCTACAAAACACTTATAGTTAACATCATACTTAATAGTGAGAAACTAGAAGCTTTCCCACTAAGATCAGAAACAAGGTAAAGATGTCCCCTCTCACCATTCCTTTTCAGTACCATACTGGAAGGTTCTACCAAAACAATAAGACAGGAAGAGGAAACAAAAGGTATTATGATTAAAAGGAAGAAATAAAACTGTCTTTGTTTGCAGATGACATGAATGTCTAGGGAGAAAATCCAAAAGAATCAACAAACCTCCTCCCTACTCCTGGAACTAATAGGTAATTATAGCAATGTTGCAGGACAAAAGGTTAATATATAAAAGTCAATTAGTTTCCTACATAACAGTAATTAATAAGTGGAATTTGAAATGAAGAACACAATACCAGCTGGGCACAATGGCTCATGCCTGTAATCCCAGCAGTTTGGGAGGCCAGGGTGGGTGGATTGCCTGAGGTCAGGAGTTTGAGACCAGCCTGGCCAACATGGTGAAAGCCTGTCTCTACTAAAATACAAAAATTAGCCAGATGAGGTGGCAGGCACCTGTAAACCCAGCTACTAGGGAGGCTGAGGGCAGGAGAATTGCTTGAACGCAGGAGACAGAGGTGGCAGTAAGCTGAGATCGCACCACTGCACTCCAGCCTGTGCAACAACAACAACAACAAAATAAAAATAGAAACAAAATAAAATAAAAACACAATACCATTTACATTGGCACCCCAAAAATGAAACACGTAGGAATATATCTAACAAAATATGCACAAGATCTGTATAAGGAAAGCTATAAAACTTTGATGAAATCAAAGAACTAAATAAATAGACATTCCATGTTCACAGAAAGGAAGATTCAATATGCCAAGATGTCAATTCTTCTCAACTTAATCTATAAGTTAAATGCAATGCCAATCAAAATCCCAGCAGAAGATTTTCTGGATATTGATAAACTGACCCTAGAGTTATATGAAGAGGCAAAAGACCCAGAATGGCCAACATAATGTTAAAGGAGAAGAACAAAGAGCACTGATTATAAACGACTTCAAGATTTACTACAAACCTAGAGTAATCTAGGCAGTGTGGTACTGGTGAAAGAATAGATAAATAGATCATTGAGATGGAAGAGAAAGTCCAGAAATAGACCCACATACATATTTTTACATTGCCAACTAGTTTTTGACAAAGAAGCAAAGGCAGTAAATAGCGCAAAGATAGTCTTTTCAATAAATGGTGCAATAAATGGTTCAATAAATTTATTTTATTTAATACATAAATAAAATATCTGGAGAGCCACATGCAAATATATACATATATATGTGTATATATATATATATATACACACACTGACCTTTAACCCTTCACAAAAGTTAGATCAAAGTAGATCATATGCCAAACATAAAATGTGAAACTATAAAAGTCTTAGATGATAATGTAAGAGAAAACCTAGATTACCTTGGGTATGGTAATAACTTTTTAGATGCAACACTAAAGGTACAATCCATGAAAAGAGAATGGTAAGCTGGACGGCACAAAAATCTTCTGCTTTATGAAATACACTGTCAAGAGAATGAGAAGAGAAGCCACAAGAATGTGGAGCAACAGGAACTCCCATTCGCTGCTGGTGAGAATGAAAAATGGTACATCCACTTTGAAGACAGCTTGGCAATTTCTTATAAAACTAAACATATCATATGATCCAGCAATTGTGTTCCTTTGTATTTACCCAAATGAGTTAAAAACTTATGTGGGAGGCTGAGGCAGGAGAATGGCGTGAACCTGGGAGGCGGAGCTTGCAGTGAGCCGAGATGTCGCCACTGCCTTCCAGCCTGGGTGACAGAGTGAGACTCCGTCTCAAAAAAAAAAAAAAAAAAAAACAAAAACAGAAACTTATGTGCACACAGAAACTTGCACATGGATGTTTATAGTAGCGTCATTCTTAATTCCCAAAACTTGGAATTTTGACATTGGAACCACAATGTCCCTCAGTAGGTGAATGGATGAATAACCTGTGGTGCATCCAGACAATGGAATATTATTCAATGCCAAAAAGAAATGAGCTATCAAGTTATAAAATGACATGAAGGAAACTTAAATGTGTATTACTAAGTGAAAGAAGTCAATCTAAAAAGGTTACGTACTTTATGATTCCAAGTATATGACATTCTGGGAAAGGCAAAACTATGAAAACAATAAAAGGATCAGTGGTTGCCAGGAGTTAGGTGAGAAAGACGGATAAATAGGAGAAGCGCAGAGGATTTTTAGGGAAGTAAAACTACTCTGTGTGATACAATAATGATGGATACATGTCATTATACACTTGGCTGGGCATGGTGGCTTATGCCTGTACTTTGAGAGGTCAAGGTGGGAGGATCCCTTGAGGCCAGGAGTTCAAGACCAGCTTCAGCAACATGGTGACACGACCCCATCTCTACAAAAAATGGAAAAAAAAAGTTATCTGGGCATGGTGGCATGTGCCTGTAGTCCCAGTTACTCGGGAGGCTGAGGTGGATCTCTTGAGCTCAAGAGTTCAAAGCGGCAGTGAGCCACGATTGTGCCACTGCACTGCAGGGTGGGTGAAAGAAAAATACCGTTTCAAAAACAGACAACCCCCCCAAAACCCCATGTAATTATACATTTGTTCAAACCCATAGAATATACACCAAGTGTGGACCCTAATGTAACCTATGGACTTTGGGGTGATAATATGTCGATATAGCTTCATGGATTGTAACATATGTACCACTCTGGTGCAGGGTTTTGATAGTGGAGAAGGCTGCACATATGTGGGCTTAGCAGGGAGGTATATGAGAAATCTCTGTAGCTTCCACTTAATTTTGCTGTAAATCTAGAACTGATCTGAAAAATAAGGTCTGTTAAAAATAAAACAAAACCAGAAACAAACAAAACAAAACAAAGAGCCTTCCTGGACCTCACATCCCTTCCAGTCACCATCTCATTTTTCTGCTCCATCTTACAGAAAAATTCAAGAGTTGCCTATGCTAACTAGTTGTCTTTATTTCCTCTCTTCCCATTCCCTCTTGAGTCTGTTCCCACCAGGCTTTTGCCCTCACGATTCCACTGAAATGTGGGCAATTCTCAGTCCTCATTTTACTTGAAATGTCAGTAGCTTTGACACCATGATGCTTCATCTTTCCTGATCCACTTAACTTCACTTGATTCCTGGGACACTCATTTACCTCCTCCATTATGGGCCACTCTTTCTCAATTTCCTTTGTTGGTGTCCCGTGATGTCCCTAAATGCTAAGTATCAGAGTGCTTCTACCTCAGTCCTTGGTCTTCTTTTCTCCATCTACACTTACTTTCTTGGTGATCTCATTCAGTCTCGTGGTTTTAAATCCTATTAAGAACTGAGGACACATAAATTCCAAATACCTCATTTACTGGGTTGTAGTGAAGATTAAATGAATTAATGTTGATTAGGCACTTAAAACTGCCTGGAACAGAGTAAGTACTTTATATAATCAGCTATAAACTTGTAAGCTGTCTAATAGGCACCGCAAGTGTCACAAGTACAAAATCAAGCTTCCAATTGTTCTCCCTTAAACTCCCCCTCCTGCAGACTTTTCTCACATACCTTATTATTGCTTCCCATCATATTCCACATCTAGTCTATGAGAAAATCCTAGTGGTTCTACTTTCAAAATATACACGGAATTCAAATTCTTCCCAATAACTTCATTACTACATCCTTATCCAAGGTATAACTATTTTCCACCTGTTTTATTGCAAATGTACTAACAAGTCTCCCTGCTTTCTCTTGTTTTTCTGTGGTCCAGTTTAACATGGTACCCAGAGTAATTCTTATAAAATGTGAAATCATGTGACTCCTTTTCCAAAATCCTCAAATCTTACTCAGGGCCATAGCCAATATCCATGCAATGCCCTATAGGGCCCTATGTTAACTGGCCTTTTGATCTTTCTCTGATCTCATGTCCTGCCACTCTGTGTGATCACTCTGCTTCTGTCACACTAGCCTTCTTGCTAGTGTATTTGCCACTAGTGTGTTATATTAGGTTGGTGCAAAAGTAATTGCTCTTCTTGCCATCACTTTTAATGGCAAAAATATTATATTAGTGTGTAATATATCATATCAAGTATACTCCTTCCTCCATTACCTTTGCATTTGATTGTTCTTCCCACAAGATAATCTGCCCAAATATCTGCTCATCCTCTCTTGCTTTCTCCAGTGTCTCTCTCGAAGAATTTTCCTCTCTCTCCTGCATCATAAGGGCCACGAGGGGACAACCCAGCCTGTGCACTAAGCAAAAACTACAAAATCAGGTTCTTAATGAGATCTTCTGAGCATAGATCAAGACTTGCCTATTGATAGATTCAGTTACAGGAGGCAATCATGCCCTTTAGAGTTTATTATAATATTCAGCAAGTTCTTCAAACTTGGGAGGTCATATACATGAAAAATATCATTATTAGTAGTATATTTTAATCATAATTTATTGTTATTTTAATGTGGTAGAATTGTATAATGATTCATATTAGAAAGAAACATGTAATTTGTGTAAATAGAGGATAGAGAAATTCATGGCTTAATCTTTTCTTCTGGAAACATGATTATATTGTACAACATCAAAAGAAGTGAAAGAAGAGAAGGGAAGGAGATAAAGAAAAGGGTGCAGAAAGTTATGAACAATCAGGCTTTGTGCTAAGTGCTTCAAATACATTTTCTTCTTCAAAACTCAGCATCCCCAGGGCGAGTCTTTTTCTCCTCATTTTACAGATGAGGATGGTCAGAAGGTTACGGTCATCCAGCTATTAAGGGGGAAGAGTCAGGATTTGTGACTAGGGTTGTGTTACTCCAAAACCCATCCTCTTGCCATTTTACCATCCTGGGTTTGGTCTTTAAATTTTCCTACAATAAATAAGTATTGTTTATTGAGTCAGTGAGTGAAAGAAACCAAGACGAAAAAAGAGTTCTTTTCAGTCTGCAAATGTCAAGGGTGATAATATGTAGCTGTGTTCTTACCATCCAGCTTAAAATCTTGCAACTTAGGCTTTCATAAAAATATGAGGAAGGGAAGAAATTTTTCATCAGCACTTAGAATGTATTAAAGAACTATGAAATGTTACTGCACACAGTTACAATATCCCACCTCTTTCCTGGAATCCATTCTATGATGGAGAAGTATATGAATCAACTATAAATAGAATGCATTAACTCATCTGTTCTTGCCAGAAGCAGTGAAATTTAGTATCTAGGGTAAGGGGAGGTTTAAGGGTCTCCCTGAACTTACTTTTCAGTGGGCAAAGAATTTTGAAATAGTGTATGTCTAAGAAACTATGATTATTCACTGTATTATGATTCAGATTTTGGCTTAAACTGTATCATATTAGAAATATTTCAAGAAAAACAATGTGATATTGTCTCTGGAGAGATTAACCTTAAGCTACAGGAAAAAAAATCTAGTTAATTCATTCAAGTCAACATTGTTTACTAAGTGCCTATTTGTACTTTGAACTCAGCTGGATACTATGTACAAAGAGAGCATGGTGTACTCAAACTATTTCATAGTCCTAGAAATCCTTCAGGGACCCCTCTCCTTTTGTGAGCTCCCAGGCAATTCAAAAGCTACTTGGGATGAGTTATATCCTGGGCACAAAGAAGTAACTTAAGTTGGCCAGCTCCACTCCTTCACAGAGCAAATAGAATTGAAATAAGGGCAGGGTGTTCTTTTTCAGTTCTTTGCCTAACCAACCTAAATATAATCCTTTAAATATCTTCTAAAATAGTTTGTCTTACACATTAATTATTTTTTGAATCTATATCAAAATACATATTTCCAGTACTTAGAGATACTTAGAAATGGATACAATAATTTCCCAATAATTCTTCTGGATACATGTGTGTTTAAAAAGTCAACATTCTGTTTTTTTATTGGGACAGGTGATCTGTAAGGTTTATTGTTGACATTCTAGTTACTTTAAGTTTGATAGCCATGTTTTCCTTTTAGATTCAATGTTTAAGTCATTTGTTGCTGAAACTGTCCTCACCTCCATTCAATTTTTGTGCTGTGTCAAGAACATGTTGTAATCTATATATATCTTTTGCCTTTTGTTTCTGTTCTCTCAAGAATTTGCAATAATAATTACTCTCCATTTGGGGCCATTAGTGTGTTACTGTGCTACCCTTTCATATAATAAGGAAGTTGTTCATGGTGTTGTATCATACAGTTAGGAGTTTCCAAGAAAAGGTTTATTCAATTCCAAATCAACCACACCTTTCAATACACACATACAGCAGTGTCTGTACGTAGATGGGAAAAAGACTTGGAAAACAAGACTACAGTACTCTTGCAGGAGAAGGAAGATGACACACTGGCTATGAATTCTTACTTCTGAGGCCAAAAGGGCCCTTCTGCCTGCACTTTTATACTCTCCAATCCACTTTGGGCTTTTGAGGGTCCAGGTTCAAGAAACCCTTATCAGTTCTGGCAGCCTTGCCTTGCTTGTATGGTTTCTGGAGTTTGGGTGGGGCATCTATGCTTGTTGTGAATGTGAGGCAATTTTCAGGGACTCTAATAAGCAAGGAATTATGACTACTACATAATTTTATTCTTTAACAGTTATGGGGCATACTACTTTTGTCAGTTTGTGGTCTGTGCATAAGTTGGGCAGCATCCATGGAAGAGTATAAAGAGCAAGAAAAAATGTTTCTCTCTCCTTACATACAATATGTTGCGATACATTTTCAAACATGTAACCCCAAAACATATTTATGGGAACATCTTCCACTCGAGTGGGAAATATTAAGCTCCAATATTATTTTGCTATTCTTCAGAAAGAAAAGCCTAAGGTAATGGTTGAAAGACCTAGACAGTTGATAGAAATTAATTTGGAATTGAGGTAAACACTGGAAATATGTTTTTTCATTTTCATGTTGAATATATGAAATGATTAAATAGTAAATTTTCTAGGCCAGGTGTGGTGGCTCACACCTGTAATCCCAGCACTTTGGGAGGCCGAGGTGGCAGATCACTTGAACCCAGGAGATCAAGACCAACCTGGACAACATGGTGAAATGCTGTTTCTACAAAAAAATACAAAAATTAGCCAGGTGTGGTGGCACAAGCCTGTAAGTCCCAGCTACTTAGGAGGCTAAGGTGGGAGGATCACCTGAGCCCAGGAGGTTGAGGGTTGAGGCTGCAGTGAACTGTAATCATGCCACTCCGGCCTTGGTGACAGCAAGACAGCCTCTCTCTCTCTCTCTGTCTCTCTCTCTCTCTCTCTCTCTCACACACACACACACACACACACACACACACACACACACACACACACACACCATTTTCTACGTTAATACTGGACATGTATAGCTTACTCTGTTGTTTTAAATTTTTCATTTATCATGTAAATTAGACAGTATTGTTTAATTCTTTCCTCTGGGTTATCTAAGTCAATAAATATAAGATAATTTGGTCAATGTAGTTAAATCTAACTTTTGTTCTATGTTTGGCTAATGCCTATCAAATTATAAGCATATTAGACCAAGACATTATTAATAACTATTATATTTGAAAGTTATTGATGAGCAATTCATTCAGATTCAGAGGAAGCTAGGGAAGGTGGGATATATAAGCAAGGAGAACATCATTTTGGGGTTAAAAATCTGGGCCTTTTTGATGGCATAATAGTCAATAAAATTAACTCAGTTATTGCTTGGGTTTGATGAAATTGATTGCTAAAGATCACCATTTCTGGCAACATTGAGGACTCAGTAATGGCAGGGGCTTCTTAGCCACTATCATATTTTAAGAAGCAGGAGCTGACTAGCTTTGTTGTGTGAGCTATTTCTTGAAATAGCTCAGGAATGAGCTCTACTATAGTCTTCATTCCCCTGCACAATCCACCTCAGAACCTCTTATCTTACTCTCTAGCTTTATCTAAAGGAAAACTGTATGACATTTATTTATCTTTAAAAGCCTTAGCAGCATCTAATAATTTGATCATTTTGGAAGAATGCCAAGCCAAAAACATTCCTTTAATTTTAGCAATAATTATTTGACTGTGAAAGCTTGGAGTTTTGAAACTCTTAATTATTGTTTCCTTAGGTCTAGAATGTTTACAACTACTAAATCAGAAATCTCTTACCACTCCTTCTTAGCTTCATGTTCCAACTATACTGAACTAGTTTCAGGGCCTTTACATAGCTGAGCTCACACTCCTGTACCTCTGCTAATGCTGCTCAAACACCAACCTTCACTTACTCATTTGGGCAATTTTAACTTGCACTTCAAGTTTTAGTTAGTGTTATTCCATCTTGCTCCTGCTTTGCTTAGATGCTCCTCTCACATGCTCTCATAGCACACATGCATATCTCTATCGCACAGTATTAAAACCATTTGGTTTTCTGTCTTCCTCATTAGGCCAGGGCTTCCTGGAGACAGGATTTTTTTCCCCCCGTTATCCCCAGTACCCAGCACAGTGCTTGGCATATAATAGCTGCACAAGAGTTTGTTGAATAAATGAAAGAAATAAGTTGAGATCTTAACAAAGGAACAAAACTGTAGAGATTTGACTACTTTTTCCTTCCATGTTTGAAAACAACAACAACAACAACAAAAACAAACTAGAGTCATTGCTAAGTAGACACAGCACTCAAATGGCCAGTTTCCATACTGATCTCTGCTCCTAAAATTATTTCAAGTAAATTACTCTCTGTAGCAACAAGTTCTCCATGTGAAGCAAGCACGCTAGCTTCACACCATTAACGTTATGTATAATGGCAGTACATTATTGATGGGGCACTTTGATCATTCTAATTAAAAAGTTCTAGTTATTAGAACTGCTGTAAGGATGTCACACTGAGAAAGAAGGAATGAGTACATATAGGAATGTAACAAATTCATTTAATGGCTAAGCGGCCTGCTTTAGAAGTTCACTGGTGTCATTGCACAATCCTTTTTGTCACAGAGTTTGGTATTCATTTTGAATGGATCTGTTATGCCTTGGTCCAATTAATTCATCTTGCAGATCCATTGCCCAAAAATGAGTTGCTGAATAGACTCAAATATTCTTCTAACTAAATCACCGTAATGTTGATTTTTATATTGGTAATTATACTAGCCTCACTGTATTCAAGCTTAGGTTAGGGATAAAGAGCTACTCATAAATAATGCCCTTAGCAAAGCTCTTAAGACAAATCAGGATTGGAATTCTGCTTCTGATGCTTACTGGCTCTGCACCTTGGGTAATCTTCTTAACTTTTCTGGGCCTCATTTACCTTTTATGTAAAATGGGCATAACAGTACTCAGATCATAGGGTTATTGTGAGGAATACATGAGATTATCACGTAAAGAATTTAGCATGATGCCTGGGACACAGTAAGTGCTCAATAGACATAAATTGCTCTCCTCCTCTCTTCTTCCTCCTCCTCCACGTCATCACTACTACTGCTCCTTATATGACTGTTATTTTTCCTCAATTCCATTGGGTTTGAGCTCCAAGTAAAGGAAAATCAAATCTAAACTTAATAATTAACAAAATCCAAATTTAAAAAAGCCCTCAAAGTACTTTAAATATCCAGTAATTAATTATAATATCTCATTTGTATAATTATATTTACAATAAAATGCAAATTTAAATATATATTCCTTATATTCATGCTATATAAATATTTTAGAAATTTAGGCATAGTCCCATGAATGTTTCTGCCATTCAACTTATTAAAATGATGTCAATACAGTTTTTAAGATAGGAAAGTAATGCTATAATGTAGAACAAAAAAATTCCCAATCACAATGGAGAAAAAATATTAACTGAGTGTTTATGAGTTGTGGGATTTGGTGACTTTTCTTTTTTATACTCTATATTTTTCAAATTTTATATAACAAAACATTTTAAGCTTTTAATACATTTTTAGGCAGTAAACATATTCATCTTTTCGCATATATATGCAAATATTACACAAATATAATTTTGTATTTTAGAATACATACTCCTTATAAAAATGGTATGAACCAAATAGGCATGTGTAAAACAGAAAGTTAATTCAACAATTCAACATATGAAAATCAATCAGTGTAATACACCACACGTTAACAGAATGAAGGATAAAAACCACATGATCATCTTGATTGATGCAGAAGCCTTAAAATTTTTTTTTTTGAGATAGGGTATCACTTTGTCACTCAGGCTGGGGTGCAGTGACGCTGTCAGCTCGCTGTAACCTCAAACTCCTGGGCTCAAGCAAAGAGAAAAATTTTGATCAAATTCAATACCCTTTAATGATAAAAATAGTCAACAAAATAGGAATAGGTGAAACACAGTACTGAAAATTATAGCCACAGCAGTTAGACAAGAAAAAGAAATAAAAGGCATCCATATTGGAAAGGAAGAAGTAAAATTATTTCTATTCACAGATGACATGCTCTTGTATTTAGAAAACCATAAAGACACCACCAGAAAGACCTGTTAATAATTTCAGCAAATTTGCAGGATATAAAATCAACATATAAAAGCCAGCTACATTTCTTTCTTTCTTTCTTCCTTTTTTTTTTTTATTTTTTGAGACAAAGTTTCGCTCTTTTTGCCCAGGCTGGAGTGCAATGGCATGATCTCGGCTCATCGCAACCTCTGCCTCCCAGGTTCAAGTGATTCTCCTGCCTCAGCCTCCCGAGTAGCTGGGATTACAGGCATGCGCCACCACGCCCAGCTAATTTTGTGTTTTTAGTAGAGATGGGGTTTCTCCATGTTGGTCAGGTTGGTCTCGAACTCCCCATCTCAGGTGATTCGCCCGCCTCGGCCTCCCAAAGTGCTGGGATTACAGGCATGAGCCACCATGCCCGGCCTGCCAGCTGCAATTCTATACTCTAATAATAACCAGTCCAAAGAGGAAATTTAAAAACAAATCCCATTTGCTGTATCATCAAAAAGTATAGAATACTAAGGAATAAACTTAACCAAGGAGGTGAAAGACTTGAACACTCAAAGTTATAAAATATAGCTAAAAGAAAGCAAAAAGATACAAATAAATGGAGAGACATCCATGCACGTGGATTGAAAAACTTTAATTTTGTTAAAATGTCCATACTATCCAAAGCCATTTACAGATTCAATGCAGTATTTATCATAATCCCAGTGGCAAGTTGGGTGTTGTAGCATTTGCCTTAGTCCTAAATTCTTGGAAGGCTGAAGTGGGAGGATCACTCAAGCCCGAGTTCGAGGCCAGCCTGGGGAACAGAGTGAAATCCTGCCACTAAAAACCAAAAAAATCCCAAAGGAATATTTTTGAAGAAACAGAAAAAAAAAATCTTAAAATTCATATGGAATCTCAAGGGACCCCAAATAGCCAAAATAATCTTGAAAAAGAACAAATTTGGAGGATCCCACTTCCAGATTTTAAAACCTACTTCAAAGCAACAGTAATCAAGATGATGTGGTACTGGCATAAACAGATATATAGACCAATGGAACATAATAGCCCAGAAATAAACCCTTGTGTATATGGCCAAATGATTTTTGACAACGGTGCCAAGACTACATAATGGGGAAAGGACAGTCTCTTCAACAAATGGTGTTGGGAGGACTGGATAACCATATGCAAAGAATGAAGTTGGACCCTTACCTTACACTATATGCAAAAATTAATTCAAAAGCGATTAAAGACCTACATAAGACCTAAAACTATACAACTCCTAGAAGAAAACATAGGTGAGAAGCTTCAGGACACTGGATTTGGCAAAGATTTCTTGGATATGACATCCAAAGCATACATAAAAAAACCAAAAACAGACAAATGTGTCTATATCAAATGTAAAAAAATTGTGCATCAAAGGAAATAACTGAGAGCAAAAAGGCAAGCTATGGAATGGGAGAAAATATTGCAAATCATATATTGGATAATGGGCTGATATACAGAAAATAAAAGGAATGTTTACAACTCAACAACAAAAACCAAATAACTCAATTAAAACATGGGCAAAAGACTTGAATAGGCAATTCTCTAAAGATATATAAATGACCAACAAGCATATGAAAATATGCTTGACATCACTAATTGAGAGAAATGCAAATCAAAACCACACTGAGATATAACCTCACACCCCTTAGGATGGTCACTATCAACAGAAAATAACAAGTGTTGGGGAGGATGTGGAGAAATTGGAGCCCTTGTGCACTGTTGTAGGGAGCGTAAAGTGGTACAGCCATTATAAAAAACAATAAAAAATTAAAAATAGAATCCTCAAAAAATGAAAAATAGAATGTGATCCAGCAAATCCACTTGTGGGTATATATCAAAAAGAATTCAAAGCAGGCTCTGGAAGAGAAATTTGCACACCCATGTTCACTGCAGCATTATTCACAATAGCCAAGAGGTGGAAGCAATCCAAATGTTGGAGAGATGAGTGGATAGAGAAAACATGGTATATACAAGCAATGAAATACTATGCAGCCTTAAAAAAGAAGGAAATACTGTCACATAGAACAACGTGGATGAATCTCAAGGACATTATACTGGCAAAACAAGCCAGTCACAAAAGGACAAATACTGTATTACTCCACTTATGTGAAATATCTAATGTAGTCAAAATCATAGAAATGAAAAGTAGAAACGTAGTTGCTAAGGGATTGCGGGGAGGAGAAAAATTAGGGTTTTATGAGTTTGGAGTTTCAATTTTGTAAGACGAAAAAGTTTTAGAGATCTGTTGCACAACAACGTGAATATACTTAACACTACTGAACAGTACATTTAGAAATGGTTAAGGTGGTAAATTTGTTAGATGTCTTTTACAATAGAAAAACCTGAAAACAACAACAAAAACATGACAATCAAATTCTCTATAGTTAGACCTCTTCTGCCCTATAAACACCAAAGACGACTACTGTTAACAGGCCTGTAACTTCTAGATCTTCAGAAAAAAAGAACATACCAGACACACATACACACTATACACTCACCTGGCTTGAATGCAGTGGCACATTCTTGGCTCAGTGTAGCTTGAACCTCCCAGGCTAAACGATCCTCCAACCTCAGCTTCCTGAGTAGCTGGGACCAAAATAAGCTGGCTTATTTTGTTTATTTTTTGTAGGGATGAACTCACTATGTTGCCCAGGCAGGTCTTGACCTCCTAAGCTCTAGTGAACCTCCTGCTTCAGCCTCCAAAGTGCTGGGATATTACTCTGTTGCCAAGGCTGGAGTGCAGAGATGCAATCAACACACTGTAACCTTAAATTCCTGGACTCAAGTGACTCTCCTGCCTCAGCCTCCCAAGTAGCTGGGACCACAGGCATGAAACACCACATCTGGCTTTTTTTTTTTTTTTTTTTTTTTTTTGTAGAGACAAGGTCTCACTACGTTACCCAGGCTGGTCTCAAACTTCTGGCCTCAAGTGATCCTCTTGCCGTGGCCTCCCGAAGTGCTGGGATTATGGGTGTGAGCTACCACACACAGCCATACTTGTCTTAAAAAAAAAAAAAAGGCCAGACACAGTGGCTCACACCTGTAATCCTAGCACTTTGGGAGGCTGAGGCGGGCGGATTGCCTGAGTTCAGGAGTTTGAGAACAGCCTGGGCAACACGGTGAAACCCTCTCTACCAAAATACAAAAAAATTAGCTGAGTGTGGTGACGTGCACCTGTAGTCCCAGTTACTCAGGAGGCTGAGGCAGGAGAATTGCTTGAACCCGGAGGCGGAGGTTGCAGTGAGCCGAGATCGTGCCACTGCACTCCACCCTGGGCGACAGAGCGAGACTTCGTCTCCAAAAAAAAAAAAAAAAAAAAGAAACGCTCAACAGAACATCATGGTCATCTTTCCATGTCAGTACATGGAAAAATCTTTTCTCATTCTTGTAAACGGCTGTGTAGTATTTTACTGTATGGATGTACTATATTTGGCAAAGGCAGTACTGTAAGTCTCAGAGTCTTAATATTTCCAAAGGAATGGTCCCTTTGATGAAAAAATTTTAACAAATATTAAAAATATTAATTAAAAAATTAAGTTAACGAATATTCTTTGCTTAAATGTACAGCACTAAGGGAGAGGGCACCATCAAAGAATGACAGAATGCCTGCCCTTGAGGAAACAACATTCTTATTACAAGAGCCAAGATACACACATAAACAAGGTAGAAACAGATTCTTAATTGCCATGTGAATTTTGAATCCCGTTTTGGGGAATCAAAGTCTTCATGGGAATACATCTTCAAAACATTCAAGGATAGGAAGGATTTAGGAATGTGAACACTGTCAAAAGGGATGTGAGAGAGAATATTTCATAAAGTAGGAACACATAGACATAGAAAACTACAGTGTATGGGCTTGGCGTGGTGGTTCATGCCTGTAATCTCAGCACTTTGGGAGGCCGAGGAGGGCGGATGACTTGAGGCCAGGAGTTTGAGACCAGCCTGACCAACACAGCGAAAACCATATCTCTACTAAAAATACAAATATTAGCTGGCTGTGGTGGCAAGTGCCTGTAATCCCAGCTACTTGGGAGGCTGAGGCACAAGAATTGCTTGAATCCGGGAGTTGGGGGTTGCACTGAGCTGTGATTGTGCCACTGCACTCCAGCATGGGTGACGGAATGAGTCTGTCTCAGAAAACAAAACAAAGCAAAACAAACAACCCTACAGTGTATGTGATAATAGCTACTAATACCTCAGTGCCTATGTACTAAGTACTTGCTGCTAAGTACTTATATACCAGCCTACTTTCTTTACATATAATACCCCATTACAGCTTCACAACTGAGGAAGAGACATTTTAATCCCTACCTTACTAATGAGGTAACTCAGGATCAAAAAAGTTAAGCATTACATTGTGAGTTACTTGACTAAAGAAATAAGAAAGTAGGAGAGGGAAGCTGGGGCCACCAGAGGAGAGTTTGAAGATTAGGCCTAAATATTTAGATTGTATTTGGTAGGCAATTTAGAGCCATTAAAGAATTATGAAGTGGGAGACCTCATGATTAAAACTATGCTTAAGAAGATAAATCCAGCAATGCTTTGGATGGATCGGTTACAGGAAGGGAAGGAAAGGAAACAGGTTAAATTAATTACAAGTACAGTGAACATATGCCCAAGTTTGCAGAGGACAGTTCCAATGTATACCAGTTGTCTAATGTAAGTACTAAAAGAGTTTTCTTCACTCTCCATAGTGTCCCTTCCACACTCAAAAAATGTTTCAGTTTGGAAGATAAATTACATGTGACTAATTATGAAAGGAGATGAGAGCCTGAGTAATACAGGATAGTGGCCATGTGAATAGAAAAGAGGATGAATGTAGGAGAAATCTTGGTTTGGCAAAATAACCAATAGATATTTTTTAGTCCACTTGGCTGGATAATAAAATCTTAATAACAGGGGGAAAAAAAGAAAGAAAAAGGAGGAAAAGATTTAGGAAAGAAAACAACAACTTTAGTATGGAATGTGAAGAACTGGCAGGATATTCACGTTGAGCTGTGCAGTAAGTAGCTTACTGGACATGTGAGGCTGAAGATACAGTTGTTCATATGGAAGCAATTATTTAAATCATGAAAGTGAATGAGATTGCCAAGGGATAGAGAATAATCAAAGATGGGAAAGGAACACTTCTTTAGAAAAACCCTCAAAGTGTAAATACCAAATGAGGTTAAAGACAGTTCTATAATTACTTAATCATCTTGAGCCCAGTGAAAATTACCAACGGCCCACATGGAATGCTGTGTTTGAAAGGAGCTGGCCGGGATACCAAAGGGCAACTTCACAGTGTGCTTCCTGCTTATCATTTCATGACATTTTCATCACCATTTTTCTTGTGAATGTGAACTCCTGAGGGTCATGTTATAAATGTATTCTTAGTTCAAGACTAGATGGATTGATACAAGAAGGTAAATACAGCAGTAATTGATGTGGGCCACTCAAGTGTCTACATTTTCTGTCACTTTCCTGTACATTAGCACATCTGTAATAATATTATCGTTTCCCACATAACTTACCTTAGACTGTCAAGCTGAGGGTTCTCCCTCATCAGTGATGACATGAAGACTGAAAAACAGAATTTATCTCGGTATTATCAATGTACTCACAACAACACGGTACATTGCCAAGTCACTTAGTGTTCACACGAGAAAGCCCATGACTTACTGTTTCATTTATATAGAGATGTAACTCTCACCCAGGAAAGGCAAAGTACACCTTAAAATTACTATATGGAATTGATCTATAAAAGTATTTTGAATTTAATGGCTGCTGTGAATGAGAAAAAAGTGCATTTAAAAAATTCAGGCCAGGCTCGGTGGCTCATGCCAGCACTTTGGGAAGCTGAGGCAGGCAGAGCACTTGAGGCCAGGAGTTCGAAACTAGCCTGGCCAACGTGGCGAAACCCCATCTTTACTAAAAATGCAAAAATTAGTCAAGTGGGGCCGCATGCCTGTAGTCCCAGCTACTTGGAAGGCTGAGGAACGAGAATCGCTTGAACCCAGGAGGCAGAGGTTGCAGTGAGCCGAAGACTCCGCCACTGCACTCCAGCCTGGGTGACAGAGCAAGACTCCATCTAAAGAAAAAAAAATTAAAATTGTATAAGGCAAATTCATATACTTTTGCTCAGAAAACAAAGCCATATGGAAGCACATCCAAAACAAAACTTCACTTAACTGTCCGGGAAGTTGAAATTAAGCAGTAGGAGTACTGGCATGCCTTCTGTGCTTGTCTCTCTTTTTAAAATAACTTTGATGCTTCAGTAAGTACCAGTAACATCCATAATTTACTACAGTCCAACAGAAAACACTGACTTTGCAATTATTTACCTATTTTTTTCCCCTCATTTAACAAAATTCTTTTTTTTCAGTGGAAAAACAGTTTTAAAGTAGACTACATATTTCCCCATGTATCTGAATACAAATGGTTCAGCCCACTGGGGTTACATTAATAAAGCAGTATAATGAATCTTTTCAAGCAACTCCAATACGTTCCAAACCTTAAAACTACTGTCAAAAAGACATAGTGCAGTAACTCAACTATAACTCTCTGAGAAGCAGACAATGTGTTTTTAATACCTGCTTGGAAGAGAAATATGTATGTATACTACAGTTAAGAAATCAGATTCTTTTTTTTAATAGAGAAAGAAAAGTGGGCCCAGGGGACCGGTGCTCAGCATAGGGAGGACCCGCACCGGCACCGGTCTCTGAGTTCCCTCAGTATTTATTGATCATTATCTCGACCATCTCGGAGAGGGGGATGTGGCAGGACAGTAGGGTAATAGTGGGGACAGGGTCAGCAGGAAAACAAGTGAACAAATGTCTCTGTGTCATAAACAAGGTTAAGAAAAAGGTGCTGTGCTTTGATACGCACATACATAAACATCTCGGTGCATTAAAGAGCAATATTGCTGCCAGCATGTCTCACCTCCAGCCCTAAGGCGGTTTTCTCCTATCTCAGTAGATGGAACATACAATCGGGTTTTACACTGAGACATTCCATTGCCCAGGGGATGAGCAGGAGACAGATGTCTTCCTCTTTTACTAATCCTCCTCAGCACAGACCCTTTACGGGTGTTGGGCTTGGGGACGGTCAGGTCTTTTCCTTCCCAGGAGGCCATATTTCAGACTATCACATGGAGAGAAACCTTGGACAATACCTGGCTTTCCTAGGCAGAGGTCCCTTCGGCCTTCCACTGTGTTTTGTGTCCCTGGGTACTTGAGATTAGGGAGTGGTGATGACTTTTAACGAGCATACTGCCTTCAAGCATTTGTTTAACAAAGCACATCCTGCACAGCCCTAAATCCATTAAATCTTGACACAGCACATGTTTCTGCGAGCACAGGGTTGGGGGTAGGGTTACAGATTAACAGCATCTCAAGACAAAATTTTACTTGGTACAGAACAAAATGGAGTCTCTTATGTTTACTTCTTTCTACATAGACACAGTAACAGTCTGATATCTCTTTCTTTTCCCCACATTTCCCCCTTCTTTTCGACAAAACCACCGTTGTCATCATGGCTCGTTCTCGATGGTCGCTCTCTTCGGAGCTGCTGGGTACACCTGCAGACACTGTTGATACAGTCTTCAAAGCTGCAAGCAGCATGTTCTCTGGAGTTTGTGTCACCTTTGTGTTCTCTAGGCTTTTTTTTAGCTAACTGTGTCAGCTTCTTTAATTGTGCCCATGTCGGCGGCTCCGCCTTCTTGGTGGATGGCAACTTCATCTGTTCTTCTGACATCACCATTCTGTTCATCTTGTGAGCCGATGGTGCTCGACTGCGGTGTCTCTGTCTCCGTGGAGGTGCTTTTCTTTGCATCTCCGACGGGTTCATTGTAGAACTTCAAATGTCACAAGGCTGACTGTAGACGTACTCGGGAATCTCGTCGACTTGTCCTCAATGATCATGCTCGAGCATACCTTCAACCTAGAGAAAAGCACCCACGTTGGGCACCAGATGAAGGGGTGGCCTGCCCCTCCACACCTGTGGGTGTTTCCAGTCGGGTGGGACGAGAGACTGAGAAAAGAAAGAGACACAAAGTATAGAGAAAGAAAAGTGGGCCCAGGGGACCGGCGCTCAGCATACGGAGGACCCGTGCCACCAAGAATTCAGATTATTTGCCAACATTGTGAAATGAATTCATGCAGTTGTGAGAATATGCAAAATGTAGAATTTATTACTCATCAATGCAAGCAATTTTTTCCAGGTTGGCACTGGGCCTTTCAAATGTAAAACTGATAATTTTTAATATGGTCACACGAAGCTTGTTATTTCAGTGATAAGCTGTGGAGAGTTGATAGTTGACTCTAGCTAAAATCTTGCCAGACACTATGTTGTTTGACATTAGCTAAATGATTATACCAATGATGTGTTCAGGGCTTGAGGCAAAACAAAATGTCATCTTATTATTTTCCTTGAATTTCTAGAGCTTAGTTTTTAAAGTTTAGATTTTGAACAAGTTGTCATTTAAAAATGTTTTCCCTGTTTTTACAGTAGTCTTCAGTATGTGGACAAGTAAATGAACCAAGGAAACAAAAGTGGTCAAACGTGTCTCAATATTTCTTGAGCTCTAATATCCAATTTAAAGCAATAGTTTTAATCTGAACACCTGAAAATAAAAATGAGACATAATGATATATCTGTATCTTTTCTGAGGTCATCCACTGAATATTTCAGCTCCTATAAAGTTCTATAGGGTTTTAAATGATTTGTTAGTAGTTACTGTGGCTTCAACATAAAAGCAACATATTTAGGGGAATCACTTTAAACAGTGAAGTCAAAGGAAACATGTATTACAACAAAAACACTCTTTATGCAATTCAATAGACCTCTTTATTAATTTCTCCTACAGTTCTTGACGTTTATATTACATCTGTTATTTTAGTGAGATTTTAATATTTCATACTCCATTCATATATAAAGAATTTCTACTCAAATGCTTAAAGTATCATTCATGTTGGCCATTAAAAAAGAATCTTATTAGAAAAATCAGATTATTCTTTTCAGGTTGTCTTAAACCTTAAGTTTCTCAATATTAGCAAAGCTATTTCTGTCAAAAGTAGAGTAATGTTGATTAAAAACATAAGCTACCTGGGTAAACATGAGGATCTAGCTGTGAGGAATTAGCTGGGGGTTCTGTAGTACTCAATGCCTATTTTAGAAAAAGGATCCAATCAATAACCTCAACTGCTAGGTTAAGGAACAAAAGCAAATTAAACCCCATGTAAGCAGAAGAAAAGAAATAAAGATCAGAGGGGAAATCAGTGAAACAGCAAATTTATAGAGAAAAATCAGTGAAACCATAAGCTGGTTCTTTGGGTTGATCGAAAGTTGACAATTACTTTTGCACCAACCTATATAAATTTCAAGCTTTAACAGCAGAAGGGTCAATTTCTATGTTTAATCAAAAATAACTGTCTATGGGACTATTGAGCTGGTTTCAACAGCATTATCCTGATACAAAAACTACAGATTAATTCATCAATTATGAACATAGAAACAAGTACGCTAAGTTTTATCAAATCAAATCCAACAATATATAAAAAGAAAATGTATCAGGATCAAGTGGGGTTTATCCTAGGAATTCAGGCTGTTTTCACCATATTAATAAGTTTTTAAAAAAGCCATTTGATCATCTCAGTAGATTGAGAAAAAGATTTGACAAAATCCAAAATCCATTCTTGATTAAAACAAAATACAAAGCAACCCCCCACTAAGTCTCAGTAAACTAGGAACAGAAAAAAAACTTCCTCAGTGCATTTATGATATACAGCTAACGTCATTACTTAATCATGCAAGACTGAATGCTTTCCACTTAAGATCACAAACAAGGCAAGAATGTTTGCTCTCATCACCAGCACAGTACGGCAGAATTTGACCAACTTTTTCTGTCAGTCTCTGTGGCAACTACACAACTCTGCCATTGTAGCATGAAAGCAGGTATAGACAGTGCATAAAGAATAAAACTGTCTATAAGTTCGCTGACTCATGCAATAACATAAGACAAAGAAATAAAATGTATTCAGATTGGAAAGAAAGAAAATCATCTTCATTTACAGAGGAGTTTGTCTATGTAGAAGACAATGTTGTGAAATCAACAAAAAAGCTACTAGAATAAGTGAGTTTAGCAAGGTAGCATGATAAAATTAAAATGCAAAAGTCAGCTGTATTTCTATATACTAACAACAAACAATTGTGAACTGAAATTTAAAAAACCATTTATTGCTGAAGTGATTTTAAAAGACCTAAATACATGAATATACATATGGGTCAGAAGGCTCAATATTAACATTGAGACATTGTATTAGTCCGTTTTCATACTGCTATAAAGAACTGCCTCAGACTGGGTAATTTATAAAGGAGAGATTTAATTGACTCACAGTTCAGCAAGGCTTGGGGGCCTTAGGAAACTTACAATTCTGGCAGACGGCAAAGGGGAAACCTTCTTCACAGGGCGGCAGGAAGGAGAAGTGCCCAGTGATGAGGGAAGGGCCCCTTATAAAACCACCAGAGCTCACGAGAACTCACTCACTATCACAAGAACAGCATGGAGGAAACTGCCCCATTATTCAATTACCTCCATCTGTTCTCTCCCTTGACACGTGGGGATTATGGAGATTACAATTCAAGATGAGATTTTGGGTGGCAACACAGCCAAACTACATCAGATGTCAACTCCATAAATCTGATCTACAGATTTAATGCAAACTCAATAAAAATTCCTGCAGTTTCTTTTGGTAGAAATCAATAGCTGATTCTAAAATGTACACTGAAATGCAAAGAATCCAGAATAGCCAAAGTCACTCTGAAAAAGATTAAGAAAGTTGAGGACTCATTCTGTCAGATTTCAAGACTTAATTATTATAAGGTTGTAGCCATTAAGACAGTATGGTGTTAGTGTAAAGATGGACAAATAGAAAAATGAATCAAAACAGAATTAAAAAAACAAAGCACCATTGACTGATAATCAGTTGGTTTTTGACAAAGGTGCAAAGATAATGTAGGATAGTCCTTTCAACAAATGGTTCTAGAACAATTGGATTTTTACCACAAGGAAAAAAGTGAACTTTGATCCAAACTTTGATTACATACAAAATTTAACCCCAATGGATTACAGATCTAAATTAAAACTGACCACATCCACTGAGGGTGTGGAACAATTGGAACTTTTTTTGACACAGGGTCTCACTCTGTTGCTCAGGCTGGAGTGCAGTGGTGCAATCTTGTCTCACTGCAATCTCCACCTCCTAATTCAATTGCTGTGCCTCAGCCCCACCCGGAGTAGCTGGGATTACAGGTGCACCACCACACTTGGCTAATTTTTTGTATTTTTGGTAGAGATGGGGTTTTGCCATGTTGGCCAGGCGGGTCTCGAACTCCTGGCTTCATGTGATCCACTCACCTTGGCCTCCCAAAGTGCTGAGATTACAGGCGTGAGCCACTGCACCCAGCCTGGAACTCTTACAAACTGCCACTGGGAATATAAAATAGCACAACCACTTTGTAGAACACTAGAAATTTCTTAAAAACTTAAAACATATGAATCAGACATTCCACTCCTGTAATTTACCCAAAAGAAATGAAACCATATGTTCATACAAAGATTTGTATGTGAATATTCATATTAACTTTATTTGTAGTAGCTCCAAATTGGAAACAACACAAGTCCATCAACAAGTGAATGGACAGTGTCAGATCCATACAAAATACTACTACTAAGCAATTTACAGGAATGTACTGATATCTGCAATAACATAGATACATCTCCAAATAATTATGCTGAGTAGAAGTAAAATGAAAAGTACATATTATATGATTCCATTTATATAAAATCATTAAAAAACTATAAACTAATCTATGGTGACCAGTGCTTGTCTGGAGTTGGTGGGTGGTTGGTGTTTGGGGAGGAAAGGATTACAAAGGAGCATCTTTTGGGAGGGATGAATATGTAGATTATATCTTGTTACGATTTCACAATAAATATATTTGTCAAACACCAAATTGTACACTTTGAATATGTATAGTTTATTGTGTCAAATATACCTTAAAGCTGTTTAAAAAGTTTAGTAAAGATCTATGAAAAGCTATTTTGTTTCACCAGAGGAATTAATCAAACATATCTCTCAATTTACCTCTTTGAAATTTGGTTTTACACTTTTAGATGTTAATAAGTCACTATATAAGCTCCCATTTTGAAAAAGAAAAATATATTTCACTTAAAACTGTGGCCAAAATTTCCATGTAAAAACCATTGCAAAACAAATCCAAAATATTGTTCTGTTTCTCATAGAGGGCTCATTCTCATTTCTACAGTCAAGTATGTTGATGCTCATTTACTTATGCAATTAAGCCAGATATAAAAATGTAGGTGCAAGTATAAACCTGTTAGCCGCCCTTAAGTTTGTTATCTAGGCCTCTGAAATCCTATTGGCTCACTTTAATATTTTTCCTATGCTTTTACTGTTTGCCTCTGGACAAGTTCTGGCAGTGAATTTTATGTTTGGTCTTCTGATCTTCAACTATCAAAGGGAAGAGATGAAAAAGATGGACAATCTTTTCAAAACTGTTAGCAGTAGGCAATTCTGTTTAAGAATGAGCAGTAATACATTACATTATACATTTAAGAATCTTATTGAAACCTTAAAAAAATTATATTTTTATTTGACTTCCAATAAACTAGTTAGCGTTCTAGGCAGCATACAAAGTTTCTGTTAAATTTTAATGGGTGTTATTTCTAATAAAAACTATGTAAATATAGATAAAATAGAGACAAGCTTAAGATGACTGACCACAAAATACTATTTTTAAATGCTAACAGGTTAAATCCATTCAGGAAAACTTAAATTCTACTTTTGCTGTTTCTTACTCCCTGAATGGCACTTTTTTTGCTGGGGGCAGGGAGTAGCAGTAGATAGTTGCCATTGTCTCTACCTCCTCATACTAATTCTTTTTAATTAAAATGTCCAGTAATGCTCTGAAAATCATTTTTGGAACATTTAACTATTCAGTAAAAAGATTAAAAATGACTTAATAAGTATACTTTTCTAAATGTAATAAAAATTATATTCTACACTGTACTTTCATAGCACTTCTAGTTTAACATGAAAAATTTCAGGGTGCTTGCTGAAATGACAAAGCACTTTGGTATGGCTATCCTATGCTAAAATTCTTTCCTTTGAAAATTCAAACTCAGTATTTCTAAAAAATCAGCAAAAGAAGTACACTATCTGGTATTCTCTCTTCAACAGAAGTTCACCTTATTTAATCTTGTATTTCTTCGTATAATTGTACAGATTACATAATCAAACTGGGGGGGGGGATGACATCTGAACAAGGAATATTTGGCTCTTAATTTTTAGGATTTTATTGTAGTTTATCCCTTATTAGCGATAGTTGATTGAAATTAATTGCCAAATGCCTCTCTGGTGAGTCATATTCCGCAATTTTGAAATAGGGAGGTCAGCTAACTCTGTGTGGAAGGGAACTGTGCTACCTTTTAAAAGTGTTATATTTTACATTAATGCATTCAGAGTGATTTAAAAGGCATTCAACATGATTATTCAATATCAAGAATATTTTGTTATCTCTAGCTATAGAAGTCTTTGAGATTCTCCCTTTCTTTTACATGCACATGACACTCACATGTAAAGAGTGAAAAGTACATTTATGTACTTGCCCAGAAGAAACCTTTGATTTTGTGCAAATGGATTATCAAGAGAACTGATTCTTTAAATGATATTCACTTGTTCCTTGCATTCCTGTATTTTTAGATAGTATTATTTTTGTACAGTAGCATGCTGTATATGAACACAGAGGTATATAATCATTAGCATGCTATAGAACTATGTTACTGTGAATCCCCCCACAGCCTTTTAAACATTATGAGGTGGTAGTTCACTTTTTCTCATCTTCTTATAGACAACTCATATGTGTTAATACTTCTGTCTCTTCTAATATTGATTCTGCTTTCGTTTTTTTAATAAAGGGTAAACCTTCACCCTTTATACAAATTTTTTTTTTTTTTTTTTTTTTTTGAGACGGAGTCTCGCTCTGTCGCCCAGGCCGGACTGCGGACTGCAGTGGCGCAATCTCGGCTCACTGCAAGCTCCACTTCCTGGGTTCACGCCATTCTCCTGCCTCAGCCTCCCGAGTAGCTGGGACTACAGGCGCCCGCCACCGCGCCCGGCTAATTTTTTGTATTTTTAGTAGAGACGGGGTTTCACCTTGTTAGCCAGGATGGTCTCGATCTCCTGACCTCATGATCCACCCGCCTCGGCCTCCCAAAGTGCTGGGATTACAGGCGTGAGCCAGGGCGCCCGGCCAAATTTTTTTTTTTTCTTTTTTTTTGAGATGGAGTCTCACACTGTCACCCAGGCTGGAGTGCAGTGATGCAATCATGGCTCACTGCAACCTCGAACTCTTGGGCTCAAGCAATCCCAAAGTGCTGGGATTACAGGCATGTGCCACTGCATTGGCTTCACCTATCATACCATTTGGATTGTTATACATGTCATCAATCAACAACTACCTAATAAACCTGCCAATTAAATAATTCTTAGTTGT
Source organism: Homo sapiens (assembly GCF_000001405.40). Taxonomy (NCBI): domain Eukaryota; kingdom Metazoa; phylum Chordata; class Mammalia; order Primates; family Hominidae; genus Homo; species Homo sapiens. Next base: position 186,514,447 of record NC_000002.12, on the reverse strand, counting down.
TATCCCTAATGTGAATTAAATATATACAAATATTTAAATATAATAATTAAAGAGAACTATTTGCTGCCAAAAACCTTCTTGGAAGAGAGAACAGGGGTGGGAGTGGTGTGGGTGTCAAGGTATAGATGGAATCTCCTGTACATAAGGCATATCATACATCTAAGAGTCCTTAAAAGCTGCATTTTAGATAGTTGAGGCTTTGCCCTTCCATTTAGAAGGTTGCTCTGGGAAAAAGTATTAAAAAAGACCAAGTAATTTAAAAATGGCCATGATTAGCTTGAACTTGATTATATACTTCTTCTTAGTCCTAGTTTTTCTTAAAACTAGACTGAAGATATCAGTGGTATCTGACAGGCTGACGATATCAGTGATTAAGTTTCTTCCCTACAGGTGTAGAAATAGGTCTGGAGTGTAAAATAATAATTAACCACAAATATACACAATTATCTATTCAATCAAAAAAAATTTTTTTTAAGTAAATTAAAATTTTTCTTTTCCTTCTAAGGTGAGTCATTAGTGCAATAAGTGTAGGAATAGATAATAATTCCAAACATATCTGAAGAAAATGGTCCATGGAGTGAATCACCAATGTAGTTAATTAGTCTGTATACAACTGACAATGTATCTCCACAAATTATCTAGTTTTTCAATGAAATATTCTCAAAATCAATTTATCAAAGAAGATTTAATCATCCCCTTCCCTGCTTTTTTTTAAAGAGATAAGGTCTCAACTATGTGCCCAGGTTGGAGTGCAGTGGCTGGTCACAGATGCAATCACAGTGCACTGCAGGCTCAAACTCCTGGGACCAAGTGATCCTCCCGCCTTTGAATCCAGAATACCTGGAACTACAAGCACATGTGATTGCACCTGGCAGATTTAGTTACTAAAATTTTTACTTTCAGTACCTATTCAGCACCGTGTAAAAATTCAGGAATGAAGATTCCTAACACATTGGATTCTACTTCTCATGCATTACATTTCTCTTTTAAGTGAAATATGTCCAATATATACAATAATGCACAATCATGAAGTGATCCATATAATTACTATATTATATACTATACTTCTAACTTGAGAGGTTTTAAATACTTTTAATTATAAATTCTTTGATATATTTCCATACATGCTGTAAAAACAAGGTAATTCAAAATACGTAATCATCAGTTAAATATGGTAACATAAAAAAATTCTTAAGTCATATTGATGATCTTTGTCACTGAAATATACAGTTTCCTAAGACTTAGATAAAAATATAGTTTAAAGGAGTCACAGGTGAAATGAAACACATTTGGAATGAAGCTGATATACGGTCCTTTGAAAACACCCTAGAGATTAATTGGCAAAAAAAAGTAGTTAGTATTTCATTGTCTTTTGGTTTATAATATAAGGCTAACTACATAGGAATCAGGAAACTAAGTCCTGATGCTTAAGTCCCATAAGGACTAGTTAATTTTACATGTATCTGTTTGAAAACCAGATCAGCTGTAACAGAAATGTATGCCTCTGGGGACTGAGTACAAAATAACCACCTTTGTCTGAAAAATGTCCATCATATTATCTTCACAAAGAAAATCTTTATTAAAAAAAAAACTCACTCAATGAAACTGAATGTAAAATACTGGAAAGTCTAATTGAAAAGGCATCTTTGTTAATGGTCAGGAACTTACTAGTTCTGCCTTATATAGTTGTGATTTTCTCATTCTAACATGTATACTCAAATCAGGCTGAGACCATGTCTTAAACTGTCATATAGTTCATGCAATCTATAGTGCCCAATACAAGTGCTGTACATGTGGCAAAGCACACAATATTAATGAAATTAATGAAAACGAATCTCCTTTTCTTTCGACATTAACAAAGAGTAACAATCAAAAAATACAACATTAAAAGGAGAAAATGTGAAAATACATTTTGTACTATTATTTCATTTGGGTTTGTTTCTAAAGTACTATAAAATTTTGCAGATGTTGTCAGATTCTAGTTAGAGTTCAGCTTCTCGTAATTTCTACTAATTGAAAAGTAAAGTGTTATCTTTATTCTCAGAGAACACCTATCATCAGTAAGATATATGCTTAAAAATAGAGACAAAAACCCAAAACACAAGATTTTGGGAGTTTATCCTCTCATCTGGTATGCCTTGAAACGAATTTATTACAACATATACCTGAGTTCATATGATATGAATGGTGTGCTAAGTACCTAGAAGCATTAACATAATATTGTATGTGGATATATATATGTATCAGCATCACAGTCTTATACTTAGGTAGAAATCTCTTCTGTGATTCTGAAAGTTCTTTATACAAAGTTAACTACCCAGAACAAGAAGAGAACTCATATAATAATTCTACTAATTATCTGTATGAACGTCTGCCGTAAGTTCCCTTTGTCCACTTTATGTGTTAAAACCTGATAGATGCAATGCTTTCTCAATGATCTGATCCTGTAATCTCACTGCTATCACATTCTGAATCACTTAACGGTCAGCGCTGAATAATACACATTAGAAATATATTGTACCATTATACAATTTATATCAGTCCATTTATATCAGTATGATGGGCTTACAGCATCTGATATACCATCTGTGCAAAAATAAGGTAAAATTCACAATGTAACTTCAGTCATGCACCGCTTAACTAAGGGATATGTTCTGAGAAACACATTGTTAGGTGATTTCAGTTGTGTGAACATCATAGTTACATAAACCTAGATGGTAAAGCCTACCATCTACCACTATATGAAATATATGAAATAACCTATTTTCCTAGGCTGCAAACCTGTACAGCATGTTACTGTACTGAATACTGCAGGCAATTATGACACAATGGTATTTGTGCATCTAAACATAGAAAAGGTAAGGTAAAAATACAGGTACTATAATCTTATGGGACCCCTTTGTATATGTAGTTCAGAGGCAACTGAAACTTCGTTACGTGACACATGACTGTATTTTAAATTTAGAAAGATTCTGGCAAACATGGGATCACTATAGGCTGTAATGGTTATTTATATATAAATGGGTTTGGAAAAGTAGAGCCAATTTCAGATTAACTGTACCAATACTGAGTAACTATACTGAGAATACAAAAATTATTTCTTTAAACCTCTGAAATGTACTATAATTTTAGAAGCAGATTTATTTTTGTACTTTGATTGTCTCAGATTAAAATACTTTTGCATTCTCTGTGCACGTATTGTCTTAATAATGGAAGAAATTTCAGGGCAAGGTAGAGGAAGGCCACCCAGTAATTAAAGACTTGCAGGTATAAAAAATTACCTCCACATTGAACCATTTTGCTTTATATCTATACACTTACTAAAAAACACCTTGACTTTTGAGATCACATTATTTGCTGTAAGATAATACTGTTTTAAACACACCTAAAGTCTTTCAGCATCCTTTTGTTTATATGGCCCTACTTTATATACAGGATAAAAAAAAAAGCCCCCAAACTTAAGGTCGAAAGCAAGGGTGTCCAATCTTTTGACTTCCCTGGGCCACACTGGAAGAACTGTCTTGGGCCACACATAAAATATACTAACACTAGCGATAGCTGAGATTAAAAAAAAAATTGCAAAAAAAAAATATCTCATGTTTTAATTAAGTTTACAAATTTGTGTTGGGCCACATTCAAAGTCATTCTGGGTGGTATGTGGCACACGGGCCTCAGGTTGGAAAAGCTTGGTCTGAAGTAAATGAATTCTAACTTTTATTTATAAGATAAATTCTTAGAAAATGTTTTAGATGACTTCAAAATAGAAAAAAGGTTTAAGCTCTTTAGACTATTCTGAAAATGTTTCATTATTAAATAATGCAGTAAGTACCATTTAAACTTTCACAAAAAAATGGAACAAATCTTTCATGAATAAACTTTAAAACTCAAGCTTTTTAAAAAAATATATAAAGTATATATAGGAAGTATTTAAGTACACTTTCATTGTAGCTGGAAATAAACTTGGCTCCTGATGTTCTATATTTAAAAACTGTCAGTTGTATAGTACTAGTACTAAACAGCTAGGAAGTCAATTTCTTTATCAACTTTGATGTTATCATTTGACAAGATTTGCAATCATAAATTTCTTAGGCTTTACAACTTAGAAGTACGTTAGTGATCATTCAGTCTTTTTTTTTTTTTTTTGAGATAGAGTCTTGCTCTGTCGCCCAGGCTGGAGTGCAGTGGCATGATCTTGGCTCACTGCAACCTCTGCCTCCTGGGTTCAGGCGATTCCCTTGCCTCAGCCTCTTGAGTAGCTGGGATTACAGGCATGCACCACCATGCCCGGATAATTTTTGTATTTTTAGTAGAGATGGGGTTTTGCCATGTTGGCCAGGCTGGTCTTGAACTCCTGACCTCAAGTGATCCGCCTGCCTTGGCCTCCCAAAGTGCTGGGATTACAGGTGTGAGCCACCATGCCCGGCCAGATCATTGAGTCTTAACCTTAATACGCAAATAAAGAAACTAAGATTCAGAGATTTAAAAATCATATAATTTATCGGAGGCAGAAATGAGATTAGGGTCCAGCTCACCTGACATTTTAGTGCTGTTATCTTAGTTGCCTTAAAATCCATTTATATTCGCAAATAACAAAAGCAACATATTATTTGAAAATACAAAACATAACAATAAAAAAGGTGTAGCTAGTACTAAATATGTCATTAGCAAATTGTGTCCATTTTAAATGTATTATCACCCTAATTTTTCAGGGGCTCTTAGTGCCAAAGACCCTCAGCCCAAAGTTTTCTGGTGAATTTGTTTATACTTACAGTAGTATGTACTATTTTAACACCATGAATCTCAACAAACAATTCTTAAGCATTACTTGATTCAACTGCAGGTGATATTTAATTTGGTTGATGTTGTATCAATTCAGAAGTTACTCTTTTATATAACATCTCCTAAAGTCTCTTTTTGGAAGCTTAGTATTTGTGTTATTAAACTCATTGTAGTACTGTCAAGTACTCTAGATGCTTCTGTAGTAAATATTAAGAAAACATGCCTATGTGATATTATAACAGGTATTTAAAATTCTCAAGCTAGAAATGTTAAATTTTTCATAGAAAAACTTAAAAAAAGGCCCATATTTGGATTTTAATGTATGATGGTCTTTATTTACAACTTTATTGGCAAAAAAGAAAAGGGAAACTTTTAAACAATTTAACACAGGGCATTGTAGCTGATCCTGTCAGATAAAAGAAGTTCCATTTTAAATGTCCATCTAATTGTCCAAAGATACACAATACTGAATCTGCATACGCAGTTTCCTTTATGAAGTACAGTGCTCATGTTTTAGGCAGTCTTCTAAACATACAAATACAGAGGAAATTAAATCACTCATTAAAAACTGTGTCAAATGAAGGGTATTTTAAATATAAGTTTGTTGTTTCTGGTAATAGCACATGCCCAAATGAAAACCAAAAGATGGAAAGGCAGATACACTTCTTACTTGGGTGGACAGTTACAACATCAATCATTTTCTGCAATGACCATTATATTTTCAATTTATCATGAACTACTCTGAACTTACTATGAGATGTAGCCAAAGTCAGAAGAGAAGATGTAGGGACAAGATGCCTTTTTTGCAGGAGGTTAACTCCTCCAGAATCAGCATAGGAAATAAACATCCTGTTGATTCTAGGTGGAAAGAAATTAATGTAGTCAATTTCAACTCGTGCTGAGCTGACTTAATTTTTTCAGCGATGTGTTTGGTGTCATTCTTCTAAATCAAGTGTATTTAATTCTTCTTCTAGTTCATCCAAATCCTCTCCAGTGAAAAGATTTTCATCAACAGGAACAGCATCAATGGCTCCATTTTCCGTTCCCTCCCTCTCGTTGTCCTCTTCCAAGTCACTTCTTTCACCATTTTCAGCCCTACCTCCAGAAGCTTCACTTAATTTGTTTTCTAAATATAAAAACTGGAATCAGTAAGGCGTAGAAGCAGAAAACACCATTCCACATTAGCAATAGACAACATAGACTGATACTACACTTCCTCTTTTCCTTTTCTCCATGAAAGCCATTTCCCCAGAATTACTCCAGCAAGAACTGATCATTCTTTTCTGAGCTTATCTGTGCCAATTATCTATACCTACTATAAAATACTGTTTTTCACTGTAGCCATTTGACTACTTAATGGTTTATACATTTGAGGGCAGGATCAATCTTCTACACCTCTGTGTTCCCTACATGACCTAGCAATTAGATTTTAAATAGTCAATTTCCATATAATATTTTATTTGACTAAATGGTTATGGAAACCAAAAAAATGTTTGTAATATAAGCAGCTACTTGGCTTTTGGTTTTGCAAATAGTATTTAAATCATGCTGTTGTAATGCTGTGATTGTGACAGCAGAAAATCTTCATCATGTAATCAAATTGTTAAAAAAAAACATAGTGCTATACAGCTACTTTTTCTTATAGGTTATAAATAACTGAGAGAAAAAAAATGCTGCCTTTTCTTGTTCAATGCCATTGACAATTACACAGACATTTTTTAACAGCCTAATTTAGATTTTAGTTATTTCAAACATCTCTGATGACAAAGTCTTGGGAATTTTATAATCTCTGAATTATTTGCAGTTGTGCCTATTGTCACCAAAGCCCCTACTTCTACAAAGAGCAAGTCAATCTGAATACTGGCAAGATAGTGGTTTGCTAACACTCTCAGATCTTGGGAGGGCAAGCTGGTTTTTCAAGTTACAGCTTGTGTGCTTTTATTGTAAAAATAATGTTCAGCCTTTTCTGTCTCAGCTTTTGCCTTAATGGGCATTTCTTCTGCTGTTTTCTCCCAGAGCAAGCATGCCAAACTTTTACCCCTTTCTTCAAGTACCTAACTCAAGGCACAATTAGACATAAATTATACCAACAATCCTAGACAGCCTTCCCTCCATTCTCATACCTAACTCATTATTTATACTTTCATGTATTGCTTCTATAACTAATCTTTTATCATCAACTTCTCCTCCTTACCAGATCCTCTTCCTCTGAGCTACAGATACATTTAGGTTTTCCATATCCTAAAAAGCCCTTCCCATGACCATGTCTTCCCTCTAAACATTAAGAGAGAGAGGACTGTATTCATTTTTCTTCTCACCGTTATCATTGCAGTCTCAATGAAACTGGCACCCTATTCCTATAACCAATTACAACCAGTAACTTATTTATATTCTTTTTCATCCTACTTGCTTCTTTGGAAACTTGTTTCTTGATTTTTCTCTGACCTTCTCAATGTCTTTCCTAAGCATTTCTTCTTTTACTTACCCCATAACACTGATGTTCTGTAGGGTGTTCATGTCTACACAATATCCTAGACAGTGCACTTTTGATAATCAAAAAATCTCAAACTCATGAGGTCCCGAAGTGAACTCATTGACTTTAACTCCAAGCTCATTTTTGTCTCCTTCTAGTTTCCATTAATGATTTTAATATACACCCAGCTGCTCATGTCTACAGCCTTTCACTATTTATTACTGCTTTTATTTATGGTCAAACCACACATTTATGTTACCAATCTGGTACCTGCACACATCTAAGTTTGCCAAGCCTGGTATAACCCCCTTTAGATAACTTCCTAGTTCTTAAAATTAGGCAAAAGTTAGCATACTTACCATCTTTATCTGAAGTATATGTGCTGAATCTTTCAAGACTGGCTACAGTAATACCTGTTTCATCTACATCTCTTGGGATGTACAGGCTTAAATCTATGTCATTTACACTCACTGAATCATCAACCTTTAACAACATATAGAAAAGAAAGTTGTTACAAATAAGAACAGTTTTCTTTTACTCCTGACATTTATCTTAATGAGCCAAAATTATCACTGATCCAAGTGAAAACAAAAGACCAATTACTGGCCAGGTGTGGAGGCTCACACCTGTAATCCCAACACTTTGGGAGGTCGAGGTGGAGGATCACCTGGGCTTAGGAGTTTGAGACCAGCCTGAGCAACAAAGCCAGACCTTGTCTCTATAAAAAACAAAAACAAAAGATCTATTTTCAAAATTATTTTTTCTAAACTTCGTTTAAAAAGAATAGCAAGGTGGTATATGAAACTTCTTCCTCTGCCATCACATTTTTATATATAGAGTACAATTTTTTTCTTTCAACCCAGAGGCCAGAATTTTGTAAGTACACAAAAAATCAACAGTAAGTTATCTGTTATTACTAAATCTGTCAACAACCAAATGACTGTGCTATTGTCTCATGCTCCCTACACTGCAGTTTTAAATTAGTGCACTTGTCCCATAACTTTTAAGCATAAAATATTAACCAAAAAATAACTCTCTCTTTTAGAGGGAGGACAAAACATACTTTTTACAGGTAATACATATAGCACTCAACCACATACTAGGCACTGTCCTAAGCTGTATAAAGAACTACTAATTCATGAACTCGATTAATTCTCACAAACTATGATGTAGAGATAATCATTATGTCCATATTAGATGAGGGTGGAGGCCTAGATTAATTTCCCATGGTTGGAGTAAGGATTTGAACCCAGGCACTGTGGCTCTGATGTTGGTGGCTCTTAACCATGTTGTGGTATTTTCTATTGTTTCTTTCAATTAACATAAGGAGATGAGGCACAAAGCTTCCTCTTACCTCATCACCACCTGTTCCCTGGGTGTAGCGGGTATCATCTGCTTCCTCATCATCATCATTGACCAGTTCAGGACGAAATTCAAACACTTCACGACCACTGATCTATTGAGACACACAAATATATCAACTCAGGACAAAAATCTAAACATTCCTTGTCACTGATGAAATAGAAACAAAATCTTGCATGACACAGAAATTGAAAATGGAAGAATAAAGAATCAGTTTGGGTGAGCCTGAGACATACCACTAGTGCTTTCCCTGCTTTGAAGTCAGCTTTCCTTCTTTCCATATCTTGTTCAAGTTTATCAATCTTTTCTTGTCTTTTCCTTTTCTTCCAGGCAAGAAAAGATTCTAGAGTGATTTTGGTAACATTTGGACCTAGGGCAGAACGCTGCAATGGTAAAGAATTAATTTTTTTTCCACAGAAGTCACCTCAAATAGTGCTTAGTTGCAGTTATCTCTTAATGTGATTAATTCCTTGCCCATGACTATCCTGAAGATATTACATTGGAATAAGCTAATTTATGTATTTTTTTACTTTACGTGGCAATGAGCAAAATGAGTATCCAGAGATACAAACACTAAAAATATATTATTCTGAGCTAGATTTCTTCTCACCATTGAAGATGAGTAACTTGTCATAAGAAATTGTTTTAACATGAATCAATTGCTGAAAATAATAAATATATTATAAAAAGCACCATAACAATATCCAAGTTTCATTTGTGTTCCTGAGAAGATGAGAAATAAAACTAAACAAACAAACAAACAAACAAACACCTACTCCTCAGGGCCAATAATCAAATAATAAATATATAGAACAAAAAATTTGCTGAACACTTGCCAGGTATTAAATGCTTTACACACACTATGCACTGATCCCCACAAATAGGTGAACAAAGGGTAATGGGGAATTTACCAAAGATGAATAGCTAACAAGTGTCAGAACCAGTATACAAACCATCTCAAATATACCTGATTCTGAAGTCTACATTTTCTATTATAGTGTGTTATATCCTGAGTGAGACACTAAATAATAAGGCAAAATGGATATAGTTTTTAATATGCAACCCTAAATCTAATGTTTCTAATAATCTCAAAATTTTCATAGAATAAAACTGTGTTTTGTACGGAGCCAAAGACAAGTAGCTGAATATCCTCTTCAGACTCATTCCCTTCTATAAGCAGAGTGAGTGTTTTGAGTCCAGAGCTGATAAAACATATAATTTAAAAACTAGAGTGTTGTCTTCTTCCGTACATATGCTAATAACTAATATACTAGTGAAAAAAGATATCAGGGCGAAAAATCTAAAACTATAAAAATTCAACCAATCTGAGAACTAAGCATTTTTAGTAACTCAATCTTACAGAAATAATTTGATAAGCCATTAGCTAGTACTTAAAAGACTGTTTCACAATCCTAAAATTAATGTCATGATTGGCTAATGTTTATGGCTAGGTTAACATTTTACACATACAAGAATAATTAAAGTAGGGCAACTTTGGGAATAGATCACAATATTTTTTTTTTCCTTTCATAAAAGGCTATTGCCCCAAGTGGTAAGTATTAGAATTTCACAATAAATACTGCTTTCAGTTTTTATGGTAGGAAAAGGATACCAGTTACCTCTCTCTCAATTAGATCTTCTAATGAAATTTCATCTTCTTTCTCTTCTTTCTTTTTATCTTTTTTCAACACAAATCCAGGAGGAAGTGCATGACGATACATGCAAATATCACCCCCTCCAGGGCATACCCAAAACCAGCCATACTTGTTGTTTTCAATAGCTTCCAGGAAATGCTTGCACACCTATAGAGACAATATTATTCACAAGCGGTGGCTCAGTGTAGGCCATTTCCAAGGTAAATGCCTGAGTATATGGAACAAGTATACACACAAGTACGTTATATTACACAAGTACATTCTATTCATTTCTGCACATAAGGGTGCTCTGTCTAGCCTCTATTCTGTGCAGAAATGCAACAGAAGTTTATCTTAAAATATGTAGAACAATGGCAAATTCCCTTAAAGGGGAATCTATACAGTTTTCATTTGTTCTAAATTCTAAATCATACGAAAATGACTTACTTGTTTCAGTTACCCTTTGTAAATGTACGCCCCCGAATCAGAATATACAATTAGCTATAAAAAATAAAATCAGGCCAGGCGTTGTGGCTTACACCTATAATCCCAGCACTTTGGGAGGCCGAGGCGGGCGGATCACCTGCTGAGGTCAGGAGTTCAAGACCAGCCTGGCTAACATGGTGAACCTCCACTTCTACTAAAAATACAAAAAATTAGCTGGCCGTGGTGGCACATGCCTGTAACCCCAGCTACTTGGGAGGCTGACGCAGGAGAATCTCTTGAACCCGGAAAGCAGAGGTTGCAGTGAGCTAAGATTGCGCCACTGCACTCCAGCTTGGGCAACAAGAGCAAAACTCCGCCTCAAAAATAAAATAAATAGAATAAATGATTTTCTTTGGTTTGATCTTTCCTAAATAAAAATGAATCACAAGCAGTATACAGGAGCAAGGTACAAAAGGAACACAAAGAGAGTGACCCTTCACAACATGGATAGAAGATACAATTGTATTTAAGCCTCAAGTATTAAGCTTTGCAAGTAAGAGAAAATTAACAAACAGTATCCGCCCCCAAAAACAAACATAACAGATGTGTATGAATGTAGTATTTAGAATTATTCTAGCACAGCAAGACTTTTTACTGTAACTTCACTATAAATATAGACATAAATGCAAAGTTTGAGACATCAAGAACCAATTTTTAAAGGTACATTTCCTGGAATTAGAGCCACTACCTACCAAAAATTCATTTTGGAATTCATATGTAGAAATATTTTAAACCTTAAAATTTAAAAATCTATCCCTATTAAAACTAAATACATTATTAAGTGGGTTAGTTTAACAGGCCTCCTTCCACTCTGTGCAAAAAAATAGGGATTTTTGTCTGGATATGTAATTTTGTTTATCCATATTTGAGAACGTTCACCTCAGAAAATGGCATTTAAAGGACTTCAGTAACATAGTTTTATTCTTGTTCAGCTATTTCTGAACAAGAATCTATAAAATCTAACTTGTAAATTCCAAAAATAAAGCTTCGTGTACCTTATCTTGATGAAATCAAATTTTCCAGTAACTTACAGAATAATCTAATAGAAAATAGCAGCAAATACCTTGCCACATAATTCTCCCTAATGATAAATATCACAGCAACTCAATTCAAGAAAAGGACATACTATTTGAGTTTTTGGTTTTTTCTTTTCCGCCTCACCGTGCTTCTTGTTCACTACTTCTTCCAGCTTTTTCTCATCCCAATTATCCATAGTATCTAAATAAAGAAATGAAGATTAAATACTGTAATCTTATCTACTACTCCCACAACACATATCTCCTTAGACACTAATGCTGTGTTATAAGACTCATGGCTTAACACATTTTTCTTTTTCTTTTTGTTGAGACGGGGTCTCACTGTTGCTCAGGATGGAGTGTGATAGCATGATCACGGCCTACTGAAGCCCTAACCTCCCTCAATCAGCCTTGATTGACTGAGCTCGATCAATTCCTCCTGCCTTAGCCTCCCAAGCAGCTGGGTCTACAGGTATGCAACACAATGCCTGGCTAATTTTTCTATTTTTTTGTAGAGATGGGGTCTCATTATGTTGCCTATGCTGGTCTTGAACTCTTGGGCTCAAGTGATTCTTCCTGCCTTGGCCTCCCAAAGTGCTGGGATTATAGGCATGAGCCACTGCTCCTGGCCTCACGGTTTTCTTAAAACACCAAAGGCAGAAATAAATAGTTTTAAGATTATTCACCAAGGCCGGAGCAGTGGCTCATGCCTGTAATCCCAGCACTTTGAGAGGCCAGCGTGGGCAGATCACGAAGTCAGGAGATCAAGACCATCCTGGCCAACATGGTGAAACCCCATCTCTACTAAAAATACAAAAATGAGCTGGGCGTGGCGGCACGACCCTGTAGACCCAGCTACTTGGGAGGCTGAGGCAGGAGAATTGCTTGAACCTGGGAGATGGAGACTGCAGTGAGCTGAGATCGTGCCACTGCACTCCAGTCTGGGCGACAGAGCCAAGACTCCGTCTCAAAAAAAAAAAAGAAAATTATTCACCAAAGCTTCCTAAGTACTTTGGATAAATGAGCAGGTAGTACTGAAGGAAAGGGTGACAGACAATTCCAAAATAAATCACTGTTTTTTAAAGTATCTTCATTTACTTAAAGGGCATATTATGGTAATTTTCAGATTTTATAAAAAATAATAAACCCAATTAATTATTTTTTATAAACAGTCTATTAAGATTGAAATGTTCTTCAATTTAATAAATATCTTAGTAGCAAACCGAAAGTATTCAACATTTATTTTTAAGAGAGTGTTTTTAAAAAAATTACCTTTTTCAAGTTCTTCATCTCTTGCATCAATGTAAACACTTCGCTTTTCACATTTTCTCTCCAGAGTCAAGTCATGGGAGAACTTACACTTATCTCCTTTAGTACACTGTCCTTGCTTGAAGAATGCACATACTACAGACTTGGGATCTGCACCTATGTCAAATGGCATATGGTATTTGTATTATAATCTGCCAGGCTGTAAAGTATAGATTCTACCTGAAATATGATGAATTTTGGTTAACTTATTTTCCATTCACTGATGTGAGAGGAAAACGGCACTTATGGGTGATTAGCAAGACATTTCTTTAAAGTTCTTTTTGTAGCATTTATGTCTACTTTTGTTTCTTTTATTCTGACTATGAAAGGTGGCAGAGAGTGGGAAACCAAACAAGAACATAGGCTATTTCACAGGCTTTGTCTAGTTGATGTCAATAGGGCAAGAGGCAAAAAGGAGGCCAGGCATGGTGGCTCACACCTGTAATTCCAGCACTCTGGGAGGCCGAGGCAGACAGATAACGAGGTCAGGAGATCGAGCCCATCCTGGCCAACATGATGAAATCCCGTCTCTATTAAAAATACAAAAACTAGCTGGGCGTGGTAGTGCGTGCCTGTAATCCCAGCTACCTGGGAGGCTGAGGCAGGACAATGGCTTGAACCAGACAGTCGGAGGTTGCAGTGAGCTGAGATGGTGCCACTGCACTCCAGCCTGGTGACAGAGCAACAATCCATCTCAAAAAAACAAAAACAAAAACAAAAACAAAAAAAGGCAAAAAAGAAATGAACATACATGACAGAACAGTGCCAAAAACTTGGGACGTACAGTTTATTCAACTATGGCTTTGCTTACCTACTACCAAAGACTGAATGTTATAAATCAATTAGCAGTCTATTAAATTACTAATTTTGCCTTAAGTGTGGGGTGCATGGCTGCAGTTCAGCTGTACAATGACACAGATGTGAACATATACAGAGGAATCATAAGCAACCCACTGACATAGGTAATTTTGATGGAGTAACATTTTCATTCAGACATAACTGTCTCATTATCTAAAGAAAATAAACATCAAAATAAATAGTTTTTAGCATAAACTACATTTGATAAAAAATCACACTTCTGAAATTTTAAGTTTACCTTTACTTATTTTTTGAGCAGCAACTACAGGTTTGAACAGCTCATTTAGCTCCTGCAATTCTTTCTTCTTGTCATCCTTCTTCAATTTCTTTTCAGCTTCACTCTGTGCTACCTATAATATTCCCAGGTTTAAAATGTAAATTTGATTGTTTACAAAATTGTTTTTACTACAAAGTTAGCATTACCATAACAAGACACTTGCATATTTACAGTCCTTACCTTTTAACATCAGTGTTATAATGGCCTTACAGAGTCTATTCAATGTTGTGGTTAAACTATTAAACAAAATTGTAATGATGGTACCATGCCTAGTTAAAAGCAAAAGCTTACAGCAACAAGCATTTATTAAGCACTTACTACATGCTCAGCATTTTTAGCAAATAGTTTTCACCTGCAATATTCTTCTGTGAAAACAACCCACTCCCCAGAAACGTACAGGTTCATTTTGAAGATGAGACAAGCAAACATCCTGAAATGTACAGTCCCACATGATAATGAATTATACCACCCCAAAAACCTATATAGTGCCCTCATGGAAAAACACTGGGTTAGGTCAATGTAGGATATTAAACAAAACAATTCAAAACAAAACATGACATATAACATAGTTCCAGGCACACGATTTACATACCTAATATGATTAGAGGATTCATCCAAACATTTATACGTCAGGTCCTATGTTAGATGACAGAGAATACAATGAAAAGACAAAGATGCTTATTTAAAGAAGCTCAGAATCTAGCAGGATGACAGACATGTCAACAACTGTAACATAGTACATAGTGCTCTGGGAACAAAGAATGCCCATATACCTGAGAAAACTAAATTGAGCCAATAACCTTATGGATGAGTTTTTCTTGATGGGCAAGAAAAGAAATACAGAAAGAGCCAGCCAATGCAAAGTTACAGGGACTAGAGGAATAAAGTATGAGAAACATCAGTAAGATGCTTAGATTGCATCAGTAGCTTGAACAGAGTTCTCTCAACTGTTTAAAGTAACCCAATAACAAGGTCAGGTCACATTTTATAAAATATCAAGAGGGCAAGTTTTGTAGAGGATGGATTGGGAATCCAAGAATAAAGGCAAGAGGCTGCTGCAACTGCTGTACACAATAAAACACAAGAGCTTAAAATGAGCATTACTGGTAAGGATGGAGAAAAGGAGACAGAGCTGATAGGACTGACTGAACATGAAGTATAAAGGGGGAGGAATCTAGGATTATCATGTATATGGTTAGTGCCGTTAAACAAGACAGGGAATACAGGAGGAACAGGTTTCAGGGTAAGAGGTGAAGATGAGCTTAGTTTTAGACATACAGAGTGCAAGATGCTTACAAAGCATCTGGGTAGAGCTCTTTTGAAGGCAGATAGACATGCATATTGATTCCACTGAAATCAGAGAGGGTCTGCTTTGAGATAAAGACTTTAGAAATAGCAGCTTACAGGTAACAATTAAAACTTTGGGTATATGGTACTTAAGGAGAGCATAAAAAAGTGGCAAGAGTAAAGGACACTTCCTTGAAGAAAATCAACATAAAATGGGACAAAAGAACCTAAAAAGTCCAATAAAAAGACCTAGAAACATCAAAGAAGCAGGTAGAAAACCAGGACAAAATGTGTTCAAGAAAGAGGAAATTTTAGGAAAGGAATGGCCAAATGCTATAATTAGGTCAAAGACATCCCAAATCCTGAATATGACTCTATATGGTGGATGTGTTTAAACACAAAAAATGTTTTGAAAGAAAAAATTTAAGTCGCTTAATTTTTAATAGAAGTATCCTTTGCTCATCAGGCCCATCTCAAACATTTGTGGGGCAATGTTTGAGCAAGAATACAATGGAGGTCTACAAGCCATTTATCTAAATATTTAAAATTAGAAATCAAGTTCATGATGAATAAAATATGGTCTGTAACCCTACTCGACAAATATACCTTATGACCTGGAAGGACAGGTTCAAATTTAAAATGCTCAGACTCCATGGAGTTCCACACTGAAGCATGGCAGCAACACAAGAGTTAGCCCTGGGCTCTTTTTTCTCCTCTTCCCACCCCGTTTCATTCCATTTTGGGTGTAGGGGGAGGTAAAGGTGCAAGAAGGAAGGAAAGGGTATGGATGCAGGCTCTGTTCAAACCCTTAGCGTACACTGTTCTCTTGGCTACCTCAGACATATTGGTAGCACAATGGACAGAGATGGGCATGGTGGAGAGGCCTTTGTAGGCAGATAAACCAGGGTCAGAATGTTGTAGGAAGAGATGTTGCAAAATCTGGGTGGGTACATCCCCTTGGCTTCAGTGACTCCTTACCTGAGGGGAGACAGCAGTCTGGAGAAGACACATGTATCGCAGGGCCTAGACCAGGATACCCCCTGTCCAGCTCTAAGAGCAGCACTACTGCTCATTTCCGATGTTATATATGATGGGTAGGTACCCCATGTTCACAGATAAGTCCAGTTATCCACGCAAGTATCAAAAATATAGTATTAAATATACTATCAAAGCTAACTACCAGCACACACATTTCATAACTTTCCCAGGTTTATGAATTCTGATATCACCACTCAAAACACTTTCCACTAGAAGAAAAAGTTGGGGAAGAGAAAGCAGGATTGAAAAAGGGGCTAAGTGAAGAAAGTGAGTTCTTCTTACATATTGATATCTATATTCACCAGAAAATTTACATTATTTTCTTATTTAACCACCAGAAGAATCCAACAAAGAATAACTGCACTTCCACAGTACAGATAAAGACCAGGGTTGCTATTTAAGGATCATGTAACAAAAAAGATAGGAAGATTCACACCCAAGTCTATCTCACTGCAAGGTCTCAGCTGATCTGCCCGCCCCGGCCTCCCAAAGTGCTGGGATTACAGGCGTGAGCTCTAAACATTAATTTTTATTAAACCGGGCTATTAAGTTAGCAGTTTGGAAGAGCAATAGTTTTAGATTCTAGAATCAAGCTGGGAAAATGGATGTGAAAGGAAAGTGTTGGGTCACTGATTTGCAGACAGCATGAGCAAGAGAAATTTACTTATCTCACAAATACATATTAGCAGATTTTTAAAAAATCTGTAAACACATGAGAAATTCTTTCTTCTCTCCTACATTACAAAAATGTGTTTCCAGAAGTTAATGAAAAGGAGATAAAAATGGTGGAAAAATGTACTTTAAAAATAAAGATCCATGTCTATGAAATCTTTACAAGTGAGAGGTCTAAAGAACCTGAAAAAAAAAGGGGCTACATTTTTTTCAAATGAGTTGCCAATGGATAAACTCATTTTAAAATTCGTATGAAAGAATAAATGCCTAAGAACAACCAGGAAAAATAGAAAAGGTATACCATTTTGGGGAAAAGACTTGCCTTGAGACTTTAATGTACAGTCAAGCACAGAATTAATGACATTTAGGTCAATGAGGGACCACATATGACAGTAATCCTGTAAGGTTATAATACCATATTTTTACTCTATCTTTTCTATGTTCAGACACAAATCATTACTAATGTGTTACAACTGCCTACAGTATTCAGTACAGTAACATGCTGTATAAGTTAGAAGCCTTGGATCAATAGGCTATACCATATAGCCTAGGTGTGTAGTAGGCTGTAATATCTAGGTTTGTGTAAGTACACTCTATGATATTTGCACAATGACTAAATCGCCTAACGACACATTTCTCAGATTGTATCCACATCACTAAACAATGTATGACTATGACTGTAGGATAATAGTGGTATTTCAGTTGGATAAATGATGCTGGTGTAAGCAGCTATTCATTTAAAAGAAAACAAACTTAGTCTGGGCATGGTGGCTCACGTGTGTAATCCTAGCACTTTGGGAGGCCAAGGCAGGCGGATTGTGAGGCCACCCTGGGTGACACGGCGAAATCCCGTCTCTACAAAAAATACAAAAATTAGCTAGGTGTGGTGTCATGCGCCTGTAGTCCCAGCTACTTAGGAGGATGAGGCAGGTGGATGGCTTGAACCCAGGAGGCAGAGGCCGCAGTGAGCCAAGATCACACCATTGTATTCCTGCCTGGGCAACAGAGTGAGAACTTTAAGATATATAAAATAAATTCATATGACATAGACTATAAAAATAAAATAATTACAAATGATCTAGGAAAAACATGCAGAATCCAGTGGCAGGGGAGACCTTATAACCATATTTTTAAAAAGCTAGCAACATATCTAGCAATATTAAACTCTATATATACATGTAAGTTAAAAATTGGTGCATGGCAAAACATAACTGAAATATCACCAATTATCTGCAATGCAGACAAAAGGTATCTCATAAATTGACAAGAAAAAGACAACCAATAAAGCAAATAATTTCAATAGGGAAGTCATAGAAGTGCAAACCCAAACAGCTAACAAGTATACAAAAGATACTCTCCAGTAGCGAGGGAAACAATGTAACAATAAGATATCACTTTATACTTATCAGATTGTAACACATTAAAAAGAACTTTAGTATCTATTGCTCATGTACTACAAATGAAAATGTGAAGTACTACAGCCTCTATGGAAAGTGATCTGGCAAATTTATAATGTTAAAATTAGAAATCCATTTCCCTTGATCTGGAGTCTGTTACCAGCTAATTTATGCCACAGAAATAAAAGCATAAACACATGTAAGAACTCCTGTATTTCTACAGGTGGTCTTAGTGTCAGAAAGCTGGAAACAAAGTGATCACTTATGAACAGTGAAATAGATGAATATAACACACCTGTACTGTAGAACGGCATGCAATCATTATTAGAATAAATGAGAGTTATATCAAAATGGCTTGGACAATATCCAAGAGGTACTGCTGGTAAGGAAGGCCAAGGTGCAAAAACATTTCAAGTAGGATTCTGTTTTGAAATACAATTATATAATAATACCAGACATTTTATCTGAAACAGAGGCTATATTAATATTACATTTATAAAAAGATATGGACATTTAAATTACTTACCTGACGTGGATTTTGTTGACCAAATTTAACTTGATGTGTGACAGCCTTGATAAACTTCTGTTGCTTTGCTCCTTTCTTATTCTTCAAACCGAAAGTTTTGTCCTACATGAGAAAGAGCACAGAAATATCTTAGCAATTTATGTTACCATATATATCCTCCAATGATATCTAAAAATCATTATTTTTATTGATAATTATTCTTTACTAATATAAAAACATGCAAAACACTAAACATCAAGTCAAGGCAATATATGACCTTAAATCATCACCCAGATTCTTTACAATTCAATATGTACTCAACATTATCATCATTAAACCTGTTATTCTATGAAGCTTTTTAAATTTTATTATTTTTATATATATTTTTTATTATACTTTAAGTTCTAGGGTACATGTGTACAACGTGCAGGTTTGTTACATATGTATACATGTGCCATGTTGGTGTGCTGCACCCATTAACTCGTCATTTACATTAGGTACATCTCCTAATGCTATCCCTCCCCTCCGCCACCCCACAACAGGCCCCGGTGTGTGATGTTCCCCTTCCTGTGTCCAAGTGTTCTCATTGTTCGATTCCCACCTATGAGTGAGAACATGAGGTGTTTGGTTTTTTGTCCTTGCGATAGTTTGCTAAGAATGATGGTTTCCAGTTTCTATGAAGCTTTTTCTAAAGCATATTTTGGATATCAGTTCTATGGGATGTGCAAAGTTCTTATATTGGGATAAGAAGTCCTGTAGTTAAATACATTTAGGAAAATGCTTGATTAAAAGGATTCTTAATTCTTAAGCACAAGGTATCTTACAGCCCTTATCAGAGGGAATATAATAATATGCAGCACCTCCAAATCATCCTTTGTAGCAGAATCCATTTTTACTCAGAGTATCTTGAGAGGTTATACGATACTGAACACATTTTTGGGACTACTACATAAGAAGAGGAAGATACATTCAGTTCTGGACTGGTTTTTTAGTTAATAAATGTTATCCTCTCAAAAACAATTAAATTTAATAAAGAAATCAAACTACTGAAATGTATACATTCCTAGTTATTGCTAAGATGGAAATACTAAAAGTATGTAAATTAAAAGCAACATTTTCTTTAAATCTGGAATATTAATACAGTAACTTGGTAATATTCAATATAACAGCAGCTATCACTTATGGAATGCTCATTATGTGCTAAGCACTAATGGTGATCCTTGGCTATCTACTCATATTTAGTAAGTATGCAGTATGGGGTTGGGGGGAGAAAAACATTAAAAAAAATAAGTATGCAGTACAAAAACATATAGAAGCCATTGCACAAGTATGAGCAAGCGTGTGTGTGGAGGGGAGCAGTGGTCTGTAGTGGGCTGAATTTTGGAATGTCCCCCAAAATTCAAGTCCACCTGACCATAAATTTGACTTTATTTGGACGTAGGTCTTCACAGATGTAATGAGTTAAGATGACATCATACTAGATTAAGGTAGGCCCTAGATCCAATAACTGGTGCCTTAATAAGGACCACACAGGCACAAAGTGAAGGAAATGTGAAGACAGAGTGACACTGCTATATAAGCCAAAGAATGCCAAGGATTGACAGATGCCACCAGAAACTAGGACAAGGCAAGGAAGAATTCTTCCCTACAGTCTTCAGAGGGAGGGAGCATGGCCCTGCTGACACTAATTTCAGACTTCTAGCCTCCAGATCTCTGAGAGAATAAATTTCTGTTGTTTTAAGTGACCCAGTTTGTAGTCATGTTACAGCAGTTCTAAGAAACTCATATAGCAGGCTTGACTAGTGAGCTTCTCCCTAAGGTGAATGTGTGACAAGCCTGACAAGAAACCAAATGCTAATATCTGAAATATTTTTTCTGGGTCTTTTCTGGTTCTCTGGAGAAAGATCCTCCAGCTGGGAGGGCAATAAGTCTAACTGTAAACAAGAGAAAAGAGCAGGTAGAAGGGGTCTCAGTTTACTGTACAGACTTACTAGCTTCCATTTTCAGGCTCACATCCCACCTCCTCTGTGCTTAGTGTTCCAGAAGCAGAGAGGCCTGTTCTCTGCCACCTCCCACCTCCAAGAAGACCCCTCCTGTTTCTTGCAGAGGTAGTCACCTGGCTGAGCTGTAGTAGATAAGAATTATTAATTACTCCTAACACTTTTAACTTCTAGTTTTCAGCCTCTTGCCTTCTGTATTACCTAGTGCTTCCCATTGTTGAGTTTTTTTTTTTTTTCATAATTTTGCAGAGGAAATGCACTTGCTTCTTACAGGCACACTCCTAGACAGGCACTCAGACATAACCGCTCTGCTCTAAGTCAGTTACCAACTCATCCATCTACTGCCAATCTTCATATGCTGAGGTCCAAGATTACAGATGTCTTCTAATTTCAAAATAGAATTTGTATTTCTTTCTCATTCTCTTGTTTATGGGTGGTTTTAGAGAGGAAGAAGAGGCAAAAAGGTCTTCTCAAAGTAATTTGAGACCCTCTGAGTGGCATTTAGTATGAAACAAGTGGCCATTTTATAGCCTTTATTTTGCTATTATTTCTAAGGGAAAGGAAAAGTAATAATGAGTAGAAAGAATAATAGATACAAAATACCACCACGTGGACAAGCTAGAAAAAGAAAACAATAGTACTGAAACAATTAGTATTTAAAAACATACAACATGACATAATGTTTACAGCAACCTCAAAATCAGTAAAAGATCTTTCAATAGTCTTAAGACAAAAAAGTACAGAGGGTTTTGCTTCTAAATGGTTATCTCTCATTGGGAAATATCTCTTTATTCATGACATCTATATCCATATACCAAAACTTTGCTTTCCTCTACTTAAATGCTTGTTTCATGATTTAACATCCCAACATGGTATTATACAAAATTCTACATGAATTTTCTACAGCCTATGTGTATGAAAAAAGGTAAGAAGCACAAACAAGCTGGATGTTTCTGCACTGAGCCTTTTACGGATGGCTTCCCTTGTTTCTATAAAGAAAGTTTAACACTCAATTCAATTTGAAGAAAGATGGTCAACATAATGTGATACATACAGATGAACACAGTGCAGCAACTAAGTATAAAATGCCATACTTTTCCTTTACAAAAAGTGAGCTCTCACGGGAGGGAGAGGAGGCTCTAGAAAAAAATATGATCAGGATTAAACAGCATCTACAGGTGCTCTGCCAGAGAAAATAAACTGCGGTTCAACCCATGCTCCATCTGTAACTACAGAGAAGAAACAATGAATAAATAAGGCCAAATAGCAAAGCAGATACTGCCAGATAGACTTAGGAAAGAAAAATGTCCCCTAAGGGGACCTGGCCAGTAAGAAAAGAAAGCACTCACAATGGCAGTTTCTGGTAAAGGTGTATAAACTCCCGATCCCAGAAGAAGAAAAAAAAAATCAGGTTTCATTACACTGCTCTGGCACATAAATAACCAGTTTAAAGAGATAATAAGTGAGTTGTGTTCACCTCTAAGTTAGAGCTCAGAAATTAACATTTTTCCACAGAGAAAGGGGACACTTATTTATCTAGTATTCACTAAACATAAACATAACCCCTGAATATATACTTTATTGAATCCTCTCAACAATTCTATGATACACAGAAACTCAGAAATGATAAATTCATTTGAAGTTAAGTCATTAATAAGGGGCTGGCTGTATAGTGCAAGCATTTAGAAGCATAAACTCTGGAGCCAGACTGCCCAAATTTTAATCCCAAACAGAGCTGGGTAAATTACCCTCTTTGCCACAGTTTCTTATTTGTAAAGTGAGTCTCACTTAGGGTTGTTGTGAAAGTTAAAAGATTTACCTCAGAGAGACAGTGGTGGACAGCAAGGACTCTAGAGGCAGACTTCCTGTGTTAGAATCCCTGGCACAGTTACTTGCCAGGTTAGTAAACTTGGGCAAGTTATTTAATATCTATGCCTGTTTTCAAAACTGCAAAAAGGGTAATAATACATATCCCACTGAGAGAATCAAAGGAGCTAGTATATTTATCACTTGTAGTTGGCTTGTCTCTCTTCTCTCCTTCTCCCCAAAACACTGAGAACCTTGTCTGGGCCAGTAAATGTTAACTATTAAGTGACAGATGATATTTGAACCTAGGTATATTTGACTCCAAGCAAATTCCTTCTACAGTTTTTAATAAACTACTTCCCAGAGAAACCTCATTAAGTTATTGGGCTGGTTGGTGCGCAATAACCTTTCTAAATATCACACTGCAGATCTGAGATACCAATAGCACCTCTTGAAAACAGAATGATTTGCAATTTGGAGAAGTTCAAAAAGGCTTCTTCCTGAGTTTAGGACAGAGCCCTACCTAAAGATTAACCTGAATTACAAGGTAGAAAAAAAGGAGGTTACAGTCAACCCCAAACCACAGTTAAAATAAAACTAGGAGAATAATGGTCCTCATTGGATTAATAAGGTCCCAAAAGTTAACATGATAGTAAAGGAACTGCGTGTTTATGTGTGTTTCAGAAGACAACTTGGGACATGAATACAGAGGAGTCTCGAAAGAAAAGGATGACTTCCTGAGGCTCCAAGAGCCTTAACACTCAGTAAATTCCAGGCTTCACTTAAAACTTCCCTCCCATCCGTACGTAATCCCATTCCTTTTACGGGCCAGCCTCCACTGCTTAAATAAGATGTTTGGAAAAAGGGAAGCAGCGGAAGGGCAGGTCAACACTGAATAGTGCTCCAAGATAATGGAGTCTACCCTCTTGGGACATTCGGGTAGGCAGAAGCTGTCACGGTTTTCCCTCATTAGTTTTCTCCCAAATGCACTAATGTATTCTTGTTGTCCATCCATGCAATATATATTATGCAACTGGTTAATCCAGCTTCAAGTAATCAACATTTGATTTTGGCTATTGGTAGCTGTTCTACACTGGCAACCAATTTCTCTTGCTCCATCTTTCACGACACCTGGATCCTGTCTCTATAGGTCCCTATTACTATTTCCTTGCTGATACAAGTTCTTAGCTGGGTATCTTTTATTTGCTTGCCCTAAGTCCAAGATTATTTCCTTCTTTCCATATTCAAACTTTCTATTGCTCAATACTGACTCCATTTGTCACTAAATTTTAGTTGTAAGAAAGCAAATGGTATATGCCATTTCAGACTAATGTGTTAATTTCTAACAGAACCATAATCCTGTTTGACATATTCATTTCGGAAAGTATTAATACAAATGAATTCATAAAGTTTTGGGGCATTTGAAGAGGCAAATAAAAAAAATGGAGGCAATATTAAAAAATGGAGGCAATATTAAAAAATGGGCAGGAACTAAGCACTGTATAGACTGTGCAGATCAGTCTGATGTCCCCTAGTTTTTATTTATAATACACTATCAAAATAGGCAATAACAATAGCTGCCATTTACTGAATATATACACCATATGGCAGGCACTTTACATGTATTATCTCATTTAACTCACGGGAACTAGCTGCATTTTGCAGATGAGAATTGCATTCCAGCTAGATTTTGTAACTTGTCTAAAACTATAGAGCTAGTAATTTGAAACATGGGACTCAAACCCAGGTCTCTGACTCCAAAGCTAGTGTTCCTTTCATTAATTTATGCTATCTGATGTCTCTTTTACTTCCTTAGAGTTCCCAAAACCTGCATGTTGATTTTTCCACAGTGAAGGTCCATAGAGGTGGCAGCAGAACAGGTACAGAAGAGGAAAGAGGTAGGTAGGACAACCATTATTTTCAAGTCTATTGAAACGTGCTGCTTAAAAATACATGTTTTAGTTAACTATTAATTTTGAGCAATTTAGAATTTCAGGTCATACAGCTATAAAACCTCCCAAAGTTAACCAGATTCTGAAATAAGTATCAGTCTTTATATGTCAAAATAGACTATAAAAAAGTAGTATTTCCCCCTCCAAAATTATAACAGTCACAGAGATCAATTATCTTCTTGGAATAGTCACTGAGACGTGCTAGGCTTTTAGGGAAGTTTAAAAAAAAAGTTGCCTATATAATGAAGCAGACTATATCATTTCCTAACCAGGCTGAATAACAGAATAGTCTCTATAAATCTAATTTCACAAATGCTGTAACTTAACACTACAATTCAAAATATTGTTGTACCTCTCCAGTAGTAGCAAATATCAATGTTGCACATGAGTCTGACAAACTTTGTTGCAGTATTTTTTGAAAAAGCTCATCAGGTCCCTGGACCAGAACATAAAAGAACATCTAGATTACAAGATGTCAGGCTAGGAGGACCTTCTTAAAGGCAAGTGGACACATTTCAAAGGAAACAAACTATGATCACTGAGAAACAAATGGAATATTTGAACATCTTGTTCACTAAGAACCCATACCCAAACCTCAGTCTTCAGAAAGAAATGGCCTCAAAGACATACATCCAACGGTACTGCAGGTTAGGTTAAAGAATGATAGCACAAAACACAAGAAAGCAAAATGCAAGCATATTCAGCAAAAGCAAGAAGCTCAACAACTGCAATTAACTGAGGGTGTAGTCAAGACCAGTCCTTCCCAGAGAAATAGACACACCACCCAGATCCCCTAATGATGCCTATCCTGTAGCTCTAATGTATACAGATGATTGGACACTCTCATGCCAACTCAGCGTATGCCCCAAGGTTAAGGTCCCTACAGATGACTCCATTAGCCACAAAATAATCCATTCTGGCTGCCGAGATTTTAACAAACACCGCCTCTAACCCATTTTGGAATCCTAAGTTTGTTTTTCAAGCGTCAATTATAACGTCTTTTGGTTCCTCCAAGTAGAGAGAGACACTAAACACAAAAGGTGACATATTGTAATGGTTCCCATACAAGAGAATACTTTTCAGCAATAAGGAACATACTAGAAATATACACAACATGCATGGATCTCAAAAACACTGCATGGTGTGAAAGCAAGAAGAAGGACACAAAGGCTACCTACTGTATAATTTATATGAGTTCCTAGAGTGGTAAAAACTAATCTATCCTGTCAAAAAAATTAGTGGCTGCACGTGTGGAAAGAATTAAATAGAAAGAGGCACAAAACAAATTTAGTGGGGTGATAGAAATGTTTCAAGTCTTAATTAGGGTGGCAGCTACCTGGGTGAATAAATTCCTCAAAACACATAGAACTATACATCTAGAACCTGTACATTTTATTTTACATAAGTTATACCTCAACAAAAAATAAATTAAAAAAATAATATATATTAAATGTAGAAAACACAAAATCGGGCTTAATTTCACCACTTTGTTGTTGTTAATATTTTTAGTTAAAAAGTGCAGTTGTCTTATTTTGCATTTTTCTTTGGAGATACCTTCATTATTGAAACTAAAATTGCTTTCTCTTTAGCTAAAAAATAATTTCGTCACAAGATGACTAGAATCATAACATATGCATCATTTTAAAAGTTGATGGATACTATAAACAACTTTCACACATAATTCCTTAAAATAAGAATACTAGTCCTACTAATTAAAAATAAAACAATTAGATATAGAGAAAGCTCTACAATGCATGAAGTATAATTTAAATTGTCTAAATTATTACATAACATTTAATTTCAATGGGAGTTTTACTTCGTATCAGGGTCCAATCTCGAGGAAAACGACATCCCTAAAATGTCCTTGGTTTTCATAAAAGTGAATGCCATCCGATCAGCAACCCCTGAAATTTACCTAAGTGCCACGAATCCAGATTGTTCAAATAAGGTAATAGAAAACACAGATGTGAAGGTAATATTTTGTTTTTAAGTGTCTGGCTATAGTACTTCATGACAGTTTTAAACTGTACAAATTGGCAATAAGAATACCAGTTCTCCTCCAAAGTTGGAACCTGGCCAAGTATAGCAAAATTCTTAAGCATTTTCTTAAATCCAATGAGCAGACTTTACACCTTATGCGGTAAAATGGTCATGGCTTTTTCTAATTATATCCAAAGTACAAGAGGTCCTATTTAATTATGAGGAGGATTAATAGCAGAAATCGAGGGAAGAAATACCTCGTTGGGGTCTGTATGGTATGTTTACGTAATGTCAAATATGGTTCATCTTTTAAGGAAACTCAATTCAGTTGTTGGAAAACAAGTGCACAACATGTAAGAACGTCAATAGCGTTCCTTGGCCATTAAAGGGCTACAGGCTCAATGTGTTAAACGAATATATATACACACACATATATACACATATACACACACATAGATGTATACATATATACACGCGCACACACACACATATATCTCAAACTGGGTTACGGGACTTCACACAATTAGTGACACTGAAACCTAATCTCTTTTAAGGCGTTATCCTATTTAATCCACTTCAGAATGTAAGTACCAAGCTCTGCGTTCAAGACCCTGGGTTGTGACGGAAAGTCCTTCCATTCTTTATGGGACTTTAAACATTTCAGAGGTGGATCGAAAAAGCCACCAAGTCGTAATTTGTTGGTTCAAAAGAACTAACAGTACCATCCCTGGGTGACGGGTAAAGAAATAACGAACACAAAGACTCGTCATGAGTCGGTCTTCCAGAAAGACGCTGGCCCGAGACCGTTCAGCGTATTTCTTCACACATAACCTTGGAAAATCTCCTCAATTCTGAGAGGACTAGCGAAGGATAAAACCCTGTGCCAGTCCCGAGGGGTCATTTCGCACCCGGGTGCATGGGTGGGTGAACACGGGCGTGTGGGCGGAGAGGCAAAGCCCAGGTGCGGGGGCGCCAGCAGCGTCACTATAGTAATGAGAGAGCTAGCGTCATCAGGGGCTGGAGAAGGGGCAGTGGGCCACACAGGCCTAAGGGAGGAACACGTGGCCCGAGGAAGCGAGCCGGCTCCCAGGGAAGCCCGGAGCGGGGAAGTGGCTTTCCGGAGGGCTCGCGGCGTGAGTGGGGGAGGGGTGGGTACTCACTTCGATAATCTTCTCCTTCTTTTTTTGCTCCGCCTTTTTGCTGCCCCCGGCCTGAGCCTGTTTCTTGGGGGGCATTGCGGAGACAGATGGCACCGGCCAGACTTACGCGCAGCTGAATACCGTCAGGGGTTCTGGCCCTGCGGCAGGACGAGGAGGAAGACCGGGGCCTCACTCGCCGCACCGCACGGAAAGCGAGTCGCTCATTGGCCCCGCAAACGCGGCCTTTGCGACAGGTCGATGTCGCAGAGCATAGTGGGTAGCGAGGAGCGGCTCCCGGAAGCGGAGCTGCGCGTGCGCGCCCACTGCGTCCCACTAGGAGGGGGCAGGGACGGGACGTGGGAAAATGACTACGCGTCACTCGTGATGTCGCGCATCCGATAGGCCCTTTTCAGATGGCAAAAGGCCTGAGGGTGAATCTGGGCGAGCTGGTTGAGTCCATGCGTTTGTGCTTCCTCTCAGTCCACTTTCGCTTACGATGGGGCGACTCTTGTCCATCGTCACCTCACCGGGAAACTTTTCCTGCCGGGCCAGTTAATGGTCCCCTGTACCATCCCCATCCTGAGTGACTACTAAGCAGCCGCAGCGACTCGGGGTTGCTCCGTGACCACGTTACTCAGTTAACCTTCTTGTTCCCTGGAGAGGCGGAGCTGAATGGCCCGTGAGTGTCGCGTGCTTCAGATTCCTGCGAAGGATTATTTAAAAAATGGAAAAAGTTAACTTTCATTTGCAGGGTCCCTTTCATTTGAAGAGCATCTGAGATGGCGTCCCAGATAAGGAGGCACTTGAACTCCTTAGAAGTACTGTATTAAGTTATTTTGAGACTTTAGGAGAGTGCCTAGGTGATTCCTAAAAATTCCTTTATAACGTGAAAGTAACCAAACTTAGTTAGAACTTAGTTTAAGTGCTTGGTAGCTCCAGAAATTCCTTGGCACATTACACACACTATTTCATTTAGTTATCACAACGACACTTAGGTGGGAGTTGTTACTGTTTTCGTTTTATAGATGAAGCAGAGAAAGGAAGAAAGATGCCCAAAGTTATATTAAGGACAGAGCCAGCAATTGTAATCTTGGCAGTCCGGCTTCAGCCTATATGCCTATTACCTAACATTACAAACTTAGATCCTGTTTGAAAAGGTACTTGAATGATGAATGGGACCCATTGATATTTGTACAAACGAAAATACTATTTTTTAAAAATGTACAATGCTTAGCTGTTATTTTTTAAAATGATTATTGTTTAAACTATTTCTGTTAAGAAGCATTGTGGAACCAAGAATCATCTTTATAGATAAAAGTTTTTTTATCTTTTTCATTAATTTGAATAGGGAGAAAACGATAAGCCCCCCTACTTAGTCAAATTGATTATTTGCTTAGTAATTTTCTACGTAAGATAATGTCAAGGAACCCCAAGTATGTTTTGTGTGTGTATGTGTGTGTGTAGAAGAAATGTGATAGCTACTAAAAAGAATTGTGTCGAGAATGGCAGGTGTATGTTGACACACTTTTTTTCATTTGGGCTCATATTGGCAGGTTAATGGGCTCCCCCCCTTTTACATATTTTCATCTTTATTTTTTGTAATTGTCATAGTTCTTGTCAGAGGATGGAGGGATGCAGCCAGCCCCCTCTTTACTCAGTATTATTATCCATTTGATTATTTGGGGATCGTCTCCTTTGAGACTTTGTTTGCATATGGAATGTAGTTGTCTTAACTTCCTACTTTTAGTGCCCCAAAGATGCCCTTTGGGCCTTTGATTTTGAGTAATTTTACTGATTATTATTATGAGGCAAATGAATTATAAGTAACAAATATGGGGAAGTTACAAAGAATCTAGAGTCTCATAATGTTATGATAATGGCTCCAGTTTCATGGTTCATAACTTCTTCTGTCTCCTGACCTTTGCTTTCGGTTTTTTCCTCTGAAGTGTAGCCCAGGTAGAGAACAAAGATCCTTTCTTGCCTCAAGTGGAAAATACACATTTCTGAATATAGTACATGCTCTTATAGCACTCTCCCTCGTACACTATTTCTTCATACATTTTAGAAATAAGGAAGTCCAACTCATTGAATTCACTACTTTTTGAAATAAGGTACATGGTTTTTCCTGGTCTCAAATAGCAAATGGTAGCAGGGCTGGGACTTTTATGTCTTCTACTGCTATTTTTATTGACCTTACAATTCAAACGAAACTTTCACAAAACAGTGCTTAGAAGGCATAGTCCAAGGGTTACAATTCATATACCCAAGAAAGCAGGGCTATAAACTTGAGCGTCAGGATGAGTGAAATACATTAGGAAGTTGTGGGAACAGTGTTAAACCTGAGGTAAATGCCCACCGTAAAAGAACTAAAAGAAAAACTGTCAAACCTGACTGCTTCGATTTGGTAGACAGGCTGTGAATTTACTGCCTTGGATATAGCCATTTGGATAACTTTACATTTATTGGAATGTATCAGATGTAATAGATTAAGGCAGTAGATTTTGTACTGAATAGAAATTATTGTTTGCTATCCAGCATTCTAATGTCCTTCTGTATAGGAAGGAAGCCCTATGTCTCAGGCTTTTAATCTCAAGAAAACAAGACAAAGACTCAAAGTGTAGGAATTTTTCAGGGCATTAGAGTGCATGTATGGTATTACCAGTCCAGTGGCGGCAGGCCAGTGTGGCAAGATCCATACAAGTCCTTACTTCATTCTTTGCTATTATTTCTTGCTTCTTTTATTTCCCAAGCCTGATTTTCCAGGCTTCCTATAGATTCTGTGAACAATATTTCCATAAACATATTTGAAGACATAGCTAGAAGGTGGCCATCTGCAAGCCAAGAGAGAAGCCTTGGAAGAAACCAAACATGCTGACACCTTGATCTCAGCCTACTAGCACCCAAAACTATGAGAAAATAAATTTCTGTTTTTTAAGCCACCCAGTCTGTGGTACTTTGTTATTGCAGCCCTAGTAAACTAAGACAGACTCTGATTGATAATAGACCAAACTGTGCTATGGGGTGGTGGGCAGAGACAAGACTACTAGTTTATCTAAGTAAATTTTTGTCATAAAGATAGGACTCATTTGGCCATATAAATTGCTGATCTGTTTTATGGGTTAAGGCAGTACATATTAGGAAGTATTTTGATTTAAATAGTGAATGCTTCAAAATTCTGACATATAGTCAGTCTCCTTTAAGACTTTTTTCCCTCTGAATTAAGATATTACAAAAGATTTGCTAGTGTTTCAGTAAAGCATATAAAATGTCTTTTACCTTGTCAGTTTGAATTTCAATACTGTAAACTTTCACTCCAGCCTACACTGATGTAAAATTTTCTTAAAGTAGGTGACTTAAGTGGGTGAATTCTCTGTTTCTATTTGAAATATTTCTTGGTACCATTATGATAATAGTTATTATGGCATTTGTCAAGAAACCAAGATGTACGATTTCCAAATATTTTTTGCCTCGTTGACACTTAAATCATTTCCAATGATTTAAATCAACCATGTCATTTCCCTAGTAATAGTTTTTTAATGGCTTCTTATGTCTTTCTAAAGGGAGTGTAAGGGATTCCACATCTTCCTCAGCCTATAACATCTGCTTTTTATCTTCTGTTATTTCAGTTCTTACTCCTCATTTTAGGCCAGCTTTTCCTATTCCCCACCTTCATATTCCCTCTCTACTCTTATGTGCCTTCGAACTTTTCATAGTCTTATGTGTATACCTCCCCCCTCCCAAAAAAAAACCTATCTACCTTCCATCTAGGTATCATAACTAGAAACTTTGGTGAGTCATCTTTGATTCTTTTTTCAACCTCCAAATCCAGTCAAGTCAATTCATAGTGATTCTATATCTTAAGGAACCTCTTTCAAATTATTTCCTTCCTACTTTACTATCCTATTTCAGGGCCACATTTTTACTTGGACTATTGCAACTGTTTCTCTTGATCTAATTTCTTCACAATGCATTACTCCAAAAGTAAATTTTCAAATGTATGAATTTGATAGTGTCACCCTATTTCATAACTTCTTTGAAGACCTCCCATATACATATATACAGGTTTTAATTTGCATTGATGATTATTCCATAGCTACAATAGTTAATTTTCTTGTAATAAGCGTAAACATTTTTCATACATTTATATAGTCTTAGAAGACAAAATCAAAACCCTGTAAGGAATTTTTTTTTCTTCTCGGTAAGTTTGTAAACTGAGACATGATATTTTATTGTTTTCCCATAACGCATTGCATATTTTCTTAAATATAGGTGCTTAATAAATGTATATTTTAGTGGTTCTCAAATTATGCTCATATGAAAGAGTTCAGTAGGTTGGACTAAGATGATCTACTAAATTGAATGATGATGTATTTCTAATTAACAGAAAAATATTTTTTTTCAATTTTAAGCTTTTTTCCCTCATAGTCATTCTTAAAAAATTAGTAGATTGCTAGCATTTTTCACCTAGCAGATTAAAAAAAAAAAGAAACAGTAATGGATCAAATATTTCATGTGACTGGAAAACCTATATATTCAAAATAATGTGGGGACATTTATGTAAAATATGGTCTTATGTTACAGTCTTTTTGGTGAAATTAAATTTATTAATATATTTTAAATTTTTCCATATAACACCACAAGTTCCAGGTATTTGCTACCTGAAAACATTTCAGAACCACTGTTTTAATGGATTGAATACCATCTCACCTTATAGCTGGATTTAGTGTCATTTATCCTTGAATCCTAAAACCTTTGAAGTGGGAAAGTTGTTCCTAAAAGAACTATCAAATTAGATTCTTCTTATGAAAGCTAATTTTCCATTTCTCTTTTATGACACACTGTATAAAAGGTCATGTTTTATAGTCAAAATATGTGGGTTAAATTTCTTCCCTTCCACTTATATAGGTGACTTTAGGCAAATTGTTGGACACTGGTAAGCTTTACTCTTCTTATATATAAAAGAGGAATAATACTGTTCCTAGCTCATAGGGCTATTGGAAGGACGAAATGATATAATGCATGTCAGTCACTTATTAGAGTACTTGGCACATGTAAACACATAATTAGTGGATACTACTATATAATTCAGGTCATAGTGTAAAGAAGTAAGGAATTCAGCATTGATACATTAATTTCTAAATGAGCTTACTCCAGTAAATATGGAGAATATAAAATCAGGAGATTGGGTGACTGAATGTGGGAGCTGAGGGGAAGAAGTCAGAAAGTAGAAGAGGATCCAGGTGGCAAGCATGGGCAAGTGATCAATGTGGGTGCCAGGGAGGTTACATAGGCAATGATTGGAATGTGTGGCCAGGGCAAGAAATAACATATCCAGTTTTGGCTCTGCTGAATTTATGGTCCTAGTGCGTCATTTATGTGGCAAAATCCAATGGTATATATTTGACTTGTAAACTCAGAAGAGAGTTTAGAACATGGTGGCCAATGGGAATGGATTACTTTGAAAAAGATTGTAGAGAGCCAAAAAAGAATAAAAATGTGAGGAACAATGTTTAAAAGGTAAATACAGAAAAAGAAGTTTAGGGAGGAAAGTGAAAAGAGGCAACTGTGGCAGGGACCCTAGGGAGAAGAACTTTTTGGGTAGTAGAGTATCAACAGGGCCTGGTAATTTTGCCTTGAGTTGGCTTAAATACGGCTACTTACTCATTCCACATTAGGATGAATCATACTGGACATCCAATTTAAGACATGGCTATCTGAAACAAGTGTATATTTCCAACTCTATTGACCTATATTTCTTTTCTTACATATATGGATACTGCCATCTGCTGATAACTGGCATTTTTGAGGGGTCTTTTTTGTAATTATGACATTGTATTTAAGGTATC
Source organism: Homo sapiens (assembly GCF_000001405.40). Lineage (NCBI taxonomy): Eukaryota > Metazoa > Chordata > Mammalia > Primates > Hominidae > Homo > Homo sapiens. The sequence goes on along the minus strand of NC_000002.12, from coordinate 186,480,632 downwards.
GTTTCCCTTGTTCCCTTTTTGGATATATTCTTCCCACAGGTCTCCACATGGCTGACTCATTTTCATCCTACAGATAGCAGCTCAGGTGGCAATTCTTCTAAACAGTTATCCCTGACCACTACATCTAAACAACTTCTACCCTCTGCTCCTAGTTAATATCTATGTCATCATGTGTTTCACTCCTTTAATTTTAGATTTATCTTAATTTGTAATTACTTTGTGTTTTTATGTCTTCATTTCTTACTTGGGTATCTCTTGTCCCAGAATATAAGCTTCATGGGAGCAGGAACCTTGGCTCCCATCAGGTGCCTAATGCAACCTGTCTCTTAGAAAGAGCTCAATAAATGTGCTTTTAAAAATGAGCGATGGTGGCCGGGTGCAGTGGCTCACGCCTGTAATCTCAGCACTTTGGGGGGCCAAATGTGAATCACTTGAGCCCAGGAGTTCGAGACTAGTTTGGCAACATGGCAATACCCCGTATCTACTAAAAACACAAAAATTAGCTGGGCGTGGTGGCACATGCCTGTAATCCCAGCTACTTGGAAGGCTGAGGCACGAGAGTAGCTTGAACCTAGGAGGGGGAGGTTGCAGTGAGCAGAGATTGTGCCACTGCACTCCAGCCTGCGCAAGGAGCGAGACTTGGTCTTGGAATAAAAAAAGATGATGAGCGAGAACTAGAGCTGGCTGAGAGTTCTTGCCCCATTTGTGCTATAAGAGTATATTTAGTTTTGGTATTTATCTTATCTTTTGAATATGAATTTAACAAAATCTTCTGTGCCAAGATGTTATGATCACCCTGATACATCTGGGGATTTTTCCAATAATAATGGTGATGTGCTATTTGTCCCTAAGTCCAAGATTACACAATAAAGGAACAAAATTAATAGATGGCACTTACAAGGATAAATGTCTTTAACTAGGTGTATGCATACATTTGTAGGTGCCTTTTCTTTTGAGTTCCCCTGATGATGCCTCAGCTGCTTGTCATGGAATGTGGGTTTGTAATAGTGGGGAATGGGAAATGGGCAATGTGGAAAGGAAAACGTTGCTAATATATTTACTTGTGCTCTGGACGCGAAATAGCACTTCGTCTTCTTCAATGATGCAGATTAACAACACAAAATGAGAAAAGATTTCAAAAATTCTGTGAGAGAGGTCTTTTCCAGCAGCAGATTATTCTGGAAGTCCTGGAGGGGGCCAGCAATTGTCACTAGCAATTATATTTTCTGAATTAAATAATGGAAAACAGTCTGAAACATTTATTCATGTTCATACAAAGACAAAAGGACAAAACGTTTGAAACTGAATCAGTCCTAAAGTCATTCACAAAGTATAGGTTAACAAAGATATGCCATCAGTATATGGAAGATAATGTGGAACCATAGTAGATGAAATGACTTCCCACCTAGGGAAGTCAGAGAGAGCTTCGTGAAAGAGGTGCTATTTGAACTCTGGAAACAGGAGTTTCCCTAGCAGAGCAGAGAGTAGTGGGTATTGCGGGCAGAGGAAATAGCATGTGCAAATATGTGAATGTGTGCAAGTACATGTCATTTTCAGGGAATGACAATTATTTGGTGAAGGTTTGTTGAGACAGTGATGAGATGAAGCTAAAACATATTAGGATCAGATTTTAAAGGGCCTTATATATCATTTTAAAGAGCTTGGGCTCTTTAAACTGGTTATTGGTGAGCCATTCAAGGCTTTTATAGAGATATATGAGCTCACATCTATATTTTAGCCAAGATAAATATGACAAAAAGTAAATTAGAATGGGGAGAGACTAGACGTAGAGAAATCAGTTATTAGGCTACTGCAGTAGACTTGGAGAAGAATGATGACAGCCTGTACAAAGATGGTAATGATGATGAGAAGAAAATAAATAGAGAGTTATTTAGAAGGCATAAACAGTAGGGATAAATCCATATCAAAGGATATGAGAGGTAAGAAGGAGAAGTAGGAATTGAGGATGATTCATGTTTTCTAACGTGGGTAATTGGATTGAAGATATAAAGAGCCAAATTGGAGCAATGGGGAAGAAAAACAGAAGTTTAGTTTTGGACAGATTGTATTGGCTTTCTAGGTGGAGATGTAGGATAATTGGTAGTTGAAAATACAAATATGGGTTTGGGAAATGTATCGAGGCTAGAAACTGATTTTAGATTCCTCTATAATATAGATGACAATTGAAACAATGGGAATAGTTGAGATCACTCAGGGAGGGTGAATATGATGATAAGAGGGCAGAGGTAAGACCCTTAAGTAGCAGCAACATTCAGGAAATAAAATGTAGAAGTCTGTGGTAGTATAAAATACATTCATAAATTAATTGATACTCTTAAGAGGTGGAGCTTAATTCCCCTCTTTTTTAGTGTTGGGCTGGATTTAATGGCTTACTCCCAATAAATAAAATTAAAGCAGAAGTAACAGTGTATAATTTCTATGGCATAAAAAGTACTGTAGCTTTCTCTGTGTCTCTCTGGCTCACTCGCTCACTCTCTGACTCTTTCTGTCTCCCTCTCTCTCTTCCTCATTGTTTGATCTGGTGAAATCTATTTGTAATGTTGTGAAAACACTCAAGCAGCCTGTGAAGAGATCCATGTGGTGAGGAATAAAGGCTTCTTGCTAATAGCCAGTGAGGAACTGAGACATCTGTAAAAAGCTAGCGACAGACTAAGACCTTTACCAACAGCCACATGGGTGAACCATTGTGGAAATGAATCCTCTAGTCCCACTCAAGCCTTTAGATTACTGTAGCCCCAGTCAATATTTGACTGTAACCTCATGAGAGACTCTAAGCCAGAAGGGTGTTTTCCCTTTCCCGCAAGACATTTCTTTATTTTATTTTATTTTATTTATTTATTTTTTTATTATTATTATACTTCAAGTTTTAGGGTACATGTGCACAATGTGCAGGTTAGTTACATATGTATACATGTGCCATGCTGGTGTGCTGCACCCATTAACTCGTCATTTAGCATTAGGTATATCTCCTAATGCTATCCCTCCCCCCTCCCCCCACCCCACAACAGTCCCGAGAGTGTGATGTTCCCCTTCCTGTGGTCCATGTGTTCTCATTGTTCAATTCCCATCTATGAGTGAGAACATGCGGTGTTTGGTTTTTTGTCCTTGCGATAGTTTACTGAGAATGATGATTTCCAGTTTCATTCATGTCCCCACAAAGGACATGAACTCATCATTTTTTATGGCTGCATAGTATTCCATGGTGTATATGTGCCACATTTTCTTAATCCAGTCTATCATTGTTGGACATTTGGGTTGGTTCCAAGTCTTTGCTATTGTGAATAGTGCTGCAATAAACATACGTGTGCATGTGTCTTTATAGCAGTATGATTTATAGTCCTTTGGGTATATACCCAGTAATGGGATGGCTGGGTCAAATGGTATTTCTAGTTCTAGATCCCTGAGGAATCGCCACACTGTCTTCCACAATGGTTGAACTAGTTTACAGTCCCACCAACAGTGTAAAAGTGTTCCTATTTCTCCACATCCTCTCCAGCACCTGTTGTTTCCTGACTTTTTAATGATTGCCATTCTAACTGGTGTGAGATGGTATCTCATTGTGGTTTTGATTTGCATTTCTCTGATGGCCAGTGATGGTGAGCATTTTTTCATGTGTTTTTTGGCTGCATAAATGTCTTCTTTTGAGAAGTGTCTGTTCATGTCCTTTGCCCACTTTTTGATGGGGTTGTTTTTTTCTTGTAAATTTGTTTGAGTTCATTGTAGATTCCAGATATTAGCCCTTTGTCAGATGAGTAGGTTGTGAAAATTTTCTCCCATTTTGTAGGTTGCCTGTTCACTCTGATGGTAGTTTCTTTTGCTGTGCAGAAGCTCTTTAGTTTAATTAGATCCCATTTGTCAATTTTGGCTTTTGTTGCCATTGCTTTTTGTGTTTTAGACATGAAGTCCTTGCCCATGCCTATGTCCTGAATGGTAATGCCTAGGTTTTCTTCTAGGGTTTTTATGGTTTTAGGTCTAACATTTAAGTCTTTAATCCATCTTGAATTAATTTTTGTATAAGGTGTGAGGAAGGGATCCAGTTTCAGCTTTCTACATATGGCTAGCCAGTTCTCCCAGCACCATTTATTAAATAGGGAATCCTTTCCCCATTGCTTGTTTTTCTCAGGTTTGTCAAAGATCAGATAGTTGTAGATATGCGGCTTTATTTCTGAGGGCTCTGTTCTGTTGCATTGATCTATATCTCTGTTTTGGTACCACTACCATGCTGTTTTGGTTACCGTAGCCTCCTAGTATAGTTTGAAGTTAGGTAGCATGATGCCTCCAGCTTTGTTCTTTTGGCTTAGGATTGACTTGGCAATGCGGGCTCTTTTTTTAGTTCCATATGAACTTTAAAGTAGTTTTTTCCAGTTCTGTGAAGAAAGTCATTGGTAGCTTGATGAGGATGGCATTGAATCTATAAATTACCTTGGGCAGTATGGCCATTTTCACGATATTGATTCTTCCTACCCATGAGCATGGAATGTTCTTCCATTTGTTTGTATCCTCTTTTATTTCATTGAACAGTGGTTTGTAGTTCTCCTTGAAGAGGTCCTTCACATCCCTTGTAAGTTGGATTCCTAGGTATTTTATTCTCTTTGAAGCAATTGTGAATGGGAATTCACTCATGATTTGGCTCTCTGTTTGTCTGTTATTGGTGTATAAGAATGCTTGTGATTTTTGTACATTGATTTTGTATCCTGAGACTTTGCTGAAGTTGCTTATCAGCTTAAGGAGATTTTGGGCTGAGACAATGGGGTTTTCTAGATATACAATCATGTCGTCTGCAAACAGGGACAATTTGACTTCCTTTTTTCCTAATTGAATACCCTTTATTTCCTTCTCCTGCCTAATTGCCCTGGCCAGAACTTTCAGCACTATGTTGAATAGGAGTGGTGAGAAAGGGTATCCCTGTCTTGTGCCAGTTTTCAAAGGGAATGCTTCCAGTTTTTGCCCATTCAGTATGATATTGGCTGTGGGTTTGTCATAAATAGCTCTTATTATTTTGAGATACGTCCCATCAGTACCTAATTTATTGAGAGTTTTTAGCATGAAGTGTTGTTGAATTTTGTCAAAGGCCTTTTCTGCATCTATTGATATAATCATGTGGTTTTTGTCTTTTCCCCCAAGACATTTCTAAATTCCTGACCAACAGAAACTTTGAGGTAATTAATGTTTGCTGTTTCAAGCCAGTAAGTTATTGTCTATTTAATTGTTATTATTATTTTTTGAGATGGAGTTTTGTGCTTGTTGCCGAGGCTGGAGTGCAGTGGTGCAATCTCCGTTCACTGCAACCTCCACCTTCTGGGTTCAAGCGATTCTCCTGCCTCAGCCTCCCAAGTGGCTGGGATTAAAGGCGTGAGCCACCAAGCCCAGGTAATTTTTATATTTTTAGTAGATACGGGGTTTCGCCATGTTGGCCAGGCTGGTCTTGAACTTTTGACCTCAGGTAATCCACCCACCTCGGCTTCCCAAAGTGCTGAGATTACAGGCATGAGCCATAGCACCTGGCCCTATTAAATTATTTTAACTTTTATTTAGGTTCAGGGGTACATGGGCAGGTTTGTTATACAGGTAAACTCGTGTCATGAGGGTTTGATGTATAGATTTTTTGTCATCCAGGTACTAAGCATAGTATCTGATAGTCACTTCTCCGGATCCTCTCCCTCCTCCCACCCTCTACCGTCAAGTAGGCCCAGTGTCTGTCGTTCCCCTCTATTTCTATTGGTTCTCATTATTTAGCTCCCACTTACAAGTGAAAACATGCAATATCTGATTTACTGTTCCTGCATTAGTTTGCTAAACATAGTGGCCTCCAACTCCATCCATGTTCCTGTAAAGGACATGATCTTGTTCTTTTTTATGGCTGCATGGTATTCTATGGTGTATATGTACCACATGTTCTTTATACTGTCTGCTGTTGATGGGCTTTTAGGTTGATTCCACATCTTTGCTATTGTGAACAATGCTTCAATGAACATTAATGGGCATGTGTCTTTGTGGTAGAACAATTTATATTCCTTTGGGTGTATACCCAGTAATGGGATTGCTGGGTTGAATGATAGTTCTGCTTATAGCTCTTTGAGGAATCATCACACTGCTTTCCACAATGGAACTAATTTACACTCCCACCAACAGTGTATAAGCATTTCCTTGTCTCTGCAACCTCACCAGCATTTTTTTTTTGACTTTTTAATAAAAGCCCTTCTGACCTGTGTGACTTCGTACCTCATTGTGGTTTTGATTTGCATTTCTCTAATGATCAGTGATGTTGAGCTTTTGTTCATATGCTTGTTTGCCACATGTATGTCTTCTTTTGAAAAGTGTCTGCTCATGTCCTTTGTATACTTTTTTTTTTTTTTAAAGGAAGTAACACTATCTTTATTCTTTATTCACAGATGACATGGTCTTTTTTTTTTTTTTTAATTGATCATTCTTGGGTGTTTCTCACAGAGGGGGATTTGGCAGGGTCATAGGACAATAGTGGAGGGAAGGTCAGCAGATAAACAAGTGAACAAAGATCTCTGGTTTTCCTAGGCAGAGGACCCTGCGGCCTTCCGCAGCATTTGTGTCCCTGGGTACTTGAGATTAGGGAGTGGTGATGACTCTTAATGAGCATGCTGCCTTCAAGCATCTGTTTAACAAAGCACATCTTGCACCGCCCTTAATCCATTTAACTCTGAGTGGACACAGCACATGTTTCAGAGAGCACAGGGTTGGGGGTAAGGTCACAGATCAACAAGATCCCAAGGCAGAAGAATTTTTCTTAGTACAGAACAAAATGAAAAGTCTCCCATGTCTACTTCTTTCTACACAGACACGGCAACCATCCGATTTCTCAATCTTTTCCCCACCTTTCCCCCCTTTCTATTCCACAAAACTGCCATTGTCATCATGGCCCGTTCTCAATGAGCTGTTGGGTACACCTCCCAGACGGGGTGGTGGCCGGGCAGAGGGGCTCCTCACTTCCCAGTAGGGGCGGCTGGGCAGAGGCATCCCTCACCTCCCGGACGGGGCAGCTGGCCGGGCAGGGGGCTGATCCCCCCCACCTCCCTCCCGGACTGGGCGGCTGGCCGGGCGGGGGGCTGACCCCCCCACCTCCCTCCTGGACGGGGCGGCTGGCCGGGCAGAGGGGCTCCTCACTTCCCAGTAGGGGCGGCCGGGCAGAGGCGCCCCTCACCTCCTGGACGGGGCGGCTGGCCGGGCGGGGGGCTGACACCCCCACCTCCCTCCCGGACGGGGCGGCTGGCCGGGTGGGGGGCTGACCCCCCCACCTCCCTTCAGGATGGGGCAGCTGGCCGGGCGGGGGGCTGACCCCCCCACCTCCCTCCCATACGGGGCGACTGGCCGGGCAGAGGGGCTCCTCACTTCCCAGTAGGGGCGGCCAGGTAGAGGCGCCCCTCACCTCCCGGACGGGGCGGCTGGCCGGGTGGGGGGCTGACCCCCCCCCACCTCCCTCCCGGACGGGGCGGCTGGCCTGGCAGGGGGCTGACCCCCCCCACCTCCCTCCCGGATGGGGTGGCTGCCGGGCGGAGACGCTCCTCACTTCCCAGACGGGGTGGCTGCCGGGCACAGAGGCTCCTCACTTCTCAGACGGGGCGGCTGCCGGGCGGAGAGGCTCCTCACTTCTCATACGGGGCGGCCAGGCAGAGACGCTCCTCACCTCCCAGATGGGGTGGCGGCCGGGCAGAGGTGCTCCTCACATCCCAGACAGGGCGGTGGGGCAGAGGCGCTCCCCACATCCCAGATGATGGGCAGCCGGGCAGAGACGCTCCTCACTTCCTAGATGTGATGGTGGCCGGGAAGAGGCGCTCCTCACTTCCCAGATGGGATGGCGGCCGGGCAGAGACGCTCCTCACTTTCCAGACTGGGCAGCCAGGCAGAGGGGCTCCTCACATCCCAGACGATGGGCGGCCAGGCAGAGACGCTCCCCACTTCCCAGACGGGGTGGCGGCCGGGCAGAGGCTGCAATCTCGGCACTTTGGGAGGCCAAGGCAGGCGGCTGGGAGGTGGAGGTTGTAGTGAGCCAAGATCACGCCACTGCACTCCAGCCTGGGCGCCATTGAGCACTGAGTGAACGAGACTCCGTCTGCAATCCCAGCACCTCGGGAGGCCGAGGCTGGCGGATCACTTGCGGTTAGGAGCTGGAGACCAGCCCGGCCAACACAGCAAAACCCCGTCTCCACCAAAAAAATACGAAAACCAGTCAGGCGTGGTGGCGTGCGCCTGCAATTGCAGGCACTCTGCAGTCTGAGGCAGGAGAATCAGGCAGGGAGGTTGCAGTGAGCCGAGGTGGCAGCAGTATAGTCCAGCTTCGGCTCGGCATGAGAGGGAGACCGTGGAAAGAGGGAGAGGGAGACCATGGGGAGAGGGAGAGGGAGAGGGAGAGGGAGCCTTTGTCTACTTTTTAATGTGGTGGTTTTTTGCTTGTAAATTTGTTTAAGTTCCTTATAGATGCTGAATATTAGACTTATGTCAAATGCATAGTTTGTAAATATTTTCACCCATTCTGTAGGTTGTCTGTTTACTCTGTTTATAGTTTATTTTGCTGTGAAGAAGCACTTAAGTTTAATTAGATCCCATTTGTCAATTTTTGCTTTTGTTGCAATTGCTTTTGATGTCTTTGTCATGAAATCTTTGTAGGTCCTATGTCCAGAGCAGTATTGCCTAGGTTGTTAATATGGTTCAGCTATGTCCCCACCCAAATCTCACCTTGAATTATAATAATAGCCAAGTGTCAAGGGTGGGGCCAAGTGGAGATAATTGAATCATGGGGATGGTTTACCCCATACTGTTCTCATGGTAGTGAATAAGTCTCACATGATGGTTTTATAAAGGGGAGTTCCCCTGCGCAAGCTCTCTTGCCTGCTGCCATGTAAAATGTGACTTTGCTCCCCATTCACCTTCTACCATGATTGTAAGGCCACCCCAGCCATGTGGAACTGAGTCAATTAAACCTCTTTCCCTTATAAACTACCTTTATAAACTGTCTTTATTAGCAGCATGAGAACAGACTAATACTGTTGTCTTCTAGGGTTTTTATAATTTTGGGTTTTACATTTAAGTCTTTAATCCATCGTGAGTTAATTTCTGTATATGGTGTAAGGAGGGGGTCCAGTTTTAATCTTCTGCATATAGCTAGCCAGCTATCCCAGCACCATTTATTGAATAGGAAATCCTTTCCCCATTGCTTGTTTTTGTCAGCTTTGTTGAAGATCAGATGGTTGTAGGCATGCACCCTCATTTCTGGGCTCTCTGTTCTATTCCATTGGTCTGTGTGTCTGTTTTTGTACCAGTACCATGCTGTTTTGGTTACTGTAGCCTTGTAGTATAGTCTGAAGTTGGGTAACATCATTCCTCCAGCTTTGTTCTTTTTGCTTAGGATCACCTTGGCTATTTTTTCCCTTTTTTGATTCCATATGAATTTTAAAATAGTTTTTTTCTAGTTCCATGAAGAATGTCATTGGTAGTTTAATAGGAATAGCATTGAATCTATATATTGGCTTGTGCAGTATGGCCATTTTGATGATATTGATTCTTCTTATCCATGAGCATGGAATGTTTTCCTATATATTTGTATCACATCTGATTTCTTTGAGCAGTGTTTTATAATTTTTATTGTACAGACTTTTTACCTCTCTGGTTAGCTGTATTCCTAGGTATTTGATTCTTTTTGTGTCAAGCCACTAAGTCTTAGGATAATTTGTTACACAGTAATAGATAATTAACACAAAGACATTGAAGAAGACATTGAAGAAGAAAAGACAAGGAGTTAACAAAGAAGTAGAAGGGAGATAAGGAAAGAGTTGTGTTGAGAAAACCAAGAAGGAAGAGTTTTCAGAAGAGAAATGGTGTCAAATCCTATAGGAAAATGATCATGATACAATTGAAGAAGCCCTTTGGGTGTGGTTAGAAGGACACTGGGTGGCTTAAATGAGATGAACTTGATTGGAGTTGATGGTGATGGAAGCCGTATTATAATGGGTGGAACAATCAAATAGAATGTGGGAACAGTAAATATAAATGACTTAAGGATATTGGCTGTTAAAGTAGATTGTGGGAATGACAAAAAGTAAGAAAAGATATATTTAAGATTGTGGGGAGCTTGAATGTGTTTATAGATTGAGAAGTTGAAGGTAGCCTAGATGCAGAAATTATAACTGAATTATTGACAAAGCACAATCAGGGAGGGAGAAGAAAAGATAGAGAACATAGAGAGAGGTGTTCTCGTTAGGAAAGTGAAGAAAGTACCAGTCTCTGTGAGATAAGAGGAAATGGAGTATGAATGGACAAAAATATAGGTATTTGTAGGTAGATGTAAGCAGAGGTGAGTTTCTTTCAATAGTTGACTGTTTTTTTTGAAGTGGTCATTGGCCAAAAGTAAGGGGGCAGGGATTGTAGTAACTTACAAACTTACTGGGATGCATTCTGAGCCCATGTAAAGTCATCTTTCCCTCCTTTTGATCTATCTTTCCACAGTCTACCTTTTCTCTCCTTTCCTTTCATCTCCTATTGAGTACTGCTAGAGAAAATCATCCTAATTGGTGTTTTTAATATATTTAAATATATCCTTTTCTATGTGTTCTTGTGAGGAAAGGACTTTTTAAAAAAGGAATATACTACTAACTTTTGTTAGAGGAAAAACATTTTTGTTACTTCATTGAGGCCTACAGAATAGGGTGGAGGAAGTAACACGTTGATTCATTACTGAATGCCTTATTGAATGCTATAGCCCAATTTTCTGTGCGACTTTCTGACTCCTATTTATTACAGAAGATAAATGGCCTACTAACTCAGAGTTTATTGCCTGACTTACCTGCAGTTTTTTTTCTTTTAACCAACTACAATAAATGTACAAGTAAATTGGAGGGAGAATTGGGATATATTAATTCAAATGTCAAGTGCAAACAAGACCCAAAAATCTACACAGCAAATGGTATCCTGCAGTTAATGGTCTCCTTTTCACATTGTGGGGCAAAAGTAGCACACACAGATTTGGAAAAGCCATTGTGTAAAAGGAGACTAAATAAATGCAACAAACCTTATTTCATGGCTTTGATCAAGTTATTAATTTCCTATGGAAATGTACCAGATCCTCCAAATAAAATAATTTCAGATGAAAAATCAGGGAAGTTTTTCTGACATTTATTTGCAAATCCAATTTGTAATTTGTGTTTTACTGCCATATATCAAGGCTAAAACTCAAGATACCCTTTTTGTTGGTTAAATAGAAAGTAAGTTTTTAAATTGCTGTAATAAGAAAATTAGTTTTAATGGCTATTTGTGATATCGTTTCCTGGATAACTACAAGAATCATATAATGAGTTAAATGTTTCAAGGTGTATTCACACATCTTACCTAGTATGAGTTCTGAAAACTTGGTTTTGAAGGTATAGTTATGATAATCTCTGTTTTTGTTAGAAAACTGAGGCTTACATTAATTGTCTAGAGTCACTTTTTAAGTAGAAGAGCCAGGACCCTCTTCCTACTTCAAAGTCCAGGTTTTTAACTCATTAGGTAGCACAGACTTTGCTAGTGTTTGGTTTTCAGTTTGACCAGTATTTATCAACTTTCTTCTTGATACTCTGCTTGATATACCTTAGTGAAATTGTTTTCTTAAAAAGTGATTAACTTATAACTGCAAAAATTTTTGTTTTGTAGTTTTAAATTAACTTAGAAAATTATACATTTTTCTGTCCATAAAGTTTATTTAAAAAAACAACTCCAGTTTTTGCATATGATATTAACTTGAGATATTAACAAGATATAACAGTCAATTTTGCTGATTTCAGATGTTAAATTTCTTAATATTAAAAACATCATTTTTACTATGTAAAAACTGTGATTCACCATTTTTACCATAGGGGATGGGGAGTAATTTTCCTTCTTATTTGTATGGGCAAACATCTTCTATACATAATTTAAACAATTCTTAAAATGATCTCCTTCAGCAAGCTTTTTCAATTGCCTTTTTTTTTTCCCCTCAAAGTCGTCTCTGGCAAACACTGCGTGACATCATATTTATTATCAAATCAATCAAGTATTGTCTTCTCATATTTCACCTGCATGAGTCTTTAAGTTTTGGGTTTTCTCCATATGCTTTTTTTTGAAGAAATCTTATTTCCTCTCATGGCTTTATCTAATAACTGCATGTAGGTGGTTCAGAAATGATTACATGTAGACTCCTTGGTTTGATTCCTGAAGTAGCAGCTCCTATTGAATCAGTGCCACTTGCCAGAGTCTTAAACGTGCTCAACCTTTATTAACTATTCCAAATGGTAGTTAGTGAAACCTTCTCAAATAGAGTTAGTTATTTTCCTTTTTATAGTCTTATGTTCCTATATTTGCATTATAGATATTGTATGCCATCTGTTTTCCTATTTATCTCCCTCATCAGACTGGTTCCTTAAGGGTAGAGGGCCCATGTCAGAGTCACATCTGCTTCTCCTCTCCTCTTAAAGTAACTGGTACACACACATTCAACATATACATTCACTGAATAAATAAATGAGTGTTGAGCAACTATTCCATTTGTATTAGTTCTCAATGGCAATGTAATGAATTCCCCGAAACTCATTGGTTTAAAACAACAAACATCTATCATCTTCTACTTTTTGTCTGTCAGAAATCTGGTCTTTGGCCACAGGTGGTGGCTCATGCCTGTAATCCCAGCACTTTGGGAGGCCGAGGTGTGTGGATCACAAGGTCAGGAGATGGAGACCATCCTGGCTAACATGGTGAAACCCTGTCCCTACTAAAAATACACACAAAAAAGTAGCCGGGCATGGTGGTGGGTGCCTGTATTCCCAGCTACTTGGGAGGCTGAGGCAGGAGAATGGTGTGAATCTAGGAGGCGGAGCTTGCAGTAAGCTGAGATTGCCCCACTGCACTCCAGCCTGGGTGACACAGAAAGACTCTCTCTCAAAAAAAAAAAAAAAAAAAGAAAAAAAGAAGTCTGGTCTTGGCTTACTGTGACTTCTGGCTTTCCGGCTGCAATCAAGGGGTTGCCAGGGCTGTGATCTTATCTGAAGACTTGAATAGGGGAAGATCCACTTCTAAGTTCACTTAAGTGGTTGTTGAAAATATTCAGATCCTCATGGACTATTAGACTATCTTAATCCATTTTCCAGCTGTTTTCTATTAAGAGAGACATTAAAGAGATTTGAAAAATTGTGTAACAATGCTACCTTTCTTATTACTTTATTTTTCTGGAAAATATAGTTATTTTTCATAAAATATGCTCTTATGTAAATATAAATGTACTAAACATGTCAACCTATTTAATAGGTTTACTACTGTTATTTAAAAATGAATAAATATTAATGAAACATTTCAGAATTAATTTCTAATATGGCAAGTATTGAGAGATTAACTCTCATAAACAGAAGCTCTTTGGTTTCCCAATATTTTTAAGAGTTCAAAATGGTCATGAGAGCAAGAAGTTTGAGTGCAGCTGTTATAAATAGTAAGCAACAAGTTGATCTCATGGCCTGGGTGGCTGTTCTCATTTGAGCAGGCTAGATTTGTCTGTCTGTCCTGAAGAGGTGAAAAAAAACTTTAGGTCTACTTCCCTTGTTTGCAGAGGCTGAGCCAATTTTCATTACACAGGTAGTCTTAGTCTATTCCTGCTGCTATAACAAAACACCACAGACAGATAATTTATAAATAATAGACTATAACAGAAATTTATTTCTCACAGTTCTGGAGGCTGGGAAGTCCAAGGTCAAGGCACCAGCCTCTGGTGCTCTTTGCTTGTTGTTGTGTCCTCACATGGCAGAAGAGACAATGCTGTGTTCTCACATTGCAAAACAGATGGAAGGGCCAGGCAACTCTGTGAAGTCTCTTTTATAAGGGCATTAATCCCATTCATGATGGCAGAGACCTCATGACTTAATCATTGCCCAAAAGGCCCAACCTCTAAATACCATCAACTTGGGGTTTAAGTTTCAAGGTGAATTTTTGTGAATTCAGTGTGAATTCAATGTGAATGAGGAATACAGACATTCACAGCACAGCAACAGTGTTCTTATCAAAGTCATGCTTGTGGTCTTTCATTGTGTGGTTAAGATCAGTGTTGTACTGCAGCTTGCCATTTGACTTTTGACATTTTTTGTAGCTAGTATTGGTTCATAAAAGTGGATTGATAAATTTTCAGAAATTGTGTGCCCCAGCCATGAAAAAGCCATTATTAAAAAACTAAAATTATTCAAATGTACAAGAAAATAATTTGTATTGTTAACAAAGGTAATACATATCAGCATATCCATGCTCTTGAGGTTATGTCTATTGTATCTATGTAGTAGGTATATTACATAATTATGTGCTACTGAACATCTCTTTCCAACTCTGTGTTCAGTGATGTCACATGGTTAGCTTGAAATCAACTGCAATGGGAACATTTACAACATGGAAGCAGGCAAATCCTACAAATTAGAGTTCTTTTTCCCTCCTCTTTCCCACAGAACTTGTTGGTTAACATATCACTGAATATGATCATTTTTTGATACATTGAATTTTGTTCCTCTAATGTTTATACTCCATTACTGGTAGAAAATTTTGTCTTTGTTCTTTCTCAAGACGAATTTTTATTACTTGATAGAAAGGAGATGTTGCTTGTCAATAGCTTGCCTTCTTGGATTTTGTTTAATGGAGAGAGCTTCTGAAAAATATTCAGGATAGAGGAGAAAGCTGAATTCCTTTGATGGAAATGAGTGAGGGAAGATTAATTCTCCAAAACTGAGACTAGAGGTTTATGACTCCCAAGAATAGTGGTGATCTACACTATATTCCCTGACAGTAACCGCAGGAACTGGCAAGACATTTGAGTGGTTTTACTTTGTGTTTCTCCTGGGCCCAGGGCAACGGGACTGTCTGCTTTGACAAATATTCCTGCACTGAGGTTTGACATAGGATGAGCAGAGCTGTCTTCCTTTAGGGACTGACTATATTACTCTGTTTTATGTTGCTTATAACAGAATACTTGAAACTGGATAATTTGTAAAGAAAAGGAATTTATTTCTTATGGTTGTGGAGGCTGAGAAGTCCAAGGTTGAGGGGCTGCATCTGGTGAGGGTTTTCTTACTGGTGGGGGCTCTCTGCAGAGTCTCAAAGTGGCACAGGGTGAGGGGGCTGAATGTGCTAACATGGTAGCTCAGGTCTTTTTTCCTTTTCTTATAAGGCCACAAGTTCCAATCCCATGATAACCTAGTAATCCATTTACCTTTTAACCCATTGATTCATGAATATATTAATGTATTTATGAAGGCAGAGCCCTCATGACCCATTCACCTCTTAAAGGACCCACCTCTCAACACTGCCACATTGTGGATTAAATTTCAACATGAATTTTGGAGGGTACAACTATTGAAATTATAGCAGGGACTAAGTGACCTTGGAAAATGAGATATCAAAGGAGAAAATGATAGTGAAAGATGAAAGGGTGCTTGTGACCTCTTAGGACCTAGGTTGAATTTCCTGCTGGCCTGTGTGATGGACACTTGGAGTTGGAATTAATTTGATTTAAATAAAATAAAAGAAATTTGATATTTCTTGCATACCTGTTTGTAGGAGAAAATACCATTCATACCTATTTTATCCGTGAGGGTTCTCCAGGGAAATAAAATTAATTAATTAGTTTCTTTATTTTTGAATTGGTTCATGTGTTTTTGGAGGCTGATGAGTCTGAAAATTTGTAGGGCAGGGCAGAAGGATGGAAATTCAGGCAACAGTTGATACTGCAGTCTTGAGGCAGAATTTCTTCTTCTCTGAAAAACTTTAGTTTTGCTCTATAAATCTTTTATTATTATGGTTACCTGTATATTTGCTTTTGTCATCATAGACAAAATAAAAAGGATATCAAAATGTCTACAAGGGAAAAATAGGGAGAATAAAAACATCAAGCATTTGCTAGTGCCAAGTTTTGTAAACTAAAATTCTTTTAAAAACAGATTTTTTCAAAAACAAAATTGTATTTACTTAAGGTATACAGCGTGTTTTTTTTTTTATTTCAATAGCTTTTGGGGTACAACTGGCTTTTTGTTACATGGATGAACTATATGGTGGTGAATTCTGAGATTTTAGTGTACCCATCATCAGAGTAGTGCACATTATACCTAAAGTGTGGTTTTTTATCCCTAGCCCCCTTCCCACCCTCCTACTTCTGAGTCTCTAAAGTCCATTATATCACTCTGTATGCCTTTATTTACTCATAGCTTAGATCCCACTTATAAGTGAAGGCATATGGTTTTTGATTTTCCACTCCTGTGTTACTTCACTTAGAATAATGGCCTACAGCTCCATCCAAGTTGTTGCAAAAGACATTATTTCGTTCCTTTTAATGGCTGAGTGGTATTCCATCATGCATATATACCACATTTTCTTTATCCACTCATTAGTGAATGGACATTTAGGTTGGTTCCACATCTTTGCAATTGTGAATTGTGCTGCTATAAACATATGTGTGCAAGTGTGTTTTTCATATAATGACTTTTCCTTTGGGTAGATACCCAATAGGGGGATTGCCAGATTGAATGATTGATCTACTTTTAGCTATTTAAGGACTCTCCATACAGAAAAACAGATTAATTCTTTAAGCATTCACAAACTTTTTTTTCTCTAATTTTACAGAAATCTGCTGTGACTGTTTCATGTGCTACATGTCTGTTTTATTCTCATTCCTCTTATTCCCCTAGCATTTTTTTAAAAAAACACTGATAATAGTTGGTATTTGAAAAACTCCATCAATCAGGAAAAAATAATTCTTATAGACAAGGAGACATGCTATTATATTTGGAATAAAATTGAAAGCAAAAATTATATGAATCAATGGATGTTACAAAGGGACATAAATGGATTGTGTATTGCACCTTTCTTTCTGCAGCCGCTTCCAAGGTCCTTCTGTTCTTCATAATAAGACAAAAATAAAAGTTTAATCAATAGGAATGAGCTTGGTTCCGAGATAAGAGTTAACCTTGGATTTGAATGATTCTATTGATTTGGCATTGTGAACCTGAGGCAGGATTTCATCTAAGGATTGGGGTGTACTTTAGTTTAAAATAAGTGCTTCTTAAGTTGTTGGCAAATAGACTGGAATTGCCAATAAACTTGGCTGAGACGGGCTCAAACAATAGCTAATCTCATAGAAAGATAATAACTCAGATAAATATAGGAGTCAGAAAATGTTCCCTTTTAAAAAAATCTTTCTACACTGTAATTATCAAAATAAATATCACCAGTTATGAGAAGTGAAGCTAACCAAAATACCTCAAGGACACTTACGACCTTCACTGTGGAAAATAGGAGCATAGTTTTAATCTTTTCTTTCCCTTAAGAACTATATTCTTCTTTTTACCTACTCTCACTTTCAATTTCTGTAATCTAAAATATCAAATTCACCTGCAGGAAAGTCATGTTTTTGACAACTTCTTAAACAACTTGTTTAAGAGGTTCTGGCCCTGAAACCTTAGATAATGATAGTGGTTAGTTGATTAGGCATAAGGGTGTGGAGGGCAGGGGGAAGACGACACAAAACAATTGTAACCTCACGCCCACTCCTCCCTCCCCTTCCCCAATTTCCCATTTGTCACACCACCCCATTGTAGATCTAGTTCAACCAATGAAATAATCAGCTTATTGCAGAGGGAAGGAAGTTTACTACTGGAAATAATGCAGGTTTGTTTTAAATGTTTTGATGAAGCTCACTGAGGTTTTAATTCAAGTCGATAGTATATTCTATTTTGTTTTATTTTATTGCCTGCTACAGATTAGGGATGCAATGTTGAATAAGGTGTGGCCTCTATTCTTAATTTAATGGTAGATCTAGACATGAAGTAGTTACTATACAACATGGTAAATTCTGTAACAGAACTCTGCAAAGTGTTCTGAAACTATAGTGCCAAGAACAACTAACTCTGCTTTAGGGTAACAAGAAATTAATTTAAAGAAAAGTAGGTCTTATAGTATTTTGGAAATGTGTTGACATAGTAAAAACTAATTTAAGGGAAAAAAGGCCTCTTCCAAAAATAAGAATCCAAAATGCAAGGATATGAGAAAACAGATCAATTGACCTAATATCAGCAGACACAGGCAGGTATAACAAAAATGAGATGTGTAACACCCTATAATTACAATACGCAATTGAGGGAAGCCTAGGTGTGCATCTTTGCAATCCCTGGTCAAGAGAAGAAACCAGCTGGGTTAGACGGCTCAAACCTGTACTACCACCAGCATTTTGGGAGGCCGTGGCTTTCCCTACAACATGGCAGTTTGCTTCTTATAGGCCAATAGGTGAGTGTCTGCTGCTGCTTTGAGTGTCTTTTAAGAAATCATCTGATTAGGCCAGGCCATCCAGCATAATCTCCCTTTTGATTAACTCAAAGTCAACTAATTAGAAACCTTAATTACATCTGCAGAAATCCCTTTATCTTTGCCATACAATATACCCTGATTGAAGGGAATGATATCCCATTCTATTCACAGAAACTGCCTACCCCAGTGGGGAGGTATAAAAGGATGTGGACCAGTGGAAGCCATGTTAAAATGTTGTCTACCATATGTTAATCATACATTACATACATTTTTTCCTATTCTAACAAAGACGCTGAGAAATTTTATACCTTAATAGTATTTAAGCCTTAGATTTTATCACAGCACTATCCAATAGAAATATAAACCACAAATGTGAACCACATATATAACTTTAAAATTTTTAGTAGCCAAATAAGAAAAAGTAAGAGAGCAACAGGTGAAATCAATTTTAATATATTTTATTTAATAAATATAGCCAGAATATTATCATCTCAACATGTAACCAATATAAAACATTATTAGATATTATATATATATATTTTTAATACAAGGTCTTTGAATACCACATCTCCATTTTGGCTGGCTGCACCTCAAGTGCTCAATGGCCACAGGGGGCTCTTGGCTGCTGAATTTAACTGCACATGGCTATCACATGCCTTTTCTCTTTTTTTAACTTTTATTTTAGGTTTTGGGATACAAGTGAAGGTTTGTTACATAGGTAAACATGTGTCACAGGGGTTTGTTGTGCATATTACTTCATCACTCGGGTATTAAACCAGTACCCAGTAGTTATCTTTTCTGCTCCTTCCCCTTCTTACACCCTCTCCCATCAAGTAGATCCCAGTGTCTGTTGTTTCTTTCTTTGTGTTCATAAGTCCTTATCATTTAGCTCCCACTTATAAGTGAGAACATGCAGTATTTGGTTTTCTGTTTCTGCATTAGTTTGCTAAGGATAATAGCCTCCAGCTCCATCTATTTTCCCACAAAAGACATTATCTCATTCTTTTTTATGGCTGCATAGTATTCCAAGGTGTGTATATACCATATTTTCTTTATCCAATCTGTGATTGATGGGCATTTAGGTTGATTGCATGTCTTTGCTATTGTGAATAGTGCTGCAGTGAACATTAATGAGCGTGTGTCTTTATGATAGAATGATTTATATTCCTCTGGTATATACCCAGTAATGGGATTGCTGGGTGGAATGGTAGTTCTCCTTTTAGCTCTTAAGGAATTGCCATACTGTTTTCCACAATGGTTGAATTAATTTACACTCCCACCAACAGTGTATAAATGTTCCCTTTTCTCCACAACCTTGCCAGCATCTGTTATTTTTTGACTTTTTAATAATAGCCATCTGACCGGTATGAGATGGTATCTCATTGTGGTTTTGATTTGTATTTCTCTAATGACCAGTGATGTTGAGCTTTTCTTCATGTGCTCATTGGCTGCATGTATGTCTTCTTTTGAGAAGTGTCTGTTCATGTCCTTTGCCCACTATTTAAGGGGTTATTTTTCTCTTCTAAATTTGTTTTAAGTTACTTATAGATTTGTCAGATGCATAGTTTGCAAATATTTTCTCCTACTCTGTAGGTTGTCTGTTTACTTTGTCAATAGTTTCTTTTGCTGTATCACGTGCCTTTTCAACAATATCCACCAGGTGTCACAACTTTACAGCTCTAAACCAGCAACATCAACACTGTTCTTTTCTTGGTGACAAGAGTTAGGATTCTCTTTGTATTCACATATTTTCTACTTTCCACATATTTGGTATTTCACTTGAAGTTTTTGCCTAGATAATTAAGAAATTAAGCAATGTGAATTTTACTACTTAAATAATCAAATTTGAATTCAAAACTACTTGTATATCTGACACACCATTCCTTAATTTTTCTGTAATTTCATCCTAGATGATCTGCCTGGTGAGAAGGCAAATAATTGTGAATTACATGAACACTCAATTCTTAACAACATAATAATAATTATTTTAAAGTTAGATCATTTCAAATACCCAAGGAGTTTTCACAACCTCAGAAGCAATTAAATGGTTTTCTTTTTACTATCTCAAATTGTTTAATAGAACATATTAAAAATAGAAACCCAAAGTTTTAAAAAGTAACAAAATGTTCTATTACAAAACTGCACACTATTACTGCAATCTACTAATTGCCAAGGGAGGTTTCTACTTCTCACATACATAGTGAGCTCTGATGGGAGTATGATGTTTGCATTTATTCACAGTTATTACTATAAAAACAGACTTATTTAATTTACATTTGGTTATTTGTAGGTTGTGATACAATTTCCTTTTATATGACAGAAAAACTGCCTTTGTTTTTAATTTTTTTGGTTTTTACTTTTATAGTCTTTCACGTTAGGTATCTTATAGGTAAAATTAAATATATATTTAGAGACTGAGTCTTCTCAAATACTTTCTTCTTTTAGAAAATCATTAATTTATAGAATTTTAAAAAGTATGTACAGATGCCATACAGAATCAATCATGAATGGAGAGAAGATTGAAATGTGAGTTTTTATCACTAACTTCCGTAAAATGAGTGTAGTTTAGTTTTATATCAATAATTAAGCGTTCTCTTTGTCCTATTAGTTTCAACCACATGATATCTGTAAGATGAAAATAAACTTGATTCTAGTGAGAAACCATAATTATTTATCTCTGAAGGATTTGTACTGTCAATTAGGTTCAGAAGAAAGGAATCAGACTTGGCATCTTAACTCATATATTAAAGAGAGAAGTGACTAGTGTTGTAGCCATAACTATAGAATAAGATGGAAAAATCATTAAGTGAAACTGTGCAAATAATGTTTTAAATAAAAACATAAAATCTAAAATTAGGATAATGTATACATTTATTTGCCTCCTGTTTGAATACACCTTTTAAAAACACATCCAAGAAAAATTAACCACATATGTAAGTCATGTTTCTAAGTGAAATAATCAAATACATACAATTAATATTTGTTTGCTGCTCAACTATTCACACCTTTTTTTGATTTCTTTTGTGAAGAAATTTTTTCAAAGGCTGAGGGTTTGTTTATTCTTTTTGAAGCACAATGCTCACACAGTCCAAGAGATGGCAGCCAATACCTTTTGTAAAACAAATGACTTGTGTTGATACTTCATCATGGCAAATGCAGGTACTTTATTTTAATAACATCATCACTGAAGCAATTATTAAAAGAATGTAAATTGCTGAAATTCTAAATGAAAATCGCTGAAATTCTGAATTGTTAAATTCTAAATTCTAATTTTTGTACGTGTGCTTTAAAGAGATTGCTCAGAGAATTTTTCAAGGTAAACTGAATAGATTTCTCTCTCTCCTTTTTTTCCACTGAGTTCAGAGCAGTGGTTTCTGCCAGATTAACCTAGATTTACTTATAGAATAGTAGACTTAAATAATAAATTATAATATCGATAATTATTTCAGAATCATTAAAATTAAATACATAAAATACTAATAACATCATTTATTAACAGAATGTTTGCCAGAACTGATGACTGAGTTTTTTTTGGAATATCATAGTTACTTTTTTTGTTAGACTCCTAATTAAAATCAAGTCATTTTTATGACAGATAGGAGGGATTCTTCACAATGTAAGAAAAGCAAAGCAAAGTGAATATTTTATTTCTACATTTGTTTTAAGGACGTATTTAAATTCTGAATATATTACTTTGTGTAATATTAAGCTGCTTTGTTATGGGATTCTACAGGCTAAGGGAAGGCATTAAGGAAAGCCATTGCCTTGTTTTAGGCTATCTAATCAATTACAGTAATGGATCCAGGAACTCAGCTTTCCTAAATTCCAAAATTCAAATACAGAACCCTTTATATTAGTGTGTTAGGTTTGTAATGTTGTACAACAAATTTCCACAAACTTTACTGCTTGAAGAAACAGCCATTTTATTATCCCACACTGCTATAGGTCAGAAGTCTGACCATGGCTTAGCTGAAGGTCCCAGAAAGCTAAAATCAAGATTTTTTTTAGCTGTCTTCTTGTCTGGAGCTCATGTGGTTGTGGCAAGATTTAATTTCTTGTGGTTGTAGTACTGAGGTCCACATTTCCTTGCTGACAGTCATCTAGGGGCTGCTTTCCACTCCTAGAGGCCACCTGCATTCTTTGCCCTGTGGCCCCCTCTATATTCAAAGCCAGCATCAGATAATCTCCCTGACGTGGAGTCCTCTGATGCTTTGAATCTCTTTTATCAGGAAGAACCTGTTTCCTTTTTAGGGCTCGTGTGATTAGGCCAGACTCTCTGCGATTGTAATCTTTCTACTTTAAGGTCAACTGATTTGGGAGCTTAATTACATCTATAAAATGCTTTCACACTAGCACCTAGATTAGTGTTTGATTGAATGAGAGAAGGTGTTTGTATACACCAGGGACTGGAAATCTTAGAATTCTGCCTACCACAACCAGACTGTAGATTGTAAACACCATTTTACTTAGAAAATACATAGACCTTTTCACATTGGAGTGGTTAATTCATCATTAGAGAGGGGCTTTATTCATTTTTTGGTGTTAATGCACCACTTATTTTCTAAGTAATTTTATTCATACCAATAGCTCACCAAAGAAAAGAATGATAAAAAATAATCTGGAATGACCCGTAAAAATAACTTGCAAATACAACTGAGGATTTGAGACCCCTAATCTTGCAGATAACCAACTTTTAAAAGCTTTTTTCTAGTACCACCTCGGAACTACTGGGAATTTATGTCAAAAACAATGTCACCGGAAAATTTCTCCAGTACTTTTATAGTCAGATTTGGGAACAACTGTAATCTTAATATTATCTTATTTTAACTTGTCTGAGGCCCCTATTACCTAGTAGTACAGCCACAGCTAAAACTTTGGTTTCCAGACATTCAGGTCTAATTCTTTTTATATTGCCTACTGTGCCTGGTCTCCCATCAGTGGGAGAAGAGAAGGCAAATCTACATCTCTCCAAAGATTGCTATAAATGGATACTAAAGGGCTGGCAAACTCTCACAACTACCTGTTACTGGTATATTTTAATTGGAGACTTTCTGAACTAGAATTCTGTTTCAGCTATCCATTGCCACAATAATGCTATGAAATAAGCAACCACAAAATAACATAAAACCACAAAATGACATAAAATATGCAGTGATTTTTTGCTTATGAATGTATGCGTAGGCTGGTTGGGTCTACTTAATGCTAGCTGGGCTCACTCATGGGTTTGTGGTCCAATCCTATTTGATTAGCAACTTAAAAAAAATTTAGTTTATTTATTTATTTAGTGATAGGGTCTTACTCCATCGCCCAGGCTGGAGGTGCAGTGGTGCAATCACGATTCACTGCAGCCTCGACTTCCCAGGCTCAGGTGTTTCTTCCACATCAGGCTCCTGAGTAGCTGGGATCACAGATGCATGCCACCAGGCTGACTAACTTTTTTTTTTTTTTTTTTTTTTGTAGGGACGGGGTTTCTCCATGTTTCCCAGGCTGGTCTCAAACTCCTGGACTCAAGCAATCTGCCCACCTTGCCTCCCAAAATGCTCCTCCAAAAAAGGAGTGTGCCGCCACACCCAGCCTGAGCAACTTTTGTTTTTAAGGTAAGCACCTAAAGATAAACAGTTTGGATTTTCATGAAGGAAGAAAGTGAATACTAGAAATTACAGTCTGATAAATGGATCATGAGCAAAATGTCGAGGGTCCTGTTAACGAAGCCATGCAGAGAGGCATAATTGTCCCAAGATCCATTCATACCAAGTTAGCCTTTCTTATGTCCACCTCCTTACCCCTTGCTATTAGAGGTTGAAAAAGAATATTCCATGCTGCAAAGTGCATGGTGTGGTGTACAAAAAAATCCTGACAAAGTTGAAATTTGTCTCTCCGATATGAAAAAGACAAAAGCAACTTAATAACCATAATGTTTTGATTGCATATAAACATATGACAACAATGATCATCTCCAAGATTAATTTGGATGTAGCCTAATGATCACACACCCTAATCATAATGTCTTTTCAGAGGAGAACATTTAAAGTAACAACCAATTACTTAATGATATTATTTTTGTCTCATGTTGATATATTTATTCAACAGACCTTTATTAAGTTCACTTCCTGGGAGCCAGACTGTGATGGATGCTGGAGATATAAAAATGAATAGAACCCTGAACTTTGAAGGTTCAATATCTAGGAGTGGTGTTAAAAACCTGAGCAGTTACAGCAATATTATAAGTGTTATCATAATCAAATGAATTATGTTGATAAAATACTTATAACAAATATAATAATAATAAATCTACAAAGGGCAACAGGAATACAGAAGAGGCAATAGTTAATTTTGTCTTGAAAAGTTGGAAATTTTGGAAAAAAATCCAAAAAAATAGGAAATAAGGCATGAAACCATGTAGGAACATTTTACTGAGTCTTGGAGCATGAATTGTAAAAAGAAACCTGTAACAGCAGGAAAAGGACCAGCCTGTGAAAAGTCACAGCTTGAGATAGATTTATGTACTCTGGCACTGGCAGATGATTTAGTCCTGCTAGAAAAATGATGTGCATCATGTGAGGCAGAAAGGGTGATGGGAGTTGTGGCTAGAAAGCAGGTACCAACAGTAAGCTTGTTAAAGAAATGGGCTTACCTAACAGTAACCTTGTTAAAGAGTTGGGCTGCAGATATAATAATGTTAAGATAGAATTACTGTCTTTGAGGACAAGGTAGTAGGTAGTAGAAGGGCCTTATATACTAAGGATCTTATTTTATCAGAAATAAGGAGCCATTACAGAATTTTAAGTAGAGGAATGACGTAGTTTAATTTCTGTTACAGAAACATTACTCTGACAGCAGAGAAGAGGTTGAGTTAGAGAAGAAGATGGGAGGTAGGGAGGATACTAAATTTGTGTAAGTGAGGAGTTGAACTAAAGCAGTGGAAGGTGAATAAAGAAGAGGGAGGGAAGGAGAGGTAAATTGAGTTTGGAAAATCCTCTAGTCTCATTAACTAATTGAAAATGGTAATATAATGGCGAGGAGGGAATCTCAGATAACTACTAGCTTTCTTGCTCAAGTGACTAGTTAGATGATGGTGCTACTAACCACGTAGCTGGTTATATACTCTACTGTACATAGGGAATCTTATTTTTGGTATAAAATAATAAATTTATTTAGAAGATGGCTGATTTTGAGGTATTTGTGGAATATACAAAAGGAGCTGTTCAATACTGGAAAATACAGACCTGGAACTGAATATAGACTTGAGTATCATCACCATGTAACTGGTTATTGAAACCTGTAACGTTCCATTACTTAGAGGCCTTGCAGAATTGTAAAACAAATCAAAGATAGAATCAAGGTGAGTGTGTCCATTGAACATAGAATATGTCCATTGTTCCATAGAACATTGGTGAAAATGTTCTGAAGCCTAATGTAAATGTTTCAAATATGTATGCTTCATTCAGTATTTATGCTTCCTCTTCTTAATATGGAGCTACCGACTTTAAATAGTAAAAAAGTTAATTTGAAAAAAATCCAAATAGGAGTAACATATTATTTCTTTCAAAACATATTTTTAACTATAAATTGAAAAGTATACTCTAGGCCAGGTGTGGTGGCTCACGCCTGTAATCCCAACACTTTGGGAGGCTGAGATGGGCGATCACCCGGGGTCAGGAGTTTTGAGACCAGCCTGGCCAACATGGTGAAATTCTGTCTCTACTAAAAATACAAAAATTAGCCAGGTGCAATCCCAGCTACTTAGGAGGCTGAGGCAGAAGAATCGCTTGACCCTGGGAGGTCGAGGTTGTATTGAGCTGAGATCGTGCCACTGTACTCCAGCCTGGGTGACATAGACTGTGTCTCAAAAAAAGAAAAAAAAAGAAAACAAAAAAAAAAAAAGAAAAGTGAACTGTAAAATGAAAATTGTGGAAAAAATTATTATATTAGTATTTTGTTTAATTTTTTTTTTCTTTTAGAGACAAAGTCTTGGTCTGTCATCTGGGCTGTGATCATAGCTCACTGCAGCCTTGAACTCCTGGGCTCAAGCAATCCTCTGCCTTAGCCTCTTGAGTAGTAAAGACTACAGGCTTGAGCCACCATGCCTGGCTAATTTTATTTTATTTTTGATTAGATAGGATCTCACTATGTTGCCCAGGGTGGTCTTGAACTCCTGGTCTCAAGCCATCCTCCCACCTCAGCCTCCCAAAGTGTTAAGATTTACAGGCACAAGCCACCATAACTGGCAATAACTATTTTTCAGTGGGGTTAACGGTCATGTCATTGTAGCTTGTGAAGTCTCAATATCTAAGCAGTATTTTACAGAATTTTATAAGGCATAAAAATATTTCCAATAGCACCACTTCAAATTGTTCTTCCACAGTACATTTAGGATTTTATTTAATGAATAACCTGATGTTGATTAGTATAACTGGTGAATACTGCATTTATTTCCTTCTTAAAGATTCCTGTGTCTCTGCAGGCTGGGTTAAATCCCTTTTCTCTAGCTTATATATGACTGGAATATCCTTTTATCATAGCACTTATATTATTACTTTGAAATGCTCTATTTGCATGTCTATCACCAAACACATCCTTATATGAGTAATGTATAAAACTGAAATTCAATTTCATGAAATAATATTTATATTTGTAATAGGTAATGTATGCAGATATTTTCCATCCCATTCCATTGTCATTCCTTCCTTTCCATCCCATTAGAAACATCGGTGCAACCTAAGATACTGATTTAACAAATTTCTAATTGGTGTCAAGCTGTGGTTTGAAAAAAAAGTCCTAAGGCATATCTCTCTGATCCTTGTATCTCTGGTGTTTAGCATATAATCTAGTACTGTTTATTGATGACAGATGCGTAGAGCTTTTTGAGTACTGCAGACGTAAATTCTAAAACAGGAAAAAAAATGCTGCTTCCACTGTGCTTAGCATAGGATTTTCTAAATTCACATTTTAAGTACTATTGTGTGCCACAAGCCATAAATTGTGTTAAAAATAAAGAGCTGTAAAGCCTTATTGCATTGCATTATTGTAATCCTACTAATACCAGTATGATTTATCCACGTGCATCCAGGAGTAACATACTGACAGATTCTCAATTAACACAAGCATTTCTGAGCTTCTAGTAGGCAGCTCTCGTGTATTAAAAGCTTTATCACTTTCAACATGGAAGTAGCATACAAGCTAAATAATTAGAGTATGTAAGAAAGAACAAACTTTTATTTAATATTACTTAAACATAAGGAAAACTTGTACATTTAAAATGACTACCCAGATATAAATCAAGACAAAATGATTCTTTTGTAAAAGAAATAACAAAGTCTTCAAAAAAACCTGAAACAATATTGAATAAATATTTAAAAAGTTAATAAGTATTTGTATTTATAGTGTTTTTATGAAGTTGAATATACAGATAGGTAAATTAATACCATAAAAATTTGTTATGGAACTCATAATACATATATTTACATATATATGTATTTTTTCTAGTAACCTCCCTTGTTCTCTTGCTGTTACAGCTAAATTTAAAAATTTCAACCTATTTCTGTCAAGCTTTGTTCCAATTATATGACTGAGAATGCTTTTGCTTCAATTACCAATGATCTAATCGTTGTCCATTTCAAAGGATACTTTATAATCTCTCTCTCTCTCTGTTTTTTTTTTTTTCCCCCAGATCTGTTCTCTTTGATACTGTGGTCAGTCTTGAAATTTTCTTCTTCCTTGGCTTCTTTTCTATTTTTTTTTTTTTTTTTTTTACATTTTACTGATAGTTCCTCAATTTTCTCCCCAGGTACTTCCTCACTTGCACCTTCAATTTTTGTGTCTATTCTTGTTTTAAATAGTCTTCATAGGAAATCTTACCTAGTTTCAAATATTGTTGGAACTCAGATTTCTAAATCTATGACACCAACACAACATCTCTTTTGAAATGCAGATTCATACATCTATCAAACTCCCTCCTAAATATAATTCCCATTAAGTGTATTGAAGTTTCATCAAACTCTACATATCTGAAAAATAGTTATTTCCCTCACCTTGCCCCTCACTCTAATATGAACAAATGTATTTCTTCTATGCTACTTTAATCATTATAGATTTTTCCTCTTTCACCTTTCTCTCATGTAATTATTGACTGAGGTGATTTTTTTAGATATTAAATATTTCTTGAATATCTCCACATCTTTATTCCTATCCTGCCCATATCAGCTAGTATGGCCAGGAAAACAGAAACCACTTTAGGTAGAAGGTATTTAATACAGGAAATTAGAAACAACATGGTTGGAAATCAGAGGCAGGAAACATCAGAAGAAAGTGGTCTGGTATTTAGAGAACCCAGAAATGCAGGAATCATAAAGTTGATGCCAATAATCTCAACCTCCTGCAGGATGAAGTGAGTTCTAAGAGCTCTGTACTCATTATAGATCTTGGTCCCTCTAAAATACCCCTTGAAGCTTTGTGGGATCAATTCCTATACATTCAGAAGCTATGTCTGTCTGTCTGAGGGCTTTATCTGGCTGTACAGACATGCTGCATGTGGGGCAGGACATGAGTATCAGAAAATGAATGCCCCAGGAACAACCTTCAACCACTGAGGATCAGAAGTTGGTGAATGAACATGGCACCTCCTTACCCTCAGTGGAACAATTCTGAAGTCTAGTCTATATAATCCCTCCAAGGGTTTCCAGCAGGATTGAGCCTCAGTTGACTACAGCTGTAATCCATATGTCGATGTCATTTTATTGGCTTTCTTCCCTTCCTTGTGTCACTTTTCCACCTCTTCTGCTTCTGGATGAACTCCAAAATAAGCTACCTGCTCTCAAGTCTTGTTCATAGTTTAAGATATGATTTATGCATTGCTTTTGGAGGAGGACAATGCTTCTCTTTCTTTTCAAACTTCCACATTTTATGAGAGTGCATCTTCTTGGCAGAATTTAACTCAGAAAATTTCTTGCAAGTGTCTGGCAAATACAGTTTTTAGGCTCTTAATTCTTGTGATAGAGGGAAGTATTTACTTAGAAAGGCAAGGATGACTTTGAATATCTTTGATGACATATTCATGACACCATCAATGTATATTTTAAAACATGCAATATGTATTATATTTATATGGCCCTTGGGATTATATATTATCCCATTGAGTATCAACACACATTATCTAGCAGAGCCCACATCATCCAAATTTGAACTATACACATTTAGGCAATAATAACTATGTCATGCAGCATAATGCAACTATATCTTAAATGTAAAAATATACTCACCATCTCCCCAAAAAGGAGACACAAAGCATTTCTTGTAGGTGCTAATTTCTCTTCTAGCTTACTCACAATGTCACCAGGATATTCTGTAAACTAAATGCTAAATTGAAACAATTCATTTTGTTAGATGTTAATCCTTAAAAAAGCCTACAAACCTTGCATATTGTCTTTCTAACCCAGTTTTCCATTCTCATTCCACACTGTGCTTTGCCTCTCACTGCTTCCTGCAGCCATGCAGGCTTTCCTTGACTTTATTGTGTTCCCCAAGCTGGCTCTACCCCAGACGTTGCACATGCTCTTTCTGATGTTCTAAGTGAATGTAACCTTTTTTTTTTTTTTTTTTTTTTTTTCGAGACAATCTCTCTTTGTCGCCCAGGCTGGAGTGCAGTAGTGCAATCTCAGCTCATTGCAACCTGTGCCTCCTGGGTCCAAGGAATTCTCGTCCTTCAGCCTCCCAAGTAGCTGGGACTACAGGCGTGTGCCACCATGCCAAGCTAATTTTTGTACTTTTAGTGGAGACAGGGTTTCGCCATGTTGGTCAGGCTGGTGTTAGACTCCTGGCCTCAAGTGATTTGCCTGCCTCAGCCTCTCAAAGTGCTGGGATTACAGGCTTGAGACACTGTGCCTGGCCCCATCTTCTTCTTCAATTAACTTTTACATCTTATCACAAGGACCATTTCCTCAGGAGGCTTCATCTGACCCTGTGATTAAGCCAAAGTCCCTTAATGTGTGTGTTTACATACATATATATGTATGCATACATATACATAAAGCATCTCTCTCTCTCTCAGCATATATATATATATATATATATATATATATATATAATTTCATAATGTTTCATTTTGTACTTCTTCATGATTGGTTGGTTGATTATTTTTCTTCTCATCATATGTACCTTGATAACATGATCATTTATATTTGTTATATTTTTGCTATTATACCCCCAGCACTGAGTATAGTGTATAGTGTCTAGTACATGTAAGAATCTCAATAAATTTGTTAAATGGATAAATGCAAAGGATATTTTATGAAAAGAATTATAAGGATTACTGACATTTGCATCATAAACTGTATGATGTTATTATTACATATTACCTTATCTTAGAATTATATTTTTCTCAAGACGTGCTTGTTAGTTGTGATTCTCAGTAATTCCAGAAAGGATACTTTTACCATTTTATCATCACTTAGTTGTAGTTTTTAAATTAATACTATTTTTGGGTTTAAATTATAAATCATTGATATTTTATTGTCATTTTATCAATGACTTACCAATTTTCAGTGGTTTACCTAATCCAATAGAATGCAGCAATGCATACGAGCATTAGCAAGAATTTTGATCCATAATATTGCAATAGTTAGACTTAAAAGCACAAATCGATTCTTGTGTAAAATGAATTATTTATAGCTCTCTTGCTGAAGAATGTACATAATGCTCCCAAAATTTGTTTGTAAATCAAATTTCAGATAAATTAGCTGTGGGTGATTGTCCCAGTTTAATTGGTTTCAGAATATTTGAGAACCATTTCATTTAGAGGGGTTTAAGTTGTGTCTTATTTATCTTTGTGTTCCCCAGATCTAATAGAAATCTGGGTGCTTACTAGCTGGATCATATTTCAAAGGCCAGTCCAAGTTTATGGATTGGTACATGTGGTGACTCTAATTTGGCTTAAGTAACACTCTAATTTTCTTCTGAGTCAGCAATCAAGAATACAAAGGTTATATACCACCAGTTGGATATACATGAATGAATAAGCTCCTCCATATTTCCATAGTTTCTCATGGAGATGTGCCCTTAGTCTATCACTATTAGGTTAATCAGGATATAACACATCATAACTTGAAAGAGACACACAGTATATGTTCAGTGAATTCAAACTTTTTATTCCTTATTCTATAATCAGAATGAATTTTCCATACTTTTACTAGTAAACATATGTAATACTGTACATACAATGAGTACATGTAATAGTGTGCATGTATACATTAATACTATATGTAACAGTTTAGTGTTTATGATTTTAAAGAAGGCATTTCTTATGGATACTAGTCATTAATAAATACTCTTCATTGGGGAAATAAAGTGCATACTTTATTGTTTGTGTGTGTGTGTGTGTGTGTGTGTGTGTGTGTGTGTGTTTTTGCGACAGCATCTTGCTCTGTTGCCAAGGCTCGAGTGCAGTGGCATAACCCTGGCTCACTGCAACCTCCACCTCCTGGGTTCAAGCGATTGTCCTGCCACAGCCTCCTGAGTAGCTGGGACTACAGGCTGGCCTGTAGCCAGGCCATGCCTAGCTAACTTTTATATTTTTAGTAGAGACGGTGTTTTGCCATGTCGGCCAGGCTGGTCTCGAACTCCTGATCTCAAGTGATCAGCCTGTCTTGCCTCCCAAAGTGCTGGGATTACAGGCTTGAGCCACCATGCCTGGCTTTTTTGGTTTTAAGTACATGTCGTTTTGATTAACTGAAATTATACTTTTGATTACATCTTAGTTGATTGAAATTTGATGTGATTGTAAAGTTGTAAATGTTTATACTTTCCTTAAAACTCACAGAAGATATAGTTTGTATGACTGAATAGATTTGGGCATTTTTAATGTAATTTAAATAATTAGATAAAGGGCACATCTGGAACATAAGGATCTACCATAACTTGAGGATGGTACTGGATTGAAAATACAATATTGGTGGGAAAATTTGATAAACCTTAACACAATTTTCTTCGCCAACATAATGCCATGTGAGTCAAATAAATTTTTTTGTTTTCGATTGTTTTTACGTTTATTTTGAATATTCTATATTGCTTATTTCATGGTATATAAAGAAATTGAGCAAGATATTACAAGGTTTATTTTCCCCTTTGGATTAAACTTTAAAGCATAATACTTAAAGTAATAGAAAACTGACATTTGTAGCTGTCTTTTGTGCCCCTGTGTATGTGGTCTGGTCTAGACATGGAGGTCAATATTCTCAGCAACCTTTGATAAACTCTTCATTTTCAAAAATACCCTCTGAAGAAGGTACCAGAGTAGTCTTTACACATAGCCATCTGTTTTGAGCCTCTATAATGTAGAAAATATAGGAAAATATTTTTGCAATTTTGGGGTCAAATATTTCTTACACAAGGCACAGAAAGCACAAACCATAAAAGGATAAGATGATAAGTTAGACTTCATAAAAGTTGAAAACTTATGCTCATCAAAGAAACACCATTAAGAAAATAAGTAGGCATTTATATTCTTGAGAAAACATATACCATACATAGATTTTAAAAAGGATTTTATCAGAATATTTAAATAATTTCTAAAACTCAGTAATAGCTTTTGTGTTTAAACCTATGGTCTTTTTCAAATTATGTTTGAGTATTGTGAGAGATGTATTTGAAGTTGTTTTTTCCCCTCATATGGATATCCAGTTGTTTCAATACCTTTTGTTGAAATGACTTTCCTTTTGGTGTCTTTGTAAAAAGTGACTATATAATTGTGTGTCTATTTCTGGACTCTTAATTCTATTCCACTGACCTATTTGTCTATCCTTATGCAACATTACTGTGTCTTGGATACTATAACTTTTAGAATAAGTTTTGACATCAGGTAATGTGAATACTCCAATTTTGTTCTTATTTTTCAAGATAATTTTGGCTATTTTGAGTTCTTTGTATTTTCATATAGATTTTACAAAGTGTTTTGTCAGTTTGCACAAAAAGGAAACTGCTGTGCTCTGCTGGGGCTCCACATCTTTGTGCAATGATTTGGAAGGTGCCTCCAGATTGAACCACTGGTGATTGTGGGACTCACCTTATGGTGTACCCTTATGTCACAGGTTATAGTTCTCTGATACCTGTTGTCAAACATCTCACTTTGATGCTTCATATATTTTGTAAAGTTTTATAGTTGTTTCAAGCTGGATAGTTAATACAGTGCCAGTTATTCAGTCATAGTTGGAAACAGAAATTATACATAGAATTTTACACCCAGAATTCTATACAAAATGTAGGAGAATATTATATAGGAAATATGACTTGTTCTTATGTTTTTCTTCAACAGTTCAGAAATGTAGATTGGAACTATGATAATATAATACTATGTAAACAGAAAGTGCTATTTAACACAGAAGTTTAAAAACATCAAGTGAATTTTTGGTTGAATAAATGGATATTGTTTTGCCTGATCAGAATTTTATTTTTTGTTTATTGACCACTTAGGTTGTCATTTGAACAATTTCTCTTTAATTTTCTTAATTAATTAAAGGTGGACAATTAACTCTTTTGGGAAACTTTAGAAATGAGTGTGGCATTTTGATGAAAAGTCTGTTTTAAATCTGCTTTACGTAAATGCTCTTTTTTTGTGTTTGTGTGTCTTTAGTACCAATTGCAACAGGCCATTATTCAATGGGTCCAACAGTTTGAGAATGTAGTGGATGGCCCAGCTGGATTTCAGTGTGTACTATACCTGTGTAATTATGGGGAAAATATCTCTCACTTGAGACAGAAATTTAATTCCATTATTTGAAGCCATGAGATTAGATATTTCCTATGCATCAGTTAAAATCGTCTAATTTCTAAAAAAAGTATGTAGAGTATGCAAGGATTTGCCTTTACTTAAGTATTTATGACTTTATTTTCTTTGTTTTTGTAGAGACAGGGTCTTGCTCTGTTGCTCAGGCTGGAGTGGAGTGGCGTGATCATAGCTCACCACAGCCTCCAACTCCTGGGTACAAGGGATACTCCCAGCCTCCCAAGTAGCTAGAACTACAAGTGTGTGCCACCATGCCCAGCTAATTTAAAAATATTTTTGTAGAGATGAGGTCTTGCTATGTTGCCCAGGCAGGTTTGGAACTCCTGGCATCAAGCAATCCTCCCACCTCAGCCTCCTAAAGTGCTGGGATTATACCTTTGAGCCATCACGCCCAGCCTATGACCTTATTTTTATCAATACACAATATATTTAAAGGTCTTAGACACACACACAAATTTACAAAAACACGCAAAGAATTATGAAGAACTGTCAAATGTTAAGTTTATTAAAGTGTGGCAAGTCAGTTGATTTGGCTTGAAGTATGATCAAAAGTGTTTTTTGATAGTTTCTGAAGAAATCATAATATTGTCAACTTAGGGAAATAAAGAAACTTAAATATATTAGAATAACTAAACATAAACTACAATTGTTTATTGAGTTACTAAATAATCCAGAACTTCTATGGGCCACAAAAGTATTATTCTGACATTCTAATGGTTATTTTATTCTTTGTTTAGTTTTGGCAGCTAACTATGGATCCACCTACATGTCAGTGTTAAGGCATTGACTCTTTCCC
Organism: Homo sapiens; assembly: GCF_000001405.40. Classification (NCBI taxonomy): domain Eukaryota; kingdom Metazoa; phylum Chordata; class Mammalia; order Primates; family Hominidae; genus Homo; species Homo sapiens. Next base: position 186,445,740 of record NC_000002.12, on the reverse strand, counting down.
TCCCTGACCTAACTCCCATACAGAGTTACGCAATATTGAAAATCTTTTTCTCATTGCGATCATATACAATTTTGTGCTCCTTTACAGCCAATGGTTCCAGCAAGGGAATGGGAAATATGAGAGCACGAAGATAATGGGTTTAGGAGAAAATTTGAAAGTAAAATAAATAGGTCCTTGTGGCCAAATTAAATAGGACCTCGTGAATTTTAAATTCCCTCAATTTAATGTTGAGGAAATGAATAAAAAAAAGAAGAGAAGAGATAGTACATTCTAACTTTCACCTATTTGTTTATTCATTTACTTAACAAACATTGATTGAGTTTGTACTATGTCTCATTTAGCATGTCAAAGCTCTGGGAATAAAAGATGACTGAAACAGGATTCTTTTCCCTAGGAAGGTCACAGTCTGATAGAGGAGGTAAAAACACATCCAGTCAACTATAACACAATGTGATATATTAAGCTTTTACTCTGCCACCATTATATTTAATGTACTGAGGGAAGACAAATGAGTGAACAACTAATTATATTGGGGAAAGTATTTGGGAAGACTCTAGAGAAGATGTAACAATTGTCTTTAATATTAAAAAATGATCTTTCTAAGGAGAGATATGTGGCAAAGATGGTTCAGGTAAAGAATGGAGGGAGCAATGTAAAAGGTGTGAAGTGCAAGGCATAGTTGGAAAAAGGGAAATCATTTGGTATAAACAAATTTAAAGAATATGTTGAAGGAGTCATGGAGGATGAAACTGAAAAGCTAAATTGTGACCAGGTTGCAATAATGTAAAAATGTTTGAATTTTACCTTGTAAGTTACTGACAATCATGAGAGATTTCTAAAAGGGGAGTAACAGGAACAGAGTTATACTTTCATTAATAACTTTAGGGGTAGGATAGGTTAGGGATGATTAATAGTATAGGCAAGATAGTGGAGCAAGAAATGATGGGGAAATGGGTAAGGCATAGGATAGATTTAAAATACAATTTGAAAGTAGTTACCTATTGCTGCAAAAATAATGACCTCTAAATGGCTTAAAATGACAAGAAATCTTTATGTTCTCACACCCTTCCTATGAGGCAGGAATTCAGGAGCAGCTTAGCTGGTTGGTCCTGGCTTCAGTTTCTTCATGTGGTTGCTGTTACATGTCAGCCAAGCTGCAGTCATTTAACAGCTTGACTAGGGCTAGAGGATTCTCTTTTAAGATGGCTCAATCATATAGCAGAAAAGTTGGTGCTGGAAATTGGCAAGAGGCTTAGGTTCTTTGCTCCAAGGACCTCTCCATAGGGCTATTGGAGTTTCCCCCAAATGCATGATGAGCAGCTTCTCTCAAAGTGAGTAATGCAGGAGAAAGAAGGCTTTCGTGACTTGGCCTCGGACATCGCACTCTGTGATTTCTGCAATATTCTATTGGTATCACAATTCAGTTCTACCTAGTGTAGGGAAAAACACAGGGGTGTGAATTCCAGTGCTGAGGTTCACTGGGAGCAGTCGTGGGGCTTGGCTCCCACAACTTTATCCTGAACATGTCAATCTGTCTCTTTGTGTGAGTCAGTTCTATAGTTTTTTCATAAAGGCAGGAATTGCTACTCACAATAGCAACTACTCTTATTGCACTGGTCTATTCATGAATGCATAATAAATGCTTCTGTAATTTCTAGCAAGTGAGAAAGGTGCGGTGAATTTAGCTATTGTCCAGACTTCAGGCAGCAGGGAGAATGGGATTGGCCGCTGTCATTGTCACAAAGCTTGTTAGCCCTAGACAACAGAGTAAGTGGGAGAGAGATTCATTTTAAGCAACATCCAAGTAACAAGAGTATCTATAGGGGAAAATACATGCTACTTTGATCTTTTGCTGAGATATCTTTCCCTTCTGTCTCTGGGCTAGGAACCTAGATTGGTGCAAAGGTCAGTTTCTTATGGCAAAGGACAGGATGAAGGTGTCATTCTAGGCTTTTAGAATGTGTATGTGTTTATGCATGCGCTTGAAGTATTTTAAACACTCTTCTTATGTGTTTTAAGTATTTAAAATCCAGGAAACAAGTGATATAGTGCTCACTCTTTACTCTTGCTCTCCTAACATGCATATTTTATCTATTTAAAGCTATTTGGAGATCATTTTCCACTCCTGCATTTAAGAGTTGTATGTATATATATATGTACTTTCTCTTTCCATGCCCTTAAATTCTCATTTAGGAATACCTCTTGGACACTCAGTCATTCTTACAGAGAAAATAGTGAGACAGAGTTTTAAAAATATTTATTTTCAAATGTGAAATAGAACCTATTATATGAGTCCATTTTCACACTGTTATGAAGAAATACCTGAGACTGGGTAATTTACAAAGAAAAGAGTTTTAATTGACTCACAGTTCTGCATGGCTGGAGAGGCCTCAGGAAACTTAGAATCATGGTGGAAGGCACCTCTTCACAGGGTAGCAGGAGAGAAAATGAGTGCCTACTGAAGGGGAGAGCCCTTTATAAAACCTTCAGATCTCGTGAGAACTCACTCACTATCACGAGAACAGCACTGGGGGAAATCTGCCCCCATTAATCAATTATGTCCTACCAGGTCCCTCCCACAACACATAGGGATTATGGGATTGCAATTCAAGAGAAGATTTGGGTTGGGACACAAAGCCAAACCATATCACATGTTCTAGAGACATCTCTTAACGGTTACACAAAAACCTAACTGAATAATTGAGGTCATGCCATCCTGCAATAAAAATGTTAATAGGCTTTTAAACACATTGAAATGTGCATTGTCCAGATGCTTTCAGGCATAATTGCAATGACATTGGGATCTTATTCTGAGTTGGCAATGTGCTGCAATTATTTTTTTAAGTCAGCAGCATTTAATTGATTTGAAGATTATTCCTGTGTTTGATATTTGGATGAGATTGACAAATACCCATTTTTCTAGAATAACGTTTTAATGCAAATTTTTTATGACAGAGTGTCTGTGATGCCAAATGTTGCTCTTATTTTCCACAAGAGAGCATAATTATGATTTTACATCACTAAAATTATTTCACATTTTTGATTAAAGTTGGCTTGCTTTCTGTCAATGCAGTTGAAAAATGAAGTTTATTGATATATTGTAAAAGTATTTCACTGGTTAGTGTTTCCACACAGAAATTATCAAATAAAACAATGCCAGTGAAGACTGTTTTGGGCAATAAAGTTTAGAATATATGTATGTACCTTTTTCAAACAACGTGAATGTCATCATGAAAATTACAACAGTTTATTAAGGATAGCTTTTTAAAGTGATGTTGTAGAAAGAGACTGGATAAGACACAAAAACGATGAGAAAAACACTTTCAGTCCTAAATTCATTATTTGTTAGTGTGGTTTTTAAGTAAGTCATTTTACATCTTTACTTTCAGTTCTATCCTGTGTGTCTTGAGATTAATAAATGTACTTTATAATCATTGTGAGGATTAAATGAGCTAATATATGAAATAATTTTAGTATACAGCCTAGAAATATTAGCATGTGATAAATATTTATTTCTGTTTCTAAATTTTCTTCATTCTTGCCTTCTAGTTGAAAAGTATATTAGATAATGGGTAAATCTAAGAAAACATGTTGCAACAAGAAAAAAATTTTGTGTAATTGTGTGTGCTCAGTTATTTCAGCTGAGGAACTAATTTTGCCAGTAGATGTAATTTGCTTAGGACTAAACAAAAGTTTATCCTGTGAGCTATTTTGAACAATTTTATTATAAGAATTATTTATTTTATGGAAGAATCTTATATAAAATATTTAAAGTAGGATCCACATGGCGGCCAACAAGATTATAATGATAATATTAATAATAAATCTGAATTCCTTTATATGAGACGAGATTGGCAATTGTCTTCAGCTCCCAACATTTCCTATTGTCTTAGTGGCCACCTTTTCTCCTTTGTATTACCTTAATGGTTCATGTAAATATTTGTTGTTTGTGATTTCAAGCATCAGAATAAGCTTCCATCCTAAGGATTTATCTTTGGCAAGATAATTTCCTTTTCCTAAGTGGAAATTGCCTGCTAGAGAGTCAGCAATAGTAACACAAATTCATATACCTGTCTTCATCTACTATTTTCAAAAGCCCAAAGAAACAGTAACAACAACAAAAACAATACCTGATTATACCAAAACAGAAAAGAGCAAAACAAATCAACTTTGACCTAAATAGAGAAAAATAATCCTCCCTCTTTTTTAGCTTCAGAATGATAGCATGCTTCCTAAAGCCCTACCATAAATAGCATTATTTTCAACATGGCCAATTTTCTAATATACCAATACTCATATAAAACAGGGATCTTAGAAATCAGCAGTTTCAGTTCCAGGTCTTCTGAAAGCTCATATAATTCTTCTGAATTTTTACCGACAGCTTTGGGGATTGTACTTTTGATGGTAGGGCCAGCTTTTCTTACAAATTTTTCCTTTCCTTTAATTTGAAAATAATATTTACTACAAATGCTTTGGTTTCTTATTATAATTGCCATCATACAGTTAATGAAAACTAAATTTTATTATTATAACACCTAACTATGAACCTCAAATTCAGACTGTCTTGGTTTGTTTTTTTGCAAAAGTGGTGTAAGTTCCCCAACAATCTGATCATTGAATTTATACTTACTCTTTACCCAAAGTTAAACATATCTTAATTGGACAGTGTCCTAATAAAATAGTGTTAGGTATTATATCCAGTCTCTCAATGCTCATCAGGATTTATTCTCATGCTTATTTTACTATACTTGCTTTTCTATTTTTTTTTTTGCCTTTTTAATCTTCTCATGTTTGCCTTCAAATGAGTAAGAAGATGGAGTGTGGGTGATAAAATGAGAGGAGTCCAGGTGTTTCATTAATATGAAGGACATTCCACTACTTAAAAAAAAAAGTTTGTGATTTGAGATCAAATGGGGAAGATAAAGTTGAAAAGTGCTGACATGTTATCAAATCATCAGCATTATGAAACAGCAGGTACCAGAGCCGTTCTAGATATTCATTTATGTTGACACTTTTAGGACACAAGGGAGAGAGTGTGGCTGTCAGTTATCTCATTTTGTTACTTTTGTAAAAGATCTGCTGATTCTTTGGGTATAGCTCTGGTGTCATTTCAAGTTTTTCCTGGCTCTAAGCATCACGTCATCGCCCTGGCATCCTGTGCCTATCTCTAACTGTACTATTTCCTTTCTTCTCAATTTATGTGACTTTTTTCAAGATACTTCAGTATTTTATCTCATTAAGCAGCAACAACATTCACATTCATGTATAAACAGGAAATAATTTTGTTCCTTCATTTCATCAAAAGCCATGTGTTGAAGATTCCTTTATTTTCTTTTTATAATACTCCATTATGTGTATATACCATATTTTGTTTACCCATTCATCTATAAATGAACACTTGGGTTTACTTGTGTTTCTTTTCTTTTTTTTAATTATACTTCAAGTTTTGGGGTACATGTGCACAACATGCAGGTTTGTTACATATGTATACATGTGCCATGTTGGTGTGCTGCACCCATTAACTCGTCATTTAACATTAGGTATATCTCCTAATGCTATCCCTCCCCGCTTCCCCCACCCCAGATTCCTTTATTTTCTAATGCAGGCACTGGGGTATAAAACCTAATAAAATATGGTACATAGACTGAGGAGAGTGGCCATTTCTTCTGCTGTCCTCTGTCTCCAAAGAAATGGAGGAAGTAAAAACTGAAAAATAACAGACTGATCAGCGCCACTGGCCAGGTCTGTCGGTTAAAGATTAACCCCCACCCTAACCACTTGTGCTATCTATAGATCACAGACAATGGTATGGAGAAATACTTGCCTTGCTCACCACCCCCACCTAGTCATGCACCCCATGCTTGCTCAATCTATCACGACCCTGTCACGTGGACCCCTTAGAGCTGTAAGCCCTTAAAAGGGCCAGGAACTCTTTCTTCGGGGAGCTTGGTTCTTGAGATGCAAGTCTGCTGATGCTCCTGTCTGAATAAAGCCTCTTCCTTCTTTAACCCATTGTCTGAGGGGTTTTGCCTGCAGCTTGTCCTGCTACAAGACAATTCAATGTGCAAGGTAAAAAGTGCTGATAATGACGAGTAAAGTGATACAGGTTACAGAAGATGGGCATTCATATCACTTAGGGCAGTGGTGGTTCTCAATCTTGGTCGCACATTGTAATCACCTGGGGAGGTGCTAAAATCTCTATCTCCAGGCGCTACCCAATACCAGTTAAATCTGAATCTCAGAGGGTGGGGCTCAGGACCCAATATTATTTTTAAAGCTTTCTAAGTGATTCCAATGTGAGACCAAGTTTGAGAACCACCAGTCTGGATATTGAAATATGAATTCCCAGGAGAGTTGAGTCTTGAGGTTTTCTTTTTAGAAGTATGAAGAAGCAGAGAATGTCATAATAGGAAGAAAGGGTATCTTTTTAAAGAGTCAAAAGACTAAAAAACAACATGACAAATTTAGGCAACTCACAAGTTATTCAGTATGGTAAAAGGAAAGACAGTGAATAGAATGTGTAAGGTTTGAGGGAAGGGTAGGCAAAAAACTAATCTTCAAGGACTTTGACCTATTTATTTCCAATATAAATGATTGTCATAGCAACAAGGTGGGCACAGGAAAAAGGAAGTGAGTTTAGTGTAGTGAGAAAGGAATAGAAAAAGAGACATGGAACAGTAGAAGTGGCTGGCTGTGAGGAAGAAATGTAAAACCAAAGTGGATAGGCTAGCACCCCATGGAAGGAGCCAGAAGATGAAATGATCAAAGGAAGAAGGATGGGTTGGGGAATGGGGTAAGACAATTTTTGATTGAGGTAGGTCAGGTTTGATATTCAGTATTAAAACTAGACTTAGAATGAGTGTTTCATTTTGTGAATCTCATGGTGTGGATTGGGGGGGCTGGAAAATAGGGTAGAAGGAACTAGATAAGAAGGTGCATATCCTCTGTTACCTGACTGGAGGGATCTGCGCTCAGTTTTCAGGCATGGAGAATCACCTGGGCTGAGGAGTAGATAGTGAGGTTGCTACTTATTGCTTACTTTAATACTCAGGGATTGAAATCCATGTTTCCATATCTCTTCATGCTCTCTACTCTGCATTTCCCCCACATCTCCTGTACATCAGTCTGAATATGGAGAGGAACCATACACCTATTTCTAAATCCAATTTGCTATTGGAGAAGAAACTCCTACACATGATTGCTTAAACAAGACTTTCTGTGATTCATGGCATGGACACAGCTGAGCATATAGAGAATAGGCTATCATTATTCAAACATGGAGGCATATGGAGATTGATAGTGGTAGATTCTCACTGACCCATTGACTTCTTTTATAGGATTACATAACGAGAACTATGGTTTGCATTTGGAAAGGGCATCTCTCTTACATGGGATATAGTTTGTAGCCATGCAAAAGAGACTATCAATTATTCATAGAAGGTTGTTGATCACACCCTCAGGCTGACTTGCATGAATGAATGGGCTGATTTAACTGATTAACCATAGACAAGTACTGGTAAATACACCAGCAGTCTGTCACCTAGGCTGGAGTACAGTGACATGATCTTGGCTCACTGCAACCTCTGTGTCAGGTTCTAACTGATGTCTGAGGGGAGTCAGCGGGGCAAATGGAGGTAGCTGGAAAACCACTCGAGGAATAGTAGACAGTTTTGACATGGCTTTACCCTTTCTCTGGGCATGAGCAAGCTCTATGTACAGCATCAGCAACGTAGTTATACGTTTTAGAGACAATAGTGGTGCCGAGTCAAGCATGAGCTCATCTGGGTGATCACCTAAGGCACCTCACGTGGCATGGTTACATAATGTGTGGGGTTGTGCACCTGTACTCCAAACCTGCTGAGTCATGCTGTGCCAGAAGGCCGCCTCAGTCTACTCCTGACTAAAGCACAGCCATTTCCCTTACACTCCACCCCCTAGGCTGAGGGCATCCTCTGGGCAGGGGCACATGCCCATAGGGTAGAGCCCTGAATCCATAACCCACAACAACAATACAGAGAGCAACAGCTCACTACTAGGACACCAGATATGCTACTTACGACTATTAGGGCCCATCATTGGCCAGAGCCTAAGGATGCCCACCATCTCTGCAGGGGGTCATCAGTAAGGCTCTCGACTCCATTAATCTCTTGTGAGAAATGTTGCAGGGCTGCTGTCATGTTCTGCCGATTGTCAGCGATAAAGGTACAACATTATATTCCTAAAAGAGAACAGGTGCCTCCTCGGGCAGTAGTTATTATGTCTAAGGCCATTTGGTTTTGCAACGCCACCTTACTGATCTGATCAGTAAGGTGTTAACAGGAGGAGGGCCACTTGGGTGTAATTCAGAGCCTGGGTGGTGTGCTCTGCAAGAGCAGTAACTTGTGCTTATGACACCCACTCCAGAGATAGTCATTGCCAAGGAGTAGAACCACCAGGGGGCTCATCAAACTTGCAAAAACTGAGAGTGTAGTGCTTCCTGGTTATGTGGGTGTCTGGGCAATGTGGGGAGAACAATGGCAGGTACATAAGGCCACCCCCAGGTACAACGTCTAGTTCAGTCTGCTGATAGGTAAGGCCACCTTGTGTCCCCACAGACCCATAAACCCCCAGGGGGCACAAAGTCCACTGGAGCTGACCTTAGTGGGGCTGCTTGTTCTACCACACCTTTGGTGTGGTGATACGTGTTATTTTTTCACAGGCTGTGATGGGTACCCATCCCACATTTGTATTACCCCAGTGTTACTCTATGCACCATGGTGCCTGGGCCAGGGATACTACATGTTCCCCCACTAGCCAGCCTCACCCATCATAAACACTATGGGCCAGCAAGGGGGGCAGGTGCACCATGGGTTTTGCGGCATCCTTTGTCCAAAGCTTGCTGCATTGTATTCCAGGTGTCAGCCATCAGACCCCAAGTCTCCAGCTGTGTTGAGTTATCTGCAGGCCCTGATTGTGTGTGCCAAGGTAAGCCATCCACAGCAGCTGCTTCTGGAAGGGCAGTGCAGATCCATCTGTTGGAAACATTGGTCACCTCAGCATAAGTGTGGGCCCAGTCCACAATGCAGTTGGATCATGTTAACTTATGGTCAAGATGACACAGCAGGCACAGATACTAACAGAGGTAAATCACGTCTCTCAGGCAAAATACAGGCTAACCTTTCATCCCTGAATAACATGCAACCACCCAGGGCTTTTGCCCTGGGCGATGGTACCACACCTTCTCAGCTTGCCATGGTTCCTTTGAGTCCTGTATCTGCACCAGAGTCACAGGGGGAGCTCATAATAGGCCACACAGACAGTACATATATCCCCTGGAGGAGGGTTCCTTCCCTGGCCGTTCCCCTATGAACAGTCAACTGTGGGGGCCTTATTTTAAACACCCAAGGAGTGACATGCAAGTCATACTGTAAGCCCTTCTCCAGGGAGATACAATGGCCAACCACCGGCATTGGTGGAGGCGGGGGTGGTGGTTGCAGGGTCCATGGCCACAGCCAGGTTTTCTGTTCTCCTACCTTCAGGGGCATTGGGACAGGCAACAACAGGTTACCATTTGTCCCCCTACCTGATCGGAGGAGGTCATCATTGGTACTTACCTGCAACTGAATGGGGGCAGGGCCAAGGCTGCCTTTCCATGCCCGTTCATTCAAGGTTTGGAGCACTGGGTCCAGTCTGGAACTCCAGCCCCACAAAGATAGGGTTATGACGTGCAAGCATAACCCATTCTTCAAGAGCTCATTATATCACTCAATCATACCCACAGCTTGCAGGTTGTATGGCACACGGAATCCGCACTTTATGTCCATTTGTTGTGCCCATTGTTGTACTGTTGTCCAGTGAAATGTGTTCCCCTATCACTCTCAACAGCCAGAGGGCGAACATACATAGCACATAAATGTTGCAGGGCCTGGATGGTGCTCTGCTGGTTGGCCGCCCTACAAGGGTAGGGGAACAATAGGCCTGTGGCTGTGTCCACAGCTGTTAGTGCACAGGTATACCCTTGTGACTTCGGCAGTGGCCCTATGTAGTATACTTGCCATCTAGTCTAGGGCACTTGCCCTATCATCACTTGTGTAACACTGAGCATCTGCCTCCATTTAGGGTATGCCTGAGCTGGGCATTTCTGACAAGCCTCCCAAATATCTTGTGTGGGCAGGGACAGACCCCAACATTTATTGACCTGTTGCATCAGTTTACCCCTGGCATGTCCAAGTTTCCGGTGTAGTCACAAGGCCACATCTCGTGTAGGTACTGACTCTAACCATCGGACCTTGGCTGAGACATCTGCCTCATCATTGCCGGGGGTGCCCAAAGGTATACGGCCTGACACATGATAAATAGTTATCTTTATGATGACCCATTTCCCAGAGGTCTTGCCACATGGCTTGGCCCTAAATGGGTTGGTGGCTGACTAGCCACTTCTGTATTTTCCAGGTAGTTAACAACAAGGTTAAGCCTTGATAGACCACCTAGCTATCGGTACAGATTACCATAGGTGTCACCTCCTTGGTGATCACCATCCATACTGGGCCATTCTGGGCCTCCTGGGATACTGATGGACATTTGTGCCCCATTTAGCTCAAATAATAATAACCATTGCATCTGTTGCTCTAAGTTCAACCCATTGGCTACTTTGTCCATACCTGGTTTCAAACCATATGATGTCAGCACTTGGTTGGACTGCACCTTCAAGCAGCAGTAGCACCTCGGCTAGACCCATCTGTGTACCATGCCCTATCAGGAAGGGGGGATGCCCTTCCTTAAATGGTGAAGGCTCAGAGTCTAGATGCGGCTCAGGCCCCATGGTCTTATCTTGCATTAGGACTACAGGTCCCAAGATCTCTTACAACTCTGCTGCTAAGGGACTTGTACTCCACTGCTCCAAGTAGGTGCCCACTTCACCAAAGTGGATGTCTGTGCCATCCCAGTCCAGGAGGTCATTACCCATGAACACACCCATCCCGCTATCAGGTAAGTCATCTGCATGACAACTGCAGCCCATCCTGTCACACTCTCACAAGCCTGAAGGGAGGCATATACAGCTGCTAGCTGTTTCTCTGTCAAGGTAAACTGCAGCTCAGCTTCCTTCCATAGTTGGGGCCAAAAGCCTACTTGCATTCTCAGCCACTCTGTGCACTGCCATAGGCCCCAACCAAAACCATCTGTGGTCACATGCACATCCAGCTCAAACAGGCACCCCTGGTCAACTACCCATAGGATTTGTGCCTGCTGAATAGCCCACTTGGCTGCCAGGAAGGTGGTCTCAGCTGCATCATCTGAATCCCAGGTAGAGTCCTTCTTTGTTAACAGATGCAATGGTTTTTTATCATTTGAGCTAAATGGGGCACAAATGTCCATCAGTATCCCAGGAGGCCCAGAAAAGTTTGCAACTGCTTCACCATAGAGGGCTGGAGGTATGTCTGAACCTTATAAATGATAGCCTCTCGGATGGCCTTTGTCTTACCCGACCAGATAACTTCCAAAAATTTGGCAGATAATCCAGGTCCTTGGACCTTGGATTTATTGACAGTCCAACCACATGCTGCCAAATGTTGCTGCAAGAGGGGCGCTGCTCCTTCTAAATCTGCAAGAGAATCAGAGATTAACATAATATCATCAATATATTGGAATAGGCAGGCCCCTTCTGGACATTGCCAGGTGGCTAAATCCGTGGCAACGAGACCATGACATATGGTGGGGCCAAGCACAGAGTGCTGTGGCAACATTGTAAAAGTCCATTGTCGCCTGTCCCATGTGAAGGTGAACTGTTCTGGCTCTCTGAAGCAATGTTAATGGAGAAAAATGCATTGGCCAAGTCCACTACATAGTGGTAAGGTCCCAGTTCCGTTGTCATACAGTTCATCAAATCCATGACTGATGGTACAGTTGCTTGCAAAGGGGGTGTTACTTTATTCAGTTCCTGATAGTCTGCCATCATCCACCAAGTTCCATCAGGCTTTCTAGCTGGCAACATTGCAGAATCATATAGGATGTGGGTTCCTCGCACTATCTGCACCTTCTCCACCTTTTTAATTGTCTCAGTTATCTCTGTATGCCCATCTGGCAAACGATACTGTTGGGTGGACATAACTCGTTGGGGTTGTGGCAAGACCTGAGGCTGGTGATGTGCATGTCCACACAGCACCAACTTCATCACATGCACTCAGAGTCTGAATTCCCCAGCCATGGTTTGTAACACCAGGCCATGGAAATGGTCCACCCCCAGAATGTATTCTGGTATGAGATAGACACACAGAGTATTTAAATGGGGAGCCAAATGGCAGATACCAAGGTGCAGAGATACTGGTTTTACTGTTACTAACCAGCCTCCATAACCGTCAGTGTAAGCAGGTTTGCCCAGAAACTTATCTGGTTCCCCATAAACAAGGCTGTGATCTGCGCCAGTGTCCACCAGCAGCAACACCCACTGTACATTGGTGGGGAACCAGTCGATTGCTAATTCCACATGTGGCCTCTAGTCATCCAGTGTCCTCCCAAGCTGGGTACCTTGGCCAGCTCCGTAATCAAACAGGAAAGGCTCTACATTTCCGGCTGGCTGCAGGAAGTTGTCTTTCAGCTGAAGCTCCCAGGTGGGACCGGGTCACACAGAAATGTCCTTCCCCTTGGGCATTTTCTGGAATTGGTGCTCCAGGGACAACTTTGTCCACAAAGTTAAGAGTACATCATTGGGCTGCTTATTGATTTTCTCTTGGTCAGCTCTGGCCAGAATCACATCTATCCACATCTGTAAGTATGTCACTTGTTGGGGTCCCCTTTTCTCCCATGGGATGGGGGGGCCCCGCAAGCGGAACATCTTCCCCTTCTTTACTGCACAGACCTCTCGGTCCCACCGATGGCCTTCTACTTCCCGGAGAGCTGCCATAGCAGTGGTCACTTCATGTAGGCAGCACCCTACATATGGGGTGAGGACAGCAGCTAGGGAGCCAAAGGCACTCGGGGGAATGGAACCCAACATGAGATCCCTCATGTGGGAGGTGAAATGTTCATCATCTGGCCCCTGGGTGTTCAGGTCAAACATAGCCTGCCACATACCCATCTGCCCAATGATTTGCACCAAACTGGCATATGACTGCCGTTTAGTCACGGTTTTGGGTATTTCACCAGTGTAATTCCACAGTTTGTGTGGCTTCCCATAGCCATTCAATCAGGGTGTGGTCACCTTGCCCTTGTGCCAACCTCCTGCTCACCTGTAATTGCTGATGGAGGGAGGGGTGAGTCGTGATTGAGGCTAGCTTTTCCATCTCAGAGGTGGAACAGAAAATACTATCTGCTCCCTCTTCCCATAAATGAAGCATCCATGCAGGCAGAGGTTGCCCTAGACCCTGGAGGCACTGCTTTCCTAATTCCCACAACTCAGTTGGGGTAAAGGCAGTATATGAAGTATGTTGCATTACAGTGTCACGTCCCTGAGCCTGCCCTTGGGGCCTCAATGGCTGTTCATGATCTACCTTCTGACAGACCACTGGGTGAGCTCACAATGGGGGTTCTTCCTCATCCGTATCAGAGTGGGAATCTCTGGCTGAGACCAGGGACCCAGGCCTGCATTCACAGCAGCCTCTAATTCCTTTTCCAAGCTCTGTAGCCAGGTCTCCAGGTGCCCTGTCTGCATCTGGAAATCCCCATTCATGGCAGCTTTTAACTCTTTTTCTGAGCTGTGTAGCCAGGCCTCCAGGCTCTGTGCCTGCACCTGGAGGGCCCTTACCTGTGCTGCATCCCTCAGGGACTTGGTGTGTACTTCTTGTAGTGCAGTCAAAAATGCCCATCCAACTCTGCCAGCAAAAGCTCACTGCTTCTTGGTGCTCTGCACTTCCAGCTGCTTCAGTGCCTTCTCCATGCTCATGAGGGACCCAGCTACCAACACCCAGGTTTCTACCAGAGCCCATCTGAGCAGCACAGCTGCCACTGGGTACCACAGCCCATGTTGTGGCCACATGACCCAGCCAGAGGCAGCAGGGACTGAAGGCTCACTCACCTCAGGATCCCGTTTGTGATGCCAATTGTCAGATTCTAACTGAGGTCTGTGTGAAGTTGGTGGGCAAGTGGTGGGTAGCTGGAAAAACACTTGAGGAATTGTAGATAGTTTCAACATGGCTTTACTCTTCCTCTGGGTGTGAGCAAGGTGTGTGTACAACATCAGCAGGGTAGTTATATCTTTTACAGACAATAGTGGCTCTGAGCCAAGCACGAGTTCACGTGGGTGATCGCCTAATGTGCCTCACGTGGTGTCGTTACATAATGTGCAGGGTTGTGCACCTGTGCTCCAAACCCACTGAATCATGCTGCACCAGAAGGCTGCCTCAGCCTACTCCTGACTAAAGCACAGCCATTTCCCTTACACTCTGCCTCCCAGGTTCAAGCGATTCTCACCCCTCAGCCTCCTGAGTAGCTGGGATTACAGGCATGTGACATCACACCCAGTTAATTTTAGTATTTTTAGTAGAGATGGAGTTTCTCCATGTTGGCCAGGCTGGTCCTGAACTCCTGGCCTCAAGTGATCTGCCTGCTTTGGCCTCCCAAAGTGTTGGGATTACAGGCGGGAGCCACCGCACCTGGCTATTGCCCCTCATTCTTTCTCTAGTTACTTATTCACCAGGTCATTTTATCCAGTCTTAGGACATTGATCTGGTTTGGCTGTGTCCGCACCCAAATCTCATCTTGAATTAGTAGTTCCTATAATCCCCACATGTCATGGGAGGGACCTGGTGGGAGGTAAGTTAATCATGGGGGTAGTTACCCTCATGCTTTTCTTGTGATAGTGAGTGAGTTCTCAATAAATCTGATGGCTTTATAAGGGGCTTTTCCCGCTTTTGCTCAGCACTTCTTCCTGCCACCATTTGAAGAAGGGTGTGTTTGCTTCCCCTTCTGCCATGATTTGTAAGTTTCCTGAGGTGTCCCCAGCCATGCTGAACTGTGAGTCGATCCAACCTCTTCCCTTTCTAGATTACCTAGTCTTGGGTATGTCTTTATTAGCAGTATGAAAACAAACTAATACACTGACTGAGCAAATAAATTGTTTATGATGTTATACTCTCCTGAGATAAGAATGAATCATTTTATGTCATAATAATATGATATATTCTCTGGATTATTATAAAAGCTTTAAAGTATAATATGAGAACGTCATTTTTACACTTACATCTGGAGTTATATTTGATTTGCCCTCTTAGATAAACTTCCAAGCAATATGTCAAATTGTTCTTTATCTTATTCTAATAATTAATCTAGTATTTGAAATCAAATAGGAAACATTATTTTCGCTTTGTTTTCTGAGTTTCAGTTTGTAATATACCCAACAGTTCTTCTTCTCCTCCTTTTTTCTACCACCCCTTTATCATAATAATGATACATAAAATACAAAATAGGGAGTGGGAACAATTAGACACTTTTGACACATTCCGTGTTCTACATCAATAAATAGGTTTTAAATGGAATACAAGATGATCTGTATTTCTCTAAAACTGACTAATACATTAAGCTAATCTGAGAAAAATGATGTGGTACACAACTTTAAAGGTTAGCTGACAAAACAAATAGTTGATATAGTTTTTTTTTATTTTTCACATTAAGATGTCATATTTCAAACTAATGCTACACATAATAAATTTCTGAGTTAGACTTATCTTTTTCATGAAAATCTGAAATGCAAGCCATTTATGTCTACAACTGTAAATGTAAATTGCTAGGACATATAATATGTTAGTGATCAGAAATCACCAACATATTTTTCTTTGAGTAAGGGCTCTTGCATCAATAGCCTTTGAAAAATGTATCAATTCCTTGTTTTCCCTGATAAGGAGGAAAGGTGACAAAGAGAACTAGAAGCACATGGCCATTTGGACAAATAAACACATTTAATAAAATGTCTTAGAATTGTACATAAAACCAACAAAAAAATGAGTGCATGCAAAAACCAGTGATACTTGAGTAAGATCTGTAGTCTAGTTCACTGTATTGGGCCATCAATTTCCTGGTTCTGAAAATGCACTGGGGTAATGTAAGGTGTTGCCATCAGAGAGATCTGGATGATAGGTACAAGAGACCTGTACTACTTTGGCAACTTTTTGTTATTCTATAATTATTTCAAGTTGAAAAATTTGAAATACAGAAATAAAAACAATACAAAAGTTAGCAAAGCTTAGAATGTGGTAAAAATATTTACAACAGAAAACCAATCACTTGGTATGTTGTCTTTACATTTCCATAGTTTGTATTTTCAGGTTTATAAGGGCACAATTTTATTTCCAAAATAAGCAGCAAAGCAGCAGATACTGAATAATGTAATGTAAAATTGATTTCATTTATCAGTGTAACTGGGAAGTATTAGAGGTGCCAGATTGATATATAACATCTAGTCAAAGGAAAAGCACCCAATTGCTAATTTCAGTGACTCATATGACAATAAACTCAATCTATGCCAGATTTTTTAATGTTCCTAAGCAACAGCAGTCCTCCAGTGACTTCATTATGATCATGTTAATGTGTGTTTTTACTCAAGGGTAGTTTAAGAAGCAAATTTTAACTACTATGAATACTGGAATTACAAGGGGAAATCCCAAATATCATATTATTTTGATATTATAAATAGTTTTATGCATAATGTCAAAATAGATGAGGTTTACAAATAATATCTAGGGCTTGAGGGTTCTTTTGGTGTAGTAATTCATGAGTTTTCTAACCTTAGACTGGGGATATATTTGTAATTTACTTCATTTCTTGTAATTCATTTCAAGCTGGAAAGACTCAGGTTACACTTTCAGGGTTTCCCAGGTGTAACAGCTTATGATGTATTTGTGATTCTGGTGATAACTCTAAATATTAAAACTTCAAGTCTCATGATATTTATACTGGATCTGGCACTGTTACCTAAAATAGAGAGTGGTTGCCTGCTTACAACAGCACTTCCTACGATTTAGTAGTTAATATCCATTTTAAAAATCCAATCTTAAAACTTTTGAAAGTCCATGTAAAGCTCCTTAGTTTCTAGTGATGAAACCTACAAATAGTAAAGTACAACTTAAATACCAACAAAGTACAGTCATGCGCCACATAATAACATGCTGTACAGGTTTGTAGCCTGGGAGCAATTGTGTATACCATGTAGCCTAGGTGTGTAGTAGGCTATACCATCTATGTTTCTGTAAGTACACTCTATGATGTTCACACAAAGATGAAATCATTTAATGATTCATTTCTCAGAACATATCCCTATAATTTAGCGATGCATGACTGTAATAGGGTAATCTAGAAACATTGGAACTTCTATATTTAAGTAAGGGTTGTCTTTTAAAAGGGTGTTATTTTAGGAGTTTTTATGCTTATTTCAGTGACTCTGCCATTGTTCAAATATATTGGCCTCGTCTATGGGCTTTGCCTATGGGTAAAGACCCCTACTTTTAATTATTGTGGTGAAAATCACAAAGCACAAGACCTATCCCCCTAATACATTTTAAGGGTACTGTACAGTGTTGTTAACCATAAGCACAATATTGTACAGCAGATCTCTAGAACTGTTTCATCTTGCATAACTGAAACTTTATACCCATTGAGCAACATATTAGGGTTCTCCCAGAGAAACAGAACCAATAGTACACACGTATACACACACACATTGACTTTGTAATATATCCAACAGTTCTTCTCCTCCCCCTTCTTTTTTCTACCACCCCTTCTTCATAATAATGATACATAAAATA
The DNA here is from genome assembly GCF_000001405.40 of Homo sapiens. Classification (NCBI taxonomy): domain Eukaryota; kingdom Metazoa; phylum Chordata; class Mammalia; order Primates; family Hominidae; genus Homo; species Homo sapiens. The sequence continues at coordinate 186,428,029 of NC_000002.12, read as the reverse complement.
CAAAGGAGGGAGTGGGAGCAATTAAACACTTTTGACACATTCCATGTTCTACATCAATAAATAGGTTTTAAATGGAACACAACATGATCTATATTTCTCCAAAACTGACTAATACATTGAGCTCTGTGTGTGTGTGTGTGTGTGTGTGTGTGTGTGTGTGTGTGTGTGTGTGTGTACTGTTGGTTCTGTTTCTCTGGAGACCCCTAATATGTTGCTCAATGGGTATAAAGTTTCAGGCATGCAAATAAGTATATATATAAATATCACAAAACAGGAGACTTATCCCCCTAATACATTTTAAGGGTACTGTACAGTATTGTTAACCATAGTTAACATAGTCTATGTTAAACATAGTCTATATGTTTAAAATAAGTACACAATACTGGCAATGTATTATTAGATAGCATGGCTAATTTCTAGACTATTATGAGAAATTCTTTTAAAAATTTAAATTATAGATGGCTTAGAAGATTATAGAATTCAGATTAAGTCAACTAGAATGTGTTTTTCTAATCTTGCAATTCTATTTCTGTAATAGCTCCTTTTTTTCTCATACCCACCATAAATTATAGTTTTAAATAAATATTTTAGTGGTGTATTTGTCAACCTTTGGCATATATTTAGTTTATATGACTCTCTCTCTCTCTATATATATATATTTATTATACTTTAAGTTCTAGGGTACATGTGCACAACGTGCAGGTTTGTTACGTATGTATACATGTGCCATGTTGGTGTGCTGCACCCATTAACTTGTCATTTACATTAGGTATATCTCCTAATGCTATCCCTCCCCCCACCCCCCACCCCACAACAGTCCCCGGTGTGTGATGTTCCCCTTCCTGTGTCCAAGTGTTCTCATTACTAGGGGTCAAAATACTAAATCTTACTGTGTGTGTCCATAGGGGAACAGATTTCTTTACTATACACCTAACTTGTCCTATGAGCTGTCAAAGGGCTTAAAGCCTTCAAGGATGTTATGTCTTTACTTAAACATATTAATTAACATGGATATTCCCTAAAAAGCAAGAGAAAAATTCCACTTTTTAAATGTAAAATGCCAAGTGAAATAAAGCCAAGAAAAAAAAGCTGAAAAAGTATCTAGAATTAGGAAGTGGTACCAGTAGTTTTCTTTATGACTGGAAAACATAAATCAGTGTGGTTTGTGGTTTTTGGCTTGGCAGCATAAACATCACCTGGGAACTTGAAAGAAGTGTAGAATCTCAACCTGCACTCAAGATCAACTTAATTAGCGCCTTCATCTTAAAATCTTAACAAGACCCTCAGTAAGCATGTTAAGTTTGATAAGTGCATTTTAAGGGTGCTTTTAATCTGGCAATGGTGAAGTAGGATAGTGAGAAGACTTGTTAGGTGGCTCTTGCAAGAGTCCAGGTATGTGATACTGAAGGCCTGAATGGTATAGTGGCAGTGTGAATGGGGATTGATGCAAGCTGCACATTTCTCTACAATCTCTGGAGATTTTAAAAGTAATTCTTGTGCTTAGGTTCCACTCTCAATTTTTTTTTTAATTTTTACAATGGATCTGAGGTGAAACTTAGGTAATGAGTATTTTTAAAAAGGTCCCCTAATGATTCCAAAGGTGCAGCCAAGGTTGAGAACCAGGGCTCCACTGCTCCAGGGATTGGAAGCTTTTAAAGAAACTATATTATCTAATATTTCGTAAGCAGAGTAAAAGTAAACAAGGATGTGGCATACTAGTAACACAAAAGTGATTTATACAAAAAAGACGCTATTCATTGTAAATGTTTGTGTTAGCTTTTCTTTTTTTTTTTTTTTTAACAAATAGCCTTTATTCATTTGGGTTGTGAATTATCAAATAAAGTTTATCTTCTCCTACAGATTTTCACTGTATGGAAGTTTGTTCATGCCTTAAATACATTTTTAAACATATATTTAGAAACTAAACACACAGAATACATTGGTTTTTATAAATCGTAATTAATAAATTGAAAATTCTCTGTGGGAAATCACAAGGCATGAATATTATATATCTAATTATGAAATGCAAACTTATTAAGAGACAAACATTTAATTAAAAAGTTAATAGAACATAAGAAATATATTTAGGCAGCTGGTTAATGTAGAGTTAAATAATTTCAATGTGACAGCATTTCCTTGCTGTGTTTTACTTTGACTATTATGAATTGTCAATGTTTCTCAATACTAATGTTAGGGCTCAGTATTATTACCCTTCTTTAGATAGTCTGTTGCACATTTCTGACACCCAGCTGGTATATACCAGTAAGCACTTGGGCTGGGATTACTGAGTCTGCATATCTCGTCTACACATTCAAAGTTTTTTGGTTATTCCTTTTACAGGGCATAATTATTCACAAACAGTATTAGCAATATCAAGCAGTGTCCAAAAGTCAGAGTTTCTACTAATTCAAATTTTTTTCTCTGGTTCTCAGATAAACTCATGCTATTTATTTTGTTGCTTAGAGAAGAAAGGAACTAATTTTTTTTCTTTGAGCGCATGCTCTTTGTCATACATTGTGCTAAAAGCTTTACATGCAAACCCTTTGATTCTCATAGCAAACTTGCCAGGTACCATTAAACTCAAGCTTGCCTGACTTCAAGCTCAGGCACTTTTGACTGAATGCATCATCTTTCCTCGTTAAATGTCCTAGAGCTCAAGACAGGTGATACTTAACAATATTTAGCAGAAAATCCTTTTGCTTGCTCTTATACAGCATCTTTCTTGAGGTTGCTAAAGTAGTATCATAAAATGCTTTATACTTTTGTTTTAAATTCTCTAGCCTTTTATTTCCTTCACAGTGTAAAATGAGGAGTCTTATTGTCAGGTTCCTGCCCACATTTCCAGATTCTTCTTCCATATAACCACACCTGCTATGGGTCCTGTCAAAACAAATCTACTTCAGTTCTCTGAACTTGCCTGTGTTCTTCTAAGCTGTTCTTCTGTCCATATTGTTTTTTGCTCTGACTGAAATGCTTTTATTCCTTGTTAATTCTATGACACATTTTTAACCTTCTGTATTAATCTGGGTTCTCCAGAGAAACAAAATCAGTAGGATTTATGTATATTGATAGATATAGATATATAGATTTACTATAAGGAATTGGCTCACATGGTTTTGGAGGCTGAGAAGTTCTAGGATCTGCAGTCAACAAGTTGCAAATGATAGATATAGTCTGAGTCTGAAGACTTGAGACCCAGGAGGGCTGATGGAGTGTAAGTTTCTGTCTAAGTCAAGTGTCAAGGGAGAAGACTGATGTCTCAACTCAAAGATAGTTGGGTAAAGAGTAAATTCTTTCTTACTCTGCCTCTTTGTTGTACTCAGGCCTTCAGTGGGCTGGATAAGGCCCTCCCACATTGGGAAGGGCCATCTGCTTTATTTAGTTTACTGATTCAAACGTTAATCTCATTCAGAATCACTCTCACAGACAAACCCAGAATAATGTTTAACCAAATATATGGATACCCCATGACCCAGCCAAGTTGATACATAAAATTAATCACCACATCTTTCTTCAAGATTTAACCTAAAGGTCACCTATGCTTTACAGCCTTTCCTGAGCATTCCAGGCTAACTTAATTGCCTCTCACACCCTGTTGAACAGGGTAGCATGCTACCCTGTTCAACTGATCTATTTCTTTTTTGAAAGGGCATACAACTAGACTACGTTACTCAAGCTCCCTTGTGCTTTGGTGAAGCCATGCCATCTCACACTTTTCTTCCACACAATCTACTTCTCTCTCTTCTCCTGTCTGTTAGTTGTTTGCTTATACAGACAAGGAATCTTTAGGGGCCATGTATTGAAGATGCAGGTAGCAGTGTTCCTGAACGTTTGCAAGGAAGACATCAGTCACTCTTTCACCCTGCCAAAGCTTCACTGTCCTACTGATTGAATTGTATGTGAGAAATAAAATGTCATCATATTAAGCCACTGGGATTTGTATGTTTATCTGTTATAGCAGCAAGTCTTAATTTACCTAATACACACATTGTGACAGATGTTCTTAATGTCCCACCCCATATTGTTACATGTCCAGCTTTGAGATCCCTGCATGTGGGGTAGAGTTTCTGGCATGCTGATCAATTCCCACTTTAAGCATCTGTGCCTCTGTGCCTCTGTGCCTCACTGTATGAAGGATTTATCTGGCACCATAGAAACTTACCATGCACAGTGACAACCTAGAAGAGTGAGAGAGAGCCTCAGCCAACAGGGGACCAGAGTCAGTGGATAAGATGCTTGAGGCTTTCCATCTACCAGTGAGATAAATATGAAGCATGTTTCATATGGTTCTCAGAGGGTTCACAGTGGGATTTAGCCCCAGTGCCCACAGTACTCTGCTCGTTAACGTACTGTTTATATTGGCCTTTCTCCATTCCCCATCTCACATATACTTCCTGGAATCACATCAAATAAACTGCACCTAAGGTCTTCTATCTAGGTCAGCTTTTGGGGGACCCAAAAGAAGACACATATCTAATATAGCTTATCTCACATTGCTTTAAACCTTTGTGCTTATGTCTATGTCTTCCACTAGATTATGAGACTCCTAAGGGACTATAGTAGGTAGAATTTTAGATGGCTCCTAAGATTCCTGCTTCCTGGTACACATGCTCTGAATAATCTCCCCTTGAGTGTGAGAAGGACTTTTGAATATGATATAGTCACTCTTTTGATTAGGCTACAATATATGGCAAAGATAATGATTGTTACTTTATACACAATTTAGCTGACTAAAGTCAGAGATTCCCCTGCTGACCTTGAAAAAGCAAGTCACCCTTCAGTATAATAATAATAAAATCAAAAAAAAAAAAAAAGAAAAAGCAAGTCACCATGAATTCAACAGGTGCAAAGAAATAAATTCTGTCAACAATCAAGTGACTTTGGAAGAGGTTCCTGAGCCTCAGATGAGACCCCAGCCTGGCCAACACTTTGAAGCCTTGTGAGAATGACCATCCAACTAAGCCTTGCCCTGACTCCTGACCCACGGAAACTGTGCGATAATAAATGTATATTGTTTTAAGCTATGACGTTTGGGATAATTTCTTACATCATAGACAACTATTGCAGCCATTTGTTATTCTTTTAAAAATTAATATGAACTATTTCAAATATATAGAAAGTAGTAAAGAATAGTATAAATAGTATCATGTATCCAGTATGAAGAAATAGGGTATTACAAGTAATGTTGAAAGTTGTTGTATAGCCTTTTCTAATTCTGCTTTCCTTAATTCTTCCTGAGATGCAACCCACTGTAATGAAGGTGTTGATTAGCATTTATGTGCATTTTTAGAACAGAAATTCGCTATATGTATGTATGTCTAAAAGCAACATATAATATCATTTATTTCTGTTTGATTTCTCCTCTATTAGAAATAGATTAAAATGCTTTCATTATCATTGTTTCCTGTTAATTTTTTTTGTATCATCGTCCAGTTTTACATTATGAATTTTAACATTTTGTTAGTTGCTGTGACAGAGACATTTAATATTACTGAATAAGCATGTGCGTCATCACATCTGTCAGCTCCCTAGCAGTTGGGTCATGCCATGTGACAAGTTCTGGCCAACTGGTTGGCAGTTGGCAACCAAGGAACTGTATGTTGAGATGATTGAGCCACAAGTTTGAAACTGCCAGGACTTCTGAGTCACCACATGGAAAACTGCTCGTCTGCAGAGTTATAAAATTTGGCTAGGACTTCATGTGAGTGAGAAATAAAGCCTTTGTTTGTGAAGCCAGTATAACTTATTATGTAGCATAGCCTACAATATTCTGTCTGATGTAGAAAAATACAAGTTCATGTTATTTTATGCTGATGTTATTGTGTTCCTTTAATAATTTATCCTTGTTAAACCCTTTGCCTCATATTTTACTTGATAATTTTTGATCATCCCATTATTTTCAACCTTCGTTTTATTTAAGACTTGTAACTAGGCTATAGCTGGGTGTATCTTAAAAATCAAATCTAATAGTTTTTTTCTTCTTTTAGGTATTTTAATCCATTTACATTTTTGGAATTACTAATAGATTTACTTAGACTTGTTTCTGTGGTTTTATTATTATCAAGATTTTAGTTCCAATTTTTAAAAAACAACCATCATTAGCTGTCATTTGATATTATAGTCAGTAGTTGGTACAATTTGTTAGCTTATTGTTAAAAAATTGTTTTCTGTATTTAGTGTTGTTTTATTCCAGCCCCTTATTTAAAAGGCTTTTCCCTCTGAGCTCATCATTGATCTGGATGAGGTGCATACTCTTTTAACAGTGTTTATTACATGTGTATGCGAAGGTCTGTAGATAATACGCTCCATTAAACTCTTTTGCATATGAAAATGTCTTTATTTCGCCTTTACCTTTGAATGATGTGTATAGCATTCAGTTATTTTTCTAAAATGTTTTGCTGATATTACTTTACAAACTTCTGGTAGCTATAATTGCTGTGGATAAGTCAGCTTTTAGCTGAACTGTCATTCCTTTGTAGATAGTCTTTAACTTATTCTGAGGTTTTTCTTTATCAGGAAGTTCTGAAATTTCACTATAATACATCTATTTTTTAACATCATATTTGAATTTAATTTTTGATCTGGGAGTTTCAGTTTTTAATTCTTGAATATTCTTAATCATTGCCTCTTCACCATTCCTTCCGTTTTTTTTTTTTTTTTTCTGAACCTCTCACTAAACACACCTGAGGTCACTCTCAAATCTGTTTTTCTTGTTCCTTGTTTGCTCTTTATTTTCATTATCTTTCCAAGTTCTGGGTGAATTCCCCACTACTAATTGTCTCTTTGTCTGAGTTTATTTTTAAGTTTGATTGCATTTTTTATTTCAATGACTATATTTCAACTTTGAAAGCATTTAATTAATTCTTTTTCATATCTATTTGGTTGTTTCAGCTGTATCTTATTTTGTTTTATAATTTGTTATTTTTGTATGAGATTATTTCTGTGTTAATCTCTGTGAATGCATTGTTTCACAGATAAAGGTTCTAAGAATTTATTTTCCTTGCAATAATTTATTTTGCAATTGTGGATTTTGTTTTCTATTTTCCTTAAATATTTCTTCATATGTTTTAGAATATTTTGAGGTTTTTTTTTTGAGATAGAAAGTATTTGTTCCTCTTTCTCTTTTTAAAATTCATTGAAGTTCACCTAACAAAATCAACCATTTTAACGTGAGCAATCCAGTGGTATTTAGTACATTCACCATGTTTTATAATCACCACCTCCATCTAGTTATATAACATTTCCACCTCTCCAAAAGATAATCTCATATCCATTAAGCATTTTATCCCCGTTTCCTCTCCTCTGAGTCCCTGACAATCATCAGTTTGCATTCTGTCTCTATACATACAGCTATTCTGAATATTTCATGCAAACAAAGGCATTACAAAATGTGACCTTTTGTGTCTGGCTTCTTTCACTTAGCATTATGTTTTTGAGGTTCATCAACGTTATAGTATGTATCAGTACTTCATTTCTTTTTATGTATGGGTAGTATTCCATTGTATGTACAGACCACAGTTTGTTTATCCATTCATCTGATGATGGACATCTGAGCTGTTTCCACCTTTTGGCTACTGCAAATAGTGCTTCTGTGAATAAACATGTGCATGCACTTGAGTACCTGTTTTCAATTCTTGGGTAAATACCTAGTTTACACCTGGGAGTGGAATTGTGGGGCATAGTAGGGTTTTTCCCTGCAATAAACTGTTATTTAAGAACAGTTCTAGATTTACATAAAATATATGAAGATTGATACAGAATCCCATATATGCCATATCCAGTTTCCAGGGTTACTAACATCTTACATTAGTATGGTACATTTGTTACAATTAATGACACAACATTGATATATACATATAAACTGAAGTCCATACTTTATTCAAATGTCCTAGTTAGGTTTTTACCTAATGCCTTTACTTTGCTCCAGAATCCCATGCAGTATATACCACATTATAGTTTGTCATCCTGTCCTTTAGGTTCCTCTTGGCTGTGACAGTTTTTTTTGAAGATTAATTGATTTCCTCATTTTAATTTTATTTTTAATTGACAAATAATGCATATATTTATTGAGTACAATACAAAGTTTTAATATATGTTTACAATGTGAAATAATTAAATCAGGCTAATTTACAAATCACCTCATATACTTATGTTTTGTGGTGAAAACATTTAAAATCTACTCTTTCAGCAATTTTGAAATATACATCATTATTTATTATAGTCACCGTTCTATGCAGTAGATCACTATAGCTTTTTCCTCCTGTCTGACTGAAACTTTTTAACCCTTCGATCAACATCTTTCCTTTCACCATTCACCTCTTCCCCCAGCCTCTCATAGCCACCATTCTACTTTCTACCCCTGTGAGTTTAACTTTTTTAGATTTCACATATAAGGGAGATCATGTGGTGTTTGTCTTTCTGTGCCTGGTTTATTTTACTTAGCATAATGTCCCTCAGGTTCATCCACATTGTTGCAAATAAAAAGATTTACCCCCTTCTTTTAAGGTTGAATAGTATTCCATTGTGTATATATACCACATTTTAAAAATCAATTTATCTGATGATTGACACCTAGTTGGTTCTATATCTTAGCTATTTTGAATAATGCTGCAGTGAACATGGAAGTGGAAATGTCTCCTCAGCATACCGATTTTAATTCCTTTGGATATATACCCAGAAATGGGATTACGGATCACATGATCATTCTATTTTTAGTTTTCTGAGAAACCTCCAAACTATTTTCCATAATGGCTGTATTTTACATTTCGGCCAACAGTGCCCAGGGTTCCCTTTTCTCCATGCCCTTGAAAACACTTGTTAACTTTTGAAGTATGACAGTTGTTCAAACTCTTTTGATGTCTATTGCAGTTTTGAGGAGTACTGTTTAGCTATTTTGTAGAATGCCTCTCAATTGGAATTTTTGTTTTGTTTTGTTTTGAGACAGGGTTTACCTCTGTTGCCTAGGCTGGAATACAGTGGCGTGGTCATAGCTCACTGCATCCTCGAACTACTGAGCTTAAGCAGTTCTCCGCCTCAGCCTCCCAAGTAGCTGGAACTGCAAGAGCATGCCACTGTGCCCAGGTAATTTTTTTTACTGTTTTGTAGAGACAGGGTCTTGCTATGTTGTCCAGGCTGGTCTTGAACTCCTGGGCTCACATGATTCTCCTGACTCAGCCTCCCAAAGTGTTGGGATAACAGGTGTGAGCCACCCTATCTGGCTTAATTGGAAGTTGTTTGATTTTTGTTCATAATTACACTGGGGTTGTTTTGGGAGGAAGATCACAGAGGTAAAGTGCCATTTTAATCACTTCATGTCAAGGGTACATATTATCAACATAATTATTACCATTGATGTTGACCTTTATCTCCTGGCTGTGGTAGTTTTTGCCAAGTTTCTAAAATTCTTTTTTAACTTGAAAGGAAGTAACTATTTGCATTCCACACAGTGAAGAGTTGTGCTCCATCTCCTGGATTGCGGAGTATCTATGTAAATAATTTGGAGCTCTTCTCTATGAGAGATTTGTCTCTTTTTATTTATTTATTTATTTATCCAAGCATTTATATTTATATCAGCACTTATGTCAGCATGATATTTATTTTAGAGTTTGGGTTATAATCCAATATTACTTAATTTTGTTGCTCAAATTATTCACATGCACTGCACCTGTTTTTATCTGAGAAATGATGAATTGAGGCATGAATCGGATTTTCTTCTTTGCCTTGTTCCAGAAAGCTTAGAGCCACATCTGTGACCTTGCAAAAATTGCTCAGAAATTGATGCATTTTTACATTATTCTGATGTCTGACTCTGGTCTGTTGGTAGCGTTGTTCTTCTTTCTTCTTTTCACTTTTTTCTGTTTCATATTATCTTGCTGTGTTTTATAAATTTAAGCCACTTTAAATTCTTTTGGAAAGAAGGCCAGAAGAAGCTATCTGTCTTTATTTATCTTCCTTTTATTCCAACAATCATCCATGTCTCTTCTGTCTCTCACTACATATGAACTGACTACTGCCAATGCTCCATCTGGGATCCTGATGCCATGGCCCTGCTTTGGGGGGCTGCTGGGCATTGCCTTGCCATGAACTGCTATACAGAGCTGTGCCAGGTGTTGGACAGCTGCCTGGCCAGGCTTCACATCAAGCTGGTTTCTCACTGGCAGAGCCAGAGTAGCTAGAGTGAGATTTTACCTTCAATGGGCTCCTTTGGGCTCATTGTTTTTCTTTGCTCTTTTAACAGATTGTCTAACTAACTGCACTGGCAGAAAAGGTGGCCATTGTGAAATATGTAACAATTGTTAATGCCTTGAAGAAGAATTTTGTAGAACATGGTGATCTTGGTTACCTGCTTGCTTTGGTGCTGTTTAAAGCTTCAGCTCTAATTCAACAGAAACCTGTATTCCTAGTTCATTTCAAAGAGTCTAAGTTTCTTTTTACTGTGAAGAGTCTAGTGGTACCTTCCTCCACAGGTTATGGCTGGGATGGAGTAAGATAAAGTTAGCAAAGTTTTCAACATAGGGCCAGCACATGGCTCTAAAAATGGTAGCTGTTATGGTCATCAGAGTGAACCAATTTACATCAATATCCGAAGTTTAACTTTGTTATTTCTGCTCTATGCTTTGTTTTGTAATTGGAAGTGCAGTGGAGAGCAAGTGGGCTGAAGTCATGGCTGGAATGATCTTGGCCACTAAGCTTGTAGAAAAGAGTCTCAGCTTAAAAGCTTGGGGTTAGAGAGTTGTGGATTCAAATACCACCTCTGTCATTTAGTTGCTGTATTATTTGGGGCTAAGTACTTAACCTCTTTTAGGCTCAGTTTCTCCATCCTTAAAATGGTGATAATGAAGCTACCTCGGAGAGATGTCATGAGGTGAAAGGAGAGTGCTATGTGGCACACTGCTGTCAATAAATTAGCTTGCAAAGACAGTTGCATTTAAATGTTAGTGACTATCAAGCAGATAGAAGAGAGAAAAAGAATATTCCTCTATTTAAAATAAGTTCTCATTTTGCAGATGAAACTTTGCAACTCAGAGAGGCAGAGTAACTTGCTCAGGTTTGTTTTGTTTTGTTTTGTTTTGTTTTGTGTGTGTGTGTGTGTTTTTATCACAGAGCTTGCAACTGAGACATGGATATGAGGAGTAGTTGAAATATGTATGTTTTTCTGAAGTGGAAGCCCCTGTGCGAGGCAGACAAGGAGGAAAAACTCACAGTTAATGAGAAGAAATGTCTGATGTGCATGGCCATTCTTCTGAAGGTGGCTCCATAAACATTTGTGTTTGAGGTGACTATGGTTCTTGACCTTGTTTTGGGCCCAGAGTCCTTTGGGCTAGATTTATAAATATTTAGAGTAAGCATGAGGGCAAGAGTGTGACCTGAGGTGAGGCTCAAAGAGGGCCCTGAGGTGGGTCACCCAGAATACTGAAGGTCAAGCTCATTTATCTGGGCCAGTGAAGACTTTTAAGTATGGGTGGGTATTTATAATTTAGCCATTACTCTGTGTCTGGGAGAATGATCTGACTCTGGAACTGGGGAGATTCTGGTAGCATCTTCTGTCCCAGAGTTCACACCCATCTCTCTCAGGACCTCACTTTCCCGCCTGTTCCCTGGCAGTTCCTCCTCTGGTCCTTTCACTAAGTGACAAACATATTTCACTTGTGAGTGTTTACAACCCTGAGGAAATATTTTTACCAGAAGAAGATGTCCTGCCACAGCTGGAAAGACTGTTAGAGTTTTGTTCACAGTTTCTGAGGGTCAGGAATCTGGTGGCAAGGCTGCAGTCTTTAAAGCTTTGCTGAAGTTGGCCTGTCTGCTTCTAAAAAGGCTCCCTCACATTCCTGTTGTCAGGAGGTCTTAGCTCCTCAGCATGCCAACCTTTGCACATGGCTTCTCACAATGTGGCAGCAGGCTCCCCACAACCTGCCTTTGCTGCTGTAGGAGATTTTTAAAGATATTTTCTCTGTGTTTTTTTTTTTTTTTTTTTTTTTGACGGAGTCTTGCTCTGTCGCTCAGGCTGGAGTGCAGTGGTGCGATCTGGGCTCACTGCAGCCTCTGCCTCGCGGGTTCAAGCAATTCTCCTGCCTCACCCTCCCAAGTAGCTGGGACTACAGGCATGTGCTGCCATGCCCAGCTAATTTTTGTATTTTTAGTAGGGACGGGGTTTCACCATGTTGGCCAGGATGGTCTTGATCTCCTGGATCTTGTGATCCACCCACCTTGGCCTCCCAAAGTGCTGGGATTGCAGGCGTGAGCCACGGTGCCCGGACTTTCTCTGTTTTTTCCTATGTGTTCACCAACTTTTTGCAGAGAGATTTGCAAATGCTTCTCCCTGCATCCTTAAGCCCAAAAGAAGGAGATTGATATTAGCAGCCTAGAGCTACTTTTCTATTATAACATTGGGGATATTGCAAATCAGTCACACAACCAGTGAGTGGCTTGACTTACCAGTAGTCACTAGGCAATCCTCATCCTAAGCCAACAGTCTCTTGTAAGGCATAGGTTCAGGCAGTAATTTAAAGCAACTTTTTGAAGCCTTATTTTATGAATAAGGAATTCTCATCTAAGTCTCTGTCTTCCACTGGGGATTTTGGCTATACCACCTGTGATGGTTAATGCTGAGTGTCAACTTGATTGGATTGAAGGATGCAAAGTATTGATCCTGGGTGTGTCTGTGAGGGTGTTGCCAAAGGAGATTAACATTTGAGTCAGTGAGCTGGGAAAGGCAGACCCACCCTTGATTTGGGTGGGCACCATTTAATCAACTGCCAGCATGTCTAGAATATAAAGCAGGCAGAAAAACGTGAAAATGCTAGACTGGCTTAGCCTCTGAGCCTACATCTTTCTCCTTTGCTGGATGCTTCCTGCCCTTGAACATCAAACACCAAGTTTTTCAGCTTTGGGACTTGGGCTGGCTTCCTTGTCCGCAGCTTGCAGATGGCCTATTGTAAGACCTTGTGATTGTGTGAATTAATACTACTTAATAAACTCCCATATATATATATATATATATCCCATATGTAAACTGATATATATATATATATATATCCTATTAGTTGTGTCCCTCTAGAGAACCCTGACTAATACAGATTTTGGTACCAGGAGTGGTTCCAGAGGAACAGAATATTAAGGATGGAATTCTTTCATTGGTTTTGGGCTTTCTGGAGTTGGCTGCTTAATATGACTAGACCCCAAAATCTTAAGGATTCTACTTCTAATAGTATGGAGGCACTGATAGTCCTTGACATGAACTGTTGAGAGAGTTATGCAAAATAAATGCATTTGACACTCCTGATTCACTGCTCATGAGAGGCAAAGAGTTTAGTGACTCCATGCACAATAACTTTGGCCAAGTTGGAGAACCCAGAAACATAATGAAGTTGGTTGGTTGCTCCTAAGTTCACTGGACAAAGTGATAAAAGAAAATGATGAATTCAGGGATTGTAACTCCTGGCTTCAGAAGCAGATCCTGAGCCTCAAATCTGCTAAGATTTCCCTGAGTGAGAGTCTTATCTCCTGTAGAGAAAGAGCTGAAATTGTGGAAAAACAGACACAAGTTCTCATCATGTGAGTGGTTGACCTGCAACGAAAGAAGCATGCACAGCCTCGCCAGGTGTCTACTGTTAAAGTGATGGTATTGATTGGAAAAGAATGGGACCCTGCAACTTGGAATGGGGACGTGTGGGAGGACCCTGATGAAGCTGGGACACTGAGTTTGTAAATTCTGATGAACCTTTTTTTGCCAGAAGAAACAGCTTCCCCATCCCCAGTAGTGGTAATATCCCCTCCCTGACCTACCCCTGACCTACGCTGCCATCAGCCTTTCCACCTTTGTCTGAGGAGATAAACCCTGCACTGCCTGAGGCAACAGTGATGGCCTCCCCTGAGGCAGTTGCCAGGCAAGTTAATGTTGATTCTCCTCAGGAGACACCACCAGTACCCCTGTTTGCTTCTAGACCTATGACTAGACTGAAGTCCTGGCAGACCCTTAGAGGTGAGGTTCACAGTGTGACCCAGGAGGAGGTGTGCTACACTTGAAAATAACTGCTTGAGTTTTCTAATTCATATAAGCAGAAATCTGGAGAACAGGCATAGGAATGGATATTAAGGGTGTGGGATAATAGTGGAAGGAACATAAAGTTGAATCAGGCTGAATTTATTGATTTGGGCCCACTAAGTAGGGACTCTGCATTTAATGTTGCAGCTTGAGGAGTTAAAAAAAGGTTCTAATTTGCTTGGTTAGCTGAAATACGGCTTAAAAGATAGCCCACTGTGAGCAAGCTGGAAATACCTGATCTCCCTTGGTTTAATGTAGATGAAGGAATCCAAAGGCTCAGGGAGATTGGGATGGTGGAGTGGCTTAGTCACTTTAGACCTACTTATCCCAGCTGGGAGGGTCCAGAAGATATACTCTGACCAGTGTTTGGTGAAATAGATTTGTAAGGGCAGCACCTGCATTTTTGAAGAGCTCTGTAATTGCTCTTCACTGTATGTCAGATCTAACAGTGGGAACCACAGTCATTCAACTATAAAATTTAAATACAGTGGGAATAATTGGATCCCAAGGTGGTAGCGGTCAAGTGGCGGCACTCAACTGTCAAAGGCAAGGTGGGCATAGCTACTGTAATGGACACCAGAGGCAAAGCAGTGATCAAAATAGTCTGACTTATGTAGAGCTCTGGCATTGGCTAATTAATCGCAGTGTTCCTAGAAGTGAAACTGATAGGAAGCCTATTGCATTCCTGCTTAACTTATATAAGCAGAAAACTTCCAGGTCACATAGACAAAAGACCAATTTGAGTTATAAAACAGAGAATCATGGTCCCTCAATCAATTTCCAGACTTGAGACAGTTTGTAGACTCAGAACCCCTTGAATGAAAGGGAGGCCAGGTCCCCTTGAGGAAGGATCACACTCTACTACCGACAATTTATGCTGTTAACTTTCTTCCAGCCTTCCCCAAGGAGACCTCTGGCCTTTTACCAGGTTAACTGTGCAATGGGGAAAGGGAAATGATCAGACATTTGGGGGACTACTGGACATTGTCTCTGAGCTGACGTTGATTCCAGAGGACCCAAAACATCATTGTGGTCCTCCAGTTAAAGTTGGGGCTTATGGAGGTCAGGTATAAAGGAGTTTTAGCTCAGGTCCAACCTACAGTGGATCCCCAGACTCATCCTCTGGTCATTTCTCCAGTGCCAGAATGTATAGTTGGCATAGACATACTTAGCAGCTGGCAGAACCCCCACATTGGGTCCCTGACTGGTAGAGTGAGGGCTACTGTGGTGGGAAAGGCCAAATGGAAGCCATTAGAGATGCTTCTACCTAGAAAAATAATCAATATTGCATCCCTGGAGGGATTGTGGAGATTAGTGCCGCCATCAAGGACTTGAAAGACGCAGGGGTGGTGATTCCCACCACATCCCCATTCAACTCTCCTATTTAGCCTATGCAGAAGACAGATGGATCTTGGAGAATGACAGTGGATTATCGTAAGCTTAACCAAGTGGTGACTACAATTGCAGCTGCTGTACCAGATGTGGTTTCATTGCTTAAGAAAATTAACACATCTCCTGGTACCTGATAGGCAGCCATTGACTTGGCCAATGCCTTTTTCTCCATTCCTGTCCATAAGGCCCAGCAGAAGCAATTTCTCTTCAGCTGGCAAGGCCAGCAATATATCTTTACTGTCCTGTCTCAGAGGTTTGAGAGACAGCTCTTGGTCTGTTACTGGGCTTTGGTGGAAACTGAACGTTTGACTATGGTTCATCAAGTCACCATGCGACCTGAATTGCCTATCATGAACTGGGTGCTTTCTGACCCATCTAGCCATAAAATGGGTCATGCATAGCAGCATTCCATCATTAACTAGAAGTGGTATATAAGTGATTGGACTTGAGCAGGTCCCAAAGGCACAAGTGAGTTACATGAGGAAGTGGCTCAAATGCCCATTGTCTCCACGCCTGCCACCCTGCTTTCTCTTCCCGAGCCTGCACCGTTGGCCTCAGGGGGAGTTCCCCATGATCAGTTGACAGAGGAAGAGAGACTAGGGCCTGGTTCACAGATGGTTCTGCACAATATGCAGGCACCACCCTAAATTGGATAGCTGCAGCACTATAGTCTCTTTCTAGGACATCCCTGAAGGACAGTGGTGAAGGGAAATCTTCCCAGTGGGCAGAACTTTGAGCAGTGCACCTGGTTGTGCACTTTGCATGTAAGGAGAAATGGCCAGATGTGTGATTATATACTGATTCATGGGCTGTAGCCAATGGTTTGGCTGGATGATCAGGGACTTGGAAGAAGCATGATTGGAAAATTGGTGACTAAGAAATTTGGGGAAGAGGTATGTGGGTGGACCTCTCTGATGGGTCAAAAACTGTGAAGATATTTGTATCCCATGTGAGTGCTCACCAATGAGTGACCTCAGCAGAGGAAGATTTTAATAATCAAGTGGATAGGATGACCCATTCTGTGGACACCACTCAGCCTCTTTCCCCAGCCACCCCTATCATTGCCCAATGGGCCCATGAACAAATTGGCCATGGTGGCAGGGATGGAGGTTATGCATGGGCTAAGCAACATGGACTTCCACTCACTAAGGCTGACCTGGCTACAGCCACTGCTGAGTACCCAACAGCAGAGATCAACAATGAGCCCTTGATATGGCACCATTCCTTGGGGTGATCAGCAAGCTACCTTGTGGCAGGTTGATTATATTGGTCCTCTTCCATCATGGAAAGTGCAGAGGTTTGTCCTCACTGAAATAGACACTTACTTCAGATATGAGTTTGCTTATCCTGCATGCAGTGCTTCTGCCAAGACTACTGTTTGTGGACTCATGGAATGCCTTATCTACCATCATACTATTCCACACAGCATTGCCTCTGACCAAGGCACTCACTTTATTGCTAAACAATGGCCGCAGTGGACTCATGCTCATAGAATTCACTGGTCTTACCATGTTCCCCATCATCCTGAAGCAGCTGGATTGATAGAACAGTAGAATGGCCTTTTGAAGTCATGATTACAATGCCAACTAGGCAATAGTTTGCAGGGCTGGGGCAAAGTTCTCCAGAAGGCCATGTATGCTCTGAATCAGCATGCAATATGTGGTACTGTTTTTCCCATAGCCAGGATTCACAGGTCCAGGAATCAAAACACATGGAAGTGGAAGTGGCACCACTCACCATTGCCCCTAATGATCCTCCCGCAAAATTTTTGCATACTGTTCCCTTGACATTATGTTCTGCTGGCCTAGAGGTCTTAGTTTCAGAGGGAGGAACACTGCCACCAGGAGACACAACAATGATTCCATTAAACTGGAAGTTAAGATTGCCACCCGGACACTGGGCTTCTCCTACCTTTAAGTCAACAGGCTAAGAAGAGACTTACAATGTTGGCTGGGGAGATTGACCCAGACTGTCAAGATGAAATCAGTCTACTATGCCACAGTGGAGGTAAGGAAGAATATGTGTGGAATACAGGATATCCATTAGGGCATCTCTTAGTATTACCATGCCCTGTGATTAAGGTCAGTGGGAAAGTTCCACAGCCCAATCCACGCAGGAAGACAAATGGCCCAGACCCTTCAGGAATGAAGGTTTTGGTCACTCCACCAGGAAAAAAACCACAAGGCAAAGGGAGTACATAATTGGTAGTAGAAGGAGGTAGTCATCAATACCAGCTACGACTATGTTGCCAGTTGCAGAAATGAGGACTGTAATTGTCATGAGTATTTTCCCTTTCTTTTGTTAAAAACATGTTTGTGCACGTATACACTTGTACTAAGAAAATATCTTCATTTTATTTCCTTTTTCCTTTATCATGTGACGTAAGATTTATTGACTTCACATCAGCATTGAAGTATTGTTAACTTTATGTAATTGCATTTGGGTTGGGGGATTGGTGCATTTCTAGTTGTATAAAGGATAGTTGTATTATGTTAGGTGTAATTACGACCTTATTACTGTCTTTATTTGAAGATCATGTATGATCTCAGGAGATGTGTATGGGTTCAAGTTGACAAGGGGTGGACTTGTGATAGTTAATACTGACTGTCAACTTGATTGGATTGAAGGATGCAAAGTATTGATCCTGGGTGTGTCTGTGAGAGTGTTGCCAAAGGAAATTAACATTTGAGTAAGTAGGCTGGGAAAGGCAGACCCACCCTTAATCTGGGTGGGCACCATTGAATCAGTTGCCAATGTGGCCAGGATATAAAGCAGGCAGAAAAACGCAAAAAGGCTGGACTGTCCTGGCCTCCTAGCTTACATCTTTCTACCGTGCTGGATGATTCCTGCCCTTAAACACTGGACCCCAACTTCTTCAGCTTTGGGACTTGGGCTGGCTTCCTTGCTCCTCAGCTTGCAGATGACGTATTGTGAGACCTTGTAATTGTGTGAGTTAATACTACTTAATAAACTCTCCTTTATGTAATCTACCTATCTTATTAGTTCTGTCCCTCTAGGGGGCCCTGGCTAATACACTACCCTACTTAGTATTAAGTTCTGATGCTCCAGTGTGCTCTTCAGGCCTATGCATTAGCCATTCTCTTTGGAAAGCTCCTTTCCAGAATTTCACATGACTCGTAGCTTTACCTCATTAGAGAAGACTTTCCTGACCAATACACTGAAGGTAAAACACAACTCTTGTCTCCCACTAAAGTGTAAATGCCATGAGAACAGGGACTTCATTGGGTTTGTATACAGCTCTATGCCCAAGGCCTTGCAGAGAAACTGGTATATAATGTGTACTCAATAAATGTTTTTAAAAAATAAATGTCTGAATGAAATTTTGATGTTGTATGTAGCAAGGTTGTATAAACCTGAAAAGGGAGAAAGGAGGAAGCAACAAAATTAACATTGCTTAACAAGCATTATGCTCTATGCACTCTACTAGGTACTGTTAATATATTATCCTACTTAATCTTCATATACCTATAAGGCCAAGATCAAAGTCATACTGCTAATTAATGACAAAGATAGATTTCAAGGTCTGACTATACTGAATTTATATATCAAGTAATTTTAAGTAAGAACGATCACTGACTATTTAAAGGAAGAAGGCAAATTCTATTGTATTGTAAGTAAATACCCATTATATATCTGTGTTTTTGTTAATATTTTATGGTCTATAATAGTCAACTATAGACATAATCTTTTTTTAGTTTTTGACATTTAACATCAACAAATAGAATCCTGAAAACATAGTTGGTGCGTGGAGTCCACGCTGGGACAACTCTTTGCCCTCAGACTCTTTTTGTTTTTTAGGACCGATTATGGGAACCACAGGCAGCCCATTGGGGCTGAAAATGTTTTTTGATCAAGCGAATTACTTCTGCCTTGAATTTGCTTTCTTTGTAATAAATGAGGGAATGGATTAGGTATCCCATCTTCTAAATAGCCATCAAAAATCCTGGTAGGATTCTCATTTTTCTCTGAGCATTAAGACTTTAAAAGTGCAAATGCTTAAATGTTTGGAGTCTTTGGTAATATACTTTCTTTGAAAAGATATCAAAATGGAGTTGTCAGAGGGCTCTAAAAATCACTGGTGAACAAATAATCCTCTAAGGCTGTCAAGGCCTAAGGGGACTTTTATTCAGCCTAGAGAGTTATCTCATTGACAAGGGGCTTACTAAACGCTGAATAGAAGAAAACCCATTTACAAGAAATGGGCCAGTTGGTGCATCAAATCAGTGGTTAATCTAAACCTGGCAGAGAAACACAGGAACTGTGTTAGCTCACGAGAATGCACATGGGTCATACATTTTCCTTCTCATTTCTTCCAATCACAAACAAATTCTGCTTTCTGGGTGGTGTACTGAAGAGTCTGTCCATGGAAGCATGAAGAGAAATTGAGAAATAGTGTGTAGAACATTTAGATTATATAATCTATTTAGGGAACTACTTAAATGTAGCACATTGTAATCAAGCCTTCTGTAGTGCTCTAGTCATGTGAATATAGATTAGTTTTCTTCATGCAAAATTATGCAAACTTTGACTCTGTGTATTATTTTCAGCAATTTGACAGAATACTATTGAATGTAAAATTGAAAACATTTTATAAAGAATGAGAATATGATAGTTATTCAATCAGAAATGTAATTGAATCTTTGGAAAGGACAACACAAATCTTAAAGCATTATGCCATTAACAGACAGCTTTCTAGGGAGAAACCTTGGCCTGGAGTGGAGAGAACATGCATAGGAAAGAGGAATCATGAGTTCCAGCCCTGGTTTTCTCATCTTCTGGCGGTGTGCCCTGGGTTAGCTTACTTTATTTTCCAGGACTCAATCTCCTCATCTGTGAATGAAGATTTACATCAGTTCCATAGTTTTTAGGTTTTGGAACTTTCTTCAAAATATTTATGAAAACACTACGTCTAAGACTAAAATATAAAGCAAATAAAATTAGGGCTGCTTTGGATGGGAGTCGGACAGGATGGTAATGGGCAGTTACATTTCCCTAGTCCTTACTCAAGCTCCAAGGCCCATAAGGGGTTACCACAAAACACGATAAACATATTTCATTTTTGTTAGATAGTCTCTAAGGTTCTGTCCAGATCTGATGCTTTGAGATTCTGTGCTTTTAAATAATAACAAGCTTTCTTTGGATGAGATTTCCTTTTTGAATTACATAAAATTATTCATTTACTCAACTGATACTCATTGAGCTACTGCTATGTACCAGGCATTGTTTAGGTGTAAGAGATAGAGAATTGAACGAACAAATATTCTTCCAATCATGGAACTTACATTTAAAAGTGACAAATAGAAAAATAAATAAATGTGTCATTTACAAAAGTGATAATAAAAGTACTACAAAGATGATAAAAGTACTACAAAGAAAAATAAATAAGTACTACAAAGAAATAAATAAATAAAAAATAAATAAGTACTGCAAAGAAAAATGGTTAGGGGGATGGGGCTTCTGGAGAATATATTGTTATTTTATATAAGGTAGCTAGGAAAGTAGTCATTTAAGAGGAAACAGGGAATATAGAGACCCTGTGGTAGAAACCTGCTTGGTGTGTCCATAACCAGCAGAGAAGCCGATGTAACTCAGATAGACTGGGCAAAGAGGAGTGGTAGCAGAAAATACCACAGAGATCTCCAACAATCAGAGAATAAAGAGAGGATACGACTCATGCAGAACTTGTAGGCCATTGTAAATGTTTTAGATTTTACTCCAAATGAGGTGGGAAATCACTGGGGGGGGGGGGGTTTAATGTAATATATTATAAAATGGATTTTCCTGTCTATTGTGTTGACGATAGCTTTCAAGAAGGCAAGTATGGGAAAAGGGAGATCAACTTGAAGGTTAATGAGACAACCTGTGTAAGATGTGTGATAGCTTGAACTAAGGTAATGATAGGTGTAATGTTGACAAGTTGTTAGTTTCTGGATTTATTTTGAAGACGGAGCCAACAGGATTTATTGATGAATTAGATATGTAGTGTGTGAGAAAGAGAGGAATCAAGAATGATTTCAAGTCTTTCAGATGGGCAATTGGAATGATGGCGTTGCCATTTGGTGACTTGGAAAATACTCCCACAGGAGAAAAATTTAAAGTTAGATAATCCAGAGCTATGCTTTGAACATATGCTTATTAAATATCCAGGTGAATATTGAGTAGGTAGTTGAATATATGAATCTTGAGTTCAGGTGAGAACTCTAGGTTGATTATTAATTTGGAATGAATCAGCATATAGATGTTTGTATTTAAAGCTAACACCCAGGGTGAGTGTAGCTTATAAAAATATTAATAAGAGGCAAAATGCTGAGCATTCCAATATTAAGAAAAAGGGGTTATAGAAAGAAACCAATGAAGGAGACTAGAAGTTATGGTTTGTGATATAGAAGTAGAATCAACAGAAAGAGCATGGAAGCTAACTGAAGAAAAGATTTTGATGAGGAGTAAGTGATGAACTGGGTCATCATATACTATGGCTATGTTAAGAAAGAGGAGATCTGAGAAGGAGGACCTTGACAAGGTTGTTTAAGTGAAGTAATTGTGACTAAAGTCCAACTGGATTGCATTCAACAGAAAAAAAAAAAGAATCAAAGAGCACAATAAACTTTTTGATGAGTTTAACCATAAAGATGAACAGAGTGAAAGTGATGAATAGTAACATGAAGTTATTTATAAGATGAATTATGTTACTACACATTTGTGTGCTAATGGGGGATGGCCCAGAAGAGATGGGGAAATCTGACAATGCCTTAAAGAGAAGAGGATTCCTGGAATGATGCTCTTGAGAAGGTGGAGGATTAAGGGATCTAGGGTATGAGTGGAGGTCATTTAAAGATATGTAGAGAGAAAGAGGACCATTTTGGTACAGATGCATGTTGCTGTGTAGGCATGGTGAAGGAAACTTGTGACAGTTATTTTCTAATTGCTTCAGCTATTTCAGTGAAATGGAAGCCAGATCATTGTCTGGAGGTGGAGGTGTTAAAGATTGAGGAAAGTGGAGAAGCCATGAAATAGTTACAAGGAAAGCCAAAGAATATTTTAGAAAAATATACCATCATTCCTTGGCAGCATGAAGAACCTTCTTGAGGTTAATCATTTTGAATTTAAGAGTAGCCAGCATGATTGTGTGTTTCTTCCCAGCCACTTGTACCTGCATGAATTCAGCTGCAGAGGAAGTATGGGACTGGGTTTAATCAGGGTGGGCAAGATAATTGAGGATGTGATTACAAAGATGTGATTACAAAGATGGCCCATAGAATCTAAGCTGCATGAAGGAGGCTAGAACATAATGGGAATAGTAAACTATAAAAAAAACAAAAGTCAGTAAGTCCTAGTGGGTAAAAGAAATACTAAACATTTTATACTAGATGGAATGAAGAAACACTTGCGGGAGATGGGTGGTAGTTAAGAGAGTAATGTTTAAAATTAAGATTGTGAAGGGGTACAGTTTAGAGCAGATCTGTATAAATATGTGGCTTAAGTGGGGTGAAAGCAACATTATTGAAAGCATAGAGGTCAAGGAACTTGGATAGTGAAATCACCAAGAATATGAAAACAATAGTGTTAGAGAAAATGATAGTGACTATATCTTAATTACAGTAAGATCATATTGTGTTTTAATTGAACATTCAAAGTACATAGAAATTAGAATAGAAGAACCAGTGTCTTTATTTTATAGGATAGTTTTCACTGGAAAAATAAACTTAAAATGGCTGCTCATAAGCTACATTTTGCTGAAGAATGACAGAGATCTTCTAATTGCTCAGGTGTAGATATTAGAAATGTTTGGCAGGCACATCCCCTCGTGGTTCCCCCATCTTTATGATCAACCATCACCTTTTAAACCCCAAAACATTTCAGAATTCTCTAGTCAAAAAAGTAGAAAAGGTCTAACACTTATTTGAGAGGAAGTTCTGCTAACAATTTTTTTTTTGCCATTCTAAATGGATGTATTTCAAATTTACCTGATTTTTCTTATAAACTAAGTGAATCATACACATGAAAATATAAACATTTATTTTTAGAATTAGATATTATAATCTGAACAGTAATGTATGTTTTTCTTTATGCCAATATTGCACTGTTTTCATTACTGTTGTTTTGTAATATGTTTTTAAATAAGAAAATATTATGATGCCTATACCTTTATCCTTTCCCAAGAGTATTTTGGCTATTTGAAGTTTTCTTGTGTGTTTCCATATGATTTTTAAAATTGTCTTTTCTATTTCTGTAAAAGTCAAATATCTCAAAAGATATTAGTATCCCAGGATTTATTGCAGTAGTATTCACAATCATCAAATTGTGGGAAGAACCTAAATGTTCATCATAGATGAACAAATAAAGAGAATGTGGTATATAAACACAAGTCAATGCTATTCAATTAACCTTAAAAATTAATGAAATTCTACCATATGCAAGAACATGAATGAACATGAGTAAAGACATTATGCTAAGCAAAATAAGCCAGTCACAGAAGGCAAATACTGTATGATTCCACTTATATGAAGTTTCTGAAGTCATCAAACTCATAGAATCAGGACTAGAATGGTGGTTATCAGGGGCCGGAGAGGAAGGGAAACAGGAAATTGCTAATCGACAGGCACAAAGATTCAAAGATTCTTCCTTGTGAAAGATCAATAAGTTCTAGAGATCTGTGTTTATGGTTAACATGTGTCTACAGTTAACAAAACTTCTATTATACACATAAAAATTTAGTGAGTAGATCTCATGTTAAGTGTTTTTACCACAATAATATTTTAAAACAGACAATAGTGAAGTACAAATACAAATATTAACTATGAAGCATTAAAGCTATCTCTATCATCTCTACATTTTGAAATAAATTATTTGAAAACTGCAAAAAATAATATGCTAAATTGACCCCAGATAAAAGCAATAAACACATCACATCTTGTAGTCCTATCTCTTCTGCAATTAGTGTCTCTGTCTCACATTTACGTTGTCTCAATTAGTGTCTTATCTTTAATTTGGAGAATGTTCTAGGTTATAGCCTTATGATTTCAAAGCATTTTCTACCTGGAAGTGACCCTAGAATTCAACTCAAATCACCTCGTCTATCAGTAAGAAAACTAAAGACCGTGGATGGAATATAATTTATTCAAGGTCATATTACTAATGGAAGTTTGCAACTAGAAACTAAAACTCTCATGCATATCTACCGTATATCACACCATTCAAATATTAGTTGTAAATAAAATTTGGCAAGTTAACAACTTGAAACTGGAAATGTTAATGATTCTTTACCTTTAAAGAGCTTACTCAATTGAGACAGCTATTCTGCTGAGTTACCACAGCACTGAAGAAGCATAGTTGGAGTCTGGGGGAATCTAAGCATTGACATCTGTAACAGTGGCATTTCTTTTTTTTTTTTTTTTCTGTAGACTAGAAAAAAATTTTTTTTTTTTATACTTTAAGTTTTAGGGTACATGTGCACCTTGTGCAGGTTAGTTATATATGTATACATGTGCCATGCTGGTGCGCTGAACCCACTAACTCGTCATCTAGCATTAGGTATATCTCCCGATGCTATCCCTCCCCCCTCCCCCCACCCCATAACAGTCCCCAGAGTGTGATATTCCCCTTCTGGAGGCATCACACTACCTGACTTCAAACTATACTACAAGGCTACAGTAACCAAAACAGCATGGTACTGGTACCAAAACAGAGATATAGATCAATGGAACAGAACAGAGCCCTCAGAAATAACGCCGCATATCTACAACTATCTGATCTTTGACAAACCTGAGAAAAACAAGCAATGGGGAAAGGATTCCCTATTTAATAAATGGTGCTGGGAAAACTGGCTAGCCATATGTAGAAAGCTGAAACTGGATCCCTTCCTTACACCTTATACAAAAATCAATTCAAGATGGATTAAAGACTTAAACGTTAGACCTAAAACCATAAAAACCCTAGAAGAAAACCTAGGCATTACCATTCAGGACATAGGCATGGGCAAGGACTTCATGTCTAAAACACCAAAAGCAATGGCAACGAAAGACAAAATTGACAAATGGGATCTAATTTAACTAAAGAGCTTCTGCAGAGCAAAAGAAACTACCATCAGAGTGGACAGGCAACCTACAAAATGGGAGAAAATTTTCGCAACCTACTCATCTGACAAAGGGCTAATATCCAGAATCTACAATGAACTCAAACAAATTTACAAGAAAAAAACAAACAACCCCATCAAAAAGTGGGCAAAGGACATGAACAGACACTTCTCAAAAGAAGACATTTATGCAGCCAAAAAACACATGAAAAAATGCTCATCATCCCTGGCCATCAGAGAAATGCAAATCAAAACCACAATGAGATACCATCTCACCCCAGTTAGAATGGCAATCATTAAAAAGTCAGGAAACAACAGGTGCTGGAGAGGACGTGGAGAAATAGGAACACTTTTACACTGTTGGTGGGACTGTAAACTAGTTCAACCATTGTGGAAGTCAGTGTGGCGATTCCTCAGGGATCTAGAACTAGAAATACCATTTGACCCAGCCATCCCATTACTGGGTATATACCCAAAGGACTATAAATCATACTGCTATAAAGACACATGCACACGTATGTTTATTGCGGCATTATTCACAATAGCAAAGACTTGGAACCAACCCAAATGTCCAACAATGATAGACTGGATTAAGAAAATGTGGCACATATACACCATGGAATACTATGCAGCCATAAAAAATGATGAGTTCATGTCCTTTGTAGGGACATGGATGAAAGTGGAAATCATCATTCTCAGTAAACTATCGCAAGAACAAACAATCAAACACCGCATATTCTCACTCATAGGTGGGAATTGAACAATGAGATCACATGGAAACAGTGGCATTTCTAAATAAAGTCTGATCACAAGCTTCTAAGTGTACTAATACTTACTACATAGCATTACTACTAGAAACATATAAGTAAGATTCTTCTTCCAAAAGTTTAAGTTTCTGTTCTGGATTATAAAAGCATAAGTAGCATTATTGCTTCTAAAATTCATATTTAAGGCTCTTAGTAATAGCGATACTATATTCAGAGATGAAGAAGTATAATATTTCCTTATAATAAAAAACTCTACTATAAATTTTCTTGATTAACTTTTATCCTGTTTTCTACATCATAACTGATATTAGAACTTCCTTATTTCAAAGGAATATTTCTTATTCCTTCTTAGTCCTTAGGAATATAACTGATTTTTGTTGCTTTTGATAGGTAAGTAAATGAACAAACAGATGGAACTATAAAAAATTATTTACAGGACTGATAAATGTGCTTGCATTTGTCACATTTTAGAGCTATGTCTATGAATAGTAACTACTAATCTTTTCTTCATTTTTCTTCAGGACTGAATTTGTAAGAAAAGTTTTTGTATTCTCCTAAATTGTCACATCATAGAGACTATATTTCACTTATCAAAAAGCTTCCTGTGAGACCATTTCTCCATTGGTAAGCCTTCAAACCAGTAGGCTATATTTGCTGCAGTTAATCATATAAAACCATCTGCCAGCATTATGAGAAAATCTTGTCCCATTCAAATTCCTGAAGACATATTCTGATTACAAAATGTTTCATAGGTATTGAAGCTTAGGAAAACTAAAATTAAGGTTAGACTATATTTTATTAACAACTGCATGTTGATTACTTTTGTTAATGAAGGATAAAAAATGATCACTATTTACATTCTTATAGTTATTAACATTCAATTATCAGAAATAAAATATTGTACACAGGAATACAAGTACCTCTGGAAAGTTTACTTTCCAAGTAGAATTGTTTCAGAGTTTAAATTTGTACTGGCCAAAAAAAAAAAAAACTTGTACTGGCTTGGAACTTTATAAGTAAATTGTTATTGATGGTGGGATGGGGCTGAGTGGTAGCCAGAAATGGAAGTGTATTTTATATTCATTTGCAGTCAGCAGAAAAATCCAAAATAATCGTGGCTTAAACAAGATATTATGTATTTCTGTCTCACACAAATGTCTGGAAGTAGATGATACAGGATTGGTGTAGTCGTCTCATAATGTTGGAGTTGATATTGTGTTTTTTCTATATTTCCCTTCAATATTGTGTCCTTTCTGCATTTCCAATATCCCCCCATGATTGAATAATATTACCCCAGCTCCAGATATCTCATCTGCATTCTAGACAACAGGAGGGGTAAAGTGAGAAAGAAGGGATAAAGAACATGTGTAGCTTTCTATTGAGAATGATTCTTAATTTCTATTAAGAATGATTTGCTAAGAACACTTTATATTATTTGGCCACTTCTTATTCACACAGCTACCTTTAACTGCAATGGAGTTTGTGAAAATCTTCTTTCTTCTGAGTGTTTGTGGGTCTAGATAAAATTCAGATTTTATGACTAGCTTTATGATGAGGTAGTGAGGAACAACTACTCACTGGCATAGGTAGTCTTTAACATAAAATAATAGCTTTGTAATGCATTTTTGAAAAAAAATTGTTAATGGGGTTCAGAGAGAAATCTTGTCTTAAACCTAAGCATTTAGCTTAAAAAATAAGCTTATTGGGTATTTACAGAAAAAAAAATTATTTTTAATGAAATGGAAACTTCGCATATAATAGAAATGTCTCCATTATGTAAATTATTATTAATCCAAATAATTAATTTAAAGCATGATAGCAGCCAAATGTCAAGTTTAAATTAGCCAGCATTGAAAGAAGATTTGATATAAATAAACATGCTCAGACATAACTCATATGGGAACTTTTCAGTAATATGCATTGCTATGGATAATTTCAATTTTTTTGATCAGTTAAATATCTTTGTTTATATTCTGTTGGACAAAATTAATATTATTTTATTTAGCAAATGTAATATTTCAAAATAGAGAAATTGAACTTTACCAAAATTATTATTTTTTATTTCAACAAAGGACATTATCAATAAAGTTTAAAAAATACCTCACAGAATGAAAGAAATATTTGCAAAGCATATGTCTGATAAGAGTCCAGTATCCAGAATATATAAAGAATTCTTCCCACTCAACAATAACAAAATAAATGACCCAATTGAAAAATGGGCCAAGGATCAGAGCTCACATTTCTCCAGAGAAGATATACAAATGGCTAATAAGCATGTGAAAACATGCTCAACATCATTAATCATTAAATAAATGCAAACCAAACCTCAATAAGATACCACTTCCCACCTTTAGGACAACTATAACCAAAAAAAAAAAAAAAAAAAAAGAGAAAAAGAAAAAAGAAAAAAAATGTTGGAAAGGATGTGAAAAAGGCAAAGCTCTTGTACATTGCTGATGAGAATGGAAAGTGGGGAAGCCGTCATGCAGAACTGTTTGGCGGGTGCTCAAAAAGTTATATATAGAATTATGGTGTGATCTGGCAAGTTTTCTCCTAGATATATACTCAAAGAATTAAAAACAGGTGTTCAAACAAAAACGTGTACACTAGTGTTCATAACAACATCATTTGTCCCAACCAACGGGGGAAGGAACCAAAATGCCCATCAACAAATGAATGGATAACCGAAATATGGTATATCCATACAATGGAATACTGTTTAGTCATAAAATGTAATAAGTACTGATTTATGCTACAACATGGATAAAACTTAGAAACATTATGTTGTGAACATACCAGAATCTCTGGGACACATTTGAAGCAGTGCGTAGAGGGAAATTTATAGCACTAAATGCCCACAAGAGAAAGCAGGAAATATCTAAAATTGACACTCTAACATCACAATTAAAAGAACTAGAGAAGCACGAGCAAACACACTGAAAATCTAGCAGAAGGCAAGAAATAACTAAGATCAGAGCAGAACTGAGGGAGATAGAGACACAAAAAACCCTTCAAAAAATCAACGAATCCAGGAGCTGGTTTTTTGAAAAGATCAACAAAATTGATAGACTGCTAGCAAGACTAATAAAGAAGAAAAGAGGGAAGAATCAAATAGACACAATAAAAAATGATACAGGCGATATTACCACAGTTCCCAAAGACATACAAACTACCATCAGAGAATACTATAAACACCTCTACGCAAATAAACTAGAAAATCTAGAAGAAATGGATACATTCCTGGACACATACACCCTCCCAAGACTAAACCAGGAAGAAGTTGAATCCCTGAATAGACCAATAACAGGCTCTGAAATTGAGGCAATAATTAATAGCCTACCAACCAAAAAAAGTCCAGGACCAGACAGATTCACAGCCAAATTCTACCAGAGGTACAAGGAGGAGCTGGCACCATTCCTTCTGAAACTATTCCAATTAATAGAAAAAGAGGGAATCCTCCCTAACTCATTTTATGAGGCCAGCATCATCCTGATACCAAAGCCTGACAGACACAACAAAAAAAGAGAATTTTAGACCAATATCCCTGATGAACATTGATGCAAAAATCCTCAATAAAATACTGGCAAACCGAATACAGCCACACATCAAAAAGCTTATCCACCATGATCAAGTGGGCTTCATCCCTGGGATGCAAGGCTGGTTCAACATATGCAAATCAATAAACGTAATCCAGTGTATAAACAGAACCAAAGACAAAAACCACATGATTGTCTCAATAGATGCAGAAAAGGCCTTTGACAAAATTCAACAGCCCTTCATGCTAAAAACTCTCAATAAATTAGGTATTGATGGGACGTATCTCAAAATAATAAGAGCTATTTATGACAAACCCACAGCCAATATCATACTGAATGGGCAAAAACTGGAAGCATTCCCTTTGAAAACTGGCACAAGACAGGCATGCCCTCTCTCACCACTCCTATTCAACATAGTGTTGGAAGTTCTGGCCAGGGCAATCAGGCAGGAGAAAGAAATAAAGGGTATTCAATTGGGAAAAGAGGAAGTCAAATTGTCCCTGTTTGCAGATGACATGATTGTATATCTAGAAAACCCCATTGTCTCAGCCCAAAATCTCCTTAAGCTGATAAGCAACTTCAGCAGTCTCAGTATACAAAATCAATGTGCAAAAATCACAAGCATTCTTATACACCAATAACATACAAACAGAGAGCCAATTCATGAGTGAACTCCCATTCACAATTGCTTCAAAGAGAATAAAATACCTAGGAATCCAACTTACAAGGGATGTGAAGGAACTCTTCAAGGAGAACTACAAACCACTGCTTAACGAAATAAAAGAGGACACAAACAAATGGAAGAACATTCCTTGCTCATGGGTAGGAAGAATCAATATCGTGAAAATGGCCATACTGCCCAAGGTAATTTATAGATTCAATGCCATCCCCATCAAGCTACCAATGACTTTCTTCACAGAATTGGAAAAAACTACTTTAAAGTTCATATGGAACCAAAAAAGAGCCCGCATCACCAAGACAATCCTAAGCCAAAAGAACAAAGCTGGAGGCGTCACGCTACCTGACTTCAAACTATACTACGAGGCTACAGTAACCAAAACAGCATAGTACTGGTATCAAAACAGAGATATAGACCAATGGAACAGAACAGAGCCCTCAGAAATAATACCGCACATCTACGACCATCTGATCTTTGACAAACCTGAGAAAAACAAGCAATGGGGAAAGGATTCCCTATTTAATAAATGGTGCTGGGAAAACTGGCTAGCCATATGTAGAAAGCTGAAACTGGATCCCTTCCTTACACCTTATTCAAAAATTAATTCAAGATGGATTAAAGACTTAAACGTTAGACCTAAAACCATAAAAACCCTAAAAGAAAACCTAGGCAATACCATTCAGGACATAGGCATGGGCAAGGACTTCATGTCTAAAACACCAAAAGCAATGGCAACAAAAGCCAAAATTGACAAATGGGATCTAATTAAACTAAAGAGCTTCTGCACAGCAAAAGAAACTACCATCAGAATGAACAGGCAACCTACAGAATGGGAGAAAATTTTTGCAATCTACCTATCTGACAAAGGGCTAATATCCAGAATCTACAATGAACTCAAATTTACAAGAAAAAGTCAAACAACCCCATCAATAAGTGGGCAAAGGATATGAACAGACACTTCTCAAAAGAAGATATTTGTGCAGCCAAAAGACACATGAAAAAATGCTCATCATCACTGGCCATCAGAGAAATGCAAATCAAAACCACAATGAGATACCATCTCACACCAGTTAGAATGGCAATCATTAAAAAGTCAGGAAACAACAGGTGCTGGAGAGGATGTGGAGAAATAGGAACACTTTTACACTGTTGGTGGGACTGTAAACTAGTTCAACCATTGTGGAAGACAGTTTGGCGATTCCTCAGGGATCTAGAACTAGAAATACCATTTGACCCAGCCATCCCATTACTGGCTATATACCCAACGGATTATAAATCATGCTGTTATAGAGACACATGCACATGTATGTTTATTGCGGCATTATTCGCAATAGCAAAGACTTGGAACCAAACCAAATGTCCAACAATGATAGACTGGATTAAGAAAATGTGGCACATATACACCATGGAATACTATGCAGCCATGAAAACGGATGAGTTCATGTCCTTTGTAGGGACATGGATGAAGCTGGAAACCATCATTCTCAGCAAACTATCGCAAGGACAAAAAACCAAACACCGCATGTTCTCACTCATAGGTGGGAACTGAACAATGAGAACACATGGACACAGGAGGGGGAACATCACACACCAGGGTCTGTCATGGGGTCGGGGGAGGGGAAGGGATAGCATTAGGAGATATACCTAATGTAAATGACGAGTTAATGGGTGCAGCACGCCAACATGGTGCATGTATACATATGTAACAAACCTGCACATTGTGCACATGTCCCCTAGAACTTAAAGTATGATAAAGACAAAAATAGATCTAGAATAGGCAAATCCACAGAAGCATATTCATGGTTGCAAGGGGCTGTGGGAAGGAGGAATAGGGAGTGACTGCGTAATGAGTATGGGGTTTCTTTTTGGAATGACAAAAATGTGATAGAATTAGATACAGTGATAGTTGTGAAACATTGTGAATG
Source organism: Homo sapiens (assembly GCF_000001405.40). NCBI lineage: Eukaryota > Metazoa > Chordata > Mammalia > Primates > Hominidae > Homo > Homo sapiens. The sequence goes on along the minus strand of NC_000002.12, from coordinate 186,395,593 downwards.
TACTAAAAGTCACTGAATTGTACTCATTTAAAATGGTTTAAGTGGTAAATTTTCTGTTATGTGAATTTTGCCTCAGTAACAAAAGGTACTTCAGTAGAACTTGTCCCAAAGTGGTCCTCATAGGCAAATAAATCTATTTAAGCATATAAATCTAAGACCTTTGTCTTGAAGTGGCTTTGAATGAAAATACCAGCTGGGCACTGTGGCTTACGCCTATAATCCCAGAACTTTGGGAGGCCAAAGTGGGTGGATCATCTGAGGTCAGCAGTTTGAAACCAGCCTGGCCAACATGGTGAAACCCTATCTCTACTAAGAAAAAAAAAAAAAATTAGCTGGGCGCAGTGGTGGGTGCTTGTAATCGGGAGGCTGAGGCAGGAGAATCACTTGAACCTGGGAGGCAGAGGTTGCAGTGAGCTGAGATCGCGCCATTGCACTCCAGCTTGCGTGACACAAAAATACTGGTTATATTTTATCCTCTCTAGAAGCATGAAATAAAGAAAAAGTTTAGACTGCCATTCTCCAAGCATGATTATGGACCCCTGAGTACTCTTGTGATCCTTTCATGGGGTCCAAGAGGTCAAAATTATTTCTCTAATAATACTCGTATGTTGTTCGCCTATTTCATAGTTTTGACAAAGCTGTGCTGTATGAAATCACTGGCACCTCATCACAAATCAAGGCAGTGGTACCAAAGTGTACTAATAGTCATTGTATTATTCACTGCCATGCACTACCATTCAAAAAATTGCCAGCTTTCCTTAAAAATGTTTTTAAGAAAGCTGCATAATTATTAGAACCTGACACATGAGTACACTTCATTTATTCTGTGTGAGGAATCGGGAAGTACACATAAAGCTTTTCTGCCACTTACTAAGCTATGATGTTTGTCTCAAGTAAAAGCACATCTGTGATTTACCTGGAACACCAGTTTTCTTCAAAGAATGACTGCAGACAAACTGATTATTCAGATTTAGGATTTTGGAGGTATTTTCTCAAAAATTAATAAAATGAGCCTGTCATTTCACAGCCAGTAGTATTTATTGTCAATGATAAAATTTGAACTTTCAAGTGAAAGTTGTAACTAGAAATTTGGAAAATTTGTATCTGCCATTGTGAACTTAACAGCTTCTCAATAATTAAAGGCTTTATTGACGTGATGGGTGGTGACATTGAAAAATGTGATTTTTTGACATTATATAGTGAAATGTGTCAGCTTTTGGAACATCTCTATAATACAGTTACTTAACTAATGTTTTTAAGTGATGAATGTATATCAAATCATACATGGGTAAAAGATTCATTCAAAATATAAGATGGATCATTGGATTATAATAAAACAGAGTATGAAAGGTTATTAGAGTTGCAGATTCAACATTGCAATTAACCTTTAAGATATACCTACTTGTCGAGTTTTGATTTAGTATCAAAAAACAATTTCCCCAATATTCGAAAATATTATTAAATTATTCCTCTCATTTCCAATTACATATTTGTGTGAGGCTAGACTTTTTTCATGCTTTTTTAATTAAAATAACATTGCAAAAGATTGAATGTAGAAGCAGATGTGGGGATACAGTTGTTTTGTACTAAACCAAACATTAAAGAAAGTTGGAAAAATAGAAAACAAAGCCACTCTTCTTACTAAATTTCTTCATTGTTTTGTTTTTTCTTTTCTGTTTCTTTTTTTTTAAAACATGTCATTCATATTAACATTTAATGGGTTTATTATTGTTGCTTTAAATAAGTACATGTTTTAAATATTTCTTAGTTTTAATTTCTAATGTGGCAAATACTAAATGCCATAATCTATATAAGTGAATGATCTTTGGAGTTCTCCATTTTTAAAGTCTTCAAGCATCTTGAGACTAAAAGTCAGAAGACTGCTGTCTTTACTGTATTGATAATGGCAGACAGTCTTTGTTTTAAGTTACCTTTCACAAAAGAATGTCAGCCTTATTTTGTTCTAGTGTAAAATTTTTGGCATATTTATACACAAGTTATATGCATTTCAGATACAGATTGCCATATTAAACATTTTACCTGTCAGTTTTTTTATGCCAAAAGGATGGTTGAAAAAAAAGTGCAAAACATAAAGATGGTCTTAACATCCTGAATTCAATAATTTTGCCAGATATTCTAGATCTTATCTCTATTACGGAGCAAGATCATCAGAAATTTGTGTATTTAGACAACACTCTTCAACAGAATTGTCTTTACGAAATTAATACTTGGATGTCATACTCTCAGATATACTAAAAACTACAATAAAATTCCTTCCTGTATATCTATCACTGCATTTCCTTAGAAATGTTCTTGAAGAAATTAACCTTTCCCATATTCAGTGATCTCTATATGAAGACAAAACTTCATCTCAGTTTAAGTGTCAGGAGAAGTTATTCTATGGAAGCATAGCTATGTTCTTTTTTTCTTAACGACCTAACATTTGTGTTGTTTTTTGTAAATTAAATGAATTTTATTATAGCAATGACAATCAAGTTTTTGAATTTTTCTGGTATAAGCCAAAATAATGAGTGATTTATCATAAAAAACTTTATATAATTATCATAAACAATTACTGAGTTTCCCCCTTAATACTGTTGAAGGTAAAGAATTGTAAACCACATTATTTTCTTTTATTTTTTCAACTTTTATTTTAGGCTCGGGGTACATGTGCAGGTTTGTTATATGGGTAAATTGCGTGTTACTGAGGTTTGGTGTACAATGACTTCATCACTCAGGTAGTGAGTTTAGTACCTGAGAGGTAGTTTTTTGACCCTCCCCTCCTTCCATCCTTCCCCTTCAAGTAGGCCCTGGTGCCTATTGTTCCCATAGTTGTGTCCATGTGTACTCAGTGTTTGACTCCCACTTATAAGTTAGAACATGTGGTATTTGGTTTTCTGTACCTGGGTTAATTTCCTTAGGATAAGGGCCTCCAGCTGTATCCATATTGCTGCGAAGAACATGGTTTCATTTTTTATGACTGCATGGCATTCCATGGCATTTATGTACCAAAGATTTTTAAAATCCAGTCTACTGTTGACTGGCAACTAGGTTGGCTTTTTGCCTTTGCTATTGTGAATAGTGTTGCAATGAACACACAAGTGCAGGTGCCTTTGTGGTAGAATGATTTATATTTCTTTGAGTATAAAGCTAGTAATGGGATTGCTGAGTCAAATGGTAGTTGTTTTAAGTTCTTTGAGAAATCTCTAAAGTGCTTTCCACAGTGGCTGAACTAATTTACATTCCCACCATCAGCGTATAAGTGTTCCTTTTCTCCACAATCTTGCCAATATCTGTCATTTTTTTTGACTTTTTAGTAATAGACGTTTTGACTGGTATGAGATGGTATCTCATTTTGGTTTTGCTTTGCATTTGTCTAATAATTAGTGATGAGCATTTTTTTCATATGCTCATTGGCCACATGAATGGCTTCTTTTGAGAAGTGTCTGTTCAACTACTTTGCACATTTTTTAATGAGGTTGTTTGTTTTTTGCATGTTGATTTAAGTTCCTTGTAGATTCTGAATATTTGACCTTTGTTGGATGCATAGTTTGCAAATATTTTTTCCCATTCTGTAGGTTCTCTGTTTACTCTGTTAATGTTTTTTTGTTTTGTTTTGTTTTTCTGTGCAAAAGATCTCTAGTTTAATTAAGTCTCACTCTTCTATTTTTGTTTTGGTTGCCATTGCCTTTGGGGACTTCATCGTGAAATCTTTGCCAAAGCCTGTGTACGGAATGATATTTCCTAGGTTTTTTTCTAGTGTTTTTATAGTTTTATGTTTTACATTTAAGTCTTTAATTCATTTGAGTTAATTTTTGTATATGGTGAAAGGAAGGAGTCCAGTTTCAATCTTCTGCATATGGCTAGCCAGTTATTCCAGCACCATTTATTAAATAGGGAGTTCTTTCCGCATTGCTTGTTTTTGTAAACTTTGTTGAAGATCAGATGGTTTTAGGTGTGCAGCTTTATTTCTGTGTTCTCTAACTTGTTCCTTCAGTCTATGTGTCTGTTTTTGTATGAGTAACATGTTGTTTTGGTTACTGTATCCTTGTGGTATAGTTTGAAATCAGGTAGTATGATACATCTGGCCTTGCTCATTGTACTTAAGATGGCTTTGTTTATTTGGACTCTGTTTTGGTTCCATATGAATTTTAGCATAGTTTTTTCTAAGTCTGTGAAAAATGATGTTGGTAGTTTGATAAGTATAATATTTAATCTCTAAATTGCTTTGGGCAGTATGGCCACATTAACAATATTGATTCTTCCTATCTATGAGCATGGAATGTTTTCTCCATTTGTTTGTGTCATCTCTGATTTCTTTGAGAAGTGTTTTGTAATTCTCATTGCAGAGATATTTCACCTCCCTGGTTAGATATATTCCTAGGTATTTTATTCTTTTGTGGCTATTGTGAATAGGATTGCTTCTTGCTTTGGCTCTTAGCTTGGACATCACTGGTGTATAGAAATGCTACTGATTTTTGTACATTGATTTTGTATCCTGAAACTTTACTGAAGTTGTTTGTCAGTTCTAGGAGGCTTTGGGAAGAGACTATGGGGTTTTCTAGATATAAAATCATATTGTCTGCAAACAGAGATAGTTCGAGTTCCTTCCTTTTAATATGGATGTCTTTTTTTTCTTTATCTTGCTTGATTGCCGTGGCTAGGACTTCCAGTACTATGTCGAATGGGAGTGGTGAGAGTGGGCATCCTTGTTCTGGTCATCGAAAGGAGGAACGCTTTCAGCTTTTGCCTGTTCAGTATGATGTTGGCTGTGGGTATGTCATAGATGGCTCTTATTATTTTGAGGTATGCCTCTTTGACGACAAGTTTGTTGACATTGAAGGTTGACATGAGGGTTTTAACATGAGGAGATGCTGAATTTTATCAAAGGCTTTTTCTGTGTCTTTTGAGATAATCATGTGGTTTTTGCTTTTAGTTATGTTTTTGTGATGAATCACATTTATTGATTTGTGTATATTGAACCAACCTTGCATCCCAAGAATAAAGCCTACTTGATTATGGTGGACTAGCTTTTTGATGTGCTGCTGGATTTGATTTGCTAGTATTTTGTTGAGGAATTTTTAGTCTCTTTTCATTGGGGATATTAGCCTGAAGTTTTCTTTTTTTATTGTGTCTCAAATATATTTTGGTATCAAGATGATGCTGGCCTCATAGAACGAGTTAGGGAGAAGTCCCTTCTCCTTGATTTTTGGAATAATTTCAGTAGGATTTGTACCAGCTCTTTGTAAGTCTGGTGGAATTCAGCTGTAAATCCACCTGGTCCAGTACTTTTTCTGGTTGGTGGATTTTTAAAATTACTGATTCAATTTCAGAACTCATTATTGGTCTTTTCTGGATTTTAATTTATTTTTGGTTCTGTCTTAGGAGTTTGTATGTTTCCAGGAATTTATTCATTTCTTCTAGGTTTTCTAGTTTGTGTGCATACAGTTGTTCATAATGGTCTCTGAGAGTTTTTTGTTTTTGTTTTTTGGTATTTCTGTGATGGTGGTGGTAATGTCACCTTTGTCATTTCTGATTGTGTTTATTTGAATCTTCTCTCTTTTTTCTTTCTTAATCTAGCTAGCAGTCTATCAATATTGTTTAATTTTTGAAGAGCCAATTTTTTGTTTCATTTATCTTTTGTATGGAATCTTGCGTCTCAATTTCATTCAGTTAGTCTCTGATTTTAGTTATTTCTTGTCTTCTGCTAGCTTTGGGGTTGGTTTGCCCTTCTTTGTCTAGTACCTCTAGGTGTGATGTTAGGTTATTAATTTGAGATATTTCTAACTTCTTAATGTGGGAATTTAGCACTATAAACTTGCCTCTTAACACTTCTTTTGCTGTGTCCCAGACATTCTGGTATGTTGTGTGTTCATTTTCATTAGTTTCATTTTTTTAAAAACTTCTGCCTTGATTTCATTCTTTGTCCAAAAGTCATTCAGGAGCAGATTGTTTAATTTCTATGTAAGCATATGGTTTTGAGAGATCTTATTTGTATTGATTTCTAATTTTCATTGTGCTGTGGTCCAAGAATATGGTTGGTATGATTGTGTTGTTTTTGAATTTGTTGATAATTGCTTTATGGCCAAGTGTGTGGTTAATCTCAGAGTATGTGGCATGTAGAGATGAGAACATGTATATTCTGTTGTTGGGTAGAGTATTTTGTAGATGTATGTTAGGTCCATTTGGTCAAGTGTTGAGTTTAGGTCCCAAACATCTTTGTTGTTTTCTGCCTCAATGATATCTGACACTGTCAGTGGGGTGTTGAAGTCTCCCATTATTATTATATTACGTGGTCATCTACATCTCTTCTGATTTCCAGAACTTGTTTAATGAATATGAGTGCTCTAATATTGGGTGAATACATATTTAGGATAGTTAATGTAAAATTTGTGAAGGGTTTTATTTATCTACTTATTTATTTTAAGACAGGCTCTTACTCTGTCACCCAGGTTGGGGTACAGTGGCATAATCATAGTTTACTGTAGCCTTGAAATCTTGGGCTCAAGGGATCCTTCTGCCTCAGCCTCCCAAGTAGCTGGGAGTACATGTGCAAGCCACCATATCTGGCTAATTTGACTGATTTTATTTACCTTTTTGCTTTGACAGCAAGAAAATGCATACCAAAATTGTAGCCTCAATGCGAAAACTATTGAGAATTTTATTGTCTACAGAGTTGCATATTATTTCCTTTTTGCTCTTATCCTTCTATTATATCTACATGTTCTCTACATCTTATTTTAAATTCAGTTTATTTTCATATAATTTTTTTTTTGGTTTCTTTGAACTTCCTAATATTTTCACCTGAATCCCGGTAAATATTATTCAAAAAGTTGGTTTTGATGTAACCTCTCTATATCAATTTAATCATTTATAGATAAAATATTAAAGGAGAAACTCAGAATCACTTTTTGCCTCGTAAACAGTATAATTGTTTAGTAGACCAGAATTTGAGCAGAAATATAAAGCAGTGAGTGGGACTAGAGCTAGAAGGTATTGGATTTGTGGCTATAAAATAATACGGACTGGAAATTTTGTTCCTAAAGAGTAATAGGGTCTAAAATTGTTCCTCGAATTTACTGAGATCAGATAAGACTCAGTATCTGGGGTGGAGTTCAGAGAGTTATAAAAGGAAGCTGAAAAAATGTCCTGGAAAGGGTTCACATGGTGCTCTGGATTTAAGGAGGTAGAAAGACAAAGGAACTCATTTCAAATATATCATTGCATTACATCTCATTTTGTTTATTGAGAATCTTCAATATCCTCAATATCACTGAGGGACAAGCATTTTAAACTATATTTCATAAGACTTGATTTTGTACAGCTTAAAGTTAGGTGGAGGCAACTACAAAATCACTGGTCAGGGAAGAATGAGCAGAAAGGTAGAGCAAGAAAGAAAAAGGTATACAAAAACAAAAGAAAACAAAACAAAATCCTCCTACACAAATGAGTCCATTAACCAACTTCTGTAATACAGAAAGAAAGCTAATGCTAGGAGAGCCAACAAAACTAACAATGAAATCATTAAATCATTTAGATAAAATTAATTTTAAAAAGTTTGTTGTTTATGTAGATTTGGAATCTTTAAATGACAAATGAGGGAAAATCCTCCATTAAAAATAAATTGTGAAACAAAGTGTGAATATTAAAAAGAATTGGGTAGAAATCTTGGAAATTAAAACTATGCATAGAATATGCTATACAGGGAATGAGATTTAGTGATTTGGAAGTGTCGTAGCAAAGTGTGATTCTGCATTCATTTTTTAAATTATTTTTTAAAAATAGATAATACAGTCATAAAGTCTTTTTAAAAGATTGTGGTAACATATGCATAACATAAATTTTACCATCATGACTAACCATTTTTAAGTGTGCACTTATAGTTTTTAGTTAACAGTACACTTAAAATGTAAGTTTTTAAGTGTACTGTTAACCTTAATAGTACTTAACAGTAGTGTTAACTATATTTACACTGTGTGCAACAGATATCTAGAACTTTTTCATCTTTTGAAAATGAAACTCTGTAAGCCATTAAACAACACCCCATTTGTTGTTCCCCCTTAACCCATGGTGGCCATCATTCTACTTTCAGTCTCTTATGAATTTGACTATTCTAGGTGCCTCATACAAGTGGAATCATGCAGTGTTTGTCTTTTTGTGACTGGCTTATTTCACTTAGCATAATGTCTTCAAAGATAATCCATGTCATAGCATGCATCTGAATTGATAACACAGTGTTTTGGTTCAAACATCAAAAAATATTAAAAGATATTGAGTAAGCATCTTGATATGGTTTGCCTCTGCATCCCCATCCAAATCTCATCTCAAATTGTAATCCCCATGTGTTGAGGGAGGGTTCTGGTGGGAGGTGATTAGATCACGGGAGTGGTTTCCCCCATGCTGTTCTCATGATAGTGAGGGAGTTCACATGAGATCTGATGGTTTTATAAGTGGCAGTTTGGCCTTCATGCCCACTCTATCGCCTGCTGCCATGGAAGATGTGTCTTGATTCCCCTTTGCCTTCCTCCATGATTGTAAGTTTCCTGAGGCCTCCCTAGTCATGGGAAACTGTGAATCAATTAACCTCTTTTTTTAATAAATTACCCAGTCTCAGGTATTTCTTTATAGCAGTGTGAAAAGAGAATTAATACTGATGTAGTGGGACACTGTAATAAAGATAAACTGAAAACGCAGAGGCAACTTTGGTACTGGGTAACAGGGAGAGTTTGGAACAATTGGAGGGCTCAGAAGAAGATGGAAAGATGTCCAAAAGTTTGGAGCTTCCTAGAGACTTGTTGAATCATTTGACCAAAATGCTGATAGTGATGTGGCCAATGAAGTCCAGGCTGAGGTGTTCTCATATGGAGATGAGGAACTTTCTGGGAACTGGAGCAAAGGTGACTCTTGCTAGGCTTTAGCAAAGAGGCTGGCAGGATTTTATTTCTGCCCTAGAGATTTGTGGAACTTTTAACTTGAGAGAGATGATGTAGTGTATCTGGTGGAAGAAATTTCTAAGCAGCAAAGCATTCAAGAGGTGACCTGGATAATTCTGAAAGCGTTCAGTTATATGTGCTCACAAAGAGGTGGTTTGATATTGGAACTTATGTTTAAAAGGGAAGCAGAGCATAAAAGTTCAGAAAATTTGCAGCCTGACTATGTAGTGGAAAAGGAAAACCATTTTTCTGGGGAGGAATTCAAGCTAGCTACACAAATTTGCATGAGTAATGAACTGACTATTGAAAGCCAAGACAATGGGGAAAATGTCCCCAGGGCATGTTAGAGACCTTCACAGCAGCCCCTCCCATCACAGTCCCAGAGGCCTAGGAGGAAAAATGTTTCTGTGGGCTGGGTCCAGGGCCTTGGTGCTCTATGCAGTCTTGAGACTGCTTCCCAGGCACTCCAGCTCCAGCCATGACTAAAAGACACCAAGGTACATCTTGGGCCATGACTTCCGAGGGGGCAAGCCCCAAGCCTTGGTGCCTTCCTTGTGGTGTTGGGTCTGCAGGTGTGCAGAGGACAAGAATTGAGCTTTGGGAACCTCTGCCTAAATTTCAGAGGATGAGGATGTGTAGAAATCCCTGGATGTCCAGGCAGAAGTCTGCTGCAGGGGCAGAGCCCTCATGAAGAACCTCTGCTAGGGCAGTGCAGAAGGGAAATGTTGGATTGGAGCCTCCACACAGAGTCCCCACTGGGGCACTGCCTAGTGGAGTTGTGAGAAGAGGGCCACCGTCCTCCAGACCCCAGAAATTTAGATCCAACAATGGCTTGCACCGTGCGCCTGGAAAATCTGCAGGCACTCATTGCCAGCCTGGGAAAGCAGCCACAGGGACTGTACCCTGTAGAACCAGAGGGACAGAGCTGTCCAAGGCTGTGGGAGCCCACATCTTGCATCAGCATGCCCTGGATGTGAGACATGGAGTCAAAGGAGATTATTTTGGAACTTTAAGATTTAATGAGTGCCTTGCTGGGTTTCAGACTTGCATGTGGCTTCTGTCCCCTTTGTTTCGGCCAATTTCTCCCATTTGGAATGGGAACATTTACCCAATGCATGTGTCCTCATTATATCTTGGAAGTAACTAACTTGTTTTTGATTTTAGAGGCTCATAGGTGGAAGGAACTTGACTTGTCTCAGGTGACACTTTGGACTTGGCGTTTTGGATTAATGCTGGAATGAGTTAAGACTTTGGGGGACTGTTGGGAAGGCATGAATAGTTTTGAATGTGAAAAGGACATGGGATTTGGGAGTGGTCAGGGATGGAATAATATGGTTTGGCTCAACTCTTGTAATTCTCACATGTCAAAGGAGGTATCTGGTGGGAGGTGATTAGATCATGGGGGTGGCTCCCCCCAGATGCTGTTCTTGTGACAGTGCATAAGTTCTCACGAGATCTGATGATTTTATAAGTGACAGTTTCCCTGGCCTTTCACGCTCTCACCTGCCCCCACATAAGACGTGCTTTGCTTTCCCTTTGCCTTCTGCCATGATTATGTTTCCTGGGACCTCCCCAGCCATGCAGTCTGTGAGTCAATTAAAACTCTTTTCTTTTTAAATTACCCAACCTCAGGTATTTCTTTATAGCAGTGTGAAAACAGACTAATACACATCTCTTTTATCTCTGTCCTCCATCCCTCACTTCTCATTCTCACAATAGGTAACCACTCTTATTTTCCATTTATTGTCCAGGTAATTTCTATGCACATGCAATCCAAGGTAAATATATGCATTTTTTCTTTTTAAAATTTTATTTATTTTTTCCAGCTTTATTGAGGTATAACTGAGAAATAAAATTGTATAAATGTAGCTTGTACAATGTGATGTTTTCATATATACAGTATGAAATGATTACCACAATTAAGCTAATTAACATATCCATCACCTCACATAGTTATCATTTTGTGTGCATGTGGTGAGAACTTTTGAGATCTACTCTCTTAGCAGTTTTCAAGTATACAATTATATTGTTTTTCTTTTCTTTGTTATACAAATCCTATGTTTGACACTGGATTATCAAATTTTTGAGTTTTGTTATTCTGATAGATGAAAAATGCATCCAAGTATTGTTTGTATTTCTCTCATAGTGAAAGAGGCAAAACAAATATTTAAGAGCCACTTGTGTTTCTTTTTCTATGAACTTGCAATTCTTATCCTTTGGCTGTTTTTGTATTGGTTGATCTTTTACCAATCAATTGAGAGGAAAATTTTAGTTACTAGGAAAGAGTTTTCTGTCTCTGGTAGTTGTAAATCTTTTTCCAGATTATCATTTTTCTTTTAACTTTGCTTATGATTGTTTTGATATTTAGGGTTGTTTTTTGTAGCTAAATATACTGATCATTTCTTTTATGGTTTTAAAATTAAAATATAGTTTAACAGTCTTCAATTCCGACGTTATAAGTAATTTCTCCTAAGCTGTCTAGTTTTTTTTTTTTGTAAAGATTGATCCATTTGGAATGTATACTGATGAATGTTATGAGGTAAGAATCTAATTTTTTTTCAGGTAGCTACACAATTATTCCCAATTTATTGAGTAGTTCTTGTTTTTCTCACAGATCTCAGAATTTATAACAGCAAACATTATTTTTCTTGCTCTCAAGACTGTCACTTGCAGTTCTCTAGTGCTAAGTGGGACCAGAAGGGCTTCGTTCTAAGTTCACAACCTAGAACCTGAATTAGGTTCAGATCTGTTCCAATTGTTTTCTAATTCTCCTTTTGTATCAGCCGATACCTGGGACATTTTCTTCTAATAAATCACAAGAGCAGATGAGGACAAGCCGAACTACACAGCATGTTTTTAATGCCTCTGTTTATTTCATATTCACTAACATTGTCTTGGCCAAAACGAGTAACATGACAAAGCCAACATCAACAAGACGGGAAAATATACTCTTTTTTGTGGGAGATGTTACAAAAACACATGACTGAAATACGGATGTATAATTTAATTCAGGTAAGGAGGCTAGAATTGATGACAAATATTCAATGTGCCATAGTTGGTTTTGCTTTTATATCCAATATAAACATCTTTTTTAATAGATGTGTCTACCATTTTATGTTTATTAATATTACTGATTTATTTGGTCTTAGATTTGTCACATTACTTTATTGTGTCTTCCCTATTAATAGTTTTTCTAATAATTTTCCTTTTGCATGTAATGGTCTAAAGAACTATTAAGAGTCGAGATTTTATTTTCCATGCAAGCTAACAATGTAGCCTGCCACAGTTTCATAGATACTGGCAAAACACATGAGAATCCTTAGTCAAAGACAAAAGAGAGTTTATTACTCACAGCAATAATAGTAACTAGAGTATCAACATTTGTGCCAGCTGTGTGATGCTCAATTCCCAGAGTGTGATACCAAGGGAGCCAGATGATACCTGCACACATGGCAGAATGCATGACAGGCAAGGAATCCTGAACTTTGGGGACCTGAATCTTTCATAATTCCTGTCTGACTTTTGAGCTGGAGGGAGACATTATGTTTACTGTGGTAGAGAGTAAGCAAACATTCCTTTTGATATGAAAGGAGACATTATTTTTATTTTCCAAGGTTGTTTGCTATGCAAACATCCATGAAAATGTAGTCTGGAGCAAGGTCAGTCAATGCTTTTTCTTGGAGGACATGCAGAAACACGTGAAACAAAAGACCCATGGAAAATTGTATACCAATATCTTGCCTACTTGCTTTTTTCTAAAAGAGTGTATGGTTATTTTAATACTTAGGAATATTTACATTTTTTTCTAGTGATTTCTTTTGGATTTGGAATTTTATGTAACATATTACTCTCTTATTTCTTCAGATAATATCTCTTTACTACTATAAGGGGTTTTAAAATAAGAGATTTCCTCTTACTTTCTGTTCTTCCTGTCTCCTCTACCGCATGATTTTAACAAACAGTATTATCTTCTTAATGTTTACCTTTGTAATATTAAATATACATGATTTTCCTCAGCTTTAAATGATGTTCTTTAACTTCATAGCAAATGTATTATAGGCAAGGCAATATATATGTTTGCATTTCCTCTATCCTTTCCATTTCTCACTTTTATGGTGGTTATACTGTTTTTTTTCTGCATTTTCAGAGTGTATCGATTTTACATCTGATATTTTCTTCTGATCCCCATATTTGTTTTGCTTTTAATTTTTCTGTCCAATATATTCAGCTCCCACTACCAAACCTTTTACCACAATTTTCTGTCATGTCTGGTTTAGTTGAAGTTTGAGCTCCAGAATTTTCTTCAAGAAAAATGCACGGAAACAATATTTTGGAGTTCCTGAATGTTTAAAACTGTTTTTCTTCAGTTTTCATACTTAGAGAATCATTTAGATGAATATAAAATTCATCTTATAAAATGTTGCACCATTATCTTTTGGCACTGGTGATTGTTGTGAAGAAATCCAATGTAAGTGTAATTTTCACCCTCCCCCATTATAGTTGACCTATTTTTTTCGACTGATTTATTACAGAATTTTTTCTTCATCTTTGCAGTTCAGAATTTCATTAGGATATGTCTTTTGCTGACTCTTCTGGGACCATGTTCTCTGATGCATGGCAAGTGTTGTTAAAAAGTCTTCTTTTTGTTCAGAGTAAATTTCCTGAATTAAATAGTTGTGGCCGGGCGCGGTGGCTCACGCCTGTAATCCTAGCACTTTGGAAGGCCAAGGCGGGAGGATTGCCTGAGCTCAGGGGTCTCATACCAGCCTTGGCAACACCGTGAAAACCCCTCTACTAAAACACAAAAAAATTAGCCAGGCGTGGAGGCATGCGCTTGTATTCCCAGCTACTCGGGAGGCCGAGGCAGGACAATTGCTTGAACCCGGAAGACGGAGGTTGCAGTGAGCCGAGATTGCACCACCGCACTCCCGCTTGGGCGACAGAGGGAGACTCTGTCTCAAAAAAAAAGAAAAAAAAAAGTTCTTCTACTCCTTGCATTTTAAAGTCTTCTAAAAAATCTTTTTTTTGTTTTTTATGTAATTTACTATTTTTGTTTTCTATGTACTTTGTTGTACATTCTGAAGACCCTTAACTCACCCAGTTTCATCTTCATGTTGGTGATTCTTGTAAAATTCTGTTATTTTCTGAGTTCCATCATTTTATATTTTATATCCTCCTGCTGTTTTTCTCTTTCCTGAAATCTTGTATTTCTCTTTTGCATTCTTATTTCATAAAGGAGATTTCTTTGTTTTTTAATTTATAAGGAAATATTTGTTTGTTTTTTATCTGTTCTATGGCAAATTTTTTTCTAGTAAATTTTATGTCCCTGACAACCACCATTCTACTCTGTTTCTATGAGTTTGACTATTTTAGATAAACGCAGAATCACATAGTATTTGTTCTGTAACCGGTTTATTTTACTTGGTATAATGTCCTCCAAGTTAACTTACCTTGGCACCTATGGCAGGATTTCCTTCATTTTTAAGGCTGAATATTATTTCATTTTATGTATAAAACACATTTTCTTTATCCATTTGTCCATTAATGCATATTTAAGTTATTTCCATATCTCGACTATTGTGAATAATGGTACAATGACGAAGGGAGTGCAGCTATCTCTTTGAAATCCTGATTTCAATTATTTTGGATGCATGCCAATAAATGGAGTTGCTGGATCATATAGTAGTTCTTTTTTAAATTTGTTGAGGAATATCCATGTTAATTTCCACAGTACTATTTTACATTTTCACAAACAGTATACAAGGGTTCCAATTTCTCCACATCTAGGTCAACACATGATATCTCTTAGGGTTTTTGGTTTTTTGACAATAATGATTTTACTAGGTGTGAAGTAACATCTCATTGTGGTTTTTGATTAAGTTAGATATTGAGCATCTTTTCCTTTACCTGTTAGATTATGTTTTGTTAATGACACAATTTCTTTCAGCCTTGGGTGATACCCAGAACCTAGTTAATGCTATTATCCTGAATAATTTGGTGATTTTGTTCACATGCAGGATGTTATACCCAGTGTATCCAAAGGAAAAAAGAACACATTCCTATTGGTAACATATTTGTTTGTATGCTTTGACAGCAGTAATGATGGTAATTGAATTGGGCATTTTAGCTTTCAGTTCACTTGCCGCTGCACTTATTAAGGGATATTCATACATGTACATTTGTTAGGATTTTTGCTTTGTTTTTGTTTTATTTTCTCCATAGATGCATTATTATCTACAACAGTGGCAATATATGTTTACTGAAATAAATTGAACATTTATGTCTCTGTCCTCTGAGGTCTTAAAGTCATTTGCATTCTTAGGTAAACATTTGCTCCTCAGTGGCCTACTCTATCATGCAGTCTATCTGCCCAGTTCCCAAATTGCTTCTACCTTATGTATTTATTACCTTATCCATGCTCCTTTGATTTGGTATTATCTGTTTATTACCCCCAATGGTTTTGTTTTTATCCTAAAGCACTCTGAATATTAACAGCAGGGACTTTATTCTCGGTTTACTCCTTTATCACATTTTGCTGATTTTACAGTAACCAGCCAAAGGAAGACATTGTCCTGGTTGAATTGGGTTAATTTCACTGCACTGACTATTTTTAGATATATATTCTTTGTGCCTTCACTAGAACTCCTCTTACTTCATGATATCTTAACTATAAAATCATCCAACCATGAAAACAAGCACACAAGAAACAGAAACAAAACAGTCACAAAAAAGCATAAACTGTTAGCATTGATCCATGATGAATGACTGATGTATTACTTCAATTGCTATTAAGAGTGTGTTCTCCCAGGCTCAAACTATATCATCTAGGGGCACAAGTTTACTAAAATTATTTTCTCTCTGGGGATCATAAGGTATTGGCAACATATTACCAAAATTATGTAAAATAATTCTATCAAAAAGGCAGGATCCTGGGACATTATAGGAAGTCAATAAATGTCTGGGATAAGTATTACTTTTTCATTTTCTAGTAGCTGTGAACAAATAAGTTATATGAACTGTGCATTTATAACTATGAATAAGGCAGTCGTTTTGGATAATAGTAATAATAGTAATGATACCACTTATATACTGATCATGGGCTGGACAGTGTGCTAAATACTTCAATGTACATGATCTCTTTTGAACTTTCCTATAGCTTCATAAAGTACTTTTTTTATTTCTTGTATTTAAACCTAAGATAATTTTTTCCCATAGACCTCAAAGGTACTCATTGACACAGCAAATAATGCCCTGAAAACATTCCTGTTATGTCTGTGTAGTAGGGACTGACCTATTATCTTGCATCTGGCCCCGAGCAAGAAGAATCTTAAACACTGTGAGGAGATAACCCACTTCGTAGTAAGTGTTGCTACATTTATGATGAAAGAGAGAATTCTGGGAAAGGTGATTCAGCTATTTTCTTGTCCACTGTAACGTGTCAGACCATGCCTACAGACCTGTATCTTTTGAAGTACACTTTTATATAACCAGTGTGTAGGATCTGGCCAGGGCAAGAGTCATTTCAGTACCTCTGCTAAAGTCAGTTACAGTTAATCAACCTTATTGAGCTCAGAGTATTCAGTTTAACAAATAAATATATTGAACAATTATTATGGGAAAAACACTATAGTAAACTAAATAATTCAGGGCATAAGGAAAAAATGAGTACTATTCCTTGAAGAAACTGATTTTACATATCGGGGATAACAAATGCACAAATACATTCAGGTAGCTGTTTTTGGATTGTATTCAGATACTTTAGGGTTTTTTCTTTCTCTGCATTAGTTGGTCTGGTGAGATCTTACTGTGTTGTTACTGGCAGAAATCCAGTTGAATTGATTTTATATTTGTTGCAGATTCAATATCTGGCCCACTATCTTTGTGGAACATCCCGCTCCTTTAAGACATATAAAATGTATATAATAACTTTTTCCTAGAAATAAATTCCTAAGCATGAAATAACAAATATTTCATTCAGAATATTTACTCAGGCCAGGCGCGGTGGCTCAGACCTGTAATCCCAGCACTTTGGGAGACCAAGGCAGACAGATCGCTTGAGGTCGGGAGTTCGAGACCAGCCTGGCCAACATGGTGAAACCCCATCTCTACTAAAAATACAAAAAATTAGCCACGTGTGGTGGCACACGCCTGTAATCCTGGCTACTTGGGAGGTTGAGGCAGGAGGATGGCTTGCACACACCTGTAATCCTGGCTACTTGGGAGGTCGAGGCAGGAGAATGGCTTGAACTCGGGAAGCGGAGGTTGCAGTGAACCGTGATCATACCACTGCACTCCAGCCTAGGCAACAGAGTGAGACTCCGTCTCAGAAAAGAAAAAAATATATATATATATTTACTCAAATATATACCTTGAGTATACCTATACATTTGAATAAATATTTGTTCTGAAACTTTGCATTTGGCTGTGTGTGTTTACATATAGGAAGGTACATGTTTAAGGGTCATTGAGAGATCTCAACCCAGGAGTAGGAATTGGAGCAAAGGAAAATTGCTTTGTTGAAGAATTATAAAACAATCAATCCAGCCAGAATGTTTGATGCTCTGAAATTTTCTAAAAGAGAGGATAATACAGTAATGTGACTTTTTATTTGGTTATTATCTGCTTATTCTCCAAATGAGATGTTTGGGAGTTATCACATACTATGCTTTAATATAAGGAGATCTGAGCTATTTTGTGTGATTATAACAAAATTCTTAGCCATTTATTTATTAAGTTACTCTCAGTAACTGCTAACTGAAGTAACATTTTGCCTTCATGTCCCTTTTTCATGTGTGCTTTACATAGAAATGCTTTCTACGTATTTTCAGGGGAATGGAAAAGATTGTTGTGTAAGATAGCAGTGGGATAGAAAATTAATCCACTAGATTCTGTTACTTCATTTTCTGTCTTTTAAAATTATGGTTTAAACATTTCCTTTATTTTCAGTAGCCTTTTTATTCAGTGGTAGACAAATTGGAAGTGGGAATGAATGTTGTTTTCTAGAATTATTGAATATATTCATATAGATTTATACTGAGGAACCTACAAGTGATTGCATGGAAAGTACAAATTACTTTTTGTTAACCACCTTTAAAGGCTTTTTTCTCCATGAAATGTTTTTGTCTTTTTTTAGATTCAAAAGATTCTGTAGGGAAGATTGCACTTCTATTTGCTGGAGAATATAGAGTAGGCGAGCTCCGTGGGTTATTGTGAATGTGAATGTGTGTATCTGTTTGTGTGTATGGAAAAGGACAAACATTTAAAAATTATTTTATATAGGAACGTATATAACACCATAAAATTGCTATCTGAGATGTATTGGTTTTCTCCGTTTAATCTGTGAGAACAGATTGCTTTTTCTGTATTCTTAATTTGGAATATATTAGACTTGTGGTCCTTGGCCATTTCCAAAAACTGGGGATTCAGAATAGATTCTGAAAAGATTCATAGGCTACTGTGTGCTGATCAGTAAGTCAGTCTTCAATGACTGCTAGATGTTAATCAATGTGCAATGTTAGACAGCTTGGCAAGAAAGCAATCAAGAAGGAAGAAAAATGGGGAAGAAATACTGAAAACATGCAGCATATAATGTTGTCATGGCCTTTGATGTCAGAGAGTCTAATGTTAGCTGAAGTTAAGGGCTGAGTGAAGTGTAGGGCTAAGAATTAAGGATTCATGAACTTAACCCTAAATTTATTTTGGTGATAAAAATCTCATATGTTTAATCTTAGTCTAGTTATAGAATTTTTATGTTAAAAGAGGTAATCTAACAAAAATGACAATTTTCAAGATAAGGAAATTAAGATCCAAATGGCTATTTTTGTCACGTTAACATAGCTACTTAGTAATACATCCTTGGTTAAAAAAAGCATGTTTTCAGACACCTGGTGCATGAACTTACCATGGATTCAGGCACTGAAAGTTGGATTTTTTGCCTGATTTTTACTTGACTATAATTAATAGACACAATAATCAAGTATAATATGTGAGATAAACTGATTTACAGTTTATCTAAATTATGGTTTTTCTGATTGAGTTATGTTGGCTATTACTTTCTCTCAGTGTCTACTCCAATTCTTAGCTAGCACTTAGTTTTGTTAAGGCTTCTGTATTCTATCTTTATATTCTTTTGTTTTGTTTTGTTTTTGAGACGGAGTCTCACCCTGTCACGCAGACTGGAGTGCAATGGTGTGATCTTGGCTCACTGCAACCTATGCCTCCCGGGTTCAAACAATTCTCCTGCCTCAGCCTCCCTACAAGTAGCTGGGATTACAGGTGCCTGCCAATATGCCCAGCTGATTTTTGTATTTTTAGTAGAGACAGGGTTTCACCATGTTGGCAAGGCTGATCTCGAACTCCCGACCTCAGGTGATCCACCAACCACAGCCTCCCAAAGTGCTGGGATTACAGGCGCGAGCCACTGTGCCCAGCTATCTTTATATTCTTTTATTGACTGCATCTCTTTTCTTTTCTTAATCTAGGCAATCTCATTCTTCCCTGGCAGCTGTAAGGAATGTAAGAAAAGTTCCATGGCTGCAAGGATTGCTACAAAGCCTTTTCAACTCCAAAGTATGGCTTAGGGAGTTACTGCATCCTACTCCTAGTCTAAGAAATTTGTAAAGATACCAATGTATTGCAGGATCTGGCCAGCAGCCCGCAATACAATGGGGCTCTCTTTGCTCCTAGGTGGATCGGCAGGTTGAGAAATAATAGACACACACAAGATAGTGAAAGCTGGGTCCAGGGGGTCACTGCCTTCTGGTCCCGCAGTGCCAACAATGCACTGGATATACCAGCATTTATTATTAAGTTTAGTGAGGGCGGGGGTAGGTTAGTGAGGGATTTAGGGTCATTTGATTATGAGGTGAGATGGTCACATGGGGATGAAGTAATTCTTTAACACAACATTTGTATGTAGAAGTACAGTACATTTGTATGTAGAAGTACAGTATACAGAGATAAAGATTTACAATATAGTGTGTGCATCAGTAATTTCTAACAGAGCCTTAAAACAGAAACACAATCTTTCCATAACCTATGATTAGCAAGATATTAATCAGCAGTAACAATTGCAACAAAAGCTGGTTACAAACAATCCATGGAAACAGGACATGAAGCTAGACAACCAGTTAGACCAGAAATTCTCAGAAGGGAGTATGCCTTAACCCTAAAGAGGCCTAGAAGAGCCGTGGCAAGATGAGAGCGTTTATAGCCCTATCTTATCCATATGGACAGGCACCCCCCCATGCGTCCGTTTATAGGCTCTCCACAAGGGTCGCATTCCATTCCCAGAGCTATGAACATCTGCTCTTCTGGGATAGGAATCTTGGTGATGTGAAACCTCCCTGACTGCACATCCATTCATAGGCCCTCTGCAGGGGGAAGCACATCACTTGCTGTTGGCTCGTTCTGGCAGTCCAACCTGGCATTGTCTTTACACAATCCTGCATGCAATTTTGTATTTACAATAATCAGGAGCATTTCATCTTTTATTCCATCACAATAGTTTCAGGGGGTCTCCCTACATCAATGGGCAGAGAAGAAGTAACATGAATCATAATACAGATGTTCCTTGACTTATGAGCAGGTTACATGCCAATGAACCCTGGCATTTAAGTTGAAAATATCATAAGTTGAAAATATACTTATTATCCCTTAACTACCAAACATCATAGCTTAGCCTAGCCTACTTTAAATGTGCTCAAAACACTCACTTAGCCTATAGTTGGGCAAAACCACCTAACACAAAGCCTATTTTATAATAAAGTGGTAATATGTCATGTAATTTATTGAATAAAGTACTGGAAGTGAAAAACAGATTGGTTGTATGTGGACTCTAAGTATGGTTTCTACTAAATGTGTATTGCTTTTGCACCATTGTAAAGACAAAAATTATAAATCATATCATCATAGGTTGGGAACCTTCTATAATTCTAATTTATTTACACTGACTGGCTTCTGGGTTAGTGGCAGAATGGACAGGTCTGCATCCCTGAGATATTCAAAATAATCATAGCTGGATTTACATATTTTTACAAATACAAATCACTCTGTTTTTCTTTTGTCCTGTTTTGACTTAATAAGTTCCCCCCCGACCCAGTCCCCCCAACTCCCCCAGTTCTAGCCTAGGAACATTATGTACCACTTCTTGGATAGTACTCAAAGTGCTACTTATTTTGTGCCACTATTAGACTTAGAATCTACTTTTCTGTACTGTTTTGTCAGTATAATTTGGGAAGAGGTATGGAGTCCTAAGCTATCTTGTTTGAGAACTGTGCAGTCTTTTCCCAGTGGTAATTCTAATTCTCCTTTGTTTCCTTCCAAATGTGGAAATAGTAATTTGTTTCTGTAGTCTTAATTGTGCAAAACAAATAAACAAAAACTCCAAGCTATTTAAGATTTTTTTTACAGACATCAATTAGCATAAAATTAGTGTATCTATTTGCCAGTGTCTTTGTTCTTTGGTTCTATTTTTGATACAAGATTGTTCTTCCTCAGATGATTAAATCTACTTATTTCTAAGATATTGTTTGAATTTGAACCGATCTATATGCTCTATTTACCCCTCATCATATTACCTCCTAAGTTTTCTAAATAGCCTTTGCCTTATAATTTATGTTTCTGGACTTTTCCAGAATTCAAGGCAATTTCAGCTATTTATTATGCCTTTTGAAATGTAAGGTATTGGTGAATCAAACCCAAATATTATACTGAGTTGGTCTCCAAGTCACAGGAAATAATGAGAAATGTTAGACTTAACTTTCAAAGCCTTTGTTATCTCCAGAAGGCTGGGTTTAGGGTAGGGCTTTTATATAAAATTGTAACTTCCTGGAGATTATGATCAACTCATCTTTAGTTATATATCTGGATGATCAGAGTTGTGAACAGGTACATTTTGTGTACATGGTCAATTTGTAGGCCAGCACAGACAATTTATCTTTGAATTATGAGCATTTAACTTCATTCAGGGTAGAAATCTGTTTATTTCATGAGGACAAGGCAAAATCTTAAATATGAAAGAAGGGGATAAATCTTCTTAAGCAGAACATAGACTATATCTACCATGTGTTATGAAGTCTAAGAATGGGAACTGCAAAAGAAAAGTTGAAAGAATGGTAAACCACACAGTGATACATATTTAAGCAAAGGCAGTAGAAGAAAATATGAAGTAGATTTATATGTATATAGGTGATGTGGGAAAATAAACAAAAACAATGTTAGGTATATACTGAAGTTATTAACAGTAAAGTTAACTGGGGCCTAAGGTGAGAGAAAGTGCATGTTCCCGTACCATGAAATAGAGACAAGGATAATGTTTTGCTGTTATATATGCTTCATCAAGCTCAAAGTGAAAATGCCATTACTTTCTTTGAACTTGCCTGTCGTGTTTTATCTAGTGATAAATTATACAATATTACCTTCATAAACAGCATATGAACTGTGGGGAGCCCCTTTTCTCTAGTTATTTGGCAAGATAAACAACTCTACAAGCTCTAAAATAAATGTTGTTTCTTTTAATTCCATGGTTTTAATTGTTGAATTGTAATCACAAGGTAGAGATGATATATTTGTTTAATTAAGAAAGTCTGATGTTTGTGAGAAAATAAGAAAATGTATAGCAGTGGCATACAAGTCAATACCAAAGGCTAAGTTTTTCATGACTGAATTGTCTTTGCACATAAAATTAAAAACCATTAATTTATCACTTCTTATTTAAGGGAAATAGTTTAAGACACTTTGTATGTTTTGTGAAGTTATAGTTTACATGGTATCCATCTGAACCCCTAATAAATTTGACTTTCAAGTAATGTTTGGTTGTATAATTTGGCAACAGCTTAATTTTTATTTTTCAGCTTTGAATCCATTTTAGTATTTGGTATTATCTGAATGTTTATGTTCCCCCAAACCTCATATGTTGAAATCCTCATCCTCAAGGTGATGTATTAGGAGACGGGGACTTTAGGAGGTGATTAGCTAGTAGAGCCAGAACTCTCATGAATGGGACTAGTGCCCTTATAAAAGAGACTTGAGAGAGACTCCCTCACTCTTTTTTTTAAAATATAATTTTATTTTTTTAATTTAATTTTGAAAAGTTATAAACCAGAGAAAATAGCAAAAACTATATAATGAACAATTATGTACCCTTCAACTAAATTCAACAACTATTATCATTTTCCCACATCTGCTTTTTATCTACATATATTAATACTTCCACCCCTGAACTATGTGAAAGTTGGAGATGTTATGACACTTTACCCCTAAATATATCAGCATATTTGAAAAAAGACATGCCCCTACAAAATTGCAGTATTATCACACTCAGGAAATTTAATTAAAAATATACTCATTTGTCCCTAAAATGTTCTTTTTTTTATTATTATTGTACTTTGAGTTGTAGGGTACATGTGCACAACGTGCAGGTTTGTTACATATGTATACATGTGCCATGTTGGTGTGCTTCACCTATCAACTCGTCATTTAGCATTAGGTATATCTCCCAATGCTATCCCTCCCCCCTCTCCCCACCCCACAATAGTCCCCAGTGTGTGATGTTCCCCTTCCTGTGTCCATGTGTTCTCATTGTTCAATTCCCACCTATGAGTGAGAACATGCGGTGTTTGGTTTTTTGTCCTTGCGATAGTTTGCTGAGAATGATGGTTTCCAGCTTCATCCATGTCCCTACAAGGGACATGAACTCATCATTTTTTATGGCTGCATAGTATTCCATGGTGTATATGTGCCACATTTTCTTAATCCAGTCTATTATTGTTGGACATTTGGGTTGGTTCCAAGTCTTTGCTATTGTGAATAGTGCCGCAATAAACATACGTGTGCATGTGTCTTTATAGCAGCATGATTTACAGTCCTTTGGGTATATACCCAGTAATGGGATGGCTAGGTCAAATGGTATTTCTAGTTCTAGAACCCTGAGGAATCGCCACACTGTCTTCCACAATGGTTGAACTAGTTTACAGTCCCACCAACAGTGTAAAAGTGTTCCTATTTCTCCACATCCTCTCCAGCACCTGTTGTTTCCTGACTTTTTAATGATCGCCATTCTAACTGGTGTGAGATGGTATCTCATTGTGGTTTTGATTTGCATTTCTCTGATGACCAGTGATGATGAGCATTTTTTCATGTGTTTTTTTGCCTGCATAAATGTCTTCTTTTGAGAAGTGTCTGTTCATGTCCTTTGCCCACTTTTTGATGGGGTTGTTTGTTTTTTTCTTGTAAATTTGTTTGAGTTCATTGTAGATTCTGGATATTAGCCCTTTGTCAGATGAGTAGGTTGCGAAAATTTTCTCCCATTCTCTAGGTTGCCTGTTCACTCTGATGGTGGTATCTTTTGCTCTGCAGAAGCTCTTTAGTTTAATTAGATCCCATATGTCAATTTTGTCTTTTGTTGCCATTGCTTTTGATGTTTTAGACATGAAGTCCTTGCCCATGCCTATGTCCTGAATGGTATTGCCTAGGTTTTCTTCCAGGGTTTTTATGGTTTTAGGTCTAACATTTAAGTCTTTAATCCATCTTGAATTAATTTTTGTATAAGGTGTAAGGAAGGGATCCAGTTTCAGCTTTCTACATATGGCTAGCCAGTTTTCCCAGCACCATTTATTAAATAGGGAATCCTTTCCCCATTGCTTGTTTTTGTCAGGTTTGTCAAAGATCAGATAGTTGTAGATATGCGGCATTATTTCTGAGAGCTCTGTTCCGTTCCATTGGTCTATATCTCTATTTTGGTACCAGTACCATGCTGTTTTGGTTACCGTAGCCTCCTAGTATAGTTTGAAGTCTGGTAGCATGATGCCTCCAGCTTTGTTCTTTTGGCTTAGGATTGACTTGGCGATGCGGGCTCTTTTTTGGTTCCATATGAACTTAGTTTTTTCCAGTTCTGTGAAGAAAGTCATTGGTAGCTTGATGGGGATGGCATTGAATCTATAAATTACATTGGACAGTATGGCCATTTTCATGATATTGATTCTTCCTACCCATGAGCATGGAATGTTCTTCCATTTGTTTGTGTCCTCTTTTCTTTCATTGAGCAGTGGTTTGTAGTTCTCCTTGAAGAGGTCCTTCACATCCCTTGTAAGTTGGATTCCTAGGTATTTTATTCTCTTTTAAGCAATTGTGAATGGGAGTTCATTCATGAATTGGCTCTCTGTTTGTCTGTTATTTGCACTATGTGTAGTTAGTGTGAGAGGACAGCTGTCAGTGAGGAAGTGGGCCCTTGCCAGACATCAAATCTGCTAGCCCCTTGATCTGAAACTTCCCAACATTCAAAACACTGAGAAATAAATTTTTGCTGTTTATAAGCTACTCAGTTTATGGCATTTTGTTATAGTAGCCCAAATTGACTAAAATCATATTTGAATTTAAAATAAATTCAATTAAAGAACAAACAAGAAATCATGAACATAGAATAGGAGTGAGAACAAATTGTCACCATTTGATAGAAAGACAAGATAACCGAAATGGGAGTCAAATTATGTAAATTCTCGTTCCAGACTGACACTCGTTATGTGACCTTTATCTCCCTGGATCCCAATATCCTTCCATTATAAATTAAAACATACAGATTAGAAGATTCCTAAGACATAAACTGGATAGTTGTTTAACAAATGAACTTCTTCTTCCTGGTCATACAGCCTCTTTGCATTTAGAAGTGTCCATGTGACTGAATTATGGCCAACGACATCTGGTATAAGTAACATACGCCACTTTCAGTCCTGGCCCTTAAAAATTCCCACAGGTAAATATATCTTCCTTCCTCTATTTGCTGAACCGAGAAGACTATAAAGCTGTGGGTCACAAAGCAGCTTTTGCTGACCTGGATGGATATTGCCTGAGTAAAAAAGAAATTTTTATTGTATTAAGCCAATGAAAATTTGAGATTATTAGAGCAATTACCCTGTGTCACCAATCTGATGGACAAGTATTCTTCTAGTTTTAAATTCTGTAATTTGCCAAAAATCTTTGAGTGCGATAAAAAATGTAGAAAAAATTATCAAAATTGGTGTCCTTGCCTCAAATCTTGCTCCTCTCTAATTTATTCTCCTTTGCAGTAATTGGAACACTCTGAAAGAAAGTGACCAATAGAATACAATGGAAGAGATGGGATGTGATTTTTAAGGTTAGATCATAAAAGACATTAAAATTCCCGCCTTGATCTCTTAGATTACTTGCTCTGGAGAAAACCAGCCACTAGGTCATGAGGACATTCAAACAGTTCCTGGAGAGGCCCAAGTGGAGAGGAACCAACTTGCCAGCACCAACTTTCTAGTCATGTAGCCATGTGATGAGTGGATCCTACCATCCCAGTCAAGCTTTCATAATTGCAGGTCTCAGCAATATCTGACTACAACCTCATGAGAGACCCTAAGCTGCTGTGTGTCAGAATTCCTGACTCACAGAAGCTGCAATATTTAATTAATAATCTTTGGGGACTGTTTAAGTTTTATTATGAGGAAATTCAAACATACACAAAATAGAGAGATTTATGTATGACCCTTCATATACCCATTGGTTAGTTTGAGCAATTGTTAATATTTTGCTTTATTTTTCCTACATAATTACATGCAATTATTACATTTAACAGAATTAACAATAGTTCTTTACTATCAACAAACTCCATATACCAAGTTTCATATGTTGTATTTGATTTACATTTCTTGAGTCTTTCTTATTCTCTAAAATTTTCCCCATTCCCTTATTTGCCTTTGATCAATTAAAAGCACCAGGTTATATGTCAGAACAGTGCTTCTTAATTTTAATATTTGAAATATGAATTATTCAGGGATTGTATTAAAATGTAGATTATTCTTCAGTAGGTTTGGGAAAGGCCGTGACATTGTATGTTTCCAACAAACTCCCAGATGACACCTATTTTAATAGTCTGAGGACCACACTTTGGATAACAGTGTTTTATAACCCACTCCAGATGTAATGAATCAGAATCTACGTTTTCCCAAGATTCCTAGTTGATTCATATGCACATCAAAATTTGAGAAGCATTGCTATTAAATGAGAAAGCAGGGCTATATATAGTAAGGAAATGATAATTATTTTTACCTTTTCTTAGTCCCTTAAGAGAAGGGTGTGATTTGCCTTTTGTTTATAGTCAGCTTCTGTTCTGATTGGTCAATCTGCTTTTTTAATTGCCTGAAACCCATGTTATACTGGTTAAGTATTTTGAATACTTTTGTTATTTTATATATATATGTATGTTATACATATATAATTTTAATAGATTGCCAGATAGACATTTACAAGTTACTGAAACTCATAATGAACACATTTTTTCTTGTTAGCAGCTGTTTTTATTATATCTGCTTTTTTTCTAAATACAAATAGACTAATATGTGTTAGTATTAAGTCATCATCAGATAATTAATAAGCATCTCATGGTTTACACAATTATCTCCTAATACTTGCTATAATTCCCTTTCATCAGCCAGTGCTTATAGATAGGCTTTCATTTCCTCAAAACATTAGAAGAGAATGTCAACTAATGATGAGAAATTTGATTGCATCTCTCTGTGCTCAACACTCACGCAAGTACTGAGTGTTCAGAATTCTCAGTGTTCAGAATTTTTAAATATCCGAAATAAAGACAAGATGTATCATGGAATACAATAGTGATATTTGTTGAAAAATAGAGCAATTTTTGACATTATAGAAAGAACTAGGTAAATCTTAAGACACCTTGATATTAACAGCAAAGAGAGAATCTTAAGTCTTGTAGATTATTTAAGACAGATATATTGTTATTTTAAAGCAGAGAATATTTAAAGATAACTAAATTCAAATATATTTGTCTTATTTATATTGTTTGAATTTCTTCATTATAGGTATTTTTCTTTCCTTTTTAGAGAAATTCACTTTTTAAAAATAGTATTTTTTCCTGATTTTACATGCTATTACATTTACATATGTCTGTAACCAGCATGTGCTGTTCGTGTGTCTGTGTGTTTTAAAACTTTATTTAGATGATATCATACTTGTAGGCATCATTATGAGACATGTCTTTTCCTTATTTAATATTGTTTCTGAGAAATCTCCACTTATTCCATACTCAGGAATCATATACATGCTCTACATTAAAGGAGAAAGGTCTGAAAAAGCTTACTGTACCATTTTCAACAACCAACTTGAGTGTTTTAGTCCGAAAAAGAAAATTTCAAATATTAAATTTTAGACATTAGGTAAGATGTCAATTAGGGAAGGTTGGGGGACACATTAGAAATCATTCAAGTAAACTTGCTCCTTAGGCAGGCTTTGGGGTCTTCTTGATGTGACATTATTAAATTGGGGTGAAAATATACTTATAACAAAGATGTTTTACCTAAGAGTGTGACTTAGGTTAATACACTTTATCATGTTTATACTGTATATTTCTTGACCACTCTTCTATTTTTCATTTTTTGTTGTGTTAAAACTTTAATTTACTATTTATTGTGCTTACAAAATATATCTAATCCTAAATCCCAGGGAATGTATTTTGATCAGTACAGGGAACAATACTGTGACATGTTTATGGATTAATATCATGGAATAATAAATATTTACTAGATGAAATACACAAAACAGTTGAATAGATTTTACTCAATCTTTCTTACAATATCACCAAGAGACCAGTTGAAAAATAACAGCACTAAAGTATTTTTTTTTAGAAAATTTATAATAATAGAAAACAGAACTTTAAGATGAAGTTGCCAGCACAGTCTTATGGCATCATCCCTAGGCACTGTCAGTAAGATTGAAATTTTTATCTCCATTATTATTTTTGACATAGTACCTTCACAGACAGAGCACAGGTAAATAATGTTCTGTAATGAATTCAGTTCATAGTGCCAGTATCTTGAAAGGCACTGTGCACCAGTGCTTCCTATCATATATCAACAGGGGATTACTAGTCTCAGCTCTTCTCATTTTGCTCTGCAAACTCTGGTGTTTATCTTAATCTTTTCTCTTTTTCCTTACCAACATATCTTTTTTGTATCATTTAGGCAATTTTGCCTAGGTATCTTCTTTGGGGATTACAATTTCTTTTGTACATCCGGGGATCTCTTCTAATAACTAGTGGAAAGGAATTAGGGACTTCAACATTGTTGATTTATGTGTGTGCTAGTCCAATCTAGCAGCAGTTTTTTCATATTCCTAATAAACACATGAAGAAATTCAGCTTTCCCAATTGCATGATCACTTGCCAGATTATTGACTCAAAGTAATCAATAGCTGGTAAATGAGTTAACTGAGAAAGAAACATCATACTGCTTTTTATTTTTGAGGAGGAGGGAACCATTAAAAATCAATAAAAATCAATTTAAAGTTTCTCTAAATAAAACAATAAATCCTACCAACCGTTAAGAAAAGCAAAGTGGAATTCAAATTTGTCTGATAGAGACATAATTATCTTTTACAGCATGAGCATCATGTAAAATTTATCTTTATGCTGCAAGGATTAAAAATTTAATTATAAAACAAAATCTTAATTTCTCTGTAAATGACCCATTTTTAAACTTATGAGTTTATTGTGACAGTGTAATAAGGATACCTTTAAATTATTGTATTTGTTTTACCTTGGAAGTAGGACAAAATTTTCCCTGTACTCCATTCAGGCTACCGTTGGGCAAAACTGTAGTTCATCTTCCCAAAATCTTGTTTTTCTTTTATCTCCTCTTGTTTTTATTTTGTGGTATAGATCCCTCTCAGGAAACTAAAGTTTCATATTTTCTGTTTCTTTATCCCTTCTTTAAAACCTGATCTCAAGAAAACATCTTATTGATTCATTCAAAGTAGCATAGACATTTTATTAAACTTTTTAAATTTCCATTTTAACACAAGACAAAGTTCTAATTTTGCTTACACCCATAAATGAAATTCAAATTAGGTATGAGTTGGAGAGGGGGACAAAGTTTGAGGCATATCTCATCTTACCATTGTGCATAATATTGAAAATTATGCAATAAGTTATTTTCTATTACATTCATGGTAGATGTCTGTTGTCAACTCAGTACTATCACCACTGCATTCCAAGGCTGGAAACTGGATTTTCAAGAATGCACTTTCTTGGATGGTTCTGAGTTAAAGGCTCCCAAATTCCACTGGGTATCCGTTGTCCTCATCCTCAGGCTATTATAATTTTTACATCAGATCAGACTAATGTAACAATTGAGAACATATATAAAAAGATGAAAAGTCATTAAAAAGTTATTTAAAACATGTAGAAAAAGTATAAAAAATAATGTATAAGTGATATCACACTAATACTCTAAAACTTTGCTAAAGATAAAAAAATTTACTGGGTTGCCCAAGCCACAGACATTTTTATAAGATACCCAAGAAATTAACAGCTATAAAAATAGTGAAAAAATTTTAGATGGGAGCCTAAAACTAAAATCAACTCATTTTCTGGCAGAGTTCTTCCAAAATGTCAAGTCCACAAGAAGGGATGTGTGGCAAAAAGTGTCTGCATAGAGTTGTCTCAGACACCAGCCACTCTCATGCTGACAGGCTTTGCCTTTTGCTCAGGTTGGCTTCAGAGGTGCAAGTATATTGGCAGATGCCTACTCAAGATAGGCCAAGGAACCCTGAGGGATGTCGGCTAGCTTTCTGTGCTGCACATTGATGTCCTCCAGCACCTGCCATGAATGCCGCAACTATGTCAAGTTCTTCTGGACCAGCATGTCTTTCCACTATAATTCATTCCTTAGTTCGAAGAAATCCTCTTTGATAGCATTATCTGGTTTCTGGACAGATAATTGCAATCTTTTTGAAGAAAAAAACATCCTATCTGTCTTGCAATATCCAGAAACTCCTGGATACACTGATCAACACCAGTTTGAATTTCTTCCTGATTGGTGCCATTGACATACTTCTGACTCACCAGAGAAGCAAAGCAAGCCTGAAAATATGACTTCAACTTTTCCATCAAGGTACTGTCATAAGGTCTTAGAGAACCTGGAGCTTCCTGAAGAAGCAAAGCCTAGCTTGGGAGTTCCAGTGGGGGTGGTGGGGGACCCAGTGGCTCCACAGGGAACATAACACCTGGTGGAGCTGCCATATCTTGAATGAGATTTCTTTTAAAGAGTCAGTGGAGATGTTAACTAGGCAGTTGAATATGAATCTGACATTCAAGAGAGTAGTCCAGAACAAATACATATTTGAGAGTTATTGACCAAGAGAAGGTATTAAAGCCAGGATTTCACAGAGATAAGGAAAACACAGAGGTGAGATGATTTATGTTCAAATCTGGAGTACTATCAACAGTTGGAGGTTAAGCCTAGGAGGAAGAGACAGGAAAGAAGTCTGTTGAAGAAGGTAGAAGGAAAGCAGGAAAAAGTTGAGTCATAGAAGCCAAGAAAAGAAAGCATTTAAAGAAGGAGGAAATAATCAATTATTTTAAATGCAGTTTAAATTTCAAATATGGTAGGGACAGAGAAGTGATTTCTGATATTTCATAGCATGGAAATTATAGCAACCTTAACAAGAAGAGTCTTGGAGATGTTATAAATATGAAAGTGGTGGGGACAAGTGCAAGTTAAGAAGAAAATAAAAGGAATTTAAAGAGATAAATAGAGCTTAATCAAAACAAAAATGGAATATACAACAACCCAACAACAAGAGCAATGAAACAAAAACATAATTTAGCAAATAAAACATCAAAACAACAAAGCCCCCAAACTATCTTTAGATTCCCTTTGAGCTATGTTTAAAAAATTTTTTTGCCACTTATCTTCCTCAAACAGTAACCTGTATTCCACTCACTCAGCTTTACGCCTGTGCTGCTCTAGATTCCACTTCCACTGCTCCTGTAAACTCTCTCCACTGTCACTGATGACTGCACAATGAGACTTTATTCTCTGCACTTCTCTGAAGTCCTTGAAATACAGTAATCCCTCCTTACTTATAAGGGATATGTTCCAAGACATTCATTATATGCCTGAAACCACAAAAAGAAGTGAACCTTATCTATACTATTTTTTATACATCATACCTATGATAAAGTTTAACTTATAAATTAGACACAATAAGAGGTTAACCACAATAACTAATAATAAAATCAAAATATTATAACAATATACTATAATAAAAGTTATGTGATTATAGTCTCTCTCTCCCCAAATATCTTACTGTGCTATACACACTTATTGTACTGAACTGTGGTTGGCAGTGGGTAACTGAAAATGCAGAAAGCAAAACTGCAGATAAAGGGGAAAATAGTGTACTAATTACAGTCAGGACTCCTCCCTTGTCAGCCATGACCTTCTATTACATTGTTTCTCCTTTTTATCATGTTATTCTATGGGTCATCTCTCTTCTTCCCTCCCACAAGTATTGACAATTTTTATTTTCCTTCAGCATTTATACTTTCTTCCATACTAATTGTCCTACTGACTTATGGCTTCAATGATCCTTCAGTATGAGTGATTCATCTAGTTAAATCTCGATTCACGTTCACTTCCAAGTTCTGCACTTACATCTCCAACTTTCATATCAACCCTTTCACTTGGATAGCCTGTAAGCAGCCTGTTGCAACTCTGCTCTTCCTCCACACTTTTCTTAAGATGAAGAAAGTAAGCTATCATAAAGATTATGTTTTTTGTATAGCTGGAAGTTTTTCCAGGGTCAGAATAAATTTTGTAGAAATAGAAACTCCTTTGAAACGTTATGTTTTAGAACTTTAATGTTTAAATGGAAAACAATTGTTAGTAGGAATCTTTTAGTCCTGCCAAATGCTGAGAGCTATGTAGAAAGCATGCTTGTTTAGAGTCATTAATCAAATATTCAAGAAGACATTAATAATCCAAAACTAAATTATCAGTATGAATTTTAATTAGAGATAATACAGTTAATACCAGAGTAGAAATATAGTTTGGAATGGGAACACTGGGTATTTAGGATACACTGTTTTCACTGTGTTTTCCTGTAAGAAACCATAATGTATACATATGTATATAGCAATTAAAGCAATGATTATGATTGTAACTAATTAATTATATTCACCTCAAGCGCTTAGTTAATGTTACCTGGATAATGATTATGCAAATTATTTTTGTTAATAAGTAGCAGTTTTAAATAAATAAAAACTGTTTTAAGGAGGAAGTGTTATTTAGGAGGCCTTTGAAGCATTTGTAGGAGTTACATAAGAAGCTACAGGGAAACTGAGTGATCATTGAGGTGAAAACTCAGGATGTCTGCATAAATCTGAGACACATTCAATTTCACTGAATATCTATGGGTATGATAAAGGTGAAGATAAACCTGAGAAAATATTGTGAATAGACTTGAATACCTAGCTCTGAAATGTGAACTTCCAGAGACAGTGAACAACCATAACG
The DNA here is from genome assembly GCF_000001405.40 of Homo sapiens. Taxonomy (NCBI): domain Eukaryota; kingdom Metazoa; phylum Chordata; class Mammalia; order Primates; family Hominidae; genus Homo; species Homo sapiens. The sequence goes on along the minus strand of NC_000002.12, from coordinate 186,362,319 downwards.
TTGTTTTATAGTTGCCTGGAAAATGAAGGGGCACAAATTTTAGAAAATATAATCTGACAGTGGTGCACAAAATTCACTGGTGGCTGGAGAGGGAGGAGGTGGATAATTGGTTTCCTTGTGGTAGTAGTCTGTATGTGAAGAAGGTACCATGGCATTGTTGCATTCCACATGGTAGAAATGGCTATAATTTGCCCAGACCTGAGCCTCCCGTTTCCCATGTGAAGCCTGGAACTGTGGGGCCAATCAGAGACAAATTATTGCTCTTTGTGCATGTCTAAATTCTTGTTCATGGCAAACAAACACAGTCATCATTGGTTTCTAGCCTTATACTGTCCAAGCCAGAAAGCTTATCATCCCCATTTAGAATTTTAGACTAGTGAATAAAAATTTTAACTTTCTGGGAAGCTTAGTGTTTTATTTTTTATTTTATTTTTATAAGAACAAAGGCCTTAGGACTGGTTAACTTGTGTTTGATTTCTCTTTCTCATGCATATTATGAAAGTCACAATTCTTGGAGGCCACTTTTCCTGGTGCAAGATAAGTGAAAGAATACATAACTCAAGGTGTTTAAGATTGTCAGTGAGATAAATTATGTAAAGAATCTAGCTTACTGACTTGCTTATATGGGTAATCAACAAATAATACTGGCTTTCCTCCTCATTATAATTGACCTTTTGCAGAACTTGGCATTATTGACAATTTCTTTCTTCAAACTTACCTCCGTCTCTCCTCTTCAATAACATCTACTTTTCTGGTTCTTCTCACACCCCTCTTTCCCTCTGCATACTTTTTTGTTTCATTAGCATTTCCTTTTCTTATAAATTGACTTTTTCTAGAGTCCTATTCTCTGCCCTTTTTCCTTTGTACTCTTCTTAAGTAATCTGTCTAATAACCACAATTTCAAACACTATATGAAAAAATGATGGTTTCAAGTTTTTAGATTTAATAGAATCTGTCTCATATCAGTTTTTCCTATGGCCAGCTAAACATATACTCCTAGATACTATACAAATATTTAAGGCTAAACATATCATCTTAGTTTGTTTCCTTTTTGTCCTAGTCCTAAGCTGCTACAACAAAATATTAAAAACAGGACAGCTTATAAACACTAATTTCTTTCGTCAGAGTTTTGGAGATTGGGAATTCCAAGATCCAGGTGCCTGCAGATTCAGTGTCTGGTGAGGGCCTGCTTCCTGGTTCATAGATGGAGGGCTGTCTTCTCATTGTCCTCACATGTCAGAAGGGGCAGGAAAGTTCCCTGGGTTCTCTTTTATTAGGGCACTAATCTTTTTCATGAGGGCTCCATCCTCATGACCTAATCACCTCCTAAAGGGCCACACCTCCAAATACCAACACATTGGGAATTAGGTTTTAACATATGAATTTGGGGGGACACAAATACTCTACAGCCACTTTCTTGTGCAATTTCCTCTTAAATTTTCAGCAAATGGTGTCATTATCAACTGACTTTTTCATGACAGTATCCTAAAAATGTGTCTAGACACTTTCCTCTGTCTTATATTCTGTTATAGATAAATTGTCACCTCCTAAATTGTTTCCAATATGCCTCACTTCTTTCTGAAATGGCCACAGTTCAGGCTTTCTTTGCATAGATTATTATTGTATCCTTCTGACAGGTTCACAAATGATTCCATCTTTTCCTTCTGCAAATTATTCCAGAGTCATTTTCTAAAATACAGATATGATCTCCATATATGTCAGGGTAAAACTCAAAATCCTCACTTGATGTACAAGGCCTCTAGGAGTCAAGACTTGCCTGAGGCTTCGGCCTCATCGGTCTCACTAAACTACTGCATATATCAGAGTGCAACATTAAACCTTTTTTGCAGAAATCGTTTTCTCTATTTATCATGTCCTTCCCCATCTTGTCTTTAATCTCTACACGTCTTTTAAACTGTCAGCTGAAAAGTCAATTATTTAACATTAAGCAAATTCTTATTAAACCCCAACTTAATGTGCCAGGCACTGTGCTAGCCAGTTCTTCGTGAATAATTTCTAGACACTCAGACACTTCTCATTCTGCTTTGTTCACATATCTGTTATCAAATTGAACTGTCAGGATTTGCATATGTATCTGCTTCTTTTACTGAACCGTGTGCTTCCAGAGGGCAGACAATTTGTCTTTATCATCTAGGTGTTATTAACTCTTAACACAGTCATAGATAATCATTAAGCACTGAACAAGTGAACAAATGGTTACTTTAAATAACATTTCTTAGAGAGATTGGAAAAAGTATAATTTGACTTGAGCTTAGTAAAATACAAACATGTTTCCTGACATTCTAAGCCTACTGGGCTAGCAAATGAATGTTTTAAAATAAATGGAACACCTCAGCATTCTAGTTAATTGGCATGAATAATTTCTGACAGAAGGTTGAATATCAAATAGCTATCTACTTTACCTCTCTTTTATATATATTATATCTATTTTGATAGAAATTAGCAATAAACCAAACAGATGTTTACTCACAGATATCATTGATTTTCATTTGGGTGTGGATAATGAGCACTAAGAAGGCAGGTGGAGTTTCCAGGGAGTAATTGATGTTGATGTTTTATGCTATCATGTGGATACTTTGAAATAAGAAGAGACACTAGACTGTCATTACGTGCCCAATAATTACAAGCAAGGGCCACGTGGATCAATGATTCTTTAATGAAATGCTGTGTAGCACACACTGTCATTATTTTATTCTTACAAATAAGAAGCAAGAACGAATGATTCTATTGAATTCATGGGCATAAAGGTCTATTTGGATTGTAAACTCAATCTCGTCCTTTTATAAATGAGGGAATTGAAGGCCAAATACATTAAAGTGCTAATTCCAGGTGACAAAGAAGAGCTACTGTTAGAGCCAGGATAGAGGTCAGACATTGTAACTAAAATTTCTTCCAATTGTTTTAAGTTGCAGCAGAAGATGATACCCTGTGAACCATGAGGAATCAAGACTGGCATTATATTAAATTTTTTTTTACCTTTTCCTCCTTTTTTTAATTTTAAAATTTATATTTTTAGAGACAGGATCTTGCTGTGTCACTCAAGCTGGGGTTCAGTGGCTCAATCATAGGTCACTGCAGCCTTGAACTCCTGAGCTTAAGTGGTCCTCCCACCTCAGCCTCCTGAATATCTAGGGCTACAGGCATTACATTAATTGTAAACACATCAATCAGTCATTAATTATTTGCAGATATGTATTAATTATATTGCTAATATTTCCATGTTAACTAGCTCAGATTTGATATTAATTTTATATCAAATATTTTACAGATTTTATTTTTTCTTTGTTAGCTCTTGAACAGAATCAAAATATTGGCAGCTTTTCCTTTAACTTTGTGCAGATAACTATGATTTATGGTGTTTAATGCAGTTATTTATCTCAGGCCCCATAGAATACCAGATCTAGACTTCCTGTTTTATATTTCTATTGGATTTCCTATACTTCCTGGGAAAATTGTTGGAAGGAGTTGGTAACAGATAGGTCAGTTCCTCAGGAGCTCAGGATTAGAATTCACTAGGAAATTAGTGTGACAAGAAGGCTACCTGATGATCTGGGAGCGGAATAAACAAAGAGAGAGAGCAAAGAAAAGAAAACAAGTGGTAGAACAGAGGAAATAATAGAATAGCAAGGACAGTATTTAAGGTATTTAAGGAAAGTAAGGAAGGAACTCAGAATGATAAGGTAGGAAAGTTAGGCCTGGAAAGATTGAATAAATTCCTACTTGTTAGGGGTAAGATATTGTGCTAGTCATTTTCAGTTATCTCATTTAATCCTCACCATTCCAGAACATATTTCCATTTTACAGGTGAGGAAATAAGATGCACTGAAGTTAAGCCATGTGCCCAAGTCACATACTCAGTAAATGTCAGGAGTAGGATTCATACCTAGACTTCGTATCTCTTCCTGGGCAGAAGGAAAGGTACATTAAATGTGTCTCAGAATGATAGTTCAAGGCTGGTAAGGGTGGCCTTGAAAATTTAATGCTTCTTAGTAGGTCCTGTATTCTAACTGTATCTTGATTTAAATGGCCCTATAGTGCCGACCTTGGGAACCTCAATGGTTTCCTTACCAAAAGGACCCTGAAAAAATGAGGCGAACTTCTAAATCCTTGGTGGTTGGATTATTGAAGATTTTTTGAAAGAAGTGAGAGAATTCTCCTTTCGTTAGTTGTAGCAGAAACGTAACAGTGAGAAATAACAATAATGTAAGGCCTCCCAGAAATGAAGGAGCAGTATTTTTTTTCTTCTCGGGCTGCAGAAATCACTGAGTGAATACCAGTCCCAAATGGCGAGGAGGGTGTGTGTGTGTGTGTGTGTGTGTGTGTGTGTGGTCGTGGTGGTTGTGGTAGTGGTCTTATTCATTAAACTGGGCTGGGATTTGGAGCCCGATGTGATTGTAATTACACCTGAGCTCTTGATTGTTCCAATATAGAGTATAACTTGGGAGCAAGGTTACTAATGGATTAAATTGCACTGCACACAAACTCATTCAAATGCCCAATACTTGCATTAAAATATTTTAAAAATCACAGCTCTTAGGTTTTATTGAAAAGAATAATGTATTTATTATTTACATAAAATAATTAAATATGGAAAGTTACTAAGAAGAAAGTAAAAAATAAGCCAAAGTCTACGTAACAGAAATATTGTAAATATTTGTTAAATAGAATTTATTGTGTCTCTTTGTGTATATATACAGAGAGACAATAGGTAGGTAACAATAATTTTGAAGCAGGTATGATAGTACTCTACATGTAATTTTTAATTAAAATATAACATTTAATATGCATTAAAAAAAAACAGGCCCGGTGCGGTGGCTCATACCTGTAATCCCAGCACTTTGGGAGGCTGAGGCAGGTGGATCACCTGAGGTCAGGAGTTTGAGACCAGCCTGGCCAACATGGTGAAACCCATCTCTCTACTAAAAATACAAAAATTAGCTGGGCATAGTGGCAGGCGCCTCTAATCCCAGCTACTCAGGAGGCTGAGACAGGAGAATTGCTTGACCCTGGGAGGCAGAGGTTGCAGTGAGCGGAGATCACACCACTGTACTCCAGCCTAAGTGATAGAGAAAGACTCCATCTCAAAAAACAAAACAAAAAAACAAAAACAAACAAACAACAACAACAACAAAAACCCACCAGAAAATGAAGTAACTTCAGGCTGATTTATTTTTTTTGAAACGGTTTTCCTCTGTCGACCAGGCTGGAGTACACTGGTGCAATCATAGCCTGCTACTTATTTGAACTCTACCTCAAGTGATCCTTCCACCTTATCCCTAAGTAGCTAGGACTACAGGTGTGCACAACCACACTTGACTAATTTTTATATTGTTTTTGTAGAAATGGAGTCTAGTTTTGTTGCCTAGAATTGTCTTGAACTCCTGGCTTCAAGCTATTCTCTTGCCTTTGCCTCCTAAATTGTTGCGATTACAGGTGTGAGCCATTGTGCCTGGCCTAAATATTTGTTTTTTTAATCACAAAGCAATATAAGTCACTGGAATATTTCTCTAAAATTAAAAAAATCTAAAAATTTAAGAGATTGAGGTCATTTTAACTACATTTTTTTAAATACGGTTACAGATTTTTAACTATGAATAAGGACGTTAGCATACTTAGACTATTCCTCGTTCTCCCCACCTCCCTTATACTTAGTTCCTTCATGTTTTCCTGAACTAATTTTATTTTTGCCTTATTTTTCTTAAAAACTTTTAATTTCTGCTATTTTGCTATATTTTATGATATGTTAAGCCATCCTTAGTTTATAATAGGAACATGGCAGAATATAAATAAATCATAGATAAACATACTAGAAGTTATTATAATTTAAAATTTTGATAATTCTGATTTATGATTTACCAGTAATTTTTTGGTATGCAATAGTATGTGTAATGGTTACTTCTAGTTCTGTATTCACTATTGAAAGCACGCTTTAAAGCAGCCCAGAAGTCTCTTTAAATCCGTATTTACCTCTACACTAATAAATCTCTATAAATTGTTGTGTCTTCAATTTACCATTAATAAGCAGTAGAAAAAATTGTTTTGCTTTGCTTTGGTACTACTGAAATTGTGTGTTCTAATATAGTGAGGCCATGAGGTGAGTGACTCCTAGTTTGCTATTTTTTAAATTACAGGCTGTTAAGTCAGATCTGCCAGGATCAGGTCCTAAAAGTGCTATTTTTCACACATCAAAATCCAAGTTGAAATACTGGCTTGTTTGTTAAGATTAATTAACTATAGGTAATACTTGCACCTTGCCTCATTAAAAGAAGAAAAAATGCCCCACTATATTCACTCACAGAATTTTAGTAGAAAAATTAATGATGAATGTAAACAAACTTCATGCAAATACAACATTTTTACCATTTAGGAAAAAGAAAAACATGATTTTTCCCCCTCCAAAATAGAGATAATTACTGATAACGCAATTTGCAGCTGTTTTCTTCATGTGACCTCTGTTTTTTTTTTGTTTTCAAGTATCAGAAAATTGCAAACTTGACCATCTGATCTCAGGTAGTTGAGCAGTATTGGGTGTTAAAAAAATACTGGAATTAGACACATAGTAGCTCTGTCATAATTGGATTTGAACTTTGACAAGTTTCTTAGCCCTGTGAGCCTCAGTTTCATTTGAAAAATGATGGGATTAAACTAGCAGGTCACTAAGTGCCTTCTATTTGTAAAACCTTTGTTCCTAACTGAGCTATATTGAAAATATCAGTGCCCTCTTGAGTGTTCCTATATCAAGTTGCATTGCAGCAATTTTAAAACATTGTTCAAACAAAATACATTGACTTTGAAAAATAAAAATATCTTTGAAAAGAAGTATGAAATGAAAATAAGTAAATAAAAAATATGTTGACTTCCTTTAACTTAAGCTTTAAGTGGTTTTGTGAAATAAAACAAGTGTAACTGAGTGTCCAACCTCAACACATCAGTGATCATATTTCTGTGACAAGAACCACATTGCATCTCTGAAGCCCTGTAGTACTTCCCCGGGTTTGTCCTGCAGACCAAGGCACATTGTAGTTTTAAACACAGACTGGAAATGTTCAGAAGATTCAGTGGAAGTCATGGACCAGGAAAGATGGAGTTGGTGGTAATTCAGACAATTAGTTTATTTGCTCTGATGATTTCTCTAGGTTCCAGAAGTACATGTTTTAAATTATAGTGGCTATTTGTCCCATGAATTACCTGAAATTAAACAGTTTAATTTTAAAAAAGCAGTATTTATTTAGAAATTAAAGATTTTTGAAAAATTTGCATATGGTAATGAATAACTTTATCTTCTATTAGATGATCATCATGAAAAAGTAAATGAATGTATTTAAATTAATGGGTTTCAAAGATTAGACACAAGCCCTGGACTTTCAAAATATATCTTTTAGATTATAAAAATAATTCATGCTAATCATAGAAATTTTATAATTTACAGGAAAGTATAAAGAAAAATAAATTTATCAGTTTCATCATCTGGAGATAACTGCTGCTCCCATTTTTCTGTACTTTTTTCTTTTTCCATTCACACCAACAAAAATATTTTCACTTTAAGTGTCAGTGGGATTATATTGTATATACAGTTTTTGATTCCTCCCCTTCCCACTCATATCCTTATATGATTATAGAAAAATGTCTCTAATTGCTACATAATATTCCCTTGTTTTGACCATTCAAATATCTTGCCAGCTTTTAATGATTATAAATACTGCTACAATAAAGATCCTTGCATATAAAATATCTTTTTCTGTTTATTTCATAAATGTGAATTCATACAAGTTCCATTAGTCTGTTTTATCCATCCTCTGCTGCTAAAGACATAGCTGAGACTGGGAAGAAAAAGAGGTTTAATGGACTTAAAGTTCCACATGGCTGGGGAGGCCTCACAATCATGGTGGAAGGCAAGGAGGAGCAAATCACATCTTACATGGATGGCAGCAAGCAAAAAGAGAACTTGTGCAGGGAAACTCCTGTTTTTAGAACCATCAGATGTCATGAAGCTCATTCAGTATGATGAACAGCACAGGAAAGATCCGCCCCCATAACACGACACATGGGAATTGTGGGAGTTACAATTGAAGATGAGATTTGGGTGGGAACACAGCCAAACCATCTCATTCCGGCCCTGGGCCCTCTCAAATCTCATGTCCTCACATTTCAAAACCACTCATGCCTTCCCAACAGTCTCCCAAAGTCTTAACTCGTTTCAGCATTAACTCCAAAGTTCACAATCCAAGGTCTCATCTGAGACAAGGAAAGTCCCTTCTGCCTATGAGACTGTAAAGTCAAAAGCAAGTTAGTTGCTTCCTAGATACAATGGGGGTACAGGCATTGGGTAAATACAGCTGTTCCAAATGGAGGAAATTGGCCAAAACCAAGGGGCTACAGTCCCCATGCAAGTCCAAAATCCAACAGGACAGTCAAATCTTAAGACTCCAAAATGACCTTCTTTGACTCTGTGTCTCGCATCTGGGTCACACTGATGCAAAAGATGGGTTCCCATGGTTTTGGGTAGCTCTGCCCCTGTGTCTTTGCAGGGTATAACCTCCATCCTGGCTGCTTTCATGGGCTAGCTTAAGTGTCTGTGGCTTTTCCATGTGCAGGGTGCAAGCTTTCAGGGGATCTACCATTCTGGGGTCTGGAGGATGGTGGCCCTTTTCTCACAGCTCCTCTAGGTGGTGCCCCAGTAGGACTCTGTGTGTGGGCTCCAACCCCACATTTCCCTTCCACACTGCTCTAGCAGAGGTTCTCCATGAGGACCTTGCCCCTGCAGCAAACTTCTGCCTGGGTGTCCAGGCATTTCCATACATCTTCTGAAATGTAGGCGGAGGTCCCCAAACCTCAATTCCTGACTTCTGTGCACACACAGGCTCAGTACCATGTGGAAGCTGCCAATGCTTGGGGCTTACACTCTCTGAATCAACAGCCCAAGCTGTACCTTGGCCCCTTTTAGTCATGGCTGGAGCAACAGGGACACAGAGCACCAAGTCCCTAGACTGCACACAGCAGAGGGACCCTCAGCCTCGTCCACAAAACCATTTTTTTCTCCTAAACCTCCAGGCCTGTGATGGGAAGGGCTGCCATGAAGATCTCTGACATGCCATGGAGACATTTTCCCCATTATCTTGGGGATTAACATTTGGCTCCTTGTTACTTATGCAGATTTCTGCAGGTGACTTGAATTTCTCCTCAGAAAATGGGATTTTCTTTTCTATTGCATTTTCAGGCTGCAAACTTTCCAAAATTTATGCTCTGTTTTTCTTATAAAATGAAATGCCTTTGACAGCATCCAAGTTACCTCTTGAAAGCCTTGCTGCTTAGAAATTTCTTCTACCAAAAACCCTAAATCATCTCTTTCAAGTTCAAAGTACCACAAATCTCTAGGGCAGGGGCAAAATGCCACCAGCCTCTTTGCTAAAACATAAGAGTCACCTTTGCTCCAATTCCCAAGTTCCTCATCTCCATCTGAGACCACCTCAGCCTGGACATTGTTGCTCATATCATTATCAACATTTTTGTCAAAGCCACTCAACAAGTCTATAGGAAGTTCCACACTTTTGCACATTTTCCTTTCTTCTGAGCCCTCCAAACTGTTCCAGCCTCTGCCTGTTAAGTAGTTCCAAAGTCACTTCCACATTTTTGAGTATCCTTTCAGCAATGCCCCACTCTATCCTTATGAATTTACTGTATTAGTCCATTTTCACATTGCTGATAAAGACATACCCAAGACTGGGCAATTTACAAGAAAAAGAGGTTTAATTGTACTTACAGTTCCACATGGCTGGGGAGGCCTCACAATCATGGTAGAAGGCAAGAAGGAGCAAGTCACATCTTACGTGGATGGCAACAGGTAAAAAGAGAACTTGTGCAGGGAAACTCCTGTTTTTAAAACCATCAGATCTCATGAGACTCATTCACTATCATGAGAACAGCACAGAAAAGACCCACCTCCATAATTCAACTACCTCTCATCAGGTTCCTCCCATGACACATGGGAATTGTGAGAGTTACAATTGAAGATGAGATTTGGGTGGGGACACAGCCAAACCATATCATAAGTAAACCCTATTTAATAACTTTTAAACTTCTTTACACATATTATGAAGTTTTTTCCCATAATAATTTTAACTTATTCATTCACTAAGTCACTATCACTTTGTTGGATGGAGAACACACAACATACCATACACATTCATTATGAAGATTTATATATACAGTATGTAAAATGCATCTCTTTCTCATCTATTCATCTAATAGGTGATGGCAACTTATTTAGTAGATAAGAATATATCAGTAATATTTAATTTGCATTCAGTTGTGTCTTCTTTTGGGTTCCACAGATGTGGAACTTCCAGTGAGTTTTCTAAGGCAAGAGACTTACTACAGAAGTACTTTTAAAAGAAATCTGTAGGCAGGAGAAGGAAACATTGTTGGAAAGAGAGAGGAAAGCCAAAGAAATACATGGCTAGAGGGGAAGCCTAGCCTTAGCTGATCCCACAGAGAGTTCTGAAACATAACTTGCACTGTGCTGCAGAGTCTGTACTGAGGCAAAGGAGCGGGACTTTTATGCCACAACATGTCCGTAACTGGCTTTGGGAATCCCTGGATTAGAGGCATAAGTTTCAGACACTCCTGCATCAGGTTGTTCCAATCACCTAAGGACATGCTCCTGGGAAAACTTTTAGGTGTAAGCTGTTAACAGCACCTGCAACAGCCATAAATCAAGGGTCAATATGTGTGGGGGGTTCTAGCCTTCTGTTCTGTTCTATTGATCCATGTCTAGTTTTTTTTTTTTGCTAATACCACATTCTTCTAATTATTTTAACTTGGTAATAAGTACTATACCATCTTATTATTCTTCAATTGTGTATTGGCTATTCTTGGCTCTTTGCACCATCATTCATATTTAAAAATAAATTTGCCAATTTCTTTTCCCTAAAATCTTTTGGGGTACTTGGGAACACATTCATTCTATGAATACATTTACAGAGAACATCACAGTATTGTGTGTTACAGTCCATGAGTATGGTATGTATTTCTACTTCTCAAATTTCTTCTCAGTGTCACTGATTCATTTATTTTGATCTCAAGTATGTAATCTGCTGCTTAATTTTTAATTCTGTTAATTTACTTTTTATTTCCTCATAATCTTCTTTAACTCACCTAGGTCTTTTCACTGCAGGCAGCCACTGTAAAACATTTTGGCTAATTCTTCAAGTGATATTGCTATATTTCTACAAAATATGTTTATATTACAATTTATTGATTTTAAATTTGACATTATCTTAACTTTCTACCATGAAAAATGAGGATTTCTCTCTCTTGCCATCGCTTCCCTCATGTTCACATATTTCCTCTTGTATCTTATCAACAGTTATATTGCTTTTCCTAGTTAACTTTTACTGTTTATATCATTCTCTTTACATAAATATTTTTCAGTGGCATGTGTAATATGATTATATTTTCTTTCTATTGTGACTTTTTGTTTTTCCTGGATTTAATAGTTACTTTTTTTTAGTATTCTATGCTGTTTTGCATACATAGAACTAATCTTTCTTTAAATACTCTATAGAATATATAAGCCTTTAGGAGATCTGTCAGTCCAAGTGTTTTTTCTTCAGATATCCACCCCATATTTTTCCCCTAATCAATTCTAGATGTGTTGCATTCTCAGCTTGATAAAGTGCTGTTGTTTTGGGAATTTCCTTTGTCCTGATGATTTTGTTTATGTTTTCCCTAATTATGTTGCTCCCATCAATTTCTCTGAGTTTATTATTTTATTTCAATGGAGCACATTCTTCAGGAGATTGATGAGAGGATGTGGATGAGAGAGAATTATTTTGAGACACTCTGTGTCTAGAAAGGTTTTTATCCCACCCTTGAATTTGATTTGATATTTTGGCTAGATATAGAACTAATGGTTAAACAAATGCTTTCCTCTCAGGAATTTCTTCACTTTTTTAGCTTCTAATTTTGCTTTTGAGAAGTCTGATATCATTTAATTGTAAATACATTGCATATAATCCACTTGGGCTTTTTTTTGTAGACATTAAGGTATCAGTTTTCTGTATAGTATTTTGAAAATTCAATTATTATCCACCCATCAATTTTCCAGTAAGATTTTTCCTAATTTTTTTTATATTTCTCATCTTTTTATTATCTTCCCTATATTTCATTTTGTCGTTTTACATTTATATCTAAATAATTCTTTATTGTATTTCAGTGGTATTTTAAAAGTGAGTGGATATAAATATGGGTATTCAATCCATGATATTTAAGCAGAAGTCTCTACATTTCTTGCGTAGGGTTTGTCTTGATTTAAAATCTATTAAAAAGACCAAATAGTTTTTAAAAATATATATTATGAAATGATATATCTCATAATCACTAATATGCTTATCTTCTTGGTCTTCAAATATTATTTCATTTTCATCAACTTGCTACAGTTTTTGGTCTTAGCAGCCCTTAAAAGAATTACTTTGTTATAGAATAAGATGAGATATCTCTAGAGTCAACTTTGCCAACAGAATCATGATTCATATTTGGCTGTGATCCCAGTTCACTTGGATATATGTAGTTTCTTAAGTTTCCAGATGCAGAAAGGATAAGCCTCCTTGGCCCGATTTACAGTGTCTAGCAGGAAGTTAGTTAGGGCAGATGTTTTGAATTCGTGGTTAACCTGTTTCAGTTTCCACTATTGGTGGCCATTTCTGAATATTTGAGGAAGATGAAATACTAATTGAAGTAAAGGAGGCAATCTAGTGTCTCATAAAACAATAACCTCACTTTATAGTCTGTGAAAATCTTGTGATCTTTAGCAAGGGGAAAAACTAGGAGGACAAAGTATCTCCTGCCAACTATTAGTGCAATGCATTGTGCTTGTTTTCTTTGTTAGCAATGATAAAGCATGTGTCAAGCTTTGATTAGGATTATTAAGTAAAAGTTTTTACAATGTAGAGTTTTATTGTTTTTATTGTTTTTGTTTTTGCTTTTTGAGATAGGGTCTCACTCTCTTGCCTAGGCTAGAAAGTAGTCACATGATCTCGGGTCACTGTAGCCTTGACTTCCTGGGTTCAAGTGATCCTCCCACCTTAGCCTCCTGAGTAGCTGGGACTACAGGTGTGCACCACCATGCCCACTTAATTTTCGTATTTTCTGTAGAGATAGGGTTTCACCATATTGCCTTGGCTGGTCTTGAACTCCTGAGCTCAAGGGACCTGCCTACCTGATCCTTTAAAAGTGCTGGGATTATAGATGTGTGCTATGCACTGGCAGTGTTGTTTTTATATGTATTCTGTATTTTCATAACTATTTCAGTGAAAATATTGGGTATTGCTATTCTAGATGTTTTATGTGGAGAAAACTATGTTAGAGTTCTCTAGTTAGATGTTATCTTACTCAGAAAATTGAATCCATGTGTCTAAATTTCTCCTACTAGGTAAAAACTATCAGACTAGATAGTCTTTAAGGTCCAAACTACTGTATTTCTTTAACCTATGCTCAGAGTAAATTTTTCTTAGTGGTAATGATATTCATTCTGAGTTTATCCAAACTGTTGGATATTAACACTATGTGCTAGCAACCACTTTAAGATTACTTTAGAGATGCCAGCAGACTGACACAAACAATTAGTTATAAACCATTTTAAATGATTGAAAATTACATGTCATTAAGTCATCTTTAGAAAATAACACTTTAAAAGTTCCATTAATTATCTGAGTTTAGCAGCCACTGTTATTTGTCTTAGATACCAGCTTAGAATTGGACTCTTTTAATTCTTTGCTGATTACAGGACTGCATATTATACCCAACAGGAGTCTTGTGTTTGTTTCTTTACTGAAAAGCTGTGACAGCTTCTTCTGGCAATCTTAGTATAACGTGATTTCAAAATAATGTTTAGTCTGGAAACTGGTGTTCTTTCCTGCCTGGTGAGTGATAAAAGTTGGGCATGTTGCTTCCTGTTGTTGCATTGCTTCCAAAGTGCACTGTAATTGTAAATAAAAGAAGGATTAATAAAAATGGTGAAATCTGCACCTCATTTTAAGGATTATTGTTTTTAAACTCAATATTTGTTCCAGAAGCTTAATTTTTTTCTGATTCTGTTTGTTGACAAAGCAGTAGCATATGGCATAGTAAAAAAACATAAGCAGCTTTGAGTCCATCATGAAACCCTAACTGCCTATTAGTTTTTGGAAAATTATTTAAAAGTCTTGGACTTATTTTCCACCTTTGTAAAATTTTGTAATTTATGTAATATTTTTGAAAGAAGCCATAGTACTTATGAGAGAAGACTCCTAAACCAGGCAGACTTTGGGCTCCAATCTTTAAGAGCTGTGTGATTTTGCTTGTTCTACTTAATCTAAGACTCAGTTATCACATTGGTGAAAATGGGGTTAATAGTACTTTGTGGGCCTCTTCTGAGCATTAAATCAGATAATTCATGTAAAGCATTTAACATAGTGCCTGGTACTGCTAAACACTTATTAACTGTCAGGTATTATTATTACCTCTTACTAAATACAATGCAGACCCATGCAGAAAGCACTCAAACTATTATTACTGAGCATGCAGGAGACTCAGTAGGTGTACTGTTAAGCAGTAATTATAATTAGTCTCTTTTCTCTGTGTGTCTATTATCTAATATGTTCTGAGATGATATTGCTGACAGGACATCTATTCAGTCATTCAATTATGGTGATGACTCATGTTTGGCCTGTTCTACTTTTCCACTTCATTGGATTCAGCATGAATTTTCTCAAATTGAATTGTCCTTTTTGTTTTCAACTGCCCACACCAGGTTACTGTCTAGTACCAGTATTTCTTGACTGACAAATACCTAATTATTCTTTATTCTGATGAAGGAGTGCTCTTAAAATTCTGTAGCAGGTGTGTCATCTGGGATTTTAACAAGTTTTATGTTTTTTCCCATTGCAAAAGATATATGATACTGATTTCATATTAATATAGATCTGAGAATAGTTGTATTACGTAACAGGAACTTTACTAGGAGATGATTATTCCCTTATTTTTTGGTATTATAAAAATTTACCCTTACATGATGAGAAAAGCCCACGCTGACCAGTAGTGTAATGACCAGGTAGCATAAGTAGTGCTACTGTGTTGCTTCTAAGACTGGGAGCAGAATTTGCTTAGATAACTTTACCAGAGACCTTTTTAGGGTGGTACAGCTCCTGAGTAGTGGTTGATTCTTCTCTTGCAGCCACATGGGAATAGAGATTTAGAGGCTCAGAAAGGGAGCTGGGAAGAGAACACCCAGACAGGCCCAGGCCTTTAACTTCTGTGCTCAAGACTGTGAATATTACAAACTGTGGCACTGAGAGCCATGAAAATGAGTTTGCCTATTAACCCTGACCTTTCCTGGAGAGGGGACCAAGGAAGGGAATGAGGAAAGAGACAGTCCTAAAATTCTTCCTGTGATCAATAAGTTTTTGACATCTTTATATGTATTCTTTTTGTTTTGTAACTCTATAAACCAATGTTTTAAGAAGAGATTCCTCTCTAAATGCTCTTTTTAAAAGTTTAATGTTATATTTGATATGCATTTATCACCATGGCTTTGATGTATAAAAGTGAGCTTGTTGAGACTTTATTACTAAAGATAAACCATTTAATGAGAAAAAGTAAAATTAGATTAGTTGCTTATCTCCTTCTGAATATTGTATTTCTTTTTACTTATTCCCTTACTTTTTGGTATTATAAAAATGAGAAAATCTTGCATTGTTCATATTAATCTCTAGTGGTTTCTTTTGTGCTCTAGATTCTAGAATAAAATTTATCTTCTGTATTAGATACATACAGAGATATCTCTCTGTTCTTGGAATGTATTATTATTTCCCAGGGCAATAAATCAAGGAAGCTGACTGCAAGCTCCAAAACTAAATAACCAAGTTGTTGAGCCACTAACAAGCATATGCAATTCATCACTTATATGATACATGCCAAAACAGGTAAAGAGTTTGTAAAGGATGTGCTGCTGCCTTCTTTTTATTTATTTCTTTTTAGTTTTAATCAGGGTAATTCTCAAGGGCAGATACTAGGAAAAAGAGAAAATATAGAGAAAAGAAATAAGGAAGCAAAACTTTATGTTTGGTTTCAGAGGATAACACTTTGTTATTTATAGAGCAGGAAGGGGGATATTCAAGCATTAGCTCTTTATATTACAGCACCGTGACTCTGTTAAGAACACTGTTTTAACCAAAGATTCAGGAAGAAATTTTAACTGCTATCAATAAAACATGTGTAATGTCTGTTTTAGTACATCTTAAAAAATTCACCTAGGCCCGTTGTTCTCAAACTTTAATTTGCATATCAGTCAGTACAAAGCTGCTTACGATTCAGATTCTTAGGCTCCTTTTGAAGAACCTGTTTCACTTCTGGGATTGGCTGCAGAAACTGCATTTTAACCTAACACCCCATGAAATTCTGATGTTGATGAGTGATGAAGGACTAGAAGGCATTTAGGTTGGCACATTCTTTCTTTGAGTCCTACCAGAATTTCGTCGGGACAGTTATTCTTAACAAAATAAAAGTAATTACTGCACCATAAAATAATATCAATTTAGAGTTTAATGCTGTCTCTCCCATTGCTATTAAATCTTGGTGTTGTGATTGCTTGGCCTAACTTTTTTGTTTGTTTGTTTTTTGAAATGGAGTTTTGCTCTTGTTGCCCAGGCCGGAGTGCAATGGCACGATCTTGGCTCACTGCAACCTCCGCCTCCTGGGTTCAAGCGATTTTCCTTCCTCAGCCTCCTGAGTAGCTGGGATTATAGGCACCTGCCACCATGCCCAGCTAATTTTTTGTATTTTTAGTAGAGACAGGGTTTCACTATGTTGGCCAGGCTGGTCTCGAGCTCTTGACCTCAGGTGACCCATCCATCTCGGCCTTCCAAAGTGCTGGGATTACAGGCCTGAGCCACCACGCCCAGCCTGCTTGGCCTAACTTTGATGCTGTGATGTTTGAGTCATTTTGCTATTCCTATTGTTTGAATGAGGGGTGAAGGATCTGTCCTTGCTGCTTAGAAACAAGAATCAACTGTGATGAACTTAAGCAAGAAAATAATTCTACTTGAAATTTTTTTCCAGGCTCACAGAACAGTTGGTTGGAAAAGAAATGGGACTTAAGATGGTTGTGCATGGGGCTGGGGGAATCTGGCAGGAAGAGCCGCCTCTGAGGTTATGCTGCAGGAAGAGTTTGGGTCACATCTTGCTGTCACTGGCCATGCCAGGGACAAGTCCATCACAGCAAACATCACTGTCTCACTTGCTCAAGAGTCTAATTCTGGGGGAGAGTATTTACTCTTCATTGCCTTTCCCACTTGTGGCTGGTAATAAGACAGGGATAGAAACCCTAAAAGCAGATTTCATAGACTGTTTTGAATTTTTACATAAGGCAGCAGAGACTTTGCTGGTAATAAGACAGGGAGAGAAATCCTAAAAGCAGATTTCATAGACTGTTTTGAATTTTTACATAAGGCAGCAGAGACTTCCTGATCTCTGTTTTTTTATTTCCTGTAGTGATACTGATGAGACAGCATAGATATCAATAATATAATTTATTATTCACATTGATTTGTACAAAGTCAGTAGAAAAAGGTCATCTGTACTCAGAAACCCAACTTTTAATATTCTTTTTTTTTTTTTTTTCCAGAAAGAGCCTTGCTGTGTTGTCCAGGCTGGTGTACAGTGGCACAATCTCAGCTCACTGCAACCTCCACCTCCTGGGTTCAAACCATTCTCCTGCCTCAGCCTCCCAAGCGGCTGGGATTACAGGCGCCCGCCACCATGCCCAGCTAATTTTTGTACTTTTAGTAGAGACAGGGTTTCACCATGTTGATCAGGCTGGTCTCAAACTCCTGACCTCAAGTGATCTGCCCACCTCGGCCTCCCAAAGTGTTGGGATTTCAGGCGTGAGGCACCGCACCTGGCCAACTTTTAATATTCTTCATGATATCATTCAAAATTTGGCTCTTATAAAGTCTATATTAGTGCAAGTTTTTTTTCATTCTATTCCATATAATACTCATGTTATCTTAATATTCATATAATGTTTAAAATGACCTGCTTTCAAAGAAAATGAATACTTTGCTAAACGTGACATTTTTATCCTGTTCTTTCATATACTCTTTAGGATAGTATTAAATATACTTACCCTACTTTAAGAAGCATGAGCTTATGGTATCTACTCAAAATGGCCACTTTTTTTCTCTATTCATTCATTATGTATGAACAAACCAACCAACTGTGGAATAGGGTATTTAGCTGACATAAAATTAGTTAGCTATTTGTTAAGTAGAAAGCCCCATTTTAATTTTAAACCTTGCGAAAGTTGCTTTTGAAATATTTTCTTGACTTACAAAATATTGGATGCATAAAGTAATTGAATATTTTTTTGCTTGATTGAAACTGAAGTTCCAGACTGGGCGTGGTGTTAATGGCTCATGCTCCCAGCACTTTGGGGGGCCAAGGCAGGTGGATCACTTGAGCTCAGGAGTTCGAGACCAGCCTGGGCAACATGGTGAAACCCTGTCTCTATAAAAAATATAAAAATTAGCTGGGCACAGTGGCACATGACTTTAATCCCAGCTACTTGGGAGGCTGAGGTGGGAGGATCACTTGAGCCTGGGAGGCGTAGGTTGCAGTGAGCTGATATCACGCCACTGCACTCCAGCCTGGGCTACAGGATGAGTCCCTGTCTCAAAAAAAAACAAAAAACAAAAAACAAAAAACCCCAAACACCAAAAAAACCCGAAAACCAAAACAAGAAAACAAAAAGCAAACCAGAAAAAAAAAAACCCATGAAAACTGAAGTCCCTTAAGATCTCCATTTTATTTTATTCAGAAAAGAAAGTAAGCACTCCCTAAGAACTTCTACTTATAATTCAATGTCTAGAGCTATGTCATGTGCATGTGGCCACACATAGGTGCAAGGTGGGCTGGAAATTTTATTATTTTGAATAGATGTTGATTGAGCCAGTGTAGAGCATCTTCCATACTGATAATGATGGAGGACATATGCACAAGAGAGAGTGAATAGGTGAAAGAGAGAGAGACAGGGACTAGCTAAAGGATAAAGAAACACATGGGGAGCGGAAATAAGTGAAACAGGCAGTAACATTTTGGATAATTTATCAGGAGAGAAATTTTCAACAGGAATCACATGGGACTGTGCAGAAGGGAATTTAGAACTACAACATAAAAAATAGTCTTTGACTGAGACTAGAAAGTATTAGTTTATCTTCCTTTTTAACTAATGTTTTAAAAATACTAAAATCAGATGGAAATTGTGTTATAATAGAATTTTGATTATGTAGCTGCAATTATGTTTTGGATCTACACGGACCTCTTTATGCCAAGTATGTTTGCTATGATAGATAGGTAATGATTTATCAAACAATTTAACACATGGTATCTAAAATGGAATATGAGAAAAAAAGCAAAATTTAAAATGAATGCTTTAAGAAGACTCTATAAAGGTGCATTTCAAAGATATTTTGTCCAATTAGATGTAGGTTTTCTCTCTAATTTGAAGAATCAATAAAAGAAAATGCATTATGGGAGGGTTTATGGAAAAAAAGCAACATACAACTTTGTGCTCATTAGAACAATAATAAAAAAGTGGACCTACAACAAAACATTGAAAAATATTTTATATCTTTGTATGTTTAGAGTTAAAAACAAAATGTTTAAGATAGGCATGCATCAATATTTATTTACCTTTTTAACTGACATTTTGCTAACTTATCAGCTATAAGTATTGATAATGTTGGATAAGAAGGTATTAGATGCTGGCAGGTGCAACTGGATATAATACAGTAGTTTCAATGAGATGTTGAAGTAAGCCAGCATGTCACTCCAAAATGCCTCCTTGAGATATAAGTTATTTTTGAGCTAAAGGCAATAAGAAACTGCAAATTGAGAGGAAGCTATCTCTACCCTCTTCTCTTTCTGCCTAAAGATAGGAAAATAAATTCTTTATAGATGACAACTCTAGACTCATCAGCCCAGAGATGACACCAGAGGAATCTGCAAACAAACTTTACTCCATTAGTTTCATCCCCAATATTTACCTTCCCACAGTTGCGTGCCCTTGGAAGTTTAAAACTGTTTTTCTTTGTCTGTCATTCCTTTACAAGTGTATTGTTCTTTATTGAAGATGTTCTATAAGTGGAGCTAAGTCATCTTTTTGAGGTATTTCCATTGAGATTTCTCCAGTGTGGTGTGTGTGGCATGCATTAATACACTTGTTTGTTTGTTTGTCTGTCATTAATCTGTCTTGTATTAAAGGAGTCTGTCCAAACCTAAGAACTATGATGAATAAAGGTAAAGTTTCTACTCCTCTAGGGTTGATACTGTGTTTGAAAAATAAGAATGCATTTGGCCTTTACACACACACACATTTTCAATGCTTTCTTATGTTGTTTCAAATATACAACAAGCTGAAAGAATTCTAGAGTTAATGCTAGTATACACAATACCTAGATTATACCATTTTCCTTTGAATACTGTTGATCATATATTACATTCATCCCTCTATCACCAATCCACCTTTTTTGATGTGTTTTGAAGCACAGTCATGTGTCACTTAATGATAAAGAGAAGTTCTAATAAACATGTCATTAGGCAATTTCGTCATTGTGTGAACATCACAGAGAGTATTTACACAAAGCTAGGTGGTATAGCCTACTATACATGTAGGCTATATTGTCTGGCCTATTACTCCTAGGCTACAAACCTGTACAGCATGTTACTGTACTGAATACCGCAGGCAATTGTAACAGAATGGTAAGTATTTGGGTAGCTAAACACAGAAAAGATACAATGAAACTATGATATTATAATCTTATAGGATAACTGGTATATGCAGACTGTCATTGACAGAAATGCCATTATGCAATGCATGACTATATATTACAGACATCAGTATGCTTCCTCATAAGCACTTTAGCATGCATATAACTAACTACAGTTCAATATTTTAAATATTTTTTCCTCCTAGAGGTAAAATGTATATTAACGAAATGAATAAAACTTAAAACTTAAATTATGTTTTCTGAGCTTGAGAAATGCATAAGACTATGTAAACCAAATTTCTATCAAGATATACACCATTAACTTTACTCTAGAATATTTTTAAGGTCTATTCCCAGTCAATCCCTGCACCTTCTTCCCCACCCAAGAGGCAATCGCTATTACAATTTTTTTTCATTATAGATTAATTTGCCTTTTATAGAGCTTCACATAAATAGAATAATATATTCTGTACTCTTTTGAATAAGGCTTCTTCTACTCAGCATAATGTTTTGGAAATCCATCTATGTTGTGTGTATCAGTAATTTCTTCCTGATATTTCTATTTTCTGTTATATGGATACACCACATTTTGCTTATTCATTCTTCTTTGTATGAACACTTAGGCTGTTTGCAGTAGGGCTATTGTTAATGAAGCTATAATGAACATTCTTGTACAAGTCTTTGAACATCTTTTCATTTCTCTTGAATAAATTCCAATGAGTAGAATAGCTGGGTCATAGAATGGGTATACATTTAGTTTTCTAAGAAACTGTCAGATGTTTTTCAAAAGAGACTGTGCCACATTGCATGCCAACCAACAGTTTAAGAGAGTTCTGGATGTTATATATTCTTTTCAAAATTTTGTGTTGCCAGTTTTTAAAATTTTGCCATTATGGAGGATCTTTAGAATATAATTTTTTGTAAAAAGATTTTTTGTTCCTTGGCATCCCACCCATTACTTGCATAGACAACTTTGATATGCCTAGATCACTAGAATACTGTACCCTCAATGGAGAATTTTGAAGAAAATGCTTGCTCATTAGGGCCCTAAATTGGGAAGAGACAACCAGACTGTAGTACCCCTACTGTAATATATCTTTGGCTGCAGGCTTTCTGGAAAGAACATAGCATTTAGGTTATGAGATATATCCATTTTATACTCTGATAGTCACCTTGCTTGTGTGACATTTTATCCTATAAGTCTATAAACCGTATGTTTGATTATCATTAAATAATCATGTACATTCTTCTGAAACCATTCCACAGATAACAGCTATCAAATGCTATTTTATCATGAGGTCCAGTTATGATATTTTATATGGAGATTAGATCATTTGCATGCCTTCTTTTATTCCCAGGAGAGTCACATTTCTTTTTCACTAAATAAGGAGGGGAAGAAATCACAGTCCCATTGCTTTAATTTCTTTCTCTCCAATAGATTAAGTTTAATACCTAACATCTAGTTTATATTATTATGTTAAATGTCCAGAAATGGTAAGCTTTTAAGACAATGTAAGTAAGTGGCTGCCTGCAGTTGGGGATGAGAACAAGGATTAACTGTCCGTGGGCATGAGATAATATGAGAGGAATGAAATGTTCTAAAAGTGATTCATAAAGATGGAACAACCACTTGGTAAAGTTACTAAAAACCACTAAATTGTATACTTGAAATTGGTGGATTTTACCACATGTACCACATACCTTTAGAAAGTTATTTAACTATTCCAAAAAAATTGAGTAGGATAGACTCCTTCCTAATTCATTCTGAGGCCAGCAATATCCTGATACCAAAACCTGGCAAAGATACAACAAAAAAAGAAAACTTCAGGACAAAATCCAGGATGAACATAGATGCAAAAACGCTCAACCAAAATACTAGCAAATCAATTCCAGCAGCACATCAAAAAGCTGATCCGCCATGATCACATAGGCCTTATCCCTGGGATACAAGATTGGTTCAACACATGCAAATCAATAAATGGATTCATCATATAGACAAAACTAAAAACAAAAACCACAGGATCATCTCAAAAGATGCAAAAAAGGCTTTTGATAAAATTCAACATCCCTTCATGTTAAAAAGCCTTAACAAACTAGGCATTGGAAGACCATACCTCAAAATAATAAGAGCTATCTATGACAAACCTGCAGCCGACATCATACTGAATAGGCAAAAGCTGGAAGCATTCTTCTTAAGAACCAAACAGAACAAGTATACCCTCTCTCACCACTCCTTTTTAATATAGTACTGGAAATCTTAGCCAGAGCAATTAGGCAAGAGAAAAAATAAAAGGCATCCAAATAGGAGGAGAGGAAGTCAAACATCTCTGTTTGCAGGTGATATGATTTTATATTTAGAAGAGCTCATAATTTCTGCCCAAAAGCTCCTAGAAGTGAGAAACAACTTCAGCAAAGTTTCAGGATACAAAATAAATGTACAAAAATCATGAACATTTCTATACACCAACAATGTCCAAGCTGAGTGGCTAACCAAGAACACAATTGAATTCACAATAGCCACAGAAAGAATATAATACCTAGGAATATAGCTAACTAGGGAGGTGAAAAACCTCTACAATGAGAATCATAAAATACTGCACGAAGAAATCAGAGATGACACAAACAAATGGAAAAACACTCCATGCTCATGGATAAGAAGAATCAATATTGTTAAAATGGCCATACTGCCCAAAGCAAAATACAAATTCAATGCTATTCCTATCAAACTACCAATGACATTCTTCACAGAATTAGAAAAAAAATTATTTTAAAATTCGTATGGAACCAAAAAAGAGCCCCAGTAGCCAAGATTAGCCTAAGCAAAGAGAACAAAGCAGGAGGCAACATGTTACCTGACTTCAAACTATACTGCAAGGCTACAGTAACCAAAACAGCATGGTACTGGTACAAAAAGAGACACATAGATTAATGGAACAGAATAGAGAGCCCAGCAGTAATGCTGCAAACCTCCAACCATCTGAACTTCAACAAAGTTGACAAAAAAACTGGACTCCTTCCTTTTACCATATAAAAACCAATTCAAGATGGATTGTAGACTTAAATATAAAACCTAAAACAATTCTGGAAGATAATCTAGGAAATACCATTCTGGACATAAGCCCTGGCAAAGATTTCATGATGAAGGCACCAAAAGCAACAGCAACAAAACCAAAAATTGACAAATTAGACCTAACTAAACAAAAGCTTCTGCACAACAAAAGAACTTCAACAGAGTCAACAGAAAACCTGTAGAATGGGAGAAAATATTTGCAAACTATGCATCTGACAAAGGTAGAATATACAGAATCTATAAGAAACTTAATTCAACAAGCAAAAAAAACCCAGCCTCATTAAAAAGTGGGCAAAGGACAGAAACAGACACTTTTCAAGAGAAGACATATATGTACATGGATGACAAGCATATGAAAAAAATGCTTAATATTATTAATCATTAGAAAAATGCAAATCAGTGCCACAATGAGATACCATCTCACACCAATCAGAATGGCTATTATTAAAAAGTCAAAAAATAACAGATGGCTGTGAGGTTGTGGAATAAGGGAGCACTTATACACTGCTTGTGGGAATGTCAATTAGTTTAGCCATTGTGGAAAGCAGGGTGGCAATTTCTTAAAGAATTTAAAACAGAATTACCATTTGACTCAGCAATCCTATTATTGGACTGCTTGTATATACCCAAAGGAATATAAATCATTGTACCATAAAGACACAAGCATTGTGGAATACTATACAGCCATAAAAAGAATAAGATAATGTCCTTCACAGTAACATGTATGGAGCTGAAAGTCATTATCCTAAGCAAACTAAAGCAGAAACAGAAAAGTAAATACTGCATGTTCTTAGTTATAAGTGGGAGCTAAACATTGAGAACACCTGGACACAAAGACGAAAACAACAGACACTGAGGCCTACTTGAGGGTGGAGGGTGGGAGGAGGGAAAGATTGAAAAACTACCTATTGGGTACTAGGCTGGGTAATGAAATAATTTGCACACCAAACCTCTGTGACATGCAATTTACCTATAAACCAACCTACATATGTACTGCTGAACCTAAAATGAATGTTTAAAAATTACCAAAAACCCTTCAAAATGAAAGCAAAAAAAAATTCCAATTTTGAAAAGATTGACTGTATGTTTAAATGGCAATATTTTGAATATATTCTGTTAAATAATTTTTAATAAAAAATGTAAAAATAATAAAAAAAAAGTTGTTTAAAAAATGAATGCATTCCAACACGTAGAAATGATAAATTCTCAAGGTGGTGGATACCCTAAATACCCTGACTTGAGCATTACACATTCTATGCATGGAACAAAATATCACATGTACCCGATAAATATGTAAAGTATTATGTATCAATAAAAAATGAATGCACAAAGTAAAACCCGTGTTAAAACACAAAAACCTTTCAGATTTGAGAGAAAAAATGAATTGTATCTCCAGTTAGGGTAATTCAATCTTGTAAATCTTTGTAAATCACAAACCTAAATAATTTTATCTTAGAATAATTCATTCAATTATATTATATACTCTATGACTTTACAGTATGAATAAGTTTTTTTTAGTTAACTGAAAAAAGCTTTTCAAAACTGGAACTACATTAAATGAAGACTTCCCTTCCCATTCCAAATAAACAATGGCAAAGATATAGTAATCTGTTAATTCTGAAAATAGGCCATTTTGAGAAAAACTATTATAATTGGGTATAAATATCATCCAAAATTAAAATGTATAGCAATAAGAGATATTGGATATAACCTGATATACAATAGATTGCAGAATTGGTCTGGAAGAATTCCAAATGCAGCACAAATGGCATATATTTGAATCCTTCAGTGAAAAGCTGTTCTGCATTGTTGACCATAAATTCGACTGGTTGAGTAATTAAACTGAGTTTTTGAAGGTCAAAGACATTGTTTCCCTGGCATGTTTTACTTGTACTGTTCTGTGTATATTTAATAATAGTATATTACTGGGCCAAATTCTTAAAGTAATTCAATTATAGTAAATGATAATACTCAACTAAGAGAGTCATTAATAACTTTTAATCTATCTCTTGCAGGCATAGGATTCTATTTAGGACACACACATTGTAATGGTTTAACTGTAGGCAATAATGTACAAATATATTTAGTAGTAATAATTCATAAAATACCAAAATATTGGAACAATTTTAATCAGATTCACAATAAATTTATTGGCTGGAAAAATACAGCATTGATTTACATATTTTAATTCAAGATTGAAAGTTCATGATATATTAAATATTTGGATTAAAAATTTTTTTATTCACTTCTAGAATTTCTAGGTCTCAGGAGAGGTCTGTTAGAGATGCTCTGCTTTCTGTTACTTTTCCATCATCTCTGATGTTTTTGTAGACATGGGAGTTTTTTTTTTGCTCATATTCACTTGCTTGGTCTATCACCCTTTTTAAAAATTGTTAGTTTATGCCATTTCGGAATATTGGCTTCAAGTTTTTTTTTTTCCTTTTTCACTGTTTCTTAGGAAGCTTTTAAGAGGCATCAAGTACTGCATTTCCTAGGTTTTCCAATGTCCTTCTTCACTGTTTTGAGAGTCAACTAGGGAGAAGGGGCAGGACTACATGATTGTCCTTGGCCTCTCTGTATTCTGTTCAGCCTCATTTGTTCGGCATTTCAGTGCTGAATGCTTGAGAACATTCAGTGGTTCAATGGAGTTCATACATTGTATGAGTACATATGTTCACATGAAAATATATCATTTTGTGATTACTTGCATGGCTTGTTTGCTGGGTGCCCATGGTCTCCCTTATTTTATTTTTTTCTTTGCTTGGGGACCTTCAGACCTCTACTTGACTTTAAATAGAACTTCATTATGGCAGTAAATATCTCCAACCAAGTGTGTTGGAGGTTAAAATCCTTCAGTAAAAAATAAGACCCTTTGTTATGTAGGTAATTAAAAAAGAAACTAAGTTAGCTCAAACTGAAGGAAAATCTACTGGATCTGGAAGGAATATGTAAAGGTTTTTTCCTGCAACATTTTGGTCTGAAAGCCATATTTGCTTAGAGATATTAGGAAAACATTGTTTAAATGGAAATCTTCAGAATATAGTGTGTTTTTAGCAATTCTTACAGCATGGAAGGTAAAAATTAAAAATCAGGGTCTAATTTTGACTCTTTTTGAGAAACCTTTTAAAACTATTTTTTTTAAACCCAGGTTAAAAAATCTTGTATATAAGAAAGAAACTGCATAAAATAGAAATAGAAGTAGAAACTGTGGGAAATAGAAGACATAGTAATTGCATAGTGAGAACAAATTTGGGGACATTTTGATAATTTCCAAACCCAGCTGAGCTTACATAAAGTTCAGGCAGCAAGGCAAAACTTGGGAAAAGGAGATCTAGGTCTTTATGATGGTCGCAGAAGACATTTGGAGAATCATCAGAATAGCATGTATACCAAAGGCAGGGAAAAGGAAAAGATGAAAAGATACTCCAGAATATGGAAAGGGAGGCAAAGACTTTTAAGTTAGCATTTTAAAAACAAGTCTAATTCAACTATTCAGGAGCCAATGTTATGTGCAAGTGTAAGAACCAGAAGAAGTCTTCTGCAGGAATCAGGAGCTAGAGGAGGAAGAAATTCTCAAACAGGCAACAAATGACATCAATGAGGGTGACAGGGAAAACTAAAATATAAAAACTTGGCAAACACAAAATTAAGAGGAGGTATATTCATCTGTTTTCATGTTGTTATAAGGACATACCCAAGACTGGATAATTTATAAAGGAAAGAAGTTTATAAACAGTCCTCCCCAGCCTGTTCCAAATGGCTGGGGAGGACTCAGGAAACTTACAATCATGGCAGAAAGGGAAGCAAACACGTCCTTCTTCATATGGTGGCAGGAGAGAGAAGTGCACACTAAAGTGGGGGAAAGCCCCTTATAAAACCACCAGATCTCGTGAGACCTCACTCAATGTCACGAGAACTGCATAGGGGAACTCCCCGCCATGATCTAATCATCTCCCACGAGGTCCCTCCCCAAACACTGAGGATTACAATTTGGTTTACAATTGAAGATGAGATTTGGGTGGAGACACAGAGCCAGACCATATCAGAGGGCAATAGTAAGTGTGAGCAGGGGTATCCTATGAATGTTTTTCAGACCATTGACTATTTTGATATAGAAAAGATCGGTGTTTTTTTTTCCTACTCTTAATTCTCAAAGCAGAAAATCTTACCTCTGGTCACCAAGAAGTGTGGGGATGTCTCCTTACCAGGCACCAAGCAATCAATTCTACAGGGAACACTACCTGAGTGTCATCTAATTCAGTTCAATTCTGACACTATCTAGCTGGAGGTAGTGTCAGATCCCACAGATTGAGGGCTTAGTTTACAAAACTGCCTCCTAGTTCAGAGGCCGGTTGCAAGTTATAAGTAGGTTGCCACCTATACCTCTAACTAACTGGCTATAAATCAGGGTTCCCATGATCCCCTCCCTTGAATTCAATTAACTTGCTAGGATGGCTCACAGAAGTCGGGAAATACTTTACTTACATTTAACAGTTTATTATAAAGGATACGGCAAAGGATACAGATGAACATCAGATGAAGAATTGGATATGATGAGGTATGGGGGAAGGAGAGAAGCTTCCATGCCTTCTCCAGGTGCCTTACCCTCCAGAAACCTCCACGTATTCAGCTCTCCAGAAGCTCTCAAAACCTAGTCTTTTTGGGTTATTATGGAAGCTTCATTACACTGGCACAATTGATTAAATCATTGGCCATTGGTGACCAACTTAACCTCAGTCTCTCTACTCCACCAGAGATTGGTAGATGGGGCTGAATGTTCCAACCTTTTTATAATGCTTTGCTTGTTTCAGTGACCAGTCCCCATCCTGAAGCTACTTAGGAGCCCCTAGCCCAGCCATCAGTCTACTGTTTAGCATACAAAAATTCACACTTATTGATCAGGAGATTCCAAGGATTCTAGGGGCTGTATGTCAGGAAACAAAGGAGATGAAAACCAAATATATATTTCACAATATCACACCTATTATTATTGTGAAGTAGCTTTCTCAGAAAAAGAGCAGAAGCTGTCCTTTGACTGAGCCCATGTAATTCAGAATTGAGGTACAAGAATGTAGGAGTAATGCACGGCATGGAGAAAATCCCTGAAACATAGAAATAGAAGTTGGGAGTTCTGCTCAGAGTTGGAGACCTGGGGATTATAGGAACCATCATTACAAAAATGTCAATAGTTTCAATGTACTTAAGGGTTTCCAGTGGCAGGACCTAATCAAATTTTAAGCTGAGAAGGTCCAAACAATTGAAAAGAAGTGTTTCAAGACCCAGAAAAACCTAACACCATGATGCGTTTTTCTCTTTTTTTTTTAATTTTTGCCGATTAAATCGAATCTGTGATCAGTCGATGAAACAGTCTGTTATTGCACAAGGGAGTTGGTATGTAATTTGTAAATGTTGCAGTGTTCATTTGGCTCCTGGATTTGGTTGTATTTTTACTTTGATTGATACTCTAATTATAAATCCACTATTGTCATTTGTGCCTTGATATCAATTATCTATCCCAGGAATTTAAAAATTGGGCAGATAGAGGACAACAGGTTAAGAGTTTCACTCTCATTTGACTTAGGTCTGGAATCAATATTTAGAGTGAAAGATCAGTGCCTAGACTGGGTAGAACTCTGATGCTCTCATTGGAAACCTTTTCAGGCTGAAGATGCCCAAAAAGAAGTCTAACTCTGATCAGATTCTGGAATAAAAGTCCTCTAACTTTGATTAAGCTATCAAACAATAAAATGGAGGACTACCTTTTGTATGAATTAATCTTTGAAAACACAGAATTTAGAATATTGCTTCATTTATGAAGGAAAGCGGATTTAGTGCCTAAGTATTAAAGAACTAAAAAGATAAACTGCAGCATCTTGGCAAGCTTTTTCTCTTTTCCCCTTGGATCATTCCGGGAGGAAGAGTAAGAATATAATAAAAGGTCTCTTTCTTGGGATTTTTATTTTCTTGTTATAAAATAAAATATTTATGATTATTAAATAAAATATGAAATCATCTATTTCATCATTCTTAATTTTTCCTCATCAAATAACCTAATGCTCAGTGCCTCACACAAAAACAAGCGAACAAACAAAAGTTTACATGTCAAAAACCTTTAGAAAATAGAAAACATGAAATCCTTCATTACATGGGTTACAATGATTTTAAAACTAAATTTTTTGATTTTTTTCTCAGTAGAACATTAAGAGCTTAGTAAAACTGTTTCATTACTAGCATAATCTGCTCAATAAACTCAGGCTTTGTCTCTGTTTATAGCAAAGAGGGCAGCACTATCTCAAAATTATCCTCTAGCTAAATATGCTCTAATTCTGTACCTTTACCGTGTCTCAGTAAAAATTATTATATACTAGTAAGCTAAATAATTTTATTTTTATTTTATTTAAAATATTATGTATATAGATATGCTCTAGGTCAGATAGCTAGTAGGCAGTAGAGTGTACACTTAAAACCAGACTGAGGACTTTAATTAAATAATTTATTAATTCGACAGGCATTTATTAAGCATTACTTTGTTTTAGGAACAGTACTAATTTCTGGGAATACAGTGTTGAGCAAGAATTGCCACAGTCCCTGCACCCAAGGAGCTTAGTGATTAGTGAGACCTATTGACAGCAATTATTCGCACACATGAAAATATCATTGTGTGTGTTAAGGATTATGAAGGCAAAATTTATAGCACTATGGTAGCTCAAAATTGAGAAAACCTGGCTTAGAATGGGAAATCATGGATGGTTTTCTAGAGGGAATGATTTTTGAGGTGAAATTTCAACAATATAAAGTTTTAGCAAGCTGGAGATAATTGGATGAGAGCCTCCCAAGTAGTAGGAAGTACACATGTAAAGACATATAGCCAAAGGGAACAACTTTTATTCTAAGTAACTATGTGTTTTGACTTCATTTTATTTTCAACTCACCTTCATCTACTACCTTTAACTTTCATGAGGGAAAATATGTGGTAATACAAAGTCAAGAGATATATTTTGATAGCTTAAAGAGTATCAAGAGTATATTCCGAAGGCTGTTGGTAATAGCAAAAGTAAATTTATTTTATTGATTTCTATCTCTGAAAAATTTGTTCAGCCTTCTCTTTGGATTTCCAGACCCCTAGGATCTGTCATTACTTATTCAAAATGGAACTGGGATCCTGGTAGTATAACTGAGAAGCAGAAAAAGAATCAAAGAATCATGGGAGAATAAAATGTGGAGAAAATAAATCAACACCTAGATGACCATCTGTATGGACTCTATGACAGGCAAATTTAGTAAAAGGGGTAGTGATACATTTTGCACCATTCTGTCATACTGTATTTGCATCTGTGGTCAATTTCTAGCAAGACATTTTTCTATTGTGTCTCATCTACGTATCTTCCTGGTTATTATGATTATAAAACATGAAATTAAATTTGTGGTATATATTTTAATGGAAAAAATAAATATATTTAATATATAGTGAGTTTATTGTCCTTCCTTAGAAATAGGTCAATAAATTGCTTTACTTTCTGTAAGAGTAATGTGACAATCTACTATTATTACTCATTTGTCAGAATGAAAATCCTTTGATTTTCTTTTTGAAGATTATATTAGTTTTAGAAACAATGAACTTTTAAGGATTTTCTTATGATAGCTAGGCATTTAGATAGAAATAGTAGAAAAAGTTTACTATCTACAGGTGATAAAAAGGCAAGATAGAGAATTTTCGGTTGTAAGAAATTAAATAAACCAGTATTCCAAAACTATCTTCACAGTATTTTGTTCCTATGTTGCCAATAGAGAATTATGAAGAATGTTTCATTTATAGTGTAAATTATGTATATTTACATATAAATATATATTTATACATTTTAATTTATTTTTACATTTACATCTATAATATAGTCTACATATTTATACATTTACATCTACAGTATAATCTACATATATATCTATACTATCTACAATAAACAAAGTACTTTCTGAAAAATAAATAAGGGATTAAATAGTTCTCATTCTCTTCAAGCTTCTTTTCTTTTGACAAAGCTTAGGTTTCGTCAAAGCAAAAATTGTACTGAACAAAGTTGCTTAGTTAAGCAGGCAAGGAAGATATTATGCAAGGCTATTGTAATAGGGGAGAGAGTAGAACATCTGAGCTCAACTGCAATGAAACAAAGGGCAGGAGGGCTTTTAAGCACTGAGGTGAGTTAGTGGAAGAGTATTAAAGGATACTGGGGTCTGGGGGAGGTAGGCAGCTGATCAATGGGGTATGTGGATCTAATTGAATTATTTCTGGGTTTGCAGGTATTTTTCTCTGTGATTAGGTTATTCATGTTTGCTTGTTGGCACTTATGCTTATTGAAGAAGTTAGACTTCTTTCATAGGATCTAGAAGATAGGAGCCTTATCAGTCTTGGTGATTACATTTCAAAGGGATGGCTTCAAGGTCCTTAAGAAAAATATTCCTGCATTGTAAGCTGGCAAGAAGCTTTTGCAAAGCTTTACAGCTCAAAGGGGCAGAGAAAGAATTTACAATTACAAGTTTTCTAAGGAAACTGCTGTAAGAAAAGGGAGGTCAGAAGTCTGTATAAAGTTTAATCAAGCTGCCGGGCGCGGTGGCTCATGCCTGTAATCCCAGCACTTTTGGAGGCTGAGGCTGGCGGATCACCTGAGGTCAGGAGTTCGGGACCAGCCTGACCAACATGGAGAAACCCCGTCTCTACTAAAAATACAAAATTAGCCGGGTATGGTGGCGCATGCCTGTAATCCCAGCTACTCGGGAGGCTGAGGCAGGAGAATAGCTTGAACCTGGAAAGCTGAGGTTGCAGTGAGCCAAGGTCGTGCCATTGCATTCAAGCCTGGGCAACAAGAGAGAAACTCCATCTCAAAAAAAAAAAAAAGTTTAATCAAGCTGAAGGGGATGTTAAGGCTGCCTTGGTCATTTTTTTTTTTTTTTTAATCAGAACTCTTTACTTATAAGCCTGAAGTTCAGATAATATTTTGATATTGAAGAAGTGTAGAACTGGCATTTTGATCTTCAGTGCCTTTTGTTTTCCTGTTAGGCTAGATGACATAGAATGTAATCAAGTAATAATTAGTGATAATAAAGATAATAGTTCACTTTCTGTGAGCTTTCTTTGTAATTTATTTTTTAAGACCACTCCTACAATGGGGTTTGATGTATTAATTGATGAAAGTATTTCATTGCCTTTCTTTTTTTTTCAACTTTCATCAATTAAATATTTTTATTAGCATGTAGTTGAATTATTTTATAATTGTCTTTGAAATAAATGGGTTGTTTTGATGTGAGAATGATTTAATTTATTTTTACTAACCTTACACAGATGGATTTAACTAAAACCAAATGCTCTGCATTCTGTGAGCTTGCAACCTCTACTTCCCAACATCTGGTTTATAGCACATTAGTTCTATAATCTTTGTTGTTGCCAGGAAAGTACATGGGATCTACTTCATTTGTAATAGACAAGAAACATTTTTAATGCCTTAGTTCCAGTCTTTGTTTTATTTTACTCTTTTTGTTTTAATTTAGCTTTTTCTTTCTTTTCCAAACCAAATTTATAGCAAAAATTAATTATTAAAAAATAGTGTGTCTGAATCTCACTGGAGAAGTCTTTTAAAAAACTCTCCTTTTAACTCAGTGAATATAGAAAATAATGAAACAGTTTTGTAACTGCTGGACAAACCCAAACTGGGCCTACTCTGTTGATAACAGAATGTCAAAGTACCTTGCAGGCATAACAGAGCCAAGAGTACAAGTCATGTACCCTGAATGCACAATAGAAAAAGCTTTTACCTCTAATAACACCGGAACTTATTCATCTCCATGGAACCAAGAAGAGGACATGACCAGAATCTGAATGCCAGAACCGTTTCAGAAGCAAGGAGTCCAATGGCCTAGAAGATCTGGAGCTAAAATCCGCCGCAACACCCCTTACTAAAAATGGTCAAATTTAGAGCCCTCCAATCAGACCCTGCCACGCTAACATTCCTGAATCCTTTCCATTGACCTCTGACCCCTTTAAAACTTGCCCCAGATCCCAAACTGGGGAGACAGATTTGACCCACCTCCTCTCCTTGCTGGTTGACCTTGCAATAAAGCCTTTCTTTTCTCAGAAGCCAGTGCCTTGGTACTGGCTCCTATGTGCATCAGGCAGCGAGCCCATTTGCTTGATAAACATTTTATTATTGCATAGTCATTAAACCAGATTGCAATGTGCATCATAGGCAGTATGCTAAATGGACTACAAAGACAAAAAGAAATTCTACCCTTTTTATATAACAAAACAGATATAATCCATGACATACGTGTTAATTGTTTTTATTCAAAGGAAAAATGAAACTTCCTGTCTCTTTTTGACAAGCAAAAATGTACAACTTGGAGCCTGGTGCCAGGGCTAAACATCCAGAGACAGGGCACCAACCTCCTTGGTGTTTACACTGCAAGAAATGGCTCCAAGACCCCCAGGAAAGACATTCCTGTCATGTAAAAAAGCCAATAGACTCATTTAGTTTTTTAAGTATTTACATACTTTTTCAGGAGACAGAGAAAGCATTTACAATTTCAAGTTTTCTGAAGGAAATACCAAAGAAAAGGCAGGAGTAGGTAAGTTTTTTTTTTCGCACTGTGGAAAAATTTCAATTTAAATTGTTTAGATTTGTATTTACTCTCATAATCTGTGCAACATTCTTTGAAACTAGTTTCTACCACTTTTACACCATTTTAAATAGAACTGAAAGTGATATATTTAACCATATTTTAACAAGTGCAGCAGACAAAACCCCTAAACAAGTGGTTTTGTGACTAAAGGTATCCTCTGTGAATTAGTGAGAACACCTTAACATTTTATCAGAATTATTTTAAAAACCTTACAAAACGTGTTTCTTTGAAACACAGTAATAGGAATTAGGTACAGTTCTGTAATCTTGTAGTGATTTAAAGTGACTCAGAAAGTCATTAATGGTGAGAACATTTATTTGCCTAGAGCTCTCTATATTCTATCTGTACACAAATTACAGAGCTAGTGTTTCAAAGTCTCGCCTCTTATTTATGAAATGGAAAAGTTCTAGTGGGCACATGTCTTTAAAACAAAATTTATTTTGAGTCCTAAAATGCATTCTTGCATTCATTCAAAGAATATTTATTTAGGATCTACTATGTGTAAATCAGTATTCTGGGCCTGAACAAAGAGTTAATAAACAAGACTAGGTGTTTAAAGGTGCTAATATTTTTCATTATCTTAGAATGTTCAAGGAGTCATGAAGAAAAATAATATTTACATTTATATAATGTATTGAAAATATGCATTTCTTTAGAAAATATGTTAATAGATATTCATACATTTTCATATTTTAAGGTATTTCTGTTTCAACTTTCTACATCTGTCTCTCTGAGGTGATCATTTGCAATGTGGCTGAGGCACAGATTTGAATTTAAGGTGCTGCAAAGCAAGAGAGCCAGAACAAGTAAATTACCTAGTAGCTGAAGTAAGCTAGTACCACAAAGCAACATTACAATACGACTCTGTAATTCTGTACTTGTTGTTAAGTTTATATGTAATAATTCTTGTGAAGATATTTAGTTTTTGAACTTGGGGAAAATTTATATTCATTGTTTACACTCTGGGGGAGAAGAAATCCCACCCATCACTAGGCCCATGATTGAGACCCTACAACAAAAGACAAATTAACAAATTAATATAAGTTGTACATAGCATGTGAGCCTTCATAAGGAAATGAAGACCCAAAGAAACAGAAACCTGTGCATTTTTATGCTAAGTTTGATGAAGTAGAAAGTTATGAAAAAAAGTTTCCTCAGTTTTCCCAGGGTTCCTGTCTAGGTCTGCAATAAACCTGAGAAGAAGATAGATTAATAGGAGAAAACATGCAAATTTATTTAATCAAAAATTTAAATGACAAATTAGCCTCCAGAAATTTAGAGCCAAAGAAACAGGCCCTAAATTTACGTTTAGATTTGATGAAGAATGAACAATCATGTAGAAATGTGATTGGACAAATGGTAATAGACTGAGAGGTGGGAAGCTAGCAAGACCTGTCTGTTCAGATTCTTCTTGGTTTCTCTCTGGAACATTCCTTCTTCCTGGGTTAGGCAGGACCCCTTCAGGAATGAGGTGTTATGATCTATCAGGTAAGGTATGTCAGAACATTTCTTTATGGCCAACTGTTAGACAAAAAGGTGAGGGAAAGTTAAGGTAACATTTCTAGGTTTTATGGCTTGCTTTGGGGAAGAGGAATTCTAGTTTTTACGGCATTTCTTCAGGGAGAAAGAGGAGCAGGAGAAAGGAGGGCAGGAGAAAGTCAGATGTTTCTTCTGAGGCCCTTTTGGTTTTCTTCAGCTCAGCATACTCAGCATGCCAAGGCACTATACTTGAAGTATTATGTTCTGAAGCCTGACACTGGATACATGGGATATGATCTAAAGAGAATGAACTACAGGGAACTTTGGCAAGGCCTGTTTGTTCAGATTGTTCTCTGTGTCCCTGTGTCTTCAGAGTTAAGAATGTTTGTTTCTTCTAGGTTTAGGGTGGGCATCCTTCACATGAAGGTCTTATAACCTTCTTCAGGGGACTGTCAGTTAGATTTTATGGCCTGTTTCAAGGGACAAAGTATGAGGGGAAGGTGAGAGTGATCTTCCTGCTCCCACTGTTTTCTCAAATGCCAAAGTGCCGTGTTTTGGAGTAGTGTGTCCTGAACCCCATCAACATATTTAAGAGAACTTTAAATATATCATTTTGTAAGCTGAGATATTTTTAATGCTTTTTATGGTTCATTGCTTCATTTTTGTTTTCAATTAGCATTATTATAAAGCCTTTTTGAAAATTTAAAGACTAGGAGTGCAGGGATCAGAATGCCCATTGAAGTATTTTTTGATTTTGAGACTGTTGATGATTCAAAGCTGTAAAAGCTTTAATGAGAGAATGGTGTGAAGAGTAACAATGGTACTGCTGTAAAGGGGTCTAGAACAAGCCATTATGGCATAAAAATTATTTTAAGCTAAAGGCACTTGAGTTTCTGAAGGTCTTTATCTGCCTAAAAGCAGAGTCTCTCAAAATAACTCAATTGTCATAAATCCTCTCCCTGGGAGCAACTGTAATCTTTGCTTCTTACAGATGAGAAGTCAGTACCACACCCAATCAGACATTGTCACAAAACTCTCGTATCACTCATCTATTCTGAGGATCCATCTAACTTTCCAAAAAGTTGTTTGTTTTTTCATAAGTGATTTTTAAAAGTTATTTTTAAAATCTTTATGTTTTGTGGATACATAGTAAGTGTATATATTTATGGGGTAGATGAGATGTTTTGATATGGGCATGCATTATGAAATTATCACATCATGCGGAATGGGGTATCCCTCCTTTCAAGCATTCATCCTCTGAGTTACAAACAGTCCAATTATACTCTTTAAGTTATTTAAAAATATACAATTAAGTTATTTACTATTATCACCCTATTGTGCTATCAACTAGTGAGTTTTATTTATTTTTTCTGTTTGTTTTTGTACCCATTAACAATTACCACCTCTCCCCCACCCTCTCACTGCTATTCCTAGCCTCTGGTAACCATCCTTCTATTCTCTGTGTCCATGAGTTAAACTGTTTTGATGTTTAGATCCCACAAATAAGTAAGAATGTGTGATGTTTGTCTTTCTGTGCCTGGCTTATTTCACTTAACATAGTAATCTCTGTTTCTACCCATGTTATTGCAAATGACAGGCTCTTATTCTTTCTTATAGCTGAAGAGTACTCGATTGTGTATGTGTACCACATTTTCTTTATCCATTCATCTATTGATGGACACTTAGGTTGCTTCCAAATCTTAGCTACTGTAAACAGTGCTGCAACAAACATAGGAGTGCAGATATCTCTTTTTGTTTTTCTTGCTCTGTCACCCAGGCTGGAGTGCAGTGGTGCGATCTTGGCTTACTGCAACCACTGCCACCCGAGTTCAAGCAATTCTCCTGCCTCAGCCTTCCGAGTAGGAAATTACAGGCGCCTGCCACCACACCCAACTAATTTTTGTATTTTTAGTACAGACGGGGTTTCACTATGTTGGCCATGCTGGTCTCCAACTCCTGACCTCGTGATCTGCCCACCTCAGCCTTCCGAAGTGCTGGGATTACAGGTGGGAGCCACCATGCCCAGCCCCAGATTTCCCCTTAATATACTTATTTCCTTTCTTTTGGATATATATCCAGCAGCGTCGTTGCTGGATCATATAGTAGCTAAATTTTTAGTTTTGTGAGGAATCTCTAAACTGTTCTCCATAGTGGTTATACTAATTTACATTCCCACCAACAGTGTATGAGAGTTCCCTTTTCTCCATATCCTTGCCAACATTTGTTATTGCCTGTCTTTTGGATATAAACCATTATAACTGGGGTAGGAAGATAGCTAATTGTAGTTTTGATTTGCATTTCTCTGATGATCAATGATGTTGAACTGCTCTTCATATGCCTGTTTGCCATTTGTATGTCTTCTTTCCAGAAGTGTCTATTCAAATCCTTTGCCCATTTTTTGATTGGATTACTAGATTTTCTCCTGTAGAGTTATTTGAGCTCTTTATATATTCTGGTTATTAATCCTTTGTCAGATGGGTAGTTTGCAAATATTTTCTCCCACTTTGTGGGCTGTCCCTTCACTTTGTTGAGTGTATCCTTTGCTGTGCAGAAGCTCTTTAACTTGATGTGATCCCATTTGTCCAATTTTGCTTTGGATGCCTGTGATTGTGGGATATTGCTCAAGAAACTTTTGCCCAGACCAATGTCCTAGAGATTTTCTCCAGATTTTCTTGTAGTAGTGGTTTAGTGTGAGGTCTTAGATTTAAGTCTTTAATCCATTTTGGTTGGATTTTTGTATATGGCAAGAGATAGGGGTTTAGTTTCACTCTTCTGTATATGGGTATCCGTCTTTTTCCCAGCACCATCTATTGAAGAGACTCTCTTTTCCTGAGTGTGTTCTTGGCACCTTCGTTGAAAATGAGTTCACTGTACATGTGTGCTTTAGTTTCTGGGCTCCATTCTGTTCCATTGGTCTCTGTGTCTGTTTTTATGCCAGTACCATGCTGTTTTGGTTACTATAGTGCTGTAGTGTAATTTGAAGTCAGATAATGTATTCCTCCAGTTTTGTTCTTTTTGCTTAGGATAGCTTTGGCTATTGTGGGTCTTCCGTGGTTCCATATAAATTTTAGGATTATTTTTTCTATTTCTGTAAAGCATGTTATTGGCACTTTGATAGGGATTGTATCATCTGTAGGTTGCTTTGGGTAGTATGGACATTTTAACACTATTGATTCTTCCAGTCTGTGAACATGGAACTTTTTTCCCATTTTTTTGTATTCTCTTCAATTTCTTTTATCAGTATTTTATCGTTTTAATTATAGAGCTAATTCACCTCTTTGGTTAATTCCTAGGTATTTGATTTTATGTGTGGCTACTGCAAATGGGATTGCTTTTCTTGTTTCTTTTACATATTGTTCACTGTTGGCATATAGAAATGCTACTGATTTTTGGCCTGGCTCAGTGGCTCACAACTGTAATCCCAACACTTTGGGAGGCTGAGGAGGGAGGATCACGAGGTCAAGAGATCAAGACCATCCTGGCCAACATGGTGAAACTCTGTCTCTTCTAAAAATACAAAATTAGCCAGGTGTGGTGTGGTGCAGACCTGTAATCCCAGCTACTCGGGAGGCTGAGGCAGGAGAATCGCTTGAACCCAGGAGGTGGAGGTTGCGGTGAGCCAAGATCGCACCATTGCACTCCAGCCTGGGCAACAAGAGCGAAACTCCGCCTCAAAAAAAAAAAAAAAGAAAAGAAAAGAAAAGAAAGAAAAAAAAGAAATGCTACTGATTTTTGTATGCTTGTTTTGTATTCTGCAAATGTACTGAATTTGCTTATCAGTTCTAAGAGGTTTTTTTGTATGTAGCATCTTTAGTTTTTTCTAAATATAACACCATATCATCTTCAAACAAGGATAATTTGACTCCTTCCTTTCCTATTTGGAGTCCAGTTTGACTCCTTCCTTTCCAAATTGGTGTATATCTTTCTCTTGTCTGATTGCTCTAGCTATGACTTCCAGTACTCTGTTTAATAACTGTGGTGACAGTGGGCATCTTTGTTGTCTTCCAGATCTTAGAGGAGAGCCTTTCAGTTTTTACCTATTCAGTATGATACTACCTGTGGCTTTTATTATGCTGAGGTATGTTTTTCCATTATCCGGTTTTTCGAAGGTTTTTATTGTGAAGGGATGTTGAATGATATCAAATGCATTTTCAGCATGAATTAAAATGATCATATGGATTTTATCTTTCATTTTGTTGATATAATGTATCACATTGATTGGTTTGCATATGTTGACCATCCTTGCACCCCAAGGATAAATCCCACTTCGTCATGATGAATGATCTTTCTGATGTATTCTTGAATTTGGTTTGCTAATATTTTGTTGAAGATTTTTGCATCAATATTCAGGAGATATTGGTCTGTAGTTTTCTTTTTTTTGATGTGCCTTTGGTTTTGATATCAAGGTAACACTGGCCTTGTAGAATGAGTTTGGAAGCATTCCCTTCTCTATTTTTCAGAATAGTTTGACTAGGTTCATATTTAGTTTTTTTTTTTTTTTTTTTTTTAATATGTTTGGTAGAATTCAGCAGTGAAGCCACCAGATCTGACACTTCTTTATTGGGAGATTTTTATTATGGCTTCAATCTTATTACTTGTTTTTGGTCTCTTTGGGTTTTGGATTTTTTTCCTGTTTCAGTTTTGGTAGTTTGTATGTATCTAAGAATTTGTCCATTTCTTCTGGATTTTCTGATTTATTGGCATATAGTTAGTTGCTCATAGTAACCACTAATAACCCTTTGAATTTCTGAGGTACCAGTTATAATGTCTCATTTTTCATTTCCAATTTTATTTATTTGGATTTTCTCTCTTTTTCTAGCCTGGGCAAAGGTTTGTCAGTTTTGTTTAACTTTTCCCAAAATACCAACTTTTTGTTTCATTGACCTTTTGTATTTTTTATTTCATTTGCATTTATTTCTGCTCTGATCTTTATTATTTCTTTTCTTCTAATAACTTCGGGCTTGGCTTGCTCCTGCCTTTCTAGTTCATAAAGATGCATTGTTGTAGTGTTTATTTAAAATTTTATCTCCCCTTTGATAAAGGCACTTATAGCTATAAACTTCTTTCTTAGTACTACTTTTGCAGTATCCTATAGGTTTTTGTATATTGGGTTTCCATTATCCTTTGTTTCAAGAATTTAAAAAATTTTCTTCTTAATTTTTTTTTTTTTTTTTTTTTTGATATGGAGTCTTGCTCTGTCGCCCAGGCTGGAGTGCAGTGGTGCAATCTTGGCTCGCTGCAAGCTCTGCCTCCCAAGTTCACGTCATTCTCTTGCTTCAGCCTCCTGAGTAGCTAGAACTACAGGTGCCCACCACCACGCCTGGCTAATTTTTTGTTTTCGTATTTTTAGTAGAGATGGAGTTTCACTGTGTTAGCCAGGATGGTCTTGATCTCTTCTTTTTTTTTAAATTTTTTTTTATTATACTTCAAGTTCTAGGGTACATGTACACAACGTGCAGGTTTTTTACATATGTGTACATGTGCCATGTTGGTGTGCTGCACCCATTAACTCGTCATTTACATTAGGTGTATCTCCTAATGCTATCCCTCCCCCCTCCCCCCACCCCACAACAAGCCCCGGTGTGTGATATTCCCCTTCCTGTGTCCAAGTGTTCTCATTGTTCAATTCCCACCTATGAGTGAGAACATGCGGTGTTTGGTTTTTTGTCCTTGAGATAGTTTGCTGAGAATGATGGTTTCCAGCTTCATCCATGTCCCTACAAAGGACATGAACTCATCATTTTTATGGCTGCATAGTATTCCATGGTGTATATGTGCCACATTTTCTTAATCTAGTCTATCATTTTTGGACATTTGGGTTGGTTCCAAGTCTTTGCTATTGTGAGTAGTGCCACAATAAACATATGTGTGCATGTGTCTTTATAGCAGCATGATTTATAATCCTTTGGGTATATACCCAGTAATGGGATTGCTGGGTCAAATGGTATTTCTAGTTCTAGATCCCTGAGGAATCGCCACACTGTCTTCCACAATGGTTGAACTAGTTTACAGTCCCACCAACAGTGTAAAAGTGTTCCTATTTCTCCACATCCTCTCCAGCACCTGTTTCCTGACTTTTTAATGATCGCCATTCTAACTGGTGTGGTTTTGATGTGCATTTCTCTGATGGCCAGTGCTGATGAGAATTTTTTTCATGTGTCTGTTGGCTGCATAAATGTCTTCTTTTGAGAAGTGTCTGTTCATATCGTTTGCCCACTTTTTGATGGGGTTGTTTGTTTTTTTCTTGTAAATTTTTTAATGAACCCACAGGTCATTCAGGAGCATGATGTTTAATTTCATGTGTTTGTATAGTTTACAAAATTCATCTTGTTA
Organism: Homo sapiens; assembly: GCF_000001405.40. Taxonomy (NCBI): domain Eukaryota; kingdom Metazoa; phylum Chordata; class Mammalia; order Primates; family Hominidae; genus Homo; species Homo sapiens. The sequence continues at coordinate 186,319,950 of NC_000002.12, read as the reverse complement.
TGAATTTCTGGTTTTATTCCATTGTGGTCAGAGAAGATGCTTGATATTATTTCAATTTTAAAAAATGTTTAAAGACTTGTTTTGTGACCTAACATTCTGAAGACCTATTCTTGAGAATGATCCATGTGCTGATGAAAAGATTTTGTGTTCTGTAGCTCTTAGATGAAATGTTCTGGAAATATCTGTTAGAGCCATTGGTCTATAGTGCAGATTAAGTGTGTGTTTCTTTGTTGATTTTCTTTCTGGAAGATTTGTCTAATGCTGAATGTGGGGTGTTGAATTCTGCAGCTATTATTGTGTTGAGGTCTATATCTCCCTTTAGCTATAGTAATATTTGCTTTATATATATGGGAGCTCCAATGTTAGGTACATAGGTATTTAAAATCGTTATATCCTCTTGCTGAATTGACTCCTTTATCATTATATAGGGACCTTCTTTGTCTCTTGTTATAGTTTTGTTTTGAAATCTATTTCGTCTTATGTAAGTTTAGTGACTCCTGGTCCTTACTGGTTTCCACTAGCATGGAATATCTTTTTCCATCCCTTTATTTTCAGTCTTTGTCTTTATAGGTAAAATGTGTTTCTTGTAGGCAACAGATCAATAGGTCTTGTTTTTTTCCATCCATTTAGCCAGTCTACATCTTTTGATTGGAGAGTTTAGTCTATTTACATTTAATGTTATTGTTGATTAGTAAGGACTTTATCCTGCCATTTTGTTTATTTTCTGGTTGTTTTGTGGTCTTCTCTTTCTTCTTTCTTTCCTTCCTGTCTTCTTCTAGTGAAGGTAATTTTTTCACGTGATATAATTTGGTTTCTTGCTGTTAATGTTGTGTGTATCCATTGTTTGCATTTTGGTTTGAGGTTGCCATAAGGCTTGTGAATATTGTCTTATAACCCATTAATTTTTAATTTTTTAATTTTTTTATTTTTGTCTCTCATTTATTTTGCAACTGTTTTGATAGCATTGATATTTAATTCATGCATATTTTTATTCTTTTCATTTTTGTTTTTATTATACTTTAAATTTTAGGGCACGTGTGCACAACGTGCAGGTTAGTTACATATGTATACATGTGCCATGTTGCTGTGTGCACCCATTAACTCATCATTTAACATTAGGTATATCTCCTAATGCTATGCCTCCCCCCATCCCCCCACCCCACAACAGGCCCCGGTGTGTGATATTCCCCTTTCTGTGTCCTTGTGTTCTCATTGTTCAATTCCCACCTATGAGTGAGAACATGCAGTGTTTGGTTTTTTGTCCTTGGCGATAGTTTGCTGAGAATGATGGTTTCCAGCTTCATCCATATCCTTAGAAAGGACATGAACTCATCCTTTTTTATGGCTGCATAGTATTCCATGGCATATATGTGCCACATTTTCTTAATCCAGTCTATCATTGTTGGACATTTGGCTAGGTTCCAAGTTTTTGCTATTGTGAATAGTGCCGCAATAAACATACGTGTGCATGTGTCTTTATAACAGCATGTTTTATAATCCTTTGGGCATATACCCAGTAATGGGATGGCTGGGTCAAGTGGTATTTCTAGTTCTAGATCCCTGAGGAATCGCCACACTGACTTCCACAATGGTTGAATTAGTTTACAGTCCCACCAACAGTGTAAAAGTGTTCCTATTTCTCCACATCCTCTCCAGCACCTGTTGTTTCCTGACTTTTTAATGATCGCCATTCTAACTGGTGTGAGATGGTATCTCATTGTGGTTTTGATTTGCATTTCTCTGATGGCCAGTGATGATGAGCATTTTTTCATGTGTCTTTTGGCTGCATAAATGTCTTCTTTTGAGAAGTGTCTGTTCATATCATTTGCACACTTTTTGATGGAGTTGTTTTTTTCTTGTAAATTTGTTTGAGTTCATTGTAGATTCTGGATATTAGCCCTTTGTCAGATGAGTAGATTGCAAAAATTTTCTCCCATTTTGTAGGTTGCCTGTTCACTCTGATGGTAGTTTCTTTTGCTCTGCAGAAGCTCTTTAGTTTAATTAGATCCCATTTGTTAATTTTGGCTTTTGTTGCCATTGCTTTTGGTGTTTTAGACATGAAGTTCTTGCCCATGCCTATGTCCTGAATGGTATTGCCTAGGTGTTCTTCTAGGGTTTTTATGGTTTTAGGTCTAACATTTAAGTCTTTAATCCATCTTGAATTAGTTTTTGTATAGGGTGTAAAGAAGGGATCCAGTTTCAGCTTTCTACATATGGCTAGCCAGTTTTCCCAGCACCATTTATTAAATAGGGAATCCTTTCCCCATTGCTTGTTTTTGTCAGGTTTGTCAAAGATCAGGTAGTTGTATATATGTGGCATTATTTCTGAGGGCTCTGTTCTGTTCCATTCGTCCATATCTCTGTTTTGGTACCAGTACCATGCTGTTTTGGTTACTGTAGCCTTGCAGTATAGTTTGAAGTCAGGTAGCATGATGCCTCCAGCTTTGTTCTTTTGGCTTAGGATTGACTTGGCAATGCAGGCTCTTTTTTGATTCCATATGAACTTTAAAGTAGTTTTTTCCAATTCTGTGAAGAAAGTCATTGGTAGCTTGATGGGGATGGCATTGAATGTATAAATTACCTTGGGCAGTATGGCCATTTTCACGATATTGATTCTTCCTACCTATGAGCATGGAATGTTCTTCCATTTGTTTCTATCCTCTTTTATTTCATTGAGCAGTGGTTTGTAGTTCTCCTTGAAGAGGTCCTTCATGTCCCTTGTAAGTTGGATTCCTAGGTATTTTATTCTCTTTGAAGCAATTGTGAATGGGAGTTCATTCATGATTTGGCTCTCTGTTTGTCTGTTATTGGTGTATAAGAATGCTTGTGATTTTTGCACATTGATTTTGTATCCTGAGACTTTGCTGAAGATTTGCCTATAGGCAAACACAGGTTTGCCTATCAGCTTAAGGAGATTTTGGGCTGAGACAATGGGGTTTTCTAGATATACAACAATGTCATCTGCAAACAGGGACAGTTTGACTTCCGCTTTTCCTAATTGAATACCCTTTATTTCTTTCTCCTGCCTAATTGCCCTGGCCTGAACTTCCAACACTGTGTTGAATAGGAGTGGTGAGAGAGGGCATCCCTGTCTTGTGCCAGTTTCCAAAGGGAATGCTTCCAGTTTTTGCCCATTCAATATGATATTGGCTGTGGGTTTGTCATAGATAGCTCTTATTATTTTGAGATACGTCCCATCAATACCTAATTTATTGAGAGTTTTTAGCATGAAGTGTTGTTGAATTTTGTCAAAGGCCTTTTCTGCATCTATTGAGATAATCATGTGGTTTTTGTCTTTGGTTCTGTTTCTATGCTGGATTATGTTTATTGATTTGCATATGTTGAACCAGCCTTGCATCGCAGGCATGAAGCCCACTTGATCATGGTGGATAAGCTTTTTGATGTGCTGCTAGATTCGGTTTGCTAGTATTTTATTGAGGACTTTTGCATCTGTGTTCCTCAGGGATATTGGTCTAAAATTCTCTTTTTTTGTTGTGTCTCTGCCAGGCTTTGGTATCAGGATGATGCTGGCCTCACAAAATGAGTTAGGGAGGATTCCCTCTTTCTATTGATTGGAATAGTTTCAGAAGGAATGGTACCATCTCCTCCATGTACCTCTGGTAGAATTCGGCTGTGAATCCATCTGGTCCTGGACTTTTTTTGGTAAGATATTAATTATTGCCTCAATTTCAGAGCCTGTTTTTGGTCTATTCAGAGATTCAAATTCTTCCTGGTTTAGTCTTGGGAGGGTGTATGTGTCAAGTAATTTATGCATTTGTCCTAGATTTTCAAGTTTATTTGCGTAGAGGTGTTTGTAGTATTCTCTGATGGTGGTTTTTATTTCTGTGGGATTGGTGGTGATATCCCCTTTATCATTTTTTATTGCTTCTATTTGATTCTTCTCTCCTTTCTTCTTTATTAGTCTTGCTAGTGGTCTATCAATTTTGTTGATCGTTTCAAAAAACCAGCTCCTGGATTCATTGATTTTTTGAAGAGTTTTTTGTGTCTCTATTTCCTTCAGTTCTGCTCTGATCTTAGTTATTTCTTGCCTTCTCTTAGCTTTTCAATGTGTTTGCTCTTGCTTCTCTAGTTCTTTTAATTGTGATGTTAGGGTGTCAATTTTAGATATTTCCTGCTTTCTCTTGTGGGCATTTAGTGCTATAAATTTCCCTCTACACACTGCTTTGAATGTGTCCCAGAGATTCTGGTATGTTGTGTCTTTGTTCTCATTGGTTTTAAAGAACATCTTTATTTCTGCCTTCATTTTGTTATGTATCCAGTAGTCATTCAGGAGCAGGTTGTTCAGTTTCCATGTAGTTGTGTGGTTTTGAGTGAGTTTCTTAATCCTGAGTTCTAGTTTGGTTATACTGTGGTCTGAGAGACAGTTTGTTATAATTTCTGTTCTTTTACATTTGCTGAGGAGTGCTTTACTTCCAAATATGTGGTCGATTTTGGAATAGGTGTTGTGTGGTGCTGAGAAGAATGTATATTCTGTTGATTTGGGGTGGAGAGTTCTGTAGATGTCTATTAGGTCCGCTTGGTGCAGAGCCGATTTCAATTCCTGGATATCCTTGCTAACTTTCTGTCTCATTGATCTGTCTAATGTTGACTGTGGGGTGTTAGGGGTGTTAAAGTCTCCCATAATTATTGGATAGGAGTCTAAGTCTCTTTGTAGGTCTCTAAGGACTTGCTTTATGAATCTGGGTGCTCCTGTATTGCGTGCATATATATTTAGGATAGTTAGCTCTTCTTGTTGAATTGATCCCTTTACCATTATGTAATGGCCTTCTTTGTCTCTTTTGATCTTTGTTGGTTTAAAGTCTGTTTTATCCGAGACTAGGATTGCATCCCCTGCCTTTTTTTGTTTTCCATTTGCTTGGGAGATCTTCCTCCATCCCTTTATTTTGAGCCTATGTGTGTCTCTGCATGTGAGATGGGTTTCCTGAATACAGCACACTGATGGGTCTTGACTCTTTATCCAATTTGCCAGTCTGTGTCTTTTAATTGGAGCATTTAGCCCATTTACATTTAAGGTTAATATTGTTTTGTGTATATTTAATCCTGTCATTATGTTGTTAGCTGATTATTTTACTCGTTAGTTGATGCAGTTTCTTCCTAGCCTCGATGGTCTTTATAATTTGGCATGTTTTTGCAGTGGCTGGTACCGGTTGTTGCTTTCCATGTTTAGTGCTTCCTTCAGGAGCTCTTGTAGGGCAGGCTTGGTGGTGACGAAAATCTCTCAGCATTTCCTTGTCTGTAAAGTATTTTATTTCTCCTTCACTTATGAAGCTTAGTTTGGCTGGATATGAAATTCTGGGTTGGAAATTCTTTTCTTTAAGATTGTTGAATATTGGCCCCCACTCTCTTCTGGCTTGTAGAGTTTCTGCCAAGAGATCAGCTGTTAGTCTGATGGGCTTCCCTTTGTGGGTAACCCGACCTTTCTCTCTGGCTGCCCTTAACATTTTTTCCTTCATTTCAACTTTGGTGAATCTGACAATTATGTGTCTTGGAGTTGCTCTTCTCGAGGAGTATCTTTGTGGCATTCTCTGTATTTCCTGAGTTTGAATGTTGGCCTGCCTTGCTAGATTGGGGAAGTTCTCCTGGATAATATCCTGTAGAGTGTTTCCCAACTTGGTTCCATTCTCCCCGTCATTTTCAGGTACACCAATCAGACGTAGATTTGGTCTTTTCACATAGTCCCATCTTTCTTGGAGCCTTTGTTCATTTCCTTTTATTCTTTTTTCTCTAAACTTCTCTTCTTGCTTCATTTCATTCATTTGATCTTCCATTGCTGATACCCTTTCTTCCAGTTGATTGCATTGGCTACTGAAGCTTGTGCATTCATCACGTAGTTGTTGTGCCATGGTTTTCATCTCCATCAGGTCCTTTAAGGACTTCTCTGCATTGGTTATTCTAGTTAGCCATTCGTCTAATTTTTTTTCAAGGTTTTAACTTCTTTGCCATGGGTTCGAACTTCCTCCTTTAGCTTGGAGTAGTTTAATCGTCTGAAGCCTTCTTCTTTGAACTTGTCAAAGTCATTCTCCATCCACCTTTGTTCCATTGCTGGTGAGGAGCTGTGTTCCTTTGGAGGAGGAGAGGCACTCTGATTTTTAGAGTTTCCAGTTTTTCTGCTCAGTTTTTTCCCCATCTTTGTGGTTTTATCTACCTTTGGTCTTTGATGATGGTGATGCACAGATGGGATTTTGGAGTGGATGTCCTTTCTGTTTGTTAGTTTTTCTTCTAACCATCAGGACCCTCAGCTGCAGGTCTGTTGGAGTTTGCTAGAGGTCCACTCCAGACCCTGTTTGCCTGGGTATCAGCAGTGGGGCCTGCAGAACACTGGATGTTGGTGAACAGCAGCTGTTGCTGCCTGATCATTCCTCCGGAAGTTTTGTCTCAGAGGAGTACCCGGCCATGTGAGGTGTCAGTCTGCCCCTACTTGGGGGTGCCTCCCAGTTAGGCTACTTGGGGGTCAGTGACCCACTTGAGGAGGCAGTCTGTCCATTCTCAGATCTCCAGCTGCATGCTGGGAGAACCACTACTCTCTTCAAAGCTGCCAGACAGGGACATTTAAGTCTGCAGAGGTTTCTGCTGCCTTTTGTTTGGCTATGCCCTGCCCCCAGAGGTGGCGTCTACAGAGGCAGGCAGGCCTCCTTGAGCTGCGGAGGGCTTCACCCAGTTCGAGCTTCCCAGCTGCTTTGTTTACCACTGAATCCTCGGCAATGGTGGGTGCTCCTCCCCCAGCCTTGCTGCCACCATGCAGTTTTATCTGAGACTGCTGTGCTAGCAATAAGCGAGGCTCTGTCAGCATAGGACTCTCTGAGCCATGTGCGGGATATAATCTCCTGGTGTGCCGTTTGCTCAGTTGGAAATGCAGAAATCACCCATCTTCTGCGTCGCTCACACTGGGAGCTGTCGACTGGAGCTCTTCCTATTTGGCCATCTTGGCTCCGCCCCCTCTGTAACTCATTATTTTAAATGGTTAAAGCTTAACAGTATTTGCATAAAAAAACAAACAAGTAAAAAGAAGGCTAATAAAATCCCTATGCCTTAACTTCATCCCCCAACTTTTTAACTTTCAGTTGTTTCTATTTATATCTTATTGTACTGACTATGTCTTGAAAATTTAGTTGTATTTATTATTTTTGATTGGTTCATCATTGAGTCTTTCTATTTAGGATAAGAGTAATTTACTCCAGAGCCACAGTGTTATAATATTCTGTGTTTTTCTGTGTAGTTACTGTTACCAGTGATTTTTGTACCTTCAGATGATTACTTATTGCTCATTAATGTCCTTTTCTTTCTCATTGAAATACTCCCTTTAGTGAATTTTTGTAGAAAAGATGTGGTATACATGAAATCCCTCAGCTTTTGTTTGTCTGGAAGAATCTTTTTTTTCCTTCATGTTTGAAGGGTATTTTTACCAGATATACTTCTCTAGGAAAAAATTTTATTTTTCTTCAATACTTTAAATATGTCATGCCTCTCTTTCGTGGCTTGTAATGTTTCCACTGAGAAGTCTGCTACCAGATATATTGGAGCTCCATTGTAAGTTATTTGTTTCTTTTCTCTTGCTTCTTTTTGGACCCTTTCTTTATCCTTGACTGTTGGGAGTTTAATTATTAAATGCCTTGAAGTAGTCTTTTTTTGGTTAAATCTGCTTGATGTATAACCTTCTTGTGCTTAGATATTGATATCTTTCTTTAGGTTTGGGAAGTTCTTGGTTATTATTTCTTTGAATAAACTTTCTAATCTTATCTCTTTCTCTATCTCCTATTTAAGGCTAATAACTCTTATATTTGCCCTTTTGAGCTATTTTCTAGATCCTGTAGGCAGGCTTTATTGTTTTTTATTCTTTTTTTCTTTTGTCTCCTCTGACTGTGTGTTTTCAAACAGCCTATCTTCAAGCTCACAAATTCTTCTGTTTGATAAATTCTGCAATTAAAGGATTCTGATGCATTCTTCAGTATACTAATTTTATTTTTTAGCTTTAGAAGTTCTGCGTCTTTTTTTAAATTATTTCAATCTCTTTGTTAAATTTATGTCATAGAATTATAAGTTCCTTCTCTGTGTTATCTTGAATTTCTTTGAGTTTCTTCAACACAGCTATTTTAAATTCTCTTCTAGAAGGTCACATATCTCTATTTCTCCAGGATTGGTTCCTGGTGAATTATTTAGTTTATTTGGTGAGGTCATGCTTTCCTGGATGTTGATTTTAGTGGATGTTCTTCAGTGTCTGGGCATTGAAGAATTTGGTATTTATTGTAGTCTTCACTGTCAAGGATTATTTGTAGCCATCCTTCTCAGGAAGGCTTTCCAGATATTTGAAAGGACTTGGGTTTTGTGATCTAAGCTGTATCTACTTTAGGGGGCACCCATAGTCCAGGAATGCTTTGGTTCTTACAGACTTGCAGATGTACTATGTTGATAGTCTAGGACAAGACCTGGGAGAATTCTCTGGATTACCAGGTAGAGACTCTTGTTCTTTTCCTTACTTTGTCCCAAACAAGTGGAATTTCTCTCTCTGTTCTGAGCCATCTCAACCTGGGGGTGGAGTGACACTGGCATCTCTGTGGCCATCACAGTGTGCAATCACTGCCACTGTGATTGCAATGGGTCAGACCTGAAGCCAGCATATCACTGAGTTTTATCCAAGGCCTGCTGTAACCACTCCCTGGCTTTTGCCTGTGTTCTCTCAAGGCCCTGGGGCTCTAGAATCAGAAGGTAGCAAAGCCAGCCTGGTATATGTCCTTCCCTTCAGGGCAACAAGGTCTCCTAGGCCCTATGTGGGTCCAGAAGTGCTATCCAGGAGTCAGTAACTAGAGTAAAAAACCTTAGAAGTTGACCTGGTGTTCTATTGTATTTCAGCTGAGCTGGCGCTCAAACTACAAGACCCAGTTCTTCCTGCTGTTCTTTCCCCTTTCAAAAGCAGAGGAGACTTACCCTGTAGCTACCACCAGCCCTGGCCATGAGGAATACTGCCAGACTACCAGCCAATCTTTCCCTAAGGCACAAGAGTTCTTAACTCAGCTTGTGGTGAATGCTGCCTGGTCTGGGATTCACCCTTCAGGGTAGTGGGCTCCCCTCTGGCCCCGGGCAGATCCAGAAATGCTGTCCAAGAATCAAGTCCTAGAACTGGAGACCCCAAGAGCCTGGTTGGTACTATTTCCTCCTATGGCGATGCTGATGCATAAGGGTAGGACAAAGTTTTCTTTACTTTTCCCTCTGCTTTTCTCAAACAGAAGGAGTTTTTCCCCATTGCCACCACAGCTGGTAATGTGCTGAGTCTCAACTGAAGCCAGCAAATCTCAGAGGCTCACTCAAGAACCTTGACATAGTTACCTGGGTATCACCGCTGGTTGTTCTGTTTGCAAGGGCTATTCAATTAGCAGGTGATGAATGCTTTCAGCACTTGGTCCTTTCCTTCAAGGCAGTGGGTTCCTTTCTGGCCCAGGGTGTGCCTAGATATATTGACTGGGCGCTAAGCCCTAGAACGGGGACCTCACGATGCTGCCCAGTACCCTATCCTGCTGTAGCTGAGCTAGTATCTAAGATGGAAGACAAAGTCCTCCCCACTCTTCCCTGTCCTCTTCTCAAGCAGAAGGAAGAGGTCTCTTTTGGAGTCATGAGCTGTGCAGCCTAGGGTTAGGGGAGGGGTGATGCCAGTACTCCCTTGGCTGCCCCAGCTGGTGTCTCAGTGTGTCACGTGCCACTCCCCAGCACTCCCCAAGTCCACTGTATCTGGGCCTAGTTCAGTACTAGGACTTGCCTAAGAGTTGCAGTGCTTATGGCCTTGACTGCCTTTCAGATTTACTTGGAGACACAGAGTACTGTAGCCTTCGTTGGTGAAGTTGGCAGGCACTCAAGTTCTGACTGCTGGGATCCTCAATTCCTCTCTGGCTAGGGCTGGTTTAAATGCTCCCTCTGTGGGCAGATGTCAGCTGAGTTTGGTCTGGTTTTTCTTTCTGCATTAACAGGACAGTGCTGAGTTCAGTGCCTCACAGTTGCTGTGTTCTCCCTTCTCCAGTGCCCAGAAATGCTCTCAGCACCATGCCCTTGCTGCCAAGGCTGGGAGAGGGATGGTGTCAGCATTCTAGACAGTTTTTTTCTATCTCTTCAACACCTTTTTCAGTGATATAAAGTTAAAACCAGGTACTGTGAGTGCTCACCTGATTTTTGATTCTTATGAAGTTGTTTTTGTCTGTATAGATAGTTATTAACTTGGTGTCCTTGCTGGGGATGGGGACAATTAGTAAAACCCTCTATTCCACCATCTTGCTTCATCCTATAAGTGTCCTTTCTACTCACTTTCTTTTTTTTTTTTTTTTGAGACAGAGTTTCACTGTTGTTGCCCAGGCTGGAGTGCAATCAATGATATGATCTTGGCTCACTGCAACCTCTGCCTCCCAGGTTCAAGCGATTCTCCTGCCTCGGCCTCCCAAGTGGCTGGGATTAGAGGCATATGCCACCACGCCCGGCTAATTTTTGTATTTTTAGTAGAGACGGGGTTTCTCCATGTTGGTGAGGCTGGTATCGAACTCCTCACCTCACGTGATCCGCCCATTTCAGCCTCCTAAAGTGCTGTGATTACAGGGGTGAGCCACCGCGCCCGGCCTCTACTTACTTTCTAAGAAGTCATTTGTTCTTCCAGGAGAGCCCCTCTGCCCCTCCTGATCACTTATTCAACTGGCATATAAACCCCTATTCTAACCACTTCCTTGAACCACATTTCTTTGTGAATGCTTGTATATACACATGTAATTAAATCTGTTTCTTTCTTTTGCTGATTTGCTTTTGTCTGTTTAATTTTCAGGTCCTCAATTACTAAACATAAAAGGGTAGAGGAAAAGTTTTTCTTCCCTGACAGGTGGTACTAATTAGGGAAAGGCAATCTGAAAGGGAAGATTTAATTGAAGGAACAGGAATCATTGCCTTTTGTCAACTGCTTTGCTCAAAGAGAGGCTGTCCATCTAGGAATAAAAGAATTAGAACTTGTGTTGTTTTCATTTGTTTCCTTTTGTTTATAATGGAGGTTATTTCTCCTATAGATAACAGATGCAGGATTTTAGTCAAGCTGAGAAAAATTTATATAATTTTGTTTAAAATGGTTTTGTTCTTTTCAATGAGTTATTACTGTTTCCACAAGGAAAAGGAAGATTGAGCTGTGTTATTCAAATATTGGTTGTTACTTTTTGGCTTCAGACTCTTCAATTATTTTTCACTGTGTTAGCCATAAAGACCATAGTCCACATTTGCAATAAAGGGCCTTCCATGGGACATCCCTTATCAGCCTCTATAGACCTTACTTTACAATTTACACTTCTTACCTTCCACCCTGTGGGCCTGCTGAAGTATCATAGTTTTCTATGCCACACCATTTCAAGCCCCTGTGACCTTGCTCTTTCCCTATCCTGTCCTCATGGGAGTGAGTCAGACAGGAAAAACCTCCTGAGTGTTACAACACCTTAGCAGAAGAATAGTTTCAACAAATGGTTCTCAAACTTTAACGTGCTTCAGACTCTCCTAGCAAACCAGCTTGCTAAATTGCAGATTCCTAGGCTTTCAGGGTGAAGGAAAGAAAAATATTTCACCCCAAAATATACTTCTTTGTCATATTTTGAGATGTTTGTTCAGAGGGCCTGCAAACAGAAGTAATCCTGCAAGGTTGTCTTTTGTTGGGGGAGATTTGCATCTATAGAGAAAATCTGCATGATGCAGCCAGATTTTCTCTGAGGCCTTTCTTTGTCCAGATCTAGGAAATATTAACTGAGAGTCTGACACCTTTAAAGGTTTGAAAGAAACATTCACCATCTGTTCTGTCTGAGGGCTGCTACATGTGAGTTTCATCTATATAACAAGACCACATTTGCTAGCCAGGCTTCCTCTTCTCCCTCTCCCATAACCTGTTTTGCTACCATAACCTGTTTTGCCATGATCCAAGCTGCCATTCTTTCTGTAACCACAGGAGGGTATATAAATTTTTGAACCCCACTGGGGCATGGGGGTAATCATGCTGTGGTTTTTCCCTCATGTGCACTTTAATAAATGTGTATGCCTTTTCTCCAGTTAATCTCTTTTTGTGAATTGATTTTTCAGCAAACCTTCAAAGGGCAAATTGGAAGCTTTTCTTTAGTCCCCTACAAGGGAATTACAGATTCAGCAAGTCTGGGAGGAGAAGCCCAGGAACATGCATTCTAGAAAATATGCATTCTGGAAACTCCAGGGGATTTGAAGCATGTATCCGTGATCATACTTTGAGAAAATTGGGCTTAAAGGATTTGCAGTCCTGGGGTGGCAAGGAGGAAGGCTGAAGAATTGGATAAGATGGCACTCCACATGTAGGAATACCATGAGCAAAGGCAGCTTATATTGGTGTGCAGGAGATGGTTGTTAAATTTTCAGCGATTTTGTGATTGATTTTTGAATACAGCCATTATTAAATAGGTTATATAAACTGACCCTTAAATAAATTATATTAAATGCAAAATAATAAACATAAAAGAACTTATTACTTCCTATTTATTTAACTACCTTTTACTATTACCTATGCTCTTAGGCACATCTATGCTCTTAAGTATGTGTCTATTTTAACTGTGTGGTAAAATTACTATATTATCAAGTGCTACTGTAAACCAAAAAGTATCTGAGACAAATCTCAATCAATTTAGAAGTTTGTTTTGCCAAGGTTAAGGATATGCCTGCGCCACAGCCTCAGAAGGTCCTGATGACACATGCCCAAGGTGATCAGGCTAAAGGTTGGTGTTATATTATACATTTTAGGGAGACTTAAGACATCAATCAGTACATGCAAGATTTACATTGATTTGGTCTAGAAAGGTAAGACAACTCAAAGTGGGGGCTTCCAGGTTATAGGTGGATTCAAAGATTTCCTGACTGGCAATTGGTTGAAAGAGTTTGTCTAAAGACCTGGAATCCATACAAGAGAGTGTCTGGGTTAAGATAAGAAGTTAAGACCAAGGTTATTATTATGCAGATGAAGCCTCTAGGTAGTAGGCTTCAGAGATAATAGATTGTAAATGTTTTTTATCAGACTTGAAAAGCTACCAGACTCTTAATGTTAATTCTCTCCTGGATCAAGGAAAAGACCTGGAAAGGGAAGGGGATTTCCTGCAGAATGTAGATTTTTTGAAGCCACAAGAGACAGCTTTGCAGGGCCATTTCAAAATATGTCAAAGAAATCTATTTCGGGGTAAAATACTTCAATTTCTTTCTGGGGCTGCTGTCTCTCATGTGATGCTGTACTAGTGTCAGGCTGGAATTTGGTGTCTTATTGCTACAAAAAGTATTAAGATATCCATTTTAATGTTAATGCTGGTCAGTTGTGCCTGAATTCCAAAGGGAGCGGGGTATAATGAGGCATATTTGACCCCCCTTCCCATCATGGCCTCAACTAGTTTTTTAGGTAAACTTTAGAATGCCCGTGGTTGAGAGGAGGGGTCCATTCAGATGGTTGGGGTGGGCCTGGAATTTTATTTTTAGTTTACACTACTCTGTATCTCTACTCAACTTCACATTCAGTGATGCCATGTTAGTAGCTTACTATTAGCCACGGTAGGAGTATTTGCAACATAAATGTTGGCAAATGTTACAAATCTGGGTTCTATCTATATCTCCCCACTGTGAGACTAATTTACCAGCATATTACTGAATGAGGATGAAAAAATGTTGGTTTTATATGATGAAGTACAAGCAGTGTGATCTTTCTGGAACTTTAGCTGGAAGTAGCTAAGAATTGGGTATTGGCCATTTCGTGGAGTGCTTTATGTGATCCAGTTTTGAGAAGCAAGGAGTTTATTCTACTAATAATGGAAAACCACTGTAGCATTTTAGTATATGGAGCGGTCACATTTATTGTTGGAAAGGTGGCTCTGTGAAGCATAATTTTGAAATTGATCAAATTAAAAGGAGACCATTTAGGAGGCCATATTTCATATGACAGATCATGATGAATTGGACGGATAGTGGAAGTATAGAGAGTAGAATCGACTATCTGGAGAAATAGTCAGCAGTTAAACTTGTCAGTAATTAGAAGGTGGTGAGAGACAGGAGTCATATTTCTAATCTGGTTGACTGGTTGGGTGGTGGCACAAGCCAATGACGTAGAGAATACAAGCATCAAAGCAAGTTTAGATGAGGAAAATAATGTGTACGTTAAAGATTTGCTGTTACTGATGAAACTGTATGATAGAACTTCCCAAACTTTCTCATGTTATGACACTCATAGAGGATGATACTGTGATACTGTGGCACATGAGATAAAAGAGAGACGGGTTAATGTTAAGGACAACTAACTTCTGAAGTATGATCACTCCAGCTCTTACTCTGATTGCCTCATATATATGTTTTATATATTTACATAACACATATATAATTATCATATGTTGTAAAATGCTCACAGAGCTCAGTTAAGTAAAATGTTTAAAGTTGATATGACCTATGGGAAAGTTGGAAGTTATGAATGAAACACATACAAATTAAGTGTCCAGGATTTTGTCTTAAAATAAGAGAATGACAGTTACTCTGATTGAAGCTGTGTTATCACTGCTGTGGTTTAGTATTTCTCTGTTATCACTGAAAAGAAGAGGTAGAAACTGCAATTGACAATTGAGTTCTGTTAAGCTAATCGGAAGTGCAAAGTGAGCAAATTAATGTCTTTTTTAAGATAATTTTAATTGACAATTATAATAAAAAGGAAATTGAATGTTTTCAGTATAAACTGAGAGAGAAGACTGCCCAAGTTCTGGCCTATAGACAGAAGACTTCTAACAGTAAGAAATTGATAAATTTCTATTTCTTTTTAGTAACTGGGAAAGTTATTATTTTTATTTACCATAAAGTGCCACAGCATGTTATTTTTTTCCTTCTCTTTGACCTACACAATTAAATCTATGTTTATAATATTTTTTATACTAAAAATGAGGAGGTAGGGTAGAGGAAGTACCTTTTCCTTACCGATCCTAGGTTCATGGCTGAGGCCCTGATAACAAAAGATTTATGAACAAGAGTAAAACATACAAGTTTATTTAATATAAGTTTCATGTGATACAAGAGCCTTCATAACGAAATGAAGATGCAAAGAAATGGGTAAACCTGTATATTTGTTATGCCGGGTTTGATGAAGTAGATAGAGTCATGGAGATGTATGATTGGATAAAGAAGTGTGATTTAATAGTACTAAACTGGAGGAAATATAGCAAGGCCTATTTGTTCAGATTCTTCCCTATCTTTGGAGATAAGCATGTTCTTTTCATCTGGTATAGAAAGGGCACTTCTCACTTGAGGACCCCTTCAGGGGAAGTTCGGAAAATTCTTCCTAGGTTTTATGACCTGTTTCAGGGGAGAAGGGCAGATCAAAGAGTGACCTTCAAGCTTCTGTGGTTTTATAAAATTCCTTTGGCCTAAAATATTTTGGGGGTATTATGCCCTGAACCCCATCAGTGACATACCTAAAATATTATTCTGTACTTATGAGAACAATGAAATAAAGTGAATAATAAAGTAAGGACTTTCCTCAGAAGTTCAAGTTTTGTAAAAAATATCCATGTGTCTATACATTGAACACATTGTCTAGAAATTAAGAAACATTTTACCCTTTGGGAGCTCATGGTCATAAGGGCAGAATCTAGAGGAGAAGACAAGCACACAAGCATTGTGGTGATGTGTACAAATATAATAGACCAGAGTCCAAAGGAGATACACCTAACTGAGCCTGGGAGGAAAGGGAGGTGGTAGGACCTGGGAGGAGTGGGAATGGGAGCTAAGTCCTGGAGGCACATGAGGGCCTAAGAGATTATTGCTCCTGCAAATTTCAAGTGGTGTTAAATTATTAGTTTTTATGAGGTGATGGTGGATGAGGCTGGACAGGCAAGCAAGGACCACACATGAAAGCCATGAAGAGCTGCTGAAAAGTTCAGATTTTGTCCTTAAAGCAATTGAGAGCTGTTGGTGAATTTCCTAAAGACACGAATATGAATAGTTTTGAGGTGTAGAAAGACAGCTCTGGCAATAGAGAATGGAGAGTAAGAAGATGACAGAGGAAGCTAGGTAGGGGCCAGCTGAAAGAGTTGCAATAATCCAAGTGAAAAGTATTGTAACTCTGAATTAAAGCAATGACAGTGTGGATATTGGAAAAGGAACAGATTCAGGCCCATTTAAGAAGGGGAATTTTGAGACTGATTGTGGTGAGGGAATGAAAGGGAAGAGAAAATCTAGATCTATTTGGTTCAGTCTATTGAGTACAAAGTGCTATTTTTCCCTGGAAGACAGGGTAGAGAAAGTTGGGAGGGGACTTATATTATATTGATTCCTGTCACTACCAATACCTCTATTTATAAAAATTGACTCTATAAAATCTTCTAAGGAGTTAATTATTGACAGCTCATGACTAGAACAGTGAGAAGATGAGAACATTGATTTTGCATTTTTCATTAGAAATGAACATATACATGAGTTATTTACTTATTTACATGAAGAAAAAGTATACAAATACCTGTATTAACAAAGTTATTACTTCTACATATTAATTCATTTTTATTGCCATAATTTCTGGCATTAGGAATTACCAAATAAGAAGGGGTATGACTTATAATGAGGTGTTCAATAAATTGGGCCAATTTAGTCATATGAAGAATTCATGTTCAAATAAACCAACATGCCAGAGCGTGTAGGTTTCAGTTAACATCATGCAATTGGGGGAAGTAAATAAATAAAAGTTTTCAATTGTAATTTTGCCCTCTATGTACATTTCAATATTTCAGTAGTGTACTGGGCATCTTTTAGCCATTGATGACGATTGCTAAGCAGTGGATAAATTAAATTTATCTTAACTTTACTGTGAAAAGTATGGATAGTTAGCTAAAAAAACAGCTGAAAAAATGTGTTATTGATGTACTGTGGCTATGATGCATACCCCAACATATTAGGCTGTGGGGACATTTTTTTCAATCCAAAATATGCATATGAAGGTAAGTGAGCTCCATTCTCATACTGGGAGCCAACTTATAAGAAATAAGAGAAACTTTGTTGTTTTTAATTATTGCAAATACTATTTAATAGATCGTTTAGAGTATTACAGGTGTAAAAAGATAAATACAATTTTTTTTTCCTAAAAATGGTCTTGTTTACTTTTAATTTTGGAACTAGTATATTTCTCTTTTCCTTATGAACCCACTGGGATAGTCACTGGAATAATTTTCATTAATTTTGAGAAAAATATCAGAAATGCTATATTTAAAAAAGTCAGAAATCTGTAGTTATGATTGCCGAGGTCAATTCAAAAACATAAGGAAGATTAACAAAAAGAATCACAATGAAAACTTTTATAGGAGCTGTGAAAATCTGAAGCCTAATGATATGTCAGCGTGCTCTTATAACAAACCAGCACAGAATGTCTTTAAAGCAATGGGATGTTGGTATGAAGTAATTACCGAGGCGCAAGTTGAGGTGTTAAGTTTGATATATTGCGGTCTTTTCTATCTGTTCCAATTTGCCTCCATGGTAACCGTTGCTACTTCGCCAGCCTGACTATGATCCAGCTCTCAGCATTTTCTTTTAATGAGAGGTATTCTTCGGTTGGATGCAATTAATTTACTACTATTTAGTTGGATTTTTAAAAGCAATAATCTAACACTTTAATTATATAAATTATCTATCTTCAGAGTGTTGATCTGCAGAGAAATTGTTTAGACTTGAATTTTGGCCCCTTTATTTTTTTACTGGAATATTAATTCAGTTAAAAAATGATTCCACAATAGCTTTGAACACTTTAGAGAAAACAACTATGTAATTCTCATGCCATTGGCAGTATGAGTCTCTAGTTCCAAATTTTGGCTTAGAAAACTGAGAGGGAAAAGAGCCACAAAGAGTATTAGGTTAATTTTTCATATTAACTTACATTTAAAAATTCTTAACAAGGGAAAATTCTAGTTATCTTTCCAAGCTTTTATATTAAATTCAGAAATAGGGTTCTGGGCTGGGCGTGGTGGCTCAGGCCTGTATTCCCAGCACTGTGGGAGGCTGAGGTGGGCGGATCATGAGGTCAAGAGATTGAGACCATCCTGGCCAACATGGTGAAACCCCATCTCTACTAAAAATACAAAAATTAGCTGGGTGTGGTGGCATGTGCCTGTAGTCCCAGCTACTCAGGGGGCTGAGGCAGGAGACTCATTTGAACCCGGAAAGCTGAGGTTGCAGTGAGCCGAGAAGGCGCCACTGCACTCCAGCCTGACAACAGAGTGAGGATCAGTCTCAAAAAAAAAAAGAAAGACTAGTGTTCTGTGACATAAGATGAATTAAAATATAATGTGGAAAGCAATATTCAAATTTGAAAAGTTTTTTCTTTTAAAGGATATAAAATCATTAATTTGAGTAATTTTTATTACCATTACTAAAAGGAAAACATGTGCTATGTGATAAAAAGAAAAAAATAAAAATTGAGAATACCCATTGTCTATACTTGTAGGATTAAAGGAGAAATGGTAATTACTATTCTTTCTTTTATTTTTTTAAACAGCGTCTCTCACTTTGTCATCCAGGCTGGAGTGCAGTGGTGTGAACAGCCCACCTGTAGCTGGGACTATAGGCACATGCTACCATGCTCAGCTCATTTATTTTTATTTTTATTTTTTTAGAGACGAGGTTTCACCATGTTGCCAAGGGTGGCCTCAAACTTCTGAGCTCAAGCAATCCACTTGCCTTGCCTCCCAAAGTGCTGGGATTATAGACATGAGCCTCCGCGCCTGGTGGAGAAATGACATTTAAATCTAGATCAAATGTGAAGGGAATTTCAATTCTGTACAAGTCAAGAAGAAAAGGCCTTTTCCACTGGCTTCAATATTTAAACAACAAACTTAAAAGCAATTACATTAGTTCACAGTAATTGAACAGCCATGTAATTCCAGTTTTACCCTATAACTATACAAGTGAACGTTGGTTATGGGTTAGAAATAATGGAAACTATTTAAGCTTCATTTCTTTTCACTTTCTCCTTTCACAGACAATTATGTACAATGTATTTTTATGTTACCCCAGCAGAAAATGCAATATTAAAATCTAATTTTTATTTATTCTATGTAATATTATATACGAGCTCATAGGGTTCTGTTCTGTGTCCCCACCCAAATCTTATGTCGAGTTTTAACTCCCAGTGTTGGGGGAGGACTTGGTGGCAGGTGTTTGGATCATGGGAGTGGATTTCCCCTCTTGCTGTTCTCGTGATAGTGAGTGAGTTCTTATGAGATCTGGTTGTATAAAAGTATGTAGCACTAGGCCGTACATGTATTTCAGCCATGAATTTAACATGGTGAGAAAAGAAGTCTTTTTTTCCCCCGTGCAGTATCAATTGCTACACACTTGATCGTCTCTACGACAATCCCTGTCTCCTCCAGTTTTTCCTATCTTTAAATGAAAACATCATCCATCTGTTTGCTCATGCTAGAAATCTCTGTCATCCTTAACCCCTTTCTGTCACTCACCTCTCACACTCTATATGTCAAGTTGACCCTGTCCACTTCTCTCTGTTTCCACAGTAATTGGCCAGATTCAAATATCTTGCACAGACTCCTGTGATAGCCTCCTGAGCTCTCTTTATATGCCTTTGTATCCCTCTAATCTACTCTCTGCAGAATAGAGTATTATTTTTAAAAACCTGATGATGTTGATACCTCTTAAAACCTTTCGGTGTCTTCTGATCCTCTTTGTATAAAGCTTAAAATATTTTCTGTGGCTTACAATGCCTTACCTGATATGGCTTCCTGCTTTGCCATGGTTCATTTACATTGGTCTTCATTCTAGCTTTGAACAACTAAACATTGACCTAATGACATATTTTCATGCTTTCTTCTGTCAGCCACAAGCATACACCATATATTGTCTTCCCCTTTTTTGGGTGACCAATGTGTAATTTCATTTTTTTGGCTTTATTTCAAGCATTCTTGTCCATTGGAGAGCTTTCCTGAACTCCCAGTCTACCATCAAGTCCTTTGGTTACATTCAGTAATAGTATATTTATATTTCCTTCTTTGAACTTTGTACAGTTAAAATTTTATTGCCATAATGTCAATACTTACTATTTATCTTCCCCATTAGACTATGTGCTTCCTGAGGGCTGGCCTCTCTAAACGTCCTTCAGTGCTTTAGCATCATTGCTTAGTTCAGTGACTAAAACATGAGACACTCAATATCATGTAAACAGCTTCTATAGAAGACAGTATAGCAGCCTGAAAAGCAGATAACCTGAATTTCAGTCTCATTTCTCCCACAAAAATAACTCTGTGGTGTTGAATAAGGCACTGGCACTTTCCTTATGTCTATGTTTTCATTATACAAGACAGAGTTCATTTGCAGGGAAAAAAAAACTACTTTAAAGAGAAAGAATCTCAAAGAAGGAAATTAATGTTTACAGAATTACTAGAAGGGTGGGAGGAGAAGGCCCTATCGGGGCTGGATTTCTAGAGGTGACTCTTTTACCTCTCTCAGGAGCAGAGAAGATAGGAAAATTGTGAGACAATCCCCCATAGCTGCTACCCTGGCATGAGGAAGCCATCACTGCCACTGCCTCAATGACCTTTGTTTGTTTGGTTTTAATTTTTATTATAATTATACATACACATAGTTTAAAAAGACCAATAGTTTTTTTAAAAAAGTTTCTTATGAAAACAAGCAGTCTTTGGCCATTTTCATTTTCCCTTTTTTTGGAGGGAACTACTTCTACCTTTTCTTGAGGATTATTTTGGGATTACTTCCAGGTCTCTAAATAACATGACTATGTTGCTGCTTATATTGCTCCCGTGAAAGATACACACTTAGCACTCCATGACCACTCCCCTCCCACTGCACAAATGCTTTCTTGCAGACCTACAGGACAATGCACTGCTGTTCCAGGAGTGAACTACGCTTATTTTTCTTTCGCCATGAAGCTTGTGTTTTCCCTTGTCATAACGTCTAAATATTCTTTCAAGGTGTGCAGACATGTCTGGTATTCTATCAGTTTCACCTTCCTGAAGTGAAATAATTTTTCTGATCTATTCCCATCTGGAGTACGTTGGATTGTTTTCCTTCCTTGCCTTTGTCATGGTTACTGGTAGAGGTTCTCCCTTCATTGTTACCTGAAGATTCTGTTGTGTTTGATTACTTTATTCCTTGACAGTCAACACACCCTATATGGGTACATAGAGCTTGCAGACTGCTTGTCTAAGTATTGACTTTTTTTTTTCCTTCTTCTTTAACAGCTTCATGGAAATGTAATTTACATACCATGCAATTTGCCCAATTAAAGCATGCAATTTCAAGGTTTTTAGTGTATTTACAGAGTTGTGCAACCATAACAAAAATCTAATTTTAGAAGATCCATGTCTCTCCAAATTGAAATCTGTACCCATAGCAGTCACTCCACATTCTCCCTTCCCATCAGTCCTATAAAGCTAGGCAATCATTAATCTACTTTTTTTGTCTCTATAGATTTGCCTGTTCTCATCATTTCACGTGTATGGAGTCATATAATATGTGGTGCATTAGTCTGTTTTCACATTGATATAAAGATACTCCAAAGACTGGGTAATTTATAAATAAAAGAGGTTTAATTGACTCACAGTTCTGCATGGCTGGGGAAGTTTCAGGAAACTTACAATCATGGTGTAAAATAAAGGAGAAGCAAGCACTTTCCTCACAAGGAGGAAGGAGAGAGAGAGAGAGTGAAGGAGGAACTGACAAACACTTTTAAAACCATCAACACTCATGGGAACTCCTTCACTATCACAAGAACAGCATGGGGGAAACTGCCCCCAATGATCTAATCACCTCCCACTAGGTCCCTCCCTCAAAACCTGGGGATTACAATTCAATATGATATTTTGGTGGGGACACAGAGCCAAACCATATCACATATCTTTTGTGGAAGGCTTTTTCACTTAGCATTATGTTATCAAGATTTATCC
This sequence comes from Homo sapiens, assembly GCF_000001405.40. NCBI lineage: Eukaryota > Metazoa > Chordata > Mammalia > Primates > Hominidae > Homo > Homo sapiens. The sequence continues at coordinate 186,297,997 of NC_000002.12, read as the reverse complement.
ATGTTGTAGTCCATATTAGAGTTTAATTTCTTTTTATGGCTGAATAATATTCCATTGTATGGATTTATCACATTTTGTTTATCCATTCTTCAGTTGATGGTCCTTTGGATTGACTCCACTTTTTTGCTATTAAGAATAATGCTGTTATGAATATTTCTGTATACATTTTTTAATATTTAAATTTTTTAAGAGGTGGGGTCTCACTCTGCTGCTCAGGCAAATCTTGGACTCCTGGGTTCAAGTGATCCTACCCCCTCGGCCTCCCAAAGTGCTAGCATTACAAGCATGAGCTACTGTACCCGACCCACACATTTTCGTATGGCCATACATTTTTATTTATTTTGGGTACTTAAGAGTGGAATTACGTTGTCATATGGTAACTCTGTGCTTAATATTTCAAGGAACTGTAAAACAGTTTTCCAAAATGACTGCTCCATTTTACATTTCCACTAGCAATGTATAAAAATTCTAATTTTTCCACATTCTCCTCAATACGTGTTATTGTCTTTTTGATAATAATCATCCTCATGGGTGTTAAGAGATATCACTTTATGATTGATTTTTCTAATGATTAATAATGTTGAGCATCTTTTCATATGCTGATTGGCCACTCATATGCCTTCTTTGGAGAATGTCTATTAGGTCTTAATTCTTAAATATGAACATTCAATCAAGGATCTGTAGGTATAGAGAAAAGCTTTATCCACAAGAATAGAGAGAATCCCACTGGAAAAATTACCTTATAAAAACAGTAATAATTCAGGGGGAAAGAAGTAAAAAAGAAAACTCACTCTGTTAAACATCCTCAGAGAGATATGAGGATTTCTTGGAGTCATGCAAGAGGATGCTCTGCAAAAGAAAGTTTGAGCATCACAGGCTGCCTAGGTGTGGAACTCTAAAACCATTCAGATAGGAGAGCAGAGCTCCTGTGGGAGATGTGGGAGAAGCTCGAGACCTTTGGCTGTTGGGTTGGACCAAAAACGTGTACTTTAAACTAAATGTGTGTGTGATATATAGAGTCAGTTAATAAGGTTCTGCTTGTGATAGGTAATCTTAGGGGTTGAGATGACAGCAGGAGTCAGCCTGTATTTGGGGGATTTTTCTTTGCAGGATGTAGTTATTATTTCCTACCCTTGCAATATAGAAATGTGTCCTTTATTAATGTAAAATATTCAGTTAATAACCATATTTTCATTTAAAATGTAAAATTTATTAAAGTGAATTTTGTACTGATCAGCACATTGGCAAAAAAGCCTAAATAATGAAAGAATCTTTTGCTTCTTATACAATAGCCTAAGGGAAATGGACTGGTGAAGAATTAGCCTTTCTCTGCCAAGTCAGATAATAATAAAAGGAACAGAGCCTCACTAGGGGTTAACTGCTGTGGCAGATTATCTTGTTGGATCACAAGATACTTTAATACCCAAAATAGTTACTAGCATGCTTACTATTCCTGTCTTCCAGATTACCTCTCTACAATACCATTCACTAACTTATGGTAGTCTCATAGCTAGAGGTAGCAGAGCTGAAATTAGAAACTAGGGAGTCTGATTGTAGTTCCCACCCTCTTTGTACACCCTGCTGCTTATTCTTCTCTGGGGAAGACAATAAACCAATTAAAACTGGTAGTTTTTCAGATACTTTGTCCTGGTCTGAGAAAGAGTTGTCATTGTACATCAACCTTTTGCTAACACATCCATCCTATGGAAGAATTTTCTACCCTAAGGCTAGCAGTATTTCATCAGGGGGCAGGGAAATTGATTTCTCTTTGCTCTTTGTCTTTTTATTCACTACACACAATTAATAGGCCTTTTCTCCTTCTTAGTGTCTGCTATCATTGAGTGAACTACAAAGAAATGAAAGAAGAGCACAGTAAAATAATAAGTTGGCTTGGAAGCAATTTTCTAACACTATGTGATAATGATTTCACTCTCCTTGGTATCAGAGATATCTGTCACCACTGAGGAATTTTACAGTTGTCAGAGAACTAGTTAAGAGAAAAAAACTTGACTTTGGTGTATAAAATTAATACTTATAATGGTCATCAATAAAAATAATAAAAACTGCTTATCATCTATGGATAATTGTCTTATGTGTAACAGCTATGATGACTATCATTAGTATCTGTCAAGTTATTACTTATAGGTTTTATTTGATTACGACACTAAATTATGTTCAAACATGCTGAAGTTCTTTGGTTCTATGCCTGAAATCTTAAACTTGATTATCTCTTTCTTTCATCACAATCCCCTTTCTTTCCAGGTTGATAGTCTAGGCCAAAATCACTTTAATTCTTTGAACCTCATTTTAACCATCAGTAAAATAGACACTGTTACATAGAGTTATTGTAAAACCTGATTAAGATCATGTAGGCAAATTACTTGGCCAAGTTGCAAGATTGTTGCAAGAACTGTATGAATATTCATTCCTTTTCTCATATTCTCTTTTTATTGTTTTTTTTTCTTTTGGTCTTCAAACACTTAACCTTTCAGGTTTACTTCAGCAATTCTCTTGCCTGTGTCCCTAACCTCCTCAATTCCATGTCCTTCTTATAAATTACTTCTTAGTTCACCTAATCTAATTTTTTTTGCTCTTAATCTTGAGTGCTCAGTGCAGCAAAGAAATTTACATGTTGATATACTGTTCCCTCAACAAGTTCAGTTTCTGCATCATTTGAACTCCCAAGCACCCTTTACCAATCCCATTACTTGTGTTTACTGAATTCCTTTGCATGTATTTATTTCAGAAGTACATCCTACTCAAACCCTCTAAGGTGAATGCCATCATATTCAGGCAATGACCTACATCACAGAAAAGCTAATTCTCTCAAATCAATGTCCACTATTGGTCAATATGGCTTCCTATGTAGAATCCTGTCCTTCCCTTAGTGATCCTCAGGGGAATACATGTTTGTCCTTCTGTTCACGGCATTTCCTTCCTTGTACTTTTGATGCCATGTTCTGATTGTTTTTTTTTCAGGTCCTTGCTCTATCAATTTCTTTTTCTGTCTCTTCTCTGTGTATGTGTGTGTGTCTTTGTGTTTTGCAGTAGCTCTCTGTTTATTTCTCTCCAATGTCTTGAGATCTGAGCATGTTTATATTTCTTTCAATCTACAACTCTCTCCCTATGTTCTGTTGTCTCATTTCTTCTGCAGCAATGTTTATGGAGTACATTTTTTCCTCTCTGCTTCTTCAGCTCTATTTTATTCTTCTACCTACCTACCTATCGATGTCACTCTGTTGCCACTGATGTTGCTACTGCTTCTAATTATATCCTAAGTGCCAGATGTAAGGAACACTTTCAGTCTTAATCTTGGCATCATTTGAGAGTTTTACACTTTCTTTAAAGCCACAGGCACTCTGCATAGACTGGCTGAAAGCACATACTTAAAACCAGGATGTAATTCTTCTCTTCCATTGTAAATCTTCTTTTGCCCGGTTTATGGGTTTCCATGCTGTAGCTCTGGATCTAGGTTTTTCTGCCCTGCCAATTCATTGTGGTTTGGTTATTTTATTCATCATGCTGCTTGATTTAATTCTGTTCTCTCCCTTGGAGGTTGCCTCCCTTTGACTCTACACTGTGTTGTATATGTGTCACCCCTTCCTCATACCTGCTTTAGAGCACGAAGGACACTAAAGCCCAGTGTATGTCCAGTGTTCTGCCCACCCACTTGTGAGAGTAAAGGTTGGTTAGATCCAAAAGCAATGCAAGGGGTTCTTTTACTCTCTAAGAGAGATAAGGCATCACAGTGTGCAGAAAACACAAGTGAAGTTTACAGACTGAGATCATCCAATAGTTAATTGCCAGTCATTATATGGAGCCTATCTACTTAAGATGTAGTACACATGTATATTATACTTCATAATCTGAAAATATTTTATTTTTACACTATTGCTATTTTCCTCCTGATATTCTCTAGTGTGGGGGAGAAAAAAGGAGGAAAATGAAAAAATAATATAGATTATACTGCTACTCTTGGCACACATAAGATTAATCCATTTTGTTATTTTTCTACCTTTTTTTCATTTTATTGTTCTTCTATACTCAAACTCTAAAGACTAATTTCCCCATGGATCTATTTTTGGGTCAAGTGTTCATTTTTGAACCAATTGGTGTCCTCAGAAGGCTGTAGAATTAGCCACTTGCCTACCTCTTCACTGTCCAGTAGCAGTGTGCATCATAGCCCCACCAGGACAATGTGGAGTAGGGAATTACCCTCAAGGTAACAAGAAAAATAGCACAATCGATTGCCACTATAGCCTATTCTAATTGCTTATAGATAATTAAATGTAATATTTGACATTTCATAAGTAACTCTTTGAACTTCAGATTCTTCATAAAATAGGCTAACACCTATATTGCATGAACGTGTTAAAAATGCCTTGCATGATTGTCCATTTCTGGCCTATAATACAAGTTTCATAGAATCTCAGCCTTCTATCTATTCTTTTACTTTCTCCTTTTTAAATCGTTCTCTTTTTTCTAAATCTGTTGCCAATATAATGTTTCAGAATCCCTTCAACTTTCCTCTATACTATTGTATTTACCTCTGAACCAGTTTTCCCATTACAGGTAATTTTCCACACTACTTCCATGGTTATTTTTTTTTAATACTGTCTGATAATGTCACTTTTCTGCTTAGAATCTGCCCATATGTATATTAGCTAACAGTACTTCTCAATCCTGTGTCTCCTAAGAGTTTTGATGGGTGGTGACATTCTATGTATAGAGAAATAATTCAGAAATAGCCCCAGTGCTGTAAAAAAAAATTCCCAGCACATTAACTCTAACTTCGTTCCCTTCTTTCCAGCTTCAGAAAATATTTCAGAATTTAAGGAGCAATAAAGAAGAAAAGTCTTAAAATTTTTTAAATTTTTACATGAAATATTACTCTTCCTTAATTAATGGTAAATGATTGCATATATCTTATGATGAGCCATATAAATTTTTGAGACACAGGTAAAGTAAAAGAAATTATTCAACAGTTTGTATTTTTATATTTCTTTAGACTGTGTCTGTACCTGTTATCAGTTTTCTGCAAGTGACTTTCTATCAATGCAGTCTCCTTCAAGTGGAAAGGCTTCAAGTGGAGCCCTCAAAACATAGGATGTATAGAAAAGTAATGCTTCTTCTGATAATAAATTATATTCCATTATTTCATAATGATTTATGATAATTATGATTTTCCTTTAGAAAATAATACAATATAGGTACTTAAAATATTAAGGTTTAGGAATATTTTAGATAAGATTCCAGGGGTGGATAATCAGTAGTTTCCCAACCCACTAAGTCACTTTCTGAAACATCTTTATTAAAATATAATCAATATACAAATAACTATACATATTTAAATATATACAATTTGATGGGTTTGGACATATACAAACACTGGAGATACCATCACCACAGTCAAGGTAATAGACACATCCAATACCTCCCAAAGTTTCCTGCATCCTTTTTCTTTTTTTGGTAAGAACACATAACATTAGATCTACCCTTTTAACGAAGTTTGAAGTGCATAATACTGTACGTATCATTAAATATAGGCACAATATTGTACAGCAGACATCTGTAATATATTCATTTAACATAACTGAAATTTTATATCCATTGAACAACAACTTCCCATTTCCCTCACCCCCAACCTCTGATAGTCACTATTGTATTCTCTGCTTCTATGAGTTACTAAGTTATGTTTATAAACGAATGATTTGGTCAGTGTCTCAGTCCTGTAGCTGAACCCACCTGACTTCAAATAGATATATTTTTCTAGCATTCTTCTCTGCAATGGATTTTTAAACTTCATAGACCAGAACAGTGTATTCCTTTTTTAACCCTGGAGGGTTTAGAGAGGAACCACAGAAAAATATAGTTTTTAAAAGGCTTTTTAACAAATTACTATATTTGTTATTTGAGGTTTTACATCTTCATTAATGTTAGCATGATACTTTTAAGAATATTACATTAACCTTAAATTTTTTTTACAAGTTTTTTTAGAAGGTCAAACAAATCTTGGCAAATGGCTGGTGCTTAAATTTTTCTCATAGTAAGATATCTTCAGTGATTACACAAAGATTTGATATATATTCATTTTACTTGAACTATGCTATGCATCTCATAAGCTGTAACCACCCATTGGCTTTCTTAAGTGTCGGGTATTTATTGCCTGTTGAGCTATAATTTTCTAGTAGTCCAAGAAAGAAAACAATTATCTGCATTTTGCCTGATACATGGAAGTCCAAATCTAGAATTCAATCCTATTCTTATAAGGCTTTATTCTTTTTCAGGGACAAGTAAATCAGGGGAAAATAATTTGCCGTCTGTCATTTACATCTTTGTATAGAAATAGGTGCTCTGTCCTGGCTCTTCAGCTAAATAACTGTGTGACTTTAAACTTTAGGAGAACTTATAAAGGAATCCCAAGATTCCATCTAGTGGAAAAAAATCAACTTGCTGAGTATTAGCTGTATTACATGACCAAGGATGTGATTATTTACTCCTCTACTTACTAGCTGTGTGGCTTTGGCAAGTTACTCCAACCCTGCCTCTGTGTACTCATTTATAAAATATAGATAGTAATAGCACTCACCTCATGGGCAGTTGTGAGGATTACAGAGTTAATGTACTCAAGCACTTAGATGAATGTGGTCAGCTATCATTATTATAATGACAATCTTAATTACCACCATCATTACTTGGCAGGGGGTGGGATGGTAGACCTTAAAGGTATTAGTTGCATTAAGAGAGAAAGAGCCAGGAGTGAAAGATAATGGTGTACAGTGAAACCATATGCCATGGTGACAAACTGAAGGGGTTTTCAAGTTTGCCTGAATTTGGTAGCTTTTTTTTTTTGCCACTCTTCCTAAGACTCCTTGATTATTTGTTCATGTGTCCTAAGGTTTGCTTGAGATGATAACCTGTGGAATTACATTGCAGATGCTCTCCATGATTTTCTAACACCTATTTTAAGTGCTGGATTCCTTTAGCCTTGGATTTATTTTCTTCTTTATATGAGGCGTGTATTAGTAGAAATAAAACTGCAAATTCATTTTGCTTCTCATAAAAAGTACTTTTATTATAATAAATAATTTTAACTGATTTCTTTTGTCTTGAAATTATATAGTTTGAATATATGTGAATTATGTCTTAGAAGGATCACCTAGTGCTGGCCGGGCACGGTGGCTCACGCCTGTAATCCCAGCACTTTGGGAGGCCAAGGCGGGGGCATCACAAGGTCAGGAGATCGAGACCATCCTGGCTAACATGGTGAAACCCTGTCTATACTAAAAATACAAAAAAATTAGCTGGGCGTGGTGGTGGGCGCCTGTAGTCCCAGCTACTAGGGAGGCAGAGGCAGGAGAATGGCGTGAACCCGGGAGGTGGAGCTTGCAGTGAGCTGAGATGGCGCCACTGCACTCCAGCCTAGGCGACAGAGTGAGACTCCGTCTCAAAAAAAAAAAAAAAAAAAAAGAAGGATCACTTAGTGCCTTCATAAACTGTTCTCTCATGACATTTTTCATTTTGAAATAATCAGTTTCCTTCTTGTGAACTGTAATCGGTAAAACAAAAACATTAATCAAGGCTTTGAGACTGCTATTTCTAGTTTGACTAAAACTCTTGCAATAAAAATTTCCAAATTATCAGACATTTGAAAGATCTTGTGTATATTAGATTTGGTACATGACTAACATATTGTACAGCAATACCTTTTCATATTTTATAGTTGAAAATCCCCCAAACTAGATGTAAACATGTAAAAAATTATACTAATTGACAAAAAAGCTTTGGATTTGTAGGCAATTTCTAAATATAAAACTATAAAACTCTGGTCACTATTTAGCTATATTCTTACTGACTATACCATGAGTATGCATTAACCAAATGTATAAATATCTTGAAGTTATAAATATGCTTATTTTACTCCCCCAAAATTGTAATCTAAAATGAGTACTCATAAAAAAAGTAAATGACACAGTCCATGATTTCCTGTTTTCTAATGTTGTTTGCATCTAAAGAAAACAAATTGGCTACTTTGTAAAAAGTGGTAATTAATTGAATTACCACTGTTTTTACACTGCTTTTACCCGAGACTGAGTAATTTATAAAGAAAAGAGGCTTTATTGACTCACATTTCAGCATGGCTGGGGAGGCCTCAGGAAACTTACAAGGAAGTTGAAGGGGAAGCAAGATATGTGTTACATGGTGGTAACAGAAAGAGTGAAGGGGGAAATGCCACTTTTAAATGATCAGATCTCATGAGAACTTACTGTCACAAGAACAGCATGGGGAAACCCGTCCCTGTGATCCAGTCACCTTCCACGAGGTCCCTCCCTCAACACATGGGGATTACAATTTGAGATGAGATTTGGGTGGGGACACAGCTAAACCATTTCATTAATAAAATGATTATGTCTATGTTTAATATAATAATTACAGAAGAATATACATATGTATGCAAAATAATGGATATTGTATATTCCTTAAGAAAATGTTTAGTTTATTAAAGTGAAACTTCAATGTAATCTATACATTTTTAAATTTAGTATGCTGATAAGTTTAATTATTTCTTAAAATAAAGATAAGAGCTTTATTATATATTCCCATGATTATGTATTTATATATTTCTAAATGCATACATATAAAGTTATATTAATTTTTAAAAATTCTGTAAATGAGAGAGACAAATTTAAGGATACATTCAAAGTTAATGAAAATATTAACACAAAGGGCATATACTGTCTTTAATAAAGACTATTATGAGTAAATTTAAAATTTAGGTTTTTCTATTATAAAATGCTCAAATTATTGTATGTCTATATAACAAAAGTTCCTTTTTATAGCCAATATAGTCTATTAAATTCTGTACTTCTGGCAAACTCTCAAGACATATTTATGAAACATTCATTATTTTTTAATGTTCAGTTTTTAAAAGTCACAGTTATTGCTATGCTTTAAGATAATATTTATAATAATTATATGTTGAAAAATTACAATTTATAATTATTTCTTGCCTCACTGACAATTCACTTCACTTATTTTCTTTCACTATCAGGCCCTAAATTCTGAATAATGAAACAGTCACAATGTCTTTTATGCTTGAATCTTGTATGTTTTTTTTAATGGCCCTAAGTAACACAAAATTTCACTCCTTCATTTATAAATAAGAAGAACAAGATTAAGTTTGTTTTGACATTTTCCAAATTTCATTAATTCAAAACAATCGTGATAATAGATTTTGCGATAAAAGACTGACGAATCAAAAGAAAAGTTTATTTTTAGCTTAGTTATGTATAAAGGAAAAGATTACTATATATATACTTCAATGATTGTGTGTTTTTCAGGTTAAAGAAAGTATATTCAAGTTCATGCATAAATACTGGTATAATATCTATCAAGTGATTTTCTTTCTATGTTTCATAAATTAGGAATCATTATAATACTTTATAACATACATCAAAAGACCTAATGGTTTTTCAGGGTCAGACTATTCTTACTTCCAGGGTAATCTTTGACTATATCCTTATAAATCAATTGTGTGCTATAACTTAAAAGAAGATTCAACTCTTCCATTCTGCTAGTGCTGATTAACGTAACACATTAGCCAGAGCTATTAGTTTTACTACCATGGCAGGGGTAAATTGACTAAATTTCTAAACCAGCATTGATTTGAAAACTTTAAAGGCATAGCCAAAGGTGTTTGTTTCTAGTGCATGTCTTACTTGCCTACAACATAATCTTGTCAAAGCTGTGAAGGTGGTATGGGGAACAGAGCTAAATCCTGGAGGAGGCCTGTTGAGTATCTCCAAATGGGTTTTATACAATTGCCTCCAGCACTGAGATATATCAGTGTTTTCATTATTGTATGCTTATTCTCAGGGTGAATCAAAACTTTTCCCTGTCTGAAAGTCACAGCTTTCAGTAGACATTTAACAGTAAAATGTTACTTGGCCTTAAGCTTCTCAGCTGGAGAATCCCTATCGACCTCTCTAGTGATAGAGGAAGCGGTTTATTTTCACAGTCATTAAAGAATCAGAGTCTTATCCTTAAGCCCCAAAACTACATTGTTCTTATCCTCTGTGGTCTTCTGAGAAAAATGAAAAGGAAATGGCATTCTAAAATGCAAGCTTGCCAAATTCACCAAAGAGCCTTAATTGTCTTGGCCTAAGATGCTCCCTTTTGCCCTAATGACCATTAAATCTACTTCCTCATGATCATATAGATTATCTTCAAATGAGCTTGTGACAGTTCATTCAGTGAGAGGAGAACTTCAGTTTGCATTGTAGATTCCACCCTATTCAATGCAGACATAGCGAAATATTGTCAAAGTTTGATGTAATGTTCTCAGAATTATCATTAACATAGGGAAACTAAAAGTATTAATCATTGAATCAAAATGAAAGTACTACATGTGAAATTACTTTAAAATGGGGCCTAACGGTCAATTTAGAGCCTCAATTACGTTTATCAAAAAGCAGGAAAAAGTTATGTGTGAAGTTAAAAAACTAGCAAAGAAGAACAGAGTAACCAACAAAAAAGTAGGAATAAAGAAAAATAAAGATGAGTAGAAAATAATTAAATGGAAACACTAAAAACAGTAAGTTCAAAAAAACCAAAAGATGGTTATTAGAAAAAAATTGTGTATAAATCCTTAGCAATAATAATTAATGAAGAGAAAAAGTACAAATATTATATAATATTTACACAATAAAGGTAACATGAACTGACATATATTAAAATTAAAAATAACCTAGGAGAAGTCTATGAACAATTTTATGCCAATACATTCCAGAACCTAGATGAAATAAATAATTTGTAGAAATGTAAGTGAGGAAATTTGAAGAAAAATTAGGAATCCAAGTAAATTAATAAAAATTAAATAAATTGAATCAAAATCTTGCTCAACAAAAGATACCATACCTTGGAAGTCTTAGAGATAAATTTTACCAAACTTCCCAGAAGAAAGATATTTCTAACATCTTTATTATAAATATGTGTATTTTTTTCAGAGGGCAGAAAAAGAGCAAAAGCTAGTCAGGTCATTTTATGAAATTACTATTATTTTGATAAAAAACTAAACAGCTATGGTGCAAGAAAAGAAAATTATAGACCAATTTGTTTAAGAAAGAAAATAATCAGGTCCTAGTTTACATACTCTCAAATCAGTTTCACCATTGTGTAAAACTCAATAATACATCTCAACCCAGTGATACATACCAGATATACAAGAAATTTTCAACATCAATAGATTAAAGAGGGTGGAGTCACTTTAGCAGATACAGACAAAGAAATTGGTAAGTTCAACACTCACCAGAAGAACACCATTAACAAATTAGGAGTGGAAAGAAACTTTATGAACCTGAAAAAATATATCAAAAAATTTTGATGGCAAGCTTACCAATGGTGAAACTGTACAAGCATTCTCAGTAAAGTCAAGAGCAAGAAAAAAGGCTGTCATTTTCATTTTTTTTGTAATGGAGGTCCTAACCAATACAATAAGGAAAGCAAATGGGGTTTAATGTTGAAATGAGAATGTGTTCACTTCTTTTCTTCAGATGCCATAATTATCTATATAAAAACTCAAAAGAATCCATTAGAACTATAAGAATTGAGCAATTTCCTGAAGAAAAACATTTAAAGAATTAATAATGTTCTTATGCACTAACAATTGCTAACAAGAATATATAATGTTCAAAACAATCCTATTTAAAGTAACATAAAATTTATAAGGTATCCAAGATTAAATCTAACAAACAATGCACAAGATCTATAGGGATAAATTAATAGAATAATATTAAATGATGTTAAAAAGGATAACTAATAATTACATTTACCTAGTATCTTAAAAGTTATCCCTTCCCAATTTATAACTGAATGCAATTATGATAAAAATTTTCTCCCTGTAAGTTGACATGGAAGAAAAAACGTCCAAAAATAGACAACATGCTTCTTGAGAAGACTGAAGTCAGAAACCTTTTACTCATAGTTATCAAGATATCTACAACTATAGAAATTAAGATTGTGGCAAAATCATAAAAATCCAATGACGAGAGACCAGGATTAGTATTATGCATATAGATAGACAGACATATATATATCATATATATATATGATAGATGATAGATAGATGGATAGATAGATGATAGAACAGTCAGAGATACAGATATAATGGCACAGTGAAATCCTAAGTGCAAAGAAGATCATTTTAATAATTATTCGGTGCTTGGATGATTGATCATATGTGTTAAAAAACAAAAAATGATACACTTATCTCAAGCTGTAGCAAAAGAATTTTGGAGGTGGAATAAAGACCTCAATATGAATATTAGATTTTAGCATTTCTGAAAAAAATACAGGACAATATCTTGATGACATCAAATTCTAGAGAGTAGTTACCTCTGAGATAGAGGGATGCAAAGGTATATAAGGAAAAGCATACAGATTATTTCAACTAAGTTAATACTTTTTTATTCCTTAAAAAGGTTTTAGGCTGATAGAATATCTAACATAAAATTATAGATCAAGCGATGATAAATTTTTCATAATATAACAACATTTTTTTCCATACGTTTGAAACATTGAGAATAACAAAATAAAGAATGTACTAATCTTGGATTGCATCCTGAACAAAGAGAATAATTTACTGCTTCTATAATTGGGTCATTCTTTCTATTAGTGAGGTATAATTGAGGCTAAAGGTGAACAAGAATGTGGAAGGTGTACCTTTAAAATGGTAAACTTTACTTTGACAGAACAAATATATATGTATTGTATAATAGCAACTTTAAGGAAATGATAAGATTATCCAGTTATTCTTTGATTTAAAACATAACCTTTTAAATTATATATTGAGTAGACATAAGAAATATTGAAATTTGGAAACAGGTAAATGTTTTGAAGGGAATTTAGCAGATAAAACTGAAATGTGAGAAGTACTTTACAATTCATAGATTATAAATTATGTAGGCTGATGTTAGCTTATGAAGTGTAATTCCATGAATAGATTAATTTTTCTTCTGTCTTTTCACTCAGAAATTGAAGGTGAAATAATATTTTGTTTAGTATAAAATATGTATGTAAGATGGAGATGTTAATTGTCTTTCTAACCATTTTCTCTGAAGTGGATAATAAAATCTACTTCATGAATTTTCTCTTTAAAAGCTATTTCTCTAGATTGAAAGAACTTGATCTAAAAAATGTAGATATTAGATATTGCAGGTAAACACTATTCAAATAACAATATAATATGCATTTTTTACTGTTATCTTGATTGTTTTAATATTTGTAAACAAAATATTGGCGGAGATAGAAAAAAATTAGGGTAATAATTACACAGTCCATGGATAATGATATTCACAGTATCATTTTTGTCTCTTCAGGTTGAAGGTAAAGTCTTCACACATAAATGTCATATTTCATAAGTATCTTATAGGTGCAGCAAATACATTGTGAGGGACCAGGGTTCTCCTTCAACTGGCTAAATGTTCAGTGCAATTTGTATGTTTTTGTCAGTTTATATTTTGCCTGTTGTATAAATTTTATCTGAATTAACTACAAAATATATTAGGGATTGTATTAGTCTTCTGTTGCTGCATAACAAATTACCACAAGTGTAGGAGCTTAAAACAACACAAATTTACTCTGTCACAGTTTCTGTGGATCAGGAAACCAACACATTTTTATTGGGTCTTCTTCTCAGAATCTCACAAGGCTGAAATCAGGGTGTCAGCTGTGGCGGGATTGTTCATGTGGAGCTTAGGATCCTCTTCCAAGCTCATTCAGGTTATTGGCAGAATTCAATTCATTGCAGTTGTAGGCCTTGTGACAGCTTGTTTCTTCAAGGCCAACAGGAAAATTCTGACTTATGTCTGCTAAGATAGTCTTTTTTTTTGAGATGGTGTGTCACTATTGTTGCCCAGGCTGGAGTGCAGTGGCACGATCTCCATTCACTGCAACCTCTGCCTCCCAGCTTCAAGTGATTCTCCTGCCTCAGCCTCCTGAGTAGCTGGAGTTACGGGCATGCACCACAATGCTCAGCTAATTTTTTTTTTTCTTAATTTTTAGTAGAGATGGGGTTTCATCATGTTGGTCAAGCTGGTGTCAAACTCTTGACCTCAGATGGTCCACCTACCTTGTCCTCCCAAAATGCTGGGTCTACAGGCGTGAGCCACCGCACCCAGCCGAAGTCTTGTATCATGTAATCTAATTAAAGGTGTGAGTATCCCATCATATTTACAAGCTCTGCCAACAATGGAGCAAAAGAGATTATATAGGATGTGCATATCAGGGGGTTGGAATCTTAGGGCTATCGTAGAATTCTGTCTACTACCAGGTTATTTATGTTCTCATCCTTAATTTAACTAATATAAAAAACCCTCCAAACATTAATTAACTAAAATCCTTGTTTCTCCTCTCCTTTGCGTAATGCTGTGTAACTCAAAGAGCTATTTTCTGATAATAACTTGCACAGCTAGCTAGCAGTAGGTATGTTTCTAATCTTCTGAATTAAATTTGGGGAAGAAGATAGCTGCAGTTTACCTCATGTCACTTAAGGGTGGTGAAATAGTGTCTGCATTTAGAAATACATATAATGTTGTTAATCTCATTTGTCAATCATAATAAATCACCTGGTATAAACTAGTATTAAAATTAATAAAATCTGAAAACTTTTAGAGAAAATTGTTAGTACTGATTATAGTTGAAGAGCAAAATTCATAGACTGAAATAGACAAGATTTTCCTTGGAGATATGTAAAACTAGACTTTAAAATTTAGTGGCATTTGATAGTGAGTGATTTGGGGGACAATTCTTATTGTTAGACAAGACACTACAAAAATGTTATGTTCATCTTGGCTTCTTCTTAAGTGATACCAGGCTTTGGCTTTTAAAAACAAAAATTATGAAGTGGACTAGTCATGAAAACATTTTTTCTTTTCTTTATTTGAAGTATTTATTTGAAGGGAGAGGATTTAGTTTCATTTTCTAAACTAGAATTATTTTTACTGATGGTGAAGTTGGTTGAGACAATAAAAAATAAATGAGTAAGTCAAAATCCTGTGTTTTGTATTATTGGCCAGTTTCAGGGCCTGGTAAATCAACAGTGAAGAAACTTCAAAGAAAAGGCAATAAAAAGTTTCAAGTCTATATAAATCTTACGTGAATCTTTCAGAAATCTTTTCACATAAGTCAAAAATAATTCTATAATGGGATAAAAGTACTGTCAGAAGAAATAGATTAGAGAAAGAAAAAAAAATCTTATAAGTTCAAACCTACTCCTGAGGGCCAGAGAACCCAGGTATCATCTCTTGTTAGGCCGGCTGGATTAATTTATATCATATTATTGAACCCCTGCAATGCAACAAGTGAGAAGTCTTTGTACCTCTAACCTCTGTGCTACTGTTTTTTAATATCTGCTTCAACTCACAGATTTTGTGGTTAGTACTGGCAGGTTTCTTAAAGTGTGAGATTAACGAATAGTAATTCCCAAGTGTTGTTAAAAATAAATAACTTTAATAAATGAAGAGCTAGTTTTCTGTAATTTTTCAAATTATATTTCCACTAGAGCAAATGTAAGACATGAAAATTATGTGAAATATCAAAATTTTGGTATTATGATTTATTATATTAATCATTAATTTTATGATGCAGATCCTATTGTATTTTGTGACCTATAATGCAAATTATAATTTTGATCTAAATGCTTCTTATTTTTAACTAGCATTTACACTGAAGCTTACATGGTTTCACTAAGGCTTTAATTAACCTCACTTCTAAATTTTATAATTTTTTTATAAACAATATAAGAAACGTCCTTTATCAGTGGTGGCAAAGACAAAAAAACGGCACATGAAGGAGCAACGGATAATTCTGCCTAAATAAATTCTTGAGAGTTTGAGAAATGCTTACATTCTAGTAAGAATTGAAAATGTTGAACTTCTTTCTTATTACACATTTTATAATGGAAGTTATATATTTAGACTGTGATTCATCCTTTTCTTTCACAAATTTTTAGACATAGGATTATGTAAGATGGCTATATGTGTTTTCACTCTTCATTGTACAAAACCTGAATCAAAACTTTACTTTGGCACATTATCAAAGTTTTTCAGTATCCCACATATTTTAATTACTAGATAATATAGAATCAACAGAAGCACATTTAAAATCATCTCGGTGAAAATAAAGATGAGTCAAAGATTATTTAAAAATCGCATTTTTTGCATTATGTTGAAATGACATTTAAGCAATTTTCCAGAAATGTAAGTTTTTTTAAATAGATGTCAGTCAATTTCAAGCAATTGGCTTAAATTTTTGTGGCAATGACATTTAGTAAGCATGTCATGTATTTCCAGAAATTAGAAATAATGTCTTGCAAGAAATAACTCAATGAGAGCTGAACTGAAGAAGATCAAGACAGAAAAAACCATTCAAAGATCAAGGAGTACAGGAGCTGGCTTTTTGAAAAAATTAATAAGCAAGATAGGCCACCTAGCTAGATTAACAAAGAAGAAAAGAGAGAATATCTAAATAAACATGATCAAAAACACCAAAGAGGATGTTACACTGATCCCACAGAAATACAAATAACCATGAGAAATTACTGTGGATACCTCCATGCACATAAACTAGAAAACCTAGAAGAGATGGATAAATTCCTGGACACATACAACCTCTCAAGACTAAACCAGGAAGGAATTGATTCCCTGAATAGACCAATAACTTCCAAAATGAAATAAGTAATAATAGCCTACCAACCAAAGAAAGCCCAGAACTAGACAGTTTCACAGCTGAATTCTACCAGATATATTAACAAAGAAGAGCTGCCACCATACCTACTGAAACTATTCCAAAAAATCGAGGACTAGGGACTCCTCCCTAACTCATTCTATGAGGCCAGCATCATCCTGATACCAAAATCTGTCAGAGACAAAACTAATAAAAGAAAACTTCTGGCCCATATGCTTGACGAACTTTGATGCAAAAACTTCAACAATTCAATTTGCAAATTGAATGCACCACTGCAGGGATCAAGTAGGCTTTAACCCTGGGAAGCAAGTTTGGTTCAACATATGCAAATTGTAAATGCAATGCGTCACATCAACAGAACAAAGATAAAAATCTCATGATTATCTCAATAGACGCAGAAAAAGCTTTCAATAAAATTCAACATCGCTCCATGATAAAAACTCTTAAACTAGGTATTGAAAGAACATATCTCAAAATAATAAAAGCCATCTATGACAGACACACAGTCAACATTATACTGAATGGGCAAAAGTTGGAAGTATTCCTGTTGAAAATCAGCACAAGACAAGGATGTCCTTAAAATTCATAGGGAACCAAAGAAGAGCCCAAATAGCCAAGGCAATCCTAAACAAAAAGAACAAAGCTGGAGGCATCATGTTACCTGACTTCAAACTATACTACAAGGCTGCACTAACCAATACAGCATGGTATTGGTACAAAAACAGACACCTGGACCAATGGAACAGAATAGATAGCTCATAAGTAAGGTTGTACACCTACAACCATCTGATTTTCAACAAAGCTGACAAAAACAAGCTTTTGAATAGGATGACCTGTGCAATAAATGGTGCTGAGATAATTGGATAGCCATAAACAGAAGATTGAAACTGGACCCCTTTCTTACACCAAATACAAAAATCAATTCAAGATGAATTAAAGACTTACATGCAAAACCCAAAGTGATAAAAATCCTGGAAGACAACCTAGGCAATACCATTCTGGACATAGGAATGGGCAAAGATTTCATGGAAAAGGCACCAAAAACCATTCCAACAAAAGCAACAATTGACAAATGGGATCTAATTAAACTTAAGAACTTCTGCTCAGCAAAATAAATTATCAACAGAGCAGTCAGAAACCCATAGAATGGGAGAAAATTTTGCAAACTATGCATCTGATAAAGGTCTAATATCCAGCCTCTATAAGGAACTTAAACAAATTTACAAGAAAAAAAAAACATTAAAAAGTGGGCAAAGGACATGAACAGACACTTTTTAAAAGAAGACACACATGCATCCAACACACATATGATAAAAAGCTCAATATCACTAATCATTAGAGAAATGAGAATCAAAAACTGCAATGAAATACCATCTCACATCAGCCAGAATGGCTAGTATTAAAAAGTCAAAAAATAACAGATGCTGGTGAAGTTGCAAAGAAATGGGAATGCTTATACACTGTTGCTGAGAGTGTAAATGAGTTCAGCCATTGTGGAAAGCAGTGTGGTGATTCCTCAGAGACCTAAAAACAGAACTACCATTCGACCCAGCAATCCCATTACTGGGTGTATACCCAAAATAATAGAAATCATTCTACCATAAAGACATGCATGTGTATGTTCATTGCAGCACTATTTACAATAGCAAAGACATGGAATCAACCTAAATGCCCATCAATGGCAGACTGGATAAAGAAAATGTGATACATATACATCATGTAACACTACACAGCCATAAAAAGAAGAAGATCATGCCCTTTTGCAGGAGCATGGATGGAACTAGAGGCCATGATCCTTAGCAGACTAATGCAGGAACAGAAAACCAAACACTGCATGTTCTAACTTTTAAGTGGTAGCGAAATGATGAGAATACATGGACACAAAGAGGGGAGCAACAGACACTGGGGCCTACTTGAGGGCGGAGGTTGGGAGGAGGGAGAGGATCAGAAAAAATAGCTATTACAAATAGGCTTACTACCTGGGTAATGAAATAATCTGTAAAACAAACCCCCGTGAAATGAGTTTACCTATATAACATACCTGCCTATGTACCCCTGAACCTAAAATAAAAGTTAAAAAAAGAAATCATATCTTGAATTAAACTAAATTCTTTTGAGATATATCATGCCTGCAAGGAGACAGGAAATTGATGTTTGAAATAAAATGAATATATTAAAATGTGCAAAGCTGAATTTTAATAAAAAATTTTAAAAAGGAATAATAATGTTACAGCAAAGCAATTACTCTCCTACATATTGATTATCTTCAGCAACTAAAACTAATCGGTCTAAGTAACAAATGAGCTTTTAAGTAGTTTAAAGATAGAATATAGAAATGTAGATAATTGCTTGTGTTCCTTTGAAGTGGGGAGTGGTATCCTTTTCACCTTCATTTCCAAAAGAAAATGTGCAAGCTATTTAGTTCTGATGAATTAATCTGAACTCAAAATTAATCAAGCATTTTCTTCTTCTTAGAATATTCAATTGTTAAGTACAAATGACTGGAGTCAGTTTTAAAATCCCTCGGAATTAAAATGGGGAAAGTGGAGGAGTATTAATGATAGTGCAGATGACTTTGGAATAAAAGTTTAGAGAAAGAAGAGCAAGCTCCTGAATTAAGCTCTGTAAATAAAATGTTTATATTAACAAGCTATGATCATTCAGAAACATATGAACTCAAGCAAGTATTTGTATTGTATCAAATATAATACAAATTGTATTTGTATTGTATCAAATATAATACAAATTGTATTTGTATTGTATCAAATATAATACAAATTGTATTTGTATTGTATCAAATATAATACAAATTGTATTTGTATTGTATCAAATATAATACAAATTGTATTTGTATTGTATCAAATATAATACAAATTGTATTTGTATCTAATCCACTTTAGTCAACTTTTAAAATAGAAAAATACAGTTATTTCTACAGTCTACATTCTCCATTCCATTGCTAGCTCTGTTAGTTATAATTGACATTGCTTAATCTACTGAAGCAATTTAATCTTCAATTTTTCTATATTTATATAATAGTGGGGCATGTATTGACAAAGAGGTTGCATTATCATAAATTTTATTGTCAGAAATTTTATCATTAAGAGTAAATACATTTCTAATTCTGCCCCTGACCTGCTATAAGATGTTTAGGAAGGGACTCTCCAATGAGATGACATTTGAGTTGAGACCTAAGTGGTGAGAATGGTGAAAGGCAGCCAGTCCTACAAAGATCAGGAAGAAACAGTAATAAGCAAGGGAAGAGAAAATAGAAGTTGAGAATGAACTTAGAGTGTTAAAGGAACTGAAAGAAGTCTGCAGGACTGGAGTGCAGTCAACTTGGGAAAGCCCAGGATGAGATACAGGTGATTAGGAAGGCAGAGGCCAGATCATGTTGATTTTTATACATCAAAGTTATGATTCTGAATTTTATTCTTAGGGCAATGAGAAGGAATTCCACTGAGGGTTTAATATATTTTTTCATTATGAAATATGTCATGCATGCAAAAGAGTGTGTATCTACTGCTTAATAAAGAGAATGTTGCCTACATCAACAAATAGCGCTGAAGCCTACTTATTCCTTAGTAATAGGATTCCCCTGACGCTCTCCCCATCTGAATTTTATGTTTGCATTCCATATACCTTCTTTCTAGTTATTTTATGTGCTGCAAATATAGTTTAGTTTTCCTCTTTTTGAATTATAAATTATATATTGAATTCACATAGTATATATTCCTCTGTGACTTCCTTTTTTGCCTCAATATTTTATATTTGTATTTTTTCTGCTAGATATTATTTTATTGCATTGCTACACCACAATTTATTGACCTGATCTATTAGTGATTGATCCTTGATTATTTCCTCCCCCATCCCATTTTTTGCTCTAAAGAAAAATACAGCTGTGAACAAACTTGCACTTGTTCCCAGATGCATATATGTAAGACTTTGTCTAGAGAATTGTTGCATGTAGGACATATGCATCTCCAACTTTAGTAGGAGATACAAAATCATTTTTCAAAGCAACTCTACCAATTTACATATGTACCAGCAGAGGACAAAAGTCTGAATTCTTGATATCCTCTCTAACACTTGATATTGTCAAATTTTAATTTTTAAAATGAAATCCAATGAGATAAAATGCTGACTCCTTATGATTTTACATTAAATTTCTCTGGCCGTCAGTAAGGTCAAGCAGTTTTACGTTTCCTTTTTTTTGTTTACTTTTTTCATATACTTTGTCATTTTTCTACTGATTTGTGTGTGTGGTTTTAAGATATGTTCAAAATATGAGCCTAATTTAGTTTATGATCTCAGTTATATTTGTAGCAAATATCTTGATACAATTTGGCTGTGCCCCCACCCAAATCTCACCTTGAATTGTAATAATCTCCACATGTCAAGGGCAGGGCCAGGTGGAGATAATTGAATCATGGGGGTTGTTTCTCCCATACTGCTCTACTGGTAGTGAATAAGCCTCTTGAGATCTTACGGTTTTATAAATGGGAGTTACCCTGCACAAACTCTCTTGCCTGCTGCCATGCAAGATGTGACTTTGCTCTTTATTCATCTTCTGCCATGACTGTGAGGCCTCCCCAGCCATGTGGAACTGTGAGTTGATTAAATCTCATTCCTTTATAAAGTACCCAGTCTTGGGTATGTCTTTTTTAGCAGTGTGAGAACAGACTAATACATATCCTTCACTCTGTGGCTTTTCTTTTAATTCTCTCAATGATATTTTTGATGAAAATATATTCTTAATTTTAATGTGGTCTAATTATAAACCAACTTTTTATGGTTAATGCTTTTATAATCTTGTTTAAAAAGACTTTTGATACCTCAAGTCACAAAATTTATTATCCTATATTACCTTCTAGGAATTCTATTTTATTTTTCCTTTTACATACAGATTTACAATTACTAAGAATCTAGTTTAGTCTTTGATATGAGACCAACTTTCCTTTTGTCTTATATGGATATGCAATTGTATACTGCTTCTACTCTTACTTTTTTTCTTTTTTTCTGAGATGGAGTCTTGCTCCATCACCCAGGTTGGAATGCAGTGGCACCATCTCGGCTCACTGCAACCTCAGCCTCCCAGGTTCAAGCGATTCTCCTGCCTTAGCCTCCTGAGTACCTGGGACTACAGGTGCACACCACCACACCTGGCTACTAATTTTTGTGTTTTTAGGAGAGACAGGGTTTCACCATGTTGGCCAGGCTGGTCTCAAACTCCTGATCTCAAGTTATCTGTGGGCCTTGGCCTCCCAAAGTGCTGGGATTACTAGCGTAAGCCACTGCACCCAGCCTCTACTCTTGTTTATAATTATTTCCTTGTGTGTTTAGTGATATAAGTAATTTTAAAAAATCATCCATACCTGCTATAAACTAAATATTTGTGCCCCCCCTAAAAATTCATATGTTGAATTCTAACCCACAATGTGATAGTATTAGGAGGTGAGACCTTCAGGATGTGATTATGTCATTAGGGTGAAGTCCTCATAAATGGGATTAGTGTCCTTATAAAAGAGATCCTGAAGAGCTCTCTTGCCCCTTTGACCATGTGAGGACATGGCAGAAAGATGGCCTTCTATAAACCTGAGGGCCTTCACCTGACATGAAATCTGCCAGAACCTCGATATTGAACTCCAGCACTGTGAGAAATAAATTTTGTTGTTTACAAGCCACTGTATCTGTGGTATTTTGCTAAAGTAGCCTAAATGAATTAAGACACTGTGGAAAGAAAATAAAATCTCAGAACCTCAAACTTACTATGCTAAAAGAAAAAGTTAAGCTTGGAAATTGTGTCACACACACACAAACTTCTTTCCCTTTTCTTCCTAAACAGATGTCTCCCCAGGTGGCCTCCCTCACCCTGACAACGTAAATAACGGCTTATCTTCATAGGTATGGGATCAGAGGAGACTAGAAATCATCCCATCGCCCACCTTGAGACAAATACATGTTTGACTTATTCCTCTACACAATGTTTATTTTACGTAAAGTGCAGATTTACTAAGCATGAGATGAATACATAACTGACTATTCATCTACCCCCTTCTTTCCACAGGCAACATGTGGATTCAGTGAACATTACTCATAGCCTCGAAAGAATGCAACCTCTTGTCTCATTTGTCTACACTCCCGCTTTTTTTTTTCTTTCCTCCCTCCCCTCCTGCTTGCATTTTCCCCTTTAAATATTGAAGCACTCAAAACTGTCTTTGGAGAAATCATGAATCACACATGTTCCTGTGATTTTGTGTTACTCTTTCCCAAGTGTGTCCTTCAATCTTGACAGAATGAACCTCTAAATTGGTTGATAATCACCTTTGTTTTTTTTTGATTTACAACACATCTTATTGCTTTGTTTTGCCACATTTGTTGCAAATCAAGGATCCACACACACCCCAGTTATCTCTTTTGTAGATAATTTTTTGATTTTAAAATTTTAAAATTTATTTTTACGTGGTAAAAAAATACGTAATGTAAAATTTACCATTTTAACCATTTTAAGGATACAGTTCAGTGGCATTAAGTGCATTCACATTGTTTTACAGCCATCACAATCATTCATTTCAGAAATTTTTCATCTCCCCATAATGAAACTCTGTTGTAATTGTTATTATTACTTATTGATAGATAATGTATATATTTACAGGGTACATGTGATATTTTGATACAGTCATATAATATGTGAATTTTCAAATCAAGATAATTGAGATATCAATCACCTTAAACATTTATCTTTTATTTTTGCTGGGAACATTCAAATTATTCTCTTCTAGCTATTTGGAAATATACAATATATTATTTACTATAGTTACTTTACTGATTTATTGAACGCTAGGTCTTATTTCTTCTATCTAACTGTATTTTTGAACCCATAAATCAACCACTGTTCATGCACCCCTCCCCTGTACCTTCTCAGCCTTTGGTAACCATCAGACTATTTTCTATCTTCCTGAGATCCAGTTTTTTAGGTCTCACATATGAGTGAGAATATGTAACATTTGTCTTTCTGTGCCTTGCTTATTTTATTTAACATAATTACCAACAATTCCATTCATGTTGCTGCAAATGACAGACTTTCATTCTTTTTTATGGTTGAATAATATTCCATTGTATAGATATACCATATTTTTTAAGTTCATTTATCTGTTGATGGAGACTTAGATTGATTCTATGTTTTGGCTAATGTGAATTCTATGTTTTGGCTAATGTGAATACTGCTGCAATATAGATGAGAGAAGAGTACAGATATCTCTTTGACATATTGATTTCCTTTCTTTTGGGTATACATCCAGTAGTGAAATTGCTGGATCATATGGTAGTTCTGATTTTTAGTTTTCTGAGGAAAATACATATGGTTTTCCTTAGTGTCTCTGTTGATTTTTAAGTCTTTAACAAATTTTTATTTCAATACATTAGGTGTATGTTTCCTTTTTTCTTTTGTATGGAGGCTTGGGATCAATTTTTGAAACTCAGAAATGGCTTATCACATGAATTCCATATCTTCTAATGTGTCTTTGAATTATTATTATTATTATTATTTTGAGACAGTTTCTCTCTTGTTGCCCAGGCTGGAGTGCAATGGTGTAATCTTGGCTTACCGCAACCTCCACCTCCCGGTTCAAGCAATTCTCCTGCCTCAGCCTCCTGAGTAGCTGGGATTACAGGCATGCACTACCATGCCTGGCTAATTTTGCATTTTTAGTAGAGATGGGGTTTCTCCATGTTTGTCAGGCTGGCCTTGAACTCCCAACCTCAGGTGATCCTCCCACCTCGGCCTCCCAAAGTGCTGGAATTACAGGTGCAAGCCACCCACCTGGCTGAAAAATGAGTGTCTTAATCAGTTTTGTGCTGCTGTAACAATACCTGAGTCTGGGTTACTTACAAAGACAGAAATGTCTTGGCTTACCGTTGTGGTTGGAAAGTCCAAGATCAAGGAGTTGGCGTCTTACAAGGGCCTTCTTGCTGTGTCATCACATAGTGGAGGGTAAGAGGTTGGGTGAGAGGCAGAGAAAGGAGTGGGGGAAGAGAGAGAGGACTGAATTCATCCTTTTATAATGAACCTACTCTAGTGATAACAAACCCACTCCTACAATAGTGGCATTAATCCATTTATAAAGCTCAAGCCCCCACTGTCTTATCACCTTCTTATACGCTCCACCTCCCAACACTGTTGCACTGGGGATTAGGTTTCCAATACATGCTTTTTGGGAGACACATTCAAATCATAGTAATGAGTTATTTACTCATATGCAACATTTAATTTATCTTTGTTTTAGTGAGATTTAAAAATTCCTGATATATGAAAGGCTTGAACAGCATATGACTTTTTTGAGCAGATAATAATTTAATACAGAAGTCAAAAGTTGAGGTCAAGTTAAATGCTTTCTTTGTCATAATAGGACATTAATTTTATAGTCAACTCAATAGATTATTTATTTTATAACTATTATGCCTATTACCATGGTATATGTTTATCCCACTATTTTTATCTCCCTCTTTAGAGAAATAGACATTAACCTACTATTTGATTAATATATAAATGTATAATTTTTGAATGCTTATTATTCATCATCACTTATAAAATTTGTATGATTTTACTTTGCTTATAAATGTAGATATAACTCATTCAGAAATTGGTTTATTTTAACTTTATCTTAACTATATAACCTATGTGATAAGTGATGCTCATCTACTTTTTAATCACAGATGAGGTCTAATTAAAAATATGACATACCTCTATTTTTTCCTATTTCTCACAAATTAAATATTTGTTTGTGAAACATTTCAAGGTAAGAGATATTTTTGTATGAATTCATACATTACCAACGTTTTCCAAGCTACCTGTTTCAGTCAGGTATCACCTCAACAACACTGTCTCAACTAAATGGTTTAAAATTACATTTTATTCTTCCAGTAATAGCTTAGTGCAATTGCTGGCTGTGCTTCTGGCTGCAGGCATGTAAACCAGCAAGGGAAGCACTACTCTAAATGTCTCATTCTGGGCCCACAGTACTTGGGGCCTTTTTTTTTTTTTTTTTAACTGCGAGGTAGAAAATCCCCAACGTGAGTGGAAATCTCAAAGCTTGAGTGCAAAATGGATACGCCAATAGTTTTGTGCTCAGAACTGATTACATTCCAATGGCTAAAACATGTCATATGACCAAGCCCTATATCAGTGAGGTGGGAAATGTATTCCCTGAAGGTTTAGGATAAGAATAAATATATGCTGAACATCATCTAATCTACCACATTTCCCTTTGACTGTCAATTAATAGCTACATGGCTTACAACAAATGTAATTGGTATGCTTTGGTGACCAAACAAAAGTTTACATTCAGGGAAAAATCCAATTATATATTCATAAATAATATCTTGATTTACATTTCTTTGTGTTGATTCTTGGAAGAAATATTTTTCTTTTCCTGAAATAATGTTCATCAGAATTTTTTCACTAAAATACATATTACACAGTAGTCCCCCCTTATCCAAGCTTTTGCTTTTCATGGTTTCAGTTACCCATGATCAACTGTGATCTGAAAATTGATAAGTATAGTATAGTAACATATTAAGAGAGGGAGATGACATTCACATGATTTTTATTATTATAATGGTTATATGGTTATATTTTATTAGTAGTTATTGTTAATCTTTTACTGTGCCAATTTATAAATTATACTTTATCACAGGTATGTACGTATAGGACAAATTATAGTATATATAGGGTTTGGTACTATCTGCAGTTCCAGGCATCCACTGGGGTTCTTGGAACATATCCCCTACAGATAAGGGAGGACTTCTGTATATTTTTACCCTCAAACTATCTGACTTTACAACTTGATCTGTGAGCTCTGTGCAGAGATTAAAGTTGTCATGAAAATAAGATAAAACTGTCAATGTTTTGTAAACATTGTGGGAAAGGAATTCATTTTCTAATGTTTTATAGGTCATGTAATTTCTATTTTAATTTGTGATGTTATACCTATTTTCTGTGGGAAATTATAGACTCAAATACATATACATTATTTATTCAATATAAATCCTAAACAGTTTAGTGCTGACAAAGTATGTCATCATCTTGCAATTTTAGCCTGAATTCAGTCATTTGTGACAGCATCACTTGTTCACTCTCTGTCCAAATTCTAAAATTTGCAAAATATTGCCGTATCAAGAGAACAATTTTTCTTTTCATTTCCTGGGGTAAGATAAATTGACTGTTGTTTGGGAGTGCAACTGATGGTGTTTCATAGAATTCTGCCAAAAAGTACCTTTCCACTCTGACCATCTTTTAATTGTTGGTGTTCTTCATGGCTGTCTTTTGGAAACTTTCTTCATTCTTTCCTAGGTAATATCATCATCTCCCATGGTTTCACTAAATCCATGTGCTAATGATGCTAGTAAATATAGTTCATATGTCTTTCCCAAGTTCGAAATCTATAAGTTATTGATCATAACTATACAAATATATCATAAACAACTTAAACATATTAAAAATTGCTTATTATGTTTGTTGTCCAAACTCACTGTTGTTTCTTTCTTTCTTTTTTTTTTCACAACGGAGTTTCACTCTTGTTGCCCAGGCTGGAGTACAATGGTGCGATCTCAGCTCACTGCGAACTCCACCTTCTGGGTTCAAGCGATTCTCCTGCCTCAGCCTCCCAAGTAGCTGGGACTACAGGCACGTGCCACCACACCTGGCTAGTTTTGTATTTTTAGTAGAGATGTAGTTTCACCATGTTGGCCAGGCTGGTCTCAAACTCCTGACCTCAGGTGATCCACCCACCTCAGCCTCCCAAAGTGCTGGGATTACAGGCATGAGCCACTGCACACAGCCATGTTCTTTTAATTCTATTTGGTTAATGGTATTGCTGCTCACATAGTTTCATAAGCAGGAAAATTCAGTGTTCCAGAAATAAATAGCCAGGCCACATCTGAATTTTTGAGAATAGATTATCTACTCTCCCGACTCTCAGGACTTAAATCGTAAGCGAGATGGTATGAGGGAGGTGGGGCTGTTGAGAGGTGATTAGGTAATGAGGGTGGAGCCCTCATGAATAAGATGAATTCCTTTATAAAAAGAGAAGGGGACATAGAATATTTTTCTTTGTTCTTTCCACGTGAAGATAAAATGGGAAAACATCTGTCCAAAAATCAAGAAGAGGGCTTTTAACAGAACCAATCATGCTGGTACCCTTATTTCAGATTTCTCATTTTCCAGAACTGTGAGAAATAAATTTCTGTTGTTTAAGCCAGTCAGTCTATGGTATTCTGTTATAGCTGCCCTAAATGACACAACAATGTGTTAACAAACAAATCCATAACTTAACGCTTTAAAACAATATATTATTCTCACTGCGATTCCTCTGGGTTGATGGGCTCAGCTGGGAAGTTCTTACTTGGACATTCTTACAGTTTCAATCAGATTTTGGATTTGGATTGAAGCCATCTGAAAGATTGACTGGGCTAGATATTCAAAATGCCTTAGTCAGATGGCTGACAGTTGATGCTCAGTTTGTGCCATTTGGCAGATCACTGCAAGTGGCTTCTTCTGGTAACTTGGACTTCTCACAACATGGCAATTAAGTTTTGAGGGGAAGTTCTCCAAAGCAAGCTTTCCAAAAGGCAGGAAGCAAAAGCAACAGGGTGGGTAAGGCTTATTCCTGCCAGTGATACAGCAGAATTTTTGTCATATTATTTTGGTTAAAGCATTCACAAAACAGCAGAAAAGTAAATTCTGCTCCTCAATGGGGGCAAGGTAACACTGCAGAAAGACAGAGGAGATGAAAGATATTTTTACAGCCATCTTCAGAAAATACAATCTTCTACAACCAGCAAATCTT
This sequence comes from Homo sapiens, assembly GCF_000001405.40. Taxonomy (NCBI): domain Eukaryota; kingdom Metazoa; phylum Chordata; class Mammalia; order Primates; family Hominidae; genus Homo; species Homo sapiens. Next base: position 186,269,408 of record NC_000002.12, on the reverse strand, counting down.
TTCATCAATTTGCTCTCTCATCTAATGACCAAGTAGGCTCCAGATCAATTTATCAAAAGCTTAGTTGTTGAAAGATCAGTTCACCAAAGGACCTGTTTTTTAGTTTACCACATTTACCAATTAACCAAAAACTTATTTGTTTTTGAAGTTTACATTACATTTAATGGACCATTAACAGTTTTTGAGCCTTCAGACTCTTGCCCCAACCTTCAATTTTACCTTTTTATGCCCTTCTCCACTGGTATCCCTTTCTACTTCTCTCTCTTCATTGCCCATCTCTTCTGTTTATTTCTCTCATCTCTCAGTCCTCAGTCTGTGCTTTCTTGCAGCTGCAGCTTCAGGCTGTGCTCAGGCTGATTGTCTTTCTCCCAGCAGCTCCATTAACTCAGTTTTTTTTTCATATGGCGCTCCCATTGTCCTTATCACATTGCTTATTTATATGATTTGCTTTTTGTATTCCTTACTAGGCAAAGCAACTGGAGGTCAAACATAGTGTCTTGTTCATCTTTATAGCCCCATTACCAGTTTTGACTTAGAGTAGGCCATCAATACATGTTTGACTATTGAATTACTTATGAGTCAAAAAAATCTTGATAGCTTTTAGTGTAGGTTAGAAACAAAAGATGAAATTAACAGCAGTAAATTTAAATTCCATTATTTAGGCTCAAATGATTTGCTTTAGTGCAATTTAAGAATCACTCTGCTTGTTGGCAAGACATGTCAAAAGCCTCATGGGATTTTGGTAAATGAAATATCAATATTAGCCATTCATTTAAAAATATGATACAGTGTCCTCACTTACTTCCTTGAGCAGTGGTTTGTAGTTCTCCTTGAAGAAGCCCTTCACATCCCTTGTAAGTTGGATTCCTAGGTATTTTATTCTCTTTGTAGAAATTGTCAATGGGAGTTCACTCATGATTTGGCTCCCTGTTTGTCTGTTATTGGTGTATAGGAATGCTTGTGATTTTTGCAATTGATTTCGTATCCTGAGACTTTGCTGAAGTTGCTTATCAGCTTAAGGAGATTTTGGGCTGAGACAATGGGGTTTTCTAAATATACAATCATGTCATCTGCAAACAGAAACAATTTGACTTTCTCTGTTCCTATTTGAATGCCCTTTATTTCTTTCTCTTTCCTGATTGCCCTGGCCAGAACTTCCAATACTATGTTGAATGGGGGTGTTGAGAGAGGGCATCCCTGTCTTGTGCCACTTTTCAAAGGGAATGCTTCCAGCTTTTGCCCATTCAGTATGATATTGGCTGTGGATTTGTCATAAATAGCTCTTATTATTTTGAGATACGTTCCATCAATACCTAGTTTGAGAGTTTTTAGTATGAAGGGGTGTTGAATTTTATTGAAGGCCTTTTCTACATCTATTGATAATCATGTGTTTTTTGTCATTGGTTCTGTTTATGTGATGGATTATGTTTATTGATTTGCATATATTGAACCAGCCTAGCATCCCAGGGATGAAGCCAACTTGATCGTGGTGGATAAACTTTTTGATGTGCTGCTGGATTTGGTTTGCCAGTATTTTATTGAGGATTTTTGCATCAATGTTCATCAGGGATATTGGCCTGAAATTTTCTGTTTTTGTTGTGTCTCTACCAGGTTTTGGTATCAGGATAATGCTGGCCTCATAAAATGAGCTAGGGAGAAGTCCCTCTTTTTCTATTGTTTGGAATAGTTTCAGAAGGAATGGTACCAGTTCTTCTTTGTACTTCTAGTAGAATTTGGCTGTGAATCTGTCTGGTCTTGGACTTTTTTTGGTTGGTAGGCTATTAATTGCTGCCTCAATTTCAGAACTTGTTATTGGTCTTTTCACAGATTTGACTTCTTCCTGGTTTAGTCTTGGGAGGGTATATGTGTCCAGGAATTTATCCATTTCTTCTAGATTTTCTAGTTTATTTGCATTTAGGCATTTATAGTATTCTCTAATGGTAGTTTGTATTTCTGTGGGATAAGTGGTGATATCTCCTTTACCAGTTTTTATCATGTTTATTTGATTCTTCTCTCTTTTCTTCATATTAGTCTGGCTAGAATTCTATCTATTTAGTTAGTCTTTTCAAAAAACCAGTCTCTGGATTCACTGATTTTTTTGAAGGGTTTTTCATGTAAATCTTCAGTTCTGCTCTGATCTTAGTTATTTCTTGCCTTCTGCTAGCTTTTGAATTTGTTTGCTCTTGCTTCTTTAGTTCTTTTAATTGTGATGTTAGGGTGTTGATTTTAGATCTTTCCCGCTTTCTCCTGTGGGCATTTAGTGCTATAAATTTCCCTCTAACCACTGTGTTAGCTGTGTCCCAGAGATTCTGGTACACTGTGTCTTTGTTTTCATTGGTTTCAAAAAGGTTATTCATCTCTGCCTTAATTTCTTTATTTACCCAATAGTCATTCAGGAGCAGGTTGTTCAGTTTCCATGTAGTTGTGTGATTTTGAGTGAGTTTCTTAATCCTGAGTTGGAAAAACATTCCATGCTAATGGATAAAAAGAATCAATATTGTGAAAATGGTCATGCTGCCCAAAGTAATTTATAGATTCGATGCTATTCCCATCAAGCTACCCTTGACTTTCTTCGCAGAATTAGAGAAAAACTACTTTAAATTTCATATGGAACCAAAAAAGAGCCCATATAGCCAAGACAATCCTAAGCAAAAAGAATAAAGCTGGAGGCATCATGCCACCTGACTTCAAATTATACTACAAGGCTACAATAACCAAAACAGCATGGTACTGGTACCAAAACAGACGTATAGACCAATGGAACAGAACAGAGGCCTCAGAAATAACGCATACATCTACAACCATCTGATCTTTGACAAACCTGACAAAAACAAGCAATGGGGAAATGATTCCCCATTTAAAAAATGGTGTTGGGAAAACTGGCTAGCCATATGCTGAAAACTGAAACTGAACCCCTTCTTTACACCTTATACAAAAATTAACTCAAGATGGGTTAAAGACGTAAATGTAAAACCCCAAACCATAAAAACCCTAGAGGAAAACCTAGGCAATACAATCCAGGACATAGGTGTGGGCAAACTCTTCATGACAAAAATATGAAAAGCAACGGCAACAAAAGCCAAAATTGGCAAATTGGATCTCATTAAACTAAAGAGCTTCTGCACAGCAAAAGAAACTATCATCAGAGTGAAAGGGCAACCTACAGAATGGGAGAAACTTTTTGCAATCTATCCATCTGACAAAAGGGTAATATCCAAAATCCACAAGGAACTTAAATTTACAAGAATAAAACAAACAACCCCATCAAAAAGTGGGCAAAGGATGTGAACAGACACTTCTCAAGTTAAGACATTTATGCGGCCAACAAACATATGAAAACAAAGCTCATCACTGATCATTAGAGAATGCAAATCAAAACTACAGTGAGATACTATCTCATGCCAGTTAGAATGGCAATCATTAAAAAGTCAGGAAACAACAGATGCTGGAGAGGATGTGGAGAAATAGGAAAGCTTTTACACTGTTCTTGGGAGTGTAAATTAGTTCAACCATTGTGGAAGACAGTGTGGCGATTCCTCAAGGATCTAGAATCAGAAATACCTTTTGACCCAGCAATCCTATTACTGGGTATATATCCAAAGGATTATAAATCATTCTACTATAAAGACACATGAACATATATGTTTATTGCAGCACTATGCACAATGGCAAATACTTGGAACCAACCCAAATGCCCGTCAATGATAGACTGGATTAAGAAAATGTGGCATGTATACACCATGGAATACTACACAGCCATAAAAAAGGATGAGTTAATGTCCTTTGCAGGGACGTAGATGAAGCTGGAAACCATCGTTCTCAGCAAACTATCACAAGAACAGAAAACCAAACACCGCATGTTATCACTCAGAAGTGGGAGTTGAATAATGAGAACGTATGGACACAGGGAAGGGAGCATCACATACTGAGGCTTTCAGGGGATGGGGGGCTAGGTGAGGGATAGCATTAGGAGAAGTACCCAACGTAGATGACAGGTTGATGGGTGCAGCAAACCACTATGGCACATGTATACCTATGTAATAAACCTGTATGTTCTGTACATGTATCCCAGAACTTGAAGTATAATTACAAAAATGATACAATGTTAGGCATGATGAAGACCCTAGAAATAATTTCATTTAAGTGAATTTTAAAAAGTGAGAATGTTTGACTTGGAGAAGAGATACTTTTGAGAAAATGTGATAATTTTTTCAAAAAATTGATAAGATAGCTTTTGGTGATTCTGCCAGCTGCTGAGCATGTCTATTCCAATTGTGCATTCTGGAACTGGGGAAATAACCACAGGATAAGATCACTGTGAGATGTCCCTGTGCTAAAACTCCATTGATCACCTCATCTCCATAAATGCCTATTCTGATTGGAGGGCTGCAGTGACGTTTTGGGTCTCTTGGAATTAATGTTAATTCAGAGCCAGTGTCCAGCACTTCCTGAAATGTCTGCTCATTTCTTTTTCCCCAGTGCACATTTACCGTGGTAAAATGCCAGAGGTTGTTTTTAGGAAGGTTTGGGGAAAAATTAGTGGACACATTTTTGGCAATATGCTGGAGTCCTTCCTCAAGGAGACCTGGCCTCCCCTTCATTCAAGGATTTCTGTGTCTAGAGACTGGCTCAATCCTGAGAGTTGATTGAGGGAGCATGACTCTTCCTGTTTTTTATAATTCAAGTTAGGGTTTTGTTCACTTGACTTAGAATTTTTCTGCTTATACAGATCAAGTATGAAATTAGTAGGCTTCCTATCTACTTTATTTCTAAGAATGCTGTGATCAACTAGCCAATGTCACAGGTCTGTGTGGGTTAGACTATTTGGATTGCTTTGACTCAGCTCTCCATTAAGCGGCACTCACCTTTGGTAGTTGAATGCTGCCACTTGGCCCCTGCCACTTAGGGATCCTATTATTCCCATTGTATTTAGGTTTCCCAATCCAGTGATTGTAGTTCCCACTGTGACATCTGGCCTACAGAGAAGAGCTATGACAGAGCTCTTCAAGGATGCTAGAGCTCTCGTCACAAATTTATTTTTCATAATATTGGTGAAAGGCATGTCTTCTGGACCCTCCCAGTGTGGTTGCACAGGTCTTAATAGACAAATCCACTATGACATTTCAATCTCCCTAAGGTTTTGAATCCCTTACTCTACACTAAACCAAGGCAGGTATGGCATTTTAAATCTCTGGCACTGTGGGCCAATTTTTGGTCCATGTTTCAACCAACGAACCAACCAAACTGTTAGAGCTCTTTCTAACTCTCTGAGCTGAAACATTAAAGTCTGAATCTCTGCTTACTGAGCCCGTGTCAACAAATTCAGCCTGATCCAACTTTATGTCCTTTCATCCATTGGTCCACACCCTTAATATCCATTTTCACACATTTCCCAGATTTCTATCTGTATATTAGAAAACTTAAGTAGGCCTTTTGGAATGTAGCACCTTGCTTATGGGTCACATTTTCTACTTTTCCACTGGGGGCCTACAGGGACTTGAGTCTAGTTGTAGGCCTAGAGGCAAAGAGGAGTGGTAGGGGTGTTTCAGGAGGAGACTCAGCACTGTATTGCATTGCAACTGCCTCAGGGAGACCATTACAGTTTCCTCAGGTGATTCAGGATTAATCCTCTCAGAGTGTGGTGAACAGGATAATGGTGGAGTTCCAATCCAAATGCGGGCAGCCTGGAGACCCAGGAAGAGCTTATGTTGCAGTTTTAGTCAGAACACAGGGAAAAATGGATTGACTCAATGCTAGAGAAAAAAGTTAACGTGAGAATTTGAAAAGAGTCAAATTTCAGTCTAGTGTTTAACAAAACCTTTGGAGAGTTAGAGCTTCTCAAACACAAAATAGATTTTTTAAATACTTAGTAAATGCATTTACATAGAAATCCTTGGTAGGATGAAGACATATGCTTGGGCTTTTAAAGATGAGTGCCTGTGTTCAGCTAGTAATTATGTCTTTTATTTTTATCTCTTTTTCACAGACAGTCTCACTCTGTCACCCAGGCTGGACTGCCATGGTGTGATCATAGCTCACTGTTACCTCAAACACCTGGGCTCAAGCGGTCTTTCAGCTTCAAACTCCCCAAACATTTAGATTACAGGCCTGAGCCATCACTCCCAGCTTCATTATTTCTTTTAACAGATATTCATCCAGCTTTATGTACAAGATATATATCATAATGTAAACATTGTATTTTGCCCCATTATTGCTTCTCATAGGTTTGAAGACCACATCCTAGAGGATCTTACAGAAATTAAAATGTGATAAGTAAGTTAAGAGAGTCAGGAATAGAGGTGGGACTAGTAAGAATGCTGCACAGAAGATGAACTAGGTGATCTCTAAAATTCTTTCAAACTCTAAGAGGCTCTAGTTCTTAAAAATGGTATAAGAATGTAAACAAATTTGTTCTTTATAATGCCCATGGCTCATTCCTTAATCCTTTATAATAAGCCAACAGTTTAAGAAATACTTCCTTACTTTTGGCAACAAAACACTAATTTACTTATGAATAATAATAAACATATATTGTACTTATAAACTACCTAATTAATCATTTAAGTATAATTCTAGCACATCTTAGAGAATTCATGTATTTGCTTTTCTAGACATAAACTATTTATGATACTTTTTGTTTCTTTCAGGCTTAATAATTAAAAAAAAATTAACTGGAAAACCAGGCTTGGGATGTTACTGAACTTAATTTTTTTTTTTACAACATTGGGTAATTCTATTATGATCACATCACTGAAAAATTGAGAGGTAATATTCAGATGTTTCTTCATTAATCTGGGAGTTAGAGCTGGTTAGTTGAATAGCAGCCTACAAACTAAGATTAAAAATTGGATTCTGTGATACTGATGATTGGAAATGTTAAACTTCCAGTTTAGGATGATGGCCTAATAAAGAGCTGATTTGTCATTCTCAGCTCTGACTGGAACACTAACAATGACATAGAAAATAAAACCTCCATAAATAAGTGGAAAAATGCAAGTAAGAGTTTCTGCAAGAAAGAAAGGAAAGGGTAATTTGATACTCTTTAAAATTGATGAAGATGGCTTAAGAAACATGATAGAAAGTTCCATCCTCTGAGTCAAAACAATAAGATTTTCTGGAGAATAGCTGGGAGGTTTCTGTGACCATCTCCATGTCTTTACCTGAGGGATAAAGAACGGACTTCTCTCTGTGCTCACCACCCTCTGAGGGTACAGCTTGATGATGCAAATCCGGAAGCCGCTACTCACCAGATAGGGGCTCTGCAGGGACCTTGATCTTTGATTTCCTACATCCACAACTAAGATAAATACATGTTTGTTATTTGAGCCAAAGCAAGGAGGCCGGAAAAGAGGGAGAGAGACTGGAATAGTTGGTCGGTGAAGCAACCAGAACACAAAATTTACCAATTAAGTTCGCTGTCTTATATGAGTGTGTTTCCTGATGCCCCCAAACAATTACAATAGTGACCTCAAATAGTGGCTCCTTTTCACAAGTTGGCACAGAAGGTGAAGAAGGAAGCTCCTTCTCCTCCTAAACTCAAAGCCAAAGCAAAGTCTTTGAGGTCAAGAAGGTAGTACTGAAAGGCATCCGCCACTACACACACACACACACACACACACACACACACACACACACAACGATCTGCATGTCATTCACCTTCTGGCGGCCCAAGACACTGCAGCTCCAGAGATAGTCTTAAATATCCTTGGAAGAGCACCCTCAGGAGAAACAAGCTTCACTATGCCTATGCCATCATCATCTTCCATCTGATCACTGAGTCTGCCATGAAGAAGGTAGAGGACAACAACACACTTGTGTTCATTGTGGATGTTAAAGCCAACAAGCACCAGATCAAAGAGGCTACGAAGAATCTGTGAATTTATGTGGCCGAGGTCACACCCTGGTCAGGCCTGATGGAGAGAAGACAGAGATATTCCACTAACTCCTGACTGTGATGCTTCAGATGTTGCCAATAAAATTGGTATCATCTAAATTGAGCCCAGATGGATAATTCTAAATAGATATAATATATATTTTTCCATCAGAAAAAGAAATCACTGATCACGGATCACCATAACAAATATAATAATAAAGAAAAAGTTTGAAATATTGGGAGAATTATCAAACTGTGACACAGAGACACGAAGTGAGCACATGCTGTTGGAAAAATGATGCCGATAGACTCACTAGATGCAGGGTTGCCACAAGCCTTCAATTTGTAAAAAATACAACAAAGAAAAGGGCAATAAAGCAAAACTTGATTTTTTAAAGAAACAGTATAGGTAACAGGTAAAGGATTAAAATAGAAAACTCAAGAATTGGAAATTATGATATGAAAGGACTTGTGATCAGTTAAATTTTGAACTTGAAATATCGTTGAAGAATTAAATGCATATTCCAGAAATTTTTTAAAAGGAAGATTGTATTTTGAAAGGTAATAGTAATAAAAGTAATCTGGGTCTGTGTTTCCAAATAGAGTTAACAGAGAAAAAGGGTTGAGGTGGTAAAAGCACAGCAATACTTCATCTTATATATGGTGCAACAAGAGTAATGACTTCGTTTTTGACTTTATATTTAGAGAACGTAAACTGACATGTGTTTCTAAATGTAAACCGATGGTCAATTTTTTCCTATTTGAATAGTTATATCCTACTGACATGTACCAGATCATTGAGTTTTTAATTTTTGTTTTTAATTGTGTTATTGAGTTGCCCACTTTTTGGCTTTCCTCATGGTAAGATAGTCTTTCCTACAGCTATCATCTCCTTGTGGAACCACCTTTACACTGTGCTGGTTACTAAGAAAAAAATCGTGAGCATTGATAATCCAGTAACATACCACTCTATAACTCTTTACTATACATTTATTTTCAACAGTTTAGCCAGAAGGGTTGGTGTAATTAAAGAGTGTTACAGGGTCGGTAGGGGAAAATTAAATTTATATGCTAGAGGTGACTAATCCATGGGAAAACAAAAGGTAACACTCTCTATAGGAAGTTCCCATTGGTCTGCTCCAGTTTCTTCTATCAGCCACCTTTGCTTAGATCTGGGCTTAACTAACAAGAAGAAAATCTGAGATTGGATTTAAAAAATTTTGCAGGCATACAATGACTGCAAAATTATGAACAAAATTTAAAAATAAAATAATCAGGCGATTTGCATCAAGAAAATAGGGGTTGTAAGTTTAATTTCAGACAAAATGGAATTCATGGCAAAAACATTACATATATACAAAGAAATATTGTATAGTTGTGAACATATTCACAGGCAACAATCTAGTAAGTAAAGCAAAAACTGACAGAACTATAGAAAGAACTAAATAAACAACAAATATAGGTGGAGATTTTAATATGTTCCTCTCAGAATTTGATACTAAGAGCAGTAAGCAAGAAATTAATACAGATAACATGCTTTTGCTTATATATAAATTTATACCCAGCAAGGAGAGGGAGAAATATTCTTTCCAAGCACATGTGATATTTATAAAATTTTATAATAAACTAGGTCACAAAGAAAGGTTCAATAAATCCCCCAAATTAATTCCATGTGGAGTATACTGTCTCAAGGTCAATGCTATTAAATGATCTTTGCTTTAAAATAGAACTAAGAAAAAGAGTTATGAAATTCTTAGAATTGTGAGGCTAAAAATGTATAGCTAAAGCAGTTAAATACTTGTGATTGGTTCATTTTATATGTACTGTACTTTAGTAAGTGTTTTAAATTTACTAAAGTACTATACATATTCAGAAAGTTTATTAATTAATTTTTTAACGTTAATTTAAAAAAACAGAGTGATAATGTTTAAATAAAGTAAAATAAAATACCATTGTGGTTTTGGTTGGAACTACATTAAACTTTGCAAAGAACTTGGAAAGTATAAAAATCTTTAAAATTTAGCATTCTTATTTTGAAAATAAACTTAATCTTTTGAGAGAAACAGCTATTGCAAATCATAGTGCATAGAAGCTATCTTAGAATGGCATTCTTGATAATCATGTAAATTGATTATTTTTGGTTTTTATGATATTAGATCACTTATGTGTTATTTTGGTTGATACAATTGTTTAGGTAGATCATGGTACAGGTGAATTCAATGTTGTAGCTTTGATTGATTAATTCCAACTCTTATAAATTATAAAATGAATCAATATTAGTATTTCCTTTACCTATTTTTTTTAGTAAAATTGCTAATTGACTGCATACATTTACCTAAAAGCAAAACTTATATTTTCTGCATTTCTTACATGGTACATAATGATATTTTTATTATCAACCAGATAATGATTCATAAATTTATAGTTTGTTTATTTTACTACCATGCATGTCGAGGACTTTTTAAATTTCTTTTTGAAAAAATGTCTATGGTAGGCACAGCTATTTTATGAGGCTTATTTATTTCTTTGCATTGAGAATATCTTTTAAAAACTGAGATTAGAAATCTGAGTAATAATGCAATAACAATATCAGAAACAACTTGTGTTGCTTTTATAGACTAGGTAAGGAAATGAATAAATTGCTGATCTCTATTACTTTTTATTTTAAGACAGGTTCTCACTCTGTCACCCAGGCTGGAGCACAGTGGCCCGATCTCGGCTTACAGTAGTCTCAACCTCCCGATCTCAGGCCATCCTCCCACTTCAGCTTCCCAAGTAGCTGGGATTGCAGGTGCACACTACCATGCCCAGCTAATTTTTGTGTTTTTTGTAGAGACGGGTTTCACCATATTGCCTAGGCTGGTCTTGAACTCCAAAGCTCAAGCAATCCACTTGCCTTGGCCTCCCAAAGTGCTGAGATTACAAGTGTGAGCCACTGTATTTAGCCCTTATCTCTATGACTTTTGAGAGTGAATACTTTTTATAAATTTGGAAACATATTCAGTATATAATTTTAAAGGTAATAGTAAATTCTTATTAATCATATACTTTATGCATTATTTAAAAGATAATTAAACATTTATAGCTTGTTTCTTTAGTCAATTTGATTTGTAATTTCAGAAAACATAGATGCCTCAATTTCTAACTCTAAAGAAGAATGTAGTGTATATACTTACACATACATATTTTATATATATATATATATATATTTCCTAGCAGTGCTCCTCCTCCCTTCAGTATATTTTCTCATATTAAAAATCTTCACGATTTGTTCTTTACAAATATCCATTTAGACATACAATAACTAGATTGTGAAGAGCTGTCATTACTAAAAGAGATACTAGCTGATCCACAAGATAGGATAAATATAGTTAGTATAATTTTAATTATAAGCTTCTCTGATTTATTGTTATTTAAACCAGTTAAATAACATATATTTTCTTTATAAGATTTTATATATATATATTTTGAGATGGAGTTTTGCTCTTGTTGCCCAGGCTGGAGTGCAATGTCGTGATCTCAGCTCACTGCAACCTCTGCCTCCCGGATCCAAGTGATCCTCCTGCCTCAGCCTCCTGAGTAGCTGGAATTACAGGCATGAGCCACCATGCCTGGCTAATTTTATATTTTTAGTAGAGACGAGGTTTCTCCATGTTAGTCAGGCTGGTCTCTAACTCCTGACCTCAGGTGATCTGCCTGCCTCAGCCTCCCAAAGTGCTGATTATATTTTTATAATCAGCCCGGCCAAGATTATATTTCTATAAGATTAAATTATCTTTTAAAATTGCATTATGGGAATTTATAATGCTTATTGTTTCATTGTATTAATGACTGATGGAACAATATTCTATTTCTCTTAAATATTCCTCTTGTTTTTAACGAATAATTTCTAATAGGAAGTTAAGTTTGCATTAGTCTTTGGTTAGAATTCTCTGGTATTTATTATACTTAATTGATTTATGACAAGTATATGTAGTACCCTCCATCTTTTGTAGTAAGAGAGGTTCAAGAAAATCACCTTGAAATTACTGAGGTCACCCTTCCCCTATAGTCTGGGGAAAGGGATCATAAGATAAGTATTTTATATTTAGCTGCCAGTGCCTGGCTCAGTCCTCATGGAAGAGATTGCTATCCTGGGACCCTGGGGTTGAAATCACCACAACCAGTCTGAATGCAGTGCTGCTCTGGGTTGGCTGCCTGTACTAGGAGAGGGTTGCATAGGTGAAATGAGAGTTTAGCACTAAGAACAGCACCCTTAAAGCATCCCCAGGGACCACGATGCTCTGCATAGGAATAGATAGAATTTTATGAAAAAAGTCAGAGAGGAAAGGAATATCACTAGCATTAGGCTCATCCTCCTCCCAGACCACCAAATCTCTCTCACTGCTCACTAGAAATGACTTGAAAATATCATTTTGGTGAAATTTTCTCTTTTTTATTATTTATTTCAGTGGTCACTAAATTTCCTAGAAAGTGAAATTTCCATAGCAGATGCTTAAAAACCAGACTTGTTTATTGTGTCAAGTGAATTTTTAAGGTCAGTTAATTTCATCAATTAACCAGTCATAAATTTGTTTTGAAAAAAATAAGTATGTTCTTTTATTATGTTTTATTCTAAAAAACTTAAATTGGAATTTTGATGGTATCTATTAAAAGATGATTTACTACTGATTCAGGGATATTTCCCATAGTATCTTTAGGCAAGCAAAGCATGTTTTGATTAGAAAAGGAGTTAAGACATGGTTTCAAAGCGTTGGCCCAAACATCTATATTCCAGTCAACCAGAAGATGTCACTATTGTGTACAGAATGTGTAAAAGAAAAAAGTATACTGTAGTTACATTGTGTGTCTCCTAATCTTGCTAAATTTTCTCTGGAGTCTCATGAAGGAAGCACTGTCTTCAAGTTGACAGGCACTGAAAAACTACTACATTCATTGGATGGGTGTGCCAGTTACATTCCCACATTATTCATTTGAAAAAAAAATAATAAAACTACATTGGCAGAAAATATTCCAACTCAATAATTTTGTACAGTGCTAACTGGAAATTAATAACCATGCAATATATCTGTTTTGGTTCTAGCAACAGAGTGTGTCTATTATAAGTAAATTTAGCAGACATTAATTAAGAAAAATCAAACTGTTTCACAAATGACTTTGATTAAACTAATTGTTCACTTAAAGCAGAGAAAATAAACTGCCAAAATATACACTTTAACCTAAGATTAATGGATGTCACTAATAGAATGCCTTCTTAACACTTTCATCTGTTAAATCAGAGTTCTTTTTATAATGAGAGTGCTGTTGACACCTCTGTACTTGTTATGAGACATTTTGTAAGAGAAGTTTACTGCAATCTTTGCAAAATCCTTTATAGGCAAGGAAACAAGATTGGTGGGAAGCTTGTTTGTAGGTATAGAACTTTCCCAGATGTATTTACTTAAGAAGCAAACAGTGAAGACACGCAGATGTAAATTAGATCCCAGGTGCCATTAGCATGGTAATGTGGGCCAAACAGCTGGGCTTAATTCAGGTCACTGACTGGTTTGACCGGTAGGATGTCAAAGGCAAGGCAATTAGGCCGAATCAGGAATGTTTCCCAGTGAGTTAGTATGTATGTATGTATGTATGTATTTATTTATTTGGAGACAGAGTTTCACTCTTGTTGCCCAGGCTAGAGTGCAATGGTGTGACCTCGGCTCACTGCAACCTCTGCCTCCCAGGTTCAAGCGATTCTCCTGCCTCAGCCTCCTGTGTAGCTGGGATTACAGGCGCCGGCCACCAACATGGCTGGGTTTTTTTTTTTTTTTTTGAGACAGAGTTTTGCTTTTGTTCCCCAGAGTGGAGTGCAATGGCATGATCTCGGCTCAAGGCAACCTCTGCCTTCCTGGTTCAAGCAATTCTCCTGCTTCAGCCTACCAAGTAGCTGGGATTACAGGCATGTGCCACCATGCCCAGCTGATTTTGTATTTTTAGTAGAGACAGGGTTTCTCCATGTTGGTCAGGCTGGTCTTGAACCCCCAACCTCAGGTGATCCACCTGCCTTGACCTCCCAAAGTGCTGGGATTACAGGCGTGAGCCTCCATACCCGGCCTAATTTTTGTATTTTTAATAGAAATGGAGTTTTACCACATTGGCCAGACTGCCCTCGAACTCCTGACCTCAGGTAATCTGCCTGCCTCAGCCTCCCAAAGTGCTGGGATTACAGGTGTGAGCGACCGTTGACTGGCCTAGTACTTATTTTTTTTTCATGAACTGTTTTGTTATTTTGCCCTTCTCCTCATTTAGGTTCATTTTGACATCTACCTTTTGTCCATGTATTGATTCATTGAGAGAAAATGATAGGTTTTTAAATTTTTAAAAAGTACTCCCTTTTCTGGCTTAGTTAGTAAAAGCAATCAACTATTTTTTTTTAAATAGGGATATTAAAACTTAAAAGGCAATTGCAATTTACATTTAGCTAATGCTTATCAAGTGTTGCTTAATATGTACCAGGTACTATGCCAAGTGATTTACATGGAGTACCTCCTCCTAACATATCTATGAGGCAGGTTCTGTTATTATTCCTATCTTACATATGAGGAAATTGAAACACAGATAGGGTTAGTAAATTATCCAGCATTACTGTGCTAAAGAGAGGCAGAGCTGGCATTCAAACCCGGAAAGTCTGACATCAGAGACACATTTAACCCAACTATTCCATATTGCTTCTCTGAAATATATAAAATACATTTGGTTGTGGTTACGTCTCTATTGTAAAATTTGTTTCCATTTTCTGCTGAGAGTTAAGAGCAAGTGGAAAGAGGTTTTCACAGTCCTTCCTTACCTACCAATACGGACTGAATGAATTGATACTATTAAATCTTGGTATTGATTTTATTTTTTCCATTCATCTTGCATATTTTTATTTGTCTTGAATATTTAGAAGAAGCAGGGAACTTTGAATCTTTCTTTGGTATATAATTTCTTATTCTTAGAAAAAGAAGAAAATTGTTAGTGAAGAATTATTAGAACGTAGAGGTCTTTGAGTTGTGATGTCATTTAAGAAGAAAAGAAATTTGATTTCTTGTCTTTTCTAGATTTGTGAGCAATAGAATCCATTTGAAAGGCTTGGATTAGAGTGAATATTTTGGCTGCAGAAATTTACAAAGTGTATTGACCTATATATGCTTACAGTATATTACTTGGGACCTAATGTAACAAGTAGATACTTGATCAGTTTAAAGATGAACTTTAAACAATGAATTCTAACATGTATTTCTACAAAGAATTTTTACTGTAAAACAAAATAGAAACAACTTAAGGTAAATATCCATGTTATTATTTTTATGGCTTATTGATTCCAACAACAACTTGAGAGTCTATTTAGATTACTTAATTGAGATTAGAGGTGATGAATTACTTATTACTCCAATGCAGTAGTTTTTTTAGTGACAATCAGAGATTTTCAGATGATAAGACTATTAGGCAGTCCACTTGAGCCACTTGCTGTAGTGATGTATAACATACATGTATGGCAGGAAAAAACCAAGTCAGAATACCTTATTTCTTAGGAAATTTATACATTAAAAGATGAGTGCCATTTTGAATAAGTAGATTGTTAAACAAATATTTATTGGTCACCTTTGTATCAAGTAAAATAACTTAGTGATGGATACATGATAGGACAAGTCCTCATCTTATAAACTGTGTTTATTTCTTTTTTTTATTATACTTTAAGTTTTACGGTACATGTGCACAATGTGCAGATTAGTTACATATGTATACATGTGCCATGTTGGTGTGCTGCACCCATTAACTCATCATTTAACATTAGGTATATCTCCTAATGCTATCCCTCGCGCCACCCCACAACAGTCCCCAGTGTGTGATGTTCCCCTTCCTGTGTCCATGTGTCCTCATTGTTCAATTCCCACCTATGAGTGAGAACATGCAGTGTTTGGTTTTTTGTCCTTGTGAGAGTTTGCTGAGAATAATGGTTTCTAGCTTCATCCATGTCCCTACAAAGGACATGAACTCATCATTTTTTATGGCTGCATAGTATTCCATGGTGTATATGTGCCACATTTTCTTAATCCAGTCTATCATTGTTGGACATTTGGCTAGGTTCCAAGTCTTCGCTATTGTGAATAGTGCCGCAATAAACATACGTGTGCATGTGTCTTTATAGCAGCATGATTTATAATCCTTTGGGCATATACCCAGTAATGGGATTGCTGGGTCAAATGGTATTTCTAGTTCTAGATCCCTGAGGAATCGCCACACTGACTTCCACAATGGTTGAACTAGTTTACAGTCCCACCAACAGTGTAAAAGTGTTCCTATTTCTCCACATCCTCTCCAGCACCTGTTGTTTCCTGACTTTTTAATGATTGCCATTCTAACTGGTGTGAGATGGTATCTCATTGTGGTTTTGATTTGCATTTCTCTGAGGGCCAGTTCTGATGAGCATTTTTTCATGTGTCTTTTGGCTGCATAAATGTCTTCTTTTGAGAAGTGTCTGTTCATATCCTTCACCCACTTTTTGATGGGGTTGTTTTTTTCTTGTAAATTTGTTTGAGTTCATTGTAGATTCTGGATATTAGCCCTTTGACAGGTGAGTAGATTGCAAAAATTTTCTCCCATTTTGTAGGTTGCCTGTTCACTCTGATGGTAGTTTCTTTTGCTGTGCAGAATTCTGCTCTTTAGTTCAATTAGATCCCATTTGTCAATTTTGACTTTTGTTGCCATTGCTTTTGGTGTTTTAGACATGAAGTCCTTGCCCATGCCTATGTCCTGAATGGTATTGGCTAGGTGTTCTTCTAGGGTTTTTATGGTTTTAGGTCTAACATTTAAGTCTTTAATCCATCTTGAATGAATTTTTGTATAAGGTGTAAGGAAGGGATCCAGTTTCAGCTTTCCACATATGGCTAGCCAGTTTTCCCAGCACTATTTGTTAAATAGGGAGTCATTTCCCCATTGCTTGTTTTTCTCAGGTTTGTCAAAGATCAGATGGTTGTAGATATGTGGCATTATTTCTGAGGGCTCTGTTCTGTTCCATTGGTCTATATCTCTATTTTGGTACCAGTACCATGCTGTTTTGGTTACTGTAGCCTTGTAGTATAGTTTGAATGGATAAATTTCTCAACGCATACACCCTCCCAAGACTAAACCAGGAAGAAGTTGAATCTCTGAATAGAACAATAACAGGCTCTGAAATTGAGGCAATAATTAATAGCTTACCAACCAAAAAAAATCCAGGACCAGATGGATTCACAGCCGAATTCTACCAGAGGTACAAGGAGGAGCTGGTACCATTCCTTCTGAAACTATTCCAATCAATAGAAAAAGAGGGAATCCTCCCTCATTCATTTTATGAGGTCAGCATCATCTTGATACCAAAGCCTGGCAGAGACACAACAAAAAAAAGAGAATTTTAGACCAATATTCCTGATGAACATCAATGCAAAACTGTGTTTATTTCTATCTTGAAAGTTTATAGAGTATATAATTCCTCTTATTGCTTCATTCTGTCCATAGAGTAGATAATCTTGGATAAGAAGTCTGATTCCTTACAGAGTGTTTGGTCTAATTGGGGAAGCAAACCATATCTCTATATATTTATGTGTCTAGAGATCTATGAAAATATAACTAATAATTCAAGAAAAAAGAAGATAAAGCTAGGTGAATTATATAATTGGATCTGTATGCTTTCAGGGGAGAAAGAAAGCTTACTTAGACTGAGGAGACCAGGGATAACTTCATGGGTGATATGGGTCTTGAACTGGGTCTTGAAAACTTGATAAGGTTTGAAAAGTAGGAACAGCCAAAGGTGATTTCTAGAAAGAGACAGATGTTAAGAGGCAGGGCTCAGGAAGGAATGGTATTAGGTAATTCTGGTTAAGTCAGATAACTTATAACTTTTGATTGATTAAATGCAAACCAATTTCTATTAGTAGAAATTCTCTTTAGAGTATACATCATACTGTATTCAGATCTATTAATTATAATCTATTATGATTGCTTTGGGTTGAAGAATTTTATATTAATTCCAATTTGATACTGCTGAAGAGAAAATAATTGTTTTTATTATGTTTTGCAATAGGAGAAGAATATATGTTTCTAATCAATTAAATTAAACTGGTAATTTAATTTTATATGTGTGTTCAATAGTATATAGCTCCAATATTGCTGGGATCAAATTTGAGATAAAATTCGCTCTGAAATGGAATCTCCTGGAACCATCATGGATTATAAATTGATAAAGCTAATGTTTTTTCCTCTATATCAAGGATACAGTTTGAACAGTGTCTTCTTGGAACTGAAGGAGATATTAGAGTACAAAATGTGGAGACATTTTTGGAGTATTACTGAAAATGGAACTCTATTAATCTAATACCCTCTCCTAATTACTATAGCAACAAAATAACATCATTCTCTGAATGAGGGAACAATCCTGATATAAAAATGAAATTAAGAAGTAGAAAACAAGTTTTTAACTTCAATGTGAAATTTGATATTTATCTTACTTTCTGCTATAGGGATAATTCTAATATTATGTCATAGTTACATAAGCAGGACTATGTTGAAGTAATTTTAATAAGTGACCACACAGTACTTGTTACTGTTCAGTTGTGCATACTAAATTATCGTTAACTTTTGTTAGCAGCTGATATATTGAAATGACTTTGGGTGATTATAATACAATACAAATTTTTGTCAAAATAATTGCAACAATTGAGAAGAAATTACTTTAATGGAGTAAAAAAGTGTGGATCTAAAAAACAGACTCTAACAAAATATATTTTTCCTTTAGTGCTCAACAAAATTTAGTTATTTTGATGCTTAGATGAAGCCTGGGATGAAGATTATACAAAATGCCATATTTTGAGAAATTTGGATAGTTTATCCCAATTTAATTACAATTACAAGCATGGATGATTTTAAATATATTTTACTTACCAAATATTGATAAAAATTTGAATTTTCAAAACCTGTTATCAATATTCAGTCAGAAGGTTATTCTTAAAATCATACTTAGCTTTAAGTTAATTGCTGTGGTAAGTCACAGAACCAATTTAATCAAACTAGAGTCTACTTAAGGTGTTATGATGGCCATAAAACATTAGTAATTCTGGCACTTACAGAAAGTGTCCTTCAATGTTTCAGGGACTATTACAGTTTCTTGATGTTTAACTGTCACATGAAGAGAGACTTTGTAGGACCAGAAATGGAAATTAGACCACCATTTGTTAAACAATACAAAAGAGGTTATTCAGAATTTTGTCCACTGTGGTAGTACTACAGGCATGAGCATTACTGTCTATGTAAATACGGTCACATTCCTCTCAAAAGTAGCTTATTTTACTCTTTACTGAAAACTCTATAATTTTAAGGCCTGGCCAAATATTCTACATCTTCTGGAATTTTTATTTGATTCTATCAGTTCTATTCTCTACCACATTCAGATGGTTGTGGAAATATAATCTATACTGTTTTCACATTTAATTATTTTTCATAATCATATGGCTATTTTCTTATGTTCATAGTCTATAGGAGTTTCAATGAAAGTTCTTGAATTTACTTTCTGCCAATGGTTTCTTAGAAGAACAAAAATATATACACACGTAGACTAACATTTATTTCCTTTGTAAAATTATTTTCCAAATTTTGTCTGGAAATAAAAATTAAAACTACTTAAATATCAAATTTTAGTGTAAGTTGGTGTTTCCTAGGAATTTCCTTAATAGTAAAATATAAATTATAAAGAACATTGAAGCACACATCTTTTCTTTTATCTATTTTTTTTTTTTTTTTTTTACAGGATCTTGCTCTGTCATCCAGGCTGGAGTTCAGTGGCAGATCATGGCTCACTGGAGTCTCAACTTCCTGGGCTCCAGCAGCCTTCCCACCTCAGCCTCCCGAGTAGCTGGGACCACAGGTGTGCACCACCACTCCTGGCTAATTTTATTGTATTTTTTTGTAGAGACAGGGTTTCGCCATGTTGTCCAGAGTGGTCTCAAACTCCTGGGCTCAAGTGATCCTCCCACCTTGGCCTCACAAAGTGCCGAGATTACAGACATGAGCCACTGCACCTGGCTGCACACATCATTTTGTTAGAGGGAAACCTCTGTATCCCTGGCCTTTGCTTCCACATGGAGGAACTTCATGGAGCTTAATCTTCATTTCTTTCTCCCCATTTCATTCATTCCTCCGAGGAAGAGAGACTTACTTGTTATGTTTCAAAAGAAGAACTGGGCAATTGATTCCTTTTCTCACTCTGCTTCTTGTGTTCTTCAGCTTGACCACTGCAGGGTGCTTGAATTTGGATCTTGCTGCCTGACTTTGGGGGTGAAACCCAAAACATCCCAGTACTGCCTTTGCCTCAAGATATGTCTGTCTTATTCAGGGTGAAATATTAGGGGGTCTAACTGAAAGTGCAAGTCAAAACCATATTTTCCTATCTTTTTCACTAGATATTTTGAGTGCAACTTGAGTCTATCTCTCAGTTGCTTTCAGACCTAGGAGGGGAAGAAACAAGTATTATTTATTTGACTCCTTAACATCTCCCCAATCACAATATACTCCTTTTTTTGTTGTTTTATTTCACGCAATAACCACTCAAGCGCTTACATTTTCAACTGACTGGGGAAACATTTTGTTCTCTCAGCACTTTTTGCCTGGCTCTAAATAAGTTTAACTTAGTAGAAACGAAGAACTATGAAAAAATCTCTAATGTTTTGCCTAGGAGAATGAGGCAATTCCAAAAGAAATCACCTTTTAGTCATGTTCATTACCAAGTGAACAATGAATGACTCATTAAAAGTAATTTAAATATTTTGGATGTTATTTTATATATAATACTTAGTTCAACTCGCAAATTGTAACAAAGGGTGTGCATGTATTTTTACAAAAAATATTTTGGCCCTTGGACAAATTGAAAAGTAACTATTTGTGATGTATCAAAATATTTTCCATGCTTTATAAATATTTTTTATTTCTTTTCTGCACTTCTGCCTTATTTGTCTCATGGCTAGAGATTTTTAGAAATCATTCTCTTTGGGCTTAAAAATGTGTGAGAGAGAGATGATGACCATATATTTTAGTTTGCTAGCTTCAGATCTGGTACATGCTATGTCTCAATAGAATTACCAATTCTCTTCACTCTTAAAATGTCCCAGCTGAGATGGTTAATTATATGATCACCCCAATAACAAAGTACATAGTTACTGGAGTTTATGCATGGAATCATGCCTTTAGATGCTTTAATGTTGTTCCCATTAATTTCAGAGGGACAGTAGAATTATTTAAGAGCTTAACTTTACAGGTTATCTTACTCTGCTTTTTATTATGTGTAACCTCTTTGGGTCTCAATTTCCTTTCTTGTAAAATTATGCAAAAAGCCCCCATAAAGATCTCCAGAAAAAAAACTGTTGAAAAAGTTTATTGTACTTATTGCAACACAGACAACACTACATTGACAGGGTCTTAGCAGCATATAAAAAGGGAGTCATTTAGGAAAGAAAACATAGAATCTTTGGGCCTGAATCGGGTGATTTGAAAAGGTAGGCTTTACAACTTGGGGAACTGAGTCAGACTGGGAAAGTTTATAATATACCAATCTAATAGCTTTAAATTGGCAGGCACAATAGGGTGAGGGATTAGATGCATATCTTAATGAGCAAACTGTTATCAGAATAGTCTTGATGAACTAGCTGTTAATCTTGATAAATAAGCTGTTTTAGATGGCTTACAATTTTATCTTACTGGAAGAAGTATTTTCTGGAGGAAGTGGCTAAGTTATTTTTGTTATTTTGCTAAATAGACTTAGGAAATTTGTTTTATATATAATTAAGCTTTAGTATAATTTATATCAAATTGAAATGGAATTTGTTTTCAAGTTCAGTTTTTAATATTAATTTTTAAATTTGTTTTGATTAGTAGTTTTTATACTTTATTTTATTAGTACATACTGAAGTTGAGATAATAATTTTTGATTCCTAGTATTACTAGGAAGAGCTAAGCCAGGTGTCCGTACATCCCCCAGCATAGTTTTCAAAATGTTTATAATGAAAAATTTTAATAAATGCAGTTTCTGCACTAGCTGGATCTCACCTGTAAGTCCTGCCATGCAATTTTAGTGACTGACTTTTAAATTTGCGTCCAAAAATTGCATTGTACCAAGTAACATATAAAGACATTATTTTTTAATTATTTCATTATTTTTATTTTTATTTTTTTTAGAGACAGAGTCTTGCTCTGTCACCCAGGCTGGAGTGCAGTGGCATGATCATAACTGTAACCTCAAACTCCTGAGCTTAAATGATTCTCCTGCCTCAGCCTCCTGAGTAGCTAGTCCTTCCCAGGCTTAGATGTCAGAGAGGCACATAATACTTATTTCAGGTCTTTCACCACAGTGACGTTGGTTTAATCTGAAAGCTGGATATTTAAAGGTGTGGATTATTAGTATTAATAACTCCACATTATATTAATCAAACAATATGGATAATCAGAGCCTTCCAGATATAATGGGTTTTCCAGTCTGAGTTTATCTTTTTACCTTTTTTAAATTTTCTTTTATATTTGGAGGAGAGGAGATTCAATTCACATCATAAAGTGTACCATACATCAATCAGTTTTTATAGACTTAGGTAACAAATTTTGGCTTGGAATAAAGTTTCTGTCAAATTTATCAAGGGTATTTTTTTTTCTTAAATATGCTAGTTACTCTATGTATTTTATGTTTTGGCTGTAGTCTTCAGCCTGATGTAGTCATTGTATATTTTACAGTCTAAGTAATTCTGGGTGTGATTACAAAGAAACGCATTATACTAATGTTCTGTAATCTAAATGAATATCAATTTGCCGAAGTAAAATTTAGGATGGGTGTTTTAGTTCCTTAAGTACTACTTGGTTATTTCTTTTATGTACTTGCATTACAATTGTCATTATACAATATATATGGTATGGTAACATAGAGTCCTCAAGAACTCTATTCCTTGGTAGTTATTGCCTCCCTTAACTCAATATAGCCCCAGGTTATTGACAGAGAATGAATTTAACATATATGAATGCCAATTTTAAGCTCTTTCACTAACCACTTAAACTTTTTTCAATACTAGATATAGAATCTTAAATTTCTGATTTCTAAATTACTTCCTTTGTTGAGTTTGGAAAGCTGAACTGACTCTCTTAATTATTGGGATGCAATTTTGGCAAATGTTAATGAAACTCCATAAATGCACTTGATTTAACCCTCAATTATTTGATCCTTTGTAAGTGATAGTGAAAATTAACATACTTCACATAACTTAAGAATCATAACATATTAACTAATATATAATAACAAACTAATTAAGTGATGTTGACTTTTGAAAATACAGAAAAAAATGTATTCAAATATGTAAATAGCAAGCATGAGCATTGACTGCTAATTTATCATATTTTTTCAAATTATTGAATTGTCATTTGCTTGGACTTGGAAATAAAATGTTATAAAAATAAAAAAATTAACTGTAGCATTAAAATTTTGATCTGTGTGGCAGGCATTGCTTGCTGCCTGCTTAATATTAATTATCTCCTTTTTCCTTATTAGCAGAACTCTGGTTTTGTGTCTAACAAAAGTTCTAACCTTCCCACTTTTCCTGCAGCTAGAGATGGCTAAAGGTATAAGGCAGCATTTACCAAACTTTCTTTGTCACTGCTTTTAGTGCCTCAGTAATTTTTTATGGCACCCTTAAACCAAAAGAAATCCTAACAGTTGTATTAAGTGGTTTAATTCAAATCACTTAATACTTATCTCTATTCTAACAAGCTAGCAGCAGCCATTTGAAGAACTAATATATATAAATTGACAAAAACCTATTTTAATTTCAGTCTTTACCAACCAAAATTACCTATTAGAAGTTAGTGACGTGAATGTGACATAACTTTTCTTTTTTTAAAAAAATTTAAGTTCAGGGGTACATGTGCAGGTGTGTTACCTAGGTAAACTTGTGTCATGGAGGTTTGTTGTATTTATTATTTCATCACGCAGGTATTAAGCCTAGTACTCATTACTATTTTTCCGATCCACTGCCTCCTCCCTCTCTCTACCTTCAAGTAGGCCCCAGTGTAAGTTGTTTCTCTCTATGTGTTTGTGTGTTCTCATCAATTAGCTCCCACTTATAAATGAGAACATGCGGTGTTTGGTTTTCTGTTCTTGTGTTTGCTAAGGATAATGGCCTCCAGCTCTATCTATGTCCCTGCAAAGGACATGGTTTTATTCTTTTTTATGGCTGTGTGGTAGTCCATGGTGTATTATATGTACCACATTTTCTTTATCCATTCTATCATTGATGGGCATTTAGGTTGATTCTATGTCTTTGCTATTGTAAATAGTGCTGCAATGAACATACACGTGCATGTGTCTTTATAATGTAATGTCTAATATTCCTTTGGGTTTAGGCCCAGTAATGGGATTGCTGGATCAAATGATATTTCTGTCTTTATGTCTTCGGGGAATCACCACACTGTCTTCCACAATAGTTGACCTAATTTACACTCCCACCAAGAGTGTATAAGGCATTCTTTTTCTCAACAACCTCACCAGCATGTTATCTTTTGACTTTTTAATAATAGCTGTTCTGACTAGTGTGATTTGCATTTCTTCATGATCAGTAATGTAGAGCTTTTTTCATATGTTTCTTGGCCACACGTATGTCATCTTTGGAAAAGATGGTCCTTTGGTGTGCAACTTTTCAAGTCTTGGAATCAAATTGGACGCCACTATCCTCATAACCTGTTCTATATTGATTTTCACATGGTACTTGCATTTTTTATACAATAGTATTCACTAAAAATGCAGTTTTCCTAAGATACTTCATTTCAACCTGGTAAAAACAAATGTTAAAACTGAATTTTCTCAAGCTAGTAGTTCACGCAGTGTCTTATTAAATGTTGAATATTACCATGTTTTCCTCAAAAATTTAAAATATCCTGTCACCACCCCTCCTTCCCCGTGAATTCGCTAGGGTACCATTAGGTAACTTGACACAGAGTTTGGATGCTATGACTATAAGGAAAAACTGCTGGGTGAAATGTCAGGGAATATTTGGAAATGGTCCATACTCAGCTAGTGTGTACCTTTTGCTTTTTGCCCATCATCCTTCCCCTGCTTCCTGCTTGGGATGTGATATGATATCTTAAAATGGAATAGCCATCTTACAATCATAAGAATAGAAGCCTCATCGTAAGGATGATATAACAGTAAGTTATAAGGAACTGGGTCCTCAGTGACTCCTTAGCCTTACTGGTCCTGAATTGCTCACCAATGAACCTTTTGTTACAAATGAATAATACCACAGTAAAGTTCCTATTAAATGCAGCTGACAGCAGTCTTAACTGACTTAGTCTAAAGTTTTATTTATTCCCCCATCAAGCATCAGTCTAAATTTGACACTTCCGTAAATGTTACTGCCATGTTAAAGGAGCAGTCAATATTTACAAGAATGGGAGGTACCTGAAGACCAGAACAAGCTTATTAAGGATGATGCTTTAATATTCTCCAGGTAAAGAAAATGCGCCAACTTTCCGAATCCTGGTAGTGAGTTGGTGAAATAGTGAAGTATTCCTGCAAAAATATGTAAATTTAGTAGCTGAGCTTGGGAACATTTGTTTAAATAAATGCACATTTAATGAACAATCTAGCCTTATTTACAGCAACTTTTCCAAGCTTTTTCTATGTAAGACATGAAATTGTAAGAACATTGGGCTGTTGCCATTGAAATAAATGATAATGCCAGGATCTATCCATTCACTATTAGCAATCTTGCTTGTTTTCAGTTTCACTTTATATCCTCTTTCCATGCTTTCTTGCTGTCACCCAATATAAGAGGTTCAAGGACAAATGCTTTCACTGTTACTTTAACATAGAGCTTTGAGTTTGACTTGTAAGTTAACTGCAAAAGAATACTTAACTCATTTGCTGGTGACAGAGAATTCTTCTGGAATTGTGGGTGATAACGGAACAAAAGTCAACTAATAGAAACACAAAAGCTGTATTCACAGTTTATCAAAGTATTTGAACATTAAACATATGTGCAGAAGTTCTTAAATTCTTGCCTTTTAAATCCTAGATTCCAAAGAACATTTTGTGTCCTTATACCTTACTGCCACTCCTACCTCTCTACTAATAATAGATGTGTATTATTTAAATTGCAAGGAGGAGAGAAGAACTCAGAATGTTTGTGATGGGTTTGACTTAGATATCTTCTATTATTTAGATCCTTTTTTCTTTGTCATTGAAATTATGTAGGAGAACAATAATCCTCACAAATTAAGGACATTAATACATACTGATGCCTATTACCCACAATGTGCTATGTTCTAGAAAGTGCTTTCATATATATTATTTTATTTAAGATTTCAGTTATTTCAACAAAAAGTTGAGAATATGTAGGGCAAGGTGGTGTGGTGGAAGGCTTAGTAGTCCAACAGATTGAGTTTGCAGCACAGTTTTGTCACTTAGTGGCTATTTGATTTTGTACAATACTTCAATAGAAGTGCTTTTCCATGTTGAAGATAAGGAGACCAAGTCTCAGGAGCTTTAGAAGTCTCAACCATTTATGCTTTAACAGAATAGCTAAAAGTTTTAGGAAAACAACCTCAACTGGCTCTGACAACTCAAACACGTCACAGACACCAGCAGCCTAACATGGTATTCTGTAATACTAGTTTTCTATAAGACTTAAAAACGAGCTTAGAGGCTCGGTGCTGTGGCTCATGTCTGTAATCCCAGCACTTTGGGAGGCCGAGGTGGGTGGATCACAAGGTCAAGAGATCAAGACCATCCTGGCCAATGTGGTGAAACCCTGTCTCTACAAAAAAAAAAAAAAAAAAGAAATAGCTGGGCATGGTGGCATGCACCTGTAGTCTTAGCTACTCAGGAGGCTGAGGCAGGAGAATAGCTTGAACCTGGGAGGTGGAGGTTGCAGTGAGCTGAGATCACACCACTGCACTCCAGCCTGGTGACTGAGCGAGACTCTGTTTCAAAAAAAAAAAAAAAAAAAAAAGAAAAAGCTTAGAAATTCTGTTCTTACCATTGAAAATTGAGACCATATGCATTCATGCAGCTAAACATCTGTAAGTGAGAGGTGAGATCACATGTGTCAACATGACTAAATATTTGTTTCAAAAAATTCCTGCCTAGGAAAAGATTGCCTGCTTGGGCAAACAGCAAACATAATAAAAAATTAGTTGACTTATGAAGATGTGCTTCATCTTCACAGGAAGAGCACATATGTTCACAATGTGCTCTTCCTGTGTCCACAAATCCAAATCTACTACATAGTGGACTTCGCCCAATTCAAATCAGTTTCCTGCCTTGAAAGACCAGCCTTAAACTACTTGATCTCAGACCCTAAAACTGTATATATTAGGTCAGTGCAATAGTCCCTTACTATGTTAGGTCTAATAAGTTTAGCTTTGCCAGGTAACATTTTTCCTAGTGGTCTTTTGAGGAATTGTCAGCCAACACTACTGATGATTATGTTTTGTACTCTATCACTTGAAAGGTGCTATGTAGTGTAGGGGTCAATAGCCTTGGCCCTCTGAAGATTCAGTGAAAATCGCTGACATGAGGCAGATTAATAAGAGGAAAAAGCATATAAATTTAAGATATGTGCACAACGCGTGCTTGGGGAGAATCATAGAGTGAGTGCCCATCCTTAAGCGGTTCAGAAGCTTTTTTTTTTTTTTTTTTTTGAGACAGTCTCGCTCTGTTGCCCAGGCTGGAGTGCAGTGGTGCAATCTCGGCTCACTGCAAGCTCCGCCTCCTGGGTTCACGCCATTCTCCCACCTCAGCCTCCTAAGTAGCTGGGACTACGGGCGCCCGTCACCACGCCAGGCTAATTTTTTATTTATTTATTTATTTTTTATTTTTAGTAGAGACGGGGTTTTGCTGTGTTAGCCAGGATGGTCTCGATCTCCTGACCTTGTGATCTGCCTGCCTCGGCCTCCCAAAGTGCTGGGATTACAGGCGTGAGCCACCACGCGCGGCCGGGTCAGAAGCTTTTATACCATCCTAGTAAAACAGGTTATGGTAGTAAGGAGAAGAAAATTCTGTTGAGAGGATTACTGGGGAGAATGAATGGATCCTGGAAGACAGATTAACTTGTAAATAGTTCTCTTTGACAGTTAAAGGGTCTGTTCAGGTGTGGTTACAATCTTGGTTGTATAGGAAGGGGAAGAAGAAACAATTATTTCTTTTCGTGAGTCTAGAGCTTAGGCAGATAAAGGTTTTGGGAAAGATGGTAGTGGGAAGAAGATCAGAAAACTTGAGGCTTCTTCCGTTCACCATGTCAACATGTCATATTTTGGAGTATTGGTTCCTGAACCACAACATTAGTAAAGAATTAATCATACCTAAAGAAAGATATGTAACCTTTGTTTTTTGTTCCTGGAAGGTAATCGCTAAGCCTTGGATTGACCTGCCTGAAAAGAGTGTCTGTTTAGTTAAAGGCCTTGGGTCACGTTGGATAATCTCACAATGTGATATATAATGTGGGTTTTGGACCATGTAGTATCAACTCGACTTCTGGAAGGGCTAGAGACTAAAGGTCAGTCATGTGGTGTCAACCATATCTATGTGACCAAGTGCCAATAGAAACTCTGAACATCAAGGCTTGCTTGAGCTTCTCTAATTGGCAATACTCCTTGAGTATGGTCACATGTGATAGCCTGGAGAAGGTAGCACTATCCATAACCTCACTGCGAAAGAACACCTGGAAATTCCACATGTGGAACTTGTTTGGACTCTGTCTTTTGTGCCACCTCCCATGGCTGATTTTAATCTGTATCCTTTCACTGTAATAATCCATGACCATTAGTACAACAGCTTTCACAGTGAATTCCAGCAAATTATCAAGAATAAGGGTGGTCTGGAGGACCCCTGAACTTATAATAGGCACCAGAGTGAGGATTATTTGGGGAACACTGAACTTGGCATTTGGTGTCAGAATGACAGTAGTCTTGGGAACTCTTCAACTTTGCAAATAGAATAACCCAACAAGGAGCATGACATGTTGCATTTTTTATTATATTTATTTTTTATAATTTCAAATTTTATTTTAGATTCTGGGGTACATGTGCAGGTTTGTTATCTGGGTATATTGCATGATGCTGAGGTTTGGAGTAGTATTGATCGCATCACCCAGGTAATGTGCATAGTACCCAAGAAGTTTTTCAATTCTTGTCCCCCTCCCTTCCTCCCACCTCTTGTGGTCCCCAGTGTCTGTTGTTGCCATCTTTATGTCCATGAGTTCTAATGTTAACTCCCACTTATAAGTGAGAACATGTGGCATTTGGTTTTCTGATTCTGCATTAATTTGCTTAAGATGATGGCCTCCAGCTGCATCCATAATGCTGCAAAGGATGTGATTTTGTACTTTTTAAATGGCTGCATAGTATTCCATAGTGTATATGGACCACATTTTCTTTATTTAATCCACCATTGATGGGTACATAGGTTGATTTCATGTTTTTGCTATTGTGAATAGTGCTGTGATGAACATGAGTGCATGTTTCTTTTTGGTAGAATGATTTATATTCCTTTGGCTACATACTCAGTAATAGAATTGCTGGGTCAAACAGTACTGTTCTTTGAAAAATATTTAAACTGCTTTCCACAGTGGCTAAACTGCTTTACATTCCCACCAACAGTGTAGAAGTGTTCCTTGTGCCCTGCTGCCTTGTCAACATCTGTTGCTTTTTTGACTTTTTAGTAATAGCCATTCTGATAGGTGTGAGAATGTATCTCACTATGGTTTTGATTTGTATTTCTCTGATGGTTAGCGATGATGCACATTTTTTCACATTTTTGTTGCTGGTTTGTATGTCTTCTTTTGAGAAGTGTCTGTTTATATCTTTTGCCCACTTTTTAATGGGATTTTTGTTTTTTGCTTATTGAATTAAGATTCTTATAGATTCTGGATAATAGAACTTTGTTGAATTCGTAGTTGGCAAAAATTTTCTACCATTCTGTAGGTTGTCAGTTTACTCTGTTAGTTTCTTTTGCTGTACAGAAGCTCTTTAGTTTAATTAGGTCCCTCGTTTTTTTTTTTTTGTTTTTTTTTTTTTGTTTTTTTGGTAATTGCTTTTGAGGATTTAGTTTTAACTTCTTTCCTAAGGCCAATATCCAGAATGGTGCTTCCTAGGTTTTCCTCTATGATTCCTGTAGTTCAAAGTCTTACATTTAAATCTTTAATTCCTCCTCCTCGATTTTTGGAATAGTTTCTTAGATTTGGTACCATGTCTTTCTTTATATATATCTAATAGAATCTGGCTGTGAATCCTCCTGGTGTGAGGTTTATATTTTTGTTGGTAGCATTTTTTTTAAGTGGGGTATTCATCACTTCATACATTTATCATTTCTTTGTGTTATAAACATTTCAATTATACTTTTATTTATGTCAAAATGTACAATAAATTATTGTTGATTTTAGTCAACACTTCCCTTTTCCCCACCCTCACTGTCATAATCACCATTCTACTCTCTGTTTCTATGAATTTGACTGTATTTAAGATTTCACATATATGTGTAATTATGCAGTATCTTTTTGTTTCTTTTACTTAGCATAATATCTTCTAGGTTCATGTATGTTGTCACAAATTGCAGGATTTATTTTCTTTAACTTCTTTTCATTTTAGTTTTTATGGGTATACAGTAGGTGTATATATTTATGGGGTACATGAAATATCTTGATGCAGGTATACAATGTGTAATAATCACATCAGGGAAAATGGGGTATCCATCACCTCAAGCATTCATCCTTTCTTTGTATTATGAACTTTCCAACTGTCCTCCCTCAGTTATTCTTAAATGTACAACAAATTACTGCTGACTGTAGTCATCTTGTTGTGCTATCAAATGCTAGATCTTATTCATTCTAAGTATATTTTTGTACCTATTAACCATCCCCATTCCTCCTGCTCCACCTTTCCTAGACTCTGGTAACGTTTATTCTACTCTCTATCTCCACGAGTTTAATTGTTTTAATTTTTAGGTTCCACAGATGAGTGAAAAATTGTAAGGATTATCTTTCTGTGCCTGGCTAATTTCACTTAAAATAATCTTGTCAAATTCCATTTGTATTACTGCAGTTGATAGGCTTTCATTATTTTAATAACTGAATAGTACTCCACATTTTATTTATTCTTCTGTTGATAGACACTAACTTTGATTCCAAATCTTGGCGTATGTGAATAGTGCTGCAATAAACATACAAGTACAGGTATCTATATGATGTACTGATCTTTTGGGGACATAACCTAGTAGTGGGATTCCTGGAGCATATGGCAGTTTATGTTTTAGTTTTTTGAGGAACTTTCATAGTGCTCTCTGTAGTGGCTATACTAATTTACATTTCTACCAACAGTGAATGAGGGCTCATGTTTCTCCACATCTTCACTGGCATTCATTATTGCCTATCTTTTGCATAAAAAGAGTTTTAACTGGGGTCAGATGATATCTCATTGTAGTTTTGATTTGCATTTCTCTGATTGTCAATGCTGTTGAGCACCATTTGATATACCTGTTTGCCATTTGTAAGTCTTCTTTTGAGAAGTGTCTATTAAGATATTTGCCCATCTTTTAATAGGATTACTGGACTTTTAAAAATTGAATTGTTTGAGCTCCTTCTATATTCTGGTTTTATATATATATATATTATATATATTCTCCTTATATATATTATATATAATTATATATATAAAATATATATATTCTCCTTATATATATTATATATAATTATATATATAAAATATATATATTCTCCTTATATATATAATATATATAATATATATATAACATATATATTCTCCTTATATATATTATATATATATATTCTCCTTATGTATATAATAGTGTCAGATTGATAGTTTGCTAATATTTTCTTCTATTATGTTGGCTGTCTCTTCATTTTGTTGATTGTTTTCTTTGTTGTGCATGAGGTTTTTTAACTTGACTTGATCCCATTTGTTCATTTCAGGTTTGATTGTCTGTGGTTGTGAGGTATTACTCAAGAAATCTTTGCCCAAACCAATGTCCTGGAGATTCTTCACAATGTTTTCTTGTAGTAGTTTCATAATTTGAGGTCTTAGATTTTAGTCTTCAATCCATTCTGATTTGATATTTATGGTGAGATGTAGGGGTCTAGTTTTATTCTTCTGCATATGGATATCTAGTTTTCCCAGAAAAATTTATAGAAAAAATGGTTTTTTCCTCATTGTATGTTTTTGGCACCTTTGTCAAAAATGATTTCGTCATAGGTGTACAGATTTATTTCTGGATTCTCTACTTTATTCCAGCAGTCTTTGTGTTAGTTCTTTCTTGCACTTCTATAAAAAAAATCTCAGATTCAGTGATTTATAAAGAAAAGAGGTTTAACTGGCTCACAGTTCCACATGCTGTACATGAAGTATGGCATCTGCTTCATGGAGGCCTCAGGAGACTTACAAACACAGCAGAAGGCAAGGGGAAGCAGGCACATCTTACCTGGCTGGAGCAGGAGGAAGAGAGAGAGAGAGGAGAGGTGCTATACAATTTTAAACAACCAGATCACACAAGAGCTCACTCACTATTGCAACAGAGTACCGAGGGAAAATCCACCCCCATGATCCAATTACATTCCACCAGGCACCATCTCCAGCACTGGGGATTAAATTTCAACTTGAGATTTAGATGGGGACACAGATGTAGTGGCCCCTCCTAAATCTCATGTTCTTCTCACATTTCAAAATATAATCATGCCTTCCCAACAGTCTTCCAAAGTCTTAACTCATTCCAGCGTTAGCTAAAATGTCCACAGCCTAAAGTCTTATCTGAAATATAGTCCCTTCTGCCAAAGAGCCTGTACAAACAACAACGATGACGACGACAACAACAACAACAACAACAACAACAACAACAAAGTTAGTTACTTCCAAGATGCAATGGGCATATAGGCATTGCGCAAATACTCCCATTCCAAAAGTGAGAAATCAGCCAAAAGAAATGAGCTACAGGTCCTATGCGAGTCTGAAGCCCAGCAGGGCAGTCATTAAATCTTTTTTTTAAATTTTATTACTATTATACTTTAAGTTTTAGGGTACATGTGCACAACGTGCAAGTTTGTTACATATGTTTACATGTGCCATGTTGGTGTGCTGCACCCATTAACTCATCATTTACCATTAGGTATCTCTCCTAATGTTATCCCTCCCCCCTCCCCCCACCCCACAACAGTCCCCGGTGTGTGATGTTCCCCTTCCTGTGTCCATGTGTTCTCATTGTTCAATTCCCACCTATGAGTGAGAACATGCAGTGTTTGGTTTTTTGTCCTTGCGATAGTTTGCTGAGAATGATGGTTTCCAGTTTCATCCATGTCCCTACAAAGTACATGAACTCATCATTTTTTATGGCTGCATAGTATTTCATTGTATATATGTGCCACATTTTCTTAATCCAGTCTATCGTTGTTGGACATTTAGGTTGGTTCCAAGTCTTTGCTATTGTGAATAGTGCCGCTATAAACATACGTGTGCATATGTCTTTACAGCAGCATGATTTATAATCCTTTGGGTATATACCCAGTAATGGGATTGCTGGGTCAAATGGTATTTCTAGTTCTAGATCCTTGAGGAATCGCCACACTGTCTTCTACAATAGTTGAACTAGTTTACAGTCCCACCACCAGTGTAAAAGTGTTCCTGTTTCTCCACATCCTCTCCAGCAGCTGTTGTTTCCTGACTTTTTAATGATTGCCATTCTAACTGGTGTGAGATGGTATCTCATTGTGGTTTTGATTTGCATTTCTCTGATGGCCAGTGATGGTGAGCATTTTTTCATGTGTTTTTTGGCTGCATAAATGTCTTCTTGTGAGAAGTGTCTGTTCATATCCTTCACCCAGTTTTTGATGGGGTTGTTTGTTGTTTTCTTGTAAATTTGTTTGAGTTCATTGTAGATTCTGGATATTAGCCCTTTGTCAGATGAGTAGGTTGCAAAAAATTTTCTCCCATTCTGTAGGTTGCCTGTTGACTCTGATGGTAGTTTCTTTTGCTGTGCGGAAGCTCTTTGGTTTAATTAGATCCCATTTGTCAATTTTGTCTTTTGTTGCCATTGCTTTTGGTGTTTTAGACATGAAGTACTTGCCCATGCCTATGTCCTGAATGGTATTGGCTAGGTGTTCTTCTAGGGTTTTTATGGTTTTAGGTCTAACATTTAAGTCTTTAATCCATCTTGAATTAATTTTTGTATAAGGTGTAAGGAAGGGATCCAGTTTCAGCTTTCCACATATGGCTAGCCAGTTTTCCCAGCACTATTTGTTAAATAGGGAGTCATTTCCCCGTTGCTTGTTTTTCTCAGGTTTGTCAAAGATCAGATAGTTGTAGATATGTGGCATTATTTCTGAGGGTTCTCTTCTGTTCTATTAATCTATATCTCTGTTTTGGTGCCAGTTCCATGCTGTTTTGGTTACTGTAGCCTTATAGTATATTTTGAAGTCAGGTAGCGTGATGCCTCCAGCTTTGTTCTTTTGGCTTAGGATTGACTTGGCGATGTGGGCTCTTTTTTGGTTCCATATGAACTTTAAAGTAGTTTCTTCCAATTCTGTGAAGAAAGTCATTGGTAACTTGATGGGGATGGCATTGAATCTATAAATTACCTTGGGCAGTATGGCCATTTTCATGATATTGATTCTTCCTACCCATGAGCATGGAGTGTTCTTCCATTTGTTTGTATCCTCTTTTATTTCGTTGAGCAGTGGTTTGTAGTTCTCCTTGAAGAGGTCCTTCACATCCCTTGTAAGTTGGATTCCTAGGTGTTTTATTCTCTTTGAAGCAATTGTGAATGGGAGTTCACTCATGATTTGGCTCTCTGTTTGTCTGTTATTGGTGTATAAGAATGCTTGTGATTTTTGTACATTGATTTTGTATCCTGAGACTTTGCTGAAGTTGCTTATCAGCTTGAGGAGATTTTGGGCTGAGACAATGGGGTTTTCTAGATATACAATCATGTCATCCGCAAACAGGGACAATTTGACTTCCTCTTTTCCTAATTGAATACCCTTTATTTCCTTCTGCCTGATTTCCCTGGCCAGAACTTCCAACATTATGTTGAATTGGATTGGTGAGAGAGGGCATCCCTGTCTTGTGCCTATTTTCGAAGAGAATGCTTCCATTTTTTGCCCATTCAGTATGATATTGGCTGTGGGTTTGTCATAGATAGCTCTTATTATTTTAAGATACGTCCCATCAATACCTAATTTATTGAGAGTTTTTAGCATGAAGGGTTGTTGAATTTTGTCAAAGGCCTTTTCTGCATCTATTGAGATAATCATGTGATTTTTGTCTTTGGTTCTGTTCATATGTTGGATTACATCTACTGAATTTGCATATGTTGTACCAGCCTTGCGTTGCAGGCATGAAGCCCACTTGATCATGGTAGATAAGCTTTTTGATGTGCTGCTGGATTCAGTTTGCCAGTATTTTATTGAGGATTTTCGCATCAATGTTCATCAAGGATATTGGTCTAAAATTCTCTTTTTTGGTTGTGTCTCTGCCCAGCTTTGATATCAGGATGATGCTGGCCTCATAAAATGAGTTAGGGAGGATTCCCTCTTTTTCTTTTAATTGGAATAGTTTCAGAAGGAATGGTACCAGCTCCTCTTTGTACCTCTGGTAGAATTCGGCTGTGAATCCATCTGGTCCTGGACTTTTTTTGGTTGGGAAGCTATTGATTATTGCCTCAATTCCAGAGCCTGTTATTGGTCTATTCAGAGATTCAACTTCTTCCTGGTTTAGTCTTGGGAGGATGTATGTGTCGAGGAATTTATCAATTTCTTCTAGATTTTCTAGTTTATTTGTGTAGAGGTGTTTATAGTATTCTCTGATGGTAGTTTGTGTTTCTGTGGGATCGGTGGTGATATCTCCTTTATCATTTTTTATTGTGTCTATTTGATTCTTCTCTCTTTTCTTCTTTGTTAGTCTTGCTAGCGGTCTGTCAATTTTGTTGATCTTTTCAAAAAACCAGCTCCTAGATTCATTAATTTTTTGAAGGGTTTTTTGTGTCTATCTCCTTCAGTTCTGCTCTGATCTTAGTTATTTCTTGCCTTCTGCTAGCTTTTGAATGTGTTTGCTCTTGCTTTTCTAGTTCTTTTAATTGTGATCTTAGGGTGTCAATTTTGGATCTTTCCTGCTTTGTCTTGTCAGCATTTAGTGCTATAAATTTCCCTCTACACGCTGCTTTGAATGTGTCCCAGAGATTCTGGTATGTTGTGTCTTTGTTCTCATTGGTTTCAAAGACCATCTTTATTTCTGCCTTTATTTCGTTATGTACCCAGTAGTCATTCAGGAGCAGGTTGTTCAGTTTCCATGTAGTTGAGTGGTTTTGAGTGAGTTTCTTAATCCTGAGTTCTAGTTTGATTGCATTGTGGTCTGAGAGACAGTTTGTTATAATTTATATTCTTTTACATTTGCTTTACTTCCAACTATGTGGTCAGTTTTGAAGTAGGTGTGGTGTGGTGCTGAAAAGAATGTATATTCTGTTGATTTGGGGTGAAGAGTTCTGTAGATGTGTATTAGGTCCACTTGGTGCAGAGCTGAGTTCAATTCCTGGGTATCCTTGTTAACTTTCTGTCTTGTTGATCTGTCTAATGTTGACAGTGGGGTGTTAAAGTCTCCCATTATTATTGGATGGGAGTCTAAGTCTCTTTGTAGGTCTCTAAGGACTTGCTTTATGGATCTGGGTGCTCCTGTATTGGGTTCATATATATTTGGGATAGTTAGCTCTTCTTGTTGAATTGATCCCTTTACCATTATGTAATGGCCTTCTTTGTCTCTTTTGATCTTTGTTGGTTTAAAGTCTGTTTTATCAGAGACTAGGATTGAAACCCCTGCCTTTTTTTGTTTTCCATTTGCTTGGTAGATCTTCCTCCATCCTTTTATTTTGAGCCTATGTGTGTCTCTGCACGTGAGATGGGTTTCCTGAATACAGCACACTGATGGGTCTTGACTCTTTATCCAATTTGCCAGTCTGTGTCTTTTAATTGGAGCATTTAGCCCATTTACATTTAAAGTTAATATTGTTATGTGTGAATTTGATCCTGTCATTATGATGTTAGCTGGTTATTTTGCTCGTTAGTTGATGCAGTTTCTTCCTAGCCTCAATGGTCTTTACAATTTGGCATGTTTTTGCAGTGGCTGTTACTGGTTTTTCCTTTCCATGTTTAGTGCTTCCTTCAGGAGCTCTTTTAGGGCAGGCCTGGTGGTGACAAAATCTCTCAGCATTTGCTTGTCTGTAAAGTATTTTATTTCTCCTTCACTTATGAAGCTTAGTTTGACTGGATATGAAATTCTGGGTTGAAAATTCTTTTCTTTAAGAATGTTGAATATTGGTCCCCCCTCTCTTCTGGCTTGTAGAGTTTCTGCCAAGAGATCAGCTGTTAGTCTGATGGGCTTCCCTTTGTGGGTAACCTGATCTTTGTCTCTGGCTGCCCTTAACATTTTTTCCTTCATTTCAACTTTGGTGAATCTGACAATTATGTGTCTTGGAGTTGCTCTTCTCGAGGAGTATCTTTGTGGCATTCTCTGTATTTCGTGAATTTGAATGTTGGCCTGCCTTGCTAGATTGGGGAAGTTCTCCTGGATAATATCCTGCCGAGTGTTTTCCAACTTGGTTCCATTCTCCCTGTCACTTTCAGGTACACCAATCAGACGTAGATTTGGTCTTTTCACTTAGTCCCATATTTCTTGGAGGCTTTGTTTCTTTTTATTCTTTTTTCTCTAAACTTCTCTTCTCGCTTCATTCATTCATTTGATCTTCCATCACTGATACCCTTTCTTTCAGTTGATTGCATTGGCTACTGAGGCTTGTGCATTCGTCACATAGCTCTCGTGCCTTGGTTTCGGCTCTATCAGGTCCTTTAAGGACTTCTTTGCATTGGTTATTCTAGTTATCCATTCATCTAATTTTTTTTCAAAGCTGTTAACTTCTTTGCCATTGGTTCGAATTTCCTCCTGTAGCTTGGGGTAGTTTGATCGTCTGAAGCCTTCTCCTCTCAACTCATCAAAGTCATTGTCTGTCCAGCTTTGTTCCATTACTGGTGAGGAGCTGCATTCCTTTGGAGGAGGAGAGGTGCTCTGATTTTTAGAATTTCCAGTTTTTCTGCTCTGTTTTTTCCCCATCTTTGTGGTTTTATCTACCTTTGGTCTTTGATGATGGTGACGTACAAATGGGTTTTTGGTGTGGATGTCCTTCCTGTTTGTTAGTTTTCCTTCTAAAAGACAGGACCCTCAGCTGCAGGTCTGTTGGAGTTTGCTAGAGGTCCACTCCAGACACTGTTTGCCTGGGTATCAGCAGCGGTGGCTGCAGAACAGCAGATATTGGTGAACTGCAGATGCTGCTGCCTGATCCTTCCTCTGGAAGTTTTGTCTCAGAGGAGTACCCAGCCGTGTGAGTTGTCAGTCCTCCCCTATTGGGGTGTGCCTCCCAGTTAGGCTACTTGGGGGTTAGGGACCCACTTGAGGAGGCAGTCTGCCCATTCTCAGATCTCAAGCTGCGTGCTGGGAGAACCACTACTCTCTTCAGAGCTGTCAGAGAGGGACATTTAAGTCTGCAGACGTTACTGCTGTCTTTTTGTTTGTCTGTGCCCTGCCTTCAGAGGTGGAGCCTAAAGAGACAAGCAGGCCTCCTTGAGCTGTGGTGGGCTCCACCCAGTTTGAGCTTCCCGGCTGCTTTGTTTACCTAATCAAACAACTAACTCGGCAATGGCGGGCCCCCCTCCCCCAGCCTTGCTGCCACCTTGCAGTTTGATCTCAGACTGCTGGGGTAGCAATGAGCAAGACTCCGTCAGCGTAGGACCCTCTGAACCATGTGCGGGATATAATCTCCTGGTGTGCCGTTTTTTTAAGCCTGTAGGAAAATCGCAGTATTAGGTTGGGAGTGACCCAATTTTCCAGGTGCCATCTCTCTCTGCTTTCTTTGACTAGGAAAGGGAATTCCCTGACCCCTTGTGCTTCCTGGGTGAGGCGATGCCTCACCCTGTTTCGGCTCATGCACAGTGTACTGCACCCACTGTCCTGCACCTACTATCTGGCACTCCACAGTGAGATGAACCCGGTACCTCAGTTGGAAATGCAGAAATCACCCGTCTTCTGCATTGCTCATGCTCGGAGCTGTAGACTGGAGCTGTTCCTATTCGGCCATCTTGGCTCCTCCCCTCCCAGTCATTAAATCTTAAAGGTCCCAAATAATCTCCTTTGACTCCATATCCCACATCCAGGGTATGCTGATTCAAAGTGTGGGCTCCCATGGTCTTGGGCAGCTCTACCCCTGTGACTTTCCAGGATTCAGTCCCCACTTCTGCTCTCATGGACTGGCTTTGAATGCCTATGACTTTTCCAGGTGTAGGATGCAAGCTGCCAGTTGGTCTACCATACGGAGTCAAGAGGATTGTGGCCTTCTGCTCATAGCTCCATTAGGCAGTGCCCCAGTGGGGACTCTGTGTGTGGGCTCCAACCCCACATTTCCCCTTTGCACTGTCCTAATAGAGGTTCTCCATGAGGACTCTGCCCTTGCAGCACGCTTGTGCCTAGACATCCAGGCTTTTCAATACATCTGCTGAAATCTAGGTGGAGGCTCCCAAGCCTCAACACTTGCACTCTGTGTGCCTGCAGGCTTAACACCATGTGGAAGCCACCAAGGCTTATGGCTTGCAACCTCTAAAGCAGCAATGTGAAATGCATCTGCCCCCCCTTTAGCTAGGGCTGGAGCTGGAGTGACTGGGAAGGAGGCAACAGTGTCCCAAGGCTGCACAGCACAGTGGGGCCCCTGGCTTTGCCCATGAAGCCATTCTTTCCTCCAAAACCTCTGGACCTGTGATGGGAAGGGCATCCCTGTAGATCTCTAAATGCCTTCAAGGCCTTTTTTCTCATTGTCTGTGATATTAGCATTTGACTTCTCTTTTTTTTTTTCTACCACATGGCCAGGGTGCAAATTTTCTAAACTTTTATCCTCTGTTTCCCTTTTAAATATAACTTCCAGTTTCAGGTCATTTCTTTGCTTATGCATAGGAGCATATGCTGTTAGAAGCAGCCAGGCCACATCTTCAACACTGCTGTTTAGAAATTTCTTCTGCCAGTTACTCTAAATCATCATTCTCAAGTACAAAGTTCCACAGATACCGAGGGCAGAGTCACAATGCACCCAATCTCTTTGCTAATGTGTAACAAAAGTGACCTTTGCTCCAATTCCCAATAAGTTCCTCATCTCCATCTGAGACCTCCTCAGCCTGAACTTCATTGTCCATATCAGTATCAGCATTTTGGTCACAACAATTTATCAAGTCTCTAGGAAGGTTCAAACTTTCCCTCATCTGCTCATTACCCAGTTCCAAAACTGCTTCCACATTTTCAGATATCTTTATAGCAATGCCTGACTCCTGGGTACCAATTTTCTGTCTTAGTCCATTCTCACAGTGTTATAAAGAAATACCTAAGACTCAGTGATTTATAAAGAAAAGAAGTTTAAATGGCTCACAGTTCTGCAGGCTGTACAGGAAGCAGGGCAGGACTTGCTTCAGGGAGGCCTCAGAAAACCTACAATCATGGCAAAAGGTAAATGGGAAGCAGGCATGTCTTACGTGGCTGGAACAGGAGGAAGAGAGACGGGAAGACACTACATATTTTTAAACAACCAGATCTCACTTATGAGAACTCACTCACTATTTTGACACAGTGCCAAGAAGGGAATCTACTTCCCTGATCCAATCACATCCCATCAGGCCCCACCTCCAGCATGAAAGATTAGATTTCAACATGAGATTTGGTTGAAGACACAGATCCAAACCATATCAGTCGATGTGTCTGTCTTTGTAACAGTACTATGCTGTTTTTGTTACTATAGCTTTGTAGTATAATCTGAAGTCAGTAATGTGATTCCTCCAGTTTTGTTCTATTTACTCAGGATGACTTTGACTATTCTGGCTGGGTCTTTTGTGGTTCCATATAAATTATATGATTATTTTTTCTATTTCTGTGAAGAATGTCATTGGTATTTTGCTAGAGATTGCATTGAATCTATTGCTGTCTTTGGTTAGTATGGACATTTTCACAATGATGATTCTTCCAATCCATAAGTATGAAATATTTTTTAATTTGTGTGTGCCCTGTAATTATTTTGGCTCATCGTTTTATAGTTTTTGTTGTAGAGATCTTTCACTTCTTTGTTTAAGCTTATTCCTATGTATCTTGTTTCATTTTTAGCTATTGTAAATGGGATTATTTCTTGATTTTCTTTTCAGATTGTTCACTGAAGGCATTTAGGAATGCTGCTGATTTTTATATGTTGATTTTGTATCCTACAACTTCATTTAATTCATTTATCAGCTCTAATAGTCCTTTAGTGGAATCTTTAGGTTTTTCCAAGAATAAGATCATTACATCTGCATACAAGGATAAGTTGACTTCTTCCTTTCCTATTTACATGCCCTTTATTTCTTTCTCTTGTCTGATGGCTCTATCTAGAAATTCCAATAGTATGCTGAATACAAGTACTGAAAGTGGGCATCCTTTTCTTCTTCCATATCTTAGAGGAAATACTCTTTGTTTTTCTCCATTCTGTATGATACTAGCAGTGGGTCTGTTATATATGACTTTTATTCTGTTGGACTATGTTCCTTCTATACTCATTTTTTTGAAGTATTTTATCATGAAGCAATGTTGAATTTTATGTAATGCTTTTTCAGCATCAATTGAAATGATCATATGGTTTTTGTTGTTCATTCTGTTGATATGATGTATCACATTGATTTGCATATGTTGAACCATTCTTGCAATCCCAGTTGGTTATGATGACTGTTCTTAATGCGTTGTTGAATTCAGTTTGCTAGTATTTTTTTGAGGACTTTGGCATCAATATTCATCAGGGATATTTTTCTGTAGTTTTGTTTTTTTTAATGTGTCTTTGGTTTTGGTATCAGTAATACTGGCCTCATGGAATGCATTTCAAAATATTCACTCCTTCTCTATTTTTCAGAATAGTTTGAGTAAGATTGGTATTAATGCCTCTTTAAATGTTTGTTAAAATTTAGCAGTGAGGCCATTGGGTCCTAGGCTTTTATTTAGTGGGAGGCTTTTTTTTTTTTTTTTTTTTTGAGACGGAGTCTCGCTCTGTCGCCCAGGCTGGAGTGCAGTGGCGGGATCTTGGCTCACTGCA
The DNA here is from genome assembly GCF_000001405.40 of Homo sapiens. Classification (NCBI taxonomy): domain Eukaryota; kingdom Metazoa; phylum Chordata; class Mammalia; order Primates; family Hominidae; genus Homo; species Homo sapiens. The sequence continues at coordinate 186,227,328 of NC_000002.12, read as the reverse complement.
AGCTCTGCCTCCCGGGTTCACGCCATTCTCCTGCCTCAGCCTCCCAAGTAGCTGGGACTACAGGCGCCCGCCACTACGCCTGGCTAATTTTTTGTATTTTTAGTAGAGACGGGGTTTCACCGTTTTAGCCGGGATGGTCTTGATCTCCTGACCTCATGATCCGCCTGCCTCGGCCTCCCAAAGTGCTGGGATTACAGGCGTGAGCCACCGCGCCCGGCCAGTGGGAGGCTTTACTACAGTTTCTTTCTTTTTTTTTTTTTTTCCTTGAGACAGAGTCTCACTCTGTCACCCAGGCTGGAGTGCAATGGCATGATCTCGGCTCATTGCTGCCTCTGTCTCCCAGGTTCAAGCGATTCTCCTGCTTCAGCCTCCTTCATAGCTAGTGTTAAAGGCAGGCACCATTACACCTGGCTAATTTTTGTATTTTTAGTAGAGATGGGGTCTTGGTCTCACTACTTGGTATTGGTCTATTCACCTTTTGTATTTCTTATGGTTCAATCTTGGTGGTTTGTATGTGCCTAAGAATTTATCCATTTCTTCTAGGTTTTCTAATTTCTTGGCATATAATTGCTTATAGTAGTCTTGAATGATTCTTTGAATTTCTGTAGTTTCAGTTCTATTTTCTTTCTTTTCATCTCTGATTTTATTTACTTTGGTCTTCTCTCTTTTTTTCTTAGTTTGGCTAATACTTTGTTGATATTATCATTTCAAAATACCAATTTTTGTTTCATTAATCTTTTGTATTTTTTACTTCAATTTTATTTCTGTTATGACTTTTTCTTCTAACTTTGGGTTTGGTTTGCTCTTGCTTTTCTAATTCTTTAAGATGCATCATTAGGTTGTTTATTTGATGTTTTGCTACTTTTTTGATGTGGATACTTACTGCTATAAACTTTTCTTGGCACTGTTTTTGTCTTATTCCATAGGCTTTTGTATTCTGTATTTCCATTTTCATTTGTTTCAAGAAGTTTCTAAATTTCCTTCTTAACTTCATTGACCAACTGGTCATTCAGGAGCATATTGTTTAATTTCTATGTGTTTATATAGTTCCCAAAGTTCCTCTTGTTATTGATTTCTAGTTTTATTCCATTGTGATTAGATAAGGTACTTGATATAATTTCAGCTTGTGTTTTTTTTTGTTTTTGTTTTTGTTTTTTTCTTATTTTTTGAGATGGAGTTCCACTGTGTCACCAGGCTGGAGTGCAGTGGCACGATCTCAGCTCACTGCAACCTCCGCCTCCCAGGTTTAAGCAATTCTCCTGCCTCGGCCTCTCCAGTAGCTGGGGTTACAGGCACATGCCACCACATCCAGCTAATTTTTGTATTTTTAGTAGAGACGGGGTTTCACCATGTTGGCCAGGATCATCTTGATCTTTTGACCACATGATCTGCGCACGTCGGCCTCCCAAAGTGCTGGGATTACAGGTGTGAGCCACCGTGCCTGGCCTGTTTGAATTTTTAAAGACTTGTTTTGTGGTCTAACATATGGTTTATTCTTGAGAATAACCCATGTGCTTAGGAGAAGAAAGTATATTTTGCAACCTTTGAATGAAACATTCTGTAAATATCTGTTAGACCCATTCGATCTATAGTGCAGATTAAGTCTGTTGTCTTTGTTAATATTTTGCCTGAAAGATCTGTACAGTATTGAAAGTGGGGCTATTAAAATCTCCAGCTATTATTGTATTGGGGTCTGTCTTTTTCTTTAGCTCCATTAATATTTGCTTTTTATATCTGGGTGCTCTGATATTGGGTACATATATATTTACAATTGTTATATTTTCTTACTAATTTGACTCTTTTGTCATTATATGGTAACCGTCTTGGTCACTTCTTGTAGTTTTTATCTTGAAATCTATTTTTTTTTCTGATATAATTATAGCTACTCCTGCTCTTTTTTGGTTTTCATTGTCATGGAATGTCTTTTGCCATACCTTTATTTTCAGTCTCTGTGTGCCTTTGTAGGTAAAGTGTGTTTCTGGTAGACAGCAGATCATAAGGTCTTGGTTTTTGTTGTCTATTTAGCCATGCTACCTCTTTTGCTTGGAGAGTTTAGTCTGCTAACATTCCATGTTATTATCGATAAGTAAGGACTTATTACTGCCATTTTGTAATTTGTATTTTGGTTGTTTTGTGGTCTTTTCTTCCATCCTTTCCTTCTTGTTTTCTTTTTGGTGTAGATGGTGTTCTCTGGTGGCATTTTTTAATTTCTTGCTTCTTATTTTTTTGTGTATCCATTGTAGGTTTTTCATTTGAGGTTACCATGAAGTTTGCAAATAATATAACACATTATTTTAAACAAATTCAAACTTAATACTGATTGCAAAAACAAATAAACTAACAAGCAAGGAGAGAACTAAAGAAACTGTACAGTTTAACTTGATCACCTCTGCTTTTTAACTTTTTGTGGTTTATTTATATCTCATTATACTGTCTGTGTCTTGAAAAGTTGTTATAGCTTTTATTTTTGATAGGTTTATCTTTTAGTTGCTCTACTTGAGGTATAAGTAGTTTGCACACCACAGTTACGGAGGTCTAATATTCTGAGTATTTCTGTGTACTTATTATTACCAGAGAGTTTGTACCTTCAGGTGATTTCTTATTGTTCATTAATGTCCTTTACTTTCAGATTGAAGAACTTCCTTTAGCATTTCTTGTTGGACAGGTCTGGTGTTGATGACATTTCTCAGCTTTTGTCTGGGAAAGTCTTTATTTCTTCTTTCTGTTTGAAGGATGTTTTTTGCCAGTTATACTGTTCTTGGGTAAATTTTGTTTTCCTTTAGCACTTTAAGTGTGTCATGCCACTCTCTCCTGCTCTGTAAGGATTCCTTGAGAATTCTGCTGCCAGACATATTGGAGCTCATTTTATGTTATTTGTTTCTTTTCTCTTACAGCTTTTTGGATATTTTCTTTATCATTGGGAGCTTAATTATTAAATACTTTGAGATAGTCTTCTTTGGGTCAATCTGCTTGGTGTTCTATAACTTTCTTGTACTCCTTGCCCTGCAGTGACCACTGCCTGACTACCACCAATGTTCACTCAAGGTCCAGACCTCTTAAGTCAGCAGGTGGTGAATTCAGCCAGTCTAGTGTTCTACTTTCCATGGAATTCAGCTCCCTACTGGTCCATGGCAGTTCCCAGAATGCCATCCAGGAGCCACGGCCTGGAGTCAGGCACCTTAGGAACCTACTTGGTGCTTCATTTTACTGTGACTGAGTTAACACACAAGCTACAAGACAAAGTTCTTCCCACTCCTTTCTCTCCTTTCCTCATGCCAACAGAGTATCTCTCCATGGCCACCACTGCCCCAGGCCTTTGGCAATTACCACCTGACTATTGCCAATGTTCACTCAAGGCCCAGTTAGCTTGTGGTGAATGCTGCCAGGCCTGGGTCTCTCTTCAGGTCAGTGGGCTCCTGTGTGGCCCAGGGTATGACCAGAAGTGCCATCCAGGAGCCAGGGCCTGGAAACAATGACCCTAGGAGTCTGCTTGGTGCTCTCTCTCAATGTGGCTGAGCTGGTACCCAAGCTATAGAGGGAACAAGGTCTCCTTTACTCTTCTTCTCCTTTCCTTGAGCAGAAGAAGTCTCTCCCCAGGGTCACCACAGCTGAGAATGTACTGGGTAACACCTGAAGCCAGCATGGCCTTAGGTCTCACCCAGGGCCTGTGGTGAGAACTGCCTGAGTACCACTGATGTTTATTTAAGACCCAAGGGTTCTTTAGTCAGCAGATGATAAACCCTGCCAGGACTGGGTCATTTCCATCAAGGCAGTGGGTTCTCTTCTGGCCCAAGGTAGGTCTAGCAATGTCAACTAGGAGCTACTCCTACAATGGGAGCCTCAAAACTGGTACCCTATTTTACTGTGGCTGAACTGGAATCCAGCTTGTTAAGACAAAGTCCTCTTTACTCTCTCCTCTCTTCTCCTCAAGTAGAAGGAAAGAGGCTCTCCTGGAGCTGTGAGCTACCTGGTGTTAGGGGAGGGGTAACACAAGCACTCCCTTGGCTGCCCCAACTGGTGTCTCACTAGGTCACATGCACCCCAAGTCCACTGGCTCCAAGCCCATCACAGCCCCTGGACTTGACCAGAAATTACAGTCCTTGTGGCCTAGGCTGCTTTTCAAGTTTATTTAGGATCACAGAGTACTTTAGCTTGTGGTAGGGCTAGCTAGAACTCAGGTTCTACTGGGATTGATGATGCCCATCTGGCTAGGGCTGGTCTAAATGCTCCCTGGATGGGCACCTGCAGATTCTGCCCTGTATTGTTTTCTAGTGTGACAGGACAGCACTGAGTTCCAATGCAAAGTCTCACAATCACAATGCTCTCTCTCCCCTAAGCACACAGATTTTATCTCTGTGTCATGTAGCCACTGCTGGGGGATAGGGGAGGCGTGGTGTCAGCAATTCAAGACTATCTTTCCTACCCTCCTCATGCCTATTTCTTTGATATGATGTGAAAACTAGGTCCTGTGATTGCTTGCCTGATTTTTGGTTCATATGAAGGTGCTTTGTTGTATGGATAATTGTTCAATTTGATATTCCTGTGGAGGTGACAATCACTGGAGGCTTCTATTTTGCCTTCTTCTTCCACCTTCCTGTTGGTTAATTGGTACGTTTTTATTACTGGTTCAATTTCAGAACTCGATATTGGTCTGTTTAGGGTTTCAGCTTCTTCATGATTGAATTTTGGGAGGTTGGGCACACTGTAGTTTGAATAAGACATTCAGGGATAATGCTAATACTTACTAATTTTTCTTCTTTTGCATAGTAAGGCAAAATGTTGAGAAATATTAAGTAGTAAGAACCTCTGGTTATAGCCTTGCTTCATTGGGATATAAACCAGTTCATTCTATGTATTCAAAGTCTATAGAGTAGAAGAAATACTAAATTCTAATAATATTGCTGCATTAGATTTGCATCTATCTAATTCCCCAATATTTCTTTGAGAAATCTTTACTTCATGAATGAATAAATGGTGGCCTAGAGAGACTCAGTACTTTTCTCAGATCCATGAAAATAATAAAGCTCTTATATTAAGGTTTTCTGATTAAAAATTCAGGATTCTTTCTTTTAGGAAATGCTGTGTCTTATTCCAGTTTTACCCATCAAAATCTACAGGGGCACATACATTCTATGAAATAAGAGTCTCTGAAACACATTGTTCTGTAACCTCAGCAATATATTTTTGTGGCAGAAAAATTTTTGGCATATTCATATGCATTTTCTTTTGGTATTTTCCCACTATCCTTATCCCATTGAATAAGTTAATTCTGTCATTTTTCTGTCTTGGAATTTTTCTGGCAAGGTAAAAGTACATTTTGTGTTCCAGACATTTCTCTTGTTTTCTGGCTTTTGTTTCCAAAGACTGTAGTTCATTTAAGACAATAGGGCTCAATGGAAGAGCGTGTCCAAAGGCTATGGAATTTCCAAAGGCTACAGAGAGTGATTTTCTACAGACAATAAAGATTTTTCTTTTTTTGCTAGGGATAGGAAAGAATGGTCTGTGCCATCCACCACAGAGAGCTACACCCTGTGCCCTGGCAGTGATATTCACATATGGCAGTCATGAAAGGAAATGGCCATGGCATACACTAGGAAACTGGATTCTAGTCCAGAGAACCCTAATATTATTGAAGACTCAGGACCCAAGGTGTGCCACAAAAATGATGAAATAAATGACAGATTTGAAAGAGCCATATGGGTAGAAAAATGAGGAACTAAATGATAAGCATTATGAAAAAATAATTAGCTAAATTAGCCCCCACTCCTAATATCCTAGTGCTGAATAAAATCTAAGACCTTACCTTAATCCTAAAGGGACCTTCCAAGAATAGCTGTGATCTGAATTTTATTACAGCTTCACACGATGTGGGCTTGGAGTTAAATAAATTTACAGAAAAACAGTAATGCATCATCTAAGTTTGTGAACTAAATTTATATCTGTTTCATCATTCATTTTCTTCCTTCTTCCTAATAAAGATTTCTCTAGTGTATCTCAGACCATTTGTTTATTTCAATGTTTTGTAAAAGTTTAGGTGCATTTCTCCGGAACACATATTTCTAGATTTGTAGCAAAATGGAAGGCCTCTGTATTTTTATGGTTATTTATAACCCATTTTTATTTTCAATGACAATTAATATACTTGGTTCTATTTGTGACATATTGTCACCATGTTAATATATCTTTTAATTTTGAATTTTTCTTGACTCTGGTAGAATTTTTAATTTATTTTATGAGAGGTTTGGGTTTGCTTTTTGAAATACACGGTACATTATATTTCCAAACATTCAAAATTATGTTTACTTTTAAAGGAACATGTAATTTTTTCTTTGTTCAATATTGAGCTTTGACCTGTATCTATCTATAATTGTGGTGGCCAAAAAGATGTGTTTCTCAATATCAGAGAATATGCAGAGAGCATTGTTGACTAATGCCCCCAATTGTGGTGCTCAGAAATTCATCATCATGTTTGCAATGAAGCTATATCTCCTGGGGTAGGTGACTGAGGCCAACAGGGATACTAAGGAAGGCCCATTCTTAGGAGGTGTGGGACTCCTCTGACAGATAATGATTTTGGCTCAAAGACTCCACGATGTGCTTTTATATGCCTGTACTGTGGTCTAAGACAGTTCCGGCCAATCTTCCTTCTTTCCTCTTTCCTTCAATCAGTCAAACCTACACCATGGTCCAATGGTTCTCTCAGCCTCTTCTGGCTCCCTCCCAACTTTACGTCTCACTGGACTTGCTTTTAATAAATCTCTTATAGAGCTAATTCCAACTTGGCATCTGCTTATGAGAGGCGCATGCCAGCATATCTCCTCCAAAGTAAGAAGACAGTTGCCACATATTATTTTCTCTTAAGAAGTGGGGACAGTGGCTGTAAGAGCTGCAATGATCATGAAGATGCATCGATTAGATTTCTGGCTGTAGGGAGCATAAATGACCAAAGGCCCCACCTGCCATGCTGTGAACTGTATCACTGATCTGAACTGTATCACTTCTCATGATTTCTAAAGACACTGATTTTCTTTATATATCTTAATTTTTAAATATTTCTTCTGTCATTCCAATGGGATTTTGGGAGGATGGAGCCAAAGTATTAGTGTCCTTTGGCTCTCTACTTCTTCATGTTCTGTATTGATATCAGTTTATAATAGTGGATGAGAACCTGTTCAGAGACCCAGGTTCAAACTACTGCCTGTGTGACTCTGGGCTGAGGGCTGATTACTTAACTCAGGACCTGGGAAGAAATGCCGAATCAAGTTGTTTCTTATCCCAGACATTAGGGAGGTTCTAAGTAATTTGTTTTTAATTTACATCCACATTGCTCAATTATGCGCTATTTTTCCAAGCCTCTGTTTCTCTGGTTCTGGAACTTCCTATGTGTTGTATTGGAGAAATCTACCATAATTTTTCAGGCAGTTCCCTTTTTTGCCTGTGCTGAATCTTAGGCTGATGTATCACATTATCACATCTCTTACTCTAAACCCATTTGTCTCTAATATTCCTAAAATTCCTGAAGCACCTGGTTGAGGTACATTCCCACTTTGTGTGCATGTGTGTGTTTTATGGAAAACAGGTAACAGAGAAAGTCATTACTACATTTATTTCCTTAATTTAAAGATAGTTTAGAGGTAGAAGAAGAATCCTAAGTGGCTCAAATCAAGCATTTTCTTAAAACTACTTAAATTGAATTTTGGACAAAGGAATACGATCTACAGGACTGGTAAGGATGGGAGGGATATATATGAGTAGTAAACTGTTCTCAAAACATTTAGTTTTTAATCTTTTAATAAATAGTACTTCTTTGACTCACATCCAGATTTCCTACATGCATCACATACATTTTAAGGTGATACAATACCTGAAATACTTCAGTAGTTTTTAAATTTTAGCTTTAAGAAATAATTGTATCACAATGTTTGGAAAAAATTTTCTTGGTGCAAATGCAGCCTAAATTTGTCCCAGTTGGGCTTACTATTTAATGACTTAGATTTCAACTAGATTGACTACATTTAAAAGAATGGCATGTGAAGTATTTAATGATCCATTGGTAAGTTAAAAGTCAAATTAAAGACCTACAAATCCAGTCATCTGTAACAATGACTTTAATCACCTCTTGGAAGAATTGGCTAGGAATTCAAACTTACCTAGTTTAGGTTAAAACCTTCTTACAGTAAATGAGAATCTCGGAAAAGTGACTGATAATACAGAAGGAAGTTTTAAGAATAAATATATCACATCTGTGTTTTCTCATTAGAAATCAGATAAAGGATATACTTTTGTTTTCCACTTTTTTTAAAAAAGCTTTTCATATAATGTCAAAAAGTAAGTGAAATAGTTTATTCATAAAACAAAAGTTTTTGACAAAAATAACTTTTCATTTTGTCAAAATGGTATGTAATGAGTAGGATAAATGAGGATGCTAATACTTAGTGTGAATTTATTTTTTCTGTGTCTGTTTAAATAAATGAGATTATTTCATTTGTATTTAGTCTATTTGTTCTATCAATCAATCAGTCAATCATCTATTTATCTATCTATCCATCCATCCTATCTGGCATAGGTGAAATTTACTTCACAAAACCAAAACTTATGTTGGTTATTGAAATAAAAGCTAGTATTTATTGAGGGCTTATTATGTTCCAGGCCCCTTCCAAAGTGTTGTATAAATATTATCTGAGTTAACCTTCACAGCATCTTCTACAAGATAGGATTTATCATTATTTTAATTTCATGATTAAACAAATAGAAGCATAACTCTTTTGTTGATGTTCCCAAAGCTAGCAAATGTTTGAGTATTAGAATCAGAAAGTTACACTGCTAAGATCTTTGGTTCAGAAATATTTATTTTGCTTGGTCTTTGGAATTCAAACATCAAACTATATTGTCTCTATCCTCAACAAATATCCAATCTGTTTCAATAGAAGATGATGTTATAAAGGGGATAAACTGGGTGAATAGAAGTATGAGCAGGAAAGTCTGCCTAGAGCAGTCCAGGAAGGTAGAATTTGAGCTGAATCTTGTAGAATGAGTGAGAATTTTGCAATTGCTAAAGCAGGGGTTTGTACTGAGGTCGAAGAAACAGCGGGTGAAACTAACTCTTCTGAGAGTGCTGTATATCTGAGAAAGAAAAGTAATAGATATTAAGGTTTGGAAGCAGAATGACTTGAAAATGTAAGTCCTGTAGTTTTGACAGATCTTTTTCCTTTTCTGTCTCTCAATTTTCACACACACACACACACACACACACACAAACACACACACACACACACACACTCTACCTGAGAAAAGATATGGTCTAGTCTCCTAAGTTCCTAAGAAATGACACCTGCATTTTGTCTACTGTTGACAGTTTGACACTTTTTTTTCCATTTCTGTTCGGCAAAATAATTTGGTCTTTATTGGACAGCCCTAACGGTTTAGAGTCCAGATTCTGTTCAGCAGAGTGACTAAGGTTTTCTACCATTTTCACTTATTTCCATTCTTAAGAACACAATTACAAATAAATGGTGACTGCCCAGGCTATCTCTGACACTGATGTGTGGAGAAATATGGTAGCAACCTGGCAGGCCTAAGCAGTTAAAACTGTGAATCACCTAAGGTAAGGAAGATCCAATTTCAATTGATATAAGTAACGCACAATAACATTTTCAGTAAACGACTAAGAAGTTTTGCCCCGGGAGAAAGCTAAACTATATTGTCAACAGATTATCTTTCCAGAGTTTCTTTGTCTTCTTTATAGTTGTAAGAAAATGTAAGACTAAAAAGAGGACTGATATACGTAAGTTTCTTATTTAGAAAAGCTCACAGTAGCATAGCCTTAGTAATTAGAAAAATCATAAAACTATTGTATGTATGCACTTTATCTCCAACTACATCCAAATAAATAAGATGTTCATGAACAATTAAAATGATTTTTTTCTAGTACAAAATAAAAATATTATGAAAAACATCCATACAGAGTGGAAGAAAAGAAGCCAAACAACATTTCTTATTGTCTTCTCTTCAGAGAAAATTTTATTAACGCTCAGTATTTCTTTTTAATATCTTTTTGCATGATAATTAAGTTAATACTGCCATATTTCTTTGAATCTATAATAAGTGGATTTGTAGAATTACAATATGAATACATAGAATTATAATTATCACATTGACTGACAGAACTCTATATAGGTCTGCTTGGAGCATCTCCTTAGTCACCATCAAATCTGTTGAATTTTGCCCATTAACCATCAAATTCTGATCCCACTCTGGTGCCTCGTAGTTAAATATCAAATGATGTGTTGTGTTTCGATATGTAGCAAATACACATGTAGGCCCATTAGCATTTGGTGGCTATGAGAAATTTTTAGAAAGCTAATGTAGACTGATTATCAGCTGGGATCTCCCTGCCACCACAGAGGTGGGTAGGCTGAGACTGACCCTACATTTCAGACCCTTTGGTAGTCCGCAGCCCTCTTTGGCGTTTAAGTGAAGCCCCCAGGTCTTATATTCTTCAGTAAAGAATACAAGTCACTCGCTCTAAGCCTCTGCATCCGATAATTTGCTTCAGGTTAGGTATTATCTCACCTGCCCGAACAGGCTGCTCAGGTTACTGTCTCTGTTGACTCAGGCCTGAAATTTATCCTTGTTCTATGATTTACATAAAGTAAATGTATAAACTAACTAACAAGCAAAACTCCCACTCAAGCCATTTGCCTGCTTAAGATTAGGTGGGATGTATGTCTTAGCATGAGTTTGGGGTATGATATTCTTACAATGTGACCAACTTTAAAATTTCTGTCTTAGAAGGTTTTTAGCCTTTCTACAGGTGGTAATTTTTCACTGGCCATCTCACATCATACATCACTGCTGCCTCACACTGGTTTGCTAACATATTTCTCCTTTGTCATGTTTCTACTTTTCTTCATTGTTCCTTTTTCTGCATTGCCCTGAGTAAACCCAACTTACTCTCATTTTTGCAGGGAAATAAATTAATGTCTTTTCATCCCCTAATTTCAAAATGTTGCATATACAGACTCATCAAAAAGCTCATCAGAAGAATGATGCCTTTTATTTATTAATTCTTAGATTGCAGCACCATAAATAGCAATCTTCTTTTTCAGTAATACTAGCTTTTTAAATAAGTTCTCATTTTTTTCACAAAATATTGACAAAGCAAAATACCTAGATCCAGCAATTAGAAAATCAATAATTGCAACTTGTCTTCTTTTTCCTGTTTTTTCTTCTTCTCTTTTTTCTTTGTCTTCTTTTTAGTTTTCTTAAATAATTTTATAAAGATATTTATCTTTTAAATCATTTTAATATCTTTTGAAATTTGGAGTTTTGAAATACAATTTAGATAAAATCACATGGATTTCTTAAAAAATGTAACCATTGCTAACTAGTGTATCACATGATATGAAACATTGTATATGGTATAATATTTATTTCATGTGTATTTTATTCTTATGGATGAGATAGTTTAAAGTGTGCTAAAGTCTGAATGTACAAATTTTTGATTCAGAGGCAAATTAGGAACTAGCAGAAATGTGAAATTATTTTAGCTGTGATAAAGACAGCCAAAGTTAGGATAAGCTGGATGATCATCAGGCCTCTGCATTTCCTCAGAATTCCATTATTTTGTAATATATCTTGCAGAACATTGTACTTATTCACCAACAACTTGCACTATATGAATTTTTAGTTTATTCATTTAGAAATACAATAAACAAGTCTTGGGCTTCTAAAAATGTGAGACACAATCGAGAATTCAAGGAAGTTCAAGTGGTTCAGTATGGCTAGAGTGTAGAATTGGAATAGCAACATGGCAAGTCAAAATTGAAGACATGGGCAGGATCCAGATGAGAGAATATCCAGGTCATAGAGTGGAGAGGTAATTATAAACTTTATTGGAGTGTGTGGTCTATTCTATAGACAATGAGACATAGAAAAGTTTAAGTTGAAAGCCATGTAGTCATCTTTGTGTTTTATATTTGCTGGTAACAATGTGATACTGTTTCTGAAGCACAGCATTTGGAACTTGATATGGTTTGGCTGTGTCTCCACCCAAATCTCATCTTGAATTGTAGTTCCCATAATCCTCATGTGTCATGGGACGGACCTGATGGGAGGTAATTTAATCACGGGGTGGTTACCCTCATTCTGTTCTCTTGATCGTGAGTTCTCACGAGATCTGATGATTTTATAAGGGCCTTTTCCCCCTTCTGCTCATTCTTCTCCTTCCTGCTTCCAGGTGAAGGACATGTTTGCTTCCCTTTCCACCATGATTGCAAGTTTCCTGAGGCCTCCCTAGCCATGCTGAACTGTGAGTCAATTAAACCTCTTTCTTTTATGAATTATCCAGTCTTGGGTATGTCTTTATTAGCAGTGTGAGAATGGACTAATACAGAGGTGTGCTTTATTAATAATGCTACTCATTTGTTTCCTAATTTGCTTTAATAGAGAAGAGCAGTTTCCTTGGCCTGGAATTGTACAAAAGCCATGGCTTATCTTTTCATGGCTTATCCTATTGAAAGTGACCTCTATTGAGATACTATTAATAGTTATAGCTACAAATAAATTAGTTTAATACTTTGCCTGCAACCATTTTTTCTTGGTTTCATTAAAACCTGGTTGTGCACTTGTGAATATCTTCCATTATATTTCCCAGAAGAAAGACAGATTGAGAATGACTAATGGAAAGAATGTGGAAAGAGGCAAATAAGAATACCAGTTGGAGATGATCTCAATCATCTTCATGAAAGGTGATGTGAACTTAGGCAACATTTTTGTAGATGAGAAGAGGACAAGGATATGGAAACGTTAAGTGGTAAAATTAATAGAGCATGCTCATCAATAGGATGTGGAAAATGAGGAAGAGAGAGTTAAATAGTAATAACCTTTTTATGTGTGACTCACATTATATATTGATATTTATAAAAATTCAATTTCAGGATTAGATTTTGGTACAAGACTGCGTGGAGTGGGGTAGGCAAAAGTTAGTGTAAATATTCTTTTTCTTAAAATAACTATTGAGTACTAGGCTTAGCACTTGGGTGACTAAACAATATGTACAACAAACTCCTATGACATGCATTTACTTATATAACAAACCTACATGTGTACCCCTGGACCTAAAATAAAAGTTAAAATTCTTGTTCTTGATGGCTACTGTCTTCAGAACCCTTTACTACTTGTTTGAAATTTATGTTGGATTTTCACTGGAAAAGGTAATTTCATCTTTACAATGTTTAATACCAAAGAAAAAGTGATGTCTGTGGTAATATAAAAGATAATTGCAACAAAATAAGAATAGCCTCCAACTAACCCATGCTGCTCAGTGACAGCTGGAAAGACTTTGGCCTATTCCTTCATTCATCCTTCATTAATTCTTAATTCCTACCACCATTGTATTTGTTAAGGAATGAGGCTTTACATCTATCTTAAGGGAAGTAGATGAGAAAACTTAGGATTAAATACTTAGCTAATATACTCAAAATCACATCTTAGAGGTGGTGAAGAGGGCATTTAATCTGAATCTGCCAAAAACCCAGGCTCTTTTTTGCATGCAGCACCTACCTTATAGTTTATACCATACTGTTTAAAAATGCTTTCATAGGTTCAATTATCCATCAAGCAAGCATTAAACATTTAAACATATCAGGCCTAGGTCATAAAAAAGGCTTTGTTTCTATCATTAAGGAAATCATAGTATATGGGAATATGGACAATATGTGGAATACATGACAACTTACTGTAGTAGATAGAGTTGTGTGTGTGTGCGCATGCGCACGTGTGTGTGTGTGTGTGTGTGTGTGTGTGTGTGTGTGTGTGTGTGTAGGAGGGATCAGTTCTGCCTGGAGATTCATTCTTTACTTCCTGGAAGAGAAGAGGTTACAACTGACACTAAATGAAAGAGTGTTTACAAGTTGACCAAGGGAGTCTAAGGGGAAAGGCAAAGTACTTGCAAAAAAAAGGTAGCATTATCTTGCCTAGCTCTCTTCTTTTTTCGCTCTTCTTTTTTTTCTCACTTTCCTCCTCCCCTTCCCCCAGGCTCTTGTATATGCTTTGCTTTTTAATTTTCCTTCTCTAGTCTCTCTAGTGCCTTTCTCTAAACTTCTGAAAATTCATAGGTATCTTTGTACAAATTTTTAAGATGTCAATTCCATGGGCATGCAAGATGCAGGAAATTAGTGAGCAAACCAACCAAAAGCTTATTTCCAGTCCCTACTTGCCAGGGGCCCTGGGCAGGATACACCCTGCATCACCTGATGAGATGGCTTTAGCCTCTCTCTAGATGCGAGTTTCTTTCTCTCCTTTAATATCTTGGTATATCTTTCTTTTCTCATTTCTATTCTTTTTATTTCTCATTTATCTCTTAATCTCTTCTTATCTTGACTTCTGTTATGAATAATATGAAACAGGTAGACAGTTTTCGATTTTTATTTACTTACTAAAAATAAATGAAAGTTCAATTCTTTTGTTAAACACACAAAATCCACATAAGTAAATATGCTTTTGTACATGTTCCTGGAAAAAAAAAAGTTTCTTACAATGATTTTTTCTATAGAAAAAGTACTTTCCCTCTTTGTACCTACTGACACTACTAGAATGGCTAGTTTTCTGCCTGACAGCAAATGTGCTGTCATTTGTTATAAGCCATAGAAAACCTGCAAGCAATGGTGTTGAGTCAGTGGAAAGGCTTTCCTTCAGATTGGTAGAGTTATCAAAGTGAAACTTGTACTTCTTGTCAACTAGACTCTGAGATAACATTTTGTAAGTCAAGGCAGCAATGAAATGCATTACAGCAAAAGTCAGAAATGATCTAGGTAGGGCTTTTTAAGCAGCTTGGACCTAAAATGGGAACAATGAGAAATCAGTAATCTGGTAGTAATCAGCAGAAACAGAACAGTGTCTCTGTACGTGTTTGGCAAAAGGGCAAATTGAAATGATCAAGCAATATATACTTTATCAGTAAAAAAGTCTACATGAAATTTTGAACATGAGGCAATAATTAAAATGTTGGGAAAGAGGACTTTTGGGTTTTGGTCAAGTATGGACAAAGCTTGAAGTTGCCACTCTGGCCTAACAAGTGAAAAGTTGAAGAAACTAAAAAGCAACAACTTCTCTTAGATCAGTAAGAGAAGTACGGTCACAGGGGAAGCTACTGACTCAAAAACTGGAGAGATTGCAAGCAAATACAGAGAATCCCAACTTACAAAAGCAGAAACTCATGAGCTGAAACCTTCACAGGGACCAGTTTTGGGGTAGGGAAACCTAAACTGTAATTAAAGAATTTTCGGAGGTTCAATGTGGACAAGTCTGAGAAAAAAATTCCAGGGGGACCCGGTCATTAGGGGCCCTCACATTTTTGTGAGTTTTACCTTCTGCAGTTCTCCCAGGTCCTCACAGTGAATATTAGAGAAAAATCCCCTTGTGCTTTGGCAGGGTGAGGAGAAAAAAAATTTTGAAATATGCCAGAGCATTCTGTTCTTCTTAACAAGATTTGTACTTAAGAGAAACTATTCAACCAAAGCCCAACCTGTTGGAGTTCTATCACAGCCTGACTTGGTGGAAGGAAATACCCCACTCCAGCCACCTATAAACTTCCACATGGGAGAAGGGAAGTACTTCATCCAGCCTACTCTAACCATCTCATCCCACCTATTGGGTGTAAAAAACCTATGAAGAATATGTGCTGTTCATAGTCCAGAGGCACAGACTCATGAGAAGACTGAGACTTAATCAAAGGGCTATAGAATGCTTCCCCTACGTCTGACCACCACATTATTAAAGGCCTATTTACGGCAGTTTCTTTTACTCAATATATTATATCTGGCTATTGAAAAAAAAATTACAAGACATATTAAAAGACAGAAAACAAAGTTTGAAAAGACAGAGCAACATCAGAACCAGAACAAAGAACATGAAAGAATAAATGGCCAATGTAAGCAGACAGATGGAGATTATAAGATGTGATGGTTAATATTCTGTGTTATCTTGATTGCATTGAAGGATGCAAAGTATTGTTCTTGGGTGTGTCTGTGAGGGTGTTGCCAAAGGAGATTCACATTTGAGTCAGTGGACTGGGAGAGGCAGACCCACCCTCAATCTGGGTGGGCACATCTAATCAGCTGCCAGTGCAGCTAGAATAAAACAGACAGAAGTTGGAAAAACTTGACTGACAGAGCTTTCCATCCTTCTTTCTCCCGTGCTGGATGCTTCCTGCCCTTGAATATCAGACTCCAGGTTCTTCAGCTTTTGGACTCTTGGACTTACACCAGTGGTTTTCCAGGGGCTCTCGGGCCTTTGGCCACAGTCTGTAGGCTGCACTGTCAGCTTCCCTACTTTTGAGGTTTTGGGACTCAGATTGGCTTCTTTGCTCCTCAGCTTGCAGATGGCCTATTTTGGGATTTCACTTTGATCGTGTGAGTCAATACTCCTTAATAAGCTCCCCTTCATCCCCATCTCCTATTAGTTCTATCCTTCTAGAGAAACCTAATACATTAAAAAAAATGCCATAGTAGAAATAAAGGATACCTTTGATAGGCTTATCAGTAGCTGGATATTGCAGGCAAAACACTCTGAGTTTGAGGATATCTCAATAGAAACCTCCAAACCTGAAAAGCCAACAGGAAAAATACTGAGAAAAAAAAAAAACAGAACAGAATATCCAAAAACTGTGGAAAAAATGCATTTGACAAAATTCAAGACTCATTCATGTTAAAAAACAAATAACTTACAGTAAACTAGGAATAGAAGGGAACTTCTTCCGCTTTCTAAAGAATATCTGCAAAAATTCTGCAGCTATTATTATGCTTAACAGAAACTTGAAGCTTTCTCAAGAAGCTCAGAAACAAGGCATGAATGGCCCATCTCACCACTGCTCTTCAACAGTGTACTGGCTGTCTTAGCTAATACAATAAAATACAAAATTAAAATAAAATATATATTGATCTGGAAGAAATAAAACTGTCTCTTTTCAAAATGACATGATTATCCACACAGAAAGCCCCCCAAAATTGACAGAAAAACTCCTGGAACTGAGAAATAATTATAGTAAGCTTGAAAAATACAAAGTCAATGTACACAAGTCAATTGCTTTTCTATATATCAGCAATAAGACAGTGGGATTTGGAATGAGAAACACAATATCATTTATATTAGCATCCCCCAAAATGAAATATCAGATATGAATCTAACCAAATATGTATGACATCTATATGAGAAAAATTTAAAAAAACTCTGGTGAAAGAAATGGAGAGATATTACATGTTAACGGAGTGGAAGACTCAATTTTATCAAGATTTCAGTTAATTCCAACTTGATTTCTAGATTCAATGCAATCCCATTCAAAATCTCAGTGAGTTATTTTATGGATATTGACAAACTGATTCTAAAGTTTGGTATAAAAAGGCAAAGGCCACAGAATAATGAACACAATTATGTAGGAGAAGAAAAAAGTTGGAGGACTGACAGCATAGGACTTTTATGATAAAGGTACAGTAATCAAGGCCGCGTGATATTGGTGAAAGAATGCAAAAATAGAACAGTGGAACAGAACAGAGAGCCCAGAAACAGGCCCAGATCAATATAACCAACTGATCTTTGACAAAGGAGCAAAGGCCTTACAAGGGAGCAAAGACAGTTTTTTCGATAAATTGTGTTGGAATAATCGGACATTCACTCCCTGCCCAAAACGAATCTAGATAGAGACTTTACACTCCTGACAAAACTTACTCAAAAATGGATCACAGACCTAAATGTAAAACAAAACTAAAACAAAAAAAAACTTAGTATATAATATTGGGGAAATCTAGATGACTTTGGGTTTGACTATACCCTCCTAGTTACAATAGCAAAAGCATAATCAATGAAAGAAAAAATAATTTGGATATCATTAAAATAAAAAAATCTGTGCTGGGAAATACATTGTCAAGAGAATGAAAAGACAAGCAACAGACTGGGAGAAAATATTTGCAAAAGATATATCTGGTAAAAGACAGTTATTTAAAATATAAAAAGAACTTTTAAAATTCAACAATAAGAAAAATATGTGATTTAAAAAATTGGTCAAAGACCTTAATGTACACCTCATCAAAGAAGATATAAAGATGACAAATATGCATTTGAAAATTATATGTCATCAGAGAAAAGCAAATTACAACAAGAAGGAGACACCATTACATACTTATTATAAGGTCCAAGATCCAGACCTCTGATAACATCAAATGCTCATGAGGATATGGAACAATGGGAACTCTCATTTATTGATTGCTGGTGAGTGCAAAATGGCACAGTCACTTCAGAGGACAGTTTGTCAGTTTCTTACAAAACTACATATTCTTACCACATGATGTAGCCATCACAACTCTGTAGTGTTTACCTAAAGGAGTTGAAAACTTATGTCCACACAAATACCTAAACAAGGATGTTTGTAGCAGCTTTATTCATAATTGCTAAAAGTTGAAAGCAACCAAGATGCCCTTCAGTAGGTCAATGTATAAGCAAAGTCTGGTATAGTTAGACAGTGAAATATTCTTCAGAGACAAAAAGTAATGAGCTATTAAGGCATGAAAAGACATGAAGGAAAGTTAAATGCATATTACTAAGTGAAAGAAGCCAGTGTGAAAAGGCTACATAATATATGATTTCAACTATATAACATTTTGCAAATGAAAAACTATGGAGATAGTAAAAAGATCTATGGTTGCTTGAGGTTAAGGGGAAAGGAGAAATCAATAATAGGTGATGTGGAGAGGATTTTTAGGGGAGTGAAAGTACTGTGTATGATACTATAATGGTGAAAAAGTACATGCCATTATAAATTTGTCCAAACTCTTAGAATATACAACAATGAAAGTGACCCCTAATGTAAAGTGTGGTTCTAGGTGATAATGATATGTCAGTGTAGGTTCATTAATTGTAACATGCACCGTTCTGGTGGGGGATGTTTATATGGGGGAAGCCATGCATGTCTAGGGGCAGAGAGATTCAGGAAATCCCTATACCTTCTGCTCAGGTTTGCTGTGAACCTAAAACTATTTTAAAAAATCAATTTTGTTAAGAAAAAGTAAGTTGGGAAGGAGCGTTTGACAGAGAAAGTGCAGAAATTGATAAGTAAATGTTATGTTGGATTTGTGGGTTACAAATTAATTGTAACTGTACATTAGAATTATTTGGAGTAATATGAAGTAATATCAGTGCCAATAAGGGGCCTGGACAAGCTTTGTTTTGTTTGTTCCCCAAATGATTTAAATTATCTTATAAGGGTGAGAACCACATTGGTATATGACTAGTCCACAAAATTATTTCTTTTTTTTTTTTTGTGGGGGACCTAAAACTACTAGATTGCCTTTTTACATTACCTTCTACAAAATTACTGGAATTAATGAAGACAATAAAAAAATACTAAAATTTAACTATAATGCACCTCATGCCTCCTAAGCTTCATTATGTTTTACCCAGAGAGGGAAGAAATTTTGGAATAGACTCTCTAATTGCACTGACGGTGAGGAGAATTAGTTTTTAAATTCATTTTATGGCATTCCAGGAGGTATTGTAAACTATTAGTAGCATATACTTGTAAAAGTTATTATTCCTTAACAAATTAAAAATATAGTTATTGAAATATTTTGAAGAGGCATATGCAGGAAGAAGCATGCGTGTAAGTTTTGACTGGTAAGTGGAAAACCACAAATCAAACTTGTAATTGTCTTATGTTGATGTTCATAAAAGGGGAGGGCAGTTTCTACATTTTTCACTATAAGAGATGTGTGGTTCTGAGTCTGGGACAGAGTAGGGGGTCTGTAAATGTTTGATGAACAAATAAAACATCCTAGAAAGGAAGGGAAAAGTGGATGGTAGGTAACTGATATGGTTTCACTTAGTGTCTCAACCCAAATATCATCTTAAATTGTAATCCCCCTAATCCCCACATGTCCAGGGAGGAACCAGGTGGGAGGTGATTGGATCATGGGGCCGTTTTTCCCCATGCTGTTCTCGTGATAGTGAGTGAGTTCTCATGAGATCTAATGGTTTTATAAGGTAATTTTTCCTGCTCTTGCGTGGAAGATGACGTGCCTCTTCTCCTTTTGCCATTACTGTAAGTTTCCTGAGACCTCCCTAGACATTCAGAACTGCAAGTCAATTAAAGTCTTTTCTTTATAAATTACCAAGTGTCAGGTCTATGGTTATAGCAGTGTGAAAATAGATGAATACAGTAAGCTATTAAAGGAGACATTAGAACACCAGATATGTTCAAGATTTTTGAAAATGAAAAAACCTTGTGTCTGACGTAACAATATTCAATGTCATAGAGTTAACCACCCCCCTCCATCCCAGTCTTGGTGACAGGAAAGGGATATAATAACCATGGCAGGCTGAGTGTTGTCAATATGCTGTATATAGTATTTTAAGAATCAGATTGAGGCCTGGAACTGATTCTTTGGGTTTCAGCTCCTTAATAAGTGAGAGAAGCTAAGGCGCAAGAGCTGGCAGCCCATGACTGATAGAAGCCACTATTATTTCACCGTTTTCTTGTAGTATTTATTTTAAGGTAGAAAATATCCCAAGGGAATACTCTGCCTCACAATGAAGGGTAACAGAATTGTGAGGAAGGGAAAGAGTTCTCTTTATAGCATTAAGAGTGAAGATTTAATTAAATCTGTGTGACGTGGCTAGGATAGATTTTGATGAGCTTTTTCTGTTTTCTTTTAATTTTTCCAGTTAAAGTAAGGGAATATCTATGACCACATGTCATCTAGGCAAAACGACACCTTCATTTCTTTCATACATTTCATTTGTATTATATTGTGTTATAAAACATTAATTGTATTACATTTTATATATATAAATTTGGAATTAGATTTATTTCATCTCTTCTTATATAATTCATTTTTTAATAGATTTTCTCTCTTCAGAAACACAGGGTAGGAATAAATAGGAAGGCCAACAACAGACTTAACAAAAGTTGCTTAGCAAACCCACACAAAATCTCATAATATAAATATAGGATATGAAAAATAAAAATCATAAAATAACAAAAAACATTAACATTTTTTATCACAGAGCCATATCATATTAAACATCAACTCTTTGATATTTATAGACATCTTTTTTTTGTATTTATAGCAAGCTTACATTTCCTTGAGAGATGACTGATGTGATGAAGACATCACTTCAGCATTTTTCATTTTCAAAATTCTGACAAAACTTTTGTCAAAATTCATGAAGAAATAAAAAGTAAGTTATTAAGCTGTATTAGAAAATCATTTAATAGTAGAGTAAAATAAGCACTAATGCTCAGCAGTTAACTTTATCCAAGTTGTGCATATATAACTCAATAAATCTAAGTCTGGAAATGAAATAGTGGAGACACAAAAGGACAAGCTATACATTTTTTTAAAGTCTTGACCCAAATATGAACTCATTTGATTCAAATGTAAAATCTCATGAAATTCAAGCCAATAGAAATTCCACTTCTTTCCTGGCCAACATAGTAGCACCATGGAACAGTTGAAAACCACATTTTCATGTGTTTGTAATTTATTTCTTTTCTACCATCTGCATGTGGCAAACAATTCATCACAGTTGCAAGCTGTCGTTTTGCCATCTGCATGACAAAATGGAGAATAAACTTAACTCTCTAAAAACATTTGTGTTCATTGGTTGTGCTGACATATCTGGCTGTCATCTAGAATTTTGTCACTGTAAAGTGGAATGGATGCTGTTGGCTCAGACAATTGGCACTGTATTGAGATAATAGCCAATATTTGTAACTCACTTAAAGCAACTAAAACTAAAGGGAAAGGATGAGCAAACCTATTTTAAGTTCCTCTGTGTAAATGAGTAGCTGGGACAGTTGTAAGAAGGGAGTGGCTCAGTTGAATAAGTGAACAGATTAGAGTACTATATACTTAGATTCTAATCCTTGTTCTTCCTCTTTTTAGCAGTGTGACTTAGAAGCAAGTTTTGTTATCTCTAAGTTCCACTTTTTATATCTATAATGGAAGAATGTTTTTAATCACTCAAATAAATATTTATTGAGCCTTTTTTATATACCAGACACTAGGTGGGTTCCAGGAGTACAATGGTAAACAAAGCAGGTATGATTGTTTATCTATGGAAGATTATAGCATTGAGATGAAAATGAATACGTAGAATAGCAATAAATAAATCCATTATTTTCAAATAGGAAAAATCATAGTAAAGTATTATAATTATGAGAGATTATAACATCATAACGTAATTTAAATAGAATACTGAAACCTTCTCAAAAGATGTTCTGTTTCATTTGAGATTGAAATAATAAATGGGAAATAATTTGTAAAAGGATTGAAGGAAAGAAGGAGTAAATGCATTTTAGTAACAGCAACAGCATGTGCAAAGGTGCAACAGTTTCAAAGAATGAACTATAGAGAGGAGTGAGAATGATGTGAGTTAAGACTGGAGATAGAGATTATAGAGAGATGTAGCCATACTAATGTTTGAAATTTCCTCTGAAAAGCAATACAAATCTATTAAAGAAGGGTTACAAGTAGAAGAATGGTATATAAAAAGATTTACCTTTTTAAAAGTCAGCTTGTGATGTTGAGCAGTTTTTCATGTCACTGTTGGCTATTTGTCTTGAGAAATGTCTATTCAGATCTTTTGCCCATTTTAAAAGCAGATTATTGTTTTAAGTTGTTTGAGCTCCTTATATATTCTGGTTATTAATATTGTCAGATAGTTTATAAATATTTTCTTTCATTTCGTGGGTTGTCTCTTCACTCCATTGATTGTTTCCTTTGCTATGCAGAAGCTTTTTAGCTGAATATAATCCCATTTGTCTATTTTTGCTGTAGTTGCCTGTACTTTTGAAGTCTTACACAAAGTATCTTTGCCCAGACTAATGTCCTCAAGCATTTACTCAATATTTTCTCCTATGGCTTTGTATTTTCAGATCTTAGATTTGAGTTTTTAATTCATTTTGATTTGATTTTTATGTATGATGAGAGGTAGGCATCTGGTTTTATTCTTCTGCAGATGGTTATACAGTTTTGCTAGCACAATTCATTGAAGAGATTGTCCTTTTCCTATTGTATGTTCTTGGCAACTTTGTCAAAAATGCGTTGGCTGTAAATGCATGCATTTATATCTAAGTTCTGTATTCTGTTCCATTGGTCACATGTCTGTTTTTGTACCAGTGCCATGCTTACCTGGTTACTATAGATTCGTAGTATATTTTGAAGTCAGGTAGTGCGATGACTCTAGCTTTGTTCTTTTTGCTCAGGATTGCTTGACTATTAGGAGTCTTTTGTGGTTTCATATAAATTTTAAAATTGTTATTTCTGTTTCTGTGAAGAAATATTTTATAGGGATTGCATTGAATCTATATTTTGCTTTTGTTAGTGTTGTTCATTTTAACAATATTCTTTCAATCTACAAGCATAGAATATCATTCCACTTTTTGTGTCCTGGTCGATTTTTTTTATCATTGTTTTATAGTTTTCCTTGCATAGATATTTTACTTCTTTGGCTAAGTTAATTCTATGTATTTTATATTCTTTGTAGCTATTTTAAATGGGTTGCTTTCTTGATTTCTTTTTTCAGGTCATTTGCTGTTTGTGTATATAAATATTACTAATTTTTGTATGTTAATTTTATATCCTGCAACTTTACTGAATTTATTTATCAGCTCAACAGTTTTTTGATATAATCTTTCAGGTTTTCTAAATATAAGATGGTGTCATCTAAAAACAAAGATCATTTGACTTCTTCCTTTTCAATTTGTCTTTCACTTGTTTGATTGCTCTGGCTAGGACTTCCAGTATTATGTGGTATAAAAGTGATGAAAGTGAGCATCCTTGTCATGTTCCAGATATTAGAGGAAACACTTTCATTTTTTTTCCTATTCATTATGGTGTTAGCTGTGGGTTTGTCATATTTAACCTTTATTATGTTCCTTCTATACCCAGTTTGCCAGGAGTTTTTATCATAAAGGTATGTTATTATACATTTTATCTAATGCTTTTTCTGCATCTATTGAAATGATTTTTGTTTTCGTTCTTGGTTGTGTTAATGTGATGTATCACATTGATTTGCATGTGTTGAACCACTTTTAGCTGCCTGGGATGAGTCTCACTTGATCGTGGTGAATGATTTTTTAAATTTTGATATGTCGTTGAATTTGGTTTGCTAGTATTTTGTTGAGGATTTTTGCATCTATATTCATCAGTGCTATTGGCCTGTAGTTTTCTTTTTCAGTTGTGTCCCTGTCTGGTTTTGGTATCAGGTAAATTTTGACCTTATAGAGTGAGTTTGGAAGTATCCCCTCCTCTTTAATTTTTTTGCAGTTTGAGTAGAATTGGTATTTTTTAAAAGTGTTTGGTAGATTTTAGCAGTGAAACGAATTCCATTGGTTTTGTACTTTTTTTTTTCTAGTTCCTTGAGGTACCTTTTTAGGTTGCTTATTTGAAGTCTTCAACTTTTTGATGTAGAGGCTTATTGCTATGAACTTTTCTCTTAGTACTGCTTTTGCTACATCCCATGGCTTTTGTTATGTTGTATTTCCATTTTCATTTGTTTCAAGAGAGTTTAAAATTTTATTCTTAATTTCTTTATTC
Organism: Homo sapiens; assembly: GCF_000001405.40. NCBI lineage: Eukaryota > Metazoa > Chordata > Mammalia > Primates > Hominidae > Homo > Homo sapiens. The sequence goes on along the minus strand of NC_000002.12, from coordinate 186,202,738 downwards.
ACCTATTTGTTGTTCAGAAGCATGTTGTTTAATTTCTATATTTTTATGTAGTTTTCATGGTCCCTCTTGGTATTGATTTCTAGTTGTATTCCATTGTGGTCAGAAGAGATATTTGATACAATAGCTACTCTTTTGAATTTGTTGAGACTTGTTTTGTGGCCCAGCGTATGGTCTTTTTTGGTGAATGTTTCATGTGCTGATGAAATGAATGGGTATTCTGTGACCCTTGGGTGAAATCTTCTGTAAATGTAAGTTAGGCCTATTTTGTCTAGCATGTAGTTTAATTCCAATATTTATTAATTTTCTGTCTGGATGATCTGTCCGTTATTGAGCTTGGGGTGTTGAAATCCCCCACTATTATTGTAGTGCAATCTAGATGTCCTTTTAGGTCTATTAATGTTTGCTTTCTATAAATGGGTGCTCTGATGTTTGGTGTATAGGTATTTATAATTGTTATATCCTCTTGCTGAATTGACCACTTTATTATTATGTAATAACCCCTTTCTTTTTCACTTTTTACAGTCTTTGACATTTAGTCTATTTTATCTGATGTAAGTGTAGCTACTTTTGCTCTGTTTTTGTTTCCACTTGCATCAAATATATTTTCCCATCCCTTCACCTTCAATCTTTGTCTGTCTTTATAAGGGTTTCTTGTATGCACCATATAGTTGGGTCTGGTCTCTATCCATTTAACCACTCTGCTTTTAATTGAATAATTTAGTCTATTTACATGTTACTTAGTTCATGTGCATTTTACATGCTGTCAATATTGTTGTTAAGTACTAACTTAAAACTGCCATTTTGTATTTGTTGATTGTTTTGAAGGGTTATTTATTTTCTTCTTATAGAATTTTGAGTTTGTTTACATATTTTAAATATAAGTTCTTTGTTTAATATGTGACTTACAGACATTTTCTCTCAGTTTACATAGCTTCTCTTTTTATTTTCTTAACAATGTCTTTTGTGAAGGAAAAGTTTTTAATTTTGATAATGTCTTATTCATGTTGCTATAACAAAATACTATAAATTGAGTAGTTTATAAACAAAAGAAATTGCTGACTTACAGTTCTAGAAGCTGGAAAGTTCAAGATAAAGATGAGTGAAGATTTGGTGTTTGGTGACAGCTTGCTTGCTGACTCATAGATAGTGCCTTCTCACTGTGTCCTCACATAGTGAAAAGAGTGAACCAGATCCTTTGGGCTTACATTACAAGGGCACTAATCCCTCCCAAAATGTCTTGCCTCCTAGTATAATCACCTTAGGGTGTAGAATTCAACATGTGAATTTTTGAGGAGACATAAACATTCAGACCATAGCAGATGATTTTGAATTTATCATTTTTGTCTTATATGGGTCATACTTTCAATGTTTTATCTAAGAACTCATTTATCTAAGAAATCAAACATCATTATTTCTCCACTGAATTATTGTACCTTTGTAAAAAAAAATTAATTGTCCATTTACATATGGGTTTATATTTGGATTCTCTATTATATTCCATTGATTGATTTGTTGATCTTGAACTCAATAACACACTGTAGCATTATAATAAATTTTAAAATCAGGAAGTGTTAATCTTCCAACTTTGTTATACTTTATCAAAATTGTTTTGACTATTCTAGATTCTTTCAAATTCCATATAAACTTTAGAATTTGTTTGTCAATTTCCAAATAAAGGACTGCTGGGATTTCGTTTGGGATTGGGATGAATTTCTAGAACAATTTGTGGAGAAATGAGAAAGGGAAAGCTTGAACGTTGTGATAATCTTTTCCTCAATTGCTTCAAAGGAAAAAAGATAGCTATTCCAATGAAGAAGAAGTGAAATTCACATTTTTCCTTCAATGGTTATGCCATTGTGTGCTCATGCTTAGGAATGGTAGGTGGAATAAAATGTGGAATGTGCTTTAAGACAAAACTAATTGCAAGAATAATTAGAAGATTAAAAGAATATTTGAGTACAGAAAGGAAAGTCCTGTTAGGATTAAATGAATGATTATTAGTTATTTTGGGTGCTATATGGGTGCAAGAGACTTTGAAGAGATATTGAATGATTCAGATTTGAGAGAAAGCATACTATATTTATTCATATAAAAGAAACATTAGGGACATAATGTTTGCCTTAGTGGAGGTAAAGCAGAGTAATTACTTTAGCTAAGTAGGGGAGAGATTTTACCTGAAAAACTGAATTAATTTTTGTGCACTGTAATTTCCATCTTAAATAAAGTAACTGTAACCACTATGATGCTATCCATTTCCCTAACTCAAATGTCTTTAATTAAGCCACTGAATTCACCCATCCCTACTTATTATGACTGTCATCGTTTTTAAAACTTTATAGCTTTCACAATGCTCTTCAACTGAGCAAAATTTAATAGAACAGAATAAAAATATCCCAGGGATATCCAGGAGCTAATGAATACATGTCTTGTTTCCCGGCTCTATGTCTTTATTAATAGATTAAAAGAGGGCTATATTAAGTGATTTTCCTTATAGACCTTAAAGTTCCTGCTTTCTTACCATATTTATTGCTTTTATTTTTTTAAAACCAAATTCCATGCCAAATATTTAGCAAAGTGCCTTAGAGATATGAGATGGTACAGAGACTAAGAATTAAGGGACTAGTCAAGGAATTAGTGAAGGAGGATGTCTTTTGTCATCAGTTCTGGACAATGAGATACACAAATAAAATCATTCCTTTATAACATAGACATTTCAAAGCACACTTTTTTGACTTATCAACACCTCCACCTTGGGCAATAACAAAATAGGAGTGACATTCCAAATGTTTAGTTTATACAAGACACAGGTGACTAAGGTCAGATCTAACTCTGAGCAACATTAATTTCTTTGTTTCCCTGCATTTCGCGTTTTCAATATGGTTAAATGTAATAGTTAAAATCTAAGATTGAAATAAAGCAGAGTTTAAACTCTGTAATAATCATTCTATAATTATGACTCATTTTCTGAAAGGAAAAATCTTAATGTCTGACATTATCTTTGAATTCAGGGCTTAAAATTTTGTGAAAATCTGTAAACTCAAAAGGTACATAATTTGATTTTACTTTCTAGAGAGTTAAATCTTCCTGTATACCTTCCACTTGACATATCTATATCTAAGGACAGGGCTCTGAGGTATTTATTCAGTGTTTGTTTAATAGTTTATTGAATAAATGATAGAACTGGGACTAGGATCTTAGTTCTTTTAATTATTATTTCTCTATTCTAATTACTTTAAAAGTAAAATTTAAGCTCCAACAAATTAGACACAGTAAATACATTTTCTACAAGAATCTGGTTTACAAGTGTTATTGAAAAAATACTTTAGGTGTTCCTATCCTTTAAAGTTTCAAAAAGTAACTTGAAATATTCTGCTAAGACTCCAGCAACTGACAAGTTTCTTTCCTCTTATTTAGAATTGCTTCTGCATTGGCTCACTCTGACTCCAATATTGCATTAGCCTGCTTTACAAACCAGTAATGGGGAGATAAGGGGATTAAAACTTTTGGAGACATATTTGGCAATAAACAATATTGAATCTTTCACTAGGCTACAGGCAGCATTTGGACAACATACAGATCAAATTTTGAAGCATTTTGAGTCACAAAATCGAATTAAAGGGGCCAAGAAGGAATGTAAAATGAAGCTGTAGGTTTCAACACACCTGGGACTTCTTAGTGTCTAAAAACATAAGTCTTTACTTTTTTTACAATACAAAAAATTCTGAATGTCAGCATCAAGACAATCTGGGAGCCTCAGATGATAGAATTAGTTATAGCACAGGAACTCATTAAAGAGAATATATAAATGCATTTTCTGAATTTTATTTTAGTCTGTATTTTCACAATTCTCAAAGGCCTTCAGGGCAATATCTGTCATCACAATTCTCAAGAGATGTTAACTAAAGTCTTTTAATTTTTTTTGAATATACATGTGGAGAGGTTTTCAAATTCTATGAGATTATTACATTCAGTCAGGAAGTGGTGGGTTTTGCTGTTAAGGTGTTGCATTTACCTTTATAATTGACTGAAAATATTTTTAATTAAATAAATACCTACTCATAGTTTAAAATGTCAATGCTGAAAGTTATTAAAAATGGTCATATCTGTCACCTTCCCCAAATTATCTTCTAGCTCACCACAGGCACCCCGTTATCAAACTCTTTTGGTTGTTTCTTCTGTCATTTGCCTCCATATGGCTATATAATTATATAGTACAATATTTTGCTTGATTATTTTTGGACATTATCTATGGACATCCTTTTGTGGTAATTATAATATTACCTTTTATAGTCTCCTTTCCTGCTTCCTTATGCACGGTGATATTAAATATTTTTGTTAATTTCATAGTCATTCTTTCAATTAGTAAGATTATATAAAAAGTATTTACATCGTGATTCTTGTACATTTTATTTTTCATCTAATAATTATTACATTTTTTTTCTGCTTTGAGAATTACCTCATTTTTGTTGCTGTTCATTTGCTTAGTTTTCTTGAACCTATGTTACTTGGTTGGAATAATACTTCAAAATGTTTGCTGAGGGTGAGTTAATCACTGCTTTTGCATTGGCTCACTCTGATTATTAATGATTGGACTTTGGATTCTTGTTACTGTTCAATTTGCTACTTGTAAGATCTTTAAGAGGTTCATTCCACCAATTTTCAGTATCTGAATTTATGCTTTGAAATACTTATATTAATAATACAATGAATTAGAGAAGTAGAAATAACAGTCTGTTGCTCATTGCCAGGCTTGGGAAAAAATGTGAAGTAGGTGAAGTTCATTTTCATTATCCTAATTTTAAACAAACATAAGTGCCTTCCTTATTCCTCAAGTCTAGGACTTTTGACTGAAAGCTTCTCTGCCTTATGACTTAGGGTTTTATGTTCCGGGTCTCTTCCTTCTATCATTCTTCTGGGTTCTTGCTCATAAATAATACCTTCTGAATTGCAATATATTTTTATCAGCTTAAAATATTGTGAATAACACATTGTGTTAATGTAAAAAATTCACCTCTACATAGTATTTGAGGAGTTTTGGCATTCTTATAGTAGGAATATTATTAATTCTACTGGTTCAAAATTATTTTCTAAATGCTTCAAATCATAACACATAATTTTCTATGTCTCAAGGAGTATTAGAAGTGATAAGATTACCATGAAGAAGACATTGAAAAAGTTATTAAATTTTTCTGAAATAGAGAGCATAGATTCATTTACAAAATATAGATTGTTCTAACATATTTATAAACAACATATTAATTAGTCATGTTAAGGATTACTATATATTTTATCTTAGCATGTGAAAAAACAAAAACTAAAATGCATTCATTTGTACACTTGTCCTGAGGAATTTGTGACTATGAGGTATATTGTCAGCAAATATCATGCAGAAATGACCAAAATTGCTTTTTATTTTCTTGTAGTATCTTTATCATTTATTCTGATATTAAAATTAATACATTCTTATAAAAATTCAAACAATATGGGTGATTTAGGCAGTGTGGAACCCATCCTTTCAGTTTTATGCATATAAAATACCTATGTATAAATTTATTTATACATGCTAAAGAATAATACCATACACAGTTCTTCATAACTTTATTTCATAGTTCTTTGAATTATAGGTGGTAATGAATTCTGTGGAGGGGAATAAAATATTTTACATTATAGAATCTGATTTCCTAGCCATATCCATAAAACTCTTATTTATAGAAATGTTACACCCTAATGAGTAAAAGAAATGCCTAATAAAATTTGTCACTGAGCCTGTAATTTATCTCTTTTGACAAGCATATCTTAATTTTAATCATTTCTGAATTTGTTTAATAGCAAACTAGTGAATATGAATAATATTTCTTAAAAATTATTACCTTAATATTATAAGATCTTATATTTGTGTACTTTTTGATGAAATGTGGGAGAGAGCTTTGGGTGAAATTATTACACTATGAACTAGTAAGAAATTGTTAGATGTGTGAGCACTGACATAATTCCACGGTTTAAACCAGGATATCTCTAGATTTTTGTGAAGAGGTATCGTTTTCATTTTGCCAAAGACTTGTACTCCTGATGGGGATAAAATATTGACAGCTAAAAATGAATGGCAAAGGAGGTGGTTATGCTACCTGTACACCATCCCGTGGTTGGAAATGCTGGAAATCCACAGAGAAAACTCTGAAATTATCCAGGAGAGCTCAGTCTTTTGATTGGGGTTCATGGCTGAGCAAGGGACTGATGACCAAGGCCCTGTCTCTTCTGCCCTTGCTTCTCTAATGCTGATTCCTTTGAAGAGTTAGCAAAGCACATTTGAGAAGAAGCATACATGTATGTTAAAATTTAAATCTTTCAGAAATATCTGGAAATTATTTCTGAGGGGCTAGTTTCTCACACCTCCCCATCCAAATCTCCCTTCACCTGGCTCCATTCCCAGTGATGACAGAGAAAGGACAATATTTGCTGGGAATAAATTTGCCAGAGGTTTGTAGGGTATGTCTTCATGGTAGTGTTCCATACTGGAGACACAGTTGCTATTGAGTTGACTCTAAGATTTGACTTCATGTTACTTCAATAACTTTTTTCGTTATGATCCCTTAACCATGTGCATAGAATTGACGGGATGCTTCACAGCTTGTAAACACCTCTAAACATATGCTGATGATTTGTGGATTGGCACTTTGGACCCTTATAGCTTCTAATCCTATATACTACACAGAACTCTGTGGCAGGAGAGGTATGTGTATACATCAACCAGACAATGGTAAGTCAAAGTCAGGGTTGGCAATGATGCAACATTCACATTTTTATTCATTTCCAATTCTCCTGTCTATGGCGTACATTCCTAATTCGTCATGGCACTCTTCTCACTGAGCTTATATGTGATCTCAGAATTCTTTTTCACAGCGTTCAAGAAACTGTGCCAATTTTTTGAGGTTTGTATGTGAAATAAAAATGAATTTAGTCTTATGAGTTTAAAAAGATCAAACTCAAAATTAATACCAATCTCTTTGAAATCAATCATTTCCATATGAAATTCCAGTTACCATCTCTTTCTTGGATCATGATGCTATTCTCATGATCCCAGCCTGAAGTCCTTTGGATTTCAGACTTTTTTGTATTTTGCTCTTTCTTTTTGTTCATGCTGTTGACCCAAGCATGCCTCTCTAGAGGCATAGTACTGTGCTAGTAGTTCACAAATGATTTAATAGGATTGAATACTGTTTTGCCATTTATAGACTATGTTACTTAAGTCCTACTTAAGGAAACCTCTGAAGTCCTGGTTTTCTTCTTTACAAAATAATTGTTGCTATGTGTAATATATGAATTAATCCATGTGAAAGTATGTTTCAACTTATAAAGCATTACATAAATGTGAAATATGCTTATTACTGACTAGGATTCCCTTTCAGTGCTCAACAGAAAAAGTATGCCGAAAAAACAGCATACATTGTGTTGAAAATTGTGAAATTATATTCATAGAAATACTGAGTGTACCTGGTCTTTTTGGTCAGGCAGGATAAATCTGAGATTCTTCACCAAATATGATAGTGTGATCATTTTATGCTACATGAAACTACATCAAGACATACTAAAATTGCTTACTAAATTCAGTAAATCTTTTGTTGAAATAGCTGTCAATGTCTAAAGAGGCAATCTTCTGAATTCTTAGCCCTAATTGCTATACATTTATTTAGACAGCACTATAAATTTAATCCAGATAAAAATACTATGCAAGAATCACTGGAGGAATCGTCTCTCTTTTTTCTCAAATGATAAATTTGGGAAAGCTATAGTAAGTTAGCTTATTTCTCACATATCTAAAATCAAAGTGGATGTTCCAGCCAGTTTTGTAAGATTTATGTTGGTATTGCAGAAATCTGGTTGACTTGATTCCTAGGCAAAGTTTGTTGTAGCATGCCTTGTTAAAATAATCAAAGTAAATGTCTTTATATATGGCAAAATAAAGTTTTCAGTTAATACTTACACAACTTTTCTAGGTAATATATTTCACTCAGTCCTTCTACCATTGTGGCTATTTTTGTACTCAATATTTTATCTCCCAGCCACAGTTCAAGGGACTGGGAATGAAAATTGATGGTAAGAAAAGTGCAGCCAATAAAATGCTTAATAGCATCCTGTGACTTGTTATGCAGTAAACAGGTGAAGTAGGTCAGTCAGAATCTAATTCTTAGGAATTTGAACTGGAAAACCCAGAATCTGTTAGCATTAGGCATAGCAGCACAAAGGATACTGTTAAGTAGTTGGTACACTGAAGTCACGTACAAACTGAAGCTATGAAGGAGCAAAAAACTGGATAAACAGAGGAAACTACATAGCAAAGATGAATGGTGTAGATAAGAAGAGAGAACAGAGATATTAAGAAAGCTGATTTGGCTGACATGTTAGCCTTTGAAGCTGATTCTGGTCCAGTCTCTGTATCATTACAACAAATACCCTTTAGTTGAAATAAATGAAATGGATCTCTTTTCCTTGCCTAACCTATCCATGTAATAATAAATATGACATAATTCAATTTTGTCTTACAAATATGCTTTGTTCTTATACTTATTTTGAATACTTTCTTGGTAAGAAATATGAAATTATGGACATAAAACTTTACTAGGATCTATCACTTTTAATACTGTACTGTCATATTACTAGTTGATACATTTATGGTGGCCATGATGTCCAAGAGATTAGAAAAATTATTTTTATTTTATTAAAAATAAGCTCCAGAGAAGTTGTTCTGTAACAAGCCTTGAAAGTGCTGTGTACCAATTTTTGAAGTGAGCCTCTAGCAGATGTTTGGAATGCCACAACATGATGAGGAATATATATTCATTTAAGAATGGCACTAAGTCTGGATGAAAGGACATTAGAGCAATAACACATATGTGAGGAAAATATTAAAGATGTTGATGAGGTATTTTGAAATGTTGTTGGCTGACCATTTTTCCTTTTCTATTTCATCAGGGAATTACCATGACTTAGTGTAATTTTAAAAGTATTATCCAGAAAGGGTAATTTATTTTCCCTAAATTGCAAAAGTCAGAAATTGAAAATAGCAGATCTGTAGCATTTAGGATACTTCCAAGAATAGGTTGCAAATTTTTTTTTACTTTATATTGCAAAAAAGACTTTTAAAAAACGCAAACTGGCTTTTATTAAAACATGCATACATATATGTAAAGGTGAGCAGCTATCAAGAGATATATTTTGGCTGTAATACCAGGAATGTGCATATATTTATATTTTTCAACATCTTGGGTATGATTTAAAGGATGTTTTACACTGTAGTTTGAAAATGTAAATTGTTTTGTCTCCTCTAAAGATAGCTTATCTTTTCTAAAATCCTTCATTCTCAATATTTATTACTGATTTTATCATATCTGATTTATGTTATTTTCATAAATTGTTTCTTGGGATAAAATTGTACTCAGTTAAATAGTAATTTAAAATCTGTCTTCATGAATATAGCAGAACAGTGCTGGCATGACATATTTTTAAAAAGTGTGTTTTACTTGAACTATCATATTTCTGGAACTGGCAGTTCTAAATGAAATAACTTTAAATTGCTTGCCAGTAGAGAGTTTAACTGGTAAGAAAAATACTGGAACTAGCCAAACAAGAAGGTGTTTTAGTTTGTATTTCAATAGAGCTACAAAAATGTGTTTTTCTCTCTTAGGAATATTTCTTTTCTATACTGCTTTCTCCAAAGTTGGAGTCACCTTCTCACTTTATAGGGTCCTAACACTACAAAACTTTGTGACCATTTAATTCCCTGTAACTGATGAAAATTGAGAAAGAGCGATATATTAACTTGTTAAAATCACCTGTTAATTGATAAAAACATCCAGATAAAAAACAAATATGCTATGGACACTGCTGCCTTAACAAAGGTGTTAGAATAACAATATAATTTTTTTTGCTTTTATTCTTGTCTAAATATAACAGTCAAAAGATAAGGAACTAATAAATTTCTGTAACTTATGTAATGAGAAAATTTAATAAAATTATTTGACTTACGAAAACACTTTTTTACCAAGTGAAACATTTGAGATTTGGCTTGAGAGATATTTGATCACCCAGTGGCTTAAGGGTTTACATTCTATTTTTAATAATTTTTTAAATAGCATGCATCAGGCCGATTTTTGCTTATAATATTTTAAATCAATTGGCTAATTATGGAAAGATAGTTCCTTTTCAAAATAAAGATGTTTTTACATATATAGTTTTTGCTATATTATGTTTCTTGGTGATAAAGTTATGAAATTATTTTTTAAAACTCAGGAGCTTTTAAGAAGTATTGTGGAATGCTGGTGAAGAGTAGGATCTACTTTGGATTTTGCTTTACCCACTTTTTGCTACAGATTTTATTCCCACCAATTTTTGACTATAAAGGAAAAAAATGGCTATATTTGTGTAGATGGTATGGTATAAAGTTCTTTGAATAAATTATCTGATTTGATCATTACAAAAACTTAATAGTAGGCAGTATATTCCCACTAGCTGAAGATTGAACAGTTATATTATCTACCCCTAAATTGTGTGATACTCACAAAACTAGACTAAACTGTGTTGTCAGTTCACATCCAATGTCCAGTGAGTTTGGAATTCACTGTCTCTTTACAAGGAATGAAGGCCCATTCAGATATAATACTACTTATTTTCTTGGCTACAAAGTAATGGAAACAGAAGATGAACCAAGGACTCTCCAAAATCAAAGTGTTACCCATACAATTGGTGAGTTTGCTTGGTGAATATCGACACGGTGACCACAACAAGGAGTATTTAGCAAGGGGATTTTGTTACTTATAACAAGTAGGGAGAACCCTGGGGAAAGTTCCCAAAGCTGTGTCTCCCTGAGGTGGGGGTTGAGTCAGGTTTTATATGCATAGGGTAATGAGGTGTGATCTGATTGGATCTTGCAATGAGATAATGTCAGGAGGCATGATCTGATTGGATCTTGCCATGAGGTGACACCAGGGCTTGATCTGATTTAATCCAGAATCCTGCCATGCAGTCCATGCAATGCCTACCTCTTTTTTTTGTTTTGTTTTTGGAGGCAGGGTTCCACTCTGTCACCCAGGCTGGAGTGCAGTGGCACCATTACTGATCACTGCAGCCTCAGTCTCCCAGGCTCAAGTGATCCTCTCCCCTCAGCCTCTTAAGTATCTGGGAATACAGGTACTCCATCATGTCTGGCTTTTTTTTTTTTTTTTTTTTTTTTTTTTTTTTTTTTTTTTTTTTTTTTTTTTTTAGAGACAAGAATTCTCCATGTTGCCCAGGCTGGTCTGGAACTCCTGGGCTCAAGCAATCCTCCTGCCTTAGTCTCCCAAAGTGCTGGGATTATAGGTGTGAGCCACCACACCTGACCTGGCCCAGTATCTGCTTCTTAATTCAGTTCATTCATCTTTTTCCTTTTCCTTCCTTCTTTCTTTTTCTCTCTTTTTCTTTTCTTTCCTGCCTTCCCCTCCCTTCCTCCCTCCCTCCCTCCCTCCCTTCCCTCCCTCCCTCCGTTCCCTCCCTCCCTCCCTCCCTCCCTCCTTCCTTCCTTCCTTCCTTCCTTCCTTCCTTCCTTGCCTTAGCTGGAGTCTCACTCTGTCACCCAGGCTGGAATTCAGTGGTGCTATCTTGACTCATGGCAACCCCCACCTCCTGAGTTCAAGCGATTCTCCCACCTCAGCCTCCCAAGTAGCTGGGATTACAGGTGCACGCCACCACGCCCAGCTAATTTTTGTATTTTTAGTAGAGATGGAGTCTCACCATGTTGAACTCCTGACCATGAACTGCTGACCTCAAATGATACACCTTGCTTGGCCTCCCAAAGTGCTGAGATTATAGGCATGAGCCACCATGCTCTTCCCAGTCCCTTCTTCTCTGAGCACTTAGGTTCCTTCAGTGGTTGCACGCTTGGTTCATCTGGGCATGCTCAGGTTATGTGACCTAAGGGTACATACTGACTGAAAAGCAACTCACAACTCTGTTACATAAACGTTGAACCAGATTGGTCTGGTGTGGCTCCAAAAGGTGTTCTCAATGTCATTAAATATAAAATTTCAAGGTGGTACATATCACGTGCCTTTATTTAGACTCGTTCTTAAGTTGATCAAGATGAGTTTCATAGAAGTCCCACACTATTACAAAAAATTAAAATGTCACACACACCACTGCAAATATTTGACTAAATATTGAAATTATGTTGATGGCTTATGGTACTTTGAAACTTTGGCTCTTTACAAGTAAAGTCCTGAAAATTAACTGCTATTACCACTTCTAGAGTCCCACACAGGGGAAGATATAGGAGGCAGATGGGTTAAATTTTTCTTTTAATGTAGCACAGTCTTTTGTTTGCCATATATATGTTTCTTCGCTTATAAGGCAAAAAAGTATCTTGAATAAGAATCTGCTCTTTGATGAATTAGAGCATGTTTAGTCAAGAGAGAAGCAGTTCCAAAAAAAACTTCAGAGAGAAATTTATTTTTCGGGAACTCATCTTGCTGTTAACAAGAATAATAAGGTTGAGTGAATCATATAATGCAATTGGAGCCTGGTCCTGGCAATTATGCAGCCATTTACCCCTCAGTGACAACTTGGGAGCTAGAGCTTCAGCACATTTTGGGTGTTGATTTCTTACAGGGACATGTTTGTTGCAGATGAAGCACAGGCTGCTTGGAAGGCTTCAGATGGTGCTAGTGGGTTGAGGATTAATGAGGTTAAATTAACTCAGTCACTTAATGCACATTTTATTGAAGTTCAAGCTGTTCAGCCTGTTGCAGTTAATATGAGTAGCCCAGAATGTTGCCAGTTAAATGTAAGTTACACATCAGGGATGCTAGGGTCATTATTGACAGGAAGAAAGCAATTTTACTTGGTTATGGCATTTATCATAAAGGCAGTCTCATTTTTTTGAGATATCCATCTTTTTCTTCTCCAAAGTGTCCTTCATTTGGGGATTTGATTATTATCTAGGGCAGAATTTGATCTTAGCTGTAACTACTTTTGCCCTAATTTTGGAGAGTGAAATGCTGACTTTAAGACAAGTACAATGAATGAAATTGTTTTCTCCCATGAGTAGTGCATATGAGGAACATGTTGAGATAACTGTTTTTTCTTGAAACTTTACAATATCATAAAAACAATGTCCTGAAAAGTTCCCACGTTGAGAAGATACAAGTCAGACACATCAGGCAAAGCCCTGGCATCCATTTAATCACTAATTCGTTCATTCACTGCTCATTGAGCACCTAATATGTGCTACCTCATATGCTGTTGCTGAGGATACAATAGTTCTAGCTCCCTCAGGATTAGTGTGTTTATCAGCTTTTGCATTTAAGTATGTATATCTTATGTAATCAAGGGTTTTATGATTTCCTGTAATGCATCTATTGATATACTACTGACTTTAAGAAAGTAATTTCCAGATGCTCATAAAGTAAATAAATTCCTAGGTGATAGAATCTAGTATTTATTTAAATTGTCTCACTTTTATTCTAGTTTGCAAAGGGAGACCTAGAACCTCAGAAATGACAACATCCACCTCTACCAAAGTACCTTAAACACACACTTTGCTAACCTTTTGTGCAAGGTACTATAGACTTCTCATAATGTACAGAATCTCATCACCTATGCAATTTCCTATAGGTCCAGCTATCAATTGAAATGTTCCTTTTAGTTTTAGGCCAAGCATAATGACATTGGAAAAAGTAATGTAGATTGCATTTGCAGAAAAGAAACAAACACACACACACACACAGATCCTATACACACCCTACACACACGCACTGAATAAAAGGTTCATGGCAAGACTCCAGAAGTTCATGTGCATCCTTGCCTTGTAAATGGCTGCACTGCACCTTAACACTTCACTCCAGCCACTAGCCCAGCTCTTCCCTGGTGTGGAAGTGAGGTTTTGTCATCCCTACTGAGAACAGGACACTGAGAAGTAGTTGTTAGGGGGAAGAAACATTATAGTTGCCAACCACCACAGTAGTTTTATTGTTCTCCTTGTGATTTCCCCATAGTTATCTTCCAATAACTCTCCAGATTAAAGTTGCAAATGGTATTTATGTAATACAAGGTCTTATTAACGGCCAAGTGCTTTGTGAGCTCTTTAAAGAATGTACTTGAATGTGGCCCTTTAGGCATGTAGAGGTGGAGGGAGGAGAGAGGGTAATTACAAATAATATTATAATGATAAAAAGTGGTATTTGAGAGAAAAGAAGTGAAAAAAGTGAAAAGGGAAAAATATCATCAGGAAAGACTTTAGGGAGGAAGAACTTGAGAAAGTCTTTGAACAATGGTCACCATTTATATAGGAGAGGCCAGCTGGTACAAAGACAGTGGAAGAAAACTGGCTTACGTTTGGAAATAATAAACAGAGTGCCTGGAATGTGGGGATACACGGGAGAGCTGAGATAACTAAGATTGGTTGGGCATAGATTGTATTCAGTGGGAGTTGGAGGGGCATATTCATGGAGAGGACAACCAAAATTAATTAATTCTCAGTGCTTCAATCACTTCAGTTTTTTTTTAATCCAATTTTTAAAAATTGTGGTAAAAACACTTAACAAAATTTAATGTAATGACCATTTTAAGTGTACAGTTCAGTGGTGTTGAGTGTACATTCATGATCTGCAACCATCACTACCATTCATCTCCATAACCCTTTCTGTCTTGTAAAACTGAAACTTTAAACCCATTAAACAATAACTCACCTTCAATTCTTCTCTTTGCCATGGCAACCACCATTCTGCTTTCTATCTCTATGATTTTGACTACTTTTAAATATCTCTTATAAGTGGAATTATACAGTATTTGTTTTTTGTTACTAGATTATTTCACTTAGCATAATGTCCACATGGTTCATCCATATTGTAGCATATGCCAGAATTCCCTTTCTTTTTAAGGCCAAGTAATATCCCACTGTATGTATAGACCATATTTTGCTTATCCATTCATCCTTCAATGGACTTGGTTTGTTTCCACATTTTAGTTATTGTGAATAATGCTACTATGAACATGGTAATAGAAATATCACTTTGAGACTCTGCTTTTAATTCTTTTGGGTGTAGACTCAGAAGTAGAATTGTTAGATTGTATAGTAATTCTATTTTTAATTTTTTAAGGAACTATCATACTGTTTTCCACAGCTGTTATACCATTTTACATTGTTAGCAGTAGTGTACAAGTGTTCTAATTTCTCCACATTCTTACCAACCCTTGTTACTTTCTGGGTTTTTTTTTTTATAGTAGCCATTCTAATGGCTGTGAGGTGGTATCTAATTGTAGTTTTGATTTGCATTTCCATAATGATTAGAAATTTTGAACACTTTCATATGTTTATTGTCTATTTGTACATTTTCTTTGGAGAAATGTCTATTCAAGTGTATTTTTGAATTGGGCTGTTTTTTATCATTGAGTGTTAGGAGTTTTCTGTATATTCTAGATGTTAATCCCTTAACAGATGCAGTATTTGCATATGTTTTTCTCTCATTCTGTGGGTTGCCTTTTTACTCTATTAATATTATCTTTGATGCACAGCTTAAAATATTTTTTCATGAAATCCTGTTTGTCTATTTTTTCTTTTGTTGCCTGTGCCTTTGGTGTCATATCTAAGAAGCTATTGTCAAATCCAATGTCATGAAGTCTTTGTTCTGTATTTTCTTCTAAATGCTTTACAGTTTTAGGTCTTATATTTAGGTTTGTTATCTCTTTGAGTTAATTTTTACATATAATGTTAGGTAGGGGACTACCTTTATTTATTTATTTTGCATGTGGATATCCAGTTTTCCCAATATCATTTGTTGAAAAGACTTTCCTTCTTGTTGGACAGTGGGTGCAGCTCATGGAGCGTGAGCGGAAGCAGGGAGGGGCATTGCTTCACCCAGGAAGTGCAAGGGGTTGGGGAATTCCTTTTCCTAGCCAAGGGAAGCCGTTACAGATGGTACCTGGAAAATTGGGACACTCCCACCCTAATACTGTGCTTTTCCAATGGTCTTAGCAAACAGCACACCAGGAGATTATATCCCACGCATGACTTGGAGGGTCCCATGCCCATGGAGCCTTGCTCACTGCTAGCACAGCAGTCCAAGATTGAATTGCAAGGTGGCAGTGAGTCTGGGGGAGGGGCATCCACCATTGCTGAGGCTTGACTAGGTAAACAAAGTGGCGGGAAGCTCGAACTAGGTGGAGCCCACCGCAGCCCACCTCTGTAGACTCGAACTGAGTGGAGCCCACCACTGCCCGCCTCTGTAGACTCCATCTCTGGGGGCAGGGCATAGCGGAACAAAAGGCAGCAGAAGCTTCTGCAGACTTAAACATCCTTTTCTGACAGCTTTGAGGAGAGTAGTGGTTCTCCAAGCATGGACTTTGAGATCTGAGAATGGACAGACTGCCTCCTCAAGTGGGTCCCTGACCCCCGAGAAGCCTAACTGGGAGACACCTCCCAGTGGGGGCCGACTGACACCTCATACAGCCGGATCCCCCTCTGAGATGAAGCTTCCAGAGGAAGGATCAGGGAGTACATTTCCTGTTCTGCAATAAGTTTTGGTACGTGGTGTTTTCATTTTCATTTCTCCCTAATTATTTTCTAATTTCTCTGGAGATTTCTTCATTCATTGATTGGTTGTTTAAGAGTGTGTCATTTCATTTACACAATTTTGTGCATTTTTCAGTGTTACTGGTTTTTACTTCTTTTACTAGTTTTACTTCTGTTGATTTTTTTTTATTATTATACTTTAAGTTCTAGGGTAAATGTGCACAACATGCAGGTTTGTTACATATGTATACATTTGCCATGTTGGTGTTCTGCACCCATTAACTCGTCATTTACATTAGGTATATCTCTCCTAATGCTATCCTTCCCCCCTTCCCCCTACCCTGCGACAGGCCCCGGTGTGTGATGTTCCCCATCCTGTTACTGATTTCTAACTACATCCCATTGTAGTTAGAGAAGATAGTTTATCTGGTATCTATTCTTAAAAATCTATTGAGATTTTATTTGTGGTCTAACATATGGTCTATTCTAAAAAAAAAATCACATGTGCACTTGAGAAGAAGGTATATGCTGTTTTGCGGAGAGGGTTCTGTATATTTCTGTTAAGTCTAATTGATTATTGCACTGTTTAAGTCCTCTTTTGTGTTGCTTATCTTCTGCTCTGTTGTCTATCCAGTGTTGATAATCAGACATTGAAGTCTCCAGCTATTATTGTAAAACTGTTTCATGTTTGAATTCTGTCAGTTTTTGCTTGAGATATTTTGATGGTATGTTACTAGGTGAGTAAATGTTTATATTTTTTACATCTTCTTGCTGTATTGAAGTTTTTCATCAATATTTAATGTCTTTCTTTTTCTCTTACAACCTTTTTTTTTAAATTTAAAGTCTATTTTGTCTGATATTAGTATAGCCACTCCTGCTTTCTTTGGTAATTATTTGCATGGTATATCTTTTTTCATCCTTCCATTTTCAAACTATTTGTGTCTTTGGGTCAAGTGAGTCTTTTATAGATGGCATATACTTGGATCATGTTTTTCTTTTCTTATCCATCCTGCCAATCTTTCTTTTTGATTGGAGAGTTTAATTCATTTACATTTAAATATTTATTAATAATGAATAACTTACTTTTGTCATTTGCTATTTGTTTTCTCTATGCCTTATAGCTTCCATGCCTCTTATTTTTGACATAACTGCACTTTTTTTGTGTTTAGTTCTTTTTACGTAGTACATTGTTTTTATACCTTTCTCAGTTTCTTTTGTAATTCTATATTTTTTTTTGTTACAATGGGAATTATCTTAAAGTTACAACACTGTAATCTAAATTTATACCAGTTTAACTTCAATAACACACAAAAACTCTGCTTCTTTACTACCTCTGTCTCCATCTTTTTCAGTTATTGATATCTCTAAATTTCATCTATATATATTACATGACCCAAAACATAAACTATTAAATCCTTTAATTGTATTTGTATCTTAAATTATGTAGAAAGACTCAATTTGAAGCTTTGAACCAAAGTTGCAATAATACTAGCTTTTAGACAGCTCATAGTGTCCCCAGATTCTACAGGACCAATTTTCTTAAATTTTTTTCTTTCTGTACTTCAGAATCAGTAATTCTCATTGTCCTATCTTCAAGCTCATGGGTTCTTTTGCCTACTCAATTCCACCTTTGAATCCCCATAGTAAATTTGTAATTTCAGTTATTGTAATTTTCGGCTCCAGAATTTTTTGGTTTCTTTTGAGTTTTCTATATCTTCATTGATATTTCAATTTTGTTCATACATTGTTTTCTTGAATATATTAACATCTTCCTTTAGTTCTTTGACCATTTTTAAAATAGCTATTTTAAAGGCTTTTTCTAATAGATATGCCAACAGGTCTTCTACAGACACAGTCTCTGTTGTTCTTTTTTTCCCTTTGAATTGGCCATACTTTCCTCTATTTCTTTGTATGCCTTCTGGCTTTCGGTTAAGAACTAGACATTTGAATCTAATTATGTTGTAATTTGGAAATAAGATTTTCCCTGTTTCACAACTTTTTCTGTTTTTTTGTTATTGATTTTATTGCTTTTGATATTATAAAATATTGTAGTACCAAAAATCAGCCAGTCTCTTTGCTAAAGCCTAGCAAGGATCACCTTTGCTTCAGTTCCCGATAAGCTCCTCATCTTCATCTGAGACCACCTCAGCCTGGGCTTCATTGTACTGGACTTCATTTTGGTACACAGACATTGTCCATATCACTATCAGCATTTTGGTCAAAACAAACAAGTTTCTAGGATGCTCCAAACTTTCTCACATCTGTTTTTCTTCTGAGCCCTCGAAACTGTTCCTACTCTGCCTGTTACCCAGATCCAAAGTCACTCCCACATTTTTGGGTATCTTAATATCAGCACCCCACTCTACCAGTGCCAATTTACTGTATTAGTCTGTTCTCATGCTGCTATAAAGTACTGCCTGAGATGGAGTAATTTATAAAGGAAAGAAGTTTAATTGATTCACAGTTTCATATGGCTGAGGAGGCCTCAGGAAACTTACAATCATGGCAAAAGGGGAAGCAAGCACATCCTTATTCACATGATGCCAGGAAGGAGAAGTGCCGAGCAAAAGAGGGGAAAGCCCCTTATAAAACCATAAGCTCTTGTGAGAACTCACTATCAAGAGAACCGCAGCATGGAGTTAACTGTCCCCATGATTTAATTACCTCCCACTAGGTCCCTCCCACGACACATAGGGGGATTATAGAAACTTCAATTCAAAATGAGATTTGGGTGGGTCACAGCCAAACCATATGGCATATCTGCTTGGAGTAAGCCTGTTATTTAGAGAGCATTGAAAACTAGCCAGAAAGGTTTACTTTTAACTTAGTTGGCTGTAAGAAATTATTGAAATTTTTTTCCCGTAAGAAAATAATACGATTGAAATAAAAGTGAAATTCAGAAATCAAATACAGTTATGAGGTATATGCAATATGCAAACTCAAATTAAAAATAGTCTAGAGATGTTCAACTTTAAACCATTGTTTTGGCACATTCTATATATTTAAACTTAAAGTTAATACCTCAAGGTGGGCTATTAATTAATAAACAGTATATATTTATTCAAGTTTGTGTATATATTAGAATCTACAGAAACTATGTATGTTATAAAATGAAGATGAAAACATTCTAAAATAGAAAGAAAAATAAAAATGGCCAGATATTTATGAACATTTAACTTCAGAGTATGATAGGAATAAATAAGATAATAGGCATGTGTTATTGTGTTCAGTTTTCAGAATAAAATATTGAAGTATGTTATAGACATAATGATGGTAGATATATCCCTTCAGCATCCTGAAATTCACTCTATGAAGAAACTTCAGCATACTGATATCTGAAGACAAAGTCAGCCGATTTATAAATCTATGATACCTTGACATGACAGAAATACTCTTTATCATTTAATATGTAGCTGAAATGGAGTCTTGAAAGAAATAGCATTTTTTGGGGGGGGGACAGACTTTCACTCTTGTCTCCCAGGCTGGAGTGCAATGATGCAATCTTGGCTCACTGCAACCTCCGCCTCCCAGGTTCAAGTGATTCTCCCGCCTTAGCCACCTGAGTAGCTGGGATTATAGGCGTATGCCACCATGCCCGGCTAATTTTTTGTACTTTTAATGGAGACAGGGTTTCACCACGTGTCAAGCTGGTGTTGAACTCCTGACCTCAGGTTATCCACCCGCCTCAGCCTCCCAAAGTGCTGGGATTACACGCATGAGCCACTGTGCCCGGCCGCATTTTTTTAATCTCTAAGGTTGCTTTCAATGAAAGTGTATACATTTAGAAATTATTTTTTCCTTTATCATTTAAAAGACGTTATATATACATTATATAATATATGCATTATATATATTGGTCCCCTATTATGCAAGCAATATTTATGAATTTATTATTTGTCTCATTGTAGGAGGGTAAAAAATGTAAGCAGAACATTTCATTAGAAAATAATTTAAGTTGAAAGGAATAACAAATTATACAGAAAACAAATGAAGAAGAAGTAGATTCTTTAATCTAAGTTTAGTCCCAGAAACATCATCATGGCTTAGGTCTTGAGAATATTACATATTCTTCACCTTGTCTCTTGGTTTCCTTCTCGTCTATATGATCTGTTTTGCTGCAGTAAGCTGGGTTGTTCATGTCAGTTGGCACTAGTATAACAACAAATAAAAAGAATCAGACAAAAATTTCAACAGATTATGTTTTAGAACTAAAACATAAGATCTATGGTAAAATATTTCAGTGATACATAGGACAAACTAAAGCTGAAAGAATGTGTATTCTAGTTTAAATAGAATTGCCCCGTTACATGCTGAGGTAATACAAGACTGTGAAGATGAAAGTGTACTGTGCACTCTCAGTGGAAAATCTGATGTGCTCTGCATTACTCAATTGTGTCAACATAGAATCTTGACAAAAGAAAGTTTTAACACAAGTAAAGAAAATGATAACATACTAAACACAATGGATAGATTGAAAACAAATTGCTTTGGCAGCTCTTCATATAATTTCAGAGTTTTAGTTTATTTTGACACTTCATAAGTGTACAATATACCTTACAATAGAGTTAAAAATAACCATTTTCTTTGATTTTTGCCTCTTGTATTAAAGAATTTAAAACCAAAATAAAAATACATCATGTCAGAAAAAAGAGACTACAGTGTCAAGACTCCAGAGTATTAAACATGGCAAGGGCACTAAGAGATGAATCAAGAGGAAAAGAATAAAATTGCCAAAAATATAATAAAATCTTAGAATTTAGGAAATCTTTAAAGACTACTAATTTCCTGTGTTCAGGAGCATTAAGCTAAATGTTGCCAAAATGTAAATTTTTCTAGTCCAATTTGTGCTATCAGAAAACAAGTTCTTATTTTTATGCCTTTGTTCATTTACTTAAACCAATAAATATGCATTGAATGCCTGCTTTGCGCTTATGCTAGGCATTAGGGTAAATAATACATAAGATCGGCTGGGCGTGGTGGCTCATACCTGTAATCCCAGCACTTTGGGAGGCCGAGGCGGGCAGATCACAAAGTCAGAAGATCGAGACCATCCTGGATAACACGGTTAAACCGCGTCTTTACTAAAAATACAAAAAAAAAAAAAAAAAAAAAAAAATTAGCTGGCGTGGGGAGGCTGAGTCAGGAGAATGGCGTGAACCCGGGCGGCGGAGTTTGCAGTGAGCCGAGATTGCGCCACTGCACTCCAGCCTGGGCGACAGAGCGAGACTCCGTCTCGGGGAAAAATAAAAAATATCATAAATAATAAATAATAAGTACAAATATAATTTTGATAATTCTTATGAAGAATAGATATGGGGTATAGAGACAGTATACAGTGGGGAAAGTTGACTTTCATGCTGTGTAAGAGAAATCTCCCCCAGCAAAGTGACTTTTGAGTTGAGATTGAAGGATAAATAAAAACCAACCAACCAAACAGTGAGAGAAGAATGTTTCCTGCAGAAGGAACAGTGTGTGCAGAGTCTGTAGCTGAAGGAAATAGAGCCTGTGTTTATGGGTTGAATTTTATCCCCCCAAAAGATATGTTGAAGTTCTAACTGCAGGTACCTCAGAATGTGCTCTATTTGGAAATAGGGGGTCAGTGCAGGTGTAA
Source organism: Homo sapiens (assembly GCF_000001405.40). Lineage (NCBI taxonomy): Eukaryota > Metazoa > Chordata > Mammalia > Primates > Hominidae > Homo > Homo sapiens. Next base: position 186,180,590 of record NC_000002.12, on the reverse strand, counting down.
TTAGTTGTTAAGATGAGGTCATACTGGAATAGGATGGACCCTTAATCCAAACTGACTGGTGTCATAAGAAGAGGAGAAGAGATGCAGGAGCAGAGACACATGAAGAAAGAATGTCATATTATGATGGTGTTAGAGAGTGAAATGCTAAAGCTGAAAACAGTAACATCAATGATTGCCAACAACCATCAGACTCTAGAAAGAGGCAATTCTTCCCTACGAGTTTCAGAGGGATCATGGCTCTGCTGATACCTTGATTTCAGACCCCTAGCCTCCAGAACCAGAGGATCATAAATTTCTGTTTTAAGCCTCCCAGGTTTTGGTACTTTGTTATGGCTTCCCTGACAAACTAATAAAGCATGTGTGAGAAAATGAACAAAAACTAATGTGGCTGGAGATGGATAAAAAGGAGCAGGGGCAGTAGAGGGAGACAGGTAATAAAGGCAGGCACAGCCAGATCGTGTCTCAATATGAACATTGCATTGGTTTCCAAGATCAATAAGAAATCATTGAATGTTTTAAACAAGTAGTTGACTTGATGACATTTGTGTTTTGAAATGACTTATTTAGATTGGAATAAAGGCAAAAATAAATATTGAGAGCTCGCTTAGATGGTTATTACTCTAGTCCCATTACGAGGTGATGAAAAAGTGGCCTTGAAACATTGCAGTGTAGATGGGGAGTTTGGATGATTTAAAGTATTTTACAATCTAAATGTGATGGACTGGATGAAGAATAACAGGAAGGAGGTTGTGTCAAGGCTAACTCTGCCAGGTTTGCATTGTGCTTCTGGATGGATGGTGGTATCACTCACAAAGGGAAGACTAGAAGGGGACTAAGTTTGGAAGAGAATATATTGATTTTATGTATCTGTTTAATACAGATACATAAACGTGATAATTTTATGTATCACGTTTAATTTTATGTATCTGTGAAACATTGAAGTAGAGATGGCAGCAGTTAGAAGAATCTGGAGCTTCAAGGATGGCATGCTTCCCAGTTTGTCTGAGACTGTCCTGATTTACAACTTTTCTGCTGGCCTAATTATTAATAGCATCTACTTTCACTCTCAAAAATGCTTTGGGTTTGTTTGGACAATAAGTTAATGGTTATTCTGGTTATACTTGACTAATTTATATACTTAGAACTCTTTCCAAATTCTCATATTTTCTGCTTTGTAGGAGAAATGTGTTCGTTCTTTACCCTGTTCTTATTCCCTTCTTTCTCGCCAGTAGTGCCTCAATTTCCCTTTACAGAATTAACATTTCTTTGATTTTCATTTATATGAGTTAGCTCAAAGACAGATCTCCACTGCTTTTACCATATTATTAAGTCACATTCAACTGCATACACTGATTAGATCAGGGCAGGGTACATGACACATTTGGAGATACTGAGAGGTTAGTGAATTCCAGAACTTTGTATGAGAGGAAAAAGAGACCCCATTTCCAAGGATAATGAAGTGTTAGTATGTGAGGGCTGGAACTGTAGCAGCCATTATTGATCACAGGGGAATAATATCAATCTTGTACTGATGGTGGATGAAAGGCAATGTGTGGCTTGAGGATTAAAGACACCAATGAGGGGGAGAGTTCAAAGTCAAAAAGAAGCTGGATTTATGGTGACATGGTTTTCGCCACTGGAGTATAACTTTCTTGAATCTAGACCTGGTACTGGAGTTTTATTTATGTGGATCAAAATATGTCCTTTATTGTGTAGGCCAGCTTGGAATTAGCTTTGTCAATTACAAAATGTTAAGTCCCTAACCAGTATTTTTTTTTTGGTAATTGATGGTATTAAATTTATATCTCCTGGTGTAGTGGTTGTAGGGCTAAGTGGGGAGTTTGTTATTGGTTAAAAGAAGACAAAATGTGTTATTCCTTCTGCCATTTTTTCATATAGTTGCAGATTGAGGGTGGAGTCCTGTGATTTTCAGGCTCTTCAAGTTAACAATACTTGCAAAGATGAAGATGGAATTCTCTGTCATCCATGAAGGTAATGCAGAAATATAGCAAGTAGGATGCACAAAGTTACTCAAGTAGCACCTTTTGAGTGTCCATCCTTTGACATAATGAGATGTGGCTCATTATTAGATAATTACTTTTATTTTATTATTGATTTATTTCTACAGATGTGAAATTAATCTTTAGTATCTCAGAGTCTTTTCATCTGGTGTTTAAAAAGTCTGATCTACTTGTAGATTTAAACATATTTTTTAAGTCCTGCCAGAGTACTCATTCATGCTTATGTAACATTTCTCTGAATAGGGGTGGTTTTTCCAGATTTGATTCTGGGAGTTCTGCAACATAAATATGTGTATCTTGCATTATATGCTTCTAACCTGTGTCAGCTACATATGTTGCCCCTAGTAATGAGAGGGCAATATTTATTTTATGTTCTCTACATCTTGCATTTCATGGTATGTATGAATTTTATTACTGTGTTTTAGACAAATGCCACACTTGGGCTGGATAACTGAGAAAAATATAATAAAAATATTTACAAAGTTTTGGGCAAGAGTTATGAAAAACAACAATGTGCAGCATGCTGAAGCTAGTAACAGCAGCAAGCTTTGCCAAACCTAGGCCTGAAGGCACCAGGGAAGGGAAGGGTTACCAGAACCTGGAGAGTTTAATGAGATAATTGCCTGATGGGGGTTAGAAGAAAATGTCAACCTTTTAGGCACAGAGCAGGCAAAAAGTGTAAAAGATATATTAATCATCCAAGAACTATCAAAAACTATTTAATATGTATTAAGACCTGCATGAAACATCAGTAACATAAGCATATATTCTTATCAAAATTGAAAAACTGTTATATTATGAAGCATGTACCTAAAGCAGATCTATTTTAAAGCATAATGAATTAAGCCTATTTGTAGCAGACATGGTAAGTGTCTTGTTCATATCTCTTCAACTCACTTGAGAGGTAACATGCAAGCAAACATGCTAAGCACTGATCCCTATTGCATTCCTCTGCTTAGCAGGTAGAGAGCAAATGTGACCCATAATCAATGAAAAATGAAAGTTGGCAAATAAATGCCTCAGAACTGTAATAGGCAACTTCTGAGATGCTTTGTATGTTCCCTCAGAGAGTTTACTTCTGGAACTGAAGGCCAATTGCCATATTAGCAACAAACATTCTTTATTGACTTTCTCCTTTTGCTTTCTTACTTGGCCATTCTTATACCTTACTAATTGGGATCACAACCCAAATAAACCATGTGCACTTAAATCTTGTCTAAAGGTCTGCTTTGGGAACCCAAAGTAAGATAGTATTTAAAGAAGCTATGAGGCGGAACTCAGGGGCTCATGCGTATAATTCCAGCACTTTGGGAGGCTGAGGTGGGAGGACGGCTTGAGTCTAGGAGTTCAACAACAGCCTAGGCAACATAGTGAGATCCTGTCTCTACAAAAAATAAAAAACAAAAAAAATTAGTCAGATGTGGTGATACACACCTGTAGTCCCAGCTACTTGTGAGGCTGAGGTGGGGAGGATCACTTGAGAAGGAGTTTGAGGATTTGGCAAGCTATGATAACATCCCTGAACTCCAGCCTGGATGACAGAGCAAGACCCTGTCTCTTAAAAAATAAAAAGCTATAAAGTTTAGGATTTTATTTATTTTTAAGTATTTCTTATTTTGACTATTTTTTTTTACCAGAATAATTTAGAAATGAAAAATTTTGTTTGATATCTTTGAAAAGTATTTTTAAAAATTATCTGACTCAAGGAATCTTCCCACCTTGGGCAAGTTGAAAAATATAAAAATGACTATACCTAGAGGGCCAACAGTCACCTATAATAAAGCATCACTTAACATTTTGTTGCCCCTACCATATTTCTGCCTCAAGCAAGTGCCAGAATGGAAGAGGTAGCTTATGATTTCTGAAGCAATAAAGCCAACATTGTTATTTTATAAGATTACATATTATCTGTGGATTTGTTTCTCTAGATCGTGCCTACAATTCTCTTTTCAGATTCCATTTTAGTAGTAGACTTCCTTCAATACCAACTGTTTTGTCTTTATTATTTATTTTCTTTTCGAGTATTTGACCCATTAGAAGGCACATACAGACATTTTTATTTTTTTCTCAAAAAAAAAAAGAGAAGTTTTGATGTATACTATTGGCAAGATATATTCTCTTTAAAGCTTTTTAAATTTTACATATGGGTTTATAAATTCATATATATACACATATATTCTAAACTCATATGTACACACACACACACACACACACACACACACACACACACACACACAGTGGAGGAAGAGTAAAAGTGAAGAAGAAACTAAAGAAGTTTGAAGTTTATCACATTTCCAGTTTCATTTTTGTGTCATTAATGCCTGCAGTTAGATTGGCCCCAGCTATAACAACTTTGCAAAAATTAGAAGAGTATCAAAATGCCAGTTTTAACTGCAAATGTCTCCTTCTATAGTCTTCCCACGTTGTTTAAAACTCTCAACTTTATGAGTATTATAATTTGGAACTTACTAAAAAAAGAGTATATAATAAAGTATTAAAAAAGACATCTTTGTTATATTTTCTCAAAAGGTGCTCTATCAAATAGTCCTGACTTTATTAAATTCCACATATTAATCGTTTTGAAGTACCTTCTAATGAAGATAATTTTATTAGCATGTTCAGGATTAGCTTGTTAACATATGATCATGAGGAACACATAGACTGGCATGTTCACAAGCTCCTATCAGCTCTCAGAAAACAGGCTGTCCTGGGAAGCAGCCAGAGGAGGTGGAGTAAATGTCTGGAGCATAGGATGGGGCCAAAACAATATACTATGGGGCCGAAGAACATTGAAGGAGTGGGTTAATTCCAGAGATTCAGAAAAACCGAAGAGTGGGAGATAAAAATAGCATGAATTATTGAAAACAAATCTGTATCAGATTTGTTTCCAGAACCAGTCCTAATGAGAACAAAATAATCATTTAGATATGGTCTATATACACAATGAAATATTCTTCAGTCTTAACAAGGAAGGAACTTTTGCCATTTGTGACAACATAAAAAATCTGGAGGATATTATGTTAAATGAAATAAACTTGTCACAGAAGGACAAATACTGCATGATTTCACTTACATGATATACCTAAAATAGTCAAACTCCCAGAAGCAGAGAATATAGGGGTAGTTTCCAGGTGCTGGGGAGAAGAAAAAAATGGGGAATTGTTTTTCTATTGGTAAAAGTTTTATTAGTTCCAGAGATCTGCTGTATAACATGGTGCCTGTAGTCAACAATACTGTATTGTGCACTTACAAAATTAAGAAGGTAGATCTCATGTTAAATGTTCTTAGCACAAATAAATAGAATAATAAATAAAGGGACACAATAAAACTTTTTTTCGTGGGGAGGGGGACAGAGTTTTGCTCTTGCTGCCCAGGCTGGAGTGCAATGGCATGATCTCAGCTCACTGCAACCTCTGCCTCTCAGGTTCAAGCGATTCTTCTGCCTCAGCCTCCCAAATAGCTGGGATTACAGGCATGCGCCACCAGGCCTGGCTAATTTTGTATTTTTAGTAGGATGAGGTTTCCCCATATTGGCCAGGCTGATCTCAAACTCCTGACTTCAGGTGATCCGCCCGCCTCGGCCTCCCAAAGTGCTGGGATTACAGGCATGAAACAATGTGCCCTGCCCACAATAAAACTTTTGAAAGTGATGGATATGGTGATGGTTTCATGGATATATGCATATGTGAAATTCATCAAATTATATACATTAAATATTTGCAGTTTTTGTGTCTCAATTATAACTCAATAAAGCTGTTTAAAAAATACACAAAGCAGTCATTTATACAGGGAAGGATACAGTGAATACAAGGAAATATGAACCACTGGAACTTATGATATGAAAATTGTCTTCCTCAAAACTTCCTCTCTACCTACTACTTATTGTATTTCTTCTTCTTTATTCCTTTCTCCCTCCCTCCATCCTTCTTTGTCTCTTCTTTCTTTCATTCACATTGGTATATGAATATATCATATATATCAATATGAATGAAACATAATTAATATTTACATATATATCAACATATATTGATAAAAATTTTTAAAAATATCTATTAAGTTAACATATATTCATATATAGTTTTAAATTGTTCTATATAAAAAATAGAGACAAATAGAAAATTTAAAGTGCTATATACCTGTATTAGGGTTCTCTAGAGGGACAGGACTATAGGATATATATACACACACACACACACACACACACACACACACACACACATACATACATATTATATATGTATACACACACACCCATATATATATATATATGTGTGTATATATATATATATATATATATATATATATATATATATATATAAAGGGGAGTTTATTAAGTATTAACTTACACAATTGTGAGGTTGCACATAGGCTGTCTGCAAGCTTGAGGAGCAAGGAGAGCCAGTCCGAGTCTCAACACTGAAGAACTTGGAGTCTGATGTTGGAGGGCAGGAAGCATCCAGCACAGGAGAAAGATGTAGGCTGGGAGGCTAGGCCAGTCTTGCCTTTTCAAGTTTTTCTGCCTGCTTTATATTCACTGGAAACTGATTAGATGGTGCCCACCAGATTAAGGGTGGGTCTGCCTCCTCCAGCCTACTGACTCAAATGTTAATCTCCTTTGTCAATGCCCTCACAGACACACCCAGGATTAATACTTTGTATCCTTCAATCGAATCAAGTTGACACTCAGTATTAACCATTATAGTACCTATAAGAAGTATGATTCAACATTCTAATCTGATTGTCTGTTATTCCAACCTCAGTGGAAGAATTTAAGAAGTCACAGATAATATTAAACATTCAACAACAAAAAATAAAACTTAGTCAACCTATGACCAGATTTTGGGAGAAATTGTCACCAGTGGCATCATTGGAATTTGTCCCTAGTCTCTGTGCTTTACTGCCAGAGCACAACAAATCTATTAGTTCAAGAGAAGGTGGGAAGATGATTGTTTCATCTCTATATTTTTTTCTGGCAGTGGTAGAAAAATTCAAAGTTTATGCCAAATGATATTTTCTTTCTCCTGCATGAATATTATTTTTCTTTTTTTTTAGGGACAGGATTTTGCTTGTGTTGGGAAAAAAGCTGAGGGTTGGGAGGGAAACTGAGGCAGGGCTTGCATAATGTCCTCTGGAATGTGTCTAGACTTGCTGGCTTCTTGCTTCTAGCCCTCCTAGATTCCTAGTCCCATTATCTCAAGTAGCAGAACAAGTTCCATATAAATGCTAAACTGTCACAGCTGTAGATCATGTGCCTGCCCTTTTGATCTCCACATTCTCACCACCTGTTTCTCTGTTGGATTACCAATAAATAGCATGGGCTCCTAGAGCTCAGGGCCTTCACAGCCTCCATGATCGCGATGGTCCCCTGGTGTCCCGCCTTTCTCTCTCAAACTGTCTTTTTCTCAATCATTTGACTCTGCTGGACTTTGTCATCCCCACGACCTGGTGTTGGTTGGGTCTGGCCACCCCAACAGCTTGGTTGGTTGCCCAGGCTGGAGTGCACTGGCGTGATCATAGCTCACGGAAACCTCAAACTCCTGGGCTCAGGTTATCCTCCCATCTCAGCCTGCTGAGTAGCTGGGACTGCAGATGGGCACCACCATGCCTGGCTAGCTTTTCTTATTTATTTTTGTAGAGACAACTTGCTATTTTGTCAAGGCTGGTCTCCAAATCCCAGCCTCAAATAATCCTCCCCTCAGCCTCTCAAAGCTTTTGGATTGGCTGGGCATGGTGGCTGACACCTGCAATCCCAGTTCTTTGGGAGGCCAAGGCGGGTGGGTCACAAGGTCAGGAGATCCAGACCATCCTGACTAACACGGTGAAACCCCATCTCTACTAAAAATACAAAAAAATTAGCCAGGCATGGTGGTGGGTGCCTGTAGTCCCAGCTACTTGGGAGGCTGAGGCAGGAGAATGGCGTGAACCTGGGAGGCAGAGCTTGCAGTGAGCCAAGATCTCTCACTGCATTCCAGCCTGGGTGACAAAGCGAGACTCTGTCTCAAAAAAAAAAAAAAAGCCTTTGGATTACAGGCATGAGCCATTATGCTTGGCCTGAATATAACCTTTCTGAGAGAACTAAAAATTGTTGCACCATATTTGCTACTAATGGTTTTTTTCCCCTCTATATTGTCAGAGACACAAACATTTCAGGACAGACTATAGAAAGTAGAGATATATGAGAACAGCAATGATTCATAGCCTCCTCAAGGAATTAATGTGTGGCAAGCTGAGATCTAGAATTGCACCTTTTCATATACTCATTTTATTCTAAGTGTTAAATAATCATTAGGTAGATATAAGAAAGGATCCCAAATTGTAGCTGCATCTCCACTCCTGGTGAATGCTTCAAGATATAGTGAGACTTAGGTTGCAAGCTGGATATATCAACCTGCTAGGGATATTGTGGAGTATCCTTCAACCAGTCCTTAAATTGTCAATGATCAGGACCAAAGACAATGTGCCCATTCTCCATTAGCAACTTCTGTATATGAATAGAAATCTCTTCATTCAAAGGCACATAAGGAGAAAAACAGACAAATCATGGAAACTATAGAAAAATACTGTCAACTACTTTGCTATGTAAAAACCTACCTAACCTAAATGGATTTACACTCTTAATTTAAAATTATTTTGTTATCTCTCCTGAGCTATTGCTGACTAGACTTAGCTCCATGTATGCTCTCTGGGCCTGACATTATTTAGGGGCTTAACTGGGGCGGAACATCCAAGAAGGCTCATTCACGTGGCTGATAATTGAAACTAACTTCTTTCTCACTCAGGTGTAGTAACTCTGTTTTGGGGGCTTATTTCCTTGCTTGCTTCCATAGATGGGCCTATCTTTCTTGCCAGTGATTGGTTCAGGCCTAAGCCAATTAGTGCATAGTTTTCCCATTGGTCATGGTAGATTGAGATATGGTTTAATAAAAGTGACTTTGAATACTTCATTTGATGGTTGCAGCAAACAAGCTTCTCTGTCTTTACTCGGAGGAACCTTGTTTGCTGATCATGAACACCTCAAAATCATGAGGGAAAGCCAGCCTAAGTAGGAAGCCAAAAAAGAGACAAGTGTGGAGCTGAAGGAATTGTAGGGAAATAGAGCTGGAGCCCTAGACAAAGAATGCCCGAATCTCCCCTACTTCCAAATACTTCAGGAACTGAGCCACTACATCCACTTAATTGTTTAAGTTAGTATGGGTTAGGTTTTCTGATAATTACAGGAGAAAGCATTCTAACCGATCGACGCAGCTAATATAAATGACCAAAAAAAGGGTGAAATAAAAGGATGAGATTAACAGTTGTTACTTATGAAATAAAAGAGAAATAGACAAATCTTCAAAAATGTAAATCAATGAATCAACAAAAAATAGAGAAAAAAATAAGAAAGTTGATAGATGTTGAGGCATTTGTATCTTAGGAAACGATAATAACAGCAATAATAATAGTAACAAAAACAGCAGCAAGGATTATTTGAGTCCATGTTATTGTTACCATGCTAGTCTAAGAGCTTTGCATGTTTTAACTATTTTAGCTTTTGTCAAAAGCAGTATAAAGTAAGTACTGCTGATGACAAAGGTTTTGAAGAAAAAAGTTTAGTAACTGTAGCAGTCCTGGATATAGAGCCCATGTTTTATTATGTGTAATTTAATAAAAGCACATTTAAAATTCTTGATGAATGGAGAAATGTTCTTAGATCATTTATACTGCCAAATTCAATTCAAGAGGAAGGGGAAAACTTCTACAGACTAATAATTGTGGAGGACATTAAAAATCACCAAAGTATTACTTTGATAATATACTAGAGGATCAGATGATTTTAATGGCGAGTTATAGGAAACATGTAATATCTTTACAAATGACATCTATACATTTTATGTTATAATGTTGTCATACTCCTATTGTCAAAGCTGATATACAATGATAAACTAAACATATACAATTTATGTTATAATGTTGTCATAATCCTATTGTCAAAGCTGACATAAAATGTTAAACTGTTTCATAAATGGAGCCACAAGTATCCTAAATGAAATACTTTCAAATTATGTTCAACTTTGCATTTAAATGAATTATTTGCCAGTACCATCAACAAACTTTCTTTCCTCTATCCAAATTGTATCTTGACACAAACTAGCTATTATTTTGTATTAAAATAGATTTCTAGTTTTCAGATCATCTGCTTACATTTCAGAAATGTTATCCATCTGGATTTTGAGTGATGCCTGCCAATGCACTACCTATGGTCAGTCAATTAATAATAAAAAGCATGGCATGTGAAGGCATAACACAAAAGCGCCATGTAACAACAAAGGGAAAACACTGTCTCCTAGCAAGAAATTCCACAGCTTCCCATTGATCCAAGAGCAATGCCCTTATCTTGAATTTCAATATGTGGTATAATTCCAGTGGAGATGGAAAAGAAAGAGGGAAAACCTGCACATTCTATACTATATAATAGCATTATATACTACTATATAATAGCACTATAAACTACTATATAATAGTATATATATAATGCTATATATAATAGCATTATATACTACTATATAATAGCATTATATACTGTGCAAATATATACTGTGCAAATAGCATTATATACTGTGCAAATGATTCACAAACAGACTCCAAGGGCCACCAAATGGAAATGGCTTCTTACTGTTCTAAATGTAATCATTTAAATTCTAATTTTTCTTTAGATATGCTGCATTTTATAAAAATGCCATCTATTTTAATATGGGTCATTAATAAAAATATTTTCTAGGAAAATATCTAGGTAATTTCCCAGATATACATCACCTCATGGAGTAATTGCTGAACAAAGAAAAATCACTAATCACTCTCCCAAGGTTATGGTTTAAACCTATTTTACTATTTTGTTATGAGTATTATGAGGGTCATGCCAAAAACCTTGTAAAACCAAGATATCTGACTTCATTTTTTCCTCTACATTGATAAGTCTGTCACTGGGTAAAAAGGAATTTGATTGTACTGGTGTGATTTGTTGTCACTGAATTTATGGTGGTTATCACCCTGCCTCCTGTACTTAGTAGGCCTTTGCAAATTGCTTGCTGTGGGATTTGTTCTAATATCAGGAAAGATACTGAAGTTAAAACAAACTGTTCTCTAATTTCAAAAGTGTCATCATATCCCGCCTCATTCTTCAAATGCTCACCTTCAACCTCAGCCTCTTAGAAAAATTGAGATATATTTAAACTGCTCAATTTTCAGATTATTTGGCTATGATGTCTGAAAACACACATAGCTTATAGCTGTTAACGATTTTAGTGAAATGCAGTTGGCCCTCTGTAACCTCAGAGAATTAGTTCTAGGACTCCAGCAGATACCGCAATCAGCAGATGCTCAAGTTTCTTATATAAAATGGTGGAGTACAGTATTTAGTTAATGCAAGTCACATATTATTAAATAGTTTATATTTCGAAGTATCTGGCTTTTTGAAGTGATTTGGACCATTTTAATCTGTATTCTATTATATCATAGATGTTTAGGACAAATTTTAGTCTGTTTTTGTAATTGTGATTGACCTTGAGCAATTTCCTTGAAAAAGCACTTGAAAGTCTTTCTACAGTTTTAGACCATAAAAAAATTTATTGTCATGATTATAACCCACCCACCTTGACTCAAGGGAATGATCATATTTAAATATATGCAAAATTAAAGCAGAAGCATTAAACATTTTTTTTATTTTACTTTATGTTCTAGTATACATGTGTAGAATGTGCAGGTTTGTTACATAGGTATACGTGTGCCATGGTGGTTTGGTGCACCCATCAACCCATCATCTAGGGTTTTTTGTTGCTGCTGTTGCTGTTGTTGTGTTTGAGATGGAGTCTTGCTCTGTTGCCCAGGCTGGAGAGCAGTGGCTTGATCTCAGCTCACTGCAACCTCCGCCTCCTGGGTTCAAGCGATTCTCCTGCCTCATTTTTTGTATTTTTAGTAGAGACAGGGTTTCACCGTTTTAGCCAGGATGGTCTCAATCTCCTGACCTTGTGATCTGCCTGCCTCAGCCTCCCAAAGTGCTGGGATTACAGGCATGAGCCACTGCGCCTGGCATCATCTAGCATTGTAAGCTCGCATGCATTAGGTATTTGTCCTAATGCTCTCCCTCCTCTTGCCCCACACCTCCCGACAGGCCCCAGTGTGTCATGTTCCCCTCCCTGTGTCCATGTGTTCTCATTGTTTAACTCCCACTTATGAGTGAGAACATGCGGTGTTTGATTTTCTGTACCTGTGTTAATTTGCTGAGAGTGATGGTTTCCAGCTTCATCCATGTCCCAGCAAAGGACATGAACTCATTCTTTTTTTATGGCTGCATAGTATTTCATGGTGTACATGTGCCACATTTTCTTTATCCAGTCTGTCATTGATGGGCATTTGGGTTGGTTCCAAGTCTTTGCTATTGTAAATAGCAGCAGCATTTTTTAATGCAAAGATGAGCATTCTTGTTCTGTAGTCGTTCTTACACTGATTTCAATTCTTGAAGCTTGTCCTAATGCCTTAGATGAATTTATATTTTCCTCCTGTTTTTCTCTCATTTTCGTCTTCTCCTCCTTCTCTAATTCCTCTCTCTACTTTTGCTCTTCTTTTTTCTTCTCCTTTATATTACACTAATTAGTGTAATATGAATGTATAAGTGTAATATCTGTATAACAATCATTAGCATATCTGTTGTCATTTTTTATTCTATTGGCATTTTATTGTGCTGTATGTAGTCAATTTGTCATTTTGGAGATCTATATTTTGGAAATATTGTAAAGCTTTCTGCGCCTCTATGCTTTTCTTAATAGTTAAACTCAATTATGTTAGAATAATTCTTATTATTCTAATATTATATGAAATTTGTCTTGTGTTAAATTTATTTAATCTCTATATTTTTTATTTTTTGTTATTCTGTGTTCATCAATAGAACTAGAGGAACATTCAGCTTTTTTTGATAAGACATGTAGATAATTTATTTCTCTTCACATTTTTACAAAGCATGTATAATCATTTCCTTGTCATAGAAATATGAATTCAGTGTTATTGATACATTGGGTCAGAGCAGAATTAACTTAAAAATTGGAGTAGAAAAGAATGTTTTATGCAAAACTTGACTATTCAAAATGATGAGATACTTGAATAATTGAATCAGGAAACTCTGTAGAAGGAAAATCACCTTGCCTTACATACAAAGCTCTCTATGCTCATCAGCTCCTCCTATTGTCTGAATGTACGTGGAGTCCAAAGCAGCTGGGTGCTTATGGGTAGTTGTGAAGGTAAACATAATGACAATACAGATGTCTATCAAATGTGTTCTGTATAAAAGTTTTATAATCCATATCTTGTATAATCATTTTCTAAATATAAAGCAATATGAACTGAAACTCTGTATCATTCCAATTCTATCAAGGAATGGGGTTGGGAATGAGACAGAGTCTATCTGCAGCTCATGCCACCCACCAAAGATAGATAACAGGGAGCCATTCACAGCTACAAATTATGACTCCAATAAAGTAAACTGCAACCAGGAAGGAATCAGATGTTTCCAGCACATTAATGTTAGGATTATTGCTTCAAAGGAACAGGGATAATTTATAGGAATATGAGGAAGACACTTTCCTAATATCAGAATTGTCTATGGTGTCTCTAAAAAAAAGTTCTTATCATTTTGGTGAGGTGTGCTTTCTTTCTAGGTGATTAGTAAGGAAGATCACTACGGTTCTTACTTGTGTGGCAGCTAAACTAGGACCAGAAACAATTGCCACTTTTCCCATGCCTAGGAATATAAACCATTCCTCTCCTTTCAGAGAAGGAAAGCCTGAGAGGAAGAGGGCCTCCGGTGGTGGAAGGTGAAGATAGACTAGGTGGCTTGACAAGAGAATTCAGGGGAAATTATGAAGCCATTTGAGGGGGAGCAGTCAAAAGAAAACCAAAATCTGCAATTCCCTTCCCCCTGTTTGTACTAGAGACTGAGTTTGTAAGAGTAACTTCCTCCCTCTGTTTTCCCTGTATAATGTTTCCTCTCTTAAAACTTCTTGACCCTTCAGTAAAAGAAAAAAATTGTAACTCCAGCAGATACCATTGCTTGTCTTAGGAAGGATGTAGAGGTATAAAATAATGATGACAGCTTTTTTGTCATTATGTGGGGCTGGTATTTCCCAGCATACATATTTCTAGGTCTTCTTAACTAGTATCCAACTATGATTTGGGCAGGCACAAGTTAAAATGAAAATAACTTTCCTAGAAAGGAAATTCATAATGCTATCAGTTATTCTTGGTACTGGCTTATGTGACTTAGCGTAATGTATGCAAGTCTCATCCTTGTTGTAGTGTATGTCAGAATTTCCTTTTTTAAGACTGAATAATGTTCCACTGTATGTATATACCACACTTTGTTTATCCATTTATCCATTGATGGACATTTGGGTTTCTTGCACCTTTTGGCTATTTTGAATAATGCTGCTATAAACATGGGTGCATAAATCTCTCTTCAAGAGCCTGCTTTCAATTCTTTGGGGTATATAAATTAAATTTTTGGATCCTTTGGTAATTCTATTTTTAATTTTTGTTTTCCATAGTTGGCTACACCATTTCACATTCCCAACAACAGTGAAAAATGGTTTTAATTTTTTCCACATCCTCATCAATACTTGTTATTTTCTGTTTTTCTTTATAGTAGCCATCATAATGGGTGAGTGGTGGTATATTTTAAATTTATAAATTACAGAATTAATTCATCTTTTGCATATTTCCAAACAATTCATTTTATGCTACTGCCTCTCTTTTAACTTTTTATATTATTTTATTTTTATTGTAGCTAATTGGTAAATCTTTTTAAAAAACTGACTTCGATTTCTGACTTACTTGGAAAGGAAGGTTTGCACCAATCTCAAAATTATTTTTTTAAATCCTCATATTTTTAACTATCATTTTTTACAAATTGGGGGTTGATAGTTCTTTTGTTTTCAGTACTTGAAAATATTGTGCCACTTCCTTTTGGCTTTCATTTTTTCCAGTGAGAAATTATGCTTTCCTATAGATAAGGTGTCTTTTATCTTTCATTGCCTTTACAATTTTTCCTTTGTATTTAGGTTTCAAAAGGTGGACTATAAGATGCATTGGTATAGATTTATTTGGGTTTACCCTGTTTGGGTTTTGCTCAGCTTCTTAAATCTGTAGGTTTATGTATTTTTTCAAAAAATACTATTTTCTTGACTGTATTTTATCCCCACCCCTTTACTCCTTTACTTTTGGTACACTGATAACAGAAATGCTAGATCTTTTGTTGTAGCTTCACAGGTCCTTGAGGCTCATTTTATCTTCCCATTTATTTTTTCTCTGTTGTTCACATAGGGTAATTTTTATTTTTCCATCTTTGAGTTCATATATTATTTCTTTGTTTCTTGTTTTCTGCCATTATACCCATCTGTTGAGTTTTTTATTTTGGTTTTGTATTTTTGAATTCTAAAATTTTCATTTTATTTTTTTGGTTTGTATTTCTTATTCTTTGCTGAGATTTTCTATTTTTTTAGTTGTATCAAGCTTGTTTGTAATTGCTTCTTCAACCTTTTTTTATGATGGCTGTTTTAAAATCATTTTCAGATAATTCTAGCATCTGTATTGTTTGCATCTGCTGATTGCCTTTTCTCACTCAGGTTGAGAATTTTCATGTTCTCGATAAGGCAAGTTTTTTTTTTTTTGATAGAAACTCATTTTGGGTATTGAATTACAAGACTCTGGATCTTATTTCAATCTTTTCTTAATAGAAGACATTGCTCTAACAACGATGGGTGAAGAGGAGTGGTACCTCATTACTGCCAGGTGGGGGTTAGAAGTCCAGGCTCCCTGCCTCACCTAATTGACACTTGAGAGGCAAAGGTGAAACTGCTCATTATTACTGGGGGCAGTGGAAATTTAGGCTCTCCAATAGACTTCAACTGATACTACCCCTGCTGGGAAGGGCAGGATGCCTTGTTACTCTTCCCCACATAGCCTCCACTGACACCAACATGGTGGTGGTGGTGGTGGTAGACAGTGGCCTCATTATTGCTGAGTGGTGGTAAAAGTCATGACTCTCCACTAGGTAGTCTTTGGCACTACCTCAGTGTGGAGGGAGAGGGGAACCTCATTATATAGTGTGGGGTGGATGTCCATGATCTTCTTCGGATCTCTCCACTGATGCCATGGGGTCAGAGCTGCTCCCAGCTCCCTACTTGCCCTTCTCGGACACCACTGTGGTGGTGGGGTTGTTAGGGTGACTCCTTACAGCCTCACAAAGGTGCAATTCTAGATTCTTCACTTGGTCTTTCCTGGTGTAGGGGTGGATGGGGTCATAGTTGTGTGTGTGTGTGTGTGTGTGTGTGTGTGTGTGTGTGTGTGCACGCGCGTATGCGCGCATGCTATTTGGCTGGAATAGAGTGGCTATTGTTTAAACATTTTCTCTCTTGCTAGGCTGCCTCTTTCCCGGTCCTTTGGTTGGTAGAACAGGATTTTCTTGGGGTTGTGTTGGTCTGTGTCTATTGGCAATTCTGGGTTCTTGGCTTCCTCTGCAACTAATCCAGAATATATGAGGCAAAAAAATGACAAACTCCAGAAAAATTGCTGTCATGTTACTCTTTGAGCCCTGAAGTCCCTGGCCCATCTACCTTTTTCTCCTCACCTCTCTGAATCTTGTTTGTTTTATGCACAACATCCAGGGTATATAGCTGTTCATAGTGTAAGGAATGGAAAAAAGAAGAGCCAATTTTTATTATTCGTAGTCACCATGTGGTATAAAGTCACTGCAAATATAGAACTGGCAAATACGGAACCACTATTCTTACAGGAAATATAAAGTTAGGTTCCTGAGAGTGTCTAGCAACAACATTTTTTTAAAAAAATTGGTTGATATATAACCTTGTTTTATGTTTCAACACCTTATTTAAAAGATATTGTATTTTCATTAACACTGAACACACAGCCAATAGCAGTATAACTCATGCCTGAATGAAGCATATCTAACATACATATTTTCCATAAGGCACACCACAGCCTTCATGTGCTTAGGATCATTAGACAAGCACTTCAGCACTATACTTTGGGGCAATTTTAAATAGCAAAATCACTAACAGAAAGCATGAACAAAAATATGAAAAACGTGTCACTAAATAGACTGAAAATTTCACTTGTTTACAGTATGAGAGCTGTAAAAAGAAGGCAGGGCAACATTCGATTTGACCTCAGCTCACAACATGCACATTGGATGATCTGAATTTTTGGCTGCTCTGCACATGTCTGCGAATGACCATAAAGAAGCACAGGTAGAGGAGCTGCAGTTTATGGTGCAGATATGGCCAAGTTCAAGAACAACACCATGCACAAATAGTCCCCAAAATGGCACAGAAATGGCATCAAGAGACCTTGATTACAAGGATATGAATCTCTTAAGGGAGTGGGCCCTAAGTTCGTGAGGAATGTGTGCTTTGCCATGAAGGAAAAGAAGGGCTTAAAAAAGATGCAGGTCAACAACACCAAGGACATGAATGGACTAGCCAAGGCTGTCAGGGCCCTCATATAGCTCAAGGAGGTCAAGGTCAAGACCCCTGAGGGCATCAGCTACAAGCTCAATCTATTTGCCTACATTGCTGACCTAAGCTAGGGCAACATGTTTATGTCCACATTGTGTAGAATGATTTCTCTATCTTTGGGAACATACACAATATTCGAATTGCTGGATTGAATGGTAATTCTATTTTGAGTTCTTTGAGAAATCAACAAACTGCTTTCCACAATGGCTGAACTAATTTACACTCCCACCAACAGCGTATAAGCTTCCCTTTTCTTTGCAACCTCAGCATGATCTGTTATTTTTTTACTTTTTAATGATATGCATTCTGGCTGGTGAGAGATGGTTTCTCATTGTGGTCTTGATTGGCATTTCTCTAATAATTAGTGACACTGAGAATTGTTTCATATTCTTGTTGGCTGTGTGTATATCTTCTCTTCGAAAAGTGTCTGTTCACGTTCTTTGCCTACTTTTTAATGGGGTTGTTTGTT
Source organism: Homo sapiens (assembly GCF_000001405.40). Classification (NCBI taxonomy): domain Eukaryota; kingdom Metazoa; phylum Chordata; class Mammalia; order Primates; family Hominidae; genus Homo; species Homo sapiens. The sequence goes on along the minus strand of NC_000002.12, from coordinate 186,162,540 downwards.
CTTTGTTAATTTGTTTAATTTCCTTATAGATTTCAGATATTAGACTTTTGTCAGATGCATAGTTTGCAAATGTTTTCTCTCATTCTGTACACTCTTTAATCTGTTGATATGCTGTCCAGAAGCTCTTTAGTTTAATTAAGTCCCATTTGTCAATTATTATTTTTGTTGCAATTGCTTTTGGGATATTCATCGTAAAATCTTACCAAGTTCCTATGTCTAGAATGGTATTTCCTAAGTTATCTGTCAGGGATTTTGCAAGTTTTAGGTTTTACATTTAAGTCTTTAATCTATCTCGAGTTGATTTTTGTGTATGATGTAAGGAAGGAGTTCAGGTTCAATCTTCTGCATATAGCCAGTTAGCCAGTTATCCAGCGCCATTTATTGAATGGTGATTCCTTTCCCCGTTGCTGGCTGTATTAGTTCATTTTTACACTGCAATGAAGGACTACCTGAGTCTGGGAAATTTATAAAGAAAAAAGGCTTAATTGACTCACAGTTCTGTATGCCTGAGGAGGCCTCTGGAAACTTACAATCATGTTGGAAGGTGAAGGGGAAGTGAGGACCTGCTTCACATGGTGACAGGGCTTGGGGAAATTGCTAAACACTTTTTACTATCATATTTTGTGAGCACTCACTCACTATTATGAGAACAGCATGAATCGCCCCCATGATTCAATAATCTCCCAACAGGCCCCTTCTCTGACATATGGGGATTAAAATTCAAGATGAGATTTGAGTGTGGTCACAGAGCCAAACCATATTATTCCACCCCTGGACCCTCCCAAATCTCATGTCCTTCTCGCATTTCAAAACCAATTATGCCTTCCCAACAGTCCTCCAAAGTCTTAACTCATTCCAGCATTAACCCAAAAGTCCAAGTCTAAAGTCTCACCTGAGACAATGCAAGTCCCTTCCTCCTGTGAGCCTGTAAAATAAAAAAATAAGTTAGTTACTTATAAGATGCAGTGGGGCCCAGGCATTGGGTAAATGTTCCCATACAAATGGGAGAAATTAGCCAAAACAAAGGGGCTACAAGCCACATGCAATTTGGAAACCCAGCAAGGCACTCATTAAATCTTAAAGCTCTAAAAGTAATCTCCTTTGACTGCATGTCTCACATCCAGGAAATGCTGACCCAAGAGGTAAGCTCCTAAGGCCTTGGGCAGCCCTTTCCTGTGGCTATGCAGGCTACAGCCTCCATGGCTGCTTTCACGGGCTGGCATTGAGTGCCTGTAGCTTTTCCAGGCACATGGTGTAAGCTGTCAGTAGACCTACCATTCTGGAGTCTGGAGGATGGTGGCCCTCTTCTCACAGCTCCACTATGCAGTGCCCCAGTGGGGACTGTGTGTGGGGGCTCCAACCCCACATTTCCCCTCTGCACTGCCCTAGTAGAGGTTCTCCATGAGGGCTCCATCCCTGCAGCAGACTTCTGCCTGGCCTGGACATCCAGGCATTTCCATACATCCTCTGAAATCTAGGTGGAAGCTCCCAAACTCTTGCCTTCTGTGCATCCACAGATCCAGCACCACACGACAACTGCAAAGGCTTGGGATGTGCACCTCTGAAACCACAGCCTGAGTTGTAATTTGGCCCCTTTTAGCCATAGCTGGAGCTAGAGTGGCTGGTATGCTGGGCACCACATCCTGAGGCTGCACAGAGCCGTGGGGCCCTGGGCTCGGCCTATAAAACCATTTTTCTGTCCTGTGTCTCTGGGTCTGTGATGGGTGAGGCTGCTATGAAGATCTCTGAAATGCCGTGCGGACATTTTCCCCATTGTGTTGGTTATTAACATTTGGTTCCTTGTTTCTTATGCAAATTTCTGCAGCAGGCTTGAATTTCTCCCCAGAAAATGGGTTTTTCTTTTCTCTTGCATGGTGAGGTTACAAATTTTCTGAACTTTTATGTTCTGCTTCCCTTTTAAACAAAAGTTCCAATTTCACATAATCTCTTTATGAAAACATATGACAGTAAACATTTGGAAAAAGCCAGGTCACCTCTTGAATACTTTGTTGCTTAGAAATTTCTTCCACCAGATACTCTAAATCATCTCTTTCAATTACAAAGTTCTACAGATCTCTAGGGCAGGGGCAAAATGCCACCAGTCTCTTTGCTAAAGCATAGCTAGCGTGACCTTTACTCCAATTCCCAATAAGTTCCTCATCTCTATCTGAGATCACCTCAGCCTGAACTTCATTGTCTATATCACTATCAGCATTTTGGTCAAAACCATTCAGCAAGTCTCTAGGAAGTTCCAACTTTCCCACATCTTCATGTCTTCTTCTGAGCCCTCCAAACTGTTCCAATGTCTACCTGTTACCCAGTTCCAAAGTTGCTTTCATACTGTCAGGTATCTTTACAGCAGTGCCCCAAACTCTTGGTACCGATTTTCTGTATTAGTCAATTTTCACATTGCTGTAAAGGACTACCAGAGACTGTGTAATTTATGAAGAAAAAAGGTTTAATTGACTCACAGTTCAGCATAGCTGGGGAGGCCTCAGGAAACTTACAATCATGGTGGAAGGTGAAGGGGAAGCAAGGACCTTCTTCACATGGTAACAGGAGGGTGGGGGGAACTGCTAAACACTTTTAAACCATCAGATCGCGAGAGCTCACTCACTATCATAACAGCATGGGGGAACTACCCCCATGAATTAATCGTCTCCTGCCAGGATCCCCTCCAATACATCAGGATTACAATTTGAGATGAGATTTGGGTCAGGAAACAGATCAAAACAATATCACTGGTTTTTGTTGTCTTTGTTGAAGATCAGATTATTGTAGGTGTGTGGCCTTATTTCTGGGCTGTTTTGTTACATTGATCTGTGTATCTGTTTTTATATCCGTATCATTCTGTTTTGGTTACCATAGCCTTGTAGCATAGTTTGAAGTTGGGCAAAGTGATATCTCCAGCTTTGTTCTTTTTGCTTAGTATTTCTTTGGCTATTTAGGCCTTTTTTTGTTCCATATGGCTTTTAAAATCGTTTTTTTTTTTCTAATTCTGTGAAGTATGTCATTGGTAGCTTGACAGGAATACCACTGAATCTATAAATTGCTTTGAGAAGTATTATCATTTTAACAATATTGACTCTTTCTGTCCATGAATATGGAAAGCTTTTCAGTTTGTTTGTGTCATCTCTGATTTATTTGAGCAATTTTGTAATTTTCATTGTAGAGATCTTTCATCTCCCTGGTTAGTTGTATTCCTAGGAATTTCATTCTTCTTGTGGCAATTGTGAATGGAATTGTATTCCTAATTTGACTCTCAGCTTGGCTGTTGTTGGTGTATAGGAATGCTAGCAATTTTTGTACATTGATTTTGCAAATATTTTCTCCCATTCTGAAAATATTTGCAAAGTATTTTGCAATTTTGTATTTTGAAAAGTTGCTAAAGTTGTTTATCAGATCTAGGAGCTTTTGGTCAGAGACTATGGTGTTTTCTAGATACAGAATCATGTCATCTGCAAACAGGGATAGTTTTACTTCCTCTCTTCCTATTTTTATGCCCTTTATTTTTTTCTCTTGCCTGATTGCTGGGTCAGGACTTCCAATACTATGTTAAATCAGAGTGTGAGATAGAATCTTTATATTGTGCCAATTTTCCAGGGGAATGCTTCCAGCTTTTGCACATTTAGTATGATGTTAGTTATGGGTTTGGCATAGATGGCTCTTATTATTTTGGGGTATGTTTCTTCAATGTCTAGTTTGTTAAGGTTTTTAACATGAAGGAATGTTTTATTGAAAGCCTTTTCTGCATCAGTTGAGGAAATCATTGGGTTTTTGTTTTTAGTTATGTTTACATGATTAATCACATTTATTGATTTTTGTGTTTGTATGTTAAACCAATCTTGCATGCAGATCATAAAGCCTGCTTAATTTCTGGGGTGAATTAGCTTTTTGATAAGCTGCTGGATTTCATTTGCTAGTATTTTGTTGAGGATTTTTGCATCTGTGTTCATCAATGATATTAGCCTGAAGTTTTATTATTTTGTGTGTGTCTCTGCCAAGTTTTGGTATTAGGTTGATGCTGGCCTCATAGAATGAGTTAGGGAGGAGTTCTTCCTCCACAATTATTTGGAATAGTTTCAATAGGAATGGTACCAGCTCTTCTTTATGCAACTGGTAGGATCCAGTTGTGAAACTGTTTGGTCCTGGGCTTTTTCTGGTTGTTAGGCTCTTTATTATTGATTCAACTTCAGAACTTGGTAGTGGTCTGTTCAGGGATTTAATTTATTCTTAGTTCAATCTGGGGAGGTTATATGTTTTCAGGAATTTTTCCATTCTTCTAGGTTTTCTAGCTTGTGTGCATAAAGGTATTCATAGTAGTCTCTGAGGGATTTTTGTATTTTTGTGGGGTCAGTGGTAATGTCCCCTTTGTTATTTCTGATTGTGTTTATTTGGATTTTCTCTTTTTATTAGTCTAGCTAGTGGTCTGTTGTATCTTATTAATTCTTTCAAAAAACCAAATCCTAGATTAATTAATCTTTATTTGTTTGTTTGTTTGTTTGCATCTCAATTTCCTTCAGTATAGCTCTGATTTGGGTAACTTCTTGTCTTCTCCTAGCTTTGAGGTCGGCTTGCTCTTGTTTCTCTAGTTCCTTTCTAGTTCCTATAGTTGTGATGTTAATGTCATTAATTTAAGATTTGCCTAACTTTTTGAAGTGGATATTTAGTGCTATAAACTTCCCTCTTAAGACTGCTTTAGCTGTGTCCCAGTGATTCTGGTATGTTGTATCTTTGTTCTCATTAGTGTCAAAGAATTTCTTTATTTCTGCCTTAATTTCATTATTTACCCAAAAGTCATTCAGGAGAAGGTTGTTTAATTTCCATGTAATTGTATGGTTTTGAGTGATTTTCTTCATATTGATTTCATTTTTATTGCTCTGTGATCTTAGAGAGTGGTTCATATGATATTGTTTTTTCTTTTTCTTTTCTTTTTCTTTTTATTTTTTTGAGATGAGTTTTACTCTTGTTGCCTAGGCTGGAGTGCAATGTCACAATCTCAGCTCACTGCAACCTCCACCTCCTTGGCTCAAGTGATTCTCCTGCCTCAGCCTCCCGAGTAGCTGGGATTACAGGTGCCTGCCATTGCTCCCAGCTAATTTTTGTATTTTTAGTAGAGAGGGGGTTTCACCGTGTTGGCCAGGCTGGCCTCAAACTCCTAATCTCAGGTGATCCACTCACCTCAGCCTCCCAAATTGTTGTTTTTTCTTTATTTGAATTTGCTGAGTATTGTTTATGTCTGATTGTGTGGTTGATTTTAGAGTATGTTCCATGTGCAGATGAAAAGAATGTATATTCTGTTGTTTTTTGGGTGAAGAGTTCTGTATATATCTATTTTCTATTCTCTTACTTTGAGCCTACGGGTTTCATTGCATACAAGATGAGTCTCTTGAAGACATCATACCATTGAGTCTTATTTCTTTATCCAACTTGCCACTCAATGCCTTTTAATTGGGGCATTTAGCTCATTTACATTCAAGGCTAGCATTGATATGTGAAGATTTAGTACTGTCATCCTGTTGTTAGCTAGTTATTATATACACCAGTTTGTATGATTGCTTTATGATGTGACTTTGGTCCATTTACCTAAGTGTGCTTTTGTAGTGGCTGGTAACTATATTTCTTCTCCATAATTAGCACTCCCTTCAAGACCTCTTGTAAGGAAGGTCTGGTGGTAATGAATTCCCTTAGCATTTGCTTGTCTGAAAAGGATCTTATTTCTCCTTTGCTTATGAAGCTTAGTTTGGCTGGACATAAGATTCTTGGTTGGAATTTCTTTTCTTTAAGAATGCTGAATATAGGTTTCCAGTCTCTTCTGGCTTGTAGGGTTTCTGCTGAAAGGTTTGCTGTTAGCCTGGTGGGGTTCCCTTTGCTGGTGACCTGCCTGTTTTCTCTAGCTGTCTTTAACATTTTTTCTTTTATTTTGACCTTGTAGAATCTGATGACTATATGTCTTGGGGATGATCTTCTTGTGTAGTATTTCACAGGCATTCTCTGTATTTCCTGAATTTAAATGTTGGCCTCTCTAGTGAGGTTGGCCACATTTTCATGGATGATATCCTGAAATTGTTTTCCAAGTTACTTGCTTTCTCTCTCTTTCAGAGACACCAATGAGTCTTAGATTTGGTCTCTTTCCATAATCCCATATTTCTTGGAGGTTTTGTTCAATCATCTTTATTGTTTTTTAATTTATTTTTGTCTGAGTTATTTTGGAAGACTGGTCTTTGAGCTCTGAGATTCTTTCCTCAGCTTGGTCAATTCTGCTGTTAGTACTTGCAATTGTACTTTGAAATTCTTGAAGTGAGCTTCTCAGCTCTATTAGATCAGTTTAGCTCTTTCTTAAAATGGCCATTTCATTTTTCATCTCCTACGTAGTTTTATTCTTTAACATCCTTGAATATATATCCAGCCAAACTAAGCTTCATAAACTCAAGCGATCCTACTTCAGCCTCCTGAGCAGTTGGGATTACAGGTGAGTGCTGCAATGCCTGGCTAATTTTTAAATTTTTTATAGACATGAAGTCTCACTATATTGCTCAGGCTGATTTTGAACTCCTGGGTTCAAGTGATCCTCCGGTCTTGGCCTCCCAAAGTACTGAGATTATAGGTGTGAGCATCTATACCCAGGCTAATGAACATTTTTACTCTATTTCATTAAAATCTATTAATTTATGTTGCACTTTGGATCAATCTTTTACCCATAAATGATGTAATGTAACTTATTGATCGCTTGAGAAATGTTTGATACACTGAGTTACTGTAGGTTTTCCAAATGTTGACCCATTAATTATAAAATCCCCACAAACTGTTTTTGTTAATATTACTACTAATCTCATCACAAAATTGGGAATCTAACTTTTGCCTGAATTCTTGCATTTTATTATTGGTAATAAATACTGTTAATTTCTTGATTCATTTTGAAGATATCTGCCAAATAGTAGAGTCTGAATAACTGTAGTTATTTTTTCCATGAAAGGAACAATAATTCAACTCCAAATTTAAGCAATCATGCAAGTACTTTTGCTTGAGACCAATGTTGTACTTCAGTGTGTAGCAGAAGTGCTTTATACATATTTCTCATCTATTCACATGGACTATTTAAGAGAAGTGTACTCCTCAGCTATCAAGATTTTTAAATTTTATTAATTTGTATTGCTTCATCAAGGAAAGTTCAGTGAAAATGGCATTTTTAAGTAACTGTGAGTGCGTGGCAGTGAAGAATTCAGTGACTACTGGGACAACTTGGCATTGCAACCATGATTTGAGCTAAGGCACCAGTAATTTTATCCATCATTGCTTGTGCACCATCAGGAAAAATATCAACACAGTGAAAAAGGCAATGATGTATGAGTATTATAAAGATAAATTTAACTTCATGAACTCCATGAAGGGGTCTTGGGTACCCCCATCTCTACCCTAGGTTTCATCATGGAACTTTGAGAATTGTTGATTTAGTTTTTAGTGTCGAACAAATATATTTTATTTTGAAAGGATAAAATCTCCTCTCCTTCTCCCTCTCCCTCTCCCTCTCCCCATGGTCTCCCTCTCTTTCCATGGTCTCCCTCTCATGCGGAGCCGAAGCTGGACTGTACTGCTGCCATCTGGGCTCACTGCAACCTCCCTGCCTGATTCTCCTGCCTCAGCCTGCTGAGTGCCTGCGATTGCAGGCACGCGCCGCCACGCCTGACTGGTTTTGGTGGAGACGGGGTTTCGCTGTGTTGGCCGGCCGGTCTCCAGCCCCTAACCGCGAGTGATCCGCCAGCCTCGGCCTCCTGAGGTGCCGGGATTGCAGACGGAGTCTCGTTCACTCAGTGCTCAATGGTGCCCAGGCTGGAGTGCAGTGGCGTGATCTTGGCTCGCTACAACCTACACCTCCCAGCTGCCTGCCTTGGCCTCCCAAAGTGCCGAGATTGCAGCCTCTGCCTGGCCGCCACCCCGTCTGGGAAGTGAGGAATGTCTCTGCCTGGCCACCCATCGTCTGGAATGTGAGGAGCCCCTCTGCCTGGCTGCCCAGTCTGGAAAGTGAGGAGCGTCTCCGCCCGGCCGCCATCCCATCTAGGAAGTGAGGAGCGCCTCTTCCCAGCCGCCATCACATCTAGGAAGTGAGGAGTGTCTCTGCCCGGCCACCCATCGTCTGAGATGTGGGGAGCGCCTCTGCCCCGCCGCCCCATCTGGGATGTGAGGAGCGCCTCTGCCCGGCCGCGACCCCGTCTGGGAGGTGAGGAGAGTCTCTGCCCGGCCGCCCCGTCTGAGAAGTGAGGAGACCCTCTGCCTGGCAACCACCCCGTCTGAGAAGTGAGGAGCCCCTCCGCCTGGCAGCTGCCCCGTGTGAGAAGTGAGGAGCCTCTCCGCCCGGCAGCCACCCCATCTGGGAAGTGAGGAGCGTCTCCGCCCGGCAGCCACCCCGTCCGGGAGGGAGGTGGGGGGGGTCAGCCCCCCGCCCGGCCAGCCGCCCCTTCCGGGAGGGAGGTGGGGGGATCAGCCCCCCGCCCGGCCAGCCGCGCCGTCTGGGAGGGAGGTGGGGGGATCAGCCCCCCGCCCGGCCAGCCGCCCCGTCTGGGAGGGAGGTGGGGGGGGTCAGCCCCCCGCCCGGCCAGCCGCCCCGTCCGGGAGGTGAGGGGCGCCTCTGCCCGGCCGCCCCTACTGGGAAGTGAGGAGCCCCTCTGCCCGGCCACCACCCCGTCTGGGAGGTGTGCCCAACAGCTCACTGAGAACGGGCCAGGATGACAATGGCAGCTTTGTGGAATAGAAAGGCGGGAAAGGTGGGGAAAAGATTGAGAAATCGGATGGTTGCCGTGTCTGTGTAGAAAGAAGTAGACATGGGAGACTTTTCATTTTGTTAGGCACTAAGAAAAATTCTTCTGCCTTGGGATCCTGTTGATCTGTGACCTTACCCCCAACCCTGTGCTCTCTGAAACATGTGCTGTGTCCACTCAGGGTTAAATGGATTAAGGGCGGTGTAAGATGTGCTTTGTTAAACAGATGCTTGAAGGCAGCATGCTCGTTAAGAGTCATCACCACTCCCTAATCTCAAGTAATCAGGGACACAAACACTGCGGAAGGCCGCAGGGTCCTCTGCCTAGGAAAACCAGAGACCTTTGTTCACTTGTTTATCTGCTGACCTTCCCTCCACTATTGTCCCATGACCCTGCCAAATCCCCCTCTGTGAGAAACACCCAAGAATTATCAATAAAAAAAAAATTTAAAAAAAAAAAAAAAAGGATAAAATCTGTCAAGTTGTCACTTTGTGAAGTTGTTCCTTTTTGGGTCTTGTTTAATACATTTTTCCTTAGCCATAATCACAAAATAATCTCCTATTGTCTTCTGTTAACTTTATACCTTTTATATTTTGACCTTCCAGTGATGTCAAATTCATTTTAGATTATGATGAGAGGAACAGATCCATCTTTATTTTTCTTCATAGATTAAGGAGAATTTCTCAATAACATTCAATACATATTCCATTATTTTCTTACTGAGGGAGTATTCTCATATATTCTCAATTACTAAGTTCTGTATACACATAGATTGTTTTGGGTTTCTCCATTTGGCTTATTATTATTATTTTTTGTTTATCTTTTCTACACCAGTTTAACACCATTGAACTCACCAAGGCTTTGTAATATAACTTAAAATTAAGCAGGAAACATCTCCTCTTTTTGTTTTCTTTTTCCAAATCATCTTAGCTTTGGTAGATCCTATTTTTCCCCTGGATAAAACTTAGTTTATCAATTTTCTTCCCCCAATCCTCCTGGAATATTCATTAAAACTTCATTGAATATATAGATTAATTTGCAAAAATTGGCATCAATATTGTAAAGGTCTTTTTTAATAGTTTCCTTTTATCATTTAATAGACTTTAAAAATATATTCTATAATAATTTTGTACATGGTTGATTATGTCCTGGCTACTTTAGAGTTTTGTTGCTACTATAAATATTTATTTCTATTTTTGTTATTTTTGATGTGCTACTATATATTGATTTTTATACGTTGATTTTTGTATTTGGAAACCTTGCTAATTCTAAGAATTATCTGATTCTCTTGATCTTGTCTTTATAGTATCATATGTAAAAATTTTATACAATAATGTACATATGATAAGTGGTAATATAGTTTATATTGTAATACAAATAAAATACATGTTACAACATAAATTGTTTTTATTACTGTATGATTATGAAAGTATTCTTCTTTCTTATACTTGTAAATTATTTTTCTTCTTTGATTTGTTGATTTGAACATGCTCTATCATTTGTAAGAAAGAGGTGCTTTGACAGGGAGCATCTTTTGCTTGTTTTGTGAAATAAGAAGTTTATTTCCTCTTTGTTTTCACCTTTCCTCATCTTAAGTAACATATAGCAAAGTTAGAAATTTTATATTTAAACCTGATAGTCTTTATCTTTTCTAAGGGACTTAACATAGTTAAACCTTTTATGATTTAGTAAAATGATGTTTTGGTGTTTTTAAAGCTTATTTTTGTTTTACATTCTATTTTAATTTTATTTTTTTTCAGCCCTGCCTGCCTTTTGTTGAATTATTTGATTTTGCCTCATATCTCATTTATCCTCCTCTTGTGGTTTGGGAGTTACATATCTCATTTCTATTCCTCTAGTGGTACTTTTAATCCTTTAAAGAATATTACATTTTTGTTTTTTATAAAATTATATATACCAAATACATGATTTCAGCAATACAGAAAAATATTAAACATAAAAAATTTACCCCAAATGTAATCATCTTTGAATTACTATTTTTGCCATTAGTTGAATCTTATTTCAGATCTCTTTAAGCAAAAGTAGTATTTACATGTATATACGATAGATGTATAAATATGGAGGTTTATTTTAAAGGATTGTTTTGATTGCAATTAATACAAATCTTAAATGATCTGACAAATAAGACTTTATTGCCAAAACGATAGTGATGCTTAGATACTGAACAATAAGAATAAGGGAATTTTAAGCATTACCCATTTTTGTTGTATTATTTAATGACAAATTATAAAGGGATGAACGCAGATTATAATGCTATGCACCTATATAAAAGTAATCCAGTGAAACCTCCAGTTTGACCTTTAATTTGGAATGATGGAGGGGCAACAAGTGCATTTTAAGTTAGTCAAGATTGTTTTTCAAACAGTCACTCAAAAACAGATATTTATTTATTTATTCTGTATCTACTACTGTGTGCCACACACTCTTCTAGGTGCTTGGAATATATCGTTGAACAAAACAGACCAAACTCCCTTAGCTTGTAATGGGAGACAAAAAACAAAGAGAAATATAGTAAGTAATAAATTATGCAGCATTTTGAAAGCTGATAAGAGTAGAGAATAATAAAAACGTTACAAAAAAAAAGGAGACTGGGGGAGAATCTGGAGATGGGTACAATTTTAAAGATGGGGGTTGGGGTAGGCTTCATTTATATCTGAAATCTGGCCAAAATCTTGAGATAGAAGAGGGAGTTAGCTAAGCAGTTATTTGCAGGGAAAACATTCAAGGCCGAGTGAAGAGCCAATGTAGGGGTGCTGTAAGGAGCGGGCATGCTTTGTTTAAGGAACTAGTGACTACTGTGTATACAGCCAAGAGATTCAGGGAGACAAAAGTGCAAGAACCACTTAGAGAAGTAGCAGAAGGGTAAGGGTTGGAGAAAAACATATGCATACCCTTGCAGATATTGAAAGGGTTTTCTTTTTTATTCTGAGGTGTGAAGTTGTTTGGAGTGTTTTAGGAAAGTGATGACATGATTTGATTTCTGTATTGAGACTAGATTGTAGGGGTTGCAAAGGTAGAGGCTGGTAGAGCAGTTGGGGGTAATTGCAGCAATCTAGATGAGAAAGATTGGTGGAATAAAATAAGGATGGTGAAAAGTGGTAACATGCTGGATATATTTGAAGGTAGAGCCAATAGATTTTGCTAAATAAGTAGATGTGGGGCATGAAAGAAACATAGTATCAGGATGACTGTGATATTTTTAGCCTGAGAAACTGAAGGGTTGGATCAATTGAGATGGGGTAAAATTGGTCTGTGACTAGAGGATTGGAGAAACTGTCAGAAAGTCAATTTCTAAAATATTGAGTTTGAAATGTCCAGAAGACATTTATATTATTAAATCTAAAGTTCAGGAAAAATGTTTGGACTAAATAAAAAATTTTAAGGGTTGTCCACATATAAATAGGTTTTAAAGTTATGGTGGAGATTTAGGTTACAGGAAGAGAGAATGTAGAAAGAAAGGAGAAGCCAATGGAAGAACTTTGAGAGGTCAGGTAGAAAAGGAATCAAGAAAGGAAACAAAAGCAGCAGGCAGTGATGAGGAGAAAACCTGAGTGTGGTAGAGAGAGGCCAAGTGAAGAAAGTATATCAAGGAAAATGAAAATATCAACTGTGGCAAAGGTCGGTGCTGGTAGGTCAGTGAAGATGATAACTGAACTCAACAAAGATTTAGCAACATGCAGATTATTGGAGATATTAACAAAGCAATTTGGTAGAGGGATAGGCAGAAACCTTTCTTACAGTGTGTTTAAGAGAAAATGTAAGGAAAGAAGTTGGAGACAGCAAATATAAACATAATTTTTACTGCAAAGGAAGGAAGAGAAATTAGGGCTACAGGGAAGAACTGGCACAGAAATAAAACCAAGTCAAGTAAAATAATATATTTATTTCAATTTCATTTATTTTTAATGGAAGAACAGAAAGGGTGAAATCAATGATTCAGAAGAGGGTAGAGTTTGTGAAGTGAATCCTTGGAGCAAGTGAGAGGGGATGGGATCTAGTGCACAATTAAGAGGGATTTAGAGAAAAACTAATGTCTTATTTTTAGTTTGTTATTTTCTGTATACCCTTTTAGGAGTGCTGAATAGTGGGATATTGGAAATCAATTTGCATGTGTTTCTTTGGTGATCTAATCAGGACATTTTCAGTTCTACAGATGAAGTCACCAATAGTCAACCTCCCACAGTTCTTCATAGACTAAGCTTAAAATGTGTTATTTTAAGGTGACTTTCTGATCTGAGTTGAATTATTGCATTTAAATGGTTGTCATTACCAGTGGTCTTGATTTATGAACTATATAAGCTTCTCTTTCCCAATTTTAAAAGAGCTATATGTTTAACTGCCCCTTGAAAAATTCAGGGACACTTTTATAATGCCCTTGGGAAGGTGGTGGTGAATTAAAAGTAAATAAATAATACCAGTAAATAATGCAAACATTTTTAAAATTATATAATAACTATCTCTCAGCAGTTCAGATTTATACATTTTTAAAGTATTCTCCGAAAATATCCAAAAGTTAGTACTTTTAATTTTTAATTTATATGGGGAACAAATGTAAGAATAGAGACTGTAAAGTAATTTATTCGTTATGAAGGAAATCATCAATTACTTCCATGTTGCCAAAGACAGTAGATTAGTGATTGTCATTATCTTACCAGATTGTCCTATGGCATTTGACATGTTTTATTGCTAATTCTTTGAGACTGTCTTTTACCTCAGGGTTTTTTTTTTTTTTAATAAACATAACTTTAAAAAATACTTTTGTCATAATTTGTTTATAGTCTTCTTTGTATATTTTTATTTAATTAACCTTTCAAGTGTATTTATTCTTATGGCTTCTACCCTAGGCGTTATGTGCCTTTGAATCTATATACTCTTCCTGTTATATTGATTATGTTGCAGTCCAGAACACTTGACCTACATCCAACTACTTTCTGATTATCTCCATGTGATCATCCCACAGGGGTCTCAAATTTCCTGTATTTCAAACTGAACTTATTATCTCCTTCTAAACTTGGTCATCCCTCTTTCCTCCCTGCCTTAGTGAATGATGTGAAGGTGTACCAACCACCTAAACCAAAACACTGATAGTAATCCAGGACCGCATCTCAATCATATCCAAAGAGTAATCAAGCTTTTTTGATTCTATATTCTTGATCTCTCTCCATTCTTACTGTCATTGTCTTTGTGTTGCTCACATTAATTATCAAGAGTATTATTGATAATACATAAAATATATACTAAACAATAATTATAGTTAAAAGCTTGACATGTTTTCTCTCATTTAAGTTTCACAATAAGCTCATTATGTCAGTGCTATTACTAGTTCTAATTTTTTTCTTCTAAAACAAAACGGGCTACATGTGCAGAATGTACAGGTTTGTTACATAGGTATATATGTACCACGGTGGTTTGCGGCACCTATTGACCCATCCCCTAAGTTCCCTCCCTTCAAACCCCACCCACCAACAGGCCCTTGTGTGTGATGATCTCCTCTCTGTGTCCACGTGTTCTCAATGTTTGACTCCCACATATGAGTGAGAACGTGAAGTGTCTGGTTTTCTGTTCCTGTGTTAGTTTGCTGAGGATGATGGCTTCCGGCTTCATCCATGTCCCCGAACTTATTCCTTTTTATGGCTGCATATTATTCCATGGTGTATATATACCACATTTTCTTTATCCAGCCTATAATTGATAGACAATTAGTTTGAGTCCGTGTTTTTGCTGTTGCAAATAGTGCTGCAATAAAAATACATGTGCATGTGTTTTTATAGTAGGATGATTTATATTCTTTTGGGTATATACCTAGTAATGGGATTCCTGGGTCAAATGATATTTCTGGTTCTAGGTCCTTGAGGAATCGCCATGCTGTCTTCCCCAATGGTTTAACTAATTTACATTCCCACCAACAGTGTAAAAGCATTCCTATTTCTCCACAGCCTTGCCAGCATCTATTGTTTAATAGATCTGACTATTTAATAATTACCATTCTGACTGGCGTGAGATGGTATCTCATTGTGGTTTTGATTTGCATTTCTCTAATGATCAATGATGTTGGGCTTTTTCTTATATGTTTTTTGGCCACTTTAATGTCTTCCTTTGATAAGTGTTTGTTCATATCCTTTGCCCACTTTTTGATGTGGTTGGTTGTTTTTTTCTTGTAAACATGTTTAAGTTTTTTTGTAAATTCTGGATATTAGACCTTTGTCAGATGGGTATATTGCAAAAATTTTCTCCCATAATGTAGGTTGCCTGTTCACTCTGATGATAGTTTCTTTTGCTGTGCAGAAGCTCTTTAGTTTAATGAGTTCCCATTTGTCAATTTTGGCTTTTGTTGCGATTGCTTTTGGCGTTTTTGTCATGAAGCCTTTGCCCACACCTATGTCCTGAATTGTACTGCTTAGGTTTTCTTCTAGGGTTTTTATGGTTTGGGGTTTTACATTTATGTCTTTAATCCATCTTGAGTTAATATTTGTATAAGGTGTAAGGAAGGGGTCCAGTTTCAGTTTTCTGCATATGGCTAGCCAGTTTTCCCAGCACCATTTACTGGATAGGAGATCCTTTCCCCATTGCTTGTTTTTGTCAGATTTGTCAATGATTAGATGGTTGTAGATGCATGATGTTATTTCTGAAGTCTCTGTTCTGCTCCATTCATCTATATGTCTATTTTGGTGCCCGTACCATGCTGTTTTGATTACTGTAGCCTTGTAGTATAGTTTGAAGTCAGGTAGCATGATGCCTTTAGCTTTGTGTTTTTTGCTTAGAATTGTCTTGGCTATACAGGGTCTTCTTTGATTCCATATGAAATTTAAAATAGTTTTTTCTAATTCTGTGAAGAAGTCAATGGCAGTTTGATGGGAATAGCATTGAATCTGTAAATTACTTTGGGCAGTATGGCCATTTTCATGATATTGATTCTTTGCATCCATGAGCATGGAATGTTTTTACATTTGTTTGTGTCCTCTCTTATTTCCCTGTGGAGTGGTTTGTAGTCCTCCTTGAAGAGGTCCTTCATACCTTCATATCCCTTGTTAGTTGTATTCCTAGGTATTTTATTCTCTTTGTAGCAATTGTGAACGGGGGTTCATTCATGATTTAGCTCTCTGCTTGCCTATCGTTGGTGTAAAGGAATGCTTGCGATTTTTGTCCAATGACTTTATATCCTGAGACTTTGCTGAAGTTGTTTATGAATTCAAAAAGTTTTTGGGCTGAGATGATGGGGTTTTCTAAATATAAAATCATGTGTTCTGCAAACAGAGACAACATGACTATCTCTCTTCATATCTGAATATCCTTTATTTCTTTATCTTGCCTGATTGCCCTGGCCAGAACTTCCAATACTATGTTGAATAGGAATGGTGAGAGAAGATTTTACCCATTCAGTATATTAGCTGTGTGTTTGTCATAAATAGCTCTTAATATTTTGAGATATGTTACATCAATACCTAGTTTATTTAGAGTTTTTAACATGAAGGGATGTTGAATTTTATCAAAGGCCTTTTCTGCATCTACTGAGATAATCATGTGGTTTTTGGTTTTGATTCTGTTTATGCAATGGATTATGTTTATTGGTTTGTGAATGTTGAACCAGCCTTGCATCCCAGGGATAAATCTGACTTGATTGTAGTGGTTAAGTTTTATGATGTGCTACTGGATTCAGTTTGCCAGTATTTTATTTAGGATTTTTGCATCAGTGTTCATCAGGGAGATTGGCCTGAAGTTTTCTTTTTTTTAACTGTGCCTCTTCCTGGTTTTGGTAACGGGATGATGCTGGCTTCATAAAATGAGTTAGGGAGGAGTCCCTTCTTTTCAATTGTTTGGAATAATTTCAGAAGGAATGGTACCATCTCCTTTATGTATTTCTGGTAGAATTCAGCTGTGAATCCATCTGGTCTTGGACTTTTTTTTTCCACTGGTAGGCTATTAATTACTACCTCAATTTCAGAACTTGTTATTGGTCTATTCAGGAATTCAACTTCTTCCTGGTGTAGTGTTGGTAGGATGTGTGAGTCTAGGACTTTATCCATTTCTCTAGATTCTCTAGTTTATTTGCATAGAGGTGTTTATAGAATTCTCTGATGGTAGTTTGTATTTTGGGAGGATCAGTGGTGATATTCCCTTTATCATTTTCTATTGTGTCTGATTGATTTTTCTCTCTCTTCTTTATTAGTCTAGCCAGTGGTCTATCTATTTTGTTAATTTTTTCAAAAAACCACCTCCTGGATTTGTTGATTTTTTGGAGTGTTTCTTGTGTCTCTATCTCCTTCTTTTCTTCTCTGATCTTAGTCATTTCATGTCTTCTGCTGACTTTTGGATTAGTTTGCTCTTGCCTCTCTAACTCTTTTAATTGTGATGTTAGGGTGTCGATTTGAGATTTTTCTAGCTTTCTGATGTGAGCATTTAGTGCTATAAATTTCCCTGTTAACACTGTTTTAGTGGTGTCCCGTGGATTCCAGTACATTGTCTCCTTGTTCTCATTGGTTTCAAAGAACTTCTTGATTTCTGCCTTAATTTCATTATTTACCCAGGAGTCATTCAGGAGCAGGTTGTTCAATTTCCATGAAATTGTGTGGTTTTGAGTGAGTTTCTTAATTCTGAGTTATAATTTGATTGCACTGTGGTCTGAGAGACTGATTGTTATGATTTCAGTTCTTATGCATTTTCTGAGGAGTGTTTTACTTCAAATTATGTGGTGGATTTAGAATAAGTGCCATGTGGCACTGAGAATAATGTATATTTTGTTGATTTTGGGGAGAGAGTTCTGTAGACATCTACTAGGTTCACCTGATCTAGAGTTGAGTTCAAGTCCTGAATATCCTTGTTAATTTTCTGTCTCATTGATTGTCTAATACTGACAGTGGTGTGTTGAAGTCTTCCACTATTATTGTGTGGGAGCCTAAGACTCGTTGTAGGTCTCCAAAAACTTGTTT
Organism: Homo sapiens; assembly: GCF_000001405.40. Taxonomy (NCBI): domain Eukaryota; kingdom Metazoa; phylum Chordata; class Mammalia; order Primates; family Hominidae; genus Homo; species Homo sapiens. Next base: position 186,144,836 of record NC_000002.12, on the reverse strand, counting down.
TATGAATCTGGATGCTCCTGTATTTGGTGCATATATTTAGAATAGTTAGCTCTTCTTGTTGAATTGTTCCCTTTACCATTATGTAATGCCCTTATTTGTCTTTTTTGATCTTTGTTCACTTAAAGTCTGTTTTATGAGACCTTCTTTCAGCTTTCCGTTTGCTTGGTAAATTTTCCTCCATCCCTTTATTTTGAGCCTGTGTGTGTCTTTGCACATAAGATGGGTATCGTGAATACAGCACACCAATGGGTCTTGTTTCCTTATCCAATTTGCCAGTCTGTGTCCTTTAATTGGGGCATTTAGCCCATTTACATTTAAGGTTAGTATTGTTAAGTGTGAATTTGATCCTGTCATCATGATGCTCTTTGGTTATTTTGCACACTAGTTGATGCAGTTTCCTCGTAGTGTCATTGATCTTTATATTTTGGTGTGTTTTTGCAGTGGCTTGTACCAGTTTTTCTTTTCCATATTTAGTGTTGCTTTCAGGAGCTCTTGCAGGGCAGACCGGGTAGTAAGGAAATCCCTCAGCATTTGCTTGTGTGGAAAGGATTTCCCTGGTGCATTACCATAAGCACTGAGATTTTTTTGAATAAATACATGCTTAGAGTTTTTGCAGAATTTATCTAGTTTATCTCCACATATTTTGGTCGTATTTTGTGATGTTTTTTGAAGAATTGAATTCGCTTTACAGTGAAAAGTTCTCTAAATTATTGCCACTAAACTCATTTCTCTGCTCTGCTTTCATTTAATTATTTTAAAACAATCTATCTCATAAAGAAATATAAATGTAAAGCAATGCTAATAACACTGATAAACTCTAAATTGAGGGAAAATGGGGATGAGTCAAGGCCAGTGGATAGCAAATAATATATAAGACAAGTTTTTGAAAATGGATCTAGTGGAACTTGGAAAATACTTATGGTGTTTTTTTGAAGGAAATAATATTTTATTACAGGAGAAGATGAAAGTGACTGGCAATATATCTAGATTTCTTCTGCATGTTAGATTATCTGTCTAAAACTCTTTTGATTTCTCACAGGTAAAGTGCAGAAGTATATTGAGCAAAACAATAAAATGACAAAAACAAATAAAATATGTGTTTTGTTATCCCAGTACACAGAGTAGGGTAAATTTATGAAACTTTAAGCTTTCCATCCATTTATATGACCTTATAATAAACATTTGGTTTACAGCCTTTAACTTGACTTCATGACTGGTTCTCTACTTTGAAAACAAAATTCCTTAATGTGAGGTAGACTTAACTGTGGCAAAACAGTAAGAATTTGTGTCTGTGGCAAAACAGTAAGAATTTGTGTTTGGTTTGTGTGTGTGTGTGTTTTTTTTTTTTTTTTTTCCAGAGAATCAGTGTTTGGGGCTAGCTTTTCCAGGCCCAAATGAGAAATCTTGGCTGCATTCTTTAAGTGCTCTGCATCCTACCGTTTTTTTTTTTTCTAATGTGAGGATTATAATTCTTCACAGATAATTGTGAGAAAACAGTTACAGAAATCCTTCATTGTATAAGTAATTTTAAAATTGGTCGTTGTTTCAACTTCTAACATAGTTCCTGGAACCAAGTGCTTAAAAGCTATTGAATTAAATTGCATATAAGTGAAAATCATTGTTCCCTTCATGATAAAAATTCTCTCACCAAAATTTATCATTTTTGAAGAGCAACTTAGTTTTTGTTACGTGGGTTCCTATATTAGCTTGCTAGGGCTGCCATAGCAAAATACCATACATGGGTAGCTTAAACAACAAAATTATATGTTCTCACTATTCTGGTGGCTGGACCTCCAAGATCAAGGCATTGGCAGATTTGGTTCCTCCTAAGACTTCTAGAGAGAAGGTAACCACCTGCAAGCTAAGGAAAGAAGTCTGTGTCCTCACATGGCCCTTTCTCTACACATGCACCCCTGGTATTCCTTCCGCTTCTTATAAGGACGCCAGTCCTATTGAATTAAGTTCCTGTTCTTATGACTTTATTTACCTTTAATTACCTTTTTAAAGATCCTAGCTCCAAATATAGCCACATTGGGGGTTAGGGCTTCAATATATGAATTTTAGGGGGACAGAATTCAGCCCACCACAGTTACTATAGTATAATGTATGTATAAAATGTAATAATTAAAATAAAATTCCTAAAGTGGAGGAGAGACAGTTCAGAATATAAACATTAAAATGTGCTACGATTTTTTCCTTTTCAATTTTCCAGCAGCATTCTGAGGTAAAATCAATAGTTTTCCTCCCAAATAATAATTTTTGAGAGATATATAACTTAATTGATCATTTGCCAAGTGAGAAAGGTGTGTTGATAATCAAGCTCTAGCCCCACACCCAAAGCACCCTTTTAAAATTCAAACAAATCATTTCTTAATTTCCTTGCTACTGCCCTTGCTGAAATGTTTATCTGTCCATTCCCGCTTAGTCAATTCTGCTTTGACTTCAATACTTAAATTTAACCTAAACTACTCTCTCTAGGATCCTCTCTCATTCATAATTCTATCAATGTATTACCACACTGTTCAGTAATTTTTTGCTTGCTATCTCTTCATTTCTGAGGCAATTATTGTGTAACTTTCATTGTTTTTTAGGGGCTTTATGCTATCCCTTATTCATGGAAGGGCTCTGTAATGATATCAAACAGACAGCTGTAATGAGTTGGAGGTCTCTTTAATGGACACCAAGTAGCTTGCCTTTTCAGAGAAGTTTCCTGTAGGGTTTTCCTGATGGTATAATTTTATGGAAGGCAGTACAGAAAGAGAACCTTTATTGGGATCAGAAAAGCAAATGAAGGGTAATGAGAACTTAACCCAGCACAGTGAAAGCAATTCAAAAGGGAAAGGTGCTAGCCTGTGAACATCATGAGTATGTGCAGAGTATTCACATCAGTGACATACCATCCATGGACAGAGGACACAGAAGCAAGGAGCTGCTAAATTCATAAGACTGAGATAGAAGTAGAAAGTAATCTCTTAATATCCTGAAGCTGGGGCATTGACACTAAAGATTAAATGAGTGCAATATGATCGTTTGAATACACTGTAAATAATACAAAATTATGTAACAACAGAAGAAAAAGAGAAAAAGTCTAAGGAAGAGTAATCACGATTCAAGGAAATCATTTATTCTTTTATTCAATATATACACTTCAGTGTCTTTTAGGTGTCAGACAGTTATCAACATATTGAAAATACCATGGTGAAGATACCAGACAAGGTTCTTACTCTAGTTGAGTATACAATCTAGTTGGGTTAGACAGATAATTATGATACATAAAAGTAAGGTATTGTTTCTGGTACTTATATTGAAGGCAGAATAATAAAGTATAGTGAAATAGAAATAGACTTGGTATATGATCAGTTTAAATTGGGTGTTAATGGAACTCCTAATAGACAAGTAGACTTTTGAAATTAGATGTGAATGACATGAAAGAGCTGCCGTGAACCTGGAATGATGTGAAATTTTACACTACTTGCATGCTAGCAAATTAGATTGATGTAGTTTCATAATTGCTAGCAGAAGATATAAAACTCTTGGGTCAGAGATAAGAGACTTTATTAGTTATGACAGAGCAAACAACATGAGTTGCATGTGTGTACCAGTCCCCTTTGATCCGATATGACAGTGCCAGTTGGCTCCAGTGGATGCTGCACAGGCAGTAGGTTTGCACCTCACTTGAGGAACCTAAGCTTAGAACAAATCAATCTTTAATAATGACCTGCAAACAAACCTACCCAACATGTACCCCAGAGGAAACATTATCTTTAGTATACTGGTCAGTAAACAAATCTTCCTTTTGCTTTGGAGGAAGACACTATGTAAACATCCATGAAAAAATAGTCATAAACAAAACCTGTCAGGGCTTCTCTTTGAAAGACATTGTGAGAAACACATAGAGAATTACATTCTAACAGGTCACAGCAAGGTAATGATTTAAATTGAAAGCTTTCCAGGCAAAAGTAACAGAGAGATACATGACATTGGCATGTTTAAGTGAAGAAAAGAAGGCCAGTGTGGATAGAGTATAGTGAGATGGAAGTAGTGTGGCAGAAGAGGAAATCAGAGAGGTAGACAAGGTCTAGGTCTTGAATGATTCTCCAGCCATGTTATTATTTAAAATGCCAGTACATGAGTCTCTGCCTAGAAAATTTTAGCTAATTTTCTGTAAGACGAGGAGTTGTTTTCAAAAAATAAATGCATATATATGTGCGTAGTGGGTTTGAAATTACAGTTTCTCAAATTTGACATGTTTATCATAAAATTTTCTCAAATCTATTTCTGATATACACACTATATTGTGTATATATATATATAGTGATATCTATATCACACACATATATAGTGTGTATATATATATACACATGTATATACATGTATATCCAGAACTTTATGTATTTGCAGAATTATATATGTGTATAAAGTTGACCCTTGACCAAAATGGGTTTGAACTCTGTGGGTTCATATGCACACAAATATTCTTCTGCCTCTGCCACCCCTGAAATATCAAGAACAACCGTTCCTCTTCTTCCTCCTTCTCAGCTTACTCAACATGAAGATGATAAGGATGAAAACCTTTATGATGATTTGCTTCCACTTAATGAATAGTAAATATGTTTTCTCTTCCTTATAATTTTCTTAACATTTTATTTTCTCTAGCTTACTTTATTGTAAGGATACAATATATAACATACATAACATAAAATATGTTTTAACTGACTGTTTTTGCTATTAGTAAGACTTTTGGTCAAAAGTAGGCTGTTGGTGCCCTTAACCCTCATGTTGTTCAAGGGTCAACTGTATATATAATTTCTAAGTGAGAAAATCAAAGATATTGGCTATATTTAAATATATTCAAATCATTATGCTTTCTTATGTAATTATCTTATCCATGAGAGGAAGGAATGTTTCATGATTTTGTACCCCAAATTTTTTACATAAAAATTTGTAATCCTGATAAATCCTGATGTAGAAAACACACTGGCCATGACTAACTTTTTTTATACTCCTAAATTGTTTTTCAGATAGAATTGTATTATGGATACTTCCATATTTGTGGGCAGTATCTGAAAAGACTAATTGCCATCGGTCCTATCCAAACTATTTGTAACTTTGAAAACTAATCATAGCTTTATGGATGCTTGCCTTCTTGGAGTTGTAAAAAAACCTGAGAGCTGATTTGCCTGGTGCCTTCTTTCAAATACATGAATAGTTTTTAAAGCATTCATTCACCCATTTATTCAACAAAGAATAAAAGAAAGCCTGTCTTGTGTCAAGCAATGTGTTAGTCAGCAGGAATACCAAGATTTAAAACTCCAAGGGTCTCTATCCTTAGAACAGATTTTATACAATCCATCACACAGTGACAATACAATAATCAAGGTGTAAATAAGGTCCCAGGGGATACAGAGAAGATGAATGCCTTCTTCTTATTGGAAGGTCATGAAAGACTTCAAAATAAAACTAATAGTTATTTTATTTCCTCAGAGGTAACTTTTTGTACTGATAAAAAGCATTGGTTAATATTAAGTTTAATCTAAATATTAAGCTATAATATCTTTATTTTAAATTTTACTCATTGGACAGAGCTCAGCTTCTGGAGTACCATAAAACATAGGTCATTCTCCTCCAACCCCAGAATGTCCATCCCCACGGCAGACCTAGTTAATATCTGATCACTCCCTTTATATTTCATTTTCCCATTGTTTATAAAGCTATATAGCTTTCTTAGACTTTGTTTTCTTCCTTTTTCCCACAAGACTTAAATCTTTGCTCGCAGTAAACATTTATTGCTGCAGTTTGTTTTACTTTTATGTATTTTGGATCAGCCATCTAATAAATACTTTCTTATGTGTTTCTCCCCAAGAGCTACAGTTTATAAATACTTCAAATACTGCAGTCAATGCTTAGTGCTGTATTTTAAAACAAAATAAAATGGTCATAAGGTAACAACTGGTGTGTAAAGTAATTAAGAATTACTCCTTCTCTTGAGAAACGTATAGAGAAACTATAGATAATAGAGCTTGTGTAGAAAAAACAGAGGCAGAACTTGAGGTCAACTGTCACGTAGGAAAAAAGAACCTTACAGATGTGTTCTTTAAAACGCTATCAACACCTCTATCCCTGTACCAAAGAATAAATTAGAGTCAATGCAGGAGGGAAATGAAGACACTGATTTTTAATTTTATATCAGGAATCTATTTACTCATTTATTGATCTAACATATATTTTATTGAAAGCTACTAATGTGCCAAGCACTGTGGTAGGAGTAGAGATACAAGGGTACATGAGACAAAGAGACTCTGCTCTCACATGTCTTTTGAGTTACACAGATATTGAACAAATACTTAAAAGTATGTTAAATTTGCTCTTTCACTCAATTCATAATTAAGTTTAAGCTTTTTTGTCAGGTTAAATTGTTGGTAAATATAGCAAATCCAGATCATTCACAGTTCTTGCTTCTTCTCTTACCTATCATGTCCTAGATACAATGGAAATGTAAGGGTGAGCAAAAACAAACATGGTTTCTACCTTCAAGGAGCTTAGATTCTGGAGGAAAGTCAAAGATTACTGAAACAATTATATAAACACATATAAAATCAAAATTGAGGTCAGGATTAGGAAGAAAAGACATATGGTATGAGGACATATGATAGGATGCCTGCCTATATCTTTTGAGTATATGTAAGTTCAGGAAATTCTTTTTTGAGGATCCTCTTTTTGGGCACAATGAAAGTTCCTACATGAAGAAAATTAAAAATATAGAGGAGGAAGAATGAGTTGGCCATGATTTGTTCTACAAAGATGTCCTGAGGTTTGTGGTTATACCATAGGAAAAACTTTGGATAAGTTTAAATTGAGTTAGAAATATTCAAATTTTAATGCATAGATACCAGTTGAAGCCAGGTAAGTTAAGAAGATTTACATGAAAAAAAAAGTGAGAAAAGAATGCTTTAAGACACAAGGTCCTAGGGGAGAAGTTAGTAAGGATAGGCTAAAACAGCTAAATTTAAAATTCTGGATTTTATCCTAATTTGTTTTTAATCATCTTTGGTTGCCATCTATAATCAGAGTTGTAAGGAGTCAATTTGTTTGATTAGTTTTGATTTTCAGGAGATCATTAGCTAATTTACTGATCTAAATAAAACAACTTTTGTTTATTGAACTAAATGTTAGGAAGATCATAATGTTTTTAAAAGCCACAATGATCCCAGAGGAAATAGATATATTTATATGCAAAGAGAATTATGTAAAAGAACATGTGATTTAAAAAAACTGAATTTCTAGAGTAAAAGCTATATGTAAGCATGTATCTATAGAATTAGTGGTGAAAATATTTTAATTTCAGTTTAAAATTTTGGGACTAACCAGAATGTAGGTTCTAGCTCCCCTGAATAAAGGAAATGGCTTTGCATGTGACAATATGCCCCTCTCAAGGAGAGCTGATCCATCACTGCTTCCAGGTTGAATTCACTATTTGATCAAAGAAGATTTGATGTAATGATTACCAATATCCCAAATTTCTTAAACAAATGTAAGAAGAACATTTCTTGATTAATTGGAGGAAGGATTATATGTAGAAGTTTAAACAGAAAGGTACATACCACCCAGAAAAGTCACCAACAAAGAGGATGATTGCAGAAGACTAGCTGGGTGGCCTTGGATAAGTTTCATAAGATTGGCATCACATGATCAATTTGCCATAGTCTCAAGTCTCTGCTGTTAACCTTGTAGACTTACAACCTTGTAATAAAGTCAAAGAATTGGAAACTCACATATGATGACTCATGTTAAAATCTTCACAAGCTACAGATATTTTAAAAAGCAGCCAGAATTCTTGAAATATTAACAATCAAAATTAAACAATCAATGGATTAGATGCACTGTCCTGCAGTGCCTTAAAGATGGGAAATTAACCTTTAGAATGTTACTTGGTGAGCATGGATTTAGAATGGATGTAGTTAGTGATTTGAATGGATTTGAATGTCTAATGTCATTATTCCTTTAGGAGGTCAGAAAATAATTTTTATTTAACTCCTACCACACACCTGGCATGCATCTATATAACATTTGTTGGTGGAATGATACATTCAAATGAGCACAAAGATCTCTGCTTTCTTAGAGATCACAGTCTGGTGGAGAAGATATGCATTAAGGAGATGTTACACAAATACAAATTTATAACTATAATAAGAACTTCAAGGGATTGGTACACATAAGGCTTGCTCTATACCACATGGAACCTGTGTGAGAATTAGACAATGTAATCCTTTTTTAAAGTAAAACAAATTTTAAAATTAGTAAAGGTTTTATTTCTTGATGATAATTACAATGATAAATTGTTCATAAATTTTATAAATCAAAATATTGAACCTTGAAGCTTGAATCAACATAATTATAATCGCAAATTTACTATGATAATTTATTATAAAATATTCTCTTACTTTAAAACAGATAAAATATCTTTTCTATAGAAATGTTCACTAGATTCGATTTTCTCATGACATTTTAGAACTCAAGTAGTTTGTAATGTATTTTAATTTTGAGCTTTGTTCTCTACCACCAACCAATATTAGCAAAGGAAAAGATTTTTAAATAGCAGAACAATATTCAGAAATATGGCAGAAGGTTGCTAGAAGCTGACATTTCACTTACCTATTTATTATTAACATTATTTTGTCTTCAAAAATCCTGGAATATCGAGGAGAACCTCTTCCAAGTGGTGGCAAAGAATTCCAAGCTGCTCCTTTTTTATAGTACTGTATTTTAATAGATGGGGGAATAGGGTTATAGTACATTCTGTTAGAGTAAGGGAATATTGAGAATTACAACTGGCTTTTTATGTGCTGTAAACTAGAAATACCTCTCATGACTCAGTTCATTAGCCAGCATGAGTTACATAACCCCATTTGACTGTAAGCAGAATAAAATAATCTGTGGCTCTGGAAGGAAGAGGAGAATGGGAAAATACTGATCATCACTTGAGAGATTTATGATGATGGTTAGGCATGTGAACAGGAGCTTAGCATTGAGCCAAAGGAGAAAGCAAATTAAAGAGGTTACGAAAATGAAATAATGCAGTGAAGCCAGCTTTTAAGATTTATTTAGTGTTTGTGTTGTACTAGTGTGAGTTGTATTGGGATAAAGAAGCAGTCTTATAATGTGGAAAAGTGATTTTAGCTTTTCCTGGATGATATGCATTGAGTTGTGGCACTAGACAACAGAAGGCTCAGCTGGATTACACATGAAGAAATTCAGGGACAGCAGCTAAGTAATGTGCTCAAGGTTAAACAATTAGTGTGGAGTTGAATCAGAATTTGAACTTAGGTGGCTGACTTCAAACTCTAGATCCTTTTTTTTTTTTTTTTTTTTTTCAATCGAGACAGGGTCTCACTTTGTCACCCAGGCTGGAATGCAGTGGTGCAAACAGAGCTCACTGTAGCCTCAACCTCCTGGGCTTAAGTGATCCACCTGCCTCAGCTTCCCAAGTAGCTAGAACTACAGGTACATGCCACCACATCCAGATAATTTTTATATTTTTTGTAGAGATGGGCTTCACCATGTTGCCCAGACTAGTCTCAAACTCCTAAGTTCAAGAGATCTGCCCCCCTCAGCCTCTAAAGTGTTACGATTACAGGTGTGAGCCACTGCACCAGGCCCAGACCCAACTCCTAAAAATTACACTATGCAAAGAATAACAATATATAACAACAATATGTTGTCAAGTTTAAAAAATTCAAGTTTTAAACACTAAGATCTACCTTTTATAAATGAATTGCATGTATATACCTGAAAAGATTGGGCAGATATACACAAAAATATTAATAATATCATCTCTGGACAGTTTGATTTGAAGCAGTTTTTAAAATTCTGTTTTCATCTTTGTGCTTTTAATTTTTAACAAAACAAAGTCTTTTAAAAATCTTTTATATGCTGAATGAAAATATTTTCCAACCTAGAATTACATACCAAGAAAAAATCTCTTTTCAGAATGAGGACAAAATACATTTTTCATAAATACCAACACAGAGTTTGTTACCAAAAGACTGTCACTAATCAAAATTCCAAAGTATATATACATATATATATATATGTATACACATATATATGACAGAAGTCGAATGGTACTTGAGAGAAATTCTAAGCTTCCAGAAGAGTGAAAAGCAAATGAAATGGTAAATATGTGGATAAGTCTAAAGAAACATGGACTCCATAAATCAATATGACAATACCTGTGAGGTTAAAAGGAAACAGAAGACTTTTAAAATCTAATATTAATTATCTACCCAAAATGCAAATAATATTGTAAATGGACCTGTGGAAATGTTATCCATGGATAGAAGAATACTATCTTGTAGAGTTAACATTTTCACTTCACTTGTGTCAAAGAATTTCCAATAAAAATCTCAGTTTTTTTGGGGGGGAAGGGGAAGGGAAGGTGGTATTGGTAAGCTGATTCTAAAGTTTAAATACAAATGCAGAGAGACATTCTTGAATTAGAAAACAATGTGGTAAATTTTCCCTACTAGATATGAATAGTCATTATAAAGGTAGAGTTTTAGTCAAAATGCTATGATATTGGCACAAGAATAGACATATATATGGCCAGGAGCCATGGCTCACGCCTGTAATCCCAGCACTTTGGGAGGCCAAGGTGGGCGGATCACGAGGTCAGGATATCAAGACCATCCTGGCTAACACGGTGATACCCCGTCTGTAGTAAAAATACAAAAAACTAGCTGGGCGTGGTGGCGTGTGCCTGTAGTCCCAGCTACTTGGGAGGCTGAGGCCAAAGAATGGTGTGAACCCAGGAGGTGGAGTTTGCAGTGAGCCAAGATGGCGCCACTGCACTCCAGCCCAGGCGACAGAGCGAGATTCTGTCTCAAAAAAAAAAAAAAAAAAAAAAAAAAGAATAGATAAATGTACCAATGGAACAGAATAAAAATGCTGGAAACAGACACGTGCATAGTCAGACAGTTGTCTAGCTACATCTGTCTGTAACAGATGAGGGAAAATAGATGCTTTAAATATATGATTCTGCCACAATGAGTTATCTATGTGGGGGAAAATTGGATCCATAACTCACATCAGATAGAAAAAATCAATTGTGAGGGTATTAATAACCTAAATGTAAAAAGGAAAACTATGAAAGTTTCAGAAGATAACAGAGGGAATATTGTCATGAGAATTGAAAAAAAATGACAGTTTACCTAATTGAAAAAATGTGTGCAAGAATTGATATTACACAGAAAAGGAAAATCAAATGTTTAATAAATACATGAAAAGATATTCAACTTTGGTAGCGATCAGGGGTGTAGTAAAGAATTTAACTTTGCCTCAAATGAAGCCTAGCATTTGCCCTCAGCTTCTGGGAGGTAATCTCTAAGCTCCTGAAATGTCATACCTGAGAGGAGTGTCTTTGGCTGGGGACCTTGTGTCACATTGGATAGTTTGACAATGTAATTTACAGTGAGAGCTGGCCACACCAAATAGTAACAGTATGATTTAGGGTGAGAATCCTGGGCCAAACCAGATGGTAAATATATGACTTAGAGTGAGGGCTTTGAAGCTCAACCTTTGGAGAATCTGGAAATGAGAAGTCCATCACTTCTACATGATGGAGCTCCATTATATACACTAGACACCCAGGCTCAGGTGAGCTTCCTTAGTTGGAAATATTCTATGTGTATTGTCACACATCTATGCCACGACGGTGACACTGTCTTGACTCCATGGGGAGAGGAGAGCAGAAGCTCTGTGTTTGATTCTTTTTCCATGGATTTTCTGTCCTATGTGCTTCCTCCCTTAGATGATCTTAATCTGTATCCTTCCTCTGTAATAAGCCATACTAGTAGAACAGCTTTCAGTGAGTTCTGTGAGTCCTTCTAAAGAATTGTTGAACCTGAGGGTGGTTTGAGGAACCTCCAAACTTATGTTGATGTCAGAAGTAGGAACAGTCTTATGTGGCCTAGGCTCCCTCTAACTACATACACAGTTATGTAATGAACTTTAAAACCACATGAATCTTTATTACACATCGAATTGATTGGCAAAAATTACAATACCAACTTTGGTTGAAAATTGTCACTAATTTGGAAAACAGTTAGGGATTTAGTGAAGATGAAGATAAATCCTGATTGTGATTTATGGCTATAGCAGAGGAAGTTGATTGTTCAAGATCTTGGAGTAGAACTCAAGGCATATGCTTTATGCACTTTTTTCTTTAAGCACATTTTATATCACAATGTAAATGCAAGAACTGAAATAAAATTTACAGAGACTATAGGTAATAACACCACAATGTTGATAGTGAGGTATCAGATCATTTAAAAATCTTCTTTTGTGCTTTTCAATGTTTTGCCATTAAGCTGTATTATTGTTAGAGTAAAAAGAGTAATAGACTTATAAATAAAGAAATTAAAAATGTGTGGTATTTGTGGTGTAAGTGTTAAAGAATTGATGCAACAACATCAGAGAAGATAGAACGGTGGCTACTCACAGTGTCCAGTTGAAGTAACAGTGGTTCAAGTTCTGGTCACCAGCTTTTGTACCTAGAAAAATAGTTTTGTGAGTGCTCCCAAAGTTGACTTATTGGTTGAGGACTGATGAGTAACTGACATGGACCTTGAAATTATGTGTTTACTTTTATAATTGGGATAATGCTACCTGTCAGAATGTTTCCTTCCCTGCCTATGGGAACATGGGAAGCTCAATTTAATTAGAAGGTAGTTTTGTAATGCATTCTATAGACTGCAGCAAAGCAGAACGATCAAGGCCTCTCTAAGCAGTCACCTGATTCTCAGCCTTCCAGATATAGGCTGTTACTGTTTTAGAGAATCTGGGATAGGGCCGGATGTGGTGGCTTACACCTGTAATCCCAGCACTTTGGGAGGCTGAGGCGGGCGGATCACCTGAGCTTAGGAGTTCGAGACCAGCCTGGCCAACATGCTGAAACCTTGTCTCTACTAAAAATACAAAAATTAGCCAGACATGGTGGTGCATGCCTACAGTCCCAGCTATTCAGGAAGCTGAGGTAGGAGAATTGCTTGAACCTGGGAAGTGGAGGTTGCAGTGAGCCAAGATCATGCCACTGCACTCCAGGGTAGGCGACAGTGAGAGATTCCATCTCAAGAACCAAAAAAAAAAAAGAGAATCTGGGATAAACCCTGCCAAATTCCTATTTCCTGAACCCACTTTTGTAAGGTCTTATGTAGAATCCACCTAGTCACAAGTGACCTTTTTTCTTTTTCTTTTAGGTATCTTTCTCCCATTAATTAAACAAAAGTTGTCTTTCAAATTCTAATGGAGATGATTAGATTTGTAGGCTTTAGTCTTCCTGCTTTGTCCTAGGCAACGTCCCTTCTTGTTAGGAGGCCCCTGAAGATGATTAATTTCATCCATTATGCATTAATTTCAGGAGGTTAACTCTCAAAGGGCCAGGTCCTTTCTTTTTGTTTGATACTCACTCTAGCTCTCTACTCAGTATATGTGACATTTAAAAATTCTTATTTAACCACAAGGTAGAATAAAGCATTTGCTCATTAAAATACCTTCTCCCTAAATGGGATTTATTACTGAATGAGAATAATGGACCTATTGTTATTATTTCTGCTCCATTTTCTTGTAAAGAATGTATTTCTTTGTGTTAGCCAAAAAAAAAAAAAATGTATAACTTGGTTTCCTTGTAGCTTTTTTGCCACTGAAATATTTTCTAGGCTACACTAATATGAAGATTTTTCAGCAATTTACAGAAATGGTGCTTCTGAGCATTCATTTTCTCTTTTACTGCTCAAAGGAAACCATGGGAACGCAGCATCCAATTTTGTTTGACAGGAGACTGGTTAGCAGACCACATGTGGTGTTTTTGTTTTGTTCTATAGCTGTTTCCACTGTGTCGTGTAATTCATCACAAGGATTTTGAGAATGGAAACTGTCACTAATCAAATATACAAAATTAATGAGTAGTTTACACCATTGCAAAGGGTAGGTAGTGAACAGTCAAGCAGAACAAAAGCAATAAGACTCTCTGGGCATAAATCCATTTCTATTTAATGAAGTTCAGGTTTCTATGTGTAATATGAAGTTGTCAGGTCATTGATAATTATCTTGCTTAATTTTGCAATCTTTTAAAGTCACAAATGACCCACTTTGCACCCACTTTACATAACCTATCAGTTAAGGATAATCATATGTTTAAAGCAACTAAGAAAAACAGTAGCAAATACAGCTATCAGTATTTTCATGGCAATTTTGGAATGAACTTGTAACCAGCACCCAGATTCCTTTTCAGTGAGTCCTGTGCTCCTGTGGCAACATATATAACATGAACCCTGGTATTGTTTTTATGTGCTTTGAAGCCAGTGGTGATATCATTTATTATGTTTGCAAAAAACTGAAGGGGCTTAGTTATGGATGTCTCACACATAGCTCATTTTAACCAAGGCATACAAACAAAAGGAGAGAAATAATAACCAGAAATCTTTGAACTCCAGACTCCCTCTTAACTAACTGCAATATTTCATACTCCCCTCCCAGTTGCATCAGCCTTCCAGTACCAAGACAACTACAGGTGTTTCCAACATAAAGTCAGCTTACCTCTAAGTTGTGTACTTTGAATTCAGAAATGTTTGCACTCAAAGACATCTCTTCCTGTAGAGTTCAGAGGTTTTTGGTTTCTTGTAACTTGAAACTACTAGCCATGGCCAGGGAAAGATTTGAGCTTTAGCTGTTTACCTTGGCACCAAAGATGCCTCTTGAGCGTTTCCTCCTGCCTAGAATCAATGGATTACATTTAAACCTACTTACTAAAATTCTACATATAAATTACAAAAGGAAACATTTTCAGATAAGAGGAACACAGGACATAGCACCCATTGAAAATATAAGAAATGTAGGATGACATTTGGGCCAAATATTTCCTTTCTAGACAAACCCCACCCTCTCTTTCCTGGGGAGACTGTCACTTGTACTTCCCTGGCTACTGGCTTCCAGCTGGGTTTGGCTGTAGTGAGTTTCAGCAGGAAATAGAGAAGGGCAATAGTGAAGTTTAGCATTTATTCTCCTGACCCTTTCCCTTAGGTCAGTCATATACCTTAAATAAAGATTACTGTTCCTTTCCCAGTGTGCTGTTGTGCACGCATTTCTCCTCTTCCTGAGTTTGATAACTTCTTCCACCATCATCTCCTGGGCCAAGCTCTGCTACTGCTAGCTCCAGGTCTCTATTGTCTCTTGTGGATTTTTTTTTTTTTTTTTTAGCCCATCACACTTTTATAATTTGTCCCGTTTTAGTAAAGTCTTCTTGAGTTATATCATTTTGAGCATGCAATCTTTTTACTGTTTAGACTGAGTGAAACACCAAAAATAGCAATAATGCTTAATTCTAAATAACAAAATAGAAGAAATAATAGCAGTTCAAAGTCCAAACTCTTGTTCCTTAATAAGAAATCCAAAAAATTGTCTCCAATTTCACCTACGTCTACCCTCATCAGACAACTAAAAAAAAAATGAAAATAAAAAAAGGGAAGGGTAAAAAAAAACCCAAAACTATAAACAGGTATAGAATTCTCTTTCTTCTGGGACTCTCCATGGCTCTGCATTTTTCTGTTCAGAACTGGACCTGGTGCCCTTCCAGCACCTGCACTCATGCTGTCCTGGAACTTCACCTTCACTGCTTTCCTTGATTAGATTCACTGCTTCCCCTATTTTATGTCTTTGGTCTTTTACTACTTCTGTTTTGTTTGGCTGTGACATGATGAGAAGACAGGTTTCCTGAGACTCTGGAAAGTTGGGCAGTAATATTTTTCAGGGATACCTGGGCACCTACTCGGCTTGTCTCTGAGGAAAAAAAATTCTTATACTAAGTTTGGTTCAAAATCCGGGAAAGCATCATTTTTCTAAAGACCTCTTTGAGTAGAAGTGCAATGGATGGTGAGGTTAAGTTCTGGTATGAAAATGAAATCATAGTATAAAAGAACAGTAGCTTAGCAGGAATTCTGAGTTTCACCAGCAGCCCTGTGCCCCACAGGGATAAAGGTTCAGAAGCCACACAAAGATACATGCTACATCTGCTCTGTGTGGACACTTCTGTTAAATTGTTTCCTTTGCCACAGAAATGAGACATTTACAGCAGGTCTATGTTTGTGGTTTATTTCTGTTGATCCTTAACCCATACTTCAATTGCAGCCGTAATGTCCATACTTCATAAGGAACTTCTAAGAGAAGGTGTATGAAAAATTAACTTTTTGAGCTTTTGTACATCGAAAAATGCTTTTACAGTTGATTGATATAATTTCTAAATATTGAATTTTAAATTTCTGCTATATTTTATAGCTAATTTCTCCATTTTTCTTGACATACTATTTTTGATGAGATAGTGGATGTCAGTCTTATTCTCATTCTTTCGTACAGCAAACTATCTCAAGGACAAAAAACCAAATACCGCATGTTCTCACTCATAGGTGGGAATTGAACAATGAGAACCCTTGGACACAGGAAGGGGAACATCATGCACCAGGGCCTGTTTTGGGGTGGGGGGAGGGGGGAGGGGGGAGGGATAGCATTATGAGATATACCTAATGTAAATGACGAGTTAATGGGTGCAGCACACCAACATGGCACATGTATATATATGTAACAAACCTGCACATTGTGCACATGTACCCTAGAACTTAAAGTATAATAAATATATATATATAAAAGAAGTTATTAACATATTTTCTTTATTCTTTGTTCTTAGTGTTATTTGAAATTTTATGAGCTCGTATCAAGGTTTGTTCTTTTTGAATGGTCCATTTTAGTTTAAAGCCTTGTCTTTCTTTAGTGCTGGAAAATAATCCTTTATTATTCCTTTATTTTCTTCTGTCCATTTTTCTCTTTTTGGAACTCCTATAAGATAAATTGTTGAACTCCCTGGATTAATCCTTTATGTGTTTTTCTCATATTTCCTATCTTTGCTTTTTCATGTATGCTCTGGGAGATTTACTTGACTTTTATTCTAGCCCCTTCTGACATTTTAAATTTTAGGTATTAAACTTTTACTGTCTTTGGATTCTTTCTTATTATATAATTATTCCCTCTTCCTAGCATCCTATTCTTGATATATGGAAGTAATATTTTCTCAAACCTCTCTGAAGAATATTAGTTATACTATATTCTTTATCTCTCTTTCTCTCTCTCTTTACCTTGTGGTGAGTTTTCATTTGTCTGTCTTTGTTTATCACTGTATTGAATTCTTTTGGTTCTCCTCATATATTAATGACCCTTCCTTGTTCATTTATATTTTAAAAAGAAAGAAGTTTAGGAGGGTAGGGATCTCTCTCTCTCTCTCTCTGTGTGTGTGTGTGTGTGTGTGTATATAGGTGTGTGTATATGTATATATATATATGTTTCTCTGTGTGTGTGTGTGTGCATGAGAGAGAGATTGAGTATACACATCCACACTCACACATATACATAGACTTTGTATATAGTATTCAAATTAGGTTTTTTTGTTTGTTTCCCCTGAGGTGGAATTTTGACTGTGAACTGTGTATGTGGCTTGAATGGGGTGTGAGAACAATCAGGCATTGCTTTGAGGTTGATGAAATATGGGTTCCTAAATGCCAGAATAAGTAGAGCTTTATGTCGGGGTGCTAGTATTGGAAGCCTTATTGTTCTTCAGACAGTTTTCTGCATTTCTTTAAGATAAACCCTGTGCTCTTTGCCTGGTGGTAGATGACTGCGAGTGGAAATTCTGAGAGCTGGGAGAGCCTTTCTCATTAGGTCTTTCATGATGTCTGCACACTGCCCTAACCCAGACCTAGGCTAGATGACTCCTTAGCACCCGTGTTCCCAGATGCAGTTATTGCATATTATTGTCATTATTTGCTAATGTGTCTCTTTACTGCATTAGCCTATGAACTGTTGATCATGGCAAGGGACATGTATTAGTAATCAATGTATCATCTATGTTTCTATGGCTATAGTGTTAGAAATAGAAAATTCTGTGACATTAAAATCACTTTTCATTGTTACTTGTATAGATATTTCACCATACATATTAATAGTTAGTAAGACATCCAAATTATATTTTGTTCCTTTAACAATTTCCCTTATACTATATTTTCAGCGTTCAACATCTTAATTATTCTTCGGAATTTATAGATTTTTTTACATGTGAGTTCAGTTTTATGTGGCTTATTTGGTACATTTCATTTGTGATCATCTTGGGGGGGAAAATCATATTAAATATAGTTTTCTCTTTTTTTATTAAGAAGGAAAAATAAGTATAAATTATTTTTGTGATATTAAGACCTAGATATTAGAGTGCAGGATTCCTTTGGGGAATTTCTAGGCTTGATGTGGCAGATGCAGGACTAAACTGTCCAGATCCTTTTTCAAAATAAAATCTGCTTGGATTGAGGCAGTGCACTCAGGAGGCAGCCTTTGGCAAACACTACACACTTTCTTGGCAGCCTACATCCCTTGACTAAGACAGGGTATAAGGCCCAGCCATTTCAGCCTGTCATAGGATGCTTTGATAGCAATACTTGCTCTAGAACTGGAGCTGAGTTGGCCAAAGCTGGGTGACACATAAATTGTATTTCAGCATTTTCCTGTGCCCAATGCTACTGTCTTCCTCTTCCTTTTATAGAGGTTGATCCCTAAACTCATCTTTCACTCCAAACTCCATTTCAGCCCCTGCTTCTGGAGAATACCACTGGTGACACTAATAGTCTCTAGATTATAATTCCTTCCTATTGTACTATAGTATAATGAATTTATACTTCTTTACTTCTTATTCTGTAAACATATTATTCTGCTAACCATAATAGATTTTTATTTTTTAGGTTAAATAATCAAGATAGTTTTGTGTTAATAGACATCAACACAAAACTCTTTTCTCCCTTAACATTCTAATCTCCATCTGTAGACTCTGCCTTTGTTTACACCTGGCAAGACCAGTTCTACTCATGGCCAAGAGGACATGCTCTTAGTCACTGAAAGGTTTACACAAGTTGTCTTGTTCTCATATCAAGTAATGAATATATAGTCCACATATCTTTCATCGTTCCTTTTATTAGCTATAGGATAGCTGTTCTTTTAGTAGTCTGTCTCACTCTGAACTTGGATACTTATTTTGTCATCATTTGAGTCATGGTTCTATCATAAATAATTGAAGTTAACAGACCCAGTAAATGAGTTGATACTTTTTCATGATGCTGATTCATATTAAACTTTGTTATTGTATTATTGGTAGAATTTTTTTTTGCTTTTGAAACTTATTGAAATGTACACCCCCCCCCACACACAGAAACTGTTTGCCAAGTTTTTATACATAAGGAAAAGCTCATAAAAGTCTGATAGAAAGCCTATATATCTAAAAAGAACTAACAAATTGCAAAGTGCCTGTAAAGAACAACTTCTGCTCCACTCTCAATTCCCTGAGTGCTATTGTGATGGAGATTCTGTTTCACTGTAATTCATCCATGTCCTTATGCTTGAATTCCTGAGACTTATCTAGAATTCCAGAGATAAAGTAAAATCTTTGTGTTTTTTTCTCTCTTTTGTGGGTTTGTTTCTGTGTCTTGATTTATTTTGTGGTGTGTGTGCTTTTTTAAACAAAGCAGAACAAAACACATAAATATTATTTTAACAAAAGCCAAGTCCCATAAAGGGTATTAGTTGTTAACCTCAACATTTTTCTCTTACGAAAAAGATTATATAATTGAGAGATTAAATCTATATTATAGCTATATTTAGGTGACATTATTTTTCTGCATTATTTATTGAAATAAAAAAGATCTAAATGTATCTTTGTCATTAATTGTGGTTTTGTAATCAGTTAACTAATGTCTAACTATTTCTAATAAAAAGACAAATAGGAGTCTAAATTTCTCATCATTGTAGTACAGAAGCATTTAAAAGAAATACTCCATGTTCTAAATAAAATATAGACCTAAACATCCTTATGGGTCATAAAATGTGATTCTTAAGTGAAGTGAGTGCTTTACCTGCTGAACCAGAATATTTTAAAGCCAATCCACTTTGCTTTCAGGTTTCTTTCTGCACTCCTAATGTTAAAGGTTATTTTTTTCTTCCTAGCTGGGGATGGCAAGGACTATGCTAAGTTGTATGTCCAGCACAATTGTATTCAATAGCACCATTTTTTTTCTTCATGATAGCATATCTACTTTTCCTATTATCTCTGTTATCCTACAGAGAAACCATCATAGGAAATTTGAGATATCAATAGAAAAGCATAAATATAGTAGTCCATCTAAAATCACAGCAAAGATAGAAACCTGAAGGGATCTGGACTGCATAATTAGGCAGCTTCCTATAGATGTTTGCATTTGAGGCTTTAGTTTAAGAAAGTTGGAGCCATAGCATATCTCAAGTTCCTTTATATATTGATCAGCAAAATTTTACAGTTCCAAAAGGTAATTTTTGATCATAAAAAAGCCTAGATGTTAGTGAATTTGTTGTTCATTTTCACTGGCACTCCTAGAAAACTGGCCAATTATACACTGATTGGAGAGGGCTGTGGTGGAAGTCTGTGAGGGAATATTCTAACATCTCCCTAATCTGTGAACCCAAGGCAATGGGAGGAAAGGTGAACTAGAGATTTCTTACGGTTCTGTTTAGGGCAAGGTAGTCTCATTGGTTAGACATGTACTTTAAGAGGCTGATTAATTTATATTTGATTACATTCTCAGCAATTCAAGTAACTATCACCAGTGAAAATGAAAATGCCAAATTAAAGAACAGAGAGCAGAGGTTGCCTCACTTATTCCCATCATATAAATAGACAGCAGAGATTTCTTCACTTATTTTCACCAAACAAATATGGATATAGTACTATTGTCTACAATGTATCTAAAGTTATAACAGTAGCATAAAAAGTACTTAGGAGTAAACTTAACCAAATAAAAAAATCTATACAGTGGACTATTAAACACTGATGAAAGAAATTAAAGCAAACACGAATAAGTGGAAAGATATTCCTTGCTCACGGATTGGAAGAATGAACGTTTTTTTAAACGTTCATACTACCTTATGCGATTACATACTCAACTCAATCCCTATCAAAATCTGAATGCCATTTTTTTTTTACAGAAATTGTCAAAAACATCATAAAATTCATATGGAATCACAAGACCCTGAATTGCCAAAGCAATTTTGAATAAAAAAGCAAAGTGGGAAGTGCCACACTTTCTGATTTCAAAAGATAGTACAAAGCAACAATAATCAAAGCAGTATTGTACTGGCATAAAAACAGACATATAGATAAATGGAAGCAGAATAAATAGTTCTGAAATAAGCCTATTCATATATGATCAATGAATCTTTGACAAAGGTGCCAAGAGCACACAGTAGGGAATGCATAGTTTCTTCAATAAGTAGTGTGAGAAACTGGACTCACATGCAAAAACTAAAATTTTATCCTCATACCATACACAAAATAACTCAAAATAAATACTTAAATGTAAGACCTAAAACCATAAAACTTCTGGGAAAAACATAGGGCACAGCAGTTACATTAAATCTGTAGATCATTTTCAGTAGGATTATCATTTTACCAATATTAACTCTTTCAATCTGTGAGCTTGGGATGTTTTCCATTTATCTGTGTCTTCTCTAACTTCCTTCACCAGTATTTTATAATTTTCAGTGTACAACTCTTTCATCTCTTTCATTAAGTTTATTCCTAAATATATTTTTCTTTTTGTTGCTATTATGAATGGTACTGTTTTCTTAATTTTCTTCAGATAGTTTGTTGTTTGTGACATGACTATTTTGTATTGTTAACTTTGAATCCTACAACTTATTGAATTCCTTTAATAGTTCTACCAGGTATTTTTTGTCATATCTTTAGAGTTTTCTATGTATGTGATCATGTTATCTGCAAATAGATATAATGTTACTTCTTTCTATCTAATTTGGATGGCTTTTATTTCTTTTTCATGTCTAATTGCTCTACCTAAGATTCCCAGTGCTTTACTGAAAATAACTGTTACTTACATGTGGAATTCAAAGAACTTAAACTCATAGAAGTAGTAAGTAGAATGGTGGTAATAGGGGCTGAGGGAGGGAAAAAATAAGGCTATGTTAGTCAAGGGGTACAAAGTTTCACTTAAATAAGATGAATAGCTACTAGAAGTCTAATGTACAATAATTTGAAAGTAGTTAATACTATATTATATACTTGAAATTTGTCAAGAGGGTAGATTTTAAGTGTTCACACACACACACACACACACACAGAGACAGAGAGAGAAAAGATGGAGAAGATGGTAACTATGTGAGGTGATAAATACGTTAATTAGCTTGATTTTGGTGATTATTTCACAATGCACATACATAACAAATCATCAGGTATTACACCTTAAATATATATAATATACATAATTTTTTGTCAAAAAATAATGAATTATTCTTACAAGTAATAACATAGGTGACTATCACAGATGTAACATTGACCAAAAGAAGCCAGATATATTGTATAATTCTATTCTTTTTTAAAAAAAATAATTTTTTGGAATGCATAGTAGGTATATATCTTTATTAGGTACATTAGATATTTTGGTATAGGCATACTATGCATAATAATCACATTAGGGTAAATGGGGTATCCATCACCTCAAGCATTTATCATTTCTTTTTGTTACAAACAACTCAATTATAAATTATATTCTTTTATTTTATTATGTACACTAAATTATTGTGGACTGTAGTTACCCTGTTATGCTATCAAATACTAGATCTTATTCATTCTATCTAACTATATTTTTGTACCCATTAGCCACCCCCCTTCTTTACCCATAATTATATTCTTAGAAATAAATAGGCAAAACTTAAAAGAAGAAAAAAATTGGAGAAAATCTTCTTTATATTGGTCTTCACAAGGATTTCTTCTATACAACATCAAAATCAGAGAAAACAAAAGCAAAAAATAGACAAATAGACAAGTGGGACTATATTAAACTACAAAGCTTCTGCACAGCAAAAGAAACAATAAACAAAAAGACAATCTACAGAATAGCAGAAAATATTTTCAAACCATATAGCTGATAATGAGTTAATATCCAAAGGACATAAAGAACTCTTACAAATCAATAGCAAAAACCCCAAATAATCCAATTAATAAATGTCCAAAGGATCTTGATAAACATACTTGTAAAGAAGACATACACATGGCCAAAGGTATATGAAAAGCTGCTCAACATCACTAATCATCAGGGAAATGCAAATCAAAACCACCATGAGATATCACCTCTCACCTGTTATGATGGCTGTTAGCAAAAAGCCCAAAAGATAACAAGAGTTGGTGAGGATGTAGAAAAAAAGCAACACTTGTCCACTCTTGATAGGACTGTAAATTGAAACAGCCACTTTGGAAAACAGTATGAAGGTTCCGCAAATAATTAAAAATATGATTTTTCATTCATATGATTCAATAATCCCATATGATTCAATAATTCCACTTCTGGAATTGAAATCAAAGAGATATTTATACTACGGTGTTCATTGTAGCATCATTCAAAATAGCCAAGACATGGAAGCAACCTAAATGTCCATCAATGGATGAATGGAAAAAAATGTAGTATATACATACAATAAAATATTATTCAGCCTTTAAAAATGAAATTCTGTCATTGGCTACAGCATGGATGAACCCAGAGGACATGATGCTAAGTGAAACAAGCCAGTTACAGAAGGACAAATACTACATAATACCACTTATAAATACTACCTATTAATTACTACTTCATAATGAGCCAA
This sequence comes from Homo sapiens, assembly GCF_000001405.40. Taxonomy (NCBI): domain Eukaryota; kingdom Metazoa; phylum Chordata; class Mammalia; order Primates; family Hominidae; genus Homo; species Homo sapiens. The sequence goes on along the minus strand of NC_000002.12, from coordinate 186,121,076 downwards.
AGGCTGGGCATGGTGGCTCATGCCTGTAATCCCAGCACTGTGGGAGGCCGAGGCAGGTGGATTACTTTGAGCTCAGGAATTCGAGACCAGCCTGGGCAACATGGCAAAACCCCATCTCTACAAAAAATACAGAAATTAGCTGGGTGTTTGTGGCTTGCGCCTGTAATCCCACCTACTCGGGAGGCTGAGGTGGGAGAATCGCTTGAGCCTGGGAAGCAGAGGTTGCAGTGAACTAGGATCATGCCACTGTACTACAGCTTGTCTCAAGAAAAAACAAAAACAAAAACAAAACAAAAAAAAAGGAGTCAAAATTTTATACAAACACTTTAACAAAGATGTATGGATGGAAAATAAGAATATAAAAGACACTCAATATCATTAGTAATTAGAATTAAAACCATAATTCGATATCACTACATACCCTAAGAGAATCACCAAAATTAAAAGTTTGGCCCATGTCAAATGTTAATGAGAAGGCAGATACAAGGCAGGAAGAAATGTAAAATGTTACAATTGCTTCAGAAAACAGTTTACATTTAAAAAATATTTAAACATATACTTTATAGATGGCCCAGCCATTTTCCTTTTGGTTGGTTTATCTAAGAGAATTGTAAACATATGGTATAAAATTATTCATGGATGCTTTATTTTTAATAGCCCCAATGTGAAAGCAGCTCAAATGTCTACTAAATAAAGAAAATGTAGTATATTCCTATGATGAAATACTAGTCAACAACAACAAAAGGAGCTATTAATTTATACAACAAGAATGACTCTCAAAATAATTACACTGATTCAAACAAGCCAAAAAAAGAATATATAATGTGCATTTTCATTTATATAAAATTCTAGAAAATGAAAACTAATCTATAGTGACAGAAAGCAGATGAGTGGATGAGTGTTTGCCTGGGGAAGGAAATGGAGGGGAGTGAAATGTTTCGGTTTGTTCATTATCTTGATTTGTGGTGCTGGTTTCATGCTTCATAAATATATTGATATGTCAGAACTTTTCAAATATGTTTTCAAAAACTTATATACATACCTTATATATGTAGCTTATTAAATTTCCATTATAATTTAGTACACCTGCAAGATATGTAAGATTTCTCATGTGAATTTTTTTTTTTTTTTGAGACAAAGCCTTGCTCTGTCACCCAAGCTGGAGTGCAGTGGCACAATCTCAGCTCACTGCAACCCTTCACCTCCCAGGTTCAAGTGACTCTCCTGCCTCAGCCTCCCGAGTAGCAGTTTTGTATTTTTGTAGAGACAGGGTTTCACTATGTTGCCCAGGTTGGTCTTGAACTCCTGACCTCAACTGATTTACCTGCCTTGGCCTCCCAAAGTACTTGGACTGCCAACCACTGGGATTGCAGGCATGAGCCACCACACCTGGCCATGTGAAGAATTTATTACAAGTTTAGTTCATAGTTTATTTATTTTTTTACATTAGATTGTTGGATTATTTTTAAGTTAAACAACATTTTTATTCTAATCAAGTAAAAGATATGAAGAATTCAATACATTTGCTTTATATTCAATTTTAACTTGTTTTATGTATTCACAAATGTTCTATAATATTTAATAACTAATACAATTATATGACATACATATTAGAATAATTTTGATAATTTTAGAACATATTGCTTTAAAAATACATATTTTAGTTTTTCAAGAAATGTTCCCTTAAGTAACCAACTAGGTTATTGCTTTCCAAAATGGAAATTTAGAAGGGGTTCTCTACTATTGTTTTTTCCATAGAGACAGCATCTAGTTTCTAATTCATCAGAAAGAGATTCCTCATGATTAGGTAATCCCAAAGCTCTGGACATTGAAAGGAGAATTTTCAAAAGAAAACTAATTCTGATACTTGAGGTCATTTTAATTCATTTCTATTCTCCCATAAATAAACATTTTCTAGGTAAATTTGTTCTTTGGTGTTAATAAATTTTTCGTCTTGAACTACAAAACTTTTTTTCCCTCTCTTTTAAGGGTATTTGGAGCAAAGTACATTTATAAATCTCTATTAGTTTGCTAGGGCTGCTACAACAAAATAGCAATAGAAATGTATTTTCTTCCAGTTCTGCAGGCTGGCAGTCCAAGATCTAGGGCTGGCAGAATTGGTTTACTATGAGGTCTTTCTCCATGGCTTGCAGAGGGCTGCATACTTGCTGCATCTTCACAAGAGCTTGTTCCTCCATGTACATGTGCCCTTGGTGTTTCTCTGTACATTTTAGATGAGAATATGATATTTTAAGTCCTGCCTCTTAGGCATAAAGATTATTTTGGGGTGATTACTTTGAGAAACTGCAGACACAGGAGAAGCTCTGAAAGCAGAGTAGAAGTTACCCTTTTGTAAGGAAATCTCCATTTGTAAGAGTGTCTCTCTCTTCTATACCAAGAAGAGAAGAAAGATTCTAATCTCTAGAGACTTTTATAAATGGAGAAGGCACCAATATAAATCTGCATAGAAAACCTTACTCTGCTTACCATGCCTTTCCTAGTCACTTCCCCATTACTTGCCTCTTAACATCCTCTTTATTTGCTTCAGCAGAAGATGATATGTGAGCCTGAACTCTAAGCCATCTCTTTGAGATTTATGCATTTCTGTGGACATTTACCAGGTATCTATGAAGTATACACATCAATAAACTTCTGTTGGCTGTTCTCTTGGTAGTCTGCCTTTTGTTACAGGGGTCTGTCCCAGAGAAAATCTCGGTAGGGTAGAGTGAAAATTAGTTTTCTTCCCCTACAGCTTCCTAATCTCCTCTCATAAGGACATTGGTCAAATTGGGTTAGGGACCACCCTAATAGCCTCATTTTTAACACAGTTGCCTCTTTTAAAATCCTGTCCCCAAATACAGTCATATTCCGAAGAGCTGGGTGTTAGAAATTCAATTTCTGAATTTTGGAGGGGCTAAATTCAGCTCTTCTAATATCTCTTTTAATGTCTGTCTTCCCTTACTTCCTTCTTTCCCTCTCTTCCTTCCTTTCTTTCTTTTTTTCCTTTCCTTTCTTTGAATATAAGACCACAAAATATTTCTATCCCAAATACATGAGAAAGGGGAAGGCAGGCAAAGCCTACAATATTGCATATTTTATAATTATTAAAGTGATATAGCATCACTGTATTAAAGTTAGCAGACAACACTAATGAATGCTGCAGCCACATGATGTTGATATTACAGCAGGAGTCCCCCACCACCATGGTCATGTACAGGTACCCGTCTATGGCCTATTAGGAACTGGGCAGCACAGCAGGAGGTGAGTGACAGGCAAACAAGCATAACCGCCTGAGCGCTGCCTCCTGTCAGATCAGCAGCGACCTTAGATTCTCATAGGAACATGAACTTTATTGTGAACTGCGCATGTGAGGGATCTAGGTTGCACAGTCCTTATGAGAATCTAACTAATGCCTGATGATCTGAGGTGGAACAGTCTCATCCTGAAACCATCCCCCCTCTCCCACCTCCGGTCTGTGGAAAAATTGCCTTCCATGGCAATTAGGGACTGCTGTGTTACGGGACTGCCAGTTTTCTATGCCTGCTGCACAGCAACAGACCAATACACTACATGGGGTTGCAGCAGAGAAAGAGTTTATTAATAGCAAAATGCTGAGTGAAGAAATGGGAGGAATTCTCAAGCCTCAAATCTGTTTATTTGAAGGACTCTGGGCAAGGATTTTTAAGGGGATTTGTGGAGGGTGAGGGGCTAAAAAATTTGAGATTGTCAATTGGCCAGTGTTTCTCCATGAGTCAGTTTCTTACTGGGCCCTCCAGACTAGCTGTCATCTGTCTGTAATTTTGTTAGTATGCAGAACTTTAATAAGAAGTTGAAACAGAAAGCTTACCATCTCATGATGTCTTAGATTTTATCTATATAACAGAAAAAGAACAAAGGATCTTGTTGAGAGGTGAAGCCAGCTGGACTTCTGAGGTGAGTGGGGACTTGGAGAACTTTTCTGTCTAGCTAAAGGTTTGTAAATGCAACAATCAGTGCTCTGTGTCTAGCTAAAGGTTTGTAAACACACCAGTCAGCGCTCTGTGTCTAGCTAAAGGTTTGTAAATGCACCAATCAGCACTCTGTAAAAACACACCAATCAGCACTCTGTGTCTAGCTAAAGGTTTGTAAACGCATCAATCAGCACTCTGTAAAATGGACCAATCAGCAGGACGTGGGTGGGGCCAAATAAGGGAATAAAAGCTGGCCACCCATGCCAGCAGTGGCAACTGGTTCGGGTCCTCTTCCATGCTGTGGAAGCTTTGTTCTTTCGCTCTTCATAATAAATCTTGATGGTGCACACTCTTTGGGTCTGCACTACCTTTATGAACTGTAAGACTCACCGCGAGGGTCTGCGGCTTCATTCCCGAAGTCAGCAAGAACACGAACCCACCGGGAGGAACAAACAACTCCGGACACACCACCTTTAAGAGCTGTAACACTCACTGCGAAGGTCTGCGGCTTCACTTCTGAAGTCAGCAAGTCCACAAACCCACCGGAAGGAAGAAACTCCGGACACATCTGAACATCTGAGGGAACAAACTCTGGACACACCATCTTTAAGAGCTGTAACACTCATCGTGAGGGTCCACGGCTTCATTCTTGAAGTCAGCAAGACCAAGAACCCACTGGAAGGAACCAATTCTGGACACATTGTGACAAGGGCTCTGCTATCATGGGGTAGTAAGTAGCAACTAACTAGAAGAAAGTGGGCCAAAGGGCAAGCTGGCTTAATGGGTAAGCCTAGTTAGATTTTATCTTATTTTCTTAACCAATTTTATAAAATTTCGTTGGGGGTGGTTTCATTGATATGCTTCTTTTGATGAGCATAGAGACCCTTTTATGCCAAAGCAGCCCTAAGGCATAAAGACTCCCAAACAAAATGCAAATTATCAGGCTAGCATATAGCACAGTTCTAACTGGTGAGTGATAATACTAGAAAACAATCCAAGTCACAATGTGAGAATAATACTACTTAACTATAGGTAACTGAAAAAGTTGAAATAGGCTCCAGTTAAAAACAGAAAAGCACCACTCTTAACTCTGAATGGGTCACATCTGCGGAGGAATTAGATACTTAGAATCTGGGATTTAAAGGTGCTCTGATGTCATTAACTGATCCCTTCTTCCACTCAATAAATAAATGCTGCTCACATGCTGTTCATACGTCCTATTTTGTTGTGCAAATGGTATGGTCATCTGCTTTAAGCTTTAAAAAACATCAAACATTGGTCCTACATGGCTCTTTGAATTTGGTCAAGGTCCATTTGGCATAATTTGAAAATTGATAGGTTTCCACATATTGGCTATAATACTTGTGAAAGCCAACCTGCAGATGACTTTGCAATCTGCAGATGGAAAATCTAATTATTACCACCTGTTCTTGTCTATGGTACAAGTCTTATAAAATATTTCCCTGAAAACATGAGACTTAAAAATATTATTGAATTATTATTTGCTTACTGTGCTATTGTTTTTATTCCAAAAGAAATAGTTTATTAATAACATGCCAAGAATTCTCCCATTTATATTATTAATTAGATACAAATTAAATATTTCTTTTAAAAATAATTTCCAGAGTGATGTCAGCAAGATGGCAGAATAGGAGTTCTCCAGTTTCACTTCCCTTCACTGAAATCCAACTAGCTGCTATCCACAAGCAAAAATAACATCCTGAATATTCCAGAACTTGGGAGTGAGGCTGAGACAGCTTTCTTGGACTGCAGAACTGACAAAAGCTGCAATGCAATGATAAGAGGAATGCCATACCCACAGAATTCCCCTGGACTCACAGTTTCTACAAAGGGAAAAGTGAGTTGGAGGCAAATATTCAGCTTCCGCACCATTCTGGAACACTTTGCAAGAGGTTCACTCTTGTTTTATCCCATGGAAAACATTGGAAATGCCTGCACAGCTGGATTACCTGGGGTCAGTTAGAAACAAAGAATGGGGTGGGACTCACAGCAACTAGTGTGCAGATACTGGTGGTTGCTTTACCTTCTGACCAATGCAGGTGATACTCCAAAGGGGGTAGCCAACAGTATCACACTGTAGGAAACATAGATCATGCCACTTCCAGACCTGAATATCTAGCCAGCATTCTCATGTGGGCTGGGTGCTCTCCTTAAATTGTCCCCTTGCCGACAGTCAATGGAAGGTGAGTGATTAACTGCAGAGGGAGCATCTGACCTCTCCACCCCTAGTGGCAAAGAGGTAATCCAACTAAGTTATAGTCTTTGCATTAAGTCTTCCAGACACAAAAAGGCAACTGCAAGTCAATTACCTACAGAGAAAGTATCTGGCCTAACTCAACCTTAGCTGCTGATCAATTACTCCAACAAACCTTGGTTCTCTACTTAAGCCTACCCAAGGTGTGAGGTGACAAGCTTAAGTCCAAGCATGTCACCTGGAACATAGCCTCTTGCTCAGCTCACTATTATGGCTGAGCAACAACCCTAGAGATCTCCGTCAGCCTCAGAGCCCAGCACATGGCCCTGCCCAACTAGACTCTAAACAACAGTAGCACTCAGCCAGGAAAAACAACCTGCAACCCTACCTCATTAGAGACTAATCATAGAGCCCATCCAGTAGTAGCACCACCTGACAGTTTACTCTGGCTAGTGGTCTCACCATACCATAGAGCACAGCAAGCAGTACCAATCTACTTCAAAGCATGGGAAGTAACCAAGCCAAACTAGAGAACCTGATACCAAGGTCTGCCTGTCTGGTGGTGTTACCAGAACGTTCATCCAGAACCCCAGGCTAAATTAGATAGTAAAGATCTATTAGCACCACAGAACACCTACAAAGGCTGTAACAGGTGTTTGTTTGCCTTTTCAAATTTGAAGCCAGCAGTGTAAGAACACAAAGATTATGAAGAATCAAGGAAATGTGATACCACCAAAAGAAACTAATAAAGCTCCAAAAATGGACCCAGAGAAAATGCAGACCTATGACATGACTGATAGGGAACTCGAAATAATCTCCTTAAAGAAGTTCAGGGAACTCCAAGAAAATACAGATTAAAAAATAATTAAAATTTGGAGAACATTTTATAAACAAAAGTAGAAGTTTAACAAATAAATAGAAACAATAACAATAAAAATCCTAGAGATAAAGAATGCAATACCCGAACTGAAAATTTCAATAGCAAGCTTTAACTACATACTTGGTCAAGCAGAAGAAAGACTCGGTGAGCATAGAAATAGGACATTTAAAATTATTCACCCAGAAGAGAAAAAAAAGAAGAAAGGAAAAGAATAAAAAAGGCCTATGGGAATTATCAGGCACCATCAAGCAAACTAATTTTCACCAAACAGGTTTTCTGAAGGATAAGAGAGAGTAAAAGGCCTAGAAAACATACTTGAGAAACTAATGGCTGGAAGTTAAAGTTTTCTAAGTCTTAGAAAAAAATGACAATAGCCAAGTACAGGAAGCTCAAAAGTCACCAATTTCAATCCAACGATGAGTTCAACAAGAAACATTATAATCAAAGTATCAAAAACCAAAAATAGAGAAAGAATACTGAAAGTAAAACCAGAGATAAGAAATATATCACATTCAACAAAGCCCCAATATAGCTTTCGGTGATTTTCTCAGCAGAAACCCTGCAGGACAGAAGAGAGTGGGATGATATATTCAAAGTGCTGAAGGACAAAAAAAACCCTGCCAACTGTGCCCAACAAAGCTGTTCTTTAGAAATGGGCATAAAAACCTTCCCAAGCAAACAAAAGCTAAAGGAGTTTATCACCACTAGGCCTGTCTTATAGGAGTTGCTAAAAGAAGTTATTTAAGCTGAAAAGAAGCTGCTAATTAACAACGAAACACATATGAAAGTAAAAATACAAACAAACTGTAAATATCGTAAGTAATACCTAGTCATACTCAGTGCTTTTTAGTACTGTAAAGATGGTGTGTAAAGCAATTTTATTCCTACTATGAGAATTTAAAAAAAAACATTAAAAACAACTGTAGCTACAATAAATTGTTATAGAATTACAAATTACAAAAACAAATGTAAATTTTCACATCAAAATCTTAAAAAGGCTAGAAAGTGAAAGTCATGCAATTAAAGGCAAGCTCTTATCAGCTTAAAGAATTCTGTTACAAGGATATTTTATGTAAGCCTCATTGTAACCACAAAGCAAAAATGTATAGTAGTTGTACCAAATATAAAAAGGATTCAAAGCATACCACCACAGAAAATCATCAAGCCACATAAGAAGATAGCAAGAGAGCAAGAAACAAAGGACCTACAAAACAATCAGAAAAATAGTTACAAAATGGAAGTTGCAAGTTCTCACCTATCAATAATTACTTTGAGGGTAAATGGATTAAATTCTAGAATAAAAAGATATAGAGTGGCTGAATAAAAAAATACCACAAAATCTAACCATGTTCTGTGTACAAGAGATTGACTTTACTGGTAAGAACATACATAGACTGAAAGTGAATGATGGAAAAAGATATTCTGTGAAATAACCTGAAAAGGGCAGTTGATGCTATATATGTTGGACAAAATAGACATTAAGCCAAGTAGAGAAAAAAAAAGCCATTACATAATGATACAGGGATTAATTCACCAAGAAAACAAAATAATTGTAAATATATATGCACCCATTATCAGAGCACTTAAATACACAAAGCAATTATTCAGTGATCTCAAGAAAGAGATAGACTGCAATACTGTAATAGTAGGGAACCTCAAGGTACCACTGTCAACAATGGACAGACCATCTTGACCGAAAATTAATAAGGAAACACTGGAGTTAAGTTACACTTTAGACCAAATGGACCTAACAGATACATAGATCCTTCCATCCAATAGCAGTAGAATACACTTTCTTTTCAAGTGCAGAGGGATCATTCTCTAGGATAGATCATGTTAGGCCACAAAACAAATCTTAACAAATTTAAAAGACCTAAAATAATATGAAACCGAGTTTTGAGATAATTTCAGCATGAAACTAGAAATCAATACCAAGAGATATTGAGAAAAATAAACAGATATGTGGGAATTAACATGCTCCTAAACAACTAATGGGTCACAGAATCAATGAAAAAATACCTTGAGACAAACAAAAAGGAAAATGTAACATATCAAAACTTATTAGATGTAGCAAAAGCAGCCCTAAGAGGAAAATTTATAGTGACAAATGCCTATAACCAAAAATATGCTATAATACAAATAGGCAATTTAATGGTACACCTTAAGGAACTAGAAAAAGAAGAATAAGCTAGGCCCCAAGTTATCAGAAGAAAGAAAATAGCAAAGATCAGAGCAAATATAAATGAAACAGACCCTAATAAAGTGAGAAAAAAACTCAACAAAACCAAGAGTCAGATCTTTGAAAAGATCAACAAAATTGATGAACCCTTAGCTGCACTAACAAGGAAAAAAATAAAATACTCAAATAAGATTAGTAATGAATCAAGAGAAATTACAACTGATACCACAGGAATACAAAAGATTATAAGAAGCCACTATGAACAATTATACACCAAAATATTTGATAATGTAGAAGTGGCTAAATTTCTAGTCACATACACCTACCAAGACTGAATAATAAAGAAACAGAAAATCTGAAGACCAGTAATTAGTAAGGAGGATGAATCAGTAATAAAAAGTCTCCCATCAAAAAGCACCCAGGAGTGGATTATGTCAGTGATGAATTCCACCAAACATTTAAAGAACTAATATCAATTCTTCCCAAACTCTTCTAAGAAACTGAAGTGGATTGGGAGGCCGAGGCAGGCAGATCACGAGGTCAGGAGATCGAGACCATCATGGCTAACACGGTGAAACCCCGTCTCTACTAAAAATACAAAAAAATTAGCCGGGCGTGGTGGCGGGCGCCTGTAGTCCCAGCTAATCGGGAGGCTGAGGCAGGAGAATGGCGTGAACCCAGGAGGCGGAGCTTGCAGTGAGCCGAGATCACGCCTCTGCACTCCAGCCTGGGAGAGAGAGCAAGACTCTGTCTCAAAAAAAAAAAAAAGGAAAAATTGAAATGGAGAGAGTACTAACAAACTCATCCAAGGAGACCGCATTACTCTAATGTCAAAACCAGACAGGGACACTATGAGAAAAGAAAATTACAGGCCAATATCCATAATTAATATAGATGCAAAAATTCCCAACAAATATTAGCAAATAAAATTAAAGAACACATTAATTATTAATCATGATCAACTATTTACCCCTGAGATACAAGGATGACTCCATATATGCAAATCAACAAATGTGATACACCACATTAAAAAAAGATGAATAAATATTGTATGATAATCTCAATCGGTATAGAAAAAGCATTTGACAAAATTCAACACCCTTTTGTGATTAAAAAAAATATTAGCAGCAGATTAGGTATACAGGGACTATATCTCAACATGATACAGGCCATATATGAAAAATCTGTAGCTAACTTATCCTCAATGGTGAAAGTTGAAAATGTTTCCACTATAATCAGGGACAAGATAAGTCTACTGACTCTTACCACTTATCTTCAGCATAGTACTGGAAATTCTAGCCAGAGTAATTAGGCGAGAAAGAGAATTAAAAGGCATTTTAATAAGAAAGGAAGAAGTGAAATTGTCTCTGTTTTCTGATGACATGATCTTATATAGACAACCCTACAGACTCCATCTAAAAACTGTTAGAACTAATAAACAAGTTCAGTAAAGTTACAGGATACAAAGTTAACATACAGAAGTTAGTGTTTTTATATGCTAATAACAAACTATCTGAAAAGAAAATTCAGAAATCTCATTATGTTAGGAGTAAATACTCAGGTATAAACTTAACAAGGAGGTAAAAGACTTGTATATTAAAACTATGAAACATTGAAGAAAAAATTGAATAAAATACAAATAAATGGAACATTATTTTGTAATCATGAATTGGAAGAATTCATATTGTAAAACCAAAGTGATTCACAAACTCAATACAAGCGCTATCAAAATTCCGATGTCATTTTTCACAGAAATAGGAAAAATGATCTTTAAATTCATATGGAACCATAAAAGACCCCAATAGTCAAAACAGTCTTAGGCAAAAAGAACAAAGCTGGAGGCATCACACTCCCTTATTTCAAAACATATTATAAAGCAACTGTAAATAAAACTGCTTCATGTTACCGGCATAAAACTAGATATATTAACCAATGAAACAGAATACAAGACCCAGAGGTAAACCCATACATTAACGGTCAATTGATTTTTGACAAAGTTGCCAAGAACACACAATGAGAAAAGGACAATTTCTTTAATAAATGTTATTGGGAAATTGGATATTTACATGCAGAAAAATTAAATTAGACTCTTATCTTACACCATATACAAATATCACTCAAAATGAAATAAAATTTTGAATGTAAGACGTGAAACTGTAAAACAACTAGAATTTAGGGTAAATACTCTGTGACTCCACTGGTCTGGGCAATGATTTTTTTGGATATGACTGTAAAAACATAGCCAACAAAATCAAAAATAGACAAATTGGATGATAAACTACAAAACTTCTGTGCAGTGAAGAAAGCAATTAACAAAGTGAAGAGACCAACCGTGGAGTGGGAGAAAATATTTGCAAAGCATACATCTGATAAGGGGTTAAGTGAGTAATAAAAAAATGCCAACAATTAAATAGCAAGAAAACAAATAACCTGATTTAAAAATGAGCAAAGGACCTGACTAGACACTTCTCAGAGAAGACATACAAATGACCAATAGGTACATGAGAAAATGCTGAGCATCAGTAATCATTAGGGAAATGAAAATCAAAACTATAATGAGATATCACCTTATACCTGTTAGAATGGCTTTTATCAAAACAACAAAAGATAGCAAGTGTTGGAGAGGACGCACAGAAAAGGGAACTTTTATATATTGTTTGAGAGAATGTAAATTTATACAGCCATTATGGAAAATGGTATGGAGGTTCTTCAAAAATTAAAAATAGAACACATGATCCAGTAATTCCACTTCTGGGTATATATGAAGAGGAACTGAAATTGCTATGTCAAAGAGATACCCGTACTTCCATAATTGCAGTAGTCAGGATATGGAACCAATCTAAATGTCCACCAGTGGAGGAATGGATAAATAAAATGTGGTAGATATACACAATGCAATACTATTCAGCCTTATAAAATGGGGAAATCTCATCATTTTTCAACAGCATAGATGAATCTAGAGGACATTATGCCAAATGAAACAGGCCAGGCATTGAAAGACAAATATGACATGATCTCATATGTAGAATCTAATAAAGTTTAACTCACAGAAGCAGAGAATACAATAGTGGTAGGCTGGGGGTGGGAGGTGGGGACAAAGGGAATAGAGAGTTATTGATCAAAAGGCACAAATGACCCCTGGAATCTAAAATATAATTTCAGAAAAAAAAGGTACAAAGTTTCATGTACACAGGAGGAATAGGTTTGACATCTATTGCACAACAGGGCAACTGCAGTCAATAATTCTGTATTGCGTATTTCAACATAAAGTAAATTTCAAATGCCTCCCCATAAAAAAAGATAGAAGGAGATGATAGGTATGTTAATTAACTTGATTCCACATTGTATACATATACCAAAATATCACATGGAACCCATAAATTTATATAATTATAATTTTCAACCAAAAAAATTGATAATTAAAATGTATTTAAAAATTACAGCAGCATATCATCAGTTTATTTAAAACTTAGATAAAAACCTTATCAGAATATAAATTATATCTTCTACTTATAGAATTCTCTTTGTTAATGTGAGCTACGTTAAAAAAATTACTAGAACAACATAATTTATTCTGGATAGCTATAAAGTAGATATTGTAATGACATTTGGATAGTGAATGTGCAATGTATTACCATTAAGTATTATATCAATATAATTCATTTAACATTTTTTTCTTTATATGAGGGGACTTCAGAAAGTTCACGGAAGAATGGAATTACAAGATGAAAATAAAAAAATTAGCTTTGTTTTTCAACATAAGCACTTACAAAAATTGTCTTTGTTTGATGAGAGGAAGGAAGAGGAGCATTGTGGTGGTGAAGAACTCTTTGTTGAAGGTTTCCTGCATGTTTTTCTGCTAAAGTGTTGGCTTTCTCAAAACACTTTCATTATAAGCAGATGTTATTGTTCTTTGGCCCTCCACAAAGTCAACAAGCAAATGCTTCGAGCATCCCAAAACCCTCTGCCAGGACCTTTGCTTTTGACTGGTACTTTTGCTTTGACTGAAACACTTCCACCTCTTCGTAGCCATTGCTTTGATTGTGCTTTGTCTTAAGGATCATACTGGTAAAACCATGTTTTATCTCCTCTTGCAGTTCTTCAAAGAAATGCCTCAGGATCTTTATTCCACTTGTTTAAAACTTGCATTGAAAGCTCTGCTCTTAACTGCAGCTGATCTGGGTGCAATGGTTTTTGGCACTCATCAGGTAGAAAGTTTGCTAAACTTTAATTTTTCAGTCATAATTGTGCTACCTGAACCAATTGAGATGTTGATGATGTTCGCAGTTTCTGCTGTTAATCATAGGTCCTCTTCCATTAGGGCACAGACAAAATTAATTTTTTCTAAGAAATTGGTATAGATGCAATGCTACTGTGGGCTTCATCTTCAACATTATCTGGTCCCTTCTTGAAATGAGTAATCCGTTTGTAAACTGCTTATTTTGGAGAGTGCATTGTCTCCATAAACTTTTTGTAAAGTATCAATGATTTCATTGTTCTTCCTCCCAAGCTTCACGATAAATTTGATGTTTGTTTTTGCTTTGACTTTAGCAGAATTCATGTCGCTCTGAACTCAGGGAGTCTTTTCAAGCTGATGTCTTATCTTTCTTAGTGCCTCAAACTAGATCCTGTTCATATATGTCATAATAAGTTAGTATGAGTTTATTTTGGTGCAAAAATAATTTAAAATTCATGTATTTTGTCAAAATATGCATTTTCACAAGCTTTTTGAAGACATTCATATACTAGAATGGTTTTGCAACTGTTTTTTTAAATGTAGAACACCATATTGAAAATAATACTCAAAAGCTTAGTAGATGAAATAGATAAGAGTGAAAAAGCTTTTTTTTGTTTTGGATCCTCCCCAATCGCATTACCCATTTCATCTCTTATCTCCTTGGTTAACACCACCAAGTTATCCTTAATGTTTGGTCGAGTTGAGTTTACAATCATGGGACAAGCTTAGGGTCAGAAATGGAGATTATTCCACCACTTCATTTAGTGTAAATTAAGTGTAGTATTTTAGAGTATGATATTCTGAAGTTTCCTTTTCAGTATCCTCCTTTTGTATTTGGAATGTTCTGAGATATATAGAGTCCCTAGCAAAGTACATTAGGGATTGGGCTCTATATAGAAACCTACGGTGGTGGAATATGGATGCAATATTACAACCCTATTGGCTATATTCCTCAGTGGGGAAAGCAGGCAGCAAGGTTGAAATCTGAGGGAAATCCTGCCCAAGCTGCTCAATGTTGAATAGAGTGAGCTACTCCAGATATTAAGGTACTTTGTAGAGAGTTGAAATATTTAAACAGACAATACTTAAATCTTTGCTTATCTGGCATGTGAAGAATCAAGCTGCTTTCAACTCAATCTGATTAAATAAAAGAGATGTAATAATCATGCATGTAGTTTATGGAGCAGTTTATACTTAATTGCAACAGAAACTTTCTAAATGTCCTGTAGCAGCAGATGATCTGAAGATTGCTTTAGAATTCCTAAAGATTTAGGAAAATTTTTTCCCTGATAATTCACAGTAACAGAAAAATACCTCAGTTTGTGAGACCACAGATTTAAAGGCTTCAATTTTGCAACATTTACCATTATAGTAGCAAAATAATCAAAAAACCAAAAGCCTTTAGATCAGGGTACAAGTAATTTACTATAAATTTTCCACTATTCAACTCATAGATTTATTTTCTTGAATTCTCTATTAGGATTGTGGCCAGAATTATATCTTTACTCCATGTTTTGCTATTAAATTGTTATTTAGGATAAAGAAACAAGCAAATGTAAACATGCCATTGCCATTTTGATGTAGTTTGCATATTTTAAATTTCTTAGTAAGTTGTTTTGGCGATTTTTTTTTTTTTTTTTTTTTGGAGACGGAGTCTTGATCTGTTGCCTAGGCTGGAGTGCAGTGGCAGGATCTCAGCTCACTGCAACCTCCGCCCTCCGAGTTCAAGTGATTCTCCTGCCTCAGCCTCCCAAGTAGCTGGGATTACAAGTGCCTGCCACCACACCAGCTAATTTTTTTGTATTTTTAGTAGAGATGGGGTTTCACCATCTTGGCCAGGCTGGTCTTGAACTCCTGACCTTATGATCCACTCGCCTCAGCCTCCCAAAGTGCTAGGATTGCAGGCATGAGCCACTGCGCCTGGCCTGTTTTGGAGCTCTTTTAGGTACATAAGGATTCCTTTCCTGCTGTACAGAATGCCTGCTTCCCTTCTTTCTCTGCTGCTGGAGAGAGAGAGAAGAATAGACAAACTCTGAGAACACTAACAGTGGCTTCAATTTCCTACCACTCTTTCCCTCCTATCATTCTTGCCCTGGGAGCCATGGTAACTGTGCCATACAGCCTAGAGGAACAAGGCAGAATTAGAAAGATCTTTATTTTTGTCTAGGTGATATGCAAGCAGCCTCAGACCATTTGGCATCCAACACATTCTTTATATCAGTTATATTACTGCATTGTGAATGTTTAGGCAGCTGAAAACAATGCTTTTGGTGGACTTTAAGAAAACATCATGCTAAGTCACCTGCAGTTCTAGTCAATTAAGTTTCCTGAAATCTTTCTGTATTGTGTCCTACATTGTGAATCATATATTACACTGACACAAAGTTATGTAGTGCAATTTCAGATCTCTGAATAATCACTAGATGAAACTGCAGGGTTACTTGTTATGAATCACAAAAATGATTTCTTTTCCTCCTTATTAAGTGAGACATTGTTACATAATATTGAAAATGTAAGGTGATTAATAATGAGGAAACTATTTGATGTTTTCATGCAGAATTTCTTTTTGTTCATATGTGAAGATTATAGGTTTAATATTGTTCTAGATTTGAATATTTTCATATAATGAAAAATGTAAAAGATTATTTATATGGAAACCATAACACTTAAGAATGGTACATCATCAAAAATTTAGATCATAGTTGTATTTATAAAAATCTTCCATGTCTGTAGCCATTTAAAAATATGCAAGGTACATACTTACTAAGAATATCAGATATTTATATTGGAATATATCACTACAGAAAGATATGCCATGTGAGAAAACAATTACAAAATTTCTCATTCATTTATTCTTTAATTCAGTCATTCACATTAATTCAGTAAATATTTACAATCTATAATGATAGCAGTGCTAAAATTTGAGACAAAGCATCAGTTAAAGTCACAGCAGTAAATCTTGAAGGAAAGAAACACAGTTGATGATATGGCAGTCAATTATATTTTTCCTTAACTAAAGAAAAATTGTGTTTTCAGGAATATAGAAGTAGCTTATTGACTACAACCTCACTACATTCTTAAGATGTGAGCTACATATTTATATGAATTTAAATTGCTTATATCTGATCATTCTAATGATTCTGAAATAGTAAGATAGAAGAAAAAAAGTGGTGCCAATGCTGGTAGCAAAACTTTGACTTTCATCTTGAAAGGATGTTGAAGTGTTATAGAATGCTAGAGTAGTTTTAGAAAACTGTTAGGTCAGTGGAGGAGATTAGTCTGCTGAATGAGTACTAGTAAATGCATGAAGACAAATAACTTATAATTCTGCTAAATTTGAAACCACATTAGATTTTTTTATATCCCATAAAATAGGTATTACTTTCTTTGCATTCAACTCAAGCAAAAGGCCCTTTTTCTAGAAACATAAAGTTCCAAAGTTGGAAAAAGTCTATTTGAGACTATCTAGGCTACCCTATGAAAGCAAAAACTTCACTGAACAATGTCAAACAGGCAAGGAAAATTTTATTTAAAGCTACTGCAATAGAGGAGAGTGCCCAGAAGGTAGTATGAACTCAATTCCATTGATACAAAAGACAGAAGAGTTTTTAGTGTTTGCTAATTGACTTTACCCAAAGGAAGAGTAAACTTTCTCATATCTTTGTGACAGGCAAGAGTTTTAAAACTTGGAGCAAGTCCTCCACCTAAGTTAGGCTCTTATTTTCTATATTCGTGATGATTACATTTCAAAGGGATGGCTTCCAGGTACTTGAGAAAGATATTCTTGGGTTGCAAAACTGGCAAGAAGCCTTTAAGAAGATTTACATTTCAAGGGAGCAGAGAAAGTATTAACAATTACAAGTTTTCTAAAGTACGTGTTCTAAGACAAGGAAATGGTCAGGACCCGTGTGGTCAGGACACCTGGATTTCCTAAGAGCTAGGGTGAGAGTGTCCTCATAAGTGAATGGAACATACTATATATTCAGCACAGAATTAGTGAAAAATTGTATAAATAAATTGATAAGTAAAATAATATGTGTATGAAAAAGTAGGCTCAAACTAAAACCCCTAGTTTGGTACTGCTGGGGACAAAGTTGACTTTAAAATATAGTACTCCAAAGTTCAAGAAAGAAATCAAATTATTTGCTAGAGTTATGAAATCAGATTGGAAAAGTACCTTTAATAGTCCCCGAACTTTAGCAAGATCATATGTAAACAATTCTAGAACAGGAGTTTCCGCTCTTTCAAAAATAATTCAAGAAAAGGATTTTCAAAATATCCTTCATAATCTACTTCTCAATTCATAGATACTATTTCCTAGTAAATTTAACTTTAATTTTTTCATGCCAGAGATTAAAACCCTTTCCTTTATGCTCCTAACATACATTGACCTAACAATAGCTAATAATCTATAGTTAGAAAAATTTAGATTTGAAACAAATCTTTTTATCCCCAAGGTAACTGAAAAGATAGAATAGGTGAGTTTTCTCTAAGATTGCACAGCAAATTATGAAGAGATATGGTTGAATGCAGGTGTACTAGTCCACTAACATAATTTTTTACTCTCTCCCAGAGCCTTTCCCAGAGTTCAGTCAGACAATATGAAGCAGATGAAATGCAAGGTCAAAGACTAATAATTCTGACTGTTCCCTATCCTGGGAGTCAACTAGAAGAACTAAAAGAAACAAAATCCATTATTATTTGAAACAAAACTACCCAGCATGTATAACATATCAGCTCCCTTAGCTACCATAATCCTTTAATCAGCAGAGAAGCTTATGTTAAGTTGTCCCTGGGTACTTTAGTAGGTATTTAAATATTAGGTGACTCCTAATTTTATTTTAGCTGAAAATTAATATAAGTAATATTAATATATTAAAATTTATATTTTCAAAGTATGATTATGAAACCATACAATGATTAAAATCATATTCTCAAGTATTGTCTAATACCTGCATATAATATTAGATACATTACATTATATATATTTTAAATCTTGAAAACTTCTAATAATTATATATTAATGGTTTCATAGTCATACTTTTAGAAATGCCTTTGAAAATTATTTACATGGCAATGCCACTGTTCCATATGTAGTGTGGATTCCGTAGGATGAAGGTCCTATGACTCTACTTTGGTAGAAATAAAAAATAACTAACCTGAAATAATTCCATAGTTCTTGAATAGGACTAAGCTTGTGATAAAAATGAACAAATAATATTTACAAGTATAAATAAAAATGATTTAGGCAGGCATTGAGGTGCACATCCATTCTTAAGCTGTGATTCTTTTGTGTGTTTCTATGGAGGAATAATTTGAAGAACTGGAAAATTCCTTAGGTAATTTCGTCAAAAAGCCCATCTCATAGCATTTTTTGACAACTAATAAGCATTACTCTTTCATCATGTGGCCATTTTTTTTGAAAGGGGTTAGGTAAACCCTAAAGGCAAAAATAAGCTTTTTTATACAACTATCTTATTCCTAAGGAGATAAATGGAGAACCATTAGACATGAAAAGCCTGTAAATTCATGAATTACTCATAATTGAAGCCAAAGTATCACAGTTGTAGTAGGGGCTTGAGACAGTATTAAAAAGATTCTACGGCATTTTGAAAAGTTCTTTGAATTATTCAGAATAGGCTTGTCTATGCTGCAGAAAGAAAAAGAAGACCAAGCCCTAATGCTTTCATAAAACAAAGATTTTTTATCCTCACTCCTGTAAAATCAAATGAACTTTGGCTAGCCCTTCTTTATCTTGCAGCCAGGCCATCTGGAGCACATGGACTCCAAGGTCACTGTAGTAGAATAAGAGGAAGTCATAAGACTGCAGAGAATGTTTTTAGTTGCCAGGTCTGGAAGTGGCACTCTTCACTTCTCCTATAATCTCAATGGCTGGAACTCAGTCCCTGGCTCGACCTTCCTGGAAAAGAAGTTAGGAAATATAATCTTTCTATGTGCCCAGGAAGAGATAACAATGTTATCAAACCTATCATCGAATCTACCACAATCTCCCAGTCATATGCTTTCCTAATTTCACCACCCAAATTGTGTTACAAAATCAGTATTCACTAAGTATTTATTGCGTTTATGTAAAGGTGTTCAGTACCTTGACATGAAATATAAGTATTTCCAGTAGTTATAATATTTGAATGTATTCTATTGATTGATTGATTGATTGAGACGGAGTCTCACTCTGTTGCCCAGGCTGGAGGGCAGTGCAGTGGCGTGATCTCTGCTCATTGCAACCTCCGCCTTTGGAGCTTAAGCGATTCTTCTGTCTCAGCTTCCAGAGTAGCTGGGATCACAGGCGTGCGCCACCATGCCTGGCTAATTTTCGTATTTTTAGTAGAGACGGGGTTTCACCATGTTGGCCAGGCTGATCTAGAACTCCTGGCCTCAGGCGATCCACCCACCTTGGCCTCCCAACACACTGGGATTACAGGCATGAGCCACCATGCCCTGTCTATTCTATCTATTTATAGAGTATTAGTTTTTCCAGCACTACTACCAAAGTGTCTTAAATCACACTCTTTCTCATAAATATCAGGTTCTCCAATAAGGTATTGAAAATATTGAGTTGTGTTCAATTCATAGCTAAATTCAAGGATGAATACTGTAAGAATCAATACCCTGGGTTATTATTTAAAGATAAATTAATGTATATCTACCAAATATGCAACTAATAAGAATGGCATGCTCTTATGAGGGTTGTACTAACTCTAACAGCAGCCCATCACATTCTGTCATGCTTCCATTTTCCATATAGGAATCATTTCTAGTTATAAGTTCTAGTGAGTAGCTTCCAAGAATACAATTTCTGGACATATGAAGTACAATCTGTTTAAAAAATAGAATTATTGCCCTCTGGAATAAAAGTATTACTCTTACATTTAAAAGGCATTCTTTAGGGACAAATAACTCATGTAGATAAACTTGTAAATACTTTATTTTCTTCCTTTGTACCTACTTCCAGAAATAACTTACAATAAGGCCTGCATAGGTAGTTCAAGTCCAGAATCTCTTACTAAATACCATTGGGGACAGATGTAATTGGCAATTCCTAATTTTTACTATTTTTTGTTGTTGGGGGGTAGAGAATTTCCAATTCTGTATGTCTATTCTATGAATCTGTCACATACTCTGTTTTGTTTTGCCTTTTACTCACATGTCAAACCCTGAATGTTTGCAGGTATTATTA
The DNA here is from genome assembly GCF_000001405.40 of Homo sapiens. NCBI lineage: Eukaryota > Metazoa > Chordata > Mammalia > Primates > Hominidae > Homo > Homo sapiens. The sequence continues at coordinate 186,100,417 of NC_000002.12, read as the reverse complement.
AGCATAAGTACTTTTATTATATGATAAATAGGCAAAGAGAAATCTTGTGCTGCTTTAGGAGTAAGTTCAAAGATAGCAGGGACCATCGTGTTGCAGACTCTTAGTAAAACAGCCTTCTCTTTTAGTAAAAGTTACATTTTCCATGTTATTTCCATTGTGTCTCATAATGCAGTACAAATACGGCAAGAGGGTCTATTCAATTTTTCTCTTACTTCAAGCTGCATGAAATGCACAGTGACGTTAGAATATTAAAAACTCTCAATGGCATTCTTCTCTTAGAATCTGGATTCAGTAGGTGGATCTAAAATACACCACATGGGCTTAATTATTAGTTTGACTGATGTCCAGTGTGGATGCTGTGGTTTCCTAGATGCCAGATCCAATTGCTCTGAGAATATCTCCCTTTTTATTCTCTGCTTCTTCATGCATGCATGCATGCTTTGACAGGCATCATGGGAATCACCAAGGCAGCAGATGGTCTATGCACAATTCCCTCAAGCATAAAACAACATTTCTGTACTTGTCGTTGGGACCTTAAATTGCACACTGTTCTATCTGATTATTTTCAAATTCTGGATTTGCTGCAGGTACTCAGATGAAAACTACTTGCATGAAAGAATTGAGACAACAAGATGAATTAGAGGAGCAGGTATTTAGGTTGAAACTAATTCTTATGTAAAAGTCACTAACACTGTTTTTTGTTGTTGTTGTTTATCACTGATGTTATTTTTTCATGACCTCTGAAAATATTAGGCAATGCTTGGGGTGTGCATTTTTATTCAACCAAATAAATAAATACTAGAGTTTTTTCCTGAAATAGAATAATATGCCAAAGTGCAAATATTTACTTTCTAATCTTTAATTGCATGTAATTCATAGAGATAACAACAAAGGTAATTAAAATAGATACAAAACCATAATATACTAAATTGATACTTAATATACTTATCACAGCAATTTGTTATGAGTTTTTTAAGACACAAATTTTTTATGAGAGTTATTTCTAACAGATATTGAGATAGTGGAAGGTAAGATTTGTGGATGTTTGAAGAGCTTTATATTCAAAGAAAATAGTCCAGAAAGATTTGAAAGAAAGATATATAAATCTACTGGGCTTAAACAGATTGTTTAATTTGGATTTTCTACTTTGCTCTCAATTTCTAGGCTTTAACATCTCACTCTCTCAAGGTACTTTAAAATGGGGTAATGTGTTAAACGTTTAAATAAATTAGACATTTGGCTCCAACAAAGAAATTGTTTCCAGTGGAAAAGAATGTTGTAAAGAAAATGCTTTAGAAAGGAGGGTAACAGTATGTAATGAGAATGGGAGAAGTGAACACTGAAGTTCTCATTACCACATGAATTTTAATCCTGACCTGAATTGTTCTTATCTAAGCATAAGTTCATACTCCATCAAAGGACTTGGTTTTCTGAGTCATCACCCCCTCACTGTTGCATGTGGGTATCACACAGTAAAACACATGATTTTTTGAGTCTTTATAGAGTTCTTCACAATACTGAGACTAGTTTCAAACTTTACATTTCACAGGGAATGTGATGGAAGCAAAGATTTTCAGTTGAAATGATTATTTAGGTTTCAGTTTGACTACTAATCGGGATAGTTCACATAAAAGTTGGTGAATGGACATTAGGTCAGAGTACAATAAGATTTAGGGGAGTATGAAAATCGTAATTCTTCAAGTCCTGATTATATCTAGTGTTTAACTCTTACCAACTAGTTTTTACATATTCCTCTGTCTTTGTTTATTTTTGACTATATTGTGGATTAGGGTGGTGGTTGCTAAATCTATTGACTCTTCCTCTCAAAATATTTCTCTGTAGCATGCAATGCTGTTTGACAGCATTTTACCTACAGTAGAACTTTCAAAATTGGAGTCAATCCTCTCAAATCCTGCCACTGCTTTATCAACTAAGTTTATGTAATATTCTAAATCTTTTGTAGTTATTTCAATAACGTTCAAAGCATCTTCACCAGGAATAGATTCCATCTCAATAAACAACTTTATGCATCCATAAGAAGCAACTCATCTGTCAAGTTTTATACTTTCTCCTCCGAAGTTTTAAACCACTCTATGTCATCTGTGAGGGTTGGAGTCAACTTCTTCCAAACTCCTTTTAGTGTTGATATTTTGACCTCCTCCCATGAATCAGAAATTTTCTTAATGTCATCTAGAATGGTGAACCATTTTTAGAAGGCTTTCAATTTACTTTCCCCAGATCTATCAGAAAAAATCACTATCTGTGGCAACTATAGCCTTATGAGGGATAGTTCTTACATAATAAGACTTCAGAGTTAAAATTACTTGATCCATAGGCTTAGAATGGATGCTGTGTTAGCAGGCATGAAAACTAGATTTATCTCCTTTCTACATCTCCATCAGAGCTCTTGGGTGACCAGGTGCATTGCCAATGGAAGTAATATTTTGAAAGGATTTTTTTTTTTTTATCTGAGAAGTAGGACTCTATGGCTGGATTAACATATGCAGTAAACTGTGTTGTAAACATATGTTCTGTCATTTAGGATTTGTTGTTCCATTTATAGAGAACAGACAATAGATTCAGCATAAACCTTCAAGGTACTAGGATTTCTAGGATGGTAAATGAGTATTAGTTTAATCTTAAATTCATCAGCTACATTAGCCTCTAACAAGAGAGTCAGCCTGTCTTTTGAAGCTTTAAAGCCACGCATTGTTTTCTCCTCTAGCTATGAAAGTCCTAGATGACATCTTCGTTCCATATAAGGCTGCTTTGTCTACATGGAAAATCTCTTTAGTGTAGCCACCTTCATCAATAATCTTAGTTAGCTCTTCTGGTTAACTTGCTGCAGCTTCTGTATGAGCATTTGCTGCTTCACCTTGCATTTTTATGTAATGGAGAAGGCTTCTTTCCTTCAACACTATGAACCAACTTCTCCTAATTTCAAACATTTCTTCTGCAGCTTCCTCACTTCTCTTAGCATTTATAGAATTGAAGATTTAGGTCCTTGCTTTGGATTGGGCTTTGGCTTAAAGAAATGTGGCTGGTCTGATCTATCTAGGCCACTGAAACTCTCTCCATATTAGAAATAAGGCTATTTCTTTTTCTTATCATTCATGTATTCACTTGAGTAGAACTTTTGATTTCCTTCAGGAATTTTTTTTTGAATTCACAATTTGACTAACTGATGCAAGAGGCTTAGCTTTCAGCCTATCTAGATGTTTGATATGCTTTTCTCACTAAACTTGATTATTTTCTAGCCTTTTATTGAAAGTGAGAAACCTGACACTTTTCACTTGAATGAGTAGAGGCCACTGTAAGGTTATTTATTGGCCTAAATTTAATATTGTTGTGTCTCAGGGAATAGGGTGGCCCAAGGACCGGGAGACAGATGGGGGAATGACTGGTCAGTGTAGGTGTCAGAAGACACACAACATTTACTGATTAAGTTCTCCATCTTATGCGGGTATGCTTCATGGCACCCCAAAGCAGTTACAATATTAACATCAAAGATCACCGATCACAGATCACCATAACAGATATAATAATATAAAAAAGTTTGAAATATTGCCTGAATTACCAAAATGTTACACAGAGACATGAAGTGAGCACATGCTAGTAAAAAGATGATGACATGACAATAGCCTTTCTAGAGGGTTTTCCCAAACCTCAAATTTATAAAAATTGAAATATCTACAAAGCACAATAAAGCAAAGTGCAATAAAATGAGGTATGCCTATATTTAAATTTTAATTATTTTAAATAAAATTTAAAAATATATTTTTTCACTTATACTAGCCACATTTCATGTGCATAATAGCACAAGTGACTAATGGCTACCATATTGGACAGTTTAGAGTGAACATTTTCTCCATCACATAGATTCCTATTAAATGGCCCTAGTCTAGCTGCCAAATACCAAGGATGATTAGCTCTCTTCCTTCACAGAGTAACATCTAAATAAGCATGTATTTCATAGTACTATTCATTATGTAACTCCTTGAGTATAATCTTAGAAGACATGCAATTAAAAAATTTGTTAGATTGCATTGGTTCTTAGGATTTTAAAAATATTCTAATAATGTTCCAAGTTAGTTTAAATGGATAAACTATTTTGCTTAATATTTAATTTTTAACTTTTGCTATAATATTATTTATTTAGAAATAGAACCCTTGCCTTATTTGGAATAAAGCTAACACTTGTGGATGGCAAAATAACAATAACAAATCTTCTAAAGTAACTCACTGGAAGGATAACTTAAAGGCAGAAAAACTAGGAAAACTTTGATCTGTTTCTTTTTCCTTTCATCTTTCGTCCCCCGAATTAATTCCCTGCATAACTAGGAAACACACAGAGATCTCATTGTACATGTTGATTTAAAAATAAATTCATTTTTATCCTTTTATTTCTCCTCCTTTACCTTCAATAAAAAAGTTTCAGTTAGAAGATTAATACAATATAAAAACATCTATCATTTCATCAGTTAACTACTACTTTATTTTCTCATTCTTTTCACAACCGTATGACATATTTCTACAGTTGATATATTTTATAATGATTGTAATAACCTCAGCTTTGCTGTTTAATTATATTATGCTTATATACAATGAACTTAATTTACTAAAATAAAGTATACAAGTCTAAAAATCCTCAAGCTGGAATTCAGAGATCTCCATCCAATGACCCTATCTTACTCCTTTAGCTATTTTCTTCACAGTGCCCACAAATCAAACTCTATTCTAATCTCACTATTTAAGTTACAATTTTTCTATGACTATACTCAAGTCTGACCCATGCTGGAAACTAAAGGACTGCTACCTGAAACCACACGGGAGCATGGGGGTGCTCAGGCTCCTTGCTTGCTCGTTTTATCATTCTTCATTCTCTGATGTCTTGTGGGCTGCAACCTTAATATGCTGTCAATCTTTGGAAACCACTATACAAACTCAAAGTTTGAGAACCCACATTTCTGTCATAAACACATTCTAACATTATGGAGAGTGAGCTAGGGTTGGGATTGGTGGAGGGTTGAGTGAGATGTGTGCTGTTTGATGGGGGAATTAGAGCATAAAAACATTTACCACCTTCTCTACAAATATCATCTATTGACCACTAATATTTCAATAATGTGTGAATAACAACAACTTTTACTTTTATACTTCTTTTTCTACTGTCATTTTTTGTTAGGTTAAGATATTTTTAAAAGTATACAATAAAGTAAACAGAATAATATAACCAACCACCATGTTTTTACCATTCAGTTCTATCAGAGTCTAGTAATGTTTTCATTATTGACCTCTGATTTTGATTTTTAAGGGTTTTTTGTTTGTTTTCTTGTTTTTTTCCTTTGCTTTAAAGAAATAGAACATTATAGACACAGTTGTAGTATCATATAAACCTTTTCTGGTATCTTTCCTCTTCATCTTCAGAAAAAAAATCTAGTCTTAATTTGGTGTTTGGCAGGTTATGTCTCATTTGAGTAGGTGACATTAAGCAAATACCTTAAGGGGGTTTTTGTAGTTATTGGATATGAAAACTTCAATACATTTTCCGAGGTCTCTTGTCTTACAGCAGAATCACATGTTTAAACATTCTTTTATGAAAGTTTGCATCATTATTTTGCTCTTGCTTTAAAATGATATGTTATTTGTGAATAAAATGTTACACTGACTGGTTTTTCCTTTATGAAGAAATATGGAGATATTACTTTATAGATTTATGGGTTCTAATAGCAGGTGAAAAGCTTTCTATCATACTTATTCTTATATTTTTTAGAATAATCTGTCTTTTCTCTCTGGTAGTTTATAACATTTGTTCCAGCTGCAGTTTAGCTAGAATGTGACTAGCTGTAAACTTGTATTTATTTATTCTGATTGATAAAGGAAGTTTATTTTTGATCTTATCACATACACATTTGTGCAAATTTCTCAACCATTCATAATTTCTTCATTATTTTTGGTAACGCTTATTTGATCTACTTCTTTCTTAATTACTTTATGACATTTATATCTGTGTCTCTCTATGCTGTGTTTTAAGTGATTTATTCAGCTCTATTTTTGCTACACATTCTTTATTATCCTGTCCATATTTTATGTTTAAATTGGGCTATTTCAGTGATTATATTTTTCAACTTGAACAATTCTTCCTAGAAACAATGTTTTTTGTTTCATTTCTTCCTATCTTATTTCATAATTTCCTGTTTCTTGTGACTTTTACAGTTTATAAGGTTTTATTATAAACCTTTGCTATAGTTTGGATATGGTTTCTTTTGTCTCCTCCAAACCTCATGTTGAAATTTGAACTCCAGTGTTGAAGATGGGGCTGAATGGGAGGTGTTTGGTCATGAGGCAGATCTCTCATGAATAGATTAATGCCCTTCTATGGTGGTGAGTGGGTTCTCGCTCTGTTAGTTCCCGGAGAGTTGGTTGTTAAAAAGAGCCTGGCACCTCTCCCCTCTGCTCGTGCTTCTTCTCTCACCATGTGATATCTACACATGCCCTCTTGATGAGTGGAAGCAGCCTGAGGCCCTTACCAGAGGCAGATGCCCAATCTTGAACTTTCCAGACACCACATTGTGGACCAAATAAATCTTTTTTCCTTTATAAATTACCCACCCTCAGGTATTTCTTTATAGGATCACAGAACAGACTAAGACAGTATCCAATATAAGTCTTTGATAGATTGTTCTATGAAGTTAAATATCTTCTGGACTGCACTCCTATTTTGATGTTAATGTTTAATTGCTGCCTTTCTTAGCATTGAATTTTTCGTATTTTCTTTTTTTGAATTAGTGAGTTTTGTGGGTTTTTTCGCTCCAACTCTTTAGAGCCAGATCTCCTAGTCTGGGTCTTGGGAGCAAGGTGTGTTCTTAGCTGTTCTGATCATGCAGTTTAGTTTTGTCCTTCTGCCTTTTTGCCTATATTGTTATAACTGTCATAGTTACATTCAGCAGATTGGAAACAGTTTGGATTCATCTTCCTTAAATACTATGCTGGTTCTGTCATGAGTCTTCCCACCTCTTGACATCAGGCCATGTGCCTGTTTCCAGTTAATGTTTCTTTTGGAGCAATACTGATGTCCATTACCTCACCAGAGCCAAACTTGAGATGTTGCCTGTCTCTGGATCCACAGTGCAGCACACGTGCTGATTCAGTCCCATTAGGCAGGAAAGTTGTATTTCTGGACCACAGTAATTTGTCTTATATTTGAGTCCAATCATAGCACTTTAGTTTTATATTTTTATATTTTACCTATTATTACTTTGTTTATATAGTGTAGAAGTAGGTGCCTTAAAGCATAAACATAACACTGTTTTGACTGGAATTTGCCTATTTGACATGGTTTCTTCTCAAAGTATTACATTTAAAATACTGATCTCAAGGTATTGCATTTAAAAGTGCTACACAGTGTGTTACTTAGTGAGAATATGCTCAGGGAGATGAACTCCTCCCTCTTTTTACAGCCAAATTAAGCTACCAACTAAAGCATAATTAAAAAAAGTGATATCCCTTTCGTTCTGTCTTCTGGTTATTTGGGGAGCAATAATAATGAAATTCTCAACTCACATCAATAAATATTATTTCATTCATTATTAATAGAGCCTATTTTAGCAACTTCACAGTTTTGTCATTGGAACATTCTTTTACAAAATAAATAAAAGCCTTTGAATTACAGTTAGTTTTAAACATCTTGAGGGTAAGTCATGGAGTCATTTTTTTTCTGACACCCTCTTATCTAACATATAGGTAAACACACAGATAAACCTTTAAAGTACTGTTTTATTGAGCCTAACTTTTCTGATGTAAGAAAACATTTAAATATCATCTATTTCTACTTTTTATTTATTTGCACTTGGATAAATTAAGTAATTGGCATAGATTCATACAGCTAATGTATAGCAGACAGAAATTATCTTGTTTCCATGACTAGATTTGAAGTTCTTGAATCAGAAAACTCAGACCTACACATCTTTACATGCCATATCACACATAGCAAAATGTCTTAAAAATGTTTGCTGATAAAAGTTACTAAAAATTACTGTTAAGAGGTTACGAGCTTAGAAAATTTTAAAAATAATAAATGACTTTCTTCACAGAATTGGAAAAAACTACTTTAAAGTTCATATGCAACCAAAAAAGAGCCCGCATTGCCAAGTCAATCCTAAGCCAAAAGAACAAAGCTGGAGGCATCACAGTACCTGACTTCAAACTATACTGCAAGCCTACAGTAACCAAAACAGCATGGTACTGGTACCAAAACAGAGATATAGATCAATGGAACAGAACAGAGCCCTCAGAAATAACACTGTATATCTACAACTATCTGATCTTTGACAAACCTGAGAAAAACAAGCAATGGGGAAAGGATTCCCTATTTAATACATGGTGCTGGGAAAACTGGCTAGCCATATGTAGAAAGCTGAAACTGGATCCCTTCCTTACACCTTATACAAAAATCAATTCAAGATGGATTAAAGACTTAAACATAAGACCTAAAACCATAAAAACCCTAGAAGAAAACCTAGACATTACCATTCAGGACATAGGCATGGGCAAGGACTTCATGTCTAAAACACCAAAAGCAATGGCAACAAAAGCCAAAATTGACAAATGGGATCTAATTAAACTCAAGAGCTTCTGCACAGCAAAAGAAACTACCATCAGAGTGAACAGGCAACCCACAAAATGGGAGAAAATTTTTGCAACCTACTCATCTGACAAAGGGCTAATATCCAGAATCTACAATGAACTGAAACAAATTTACAAGAAAAAAACAAACAACCCCATCAAAAAGTGGGCGAAGGACGTGAACAAACACTTCTTACAAAAAGACATTTATGCAGCCAAAAAAAAACATGAAAAAATGCTCACCATCACTGGCCATCAGAGAAATGCAAATCAAAACCACAATGAGATACCATCTCACCCCAGTTAGAATGGCAATCATTAAAAAGTCAGGAAACAACAGGTGCTGGAGAGGATGTGGAGAAATAGGAACACTTTTACACTGTTGGTGGGACTGTAAACTAGTTCAACCATTGTGGAAGTCAGTGTGGCAATTCCTCAGGGATCTAGAACTAGAAATACCATTTGACCCAGCCATCCCATTACTGGGTATCTACCCAAAGGACTATAAATCATGCTGCTATAAAGACACATGCACACGTATGTTTATTGAGGCACTATTCACAATAGCAAAGACTTGGAACCAACCCAAATGTCCAACAATGATAGACTGGATTAAGAAAATGTGGCACATAAAAAAAAAAAAAAAAAAAAAAAGAAAATGTGGCACATATACACCATGGAATACTATGCAGCCATAAAAAATGATGAGTTCATGTCCTTTGTAGGGACATGGATGAAATTGGAAATCATCATTCTCAGTAAACTATCGCAAGAACAAAAAACCAAACACCACATATTCTCACTCATAGGTGGGAATCGAACAATGAGAACACGTGGACACAGGAAGGGGAACATCACACTCTGGGGACTGTTGTGGGGTGGCGGGGGGAGAGATAGCATTGGGAGATATACCTAATGCTAGATGATGAGTTAGTGGGTGCAGCCCACCAGCATGGCACATGTATACATATGTAACTAACCTGCACATTGTGCACATGTACCCTAAAACTTAAAGTATAATAATAAAAAAAATAAAAAAATAAAAAAATAATAATAATAATAGAAGAATGTTACTTTGTTATGATTACTTGTATTATTTACACTGTTGTGATCACTGAGTCTATTTATCCACAAAGCACCTACCATTTTAATGGCAATTAAAAATTAGAAAAAAACCCACATAGAATTGTGTTTTTTTCCTTATCCTGTCTTCCATTCTTTATTTTTTGGAAATAATTCAATTTTCTATATCTAAAGCTATTTCTATAGTAACAAAATTGTTTTTTAAACTCTAAAAATGCAAGTATACTTCCACTGTTGGTAATGATAGTGTAATGGAGACTCAATTTACTCTTCTGCTGTATATAACTAAAAAACTGAGCAAAATATACAAAACAATGGATTTTAAACATTGGACAACCAGAAGCACAGGGATCATAATCCCTGACAGAAAAGAAACAAAAGAAATGAGCCTTGTTATTCTCCCCATTTTGTATTGCCTGGAAGAAGTTTGTGGGTCACAGAGTGAGGAGGGGAGCCTAAACATAGGCTGGTGGTCTCTCTGAGTTGAAGAAACAGAACACTCAGGTGGTATCCCTGAGTGAAAACGACTAGAATTCATGGGTAAGGGACTAGAAAGATGGTAGCTGCCCAGAGAGATTCTGGAGATATGTAGAGGAATCCTTTTTAGTCTTTTCCTGAGTACTAATATTCACATACTTCAGCGGAAACCACTGAACTCAAGTGAAAAATTTAATAGTAAGAGGTAGATTACACAACTTCCAGAGCTCACACAGGGCTAGACATAAAGTTGCCATCAACCAGAGAAGAGTTTGTAATCTGTATTCTATAGAGTCTTCTGAAGGGCATCACCTTGATGGATGTACAAATACAACACATTCCAAGAAATTTAACTGGAAAACTTCACAAACAAAAATTATTTAAAGGAAATACTTTAATATAGCACTGAACAATGTATTACTTAATTTAGGATTTAATACAAAATTACCAGGCATTAAAGAAAGACTATAATCTGCCTATGTCAAAAAAATGATTTTCAGATTTTACCCTGCTTTCAAACTAATGAATTAGCGTTTTACAGTTTCATAGATGCTAGTAGAAGACATGACATTCCTGGGTTAAAGACAAAGAACTTTATTACTTATGTAACAGTGGCCTGCAAAGAGCTTTATGTTCACTGCACTTCCTTTGCTTCCTCTCCTGACAAGTCCCATAGGGGGCAATGCAGAAGTGAACTCAAGTGGACACACAATAGATTTGTGGGACAGCTGTGGAATCCAGGGCTTAGGAAACTCAAAATCATGTAAGGTACTGCTAGAAAATCTGTCCTATCTTTGTTCCAGAGGAAGACATTATCTTTACTATCATAGGCAGGAAACAAATGTGCCCTCGTATTGTAAGGAGAACACTCTAAAATTATGACAAAAAGTACAGTATAGTAAATACATTTTTAAAAAGTTAACTGTAAAACAGTCTCAGGCAGGTCTTTCAGGAGGTAATCCTGAAGAAAGTATTATTATCCTAGGAGATGACAACTTCATGAGTGTTATTGCCCCTAAAGACCTTCCAGTGGAACAAGAGGTGGAGGTGGAAGAGAGTGATATCGATGATCCTGACTCTGTGCAAGCCTAGGCTAGTGTGTGTGTCTTAGTTTAAAATAAGGTTTAAAAATTAAAAATATTTTTTAAATAGAAAAGAGCTTATAGAATAAAAATATAAAGAAAATTTTTTGTACAGCTGTACAATGTGTTTGTCTTCTAAGTGTTATGAAAAACAGTAGAAAAGCTAAGAAAGTTAAAAAGTTTGTAAAGTAAAGAAAATTACTGAAAGCTAAGGTTAATTTATTTTTGTGAAGACATTTAAAAAATTAATTTAGTGTAGCCTAAGTGTACAATGTTTATAAAGTCTACGATAGTGTGCAGTAATGTCCTAGGCCTTCACATTTACTCACTCACAGACCCACCCAGAGCAACTTCTAGTCCTGCAAATTCCATTCATAGTAAACCCTCTATACAGTTGTATCATTTTAAAACCTTTTATACTGTATTTTTTCTGTATCTTTTCTATGTTTAGAAACATAAATACTTACCTTTTTATTATAATTACCTACAGTTTTGGTATAGTAACATGCTGTATAGGTTTGTAGCCTAGGAGCAACAGGCTATACATACAGTAGTAGCCTCTCCCATCTAGGTTTGTGTGAGTACACTCTATGATGTTCTCACAATAACAAAATTGCCTAATGATGCATTTCTCAGAATATATCCTCATTGTTAAGCAATGCATGAATGTGTATAGATTTTCCTGTTGTGATGTCTGTCTTTTATGCATGCATACAATTACTTTGAGTTGTTGTTGTTTATCTGAAAAAAATTCAGCGAATGTAAGTTACATATGTTTATGTAAAACATAATGTAAGCAACTTTTATTAATGTTCTCATTTTGCTTAGCTGTTAAGATACAGGCTAAATAGATTTTATTAATGATTGCTTCTATTACTGTTCTTATTTTTAAATTTTTTTATTACACGTTAAGTTCTGGGATACATATGTAGAACTTGCAGGTTTGTTACATAGTGCCGTGGTGGTTTGCTGCACCTATCAACCTGTCATCTGCATTAGACATTTCTCCTAATGCAATCCCTCCCCTAACCCCCCACTCCCCAACAGACCCCAGTGTGTGATGTTCCACTCCTTCTGCCCATATGTTCTCGTTGTTCAACTCCCAGTTATGAGTGAGAACATGCAGTGTTTGGTTTTCTGTTCCTGTGTTACTTTGTTGAGAATTATGGTTTCCAACTTCATTCATGTCCCTGCAAAGGACATGAACTCATTCTTTTTTATGGCCGCATAGTATTCCATGGTGTATATGTGCCACATTTTCTTTATCCAGTCTATCATTGATAGGCATTTGGGTTGGTTCCAAGTCTTTGCTATTGTGAATAGTGCTGCAATAAACATATGTGTGCATATGCCTTTATAGTAGAATGATTTATAATCCTTTGTATATATACCCAGTAATGGGATTGCTGGGTCAAATGGTATTTCTGGTTGTAGATCCTTGAGGAATTGCCACACTGTGATCCACAATGGTTGAATTAATTTACACTCCCACCAACAGTGTAAAAGCATTCCTATTTCTCCACATCCTCTCCAGCATCTGTTGTTTCCTGACTTTTAAATGATCGCCATTCTGTCTGGCGTGAGATGGTATCTCACTGTGATTTTGATTTGCATTTCTCTAAAAACCAATGATGATGAACTTTTTTTCATGTTTGTTGGCCGCATAAATGTATTCTTTTGAAAAGTGTCTGTTCATATTCTTTGCCCACTTTTTGATGGTGTTTTTTTTTCCTTGTAAATTTGTTTAAGTTCCTTGTAGATTCTGGATATTAGCCCTTTGTCAGATAAATAGATTGCAAAAATTTTCTCCCATTCTATAGGTTGCCTGTTCCCTCTGATGATAGTTTCTTTTGCTGTACAGAAGCTCTTGAGTTTAATTAGATCCCATTTGTCAATTTTGGCTTTTGTTGCAATTGCTTTTGATGTTTTAGTCATGAAGTCTTTGCCCATGCCAATGTCCTAAATGGTATTGTCTAGGTTTTCTTCTAGGGTTTTTATGGTTTTAAGTTTTACATTTAAATCTTTAATCCATCTTGAGTTAAATTTTGTATAAGGTGTAAGGAAGGCGTCCAGTTTCAGCTTTCGGTATATGGCTAGACAGTTTTCCCTACACCATTTATTAAATAGAGAATCCTTTCCCCATTGCTTGTTTTTGTCAGGTTTGTCAAAGATCAGATGGCTGTAGATGTGTGGTGTTATTTCTGGGGCCTCCGTTCTCTTCCAGTGGTCTATATATCTGCTTTGTTACTAGTACTGTGCTGTTTTGGTTACTGTAGCCTTGTAGTATAGTTTGAAGTCAGGCAGTGTGATGCCTCCAGCTTTGTTCTTTTTGCTTAGGATTGTCTTGGCTATATGGGCTCATTTTTGGTTCCCTATAAAATTTAAAGTAGGAAATTTGAAAAAGTTAACATGATAAAACTGTGATAAAACCGTGACATTAGTATGTAGTCAGAATAACCAAATGCACGTTTGAAGACTGTTACAAATATTGTAAACCAAACTAATTTTGTAAATAATTTAAATATGTTCACTATGAAGATTATCTCAATGACTAATTATATTATTGAAATCTAGCAAAATTATATTGGATGTCAACTATATTACTAATTAAGATGGGGTTTCAAGATTAAAATGATAATAACCTGTGAGTCTAGATTTGAAGAATAAAAAGTATAATAGATTTTTAAATGAAACTTTTTTGTCATGCCCAAGTTACAGATTGACAATTACTGCTCAAATAGTTAACTAAAATCATGTGTTTCTTGCATTTCACTTACTAGCACAGTTTTTAAAGTATCTAGTGTATATAAGGACAAGCCATTCTCAGTCAAGCATGAAACTGAATCTGAGGTAAGTTTCATAGAATTTGAAATAATGGTTATTATTCACATAAATAGCAATGTTATTTTTATGTCCATTGTTGTAAAAATTTCTGTTAAAACTTTTTATAAACATTTTTTCTCATCTAATATTCATAGAACGTGTGTGGGATGGGAGATACAATTTCCTTTAACAGATGACAAAGAAGATTTAAATAGGTCTTATCATTTATCCCAAATTATATAAATTGCTGGAGCCGGGATATGAATACATGTTGGCTTGACTTCAATAACCGTGTTTTTTCATTTATGCCAGTATGCTCCCTACATGTTAATAGTTAGTTTTGAAGAGGGGTCAGGAAACTATGGCCTATGGGTCAAACCTGGCACACCATTTGTTTTGTAAATGGAGTTTATTGTTACACAGTCACACTCATCCTTTTATGAATTGTTTATGGCTGTTCTTGAGCTACAGTGGTAGAGTTGAATAGTTGTGAAAGGGATCATATGGCTCACAATGCCAACAATGTTTACTATTTGGCTCTTTATGGAAAAAGTTTGCTAACTCCTGGTTTAGAATAATTAGTTACTTAAGTTTATGAATTCATTACAAAGTTAATATATGTCATTAAGTGGAAATGGAACTGAATCACATTTTCTTCATTATTCCCTGGGGCATGAAATTCTCAAGAAGTTATTTTGGGGAGAGAAAAATCCATGTGTACCTTACTAGAGATTTATGCATAGAGAGCTGTGCCCTAGATAATTGGGCAGCAGTTCCCCTTTTAAAAGGGGAGGTGTTCTGGAATAATCCAGAGGAGGGGAAGGACTAAAGAAACTTGCAACTGTGCTGGCCTGAAGAATTAAACTTGGAGAATTTGTGTGCCAAATGATGTCAAACAAAGTCACTGTGCACTTGGCCAGCTGAGGAGGAAGTGTTGACAAACAGCAGGCAGATATAAGTTTAGCCACTTGATAATCTTGGATATAAACAGTAATGATTTTGAGTTTGATATTGAGTCAGAGTGCATCTGCTTGTTTTGAATAGAGAAATGTTTCAGTAAAAAATACGTACTGATGGTTTTTAAAATATTCTCATCATGAAGCTAACTTAAAAAATAGTCTTTCAGTGGTTTCCTAGAAACTGTATTATTTTGTCAGAGAAAAAAAAAACTCTGAGACAGTTCTAAAAATATATTTGATCGCCTAAATATTCCTCAGATAGTGTGTGTCTTACTTGAACCACACAAAATCTGTGCTAACCTTGAATTTTTATCAGCTTAGAAACTTTAATATGAAAAGCTTAAGTACTCTCCCTTCTCCTCCCCAGAGTAATGGGAAAATTAAAGAGATAACATGAACCCCACCATTTTATCCTATAGTATGGGAACTTAACCCCAAATTAATTAAAATGGCACATCAAATCAGGAAGTAATTATATGACATGTCTCAATTATGTTCTTCCTAGATCTCTACCATATAAAAATTAAATAAAGATATTGGGATCTAATGACTTAGACCTCTAAAAGAAAGGGCAGAGTTTCAAAACCTTAAAATAACACAAATATTTAATTCTAACAGTTTTCATTCTTCTTTCTTGGCATATTGTCAGTGAATCACGATGTCATTACCAATTTCTTTTTCAAATATTTATTCACTCATTCACTCCCTCAATTATAGGTAAGAGATCTAAGAAAGATAGGGACTAAGTAAGTAGTAAGGTTATAAATTAAACATTACTGAAGAGTTTATAACCCTTTCCCATTTATAGAAGGATACAAGGTCTCTATCCTTCTTAGAAGACATTTTTTTAATGCTGCTGAAAAAGACTAGATTTCTATATATAGTAAAGAGGTAGCGAGATAATTGAGTAAGAAATGAAGAGGATAGTTGATTAGGTGGAGGTACAATTCAGATTGTTTTAGGCAGAGAAAAGTGAAAAAGGGATTAGAGCCATCACACTGTTGAATGAATCTTTAGGGGAGGAGTTGCAATAAGCAGATTTCTTTTGATAAGTTTTGCTATGTATTGATAGTGTTACTCTCAGTACTCAGTAATGCTTCTTGGTCAGAATTTTTATTTAATTGTACCACCATAGAGTGATGTGCCTTTGAGCAACAACAAGTATTGAATTATAATCTATGTAGATATATGCTAAGAAGAATAAATACAGAGTACTATGACAGCATAATTTAATTAATTATTAAGGTATCATTGAGGAAACAAAATATGAGACTTGAATAGGAATTATCCAATTATTCAAGAAAGGTTGGGGTGGGCAGAACATATTTTTGGTGTCTTTGGTAGGAGCAGTTTTGATATAATGGCAAAGGTAGAAGCCAGATGGAGAGTCAGTTCAGATTCAACATGGGCTTAGGAGATAAAGTAGCATATATAAAGATTCTTCCCAATAAATTTGACTTGAAATGAAAAAGAAAATATTATAGCATATGGAAAGTAATTTGGGATTCAAGGAGAGATTTATTTTTCTTTAATATGGGAGATGCCAGAGAATGTTTGAATACTCACGTACAACAATGTGTAGAAAGGGAAGATATAGTCAATGGATGTGACTAAAAAATGAGTAAGATAGGATCCCAAATACAATAAGAGTGCTAGGATTATAGAAGAAGGGAAACCAAACTCTGACATCCATTATAACAAGAGTGAATAAAGAGAGTATTGGTGACTGTTCAGGTTAAGTTTACAGTTTGGTGATGAGATGAGTTGAGTTCTTATCTGATGGCTTCAAGATTTTACAAAATAGTAATTGAGGTCATCAGCTAAAAAGTGTGATGAAAAGATGAAGGGAGTGAGAGGTTTGATTAGTGTGGAAAATGCATTAAAAAGTCATTGATATAAATATTTTAGCACCATATGAAAATAGAGTAAGATTGATGGACATTGTTGACTACTCAATTAATACTGTTAGGAATATATAATGCCAATCTATGTGATTTTATCTAACAACCCTCAATTGGCAGGATGTAAGCTCAAAGGAAATTAGTAGGGTCTTGACCAACATGCGAGAAGGGATGGAGAGAGGGACATAGAAATTAAAGACATTGATAACAAAATGATTTTAATGATTGTCTCTGGAACTTAAGCAGGAAAAGAAGAAAGCTGAAAACACACTGAGGATTATGGGAGAGGGGCAAGTGCATGAAGCTTCTCAATGGTAAGTGTTATAATTGAGAAGTTTGATTAAGTGTGCTGGAAAAATAGAAAAGAGTGAGTCAGAGAAGGGGATGTGGAATCGATGATTTGTTAATGATGGTGCAGTTTTTGGTCACATTGTGAAAAATGGAGAAAGAAATAAACATCATTAAAGCTGAGGTTCTGAGCACTAAAAACATTTTATAATAAAAGCTGAAGAGGAGCATAGGTAACTGACTTTCTGCTGTGAAGACATCTAGGCTCTTTTATTTTTAATTTCCCCCACTGATTCGTTCTCTGTAACAGTCTCATAAAATACACATCTCACTTTGTAATTATTCATAACAATGACTGTGACATTACAGTGCATTGCAAACATGTAATGATACAAATCTTAAGAAAGGCAATGTGGAATGAAAGAAGCTTTGCTCACAGTGACCATTTCTTCACTAGAAAATAGACCAGTCTTCTCTTCTACTCATAAAGTAGATATTAAATGCATTTGTTTATTATTTTGTCTTTTTCTTTAAAACATATAATTTCCTTCCATATTTTAACCCCTCTAGTCTTTAAGTTTTGTTGTTGTTGTTGTTGTTTGTTTTTTGTTTTTTTGAGATGGAGTCTCGCTCTGTTGCCCAGGCTAGAGTGCAGTGGCATGATCGCGACTCACTGCAACCTACACCTCTTGGGTTCAAGCGATTCTCCTGCCTCAGCCTCCTGAGTAGCTGGGATTATAGGCACACCCCACCACACCTGGCTAATTTTTGTATTTTTAGTAGCGATGGGGTTTTGCCATGTTGATCAGGCTGGTCTCGAACTCCTGACCTCATGATCTGCCCTCCTTGGCTTCCCAAAGTGCTGGGATTACAGGTGTGAACCATCACGCCCAGCCATCTTTAAGTTGTTGAATATGACATGCCATATCTGAAATATGATGCCAGCCCAAGAAAGGTAAGCCTCATCTTTGATGAACGTAGAAAACTGAAAATGCTTCCTGCATTATTTGAAACATAAGTATTTTGAAACTAGTTTATATTTTAAATTATTTATTAGGAAATTAATAGAATTAGAAGATTATAAAACCACAGAATTTTAGACCTTGAGCATATGTAGATGTCCTCTTTTCTGTTTTACAGATAAAAACAGAATAAATGGTTTGCATTTACAATTTATCACTGTAATGACTGAAACAGAATTCAACTATTTCTATGCCTCAACTTAGTAATGGTTTTCTATTAGGTAATATTATGGTTATATGAAACATGACTTTCATTTTAGGGCCAACTTTTAACTTCGGATTTTTAAATATTGAAGTAGAAAGTAGATTGATATAGATATTATGTGTTGATATAGATTGCATGTATTATGAATCAAGTGACAGAACTGAAATTAGAATTTATGGCAGATCTCACACCTCCAAGTATTCATAGCCATTTAAATATGAGAAAGGTCTTTTTTGCTGGCCATAGTTTTTTATCTAGTATGTCTGGTATTCTTGATGAATGTGAAGTATTTATTATGTTTCAGAATTAAAATGGGTAAAATATAGTGGCAGACTCAAATGATTGCAATTATGCTAAAGACAAAAATGTCAAAGTATCATTATTCTTTAGTTACCTGCTAATATTACAAGAATTATTCTAAACATCTTTATTTCCATTATATAATTATATATGTAATTATACAATATATTATATTTAACATATGCATATACTTGGCATGTCTTATATATAATTCTCATGATATCTTTCTTTTGCAGACATACAGACACTCTAAAAGCTCAAGAGATCAATTATTCAACTTCAAGAACTGAAATTTGAACACAGATTTTGAGCTTCCAAATCAGGTGCATTTTCTACTATTTTACAAGGATCTCTCTGTCTCTGTCTCTGTCTCTCTCTCTCTCTCTCTCTCTATATATATATATGTGTGTGTGTGTGTGTGTGTGTGTGTGTGTATAAAATGTTGTGTTTATTTTGGTAAAATGGGCAGGACAATGTATTTATTAGGTATAGCCCCATATATATATATCTCCACACATATATATATTTACAAAATATATCTTCATATTTTTTACTAAATATACATACCAAATATTATATCCAAATATATGTTCACATAGTTGGATATGTATAATATTATATATTTTTATATATTTTAACCAAATTATTGTGAGGATAAAGCATATATAAAAACCACAAAAATGAATTTTTTATAGAGAGGCAATAGTAAGTTAAATGTAAAATTTTGATTACAACTTGGAAAGTTACATTTGTGGACATCTGCATCTCACATTTAAAGTCAATTTGGTGGTTATATCTCTAATAATGAAGTTCAAGAATGCAGTCTCTCCATTAGGTATCAGTATGGTTTCTCTCTGTCTCTCTTTTTTTTAAAGCAGCTACACAGGGATATTCATCCAAGCAGAAAGATAATACCAGAGTTCCGAACTGGAGGCTGAATAGCAAAAGGAAGAAAAGCACTTCACATAAAATAGACAGGCATGCTTTCAGGACTAACTAAGCATGGTGAGGAAACAAGAATGATAATAGTATCTGAAAATGTGTTGCCTGTTATCATAATTAGTTTTGAGGTATTACGAAGTAAAAAGATACACAGATTCCAAGATGACTATATGAAAAACCCCATGTCTAAATTAATGGTCACAGTGATACAGTAGGTATTACAAAGAATGTAGACAAAACTACATAATTTTGTATAGCGTTTGTTAAAGCCTGGCTTAAATAAGACAAACTTCTAAATTAACTTTTTTATACTCCTCCATTGTCTATCAAATTAAGCACACTGTTTTGTTAAGGCCTTTCATAACATGTTTCAAACCTATCTCTCTGAATTTTCTCTTTAAACTTTATGAAATCTATCTTGTTAAACTTGTAATTCCTCAAACATATTTAGTGCTTTGTGATTTGTCATTTCCTTTTACCCAAACCACCGTTTCAGCTTTTTGCTTGCTTTGCTCATCATTCAAGGTCCATTTTAAAGTCCAAATCTATCTTATGTATTGAATCTTTCTTGAAGAAAGAAATATTTGGTTTTTAAAAGGAAGAGTATACTCAGCATCTCTAACTGAATATGCTCTCCCTTTTCTTAACCTCTCCAGGACCTGTCTTTTTCATCAGATTGTCAGTGAATATGTAGATTTACAGCAGGAAACTTCACTAAGAAATATAAGTAAATTAGTCCTTTGAGAGTTCATCTTTAAAATCAATGCTAATGGAGCAGTGCAGAGATAGAAGGGCATCCAAAGGAGGAGAAAGAGTTCTCAGTTCTAAAAGATTGGATCATAGTCCTATTGTGTATACTAACATATTGAAACAATAAATGAGACACTCATGCTAAATTAGACTTGAGTACAATAATGAAGAGAAGTTTCAGGCAAACTTCAGCAGTGGCATCCAAAGGGGCTTTAAAGGAAAGGAAGCCTTAGGCTCATCATTTGGGTATTTTAGCAAGCAAGCATATCTTTAGGGTGTTTAGGCATTCTGTGAAGCTAAAGGACATTAGGTAGTATAAAGATTCTAGTGGAAAGTCATCTCAATAGTGAAAATCTTGCTACCAAATGCATACATATGCTTGCATTTTCATCCATTCTCTCTTTCTTCCTCCTGCTGTCCTGCTTTAAGGGAGGAAGTATCCCTTCTCTTATATAAACCTAATCTTAGCACCGTGTTCTGGATCCCATCCTCTTTCCAGGTTCTCATATTGTATTCTACCCACTATTCATTCAATCTCTATATCTCTAAGTGTTTAATTGCAGAAGTCAAAAGATTAAAGGTTATTTTTGAGATCTCAGGTTAGCATCATTCAAATGCCAATTCTGAGATAAGGATTCAGGAGCAAGGAGTTTATTTGAGGGTTTCAAAGTACATTAATAGAAGAGTACAGAAGTGATGCTGGGTAGGGAAAGCAGCTAACAGAAGGTGGCAGTTAAAGTGTACTAACCCTGTGGTCAGTTGGACCTGTATCAGAAATTGGTATGGAACACATGCCTCAGAAGTATACCACTTGGAGGGTGTACTTCCAGTATGACAATGTGAGTTTTGTGGACCCGTTCCCAAGTGAAACTGGTAAAAATTATTTATTAAAAACCCACTCTTTTAAGTCTTTGGGAAATGATCCCAAAGGTATAGAGAAAATAAATATTTACTAATTAAAATCTACTAAAAATTGGTAAGAATGGTGAGAATCTGGTATTTGCATAGAGACTCACTCTCTTCCTCCCTTCTCCCAAATCATCAAGAAAGAAACTACTCCAGACTATTTCAGCCAAAAACACAGGTCTCCTTCTCCTCTCAGCTCCCAGTAAGAGGGCTTTCTTTCTTTTTATATATATATATATATATATATATTTTTTTTTTTTTTTAATTATACTTTAAGTTCTAGGGTACCTGTGCACCACGTGCAGGTTTGTTACATATGTATACATGTGCCATGTTGCTGTCCTGCACCCATTAACTCGTCATTTACATTAGGTATATCTCCTAATGCTATCCCTCCCCACTCCCCCCACCCACAACAGGCCCTGGTGTGTGATGTTCCTCTTCCTTTGTCCAAGTGTTCTCATTGTTCAATTCCCACCTATGAGTGAGAACATGCAGTGTTTGGTTTTTTCTCCTTGCGATAGTTTGCTGAGGATGATGGTTTCCAACTTTATCCATGTCCCTACAAAGGACATGAACTCATCCTTTTTTATGGCTGCATAGTGTTCCATGGCGTATATGTGCCACATTTTCTTAATCCAGTCTATCATTGTTGGACATTTGGGTTGGTTCCAAGTCTTTGCTATTGTGAATAGTGCCACAGTAAACATATGTGTGCATGTGTCTTTATAGCATCATGACTTATAATCCTTTGGGTATATACCCAGTAATGGGATTGCTGGGTCAAGTGGTATTTCTAGTTCTAGAGCCCTGAGGAATCACCACACTGTCTTCCACAATGGTTGAACTAGTGTTGGTGGGACTGTAAGAGGGCTTTCATCTCTGGGGAAGCAGGATGGTTCATCCTTCCCCCAGTTACCTACCCTTGAGCCTAAGTTCTTGATGAGAGTTCCTGAGAGGCAGGAAATCCCTTCTCCTGCCCACCTCCACTCATGGTATAAAGGTTATGCTTTAGGCAGGGAGCTACTGAAAATACTGAAGACTCAGTCTCCATGACTCAGATTCATAAAGTGGTGGCCCCACCATGGAAGAGGCAATCTGACAAGATATGAGGCTGCTGCTGAGTGCCTTCTCAACCCTAATGAAGCACTTAGCTCCTAAAGTGGCGGCTGTCACTCATAGAGAAGTGCACCATTGTCCCTACTCCCAGATCCAGAGACATAGCTCAGATATTTTGCCTGGAGAGAAGCAAAGCATAAAACTAATAACTACTAATCTCTTCCCCAAGGAACTCATTTTATGTGTAACCCAGGCTGAAGAAATTCAAGCCTAAAAGTGCTCTCAGAAACAGTGGAGGTAATTGTGAAAGGCAATTGGAAGGAGTTGGTAGATTCATCAGACATATGTGTTAGACTGCAGGCCAGTTAGTTTGCCTGACAGAACCTAGGAAATAGCAGCTGGAATCCACCTGAGTCACAAAAAATCTTAACCACTGGCCTCCGGAACTACCTCTCAAAGGAGCCCAGATTTGAATATCTTTATCTGTGGAACAGTTTATGTTCCAGGATACTTCACAAAAATAATCTAGACAGTCATTAAACAAATTAATAAGCAAATAGCAGTAATAAGTTCTGAAGAGGGATGGCCAGTACCTAGTGTTGTTATAATTTATTTAAAATGCCCAGTTTTCAACAAAAAAATTTGAGACATAAAAAGAGACAGAAAAGTATGACTCAAACACCAAAAAAAGCAGGCATTTAAAACTACCTGCGAGAGTAACCAGATATCAGATTTTAACACACAAAGATTTCAAAATAATCATTATGAATATGTTCAAAGAAATTTAAAAAATGATAAATAGAAGAAGCTATGAAGACAATGTGGTATAAAATAGAGAATAAAAATAAAGAGATAAAAATGATTTATAGAAAGAACCAAATGGAAATAAAATGCTGGAGCTGAGAGTACAATAACTGAAATGAAAAATTAACTAGTGGTGCTTAATATTTATAACATTGTATCATTGAATTTGGTGACGTAAATTGACAGAAGAAAGAATTGAGCTTGAAGATAGATTGATAGAGATTATGCAAGTTCAAAACACAGAGGAAAGAAATGAAGAAAAATAAACAGATCCTCAGAGAAGGGTTGAATACTATTAAACATACCAATATATGCATATTAAGAATATCAGGAGACAAGGAAAAAATATTCAAAAAAATAATAGCTTAAAACTTCCAAAATTTACTGAACAACAAGAATCCACACATCTAGGAAGTTCAGTGAACTCTGAGCAGGATAAACACAGAGAGCTACAAACAGATATATGACAGTAAAAATGCTAGAAGCCAAAGGCAAGGAGGAAATCTTGAAGGCAGCAAGAGAAAAACAATTTGTCGCTTACAAAGATAGACCATTAAAATTAATAGCTAACTTCTCATCAGAAAAAAATGAAGACCAGCCGAAAGTGGGATAACATATTCAAAGCACTTGGATGAAAAAGACTATCAACCAGGAAGCCTATACTTAGCACAGCTATCTTCCAAAAATTAAGAAAAAATAGACATTTGGAGATAAACCAAAATGGAGAGAATTTGTTGTTATCAGACTCATCTTACAAGAAGTACTAAAGGAAGTTCTTTAGCTTGAAAGTAAGTGACCTCAGATGGTCACTTGAAAAAACAAAAGCATTAGTGAAGATAATTATGCACTTACAAAAGACAGTATAAATGCATATTTTTCTTTTTCATTACTTAGAAAGCAATTGTATAAAACAATATGTATGTATCTATTATTGCGCCTATAATGTACGGAAATGCAATACATTTGATAAAAACAGCAGAAAAATGGTGAATGGGAACGGATTCATTTTGGAGTAATAAATGCTAACAGATGGTAACTGGAATCTACCAGAACAAATGGAGAAATGATAAATAGAAAGGTTGATATAACAAAAGCTATAAATATATACTTGGTCTCCTTTTAGTTTCTTTTAAAGACATAAAGTTATGTAAATTAATATTTATAACATTCTATCATTGGGTTTGTAATATTTATAGATGTAAGATATACAACAAATAATACTATAAGACAGGAGAAGGGAATAGAGCTATGTAGGTGTAACATTTGTATATCTCACTGGAATTAAGTTAGTACACATCTGAAGCTGGTTCAGACACATTAACATGTACTGCTGACCCTTGAACAATGTAGGGGTTAGGGGTGCTGACTCCACATGCAGTAAAAAAATCCCCTATAATTTTTACTCCCTGAAAACTTAACTAATAGCCTACTGTTGACTGGAAGCCTTATTAATAACATAAACAGTACTATATTTTTACAATTAAGTAAACTAGATAAAAGAAAATGTTATTAAGAAAATTATAAGGAAGAAAAATATTACTATTCATTAAGTTGAAGTGGATCATCATAAATGTCTTCATCTTTGACATTTTGACATTGAGTAGGCTAAGGAGAAGGAGGAAGAGGAGGGGTTGTTCTTGCTGTCTCAGGGATGGTAGAGAAGGAAGAGGTGAAAGGGGAGGTAGAAGAGGCAGTCATAAATACTTGTATAAGTGGACTTGTGTAGTTCAAACCCATGTTCAAAATTCAACTGTATATAATAAGCTGTAGAACAATCACTAAAGAAATAAGTCAAAAGTTGTCCTAAAGATGTTATTAAAGAAATTTAATGATCGCACTAGAAAATATTAACAATCAAAATAAAACAATGAAAGCAGCATCGAACAAAAAGACGTGAGATAAATAGAAACAAAAAGTAAAATGAAAGACAAATATTATCCAACCATAATAAGGAATGAAGTGCTGATACATGCTACAACATGGACGAATCTTGAGACATTAATGCTAAGTGAAAGAAGTAAATCACAAAAATGACATATTATATGATTCAATTTATAGGAAATGTCCAGAATAGGCAAATATATAGAGACAGAAAGTAAATTAGTGATTTCTTAGAGCTGGCATGTAGATTGGGAGATTGGAGAATGGCAGCTAACTAGTAGAGAGTTTATTTTTGAGTTGATGAAAATGTCCTAAAATTGACTATAGCGATGGTAACACATCTGTGATTATAACAAAAAATTTCAAATTATAAACTTTAAACTGCATACTTTAAATAGATGATTTATATCTTTCTATATAAAATAGTTGTGTAAATTACACCTCAGTAAAGCTTATAAAAAATAAAAGAATATCTCACCTGAGTGGTGAGGATAATTAGACATTTATAACCACCTCCCAAGAATCATTTATTGAGTTTGCTTCTGGTGGTGGTGATTCCTTTGCATTTCCAGAAAGTGGCCTTCCCCAGTTTCAGAAACATGCCTTAATCACAGAGATGCAGACATTTTAAACTAGAATTTGTCCAGATCACACTGATTGTGGTAAGGTTTGAGATAAGTGGACCCCTGAGAATATCGACTATAGTCTAGCCTTTCTACTGCTCAGATCTATTTACATCTTTTGTTTTTTTCAAATTTTACTTTAAGTTCTGGGATACATGTGCAGAACGTGCAGGTTTGTTACATAGGTATACATGTGCCATGGTGGTTTGCTGCACCTATCAACCCGTCATCTAGGTTTTAAGCCCCACATGCATTATGTATTTGTCCTAATGCTCTCCCTCTCCTTGACCCCCACCCACTGACAGGCCCTGGTGTGTGATGTTCCCCTCCCTGTGTCCATATGTTCTCATTGTTCAGCTCCCACTTATGAGTGAGAACATGCAGTGTTTGGTTTTCTGTTCCTGTGTTAGTTTGCTGAAAATGATGGCTTCCAGCTTCATCCACATCCCTGCAAAGGACATGAACTCATCCTTTTTTATGGATGCATAGTATTCCATGGTGTATATGTGCCACATATTTTTTTATCCAGTCTATCATTGATGGGCATTTGAGTTGGTTCCAAGTCTTTGCTATTGTAAATAGTGCTGCAGTAAACATACGTGTGCATGTGTCTTTATAGTAGAATGATTTATAATCCTTTGGGTATATACCCAGTAATGAGATTGCTGGGTCAAATGGTATTTCTGGTTCTAGATCCTTGAGGAATCACCACACTGTTTTCCACAATGGTTGAACTAATTTACACTCCCACCAACAGTGTAAAAGCATTCTTATTTCTCCATACCCTCGCCAGCATCTATCGTTCCCTGATTTTTTAATGATCACCATTCTAACTGGTGTGAGATGGTATCTCATTATGGTTTTGACTTGCAGTTCTCTAATGATCAGTGATGATGAGCTTTTATTCATATGTTTGTCAGCCACATCAGTATCTTCTTTTGAGAAGTGTCTATTCATATCCTTTTCCCACTTTTTGATGGTTTTTTTTTCTTGTAAATTTGTTTAAGTTCCTTGTAGACTCTAGATATTAGACCTTTGTCGGATGGGTAGCTTGTGAAAATTTTCTACCATGCTGTAGGTTGCCTGTTCAACTCTGATGATAGTTTATTTTGCTATGCAGAAGCTCTTTAGTTTGATTAAATCCCATTTGTCAATTTTGGCTTTTGTTGCAATTGCTTTTGGTGTTTTAGTCATGAAGTTTTTGCCCATGCCTATGTCCTGAATGGTATTACCTAGGTTTTCTTCTAGGGTTATTATGGTTTTAAGTTTTACATTTAAATCTTTAATCCATCTTGAATTAATTTTTGTGTAAGGTGTAAGGAAGGGGTCCAGTTTCTGTTTTCTGCATATTTACATCTTATATTAACTACATCTAATTACTGTTTCTTAAAAGTGGTACCTGGTTACTTTTTTTAAAAAAACAAACATTTAAAATCACAGGGTTGGTGAGAAAAACTACAGTCACCCTGCTGTAATTGGTACTAAGGCTGCAATGGAAATTCATCTTCTTTCTCTAGCACCTGATCTAGAATCCTCTCATGCTTAGATGGCTCGGCTGCTCTAGATTCCCTTCTTTGGTTGGATAACAGAATCCTCATCAGTGAATGTCTAAGCTTGTCATTACCATACTTCTCAGATTGGAGTGTCTGCAAGTAATTGTTTAGAGTTAATACTGGATAAAGAAACAATTTTTTAAAAACCCAAGTCTTATCCACTCTTTTATTAAGCCAGTCTATCACTCCTAAGCTCTAATCCTTAGCTGTTTTCACTGGGGCTTTTTGGCAAATAATTTATTTTTTCTCAAAGCTGGGGCAGCCCTTTCTTTCTCAGCTGGAAAAGACCTAGTTAGATGCTTAGAAGCCATGAAGGATACTTCTTAAGCAGGACAAATATATTCTTGCAAAATGTATTCTAACTAACGCTTCTATATTATTTCCAGGCGAGGGAGGGTGCTATCTTCTAGCAAGAGTATAGTTGGCTAGAACCCCTGGATCAGAGGGTTCCAGGGAATCAGAGAATCAAAGCTCTTAAGTGCATCAACCAGATGTTATAGTAGTTCTTATTAGTGCTTTGATGTCAGCAGAGGAAAGTTGATAGGGTTATTAATTTAAAATTTCTCTGCAATTCTGCTATAGTTACAACCAAATCTTGGCCTAGTTTTCAGACTAATCTACTGTTTCCTTGCTGAAGATGAAGCTTTTTTAAAAAAACACCACCATAGAGGACTTTTGGCTTCCAAACCTGACCCTAGATGGTGGTTGGCTAATTTCAGGCTGTCTGTTTCTTTGTTCAGTGAATCAATTGCACTTAACAGTTACACATTTCTGATAGTATCATTGCCACTATATCCGTCACACAATACGGATATTGGATAAGCTATCACATTTCCACCTGTGTGCCATCCCAATTCATCAAAAACAAGAATCTTATTTACTCTAAAGCTACTATATTCCAGGAATGATTGCAACTCCACTTAAAACAAAACAAAACAAAAAATGGTTCCTTATTGCTATATGGCAGGTGTGATGCTTTTTATGTGTCAATTTTACCAAGCCATGAGGTGCCCAAATATTTGGTTAAACATTATTCTAAGTGTTTCTGTGGAGGTGTTTTTAGATGGTATATAAACATTTAAATTTGTAAACTGAGTAGAATAGATTATCCTCTGTAGTGTGCTTAGGCCTTTTCCAATTAGTTGAGGGCCCGGATAGAACAAAAAGGATAATACTTTCCCAATTAAGACAGAATTCTTCCTGCCTGACTGCCCTTAGAACTGGAATTTTTTTTTTTCTGCCTTTGGACTCTAACTAAAATATCAACTCTCCTTGGGTCTCAAGCCTGCCAGCCTTCAGATGGAAACTACAAAATTGGCTCTCCGGTTTTCAGGTCTTCAGATTCAGACTAGAACTAAATCATTGGCTATCCTGGTTCTCTAACTTACTGACTTATTCTGCATATCCTTGGAACTAGCCTGTTTCCATAATCACATGAACCAATTCCTTATAATAAATCTGTCTCTCTGCCCCATATGTAAAACTTAGGTTGGTCTCTCTCTCTCTGTCTCTCTCTCTCTCTCTCTTCTTTAATTTATATATATATGTGGTTCTGTTTTTCTGGAAACTAATACAGTGGGTGAGTAATCCAATCTCAGAATCTTACCCAGAGGATAAGCTTTCTATGGTCACCTCTGGTATGTTGGATTCCTCCAAAAGTATCTGTAAAATAAAGAGGTCATTTCAGATGATGTCCAACTTATTTTATTGTTTTCATTTTACCATTTATGACTTTTTAGGATATCTAGAATATACCATTCCATCTGGAACAAGTCTGGTTTGACATAATAGGATTGCTCTGTTAATAAAGGAAGAAGCAGTTAATCCACGAAAGAAAATCTAAGGTTTATTGGTAACTGACAATTTGAACCAAGCTGGTTTAAGGTCCAAAGTTGAGCTAAGCTTGAGGAGAGATTCAGGGTCTGAGGAATGTTACCTAGAAATTAGGGAACAGCAACAGGAGATAATTTCTAATAATGTAATTTTGTTTGTATTCCCAAGAGACATTTCTTTAATATGAGCACATGCTTTGTTCATATGTTTTAAAGTTATTGTTTATTTTGCCAGTACATTTGATTACCCATATTACATATGGGTTGATGTAAAAGTAGTATTCTTTGTTAAATTCAGAAAACATAAAACAAAAGTAACTCCACTTTAAAAAAATGCCTGCAATATTTTCTTGTTATTAAAAATATACTTATAGTTCTATACCCTAAACTCCTGCTCAGTGTAGCAATCTTGTCTACAAATAATCTTTCCACTTTTTAAAAAATTCTCAGTGATGGAAGATTGACTACCATATAAGCAGCTTGCTTTATTAGTAACTCTTTTGAGTTGAAGTTTTTATTTTATACAGCTTCAAAATCTTCCTATTTTTAACTTTTACTTGGTGGTTAGAGTTATATCCTTTGGAGCTACTGCCCCTATCTCTAGTTGTCTATTAAAATGTTTCCAACTCATAAGATAAGTGGATTGTTGAGCATCACCTTCACTATCTACATCACTCCTCTCTTTGCACTTTAGCACTCTACCCTATGTGATCTGATAAAAACAGAACAAGGGTAATGTTATTTTTCTTTCTCTAGATTCCATGTTTATATTGTTGTGGTTGTGTAAACTTTAGAATAGATTCTAAAGGTTATTTGTATCCTTATTTCCACATACCTAAATTTGGGGTAATGTTTTGTACTTAGGATTAACTTTCAATTATCTCTGTAGCAAATTTTAGATGGAAGTTGCTAGCCTCCTGCCAAGGAAGAGGTGGTGCCTGTACTACTTTCCCCTCCGTCAGTTGTTATGTGCTTTGAAACAGAAAATTATGCTTATAGTAGCCTTCACAGTGGATATGAATGTTCACTTAATACATGTGGCTATTTGATAGATATATTTCATGAAATTCAAAGTAAAATATGATTGATATTGAAATGTTTTGCTAATTTAAGACATCAGTGAATGTGTTCTTTTATTTCTCCATTGGAACATGTAAATCAACTATTAAATTTACAATGCAGGTCTCTTTTTTCAGTGCTTAAATTGTAATTTGTAAGATATGTGCAGAAGAAATAATAACATCCTCCAGCATCATATGTTTTAAAAGAAATGCTGTAACTGGCAACAAATCTCTCCGGACACATGATGTATAGCATATCCATCCGTATGTGTCCTTAGTTTGTCTTGGTCAACTGGTTCCTCACATGTGGCTAACTTGTAGATCAGCAGGCAATGTGCAATGTCAGGCTATTGTGCTGAGGTTCCTTTCTGTTTAGAAAGAAGTAACCTGCTTGTGTTCCTTCAAAGTCCTGAACAGTCTGATTTCAGCATTTTGGCTTTCTTTTTATGTGAGGTGAAATAGCAAGCTGTGTTTAAGTCACAGATGTGAATGCTGAATAGTTAAGGGCACTGTTGTTAGGAAAAAAACAACTCAAAAAAATAAAAAAGAAACAATTTCTTCTTCAGTTGAATGGGAGTATCGATTTTAGAGGACTTAAAAGCTATATTTTATGGTCTGTTACCAAAATAGCATTTGCTAAACTTAGGGATAAAACCACCCTTTTGTGTTTTTTAGGGATAAAACATTAAAAGAGTAATACAAATTTAAGTTGTAGAAACCCATTCAGACTTCTAAAGTGAGATCTCTTAAGAGAAATTATTTATAATGAAGAATGGGATCATTCTTTAAAATCTATATATAACTATCAAATCTCTAGTAATTTAACATATGATGCTGAAAAGCCAGTTGTTAGTTTTCTCACATTAAATGAAAAATGAAAACTTAAAAGTACCAATATAGTTTCAAAGAAATATCTATGTTATTCCAGGTTAAAAGCACAAAAAAAGGCAAAATGAAAACAATTCTTTATAGCTTAAAGATTTAAATACTTAACTTGACCATCTTATTCATTACATAAAAATAAAGTTAAAATAGGGTATCAAGTTGCAGATAAAAATATGAAATTTCAACTATAGATGTGCTGACATTTATGATGAAGTTCAGATATTTCTGCAAATGCATGAGGATTTTAAAAGAGCTGAATGTTCTGGTTAATTAGCTTAGTGATCTGTTCAAATTTGCGGTGGTCTTGACTGGTGTTAAATAAACTTCCCATAAAATGAAATATGATGCATGTGAAAAATCAAAGATTTACTCAGATTTACCCATTTACCCACTTTCATCTTTACCCTTCATCTTACCGACTAGCACAATAAAGCAGAAAAGGGAATGACTTTATAAAAAACTGTCTTTTAATCAACTGTCTTTTAAAAGGTTAATAGATCCAATTCACACATGAATTCCTGTGTCTTTGTTCTGCTATATTACCCCTTAATATGGGACTCTGAGCTTGACCACATGACTTACTTTGGCAAATGGGACACCAGTAAATGTGATACAAGCACAGGCTTTACAAATGCTTACACATTGAAGCTTAATCTCTTGAAAAGCTGCCACTTTGTGAGAAAGTCCAGGCCAGTCTGCCAGAGACACATGGCCCACCTGACAGCCAGCTGCAGCCTCCAGACATGAGGGTATCTCAGGCCATCCATGTGCAGTTGATCCACCATATCATTGCAGTTACATAAGTGACCCTGACACAGACAGCAGAAAACCACACAGTTGACCACAAAATAAATTGCTAACCCAGAGTTATATATTACTAAAATGTAGTTGTTTACACCGCTACATTTTTGGGATAGCAATAGAAAACTGACAAAAACAGCTGCCTAAACTCACCTTTTGGGCCAAATTAGTAAAAGGGCGAACCACAGAATTTGTGCCTACATTGCACAGAGTGGATACCAGAGGTAGATGAGTTAACCTCAGGAAGCAAAGACAGTCTCAAACATCAATTATCCAGGGGTGAGCAGAGAAAACAAGCCAGGCATAAAACCAAACACGTAAATTCACTCAAGGAAAAAGGAGAAAAAGAGTTTGTGCAGAAAAAGGTTAATGATGCCCCTGAGGTGAGGAATAAAGTAAGAGAGGAGTCTTTTCTGGAACACCAGGGTTTTAACTATGGCTTGTTGCTTTTTTTTTTTTTTTTTTGCCTTGGTAATCCGATTACAGGGTTAAAACCTAGAAACATGTATTAATTTTTGATAGGTAATATGTAATTCTCATTTATTTTTAAATCTTTTTAACTAAATGGATTTCAAATGTACAAAAACATAATAAATGTGAACCTACCATGTTAATATTTTGACATTATCTTTATAACAATCTCTATTGTTTTTTGACATAATAAAATATCATACATGCAGTTACCTTTAGTATCTCCTCTCTCTATTAGTCACATGAGTGACTGATAAATATATTTATTCACAATATTCAAAATAGCTAACACTATTTTGCTAAGGGTGATTTGGTGTCCTCTGCTGCATCGTGGGGAAGTCAGGGAGCTCCTGAAAGGGATGGGAAGACTAGGAAGAAAAATTTTAAGGGGGGTTAAGAGTCATTATTATTAATTATAACTGGTACTGAATTATTTTTAAATATGACTATGACTTTCCTAGTATATACTAATTTGGGATCATATAAATATCTTTTCCCAGTTTGTGGATGCCTTTTTACTGTGTTAGTGATGTATTTGATACATTTATTTTGATGTTGGTGTATAGAAGCTTTTGTATTTAATGCCATCACATGAATCCATCTTTTTCTTAATGATCAGTGCCTTTTGTATCTTGGTAAAGAAATCTTTTGTGAACAAAATATTTTCTTTTTTTTAAATTTTGTTAAATTTTTTTATTTTATTATTATTATACTTTAAGTTTTAGGGTACATGTGCACAATGTGCAAGTTTGTTACATATGTATACATGTGCCATGTTGGTGTACTGCACCCATTAACTCGTCATTTAGCATTAGGTATATCTCATAATGCTATCCCTCCCCCCTCCCCCCACCCCACAACAGTCCCCGGAGTGTGATATTCCCCTTCCTGTGTCCATGTGTTCTCATTGTTCAATTCCCACCTATGAGTGAGAACATGCGGTGTTTGGTTTTTTTGTCCTTGAGTTCATGTCCTATGTAGGGACATGGATGAAACAAAATATTTTCTTAAAAATTGTTCACAGCTGGGTGCGGTGGCTCACGCCTGTAATCCCAGCACTTTGGGAGGCCGAGGCGGGCAGATCACGAGGTCAGGAGATCGAGACCATCCTGGTTAACACAGTGAAACCCCGTCTCTACTAGAAATATAAAATATTAGCCGGGCATGGTGGTGGGCGCCTGAAGTCTCAGCTACTCGGGAGGCTGAGGCAGGAGAATGGTGTGAACCCGGGAGGCGGAGCTTGCAGTGAGCTGAGATCACGCCACTGCACTCCAGCCTGGGCAACAGAGTGAGACTCTATCTCTAAAAAAAAAAAAAAAAAAAAAATCACCAAAATATTTTCTAATATTTTCTTCTAAAATGGGCTTTTCATTTTTGCATCTTTAATTGACATAAAATTTATTTTTCTTTATGGCATTAGGTAGAGATTTAATTTTATCCTGTATCATAGAGATATGCTGATTCTGCCACTTATTAGCAGTGTGTCCTTGTCCAAGTTACCTACCTTCTGTGTACAATAGTTTCTTCATCGATGAGATGGGATTAATAATAGTCTTTACCTCGTATATCATTTAGAAGATTAAATAAAATAATAGTGTAAACTACAATGCCTGCTACATAATGATCACCCTATACTTATTCGTTAATAGACCTAACGACTTATTCAGCACCATTTATTGAATAGCCCCTACTTCACCTGTTGAGTGCCTCATGTACACATATATGGATTAATTTCTAGGTTCTCTATTCTGTTTCTTGATATATTAATTCTTTGCAACAATACTCAAATTTCAATTATTGTAATTTAACAGCAATTCTTATCTGATGGAGTGAGTCCCTCCTAAGGGTTACTTAAAAACGTTTGGGCTTTTTACTCATATGTATGAAATTTATGTGAAAGTTAATTTCTGTTAAATCAGTGTTGGAATTTTGATCAGAGTTGCATTGAATTTATAAGTTATTTGGGCTAAAACTGTCGTCTTGATGATATTGATTATTCTGCTCAATAAAATAGTATATCACTTCATTGATTTAGGTTGTATTTTATTTATTATTATAAAACCTATCTATATTAATTACAAGGAGGACATGGTTTCTTTGAATCCTGGTGTAGGCTGCTCATTTCCCACACTCCAGAAACCAAGGAGCTTGGAGACAAAATTGCTACAGTTAAGAGTTGTTGGCATATCTCCTCCCTGACTGAAATTCTTGCATAGTGTACCCATTACCCACAAGATAAAATTTTCAAACTCTTGAATGTGATACAACACCTTCCATGACTTCCTAGTTTATTTCTCTAGTCCAGGTGTCTTCACTAAATGTCCAGACTTGTATATCCATCTAATTGTTTACCATTTCCACTGAATGTCTAACAGATATTGAAAGCTGACTCATTTCTTGACACATAGTCTCCCCACTGACCCTGGAATCTCATTAAATGGCATCATCATTCACTCAGTAGTTCAAGCTTGAAAACTTCAAGTTATTCTAGACTCCTATCTTCCTCTTGCTTTCACATTTCAGATCAGTTCATCAGCCTGATATTACTTTCTTCAAAATATATCTGAATTCTAACCTTTTCTGCCTACCCCTATACCCCCAACTGGCTACCATGTTAAACCAAGCCATCATTGTTTTTTGCCTGGGTTAATGAAGAAACTTTGAAACATATGTTCATTCTCCTCATTTTTTTTCTCCCTTCTGATCAACTATCCACATAACAGGCTAGGCACTCTTAAAATACAAATCAGATCATGCCATTTACACGCTCAGAACCCTCCCATATCTTCCTATCGTACTTGGGTGAAAAAAACTCTGGTCATGTCGAAGGAAGCCTTCAAGTTCTGGCCTGTCCTCCTCTCAGGTTTCATCTCCTATCACTCTCTCTTTAACAGTCTTCCCTGGATATGCTTGTCCCCTTGCTGTTTCCTAATCAGACAAACAGATTCCTCCCTCAGGACCTTTGCACTGCCTATTCTCTCTGCCTAGAATGCTTTCAGAAACAGTTATTAGACAATGTGGACAAAGTAATAAATATTAGCAACCTTTGGAAAATGCTATGTAACAACTATGAGATCATTGACAGGGAAAGGACAATCTAACTTTAACAATTAAGATAAAATCTTTAAATGAAAGATTATTAGGTGTGAATTTATGAAATATATTTATGTTTCAAACATTTTAAAAACTATAAATTTTGAAGAACTGGGAAATTTATTTCTCACTGTATTAGTCAATTCTCACATTGCTAGTGGTTTAATTGGCTCACCATTCTATAGACTGTATAGGAAACATAGCTAGGGAGGCCTCAGGAAACTTACAATCATGGCAGGAGGTGAAAGTGAAGCCAGTACATCCTACATGGCTGGAGCAGGAGGAAGTGAGAGTGATGGGGGAAGTGCTACACACTTCCAAACAACAAGGTCTCGTGAGAACTGTATCACGAGACAGCACTAGGGGCATGGTGCTAAACCATTAGAAACCACCCCCATGATCCAATCACCTCCCACCAGGCCCGACCTCCAACACTGGGGATCACAGTTCAACATGAGATTTGGGTGGGGATGTGGAGCCAAACCATATCAGTAACACTTTGGTCACATCACATCAATGAGTAAATAGGTCCTGGGCTAATCTCAATTGGCCTTTTAAAATTCATCTCATCTATATTTGTGAAACAATCAGATAAAATATTTAAAAACCTTAAAAAGAAAAAATATCTTTGGAAGTACAGTTATTTCATAAAATGTGAAAACACAGAAGTATAAAAGATCATCTAATTGTTATTTTCTTCCTCCACAGAAGTATAAAAGATCATCTAATTCTTATTTTCTTCCTCATTGTTTAAATATTGTTTTTCCTGGGAACCTTACTGCCTATGATAGTGTTAATTGGTTGTCCTGGACTGTGTCTTAGCTTCCCATCTTCCCAATTTTCATATACTTAGTAGAATGTGGATCGTTCTCAAAGCGTTATCCATTTGAGTAATGAATATAAAACAACTTCCGTAGAAAGAGGCTGTATTTAGGCTTAAGATATTTTATAACATGACACCCTACCCCCAGCCCACCTCCATAGCACTTTGTTACTAGAGCATGATTAGGACTTCCCTGCTTCTTTCTTCACTGTCAATGTTTGGGGTGTGTGTGTATGTGCATGTGTGTGAATAGTGTGAGTGTATGCATGCACATGTGTGTCTCTATTGAGGAATACAGGGATGCTGGTAGCAGGGGAAGAGGATCTAATTTTCTTTGGTTTATTATTTTTTTCTTAACAGCCAGTTAGAGCAGTGGAGTAGTAATTACAGTTGCCACAACTTTTAACAAATTTTTAGGAAGTGATATTTAATAAATAAGAATCTTCTGGCTGGTTAATGTTTACGCGTACAAAGATATCTTTGCTTCATGATATGTTTTGGGTCTAAAAACACAGTTATTTTATGACACCTATGTATTTGTATTGCGTTTGCTTCTCTTTTCTGATGGAAGAAATCAATAATAATCAATAGAGAGAAAGGGCTCTCTAGACCAAAAGTCTGCCAAAATTGAAAACTGAAGTGTTGTCAGTTGACCTGGGGAAGGACTGAATCCTCTTTGTAGAAAAATACCAGAAACACAAGTGAATGTGCATTGTTCTTAGTCCAACCTAAGAATGCATTCATCTGGGTTGGTTGTATTAACTAACACAACTTTATTATTAGTTGTTAATGTTAGTTAATACAACTAACCCAGATGAATGCATTCTTAGGTTGGTTTTACGACATTCACATAAGAAAAGGTACATGAAAAACTATAATCTTCAAAATGCATTGAGGTCACTGAGCTTTGTAGCTCCCGCTTCTTGGTCATTCCAGTTAAAAATGTTATGTTTGAGATGTAAACTTTAACAGGATGATCTATGCTAACTCCATTCCCCTCCTCCTATGTACTTACTTGCCATGGGTAGCATTTCGTCTCAGAATGGATGCAGAAAACGTAGAAAAAAGTAATTATAGAGGAAGTAGGTAACCCATTCCCAAGTTGCTTGAAAGAAATAAGAGATGGCCAGTTTTAATGTTTACAGATTTTTCATTTATCTGTCCAGGAAAAGCTGGAGTACTCAATAAAATATATTTCTAATGTTAATTTTGGCTAACAATTTTACTCATTTTCTGGCAAAAATAATGATTAATTCTCTGTCCGATTTATCATATTATGGTGTAAATTTCTCTCAAATGATTGTCAGAAGTTGACCATCAGTCCTAGTTTTTGAGGTTGCAGGAGTGTTTTTTGAGGTTGTGGGAGTTTTTGTTTATTTGTTTGTTTTCTTTTTTAAGGTCCAGTGTATTTTCAATTGGAATGTTCAAAGATTCTACATTAGGAATTACTTCTGGGGAGCTCATATTTTAAAACCAAACTAGTTCTTGTTACTTTCAGCAATACTTTTTTTTTTTTTTGAAAACAGGCTTTCCTTTCTACTGCCTCAACTTTATACTTATTTCTTGTGTTTCCCCCAAGGGCTTAATTATGAATCCCTTCTAGGCCTTTTCTGAGCACTAATAATGTTTAGAGGTTGGTGAGCTCTTTGTTAATGCTTTTCCCACTGTCAGGAAAGAAGCTATTTATTTCCTCATTTGTGTCTTCCTACTTTACCTGTGTGGAATAAACCATATTTGTTTTTTACTTTCTCCAATAAGATATACAAAATTTGGGCTTGTACTGAAACTATTTATGTGGCTAATTTTAAAATGTTTTTAGATTTAACATACTCTTTATTTTTGTCCATATTCCCCATGTAAAATTTATAAATATTAATATAGAACTAGAGATATATTTTTGATAGATACCTACCTGCTAGAAGCTAAGGCACACATTGTAATGACAGAAAATTTCGATAGCAATACATAGAATTCTTATTCTTTTTTCTATTTTTTTTTGTGGTCAGCCTCATTGTACTCTACACAGGAAAGATGATACTTTGAAACAAAAGTGTTAAAACATCTGGAAAATTCCAATGTTATTTGGTACTCCATAAATAAGAGAAGTGTTGGAAATTGAAAAGTTTCTAAATATAAGAGTTCTGTATTGTTGGTGTGCATATACTGTTTTCTTCTTGGGAATGTGCACTGGAAGGAGAAAGAACTAATTCTATACAATGGCTGGCTGTGCTGAGCATGGACATCATACTGAGGGAAGACTAAGAATAGCAACAACTAGTCTAGAAAGCTTCCACTGTCCCAAACAGTTCTTAGTTGCCGAGAACCACTTTTGTCTGCTACTTTCTCACAAAGACCCACACTTTGGCTGCTACACTGCACATCTTGCTCAGAAGTGTAGTAAGTTTATTATCCCATTGTACTTTTTCATATACTTGACTTGCCTGTCAAACTGCTTTGGAAATGAGAAATAGCTTGTGCACATTCAACCCCTCATCACACTGCCCAACAGTGAGGGGGCCTCCTTCTCTGTAGTCGTGGCTAATATGCTCTGTCTTATAAATAATAGATGAATTGTCTACCCTCATTCCTAAACTTCTGGTATTGCACAAAGCAAACTGAAGTAATAATGTAACCCCTTATTTTAAAATTTAATATCTTTTATAGCCTGCTGTCTAAGGCAGTTCCTCTATGAATCTGCTGACACTTTAAATTCTACTTTAGAAACTTCCTCTCTATTTCAAATATCCACTCCACTCAAAATTTTATATAAACTTATCCCCTCTACACACTATCAATAGGAAAGTTCTTCTTTATTTCCTAAGGCATTCTAAATCACTTTTGTAACCAGCTCCCTTAAGAGAAAACCACTAAATCTTACTGCTTACACAGCAGCCCCAAATCTTACCATAGTGCTTGTCAAAGACAGAGAAATATCTTCCATGTAAGCTCCTGCAAGGTTCACAGGCTTACTAGATTGTGCTTTCTAGCTAATAGGAAAGAAAAGAAAACTGCAGAAGCCTCTAGAAAACCTTCTGGGAGAAAGTAGATAACACAAAATAAAATCACTGTTTTATTTTATTAAGGACCTTTGTGAAGGTTCATTTGAAACAATTTAGTCTGTCTAACATAATTAAGTCACTAAGCAGCATCAGATAGTAGCCAGTTACCATCTTGGATTAATAATGTTTAATTCATCTATAATCACTCTAATACATCTCTAGGAAGCATACACAGCATTTTATAAAGTACAATTTGATGAGTAAGGACAGTTGAATGATGAATCATAAAATAAATTAAATTGTAGTCATTTGAACTGCTATTTGAAATTTATGGCTGCCAGCTGGCAACCAGAGGATTTTTAAAATATAAATTAAATAAGTTCAATAAAGTTATCCAGATAGAAAATCTGCAGCTGGAATATGAGAATTATTTCTTTTTAGCCTTCACCAGAAATGAGTTTTTTGAGACAGGCACAATAAAGAATATTTAGGCAGGGTCACAGTGGAAGCAATACTGTGTCCAATGAGATCCACTCTGGTAGATTCCCAATCCATCAGCTCTTAATAATTCATGTTTCTCGGCTGGATTGAACAGATCCTGATCAATTGGAGTAGAAGAGAGAGAAGGATAGAAGTCAGATTTAGATAGAAGATTTTTTTTTTTTGGCTACAGTATAGAAATAAAATGAGTAGGGTTTGAAATGAGATTGTTAAAAGGATTTAAATATATTATGGATGAATATGTGACATAAACCTTAATTGCAGCCCAATTTCTATATTTACACAGGAAATTTAAAGATTATTTTCTCTGTTATTTGAATGGGAAAGCCCTACTTGAGCACAGCAGAAATCTTGCAGCTTTTGTGATTGTAGAGAAGGCAAATTAGGTCATTGAAACTTTTAATTAACTGGGTTCAGGGTTAAATCTCAAGGTAATTCTATCATCTGGAAATGGTAATCTCTGAATTTCAGAAGCTATAGCAACTTCTGTATTGCTGAACTCATACTGATACTCAGCAAGATTGAAGCTGTTAAGAAATTATAGCTACTTGCCTAGAATCTGCATTAGAGTTTATTGGTTTAAAATTGTTTAAATGTGCTTTTAGTCAATTGTTAAAAAGATAGTATCAATTTTACAAAATCGTTAAAGATGATATATATTTAAATTTGTTTTGGTAGCTTATATATACTTTCTTTTGTCCCTGGAACCCTGAGGCCTAAAATCTGACAATACAAGGGCCTGCCATTTTGCAGCATGTTGGAAGACAAGGAAATACAAAATAAAACAAAGCACTGAATATAATTTCCTGGTTATGAGTAACAGAAATCACATTTTATTTGGCACCGAAAGATAATGGTAGAATTTTAAAATATATTGACTTTCATTTACCCACTTAAGAGAATCTTTCCCTTAGGATTTTGTAATCTACCCAACGTCAGCACAAACTATATATACTATATATATATATATATATATAGAGAGAGAGAGAGAGAGAGAGAGAGAATATTTTATATATTCATCATTCACTATGTCTGAGTTTTAACAAAGAAAATTATTTCCTACAAAACTAATTTGGTCCCAATCATTTAAAAAATTACTTTAAATAATTCAATGATCACTGCAGTTATTGATGTCTCTACAACCACCATTGGCTGAAACCTGTACTTCCTCAGGTTCAGTACATACTCTGCACTTAAGTGCAGAGTAATAATAAGTGGTTGCTCTAGTTATGTTACCTATAGGGTGGAAACTGACAAAAGTAGCCACCAGTTGGTGGCTAAGGTGGTGATTTTGTACTGCCACCTCTCTCCTTTGCCATCAGCCGGGGTGGAAGGCAGAAATCCAAAGAGCTATTTTTATTCTCTGGCAATTTGCCAGCATTATATAAGCAATCCCTTGGCCAGCTTTGAGCTTTGTTTACTGCTAGCTAACATAAGATTTAGAATGAGTGTAATCTTCAGCTTTTGTAAAGAGTATCAAATGATAAATTGAGTAATCAGATCTTTGCCTGAATTGCTTACTGCAGTGAAACATTTATTAAATGTGTAGTAAAAATATCAGTTAATCTGTCCAAAAAGCTGGATACATTCATTTGCTTTCTTTCATCCAGCTTAGTTGTCTCATTGGAGAAAGAAGGGAAAAGAAAAATGATGTCCTAATTATTTATGTGTTTACAAGTTTGTTTTCTTTTTTGCTTAGACTGCTGTTAAACTGGCTCACTCCATATACTCTGTGCTACAGCAATTTAATATTTCATTAAAAAGCATTAATGATGGCTCCAGTGAATTTCTCCT
This sequence comes from Homo sapiens, assembly GCF_000001405.40. NCBI lineage: Eukaryota > Metazoa > Chordata > Mammalia > Primates > Hominidae > Homo > Homo sapiens. The sequence continues at coordinate 186,058,874 of NC_000002.12, read as the reverse complement.
ATTCAAGCTCCATAATGACAGCAGTTCAAGCGAGTGTTGATCTCTGAGTGATGCAACACAAAAACATCGCCTAACAAAGGAACACTTGGAGTACTACTCATATTCTCTGCAACTTGAGGTAAAGTTGGAGAGCTAGCTGCTGAGTGGTACCTTGTAATTTAATTGAATAAGAAAAGACCTTCTAATTTATACTCAATAAATGAATTGCTGTAGTAGGTACGTCACATTTATATTATATATCAATAATAGATTAAACAATTGCTATAAAGCTTGCTCTTTCAAAAGAGTTTCTAAAGGCAACACATCTCTGTTTATGCTTTTAACTTTAAAAGAAAGTCAAAAGTTACTCCGTGAGAAAATATCTTGTTGCTTTAGAAACATATGATTACCTATCTGATGAAACAATAAATATTTATTAAATGACTACTGTGTGTTTTCAAGCTACTGTGGCCTCTGCTTCAAAGGAGAGAGTCTTGTTTTTAAGGATTTTTTTGTTTCAATTTGAGGAGAAAAGAAAAATAAAATAAAATCGTAAATGCTAATGAAAAGCCTAAATGATGTGGGTTAAGTGATTCGTTCTCATAAGAAGTTAGGGTTGTTATATGGAAAAGGGAATTATTTCCAGCGAATATAATCAGGAGATTTATAAAATAGTGGAATTTAAGTTTAAAATAATTCAAGGATGTAATTTTCATAGTTTGAAAATAGAGAGGATATAGAGATAGCAGAAATTTTATTTAATGGAACAGTGGAATAAGAAGTGCAAAAACAATGTTGAAAGCATATTATAGAGATCACTTGAATTTTAACTTCTGGATAATTAATTTTATTATACTAATTACACAAAGCAACATTATAAAAATAATGTAGAATTTAAAATGAAATATAATTTTTATAAAACTTGTCCTCAAATTCTCCTCCCAAGAAAACCACCTATTTCTGTTTTTCCATCTTCCTTCTCACTAAAGATTTCTGAACAGTGAAATGATATGATGGAAAACGTGTTGTAGAACTTTTAGGAAGATTAATCTATCAATAGTAAGCAAGATGGAGAGTAAAGAGAAGTATCTGAGACGAATGATAATTCAATTGAAGTAATTCAGATGAGAAGTGACAAGAGCCTGAACAGAAATGGAAAGAAATGGGAAGTTGTAAGAGGCACTGAAATGGAAAAATCACTGATTGGATATGGAACATTAAGAAAGGTAATCATTAGAGATGAATGGAGCCTGAATTAACAGCAACGGTTCCAGAGATAGAAAGCAGAAGTAGGATGATTAGAATAGGTATCTAGCAATGGAAAATAATTTATATATATCTTCCATGGCATGTAATGTTGAAAAAATATAGTTACACATAAAAATCAAGAATATGTTTAAAGATGGAAAATTGAAATATATATTATATGCATGTTTCTAATCGAGATCTTTATCAAATTTCTAATAAAAAGAGAAAGTACCTAGAATCATAGGTGTAAATTAAGTCTGGTTAAGAAAGTAGAGGACATTATTAATAACTTTTTTGAGAAGAACAGTATTTAGTGAGGAAAGGGTGGCCAGTAAGTAGAGAACAGACATATTTCAAGAAAAAGAAAATATTTATATATATGAATATATACACACATATGTATATACGTATATACACATATATACATATGTCTGAGTGATGGTACACAAAAACATTGCCATGTATATGCACACATATATATACCCACATATACGGATATACATATGTGTGTATATTCATATACATATACATATATGTGTGTATATATGTAGATACATATATCTGTGTATATGTGTATATATATACATGTGTGTATATGCATGCACACATATACATATATGTATAGACATGTGTACATTGTGTATGTACATGTGTACATGTGTATATATGCATATACATACATATGCATATATACACACATATGTGTGTATGTATGTATTTATATATAGAGAGAGAGAGCAGTATAGGGAGGACAAGGCGAATGTGAACTGGGAAAAAAGCATTATATATCATAACTAAGAGGTAATTGATGATACTTGAGAAATCGGTGAACAATTAATATTTGTTAAACCATTGACTAGGATGTTAATTTTTCATTTGAGGTATTTTTTAGTGAAAGGAGAGAAGGAAATGAAATGGTAGCTAGTAGATGGTGAATTTAAGCAAGATTTGTTCCCTTTCTTCCACTATACGCCTCTAAGGAAATTAAAAAAAAAAAAGGCTTGTTTACTTTGGAATGTGGAGTAAAGAGAGCAACAAGAGATTGAAGTCAAAGAATAGGTAAGTGAGCACTGTAAGGATCTGCAGAGACAGACAGAAAAAGTCTGCATGGAGAGTAAATTGGGAAGCCAATTAAAAAATTTTGGTAGTCCTTGCGTGAGATGTTGGTAGCTTAAACTAGGATAGTAGTTGTGGAAGGGATGATTATTGGTTGGATACAGTCTATATTTTGAAGATAGAGTTGACTGCACTTAATGACGAATAAGAAATGAGGGGTAAGAGCAAGAAAGAAATGTTAAAATGGTGTGTGTGTGTGTGTGTGTGTGTGTGTGTTTCTGGCTTAAACAACTGGAAGAATGGTAGTATCATTTACTGAGATAAGTAAGCCTGAGGATGATGCTGGACTTGTTTTTTGGAGGGGCAAATCAAGAGTTCTCTTTTATATATGCTAAGCCTATTAGATTATGAGAAATCCAATTGCTGATGTTGTCTGGAAAGTTAGATACATAAGTTTGAAATTAAAGGTAAAGTTTGGGGCATGTAAACTTGATATTCATCAGTATATTAATAATATCATGGGCATGTAAACTTGATATTCATCAATATATTAATAATATCATTTATAAAATGTAAGAATAAATGAGGTTAGCTAGGGAAAGACAATATAGAGAGCAAAGAGTGCTAATAACTGAGAACTGAGTCACTCCAAAGTCTCAAGATCTAAAAATAAGGAGGAACCAGCTATGAAGAATAAGAGTAGCCAGTGAGAAATGAGAATCTTAAGATTGTGATGTCTGCAAAAAAGAAAAGAAATTTCAAGGAGGGCATGGTCAGTTGTGTCAAAGCTTGATGGGTGTAGAGTAAGATTTGTACACAGAATTAGATGGGGGCTTGGGGAGATTTTCACTTTTGGGAGTATCTGAAATAAACAAGGAAGTCAGGATTGGTATTGCTGGTCTTCCAGGGGAAATGGTAATCAGCTCTAATTATATCTTTTTCCTAGAATTGATCTTTTAGTCAGTTGTCAGAGGTGAGGCTAACGGTGTTGTAGTATGGAGGAATGATAGTCTCATATGGAGTGCATCCTTATGTTATGTTGAGGGCAGAGTCACAAATGATGGAGGGGTGGCTTTAGAACAGGCATCTCTGGGTGTCCTAGCCTTAATTATAGGTCTCTGAGGGGCTTCTAGATTTGATTTAAAGAGAGCATTAGGTGGTATCACGGCTGGGTGATGAAAACACCAACAAGGGCACATGGAATTCTGGGGCCTGCCATAAATCTTGCTGGGGAGGATCAGGGCCAGTAGAGTGGGATTGGGTTTCTCAGAAGCACTTGGAGATCTGGAAGGTGATTTGAATAAAGGGCACCATTTTCTTTATACCACTTTTAGTAGAAGCACATGATACACAATATAGCATTTTAGATCTGCGCAAAATAAATATATTATAGCCAACAGAAAAGAGGCATGTGGAATTCTCTTAAAACTCAGTAATTTGCTTCTTTTGGTGTCCCTTAAACCTGAGCAGTTTATAAGAGACAAGATGAGGGTTTTCTTTGAGGATGAAAGAAACTTGTACATCTTTACTTACAATCTTTTTCATATCCTTTTTGCCTATGCTTATATAAATGTTTTCCTTATTTTAATTGACATAACCTTCAAAGTCAGAAAATTAACCACAAAATATTTACCTATAACCCAATAACTGTCATGTAAAAAAAACTAAAATGTATCTATGTTTGTCTTTTTAATGATTACAGCCTATTGCCAAGAATAGTCATTCTGTTTCATCTTCAGCACACATTTATAGAGGAAAGGGAAAAGTTATTTAAAAAATATTTTAAAAGTTCTATTTCATTAATTTCAACCATTATACCTTGTATTTACCTCCTGTGTTTCATTTTTTTTGCTTCCTCAGTAATGACAAAACCCATTAAGTCTGAGAATTATCTGCGCAAGTATTATTTATTGAGTCTTACAACTTATTTTTGTCCTTTAATTTTACTGTCTTGCTAAATAAAAATATAAGCAAACACAATGAATTCTACTTTAAAAGCTATCCATTACTATATACTTTTATTATGATAATGCTGCCATTATTATTTTGCTGCAAACCAGAAAAACCAAAGTGAATAGAATAGTGAATACTTTTGCTTGAGTGTAAGCAAATATGGTATTATCTAAACATTTTTTACAGGGATTACATGTTGTTATAGAACTATACTGATTAACAAACTCATTGACATTTCCTTATATTATCTTTGGGGCTCATTTGCCATTGCCATTACTGCTGTATTTCATACATCACCAATAACCTGGACTATTTGTACTGATTACACAATATGCTCTCCTTTCCTACACCTCGATGTTTGTTTCATTACATTTCTTAGAGGTTTCTTCCTGTTGTCTACTTATGGACATTCTATTAATATTTCAGGTTCTACCTCAAATCCTTCCTTATAAAAATTTACTGGCCAGACGTGGTGGCTTATGACTGTAATCTCAACACTTTGGGTGGCCTAGGTGGGAGGATCACTTCAGCCCAGGAGTTTGATACTAGCCTGGGCAATATACTGAGAATTTGTCTCTACAAAAAAAAAAAAAAAAATTAGCTGGGCATGGTGGTATACAACTGTATTTCCAGCTACTCGGGAGGCTGAGGCAGGAGGATCTCTTGATCCCAGAAGTTTGAGGTTGCAGTCAGCTATGATCACACCACTGAACTTCAGCCTGGGTGACAGAGTGACAGCCTGTCTCAAAATAAAAATAAAAATAAAATAAAAGTTGGCTGATGAAAATAACCAAGTTATTTCACCAACTCTTATTGATACACATCCTCTGACAAGTATTCTATGTGGGCTTGATATTTATATAAATGCTTTATCTCCTGTATTCCTTGAGGGATGCCATATTTTATACATTTTCTCTTCCACAATTTTGTGTACATGCAGCAGTTCAATAAAGAATAAATTTAATTGAGTCTTTGTGTTTGAATTGTTTTCTGTTTCCATGGTAAGGTGGTTATTATTTCCCCTTCCATGTACCTCACACCTGTCTATGTTTATAGTCTTTTCTGATAAAAATAATGGCCATTGTTTGGAGGGTTTACTACATGCTGAGCATTGTTCTTTAGTACTTTACGCAAATGAATTCATTTAATTTTCATAAGAAAATGAAGGAGTTATTATTATGATAATTGTTACAGATGAAAAAATTGGGGTGCAGGGAATTTAGGTATTCATCCAGGATCATGAAATTGGTGGAGGAGCCAGTTTTCATGCCTAGGTAGTTTTTGACTCCAGAGCACAGAGCCTTTGCATTGAAACACTCCTCTGTATTGGGGTAATGTTGAGGTGCTGAGCTGCTGCTTTGGGAGTATTGCTGGTAGGGCAACAACACTTGACAAAAAACGCACTTAAAAAAAACAATGTTTTAGAATAAAACAAAACAAAACTATCATTGCTGTTGTACTGCTTAGTTCCCTGTAGATTTATTTTCATGGCTCCTGCATTCTACATCATGACTCAGCTTAATTTGTAGAATTACAATACTTTTTGAAATATTAAAGATAATTGTTGTGTATGATGTACCTTTAGTATGTTTTTTAGTTTTTTTTTTGGTTAGCATAAATATATAGTAGTGTTAAGACTATAGGATATCACTAGAGTAAATTTTGGAGATGGTATTTGAAAGTTGTCATTCTTATCAACTGCCTGAAAACACCGAAAAAGATTTTAAAATTGTAACTTCTCTAAAACCTCCAAATTTGGAACAAATTAACCATCATGTGTATGTATTTTCTGGTTTTAACAGCATCTAACATGGTGCATTAGGCATAGTAACTTTCAAAAAAAATTTCATTAAGTTTTAAAGTTAACCTTTATATAAAACTATTAATAACCTTGACATTCTTACATGTGTTTTTCTTGAAATAAAAGCAAGATTTTTTTAATACACTCACATATAACTCTTAAAGGCACTATAAAAATGATTCCTCTATAAAAAAAGTCTTGAGGTCCTATCAGTTAAATATAATTCTCATGTTTAAAACTAAGCACAATGTATTTCAACTCAATACAGAGTAAATCGATTTTTTTTTTTTTTTGAGATGGATTTTTGCTGTTGTTGCCCAGGCTGGAGTGCAATGGCACGATCTCGGCTCACTGCAACCTCTGCCTCCTGGGTTCAAGCGATTCTCCTCCCTCAGCATCCCAAGTAACTGAGATTACAGGAACCCACCACCATGCCCGGCTAATTTTTTGTATTTTTTAGTAGAGACAGGGTTTCATCATGTTGGCCAGGCTGGTCTTGAACTCCTGACCTCAGGTGATCCACCTGCTCAGCCAAGTAAATGGAATTTTTAAAAAATTAATATAACATTTACATATGAAATTTCAGACTCACTCTGACTTTAGATTTTTCAACCTAATTTTTATATTGCTGTTTTCTTTTTTTATATTACGTTAATATTATTTAAGTAATATTAAATAATATTTAAGTTTATTTTTCCAGTCATTCAACAACTATTTTAAAAATGTTCTCAACATTCTACTAAGTACTGGGATTACAATTGCAAACAAGAAAGATAGGGTGCTTGATCTAATGGAGAAAAGAGATAAAAGATGTAACATAACTTTAAACTGTGGTATTTTCTAGAAATGCTCTGGGTAGGGAATACTAGAGGGTGGAGGATAGGATAATCTGGAAAGTTTTTCTGAGAATATAATATTAAAGATGAAGGATGAGAAGAAGGCTGCTCTGCACAGTTCAGAAGGAGAAAGAAGGAAAAGAGAAAAGAATTCCAGGGACAGAAAATTGCAGGTGCAAGAGGCCCTGGGTGAGCAAAGGAATATTTTCTTCAGTTTTTGTTATTAGAATGTGTTTTATAATTTATTCATGGTGTCATGAGCTTATTGTGATTAAACTACAATAAAATTAAGGAAAGGACCACATGGCCTCATTAATATTCCATAATTGATATGTGTTTATGATAATGATTATTTTTTAAACAATTTAAAAGCACGCTGAATATTTTTCTTAATATAATTTGCACCGGAGAATTGAAATCTTTAGTTCCATTTCTCTGTTTCAAGCTTACTGATTTTACCAAAAGGTAAAAATAAAACAAACAAACATTAAATTGGCATATTTTTCAGCTTATGCAAAAAAACATTTAGCTAAAATTTTATCATTACTTTTGACATGAAAGTATCTAATAAAATGGGAGCCACACAGTTGTGTACTTCCCCCCTGAGGTTTATGTATAGATATCATCATATATCCTAAAACGTGAATGCTATTTTAAAAATATTTTATTCCTTTTAGACAAAGCAAGATGAAATTATATTAAACTATATACTTCTTGCATTTTGGCCTTGCATTGGCCTTTGAAAGGGAATAAAAATAGAGGCACTCACGAATAAGAATAAACTTCTTGCTTGAAGTTGAGGAAAAATAAAAGACCTGACAAGCCTGACAGGGAGTCAAAGTTCTCATCTTTGGAGTGAAAATGATCCACACATCCAAGGGCAAAAAATGCCAGAAATGTCAGGAGCAGAAGGCTTCCTGTAGAGAGCCTCACTAGACCCACCGAGGTCACTTCATTTACTTCATCATGTGCTCTCAGTCTATCTCTTTCACTTAGTACTTTAGGGCTGTAGATGCTCTTAATTTTAAGCAGTTGAATTTGTCACCTCTCAATTGGCCCTAAATGAAAGTGTTTCCTGCGGGGAAGAATTGTATTGAGCTGTGTTTGAACACTAAACTTGAAAGGAAAAGCAGTTGTATCCTTAGTTTATTTATGTTCAATCTCTTTGTTTCTTCTCCTTGCCCAAGTTAAAAAAAACACATATAAGTGAGAATAATACATTAAAATATTTTTTCCTTCTAATTCTATGCTTTGATGGCAGGTAGAATTGTCTTCTTTTGATTTGACAAAAGTATTTATTAGAACCCCTCATTCTCCCACTTATATGGTTTGGCTGTGTCCCCACCCAAATCTCATCTTGAACTGTAGCTCCCATAATCCCCACATGTTAGTGGGAGGGACAAGGTGGGAGGTAATTGAATCATGGGGGCAGGTTTCCCCATGCTGTTCTCATGATAGTGAATAAGTCTCATGAGATCTGATGGTTTTATAAAGGGCAGCTTCCCTGCGCACGCTGTCCTGCTTGCTACATGTAAGACATGCCTTTGTTCCTCCTTCATATTCTGCCATGATTGTGAGGTCTCTCCAGCCATGCTGAGCTATGAGTCAACTAAACGTCTTTCCTTTATAAATTACCCAGTCTCAGACATGTCTTTATTAGCAGCATGAGAATGGGCTAATACATCCATAATTTAGTTCACCTCTCAGAAGTCTTCTCAGTTCTTCAGCTGTTAGTAACATTTCTCCTTTGTATTTCTGTGGTATATATTATCTATAGAGTGATTTCACAAATACATTTTTTACACTGTGTATTTCTTCCCTAAAAGTAACACTCCTTTCAATTTGATTATAATCTGAAGATTAGAGAACACACTGCACTTATATTGATGTCTCTACAGAACCTAGCACAATGCCTTGCACATAGTGGCACTTTGTGACTACTTCTTGAAATATTTTTGTCATGCTGTACCTAACAGAGTATTTTTTATTATGCTCATCAATCTTAGCAAACTAAATATGTAATAAATATTAGATTTGTTTGTACTAATAAAGATTGGTTTTATATATTTTTTCTTTTTCTTTATGAGTTATTAACCTGCTAATCAGATAACTATCTTATCAGAATCACTTGGCCCTTTAGTAGTATAATTTTTTTAGTATTTAATATTAGTTATTTTCTCTTTCAGAGTCATAAGTCATGGAATCATTATTTATTAATTAAATAATATTTATTAAATGCCTTTTAGGTGTCTTTCATATATACTGATGGCACAGCTATGAATAAGAAGATACTCACAGTATCTGTGGAGGATGTTCATGCCACAGACTGAATGTTTGTGTCCCACCAAAACTGAAATGTTGAAATCCTAACTCTCCATGTGATGGCATTTGGAGGCAGGGCCCTTTGGGAAGCGATTAGGTCATGAGGGCAGAGCTCTTATTATTGGGTTAGTGCCCTAATCAAAGAGACGGTGGAGAGCTCCCTTACCTCTTCCACCATGTGAGGGCACATTGAGAAGATAGCTGTCTATGAACCAGAAAGTGGGTCCTCCCCAGACACCAAATCTGCTGACACTTAGATCTTCCCTGCCCCAGAACTGTAAGAAATAAACTCCTGTCATTCCTAAGTCACCCAGTCTATGACATTCTGCTACAGCAGCCTGAATGGACTAAGGCTGTACATAGGATAAATGGAGCTGATACGCAGAACAATAACTGTAGGTGCAAGCTACTGTGAGAGCATTTGGCAGTGGACAATATCAATTTTAGGAGTTTAGGAATCTAAATCATAAGTAGGAATTAGCTTGGGGGAGATAGTAAAAGAAGCTCTAGATTTAAAAAAAAAAATGTCCTTGCTTTGTTTTTATTTGCTTGTTTTTGATGTCTTGCTCTTATCAGCCTTCTCTGCTTTGATTATTATGAATGCTTTTAGATCACTTGATCACATTTTCTGAGTGCAGCTTCTCATCATTTCTTCTTCATCCAACATTCCTTCCTTTTGGGTAAAATTTAAATGGGGAGAATTAGTTCCCTTTGGAGTTGATCCCTTGTGACCTCTCAAGAGCGATACATCTTTTTTCCTAAAAGACTTAAGAATATAATGCATACGTCACATATTTCCCCAGGACAGGAGGATTTTTAAAATACAGTAGTCCTCCCTTGTCTATGGTTTTTCTTTCTGTGGTTTCATTTATCTGTGGTCATCTGTGGTCCAAAAATATTAAATAGAAAATTTTAGAAATAAACAATTCATACATTTTAAATTGCACACTATTCTGAGTAGTGTATATCATCCCTTTATCTAGCATATTCACATTGTATATGATATCCCCCATTAGTCACTTAGCAGCCATCTGATTATCAGATTGACTGTTGATGTATTTCAGTGCTCGTGTTCAAGTCACCCTTATTTGACTTAGTAATAGCCCCAAAGCACAAGAGTAGTGAAGCTGGCATGTTGTTATAATTGTTCTATTTTATTATTATTTATTGTTTTTAATCACATTTAATTTATAAATTAAACTTTATCATAGGAATGTATGTTTAAGGAAAAACAGTATTATGGGTTTAGTACTATCACTGGTTTCAGGCACCCAAGAGGGTTTTGGAATATGTGTCCCTCAGATAAGAAGGACTACTGTACTTCTGATCTCATTTCATTCTTGTTGTAAGAGATCACATAATACAGGTATAAAAACTTGTACTTCTTTAGAAACTGCCTTTCCTTCTCTGTGAATAGCACTACTACCAGATACTTTGACTGAAAGTAAACTACTGGAAAATATATTGGTAGAAATCTGAGAGATATCACTGATATAGTTTGGATATGTGTCCCTGCCTAAATCTCATGTCGAACTGTAATCCTCGATGTTGGAAGTGGGGCACGGTGAGAGGTGATTGGATGATGGGGATGGATTTCTCATGAATGGTTTAACACCATTCCCTTTGTGCTCTTCTTGGGTTACTGAGTAAGTTCTTGTGAAGATCTGATTTTTTACAAGTGTGTAGCAGCTTCCCATCTTGCTTTCTTGCTCCTTCCATGTAAGATCCCTGCTTCGCCTTTGCTCTCTGTCATGGTTGGAAGCTTCCTGAGGCCTTCCCAAAAGCAGAAGCCACTATGCTTCTTGTACAGTCCTCAGAATAAAGGAGAGCCAATAAAACCTCTTTTCTTTATAAATGACTCAGCCTCAGGTATTTCTTTATAGCAAGGCAAGAACAGAATAATACAATCACAGATTCTTCACTTTCCTTAATCTCTGACATGTCATTTCCACCTTCACCCCATCATCATTTTTTGATGGGCTTTTAAAAATAGCCTTATGTTTCCTAGACTGTAACTTCATTCTTTAACAATCATCATCCCATTAGCATCTTGAAAGAGGGTTACAAAACATATATATGATCATTTCACTCTTTAATTAAAAATCCTCCAATAGATTCTGTTTACAATATGGATGCATGGGATGCAAAAATTACTGTCTGCCTTTCCAAATTCATTTTCAGGCAAAGTCAGGGAGTAGAATACAGAGAGCTTTGACATTCCATCATCACTTCTTCAATAAAGCCTGAGTTGATCAAAAAACTCAATTAGTGGCCTTAATCAAAGTAAATAATGAACAGATAAGAGAGTAATCTTGTTAAGGGAGTATCTCATACCTACATTAGCAATTTTGAGAAGGCATTTCCATCTGAAGGCAACCAACATGCCTTGAAGCCCTAGAGAATTGCCCTATCAACCAGGAGTGTTCAGGTTGCCATGGTTATCAGTTATCATTTGGAAAGTCAGTAGACGTCTGTTAGAAGAATATATCTTGTATTACTTAAGAAGAAATATACCTATTAACATAAAATTTAGGCATCACCTTTAAGGTGATGGTAGAATTTCTTCCTTTTCAAACATAAGCCATCGTGCCATATATTAAATTGACTTCAGTTGAACAAATGATTATTGATTACTTGTTATATTTCAGCCCATTTTAGAATTCAGGAATGAGTAAGGCAGCCATCCATTCCTGTTTGAGCAGAGTTTGTAGTCAAGTTGGAGAGACCTAAAGTATAATTTTGATACGATGTGATAAATACAATAACAGAAGTATATGTAGGGTGCTATGGTCATATTGCTAGGAAGACAAATGTAAACAATGAAGACTTTCTCTCTAAATCCCTTGGTGTTTAAAAATAATAATAGTTGGCCAGGCGCAGTGGCTCACGCCTGTAATCCCAGCACTTTGGGAGGCCGAGGCGGGTGGAGCACGAGGTCAGGAAATCGAGACCATCCTGGCTAACACGGTGAAACCCCGTCTCTATGAAAAATACAAAAAATTAGCCAGGCATGGTGGCGGGTGCCTGTAGTCCCAGCTACTCGGGAGGCTGAGAGGCAGGAGAATGGCGTGAACCCGGGAGGTGGAGCTTGCAGTGAGCCGAGATCGCGCCACTGCACTCCAGCCTGGGCAACAGAGCGAGACTCCGTCTCAAAAAAAAAAAAAAAAAAAAAAAAAAAGATAATAGTTTAGAAAATGAAATTAAAAATTACTCAAATTCTTTATGTTGAAAGAACCTAATAACAGCGAAAAGGTGATTATAAAAGACCTCATATCTGGACACATTGGGTAAGATTTCAGAATTCTGGATCTAAAAGTAAATGATTTAAGGTTATGCATAAAAAAATGCAGCCAAATGAATGAAACTCAGAATGACTTCAGATTACTTGTCAATAATGCCAGATTGAAAATTCAGTGCTAAGGGAAATTGAATTTTGTTCTGTAATTCTGTTTATAGCCAAAAGTAGCTAAACATCAGATATAACAATGAAAAGCAGCTAAGTATGATCTGAAATAAATAAATAGAATCAAAAAACAATTCAGGAAATCCACTGAACCTTGATGCCTGAGGCACTTTTCTTTAAGCAGAAACACTTTAGAGTTAAATTAAACACAACTAAGTTTCCCTTCCTATGGGTCTGATCACACTATTTGCTTCTGTAGTGCATAATAATTGCAATATTGTAATAAGTATTTTATCAGCTTCAAAATGATGAGGATTTTCTATTGACAATACACAGAAAACATAATTACTAAATTAAAATTAATAGTATAACCAACAGAAATCTGAAAGATGAAAGAGTTAGAAAGAGTAGGTACTCTCATTTTCTCATTTGACCTACAGAGAACCAATAGTTGAGCTTCATGGTGATGGAGTAAGAGGCAGAGGTTTAAGTAGATTATTTAATATTATAAATACAGCCATGAGGAGAAGTACAAATTATAACTAATACATCTTCAGCAAGGTTAGGAAAAAGAAGGTTTATCAGGAAACTTATAAGCTATTCTTTTTATAGAAGTGCCCTAGAGGAAATGGAAAATAGAAACTGAAATATGATTATATTCATTTACAGTGAACTTTTCTTTATGGTTTTGCTTTTTTTCTAAGTGAAGGCATAACTTTTTAAAACAAGGATACTTAATACATAGAAAAAATGGGAATACCAAAATACTAGCAGTGTCCATGTCTCACTGAGTATTTTAGGAATGACTCTATTTTTCCCTTTAGAGATTATTTTCCCCCCACATTTTCTCTATATATTTTTACAATATAAATGTATTTTTTACAGTGTAAAAGTACATTTTATATATTTTTACATTCTAAAAATTTATGAAATAAATTTTGTGTTTAAAATAGTGGTAACATCTGGTATAACAATGTAACAGTGGATTTCAAATAGACTTGCAAGTTACTGAAAAAGCTCAGATATACTCTTTACAAGGCCCAGTTGCTGGTGTATGTTATGAATACTTATAATATAGCTGCAGTACAATTGTTAAAGATAGTTTTTCATCTTGTAGGTACTGACTTGAGTTCTGTGCAGCAGCTATGCCAATTCCAAAAATTAAGCTGTAAAGAAAAATGCCCTATTACTACGCAGAAAATCACTTGATAGAATTAAATGAGTCATTCAACCATGCTGCACTAATTTATAGCCATTATTTGTGGAGAAATAGAGTTAGCACTGACATTAAATGTACCATATGATTCCTTTATTATAAATTTTATGTTCTGCTCAAGCTCTTTAACCACTACCATATGGTTTTCATTATGTTTGTTGCCATTTGTTATGCCTGATAAGTTAAAAACTTTATTATATATCGATTTCCTGCTGGAATGCCTGAAAACCTTTGTGCTCTCAACACTGTCATTGATCAGATATCAATTATGTTTTGCTTTCAGACCAGAGAACATATTAAACTAATTCTGGATTTATCTGGTACATACTAAAGGGCCTGACCCCAATTTTTCTGTTAAAGGAGCTTCAGTTTTAAGAGCAGTTTTGTTTCTTGCAATATTCTGATACTTACGCTGTATCAAAATCAGGAATGTTAAAAGTATTTTGGCAGTCTAAAATCTCAATTTAGGCAAAACTGAGTTTTAAATGAATTTCCTATCTATTGAAGAACTTTACTTTCATCATCTGTATTGAAGATTAAATGAGACTACGACTGTATATAATACAACTTTCCTGGAACATAATACATAATAAAGGGAAAAAAAACTGTCAATAGTTTTGTGAGATTGTTTTACATTACTGAGTGTCTAAACATCTCAATTTGTATTGATATTCTCTAATAAACTGACAGATAAAAATAATCTGATATACCAAGAAAATAATTGAAGTTTCTTTGTTTGGAAATGATAAACCAGGAATTGCCATACGCTATTTTGAAGTTAATAAACTTGATTCCTTTTAGCTATTTCTTGTCTTGTGGATTTCAGTTGCTTTTAAGGCAGTTCTCAAATTTTAGTGAGCATATATACTTTCTTGCAAAAGTACAGATTTTGGATCACAGGTCTGAGATAGGGCCTGAGATCCTGCATTTTTAAAAACACCAGTAATGGCAATACTGTTTGCTATGGTTTGAAAATTTCTCCCTTCCAAAATTCATTTGAAATTTAATCCTTAATATGGCAGTGTTGAGAGCTGGGGTCTTTAAGATACAATTGGGTCATGAAGGTTCTACCCTCATGGGTGAATTAATCCATTCATAAATTAATGGGTTAATGGATTAATGGGTTATCATGAGAGTAGGACTGGTGGCTATAAGAACTGCAAGAGAGACTTAAGCTAGCATGCTCAGCCCTCTCTCTATGTGATGCCCTGTACTACCTTCGGACTCTGCAGAGAGTTCTTATCAGCAACAAAGCCCTCAATAGATGCAGCCCCTCAACCTCAGGTGTCTCAGCCTCCATAACTATAAGAAATAAGTTCCTTTAAAAAATAAAATACCCAATTTGGGGTATTCTGTTATAAGCAACATAAAATAGACTAATATAGTAAATTGGCACCAAGAAGTTGGGGATTGCTGATGAAGTTGTTTCAGGTGATACCTGAAAATGTGGAAGCAGCATTGAGAATGGGCAGAAGGTGGAAGAATTTGGAGGAGCCACTAAAAAAAGCCTAGATTCTGGTGAGGGCTTAGAAGACAAGAGGACTAGGGAAAGTTTGAAACTCCTTAGAGATTGCTCAAGTGGTTTTGACTGGAATGCTGGCAGAAATGTGGACAGTAAAGGCCATTCTGATGAGGCTTCAGATGGTATTGAGGAACAGGGTCTTGAAAATTGGAGTAAAGCTCATCCTTGTTATAAATTTGCAAATAACTTGTCTGAACTGTATCCATGCCTGAGGGCTTTGTGGAACTTGATAGTGAAGAACTAGGGTATCTGGCAGAAGAAATAGCTAAACAAAATATAAAAGGAGCTGCATAGTTACTTTTGGTTACTTTCACTGAGATTTGGGAGTAAAGTAAAAATTTAAAGACGGAGTTTATAATTAAAAGTGGAGCAGTATAGAAAGATTTAGAAAAATTTCCTCCTGGCATCTTAAAGAGTGAAAAAAAAAAAAAACATGATTAAGAGAGGAAAAACCAAAGATGTAGCCCAGGAACTCTTTGCTAAAGGGACTAACATGGATAGAAGGTTGCTGGGTGCTATTCCTCAAGACAATGAAAGTAAGACATCAAATGAATCTTGGAGATCTTTGAAGCTGCTCCTCCCATACTGGCCCAGAGGGCTAGGAAGGAAGATGATTTTAGGAGACAGGCCCAGGGCACTCTCTGTAGGCTCACTCCCCAGGGCTGCCTCGGGACTCTGGTCCCTGCACCCCCAGCACAGTGCTTTTCAGCTGTCCCAGCAATGGCACAAGCAGCCCCAGGTGTGGCTCATGTTGCAGTTTCAGAAGGTGCAGATCATAAATCTTAGCAGCATCCACGTGGTGCTAATTCCACAGTCTTGGAGAAAATAGTAGCTGTGGAGGCTTGGCAGCATCCACCCAGATTTCAAAGGATGATGTCAAAAGCCTGGAGGCCCAAACAGAGACTTGTCACAGGGAAGGAGCCAACGGAGCCCCTATTAGAGCAGGACAAGTGGAAATGTGGGGTTGCAGCTGCTGCAGATAGTTCCCAGCAGGGCTTTGCTTAGTAGATTTATAGATGCATGGCCACAACAGTGAGTCCCCACTAGGGCAATGCCTAGTGGAGTCGTGGGAACAAGGCTGCCCTGGGGACCCCAGAACTGTGTAGTCCCTGGTAGCATGCTATGCCTACATGGGAAATCTTCAGGCACTGGATTCCACCCTGCACGAGCAGCCACCTGGTCTGTACCCACCAAAGCAGTAAGGGTGGGGCTACCTGAGGCCTCAGGGGTCCAACCCCTATTCCAGTGTGTCTAATAGGTGGCACATGGAGTACAAAATAATTATTCTTCAGCTTTATGACTAATATCTGCCTTGCTGGGTTTCAGATTTGTTTGGGGCCTGTTACCCCTTTCTTTTGGAGTGGGAATATCTGTCTTATGCCTGTACCACCATTTTATCTTGAAAGGAGATAATATTTTGTGATTGCACAGTCTCACAGATGAGACTCTGGACTTTGAACTTTTGAATTCATTCTGAACAAGTTAATACTTTAAGCTTATTGGGTTAGAATTAATGATTTGTATGTGAGAAAGACATGAGTTTTGGGGGGCCAGGGGTAAAATGCTCTAGTTTGAATATTCGTCCCTTCCAGAAGTCATGTTGAAATTTAGTCTCCCATGTGACAGTATTAAGAAGTGAGGCCTTTAACAGGTGATTGGGTTATGAGGGCCCTGCCCTCATGAATGGATTAATCTACTTGTGGTTTCATGTATTGGTGGATTAATGGGTTAATGGATCCATGGGTTATGGAGTGGGACTGGTGGCCTTATAGGAAGAGGAAGAGAGACCTGAGCTAGCACACTCAGCTCCCTTGCCATGTGATGCCTTGCATCATCCCAGGACTCTGCAGAGTCTTCCTACTAGCAAGGCCCTCAGCTGTTGCAGCTTCTTGATCTTGGACTTCTCAGCCTCTATACTGTAAGAAATGAATTATTTTTTTTCATAAAATACCAGTTTCAGATATTCTGCTATAAGCAACAGAAAAGGCACTAAGACAGTTTTGAACCATGGAGGCAGAGGCAGTACTTTAGCAGCAAGGTGGTACATGATAGATGCTGCATAATACATCCTCCTGTTCTCTCCCATTGTATGTTCCCCTGCACGCTGAATGTACACCTTTAATATTATTTGTTTCCATTGTTACAATATTTTTCATATTGTACTTTCTTCAATCTATTGTAAGCTTTATGAAAACATGCCTTCTCTTATTCACTGCTGTCCCCAGTACTCAGGGTGCCAGAACCTTGGCAATGAATTTCATGGCTAAAAAAATATCAGAAAGCCAGAGATTGAAAGCCTCTACGTGAATGTAATTATGAATACAGCTGTTATAAAGATTCATATGCAGGTATTTGGGTAGACATAGTTTTCGTGTCATTGGGGTAAATACCTAAGAACACAAGCAACAGATTATATGGTAAATTTACGTTCAGCTTTGTGGCTATAGGATTTCGCACTCCCACTATCAATAAATTAAAGCTCCTATTGCTCCACATCCTTACTAACAGGCAATCTGATTGCACAGCTGTCCTGCTTAGTCACCTTGCTACACAGTATAGCAGAATAAAATGCCTGTTGGCAAATTTGTCTAAAATGCTCCTGGCTAAAAATCTTGTTTTGATTATATCAATTTTTTAGTAAACTTTAAAGTTTTAAAAGAACTCTATTTTAATATAAAAATTAAAGTTAATAAAAAGATAATTATGCATTTGAGAGAGTATCAAGATTAATAAAATTTCTTTAGTAAATAGCGAGCAAGAATTAAAGAAGCTGCTGGAGAGCATATTAAGGGTGAACTACAACTTGAAATAATTTATCAGTAGAGATATACCAGGAAGAGCCTCCACATAAATGTTGTATTAGTAGTACTGATTATTTTAACAACAATAAGTGTCTGATAAGGAATGACACAGGATTTTGGACTGTGCCAGTGGAAGGGTCTCTTTCAGATAAATTATCACTCCAGTGTCAACTGTCTTCTCTAATGAAAATAAATTTGTTAAAAGATACAAAATAAGGGATAGATAGGAGTAATAAGTTCTAGTGTTCTATAGCAGTGGGATGACTATAGTGAACAATAATATATGTTTTCAAATAGCTACAAGGGAGATATTGAATGTTTCCAACACAAAGAAATAATAAATATTTGAGATGATAAATATGCTGATTACCCTGATTTGCTCACTATATATTACATGCCTTGAAACATCACTATTTACCCGTACATATATACAATGATTATATATAAAGTAAAAAAGAAAAAGCTATTTTTAAAAGTTTTATAAGATTATATACATTTTTAAAAAGATTATATAGAATATTTTATTAGATTTTATAAGAATAAAAGATTATATGTATAATCTTTTTAAAAAGGACACATACCACATATGTATTCTAAATATATATACAGAGAAGGTATTCAAGAAAATCTAATAAATATTATTCGAAGAATATATTCACATTTTTTGAAACAAGTCAAATTTAAAGATGATGCCATTATATATCTTTATAACAGTTCTAAATGTTTATGTTTTGAATAATATACTTCAAAATATCTCCTTGTGGTTTTAGTCTGCTTTTTTCTGATGACTGGTGATGTTGAACATATTATCATGTGTTTATTGGTTATTCATATATCTTATTTTGTGAAATATTTCTTCAAAAATGTTTACCATTTTATTGGGTTGTCTTATTAAATTATAAATGTTCTTTATAAATTGGTTACAAACCCTTTATCGGATATATGTTTCGCAAAAGCATATCTAGTCTGTGGCTTTAAAAAATGCTTTGCATCTCAAAGAATACTTTTAATTGGATAGAGAAACAACAAAGAAAAATTTTATAGAGAAATAACTAAGTATCTAGTTTATTTGTCATTGTAGCATGCACATACATTTTTAGAATAAACATATAGTTGAGTTATTTAAAACTTAAAACCAATCCTTAGCATTATTTTGTAATTATTTTACCTGTTTTTATGTAGGAGAAAAAGAAGTGTTCTATAAGAAGTTTGGACAAGACTCTGCAAGAAGTTAAGAGGTACTCATATCATCCTTCATTATGCTTAAGGGGTATGCCATTCAAAGAAAAATTGTAGAATATCAGACTTTAAGAAAGTAAAATAGAATTTAGAACCCTGTAAAAAGTAAGCATTCTGGTGCTGTAAAGATAAATTTATAAGCATACAGATATATTTGTGAAGTTTGTATATAATAATTTAAAATTCTTTTACAACTTTAATGGTTTGTATATAGGGATTTTGAAAAATATGTGTGTATATACTTTGAAAATTGTGTAATTTAAAAGTGCAAAGTAAAATATGACTGTTTTATGAGACCACTATTAGTGCCAGTAGTGTAGTCTTTGATATAATCAATTGTAGTAGTAATTTAAAAAATAAAGATGAATTCCCTTTAACATTTGAGCTATGTTAAGGATTCAGAAATGCTTTTCTTTGCTTTTAATTTAACAGCTTTATTGAAGGAAAATTGATATGCAAAACATTGTGCATGTTTAAAGCATACAATTTCATAAGCTTGGCTTATGTACACAGCAGTAAAACCATAACAATAATCAAAATAATGACTATTCCAAAAGTTTTGTAGGGTCAATCTGTTATCCCTGTCTCCATTAAACTACAGATCTGATTTGTCGTAATAGTCTTGTTAGCATTTTTCTGAAATTTTGTATCACTAAAATCATACACAATGTGTTCTTTTATTTTCCGGCATTTTTCACTCAGCAAAGTTATTTTGAGATTCATCTATATTATGTATATTAGTGGTTCATTCTTTCTTCAATGGCTTAGAATTCCCTTTGATGAAGAGGAAGTTTACATTTTGAAGTTGAGGCTTTCCAAGCATTCATTTCTCTATGGGATATACACAGAAATTAAATTATAAAATGTAAGTTCTTATGTGTTGTTATGTAGGGCATAGAAGTTGGTAATAAATATAAAATTTTACCTTTTTAATACTTTACAAGCTGTTATCACTTTATATATGGCTGTTAAAGTATGCATACATTTTATTATAAATAATTTATACAGTATTTCTATGAGCTAAAATTAATCTATCAAGTCTAGTTAACACTCATTTGCTTAGCAGGTCCTTAAAGGCAACTGTGAATTAACGGAGACTAGTTTTGAGAAAATCAGTCCTGATTTGTTTCTCCTGGAGTTTTCTTCTTTATGTGATCCTTCATAAAAGGTTAGTTTTTATAGTATGTACGAAATACATGGAAAGACAGGTAGGAAGCCCAAATTGTTCTAGTCTACTATGTCAGTCTCTTGTTCTGAACCACTTCTTTTTTTTGTTTGTTTTTTTTTTTTTTTTGGTCCTCAGTGTCTCTAGGATGGCTGGTCACTTTTCTAGCATCAGTCCATACTATAGAAACTGAATATGTGGGACTCTGGTCAGCTTCAGGCAAACACACATCCACATTCAGCACTTCCTGCCTTCTGCGGGTTGGGATTAATTTTTGAACCAAGATTGCTGGAGCAGGGAGATAAAAATATACAGAATCATAATGGTACTGCTTCCAGTAAAAATCTCAAATATTGTAAATATTAACATGGAATTAAATGACAGAAAAATGAAAGGAACAAAATATGAATTTTTTTCTTAGTAGGCATTTCTTAAAATCACTGTCATGAAAATTATTAATTACAGTAGTTTACAAATCAGCATGTAAGGTAAAATAGAAATACTCTTACATTTATACAAAAATGTGAAAACTTTTCAAATTATCTCCTGTTTATTCAATAATAAATTTATGAAGCAAAAAATGTGTGCAAATATATCTATATATACACACAAACACACATACTTGTGCATATATACGTATATATTAATAAAATATATTAATAAAATGTTTAGGTTATTTGAAACTTCTACCCAAAAGCTGAAGCACTCTTGAGTTTGGGAAGTTAGGATTCTGCTGCTGTCCTTTTTGTTGATTTGGTTCTTATCTCAGATGTCTTAACAGAATGACAGATTTAGGGAGTTGATTTTGTTTCACATATTAAAGATGAAGAAATCCCAGAAACTCAGAAATTTCTACTATTAGTTTTATTGCTTTTAGATAGATAGGGAGTATAAGAAGTTAGATATCCTTAGTTAATCTTAGAGAATTAAATCTATTGGAGTAAAACCATTTGGAAAGGATTTTTTATCTCCAGCTTTGGACCTTTGTTCTGCAATAACTGCAGCCATTTAAAGTAAATTGCCCATTAAAGTACCACTCAGGCTTTTGACAAATTGCATCAAACTGTTTTCTTCCTTTGGGGAAACACAAACCTGAGAACGGTGGCTTTATTTTTTCTGCTTGACATATAGGTTGCTTGAACCAGCAGGCTAAAATGCTTTTAGGTGCTCTATAAGACAACCCAAAGAGGTTATATATGGTCTAGTAGAGCCCAAGTGAAGATACTGAATACAATCAGCTTATCTTGTGTGATGACAAATAATTGGTCATGCTCTCATATCATTTATCATTTTGAAAAGAGTTCTCACTTTAAACCATGTTATAGAAGAGGACTGTAATGGAACTGACAAAGACTATAAATTCTATGTTTGTTTAAAAAGTTATTGAACCATATGAAAATAATTCAAATGTCTGGCAACATACAGATTTAAAGCACCGCAGTTGTTAGCAGTTACTATCTTACTTTTCAGTTGATGAAAGTTCAAGTTGCTAGTAATAATAGAGGTAAAAAAAATCAATTTTGATGAAAATACTTTTCAAAATCAAATTAGCAATAATCAAATATTCAAAGATAAGTATACATCTATAGTTTAGATGTTAACAGAATAAAATATTTTATTTTTTAACTTAGATTATTTTAGCTATATGAAAACCATATTTGAATTGTTATTAGTAGTAAATAGCTGTTATTCTATCTTCCCAGTGTATACTAGGAAAAAAAAAATAAACACAGCCTCCTTTTCTAACAGAAAGCTATTCACTTTAGCCTTGATTATTGATAGATTGTGGTCATGTTATTTACTAGTAGTAAAAAATGCTTTAGGTCATCAACAAAAAATTCTGATTTACAAATATGAGTAGATGAACATTAAACTAAAAATAACTTTTAAATTGCTTAAATGCTTTGATTTTAGAAAGCATTTTATGATCTATAACATTTGGCAGAGAGTATAAAATGTATTATTTCATACTGAATCAATAGTCTGGAAAGTTCTGGGTAGTGTCACTTTCCTTAACTTTCATAACTTTGATGCTTCTGAATAAACAGGCCTGTTATTTTATAGACTATTCCTGAATTTGAGTTTGTCTGATATTTCGTATTGATTAAATTCTAGTTATGCACATTTGGAAGGAATATCACAGAAGTGAGGCTATGTTTCTATGAGCAAGCATATGATTTTGATTTGTCACATTATTATGATCTTAGTTTTGATTATGTTAAAGGCATATCTGTCAGAATTCACTGTAAAACTAACTATTCATTTTACATTTGTAATAAATAAGAATTTTGTGGAGAGATACTTTGAGACTGTGTAAACATTCTATTCTTTACTAAACTTTTAATATATTCATTTATTTGTTTAGATCAGTAAATTTATTTATTATAATGCCAACATTGTTCCCTATTTGGCCAAAGGAACACTTGTCAAGCAAGCTTTTCTGTCTTTTTGATATATCTCCATCATTCTTCAAGTGCTTTATTATTTTTCTGGCACAATAATATTTTCCAGACCTACTTCCTACTTTCTCTGCCCCAGTCAGCTATTTCTCCAAGGAGGTCCAATTACTTTAGTAAAGAGTTATATTAAATCAAAATCTGGTAGTGAAGAATTATATTAAATCAAAATCTGGTAGATAGATGCACTTATTTCTCTGCGCCATGTGGGCAAATGCATCATGTGTCTAGCACATACAAGTGTTACATGTAAATTATTTTTACCCTTCGAGTAGTAAATAGTTGACCACACTAATAAATTTTTGTTTGCAGTCATGTATCACTTAACAATAGGGATATGCTCTAAGAAATGTCGTTAGGCAATTTTGTTAGTGTGAACATCACAGAGTGTGCTTACACAAAACTAGATGGTGTAGCCTACTACACACCTAGACTATAGGGTATAGTCTTGCTCCTAAGCTACAAACCTGTACAGCATATTGCTGTACTAAATACTGCAGGCCATTTTAACACAATTGTATTTGTGTATCTAAACATAGAAAAGGTACAGAAAAATATGGTATTATAGTCTTATGACACCATTGTATATGCAGTTCATTGTTGACCAAAACATCATTATGTGTGCATGATTGTATTGTGAAAGTTGTCAGAATCAAAATGGAGTAACTTGTGAAAAAAAAAAAAACTTGACAAATAGAGTTAGAGAAAACCATAAGATGTGTAAATGCCTGATAACAAAAACTATGACAAAAGACTGCAAAAACTATAACCTTGCCCAAAGGCCATTAAAACATTACACTAAAAGTCCGTCTGTGAGGATATTTACCTGGCAATTGCCTGTTAAACCTCAGAATTGTGTCACCCTTATTATTGGTCCTTGTAGTAAAGGGTAATTATCTCAAAACAATTTTGTAATTCTCCTCATTTTTTCCTTTAAAAATGTTTGTTTTCCTTTACTTCCCTGAGTACTCACATAGTTTACTATGGCATGCATGTTCCCCTTTGCAATGCCCTATTCCCGAACAAATGTCATTTTCTTTTAGAGAGCCTCTCTCTGTTTGTTATTTAGGTTGAGAGTGTGCATGCATTTATAGGTTTTAAAGGACTGAAAAAATAGATCAATCCTGGCTGAAGTACAGGACATATCGTCTCAATTTTGTTCTCAATTTTGGCTCCATATTTTATGTACCTGAGGGAGCTTAAGAAAGTGAATGTCTCAGTCTACCCCCAGAGATTTTGATTTAGTTGGTTTGGGGGATGGTCTGGGCATTAAGACTTTATGGAAACTTCCCAGGTGATTCTAATGTGCAGCCAAGGTTGAGAGTTTGAGAACAGTTCTAGTAATACGCCACTATTTCATGTATGTTCATGGAGTCTCCTAATATGAGTAAGATTTCACCAGGACCTCTATTTCCTGGCTCATTTAGGCAGCTTCTGATTCAAAAAGTTCACAAGGGCTATGGGCAAAGAAGACATTTCTAGAAAATGAATTATTTTACATTAGTTAGCTACCTTGGAGAAATTATGAGTTTAAACTCTTTTTTTTTGCTCCATTGGCTTAAGTGGAGTTTGAAAGCAAGTCGTGGCCTCTTTGGACGCCTTTTCCCTCGGTTCATACCACCACTTTGGCTTTGTGGACATTGCCACTATGAACATGAAGGATGTGTGGAAAAAGCAAGTTAGCAAGGGTTCTTTTTTCCCCAAAACCTTATAGTAGAGCTGACCTTTAAAACATTTTCTCTGAGGTTCTGTGAGCAACCATCCTTGTCAGGATTAGTTCAAAGTTTCCCAATTTCATATACTTGACAGAATTATCTGGTAATTATATAATAATAACAACAACAACATAAAGCAGATCCTTCACCTCACCCCAGCTAGTCTCAGAAACACAACTGGTCAGCATAAGATTAAAGGGGCTGAGGAGAGCACCCATAGTAAAGCTTGCTAATGCAGCAGCCTTTCGAGATGCACCATGATACCTCAGCAATGACGTCTTAATAAGTTTTATAAATTTATTGAGTCTAATGAATTTTTGTTAGCTCTGCTAACTCTCTCTCACTTTGCTCCTTTTGCAGCTGCTAATATGGGAAAGATTGAAATCAGCAAGTTTCTGGCTGTAAGCTAAAAGAGGCTCTTGAATCATATTTCCGCCTGCTTAGCAAATTTCTCTTGCGACAATTGGATGTTATTTGGGGTTCCATACTAGCAGGAAGAAGTACAAGCAAAGCTAAGTCATTTTGAGAATAAATATTATCTCTCTATATATTTGTAAATGTTATTTTCTTTTTTTTTGAGGTTTATGATTGATCCTTGGCATGTGTCCCCTTGTGTATTGCTCTACTAAAAATAGCCTAAAAAAGAATTTTCCCCTCGATGTGGAGCTTCTCTTTAGTTACAATTCTACTTTCTCCTTCACTTGAGTATCAGTCTTCAGAGAACTACCATAACAAAGGAGTGGATACAGATATACGCAAAAAAGTCTATGAGAAAATTAGTACATTAAATTTGTGAAAGCTCATTTAAAGTAATTTTCTACTAACAATTTTAATCAAATGTATTAATCATATTTCTATGCTTAGTGATGTTAAATAAAAATTTAAAAGGTGGCAATCAATAAACAGAGATAAAAGCTTCTCAAGAATAAATGAAAGGAAGTAATAAAAAGACTCACTAAGCTGAATTGCCTCCTATCAACAGCAGCTGATAAAATATTAAAAGATTTGCCTTGTGTAATGTCTCTGGAGAGCTGTCTTACTGATGTACGAGGCCATGATTGACAACTTTGAGACTTTGCTGGAAGCGACAAAAGTATATCTATAATATTATGCTGAATTGCATAGGTCTTTCTTCTTAAATGAGGCTAGAAATAACATACCACCAAGTGTTTGGCTTTTAGGAAATTGAGCATTTTCTTTAGTTCTAGCTGCAGTTTAATTTCCTCAGAATTAGACATTATGCGGTATCTGGAACGTTAAAAAAAAAAAAAAGCAAAAACAGAGTATTGTACCTAATGATATGTCAAATAATTTTGGAGGAATTAAGAAATCACTGGAAGAAATTACATGGGTGGGTAATGGTTTTTATGTCACAATAAATAATTAGTAATATTTACTGACACATTTCATGTGCCTGGTACTGAGCTAAATGATTTATGTGCATTGTTTGTATTAAGCCCCCAAAATTCTGTGGTATATGTAATGATATTTCCATTTTTCTTGAGATAAGGAACTGAAACTCAGAAAAGTTAAGGAACTTGTCCAAGATTATAGTAAGTGGCTTAGTTCAATTTTGAATCTAGATCAATCTGACTCCAACCAGCATGATGAACTGAAACTGACTATGAGGCTGGTGACACTCTAGGCATTTATTCACAAGAGGTATTGTGATGACATGTGAGAGAATGTTGGATGAAGGAAGCACATACTAGAAAGATAGGAAAGACCAGAAAACACAGGGAAGTGCTATTTATTTGCTTTCCTAGTTCCAGTAACTTGGTCTAATGGGGAGGATGAAAGTAGACAGATACCTGAAAACACTTTGAGATTTATGTATAAGCAGCATGACTTCAGTGACCAAGCCACACAGAATCTGGGAGTGGAACATTTTCTTTGGTCATTATGCCACTGCGGCATGGTTTGTTAGTGCAGTGAGAACTAAAGTATAGTGTGGTAACCTGAAACTGTTATGGTTATGGGTACACCTGGGTGGGTAGCTGTTCACCCCTTCACAGAGGGTAGGAGTGGTGATAGCAAAGTAGCTCTTCGCAGTAACTTTCAGAACATAGACATTATGTAAGATCTGAAGTTTGAAAACCTGAAACAAAAGCAGAGCATTATATCCAAGCACATTGGAGACAACTGTGGAGGAATCAAGGAACATCTAGCAGAGATTTAATGTTTTAGGGACTGTTTTTTATTTCAGAAGGTAATAAGTGTAAAACAGTCAAACTCTAGGCATAGGGATGAACATTATTTTGTGTCATAAATTTGTCTAATATAGTTGCTGCTTCAGCATCCAGTTTTGGCTTGTCATGGTCAAGGTGACCAGTCATGCCCTGTCACCTTTGGTTTTATTAAAATTTTCCCTCCTTTAGTGGTTATTTGTGATATAGCCCTGTTGTTCCCCATCTCACTGACCCCAAATTCAACACATGCCACAGCTGCTGGCCACAGTGAAAACTAATGATCAACACCAGTCATGTGAATAAGACGTCCCTTCATGTGTTTTCTTTAAGCTAGCCTATCCACAGCCCCATGGGAAAGCCTAAAGAATAGTACCTGTGGATTATAATAAAGACGTCTTACTGGTTCTTGCTCTCTATCCCTCTCTCTACACACTGGTCAAGTACACTCTTGTCTCCAGACTTCCCATTGGCCTCCTGTCAACACCTGTACCCACTCTGGACCTGGGAATAATAAACTTCTTTTTTTTTTTAATGTATTTTGGTTTCACTTCCTCATTGTATCTCACCTGACACACACATACTATAGTGTTCTCAATATTATTTAATGTGTTTAACAAATCATAACAGATAATATATGATTGACACTGTGCCTCCTGATTTGATGCAATATGGACTATTCCACATCACTGATGAAGTAGTCATACAAAAAATATTTATCTTGAATCAAAGCAAGATTTTATACCAAAATTCTAGTTCAAGTTACCTGATAGAGGAACATATTAAACAATACTATGTGTAAACAATACTATGTGTAAACAATCAGAAAAATAATAGATTGTAGCCTTCAAAAAACGATGGCCTTACAAAACAAATAAACAAAAAGTTTGTGTGGGTGTGTACATGCAAGGGCTAATCTCAAATGCAGAAAGACCAGAATACAATAACAAATATAATTCTTGAAAGTGGATTTCATCTTGGTTTACCAAAAATAGCTATGAGGGAAATTTGGGTAAGAATTAGAGAATTCTGAATATAGAATGAATTAAAACATATTATGAATTAAGTTAATATTTTTGATGTTTTCTTTTGATATGTTCTTTTAGAATATGTAATATCCCTATTTATTGGAGATGTGTGCTAAATTATTTACAAATATTTGGGTATCTGAAATTTACTTTCAAATGCACCAAAAATAATAGCTATACAAAAAGAAATACATTAAATTTACTCTATAGTAGTAGTTATTCTTTCTGAGAGGTTTACACAGTATTTTCCTGTTCTTTTGTATGTATGTATTTTTAAAAGAACGTAGGCCTGGCGCAGTGGCTCACGCCTATAATCCCAGCACTTTGGGAGGCCGAGGTGGGCGGATCACGTGGTCAGGAGATCGAGACCATCCTGGCTAACACGGTAAAACCCCGTCTCTACTAAAAACACAAAAACAAAATTAGCCAGGCGTGGTGGCGGGCGCCTGTAGTCCCAGCTAATCAGGAGGCTGAGGCAGGAGAATGGCGTGAACCCGGGAGGCGAAGCTTGCAGTGAGCCGAGATCATGCCACTGCACTCCAGCCTGGGCGACAGAGCGAGACTCCGTCTCAAAAAAAACAAAAACGAAAACAAAAACAACATAAATAAATTGATAATATATCTATTTTGATACAGTCATGGTTAACATAAATAATCCTGGTTATATCCATATAAAACCATGAATATACAGTAATAAATATTATAATTACAAGTAAATCACCATAAATAAATTCTGTTTTCAATGTTTCTACTCCCAGTTTTTAAATTTGTTTTGAAGTAATTGTACATTTTTATGGTATTCAGGTATACATACTATACTTTATTGTCAATTATATATTGTGGAAACAAGTTTATTCTTTCAGAATAAGGTTATTCAGCCCTGAGAAAATTGATTTATATTATTTCTTATTTTTTGCTATAAATAATTTTATATTTAAATTTAATGTTTACAATTTACATTAGTATGCATATTAGTTGAAGTATTCCATTAAATGTCTCATGGATTGTTTTTAATTTAATGTCACATTTTAAAATGTTATATAAATACATACTTAAATATTCAGAAATATTACTCAAGTGTGAAACCCAGAATCATCACTATAAACATATAAAATGCATTTTGATACATCAGAATAAAAATGGAAAATAAATATAATTTCTGTTGAGCTTTTGAGGAGAAACAAATTTACTTAGTAAAAATAATAGGAAAAGATGTAGCAAAGAATGATAAATAATATTACAAGCAAAATAATTTGACTAGATGTGATGGAAAATACAGCAATAAAAATAATTTCACAAAGATTAAAGAAAAGATTTCTTAAGACTATAACAAAAATAAGCTTACTAAGTCCCAGTTTTGGTCAAAGGCCAATTTGTAATTTTTATGCATGGCTACAACATATTAGCTAGCAAGGATCACAGAAATTGCAAGGTATCTCTCCACATTGGTTATGAATATCCTTTATTGGTTTTCTCTAGTTCCAGGTGATGAAAAATCCTAAGTATCACTGAGGGTTTGCTGTAATTTAATGACTAGCCTTGATTTATATATTTACATCCAAATAGTTTTAACCATGATGATATAAATAGTAATCTAAATACATAACCCTTTATCTACCAAAGTTGTATAAACAATTACTGATTTTGTCTTTTATTATCCTTTTGAAATTGTTCCCTTTCCCCTTTTGCTTCCCTTTATTACATATCTGCAGACAAAAAGCAATACTTGTCATGTGGTCAAAAACAGATGAAAAATATAAAGCCCCTCCTACCTTTTTTTTCTAAATTGTTAGTGGCTAAAGAACAGGCACAGTGTTGTTAGTAAATTTTCTAAATGTTATTTCCTTATATGTGCGGTTTCCTGATGCTTACACCTTTTCTTCATCTTACATTGTCAAACGGCCCCTAGTACAGTGCCCTGTCCTCCAAGACGTCAGATAAATGTCTCACTAACTAAATATGTTGTATGTATTCAACTTCATGGAATTAAGTTATTAGTCATTTTTCTTAATTTTTAAATCTAGAATTATTTGGTATAATCATATATCATTGTTCATTAATTATCTCTTTATGAGAAAAATCTGATATGGTGAAATAATGAAGTGTTATGCATCATGCAAAGAAAAGGGCACACTCTTCAGAATCTGCAGGTTTCAACAATAGGTTCATTGAGAGTCAATACAAAAGGAATTAGCTTTCCAAATTTTACAAAACCAATTTATATAAAGACTTCAAGCCTCTTAGGAACAAGAGAAAAAGAAAGATCAAATCTATTGGAACCAGTGTTGATGAACTTACTATGATGCCTATATTTTTAAAAAGCAGAAAACATCTACTGATAATTCGACTTGGAAAATAATTTTTTTAATCAGCATTTTAAGGTCTCACTTTCTGTATCAATTTTAAATGATGATTTTGACTTATTTACCCAAAGTATTACATGATCGGACTTCCTCTTTATGATTTGAAATTGTAGTTCTCTGTCTGTAGAGTTTATTTTTAAAATATCTCTGTGCAACTTGCTTTTTAAAACAACAGTACATTCTTTAGGGCAGTTTTAGGTTCACAGCAAAACTGAACAGAAAGTACAAAAGATCCTGTATACCCATTAACCTCAGACATGCACAGCTCCCCTCCCTCACTATCAATATCCTGCGCCAGAGTGGTACATTTGTTGCAATCAATGAACCTATATTGACACATTATTATTACCCAAAGACCATAGTTTAAGGTTCACTCCTTGGTGTTGTCCTTCCTGTGGATTTTGATGAATGTGTAATGACATGTATTATAGTATCCTACAGAGTAGTTTCACTACCCTAAAAATCCTCTAAACTCTGCCTACTCACTTCTCCTTCCCTTGACCCCTGGCAACCATTGATCTTTTTACCTTGTCCCTAGCATCTTTATCAGACTGTCTTGTGCAGTATGTATGAAAGAGGCCCTTTTCAGATAGGCCTCTTTCACTTAATAATACGTCATTAAGATTTCTCCCTGTATTTTTTATGGCTAAATTGTTCTTTTCTTGGTAGTGATGAATAATGTTCAGTTGTCTGGATGTACCCCCATTTAACTATACATTCAACTATTGAAAGACATAGTATGACCCCATACTTAATGTAAATATAACCTGATTCCCTTTGCCAAGAATTGTATTTTGAATAGGCATATGACACTTCTCTGAACAAGATATGAGGTGATGTGCAATGACTGGTTTCCAAGCATTATTTCCTAACTCTTAGTAAGGGACATAAAGGAATATATAGAACTGTCTTATTTTCTGTATGCTGTCTAATCTACTTGGGGATGTGGAAGCTTTTCTATGGCCATGAAGAAAACTAGCAGAGAAAACACTGTGAGAGTGGCTAAGGAGAACAATAGAAAAAACATGGATTTTTGAAATCTTTAACAAAATCTT
Source organism: Homo sapiens (assembly GCF_000001405.40). Classification (NCBI taxonomy): domain Eukaryota; kingdom Metazoa; phylum Chordata; class Mammalia; order Primates; family Hominidae; genus Homo; species Homo sapiens. The sequence continues at coordinate 186,027,530 of NC_000002.12, read as the reverse complement.
GAGTTGCTGGTATCATATTTCACTATGCAGAGTATCAGATCTTTCTTATTGCCAACGAGTTGAGTTAGAATTCTAGCTTCTGGCTGCCCAATCACAATATATGTATTTACATTGAAACATTTAGAAAAGATAGGCACTAATCTAATTTAAAATAAATTTTAAGTTTAGTTGTTATATTAATATTCATATTAATTAACTCAATAATTTTTAATAAAAACTAGTCATATTCTGAGACAATTATTTAAAGTGTAATCTGAATCAATTTCTAATATAAGACTAGGCTAAGTGCCGGATCTTTGGTTCTCTTTGTAATTGTTTTTTTCTTGTATTACTTGTGTTCTTTTTTTAATTAAAAATGTATTTTCATTTTATTTAAATATTTTTACCTGCCTGAAGAGAGATCCTGAGGGTACATATGTATAGTTTTTAAGAACATCTTTTGGGCCTACTTTCAGAGACAATTAAGATTTTGGAAGACCCTTGGAAGTTTGAGGATTTTTCTGTCTTCAGATGCATTTTGAAGGCTTAGTACTGACTTGTGGTTAATATATGCTTGGAACTGACTATATTTTTTTGCTCATTGCCACTCCAAAGCTATCATAGTCTATAGTCAATCTGTTTTATACCTAGAGACTTTTACATTCCCAGAATAAACTTATTTTAATGTTATCATTATCATTGAATAGCTCCCACAAAATGACTTACAGACTAAATTTTTGTCCCAGGAACTCTTCTATGCCAATTTATATTACCTCAAATCCTCTAAAATAGCCATCTCTTTTTTTTAAATTAATTTATTATTATTATACCTTAAGTTTTAGGGTACATGTGCACAATGTGCAAGTTAGTTACATATGTATATATGTGCCATGCTGGTGCGCTGCACCCACTAACTCGTCATCTAGCATTAGGTATATCTCCCAATGCTATCCCTCCCCCCTCCCCCCACCCCACAACAGTCCCCTGATTGTGATGTTCCCCTTCCTGTGTCCATGTGTTCTCATTGTTCAATTCCCACCTGTGAGTGAGAATATGCGGTGTTTGGTTTCTTGTTCTTGCGATAGTTTACTGAGAATGATGATTTCCAATTTCATCCATGTCCCTACAAAGGACATGAACTCATCATTTTTTATGGCTGCATAGTATTCCATGGTGTATATGTGCCACATTTTCTTAATCCAGTCTATCATTGTTGGACATTTGGGTTGGTTCCAAGTCTTTGCTATTGTGAATAATGCCACAATAAACATACGTGTGCATGTGTCTTTATAGCAGCGTGATTTATAGTCCTTTGGGTATATGCCCAGTAATGGGATGGCTGGGTCAAATGGTATTTCTAGTTCTAGATCCCTGAGGAATCGCCACACTGACTTTCACAATGGTTGAACTAGTTTACATTCCCACCAACAGTGTAAAAGTGTTCCTATTTCTCCACATCCTCTCCAGCACCTGTTGTTTCCTGACTTTTGAATGATTGCCATTCTAACTGGTGTGAGATGGTGTCTCATTGTGGTTTTGATTTGCATTTCTCTGATGGCCAGCGATGGTGAGCATTTTTTCATGTGTTTTTTGGCTGCATAAATGTCTTCTTTTGAGAAATGTCTGTTCATGTTCTTCGCCCACTTTTTGATGGGGTTGTTTTTTTCTTATAAATTTGTTTGAGTTCATTGTAGATTCTGGATATTAGCCCTTTGTCAGATGAGTAGGTTGTGAAAATTTTCTCCCATTCTGTAGGTTGCCTGTTGACTCTGATGGTAGTTTCTTTTGCTGTGCAGAAGCTCTTTAGTTTAATGAGATCCCATTTGTCAATTTTGGCTTTTGTTGCCATTGCTTTTGGTGTTTTAGACATGAAGTCCTTGCCCATGCCTATGTCCTGAATGGTAATGCCCAGGTTTTCTTCTAGGGTTTTTATGGTTTTAGGTCTAACATTTAAGTCTTTAATCCATCTTGAATTGATTTTTGTATAAGGTGTAAGGAAGGGATCCAGTTTCAGCTTTCTACATATGGCTAGCCAGTTTTCCCAGCACCATTTATTAAACAGGGAATCCTTTCCCCAATGCTTGTTTTTCTCAGGTTTGTCAAAGATCAGATAGTTGTAGATATGTGGCGTTATTTCTGAGGGCTCTGTTCTGTTCCATCTCAAATTAACCAAAATATATGTTTCCAAGAATAGGAGATGAAAAATAAAGTCATTATAAGTTTTAGAATAAGAGCATCCATAATTAACCCAGCATGCCATTTTATCCTATAATTTAAATTACTCTATTTTTATTCCATGATTTGTACTTGTTAAATTCAACAGACATTATGACCACCTATTTCTCTGTTACAACAAAAAGTTCTAAGAAAAAGAAATCAGTCATTGATTCACAAAATCACTCCCACAGGATTAGATAAAACATCTGTTTGTTTTCTTGGAAAGTAGAATGAAATGATATATAATAACTGACTTACCAACTTTACTAAAATTAGACATGGAAAGAATGGGAAGGAATAGACAAATAAACTAGCCTTAGAGGAATGTCCTTTGGTTCAATAGGACTTCATGCAACTGGAATGAGAGGTTACTTTTAGAGGCTTTTATAAGTAACTCTTTGGAGCAAAGTAGGGGAATAAAGACGTTTAAGAGTCCAAGTATAAAGTTTATTAATTCATTTATTTAACAAACACTTGCTGAGTGCCTACTGTGTGGCAAATATTATTCCCAAGTCTGCATAATATAGGCAATTGTTTTTGCATTCATCATTCAGAACTTACACTGTAATGAAGGAAGGAGAAAAGAAAAATGAAATGTAGAAAAATGGATGCATGCTAATAAGTGCTATGGAATAAAAAAGCAAAGCAAAGCAAAGTACATTGTGAGTGTGAGGTATGGGATACATTTATTGAGTTGCTGTTTAAAATAGAATGATCAGAATAGACCCACCTTGAAGGTGATATTCAGCTTGTATCAGATACTTCAATATTTTAGAACAAGTCAGTAGTAAAAGGTTGACTGGTTCATCTTGCAGGCAAATTTACCATGGAAAGGTGAGCATTATAATAACTTTTAAGTATATGAGAACGTTTACATTTGTGCACACACACTAGTGTATAATTATCTCATAGATATTATCTTAGAAGGTTGTCGTTGTTAGCTCATTTACATGTGAAATATCAGACTCAGAGAGGTTAAGTGACTTGTCTGAGGTCAATTGATTAGTGCTTTTGGCTCTAAGTTCTTTCTTTAAATTTTGTTAAGTTGTCTATCTCTCGTATTGAATTTTTTACTAGCCTTTTAGATGGCTGTTGTGAGATATCACATTTTATCACTTCCAGACTTAGTCCGATTTCATCTAATTACTTTGAACAATGAATTATTATTTTTAATTGGAAAAGTCTAGTTGTCATTATTATTACTCTGACCATAGAGAGTTATTTCATATAATCATTCATATTTTTACCATTTAATGTTATGATAATATTCATAAGCTTTAGCATAGGCAGCCCATTTAATTGGCACTATTGAATGTCAGCACAGGCATAAAAATGCAGGTGAGTTTCTTTTATTAAAAGTGCCCCAAACAGAGTCACATGTCAAATGTAATAACAATCTCATATTTCTGACTTACTTGCTTATGATTGTCCATAAGCCAGTAATAGGTTATTCAAAGTCATTAAAATAAATTGATTTGAAAAATTACATTCAGTAAAAATGCATGTAGAAAGCAACATTTAATTCAGAGTAATAAGTATTTTTGTTTTGTTACACATAATGAATGCATCTAAGTAAATTCCTACAGGGTCTTATTAAATATTTTCAGTGATGATTGCTAGATGCTTAGCATGATTTTCTGAAGTATATGAAATAGAGTTAGAAACTGTCTTGGAGATTATAATTATGTGGCATCGCACAATTATCACATAGGAGCTGACAACCAGAAAATATATATTTTCTAAGTAAGTTGTGATGCAAGAAAGCAAAGTTATGAAATCCATTTTCCATTAATAGTTTATAAGAGAGTTATCTCTAACCTTTTTCTAACACATACTTAGTAATCATCTCAAATATGTGATACAGTGCATAAAAATTAAGAATTAATTATATTGGTAAGAAGTACTGATTAAAAATTATTGATGAGAGAAATACATTGATCATGAAATAAAATGTCCATCATGATGATGTTAAGATGAGAACAGAGAAAGGTAGTAATCTAACTCTAAAAAGACTTGTAGATATATACAGAATATTCAATCCAACAACAGAATGCACATTTTTCTCAATTGCATATGGAATATTCTCCAGGATAGATCATATGTTAGAAAACAAAACAAGCCTCAGTAAAATTAAGAAAGATAGAAATTATATCAAATATATTTTCAGTTTGAAACTAGAAATCAATCAGGAGGAATTTCAGAAAATTCATAAATATCCAGAAATTAAACAACGTGCTCCTGAACAACCAGTTGGTCAGTGAACAAATTAAAAGAAAAATTAAAATATTTGCAACAATTGAAAATGGAAACACAGCATACCAAACCTATGAAATACAGCAAAAGCAGCTCTAAGAGAAAAGTCTTTAGGAATACATGGACCCATCGAAAAAGAAGATCTCAAATAAATAACGTAATGTTACACCTCAAGGAACTGGAAAAAGAACAAACCAAACGTACATAAGCAGAAGGAAAGAAATAATAAAGATCAGAGCAGAAATATGTGAAATAGACACTAGAAAAAAATACAAAAGATTCTCAAAATGATTGATTGGTTTTTGAAAAGATAAACAAAATTGAAAACCTTTAGCTAAACTAAAGTGGGCACAAAATCAGAAATGGAAAAGGAAACATTATAATTGATACCACAGAAATACAAAAAAATATAGTGGACTACTATGAACAATTATGCACTAAAAAATTAAATAACCCAGAAGAAATAAATTTCTAGACACATATAACCTACTAAGACTAAATCATGAAGAAGTAGGTCTCAATAGAGATTTCCCATAACAAGCAAGGAAATTAAATCAGTGATAAAATGTCTACCTTCAAAGAAAAGCCCAGGACCTGATGCCTTCACAGCAGAATTCTATCAAACATTTAAAAAAGAACGAATACCAATCCTCAAATTTTTCTGACATATCAAAGAGGAGGAATGCTTGCAACCTTTTTTAATGAAGCCAGCATTACCCTGATACCAAAGCCAGACAAGGACATTACAAAAAAAGAAAACTGTAGGCCAATCTTCGTGATAAATATAGATACAAAAATCCTTAACAAAATACTAGCAAACCAAATTCAACAACACATGGTGGAAGGATCTTCCACCATGATCGAGTAGGATTTATCCCTGTGATGCAACGATTGTTGAAATATATGCAAATCAGTAATTGTGATACATCACAATAACAAAATGAAGAACAAAAATCATACGATCATCTAATTAGATGCATAAAAAGCTTTGACAAAATTCAACATCCTTGCGTGATAAAAGCTCTCACCAAATTAGGTATAGAAGGAATATACAGTGATACAATAAAGACCATATAGGAGAAGCCAACAGCTAACATTATACTCAATGTTCAAAAGTTGAAGTTCTTTTTAGATTTCTCTAAAATCTGAAACAAGGAAAGCTTACTCTTGCCACTTCTATTCAACATAGTATTAAAAGTTCTTGCCAGAGCAATTTTATGTAAGAGAAAGAAATAAGGCACTCAAATAGGAAAAGAAGTGAAACTGCCTTTGCTGAGGACATTATCTTATGTATAGAAAATGTAGAACACCCTACAGGTTTCACCTCAAATCTGTTAGAACTAAATTAATACTGTAAAATTGCAGAATACAAAATCAACATACAAAAGTCAGCAGTGTTTCTAAAAACTAATGGCAAATTTTCTGAAAAAAATCAAAGGTCAATTTCATTTATAAAATAGCTACAAAGAAATAAAATAGTTAAGAATAAATGTAACCAAAAATGTGAAAGACTAGTACATTGAACCATAAAATATCAATAAAGGAAATTCAATAAGAAGCAAATAAACAGAAAAGTATCTCATGCTCATGGACTGGAAGAATTGCATATTTTTATAATAAAATGTCTGTACAATCCAAAGAGATCTACAGATTCAGTGCAGTGCTTATCCAAATTCCAGTGTAATTTTTCATAGCTATAGAAAAAAACAACCGTAAAATTCACATGGAACTAAAAATCCGTGAATAAAGAAGGCAACCATGAGCAAGAAGAACAAAGCTGGAGGCATTACACTATCTAATTTCAAACTATACTACAAAGCTGAAGCAATTAAAACAGCATGGTACTGGCAAAAAAAAAAAATAGATATATTAACCAATTGAACAAAATAGTGACCCCAGAAATAAACCCATGTATGTACAGTCAATTAATTTTTAACAAAGATGCCAAGAATATGCAAAGGGAAAAAGACAGTCTCTTCAATAAATGGTCTTGGGAACACTAAATATCCACATGCAGGAGAATAAAATTGGATCCTCATCTCACACCATATACAAAAAACAAACCAAAATGGATTAAACACTTAAACATGGCACCGGAACCTTTAAAGCTAATAGAGGAAAACATCAGTGAAAATTCACACAACTTTGGGCCATGAAATTATTTTTGGATATCACCCAAAACACGCATGCAACAAAAGGATAAATAGACAAATAGGATTACATCAAACTAAAATTTCTGCACACCAAAGGAAACAACAACATTCAAAGACAGCCTGTGGATTGTCAGAAAATATGTGTAAGCCATTCATATGATAAGGGGTTAATGTGCAAAAAAATGCAAGTAACTCAACTCAACAGCAAAAAACAAAAAACCCAATTAAGAAAGGGGCAAAAGACTCGAACAGACATTTCTCAAAGGAAGACATACAAATGGCCAACAAATATATACAAAAATGTTCAACATCACTAATCACTACGCAAATGCAAATTTAAACCACAATGAGATATCATCTCACATTTGTCAGAATGGTTATTAACAAAAGATGAAAAATAAGTGTTAGCAAGATGTGGAGAAAAGGGAAGCCTCATACGCTTGGTGAAATGTAAATTGGTGTGGGCCTTATGGAGAACTGTGTATGGAGGTTTTTCAAAAAAACTAAAAATAGAATTGGCATATAATCCAGCAATCCCACTTCTGGGTATTTACTCACAAGTTTTAAAATCAGTTTGTCAAAGAGATGGAGATGTCTGCACTCTATGTTCTCTATAGCATTATTCACTACAGCCAAGAAAGGGAATCAATCTACGTGTCCATCAACAGATGAATGAAGAAAGAAAATGTATATATACACAATAAAATGCTATTCAGGCTTAAAAAGAATATTCTGTTATACGTAGCAACATGAACAGAATTGGAGAGCATTATACTAAATGAAATAAGCCAGGCAAAAAGAAAATACCACATAATCTCACTTATATGTAGAATCTAAAACAATTAAACTCATAGAAGCAGAAAGTAGAATGGTGATTACACAAAGCAGGGGCATGGGAGAATGAAGAAATAGTAGTCAAAGGGCACAGAATCTCAGAGACAGAAAGGATATGTTTTTCTTCTTGAGTTCTATTGCACAGCATGGTGAATATAGTTAATAACACATTGCAGTACATTTCAAAACTGCTAAAAGAATAAATTTTTAATGTTCTCATCCCAGAAAATTTTAACTGTTTGAAGTGATGAATATGTTAACTAGCTTGATTTAATTATTTCTCAATATATTTGTAAATCATGACATCACTTTTTGCCCCATAAATCCATATAATTATAAATTGTCAATTTACAACAGCAAGGGAAATAGGTGAACCCAAGAGGTAGAATCATACCACTTGGGTTTGTTATGCACCACTTCATAATGCATTGGATATAGACATAAAGGAAAGTGTGATGTCAAATATGGCTTCTAAATTTCAGAATTGCATGATATATTGATAGTTATCATTGTATTAGTTAATATTAGAAGAGCATCACGCAGGAAGAGAGGGAATAAGGCACTTAGTTTTGCACATGTTGAGTTTCAGGTACCTTAGTGGTTTACAAGTACATGTGTCAAGTAGGCAGTTGAACATACACAGAGATCAGAGGAGTGATCCAAGTTGGGGATATAAAAATGTGAGCAACCAATGGACTATAGAGAGCAGTTAAATTTATTAGCATGAATGAGGTATCCAAGGTTGAGAGTAAAAAATAAAATCAGAAGAGGTATTATCACTAAATCTTGAAGAATTGCAACAAATATGCAAGTAATGCATGATGGGCCTATGAAGCAGATAGAAAAAGAGGGGCAAAAGAGGAAACAAGAAATCCGGAAGATATTATCCTGGAAGCTAAAGAGAGAACTTCATGAATGAAGGTACATGTACATGCTGTCAAGAGCTAAGAAAGGTGACCGATCCTATTGCCATTGGACATAGCCAGCTTTGCTATGCTCTGGTTTTTTTTTGATACATATTTATTTCTGTTACCTAAAAAAAAATCGTAGTATGTCTAAATGAGAAGTCAATTTTAATAACCTGATAGCTTTGATGATACAAATATTAAAAACTTCTGACAACTAAAAATTAAATACCAAATCAAAGGTTAGTGAAAAATTAGAAAAAACTTTGGAAGCACATATTATGAAGATTTATGATACAATATTATTATACATCAATAAAAATGATGACCACTGCAATAGAAAAATGGGACAAGAAAATAAAACTGAATAGGCAGTTCAGAAAAATAGTAATGCATCTGTCTGGTAAACTTAAAAAAATACTCATCAAATGAACATCTAATTTCTGTACTGTAAAGGTGAGGACCAAGTCCTGAAAACCAGTAACTCCTCCTCAATTTGGAAGGTATACGTCTACCTTCTGTTTCCCAGCTAATAGTAGTTAATTAGGTTTACATTCAGGTTTTATAGCTTGATTGAAATGTATAAACTGTTATAACATCTTTCTGAAGGAGAAATTTTTTGAGTGATCATAGTTTATTTAAAACACTATAATTCAGAGCTATAAAGCAGAATTAAAGAAAAGCAAAAGAATGACTCTTTTTCTTATCAACTAGAAGGAATGTGTGTGTTTTCCACTATGGAAAATAAAGATGAATGTTTAAATAAAGGCTTAAGTGAAAATGAGTGGCCTAGAGTTGAGAGCCCTCTATAGTTCTAGGCTTGTCAATAATATTTTTATGCATGTTTTCTCATAAACAAGATCTGTTATGAGGAATACATAAGTTACTCTAATGGAAAAATAATCTGTATTTTTGTCTCTGAGATCAAATGTACGTTGGCCAACGTATTATTCACATATTCAGAACTTTTCACATATTCAGATGAATATTCTGAATATTCACCTATTCAGAACTATGTACATCTCTTCTGATGTACATAGAAATATGAAGAGAATATCAGCAATGACATTTAAATGCAGTATCTTTATCAATAGAAGTTTATGCTATTTTAGTAATGTCAGGATGATGAATAGCATATAATTCATAGAAAAATGGCCCAGAGCAGATACACGGAATTAACATAGGATGAATTCATCTGGTAATAAGTCAAATGAAATTTTCAGTTTTATAATCTTAACGTTTCAAGAAGCTAATCTTAATTTACAATTTATTTTCATGATTTGAATGTTTTGAACCATTCTTTTAACCTAATTAAATTGTGTCATTTAACCTAAATTGACATTATTTTTACATTTTTAAGAGGTTAAAGTTTTCTAATATATTGTACTGAAAGATCCATTTGAAATGGAAATAAACACACTTTTCCAAGGGAAGCAGTTTGGTCTAATTCCAATATCATGTTTCTTCCCTATTTATTCAATACTTCTAAACAAAACTTGTTCAAAAATTTGATGCATTCTTTCAAAACTTACTTAAGTGTTATTTACACGTGCATGTCCAATACAATTAATGAAATCCAAAATCTCTGGAGCACCAAGCCACTGTCTTCCTTTTCTTTGTATTTTCCTACATACGTAATACAGGTCAGTGGTTTTCAACCCTGGTTAAGCATCTCAGTGATCTATGAAGCTTTAAAACGTATGGTGAGAGAGGCCAGCATCCTTACCCATTCATACTGAGTTTCAAACTGAGTCTGAATCTCCTGGGGTGGCCTCTCATTTTCATTTTGAAAAATCTTCACAGACGATAGTGGGACTGAATTAATTAACACTCTTTAGGTTATAAATAAAAAACTTATCATGCACTACCTTGTAAAAGATGAAATTATTTTAAGCATAAAAAGGTCTCTTATAGAAACAGAGTAGGGATGTGGCCAGAGTCCATTGAAGGTGCTCCATAGAGGGCTTCTCTTGCAGTCTCCTTTCTGGTCCCCTTTCTGTCTTTGCAAGCCAGCTTCAGTCTTCTCTACCTTTAAATGTAAGCATCCTATCTTTCTCAGCTTCCGGGTTTACGTGGTCTCATCACAATAAAGCAGTCAGACTTACTCTTGAATCCTTTACTGTCTCCCAGGCTAGAGTGTAATGGCGCAATCTCGGCTCACTGCAACCTCTGCCTCCTGAGTTCAGGCGATTCTCCTGCCTCAGCTTGCTGAGTACCTGGGATTACAGGTGCCCACGACCACGCCCAGCTAATTTTTGTATTTTTAGTAGACACAGGGTTTCACTTTGTTGGCCAGGCTTGTCTCAAACTCTTGACCTCAAGTAATCCACCCACCTCAGCCTCCCAGAGTGCTGGGATTACACCGTGCCTGGCCTGAATCCCTTAGTTCTGACTGTAAGTTACTTAGGGGAAGAGCTCATTTGCTGAGTTTGGATCAGGTATCAAATCTTAGCATATAACCATATTTTACAATTATTACTGCTCCTACCATGGGTGGTATGAGGGCAAAGGGGCTGGATTGGTGTGAAGAAGCTGGGAAGACAAATCTACAATGTCCTTTATAAAGGCATGGCTATGATTCAGAATCACTGGATAATTTGGTTAAACAACAAACATTTACTGAGCTCATAGCAGGTGTCCTACTCGGCAGGGAATAAAAATTAAGCAGGATAAATGTGGTCCCTGGTTGCAAGATGCTTAAAATATTCTGTTTGATTCTTGATGACTTTTCAGAAAATCATGTTCACTTATAGATTGAGTGACGGAAGAACTAGTGAAACCAGATGTTGAGAAGGGATATTTTCAAAGGCTGGGTTCTCTGTAAGAATCCAGTAATTTTATCCTCTTTATTTTACTGCCAGTGAGGAGCAGATGATGATAACAGAAAGACTGCACACTGTGTGTGTATGGTGGCGGTGGGGGGTGGGGGGCAGAAAAAGGCGGGTAGAGAAGGAGATAAAAGTGGGTGAGGGTGGGAGAGAAAAGCTGAAAGGGAAAACAAAGGATGAGGTTTTATATACATTGCTAAATTCTTCAACGTTCCTAATACCTCCTTATTTTCATACTTGTTCTTATGGTGATGCAGGATTCTTTTCTACATTTTGGTTGCTCACTTCCCAAAGCTGTTTAGAGACATAAACTCTAAGAATCCACAAAGATAATAACTCTTGTCAATACCACTAGGGATTTTGAAAATTGTTGGTTTCACATTGTCATTATCTGTACCTCATTTTGCTAAGTACACACATGAATTCCCTGTTGTCAAGACTGTGTAGTCGAAGACAAACCACGTTATTTTATGTCATTAAAACAATTGAATACATTTATTAAATCAAGGTAAAGTGACAATTTCCACGTTTAATTTTACCTGTGGCTACAAAGGTTTTTCCAGATATAGACATAAAGAAATACAATGTGTAATGACTGAAGAGTTAGTGAAAAAGCAACATTTCTAAATTGAAAAATTGATTTTTGGTGCATTCCAAAGTTATCTTTCAGAAGAATCTTGTTTCTAAGATTACAATTTCAGATGTCATTTCTATTGGATTTGAACTAATTACTGATTAGGCTGAAAGTGTGTGACTTCTTTACTGGCCCTCTCTAACTACCTAAAAGGTAAACCTCTATTTGTAAACTTGTGTGTGTGTGTGTGTGTGTGTGTGTGTGTGTGTGTGTGTGCATGCCTGCAATATCCTTCACACCGTCCCTTAGATATTGTCCTAGAGTGAATAGAGGTTGCCTGTTTAGACTGTGTGTTGTGACAAGTGTGAGGATTATGATGCTCTTTCATAAAATTTCTATGAAAGACTCTGTCTAATAGATGTGAATGTAGCTGTAAAAATACACTTGATTTATTTTATTTTGTTCTCTACTATTTATTTGGTGGAAATATCTAGAGGTTCTATGGTAGTAAATGGTTGAAGAAATCCACTCACCACACTCATTCCATATTCAAAACAGCAACAGCAACATTAGAGGCAGCAGAATAAGCTACACAGGCTCATGGTACTCAGATAATTCAGAGATATTATCAACTAAATAAGATCCCAGACCTCAGAAATAAAGTGAAGTACTTTAAACAGATCATAAATTTTAAAACTAGAATTTCAAAATTAATAATATGTATCCTGTGACTATTTTATATCAAATTATATAAATGTGAATATTAGGATGTTCATTCTAACTGATTTCATAAGACATATACAAGCTTATCATTACAAAGTATTTTATATTGGCATGGGACACTTGCAAATATATTTTGAATTTTTTCAATGCATTTTTTTTTAAAATATTTTATTTTAAGTTCTGGGATACATGTGCAGGATATGCAGGTTTGTTACATAAGTAAATGTGTACCATGATGGTTTGCTGCACGTATCAATCCATTACCTAGGTATTAAGTCCCACATGCATTAGCTATTTATCCTGATGCTCTCTCTCCCCCCACACCCCTAACAGGGCCCAGTGTGTGTTGTTCCCCTCTCTGTGCCCATGTGTTCTCATTGTTCAGCTCCCAGTTATAAGTGAGAACACGTGGTGTTTGATTTTCTGTTTCTGTTTTAGTTTACTGAGGATAATGGCTTCCAGCTCCATCCATGTCCCTGCAAAGAACATGATCTTGTTGTTTTTTATGGCTGCATAGTATTCCATGGTGTATATGTACCACATTTTCTTTATCCAGTCTATCATTGATGGGCACTTGTGTTGAATCCATGCCTTTGCTATTGTAAATAGTGCCGCAATAAACATACACATGCATGTGTCTTTATAATAGAATGATTTATATTCCCTTGGGCATATACTCAATAATGGGATTGCTGGGTCAAATGGTATTTCTGGTTCTAGGTCTTTCAGGAATCATCACACTGTCTTCCACAATGGTTGAACTAATTTACATTCCTACCAACAGTGTAAAAGTGTTTCTATCTCTCCATAGCCTCACCGGTATCTGTTGTTTCTTTACTTTTTAATAATCACTATTCTGACTGGTGTGAGATGGTATCTCATTGTGGTTTTGATTTGCATTTTTCTAATGACCAGTTATGTTGAACTTTTTTTCATATGTTTGTTGGCCACATGAATGTCTTCTTTTGAGAAGTGTCTGTTCATGTCCTTTGTCCACTTTTTAATGAGGTTGTATTTTTCTTGTAAATTGGTTTAAGTTCCCTGTAGATTCTGGATATTAGACTTTTATCAGATGGATAGATTGCAAAAATTATCTCTCATTCTGTAGATTGTCTGTTTACTCTGATGATAGTTTTGTTTTTCTGTCCAGAAGCTCTTTAGTTTAATGAGATCCCATTTGTAAATTTTTGCTTTTTTTGCAATCACTTTGGGTGTTTTCGTCATGAAATATTTGCCTGTGCCTATTCCTAAATCATATTCCCTAGATTTTCTTCTAGGGTTTTTATAGTTTAGAGTTTTACATTTAAGTCTTTAATCTATCTTGAGTTAATTTTTGTATAAGGTGTAAGGAAGGGATCCAGTTTCAATTTTCCAGTTTTGAGAATCCTTTCCCCATTGCTTGCTTTTTTCGGGTTTGTTGAAGATCAAATGCTTGTAGATGCACAGTCTTATTTCTGAGATCTCTATTCTGTTTCATTGGTCTATGTATCTGTTTTTTTTTTACTGGTACCATGCTGTTTGGTTACTGTAGCTTTGTAGTATAGTTTGAAGTCAGGTAGTGTGATGCCTGCAGCTTTATTCTTTTTGCTTAGAATTGTTTTGGCTATAAAGGGTCTTTTTTGGTTCTACATGAATTTAAAAGTATTTTTTTTCTAATTCTGTGAAGAATGTCAATGGTATTTTAATGGGAATAGCAATGAATCTATAAATTACCTTGGGCACTATGGCCATTTTCACGATATTTATTCTTCTTATCCATGAGACGAAATGTTTTACCATTTGTTTGTGTCCTCTCTTATTTCTGTGAGCAGTGATTTATAGTTCTTCTTGATGAGATCCTTGACTTCCTTTGTTAGCTATATTTCTAGGTATTTTATTCTCTTTGTAGCAATTGCGAATGGTAGTTCATTCATGATTTGGCTCTCTGCTTGTCTATCATTGGTGTATGGGAATGTTTATAATTTTTGCACATTGATTTTGTATCCTGAGACTTTGCTGAAGTTGCTTATCAGCTTAAGAAGCTTTTGGGCTGAGATTATGGGGTTTTCTAGATACAGGATCATGTCACCTGTGAACAGAGCTGGTTTGACTTCCTCTCTTCCTATTTGAATATCCTTTATTTCTTTTTCTTGCCTGATTGTTTTGGCCAGAAATTCCCATACTATGTTGAATAGGAGTAGTGAGAGAGGGCATCATTTTCTTGTGCTGGTTTTCAAGATGAATGCTTCCAACTTTTGTCCATTCAGTATAATATTGGCTGTGGGTTTGCCATAAATGGCACTAATTATTTTGAGGTATGTTCCATTAATATTTAATTTATTGAGAGTTTTTACCATGAAGGTATGTTGAATTTTATCAAAGGCCTTTTCTGCTTCTATTGAGATAATCATGTGGTTTTTCTTTAGTTCTGTTTATGTGATGATTTACATTTATTGATTTGTGTATGTTGAACCAGGCTTGCATCCTGAGATGAAGCCAATTTGATCATCATAGATAAGCTTTTTGATATGCTGCTGAATTCACATTGCCAGTATTTTATTGAATATTTTCACATTGATGTTCATCAGGGATATTGGTTTGAAGTTTTCTTTTTTCATTGTATCTCTGCCAGTTTTTGGTATTAGGATGTTGCTGGCCTCATAAAATTAGTTAGGGTGGAGTCTCTCCTTTTAGTTGCTTGGAATAGTTTCAGAAGAAATGGTACCAGCTCTCTTTGTACCTCTGGTAGAATTCAGCTCTCAATCCATCTGGTCCTGGGCTTTTGTTTTGGTTGGTAGGTTATTTATTACTGCCTCAATTTCAGAACTCGTTGTTGTTCTATTGAGGAATTCAACTGCTTCCAGGTTCAGTCTTGAGAGGGTGTATGTGCCCAGGAATTTATCCATTTCTTCTCAGTTTTCTAGTTTATTTGCATAGACGTGTTTATAGTATTCTCTGATGGTTGTTTATATTTCTGTGGAGTCAGTGGTTATATCCCCTATATCATTTGTTGTGTCTATTTTATTCTTCTTTCTTTTTTCTTTATTCTATCTGTTTTAGCAGACTATATATTTTATTATATTTTTTAAAAAAAATCAGCTCTTGGATTCATTAATTTTTTGAAAGGTTCTTCGTGTCTCTATCTCTTTCAATTACGCTCTGATCTTGGGTATTTCTTGTCTTCTGCTAACCTTGGGGTTTGTTTGCTCTTGGTTCTCTAGTTCTTTTAGTTGTGATGTTAGGGTGTTAATTGGAGATCTGTCTAGCTTTTTGATGTTGGTATCCAGTGCAATAAATTTTCCTGTGAACACTGCTTTAGCTGTGTCCCAGAGATTCTGGTATGTTGTCTCTTTGTTCTCACTGGTATCAAAAAACTTGATTTCTGCCTTAATTTCATTATTTACCCAGGAGGCACTCAAGAGAAGATTGTTCAATTTATGTGTAGTTGTGTGGTATTGGGTGAGTTTTAAAATTTTGAGTTCTAATTTGATTGTGTTGTGGTCTGAGAGACTGTTTGCTATGATGTCAGCTATTTTACATACCTGATAAGTGTTTTACTTCCAATTACGTGGTTGATTTTAGAGTAAGTGCCATGTGGCACTGAGCTGTCTGTTTGTTCTGTTGTTTTGGGATGGAGAGTTCTGTAGCTATCTGTCATGTCCACTTGATTCAGAGCTGAGTTAAAGTCCTGAATATCCTTGTTAATTTTCTGTCTCAATGATCTGTCTAATATTGACAGTGGGGTGTTAAAGTCTCCCACTATTATTGTGTGGAAGTCTAAGTCTCCTCGTAGGTCTCTAAGAACTTATTTTATGAATCTAGATGCTCCTATATTGGGTGCATATGTAAGACAGTTAGCTCTTCTTGTTGAATTGA
The DNA here is from genome assembly GCF_000001405.40 of Homo sapiens. Lineage (NCBI taxonomy): Eukaryota > Metazoa > Chordata > Mammalia > Primates > Hominidae > Homo > Homo sapiens. The sequence continues at coordinate 186,011,209 of NC_000002.12, read as the reverse complement.
TCCCTTTGCCATCATGTAATGCATTTATTTGTCTTTTTAAATCTTTGTTGGTTTAAAGCCTGTTTTTTCAGAAACTAGGATTGCAACCCCTGCTTTTTTCTGCTTTCCATTATCTTGGTAAATTTTTCTTCATCCCTTTATTTTGAGCCTGTGTGTGTCTTTGCATTTGAGATGGGTCTCTTGAATACAGCACACTGATGGATTTTGACTCTTTATCCAACTTGCCACTCTGTGCCTTTCAATTCAGGCATTTAACTCATTTACATTTAAGGTTAATATTGTTATGTGTGAATTTGATCCTGTCATCATGATGCTAGCTATTTATTTTGCAAACTTGTTGATGTAGTTGCTTCATAGTGTCATTGATCTGTGTACTTCAGTGTGTTTTTGCAGTGGCTGGTAATGGTTTCTTTTTTTTTTTTTTTTCTTTCCATATTAAGTGCTTCCTTCAGAAGCTCTTGCAAGGCAGGATTGCTGGTGATGAATTTCCTCAGCATGTGCTTGTCTGAAAAAGATTTTATTTCTCCTTCACTTATGAAGTTTAGTTTGGCCAGATATGAAATTCTGGGCTGGAAATTCTTTTGTTTAAGAATGTTGAATATTAGCCTCCAATCTCTTCTGGCTTATCGAGTTTCTGCTGAGTGCTTCACTGTTAGTCTTATGGGCTTCCCTTTGTAGGTGACCTGGCCTTTCTTTCTGGCTGCCCTTAACATTTTTTCCTTCATTTCAACCTTGGAGAATCTGATAGATTATGTGTCTTTGGGTTGATCTTCTCATGGAGTATCTTATTGGGGTCCTCTGGGTTTCCTGAATTTGAATGTCTGCCTGTCTTGTTAGGTTGGGGAAGTTCTCCTGGATGATACCCTGAAGTATGTTTTCCAGCTTGGTTCCATTCACCCCATCTCTTTCAGGTACTGCAATCAGTCATAGGTTTGGTCTTTTTACATAATCCCATAGTTCTTGGAGATTTCGTTCTTTTCTTTTCATTCTTGTTTCTCTAATCTTGTCTGCCTGTCTTATTTCAGCAAGATAATCTTCAAGCTATAAAATTCTTTACTCTGCTTAGTAGATTTGGTTATTAATACTTGTGGTTGCATTGTGAAGTTCTCATGTTGTGTTTTTCAGCTCCATCAGGTTATTTGTGTTCCTCTCTAAACTGGTTATTCTGGTTAAAATCTCCTGTAATGTTTTATAAAGTTCTTAACTTCTTTGCATTGGGTTAGAACATGCTCCTGTAGCTCAGCAAAATTTGTTATTATCCACCTTCTGTAACTTACTTCTGTCAATTCATCCATCTCAGCCTCCACCCACTTCTGTGCTCTTGCTGGAGAGGTGTTGTGAATATTTGGAGGAAAAGAGGCACTCTGTTCTTTTGAGTTTTCAGCATTTTTTTCATTGATTCGTTCTCATCTTAATGAGTTTATCTAGCTTCATCTTCGAGGTTGCTAACCTTTGGATGGGGTTTTTGTGGGGACTTTTTTGTTGATGCTGTTGTTGTTGTTGCTTTCTGTTTGATTGTTTTTCTTTTAACAATCAGGCCCCTCTTCCATAGGGCTGCTGAAGTTTGCTGGGGGTCCACTCCAGAACCTATTCACCTGGGTTCATCCTGCACCTGAGGGTGCAATGCATTGTTATTCAATCTTTGTGTCGAGGAATTCCTTCTTTTCTTTTTGTCTTCATTTCCTGCTTCTCCCTTCCCCCTCTTCCCCACCATCTCTGTAGCCAATGGAAGACTGTATTAGTCAGCTTGGGCTTCATAGCAAAATGCCACAGTCTGGGTGGGTTATACAACAGATATTTGTTTCTCACAATTTGGGATGCTGGGAAGATCAAGGTCAATGTGCCAGCCAGGTCGGTTTCATTCTGAGGCCTCTTCTTTTGTGTTATAGACTGCTGCCATATTGCTGTGTGCTTGCAAAACTTCTTTTAGTGCTTACTGAGAGCAAGCATGCCCTTTGATGTCTCTTCCTATAAGGACATTAATCCTATTGGATCAGAGCCTCAACCTTATGATCTCATTTAACTTCAATTACTCCTATAGAGGCCTCATCTCCAAATACAGTCAACTGGAGTTTAGAGTTTAAACATTTGAATCTAGGGGAACACAAACATTCAGTCTGTGATGGAAACCAGGTCTAGGAATATTGGTAAAGATAATATTGCTATTGCTACCATCTTATTTAAGATTATTTCTGTCTCTTGCTTGAATAATGTGAAAGTTTATAAAGTGATCTACAATCTTTATTTCTTCCATTCTGTCCTCATAAGTGCCTTGGATTGATCATAATATTTAAACTTGATAATTTACTTCCATGCCAAACATTTCAATGGTTCTTCTCAATGAGGTACAAATTGCATAGTGTGGTACATAAAGGCCTTCATCATCAGTCTGTTTTTTTTGCTTAACTGTATGGCCTAACACATAGAATGCCCCTCATGCAACATATGACAAAATTCTATTGATAAAAGAATAATTCCTCAAAGTACCTTGGTTTTATTTCTTTGTGTTTTGTCTTTGGAAAACCTCTTTATTTAAAGATGTCTACATGTCATTATGTTCTTAGGTCATGTGTCACATCTATGAAGTCTCATCTCTTGTTCCTATAGAGCTTGATAGTTTTTTTTCTTTCTCTAACTTTTTAATTTCTTAATTTTTAATATTTTAAAATATGTATAGCATCTCATTCCATCACCTAGACTGGGGTGCAGTGGTACAATCATAGCTTGCTCTGGTCTTGAACATCTGGGCTCAAGTGATCTGCCGAGATCGACTTGGTCGGGGAGACCCTAACCCAGTGGTGCTAGAGGAATTAAAGACACACACACAGAAATATAGAGGTGTGAAGTGGGAAATCAGGGCTCTCACAGCCTTCAGAGCTGACAGCCCCGAACAGAGATTTAGCCACGTATTTATTAACAGCAAGCCAGTCATTAGCATTGCTTCTATAGATATTAAATTAACTAAAAGTATCCCTTATGGGAAATGAAGGGATGGGCCGAATTAAAGGAATAGGTTGGGCTAGTTAACTGCAGCAGGAGCGTGTCCTTAAGGCACAAATTGCTCATGCAATTGTCTGTGGCTTAAGAATGCCTTTAAGCAGTTTTCCACCCTGGGCAGGCCAGGTGTTCCTTGCCCTCATTCCGGTAAACCCACAACCTTCCAGCATGGGCGTTATGGCCATCATGAACATGTCACAGTGCTGCAGAGATTTTGTTTATGGCCAGTTTTGGGGCCAGTTTATGGCCAGATTTTGGGGGGCTTGTTCCCAACAGTGATCCTCCTGCCTCAGCCTCCTAAGTAGCTAAGACCACAGGCATGCTCCACCTCTCCTGACTACATTTTGTTTTTTGGAGAGACAGGGTCTCACTATGTTGCCCTAGCTGGTATAGAACTCTTGAGCTCAAGTAATCCTCCTGCCTTGGACTCCAAAAATGCTGGGATTATAGGCATGAGTCACCACACCTGTCCCACCTGTTTGCCACTTTTCTTTGAAGACCTATTTCATATATGCATCTTTCATAGCATCTGAAGTATTGTATCACACTTTTAATATCCTTGTTATTTTATTAGACTATGTTCCTTAAAGACTGAGGCATGTCTACTTCATTTTGTTATTTATAGCATCCTGCACAGTGTCTGACACTTATTAAACATTTGCTGAATTGGTGATGAAATTAATTAATTTAGGGGAGCTTACTTAGTTCCAACTGCTATCCTAAGTGACTATATAGATAGATATGGAGTGAATATTATATAAATATTAAACAAAAGTTCTCTGCCTTCAAGGTGGTTATTGTTTAGTGGAGAAGAGGGCATGTATATGAGTAAATAGAGTAACAGTAAAAAGTAGTTTGCTATATAGAACATGTTACGGTATTTGAAAGGAAAGAGAAATTACTCAAGATGTTTCTTAGGACTGTCAGGTTTTACATGGTGTTATAAAGATGAAGTTACACACTTCACTATTAAAAAATTCCTGTTCAAAAGAAAACAAAATAATAAAGTACAGAAATCAAACTAACTCTTCCACAAGACTAATAAGTACCTGTAACTGTGAAAACAGAGAGAGGGAGGGAGGGAGAGAGAGAGAGAGAGAGAGAGAGAGAAAGAGAGAAACAGAGAGAAACAGAGACAGTTACAGAAATGATCAAAGAATTATAGATACAGTGAAAACATAGTAAAGATGCAACAACTACCAAATATAGTCATGTAGTCTAACAAAGTTCTTCTTGTTAATCATTGTAGCAAGGCAGTGTATGCACACAACTGGAAAGACTGGAGCAACTCAGAATGGAATGAGGTGTGTGTGGGGGTACTTGTTATAGAATTTGGGCTCATGTTCAGTGATTTTAGAGAGGGTTCCTGGAGGCTCAATTGTTCTGGGTTTTGGTACTATAGGATAATAATGTATCTTAATTTTTTATTTAGGGGGTGGAAGAAAGGAAGGTGAGGCCACAGTTATCATTAGTAGTGAAGCAGTTGTCACTCAATTTACCCAGGAGAGAGAGCTTTTTGGCTTTTTTGTCTTGTTTTGGGAAGGATCAGCATTCATTTCTTGTGGTTGCTGCAACAGATTTGTTAGTTCAAACCAACAGAAATTTATTTTCCTACAGTTCTGGTAGCCACAAATCCAAAATCAGTTTCACTCAGCTAAAATCTAGATGTCAGTAGAATTGTGCTTCCTCTCTCCAGAGGCTCTGCCTCTTCTAATTTATGGTGGCTACTGGCAGTCCTTGGCTTGTGGCCACAACACTCAAATATCTACCAAATATCATCTTCACACTGCCTTCTCCTCTGTGTTCCTGTGTCAAATCTCCTCTATCTCTCTTATACAAATACACGAGATGACATTTTAGACTCATCTGGATAGTCCATGATAATTTTCTCATCTCAAGATCCTTATCTTAATCTCATCTGCAAAGACCTTTTTTCTTTTCCAAATAAAGTAACATTTACAGGTTATAGGGATTAGAATAAGAAGGTACTATTTAGTCCACTAGAGTGTCCTTTTGTTTTCTTGGCATTCAGATATAATTATGAAATAGTATTGTTTTTATCTTTCTCTATCACAGTCATTGTCATGGCCATTTTTTATGTTGCATGGGGAAGACCATATTTAGTTCTCTGTTACTAGCTGTCAGTTATAGAACCAGTTTTTTTCATTCTCAGGACAGAACACAGGACTGATAAATTCAAGCACAATGAAATAAAAGAGAACATATATTTAAGACAATAAAAGAGATTAAGATCAAAGGAAAATATACAATGACCATCTAATAGGAAAAATCGGTATCTCTGAACAAGTAACAAAATAAGAAAAAAAAGTATTGGAAGTTATAACTCAAGACAAATATGCAAGAATAAAATAAGACTTGAATCAAAAAATACTAAGAAAATAATTGGCATCCAGTGGTCAATGCCAAAATTTTATTGGACACTACAGATAAAAAATGAGGTATACATAAAAAATATGCAAAGTCACTTATAAATGAAAATGTCAAGCTGAACTTATACTTTCTAAGAATAATTTTCAAAGATAGAGAAAAGTGGACAAATACTTATATAGTCCTGTAGGAACTACAGTGCAATTCAAGAATGTTTAAATGCAGCAAAAATAAAATTTGAACAGGAAAACATTCAGATAATATAGTATTATGATGGTTTATTTTATATGTCACTTGACTGGGCCACAGGATGCCCCAATATTTAGACTAACATAATTCTGGGTGTTTCTGTTTGGGTAATTTTGAATGAGATTAATATTTATTTTATTAAAAGAGCTATTTTTAAAAAATTTGGAAAATAGAGCTTTATTTCCCTTAAAGGGTTACAGCCTGCAGCGTGGCCATTCTGACAGGCTGGAAAGCATAGCCTCCAGTCAGAAAACAGAAACAGACACTTCAATAAAGGGGCAAAGGGATTGGGAATTTATCTCAGAATGGGGTGCCCAAATATACATATGTAATAAGCTACAGGAGAAGTCGTGAATATTTATGAAAAAGGAAAGGTTCATATGCAATTGAGCTTCATGCCCCTTCATGGGTCCCATGTACAAAAAATGGTAGTTAGCATGATCCCAGCATGGAGTTTTGGACTCTCTGATGTCAAAAGATTAAGCAGAGGCATGAAAATCCTTATTGTGCATTCTCCATAGACTGGCCAGAACCACTCTGTGTCTAGTAGTCTTTTATCAGGCAAAAATGCTGTGCAGTTGTAACAAAAGAGAGGAGCAGCATCAGGTAGTTGGTTGAAATCAGCAGTGCAGAAAGTCTTTTGAAAGGGCTGGTTTCTGTTTAGTCCTTAGAGAAGAAAGTCTAATGGCAGTTAGTGAGGGAGAGGGTATAATGAGGCATGCCTGACCTCCTATCTTATCATGGCTGAGAACTTAGTTTTCAAAATTTCTCTGGGGTCCCTTTGGCCAAGGGAAGGCTTTTTCAGTCAGTTGGAGGGCTTAATTTTATTAATATTTTCATTTGTCATTTTCCTCCTATTGGCCTGGATTTGTTAGAGGCAGCATCAATGACCAAACTTGTATTTTGTCCCATATTTTGGTTGAGGTAGTGTGGCTACCTTCCCTGGGTCCATCCTGTTCCTCAGTGGGACCCATATGGCCACGAGATTTAGAGTCAAAAGACTTACAACCAATTAAATGTTCCAGACCCAGCAGGAAGGAAGTGAGCAGGCACCAATCAACCCTTAAAATCTGTTAAGCAACATAGCAGCCAAAACCCAAAGTCAAAAAGCAAGGTTACAAGATTGAGTTACCTATAAATTCTATGCAGTAACCTACTGTAGTCTTGGTCTTAGGTATATACTTGAAGCAATTAACTATATAAAACATAAGAATTTTGCTAAAACTATTTAAGCTGAGGAATTTTAGAGACTTCTGTTATGCCTCAATGCTTTCTGCAATCTCTTTATTAATTTGACCTAAGGTAGAAAATAAATTTTTTCATCCTAGCCCTATTTGCATAAGAGATTAACATTTAAATTAATCGACTGAATGAGGCAAATTGTCCTCTACAATGTGGGTGTGTCTCTTCGTATCAAAGGCCTAAGTAGAATAAAAATTTGACCCACCTCCTAGTAAGAGAGAATTCTCCTGTCTGAACGCCTTTGCACCAGAATGTCAGCTTCTCCTGGTTCTACAGCAACCTTCATACTTAAATGGGACATGAGCTCTACAGATCTTAGACTTGCCATCTACCATAATCATGTGAGCCAATTTCCTGTACTTACTTACTTTCTTTCTTTTCTTTTCTTTTTTCTTTCTTTCTTTCTTTCTTTCTTTCTTTCTTTCTTTCTTTCTTTCTTTCTTTCTTTCTTTCTTTCTTTCTCTTTCCTTCTTTCTTTCTTTCCTCTTTCCTTCTTTCTTTCTTTCCTCTTTCTTTCTTTCTTTCTTTCTTTCCTCTTTCTTTCTCTTTCTTTCTTTCTTTCATTCATTCTTTTGTCTATTTTTCTAGGGAATCCTAACGAATACATAAAGATTCCATAATCCTGTCTTAAATTAGCAGGAGAGGTTCAGGCAGGAAATGGCTTGAGAAACTACACTGAAGGGTCTGAGGGTGATAATCTAACTCACTTAACTATAGGACAAGGCTAAAACTTAATATAAGTATTATGGTTATAATATAGTTGCATATTTTAACGTGTGTGCTGAGTAAAAAAGATAAAAAGGACAAAAATCAACAGGAGGAGAAAGAGAACCAGGGAGACAGTGTAAATATGCTAATTTCTCCATGTTTTAGAAGGAGAAACTAGAAGATATGTATTAAAACTCACACAACAAATTATAGAAATTTATCTGTATTTATAGTATAACCACTAAAATAAAAAATAAACTAAAACTGAGTGGTAGAGAGAATGAGAATATGTAGATGTGGAAATATATGAATTTTATCTTTGTTCTTAGTAAATTAATATATATTACTAAAATAACAAAATAATATATTCTAAAAGTTATACTTAAATGTAGCCACTGGAACAAAAATATAAATATATCAACAGAAACACAGAATATGTCAAACATTTAGTGGAAGATTTTTAAAAAATCAATAAAAAATGAAGTATAACATAAAATATGATGACAGAACTGAAACCGAATATATGTTATACTTATAAATAGAAATTGGTGAAATAAATCTATTTAAAACATACTATTATAATGAAACACAAAGCAAAACCCAATTAATATGCTAAAAGAAGATAAATACCTAAAACAAAATTATCTACAATGTTAATTTTAAAAAATTGTCTCAGAGCAAGACCGACTCTCTGCATGCCATTATTTGCAGAATTCAAAAGAAGGCCCTGTTTTAGGAGTAAGGACCCCCTATTTGATACCTGCAGGACCACAAATCTCAACTAGCATCATTAACCCCAGAAGGCTTGACATACCTGCCAAACTCTTGTTACATTTCCTAGCTTCCATCCTCATAGCCATGTCACCTCTATCTAGCTTTGAATCACCAGGACTATTTTGTTGTACCATTAGTCACCCCTATTTATGTTAGCTCCAGGCAGTGGTATGCTGGTAAATGCTTCATAATAAGCCCTCTGAAATAGTGTGTGTGTATGTGTGTGTGTGTGTGTGTGTGTGTGTATATATATATATATATATATATATACATCTATATATACATATACATATATACATACTTATATATATACACATATGTGTGTATATATATCTGATATATAATCTCTCTGAAATAGTGTATATACTTTATTATATATACACATATGTGTGTGTATATATATCTGATATATAGATATCAGAGTTTATAAAAATTTTACTAATAAGAAAGAGATGCAATACACAATTTAAAAATAATTATAAAAACACAATACTTTTTAAGTTCCACATACTTAATTGATTTTCATAGAATGCTTTTGTCAATTATTGCCAAATGCTTTCATATAGCCTATCTCTGTTTGACATTCAAACATGATTTCACAAATGGAATTGCTTCCCAATCCTTTAACTCATTATCCAATAAATTTATTTTCTTTGTATTTCATATGTGTTCTACTGTTAAACTAATTCTCACCCTCAAAAATATTATGTTGATTAAACTGAAACCTCTTTCACTTCAGCACTATACAAGACACCTGTATTAAATTTTACTCCATATTTTTATAAGTCTAGAAAATCAACAAAACAATGAATAAAGCCTTATCTGTTGCATTTATCAATTTCTTGCTATTGTCTGTTTTAATCAACCAAACCGACATCACTGAACACAGAGTTTGGAAGAAGTGTGCAGTAGCTCACCACTGTATAATATTCCTATCATACAGATCAAATAGATGTAAATAACCCTCAAGAGTATAGATAACAGTAAAATGTAGTAACATTATTGGAAAGTAATTACTTTTGAATATTCTTTCTCCTCTTAACATGGTTTATTTAATTATAAGTTTACATAAGTTAACATTGAATAATGACCACATTTAGTAACTGGTTCATGAGATTCCTGAAAATTTCACACTTGGCTCTTGTGAGCTGCTAGAGTATGAGTCTTTTATGAGCTGACTCCAGCTCGCCACTGAACTCCAAAGTTGCTCCTCAAACTTAGGCACTCATTCCCATATGGCTCTTGTATGTAATCTTTTCTGATCCATCCTGTATCCTGACCCATTGCTTAACTCTCATTCTGCCATCTGAAACTCAAGATAAGTCATCAGCAAAATTTCCTGTATCACCAATCACTTTGGGATAGTATTTTAAAAAATTCATTCTCTGACACCCAGCATTTTCATGATGCCATTGTTTGTCCTGCAGCTCTCAAGTGGTGAATCATTTTCTCCTATAGTCCTTCTGTTACTGGGTCTAAACATATGGTAGGTAACTGCTCTTTATTGTGACTTCCATAACATATTTTCATCTTCCTGAAATGTTCAGCTTTAAATCTCATATCATCAAACTACACCTAAACAATCTCACTTGTAAATCCCAAGGCACTCCCAATAATTTCTTGAAAATAATAGTTCCCAATTCACTGTCCTTCTTCAACGTGGAAGGAACACACAAATATGCTGTCTAGTTGTATGATTCATGACCATAAATTTCAAGTGAAGTTGTAATGTTACTTGGAAATCAGACTATAATTTCCCAGATTATTAATTCTACCATTCTCCAAGAGGCCTGCTTCTCACCTTTACCTCCTCAAACTTCCAACACTATCTCCCCCATGTTTACTCTCTGCTAATGACCATGCTTCCTACCTAGAAGGCAGAGGAAAAGGAGGAGAATAAGGAGGAGGAAAAGAAGAAGAAAGTAAAAGAATCAGAAAGTATCTCCTATAAGCTGCCAGCACCAAAACTGCCCGTCTACCTGTGTCTGTATTCCTGCTCTTACCAGAGACGAATTTTTCCTGTTCCTATCTACGGTTTAAAGTTAAACACTCCACTTGTGTACTGGATCTCATCCTGTCTTGCCTACTCAAGATCATTACCCCAAGAATTTTCTTCTCTTTCTGTCCTACATCATTAATTTTTCCTTTCATTTTGAGTCATTCCAATAAACATATAAACGTAATGATATTTCTTCCTTCTGAAAAACTTTATAAATTATTTTACTTTGCCTCCAATTATGGTTCAATTTCCCTCTTGTCCATTACAGAAAAAATTTTTGAAAGAATTTTGTCTGTTTACAGAGTTTTATTTCCTCCTTACTCTCACTAATCTCTTGAACACACTTAAGTCAGGAAATGACCTTCATATCTCTATAAATTACTCTTATTAGGGATACCAATGGCTCCTATATTGACAATTCCTATGGAAAATTCACAGTCCTCCTTTTACTTGACCTTTCAGTAGCTCTTGACACAATTGGTAATTCTTTCTTGGCTTTGATAATACTGACCTCATTTCCCTGCTATTTTTTTTTTTTTTTTTTTTTTTTGGTCAACTATTCTGTGTCTCCTTTGCTTGTTATGCTTGCTTTCATCTTCCTCATTTATTACTTCTGGAGTGTTCAGGGCTTTGTTGCAAACTTAGTCTTTCGATCTATTCTCACTCTCTATGTGATCTTATCCAGTCTTAAGATTTTAAATATTATCTATGCTGATCCTAACCAAAATTTTGTTACTAGCTCAGGGTTAATACCTTGAACCTTAAATGTGGCTTATGATCTTTGGGTATCAAAAGGCAAATAAGGTTTATCATCTTTTACACTAAGCTGCTGATATTGATCCTCCCTCACCCAAACTTATATCTCCCATATCCTTTCCCTATTCAGGTGACAGTTGCTCATACCCTAAAGCTTGGTCATTTTTTACTCCTCTTTTCTTCTCATACTTCAACTCCATTGGCCAAATTCACCTTTAGCTCTACTTTCACAATATTGCTAAAATAAAATTTCTTCTCATTACTTCCAGTGCTACCACTTTGGTCTAAAGGCATCATCCTGAACTATTGTAGAAGACTCTCCTTAACTATTCTATATTCTCTACCCTTGATCCATTTCCTTCTATTCTGAACATAGCTACTATTAAAGATAAATTATTCACCAGATACATGTTGAAAACACCAAGACAGATCTTATTCTGAAATAATAAGAGTTGAAATTTGAAATTACTCCATCTATGCAGAATAAAGTTTGAATAAACTTCAAACTTTCTTCTGAAGTTTCCTCAGCCTTCATAGAATTGAAGAGTTAGGGCCTTGCTCTAGATTAGGCTTTGGCTTAAGAGAATATTGTGACTGGTTTGATAATCTGTTCATACCACTAAAACTTTCTCCATATCAACAATAAGACTGTTCTACTTTTTTCATTCACGTGTTCACTGGAGTAACTCTCTTATTTTCCTTCAAGAACTTTTCCTTTGCCTTCATAACTTGCCTAACTCTTCAGCACAAAAGGCCTAGCTTTCAGCCTATCTTGGCTTTGATATGTCTCTCTAGAGCTAGAAAAGCTAGCTTTGAAAAGCTAGAAATTATTAAGCTTAATCTATTTCTAGCTTTTGATTTAAAGTGAAAGATGTGAGATGCTTCCTTTTACTTGACCATTTAGAGGATATTATAGGGTTATTAATTGCCTTAATTTAAATATGGTTGTGTTACAGGGAATAGGGAGGGCCAAAAAGAGAAAGAGAAACATGGGAATGACTGGCTGATAGAGCAGTCAGAACACACAAAATGTTTATCAATTAAGTTTGCTATCTTACATGAACAGTGTGTGGCATTCCAAAACAACTACAATAGTAACATCAAATATCATTTATCACAGATCTCCATAACAGATACAACAATAGTGAAAATGTATGAAAAAATTGCGAGAATTTCCATCATGTGACACAGAGACATGAAATGAGCACATACTATTGGAAAAATGATGCAATAGACTTGCTCAATGCATTGTTGCTACAACCTGTCAATTTGTAACAACCACAATATCTGTGAAATACAATAAAGTAAAGCACTATAACATGAGGTATTCCTGTATAAACATGTGCCATTTAATAGAGAGAGAAAAAAAAGCCACGTGAGGCTCATGCTCATTCCACTGTGTGTAAATTGGTTATCTTAGTCCTGCTATTGAAATCAGAGTTTACAAGGAACCACAGGATATGCCATGTATTTGTGTAATTTCTAGAGTATATTATAGAGGCACATTGTAGTACAATTACACTGTAGGTGTGAATGTCTTGGTTTTGCATATTCGAACAATATTTTAGATTATTACCCTTTTTATTTCCTTTACAATATTTCAACCTACAGTCCTTTTGATTTGGGATAATTTTCCTATATTAAATGTCTTTAATTCAGTTAGTATATTATAATTTATGAATCCAGAGACTAGAATTTTAAAAGAAGATCATTGGAAATTTCACAAAGTAGATACATTGTAGGTAGAAAATTGAGTTATTTTTGTTACTACTTTCTGTAAACCATGAGATACAATAAAACAAAGGTTAGATAATGGTATAAGATTTATAATTGTGTATCCAATCAAGCCCAGATTTCAATGGAGGAATTATAAGCAGGAGATTTGAACACATTACGTTGCCAGAACTTTCTCCTTGGTACATTAGTCATAGAGTTCTTTAGCTAGATATAAGAGAATACCTGTAGTTTAGCAATATTCTGTCATAGCATATATTAATACTTCATTACATTTTCAAATTGTCATTTTAAACAGTATTTTCACAGGACATAATTTATACTTCGTATTACTTTATGAGATTATGCACTCATATCAGCTTTTCAGAAACAGAACATTTCTACCTACAAGAATATGAAGTACTTTTGATTTTTTTTCAAAGTTCAGAGAACATTTTTTCTCATTAGATGTTCTCCAATTTAACTTTGACATGCTTTCAATTTTCTTTGCATGCTGAGAAGGATCAAAGCCAATCTTTTTATCACTCTGGTATGTGTCCTGAGTTTCTGTTCCTAAAAAAGTAAAATTCCCTTAAAATAAAATGTCACAATGAAGTTGGTTAAAATTATTGAGTTTTAATTTTAAGGCAACTAATTTTCAATAAAGCCTTCTACAATTTTTTTTCTTACTTTTTCTAGGTTTCTCTCTGCTGAAACATAATAGAAACCTTGCCATTTGTATGTACATATTTTAAATTAACCTATATTGTATTTCTGTAAAAAAATGACCTTTTAGTCTTTTTATACTATTCAAATTCTTAATTTTTAAAAAAGTTTACAAAGTACCTTTACTTTAGTTTTAATAGAGCAAATATTTTCTCCGATTCGTGGTTGTCTATACCCTTTCATGATGATGTACTTTGAAGTCCAAAGCATTTTAATTTTGATAAAGTTCAATTTACCTCTCTTTTTATTTTGTAGCTTGTCTTTTTTGTGTTGTTTCTAACAACACATCATTGTTGAATCCAAAGTTATGAAATTTACTCTTCTGCTTCCTTTTATGAGTTTTTATAGTTTTAGCACTTAAGTTTAGCCTCTGATCCATTTTGATTTAGTTTTATGTATCAAGTGTGCTTGGAGACCATCTTCATTCTTTTGCATGTGGATATGCAATTGTGTCAGAACCGTTTGTTCTGAACTGAATGGTGTTGGTACATTAAAAATGAAAAAAAAAATCCCTGCACTTTCTCTTTCTAGTCTTTCAATTGTAAACATTGACTTATTCTGAATATATCTCAATGAAACTGAAATATGTGATTCATATGCTGCTTCAAAACCACTTTACTCCTTAACATATTATTTTGTCTTTGCAATATAATAGCAATTTTATATAATACATATAGATAGGATTGTTTTGATAGTGACAAATTCAGAATCAGTAAGTCATATTTATAAAGGAAAGATAAGTGAATAGTGATGGAATAGACTGAAGTGCATTTATTTTTTGTGTTGTAATTGCTTTGCTAAGTAATCAGTTACAAAGTTTTTGAATTAACTATAGAAATATTAAAAAAAACTGTTCTTTTGGGGATCATCTTTTGGGGATTAATCACAAGTTGCATCATTTATCAGTTTGATTTTTAAAAAGTTGCTGCTAAGCGGAGACAATAAAATAATTTATCTTAGTAGATATGAGAAATATTATAAACTTACCTGAATTTAGAAATAGTTTCTAAGGTAGAAAGAAAAAATACCTACCCCTGAATTTCATTTTGTTATTTATTCATCCAGTTTTATGACTATATCAGTTGATAAACTAGAGAAATTAACAATCTCTAGTTTTCTTTGTGAGAAGCAGAACCAGATGAGTCCCCCTTTGACTGTCACTATATGCTCACAACTGCCAAATAGAGTGGTGTTTTCTCAGACTTTATTTCAGGCTGGGTTCCTGAGATAAGAGACTCCAAAATGGAAATTTGTTTGTATGACTTTACTGAGTAGTTCTCCAGGGAATGATCTCTATTAGGAAGTAAGGAAGGTAAGATTAGGCAGAGGAATAAGTTTAACTGCTATACTGTTACTACAAAGGCCTCAGCCAATTTCATAGCAAGCTCTGAAGCAGGAGCCAGGGTTTGTACTCACTTATTAGCAAGTCCTCGGATGTGAGATGCCTTTGCAGAAGGGGCATAACCTTGGGCAAGGCAGCAATCTTTGGGCAAGGACAATTCTTTGGGGATGCTGTTAGGTATGAGCCATTGGAAAGCAATCCTTCTAGCAGCTAGGTGAATTAGGACCTTGCTTCTAAGGGATACCAAGCAGCATACCATCTCAGCAACATACATTTCCAATCCCCCTTTGCGCTACTCAGATCTATATATTAACTTCATTCTTTCTGGAAATATCTCCTTTATCATTCTGGTTTCTTACAGAAACATACAGAAATAATATTAGTGGGAGTAACTATAGCCCTGTCACTGCCAAGTGATTTCTGGGCCATGATGACACATATTATCGTCTTCCACTACTACTTTCCGTATGTGAACAGCTCTGCTGGTGTATTTGTCTTACTTAGTGGGGTAATACATAGCCTCATCCTTAAAAGCTTTGAGCTACCATGCATTTGTGTTGTGTTATAGGCTATAGCAAGATCCGTAATTCTAGAAAGAATCTGCAATTGAGAATGCTTCTTGGATGAATTTGTGATAATCCATTGTTATCCTTCAGGATCTCTCTGGGCTTTTGTTGTAGACAAATTCATGAATTTATTGGGAATAAAAATGGGGGCTACTACCACTGCACCCTTTTAGATCTTTAAGAGTTGCATTAATTTCTGCTATTTTCTCCAGGAAGTGATATTGTTTTTGGCTTACTGACTTGACAGGTGAGCAGTTTCAAAGCTGCAGATTGGCCTTCTGTACTATGAGAGAACTTACCCCATAATCCAGGTAACAATATGGGGATTCTGCCAAGCACTAAGTATGTCTATTTCAATTACACATTTGTAAATTGATTAAAAGTCTATTGGGTGAGTCCTAAGACCTGGTGGTTCCACTCTGTACTGATCCTGGCTCAGGATTACCTTTAGTACTTGCCCACCAAAAGTTTCCGTTGTAACTGAAATTTGTGTTCTAGATATTAATGTTGACTTGGACTCCAACAGTCCTTAGGATCTTTAAATACTCTTAGTACATTTCTTCTTAGTAAATTTACCCTTTGAAGAAGACTGGGGAAATATTTATCAAATACTCTTTTTTACAGTTTTGTAAGATTCTTCCTACTTTGGGACTTGAAAGCTAGCTCAGATGCAGAAATTAGGCAAGGAATAGTGACTTCTTTTGTGGTGGCTACACTAAGCCTTTGATCTTTCATCCTGCATTTATTTTGGTTGTACACAGTGAAAATTACATCTGTTGATTTTCATCTACATTTTCTCTAGAGATGCTATGTTCTATTAACTGTCTCCATGATGCCGTACCAATAAGGTCCCCTTGTTGCTATTCAAAACTTTGGTGCTATTATGGTAATTATGCCCAACTTGTTTATGAATTTTAGGTACTGTCACCTGATTTCTGTTATTTCAGGAGTTTATTCCTTCCACTGCTTTCAGATAGGCTAGTCTGGTAACAGCATCTTTCATAGTCATCCCTTGTCCAAAGAGTACACAACTGACTTTCTTGACAGTACTGATGACTTTCTCACCAGCACATTCTTTATTACTTTGATAAACAAGTTTTTTCTTGAATTTCTAATTCTCTTGAACAACATAACCATCTGATCAGGTTTCCAGTCTTATGTAGTTTATCCTCTTCTCTGAGTCTTTTCATGCATTCTTCTACCATCTCCTATGACTACACTGGCATTTCCAATTCACCTGTGGACCATTACTTTGTCCAACCTTCCAAGATCCATCCTAGCTGCATGCTAGCACTTTTCAGGATGTTTACATTTGTATCATGGAAGAGTGCTTTGACATCAGTAGACTCTCCCTAATCAGGTTTTTAGAGCCTTATGTTGTATTCTCCTTGATCCAGCACTCTCAGGATCCAGTCCCACACATGCTCTGCCAGCTTCTTCTGGTACATTTTGGCTGGATCCTTCAGTTCCTCTGATATATAATTCCTTACCTCCTTCAGAAAGTCTAGCACTCCCATGGATTGGTTAATTTGTGACTTCATTCTCTTATTTCTGTGGTGGCCAGGAGAGTAGGGATGGGGGGAGAGTCTAAGAACGTGCAGCATTGAATATCAGATCTTTTTCTATGACACTAAAGAGGTATGCTAGCTTTCACACTCTGTCCTACATAGGTAAGTAATTACCCTCTGCCACTCACTGACTTCCTTTGGAGCCTCCATGACATTTAGCAATCATCATATTCTGACTCTATTAAATAGTGTATACAAGAAATATGAATAGGTCAGGTATTTAAATTGTAGCCAGTCTTATACAGCTAAGGCATAAGCAGATAACAAAAGCTCTGTTACAGTTGAGGATTAAACCCAAAATTTGACTACTACTTATAGAATTTAAATGTCATTGAAATCATCTTAATTTGAAAAGAGTGGTTGTTTATTTCAATGAAATAGACTCTTGATCTAGATAAGGTATTACTTCTTTGGGTTACCATGCTTCTTCCAGCTACTTGATAACTTATAAAATATTTATTCACTATCATGTTGCCTCATACAGCTTTGCTTCTGAACATGGTTGTTATAGCAAAGTACACCAAATAATGAGCTTATGCTAACAGAATTCACTGGTCCTGCCTTATACTCTATCACTTAAAAGCAGCTGGCATTGCATAACATAAGAGTGGCCAACTGAAGATATTTATTATGCCATTCAGAGACAGCATCCTGCAAAGTTGGGCTTCTGTCCTACGGGTTGTAGTATTTGTATTCGACTAGATAAATTTGACTGGATAAATCTAGTCAGAATATATGGGTCTGGAATCAAGGGTTGGAAGTGGGAGAGATTCATTTTACTGTTTCACTTATTAAACCACTTGAACAATTTTATTCCCTTTCTTGAAGCTTGATTAATAGTGATATTTTGCAAGGGATGAATGCTTTTATCAGGGAACACGACAATGGTTGGCATGAACTTGAAGGTATATGGCTCTCTGGCTATTTGGGGTTCTCATGTCACTGAATCCACAAAGTAAGGAGTGATTAAATGAACTGAAGTGGAAGTTAGGTCTCTGCTACATAATGCAAGCAGGGAAAGCCATGACTAGAACTCAAGGCATTCTTTTATGTACCACTTAATGTTTCCATATTCAGTAGTAAAATTAGTGAAAGACAAAATGATTTGGCAGTATCTACCAATACAAAACGTGTGCATTTCCTAGAATCCAGCAATTCTACTTCTTATTCTGTGTTGAAGTCAGTCAAGAAATTTCCATCATTATGAAGACAAGGGAAAAAGTCTCTTCCTCATTCACACATGAAATATGGTAATATAAAAATCTATGTTTTCTCAGAGATATTCTCAAGCTTGGTTAGACTACTTAATTTACTAAGTGATGAAAGTATAATGTTATTATACCAAAATTTATAACCTTAGTGTGGCATAATTTTTCATTCCCAATCGACATTCATTTGTCAATGTCAAGGATAAATTTATAGGAAATTAAGTAAGGTATGTCTTTTGAATTTGTGATGTACATATTAACAGTAGATTAAGTTGAAATAATAAAATCTGTATTGTTTATGATTTATCAGTTATATGATGAGTAGAATATAGTCTATTGTGGCCAGTGTGTATATATAACATAAACAATACATTAACCCAATTTTGTGTGAAAATTATTTTGGGACCTAGTAGCTTTCTTGGTCACAACCTTTCAAACAAACAAATTTTTTTTAAATTAATTTTTTCCCTTAATAAAGAAAACAATTCCTCAATGTGTAATAGCAAATACCTTTTAACAGGTCATATATCATCAATGCTTTCTTTGAAAAAGTACTGATGCTTACAAGTTGCTTTACGAGTAAAGATGCTTACAAATCTTTTCTTTCAAGTAGCTCATCCTCTGATCATTATTCTGTTGTTTGATATCTACTCCCTAGCATTTATCCATGACACATATTATTTGATTGTATTTAATAGTTTATTGGCAAATACTGTTGGTTTCCTTATAACTTTTTTTCCCATTGCATTTTCATTGCAAAACCTGTACC
Source organism: Homo sapiens (assembly GCF_000001405.40). Classification (NCBI taxonomy): domain Eukaryota; kingdom Metazoa; phylum Chordata; class Mammalia; order Primates; family Hominidae; genus Homo; species Homo sapiens. The sequence continues at coordinate 185,992,204 of NC_000002.12, read as the reverse complement.
TTGTTTAAATTCAGTAGTTCACTTTTACTGAGCCTACCAACAAGCAACAAAACATGGTTGGAGAAAAACACATTATGATAACTGGTCATACCTTAATTTATGACCAAGAATGAGTGGTCATATTATGGCAATCCTACCACAGATCTTTATTTTCTTCCCAGTCTCTAAGAAGCTTTACGTTTAAACATTCTTTCCTTGCCACAAAATTCTAATGAGTGTCTTGCCTTCCTCAGTCTCAGCTGATGACTCTGCTTTATAGTGTAGAAAAAAGGTAAACCACTTTTTTGTACAACAATATCTACTCTTCTTTCTTCATGGGAACTCACGTATTTTGCTGAGGTAGTTAGCCTCCAAAGATGACCCTCAATAATTCCACCTATTGGCTTTATACATCGTTGTGTAACCCCTGCTCAAATTGTACCAGGGATGTTCTGTGTGACCCATAGAATACAGGGTAGTGGTATGTCACTTACAAGATCAAATCATGAAAGTTATTACTTTCCTCCCAGTGTCTTTCTCTTTCTCCAGTTTTCTAGAAGAAGCCAGTTCATGGACAGTCTTGCGGGATGACCCATAGTGTGAAGAAAAATAACTTCCTGCTAAGACACATGTGAGGGTGTTTAGATTGGATCCTATAGTCCCAGTCTTATTTTCAGAGACCATATTTATGGCTGACAGCTTAACCACAACCTCATGAGAGACATCCTCTGTAGCCAAGGCCCAGGCTGTACTTTGGCCCACTTTAGCCACAGCTGGAGTGGCTGGGACGCAGGACACCAAATCCTGAAACTGCGCAAAGCAGCAAGTCTTTGCGCCTGGCTCATAAAACCATTTTTTTTTTTCCTCCTACACTTCCTGGCTTGTGATGAAACAGGCTGCTGTGAAGTTTTATGGTCATTAAAGTCTCAGCATTGTAATATTCTAAGCACGTGGTAAGACCATACATTCCAGTGCTCATTTGTTTGCATATTATCAAGTGTTTAAATCTGACCAATGAGTTATAAACAGAAATGATGTATGTCATGTCATTTCTTGTTTTGTGATTTTTATTACTGGTATTAAAACTTTCAGAGTTTCTTTTCCCTCTCATTTTACCATGACAATCAGCAACATTCCAGACAGATTTGCTCAGTCAGCCTGGATTCCAGAGGGAGAAGGATGTAGAGCAGAGTCCACAGCCTAACGCCTAACCATGTTGATAATGTACATAGTATGAAAAAGAAATACATTTTTGTTACCTTAACTTACTGACATTAGGATATTTTTACTGTAGCATAACACTGATTGTTACTGACGTAAGTAACATGTAAGCCAACAGAAAGCAGAAAAAAATCTAAACACCTCAACTGGAGAATAGCTTTTGAGGTGGTGTTGGTCTATTCCATCAAATATTATGACACTAAAAACACTGATTATGAAGACTGTGATAATATTGTGAATATAGGTAAAATATTATATACAATTATAGAACAAAATATTAAGTTGAAACTCAAAAAATGATGTAAAATGGTATATGTTCAACCCTATTTGATTATTATTTACTTCCAGAAACATTGTATATTTATGGTTCCTTTCCCTTCTCACAGTGTTCTGGCCATGACAGGGTTAGTTCTTGCCACAAACTGTAGAAGAAGGTAGCTTTGGACTGCAGTATTTTATAGCTGGTGGAAGACCTTCATATTTATAATAATAATAATAATAATAAATACAATAATAATAAATATTATTATTATTATTATTATACTTTAAGTTTTAGGGTCATTTAACATTAGGTATATCTCCAAATGCTATCCCTCCCCCCTCCCCCCACCCCACAACAGGCCCCGGTGTGTGATGTTCCCCTTCCTGTGTCCATGTGTTCTCATTGTTCAATTCCCACCTATGAGTGAGAACATGCAGTGTTTGGTTTTTTGTCCTTGCGATAGTTTGCTGAGAATGATGGTTTCCACCTTCATCCATGTCCCTACAAAGGACATGAACTCATCATTTTTTATGGCTGCATAGTATTCCATGGTGTATATGTGCCACATTTTCTTAATTCAGTCTATCATTGTTGGACATTTGGCTTGGTTCCAAGTCTTTGCTATTGTAAATAGTGCCACAATAAACATACGTGTGCATGTGTCTTTATAGCAGCATGATTTATAATCCTTTGGGTATATACCCAGTAATGGGATGGCTGGGTCAAATGGTATTTCTAGTTCTAGATCCCTGAGGAATAGCCACACTGACTTCCACAATGGTTGAACCTAGTTTACTGTCCCACCAACAGTGTAAAAGTGTTCCTATTTCTCCACATCCTCTCCAGCACCTGTTGTTTCCTGACTTTTTAATGATCGCCATTCTAACTGGTGTGAGATGGTATCTCATTGTGGTTTTGATTTGCATTTCTCTGATGGCCAGTTATGATGAGCATTTTTTCATGTGTCTTTTGGCTGCATAAATATCTTCTTTTGAGAAGTGTCTGTTCATATCCTTCGCCCACTTTTTGATGGGGTTGTTTGATTTTTTTTCTTGTAAATTTGTTTGAGTTCATTGTAGATTCTGGATATTAGCCCTCTGTCAGATGAGTAGATTGCAAAAATTTTCTCCCATTTTGTAGGTTGCCTGTTGACTCTGATGGTAGTTTCTTTTGCTGTGCAGAAGCTCTTTAGTTTAATGAGATCCCATTTGTCAATTTTGGCTTTTGTTGCCATTGCATTTGGTGTTTTAGACATGAAGTCTTTGCCCATGCCTATGTCCTGAATGGTAATGCCTAGGTTTTCTTCTAGGGTTTTTATGGTTTCAGGTCTAACATTTAAGTCTTTAATCCATGTTGAATTAATTTTTGTATAAGGTGTAAGGAAGGGATCCAGTTTCAGCTTTCTACATATGGCTAGCCAGTTTTCCCAGCACCATTCATTAAATAGGGAATCTTGTTTTTGTCAGGTTTGTCAAAGATCAGATGGTTGTAGATATGCGGCATTATTTCTGAGGGCTCTGTTCTGTTCCACTGGTCTATATCTCTGTTTTGGTACCAGTACCGTGCTGTTTTGGAGGCGGAGGTTGCAGTGAGCTGAGATTGCACCATTGCACTCCAAGCCTGGGTGACAGAGCAAGACTCCATCTCGGGAAAACAAACAAACAGACAAAAAATGGTGTAAAGAGCAGATAAAATTCCAAAAGAAAGAATTCTAACATAATCTTCAAAGGATATACTAATCTTGTATTTGTTCTACAGATTGCCTGTTGCTAAATTATTTGCCCAACAATGTTCCTCTCCCTTTGCTTCACATAATCTCCGCAATATTATTTATGCATATAGCATTATAAAGTTATTTCCAAAGGAATTAATTCATGCCAACATTTCATTTTAATTTGTGAAAAACAGGGGAAATAATTCTACATATATTCTGAATATATTGATTACATACTCCGCTATCTATTAATTTGATGCATATGTATTTTTGGACACCTACTATTTATTAATTTTCATCTGGATTCATGGTAATATTGGATATAGGCTTTCATTGCTATCTTTGCTAAAGGCTTTATCACACTAAATTGTAAGTATTATTATAGCATATCTTAAAGGCAGAGATCTTATAAATTATCTTTTTATAGTAAATTTTTAGAGCAATTCTGGGTATACAGCGAAAGCTAACAAAATATTTATCAAATGACTAAACAGTTGATGTAGGTAATTCAGTTGTTCAGAAGAGGACAGCCCTGAAAAAGTCTGCCTGAGAAGTCAGGAAGGCCAGTGGGAGCATGTTGGAAGTAAAATATGACTGGAATACAACATTGAGAGTTCACATATTCCTCACGCAATTCAGTATTAACCTTCTGTTAATGTTAATTCATTTCAAGAAGAATTTCTAGTTTTTTTTAAATAATCATTCAGAGTTTTCCAGAAGAATAGATTTAAAGTTTGATTTTGATCATCACTGGAAAGATTTAGAGGCTCTGATAACTTATTGGAGAAATGATGTGAAAACTAACACTTTTAGAAAATAAGACTATTTAGAAATTTGAGAGCCCAGATTTAATGCAAAAGCTTAATTATGCCTTCATTGAAGTAGCTTTGAGATTAAAACTCATATTTATATTAAAACACTTGATTCCAGAACCTATCTTTCAGACCAAGAATGTCGATAAATGTCATATTTTTACATAAGTATGGGTAAAATTATTTTGTCTTAATATTAAATTATATTTAAAATTATATATGATTTTTTAGATTGTAGCACAAAGTTGTCAACAGAACTGTGTGTAAACTAGTTATAAAAGTAATGTATGCTTATTTGTAGAAAACATGAAAAATGAAGGCTATAAAATGAAATTATCCTATATTCATGTCATCCAAAGATAATCATATAATTTTAATGTATTTCCTCTCAGGTTTTTTTCTCTTTGTCTCTTGCTGAGTGTCTTTCCTCTCATTTTCCTCTGTCTGCTTCTTTGTTCATGTCTCTGTTCCTCTTTTCCTCTCACAGGTCCTGTCTCCGTATCTTTACTTTTCTCTGTTTCTTTGTCTACTGCTGTCCGTTTCCGCTTTTCAATTAAAACGTCCATGGTGTTTCACATTTGTCACTTAGCTTTATATTGCATCAAATCACTAAAACTGTTGAAGAGTGATATAAAAAACAGCAAGTCACCCATCCACTGGAAATATTCTGGAATGTATCACATAAGTGAAAAATTCTTTGCACTGTATCAGGGATCTGTAAGGGCAGGAAATATTTTTAAGGTCTGTTTCATTTTTAACAGCCTATGACAAATTGATGAGATCTCATGCTCTATTTCAGTCAGTTTTATTGAAGAATTTTGAGCTGGATAAACTGAAAGTGGCTATTGAAGTCATGATTTATGTTATGGACATCGTTGGAGATAAATGGAGGGATGTTATAAGGAATACAGTGGCACTAGGAGAACAAGAACCACGTGTGGAAATAGGAGGATAAAAGAGAGAGACTGAATCTATTAATAAGATAAGATGGGAGTAAAAGTTGAGAATAAAATTCTGAGGGTGGTGAGAGGAAGGTCATATAAAGAAAAGAGTTCAGCATGTAAGAAATAATGGGAAAACAAAGGGAAAAATAAAACCAAGAAAGAAGAAATGAGAAAATAAATTAGATAAAATGGAAAATAAATGAGAATTGCTTGTTGAGTGAGAAATGATGAAAATTTCTAAAAGCTACTTGTATTTGCAGGGACTGCTTTTTTCTTATTCACTTTTGTTTGTGTAATTGTTAATAGTTTTAGTTTCCAAGTTATTACATAAATTAGTTTATATACATATCCATATTATCTTCACTAGACAACTTTGTATAAACTAGTCTGGGTTCCAGGAAAACCATGGAATATTTATTAATGATAAAATTTTAGGCCAAAATTTAGTTCTGTAAAATATAATCTATAGGGAAAATCTACATGTTCAACAAGAAATCCAAATTATGTTTTGTGACCGTGTAACTTGGATATCTAATTAAAATACCCAATCACTAAGTTAAGACAATCATTTAACTAACATATTCTCTCTCTATATGCCCTTATAGGTTGGTGACAGTGGTTTTGGAAAAAGAAAAAAAACACTTTATGGGTTTTTAGTGTTGTTGAATATCAAGGTATCTACTTAAACCTTCTAATTTAGGTATAGGAGAAATTAAACTAGCAAAAGCAAACGACATAGGTTTTGGGTAATATGAATTTGTTTTCACTTTATTCATAGTCTAAGGTTGTTCTGCCCAATAAGATAGCCAACAGACACATGTAATTAAACATGTGATGTTTGGCTGGTCCAAATTGAGATGTACTATAAGTATAAAATTCACACTACATTTTGAAGTTAGTACAAAAGAAAGAAAAACAAATGTAGAGATTTTTAAAAAGACAGTGTTTAAAATATTTTTAAAGCATGTAAAAGATAGTACTCATAGACAAATTACTATAAAATAATTTTATTGACTACAAGTTGAAAAGTTAATATTTTAGATATAGTGGGTTAAAGAAAACAGTCTCAAAATTAATTTTACCTATTTCTGTTTAGTTTTTAAATGAGGCCACTATGAAATATAAAGTTAGATATGCAGGATCACATTATACTGGTAGAGAGGACAGTGCTGTTCTAAGTCAGGGGTCTATAAACTACAGTGTGCAGATCAAATCCAGCCTGCATACGATTTCTGTAAAACAACCCACCAATTTGTTTCCATATTATTCATGGCTGCTTTCATGTTGCAGTGGTAGAGTTACGTAGTTGCAGTGGACCACATTTGGCCCACAGTCTAAAATATTTACTGTCTTTACAGAAAAAGTTTGGCAACCCCTGCTTTAGAGTAACTTAGCAGTCTTATTTAACCTTAATCTTCAGTTTTTTTCTGTATCCTCAATAGGAAAATCAGTGGGTGAGAATGGGAGCTAACAAGTGGAAAGGAAGCATATCTTAGTAAAGAAGGCCTGCCCATCATTTAAAACATACAAATTCCACTGCCTAAAATGTTAGTTATGTCACTTAAAGAAAATGAAACAAGGGATAACAGTATCAACAAAAACTTCAATAATCTATGCTTTGTTAATTCATACTCCCAAACGAGAATGATAACATATAATCCCTTTCTCCTCTAATATGCTCCTGTTACATATCCCTGCTGCTAACTTCACTGCTGCCACTTTTAAGAAAGATGGATTAAAAACTCTTATTGGCTAAAGGACAAGTAGGAGAGTGAACTAGTGTTATACATTGAGAGGAAAAGCCGTTATACATTGAGGGGGAAGGTTTAAGACAAAGTAAAACTCAGTTGAGAGTTTTGGAGAGAAAGGGGAAAGAATAAAGCTGAAATAGGAGATAATGTTTTTCTACATTTAGAGGTGTGCTCTCATCTAGGTTTTGTCATTTTGATTGTATTTAACTACTATTATATTAACAGGGAACGTTTCCTTTTACACTATTTTTAAGCCACAAAAATGGAATAAAACAAAACAAAAAACCCTAGTTTTAAATTTTTTTGAGGAGTCTAATATGGATCTCATGGATGGACGTTGAGCCTGAAGCCATTTCTGGCAAGACTTGTCTTGAGAGGGGAGAATGAGTTTATTCTGCATGTGGTAGGGATGTGAATTATTGAGATCACAGAAAAGACTGTAGTAGTTTTTAAAGATGTTTAAAATGGTTCCTCCCACTATCCTCTGAGTTGTAATTTTCTGTTCCTTCCATTAAGAGCTGAAATTTATTTCCTCACTCCTTGCATATAAGCTGGCATTCTGGCTTGCTTTGACCAATTGGAGGATGTTATTTGACTTCTGAGTCCAGACATTAAGAGATCATGCAGCTTTCACTTTATGCCCTTAGAATGCCTCCCTGAGGTCATGCTGTGGGTAAGATAGTATATTATTTATCTATTGCTACATACCAGTATTACCACAAGCTTAGCAGCTTAAAGCAACATGCATTTGTTTTATCACCATTTTTGAGATTCAGGAGTCCAGGCCCAGCTTATCGCAGTTCTCTGATTAGGATCTCACAGGACTGCAATCAAAGGGTTGGCTGGGGCCACAGTCTCATCTGAGATTTGGATGGGTAAAGGTGTTCTTCACGGCTCATTCAGGTTGTTGGAGAAATTCAATGTTTCACTCTCAGAGGTTGACTGCTATTCCTTGCTATTTTTTGGCTCCTCAATATGGCTCCTTGCTACCTTAAAGGAAGCCAAGAAGAGACTCAAAAGATGAATATTGCAATCTTATGTTATGTATTGTATATGTAATCATGTACTTTTGCCATATTCTATCAGTTTGAAGCAAGTCCAAGTCGAGCCCATACTCAATGGAGTGAAGGGTATTCCACAAGGGTGTGAACAAAAAGAGGCAGCAATAATGCAGGCCACATTAAGTGTCTGTCTGTCACAGCTAGTCTAGTTCATTGGAGGATAAAAATTGTCAAAAATTGTATAAGGTCTGAAAGTTTACCCTACTTGAAATCTGATAAGTAAATTTGCCACAATTTCGTGGTTGCTGAAAGCAGAGACATGATTTCTGGGTCAGAGATAAAGAATTTTAATTTTTACAGAATTAGCAGTAGCCAGAATATCATTTTTTTTCCTACTGATTTTCTGAGCCCCAATCTCCATGCGGAGTGTACCAAGTAATGCCTATGCAAACACTAGTTGTGTGATATGAGCACTCTGAGCTTATGAAACCTGAATCTTTCATAGCGGCCAGTAAGCATGCTTACCTTTTGTTCTGGAGAGAGCAAGGATGTTGGTAACACAATTTCTCATACTGGTCTATAGATAAACAGAAAACAAAAATTGTACTTGGAGAAAATGTTGTTGTAGTACTTAAAAAAGAAAAGGCAACAGAAGCTTCTTGGTTTTGAATTCCATGTGGCAGTTCATTTCCAAACTACTTAAAATATTTCCATGATAAAATATATGTAACATATTTGAATTTTAAAAAGTAAGAAATGACAAAAGTCATTTATAAGTAGATGTGAAATTCTTAACATAGCTAGCCAGACTTTCCCAAGGGCTAAAGTAAAATTTCCTTTTAATTAGAGTCAAGATAATAAAAAGGGTGAAAAGAAGCATCTCCCAAAAGCAAGTATTTTTGTTAAAAAAATTCAAGACTTTTTTCTTCCCAGTTAGAAGTAGAATATAATAAAGAAAAACTTTTCTTGTCACGTTGTTTTAATTTTTTCAAGGCATATAACTTTGAACAATAATTTTAGGGAAGATTAACTTTGGTAATTTCTTTTCAGAATTATGAATATACATATATATGTGTTTGTGTGTATGTGTTATATATTTTGTTCTACTACTTCTGTAAAATATTACTGATAATTTGTGATGTGGATGAGGGCGGGGAATTAGAGAAAAGAGAAGTCCTTCATAAGAGGAGTAAGTTTTTATTACAACACTGAACAAAGATAATGGGAATGAGTAGTAAATTTTACATGTTTATATACAAGTCACAAATTTACATTAAGAAGTAAATTAAGGCATTTTCCCCAATGTATAGAAACAACTACAATGACATCAAAAACTAAAACAAAAGAAAAAAAGGGAGAAGAAACAAAGCAGGTAATCATCAAAGGAAACCTCTATCTTGTGTTCAAAATTACTTTTAAAATGTGTCACAGTGATGAGAATGCTTTGTGCAAATGTCCACAATGTAAACCATGGTGAGTTCCAACTAGAAAACCACTTTATTCTGCCTCCCTCAAAATTGACCTTTTAAAAAAACTGAACACTTTTACACTGTTGGTGGGACTGTAAACTAGTTCAACCATTGTGGAAGTCAGTGTGGCGATTCCTCAGGGATCTAGAACTAGAAATACCATTTGACCCAGCCATCCCATTACTGGGTATATACCCAAAGGACTATAAATCATGCTGCTATAAAGACACATGCACACGTATGTTTATTGCGGCACTATTCACAATAGCAAAGACTTGGAACCAAGCCAAATGTCCAACAATGATAGACTGGATTAAGAAAATGTGGCACATATACACCATGGAATACTATGCAGCCATAAAAAATGATGAGTTCATGTCCTTAGTAGGGACATGGATGAAATTGGAAATCATCATTCTCAGTAAACTATCGCAAGGACAAAAAAACCAAACACCGCATATTCTCACTCATAGGTGGGAATTGAACAATGAGAACACATGGACACAGGAAGGGGAACATCACACTCTGGGGACTGTTGTGGGGTGAGGGGAGGGGGGAGGGATAGCATTAGGATATATACCTAATGGTAAATGATGAGTTAATGGGTGCAGCACACCAGCATGGACATATGTAACTAACCTGCACATTGTGCACATGTACCCTAAAACTTAAAGTATAATAATAATAAAATAAAATAAAATAAACTGTGCTGAAGCTAATGTTTCCTTTTTCTCTGGGTTTAAATTTGAGAAGGCTATAGCTTATCTCTTAACTTTTCACTTGGGTCTTAGTCTACTCAGGTTTCCATAACAAAGTAACATCGACTGAGTGGTCTAAACAACAGAAATATTATTTTCTCACAATTCTGGAGGCTGAAAGTCCAACATCAAACCAATTTGGTTTCTGGAGAGGGGTCATTTCTTGGCTTGCAGTTGGCTTCCTTCTCACTTATCTTTCCTCAGTTCTTACCTCAGTGTGAAACCACCTCACCTCAGGATTTTATAAAATCAATTAAGAAAAAAAAATCCAGCTAATCACAGCAGCAATCATTATGCCAACTTGCCTTCTGGCTCACTTACTTGTAGAGTCACTACTCCAGTATAATGTGGCCCTTGTCACAAGACTCTTTTCATTTTCTATTCTATAAAGTCTAAGACATTGTGAGATGATAAGTCTTCTATTGGAGCTTCTTTCCTAAGTTCTTCATACTAAGAAAACTACAGATGCCAGCTGGTCTGGAGGGCCTAGTAAGAACCTGACTCATAAAGAAATGCAGTTGCTGTTTCTTGATGATTTCATGTCCCTTATCCTAAGCAATCGATGACCTCAAATTTTCCAGCCCCTCACTCTCCACAAATCCCCATGAAAACCCTTGCCCAGAGCCCCTTGACAGAACAGATTTGAGGCTTGAGAATTCCTCCCATTTCCTCATTGGGTGACTTGTGATTATTAAACCCTTTCTCTACTGCAACCCTGCTGTCAGTGTATTGGTCTGTTGCTGTGCAGTGGGCATAGAAAACTGGCAGTCCTGTAACAAGCAGTTGTGCAGCTGAGGGTGGAAGTAGGGGTGGTAGGAGAAGAGAAGAATTTTAAAAAAAGAAAAAGAATGCTTTCTCTGGTGTCTCCTAATCCTACTGGATTAAGGCCACACTCTTGTGACTTCATTTAACAATAATTACTTCCTTAGAGGCCATATCTCCAAATTCAACCACACTGCGGATTAGGGCTTCAACATATGAATTTGTAGAGATTCTCTGCCCATCTAACTTTTCTTACCCCTCCTGTAGCTTACTGGCAATGATGAGGGAAGATAATGAATAAAAAATAGGCAAGGAGCAAGAGTGGCCCAGTTAGTCCCATCAGTCAGGGGTCAGCAAACTTCCTGTAAAGCGCCAATCAGTTTTGCTGACATACAGTCTTTGTTGCAGTTACTCAACTCCAACATAGTAGTACAATAGATGAAAAATAGAAACCATAGTTGTGTTCCGTAAAATTTTTATTTACAAATGCAGGCAGGCCAATCTCTTTTCTAGAGCATAATTAAAACATAAAAGAATCCCATTTTTATCATCCTGATACTTGGTTTGGTATAGCAACAGATGAGAAGCTGCAATCTTTGGGGGATGGAATGGGTAGGAATGTACATTTATTCAAGTGTGTTTTTGTCACTCAGTGAATTTCAACATTTGCTGCATGTTAGAAATCTCTGGGACACTTTTAAAAAATCAGATTTTAAAATGTGATGCCCAGGCTACAAGGAGATAAGTTAAATCAGAAGGTGGTGATTTGATACCCATTACTAATATTTTTTTAAAGATCCAACATGCCATCAGGAGTAGAAATAACTTTTTTAGCTGTAGCTTACTGAAAATGTTCAAACACCATAAACACATTAGCACCTCGAACATATAAATGTTACCAGAAGCACCTTGGCAGAAGTTCTTCAGCAGTATTCATCCAGGTTTTGTATTACCTGTTTTTTTTTGTTTGTTTGTTTTGGGGCCTCTATTGATTCTGCTCCATGAATTCATCTAGGCGACTTCATTAACTTATTTTTTGAATATTTATCTCAGCTTTGACCTGAAACATTTCTTTTGCAACATGTGGAATATTTCTCCTAAGTTCACAGTCTAGTGAAGCTGCTTTTGTGAACTTTCTACTGAGAGATATCTGACATAGTTGACTCCATCTTGCTTCTGACCCCCAAGCTGTCCTTGGTCATTCTTGTGCATAGGCCAAGCTAACTTTGGGAGGAATTTAGTTTACAGTTTAACTTGAAAACAACAACAATAATACCCCCTCCTAAAACTACTCTTCTCTTTGCTCAGAGACCCAAAACCACCCTTGTGAAACTAATGAAAAGTCGCAAGAATAGGATCATGGGAGGGGCCTGGACTCTGCTAAGATGTAGGCATAGTGTCTATAATCCTTTACTGCTCAGGAGTTATGTGGCCAGAGGTCACAAGATTTGTGGCTTGACCAGTTACTCCTATTGATAACATCACTATTGTAGAAGCTAAAAATGGTTTTTTGAGATACCTTTCAGACTGTTCCCACCCAGATTCATGACTCAACTGATCCTGTAGCCCCACCCAGAGGTGTACTCAGCATATGAGTACCACTTTCCACACCCCTATGATTTCATCGTCAGTCAGTAAAGAGCACCCATTCCCTAGCTATGATATGAGTGGTAACTTCAATTCTCTCATGTGGGCCAGCCTCACATCAATTAAACCAGTTCTCTACTGTAATGCTGTAGTCTCAGTGGATTGATTTGTCTGTGCACTGGGCAGGAAGAACCCATCCGATGATTACATGACTGAAATAAGTAAAAGGCACTCTGCACTCATGCCTTGCTGTAGCCAATACTTAATAGAGCCACAGGCTAAAATGTTCTGAAAGCTGTTACTCTTAATTAGCTCTGTGTGTGGGTGTGTATGTGTTGAGCATAGTTTTGTGTTGACTGGAGGGCAGTCATTCTTTGCTGCTAAAAAATTATCATTTTTTAAATCAGCATTAAATTTTTTAATAAAATCAGCATTTAATGATAATTTTTTATGAGCTTTATAATTTTTTGTCAGCATTTCTCAGGGTTTACCTATTTATTGTTGTTATTTTTAGGTGCAGATGTTTGCTGACACAGCCTCAGCCTCATGGGAGGGACTCAGCAAAATGGAATTTGTGGTCTCTTCATTATAGGCAGAGGGTGAAGAAAAATGGGCAGCTTAATATCAGTCTAAGTTTGTTTAGATTACGTGGACTTCTAAATGGCTTGAGCAATTGGTTCTGGAGTATTTAATGCCATATGATTTACAGCAATGTCATATATTCACAGAAGCACTGACAACACTCCAGCTCTTCACTTCTGAAACCAGGAGGTTTCTGGAACACAAGTTAAGATCAGGCTGAGCCCTGTTCTTAGTCATAGAGTGGTGTTTTCTATCCTTTTAATTTTTAAATGAAATAAAGCTGTTTTTTCCTATTCAAGGCAATTATAAATTCAAGACATACGACAGCTTCCAGGACTGAGCCTATCTAGATAAAGTGTGAGGAGGTTAGTGCTGCCCATAATTAAGTTCATTGTTTCCTTGATATATCCCAGCTGAATCACATGACTCTTACACATTTAGGAAAATTAATACTTTTTTACTTTAGCATTATCTGACCCACACTTTATTACATTTCCTGAGACTCTCTCTGTAGTCTCAACTTTATATATTGCCTTAAGCCATGAATACAAGTAAACACTGCAGAACGTGAGGCATTTGATGTAACTGAGTTTAAGAAGATATCTTATTTGATGTTCTGGATAATTATAGAATATTGTGTTTCTTTTCAGTAGACTATCATCTCATATTCACCCTGAATGAAGAATAAGTACATTTAAGAATGTTCTTTTCCTATCAAATTAAAATGTTGCTTCTTTTCATTTTGCATATTTTTGCTTTTTGTGTTTTTTTGATTAGGTGAACTAATGGTTTTTTTTTAATCTTATGGTTTGCTTTTATTGCCAACAGTCAACATTTGGTTTTATTTATTATTTGTAAACTTTTTATTATTTTCTAATTTTTAATGTTTGTATTTCTCTTTAGTAATTAGTTTCATCAAATTTTCTTAGGTTCATTTGGTTGTTTTTTTAAAACTATCTTCTTGAATTAAGTATGTAATTAATTTGCGTTCATTTTTTGTTTTTAGAAATGAAAATATTTAAAACAAATTTCCACTGCAGTGCTGTAGTTGTATCCCATGTTTTCATAACATTCTCTATAACTTCTGTTTTGTCCTTTCTTTGAAGTTATGTAAGTGTAACACTTTAAAAATTATCTCATTTTTAGACACTCCAAAATTCTGATAAATCACAGTATAGACACTATTCTATGACTATAACACACAAAGCTAGAATATAGCAAAAGAAAACTAAAAACAAAGTTAGAGACACTTAGAATCTCTCTTTCTTTCTCTCTCTATTTATCTCTCTCAGATATACACACACATACACACATAAATACTTATGTTAACTCCAAACAAGGACTTAAAAGTATCAAACTAATGAAATGTTACAAATATTTCTTATGAATCAATTAATACTTTAAAAATCCTTTAAAAAGCAAAGCCCACATATTTTAACACAAAAGAGAAAAAGGAACTATATGTCTTGTTCCCAATGTTTTGTAAATGTTAGAATAGTTATAGTTGCATATACAAAAAACACCAATACCTCTTCTCTTAATTGTTAACAAGATAAAGAATGGATAATAGGAGTCAAAGAAATGTAGCACATCTTAATAACTAATATTATGTTTATTAAAACAGAAAAAAGTTTCAAAGGAACAAAGATATCTACATGTAACTATTCAGGGATAAATTCAAGTGAAGAATATTTTCAGAAGTTGAGAAAAACACTATAACATAAAGGAAAGAAAATGAGTAATAAACTACAATTAGACTGAAGCAACCCACTCAGAAAAAATATCCAGAAATAATATAGAAGGATGTTATGTTTTTCTCAAGGGGATTTTTTTTTTATTACACTTTAAGGTTTAGGGTACATGTGCACAATGTGCAGGTTAGTTACATAAGTATACATGTGCCATGCTGGTGTGCTGCACCCACTAACTCGTCATCTAGCATTAGGTATATCTCCTAATGCTATCCCTCCCCCCTCCCCCCACCCCACAACAGTCCCCATGTTCCACTTCCTGTATCCATGTGTTCTCATTGTTCAATTCCCACCTATGAGTGAGAACATGCGGTGTTTGGTTTTTTGTCCTTGCGATAGTTTACTGAGAATGATGGTTTCCAATTTCATCCATGTCCCTACAAAGGACATGAACTTATCATTTTTTATGGCTGCATAGTATTCCATGGTTTATATGTGCCACATATTCTTAATCCAGTCTATCATTGTTGGACATTTGGGTTGGTTCCAAGTCTTTGCTATTGTGAATAATGCCTCAATAAACATACGTGTGCATGTGTCTTTATAGCAGCATGATTTATAGTCCTTTGGGTATATAACCAGTAATGGGATGGCTGGGTCAAATGGTATTTCTAGTTCTAGATCCTTGAGGAATTGCCCCACTGTCTTCCACAATGGTTGAACTAGTTTACATTCCCACCACCAGTGTAAAAGTGTTCCTATTTCTCCACATCCTCTCCAGCACCTGTTGTTTCCTGGCTTTTTAATGATTGCCATTCTAACTGGTGTGAGATGGTATCTCATTGTGGTTTTGATTTGCATTTCTCTGATGGCCAGTGATGGTGAGTATTTTTTCATGTTTTTTTTGGCTGCATAAATGACTTCTTTTGAGAAGTGTCTGTTCATATCCTTCGCCCACTTTTTGATGGGGTTGTTTGTTTTTTTCTTGTGAATTTGTTTGAGTTCATTGTAGATTCTGGATATTAGCCCTTTGTCAGATGAGTAGGTTGCAAAAATTTTCTCCCATTTTGTAGGTTGCCTGTTGACTCTGATGGTAGTTTCTTTTGCTGTGCAGAAGCTCTTTAGTTTAATGAGATCCCATTTGTCAATTTTGTCTTTTGTTGCCATTGCATTTGGTGTTTTAGACATGAAGTCCTTGCCCATGCCTATGTCCTGAATGGTATTGCCTAGGTTTTCTTCTAGGGTTTTTATGGTTTTAGGTCTAACGTTTAAGTCTTTAATCCATCTTGAATTAATTTTTGAACCAAAAAGAGTCCAGGACCAGATGGATTCACAGCCAAATTCTACCAGAGGTACAAGGAGGAACTGGTACCATTCCTTCTGAAACTATTCCAATCAATAGAAAAAGAGGGAATCCTCCCTAACTCTTTTTATGAGGCCAGCATCATCCTGATACCAAAGCCGGGCAGAGACACAACCAAAAAAGAGAATTTTAGACCAATATCCTTGATGAAGATCGATGCAGAAATCCTCAGTAAAATACTGGCAAACCGAATCCAGCAGCACATCAAAAAGCTTATCCACCATGATCAAGTGGGCTTCATCCCTGGTTTGCAAGGCTGGTTCAATATATGCAAATCAATAAATGTAATCCAGCATATAAACAGAACCAAAGACAAAAACCACATGATTATCTCAATAGATGCAGAAAAGGCCTTTGACAAAATTCAACAACCCTTCATGCTAAAAACTCTCAATAAATTAGGTATTGATGGGACGTATCTCAAAATAATAAGAGCTATCTATGACAAACCCACAGCCAATCTCAAGGGGATTATATAGAGATATTAATAGAAAATAATATAAAATATTAGAAAACAATGGATCTAGAAACCCAAGTGGGAATTATAAATAAATATTTTAAGATATTCTGGCAGTATTGAGCTATGTGAGTTAATGAGTTTTACAGAATAACTTAAAAATGATGAATTAACCTCCAGGCTGATTTAAGCTGATCCATTACACAAAGGAAAATATGAGGTAACCTCAGGTGCCTGTTTACCAAAGGCTTTTAGAAAACAATGTAATAAAGATCATCTTAGTCATTCTAAAGTAAGAATAAATGTCATAAAAAAGAGAAAGTGAGAAATGTGAATTATGAGAAGAAATTATACTTTTATTTATGAAATTCTAATTTAGCTTGGAATTAATACTTCTTTTACTTAGATAAAGAACACTACATAATGCTTATGATGTGTAAGAGAAAACAAGGTAGGAATGTATTTAAAATTTTTATTATTTTATCCTTATGCTACAAAAAATTAGAAGGCTTTAAATAATACATCTTGTCTGGAAAAGCATTTATATTTTGGATAAACTTAGTGTTCTGGAAACCATGTAAAATGTCTAGGTACTTAATGTTTATAAAATCTTAGAGAAGTCAAACTTGTGTATATAATAATAATATACACCAATATATTTATACATCTATATCCGTCTACTTACCTGTCTCTGTGCCTCTATATCTGTATCTATGCCCTCAAAGAGACAAGATAGGATGTAAACATTATTTGAATAAAATTTATAATGCACAGAAGCATTTATTTAAAATTGTCATATTTCAATAATAGGCAGAATTATTTTCAAAATATTAACTGGACAAAGGATTTCTTAATATTCTCACTGAGTTTGTCATGGTTCTCCAGAGAAAAAGAACCAACAGGATATCTATCTATCTATCATCTGTCTATCTATTGAGAGATAAAAATATATTTATTATGAAGAATTGGCTCACATGATTATGCAGGCCAAAAAGTCCCTTCATCTGTTGTCTATAACCTGGAAGCCCAGAGAAATCAGTGGTTTAATTCCAGTTCATGCTCAAAGGCTTGAGAATCAAGGAAGCCAATGGTGTATGTCCTAGTTCAAGTCTGTGGGCAGAAGATGGATGCCCTTACTCAAATAGAGTAAGTGAATTCAACCTTCTTCCATCATTTTATTCTATTTTATGCCCTCAACAGATTGACTGATGCCTGTTCACACTAATCAAGGGTATCTTTTTTACTCAAAGTACAGATTCAAATGTTAATATCTTCTAAAATCACCCCCATGGATACACTTGGAAATGGTGTTTTACCAGTTTGGCTCTGTGTTCACACCCAAATCTGATGTTGTATTGTAATCCTGAAGTTTGAAGGAGGGCCTGGTGGAAATGATTGAATCATGGGTACAGGCTTCTCCTTTGTTGTGCTCATGATGGAGTTCTCATGAGATCTGATTGTTCGAAAGTATGTAGCACTTCTCCCTTGTCTCTCTCTCTCTCTCTCTGTCTCTCTCCTGCTTCATCATGGTAAGATGTGCTTGCTTTCCCTTTGCGCTCTGCCATGACTGTAAGTTTCCTAAGGCCTTCCACACATACTTCCTGTATAGCCTGTGGAACCGTGAGTCAATTAAACCACTTTTCTTCATAAATTGTCCAGTCTCAACTAGTTCTTTATAGCAGTGTTGGAATGGACAAATACACCGGCTATCTGGGCATCCCTTAGTTCAGTCAAATTGATACATAATGTTAGCAATCACATTATCACATTCACCCATGGTGTTTTTTGTGTATTGTGTATGTTTAAAAATTTAATTTTGGATGTCTCTAAAACCAAGTTTATAATTTTATTTAAAATATCAACAGTCTTCTAAATTCAAATGAAAAACAACATAAGTAAATGTTTGTTTTTTGATATTTGTAAAAATACATTTTCAAAGCCCATAGCAATTGAAGGACAGTAAAACTGTTGCACACAAAAACAAACACACAGAGGAATGTTTGGCACACTTATATTAAATGAGTTTCAGTTCACGACACAGGAGCTTAAAATTTTAAATGCTATCTATGTTTCTACACTTCTCTCAGCCCTAATTGTCACAATTTTGAAAGTCAATATAAAATCTGTCATAATTGAGGGAGGTAATGGGAAAAAATATACACTCAAGAGACTTTTCTAAAATTCTGGAACTTAATTTGAAATAGTAAGAAAATATTCATATAACTATATATAGAAAAGGATATATGAGAAGTGTAATCATTTAATTTACTAAATAATTGACTCTTATAAATTAATTATACTTGAGACCAAGGCAAAGTTTTAGGTATGATAGAACTACTCTGATGTTCAAAACACATTTTCTAGTAACTTTTTCCTTTGAATAAGCAATTAGGGTCATCTAGTCATTGCTATAGCCCAAGATTATTTTTAGATATGTTTTGACATTTTCAAATTCACAGGGCTCCAAATGCCTTCAGTAATGAATCCACTATACCATTTTTTCATTTATTTGGAACCAGTCTTATATCTAAGTCAATTGAAAGTCAGTTTCTTAAATGATTTGAGAAGTGTCAGAAATGTCTACCTGTCAAAAGAGTAATTTTTCCACCATTTCTACAATACCTAAATATTTCAAATTAGAGAATAATTTAAATTACATGTGATTATTCCTGGAAATGTAGTAAATTTTGACATCACCAGTTCAAGTAGAAAAGAACAATTGAAAATATTTTTAAAAATTTTAAAACAGTTTTACTTAGAATTATGCCTAAATGTATTAGAAGTATATATTTATATTAGTCCATTCTCACACTGCTATAAAGAACTACCTAAGCCTGGGTAATTTATAAAGAAAAGAGGTTTCATTCACTCACAGTTCCACAGTCTGTACAGGAAACATGAGTGGGGAGGCCTCAGGAAATTTATAATCATGGCAGAAGGGCAAAGGAGAAGCAAGCACATCTTCACATGGTAGGAGGAGAGAGAGAGAACGTGAAGGGGGAAATGCTACACACATTTAAACCAAAAGATCTCATGAGAACTCACTCATAATCACAAGAACAGAAAGGGAGAACTCCACCTCCATAATCCAATTGCCTCCCACCAGAACCCTCCTCCAGCTCTGGGAAGTACAATTTGGGATGAGATTTGAATGGGGACCCAGAGCCAAACTCTATCATTTTGCACCTGGCCCCTCCCAAATTTTGTGTCCTTCTCATATTTCAAAACACAATCATGCCTTTCCAATAGTCCCCCAAATTCTTAACTCATTCCAGCATTAACTCAAAAGTCCAAGTCCAAAGTCTTGTCTGAGACAAGGTAAGTCCCTTCCACCAATGAGACTGTAAAATCAAAAACAAGCTAGTTACTTCCAAGATAAAATGGGGATATAGGCATTGGGTAAATGCTTCCATTTCAAATGGGAGAAATTGGCTGTACAGCTCCACTAGGCAGTACCCCATTGGAGACTCTGTGAGGGGGCTCCAACTTCACATTTTATCTTTGCACTGCCCTAGTAGAGGTTCTCCATGAGGGCTTCACCCCTGGAGCAGACTTCTGCCTGGACACCCAGGTATTTCCATACATCCTCTGAAATCTGGGTGGAGGCTCCCAAGCCTCAACACTTGCTCTCTGCACACCCACGTACTTAGAACCACGTGGAAACCACCAAGTCTTCTTATGACTTGCAGCCTCTGGAGCAGTAGCCTGAGACATATCTGAGGACTTTTTACCCATGGCTGGAGCTGGAGCAGCTGGGATGCAGGGTGTGCAGAGCAGCAGGGCCCTGGGCCTGGCCCACAAAAGCAGTTTTCCCCCATGCCCTCCAGGCCCATGATGGGAAAGGCTGCCATGAAGGTCTTTGAAATGACTTGGTAGCATTTTTCCCTATAGTCTTGGCTATTAATAAGTGGCTTTTCTTTATTTATGCAAAATTTCTGCAGTCTTAAATATATATATATATATATATATATATATATATATATATATATGTATATATACACACACACATACACACAATTTACACACGTTCTGTTGGTTCTGTTTCTCTGGAGGACCTATATATACACACACACATACACACAATTTACACACGTTCTGTTGGTTCTGTTTCTCTGGAGGACCTTGACTAATACAGGACCATAGAGTAGAAATGAAAGCTTCCAAATTTATTTTATGAAGCCATATATTATTCATATAAAAGCTTCAAAAATACAGTTTAATTTAGGAACATAATTGATTAATGACACATAAAAAGTAATGTCAACACAAAAATTAAAAAAAATTTGTCAATTTAATCGATTAGCATATTACATATTGATATACCAAAACAAGTGGGGTTTATACTAGGAATGCAAGGATGATTCCATGTTCACACATTATTAGTATAATTTGCTTTGATATCAGTAATCTTTGTGAATGTTGAAAAGAAATTTGGCAAAATTCACTTTCCTTTTAAAATAAAATAGGAGTAGGTGTGTTCTTCCTTTGTGTGTGTGTGTGTGTGTGTGTGTATGTGTGTGTGTATGAAGAAAAGCTAGAATGATGCTTACAGCTAAAACATTAAAATAATTCTAATCAAAATTAATTACAGGACTGGGAAATGCCCTCTGTCATCTCCAGATATTTGTGATGTACTAACTAATACAATTAAATATGAAGAAAGTTTAATAACTATAAGTAAAGGGGATAAAACTTTTACTGCTTGTAAATGAAGTGATAATAAGCTTGGAAAACCCATTTCTACTTACTAAAAAATTTTAGTCAAGGCAAATTCACTCCTTTAAGAATAATCTCTATGGCTTATATTTCTCTTCTATGTTCAGTACTGATGTTGACAGTTGACCTTTCCTTATGGCCTTTCAAATGATGATTTAGGGACCAAGTTTCTGCCCACAATTGGGCTCTGCTAACCCTTTGGATTTAGAGAACTTTGTTAAACTCTCTGCCAGGTCTGTCCCCAGACCCTGGCTGATGGATGAAATGAGTACTCAGACACAGGTGTGTAGTGTAAGAGCAGATAGGGGACTGCCCAGCTCAAGTGTCCAGAGTGCAGCCCTGAGAAGCTGGAGCTTCTTGCTTTAATTCAGTGCAGGCACAATGCCAAAAGTCTGGACCAAACACAATCTATAGATAATTAACATTTATTGTTCCCCTTTCAGGGAATGTGACATGCATGGATGTTCAAAGGTCAGTTCCTGAACAACTTCTAACAAACAAGTTTGATCAAGATTAATTCCCTTACATTCCCTTATGCTTACTCCTTGCCCTCTGGCTCAGGGTTATAGAACAGCTGACTTCAGATGTTCTCCCCTGGAGCTTTGCAGAGCCTTTTGACCTTTCAGAAGGCCTGCTCCTTTTCCCTGTAGTTTCTCCCACCACACTGACCAGTCTCCTACAGCTCTCCACAATGGGGTGGTAGAGAGAGAATGTGTAGGACTATACAAGTAGTTTTCCCGGCGAAGGCCTGAAAATGTATCATAACACTTCTGCCTGTATTTGTTAGTCAGAACTTAATCACATAGATTACCTAACTCCAAGGTGGTGTGTGTGTGCACTGTGTGATGTACTAACTAATACAATTAAATACGAAGAAAGTTTAATAACTATAAGTAAAGGGATAAAACTTTTACTGCTTATAAATGAAATGATAATAAGCTTGGAAAACCCATTTCTACTTATTAAAAAATTTTAGTCAAGGCAAATTCACTCCTTTAAGAATGCACTGTGCCTAAGTGGTGTTTTCTGTATATTCAAGATTAAAACCAAAAAATTTGTAGGCACCTAGTAAATCAAGCCATGTTCTGCAGAGAACTTTTAAAATACACAAATAATAAACTGCTTAATTAAAAATTTCAGTACAATTAGAAAATATCTTTGAAGAACAAATCCAGTTTACAAAAGCCTCAAAAATAAAAATAATTTAACTAGAAATGTTTTATCTATATAAAAAATTAAGGAATAGCTAAGAAGACCTGAATATTATACTCACAGTGTGATCTTGAGACTACTCAGTATCAGAAAGATACTGTTTATCCCTATTTTAATCTATAATTTTAACATATATCTAACAATATGTCAGTGGGAACTTGTAGTTAGCAAAGTTTATTCTAAAATTTACATTAAAATAAATAATGAATATTCTTAAGGAATTTTATCAAAATAAAATAAAATAAGGAAATACTGTTTCTATTATTAAAACTAATTTAAAGTTTGCTATAATAAAAATAGATTTATCCAGTAATTTCACTCTTAGAAATTTATCATACAGATAAGCACAAAATATAGAACCTTTATAGCCAGTACTGTAATGGAACTGATTCATCAAATTGTATTCCAAATCTTTTGGAACAGATGACCACTGTAGCCACCTATTATGAATGTTCTGCGATAAGCACTTGCCGATATCAGTTCTGTAAACTACATTTATTGCAACAATGTTTATTATACCAAAAAGTCAGAAAAAAAAATACCCAAGGATTCTGGACCAAATAAAAATTGATATAATACACAGCCATAAAAAGAATTAGGTAGTATGGTATAATCCCAAGGACAAATTGTTAATTTTTTTCCAGGTGAAAATAAACATGTACATTATGCTAACATTTTCTTTTTTATAAATATTTTAATTTTAACATAATTATAGATAAAAAATAGTTACAAAGATAGTACAGAGAGAGGCCCCATGTACTCTTCACTGAATTTTCCATAAGGGTTATATCCTACATAACTATAGTGTAATAATATCAAAAGCAGGAACTTGACATTGGTACACTATATATGTAGTTCTATGCCATTCATTCACATAGGTAGACTTACGTAACCACCACAGTCATATAGAGACAAAATTACTCTATCACCTGAAAGATCTCCATCGTGCTACATCTTTACAGTCACACCCCTCCCCACCATACCTAACCCCTGAAAACAAATCAAATGTTTTCTAATTCTATAATATTGGCATTTCAAGAGTGATTTATGAATGAAATAATACTGTATGTGACTTTCTGAGATTAGCTTTTTTGTTGTTTTTTAACTCAGCAGACATGCTGGAATATATCCAAGGTGCTGAGTGTATCAATAGTCTCTTCTTTGTATTATTGAGTAGTATTTTACAGTATGAATGTACTGAAGTTTGTTTAACCGTTCATTCATTAAGGGACATTTTGGCTATTTCCAGTTTTAGGCTATACTTTCCAAGGAAAAGTTCCCCCAAAACTGCTATAAGCAATCATGGGAACATTTTTGTGTGGGGATAGATCTTCATTTCTCTGTCATGAATGCCCAAGGAGTAGTACACATGATAAGTGTGTTTAGTTTTTTTTTTAAAGATATTGCAAAAGTAGTTTTCCATAAAGACTGTACCATTTTACATTTCTGCTAGCAACGTGTGAGAGACCCAGA
The DNA here is from genome assembly GCF_000001405.40 of Homo sapiens. NCBI lineage: Eukaryota > Metazoa > Chordata > Mammalia > Primates > Hominidae > Homo > Homo sapiens. The sequence goes on along the minus strand of NC_000002.12, from coordinate 185,968,450 downwards.
TTCTTTGTATCCTTTGGTTATTACTATTTTTATAGTTACTATTATTCAATAACATAAATTTATTAAATGCATTTAAATGAAATCACTATAGTTATAATATTTAAACATCACTTTTATTTTAGATGTTCTAGTAAGTATGTAGTGATATTTCATCTTGGTCTTAATGGCTAGCAATGTTGAACATCTTTTCCTATGCTTGTTTTCAATCCACATATTCACTTCTGTGAAATGTCTTTTTATATCCTTTACACATTTTAAAATTAAATAGTTTTGTTTCACAGTTGAGTTTTGAGAATTATTTATATATTCTTTTATGAATTCTTTGTTAAATATATAGATATAAAAATGTTTGCTCCAAATCTGTAGTTTGTCTTTTAACAGGGTTTTTCATGGAACAAAAGTTTTAATATAAAAGAAGTTCAATTTAGCAATATTTTTAAAGAATTGTACTTTGATATCATTTTAAAGGACTCTTCACCAAGCCCTATGTCTCAAAGATTTTTTCTTACATTATCTTACAAAGTTATTTTAGTTTTGTTTTACATTGAAGACTATGATCTATTTTGAGTTGATATTTGCACAAAGTGTGAGACCTAAATCAAAATTTGGGTTTTTTTGTTAGTTTGTTTTTTTTGTTGTCTATGGCTATTCAGTTGCTCCAGCACCATTTGTTGAAAATACTATCCTTGATCCTGTTACCGAAAAACTAGGGGTTTGGTCCAGATCCTGCTGCCTACCCGACAGAAGCCTAATCACGAGACAACGTTGCAGCTGAGAAGATGAGAGATCAGTCTCAAATCCATCTCCCTGACTGGGTAAAATTGGAGGTTATTATATAGCAGGGAAGAAATGTAACCATGTATGGGAAAACAGAAATTAGAGAGAGGTAAGGAGAAGAGTTGGTCAACAGGAAGCAGGTGGTTGGTTAGGCAATCATGATAGTTGCGGGATCTGGCATCTTATGGTACAGATGCAGTGACCTGGAAAGAAATGTATAAGTTTAGTTCATTGATATGCCCAGATGGGAGGCCTGATGGTTGATTTTCCTGAGAAAGGAACTCAGCTAAGACAAATTTAACTTTTTCAATTTTTTAGACCGGAAGGGTCTATTTCTATGTTTATTCATAAGAAATGATAAACATCAGTCCTGTGGGACAATTGAGCCAGTTTCAATCTTTTAAATTGATTTTGCACCTTTGTCACAAATCTGTTGGCTGTACTTTTGTGGCACTGTTTCTGAGTTCCCTATTTTATTCTATTGACTATGTTTCTATCCCTCTGCCAACACCTTAGAGTCTTGATTACTGTGGTGTTGATAAGACTTGAAATTAGGTAAAATGTTTCCTCCTACTTTTCTCCCCCAGAATTTGTTTTAGCTATTTTAGTTCCTCTGCTTTTCCATATCAAATATATGTTATTTTGGAGAATACTGACATCCTTACTATGTTGAATCTTCCAATCCATGAATACAGAATATTTCTCCACTTATTTAGAATTTATTTGATTTTTTTCCAACAGTTTTCTTGTTTTCAGCATTCAAGCCTTGTAATTGTTTTGTTGGATTAAAACCCTTGCATTTCATTATTTATGAATGACTATACATAAAACTCTATTTTTAATTTCTGTGTTCATGTATTCATTGCTAGTATATAGAAATATAATTTCATGTGTTATCTTATGTATAGCCACCTTGCTGAGCCCTCTTATTAATTTTACATTCCTTGTGATTTTCTTTGTGAAACAGCATGTCATCTTAAAATAGAAGCAGTTTTAATTAATTGTCTCCAAGCTGTATGTTTTTTTAACTCTTATTTTATTGTCCTACTATGCTGGCTAAAAATGTCAGTACTGTGTGGACTAGTAGTGGTGAGGATTGACATTCTTACATTGTTTCTGATCATAGGGGTAAGCATTCAATATTTCACCTTTTAATATAATTTAGACTAGGTTTTTGTAGATTCTCTTTCTCAAATAGACAAACTTTTCTTCCATTTCTGGTCTCTGAATTTTTTTTATGAATGGAAATGAATCATGCCAAAACCTTTTCCCATGTGATTAATATGACGATGTGACTTCCTTTTTAGCTTGTTAATATAATGGATTACATTGATTGATTTTTGAATATTGAATCAGTCTTGCATATCTGGAAATAAATACTCTTTGTTAATAAGGTACAGTTATTTTCCCACATTGCTGAATTCTATAAAATGTGTCAAGAATTTTTGCAACTGTGTACATGAGGGAAATTGGTCTGTAATTTCCTTTTTGTGTGAGTGCTGTCTTAGTCTTTGAAACTGGTTCAAAGCATGGCAGACATATCCAATGTCCCATGGGTATTGGGGGGTTCATCCTAGTCTCCAGAGTAAGCTTCATATCCAAGGCTTAAAGTACAGCAGCCATGCAAATTGTATTTAAATGGCTGAAGGGTGCCCATTATTTGTTTGATCTGATTTTTAAATGGAGGCTGAGAGCCCAACTAGGAGATTTTTAATTATCCGTGGAATTATGTTTGTAACTTCATAGACCTCCAAAGAGAAATTCTATATCTTGGTGAATAACAATTTTAGATGGAAATTATCTACTACATTACCCTGCAGGAATTGTTATACTAACTCTACTGTTTGCAGTAGGACTATATACTGTAGCACCCCAAGGGTGGAATATCAAACAGAAATTCTCAATTACTATAGTATTTTGCTTAATTATTATCCTTTAGCAGGGATAACAGTTACTGACAGGAAGTAAACATGAATGTTTTACTATCACTAAGTCTGCTAGGGGTTTTTATTGGATTTGGTAATACGTCACACCCTTTAGCTACTACAGTATCAGTCATGACCCAATTGGGCCAAATTAGGCCCAAGACTAATTTCTGGGCCTGTCCTGAGTGGTTTGCTTAGTTCAATAACACTAAGGAACCTCTCCATGACCTGGAACTTACTGTCTTAGGATTCCCTTTGTTAGCCTTATCTTTAACCATTAAAGACTTGTCAGGCATAAATGGAACATGGTATGGGAGTACTTTCAACTGGATAACTAACTCCTCACAGGAAGACACTTTCTCTTCCAGTGCCAGAAGGTGCCAGAAGACATTTTCCCCAAAGATAAGCTTCACACTCTCAGGCTAGGGAAACTTGACTGGGTAATAGCAAATGCCTCTCTTTGTTTTAGAAGTGGGGGAAAGGGACCGTACCTGAGAGATCTCAAATATTATAACACCACACTTGTAATCACTGAAAGCTCAGAGAATTGGAGAAAAAATGTAATAGGGATGATATAAGAAAGTTAGAAGCCCTATGGGGAGGCTTTCAAAGTCTGGCCTCTCCTCCTGGTTGAAAGTCTCAGTGGGAATGGCAGGCTCTAGGTAGCCCCTTTGACACAATATACTATGATGTTAAAAATAACATATGGGCCTTTCCAAACATGCCCCCTCATGGAATTCCAGATCCCTGAATGAGACCCACCAATAGTGGTGGCCTGCAAATTTGTGGATGAACCGGGGACATCTGGACTGACAGCCCTTGTCATGCGGATTATCTAATATATTGGCCAGGGCATATTCTGTCCCTAATCTTTCAAAACTCCAACTATCAAGTGTACCCTTCTCACTTAGCATGTAAAATTCCAAAAGGCATCGTAAATGACTATCCTGATTATAGATATCCCTATCCCAATGATGCTCCTATTATATATAAGAGGGAAAAACTTTTAAGATATGAGAAAAATCTGTCTCTCACAAGTCACAACTTAGAACCGTTCCTTCAAGGACCAGGGCTACATTGCCTTTGTGGCTCTTGGCTACACTTAATCCTCCCTAGGCATTGGAAGGGAACTTGTACTATAGTAGCAGTGGTTCCTGACCTATTATTTTTAAATTCTACTGACAATGCAACATCATGTAAGGACATACCCAATTTAGGCTCTTTTCTAAAAACTGCACTATCTTGGATATGCTGAACAAAAAGATCTATACTTTTCATGCTCTTATATGGAGATTTCACTGAAAGGGAAGACTGGGGAGGGCATGCACACGACAATCTCATCTTAGAAAAACCATGGATGGGAGATTCTATAGCCAGAGGCTTATTCTTGTTTTCTGGTATTCCTTTCCTTGAAAGATCAGTACTTAATATATCCATTATGATGCAATGAGGATGGAAAGCCATAGAAGGACAACATAGTAGGAGCCATAGAAGCACAACAGTCTATAAACTTTTTAGCTTCAGTAGTAGCACAAAATAGACAGGACTTAGATGTCCTTACAGCAGAAATAGGGAGTACCTGTGCACTTTTAAATCAAACATGCTGCTTCTGGATCAACACCTCTAGTCAAGTAGAAGAAAAACTACAGGTACTTAAAGATCAGATTAAAATCATTGGCAAGCTAAGAGAAAATGTGGGCTCAAGCCCAGGGTGGCTACACGCTCTCTTTAATGAATTCCAGGCTTCTTTATGGAGTTGGTTAACTCCTTTATGAAGCCCCTTCTTGCTTATAGGTCATATATTAGTGTTTGAACCTTGTATCCTCAATAGTATAACTTGAATTGTTTCCTCTTGTCTAGAAGCAATCAAACTCCAAATGGTGCTGCAAACAGAACCACACATGGACACACCATTCTTCCAAAGACCCTTATATCAACTCCAGGAGGAACGCTAGCTGTCCTTCACTCAATACCCCCTTTCAGCAGGAAGTATCCAGAAGGAGTCATCGTCCAAGACCCCCTAACAGGAGTTAGAGTTACAGCTCCTGAGGGGGGAATAATATAGGAGTAAAAAAGTAATTATTTAGGCAGATAGTGAGGGTACAGGAGTCCTTGGTAAGGCTTTTCATTTAATAAAAAGCAGCCCCCAAACCATTTCTTTTCTAGCAGAAAACAGCCTGAAAAGTCAGGCTGCAAGCATAGACAAGCAAGCTGGAAGCTTGCATTAATGCTGGCAGCTGTACCTAAAAGCCAGGTACATCCAACATGGCAATTCCTCTCTCCCTTCTCTTTGGCACCACATGTGCAGATGTCATGGTGCAAGCCAGGAAAAAAACCCCATCTGCATAATAAAAGATTAAGGTGGCATGGCCAGTTTCTTTGTGGGCTATGTAAGTGGCACACTTGGTCAAACCAATCCTGTGGGCCCTTTGTAAATCAGACACTGCCTTACACTGTCTTCTGAAACACCTTTATATAACCAACTATTTCCTGCCACGCACAGGGAAATCCATTCGGAGCCTTCCTCCCTCTGCATGGGGGAGCTGCTCTCTTCTTTTCTACCTATTAAACTTTCCTCTCCTTAACCCACCCACGTGTATCCGTGTCCTTAATCTTCTTGGTGTGAGATAATGAACTTCGGGTATTTTCCCAGACAACAAAGCCACTTCAATAGGTAGAAGGAACTCATTTGCAGGTAAGAATTTGGATGTGGGACTTAGGACTTCTGAGTTAATGCTGGAATGACTTAAGACTTTGTGGGGACGATTAAGAAGCGATGATTGTATTTTACAATATGAGAAGGTCATGAGAACTGGGAGGGGTGGGGAAGAATGAACTACTTTGGATATTTGTCCCTGCACAAATCTAATGTTGAATTGTAATTCTCAGTGTTGGAGGTGGGGCCTGGTGGGAGATAATTGGATCATGGGGGTGGATTTCTCATGAATAGTTCAACACCATCCCCTTGGTGCTTTCGTAGCAATAGTGCGTGAGTTCTCATGAGATCTGGTTGTTTAAAGCTGTGTGGCACCTTTCCCACCACTGTCTTTTGCTCCTGCTTTCACCATGTGATGTGCTTGCTCTCCCTTGCCTTCCACTATAATTGTAAGCTTCCTGAAGCCCTCCCAGAAGCTGATGTCAGAGCTCTGCTTCCTATACAGCCCATAGAACTGGAAGTCAATTAAACCTGTTTTCATTATAAATTACCCAGTCTCTGGTATTTCTTTGGAGCGATGTAAGAATGGTTTAATACACATGGTGTGTCTTTTCCATCCTTTTACTTCCAAGCTAACTATATAATTATATTTGAAGTAGTTTCCTTTAGACAACATATTGTTGGGTTATATTTATTTTGGTTGATTGGCTGGTTTTTGTTCAGTCTTCCCATCTGTAATTTAATTGTATTTGTAGCATTGATACTTAATGTTATTATTGTCAGGGCTTAAGTCTGTAACTTTATTTTTTGTTTTCTCACCGTTGTTTGCTCTCACTGTTGTTTGTTCCTGTGTTTTATTTTTTCTTGCCTTCCTGTGGATTACATGAACATTTTGTAGAGTTTTATTTTGATTGATCTATAGTGTTTTTGAGCATATCTTTTTGTATAGTATCTTTAGTGGTTGCTCTAGGTATAACATTATATACATATATAACTAATCAAAATCTACTGGTGTTGACATTTTACCTGTTGAAGTATAGAAACTTTACTGTCCATTACACTCCTTCTAAACATATAATATAGTTATCTGAAATATTCCTCTACATATATTGAGAGCCATCTTAGACAGTGTTATATATTTTGCTTCAACCATCAAACATAAAAACTATTGTATTTTCCATAATTTTGCTTCTGCCATTTTTTTCTTTTCTGTTGTTTTATTTCTCCTAGTATCATCCAATTTCTGTTTTATTAACGCTCTTTATTCTTTTAGGGTAGATCTACTTGCATCAAATTATCTTGGTTTTCATTCATCTTAAAATGTTTTGATTTCCCTTTCATTTCTGAATGATATTTTTTCTGTCTATAAAATTCTAGGTTGGTAGTTTTTTTTTTTTCAGTACTTGAATTAGGCTTTGTCATTTCCTTTCAGCCTCCTTTGATTTCTCATGAGAAATGCACTGTCATTGGAATCGTTTTTCCCTTAAAGGTAATGCATCAATTTCTCTGTATGCTTTCTAAAATATTCTTTGTTTTTAAATTTCAGATAATTAACTATGATGTGTTTTGTCATAGATTTCTTTCAGTTTATCCTATTTAAGATTTGATCAGATTCTTGAAATTGTGAGTTTATCTCTCTCTCTTTCCCTGTGTGTGTGTGTGTGTGTGTGTGTGTGTGTGTGTGTGTTGTCAGATTTGGAAAATATTCTGCCATTATTTCTTCAAAAATTTTCAACCTTAATCTTTTTTCTTTCCTTTTACGTATTGATTACCCAATGCTTAATCTTTTGTAATATTATAGTACCACATATTCCTGAGGCTCTGTTCTTTTTTCCCAGTTTATTTTTTCTCTGTTGTTCATAATAGGCCATTTCTATGTTCAGTCTCCAAGTTCACTGTTTCATTCTCTGTCCTCTCCATTCTGCTATTGAATCACTTATATTTTATTTTGGTTATAACATTTTTATTTTGAAAATTTCCATTTCATTCTTTTTTGTATTTTCTGGGTTTCTTTTGCTGTGGCTTTCTATTTTTTATTTGTTTTAATATATTGATTAAAGCATTTTTATGATGATTGCTATAAAATCCTTACCACATATCTCTAATATTTGGGTCATCTTAATGTTCATGTTTTTTATTGTATTTTCCCAATTGATTTTAGATTTTTTTGGTTCTCAGCATAGTCAATAATATTTTTATTAAATTCTGGACTGGTTAAGCATTATAAAACTCTAGTAGAACTTATCTGAAATAATATTATACCAGTACCATGCTGTTTCAGTGACTATGGCCTTGTAGTATAGTTTGAAGTCAGGTAATGTGATGCCTCAAGATTTGTTCTTTTTGCTTAGTCTTTCTTTGACTATGCAGGCTCTTTTTTGGTTGCATGAATTTTAGGATTGTTTTTTCTAGTTATATGAAGAATGATGGTGGCATTTTGATGGGGATTGCATTGAATGTGTAGATTGCTTTTGCAGTATGGTCATTTTCACAATATTAATTCTACCCATCCATGAGCATGGGATGAGTTTCTGTTTGTTTGTGTCGCCTATGATTTATTTCAGCAGTGTTTCCTCATTTTTGTTGTAGTGGTCTTCCATCTCCTTAATTTTGTAACTTGAAAATTTTCTGAATTCATTTACCAGTTCTAGGAGCTTTCTGGATGCGTTTTTAGGGTTTTCTAGGTACATGATCATATCATCAGCAAACAGCGACAGTTCGACTTCCCCTTTACTGATTTGAATGCCCTTTATTCTTTCTCTTGTCTGATTGCTTTGGCTAGGACTTTCAGTGCTATGTTGAATAGAAGTGGTGAAAGTGGGCATCCCTATCTTGTTCCAGTTCTCAGGGGGAATGCTTTCAACTTTTCCTTGTTCAGTAAAATGTTGGCTGGGGGTTTGTCATAGATGGCTTTTATTACTTTAAGGTATGTCCCTTATATGCTAATTTTGCTGAGGGTTTTAATCATAAAGGGATGCTAGAGTTTGTCAAATGCTCTTTCTGCATCTATTGAGATAATTACGGGATTTTTTACATTTTAATTCTGTTTATGTGGTGTATGACATTTTTTGACTTGTATGTGTTAAACCATTCCTGCCTCCCTTGTGTAAAACCCACTTGATTATGGTAGATTATCCTTCTTATATGCTGTTGGATTCTTTTGGCAAGTATTTTGTTGAGGATTTTTGCATCTATGTTAATCAGTGTTATTGGTCTGTACATTTCATTTTTTGTTATGTCCTGGTTTTGGTATTAGGGCGATACTAGCTTTACACAATGATTTAGGGAGGATTCTATCTTTCCTTATCTTTTGGAATATTGTCAATAGTATTGGTACCAATTCTTCTTTGAATGTCTGATAGAATTCAGCTGTGAATCCGTCAGGTCCTGAACTTTTCTTTGTTGGCATTTTTTTTTTTTTTTTTTTTTTTTTTTTTTACCGTTTTAATCTCACTGCTTGTTATTGGCCTGTTTAGAGTTTCTATATCTTCCTGGTCACCAAAACAGCATGATACTGGTATAAAAAATAGACACATAGACCAATGAAACAGAATAGAGAAACCTAGAAATAAAGCCAAATACTTAGAGTCAACTGATCTTCAACAAAGCAAACAAAAACATAAAGTGGGTAAAGGACACCTTACTCAACAAATGGTGCTGGAGTAATTGGCAAGCCACATGTAGAAGAATTAAACTAGATCTTCATCTCCCACCTTATACAAAAATCAACTCAAGATGGATCAAATACTTAAATCTAAGAGCTGAAACCATGAAAATTTTAGAAGATAACATCAGAAAAGCCCTTCTAGATATTAGCTTAAGGAGAGACTTCATGGCCAAGAACCGAAAAGCAAATGTAACAAAAACAAAGATAAATAGATGAGACTTAATTAAACTAAAAAAATTCTACACAGAAAAATAAATAATAAGCAGAGTTAACAGACAACACACAGAGTGGGAGAAAATCTTCACAATCTGCACATCCAACAAAGGACAACATCCAGAATCTACCAAGAACTCAAACAAATCATCAGGAAAAAATTAAACAATCCTACCAAAAAGCAGACTAAAGACATGAATAGACAATTCTCAAAAGAAGATATACAAATGGGCAACAAGTATATGGAAAAATGCTCAACATCACTAATTATCAGGGACATGCAAATCAAAACCACAGTGAGATGCCACCCTACTCCTGCAAGAATGGCCATGACAAAAAAAATAAAAAATAATAGATATTGGCATGAATGTGGTAAAAAGGGAACAGTTTTATACTGTTGGCAGGAATGTAAACTAGTACAACCACTGTGGAAAACAGTGTGGAGATTCCTTAGAGAATTAAAAGTAGATCTACCATTTGATCCAGCAATCCCACTACTAGGTATCTACTTGGAAGAAAAGAAGTCATTATACGAAAAGGACATTTGCATATACATGTTGATAGCAGCACAATTCACAATTGCAAAATTATGGAACCAGCCCAAATGCCCATCAATTAATCAATGAGTGGATAACAAAATATGAGAGATATGTATATCATATATATATCCATATATATATATATCCCTATATATATCCATATATATATATAGTATATGGCTGAGTGGTATCCCTATGTATATATATCCATATATGTCCATATATACATATACATATATATATATCCATATATACATATACACATATATATCCATATATACATATACACATATATATCCATATACACATATACATATATATATATCCATATACATATATGTGTATATATATACAGGGATACCACTCAGCCATAAAAAGGAATGAAATAATGGCATTTGCAGCAACCTGGATGGAACTGGAGACTATTACTATAAGTGAAGTAACTCAGTAACGAAAAACCAAACATCACATGTTCTCACTCATAAGTGGGAGCTACGCAGTGAGGACACAAAAGCATAAGAGAGGGCTTTGGGTACTTGGGGGAAATAGTGGGAGGAGATGAGGGATAAAAGACTACACATTGAGTACAGTGTACACCTGCTCCCTAAAAACCTATTGAAATAAAAAAAATAATTTTTAAAAAATCTTATTTTATGAGATATCTTCTGAGATCACTCTGGTAAGTGAATGAGGATAATACCTTGTTACTGTCTATGAGAATAAGAAAATCCTAATTCTGCATGGTTTTTTTTTGATACCACACTAGACAGCCAGGGTAAGGGATTTGTGTTGTTACAGCTAGGCAAGAGTTGAAGTCTAGACTCTTCCCTCAACATTTGCTGGTAGGGATGAAAATGAGGCCAAAATTTTCATAATTTCTGCACTGTTTAGCTGGAATACAGTGATTACCTAAAAGTTTTCTATCGTGCTAAATTGCTCCATTCCAGGTTCTCTAACTAGAGACAGTATGCTTTTCTTGGGGACATTTTTGTCTGCTTCTGTTGGCATTTCATTTTTTTTTTTTTCTGGTTTCTTCAGTACCCAGTCTAGAGTATATGAGGCAAAAAGAAACTCCAGTAAAATTCCCTCCATGTCATTGCTTGTGTCCCAAGTTACCTGTATAGTCTGCCTTCTCTCTATTTTTCCAAATATTCCTATATTTATGTTATATATATTCTTATATTTATGTTATATATAATGCCCAGGGGGTTTGTTGTACTTAATGGAAGGAACAGAAAAAACTACCTCTGCTCTACCTTCCCAGAAGTGCAAGTCCTGCCATTTGCATTTTAAAAATAATTTTTACATATACAATACATTTATATACATCCATATAAAGTCATAACAAATTTCCTTTTGTTATAACTTTATATTTGTATAGATATAATTTATATAGATATAATATATACTATACTAATAATATATAAATATAAATATATGAAAAACTATATTTTCATAGGTTATCACTGAAAGAGTACACATGAAACTTATAGCAGAAATTATTGCTGAAGAAATGTTACAAAATACTGTGTACTATTTAAAACATTATTCACACTTTAAATTTAGCCTTTCAGTTAGAACCTCCTTCTTCCAGTAATCCACCAAAGTGATGAACACAAAGGTAAAGAGGAGGAGAAGCACCCAATATATGTTCTCTAGGCTTTTTAGAAAATATGGAGGTGCTCCTTTGGCCATATACATGTGAACCTGTAAGAATGGTGATACTGCAGACATCAAAGAATGCATACTGTTCAAAAAGGAATGCCCCACAAATGTTACCAGGGAAAAACTGGAATATTCTACAATGTACCCAGCATGCTGTTGGCATTGTTATAAATAAACAAGTTAAGAACAAGATTCTTGCCAAGATAATTAACGTGCATGTTGAGCATATTAAGTGCTCTGACAACCGAGATAACTTTTTGAAATGCAGGAAGGAAAATGATCAGAAAAAGAAGGAAGCAAAAGAGAAAGGTATGTGAGTTCAACTGAAGTGCCAGCCTGCTCTACCCAAAGAAGTATACTTTCTGAGACCTAGTGCAAAGCCTGAGCTGCTGGAACCTATTTCCTGTGAATTCATGGCATAATAGGTGTAAAAAAAAATAGAAGACCTTTTGACTATAAACAAACAAACTGAAAAATATATATGTCTAGACAAAACACTTTAAAAGCCCTTTACAAGGGAATATCCAAATGGGAAATAAACGTAAGAAAAGGTGATCAACTTTATTATTTATCAGGTAAGTGCAAATTCAAATCACATTACAATTCTGCTGCATATTCACAATTGCTAAAATGAAAAAATGAGAAAAGGAAAAAAGGTAGACATATGGAGCAACTAAAAATCCACACACTGCTGGTTGTACAGTAATTTATTCTATCATTTGGCAGCGTTTACTAGAGGAGAGCATATCCATAACCAGCCATTTAACTTCTAAGTATATTCCTAACAGAAATGCACATACATGTTCAAATGACATGCACAGGAATATAAGTAATAGTCTTAGTCATAATGGTAGAATATTGGCAACTACCATAGGTAAAATATAGGAATAAATTTTCAACTCTTTATCAACTAGAATACTGTAGAACAATGAAAGTGAATGAACTACAACTACAAGCAACATTATGAATGTATCTCACAACATATGGTTGAATCAATAAAATCCAATCTTTATTTGTATGCTTCTCAGGATAAAATGTTTTTGAAAATCTAATATAATATATGGCATTAAAAGGAGAATGGAGGTTACCCTTCAGGCACAATGAATAAAAGGGTGCATTAAAGGGACTTCTGGAGTGCTGTCAATGTTCTGCTTTTTGATCTAGGTGCTGGTTGCATGGGGGAATTTAAATTGTAAAAAGTCATCAAACCATACACGTATGATTTCTCAACTTTTCTATATATTATACCTCAAAAATTCAAAAATGAATGAAAATTTTCTTATAATTAAACTATGGAAATATAAATGCAGTGAACTTATTGGAACACTTCTTTTTTATACATACTGATTAACAAAAAGAATTTTCTATGTTTTTAATTATCATTTTGCAAAAAATCAAGTGAAGATTATTTTGTCTTCTCTTTGCTTTCCAGATTCTTAAGCATTTCAATTAAACATCATTGGGCAGGGGGTATATGGGCAAGGAGTATGTGAGGTTGCATTTGGCACAAAGAAAATCTTAATAAATTATAAATATTCAATGTTTTAATTTAGACCACGTTTTACAACCATAATAAAGTTAGAAATTAAAAGTTCCAATGAGTCAAATGTAAGAGTACACAAAAATTTATAAAACTTATTCAAAACAAATAAAATAAACATTAAATTACTAACATTTAAGAAAATTAAATCAATGAAAAAAATGTGTACAAGAAAAAGAAGATCAATAATGTCTCAGACCTAAAAATCTAGAAATCAGCCTTTGGCTCCCCCTTTCTGTCACACCTACATACCTAGTCTAGCAACAATTTTGCTAGACCAGGGTTTCTCAAGCGCAACACCATTGAAATTTTGGGCTGGATGATTCTTTGTATTAGGAGTTGTCTTGTGCTTTGTAGAATGGCTAACATCATTCCTGGCATCTACCATCTAGATGCCAGTTGTACCACCTCCATCCCTGGTTGTGACAATCAAAAAGGTCTCCATATATTGCCAGATGTTCTCTAGGCACAAAATAAACCAATTTGAAATGATGGCATTAGACCCTACCTCTTTATTTTGAATCCTTCCATTTCTTTTCCATTCCACTCCTAACTCCCTGTTCAAAGTCAGTGTCTTCTCTTGTATGAACTATTAAAGCAATTTCTCTTTGTTTTCAATCATGGTTCTTTATGATTCATTCTTCACACAGCAGCCATATAAATATATTTTGTCACTTTTCAATGGCTTCACTGGGGACTTAAAATAAATATTAAACTTTTCACCTATGGCTACGAGGCCTGAATTACTTGGCATCTCTTCATCTTTCTGGACTTATGTTCTGCCTTTCTTACCCAATCTCATGACATTTTCGACATCTGGAATTTCTTCACTTTTTCTATGTTAACTTAGCTCATTTTCATCTTTGGCTCTTTTGCAGGTCTCTGCCTGGAATGCTCTTCTGGAATGTTGCATCACTCACCTTTCAGTTCAAAATTAAACATTGTCTTCTCAAATAGTCTTTCTCTGATCACAAGCTCTAAATCAGTCACATTTTAAATTTCTTCAAACTCAAAGCATTTTAATTATCTTCATAGTAGTTATTATATTTTCTTTATTATTATTTGCTATCCCTCAAATAAAAAAATAAAAAGGTCAGACTCATGAAGATCAGAGAGATCTGACCAATAAGAAAGGTTACTAGAAATTCAATGGATGCAGGCAATCGCATGATCAAGGAAGAGCATGTCTAAAACAGTCTAAAACCATCAGCATATCTCATATGTCTTCTTTCATTGGGGACATTGGATTGAGATTTAACATACGAGGTTTAAAGCAATGCATGTGAAGCATCATTTATACAAAAGTAACTGTATTGGTCATAAAACATATCCATTTTATACCCAATAATTACATGAGATGTAATATTTTCCAGCATACTTTGCTCCATAATTCCATCAATTCCAAATTTATATTTTATAAGCAACTAGAGCAGGTCCTGAGAAAAGCATTCCACAGATAAAGACTCTATTTCCTTCTGGTAAATACCATCAGAGGGTCTGATAACATGTTGTCAAGATGACTTGACCTGAACATTTTTCTTTTTCTGACTGCATGTATGTCCTCATGGGAATGGTGATAAGCTGTAGGCCAGCTACTAACCCTTTTCTTCCTACTCCAAATACACTCCCCATCTCCCAACACAAACCCACTTTTTCAGAGCAAGTACTTTCAGAGACGTCACTTCTGTATCTCCTGTACCTAAAACTACACCTAGCACTTAGTAGCTTATGAAGTTTATAAATAAATAAACAAAAAGTTACAAGAAAATCTAATGCTCATTGATGATGCAAGATAAAATTTCATTTAATTATAATATAATACTAGAATTATTCAGAAATAAAATAGCAATAAAGAGATCTTAACATGCCTCTATCAAAATTAAAAACATAAATATAAATTATTGGCATATAAGAATAAAATATGATTAGTAAGACTGTTCTAGCATAAACATGCTCTCTCACATACAGAAACAGACACGTATGTCAAACCACTTGTGTGCTGGAGCCAGCTCATAGCTTGTAAGAGCCAACTGTTTTATTAATTTTGTGTCAGTTGTTAAATACAGTTGTTACTATGAAAATTATAAAACATAAAACTAAATAAATAATTTAAAAAATAAAAGTAATAAAAATGGAAAAACATCACTTTCTAATTAGTTTACTGCATTGTACTATTATCTATGCCTTCAAGTTTATGTTTATTGTATCTTTGGGGTGGAATTACTAGATAATTGTGTATTACTACTCATTTCTTTCTAACTCCACATTTAATTACATTACTTTGGGAGTGTAAGATTGGCCACAGTAAGAGTATTTATGCCATAAATATTTTAAAAATGCTACAAATTAGGCTTTTTCATTTTGTGATGAGAGCTAGTTGTTAAATAAACATTTACCAGCACATCATTATACCAAACTGTATAATAATATAAAGAGGAAAAAATAGAGCAGGTGAACAGAAAAATGGACCAAAAAATAAAAAAAGGTTAGAAAAAAAAGAACTATAAAAGGTTAATGAAATAGAGATTGATAAACTAATGTCAATTAACTTTTTTCTTAATAACAGAAACTGTGTTGTTTGGGACAGTGATGGCACCAGCTGGATATGATTCTCAGGTTCCCTTGAAATTAGGGATGGCCTTATGATAGTTCTTGTCCATCAGGCATAAGCAGAAATGTTGGCCATTTGGGAAAAGCTTCAGTTTTATCAGGTAGGTTCTATATATATGTGTGTGTGTGTGTGTGTGTGTGTATATATATAGATACACATTTATATACACATATATGTGTGTGTATATATATATAGATACACATTTATATACACATATATGTGTGTGTATATATATATAGATACACATTTATATACACATATATATGTGTGTATATATATAGAACCTATCTGTATTTTTTATATATATATAACCTATCATTTTATATATATAACCTATCATTTTATATATATATATGTATGTATGTATGTATATACATGTAAAATATCATTCTACCTGAAAGAGGAACTTGATGTATAAAGCTATTTATCTCCTGATTTTTATGGAAAATAAATCAACCTCTAAATTCCTCACTTGTTTATTTCACTGTGCTGAGAGTTCTCTGCTATATGACGTCTAATGCAAATATCAAATACACACATATTAAGAAATAGATGGGTGGGGTGCGGTTAGTCATGCCTTTAATCCTAGTACTCTGAGAGGCAGAGGAGGAAGAATTGCTTGAGTCCAGGAGTGCGAGAGCAGCCTGGGCAACACAGAAAGACCCTGTCTCTACAAAAAAATATTAAAAATTAGCTGGGCATGGTGGTGCACACCTATAATTTCAGCTAATTTGGAGGCTGAGATGGGAGGACCCTTTGAGCCCAGGAGTTTCAGGCTGCAGTGAGCTACGATCACACCACTGTACTCCAGTCTGAGTGACGTAATGAGACCCTGTCTCTAAAAAGAAAAGAAAAGAAATAGATGAAGCGATATCAACTGAAATACATAAAGATCTGGAAAATAAAGAAAAAGAAAAAAAAAAGCCTCTTTTTTGGCAAAATAATAAAAACTCCAGAAAATATTCACTGTTTAGTAGGTGTAAAAAAGAAGTATTCCAATAGCTTTCATATTGTTTTAGGGAAAATAAATCATCCAAAACTACTTAAAAATAGTAAGATGAAAAAATTTAAAACCCATAATTTTGGCTGGGCTCAGGACGTTGGGTGGCTGAGGTGGGAGGATCACATGAGCCCAGGAGTTTGAGATCAACCCGGGCAACTTGGGCAACCAAGTGACACCCTGTCTCTAAAAAATAAATAAATAAATAAATAAATAAAACTTACAATTTCACTTACAAGAGATAATCCTAGAGAAATATATAAAATAATATTTTGTTATAAAATATGGAATAATAATAAACAATACCAACAACTCAAAAACAACTTAAGATATTTAACATTCATCTCTTAGGTAATGTGCTAAAAGCTTTATGTGTATTACTGCCTTGAATTTTTATTAGAATCCTATGACTCAGACAGTATTATCTGCAGTTCATATATTAGAAAATTGGACTTTTGAGGTGTTTACATAATTCTGCTTCAAGTGACACAGCCAATATGTGGTAGAATTTGAATGCAGTGTTTATGATTAACAAGTCCATGCTATTGACTATTTTACAAAATTTTACATTGGTATAGAAATTGTGTGTGTATGTGTACACATATACGTATTGTGGAAATATATGTATACATATATATGGTGGAAAAGTCATTTTATACTTTTTGTAGTATGACCAAATAATATAAACAGAGAGGACAGTCATAGATGCCTAGAAAAACATATATATTTTAAAAATTAACTATAGTTAATTTTTAATTAACTATAACTATAATTAAAAATTAACTATAGTTAATTTTTAATTAACTATAACTATAATTAAAAATTAACTATAACTATAATTAAAATTAACTATAGTTATTCTTTGTGGGTGATTTTAATGGGGACTTTCACTTAGAGCAATATAGTGGTTGAAAATGTTAGAATTTGTACTTCTATTAATTTATATTCAGGAAAAACAATTAAAATCTTAAAATTCAGTGAAATGGCTTCATTAATATGGAGATTATGAAATAATAGACTTACAATACCTTAAGACTTTACTATACTCAATCAGTCATATTCTCCCAGCGTTCACATTATGGATGCTTTTGTGTAGCAGATATACATTCATACTTTGAGGCGGCTGGCAAGATGGCGGAATAGAAACAGCTTCGGTCTGCAGCTCCCAGCGAGATCAACCCAGAAGGCGGGTGATTTCTGCATTTCCAACTGAGGTACTTGCTTTGTTCTTGAGAGTTTGAAGCTTACATTGTCTAAAAAGTTGGGATTCAAAGTGACAGTTGATCCTGACTCACACGTCAAAATAATTCAAGAGATTTCCTTAAGCTCTATCGTGCTTTAAAATCAACATGCCTGGGAATGTAAATTAGTATCGTCATTAGAGAAAACAGTATGGAGGTTCCTCAAACAATTAAAAATAAAATTACTGTATGATCTAACAATCCCATTACTGGCTATATATTCAAAGGATATGAAATCAGTATGTTAAATAGTTATATGTACTCCCATGTTTATTGCAACATTATTAACAATAGCCAAGAAATGGAATCAACCTAAGCGTCTATCAACAGATAAATGAATAAAGAAAATGTGGTATACATACACAATGAAATACTATTCAGCCTTAAAAGAGGGGGAAATTCTGTCGTTTGTGACAACATGAATAAATCTGGAGGACACTAATGTTAGGTGAAATAAGTTATGCACAGAAAGATAAATACTGCATGATCTCACTTACATGTGCAATCTGAAAAAAGTCAAATTCAGAAGCGGAGAGTAGAATGGTGGCTACCAGGGGTTGGGGGTGATGGAGGGATTGGGGAAATATTGGTCAAAGGATACCAAATTTTATTTAGACAGAAGGGATTAGTTCAAGAGCTCTGTTGTACAACATGGTGACTATAGTCAATAACAACGCATTCTATACTTGAAAACTGCTAAGAGATTTTAAGTGTTCTCACTACAAATATGATATGTAAGGCTGAAAAAAAAGATCACCATGGCAAAGACCATGTTTATTTTTGTTCAGTAAATACTTCATTTATTTGTATTTGTTGGTTCTCATCTTCCCCATATAGTTGAAGTATTATGCTTATTGGTGAAAATTAGAGAAAATATATTTTAAAATTTTAAAGAATATAATTTTTTTTTTGAGACGGAGTCTCTCTCTGTCCCCAGGCTGGAGTGCAGTGATGTGATCCCAGCTCACTGCAAGCTCCACCTCCCGGGTTCATGCCATTCTCCTGCCTCAGCCTCCCGAGTAGCTGGGACTATCATTTTTAAAAACTATGATCTTCTTACTCAAAAGTAAAGATTATAGTATGCTATATTTTCTATTTCTAGAATATTTTAAATCTGGTTGCAATTGTATTGCACCCTGATTTTTTGTCAATTAACATTATTTTGACATGCCATTAGTAATTTTTAATAAACTTAATTTTAGCATGTGCACAAGTATTTATTAAAGTAGTATAATATAACTGGAGTAATTTCTGTTATCTCAATTATTCCCCTTTTAAATAAGGCAAAAGTAATTTTTGTTTATTTGTGTTTTTTCTTAGCGTGCATTTCTGATTATTTTCCTAGGCAAGTTTTGCTCCCCCAGACTTATTGAGGTATAATTGACAAATAATAATTGTATATGTTTCAGGTGTACAACAGGATAATTTAGATGGATGTGTACACAATCAAGCTAATTAACATATTTATCACCTGATATAGTTAACTTTTGTGTGCATGTGTGTAGTGAAACACTTAAGATCTACTTTATTAGCAAATTTCAAGTGTACAATACAATATTATTAACTATAGTCACCATGCTGTAATGCTTTAAAATACTGTATTTTATTTCTCTAGCTACTATATGATTTTTTTAAATTTCTTTTTTTAGAAAGTTCATTTTTAGTATATAAAAACACTACTGATATGTTGTTTTGTATCCTGCAACTTTACTGAGCTTCTTTATTAGTTCTAACAGTTTTTTTGTGGCGTCTTTAGGGCTTTTTATATATAAAATCATATCATCTGCAAACAGCTACAGTTGCACTACCTACTTTCTAATTGGGATGCGTTTTATTTCTTTCTCTTGACTAATTGCTCTGGCTAGGACTTCTAGTACTATGTTAAACAAGTGATGACATTGAGCATCTTCATTTTGTTGTTGATCTTAGACATAGCTTTTAGTTTTTCAACATTAAATTTGATGTTAGCGCTTGGCTTAGACAAGTTTTTTTTTAAGTTAAAGTAGTTCTAAGATTATAGCTGCTCAAAACCTAGGAAACCAGCTATTTAACATAACGGTATTCAAAACCAATAGTTACTTGAAAAAGGAAACACTTTGCTATTCTGACAGATTAAATTGTGCTTTATTATTTTACGTTGAATAACTTGTATTTTGATGCTAAGAATCACATATTTTCTTTGACTTTTTAATGTTCTATACCTTACAGCTGAATTCAAATCATGGTAGCTTTGTATTAAAGTAAACGATGTCTATAACAATTGCTTTGATTTCCATAACCATAATAATTATCATCATGATCCTCATCCGAATAATTATCAAAAGTTTGAGAACTCAAATCCTAAATGATAATATTCCATATTTTTAATGCTAAGCTAATGTGTCACATTCCCTACAGAATATTTTGTTAATAGATTTGCACAGGATCAGTGTGAAATCTCCTTTTCTAAGAAAGTTACAGGTGGAAAAGTTGAAGAATGTATCCCTCTTCTCTAGCATACATGATTGTTATTAAGCAATTTTGTTATAGCCTCTTTAATACTTCTATTATTCAGGACTCTTCAGAGAAACAAACTAAGGACGTGTGCATGTGTACTTGTTTATTATAAAGAGTTGGCTCACAAGATTATGGAGACCGACATGTCCTAAGATCTGCAGGGAGAGTCAGCAGAATTGCTGGAGTCTCAGAATTGCTGATGGTGTGATTCTAGCCTAAAGACCTGCAGCCTCAAGACACAGGAATTGCCAATGTTTCAGTTCAATTCTGAAGGCAGGAAAAAGCTGAAGTCTCAGCTTAAAGGCAGTCAGGCAGAAGAAATTCTCTCTTACTTAGAGATCAGCTTTTTCTCATTATTCAGGCCTTCAATTGATTGGATGAGGCCCACTTACATTGGGGAGGGCAATGTGCTTTACTCAGTGTGCCACTTTAAATGTTAATGTTATCCAAAAACACACTCACAGAAATACCCAGAATAATGTTTGAACAAATATCTAGGTACTTCATGGCCAATTCAGTTTACTTATAAAATTACCCATTACAATATTCATATCTATTGAGTAATCACTCTATGAGACGCACTTTTCTCAGGACTTTATGTATAGTAGTTTATTGAATACTCATAAGCCTATGAATTGTTATTATTTTTTTCTCATCTATTTTAAAAGTAAAGATCAGGTAACTTGACCAAGAGCAAAAAGCTGAAAAAGGTAGTGTTAGGATTTCAATTCCAGTTTTCACAAAATTTGCATTCTTTATTACAATCCAACACTGCTTCTCCTGATTGGGCAATTTTGGTTACAAAAGGGATTGTCAAAACTGTAATATTTACTTCTGAATACTTCCCAGAGTGAAAAAATGTACTAACATTATGTTTAGACAGTAGGTATAAATTGGGACAATAAGTTGGAGGTAGACTCACCACAAATAAATTTTTGGTAAAAGAGCTATTCGATAGCTATATAAGATTGCATACCTTCTACTACTCCTTGTAATAAGAGTAAGAATTTTAGAATAAACATCCTCGCATTTGACTCAGTATGCATAGGTGACATGGCTAACTGAAAAATATGAATTCAAGGCAGCCTGATTAGTTACAGAAGGACCTATAGGGCCAAACAAACACATAAACATTCTCAAGGGCCACAGCTAAAGCAGAGAGCTGGCACTTTGTAGAAAACATTAGAAGGAGACCCTGAACTGAAAATCAACTGATAAAGATTCAGTGGTTAAGACGTACTTGTAGCATTGAATATACAAAGGCTAACTTAATAGTAAAGACTTTGAAACAATGAAGTTGAATTCTAGTATTTGGGGTACAAAGAAATAAAGGAATGCTGGATCCTCAAAATAGAATCTGCAATAATGAAAAAGGTATGAAATCGAAACTAGCCCAGAAAATATACCCACCCCTTGAAAAGTCTCCTAGATTTGTGGTGGTCCCTTGGAATCTGTGGGGAATTCATTTCAGGACCTCACACAGATATCCAAGTCCATGGATGCTCAAGTTCCTCATATAAAATATTTTAGTGTTTGCATATAACCTATGCACATCCTCCTGTATACTTTAAACTATCTCTAGATTACTTATAATACCTAATCCAATGTAAGTGCTGTATAAATAGTTGTAATTTTTAGGGAATAATGACAAGGAAAAAAGTCTGTGTGTGGTCACTATAAACACAATTAAATTTTTTTTTTTTTTTTTTTTTTTTTAGACAGAGTCTGGCTCTGTCACCCAGGCTGGAGTGCAGTGGTGCCATCCCAGCTCACTGCAACCTCCGCCTCTCGGTTTAAGGATTCTCCTGCCCCAGCCTCCCAAGTAGCTGGGACTACAGGCATGCGCCACCATGCCTGGCTAATTTTTTGTATTTTTAGAAGAGACAGGGTTTCACCATGTTGGCCAGGATGGTCTCGTTCTCTTGACCTCATGATCCGCCCACCTCAGCCTCCCAAAGTGCTGGAATTACAGGTGTGAGCCACCGTGCCTGGCTTTTTTTTTTTTTTTTTTTTTTTTTTGAGACAGAGTCTCATCCTGTTGCCCAGGCTGGAGTGCAATGGCGCGATCTCGCCTCACTGCAACCTCTGCCTTCTGGGTTCAAGCGATTCTCCTGCCTCAGCCTTCCGAGTAGCTGGGATTACAGGCATGCCACTACACTCAGCTAATTTGTTGTATCTTTAGTAGAGACGGGGTTTCACCATGTTGGCCAGGCTGGTCTCGAACTCTTGACCTCATGATCCACCCACCATGGCCTCCCAAAGTTCTGGGACTACAGGCGTGAGCCACTGCGTCCAGCCAAAAAATTTTTAATATATGGTTGTTTAAATCCATGTATATAGAACCCATGTATTTGGAAACTGCTGAAGTTTTCAGTTGCTTTGTAAGAAAATTTGGGATACTGCCATCAGAAACACAGTCTATATCTCTTATAATTTTGTTCATTCATTTTAGAAGTACTATATTAATTATATATTGTTGTAAATTACTCCAATATTTAGCAACTTAAAACTGCAAACATTTATTATCTTAGAAATCCTGTAGATCATCAGTTTGGGAGCAGCTTAGATGGCTGGTATTGGCTCAAGGTCTCATAACTGTGTAGTCAAGCTGTGAGCTGGGCCTGAATTCTCCTCTAAAGGCTTGGCTAGGGCAGAATTTGCTTCCAAAGTCACTTGCAAGATTTTTGGCAGACATCAGTTTCGTGTGGGCTGTAGGACTGATAATGTCAACTCACTGTTGGCTGTTGGCTCTATGGACCTTTCTGTAAGACACCTCACAACATGGTAGCTGGCTTCACCCAGAGCAAATGATCTAAGACAAATTGAGGAAGAGTGCACCTCAGACATATGACCTAATCTCAGAAGTAATATTACTTCTGATGTATTTTTAAGGATGCTTTATTGAAATGATCTACAAAATTTGCAAATATTTAATGTATACATTTTGATGGTTTGAACATATGTATACACCACTGATATCATCCCCACAATCAAGGTACTAAAAATACCCATTACTTCCAGAAATTTCTTTGTGTTCTGTTGTGTTTTCTTGTATGTGTCTCTGTGTGTGTGTATATGTGTGTGTGTGATAAGAATACCTTAACACGAGACCTATCCCCTTAACATATTTCAAAGTGCACAATACTGTATTGTTAATTATAGTTACCATGCTGTACAACATATTTCTATACCTTATTTGTCTTGCATAACTGAAACTTTACATCCATTTAGCAACAATTTCCCATTTCCTCCTCCCCCATCTACTAACAACCAGTATTCTATTTCTGCTTGTATGAATTTGACTACTTTAGATACCTCATATACGTGGGATTATGCAGCATTTGCCCTTCTATGACTGGCTTATTTAACTTAGTGGTATATCCTCTAGGTCCATTCATGTTGTCTCAAATAGAATTTACTTTTTTAAGGCTGAATAATATTCCACTGTATGTATACAACATTTTCTTTATTTATCTTTCAATGGATATTTGAATTGTTTCCATATCTTGGCTATTGTGAATGATGCTGCAGTTAACAAGGGGGTACAGATATCTCTCCAAGATTCTGATTTCAATTATTTCATATATATACAATCAGAAGTAGAATTTTGGGATCACAAGGTAGTTCTATTTTTAATTTTTTTTGGAAAATATCTATACCATTTTCTATGTTATCTAAACCAGTTTACATTACACCTAATAGTGTCTAAAGAATTACAATTTCTTTACATCTTTACTAACACTTATCATTTTCATTGGAAATGAGTCACTGAATCCAGCCCACACACAAGACAAGGTAATTATATACAGGCCTGGATAGCAAGAGGTAGAGATGATTGGGGTTCATCTCAGAGGCTGCCTTCTACAGGGTCCCCTGTAACTCCCAATGATTCACACCCCTCTGACATTTGAGATACACTGTCTCATTTCCAAGGCCACTCAAAGTCTCATTTTACTATAGCATCAGCACAAACTCCAAAATCTTATTCTTTAAATGAGGTCCAGGTGTTGATAAGGCTTCTCAGGTGTAATGTCTTAAGTACAACTATTTGAACACAGTTTATCTTGACCTGTGAAATTGAAGATATAAACTATCTGTTTCCCTGCCACACACCTGCCATACAATGGTGGGATAGACACAGGATAACCACTATAGACACTCCTATTAAAAACCCTAAAACTAGGAAGCTCAAGTGAGTCACTGGTCTGTAGAATTCCTGAAATTCAAGTGGACTACTGTTGAGAGTTTCTTAAATAGTTTCAAGGCCTGGGAATAAATCTCCATGGCTCTGAAATCTACCTTTTAGGCTCTTTTAAGTCATGTTTACTTTTGTATGAAATGTGGCACATATTCACAGCTGAGCAGTCCTCTCAGCCTGCTTCGCATTTCCAATATTCATTGGAATTTGTTTCCATTCTAATTGTTAGAATCTCATTTCTTCCTAATCAATGTCCTAACTTTAATAAAAGAGAGCCTAACATGTTTAAGAGTTCATCGTGCTTGTGGTCAGCCACCCAAAAGATTAAACTTTAATTTTTAGAAATATTGGTCCTGTGGCTTCAGGAAGAGAGCTCTTTTTCTCCAGGTCATTCATAAAGGCTTTCATGTCTCTTATGTAAGGCCTTGAGCTAGGAATTTTAAGTAACAAGCTTATCATTGTCTTTCCTTAAGCATTCCAGTGCAGTTAGATGCAACTAAACAAACAACCATATAATTCTCTTATTTTAACTGTAATATTCTGTCAGGGCAAATGCATCATCACCCAGAGCCTTGCCTATATTAGAAGCATCTTAGCATGATAATTTGAGTAACTGTTTTGCCACTGCATGCCATGTACTTTCAGTGCTTTCTTTACCATTGGAAGCAAAGTCAAT
The DNA here is from genome assembly GCF_000001405.40 of Homo sapiens. Classification (NCBI taxonomy): domain Eukaryota; kingdom Metazoa; phylum Chordata; class Mammalia; order Primates; family Hominidae; genus Homo; species Homo sapiens. Next base: position 185,943,246 of record NC_000002.12, on the reverse strand, counting down.
GTTTTTATATCAAATCAGATTAGAGAACTCATGTTCTATGGTTTGAATATGTCCCCTCCAAAATTAATGTGTTGCTAGTGAGATAGTATTGAGGTGGAACCTTTAAGAGGTAATTGAGCCGTAAGAGCTCCTCCCTCACATATGTGATTAAAGCCTCTACTAAAGAAGCTTCACACGGTGTTCAGTCTCTTGCCCTTCCACTTTCCACGTGAGGACACAGTGTCCCCCCATCCAGAGAGTAAAGCCCTCACCAAATAACTGAACCTGTCAGCACCTTTGTCTCGGACTTTTCAGGATCCAGAACTGTGAGAAAGCAATTTCTTTTCTTTATAAACTACCCAATTTATGATATTTTTTGTTACATTAGCACAAAGTGGACTAAGACATCATCTCATAAATCATAGAATCAATTTAGAGAACTCATCCTTAAGAGTCTTTTTCTGGAATCATTCCCAATGCTGAATTACATGTCACTTAGGGTTCAATCAGAGAAGTGGAACCAATAGTGGATAATAGAGATTGCTACTTACACCATTATTAATTCCCTAACCCAAAACTCCAAGGTCCACATGTCATTTTCGTGAAATATCAATTGTGGAAGAAACTTTGTGTCCTTTTGTTAGGCTCAGGTAATCGATCCTGACTCTCCTCTCATGGTCAGCCAATTAATATCATTTAGCTTGTAATGTCCCTTGATCAGGGATACGCAGATTCAGCTGACAAATTTCCAGAATTTTGAACTTTAGGAAGAGAAAGTTGGGTCTCTACCACCAAAGAGACCTCTAGTTAAATAAATTGGTCCATACTTTCCAGATCTCTGAATATTAAAAACAAGGTATAGTGCAGTCATGCCATGTTGAAACAATTTTTTCTCTAAAAGTGTTTATTACTATATTTAATTTGTATAAACTGAGTTTCTCTAAAGTCTCAAAAAACCAAAGATATATTTCTACAAGGTGATCTCTTTCTGTCTATGTAGAGAAGTGGCTAGAAGCTTCTTCAAATTGAGAAAGACCAAAGTTCTTTATTGTGTTTGGTGAAGGAGAAGAAGAAATATTCCTGCTTCCCTGGTCTTAATATTATCAAAATCTCTCTCACAGTTTCTCAACAGCTTTTATGAAAACAAATTCAAAATATTGGAAGAAGTGACTGACACACCAGATGTACAGATATTAATGCAAGGACACAGGAAATACAAAAAAGCAAGAAAATATGACACATCCTAAGGGATACAATAATTATCCAGCAATAGATCCCAATCAAAAAGAAATTAACACATTCTGGGAAAAGTAATTTAAAGTATTGATTCTAAAGAAGTTCAGGGAGATTCAAGAGAATTTTGAAAAGCAATTCAAATAAATTGAAAAAACAATTCAGGATATAATAATAAATTAATAAGATAGATATCATAGAAAAAGAACCAAACAAAATTTCTGGAACTAAAGAATTTATTGAATAAATGCAAATAAATACATTTAAAGGCTTCACGAATAGACTAGACCAAGTAGAATTAAGAATCTCATAACTTGAAGACAGACAAATATAAAAGAATTTAAAAAATGAATAAAGCCTTTGTAATATATGGGACACCATAAAGCAACCAAATTTTTGCACTATTGCAGTTCCAAAGAGCAAAAAGAAAAGGAAAAGTTTAGAAAACCCATTTAACAAATAATAGGTGGAAACTTCCTAAGTCGAGCCAAATATTTAGACATCAAGATACAGAAGGCTCTGAGATCACCAAGCAGATATAATGCAAAAAGGTCTTCTCCATGGCACATTACAGTCAAACTGTCTAAAGTCTAAGGCAAAGGGAGAATTTTAAAAACTGGAACAGTATAATGTCTATAAAGAAACTTGCATTAGACTAATGGAAAATTACTCAGCAGAAATCTTACAGGCCAGTAGAAATGGAATAATACATTCAAAGTGCTGAAAGAAAATAAAAACCTGCTAGCCCAGGTTTTTGAAGGCATCAAAATTAGCCTTCATAAATAAAGAAATAAATTCTTTCCCAGACATGCAAAAGCTGAGAGAATTCATCAACACTAGGTCAGTCCTATGAGAAATACTCAAGAAACCCAGAAGTGAAAGGACGGCAATATGATCATGAAACCACACAAAGGTATAAAACTCAATGGTAAAGCATACACACAAAGGAGAAAGAGAGGATTCAAATGGTACTACAGAGAAAACTACCAAAGCACAATGACAAACAATGGCAGAAAAAGGAACAAAGAATACACCAAACAACCAAAAAACAATTAACAATATGACAGGAACAAAACCTGTTATATCAATAATATCAGTAATAACTTTGAATGTACATGGATTAAATTCTCCATTTAAAAGATAGAGACTGAATGAATTTAAAAACATGATTCAAGTATATGCTGCATACAAGAAATGCACTTTACCCGTAAAGATACATATAGATTGAAAGTAAAGGAATGTAGGCCAGGCACGGTGGCTCATGCCTGTAATCCCAGCACTTTGGGAGGCCGAGGCGGGTGGATCAGGAGGTCAGGAGATCGAGACCATCCTGGCTAACGGTGAAACCCCGTCTCTACTAAAGAAAATGCAAAAAATTAGTCAGGCATGGTGGTGGGTGCCTGTAGTCCCAGCTACTTGGGAGGCTGAGGCAGGAGAATGGCATGAACCCAGGAGGCGGAAATTGCAGTGAGCCGAGATCGCACCACTCCACTTCAGCCTGGGTGACAAAGCGAGACTCTGTCTCAAAAAAAAAAAAAAAAAAAAAAAAAAAGAAAGAAAGAAAGTAAAGGGATGTAAAAAGATATTCCACACAAGCAGAAAACACAAATGAGCATAAGTAGAGATGCTTATATCTGATAAAACATATTTAATCCAAAAACAGTTAAAAAAAAAGACAAAGAAGGTTGTTATATAATGTTAAAGGGATTAATCTAGCAAGAGGATATGAGAATTCTAAATATATATGATGTATATGCACTCAACATGGAGCATGGAGATTCATAAAGCAAATATTATTAAATTTAAAGATAGAGAGATTCCAATACAATAATAATGGGGGATTTCAATACCCCACTCATAGCACTAGACAGATCACCTAGATACAAAACACAGAAACATTGGATTTAAACTGGACTTTAGACCAAGTGAACCTAACAGAAATGTATAGAGCATTATATTCAGCAGCTGCAGAATACACATTCTTCTTGTCAGCACATGGAACATTCTCAAGGATAAACCATATATTAGGCCACAAAACAAGTCTCAACAAATTGTTAGAAATCAAAATCATATCAAGTATCTTAAGTATTTTCTCAAACCACAATAAGATGAACTGGAAATAAATACTAATAATAACTCACAAAAACTTTACAAATACATAGAAATTAAACAATGTGTTCCTGAATGACCATTGGGTCAATGGAGAAATTAAGATAAAAATTTGGAAAAAAATAAGTCTTGACACAAATGAGATTAAACCATAACAGATCAAAACCTGTAGAATACAACAAAAGCAATACTAAAGTGGAAGTTTATAGCAACAAATACCTACAGCAAAAAAAGTAGAAGTATTTCAAATAAACAATTTTATGATGTCCCTAAAAGAACTAGAAGAGTGAGAATACATAAAACCTAAAATTATCAAAAGGAAAGAAACTGTAAAGATCAGAACAGACCTAAATGAAATATAGACTAGAAAACAGTACAAAGCATCAAGGAAATGAGAAGTTGGTTCTTTGAAAATATAAGCAAAACTGATAAATTCCCTCCTAGATTAACAAAGAAAAGAAGAGAGAGCACCCAAATAAGCAAAATCAGACTTTAAAAAGACGTTACAACTGATACCACAGAATTACAAAAGATTATCAGAGACTAAATGTAGGTATGAGGCTATGAATCAGAGGCTATATGCTATATGAAAAACTATATGCTAACAAACTGAAAATCCAGAGGCAATAATTTCTGGAAATGTACAACCTACCAAGATTGAATGAAAAAGAAATAGGAAACATAAACATACCAATAATAAGTAACAAGACTGAATCTGTAAAAAAAAGTCTCCCAACAAAGAAAAGTGTAGGATCTGATGAATTCACTGCATAATCCTACAAAATATATAAGAAAGAACCATTACAAATCTTCTGCAAACTATTCCAATAAAATTGAAGAGGAGGAAATACTTCCTAACTCATTCTACAAGTCTAGCATAACCTTAATAACAAAAGCAGATAAGCACGCAACAATGACAACAACAAAAACTACAGGTGACTATCCCTGATACACATAGATGCAAAAATTCTCAATGAAATACTAGCAATCTGAATTTAGCAGCGCATCAAAAAGACTGTACACCATGATAAAGTGGCACTTATCCCAGGGATGCAAGAATGGTTTACCATATGCAAATCAATAAACATGATACATCACATAAATAAAATAAGGTCAAACACCATATGATTATCTCAACAGATGCAGAAAAAAGATAAAATTTAACGTCCCTTCATGATAAATACTCTCCACAAACTAATCATAGTCAACATATTAAAAGCCATATATGACAAACCAAACAGCATTATACTGAATGGGGAGAAGTTGAAAGCTTTTCTTCTAAGAACTGGAACAAGACAAGGTGCCTACTTTCACCACTCCTGTTCAACATAGTACTGGAAGTCCTATCCAGAATAATCATGCAAGAAAAAAAATAAAAGACAACCAAATTGGAAAGAGGAAAGTCGAATTGTGCCCTTTTGTAGATGACATGATTTGAAATTTAGAAAAGGATCCCACCAAAATCTCTTAGAGCTGATAAGCAAATTTGGTAAAATTTCAGAATATGAAATCAACATACAAAAATCAATAACATTTCTATGTATCAATAAAGAAATTAAGAAGGAATTCAATTTACAATAGCTACAGAAAAACACTTAGGAAATCATTTAACCAAGGGAGTAAAAGCTCACTACAAGAAAAACCACAAAACATTGATGAAAGAAATTGGAGAGGACACAAACAAATGAAAAAAAATCTCATGCTCATAGATCAGAAGAATTAATATCATTATAATGACCATACTACCGAAAGCAATATAAATATATATAGAATGAAATCTCTACATAGTTTCAGTGTTATTTTTCACAAAAATAGAAAAACCATAAAATTCATATGAAACCAAAAAAGAGTCAGAATAGTCAATCTAATCCTAAGCAAAGTGAACAAAGCTGGAGGCATCACACTACTTGACTTCAATATATATTACAAGGGTCTGGGCATGGTGGCCCATGCCTGTAATCCTATCACTTTGAGAGGCCGAAGTGGCAGGATTGCTTGAGCCCGGGAGCTTGTGATCAAGCAATATGGTAGGAACTCTTCTTTACAAAAAAATTTAAAATAATTAGCCATTTGTGGTGGCATGCACATTTAGTCCCAGCTACTTGAGAAGCTGAAGTGGATCACTTGAGCCTGGGAGCTCCAGGATACAGTGAGCTGAGACTGTGCCACTGTACTCTAGCCTCTGTGATAGAGTGAGATCCTGTCTCAAACACACACAAGCACACACACAAGTGCGCACACACACACACACACACATATATATCTATATCTATATCTATCTATCTATCTATCTATCTATCTATCTATCTATCTATCTATCTATCTATCTATCTATATCAAGGCTATAGTAACCAGAACAGCATGGTATTGGTATGAAAATAGAAACACAGACCGAGGGAACAGAATAGAGTACCCAGGAATAAATCCACATAGTTATAGTTAATTGTTTTTCAGCAAGGCACCAAGAACATACACTGGGGAAAGCACATTTCTCCAACAAGTGGTGCTGGGAACATTGGATATCCATATGCGGAAGAATAAAACTGATGGTCTGGGCAACGATTTTATGGTTAAGACCTCAAAAGCACAGACAACTAAAACAAAAGTAAACAAACAGTTCTATATTAAACTAAAAGGCTTCTACATAGCAGATGAAACAACCAACAGAGCGAAGAGGCAACCTGTTGAATAGGAGAAAATATCTGCAAACTATTCATCCTGACAAAAGACTAACATCCAGAATATACAAGAAACTCAAACAACTCGACAGTATAGAAGCAAACAATTGCATTAAAAAGTGGGCAAAAAAATGAATAGATAATTTTCAAAAGAGGATTACAAATATTTAACGGTATATGAAAAAATGATCAATATCAAAGCATCAGAGAAATGCAAATCAAAACCATAATGAGATATCAATTTATTCCAGGTAGAAATAAAAAGACAAAAATTATTATTGTCTTTAACTTATTTAACTAGTATTAACTTGCTGAACTATTATTAAAAATACAAAAATAAACAGATGTGGACAAGGATGTGGAGAAAGGGGAACCCTTGTACATTGTTGATGGGAATGTAAGTCAATACAACCACTATGAAAAATGGAAATGGAAATGAAAAACGGCATAGAGATTTCCCAAAAAAGTAAAAATAGAATTTTTTTATATATAGAACTTTATATATAGAAGTTTTTGTGTATATGTGTGTATATATATATATATATATATATATATATATATACACACACACAAAAGAATACTATTCAACAATAAAAAGAATGAAATCATGTCATTTACAACAAAATGGATGCCAATTGGAGGTTATTATGTTAGGTGAAACAATCCAGGCACAAAAAAATTCCACAGGTTCTCACTCACATTTGGGAGCTAAAAAACTTGGTCCCATGAAGACAGTGAATAGAATGATAGATACTATAGACTAGGAAGGGTGTGCAGATGGGAGGGAGAGAGGAAGAGAGGTTGGTGAATGGGTATAAATTTACAGTAATTTAGAAGTAAGCTCTCATGTTCAGTAGCGAAATGAATTGACTGTAGTTAGCAACAATGCATTGTATACTTCAATGTAGCAAGAAGAACTTAAAATGTTACCAACACAGAATTGCTAAATGCTCAAGGTGATGGATAACCTCAAATACCCTGACTTGATCATTACACATTCTATTCATATAAAACGTATGTATCCTATAAATATGTAAGAATATTATGTACCAGTAAAGGGAATAAGCGGTGTTGGAAAAACTTGATAACCACATACAGAAAAATGAGACTAGACTCCTACCCCTCACTACTTAAAAGTTAACTTGAAATGTATTCAAGAGTTAAAATTAAGACCCAAAACTATGAAAGTACTGGAAGAAAATATAGGGGTAATGCATCATGATGTAGGTCTGGATAAAGATTTTTGTTGGATAAGGCCTCAAAAGCACAAGTAACCATAGCAAAAACAGATAAATGAGATTATATCAAACTAAAAAGCTTATCCACAGCAAAGGAAACAATAAATGGAGTGAAACTACAATCTACATAATGGCAGAAAATATTTTCAAACTATTCATCTGACAAGGAGTTAATATCTAAAATATGTGAATAACTTATACAACTCAATAGCAAAAAAACCCCACACATAATTTGATTAAAAATTGACAAAAGGTCTGAATAGACACTTTTTAAAAGAAGACATACAAATGGCAAACACGTATATTAAAAAAATGCTCAACATCACTAATCAGGGAAATGCAAGTCAAAACCACATTGAGATAGCATCACACCCTAATTGGAATGGCTACTATATAAAAGGCAAAAAGTAATAAATACTGTTGGAGATGTGGAAAAAGGGTAACTCTTATACACTGTTTCTCGGAATACAAGTGAGTACAGCCACTTTTGAAAACAATATGATGGTTCCTCAAAAATTAAAAATAGAACTATAATACAATTCAGCAATCCCACTACTGGGTATATATCCAAAGGAAATGAAATCAATATGTCAGATAGATATCTGCACTTCTGTGTTTATTGCAGCATTATTTGCAATAACCAAGATATGGAATCAAATGAAGTATCCACTGATGGGTGAATGGAGAAAAAAAATGGTGTATTTTCACAACAGAATATCATTTGTCCACAAAAAAGAATAAAATTCTACCATTTGTAGTAACATGGATGAACCTGGAGGACATTATGTCAAGTTAAATAAACCAGGAACAGAAAGACAAATATTGTGTGTTCTCGCTCATATATGGAATCTTAAAAAGTTGATCGGATAGAAACAGAGAGAAAAATAATGGTTACCAGAGGCTGGGAAGGTTAGGCATGAAGGGAAGAAGTACAAAGGTGGTCAAAGTATACACAATTATAGAGTTCTAGTTAGATAGGATAAGTTCCAGTGTTGCATTGCACAGTAGGTTGACCATAGTTAACAATACTATACTGTATATTTCAAAATAACTGGAACAAATGATTTTGAACCTTCTTACCACAAAAAATGACAAATGCCTGAAATAATAGATATGCTAATTACCTTAATTTATTACAAATTGTATTCAGATTTTTAAAATTACATTGTACCTCGTAAACATGTACAATTATTATGTGTCTAATTAAAATCAATTTTAAAATCCTGCCAATCTTATAAAATTTGCATAAAAGTCTATTTCAGATAATGATATATAGAGATATCTGAAGCTGCCAAAACACTAGTGTTCAAAGTAGGTACAATCAAATGTGGAGGTCTGCTTGTAGAAAGATCTCTCAATCTGGTGTCCAGAAAAAAACCTATACAATCTACTCAGGAGAGTTAGTTCATACTTTTGTTACACTCTCAAAAGCATTTGTGAGCCCAGAAATTATTAAAAACCACATATTTAGTGAATTCTATCTTGGTGTTACAACTACAAATAGACAGTGTAAGTTTCTGGATGTTAATCAGATTACATGAACACTGGAGTGGGTGCTGGAACAAATTAGAGAGCGTTGAAAGTAGACTGGTTAACAACAAAGACTCTAAAATTGTGTAATACAATTGATAAGGAACACAAAGGAGAGACAGGACTCACAGACATCTGGCCTAGTGCACACTTTTTGGGAGACAAGCAACGGTTTTCCAATTTATGTTGGAGTCTATTTCTGCCTTTCTCCCTAAAATGTGAATATAATAAAAAATTTAGAGAAATCAGAAAAATGTTTTATTAGAAGGAAGGGGAATTAGTATGGGTGTCTTAGAGGAGTTAGATGTTATCTACCTAGTAATATTAATGTCATCATGAGTGAAAAAAATTTAAACAGATGATGGATTGACTTGTGCTCCAATTTGGCCTTTGGTTACAGTTATGGGCAAAATTCACTCTCAAGCAGTGAAGGCGTAGATGCAGGCCACTGAGCTGCATGATTAGATCCTGATACATAAAACAAGAGGTTGTCTTTTTGAAGATGACTCTGGAAACATTGAGCAAATACATTGATTTTTTATGTTTTTATTTCCATAAGATTGTAAACAAATATATGCAGTTATCATGATGAAAGGAGGTGTTTTATTTCTTACCAGTAGTTTTTAATCTGTATTTTTGTTTCAGTTTACTAATTTAGTATTTCTATCCTTTATGTTCCCTATATTGCTATTTACCAGGTCTATATATCCTGTGTTCTTTAAAAATTTATCTTTATTTTTGTGAAGGTTTTATTTTTCTAAGAAACACAGTTTTGCCTATTTCTCACTTAACAGTTTACTCACTGGTATTATCTGCTTCTAAGTTCAATTTTCCTGTACCAGCTTCTTTTTGCATAAGGGGAGAAGGCAAGTAAATCTCTCCCAGAAACTTTGTGGAGGCTACTATTCTCTTTAAATATGGTTCATCTAGACAGCCAAGCTTGACTGTCTGAACCCAGTTATGTTCCAGGGAGCTTCCAGTACTCTCTAGTTCCTCCACTGACTGCTGTCACCAAAATTCCTAGCCCCTGCCTTGTAAGATCTCTTGCTTATTTATTTATTTATTTATTTATTTATTTATTTATTTATTTATTTATTGAGACAGAGTATCATTCTGTGATATGGGTGTCCCCACCCAAATCTTATGTTTAATTGTAATCCCCAATGTTGGAGGTGGGGTCTGGTAGGAGGTGATTTGATCATGGGGGTGGATCTTCTATGAACAGTGTAGCACCATCCCTTCGGTGCTGTGCTAGTGATAAGAGTTCTCATGACATCCCGTTGTTTAAAGGTGTGTGGCACCTCCCCACTCCCTCCCTTCCCCCTGCTTCAGCCATGTGAAATGCTCACTCCCCCTTTGCCTTCTGCCATGATTGAAAGCTTCCTTAGGTCTCTCCAGTCATGTTTCCTGTACAGCTTGTGGAACTATGAGCCAATTAAACCTCATTTCTTTATAAATTATCCAGGCTCAGGTATGTCTTTATAGCAATGCAAGAACAGACTAATACACTCTGTCACCCAGGCTGGACTACAATGGTGTAATCACTGCTCACTGAAGCCTTAACCTCCCAGGGCTCAAGTGGTCCTCCCACCTCAGGCTCCTGAGTAGCTGAGACTACAGGTGCATGCCAGCACACATAATTAATTTTGCATTTTTTTAAAGACATGTGGTTTTGCCATGTTGCCCAGGCTGGTCTTGAACTCTGGGCTCAAGCAATCCTCCCTCCACAGCCTCTCAAAAAGTGTAAGGATTATAGGCATGAGTCACCACAGCTGGCCCCTCTCTCTTTTAGAAGACATTTAGTCCTCATACTTCCTGTGATCTGTTGCCTTTGTGTTACTGGGCTAATTTTATACCTTCTTTCTACACCTTCATATGTGCTTAGATGCTGTGCAAATGCCACACAAGGCTCAAACCCATGTTTCCTTTTGATTTCAGACATCTACTATTCAGTGCCTCATTGTCTTTCCCCATTCTATTCTGTCACTGTCATTACCACTTCTTAATAATTCCAAAGTTCTCTATCGTAGCTGCTGGCAGAGAGAATTTTAGGATTTCCTTTAAGCAGGTCGTAGGTGCAAGTGTGTTTTTTTCCTGAGAAAGAAACATTTCTTTTGTGTGTGAATGTGTGATTGTTGTTAACTGTTGTTTTATGTGCACACATCAATATATTGAATAGGAAATCGAACATCTAACCTGCTATGTTGCTCATACCACTGACAACTTTTTAAAATTTTGTCTATTTTTATATCACAAGTTGTTGGGAAAAGCTGGGGAAAATGGTGTGAATCATCTGAAAGTTTTGATTAGGTTTATACTTTATAAGATACTTTCTCTCTTCATCTATTGGGTCCTTTTCCCTGGGTGCCCTATTTGCCCCTAGGTATTTGATGCCCCATTTTTACGTGTGTAAGTAGTTTTCATTGCTCTCATAGTTTTTTTGAGTAGAACTTTATTTTAGGCTCGACAGACTTGAGTTAGTGGCTACAGAGCTGCTTTCTGCTCAACCTTTTATTTCCTGTCCATTACATTTCCATCCACATTTCTAGTTTATACAACTAGGTATCAAAAAGCTAAGAAGCATATATCCCACTTTATACTTCCTTCCTAGCTATAATGCAGTATAAAAAGAGAAATCTGTGAGAATCACTCAACTTTCTTCTGCAGCAAGCCTGAACATCTAGAACTTATATTTTCAAAACGATTTTGTTGTTTGAATGGATTAGGGACATGCTGATTTCTTTTAGACAATTCTGCACTGTACCTGAGATCTGTAATGCATTTATATGTCGAGTTTTGTTATTTTCCAATCATTGGTATCAAAATATTTTCTATGTGACACTTATTCACATATTAACTCTCTCTGTCTTCCTAATTGATTTCAGTGAGAAGCATGGGGTAAAAACATGACTATCTAGCTATTTTTAATTTTCTAATCCATTTAGTCTATACTCAATGCATATGTACTAATTATGGACTATGAAAAATTACTACATAAAAGGTTCTTGTTACATTTTCAGAATCATAATTTTAAAAGAGTTTGTAATAGCCTAAATATGTATGTTGGTTAAAATGTTGCAGTACTTAATACAAAAACAAAAGAAAGTATGTGAAACTGCTTTATTTTATATATAGTTTTTACTTGTTAGCACATATCTTGAAAGCCTAGTAAATTTACTTATTATCTGATGATGGGTTATAAGCATTCACCATTTTGTAGGGAAAATAAAAAGACGAAAAGGACTGGGATAGTAGAAAAAGAAGAAAGAAAATAAAAAGGATAGAAAAGAAAAGCTACAAAAAGCAGATATGATAGGCAACAGAGAAACCGAATTGAGAAGGGCTGTCAAAAGTTTATCACAGCATACATCATGTTCTCCTTCTCTGTGCCAGTCATGCAGACTCTTTTTATTCTTTTGAATGTGTCATATTTTTTCAGTCAGAGGGCCCTTGTCTACATTGTTTTCTCTACCCAAAGCATTTTTATCATTCTTTTAATCTTACTCTTCAAAGCTCAACTCAATATCACATCCTTAAGGAAAATTCTTTGGGGAGTTCTCCTGTTTTATGTGCTAATCTTTTCTTAGACCATTATTTCATAGCAATTATAATGCTTGGTTATTTTTATTTGTGTAATTGGTTGACTGTCAATCACAGTAGACCCTAAAATCCATGAATAAATGAGCCATGTTTTATTTTTCACAGCATTATATCTCAATATCTTACTTAGCATATTGTATGTAGTCAATAAAAAGATTGAATTAATAAGAAAAAAGATCCATAAACTGATGCCAATGTCTATATCTGATATAATCTCAATAATTTTTCAAGGCTTCTTCTGAAGTGTTGGCTATAAAGATAAATAAATGTTTAAATTTGGAAATATTTTTTTCTCACAGTTGTGGCAGGCATCAAGGAATGGCCTAGAAGAAATTACTCTAGTTAACTCCAATAAGATTTCTCTAATAAATATTCACAAGTTTCTGAGACTTACATAACCTGAGAACGCTTGGGGAAGGGAGAAAATATAACAATTTGAATTACAAAGTGGTTTAGATCATTGGGAAATTGATGGCCCAGTGGGTACATGCAGAAGAGAACTTGAGGACCTCAGTAAGAGGGTTATTTTTTATTTATTTGTGACAAAGCATTTTACATTCAGGTTAAGTATTTATTTAGCCCTGGGAGAAAAAGTAACCATTTTCAAGAATGGGTTAGGGATTTAGGACACCTGGAAAGAAACTCATTCTACCAGGAGTGGAGCATAATTTGTGATAAAGTAGTACAGACCTAAGATCAGAAGGCACACTTTGTGAAAACAAATGGGTCTAAGCGACCTTTGCCAGGCATCTGTGGCACATCATGTCTTATTGTAATCTGAGGGTCATTTCAGGGAACGTTCCACTTTGAGTTTTTCCTCTCTGCAAAAAATAGAAATTTTCAATGAGATAAATAAATGGTGAGTGCTTCTTCTCCTCATTAGGTATCTTAGTCTGTTTGAGTTGCTATAACAAAATGCTATAGACTAGGAGCTTATAAAAAAAAAATTAGGCCCGGCGCGGTGGCTCACGCCTGTAATCCCAGCACTTTGGGAGTGCGAGGCGGGCGGATCACGAGGTCAGGAGATCGAGACCATCTTGGCTAACACGGTGAAACCCCATCTCTACTAAAAATACAAAAAACTAGCTGGGCGTGGTGGCGGGCGCCTGTGGTCCCAGCTACCGGGGAGGCTGAGGCAGGAGAATGGCGTGAACCCGGGAGGCGGAGCTTGCAGTGAGCCAAGATCCTGTTGCTGCACTCCAGCCAAGGCAACAGAGCGAGACTCCATCTCAAAAAATAAAAAAATAAATAAATAAAATTTATTCCTCACAGTTCTGGAAGACTTGAAGTCAAAGATAAAGGCACCAATAGATTTGACATCTGGTGAGGGCCTGCTTTCTCATAAATCACCCTCTTTTACTGCCACCTCACATGGCAGAGGGACCAGGAGATTCTCTTGGATGTCTTTTATAAGGGCGCTAATCCCCTTTGGGAGACGAATGCCCCCATGACCTAATCATTTTATAAAGGCTCCACCTTCTTATATATAACTTTGGAGTTAAGAATTTCAACACACGAATTTTAAGGGGACATAAACTCCTTATGCACCGTAGCACGAAATTTGAATTCTAATTGAGATGAGAAGCAAAATTTTACAGAGGAAACAGAGCTATTTATCCAGTAGGTAGTGTTTTGATATCTAGAATAAGATGAAAGTTTAAATTTTCTAAGCATGCTCAAGTTATTATCTTTAGCATGAAAGGAAAAGGAGCTAATTCAATGGTCATCTGGTTGCTCTGACTTCTATTCATATGGCTGTTAATGAGCATGTGCCTTGATTATGACCACTAGATAATAAAACTCATTACAAGAGGGATTGTTTAGCAGTGGAAAGTACACAGCCTTTAAATTCATAAGACATGGTTAAGTCTGGAGTTTACCGCTTATTAGTTGAGCGGCCTTTAGAAAATCATTTAGCTACCCAAACCTTCATTTCATCTATAAAATAGAACTCTAAATGTTTATCTACTAATGGACCTGTCCATATGATAAAAAGGTACTCTATAAACATAAATTATAAGCTCTAAGATTACATTATAAATATACAGCAGTAAAAATGTTAGTTAATGCTTCAATAAAGTACTCCATTAGCTTGATAATAAAAGTGGACAAAAATTAGCTACTACTTCTTGCTTTGTACATGTACTAGTTACGTACAGGCTCTCTTTATATAAGGATTTTAGTAATATAGGGCTGTGAATGTCAATTATGTAATAATAACCCTACATTTCTGCTGCTTTCTGCATTTGCACATTCTAAACACTAGTAACTTAGTATCAAAGAATTCAAACTTAAAAGGCCATAAGTCCAATTCACAATTAAAGTTAATGTGATGCTTGCCCATTCACCTTCCTGCCTTCCTCACTCCCTCCCTTCTTCCCTTCCTCCCTCCCTTCTTCCCTTCCTCCCTTCCTCCCTTCTTCTCTTCCTCCTTCCTTCCTTTCTTGCTTTCACCTCCTCTCTTTTATTTTCATTATCTACTCACTAGCTACTGGTATATATAAAAACATTACACACCTTTCAGTAGAGGAAAAGAGTGAATATATTTTGCTTTCAATTACTGGTATTATATATGGATGATCTATAAGTGGAAATATGAATACTTAAATGTACATACCTATAAGTATGAAAAAGGGAAAATTGATTAATTCTACCATTTATTGTATAACACTATAATTTGTGTCAATATTGCCTATTTATACATTTATTTTTTATTAGATAATGTTATCTGTTCCTTTTTTCTTAAATACAGGAATTAGAAACTAAACAGTGTAGGATACTCTATATAATAACAGTCTAATTTTCCTATATTCTATAATTATGATTATTTCTCATCTTTAAATATATTCCTTCTTACATTATCCTAGTGAATAAGTGCTTATTTAATAGAAAAATGTAGATAAGATCTTATATAGCTTTCAGCTACATAATTTGAGGCTGGGCATCATGACCTATGCCTGAAATCCCAGCACTTTGGAGACTGAGACAGGAGGATCACTTGAGCCCAGGAGTTCCAGACCAGAGTGGGCAACATAGTGAGGCCTCGTCTCTTATTTTTTTAAGAAAAAAAGAAAATAATAATAATTTAAATATGTTGAAAAATTTCAAAATATTTATTACAGCAAATGTTCAATGTAAAGAGGTAAAAGTACAATATTGTTGACAATTTGGGGAAAAAAGCAACCATCCATTTCTTTAAACTAATTTAGCATGTATTTTGAAAAATTATGAATTAGTATTCTTATTACCAGATCTGATTTCTGTCATACAAACTATGCATAGCATCTACTGTGACTGTTTGCTTCAGAAAGTGGTATCTGAGTGGTAATTTATACAACATTATGGTATAAAAGCACTGGACTAAAAATAAGAAAATGTATAGTTTAGTCCTAGTTCAGGCAGTTTTTAGCTTAACTAAACTTGAACACATCAATTACCTTTTTATATCTCACCTATCCTAGATAGAAAAGATGAAAAATAAGAACTAAATTACAGTGATTTCTAGAAATTACATTATGTGGATATGCGAAATATTTTTAAAGAATAAAGCAATGTAAGATTTTTTTCAGCCAGTTGCTCTTTTCTTTGTTCATGTTACCATTTTAGCCAGCAATATTTTCTCGATTCTCATTAAGAATAAAATATGAAGACTATCTGTGATATTGTCTTAAAGAACTATGACTCCTACTGAATATGCACTAACCATTAGCATTTAATCATCAAGTCTCACCTCCAAAATTTATTTTGAGCACTATGGGACCTAATATGTGTGCTCAACTATTATTCCTTTCTGATAACATCAAAATATAAGGGTCATGAGGGCAGGAGACACATCTATTTTGATCATCACTGTTTGTACCCAGCCTAGTGTTGGTAGATGCTTAAAAATGTTATTGATTTTATAATGAATGATTGAAACACAATTTAATTGATTGAAATTCAAGTGTGGTATTGCAGAGGGAAAGAAATCTTTCTTAGGGATATGAATTACCAACTTTTCAAATCTGGCTGGACCCATTTATGTTTGAACAGCATTGCCAGCAGCTTCACATCTGTCGGGAATTAGGGCCAAAAAGGTCCCATTGGTCTCAACGTATGTTGCTTTTAACTCTGCTTCAATGTTTCTGAATCCTTAACTATGTCAAGAAGGAGATGGCATGCACTTGGTCTCCTCATTAACCCCATCTGTTACCAGTATAAAACAGTACAGTCCATGTTAAGTACTGGGGACATAGCGCTACAGACAAATTTGTGAGCCAAAAGGCAACTTCTGAGCCTGTTTTTTTCACTTGAATATCATCATAATTTTTGCTCCTGGACTACATATGATTATTCCTCTAAAGAGTTTATTTCCTGGTTGCCATCTTACTTTCTTCATGTGACTCAGTTATAGGTGGATGTCAAACTTATGGTTCCTAACTAATTTTCTTATTTACCTTTAAGTGGACACAAAGTGCTTATGGTTTCTGAGCATTTATAGTGTTTTGTTTCATTTCATTTTTTAATACTTTTTCTAATCAGGATATGTCAGAAGACAGAGAGTGTAAATCTAAAGATACGACATTTCTCTTTAAATGTTAAATAAATAATGAAAATAAATTTCAAGTATTTAATATGATTTTCTCCCTAGGCATATGACTTTATTTCGTCCTGCATCCTACTTTTTTTCTGAAATTAAATTCTAAATGTAAAATGATATAAAACTTGCAGGATACACTTTACACCAGAAACTATCTTTGAGATGCCCCAGAGATCACAAATATGTATGCTTTCATCTTACCAAAAAGGAGATGCTGAAAATAATTAAGTTTATTTGATATGTTATTATTGAAGAGTTGCATAGGAAGAAATATCACATCAGAAGACATGGTTAACATCCTTTAGGTTAAATTTCTATGGGTAACATGTTACTAATATAAATATTTTAGAAACTGTGCTATATGAATAGTGCCTAAATATTTGTCAATACTCTAGCTGTCCAGGATATGTTTCTACTTATAGGACTCCTGATGGATGTATTACCTGATATCAGACATCAATAATATAATATTATTGGTCATTTTAGCTGTTTATTTTAATGTTATCGTGGATGCTACTTTACTTCTTTAATTTGAATTTTGCATCTTCTGGGTCAGTGTTCCACAATTCTCCAGTTTACGTCACTTACCTGTTTAGATTTATTAATATACAGATATTTAGGACTTACTCTAGACTCACTGAATCTTGTTAACTGATATCCTTGATGTATTCTTGGTATATTCTAACTATATGCATGGTATATTCATGGCATATTATGTCTTGGGAATATTATACCTGAAAATTTTTTGTTCATCCATTTTTTTATAAATTAGATGTAATATATACTTTTCTTTAAAAATACAGTTATCATTATTTTTATAGATATATAAAAAATAGCCCGTGCGTAGTGGCTCACGCCTGTAATCCCAGCACTTTGGGAGGCCAAGGCGGGCGGATCACGAGGTCAGGAGATCGAGACCATCCTGGCTAACACGGTGAAACCCCGTCTCTACTAAAAATGCAAAAAAAAAATTAGCCGGGCGCAGCGGTGGGCGCTTGTAGTCCCAGCTACTCGGGAGGCTGAGGCAGGAGAATGGCGTGAACCCGGGAGGTGGAGCTTGCAGTGAGCCGAGATCGCGCCACTGCACTCCAGCCTGGGCGGCAGAGCGAGACTCCGTCTCAAAAAAAAAAGAAGATATATAAAAAATATAGATTTTTTAATAAAATATTTGGGATTGATTTTAATATATTTTTGCATGCAATAGGAACAGTCAGATTTTGTTTAAGTTGCACTAGTCTTCATATGAACTCTTATCAGTTCTTTCACTTTTGAAAATTATCAGGTATAAGTTAACAACATCCATTTTAAGTCTTTTGTAATCTACCAGTAGCTTTTGTTTTACACTGTTTCCCTGAAAGCAATTGCCATCGGCTACCAGCTATGGTGCTTTGTCTTAAACAAAGAAGGACTATCTCAGAGTTCAGTGGAAAAGGACTATGTCAGGTATTTTTAGGTACCAGCTTCTGATGGTATCATTTAAATAAATTTGAAACTCTACGTTCAAACTGAGTCACAAATTCCAGATTTCTAGTTGAGAAGCAGATGGGTTCCTGAGACCACTAAATTCAAAATAGAGCAAAAAAGAATTAATTACATGAAATGAATGAGTTGACAAGGGATGACCTTGGTTTTTATTTGGAGTATTGCTGGGGTTTTAATGTTCTCTTTTTTGTACATATAGGGAATACATTTTTCCTCTTAAGATATCTATAACTCATAACAGTCTAATAGACCATGCTTTTGTAAAGAGAAATAACATAATATATCTTATATTCTCTGCTTGGCTTCTCCAGGTTTTG
Source organism: Homo sapiens (assembly GCF_000001405.40). Classification (NCBI taxonomy): domain Eukaryota; kingdom Metazoa; phylum Chordata; class Mammalia; order Primates; family Hominidae; genus Homo; species Homo sapiens. The sequence continues at coordinate 185,924,501 of NC_000002.12, read as the reverse complement.
AAAGCCCTCATTTTCTTATTCTCATAGCCTTGTAATTATGTGCATAGGTTCAATAGGAATCTATATTCCTTGTTACCAAGGCATAATTGGAAACTTCAGTTTTTCCTAAATTTGACTTTATGAAGCCCATGCTTATAAAATCCTCTTGGAAAAACTAACCCAGTTCTTGGGTTATAGGGTTCAGAGTCCTAATTAGGCAGAATAATGCCCTCTGTGCCCAAAGATGTTCACCTTCTAACCCCTAGAACCTGTGAATATGTTACCTCACATGACAAAAGACATCTTGTAGATATGCTTAAGGTTAAATATCTTGAGATGGGGAGATTATTCTGGACTATCTAGGTAGGCCTCATCTGATAACATGAGTCCTCCAAAGTGAAAAATCTTTCCAGGGTGTGTCTAGAGACAGAACAGGGAGAGAGAGTATGGGGCAGACTTAAAGCATGAGAAGATGGGGCCTGCTGTTGCTGGCTTTGAAGTTGGAGGATTCTCATCCTTTTAGTTGAGATAATCAGCTAATGGGGCAAGCCAGATGTCTAGAGCAGTGGTTCTCACAGGATAGCATTTTTCAGAGACACATGGAGGGCTTGCTTATTTTTATTTTATTTTATTTATTCACTCTGTCATCGAGCCTGGAAGTGCTGAGGCATGAGCACAGCTCACTGCAGCCTCAGCCCCAATGAGGCTCAAGAGATCCTCCCACCTCAGCCTCCCAAGTAGCTGGGACTACAGATGTGTGTCACCATGTATTTTTTGTAGAGATGAGGTTTTACCTTGTTGCCCAGGTTGGTCTCAAACACCTGGGCTTGGGCAGTCTGCCCGCCTTGGCCTTCCAAAGTGCTGGGATTACAGGCATAGAGGGCTTGCTTATTAAAACACATACCAGAATTTTTAACCCAGTAAGTCTCAGTGGGGCTAGAGCATTTACCTTTCTAACAAGTTCCCAGGTTATGTTGATACCTCTAGTGCAGTACCTTACTGAAGTACTAAAGAATGGTACACTGGAGTCAGCATCCTGACTGAGATTATATTCAGATAACCTATTATAATATCTATTAAGGCATTTTTGACTCCCACAGAGCATACTTGCCTGCAGCACTCTTCAGAGATATGAAAGGATTGTTGAGAGCTATAGGCTTTATGGAGATGACTTATAAAATATCACAACCATATATTTTAAAAATGTCAAGGTAGTTATGTGTATTTAACTTTATTAAAAGGGAGTTTTCTTTTTAAAATTGATTTTGTAATTGAAGTTTATAGTACTTTATTTTTCTTTGTATTTGTGTCATAAAAGGAAGCACTTTAATATCTTTTGATTTTTTTTTACATTGAAAGCAAAGTGTAGAAGTGCAGTGTTCATCATAAGGCACCAATGATGAGTAGAATTTTATTTCACTGTACTTAGAAAATTTAGCTTCAAGATATTAGAATATCTGTGTAAATCAGTCAGCTGAAGTGAACATCAGGTATGAAATTAGGATTATACACTTTAAAATTTATTCCACAAATAGAGGTTTACTGTCTCTCAAAAGTAGATAATTGTTCGGTGAAGTAGAATTAAACATAGTTTAAAATTTAGAGTGGATCCAGCTATTTACTTCAGAAATAAAAAGACCTTGATTTATATGGAAAATCCTGTAACTTTCATTTTTTGGTTCATTTTGAAACCATTTATAATTTGTTATAATAAAGCCTTTATAATTGTTTCATTTAATATCCTATGAGAGATGATTAAAGAACATGAGGGGTTTTTCCATAATAGTTGCTTACTCTGATTTTTGAAGGAGTAGATTAACAATTTAATTTTTAATTTCCTTGTATATTAATTGCTGATTTTCAAATATTGTTACTTTTATAAGATAATGCCTTTTTCTAAAGCTTTACATTTTACTTTATAATATCCAATTACAAGATTGTTTGCTGCACACACATATAAAAGAATCATCACTGTGGCAGCAGTGAAAGAAATTAGGGTTTTTTTAAATCAATAAATGTAATTTTGACCAAATATTTATTTTTTTACAAAGTTATAACAACAATAGAGAATATACTGTCTTCCTGAAATGCTTTTTTAAAATGCAATAGTAAATTTTTATTAATTCAAAAATATTAATTATCTACCATATTCCAGAAACTGTGCTACTACTTAGGTTTAATTTGAAGACAAATAATATTTGTGGTCATGAAATTTATACTTTGGGGAGGGGAAAATATAAAAATGATAAATGTACAAATAAATAATAAGGACTTCTGGTTTCAGCTCTAACATTAAAAGTTTGGAAGTTGGGTATATACCCAAAGGACTATAAATCATGCTGCTATAAAGACACGTGCACACGTATGTTTATTGCGGCACTATTCACAATAGCAAAGACTTGGAACCAACCCAAATGTCCAACAATGATAGACTGGATTAAGAAAATGTGGCACATATACACCATGGAATGCTATGCAGCCATAAAAAATGATGAGTTCATGTCCTTTGTAGGGACATGGATGAAATTGGAAATCATCATTCTCAGTAAACTATCGCAAGGACAAAAAACCAAACACCGCATGTTCTCACACATAGGTTGGAATTGAACAATGAGAACACATGGACACAGGAAGGGGAACATCACACTCTGGGGACTGTTGTGGGGTGGGGGGAGGGGGGAGGGATAGCATTGGGAGATACACCTAATGCTAAATGACGAGTTAATGGGTGCAGCACACCAGCATGGCACATGTATACATATGTAACTAACCTGCACATTGTGCACATGTACCCTAAAACTTAAAGTATAATAATAAAAATAATAATAAAAAGTTTGGAAGTTGTCACTTTTATCCTTATAACAAGAAACAAGCTAAACAAACAGAATACCAATGCTTTTCTAAGGCCTATGAGAGAACTGAAATTTCATGGCAAACTGCCACCCCATAATCTGGAGACATGCACAAATCTAGTGAGTCACAGCTGAGATCTCCTTACCTGGGGGAGAAGCTGCTGGAGCCATAAACTGGTAGGAACACTTAAGTAATTTTGACAAACTTCTTGACGCTTAATGTGGATTACTGTGAGAATGAGAAGCTCCTGGAAGCTATAGTCTCCAAGGTGGCCCACACTTTTGTGTGGCTTCTCCTACTGCACTAGGTTTTTACACTGAAGAGCCAGGAAAGATCTCATCTTAACTCTTATAGAGGTTGGGGAAGATTAACAATTGAGAAATGTGCCTGGAGCATTCTCCAGGGGAGAGGAGCAAATACCTACTCTCCAGGGGAGAGGATCTTACCAGAGTGGTATCTCACAGCGTATTTCTCCCACTCAGCCCCTTCTAGCCTTCCCATTGCCAAAAAGTGGAGGAAGTAACAAACATTTGAGGGGGCATCACAGACTAGATTCAAGGACCCACTAAAAAACCAAAAGTGATTTATAAGTTATACAATACATCTCCTCTCACGTACCTTGCTACCACACCAACGGAGCTCCAGTATTACAACATTGGCTTTCAGCTGAAAAAGCTGAAAGATAGAGGAACATGTACGGAAGCCCAAAGCCAAGGAAGAAAACAAAAACGAGGACAGTAGAGGAAGTTGAAATTGTAATCACAGCAAACACATTAAACAAAGCCAAAGTCCCAGATTAACAGGAAACCTCATACTAAACATTTAGTTACTATACTTCATATTGCTCAAATATATCATGACTGACTTCAACAAAAAATTTACAAGGCATATTAAAGGCAAGAAAAAATGTAATCTGAAAATATAAAGCAAATATAAGAACTGAGTTTAGCTATGACACGGATGTTGGAATTAGTAGACATGGACTTTAAAATAACTATAATTAATATGTTAAAGGCTCAAATGGGAAAAGTAGAAAACATTGAAGAACAATTATTATTTTATGTGGAGAAGTGAAAACTGTAAGAAAAGAAAGAGAAAATGCTGGAACTCAAAAACAGTGTAGCAGAAATTTAAAAATGCCTTTAATGGACTCATTATTAGACTAACCATGAATGAGGAAAGAGTCAGTGAGCTTGAGAATAGGTCAACAGAAACTTCCCAAACTGAAAAGTAAAGAGAAAAAAAAGAATGAAAACGAACACAAGCCAGAATGTCTTAGAACTGTGGAAAATGACAAAAGGTATAACATATAAAAAGGAGAATGAGACAATATAGAAGAAATTTTGAAATAATAATGGCTGAGAATTTCCCAAAATTTATGACAGACACCAAAGCACAGTTCCATGAAGCTCAGAATAAATTAAGCAGAATAAATACCAGAAATTCTACACCTAGGTATAGCATATTCATAATACAGAAAACACAAGACAAACTTTTCAAAGAAGTCAGAGGGTACTGTTTGTAACACAAAGGATAAATGCTTGAGGTAATAGATACCTCATTTACCCTGATGTGATTATTATACATTTTATGCCTATATCAAAATACCCCATATACCCCATAAATATATATATATGAATATTATGTATCCACAAAAATTAAAAATTGAAAATTTTTAAAAGAGATCTTATGTACAGATGAATAAGGATAAGAATTACAGATTTCTCATCAGAAACCATGCAAACATGAAGAAAGTGAAATAAAGTGTTGAAAGAAAATATTATGCCTATCTAGGATTCCATGTCCAGTGAAATTATTGTTCAGAAGGAAAGGTAAAATAAAGACTTTCTTAAATAAATCTATCACCAGTAGACTTTCTGTAGACAATAAAAGAAATTCCAGGGAGTAGAAAATTATATAGGTGCTTTTATGGAAGAGTGGAGATGTTTGGTGAATGAGTAGCAAAAGTGGGAGTGGGGTGATCATTTTGATAGTATAGCCAGAGAAAGCACCCTAAAATAATTAGAATTAATCTGAGGTATACTTGCAAACTGTGCATCTATCAAAGACCTAATATCCAGAATCTATAAGAAACTTAAACAAATCAACAACAAAAAACAAATGACCCTCTTAAAAAGTGGGCAAAGGACATGAATAGATACTTCTCACAAGAAGAAATACAAGTAGTCAACAAACATATGAAAAAAACGCTCATCATCACTAATCCTCAGAGAAATGCAGATCAAAACTGCAATGAGATACCATCTCATATGAGTCAGAATGGCTGTAGTTAGAAAGTCAAAAATAACAGATGTTGGCAGAGCTGCAGAGAAAATAGAATGCTTCTACACTGTTGGTAAGAAGGTAAATTAGTTCTGCCACCATGGAGAGCAGTTTGGAGTTCTCAAAGAACTAAGAGTTTAACTACTATTTAACCCAGCAATCCCATTACTGGGTGTATACCAAGAGGAAAATAAATCATTTTACCAAAAATACACAGGTACCCATGTGTTGATTTCAGTACTATTCACAATAGCGAAGGCACAGAATCAACCCAGGTGTCCACCAGTGGTGGACTGGGTAAAGAAAATGTGGTACATATACACCATGGAATACTATGCAACCATAAAAAAGAATAAAATCATGTCCTTTGCAGCAACATGGGTGCAGCTGGAGGTCATTATGCTAAGTGAACTAACACAGAAACAGAAAATCGGATATGGCATGTTTTTACTTACAAGTGGGAGCTTAACACTGAGTACATATGAACATGTGGAACATGGATGCTGGGGAATATAAGAAGTGGGCACGAGGGAGGGGATGAAGGGTTGAAAAACTACCTATTGGGTACTATGCTCACTTCCTGGGTGATGGGTTTGATTGTACTGCAAAACTTAGCATCATGCAATATACCTCTGAAACAATCCTGCACATGTACCTCTGCAATCTAAAATTAAACTTGAAAAGGAAAAAAAAACAATTAAAAAATTAGCTGGTGTGAATGCAAGGGAGGAACTTAGGTATAGGAAACAGCATCTACTGAGTCTTGAGGGAAACAACAGAGCAATAGGCAGTGCAGGGACAACACATATGTTGAGAAGTTTGTATTTTGAAAAGTTTTATGCAAGAGAGTGAAACGACTTGAGACTACCAAATCTGTATTTCTATTTCTATTTGAAAATTCTTTAAGAAAAAAGAATCAAATTTTAAAACAAGAGCAAATGTAAATGTTAAGCAATTCAAGCATTTATAAAATTTATATAATTTTAAAAAGACTCTGGAAGGATTTTGACTTGTGCTTAAATATAGCGTAGGAACCAAGGCCCTTGGTTCCCTGGAGGTTTGAAAATTACTGGTGTGAGGCAGATTGATTAATAGGAGAAAAGGCATGTTAATTTATTTAATGTGTTTACAGGGGAAGAATCACAGAATGATTACTTACCTCCACAAAGGAGTTCAGAAGCTTATATACCATCCTGGCTAACAGGTTATGGAAAGGGGAAGAAGAGGAATTCTTTTGGGGGGCAATAAGTGATTACTAGGAAGAATGAATGAATTGGGAAGCAGAGATTAATTGGTAAATAATTCTTTGGGAATTTGAATGAATATGAGAGACAGGCTTATCTTGAGAAAGGATCTGTTAAGGTGTAGTTACATTCTTGGTCTTCTTTTCTGCAAAAGATAATGAGATAACAGAAAGGGGAAGAAAAAAATAATTGTTTTTCTTGGTGAGTCTGTATTTCAGGCAGATAAAAGAACTTCAGAGAGCAACTTTATTCTGTGCTTTGGGAAAGACTAGGGTGAGAACTTCAGAAGGACCTTGAGGCTTCTGTAGTTCCATATGTCAAAACACCCTATTTTTGGGTATCAGTTTCTGAGCTGCAATAACAGAAAACTGTGAGAGAACATCATTGTCATCCTAAACAAAGAGAAAAAATATCCAAACAATGTAAAAAATCATATCATTAAGCCCCATCTCTACAAAAAACAAACAAACGAAAAATAGTTGGGTGTGGTGGCACGTGTCTGTAGTCCCAGCTATGCAGGAGGCTGATGTGTGAGGAACCCTTGAGCCTGGAAGGTTGAGGCTGCAGTGAGCTGTGATCCTGCCACTGCACTCCAGCCTGAGTGACAGAGTGAGATGAGGGTTTTGTTTTTTTCTGTTTTTTTTTTTGTTGTTGTTGTTGTTTGTTTGTTTTTAAAAACCATCAGAGATCTGATGTCACTAGGTAATCTGAGTTTCACAGAATGGCAGGCCCCTCCAAAGAAAGACAAGACAAACATATTATTTCAACTTTGTTAGAACATGTGAAAAAGACTGGGCTGTCATAAAAACAGGTGAGAAAAATTCTTTTGATAATGGAAAAACCAAATTCTGTCAAAATATATTTAAAGAGGTTTATTACGAATCAATATGAGTGACTGAGGCTGGCTTACACAATCTCAAGAGGTCCTTAGAAAGTGTGCCTGAAGTGTTTGTGTTATAATTTGGTTTTATACATTTCAAAGAAATAGGAATTGCAGGTACAACCATAAATCAATACATGGAAAGTATACATTGGTTTGGCCTGAAAAGGTGGGACAACTAAAAGTGGGGGCTTACAAGTCATAAGTGGGTTTTAGGAATTCTTTAGCTGACAGTTGGTTGAGTGTTAAGCTACTGTCTAAAGACGAAATCAGTAGAAAGAAGTACCTGAGGCTGGGCCTGGTGGTTCATGCCTGTAATCCCAGCACTTTGGGAGGCCAGTGTGAGAGGACCACTTGAACCCAGGAGTTTCAGACCAGCCTGGGCAACATAGGGAGACCCTATCTCTACAGAAAATTTAAAAAATTAGTCATGGTGGTACATGCCTGTGGTACATGCCACTACTTGGGAGGCTGAAGTGGGAGGATTACTTGAGCCTGAGAGGTTGAAGCTGCAGTTAGCCACGATTATGCTACTGGACTCCACCCTGGGCAACAGAGCAAGACCCTGTCTCAAAAAAAAAAAAAAAAGATTGCCTGAGTTAAGGGAATTTTGGAGCTCAAGGTTCTTGTTATGTAGGTGGGGCTTCATAGGTAGCAGCCCTCCGAAAGAATAGATGGTAAATGTTTCTTTTAAGATTTTGAAGGTATCAGGCTCTCAGTTAATCTCTCTTAGATCCAGGAAAGGCCCAGGAGAGAAAAGATGTAGCTACATTAATATAGATGCTCTACAGATGCACATTCCCCCGACAAAAGACAGCTTTGCAGGACCATTTCAATCTGTTGGCCCTGTGGCAGCCATTTTCAAACATGTCAAAAATATATTTTGGGGAAATTATTTTTATTTCCTTCAGGGTCTGCTGTCACGTGATACTAAATAAGAGTGAGGCTGGAAAATAAGACACATCATAAAAGGTTAGTGAAAATCTGTCTAATGAGATTTTATGGTTTGTAGGGTGTGACTCCCAGGCCCCTTATATAGGAATTTGGGCAAGAGAAAAAGAAAAAAGTCAGAATTTAGTCCTCAAATTATAATTTTAACAGATTCTTAAATGTTATGTGTGGGTTAGTATTTCAGTCTGACTTGGGGCTCCAGACATAGGAAAAGTTCATAATCACTTGGCAAATTCTTTTCAGTGTTGTCACTGGGGGCTCATAAGAAAGAATAGGGAGCCTTGCTCAGTGGTTGGCGCTGGAATACGAGAGGAGCTGCTTGAGGCAAGCACAAATTATTGCATTCTTTCCCAGACTTTTGATAGGTTGTATATTTCAAGTAATCTGTCCATTTCATTTACATTATAAAATTTACTGGAATCATTTCTTCATAATATTTAACTATCATCCTTTAATTTCTATAAGTATCTGTAGTAAGATTCTCTCAACTGTTGTTTGTATTGATAACATTGCTATTTGTGTCTGGTCCCTTTTTTCCTTGATCAGTCTGACTAGGAGTTTGTCTATTTTAATAATGATTCAGAGTGATAAATTTAACATTTTAAAAGTTATACCTTAATAAGGGTTATGATTCTGCCTGAGATAACTTTGGGAGTAAATATTAACATAAAAGAGATAAGATCTGAGATAAACATTTTAGCAGTTAGGCATCAGATTGATGAAAAGGCATCAGAAAAATGGACTAAACAGCAGTGGTTGGTGATGGGGAAGAATACTAAGGGACTGATGTTCTGAGGGAAAGAATGTGCAAGGAGGAGGAAGACATCAACTATGTCCAAACATGCTGATAGATGGAAAAGAGGATATTGATTGCTGGACTTTTCTACAAGGAGATACTGGCGTATCTAATGGATTTGACACCAAGAGCAGATTATTTCTTGACATTTCCCTCCTGTATACAACAAAATCATTTTTAGTTATTACCATGAAAATAAAACCCAAATACTGATAATAGCCTGAAAAGAAACATTAACAATGAAATTTTCTTTTATTGAACTTCATATATATAATCACATTAGTGAAAGATTTTTATCATAAATACACACAAAATACTTCTGTAAATCAGGACTATACTTGAAAAATTGAGAATGTATAATAACCTTAGATACAGGGCACATGTGGAGTGTTTGGCCTTAGATAAGACCCAAAGTAGGTTAATCGTAGTAAAAGGAGGAAAGGCAGATTATATAGGAACAAATCTGAGTCGATTAGTAGACCAGGTGGTGGTGGTGGTGCGTGTGTGTGTGCGTTTTAATCAATGAAATAGGAACCAAGGTCATAAGCAGAGAGCGAGTAAGAAGAAAAAGATATTAAAGGTTTTAAAAGAAAACAAAGAGTAGGAAAGTAGTTGAAAACAGTTGGAGAGTGAATGAAAGAGGAATATGTAAATAAATTAAGAAGAAGAACTTCATAAATTATGTGTGTACAGATAGATAAATAGGTAAGTAGATGATAGCTAGCTGGATTGATTGATTGATAGACTGGATGCCTATTGAGGCATGTAGTAGAACAAGGTATTGGAGTGGTGGTCTGCTATTTTGGTTTTATAAGCTTTAGAAAGCAGGAACAATAACATTCATATTTCCATATTTTGTCTTTGTGCTGAAGGGAATATCTTTTGTGGCAGAACACATACATATGAATTACAGTAAAGCAAACAGATGTATAAAATATTAAATAATATGAGAAAATAGAAAACACAACACATATATATACTCATATATATATATGAGTATATATTGTCTTTGCCTTAGGAGAAAAGACAACAGAAAAATAAGTAGATATTTATTAAACATTTACTGGATGTGATACATTATGTAGGGTGTTTTTAGAACCTTTTGGTCACTTAGAAATCAGTACCAGTTTGCATTTGAATAAAACATAGAATGGAGGCCACAATATTACCTCGTTAGATCTTGACATCACTTTTAGGTTATTTCCAAATAAGTTAAAGTGTGTATTCAAAACATCTAATATTTTGAATATAAAACATATATCTTTATTATGTCTTGCCTGGTATGGTGGCTCACGCCTGTAATCCTAGCATTTTGGGAGGCTGAGGTGAGTGGATTGCTTGATCCCAGGAGTTCGAGTCCAGCCTGGGCAACATGGAGAAACCCCATTTCTACACATAATACAAAAATTAGTCGGGCATGGTGGCATGCACCTGTAGTCCCAGCTACTTAGGTGGCTGAAGTGGGAGGATTACTTGAGCCCAGGAGGTCGAGGCTGCAGCGAGCAGTGATCACATCATTGTATTCCAGCCTGGGTAAGAGAGCAAGACACTATCTCAAAAAAATTATAAATCTTATAAATCTTATTCTAATTTGTTAGCTTTTTAGCATTTACTAGGTTAAAAGGGATAATAAAATATTAAATTAAATCTAAGCATAATGTTAATAATTTCTGTGGCTAACTTAGGATGCAGTGGTTAATGTGATTTAATTTGTTGGCATTAGAGTCTTAATTAAAAGGGAAGAGAATAGTCTTTTGTAACATGTTAAATGAATTTCCTCTGGTGTGACACATACGGTGTGTGGCTTATGTAGAACTTTGTAGAATATAATCATGGTGTGGGGAAAAGCCTATACATTTTTATCAATGATGTTTAAAGCAACAGATTTGTCAGCCAACAGTCTATTGCAACATTTAATACATTTTCCTATTTAGATTAAGGTTAATTTGAAATGAATAGATGTTTTAAAGCATTTTTTGAAAATACATTAGTAATCTTACTTGATAGCATCATAAATGAAAACATAAAATTATTGAATTTATCTTTTATGCTTCTCTGAAATTATGACAAATTAACATATATACAGAATATTATTCTTTAAAATATACAATGTGGAAAAAATGACCACTGATTTGCAATTATTTTGAGATATGTATTATATTCTAATTGGAATCGAAATTATTTTTAACATGCATGTCAACTTCTTGAAAACAGGGATTTTTTTTGCATTCTCAGTAGTACTTTTTAGATTTTAACATAATGCTTAATAATTACTGGTAAATTTATATTGACTATGAAGATTGTTTAGAACAAGTTAGAGTAGCTAAATGAGTATGCATTTATCATTATATTTTGTAGTTGATTCATCACATTTTATTTTAGAGTTTGTGTTTTTGAGGCCCTGTATAACAAATTTTTCCTATTCCTTAAAATCTTCTTTAGCTTCATCTTCTTTAGCTTTGTAGTTTTGCTTCTCATGTCTAGATATTTAATCCATCTGGGGCTTATTTTCATATGTGATGTGAGTTTGTGATAATAATAAAATGATTTTTAATAAATTGAGACAATTTTCCAAAGTCATTTATTATATTATTTTCACTTTTATTTATGATGATATCTCTACATAAATTCACACGGATTTCTGGACTCTATTAGGTCTATTTGTCTTTGCAAGTTCCGTGCTATTTTGATTGCAGTGGCTTCAGATAGCTTAATATCTGTTAGGGTGAACTTTCCTTGGCTTCTCTTATGTCTGTTCTTTTAAACTTTTTTTTTTTTACTCATTGTAGGCACCTATTTTCCTATGCACATTTTGGACCTTTATATATAACTTTATATTTTGATTTGTATTGATTTAAACTTATTTATAATGTGGAAAGAAGAGCATCTTTACAATACTGATCTTTTTTATCACTCTATAAATATGATATATGGCTGTATTTGTATAGGTATTCTTTTATAATATGTTCTGTAACAAAGTTTTGAAATTATAAAAGACATATATTTTTTGTTAGGGGAATCCATATATTTTTGTGGTAGTTCTTGCTACTATGTTATAATTGGTTGTTTTTTATGTTGAAAACTAGTATTAATTTACATGTTCTTAGATCCAACATTCCTCCTTCTAATTATAACAGTTTTTTTCCACTTTTTTCATAGAATTTAACCTTTTTGAAGCCTTACCCATGTATAGCTTATCATATTACCATATTTGCAGACATACAACATTAACCCCTGGGTTTCTCATTGATATGGGTTACTCAAGTTTCTTGAGAGAAAACATCAATTCTGAGTCTGTTGCTAATTTTCTCTATGAAAATGTCACATTCTTGTACAGGGTGAAAACCTTTTTATAGTCAAAGATGCAGAATTTGCTAGGTGACAAATGTTACTTTCTTCCATATCTTATCTTTGCAGTGCAGACATACTACATCACAGCAAGAAAATCAGATAATTTTCCTCTTTTCAGTCACTCTTGGTTGTAGTTTACAGCATCTCTCCCTTTGAGGAGTCACTTTTACATACTGAGCCACCCTGGTAAGGCACTCCAAGAGCCCTGACTTAGAAGTTTCAGGGGAACAATGACCCAGATCAGGTCAGTTATTGTTTTTCTCTCCCTCTTCAACAGTGTCTGTCAAAAATTGGGCATTTAAACTAGAGTGCCAATGATGTATACTCTCTAATATTGATTTTTAAGGAATAAGGAAAAGGGGGAAAAGAAAAAAAAATCTCTAAACCTCTATACTGTGAAGACATGACATTGGATCCTCTCAGCTGTTTGAATGTTGGAACCTCATCTGTAAAGCTCATAAAAGGAGCTTCACATAGGAAGAAGCATAAAGTCAAAAGAAAAGGAGACAGCCCTGAATTCATGTCCCCTCTTAAGGTTCTTTTTTGATAAGCACTATATTTTCTTTTCTTAGAACTAGTTTGAGATGCATTGATATCATCTGCAGTACTTAATGCTTATTCTGTTACTTGGAAGCAGGGTATTATATCTCACAGGTTTTAAAGTATGACTTTTTTGTGTGTCATTAGGTGGATATGAATACTCTTCCACTAACAAGTGGGGACAATCCATATTTGATAGTGAAGCAGCTGGTTAAACAATCTCTTTGGGTATGTGTGTGGGAGAAGATCACATATCACACACCTACAGGGGTTGGAGGTTTCAAGAACTAAGTAGAAAAGTGTCAGAATCTACAGTTGTGTTGACCCATTTTTATGGCCTTTAATACTGTCTTAAAAGAAACAAGGACACAGCATTATCAAGAATTACAGATTTTAGGGAGTAATGCAGGCCATTATGGGAAGTTTTAGCTTTTGCTTTGAGTGAAATGGAAAGCCATTGAAGATTTTATTTTCTTTTTTTGAGACAGACTTTTGCTCTGTCGCCGAGGTTGGAGTGCAGTGGCGCAATCTCGTCTCACTGCAACCTCTGTCTCCAGAGTTCAAGGAATTATCGTGCCTCAGCCACCCATGTAGTTGGGATAACAGGTGTGAGCCACCACACCTGGCTAATTTTTGTATTTTTAGTAAAGACGGGGTTTCACCGTGTTGGCCAGGCTGATCTTGAATGCCTGGCCTCAAGTGATCTGCCTGCTTAGGCCTCCCAAATTGCTGTGATTAAAACATTGAATGGTTTTGAACAGTAGAATGAGATGATCTGAATAATGATTTTAAAGGCTCACTTTTTTTTCATAGAGAACAAACAGCAGAAATGCAAGGAAAGACCACTTAGAAATTTATTATGATGATGTAGCTAAGAAATGATCGCAGTAAAGGTCAGTTGTAGTGAATACAGTAAGAAGTGGTTGCAGTTTTAGATACATGGGTCAGTCTAGACACACTGCAACTACATAAGATGATTAGCCAGTTAGCTATCTCAGACTGTGTGTATTGGTCTGTTCTCACACTGCTAATAAAGATATACCCGAGATTGAGTAATTTGTAAAGGAAAAGAGGTTTAATGGACTCACAGTTCCACCTGGCTGAGGAGGCCTCACAATCATGGTGGAAGGTGAAAGAGGAGCAAAGACACATCTTACATGGTGGCAGGCAAGAGGGGGTATGCTGGGAAACTCCCCTTTATAAAACCATCAATTCTTGTGAAACTTATTCACTGTCATGAGAACAGCATGGTAAAAACCTGCCCAATGGCAGGGCGCAGTGGCTCACGCCTGTAATCCCAGCACTTTGGGAGGCCGAGGTGGGCGGATCATGAGGTCAGGAGATGGAGACCGTCCTTGGCTAACATGGTGAAACCCTGTCTCTACTAAAAAATACAAAAAATTAGCCGGGCACGGTGGCTGGCGCCTGTAGTCCCAGCTACTCGGGAGGCTGAGGCAGGAGAATGGCATGAACCCAGGAGGCGGAGCTTACAGTGAGCCGAGATGGCCCCACTGCACTCCAGCCTGGGCGACACAGCGAGACTCCGTCTGAAAAACAAAACAAAACAAAAGAAAACAAACAAAAAAAACAACTGCCCAATGATTCAATTACCTCCCACTGAGTACCTCCCACAATATGTGGGGATTATTACAATTAGAGGTGAGATTTGGGTGGGGACACAGAGCTAAACCATATCACTGATCATCTGGAAAGACCAACAGATAACCTAACATACCTATAAACAATTGAACCCTTCCAGTTCCCAGGGGACTTTTGCCTGTGCTTTTCAGCTCATTCAGTGGGAGCAGTGGTAGACTGAGATATTTCACAGACTTTGCTCCCCAGAAGACAGAATACTTAAATATATTTCTCCAAGTTCTACTCTACATAATTTCCTGTTGTTATTCAAGCCAACAATGATGCAAATGTCCCGTGATTAAATACATAGATATAGTTTAGGTATTTGTCTCTTCCAAATCTTGTATTTGCTAGCTCTTAAAGTCATATAGACTGATAGCTAAAACTTTTTAAAATAAATTGAAAGAAATATCAAATTAATGAATAAAATAATGCAGTTTATCAATCATTGAGAGAGAAACCAAAATATGTACTACTAATGTAAGAAATCCGAAACTAACTTTTTAAAAACGACTTGACTGATAGTTTACAAGCTAATAAAGCTTTAAAAATTATACAAATGTAAATACCTTTGATAATGATTAGCTATCAATATTATATTTTTCAGTCTGGGAAACATGTTAGAATGGCACCTTGCCCTCCTTTTTGAAGTTAACTATGGCCATGTGGCTTACTTTGGTCAATGAAATGTGAGCAGAAATGACGTTTGTCATTTTATGGCAGATTATTTGGAATCCATTATATGATTTACTATGCCTCCTTGCTCTTCTTACAGCAATTCTGAAAGTAAATATTGAGATGGAATTTCCTTTAACCAGATACCTGAATGAACACTATGAAAAAAAGTTCTCATTCCTGACCTACCTTGCATATGTATGGCTAATAAATAAATTTCTCTTAAGCCATAATAATTTCTGGATAGGTTTTATGGGAGTGTACCCTGACTACTTGACTGATACTTGACTATTTTCTAATGTGACCTTTAGTCCCCTCAATGTGACATCTATTGTCAAGCATTCTATGTAAAATCATTTTCCTTACACAGTTGTCATGAATCTGTGTTTATGGGCTAGACAGAAGTTTAACAATAGACATTGGCAAAGGATACATGGAGATAAATGATGTATTTATAACATACAAGGAAGAACATAGCCAGAGACACATTAGCATTCTTGAGTAGAGTGGTAAGCTTTCTTGCCTTTGAAGTCCATATGAAAGTGTTCAATGGCCAATGATATTGTAGATAATTGGGAAGTTCCCGGTAGTACCTTCACAAAGTTTCCTATACCGTTTAAATGACATCTAATAGTCATTTGTAAAAATAACTCACAAGCTGGAAAACCATAGTGGTATAAAGCAATAATTACTTATGTTCTATTTGGGTGAAGCTCAGAAGGCATCTTGCCTCAGATTCATGTTGTATTAGTTGGGATGGGCTTACTCATGACTGGTGCCATTGGGAGCACAGTTACTGCTCTGAGCCAGGGGTCTTGATTCTTCTGTAGATGGGCCTATACATGGCTTCCTCATAACATGTTGGTTGAGTGTCAGGAATGAGGTTCCCAGGAGAACCAGAAAGAAGCCTGTTATCTCCAAGACCTAGTCTTAGAATTCATAGTCATGAGTCTATTCAAATTCCATAGGCGTGAAGACAGTTCCCACCTCTCAAAAGAAAGTATGTAAAAGTTACATGGTAAGAAGAGTGTGCAAGACAAGAATAATTGTTCCTGCCATATTTTGAAAACAAAATCTGCCACAAGTCACAAAAGTATCTGGCTGATAATGAATGGGCATTGCATTCTATACTTGGTCTCAGTGCAGAAAATGGAAATGATTTAAATCTTTGTTTCACGACACAATCATCAATAGACTGATCTTGATATGATTTAATTTTATTTTCCTACTTGTTTTATCATCAAAGTAACCATGGTTGAATATCAAACAGGAAGAACGTATAAAAATAACCAGCTTCACAAATCTGCCTAGAAGTGTCCTTTAGTCTGGCTAAATACTAATCTGTACATGTGTAGGATAAAACTACATAATGCCAGACAAGTAAACAATGATTGGGGAGCAATAATTTTATAAATTGTCTACAGCTCAAATAGAACCAAGACAAGGAGATATTTCAGTTCCTACTTCCAGAGTGAGGCAACTCTCAACATAATCAGAGGAAAAGATGATCTAGACCTGTCTTTTTTTGACTTTATTTGCATTTACTATGCTTGAGATTTATTAAGCTCCTTTCTTATATTGGGTGTTTATTATTTTCAACAACTTTGAAAAATTTTCGGTTATTATTTTTGTAACTCTTCTCTTTCCTCTCCTTCAGTGGCTCTAATTACATTTCCATTACACTACTTGATGTATTTTCATAGAGCAGTGATATTCTATGACAGTTTTTTCAATTTTTTTCTATGCTTCATGGGAATAGTTTCTATTATTACAAACATGCCTACAGAAAAACAAGAACAATTGAAGAGCTATTAATGTACCTTCTTGTGAAATAAAATTCTGACCGTTTTTGAAGTAAAAAAAAAGACACTCAACAATGTGCCAATCTTATAGATGGGCATACAATAAAAAATTAACAGACATGTGAAAGAACAAGGAAATTCAATACATAATAAAGAGAAGAAATGGAAGTAGAAACAAACCTAGAAATAACAGCAAGGATTAAATTAGCAAAGACAAGCAAGAAACTAATGTAATTAAGTAGATTTTTTTAATGGAAAAATGAGATGAAAATGAGCATTATATAAAAAAGAATCAATGGAAAATATATTTGAAGTAAAAAATTGGCTAGGTATGCTTAACAACAGATTAGACTTATTCGAAAAGATAGGTGAACTTGACATGGTAACAGAAGCTATTTAAACAGAAGCATAGAGTTAAAAAAAGAAAGACTGAAAAAAATGAATATATGCATACTGAGCTGTGGCCCATATCAAATGGTTAGATGTAAGTGAATTTGGAGTTCTAGGAGAAGATAGTGAAACAGAAAAACATTTGAAGAAATAGTAGCCAAAGTTTTTCCAATTTTTAAAAAATATGTTTAAAAAGAAAAACACAGTTAAGGATCTCAATAATCCCCAAGCAAGATAAACACCGACCCCCCGACACACACATGCACAACATAAATTTTAAAACAGAAGTGATAAAGCAAACATTTTCAAAGTAACGAGAAAAAAAAGACATATATTGGGGAACAAATACAAGAGTTTCTACAGTATTCTCACAAAAGCAATGCAAGGTAGAAGAAAATAAACCAAATTTTCAAGCTCTAAAAGAAGAGTTCTTATTTATCTATGTATACTTCCATATCTACTAAATATGCATTTCAAAAATGAAGATTGTAAAAATTTATTTTATTCAAAATATGAATTTATTTCCAGTAGACTTACACTGTAAATGAAAAAAATTATTAGAGTTAGAGGGAAAATATTCAAGAAAAAATTGAAAAATGGAAGAAGTGGAGAGTTCCAAAACTAGAGAAGATACAGATAAAAGCAGAATATATTTTATTTCAAAAAATATTTGATGAATACAGAATTAATTTGAAGACTTTTTTCTCTCAATAACTGTAAGCTACTCTTCTATGGATTATTTTTAACAAGAAACATGCTGTCAGTTTATTTTGTATGTAATATATTATTTTTCTCTGGCTCTTTTTGGAATTTTTTACTTACCACTGGCCCAGGAATTTGATTATAATGTGTCTTTTGTGATTTTTCTTTCTTTGGAATTCATGAAGCTCCTTTCTAATATTGGGAGTTTACTATTTTTAAAACTTTGACAAACTTTTAATTTTTATTAATTTTATTTTTGTAACTATTCTCTTTTCTTCAAGGGGTCTAATTTTACTTCCGTTATACCGTTGATGCATTCTCATAGGACACTGGTATACAATGATAATTTTTTTCAATTTTCTTTTATGTTTCATTGGAATAGTTTCTATTACTATGTCTTCAAGTCTACTGAATTTTTTTATGGTGTTGTATTTTTTTATCTATGAAATATATTTTTTCTAATTCTTCTCATGATAATCACATTTTTACTGTCTTTTCAAATATATTTAGCATATTTTAACAGCTTTTTAAAAACTCTTGTATACTGATTTTATCATCTGTGTTGTTAGTTTTCTTTTGACTTATTGCATTACCTATGGACTGTGCGTTATATTTTCCTGTTTGGTTTTTTTTGGGCATATTTTGATTGGATGCCAGATATTATAAACCTCATATTGATGGTTGCTAGATTTTGTTATGCTTTTAAATAGTATTAGGCTCTGTGCTGGTACACAGTTAGGTTACTTAGAGTCAGTTTTCTTTATTTTAGGCTTGCTTGTGTAGAACTTATTTGCCCTATACTAAAGCAGTATCTTTCTGAGAATTCCCAGTGCTTTGTGTATTCGTTGCATTCTGGCTGGGCTGGTCCAAAACTATTCTTTGTGTGTGGAATTCAGGAATTGTTTGGCTTACTGTTTTCTAATGATTCTTTCCCTGGTGTTCGGTGGTATCCTTTCATGCATACATAGATCTGTACAGATCAGTATCCAGCCAGTCAAAGCATCAAGGGGATCTCTTTGAAGATCCTTAGAATTCTCTCTCTCAATCTCTCCCAATCCCAGCTCTCTGGCACTCTACTACTCAAAATACCAAGCTCTGTTTCCTTAACTCAGTGATGTGTCAGGCTTTATTTGCATTCCCTTTCTTGCACTGCAGTGAGAAAACCATTTTCAGGTAATAATTCGAAAAAATTTACGGGACTTACCTTTGTTTTACTCTTCTCAAAGAATCATCGGCCTAAACTGCATTCTGTTCAATGTCTGAAGATAATTATTTCATATATATTTTTCTGTCTTTTGATCTTATTTTTGCATAAGGAGAGAAGGTAAATTTAACCCATTACTCTGTCATGGATAGAAGAGGAAGAGGTATTGTATACTTTTCTTCTGTGCATAAATTCCCTTTGAGCTGGAGCCCACTAAACCTAAACATATCAGACCTTAGAAAACAACTGAAATGACATGTATAAATAAACAAACAAAACAAAATAATATGAGTTTAGTTTTTTAATGACTTGAGAAGTGAGGTTTAGATAAATCACTTTTTGATGTTCCTAACTGGTTCATCATATAATCAACAACAAATGTATTTTATGTTTTCAAGTTTCCAATCACTACTATGTGCCAGGCTTGATACAATTATGTATGCTTAAATAAATTTTACATCAGATCATCTTTTGTAGATGACTACAAATAAAGTTCCAAGATTGACAATCTTCATCTTTCTTTAAAAGTTTGAAATATGAGTATTTTGTTTGTCTTTAACCAAAATAACAAAAGTTTTAAAGTAATATAACACAGTTAGGATAATTAATCATTATCAGCATATCTTGATTTAAATTATATATTTATTTCTTGAAAATTATATATTTCTGACTTGCTGTCAGCCAATTTTAAACAGTTGATAAACTATTTATTCTCTAATGTGTTTCTCCTATGATTTATGTTTGATTGTGATATAAGAAAAAAAAAAAGCAGCTGCATTCTCCAGCTGTGATAAAGTGTTTCAATAAATGAGAAAAGCAACATCAGTAATAAATAAAGCAATTTACTTCTTTACAAAAATGACTATCTCTATTTAAAATCAAAACTGTAGCTATTGGTAGAGCCTAGCAGCTGGTATGGCTAAAGTGAATACTCTCTGGGAAATTAGGTTGCCACCGTATTAGCTATATTATACTGAGAAGGGTGTACTAAGATTTCTGTGGAAAACATTTAAGAGCTTTCCTTTTGAATTCACTACCAAGAAACTATCTCATTTCACTTAGAGCACTGACAGCAGGTGAGTGACAAAATGCAGTCCATTTCCGCTACCGCAGGGAATTAATTTCTGCTTCCCAAGGTAGGCAGAGATTCCAGGGTATTCTTTAATGATATAGAGAAAGAAATGTAATAAGTTCATACTGTTGATGCAAAAAAGTGATACTGGAGAAACTACACAGTTATTCCACAGTGATATGTTAACTACAAACCTGGAATCACATCCTTTCACTAATATTTGGATATTAAAAATCAAGGCATCATTTATTTATGAATTGAGGCATGTATCTTAAATTTACATATATCAAGGCCTAAGTAGTATTGTGTCCATATTTCATTGAAATACTTATAGCTTATATTTGTGTGCCACTCAACAGTTTATATTATATTATATATATAATTATATATATCACTATATTTAATAACCATATAAGATACATAGGAAAGAAAATAGTATTCCATGAGATGTGACACCATTAATTTCAGAATAATAATAATAGTTTAATACTATATATCTAATCAATTGGAATCTTTCTGTTTTGCTAGACTGTGAAAAAGGGTAAAGCACACGAAAAACTGTCAGAATAAAGTCATTATTATTATCTTAATACACCATGTTTGGGAAGTGAGTTAATGAAAGGAGAGGGAAAAAGAATAAAAAAGAAAAGCATATAAATAGAATTAATAGAGAAAGAAGATGATTACATAGGACTTCCCAATTAACCTACATGTTCTCATCAATATTGCATCCCATATCTTTTTATAATATGAACTAAAATTGATTTATGTTAATTTAAACATGTTTACTATCCTATATTTGGAGAAATTCTGTATTATGGGTGTGTCAGCATTCTTGTCAACTTGACTGAGCTGCTAAATGCTTGGCAGATACATATTTGCCACAAGTTTTATATCCCCAGAGGTTTGAGACTTGAGAGCAAACTAAAGAATGTTTCCAAAATTGCCAAGTGGTACAATAAATGATTATAACAAAGTAAAACTTAAGCTTAATTTAAAGTTAAAATAACTTAAAAGGTAACTTAAAAGGCTCCTTCTTGATTTTATAAAACCTACAAAATGTCAGTTAGGTCACAACTATGAGAGTATGCCTGATGATCTGATTATCTGAGGTGGAACAGTTTCATCCAGAAACCATCCACCCCCACCCCCGACCCACATCCATGGAAAAATTGTCTTCCATGAAACTGAAACCAGTTCCTGGTGCCAGAAATGTACTTTACACTGGTCTAAACTATCCAGTATAACAACTACTTACATAGCATTTACATTGTACCATCTAGAGATGATTTAAAACATCCGTGGATTTTGAAGGGGTCCTGGAACCAGTCCTCTATGGATACTGAGGGATGACTGTATTAGCAATGAACACGTGAAAACCAAAATTAAAAATTACCACTGCTTAAAAGGATAATATACCATGACCATATAGAGTTTATCTCTGGAATACAAGATCAGCTTAATATTCAAAATTGATTTAATTAACAAATTAATAGATTTAATTAACATATTAATGATATACTGTTATTATATTATTATATTGTGTATATAGTTATCGTAACAATATAATATTGTTATAATAATGAAATAATAATAAATATAATTGATTTAATTACCAATATTAATGAAATAAAGAATAAAAATCTTTGTTCAGTTAGATAAATACATATATAAAATTTGAGAAAAAGGGCAACACTCATTTACAATACACACTCAACAAATTAGCAATAATAGATACCTTCTTCCTCAACCTAATAAAATGAATCTGAGAAACACCTACAGACTTTATTTTTTTAGTGGGGATACCCTGACTCATTTCCTTTGGAAATAAGGAAAATGGAAATGATGCCTACTTTTACCACTCCTATTCAAATTGTTTCTGGGGTGAGGATTGTAATTTTCACAATAAAGTGCAAAATAAATTAAAGACATAGAAACAGGAAAGGAAGAGGTAAACCTTTTATAGATGGTATAATTATTTAAGTAGAAAAATTATATGGAATCTAAAAACAAATAAGCAAATAAAAAACTGCTAGAACTTATAAAGGAATGTGTCAAAGTCCAAGGGTAGAATGTCAAATACAAAAAAAAGTTGTATTTTTATTGACTAGTGTCAAACTATTGTAAAATAAAGTATTTAAAAGTTTATTTACTGTTTCAACACAAAATATAAATTAAACAGGAAGAAACCTAACGAAAAATGTATAGGATCTCTACAATGAAAACTACAAATCATAAATGAGAGAAAATAAAGATGACCTAAGTAAACGGAGTAATATAGAATATTCATGGACTAAATCACTCAAGTGTTAAGATAACCATCTCAACTGAACTATATAGTAAATGTAATTCCACTTACACAAATTGATTAGTTGATTCTGAAAATGATACTAAATAAGAAGAAAAAGTTGAAAGCGTCATTCTGCCTGATTTCAAGAATAAATCTACAAAAATTAAAACTATTTGTTATTAGCAAAAAGGCAGATGTGTAGATCAATGTAATAGAATGAAGCATACAGAAATAGGCCTGCTCATGTAAAGTTAATTTATTTTTGACAAAGGTGCGAAAGTTATTCAATTTAATTTGCATGGATAAAGACTGAGGGCTGGGCACAGTGACTCATGCGTGTAATCCCAGCACTTTGGGAGGTCGAGGCTGGCGGATTGCTTGCCCAGGATTTCAAGACCAGCCTGGGCAACAGGGTGAAACCCTGTCTCTACAAAACATACGAATATTAGCTGGGCATGGGGGGTGTCCACCTGTAGTCCCAGCTACATGGGAGGCTGGGATGGAAGAATCACCTGAGCCTGGGAGGTTGAGGCTGCAGTAAGCAGTAAGCCATATGCCACCACTGTACTCTAGTCTGAGCAAGAGTGACATCCTGTCTTACAAAAAAAAAAAAAATTAGCATTCTCCCTATCTCACACCATGCACACGTTTAACTTCAAATGAAAAGTTTTCCTAGATGTGCAACTAGGAACTATAAAGTTTCTAAAAGAAAAAGACAGGAAAAATTTGTGATCTTGCAAAGAAATTTTAGATAGGCTAAATAAAACCTGAAATATAAAAGTAAAAACATAAATTATGACTTCACAAAAAATGCTCTTCCAAAGATACCATTTACACAATTAAGACAAAAGCAGTTTAGCTGCCAGGTGTTGAGGTGGTAATTAGGGTGAGCCAAACCAAAAGTCACAATCAAACCTTTATTCACTTACCACATGTATTCATTTGCTTGGTCTGTCATAACAAAGCACCACAGACTGAGTGGCTTAAATAACAGAAATTTGGTTTTTCACAGTTATGGAAGCTATACCTCTGAGATTAATGTGTTGGCAGGATTGTTTCTTCTGAGGGCTGCCTCCTTGCCTTGTAGATGGTCTTTCCCTATGTCTTTCATGCTCCTCCCTCTGTGGGTGTTTTGCCCTAATTTCCTCTTCCTATAGGAATACCAGTCATATTAGATTAGGGCCCATCCCAATGATCTCATTTATCTTTAATTACCTTTTTAAAGACCCTGTCTCTAAAGACAATCACATTCTGAGCTACTGGTGGTTAGGACTTCAACATATAAATTGGTGAGGGAGGAGATGCAATTCAGCCCATAATACTTCAACAGTGAAGGTGAGGGGCAAAGAGAGAAAAAAAAGTGCCAGCTCCCAGTGTTCCATTTTCTTCTACAAAATGGCGTTGGGCAAGGGTCAGTCAGCTAATATGCAGGGCAGGTGGAGGAATAATCTCATGGCTGACAATCCTGAAAACAACAACGAAAACCTTTCTGTCTTTTTATAGACCCAGGTAGCCAGGAGGAAGGTGAGGGGAATGTGCCAGGAGTAGAAACTATTAAGTCAGAGTGGAGAAAATATCTTAGTCAAGGTTCCCTGATAAGGTTTCAGCAGGGGCACCTAAAATATATCCAGCCTCTGTCCCCTCATAATGAGGCCTCTGAATGGAGGCACCTGTGCTAGGAATGCTGAAAAGCGCATGAGCATGCCTGGCCCAGGACTAGGGGGCTGCATCCTTGACTACACTTCCTCTATATTTAAACTATCAAAAATACAATGTATAAATGAAAGTCCACATTTTTAATACATTCTGGATGAATAATCTAAAAGTAATTAAAATTAAATTATCAGTGTACTAATAAAGGAACTGTAGAAATAAACAAAATCCACCTAAATGAGAACAAGCAGAGGCTATTGATTCAGAGCTTCCCATATAGCAATGGAGTGAGACACCATTCCTTGTGTTTGGCAGAGACTCAAAGGCAGGCAGACAAGTGGCTAAGTTTTATATGGAAAAAAAGGAAGGCTAAAAGTATGCTCTGATTGGAGTCTGTTGCCATGGAAAAGCTGTAGGCAGGCTAACTACAATCAAGGGCATGCTCTATGATTAGTTATGGAGGCATATTTGGCTTTCTCCCATTGGGTCTAAGTTGGAAGTAGGGGCAAAAATTAGAGATGATGTCAGTTATTGATCATGTCTTGGCTGCTTTGGGCCAGTGGCTACTGGGATTGTTGTTCCACTTCCTGAACTGGTTGCTACAGGATAAGAGTCAGAGTTCTCTTTTTATATATGGTGTGACTATTGTCTGTTTGTATATCCAGTCTCTCAAAGAGAAAGCAGTACAATATTAGCTCAGGACTTTATGACCAAATTATACTGTCGGTTGCTGAATACAGCCCAGCTAATGAATATTCTTTTGCATTTTCTTCCTGGAAACTAGAGTTTATACATGAAATGAAAAGCAATAGAAACATGCCTTATAAAATTAGAATTAAAATTACATTGTAAAGTAGAAAAATGTTCAAAAAGCACAAAATTAAGTACAATATGCATGAATACACCATAAAAATACTAAGGAAGAAAAATCTGAGCCTGGAATTCCATGGAGTACAGTGAATAGCAATGCAAATCATAAATAAGGCAAAATACAAGATCGACAAGTCTGAGATCCTAATAAGTTATAATTTTTAATTCATCATACTGTTTTCAGGGAAAAGATATGTGGAATAGCAAGTTTTAACATGTCAGAGAAGGCATATATTCCAAGGTATTGATAAAATTAGCAATCAGAGAACAAACAAACTTTCAGCTGTCTCTCAGCTAGGGTAAAAGTAAAGGTAAATTGCATTGCTCTTTTTATGTGAAAGAATGAAAAATGTCAAAACCTCAGAGAAGAGATAGTAACGTTTTACTTTAAACATTAAAGCACATTTCTCATGGTTTGATAGTTTGGTATTATGATTAATTGCATAGTCTCTGAAATCAGACTACCCAAGGTCAAATCCTATCTTTGCCACTTACAAGCTAGCACTTTCTCTTTGTGACATGGGATTCTTGTCATGATTATGTATCATACATTTGAAACACTTAACATAAAACCTATCACCTAGGTTGTTAATACCTCTTCAATGTTTTCTATAAACGTGTTATTTACATGAGAAATAGGTACCGAGTGCCTAATGCTTTACAATCACCATTTAAAACATTGGGGATACAATAGTAAACCAAATAAACAGAGTTCTTGGTTTTATTGAGGTTGCATTCTGGAAGAATATAAATGTTTTAAAGAAGATTAGGTCAAAATAACAGCTAGAGAGTGATAGTGGAAAGAAGTGCATTCTATACAGAATGGTCCAAAAGGATCTCTTTGACAGAGCAACCTTGGAGCAGAGACATGAAGTAAATGAGGAAAAAGTCCCATGAAGAGGCAGACAGTGTATTTGATAGAAGGAGTTTGGAGTATCCATTACATTTCAATGCATTTTTAATATGCTCCAGAAACAGCAAGTCCAGTTTGGTGGAAAGAACAAGGAAAGAGATGACTGATAGGAGACATAGAGATAGATGGGCAAGAACACATACAGCCTTATGAGACACAGTGAGAACTTTGGAATTTACTCAGAGTAAGATGGGAAATTACGAGGTATTTTAAACCAAGCAATGACCTGATTTTATTTTGAAAGATTACACTGGCTGCTTTTTGAAGTATGGACTATAGAGGGACAAAGATGGAAGAAAAAAGACCATTACCGTTGTCTCTGTCTACCTGTTTCTATCTATGTATCTATCTATCTATCTTTCTTTCTATCTATCTATCTATCTATCTATCTGTCTATCTATCTATCTATCTACCTATCTATTCATCTATTATTTATATATCTCTGTCAATAGCTATCTAGAGCATATGTAAGTATATATATTATGGATAACAGCAGAAAAACTATTACATTTCTCTTATCTATCTAAGGTTATATTACAAGGACTAACTTTGGAAGACTTTTTTTTTTTTTTTTTTTCTGAGACGAAGTTTCACTCTTGTTGCCCAGGCTGGAGTGCAATGGCGCGATCTCTGCTCATCGCAACCTCCTCCTCCCAGGTTCAAGCCATTCTACTGCCTCAGCCTCCTGAGTAGCTGGGATTACAGGTGCGTGCCACCACGCCCAGCTAATTTTGTATTTTTAGTAGAGACGGGGTTTCTCCATGTTGGTCAGGCTGATCTCAGATTGCCGACCTCAGGTAATCTGCCCGCCTCAGCTTCCCAAAGTTCTGGGGTTACAGGAGTGAGCCACCACACCGGCCTGGAATACTTTTTAAAAATGAAAGTAAATGGAGGGCACAGTGGCTTACACCAGTAATCCCAACACTTTGGGAGGCCAATGCAGGAGGATTACTTGAGCCCAGGAGTTGGAAACTTATCTCTACAAAAAGTAAAAAATTATCCAGGTGTGATGCATGTACCTGTAGTCCCAGCTACTCAAAAGAAGGATCACTTGAGCCCAGCAGGTTGAGGCTGTAGTGAGCTGCTGGAGCCACTTCACTATGGCCAGGATAACAGAGTGAGACCCTGCCTCAAAAAAAAAAAAAAAAAGTGTATTGAGAGACGTTTTTTGGTCTTGAAATAACTTTAATACAAATTAAGGGCCCAGAAAAGTGAAATTCAGTGAAGGCAAGTATAATAATCTAAGATAAGTATGCCTGAGTTTGCATCTTGCCTCTATGGCCTTTGGCAAATTACTTAATGTCCCTGTAATTCATTTTTTTTTTCATCTTTAAGTGAAAATAATGCTAGTACCTACAGCAAAAACTTTGTGGGGTTTTTGGTGAGAATTAATATATGTAAATGCTTAGGAAAATACCTGCTGTATAATAAACGTGGAATAATGTCCTCTTCCTGTTCTCCTCCTTCTCCTTCTTCCTCTCCCTCTCTCTCTTCCTCTCCCCCTCCCTCCCTCCTCTTCTTCCTTCTCCTCCTTTTCCTCCTTCTCCTTCTCTTCCTCCTCTCCTTTTCCTTCCCCTCCCCCTCCCCCTCCCTTTTCTTCTTCTTGTTCTTCTTCTTCTTCTCCTTCTCCTTCTTCACCTTCTCCGTCTTCTTCCTCTTCTCTTCCTCTTCCTCTTCTTCTTCCCCTCCTCCTCTTCCTCTTCTTCCTCCTCCTCCTCCTTCTCCTTCCTATAATTGAAGGAAAGAAAAAAGAAAAGAAAGAAAAAGTAGTGTAATTGGTCAAATATCAATGTGGCTTTAAACAAATATTTTAAATTCTGAATTTTACACGTAGAATTTTGTTAGTGTAGGCAACCTAGCTCAGCAATACAGCAGGGAGTCTCTAGTTCAGAGAGCTCTGAAGGGCAGCAGCAGTTTGAGGTCTTTATAGATCCAAGGATTACCTGACCTATGGCCAAGAGTTGTTGAGTGCAATTTCACAAAGCAAACAAGCTATAAGTGGCTAAAAATGTAGGCTATATTTAAAACAATTGGATATGGAAAATTTTGTATTTGGCTCTGAAGGGCTTATAAGCTAATGGATCTCAGCCTGCTGCATAGAAATAAACAACATATATGCCGAGGTCATCATTGTAGCATTTTTATAATGGAGACTCCCGTATTTACCATGTGATATGGAGAAAGTTAGTTTATAGCC
This sequence comes from Homo sapiens, assembly GCF_000001405.40. Lineage (NCBI taxonomy): Eukaryota > Metazoa > Chordata > Mammalia > Primates > Hominidae > Homo > Homo sapiens. The sequence continues at coordinate 185,896,218 of NC_000002.12, read as the reverse complement.
AGTTGGGTAATTGTGGACCCTAAGCTAGCAAGATTCCTAAAAGCAGATGCCAGAAGGAAGATCTGACAGAGAAGCAGAGAAGTGTACTCTGCCACACAGGATCGAAGGAAAATTGAGCATGCCGAGGACTAATACTGAGCCATGCTAAAGACACAAGGAGAAGATTATTTGTTACCATGGCATGGACTTTGCCTGCAAAAGCTATTTGGCAAAGAGTGACCAGGGAACTGGAAATAGAACCCTCTTCTCTTCTCAACAAGAGATCTCATAGCCAGGCTTCTGTACACTTATTATCATTTGTAGATAAATTCTGAGTAGTGTGATAGGGTAGGCATTTTTATCTAGAGAGACAACATTTTCTTAAGACATTCTTGAAATCATTTATTATATGCACTAAATCTAGTTTTTCTGTTGATTTTCTTTTACTTTCTACTCTGTAAACAGGTTGGAGAGGGCCTGTAATCAAAAATAAATCATTTATAGACAGAGAAATTACCTTTCATCATCACAGGTGTGGTTGAGGATTTTGGCAGACCTTGTACATATTTGTTATTTTGGATTTTGTTATGAGGGAGGCATGCCCTCTGTGTTTGTTAAAAAACAAATCTATGATTGCTAATATTTTCTTTTGCTCTATTTTTTCAGTTTAGAAATTTTAAAACTTGCTTTCCTTTGAAGTTCCCACACAACTTACAATCAAATATATTCAATTATATAGTAATATGTTACCACTAAATACTTTCATTTATGATTTCTTTAGTAATCAATAAATTTTCATTTTGATGAGTAAGTTTTCCTAAACATCTAGCAATGTTTACAAACTTACTTTGTCAATTCCATAAGACATTTCAAACTACAACTGAAAATTTAGTCTGTTTCTCTGAATCATTTGAAATATCTACTTCCAAATGTAGTCAGCTTCTTAATGTTTGAAATCTTTACATCTATTAAATCTGACAAATTTTCTTTAAATCCCTGAGGATTTTAAATAAACATGCACAAGCCCAGTAATTATAAAACTTGTCACTACACCTGTTAAATACAATTTAAACCAAAATATTTACGTTAGAGATTTTGATAAACATGCTTACATGCATGTTTCCCCACACATAAAGACATATTAGATAATTATAGGTATAGGAGACACCATTGAATATAAATATGTCTACTTAAACACTGATCCAGCCCCAATTATACACACCCCCATTTCCTCTCATTCCCATAACCACTCACTCTTACATCATATTCAAACCATCTGTATGTGACTAGATAGACTTATATATTAAAAAGCACATATACACTTAAATTTACATATACATATATTAATATAACTTAAATTATCTTGTAAAAATGACTGGAATAATATTAATCCTAAAACAATATTGCCATATTAATATATTCTGAAGCTTTAAATACACATATAATATAATACAATAATATAATATATAATATCCAAATATTCATAACAATTGAACTGCTTAATTCAATGCTGCAATATAAAATACGTAAGAATTTTTGTGGGATTGGCAACTCTATTGATTAGCTTTTGTTTAAAATGTGTCATTTTTTAAGTGAATATTTGCTCCAAATTTTTAACGAATTAAAATACAAAGAATAATTCTCAAAGTGTACATCGTGAAGGATAGAATATGTTTCAGACACTTCTATGATTATTTTAAGCTTATATCTTTTAATCTGGCCATCAGAATTTATGCTGCAATTTTTGAAGCAACTTATTACTAAGTCATGGACTCAGGAATGCTAGCTGAGGATGGCCAGTGAAATAGCACCCAAGTTGTATACTCAGCAATATTGGGATTTGCAAAATGAAGGAAAAAGTTAATTCATTCTATTAACAGGATTATATTTTAAAATAGAAGAGATCTTTTTATGTAATAAATTACTGATTCATTTCTCAAAATAAAAACCTCCTGCTAGTTATCATTTGAATAAAAAAATTTTTGTGGTTAAGGAGATTTTATATATATATATATATACACACACACATATAATTAGCTTTAAAGCATTAAAACATATGCATATAAATTGCAGCATAAATATAATAATAATATATATAAATAAAGTTTAAATGCTTTATATATATGTATATTTCAGAAATTTATCTGAGGATACAGAGTATTTAAATACACTTTAAGATTAACATTAAAATAAATTATAATTTAGCCACAAATTTATATTTTGTTTCCAGTATAAATTCATAATTAGATCAACCTTGGCTTGAATGTAGTTTATGTTTGCAACCAAGAAAGTGAGTATTTTACATAACTGAATCATTAATTTTTCCCATTGTACCTGAACTTTACATCTTTATCCTTCAGAAGAGCTCTAACATCCTTAATTGCATCCTGCATTATTTTTGTAAAATAGCTTTGTTTTATACGTTTATGGCATAATTATTTCAGAACAATATGAAAACATAGAGATATCACATTTGTTTTGTATGCACATTTTTCTTTCCATTGTGTTTTATAATTTTATAGGGAATGGTAATTCTGTATATTATATTTTATTTGAATATTGGGTGCCACATTAATTTAATTGATTTTTAAAAATTCATAGCAGTCCATGTAAAGAAACTACTTCAACCTTCTTGGTAAATATGGAGATGTACCCCAGATTCTCCTCATCAGGGAAGGCCTTACTATGCAACAGCAGCGGGGGAGGTGAGCAGACAGTCTTCAGCTTTTAACTTCTTCAGAGCTGGTCTCAGCTGCAGAGAGCTGGCTTCACCCAACTTAATGCCATTCACAGGGCCACCAGAGTCCAGTGACTGAGAGAGATGAAGATATAACAGAAGAACTTGATACTTTTGGCCCAACAGGATATTGTCTGATGAGTAGTGCTCTCCTGAGAGCTCCCTGCCAAGTTGACCGATACTTTCTTGATCCTGCATTACAGTTTGAGTCTTGCTCTACACAAAGCCTGTACTAGCAGCATCAACAACATCTAGGATACTTTTAAATATGCAAATTATTGAGCTCATCCCAGGCTACTGAATCAGATATTTTGGGAGTGGGTATCAGCAATTTCTGTTTTAACAAATTCTCTAGGTGATTCTGATAGATGCTGAAGTTTGAGAATCATTGATCTACTCAATTTTTTTTTCTTCTCTCTTCCCTTTACAGATGTTCACCCCTAGTAAATATCTTGTATCCCAACTCTTTTTCAGCACCTGTTTATTGGGAACCTGTTTGAATCAAGGCTCTTAATGTCAACCTGAAAATAAATATGTATGACATTTTAAAGATTTCACAGAACTTTCTATGTGGTCAGGTCTGTAGTAACCTAAAAGCATTATAATGTTCTGTTAGGAGGCACTTACCTTTCGTCTTCTAGCCAACTTTCTTGCTAGTGAAGAGTCATCTCTCCTAATGGTAGTCACTGGTGGAAGATTGGAAGATTAGATGGCTGGAAGTGAGAAAAACTCCCATCTTTTTGGTCTGGTGACCTCTGTCTGGTCAGGAGAGCTATGTCCAGAATCCAGCAGCAGACATGTGTCACTGCTTCTGGGATATAAATAACAGCCCAGAAATATGCACTTAGAAGTCAGGAGTTTCAGAAGCACAAAGCTGTGTCCACTTCTCTTCTGCCCTTTGAGCACATTCAAACTGTAGCTCCTCATCAAAGTTCTAAGTAGCTGCTGCAGGATGTTCCCTCTTCTAGGTTCAGATAATACCATCTCTTCCCTTTGGATTTCCCACTCAAAGTGTGGTGAGTGATTATACAGCTATGAATCCTAGTTCCCGCAGTGTCTGTTTTATTCTCTTTCAGACTTCACTTGTTTGTGGTTTCCATTTTAAGATAAAGAATATATATATATATTTTTAAAAAAAACACAGCCTTGAAATAGCAGACCATATTAACTCAATATTACAGACACTTCCAAACTAGTTTGTATATATTTATAAAAAACTGCTACAATGCACAGCCTTGCAGATGAACTTCCACTCGCATAGCTTCCAACACCAGTAATCTTTGTCTGCTGTTATTTGCTTTTTTGTAATAGTTTACCCTGGAATATGCACTGGACTTATTGATTCATTTCCAGTGAATAAAATATGGCAGACATAAAGAAATGTCACCTCTGACATTAGGTCATAAAAAGATTGTAGCTTTGTCTTTGGCACTCTTTCTTGCTCTGTCTTGGATTACCCAGTCTGAGGGAGATGAGCTGGCATGTCATGAAGTAGCTGGCATGTTATGAGGCAATTCACATAGCTGTCCTAGAAGCAGACCTTCTGAGGGGTGCCAGGGCCATGAGAATAAGCTTGGGAGTAGACCCTACCCTAGTTAAAATTGAGATGATTGCCATTTCAGCTGACACCTTGATTCCAGACACATGACAAAACATTAGGCAGAAATACCCAGCACAGCTGCTTCTGACTTGCCGACCCACAGAAACTGTGACATAATAAATGTTTGTATTTTTTATCACTAAGATGTGGGGTAATTTATCAAGCAGAAATAGATTATTAATACAGATTTTGGTGCCTAAATGTGAGCATTGCCATTATACAAACCTAAAATGTGAGAGTGGCTTTGAAATTGAGCAGTATGGACTTTGAGAAGAGTGTTAATGAAAATTTAAAGTGCCTTGAACATTCTGTTTGTGGAATTTTGGACTTTGAATGTACTGTGGGTGACAGCCTACAGGAAGATGAAGAAAATCTCTTTGAAAACTAGAACAAGGAGGATCTTTGCTATTTAGTGATAGAAAGATCAGTGATACTAAACTGGGTTGTGTAGAAAATGAAACATGTGCCCAATGGACTGAGTAATCTCCCTAAGGAGATGTCTGAGAAAAGTTTTGAAGATGCTGCCTAGGTTCTTCATGCTGCTAATAGTGAAATGCATGAGAAAACAAATAAATCCAAATAAAGCTTCTTTTAAAGAACCAGAAAATGATGGTTTTAAAATCCTCAGCTTCAGCCAGGAGGAGTAGCTCATGCCTGTAATCCCAGTACTTTAGGAGGCCAAATCAGGAGGATCACTTGAGCCCCTGAGTTCAAACCTGCAGTAAACTATGATTGTGCCACTGCACTCCAGCTTGGGCAACAGAGTGAGACCCTGTCTCTATGGGGGGTAAAAAAAATACCTCAGCCTCTCTAGACTGCAAATGATGCTAAAATTAAGAATGCATTAGCCGAAGAGAGGCCTTTGGACCTCCAAAATTCTATTTGCCAAATCAGGTTAATAACATCTTCTTACCTCCAAAAAGAGTGCTACCTTTCATGAAAAAGGAAAAAGATTCATAGGGTGGCACCAAAAGGGTAGAATTATTGTTGGTCCTTGAGACTCAAGCAGCTTCCAACCTTTAGCTAGATTTTAGAATTATTATGGATAAGTGACTACTTTCTGCCTATCATGTCCCCCTTTTAAAATGGAAATGCCTATAGCAGTTATCCTATGCCTGTCTCACCATTGCATGCTGTGTACATTGAAAGAAGACAACCTGAATTTTGAGTTTTCTTGTTCTACAGATTGAGAGCAACTATACTTGAGGCGCTGTACTCAGGAAACTACCTGCAAAGCTTCATTCATGTATGGGCTTGATTGAGATGATAATACTTGCTGATGCAGTTATGGAATAAAACTTTTTGGGGCCTTGTGTATTTTGCATCTGAGTGAGACATAAATTGTCAGGAACCAGACTGAGTACTGTTGTGATAGGTATCTGTATGCTGGCCCCTAATATTCTTTGCCTCTTGGTATTCACACCTTTGTGTAATACCCTCACTTTGTGTGAAGACTGAAAATACTGACTTACTTCTAATGAATAGAATAAGACAGAGGTGATGGAATGTCATTCTGAGATTAAGTTATGAGAAAGTTTCTGCTGTGGTCACTCATCTTCTATATCTCGAGGCAGCCCTATGAAGAGAGGTCCTTGTGATTGAGTCTACAAGTTAATCTTCTGAGGCTTTCCAACAACCAGCAAGTGAATTTGGAAGCTAATCCATTCCAATTTGAGCTGTAGCATGACTGCAACACTGGTCTGTGCTTTTATTCAGTCTTATGAGAGACTCAAGTAGAAAAATCTACCTAACTGCTCCCAGATTCTTGACTTACAGGCACTATAGATTATAAGTGTTTCTTGTTCAGCAGCTAAGTCTTGGGGTGATTTATTGAACAGCAGTATATAAGTTAGGCAATTATGTTGGATTATTTATTCCAAGTTATTAATTTAGCATATGGAATTTGCAGATACATGTAGGATGGCGAGAGTAAGTGGTCAATGTAACAATAAAATATTAATATTTTTGAAAGTTATTTTAAAAGTAATTAGATGTATGTATGTATGCATAGTGCCTTGGATATGCAGCTATTACATTTGTTTTTATTTTATAGACACATTTTTCTTCTCCTTCTTTTTGGGATAGAGTCTTGCTTTGTCACGTAGGCTGGAGAGCAGTGGCATGAACACGGCTCACTGCACAGCCTCAATCTTCTGGGCTCAAGCAAACCTCCCACCTTAGCCTCCCATGTATGGAGCTGAGACCACAGGCATATGCCACCACGCCTGGCAAATTTTTTGATTTTTTTTCTGTTTTTTTGTAGAGACAGGGTCTCACATTTTGCCCAGGCTGATCTCTAACTCCTGGACTGAAACCATCCTCCCAACTTGGACCCCCAAAGTGCTGGGATTACAGGTGTGAGCCACCACACCTGGCCTATTTTACTTTTTGCTAGTGAGTTCTAATTTTAATCCTTCTGGTCATAGAATACAGTCTGTTTGATTTTAATTTTTTGTGTGTGTGCATTGAGGCTTCTTTAGTGGAATAAATGATTGAATGAATTTTGGGAATCTCTTATTATGCCTCAGAATGTATGTATTCCACTTGTGAGGTATAAATTATAAGTTTAAACTTTATGCTTTTGTTACTAAAATTGATAAGAAAAATAGTAGACAAAGACCATGGAAATTGGGGCTATCCTCAGGATTTAAATCACAGCTCTAACACTCAAGAGCTGATATTTGGGCATATTATATAAAATTATGTTATCTCTGCATTACATATTTCTTATCTTTAAAACAGAAGTAATAATATTACCTGCTGATATGGGTTTGGCTCTGTGTCCCCACCCACAACTCATCTTGAATTGTAATCCCTATAATCCCCATGTGTGGAGGGAGGGATCTGATTGGAGGTGATTGGATCAAGGGGGCAGTTTCCTCCATGCTATTCTCGTGATAATGAATGGGTTCTCCTGAGATCTGATGGTTTTAAAAGGGGCTCTTTCCCCTTTACTCATTTGCTGTCTGTCACCTGCTGCCACGTAAGACCTGCCTTTGCTTCTCTCTCACCTTCTGCCTTGATCGTAAGTTTCCTGAGGCCTCCCCAGCCATGCAGAACTGTGATTCAATTAAGCCTCTTTCCTTTATAAATTACTCAGTTTCGGGTATGTCTTTATAGCCATGTAAGAACAGACTAATAAACCTACCTCATATGTTTCCTATGCAATTTAAATAAATTAATATAATCAAATTGCTTAGAACAGTATCTGGTATAAATGCTACATAATAAATGTTGTTATTATTATTTTTCCTATAACTATCTTTGTCTGCTTGGTTTAACAGTTTCTGAGAGTAGCATGTTAAAATATCCAACTATTTATGTTGACTTATACATTTCTCCATGTAATTCCAAAGTTATCACTTTGTATATTTGGGGGTATGTTTTCAGATAAATATATAATATACAATAATCCTAACTGTACGACACTAAAATAAATCAATAGCACATTAGAACAAGTAAGAAGGTTCAGCAAAGTTCTTAAATCTGTGAAAAATGAATAGTATTACTCTACATGGGTAATTTACTAAAAAGTATTAGTAATGGCATTATGCTATACCAGTAACAGCAAATATAATGGAAAATACAATACCATGCACAATAACAACAGTATCTAATAATCAACCTAACAAAGAAAGCAGGAATCTTTTACAGAGAAAACAATTAAGCTATATTAAATTGTACAAAAGGAGATTTTTAAAATGAAACTATATACATCTTTGCAAGTAGGGTAAATCCTTCAGTTTTACTCTTGTTTTTTGAAATTATTTTGCCTTTTCTAGGTCTTTCACATTTCTTTATTAATTTTTGAATCAGCTTGTCAACTTCTGAGGAAAGCTCCCACTGAGATTTTGATTGGAATCTGGTATTTGTAAGGTTTGCAAACAGTTTGCAAAATATTAATAGTGTACATACAAAAATATCTTAGCTTTCAAAGATGTTTAAACTAGGAAAATGTAAATTATTCCTTACACAATAATATGTAGAAACATTTGGCCAATTGTTTTTAATCAATATTTTTCTTCATTAAAATATATAAATCCAGCAGTAATTATTCCTAAATATAAGAAATACAATATTCTCTCATTCCTTTTTGGTATCAACCTAAATTTACATTAAAATATATTTCTCACTAGATTACAGGTGAAAATTAAAATGTTGGTCCAAATTAACAGGACTTGCTATAATAAGCATAGCATACACCCTTATTAATGTTCTTAATTTTCATTAACATGATAGCATATTTTATTGACATATTATTATTTTCTTGTAAACATAATTAGCACTCATTCTTCTCAGCTGTATAATTTAATGAGTTTGATCACACAATTATCAAGAAAGAACAATATATAATTCTGCATGATTAAAAGAAAAATGTTCTTTAACAGTTTATCTCTGTAAAAAACTAAAAAATGCATTTAATTCTTATAACATGTTTAAATTTTGCTTAAATTAGAAAATGCCAGTTTAAAAAAGATACAACAAAAAATTTCATATAACTTTTTTTAGGTTTAAGTAAACAGGGACAAATATTAAAAGTCACGATTCACCTGTCATCTCTTTTGGTCCACATTTATCACTACCTAACCTTAATATGTGTCTTAGTCTATTTTGCATTAGTATGAAGGAACACCTGAGGCTAGGTAATTTATAAAGAAAATAAGTTTATTTGACTTATAGTTCTGCAGGCTGTACAAGAAGCATAGTTCCAGAATCTGCTTCTGGTGGATCTCAGGAAGTTTTCAATCATAGTGGGAAAGAAAGGGAGTAGGCATTAGAGGGTAAGAGGAAAGAATCAAGAGAGAGTAGGGGTGCCAGGCTCTGTGAAACAACCAGCTCTCATATGAATTATTACAGTAAAATCTCACTCATTACCATGGGAAAATGTCAAACCATTCATACTTGTTCAAGGTAAATAGTTAGTAGGTAACAGAGAGGGAAAATTTTGTTTCCTAACTCTATGTTATTATTACATGCCACATTATAATGCTTAGACAGGAATTAACCACAAACCATGTATTTTTGGCATACATTTCAGTAATAGGAAAAATACATAGTTACAGATGATGAATATAAAACAAAAAATAGAAAAATGATTTGTGATCAACCTCAGTATTGCTCCTAGGGACCAATTTAAGTATTTACAAAGCCAAATGCTAGAAAGAAAAAGTAAGAAGTTCAATTTCTTGGGCCAAGATATTTTGATAGTAAACTATCTTTAGTTTTTGTGATGTTACTTATTAAACTTTACCCATTAAAAACAAATTTACCAGTATTTATTGTAAAGATATTTCTTATCTAGAAATTCAGAACTCTAATTTATAAATTGTTATGCAAGTACAAATGAAGATTAAAAAAGATATTTACCTTGAATTTTTGCATTTGGTTAGGTACTAGAGATATAGTTTCTAAAGTATCTTCTTAATATTCTAATTAGTTATGAGAGTGAAACACAATTTTTATGAACTTCAAACAGTTCACTTTCTACTAATGTTAAAAGGAGACTTAATGGGGTCCATATTAACAAAGGATAATAATCTCCTACAAACCCAAAGAATATGGAGAAATATAATGCGTCTTGGAAAATTACAGAATTAAATTATCAAAATTATCAAAAATGGCATTCACTCTTTCTAGTCAATAATTGACATTGTGATTCATTTTCTTTCTAATTCAATCAATTCCGAAGTATTTTCTCCAATATAATTACTCATTAGGACATCTAAAATAGTCTAGGTAATGGTAGAGAAGATTAGTTTTATGCATTATGAAAGTTTTTGCCAAGAAAAATAAAAAGGTTTCTACTGGAGAGTTAAAAAGCTTGTCTTTCACCTTATTCCCATTCACCTCATTCTTACTTCATATACCTGTCTACTAGTTCTGTAATATTCAGTAGATATCTGTGTAACTCTTAACCTCTGGTTGTTATTTTGAATAAGGATCTCAATAATGATGAAAATCAATGAAGGCAATTTTCACCAAGTGAAATTTTCTTTACTTTGAAGAAATGGGCAGTAATTATTTTGGCCCACCTCTCAAATCTCAAAACGTATACTTACCTTAAATGTTTAAAATGGTTGTAAATTTTCTCTATTGGTGGAGGAGATATAAAGGTACTGGTGTTTTACTTTATAAATGTTTTAGCACAATCAACTTCTTTTAAAAACATGCAGTTTCAGTCAGGAAAATAAAAATGACATTAAGTTCAAAAAGAAGGATTCAATAAAGGTTTGAAGAGCTGAAATAGCAAATAGAGGTTTCTGAAGTATCTCACCTATTAAAAACCAGAGAAAGCAGTAACATCCCTATGGTCAGTTTGTATGACAATAGGTGAGTAACCAATACTCTGTGTGCATGTATATGTGCACATTTGTATAAGCATCTGAATTGTCAAGCTGATCATTAAGAAAAATTGATAATTCAAAAAGTGAATTTTAAGAAAACAATTCTAGAAATGTATGGATTATAATATAGTATAAATCCCACAAATGCTTTAAAATAGATGAAGAAATTAAGTACATTAGTAGTAAAGCAACAAAAGAAGGACACACTCTCAGTCACAAACATTAGAAAATAAGTACGATGGAGATTTCCATGACTGACTGGCTAGCTACAGTTCACCATTGCACATCCCGCGCCCATTGAAGCATATGTAAAAGATTTATAATCCTTTGAGTATATACCCAGTAACGGGATGGCTGGGTCAAATGGTATTTCTAGTTCTAGATCCTTGAGGAATCGCCACACTGTCTTCCACAATGGTTGAACTAGTTTACAGTCCCACCAACAGTGTAAAAGTGTTCCTATTTCTCCACATCCTCTCCAGCACCTGTTGTTTCCTGACTTTTTAATGATTGCCATTCTAACTGGTGTGAGATGGTATCTCACTGTGGTTTTGATTTGCATTTCTCTGATGGCCAGTGATGATGAGCGTTTTTTCATGTGTCTGTTGGCTGCATAAATGTCTTCTTTTGAGAAGTGTCTGTTCATGTCCTTCGCCCACTTTTTGATGGAGTTGTTTGATTTTTTTCTTGTAAATTTGTTTAAGTTCTTTTGTAGATTCTGGATATTAGCCCTTTGTCAGATGGGTAGATTGTAAAAATTTTCTCCCATTCTGTAGGTTGCCTCTTCACTCTGATGGTAGTTTCTCTGCTGTGCAGAAGCTCTTTAGTTTAGTTAGATCCCATTTGTCAATTTTGGCTTCTGTTGCCATTGCTTTTGGTGTTTTAGACATGAAGTCCTTGCCCATGCCTATGGCCTGAATGGTATTGCCTAGGTTTTCTTCTAGGGTTTTTATGGTTTTAGGTCTAACATTTAAGTCTTTAATCCATGTTGAATTAATTTTTGTGTAAGGTGTAAGGAAGGGATCCAGTTTCAGCTTTCTACTTATGGCTAGCCAGTTTTCCCAGCACCATTTATTAAATAGGGAATCCTTTCCCCATTTCTTGTTTTTCTCAGGTTTGTCAAAGATCAGATGGTTATAGATGTGTGGTATTATTTCTGAGGGCTCTGTTCTGTTCCATTGGTCTATATCTCTGTTTTGGTACCAGTACCATGCTGTTTTGGTTACTGTAGCCTTGTAGTATAGTTAGAAGTCAGGTAGCGTGATGCCTCCAGCTTTGTTCTTTTGGCTTAGGATTGTCTTGGCAATGCAGGCTCTTTTTTCGTTCCGTATGAACTTCAAAGTAGTTTTTTCCAATTCTGTGAAGAAAGTCATTGGTAGCTTGATGGGGATGGCATTGAATCTATAAATTAAGTTGGGCAGTATGGCCATTTTCACAATATTGATTCTTCCTACCCATGAGCATGGAATGTTCTTCCATTTGTTTGTGTCCTCTTTTATTTCATTGAGCAGTGGTTGGTAGTTCTCCTTGAAGAGGTCCTTCACTTCCCTTGTAAGTTGGATTCCTAGGTGTTTTAGTCTCTTTGAAGCAATTGTGAATAGGAGTTCACTCATGATTTGGCTCTCTGTTTGTCTGTTATTGGTGTATAGGAATGCTTGTGATTTTTGCGCATTGATTTTGTATCCTGAGACTTTGCTGAAGTTGCTTATCAGCTTAAGGAGATTTTGGGCTGAGACAATGGGGTTTTCTAAATATACAATCATGTCATCTGCAAACAGGGACAATTTGACTTCCTCTTTTCCTAATTGAATACCCTTTATTTCTTTCTCCTGCCTGATTGCCCTGGCCAGAACTTCCAATACTATGTTGAATAGGAGTGGTGAGAGAGGGCATCCCTGTCTTATGCCAGTTTTCAAAGGGAATACTTCCATTTCTTGCCCATTCAGTATATTGGCTGTGGGTTTGTCATAAATAGCTCTTATTTTTACATACGTTCCCTCAATACTCTCATTATTGAGAGTTTTTAGCATGAAGGGCTGTTGAATTTTGTCAAAGGCCTTTTCTGCATCTATTGAGATAATCATGTGGTTTTTGTCTTTGGTTCTGTTTATATGATGGATTACGTTTATTGATTTGCATATATTGAACCGGCCTTGCATCCCAGGGATGAAGTCAACTGAATCATGGTGGATAAGCTTTTTGATGTGCTGCTGGATTTGGTTTGCCAGCTTTTTACTGAGGATTTTTGCATCAATGTTCATCAGGGATATTGGTCTAAAATTTTCTTTTTTTGTTGTGTCTCTGCCAGGCTTTGGTATCAGGATGTTGCTGGCCTCACAAAATGAGTTGGGGAGTATTCCCTCTTTTTCTATTGATTAGAATAGTTTCAGAAGGAATGATACCAGCTCCTTTTTGTACTGCAGCACTACTCACAATAGCAAAGACTTGGAACCAACCCAAATGTCCATCAATGATAGACTGGATTAAGAAAATGTGGCACATATACACCATGGAATACTATGCAGCCATAAAAAAGGATGAGTTCATGTCCTTTGTAGGGACATGGATGAAGCTGGAAACCATCATTCTGAGCAAACTATCACAAGGACAGAACACCAAACCTCACATGTTCTCACTCACAGGTGGGAATTGAACAAAGAGAACATTTGGACACAGGGTGGGGACCATCACACACTGGGGCCTGTCGTGGGGTGGGAGGAGGGGGAGGGATAGCATTAGGAAATATACCTAATGTAAATGATGAGTTAATGGGTGCAGCACACCAACATGGCACATGTATACATATGTAACCTGCATGTTGTGCATATGTACCCTAGAACTTAATGTATAATAAAAATAAATAAATAAATAAAAATGCCAAAAAAAAGAAACATATGTAAAAGAAATGAATGAAACATATTCTGCAAAAAATTTCACTATTATCCCCCAACTGGAAGAAAAATGAATCAAGATGGTGTAATCAATTTTGGGAAAGAATGTGGAGATATTTATGAGAGTGAAATCTCATGTCTTGCATCTCCCTTTCCAACCAAAACCAGGCAATATTTTTTTTTCAAAAAATTCCACTGGAATAAATAAAGAGCCCACAGCAGGTAAATTCACTTTTCTACAGATTTTCATGTGACCATCACGAGTAATCAAATAGCACTCCTAGAATGCTGTGTTTCTTCCTTTTTCCCTCGAACATTTGACCTACTGGGCTGCGTTGGGTTTATGAATACTAATTTTGTCAGATTCCATGCCATTCATGTCAGCCTCCACAAGAAGCCCATGACTTCTAGGCAAATCTTTCCTCCTAAAATTCTAATCCTCATACAGCTCTATACAATACTTTCCCACCCCCACCTCCCAGTCCTACTTACCTCCTGAAATTCTTCACTCTGTTTTTTAAAATCTAAATTTTTTGAGTTTTGTTTGTTTTCTTACTCTGAAATGTAGCCATTCCCTAAGAAATGTTTTCATTCAGTCCTGTCAAGCGGTAGAGTTTTAAAAAATATATGCCTTCTATTTTATATATGGTTTAAGATGTGAAAGTGAAAAGTAGGCCTTATAGAAGTAGGTACTTTTTTTTCTTTATTGTTGCTTCCAGAATAGTTTTACTTTTTCTCTGTTCTCTATAAACATCCAGATTTAAATCTCATGTAATCTCAACATATCCCTCACTACCCTTCTTGTAATTATCTTCTATTCCTCAGTTTATTTCTCAATATTTCATAAATATTTTAGTCCCTGAATTATTGTAACTCACTGTAATATAGCTTCTATTGTAATTATTGGTGATTTCAATATCCAACTACATGATAACTTCAATACACTTGTCCTTTTTTACTTCTTTCTCTCTCTCTCTTTTTTTTTTTTTTGTCAGAAAAGGTCTCACTCTGTCATCCAGGCTGGAGTGCAGTGGCGCAAGCATAGCTCACTGCAGCCTCGACCTCCTGGGTTCCAGCAGTCCTTCCACTTCAGCTTCCCAAATATCTGGGACCACAGGTGCCTGCCACTAGAGCTAGTTTATTTTCAAAAATACATATTTTTTTCGTACAGATAGAACCTCCCTATGTTGCCCAGGCTGGTCTCAAACTCCTGGGCCCAAGCAACCTCTCACCTCTGCCTTCCAAAGTACCGGGACCACAGGCATGAGTCACCACGCTTGTCTCTCTGTTTCTTGACTCTTTCTTCCACAATGATCTTGATCACCAATTATCTACTTAAATGTTTATTCATTTAAGTATGTCATCTACTAGAAACTAGACAAAGCAGTAACATCCCTATGGCCAGTTTGTACAACAATAGGTGAGTAACCAATATTCTATGTGTGAATGTATGTGTCCCTATATTACCATCTTAATTTCAGACTTCTAAGTCTGTTACCAAGCCACTACTTTCCCACTTTATTCCCTTGGTACACTGTCTCCAGACATCTTTTAATTTTTTGTACTATCCTATTTTTCCCTGCCACAGCCTTCTTACCTATGTCTCACTCCTTTCCTTGAACAGTTTAAATTATTGGTCAAAAGTTGTAATCATGCCCTATAAAAATGCCCTCTTTTTTCTTTCTTATCAATTACTTCATTTCTTTCACTTGACTAAATCATAATACTGTCTTTCTACTCCATGCCTCTATTCTCTATTGATGCAGCTAAATATTATGGAACAAATCACAGAAGCATGTTGCCTGGTTTTATTTTAAATTGCTGATCACAAAACTTTAGTTCTTAGTCCTGTCACGAAGTCATCCTTTTCCTTTCACCATCCCCTTTGGATGAATATTCCATCTAAATATAATGGATAAATATTTGGATTGGATAGTTCTTCAAATATCCAATATAGCAATCCTCCTGGTCTTAACCTTGGCAGAGGTCTTTGATCCCATTGCCCCTAAGGCAGTTCTCAGCATATAGTTCCTGGAATGACAGCACCACCTAGGAACTTTTAAGAAAAGCAAATTCTTTGGCCCATTCCCGGGCATAGTAAATTAGAAACTATGGAGTTGAGACCTAGCAATCTATATCTTAACAAGCCATCTACGTAATTCTGACATCTGCTGGTCTTAGAACCACTGCCCTAAGAAAACTATAGCAATCAAAATAATATTCCCATAAGCCTCCCAAACATGTACTCATGTATCTTGACCTTTGTTCATTGCTGAAATGGACTTTCAAGGTTCCCAGTCAACATTCCTCATTAGTACTAGGTCTTATCCCCTTTTACTTTTTCAGAAATTTAGTTCCAGCAATTCTCTCTGTCCACTTAGTCGAGAACTTTTTATCTACTAGATTATTTCTATCAGCATTTAAACATGTTATCTCTCCCTTACTCTGAAAAAAAAAAAAAATGCTCTCCCTTGACGTTACCTACCCCTTTTAAGTATTCTCCAATTACATTCATTTCAACAAAACTACTTTAATGAGTGGTTTATAGTGTTTACTTGATAGTGATGTAGTATCTTTTTGATGTGTTATTGGATTTGGGTAGCTAGTGTTATTGAGGATTTTTGGATCTATGCTAATCAGGGATATTGGCCTATAGTTTTATTTCTTTGTTGTGTCCTTATCTGATGCGGTATCAGAGTGACAATGTTTTTGTTGAATGAGTTAAAGAAAAATCCCTCCTCCTCAATTTTATGGAATAGTTTCAGTAAGATTGGTACCAATTCTTATTTGCACATCTGATAAAATTTAGCTGTGAATCCATTTGGTCCTGGGCTTTTTTGTTATGGGAAATTTTAAATTACTGATTCAACCTAATTAGTCATTATTGGTTTGTTCAGGGTTTCTGTTTTTTCCTGGCTTGATCTTGGTAGGTTGCATGTTTCCAGGAATTTTCCCCTTTCCTCCAGGTTTTCTAGTTTGTGCACATAGAGATATTATAGTAGTCTCTGATGATCTTTTGTATTTCTCTGGTATCAGTTGTAAAGTCAACTTTACAATCATTTCTGATTGTGCTAATTTGAATCAATCTTCTCTTTTCTCTTGGTTAATCTAGCTAATGTAGTGGTCTGTCAATTCTGTTTATCATTTCAAAGAACAGGTTTTTGTTTCATTGATTTTTTTTGTATTTTGTTTTGGTCTTAATATTATTTAGTTCAACTCTGATCTTTGTTATTTCCTTTCTTCTGCTAGCTTTGGGTTTGGTTTGTTCTCTTTTTTCCATTTCCTTGCAGTGAGATATTAGGTTATTAATTTGAGCTCTTTTGATCTTTTCGATATAGACATTTAATAGTATTAACTTCCCTCTTGGCAGTGCTTTTGCTGTGTCCCAAAACTTTTGATAAGTTGTCTCTGTTTTCCTTTATTTCAAAAAATTATTGATTTCTGCCTTAATTTCATTGTTTACCAAAAGATCATTCAGGAGCAAGTTGTTCAGTTTCCATGTATTTGTATCGTTTCCCTAGTTCCTGTTGGTATTAATTTCTACTTTTATTCCAATGTTGTTTGAGAAAATACTTGGTATGATTTTTATTATTTTTTAATTTATTGACTTGTTTCATGGCCAAGCATGTGATCTATTTTGGAAAATGTTTCATGTATGCATGAAAAAAAATATATTCTCTGTTGTTAAATAGAATATTTTGTAAATGTCTATCAGATCTGTTTGATCTAGAACCCAATTTAAGTCTAGAGTTTCTTTATGAATTTTCTGCCTCAGTCATCTGTTTTGTGTCATCAGTGGGGTTTTAAAGTTTCCCACCATTATTGTACTGCTGTCAATCTCTTTTCGTAGGTCTAGTAGTATTTCTTTTATGACTCTAGAAGCTCTGACATTGGGCACATATATATTTAGGATGGTCATATCTTTTTGTCGAATTGAGCCCTTTATAATGACCATCTTTGTCTTTTTACTGTTGTTGATATAAAGTCTGGTATATCTCATATAAGTATAGATACTTCTGCTTATTTTTATTTTCTGTTTGTATGATATATCATTTTCCACCCCTTTCCATTGAGTCTGTGGGTGTCTTTACCCATTCCATCGATCTCTTCTAGGCAGCAGATGGTTGGATCCTGTGTTTTTATCAAATTTGTCAGTCTATATCTTTAAATGGAACATTTAGGTCATTTATGTTCAAGGTTAATATTGATGTGTAAGATTTTGTTCCAGTCATAATGTTAGCTAGTTGCTTTCTAGTCTCAATTTTATAACTGTTTTATAGAATCTGTAAGCTTTGTATAATATTTGCATTTGCTTTTATCATGGTGAGTATCCTTTCAATTCCATGTTTAGAACTCCTTTGAGCATTTCTCATAGGAACAGTCTAATGGTACTAAATTTCCTTGGAATTTACTACTCTGGGAAAGACTATTTTTCCTTCATTGATGAAGCTTAATTTGGCAGGATATGAAATTCTTGGCTGGCATTTTTTTCTTGAAGAAGGCTGAAAATATGTCCCAAATCTCGTCTGACTTGTACATTTTCTGCTGATAAGTCATCTGTTAGTCCAATGGGATTTCCTTTATAGGTAAGTAGATGCTTCTCTCTAGCTGCTTTTAGAATTTTGCATCCACATTGCCTATGGCTAGTCTGATAACTATATGCCTTGGTGAAGTTTGTCTTGCAAAGTATTTTCAAGGCATTCTCTGAGCTCTTTTAAATGTGGATGTCTTAATCTCTAGAAAGATCAGACAATTTTTTAAATTATTCCTTCTAAGGTGGTTTTCAAACTTTTAACTTTTTTCCTTCTCCTTTAGGATTGCCTGTAACTCATAGGCTTGGTCACTAAGACTTTGTTCATTTATAAAATTCTGCCTTTATTTTTGTCTGAGTTAATTCAAATGACCAGTCTTTTAGCTCTGAAAGTGTTTTTTTTTTGTTTGTTTTTTTGTTTGTTTGTTTTTGCTTGGTCTGATTGAATCTTAAATGTTTGAATTGTGTTTGAAATTCCTTAAGTGAATTTTTCATTTCCAAGTACTGTTTGGATTATTATTGTTTAATATCTATCTCTTCTTTCATAACTGGAATTGTTTTTATCTGATTCCTTTGTGTTGGTTTTCAACCTTTTGGATCACATTGGGCTTCCTGATAATTCATATTTTTATTACTTTATTTGTTATTTCAGAACTTTTATTTTGGTTAGGATCCATTGCTAGAGAGCTAATATGATCCTTTTGTGGTGTCATAACACTCAGTTTTTTCATGGTGCCAGCATTCTTAATTTGGATCTTTCTTACCTGGAGTTTTTTTTATTTATTTAATTTACTTTCAATTGGATTTTTTTTCTCTCCTTGAGTGTGTGAATGTAGCATATGTTGGGTAGGGTCCTTTGGCTCTGCTTCTATAGCTCTGTGCAGTTCTGTCAGTACGTTTTGTATTGGGTTATGCAGTTCAACATCTCACTTTACTGAGAGGTGCACTCTGTTGTTTCAGGTGATGGGCTAGTCTGTGAAATACCTGGTGCTCTGGGTTCCTTGTCCAGCTGAATGGTATGGGAAACAAAGCTGGGCAGAGCTAGACCAACAATCTCAGCCATGAATACCCCATGACAATCGCAGGCAGCAGCCCTGATGAGGCTGACTCGGGGAACTCCTGATGAAATGTAGCGGTGTCTGCAGCGGAGGAGGGGACTGCACCAGCTCCACATCCTAGACAAACAGGAACATGATGTGTTTCTCTATCATACTGCTATCCCAGAGCTCATGATTCTCAGTTTAGATGCACACTATCCTCCATCTCAAGGCCACAATGTAGCTGAGAGCCTCAGATAATGCATGTCATGTAGCGTGGGAAGAGCTCTGCCTTTCAGAACATGTAGGTGGGTTTCAGCTGTGGTGGGGTAGGCTGGTTGGTTCAGCCCAACCTAAATTCTGCAGGGAGTGAAAAAAATCCAGATACCTAGATGGCCCACTGAATGGCATACACAAGTTCTGGAGGGACTGGACTGAGGCCAAGCCAGCGAACTTGTCCTCAGGTCTCCTGTGTCTAGGTGCTGGCTGTGATACTGAGAGGCAGCCTGGTCCACAGGTCACCAGCAGAACTCTCAGGCAGAGGCAGGCAGAATGCTCAGGTGTCAGCAAAATGCTCAGGTGGTGGGATCCCCAAGGTAGATCACAGGCCTCTGGCGGCTGGGCTCTCAGAAGAGCTCTGAGCCATAGCTGAAATGATCAGGTAGGAGCAGGGTGGCTACTCTGTGGGCCTGTCAGTGGGGAAGGCAGGGCCCCCTCAGCAGTAGCAGTAGAGGAAGGCACTTGTGGGGTACATGGCTCACTCATGCCTCCCTCTCACAGAAGCAGCAACAGGTATCCCTCGCTGGGACATGTGAAGGTACCCAGTCTCCCGCTCCCTCCCTGGACTGGCAGTGAGTATGGTGGTGGCAGCAGCATTGGCAGTGGGGGCCACAGAACAGAATGTAGGCCTCCAAGGGCTAGGATTTCAGAAGGGTGCTGTGCCATAGCCAAAATGCTTAGACCAAGGCAGAGTGGCTACTCTGTAGGCCTGCCATTGGGAAGGGCAGTCCACCTCAGTGGGAGCCATGGAGTTTGGAAGCTTCAGGCACACGGCTCACTTGCACTTCTCTCCTGTAGAGGCAGTGGTAGATTTTACTGTTCGAGGCACACAAATGTGCCCAGTCTCGTTGCTCCTTCCCTGGCACAATGGGGTAAGGATAGCAGAGACTGTGGTGGTAATGGTGGTGGCAACTGTTTTAGGAGCCCCAGGGCAGATTACCAGCCTTTGGGGGCTGGGATCTCAGAATAATGCTGGGGCATAGCCAAAATACTCAGGTAGGGGCCAGGCAGCTGCTGAGGAAGGCAGCCATGGCTTATGTGGTCTGCCCACTAGATAGGGGAGCAGTGGAGGCAGACAGCTGTGGGGTGTGTGTTTTGTCCACTCGTTCATCCCACAGCAGTGGCTGTTGTGTCTATCTTTGGGGTGCATGAAAATGCCCACCTTTCCACTCTCTTCCTGGTAGGGCAGCGCAGCTGGCACTAGGATGCAACTGCTGTGATCAAAGCCTGTGGCATTTCTCGTGGGCTTGAACAATGCCTCTGCACAGTATCTAGGCAGCTTCCTGTGTTAGTCTGGAGGCCCACGGGGATAGAAGGGGCTCTCCCATAGCTAGAATTGTAAAGGTCTTTGGCCAGAGTGCGGAGCCTCAGGAGTCTCTCATTTATTCAGCCCTTCCCTGTGTTGGGGAGCCTCTCCTAGCTAGATGCTGCTTCCAACTCAGCGCGCTGCTTGGCTTCACTCTTCTCTGCTTCCCATGATTTCTGTTGTTTCTCTGATGAATTCCAGTTTTCTCTCTCAGAAAATCAACTTGAAGTGTTAACATTTCCTTGCTAATTTGATTCCTCTCTGTGAGAGTGTACCCACTAGCTTGTTCCAGTCAGCTATCTTGAACCAGAACAATTTTTTCTTATTCATTGGTTTCTCCTGTCTCTGAACTTTTTATGCACATCAATTTTACATCAAAAACATAACACTGAATTACACATCTATCTTAAATACCTCATTGACTTTTAAAAAACAGCATCCTGGAAAGATATAATTAGACTATAATTATAATGTATAATGAATGTGTAATTTTTGCCAATTATATGTTTTCCTCAGAAACCTTGCTTTCTGCAAAAGCATGCACTAAAACTAACAGGTGTTTTAGAAGAAATAGGTTTAGAAGAAGCCTACTCCAAACTTAAGTAACTTTGTTACTAGAGCCCTTACAATACTAATTCTCCAGATCTGTTATTAAAATATATGATATCTTTATGTTTCTTTTTTGTATAATAATTATAATACTCTTCATATTCATACATATCATAAACCTAATGCTCATAATATTCATATTTGAATCATGATATGTTATTAAATGTATAAAAGGCTAACCATAGAAATTTAATTATGTATATACAATATATAACAATTTTAATGGTTTAGTTTTTAGTGAAACTGACTTATGCAACTGGATTATAATTTACTTAAACTCATATTGGAAATTATATATTAATTGTTTTCTATTTAAATCTGTAACATGATACACAGTCTTGTGTATAAATCCTTTATATAGTCGTCTTATTAAGTTTTAGAGCTGTAATTTATATAAACTTAAACCATGGACAAGATAAAATTTTATGAAGTCTGAGTGATAATGTAACTGTGGAACCATTACCACAAACATCTCTATCATGCCAAACATTCCTTATACACCTTTGCAACCTGTTTCTTTCTCTGCTCCTGGCTGCACACAAGCCTCTTGTCACTATGTATGTTTTAATTTTCTGGATTTTTGTATAAGTGAAACCATGGAGTATGCACTACTTTTGTCTATTTCATTTCACACAAGAAAATAATTTAGAGATTCATCCATGTTGTTGCATTTATCAATAGTAGTTAATTTCCTTTTTATTGTTGTGTCGTGTATCATCACATAGACATACCATCATTTTAAACCCATTTTCCTGCTAAACATTTTATTATATGCTTATTGGCCGTTCATGAATCTTTTATTTGCAAAGTGCCTGTTAAAATATTTTGCCTACTTCTAAGAAAGTTTCTCTTACACTAGATGACAAAGAATTTCTCTAATATTTTTCCAGAACTTTTCTAGTTTTAGCTTTTACATTCAGATCTGTGATCCATTTTGAGTAAAGTTTTATATATTATGTAAGATAAGAGTTGGTATTCAGTTTCTTTTGGCCATATTGATATTTATATGAATAAATTTAAGAGTAAATTTTGTGGTATCGATATATTTGTTTTCTATATATGACTAGCTAACTATCTCAACTTTTCTGTGGGCTTAATTAAATATCTGACTACTATTGAACTATGCTGGCACCAGGATGCAAACTGCTCAGGGATTGAAAGCCTGTGATATTTGAACTATGAGCTATTGAACTATGAAGTGTATTGAACTATGTAGTGGCAAATGTAGCTCCAAATAAAGGAGCTCCAAATTTTGAGTTTTTTTCTTCCCATTACCACAGAATAATAATGTAGTGGCTGACTCCCGCCCCCCAAAAAATATTCTCCCCAAATTAACTCAGTTAGGCAGCCTTGTGTTTGTATTCTTTTACTTCATCTTTGCTCTACACATTTCCAAAACAGTGTGAGAGTGGTAAATGTTTCTTTTTCTCACTCACAGCTCTATTCAAGTTAGAATTGCCTTCTTTTCTCGATTTGGTGTGTACTCTCTTACTGATAAATTATTCAGGAAATTTTCAAATCTTCCTTAACACCTTTTCCTAGTCTTTCATATTCAGTATTATAAAAAGCTTTCATAAATACTATTTTTAAAAGGTTCTACTGTTAGTCATACAAAATTCTATTTTCATTTATATTAATCTATTTTTGGCTTGATATAATAACTGAAAATTGTAACAGCTACATATGCTAACAGTAACAGAATTTATCCTTTATTAATTTAGTGCTTACCTCATGTAATGCTTGTGGACTAACTTGAATGAGAATATGTTGCTAGTATATCTCACATTTTATTAGACTCTAACTTGTCACAGGGTTTTTAAATGTGTTGGCTTTGAATATTTATTATGAATTCATTAGAAGAGAGTTTCAAAGCATGATTTGCATCTATGAAAGTCTTGAAACTGAGGATAAATTATTAACATTGTCTTTTTGTTCTTATGTAGAATTTTGTTTGTTTAAATATTAATAATCTTTCAGTGAAATGCAATTAAATTTTAATTAGTTTGTGTAAATGAGTTAACCATATTGATTATTGTGCTGTAGTAAACATCAGAGAAATGCACTTATCACCTAATATGCTGTATTAATAATTAAAGATGGACTTCCAGCTTATTCAAAACATAGCATATAAGCATAACCTTTAGCAATTCACACATCAGTTTAGAATGTGACAATTCGATGAAAGACACTTAGACTATCCAATAAATTCATCAGAAAATGAAAGGTTTTTTTGTTCATTTTTCTCTTTGTCGTGTTTATTTCACTTGGAAAATGTATTTATAAAATCGTGACTGTAAATCCAGAAATCTATAAAGAAAGTTCCTAAATTGTTCCCACTTTATGTGGTTGTATAACCTATTGTTTGAAGGAGTATTGCAACTAAGAAGCTAGAAAGCTGTGTGAGCTAGAAATACAAATGAAATTCCTGTTTCAGAATTTACCTACCCAAATGCAAGTGATGTACTGAAAGAAATGCAACTTGCAAGTATGCATTGTTATATAATTCTTTTAGTAAAATTGTTAAATTTACCATAATTTCAAGCATTTCTGTGGTTAATGATGTTTGAAAGTTTTGGCATTAAAACATAAGATATTACTTAACCTTAAAAATAATATTATTTAACATTAAAAACCATATGAAAATAAATGATAAATAAGGAATGATGATTTCCATTCTACTAAAAATTTAATTTTATTTATTAATTTTAGAATCACGAATACTTTACAAAAGAAAAAAATAAGTGATACTCAGAGTTAACATAATTGTTTTGATTCCCCATAATTCATTTCAGACTTCAGGCATATTTATAAATGTTTCTTAATATATCTTGATATGTGGCCTCCAGATTCGTTTCAACAATGTTGATATAATAGTCATTTATGTTCCAATTTTCATTAGTATTTAGCCATATTTTTATTATAAAAGATATAACATTTATATTTCATTTTCTGAGAATTTGTTATTGTAATTTCTACAGAACTGGTTTCATATTTAAAAATTATTTAGTTTGGTACATTAGATATGCTTTTAATGTACCTTTCTATTATGCATTGCTTACATTAGTCATATCACTTTTTACAAAGTATTGTGATTATCAGTTAATGTGTCTTTCTTGTGTATTATAGTGAGCCAAAGCTACAAGTGTTCTACTTATTCTTGTATCACCTCACTGTGCACAGTGCCTGAGACATAGTAGAAACTCAGTAAATATTTCACATAATCTCCTTCAGCACATTAAATAACATTAAATGTAAGTCCAAAATCCTATGTGGGATTCTGTTTAGTTTTTAACTTAGTTTTTGAGATCATAAGCATAGCACTTGTAGTTCTTAAGTACTGGAGTTAAAAAGTCATTACCACTCTCTTGTCTCTCTCACATCTGATCCTTCTAGGTGCAAATGGTAGTATTCTTTAAGGAAGCCACTGTTCCCACTGGGAGTAACTTATCCCATCAACATAACCCTTTTCTATGTTTTCTGGAGTGAAGAGAACTGGTTAAATCTTTTAGCTACGTATAAACTGACATAAATGAATAACGAAGTGTAAATGATATGACCCTTCCCTAAGTGTATTTATTTATTGTTTCTTTTATCACCAGAACTCTTACAAGTCTCCAAATTTGAGGTTTCACCTCACATGAAAAGATCATAAGACTTTTCTGCAGTAGTTCCCTTAGCTGTCATTAAGTGCCTTTGAACGTAAAATTGCATATCTGTTAATTCTCCTATTGATCTAAAGAGACCTGGGTGTCTTAGATGAACCCGCATGAACCCTCATTTTCTTTCAACGTGACATTATGGGTTATTTGAATTCTCCAGAGGAGAAGTGAGACATGTGAGGTTGCATGGAAATTTAGGTCATGCTTTTATTTGATCAAATTTAAGATTACTTTGTATCAGGTTTTCGTAAGTGGTTTATACACGTTAAATCATTTTATCAATGTACCTCTTACATCCTCCCCAAATGACCTATCTGCTGTCACTTTCTTAAAATTTCAGTAAGAACTTTGGAAATAAGATGTCTCTTAGAAATTCCAAATGTGTTGATTTTATTTCACCAAAGTAAAGAAGATAGTTATCTTATGTATTATCATAAACAATCTCCCTCACAAAAATAGATTTCACTATAATTTTGAACTTTTGGGGGCGTAATTAGCATTCCTATAAGTGCAACAGCATAAAAACATGTAATTAAGACAACAGTATTTTAAAATAATATTGGAAAATTTATGATTTATGTAGAAAAACTTTTTTTAATTTATTTTATTTATTTATTTATTTACTTATTTTTATTATACTTTAAGTTTTAGGGTACATGTGCACATTGTGCAGGTTAGTTACATATATATACATGTGCCATGCTGGTGTGCTGCACCCACTAACTCGTCATCTAGCATTAGGTATATCTCCCAATGCTATCCCTCCCCCCTCTCCCCACCCCACCACTGTCCCCAGAGTATGATATTCCCCTTCCTATGTCCATGTGATCTCATTGTTCAATTCCCACCTATGAGTGAGAATATGCGGTGTTTGGTTTTTTGTTCTTGCGATAGTTTACTGAGAATGATGATTTCCAATTTCATCCATGTCCCTACAAAGGACATGAACTCATCATTTTTTATGGCTGCATACTATTCCATGGTGTATATGTGCCACATTTTCTTAATCCAGTCTATCATTGTTGGACATTTGGGTTGGTTCCAAGTCTTTGCTATTGTGAATAATACCGCAATAAACATACGTGTGCATGTGTCTTTATAGCAGCATGATTTATAGTCCTTTGGGTATATACCCAGTAATGGGATGGCTGGGTCAAATGGTATTTCTAGTTCTAGATCCCTGAAGAGTTGCCACACTGACTTCCACAATGGTTGAACTAGTTTACAGTCCCACCAACAGTGTAAAAGTGTTCCTATTTCTCCACATCCTCTCCAGCACCTGTTGTTTCCTGACTTTTTAATGATTGCCATTCTAACTGGTGTGAGATGGTATCTCATTGTGGTTTTGATTTGCATTTCTCTGATGGCCAGTGATGATGAGCATTTTTTCATGTGTTTTTTGGCTGCATAAATGTCTTCTTTTGAGAAGTGTCTGTTCATGTCCTTCGCCCACTTTTTGATGGGGTTGTTTGTTTTTTTCTTGTAAATTTGTTTGAGTTCATTGTAGATTCTGGATATTAGCCCTTTGTCAGATGAGTAGGTTGCGAAAATTTTCTCCCATTTTGTAGGTTGCCTGTTGAATCTGATGGTAGTTTCTTTTGCTGTGCAGAAGCTCTTTAGTTTAATTAGATCCCATTTGTCAATTTTGGCTTTTGTTGCCATTGCTTTTGGTGTTTTGGACATGAAGTCCTTGTCCATGCCTATGTCCTGAATGGTGATGCCTAGGTTTTCTTCTAGGGTTTTTATGGTTTTAGGTCTAACATTTAAGTCTTTAATCCATCTTGAATTGATTTTTGTATAAGGTGTAAGGAAGGGATCCAGTTTCAGCTTTCTACATATGGCTAGCCAGTTTTCCCAGCACCATTTATTAAATAGGGAATCCTTTCCCCATTTCTTGTTTTTCTCAGGTTTGTCAAAGATCAGATAGTTGTAGGTAAGCAGCGTTATTTCTGAGGGCTCTGTTCTGTTCCATTGATCTATATCTCTGTTTTGGTACCAGTACCATGCTGTTTTGGTTACTATAGCCTTGTAGTATAGTTTGAAGTCAGGTAGTGTGATGCCTCCAGCTTCAATCTTTTGGCTTAGGATTGCCTTGGCGATGCGGGCTCTTTTTTGGTTCCATATGAACTTTAAAGTAGTTTTTTCCAATTCTGTGAAGAAAGTCATTGGTAGCTTGATGGGGATGGCATTGAATCTGTAAATTACCTTGGGCAGTATGGCCATTTTCACAATATTGATTCTTCCTTCCCATGAGCATAGAATGTTCTTCCATTTGTTTCTATACTCTTTTATTTCCTTGAGCAGTGGTTTGTAGTTCTCCTTGAAGAGGTCCTTCACATCCCTTGTAAGTTGGATTCCTAGGTATTTTATTCTCTTTGAAGCAATTGTGAATGGGAGTACACTCATGATTTGGCTCTCTGTTTGTCTGTTATTGGTGTATAAGAATGCTTGTGATTTTTGTACATTGATTTTGTATCCTGAGACTTTCCTGAAGTTGCTTATCAGCTTAAGGAGATTTTGGGCTGAGACAATGGGGTTTTCTAGATATACAGTCATGTCGTCTGCAAACAGGGACAATTTGACTTCCTCTTTTCCTAATTGAATACCCTTTATTTCCTTCTCCTGCCTAATTGCCCTGGCCAGAACTTCCAACACTATGTTGAATAGGAGTGGTGAGAGAGGGCATCCCTGTCTTCTGCCAGTTTTCAAAGGGAATGCTTCCAGTTTTTGCCCATTTAGTATGATATTGGCTGTGGGTTTGTCATAGATAGCTCTTATTACTTTGAAATACGTCCCATCAATACCTAATTTATTGAGAGTTTTTAGCATGAAGCTTTTTTGAATTTTGTCAAAGGCCTTTTCTGCATCTATTGAGATAATCATATGGTTTTTGTCTTTGGCTCTGTTTATATGCTGGATTACATTTATTGATTTGCGTATATTGAACCTGCCTTGCATCCCAGGGATGAAGCCCACTTGATCATGGTGGATAAGCTTTTTGATGTGCTGCTGGATTCGTTTTGCCAGTATTTTATTGAGGATTTTTGCATCAATGTTCATCAAGGATATTGGTCTAAAATTCTCTTTTTTGGTTGTGTCTCTGCCCGGCTTTGGTATCAGAATGATGCTAGCCTCATAAAATGAGTTAGGGAGGATTCCCTCTTTTTCTATTGATTGGAATAGTTTCAGAAGGAATGGTACCAGTTCCTCCTTGTACCTCTGGTAGAATTCGGCTGTGAATCCATCTGGTCCTGGACTCTTTTTGGTTGGTAAACTATTGATTATTGCCACAATTTCAGCTCCTGTTATTGGTCTATTCAGAGATTCAACTTCTTCCTGGTTTAGTCTTGGGAGAGTGTATGTGTCGAGGAATTTATCCATTTCTTCTAGTTTTTCTAGTTTATTTGCGTAGAGGTGTTTGTAGTATTCTCTGATGGTAGTTTGTATTTCTGTGAGATCGGTGGTGATATCCCCTTTATCATTTTTTATTGTGTCTATTTGATTCTTCTCTCTTTTTTTCTTTATTAGTCTTGCTAGCGGTCTATCAATTTTGTTGATTCTTTCAAAAAACCAGCTCCTGGATTCATTAATTTTGTGAAGTGTTTTTTGTGTCTCTATTTCCTTCAGTTCTGCTTTGATTTTAGTTATTTCTTGCCTTCTGCTAGCTTTTGAATGTGTTTGCTCTTGCTTCTCTAGTTTTTTAATTGTGATGTTAGGGTGTCAATTTTGGATCTTTCCTGCTTTCTCTTGTGGGCATTTAGTGCTATAAAATTCCCTCTACACACTGCTTTGAATGCATCCCAGAGATTCTGGTATGTTGTGTCTTTGTTCTCGTTGGTTTCAAAGAACATCTTTATTTCTGCCTTCATTTCGTTATGTATCCAGTAGTCATTCAGGAGCAGGTTGTTCAGTTTCCATGTAGTTGAGCAGTTTTGAGTGAGATTCTTAATTCTGAGTTCTAGTTTGATTGCACTGTGGTCTGAGAGATAGTTTGTTATAATCTCTGTTCTTTTACATTTGCTGAGGAGAGCTTTACTTCCAAGTATGTGGTCAATTTTGGAATAGGTGTGGTGTGGTGCTGAAAAAAATGTATATTCTCTTGATTTGGGGTGGAGAGTTCTGTAGATGTCTATTAGGTCCGCTTGGTGCAGAGCTGAGTTCAATTCCTGGGTATCCTTGTTGACTTTCTGTCTCGTTGATCTGTCTAATGTTGACAGTGGGGTGTTAAAGTCTCCCATTATTAATGTGTGGGAGTCTAAGTCTCTTTGTAGGTCACTCAGGACTTGCTTTATGAATCTGGGTCCTCCTGTATTGGGTGCATATATATTTAGGATAGTTAGCTCTTCTTGTTGAATTGATCCCTTTACCATTATGTAATGGCCTTCTTTGTCTCTTTTGATCTTTGTTGGTTTAAAGTCTGTTTTATCAGAGACTAGAATTGCAACCCCTGCCTTTTTTTGTTTTCCATTGGCTTGGTAGATCTTCCTCCATCCTTTTATTTTGAGCCTATGTGTGTCTCTGCACGTGAGATGGTTTCCTGAATACAGCACACTGATGGATCTTGACTCTTTATCCAATTTGCCAGTCTGTGTCTTTTAATTGGAGCATTTAGTCCATTTACATTTAAAGTTAATATTGTTATGTGTGAATTTGATCCTGTCATTATGATGTTAGCTGGTTATTTTGCTCGTTAGTTGATGCAGTTTCTTCCTAGTCTCGATGGTCTTTACATTTTGGCATGATTTTGTGGCAGCTGGTACCGGTTGTTCCTTTCCATGTTTAGCGCTTCCTTCAGGAGCTCTTTTAGGGCAGGCCTGGTCGTGACAAAATCTCTCAGCATTTGCTTGTCTGTAAAGTATTTTATTTCTCCTTCACTTATGAAGCTTAGTTTGGCTGGATATGAAATTCTGGGTTGAAAATTCTTTTCTTTAAGAATGTTGAATATTGGCCCCCACTCTCTTCTGGCTTGTAGGGTTTCTGCCGAGAGATCCGCTGTTAGTCTGATGGGCTTCCCTTTGAGGGTAACCCGACCTTTCTCTCTGGCTGCCCTTAACATTTTTTCCTTCATTTCAACTTTGGTGAATCTGACAATTATGTGTCTTGGAGTTGCTCTTCTCGAGGAGTATCTTTGTGGCGTTCTCTATATTTCCTGAATCTGAACGTTGGCCTGCCTTGCTAGATTGGGGAAGTTCTCCTGGATAATATCCTGCAGAGTGTTTTCCAACTTGGTTCCATTCTCCCCATCACTTTCAGGTACACCAATCAGACGTAGATTTGGTCTTTTCACATAGTCCCCTATTTCTTGGAGGCTTTGCTCATTTCTTTTTATTCTTTTTTCTCTAAACTTCCCTTATGGCTTCATTTCATTCATTTCATCTTCCATTGCTGATACCCTTTCTTCCAGTTGATCGCATCGGCTCCTGAGGCTTCTGCATTCTTCACGTAGTTCTCGAGCCTTGGTTTTCAGCTCCATCAGCTCCTTTAAGCACTTCTCTGTATTGGTTATTCTAGTTATACATTCTTCTAAATTTTTTTCAAAGTTTTCAACTTCTTTGCCTTTGGTTTGAATGTCCTCCCGTAGCTCAGAGTAATTTGATCGTCTGAAGCCTTCTTCTCTCAGCTCGTCAAAGTCATTCTCCATCCAGCTTTTTTCCGTTGCTGGTGAGGAACTGCATTCCTTTGGAGGAGGAGAGGCGCTCTGCGTTTTAGAGTTTCCCGTTTTTCTGTTCTGTTTTTTCCCCATCTTTGTGGTTTTATCTACTTTTGGTCTTTGATGATGGTGATGTACAGATGGGTTTTCGGTGTGGATGTCCTTTCTGTTTGTTAGTTTTCCTTCTAACAGACAGGACCCTCAGCTGCAGGTCTGTTGGAATACCCTGCAGTGTGAGATGTCAGTGTGCCCCTGCTGGGGGGTGCCTCCCAGTTAGGCTGCTCGGGGGTCAGGGGTCAGGGACCCACTTGAGGAGGCAGTCTGCCGGGTCTCAGATCTCCAGCTGCGTGCTGGGAGAACCACTGCTCTCTTCAAAGCTGTCAGACAGGGACATTTAAGTCTGCGGAGGTTACTGCTGTCTTTTTGTTTGTCTGTGCCCTGCCCCCAGAGGTGGAGCCTACAAAGGCAGGCAGGCCTCCTTGAGCTGTGGTGGGCTCCACCCAGTTGGAGCTTCCGGGCTGCTTTGTTTACCTAAGCAAGCCTGGGCAATGGCGGACGCCCCTCCCCCAGCCTTGCTGCCGCCTTGCAGTTTGATCTCAGACTGCTGTGCTAGCAATCAGTGAGACTCCGTGGGCGTAGGACCCTCCGAGCCAGGTGCCGGATATAATCTCGTGGTGCGCCGTTTTTTAAGCCGGTCTGAAAAGCGCAATATTCGGGTGGGAGTGACCCGATTTTCCAGGTGAGTCTGTCACCCCTTTCTTTGACTTGGAAAGGGAACTCCCTGACCCCTTGCACTTCCCAAGTGAGGCAATGCCTCGCCCTGCTTCGGGTCGCGCACAGTGCGCGCACCCACTGGCCTCCGCCCACTGTCTGGCATTCCCTAGTGAGATGAACCCGGTACCTCAGATGGAAATGCAGAAATCACCCGTCTTCTGCGTCGCTCACACTGGGAGCTGTAGACCGGAGCTGTTCCTATTCGGCCATCTTGGCTCCTTCCCCGAAAAACTTTATATGACCAATTTAAATTAGTTTGATGCAAATAAAGGCTCAGAAGTTATCTCTATGAAGTTTGAAGAGATTAGTGACTTTGACACAGTTAAACACTTCTATGATATTTCAATGTAAACATTTCGAAACAGTTTTTAAAAGATGACTTTGTCTTTGGCTAGCAGGTTGATACTGCCTCATAAAATGAGCTTGGAAGTGTTCGTTCTTCTTCTAGTTTAAAAAGAGTTTAAGAATGATTGTTGCTAATTATTCTTTGAATGTTTTGCAGGATTCATCCATAAAGCCATAAGTCCTGAGTTTTTTATGTTGTTGGGAGGTCTTTAATTAATAATTAAAATTCACTTGTTATCTGTTTTGGCTTTCTATTTCATCTTAATTCAGTTTTGGTAGGTTGTAAGTTTCTGGGAATTTATTCTTTTTTTATAGGTTATCTAATTTGTTTGTATATAAGTGTTCCTAATAGTTCCTTATGATTATTTTTATTTCTTTGGCATCTGTTGTAATGTTGCCTGTTTTATCTCTGATTTTGTTTATTTGAATCTTCTTTTTTTCTTAGTAGAAGAATTTGTTGATTGTGTTTTTCAAAAAATTCTTAGTTTTTTAATGTTCTTCTAAAGCTTTTTATATTCTCTATTTGGTTTATTTCTACTCTGATCTTAATTATTTTATTCCTTCTGCTAACATTGGGTTTAATTTGTTTTTTTTTTTTTTTTTTCTAATTTCTTGAGGTATAAGGAATTAGAGAGTAAGGCATAAAGTTAGGTGGTTTATTTAAGACCTTTCCTGGAGGGAGGAGGCTAAGGAAAAAAAGACCTTTCTTCATTTTTAATGTAGGCATTTATGTCTATACACTTCCCTCCAAGTAATTAAGAGATACTTTTCCTGCATTTCATTAGTTCTGGGATATTGTGTTTGTTTTCATCCGTCTGAAGGTATTTTGAAATTCCCTTTTGACTTCCTCTTTGGACCTATTGATTGTTTTACTTAGTTTCTTTGTGTTTATGAATTTACCCTATTTCTTACTGTTGTTATCATTCTAGTTTTATTTCATTGTGATCAGCAAAGATGCTTGGAAATTACAGGCCAATATTGCTAATGAACATAGATGTAAAAGTCCTCAATAAAATACTAGCAAACCAAATTCAGTAGGACATTAAACGTGTTACATGCTATGAACAAGTGAAATTTGTCCCTGATGTGTTAGGCTATTCTTGCGTTGCTATAAAGAAATACCTGAGACTGGATAATTTACAAAGAAAAGAGGTTTAATTGGCTGATGATTCTATAGGTGCTGACATTACTTGGCTTCTGGGGAGGTGTCAGGGATCTTTGACTCATGATAGAAGGTGAAGTGGGAGCCTGTACGGCATGGTGAAATTAGGAGCAAGAGAGAGACAATGTTGGGGGATTGGGGAAGTGCCACACGCTTTTAAACAAAAGTATCATGTGAACGCAGATAAAGAGCTCAGTTTCCAATATCCAGGATCTCCTTGTAAATTTGTGGCTAGTCCCTTCTGTGCACCAATTATGACCGCAAACTAGTCCTAGCAGAGTTGTAGGTTTTCCCCTTTATTTCCTGCTGAGTTTGCTATTATTGATGAAAAAATCACTGTGGGTTTCTGCATTTTGCCCCAAATAAAGTGTGCCCTTTTTGACAGCAAAGCTTCTGGTTATGGTGGTTAGCCATACCCTGAGAAAACTGTCCTTCCACCTGACAAAGATCAAGAGAGAAGGAAGAAAGCAGCTTCACACAAAACAGACGTTGTTCTTACCTGATGCTCTGGCAGGTTATCATGAATAATCCCTTCTCACTTCCTTGTTTCCTCTTTGTCTATTTCCGGATCCTTGATAAGATTTGTTCTGATAATTTTGTTCAATTTTATACTTGTTTGGG
This sequence comes from Homo sapiens, assembly GCF_000001405.40. Taxonomy (NCBI): domain Eukaryota; kingdom Metazoa; phylum Chordata; class Mammalia; order Primates; family Hominidae; genus Homo; species Homo sapiens. The sequence continues at coordinate 185,862,694 of NC_000002.12, read as the reverse complement.
GGAAGAAGATTCATTAAACTCCTGAAAGCTCTAGTCAAGAATCTATCCACAGCATTTGTAAATTTACTTAGACAATACTCTGGCACTCATAGAGAAAACATTGGTCTCTTTGTCTTTCTCTAGTTGTTTTATTATTTCCCTTGACCTCTAATGGGCTCTCACTCTGCTCATGGGAAAATAAATTTCTTAATTCACTACATTTTAGGTTCTTCTTGTTTAAGTAGTCTCTGGTTATATATTCAGACAATTAAAAAACTAATCAGAAGGCAAATAGTCTTTTGGAGACATTCCTATTGATTTAAATAAATATTAAGTCAATTGGGTGTCTTCCAAGATTATAGCTCCTAGATTGGTCTGGTTCTCACAGTGGTGACCAGTGGGTTGTGTCTGGCAAATTTTAATCATTTTAGACACCATAATGGTAACCACCAATGAAATCCTTCACCCAAATCTTTGGGTTTGGTCACAAAGCTTAAAGTTGTCTTATACTCATAATAATGTTTATGTGTATATATTAATATTTGTGTAGGTGCATTTAAATGAGTGCAGGTTTATCAAAATCCCTAGCATTGCTAATTTGTAATTATTATATTTTTTGCTTTTTTTGAAACTTTATACTATATGATTTTTAAAATTTAAGAGTCTGATATATTAGATTTAAGAGTTTTGTAAATGTTAGGAAGCATATGTTGACTAGATTTAGATGTAGATGTATTGAATTCTTGAGAAAAATGGACTGTTTTTTTCATGTAGTCTGAAATGTTTTAAGGAATTAATAAAATTTTTAAACCATGGTAAATGTTTAAGGCAGTTTTCCACTGTCCAAATGGTAAGGTAATTGAGCATGAAACAAAGAATACAAGTAAAAGTAAGCACTTGTAACACAAATTAGTATATTTACAAGTGACCATACCAGATTGTAAATTATGTTTACAAGTTTGAGGGAACTTAGATTTATAAAATGAATAAGTTGAATACTAAAGACAAAATACAAGCTATAAATCAGGGAATTTGGGGGCCAGTAGTGCAAGCACTCTAGTATAGTTGACTCAACAAACACTTGTCTCCCAATTAAAGAATCTAACACATTAGCAGAAATTTGATGCATAGAAAAACAGGTATCAAGAAAATAAGTACAACTCAGGTAAACAGCAATGGGGGAGGAGATGAAAAGGTGAGGTATAGATAGTGACCATAGTAGGGAGTCAGGGAATGGAGAAATGAGAAAGTAGTCAGCAGAGATTGAGGGACTGAACACTGGCTTCCTCAATGTATTATCAAGACCTCTGTCTTGCCATATGTATAACTTACATCTTAGATTTATATTTTTAAATTACTTTAACTGAATGTAACTAGCAGATCAAATCAGATCCTCATGGATAAATGAAGGTGAATTCACAATTCTGTGTAGAAAGCAATGTGTTGGTTCAGTAATGTCTTCTTCTTTTGGAAATAAATACAAGTCCAGTATTATACAAAGTAGAATCTGGTATTATCTAGGGGAAACAGCATAGAATTTACTTGTATTTTTATATAATAGCATTTCTGACCATGTTGCAGAAAGAAACTGCACATTGGAATTGGTCATGGAATCTGTGCTTTTGAAAAATAGAGTATGAGATAAACTTGTGCAAGAAATTGGCATTTGGACAGCTGAGTTTGGGGCAAGGTAATAGGGGAAAGAAATAGGGTACATAATGAGGACGTGAAAATGTAGGGCTTATATAATAAAAGCAAAATAAGATAAAGTGAAAGAAGTCTAAAGTTTAAAGTCTAATTAATGTTAAAATATGAACAGTATTACTGTGGAACATTAACTTTGAGGATTTAAAACTATAGTAAAGATTCATTTATCTGATATTCTGATTACTAGCACCTTTGCGCTCCTACTGTGCTATGATAATAAATTTCATGACAAAGAGCTATAGAAACCAAGAGATCACATTTCTCCTACACAGCCAATGAGGATTAAAATGTCAGTCAGTTTTACTATATTCCCATTACCAGAGCCCAGTTTAAGGAAGGCAGTTGATAATGTCTCACTACACACTCATTTATTCTCATCACTACTTTTCTCATTTACCTCTAAGAATTTTACATCCAATTATCTAGATTACTCAGTGAGATAGGTCTTTTGTTTTCTTTTCTTCTTAACTCATTCTAGGAGCCAGCATTACTCAGCCTAATAAGTAACTCTTTCCATTTAGTGATGCTCTTCTCAATTCAATTGTGTTATGTCCTGTCCTTAATAAATACAACTGTCTTCAGTTTCCCAAGAAGTTGAGGATTTTTTTTTAATTTTATTGTGGCAATACTTGCCATTTTAACCATATTTAATTGTAAAATTCGGTAGCATTATGTTCATAGTGTTGTGCAGCAATCAACACTTCCAAAACTTTTTCATCATTCCAAACAGAAACTCTGTCTATTAAGCAGTAACTTTCTGTTCTTACCCTCAAACTTAGCCCCTGGTAACCTCTCATCAACTTTCTGTCTGCAAGTTTGCTATTTTAGATATCTCATTTAAATGAAATTATATATTTATCATTTACATCTGGCTTATTTTACTTAGCATAATGTTCAGAAGGTTCAACTATGTCGTAGTATGTATTAGGGCTTCATTCCTTTTGATGGCTAAATAATATTCCATTGTATGTATATATGACTTTTTTTGTCCATTCACTTGATGATAGATTTTTGGGTTGTTTTCACCTTTTGGCTATTGCAAATAATACTCCAAGGAGCATTAATGTATAAATATTTGATTGAGTTTATATTTTCCCTTCTTTTTGGTATATGCCTAGAAGTGGAATTGCTAGGTCATGTAATAATTCTGCATTTAGCCTGCATTTAGCAATATATGTGTTCCAATTTCTCCACATACTTGACAAAACTTATTTTCTGTTTTTATTTTTATTTTGTTTATTTATTTTTAGTAGTTATTCTAGTCTGCATGAAGTGGTGACTCATTGTGGTTTTGATTTGAATTTCCCAATAGTGTTGAACATCATAGCATGTGCTTTTTGCTCATTTGTATATTTCCTCTGGAAAAATGTCTATTCACCTCCTTTGCCCAGTTGTTTTTTCCTTTTTGTTGTTGAGTTGTAGGAGTTTTTACAATATATTTTGGATTTTATACCTTTATCAGATGTATGATTTGAAAATATTTTCACCCATTCTGTAAATTGTCTTTTCACTCTCTTGATATTGTTCTTTGATATACCATTACTATACAGTTTTGATTACTGTAACTTTGTAAAAAGGTTTGAGATTGGGAAGTGTGATTCCTCTCACAATGTCCTTCTTTTTCAAGGTCTGGCTATTTGGGACCCTGTATAGTTTCTTATGAATGTAAGCATTAGCTTTTTTATTTCTGCATAAAAAAGCTATTGGAATTTTGCTAGGAATTATGTTGAATCTGTAGATCACTTTGAGTAATATTGACATCTTAATAATATTGAATCTTCCTACCCATGAACTAAGGATGTCTTTCCATTTATTTAGCTCTTCTTTAATTTCTTTCAGCAATGATGTATTCTTTGTAGTGCCTTTCATCTCTTTAAATTTATTCCCATGTATTTTATTTTTTTAGATGCTATTGTAAATGGAATTACTTTCTAGTATAGTTTGGATGTTTGTCCCCTCCAAACCTCATATTGACATTTGATCTAGGGCCTGGTGGGAGGTGTTTGGGTTATGGAGGTGAATTCCTCACGAATGGCTTGGTACCTTCCCCACAGTAATGAGTTTATGTGAGATTTTGTTGTTTACATGAGGCTGGCATGTCTCATTCCCTTTTATGCCATATGGCACACCTGCTCTCCCTTTGCCTTCTACTATGAGTCAAACCTTCCTGAGAACTCACCAGAAGCTGAGGAGATGCTAGTGCCATGCATGTATAGCCTGCAGAACCTTCAGCCAAATAAAACTCTCTTCTTTATAAATTACCCAGTATCTTTTACAACAATGCAAAATAGACTAATATACATTCTTACATTAAAAAATATTTATTTCAGGTCCGTAGAAACATAATTTGTGTGTGTGTGTATGTGTGTGTGCGCGTGTGTGTATCTTGCATAATGGACATTTGCTGAATTTGTTTGTTAGCTCTTTTAGCCTTTTTGTGGATTCTTTTGGATTTGCTATATACACAGAATTTTTCTTCTCATCTGAAAATAGACACAGTTTGACTTCTTCCTCTCCAATTTCGATGCATTTCATTTTTGTAAATGTCTAATTGTTCTGGTTGAAATTTGTAATAAGTTGTTGAATAGCTGTGGTTAAACATTAAAACTTTCCAACAAAGAAAAGTCCAGGAAGAGATGAATTCACTGGTGAGTTATACCAAACATTTAAGAAAAAATTAACACCAATTCATCTCAAAATCTTAAGAAAATAAAAGAGGAAAGAACACTTCTTAACTCATTCTAGGAGGTCAGCATTACCTAGATATTAAGCCATATAAAAACATTACAAGAAAACAAAATTAAACACTGATATTTCTTGTGAATATAGATAGGGAGAAAACTAACAAAAATGCTATAAAACTAAATTTGACAGCATATTAAAAAGATTTTAAACTACAACTCAGTGGGGTTTATCCCAGAAATGCAAGGGTTGTTCAAATTAAGAAAACCAATCAATTTAACACACCATGGTAGGGGTTAATAGCACTCCCTCAAAATAGTTAAAGTTTCAATCCCCAGTAACTTATAATGTGGCTTTATTGGGAAATAGGAGTCTTTGTTGATGTAATTACTAGTTAAGATGAAGTCACACTGGAATAGGTGGGTCCCTAAACCAATGTAACTGATGTTCTTATTAAAAAGGAATGTGATGTGAAGAGAAAGACACACACCAAAAGGAAAATACCATGTGAATACTTGTGTCAAGACAAGCAGCTACCAGAAGCTTGGAGAGAAGCCTGGAACATATACTTTCCTGTGCCTCCAGAGTGAGCACAATCATACCAGCACTTTGATCTCAGCATTCTTGTCTCTAGAACTGGGACAATAGATTTATATTTTTTCACCCATTTAATTTGTGGTACTTTGTTATAATAGCCCTAGGAAACTAATACACGCCACATTAATACAATTAAGAGGAAAAACAACATGGTCATCTCAATTGAGGCAGAAAAGACATTTGACAAGAACTACTACTCTTTCATGGCAGGAACCATCAGGAAACTAGAAAAATAAAGAAACTTCATCAATATAATAAAGGAGATTTATAAAAATTCCGAAGCTAGCATCACATTAGTGATAAAGTTTACTCAACATTTCGTCAGTCTAGCTAAAGGTTTGTCAATTGTGTTGATATTTTCAAAAACACAATTTTCTACTTCATTGATTTTATTATTTGTCTATTCTCTACTTTATCTCTACTCTAATCCCTTATTTCATTCTTTTGAATAGCTTTGAGTTTATTTTGCTCTTATTTTTCTACCTCAACATGTAATGTTAAGGTTATTGATTTTATATATATTATTAATTAATGTAGACGTTTACTGCTATAAATTTCCCAGTGAGCACTGCCTTTGCTGCATTCCACAAGCTTTGTTATGTTTTGTTACTATTTATTATAATTTTTCTAAAAATTTATATGAATTTTCTGACCCCCATTGTGATCTCTTCTTTGACTCTATTGATTAATAGTGTGTTGTTTAACTTTCAAATATTTGTTAAATTTTTCATTTTTCCTATACTTATTGATAACTAACATCATTCCATTTTGTTTAGAAATGCTACTTTGTAAAATTCTACATTTTAAAATTTATGGAGGTGTGTTTTGTGACATAACATATGGTCTATTCTGAAGAATGTTCTAGGTACACTTGTGTATTCTGCTGTTGTTGAGGGAAATGTTCTATATATCTACTAGGTCTCATTGGTTTATAGTTTTGTTCAAGATCCTCTAATTACTTATTGGTCAGTCTAGATGTTTATTCATTATTGAAAGTGGTATATTGAACTTATTTAAGAACTATTTATCCACTGAATTCTGACCATTTCATCAATATGTAGTGTCATTCTTTGGTCTTGGAACAGTAGGTGACCAAAAGTCTATTTTGTGTGATATTAGTATAGCCACCCAAAGTTTCTTTGGGTTAATATTTTCGTGGAATGTGTTATTCCATTCTTTTTTGAAAAATTTGTTTCTTTGGATCCAGAGTAAGGCAGCATATAGTTGGATCATGTTTTTTGTGTGTGTCTTTTGTTATTCTGCTAATTTCTGTCTTTTGATTGAAGACTTTCATATATTTACATTTGAAGTAATTACTAATAAAGAAGAACTTTTACCATTTTACTATTTGTTTTCTGTATGTCTGGTAGCTTCCCCCCCCTAATTTTTCCCATTACTGCTTGATATAATTTGGATGTTGTCACCTCTAAATCTTGTTGAAATGTAATTCCCAGTGTTGCAGTTGGGGCCTTGTGGGAAGTGTTTGGGTCATGGGGGTAGATCTCTCATGAATGGCTTAGCCTTATCCCTTTGGTGATCAGTGAATTATCACTCTGGCAGTTACATGAGATCCGGTTATTTAAAAGAGTGTGGTATCTTCCTACTCTCTCTCTCTCTCTTGCTCCTGCTCTTGCCACATGATATGCTGGCTTCCCTTTGCCTTCAGCCATGATGGTCAGCTTCCTGAGCCCTCACAAGGAGCTGAGCCGATGTTGGTCCTATACTTGTACAGCCTGCAGAAATGTATGACAAATTAAACCCTGAATCTCAGGCATTTTTTTATAGCAACTCAAAAATGGCCTAACACACTGGTGATATTGTCTGAATATTTATGTCCTTCCAAAATTCATGGTGAAACTTAATCCCCATTTTGGTAGCATTAAGAACTGGGGCCTTTGGGAGAAAATTAAGTCATAAATGCTCTGCTCTCATAAATGAGTCTAGTGCCCTTATAAAAGGGGCTTGAGAGAACCTTCTGACCTTTTTACCATGTGAGGACACTAACAAGTCTCCATCTATGAAGCCCTCGCCAGACACTAAATCTGCTGGCACCTTTATCTTAGACTTCCCAGTCTCCAGAACTATGAGCAATAAATTTCTGTTTTTCATAAATTTTCTAGTCAAAGGTATTTTTTTTACAGTAGCCAACACCCGAGACAAAAATGGGTACCAAGAAGCAGCGTGCTGCTGTAATAAATACCTAAAAATGTTCCAGCAGCCGTAGAACTGGATAATAAATAATTCTGGAAGAGTTATGTGGTACATTTGCAAAAAACAGAGTGTTAAGGTTGATTCTGGTGAGGGCCCAGGAGAATAGAGTTGTGGAGAATGCCAGAATCTTAGAGACTATCTGAAAGGTTATGAGGAAAATTTGATAGGAATATGGACAATGAAGGTAATGAAGTCTTGTATGGCAATGGGAAACATGTCATTCGAAACTAGAAGGACATCCTTGTTTTAATGTGGCAAAAACTTGGCTAAATTTTGTTTATGCCCTGGTGTTTCATGGAAAGTAGAACTTGTGAGTGATGAAATAGGATATTTGGTGAAAGATACATCTAAGCATAGTGTTGACGGTGTAGCATGACTTTTATTGACTTCTAAAGGGTGTGACTGAACAAACATTTGATAACATTAATATAAACAGAAGGAAGCCAGTAGTTATTTATCAAGACAGTGAAAAAATGATCCTGAAGGCATTTTGCAGATAATTGATGCTGCCCCTCCCATCGCAGGCTCAGAGTGCCAAGGCCTACGGGCAAAACAATGACAAAAGGGGAGTCTTGGGTACTCCTGGTACTTTACGTAAGTCTCTGCTCCCCACATTCTGGTATAGTGCTCCTTAGTTGTCCCAGATGTGGCTCAAGTAGACCAAGGAGCAGTGCAGGCCACAGCGGCTTCCGCTTTGGAAGGCACATTGTAGTAATCCATGCTGGCATCAGTGTAATGCTTATTCTGGAGATACACAGAGTTGGAGAGTTTTAGGGGTGTGGCTACTTCCACCTAAATTTTAAAGGATGCCCGAGAGAGCAAATTTTATGAATGAAATTTGTGCTCTTATAAAAGACATTTCATGGACTGCTTTGCTCATTTTGCCATCTGAGGGTACAGCATTTGGCCCTTCTGCCATGTGAGGATACAAGAAGAGAGTACCACTTTGAGGCAGAGAGCAAGCCCTCACCAGACACCTAATCTGCTGGTGCCTTGATCACAGACTTTCTGCTTTCCAGAACTGTGGAAAAATCTTTTGTTTATAGATTACCCCATCTAAAATATTTTTGTTATAGCAGCCCAAATGAACTAAGAACACTATCTTCTTTTGTGTTTAGTTGATTTTTTTGTAGTTTGATTCCTTTCTCATTTTCTTTCATATATTTATTTTGAATATTGTCTTAATGTATACTATGGAGATTACATTTAACATTATAATTTATAACATACAATTTAATTGCTCTCAATTTAACTTCAGTAGCATGGGGAATTTCTGCTCCTATACAGCTTAATCTTCCCCATTTCCCTGTATATTGTCACAAATGGCTTTTGAATATATTGTGTGGACAACACCATAGATTTATAATTATTTTCATAAGTTTGCCTTTTAAATTCTGTAGAAAATGAAAAATGTAATTAGAAATCAAAAATATAATATCTTTTATTTTTAATAAAATAAAAGTATTTTATTACTTATGTATTTATTTATGTATTTGCCTTTGCCAGAATTTTATTTATTCATGTGGCTTTGACTTACTGTCTAGTGACTTTCATTTTAACTTGCAGGACTCCCTTTGTCATTTCTTACAGGAGAAGTCTAGTGCTAACAAGCTCCCTCAACTTTTAAGCGTATCTTATAAGAAATTATGAGGCATAGAATTCTTAGTTGACAATTTTTTAACAACTTTAAATATTATTGAGAATCCTTGTACATGAACATGAGGAGTCTCTTCTGACACTGCTTTTATGATTGCCTTTTTTTCCAAATTTATAAAATTGTAGTAAAATACACATAACATAAAATGTACAATTGGAATCATATTAAAAGTTTATATGTCGGTGGTATTAAATACATTCATAATATTGTGCAGCTATCACCACTACTATAGTTTTTGAATAAATTTCTCCCCTCAAAATTCATGTTAAAATTCTATCCCTAGTGTTGTAGTGATGGGAAGTGAGGCCAAGTAAAAGGTGCTTGGGTCATGGGAGTTGGTCCTTCATAAATGACTTGTTATTATTTTCATGTGCATTTTTCTTTTTTTTTTTTTGAGATGAAGTCTCACTCTGTCACCCAGGCTGGAGTGTAGTGGTGCAATCTCGGCTCACTGCAACCTCTGCCTCCCAGGTTCAAGGAATTCTCCTGCTTCAGCCTCCTGAGTAGCTGGGATTACAGGTGCATGCCACCATGCCCTGCTAATGTTTTTTATTTTGTATTTTTAGTAGAGATGGGGTTTCGCCATGTTGCCCAGGCTGATCTCAAACTCCTGACCTCAAGTGATCTACCTGCCTCGGCCTGGGATTACAGTGCTGGGATTACAGGCGTGAGCCACTGCACCTGGCCGGTAGTGCATTCTTACTCTGGCAAGACTAGATTAGTTCTTGTAAAAATGGAGTAATTTCTGTGAGAGTGGGTTGTTATAAAGCCAGGACACTTTTTGTGTTTTGCTTCTTTGCATGTGTCCACTTCCCCTTTGATCTTCTCCGCCATGTTATGAGATAGCACAAAAGCTCTTACCAGAAGCCAGGGCCATGTCTTTGAACTTCCCATCCTGCAGAACTGTGAGATAGATAATTCTGTTTTCTTTATAAATTACCCAGCTTTAAGCATTCTACTATAGAAACACAAAATTGACAAAAGCATAAAATTGGTGCCAAGGAGTGGGTATTGCTATACAGATAACTTGAAAATGTGGAAATGTCTTAGGAACTGGGTAATGGGTAGAGGTTAGAAAAGTTTGGAGGATCCGGCCAGAAAAAAGACTGTATTGTTATGAATAAAGCATTAAGGGTGATGCTGGAGCAGGCTCAGAAGAAGGCTAAATATGAGGTAAATTTTGACCAGATGAGAAGTAGTTATTTGTAAAATGAGCAAAGGTTATCCTTGTTATACAGTTGTAAAAAACATGGTTGCATTGTGTTCATGCCCTAAGGATTTGTAAAAGACCAAACTAGAATACCTGGTGAAAGAAATTTCTAAATATCAAAGTACTCAATAAGCAATATAGTTGCTACTTTTAATGGCTTATGATCAGCTACAGCAGTAAAGAAATGACCTAAAGGCAGAATTTATAATTAAAAGGGAAGCAGAAAATAAAGATTTGGGAAATTCAGTCTGACCATGTGGTAAAGAATAAGAGCATTTGCAGGGGAGAAATCAAAGGATACAACTGAGCAATCACTTTCTTAAGAGATTTCATGAATAAAAGGGAACCAGATGTTAATAGTCAAAGCAATAGATAAGAGGGAGTAAAGGCATTTCAAAAGCCTTTGAGATTACCCTCCCCATTACAGGGGTCTGGGAAGACAGAATGACTTTGGGGGACAGGCCCATGGTTCCAACACCCTGTGCTGCCTAAAACAGTGCTCCTTGCATCCTGGCCATTCTGACTGAAGCATCTGTGGCTCAAATGGCCCCAAGTACAGCTCAGATCACTGCTCTGGAGGCCCAGATGGTAAGTCTTGGAGATTTCCACATGGTGCTGTCTGCAGACCTGCAACATGAGGGTATTTTGTATGTGAGAAGAACATGAGTGTTGGGCAGCCAGGGGTAGAATGCTATGGTTTAAATGTGGTTTGTTGTCACCACAATTTTTGTTAAAATTTGATACCCAACATGATGGTGTTGGGAGGTAGGGACACTTGGGAGGTATTTTTGCCATGGGGGAAGATCCCTCATAAATGGCTTGGTGCCATTCCTATGGTAGTATGTTCACATTCTGGTGAGGCTGGACTAGTTCTTGCAATAATGGATTGGTTCCTGTGAGAATGGGTTGTAACAAACCCAGGATGCCCCTTGCATTTTGCCTCTTTGCATGTGTCCACTTCCCAGGTGATCTTCTTTCTCATGTTATAACGCAGCAGAAAGACTCTTGCCAGAAGCCAGGACTATGCGCTTAAACTTCCCAACATGAAGAACCATGAGTGAAACAATCTTTTCTTTATAAATTTCCCAGCTTCAGGTTTTCTGTTATAGCAACACTAAACGGACTAAGACAACCACCATCCATCTCCTTAACACTTTTTGTCTTGTAAAACTGAAACTTAACCCATTAAACAATATCTTTTCATGCTAAGCCCTCCAGCCCTTGCCAACCACCATTCTACGTTCTGTCTCTATAATTTCAGCTAAGACTCTAAGTATCTCATTTATGTGAATTCATACAGTTTTTGTGTTTGTGTGACTGGCTTACCTCACTTTGCATAATGTGCTCAAGCTTCATCCATGTTGTCACCTATGTCACAACTTTCAATCTATTTGTGTCTTTGATACTAAAGGGAGTCTCTTGTAGACAGTATAAAATTGAATCATGTTTTCTTAAATCTAGTCTGTCAGTCTTTGTCTTTTGATTTGAAACAGTTTGATTCATTTACACTTAAAGTAGTGACTGATAAGGAAAGACATACTTCTGTCATTTTGCTATTTGTTTTCTATATGATTTATCACTTCTTTGTCCCTCATTTCCTGCATCCCTGTTTTTTATGTTTAATTTTTTGTTATGAAATATTTAACTTTCTTTTTCATTTACTTTTGTATTTTAAGGTATTTTCTTTCTAGTCACCATAAAGATTACATTTAACATTCTAAAATTACAATAACTTAATTAGAATTATACTATTTTAACTTCAGTGATTTACAAAATCTCTGCTCTGTCATTGTTTTGTCCCTATCACTTTCAGTTATTGTCACAAAGTTACACCTTTATGCATTGTGGGTCTAAAAGTATAAAGTGATATTTTAAATGCATTCTTCTCTTAAAGTATAAATGTGAAGTTATAAACCAAAGTTACAATAGTACTAGCTTTTAGACAATTGTTTTTAAAATACGTTAGTACCTTAAATCATGTAGAAAACTAAGATGGTATTATAAATGTTACATTAATACTAGCTTTTATAATTTCCAATGTATTTATGTTTATGTACGTTTTATTTCTTCATATGGCTTTGAATTACTGTCTATTGTCTTTTCATTTCATCCTGCAGGACTTCCTTGAGCATTTCTTGCAGAGTAGGTCTAGTGGTAAGAAAATTCTTTAGCTTTTGTTCATATGAATATGTCTTAATTTTCTTTGTCACATTTGAAGGACAATTTTGCTTGGCTTTTTTTTTTTTCTCCTTTAGCAGTTTCAATATACTGACCCCTTGCACTCTGACCTCCAAAGTTTTAATGAAAAATCCGCTGACAATCTTAAGGAGATTTTGGGCTGAGACAATGGGGTTTTCTAAATGTACAATCATGTCATCTGCAAACAGAGACAATTTGACTTCCTCTTTTCCTAATTAAATACCTTTTATTTCTTTCTCTTGCCTGATTGCCCTGGCCGGAACTTCCAATACTATGTTGAATAGGAGTGGTGAGAGAGGGCATCCTTGTCTTGTGCCGGTTTTCAAAGGGAATGCTTCCAGTTTTTGCCCATTCACTATGATATTAGCTGTGGGTTTGTCATTAAATAGCTCTTATTATTTTGAGTTATGTTCCATCAATACCTAGTTCATTGAGAGTTTTTAGCATGAAGCGCTGTTGAATTTTATCTAAGGCCTTTTCTGCATCTATTGAGATAATCATGTGGTGTTTGTCATTGGTTCTGCTTATGTGATGGATTATATTTATTGATTTGGGCATGTTAAACCAGCCTTGCATCCCAAGGATGAAGCCGACTTGACCATGGTGGATAAGCTTTTTGATGTGCTGCTGGATTTGGTTTGCCAGTATTTTATTGAGGATATTCACATCGATATTCATCAGGGATATTGGACTGAAATTTTCTTTTTTTGTTATGTCTCTGCCAGGTTTTGGTATCAGGATGATGCTGACCTCATAAAATGAGTCAGGGAGGATTCTCTCTTTTTCTATTGTTTGGAATAGTTTCAGAAGGAATGGTACCAGCTCCACTTTGTACCTCTGGTAGAATTCAGCTGTGAATCTGTCTGGTCCTGGACTTTTTTTTTTGGTTGGTAGGCTATTAATTGCTGCCTCAATTTCAGAACTTGTTATTGGTCTATTCAGGGATTCAACTTCTTCCTGGTTTAGTCTTGGGAGGGTGTATGTGTCCAGAAATTCATCCATTTCTTCTAGATTTTCTAGTTTATTTGCATAGTGGTGTTTATAGTATTCTCTGATGGTAGTTTGTATTTCTGTGGGACCGGGGGTGATATCCCCTTTATCATTTTTTACTGTATCTACTTGATTCTTCTCTCTTTTTATCTCTATTAGTCTGGCTAGTGGTCTATTTGTTGATCTTTTAAAAAAAACAGATCCTGGATTCATTGATTTTTTTTTGAAGGGCTTTTTATGTCTCTATCTCCTTCAGTTCTGCTCTGATGTTTGCCACAAAGACAATAAATTACCTAGAGATACAACTTACAAGGGATGTGAAGGACCTCTTCAAGGAGAACTACAAACCACTGCTCAAGGAAATTTGAGAGGACACAAACAAATGGAAAAACATTCCATGCTCATGGATAGGAAGAAGCAACATCATGAAAATGGCTATACTGCCCTAAGTAATTTATAGACTCAATGCTATCCCCATCAAGCTACCATTGACTTTCTTCACCGAATTGGAAAAAGACACTTCAAATTTCATATAGAGCCAAAAAAGAGCCCGCATAGCCAAGACAATCCTAAGCAAAAAGAGCAAAACTGGAGGCATCACGCTACCTGACTTCTAACTATACTACAAGGCTACAGTAACCAAAACAGCATGGTACTGGTACCAAAACAGAGATATAGACCAATGGAACAGAACAGAGACCTCAGAAATAACACCACACATCTACAACCATTTGATCTTTAACAAACCTGACAAAAACGAGCAATGGGGAACGGATTTCCTATTTAATAAATGGTGTTGGGAAGACTGGCTAGCCATATACAGAAAGCTGAAACTGGATCCCTTCCTTACACCTTATACAAAAATTAACTCAAGATGGATCAAAGACTTAAATGTAAGACCTAAAACCACAAAAAACCCTAGAAGAAAACCTAGGCAATACCATTCAGGACATAGGCATGGGAAAAGACTTCATGACTAAAACACTGAAAGCAATGGCAACAAATGCCAAGATAGACAAATGGGATCTAATTAATCCAAAGAGCTTCTGTATAGCAAAAGAAACTATCATCAGAGTGAACATGCAGCTTACAGAATGGGAGAAATTTTTTGCAGTCTATCCATCTGACAAAGGGCTAATATCTAGAATCTACAAAGAACTTAAACAAATTTATAAGAAAAAAAGAAACACCCCTATCAAAAAGTGGGTGAAGGATATGAACAGACACTCCTCAAAAGAAGACATTTATGCAGCCAACAGACATGAAAAAAGGCTCATCATCACTGGTCATTAGAGAAATGCAAATCAAAACCACATTGAGATACCATCTCACACCTGTTATAATGGCAGTCATTAAGAAGTCAGGAAACAACAGATGCTGGAGAGGATGTGGAGAAATAGGAATACTTTTACACTGTTGGGAGTGCAAATTAGTTCAACCATTGTGGAAGACAGTGTGGCGATTCCTCAAGGATCTAGAACTAGAAATACAATTTGACCCAGAAATCCCAATACTGGGTATATACCCAAAGGATTATAAATCATTCTAATATAAAGACACATGCACATGTATGTTTATTGTGACACTGTTGACAATAGCAAAGACTTGGAACCAACCCTAATGCGCATTAATGATAGCCTGGATAAAGAAAATTTGGCACATCTATACCATGGAATACTAAGCAGCCATAAAGAAGGATGAGTTCAGGAGGAGCCAAGATGGCCGAATAGGAACAGCTCCGGTCTACAGCTCCCAGCGTGAGCGACGCAGAAGACGGGTGATTTCTGCATTTCCATCTGAGGTACCGGGTTCATCTCACTAGGGAGTGCCAGACAGTGGGCACAGGCCAGTGGGTGAGCGCACCGTGCGCGAGCCAAAGCAGGGCCAGGCATTGCCTCACTTGGGAAGTGCAGGGGTCAGGGAGTTCCCTTTCTGAGTCAAAGAAAGGGGTGACAGACGCACCTGGAAAATCGGGTCACTCCCACCCGAATATTGCGCTTTTCAGACCGGCTTAAAAAACGGCACACCACGAGATTATATCCGGCACCTGGCTCGGAGGGTCCTACGCCCACGGAATCTCGCTGATTGCTAGCACAGCAGTCTGAGATCAAACTGCAAGGCGGCAGCAAGGCTGGGGGAGGGGCGTCCGCCATTGCCCAGGCTTGCTTAGGTAAACAAAGCAGCCGGGAAGCTCCAACTGGGTGGAGCCCACCACAGCTCAAGGAGGCCTGCCTGCCTTTGTAGGCTCCACCTCTGGGGGCAGGGCACAGACAAACAAAAAGACAGCAGTAACCTCTGCAGACCTAAATGTCCCTGTCTGACAGCTTTGAAGAGAGCAGTGGTTCTCCCAGCACGCAGCTGGAGATCTGAGACCCGGCAGACTGCCTCCTCAAGTGGGTCCCTGACCCCTGACCCCCGAGCAGCCTAACTGGGAGGCACCCCCCAGCAGGGGCACACTGACACCTCACACTGCAGGGTATTCCAACAGACCTGCAGCTGAGGGTCCTGTCTGTTAGAAGGAAAACTAACAAACAGAAAGGACATCCACACCGAAAACCCATCTGTACATCACCATCATCAAAGACCAAAAGTAGATGAAACCACAAAGATGGGGAAAAAACAGAACAGAAAAACGGGAAACTCTAAAACGCAGAGCGCCTCTCCTCCTCCAAAGGAATGCAGTTCCTCACCAGCAACGGAACAAAGCTGGATGGAGAATGACTTTGACGAGCTGAGAGAAGAAGGCTTCAGACGATCAAATTACTCTGAGCTACGGGAGGACATTCAAACCAAAGGCAAAGAAGTTGAAAACTTTGAAAAAAATTTAGAAGAATGTATAACTAGAATAACCAATACAGAGAAGTGCTTAAAGGAGCTGATGGAGCTGAAAACCAAGGCTCGAGAACTACGTGAAGAATGCAGAAGCCTCAGGAGCCGATGCGATCAACTGGAAGAAAGGGTATCAGCAATGGAAGATGAAATGAATGAAATGAAGCCATAAGGGAAGTTTAGAGAAAAAAGAATAAAAAGAAATGAGCAAAGCCTCCAAGAAATAGGGGACTATGTGAAAAGACCAAATCTATGTCTGATTGGTGTACCTGAAAGTGATGGGGAGAATGGAACCAAGTTGGAAAACACTCTGCAGGATATTATCCAGGAGAACTTCCCCAATCTAGCAAGGCAGGCCAACGTTCAGATTCAGGAAATATAGAGAACGCCACAAAGATACTCCTCGAGAAGAGCAACTCCAAGACACATAGTTGTCAGATTCACCAAAAGTTGAAATGAAGGAAAAAATGTTAAGGGCAGCCAGAGAGAAAGGTCGGGTTAACCTCAAAGGGAAGCCCATCAGCCTAACAGTGGATCTCTCGGCAGAAAGCCTACAAGCCAGAAGAGAGTGGGGGCCAATATTCAACATTCTTAAAGAAAAGAATTTTCAACCCAGAATTTCATATCCAGCCAAACTAAGCTTCATAAGTGAAGGAGAAATAAAATACTTTACAGACAAGCAAATGCTGAGAGATTTTGTCACCACCAGGCCTGCCCTAAAAGAGTTCCTGAAGGAAGCGCTAAACATGGAAAGGAACAACCGGTACCAGCCACTGCAAAATCATGCCAAAATGTAAAGACCATCAAGACTAGGAAGAAACTGCATCAACTAACGAGCAAAATAACCAGCTAACATCATAATGACAGGATCAAATTCACACATAACAATATTAACTTTAAATGTAAATGGACTAAATGCTCCAATTTAAAGACACAGACTGGCAAATTGGATAAAGAGTCAAGACCCATCAGTGTGCTGTATTCAGGAAACCCATCTCATGTGCAGAGACACACATAGGCTCAAAATAAAAGGATGGAGGAAGATCTACCAAGCCAATGGAAAACAAAAAAAGGCAGGGGTTGCAATTCTCGTCTCTGATAAAACAGACTTTAAACCAACAAAGATCAAAAGAGACAAAGAAGGCCATTACATAATGGTAAAGGGATCAATTCAACAAGAAGAGCTAACTATCCTAAATATATATGCACCCAACACAGGAGCACCCAGATTCATAAAGCAAGTCCTGAGTGACCTACAAAGAGACTTAGACTCCCACACATTAATAATTGGAGACTTTAACACCCCACTGTCAACATTAGACAGATCAACGAGACAGAAAGTCAACAAGGATACCCAGGAATTCAACTCAGCTCTGCACCAAGCGGACCTAATAGACATCTACAGAACTCTCCACCCCAAATCAAGAGAATATACATTTTTTTCAGCACCACACCACACCTATTCCAAAATTGACCACATACTTGGAAGTAAAGCTCTCCTCAGCAAATGTAAAAGAACAGAAATTATAACAAACTATCTCTCAGACCACAGTGCAATCAAACTAGAACTCAGAAGTAAGAATCTCACTCAAAGCCGCTCAACTACATGGAAACTGAACAACCTGATCCTGAATGACTACTGGATACATAACGAAATGAAGGCAGAAAAAAAGATGTTCTTTGAAACCAACGAGAACAAAGACACAACATACCAGAATCTCTGGGATGCATTCAAAGCAGTGTGTAGAGGGAAATTTATAGCACTAAATGCCCACAAGAGAAAGCAGGAAAGATCCAAAATTGACACCCTAACATCACAGTTAAAAAACTAGAGAAGCAAGAGCAAACACATTCAAAAGCTAGCAGAAGGCAAGAAATAACTAAAATCAGAGCAGAACTGAAGGAAATAGAGACACAAAAAACCCTTCAAAAAATCAATGAATCCACAAGCTGGTTTTTTGAAAGGATCAACAAAATTGATAGACCGCTAGCAAGACTAATAAAGAAAAAAAGAGAGAAGAATCAAATAGACACAATAAAAAATGATAAAGGGGATATCACCACCGATCTCACAGAAATACAAACTACCATCAGAGAATACTACAAACACCTCTATGCAAATAAACTAGAAAGTCTAGAAGAAATGGATAAATTCCTTGACACATACACTCTCCCAAGACTAAACCAGGAAGAAGTTGAATCTCTGAATAGACCAATAACAGGAGCTGAAATTGTGGCAATAATCAATAGTTTACCAACCAAAAAGAGTCCAGGACCAGATGGATTCACAGCCGAATTCTACCAGAGGTACAAGGAGGAACTGGTACCATTCCTTCTGAAACTATTCCAATCAATAGAAAAAGAGGGAATCCTCCCTAACTCATTTTATGAGGCCAGCATCATTCTGATACCAAAGCCGGGCAGAGACGCAACCAAAAAAGAGAATTTTAGACCAATATCCTTGATGAACATTGATGCAAAAATCCTCAATAAAATACTGGCAAACCGAATCCAGCAGCACATCAAAAAGCTTATCCACCATGATCAAGTGGACTTCATCCCTGGGATGCAAGGCAGGTTCAATATACGCAAATCAATAAATGTAATCCAGCATATAAACAGAGCCAAAGACAAAAACGACATGATTATCTCAATAGATGCAGAAAAAGCCTTTGACAAAATTCAACAACCCTTCATGCTAAAAACTCTCCATAAATTACGTATTGATGGGACGTATTTCAAAATATTAAGAGCTATCTATGACAAACCCACAGCCAATATCATACTGAATGGGCAAAAACTGGAAGCATTCCCTTTGAAAACTGGCACAAGACAGGGATGCCCTCTCTCACCACTCCAATTCAACATAGTGTTGGAAGTTCTGGCCAGGGCAATTAGGCAGGAGAAGGAAATAAAGGGTATCCAATTAGGAAAAGAGGAAGTCAAATTGTCCCTGTTTGCAGACGACATGATTGTATATCTAGAAAACCCCATTGTCTCAGCCCAAAACCTCCTTAAGCTGATAAGCAACTTCAGCAAAGTCTCAGGATACAAAATCAATGTACAAAAAATCACAAGCATTCTTATACACCAACAACAGACAAACAGAGAACCAAATCATGAGTGAACTCCCATTCACAATTGCTTCAAAGAGAATAAAATACCTAGGAATCCAACTTACAAGGGATGTGAAGGACCTCTTCAAGGAGAACTACAAACCACTGTTCAATGAAATAAAAGAGGATACAAACAAATGGAAGAACATTCCATGCTCATGGGTAGGAAGAATCAATATCGTGAAAATGGCCATACTGCCCACTGTAATTTATAGATTCAATGCCATCCTCATCAAGCTACCAATGACTTTCTTCACAGAACTGGAAAAAACTACTTTAAAGTTCATATGGAACCAAAAAAGAGCCCGCATCGCCAAGGCAATCCTAAGCCAAAAGAACAAAGCTGGAGGCATCACACTACCTGACCTCAAACTATACTACAAGGCTACAGTAACCAAAACAGCATGGTACTGGTACCAAAACAGAGATATAGATCAATGGAACATAACAGAGCCCTCAGAAATAACGTCGCATATCTACAGCTATCTGATCTTTGACAAACCTGAGAAAAACAAGCAATGGGGAAAGGATTCCCTATTTAATAAATGGTGCTGGGAAAACTGACTAGCCATATGTAGAAAGCTGAAACTGGATCCCTTCCTTACACCTTATACAAAAATCAGTTCAAGATGGATTAAAGATTTAAACGTTAGACCTAAAACCATAAAAACCCTAGAAGAAAACCTAGGCGTTACCATTCAGGATACAGGCATGGGCAAGGACTTCATGTCCAAAACACCAAAAGCAATGGCAACAAAAGCCAAAATTGACAAATGGGATCTAATTAAACTAAAGAGCTTCTGCACAGCAAAAGAAACTACCATCAGAGTGAACAGGCAACCTACAAAATGGGAGAAAATTTTCACAACCCACTCATCTGACAAAGGGCTAATATCCAGAATCTACAATGAACTCAAACAAATTTACAAGAAAAAAACAAACAACCCCATCAAAAAGTGGGCGAAGGACATGAACAGACATTTCTCAAAAGAAGACATTTATGCAGCCAAAAAACACATGAAAAAATGCTCATCATCACTGGCCATCAGAGAAATGCAAATCAAAACCACAATGAGATACCATCTCACACCAGTTAGAATGGCAATCATTAAAAAGTCAGGAAACAACAGGTGCTGGAGAGGATGTGGAGAAATAGGAACACTTTTACACTGTTGGTGGGACTGTAAACTAGTTCAACCATTGTGGAAATCAGTGTGGTGATTCCTCAGGGATCTAGAACTAGAAATACCATTTGACGCAGCCATCCCATTACTAGGTATATACCCAAATAACTATAAATCATGCTGCTATAAAGACACATGCACACGTATGTTTATTGCGGCATTATTCACAATAGCAAAGACTTGGAACCAACCCAAATGTCCAACAATGATAGACTGGATTAAGAAAATGTGGCACATATACACCATGGAATACTATGCAGCCATAAAAAATGATGAGTTCATGTCCTTTGTAGGGACATGGATGAAATTGGAAATCATCATTCTCAGTAAACTATCGCAAGAACAAAAAACCAAACACTGCATATTCTCACTCATAGGTGGGAATTGAACAATGAGATCACATGGACACTGGAAGGGGAATATCACACTCTGGGGACTGTGTTGGGGTGTGGGGAGGGGGCAGGGATAGCATTGGGAGATATACCTAATGCTAGATGACGAGTTAGTGGGTGCAGCGCACCAGCATGGCACATGTATACATATATACATATGTAACTAACCTGCACAATGTGCACATGTACCCTAAAACTTAAAGTATAATGAAAAAAAAAAAGAAGGATGAGTTCATGTCCTTTGCAGGGACATGGATGAAGCTCGAAACCATCATTCTTAGCAAACTTAACATGAGAACAGAAATCCAAACACCGCATGTTCTCACTTATAAGTGGGAGTTGAACAATGAAAACACTTGGACACAGGGAGAGGATCACAGGGAGGGGACACTTGGACAGACACCAGGCCTGTCGTGGGGTGGGGGAATAGGGGAGGGATAGCATTAGGAGAAATACCTAATGTAGATGATGTGTTGATGGGTGCAGCAAACCACCATGGCACGTGTATACCTATGTAACAAACGTGCACGTTATGCACATGTACCTCAGAACTTATGCTTTTTTTAAAAAAAGAGAAATCTGCTGACAATCTTATTGAGAATTCCTGTGACATGTCACTACTTTCTTACTGGTTTCAAAATTCTCATTGTCTTTTGAAAATATAATTATAACATGTCTCAATGTGGTTCTTTTTGAGATCATCTTACTTGGAGTTTATTGACTTTGGATGTTTATATTCACATCTGTCATCAAATGTGGGAAGTCTTCAGACATTCTTCAAATATTCCTTCTCCCCCTTTCCCTGTCTTTTCCATTTGGGACTCACAAAATGCATACATTGATCCACTTGATGGTGACCTACAGGTTCCTTAGGTTCACTTCACTTTAATTTTTTAAATCTATTCCTCAGACTAATTAATTTTCATTGTTCCATCTTCAAGTTTGTGGTTTTTTCTTCTGCCTGCTCAAACCCACTTTTTTTTCTATAACTTAAACTTTATTGTTAATTAAAAGGAAAATACATTTCTATGTGTATTGCTTACAAACAAAAGCACTAATGAATTGAGATGAAAGATTTTTACATGGGTATATACATATATGTGTACCAAAGCAATCAATTGATAGTTACTTTTCGTTAACATACTCATGCTGTACATAGGCATGTGTATCCTTTCTCAATTATTGTATCCATTTCCAACAGTTCATCTGCATAACCATTATCTTTAATATATATACACTATTCCATATACATTGTAATTAACTATTACTTTGAACATTTAAGGTATTTAATTTTTTTCACTACTACAAGTAAATACCATGGTAAGTATTTTTTTACACAGATAGCATTTTCTTTTTTTTTTTTCACAATATCGAAGACTTGGTACCAACCCAAATGTCCAACAATGATAGACTGGATTAAGAAAATGTGGCACATATACACCATGGAATACTATGCAGCCGTAAAAAATGATGAGTTCATGTCCTTTGTAGGGACATGGATGAAATTGGAAATCATCATTCTCAGTAAACTATAGCAAGGACAAAAAACCAAACACCGCATGTTCTTACTCATAGGTGGGAATTGAACAATGAGAACACATGGACACAGGAAGGGGAACATCAAACCCACTTTTGAATCTCTCTAGTAAATGTGTTATTTAGGTTATTGTAATTTTTGCCTCTAGAATTTCTTTTTGTTTTCCGTTTAGTTTTCTATGTCTTTCATTAATATTTTGATTTTGTTCATACACAGTTTTAACTTTATATCTTTGAGCATCTTTAAGAATGTTGTTTTTAAGTGTTTTTCTAGTATATTTGCTGTCAGGCCTTTTTAAATAACAATTTTTGTTGATTTATTTTTTTTCCTTTGAATGAGCCACACTTTCAAGTTTCTTTGTATGCCTTGTGAGTTTTCACTGGAACTGGACATTTGAATCTAAGAAATGTGATAATTGTGGAAATCACATCATCCCCTTCCTAGTTTGCTGTTTTTAGTTATTTTTTTTTAATTGTGGCTTTCTGTATCCCAAGGATCTGCCTGAGATGTAAACTTAAGGTCTTCTCAGGTCTTTTCTGAGACTGTACCTTTTCCTGAGCATGTATGATCACTTTATTATTTTCTTTGTATATGCATTGCTTTCTAATGTCTAGTGTTTAATGTCTAGCTCCCAAAAAGGGAGAAAAATTTAAGGTGATGAAAGACACATCAGTCCTTCAAATCTTGGAAATCACTTTAGCTGGAAGTGAAATCATTTTCACAATGCAAGAAAGTGCAGCAACAATTACCACCCACCTCTGTCTGTACCTCTTTAATGAGATTCAGCAATCAGTGATCAGAGATGACACTCATGAAACTTGGAGGAAGTGGTCCTCCTTGCCAACCTGTGCTCCCTCAAGTTGTGTGCAGATTCCTCCAAGAACATGAGCACAGCTGCCTGCCACCAGAATGGGAATTCAAATAGGTAGCTTCTACTGTGCTAAGAAATTGAAATTAACTGCAATTTAGCATCCATGCCTTATTCTAAAATATATCAACTTTCAGTCAATGCCAGAGTTCCAAAATAGTTACATCAGCCATATTCTGCCAGTAAAATTGTTGTCTAGTCAAGGTGAGAGACTTCTTGTGCTTTCTACTCTACCTTCCCAGAATCTTATCTTTGGCTTTTGACATTTTGATTATAGTGTGTCTTGGTGTGAGTATCTTTGAGTTTATTCTACTTTGAGTTCTTGGAGCTGTTTGGATTTACAGATTTATGTCTTTTGCCAAATTTATAAGTTTTTAAAATTATTTCGTCTTATATTATTTTTCCTCCTTACATTCTTTGGTCTCTTGATGGTTTTTCTTAGGTCCTTTAGGCTGTTTACTTTTCTTCATTATTTTTTCTTTCTATTTCTCAGAATAAATAATTTCAATTGTTCTGTCTTCAAGTTCACTGATTATTTCTTCTATGTGTTCAAACTCTGCTATTGAATCCCTCTAGTAATTTTTTTCTTTTAGTTATGGTATTTTTCAGCCTCAGAATTTCTATGTGATTTCCTTTCTGCTATTGTGGTAACATATATAATACATAAAATTTTCCATTTTTATCATTTTAATGATTTTAAGTGTATAGTTCCCTAACATTAAGTACATTCACCTGTTTTGTGATTATCATTTCTATTCATTACCGGAAGTTATCATTACAAACAGAAACACTGTGCTCATTACACAATAACTTCCCATTCCTCTCTCTCTCCAACTGTACTTTCTACTTTTTCCTACTTCTTTCTTTTCTACTTTTTATTTCTCCTTTCTTTTTCTATAAATTTGTCTACTCTATGTACTCCATAGAAGTGGAACAACATTTTATCTTTTGTATCTCCTTTTCACTTAGCATAATGTTTTCCAGCTTCTTCCTTTTTGTAAAATGTATCAGAATTTCATTGCTTTTTAAGACTGAATTTAAGACTCCATTGGGTTTCTCTCTCTCTCTCTACACACACACACACACACACACACACACACACACACACACAACTATATTTTGTTTATCTATTCATCTACTGATTAAAAATTTGGATTTCTTTCACATTTAGCTTTGTGGAAAATGGTGCTGTAAACATTGGTGTACTATTATACGTTTAAATCCCTGCATTCAATTATTTTGGGTGTATACTGAGAAGACAAAATAATAGATTATGTGGTCATTCCATGTTTAAGTTTTTTGAGGAACCTCCAAACTTTTCCACAGTGAATGTTTACTTTCTTTTTATAGTTTTCTCTCTTTATTAATATTTGTATTATTTTCTTGATTTATTTTATTCTTTGTCTATGTATTTTTTAGCTCTTTTAGTATTTTTTAAATAGTTGTTTTATAGTCTTCATATAATTAATCCAAAGTATAAACTTCCTTAGGCATGGCTTCTAGTTATTTATTTTGTTCCTTTAAATGAGCCATACTTTCCTGCTTCTTTGTATTTCCTGTGATTTTTGTAGTTGTTTTTCAAAATTGGGCATAATAATACTATGTGGTAACTATGGAAATCAGATATTCCTCTTTTCCTGGAGTTGTTGTTTTTCGACTGCTGAAGGCTTTAGTGGTTTATTTGTTTAGTGTCTTGACAGTGTATTTGACAGTGTATTTTTGTAAAGACTCTTCCTTGTGTGATCACTGAAGTATCCATTCCTGGTATTCAGTTAGAGTTTTCACAGAGATTTCCTTGAACTCCAGTATTTAAAGAACAAAAACAAAACAAACAAGCAAACAAGGAAACAACTAAAAATATATCTCCCAGTCTGTGCTTATCAGATCTGTGCTAAGGAACTCCTTCAATTCTTAACTAAGCTTGCACAGAGCCAAAGGAGAAACCTGAGGTAAAAATCTTACATTATTTTTGTTCTTTTCTGAAGATAGATCTTCCTGTATACATGTGCATGGCTTTCTAAGTTCCCCCACATAGAAGCTGTGGGCATCTTAATTTCTTAGAAGATTTTCTCCCCAGTTTTTTTTTTCTGGTTCTTTGGTTAATTTTTGCCTCAAGCATCTCCAGGTTGTTATTTGGTTTGCAGTGTTTTTGAGCAATGTCCACTGCTTTTCCAGTCTGAGTTCCCAGGTAGATAAAACAGAAACAAGTGCCTTGCTTCAGCTGTACATGTGGCACACAGAAAGTTGAGAACAGACATACACAGTAATTTTAGAATAAGATCTGCTGTGCTGTCTCAAAAAGGCCCCACACTGGAATGTAGACTCCTTTGTTCAAGACTGCTACTGGGTTGAGAAAAGGGTTTGGGCAAGGGCAAGTAAATATACCACAAATCTTTCCTATGTTTCTTGATTCAGTGTTTGATTAATAGCTGTAAACTTTTGACTGTTTTTCAGAGTTCTGAAGAAGTTGCTTCTGACATATTTTTTCTTATTTTTCTGTGGGATGATAAGAGCTTGGAGCTGCCTGCTCCACCATTTTGCTGCAATATTAACTGGGGTTTTAGTTTGTTTATTTCTTTTACAACAATGACTTCCAAGTCTTCTGATTTTATGTCTGCATCCATTTTGATTGGCTACTCTCAAAGTAAGAAAGAATTTTGAACTAGAAATTTACCTACAAATTAAATCTTGATCTAACTCTTCTTTATCTTTTTTTTTTTTTTTTTTTGAGATGGAGTCCCCAGGCTGGAGTGCAGTGGTGTGATCTCAGCCCACTGCAACCTTTGCCTCCTGGGTTCAAGTGATTCTCCTGCCTCATCCTTCTGAGTAGCTGGGATTACAGGCACCTGCCAACATGTGCAGCTAATTTTTTTGTATTGTTAGTAGAGACAGGGTTTCACCATGTTGGCCAGGCTGGTCTTGATCTACTGACCTCAAGTGATCCACTCTCCTTGGCCTCCCAAAGTGCTGGGATTACAGGCATGAGCCACCATGCTCAGCCCTAACTCTTCTTTTTCTAACTCAAAGTATATTTTAGCAGCATGCTCATATACCTTTTCAACAATATATTCAATAAGTAAATCACTAAAGAAATCAACATTTGAACTATGCAAACTAATTTTTATAATGGAATTTTATCAGAGGAACCTGCCCCCAATATTACAACATAAGTTCTTTCTATTTTCCATAAGTGTCAGCCAGCTGAGAAATAAACAGAAAGAGTACAAAGAGAGGAACGTTACAGCTGGGCCACCGGGGGTGACATCACGTATCGGTAGGACCGTGATGCTCACCTAAGCCTCAAACCCACAAGTTTTTTATTATGGGTTTCAAAAGGGGAAGAGGTGTAAGAACAGGGAGTAGATCATATGCTTCAAAGGGCAAAAAGGAGAACTACTTTTACTAGGCTTACTAGGGTGGGGAAAAACTCTGCCCTGGTAAGCCTGAGGGTACTGCAGGAGACCAGGGCGTATCTCAGTCCTTATCTCAACCACATAAGAGAGACACTCCCAGAGCAGCCGTTTATAGACCTCCCCCAGAAACGCATTCCTTTCCCAGGGTGTTAATATTAATATTCCTTGCTAGGAAAAGAATTTAGTGATATCTCTCCTACTTGCACGTCTGTTTATAGGCTCCCTGCAAGAAGAAAAATATGGCTCTTTTTGCCCAACCCCGCAGGCAGTCAGACCTTATGGTTGTCTTCCCTTGTTCCCTAAAAATCACTGTTATTTAGTTCTTTTTCTAGGTGCACTGACTTCATATTGTTCAAACACACACATTTTACAATCAATTTGTACAGTTAACACAATTATCACAGTGGTCCTGAGGTGACATACATCCTCAGCTTATGAAGATAACAGGATTAAGAGATTAAAGACAGGTGTAAGAAATTATAAAAGTATTATTTGGGAATTGATAAATGTCCATATTAAAATGAAATCTTCACAATTTATGTTCCTCTGCCGCAGCTCCAGCTTGTCCCTCCATTCAGGGTCCCTGACTTCCCGCAACAGAATTTGAACCTTTACTAGTATTATTTTAAGTCAATAATCAGTACCTTCATATAAAAATAAGCTTATTCATGAGTTCCAAATTATTATAGTACAGAAATCAGCATGGGCTAAATCTGTCCTGTCACTTGTCTTTAATAAACCTAAGAATAATTTTTATATTTTCAAATTATTGAAAAAAATCAAAAGAAAAATTCTATGTTATGACATGTAACATTAAATGAAATTCAAATTTCAGTGTTTATAAAGAAATTTTTATTGAATCACATCCACATCTATTTATTTGTTTATGTGTTGTATATGGTTGGTTTTGTGCTACAATAGCATAATGGAGTAGATTTGACAGAGAATCTACAAACCTAAAATGTCTACTTTCTAGCCTTTCACACAAAATGTTTTCCAGTCCATTTTAGTAAAACATAGAAAGAATCAACAACCTAAGGAATAATTTAAATTTTATGAATCTTAAAAACTTTCTTCTGCTTTAGCATTAGTCATTAGCTAGAAGACTAATGTTACTTTTAGAGATTTTAGCCACTACAGGTTTTATCAGGTAATAATACACATTTTTTCAATTCAGTGTTTGATACTTTTAGCACATTTACCCTACTAGTTTTGTTGAAAATAAAGATGATGTTTCACATACATGATGTCTAACACAGAAGTATTTCTGGATGGTTTTTCCTAGGACTTAAATTTCTCAATAACATTAACCATTCCTTACTAAAATGTTGTCAACTTCAAGGACTAATTCTGAACTTGATGTTGCTTCCTCTACTTGAGTCAGAGAAAACAGGAAATTTCCTTCACCATTAAAAACCCTCTTAATTCAGAGTATCTTATGTTTATATATTACATTTTTCAGTTGATAAGTATGTGAATCACAGTGCTTTAAATTTTTACAGTGAAATGTTACGTTGAAAGACAGCTTATAAGCACGTAATATCTAAGTTTGGGAAACATCATTGGTTTGGATGACATCTGTAAGAATGCTTTCAACAACACTGTCAACTAATGCAAACTGATGTAGAGTCAGCTCTTTTGAAAATAATTCAGAGATGAATTTCCAGCTATTTCTCACCAACCATCATTTTTTAAAAGGTCTGCATCCACAAGTTCGGCAATTTTGTATGATCTTTGGGATTAATCTGTTTTTAAGAGATTATTATAAGTAGACTAAATTGCCAGTTAAATAATTTTATTATTTATATGTAAAAATTTGACTAGGTAATCACTTTTTTCTTCCCTGTCATTACTGCACAGATCAACTTCATTAAAGGAAGTTTGTTGTTTTAAAACAAAACTTTTTCAGAAGTTTCTGCTTTATTAGTGGCAATTGTCAAGAAAATTTTAGATAAAACAGAATACACATTCTCTAAAAATTCATGAGTCACCCTTTTTGGGTGATGATATTTGACATTCCTTCCCAGCTTCTTGGTCCATCTGTTGAATCTCTTTATAAAACATCCTTGGATTCCAGAGGCAAACATGCTGACATTGGAACTTTATCACAAAGTAGCAAGTTCAGCTAATTTTGAAAAATTTCTTTTATCACTGCACTAGCTAGCCATATTATTAAATTTTTCCCATTACTTTTGTTTTTACAAATGGATCTTGATCTCTATATTCGTGTATAATATTTCTGAAAATTATTTAATAACTTTATTGACCAATGATTTCTTGATTGATATTTTATCCATAAGAGGTACGTTACTTGCAAGGATTTTTTTTATCACAGGGGCCATTTTATGCATATATGGAATTATATATAGTTATCATTTACTTTCAAATGGTGCTTTGTCTACAGTTGGATCATTTTGCCTGGGAGACATAAACTAAATTAACTTTACTTTCAGGTGGGAAAAATTTATCTGTTATAAATCCTTTTATTCGAGTATCTAAATATGCCTTTAACAATAAACTTATCCGTGACATAGTTTCATTTTCAGCTTGGTTTTCATCTCAATTTAATAACTGTCCTGGTAACAACATCCTCTAAAATTTAGCAGGAGCAATCAATGTGCATTTTCTGGTGGGTACTGTGAGTTGTCTAGTTTAATAATTATGTGTTTAGTCACTTACTCTCATGGCACACAGGTAATACTAATTATTAACATTTCTTACATCAAAATGCTTATTCAAAGCATTTGTTAAACCCTTCTTTGCCTGGTCCCTTCTACACTTCCTTTTGCTTTTATTTTCAGTAGTATAGGAATCATCTTATAAGACGCTATACTATGCTTTAAAAACCATTTTATTTTCTAAAAGAAGTAAGCATACTTATATCAGGTACAAAAGCTTCAGTGTTCATCCTGGTGAGCTGGTGAGGAAGATCTGGAAATATTGGTGTTACATTGAGAAAACACCTTTGACAAAGTTGAAGACATTTTTGTCAGCATTTTAGATCCTTGTTTGGAGACATCGGGCTTGGGAGTTTCTGTGGACAAAGTAAACAAGAAGAATGATATCTTTATTTTTGAACACTGAGGTAAAATACCTTGCCTAAGGTCATATGAGTAAAAGGTGGCCCAGCTGGTAATAGGGTCCAGACTTTCTGACTCTCATGGCATCATTATGCCTACTGTACTATGAGGCTTCTTTAGTCACGTATACAAAGTCCATTTCTCTTTTCTCAGCAGAACACTCTCTGAAAATGTCTAATGAGTTAAATGGGAAATTAACTTTCAACTCTATACAGTGTGGACACCTATTTCAGAATGCTCAAGAGAAAGTAGAAGTACATTAAAAAATAGTATAAATTCTCACCTACTTTGAGTAAATTTTCCATTGACTGACCCCAAGTGATTATTTATGTCATGGAAAATAGGACTGTGTAGGTAATAAAAGAGTTCCTATTTGCATTTTTTTTGCACCTCTTATTCAGCATGAGGCTTTAAAGAATATAATCATCTCAGTTTAACAAAATTATTATTTTATACATAAAGAAATAATTTTATATATAAAGAAATATTTATATACTTTTCTGATACTTAATAAGTTGCGATAGGGCCACTAAAATCCTGTGTTTTCTTGATTGTAGTACATGAAACTCAAAAGTTATACATTTTAATATAAAACTTTAATACCCAGCTTCTTTTGAAAAACTGGAAGAACTGGGAACAATCTAGCATGCCAGTGATTGTAGATGAGTAGCAACTGCCTCCTTCAAAGGCAGCATGCCATCTCCCATAAGCCACACACCCCTGCTCAATCTGCTGCTGTTGTTTATGGTACCTACCTTGCTCATATAACTATTTGTGTGTGTAGACAATGATGATGTTGCATGAGATTGGGATTTGAAACATAGCTCTGCTGCTTGTTAGCTGTGGGATAACCTTGGATAACCTATTGTCATTTTTCTCTTTAATGATTCTCACTTTTTTCTTTAAATAAAATGTGAATAGCTAATGCCTGATATATTTTAGTTATATGATCCATTGTCCCTTTGGTGTAAAGATAGAGAGCTACATAATTAACTGAAAATTGGTATTTATGCAAACAGTAAGAATATTATTTCACTCCTATTTTGATAATATGCAAGGGGAGAGCCACTCATTTCCAGGAAAGTAATAAAAAATTCTAAATTCAAAATGATGCAATTGACAGTTTAATTACACCAGTTGTTAAAATAGTACATTTTGTACCTGAAATGACTTCCTTTGAGGGATTTGCACTGCCAAGAACATCCTTGGATCTTTCAAAGATGGTGATAAACTGCCAAGGTAAATTGAAATACAAACTGAGTCTTTCACTGGACACAAACACTAGATATACCCATAAGTCCTCAAATCCACTAGATATACCTATAAATACCACTACAGCATCTTACATAAAATATATCTGTGCTCTGCAGTCTCAAAGAATTGTTCAGTAAGACTGAGGCTGATAATTTTTGCAAAGTAAGATGCCTAAGATTGACCCTTGTTATGAATGCAGACTTTGGCTAGCACTAAGTGAGGGTCAATGGTTCAGCCATATTAACTCATGAAAAATCTGAGCTCTGTCTGCCCCCTCTATCCTTTGACTGAATTGAAAAAAGTTAAAAATTCTTTTCTGAAAAAAGATGTAATAATAAGGGGAGAAAAAAGAATGTTTACTTTGTAACCCCAAATTTTCTTCTATTGAAATCTTAGCCACTGCAGAGTCTGGAGCAATAAAGTGGCTCTGTAGACCTGGTTGTGCTGGGATTGTGTCTCCGGTACTAGCTTTACTCTGTAGACCCTTATCAATTTTGAATGCAAGAGCAGCAATTGTCCCAGAGAAGCATAAAATAGCCTGGGACAGGTGTTGGGGCTTCAGCTATTCTGAAGCTATTCTAAAATGGTAGATTTGAAGGGTACCAGAATTCTGTAGCTATTCTAAAATGTCATCTGTTAAAAATCAGTAAAACAAGGCTTAAATACATGTAACACAAGAGGAATGTGCAGTGTCTATATCAGGTAAAAAGCAACAGATAACTATTACAAGAGTTTTACCATAGTTCCTCCAAGAAGACTTAAGGGTGCTCATGTATTAAGCTATTGGAAACAAGATAACTGAGGAATAAAATAGGGCAGAGACAATGTAAAGTACTGATTCTCAACTTAAGCTGTACAATAGAGTTATCCATGAAACTTTTTTTAAAAGTATGGATCCCTGAGGCCCATAACAAGTGTAGGACAGACATTAATGTATATTTTTTAAATGCCTCACAAAACTCTAATGTGAGAGAATTAGGACTGAGAATCCTTCATCTAAAAGGAGATGAGTAGACATACAGTTGGCCTTCTCTCTCTGTGGGTTGTGTATCCATAAGTTTAACCAACCAGAGATCAAAAATATATGAAAAATAATGGATGGTTGCATGTATACCGAACATGTATAGACTTATTGTTCTTGTCATTATTCCATAAATAATACAGCATAAGAACTATTTACATAATATTTACATTGTGCTAGTTATGATAAGTAATCTAGAAATAATTTAAAATATATGGGAGGATGTGTGTAGGTTATATGCAAATATTACACCATTTTATATAAAGACCTTGAGCACCCCTGAATTTTGATATCTTTGGGGATTCCTGGAACCAATCCCCTACAGCTATCAGGGGATGACAGTACTTAAGTTATGTGAAAACATGTATCTGTTTGTTAGACACAAGAGTTCTTGCCCTTACTTAATGGAGCATTGTTAAAATCATGACTTTAAAGTTTTTATCTAAAAATGTCAAAACCTTGGCTATGTCAGAGTTGGCATCTTTTGACCTTTTCCTTGAAAGCTGTAGATATTGTCTTTGTTCTTTGTATGTTGAGTCATTTTGGAATGTATCCTACACATTTTATATAGGTAGTCAGATATTTGGTCCTTTCAAAATCCTGTAGAGAACATTGATTTTTTTCGTTTGTTTGTTTGTTTTTGGTAGGTAATTGACTCATTATGTTCAAATCATACATCCTACCCTGCCTCTCATGGCTATGGTTTCAATTTAATTTCTGTTTTTAAAATTTTTGTAGTGTTCAGTATCCTTATGTGTGCACTACTATTAAGAATGCAGTTCAGGTTCTCAAAGACTTTTGTCTATGTAACTTCAGGTCAGTTCCAAATATGTACAACTCAGAGGGGACAGTATAAACAGATTTTTGAGGTTCCTCTTTCTGTGATTTTCCTCAATGCCTAACTCTCATTAGCCCCCTTTTCTAGTTCTATGGCTAAAATGCTGTGGCTTTAGCCTCTGTGTGTGTGCTGTTTCTAGTTTATGTCTGCATCTACCACTAAGAGTAAAGTGACAAAAGAAAGCAGAGAAAAGCACAACCAGTTCAATCAATAATCCTCAGTCTACTGAGGACCCTTTCCCTATTGGTCAGAGAAGAATTTTCTTTCAGAGTTTTAGGTGGTAACTCTGCTGCTACTGCCATGCAGCTTCATGAGGGCACCTTGCCTTGAGGCAGGGCCAAGGAGGGAGAAAAAGTGGGGATTCTCCCCAGATTCTCCATCTCACAGGAATCTCCTAACCGGTCAGAAAACAATGGTTTCTCTAGGAGCTATGTTCTATCCAGTTGATCTATGTAATGCCAGGATTTGAGTTTTCCTGAGTCTAAGCCAGAGGATATGCAAATAAAATAAGAAAACCCAGGAAACTCACAATGGCATTGGCCATTCTTTGAGTTTTGATTCCCCTGCCCTAACTCTTGTTATTTATTTTTCAGAATCCTCAGTAGTTACCCACAGTGTTTAGTTGTAATCAGTGAGAGAGATAAGATGGAGCCTGCCTACTCCACCTTATTTGAAACTGGATTAGATAACAACTTTAACCATAATTTTACCATGGAAAAGGTAGCAAAGAGGGAAAGAACAAAAGCAGAAGGAGTCCAGATTAGCCAGAAATTCCACTTGACACACTGAGTGTCAATAGGTTCTTAGATTAGAGCTTCAGCATTTCCCTTCTGTTGCCATATAATTTTACTGTTTGTAAAGTGTGGCCAAAGTGGAGCCTGAGGTAGTTAAACAAATACTTATATTCATAAATGAGGATTAGGTTGAGTGGGTGACAAATCCATTATCTTTGAACATTTAAAAAATATATCTTAAGTGTAAGTTATAAGATTTTAAAAGTTGGTTCTGAAAATCGTACTATATTGTGATACTGAGAAGTAACTCCATAACTGATAGCTTATGTTGTATGTGGGGGTGGAAGGACCCACTCGAAGGGTGTTTAAGCTGAACCAAGAAAGAAACAATCTGATTAAAAAACACAGACGAAGATGTGTAGCTTCATTTCTCATTGGAAACTTTATAAGAAAGATTTATAAAGAGGAAATTTTCTTGGCTCACACTGGGGAGTAGGTGGGCTTTTTGGAAAGCTGCCGGTAAAGAAGTAATGTTTAGGAATACAGAAAAACAGAATTAGCACTCACATCCTGCAAGCCATGCACCTCCCATGTTTGAAGCTTCTGTTTTCTCCCCACCTCCCCACGTTGCTCACTTGAGTCTACTCATCCTAGGTAGGGCCAAGTAATTCACTCCCTCTAGTGTTTTTCTGGAGATTGTAGTAACAGAGCTAATAAACAGAATTGTACTTAGATGCTAGGGAGAACGAGTATATTACTTTGTGCCCCTAAACAAGGAATGCTGACTTAACCCAAAGGATTTTGTTAACATATTTTAATATACCAGGGACAGGCCTCAGCTAGGAAGAGGGAACAGGGTGTAAGAAATTGTGAATAGGAGAATGCTTTCTGATATCCTTCAAATCATACCACACAGTCCCTGACTGAACTATGAAAACTGAGTTGTTCTGAACTAGCTCCTAATATATATCAACTAAGGCTAGTTAAAAATACTTACCTTAACACTGTTTCCATGCTCTGGCTTTTGTTCCTGAGAACTTTCTGTAGAGATTAAAAAAAAAAAAGTAAAATAGTCTCTTTCTGAGGCATGTATATTTGTTGACACAAATCTGATCATATTATTTATTTTTCACCAAAGAATCATATAGTTTAGGCAGGTCGAAGAAGTTGTTATTTTAAATGTATAAGCAATTGGGAACAACACTGAAATAAGTGAGAGCCCTAGAATATTGGGACGTCTTAGCCCTTCAGTTAGAAATTTAGAAATTATGACAGATGAAATGTAACATAGTGGGAGAGGCAAGCTCTGTAACTTAGTAGCTATACATCTATGCACAACCATTCATTCCCTATAAGCCTGTTTGTTTACCTGTACAATGAGGGATTACTCTATAGATGATTCTTAATAGCCCTTCCAGCTCTACCACTTTCTTTACATGCCTACTTAAAAGCAGCTTATTAGAATAAAGAGGAGAGTACTGGTATTATTAAATAGTAACTTCTGGGAGAATCAGGAGAGCTTTGAGGCAATGCTCAGAGGATATTTGGTGGAGTCTACAGAACCAAAAGTTGTCTGAATTCCAGGGGAGGTCAGTGTATTCGTGAAATAAATTCAGGCAAGGAGGTAGAAATGACACTGTGAGAGAAGCTTCACAAGAACCCACTGCAAGGGAAGCAGCTAATCTGCTAAGAAGGCAGAAACCCTGTATTTACATCTTAGCTTCATTGCTTAAAGCTGTGTGAACATTGAACATCTAACTTCTCTGACTCTGTTTTCTCATGCATAGTATAGGAATGAGACTGTCTTCCTTGGCTATTTCTCAAGATATCATATAAGAAAAAACTATGCATTTTATATAGCTACACTCATCAAGAACCAACACAAGCAATAACTATATAAAGTACCCTTTGGGCCAATATGGGTTCTAAAAAAAAGTAATAGTAAAATCTCAATCAGCTCAAATATGAGAAGTGATTAAAGTAACTGACAAAATTGGTAAGATTTCATTGTTGGCTGATAATATTCCTAAAAAGCGCCTAAATCTATATTGCACATAATTTGACATACTTTATTTTAAATGATTGAGGACATTTGGGTTTACTACAAGGGCAATGATTCCAAACACAAGTTTTTAAGTTTCTAGGGTATATGTGCATCCAACTCCCCAGAAAAACTAGGAAGTTGTTTTGATGAAGAGGCACAGAAAAATTCCTGATATTTATGGTGCCCAGATTTTTGGATTTAAGTTACTTGAGATTTTATTGTATATATGAACTAGGAATGAATATATCTGGCCTTGATCTTTCCATTGAATTTCAGACTTAAATATCCAATTGCTTACGTGACATCTCAACTTGAATGTCTAAAGGACACCTCAATCTCAACATAACCAAAAAAGAATTCTTGTGCTCCTCCTTCACCTTTGGTTGCTCCAATAGTCTCTCCTATCTCATTAATCCCTGTATCTACTATAAACAAAATAGTGTTTTAGGCTCTTGGTGATATAGCTGTTAACAGACATAAATCTCCACCTTTATGAAGCTTACATTCTAGAGAGACAGTCAAAAAAACAGTTAAAATACACAGTATAACAGAAAGTTTTATCCAGTAAAGCAAAGAACTGGGATAGGTAGCGTCCTGATCAGAATTAAGTTGCAACTTCAGAGTGTGGCCAGTGAAGACCTCACTGAGAAGGTGACATTTGAGCCAAGATCTGAAAGTAAGGAATGAACAATGCAGATATAGGGGAAAGAGTACAGGAGGATCAGCAAATCCAAGGGCCATTAATGTATAAAATGTTTGAGGAACAGCAAGGAGGTTAGTGTGATTGGAATGGATTGAGCCAGAAAGAAATAGAGGAGTACCTTAGAGAGGAAGTAGGATGTTAGGATGATGCCCAGATGATTTAGGGTTTTGTAAGCCATTGTGATGACTTGAGATTTGGTTCTAAATGAGATGGGAAGTACAGCCATGCTTTGCTTAACAAGGTTACATTCTGAGAAATGCCTCATTAAGTGATTCCATCATTGTGTGAACATCATAGGATGTACTTACACAAACCTCAATGGTATAACCTACTACACACCTAAGCTATATGTTATGTTTTATGTATGTCTTTTAGGCTACAAGCCTGTACAGAATGTTATGACACTGTATACTGGAGGCAACTCTAACACAATGGTAAGTATTCGTGTATCTTAACATAGATAAAGTACAGTAGAAATACAGTATTATAATCATATGGGACCACTATTTTATACTGGTCCATCATTGACCAAAACATCATTATGTGACACATGACTTTACTTATCAATGTCTGGAATTATCTTGTTTAAGTCCTTACCCTTGGGATGGGACTTCCTACTCTGAGTTAAAGTGTAAATTCTGTGAGAGCAAAAACTTTGTCAGTCTTGTTCAGACATGGGATCTCAGGATACAAAGAAAACACTCAGCAAATCTTTGGATGAATGAGTAAGCAAATGATTCAGTTGAACACCTGTGATATTACTAAAAGATATAAGAACTAAGCAAGATCACCAAAATTAAGTTGGATAAAGCATATTAAAACACTGAATTTAGAGGCAGGAGATGTGGGATGCAGATGGAACTTTTGTTTTTATGTAGAGTCACAGGGTACATGTGCAGGAGTATTACATGGATATATTGCATAATGGTGAGGTTTGGACTTCTAGTGTACCTATCACCCAAATAGTGAATATTATACCCAATAGGTAATTTTTCAGTGCTCACCTCCCTCCTCCCTTCTGGTGTCCCATGTCTGTTACATTGGTCTGTACTGGACTCTGTTTTTGACTCAGAGGAATGTTGGATGGGTCACTGCCTTACCCTCAGCTTGAGTTTCCTCATCTATAAAATGAGTATGGTTGTATGAAACGGTTTCTGTTGGCATCTAACAAAGTATAATTCCACAATTCAGACATTATAGGAGTGGTTTTTGTGAAACCTATGATATGTTCACAGAATTCTGGCATACTTAATGCTATTTTATGGATTATCTTGATAAAAATGATTTTCACTCTCAAATTGGGAGAATATGTTTGTTGAATTGGTTGCATGTTTGAAATAGTCATGATAAACTTGTGGTTTGACTTTTAATGTGACTTTATAGTAAACATGACACTCTACCTCTTATATATGCTATCATTGTTAGAACCACATCGATCCTCCCTCTAAGGTCTTGACAGTTAGAGAACCTAAAAGTCATTACAAATTTTCTAAGGAGCCAGGACTATTAGAGATTGAATAAACAAAACAAAAAATATATAGAAAAATGAAAAAAAGTGAGATACATCCTAGGCCGATTTTAATATGAGGGAATAAATTTAGCTTTAAAAAGAGGCATAATCCTTCAAAGAAATAATTAAATCCTAGTAGCATGGGTTCTGGCTCAGATATAAACTGCTGTTACAATACACTCTATTTTGTAGATATTTCACAGGAGTATGGTAAATGTGAATTCATATCAAACCATATACTTGATACCACAATCAGTGATGAAATCTTAATGGCAGTTTAGGCAAGGCTAAGTATTTGACTCATTTTAACACCTGAATGAGGTAATACTGGATCATTTTCAAAAGTAGATAAACTCATAGAAAACATAAAACCTGTATTAACTTCAAGTTTGATAACTAAAAAAAAAACACATCAAAGTAGTAAAAAATACTCTCTAATTTAAGAAAAAGGAGTCCAACCTTCTAATATTTTAGCACTTGGGTCTGAGTGACAATCTTCAGCCTCACTAAAACAAAAGAAAAAGAACATCATTTAGGGTGAATTTGATAAATGAAGAAGTTACTGGTTAAGCAAAAGAACAGTTATTCTCCATATGGAAAGAAACCTGAAATAGTATACTATTCACTGAGATTCCAAATCACATAAAAATGATTTCTGATTGACTTTTTCCCCTACTTTTAAAATTGTGGTTATACATACATTAAATTTACAATTTTAACCATTTTAAGTGTACAGTTCTGTAGCATTAAGTACATTTGCAGTGTTGTGCAACCATCACTACCATCCAGCTCCAGAACTTTTTTCATCTTTCCCAACTGAAACTGTATACCAATTAAACATTAAAGCCTAATTTCCCTCTCTCCCCATCCCCTGGGAACCACTATTCTAGTTTCTGTCTCTATGATTTTGACTATCCTAGGGACTTCATATGAGAATCATGAAATATTTGGCCTTTTTTGCTGACGTATACCAATTAGCAAAACATCTTTCAAAGTTCATACATCTAGTAGTATGTGTCATAATATCCTTCCTTTTTTAAGGCTGAATAACATTCCATTGAATATTTATAACACATTTTGCTTGTTTATATTTATTCATCTATCGATGGACATTGGGATTGCTTCCATCATTTGTCTATGGTGAATAATGGTGTACAAATATCTGTTTCAGTCCCTGCTTTTAATTATTTTGAATATGTACACAGAAGTAGAATTGCTTGATCATAGGGTAAGTCTATGTTTAATTTTTGAGAAACCCCCAATACTGTTTTCCACAATGTCTGCACTATTGAAGTTCCCACCATTGATGCACAAGGGTTTCAATTCTTGACATCCCTACCAGTACTTGTTTTCTTTTTCTTTACTTCTTTTTTCCCTCCTTCCTTCTGTCCCTCCCTCCCTTCTTTAGTTATCTTAATGTGTTGAAAGTGGCATCTTGTGATTGTGATTTGCATTTCCCTAATGATTAGGGAAATGATTGAAAATCATTTTATGTGCCTGTTAGCCATTTGTATATTTTCTTAGAGAACTGCCTATTCAAGTCCTTTGCACATTTTTAATTGGGTTGTTTTATCATTGTTGAGTCATAAGAATTATTTACATATTCTGAATATTAATTATTTACTAGATGTATAATTTGCAAATATTTTCTCCCATTCCATGGGTTGACTTTTCACTTTGTTGATGGCGTCCTTTGAAGCACAAAATTTTTAATTATAATGAAGCACAATATATCTATTTTTCTTTTCTTGCTTGTGCTTTGGTATCATAACAACAAGAACAAAAAAAATTTTTAAATCCAATGTCAAGAAGCCTTTTTCCCATGTCTTCCAACAAAAGTTTTTTTAGTTCTTATGTTTAGATCTCTGACTCATTTTGAGTTAATTTTTGTATATGGTGTAAGGTAAGGGTTCACCTTCATTTTTGTTTGTTTTTTGCATGTGAGTATCTATTCCCATCACCACTTGTGGAAAAGGCCATCCCTTCCCTCATTAAATGGTCTTGGTACCCTTGGTAAAAATCATTTGATCATGTATGGAAGAGTTTATCTCTGGGCTCTTTATTCCATGTCTTTGCTTTATAAGTCTGTCTTTATATCAGTATCACACTGTTTGATTACGGTAGCTTTGTAGTAAGATTTGAAATCAGTAAATAAGACATCTGCATTTTTATTCTATTTTAAGATTGTTTTCCTATTAAGAGTCTCTTGAGAAACTAATGAACTTTAGGATAAATTTTCTATTTCTGCAAAAAAAAATTATTGGTATTTTGATAAGGATTCCATTGATTCTATGAATTACTTTGAGTAGAATTAACATTTTAATAATATTAAGTCTTCCAATCTATAAACATGAGGTGTCTTTCTACTTTTTTGCATTCTCTTTAATTTCTTACAGCAATATTTTGTAGCTGACAAAGTACAAGTCTTTCAATTCCTTGGTTAAATGTATTCCTAAGTATTTTATTCTGTTTGTTATTAATGTAAGTGGATTTTCCCCTTAATTGTTTTTAGATTGTTCAGTGTAATTATACAGAATGCAGCTTATTTTTCTGTGTTGATTTTATGTCTGGCAACTTTGCTGAATTAATTCATTAGTTATAACAATTTTTTTGGTGTTCTTCAGGGGTTTCTACATTATGACCATGTCATCTATAAACAACAATTTTTCTACTCATCCAATTAGAATGCCTTTCCCCCTTTTTCTTGCCTAATTTTTCTGACTAGCATTTTCAGTACTATGTTAAATAGAAGTGGCAAAAGTAGTCATTGTTTTTTTGTTTGTCCCTGATCTCAGAGGAAATACTTCATTTCTTCACCACTGAGGACAATGTTAGCTGTAGATGTTTCATATATGACCTTAACAATGTTGAGGTAATTTCCTTCTCTTCCTGCTCTGCTGAGTCCTTTTATCCATGTAAACTATTTAACTTTCGTCAAATGGTTTTCCTGCATCATTTGAGACAGATCATTCTGTTAATGTGATGTATTACATCGATTTTTTTTTTTTTTTTTTGAGATAGGGTCTCATTCTGTCACCCAGGCTGGAGCGAAGTGGTGTGATCACAGCTCACTGCAGCCTCAACTTCCTGTGCTCAATAAATCCACCTGCCTCAGCCTCCTTAGTAGCTGGGACCATAGGTGCACACCACCATGTCTGGCTATTTTTTGTATTTTTTTTGGAGAGATGGGGTTTTGCCATGTTGCCCAGGCTGGTCTCAAATTGTCGGGCTTGAGAAGTCTGCCCATCTTAACCTCTCAAAGTGCTGGGATTACAGGCATGAGTCACTGTGCCTGGCCTATTGATTGATTTTTGTATGTTGAAACTTGCTTGCATTCCCGGGATAAAACCGACTTGGTCATGATCTATAAACCTTTTAATATACTGATGAATTTGGTTAGCTAATATCTTGTTGAAGGTTTTTGCATCAATATTCATCAGTAATATTGTTCTGTAGTGTTTTCTTGCAGTCTTTGGTCTTGGTAATAATGTAATGCTGGCATCATGGCTTTGGAAGTGTTTCCTCTTTTCAGTTTTTTGGAAAAGTCTGAGGGGGGTTAGTGTTAATTCTTTGAAATTTGTGACATCCACCAATGAAAGTATCTGGTCATAAGCTTTTATTTGTTAGGAGGTTTTTCAGTTATTGGTTCAATTTCTTTACTGTTTCTAAATTTGTTCACTATAGTTTAGCATAATTCAGTCTTGACAAGCTGTGTATTTCTAGGAATTTATCCATTTCATCTAGATTATCCAATTTGTTGACATACAATTATTCATAGTACCCTCTTATAATCCTTTTTATTTCTATAAACTCAGTTGCTATTTTACCTCTTTCATTTATGATTTTAGCTGAGTCTTTCTTTCCTTAGGCAATCTAGCTAAAGACTTGTCAATTTCGTTGATTTTTTTTTTTTTTTTTTTTTTTTTTTTTAACGAACCAACTCTTGGTTTTCTTGATTTTCTCTACTGTTTTTATTCTCTATTTTATTCCTGGTCTAATCTTTATTATTTCCTTCTACTTAATACCTTTCAGTTTGTTCTTTCTCTAGTTCCCTAAGGTGTAAAGTTAAGTTGTTGGTATAAGATCTTTCTTATTTATTAATGAATAATTTACAACTATAAATTTTACTCTTAACATTGTTTTTGTTGTATCCCTTAAGTTTTGGGAAGTTTGGTAAGTTCCCTCATTATTTCTTCTTTGACCCATAAGTTGATAGTATATTGTTTAATTTTCACATATTTGAGGGTGTTTTTGTTTTTCCTTCTGCTATTGATTTCTAGTTTTATCCCATTGTAATTTGAAAATATATTTTGTATATATTCAGACTTTTAAAATTTATTAAGACTCATTTTGTGGCCTAAGATATAATTTATCCTGGGGAGTGTGCTATGTGCATTTGAGAAAACTGTGTATTTTGCTATTGTTTTATATATGTATATATAAAACAATATATGTATATAAATTATAGATAGATAGGTTAAATAAATCTATAGTTTTATTCACATCTATATTAGTCTGTTCTCATGCTGCTATAAAGGTCTGCCTGAGACTGGGTAATTTATAAAGGAAAGAGGTTTAATTGAGTCACAGTTCTGTATACCTAGGGAGACCTCAGGAAACTTACAATCATGGTGGAGGGAAAGCAAACATATCCTTCTTCACCAGGTGGCAGGAAGGAGAAGTGCCAAGCAAAAGGGGGAAAAGCTCCTTACAGAACAATCAGATCTCATGAGAACTCACTCACTATCATGAGAAAAGCAGCATAGGAGTAATCACCCCAATGATTCAATTACCTTCCACCTGGTCCTTCTCACGACATGTGGGGATTATGGGAAGAACAATTGAAGATGAGATTTGGGTGGGGACATAGCCAAACCATATCAACATCCTCTATTTCCCAATTTTGTTTAGTTGTCTCTCCATGATTGAAAATGGCATACTGAAGTCATTTACTATTATTGTAGAGCTGTTTATTTCCTCTTCAATCTGTTAGTATTTATTTAATATATTTTGGAGCTCTGATGTTTGGTGCATGCAGATGTTCCTCAATTTACAATGGGGTTACGTCTCAAGAAACCCATTTTAAATGGAAAATATCATACATTGAAAATGCATTTAACACATCTAACCTACCAAACATCATAACTTAGCCTAGCCTACCTTAAATGTGCTCAGAACACATACACTAGCCTACAGTTTGGCAAAATCATCTAACACAAAGTATTAAAAATATCATATAATATATTGAATATGGTACTGAATGTGTATTGCTTTCACACTGTCATAAAGTTAAAAAAATTGTAAGTCAAATTTTCATTAAGCTGCAGACCATTTGTATATGTTTTTAATTATTATCTCTTCCTGGTAAATTGATGCCGTTATCATCATACAATGTCATTTTTTCCCCTCTCTTTTGGTTTCTGTTTACATGGGGTATATTTTTCCATTCTTTCACTTTCAACCTACATGTATTCTTAGATCTAAAGTGAATATCTTATGGATAACATACAGTTGGATTCTGCTTTTAAAATCCATTTTGTCATTCTATCTCTTTTGATTAAAGTGTTTAACCCATTTATACTTTAAGTAATTAGTAATAGAGAAGAACGTTCTTTTGCCATTTTGTTGTTTTCTGCATCTTACAGTTGTTTTGTCCTTCATTTCTTCCATTACTGTCTTCCTTTGTATTTAGTTGAACTTTTTAGTGACACATTTTGATTCAGTTCTCATTTCCTTTATGCATATTTTAGGAATATTTTCTTTGTGCTTACTACAAGGATTATGTGACTCTAATTTTTAACTGATACCAAGTAAACTTAACTGCATACAAAAACTCTACTTTTTAACACATTTGCCCCCTACCCATTTTATGTTATTGAGGTTCCAAAATTATATCTTTTTACATTCTGTATCCATTAGCATAAATTTATTATCTGTTTCATGCATTTGTCTTTTAAATCCTTTAGAAAATAAAAAGTGGATATATGAGCTAAATTATGATAATACTATTTTTTATATTTGTTAATGTATTTACATTTGTTAAAATTTACATAATTTCATATGGCTCTGAGTTACTGTCTAGCATCATTTCATTTTTCTTTTTAACTTGAAGAACTTTCTTTAGCATTTCTTGTCAGGTAGATCTAGTGTTAATGAACTCCCTCAGCCTTTCCTTGTCTTGGAATGTCTTAATTTCGCCTCATTTTTGAAGAACATTTTTTGCTGGATGTAGAATTCTTGTTTGACAGTATTTGTTTTTCTTTCAGTCCTTTAAATATATCATCTCACTGCCTCTTGGCTTGTAAGGTTACTAATGAGAAAATCACTAATAATATTATGAGGGTTATTTGTACATGATGAATCACTTTCCTTCTTCTACTTTAAAGATTATCTTTGTCTTCTGACAGTTTGATTATTATGTGTCTTGATATGATATTTTTGTGTTCATTCTGCTTGAAGTTTGTCAAGCTTCTTTTATTTGTGTATGTATTTCTTCAAATTTAGGAAGTTTCAGCCCTTGTTTCCTCAAATAATCTATCTGTTTCTTTCTCAATTTCTTCTTCTGGAATTTACATAAGGTGTATATTGTTCTGCCTGATGGTGTTTCAAAAATCCCTTAGGCATTGCTTACTTTTTTTTCAATCTTTTTTCCTTTTGGTCTTTAGACTTGGCAACTTCAAATGACTTGCATTCAAGTTCACTGATTGTTTCTTCTGTCTCTCCAAGTTTGCTATTGAACTTCTCC
Organism: Homo sapiens; assembly: GCF_000001405.40. Taxonomy (NCBI): domain Eukaryota; kingdom Metazoa; phylum Chordata; class Mammalia; order Primates; family Hominidae; genus Homo; species Homo sapiens. The sequence goes on along the minus strand of NC_000002.12, from coordinate 185,818,194 downwards.
AATGAATTTTTCAATTCAGTTGTTATATTTTTCAGCTCCAGAATTAATTTTTAATTTTTATGAGCACATAATACTTGCACATTTGTATGGGTTACATGTGATGTTTTGATACAGGCATGCAAGTGTGATTATCAAGTCAGGGTAATTGGGGTATCCATCACCTCAAGCATTTATTACTTTTTGTGTTGTGTGTTAAGGATAGTCCAATTCTTCTCTTTTAGTTATTTCGGCATATACAATAAATTATTGTTAACTCTAGTTGCCCTAATATGCTACCAAAAGCAGAATTACTGTTTGGTTCTTTTTTATAATTTTTCTGTTAATATTTTAATTTTGTTCATACGTATTTTTACTAATTTCCTTAGTTCTTTGTCTACCTACAATTCTTGAACATATTTTAGATAGTTGTCTTAAAGTCTTTGCCATGTAGGTCCAACTGATGTGCTTCTTCAGGAACATTTTCTGGGTATTTTATTATTTCCATTTCATTTTCCCCATTTTTTGTATGCTTAGTAATCTTTTGTTCAAATGTGAGTATTTGAAATAATAAAGAAGCCACCTCTTCCAGTTTTTGCTGATTGATGTGGAAAATATTTACTAATTAATGAGACTTTGAGCCTTGGAAACAGTCCGAAGTGAAGATTTAGGTTTTTTTCAGATCTTTTCTGAGCATGTAGTTTTCAAGCCTGTGTTTGTGCTTCCCCAAACTCAGTTTTTCTGAGCTGCTTTTTAAATGATTTAATTTCCCAAAGAGTCACTTCCTGCTCCTTCTTCAGAACTTAGATATTCTGCTGTTGTATCTCTCTCTTCCCATAATTTCTGCCGAAGGTGTTTATGGTTCTGCAGTCCCTCTGTAGTTTTCATGCATTATGGCACCTATCCACTACTTTCTGTGGTTTCCAGGCTTAGAACCAAACTATAACACCATTGCCTATCTGAGTTCCTAGTCAGGTGAAACAAAAATAATTTCTTAAGAAAGCCCATAGATAGGTCAGAACAAGATCTACTCTGCTCTTTCCACCAAAGGGAGGAAACTGTAAATTGGGCTCCTTTCTCTTAACTGTGTTATACTATGCTGGGAGGAAGTTGGATCCAAGAGCAAGTTAAACTTCACAGATTTTTTTTAACTATTTTGAATGTGTTTTTTCCCTTTCTGTCTCCCTTGCTCCTTCCCTTTCTTCACCCCTCTCTCCCTCCCCTTCTTCCCTTCCTTTTCTTTTTTTCTTTCCTTCTTCCTTTTGTTTCTCTCTCTTCTCTCTCTTTCTCATTTACTCTTTTTTCTTTCTCTCTCTTTTCTTTCTCTTTCTTTCGTCTTCTCTCTCTCTCTCTCTCTCTCTCTGTCTCAGAGTTTCGCTCTGTTACCTAGGCTAAAGTGCAGTGGCAAAATCATAGCTCACTGTAACTTTGAACTCCTGAGCTCAAGCAATTCTATCACCTCAGCCTCCTGAGTAGCTAGGACTAGGTGCACATGACCATTCCAGCTAATTTTTTATTATTTTATTTTATTTTATTTTATTTTAGTAGAGTTAGGGTCTTGCTATGTCGCCCAAGCTGGCTTCAAACTCCTGGCCTCAAGCAATCTTCATGCCTCTGCCTCCCAAAGTGGTGGGATTACAGACGTGAGCCATCATGAGCAGCCAGCTTTTTCTTGATTGAATATTCATTTGGTTGCTGCAGACCGTTGTCCAGAGCTGTTATAAAATTGTGTTAGTCAGATTGTAGTTGCTTATGTTTTGTTTCCATGGGGAAATCAGAACCTTGAGCTTCCTGGTATTATCTTGCTCTAAAATCATTTTTATTTAGTATTATTTATGCCTGCTTTTTACTTCACTAATATAACCAATAAAGAGGTTCCAACATTACTAGCTATGTATGTTAAAATAACCTATTATGTAGGAGAAAAGAGACAATGGTGGGCCAAAAACAGATATCCCAAAATAAGGCCATGTCAAAAAAAAAATGCAATTCCAGCATGCTGAATGAAAAAAAAAAAATCACTAGATTTTTCTGTGTATAACATGAGTACTTCTCCCCAAATAAAAAATGTTATCTCTTCCAAGTTGTGTATAATTTTATAAATGCAAGCACAAATTTAGATGTTTTCACTATTCTTGATAGAGTTATGAATCAGATTTCAAGTCTACAGTGCACTTTGTTCCTCTTTGTCCCCTATAACTGTTATAGCCCATACTTTGCCCCTAGTGTCATCCAAACTTGGATTGTCTTTCACTTGTGTATCCTATCCATTCTTAAAGAGCCATGTCAAACTCCATTGCTTTCTACCATTTATCTCTGAATGCTAAAACTTATATTTCTTTCTCATTCCTTTGGATTCTTCTTATAGGCAATGACAGTAGCTTTCTTAAGAGAGCTAAGCATGAACACTTTTGTACTGATACTGCATATTTCATTTCTGGGCCATTACCTCTCTCTCTCAGGTTAGAAAATACCCTAATACATTAGCAAATACTTTATATAAGACACTGATACACTAGAAACTGGTTTGAAAACTAGGACATAGAGGCCAGGTATCTAAAAATAAAGGAACAGATAGCAAGAAGTGGCTTTGGAATTATTCACAGTAGGGTGCCACTGAAGGGAAGAAGTTGGGGAAGGTCTGAAGCTAAATACTTGCTCAATTACAGTTTTGCCAGGGGCCCCATTCTACTCATAAGCTCTACTTTATCAGATTTCTATATTTCTACTGCTTTAATTTCATATACCCAGTAGATGAAATGAGATCTTCTTGGTTGTATGAAGATGAACTCATAATTCTGTGTATGAAGTAATGTGTTGGTTCAGTAACAAGATTCTTTTCTTCTTTCTGGAAAAGGACAAATCAGCTATTACACTAAATGGAGTTTGGGATATATTTTCTTACCTTATGGCATTTTTTGCAGTATAATCTACATTTTAATGGAAAAAAGTTCCAGAGATTAGTTAAAAGATGGGTGTGGGCCCTATAATTCTAATTAAAAGGTGTCTTCCAATATAATTAACTTGAAATAGTTCAGTGAAGATTACCTAAATTATGACATTAGATTTTGAACAAATTTTAAACATAAACCTGGAACAATGTTTAAAGAGTCGAATTTTCTTCTAAACTTTAAAAATATTTGAAATCATATATTACTGAGGGCAAAAAGAGGAAGAACACAGATACAACTCTGGTCAATTAGGTACCTTGCCAGGTCAATCATCTTAACACATACTTTGATCTATTTGTTGCAAACTCATGTGTGCTTCTGAATTGACCAGAGTTATATTTATGCTATTTTCTATGGTTCATCTAAGCTTTTGTGTTAACCTCGGAATCACATCAAATGGATAATCAAGAGAATGGCCTCATCAGAAAATTAAAAGTTGTATATTCTCCAAAAACATGTTATGGTATGGAATTTCATGTATCCAGTAGATGAAAATAATTAAAATTAATTCTAAAATTAATTAGAATTACAGGGCTCATCCATCTTTTGACTAATCTCTGAAACTTTTTTCCATTAAAATGTAGATTATACTGCAGGACCAAACTCAAAAGGTCATTGAGACCCAGACCATCATTTGAGAATTTGGAGCCATCAACAAGAGATGTTTACCATGCTGACAGCAGAGTTTATGGGCTAATTGTAAGGGTGATATTTAAAATATATGAATTAACTTGTTAAGGTTGGATAAGCTGGTTATATAACTTACCAAAAGGTCAGCTAGCTACTGAGAGTTAGGATTCAAACCCAAACAATCTGAATTTCCGTGGATCTTATTTTGTTCCTCCTACCTCAGCCAGTCTTCTGGTGCTATTCTAGTAGCATTAGGCTCTCCACACAAAATGTTCAATGAGTGTTTACCAGCCAAAATACAAAAGGGTGGAAACCAACTGTTTTTAATAATTAGCTTACATTTTTCTTAACTGGTTTCCATTTTCTCTTTTCTTTGGGATTCTAATTAATCTAGTTTTTCCCCTATTACCTGCTTTCCCACAGTTGAGTTTCATAGCTGTACCTGGTAATAATTTCCCTTATCCTGTAAATATCACCAGGCTTGAGATTGAATTCATTTTAGCATTCTTTTCTGACTAATCAAGGTACATTCTTGGGCCAGATTTGTGAAGATGTCTCCCCTTTCTAGTCACTAACAGTCATGCTTATCACTTACCTTACACTGGGGCTTTTCCTCCCAAGATGAAGAGGCTGTTTCAGGCATCGTCTTTGGTGTGGCCATGTCAAGCTCAGCAACAGCTCTTTTAACATGTGTCTCCTTGGATTCTATTACCTGATTTGAGATTGCTTCAGTACTTTCAATATTTGCACTGGCTGTGGTCTGACAACATTTACTTAGTGACAAAAATTTTTTCAGGCTGCTCGTGCTTAGTGTTGACTTAGGAGAAAGTTTGCTTTGTATTGGCTTCTTGACTTCTTTCACTTGATCTTCAAATACTTTGATGCCTTCTTCTTTTGCAAAAGTCTGTGTTAAAACAACTTCATCTTCATCAGAATCTCGTTCCTCTTTTATGTAATTTTCCAAATACACTTGATCAATATCATGAGCTACTAATCGAACAATAAGATCATTTTTACTTTGAACATCTTTTAAGAGCTCCACCTTTGTAATATCAGGCTTTCTTATATTCTGAAATGAATTTCTAGCAACGGCCTGAAATTAAAGGTATAGCAAATATTAAAATCAAATGCCTAAATCACTTTCCTATAGTTCAATTATGATGTAGCTATTTTCTTATAATTTCTAGTTTTGATTTAAGTAATATCTTCAAATATCACTTAATTATATATTAGCAATATTTTTAAAAGAAATAAAGACAAATAACAAAAAAAATTTGTTGGCATGCATTTTTTTACATTTATTACATACCTTAATCTAATATAACTTAGTCCAAAAGTCAGAGCAAGGTTTAGCATAATTAATTTAATTACTTCCTCTTAGTCATGTACCTTGAAAGTTTTGTGACAGAAGTAGACAGGATAACCTATTTTCCAAAATCCTAGGTAAGGAATTATAGAGAAATCTAAATACACATATTTTCAAGAAAAAAGGGCAACATATTCACTGATCTTGATTTTCAAAAGTAATGAATACCCCAAATAATGGTTTTAAAATCTTTACTCCCTATTCCTCCACTTTTGATCTTTTGGTCATATTTCCCAAAAGATTCTTCAAAATATAAATCTTCATGTCTTCTCACTTCCTAAGTTAAATCTCAGTTTCCAATGTCAATGTTAAAGACAGATCAAAGAAAAGACAATTATAATTAAATAACAGAATTTCCCCATTTCTCTAGCTTTTGACCACGTCACAGAATCTCAAAATTAAGTTAATAATCTTAGCTCTCAGCCTCCCTTTGTAATATCATAAACCAGTTTTTCAGATAATGGTGCCTCAAAGGAATATCTGCAATAACAAAATATCAGAAGAACCTCTTTAAAATTTTTTAAAAATAAATTTTGATTATCTGTGCTATTGGAGGAAAACAGTGGTTTAGAAAATCCAAAATCATTTTATATTTTGGGATATGTTACTACCAGTGGTTTTAGTATGCATATGTCTAGTGTGTTAAGAATCTATGGTACCTTAAAACAGAGAATTAAGTCTTGAGGCAGAACCAACAAGAGTGTAGGGTTTCTAACCTAACCTTTCTTTCTCTTCACTGCTGTGTCCTTTTGTTGAAGATAGATAATATTGGTAGCCCGATTGGTGCCAATCACATGCCTTAACTGAGTTCCACATGTCTGCTTCTTTATTGTTTTATTTTTAGGATGGCTTATTTTTAGGATACAATGGAGGTACAGGCATTGGGCAAACATTCATGTTTGAAACGGGAGAAATTGGCCTGACAGAAGGGGCTACAGGCCTCAAACAAGTCCAAAACCCAGTAGTGCAATCATTATATCTTAAAGCTCCAAAATAATTTCCTTAGACTGTATGTCCCACATCTAGGGCACAGTGATGGAAGGGGTGGGGCTCTCAAGGCCTTGGGCAGTCCTGCCCCTGTGGTTTTTGCAGCACTGGTGGATACTCTTAGAGGTTGCTGAGTGCCTGAGGCTTTTCCACGCTGAGGGTGTAGGATGCAAGTGGATCTACCATTCTGAGGTCTGCAGAATGCAGACTTTCTTCCAACAACTGCACTAAGCAGTGCCCCAGTGGAGACTCTGTGTGGGATCTCCAACCTTAACATGCCCCCTCTGTATTTACCGGTAGAAGTTCTCTGTAAGGGCTCCACTCCTGCAGCAGGCTTCTGCCTGGGCATGCAGGTTTTTCCATACACCCTCTGAAATCTAGGCAGAGGCTGAGAAGTCTCATTTGCTCTTTAACTCTGTGTGCCTATAGGCTTAACACCACATAGAAACCACCAAGGCTATGCTTTGCAGCCCAAGCTGTAACTGGGCCCCTTTGAGCCACAGCTAGAAAAGTTGCGGTGGGAATGTGAGGAATGTTATTCTGAGTCTGCGGAGCCCATGAAACCATTCTTTGCTCCTAGGCCTCTAGAACTGAAATCAAACAGAGTGCAGTGAGGGTCTCTGAAATGCTTTTGAAGCCTTTTCTCCATTGTCTTGAACATTAGCTCTTAGATCTCTTTCAGTTTTGGAACTTTCTCTAAGAACTGGTAGTTTTACATCCATCTTGAATTTCTCTCAAAAAACAAACAAACAAACAAACAAACAACCTTTTTTTTTTCTTTGCCACATGGCCAGGTTGATTTTTTTTTTTTTTTTTGAGGTGGAGTCTCGCTTTGTCACCCAGGCTGGAGAGCAGTGGCATGATCTTGGCTCACTGCAACCTCTGCCTCCCAGGTTCAAGTGATTCTCATGCCTCAGCCTCCGAAGTAGCTGGGACTACAAGCGTGTGCCATCATGCCCAGCTAATTTTTGTATTTTTAGTGGAGATGGAGTTGGAGATCATGTTGGCCAGACTGGTCTCAAACTCCTGACCTCAAGTGACCCACCCATCTTGGCCTCCCAAAGTGCTGGGATTACAAGTGTGAGCCACCATGCTCAGCTAATTTTCCAAACTTTTATGCTCTGCTTCTCTTTGAAATATAAATTCCAAATTTAAGTCATTTCTTTCCTCCTGCATCTGAGAATAGGCTGTTAGAAGCATCTGAGAATAGGCTGTCAAGATGTCACATCTTGAATGTTTCATTTATGAGAAATTTCTTCTGCCAGCTATCCTAGGTCATCACTCACATGTTCAAACTCCACAGAACTCTAGGGCATGGACACAATGCAGCCAAGTTTTTGGTAAGGCATAACAAAAGTGACCTTTGCTCTAGTTCCCAGTAAATTCCTCATTTCCATCTGAGACCTCATCAGCCTGGCCTTCATAGTCCATATTACCATTGTCCATCAGCCTTTTAGTCACAACCATTTAACCAATCTCTAAGAAGTTCCAAACTCTCCTTAATCTTCCTATCTTCTTCTGAGCCTTCTAAACTCTTCTAGCCTCTGTCCACAAAAAAGAGGCTCTGTCTTCAGCCTCTGTGTGGAACTGGTGTCTTCCAGCACTAGTTCCAAAGGTGCTTCCGTATTTTCAGGTATAACGCCCCACTCCTTGGTACCAATTTTCTGTGTTAGGACATTCTTCCACTGCTGTAAAGAAATTCCTGAGAGTAGGTAATTTATAAAAAAAAAAAAAAAAAAAAAAAAAAGAGGTTTAACTGGCTCATGGTTCTGCAGACTTTACAGGAAGCATAGTGGCATCTGTTTTTGGGAAGGCCTGAAGAAGCTTCCAATCATGATTGAAAGCAAAATAAGTGCAGGCACATCACAAAGTGAAGGCAGGAGAAAAATAATGTGTATGTGTTGGGCAGGGTGCAGGGGAGTGACACACACTTTTAAATGACCAGATCTTGCAAGAATTCACTATTGCAAAGACAGCACCAAGCCATGAAGGGTCTGTCCCCATGACCCAGACACCTTCCACCAGGATCCACCTCCAGCATTGGGGATTACAATTCAACATGAGATTTGGGCAGGGATAAATATCAAACTATATCAGGGTGTGAAAGCTTAAAGCATTAATTAGCATGTTTACTAGCCTTGAGATTCAGTTTAGTGGGTTGCAGAAGAGTGCTGAAAAAATTTACTCTAAGCTTATGCTCCAGGAGGCATGGTTCTATAAAACTTTGCTAATTGTCCGGGCTACAGACTACATGCCTAAGCATACTCAGCCCTCCCACAAATGCATGCCATCAGTTAAAGGGATTTTAATAAAAATCAAAATGTCTGATGGATCAGTGCAACCTATCTGTTGGCGAGACAAATCTTTTGTCCTCAGTAATAGTTTCCTTGTAATAAGGACATTATTTTTGGCATTTTAAATTCCCGGTTAAAATATTTGGGAGCTGAGTATGGGGTTACAGGGGAGAGTTAGGTCTAGAGCAATAGGGAAGAGGCTCATAAAAATAGCAGCAATACTGCAGCTGGTTTTAAAAAAAACAAGTGTGTAAGTGGAAAGAAAATGGGTACATCTTGAGAGGCCAGGGCAAATGGGAAAGGCTAATATAATTGAAGTAAAATAGAACAAATGTAATCTAAGAGTTGGCAGTCCAACGTTTGCTGATGAGTGTTACTAAAAGGAAATGAGTATTACTCTGGTGCTTTAAATTTGAAAATTAAAACTATTTTAGATTATTCCACATATCCTGATATTCTTTTAACTGGCCTGTTTGAACACCTTTAGATATCCATAACGAACTAAGGAACTATACAAGTTTGCTGCTTTTAAATATTTAAATGACAATTATAACTTCTGTCAGTCTGGTTTTACTGTGAAGGGTATGTGCTTACAATCTCATTCTTAAAAAAAAACTTTCAAAAGGATTGTCTTAGGAAACTAGCCTGAGACTTTTAGAGTGAGCCACAGAACTAACATGACAAATCCTAGTAAATAATATGACTGTATGGATGAACTGATGCAACTAATTCTCCTATTGGGCTGAGAAACACCAACAACAATGAATGCATTTCCATATACTTATTTGAGGAAGGAAATCACAGAAGAACCATGTCTCACTATTCACTCATTTTCATGCCATTGCTTTTGCACTTACCTCTAGGGGTTTTACATCCAGTCTTCCAGTCTTATCCAATGAGGTACGTCTTTCTGTCTTTCTCTTTTCTAAATCAGGTGATCCTAAGGAGTAATTTCTCCCACTTATTGATGCTCTTCTCAGTTCTGCTATGCTATGTCCAGTTCTTTTCAAACACTCCTGCTTAAGTTTCTCAAGAGGTTGAGTTTTTATAGAAATAACTGCTAAGTGTTCTGAAATAATTTTTGGATCTATTTTGACTGGTTTTTTTCCAACATGTGGAACTATTTTAATTGGAGATTCCTCTTCAGATAAATTTTGATCTAACTTTTCTTGCTCTAATTCAGGAATCACATTAAAAGCATGTTCTTGGGCCTTTTGAACAATTCTATTAACGTCTAGCTCTCCAGAGAGATCAGCATTTGAAATTGTTGAGTTAATTGTATCTAATGGAAAACTTGAAACTCCATCAATAATTAAACTAGCCACTTTTTTAGGAAAGGCTGTATTTGTATCTTTTATATCATAATAAAATTCTTTGTTGGTTCCTGATTGTTGCAGTATGTTACTATAAACGGAATCGACAACCTGATAAATCCTTTCTGTATTTTCTGGATTTAAACAGTGCTCTTCAGGATCAGAAGCTATTAGACTAATGCTACTTCTGGAAATTTCAGCTGTTACCAATTTTGACAGTTGAGATGCAATTTTATTTAACTCAGTCTTTGATAAGTTTTTTTCATCTTTGCTTGAGGAACTTGGCAACCTTATTAGTTTAGCCAAGAACAAGGCCAACACCTCTTCTAAAAGTTTGGCATCTAATGTCAAACCTTTTCTGGATGAAGACTTTTCCTTAGACTTAAGTTCATCAATAATTTTGATCACTTTTTCCATAATTTTGACAGCTTCCAGAACTAATTCTGAATTTGATACTTCTTCCTCTACTTGAGGTTGAAATTCAGAATTCGAAATTGCATTCACCATTAAAAAGCCTATTGTATCAGAGAGGACATTGCTTTTACCCATTAAATCTTTAAATACAGAAGTATAAGAGCCAGAGTGCTTTAAAACACTGGTATAAATAGAATTAACTATGTTTTCAATAGTTGCATTATCAGCTACAGGCACAGTAGGTGATTCCTTGGTGGGTGGTACAAGTTTAATCTTACTTTTGGAGATAAATTCTTGGACTGAATTTAGTACTTTTGAAGTTATTTTTTGCATATCAGTCTCTAGAGATTTTGTTCTTTCTTTATGTACTTTTGGAAATATAGATAAAAGCTTTGATAAAAATTTCACAGCAATTTCTTCTATTATGTTATAAGACAGCTTATCAGCATGTGAAGGTTTAGGTAGGGGCACATCAGTAGTTTGGAAAACATCTTTAAGGATCTTTTCAACGATGTTTTCAACTTCCACACACTGATGTGGAGTTAGCTCTCCACAAAAATAGCTCTGCAGCTGATTGCTAGCCACTTCTCGTAGAACCAAGTCAACTATGTTTTCTGAAAGGATTTTGCATCCACTGGTTACACAATTTTGTATAATCTCTTGTGATCCAAACTGTGGCAAGAGATTATTATAAACAGACTGAACCACTAATTGAATAATTTCATCATCATCAGATTGTAAGGTTTCTACATACTGTATAGTCATATATTTATCTTGGGAGATCTCTGTTGCAACTGCACTTACTAACTTCATTTGAAGGAAATTCAGTTCTGTGGACAAATTGTCCTCAGGTTCTTTTGTTTTTGTGCTGGATATTGTTGAGAAAATTTTGGAGAAAAGAGCAGAAATCACATTCTCCAAAAATTTATGAGGTAATATTATTGTATATGGTGATGAAGTTTGACATTCTTTGCTGGCTGTTTGGGCCAACTTTTGGACCTTTTTAACAACATCCTTAGATTCCAGAGGCAAACATGCTGAAACTGAAACCTCATCACAAAATATCAAGTTAACCTGACGTTGGAAAATTTCATTTATCACTGCACTAGTTAGTCTTCTTGCTAAATTTTCTCCATTACTGTTTATATTCTTCCAAATAGAGTCTTGAGATCCATAGTCATTTAAAATATTACAAACAGAGGAGTGAACAACTTTATTGACCAATGTTTTGTCAATTGATGGTATCTTATCTGAAGAAGGTTTTCTCATCATTTTATGCATAGGTGGCATTTTATCTGCAGATTTTATCTTAATGCTGGATGGTGCTTCATCTGTAGTTGGCTCTTTATACCTTGGAGGTACTTTAGGAACTGAAGACACTTTACCCCCAGGGAACTGATTTCCCTTATCTGGCCTGAAAACCTTAATTTGAGCATCTGAGAACTCCTTTAACAGTGAATTGATGAGTTTCATAGCAGTGTCATAGAGTTTGGCTTGATTTTGCTTATCACTAACATTTTGACATCTATCTTGTATTTGTGTTTCTGGTATAGAAGAAAAGATCAATTGTTTAACCATCTCAGTAATAACATCTTCTAAAAACTTAGCGGGAAAAATTCCAGGTTTACTTTCTCGTTGGTTTTGAGGATCATCTGGTTTACTGGGTTCACTTTTAATCTCCTCTCTTACTTTCTCTTTTTCTCTCTCTTCCTCTTCTTTTTCTTTGGCAGAGATATTTTTGTTAGTTGAGGAGGATACTTTTTTTGTTGTAACAGACTGTGCCGAATCCCTGCTAATCTCTTGAATTACATTTAATACATTATCACCTGGGGGGCTTTGGTCATAACTGAGTTTCGAATAATATGCTGGTTCTGGAGAAGAAGATAGTTCTAAAACATCTTCAAAAATATTTTCAATGACATTTTGAACATGTTCATAATCTGAGTGGTGTTCCTCATCCCTACACGTTTGTGTTGGAGAGTCTCTTCTCCCCTCATTGCTTGATGTTCGAATTCTTATTTCCAAAGTATCTGTTGTAGTCCCTAGATTTCTCTTGGACTTCAAGGAGGATAACTGAAAGAGCTTGTCATCTTTTTTAAATGAGCTTTCCCTTGCATTGTCAATCTTCTTTTTATAGCCTATTTCAGAATCTGATCCAAGTACTTCCTTCTCATATTCTGTATCATCAATTATTAATGAAAAATGTGTGTATATCTCATCATCTTTCCCTTTTTTATCTGTTGGAATTAAATTTCTTTTCTTCTCAATTTCATTATTATTAAATGTTTCACTCAAATTTGGCTCCTGAGTATCTTTACTTTTCACAGTGGTAGTTGAAGTAACTTTTGATACATTCTCACTATGTTTTTGAGTACAAATTCCCACTTTATTTTCATCCACTTCCTTTTTATTTGTCACACCTGTAGCCAACCCTGATGTTAGGTTAATCATGCCGCTTTTCATAATTGCATTTATAGAGCTAAGTACTGGATTTTGGATGTCACCTTTTTTCACTGATGTGTCCTTGGTTTTAAAACTTTTCTTTCTATTCATTGTACCTCTATTTATTTCCAAAGTGCTCATCATGTTTTTGCAATCTGGGGTGGAAGAAGTATCTTTATATGATTGATCTGGTAAAGAAAGTTGGTTCTCTTTTGCACATCTGCTTATTTGTGTAAAGGTGTTTTGTGGTAGGTGTTGAACCCTTTGGGTGATATTATCTGGATTTAGAAATGAAAAGAAGGTGGAAGACCAGTCTCCTGAAAAAAGTGGTTGAATCCTGAATGCAGATATTGCCTTCTGGGTTAGAGCAGCAATCATCCCTATAGCAATGTTACTTTCATCACCTTTTTGAATATCATGAGATGTGCATTTTTCTATGAACTGTTCATATACAAAATTGGATATTTTATCAACTGTCTCTTTATCAATTGGTGGAAAAGAAAACATTTTTTCAGCATTTGGTAAAACTTTAATATCACTTTTCTTAAATTCCCTTATCAGAGAATTTGCAAGTTTTAGAGCCAAGCCCATAATATCTAGCTCTGCCATTTCATTTTTCTTAGAATCTTCAGTAATAATGAGGAGAGAACAAAATTTGTGAACAAGGTCAATGATTATGTCTTCCAAAAATGTAGCTGAATAGAGAGAAGGCTGTGTCTTTTCTTTACCAGATTTAGCAAGTTCAGAGACATGGTCATAATCAGATAAGTCACTGAAAGATGATTCTTCACCATGTAAAAATGGCTGTAAATGATGATACATGATTTCTTTCATAATAAAACCAGCTAATTTACTGAGGAATGAGCATCCTTTTTTGTCTGCATCTTTTTGTACTTCAGCTTGGAATTCAGATGTTTTCAAAATATTATTACATATGGAGTCGACCAAATTTTCAATAGGTTCTAACTGCATACTTTCTGCATTATCCTCTGCCATGGAAAGTCGAATCTCATGTTCAGAAATTTCTTTTATAATTTCATCAGTCAATTTTGAAGCTGCCTCCACAAATTCATCATCCGGTGGAAACTTTTTCTCTTTTAGTTCATTTTCAGTGTGAGTTGAAGGGAAGACATGCCCTAGAAGCCTGTAAACCATATCTTCTAAAAGAGAATGAGGCAACACAGTAATATATGGTGGCAAGGCATGGCTATCCTTTGTGATTATGTTAAGCACATTTCTGATGATATTATCAGCTTGGGGATACGAATAAGAAGAAGACTCTAATTCTCCTGAAACTAATGACTGCACTTGATAATCATATATTTCTTCCAATAGCAAATAATATATTTTCCTACCAAAACATATTGTGTCACTTTGTATAACCCTATGTATTTGAATCAGAGATTTATATTGATCTAATACTTTTCCATATACTGAGTTGACTATTTTTTGAACCATTTCTTTGTATCTTTCTGAGAAACACAAATTTTTATCAAAGTTATCTGCAACTAAAATCTCTGATGTGGTGAACTCCAGAACAATTGAATTTACCAATGTTGTAACAATCCTGGTAAGTTTCAGTTTCACTCTATCTGGATTTTCAGTAACCAACATGTTATGTGAAAATGCATAAAGAATTTTGCATAAGAGCTCAGAAATTACTTCCTCCAAAAAGACAGATGAGTTCACAATAAAAGATAATTCTCTTTGTTTAGGATCTATTGCTTTCAATTTATAAGTTTGATCAACTGCTGCCAAAAGGAGAGTTTTATCTTCAGATAAAAATGATTGAATATGATGGTTAAAGATTTCTTTTATTATAAAACTCGCTATTTTTGAAACAGGTATGTCACTTATGCTCTTTTTATCTTTTGTAATGGACTGGTATATATTTGAATGAGAAAGATCAGCATAAATGGAATCAACCATAGACTGGATATCTTTTGCTGAAATCATACTCTGTTTTTTATTCCCATATTTAATAATACATATTTCATGTTTTGAAATTATTGACATAATTTCATTTATCAGTTTTATCACTGTATTACTTAAGTCTGATTTAGTAGTATCTGACTGCTCTGCACTGGTGTTCAATGGACTTATCTGAGATGTAAGCTGAGTAACTATTTTTTCCAAATGACTATGTGATAACATAGTGGTATACATTGTTGAAGCTTGTCTTTGGAATCTTGATTTACTTATATCATATTGAACTCTTTGTATTAAAACATTTGCACTGAGTTTGGAATGTGATTTAAAAGGCAGATTTGCTATAAGATCTGGATGAATTTGGAAATCAAAAATTTCAGCCAGGATGATATTAGTTATTCTTGCAGCCAATGTCTTTGTGTCATTTAGAAAATCTTTATTGGGCACGACTTCCATTTCATATTCTTGCAAAACTTTGCTGTACACCATGTCAACAATTGTTTTGACTACATCCCTCTCCACTGGAGGTAAACACAGTCTTTCCTCAGTATTATCTATAATGCTAACTTGGGCTTTTGAGAATTCCCCTGTAATCAAATGTATGAGTTCTTCAGCTTTCTCAAACAGTTCATCTTCTGAATCTCTTATGGATTTTGTTTGTACAATGCCTACTACCCTGTGGAATATTTTTCTTAAAACCCCAGAGATTACATCTTCCAAGAATGTTGAAGAGTAAACACTGGTATAAAATAACTGCCTTCTCTCATCATCAAAATATGTGTCTGATGAAGATAATGATTTTCCACTCACAAATGGCTGAAGATGTTTTTGACAGATATGTTTAATGATGAAACCTGCTATTCTATCTATAAGAATGTCATTACTGCTTGTGATATTTTGCACAGCTGATTCTTGAGAACCAGAGGTTTGCACAACATTTGCAAATACTGAATCAACAAGGTGCTGAATATCATCTTCTGAATAAATAAACTTGGTTTCTTCTTCCTCTTTTGAAAATCGAATTTCATGTTGGGAAACTTTCATCCTAATATCACTAACTAGGTTTGAAGCAATGTCATTGAAATTCACTCTTGATATATCTTTTTGGGTGTCTCTGTTTAGAACCAGGCTAGATGCAGAAGAAAATAATTTAGATAATAGTACTCTGATCATATCTTCTAAAAATGTGTATGGCAGCAAGGTGTTATATAGAGGTACACTCTGGCTTGGCTCAGTAGATTTACTGATGTTACTAAGGATGTCCTGAACAATATTCTCAGCCACTGAATTAGAATAGGTAGAAGCTGAAAAATCCCCAGAAAACAGTGGATGAAGAAGGTAATCTGAAATAGCTGCTACAATTAAATTGGTAATATTTTCCACAAAAATGCCACTGTCTTCAGACTCTTTATCAACAGCAAGGTCTAGCCCATGCTGCTTTAAAGCATTTCTATAAACTGAGGTGGCAAGTTCATCCACAATATCTGTATTGAAAGAAAAGAAAGCCTGTTCTTTGTCATCATAGAGAATGTGAATTTTAGCTTTATTGAAATGCCTATTTATGGAGTTTACTATTCTTTGGGTCATGTTTTTCAACTCAATTTCAGTGTTATGCTTTGGGCTGAAAATCTTTGACAAAAGTCTGGCAACAATCTCCCTTACAAATGAATCAAGGTGAATATCTAAAGGTGATTGCTTCTGAGGTCTGTGTGACTCTATCACTTCACTCAGAACCTGTGTAACAATAGTAGACACTGGATCCAGTGGAGTCCTTGGATGACATAAAACCTCTCCACTCAAAAATGGTTGAAGATGATTTTCGATAATCTCTTGGATGATAAAGCTGGCTATTTGGTCAATCATAATTGGGCTTCGGCTTACTATACTTTTTTGTATTGAAACAAGAGAGTCAGACATTTGCAAAATATTACAATATACAGAATCCACCATCTTTTGGAGGTTTTTTCCAGTATATAGATATTGATTATCATATATAGTGAACCAGATTTTATGTTTTGAAATGGCTGACATAACCTTATTTATTATACAAGTGGACATTTCATTAAAATCAGAACTCATTAAATATTTTTTTCCTAAAGAGGAACATGTAATGGGTGGAGGAATTAGCTGAGATAAAAGCCTTCTTATGACATCTTCTAAAAATGAATGTGATAACATGGTACTATAGTCTGATGAAGACCTGGGTAGAGAAGTAAATTCTGTTAGGTTACTTTGAAGCTTTTGCAATATAATTTCAGGTTTGAGAGGGTAATATGAATGGGGTATGAGATGTTCCTTGAAGCAAGATGGCAGTTTGTAGTCTAAAATCTCTAACAATATGCCATTTGTTATTTGTTCTGCTATTGAGGCATTGTCGTATACCGGATTATTACCACAGGCCACTTTTAATTCATACTGCTGTAAAACATCATAATAAACTGAGTCAACAATTTTGCTAACAGTTTCTGTATGAACTGGTGGAAAACACAGCCTTTCTTCAGCATTCCGTAGAACAGTGACTTGAGCATTATTAAATTCATTCACTACATTGTTGACAAATAATGTATTCATCTCATTGAGCCAGGACACAGTGATGTTTTTATTTTTGCCCCACAATGACATAGAGAGATTAAAAAACAATTCTGAAATTATTCCTTCCAAAAATGTGGCTGAATAAACACCAGCATATATACCTTCCTGATGTAGCTTATTATGAATGGCTACCTTATCCATTTCCTTTGTTCTCTGTCTTTCAAAAGGTGACACAGAAGAGGATTTTACTGCACAATGCTTGTTAAATGGTGCTTGTATTTTGGAGCTAACCACACTGGGATTATTCAGGGATACTGTCAAAGAATTACTATCATAGCTCCTGAGTTCTAAAGAACTTTTACTCTGTCCTAATTCTATTAATTCTGACTTTCTTGCTTTTATGAAACTAGACTGTATTTCTCTTGTTCTGTAGTTCAAATGCTTATTTGCAAAAGGTAGACTTTCCGGAGCTTGTTGTATGCTGTGAGATAATTTGTCCATCAATGATTTAACCAAGCTGTGGGAAATAATAGTAAGCATAGAGTCTGATGTCAATAAGTCTTGATCAATTTCTGCCACATTCTCCAAAAGGTCTGACATGTAATCTACTTGAAGGCATTCACAGTCCATTCCTCCCTTACGATAATCAGATTTTCCATCTTCTACACTTTGAAGCATTTTTAAAAGTTGACATTCTTCTGCTGATGTTTCCTCTGAAACAGACCCTTTATCAGGAAAAGCAGTGCTTGTGCATTCTTCCAAAAGTATTCTGATAAGTTTCTCACATACAACATTGAGAAGAAAAACTGATTTTGAGGAGAGCTGTAGGTTATTGGTAAGTATGCTATTAGGTTGCTCATTATTCGAGGAGTAGAAATATGTTCTTTGTATTTTACCAGAATCCATACCCGTATCTAGGCATTCATCTGGTGAAAATAAATCTGAAACAATATTAAAAACTTTATTGACTACTTCTTTGGATTCACTTGTTTTTAGGTTACCAACCAGGCTGTTTAACTTACATGCAAGATAACTTAACTTATTTTTTTGAAAAAGTTGACCAATTTGTTGAGTAGAAAATTGCCAGTCTCTGGGGCTTGCCTGTCTATTGATTTTGTTGCAAAGGGGTACACTATTATTTCTATGCATAGAAAATGATTTGTTTCTTACATTGCTTTCAAAGTGATAATCTACTTCTATTTCTTTGGACAGTACATGAATCACTCCTACTAAGAGATCCTGAAAGAGGTCATCAAAGCCACCAGAAACTATTCCTGGACAGTAAGTGTATTTTGTAGGTATGGCAACCATTTTCTGTGCAATGTCAGCCTGTATAATTTTATTATTAAAAAGAATTTTAATAATGATTTCAGAAATACATAAAGCAAGTTCTCCAATGGAAATTGACCTGCTCTCAAACACTTGAGAATGAATTGAAATAATCTTGCTAAATGTTGCTTCTTGAATTTCCCATGCTTTCTCTTTTTCTCTACCCTTTTTGGTGCCATCAGAAATGCTCGAAGTTAAATGGTAAAGTACTGACTCAGTGAGATGTTCACAACATTGATAAATTGAAGAATCATCGTATATGTTTCTTAGGAACTGTTTTGATTCATATTTTTTCCTTGACCATGTAGAAACAGACATCTTTTCCTCACTAAAAACTTAAAAAAGGAAACATTGTAATTTTAGCATGGATTAAAGAAAATATAGAAAATTCAATATATTTGAAATTATTATTTACATATATATTTCACCCTTTGAGCAACTCACTAAAGAAAAATCTAAACAAAAAAAGAAATTAGATTTTCCTCAAACATTTATTTTCTCACCTTGCAAAATCTTAATTTTAGCCAATAAATTGAGAAAATAACACCCCAAAATTCAATCCTCTAAGTCAAATGCTGATGTCTGCCTTGGTTGGATGGTTATGAACTCTTAAGAAGCTGGAAAGCTTGGGGCAGAGAAATAATTTCCAGGCTTAGCGATGCATCCTACCATGTCTCCAGTGATACCTAGAGGTGCCATATAATTATTTTAAAATAGCTTTAGACAAAACATTTAATGTTATGCTATGTTTTACTTTTAGGACATTAAGGAGTTGTGTTGCAATATCAAGTTGACTAAAATAAAAGTGTGGCAACTCCAGAAAAGCTAGTAATAGATTGCAATAGCAGTAGTACTTTAGTCCCTAGATTATAGTTTGTCACAAAGAAGGAAGGTTGGCCCAGCCAGGTGAAGAACTCTATATTTGTTTTGTCCAAAATTCTATTTGTTACAAATCATTACCTATTTGCAATGGCCAACTGCTGGGTGTGGCAGCCAAGAGCAACACAGTTTTTTTCCTCAGAACTTAATTATATATTATATATCTTCATGTGTTATCAGGCAAGACTCTACACAGATAGAAGACTTTAAGCTGAGCTTTGACTGCTACACAGGTTTTGGCCATGTCAAGATACAGGGAATGAGGAAAAGGTATTCCTAGTGGAAGAAGGAACATGAGCGAAGTCACTGGAAGACCTTGGAGATGTCTGAGAATAGGAATATAGAATTGTTAGAGCCAAGTGTCAATGTGATGAAATCATGGATCTTCTCTTGCTTGTTTTGCTTTTGTTTATTTTTCTGAAATCAATTAAGTCATGCCTGGAGTAAGTCTATTTAAGAGTTTGTAGTTGTAGCTACATTACCGTCCATCTTGGGAGAATACTGGTTTTAAGGATGGAAAATAACCT
Source organism: Homo sapiens (assembly GCF_000001405.40). Lineage (NCBI taxonomy): Eukaryota > Metazoa > Chordata > Mammalia > Primates > Hominidae > Homo > Homo sapiens. Next base: position 185,798,625 of record NC_000002.12, on the reverse strand, counting down.
CCTCGTGCAGGTGGGTAGGACTGCTAATATCTCCAATTAGAATGATGTGTGATGTATCTGGACTGGTGATGTAGCAAGTAATTATTGGTAACTGAAACTACTGACCTAGATCTGGGGTATTATAGTAATACTAAACTGAATTTTATTAATTGTCAATAATCAACTGTTTTTGATATACAAAATGACGATTACATGTTGTTTCACCTAATATATACACATGAGTATACTTAGAAAGATAATGCAAATATAATCCCTGTAATGATACAGTTGGAGTATTATATCTAAAAGGAATTTAAGTCAGAATACTGGAATGCAAATAAAACAAGATATTCAATTCTACTGTTCTTTTAAACTTTGAATAATAATAACAAAGCCTTCAAGAATACAAAAATTAAATGACTTTTAATCAGTTAACTGCACATCCCATATGATTATAAAGAAGTTATGCATAAGAATTTTAAAAACCCTTCCAAATTTATGCCTCATGCTCAACCAAAATCTCCTGCTTTAAAATGGCCTCATTTTCTCTCATTTGTAGATAGAGAAAACTGAGCAACACATCCTTCAAATTCAAATCCTGAAAACATTTATTTATTTTTATTTTTTTGCATTGTGATGAATTAAAAAGCAATTGAGGCTGAGCACAGTGGCTCATGCCAGTAATCCCAACACTTTGAGGGGCCGAGAAAGAAGGATCACATGAGGCCAGGAGTTTGAGACCAGCCTGCGCAACATAGCAAAACCCTGTCTCTACAAAAAGATTTTTAAAAATTAGAGTGCAGTGGCATGCCTGTGGTCCCAGCTATTTTGGGGGAAGGCTGAGATGGGAGGATGTCTTCAGTCCAGGAGTTCAAGGCTGCAGGAAGCAATGATCATGCCACTGTACTCTAGCCTCAGTGACAGAGACACTATTTCTAAATAAAATAAAATAATACATTTAAAATAAAATTAAAGTGCAACTCAGTAGTCATCTACCTCCAAGGGTATTTTCAGAAAAATAGTGAATACAGCTTTTTAGACAGGAGATCTTTTAAACATGTCTTTTACTGGTTTTCTTCCTAAATCATGCAAATTTTTAGGTACGTTCTCTCTTGCTTACCTGTAGTTTCAAAGTTCTTCAAATATGTGACCACAGATGTGGTGACATGTCTTGCTATCAGATGAACTTCATTGGAACCCATTTCATGATCAGCAAAAGTAAAGGCTTCAACTTCCTTCACAGTCTCTATCTTTGGGTACTCCTTTTTTTTCAATTTTTGCAAAAAAGAAGAATCTTCCCGGCTGGCTTCAAGGTTTTCATTTTCTTCCTCAGGTATATAGTTGATTTTTTTATCCTGCATTCTAAGCAAACTTTTTTCGTTATCCTTTTGCCCTCCAGATACTTCAGATAAAGAGCTTTGTTTTGATATGAAAAATGGTTTCATTATTTCCCTGTTCTCATTAGTGTGTGGTTGACTTGGAAAGCCACAGCTGGATAGCACAGTATTGACAATATTTTCTGCAGCTAAACATATTTTGAGAGGGGAAATGGTTGTCTGAATTTGGTTTGGTTCAACAACTGGTTTTAGGTTCTCATAATGAAACACTCTTAGATTTTCACCTTTTCCCATTTCTATGAATGACAAGACTTGCTTTAATGCTGCTTCTGTGGAGTCACTTGCTTTCCTAAGCAGCTTTTGTAAGAAACTGCCTTCAGGGAGGTAGCTATTTCCTTTCATGGTCTGATCAAAACTACCAAAGTTAGATTCCCTTGGTCTGTGGTCTTGTACTTTGTTTCTAGTAGAACACGATGGCATAGTTTCTGAATCAGGCCTTTTCGTTGGCTCTGAGTTTTTAACTGTGTCTTCTACAGAGGATCTGACAGAGGTGGGTAAATCTGATGAAACCCTGTACTTTTCTTTCATATCTTCATCTGAACAAAACACAAACCCAGTTTTACTCACTTGTGAAGGATTAATCCCCAAACTACCTTCCTTTAACTTTGATGTGAACATTTTCATATTAGTTGCTAATTCAACCTGATTAACAGTGTAGGCATTTTCAGCTCCTTGGAACAAACTTTCTCTTGAAAGGTTTTGTATCAAAGACTCATTGAAATAAGTACACTGGTCCATTAGTGTGCCAATGATCTCACTTGCTACAATGTTCTCTTTCAATATGCTAATTGAAGATGGTTCCATTTGGCTTATTTCGTTGTCTAGCTTGTTCTTAATTACAGCAAGCATGTCACTGATGATATTAACAGCATATGTAAGTAATTGTGAATGGAATGAATGAACCCGTAGAAGGATATTCTGTATGTTTTCCTTGAAATTAATAGTATTTGACTCGGATTTATCAGAAAACATTTTCAGTGGTTGTAATTTTGGCAACATTTTTTTGTTTAACAGTTTCTGTTGGATAGAAGAAAGGTTTTCTATAGGCATTTTCACAATTTCAGAAAACTCATATTTGGAGATATGTTTAAACTGCAAGTCCACAAATGACTCTAACATGTTTAAAACCGTTTCTACAATCTCTTGAACAATTTGGTTGCTGGAGCCCACAGAAATTTGGTCTTTTGTCTTTGTGTTATAGATTGGTAAACTGCTGAGGCTATGCTTGTTTGGAAAACCATATTTACTTTTAGCAGTAATGTGTTCTTTACTGTTTGATAGAGTTTCTTCACTATCTGGAGTGGGAATTTGGGACAGAAAGCATAGCTGTAGTTTTTCAAGTAGCATTTCAACAATTTCCCTTCCAAACATATTAATTTGTGCTTTAGTATCCTCGGCTCTAGTAGAAGCTCCTTTAAAATGATTATAAAACCTGCTTTCACAATTCTCAAGAGGGGGCAAATTTAAAAGTGAAAGAGAATATTCTAATTCTTTTGCTTTTATTGAAATTTCAGTCAAAACATTTTCAGCTATCATCAATAGCTTACATTTTTCATTTTCCTTGTCATTTGATTCTGTTTGCCACTTGTCAAACAATTTTTTAAATATACCTTCTCTAGGAAAAATGTGCTCTAGCTGTGAAGAAACATTCTCCAAGTAAAAACATGCTTGTTGTTTAGGAAGGGATCCTGTGCCTATATTCCCCTGTGAAAGTCTGAGATGTGAGGATTTCATCGGGTAAGCCAAATTGCAGTTATTGGTAACATATAATTCTTGCAAAACTGTATTAACTATTTTACCTGCTGCTATGATTTGATCAGATGGTAAAGCTTTGGTTTGCTTTACCTTTCCAAATTCCTTCACAATTGTTTCTAGGATGTTAATTATTATATCCTTGGCATATATTTTTAGTTCTGAAGTGGGCAATTTTGTGTCCAGTAAATTTTTGGCATCTCCAGCTGACATGATGTGTGACAACCCAATGGCAGTCTTGGATCTGCTGTCTTTTAGGGTCTTCTCTCCAGGACCTAACTTGGTTTTGCTTTTGGCCTTAGCAGCACTCAGTCCTAAGTGTGTTTTTTTTGTAAATTTAGGCAAAGTGGTAATTTTTGATCTTGTTTTTAAATGTGCTTTAAAGCATGGCTTAGGGTTGTCCTTAGGGCTCACCTTTAAAGGAAGTGAGACAAAATTTGTGATCTTATTGAGAACCATTTGAATTAAGTCTTTCTTCACTTGCAATGGTAAATATGGCAAAAGAGTGTTTTCCATCACAGAGATATTTTGACTGTCGACATAAGAATAAGCCTGTGATATCGCATATCTAGGGGAATTACTTATTTTTCCTGCTTGTTTAGTTTCTCTAAACCTTAATGGTTTCATTAGTAAGGAATCATTGTGGTCAGATATTTCAACTTCTGTCCTACTTTTATTATTTTCATATAATGATGTCACAACTACCAAGTACATTTTCCCCAAAACACTTTCAACTATGTCATTTGCTACACTGTTAATATGTGATTGAAAACTGTTTTTCTGTGTTGTGTCTGATGTTTTAATCTTAGAATTAGATATAAAGTTGGCAGTTTCATTAAGTGGAGGCAAATGGCCTGTGACTTCCCTTACTCTTTGATACAACTTATTCAAAAGTTCTTCCACTGCAATGAGCAGTTCACCTTTTTCTTTGTTTTTTGATTCTCCATTTCTCATAAATATTTCTTCCAAAACAATTATCTGCCTTTTGTTTTCCAATATCATTTGGTTTTGCTCTAATGGATACTTTGTAAATAGAGATTGTTTGGTACTTCTTTCCTTCTCTTTGTGACCCAGCAATATTTCATTTGATAAAGCTAATTGTGAAAAGTTAGAATTTTCTTTTGAATTAAAACAAATTTCCTTTACAGATCTTTTATCATCTAACATCTTTAACATACTGTCAACAATTTCACTCACAATGATGTTTTCTTGGAACAAAATATTGTTTTGATATGGATATATCTTTTGAATTTCTAAGTCTAAGTCATTTTTAATAAGCTTCAAAATGGCACTGGCAATGACGTCAGCATATGTCTTAAGCCTAGCTTGCGATAGGTGAATTGTGGATCCAAGTTTTTCTCTGCGACCAACAAAAGTGAAATCTGTAAGCTCTTGGCTGAGAATGGTTTCAGTTGCTGATATTTTCAGGACATTTACATCTGATTCCACTTGGCTTGAATCATAAAAGATGCTGTCATTTTGTTTACAATTTTCCAATTCTGGGATAACAAATGACTTTTCTTTACTTTGGAAAGCAAGGGTAATTAATGAATCTATTCTTTCTGTGGCAAAAGATTCCAAACGTTTAAAAATAGTTTTAGTAATGAAGTTAGCATTTTCCTCACATGAGTCAGTAGCAGATTTCTGAGTGTCTTCTTTCTCTACTACAGTTATCTGATTATCATCAGCATAAGCTGATTTCTGATTTCTTGAATATGAAAAACGCTCTGTTTTTCTTTCAGTTTTTGACCCCTTAAGAGGCTGTTGACAGTCTATTTTTGGAAACGTATCACAAAATGTCAGGGGCAATCTTGCAGAAGTAGGATTCTTTGCATTTATGACAAGCGTGGCAGCAGAACTGAGATTATGAAGAACAATATTCACTATATCATTGGATATCAAAATGACATCTGATTTAGGAACTGAAAGCTTAGGAATAATCTTATTTGCACCCTCCATGAACATTTCAGAATTTTCTTCTGAATGTTTATCAGCTATGCTACATTTCAGAGTGGGTGTGGCAAATGAGAGATTATTCTGAAACAGGGTTTTTTCATAAATATCACATAGGATACCTTCAATGGTATCTTGTATTTGAAGTTGAAGTACTTTTCGATATTTGGTCTCATTGAGCAGCTTTTCAATAACACCTTTTTGCTGATCTAAATCGATCTCTTTGTCAGAACTGTTTTTGTCACATTTGCCTTTACGTGATATAATGTCTAACAATGCGTTAACAATTTGACTTGCAATACTTTCAGAAATCCCAATGTCATGAGTTAAAAAAGGATTTTCCCTTTCTTTATCTAATTCCTGTTTGATTCCTTGTAAATTTCTTCTAGCCACTTGTAGTGCATAAGTATTTAATTTAGACAAAGACAGTTGGCACAAGTTGGTCTTTCCTGACTTGGTATGATCTACTGAGCAACAGGAAAATTGCTCATCAGAATATGAATCTTTGGCTGATAATGCTTTGCTCAATGTACTGTGATCTTGCTGAATAGGTAAAGCCACTGGAACTGTAAAGTTGACTTGAGAATAAAAGAGAGATTTTACTTTGGAAGTAGCAAAAGTTTCTAAATTTGTTAATATTGCCTGTACAATATCTTCAGCTAGATTTACCTTTGTCTCCTTGTCAGCAACGCTGAATCTAGACTGAAAAGTACATGGATTTTCATCCAAAGCCGTGACAGAGGACTTTCCTTTATAGGTGTGTTCATGAGAAGAAACATTTGCTGAAAAAGTGATAGTTTTATACCTATTTTCCCTTACATTTCTTTCTGTCATGGCAGCTGAATAAAGTTTGTGAAATACAGTCCTAACAATATTATCTGTTACTATGGTTATATCTGCTTCCGAAAGTAAAGGATCCATCATTTTATCCATAAATTGAACAGATGTTTGGGGAGTTGGCTCATCAACATTGTGAGGCATGCCATTAAAATTAGAGTGGGAGAGAGAAAGGACATTTAATTGATTGATTAAAGTACTTTGAAAAATTTCATTCAAAATATTTCTTATAATGGGAGCAATTGGAGATATATGTGGTTCTTTGAGTTTTACTTCAATTTTGTTTAAGGTTTTTTCGAGAGCCCATTGTTTAAGAGAACGTGTTTTCACTTCTTCTCTTTGTGGGGATCTCTCATCAATAATTTTTTTCGCTGTATATGCATCATCTTCTAGAAATGAATCTGATTCAGCTCCTCCAGGAAGACTTCCATATGTTGGCCTGTATCGATAAGTTTCAATGCCTCCCCCTTCAGATTCCATTTCATTAAACATATCGGAAGATACTGCATCTAAAATTAACTTGACTACATACTTAAGTATTTGAGTCTCAGGTGGTGGGTTTTCTACACTTGTCTTCAAATCTGATGAGGTCACATTTAATTCTGTTTGAATAACCTTCAAAATAGCACTTGATACCTTCTTTGCATGCATATATAAAGCAGACAGAAATGATGCTTCATGTGTGTCTCTGGAAATATTGGTGCTTTCATATTCCCAGCCTATCTTATTGCTTTTCTTATTTCCATCATTAATAGCACCCAAAATTTCTAAATGTCCGTTGGCAAACCCTTCCAGTTTAGCAAAAACCATATTAAGAATATCTGAAGCTACAGCTTTTAGTTTATTTGGATGCATTTCTTTTGTGCTTGGTGTTTTGGAAGACACAGGAGCAACAGGTTTTGCCTTGCTTTTAGTCTCTTCTTTATTGTCCTCCTGAACCCTTCTGGAAACTATGCTGGAGATTATTTTGGTGGATTTGGCCATTTTCTCAATAATTGAAGCAAATGATGGGTTGTCAATGTCAAGAGACTCTGAGATAGCTTTTAATCCACAACTTGCAAAACTGGTATCCATGTCAACACCACATAATTTTGCAAGGATATAATCCAAAATTGCTTTAGAAATTAACTGAATATTAGACTGCAATGCAGCAGCCATTTTCTGATTCTTATTGGTCATCTCTCTGCTTTGTTGACTACAAGATAGCTGAGAATGAAGATGGGTCCCCAGGAGCTTGCTTAACATTTCATGTAGTGTTTCCCCAATTCTTTCTAACACTTGCAATTTTGCATTCTCTTTAATATGGTTTCCACCATTGACACTGTGGTGAGTACAAGGAGTAGCCAAATATTTGTGAAAAGATTTTTTATCTTGCCTATTTGGCAAAATGCTTTGTACATCAACACTGTCAGTTGCAGACTTTGGCTTACGAGAAGAGAGTGAAATGCTTCTTTGATGTGCATTTTCACTTGATAACAACATATCATAAATACAGGTTAATAATGGACTCGCCAAAATGTCATCATCAATACTCGTGACAAGAGATTCTAATTTTTTATCAGTATTAGCAAAAAATCCTTTATCTGTAAGGGATTTGGTATGGTCAATCTCCCTAAGATTTAGGTTTTCCTTGTGAAGTTCCAGTTCATTCTGGATAGCACATAAAACAATGTTTACTATTTTAGCTGTGTACTTACTAAGTTGAGATCGTAATGAAGATTTGAAGCCCATATGCAATTTTGGACAAATAAATGACTTCAGTCTTTTAAAAATTGTACGAATGATCTTATCATTAATGTCATCTACAGGTTTAGGTTCACTTTTTCCAGATTTTAACCAGGGAGGCTTTTCAGGATCAACGTCAAATAAAGATAAATATTTCATTTTCTTTTCACTGTCAAACCATGTTTTTAATGGGTATTTATTTGGTGCTTCTTTGACTATGTGTTCAGTGTCAGAATTATGTAAGGAAATCTGATGAACTGATGATGAAATGGAACTTTTAGTGGTATTGGAAATGTAGTTTGATGCCTTATGAAGTATGTTTAACACAGAATCTGTTATTTCTTGAGCCACTGTACTGATTTCTGAAACAGAAAACATCTGGTCTATCCATTCTTGATGTGACAGTCCTTGAGGCTTTTCTGAAACAAGAACTGAAGCTTCACTGCCAGTTTTGCTGTCTAAGTGACCAAAAGGAACGGAAGATATGTCCTTGAGCATTTCCTTTAAAATACTTGTGACTATGTTTTCTGAAGCCTTTTCTATTTGATGCTTTTGATCTTGGCTGAAAGTTGAAATGTCTTTATTCGAAGAAAGTTTTTTCTTTAAAATATCTTCATGATTAGTAGATGGTGGCTCAGTCTTTAATTCCCAATCATGAAATGCAGCTTTGCTTCTAGAACCAGGCTTTGTAGGTGGTTTGATATTTCTTTTGCATTCAAAACAAGTGTTTCCCTTTGTAAACCAATGATTAGGAATCTGTTCTTGTGATTTTACTTTTTCATCTTTGAAAGTTGAATCAAGCACATTTTTTACAATATTGTCTATTTCCTCATTTTCATCATCAGAATAAAGAACCATGCCTGGAACATTTATAGGTGGAAATGGTCTTCCAGACCTAGGACTATTTGATAATCTAGTGCCAGTGAGTCTGTACTTTTCTTTGGTGTCAGAAGGACTACTTATTCTAGGTTGCCTACTTTTTTGAAAACTTTCATTTACTGGTTCCTGATGGAGCTGAAAAAGGATGTCCTCAAGTAGCTGAAGGAGTACTACGGTTTCTTCAGATGCAATAATTCTCTCATTATTTAGTTCAGTTTGTATATAACCTAGTATAGCATTGATTGCTTCCTCTATATAAGCAACCAAAGAAGACTGGGAAAAAATATTTGATATTAAATTTTGTACTTCTTCATTGACAATTAAACTAGCTTCATCAGATTCAAGACTAGATTTATTTTTGCCAGCTCTTTGAAGGAACATACATATTGGGTCTGTCTTATGTTGCTGGCAGGAAAGCTTATTTGTGTCTTTAAGATGAAGAAATTCATTTTGCTTAAAAGAAACAAGAGTCATTAGCTTTTCTAAAATGGCATGCACCATGTCCTCTGCAATATCACACATTGGGTCCAAAGTATGAGGCATTGAATTTTTCAAAGGTTTTCCATTAGATGATGTGAGAAGTTCATCACTGGCTGCTAAACTTGGTTTAATGTCGACTGACAAATCTTGTGAAAACATCTCAACACATTTTTTCTCAACTGCAGACTCTAACTTCTCAAGCATATTTTCCACAATCTCAGAAGCAACTGAGGGAATATGAGCATTGGAAAGCAAGATTTCTTTTTCACGTTCACATTGTTCAACAAAAACTTCAGCAGTAACAGAAGAGAGAGAGGGAATGGCCTGGGTTAAATCAGACATTATTTCTCGCAAAATGCTTTCTAAAATCACTTCAGTTTCCCCTTTCAAGTAACATTTAAAGTTAACAAAAACATTTTTTAAATTCTTCATTTCATCCATGGCTTTTGCTGTTTTATCACAATGCAATGAACTCCCTAAGCTATCTGTTTCAGTGGTAGCATCCTTAGATTTTTTTGTGCCTGTTTCAAATGATGCTAAAAGGTGACTATCTGATTTACAACTTCTGAGCTTAGGGTATGAATATAGCAAGTTGGTTTTATTATATTTATGTTTAGAGATTATAGATTGTCCTTTTATGTGACATGTTTTCCCCACAACTGTTTTTTCCACATGTGCAGGAGGAGGTTTTATAGGTGTGGTTGGTCTCCTTACTGACGTGTCAACTACAAATGCACAGGGTTCTGCCTGAAATGTTTTAGTTGTTGCAGATGTGTAGCTTCTATATGTAAAGTCTTCACTGCACGTGCTACAGAAACTTGAACTATCTGAAGAGAGGATGGAGTCATCAGATACTGGGTATGTATTATTTTGCAATCTTTTTTCATACTTTGTGATGGCTGGGTACAATATACTGGTCACTGTAGCCACAACCCAGGTCATTACATTCTGAATTATAATATTCAGTTCTTCAGAAGTTACCTGGAAAGGAGGTAAGCAGAGATGAAAATAAAGTCATGTAACAACTTACTCTATGTTTTGGAGACAGAAGGTAACATTTAATTTTTATATCAATGTATTGGTGGAATACCATTATGGTTTATGAAAGAAAATAGTAAAGAAATATCAGTTTAGAAATTTAGAATTTAAGATGAATTTCTAGTTAGTTTATTCTGCACTACAGTGAAGTGTTTTTTTGTGTAAGATTTATTTTATTCACAGTCTCTCAGAAGTTTCTTTTTCCCCTGGCATTTATTATCAGTATAAATGATTTTTTTTTTGTTAAAAATATCACTAAATTGCTGTCTAGGCACACAACATGCAAATATTTTGGAAAGAAAATATGTGATGTTTATGATCCAGCTAATTTTTAAAGATACATTAAATATTTCTAACAAAACATTTCTCAAGACAGATCCAGTCAAAATATTTGGATGCTTTCAGAAACATCTGCCTAGCTGAGATGTGGGGAAGGAACATAAAGCATTTTCTCTCCCAGTCCCTGCTGAAAGGGTGAGCCTGTGGTCTATATATATAGGAATGACTAAAGTTAATTGTTAAGAATTATTTGATAGGCAAAAATAAAAGCTAATGCTTTATATAGATTGACGGGCTTTGTATCCAATAAAAGCGATAATACAAATAAATACAAATAATACAAATAAAATAAAAATAAAATAAAATAATACAAATAAATACAAATTGTCCTAGATAGGAAAGCTGAGAACAGATACTAAAGTAAGGTAACAAATTAAAATTTAGATAGAAAATAAAAGCCAAGCTAGATTTGGGAATCAAAGAGTAGGGAGGGCTGAGCAAGGTTAAGAAAGTTAGACTATTAATTTGTTTGAGCTGGAGCCAAGAACCAGATTTGAATAACCATTTCCTTAGTGACTAATGTTGCTGTCATAGATTTGAACTGGACCATGGGTAGAAATAAATGCATCTGTAGAATTCTATAAACCTCTATTTAGCAACTGCAAATATATTTTGTGCTTACAAAACTCATCTTACATATAATAAAGTAGTACTCTATTTTTAAGTTGTTAAAATTCTTAAAACATAGAGCTTGTAAACACAAGTAATTGGCAGAAAAGCTTAGAAGGCTGATATGTAGGTCTCAGTGTAAATATGATTCCTGTAACTAGGCTGCTAACACCCAAAATATTGCCTAAATTAGTCTGAAATTATCCATATTTCAGAGAAACATTCAAAGAAAAGTTAACATATATGTAGCACACTCTCTTCTGACTCACTTGAAAGCATTTGAGGAGCACCCCAGGAAAGGCCATTTTATTCAGCTGTAATCCCCAAATACACAAACATATTTTTAACTTATTGTATAAGCAATGGGTTAGTGGCATTAAACACATATTTTGAGATGACAATCTTATGTTGTAAAATACATGTCTTAAATAAATACAGTCTAAATCAAATACTTAAGAATCATACCTAAATGTTTATAGGAAGATAATTATTCTAAATCAACTACAACACATATAAATTATAAACTAAGACATTCAAAATATGTCATTTTTCTTATTACTGGAGATGATAAACAAAAACCTACATTATTACTCTTAGGTTAGTTACGGCGAAGAGATTCCAACCTCAATATATAAAAGAGGGATATATTTCTAACGTTTTCTTTGTAGTGAAATATGATAGATAGAATCCTAGTTTTTAATTGCTTTCTATTACAACATTAAGCTGAAAAAAATTCCCTTGGGTCAAAGCTTTTGTATTTGCTGCATATTCTATGAATTGAGCAAGTTTCCATGTTAAATAGCGTCTCAGAGCATGTGTTGTTCCTCAAATGCTTTCTCTTTCCTGACTTTTCGGTCTAGATCCAGAGTTAGGCCTCATAAAAATACACGATCTTATCTTTGCCTGTTCCAAGTCTCAGCTCATAGGTGACCAGGTCCCTTTTCACAAAACTACTGAAGACAGATCCAAGCATCTCAACTCACCTACTACTGAGTTCACCAGCAAGATCTGAAAGGCCTTATTGATTAATGGCTTCCCATGATATAATAGGCTTGTGGTATTTGATTCTCTTCCTATGATGGTTATAGATCCGTTAATATCTCACCATTCTATACCCATGAGACCTCGTCTTGAAGGGTCAATATTATCTTTTGATAACAATTTTGGACCACAGAAAAGTATAAGAATTAACTGAAAGTAGACTTCAATGAAGAAAAAGGGGCAAAAAGGAAGCCTAACAAATATCAATGGATGATTCCTATTACTTAGTTAACAAAATGTTTTCTATTATGATGCATCAGAAAGTATGACTAATATGTTGCTTTCTCGGTGGATTTTATGATACATACTTTTTCTTGCAAGCAATTTTGCAGCAAGTTCTGTTGCCTGTAAAGAAAGGTTGATCATTTAGTTATTACATAGAGTCAAAAATTTATAAAACTTTTCCCAAAATTTCTAATTATTGAAATCATTTTGTTGTATCTAAGATTTTTTCTCTAGAAATTCAAAATGAAGAATACACTGTTTTTTCCAACCCCCCTATTTCACTTCCTCCTTAGACTGGCCTCTAGTTTCGGAAATGTGCTTTATTACCCAGGGGTACAGAATTATAGCTGCTGCATAAACAGTGTATCTTTCTGATCCTTATACTTCCAACACACCTTAGCCATGCCTACATTGTGTTTCTCTGAAAATGGATATAGGATTTGCAGGAAGTGGGCAGATGAGTCCCTTCTGACTGCTAAAAGCCCTGATGGAGTAGCAAGGCATCTGACCAGGACTTTCTGATAATCCTTTATTTACTCGTTCAAATGCCATAGTTCCACTGTCCTCTCCCCATATTCCACAGTAGGAAGAAAATATGTGAATGCTTATTCAGTAACTATGGGTTAAAATCATAAGTTTCTAGCTATATTTAATACCAATTTAGATGCATTCCTTTTATGTGTATGACAATATTCTATCATGTGTTGTTAGATTTACCGTCACACACTAATGAAATAAAAACACAGTTTTCTAAATTGCAAAAAAGAATAGCTCAATCATAAAAATAATAGAAAAATAAATATTAAAATCTAAAACTGAAGTCTGATTTATTTTTGTATATTTTTGCTGATTTGTACTGCTGCTTTTCTTCTTTCTACTTTCTTAAGAAAATTGGCACTCCTTTCTAGGCCTGCACTCTACATGATCAAATTTACATTTCCCCCTAGGGATATAATTCAATTTTGAGAAATAGCCAGACTGAAAACTATATCCTGTATTTTGGCAGAAAAGAAAAGAAACTTCACTGGGTTCAGTTCATAAAATGGGCTTCATGACAATAGTCTACCCTTAGATTTGTACCTTTTGGCAGTATTCAACTAGGAGCATGAAAGCTGATGTCAGTGACATGTTCTCTATCATTTGTCCTAATTTGTTTTTCTAAGATCTGGTTTCTTAGGTCAACTCAAGTTTCCACAGGTTTTCCTCTTAGATATTCTGCAACCTAATGCATTCAGATTCACTTTTCTGTTTTCTTCATGTTATATCATTGGCACAAAACATAACTAACTCAAGGAGTTCTATGTATTCATTGGTAGCAGTTCCCAATAGACTTTTTGCTCCAAAAGCATACAAACAGCACGAAAGTGCAAAGGCCTACAGGTAAAATTAGTCAGGAAACTGAAAAAGCTTCATTGATGACTATTAGAAAACAATTTTATTAACCAGATAAAGCATGGCATCAGCAGAAATGGCAGGGTAAGTATCTTGAGAAATTCATTCCTCCAAAAAAGTAAGAAGTAAACTGGCGAAAGAAAAATGATGAGAATTATAGTTTCTGGGGCTCTAATTAATTAAAGGCTTGCAACATTCCAGAGAGCACTTATTTAGGAAAAACAGTGAATCTAGGTAATAGCAGTGGGTTTTGGTGTTTTAACTTGTCTTATTTTCATCCACTTTCTCCAGCTTCATAATATCCTTGAAAAATAATACCCTGAAATCATAGCAACATAGTTTTATCTTGGTATCTGCCTAAAAACTAGCATTATAGTTTGAACATAGTAGGTTCTCAATAAATGTTTGATAAATAAATTCCTATTTAAAGTCTTTCGGATCTGTGACTACTTCTCTCTAATCCCAAATGAAGCCTTTGCAGGCCACTAATAGCTTTTGGGAGCTGGTTCTGAGTTTCTTTCTTTCAATTTTTCCTATATATTGGTGTCAAAGTTATTCATTGTGTATGCTAATTTGACCATTACACCCCCACTAAAAACCATCAGACTATTACCCAATAAATAAACTACAAGTTTTAACCACAGTCTTCAGGGTAGTAGATTTATTGCCTTCTTCACTGTTACTCCTTATACCTTCCCTGTAATACAAAGTTACTTATCACCTGAGTGCAACCCTTAATTGCTGCAACTTTACTCCCACTGCTGTCATATTTACTTTATTTTCATTCCCTTGGTACTGAATTTTCCTCTCAATTTTATAAATCTTTTGTAACATTAAACAAATGATCAGGAACAAGAAGACTAAGCAATAAGTGAGAAAAGAAATGATGGAATAGATGTGAGGCTTCCACAGCAAACTCCTGTAAAACCTGCAGTTAAACCTGAGCAAGAGGAATGTGACATATGTGTCTTTGCTCTTTATTTGGATCTGTGTGTATGCTCTTGGAGCAGTGGCGAAGAAGCTCCAGGTAAGGTATAGAGTTCTTTATTTTTCATCAAGCTAAGATTTTTAATGAAACAATATCCAAAATGCTTGCTATGAAAGATTCAAGTGATTTTTGTAGTTCTACATTCTTGGGTAGGAGAAGATAAAAAATGCAGTTATTACAACTATATTATGAGCCTCTTCTAACCTTTTCTTTAAAGAGGTAGGTATTTATATTTCTAATAAATAAAAACGTTTGTATCAAATAAGTAAAATAAACAATGTTATTTTACATATGGTCTACACACGGTCATCAAGTTTTATTGCTTTGAACTAGACAAGCCAGTTTCCTTCCTTCTGCATCTTTTACAGTGTTATGTATCATATGAATACTCAATAAGTCAAACAAACTGATATTTATCAGTCTTAAAGTAAAAATTATTATTTCAGGAAGCCTTGTCTGAACATGTCAATATCATTTGCCATCATGCACCACTTATTTTACTCAATCATCTTCATAGGAATTTGGGGTTTGTAAAGTCTATCCTAGACTTCATTTGGCTTGTTCATTTTTAAAAAAGATGATGGCATTGGGTGTAAAATAATACAAAGCTCACTGCCATTACTTAGATTCATGTTTTCCTCTCTTTCTTTTCTTGAGTTGAGAAAAACAGATATAAACATCAACAAAATAGGTGGTCACTAAGGTTTGAAGAATGAAAAGTCCCTGGGCTTAACAACTATCTCTTCTAAGTGCCATAATTTCCACTACTAGAGATTATTATTTTTTATTAAACTGCAAAATAGCCTTTGGGGTGGGGGAATAACCGATTAAGTCATTTATACTATAAACTATTTTACCAGCCTTAGACAGCCAATAATCTCAAAAAACATAAGAAATGGTAGCTGTTTCAAAGAAGAGAAAAGCAAAGAAATAAAGCCAGATCATGAGAAGCTACCGGAAGAAGGCTATGATGCGGATACACTTGAAAGTGGCATGGAGACCCTGACTATAGCTGGATTATAGATAAGGAGAAGGAGAAAGGAAAGGACAATGATTCACTTTGTCTACAATTTAAGCTTAGTGCTGAAAGTCTGCAAAAGACTAAGTTTCACTAAATCCAAGTAGAACTATAAAAATGGAGGATTCCATGGAATCATTTGCTTATGAGCAGCACTCTTATGTAATCATTAAAATTAGTTATGATTATATATAATTCCTTAGGTACTTACATATTTGTGTAAACAGGAGAAGAAAATATACCCGGGTCTGTAGCATGAGCCTGAGGTCCTATTTATCAGAAAAATAAAATTACATAGTTTGTATCCATCCTCAGCAACTTGCTAAATGGTAATCCTCCAGTAGGTATTTATTTTCTGTTATCACTGCCTCGTTTACAGGCTTTCAGGGACTCTCCACAGTGAAGTCCAAAGTCCTTAGCAAGGACCTGTACTGTAAGATCTGATGTCCTTATCTACCTCTCCAGTGTCTTCTCTGACTAGTCTTTCATACTTATGCTATGGTCCAGAGACAGAATATTTTGCACTTCCCTAAATATATCATGTTTCTCATGCTTCTCTGGACTGTGGTTTTGCAATTTCTTTTGTCTAGAACACCCTGTGCTGTATTTTAACTTCTCATATTTTAGGTCTCGTTCAGCTTATGTTAACTCTTGAAAGCCTTCCTTGATACGTACCTGAATAAATACCCTTCCCAGTGCTCTCAAAGCACTCTAAACATGTCTATATTATAAAACTCATCATGCTACACAGTAATTATGTTTACTCTTGTGTACACCTGATTATGACTTCCCACATATATCCTCAGTACTTAACATGTTTTGGTGTGGATCAATTTTAGAGAGAAAGGAACTGACATTGCCTGTAATCCCAGCACTTTGGGGGGCCCAGGAGGGCGGATCATGAGGTCAGGAGATCGAGACCATCCTGGCTAACACGGTGAAACCCCGTCTCTATTAAAAATACAAAAAGATTAGCCGGGCGCGGCCTGCGCCTGTAGTCCCAGCTGCTGGGGGATGCTGAGGCAGGAGAATGGCGTGAACCTGGGAGGCGGAGCTTGCAGTGAGCCGAGATCGCGCCACTGCACTCCAGCCTGGGTGACAGAGCAAGACTCCGTCTCAAAAAAAAAAAAGAGTGCCCATACCTGAAAATTAAATGTGAAGACAACACTATTTTTAATACAAAAAATCTCTTCTGTGGTTTCCAGCAATATGCTAAACAAATATTTTTAATTTTGCCTAGCATTCAGTATAGAGCATTAAAGCCATACTGTTAAAAATAGCTAAACTTTCAAAGAGATAGGAGAACTTTCTGAAGGTAAGACAAATGTGAGAACACAAATCTATAGTGGTAAACAAATGCTGAAGCTGATACCTGCCCTAGGGACATTGGCCACATCTGGAATTTAGTGTCTGGTCAGAGCATTTAAAACAAGACATTGGGCCCCCCCAAAAGATGGAGAATTAAAACTAAGAGCTCCTAAAAATATACAGATGCTTCTTGACTTACAGTGGGGTTCATATCACAATAAACCCATCATAAGCTGAAAATATGTTAAGTTGGAAATGCATTTAATACACCTAACCTGCTGAACATAATAGCTTAGCTTAGCATGCTTTAAATTTGTTCTGAACATTTACATTAGCTTACAGCTGGGCAAAATCAGCTAACACAAAGCCTACTTTATAATAAAGTGTTGAATTTATTATATAATTTATTGACTGCTTATACTGAAAGTGAAAAACGGAATGGTTGTATAGGTACTTAAAATACAGTGTCTATTGAATGTTTATTGCTTTTACACAATCCTAAAGTTGAAAAATCATAAGTCCAACCACTGTAAGTAAGTCAGGGGCCATCTGTTTAGGATCCCAATGAGCTACATCTTCAATTAGTCATCTACAAAAAAAAAAAAATCATGCCACAGAGGAAGCAGAGAAATTATGTCTTGGCTTTTGGCTGTGGGTGGAGAAGGAGGAGGAGAAGATAAAATTATATGCTAAGAATTCGTAATCACAGATTATGTTTTCTATGACCTTGAGTTTCAAATCCACAGAAACTGTATTGTCCCTAAAACTACATATGAGAATTTAATTTAAAATGAATCTGTGTTCACAGCTCTTACAGATAACTGGCAGCAGCGTATGTAAATTTTCTTTAGAGAATTACAACCTATCCAAATATTATTGAATCCCCAACAATAAATTTCTGTCAAAACTGAGCTCACATATAACAGTAACAACCTCCCACTCTCCACAGAAATATAAAAAAAGAAAAACAAGAAACCATGGCTTTTAACAGAAACAAAAACAATATATTAAAATTAGACCTCAAAGATTTCAAATATTTGAATTAGCAAACATAAAATAGCAAATAAGAGGACTTTATATGTTTAAATATATAAAGAAGGGTTTTGAAAGGATAAGAATAGAAAAAGAGCCTATAAGAAGTCCAAATTTAAAAATATCTATTTAGAAATTGTATTTTATATATATAATATACCATAGTTCAATTTTACAAAGCAATTAATTTATGAAATAATAAACTATATAGAAAAACTAAATAACTAAAGAGAGAATTAGCGAACTAGAGAACATATTTGAAGAAATTAACAACAGGAATGCAGTGAGAGAAATGGAAAATAAAGTTGTTAAAGGACATGAGACAAGAAGGTAGTCTAATACTCAGAAGAAGATAATAACGAAAATGAAGAGAGGCAATATAGAAAGAGGAAATGGCTGAAGCTTGTACAGAACTGCTCCTTATAATAATACTAAAGAAAAAATAAAGAAAACATCTTAAAAACAGCCCGAGGTGGGGGACGGAAGAATCACTTACACAGGAATAATTACATCATAGAATAAAAAGTAAAATAATTAAACAAAACAATTTTTTTTTTTTTTGAGATGGAGTGTTGCTCTGTCACCCAGGCTGGAGTGCAGTGGCACGCTCTCGGCTCACTGCAACCTCTGCCTCCCAGGTTCAAGTGATTCTTATGCCTCAGCCTAAAAATCCATTATCTTTAAAGTGCTAAGAAAAAAAAAAAAACTGTCCCCTGAAACTTACTCATACCCTTGGACATAATGACATTCTAATACAAGGATAAAGACAATTTTATCAAATAAAATCTGAGAATTTACTCCCAAAATACGTTCACTAAAGACCTTTCTAAAGAATGCAGTACTTTAGAACAAATGGCAATAATCCCAAGAAGTATTAAATGCAAGAAGGAATGAGTGGAGAACAAAATAAGCTGGTAAACAGGTGGGCAAATATAAATAAAATCTGTATAAAACAATAATAAGAAAGCAATTTGACTGATAAAACCTTTAAAATGTCAAAATTTAAACTATTGGACAATAATAAGTATGATATAAAGTTATGATTAGAAGTAAATTATCCAATTTTAACTTTTATTTTAAATATACTTCAACATAACTAGAAGAGTAAATTTACAGCGTTCAACACAAAGAAATAACAAATGTTTGAGTGATTGATAGATCTCCCAATTAACCAGACTTATCACTATACATTGTATGCTTATATCAAAATACATATGTACCCCAGAAATATGTCTGATTTTATGTATCCATAAAAATTTAAACAAAAATGTTAGGGTAAATGCTAAAAGAAATATACATATGTTATGCAATTTGTAAAACAGTAAAAAAAAAACTAGATAAAAACTAAATTTAGCACTCTAAGAGAATGCAATAAAGAATAAATAAAAATATATTAAAAAGTAGGACAAAGAAACCACAAATAAGGCAGTAGAAAACTTCCGAAGATTTGTAATTTACATAAATACAAATTGATTGGGTTCAGTTAAAATTCAGAAATGCTAAGACAATAAAAATAAAGCAAAATCCAGCTGTAGATTGTCTACAAGAGGCATCTAAACAAATAACACTAAGATTAGAAGCTGACATCTCTATATTAATATTAGACACATTTAAGGCAAAAAACATAACTTATGGTAAAGGTCACTGCATGATGATAGGAATATTCAATTCACCTGGAAGATATGATGATTCTAAAATTTGGATAGGTCTAATCACTAGATCAAAAATATTTTTTAAAATGGGCAGAGCTACATTAAGGAGTTTGCAAGCCCACTATCATTATTTTCAATAATTTTTAGAACAAGGAGTAAAAAATAAGTATATATGTGTATTTGAATATATAATAAGCTATATATTTGAAATACACAATTCACCGTCTTGATTGAATGGACATATTTAGAACATTACATCCCAAATTGAGCAATATTCATTGTTTTCAACCACACAGAAACTATTAAATAGTAATCATGTTTGCTAAGCCATAAAGCATGCTCTAGATTCCTCTTTATGGTTGGTATCATAAAGATCATACTCTCAGTCTACAATGCAATTAAATTATAAATGACCACCAACAAAAATAAAGTAAAAATTAGAATAACTAAGCCAGGAGCACAAAATTTAACAACTAACTCATGGGTACAAACTAATAAACAAAATTGGATATTAAACATGATTTAGAAAAAAATGAAATATTATATTGCAAGTTTTTTGATACATTTTATATTTTCATACATATCACCAATTAAGTTTCACATACTGTTCTAAAAAGTTTCAAATATTAGCTCATTGAATTCCCATAACAATCATCATATGTATTACTACTATTATACTTATTTTATAGTTGGAAAATCTAAAGAACAGAGACATTAAATAACTTGGCCAAACTAACATGCATTTTAAGTACTGGAGTATGGATTAAACCTAGTTACCTGAGTACATCTGCTTAGCAACTATGCCATACTGCTTTTCAACAATCTCATCTAAATAAATAGGATATATTATAACTTTATGCAAATATATCTGAAAATTTAGATGAATTAAATACATTTATAAAAAAAGCAGTTACTTGCTAAAAGCACTCAAAAAGAAGAAAAATAGTTTTGAATCACTAAAGTCATTGAATTCATAATTTAGTTTTTTCTCACTAAAAGAACAAAAACTAGGTTATTTATTTTAACAGTGACTTCTACCGAACATTCAAAGAATATATAATTTCAACTTTGTAAACGTTTATAAAATAGTAAAAGCAGGCAACATAATTAACTCATGGGGCTAGTATAATCTTGACACGAAAACTGTATCAGGATACTATGAGAAAGGAAAATTACAACCCAACCTCTCTCAAGAACCTAGATGCTAAAATCCTAAACAAACTACTGGTAAATTTAATCTACACATGTATAAGAAGAAAAACACACGATAGATAGAATTGATTTAATCAAGGATGTGTGGCCATTTTAACAAAAAAATATGATAGCCTTAACAGATACATAAATTATATTTTAAAAAGTCAAAATTCACCACTAATAAGGAAGTTTTGCATATTAGAAATAGAAAGATACTTTCTTAACCTGACATTATTATCTACCAAAAGATCACAGTACATATCATACTTAATGAGAAATTATTTAAACTTTTTTTTAATTAAGAAAGAAGACAAGGAGCCCACTTTTACCACTTTATTAATCATTGCACTTCAGGTCTTAGGAAAGGGAAGAGTGCAAAAAAAAAAAAAAAAAACTACAATTATAAGAATTGCAAAGGAAGTAACTAAATTTTATTATTCGCAGAAGATATAATTTGATTTTTTTATAAAAACACAGTTACTTCTGTGTTATGGGGACAGGATTAATATATTAGTAAATATTAAGCCCTCTGCTGAGAAAAAAAGAAGGTCTCTCTACCCCTAACCTCCCTCAGCTGTACTTTACAGCACTCTGTTATTTTCAGGGAGGAGGTTATGGTCATCCTCAGAAGCAAAACTGACGGAAAATGTATAGCCATGCCTATTCATTATGTATTATCTCTGGCTGATTTCCTTATGATAGAGTGAGTAGCTGCAACAGAGACCATATGCCTGGCCAACATGTGGATTAGAATCTTGCATCCTGGCCAGGCACGGTGGCTCACGCCTGTAATCACAGCACTTTGGGAGGCTGAGGTGGGCAGATCACCTGAGGTGAGGAGTCCGAGACCAGCCTGACCAACATGGCGAAACCTGGTCTCTACTAAAAATACAAAAATTAGCTGGGTATGGTGTAATCCCAACTACTCGGGAGGCTGAGGCAGGAGAGTCACTTGAACCCGGGAGGCGGAAGTTGCAGTGAGCCGAGATCACACCATTGCAACTCCAGCCTGGGCAACAGAGCGAGACTCTGTCTCAAAATAATAATAATAAAAATCTTGCATCCCTCAGACAGAAAATAGACTTATTTTGTATATCCATAAAACACTTAAAAATGTCATATATCATATCACATATTTTGCTATAAAGAAAATTTAATGTCAATGAAAACAGATTTAAAGCCTATGCTTTTTGATGCTAATTCAAATAAATTAAAAATGAATAATAGGAATGTTATCAAAATTAATGTCAATAGAGATTTAATTTTCTGATATCAATTCAAGTAAATTAAAAATAAATAATGTTATCAAAATTAGAAATAGAAGAAATATACACCCAGGTAACCATTACACTGAAAGGGATTCTAAGAGGGAAAGTTAAAAAATACGTATAAAGCAATGAAAAGCAGGACAACTGACATCAAAATGTACAGTGTTGAGTTGTACATCCATAGTAAAATATAGAGCATGAAAGCTATTATTATTATAATTTTTAATTTTTCTCATTTTATTTAATTTTTGAGATGGAGTCTCACTTTGTCACCTGGGCTGGAGTGCCCTGGCATGATCTTGGCTCACTGCAACCTTTGCCTCCCAGGTCAAGTCATTATCCCACCTCAGCTTTCCAAGTAGCTGGGACCACAGTTGTGTGCCAACATGCCTGGCTAAGTTTTTGTACTTTAGGTAGAGACAGTGTATCACCATTTTGCCCAGTCTGGTTTCAAACTGCTGAGCTCAAGCGATGCACCCGTCTCGGCCTCCCAAAGTGCTGGGTTTACAGGCATGAACCACTGCACCCAGCACAATGTAATTTTTAAATAAAAACCTGGCCAGGTGCGATGGCTCACGCCTGTAATCCCAACACTTTAGAAGGCAAAGTGGGTGGATCACCTGAGGTCAGGAATTCAACACCAGCCTGGCCAACATGGAGAAACTCCATCTCTACTAAAAATACAAAAATTAGCTGAGTATGGTGGTGCACACCTGTAATCTCAGCTACTCGGGAGGCTGAGGCAGGAGAACTGCTTGAACCCAGGAGGCAGGGGTTGCAGTGAGCCGAGATTGCACCACTGTACTTCAGCCTGGGTGAGAGAATGAGGCTCCATGAAAGCAAAACAAAAACAAACAAACAAAACAAAAAACCCACAATTTTGGAAGATAGAGTTAACAGATGGTCTGGGAGTGTTCTATCCTTAATTCTGTGGAAGCTTAGATAAAAAAATCCTGCTTGACAAAAGAAACTACCATCAGAGTGAACAGGCAACCTACAAAATGGGAGAAAATTTTCGCAACCTACTCATCTGACAAAGGGCTAATATCCAGAATCTACAATGAACTCAAACAAATTTACAAGAAAAAAACAACCCCATCAAAAAGTGGGCGAAGGATATGAACAGACACTTCTCAAAAGAAGACATTTATGCAGCCAAAAAACACATGAAAAAATGCTCACCATCACTGGCAATCAGAGAAAAGCAAATCAAAACCACAATGAGATACCATCTCACCCCAGTTAGAATGGCAATCATTAAAAAGTCAGGAAACAACAGGTGCTGGAGAGGATGTGGAGAAATAGGAACGCTTTTACACTGTTGGTGGGACTGTAAACTAGTTCAACCATTGTGGAAGTCAGTGTGGCGATTCCTCAGGGATCTAGAACTAGAAATACCATTTGACCCAGCCATCCCATTACTGGGTATATACCCAAAGGACTATAAATCATGCTGCTATAAAGACACATGCACACGTATGTTTATTGCGGCATTATTCACAATAGCAAAGACTTGGAACCAACCCAAATGTCCAACAATGATAGACTGGATTAAGAAAATGTGACACATATACACCATGGAATACTATGCAGCCATAAAAAATGATGAGTTCATGTCCTTTGTAGGGACATGGATGAAATTGGAAATCATCATTCTCAGTAAACTATCGCAGGAACAAAAAACCAAACACTGCATATTCTCACTCATAGGTGGGAATTGAACAATGAGATCACATGGACACAGGAAGGGGAACATCACACTCTGGGGACTGTTGTGGGGTGGGGGGAGGGGGGAGGGATAGCATTGGGAGATATACCTAATGCTAGATGACGAGTTAGTGGGTGCAGCACACCAGCATGGCACATGTATACGTATGTAACTAACCTGCACAATGTGCACATGTACCCTAAAACTTAAAGTATAGTAAAAAAAAAAAATCCTGCTTGATGGTTTGCAGTCATAAGAGAATAACTGACACTTGACAAGCCTTCTTACCATAATCAATCAGAAAATTAGAAGACTATATGAATAATCTTTTTACTTATGGAAAACAGGAATCACAATAATGTACTCTCTGCACAAAGGGATAAAGATAAAGTGAAGTTTTAAATTACCACATATTATTAACTAAAGACACTTTCCAGGCAATAACATACTATGGTGGTTTAACTAATTTGAGGAGTTAGAAATTATACAAAGATTTTAAAAAGCTAAGGCAGCTACAAACTATAGAGAATAATACCAGGAAAATATGGCATTATATACAGGAAGAAGTCCATGCTTCTAAAATGGCATCCTGTTGAGTTTTTAGCTCTATATTAAGTTGTACAATCTAGTGTGATACCCAGGCAAATGACAACTTCTTGTAGAAAAAAAGATTACTGTGCAGGTGTGAAAAGAATAAGTCTCAATTTCACACAAGACTGGAAAATATTTTCTAACTGACTAGTAAGAGAGGAGGGACTTGGTTGAATGTCTAGCACATCTTACAGAGACCCCAGAAAATTTATCTCCATTTAGGAGAACTGAAGGATCCATAAAGTAAAATTGACATTATATGTCCCATAACAGCATTTACATATAAGCCTTAAAAAATCATGATCATACATAAACTTGTTAAAACAAAATTCTCCAATCTTTAAAAGCAGACAAAACTCAACAATAGCATAGCAGTAAAACTGTCCGATATGCAATAAAATATGTAATACATGGAAAGAAACAAGAAGAGATATAGCTAGGAAAAATATTAGTCAACAGAAATAGATTTAGAAATAGCACAGATGACACAATTAACAGGAAAGACCTTGGAAACATTTAATGAGGGGGAGAGAGGTTAAGATATAAAAACAGCCAATAGAACTTGTAAAATAACTCATTATCTGAGATTAAAAACTTACTGGTGTGATTTGACACTACAGACAAATAAAATAATCTCAAAGACACAGCATTAGAAACTATACAAACTGAAGCACGTGTATTTTGAAAAGATTTGTAAGTAGTTAAGAAAGGCTCAGTAACCT
Organism: Homo sapiens; assembly: GCF_000001405.40. Classification (NCBI taxonomy): domain Eukaryota; kingdom Metazoa; phylum Chordata; class Mammalia; order Primates; family Hominidae; genus Homo; species Homo sapiens. The sequence goes on along the minus strand of NC_000002.12, from coordinate 185,773,498 downwards.
GCAGGAAAATATCAGGTGATCTAATGTATGTTTGAATTGGGGTCCCAGACTACAGTCAAAGTGAAAGAATAAATTATAAAATTAGCTAGAGAAAAGCATCTAGTCACTTACAAAGAAAACCTCATTAGAATAACAGCAGATTTCTCAGCAGAAACCTTACACGCCAGAAGAGAATGACATAAAATATTCAAAGTTTTGAAAGAAAAATAGTGCTGACCAAGAATTCTATGTTTAACAAGATTAAGCTTCACAAATTCAGGAGAAATAAATTTTTCCCAAACAAGCAAATACCGAGGGAGTTCATCACCACTAAACTGGTCCTATAAGAAATGCTCTGGGCCTGGCGTGTTGGATCATGCTTGTAATCCCAGCACTTTGGGAGGCTGAGGCAGATAGATTGCTTTGAGCCCAGGAGTTTGAGAACAGCCTGGGCAATATGACAAAACCCCATCTGTACTAAAAAAATACAAAACTAGCTGGTATGGTGGCATGTGTCTGTAGTCTCAGCTATTTGGGAAGCTGAGGTGGGAAGATGGCTTGAGCCTAGGATGTGGAGATTACAGTGAGCTGAGATCATGCCACTGCACTCCAGCCTGGGTGACAGAGCTAGATCTGAAAAAAGAAAAAGAAAAAAACAAAAACAAAAGAAAAGAAAGGAGAAGAAAAAGAGAAGAGGAGAGGAGGGGAGGGGAGGAAAAGAAAAGCTAAAAAAAATTCTAAACTCAGGTGATATTCACCATTATGAAAACACACAAAAGTACAAAATCAGTGACATGGTTTGGATGTTTTATCCCCTTCAAATATCAGTTTGAAATGTAATCTCCCAGTGTTGGAGGTGAGGCCTGATGGGAAGTGTTTGGATCATAGGTGCAGATCCCTCATGGATGACTTGGTGCCCTCCTTACAGCAGTAATGAGTGAGTTCTTGTGCTGAGTTCACATGAGAACTGGCTGTTTAAAAGAGTTTGACACCCACCCACTGCTGCTTTCTTACCATGTGATATGCCTGCTCCCCTACTTCACCTTCTGCCATGAGTGGAAGCTTTCTGAAGCTCTCACCAGAAGCAACGCTGGTGCCATGCAGAACCGTGAGAAAAATAACCTATTTTCTTTATAAACTACCCAGCCTCAGGTATTCCTTTATAGCAATACAAATGAAACACAGAAAATTGGTACCAAGAAGTAAGGCATTGCTATAAAGATACATGAAAACATGGAGGCAGCTTTGGAAATGGGTAATGGAGAGAGATAAGAAAAGTTTGAGGGCTCTGGCTCTGAAGAACACAGGAAAATGAGGAAAAGTTTGGAACTTCTTAGGGACTGGTTAAATGGTGGTGACTGAAATGCTGATAGAAATATAGACAGCAAAGTCCAGGCTGATAAGATTTCAGATGGAAATGAGAAAGTTATTAGGAACTGAGCCAAAGGTCACACTTGTTATTCCTTAGCAAAGAGCTTGACTGCATTGTGTCCATGTCCTGGGCATTTGTGGAAGGTTGAACTTAAAGAGTGATGTCTTACAGTATTTGGCAGAACAAATTTCTAAGCAGCAAAGCATTCGAGAAATGATGTGGCTGCTTCTAACAACCTATAATCAGATATTGGGGCAAAGAAATGACTTAAAGTTGGAACTTATATTTAAAAGGGAAGCAAAGTGTAAAAATTTGTAAGGTTCACAAGCTGTCTTTGTGATAGAAAAGGAAAGGGTGTTTTCAAGACAGAAATACAAGCAGGTTGTGGAGCAATCACTTACTAGAGAGATTAGCATGACTAAAAGGGGGCCAAGTGTTAACAACCAAGACAATGGAAAAAAAGCCCTCAAAGGCATTTCAGAAGTCTTTGGGAAAGCCCCTCCCATCACAGGCCCAGAGGCCTAGGAGGAAAGAATGGTTTTAGGGGCCAGACCCAGGAAACTGATCCTCTGCTCAGCCTCAGGACACTGCTGCTCACATCCTGGCCACTCCAGCTCCAGCCTCAGCTCAAAGGGCCCAGGTACAATTTGGGATGCCACTGTGGACATTGCAAGGCATAAGCCTTGTCAGGTTCTATGTGCTGTTTAGTCTGCAGGTTTACAAAATGCAAAAGTGAAGGAGGCCTGGCAGCTCCATATAGATTTCAGAGTATGTATGAGAAAGGCAGGATGTCCAGGCAGAAGCCTGCTGCAGGGCTGAAGCCCCTGCAGAGAGACTCTAGTAGGGCAGTGCCAAGGGGAAATGTGGGATTGAAGAACTCACACTGAGTCCTCACTGGGCACTACCTAGTGGAACTGTGGGAACAGGACCAATGCACTCCAGATCCCAGCATGGTACAGCCACCAGCAGCTTGCCACCTCAGCATGGGAAAGCAGCAGGCATTAGACTCAAATCAGTGACAGAAGCCATGGGGGTTCCACCCTGAAAAGCCACAGTGGTGGGGCTGCCTAATGCCTTGGGAGACCACCCCTTTTTTTTAGTGTTCCCAGGATGAGAGACATGGAATCAAGGGAGATTATTTTGGAGCTTTGAGATTTAATGTTGGCACTGCTAGGTTTTAGATTTGCATGGGGCATGTTGCCCCTTTATTTTGACTGTTTTCTCCCTCTTAGAATGGAAATTCTACCCAATGCCTGTACCACCATAGTATCTTGGATGTAATAACATGTTTTTGATTTCAGAAGCTCATAAGTGAAGGCAATATACATTAAGTCTCAAATTAAATTTTGGACCTTGGACTTTTTATTGAATTAATGCTGGAATAAGTTAAGATTTGGGGGGACTATTGGGAAGGGATGATTGTATTTTGCAATATAAAAAATACATGAGATTTGGTGGCCAGTGGCAGAATGATATGGTTTGGATGTTTTGTCTCCTCAATATTTCATGTTGAAGTATAATTCCCAATGTTGGGGGTGGGGCCTGGTGGGAGGTGCTTTGGTCATGGGAATGGATCCCCCATAAATGACTTTGTGCCCACTTCATGGTAAACAGTGAGTTCTCACTCTGAGTTCTGATTGTTTAAGAGCGTGGCACCCACCCACTGCTGCTTTCTCACCATGTGATATGCCTGCTTCCCCTTCACCTTCTGCCATGAGTGGAAGCTTCCTGAGGCCCTGAGCAGAAGCAATTCTGGTGCCGTGCGTGTATAGCCTACTGGGAGCCAAATCAGGATTGCAATGTGATTCACAACAACCAGAAAATGAATGAAATACTTAAGAAATACCACTAACCAGGGAGGTTCAAGATCTCTGCACTGAGAATTACAAAACACTGCTCAAAGAAACCAGAGATGACACAAACAAGTAGAAAAAGGTACTATGCTCATAGATAGGAAGAATTAATATTGTTAAAATGACCATGCTGCCCAAAGCAATTTACAGATTCAATGCCATTCCTATCAAACTACCAATGGCATTCTTCACACAACAAGAAAACATTATTTTAAAATTTGTATGGAACCAAAAGAAAGAGCCTGAATAGCCAAGGCAATCCTAAACAAAAAGAACAAAGCAGGAGGCATCAAGCTACCTGAATTCAAAGTATACTACAGGTCTACAGTAACCAAACAGCATGGTATTGGTACAAAAATAGATATATAGGCCTGCAACCATCTGATCTTTGACAAAGCTGACAAAAACAAGCAATGGGGAAAGGATTCCCTATTCAATAAATGGTTCTGGAATAACTGGCTAGCCATATGCGGAAGATCAAAACTGGGCCCCTCCTATACAGAAATCAACACAAGATGGATTAAAGACTGAAATGTAAAACTCTATTTATAAAAACCTTGGAAGACAACATAGGCAATACCATTCAGGACATAGGAACTGACGAAGGTTTCATGAAGAAGATGCCAAAAGCAATTGCAACAAAGGCAAAAATTGACAAATGGGATCTACTGAAACTAAAGAGCTTCTGCACAGCAAAAGAAACTAGTAATACAGTAAACAGACAACCTAGAAAATGGGAAAAAATATTTGCAAACTATGCATCTGGCAAGAGTCTAATATTCAGCATCTGTAAGTAACTTAAATTTATAAGAAAAAAAATTCCATTAAAAAGAGGGCAAAGGATATGAACAGACACTTTTCAAAATAAGATAAACATGCAGTCAGCAGCATATTTAAAAAAGCCCAATATCACTGATCATTAGATAAATGCAAATCAAAATCACAATGAGATACCATCTTGCACCAGTCAGGATGGTTAGTATTAAAAAGAAAATAATAGATGCTGGCAAGGTTGCAGAGAAAAGGGAACATTTATACATTGTTGGTGGGAGTGTAAATTAATTCAACCACTGTGGAAAGTCGTGTGATGATTCCTCAAAGAGCTAAAAACAGAACTACCATTTGACCCTGAGATCCCATTACTGGCTATATACCCAAAGGAACCATACACCATTCTATCATAAAGACACACGCATGTGTATGTTCATTGCAGCACATTACTCACAATAGCAAAGACATGGAATCAACCTAAATGTTCACCAATGGTAGACTAGATTTTTAAAAATATGGCACATATATACCATAGAATACTATGCAGCCATGGAAAAGAATTAGATCATGTCCTTTGCAGGAACATGGATGGAGCTGGAGGCCATTGTCCTTAGCAAACTAACACAGGAACAGAAAACCAAATCCGCATGTTCTCACTTATAAGTGGGAGCTAAATGATGAGAAAACATGGACTCGAAGAGGGGAATGACACCGAGGCCACACTGTGGTAGAGGGTTGGAGCAGGGAGAGGATCAGAAAAAATAATGATTGAGTACTAGTATTAGGCTTAGTACCAGAGTGATGAAATAATCTGTACAACAAACCCTCATGACATAAGTTTATCTGTAAAACAAACCCGCACATGTATGACTCAGCCTAAAATAAAGATTTTCTTAATAAAGAAAATAACTATTTGCCCATTAAAAATAAAATAAAACAACATAAATATGGAAAATAACTATATGCCAATTAAAAATAACATAAAAAAGAAACAATAGGGAAAGATAATTTTTTCAATAAATGTTGTTGGGAAAACGGTATGTCCACAGGCAGAAGAATTAAATTGGACCCTTACCTCACATCATATACAAAAAATAACAAAAAATGAATTAAAGATATAAACATAAGGCCTTAAGGCATAAAAGTGTAAGAGAGAACATACAAAGCTTCTTGATGTTGATCTGGGCAATAAATGTTTGGGTATGGCACTAAATGCACAGGCAATAAAAGCAAAAATAGAAAAATGAGATTGCATCAAGTTAAAAAGTTTTTGCATTGCTGTAAAACAATAAAGTGAGAAAGCAACCTACAGAATTGTATAAAATACTTGTAAACCATATATCTGATAAGGTGTTATTATCCCAAGCATATAAAAATCTGAAACAACTCAATAGTAAAAAAAAATTATTAAAAATAAAAATACAATCAAAACCATAATGATATACCACTTCACATCTCTTAGAATGCCTATTATCAAAAAAGTAAAAGACAACAAGTATTGGCAAGATTGTGAAGAAAAAGAAATCCTTGCACATAGTTGGTAGAAATGTAAATTTGTACAGACATTGTAGAAAACAGTATGAAGGTTCCTCAACAATTACCTTATGATCGATCTAGCAATTCAACTTCTGGGTACATATCCAAAGGAAATGAAATCATATGTTTTCGTTATGTTTTCAGTATGTTGAAGAGATATCTGCACTCTCATGTTTACTGCAGCATTATTCACAATAGCTAATATATAGAAACAAATGTACATCAACAGATGAGGGCATAAAGAAAATCTGATATATACCAAGAGATAGATCTATCTGTCTAAGTAGATGTATAAATAAACACAGATACACAGACAGACAGACAGACAGACAGATATAATACAATACTATTTAGCCTTTCAAACAAAGGAAATCCTGCCATTTGTGACAACATCAAAGAACTTGGAGAACATCATGCTAAGTGTAATAAGCTAAATGCAGAAAGACTAAAAACGGCATGATTTATATGTGTTATATAAAAATGTCAAGCTCATAGGAACAGAGAATAGAATGGTGGTTACCAGGAGTTATGGGGAGGAGGATATATAAGATGAATAAGTGTGGAAGATCTAATGTACAACAGTGTGACTGTAGTTAACAATATTGTGTCATTAAAAACTGCTAAGAGTAGCTCTTTTTTTTATTTTTTATTTTTTTATTTTTATTTTTTATTATACTTTAAGTTTTAGGGTACATGTGCACATTGTGCAGGTTAGTTACATATGTATACATGTGCCATGCTGGTGCGCTGCACCCACTAACTCGTCATCTAGCATTAGGTATATCTCCCGATGCTATCCCTCCCCCCTGCCCCCACCCCACAACAGTCCCCAGAGTGTGATATTCCCCTTCCTGTGTCCATGTGATCTCATTGTTCAATTCCCACCTATGAGTGAGAATATGCGGTGTTTGGTTTTTTGTTCTTGCGATAGTTTACTGAGAATGATGATTTCCAATTTCATCCATGTCCCTACAAAGGACATGAACTCATCATTTTTTATGGCTGCATAGTATTCCATGGTGTATATGTGCCACATTTTCTTAATCCAGTCTATCATTGTTGGACATTTGGGTTGGTTCCAAGTCTTTGCTATTGTGAATAATGCCACAATAAACATACGTGTGCGTGTGTCTTTATAGCAGCATGATTTATAGTCCTTTGGGTATATACCCAGTAATGGGATGGCTGGGTCAAATGGTATTTCCAGTTCTAGATCCCTGAGGAATCGTCACACTGACTTCCACAATGGTTGAACTAGTTTACAGTCCCACCAACAGTGTAAAAGTGTTCCTATTTCTCCACATCCTTTCCAGCACCTGTTGTTTCCTGACTTTTTAATGCTTGCCATTCTAACTGGTGTGAGATGGTATCTCATTGTGGTTTTGATTTGCATTTCTCTGATGGCCAGTGATGGTGAGCATTTTTTCATGTGTTTTTTGGCTGCATAAATGTCTTCTTTTGAGAAGTGTCTGTTCATGTCCTTCACCCACTTTTTGATGGGGTTGTTTGTTTTTTTCTTGTAAATTTGTTTGAGTTCATTGTAGATTCTGGTTATTAGCCCTTTGTCAGATGAGTAGGTTGCGAAAATTTTCTCCCATTTTGTAGGTTGCCTGTTCACTCTGATGGTAGTTTCTTTTGCTGTGCAGAAGCTCTTTAGTTTAATTAGATCCCATTTGTCAATTTTGGCTTTTGTTGCCATTGCTTTTGGTGTTTTAGACATGAAGTCCTTGCCCATGCCTATGTCCCGAATGGTAATGCCTAGGTTTTCTTCTAGGGTTTTTATGGTTTTAGGTCTAACGTTTAAGTCTTTAATCCATCTTGAATTGATTTTTGTATAAGGTGTAAGGAAGGGATCCAGGTTATTCAATTAGGAAAAGAGGAAGTCAAATTGTCCCTGTTTGCAGACGACATGACTGTATATCTAGAAAACCCCATTGTCTCAGCCCAAAATCTCCTTAAGCTGATAAGCAACTTCAGCAAAGTCTCAGGATACAAAATCAATGTACAAAAATCACAAGCATTCTTATACACCAACAACAGACAAACAGAGAGCCAAATCATGAGTGAACTCCCATTCACAATTGCTTCAAAGAGAATAAAATACCTAGGAATCCAACTTACAAGGGATGTGAAGGACCTCTTCAAGGAGAACTACAAACCGCTGCTCAAGGAAATAAAAGAGGATACAAACAAATAGAAGAACATTCCATGCTCATGGGTAGGAAGAATCAATATCGTGAAAATGGCCATACTGCCCAAGGTAATTTATAGATTCAATGCCATCCCCATCAAGCTACCGATGACTTTCTTCACAGAATTGGAAAAAACTACTTTAAAGTTCATATGGAACCAAAAAAGAGCCCGCATCACCAATTCAATCCTAAGCCAAAAGAACAAAGCTGGAGGCATCACACTACCTGACTTCAAACTATACTACAAGGCTACAGTAACCAAAACAGCATGGTACTGGTACCAAAACAAAGATATAGATCAATGGAACAGAACAGAGCCCTCAGAAATAACGCCGCATATCTACAACTATCTGATCTTTGACAAACCTGAGAAAAACAAGCAATGGGGAAAGGATTCCCTATTTAATAAATGGTGCTGGGAAAACTGGCTAGCCATATGTAGAAAGAGAGTAGCTCTTAAGTGTTCTTCTGCCACCACACACAAATAGTAACTACATGAAGTGAGGATATGTTAATTGGCTTGCTTGTGGTGAACACTTTACTGTATATACACATATCAAGTTGTATATGATTCTCCTTGTCTTATGATGGTGTTACATCTTGATTAGCCAATTGTAAGTCAAAAATATTGTAAGCTGAGAATGCATTTAATACCCCAATAAACCGACAGTAAAGTTGAAAAACCCTAAATTGAATCATTACAAGTTGGGGACCATCTGTACCGTCAATATATACAGTTTTAAATTATCCACTATACCTTAATAAAGTTGTGGTGTGGGAGAGAAGCTGCTGTAAAAGCAGAAAACAGTAAGTATAAGGATATGAGTACAAAAACTTTAATTTTTTTGCAAATTTTGGTTGTCAACATTAGTACAAACAATAAAAATAACAAAAAGAAAATAGGAAATTCCTTCTGATCCTTCATGTCTCAACGCAGTCTCTTTCTAAATTATAAAGGCTTCTATGATGACCCTAGATAGGTCTATGCATTCTCTTTCCCATAACTTTCCCAGCTTTTACACATACCCACTTCCTTTATTGCTCTTATCATATTGGGCCATGACTATCTTTCCAAGTATACTGTAAGAACCCTGAGCAAAAATTGTGCCATTTTTCCTTGAATGATTAAAACTTAGCACCATATCTAACATGAAGCAAAAACTCAGTAAATGTCAGTTGAAAGAATAAATAGAATGCAAGATTTACTCAATAATTACTGCTGATATTTACCTGATTCGCAGAGATAGCTTGATCTCTTGGTTGGTCTTCCATCCCAATCAGCATTTGTCTCCTTCTACATAATTCACAACAGCAAAACAAATAGATCCACAAAAAAAAATTTTAGGACTCAAACATCAACTATTATTTCTATATTTATAGTACAGAAATTTAAGATTTTGAGAATTTCTCTTTAATGTCAATTTATAAGAAATGCACGTTTTTATTATGTTTATATTACAGGTATTATTTATAGAATTCAAAGTTCATAGTTGTATCAAAAGTTGTACTTAAAACCACCTACACATTTGGTAATTTGCTGAGACTTTGGGATTTAGCATATAGTTGTACTTTCATCTAACACATCTAAGATTTAATATGGATGGCAATCTAAGATTTAATATGGATGGCAATGCTGATAGTGCACACATTACCCTAAAAAGGTCAGTAATAAAATTTAGACACTGTTTTTAAAGGAATTTTTTTTAAGTTAAGGGCATAGCCTTTATAATATTTTGGCCAATATGACACCCAATGTCAAAGCTGTTAAAAAATTTTTTTTTATTCTTAGCATATTTAATGTGGCTATTGATATGGTAGAACAGTGAACTAAACCTGATGTACATTTGTCAAATGTTTATTATAAAACTGCACTACAGAAAATCGCATTGTGGTAAACATACTACATTTTAGGAGTTATACATAATTTAGTGTCTCAATTATTATGCATTCTAGGACATGGAAAATGATGCCACTTTCTACTCTAGTTATGAAGAATTCTTTTGGAAATAATTTAGTACATTTCTAGTTTATTGAAATCTATTTCAAACCACATTAACTCCCTAGGGCAGTTGAGCTAGTTAATACTATACTAATGATGAAACCAAAGATACATGTTTGATTCCTGTAACAAGTTGGCAACCCACAGAAAAAAATCTATTTCATGTCCAAAAGCTATACCCTGAATCTTTGCTGGTATCTCTCGAACAGCAGGTAACTGATCACTGGTCAAAAAGTACTAAATCATTACTGTACAAGCCCAGTCAAAGAAGTCCAACTTTATACTTCCTCTAAAAGTTGTAGATACGTACCATGAACTAACATCTTGTAGCTTACATTTAAGCAGACTGTTCAAGGGCTATTAAAACGTTATTATTGTATGACTAATTTCAGGGAATAAAGTTGTTTTGTATGGTTACATAAATCATGACATTTTATACCAATTATGACCATAAGATCATATCCCTTTTATTGTGTTTGTATTTGGGGTAAAAGAACTGTTATATACCTCTTCTTTTGAAGGATCCAAAAATGCCTGTGAAACTCTGGAAAAATTTCTCGTGGGTGATACCTGCGCTGAAATAATTGAACCTTGGCCTGAAATATTTATACCTCCTAGAGAAAGAAGAGATAACTTTAAATATGAGAAGCTGATATTGCTGGGACAAGGGTTAATATTAATTTACAGCATTACTCCAACATTCTCCCTGCTCAGCTGCCACAGTGACTAGAATTGCCACAATCAGGGATTTATTTGAGTCAAGGAAATATCTCCAAAAATAACACGTCTTTTTTGATGTTTACTGCCTACAAATTTCCAGTGGTTCCCATTGCCTTCAAAGACAAGCCTGAAATCCTTATTTAATGTTTTATGCCAGCTTAATCTTCTGCTATAACCACAGCCTACCGCTAGAATTAACTTTTTGCATTTGAGTAATTAGGCAATGAAAAATCATCTGGATAGTGAAATAAACAAAGCTGTGATTTAGGAAGATTGTTTCATAGAAAAATGTATAGTGGGTTAAAAAGAGGAAGATGAAATTGGAGGAAGATTACTGCAATAGTGAAGAATGGAGAAAACAAGGGTAGGAGCAAAGGGAATGGAAAAAAGTGAAGATCAAAATAAATTAAGGAAGTAGAATAGGCAGAAAATGTGAACTTTTAGATACAAAATATAAAAGGAAGAGTCCAAGGCAACTTAGGTTTTGTGCCTGGGTGAAATAAAAGGGTCAGGAAGATGATGATGAATTGAGTTTTGTATTAAATTTGAGGTGATCCTTAGCAACTGGAGGAAGATGTCTCATGTTTTCTGTATGCATATGTCAGATATGTATGTGAGTATTTTTAGTGACTTGCATAAACATAACAAGGCACACAGATATTGGGTAATGAATATTTCATTTAAAGACAAATGGGAAACAAAATGTATCATTTGTTGGAAATTAATGGCAGTGAAATATGGAAACAATCTTGGGGATAGTTCTTTGTATTCCAATCTCCTGAAGCCACTATGCCAGCGTCTTTATCTGTAACTACAAACAGCTACAGCAAGGACCCTATCTTTTCCACACTTTGCAAATTCCAAAAGGCACACTCATCCAGCAATCACTCAAATATATGGGCTAATTATAATATCTATATTCATAAAAAATTTATATCAGCCTTAATTTTTTAGAATAAGCATATTTTTATAATCAGATAAAACAACTTAAAATATATAATAAAACTATAATTGCATGCCTAATAACAGAAAAATTATGACTATTGTTTATTTTCTTACCTCTATCATCGAAAATACTTGAGTTTTTAGATACCATCCCATCTCTCTACATGGTACCACATTGAAGAGAAAAAATTACATTAGTAACTGTACTTCCAAAAAAGATTCTGCCTTCTATCAATTAACCAATGAATACAGATGTTTTCCCTCTTTTAACCAGTAACTCATAAAAACTGTTTAGGTAAAATACATATCATCAACCTCCTAGGATACCTTTCATATAATCTCAAGTTTAACTAGTCCAAAACTGAGTTCAATATGTAGCAATGTATAAACTTACTTCTTCTCCAGTCTTCCTACTTTGCCTAAAGGCATGGTAATACATGCTGTGGTTGGTTCTAAAAAGTTTAGATTCATTCAGTTTGTCTCAGAGAAATCCAATGTAATCCATTCATACCCAGTCCAAACCAGTGTAATGCTTATTAAAAACACTGTTTAGAACCAAAGTAAAATTCATCATTCCAGGATAATTTTATTGGAATAGTATCTTTCTGTGTCTGCTGCCTCACTAGACAATGAGTCTTTTAGAGGAGCAATTATGTCTTATTCTTTTTATCTTATATTACCCAATTTCTTATATTTAATTTATCTTATATTACCCAATTATTGTTTTCCTTCATTCTAGCTTAGTACAACACCTAGTCAATAGTATATGCTCAATAAATGCAAGCTGTCATTATTATTATTACTGCCAAATGTTTGTTTGGGTTATTTTCTGCTAAAATCCGTAGTGTGTTTAGCACAAAGCTAACTTAACACTTTTTCTGCCAGGAAAATGGATCATGTTTCATGAATAAAACTCAGTATCCCTAAACAATCAGTACTATGCTGCTGAAGGAGAGAGTTCATAGAAATAAAAGTTAAGTAGATAAATTAATAAATACAACACAAAACTTTAAAGCATAATTGTATACCTTTTGATTTATACCATTATCCTGTACATCTGCCTGATAAACAACAGAAGCTGAGTTTTTTTTCGTAAAATTATTTGAACTATTTTGACGCTGATGAGCAGCATTTGCTGTATGTCCTAAAAGAAAACGAGAGAGAAACTCTATAGTTTTTTTTTTTTTTAACAGCTTTAGGAAAGTACAATCAAAGTACAATAAATTGTATCTATTTAATTATTTAATTGACTTGGAAATATGTATCCAACTGTGAAACCATCACTGCATTCAAGATAACATGTCTATTATCCCTAGAAGTTTTCTAATGCAACTTTGTGATTTATCCATCTCTCTGTTCTCATACTCCAACAACACTGATCTATACCACTAACTCAAGATTAGTTTGCGCTTTCTAGAATTTCATATTTCCCTGGCTTCTTTCACTCAGGACAACGTTGTTGCATGTATCAATGGTATTGCTTTTCTTTTTCATTTCTGAGAAGAATTCTATTGTATGGCTATGCTATAATTTTTTATCCACTTACCTGTTGATGGACATTTGGATTGTTTCCAGTTTTTATAAATAAATATTTATTTAGTTTACTTGTTTATATTATTTTATTATAATAAATATAAATTTTATTTTATTATAAATAAAATTTATAAATAATAAATTTCTTTGAACTTTCATGTACAGGTCATGTGTGAACACATTTTTTTTTCATTTTTACTGGGTAAATACCTAGTAGCTGAGTGACTGGTCACATGGTAAATATAGGTTTAACTTAAATAAAAAGCCAAACCAGTTTTTCAATGTCGTTGTACCATTTTACATATCAATCAGCAGTGCATCAGAGTTTCAGTTCTTTCACATCCTTGCCAACACTTAGCAGAAAAATAAATATCAAAGTAAAATTTTTTAAAAACATAAAAAGAGAGAGAAAGAATGAAATAAAAAACTGGCTAATTAAGATATTTAGTAAGTAATAAGCCAAAAACAAATAAAGCCACAAATCAGCAAAATAGAATTTACAGATAATTAATAAATGAAATAATAAAGAAATACATGAAAAATGTATGCCAATAAATTTGAAAATAGATACAAGGAACAAATTCTCTGAAAAATCCAAATGATCATGTCTCATCACAAATAAATAGATAATATGAAGAGCCCTGTAGCAAAGAAATTGAATATGAGGTTTAAACCTTTCCACAAAAAAGCTCTAGACTCAAGTGACCTCACCTCTGAATTGTGCTAAATATTTAAGCAAGAAATTATGCTAATTTTACACAAACTCTTCCAGGAAATTGAAGAAGAGTGAACATTTTCTATCTCATACACTGACATCAGAATCACTTTTATACAAAATATACAAGGCATTATAATAAATTAAAAATTCGTTCAATTCCCCCATGAGCAAACATGCAAGAATTATAAACAAAACAAATAATAAATATTATGTATAATATATAATATATATAATATATAACAATATTATTAATATTATACTGACCATTATATTAATAATATAGTAATCATAATTATATCATAAATATAGTAAATTATAATTTTAATACTTATTTATAATTATAAAAAAGTTAATTATCTTATATATTATATACTGTAAATAATATAATATAAATATATGTGAATATATATTTCTGTATAATATAATTTTAATAAATATAAGTATATTAAAATATGTTAATAATATATATTATAATATGTAATAAAAATTATGCATTATGAATAAGTAGAGTTTATCCAAGGAATGAAGAAAATCAAAAGTAATTTGATTCATTCAAAAATCAAAGTAATTTATAATATTAACAGAAAAAAGGAGCAGATTCGTGTGATTATGTCAAAGTCACAGAAAAAGTATGATACAATTCAACACCCATTAATGATACAACTTCTTAGTGAACTAAGAAAAAAGGGGATGTCTTTTTCTAACAAAGGCTATATTTAAATATCTAGAGCTGATATCCTAATTCATATGTATCACTTTCCCTTATGTTTTGGAACAATATTAAGATGTACACAATCACCACTGCTGTTCAACATTGTACTGGAGGTCCTAGACAGAGAGAAATAAATGAAAAGTGAATCCCAACAAAATTGCAGCAAGCTATTTTGTAAAAATTGGCAAGTTGTTTTTAAAATTTGTATAGAAATGCAAAGGCTCTAGAATAACCAAGTCAACCTAGTATAACAACTAACATTGGATAACTCAAACCGCCAAATTTCAAAACTTATTATAAAGCCACAAAAATGAAGAAAATTGAGGTATTTGCATAAAGACAGATAAATACATCAATAGAATGGAAGAGAATGTTTAGAAATAGGCCCAGCTATCGATGATCACTTTATATTTTCAAAGTTGCCAAAGCAACTAGATTTGTACAAGATAAGCTAGGATCTTCCTGTCTTCCCAGGTAGCAAGGAAGATATCAAAGACCACTAGGGTTAAGCCAAAAATACCTCTAGAGCTATAACAAAGGTGCTTCCACTGGCCAGAGGTGTTACAACATGAAGACAATGAGGATGAAGACCTTAACGATGATCCATTTTCACTTAATAGTAAATACATTACATTTTCTCTTCCTATGACTTTTTCAATTTAATAACATTTTCTTTTCTATAGTTTACTTTATTGTAAGATTATAGTATATAATACATATAACATACATAATATGTGTTACTCGACATTTTATGTTTTCAGTAAGGTCAATGGTGGGCTGTTAGTAAGTTTCTGGGGAGCCAAAAGTTAAATGTAGTTTTTTTTTACTGTGCAAGGGGTCCGTACTTCAACTATCACCCCTTGATGTTCAAACATCAACTGTACTTCTAGTCATTCAATACATAATCACCCGAACATGGAAACAACCCAAAATTTCAAATTTCTTTTGATTGAAGAATGAAAAAACAAACTGGTGCATCCATACAATGGAAAGGAACAAACTATTGACACATGCTGTAACTTGGATGAATTTCAGGGTATTATGCTGAGTAAAAGAAGCCATTTTTATAAAGTTACATAATGTATGATTCCATTTATATGACACTCTCCAACAGAAAATGAACTATAGTTATGAGAACATATTACTATTTGATAATAATCCCAGAGGTAACATAACTAATAATCCCAGAGGTAATCTGGGATTATTAGTTGGAGGAAGGAGGGTGTGACTGCAAATAAACAGCATGAGGGAGATTTCTGGAATGCTGGACTGTTCTACATATGATTGTGATATTGGTTACACAAATCTATACATCTGTTTATACATGTAATTGTACAAAATGTTCCATTTTGCTTTAGGGTAATCTAAAAACCAAAATAAATGCCTTGAGATCTTTTCTGGGAATGAAAAAATACAAAGACAAGCTAAGAAGCTGGAGCAGGAAATTGACTTCAAACTCTGCTTGGAGAATCACCAGCTGCAAAACTGTATGGGGCAAATTTCTCATAAGAGTATAGAGGATGTGACACTGTACAGAGTTCACACTCATGACTCAATGATGAAATGGAAACCAGGAAGACCTGATTATGGTGAGTGGGAAAGAGGAGCACCTCTAAAAACATATGATGACTTGTGATGTCACTACTGTGTATTTTTAAAATTCACAAAAAGCCTACAATGACTCACATACCCTTCACTGAAACAAGAGAGTAGATACACATAACCCCCTCCACCCAATTCTGATATGAATCACATTACTTTACATTTCATCTTTCAATAGGATATTTCTCCCAACCATGTTTAATTAAATTTACAGGTCTGTTCTCCAGACAATTGTCACGATAAACTGGTATTGCAGTGAGGCTAAAAACAATATTTTCCATTGACCATCCTTTCCTGAAATGTCACTGAGGTTCTTTGACAACAGTAAGATCAGCCTGGGATGCATTAAACACCAGATTTTTACAGGATCAGTTTGCTTGAGATAACTGCTTTAGAAATTGATAACTTAGTTTTATTGTCTACATTTAGTATAAGATGTAGAGCTGGTATTGCCATAAATTTGCCAGTTGTAAATAATCCTTTGGTATGTTGTAAAAGCTGAACTTTAAAAATGGGACCCATGAATTCTGGAGTTAAATTAACTGAACCTCAGTGATTCTGAGGCAGAAAGACATCCTAGGCTAAGGCAACCCTATCTCTTCCAACATTTCAGACTCTTGATGAAAACTAAGCAAATTGCATACTCGGGAAGAAAAGATTTTAAACAGTATTTCTTTTATTTTTTAACCAATAAGGCCAAGAAATTTAACATTTATATGTTAATTTTTTCTTTGAAATTTAATAATGGGAGATTAGTTATACTGTTCAGTTTTTGAACAGTCATACTCTGGTAATATTTTTTGGAGGATTTTTATATTGTAATTTGGGCTTATAATCTTTCAATGAGCTCTAATGAACAACATGAAGTGACATAACATAAGTTAAAAGATAATAAAGTGATGTTACATTAAAGGCCACAGTGAATCTGGAGTAAATATACTTAATTTCTGACATATTTCAGAGTTTTCTGAGATTATTTTGAGCAAAAATATTTTCTGCAAGTTGGTAGGCATGCTGTATTATATATTTAATAGTAACATAACCTTCATTTAATTTTCTAAAATAATAATATAATGTCAGGTTCAAAACAGTAAATCAATTATCTGGTTATCAAATTCTAAAAGCAATAAAGGCCACATAGCTCTTGATAAGCGTCACTCAAAATCAGTTATTTGATAAAAAGAAAACAGGATTTGTCTGCACTTAAGTGAAAAAAGTTGTTACAAAACTGTCTTTCCCCCAAATTATTGTTTAGTATCTAGTGTTTCTTGTCACAATATTCAATTACCATGTGTTTCTTTATATGTATTCTGGTCTCCAGCAGGATAAACTAACATTATATCTTCAGAAGTCTTCTTTTTATTCTTTGGAGAAGCTTAAAGAAATATAATAAAACATTTATTTTTACTTATGATGATGACAGAATTACCCAAGATAGACTACTTATCCTTTTATGCCCAAGAGGAGCTGAACTATATGCTAATCTGTATGTGGGATTGCGAGAAAAATTGGAGAAGATACAGTGATGTGAAATGGGAGAAAAGACAATTCTTGAAATATTATCCCTTAATATTAAAAGATACATTTGGAGGGATAGAATGTTTTTCTAGCAGAAAAGGAAATCTGCACCTGGCTCAACTGAAACATGTCATTTTCCATCTGGGTGCATAACAACATAGTGGCTGGGCTGAAGACTCAGCAGTCCACAGTGACTGCTGTAATTCTTGGATATGCCTTGCTGCCTGGCATAAGCAAATGCACATATATATTCCCTTCTTTGTAATAAATGTAATTGTAGTTTTGCTTTTCTAACTATTAAGGTGGCAAAAGGTCCTCACTGCATGTGTGCTCAAGGGGCTGTTATTAGAGATGTAAACTATAAGAGTGATCTGTTTCCCCATTCACTGATCACTGAGCAGATTCTTCTGATACTTCCTTTCTTTTACTTTCTCTGTCCCACTAGAAGTTGTTTACTTGTTGGAAGATAACAACATTACCATAGTGGTATAATTCAATTTAATTTGTGCCATGGATATTCTTTCTATTCTGACTCTTTGATAATATAAATTAAACTCATTTTCATACTACTTCTTCTTCAACAGTGTATCTAAATAACAAATGTTTAAGCTACAGAAATTATTCCTACTATATGAGAAAGTTAATGAAGATGTAGGAATTTTTATAGTTACTGAAGTGATTTCATATCTGAGGCATGATATTGCTGTCATTGCCTCAATGAACTAAACAGATAGAATTAATCAATTTAGCAAACGTGTACTTAGTGTATATGCTTTGCATGGTGTTCTATTGAATACAAAGGTGGGAGTTTACTATTATAAATGATTAAGACAGCGGGAAGTATGTAATAAGTGAATTAAAAGTGGTGCAAACTACTTGAGAGATTCACAGAAAAGGGACCTTCCAGTTAGGGTTATCAACAATGACTTTTTGGCATGTAATTTACAGTGGGGCTTAAAGAACTGTAGGATTTTGATAAATGGAGACGGTAATCAGGTCATTCTAAATTGAGAAAAATTGGATACAGAGAGGCAGAGAAGTCGGAAAGGTAACATGTGTTTTAGGAATGATCAGTAGTCTAATTTAACTAAACAACAAAATAAATTAAGTTCTTACTATATGCTAGAATTTTTACACTCTTTATAGGAATTATCTAGGAGTATTATCTTCATTTGCAGATAACGAAACTGGCTTAGGGAGGTTAAATAATTTGCCCAAGCCATAACATCGCTAGAAAATGATGAAACAGGATTGGACTTCCACAGTCCAATTCCAGAGCCTGTGCATATCACCACTAGATCATAGCTGCCATCTTCAAGGATGTAGTGTAAAATAAAGTTGAAAAGTTAGGTGAAGACTGAACTCTAGATGCTGATAAATGCTTGCTGAAGCAGTCTGAGCTTCATTTAATAGGTAATAGCTTTAAGGGTGGAGGAAGAAACCATGAGAACAGAGTTTTAAATGTAGCAAGCGACAGTACAAAATGGATTTGAGGCAGGTAAAAAGAAGACTCAACAGAGGCTAGTTGGTAATCTACTGGAGTGACACAGGAAAGCTCTGACCTAGAAATGGGATTGATGAGATACTATGACAATAGCTGCATGGAAAATAATCAGTTTCTTTCCTGGTACTACACAGTCAAAGATAGTTAAAACAAGTCTACATTTTTGCATTCTGGCCATGAAATTTTATCTAATATCGAAGCGAAAAACCCATTGTAATTTTATAATGTTATAAATAAAGGAAGCTGGTAGAGGCCGGGCATAACAAAGCCATTCCTCCTTTGAAACTTTCTTCATTTTTTCTTTCTTCATTTATTTCTTCCTTCTTTTTTTTCCTAATTCTGTACTACCTCCCTTTCTTACTGGTTGTCAACATAATAGAACACCATGTTGGTATATAATAGTGGTTATCCTAGATACAAGTTTGTATCATTTTAGTAATTACTTTAAATATAGGGAGGTTGGTTACAAATGCAGTACAGGCAAGACTGT
Source organism: Homo sapiens (assembly GCF_000001405.40). Classification (NCBI taxonomy): domain Eukaryota; kingdom Metazoa; phylum Chordata; class Mammalia; order Primates; family Hominidae; genus Homo; species Homo sapiens. The sequence goes on along the minus strand of NC_000002.12, from coordinate 185,754,054 downwards.
CTCCTGAGCCAATTGATGAGATTGTTATAATTTGTTATCATTGTTACATATATGCCTACTTTTCAACTTGAACTATACTACAGAAATGCCTAGAACAATGTCTGGCACAAAGGGAGAAACAAGTGTAAATACACAGAGTATTACACAAGGATTTTTACATAGATAATCATTTTCTACTTAGCTACATCATCTTTTAATGTTCTCACATTCACCATGTGTTCCATCTTGACCTCTGTATTTAAATGTATTTTTTCCTATATCTTCTCCGTTAAAGCCAGTATCTTGCATTTTTTGTAAATGATAAGCCATTTTTTTCTCTAGAAGATCTTGTTTCTACAATATTAAAGAAAATATATTGGTTAATATTAACTTGCCATTTAGAAATGTAAAACAAATCATTTAAAATGTGACAATATTTTGAAAATGGATAATCAGTCCTGTCTTGATTTGTAATGGTACAAAAATAAGAGAGTAGTAAGGGGCAAATTTCCATTTGTGATCAAACACAAAGAATATATTTAACATGTATGCAATTTACCTCTCTACATACCATCAGAGAACTAATTCAGTTTCTGATCAGACAGGGTATCTTATTCATACCTGTCCTGGTGAGTTTAAGTAATTTCTTAATCATCTTCAATTGGAAGATTCCTGAGGGCTTAACCAAATATCACTCAGGTCTACCAGAGGTAAACATAATATAGTACATAAAATGTGACTTCCCTTTGTGAATTTCTGGGCTAGTATTGAATGCACTAGAAACAAGATAAATCCATACAGAATGAACCCCAGAGATTCTTAGAGGGTTCTTGCAGTATTTAGCAAGAAAATGGATTAGCATATGTAAAAAAAACTACCCAAGACTACAGTAAAGATCTTCCTAAAGGACTGGAGAAAACAGTCACTGCAACCTATCTAGGGATAGAAAACATGCCTATTCCCCCTAGAAATATTTCACTGGAAAAACCTCATGAGTCATAGGGCATTGAGTAGAGTACTAAGATGGATCTTAACTCAGTAGTAGGAAACAACTAGCCCCAGATAAAATATGGCTCTCACCCCACCAGCAAATCATAAAAGGCAAGACCTGTACAATCAAATTGTTTCCAAATAAATTATCTACATCAAAAAAGCTAAATAATATTTATAAGAAGATAAAAATATTCAGTATACAAAGTAAAATTCATGTCTGGCATCCAATCAAAGAATACTAGGCATGTAAAGAAGCAGGGGAATATGACTTATAAAAGAAGTAGATCTATCAACTGAAATGGACTCAAAAATGACACAAATGTTGGAATTAAAGACAAGAAACAATACAGCAACATAAGATTGCAATTTGTATATAAACAAAGTGAAGAAGAGATATGGGAGACATAACAAGGTCCAAAAGCAATTTTCAAATATGTGAGATGAGCAATACCATGGATGTATTAATGGCACATCCATTAATAGAGAAGTGAATAAATGAAAAGATTTCAGTGAGATATGGGACAACTTCAAGCAGCCTAATATGCCTGAAGAGAGGAGAGAAAAGATAAAATAAATATTAGATAATAATATCCTAAAATGTTTCAAATTTGATGAAAACCGTAAACCCACAGGTCCAAGAAGCCCAAAACACCAATGCGTAGAAAACAAGAAAAATTTCACCAAGTCATAATAATCAAATTTCTCAAAACTAGGGATAAAAAGAAAAATTTTAAAGTTTCCAGAAAAACAAATCATGTTACATAGAGAAAAATAAAGTTTAAAGACAGTAGAATTCTTCTTGGAATCAATGTAGAGAAGAAAGTTAAACAGCATCTTTAAAGTACTAAAATAAAGAAAAAAAAAAGTCAATGGTGAATTCTACACCCAGTTGATGTTAACCAACATATACTCAAAAAAAAGTTTTCAAAAATAAAGTATAAGTCTTTTGCAGACATACAAAAGTAAGTTGTACTAGGAGCAATGTTAAAGAAAGCCCTTCAGACAGAAAAAAAAATGATAGCAGATGAAAATATGGGTATACAAAAAAAGAATGAAGAGCATAAAAAATTTTAAGTATCTGGCCAAATATATGACTTATTTACATCAGGATAAAAGATAAATGATAGTTTAGACAAACTTAGCAATGTATTGTGGGAATTATTACGTGTATGTATATAAATAAAATGAATGACCAAAATAGCATAAAGGCCAAAGGGAAAAAAATAAAGCATAATACTGTAAAGCTCTTATACTATATGTGAAATGGTATAATACAGTATAATAACACTTTAAGAGCTACCCTAATAAATTAAAGACATATACTGTAATCCTTAAAGCAACTGGTAAATTTCAAACAAAGAAGCAATATACAAAATAGATACAAAGGGATCATTAAAAATCAAAAGAAAAAGGCAGAAAATGAAGAAAAGAACATAGATGAGACAAATAAAAAAATAATGAGATGACACACATAAAACTAATCATGTTAATAATCGCACTAAATGTAAATGCTACAAACACCTCAATTACAGGCGGTTGTCAGATTTGATATGAAACCAAAGCCCATCTATATGAGTAGTAACCACACACACACACACACACACACACACACACACACACAGAAAAATAAAGACCCAAATTTGGTCTTAAAAGTAAAACACAAGAAAATAATATGCCGTGCTAACAGTAATCAAAGTAAAGCTGAAGTGGCAATGTTAATATTACATGTAATATTAGAGCAAAGAATAATAACAGGAAAATAAAATATTTTCATAACAATAAACAAATCAAATCACCAACAGACATAACAATTCTAGCCATTTTTTACCTAATACTGAGCTTCAAATAAAACAAAAACTGAGATACTAGACAAATCCAAAAATATAGTCAGAGATTTTAATAACTCTTTCTCTCAATAATTGAGAGAACAAGTAGACAGAAATTGAGCTAGGACTTGGATTTGAACAATTCTATCAATGAACTTGATATCTAGAGAACAGTTATAAAATACTTCACCCAACAACAGTAGAAAGAAGTTTTTTTCAGGTGTACATTCGTAATTTACCCAAAATGACCAGAGTTTGGGATGATAAAATAATCTCAATATATTTAAAAAGATTTGGGAAATAAAAGTCTTTTCTCTGACTACAATAAAAGCAAATTTGAAATCAATAACAGAAAGATCTTGGACACACTCCAAATATTTAGAAGCTAAATGACACATTTTTAAGTAACCAATGAATCAAACATAAAATTAAAAGGGAAATTAAAGTATTTTGAATTGAATAAATATAAAACATCGTATATCAAAAAAAATCTGGGGACTCTTGATAGACCAGTGTTAGGGAAAAACTTAGAGTACTAAATTTCTGTATTAGAAAAGAGGAAGGGTCTTGAATTAATGACTTCCACCTAAAAAGAAAAAAGGTATTTAACAAAAAGATCAGAACAGAAATCAACAAAATAGAAAAAAAAAAAACAGAGAAATGCATTAAAACTAAAAACTAGCAGTTGGAGAAAATCAGAAAAAGAGAAATAAGAAGAAAAAGAAAAAGCAACTCTAGCCAGGACTGATAAGGAAAAAAGAAGTTACAAATTACCATATCAGTAAGGAAAGTGGGTGACATCACCAGAGTCTAGAAATACTCAAATGATAACAAAGGAATGTTATAAACAACTTTGTCAATAAATCCCACAAATCAGATGAAATGAAACAATTCCTAGAATACACTATCAAAACTTTTAAAAAGAATGTTTTGAATAGGTATGTAGTTAAGTATCTCCCCACAAAGAAACCTCATACCCAAATGTCTTCACTGATAAATTCCATAAAATATATAAAAAATAAACAATACCAATTCTAAAATAATTTTTTCAAAAATCTGAAGATGGAATACATAGAGATTTATGGTATAAGGCCAGCATTACCCTGATACCAAAATCAGAGAAGGGTAGTGCAAGAAAACTACATTTTGCACTAACATCTCTAGTGCAAAATTCTAAACAAAATGTTGGCAAATTTAATACAACAATATGTAAAATGATAATACAATCAGACCAAGTATATTTGTTTAATGATCTTTTGTTCAGGATTCATTTAACATTCAAAAATCAATTTATGTTATCTACTAAGCAATGAACCACAAAGGAAAACCTACATATGAATTCAATAAAACCACAGAAGAAAATGTTTGACAAAATCTTACATCCATTTCTGATAGAAATGTTCAGCAAACTAGAAATATAAGAAAATTTCCTCATCCCAATGAATGACACCTGTAAAAAAAACCCATACCTAACCCTAAAATTAATGGCGACGACTTAATCCTTTCCCCTTGAGATCACTAGCAAAGAGAGCCACTAACAAACAAATCACCAGTCAAAAATAGCTAGTATGTCTGCTTCTATTCAGCATTATACTGAAGGTTTCAAGCAGTGTGATCAAGAAAGAAAAAAAAATTAAAGGAACTCATCAGAAGAAATAAAACTCCCTTTATTCACAGAAATGATCATCTATGTAAACTATTAATTGGCATCTAGAAAAAAGAACTACTAGAACTGATTATTGATTGTTAACAATGCAAGACACAAGATGAATATAAATAAATCAGATGTTTTTCTAAATGCTAGCATTAAGTATTCAAAGTTTGAAATTTAAGAAATATAAATTACAATAGCATAAAATGTATGAAATACCTAGGGATGAATTTATGAAAAGATATATAAGAACAGTACACTGCAAACTACATAGCACTGTTAAGAGAAATTAAGAAGACCTACATAAATGGAGCGACATATGTGGTTCATGAGTTGAAAAACTCAATATTATAAAGAGGTAAATTGTGCCCAAACTGACCTATAGAGTTAATGCAAATCCAATTAAAAAAACTCAGCAAGACGTTTTGGTAGAAATTAATAAGCTGATGCTATAATTTATATGGAAATACAAAGGGCTTGGGATTAACTAAAACAACTGAAATAGAAAAATGTGTAAGACTGACATGACAGATTCAAAGAATTGTTAAAGGTACAGCAATCAAACAAATAGGTCAAAGAATAGAAGAGAGTCCAAAAATAGATCCATACAAATAATTTTTGACAAAGATATTAAGAGCAAAATCTAAACTATGATAAGACATAATTTGCAGTGAAAAAATATATAATGTCAAATCTGAAAATCATGACATAATAATGTAATGAAACACAAAGGAATTCAAAATTTCTTACAGTAAAACAAGATTCACAAAAGACAATTGTAAAATAACTCCATTGGAAATATCAGTGTTCAAATGGCTCTGCCATTAGCACAGCTTAGGCAGCCTGTGGTGTTATCATGCTTACAGTCAGTGACCACGTCTAATGGGCACTCCTCCCAGGCTGATTTGATCAGTTGCATTAGTCTTCACTAAAACTGACCAACATTCTTTGGGTAGTAATTGACATTAGGCAAAAGGAGAAGAATCTAGTGCATTCAATTGCTTCTGGAAAACAAAGATACTTTCTCTTTTTTTTTGAGATGGAGTCTTGCTCTGCCGCCCAGAGATGTGCAGTTTTAGAGCAAAATGAAGAGGACAACTTGGTGAGACTTCTTATTGAAAAATAGTGAAAAACTGAGTATTAGAAAATATTAATAATAATTATGGCTGGGCGTGGTGGCTGACACCTGTAATCCCAGCCCTTCAGGAGGACAAGGTGGGAGAATCATTTGAGCTCAGGAGTTTGAGACCAGCCTGGGCAACATAGCAAAAACCTGTCTCTACAAAAAATAAATAAATAAATAAAAATAAAGAAGAAAGAAAAACAAAAAAGAAAGAAGAAAAATAATAATCAGGTAAATTGGAATAAGCTGAGCCTGCAAAATGAGCAGTGAGTCTCTGATGGTACTGAAAGGTACAGGTAACAAACAGAATGAAAGAGAAGCATACATATTTAAACTTTCAATATTTTTACAAAATTGCTATGTAACAGTATATGTCAATACAAACCAAATTGTGTAAATCTTACATTCATACCTAGGTTTGTTAACAATAACCTACCTAAAATTGCCATTTAGAATTTTAGATCAACATTTATCAACATGCTAAGTTGACAATGGCATTTTATTACATGAAAAAAACAGCCTACAGAACAGCTTGCAATGCTTGTTTTTAATTATTAATTGGAAAAAATAAATATTATTGGAAACATTGTTGGGGGGTGTATGTGTATATGTGAGAACTAAAAAGTTGATAGGGTGGTGGTGGTAGGATTTTTCTCTTTCTTTTTATTGATTTACACTCTAAATCACAAAATCTTATATATTATTAAAGATAAAAAGTTAAGCTAAATAAAATTAACTGGTGAGGAAAAATTGAGAAATCTGACAAAGAACTGCTAGTTCTAAAAAAAGTTAATCAGTCATTTAATTTTTTCATAGTAATTACAAGTATGGTTTATGGTGTAAAAATAAAGCCAAAAATAGTTATATCACATAATAGAGCAGTACTTTTTATATGATAGTCAAAAATACTAAAAATGTCCATAACTTGCAGTTTTATATCATGCATATCATTTGGAGTAACTGGGCAACAGTCATCTCACAAAGTGATTTGTACTTCAAAAAACCAAAACAAAATCTTCTCTTCGAACAGCTCAAGTTAGAGGTTAAAGCTCACCCTACCTTCCTGTCACTCTCTTCTCTGTTTCTATGCTGTTGTTCTTCTATCCTCTCTTCTCTTTTAACATCTTCTGCCATCCTTGTCAGAAGTAACATCTCTTTTGTCTTCCATTCCTAGAAATCACAATGTTACTGCACTTGGTGTGTGTGCCTTTCACAACAATATCTTTGTATTTTGTCCCACCAAAAAGTATATTAAACAAGTCAGGGCCTAACAGAAATCAGGTTAAGCATAATGAAAGGCATACGTTCGGTTTAGAATATACTTTTCTTACTACACTCTTATTAGGAATGCAAATATGATACTTTTTACTAAAGCTAAATTTCAAAAAAATTTTGTCTCCACAATAAGGGCATTAAGAGAGTTAAATAGTGTCTAGTTAACTTTCTAACTGTTCTTTAAGAGCAGAAATTGGCTTATATACGTACTTTGTGGTATCCACCTCATTATTTTATGTAACAACTTGTATATTATAGCTATGAAGAAAATTTAATGGTAACAAATTATTTTGAACTGAAATGACTTCAAGCAGCACAATGTACAGTTAAAATTATTTACAAATGCAACAACTGTACACAATTTTTCTGTTAATATTTTAAAGTTGTTGTCTCTCACCTCTTCTATTTTTCTACGAAGAGTAAGTTTTCTTCTTGTGTGTTCCCGCTGTCGTCTTTCTTCTCTATCCATTAGGAATAGGCGTTGTTCTTCTGCTGTGCGTTCAAGTTGTTCTAGTTTTCTACTTATCATATCCAAATATCTGAGTAAGAGTGCAAATATTGCTAAAGGTGAATTGGCTGTTTCTTTTATGATGGCATCATCTGCTATGCCATTCCCAAACCACTTCCTTGCTTGCCTTTCATTTCTTGAACTACAAGAATTTTACTGTTTTTCTGTCAGTCCTGTTTATAAACCTTTAAAACAGCCTAACCCACCAGCTCACCATGTTTTACTTATTATAAGGTCTCTCCACTACACAAGTATCTGATATAATGGCAAAGATAATGGTAAAAAGCAGAGCAAAGTTACTCAAAACATTTTGCACAGTAAGCATTCATAACTCAGTAGGTTTAAGAATATGACCTTGCAAAAAAGGCTGAAATAACTGAAACAGTAACTTCAAATGTGGAAAAAAAAAAACAGTCCATTTGAATTCTCTAAGAAAAACTGGGCACTGGGTTCCTTGTAATTTACAAGTCCTTGAACAAATCTCTCATCTGTAGTCTGGATCTCTGGTACATCAATATGTATTATGGCAATAATACCATATAATGAAACCATGGAATGAATATAAAAGTCAGGTAATAAAAGTCAGCCCAATTCCTTACTGCATCCCTAGTGAAGGAAAAAGAACTATAACATCCTTTACTTCCTAAGAAATGGGCTTGTCCATGGAATGGCCATGATTGAATATGACTGAGTCATATTTAAATGAGCTTACAATCTTTTTTATAGACAGCACATATTTATATATTGGCATCAGTTATTCCAAACTTACTTTTTTTGACTTTGCACTAACTTCCTCAAAAAATGCTGTCAGTTCTTAAAGATGAATCTTAAAAAGCTGTTACTGTTTGAATATATTGTTTGAATATATTGTTTCTATATTCTAATATAGAAAGATTTTGAATCTAATTTTTCTTTCAATAACCAGTTTGGCTTATCCCTTGGGCGTCCAGCAACCCTAACCCCTCTGGTAGAAAATTCTTCCACCTCTTGGTTTCACTTCCTTCCTCTACACTCTGAGGGATCCAGGAGAATGGTGTCCAGTACTTAAATTGTCTTCAATTCTTTCTAGTATTTTCCAGCTTATTTGGGTCCACAACATACCCATAAAATATGCCTCAACTTTAATCTTACCTATGCCTCATCAGCCGCTCCTGGTCCTTAATAGATTCAGTGCCCTCCTTTAACAACCAGTTTTGGACTTGTGCAACATCACAATGTTGAGGGATTTGATTGTTTTCCGGTATGTTATGTAGTTGTTTTGCAAGTATTCTCTATTTAAGAAATGTGTGTATTACATATATATAATGCTTTTTACATTTCCCAGAAATAAAACCATTTAAATTTATATATTTTATAAATGCTTAATTCTGTTTAATTGCATTTACATCTATTTTGAATCCATTAAAGACACAGACAAGTAAACCAAAATTAAGATTTATCTCTGAAAATAAAAGGTAAACATTTCAGTTTATTTGTCTACCTATTCTAAATAAGTTAAATAAAAATATGCAGGAAGTAGAGAAGAAACACTGGGCACAGAATGAAGTGGGGAAAATACAGAATACTTAGAAATATATTAAAGTCTTTCTTGTTTGTATTTAACCCTTTTATTGTTAGGACATACATTTGCAAACACTCATGTAAATATACCTTTCTCACTTTGATCCAAACCTCTTGACCCTAAAATCTGAATTCACACAAACACACACACACACACACACCCCACACACACACACCTTTAAGTCAAAAATCAAAAGGAAGTCACTATCCATAACCATTCACTCTACACCCAATCATTCTACTTCACATTCAAGAACAACATTTTGTTCACATTCAAGAACAACATTTTTACAGGTGCACGTGTATGAGTACAAACACAGAGTGTACATATTCTTGAATCACTGTAGAACACTACAGATAATTATTGTTCTTTTCCTATGGCTCAAACTGTTTTAGGTTTCAATTTAAGAATCTTTCTGCCACAAGAGATGTTTGTTATTGGCATTAGCTCAGGGGGAAACAACACATCTGACTAGCAATTTAGTTATTGAATTATGCCAGCTACCACTGGTGTGTTGATAGATAACCCAGTCCCTTTCCCATTCTTGGCCAACTATAGCAAAATTAAAATATTGTTTATTCCTACTGTAAATTTTCACTTGGAAAAAATATTCAATTACTTTGTCAATAATAAAGGATCAAAATATTATTAGAAGAACACTCTACATATAATCAAGCATTTCTTCCAAACTCTATGTAAATAAACCAAATTTAAGTATTTAACTTACTTGTTCTTTTATATAGTTTCTCTCAAAGTCTAATTTTAAACTGGTAAGATATTGCCTGTACTTATTCAATTCTCTCAAGGTACATACAACCTACAAACAAAAATGAAAACAGATGGATATTTTAAAAATGTTTGATATGTTAATATTATATAAATATTTTAAATATATTTTTAAATCATTAAATTGATTTAAAAATAAAAAATAGCAGTGACATAAAATTTGATGACATTTTGGCATAAAGAGTAATAAACTGCTAACAATCTTGTAAGTAATATCTCTCTGCATTTGTTAATCAGCAATAAATTTCTATCCAAAAACATTACTTAGGCTGAGGCAGGAGGATCTCTTGAGGCCAGGAGTTTGAGATGAGCCTGGGCAACATAGCAAGACCCCATCTCTAAAAAAAAAAAATTAACCAGCTGGGAGGCATGTGCCTGTAGTCCCAGCTACTCAGGATGCTGATGCAGGAACACAGCTTTAGCCCAGGAGGTCCAGGCTGCAGTGAGCCATGATTGCGCCATTGCACTCCTGTGTAGGCAACAAAGTGAGAACCTGTCTCTAAAAAATATATACATATTACTTTATTAATATTACTTATATCATAAAAGGAGTTTAGTGCACACAATTAGTTATCACAGTAATAATTTCAATTAGCTGTAATTGGATTATAATTGTAATAACATTGTTCGACTCCAATAAGAATATACTCTATCAAGGTTCTGACAGATTGAACTTTGCTAAGTTTCTGTTTCATCTCAAGTTTTTAAAAGTATATGGAACATAATTCTTGACAAGTATACAGTGCCATTAAAGACAGAGAAAGAAGGCTATAATACACGTGGGAAAATAATATATCTTTGTATTCTCAAATTATTTGTCAATAATCTTTTTATATTACAAAGAAAAAAGGTGAAGGAAGAAGTACTTTCATTTAGCAACAACTGTTGTCTGATTTCTCTTGATTCAAATACTGAGAAATTTATAGAACTGCCTATTAAGTATTGTCTCATGACCAAGTTAAAAGTGACACAGGCCCCCCGAGTGAGGTACAGAAACAAGTTTATATCAAGTTTTAAAGGGTTTCATTGATTAAAAAAAGAAGTAATTTTCAACCCACTTTATTATTGCTGGTGATGTAGCCACCTTTCTTTAATCTCTTCAAAATATCTTTGCGCTTATAGTATGCTTTTAAATGTGGATCATGGAGGCTTTTATATTGGTTTTCCAAAAGTCGACAATAGGGATCAGTCAGGTTAAAACCATAAGAAGGTCGAAAAAGCTGCAAACACAGATTCAAAAATATGTAAAATTAATGCATTTTCACTTTAAATAATCTATCAAAATGATTAGAATGTTCATTGAAAATAAAATGTGCCAAAAGAATCTGAAATGGGGAAAAACAGCCACAGAAAAATTGGAGTTGGGCATGCTTTCCTGCCTTTCCTTTCCTCTCTCCTCACCTGCATAAATTATCCCAAAGACTCACCTTAACCCAATCAGTTCCTCCTCTAATCCTCTTCAGCCCCTGACTCTCAGCCAAATAAGAAAAGAGAAGAGGAAAAGAAAGGGAATAGCATATAGTTTGTTTTAAGGTACAAAGCCAACGCTAGGATTCTCTCATTTCCTTCTCCCTCTCTCGAATCAAAATATTCTATTCAAAAGATAAAAGGATTAATAGTAATTATGATTATATTTCAATCATCTTAAAATGAACAAAAATAACAAAATGTTTCATCAAAATTTATGAAAATAACTTTAACAAATAGTAGAAGTAAAACTTAGATGTTAACGATTTTGAGTTAAAGAGTCATTGCATCTTGAGGTTTTTAATGCAAGGAACCAACAATCTCTGAGTGCTAGAGTAAGAAGAATACCTGAGGTCTATATTATGCAGTTCACCTTATTAAAGAACCAATTTTAAAGAATATTTATAGAAATTGAAGTTTTTCTATTTGTGTGAAGACCAAATACACCTTTAGGCAACAGCCATTAACATATAAAAGGAGGAAAAGATAATCAGTTTCTAGTCATGTTTCTTATATCTGCTGCATTAGAGAAAACAGCTGAGTTATTCAATCTCACCATGAATTAAAACATTAGCAAAGTGAGTTTTTTGGTGTGAGTTCTCAGTTTTTCAATAGCAAGATGGTGATAATGGCTTATTGGGGGACCTCTGAAATGGAAAAAGTAGAGAATAAGAGTAGGAAGTTGTGTTAAGGCTGTTTTTACATCTCTTCTTTCTGTTTTAAGTTTGCTGGGCCAGAAAAACTAAGTTTTATAATAGCTCAAAATATGTTAAATCAGGCACTGGCTCAGGAGACAGATAATTGGAGTATGTAGGTAATATGGGAAACCAGAGAGCACCTGCCCTATTTGCAGGCATGAAATTCAATTTATACTACCACAACAACACTAAGCACCAATCCCGACATGTCTAGAGGCACCAATTTGGGTCCTCTGTTTCCAGTCTGGCCGTAACCACAGTTGCAGTCCAATTCCTGAACACTATGGAGTCTGGCTGGGTTGGACCCTAATAAGAACTCTCGAAAGGTAGGTAGGAGAATGCTTTGCATATGGGTAAAAGGTAGATGAGAGGAACAAAATAAGATACTAGCTCTTCCTTTGCATTTAAAAGCTTCTTTAAGTTTCTGACCTCTTGTTTAACATTAAACTTTAATTCCTTCCAAGGAGCCTAATCAGAAAGCTAGATTCCCTGGTTACCAATGCTTTCCTGAGAAGGCAAAGAAAGAACTCGTAAAGGGGAGAGTCTTGAATTCAGTGAATCCACATATGAAGCCCAGATCTTTCCTGGAAGGGAAACGATCAATAATAATAAGTCAAGGAGTAGATTGAATATTTCTTTCAGATGTTGACATTTAGCTGTAAACTTTTAAAAAATGTTAACTTTTAGCTGTGACAGGCATATGTTTCTCAAGACCAAACCTGAGCTCCTGACCTGTAAACTAAGAACACTTTTAAACAAATCCACCCATTTGAGCCAGAGTAACTTTTCTATTGACAATTAAAATAACTGGTTGCCCTTAAAAGGTGACTATTAACCATTACCTCATGAAGGAGAGTACACTGAAAGAGAAAATTCTTCTGAGAAATTATATGGTGACTAATTTCATTAAATGAATAAATTTTGGGAGAATTAATGTAATAAAAAATAGAACATCTTTTTGAAAAGTAGTAGACAAGTGAATTAATGGTCGACAGAGAAAATGGCAATAGAGTAAAATAATATATTTAAGGGAGGAGACAAAAGCCACAGTTCTAAGTTTATGCACTAAAGAGGAATTATATCACCTGTAATGGAATAAATTTCAAGCACGTTTTTGCAAAGTTAGTTTGTGTGGATGTGACTCAAGTTGTGTGAAGTTGGTATATTTGTAGTTCACTTGCTCTAATCTAGTAGAACAGATTAGTTTTTTTTAAAGAGCAATTATACTTTTTTTCAGAAACAAAACTTGTTTTAAGAAATCATGTTTATTTAGTGTGTTAGATTGACTGTATGCCCCCAAAATTCATATGCAATCCTAATCTTCAGTGTGATGGCATTAGGAGCTGGGGCCTTGGGGGATAATTAAGTCATGAGGGTGGAGTCCTCATCAAGGGAGATAATGTTCCTATAGAGACCACAGGGAACTCTCCAGCCTTCTTTCTACCATGCAGGGAGGTAATAATGAAAGGACTTCAAAGGACCCCCACGAGAATCTGACCATGCTGGTGTCCTGATCTTGGACTTCCAGCTCCAGAACAATGATAAATAAATTTACGTTATTTCTAAGCCACCCAGTCTATGGTACATTGTTATAACAGCCTGAACTGTATAAGACATTAAGCAAGTATCAAATACCAAGGGGTTCTATTTATTTCTGATGACATCATAGACATTAGAAGGGTAAGTGGGCCACTTAGAATTCTTTCTTGTAGAACTTTTTGCAAAACTGATAAAAGCAACCAGTCAACAAGAATGTACTAAACCTCCTTCAGCATTGACTACTTAGTCAAAGGCTGGGGAGGTTTGGGGGTAGGTGTGGTGTTAAGGACTAAAAACATGAAAAGGCTTAAGGGAAGTACACACTATAATCCAGTATGATTAACTATGGTTTGTGTAAGTGAGATCACACAAATCAAGGGCAACGTGAACTCTAAGCAAAAATAAGCTAACGGGGGGGCTATCACAGTTCAGAGAATCTTGATAGCTCAGATTCATAGACTGGGGAGAAGAAGACAAGGTATGCCAGGTTTGGGGGCAAAGTTGACAAAATACTGAAGTATTAGCATGGTATTTATGGGTAGGTGTGAAAGACTCAACTTGAAGAAGCTGAGCCTCTCTGGTTGGAGACAATGCTGGATGGAAAGGCTGGGGCAAATTATGGAGTCTCTTCCTCATTGAGGCAGGGCTTTCTTTCATTAAAGTAAGGTTAAAGTACTAAACATATTAACTCATTTTAAGTCCCACTGTTTCAGTTCTTTTTTTTTTCTTTATGTGTAAAATAGAATTCAACTCAAAACAAAATAATGTTTCCCGTGAAGAGAGTTTGGTCCAAGATACTGTCAGTTAAAATCGTAACATATCATTAAATGGCAGCTATCACTAATAACCTTTCAGCTTCTAAACATGTTTCTAAGTACATCAAATCTTACTATATAAGTATATATGAAGTTTTATTATAAGGAATATTAATATGGTACCGTGAATTGTTAATTAAGGACTAAGAATCTAAACTTTCTGGAATATGATTATGTCCAAACCATTAAGATGAAAGTGCTTCATATGCATTCTAAACAATACCTTCGGTCAGATGTGGGATTTTCTTTTTCCTGTAAATGTTGATGCAAATTCCTTTAATGAATTTTGTATGATGCAGCCTTTGAGTTAAACAGCAAGTAGTAAAGGGTAAAGGAAAGAAAGACGATAAAAACTTGTTCACCTTTTCACCGAAATTCGTAGTATAGAATACAGCATTGCTTCCTGGGATCACAGGCAGCTTGACCCCGAGAGGTAGGTCCAGTAGCTGAGCCGGTCCAACCCCTGCAAAGTGGGTTTTGTGCACGCCCTGTCAGACACAATTGGAGAGTTTTGTCTTTCCTTTTAGGCAGTATTAGTTTAGTTTAGACCAATCTACTTCCATTGCAACCAAAGACTCCGAAGAATTATACAATCAGGGTTCGGGGCATCCTGAAGTCCTCCCGTTTTCCCTGGTCACCAGCTCTCCTGGCGTCCCGCGCCTGCCAGTTGCGGCCGGTACAGTCCGAGCCACCGCCACCGCCCCCGGGCGCCGCAAGAGGGCAGCCTCCTGACGGGGGACAGTTGGGAGCCTCGCGACCCGTGTGTGGCGATCCCTGCCCCGCTCCCCAGCAGGCCTGCGGCCGCCAGAGGGCGACGCCGCCCAGCTTGCGGCCACTCACGTCTCTGCACTGCTGGGTGTCCGCGGCCAGGACGCTGGCGACCGTCTTGGTGACGGCGACTTTGGCAGGCTTGGAGCAGGCGCCGAGGTACAGCTCCATGGCCGGCACAGCCCCCTCAGCCCCTTCCTCACCCGCCCCGCTCTCCTTCTCTAGCACCCCGTTGTCCCTCTGTCCGGACCTGACCAGGAATGGCCAGAGCCCAACGACCTCAGCCCCGCCCCCCGCGTTCCAGGCTTCCAATGGTAGCGGCCCCAGAAGGGCGGTGGCCTCCTGAGGGGCGGCTCGCGCCAGCGCGTAGAGCGCCCGCAGAGCTGGGAAAATCGGTCCGAGAGGCCTGATCTGAGAGGACCACAGTTGAAACTTCATCTTTCTCTGAAACCATCACGCCTTAGCCAATCCTAACGAAAACGTATAAGCTTTGTTGGTGGGTAACTGGTTAATTTCCCCTGGCTTCCAAGGAGCCCTGTTCCGTTCAATAAAAATTCCCGAGTGATTGTTTTTGCCCATTCTACATCTTCCCCCATATAGACCACACCCCATCCCCAGGCTCCCACAGCTTCTTCCCACACCAGGTCCACAAGGCAGACGCGTTGGCTTCCTAAGGGGCTCATTGCCTTCCTCCTGCCTCTTCTGTCCCCTAGGTTTCCTTCTCCTTTCTAGCGCCCTTTACCACTCTCCCACTGCCTCCTCTCTGCTCCTGCAGCTTGATCCTATTTCCCTCTTTCTCCTCAACCATCCAGCCGAAATTTATAAAGTGCTTGACGCTTCTGGGCCAGTCATTGAGCTAAGCACTGGGCAGGACACAGCCGTGAGTAAAATATGGCCCCTGACTGTAAGAAGCTAACTAGACTGGGAGTATTCTGAGGGCAGAGACAGTATGTGTCTAACCCACCTGTTGTTTAGACTTAACTTCATACTTTCTTTGGTCCACTGCTGTTCTCTTTTATTTCTGGCCCGACTAGTAATAACAGTTACCATTTCTTCAGAATCTACTAACTTCCATATACTGTGCCAAACACCCTTTTAAACATTTATTTATTTTAGTAGCCTTATCAATAATTACTCTTTATTTTTCAAAGATTGAGGAAGACTGACAATTGCTGTTAAATGGTGGCTCCTGAGGCTGTTTTCTTAATCAGTGCACTCTGCTCTCTTTGTTGTAATTCCACACATGTGCTTAGGACTCTTAAATTTGAAATCTAAGCTTGGGATATAGTCTATTGCCAGCTTCCATATGGATATCCCACAATTGTCTTAAATTCAATCTACTCAAATCTCAACACACAACTTTCACCAAAACAGGAAAAAAAAACAAAGGCTTCTTCCTGCATTTCCTATCTCAGTGACAATACCAAAGTCTACCCAAGCCAGAAACTAAGGAATGCTTCTAGATACTTCTTTTTCCCCTTATCTCCCATGTTTAGTTGGTCCCCAAGTCCCACTAATTTTATCACTAAAATTAATTTGCCCGATTCTATCTACTCCTACTTTACTCTCCCGGTTAAGCCGCTAATCATTTTTTGTTTGTTTGTTTGTTTGCACCATTGCCACAGCCTTATAACATCTCCCTGCCACCATCTACCCCAAAAATCCATCTTGTATCAATTTGATCTTTGATGGCAAACTGACCATTTCTCTTCCTCACTTTAAACTCCCAACTGCCCTCAGCGCAAAGTGTGTAATGGCCTCTGTTACTTGGTCTCTGTATCAGTTTCTTATTGCCAGCAAATCACCACAAACTTAGTGGCTTAAATTACCACAAATATATTACCTTACAGTGATGGAGGTTAGTAATCCAAAGAGAATCTCACTGGGCAGAAACCAGTGTATTGGAAGTGCTGTGTTCTTTCTGGAAGCTCTAGATCACAACCTATGTTCTTGCCCTTTCCAGCTTCTAGAAGTTGCCTCTTCCTCACACGTTAAATCTGGCAATGTAACATCTTCAAACCTCTCTCTGACTCAGACCTCTGCTCCTTCTCTTCTACAATTAAAGAATCATTGTGATTACATTGGGCCCATCTAGGTTATCCATGCTAATTTATCTATCTTAAGATCAGCTGATTAGCAACCTTAATTCCATTAGCAATCTTAATTCCTCTTTGCTATGAAATATTCACATACTCAGTCTTGAAAATGAGGACATAGACATCTTTGGGGTACTATTATACTACCTCTCACAGCCCTGTTTTTGTCCATCTCTGAGACATAACTCCCCTGTACCACCTCTCAGAATTGAACCTCAAATGACACCAAACTGTTTGTGGTTAGTTCTCTACATGGGGCCTGCTTATTCATGCGTGATTCTGCATCTTTGTTTATGCTGTCCCCTCTGCCTGACAGCCCCTTTCAATTCACTGCTTGGCTAATTTCAATCAGCCTTTAAAACAATTCAAGTGTTACACCTCTGGGAAGTCTTTCTGTCTTTCTAAGCTTTTGACAAATTCTCTCCCTTTGTGCTTTCCTCCATCTTAACTTTTTCACATTACAGCAAGAATATCTGTTTACCTGTCAGTCTCCCTTTACTAGAATGTAAATTCTTTTAGAGCAGGGGTTGGTTTATTCGACTTGTATGCACAGCACCTAGCATAGTGCTGAGCAAGCACTTAGTGAGCACTAAGTAAAATTTTGTTTCCTGATCTAGTCAGACATGAATGAGAACCCGCTGAAAAATTTTAAGCTAATTCTTATTCTAGAAGAACACCCTGGCAACAATTTGGAAGGTGGATTTGTGGGGGTGAGAATAAAGATCTGGGAAACTTCATGATTTGTAGACAAGCAGAGAATGGATTTGAGAAAAATTTAAGAAGAAAATTTTCAAAACTTTGAGCTCTTCCTCATCTCACCTACTTTTAAAAGAACAGAGTTGGAGGGAATCATTGCTGTGAGAAGCTGACAGTGGTGGATGACAAGCTTGAATTTCCAGAGGAAATAGGTAAGCCAGAAAAAATGAATTCTCAAAAAAAAAAAGAAAAATCCACATCAAATAGGTGAGTTCTATTTATAAGGAAAGCAAATGGAAAAGAAGAAGTCTACAGTGTAGATAAAATATCTATGACATTTATATGTAAAGGAGAATTTGTTGTATTCTCGGAAAAGTTAGAGGAGTATGTGTCTGAAGTTTTATGAACATTGGGGTCTTTTCGGAGACTTTATTTATTGTCCTTTTCTACATAACAAACCATTTCCAAAATTTAGTGACTTTAAACAATGATTTATTACTCCTCACAGTTCTCTGGGTTTGCTGGTGTTGTCTTGGTTTGCACTTGCTTAGCTAGGGCTAGATCATCTAGGATGGCTTCACTCACATGTCTGGGCTCTCAGACAAAAACAAACAAATAAACTAGAATGATTGAGATGGCTGGATCATTGTCTATATGTATTCTTTTTCATTCTCCAGGAGGTTAGGCAATATGGTTTTACATTTTAGTCTCAAGACTTCCAGCATCAAGAGGGAGTAAACATTAATGTGCTCATGTGCTTCTCAAGTATTTGCTCGCATCACATTTGTTATTGTCTGGCATGGAAGGAAACTAACTACATAAAGATACAGATACACTAAGGCTCCCATCCATAGGGCTCATTGCCTCAGAAATCTGCCAAAGATCACTCTCTAGTCAAATGATTCACATTCCTTCTATATTCAAAACACACTTACCTCTCCTAAGACTACCAAGAGTCTCATTCAGTAATGTGATTAGGCTTAAAAATTTAGTGTTTTGTAATCTATAATTATGTCCATGTACAGCTATTTGAATACTGCCTGTATGAATTCAAAGACCTATGAACTAAAAAACAAGTTGGGTTAATAATCTATGTATGAAAAAGCAATTTATCCAAAACCTTAGGCTTAAAGCAACATTAATTGCTTATTGTGTCTAGTGGTTTCTCTTTGGGTTTGGAGATTCAGATGAGGCACAGAGGAGACAGTTGGTCTCTGTTCTATGATGTTTGGAACTTCAGCTGGCAGACTTGAAGACTAATAGCTGGAATCAGCTCCTTCTAAAGTTATAGGATAAAATTTTCTCCTTCTGAGTCTTACTTTTGAGATCTATTAGAGAAGATCAGAAGACACCTCAGTTTAGGGTTAATTATTGCTTTATTCTCCAAACTCTACCCAGTGACTCATCCATCAGAAACTTTTCCAACCTAGCTGGTGGGAACAGGTAATGTTTACAGCTGTTTGTGAAAGCCCAGCACTATCTCTTTTGAGTGAATATTTTCCATGGCATATGGTAGTTTTCTCACAGTATTCTGACAAATATGCAGGAAATACTCAAAGATAATTCTCTGCACATCTTGAAAGTTCTCGTTCCATGCAGCTGTCCTCTTTCTACTTTTCTTTTGCATGCTCTAGCTCTATCTGCCTTCCTGGGCTCTGGGTTCTGTCTTCTGAACTCAGGGAGTCAGATGGGATCCATCTGGATTCTCCTTCCCTCTGCTGTGGTTTGAAAGTTCTTTCAAGTTTTATCAATATGCCTCGCCTCTTTTGTTTATTGTTTTTCAGAGATCATTGACCATTCCCTGATCTAGTGTCTTGAAAATTGTTGCTTCCTATATTCTGTTTATTTTTTAGCTGTTTCAGGGCATATCTTCTCCATGTTACTCTGTCTTAAGAGGAAATACAACTCAATTTTACTTGTGATAATCGATGTAGAGTTTTTAATTCTTTAGACAACAATTACTTTATTTGGGGAAAATCCCGCATATATGAATGTTGGTAGATGTTCAATCCCACTTTTTACTGAAATTAAGACGGGTCACATATTTTCATTTGGCATGCCTTGGAGGAGGGTCAAGGGCATGTGACTTTGTATTCTGAAAAGGAATTAATTCAAAGATTCTTGTAGGCTAAGGACCATGAAGTCAGGGTTAATGTCTGGTCACAGCACAAGCAACAATATTTTAATCCAATGACATCTGTGGTTTTATATTGTGTTTCCATTTTCCTCAACTTGGATTATTTCAGACTTTCTTACATATTCTCTGAGCTTTCTCAAATCTTTTCTGTCTAGGTTAGCCAGGCTGGTTTTCTATTATTTGCAACCCAAAGCCCTAGCTTATATAATAATCACTATACTCGCAGGTTTTCTTCATTTTTATTTATCATTTCTTAATGTAACTATATAAGCAGAATATTTAAATGTTTGGGTTTTACCACCTCCTTATGTCAAATTGAGAAATAAAATACAAGATCTTTAGGATCCTGTGTTGGTCAGGATTTTCAAGCAAAACAGAACCAACAGGGGATATGTGTTTATGTGTGTTAGTGTGTGTGTGTATCTTCCTCTATATATATACAGAGAGCTATCTACATATGCCAGTAGCCCAGCAAGCTGAGAAAGAGTTGCTGTTTGAATCCAAAGGCAGTCTGTTGGCAGAATTTCTTGGTTGGGGGAAATTAGTACTTGTTATGTTAAGCCCTGCAACTGATTGGATGAGACCCACTCATATTATGGAGGGCAATCTACTTGACTCAATGCCCACTGTTTTAAACGTTAATCTCATCCAGAAAACACCCTCGTAGAAACATTCCAAATGTTAGACCAAATATCTGGGTGCTGGATCTCAGCCACAATGATATGTAGAATTAAACATCACAGATCCCCATTTTTTGTCTATTTCATTAAGCTGAGCTAATTTCTGAATCTAAAAAATAGAAATGATCGTTTTAGTTTAGAAAAAGCATTCCAATTTAAGTTATACTCTTTAAAACACAATAGTTAATTAATGAACTCTTACGTGGATTCAATCTAGCCATAAACTTTTCTATTTATTTTAATTTGTATGTAGTTATATATACTTCCTTAATTTCTTGAATATGTAAGAGTTCATTTGATTATTTTTGCTTTCATCTAATATTTGACATATATTCTTAATAATGCCACCTTTTAATTAATATTTGGTTGACTGATATCTCACAATAACCTTATCTCTTTTTTTCTAAGCAAGGTATTTTTAAATTAAAAATAAAAAGTAAACTTTTGTTGAAAATTACTTGTCTTGTCTACTTTATCTTATATTGTCCAGCTTCAATAATTTAATCTGATAGTTTAAAATAATTAATATTAATAAATTCATCAGAAAGTAGACATAATAAAATGTTTTGATAATACATTGCAGTGATCATAATTCATTTAACAGTTAAAAAGGTAGCCTGCCCATAAAGCATATCTAAAATTGCTAGTAAAAGTAGCTAGTATATTGTAATGTAATAGAATTACTCATAATACAATAGACTGAAACTAAGAAACTTGAGGAATTGACATTAACATTCTAAAATGACAGAAAGTTTCAAAGATTTTAAAGGATTTTTTCCAGAAATGTACAGTAATGATTACAATGTGAAATCTAAAAAAAGCCTGAGAAATAAACAGGAAAAGAAGAATAGATATATAAATCTATAGTAATTAAGGCTGAATGTTAACTAGATTAAGGTTCAATGCTATCAAGTTGGTATATGCAGATATAGTAAAGGGCATATTAACATAAATTCCACACAGAAAGGTAAACACCACATTAGAAGAGTGTATGAGTTTCTTAGAGCTCCTGTAACAAAGTACCACAAGCTGGGTATCTGAAAATAACTGAAATTTATTCCCTCACAGTTCTGGAGATTAGAAGTCCAAAATCCAGGTATTGACAAGGCCATGGTCTCTCTGAAGGCTCTCTTGAAGAATCTTTTCTTATTTCTTCCCTGCTTTTGGTGATTGCTGGCAATCCTTGGCATTTCTTATATCACTCCAATCTCCGCTTCTGTCTTCACATGGCTGCTTCTCTGTGTGTGTGTCCATGTGTCCACATTTATCATCTCTTACAGGGATACCAATCATAGGATTAGAGCTCATATTAATCCAATATGGCCTTATTTTGGCCAGATTACATATGTAAATAGTCTATTTCCAAATAACTTCACATTTTGAGGTTCTGAGTGGACATGAATTTTATGAGTACCCATTTAACTAAGGACAAAGGGTGAGAGAACATCTTGCTGATGAGGTAAGACTGGTATATTGGCATGTCATTAAATACTTTGTTAAGGATATCAATTTGACAGAGGGCTCAAGAGTCTGTCTAGTAACAACAAAAATATAGATATCAGAATCTTCATGATGTATGTCAGTTTCTAAAGGATTCCAGAATCTGCAGAAGAGCAGATGGAATGAAACCACCAAGCCTCGTTTAATTGATTCACTAAGAGTACTTATTTTTTTTTTATTTTTGGAAAATAACTTCTTTGATGATGTTTTATGTATTTTTCAAATAATTATCACTGTTAAGAAAGAGAAAATGAAAACTTACATTAAAAATATAGTTAGGAACCACACAGTACCTTTTGATAATATGAGGTATATATCTTTGCCAACATCTCAGTCTTTAAAGTACTTTGCATTATACTTTGCATTGCTTTGTAATATATTTATCTTAGTGGTGTTGAAAAACTGATACTTAACACAGATTTCTGACCTGTTAAATAGTTCAGACCTTAAATAAAGGGCCCAGATTAAATATTGGTTGGAAAACTTACTCATCTATTCTCTCTCTCTCTGTCTCTTCTGTCTCTCTATGCACACACATACACACACACACACACAAGTGAAATATAAAATAAAGTCATGCTAAATACATTTTTAGTTTAAGCTTAAAATGTAAGGTAATGAGACATATACCACATCATAAGTGGAGAAAATTTCTTGGTAGTAAGAGACATTAAGAATATATAGTGCAATTTTAATAGCACAGACTCAGGTGTAAGATTGCCCGTGTTTAAACCCTATTTATTTCAACTCTTTGCTTTTTTTCTCATCTCTAAAATTATCATATCTTATGATATCATTGATTGGGCAGCATCAATACAGACAATGATTTATAGTGATCAGTCTGCCCCATCTCTATGTAGTCCTGATCATTGTACCATGTTATCTAGCTTAAAATCACAGAAAGACATTGAGGGGCTGGACTTTCTGTTTTTTATAGCTTTTTTTCATTTTAATTATTGGAATAAATTGCTCTTACAATCTCAGCCACTGTTACATATGTTAGGTGTTTGGGGGAAAAAGTTTGAAAAATAGCTAGAAAATATTATCCAGCAAAATGAGTATTTTTGTTTTATTAATCAAATGGCTGCAGTTTGTTTTTAAAATTTGTCACATATCCAAAATTATTATAAAACAAGTCTTCCTGCTTATTAACTTTATATATAAGTGAAGAGTAAGCAATTTACTGTTATATAATCAATTTCCAGTAAAACTATGTTAATACAAATAATAATATCTCCCACTTATTCCTCAATAAGTCTACTGTAGTTAAGAAGCCTTTAAAGCGGTTTCAAATTATCCCTGCCTTGTGATATTTATACTCTTATGTAACCTCAAACATTTAAAAGGGAACTGGACCTAGTGACTAGCTTCTAACAAATATAATATGGCAAAGGTGATGACTTTCAAAATGTTGCTTTCATCTTGCCCACCTTATTCTACTCTCTCATTTACTTACTATAAATGAAGCCAGCTGCCAGGTTATAAGCTATCTAAGGAGAAGTCCATATGGCAAGGAACTGGGACAGGCCTCTAGCCTACAACCAGGGATGAACATGAGTCCTTTGTCCAGCAGCCTTTGAGGAAGTGAATTCTGCCTACCTTCATGTGATGGGGCTAGGAATCAAATCCTCTCTTAGTTCAGCCTTCAGATGAGACCTCAGCCCTGGCCAACAGTTTGTTCACAGCCTTGTAAGACACTTTGAGCCAGATGCACACAGCTAGGCTATGCCCAGACTCCTGAGATGCAAAAACTGTGAGATACTAAATGTTTGCTGTTTTGAGTGGCTAGGTTTTAGAACAATTCATTTTATAGCAAGGGATAACTATCTTTACAATGTATCATTCATTGTTGCAGTCAGCTGACAAAGTATGTGATCCTTTCATTAACACTGTGAGACAGTTATTACAATCTCTATTTTTCAAAGAGGAACTTTGGGTTGGAAGAAATTAAATAATTTGCCTGTTATCATAAAGCTTTGAAATGGGCTGTGTTACAAGGGATCGTTCTTAACCAACAAACAGTTCTCCTTTCTCCTCATGATTTTTTAAAGTAAAATTATTTCTTACACCTTAAATCTTGAAAACTATGTATATGTTTGCTTCTCATGTTGGATTTCACCAGCATATAATTATAAAAAATAACAGAAAACCAACGTTAAAACCATCACATGGGCAGAGCTTCATCATCCATACTCTGCACGATGACCCTGACAAAGCCTGGCAGAGGCATGAGGGGCAAGTTATGAAAGGGTTGATATAACAATTTCTTTTCTTGATTCTATATCACATGTTAAAGATATAATCATTAAACTATTTTATGCACTTCAATAATCCACTGATTCCATTTGCCAATTTATTATCAAAATTTATCATTATTTTCATCTATTTTAGCAATCTTCTGTGATGAACAAAGAATTACATAAACTACATTGTATATGAAATACTAATTACTAATTTCTTATTCTAGTGTAAATTCTAGTGTAAATATATTTGATTATATCATGTAATTATATTTTCAGCATGTCTGTGAAACTCACCCATGCCATCTGGAAAGGAAAAAGTTAAGTTGCATTTCTGCAATACATTCTCTCCCTTCCCTGAGCTGCTCCTGGAATATAAAGAAAGCAAGTGAGTTGAACTAATCCTCTTATAAACATACTAATGATAAATCTCCCAGTAAAACAACAACAATAACAATAAAGGTCTTCTGCTAACAAAAGAGTCTTTTCCTATGTGAAGTTTTAGTAGAATGTGCTTAATTGTCTAGAATTATTTATAGTAAGCAAACAGAAGTATATGGACTTACGCATAATGGCTCCTTGGAAAATGTTATATTATATATGTAACTCTTTCTGTAGAAAATATCTGTCTCCTTTCATGAAAGTGAGGTGCCTGCATACCTCATAGAAAGCTTATCTGTTCACTTGGGCCAGAAATGTCTTTGATATTGTGTGATAGGACTTAGAGAACTGAAATAAACACAGACATTCTGACCTCACCTTTCCTTACCTGTGCCTCATGATTCCATGTGACTTTGAAATTGTTAGTAAAACTTGATACTGGATAAGATCTCTGAGTGCATAAGTCTGAATTATCAGTCTGATCCTTTCTGTTATTTTAAATTCCAAGAAGTATTGATTTGTATGATAGCTTTTCTTAAACTTCATCGTTCTATCAGTTGGTTTAATCATTTTAGTAGCCCTTGGGGGCACAAAAGGCACATTCTATATTAGTAAAATAATACACATGTGGGCAAAAATCTACACAGTAAAAAGAAAAATAATTCACTCTTTCATTCTAGATTCTGATACTCTCAACCCAGAAGCAAAAACATTAGTTTGTGTATTATTTTACACATGCAAAAATATCTTATAAAATATTAAGTTTTCAGAGTTCCACTTGGTACATTTTTAACTGAGCAATGTATTTTGAAGATCATTACATGTAAGCACACTAGGATTTAATTTAGTTTTTAACCATATGGATGTGGTATTTAATGCTGTAATTACCAAAATTTATTCAGCTAGTCTTCTATTTATGAATGTTCAATTTTTTACATTACAAATATTCTACAATAAGCATCCTTTTAGATAGATTGCTGGATTAAAAGGTATACCCATTTCTACTGGTTTTTTTCCTTAGAGGTATTGCCATGCTTTCCTCAAAGCAGTTACAATAATTTATCCTCCCGGAAATGGACATCTGAGAAGCTATATGCCTGCAATTAGTGTTCTCTTTCTATACTAGATAGACCCTTTTCATAGATTGTGGTCTCACCTAATGGCTAAAACGATTTTTTCTCTATATATAATTTTCTTTTGTTTCAGAGATAACAGAGATTCCTCTCTCCTTTCCCCCAATTTTTACTCTCCATTTTTTATTAAAGAAACTTGTACTTTGTCACCTTTAAGCAAAGTCCATAGATAATTTTCAGTTTTTGTTGTTGTTGTTGTTGTTTTTGAGATGAGTCTCGCTCTGTTGCCCAGGCTGCAGTGCAATGGTGCGATCTTGGCTCACTGCAACCTCTGCTGCCTGGCTTCTGGCAATTCTCCTGCCTCAGCCTTCCGAGTAGCTGAGATTACAGGCGCCTGCCACGGCACCCGGCTAATTTTTGTATTTTTAGTAGACACGGGGTTTCACCGTGTTACCCAGGGTGGTCTCGATCTCCTGACCTTGTGATCCACCCACCTTGGCCTCCCAAAGTGCTGGGATTACAGGCGTGAGCCGCGCCCGGCCTCAGTTATTTTTAAAAATATAGGTTTAGGTGATGAGTAAAAAGGCCAAAAGTAGTGAGTAAAATGGACCACGTTACTTATTATGGACTCAACTGTAAAATTTTATAGTTTTTGAATCTTTTACAAATCAAACAAAGTTTAAAAATCACAATACACATTATATATATATTATATATAATATTTGGTATAAAAATGTACCACAAATTGAAAACAAGTTTGTACTTGTCAGCTTAACTATGCACAAGAGATTTAACCCAGTAGGCCGGACACCACTATTTTTCAGAAAAACCTACTTGCTGCATCCATGTCCCTACAAAGGACATGAAATCATTCTTTTTTATGGCTGCATAGCATTCCATGGTGTATATGTGCCACATTTTCCTTATCCAGTCTATCATTGATGGGAATTTGGGTTGGTTGCAAGTCTTTGCTATTGTAAATAGTGCTGCAACAAACATACGTGTGTATGTGTCTCAGCAAACTAACACAGTAACAGAAAACCAAACACCGCATGTTCTCACTCATAAGCGGGAGTTGAACAATGAGAACACATGGACACAGGGAGGGGAGCATCACACACTGGGGCTTGTCAGAGGTTGGGGGCAAGGGGAGGGAGAGCATTAGGACAAATACCTAATGCATGCAAGGCTTAAAACCTAGATGACAGGTTGATATGTGCAGCAAACCACCATGGCACATGTATACCTATGTAACAAACCTGCACGTTCTGCACATGTATCCCAGAACTTAATGTATAATAATAAGAAGAAGAAAAAGAAAAACCTACTTGCAGGGTTCACACTTGGCTGGCACCTGGGAATTTGGCAATCAAACCATTCACAAACTGATAACACTAGTTCATTGTCCCTGTATGGTTTGTGAAAACAATGCGGTTTATGCTGAATGCCTGCCTTCTTTCTAGGAGTTTGGTATTTTGATATGTGCTAGAAGCACGTGCTTACAAGATCAGCCCCCATAAAAACCCTTGACTCTGTTATGGGATGAATTATGTCCCCCAAATTTTATATGTTGAAATTGTAATGCCAAGTACCTCAGGATATGACAGTATTTGTAGATAGGGACTTTTAAATGGCAATTAAGTTAAAATGAGGTCATGAGGGTGGGCTCTAATCCAATATGACTGGTGTTGTTACAACAAGGGGAGATTAGGACAGACGTACACATAGGGAAAACCTGCCAACACCTTAATTTCAGTTTGATAGCCTCCAAAATTGTGAGAAAATAAGTTTTTGATGTGTAAACCATCCACCATGCAGCAATTTGTTATGGCAACCCTAGGAAACTAATAAAGGCTCTGAGTGTCTAATGGGCTTTGTGGAAGACACATTGCATACATTTTACTGCACTTTTCACCGCCAATGAAAGGAGCATGCTAGGTGGTCTTCTAAGAGGAGGGGGAGAACATTCTAAGACTGTGTATGGATTTCTCCAGACTCCTTCCTTTGCTGATCCTGTTGTGTATTCTTATGCTGTAATAAATCTTAGAAGTGAATACAACTTTATATGGAGTTCCATGTGTCCTAGGAATCACCAGAGGTGTGGGTGGTCTTGGAGATTCCAGAAACACTGATCCCGCCAATATAATATTTCAATAAATAGTTCTGAAACTTAGAGACTTTTATTATTTGGCTAACAAATACTCTATTTAGGTGAAATCCTGCATATATGAATTGTCAGTAGGCATTCAGTGCCCCTTTTAACTGAAGATGAAATTTGGTGTATTGTTGTACTTCTCTGTCTTGTTTTATCTGGCTCATCACAACAATATGAAAAATCTTTAAAGAAGATTTTAATCTTTCTTGTTAGTGCATTCTTCAATAACTAGAACAGTGCCCACTAATTACTATTAAGTAGAAAGGACTCATTAGTAGGTATTCAATAAATGCCACTTCAGCAAATGAGTAAACACATTGATTATTTATTTTGGGGTCACTGTTTAAATGGACATTGCCCATGTATTTACAGTAGGGTATCTCCAGTTTTCTTTTCTTCCTTTCTTCCTTTTTTTGTGGGGGAAGGAGGGCATTCATTTATGAGCATTGATTCTTCTAATTGACACTGCCCTCTTTTAGATAACATCCCACATTTTTAGCTTCTAAATTGCTGTTTTCATGTTCAATGTTAAGAACATGAGCTATAGAATAGTAAAAATGTGTTAAGGCTTGCTATTGATCTACTTCTCTCATTCATTTATCTACTTAATGGTATGTACATCATAAATTTGTAGTAATAACTTTGTTACATACTTTACAGAAGATTTTGTGATTGTTCAGCCTTCAAGCACAGATGCTTATAAAATCTGTCAGTATCCACAAATTAATCATAGTATAGGGATTACAGATCTTCATGAAGAGAAAGTTATTTTGTTAAACGGAGGATCTCAAACTGTTAGGAATTTGTGATATTAACTGAGTGAGTCAAGTGTAATTTTTTTTTTTTAGATAAAGAAAGGCAGATTTGCTAGAGAAAGTAGAGAAATATGTTGTGAGGAGGCAATGGGCAGGATCAGCAGAAGAGAAGCTTATGCCAAGGGTAATATTTTTTAAAGTAAAGCAAATGAGAAAAGAACAGAATAGGGTCTTTCAGATTTAGTAAGAGTATTAACTTATGCAAATTTATTTTCATTATAGATATATAATTTACATACTTTGCTTATATAAATATGTCATGTGTGTATTATGAGTTTAAGGAGGGAAAGTTTGAAAGTGACACAAGATGATTGATTACGAGTATTTATATTTCAATAAAATATTATAAAATGTGAAAACCCTTCAAAATATTAGAACAGAAATTACTATTGAACATCACTCAATTGAACATTTTTATTTTATAAGTAATAATACAGGGGCTCAGTAAAATGAAATTATCTTCTAAAATTATAAATTAGATTAGTGGGAGATTTAATATTAAAACTCAAGTCTTCTATCAGTTTTCCATCAAATCATACAGCTATGAAAATATAATGCTAACTGTCCAAGCATGTAACTTTGGATCTGTTCTATTTAGTAAACTGAAACTGGCATTGAGTTTAGATTATTTTTTAAGCAAACACATTTGTTACATTATGTGCAATAACCACAAAAAAGAAACTGTTCTCCAATTTTAAAGAATAAATATTCATTTAAATAGGATGCCTCTAATTGTGGTTATATAATTTTACTTTTTATCCTTATTATAATGAATTAAGATAATTTTTTTTGTTAACGTTGGAATAATTGTTCATGTAGTTGGTGTTATAACTATTCTAATATGTATCCAGAACAAGCACCAATTAAAAATATTATTGCATCCTTATCATCTTCTGCCAGCTGGTTGTTCATATTAACATTGCAGGGGATCACAGTGTTATTTTAGGAAACTGCTTATCAAGTTATCGGTTTTTGTTGGTGTTATTTGGTTGAATTTTTTCACCTAATTAGCGAACAGTTTGAGAAAAGCTTTATCTTTAGTATGGTTTCAAAAGTAATGAAGGTGGGAATAATAAAGACCTTTGGAGGCATTCTACAGAAGAAAACTTCATAAACAAACAAAAAACTTTCCATTCTTCCCTCCCTTATTTGTGGCTTTTCTTTCTGAATTCTCCCTTGTCTGATATGAGTAACTGACTTCTATTATATTATATTTGTGTATGTTTGTCACATTATTCCCTATTTCTCTATTTTAAATCCTTCTTAATCACTTTGTTTTAGATGTGTTTCTTACATACAGAAAACTGTTGGGTTTTGTTTTGTGGGTGATTTGAAATTTTTTTTTATATGTAACAAATTAACCCATTTTCACTTAACATAAATATGTTGTATGTTACTTACTGTAATTATTTTATGTCATATTTACTAAGTTTCACTAGGTGTCTATCTCCTCTTGGTTAACTGTGTTAAGGGTCTTAGTTGACTTATAAATATTTCTTTTAAATTTATTTCAGATCTTTATACAAAAAGTAGTGAAGTTATTTTCAGCTACTGACTCATAGAAGGTGCTCATAATATTTTCATTTTGGCTCAGGAATTGCATACTGAAAACAGAGTAATTTTTCAAAATTCTAGCCAAATATAAAAGACCATCAGAACTATCAGAACTATTGTTTCTTGCTGTGATTTTGAAGATACAAAATATAATGTTTTATTTAAGTGAGAAAATTCAGATAATGTTTGTAATTCACGGATTAAATTATTCCATCTGTCCTGATTTACAAAGGTGCCTCATTTCAAATATGATCTTATTATTCTCTAATAGGTTTAATATTGTGAACATGTTTTAGATTTGCTTTCATTTTAAATTTATCATGTTTTACTTTGCATAACCTTGATAATCACTGTAACCATTATTTTTGCAGGTACTTAATTATGTGAAAATAATTACGTCCTTCTTTAAGGGATCTAGCATCTTCTTCATTAAATTATGTCTTTCTCTAATGCAACTTAAAACCACAATGAGATACCACCTTAACGCAGCCAAAATGGCCATGATTAAAAAGTAAAAAAAAATTAGATGTTGGCATGGATGTGGTGAAAAGGGACTGCTTATACAATGCTGAGAATGTAAAGTAGTACAACTTCTATGAAAAACAGTATGAATATTTATAAAGAAATAAAAGTAGATCTACCATTCGATCCAGCAATCCTACTACTGGGTATCTACCCAAAGAAAAAGTCATCATTATATCAAAAAAACACCTGCACACATATATTTATTACAGCCCAGTTCAGAATTGCAAACATATGGGACCAACCTAAGTGTCCAACAGCTGATAAATGGATAAAGAAGATGCGATATATACATTTTATATATATATATATAATATATATATTATATATATGTGTGTAATACGGGATACTACTCAACCATAAAAAATAATAAAATAATATCTATTGCACAATTTGGATAGAGCTGGAGGCCATTATCCTAAGTGGAGTAACTAGGGAATGGAAAACCAAATACTGTATGTTCTCACTTATAAGTGGGAGCTAAGCTTTGGGTATGCAAAGGCATGTGGAGTGGTACAATGGATATTGGAGACTTAGAAGTAGGGAGGGTGGGAGTTTTGGAAAAAACCACATTAAAACTGCACTAAAATCTTAGACTTCATCACTATACAATTCATCCATGTAACTAAGACCCACTTGTACCTCAAAAGCTATTTAAATAAAAAAATATATATACTAAAATTATGTCCTTCCTCAATATGACCCAGCCTCAAGGGGACCCAGCCTCCTTTTCAATCAAGAGATTCTTGGTATGTAAACTGCTCAAGAATGGAAACAATTAAGGGGCCATGAGTCTGTTTTGGTGACAGGTTATATTTCTGTTCGGTAGATCCAGAACTTCTCATTTACACGATCAAAAAAGAATTTAAGAGACTGCCATCTATATTTTTTTCTAGGGAAGCCAATGGTTAACTAGCCAACACCATACATCTCTGTGAGTCAATCTATTCTGATCACAGTTTTGCATCTCCTGTCTGTTACAGTAATCATGCTTGCCTTGTGTTTAGTAATTAAGTGCCACCACTTGCACCACGCCACTTAGGATCCTATTATCCTCATTGCATTTAGAGATTCCTGTTTTATTGCAGCAGTTACCATTGTAATTTCTGACCTACAGCAAAGAGTGACTACAGAGCTCTTCAAGGATGCTGGGATTCCCCTCACAAATTTGAGAGGATGAGAAGATATGAGCAATAATGAGGAAAAAATTTAATATTTTTATTAAAACTTATAGTCTGTGAGGGTTTTTATAACACATCTGTATTTTATAATATCTGAATTTAAACATCTCAGCACTTTCAAAAACAAGCAAGTCATGTATACTTAGCACTAAATATATTTATAGTTCAGAATTTAATGTGCTATTTTTACATATTCTAGAGAATCAACAAGGTTTTTGTGTGGGTGGAAAAGCATAGCTCTCCATATGTATTATATAATTATATTTGAATGGGAAACAAAGAAGAGCAGAAGTCCTTATATCATATAAAACAGATTTTAAATCACTGAAAACTTTTTAAACTTCTTGACTTTTTTCTAATAACACAGCTTAAAACCCAAACACATTGTACAGCTGTACAAAAACATTTGCTTTATGTCCTTATTCTATAAGCTTTTTTCTATATTTAACATTTTAATTTTTTTTTTTTATAAAACTTTTGTGTTAAAAACCAAGACACAAACACGCATGTTAGCCTAGGACTGCTCAGGATCAGGATCATCAATATCACTGTCTTCCACCTCCATATCTTGTCCCACTGGAAGGTCTTTAAGGGCAATCACACATGAAGCTGTCATCTCCTAGTATAATAATGCCTTCTTCTAGAACACCTCATGAAAGAACTGTTTGAGAATGTTTTGCAGTTAACACCTTTCTTTTATAGTTCAAGGAGTACACTTTTAAATAATGATAAAATTATAGCATAGTAAATACAGAAACCAGTAACATAGTTATTAATTATCATTGAGAAGTATTATGTACTGTACATAATTGTATGTACTATGCTTTTATTCGATTGGCAGTACAATAGGTTCATTTACACCGGCACTACCAAAAACACGTGAGTAATGAGTTGCGATATGACTTAGGATGGTTACCGCATCACTAGGTGATAGGATTTTTTTAGCTTCATTATAATCTTATAGGGCTACCATCATATATGTAGTTTATTATTAGTGAAAACATCATCATGTGGTGCATGACTATGTATAATTTTATGTACCACTTGCTGTGAATTATCATTAATTTTTGTGATGAGCACTGAAGCAGGAAATAAAAATTGAGTTTGGCTGAGCATGGTGGCACGCGCCTGTAGTCCCAGCAATCCAGGAGGCTGAGACAGGAGGATCCCTTGAGCCCAGGAGTTTTAGTCCAGCCTCAGCAACATGACAAGACCCGCATTTGAAATAATAATAATAATAGTAATATTAATTGAGGTTGTAAGATATTCAAAAGGCAACAGCCTTAAAATCACCTTATACTCTGTTCTTTTTTAGGGAAATATTTACTGGGCCTTCAGCTTTCTGTACTACTTCGGAACAGCACTAGCATCTATCTCAGGGTTTAAAATATGGAAGTTCTTGCCTTCCTTGAATCTTTTCTCCCAGAAATAACATATTGGCTCTCTTCCCTGTGACATGCCTCATCTGACATTGGCTGGCTTTCATATAAAACCTTTGTTTTAGCCTACTATCAATTCAACTTTTACATTGACAAAACGTAATTTTTGGTTGTCAATGTAAAAGTTGACATTTTTACATTCAACTTTAATTTAAATGCTGAATTTAAATTTAAATGCTGAAAATTTATTTAAACACTTAAAATGATATTAGAAGAGGTATTTTATGTTTTTAAACAGAGATATATTTCATTTTTATATGCAGTCAACAGATCACATGTGTATGTCTCTTATGTGTTCCTGTGTGGGAATAGCTTGAATTACTACATAAGTTCTCTGAGAATATTAAGTTCATTTAGGGGAACAGGACATATCTATATGAAAAACAGAAATAATACTACAAACAAAAGAGAGATCACGAGATAACATGTAATTAATTCTCAGTGAATGACATGTCATGAAATCATCAGAAGAGATGAGGATATGGGAAAAGCTTTATGAAAGTAGTCAGAACCATAAGGAAGATTCGGTTTTGTTAAACAGAAAGACCTTTTTCCATTGTGGTATTAAGTTTAATATGATTTTCATTGTATTAAAATACTAATGCAGTAAGTTGAAAATATAATTGCATTCTTTTCATTTAATCTATTGTAAAATATATAATCAAAATGATATACTTGTAAAATAATTACATATATAATAAAATCAATATACCTGTAAAAGAATCACAATTTAAGATTTATTTATTATTTAAGTTTAATAATGTATATTATTTCTAAAACCTGGATTAGCTGTGCCAACATTAATACATAAGATATAAAGCCCATTTTATATGAAAATGGAAACAAGAAATATGATTTTGAAATTGATTTTAATCATAGGCTAAACAAAGATTCATAGGCTAAACAAAGATTCATAAAAGATTAATTTGAATAAAAATTTAAGACATATTTATTCTTGTTGCCATATACGTACAAATGTAAAATATTTTATCTCCTCAAATCTTTTCTTTTTGCAGATGGAAATCATTTTTCATATTGTACTTATTTTATGTGCACCCATTTTGTTCCCCATTCTCTCTCCAGAATTATTTAAATTCTGAATTTTAAAATTAAATTAAAATTAAAGTTTCCACTTACTTTGATCTAAAATATTAAATTATCATGCACATTTAAAAAGTTTCTAAACATGTAGTAATTTTTTTTTCTTTTTTTACTTACACTAGTTTAAGTCATATTTGAGCATTCAAAATACAAGATTTCACTAATCCTACCCATGTGGAAGGATTCAGTAACTGTGGTAAGCTTAGGCAAAACAAATGTTCGGAGTTCATTTCTCCAACAAACATTTAGTACATTGTAAACATAATACTCTTTTCTCCAGTCCCCCAACCTGAGTCAGATATCCTCCTTTAAAATTTCTTACTTGACTGAGAGGTAAAAGAGTTGCAGAAATGAATAGGATTGCTGGACTAGTTGGACTCATGGAATAGTTGCCTACAGCAGATACAAGGCAAGTGCCCCAATACATTTGATACTGGTTCAGAGAAAATATGAAAGAAATTTTAAAGGAAATGTTAGATTAAAAAATACAGGGATGAGGAACTCCAAATTCTATGTATAAATTCTGATAAAATCTCTAGCTGACTCTAAAACCATGTGAGGCCAAGTCTAGGCAGCACAGATCAACCTCATTAGTCATCAGGGAAACACAAATAAAACTACAATAGATTACTACTACACATCCATCAGAATGGCTGCAGCAAAAAAGACTGTCAACCACAAATGTTGACAGAAACATTGAATAACATGGCCTATCATACATGGTTGAAGATAAAATGTTAAAACCACTTTAGAAGAAAATCTGGGAGTTGTTTTCCCCTTTTTAAGTAAAAATGAACAATCTGTGACATAGCCTTCTCCTCCTCAGCTTTATTCAAAAGACATGAAAACTTGTTTTCAAAAAAGAAGTGTGATGTTCATACCAACTTTAACAATAGTCAAAGAAAGTGAACAGCCCAAGTGTCCTTCAAAAGGAGAATTGTTAAACAAATGTGATAATTCATACCATGTACTCCTACTCAGCAATGAAAGTGAACAAATTAGTGATACACAAAACAGCATGGATAAATTTTTTAAAAAATTATTGGTGAAATAAGCCTTGTCCAGAGTGCATGCTGCATGATTTCATTTATATGAATTTGTGGAACAGATGAAACTAATGCTTATCGGAAAAAAAGTCATAATAATGATTGCCTTTGAAGGGGTGTGAATAACAATTGAGTGGGAAGTGAGATTAAGGCAATATCTGAGGTGACAATAGTTGTCTCTATCTTGATAAGATTCGAGTTAGGAATATTCATTCGTTAAAACTCAGCCAGTGTACACCTAGAATTTGTTCATTTTATTGTATGTCACTATTATATTAACCAACAAAACAAAAAACTTGAACAAATATTAAACTCTGTCTATATCACTGTATTCAGAGGTTTATGTACTGATATTTGCATTTACAGGAAACGATAAAATAAATTAATAGTAAAGCTGGCTAAAGTAAGAAACCAAAGAAAGAAAAATTATAGACAGGAAAATGTATAACCATTTAATTCAAAAGCTTAATGAAGCTTGCTATGTCAGCTCCGAACAGAAAAAAAAGAGTAAGGTTTTCAGATTGATGGAGAATAATAAATAGCAATCAAATAATAACCAAATATTACACAATTTGAATAATTTACTAAAATATATCATGAGGCTTTTAAATTTGGCACAACTTTAGAATACTAGAAAAGTCTATATAGAAAGCAAATTATGGTTTTGTAAATTCTCATAATGTAGCAGACTAATGGATTTTAAAAATTGCAGATACAGATAGGGGATTGTACAGCTCAGATCTGTAAGGAAGGGCTCTGGAATAGACAGAATGTGATATGTCTAGAGGAGAAAAAGAACCAGGGAAATTAGTTTATCTGGATTCTGATTTCACATCAGCTTTAGATTTCTTGAAGAAGGAGAGTGTTTTAGGATTACTGATTTTACATATGTCATCAGATAGAAGACAGATATATTGGAGTAAACTCTCAAAGAGTTTTTCCAAGAGAACAGAGTATATATGAAATTGATTGCTTTGTACACTTTGGAAAGCATAAGCTATTGATAAAAAGAGATTCTATTGTTGCGATTGTACTGAGGAACAGAGAAAGAAATTATAGAAGGAATCTTTTGACTTTTGGCAAACTCTGTAATTGCATTCCTAATTTCTGATGTCCCCCTTCTTCTTTACTACCAGCAATTGGTAGAGAGAAGTAGTACTCACCTACTCAGCCTCTCCTGCAGCTACTATGGCCATTTTATCACAGTTGTGGATGAAGATGCGTAAAATATCCTTAGAAGTCTGATTCTGGGGAAAACTCTGGTGAGGTACTATGCAAGACAACCACCCCAAGGCACATAATCATCACACTCACCAAGGTCAAAACAAAAGGAAACTCTAAAAGGCAGCTAGAGAAAAGGGTCAAGCCACATACAGAGGAAACCTCATTAGGGAAGCAACAGACCTCTCAGCAGAAACCTTAGAAGCCAGGAGAGGTTGGGGGCCAATTTTCAGTGTCATTAAAGAAAAAAAAATTCCAACCAACAATTTTATATTCCATCAATCTAAGCTTCTTAAGGGAAGAAGAAATAAAATTCTCAGACAAGTGAACATTGAGGGAATACATTTCAACTAGACCAGATTTATAAGAGGTTTTTAAGAGAGTGCTAAACATGGAACTAAACGAATGACACCTGCTACCATAGAACACACTTAAGCACATAGCCCAAGGTACTATAAAGCAATCATATAATCAGGCCTACATAATAACCACCTAACAACACAATGTCAGGATCAAAATCTCACATATCAAAATTAATTCAGAATGTAAATAAGCTAAACACATCACTTAAAAGACATAGAGTACCATTCTGAATACAAAGATAAGACTCAACTATCTGCTGTCTTCAAGAGATCCATCTTGCATATAACAACAACCAAGGCTCAAAGTAAAGGCATACAGTAGAGACCTACCATGCAAATGGTACCCAAAGAAGAGCAGAAGTCACTGTTCTTATATCATATAAAACAGATTTTAAATCACTGAAAAGAAGGACAAAGACAGACATTAGATAATGATAAAAGGTACAATCCAACAAGAAGTCTTAACTCTACTAAATATATACACATCCAATAGTGGTGCACCATATTCATAAAATAACTTCTAAGTCTAAAAAAGGACTTAGAGAACCACAATAACTCTGGGAAACTTCAACAACTCACTGACGGTGTTAGCCAGATTATTGAGTCAGAAAACTAAGAAAATTCTGGAATTAAACTTGACACTTGACCAAATAGACCTAATAGACGTCAACAGAACACTCCATGCAACAACCACAGAATGTACATCTTTCTTATTTCCGCATGGAGCACATTCTAAGATTGACCACATGCTTGGTCATAAAGCAAGCTCGATCAATTAATACAAATTGAAATTATACCAAACACACTCTTGGACAATAGTGCAATAAAAATAGAAACCAATATGAAGAAGATCTCTCAAAACTACATAAATTAATGAAAATTAAACAACTTGCTGCTGAATAACTCCTAAGCGAACATCAAAAATAAGGCAGAAATTTAAAAATTCTTTGTAATTAATGAAACTTGGTTCACAACTTACCAAAACCTCTGGGATGCAGTTAAAGCAGTGCTAAGAGGAGAGTTTACAGAACTAAATACCTTTATCAAGAAGT
The DNA here is from genome assembly GCF_000001405.40 of Homo sapiens. Classification (NCBI taxonomy): domain Eukaryota; kingdom Metazoa; phylum Chordata; class Mammalia; order Primates; family Hominidae; genus Homo; species Homo sapiens. Next base: position 185,715,814 of record NC_000002.12, on the reverse strand, counting down.
TAGATTTCAAATTAGCAATCTAACTTTGCACCTAAAGGAGTTAGAAATAAAAAACAAACCATCCCCAATGCTAGCAAAATAAAAGAAATAACTAAAAGTAGAGAGGAACTTAATGAAGTTCAAATCCAAAAACCGTACAAAAAATCGGGCTGGGCACGGTGGCTCATGCCTGTAATTTTAAAATCAATGAAACTGAGTTCGTTCTTCAGAAACTATATAAAAAGATTGATAGACCACCAGCTAGGTTAACAGAGGAAAAACAAGAAGGTCCAAATAAGTATAGTCAGAAATGCTAAAGATGACTTTACAACTGATCCCACAAAAATAGAAAATATCCTCAGAGAATACTATGAACAATTCTATGTACACAAATTAGAAAATCTAGAGGAAATGAATAAATTCCTGGAAATGCACAATCTACTGAGATTGAATCAGGAAGAGATTGAAAACCTGAATAGACCAATAAAATTTAGATGGAACCAAAAAACACGCCAAATAGCCACAGCAATTGTAAGCAAAAAGAATAAAGCCAGAGGCATCACACTAACCAACTTCAAACTATACTATAAAGCGACCATAACCAAAACAACTTGGGACTGGTACAAAAACAGACACATAGACCAATGGAAAGGAATAGAAAACTCAGAAATAAAGCTACACATTTACAACCATCTGACTTTCAACAAGATCAACAAAAATAAGCAATGGGTAAAGGCATCTCTATTCAATAAATGGTGCAGTGATAACTGGCTAACCATATGCAGAGAATGAAACTAGACTGCTATCTTTCACTATACACGAAAACTAACTCAAGAAGGATTCCAGACTTAAATGTAAACACTAAAGCTATAAAAACTCTAGAAGAAAACCCAAGAAATATCTCTCTCGACATCAACCCTGGCAAAGATTTCAAGACAAAGACACCAAAGGCAACTGTAACAAAACCAAAAATTGACAAGTAAGACCTAATTAAATTACAGAGCTTCTGCACAGCAAAAGAAACAATCAATAAACAAACAACTTACAAAATGGGAGAAAATATTTGCAAACTGCATCTAAGAGAAATCTAACATCTGTAAGAAATTTAAACAAATCAAAAAGAGAACAACAAATAACCCCATTAAAAATGGGCAAAAGACATAAACAGACCCTTCTCAAAAGAAGACATACAAGGCCAGGTGTGGTGGCTCATGTCTGTAATCCCAGCGCTTTGGGAAGTCAAGGTGGACAGATCACTTGAGGCCAGGAGTTCGAGACCAGCCTGGCCAATATGATGAAACCCTGTCTCTACTAAAAATGCAAAAAGTAGCCAGGTGGGGTGACACATGCCTGTAATCCCAGCTACTCAGGAAGCTAGTCACGAGGGTCGCTTGAACCCAGGAGGCAGAGGAGCCAAGATCGTGCCACTGCACTCCAGCCTAGATGACAGAGCAAGACTCTGTCTCCAAATAAAAAAAAAAAAGAAGAAGAAGATGAAGAAGACATACAAGTAGCCAACAAGCATATGAAAAAATGCTCAACATCACTAATCATCAGAGAAATGCAAATCAAAACCACAATGAGATACTACATCAAACCAGTCAAAATGGCTACTATTAACAAGTCAAAACAACAGATCCCTCAAGGGTACAGAGAAAAGGGAATGCTTGTACATTGTTGGTGGGAGTGTAAATTAGTCCAGCAACTGTAGAAAGAAATTTGGAGATTTCTCAAAGAACTTAAAACAGAGCTATCATTCAACTCAGCAATCCCATCACTGGGAATATACCTTAAGAAAAAGAGGTCATTATGACAAAAAGACACATGCACTTGAATGTTCATTAGAGCACTATTTACAATAGCAAAGACACAGAATCAACCGAGGTGTCTATCACTCATGGATTGGATAAAGAAAATGTGGTACGCATACACCATGGAATACTACACAGCCATAAAAAATGAAATCATGTCCTTTGCAGCAACATGGATGTAACTGGAGACCATTATGCTAAGCAAATTAACACAGGAAAAGAAAACCACATATCACAATTCCTCACTTATATGTGGGATCTAAACCTCAAGTACACATGGAGATAACATGGGGATAATAGAAACTGTTGGCTATTAATTAATTAAATATTGAAAATTAGGAAAACTAAGGACTCAAAAATAGTTTCCATATTTCTGGCTCACACAGCTGATTAGTAGGTGAGATCATGAAAGAGTTGACTGCAGAGGAAGAGTATTTGTGATAAAGCATTCGTTAGAAGTTAATGAGGGAAGAGTGAAGAATATATAAATGATGTACTTTGACAATAGTTGAAGGAAAATGAAGATTTAAATGTCTCTGCAACTGTAGATTATCAATGGCAAGCAAAAGAAGCTATTGTTTTTGATAAAGAAAATTTACAGTGTAAGCTGAAGTATTTTACTGCTATTCATTAGTAATAAGTATTTCAGATTAAATAATAAAACTCCAGAAAGCAGTAGGGGATTATTTGCATGACTGGTCTATACATTTTGTTTTATTTATGATATCAATTATTAGTATAATTTAGTTTTAAAATAGGCTTAAGTAATCTAAAGGCTTTTTTGAATTTAGTAAAGTTTTAAAGACAATCTGTGTTTTGCAAAAATGATACATAGTTTATAAATAGAAACATATAAAGACAAAAAGAATGCACCCATTAACTCGTCATTTACATTAGGTATATCTCCTAATGCTATCCCTCCCCCCTCCCCCCACCCCACAACAGGCCCCAGTGTGTGATGTTCCCCTTCCTGTGTCCAAGTGCTCTCATTGTTCAATTCCCACCTATGAGTGAGAACATGCGGTGTTTGGTTTTTTGTCCTTGCAATAGTTTGCTGAGAATGATGGTTTCCAGCTTCATCCATGTCCCTACAAAGGACATGAACTCATCATTTTTTATGGCTGCATAGTATTCCATGGTGTATATTTGCCATATTTTCTTAAACCAACATGGCACATGTATACATATGTAACAAACCTGCAGGTTGTGCACATGTACCCTAGAACTTAAAGTGTAATAAAAAATATATATATAAAGACAAAAAGAATGAAAGTCCAAAAACAGTAACAATGAATCAAGATGTCAATTCTAAATATAGCACTCATTACATATGTAATTGAGTGAAGATTCCCTGGTGAGAAAGGATAAGAATTCTCAGGGAGGCTTTAAAAAAATAACTACAACATGCAATTTTTATGTGTCATGCATAGACAATGTTAAACTAAAAATTTATTTTTCAAAACTAGACTTATGGAAGGACAATTTCAAGGAGTCACAGTATTGGACAAATAAAAATTCATGTTGCAAATATGTTTAAATGAACATATTTAATATATTTCCACAAAAATATTAAACAGACTCCCAAAGTCCAGAGTCAGAATGTAAGGCAAAAATCCTATATATCCTATTTAGTAATTCTCCTTTTGAATTTATTTGATCTATTTTGGTAAAAATCAGAAAATGGAAGATGGTAGCAAGATGATAATAGCCCAAGCTGGATCACAGATGAAGTCAGGAAATAAGCACCATTCATGTTTCTTCCAGGAAATAGTTCTCCCGAATACAGCATGTTAAACATATAGATTTTAATATATTCAATTTGTTTACACTGATTATAATGAATACCAATTAGGAGAACAATAGGGTTCTAATGTCCCATAAATAATTTAATTGCATTCCCCTTATAGTATAATCTATTTAAAACCCAAGTCCACACTATCTTGGTTCATCTTTTGTTAATTTACACAATATCCTCCAGAACTCCACCCTAATTCTTCCTCCAAGTGGAGCCAATGAAATCACAACTTGATGCCCATAATTATTGTGTATGTCTTTTGCCCATTGTGTTTCTCATTGTCATGTAGGAAGACAAAAATTTGATAAAACCTTGGAATAACTAAAATTAATAACAAAAAAACACTGTATGGCTTTAGAGAGGTTAAAATATTCTTAATAATATAAACACAGAAACTAAAACAAAAGATGGTTGCAGATTTACATAATTTTTACAATTGTGTGGTCAAAACAAACAATCAAAAATAACTGTAAAAAGCAAATAAACATCTGTTTCAAGATGGCAGAGCACATAAATTTACCTTTCTCCTTCACAAAATAGAACTGAAGAGAAAGTTAATATATGCAAAATATATTAAAATATTAATAACAAAATAATAAGTCCATAATAAGAAGTAGTGCTATCAGCAGAATAGAAACATTGACAAATTTCTGGAGAAGAAAGAGCAGATGATGTATTGACTTAGATACCTAAGAAGAAGAATGTGTAACTCTCATTTTGCACAGAAGAAATAGCAATAAAGATAGAGTTCAGTGACAGGCTGTTAGAGAAGAGATCATGGTAATGAATTAAAGAACTGTCTGACAATTTATATGTTCTGTGTACAAACAGCAACTGGCTGTAGCATTTCTCCCTAAGATAAACCCAAGAAATACTTTCTGAATAACCATTCTACAGATGTGTCCTATTGTGGAAATTGGAGAGCAGAGGTTAAGATAATTTCAATTTCCAAATTTAACAAGACATTTTTAAAAAGAATTCAGTGCCATTCAACATGAAAGTATGCCACTTGCACTTAATCTGCCAATCCCAGGGTAGCATCGTTATTATTACAGAGATTTTGAGTCTTAAACATCTCCCTAATCACATACCTTAAATAGAAGCCTGCCTCGTCTCCTTAGAACCTGCCCACTTTTTCATTCTGCACATAATTTATCTGCCGCTCTAAACACTCAGGATAAATCTAGATTAATTCTGCACATAATCCATCTAAAGCTCTCACAATAATGCAGAGAAAACTAAGTGTTTTACAATCTCCCAACATTGCAAAAGAATACAATGCCAATGCCAATACTAACCAACATAGTCCTTCATTTATAAATATGGAATACTAGTCAAGGACTAACAGATGTTTGAGGAGGACCAGTAGCAGCCAGAGAAAGAACAGGCTATAAAAACTAAAGCACAGATCCTAAAGCATATGGAAATAATGCAAAGAATAAAATGCAATTAATATTCTTTAAAAGGATTAAGAATATATCATAACCAGATTGTTAAGAAACTAAAAAACAAGACCAAAAACAACTAAAGGGTTGAGAAATAGAAAGAATATTGTTCCAGGAAAAATAATAATATACATTATTACTTAAATATTTTAATATTATTATTATTTGTTCAATAAAATAAGAAATTTAACAAAGTTTTACATGTTTATTTCATATATTATGTAACAAACCTGCACGTTGTGCACATGTACCCTAGAACTTAAAGTATAATTTAAAAAAAAAAGAAAACTTTATAGCTGAGTTGGGGGGTGATTCATGAATAATTCAGATGTCCTAATTGGTTACTTATCTTCTTTATATTAAAATTTGTATGCTTTGATGTTAAAAAAAAAGAAATATCAAGTAAAAATTTAAATTTATTAAACAACACACCTAACAGCAGCATTTTCTTAATGATACTAATATGAGTCATATTGTTGATATAGACAAATGTTATGATGATGGGAGAAAGGCAGCATGTTTCAGTGAAAATATAATTAACTAAGAATTACAAAATGCAGGTTATAATTTCAGCCCTGCTTCAAATTTATTATGTGCCTTGGGAAACTATTTTGCCTCACAAGTGACAGACTTTTCTCCTCTAAATTCAATTTCCATCATATTTGGGTTTCTATATCATTAGCATACAATTCACAGTAATATTTGTATTAACCACCAGTAGTATATTTTAAGTCATAAGCATTGCTTATCTAGATATGTAAGAGGGTGAGTTTTAATTTTTGCTTTCTAGGAATATTTTGTGCTTTTGTTTGTTTTTTGTTTCTCTTTTTTGCATCTCTGTGTATTCTTCCAACCCAGCATCTGTGGTTTACATTCTTGTAGTTCATATTTTTTTTCTGGCTGCTGTGCCCTTTTTACCTTGGCACAGCAGCCAGCTCTTCTGCATCTGCAGCTGTCACAAAGGTGGCAGCTTGAAAGAATGGGTGAAGGGCTTGATTGCAGCCTTGGCACACTTAGACAAGCAAGCTTCCCATATCCTTTTGTTTTCTTATCAAATCATGTACAGACAAATTAAAGCAGCAGGCCAAACATGTCTCCACACTCCCCAGGGTACAGTCCTCAAATTCATCCATGGGCACATGCTCCATTGTGACCCTTTGCAGTTTGTCTAATGATTTATCATTTCACTTATCTTTTATGCCAGATGTGCTCTAAGCATCTATGACCAAAATTCAAAGTGTCTTCAGAAGATAAATAGGTTCATGTACTCCAAAATAATTCAATTTTCAATAATAATTTTCTACCTTAATACTAAAGAATACAAGAGTGAATTTTCGTTCCCCAACCCCTCATTTTAACCAAGTCCAAGAATCCCATGTTGGCTGATAAATTTAATGAGCCACAGAGAGTGTCTGTGTTATTCAGTAACTTATGTGTAGAAGGCAATTAATAAGTATTTATTACAAATTATTTAACTATCAAAATCTCTTAGATTCAGAATGTAACTAATCACTTAAGTTGACTTATTTAAGCAATTGATAATCAAACCTCTTTCATGGACAACAATATTTTTAGGCCCATTAAAGAGTTCCTAGGAGAAAAGAATGTATCTGCAAGTACATTAAAACCAATGTTTCCATCGTCTACAGATATAAAATATCTGCATTTGATTATGAAGTATATTTTATTTCAATACTAAATTTTTAGAAACTACCATGTTTTAAAATATGAAACCAACTTACTTGTGTTATTTAAAAAATAAAATGTCCCAGCGCAGTGGCTCACGCCTGTAATCCCAGCACTTTGGGAGGCCGAGGCTGGCAGATCAAGAGGTCAGGAGATCGAGACCATCCTGGCTAACACGGTGAAACCCCGTCTCTACTAAAAATACAAAAAATTAGCCGGGCGTGGTGGCGGGCGCCTGTAGTCCCAGCTACTCAGGAGGCTGAGGCAGAAGAATCACGTGAACCGGGGAGGTGGAGCTTGCTGTGAGCCGAGATCGCACCACTTGCACTCCAGCCTGGGCGACAGAGTGAGACTCCCTCTCAAAATAAAATAATAAAATAAAGTAAAATAAAAAACACTTTTGAAATAAAATAAGTTTATGAAACAATTTCTCTATTAAATATTTATGTGGAAGAAAATATGTTTTTGCCTTTTTACAAGTGAGGATACTCAATGTATTCTTATTTCAGGATTAAAGATGAAATAATTAAGAGCTGATTGTGAATCAAGTGTAATAATCACTCTCTTCCTGAAGTCAGTTTAAGATAACCTACCTGAGGTAGAATTTTTTTGTTTTTATTGGATCATATCCTCAAGTCAGTGCTACTTTAGTGTGCCTAAAAATCAGCTGGGAATATTGTTAGTTGTTAATATCTTAGACTCAGATGGATCTTTCATCTGGTGGATTGCATCTTGATGCCTGCAGCTATTAGCTCATCAGAATGAATCAACAATATCTCTCTAAAGATCTTTTCTATTCCCCCAGAATCACTTATTCACAAAGATAAAAACCTCACTCCATTTTTCTTCTATGTGGAAGAAAAGTTATCCTGAGAAAATAGATGCCTGTTATTTCTTTCTCTTGCCTGATTGCTTCAGCTAGGACTTCCAGTACTAGGTTGAATGAGTGATGAGAGTGGGCATCCTTGTCTTATTTCAGTTTTCACGGAAAATTTTGACAACTCTTGCCCATTCAGCATAATACTGGCTGCAGTTTGTTATAGACAGCTCTTTTCATTTTGAGGTATGTTCCTTGATGCCTAGTTTGTTGAGGGGTTTTATCATGAAGGGATAATGGAGTTTATCAAAAGCTTTCTCTGTGTCTATTGAGATGATCATATGCCTTTTGTTTTTAATTCTGTTTATATAGTGAATTACATTTATGATTTGCATATGTTGAACCAATCTTGCATCCCAGGAATAATGCCTACTTGATCATGTGAATTAATTTGATGTGCTTCTGGACTCTGTTTGCTAGTATTTTGTTGAGGATTTTTGCATCTATGTTCACGAAGGATAATGATCTGAAGTTTTATTTTTTCACCAGGTCTCTGCCACATTTTTGGTATTAGGCTGACGCTGGCTTCATAGAATGAATTAGGGAGGGGCCCCAACTCCTCGATTTTTTGTGAAATATTTCAGTAGGATTGGTATCAGTTCTTTTTATACATCTGATAGAATTTAGCTGTGAATCCTTCTGGTCCAGGGGTTTTGTTGGTTGGCAGGGTTTTTATTACTGTTTCAATTTCAGCGGTGAATATTGATCTGTTCAGTGTTTCATCCTCTTTCTTATTCAATCTTGGGAGATTGTGCGTTTCCAGGAATTCACCCATTTCCGCTAGATTTTCTAATTGGTGAGCATACAGTTTTTCACAGTATTCTCTGAGGATGTTTTGTATTTCTGATGGATCAGTTGTAATGTCATCTTTGTCATTTCTGATTGTATTTACTTGGATCTTTTGTCTGTGCTGATTTAGCTAGTGGTCTACCAATCTTGCTTTTATTTTTTGAAGAACGAGCTCTTGGTTTCATTGATCTTTTGTATGAATTTTTGCATCTTAATTTCATCAAGTTCCACTCTAATTTATTTCTTTAATTCTGATAGCTTTGGTGTGGTTTGTTAATTTTTTTCTATTTCCTTTAGATGCAAAGTTAGATTATTAATTTGAGATATTTCTAACTTTTTGCAGAAGGCATTAAGGGATATAAACTCTCCTTTTAACACTGCTTTAACTGCATTCTAAACATTTTGGTCAGTGGTATCCCTAGTTTCATTAATTCAGAGAATTTTTTTATTTCTGCCTTAGTTTTGATATTCTTCGAGAAGTTATTCAGCACTAAGTTGTTTAATATTCATGGATTTGTGTAGTTTTGAGAGATTTTTTTGATGTTGGTTTCTATTTTTATTACACTGTGGTCCGAGTGGACTTGATATAATTTCAATATTTATTAATTAATTGAGACTTGCTTTATACCAAGCAAGTGGTCAATCTTAGCACATGTTTTATGTGCAGATGAGAATAATGTATATTGTTGTGCGTTTTGGGTGGGGTGTTTTGTAGATGTCTATTAGATCTTACTGGTCAAGTGTTACGTTTAAGTCCCGAGTTCTTTGTAGTTTTCTGACTTGATGATCTCTTTAATGCTGTTGGTGAGGTGTTGAAGACTCCCACAATTATTGTCTAGTTGTGTAAGTCTTTTTGTAGGTCAAGAGGAACTGGTTTTATGAATCTGGATGCTCCAATGCTAGGTGCATATATATTTTGGATACTTAAGTCTTCTTGTTTGTTGGGAATTTTTGTCATTATGCAATGCCCTTCATTGTCCATTTTAATTTTTGTTGCTATAAAAGGCATCCAAATAGAAAAAGAAGAAGTCAAAATATCTCTCATCCCTGGTACTAAGATTCTGGACTTAGAAAACCCTAGGGACTTTGCTAAAAGGCTACTAGAGCTGATAAATGATTTTAGCAAGGTTTTAGGATACAAAATCAATGTATAAAAACCAGTAGCATTACCATACATCAATTGCACTTAGGCTGAGAGTCAAATCAAGAACACAATCTCATTTACAATAGCCACAAATAAAATGAAATACTTAGGAATACAGCTAACCAAGGAGGTGAAATATCTCTTCAAGGAAAACTACAAAACACTGCTGAAAGAAATCAGAGATGACACAAATATATAGAAAAATACTCCATGCTCACAGATTGGAAAAGTCAATATCAATAAAATGGTCATACTGCCTAAAGCAATTTACAGAGACAATGCTATTTCTGTCAAATTACCAGTGATAATGTTCACAGAACTGGAAAAAAAAACTATGCAAAAATTCATATGGAAAGAAGAAGGAGCCCAAGTAGCCAAGGCAATCTTAAGCAAAAAGAACAAAACCATAGGCATCACACTATCCAACTTTAAAGTACACTAAAAGGCTACAGTAACCAAAACAGCATAGTGTTGGTTCAGAAACAGACATATAGACCAATGGAACTTAATAGAGAGCCAAGAAATAAAGTCACACACCTTCAATCTGATTTTTGACAAGGCCAACAAAAACAAGCAATGGGGAAAAGAATTCCTATTCAATAAATGGTGCTGCAATAACTGGTTAACCATATACAAAAATTAACTCAAGGTGGATTCAAGACTTAAATGTAACACCTAAAACTATAAAAACTCTAGAAGAAACCCTAGGAAATACCCTTCTTGGCAATGACCATTGCAAAGAATTTCTGGCCAAGTTCCCAAAAGTAATTGCAACAAAACCAAAAAATGGATAAGTGGAACCTAATTAAACTAAAAACCTTGTGCACAGCAAAAGAAAGTATCAACAGAGTAAAGAGACATTTTACAGAATGAAAGAAAATATTCACAAACTATGCATCTGAAAATGGTCTAATATCCAGATCAACAAGCAAAAACCAAATAACCCCATTATAAAATGGGCAAAGGACATGAATAGACACTTGTCAAAAGCAGATATACAAGCAACTAACGAGCATATGAAAAATGGTCATCATCACTAATCATCAGAGAAATACAAATAAAACCTGCAATGGGATACTGTCTCACACCAGTCAGAATGGTAATTATTAGAAAGTCAATAAAGAACAGATGCTGGTGAGACTGCAGACAAAAAGGGAGCACTAATGTAAATTCATTCAACCACCGTGGAAAGAAGTTTGGAGATTTCTCAAAGAACTAAAACAACCACCATTCGACCAGCAATCTCACTACTGTCTATATACTGTCTATATAGGAAAACAGGTCATTATATTAAAAAGACACGTACTCATCACCATGGTATTCACAATAGCAAAGACATGTATTCAACCTAGGTGACCATCAGTGGCGAATTGAATAAAAAATATTTGCTACATACATTCCTTGGAATACTACGCAGCCATAAAAAGAATGAAATCATGCCTTTCACAGCAACATGGATGGAGCTAGAGGCCATTATTTTAACCAGATTAATGCAGGAACACAATGCCAAATAGCACATATTTTCACTTATAAGTGGAAGCTAAACATTGAGTACAAATGGATATAAACATGGGAACAATAGACACTGTGGCATACTGGAGTGGAGAGGAAAGGAAGGAAGTCTCAATGAAAAACTACCTATTGGAGACTCTGCTCATTACCTGGGTGCAATATACCCATGTAACAAATCTGCACATGTATCCTACTATCTAAAATAAACTTTGGAGAAAAAAAGAATAGATTAATATTTTCCTTGACTTGCTGTATTACTTTGCTGTGGATTTTGAATTGAATATAAATTAAGAACTCAAAGGCCAAGTGATACTACAGAGATAAGCAAATAAATTGACAAAAAAATAAAATTGAACAGGAGAAGAATATATCAAGATGTAACAGAATTCCCATGAAATTAGGGTATAAATTATGCTGTACAACAAAGGAGAACACATTCCAAGAAAAATTGGTGTAGAGCAACTATAGCCGATACACAACTTGGGGGAGAAATAATTATCTATATTTCCATAATTACCAGAAGATAGTGAGGCAGTGTCTACAAAGGAATGGGGCAAAATAAATGTGAACCAAGATAATTATATCTAGTCATAATATCGTTTCTGATAATGGCAAAAGGCAGACATTCTTAAATATACAGGAACTCAGGGAAGTGTTATGATTCCTTCTTGAAGACAAAAAAAACTTGTTCAAAAAATTTATCCAAGTTAGAAAAGTTTCAGCATAAAACTAAGGAATTGAAATAACTGATAAAGGTAACATTAGTGAAATGTAAATACAATTAACTAGTGGATTTTAACTAAATATATTTAGTAATTATGGTTGTTACTTTGTTAAGAAAACTTTAAAAAGTAAATATACTATTGCAACAAAGAAAATATATAGTGTGAGGTAAGAGGTATCTAGATGAGATAGTTACTTCTTATAAAAAGGAAGAAATCTGCTTTACTTTCTGAAATAAAAACTGTAATTAAAAGGAAGCTTAAACTCTACAAACTTAATTATTCTTCAAACATAAAAGTAACACTGAAGTACTATTTAATAAATATCTTCTGTAAAGAAATAATTACTTAAAATTCATTAGCTTGTTTTCTTTTCAGTTTTTATTCTCTTAAATTCTAATAAGTTCAATATAATGCATTTAATATAATGCCACCCACAATATGACTTGACATTAATGTTTTATTCTATCTTTTCATCTGTCATCTACTATCAATTTTCATACATGTTTACATGTATAAATAGAACTCTCGAACAATGCTTTCTCCATGAAAGCAAAGGTTGTATTTATTGGTATATTGTTTGATTTTTAAAATAAAATACGTGTTAAATATTTTACAAAAAAAATTTAGTTATTAACATATTTAAGCATTAAAACATCAAATATCTGCCACCCAGAATTAACAAATAATATTTTGCCTTGTTAGCTTCATCTTTTTATTAAGGGATAGGATTTAAAGGGTAGATGTCCCTTTGAATGGCTCTCTGGTTTGCTGTGTTCCTGTAGCACTATCAATAAAGTGGTATTGATGAAGTTGTAATGATAATTAAGGTTATGTGTTTACTATAGGCCTTACAAATATTGTACAGAATTGAAAAGATGTCATACATATCTAAATGTGACACTTCTATTAATTCATAGTCCTATTCAACGTTTGAAATTGTTTCTTACAAGATTATCATCAGTTTCTACACAAGCACAAACAGAAAAAAAAAAGAAAATTATGATGGAACCCATAGTTACCAGTGCAGGCATTATTAGATTCAGGAAACTTCCTTTATCATTGCTTTCACTTTTTTTAATACACTAGAAATATAGATAAGTTTGTAACCATCCATCCTTCTTAAAACAATTTGATGTTTATGAGACTCAGTTGTCTTTCTCTTAATTCACAATGAATAACTCTTCCTAAAATTTAGAGTGAGATCATTTTAAACTATATTTTTATTCCTATTTTCCATCTTTTTAAAACGTGGTATGAACACAGCTGAGCAAAATAAATCACAGACAATTTTCTGATTTTTCGCACGCCATATTATGTTTATAATGAATCATTTTAAACCTCTAAGTTCAAGATTATTACATTGTTTACAGTCATTTCTCATAGTAGCAGAAGCTATATAGAGAGATTCTAAATTGAAAATATAAAAACTGTCATGCTCTATATAATTTATTTGATATGGAAGAGAGTCTAAAGTAATACAGATATATGTGCTGTACTGTCTTTCAGAGCTAATCTTTCATTTTTTCTCCATTAAATCGTTTTTGTCTTAAAAAGCTTAAAATAGCTGTTTACTATTTGCTAATTAATGAAATCTAGTAAACATGACTGTGTATCTCAAACATGTTTTAATTGATCTAATTAGCCCAGAAGTTCATCAGGCATTGCCTTACAGGAGAGCAATAATTATTGCATTCATTGGCAGATAGAAAGAGATCACTGGCCTTAAATCATTTTCCACATTTATAGTATATAAGACTTTTTTCCTGTGTTTTGGTTGATCTAAGCTTTGTCTAACAAAATAAAATTGAATTGAGAAATAAATATGAAAAATTTATAGAATGAATATATGTAGTGTTTTTATTTTTGTTTTCGAGATAGAGTCTCGCTCTGTCGCCCAGGCTGGAGTGCAGTGGCATGATCTCAGCTCACTGCAACCTCTGCCTCCCAGGTTCAAGCGATTCTCCTGCTTCAGCCTCCCAAGTAGCTGGGACTACAGGCGCCTGCCACCAGAATGAATATATGTAGTGTTTTTATGCTTAGACATAATTGCTTGCTAATAATCAACTTGGAGTAATAAGAAAAGGTAATACTGGTTTTCTTTCTATCACTACACTTTGAGAAAGGTCAAAGTTACTCCAACTGTGTATTCTGAAGTGTGGGTGCTGACATCTCTAATGAATGATGTGACTATATTTATAGAATGATTTGTAATTCAAAACTAAAACATTGTCTGTATTTAAGACAACTAGTTTCAATCTGTTCAATCTATCAAGATATCAACCAAGCAAAGTGGTGTGACAGCCATCTTATTCAACATAATTTTAAATAATTTCTAAAATGACATAAAGAAGAACGTAAGAAATAACAAGATTTTTTAAAAAGTGGGCTATCATCATTCTTTAAACATACCGTTCATTTGCACAGCTCTAAATTAGCTATATTGTGTTAATTTAATATTAATCGAGAAAATATATGCAAATGAGCACAGAAAAAAACACTCTTCTGTCTCAGATATCACTGTTTATTGACTAAAAAATGTAATATTTGTAATAATTCTGAGTGTGTTGGATATTTAGCAATTCTATAAATTGATATAGAATATAAAACTTTGTAACGTTGAGTCCAAGTTGTATTTTTTCTACTGTTCTTACAAGATCCCTGCAATAGCTTTTGTATCTGTTGACGACAAATAAAATATAAAGACTAATCTTTAAATTTAAAACATTTTATTTGGGAAGCAAGAATTGCAATTTGGGGCACACATACAAACCAGGTAGCCTTTGATATGTCCATAAAACAAAGAGAAGATTCGAGGATTTATAGAAAGGGGAAAAGTTACATATACTGTTTTAAAAGAAAGTCCGTTGGCACTATTAAAGTTTTGGGGGGCTGGCAGGCTCTGAATGATAAGCGATGGCAGTGGGTAGAACCAGTCTTTGAGTGGCAGTCAGTTGTTTCAGCGGCTATTAGATGAAACTGGTTTCAGGTTACAACAGGCAGTTTCAACAGCAAGGTGGCAGAGAATTACATTCTTGGAGTACTGTTATATATCCTGAGTTTTTTTTCCCCACTGGCCTCTCAACTCTGTTTTAGTTGGGTATGACAAGAATGCCCTAATTAATATGATCAACTTTCATCTACCTTATTTCTAAAATATTTAATTAAACTGGTAAAATTCATAGTGCAGATTGAAATAAATACAATTAAATAATTGTAAAAATATAATACTCTGTTTTGCAAAACGTAAACATCAGAGCTTTTTTTTAATTTTTGTAATGTAGTACATGAATGTACCTTTCCAATAGGGTAAAGCCATATTGATGCAGAGAGTTGCATCATTTGATATTAGATTGGATATTATTAGATACAAGGTACTTCTGTGAGATTGTCAATGCAGGTTATACTTAAAAATGAACTAGATCCTATACTAGAGGTGAGAAGGATAGATACGGAAGCATTATTTCTTCATGAGCATCTGTTAAATCTATAGCAATGTTTACCCTACTTGCAACTTAACAATTTAGCTTTATGGATGCTAAAACATGGCTTAAGTCTCTACAGTAACAAAGGATTTATTACCACAGCAGAGAAGACAGTGAGTTTTATGCTTGTATTGGTTTACCCAGGCCCCCAATCCCCCAAATGAAGCAGAAGAGGACACAAGCAGATGCTGAGTACACAGCAGGTTTTCATTACAACTGAGTAATCTTGAACTTAGGAAACCCAAATTTACTATAAGGGCTTGCAAGCAAACCTACTTAACTTTACCTTGGAGAAAGATGTTCTCTTCAGTATACTGGTGAGGAAACAAGTCTACCATTTACTAAAGAAGGTGATACTCTCTATATTTGTCAGGGTTTTCCAGAGAAACAGAACCAATTATATACATGTATACAGACACACACACACACACACCTACCTCAAATGTACAAACACAAATATATATATGTGTATATATATATATATACATACATACATATTTTATATATTTATGTGTATGTATGGTTATGAGGAGATTTATTATGGGATTTGGCTCATGGAATTATCGGGGCTGCAACACCCTATAATCTGCTATCTGCAAGCTGGAAAACCAGGAAAAGCAGTGATATAATTCAGTCTGTGTCTGAAGGCCTGAGAGCCAGGATCATCCATGTCTGAGAGCATGAGAAGATGATTGTTCCAGCTGAAATAAAGCAAATTTGCTCTTCCTTAACCTTTTTGTTTGATTGTGCCCTCAACAGATTGGATGATGGTTACCCATACTGGTGAGGGCAATCTTCTTTACTCGGTCTACAGATTCAAACAATAATTTCTTCCAGAAATGCCCCCATAGACATACACAGAAATAATGTTTTACTAGCTATTTGTGCATTCCTTAGCCCGGTCAAGTTGACACATCAAAATTAATCATCACAAGTCCACCCTTTGTCAACTGGGCACCCATATGGATCTCCTTAAACCATACTTAATCTCTAAAAGACAATAACAAAATCATAATTCCACATATCATGATATGACTATATTATATACAACCAAAAGCACACTATTTTCTTTCCCATCACAGGAAGTAAATTTCTTCAGTGCTGCTTACTCTTCTCTTAATATCATATTACCTAAATATGATGATGTAAAATTAACAATACTTAAATAGTACTGATATAAAGTCAATACAGTTTATATTTTATAATATGGGAATAAGACAGTAGATAAAACAAGGATATTTGCTTAATATATGTATATATACACACAAATGTATTCATAAAATATAAGGAATAAATATTTGTGACAACGTCTTTGTTTCTGTGGTTGGTATTTGTAACTGCCTTCTACTGTCACCTATTCTGTATTCTATTCTGTATTCTTTTTGCCTTCAGCATAAACCAAAGCTGGTTGTGATTCTTTACCTGGTCAAACCTTCATTCCTGAAAGTCTGGCCATTAGTAGTCCTGCCTGGATGGTGTTCTTTCTGTTTTCCATTGACCTTAATCACAGAGCATGGTAATACTAAGAGGTGCTCCAATAAATATCTCTAGTTGAAACACATTCTTTCTTGCCTTCATTGTGAAGTGGTAGTTCAATTTCCATTTGGTCTTCCAGATCAGTTGCCCCAGCGAAAACATTAACTCCTTTCTTAGCCTGTTGATTAAGAGGCACGAGGAGCCCAAAGTGGTCTGGTGGCGGTCTTAACTTCCAGTTCAATGGAATAATCATTGCATCTCCTGCTGGAAACACTTCTTCCTCTGTCCTCTAGGTCAGAGACCTCTAGGCAAGCAGAGCATAAAGTTGCTGAAACAGGAAGCAAAATTTCTGCTTGTGGGTCACTAGGAATAATAGTGAGTGGTGCACTCCCATTTCCATCCCTTAATCACTGAACCTCTGAATCCTGGCTATGGGAGAAAAATCACCATATATTGTACACTGATTCAGAGCATATACAGCCTTCTACAGAATCTTACCACAGCCCAAGGTTTTCCATCTACCTGGCACTGTAACTGAATTTTCAAAAGGCAATTCCACCATTCTATTAAGCCAGCTGCTACAAGATAATGGAGGGCATGGCATGGCCAATTAATTTCATAAACATGGGCTTGTTGTTGAAATTCCTTTCCTGTGAAGTGAGTTCCTTGATCAGAAGCAATGCAGTGTGGAATATCATGACATTGGAGAAGACATGCTGTAAACCCATGGATAGTAGTTTTCGCAGCAGTATTGCATGTACAACAGGAAAATCCGTATCCAGGGTTAGTATCTATTCCTATAAGGACAACAACTGGTCTGTTCCATGATGGTAGAGATCCAGTGTAACCAAACTGACACCAGGCAGCTCACTAATGACCCCTAGGAGTCATGCTGTGTTAGGTATCAATGTTGGTCTCTGGTCCTGGCATTTTGGACACTAAGCAGTGGTGAGTTGAAGTTCAATAGGTTGACCATAGTGAGTGAAATTTCACATTGCTGAACCTACGAATAACCTCCATGGTTGCCACTATGGCCACTTTATTTATGACCCCACGGGCAATGATGGAGTGGTTGGGAAAATAGGCTGATTAATATCCATAAAACGGGTTGTTCTATCCACTTGATAATTAAAATCCTTTTCTGCTCAGGTCACCTCTTGGTGAGCATTCACATGGGACACAAATGTTTTCACATTCTTTGCCCGTTTATACAGGTCTATCCACATATCTTTTCACCGATGTTTCTGTCATTAATTTTTTAATCAGGTTTCTTTGAAGTTTCTGACAATTTAGCCAAATTATTTGCTATAGACCATGCATCA
Organism: Homo sapiens; assembly: GCF_000001405.40. Classification (NCBI taxonomy): domain Eukaryota; kingdom Metazoa; phylum Chordata; class Mammalia; order Primates; family Hominidae; genus Homo; species Homo sapiens. Next base: position 185,697,771 of record NC_000002.12, on the reverse strand, counting down.
GTATATAGTCACATATCTGGTCATTTCTCTTTCCAAGCAAAGTTTACAATCATGTGCACTACCTAAAGTTTTTCCCACCAAAAATTACCTTTCACTACTGTCCTTTAGAAGTATCCCAGAGAGAGCTGTCCACTTTTGAGTTCTGCCTGCATATAGTATAAAACCATCTGTAAAATAGGCCCAATTCTTCTCTTTCTCTGTCAATTGATTATAGGTAACTTCCCATAGGACCTTAGATGTAGGCTGGGAGACAGAATGCAGTGTAGCAGAAGTGGGTTCCACTGACATTTAGGCCACTCTTTTATATAACTTACTTGTGTCTTCAAGACAAGTTATATAAAAGACCAACGGGCTTAGGCCCAGTCACCCATGCACAACTTCCATTTGATGGTGGAATGTTGCTGTGGATGCCCAACAAATTAATGATGGGAAGCTCAGGTCTCATGGTAATTTGGCGGCCTAAGGTCAAGCATTCAGTTTCTACTTAGGCCTAGTAACAGGCCAATACTATCTTTTAAAAGGACAGTAGATATCTGTGGATAATGGCAGGGCCTTTCTCCAAAATCCTAAAAGCCTACATTGCATTTTACCTGAAGGGACCTTCCACAGGCCCAAACAACATCCCTATCTGCCACTGACACTTCAAGCACCATAGATCTGCTAAAGCATATGGCCTAATAATTAGCAGCCTAAACCTGTTGCAGAGAAGCCTAAACCTGTTGCAGAGCCTTCTCTAGTTCTGGGCTCCACTCAAAAGTAGTAGCTTAGGTGACTCCATTGAACCAGAGTAACACACCCAGAAATACAGTTGTCCCCCGTATATGAAGGGGATTTGTTCTAGGATTCCTGTGTGCACCAAAATCTGTACTTACTCAAGTCTTGCAGCTTGTCCTCTCAGAACCTACATAGAGAAAAATTTGTCCCTCCATATAGCAGGTTGTACATCCTGCAAATACTGTATTTTTGATGCAGGTTTGGTTTAAAAACACCTGTGTGTAAATGGGCCCATATAATTCTAACCTTCGTTGTTCAAGGGTCAACTGTAATGTTTTACCAGCTATCTGGATATCCTTAGCCCAGACAAGTTGATACATAAAATTAACCAATATAGTCTCTATGTTTCAAGGTAGTTTGCTATATAAACATCATTGAAAAGATAGTTTGAACAAAAACCGTCAGTGCCTCTGCTCACAATCCATATAGAAATGCAAGACACTTCTAGAGAAATGTCTCTCAATAACAGCTACCTTTCTGTTCTACACTCTTTTGGCCCCTGGCAAGTCTTCCCACGTGTAAGCCACTCTATTGGCCACTCTGATTAATCTAACTAATATGAGATTTCTGACTTATATGAAATAGAGTCACTGCTGGAAATTGTCTCTTATTAGCCTTGCAGCTGGCTGGTAAACTGTAGGGTACCTAGTTCAGTTTAAATAATTGAGTCTAATTTTTGGTTTTGGCTGACTGCTTGAGGACAATTTATCTAATGTTTCCCGTCTACCCATGACCCCAGTTAGATGGCCTTCCTCCCATTCCCGTGGAATAACTGAGAATGGAGATATGGAAGATATCTGGGAATGTTTTGCCAGAGAGACATAGAAACTGGGGGTATCCCTTGCATTTTTTGATAGACCTCTCAGTGAGGTTAAAAGAAATTGCAAGCAATTCACGGCAGAGCTCTCTAAAGAAGTACTGCAGACCCAGCAGTCAGTTAAATTTATGATGCTTGTAACAGTTTGGAAGTGCAGATTAGGAGAGCCACATCACAGCATTTCCCTTTATGTGGAAGGCTGCAGGGACAGTTCTAAAATGCAAAGAACCATTGATGTTTCTGTCTCCTAGATTCATCTCAGGGTTTAAGGTTTCACTTCTCCATTGTCAGATTGTTGCTTTTGCTATATATCCACAGAATCTGCATGCATTAGAGTAATTATAACTTTACCTTTTGTCCAGTTATCTCCTATTGATACACAGACCTTTTACTCAGGAGACACAGGTGCAGGAGGATAAGAGCATTTATATAGAACTTAACCAAGTGTTCTGGGATGTGAAAATATATAAAACAATACTCTCCCTTAGGGAATGTAGAATGGCACTTCCATTCTGGAGAACAGTCTGGCACTAGTCAGTGCAATTAATTATAATGGTACTCTGTTTCCTCCCTATTATGCTCCTGGGTATATATATTCCATCTTTCTCTCGCACCAAACTTCTCACATAGGCCTATAAGGGACATGCATAACAATGTTTAAGCATTAGTGCAAAGGAGCTGGAGACAATATTAGTGTTATAACTGGGTGAGAGTGTGAAATAACTACCACATGGAGTCTACGCCCCAAATAGAAACAATGGATTCGATGGACACAGAAGTACATGGATAAATCTTTCAAATAGTTTATAAATAAAAAATTATACATAAGATTATATGTATTATATATAATTATATATAAGTTATATACAATTAGAAACAATACTAGTTGTATCTAGGTCTGCACTGGATGAAAGGTATAGAGGGATAAAAAAGGGGAGTGTAAATATAGACCAAAATGGAATTTTAAAGGAATAGTATAGGTTTTGTTCACTTGCTGATTTTTATTCCATCTAATTCTTAATTGGTTTGAGAATAATATAAATGATGATTTATATCAAATGACCAAAATACACAATAAAGGCTTAAGAGACCTTGGCTTTTCCCCAGGCCTTTGCTGATCCTAAACTGAGCCTCCAAGATTGCTATCTAATCCAAAAAGTATATATTTTATTATATTCATGAATAAAGCATATTATTCAAGTGACTACAGTGGGCATTGGAAGAGACAAGGTTTGTTAGAGATTGTGTTTCATGTGTATATAAAGGTATTCAAACCTAATTTTTAAACTTCTTATGCATAGTAAACAAATTCCATCTATAGTTTTAATTGTTTGAATTCGGTCCTCGTCAATAGTTTGCAACCATTGACAGTCAAAACGAGGAAAATGTTTTATTGAAATGGAGTACTGGGGTGATATTTTAAGCCAATGAGGTAAGAGCTTTAGATAATTTCAGACTGTCATTAAAAAGATTTTTAATAGATTAGAAAAAAACAAAAATAGAGAAGAGAAAATGTACCTCCTTTTTTTTTTAATTTCAACCAGTCAAACATTTCAACCCTAGAGGGAAGCCCTAGTAATTAGAATATGAAGCAGCCAAGATTTAATTAGGGATTCTATCTTTAAATGAGAAAATATATTGCTTAAATTAATCCATGAAATTAAATAGGGGACCTCTAGTTGTTGACAAATGGCGTATTTGTACAAAAGGTGTCCTCTCAAATAATCAACATTGGATAGTCTATAGAATGAATATTTATGGAAGGGCACACAGGCTATTTTAAGGCTGTTAGCATTCTAAATCTTAAACTGGGTGTTAGATAAATATCTTACTATTAATATTATTGTCATGATATAAATTACGCACATACACACAAATTCACACACAAGTCACACACAGATATACAGTATCATGGTGGCTCACACCTGTAATCCCAGCACTTTGGGAGGCCGAGGTGGGTGGATCACCAGATCAGGAGATCAAGACCATCCTGGTTAACACGATGAAACCCCGTCTCTACTAAAAATACAAAAAATTAGCGGGGCATGGTAGCATGTGCCTGTACTCCCAGCTACTCCGGAGGCTGAGGCAGAACCTGAGAGACAGAGGTTGCAGTGAGCCAAAATCGCACACACCACTGCACTCCTGCCTGGGTGACAGACCGAGATTCCATCTCAAATAAATAAATAAACAAAATAAAAATATATAATTTCAGAAATGTGATATATAATGAATAGAAGTCTGTATGTTTCATAAATACACAGTGAAAGAATAAATACACACAATTTCACAGAAATAATGAGCAAACATTTCCAAGAATTAAAGAAAGTCTTTTGTTGAAAATAATTGCAAATGTCACACATGATTAAGTTAACAAATGAGAAACAATATTTTAAAGTTAAAAATACCAAGGATTCCACATATAAGTGAGGATACTCTAAAATGTTCAGAAAAGTAATAAAAAAATAATGAACTTGACATCAGACTACTCCACAAAATCTGCTGTACTTGTTTTCTACTGCTGTTTGTCGAATTGCCACAAACTTACCGTATTGGTTTTCTAGCACTGATTAACAAAGTACCACAAACTGGGTAGCTTAAAACAACATAAGTTTATTTTCTCATAGTTCTGAAAGCTAGAAATATGAAATCTAGGTGTTAATAGGGCTATCTCTTTGAAATCTGTAGGGGAAAATCCTTCTTTGCCTCTTCCTAGCTTCTGCTGACTTACTATACTAGCAACCCTCAATGTTCTTTGCTTCCACCATCACATAGTGTCTTCTCACGTGACATCCTCCTTTCCATGAGTGTCTGTGTACAAATTTTCCTCCTACAAGGACACCAGTCATATTGGTAAAGGGTTCACCCTAGTGACCTTATCTTAACTTGATTACATCTGCAAAGGCCCTATTTCCAAATAAGGTCATATTCACAGATACTAGCTACTGGCAGGTGGGACTTAATACATATTTTGGGAAGACCAAATCCAATCCATACCACTGACTATCTTCTTTAAAAAATAACACAAATTTATTATCTTGCAATTTTCATGGATCAGGGGTCTGTGTAGGAGTAGGTTGGACCTTCTGCTCACGATCTCCCAAAGCTAAAATCAAGTTGTCATTCAGGCTGTCTTTTCACCTGAAGCTCAGAGTTCTATTCCAAGCTCATTCAGCCTGTTGGTAGAATTAAGTTCTTTGCAGTTGCATAACTAAGATCTCCATTTCCTTGCTGGCCAGGAATTGCTTGCAGCTCTAGAGGCCACTCTTCATCTTTACCATTTGGCCCCTCTTACAACATGGCAGCTTATTTCTTCAAGGCCAACATAAACATTTTTCTGTCTTCTTCCAATTTCTGACCTTCAAGTCATCTTGGAAAATGGCCACCTCATTAGCTCAGGACCACTCAAGACAATTTTCTTTTTGATTAGCTTAAGTGAATTGACTGGAGACCTAATCATGTCTTTACTTTTGACACGTAATATAACCTAATTACAGAAGTAATGTCTTATCACATTCACAGGCACTGCTCACACTCAAGGTTAGGAAATTACACAGGTTATGTGCTCCAAGGAACAGGAATATTGGAGACCATTCTAGAATTCTTTGTATAACACTTATTCAAGAAAACATATGACTATCATGTGTACATCCAGGTAAACTGCTAATTAAATGAACAGAAGAAATGAAAGTAGTCTCTGGCATAAACAACCTCACAATATTTATTACATGAAGGTCCTCTAGGAAAACATTCTTGGAGTAAGTATTATGGCAAAGGAAGAAATAAATCATGGAGAACAATAGAATTACGAGAAGAAAAAGTAAGTAATTCAATAAGCAGAGCTTATTGATAGATAAGCAATGACATTAAGAAAGAGAATAAAATATCTACATCTTTCCTAGCTAAAATGTTTTAGTGATATAGTGCTAAAGAATGGGCAGAGAGAAGCAATGAAAGGATGCTTCTCTAGTTTCTGGATGAAATGTTAATATTGCTAAGCTTAGGAAATAAATAGGCAAAAATAACTTAATATGGGTTATATTAGGAGTAATCAGCACAAAATAATAATATAGAATTTTTCAAACCAGAAAAATATTATATAAATATTTTGACATAAGCACTTGAGGGAGAAAAGGAGAAAGCAGGGGAAAAAGAAAATGTGGTTTTAGTTAAGCTTAAGAAATCTTTCTATTCTTTAGAAGAAATTTAACTTATTAAGTTTCTACCTTTTACTCTCAGTCAACGTGATAAAATTGGAATAGGAACTCTATCAGAAGGCAGCATTACTTACAGTAAAATTGGCCACTGGTTAGTAAATTGCAACTGAACTTATGAAAACTACAAGTATCATGACGTAGCCAGAATTTTGTGTTTTCCTGATGATGCAGCTCGTGCCTTTCTAATAACTATTCTTCTGGTTGCCACAGGAGATATTGGCTCATGTATAGTAAGGGCTTTCCAAACCCAAATTAATCTCACATCATGGGTGTAATTCTGGTCTTTTTTCTCTTGAGCTTACTTGAGAGATCGGAGAATAGATTCTGAATAGCTATGTAAACAGCCTCAAAGACCACTTCTAAGGTAAAGAATACCTGATACTTTCTTTCCTACATCCTTTTAACCAAATCTGATGCCAAATGTGACCTTTTTAATACTGTGAGTTTGAATGTTTAGTTAAGCCTGTAAAGATTCTCTAGTGGGCATTGTAATAATAAACAAACAGTAGATAATAAAATTCAATTTAATGTTAACTAGAAAATGCATGTAAATGAGGTAGAATTATTTATCAAGAACAAATTATTAGATTCAATTTTAAAAATCAAATAATACATGCTATATAAAAGATACATAAAAAATGAATGACATGATTATGTAGAAAACCTCAATGCTGTTAAAAACCATAAAAACTGAGGTAGAACATAGCTGGTGTAGCAATCTTAATAAGTATCTAAAAGTATTTGTCTATATATTATCCTAAGAAATGTGGAGAATATTGGTAAAATAATCCATAATTTTAAAAATGTTATGATTTTGAAAATATGTGAAGTGAAAAATATAACACTTAAAAATAATTGACAAAACCACAGGGAGAAATATAAAAATAAGCAATTACTGGAGATTTTAACACACTACTCTTAGCACTCTCTAGCTCAAAGAAACAAATAATAAGTAAGAGCATTGCATTTTTTAATAACATGGCTTATAAGCTCATATAGGAATCCTGTAATAATAAACAAACAATAGATAATAAAATTTAATTTAATGTTAATTAGAAAATGCATGTAAATGAGGTAGAATTATTTATCAAGAACAAATTATTAGATTTGATTTTAAAAATTGAATAAAAATTCAACCGAATCTCTTAAAATTTTGCCTAGCACAGCCTTTTTTATGGCCCTAAAAAATTTGTCTTTCTCCCACATGCAGCATACACCCTCCCCAAAACCCAAGAGTTTAACACTATTATATAATAGCATCAACTCAAAATCTACTATCGCATCATTTAAATAATGTAAGTTAGGTGTGAGTGAGGTTTCTAAGTGTAAGCTACTAAATTCAACTCCTAGACACAGTTCTTAGCCATCTGTGGGACTGTGAAACTTAACAACACTACCAATGTACATTGTAAGACAGACATAAAATAAACAACTTTAGACACTGATTCAAACACATCAAAGAGGGAGGCAAATGGAAACACAAAAGAGTCACTGGTGCACAGCAGTTCTGAAATCAAGCTAGGCAAATGTGTGGACTCCATTTTTTAGACTTCTAAGGTCTGAGAATAATTTTCCTTGGCTCTCCATTCTACTTTCTTTGTTCTTGGTTTTGCTCTCTGAGTCATCCTTTGTCATAAAGGTCAGTACATGTTTGCAGTTGAGTTTTATCAACTTACTTCCCTCCAGTAGATTTTGATGGTCTGACAGCCTCTTTCCATTTTATACATTCCCTGTTTCTTTGATACAAGTTGGGAGTGTCTCCGTATAAACAATTTTCTAAAGAATTTTGGGAACCTTCTTAGACTTCACTGGTATTTATTCCACTAGGCAAAGGTTACAGCCACAGATCTTTGAAAGGCAATGCCGTTACTATAACAGCCTTCTGCAGAGAGGACTGGGAGTCAGTTTCCTTAAGCTTTAGAAATTCTTTGGTTTGGTTGCAATCCATGAGTCACATTATTTCTTAAAAATGTTTTCTATACCGAATATATGACCTTTTGATCTTCCTAGGATTTCAACAAAATAGTATATTTTGTTGTTTCTCTGTCATTTCTCCTTGCCACATGTTCAGGAGTCATTTCTGACTTTTGGCATCTGTTACCAGCTAGAGGGGCTGCATATTTCAAAATCACCTAGTCTTGGTCCCTGTTTTGTTCAACAAATTTTTCCTCGATGTATCTCTCTCCTCTCACATGTTATAATAAGCAGCAAGAAAAAAATCAGCTTCTTCAACAGTTTTCTTGAAAATCTCCTAAACTATATATCAAATTTGTTCCTTACAAGTTCTGCTTTGCACGTAATTGCAGGACACAATTTTACTATGCTTACTGTCACTACATGACAAGTATCCCCCTTTCTCCAGTTTCCCGTAGCACATTCTTCACTTCCTTCTAGTTCTTACCAGCAACATTTTTAACAGGGTTTTAAAGCCAATTTAGGTGTTTTCTATCACACTACTCAAAATTCTTTCAGCTCCTACCCACTGCCAGTTCAAAGCCACTGCAACATTTTTAGGTATTTGCTAGAACACCATCCCACTTTTAGCACCAAAATTTGCATTAGTTTTCTTATTTCTGTGTAACAACTTACTACAAACCTAGCACTTAACACATGTTTAGGGTCACTCCAGATACAATTTTGCTGATTCCTCTGCTTAGGAATTTACCAGACTGAAATCAAATATGTGAGCCAGGACTATAATGTATCTGAAGCTCAAGATCCCCCTCCAAGCTCTCCTGTTGGCAAGATTTATTTCCTTGTGACCATATGATTTAGGTTCCTATTTTCTTGTTACCTCTTAGTTGAGAACTGTTCATAGTTATTGGATACCTAGAAACAGTGAGAATTTTTTAAACTAATAAAAATAAGTTCTATGAGAATCTGGAAAAATCTAGTGAAAGTTAGAAGGCAATTTAAAGCCAAGTTGGGATTATTACACTGAATACTTTATCAGATATGTAAAGCACAGCAACATGGAAATAGAAACTTAAAAGCATAATAGTGTTCATAAGGTAAAAAACAAATTTGTTTCCTAGAATTTTGTCACTTCTTGGAGTAAATTCTGAGGAAAAAAAAGTTTATTTACTTTGAGAGAATATTGTAAAATAAAGTGGAAAAATTCTCTTATGTATCAAAATGAATAGAATAGTAATTTATATTTATTTCTTAAAATATTAACTCAATGAACAGAAAAGGTAAGTGGTCAACATATGATAGTGAAAAAAATAATATATGTAAATTTAAAGAATTAGACTAAAAATGAAGGAATGAAGCAGATGGCTTGCAAACTATTTCTCTCCTGTGCTAAGGGGAGGGTGTGTTCCTTGGAAGGGAAAAAGACAGATAACCCAGTCTAATATTCTTATATACATGTTGATAAACAATTACTTGGAAAATTGATTATTTTTGTTATTGGAAGAATTCTTTTTTAGGGAATGTTTTTAGTCTAACTGCCTATGGACTGATTGCTTATGGTAAACAAACAGCTCCCACCAAGACTGACACAGAAGACAGGTGATTTCTGCATTTCCAACTGAGGCACCTGGTGCGTCTCATTGGGACTGGTTGGACAGTGGGTGCAACCGGAGGCAAGCCAAAGAAGGGCAGGGCATCGCCTCACCTAGGAAGTGCAAGGTGTCAGTGAATTTCCCTTTCCTAACCAAGGGAAGCTGTGAAAGACTGTAACTGGAGGAACGGTACACTACTGCCCAAATACTACACTTTTCCCATGGTCTTCACAACCAGCAGACCAGGACATTCCCTCCCACGGCTGGCTCCGCAGGTCCCATGCCCCTGGAGCCTTGCTCGCTGCTAGCACAGCAGTCTGAGATCGACCTGGGATGCTGGAGCTTGGTGGGGGAGAGGCATCTGCCACTGCTGAGGCTTGAGTAGGCAGTTCTATGCTCACGGTGTAAACAAAGTGGTAGGGAAACTTGAACTGGGCAGAGTACCCTGCAGCTCAGCAAGGCCTACTGCCTCTCTAGATTCCACCTCTGGGGGCAGGGCATATCTGAACAAAAGGCAGCAGACAGCTTCTGCAGACTTAAACATCCCTGCCTGACAGCTCTAAGAGAGCAGTGGTTCTCCCAGCATGGTGTTCGAGCTCTGATAATGGTCAGACTGCCTCCTCAAGTGTGTCCCTGACCCCCGTGTAGTCTGACTGGGAGACACCTCCCAGTAAGGGCTGACAGACACCTCATACAGGTGGGTACCCCTCTGGGACAAAGCTTCCAGAGGAAGGATCAGGCAGCAATGTTTGCTGTTCTGCAGCCTCCACTGGTGATACCCAGGCAAACAGGGTCTGGAGTGGACCTCCAGCAAACTCCAACATACCTGGAGCTGAGGGGCCTGACTGTTAGAAGGAAAAGTAACAAACAGAAAAGAATAGCATCAACATCAACAAAAAGGACATCCACACCAAAACTCCATCTGTAGGTCACCAACATCAAAGACCAAAGGTAGATAAAACCATGAAGATGGGGAGAAACCAGAGAAGAAATGCTGAAAATTCCAAAAACCAGAATGCCTCTTTTCCTCCAAAGGAACACAACTCCTTGCCAGCAAGTGAACAAAACTGGGTGGAGAATGAGTTTGACAAGTTGACAGAAGTAGCCTTCAGAAGGTCGGTAATAACAAACTTCTCCGAGCTAAAGAAGCATGTTCTAAACCATTGCAAGGAAGCTAAAAACCTTGAAAAAAGGTTAGATGAATGGCTAAGTAAAATAAACAGTGTAGAGAAGACCTTAAATTACCTGATAGAGCTGAAAACCACAGTATGACAACTTTGTGAAGCATGCACAAGCTTCAGTAGCCAATTCAATCAAGTGGAAGAAAGGATATCAGTGATTGATGATCAAATTAATGAAATAAAGCGAGAAGACAAGATTAGAGAAAAAAGAGTGAAAAGAAATGAACAAAACCTCCCAGAAATATGGGACTATGTGAAAAGACCAAATCTACATTTGATTGGTGTACCTGAAAGTGACGAGGAGAATGGAACCAAGTTAGAACACACTCTTCAAGGTACTATCCAGGAGAACTTCCTTCCCCAATCTAGCAAGGCAGGCCAACATTCAAATTCAGGAAATACAGAGAACACTACACAGATATTCCTTGAGAAGAGCAACTCCAAGACACATAACTGTCAGATTCACCAAGGTTGAAATGAAGGAAAAAATGTTAAGGGCAGCCAGAGAGAAAGGTCGGGTTACCCACAAAAGGAAGCCCATCAGACGAAGAGTGGATCTCTCGGAAGAAGCCCTACAAGCCAGAAGAGAGTGGAGGCCAATATTCAGCATTCTTAAAAAAAGAGTTTTCAACCCAGAATTTCTTATCTAGCCAAAGTAAGCCTCATGAGTGAAGGAGAAATAAAATCCTTTACAGAAAAGCAAATGCTGAGAGATATTGTCACCACCAGGCCCACCTTACAAGAGCTCCTGAAGGAAGCACTAAACATTCAAAGGAACAGCCAGTACCAGACACTGCAAAAACATTCCAAATGGTAAAGACCATCGATGCTATGAAGAAACTGCATCAATTAACGGGCAAAATATCCAGCTAGCATCATAATGACAGGATCAAATTCACACATAACAATATTAACCTTAAATGTAAATGGGCTAAATGCCCCAATTAAAAGACACAGACTGGCAAATTGGATAAAGAGTCTAGAAACATCGGTGTGCTGTATTCAGGAAACCCATTTCATGTGCAAAGATACACATAGGTTCAAAATAAAGAGATGGAGGAAGACCTACCAAGCAAATGGAAAGCAAAAAAAAAAAAGCAGGGATTGCAATCCTGGTCTCTGATAAAACAGACTTTACACCAACAAAGATCAAAAGAGACAAAGAAGGCCATTTAATAGTGGTAAATGAATCAATTCAACAAGAAGAGCTAGGCATCCTAAATACATATGTACCCAATACAGGAGCACCCAGATTCATAAAGCAAGTTCTTAGAGACCTACAAAGAGACTTAGACTCCCACACAATAATAATGGGAGACTTTAACACCCCACTGTCAATATTAGACAGGTCAATGAGACAGAAAATTAACAAGGATATCCAGGACTTGAACTCAGCTCTGGACCAAACGGGCCTAATAGATATCTACAGAACTCTCCATTCCAAATCAACAGAATATACATTCTTCTTAGCACCACATTGCACTTATTCTAAAATTGACCACATAATTGGAAGTAAAACACTCCTTAGCAAATGTAAAAGTACAGAAATCACAACAAACTGTCGCTCAGACTGCAGTGCAATCAAATTAGAACTCAAGATTAAGAAACTCGCTCAGAACTGCACAACTACATGGATACTGAACAACCTGCTCCTGAATGACACCTGGGTAAGTAATGAAACGAAGGCAGAAATAAAGATGTTTTTGAAACCAATGAGAACAAAGACACAACGTACAAGAATCTCTGGGACATATTTAAAGCAATGTGTAGAGGGAAATTTATAGCACTAAATGCCCACAAGAGAAAGCAGGAAAGATCTAAAATCAACACCCTAACATCACAATTAAAAGAACTAGAGAAGCAAGAGCAAACAAATTCAAAAGCTAGCAGAAGACAAGAAATAACTAAGATCAGAGCAGAACTGAAGGAGACACACATACAAAAAAACCCTTCAAAAAATCAATGAATCCAGGAGTTGTTTTTTTTAAAAGACCAACAAAAGAGATAGACCACTAGCAAGACTAATAAAGAAAAAAAGAGAGAAGAATCAAATAGACGTAGTAAACAATAATAAAGGGGATATCACCACAGATCCCACTGAAATACAAACTACCATCAGAGAATACTATAAACACCTCTACACAAATAAACTAGAAAATCTAGAAGAAATGGATAAATTCCTAGACACATACACCCTCCCAAGTCTAAACCAGGAATTATTTGAATCTTTGAATAGACAAATAACACGCTCTGAAATTGTGGCAATAATTAATAGCCTACCAACCAAAATAAGTCCAGGACCGGATGGATTTACAGATGAATTCTACCAGAGGTACAAAGAGGAGCTGGTACCATTCCTTCTGAAACTATTCCAATCAATAAAAAAAGAGGGAATCCTCCCTAACTCATTTTGTGAGGCCAGCATCATCCTGATACCAAGACTAGCAGAGACACAACAACAAAAAGAGAATTTTAAGCAAATATCCCTGATGAACATCAATGTGAAAATCCTCAATAAAACACTGGCAAACTGAATCCAGCAGCACATCAAAAAGCTTATTCACTATGATCAAGACGTCTTCATCCCTGGGATGCAAGGCTGGTTCAACATGCACAAATCAATAAATGTAATCCATCACATAAACAGAACCAATGACAAAAACCACATGATTATCTCGATAGAAGCTGAAAAGACCTTCAACAAAATCCAACAGCCTTTCATGCTAAAAACTCTCAATAAACTAGGTATTGATGGAATATATCTCAAAATAATAAGAGGTATTTATGACAAACCCATAGCCAATATCATACTGAATGGGCAAAAACTGGAAGCATTCTCATTGAAAACTGGCAAAAGACAAGGATGCCCTCTCTCACAACTCCTATTCAACACAGTATTGTAAGTTCTGGCCAGCGCAATCAGACAAGATAAAGAAATAAAGAGTATTCAATTAGGAAGACAGGAATTCAAATTGTCTCTGTTTGCAGATGACATGATTTTATATTTAGAAAACCCCATCATCTCAGTCCAAAATCTTCTCACGCTGATAAGCAACTTCAGCAGTCTCAGGATACAAAATCAATGTGCAAAAATCACAAGCGTTCCTATACATCAAGAACAGACAGAGAGCCAAATCATGAGTGAACTCCCATTCACAATTACTATAGAGAGAATAAAATACATAGAAATCCAACTTAAAAGGGATGCGAAGGACCTCTTCAAGGAGAACTACAAACCACTGCTCAATGAAATAAAAGAGGACACAAACAAATGGAAGAACATTCTGTGCTCATGAATAGGAAAAATCAATATCGTGAAAATGGCCATACTGCCCAAGGTAATTTATAGATTCAATGCTACCCCCATCAAGCTACCACTGACTTTCTTCACAGAATTGAAAAAAACTACTTTAAATTCTAATGGAACCAAAAAAGAGCTCACATAGCCAAGACAATCCTAACCAAAAAGAACAAAGCTGGAGGCATCATGCTACCTGACTTCAAACTATACCACAGGACTATAGTAACCAAAACAGCATGGTACTGGTACCAAAACAGATATATAAATGGAACAGAACAGAGGCCTCAGAACACATCTACAACTATCTAATATTTGACAAACCTGACAAAAACAAGCAATGGAGAAAGGATTCCCTATTTAATAAATGGTGCTGGGAAAACTGGCTAGCCATATGCAGAAAGCTGAAACTGGATCCCTTCCATATACCATATACAAAAACTAACTCAAGATGGATTAAACACTTAAATGAAAGACCTAAAACAATAAAAACCCTAGAAGAAAACCTAGGCAATACTCTTCAGGACACAGGCATGGGCAAAGACATTATGACTAAAGCACCAAAAGCAATGGCAACAAAAGCCAAAATTGACAAATGGGATCTAATTAAACGAAAGAGCTTCTGCACAGCAAAAGAAACTACCATCAGAGTGAACAGGCAACCTACAGAATGGGAGAAAATTTTTGCAATCTATCCATCTGACAAAGGCTAATATCCAGAATCTACAAATAACTTAAACAAATTTACAGGAAAAAAACAATCCCATCAAAATTGGGCAAAGGGTATGAACAGACACTTTTCAAAAGAGGACATTTATGCAGCCAACAGACATATGAAAAAATGCTCATCATCCCTGGTCATCAGAGAAATGCAAATCAAAACCACAAGGAGATACCATCTCATGCCAGTTAGAATGGCGATCATTAAAAAGTCGGGAAACAACAGATGCTGGAGAGGATGTGGAGAAATAGGAACGCTTTTACATTGTTGGTGGGAGTGTAAACTAGTTCAACCATTGTGGAAGGCAGTGTGGCGATTCCTCAAGGATCTAGAACTAGAAATACCATTTGACCCAGCCATCCCATTACTAGGTATATACCCAACAGATTATAAATCATGCTACTATAAAGATACATGCACATGTATGTTTATTGCAGCACTATTCACAATAGCAAAGACTTTGAACCAACCCAAATGTCCATCAGTGATAGACTGTATTGAGAAAATGTGGCACATATACCCATGGAATACTATGCAGCCATAAAAAATGATGAGTTCATGTCCTTTGTAGGGACATGGATGAAGCTGGAAACCATCATTCTGAGCAAACTATCACAAGGACAGAAAACCAAACACCGCATGTTCTCACTCATAAGTGGGAATTGAACAAGGAGAACACATGGACACAGGGAGGGGAACGTCACACACCAGGGCCTGTTGAGGGGTGGGGCTCTGTGGGAGGAGTAGCATTAGAAGAAATATGTAATGTAAATGATGAGGTGATGGGTGCAGCAAACCAACGTGGCACATGTATACCTATGTTACAAACCTGCACGTTGTGCACACATATGCTAGAACTTAAAGTATAATAATAATTTAAAAAGAAAAAAAAGGGATTATTAGAGAAAAAAACAAATATTGGTTGAGTACATACTATATGTGCCAGGCACTCTTTTAGTCACTTAGGATACACTAATGAATAATTCAAATAAAAACTATTGCATTTCTGGAGCTTAAAGGTTAACAAGAAGAGGCATATAATAAAAAGTAAAGATAATAAGCTCACATGTTATAAGGTGATTGATAAGTCTTGTGAAAGAAAGTAAGCAAGATATCAGGGAAATAGGATTGTGAGTGTGTGGAATGAGATAGTGCAGGGTATAGCATTATCTATTGGGATAAGAATAGAACTTTTTGAGATGGTGACTATTGAGAAACTGTAATTAAAAGTAAAGGACTTCTGTGCAAATATATGAAGCTGGGATGCTGCAGACAATGGAAAACCACTAAAGCTAAATCACATATGCTGTAGTATATCTGGTGTACTCAAACAGCAATATGGATAGTATAGAGAATGTGAGAGTGTGCTATATCAAGGGACTGAGGAGGGGGTTATATCATCTAGAAGATGGCAATGATTTGGGCTATACTGAAGTGAAGCAGGGATTGAAATGGCATATTTTAAAATTATTTTCTGTTAAAATACAATGCTATAGGAGCAAATACAGCATAGGGAAGAATGTTAAGATGCTATGTTTTTATTCCAAGTAAGGGGTGATGGTGGCTGAGCAAGCTGATAGTTTTGAAGGTGGGAAGAAGTAATAGGATCTTTGAGTATATGTTTAGCTAAAATCAATGCATCTTGTGATCATCTCATATAAGATGTAAAAGAAATACAGAAATTAAGAATAATATCTAGCTACTGGCCAGAGCTACTAAAAAATGAAATTACACCATCACATAGATGGTAAATGTTTAGAGTATATTTAACTTTTAGACATACTGAGTTTGATTTGTAACTATACTAATAGACATACAGCTGAGGATGTAGAGTAGAAAGTTGACAACAGGAAATTGAAATTCAGACAAGGGGTCTGGACTGAAGCATATAGATGATATTTCAAAACTACAGGCCTGATCATCTTCTCTGCAACAGTATTGCTAACATGGCAGTATCGGCTATCCCTTCATTATGGTTTGAAACAATCATAGCAAGTTTACACTTTATTCTTTGCTTTTCTGAGTTTTTCATATTCAGCCTTTTTATTTATGCATTTTGGAGAGTTAGTGGTAACCACTTCTTAACATAGTATTTCCCTAGAATTATTACCATTTTGTCCCTCTATTCAAGCACTGAAATTTTGCTTACTTCTATGCATTTTAGCGTGCTGTTCAAATCGTCCCCTCTGATTTTAAAAATCCCATTTGTTCTACTCCCTTCTGTTTCTTAGCCCCAAATTTTACCATTTCTCAAATTTTCTATCTTATTTATTAATTTTTAAAACAACATGCCAGAGAAAAAGCTAGAAGTAAATGCCAAGTTTAGAGTAAATTTTAATGCCCCACATAAAAAAACACAGTTATATAAACATACCAGGTGCATATTTGAGATTTATATCAGAAAATAAAATGCAAATCTGTGAATAATACCCCTGTGATTTTTTTGAATGAAAATAAACAGGAATGAAAGCACGTTTTCACTTGCTATCACTCTGAGTTATTAGAAAGAATGCAATAAAAGGAGATAGTTTCCATTGAACAATTTTTCTAAATCAGGTAATTTAGAAATTCATTTAAATATGAACTCATATTAAGACTTTATATTAAATATGTTCTATCTATTCACACCTAGAAAAAATAAATTATATATAACTAAATTATGTTGATAGAGTTGCAAAACTACTAATAAGGAAAAGTTGAATAGATATCAAATGCTATCAAAACAAAAATATGTTTGCTTTACCATCCCTGTTAGAGAAGGAGAAATAGATGTAAGATAAATACTTTGAAAGGAAAATACATCTTGGGGACCCAAAATCACTAAGATAACGGGAAAATCAAGCTGGGAACTGCTTAGGGCAAACCTGCCTCCCATTCTATTCAAAGTTATCCCCCTGCTCACTGAGATAAATGCATATATGATTGTCTCCTTTGGAAGGGCTAATCAGAAACTCAAAAGAATGCAACTGTTTGTCTCTCGCCTACCTAGAAGCCTCCTCCCTGCTTCAAATTGACCCACCTTTCTGGGCAGAACCAATGTACATCTTACATATATTGATTGATATCTCATGCCTCCCTAAAATGTATAAAACAAAGCTGGGCCCCAACCACCTTTGGCACATGTCGTCAGGACTTCCTAAGGCTGTGTCACAGGCATGAGTCCTCAGCTTTCGCAACATAATCTTTCTAAGTTAACTGAGATACGTCTCAGATATTTGGGGTTCACATTTCCGTAACTATGAAGGGATTCTGAGTGGAGGTGCTAACCTTTGACAAATCTTCTATAGGTGCTAGTACCAGCTTCAGCTGTCTTTATGGCTCAAACCAATAGGACAATTTGCTGAGGCCTAGACACAACCCTTCCAGAGAATCCCTGATCTCCCAAAATTTGGCCCAAATCTAAAGTTTATTTTGCTGTGCAACTCTGTTTTTTTTGGAGTTTTACTTGCTTCCAACACAAGGAAGGCAAGTTTTTCCTGCTTTCCTGATGATGGAAGGCAGGTAACTTCTTTAAGGAGTTTGAACTCACTCCCAACAGGGAAGACAGTTTGAAGTTTTTCCCTGCTTCTAGGATGGTAGAGAGCAGACTTCAGCCTGAGACCCATCCGTAGGTAAGTTACTGAATTGGAGTTTATCTTGGCTAAAGTGAAGATTAATAATCAGCTGGTATTAAGTTCTCCTTAGCATTAGAGAGTTCAATAATCCTATAAGTTATGTGATTATTTGTTTGTTTTGCTTAACTGGTCTTTTTGTTGTTGTTGTTCCTTTGTTTCTGTTTTTATTGTTCTTTTGGTCTTTTTCCCATCTGGTTTGACCAACTTTATCTGATTTGAACAATTATGAAGGAAAGTTCCAAATTATGGAAACAAGACCTCTGAAGTGGATAAATTGCCAAAAAAAAAGAAAATATTTTTTTATTTTGACTCCTTAAGGGCTTTATTTTATTTACATAACAAGGCTACCTTTCTGCTAGCCAGGCCAAACTGAAAGAGCAATGGCAGTCTCCCCATGCTGCAGTTCCATAGCTAAGGTTCTGCCTTCATTTTTTCCACCATGACAGCCTGGGTTTAGTTCCTAAGTCAAGTCCTTTATGGTTTGATACTTGACACTTCTGAAGTAGCAGCAATTTTTCCTAGCTTAAATATGGTAATGAAATTTTAAAAGATTTTTTGTTAAAGGAGATCAATGGTTAAAAGTCAGCTTAATTAAAAGCTAACATCCAAGATGTGTGTGTGTGTGTGTGTGTGTGTGTGTTTGTATGTATGCCTGTGTGTGTTTGTATTTAAAAGGCCTTCATGTTTTTGTTGTTGTTTGTTGTTTTTTCTCTCCTAGGACCTTGTCTTTTTTTGAGCAAAAGTTTTTTTTCTTCCAGTTAAATGAATTCTGTTTTCTTCATTTACTTCTGCTGGCTCTCCTTTCTCTTGCACCCTCTGCTGCATGAGGGACCTCAAATAGTTTATGACAGCCTGAGGTTCCTTAAAGAAAATGGAGAAGGCGCCAGGCTCCCTTTTGGGGAGAAACCTCTGTCTTTCCTTATGGAATCCCAACAGTGTAAACAGACAAATTTGTCTCAGCTCTTAAAGTGCTTCCTTTTGTACTGTGTTACCTGAATTTTTGACTAAAATAGCTATTGCAAAAGAGGCTACTCTTGGGTTTTTAAGGAAGAGTATAGTTTAGACATTTAGAAATGTCTTTGTTTAAAAATAAAAATTTAAGTGCACTGTAAAAGCATCATGTGATTTAGCCTCATAATAATTCTCCCCTTTTGAAGACTCAGGATTCAGGGTGGTCTCTGCCCAGACCTCAGAGATCCAGTTAAAAGATTGGTAGTCCCTATCTAAATAAAATTGGCCTCCTTATTCAATCTTATAATAGGTTTCTATAATTTTATGTTTTATTTTGTATCCACCTTTAATCTCCCTCTAGCACCACCTGACTTTTTCTCTCCATACCTTGAGATGTATATTTTGCTACCTGATTTTTCATCTAAGAGTTGTTTCCTTCGATATGCAGATTTAGAGCTATTTAGCTGACAACTGTCAGGGTAATGAAACAGGTTATCAAGAGTTTGCAAGTCTAAGATAGGAAAAATAAAAACAAGGGGATCTTAGAAATCTATAAGATGTACTTCTATCGGGATGCCTAATACGTCTATGTATTTATGTGTTGTATACACAACTACTAAAAATATATAAAAGAGCTCTACTTAATTTGCTTAAAGAAAAATAAAAGCACTTAAATACTTTATCAGAAAAAAAGGAGACTAGTCAAATGCTTTTTTAAGTCTATGTGTCTTAAGTAAAATCTTTATTAAATAAGGTAGCTTTAAAATTATTGGTAAAGTAATATTAGAAATGTCTTAAGAATTGCCAACATACATTTTAGTTTGCATTTATTTATCAAGAAATTTTACACTTATCCCCGCCAAATACTATAAGGTGTCAAAATCTGGCATAGGGGTTATAAAACTATAAACCCAGCCCAAAACAGAATGATATTTGCTTGTGTAATTTTAAACATATAAGACATTGATACTGGTTTACTGACAATAGCTACATCTTGAATTAGTAAAATTACCATAACTTCTAATCTTGTGGCTTTAAGCAGTCTAGTCCATAGGCAGGAAGGAGGTTTGTTTTGGGAAAGGACTGTTATCATCTTTGTTTCAGAGGTAAACTATAAACTAAGTTCCTCCCAAAGTTAGTTGGGCCAACTCCCAGGAATGAAAAAGGGCAGCTTGGAAGTTAGAAGCAAGATGGAGTCAGTTAGGTCAGATATTTTTCACTGTCTCTGTTATGGCAGCTTCATAACTTTAAATTATGACTATCACAGTTTTCATAAATCTAGGTAAACAATTAAAATAAAATAATTAGGTAAATATAATGGGATAAATACTTGTAGAGAAACTTGTCATATTTAGAATCTAAAGTTATATTAAATTAAATAATTGATACTTCATTATTTGGGTATTTTTTAATAAAAACATATTGTAAGAAAACATTCTTTCTAAAAAAAGTGTTCTTTTAAAAAAGTGAATTTTTTTTTTCTAATTCAAAGCTTATTTAAAAGTTATGCATAAAACAAGGTAAAAGGAAACAGGAAATAAGAGAGATGTAAAGAAAGTTATAGAAATAAAGAGGTATTTTTTGGTAAGAAAGCTTAAAGATAAATAATATTCTATGAGAAAGAATCTTGTATGGTAAATTTTGTCCTTGAATAAAATGACTCGTTATTTAATAAAGAGGGATGTTCAGGACAAAACAGAAAGTCCAAGCATGTCAAGCATTGTCTGTATAAGTCATAATACGAGGATTTATAAAATGAACAAACAAGCAAAAACTTTTATACAATCAAGTTGTCTATAATTTAAGGGAAATTATAATGATTTATCTAGAGATTGAATTTGATATTAAAAAAACACTTGTACACTAAAAAATTGGTTAGAACAATGAAATTTTCTGAACTAGCCAGCCATTGGGTGGAAGTTTGACTATATTTGATCTCCTTCCACCCTAATGGGGCTGCAATTTATCCTTACTGAAACTGATAAATATTTCAGACATAGTTTTGTCTTCTTCCTAGAGTGATTCTGCCAGTACCACTGTCTGAAGGCTAACAGATGGCCTCTAAACCAGTATGACATCCTTCAGTGAGATGTCTGGTTTCATTGCAAAGAAGGTGTGACAATAGGCATATGAACAAACAACCCACGGCTATTTCCATACAGTGAATCATTCAGATGCAGCTAGCCACATAGTATAATAATAGGGCCTTGGCTAAGTGGCCAGCTCAGGAATGACAGCCTGTGGGTACTGTCTTCCAGAATGTAGTATATGTACTAAACCTATAGTTGATATAAACAGGGCTAGGCACCATATAGTTACAATGCACAGGATTTGTAGTCGATGATAGAAATAGGATTGGAACTCTCACTATCACCCTTAGCCACACCACCAATGTGTGAAATTTAATGCATGCTGTCTGTGCACTTTTACATCGTGAGAGTTTAGAGGTTTGGGTTTATTAAGAGGAGCATGCTTCTGCTTAGGGAAACTGTGAAGACTGTTCCCCTTCCTAATAGCACCCAATTCACAACAGACTCCAGCGAATCTCTCCAGAGAATGTCTCCCGAGAATCACTCAGCTAAAGCCACATCCTGTAACAAGACCATCTTAGCTCCTTGCAGAGGCACCATCCAGTTTCATGGCTAGGTATTCTCTCATCCTGCAGCAAATGAATAAATCTAACTTTGTTTTATTTCATGTGTGTTGTTAATGGTTTACATCTATGGAAATTAGCAGTATATTTTAGATCTTCACTGGAAATTGAAAGCTGTTAAGGCATAGGGCCATGTTGTCTAGATGGTCCTCGGGAATTGTTGAATTACACCATTTGAATGAATAGTATTTTGCCTGTAACAAAAGTATGCTATTATATCTGGGAGCAGTTTAAATGTAAAAATTGTACTCTATAATAATTGCATATGAATGTATTAGTCATACTATACCTATTATTACATGTTCTAGAAAGATAATGCTTTTGTAACCCAGGTACTTTTTAAATAGAATTTGATGAATAACCAACACGTATTACATTTAAACTAAGTCATCATTGTATTTATTGTTTAAACCAATTTTTGTGCCATCTGTCTTATTTGTGGCTGCAACATCTGAATAATTCCTCCTAAAAAAAATCAAATTAAAGCAACAGCAGTAATAGAGGTAAAAGGATAAAAATTTCAGCTGTTTTTCAGATTTATCTACAATTTTTTTATTGTGGCCTAAAACACCTTGGAACCTGTTTTCAAAGGTGATTCATGTAATTAGAATCATGTTAAAAATGTATTTTAATAGACTATAACTTTGAAAATTTGGAACATTACTATATTAGAGGCACTCTTGATGAAAGAGAGATAAACAATTCACACTAAACCAAATCTGAGACCTACTTCGTTTAGAAAGTGCCAAGTTTTGTAATATAGCAGTCCCCCTTATCTACAAGAGATATGTTCCAAGACTCTCAGTGGATGCCTGGAACCATTGATAGTGCTGAACGATATATATAATATGTTTTCTTTTTTCCTGTGCATATATACCTATAATAAAGTTTAAATTATAAATTAGACACATTAAGATATTAAAAACAATATTAATAAAATGGAACAATTATACAATGTACTGTAATAAAAGTTATGTAAATGTGGTTTTTGTCTCTCTCAAAATATCTTATTGTACTAAACTTACCTATTTTTGGACAACAGTTGAATGCAGGTAACTGAAACAGTGGAAAGCAAAACCTCAGATAACGGCGGGGGGGTTACTGTATAATACTTCAGAGAAATGTAAAAGCCAAGTCGTTGCCTTTCTAAATTTGCACCAAATCATAGATTAAAAGCCATGTCTTGATTAAAAACAGCATAACTGTTTGCATTGGATTTAATAAGTCCATATTGATTAATAAATAAGTTCACATTGATTGATAAATAATTGACAAGAAAATGTTAATGTGTATTTACCCATGCTATTTTATTGTTATTGCCAGCTAGGAAGCTTAATCAAGCCAGCAAGGGGTAAAGTACATTTTAGGAAGATAGTACAATAATATGCTATGTAGATATTTGTAGTGAATATGTATTCTCTCTTTCTGTATCTGCACTACAGACACTTCAAATATTGCAATAGGTGAAATTATAATGATAATATCCAAAGACTCATTTAGCATTCCTCTTTTGTCTCAGAAACATCTGTCATAATCAAAATGAAATTCAGATATCATTATTGTAATCTCTCTTGTCAGAAAACTACTCTTGTATATTCTAATATGGCAGTTAAAAATACCCACGGGAAATTTAATTTTGATTGCCTATAGTGATAGTAAAAATAATATATTCTGAGAAAGTTAAATGGTGACTGTTCAGAAAACACATTGATTTCATAATGTGTCCTCCCTCCAGGAGTCAAATGTCATGTTCTGGAACTGGCATAAGAACAATGAAATAAGTGGAATGTATAACAATAAAGGCTGACTTTAAAAAATTATTTACATTCTTACATTTTACAGTATTCTGACATCTGGGCATAAATTAAGTACTAAATTATTCTCTCAGACTATATAATAAATATGTAATCCATGTTGTTGATTCATATTCTGATTATGGAAACCAATTTCCTAGTGATAAGGACTTAGTTTCTCACTCTGAGCAATAACTAAATGGGTTTCAAATAAAAAGAAACATTACATCAAAAATTATTTCTTCTCCTTATGAAAGCTTGTGGTCAAATTTAGTGTTATTGAGGTCCCTTAGAAATGATGTTATGTTATAGTTAATGAAAATGTAAACTCCATGGGAATTTTTTACAGATACATATTTTAATTTTTATTATAAACTCTTAATTTATCAATAGGCAAAGGCTTGAAGTGCACAGAAAAGAAATCAAGAAATTTTTTAGGACTATAGAGGAAAATGCTGTAAGACCTTTCATATGCTATGCTAATATTATTTTATAATTCCTGGAGGAGAGATTCATCTAAAAATTTTTATATATCAATAGTTCTATAAGCAAGGGGGAAATATATACTTAGCACTGAAAGCACTCGTGTTAAAACAAAACTGTTAGATACTGATACTGCATTTCTGAAATTTACAGATAAATATTTAGTTAATAATTTATTGGGTAACAGTCATATTATATAACTACTATTATAGGTCACTTTATTAACTTGGCCAAAGATTTAACTTCATTATTTAACTCAGTGGAATTTTTTGTTTTATTAAGGTGATTAAAAATAGTACATTATTTTTAAGCCCCGAAATGATAATTTTGTCTCACTTTTGATGGATTCCTTCTTCCAGTATTCCAACTGTGTGCCCATTTGTGAATTAATCAGTAATTTATGCTTACTAATCACTAGTCAATACATTTTAACATGTATGTGCTAATGCCCTAGTCTCATTTTAACACCATCTTTGTAGTGATAGTCCAAACTATCACTTGAATATGAAATCATACTCAACAGCCAGATAAATGAGACCAGGAAATTAAAAACAGAACCAAGAATGCATCTGAGTAATTTTTTATCATGAGTTTATTATTGCTTATGAACTTAAGTGACTAATTCCCTGGACAGTGAGTTTCCTTGGAACTAGTATATTTCATCTGACAAACACCTAGAAAAATGATATAAGAACAGGTTTATCCTTGTCACTTCACACTATAATTGTTTTCTTCAAGAGCTTCCAAAAAATTTTTCACCAGTATTGCAGTTGGAACACTCATTATTCTCACCTGCCTTCCTGGGCTCTGCATGCATCTTGGGGCCAGGTAAATTCATGATCGTACTCATCCTTGTAAACATCAACCACTTTCCAAAATGTAAACTGCTCCAGTCAATTCCAGTCAATATTATCACATAATTTTATGTATGCTCCTATATTCTCCTACATGCCCCCTTTCTTCGTCTGTAGATGACATTTCATTTTTTGTGCCTTCTGTAAGTTAATACCTCTATAAATAATTTCTTCACAAAGCAACTTTCATTGTTATATATATTCCGATAGTCTCTCTCTCTCTCTCCCTCTCTCTCTCTCTCTCTATATATATATATATATATACACTCTTATATATAGTCTTTCTTCCCATAACGAACCTGGCTCTCCCAGAACAGCATTTTCTCATAAATATGCTCATGTAGATCTTGTTCACTGACCCCAGTTCCTAGGCTACAGAACAAGTATCTGCACACTCCTTATTTCCCACTATGGGTTTCAAACTCTTCGCATTCCTCTAATATAAATATAAAAACTTCTCTTTGTTTTATACTTATGTTTGTTTATATCTTTGTCTTTATTTTTTTAATATTATCTGCTTGCTTTCTGCCCTCCATGTTTACCAGCATTGAATAGCTTTGGAACTAAGTTGATAGCTTTTCTCTCTAATCCAAGTAAAGTTTTAATTTTGGAAAAGTGTAACATTTATGTAAGTGACCTACCTGTCCAGCAGCTCAGCCACAACATTTATTCACCCTGCAAACCTCCTGTAGACTATCCCTTTATGTTGCTTCATTCCTCCACTCCTATTAATGTGGTTATTTACTGAATTTATAAAAGTTAATAAACCTTGATATAGGATTTTTTTCTCATTAAACCAGTGCTTCTAACTCCATCCACCAGTCTTCTTATTGCTTTATTTTTAGTTTATGCAGTCTACATTCCAGGGTGCAACACTGTTAACACATTCTTGCCAGCATGCTCAACATTCTAAATCTTTTGTATCTCCACACACTTGCTTTGTGTCAGCAAACTGGAACCAATGCAACTAACATTGATTCCTTCTCTGCTTCATAAGTGGCTGCTTGCTTCTAGCTAGTAACATAGAGAATCTCTTCAGTTCTACTTTCAAATGGCCTTCCAACATTAGTATGCTACCTATAATTATTGATCAATTGCTTTGAATATTTGGGTTTTTTCTGTCTTATTGCCTCTCTTTGTGTTGACACTTTTTCAAGTATTTTATCTGATTCTTAATTTATCTTCTTCCATGGGCTTTCTACTTAACACACTTTGCCAACTATTATGCTGTTAAGTACAGTACTGTAGACTGGCTCAAATTTGCCTGTAAATTCAGCAGTAGTCCTACTACAATTTCAGTTAAGTGAAAAGCTCTGTACATCCTAGTTGTTAATAATTATTGTATTTTTTGCTATCACATCATAGCAATTTTTAAAATGTCACTGTTACTTAAGAACATTCTAGATAAAGCAATAAAAGTAATTGATTTTATTAAATACTGATCCTTGAGTACAGATCTTTCTAATAGTCTAAAAGACAAAGTGAAAGATATAAATGAAGCCAGCTTCTTCATATAGAACTATGGTAGTTTTCTCTAGGAGAAGAATGTATTTGATTGTTGAGTTATGAGCTAAACAAGTTTTTTTTAAGAACACCATTTTTACTTGGAAAGTCATGGTTATTTAGATCTCAAACACACATGAAGTGAGACTGTCATTTAAAAAATGAAGCTGTTTTGCCAATGATAAACTGTAAGCTTTTAAGCTAAAATTAAAATTTTGGAAAACATATTCACTACTATGGCATTCACAGTTTCCCAGTACTTAAAGAGACTTTACTGAAGGGAATAGTAGTGATATTAATGAATGTAATGTTTTACCTTGTGTAATAAAATATGTTAATAATTGGAAAATTTTTATTATTCAGTGAACCAATATTTCCCAAGTGACCAGTGCATAATGTTTCAAAACCATGCATGAGAAAAGGGGCCATTCAAATTGTAAGACAGATCAATGGATTTTAATGTAATATTAATATGGATATGGATATCATATTTAACATGCCTCTCAAAGAAGTCACTGCTTGTTAATTTTGGAACAGTATCAAAGAATTATATCCACATAATCTGAAAAGTCTATTGAAAATACTCATCTTTAACCCTACTATCTATCTGTTAAAGGCTGTTTTTCTTGATATATTTTAAATGAAATGATGCATTTGCAAAAGGTTGAATGCAGAGCAGATAGAAATTCCAGCTTTGTTCCACAATTCCAGATATTTAAAAAGTTTTCAAAATATTAAAAAGCCCCTCTTTATTTTTCACATGGTAGTTATTTTCTTAAAATGTTATTTACATACACATATGGTTCAAGGGTAAGTCTAGTTTTTGAATGAACTATTAGTAAATACTTTTAAACTGTTTAATATATATTTCCAATGCACTACATATTAATAAATATAGGCCACACAAATGAAATACTTCTTTGACTTTTATTTTAAGTGCAGGGGCACAAATGCAGGTTTGTTACATAGGTAAACTTGTGTCATGGGGGTTTGTTGTACAGATTATTTCATCACCTAGGTATTAAGCCCAATACCCATTAGTTATTTCTCTCCTCATACCCCGAAATACTTTTACGGTCCTCAATAATATTCATGAAAATAGAAGGATCTTTTAAAGAAAAAGTTTGAGAATTGAGGAGTTTCATTGAAAATATTTCAGGGATGAAAAGAGATATTTAGGAGTTATTAATCTAAAATATACAAATTGTCTAAAAGGAAAAAAGTGCATGTGAATATCAATAAGAAAAAATAAAGGATTAAGCTAGCTCACTTTTATATTTCTGCATACATATATTTACATATACTGTAAATTTTTATATTATACATGTACAAAAATTAACATATTAAATTAAATATTTCAAATGATATCTCTGGGATAGATATTTTCATCTCTTTTGATAAGTAAATAGAATCCTACAACATTTATATGACTTGTGAAATTTTACACCATAAGTAAGTGACGTCCCAGATATTTACCCAGTTATTTTCACACAAAGGTTTGTTAATCACTTTAACTAACATTACATATAATAAAATGTGGAATTCATTTTCCAAAGGACTTAGAAGCATTAAAAGAAGAATCCTTTCAGATGTAAACATTGAAGTGATCAAGAAAAGCAAGAGTTTTGCCCTCATAGAATTGCAAGAGTTGAGGAAAAGGGGAGTTGGGGAAGAAGCTTGTAACATAATGTATAGATATATAGCAATTATTTTGAGGGATCCATATATACTCTGGAACATCTTTCTAAAGACAGTAATATACACACTGAGATCTAAAAAATAGGTAGGAAAGGTATGGAGAGAGGACAGTTTAGAGATAGACCACAGGTAAACAACACCATGAGGAAAACAGGGAATTATAAATAATCAGTAAGATTAGAGTATACAGAGCAAAGGTAGGATGCCCAGTAAAAAGGTTGGAGAAGTGATTACAGCCCAGATCTTAACATTTTTTGTAAATCAGATTTGGAGGGGAGGGGGAAACCATGAATATGCTTTAAGGAGGATTTTGAATAGAAATGCACTGTATTAGGATTCTCTGGAGTTAGAATCAGTAGAATATATACAGTCATGCACTGCATAATAACATTTTGTTCAATAAAATACTGCATATATAGTGGTGGTCCCATAAGATTATAATGAAGCTAAAAAAACTCCTATCTTCCGATGACGTGGTAGTTCAATGTCATAGCTCAATGCATTACTAATGTGTTTGCGGTGATACTCGTGTAAATAAATCTACTGTACTGCCAGTTATATGAAAATATAAGCATATATTGTTATGTAAAATACATAATGCTTGATAATGATAAGGATAATAAATAGCTATGTTACTGGTTTACATATTTACTATACTATACTTTTTATTGTTATTTTAGAGTACACTCCTTTTTCTTATTAAAACAAGTTCACTGAGAAAGAGTATGCCATGTTACATTGGCAGTGGCTTCATACATATCTTGTTTTCTGTGTCTCTTGATTGCATCATTTCCTCTTGTGCTTGATTTAATCTCATGTAGTTTTGTTTATCATGGCCTCCCAGCATGCAAAACTCACTGCTAATGTTGCCAGTAAGAGGCCCAATTGAGTGATTGACCTGAAAATAAAAGGTGATTAAGAACTACAAAGGTGAAAAAAATCAGTGATGATTATTACACACAAGTCAGGCACATCCCTTTCCACAATGGCTATAATCTTGAAGAGCAAGAACAAAATGACAGAAGCTGTTAAAGGATCTGTTTTATTGAAGGCAATGAGAGTAACAACAATTTGAGAACGGCCTATATCAGATATGGAGAAACTTCTAATCACCTGGATTGAAGACTAGACATAGAAGTGTATCTCTCTCAGCACGATTACAATCACAGCCAAAGCAGAAAGGTTCTTTGCGATGTTGAAAGAAAAAGCTGAACCCACCTATGATATTGAATTTATTCTTAGCTCTGGGTGGCTTAAACAATTCAAGAATTGTTATTAATTACATAATTTGAAAGTGAGTGGTGAGTCTGTGAGTTCAAATGTGAAGGCAGGTAAGGAATGTTTGGAAACTAGATAAACTGATTGTGGAGGAAAATTACCTGCCAGATCTTCAATGAGAATGAAAATTCTCTGTTCTGGAAGTGGATGACTGAAAAGACTTTCATTTATAAGAAGACCAAATCAATGCCAGGTTTCAGGGCTTTTAAGGACAAAATAACGTCTTATTTGGGGAGCAATGATGCTGGCTGTAAATTGAAGCCCTTTATGATTTGGCACAGTAAAAAAAAAAAAAAAAAGAAAAGAAAAGAAAAGAAAAAAAACAAAACAGGCCTTCCAGCATATCAGTAGGCACTCACTGCCAGTTTACCACAGGAGCAATAAGAAGACATAGGGGAGTCAGCTCCTCTTCTAAGATGCCCTCTTGAATTGCTATGCCAGCAAAATGGAAAAGTATTCTTTGGAGAATAACATAGCTTTCAATATTTTGCTTATTGTTGATAATGCTCCTGAATATCCTCCTTGTATTGGTAATCTTCATCCCAACATCGAAATGGTGTTTGGAGGCAGAAACCACTTTGATCCAACCAATGAATTAATAAGCTATAGCAGCTTTTAAAGATTACTACCTGAGGAAGATTTTTAACCAGGCTATTGCTGCAACTAAGGAAGACACTGAGAAGACACTAATGCAATTGTGGAAGGACATCTATGACTGAGAACCTTGCTTGGGTTTAGGATGACGTCACCAAAGATCGCATTAATGGCATGTGGAAGAAGACACACAAGAAGTTTGTTCATGACTTCAAAGGATTTGTCAAGGATGATGAGGTTGCAAAAAGAAATAAGGCTATGATTGAGATGGCAGACAAATTTAACTTGGGTGTGGGTGAGGATGAATTGAGGAGCTCTTAGAGGTGGTTCTTGAGAAACTGACTAATGAGGAGTTGTTGGAACTGGAACAGGAATGGATAGCTGAAGAATAGACAAAAGAAAAGAAAACTGCAAGAGAAGAAAAAGAAAAAGTAAAAGGATAGTCCCCCCAAATTCATAGTGAATGGTTTAGCAGAATTTTTCTTAGACCTCAGCAATCTCCTTGAAAAGTTTAAAAACATGGACTTCAACAGCAAAAGGTTGTAATTAATAGAGAAAAATGGTACATTTTGTGCCAAGAAGTAAATATATCATGAAACAAAGAAACCAAGCAAACCACCATGGACATATTTTTGAAAAGTGTGACACCTCCTTAAGAAGAGCCTTAGGCAGGTCCTTCAGGAGGTTTTACAGAAGGCATTGTTATCATAGGAGACAACAGCGCCAGACATGGTTTTGCCACTACAAACCTTCAGTAAGACAAGATGTGGAGATGGAAGGCAGTAATGTTAATAACCCTGATCCTGCGTAGGTCCAGGCTCATGTGTATGTTTGTGTCTTAGTTTCAACAAAAAATTTTACAAAGAATAAAAAAACTAAAAAAAACAAAAAAGCATATAGAATAACAACATAAAGAAAATATTTTCTACAACTATACAATGTATTTGTGTTTTAAGCTACATGTTACTACCAAAGAGTCAAAAAAGTTACATAAAGAGGTTTTAATGTAAAAACATGACAGTAAGCTAAGGTTAACTTATTATAGATGAAAGAAAATTTTTAAAATAAATTTAGTGTAGACTAAGTATACAGTGTTTATAAAGTCTACTGTTGTGTCAATAATGTACAGTTATGTCCTAGGCCTTCACATTCATTTCACCACTCACTGCCTTACTCAGAAGCATTCCTGCAAGCTCCCTTCATGGTAAGTGCGCTATACAAGTGTACCATTTTAACTTTTTTTTTTTTTTGAGACGGAGTCTCGCTCTGTCGCCCAGGCTGGAGTGCAGTGGCGCGATCTGGGCTCACTGCAAGCTCCGCCTCCCGGGTTCACGCCATTCTCCTGCCTCAGCCTCCCGAGTACTCCCGAGTAGCTGGGACTACAGGCACCTGCCACTATGCCCCGCTAATTTTTTGTATTTTTAGTAGAGACGGGGTTTCACCGTGTTAGCCAGGATGGTATCGATCTCCTGACCTCTTGATCCGCCCGCCTCTGCCTCCCAAAGTGCTGGGATTACAAGCGTGAGCCACAGCGCCCGGCCCATTTTCACTTTTATATTGTATTTTTATTGTACCTTTTCTATGTTTGTGTCTGTTTAGATACACAAATACCTTTGTGTTACAATTGCTTACAGTATTCAGTACAGTAACGTGCTGTGTAGATTTGTAGCCTGGGAGCAATAGGCTGAATCTATTGCTGTGTAGTATGCTATACCACCTAGGTTTATGTAAGTACATTTGGTAATGTTTCCACAATGATGAAATTCCCTAACAATGTATCCTTGCTGTTAAGCCATTCATGATTGTATCGGCTCATGTGATTATGGAGGCTTGAGAATCCCCATGATATGCCATCTGCAAGCTGGAGACCCAGGAAAGCTAGTGGCATAATTCAGTCTAAGTCTGAAGGTCTGAGAATCACAGGAGTCAGTGGCGTAACTCCCTGTCTAAGGCTGAACTCCTAATAATCAAGAACTGCCCATGGGTGAAGGCAAGAGAAGATGAATGTTCCAGCTTAAGGAGAGACAATGAATTTGCTGCAGGACAGGCAAGCCCCAAAATGACAGCTAAGCCCAGAAGAGTTCTTGGTTTAACCCAGGAAAGAATTCAAGGGCAAGCCAGTGGTATTAAAAAGCAACTTTTATTGAAGCAGCAGTGTACTGAAGCAGCAGCAGAAGCACTGCTCCTTGTGGAGCAGGGATACCCCGTAGGCAGTGTGGCCAGAGTAGCAGCACAGAGGCAGTTCTGCAGTATTTATATCCAATTTTAATTATATGCAAATTAGGGGGCAGTTTATACAGAAATTTCTGGGAAAAGGGTGGTAACTTCCAGATTGTTGGGTCATTGTCATGGAAAGGGGTGGTAACTTCTGGGTGTTGCCATGGCAATGGTAAACTCTCATGGCATACTGGTAGGCGTGTGTTTAGGAAAGCTGTTTCCACTCCTGACCTGTTTTAGCTAGTCCTCAATTTGGTCCCATGTTCAAGCCCCACCTTTGGAGTTGAGTCCCATCTCCTACTTCAAATTCAGACTTCCTCCAAATTTTTTTGTTTTTTTTTTTTTGTCCTCAACAGATTGGATGATGCCTGCCCATATTGATGAGGGAAGATGTTCTGTACTCAGTCTCCTGATTCAAACATTCATCTTTTCCAGAAATATTCTCACAGACACAGCCAGAAATAATGATTTTACCAGTTCTTTCAGTATCCTGGTAAAGTTGACACACACACAAAAAATAGCTATCACACTCATTTTCACTGCATTGCAGAGGGGTCAAACCTCAAGTTTAGGGAGATCTTTTAGGGATTAATAAATCAGAAAAAAATGGATATGGGATGAATCAGGTGGTTACAATGAGTTAATGGAGATGGAAAACTGAAATATCTGAAATTTAAGAACAATTGAAAGAAACTATGATTGATTGGGTATAGGAGTAAAGAAGAAAAAGGAATGAAGATTTGTTTAATTCCAATGTGCAAAGAGTGCCACAAATATATTGACTGTGTTTAAGCAGAGTTAACTATATTAATTATCTACACCAAGAGGAATTACATACAAAGGGTCTTCTTGGTAAGAAAAAATTACAGTGTGTTAATTAGCTGATTGGAAGAGAGTTCAAGAATTCAGTGCTGACAGAAAGTGAGGGCAATTTGATGACTGGATCTCCAAATAATTTATGTCTAAGAGGTGGGTGTAAGTACTTGCAGCCAGGTTTCTCATTGGTAATGAAAAAGCAGTAATTCATTTCAGCCAGAAGAAGAAATGGTTTGATCATTTTACGGTGGTATAGAGTCCTTCTTTTCTATAATATTTGGGCATGATTACAAAATGGTCTTTCATTTATCTTGTTCCACCACAGTCACAAAATGACCTCGTCTAATTTTTCTTGAGCATTTTCCAGTAGAGAATACTATAACCTAGTTAATAACTGCTCCCAGGGACATTTATTTTAATTAATTTTTTCTCTTTTGCAATCAGCCCCATTTTATGGAAGGGCAGAGTATATCAATCTGGTGATTCAGGTTTGTGTTATTGCTGAATTCTATTGATCAGAAAATGGAAAATGTTAACTGTGATTAGATTAAAGTTGTTCTGTCCTGTTCCTTTTGTTATAGGATAAATTGTTGGATCAACTCATGTGATAATGGTTGTGAGGTAGGATTTAAGATTCTTATAAAAACCCATCATCCAACTGTATTTAGGAAATTACCAGAAACAAAGTGATTGTCAGTCCCCGTAATTAGGTTTCAGTATCAAGGACCTAACCCAGGCCACAAAGTTGTTGTTTTCAAAATCTATCTAGGTCTCTTCTAGAGAGCCACATGGCCTTCTCCTTTAGCCTAGGAAAAAGTATGAAAGTACTTGACATGACTAAGAAACTGATACAATTCATTACATTTTTAACATAAAGTGAAAGAGGCTAGTAGACCAGGCCAGAATGTTGTGCCTGTGGGTCTTACATCCTAGGCTAGAAAATTTTGATCTTTTGTCTATATGCAACAGGAAATTTTTGAAAAATTTTTTTCTTGAAAGATGACTTTGGTTTTGCATTTTAGAAAAAGAAAACACTCTTGTCCTAATGTGAAAATGAAAAAGAGATAAAAGTTGAAAAACAAGAGCTGGAGATAATCTGTGTTTAAAAAGTATATCACTAAAGATAAATTATTGCAAATAAAGTCAAAAAAAGGAAACAAGGTCAGGCATGGTGGCTCACTCCTGTAATCCCAGCACTTTGGGAGACTGAGGTGGGTGGATCACTTGAGGTCAGGAGTTCAAGACCAGCCTGGCCAACTTGGTGAAATCCTATCTCTACTAAAAATACAAAAAATTAGCTGGGGGTGGTGGTGTGCACCTATAATCCCAGTTACTCAAAAGACTGAGGCAGGAGAATAGCTGGAACCCAGGAGGCGGAGGTTGCAGTGAGCCAAGATTGCACCACTGCACTCTGGTCTAGACGACAGAGCTAGAATCCGTCTCAAAAAAAAAAAAAAGGAAAAAAGATTGCATTAATATTAAGATGTGAAGGAGGATATTAGGAAAATAGATTCATGTAATTTGATTCGCAGATGTTTGGCATCACTAGTTAGGAAAGAATATTACCATGATATTGTGAATACTAAGTAAAAACATATTTTGAGAGAGAACAATTTGATGAAGATTATATAAATAATAATTGTGATATCTGACTTTTTTATCAACGTGACTGGGTTAAGGGATGCCAGACAGCTGGAAAAACATTTCTGGGTGTGTCTGTGAGTATGGTTTTGGAATAAACTAGTATTTGAATCAGTACACTCAGTAAAGAAGATCTGCTCTCACCAATGTTGGTGGGCATCACCCAATCCACTAATAATTTGGATAGAACAAAAAGAGAAAGGGCTAGTGCTTCATCTGTTTTCTTGTGCTGGGACATCCATCTTCTGCTCTTGGACATCAGAGCACCTGGTCCTTCAGCCTTCAGACTTGGGGACACCAGTGCCTGCTCCCACTTTCTGGTTCTCAGGCCTTTGGCCTTAAACTGGGAGAGGCATCATTAGCTTCCCTGGTTCTCAGGCTTTTGGACTCAGACTGAATTATACTATCAAGTTTTCTGAGCCTCCAGCTTGCAGACAGCACGTTGTGGGACTTCTCAGCCCCCATAATTGCATGACTCAATTATCATAATATATCTTCTCTTATCTACAGTAAATTCTCATTTAATATCATTAGTAAATTCTTGGAAAATATGAGCTTAAGCAAAAATATGTATAACAAAGCCAATGTTTTTCTTCTCATCAACATTATAATGAAACAACCAACATTGAAAGAAACAGGAAACAACCTTATTTGAAGACCTGCTGTACATTGTTTTGCTTAAAGAACCTATCAACAAAGTTAAGTGAGGACTTATTGTATAACTATATTTATCCTATTGGTTTGGCTTCTCTGGAAAATGGCTTCAGTAAGTGTGAGGTTCCTATTGAAACCACAAGTGGTAATATCTAGTTAGGAATAGAAGGAAGCATATTTTTCACTAAATTCCATGTCTCTACAATACAAACTAAACGTATATTGTGTTTTCATAAGAGCAAAAATGATCAAACATATATATAGAAATTATATTCACTATAAAAATACTCAGTATAATTGCAGATGTAGTTCAAATTTATAAGTTGAAAATATTAGTGAATAATGTTAATATTTTTTATATTGCAAAGTATTTTTCTCAAATTTCTCTGCTTAGAGGTAGTGGAATTCACATCACAGAAGTATTTGGAAACTGTAGTTTAAGACAGAAAAGCATTTTATATTACTTATTGCCAACTGGACAATTTCAAGAATTTTAATATTGACTTCTCCATTAGATTAAATAAATAAATGGACATTTAAAAATAATTAACCATATACGTGATCACCTCTTTATCATTCCTGGTAATTTTTTTTCAGGAAGAATCAGATAGGCACAATCAGGGTACTGGAAGTCCTGATTACTCAGAGACGTTAATCGCATACTATGTGAACCCCAATCATGTCCTAATTTGCCCTCCAAAAGAAGGAACAGGTAAAGATTATCCCAGCTGATAATATCTGGTGATATTTAAGAAGTATAATTTCCAGACTTTATATGATCACTTTCTATATCAAAGTAGGACTTAGAAATAGTAATATCAATAGTAATAGTTTGCTTTATTTTATGTAAATAAAATAGCCCCTGATCTCCTTTTAGGAACCAATGTATAATGTATAAATTTACAAATATTAATATAAAGTGCATTCTAGGACAGGTTTAAAAATGTCATTTTCTTTGCAGTTAATATTTCTTTGTTAGCACCATTTAACCTTTAGCAAATTTGGTTTTTGTAGTATACTCTTAAAAATCACCACTTTTTGTCACTCTCTAGATATTTGATGTCGAAATCCACATAACATAAACAGAACACTACTATCACTAGTCACGGTATTTTACTATTCATTCACTATTGGAAAGATAAAACATAAAATGCAACAAAAAATAAAAATATAAAAATCTCACTTGAAGACGGCACTTTTAATGGTATTGTCGTTTTTAATTACCTCTGGAATATAATATTTTATGCTATTTTATTTACATATTAAACTTGTTAATATTTAAGAGGAAATTCAATGTTTCACTTTTTCCTTAAAGTCATTATCTAGTTTATTCCTCAAAATGACACTTAAGCAATCAGGAAAAAATAAATAAATAAAAATAAATAAATAAAAAACTGCTGATAAAACTGTTCCTTAGAAAATATAAGAACAATTTTCTCTCTGTTAATTTTGTCCAGAAACAATTAGTAATTCACAGAATCCAGAACTGCATGAATTTATAACAAATGAACGTATATTTTAATATAAAATTAGTACAAGTTTAGAAAAATCATGTACTCATTTAAATTTTATTCCACTCAGGAATCAGTAAAATACATTAACTTAAATAATGACACAAATTGAAAAATACCTATCAGTCAAGTGATTAGGAGCAGAAACAATGAAGACTGTCTGAGTTGAGCTGTAAGTTCTAACGCTTCCAAGTTCTGTAATATTGGGCAAGATTTTAAAAGCTTTTTGTGCCTCAGGCTTTTGCATCTATAAAAGAAAAATACTTAATATAACAATGTTGAGAGAATTGAATAACAATAAATCTTAAGGACTTGAACAGTGTATCATGTATAATAAGCACAATATAAATGTTAGGTGATAGTGATGAGGTTGATTATTTTCTTTAATAATTTATTTTAATGTGCATGGTGGTCAGTTTCTAGGACAGTGTCCTTATATATAACAATAATATATTCATTTTTTCTCAATAATTGCAAACTATTGTAAGAAAAAAATTTTTTAAAAAGTTGAAATAATATTTTTTTCATTCTGTCACATGAGTTAACATATGAAGTATAATCATATAGTCACATGAATTAAAAGTGTTCAAATACTTAACTAGAACAAGATTCAGTATTCTGTGAAAAATAAAGAATATGTACTTATATGACAGTGACAACTAATAATAGATTATCTTCTTCTTAATGTGGAAGGAAATATAAATCCTCTACATTTAACTTCACAACAAAATTGAAAGAAAATATAATTATGACAATAACTGTCAATCTTCTTTAATGCATGTTTTTAAAATTGACCAACTAAAACATAAAAGGAGAGAAAAAGAAGAAAATTGATAATGATTTAGTGTCGATTGTGTGGTAGGCGTTGTTCTAGTTACTATGAGCATTTAGAGCTATTTAATACACTGATACACCGATAGTATTCTATGACATTTAAATTAATATCTTCATTATTCTTATATGTCACACAATTTTAACAGCTTTTTGAGGTATTATTGATATAGAAAACCTGCTCATATTTAATGTGTCCACTTTCATGAATTTGCACATATATGAACATCACCACAAACAAGATAATAGACATGTCCAATATCTCCTAAAGTTTCCTTGTGTCCATTTTTTTGTAGAGAGCATATGAACACAACACAAGATATCCTTTTTAAACAGATTTTGAAGTGCACAATACCATATTAAATATAGGTACTATGTTGCACAGAAGATCTGTTATTCATCTATCGTAACGCTTGGCAATTTCCCATATCCCGTATTTCCCAGCCCATGGCAATCAATATTCTCTGCTTCTATGAGTTTGACTATTATGAATATCTCATATAAGTGGAACTATGAAGTATTTGTCCGTTTATGACTAGTTTCTTTTACTTAGCATAATGTCCTCCAACTTCATCCATGTTACAAATGGCAGGATTCTTCTCTTTTTCTAAGGCAAAATGATGATCCATTGTATTTATTTGTCACATTTTTAATCTACTCATCTGTTGATGGACAGTTGTTTTGACCTGATCCCTGACAAGAGTGGAAAGAATACACAACGTGGAAAGGAAATTGTCTTCAACAAATGCTATTGAGATCACTTGGTATCCCCGAGTAAAAGACTGATGTTGGACTCCTACCTTACACTATTTACAAAAATTAACTCAATCAAATAACCTAAATGTAAGAGCTAATACTATAAAGCTTTTAGAAGAAAATGATTACAACTTTATTACCTTGAATTTGACAATGGATTCTTAGACATGACACCAAAAATGCAAGTAACAAAATCTAAAACAAGCAGATAAATTAAACCCCATTAAAATGAAATACTTTTCTGCTTCAAAGGCATTATCAAGAAAGTTAAAATACAACCTATAAAATGGGAGTGAATATTTGAAAATCACATATAAGATAAAGGTGATATATGCAGAATATATAAATAATTCTCACCACGCAACAACAAAAAGTGAAATAAACCAATTTAAGTATGAGCAAAAGATATACAAATGCCCAAGAAGTACATGAAAAGTTGCTCAACATCGTTAGTCACCATAGTAACTAATGCAAATCAAAACCACAATAAGATACCATCTTATATCCATTAGAATGGCTATAACTACACACAAAGCAAAAATAAGCAAAAAAACAGAAAATAACAAGTGTTAGTGAAGATACAAGGAGACACTCTTAAACCTTGCTGAAAGGAATGTAATTTATTCAGCCATTGTGGGAAAAAGTTTGTCAGTACCTCAAAAAATTAAATCTGAAAGTATTATATGACCCAGGATTCTCCTCGTAGGTATTTACCAAAAAAATTAAAAACAGATACTCAAGCAAAAACTTGTACATGGATGTTAACAGCAGCACTATTCACAATAGCCAAAAGGTGGAAACAACCTAAGTTTATCAACCGACAAATGGGCAAACAAGATGTGGTATATCCATATGATATAATAATATTCAGCCATAAAATAATGAAGGACTGAAGCTTGCTATAA
Source organism: Homo sapiens (assembly GCF_000001405.40). Lineage (NCBI taxonomy): Eukaryota > Metazoa > Chordata > Mammalia > Primates > Hominidae > Homo > Homo sapiens. Next base: position 185,658,505 of record NC_000002.12, on the reverse strand, counting down.
CATAGATAAACCTCAAAAACATGCTTCGTAAAATAAACCAAACATAAAAGGTCATTTTTATAGTTGCATGATTATTACCATTACATGATTACATTTATAGAAAGTATTTAAATAAATACATACAGAGAGAATGCAGTTTGTTTCCAGGGACTGAAGGGACAGTGGGGGAGTGGAGGATGGGGAATGAATATTTATATGTATGAATTTGGGGGATATGTGATAAAAATGTTTTGGAACTAGACAGATAATGGTGATTGTACAATATTGTAAATATACTAAACACTACCAAATTGTTTATATTAACATGGTTAATTTTATGTTATGTGTATTGTACCTCAATAAAAAAAACAAATATACAGCTTCTTAGGAAGGTGGGGTAGAGTTCAAAATTCATCTTATGGAGGAACAAGCATGTAAAAGAGTTAGAAGATGGAAACAAAATTGTTGAGTGAGGTAATTAGATTTGGACAGAAGTGATGTTTATGCCTCAGAGAGAGGAGAAAAATAGATAGGATGTTTGATCAACTGCGAGACAAGTAATATTTAAGACATTTATTTTATCTTTCATTTCTTTTTTAAATAGCAGTCAGACATGAAATATTTAGGGCAGGGATACAGTAAAGGCTTTCAGAAATTTAAAATATTTTGATTAATTAGTATAGGGTCTCAATCTATTGCTCTAATATAAATACTAAGATTTACAGAAATAATACAAAATTGTGAACAATATCCAAAGAAATAAAAATCTCTGGAATGGAAGGAAATTGATCTCCAGGGTGATATTTTATGCCATCTTTAATGTCTATCATGAGATATGTTGCTACACAATTATAGAATTCAAGGGTCCAAGAATCATGATGATATTAGATTTATCAAGAGCATCAACTGGAAAAAATAAATCAATGAAAAACTTATTCAATATTTTGGTTAAATTAATTTCATAGAATTTAATATCAACATCAACTACCAATAAAAACAGATGGTAGAATAAAGTTGTTTTCAGATATACAAAAATTTCAAAATTTTTTTTGCTGTAAACATTTAAGTTGTCTACCAACGTTAGATTCCCTTGTTTTTACTGGGAACCTAGATGGACTATACTTTTTACCTCCTTGCAGTTGCATAGATAACATACAGATTCTGAACCTAGTTTTCTGAGCTGAGTGGAAATAACATGGACCACTTTGTGGACTAAGAATTGAAGAGTTGATGGGGAATTTCTGCACTTTCCACTTTACCTCCAAAGTGACAAGGGAGGACACAGTCACAAGAATAAATTAGCCCAATTCACTAAGTCACTGCTGCCCTGATGAGTCACCTAATCCACACCAGCATTAATATGAGTGAAAAATAAACCTGTGTTGTGTTTTCTGCTGAAATATTTTTACAGCCTAACTAACAGTGAATAATGAGTGATATACTCTAATAAAACAATGGGGTTACCTAAGAAAAGAAAATACAGGTGATAGAGGAAATAAGAAATCCAATAGAAAGGAAAGAAGAAAGAAAATCCAATGGAGAGTATAGAAAAAAAAAATCAATGGCAATGTTGGTTGCTTTCAGAATGAAAACTTTGCTGCTGGTCTTGTTGACAACTAGTGTTGACTTGAATAAGCTTTTAGAAGATTCTAAGACAAGACATCCTTAAGGAAAAGTAAGGAACAATGGAAATAAAAGGCTCTTAGTTGTTATTATGTTCATTCTTCTGTGCCTATTACATAATGTCATTACTGAAAGAAATTGAAATAGCATTAAAAACTGTACAGATTACTCTATGCTGAGGGCAGAAACTAGCACTTGATTAAAGACTTTAACAGATTGGCTCATTTTGGGGATCTTTTCATCTCCCTAATTACCAGTTTTTAATACAATTATGAAACTATCTTATTTTCTGACAAACTTATACAATTATTGTGAGGCTTAGTAAAATAATGATCTTAAAACAGAGAAATAATTCTCTTATTCTCCTAAATAATATAAGATCAAAATGTTTCCCTTCATAAGAAATTTTTGCTGACTGCAAGATCAGGGAATAATTCTCCTATCCTGTGAAATATTTTTAAAATATTTAATAATTGATAAAAATTAATAAAAATAATTTTTATTAAACAACAAAAAGTGAAATTATTTTACAAATGCAGGGTAGTAGTGTTATTTTGTAGGTTGAAACTCTGACAAATTTTTTCTTAAGTTTGAAAAAATAAATAAAAACTGTAATTTTAACTGTTTTTCTGGCTTACAGTTACGTTTTTTCTATAAACATGTATTTGATTTAGGCCCTCTTCCTATGGATATTTATATGGCATCTCAAACAAGAACAGCCTAATTTTTTTAAATGTCTATCACTCATTAGCTGTCTGACATTGGTTCTGATAAAATTTGGAATAAGGTGATGTACCACAATGTAAGAAGTCTCAGACTTGTCGTTTCCATGTCATAGTATTTCATTGCCATTTTAATTAAAGTTTTTATAACTAATGATTTGAGTGCATTTTCATATGTTTATTATCACCTCTTATGTAAAATATTTATTCAAATCTTTTACCTGTTTTTATGTTTCATATTGATTTGTTCAAAAACTTTAAAAATTATATTTATAAATATTATTTCTCTGTGCATGTTGAATTTTCACTCTTTTAATATATGTGAAAATGGGCAACAATTCTTAAATTTTAATTTATTTCAATGTATTGATCTTTCTCTTTAAGATCAGAATGTTTCCCTTCATAAGAAATTTTTCCTGGCTACAAGATCAGGGAATTATTCCCCTATCCTGTGAGATATTTAATTTCATCTAATAGTCTAATTCTGACAACTTTTCTTCAATATCTTATTTTCTATTTTTTAAATGTTCACATAAATTTTAGAATTAGCTTATACATGTAAAAAATAAAACCAACATCTGCACAATAGTATCTTTCAATCTATAAATGGATTAAAATGCTACTTTATATAAATCTTCTTCAGTTCTTCCCAGTTTTTTTCATAGAATTTCTGTGCATATTTCACTGGACTATGATGTGTTGATTTTTGATGCAATTGCAAATGATTGTTAGTTTTCCATTTTCACTGCATAAATTAAAACTATAAGTTTTCCTTGTATTTAACAATGTATCTAAATACTCATTAATCTTGTTTGTAGATTCTCTTGGATTTTCTAAATATGGTATTATGCTGCCTATAAAATCAATAAGTTCATTGTGTCTCTAATCTTCGCGTTTTATTTCTTTTGTCTTTTTGCATTAGCAAGCACTTCAAGAGTGATGTTAAGTAGTAGTGACAACAATATCCTTGTCTCATTCTCAGTCTTAAGGGGAAAACTTTCAATATTTTATATTAATATGATATATACAATTGGATTTTTAAGAATAAATTTCATAGATAAGTTTTATTTTATTTCTAGGTCACTGAAAGTTTTAATATAAACGTATGTTGAATTTTATCAACTATTTTCTACATCTATTGATATGATCATATAATTTCCTGTTTATTCTATTTATCATTAATTTCCCAATTTAAACTAACTTACAATCATGAAATAAATCACATTTGTCTTAATGTATTACCCTTTTAAAAGATAGCTGAATTTTGTTCAATAAAATGGTGTTAGAGATTTTTATATTTATGATCGTAAGCGAGATTAGCCAGTAATTTTTCTTTTCTGAAACATTCTTGTTACAATTTAGAATAAAAGTTCTGTTAACGGCCTAAGACCAAATGGTAAATGTTCATTCTTTTTATGTTATCTGGAAAACTTTTTGCAACATTGGTGCTTTTTGATATTCAGATGTTAGGGAGACTTCACCTTTGACCATCTAAAGCTGACCTCTTCGTGAGAAGGCTTTTATTTATAAACACCAGAAGCTTCAGGTGTTTATATTTCTTCTGCAGTCATTTTTAACTTGTGTTTTTCTAGGAATTTGTTTAGTAATTTTCTTATTCCCATAAAATTGCCCATTATATCCTTTTATTGTTTTCAGTACCTGTAGGATCTGTATTACAGCAATGTTATCTTTTCTATTCCTATATTGGTAATTTTCTTTTTATCAGTCTTGCTAGTATTTATCAACTTTAATAACCTTCTCAAAGAAATTGATTTTATTTTATTTTGTGACTCTATATCACAGTTTTTGGTATATGATTAATTTCTGATTTTATTTTTATTATTTTCTTTTTCCTACTGTAGAAGTTTAATTTGACATTATATTTCTAATTTAATAAGGTAGATACTTTAATCATTAATTTCATTCTTTTTTGTTCTAATGTATGTATTTTATATGTAGTTTAAGTCTATAAATTTTCTTATAAACAGCATTTTTATATGTTGTATTGCTTTTCCCATTCACTTAAAAATATTTTTTAGTTTTTATTATAACTACTTATTTATGCATGGGTTATTTATAAGTGTGTTTTCTTAAATTCCAAACAGTGGGGCTTTTCTAGTTATATTTATATTTTTATTTTTTGTAGTTGTACTATACCTGATTTAAATAATTTGAAAGTTGTGAAGAATTGTTTTGTATTCTAGTATTTCATCGATGAAATAAAATTTCCGTGTTTAAAAGAATGTCTACTTCTTAGTCCCCTATTTGTATATGCAATTTAAGTCAAGTTTGTTAATATTTTTCAGGTATTCTAAATAGTTACTGTGAAAGGAAAATATCTTGGGCCTCCAAAATCACTGAGCTGAAGGGAAAATTCAAGCTGGGAACTGCTCAAAGAAAATCTGCTTCCCATTCTATTAAGTCATCCCTCTGCTCACTGACATAGTTGCTTATTCTGATCGCCTCATTTAGAATGGTTTACCAGAAACTCAAAAGAATGCAACCATTTGTCTGTCACCTACCTGTGTCCTGGAAGCCCCCTCTGTGCTTCAAGTTGTCCCTGACTTTCTGGATGGAACCAATGTACTTCTTCCACATATTGATTGATGTCTCATGTCTCCCTAAAATGTATAAAACCAAGCTGTGCCCCTACCACCTTGCGCACATGTCCTCAGGACTTCTTGAGGCTGTGTCAGGGGTGCATCCTCAACCTCAGCAAAATAGACTTTCTAAATTAACTGAGACCTGTCTCAAATTTTCGGAGTTCACATTACTGAATTTTTTGTCTGGTTGTTTGATCAGTTACTCCCACTATAATTGTAAAGTTTTCTATTCTCTATGCTCTATTTTCATTATTTCTAAATACATTGTTATATCTATTTTATGAGTTGACCTGTTTGCTTTATCTGTTCCTCTTTATCTCTAGTAACACTCCTTGCATTTGGATACAATTGATCATACATTAGTATGACTTCATTTGGCTTTTTAAAAAATTATGTATTATATAGGGTATGTTTTCTATTCTTTCTTCTTCAACCCTCTGGGTCCTTATATTGGATGGATATCCTCTGTATGCAGAATGGAAATGTGTTTTCTTTTTAATCAGCATAAAATTGCCCTAGAAATTGCCATATCCCTGGGCAACATGATGAAAATCAGATGAAAATCTTTCCAACATGAGTAGCTTTACAGGTAAAGGATGGAGAAAAATAACTATCCCCTTCCTTCCCAAAAGAGAGAGAGAAAGAAAAGGACAAGAAAGGAACTCATTTTTTTTGTTTTGTATTGATATGGAATGGAAAGGATCCTGAGTTCTTAGCCTAATGTTAGGAATCTAAATGAGTCTTTACAAAGGGCAAGTAGATCCAATGGTTCTGGCTTTTTGACCTAGAGCCACCTCCAAGGTGTAGATTCCATACATTTTGAAGTGAAAATATCTAGGATGCTGGTGATCTAGTTATATTATCATCTAGGGATTAAGCTAGGGACCTATTCTGGGCTGTAATATTTGGTCTTCTTGAATGACGGTAATTAAGTAGACAAATAGCTAGATGCTATAGATCTAACTCTGAAGGTATGTGAAAAGTAATCTAGAAGAAATGAAAACAAACGTCTAATATTTATATTGTGAATATTCCTTGTCTTGGGAGCCCAGGGCTTTATACAGGAACACTGAGAAATCAAGAGTAGTTTTATTTTCTCACACTCATTTTTAGATCAGTATACTGTTTATTTATATGTAGAAAATATAATGCTATAGTGGGATTTGTACCTACTATTTTTCTATTTGTTTTCCACTTGATCCAACAGTTGTATGTTCTTGTTTTCTTTTCTCTTTTAGTCTTCTTTTTATTTATTAGTTTTTGTTTTGTCATTCTACTAGCTAGAGAGATACACATTTCATTACTACTAGAAATTACATGCATTGTTGAATCATTAGGGGTTAATATAACTGATTACTTTGCTTCGTAGGATAATAATATATTAGAACTCATTAAATCAATTTCTCCCTCCTATTTTTTTGTTTTGTTTTCATGCATTTATGGTTCTAAATTTTAAAAACTCATATGCATCAATGATCTTGTTTCTACAATAGATATTTATTAACATTTACCCACAAAATCACCCCTTTTGTCATTCTTCACTTCTTACTGCATATTGTTACTTTCATCTGGGATTATGTTTTTTCTGTCAGAAGAAATTTTGTAAAGTAATTCTTTTAGTACAATCTGCTGGAAACAATATTTGTTTTTGTTTGTCTGGAAATGTTTTTACTTTTAAATGATATTTTTGATGGAAGTATAATTTCTAGGTTTGCTGGTTATTTTCTTCATCACTTTAAAGGTATCACTTATTTTCTTCTCTTTTATGTAATTATTTTAGAAATAAACTGTAAATTTTATTATTTTATCTTTAAACATGACATATGTTTGGTCTTCTATATCTGTATCTGCAGGTTCTATATCCATGAATTCAATCAACTGCAAATGGAAAAATTATGAAAAATTTGCATCTGTACTGAACACATACAGACTTTATTTTTTATTATTCCTTAAATGAATTAGTATAACAACTATTTACATAGCATTTGCATTGTATTAGGTGTTATAAGCAATGTAGAGGTGATTCAAAGTATACAGGAGGATGTGCAAAGGTGATATGCAAATACTACTTCATTTTATATCAGGAATTTGAGCATCTATAGATGTTGGTGTCTCTGTGAGGTCCTGGAACCAATCCCCCATGAATAGCAGAGAGCAACTGTATATCTTTTATTTGGCTGCTTTTATAATTTACTATACACCTTTTGATTTTCAGAAGCTTTTTGTACATTGTGACTAGTTGTGTCTTTCTGTATGTTTATCTTGCTTGATTTTCATGAGATTTTACTTTGATGTTTGTCTTTATATTTAGAAGATTCTTATCCTTTTCCTCTTTAGAAGGTTGTTTCTCTGTTCCATTCTCTTCCTCTTCTGGGATCCTAATAATATATATATTTAGTAATTTAAATCAAGCCCCATGTGTTTAATATCCTCTGTATTTTCCTTTTTAAAATCTTTGTTTCTTGGATGAATCATTTTCTACTGCTCTATTTAGTTAATTTAATCTGTCTTCTGTTATGTCCAATTTGTTATTGAATACATTCATTCTAAATTTTCCATTCTTTAAAAAAATTTCAGAATCTCCATTCAATTCTTATAGTCTTTAGTTCCCTGGTAAAATTCTATGTATTGCTTACTATTGTCTTCATTGTTTTAATCGCAGTTTAAAAAAATTATTACCAATTAGTGCAAAGTATATGTCACCCTGAGTTTGCTTCTATAAGCTAGTTTCCCTTTTTTGTTTTTGTTAATATAAATGATAATTTTAATAATATTTTAATATTGTCCACGTCAAATTTTAGAGACTATGACTTATTTGATTTACTGTCAGAAAACATTTACTTTGTCCTTCATCAAAGAGCTGTACAGGGGAGATTATCCCACATTACAGTCTAAGCTGACTCCAGTGGGATTTCACTTTTGGAAATCTGATATTATCTCTTGTTAACAGTAATTCCTATGGCATAGGCCTCCATTCGTATTGGCTGCAAACTTTGAGTGTTTATTGGCACCCTTATTTCTTGGTGAATTCTAAACTACAGTTTTCTTTCTTAATATTATAAGAGTGCAAACATTGGTCTGTATTTCAGTGTTTGTTTTATTTATTTATTTATTTTTTATTTATTTGCCTCTTGCCCCGCTTGATTAGAATTCAGCAAAAACCTCCAGGGGAAAATTGCTGCATACAGCCTTACCTCTAATTACCTCCATTCTTTTTCAGGGATCCTTTCGGGGTAGGGGGATGTGTGAAGATCTTGACCTTTTATGTCATGGTTACCTTGACTTCAACCTTCACTTGGTTGCTCAGCCCATCCATCCTCCCACCCAGAGACTTTTAAAGTATTTCTTTTAGTGCAGTCTGCTGGCAACAAATTCCTGAAGAAAAACTGTACACAAAATAATTAGATTCATCTCAAAGAAATTCCTTTCTTCCAAGATTTGGATCTTCAAGCCTTGGATATCTTAGCAGTTCTCTGATTTCTTTAAATTGACTTAAAAATGTATATATTACTGTTGCATTTTGTATGACCATTGGTCTACTGTGTTAGTCTGCTCCAACTGCTATAGCAAACCCTTGCCTGAGTGGCTTAAAAAAAAACATTTATTTCTCACAGTTCCTGAGTCTGGGAAGTCCAAGACCAAGGTGATGTCAATTTAGTTCCTGATGAGGGCCCACTTCCTAAGAAGAGTTAGACAGCCACATTTTCACTGTCTTGTCATATGGTAGAGAGAGAGTTTCTTTTTATAAAGCTGCTAATCTTATCAAGAGAACCCTATTCCCATGACTTTACCTAACCCTGATTACCCCATACCCCTTAAAGGCCCCATCTCCCAATACAGTCACATTGGGTGCTTAGGACTACAGTATATTACAGTTAATCCATACATTTTCAGTCTAAATGATTATATCAAATGCCATTGCCTTAGCTTTCCTACTGCTTCCCAAGGTCTCTTCATTTGAGGTAAATGTCTGAAAAACATGTAAAAATTGTTGTTGTTCCTTTATCTCTTCCACAACCCAGGTCTTCTGACATATTAGAATGGCCCTAACACTTAATTGAGGTGTTACTTTCAACCTTTGTATGAGTTGAGGTATTGCAAATTGTTTGACTCAGTTGAAGCAAGTATTAAATATGATTATTTCCCCTTATTTTGAAAAATGTGTTCTGGACTTGACACTGTTTGTGCTTAGTGCTTATTTTGGCATTTCATGCCCAACCAGCTTAAAATAAATAAATATTGGAAGTTGGTATTCTGCTCCTGTGTTTGTTCTTTATCATACAAAACACCTCTGTAATGCTTAAAGTACCTCGTAATCTTAACAACTATACTGAAATTCCAAATTTTAAGTCTTTATCAAGTTAGTGTCTTATTTCCTTTCTGCTTAACTGACCAGAGATATTGAGAAGGTACATGTATATATACTTATAGGTAGTTCTGCTCTACAAGGTCACCTAAATACCCAAGTTATTTAGGTGAACCTAATAACTACCAATAGGTAGTTCTGCTGGACTATGTACCTGTTCCATCAGCTTCGTAGTCAGTTAAGATTAGAATCTATATCAATAGTATATTCTATAATATTGCAGCTTTGGGAAGGTGAGAAGAGAGAAGGATTACCCTTTCAATTACTTAATGGTTAACACTTAGTCATTGTATACATTGCTTATGTTCCACTGGTAATAAATTAATTATATAACCAAATGGACTCGCAAGGGGGCTGGGAGATACAATCTTTAAGTGGGTGGTCATGGGCTTGGCTAAAACTTGGAGAGTTCTATTGCTAAATATTAGAGGAAAATATTTTATATTAGAACGTAATTTTCAGTCTTTAACCCTGGGTTTGTCAGCTATTCACTATTTTCCTATGTTATTTTGGTGGTATAAAGACTTTAAAGCACTGCCAGAATTTCTGCTTGATCTCTGCAATCTCAAAGTTTCTCTATTATATCTTTTCCGTCTCAAAGTGGTTTGGGATTTTTATTTTTATTTTTATATTTTCTGTCATTTTAGATTCTTACTTGGTAGTAATAGAACAGACTTAGAATCTTGGTTTTGTGGTAAATTATAAGATTTCTTTCTTACCTAAGTCCAAGGCAAGCCTGATTAAACCAGTACTTAGACACCTATGTGAGGTCCTATTGCTGGGTTATGAAACAGAAAAAAATGGAAGAGGCCTAAACTATATGAATTATTGAAAGAGTGACATGGGAAGTTAGATTCTGCTGAGGCCAGATTCAAATGCACAGATTTATTTGGCTACTACTCTGTGAGCACTGGGTAGTGAATAAAATGATAGGTTAAAAGACACATATGCATTTACTCATGAGTTTATTAGAGGAGAAAATATTAATTAAATTACCAATATTGGATTTTGCTATGGCTTGAATGTTTGTCCCCTCTGAAACTCATGTTGAAACTTAATCCCTATGTTAATAGTATTAAGAGAGTAGGAAATCCAACTATGGTATTTGAGAGCTTGGATCTTTGGGAGGTAACTAGAATTAGATGAGGTCATAGGGTAGGGCATTGGTGGCCTTATAAGAGGAGAGAAACCTGAGCCAGTCGGCTGAGTCCCCTTGCATTGTGATGCCTGTGCCACCTCAGGAATCTGCAGACAGTCTCACTAGTGCTTACCAGATGCAGCCCCTCAACCTTGGACTTAGTATGTGGATTTCGTATGCAAAATCATCTTAATTGCTTGTGACTTTGGTTCAACATTTTAAGTTTCCACTAGTTTTTTTATCTTACACATGATATTTCTGTATTTATAGTGATTTCCCCAGTAATTCTTGTGAGAATTCACTCTACCCATTTCCTGATGCCTTGGCTCTCCCAAAAAAATTTATGAATTATTTAATTAAGATACATTCTTCATAAGAAACAGCAGAAAATTAAGGGTTCATGGAAATGTCATTTAAATGCCAAAATATGACCTCCTATGTTTTCCTAAATTATATCAAAATAATCATTTATAACTCTAAATGTAATAAAATGCATAATAATTTGAACAAAAAAGGAGAAAAATATCATAATAAAATACATTTTTTAGGGTCACCTATACACATTTATTATTTTGAATGCAAATAATAAAGGTATTCTGAACCAATTCCATTTTATGGAACATTTTTATTGATCATTCCTTGCTCAAAATTGTCAAGAATCAGACTTTGCCTCCTCAGTTTTGTCCATTTTATTTCTGCTTCTCTGATGACAAAGGGGTTTTTATGGCAACACTTTCAGATGCTCCTTTTACGCATGGTCAAAGATGGCCTGCTTTTGTATTTATACTACCTATTTTATCTTATTGAAGTCTCGAAAATCCTAATCAAAGCGAGGGCAAAATCCATGCTTAATTTTTTTTTTTTTCCTGAGATGGAATCTTGCTCTGTCACCTGGGCTGGAGTGCAGTGGCACAATCTCGGCTCACTGCAACCTCCTCCTCCCGGGTTCAAGCAATTCTCCTGGCTCAGCCTCTCGAGTAGCTGGGATTATAGGCACGTGCCACCATGCCCAGCTAATTATTTTGTATTCTTACTAGAGATAGGGTTTCACCATGTTGGTCAGGCTGGTCACGAACTCTTGACCTTGTGATCCTCCTGCCTCAACCTCCCAAAGTGCTGGGATTACAGGTGTGAGCCACTGTGCCGGCCCACGCTTAATTTTTTTAATGGAACATTCTTGATTTTAGATCTGCCGCAGTAGCACACTGGCTTAGATTCAGTAAGTCTCATCACCTTTCTGTCCTCTGTTCGTGTTTTTCATTGATCATATTCTTAACCTCAGTATAATTCTAACCAAAGATCTAATGCGAGCTACTTACCTATTTAAGAAATCATTAGTCTTTTCATTTCTCACTTAGCTGTAGCATTTTCCACTCTGGCTGATATTCACCGATTAAACCAAGGACATTCCCACCTCAGAACCTTCCCACTTTTTCTGTTCCCTCTGTCTAGAATGCATTTTGTTGTTGTTGTTGTTTTGTTCATTTGTTTTTTCCACCTCTGTCACTTTAGGTCTGGGCTCAAATATTTTCCTATTGAAGATGCTTTTCCTAACTACCTTAGCTAAAATATTTGTTTCCTCATTGCCACCTGAGCATGATATCTCTGTCTCCTGTATATTTTTCAGCAAAGTATTCATTACAGCTGATAGGACATTGTATATTTGTTGTTCATTTTTTGTCTTTTTCCCTTAAGAGAGTGTAAGCTTCAAGAGAATAGGTACATTATCTACCCACCACACACACACTATTTAATTTCTAGTGGGTATGACAGTTCTTGTTACATAGTAAATGCTTAATAAAAATGTATTGAGTGAATGAATGAATGACCTTGGTTGTTCCATGACATAAGAAATTGCTGAAAAGTTTAAAGGATGCCATCCTAACATGACTCAAGGAAAACATTAAAACTGAAATAAAATAAAAATATGAATAAGACACAATGAAATGGTAAATGGGTAGAAATATGAAAACAATTGAATCCTCTTAGGAGAGATATAGTCTCTAAGACTAAATAGTATTCTACTTAAATATATCACAGAATCAATTTATTGAAATGTGCAGCCAATGAAAATACTTGGGCCTTAGCACTTGAAAATTTCCATATCATGTTTCCTCAAAATAAGGCTTGCATATGTAAAACTAAGTTTTAAATAGAATGTGCACATTACTGAAAACAAACCAGAAATGATAAAGAAAGTATTAATAAAAAGAACGAAAGAGGAGGAAAGAAATAGAGAGATGATTTTATTATTCTAAGTATACTACTCCACAAGTGGTCTTTGTGAAGCTATTTTTTTTTTCTTTGAACTGGACTTGATCACTGCAACAGATCCAAAGTCCAAGGCCTGTATTCTAGCTGTGGTGGTTACCTCTCAGTCTAACACAGACTGGAGAAATTGCCTCATTGAGCCACAGCACCCATGACTTTGAAATGTAAGACTACCTATTTACAATCTTGTCAAGATAAATGATTACTCTTTTTGTTGACTAGATCTAAATAATTTATTGCTTCTTTTATAAAGTAGGGAAGACTTAAGAACACCAAGAGGTGTTAACATACACACAAAAGGTTTTCTTTAGTCCTTGATTTCTACACAAATTAGTTTTGAGTAAGAATCAGATGTAACCAGCACCGGTTTTCAAAACACTTGAAATATTTCATACTTTTTTTTCAAATAATAGCAGGATATAAAGCAAAAGTTGTTACAAGTAAAGGAAGAATAATTCTGCGGCAAACTTCCAAAATACCTCACAGGCTTAAAATAGGATTCTCGGTTCTCTTAAATACCACCAGCAAATGGAAAAACTGCAAAATATACATAAGTAGGGTCATCTTTTGTATGTGGAGAAAAACTTCCCTCAGTGTTCTTAATGTATTTTGTTTGTTCATTTAATGACAACATTCTCTAAGCCTGTAGATCCCCAGATGACTTTGAAAGTGTTCAACTTTCAATATTATACAAAGCAGCTCACCCCTCCCCTTTTACAAGCAATTGGTATACACATTTTGTGCTGCAGCTGTTGTGTGTAAACAGCATTTGGCTTGTCATCCTGAGACTTGCATTCAAATGGCAACCGTCCACATTACTGCTAGCTGTATGACCTCGGTCAAACCATATTATGACTGTATCTCCGAGCTTCATTTTCTTCTTAGAGAAAATGGGCTAAGATTTCATAGAGTTAATGGGAAACCTGAAGGTGATAAAGTATTTGGAAGCATAAAATACATTTTCTGTCTCACTGTAGATACTCAATAATAGTTAGTTGAATTATTTAGCTGCTTTTTGTCAACATTAAAATGCTAGTTTACATTCTAAAATTCTTCATCTTTTTAAATTAAAGATTTCAGTGTAGTACTGAAATCTCTCTTCAACACAACTATCTTTTATTTCCTCAAAAGTGTTTCTCCTAACTTTATTCAAGGTCAACTCAGCATATAAACAATTTTAATATATCAAAATAAAAAGAAGTCTAGACTTATATAAGCTAAGGCACCATATAAAAGACTATTACAAAGGGAGAATGCTGTAACCATAATATCCCAAAGTGTCTTCAAGTAAAGGAGAAAAGGACTTACCTCTTTTATAGAGATAAGTAATAACAAGACAGGAAAGAACTACATATGGAGGAGTGGGGTAGCAGGTGGCATGATAAAGGAACTGGAGACAAATTATTTTTTCCAGTCAGCTGATTCTCAGCAGAGCCTGTGAATAAGGCATTGTTCTACCTTTCAGTGCTCAAGCTCAAGGACGGGACAAAGTTCAGGGGTCTGGGAAAAGGAGAGAACCCTCATTAAGATTCTGTCAAGTTATGTTAGCAGGTATTTGGTGGGCATTTGGCCAAACACAAGAGAAACAAGCATAACAATAATATTCTTTTTTGTAATACTGAATATCCAGAACATCATTTAACAAGCAGTGTTTTCCTTGTGAAATAATAATGCATACAATGAAGCATAAGCAAATGAACAATTATGAATAACCTAATTTCAATATATGCTAATAACAAATGCAGTCATGTAGATGTTATAGTAAAAGTTAGATCTTTCAAAAGGTATAGGGATTCTAGAAACTGGCAACCTGAATATGTCCTACCTGCACTTCCTCCCCCAAATTCTCTTTCAGCCATCCTCTACTCTTGTCTCCAGTAGTCAGGTCAAATCTGGGGAATGTAACCAAGAGAGCCACTGCAGGATACTTTCCCCTCTGATCCTGATGAGAGACTGGAGAACAGGGTAGAAGATTGACAGGACTAGGATAAGAAAGTAGTAAATCCTCCTAGGACCAGAGAGATCTTGCACACTTTAGGAAAGGTCAGCTGTGGCTTCTTTAGATGTATTCATTCTCCCTGATTCTCAAAAGCTTGGGTATTTGCCAGAAAATGTGAAGGGTTATCTCACTTCCTGCAGCTGGAAAGGTGGGAGGAGAGCATGGAGCAAAGAAGTCTTTTGGTGATTTAGTAGGCACTGAGGAATTCCCCACAGCTATAATGCTATCCTAGGAGCAGAGTCCACTGAGCCTCAATCACTCTGTGAACTTCTGTACCTTAACGACAGTAGCCACTAAAATTAAACCTCAATGAGCAGATACAGAAAAGGCACTCAGTAGTGACCTAGAGAATATTGAGCACACCTATCAGAAAAGGTCCCTAATTAAATAGATGTATTGGGAGCTGCTATTTTGGAAAAATAGCAAGAGCCCTTAAGGAGATTAATATACACAACCAGCCTAACAAAAACACCAAATCAACACATTGTTTTATAAAACTTCAAAAATTTTATAATTTTTCAAAATTTTAGAAGATGATCTAAAGAAAAGAAGAGTTATTACTGAGACATGAATAAATGTTGTGGAGGCCAAATGGAATGAAATTCCCCAAATTGCTCATTGACAATGCAATTATGTACTGTTATACAAAAACCAACTTTGTGAACAAGGCCTCAAACAGAAATAAAGTTAGCCATTAAAAGAAAGAAAAAAAAAAAGCATTGAGCTTGTCATCTTGCCACACTAGAAAACAGAACACAGTAGAATGACATGTAGAGATTACCCAGAGAATAAAATATCAATGTGAGGATTATTAACCGATATACATCATTATTCACTGGTTAGAATGGAAGACATTTGCTTAGATAAAGGGTTTCAGTTAATCTATTTCCCATTTACACCATCCAAAAAGGGTACTCTAATAAAAGGTTTAACCAAACAACAAAAGACAAAGGTCTTTAAGATGGGCAATTGAAGTGAAAGGAGAAGTATTGAGCAGTGAACCTTGCAGATACAAATATGTAAACGTAACTGAACAGACTCTGCCAAAGTTGAAGCCTAAGTATTCTTGAAATAAAAGGGATTCTTAAACAAAAAAATATTTTAAAGGATTAAGCCATTTTATCAAAAGTGAAGTAAGAGTAAGTGGATAATTAAAGTATTTCAAGTTTACCCCCAGAGTCAGGGTAAGAGATAGCAGAAGTAAAAACATTGTGAAGATCTCACAGATGGAATATATAAGATGTTATGGATCAAATTGTGTACCCCAAAGCACATAACTTGAAGCCATTATATGACTTTATTTGGAGATAGAAACTTTAAGGTAGTAATTAGGGTTAAATGAGGTGATAAGGCTGGGAGTCCTAATCCAATAGGCCTGATGTCCTAAAAAGGGAAAGAGACAACAGGGATGCACTTATACAGGGAAAAGGCTACAGGAGGACATGAAAATGCAGCCCTCTTCAAGCCAAGGAGAAAGGCCTCAGGAGGAATCAACTGTGTTGGCACCTTGATCATGGACTTCCAGCCTCCAGAAATGTGAGAAAATGAATTTATATTATTTCAGCCACCCTGTCTACATAATTTTGTTTTGGCATCTCTAGCGAACTAATACAGGGGGATAGGGATTGAAAAAAATATGAAGGAAGAGAAATGTATTAGGTTATAAATACTAAGAAAGGGAAGGACATTGGAAATAAAATTAAAATACATGAAACAGAAGTTCATTTTAACAAAAGAGAGAAAAAGTTAATTAGCTACTTGATTAACTTAGGAAAATAAAAATGAGAAAAAGGAACAATTAGATAAAATTTTAAAAATGTATAAAGAATTAAGGAGGGATTTTAATAAGGTATATAAGTTAATCTATGTGAATAGACAATTTGCCAAATAAAAATGGCTGCCAAATTTGGCCATATATATATATATATATATATATATATATATATACATACATAGTCTATATATACAGAGACTATATATGTATTTTATCCTTTTCTGTCATACATGGACCACTCCTATAAATTTGTTTTCTTTTTTTTTTTTTGTATTCTTCTTAGAGAGACCTTACCTACTTATGTAGCTTCAAGAGCTATTATAAAAGTTTCTATTAGTCTATTTGGCTACATATATATATATATATATATATATATATATATATATATATATATATATATATATGTAGACAGCTTCTCAGAGCTTCTGTTATCTCCACATCTTCATCATCCATAATCATTTCAAGAGTAAAGAGGTATAATAGTGAATCAAGAATGTTATGTTTATATTGCGAATAATATTCCTAATTTATTTTTCACATATATAAATGCCCTCTGTTTTCATTAATTGTTATGATTAAAGTCTTTATTACATTTTTCATGCTTCAATTATAAGAAAGATGTTTTTAAATTCTAAAAAAATATGACAATTGAAATTGTATGCAGGAATAAAATTATTCATTTTATTCAAGATAAAGGGGATTGTGTGTGTGCACTTATCTTGTGAAAGCTATAGTTATACCTGGAGTTCTTTAAAAAAAAAAATGCTAGGCTGGTCGCAGTGGCTTAGGCCTGTAATCCCAGCATTCTGGGAGGACAAGGCGGGTGGACCACCTGAGGTCAGGAGTTCGAGACCAGCCTAGCCAATGTGGTGAAACCCCGTCTCTACTAAAAATACAAAAATTAGCCAGGTGTGGTGGCACATGCCTGTAGTCCCAGCTACTTGGGAGGGTGAGGCTGGAGAATTGCTTGAACCTGGGAGGCAGAGGCTGCAGTGAGCAAAGATGATGCCACTGCACTCCAGCCTGGGTGATAGAGTGAGACTTGGTCCCAAATAATAATTAATAATAATAATAGTAATGTGCTTAACCTAAGATATTATCCAAGCTCTGTTTTATTTTAACCTGAGCTTAAAATATACAAACAAACAAAAACTCTTTCACTGTGAACAGTATTTATCTTTAGGATAAATCTATATAACAGTTGGTCAGCATTACATATGATATTGAAACTGTTTATGCTGAAGTCAGCAATAACTATACCTGTCACATTGCCAGAGGCAATGTCCTGTTTTCCCTCTTGTCCTTCATCTCTCTTGCAGTTGACACTGTTTACTCAGTCTTCTTCCCTGAAAATTTTTCTTTTTTTTTGGCTCCGTGAAACTCACCAATCTGTATAAGCTCATTTTTATCCTTTTCTGTCATACATGGGCCACTCCTATAAATTTGCTGTTTGTCTTCTTTTTTATATATATATTCTCCTTAGAGAGACCCTACCTACTTATGTAGCTTCAAGAGCTATCATCAAAGTTTCTATTAGGGAGAAAGAGCTTGTGCTTAGGAGAATATGATGATATAATGTCCTACTGGAAGATACACACACAAACACACTAAACTAGCTTGTTGGATTTCTTTTCTTTTCTTTCTCTTTTTTCTTTTTTTCTTTTTTTTTTTCAGGGATAGGGTCTTGCTCTGTCACCCAGGCTAGAGTGCGGTGGCAGGATATCAGCTCCTCACTGCAGCCTTGAGTTCCTGGGCTCAAGCCATCCTCCCACTTCAGCTTCTTCAGCAGCTGGGACTACATGCACAACTTTGTCTGGCTAATATTTTTCAATTAATCTTTGTAAAGATGGGGTCTCCCTATGTTGCCCAGGCTGCTCTCTAACTCCTGGGCTCAGGTGATCCTCCCATTTTGGCCTGCTCATCAGATTTCAAATTGGCACGACAAACAGGAAAAAAGGGATGTTGGGGGAAAATTAAAGAAAGAAGAGAGGGAAAGAAGACTGAGTGGGGTATAGTAAGGACCCAGTGAACAATGGTTGAAGAATCTTTAAGAAAAAAATGTGTAATACTTGATTAACATTGCTCATTTTGTTTTGAGTTAACTCTTCTCTTTACTTAGTTATAATGTTACACATTCAGGATTAGGATGGCAGTTGTATTTTATTGTGTGTAGTTACATAAAGAAATAAAGCTGGGTTTCGTATTTGTGTTATTGGAAAAAATAATGTTGTCAAGGTGCTGAACAAAGAAATAGTCATGGCATTGGAGCCAGAGATGACCATGAGTAGACTTTTTCCCTGGACATTGGCAGAAACCTGCAGAAAGGATTAGACTTTTCTTCCACAGCCTTCCCCGAATACCTTTACCTTCATCTTAATAACACTCTCCAGAAGTTCTTCATCTATATGTTACCCCTCTAGACTCCAAACTACTTTAGCACAGAAACCATGCCCTTTGATGCTAAAATAACCCCCTACTTATAGAAGCTGCTTAAAAATCAGCAACTACAGTACATCAAAGTAGGTTTTAATATTGGCTGACATAGGTCTTCTAGGTTTAAAGGAGGAGAGACACAAGTAGGGTCAATAGTATTAACCTAGTTAAAGAACTGGACCCAGGAGGTAAGCCACACTACAAATTACCACGTCCAAAAATTTGTGAAAAGCCCAGTTTCCCGGCAGGCAGTGTGATAAAGAGGCAAGAACACATCTTTTGGAGTTATTCAGATTTGTGTTTAAGCACTGAGTCTATCATTTACTGACTGTGCAGTAGGTTACCACATACTTTTCTGAATTAAAATTTCTGGTTTAGCTGATCTTATTTCATAAAGTTATGGAGAGAATTAAATTATTTAACATACGCAAAATGAGTCAACGTTCAAGTAAAGTAAATTTAATGCCTGGAACATTTTTACAGAAGTGGAACAATATTACAACAGCTGTAGACAAGTTTTGCTTACTTTACAGTTTCACCTGGAGCCAGTTGTGCCACGATGCAGCTGCTTTTTATTTATGTTTGAAAAGTGTATTGCTGAAGAACTGAAACAAGTTTTATTTTTGTTTAAAGAGCCCAACTTTTGTTGCCAAGGGCATAAAGCTAAATCATGTGGGCAAGTGGGAACCATACAGTTGTGCTTACTGGGCTGTGCTTGGTGGGAGTTGTAGATTCTAGGTGAGTACAACCTTGGATTCAGCAGAAATGCTCGAAAGTACTACTCCCCCAAGACTTCATGAAATCAACTATTCATAAGAGAAAATAGAATGGGGAAAACAACTAAATTCATTGTCTTAAAAACATTTACTTTATATTACCTTATCCTCCAACTTACAGGAGATGATGAAAAGAAGTCTAAAATGCGCTTGAAGTGCAGTGTTTGATTGTTGTTAGTAAGAGAAGAAATATATCTATAATTCATTTTGTAAAGCGCATTTCCTGTTACTTGCTACAGATATAGCTGCCACATCTAATTGTGTTTGTGTAGTTCCTTAATTTGCATGAAAGAAGATAACATAAATGAAAACTCAGGAGAAAGACTAATTCAGATTACTAGCCCAGGCAAGCTAATTTGTTATTCATTAAATGCTAATGAACCCAGCACCCTTGTTTTATTTGTCTCACTCTATTTGAGATTTGAAAGGTCTTGTAACACAGTTAAAGTCTACAATAAACAGATATGTGAAATTAATGCACTGCTTTTCCTCTTCTTTCTGTTTGGTAGAAATACAATTATTCCTGGACTAGGCAAACTAAATAAATCACTATGGAAAAGTATATTTCCTTTCTGTTTAAAAAGGCAAATTTAATCAAAATGAAGTTCTTCTCATTGTATATTGTCTTCAATTTCCATATGACCTAGACATTCCATATGTCTATCCTGCAGTCCAGCCCATTTTTTAGAAATCCAAAAATGAGATTGAGTTTAGGTAAATTGAAATCTATTATATTTACTTCTTTTTTCTTACCATTCAAATGTTATTTTTAACAGGCTTTTTCTAAACATATTTTCTATGACTGTTTGCTATAAAATGCAGCAGGTAGAAGGTGATAGCATATGTATTCAGGGTAGGTTGGTTTTTTTCACTGTTTATTTGCTTTCTTAACATAGTTATTATTAGGTTAGATTATTTATTGGTGAACTTGGCCATCATATAGAACTACTGAATTTACTTACCTTTATATGTCATTGATTTAGTACAAATTCTATATGCTGTTCTGGCTGTTACACTGCAATATTCCATACAGTGAATACAACATCTGAATTATATTTCAGTCATCACCGCTCATCTACAATCAGTATCACTTGTGTTCATATTTCATTAGCAATGTTTTTCTCATTTTTATAAACTCTGTCTCATAAAGAGATTTAAGAAAGGGAAAGAAGTTAAACTTTCTTTTCTTTGTATGCTGCATAGAATAGAATCAGATATCTACTAATATTCCATAAAGTAGGTTATTAAAGTCACTTACAATGCTTGGCTGTAGGAGATAGTTTTAGTTTTTACCAGGGACCATTCACTCTGGTAGTTGATCAAACTCTCATTCTAAGATGTGATGTAGTTTGATCATGGAGGTACACCTGTATAACTTCTTTGATGAAACAAATGACATTCCAGTGGATCAGTCTATTTTTTTTTTTAGCCTGTTTTCTTTCTGGTATCCAGATAAGAGTGTTGTTTAGTGGAAATGAAAGACCACAATGAGAAAGAAGTTTCATTTCTTGCAATTTAGGGTATTTTTTAGCAAAACATCTTGCACAGACAATTCTAATAGCTGCTGAAAAATGCTAACCAGTTTCATTTGTTTTACAGGCCACTTACAAAGGCCTCAACCTGAAAATAACACAGAAATAGCTGCCACATCCAATAGGCAGCTAGCTTTTTTAAAGAAAATAATAATTTTGGAGCATAGAGGCATGAGGATCATGTAAGAGTAGGAGCATGAGCCTTAGAGAAAGAAAGAAGGTTTTAACTCTGGCTCAGTTACATACAAACCTTATAATATTTTTAATCTATTTGTACCTCAGTTTCTTCAATTGTAAATTTGGAATAATTACACTTTATATCATTATTGTGTATGTGGTTGAGAGCACCTATGATTTCAACCTGCCCATTGTAGGCAGTTGATTCACGTTAGCTTTAACTTGAAAGTTTAACATATCACGCTCCGATCAAATCATTGTCTGTCTAAACAACTGAGGGCAGAGCTTTATCTACTATATTTGTTGCAGTATTTTAGCACAAGAAAACAGAGCCTAATATGCAATACATTCAATAAATATTTGTTAAATCAACAAATAGCTTACTAGCTAATCCTTAGTTATCATATTGTTGATTTTGCATAAATTTCAAAAGAGATTGGGAATTATAAACTATTGCGGTTCCAAAGCCCCCCTCTAATGGTATTTCTGTCTTAGGATATAATAAATATTGGGAATACCTTAAAAATGTAATTTAAAAATGTGTTTTTCCCATTCTACTTTCCTTCATTTTTTAGAAAGAACTTATAGTAATAATCAAGCTTGGTCAAATTATTATGGTGTGAAGCAATTTTGAAAATGATTAGTAACTGATAGACTTTAAAAATATTTTCTCAAAGCTATAGGTTTACTACCACTAACCAAATAAATCTACTCTTCTTTACTGCACTTTGATTTACTGCTGTTACTTCATAGAAAATATGCATAGCAAGATGAACTCTATTTTAAAACATATAAATGCCAATGCACTATCTGCAACTCAGAAAAAAAAAATAACAACACTCTTGATATCTTTGGCCTTATGGTCAAAGTCCAAATGACTTCTTGAAATTCTCAAAACACTACTACCAGTAAAGAAAAATTGAGAAATAAAACAACTGGTTCTATTATGGATGTATTATGGACCCGGTGACCTATTGAAACATTTTTGACAAGTTCAATCTTCCAATGATGGAGAAATTTGTGATGGACTCTGATTTCATTGGGTTACTGGACAGTTAAGCATTATCTTTGTGTATCAAATTAGAGTGAATACTTTCATTTATCCATAAAGGTTTATGGAAAGGCTAAAAGGTAATTTGTTGTACGATTATGGTTGCTGCAATGACACAACTGCCACAGGCCACAGGTCACACATGTCACGGGTTTTTCTAAAGTTGAAATTGGAATCCAACTTAAGAAATTGTGAGTCCCTGAAAATGAGCACTAGATGCTTTATTTTTTTCTTTATTACTTTCTCTTTTCTTTCTTTTTCTCTGCCAGTTGACAATTCCTTCTCTACCCATCTTGCATCCTTGTACTAAAGAGAGCTAGCTCCCCTTAGATAACTTCACCCTCATTCCTCTCAGACCAAAACCTGGGAAGTGACAAAAACCTTCAAATAGATATCTACATATAAGAAGAGAGAACTTGTTCCTGCTTACTGTCTGTAACCTTGTGGCAACATTATGAACTTGATAGGAACAAAGGGCTATGCAGTTCTCCAGATTTCTGCTGGCCCATAGGGCACAGGAAAGCAGCAAAAATAGTGTCTCTGTGTGGACTGACAGACTTGGAGACAGCAGAAAACAAAATGCATTGTCTAAATAACCTAAAGTCATGGAGAGCTGTAACGATGTTTAACGCATGAATGCAGAGGTGCCCTGACATGATGCTCAACCACCAGATGTCATAAGTTATATCATAGCTGGGGCCATCCAGGAAAGATCCTGGAGTCCAAGGCCTCATAGGATGACTTACAGGATGACTCAACTGGAGATTGTTTTTTGTTTTTCTTTTAGTTTAGTCTGTAATTATCTCCGGATTCTTGCAATACCCTCCTAACTGCCTTCTTTCATCTCTATTTCTCAAATTCTTCCTCTAAATCAATGTAGTCCCCAAACTTAATTAATTGCATATCTTCATGTTCAGTCTTCATCTTACTGGTAAAAATATATTAAGCTCTCTGACACTCTATATTTTTATAAAGTGTATACATATTTTATGATTCTACTATATTATATATCAGTAAAATAATGCAAATTTTGTGAAGAGAGTGACATAAACAAATGCAATCTTTCTCTTATTATCATAACTTACATACTTTTCATCTCCTACAGAATAAATGATAAGATTCTAGCATATCCTGAGCTTGTCCTTCTATGGTTTGATTCTCCATCCTCATCTCATACTAATCCATCTTCCCTCCCTATTTATGTCCAAGAAATACATAATTTGTTGAATTTTCTTCAAGGATAACTATGAGTAAAAATACTAGTCAGTATATTTTTTACACTGTATTAAATGAATTGTGTATTCTTTGTACCCTTACTAGACTATAAGCTTCTGTTGGAATGGGTCCTGGTCATCTCTCTCTCTTTCTCCCTCAAAAGTTAGTTTGTCAAATATAGTGAGTACCCAATATACACTTTTATTTTCCACTTTTGGCAAAAATAAAAAAAAAAATCTGAGCACAAGCGTATCGAAAGTCCATGCATGAGCATGAATTTATGGTAATGACTAAGTGCCCATTTTATTAATACTTACATATGTCACCTTTTATTATTACAATAAATGCGGCTATCTGATACCTGAATAGGAGGAAAATAAATATACAGACTCACAAAAGAAATACTCTTTTTTTGGACAAGAACCAATGAACAAGTAAGCACTCATTAAATAACCAAATTATGCAACAATTTAAAACATTTTTAGAAAAAGTCTAAATCTATGCAAAAAATAGGAAGCATATCATACATGCACTTTGATTACACCTCTATTAAAGATATATGCAAAAATAAAAGGTATGAGATTTAATAATTAAAAATTAATATTTAGAACAATAATTTTTAAATACATATTTTGACATATCTTTTTAATAGTATCATGAATTATAAAATAAAAAAGGTTTAATGAAGTATTTGTAATGGACAATTTTATTGCATAGCTTCCTTTGAGAGATTCTCTAAAACTGGAACCATAATAAATGTTATAAAAACTATATGAACGCATAAATCTCCTCAACAAAAAATAAGTTTATAAGAAACAAACATATGGGCACATCACTCATATAATGTGTGCAGTCCTAAGGGAAGTTAAGAAGTCTATGAACCCAAAAAATGAGACCACTGCAAATAATTTCTCTTGACATTCATTCCTACTTGTAATTAACATATTTTAATCCTATTACTGTAAGCCGCCCATGCTTCTTTGTTCTTTTTAAATTCTAAGTAGCTTGGCCAACACAGAAAGAAGGCACAAGCAAAGTTTGGGGCAAGAAAAGCACTATTCACTTACATTGTTATTTTTTAGGCCTTTAATACTAAAGAGAATAGAACATAACATTATCCTGGCATCAAAGGAATAAGAGGAAAACGTTATTTACCTTTGTCTAATTAGAAATAATGGATCAAAATCCAGATACCATAATTTATAAAGAAGGTACAACCTTATTCACTTCAAATTCCAGGATCAGGTTAGCAGCAGTTAGAGTTCAAATAATTCCGATGACTGGAATTACAAAAGTGAGCCTTTTCGTGTACAAAGATCCTTCGGCAAAGACCCTTTTATCACATTATATATTTAAATAAAAAACACTGACCCTGTCTACACTTAGACTATATTTTTAATCTAAATAAATAGTTTTTCTTGTTTTTTAATTATCTAAATTGTTCTCTGCTGTCTTATGGGCATTAGAAGTACTTTTCCATACAACACTTTTTACTTTTTCTTAAGGAGTTATTTTTTCTCCTGCTTTTGCTTATTAATTAAGAAGGAAAATTTTAATGACCAAACAATGATAACAGATTTTCTTCTTTCATTGTTACTTGTGAGATGGTTAAAATTCTTATTTTTGTAGAGCCCAGGAGAAAGGAGAATGAGTTCTGGGTTCTTATTTGATTGGCTAGCCCTGTGTGAATACAATTTAAAAGCCAAAGGATGTTTAACACCACTAGTGCTTCATATAATATCATTTTGTACTATTATGTGTAATCATTGTGGCTTTTACAAAAAGCAGGTTTTTTTTCCTTAAAATTTTGCTTATATTATTGTCACCTGGGGGCACTTTTTGTTTGTTTTTGAGACAGAGTCTTGCTCTGTTGCCCAGGCTGGAGTGCAATGGCATGATCTAGGCTCACTGCACCCTCCACCTCCCGGGTTCAAGCAATTCTCCTGCCCCAGCCTCCCAAGTAGCTGGGATTACAGGCGTGTGCTGCCACACCTGGCTAATTTTTTGTATTTTTAGTAGAGACGAGGTTTCTCCATGTTGGTCAGGCTGGTCTTGAGCTCCAGACCTCAGGCGATCCACCCGCCTCGGCCTCCCAAAGTACTGGGATTACAGTCGTGACCCACCGTGCCTGGCCTCTGGGGACATTTTAGAACTAAAATAGGAAATAGTTTCACTTAAAATGAACAAAACATGCCAGCACATCAAGAATATAGAATCTGCTTGGCAACCATGGACAAATGGTACAATTTACTCTCATTGTAGGATCATACAGAACTATAATTCCTCTTTGACAAAGGCAAAAAAAAAAAAATTGAAGAATAGTGTGCTTTTTGGTAAACGAATGTATAGTAGGGAATTATATACATATATGTATATATATTATATTTATATACATATATGTATATATATTATATATATATACATATATAGAGAGAGAAAGAGCAATTGCTCTGTATTCAAACAGAAGATAAAAACATATAAAAATTAATATGTTCCAATGAGATAGAAAATAAAATTGGTAATAAAACTTTTTCTACCTTGGAAGTTTAGATAGACTATAGACAACAGTTATTTGCTTCATACAGTTAGTTGGGTTTGTCCTGCTTAATTTTTTTTGTTTTTACAGTTTTTTTTTTTTTCGAGGTGGAGTCTTGCTCTGTCACCCAGGCTGGTGCACAGTGGCTCACTCGGCTCACTGCAAGCTCCACCTCCCGGGTTCACGCCATTCTCCTGCCTCAGCCTCCTGAATAGATGGGACTACAGGTGGCCGCCACCATGCCCGGCTAATTTTTTGTATTTTTAGTAGAGACGGGGTTTCACCATGTTAGTCAGGATGGTCTCAATCTCCTGACCTCGTGATCCACCCACCTCGGCCTCCCAAAGTGCTGGGATTACAGGCGTGAGCCACCTTGCCCGGCCATTTTTACAGCTTTTAAATAACAATAAAATGTTCTCCTAAAGTCTCTCACAACTGTTCTTCACAACTGTATGTATGTGTTGAGGCCCCATAGTGGTTACTGCGGTGGTCTTCTTGCAATCATCCACAATTTAGAGCCTAAGAAGACTTCTTATAATTTCACTGGTTGTTCTCAGGTTTGCTTGTCCAGATTCGCACAAAGTGTGGTGGCATGAATTTTATGGATATTTGTTGGTGGTTTTTGGGTTCTGTGATTCACAAGACCCTGTGCCATTAACACTTTATGGTTCCATATTAATCTTGATGCTGTGGCAATCTATAGGCTAGTCTTGATGTACTCTGAATTTGCCTGAATATATATAATAAGTTGAGCTGTCTTATTACCAAGTTTTAATGAGGATGCTGCTGGTGGGATTTTCTGTGTTAATGCTGATTGATTCTGCCTTCATCCCTCTTTTCAGGGATTTGAGGAATACATATACCATATTCTTGCTATCAGAAATGGTCCAGAATGCTTTTTCTTTGCTTCTATGTTATTGATTTTTAGTTTTCTATTGGTTAGACATTTTAAATTCTAGTGCTCTGAAACTATACATTTTTTCTCTTCTTTTAGAGCTTGCTCTTAAAATGTCCTTATATATACTTAATTTAAAATTATAAAGATAATCAGGAGATATAGTCTCATCCCAAACAATATTAGAACTGATAAACATTTTACAATATCAGAACACTGATAAACATTTTACATGTTGCTGCTATACAATGTTTTCTTTGTGCTAATTTTTATGTTTTTATATTTATTATTGTTTTATACACTCCACACTCTAGGAATTTCTTTAGTCTCCTCCCTCTATATTTAATTCTCCACTTTTTAAAGTACACGTACAATTTTTAATTGGAAAGTTACCAGTGATAAACACATTTTGATAGAAAAAAAATTTTATTTTTGCCTTTTTTTTTCCCTAGAGCTTTAAAGATATTCAGTTGGATTCCAATTGCTACTCGTGGAAACTTTGTTACATACCTAATTTTTATTTCATACCTATGATTGTTTTTAAGATCTTTATTTTTAGTATTCTAAAATTTCACTAAGACATTGAGACAGCCAGGTGGAAAGGGGTCCCCAGGGAAACTCCAACTAGCTTGTGCACTGAGAAGAATGCAAACTGGGGTGATGCCACGGAAGTTTGTGCCATTTGCAGTGGGGAGGAGCCTGGTCCCTCCTCTTCCTCGGTGGTACCTGGGATTCAAACTTCGAGGCAGGAAGCTCACCAGCAGGCACTCTGGCTTTGCGGAGGATCCCCATTTCCCTTTTTTTTCTCTTTCACCCAATAAAAACCTGCCTTACCCTTCAAATTGTCTGTGAGCCTAATTTTTTGTGGCCCTGTGATAAGGACCCCATCTTTAGCTGAACTAAGAAAATGTCCTGCAATATTCCTGGTACCCAACATAGGGTTGAGAAGCAGTGACTGAGCTACAAACCAAGCAATATTTTTCCCTCTTGCTTCTAAGTCTTTTCATCCTTGGACTTCTGAGGGTAGGGGAAACCATGCCTTCACCCCATCACTCCTGAGGGTCAGGAAGGTCGACGTCGGTCTCTATGGCTTGCTCATTCCCATCACCTGGGAGGATTTGCAGAATAATTGCTCAGAACTAGAATATTGATCCAGATTTGTACATTACCCATCCCTTTTGTTCTTTCTGAGCTGCAGCCAGAGACTGCTGGTTGGTTGACAGGAACAAGCAGGATTAGCCTAAAATGTAGGCGAAAACTTAAAAACAAGTAATCCATATAGAATTTAATGACAAATCTATGATAAAGTTTGAAACATAATTTCTCTCTCTCCAGTCCTTATTTTTATTAAAATAACAGATCATAACAGGACCAAGTTGTTTGCAAAATAAACTTCAGTCTTATACTTGGGTTGATTATTTGAATAAAGTGCAGCAAGAAATAGAGTAACTATTTCTATATAGGCCTTTTGGATTGGCTTTGATGGAACTCTGTTCTACAAGGCGAGCCCAGCCATGGGTCTGTATCCTCAAATACCTATGAGTTGGGTGATTCTCTCCTCTTAAGGTCCCAAGATAAACTTGGAGCTTGTTGAAAAGTGACATTCTTTACTGACCACAGGTCAGGAGCCCTGTACAGGGACTGTGTAGACAAAGGTATGAGGCCAGTCTCATTTTTCCTTTCTCCTCCTCTGTTCTCTCTTCACAGATAGGTAATTGTGTCTCTGTACTACAGGACACTCCTCAGATGCCTCCTCCAAACTGGAAATAGTTAATTTCCCAAACCTTAAACTGGTTGGCTTAAGGTTAGGGTCAGCGAAGGGAATCCAGAAGCCCAACATGCTGGCAAAATGGTAAAGGTTTTTTTTTTTTTTTTTTTTTTTACCAGTCAGGCTTTTGGCCTTCCTCTCTCTGTGCAAAAGGCCTCCGGATTTTTGAGCTGTCCTTACATCTTCCCTTGTTTCATTTTGATAACATGTTTTCTAATAACCTGGTTTGTCATTTCTTGCCTTCAGGCCATCAAACGCCAAATGGTAATGCAACCAGAGCCTCTGATGATAGCCTCTTCTGCTGGGAACCCTTAGAAAGGCCTCTGAGGGAGCTCCGATTGCCATTTTCCTCAAAACAGCGCCCTCTGTCAGCAGGAGGCAGTTAAGATTTGTCTTTGTACTTAACCCTTAATCCTTATTCTAAGGGCAGTTAGATGTACTTCTTTAGAGCAGGGATGAGATAGCCAGGTGGGAGGGGGTCCCCAGAGAAACTCCAACCAGCCTGCGCACTAGGAGGAATGTGCACTGGGGTGGAGCCACAGAAATTTGCACCGTTTGCAGCACGGAGGATCCTGGACCCTCCTCTTCCTAGGTGGTACCTGGGATTCAAACTGTGAGGTGGGAAGCTCACCAGCAGGGACCTTGGCTTTGTGGAGGGTCTCTGTTTCCCTTTCTTTCCCTTTTCACCCAATGAAAACCTGCCTTACTCGCCCTTCACATTGTCTGCAAGCCTAGTCTTTCGTGTCCCTCTGACAATGACCCCGTCTTTAGCTGAACTAAGGAAAAGTCCCGCAACAGTATGTTCAGATGTTGACTTTTATTCATTCATTCTACTTGTAGTTTTTGTGCTTTTTTACATCGCAAAGTCTTCAATTCTGGTAAATTCTATGTCATTATCTCTGAAAATTTTGTTCTTTTTTTACTATAACTGTAAATATTTTATTAAATAAATTTAATATACATAACTATATATTTTTTGAACTAAGACATATCAAATATATATATTTGGATTTGTCCTATTTCATTTTGTATTGCTATAAAGGAACACCTGAGGCTGGGCAATTTATTTAAAAAAAGGTTTCTTTGGCAAATAATTTCAAATGGATGGGAAGTTCAAGTTTGTTCATCTGCATCTGGTGAGGGCCTCAGGCTCCTTCCATTTATGGCAGAAGGAAAAGGGGATTCAGTGTGTACAGAGATAACATGGTGAGAGAGGAAGCAAGAGAGAGAGAGAGAGAGAGAAGATATGCTAGTTTCTTTTTAACAACTGCTGTCATGGGAACTAATAGAGTGAGAACACACTGTCCCTTTCCCCTATTCCAGGGAGGGCTTTACTCTATTAATGTAGGATCTCCCCTCAGGATCTAAACACCTTCCATTAGAACCCACTTTCAACACTAAGGAAGACAAATTTCTACATGAGATTTGATGGAGAGAAACAAACTATATTCAACCTATAGCAGAATTGTATCATTCTAGCCACTATTTCTGTTAACCTGTGTTTTTATGTCTTCTATCACTTCATCTCATGGTTTTATTCTGGAAAGTAATTTGAGATGTATTTATATTCAGTATTTATTTTTGAATCTTTCCTTAAAATATTTTTGTCTTTTTACTTAAATTCTTTATTTCAGTTTGAGATTCTCCCCTCCATTATACACTCAACTTAACTGAGTATTATGACTATAATAAGACAAGACTTCTTTTTTGTCATAGTGACTTCTATTTCCTATGAGTAGGTCTTTCTTTGTCTTCCTAACATTGTCTGAAACTTGACAAAATTATGAAATCATGAGCACTAATTTATATTTTAAAAAATGTCTTATAGGATAGAAGTTGGGCATATTGTTCTTAACTAATATGAAGCTCTTCATGGAAATTTCTTCCTAGAAGTGCAATGGCAGCTTGAGCATATAAATTTTAAAAAGGTGTTTCAAAAAAAAAAAAAAAAAGAAAGAAAAACAAAAGATCTTTGACAAACCTGAGAAAAACAAGCAATGGGGAAAGGATTCCCTATTTAATAAATGGTGCTGGGAAAACTGGCTAGCCATATGTAGAAAGCTGAAACTGGATCCCTTCCTTACACCTTATACAAAAATCAATTCAAGATGGATTAAAGACTTAAACGTTAGACCTAAAACCATAAAAACCCGAGAAGAAAATCTAGGCATTACCATTCAGGACATAGGCATGGGCAAGGACTTCATGTCTAAAACATCAAAAGCAATAGCAACAAAAGCGAAAATTGACAAATGGGATCTAATTAAACTAAAGAGCTTCTGCACAGCAAAAGAAACTACCATCAGAGTGAACAGGCAACCTACAAAATGGGAGAAAATTTTCGCAACCTACTCATCTGACAAAGGGCTAATATCCAGAATCTACAATGAACTCAAACAAATTTACAAGAAAAAAACAAACAACCCCATCAAAAAGTGGGTGAAGGACATGAACAGACACTTCTCAAAAGAAGACATTTATGCAGCCAAAAGACACATGAAAAATGCTCACCATCGCTGGCCATCAGAGAAATGCAAATCAAAACCACAATGAGATACCATCTCACCCCAGTTAGAATGGCAATCATTAAAAAGTCAGGAAACAACAGGTGCTGGAGAGGATGTGGAGAAATAGGAACACTTTTACACTGTTGGTGGGACTGCAAACTAGTTCAACCATTGTGGAAGTCAGTGTGGCGATTCCTCAGGGATCTAGAACTAGAAATACCATTTGACCCAGCCATCCCATTACTGGGTATATACCCAAAGGACTATAAATCATGCTGCTATAAAGACACATGCACACGTATGTTTATTGAGACATTATTCACAATAGCAAAGACTTGGAACCAACCCAAATGTCCAACAATGATAGACTGGATTAAGAAAATGTGACACATATACACCATGGAATACTATGCAGCCATAAAAAAGGATGAGTTCATGTCCTTTGTAGGGACATGGATGAAATTGGAAATCATCATTCTCAGTAAACTATCGCAGGAACAAAAAACCAAACACTGCATATTCTCACTCATAGGTGGGAATTGAACAATGAGAACGCATGGACACAGGAAGGGGAACATCACACTCTGGGGACTGTTGTGGGGTGGGGGGAGGGGGAAGGGATAGCATTGGGAGATATACCTAATGCTAGATGACGAGTTAGTGGGTGCAGCACACCAGCATGGCACATGTATACGTATGTAACTAACCTGCACAATGTGCACATGTCCCCTAAAACTTAAAGTATAATAATAAAAAAAAAGAAAAAAAATTCCCAAAATAAACAATTCATAAGATTTAAAAAAAAAAAAAAAAAGAAAAACAAAAGGGAAAAAAAGGTGTTTCAGAACAATGCTTATTCACTTTCACGATACCTTTGCTTATTTTTCATTGATTACAAGTTTTTATGTAATATGTATGTACTTAAATATTCATTTTGTTATTCCTAGCAGATTGGTCAATGATTAATATAAGAATAATAATACTTGAAAGTAAAATTATGCTCTTAGTTGTTTCTGATGTCTCTTGCTCATGTGGCCTTGTTATCTTAGATGTTTGTAGTATTGTCTTATGAAGTCCTTCTATTAAACTTTATCTGGGAGAAACCTGTGATGGTGTGGGTTGAGAGTTGGAATGTATCTCCACAGTAGATTGTGGTTTAGTTTCATCATACATCTTAGGAGCTCAAAAGCCAATGACCAATTTTCATGTGAATTTCATGGCTTATATGTGTTCAAAACATGTCAAGGCCAAACTTGAAGAAGTAAAGGCTGAACAGAAATTTAGAGTTCTCTGAGAAGCCTACTTTTGCTTGTTCTCACCTACAGCCTATGCAGGTACAGTGCAGCTTATAGTTTCCGTGCACTTACTGTCTACCTACTTTTCAAGGTTTACAGACACTTGGGGTTCCTGGCTTATATTCAGTGATCTTATTTTCTACCTTCTGTCCTAGATGGGCACAAGAACTAATCTCATGGGTCTTGGGGGTATGTAATCCCCTTCTAATGTGTATTATTATCCCCTGACACCTGGGGCATGACAGGATAAGCTTATCAGCTTTTCTGAGTAGGTTTCAGTTTTCACATTATTTCTGGAAGTGGAAACTTACTTTTCTTTAAGGCCAAAGCAGATTTGAATTTAAAATAGATTTGTTAGGTATTATGTAGGATTTCTAAATGTTTATGGCAGGAAAATATTTAGATTTCTTAAATCCACTGTCTTACAATAACCACAAAATATTCTATAACTCAATCTCTTTAAGCAGTTCAGAAAAGTTTTCTACTCAGTTCACATAAGAGACATTTCACAGTTTAAATTCACAGAAGAAAAGGAAACAATTGTAATAAATCATTATTTTAAAACTCTACCTACAAACTTTGAAAAATATTTTATTTTTTAATCACTTCACATAAACATAAATGCCTAGCTCAGTCCTTGGCAATTGTAGACAATAAGCATTTATTGAACAAAAGAAAAAAGAATACCATAGGTATATTCCCCATGACCCTAGAGGTTAAAATAATTATGCTGATTATGTGGCTGTTACAGCTGAAAATGCATGATGAAAATATTCCATTCTACTTATTGTTTATTAAACAATGCCTTCTTCCTACCATACATAAGGGCATCATGCTGTAATTTTTAAAATTTATATGCTCAAGCTGCCGTTGCACTTCCAGGAAGAAACTTCCACGAGGAGCTTCCTATTAGTTAATCACAATATGGTCAACTTCTATCCTGTAAGGCATTTCCTTTAAATATAAATTAGTGCCCATGATTTCATCGTTGTGTCAAGTTGCAGACAATGTTCAGAAGATACAGAAAGACCTACTAATAGGAAATAAAAGTCACTATGACAAAAAAAGTATTGTCTTATTATAATCATAATGCTCAGTTAAGTAGAGTGGATAATGGAGGGGAAAATCTCTATTTCAAACCAATGTTACTTTCTGTCATAAAACATTCTGGTTCTGAAATGTGTTATTTTGATTTTTTTTCTTAAAAGTAATTCACCTGACTGAATGAAATCAAGTGATGTGTTTATGGATGTTGCTTTATTTGTGCTTCTAAATCTATTATAAAAAATAAAGTTAGAAAATAACTCTTCATATGTGGAAAAGTTGAACATAAGTTTTCATGTGACTGAAACATATTTTCTCTTTAAAAAACTTAGAAAAACTACTTAAGAAATGTTAAAAAGGTAATGGAGCACATTAACCCACATCATTCACTCTATAATTTCAGGGATTCAAAATGGGTCATTAACTATAATTTGACAATGCCATTCTGAGTGGGAAAAACAGAAATGTTATTACAAAGCTTAATACTGTATTCCATTTGAAAATGTATAGTTATCATGCTAATACAAGCATTTAAAACGGTTTTTCCTTTGACTGTGAAATGTAATTATATATGGCATCCTTCATAAAGAAAAGTTCAGTAAGACCTACTAGGCAATTGGTACTTTTAGTTCAGTACAATTCATCTGTAATATCAATTTTCTATTATTTGAAATTATATTATTAATTGAAAGCTACAGATATTCAGTTGCAATTTCCTTAGGAAAAGAAAATGCTGATGTTTTTAAAGACTTCTACCAAGTGTTAAATTCAAAACAAAGTTTTCCTTTTTAGCTGTAGTAAAGTCTGTTTTATCACAACTCATTTAAACCCCATTTTTTGGGCATAAATAATGATAAAAAGTGATTTCCACATGTAAAAACCAATTTATTATTATTTAGATATGTAGTTCAATCCAATAAAACTACTTTCAATTTGACAGCTCTGCATCCATCATTCTGGTGGCTATGTGATGGTATTTCATTAAGTTTTAATTTGTGTTTCTGTATCATGAGATTGAACACCCTTTCATATATTAGTTATTTGAATATTTTCTTTTGTGACATACCTATTCAAAGTTTCACTCCATTTTTATACATTTTTTAAAAAAGTGTATGTACATATTTTTTAAAAAATATTTGTATATACTTTTTTTCAGAATATAAGTTATTTATTCCTTGAATGATGTGTAAATGTCTTTTCTAAGTTTATAGGTGGTCCCTTCATTCTCCATGCTAGTTCTTGATTACTTAAAATTTTATTTGTTTTTTAAAAATAACTTACTTTGTGATCTATTTGGAAAGCAGTCTTTGTCTACCCTATGTTTAGGAAAATATTCTTCTCTGTAACCATCTAGAAGTATTATTAGTATGTTGTAGGTGCTCTGAAATGTACTAATGGGATACATGGGAAGCAATAAGGATCTCACTATTGTATCATTGATCAAGTTCAGAGGCCCCCAGGTTAACTTTCTTCTTCCTACAGCCTATCATGGTCTTCCTATACTTGTTTGTTGATTATGGCAAGGGTGTTTTAGCTGTGCATGGGAGACCCTGGAAGGAATAATCCATCTTGCTAGAACTAGAAATCCTTCAGTATTCTTTAAAATGTTTTTGTTTTGTTTTTCTGATTTATTTGTACCTATGCCACTGAAATATTGAGAGTTATATTTCTTATAAGAGTTGCGTTTTGCCAATATTCCTTTCTTAATGATATGTATCTCAATAAGTGAGTATTTTCTTACATTGAACTTAGTTGTTAAGTAGTAGAATCAGTATACCTGCTTTCTTAGGCTCTGCTGTGGTAGAGATGCATATCAATTTTAGAATTAATTTGCTTGCAATTAATAAAATATGCTAAATTTTGGCATTCACATTTGGTTGGAATTCAAATGATTTATTTTATTTTAATATAAACAGATGCAATTAAATGAACATCTATAGTGTGGTGTGAACATTCTGTAAAATAAATCTATATATTTTCCATAAGAGGGCTACCAATTTTTTCTTTTTATTTCTACAAAACGTAATCCTGGAAGTCTGTACTTAACTATGGGAGATATCTAATAGATAGGGGAACTTTACCTGCTAACAAGCTGAATTATTGAGAACGGATGTTTCAGTATTCATTTTTAAAAAACCTTACCACTTAATTTCCATCTGGTCAAAAAAAGGCCACTGAGGACTTGGCTATTGCTTCTCTCCAGGGAAAGTAGCCACTAAGTATAGAGAATTAGTTAAGAATAAAATGCCATATCAGTCAATAATAGAAAATCAGGTTAATTTTATTAAGAGATAAAAAGCCATTTAATTATGTAATATGTCAATGGTAAATGTCATAAAGAATATATTTTATGAAGTGAACACCTTTTATTGATAAAATTCCTGCATGTTAATGCTCAATGCTGGATAAATTTGCTTGACTGCAGTGCCATCTGTTTTCAGATCAATGTACTATAATTGACTGATGGGAATTTTAAAACAGAAAATCCAGCTGTTCTACATTTGTCCTCTTTGACCAAAAGATAAATTATCATATTACACATCTCCATAATTACACTCATTTCCACTAGAGTGTGACCTTGTAGATAGTGGTGCCTTCAGTAATCAGATGACACAAGATTGTGTTTATGGAAACTTCATGTTAATAATAGGGTATCACACTACAAAGAAAACTGTGGCACAAATTCAAATCTAAAAGTGGTCCAATTTTAGATCAGTCAAGACTGCTGGAGTCTTTAACAACATTTAATACCTGAAATCAATATGACAGTAGGGGAGGTTTCACTTGCCTTGATGGAGCATATGCAGTTAACTAGGTATGCCTATAGGACATGTCTCATGTTCAGTTTTTACCCATATTTATATTAAGCATATGGTATGTTTAAAACTACATGGGAAGTGATTCTTCTTGTCTTCATGAGTACGGTGTATGACTCTTTGAAATAATTTAGATACAAGTAACAAAAGATTTATTTTACTTGATTCATTTACCTATTTGTATACTCAGAATAATATTATATTTGCATTTTTGATATCTCACTAGATGTGTTATTATTGACTAACTTGAAATTTCATTTTAGATTATTTAGATGATAAAATTAGGCACAGTTCTGGATAATACCTCCATGGCAGTATTTTTACAACATAGTATACGTGCTACTATTAGCAACAAGTACTGCATAATAATATGCTTATATATATAATGACAAAGTATAAAAAGCAAGTCCGTACTATATGAAGTCATACTTTATCCCTGTTCTTTAATTTTTATTTTACTGCAAAGAGATTATCAAATATTTTAAAACAATTTCAAAGTTTTTTTAAGACAGTGCCAATGTTAACATTTTGTATATAAGTGGTTATTTTTGTTATAAGTAATAATGAATATGTACAGAAATATTAGACCACTATGATTTTGTATGTCATAATTTAATAGGCTTTTTAGTTACACAATTATATTAATACCTTGTAATTATAAAATATCAATACACAAATATAACACATATTTGCATCTGAAACTGGAAACAACTATATAAAAATGTGATGCATGTTCTGGTTGATATAAATATTTATAAACATATAACACAAAAATATTTTCGAAAGGCCTACTTTTTCCCCTCAACAATATAAGCTGACATTTAGTAATTCTAAGTGCTTTTGTACAATGTAATTTACTTATTTATTCAACAAACATTTATTAAGCACTTCTGAAAAACTGGCCTAGGTATAGGGGGTGTGCTTGTATATAAAACAGTAGACTATGTGTCTCCATTCATGGACCTTATGTTATAATGAGAAGAAACATAGGATACAAAAAGTATATAAAGTATCGTGTGATGATAAGGGTTGGGAAGAAAAATAAAGTCGTGAAAGATGGATAAATATAAGCGGAATGTGTGATTACATATAGTGTGGTCTCAGAGGAACAATTATATAAGGCACTGTTGAGCAGAGACTTGAGTGAAGTAGGAGGAGATGAATAAAGCATACAATGGGCAAGAGCATTCCAGGAATAGGCAGTTTTTAGTGCTAAGGATCTCAGAGTGCCTTAACTGTTTGCATAGCAAGTGTTACTGAAACACCAGGTAAAGTCTAGGTCCTGTTGCTTACCACAAAGAAAGCCAATCACTAAAGCAAATATTTCCAAGGAAGAAGGCTTCATTTGTGTCCCTCAGCTGAGAAATTGGGAAATCAGTCTCAAATCCATCTCCTCAACCTATTAAATATAGGGGTTTATATAGCAAGGAAGAAATGTAACTATATGTGAAAAAACAGGAATTTTGGAGAGGTAAGGAAGGGGAGGTGGTCAATAGGAAGCAGGTGGTTGAATAGGCAATCATGATGGGTGAAGAGTCCAGCACCTCATTGTCCAAATGTGGTGATCTGCTAAGTTTCAGTTCCTTGATACTATCTGGGATGACTGATGGTTTGTTTCCTGAGAAAGAAACTCAGATAAAACAAGTTTAAGTTTCTCAAGTTTTAAGACTGGGAGGGTCAATTATTTTGTGTCTTCAA
The DNA here is from genome assembly GCF_000001405.40 of Homo sapiens. NCBI lineage: Eukaryota > Metazoa > Chordata > Mammalia > Primates > Hominidae > Homo > Homo sapiens. Next base: position 185,620,287 of record NC_000002.12, on the reverse strand, counting down.
AAGAAGCCATAAACATCAGTTCTATGAGACAATTATGCTGGTTTTACAAGACCAGTATAGCAAGACAAAATGATCCAGTGGAATAAGGGAGGTGATGAGTTCATCAAAATATCACTGCGCTAAATCATGTAGCAATTGATATATCAAAAGCATTTTCGATTTTATTATGAGTGAGACTGTAAAGCATTGGAGGCATTGGAGCAGAGGAATGTAATAATCAGAATTTTTTTAAACAAAAGTACTCTGGGTTGAGAGTAGTAGATTAAGAATAAACCTATAAAGAGGCAAGAAGATAGTTAAGAAAACTAATTATGAGGCTATTGCAACAGTTTTGGCAAGTTATGAGTTCCAATTGGGGAACATGGTGATTTGGAACAGAGTGATAGTGGTGAAGAAACTAAAAGTTTTCATATTCTAGGTTTTTTTATTTTTTCAATGGTAGAGAAGTTTGATGATGAGTTGTAGTGAATAAAGGACAGGGAAGAATGAAAGGTAACTTCCAGGTTGGAGGGCTTGAGAAATTCATATATCTGTTATTCAGCTGCAATTTAATTCCAACTTCATAATTAGATAAAGTAACTATGTTCATAGAGTTGAAAGACATAAGTCTCAAACTATAGAAGCTAGTAATCTACTCAAGAGATCAAAATACAGCAAAATACCCTCTGTGTGTTTATTCAATTGGATAAAACTGACACAAAAATGTTTTTAATATATATCTATGGGATAAATGTGTGCTCTGATAGAAGTATGTACAGAGATGAAATTAAATAAATAGTGGAGAAATCTACCCTAAATTGCAACGAGAAGGTGGGGTGTATTTCTTTCCTGTTGTCACTGTAGCAAATTACAACAAACTTAATGACTTAAAACAGCACAAACATATTATCTAATAATTCTGGAGATTAGAAGTTCAAAATGAGTTTTACTGGGTGACCTTTAGAATGTTAGAAGGCCTACATTTCTCTGAAGGTTTTAGAGAATAATCTATTTCTTTGCCTTTCCTAGCTTCTAGGGGCTGCCTGAATTATTTGGCTCATAGCCTCCTCTTCATTTTGAAATCTAGCAATAGGAAATATTCGAATCTCTATTTGACCCTACTGATTTTATCTTTCAGTTATAACAATCCTTGGGATTACACTGGGTCCATTAGAGCAATCCAGAATAATCATCCCATCTCAAAAGTCTTAATGCAATCATATCTGCTAAGTCCTAAACATGCACTCAGTCCTGAGTCTAGATCTGTAGCTTCAACTCAAGTTGGGGAGGAGCCCCCACCTCTCAGAAGACTAAAAAGGGTGAGACACACGAGCTCATGGGCCAGTGCAGGAGCATGGTATACCTCCCTCTGCAGGGCTAGTCCAGGAAGGGTGTAGCCTGCCTGCCAGCCATAGCCTCTGCTTGAGGGAGCTTTACAGTCTGGAACACTGCCACCAATGATAGGAGGGAGCTCTCCCAAGGACCAGGAATGGACATGGTGATAAAGCTACATTCCTTCCCCCAGAACCACAGAGCATGACTGCAAATGTGAAAAAATAAAGAGGACACATGGCTAAGAGCATATTACAGCCAATTACTCATAAGCAACACCTACTGGATTGCAGCCAAACTATAACACCAAAAATATTTTGCCAATAAATCCCCCTGTGAAGCCAGAGGTGAGAATTCAGTGACAAATAAAAATCCTGTACAGAGCCTCAGCCCTCGGAAAATATCCAGAAATTCCAACTGATTATACTCAACTTACACCACTGTTAAAGAAACACCAGATGAGAGATAATCAGCACAAAAACTGTGACAACTTAAAAAGCCAGAGTATCCTCATAAATCCAAATGAGTCCACTAGCCCCTCAGCCATGGTTATGAACCAGTCTGAAATGACTGAAATGACAGACATAGAAATCAGAATCTGAATGGCAAGGAAGCTCATTGAGAGTCAGAAAAATGTTGAAGCCCAATCCAAACAGCCCAAGAAATCCAGTAAAATGATCCAAGAGCCGAAAGACAAAAAACAGACTAAACTTCTGGAATTGAAAAATTTTCTAAAAGAATTTCATAATACAGGCAGAAGCATTAACAGCAGCATAGACCAGTCTAAGGAAAGTGTCCCAGAACTTGAAGACTAGTTATTCAAATCAACTCAGTCAGACACAAATAAAGAAAAAAATTTAAAATATACATAAAAACTTGGAGGAATATAGGATTATTTAAAGAGATAAAACAAGATTCATTGGCATTTCTGAGAGAGAAGAAGAGATCGTAAGCAACCTGGAAAACATATTTGAGGACATAGTTCATTACAGTTACCCCAGTCTTGCTAGAGATGTTGATATGCAAATTCAAGAAATACAGAGCACCTCAGTGAGATACTATGTAAAATAACCATCTCTAAGTCACATAGTCATCAGATTAATGAATGTCGATATGAAAGAAAAAACCTTACAGGTAGCTAGAGAGAAGGGTCAGGTCACTTACAAAGGGAACCCCATCAGGCTAGCAGTGACCTGTCAACAGAAACCTTACAAGCCAGAAGAAATTGGGACCTTATTTTCAGCATCCTTAAGGAAAAGAAGTTCCAACTAAAAATTTCAAACCCTGCCAAAATAAACATAATAAGTGAAGGAGAAATAAAATCCTTCTCAAACAACCACATATTAAGGGGATTCATTACTAGTCCAGTCTTATAAGAGGTCCTTGAGAGAGTGCTAAACATGGAAATGAAAGAACAATAGCTGCTACCACAAAAACACACTTAAGTACAGTAGCCCACAAACACTAGAAAACAACTACACAATCAAGTCTACGCAACAATCAGCTAACAACATGGCAGCATCAAAAGCTCTCATATTAACACTAACCCTGAATGTAAATGGTCTATATGCCATACTTAGAATGCATAGAGTGACAAGCTGGATAAATAGAAAAAACCCATTATCTGCTGTCTTCAAGGGACCCATCTCACACATAATGACATCTATGAACTCAACATAAAAGGATGAAGAAAGATCTACCATGCAAACAGAATACAAATAAAAGAAGGAGTCAGAGTTCTTCTGTCAGATAAAACAGATTTTAAATAAACAACCAGTAAGTAGGACAAAGTAGGGCATTACATAATGGTAAACAGTTCAACTGAACAAGAAGACTTTACTAAATATATAATCACCCAACATTAGAGCACGAAGATTTATAAAAGAAGTTTTTCTTGACCTCTGAAAAGATGTAGACAGCTACCCAATAATAATAGGGCACGTCAACACTCCACTGACAACACTAGACTGATTGTTGAGGCAGAAAACTAACAAAGAAATTATGGATGTAAACTTTACACTAAACCAATTGGACCAAATAGACATCCAGAGAAGACCCCATCCATCAATCACAGAATATACATTCTTCTCACGTGCACATAGAAAATATTCTAAGACCCAACACGTGCTCAGCATAAAGCAAGTCCCAATAAATTCAAAAACATCAAAGTGATACCAAACACACTCTCAAACTACAGTGCAATATATATAAAAATCAATAAGAGAAAGATTCCTCAAATATTTCCAAATATGCCTGGGCATGGTGGCTCACGCCTGTAATTCCAGCACTTTGGCAGGCCAAGGCAGGTGGATCAGGAGGTCAGGAGATTGAGACCATCCTGGCTAACTGGGTGAAACCCCGTCTCTACTAAAAATACAAAAAAATTAGCTGGGCTTGGTGACAGGCTCCTGTAGTCCCAGCTACTTGGGTGCCTGAGGTAGGAGAATGGCATGAACCCGGGAGGCGGAGCTTGCAGTGAGCCGAGATCAAGCCACTGTGCTCCAGCCTGGGCGACAGAGCAAGACTCCATCTCAAAAAGAAAAAAAAAAAAAAAAAATCCAAATACATGGAAATTAAACAACTTGCTTCTGAGTAACTCTTGGGTGAAGAACAAAATTATTGCTGAAATCAAAAAGTTATTAAGAAGTTAATGAAAATAAAGACACAACTTACCAAAATCATTGGGATGCAGCTGAAGTAGTGTTAATAGAAAAGTTTATAAGACCGAATGCCTTTATCAAAAAATTAGAAAGATGTCAATTAACAATCTAACCTTGAACCTAGAGGAATTAGGAAAAATAAAATAAAATAACCCCCAAGCTATCAGAAAAAAATAAATTTAAAAATCAAATAACTGAATAAAATTGAGATGCAAAAAAAAGATACAAAAGATCAATGAAACCAAGAGTTGGTTTTTCAAAAGAGTAAAAAACATTAATACATGACTGGCTAGATTAGAGACAGAGAGAGAGAGAGAGAGAGAGAAGATCCAAATAAGCACAATCAGAAATGACAGAAATGACAAAGATGACATTACAGTCAATCCCACAGAAATACAAAGATCTTCAGAGACTAATTTGAACACTGCTACACATGCACATTAGACTATCTAAAGGAAATGGATAAATTCCTGGAAACACACATCATCCTGAGATTGAACTTGGAAGACACTGAAAACCTGAAAATAATCAATAATAAGTTCTGAAACTGAATCAGTAAAAAAGTAAACACTATAAACCAAAAAAAAAAAAAAAAAAAAAAAAACAGAAAAAAAACCAACCCTGGGCCTGATGGATTCTACCAGACCTACAAAAGAGCTGGTAACGATCCTACTGAAACTATTCCAAAAAATCAAGGAGGATGAGTTCCTCTCTAACTCACTCTATAAAGCCAGCATTAGTTTGATACCAAAGCCTGGTAGAAGCACACACACACACAAAAGGAAACTTCAGGTCAATGATTCCCTGATGAATATAGATGCAAAAATTCTGAATGAAATACTAGCTAACCAAATCCAGCAACACATCAAAAAGTTAATTCACCATGATCAAGCAAGCTTCATTGCTAGGCTGCAACATTGGTTTAGTATGTACATATCAATAAATGTGATGGACCACATAAACAGAATTAAAAGCAAAAACCATGTGATTATCTCAATAGGCTTGGTAAAAGCATTTAATAAAATCCAACATTTATTCACTATAAAAACCCTCAAGAAACTAGGATTCAAAAAAAATACATCAAAATAAATAATAAAGTAAAAATATTAAGAGCCATCCATTACAAATCCACAGCCAACATCATAGTGAATCGGAACTGGAAGTATTCCCTTTGAGAACCGGAACAAGACAAGAATGCCCACTTTCACCACTGCTATTCAACATAGTACTGGAAGTGCTAGCCAGAAAAATCAGGCAGGAGAAAAAAATAACAGGCACCTACTTAGGATAAATTTTCTTCCAGATAGAAGAAAAGTTGAGTGAATCTTTTTCTTTGTGAATAAGTGATTCTGAGGGAGTAGAAAAAATTTCTAGAGAGATACTGTTCACCGGTTCTGATGGGCTAATAGCTCCAGGCATTAATGATGACTTGAAAGACCCAGCCCATGTTTATGGATTGCAATACTTGTTATTGGAAAAATGTCCAAAGCAGTGTACAAATTTAGCACAATCCCTTAAAATTCATATGAAACCACAAAGGACTGCTAAGAATCAAAATAATTTTATACAGAAGAACAAATCTAGAGGTATCATTTTCTCTAATTTTTAAGCATATTACAAAGCTACAGTAATCAAAACAGCATGCTGCTGACAAAGACAGACATATAGAAAAATGGAACACAATAAGGAGCTCATAAATAAACCCCCACATGTATGGTCAACTGGTTTTTAACAAGTGTCAAGAACACAAGTGTCAAGAAAAGGCAGCTTCTTCAACAAATGGTGTTTGGAAAACTGAATATCCACATGCAAATAATAAAATTGGACCCTTATCCTAGACCATCCACAAAAGTCAACTCAAAATGCATTAAGCACTTAAATGTAAGACCTCAGAAACTATAATGCTACTGGAAGAAAACATAGAAAAAACTTCATTATGGTAATCTCGATCACATGTTCTTGGCTATCACACCAAAAGCAGAGGCAACAAAAGACAAAAATAGACAAGTTTGGACTACATCAGACTAAAAAGTAAAGGAAACAATCAACAGAGTAAAAAAGCATCCTATGAAATGGAAGAAAATATTTGTTTGTGAGACATATATCTGGTAAGGTATTAATATCCAAATTACATAAGGGACTTCTACAACTGAATAGCAAAAGAAAAAATCTAATTAAAAATGGGCAAAGGACCTGAACAGACATTTTTCCAAAAAGACATAAAAATGGTTAACATGTATATGAAAAGTTGCTCAACATTACTAATCATCAGGAAGATGAAAATCAAAACCGCAATGACATATTGCCTCACACCTGATAAGACAGCTATTATAAAAACCAAAAAGGTAAGTCTTAAGGTAAAGGATGTGGGGAAAACAGAACTCTCATACACTGTTGGAGAGAATGTAAATTGGTGTAGTCATTATGCAAAACAATATGAAATTTTCTCAAAAAATTAAAAATAGAATTTGTATAGTATATTTGAGTTCTCCAGAGAATCAGAACAAATAGGATATAGATAGATATATAGATAGATAATAGACAGATGATAGATAGATAGATGATAGATAGATAGATAGATAGATAGATAGATAGATAGATAGATAGATAAATGATAGATAGATAGATGTAGATCTATAGATATGTGAGGGGATTTATTATGGGAATAGGCTCACAGGATGATATGGTTTGCCTGTGTCCCCACCTAAATCACATCTTGAATTGTAACTCCCACAATTCCCACATGTCATGGGAGGTACCCAATGGGAGGTGACTGAATTACGGGGGTGGGTCTTTCCTGTGTTGTTCTTGTGATAGTGAATGAGTCTCACGAGATCTGGTGGTTTTAAAAATGGGAGTTTCCTTGTACAAGCTCTCTTCTCTTGTCTGCCACCATGTGAAATATGCCTTTCACCTTCTGCCATGATATGTGAGGTCTCCCCAGTCACATAAAACTGTAAGTCCAGTAAACCTCTTTCTTTTGTAAATTGTCCAGTTTCAGGTATGTCTTCATCAGCAGTGTGAAAATGGATGAATACACAGGATTATAGAAGTCAAGTAGACCCAAGACATATACCCTCTACAACATGGAAAACCAAGATGCCTGAATCTCAAGTCCTGCTCTACACATACACTGGATGTTATTCAGTCATAAAAACAAGTAAATACTGTCATATACTACAACATAGATAAATCTTGAGGACATTACCACAAATGAAATAAGGCAATCACAGAAGTGCAAATACTGAGTGATTTTATTTATATACAGTATCTAAATTATTCAAACTTATGGAAGCAGAAAGTAGAATGGTGGTTGCCAAGGACTTGGCAAAGGGAGAAATAGGGAGTTGCTATTCAATATGTATAAAACTTCAGTCATACAGAATGAAATCTCCTAGTGATCTGCTATACACCATTGTGCTTATGGTTAAGATACTGCACTGTTTCTTTAAATATTTATTAAGAGTGTAGATATCATGTTATGTGTGTTTTACCACCATAGAAGAAGGCTTCATGTTAATAATTGCTATTTTGGATGTATTGTTTTAGATATTTATTTTCAATTGTTTTCTGCAGTTTCCAAATTTTCTATTATAAAAATCTGTTCTTTACATAATCAGAAAATGTTTTTTTTTCTTTTATTATTATACTTTAAGTTTTAGGGTACATGTGCACATTGTGCAGGTTAGTTACATATGTATACATGTGTCATGCTGGTGCGCTGCACCCACTAACTCGTCATCTAGCATTAGGTATATCTCCCAATGCTATCCCTCCCCCCTCCCCCCTCCCCCCACCCCACAACAGTCCCCAGAGTGTGATGTTCCCCTTCCTGTGTCCATGTGATCTCATTGTTCAATTCCCACCTATGAGTGAGAAAATGTTTTAAGTAAAATATAGATGGAAAATGGCCTTTGGAACATAATGGAAGTTCTATTTATCTTTGAGATTTTCTTCCTGTGATATTACGTATTTAATTAAAAACAATATAAAAGACTGTATCCATTTCTTCTAGGTTTTCAAATTTGTTGGCATATAGTTCATACATTTAAAAAATAATTCTTTAAGGCTGGGCGCGGTGGCTCATGCCTGTAATCCCAACGCTTTGGGAGGCTGAGGCGGGCGGTTCATCTGAGGTCAGGAGTTTTGAGACCAGCCTGGCCAATATGGAGAAACCTTGTCTCTGCTAGAAATACAAAAAACAAACAAACAAACAAACAAAAAAATAAGCCAGGTGTGGTGGCAGGAGGCTGTAATCCCAGCTACTCAGGAGGCTGAGGCAGGAGAATTGCTTGAACCTGAGAGGCGGAGGTTGCAGTGAGCCGAGATCGCACCATTGCATTCCAGCCTGGGCAACAAGAGTGAAACTCTGCCCCTCAAATAATAATAATAATAATGGTAATTCTTTAAAAAATAAAAAAGCAATGTAGAGAAGTAAGGTAAATCTACAGTTTATAGGATTTACAAGGAACTATAAATACTATTGATCAGACTTTTATTGAAGTTTTATTGTCATGATGCACAACTTGAAAAGTGTGAAGATGATAGAACGAAAGTTAGGAGAAGACACTCTCTGTGAAGATTTTATAGTTTCCAGTTTGATATTATGGAATACTTTAAATAAATACTGTCTTAAATGGATTGTATAGCCATGTGGTTGCATTGATGCCATTTTACAGACAAAGAGATAGCAGGTTGGACTCTGTGCTAAGAACATATAGCTAGTGAGTGGCCGATTCATTTCCACACATTTTATGAAAATTTACTTATTCTTATATAATTTTAATTTTCATTTGCCTTTGGATAAAATGGAAATATGTTTACAGTTACATCTAATTTCAAAGGGGAGCTATAGATTGCATGATTTCTGTACCATTTAGCTGCCTATTAAGTCTCTAGTGAAATCTAGGTTACTTATGAAATTCCCGTAAACAGTGGCTCCCATCCCCACCTGACTTTGGCAACCTGGTAGTTACATAAGGTAGGGCAGGGTGTGAAACCAGCTGTTTTGCTGCTGCTGTCGGGAGAGGTTTACCTGATTTGGAGAAGTATCACTTGAAGTGGTGATCTTAGTGGCAAGCAAACGGGAGGGCTACTGACCCTGCCAGCTAGGGTCGTTCTGTTGGCTCAAATAATAGACCAAAGGACTAGCTGAGGAATTTAAGAGGCAGTTCTAGGAGTGAGATAGGTGTAGAGAAATTGATAAGCCATGCCCATTATCCTGGGTTGACCAGAAACTGTGCATATGCACAGAAGAGACTAGAGCAGATGCAAGCAACCCACTTATTTTGGGTCAACAGAGGCTGTGTGTACAAAGATGTGACGGAGCTCTATGAGGAACAAAAGCTCATGGAAAATTGAAAATGACCTATAAATATTTTCTCCAAATTATTTAGAGTATAATATTTTCATGATGTATCTGGCTATTCCAATATTGGGTTGAGAATATTTTGCCTCCCCAACAGGTTGCATGTGGAATGATTGGCTATAAAACAACCAATCCTTAATAAGAAGTTACCTGTTTTTCCTTGACTTGAAATAAAAGTGATATGTGTGGCTAATTAATTATATATAACAAAAATGTGTTCATTATATATTAAAATAAGTGTAATCCATACAAAAACATTAGTTTCATTCACTTACTTAGCTTTAACTTTTTATGTTACATTTTAAACATTTATAGAAGAATGAAATTATCCTTGGTAGACAGTCCAAAAACTGCTGCTCACAATGCCTTCATTAACTCTGACAAGAGAGGAAATGCCTGTTGTAAATAGTTGTACCATTCAATCATCACTGTTTTGAGTATCTATTTTAAAGATCTTCTCTGATTCAAACTGAGGCTACAGATCACTGGCTTTAAAGAACAAATGGGACTGGAAGAACCCAGCAAGTGCCAAGAATCAGTAGTAGAGAAAGTAGCCAATTACCCCACTGGTTAGATCGTAAGCAACTTGAAAATGAGAATAATGTATTTTTGACTTTTACATTTGTGCTATTTTTCTAGTGCCTAGGAGAGTGCCTTCCCAATAATTCAGAATTAAAATATAATTAGTGTAGTAGGAGCTATGCTATGTATGAGTAACAAAAATAGCTATAAAGAAAAGGGAAATAGGCAAATAAGTCATCCAATCTGATAACAACATAGAATTAGAAATGATACATATATACATATGAAAATGGATAAATTATGGAAAAAAATCTTATTCCGATTCTGAACATATGTTTCATTCAGTTTTATCCTTTATATACATCTGTACTTGACATTCATCTGTTTTTTCCACTGAAAGGTTTTTCTCTTTTGCTCTTCCTGCACAATTTTTAACCTACCTTTTAAGATTCAGCTCAATTAAAAAAATGCAAAATTGATAATAAAACTGACTAAAGTAAAAAAATGAACTTTTTACTATAGCATTGTAGTTCAAATAAAGTTTGTTTTTTGACACAAAACCATGTATGAAAAGAAATCCAATATTAAAAAATAAAAATAATATATTAAAAACACCAGTATTAGAACATTTATAAATTTAATTGTTTAAAATTTTGAAGAACCACCCTCAGTGAGTAAATACATATGTAAATAATTTTTGATTTCTACAAACATGAGAAAGTGAGTTGCTATATGTTATTATTTAAAATCCCTTGTAAAAAAAGAATGGTAGAATAAGAACAATAAACTTAAACTGAAATTCAAAATCAGAATTAATGATAATCAGGGTCAAAAGTTTGCAAAACTTTTGCAATAACTCATCTTGCATTGACATTTAGTATTTATTATTTCCTCACTTTTATACTTTTTTTTCAAAGCACAATGAAGGCAACACAGTCTACCTTTAGGAAAACTGTCAATCTTATGAAATGATTACTTAAAAATGATTCAAATGTTGCTGAGATCTAAATGCAGAAATTTTACCCCCTCGTTATGTCTACTTGCATATGTAGGATAGGTGGATCTAAACAAATATCATGGGATTATTCAATTTTCATTTCTGTTATGTAAATATTTTACCAGGATTTTGTTTAATAAGCTTCATTATTTTTGTATTTCAATATGAAATTACCATGATAGCATATTTAAAGTGATAAAATAGAAAAATAAAATTAAATACAACAGAAATGTAGTAGACAGTGAAAAATACTGTGACAAATAACTAAATGCTTTCTCCATAAACATACATTGCATGAGAGGAAAAACGACATATACTTTTCTTAATCTGGGTCAAATCATAGACTGCTACCATCAGCATATCACTTCCAATATTTGTCTGAATCATCACCATGATTTCTCAGTTAACTGTATGTGAATGGTATGCCCTCCTGTGGCACACAGTTGAGGAACACTAGATGAATATTAACCATGATGTTTAAAAAGTTGTAAGAGCAGAAGCAAGGTTTGTCAGTTTGTCAGCACAGTCGTATAACAACCTTTCCTTCATCAAGACGGATCAAATAATGAAATTTAGCAAGAACTGCTGTACAAATCCCTAAACTGTCAACCATTTGTGCTGTGAGCTAATGAAAAAACATGTATGCTGATCCTGATATGCTTGGAAGAAGAAATGCCAAAAAAAAACACTGTTGCAATTACTCTCCTGTTAATGACAAACCAATCATTAGTTTATAGATAACAAAATGTAGGCAGGAAAACTACAGTAATTAGAGGAATGTACTGGGGAAGGATTTAAGACTATACTTTGGATATAAATGTGTATTTTTAACTAAAAAGTTATGTTTATTGATAGGACAAGTGTAAAAAATATTTAAAGAGATTTATAAGCACTTTAAACTTCAACTAATATTGTTGCTGTAATGCTTTGTCAGGTAGATTTTATCAAAGGAGATATGTAGACACTAGTCTTTAATTATGAGTCAAAAGCATTTCACCACATAGCAGAATATGCCAAAAGGCATGTTAATTTGTCAGGAAGCCTCAACAGTCATATATTGCACATATATAATACAAACAGTAACCATAATCTCAATTTGTCACTAAATTTCCACAATATTTCTCCCATATTACAGTGAAATAGGATCATGTCTTCCATGGAATCTACTTTGTATTATTATACTTTAAGTCTACCATAATTTGTATTATGGCACTAAACATTGAAAATCAAAATGTAGCTTCTGTGCAATTATTATCAACAATCTTACTTTACAATGAATTTGCTGACATAGGATTTAATTATCTATGAGTGCACTGTTGTTATAACAATGCCTGTTAAAAAAAGGTTCTATGTAAAACTTTATTTTCTTTTCAGACCCCATCAATTGTTTTTACTGTATTTATGAAAAGCTTTCGTGGTCTAAGTGATTTTGACTCTTCTATTAAATCACCATACTTCTTAAAGATTGCAGTCCCTAATTCTTCTCCCACATTGGTTTTGTTGACCTTCATGGACGTCACCTCTGTTAGGTTCTATCCCCTGTTTTCTCTCATTGGTTTACTTCCCTATTTTCAAAAGTGTATTTTAAAATAATTTCCTAATAGAGGTTATATAGGTAATACATTTTTCAATCCCAGAAACTTTATTTCACCATCACACTTGAATGATAATTTACCTCAGAATTCTAAGGTTAAAATAATTTTATTTTTTAAATTTAAGTGTTATTCAGTGAACCCTCTCCATGTAAACACGTTTCCTCTAGCTTTGATTAATTTTCTCATATTTTCTATTTAAAATTTTGTTTAACTCCATTTTCTTTATTCTCTTTTTTTGAGTGGATCTTCTGTCTTTTAAATTTTCTTTCATAGTATATGTGCTTTTTGTGAATTCTGTGATAATTTAAAAATTTTTATATTTTAGACGTTTATTTTTTGAACTTAAGCAACAATTAGTAATACTCAAATGTATTTTGTTCTATTTCTAGTTTATTACTATAGAATTCTGACTTTTTATGGTTGCAATATGTTCTTTAAAATGCCAGATTTAAAAAAATAAAAAAATAAAATGCCAAATAAATTTATTTTAAATTTCACTCTGTTGCCAAAGTATCTCTTTCCTTGATGTCAAGCTTTCTTATCTTTTACTATATATACATATAATATATACAGTAAATATATATATGATATACTATATATATATATATAATTTTTTTTAAAGAGTTTCGCTCTTATTGCCCAGGCTGGAGTGCAATGGTGTGATCTCAGTTAACTGCAACCTCCGCCTCCCGGGTTCAAGCCCTTCTCCTGCCTCAGCCTCCTGAGTAGCTGGGATTACAGGCATGGACCACCACAACGGGCTAATTTTGTATTTGTAGTAGAGATGGGGTGTCTCTATGTTAGTCAGAGTGGTCTCGAACTCCCGACCTCAGGTAATCCGCGCACCTTGGCCTCCCAAAGTGATGGGGTTACAGGTGTGAGCCACTGCACCTGGCTATTTTTTACTATTTTTTAATCTTTTATGCTGTAGATTTTCTCAAATATATAATGATTATTTTTATATAAATATAATGAGATAATAAACAGTTTGTAGTTCTATGTATGTGTGGGAAAGGTTGAACAAAGTACTTGTCCTCTTTATAAGCTGCTGAAGGAATCAACTTTTATACTGTGAGATTTGGGGACGTTCATATGCACGTTTATTCCCACTATACCATTAATGTTATTATTTTTAGTCAGGCTTCACAGAGCAAGTCATTCAAATTATTTTGATGGTAATCCTCAAACATTGAGTCTAAAACAAGGGTCAATGCACTATGGTTGACAGGCCAAATCTGGCCAGCCAAACACCTGTTTTTGTTTATAATTGCTTTCACACTGCCATGACAGAGTTGGGTACTTGTGACACAAGACTAGATGGCCCACAAAACCTAAAATGTTTACTATCTTGACTTTTATTTCTGTCAATCCCTGGCCTAAGAATAAAAATGCCCCAGTGCTATGCTTTCTGTGCTTAGTATATAAAGGATAAATGTAATGTGAAACAGTGTTTCACTGATTAGAGACTGAGCTAGCCCTGTTTTTAATTGACAGATAAAATTGTGTATGTTTATTGTGTACCACATGATGTTTTTAAATATCTGTACATTGTGGAATGGTTAAATCAAGTTAATTAACATATGTATTAACTCACAGATTTTTGTGGTGAGAACACTTACAATCCATTCTCTTAGCGCTTTTCAAGAATACACATATTGTTATTAATATAGTAATTATGTTGTTCAGTAGATCTGTTAAAGTTATTCCTCCTGTCTAACTGAAGTTTTGTAACTTTTGACCAACATCTCCCCAATCCTGTTCCCCACCACTGACTCTGCCCCTGAGGTCCCCATTTTACTCTGTTTCTATGAGTTCAGTATTTTTAGATTTCACATATATGTGAGATAATGCGAAGTAAGGTAAGTGAAGTAAGTTGTGAGACTAACTTACTTCACTTAGCATAATTCTCTTAAGGTTCATCCATGTTGTCAAAAATAGCAATGTCCTTGTTTTTCTAAGGCTGAGTACTATATATACAAAATAATTATTTATCCACTCATCTGTTGTTGAACACTTAGATTGTTTCTATATACTGCTTATTGTGAATAATGGCACATTTCTTCCCTTTTCTTGAAAGATATTGTACTTTTCCAGTCAAGTAGATCTATAGTTTTGTCCTGTAAAATCTAAGGTCATTAGGCTTCCTTTATTCTGTCCTTCCTTCTCTGTCCCCTTAGCTCAAACTGGCAGTGTCTCTGCTGGCATATTCCCATCTCTATTTCTAGATTTTATTGAGATGATTGATTTAGTTCATGAGTCACACCTGTGACCACTTTATCAATTTTTTTTTAATGATACTCTTAGTATTCTCTTCAGAGAAATGAGAAAATATTATGAAAATGAGAAATATATTTGGATAGGCTGAGAATTTTTAATATCTGCAAGTTCTGTTTTTTTCTTTTGTTTAGTAATTTCTTCTTCAATTCATCCCTCTCTTTTCTTGCATTTTCTTACAAGCAGTCAGGAGGAACTAAGTCACTCCTTCAACACTTTACTTAGAAATATCCTCAGCTAAATATATACCTTCATTGCTTGAAAGTTCTACCTTCCATGAAATTGTAGAATACAAACACAATTTATCTAAGTTACTTGTCACTTGATAATAAGTATCACCTTCCTTCAAGTTTCCGATAACACATTCTTTATTTCCATCTCACATTTTGCATAGTGGCCCTTAACATCCATAGATGTTAAATAGAATCAGATACTCTGTTCATATATTCTGTAAGCAGATGGAAGCCTTTTCTTTCCAGCTTTCCTCTTTACTTTCTGAGCCTCACCAGAATTACCCCTAACATTTGTTTTTCTAGGATGTGCCTCAAAACTCTTCCAGTTTCTGCCCATTGGCCAGTCCCAAAGCTGCTTCCATATTTTCAGGCATTTGTTATAGCAGCACCCCACTTCTACCAAAATCTTAGTCAGCTCAAGCTATCAAAACAAAATACACTAGAGTGGGTAGCTTAAACAACAGAAATTTCTTTCTCACAGTTCTGAAGGATGGGACATCCAAGATCAAGTCCAAGATCAAAAGTTTTGGTTGGTCTGTAATGAATAATTAATTAACCACGTTCTGATTATTATATTTCAAAACTATGGCTACAAATATTTTTCTATTTTAATGCTTGATATCATTGTGCCTCCAATTACCCAAGACAGAAAAACTGAGTCATTGTTGAAGTCTCTCTCTTCTTCTACCCTTACATGGGCAATAAACCAAGTGGTATTTATTGTTGTCACATACTCTTTTTCATCCATACTGATAGTACTGAATTTTTGAAATAACATCTGACTTCTTTTCTCTTCTTTTGCTCCTGGTACCATCACTATTCCACACAATTGTCAGAGTAATGTATATATTAAATGACTATCCAATCATATCAGCCACCTAGTTAAAAATACTTTAGTAACTTCCATTACATAACAGTATAAAATTCAAAGATCAAAATTATTTAAATGACAAATGTGGCTTTTAGAATAACAAATATAATTTATACCAACTTTCAGCTTTATTTCTCTCTTCCTTTTTAAATATTTGTGCTTACAAATAGTATGACTCTATGCATTCTTATATGCATTTTTCTTTTTCTATAATTTCATTTACTCCTTTTCCTACTGGAAAAATTTTATAAATTCATACTGTTTTCTATGTCTTTGTGTGTGTGTGTATATGAAGCTTTCATTAAGCATTTTCTTTCATAATCTACTTTTGCTTTAGGCCCAGTCAGTTATGTATGTTCAAATGTACTTTTGTTTTTCCATTAGGATAGGTTTAGTCTTAAAAACTGCACTTGAATTGTTCATTACTATACCAAAACTGAATGCTGCTATTCATTTAAATACTAAAACAATTAAATAACTTTATGTCATACTTATATGTAAAGTTAAAAATAGTTATGTTCAGATACTGCTATTGGTATTAAAAGCAACATAGAAATTATATTTTCTCTAAGAGTATAAAATATTCAATAATTTATCTTATATATTATTATATTCTTTTTATTTTTTAAAAATTTTATGGGTACATAGTAGGTGTATATATTTATGGAGTATATGGGATATTTTGATAAGGGCATTACAATGCATAAATAATCACATCAGGGTAAGTGGTATATTCATCACCTCAAGCACTTATCATTTATGTTACAAACATTCTGATCATCCTATTTTAGTTATTTACAAATGTACAATAAATCATTTTTGGCTGAAGTTGCCCTGTTGTGCTATCAAACACTAGATCTCAAACTGTTTAGTGAAGTGATGTCCTATGGTAACTTTAAAAGACTATATTTAAGAAATATTTTTGAGTTTATGACATAAACATAATTTATAGGGTAAGTCTCTTAAAATGAAGTATTTTTAGATAGTAACTTAATTGCAAGTAGGTTTTCAAATAGTACAACTCTTATTTACATCTTTCGTGATTCATGTTATCATGAAATAAAAAACTACTCAATTATTTTGTTGAAAGCAAAAGAAGTTTCTCTCAAATAACCCAAGATGTTGATGATTGTAACAAATATAAATTTGTTTTGGTCGTCTACCATATGCTGGGAGCTTAGTGAATTACCAATGATACAAAGGTTAATAATATATGTTGGCTAAAATCAAGTGAACAGACATATATAAGAAATAATCTGGCATCGGAGATCCTACGAAGGTGGCAAAACATATAAAATAAACAAAATAAGACCATATGCAAAGCTGCCCCGTAGAGGTTACTGAGGGATTTGTACATAATGTTGCAGATGAGTCAATGATCAAATAAAGCAGCAGTCCCCAACCTTTTTGGCACCAGAGACTGGTTTCATGGAAGACAATTTTTACACGGATGGGGTTGGGGTGGAGGGAGAAAGTTTCATCTCAGGCATTAGATAGATTCTAATAAGGAGCACACATGATCCCTCCCTCACATGTGCAGTTCACAATAGGGTTCATGCTCCTATGAGAATCTAATGCCTGATGATCTGACAGTAGACAGAGCTCCGGTGGTAATGCTTACTCACCCATTGCTCACCTCCTGCTGTGCAGCCTGGTTCCTAACAAGCCGTGGACCAGTACTGACTCCCAGCTGGGGTTATCGGGGGGTGGTGCAGACCCCCGATATAAAGTAAAGATGAAAGTTCTTTAAGTAGAAACACACTCACACACACACACACCACCACCACCACCACCACCACCACTACCATCACCATACTTAAATAAGACTTCTACTTTTGTCTAGGACAAAATAGATTATAATGGACTAATCCTCTTCCTGAAACAATTATAAATAAATAGAATATTAACACTGCTGAAATACCCTTGAAAGGCATTAACAGAGCACCAATTTAGGCAGGAGTTGAGGGATTACATTACTTAAGAAAAGAGAAACATAAAAGAAGGCCACACTCATTTTGGATTTTTTTTGCTTAGAACAATTTTTTACAGTTCCAAGTTTACTGAAAAAGAGCTCAGGAATTAGAAGGCAATATTTTTGGACTGAGGAGGCTGAGATCAGAGCTTGAGCTGAAAAGCAGTAGGATCTCAGAAAATTGTCCTACAAGATCTTCAAAATATAGCCCCATTTTTTTTTTTTTGGCTGATTCATAAACTGCCCATGCAGAGGGGAGATCCTTAAAAGCATAGCAGAAAATAGTAGCTGAGAGGCTAAATACTGTATGATGTGGTTAGGTTTTGTGTACAGATCCAAATCTCACCTTGAATTGTAATCCCAGTTTTTAGGGAGATACCTGATGGGAAGTGATTGGATTATGGGGGCGGTTTCACCCATGCTGTTCTTATGACAGTGAGTGAATTCTCAGGAGTTCTGACGGTTTTATAAGCATCTGGCATTTTCCCTGCTTGCGCTCACACTCTCTCCAGCCATCTTGTGAAGAAAGTGTCTGCTTCCCCAACAGCCATGATTGTAAATTTCCTGAGGCCTTACCAGCCATGTGGAACTGTGAGTCAATTAAACCTCCTTTGTTTATAAATTACCCAGTCTCGGGTAATGTCTTTATAGCAGTGTGAGAATGGACTAATATACCATGTTTGTAAAAAACAAAAAAGAATTGAAAGTTAGATTTTTAAATTTTGTAAGAACTCCTGAACATGCCAGAGAATTGTCTAAAATAAGCCCTACCAAATCTTAAATATAAAAATATAATATCAGAGACAAAATTGTAATTCTGTTAACGTGTACAGAAAACATTATATTTAATATGGGATCCAGATAACTCTTCATGTATGATATGAAGTAAGGTAGAATTTTCAAAGGAAGAATGCCTTAGACATCAAGAGTTCTCGGGTCAGTACAATCTTCCTGCTTGGAGGTTGTAACAAAATTGGCCTCAGAGAGCATATGCATTCTCAGTGAAGGAAACGTTACGGAGAAAATACAAAGAGGTGGACCAACACAAAGAATGAGAAATGTTTGAGGTGTGAATATCCCAATTACTCTGATTTGATCATTACAATTATATGCTTTTATCAAATATCACAAGTATCCTATAAATATGTACAGCTGTTATGTATCCATAAAAAGTAAATATAAAAAAACATGAAAAGAGAAGCAGAGATTTGTTTATACAAGAAAGAGTATTCCAATAGTATAAAGGGCACAAAGATCTTATGGTGAAAAAGATAAGTACAGTAGTCCCCCTTCATTCACTTTCCACAGTTTCAGTTACCTGCAGTCAACTGATCTTAAAATATTAAGTGAAAAATTCCAAACATTGCCTGCTGCTGACAGCCAACCATAGACATTATCATTGTTCAATGATCCAAGATCAACCAAAGCAGATGTGTCTCCTTCTGACGTATCATCAGAAGGTCGGTAGCAGCCTAACATTATGTCACAATGTCTATGCCATTCACCTCACCTTATCTTATCACATAGACATTTAATCATCTCTCATTATCACAGAAAGAAGGATGAGTACAGTCCAATAAGATATTTTGAGAGAGAGAAACCCCATTAACATAACTTTTATTACAGTATATTGTCATAATTATTCCATTTTATTATAATTGTGGTTAATCTCTTACTGTGCCTAATATATAAACTTTATCACAGGTATATGTATATAAGAAGAAACACAGTGTATATAGGCTTTGGTACTATTTGTAGTTTCAGGCATCCACTGGGGGTCTTGGAGCATAGGCTAACACCTAAGTGGGAAACTACTGCATGATAATTAGGGCAAAGGAGATAGTTTTGCCATAGATGACTGCATTTTGGGTAGAGAAAAAAGGCACAAATGAAATGAATTGTCATTTTGTCCATTCTTGCTTTGTGTAAAAATGTCTGAAGACTGCCAAGCAGTTCCAGGGCCAGGTTTCCACAGTTTTTAATTATATAGAGGCTTCTATCAAGTATTTGCTTCCTGTTTTCTTCTGATATTTTCCATCACATATGGAATGTTATATCAGAAAAACAGCTCCAAATGACTATAGACTTTCTTTTCTTGCAAATTAGATTGTGCATATATTATTTTTCTTTGTAATTTGATTCAGTTTTGACTCCAATGACATTGCTTGTTTTATTTTGGATGCCATATAGCCCCAAATCATTCAAATAAATATGTATATCTGCACTGTTAGGAAACAAATGATTGGCATGAGCCATCAATGTTCATTAAGTTGAAGCTTTGGCATGCCTTATATTAGAAAAAGCCAAATTTAATAAATGTCATGTAGCCTGCCAGATGTTCCAATGTAAGATATGATAAATTCTTGCTGGAATAATATTTTATAAGCAAGTCCAGTTGTATTCAATTAAGTAGTCTTCATATGTTCTTAATATCAATTTATGACAATGACAAATTGATAATTTTCAAACTATAATTTTCTTCTTCTATATTTGAATTTCACCTTCAATTAGTCAAAGGCAATTTTAGTATTAAAATGAAGGTTTAATCTAATCAAATTAAGAAATATAGCAGTTTTCCCTTATTCAAGGTCGAATGTTCTAAGGATTCAGTTACCCATAGTGTAGTAAAATGAGATATTTTGAGAGAGGAAAAGAGAGAAAAAGAGATCACACTTACGTAACCTTGATTACAGTATATAGTTACAATTGTTCTATTTTATTATTATTGTTATTAATCTCTAACTCTACCTAATTTGTAAATTAAACTTTATCATAGATATTGTGAAAGGAAAGTGAATCTTGGGGCCCCCAAATCACTAAGCTAAAGGAAAAAATCAAGCTGGGAACTCCTCAAGGCAAACCTGCCTCCCGTTCTATTCAGTCACCCCTCTGCTCACTGAGATAAATGCATGTCTGGTTGCCTCTTTTGGAGAGGCTAATCAGAAACTCAAAGAAATGCAACCATTTGTCTCTTTTCTACCTATGACCTGGAAGCCCCCACCCTGCTTTCAGTTGTCCTTCCTTCTGGACTGAACCAATGTTCATCTTACATATGTTGATTGATGTCTCATGTCACCCTAAAATGTATAAAACCAAATCATGCTCTGACCACCTTGGGCACATGTCATCAGGGCCTCGTTGGGCTGTGTCATGGGTGCATGTCCTCAACCTTGGCAAAATAAACTTTCTAAATTAACTGAGACCTGTCCCAGATATTTGGGATTCACAGTATGTACGTACAGGAACAAAGTATTATAGAGTTTGGTACGGTTTGAGGTTTCAGGCACCTACTGAGGATCTAGGAATGTCTCACCCATGGATAAGAAGGGACTACTGTGACTGTTCTTTACTATTAGTTTTTTCAGGAAGTTATTCTGAAATATGGAAACACTTTTATTTTCTCCTTCTACTTATATTGTGAAAGGAAAATAAATCTCAGCACCCCAAAATCACTAAAGCAAAGGGAAAAGTCAAGCTGGGAACTGTGTCAGACAAACCTGCCCTTCATTTTATTTCTAACTAAAATAGATACAAAGATAAAAAAACTACATATCTACCTCACAATTTTTCCAGAAGGAAATTCCTTGTTAGCCTCAAACTTCTTACCTGAAAACAGTTCTCTTGAATTTTACCCAGGCAATGCAAAATGATAGCTTCTTTTCAGAGGTCCCAGACAAAGGAGAGACAGAACTCAAAGTCATCCCTCTGCTCACCTGAGACAAATGCATATCTGATTGCTTCCTCTGCTCCTATTGTTTACATAAAATTGCAGATTCACTATGCCAGACTAAGACAATAGTGACTATTCCTCTATTTCCCTCTCACATGTAAATTGTGTACTCAGTGAAAGTCTAAGCAAAGACTCAAAAGAATGCAACATTTTGTCTTTTATCTACACATGATCTTGAATGCCCTCAACCCCAGCTTCAAGTTGTCCTGCCTTTGGGACCAAATCAATGTACATCTCACACATACTGATTCTCATGTCTCACTAAAATGTATAAAACCAAGCAGTGCCCGGACCACCTTGGACACATGTCATTATGACCTCCTGAGGCTATGTCACAGGTGTGTCCTTAACCTTGGCAAAATAAACTTCCAAATTGATTTAGACCTGTCTCCAATCCTTTTGATTCCCAATATCGTTATCTCTTATAATCCTTGTGCATAGGCATGCAATGTATAATGATCAAATCAGGGCAACTGGGGTATTCAACATCTCAAGCATTTATCATTTCTTTGTGTTAAGAACATTCTTCTTCCACTCATTTAATTATTTTTAAAATATACAATAAATTATTGTAAACTGTAGTCACTCTATTGTGCTACCAAATACTAGATCTTATTATTATGTTTTGTATCCATTAACCATCCCCACTTTACCCTCCCCTCCTCAATACTATTCTCAACCTCTGGTAACCATAATTCTATTTTCTGAGTTAGTTCAATTTTTTTAACTCCCACATATCACTAAGAAAATGTCACATTTGTCTTTCTATCCCTGCCTTATTTCACTTAGCATAAGGTCTTCCAGTTCAATCCATGTTGCTGCAAATGACAATATTTGGTTTTTATGGCTTAATATATTCCATTGTGTATCCATACCACATTTTCTTTATCCATTAGTTTGTTTATGGACAATTAAGTTGATTCCATGCCTTTGCTATAGTAAATAGTGCTGCAACATATATGGGTGTGCAGACATCTCTTCAGTATGCTGATTTCCTTTCTTTTGGATAGATACACAACAATGGGATTGCTAGATCATAGGGTAGTCCTATTTTTAGTTTTCTGAGGAACCTCCATATTGTTCTTCATAGTAGCTGTGTCAATTTTTATTCTCATCAACACTGAACAAGTGTTCCCCTTTCTCCACATCCTCACCAGCATTCATTATTGCCTGCCTTTTTAAGAAAAGACATTTTAACTGGGGTGAGATAATGTTTCATTGTAGTTTTGATTTGCATTTTTCTGATGATTAGTGATGTTTATTATTTTTTCGTATATCTGTTAGGCATTTGTATGTCCTCTTTTGAGAAGTGTGTTTTGCACATTTTTAAATCAAAATTTTTTCCTATTGAGTTGTTTGAGCACTTTATATATTCTCATTATTAATTCATTTCAGATGGATTGTTTGCAAATATTTTTCCCAATATGAGGGTTGTCTTTCAATTTCTTGTTTACTTTGCTGTTCAGAAGCTTTTAAGTTTGATATGGTTCGGTTATTCTATTTTTACTTCATTTGCCTGTGCTTTTGCTTTTGTAGTCTTACTCAAGAAATCTCTGCCTAAACCAATGTCCTAGAGTGTTTTCTAACAGTTTCCTTCTGTTTTATAGTTTCAGGTATTTGTAAGTATTTTATTCATTTTGGTTTGGTTTTTGTATATGGTGAGAAATAGGAGTCTAGTTTTATTCTTCTGCATGTAGATATTCAGTTTTCCCAGCACCATTTATGGAAGATTGTTCTTTCCCCAATGTAGCATTTTGGCATTTTTGTCTTTTGGCATTTTTATCAAAAATTAGTTTACTGTAAATGTGTGGATTTATTTATGGGTCCTCTATTCTGTTTCATTGGTCTATGTGTCTGTTTTTATGTCATTGCTATTGTGAATAGTATGGCAATGAACATACATGTGCATGTGTCTTTATGATAGAATGATTTCTATTACTTTGGGTATATAGCCAGTAATGGGATTGCTGGGTCAAATGGCAGTTCTGATTTTAGCTCTTAGAGAAATTGTCACACTACTTTCCATAATGGTTGAACTAATTTACACTCCCACCAACAGTGTATACGCATTCCCTTTTCCCCAGAACCTTGCCAGCATCTATTATTTTGACTTTTTCATAGTAGCCATTCTGACTAGTGTGAATGGTATCTCATTGTGGTTTTTATTTGTATTTCTCTAGTAATCAGAGAATGTATTAGTCTATTCTCATGTGGCTAATAAAGACATACCTGAGACTGGATAACTTATAAAGAAACAGAAGTTTAAAAAACTCACAGTTCCACATAACTGGGGAGGCCTCACAATCCTGGTGGAAGGCAAAGGAGGAGTAAAGGCACATCTTACATGGTGGCAGGCAGGAGAGCATGTGCAGGGGAAATGCCCTTTTTAAAACTATCAGATCTCATGAGATTTATTCACTATCATGAGAATGGCATGTGAAAAACCTACCCCCATGATTCAATTACCTCCCACTGGGTCCCTCCCACATGTGGGGATTATGGGAGCTAAAATTCAAGATGAGATTTGGGTAGAGACACAGCCAAACCATATCCATCAGTGATATTGAGCTTTTATTCATATGCTGCTGGCCCCATGTATGTTTTCTTTTGAAAAGTGTCCATGTCCTTTGGCCATTTTTGAGTGGGGTTGTTTGGGGGCTTTTTTTTGAAAAATTTTTATGTTCCTTATAGACGCCTAATATAGTTTAAATATTAGACTTTTGTCAGATGCATAGTTTGAAAATATTTTTCCCATTCTGTAGGTTGTCTTTTTCACTCTGTTGGTAGCTTCTTTTGCTGTGCAGAAGCTCTTTAGTTTAAGTAAATCCCATTTGTCCATTTTTTTGTTGTTGTTGCAAGTGCTTTTGTGATCTTCATTATGAAATCTTTGCCAGGGCATATGTCTAAAATGGTATTTTCTAGGTTTTCTTTAAGAAGTTTTATGGTATTAGGGTTTATCTTTAAGCTCTTAATCTATCTTGAGTTGATTTTTGTACATGGTGAAAGGTACGGTGTCCTGTTTTAGTCATCTACAGATGTTTATCCACTGCTTTTTTTTGTTGACATTGTCAAAGATCAGATGGCTGTAAGCATGTGGCTTTATTTCTGGGCTTTCGATTTGGTTTTTCTTGGTCTATTTGTCTGTTTTTGTACCAGGACCATGCTGTTTTGGTCACTGTGTTACTTGTTTCTTCATCTATTTAGGTTTTGGATATCTTCATGGTTCAATCTTAGTGCATTGTTTTTATCTAGAAATTTATCAGTTCCTCTAGGATTTCTAATTTATTGGCATGCAGTTGCTCATAATAGCCTCTAATAATCCTTTGAATGTCTGTAATGTTTGTTGCAATGTTTTATTTTTCATCTCGGATTTCATTTATTTGTGTCTCTTTTTTTTTCTTAGTCTGGCTAGGTTTATCATTTTTGCTTATCTTTTAAAAGATGACTTTTCCTGTTCTGGATCTTTGGTACTTTTTTGGTCTCAATTGCATTTATTTCTGCTCGCATTTTTACTATTTTTTTGTACTTATTTTGGATCTGGTTTTGTCTGGCTTCTCTAGTTTTATAAGGTGCATCATTAGGTTTTCATTTGAAGTTTTTCTGATATTTTGATATAGGCATTTATCAACATAAATTTCCCTCTTTGTGCTACTTTTGTTCTATCCCATACGTTATACTACTTGTGTTTTCATTTTCATTTGTTTCAAGAAAATTTTTAAATTGCCCTATTAATTTCTTCATTAACATATGGTCATTCAAAATTATATTGTTTAATCTCCATGGGTTTGTATACTTTCCAACATTCTTGCTATTAATTTTTAGTTTTAATACTGCGGTCAGAACAAATGCTTCATAAAATTTCCTTTTTTCTTTTAAAATTTTTGAGACTTGTTTCGTGGTCTAACATATGGCCTATCTTTGAGAGTGTTTTGTGTTCTGAAGAGACGACTGTGTATTCTGCAGCTGTTGGATAAAATTGATATGTCCAATGCTGAAAGTAGGGTGTTGAAGTGTCAGGTGAATATATATTTAAAATTATTATATTTTCTTGCTGGATTTGTCTCTATCATGGTATAATGGGAATTTATACCTTTCTAAAATTTTTTCTTGAAATATATTTTATCAGATATAAATATAGCTAGTCCTGCTCTTTTTGGGTTTCCACTTTCATAGAATATCTATTTCCATTCCTTTCAGTCTATGTGTGTCTTTATAGGTGAAGTGTGTCTCTTGTGTTGTATTGAATTGTTTCTTGTATCGTATTTTTTCTTTTTTTTAATTTTACTTTAAGCTCTGGGATACATGTGCTGAATGTGCAGGTTTGTTACATGGGTATACATGTGCCATGGTGGTTTGTTAGGCCTATAATTTAGTTTATTTATATTCAATGTTAATGTTGATAGGTATGAACTTACTACTACCATTATGTAATTTGTCTTCTGACTATTTCTCTCTTTCTTCCTTTCTTACTGTTTTCTTTTGTGTAAATGATTTTTGTTTTGTAATATGTTTTAATTTATTGCTTTTAGTTTTCTGTGCATCTGTTACCAGTTCCTATTTTGCAGTTCCAAAGGCTTGTAAATAACATCTTATAACCAATTATTTTTAACTGATGACAGCTTAATTCTGATTAAAAATAATGATGATAAAAGCAAACAAACAAGGAGAAAATTTAAAAACTCTACACTTTGATGAAGAAAAGGGCTTCAACAAAATTCAACAGCCCTTCATGCTAAAAACTCTCAATAAAGTAGGTATTGATGGGACATATCTCAAAATAATAAGAGCTATTTATGATAAACCCACAGCCAATATCATACTGAATGGGCAAAAACTAGAAGTATTCCCTTTGAAAACTGGCACAAGACAGGGATGCCCTGTCTCACCATTCCTATTCAATATAGTGTTGGAAATTCTGGCCAGGGCAATCAGGCGGAAGAAAGAAATAAAGGGTATTCAATTAGGAAAACAGGAAGCCAAATTGTCCCTGTTTGCAGATGACATGATTGTATATTTAGAAAACCCCATCATCTCAGCCCACAGTCTCCTTAAGCTGGTAAGCAACTTCAGCAAAGTCTCAGGATACAAAATAAATATGCAAAAATCACAAGCATTCCTGTACACCAATAACAGACAGAGAGCCAAATCATGAGTGAACTCTCATTCACAATAGCTTCAAAGAGAATAAAATACCTAGGAATCCAACTTACAAGGGAAGTGAAGGACCTCTTCAAGGAGAACTACAAACCACTGCTCAATGAAATAAAAGAGGACACAAACAAATGGAAGAACATTCCATGCTTATGGATAGGAAGAATCAATACCGTGAAAATGGCCATACTGCCCAAGGTAATTTATAGATTCAATGCCATCCCCATCAAGTTACCGATGACTTTCTTCACAGAATTGGAAGGAACTACTTTAAAGTTCATATGGAACCAAAAGAGAGCCCACATTGACAAGACAATCCTAAGCCAAAAGAACAAAGCTGCAGGCATCATGCTACCTGACTTCAATCTATACTACAAGGATACAGTAACCAAAACAGCATGGTACTGGTACCAAAACAGAGATATAGACCAATGGAACAGAACAGAGCCCTCAGAAATAATACCACACATCTACAACCATCTGATCTTTGACAAACCTGACAAAAACAAAACTGGGGAAAGGATTCCCTATTTAATAAATGGTGCTGGGAAAACTGGCTAGCCATATGTAGAAAGCTGAAACTGGATCCCTTCCTTACAGCTTATACAAAAATTAATTCAAGATGGATTGAAGACTTAAATGTTAGACCTAAAACCATAAAAACCCTAGAAGAAAATCTAGGCAATACCATTTAGGACATAGGCATGGGCAAGTACTTCATGATTAAAACAACAAAAACAATGGCAACAAAAGCAATATAGACAAATGGGATCTAATTAAACTAAAGAGCTTCTGCACAGCAAAACAAACAAACAAAACAAAACAAAACAACAACAAAAAAAACTACCATCAGAGTGAACAGGCAACCTACAGAATGGGAGAAAATTTTTACAATCTACCCATCTGACAGGGCTAATATCCAGAATCTACAAATAACTTAAACAAATTTACAAGAAAAAAAAATCATACAATTCCATCAAAAAGTGGGCAAAGGATATGAACAGATACTTCTCAAAAGAAGATATTTATGCAGCCAACAGGCACATGAAAAAATGCTCATCATCACTGGCCATCAGAGAAATGCAAATCAAAACCACAATGAGATACCAAATCACACCAGTTAGAATGGCGATCATTAAAAAGTCAGGAAACAGGTGCTGGGGAGGATGTGAAGAAATAGGAACACTTTTATGCTGTTGGTGGGACTGTAATCTAGTTCAACCATTGTGGAAGACAGTGTGGCGATTTCTCAAGGAACTAGAACTAGAAATACCATTTGACCCAGCCATCCCTTTACTGGGTATATACCCAAAGGATTATAAATCATGCTGCTATAAAGACACATGCACACATATGTTTACTGCGGCACTATTCACAATAACAAATACTTGGAATCAACCCAAATGTCCATCAATGATAGACTGTATTAAGAAAATGTGGCACAGATACACCATGGAATACTATGCAGCCATAAAAAAGGATGAGTTCATATCCTTTGTACGGACATGGATGAAGCCAAAAACCATCATTCTGAGCAAACTATCACAAGGACAGGAAACCAAACACCACATGTTCTCACTCATAGGTGGGAATTGAACAATGAGGACACTTGGGCACAGGGTGGGGAACATCACACACTGGGGCCTGTCATGGGGTGTGGGGAGCGGGGAGGGATAGCATTAGGAGAAATACCTAGAAGGAGGAGCCAAGATGGCCGAATAGGAACAGCTCCAGTCTACAGCTCCCAGCGTGAGCAACGCAGAAGATGGTGATTTCTGCATTTCCATCTGAGGTACCGGCTTCATCTCACTAGGGAGTGCCAGACAGTGGGTGCAGGTCAGTGGGTGTGCGCACCGTGCACGAGCCGAAGCAGGGCGAGGCACTGCCTCACTTGGGAAGTGCAAGGGGTCAGGGAGTTCCCTTTCCGAGTCAAAGAAAGGGGTGACAGACGGCACCTGGAAAATCGGGTCACTCCCACCTGAATACTGCGCTTTTCCGACGGGCTTAAAAAACGGCGCACCACGAGATTATCTCCCATACCTGGCTCGGAGGGTCCTACACCCACGGAGTCTCGCTGATTGCTAGCACAGCAGTCTGAGATCAAACTGCAAGGCGGCAGTGAAGCTGGGGGAGGGGCGCCCGCCATTGCCCAGGCTTGATTAGGTAAACAAAGCAGCTGGGAAGCTTGAACTGGGTGGAGCCCACCACAGCTCAAGGAGGCCTACCTGCCTCTGTAGGCTCCACCTCTGGGGGCAGGGCACAGACAAACAAAAAGACAGCAGTAACCTCTGCAGACTTAAATGTCCCTGTCTGACAGCTTTGAAGAGAGCAGTGGTTCTCCCAGCACGCAGCTGGAGATCTGAGAACCGGCAGACTGCCTCCTCAAGTGGGTCTGACCCGCGAGCAGCCTAACTGGGAGGCACCCCCCAGCAGGGGCACACTGACATCTCACAAGTCAGGGTATTCCAACAGACTTGCAGATGAGGGTCCTGTCTGTTAGAAGGAAAACTAACAAACAGAAAGGACATCCACACCGAAAACCCATCTGTACATCACCATCATCAAAGACCAAAAGTAGATAAAAACCACAAAGATGGGGAAAAAACAGAACAGAAAAACTGGAAACTCTAAAAAGCAGAGCGCCTCTCCTCCTCCAAAGGAACACAGTTCCTTACCAGCAACGGAACAAAGCTGGATGGAGAAAGACTTTGACGAGCTGAGAGAAGAAGGCTACAGACGATCAAATTACTCTGAGCTATGGGAGGACATTCAAACCAAAGGCAAAGAAGTTGAAAACTTTGAAAAAAATTTAGAAGAATGTATAACTAGAATAACCAATACAGAGAGGTGCTTAAAGGAGCTGATGGAGCTGAAAACCAAGGCTCGAGACCTACGTGAAGAATGCAGAAGCCTCAGGAGCCGATGCGATCAACTGGAAGAAAGGGTATCAGCGATGGAAGATGAAATGAATGAAATGAAGCCATAAGGGAAGTTTAGAGAAAAAAGAATAAAAAGAAATGAGCAAAGCCTCCAAGAAATATGGGACTATGTGAAAAGACCAAATCTACGTCTGATTGGTGTACCTGAAAGTGATAGGGAGAATGGAACCAAGTTGGAAAACACTCTGCAGGATATTATCCAGGAGAACTTCCCCAATCTAGGAAGGCAGGCCAACGTTCAGATTCGGGAAATACAGAGAACACCACAAAGATACTCCTCGAGAAGACCAACTCCAAGACACGTAATTGTCAGATTCACCAAAGTTGAAATGAAGGAAAAAATGTTAAGGGCAGCCAGAGAGAAAGGTCGGGTTACCCTCAAAGGGAAGCCCATCAGACTAACAGTGGATCTCTCGGCAGAAAGCCTACAAGCCAGAAGAGAGTGGGGGCCAATATTCAACATTCTTAAAGAAAAGAATTTTCAACCCAGAATTTCATATCCAGCCAAACTAAGCTTCATAAGTGAAGGAGAAATAAAATACTTTACAGACAAGCAAATGCTGAGAGATTTTGTCACCACCAGGCCCGCCCTAAAAGAGCTCCTGAAGGAAGAGCTAAACATGGAAAGGAACAACCGGTACCAGCCGCTGCAAAATCATGCCAAAATGTAAAGACCATCAAGACTAGGAAGAAACTGCATCAACTAATGAGCAAAATAACCAGGTAACATCATAATGACAGGATCAAATTCACACATAACAATATTAACTTTAAATGTAAATGGACTAAATGCTCCAATTAAAAGACACAGACTGGCAAATTGGATAAAGAGTCAAGACCCATCAGTGTGCTATATTCCGGAAACCCATCTCACGTGCAGAGACACACATAGGCTCAAAATAAAAGGATGGAGGAAGATCTACCAAGCCAATGGAAAACAAAAACAGGCAGGGGTTGCAATCCACATCTCTGATAAAACAGACTTTAAACCAACAAAGATCAAAAGAGACAAAGAAGGCCATTACATAATGGTAAAGGGATCAATTCAACAAGAAAAGCTAACTATCCTAAATGTATATGCACCCAACACAGGAGCACCCAGATTCATAATGCAAGTCCTGAGTGACCTACAAAGAGACTTAGACTCCCACACATTAATAATGGGAGACTTTAACACCCCACTGTCAACATTAGACAGATTAACGAGACAGAAAGTCAACAAGGATACCCAGGAATTGAACTCAGCTCTGCACCAAGTGGACCTAATAGACATCTATAGAACTCTCCAACCCAAATCAACAGAATATACATTGTTTTCAGCACCACACCACACCTATTCCAAAATTGACCACATACTTGGAAGTAAAGCTCTCCTCAGCAAATGTAAAAGAACAGAAATTATAACAAACTATCTCTCAGACCACAGTGCAATCAAACTAGAACTCAGGATTAAGAAACTCACTCAAATCCGCTCAACTGCATGGAAACTGAACAACCTGCTCCTGAATGACTACTGGGTACATAACGAAATGAAGGCAGAAATAAAGATGTTCTTTAAAAACAATGAGAATAAAGACGCAACATGCCAGAATCTCTGGGACACATTCAAAGCAGTGTGTAGAGGGAAATTCTTAGCACTAAATGCCCACAAGAGAAAGCAGGAAAGATCCAAAATCAACACCCTAACATCACAATTAAAAGAACTAGAAAAGCAAGAGCAAACACATTCCAAAGCTAGTAGAAGGCAAGAAATAACTAAAATCAGAGCAGAACTGAAGGAAATAGAGACACAAAAAACCCTTCAAAAAATTAATGAATCCAGGAGCTGGTTTTTTGAAAGGATCAACAAAATTGATAGACCACTAGCAAGACTAATAAAGAAAAAAAGAGAGAAGAATCAAATAGACACAATAAAAAATGATAAAGGGGATATCACCACCGATCCCACAGAAATACAAACTACCGTCAGAGAATACTACAAACACCTCTACGCAAATAAACTAGAAAATCTAGAAGAAATGGATAAATTCCTCGACACATACACACTCCCAAGACTAAACCAGGAAGAATTTGAATCTCTGAATAGACCAGTAACAGGATCTGAAATTGTGGCAATAATCAATAGCTTACCAACGAAAAAGAGTCCAGGACCAGATGGATTCACAGCCGAATTCTACCGGAGGTACAAGGAGGAACTGGTACCATTCCTTCTGAAACTATTCCAATCAATAGAAAAAGAGGGAATCCTCCCTAACTCATTTTATGAAGCCAGCATCATTCTGATACCAAAGCCAGGCAGAGACACAACAAAAAAAGAGAATTTTAGACCAATATCCTTGATGAACATTGAAGCAAAAATCCTCAATAAAATACTGGCAAAATGAATCCAGCAGCACATCAAAAAGCTTATCCACCATGATCAAGTGGGCTTCATCTCTGGGATGCAAGGCTGGTTCAATATACGCAAATCAATAAATGTAATCCAGCATATAAACAGAGCCAAAGACAAAAACCACATGATTATCTCAATAGATGCAGAAAAAGCCTTTGACAAAATTCAACAACCCTTCATGCTAAAAACTCTCAATAAATTAGGTACTGCTGGGACGTATTTCAAAATAATAAGAGCTATCTATGACAAACCCACAGCCAATATCATACTGAATGGGCAAAAACTGGAAGCATTCCCTTTGAAAACTGGCACAAGACAGGGATGCCCTCTCTCACCACTCCTATTCAATATAGTGTTGGAAGTTCTGGCCAGGGCAATTAGGCAGGAGAAGGAAATAAAGGGTATTCAATTAGGAAAAGAGGAAGTCAAATTGTCCCTCTTTGCTGATGACATGATTGTATATCTAGAAAAACTCATTGTCTCAGCCCAAAATCTCCTTAAGCTGATAAGCAACTTCAGCAAAGTCTCAGGATACAAAATTAATGTACAAAAATCACAAGCATTCTTATACACCAATAACAGACAAACAGAGAGCCAAATCATGAGTGAACTCCCATTCACAATTGCTTCAAAGAGAATAAAATACCTAGGAATCCAACTTACAAGGAATGTGAAGGACCTCTTCAAGGAGAACTACAAACCACTGCTCAAGGAAATAAAAGAGGATACAAACAAATGGAAGAACATTCCATGCTCATGGGTAGGAAGAATCAATATCGTGAAAATGGCCATACTGCCCAAGGGAATTTACAGATTCAATGCCATTCCCATCAAGCTACCAAAGACTTTCTTCACAGAATTGGAAAAAACTACTTTAAAGTTCATATGGAACCAAAAAAGAGCCCACATCACCAAGTCAATCCTAAGCCAAAAGAACAAAGCTGGAGGCATCACACTGCCTGCCTTCAAACTATACTACAAGGCTACAGTAACCAAAACAGCATGGTACTGGTACCAAAACAGAGATATAGATCAATGGAACAGAACAGAGCCCTCAGAAATAACGCCACATATCTACAACTATCTGATCTTTGACAAACCTGAGAGAAACAAGCAATGGGGAAAGGATTCCCTATTTAATAAATGGTGCTGGGAAAACTGGCTAGCCATATGTAGAAAGCTGAAACTGGATCCCTTCCTTACAGCTTATACAAAAATCAATTCAAGATGGATTAAAGACTTAAACATTAGACCTAAAACCATAAAAACTCTAGAAGAAAATCTAGGCATTACCATTCAGGACATAGGCATGGGCAAGGACTTCATGTCTAAAACACCAAAAGCAATGGCAACAAAAGACAAATTGACAAATGGGATCTAATTAAACTAAAGAGCTTCTGCACAGCAAAAGAAACTGCCATCAGAGTGAACAGGCAACCTACAAAATGGGAGAAAATTTTCGCAACCTACTCATCTGACAAAGGGCTAATATTCAGAATCTACAATGAACTCTAACAAATTTACAAGAGAAAAACAAACAACCCCATCAAAAAGTGGGCAAAGGACATGAACAGACACTTCTCAAAAGAAGACATTTATGCAGCCAAAAAACACATGAAAAAATGCTCACCATCACTGGCCATCAGAGAAATGCAAATCAAAACCACAATGAGATACCATCTCACACCAGTTAGAATGGCAATCATTAAAAATTCAGGAAACAACAGGTGCTGGAGAGGATGTGGAGAAATAGGAACACTTTTACACTGTTGGTGGGACTGTAAACTAGTTCAACCATTGTGGAAGTCAGTGTGGCGATTCCTCAGGGATCTAGAACTAGAAATACCATTTGACCCAGCC
Organism: Homo sapiens; assembly: GCF_000001405.40. Taxonomy (NCBI): domain Eukaryota; kingdom Metazoa; phylum Chordata; class Mammalia; order Primates; family Hominidae; genus Homo; species Homo sapiens. Next base: position 185,586,412 of record NC_000002.12, on the reverse strand, counting down.
ATCCCATTACTGGGTATATACCCAAAGGATTATAAATCATGCTGCTATAAAGACACATGCACACGTATGTTTATTGCGGCATTATTCACAATAGCAAAGTCTTGGAACCAACCCAAATGTCCAACAATGATAGACTGGATTAAGAAAATGTGGCACATATACACCATGGAATACTATGCAGCCATAAAAAATGATGAGTTCATGTCATTTGTAGGGACATGGATGAAATTGGAAATCATCATTCTCAGTAAACTATCGCAAGAACAAAAAACCAAACACCGCATATTCTCACTCGTAGGTGGGAATTGAACAATGAGATCACATGGACACAGGAAGGGGAATATCACACTCTAGGGACTGTTTTGGGGTGGGGGGAGCGGGGAGGGATAGCATTGGGAGATATACCTAATGCTAGATGATGAGTTAGTGGGTGCAGCGCACCAGCATGGCACATGTATACATATGTAACTAACCTGCACAATGTGCACATGTACCCTAAAACTTAAAGTATAATAAAAAAATAAATAAATAAAATTAAATTAAAAAAAGGAGAAATACCTAATGTAAATGACGAGTTAATGGGTGCAGCACACCAACAAGGCACATGTATACATATGTAACAAATCTGCACATTGTGCACATGTACCCTAGAACTTAAAGTATAATAAAAAATAAAAACTCTACACTTTAACTTCAATCCTCTAACTTTTCTACTTTCTGTTGTCTTTATTCAGATCTTTTTAAACCATCTCTTAAAAATTGTTGTAGCTATTGTTTTTGATAGGTTTGTCTTTCTTTCTTATACTAAAGATATGAGTGGTTTCCAGATTGCAATTACAGTGTCACACTATTCTCTGTTGAGAACAGGCCCCCAGATCTGGCCATAAACTGGCCCCAAAACTGGCCATAAAGAAAATCTCTGCAGCACTGTGACATGTTCGTGATGGCCATGACGCCCACGCTGAAGGTTGTAGGTTTACCGGAATGAGGTCAAGGAATACCTGGCACACCCAGGGCGGAAAATTGCTTAAAGGTTCCTAAACCACAAACCATAGCATGAGCAATCTGTGCCTTAAGGACATGTTCCTGCTGCAGATAACTAGCCAGAGCACATCCCTTTGTTTTGGCCCATCCCTTTGTTTCCCATAAGGAATACTTTTAGTTAATCTATAATCTACAGAAACAATGCTTATCACTGGCTTGCTGTCAATAAATATGTGGGTAAAACTCTGTTCCAGGCTCTTAGCTCTGAAGGCTGTGAGTCCCCTGATTTCCCACTCCACACTCTATATTTCTGTGTGTGTGTCTTTAATTCCTCTAGTGCCGTTGGGTTAGGGTCTCCAAGACCAAGCTGGCCTTGGCAATTCTGTATTTATGTATTTACCGTTAGCAGGTGATTTCTGGTTGTTCATTAGTGTCCTTTCCTTTCAAACTGAAAAATTTCCTTTAGCATATCTCGTACGACAGGTCTTGTGCTGAAAAAAATCCCTTAGCTTTTGTTTGTCAGGAAAAATATTTCTCTTTCATGTTTGAAGGATAATTTTCCTGGATATGTTATTCTAGGTTGACAGTACTTTTCCTTCAGCACTGAATATTTTATCCTACTCTCTTCTGTCCTAAAACGTTTCTCTTGAGAAGTCTGTTGCCGGGCATATTGGAGCCCCTTTATTTGTGATTTGCTTCTTTCCTCTTACTGCTTTTAGGACCCTTTCTTTATTTCTAACCTTTACAGTTTAACTAATGTATGCCTTGAGCCAGTCTTATTAGGGTTGAATCTTCTTAGAGTTCTATGACCTTTTTGTATCTGGTTATTCATATCTTCCTCTAGGCTTGGAAATTACTGTTATTATTCCTTTGCATTAACTTTCTACTCAGATCACTCTCTCTATGTCTTCTTTATGGCCGATAACTCTTAGAATTGCCTTTTTGAGGCTATTTTCTAGATCTTGTAGGTATGTTTTACTTTTTTTCTATTTTTCTTTATTTTTTTTTCTTCTGATTGCATTTTCATATAGCTTGTCTTCAAACTCACTATTTTTTTCTTCTTCTTGATTGGTTCTGTTGTTGAGAGACTCATGCATATTTTCAATTTGCCAGTTAAATTTTTCAGCTCCAGAATTTCAGCTTGATTTTAAAAAACTGTTTCAATCTTAATGTTAAATTTCTATGACAGAATTTAGAATTTCTCCTCTGGGTATCTTGAAGTTCACTTAGTTTGCTCAAGGCCACTATTTTGAATTCTCTGAAAGATCACATTTCTTAGTCATTCCATTTACACCTTATTTAGTTTGGTGAGGTTGTGTTTTCCTGGATATGCATGATGACTGTGAACATTTGTTGATGTCTGGGCATTGAAGAGTTAGGTATTTATTCCAGTCTTTGCTGTCTGGGGTTGTTTGTCTGGGCATCTTTCTTTAGCAGGTTTTTTATGTATTCAGAGTAGACTCAATGTTGCGATCTAAACCTGTGGTCACTGCATCCATATCAGCACTAAAGGGTGCCCTAAGCCCAAGAATGCTCTAATTCTTGCCAACTCCTACAGGCACCACTTTAGTAGGGCTGGGTAAAATAAGAGAGAATTTACTTAGTTATCAGACAAAGTATCTTGCCCTCTTCCCACTCTTCCCCCACAAATCGGCATAAGAATCTCCACATTCTGTGCTGCCTGGAGTTGGGAGAGGGGTGACATGGGCAGTCTTGTGGCCACCACAGCTGGCATGGCACTGGGTCATTCCTGAGATTTTGCACAAGACCTGTGGTGACTAATACCTGGCTACCACTGATGTTTATTCAAGACCCAAGGGCTGTGAGTCAGCAGGTGGTGATTCTTGTTGTAATGGGTTCTTCCCTTCCTGGCAGCACATTCCATTCTGGCCCAGGATGGGGGTAGAAATGCTATGCGGAAGACCTGGAATTGGAAACTTTAGGAATCTACTTGGTGCTTTATTTTACTGTCATTGACCTGGTACTTAAGTTGAAGGACAAAGTTCTCTGTACTCTTCCCTCTCCTTTCCCCAAATAGAAAGAGTCTCTCTTTGACCTCTACTTCCTGGAGTTGGTAGACAGGTGAAGTAGATACTACCTTGGCCACCACAGGCAGTGTTGCACTGTAATGTGCACCCCAATGCCACTGCTTCTGAGACCAGCACAGCACCAAGGCTTGCCCAAGGACTGCAGTCCTTGTGATCTGACTACCATCCAAATTTATTCTTGGCCATAGGCCATGTTAGTTCACCAGTGGTGGAGCCAGCCAGGACTTATGTTTAATGAGCTGGGGCTGAGAAAAGTTCCTCTCTGGCCCTGGGCTGGTCTAAATGCTGCCTCTGTGAGCTGCAACAAAATTCTACCCTATGTTTTGTTTCGCCATGACAGGTCAGCACTGAGTTACATTGCATAGACACACACTCAACTCTTCCTCCCCAAAGAGCACAAGCTTTTCTCCACGGTGCTGATATGGGATGAGAGAAGGATGGTGTAGGCATTACAAGATTGTTTTCTGCCCTCTTTGATGCTTCTGTCTTTGATATTATGTTAACATCAGGTACTGTGATGGCTTGTCTGATTTTTTTTGGTTATTACTGAAGGTCCTTTCTTGTGTACATAGTTGTTCAGTTCGATGTCTCTGTGGGAGGATGATTGCAGCAGAGTTCTATTCAGCCATCTTGCTCTGCCTCCCTCTCCTATTAAGGAATGAGCCAAGTCTTATATAAACATACACATATCAAATATTTAGCACAGTATCTGCAACACAGTTAGTACTGTTTTTTTTTATTGTAACATGATCTAATGCAGATAAGTAATCAAGTGGAGAAAATTTATGAGACTCACTATTTAAAAACTTGCAAAAGAAATATTTAAGCGTTATTGTATATAACACAAAATTCAATAATAAAATGTTTAAACTTTCCTTTCTATAAAACATCAAAGTAATAAATCTATGAGGTAGTGTCCTGAATAAAATGTGAGACGAGGGAGTTTTCAGTTGTGGTAATCACCATTTTCTTTCCAATAAGTTGAGTCTCTAAGTGGCCAGACAATAATTAAACTAATAACATAAACCATTAGCTGGTCATAAAAGGCTTTGTTGTTGTTGTAAGATGACAGCTGTGCAGATAGATGAACCAAGGAAGTATTGAGTGGTACAGGAACTACCACAGCACTGAGATTTAATTTCTAGATGTATACTACTATGAATTTTGATGGCATTCAAAACTTTCCTGTTTTGCATAAGTTATCCCTTAGGTTTCTCTGTGCCACTTCTAAAATAGTCTCTAAACACCTACCTTGGCCTTTGACTGACTCCCTAAATTAAAATGACTATTATTAAGAAAATATGTGCAACTTATTTTGTACACTCTGAGTCTAACTCATAAAATAATACACAATAACCAGTAGGTTATGTCATAGTTTTAAACTAAAAGCCTAACAAAAATAGGTCATTAAAAGTTAATGGGATTTTTCTCACTCTGTAGGAACATAATTCTCTATGCTTCTGTCATCTTCATTCTAATCCTGAGATCCAGCTGTTGAATAGACTTGAGATTATCACACAGTATACATTTATGTGTAAAATTGAATTCCTATTAAAGCTCATTTCTTCAATTGAAATATGCCTTGTAGCATTTCCCACGAAGAAGCCTGCTGTGGTCTGTCATGATACACTGAAAACAGACTTTCCTCTTTCAGCTTACTGCTTAGTGCCTGGGGAATGTGTTATTTATTCTATTTTCTTTTGTTTATTTCTTTTGGTTATAATCTGCACTATTTTGACAGAAAGAACACCAATTTGGCACTACTCTGTTTAAAATAAAGTGGAGTATATAATATTCTCACATTACCAATACTGTTTAAATGTGGAAACTCATAACAGGCAAATCAGTGTGCTGCTGCAAGAAATACTTGTAAGAATAATTGTCTCCTCTGTATTGTTATGGTAATAATTTCACTGGAAATAGTTTGGATTTTAAGAACTTACCCTAGACACATCTTAATCTTAGTATGAAATAGATTGACTATATTCTCATCACAAATAATAAAGAATTATTTTGAATTCGGATTAACATTTCAGTTCATAATATTTTTCCCCATCTGGTTCCTCTTCTGATCACTCTCATCACTTATCTGACTAGTGGGAAACATTTAAATGTCTTTCCTGATTTTAGTACTTAATATACGTTTATTTTTTCTTAATATTACAGAAAAAGTATTCTTTTTAAGATGTACATCTGGGAATGTGATTCCACTGCTGAAAATATTCAATGGCTTCTTAATATCTGTGATTCACTCATACATTAATCTTGGACCTATGTTGGATTATTATAACAAGACATTCAGGAGAAAAAAGAATTGTAAAAAAGAACAGTTCAAAGTATAGTATTTGAGAGAGAAGAAAGTTTTTTTTTCATAAAATTTACCTCCTGAAGAAAAAAAAAAGAATTATATAAAATATTCTTAAAATCTTGTGAGATTTTAGAAGCAATATTAAAAAAGAATAGGATTAAAAATACACCCAAACTCCCGAACTGAGAAAGAACATTATAAACATTACAAAAATTCTAAAGCTACACAGATTCTAAAAGAGATAATTATAAGAACTACGATGCTAAGCGTATCTTAACATTACCCTAAAGTGTAGAGCAATATGGCTTCGCAGTTTAACATCAGAGGAAGAACAACAGGAATTTTATTTTCTCAAAATAAGCAGTGAAAGCCAGAAAACAATGAAATGATATACAGTTGACCCAAAGGTGAAAGGTAAAACAATAAAGCTTTTGGGAAAAAATATGTAATATAGCTTGATTATTTGGGATAGACAATGATATTACAATCAGATATAAAAATGCAATTGATAAAGTTCAAGAAAATATAAAATGGATACATTAGAATTAAGTAATTTTACTCAAATTTACATCTGGAATATAAAACTCCTAAAAATTAATAATAAGGGGCCGGGCGTGGTGGCTCACGCCTGTAATCCCAGCACCTGGGAGGCTGAGGCGGGCAGATCACGAGGTCAGGAGATCGAGACCATCCTGGCTAACATGGTGAAACCCCGTTTCTACTAAAAATACAAAAAATTAACTAGGTGTGGTTGGGCACCTGTAGTCCCAGCTACTTGAGAGGCTGAGGCAGGAGAATTGCTTGAATCTGGGAGGCGGAGGTTACAGTGAGCCGAGATCACGCCATTGCACTCCAGCCTGGGGGACAAGAGTGAGACTTAATCTCAAAAAAATAATAGTAATAATAATAATAATTCAATAGAAAATTGAGTGTTTCCCCAAAAGGGCATTTAAATTGTTAAAATTTTTGAAAAACATGTGAAACTATTAGCCATTAGAAAAATAAAAAGCAGAACTAAAAATTGATATTATTATAAATCTAAAATAATACCTGAAATGAAAAAGAGGCTGGCAAGTATTTTGAGCAGTTTGAATACTGCTGGTAGGAATATAAATTGGAATACACATTAAGAGGAAGTATTTGTGTGGCTAAAGCTGAATATGTTACCACTCATAGACCTGGGCAGGCAGTACTGCCTGTTGGGGCCCTGAACCCCAGGAGTGCTATGCTTCAGATTATGTACCTTATTTATATTTCCAAGTATATCTTTTGTGTCTGGTACTTGGCATAGTACATTGCCATAGGCATCATCAATTGCAGTGAGGACTCAATCACTCACTGGTTAAAGGTGAAGCACAAACAGACCATGGTTCAAACTGACGGTGAAACTGTTAATACTTTCACCAGTGATAAACTGGTTGGTATGGTATACTGGTTGAAGGAAATGCACTGGTAAGTGTGGTATCTCAGACTTCTGAGAGTTTCAGAACAACAGTAATTATTATTCAAAAATGAATATAAGGACTATTGTTAGACGTTGCTAATGTACTAAAGAAAAGTGGTGCATATCTAAGAATGACTAATTACCAAGTTAAATCAAAATGTGAAAACCAGGTAATCTCAAAGCCAGTACAAAAGGCACTCTTATCTTATTTAGATAAAGGCTAGAAATCACTAAGACCTGTGGCACATTATAATTATAGCAATGCTCCAATGAAGGTTGTGAATTTATCATCCCCAGCAGTCTACGCCAAGTATGCCTTCCCTGATTGGAAATAATAAATCCCTGAGATTTGGGGTGTGGGCATTCAGGAATCATGCACTCAACAACCCTGAATTCTCATATTTTCCTTAATCCTATGAATCCTCCTAAGTGACTCATTTCTGTCCTAAAACGCCAGTGTTTTCTTCCTAGCTTAAAATTGATACAGAGTTCTCTGTCTTGCAAGAGAACGTGTGCCTGTTTAGGATCTATGCCCTATACCCCTACTGGCCAACAGATCAATAACTATTGTTAAATTACAACACAACCCAGCCAGGTGATATATATGTATCACCACATAATGATGTTTCAGTCAGTGATAAATCACATATATGAGAGTAGCCCCATAAGATTATAATAGTGTATTTTTACTATACCTTTTCTATATTTATATATGTTTAGATACACAAATACTTACATTATGTTTTGCATTACATTTGCATTTGCAGTTGCCTACAGTATTCAGTACAGTAACATGCTGTACAGGCCTGTAGCCTAAGAGCAATAGGCTATACCCTATAGCCTAGGTGTTTTGTGTAAGTACACTCTATGACATTTGCACAATAATGAAATCATCTATAGACACATTTCTCAGAAAATATTCAAATTGCTTAACATACACTGTAGTGCAAGAGTTATTGCTGATTCAGTTTACTGAGGACTATCTAAAAATCAATGCGAGTGGGAAAACAAATTGAACTTGTACTGAGATTTGAGGGATTCCAATACTGTTTCTCTTAAGCTACAGCCCCTTAGGCGTCACATAAAATGAAACACATAATCAGCTTTCAGTATGTGTTTGCCTTCATTAATCATAAACTGTAGGCAAAGCCTGAGCTTGCAAATTTAGATCCTTTATTGTTGCTTCATGTTAATGATTATTGTCATTTATTTCCCTTTGGGTTTAACATTTTGAGCAACTACAGAGCACAGATGGTTGAAAGTCCTTGCAGAAATGTGATCAGCAAATGTGAACGAGTTGTATCCAAAATGCATGACAAAGGAAAATACTAAATTACTCCCTAACCTAGATAATCAATCAAAATATTATGCTATAATATATATAGCATATATAAATATATATAGCAAAACAGTCACAATTTTATTCTATCACTGAAATCCCAGCATGTGTACATTATGACATTGAGCACTAACCTCCAACTGAATGCTTACATTAAATAAAAAGATATATAAAAACCAAGTATTTTAATTGATGCTGACATTAACATACTAATTTTATTTCATCCATAAAAATATAGCTAACAATAAAAACATTTAGAAAAAACTGTATCATTTTAAACATCTTTACATTAGCATCTATAAAGCTGTGTTAATTTATAAAACTGTTTTAATCCTATAAAACTGTTCAACCATAATTGGAACTTTAGTTGCATATGAATATCACCTAAATAAGAAAGCCAATAATTTATATATAATATTATTTATATATTCATATATCAATTTAAATTTACAAGTCTCTCTACTTTTGATTCAGAGAAATTAATACACAGCCTTGAAACCAATCCTTGGTCAGGTTGCTACCTACATAAAAGGAATAATTCAGAAAATGATATGGCTGAATAATTACCAGACTTATTTTTAAAAATAAGCTTATTTATTTTTATTTGACAAATAATAGTTATATATATTTATGGGGCACAATGTGATGTTTTGATCTATGTATACATTAGAAAAAGATTAAATTAAGCTAATTAACACATCCACCACCTTACCAATTTAACATTTTTTTGTGTGTGGTGAGAACATTAAAAATCTATTAATTCAGCAGTTTTGAAATACATACTACATTATTAACTGTGTCATGATGAAGTGCAAAAGATCACTAAAACCTATTCCTCCAGTCTAACTAAAACTTGTATCCTTTGATCAACATATCCCCTTTCCATAACCATTTCAAACATGTTAGGAGCAATTAATCCGTTTCAACCACAGCTTTTGAAAAGGAGATCAGTATGTTACTACAGTCTTTTAAAATACTATTTTTTTTATTTTAAAATTGTGGCCATTCTTGTGGGAGTAATATGGTATCACATTGCGGTTTGCATTTCCCTGATAATTAGTGATATTGAAAAGGGAACGCTTTTACATTGCTGGTGGTAATGTAAACTATTACAACCACTATGGAAAACAACATGGAGATTCCTTAAAGAACTAAATGTAGATATACCATAAAATCCAGCAACTTCACTACTGGGTATCTACCTAGAGGAAAAGAAGTCATTATATGAAAAAGACACTTTCACGGGCATGTTTATAGCAGCACAATTTGCAATTGCAAAAATATAAAACCAGCCCAAATGCCCATCAGTCAATGAGTGGATAAAGAAAATGTGGTATTTATATGCCATGGAATACTACTCAGCCATAAGGAGGACTGAAATAATGGCATTCACAGCAACCTGGATGGAGTCGGAGACCATTATTCTGTGTAAAGTAACTCAGGAATGGAAAACCAAATATTGTATATTCTCTTTTGTAATGGGAGCTAAGCTATGAGAATGCAAAGGCATAAGAATGATACAGTGGTCTTTGGGGACTTGAGGTAAATGGTGGGAGGGGGCTGAGGGACAAAAGACTACACATTGTGTACAGTATACACTGCTTGGGTGATGGGCTCACCAAAATCTTAGAAATCACCACTAAAGAACTTATCCATCTAACAATACAGCACATGTTCCCCAAAAAACTATTGAAATTTTTTCAAAAAGACTATGGAATTTAGGGAGAGAAAATCTGTGTCTTACTGTGACTAAGTAGACTGAGTGACTCAGGAATATTTTTGAAATATTGGTGCTTCAAAATGTTGATCTAACTGGTAGTTTCAACAGGTTTGATTTATAACAAATAAAAAATATCCTTAGTAAATTGAGAATAGCGGCATTTCCATTGTCACGTAGTGTTTCTCAAAGAGTAGATTGCCTGCACCTGAATTACTCATTATGTCAGCAAAACATAGATTCTTATTTCCATCTTAGTTCTATCAAATCAAATTATCTGAGAATGGGTCCTGAGAAACTATGATACCAATAAATTCCCCTGGTCATTTTTAGCAAAACTAAAGTTTTAAAAGCATTGTAAGAAGCTGAATAATTATTTAACTGGACTAAGCTTTTTTTGCCAAGTACAGTCAATTCTTGTTAATAAAGAGAGTTTCCATGAAGTCACCACCAACAATGAGCTAGTGAATACTGAACTATTGCTCCAAGAAGAATACACTCTGGCACATAACCACTTTCTTTTTCTTTCTTTCTTTTTTTTTTTTTTTTTTTTTTTTTTAGACAGAGTCTGCTCTGTAGCTCAGGCTGGAGTGCAGTGGTGCAATCTTGACTCACTGTAACCTCCACCTCCCGGGTTCAAGCAATTCTCCTGCCTCAGCCTCCCAAGTAGCTGGGACTACAGGCGCCTGCCACCACGCCTGGCTAATTTTTGTATTTTTAATAAAGACGGGTTTTTATCATGTTGGCCAGGCTGGCCTCGAACTCCTGACCTCAGGCAATCTGCCCACCTTGGCCTCCCAATGTGCTGGGATTACAGGTGTGAGCCACTACACCTGGCCCATATAACCACTTTTTATAGCCAGGAACAAATGTATTTTATCTGCTCTAATCTGGATGCCTTTAGTTTTAATTTCAAGGATCAAGATTTAGAATAGTAACAACAAAAGTACTTGAACAGGGAACTGGAATTGCCATCTCTATTGAAGCTTAAAATGTGAAAAATATTGACCGAGAGTCTAAAATCTCACTTCAGTCATTCTCCAACCTTCACCTCTTATTGGGGATCTTGGTCTTTTTTGCAATGGTTTAGGTAAAGTGGACTTGTGTGTTCTATGACATTTTTAAGATTGCTTTTGCCCTATTCCAGGCAAATTGATTAAATCTTGCTTTTGCTCAATTTTAATTGACTATGCTAAATGTGGACTTAACCATTCACTCCCAGGGAGTCAACTATACATACAGTAATCTTAAAAGGTTACCAAAAAAATCACTGCTTTGATTATGGAAATGATAAAAGTAGGTTAATTGACTTCATTTTTAAAATTGTTCTACATGGCCAGTGTATTAAACAGAGGTTCCTAAAGGTTGCCAATGGACACCTGAGGATTAAACATGGTGGCTCCTCTAATTGCATCAGATACATGACATGGAAGTTTAACAGGTCAAAGAGATTGGTATGCTATTGTATACCTGGCCAATTTCTTTTTCATTCCAATTTTGGAGTCTAGCCAGGCATATGTGTCAATATAGTTAACTCCTCTTGACTTTCCTCCTCTAAGGAAGTAGTTTATCATCTGTGCGATGTACTCATTTGCTCTTGGTTATTGAATCTAATATCTACTTAACATTATTGGAATATTATTCTAGCAAGCTGAAACTTTTGTGTAGTATTACAGTAGACTATATGTTTCCATGCCACAATTTTGTGTGAATGTACACTGAAATCATAATAAACAAATAGAAGGTGACTGGCAAATGTAGCTAAAATTCATTTTTCTGCTCAATCTGTGAAAACTGGTAATTACATGGATAAATTTTTATCAGAGACATTCTTCAAACTGTGGAAAATAAGGAATTATCTCATATAATCTTCCCAATAAACAAGAAATTCAGAGACTGGCAGGGTTATTTAGGTTTTGTCAAAATTATATTCCATAGATTTTCTTTACCACTCTCACAATGCCATCACCCTACTCATATTTCCTGGAATCACCACCCTAAAAAAATTTATTACTTGTACTTACAACAATGTCTCAGGTTCTGCTTCTGGGGCTACTCAAAGTAAGATACAAGAGTAAACTAAAACTCACAAAGAATCATCGTTTACTCATTTTAATTATTGGTTGCTTTTACACAACCTACTTCTACTCCAGATGTCATCTAAAGTAAAAAGTGGAATTATAAATGTTAAATAACATCAGTGATTAGATGAGATGTAAACCAAATGCTACAATAAAAAGACTATGCTTCTCACATTTAATTGTGGGGAAAGTGTCTGTCTGCAGGCTACATAAAAGAGAGATATGTAAAATATAAGGACAAAGAAATGTTGGAAGTGAAAAAATTTTAATATTCATGTTTCATGTCAATGTAAAGGAAATAACATTCCATAACCTTAATAATGTAACAAAATTAAATATGAGTTAAAATCATTACTAGAGATAGAGACATTTTATAATCAGAAAAGTGTTAGTATAATTGAAATATTGAATAATTTTAAATTTACACTTAACAAATTTAAATATAGCTTCAAAATATGCATTATACATTTAAAAGTTATTTACAATAAATTCTTTAAATAATCCCTTATGAATCTTAATAAAACAGATTAAAGTGAAAAAAATCAAATAAACATATGGCTGGCTCAAATACAGCATAAAATTGACTGTGTTTACCTGACATAATCCACAAAATGTAGAAAAGGTAAAAATATAAGCAAATAGTTTTTTTTCTTTCTTTTTTTTTTTTTGAGACGGAGTCTCGCTCGTTGCCCAGGCTGGAGTGAAGTGGCACCGCCATCTCTACTCACTGCAAGCTCCGCCTCCCGGGTTCATGCCATTCTCCTGCCTCAGCCTCCCGAGTAGCTGGGACTACAGGTGCCCGCCACCATGCTTGGCTAATTTATTGTATTTTTAGTAGAGACGGGGTTTCACCATGTTAGCCAGGATGGTCTCGATCTCCTGACCTCGTGATCCACCTGCCTGGGCCTCCCAAAGTGCTGAGATTACAGGCGTCAGCCACCACGCCTGGCCGGCAAATAGTTTTAGAATCATCTCTGTGAAACTGATCTCATGAGCCTAATTGGTAAATTTGCTTTTTATATTTGTATTGATTTTATATTCTTATAGATTCATATAGATTTTAACATATCTGAGAACACAAAGTTCTGCACAATACTTACATGTCTTGCTTACATTAAGTATTTAATCAATAATTGTTAATAAGTGAGCAAATGAATGCAATTTGGTTTACGAATACATGCATATATTGGCACTCCACTTTGACACATTTATTATAAATGTATTTGTCGATATGCCTTATGTCAGTTATTTCATTCACATAGTTGAATTATAACCATCCCAATGCCCAAGCAGATTTCAGAAAAATGTAATGGAAAAATATTTCAGAATGACTCTAAAGTGTCTTTAGAACTTTGATTATTTTAAGTCTTGACAAATGAATTGGTGATTACATTCTATCTTCACAGCATAATTTATAATAATGTTCTTTGTTTTTTTTTTTTTTTTTGAGATGGAGTCTTGCTCTGTCGCCCAGGCTGGAGTGCAGTGGTGCAATCTTGGCTCACTGCAAGCTCTGCCTCCCAGGTTCACACCATTCTCCTGCCTCAGCCTCCCAAGTAGCTGGGACTACAGGCACCTGCCCCCACGCCCGGCTAATTTGTTGTATTTTTAGTAGAGATGGGGTTTCACCATGTTAGCCAGGATGGTCTCGATCTCCTGACCTTGTGATCTGCCCGCCTCGGCCTCCCAAAGTGCTGGGATTACAAGCGTGAGCCACTGTGCCCGGCCTATAATAATGTTCTTAACTAAAAATATTGCAAAGCCATTTCAGATATCAAGTTTAAAAGTTTGATAATTTCTTTCCACAATCTAATAATAAAAAACACTACAAGTTCATTTTGTAATTATTTTTTAATTGCATTCTCTGTGTTCTATCAGCCAAATTACTACTGTAGATCAGGTTTCCATCCATCTGGACAAATTCAACTGCTTCCTAAGAAGTGTCTTAATTCTGCAATACTTTCCTCAAATCAATCTATTCAGCAATCAAAGCAATCCATTTAATATTTAAATCTGATTATATCTTTTCTATTGTTTAGTAAAACACTCAATGCCTCTGAATTGTCTACAAGATTAAAGTCAAAATATTATATATGAAACATAAAGCTTTCATGATTTGATTTCTACCTATCGCTCCAGTATAATCTCTTGCTACTTCCTGGTTTTTAGTTTAAATTTCAGAAATAACTCAAATTATATATTTTACACAACATACTATCAATTTGTTGCCACTGCATCTTTTCTTATTCTGTCTCACAGCTAAAAATTACTTACAATTGTCTGTGTGATTTGCCTACGTAGACCCTACTTTCCTTTTAAATCTCTGTTTGTATGCTCTCTTTCCCAGGAAGACTTTCTGACTCCATATTATATTATGTGTCATTACCTTTCTTAACATTCTACAGGATTGATTTTATAAGACTACATTATAATAACTTTTTAATACATCTGTACCTTCCATGAGATTGAAAGTTCCTAAGGATCATTAAATATGTCTCATTATGCTTTTTACTTTTAGTGTTAACACACTGCCTTGCACATTGTAACCTTTCAACAATTCATTATTGAGAGCATATAATTTTGCAAAATTAATGCTGTATAAGCTTGATATTTGATAGTTTCTCTAAAGTAAAACGCTTTATCAGTCTATCATAGTATTGTAAATGTGAAAGGTTTAAGAAGTATATAATCACTATTTCATACTTTAACAACTTTCTTAGAAGATTTACTATAAAAGAGACTACAAATTTCAATATCTACTGCCTCCCATCTCCTTTCAGGAATAGAAAAAGCAAAATTATCTAATGAAATAATAGCAGATTTTAAGAAATTCTAAACAATTTTGGGAGACATCTTTAAGAAAATATTTCAGAAACATCAATAGCAATTAGTTATAGTCAATGTTTAAGGTGCTATTTATGAGTATAGATAATCCATTGTTTGCAAAACTATTTAATATTGAGTATGTTTTTTTGGAATACACATGTAAGCTTTTATAAATTTTTTTTGTTATGCTTGTATGGTGAAAATGGTGAAAATTCCTTCGGTAATTTTTTAAATGTAACTGAAAGCTCTTCAAAGTAATGAGAAAAAATTCTGAATGAAGTTAATAAATATGAAAGAAACAATACTCAATTGAGAACATTTAAGTAAAAGCATACTGCTACATGAGATTGTTCTAAAGAAATGGAATCTTTGAGTTTGATAGAGGAGGCATTTAGAGTCCAACTAAGAAGATAGAAATGGAGGGCCTTGGAAGAGAAAAAACACCCATGGAACCACACCTGCACCATTCCTGTTAGGTAGCTAGTGGGAGGAAATGTAGTTAAGAACTTCCTCTTATGCCAGGATGTTTGCTTAGAAGGGACTGTTCCAACTTCAGTACAGGCACAATAAATCAACTAAATATCCTTAACTTGATCCAGAGCTAATTGCAATATCATTAGTATTTGGTTCACCACAGTTTTGCCTGCCACCTCTGTGGGTTTCACTTAGGCACTCATGGATAATAACCAAGATGGAGTCCCTATGGCCAACCCCAGACATGCTCAGATGCAACATCCCCAAGGGGGAACTATACCCCTCTCATTAGGGCAGAACCCACAGATGACTTCCTTGTTTTTGTCACATAGAAGTCCCAGAGCTCAGCCCCATTTCTGGCAACCCACTATTGGGTCCCCTCTGGTTGTTGAGAGCTTTTCTGTCATTTAACTACTCTGCCTTACTTACTCTCCGGTGTCTATGTGCCTTATTTTTCTTGCTCATGGGACAAGTACTTGGATCTAGCCAAACTAAGGAGTAAGAAAACTACCACAAGATCACAACCTAGAAATCTTTGAGACTGTTTTAAAATGTCTAAATAATTTATTTCCTTATAAATTAATATTTTTTCTCTTGTCATCATTTTATAAGCAGAACTATTTTATTTTGCTTGTCTGCTAAGCATTGTTGCCATTTGAAATCAAGGGTGAATGTTATTTAAATAGTGAAAATAAGTTTTCCAAAAGTCTTCATAATATGCTTTTTAAATTTGTAGAAATATAATTAAATGATCTTTGTGTTTGGATAACAAATACCTTATAATAGACAAGCCATTTTGACCACTAAGACAGATGTACACTCCTTAATGATTCTATTTTTAAATTTGATATCTGTTTTAAAATGTTTTCAAAAATACTTAAAAGTGTCTATTTATTTTATGAAATAATAAATATTTTTATATCTGCTTACATCACACTTAAAAAATGAAAATTACAGAGAACATTCTAGCTGTGCTGATATTGAGAGAACTGCAGATTAAGTTAAATTTGTAACACCTTTTTAGGTCAGATGATCACTTTCGTTTTACAAACACACATAAAATAGCTGCTTAACATTTTAGTACCATTGGATAGAATACTAATACATTAGACAACAGTGAGTGTTTTTAAAAGTGAAAAACAAATTGAAATAAAGATTAATTTTACCTATTTCTGACCTTTAATTAAATGCAATAATAAAGGATATACTCTCTTGTGTTTGGCTTCATCTACTCAACTTGATGCTTGCAGGATTCATCCATCAATACACGATACATATACCAACAGTATGCTTCTCTTTCATTGCTGTATGGTATCACTTTGTAGTATATACACTACACTTTATCAACTCTCCTGATGAGTAGACATTTGGATTGCTTCTAGTTTTGCATATTGGTTTTGCTAAACCATGTTTGGTTATTAACATTAGATTGTGTTGCCAAATCACTTTTAGAAGTGATTGTACCTACACTTTTAGCTGCTGCCTCTGTGGTGGCAGTCACTCTCAAGTACCAGCAGCACCTCTACTTCTGTAGCCAAAGAAAAAAGACATGGGAAGCAAGTGGGTTATTCATACCATGGGCCAAGCCAACTGCCTGCAAAGCAGTTAGCTACAAAAGTTCTTTGCAAGAGTTTTTCTTGTGAACCCTGAAAATCTGCGACAGGTCTCAGTTAATTTAGAAAGTTTATTTTGCTAAGGTTGACAACGCATGCCTATAACAAAGCCTCAGGAGGTTCTGATGACATGTGCCCAAAGTTGTGAGAGCACAGTTTGGTTTTATACATTCTAGGGAGACATAAGACATCAATCAACATATGCAAGATGAGCATTGGTTCAGTCTGGAAAGGCAGTGAAACTTGAAGTAAAGTCAGGAAGACTCAAAGTGGGGAAGCGGCTTCCTGGTTATAGATAGATAAGAGACAAATGGTTGCATTCTTTGGAGTTTCTGATTAGCCTCTCCAAAGTAGGTGGTCAGATATGCATTTATCTCAGTGAGCAGAGGGGTGACTTTGAATAGAATGGGAGGCAGGTTGGCCCTAAGCAGCTCCCAGCTTGACTTTTCCATTTAGCTTAGTGATTTGGTGCCCCCAAGATTTATTTTCCTTTCACAGTCTGCTATTAGAAACATGAAGAAACCTTAGTACAATGACACAATTATTATATCAGGAATTATCAAACTTTTCCAAAACTTCTGATTTTTATAAACTCTCTAGCCTCTGATGCAAACAATTGTACAGGTCTTCAAAAGATAACTGTGCTTCCTTAATGCAGCTACTTGTAATGTGCAGGAACAAGTGAAGCCTAACAGTCTGATCTGTTAAAAAATATTCACCTGACTTCTATCCACGCAAAATATATAATTATGTCCCCTAACATTTAGAAACATTACACATAAGTGCTGCTTATGGTTCAATTTGATGGGAAACATACATTTTGTTGTGAATTATTTATTGGTAATTATAAACACTAGGTATTTTTTTCCCATTGGGTTGAAACTAGAGGACAGAATCAGGTTTTTACTAGGTTTTCTTTATTATTTTTATTTGCATGAGGATATTTAATATCATTTCCGGGACATACAATCCAAGTAAAAGTGTTTCATTGAACATATGTCAGCAATTCAATATTAAAACAATTATAAATAAACCTTGAAATTTCCTGCATTTGGATGTTTATAACTGAAGTAAATTATTTTTTGATGTTAACTAGATGATGTTTGCAGCCTTTTAAAAAAAAATCACATGATGGATAATATCCATTCACAGTACATGTGTAAATAAATTTTTCTACATGCAGGAACATATTTTTAATGTTATTGGTCTTCTGCTTCTTTCTGTTATATTTGCTATCAAAATGTATTTCACTGTCTTTAAGCAAAGTGATGATACTAATGAGACAGCCAAATGACTAGGCAGATAAAAAGGGGGTACCCAGAGAATCTCCGACCTGCTCCACAAGGGTTTACATCAGGTGCTTTTGTGCAGATGAGGAAACCTGCCCAGGGCTTGTCTGGGCATGCCCACAGCAGACTGGAGCCCGACATGTGCACTGGGGAAAGTGGGTGGAGCCACAGGGAATTTCGCGCCTTGGAGTTCCGGGGAGTCTGATCGCTTTAGTTCCTTTGTGGTGGCTTGGGATTCAGTCTATGAGGTCGAGGACCTGTTAACAGGACTACCATGTCGTTTTGCTGAGACTTTTTCTTTTTTCTTTTTCACCAAATAAAACCCTGCTCTACTCATCCTTCAATGTGTGTGCCTAAATTTTCTGATCATGTGACAAGAACCTGGGTTTTAGCTGAACTAAGGAACAAAATTCTGCAATACTAATTTATATCTCCACTGGCAGTGTGTGATTGTTAGTATTCACAGCCTCGCATATGTTGGTTCTGGTTTCTTTGTTGTTTTTAGTTTCTTAATATTTTGTTTTTGTAATTTTGGCCATTGTCGTGGGTAGATAATGGTATCTCATAATTTTTGTTTTCATTTCCCTGATAACTGATAATGCCGACCATCTATTCCTTTGTTTGGCTCTTTTTTTTTTTTTTTTTTTTGGTGGGGGGTGGACAGTTTCTCACTCTGTTGCCCAGGCTGGTGTGCAGTGGCACAATTATGGCTCACTGCAACCTCTGCCTCCGGGGTTCAAGCTATTCTCCTGCCACAGCCTCCCAAGTAGCTGGGATTACAGGCACAAGCCCCCACACCTACTAATTTTTGTATTTTTTGTAGAGACAGGGTTTTGTCATGTTAACCAGGCTGTTCTCAAACTCCTTACCTCAAGTGAACTACCTGCCTTGGCCTCTCAAAGTGCTTGGATTACAGGAGTGAGTCACCGTACCCAGACAGCTCTTTTTTGAAATACCTGTTTAAGTCTTTAGCCCATTTTTTCCCACCAGATGTTCTCTCTATACTTTTTTACTGCTTTAACAGTTATTTATATATTCTGGATAAGAGTGGTCTGTTTAACATATGTACTGTAAACATATTCAATTTCCTGGCTTGACTTTTTAGTCTCTTATTATTTACTTTTGATGAAGACACATTTTTCATTTTAAACTAATTTATCAAATTTATTATTAGTACTTTTTGTGTCTTGTTTAAGAAATTCTTGGCTTCCTCGTTTTATTATTTATCTTCTAAAAGCTTTATTGTTTAATTATATAATTCATCAAACATTATTTTCAGTGTATCTGTAAGTGATCATCTTTTTTCCATATGTATATCTAATTTAACGAACAGCATTGATTGGGCAAACCATCCTTTACTCAGTGCGTTTTGGTGGTAGTGTAATTCAGGAGGCCTTATGAGTTTGTGTCTGCTTCTGTACTCTATTTTAATCCATTGCCATATTTGTCTCCAAATCATTATTATAATTTCATAATCCTGTTCATGGTCTTTTCTTAATTGACACATAATAATTGGATATATTTATGGGGTATAGTAAGATATTTCAATACATACATATATGTGTAATGATCAAATCAGGGTATTTAGCATTTCTATTATGTCAAACATTCATCTTTAATTTATGATGAGAGCATTCTTCTATTTTGAAGTATATTAAATAATATTGTTAACTATAATCTCTTTTCTGCACAACAGAACACCAGCACATAGTCCTCCTATATAATTGTCACCCTGTCCTCATTAACCAATCTCTTCACATTCGTCCTCACTCCTCCTTGCCCCAGCCTCTTGTAAGCATTATTCTACTCTCTTCTATGATATCAACATTTTTACATTTTGGTTTGAGTGATACCATGCAGTATTTGCCATTCTGTGACTGGCTCACTTCACTTAACAAATGCCTTCCATGTTCATCCGTGTTGCTGCAAATGACAAGATTTCATTCCTTTTTTACAGCTGAATAATATTTTACTGTGCATATAAAAACCCTCATCGATCAATTGACACTATATGTTGGTTCCATATCTTAACTACGTGAACAGTGCTGCCATAAACATGGGACTGCAGATATGGATTTGATAAACTGTTTTTATTTCCTTTGGGTATATACCCAGGAGTGGGATTGCTGAATCATATAGTAGTTCTATTTTTTAATTTTTTGAGGAATCTCCACACTGTTTTTATTGTTGCCATACTAATCTGCCTTCTCCTTTCTCCTCATCCTAACAGCATTTATCTTTTGTGGTTTTGATAATAACCAGCGTTCTCTAGAGGGATATAACTAACAGGATAGATGTATATATAAAGGGGAGTTATTTAGGATTATTGATTTACACTATCACAAAGTGAAGTCCCACAATAGACCATCTGCAAAGTGAGGAGCAAGGAAGCCAGTCAGTCACAAAACCTCAAAAGTAGAGAAGCCAACAGTGCAGCCTTCACTCTGTGGTTGAAGATGCAAATGCCCCTGGCAAACCACTGGTGTAAGTCCAAGAGTCCACAAGCTGAAGAACTTGGAGTATGATGTTCAAGGGCAGGAAGCATCCAGCATGGGAGAAAGATAAACCTGGAAGATTTAGCCAGTCTAGTCCTTCTGTATTCCCCTGCCTGCTTTTATCCTAGTTGCAATGGCAGCTGATTAGATGGTGCCCACTCAGATTGAGGGTTAGTCTGCCTCTCCCAGTCCACTGACTGCAATGTTAATCTCCTTTGATAACACCCTAAGGAACAATACTCAGGAACATACTCAGGACATACTCAGGAACAGTACTTTGCGTCCATCAATCCAATCAAGTTGACATTCAATATTAACCATCACACCATTCTAATTGGGTGAGATGATATCATCATTTTGATTTGCATCTTTCTAATGATCAATGATGTCAAACATTTTTTAAATGTACTTAGTAGTCATTAGTATGTATACTTTTGAGAAATGTCTATTCAGATTTTATCATATTTTATTTATTTATTTATTTTGGAGACAGAGTCTCCCTCTATTTCCCAGGCTGGAGTGCAGTGGTGCAATCTCAGCTCACTGTAACCTCTGCCTCTTGGGTTCAAGCGATTCTCCTGCCTCAGCCTCCTGAGTAGCTGGGACTATAGGTGCGTGCCACCACACCTGGCTAGTGTTTTTTGTATTTTTAATAGATACAGGGTTGCACCATATTGGCCAGACTGGTCTTGAACTCCTGACCTTGTGATCCACCCACCTCAGCCTCCTTATTTTATTTTTAAATCAGATTACTTGTTTTTTTTCGCTATTGAGTTTTTTGGGTTTGTTATAGATTCTGGATATTTAACCCTTGTCAGATGTACAGTTTGCAAACATCTTCTATTCTGTAAGTGTTCTCTTCCTTCTGTTGATTATTTTCTTTGCTGTGCAGAGGCATTTTAGTTTGATAACATTTCGTCTATATGCTTTTGTTGACTGTGCTTTTGAGTTCTTATCCAAAAAATTCTTGCCCAGATCAATGTCATGAAGGATTTCCCCTGTGTTTCCTTCTAGTAGTTTTATAGTTTCAGGTTTTACCTTTAAGTCTTTATCTTGAGTTGAATTATTTTATATGGTGAGAGATAGGGGTCTAGTCTCATTCTTCTACATGTGTTAAAAATCCAGTTTTCCCAGAATCATTTGTGGAAGAGACTGTCATATCCCCAGTATATATACTTGGTGCTTTTGTCAAAAATCATTTGTCTATAAGTTCATAAGTTTATTTCTGGGTTCTGTATTCTCTTTTATTGATCTATGTGTCTATTTTTATGCCAGTATCAATCTGTTTTGTTTACTATTGCTTTGTAGTATATTTTGATGTAAAATAGTGTGATGCCTTTAGCTTTGTTCTTTTTGCTCAATATTTCTTTCACTTTTGGTGTCTTTCATGGTTCCATACAAATTTTAGTGTTTTTTTTTTTCTATTTTAGCGAAGTATGTCATTGGTATTCTGATAAGGTAAATTGTGTAAATTGTGTTGAGTAGTATGGGACATTTTAACAACATTAATTCTTCCAATCTATGAACATGGGATGTCTTGCCATTTATTTGTTTGTCTTAAGTTTGTTTAGTTAATGTTTTATAGTTTTTCTTGTAGAGCTTTTTCAACTCCTAAGTTAAAACTATTCCTAGATCTTTTACTTTTCTCTAGCTATTTCAAATGGGATTGTTCCTTGATTTATTTTTCACATAGTTTATTATTGGAATATAGCAATGCTACTAATTTTAGCATCTTGATTTTGTATCCTGCCATTTTACTGAATTTGTTTATTCTTCTAACAGTGTTTTGGGGTTTGTGTGGAGTCCTTAGGGTTTTATATATATATATACACATATAGAATCAGGTCTTTTGCAAACAGAGACAATCTGCCTTCCTTCCTTCCAGTTTGGATGCCCTTTATTTTTTTCTCTTGTGTTATGCTCTGGCCAGGACTTTCTAGCACTAGGTTGAATAAAAGTGGTGAAAGTGGGTTGCCTTGTCTTGTTCCAGATCTCAGATCTCAAAGGAAATGTTTTCAGTTTTTCCTATTCAGTATGATGCTAGCTGTGGCTTTCTTATATATGGCCTTTATTATGTTGATGTATTTTTTCTACAACCGTATGTTGAGAGTTTTTATTGTGAAAGGATGTTGAATTTTACTGAATAGCTTTTCTGCATTAAATGAAATAATTCTGTAGTTTTTGTCTTTGATTCTGTTAATGTGATGTATCACGTGTTAATTTGCATATGTTGAACCAATCTTGCATCTCTAAGATGAACTTGATTATGGCAAATGACCTTTTTAATATGCTGTTGGTTTTAGTTTCCTAGCATTTTGCTGATAATTTTTTCATCCTTATTTATCAGAAATGTTGGTTTGTAGTTTTGTTGTTGTTGCTATTATGGTTGTGCCACTGTCTCATTTTTGTATTAGGGTAATGCTGACCTCATAGAAAGAGTTTGAAAAATTTACCTCCTGTTCACTTTTTTGGAATAGTTTGAGTACATTGGTGTTAGTTCTTTAAATGTTTGGTAGAATTCAGCCATGATGCCATCAGGCCCTGGGCTCCTATTTGATGGGAGACATTATTACTTATCTTATTATTCATTATTGTTCTGTTCAGCGTTTTTATTTCTTCTTCATTCAATATTAGTAGGTTATATATGTCCAGGAATTGTCCATTTTTTCCAGATTTTCCTCTTAATTGGTATATAGCTGTGTATAAAATCTCTTATCCTTTTTACTTCTGTAGTATCACTTGTAATATTTCCATTTAATTTCATTTTATTTATTTGTCATCTCTCTTACTTTCTTAGTTCATCTAGCTAAAGATTTGTCAATTTTGTTTGTTCTTTGAAAAATCAATTATTACATTGATTTTTGGTATTATATTTTTAGACAATAAAAATACAATTAAAGATATTTCTGCTCCGATCTTTTTAATTTCTTTCTTTCTACTGATTTTGAATTTAGTTTGTTCTTGTTTTTGTAGTTCCTTGGTGTGCATTGTTAGGTTGTTTATTTGAAATCCTTCTACTTTTTTGATGTAGGTATTTATTGCTATGAACTTCCATCTTAGCACTGCCTTTTCTGTGTCACATAGGTTAGAATATGTGTTGTTTTTTTATTTTCTTTTGTCTCACAATATTTTTTAATTTTCTTTTTAATTTCCTCATCTACCTGCTGGTCATTCAGAAGTTTATGTCTCTTAATTTCTATGTATTTGCAGTTTCCAATGTTCGTTTTGTTATTGATTCCAGTTTTATTTAGTTGTGATCAGAAAATACACTTGATACGATTTTTATTTTTTGAAAATTCACTGAGACTGGTTTTGTGGCTCAACACATGATCTATCCTGAAAAATGTTCTCTGTGCTGTTGAGAAGAATGTGTAATCTTCAGCTGTTAGGTGGAGATTTTCTGTAAATATCTGTTAGGTCCATTTAGTCTAGAATGCAGAAATCTGAGGTTTGTTGATTTTCTGACTGGATGAGCTGTTCATTGATGAAAGTGGAGTAAATTAATTAAAAAGTAATTAAAATCTTTTACTATTATGGTATTGCTGTCTATCTCTCCCTTTAGTTATACTAATATTTGTTTTGTATATTTAGATGCTCTACTGTTGTCTGTATGTATATTTAAGACTGTCATATCATCTGGCTGTATTGAACCTTTATCATCAGATAAAGGACTTCCTTATCTCTTTTTTCAGTTTTTGAGTGAAAGTCTATTTTGTCTAAATCTTGCTACCTCCATATTTTTTTTTTCATTTTCATAGAATTTTTTTTTCATTGTTCCACTTTTAGTCTATGCTTGTCTTTATAGGTAAACTGAGTTTTCTATAGGAAGCTTATAACTGGGTCTTGATTTTTTTTGAAAAAAATCCATTCAGCCACTCTTGTCTTTTAACTGGAGATTTCTATCCATTTACATTCAAAGTAATTACTCATAAGTAATGACTTGCTTTCATTTTGTTACTTAATTTCTGGGTATTTTGTAAATCATTTCTTCCTTGCACTTTGTGGTTAAGTGATTTTCTTCAGTAGTATGTTTTGATTCCTCGCTTTTTATTTTCATTGTATCTATATATGTTTTTGTTTTGTGGCTACCATGATGCTCACATAAAACATAGTTATAACAAGTTATTCTAAACTGATAGTAACAACTTTAATAGCGTTTAAAAAAATAAACAGAATAAAATTCAACACTTTAACTTCATTTCCCTACATTCTGAATTTTTTATGTCACAATTTACATCTTTAAATATTGCCTATCCCTTAACAAACTGTTATAGTTATAATAATTTTTTAATAGTTTTGTCTTTTAGTATTAACATTAAGAATACAAGTGGTTTACACACTACAATTACTATACAAGCTTTGTACTCTATTAGCTTATTTATAAATCATTTCATTATATTTATGGGTACTTAAGTGATTAAAGTTGACCTCCTCAATTATTAGTTAGTATTATTATTTTAATAAATTTCATTTATATTCTTCCTACTTTCTGTGTCATTACTGCTATCTATTTTAAATCCACATATTATATTTAATATTCTTTAGACATTACTATTTTTTAAATACTAAGTATTTATTTAGATAATTTAGATTTAGATTAATCTACACATTTATACTATATTTATACTTTTTTATGCTTTTTATTCCTCCCCACATTACCATTCTTCCATATGAAATTTTCTTTTTCGTAAAGAATTCCCTATAGTAATTATTTTAGGATAGATGTAATAGAGATAAATTCCCTAATATTTTGTTTTTCTGAAAATATTATTTCATTTTCAGTTATTAAAGACATTATGTTTTGTATAGATTTAGTTTTGTTTTTCAGTATACATTTTATTTTGAAAATTATTTTTTATTAGGAATTTAAAAGTATCATTTTATTGTTTTTTTGGTGACATCTTTCAGTTGAAGAAACAGTTGTTAGATTTTCCAGGTCAATAAGTATGTTTTAATTATATGGCTTTAATATTTTTACTTTTTCTTTTGTTTTCACAGTATAACAAGGTTTCCTTGGTATGGTATTCTTTATCTGTTTATTTATTTATATATTTATTTAATTTTATTTTTGAGACAGGGTCTCACTCTCTCGCCCAGGCTGGAGTGCAGTAGTGCAATTGTGGCTCAGTTCTACCTCTGTCTCCTGCGTACAAGTGATTCTAGTGCCTCAGCCTCCAAAATAGCTGGGATTACAGGCACCTGCCACAATGCCCGGCTAATTATTTGCATTTTTAGTAGGGACAGAGTTTCATCATGTTGGCTAGGCTGGTGTCAAACTCCTGGTCTCAGGTTATCTGCCTGCTTCAGCCTCCCAAAGGGCTGAAATTACAGGCCTGAGCCACCACACCAGGTGGTATTCTTTATTTATATTCTTACAAATTGTAAAGCTTATTGAATCTGTGACTCTGTGTCTTTTGTCACTTTAAGAACATTTTTAGTCATTTCTTTAACTATTGCCTTTTCCTTATTTTTTTTCTCCTCTTCTGAGGACTACTATTACATATACACTAGAATTTTTCATCATGTTCCATTTATCTCTTTTGCTTTTCTTCTGATTTTCTGTTTTGTTCTATGTCTGCACTTCAGTTATATATTTATATTAGTATTCATTATGGCTAACTGTCTCTTATATGACAAATGATCTCTTAATTTCATCTGTTGCATTATTATTTAGGGTTATTTAATTCTTCATTTCTATACTATAATTTTCAGTTCTCTGAAATCTTCACTTTCAAAGGATTTTCTTTTTGTCTCACAGGTTGATAGAGTAAGTACAGGTTAACCTTGTTCTAAAAATGAGACAACCGGGAATTTTGCTCCATTCTTTACGAGACCTAGATTATTTCCAGTATGCCTTGTTTCCTAGAATGTAAACTTCACTTGTCTTAAGTAAAAGTCTATGGCATTATCAGAGCCTATTCTATTCAGTTGAAGTGTATGACAAATGTCTCAAAAGAAAATTGTAGGAAGATGAAATTTTTTTCTCAGTTTTCTTTTTTTTTCAGCACATTAACTCCTCAATTTTGCTGTCCTTGTTATTCCTGAAGGTGAAAAATATAAGCCATACATGGGAAAGAAAACTAGTGCAGACTTGTTTTGTTTTGTTGTTCTAAGAAAACCATCTGGACAGAGAATGGGAAGATTGAAGCTGAAGTGTAAACATTGAATTGTAGTGAAATTATGTAAAAGTAAACAGCAAATCTGATAGAAAGTTATTAAAATAAAAATAAAAGAAGTTGAAAGACACCCAGTGTGTGAAGGTTTTGGAGAGAACCCATGAAAGTGTCTCATGAGAGAGACAGTTGACTTTAAACATCTGTCAGTACTAGATATGATGACCATGTTATGATAGGACCAGTCAAGAAAGAAAAGGGTAGAGACTCTTTTTCTCTTCTCTACCATACCATTCATACATAATTCCTCGTAAAGAATGTTGGCTTAAAATATTTGATAAGCCTGGAAAGCATAAAGCTCTCTAAGGTAGGTAAAAATTTCTTTTTACTTTTCTCCTCTATCAATTTTATTCTTATGAATAAGCTAAACTATCAGGGGACTGATTAAGTTTTAGTGGTATTATATTTTAGATAGGTTTTATAAAACTTTTTAATACAATGGAAGATAATTTTGAGATAATGCTTTTCAATTCTCTTCCAGTGATAGAATTTCTTTAGCTGTTTCTTATGTTAAATATCAAATAAATTATTTTATTATTGATTCATTTATTTATCTTTTTGAGGCAGAGTCTCTCTCTGTCACCCAGGCTGGTGTGGAGTGGTGTGATCTCCTCTCACTTGCAACCTGCCCCTGCCTGGTTCAACTGATTCTCCTGCCTCAGCCTCCCGAGTAGCTGGGATTGCAGGCGTCCGCCACTACGCCAGGCTAATTTTTTTGTGTTTTTAGTAGAGACGGGGTTTCACCATGTTGGTCAGGCTACTCTTGAACTCCTGACCTCAAATGATCCACCCACCTCCCAAGGTGCTGGGATTACAGGCGTGAGCCACTGTGCCCTGCCGGAAATGATTTTAAAATTTAGAAAGAATAAAACAAATACAAATACATATATAGAAGCAATTTTGAGTTTGTTATATTCCAATATGTGTGATTTTAATCAGTTAACTTTATATTATTAGTCTGCAGTTTTCATTATCATATTACCTTTGTGAAGGAGGCTTGATATTTTTTAACCTATATTCTGATTCTGTATTTTCTATCCTACTTATTCAAGCTGTTTTGAACTGCATACAATGCAGAATGTTTGCTAACTTAAAGCAAACTGGAGTGCTGATTTTATAAGGGCAATTCAATGTACAAATCGTCTTTCCCTCAAATTAGTATTCCTATCACACTAAGGCAAAACTCATGTTTTATAAACTTAATAAATTCAACTTTACACATACAGGTAAATTATAAATTAAAAATAACAAATATGAATTGTTTAAGCATTTTTCTCTTCAGCTATATTGGCAGAATAATAACATTACAATTAAAAACATTCATAGATTCTGTATATACTGACTATATAAAAAGCATTTTTGGTGGCTGATTCAGCTTTTAATAATGAAAAGACACTTTAAAAGTGAGAAAATTGTTTTAGATTAATAAGTATACATCTTGAACTTGAACTTCTATTACAACTTTAAGTATCACCAAACTTGGTAACTTTTACAATTTGAATGTTACTTATATTTTATATGTCTGCATTTCCTAGGTTCTGGAAAAGAAGTGAAATCATTAGAAAGGTGTTCTAAGCATTTTTCTAGCCTGAAGGGGAGCAGCAATCATCAGCAATCTAATAATAAAACTAGTATTCAAGAGGTGAGTTTTCTAGGAAAATTTTGCAGACCTAAGATGTTTGGAGAATTTTAATAAGCAGTCAAACTTTTGGGTACTTATAAAACTCTCTGCATATTGAGAGTTTTTCATCACTATCAATATCCCATTGTCACCCCTTGATCCTGTGTAAAAAAGACATCTGTGTGGACTTGGAGCAAAATTTTCCAAACTGTGTTCCACAGTAATTCTATAGTATATTTATAGATCACTATCTCTTACACATACACACGAGTGTAGACATATACTTTTGTGATTTACTGGATTTAATTTTCTTTTCTTGGCTGTAGTTTTTACTCAGAATTTATTATACTTTAAATGATTAGTGATTCTCCAACTAAGTGATACATATGTACATTTTCAAAAAGTATTTGGGTACAGCACCCTTCTCCCAGAATGTCTTAAAATAACTAGCATTTAGTAGGGCCTATTTTGGGAAATGTTCTCTTAAGAGTATGATGTTAACATGGCTGAGGTGATGGGTTGCGTTTCTGTATCAATCATGTAATATCTTGCCTCACAGAAGAAAGCCACATTTCTTTCCTTTGGAATAATATAACATATTTGGGTGTGTTTAGTCTAGAACCCCAATCTACTGCTTGGGGTCAATGCCACTTGATTTATAATATTAATGGCTAACATATCGTATGCTCCTAGAGAGCCTTACAAAATTTTTTACTTATATTAATGTATTTAATTCCTGCAATAAGATTGTGAGAAAAGTAACGTTGTTACATTGCTGAACTAGGAATCAGTTCAAACTGTGTGACCCCACCACTCAAATTTCATGTTGTTTACCAATATTCTACACTGCCATTTGCCTTTCAGTGTATCATATTTGATAGTTTAGAGGTAAAATATCATACAAATACTAATGGCCACAAGAATGTTTATATACAGTGTCAACCTTTATGACTACATTACTTAAGGAAAGAAACTAAATAATCAGAAGGATATCTCAATTATAAATCCAAGAAAGAAGTGAGGATACCAACATATTAGAACTGAGACGGTAGGTTTATTGCTTTAATACTATTTATGAGAACACATTTTTTAAAGAAATCTTTGGAAAATGATCATATTGTTAGAATGCACATTATTATTTATAAATTTTTTTCTTAAAATGTCACCTCACATTTAACTCCTTCAAGATTAACTGATAAGCAGAGCCACGGATGCTACCTGTACATGATTGTCTAATGATTTCACAAACATATGTTCTATCTTTTTCTTTGGATCCTGAGCTATTTGGGGGCATGCTGATCTTTTCTTACAATTATTTTGCTTTTTGTCAGCCAATATGTTTAATGAAATACCAAATACTTAGTTTTTAATAAACACTTCTCTAAACCATTAATGTATGTAATTATGGCCAGAGGCAAAAATTAATATTTGAAAAAAACACCTGATACGGCATATAGGGAAGTGGCTCAGTGCATGTTAGTATTTGAAAATAATTTTTAACCTACAATAATTTATAAAAATATATTTATCTTTGGATAGTGAAATAATCTTTTTACGTGCAAGTCATATAATTGGTGAGATTTTCTGGAAAAAATCCAAAGGACTCTAAATTTTAAGTTAAAGATAAATAAAGGAACTTAATGAAAAGTAATTATAGTTGAAAGTATAGCTGAAAAGCAATTACAGTTCTCAAGACAACTGATGAATCAAACTTAGATTTTTAAAATTGAAAACAGCAAATACAAATTTTTTTTAAAAGGAAAGCTTGTTACAGTGTCAGAAAATTCCTACTGTATTTACTAATAGTTTTGTATTAGAATCATAAGGTTAACAGAACTACACTTGTAGTACTTTCTCATCATATGATTTACCATTTGCCTCCTTTAAATTTGAAGAGTTTATCCTATGCCTGATTAATTATAAAACAAAGCAGGGCACAGTGGTGCATTCCTATAATCCCAGCTACTCGGGAGACTGAGGGGATCACTTGAGCCCAGGAGTTCAAGACCAACATGGGCAACATAGCGAGACCTTGTCTCTTAAAAAAATGAAAATAAATATATTAAATAAGTAAAGTACATTTATTGAGCTCTATGTTTCTGCACCTGCAGAATCAAGGCAGAATACAAAATAAAGTTAACAAAATAGTTGGTATAAAAAAACATATTCTGTTTAAATGCCCTTTCGTATGCTTTGGTTTTTTAAATAAAGTAACAATTTGAGAATTTAAAATCAATGTAAACAACTTATTATTTAAATGTTATTTCTTTTGTCTTACTGAATTAGAGCACCACTACATAACTTTGTACAGATGTAACCATTTTAAGGCTATATGGTTCTGCATGAGCCATGGTTAGGGAAAAATCAGTCACTTTCTCTTGATATCCTTAGGAATGTTGGAAATAATAAGAATTTTACATTCTCTTATTCTAATTACAGAAAATAAAAACAGTAATGGCTTCTGTATACTAATTGATATTATGTCAAGATAATTTTATTACTCATTAAACCAAATTAGTAATCTAGTGTTTTATTGTACTCCTGAATATTAACTAAGTTGGAATCTTATTGTGATATGATAGTTTTCCTTTGGAAATTCATAAACTCATTGAAGGCAATTTCAAAGCAAGAATTAAGAATACAACCTTGATTTCTACTTGGGCAGAAGAAGTTGGCAGCAGTTATGGTGGTACTGAAATTCTCCAGATGTTTTTAATGAGAGCTATTAATTCTCTATTCTCTAATGACATTAATTTTTCAATACAGAACACAAAAGATATGCCCTCTGAGAAAGAAGATGCAAAGTCTGCTGTATGAGAACAGATTTCTTTCTGTAACTTAAAAACTTAGAACTATTGGGATATATGTATCTTTGGAAACAATTGGGTGTGTTCAAAAAAAGTAGCAAGTTGTATGGCTCACATTTATATAATAAGAAAAGTTATTCATTTCCATATCTCTTATAAAACATGTTGTACATTGAATTGTTCTTAACCTGTAAGTAGTAACAAATACATTTTATGATATCTATGTAGAAAAAAAGAAGTGTCTGAGGTGTTTTGGAGGCTTCTAAATTGTTTCTATTTGTATTGTAAGATGAATATTCATAACTGCCTAGTGACAATATTTTTAGAAAAAATCTTTCAATTTCATATCATTCTTTAATCCAGTTAAGTATATATTTATTTATCCTGAATGTACTTGCTACAGAACAACTTCCCTTGCATGAGATATCTCTTGAGATACAGATATCTCAAGAAGTTATTTTTAAGCATGCATATATGGAAAAGAAAATAAATTATTATTTATTAACCTCTAAGTAGTGCTGCACATATAAAATGCAATTTTATTTCATTTTCTAAATAGCATTTTTAGTTTTTTAAAAAATATTTTGTAGGGAAAATCCAGCTTGTTTTATGTTTTGTTTCTGCAATGAGTAATTGGTGGGGATGATATTTGAACTCTGGTTTTTAATAGGAGATCTTTTCTTCTACAGAATTCTGCTTTCCATTCCACAATTTTATGCTAATTAGGAAATCCATAAATTAACAATTACATTTACCAGTGAATCATATTTGCTCACTGATGAAATATATATTCAGTGTCTATTATGTGTAAAGTCCTGTATTAGAAGACAGGAAAAAAAATAAACCAGGGCACTGTGATATACAGGCATTTTGGGGGGGCGCATCAATAAATGAGTTTCTTTTATAATTTGTTTTTTAATTTATGTATAATAGATGTATGTAGTTTTCAGGTACATGTGATAATTTCATGTAATCAGATAATTTGTAAAGATCAAATTATTGTACTTGGGATATAAATCACCTCAAATATTTGTCCTTTCTTTCTGTTAGAAGCATTCTAATTATTCTTTCCTAGCTATTTTGAAATGTACAATGTAGTAAATGTAGTCATTCTAATGATATAACACTTCATCTTATTTCTTCTATCAAACCATGTGTTTGTACCTGTTAAGGAACAAATGCCCCTTTTTCTTCCCAGCCTCTGGTAACCACCAATCTATCTTCAATCTAACCACCAACTGATCTTCATGAAATCCACTTCTTTAGTCCTCATATAGAATGTGAGAACATGCAATATTTGTCTTTCTGTGCTTGGCTTATTTCACTTAGCGTAATGACCTCCAGTTCTGTTTATGTTGAAGCAAATGACAAGGTTTTATTCTTTTTTTTTAATGGCTGAAAAACATCCATTGTTTTTTTAAGTGGCTGAATAACGTTGTGTACCATATTTTCTTTACCTATTTATTCATTGATGGACACATAGTTTGATTTTATATTTTAGCTATTGTGAATAGTGCTGTAATAAATGTGGGTGGGAGTGCAGATGTCTTCTCGATGTACCAATTTCTTTTCTTTCGGGCACATACCTAGCAGTGGGATTGCTGAATCATATGGTAGTTCTATTTTTATTTCTTTGAGGAACCTCCATGCTGTTCTGCACAGGGACTGTACTAATGTACGTTCCCACCAACAGTGTGTGAGGGCTCCCCTTTTTGCATATTCTCACTTGCATCTGTTTTTGCCTTTAAATCATCTCACTCAAAAGGAACAATTTTTGATCATGAATAACTCTCTGGAGTGCTGACTTGTACTAAAATCTGAATAACAAAACGAAAAATCTGAGGAAAAG
Source organism: Homo sapiens (assembly GCF_000001405.40). NCBI lineage: Eukaryota > Metazoa > Chordata > Mammalia > Primates > Hominidae > Homo > Homo sapiens. Next base: position 185,553,344 of record NC_000002.12, on the reverse strand, counting down.
GTTTTAGGTAGGGGGAACAGAAAATAAAAGACCCTGAGGCTGGAACTAGCTTAGTTCATAGACAAGTAAAAGGGAGGCTGGTACGATTAGAGCACATCAAGCAATTGGATGAGTGGTTAGAAGTGTGAAATGAGAATCGGCAGAAGCAAATAATGTAAGGCTATTGTAGGTCACTCTATGGAGATGGAATTTTGTAGGTGAAAAGCAATTTAAATAGTGTGATTTGTACTTTTAAGATATGTGGAGAATAGATTGCAGATCTCAAGAATGGAAAAAGTGATTCCAGCCAGGAGATTGTATCTTTCCCCATAATCCAAGTGAGATACAAAATTTATTGCAATTTTAAATCAGATCTGAAACTATAATTCTGAAACAAATGTTTTCCATGTAGGTATTCTCTCTCTCTTTAATGTCTTAGATTAGTGCAATGTCAAGTATAGCTACATAGAGTTTCATCTCTAGTCAGTGTAATAAGGGGTAATCATATAACCATTTCATAAGCCTCAAAAATATTATTAATAAATGTTTTTTGAGGCCCTCAACAAAAGTTTTACACTATAAAACAATTATTGAAATGTAAAAATTCTCTTTTAGTACAATAATTACTTAAAATTTTCCATCTGAAAATATCTTTTTGAAAAAATAGCTCCTTAAATGATTTTGGTTTATCAGTTCAGGCCGCTAACCAAGTAAGAACTCAAGAGTCTAAGACACTTAAAAATCATAAAGAGAAGCAGAAGAAAAGAAAATCCAAAGATAAGTTTGTAGGTGCTACCATTTTACTTCATAGAGATAGAACCTTTCAATATCCGATGTAGTGACTTTTGTGTTAGGAGCATGATAAACACTTAACCAATATAGTCCTTCCTTGAGGAAAATGTATTTGATTTAGAAAAATAATATTGTAGTTTTTATTTATTTATTTTTATTTTTTTATTATACTTTAAGTTCTAGGGTACATGTGCACAACGTGCAGGTTTGTTACATATGTGTACATGTGCCATGTTGGTGTGCTGCACCCATTAACTCGTCATTTACATTAGGTATATCTCCTAATGCTATCCCTCCCCACTCCCCCCACCCCACAACAGGCCCCGGTGTGCGATGTTCCCCTTCCTGTGTCCAAGTGTTCTCACTCATAGGTGGGAATTGAACAATGTAGTTTTTATTTATTAACAGAATGGTGAGAGTCAGAATTTATGGATTTGCATAAGATGATATATATTATATGATTATTTGGTTGTGTATTTTACAACTTATTTTTATATTTATATTCATATACTATACATACATATGTTTTTAACAGAAATCTGTTTTGAGAAACCATATTTTGCTATAGGATGAAAATCTGTAGATACATAATAGATATAGTTATTATATACAATAAATTTTCATTAGGAGGCAGAAATCCTTGTTTCTAATGGAATCAGCAGTTTTTTTCTAACTACTTAGATATACGCTATGCTTATAGTCTCTCTTAAAAATTGTCATCTCATTAAATGAGGGCAGAACTAGTGGTCTCAGTGTAGACACTTCAAATTATTCTAATTTTATTCTGTGATTATTTTGTGAGTATCAACTAGGAAAAATAAATATCAGGGTAGAAAATGTATGTGTTGAAAATTTAATTACTTATTAAGAAATATTTTAATGTTTGTTTTTTAGAATGTGGAATGCCTTACAAGCAAAATAACAATTCCGTACAGTATGTATAAGTATGTTGTTCTTTATCTTGGACTCAGTTCACTTCTTATCAATAAACTCAGTACTATTCTCCTATTTACAGTTAAAATTCTTAAAAGACTAGCCAGGCAGCTCCCATGTTTCTCATCTCATTCTCCACAAAACTCAGCCAAAGCTTTTGGCTCTTTTCTCTACTCCATTTAAACTACTCTTGTCAAAATAACCAATGACATCACTTTTGCTACATCTAATGCTTAATAGTCAGATTTCATTTTATTTAAATCATTTTGAACATTTGCCATAGTAAACCTCTCCCTCCTCCTTAAAGCACCTGCTTCACCTGGTTTCCAAGATACTGTACTCCCCTGGTTTCCCTAATTCTTGCAAAATGTCCCTCCCTCACTTTCATTCGCTGGTTTCCCCTACTTCCCAGTTCTCTTGAGGCCTTAGTTACTGCCTTTCTTTCAATTTCTGGCTATACATATTCACTTAAAGAACTCTTCTGTTAGCATGACTTGAAATTACCTTTATAAACTGATAATAATTTACTTCTTCAGCTTATACTTCTGTAAATTCCAACTAATTGATGAATCAAATCTTCCTTTCTATATATACTAGAAATCACAATTTGGTGCAACCAAAACTGAGCTTCTCATCTCCAATCACAAAACAAACAAACAAAATACGTTTTTTCTGTCACAGTCCTATCTTAGTTAATGGTTATTCCATCCTTGCATTTGCTCAAGTCAAACACTTAGAGTCATATTAGTCATAAAGATCTTAGTCATAAAGATACAGGTAGGTTAAGAAGGAATAAGCGATCTCACTTGTTAAATTAAAAATTTTCAATTGATATGTTTATGTCCATTGAAAGTGACACATATTGATGATTAATATGGAGAATCACTGTTAAATCCAGTTTTTTTTTTTCTCTTTAACCAATCACAACTCACAGTAGAGCAACTGGTCTTGTGGAAGTACGCTTATGGGAATGACAAAAGGTATTTAAAGCAGTTCTGGCAGGCAAATAATGTTCACTTTTGTCTTTTCTTCAAAATTAAGAAAATTAAGCTGTATTTTAAAAATTTATGTTCAATTTTTTGTCAGTAACCAGTTATAACAGTTTATCTGTGAATGAATATTTAAATTTAAATTAACTTTTGAAAAAACAAATGGATGAAACAATGGAGTCTTATGTGTTTATCTCTTGCTGAAGGACATACTTTAATGCAATCAAATTTATAAAATATTTTAAATAAAATACCCACAAATAAATTGTTACTTGTTTCATTGGTAATTGTCATGAAATTATAGAAAATATCAAAAAAATCTATAGGCATTCTATTTTTCTAAGCTTATTATTTTTGTTTTCTTTCAATCTAACATGATATTTCTTCCTTGCATGGCAGTATTAAAATCATTAAAAGGACGGGCGCTGTGGCTCACGCCTGTAATCCCAGTATTTCGGGAGGCCAAGGTGGCTGGATCATTTGAGGTCAGGAGTTCCTGACCAGCCTGGTCAACATGGTGAATCTCTGTCTCTACTAAAAATACACACAAAAAATTAGCCAGACGTGGTGGCGGGCTCCTGTAGTCCCAGGTTACTTGGGAGGCTGAGGCAGGAGAATCACTTGAACCAGGGAGCTTAGAGGAGCAAATGTTTAATAGCTTATATTTTAATATTAGTGAGCTTTTTTTTGCTTCTCATAAACAGTATTTTGGGTTCCTAAGACTAAAGAACGATATGCAATTTTAAGATAATAGTGAAAGATTGCATCTGAAAGATTGCATCAAAGATGTTCACTTAGAAATATTTGGTAAAACAGTGGCAAATAAGATAATTCAAGTATCACTTTCTAGCGAAATCATAGCTTGAACTATTCAGGATGTACTGGGTCATAACGCTGGAAGATCATCTCACAAAATAAACAAACTATAAAGTGTTTGTTATTGCAACTTTAATGAATCTACTGATATTGGTGATAATGTAATTCTTTTATAATATAAGAAATTTGAATATGATATAAAAGAATAATTATTTTAGCATCAATTGCTAATATTGTTAACTTTGAAGAGTACCAACTATGAAATATTACACAATATCCATTTCTCTATAAACCTAACCAAACATCAATTCCTTTTTTTTATTCATTTCAAAGTTTTAGCTACCAATACACTTTACTTCTAAATATGTCATCATAAATCAATATAACTGGGAGTTCAATATTGTTTATACATTTGTAAGATAAATTTTACATAAAGTAAAATGCACCTTTTCATATATTTAATTTTTATTTTATTTTAGATTCAGGGGATACATGAGCAAGTTTGTAATATGGATATATTACATAGTGGTGGGGTTTGGACATCTAGTGTACCCATCACACAAATAGTGATTATTGTAACCAATTGATGATTTCTAAAACCTCATCCCCACCCTAACCTCTCTCCTTTTCGGAGTCCCCAGTGTCTATTGTTTCCATGTTTATGTCTATGTGTACTCATTGTTTTGCTCTCACTTATAAGTAAGAATATGTGGTATTCGATTTTCTGTTTCTGAGTTATTGTACTTAATGACCTCCAGCTCCATCCATGTTGCTGCAAATAATATGGTTTCATTCTTTTTAATGGCAGCATAGTATCTCATGGTGTATATGAACCCTGTTTTTATTAACCAATCAATCGTCGATGGACAGTTAGGTTGATTCCATGGCTTTGCTACTGTGAATAATGGTGTGGTAAACATATGAGGGCAGGTGTCTTTTTTATATAATAATTTCTTTTCCTTTGAGTAGATACCAATCTGTGGGATTAAATGCACCAATTTTAAATTTACTGTTTAATGAGTTTTCACAAATGCTTGTATTGTAATCCAAATCCATACCAAAAAATAAAACATTATCATTACTTTATAAAGTCCCTGGATGTTCCTTTTCTTCTAATTACTGACCCACCCATCAGAGTGAAGTTTTCCTACAAAAGTCTAGTTATATCTGTTCTAGAGCTTTACATAACTAAAAGAATGTGTATATTTGGTATAAAATTTTCATTCAAAATATAAATTTTTCAAATTAACCCATTTTACATGTAAATACTAATAATTCCTTTCTTTTAATTACTGAATAACACTTCATTGTATAAATATATCCAAATAAGATTAAACAAAGAAAACCACAGCTATGTAAAACATGGTAAAACTGTGAAAACCAAAGGCAAAGAGAAACTCTGGAAGTCAGCCACAAATAGAAAACACATTGCCTCCTGGAAAGTAATAATAAGGCAGATAGATGAGTTTTCAACAGAAAGTATATAACCAGAATACAATAAAATGACATATTTAAAGTGCTGATGTATGTTATTTAAAAATAGGAAAAAGTAAAGAAACCACCAACCTTAAATTCTATACTTATTGAAAAATATCCCTCAGATATATCTTATAAATATGGCAAAATAAAGGTTCTTTTTCAGAAAAAAAAAAACAGTATGTTGAGAGACTTTATTAGCAGCAGGTAGGTAAATATCAATTAATGTAGTTCTTCAGGATAAATTAAAAGAATCTCAAATAGATGAAAATCATCCCAGATGGAAGCATGGATATTCTGGAAAACAATGAAAATCATGAGGAATATATTAAGTGGAATACATGGACTATTAAATATTTATTTATTTAATTTATTTATTTTAAGACAAAGTTTCACTCTGTTGCCCAGGCTGGAGTGCAGTGGTGCAATCTTGGCTCACTGCAGTCTCCACCTCCTGGGTTCAAGTGATTCTCCGGAATAGCTGGGATTAGAGGCATCTGCCACCAAGCTGGGCTAATTTTTGTATTTTTAGTAGAGACTGGATGCTTCATCCAGGTCTCCTACTACCACTGCATCTGTGTCAGCAACAGCAGCTCCAAGGACAGTTTGTGTGGCAATACAGGTATCTGTTGTAATGACATCATTGGGTTAGAAAATTTCAACTGTGGCAGTTCAGTCAGTTAATGCAGGTGCACCATTAATAACCAGCACTAGTCCAACAACAGCGACCTCTCCAAAGGTAGTCATTCAGACAATCCCTACTGTGATGCCAGCTTCTACCGAAAATGGAGACAAAATGACCATGCAGCCTGCCAAAATTGTTACCATCCCAGCTACACAGCTTGCACAGTGCCAACTGCAGACAAAGTCAAATCTGACTGGATCAGGAAGCATTAACATTGTTGGGACCCCACTGGCTGTGAGAGCACTTACCCCTGTTTCAATAGCCCATGGTACATCTGTGATGAGACTATCAATGCCTACTCAGCAGGCATCTGGCCAGACTCCTCCTCGAGTTATCAGTGCAGTCATAAAGGTGCCAGAGGTTAAATCGGAAGCAGTGGCAAAAAAGCAAGAACATGATGTGAAAACTTTGCAGCTAGTAGAAGAAAAACCGGCAGATGGAAATAAGACAGTGACCCACGTAGTGGTTGTCAGTGCGCCTTCAGCTATTACCCTTCCTGTAACTATGAAAACAGAAGGACTAGTGACATGTGAGAAATAAAATAGCAGCTCCACCATGGACTTCAGGCTGTTAGTGGCAGTACTGACATAAACTTTTGCAAGGGAAGTCATCAAGAAAAGTCAAAGAAGACTTTAAAACATTTTTAATGCATATACGAAAACAATCAAACTTACTGGAAATAAATTACCTATCCCATGTTTCAGTGGGAAATGAACTACATATTGAGATGCTGACAGAAAACTGCCTCTTACAGTAGGAAACAACTGAACCCATCAATAAGAAAAAGGATTGAAAGGGACCAAGTAGCTCACTACGATATCAAGTTACACTAAGGCTTGGAACACTAACATTCTGTAAGAGGTTATATAGTTTTCAGTGGGAGGGGTTGGGATGGGTAATCTCATTGTTACATATAGCAATTTTTGATGCATTTTATATGCATACCAGCAATTATTACTGTGTTTGCACAGTTCTCACTTAACTGGTGCTATGTGAAAACTCTGCTAATATAGGTATTTTAGAATGTGAATTGAAGAATGGATCCCAAAAACTTCAGAAAGAGGATAGCAAAAAATGATCTAGTGCAATTAAAAAATATATATATATGCATATATACACATATATATGCATATAAAATATATATATGTGTGTATATATGTGTGTATACATATATATACATATACGTGTGTATACATATATACATATATACGTGTGTATACATATATACATATATACGTGTGTGAATACATATATACATATATGCGTGTGAATACATATATATACATATATGTGTGTACATATATATACATATATGTGTGTACATATATATACATATATGTGTGTGTACATATATATACATATATATGTGTGTGTATACATATATATATACACACACACACATATATATATCATATAGCTTAAGCTGATTTAAAACAAAGGCCTTAGACTAATTTTCGGTTTTCTTTCTTGAAATAAGCTAATGGCTTGTTTGTGTAAAGCTTTTTTATTAAAATAAAAATTTTAAAAATCTTTTACCTAGAACAGTATTGTTATAGAATTTACATGTAACATTTTATATGGTAGTTTAAGTCTGTCAGTTTCTTAATTGTGGACAAATTAACAGTTGGCTCTGGCCTTTTGCTATAACATGCCTGTGTCACTCAGCCGTGGCATTTGTGCAGACATATCATTTTCAGTTCTGCTGTCACTTGGAAGTTCAGGCTCAGCATGAATTTTTGTCAGGTAGCTCTAATACCTGGAGTTTTCTTTGTTTGTTTGTTTTTTTGTTTTGTTTTGTTTTGTTTTTTTAGTTGAAGTTTATGAGGGAAATACCAGTGTTCAGATTTGAACTATAATAGTTTGTATATTCAACATTTGAAGTATATTCTATTTTGTTGTACTCTTGTTTCAAAGTGTATTCAAGTAGGTTTTATGAAATATAGAAATGAAATTAAAAAAAAAAAAGACATTGCCAGATTGGGAGAAAAACACCAAAGAACAAACCTCAATTATTTGCTTTTAAAAGGAGATCCACTGAAAAAATAATGTTATGGATAGGATGAAAGTAAAATAAATAGAAAAATTGTTATTAAAATAATAAGAAATATAAATTTGGTTATAGTAACATCAGAGCAGAATTAATGCAATAAATATTACTAAAGATGAAAGAGGCATTTTATAATGATAAAATATTTGGTCAATCAGAAATGCCTAACAATCTTAAAATATATAAAGCAAAAATAGATAAAAATAAAGGAGAAATATGCAAATTATCTTAACATTTAAAGATTTTAACATAATAATCATAAATTAATGGAGCAGCAAACATATATTCATCTAAAATATAGAAAATTATACAATAGTATTTATCAATTTGATGTAGACCTAATATACAAAATATATTATCCTCAAGTTCATACGAGCCATTTGTCATCTCTCACAAAACCTTCTTTATATACAAAATTTATATACACTGAAAGTTTGTGTATTTAGGTATATATACATACATATGTGTATGTATATCGTTTTACAAATTATAAAGAAAGGAAAAACTAATGAAAAATAAGCAAAATAATTAAAAAGCCACTTCACAAAAGATGATATCTAAGTGGCCAATAAGCTTATAAAACATAAGTTTAATGGAATTATTTTCAGGGAAATGCAAATGAAAATTACAATGAAATAACAGTATACTCTCGCTAAGAGTGACAACTGCAAGTGATGGTGAAGATATTAAGCAATTAAAACACTCATACATGGGAGGTAAATTTTTACAACCATTCTGAAAGAACATCTTTTTGTCAGACTCTACTAAAATTTAACATCTTTCTATTCCTGTGATTCAAGAACCCTGCTCTTATGAATATACTTAGGAGAATTGCACATACATATTCATTTCAACTTCATTTGTAGTTGCCCAAAACTGGAAACAACCCAGAGATTATTAATAGAAGAATGGGTAACTAAATTTTGGCATACAAAAACAATTGATTAGGTCACAACGATAAAAAAACAATCTACTGATGTACTCAAGAATGTGGATGAACCTCACAGATGATATATTGGGAGACAGAATGCAGACGCACGTAAGCCCATAGAGTGTTATTCTGTAAATATGTTGAAATTCAATTTAACAACAAGCAGAATTCATGGTGATACAAGTTAAAATAGAGGGTATGTATTTACGGGAAGCAACACAAGGGACCTTTCTGGGATGTTGGAAATGTTCTATATTGATGTGGGGAGTTTTACATGTGTGGTGTTTACTAAACAGTATTGACATTATTTCATGTTTCTATATATATGCTAACCATCAATAAGAATTTAAATAATATATATTTACATACCAATCACCATTTATATATCCATCATTATTCTATCTTCTTTGTCTCTATCTCAGTATTATTTATTAAGACGGAAAAGTACAAGATAAAGTTTTGTTCATGTTCAATGGACAGAAGATTTTATTTTCAATTTAGGGGAGACATTGTAATCTTCCATGTAACTATTTTTCTTCATTTTAGTAGTTTTTGTATATGGTTTATATATTATATATTAAATTTCAACATGTATCTAATCTCATAATTTAAGGTTTATCACTCATTAATTTTAATAAATTATATCTCAGTCATTACATAATTTCACTTGTTATACTTGCTTTTTAAGTACATTTATCCTTACTCTAACACATGTGATATTAACTTATCATTCTTGTTTTGTATTTATTTGCCATGGATACCTTTGTCTAAATACTTATTTTCAATCATTTTGACGTTTTGCATTAGTGTGATTTTACTAAAAATGCATATATCTCAGTTTGTTTTTCTTAACTCAATCTGAAAATTTCCTTGGTCTCATTTACTCTCCTTTACTAATCTCAATTAATCTGAACACTTCTATACTTGATTTGAGTTCTTTTGACTCACTTTAGTTATTATCCATGTTGACTGCCCCCCCTTTTTTTTAAACTTTACTTTCCCCACTTATTTTTGCAAGCTTAAACAAGCTGCTATTCAATCTATCTCCTTCTGCCTACTGATGTGGAAGTTCCTCTGTATTTTCTGTGCCACAGATGGTTACATTTTTCCTGACCTACAAATAAATATGACTCTTATCATATTTGAAAATAACAGCAGTTTTTTCTCCACCGATACTTTTTCCTATATGATGAGACTTGCTTTATTGTGTTGGTATTCAGCTGGCACTAAGCCCTCACTTGCACCCTCTCAATCTCAGCACCTGTTTGCTTCAGGTGCAAGAAGTCTTTTGATAGAAGGAATGATGGAGAAGACATTAGCATTCGGGTCACATCTTCCTAATACATGTTGCAGGGTAGTTTTCAGTTTGAATGTGAAAATTTGATTATATTATCTCTCAAACTTAGACTTCCCATTTTGTATTATTTCCCATGGTGTATTGAGGGAGAGGGAAAAGTGCAAGTGGGGAGACTTCATTATTACTTTCTGGAGATTCAGGGAGCACAAAGTAATAAAAACTGTATAATTAGTTGCAATTTAAAAAATGCCAATATTTGTGAAATAAAATGAAATTTGGGTAGAAAGAGCAGTTAAAATCAGTATACAGTAGTGCCACCAGTCTGCAGTTTCACTTTCTGTGTTTCAAAAAAAGGTGACTACAGTACAATAAGATATTTTGAGAGAGAGAGGTGCCACATTCACATAATTTTTATTAGAGTATGTTGTTATAATTGTTCTATTTTATTATTGGTTATTGTTAATATCTTATTGTGCCTAATTTCTAAATTAAAATTTATCATAGGTACATATGTTTAGGAAACATTGTACAGTATATATTGAGTTTGTACTAACTCTGATTTCAGGCATCCACTGTGGATCTTAGAATGTATCCCTTGTGGATGAGCAGGGACTACTGTATTTTGCAGTTCTTTGACAACTGTATATTAGCATTGGTCTAAAAAAGCATCTAATTGTGTCTTACATAGAGAAGGTAAGCTCTGAGATAAGGGTGATAAATTGTTTTTGACAATAAAATATGTTAAAGTCTATGAAAGAACATTTTTAATTTCAAATTGACAAAATAGAATCATTACATGTTATCTTTAAAGACATGACAATTTTATGTAAGTTTTAGAATTTTATGGAATGATTTACATGGTTTCTAATGTTCTTATCTTGGGATATAAATAAATTTCAAAAACTTATGTTTTGTTCATAATATTTTGAATATTTATTTCTTAACGAATTACCTTGCATTTACCCGCATTTAACTTGTATTCTGCCTTTTTGACTATGCTTTCTTTTTTTTTTACTCTGCTTCTTATTTTATTCTCTTTTTGTAATCTTAGAAAGTTTAGAATCATTTGCTATTTTGACAGTTTCATTCTTAATATAATTTCCTGTTTCTTTTCCTTTTTCTCATTCTTCTCCTCCTCCTCCTTCTTTTTTTTTTTTCCTTTGAAGATCTGATATTGGTAACAGTATGCTGAAAGTAAACTTACGTGATAACCCAGCTTCTCACAATAGGAGTGGAAGTGTGACCAGGTTGATTTGCCAGAATATGGTACGTACTTGCTATGAATGAGAAATTGGGAAATGGACTTTTGATCTAGCCAGTGTCAGTGCAAATACCATTTTGCTATGTGCTAGAATGTTTGCCAGTTATTTAAAAGTATCTGAACAGAACCATAGGCTAGGTATATTAAAAATCCCTCTGAATTTTACGGGAATCTTGCCCCCATCAATTGGTAATATCAGCAGCTGTGGGACAGATTGACTTGACCAAGTAACTATCAACACTGCCACAGCTTTGTCTTATGCTTCCTCTGGCCATCTATGTGAAGAAACCTGTAACCTTTGCTTGTGTCTAATGGCATCTTTCCATCACACACATCCATTGCTTATTATAATTATCATTTTATCAACAACCTAGAAAGAGCAGAGTTCTGGAAGAGCAATATCTTAGGTTGATCTTTTCTCTGATCTAAGACTTGGCACAATGAAACTTTCTCTTTGGCTGTTTTTGGAACTATGATGTTTTTGCTTGAGCTATTTTAATATGAATCTTATCTTTCTTAATAATATTATTAGGTTTCTTAAGAGGATGTGCATATCAACTGTAGCCTTTTGAAGATTTTTGTTCAATAACTTAAATTTATTGAATGCTTATTTATATGTATTATTATTTACTTGAAATAATCACATCATGCTCCTTAATAAGTTGAAGAATAATTTTATTTTTCTCTGGAGTTTTGTCAGTTTTTTCCCCAACATGTTTTCTTTAAAAAAAGTGTGTTCCAAGATAATTTATATAAATTTTGAATTTGTGTTTTGGAAAATTCAAGTGAAACTCCAACAAATCTTATATTCCATGTAGTATTTCTGAGGTAAAAATGTTGGTAAATTTTTTCAAAAATTTACCAATTGTTCTAGTCAGATAGTTTTCTCTTTTTAAGTTTGTTTTGCAATAGAGATTTCTTACCAAAAATGATACTTGACAGTTCAGAAAGCTAATATTTTCAACCAATTATTTCTGAGTTTTGTTTTCTTTTATTATCTAGATTATATTAATTCTCCAGTTGTATGTATTTTGATCTATGAGTTTATATTTGATTAAAACTTAGGCTTCATATGTAGTGTTGATGTTGTCTTGCCTATTAATAAAATTGAATGAAATGTTGTAAGTTCTCTCAGGTACAAGTCAGTTTTAATGTGTTATATTCTGAAAGTGTTAGGGATTATATTTTAAGTAATTTTTTTTCAGAAAGTTTTAAAATTTATGGGATGTGTATTAAAGTCTAAAATTTTGCTGTAAACATTTAAGGATAATTACTTTTAAGAATTTCTCAATCATTGTCATGGCAGATTTTTTTCTCATTCAAGACTACTTTATTCTAAAAAAGTACATTCATATTATATTTTACATTATAATAAATAATTTGAAAAACTTATCTCTAAAGTTTTTCTTTAGTTTGTTTTCCTAAATACATACTTTTACATTTGATCAGTTAAGCCAAACAGCAGCTAGTGGGGAGAATATGAGGTGATAATCTACCTAATGAGGGGCTTTTCCTTTTGTAGTAGATGTGAATAATTAGCTGGTAATATACCTATAAGTTATGTTGTTTCTCTGTCTGGTATTACAAAATTTCTAAAAGTAATAAATATTTATGCTCCTGGAACTCCAAGGTAAAAGGCATTCCAAGAGATGTCCTGCAAAGTCTTTTTCTAACTTCTCAGGCAGTCCCCAGGCCAAACATGCTGCTCTTCCCAAGGGTCATGGACTAAAGACTTAGAGCACACACTGACTCCTCTGTTACGACTTTTCATTCATTGCAGTTCGTGAAAAGTTGTGCCAACTTTCAGATAATGAGAACGTTTCTTTGTGTAATGTTTTTCACGTAAAAACACTAAATAAATAAATATGCGATGTTTTGATATTACTGTTTTAGGCAAAGATATCCTCTCCACTTCACTCAACCATAATTTTTAGTCAGAATATATCATAGGGAAGAAATTTGGATTTTCCAGCTTGTTGCTTTGTGTACATATCCAAGCTGCAAATACTAATGTAATACGACACTTCAGAGTGAAATAGCATTTATGCCATGTTCACACGGCTTAAAGCATGCTTATCTTTAGATTTTGTTTTATGCAACAGGTTATTTTCTTGTGCTGTAACTTTTTAAGTATAATTTTAGTGAAAAATAATAAGTCTACAAAGTTTTTTAATATTAATAAAAAAGGGCTGTAGAAAGAATGTCCTTCCAAAGAATAACTCCCTTACAGCTGCTCTCCTCTACCAACAACAATCTTTTCTTTTTCTCTTCTAGAAAATATAATAAAACTTTGTTATATTTTATGACAATCCATATGTATTTAATTTCAAATTGTTATTTATGCAAATTTTTTTAAAGTAAGATAGTTTTTATTCCTATCTATGAAAATTGTTTATGTCTTTTGAGTTAGGATTAAACACATCATAATTTTTTTGAATGCTTTAGAATATTCAGTATGAATGTTGAAACCTATTAATATTACATAGTACTTATTTGATAAATAATTGACTTTTATTAATTGTTTCATATTTGGCTATTTGAAATTGTCTTTTAGTTGTAATTGCACTCCAATATTCATTAGCTACCTTTTTTTAATTTTAAATTTTTTACTTATTTTCAAAACTTTCACTTTTCAAAGATTTGAAAGTCTTCTGCATATTCAGTATAAATATTCCTCTGCTGCCAGATTTGCATGATCAAATGGCACTGAGAAGGCAATGTTTGCCTAGGCTAGAAATGATTACTCCTTAGACAAAGGACATGCATAGTCATTTAGAGAAAGATCAAATGGAAAGTTTAACAATTTAGAATTGAGAAACTAAGGTTACTTAGACTACAAAGAAGTTTTTATCAGGAGGAATATTTAAAAAAAAAATTATTTCTGAACCTCCTTTCTGCTCATTCAATATTACAGTAATATCTTTCAGGAATGCCTCTCAATAGATGTATATGAGTGGAATTAAGCTGTTATAGACCTAAAGTTTAATTTTTTGTGTGTTTGCTCAAAAACAGGCAAGAGTACTGAATTGTGTACATTATTAACTAAAAAGTAGTAAGAGCAAAGATGCTTGTCTCTTTCTTTCCCTCTTAAATCTTCATCATCTACAACAGTGCCTGGCATATAGTGTTTATTGAATGAATATTTTTCTCAGTATACTATTTTTATAACTATTTCTAATTATACATTACATTAAGATAGGCAACAGTAATAGCATTTCACATGGGAATTCCCTTTATATCACAATAAATATGTTAACATATAATTTTTACATTTTGGACTCATATTTACAAGATAAATATTATTACCATTTTAAAAGAGTGAAACATTTGAAAATTTTCATTTGTTCATGATAATAGAGCTATTGTCTTTATAAATAGGCCCAGGAAGCAATTATATTTCTTTGTCATTTAATATTCTTTTCTCTGTGCTTAAGTATCTCTTCTGTGATAAGTTCTCATCTCCAGCTGGTATTATAAATGTCTTTTATGCTTTTTACTTCAAATTCAGTCCCAATGCTTAATCTCTGCAAATTTTCCCACTGCACTTGGAACCTTTTACTATCTGATTTCAACTCAATTTAGGTGGCTGGAATCTAACTAAATTCACATTCATAATGCATCTGTTAGATGCTGAGCTCTGTCCTAGAAACTGAGGGCTCTATAGTTGAAGAAGCATTTGGGGAGACTCATATATACATAAATGACTCAAATATATGAAAGTCTTTGTTCAGTGCTGTAAAACAGCTGTCAACAAAGGCCTCTACTAAGACACAGGGAGCAATTAATTTGAGTGAGAAAGAGAACAGAGAAGGCTTCATTTTCAGATTTTGAGATGACATATGTAATGAGTATGATATAATATGGTATATATCATGCACATGAAAATAATTTTGAAAATAACTGTACTTAAGTATTTTCCAAAGCCCAATATACGATTCAGTTTTCCCAGTAGTGGATCTTTTAATTTTAATAATTTCAGAAAAAAATGAGATTTTTCAGTATTTTTAAATTAATTTAACATTTATCCCTCTCTAGTTTGCTTGACTTGCACTTATATTGGATATATTTATTAGTTTCAAAGTATAGGTGGGTAGGATATAATAAATAAATAGAAAACCCTGCCAAAAGTCATTATAAGGCATCCAACAAAATATATATTATCTCATAGAATCTACAATGGCCAGAGTCTTGGCTTATTTACCACATCTTCTTCTTTGTTGTTGTTTGGTTTGTTTTTTAGCTGACACAGACAGAAAGAAGAAGACAAGACCTACATCTCTTCGAGGAAACAATTAGTGATTAGGCCTCTATTGCTGATTTGTATCTGAATCGGGTGAAGAATGTAGGGAAGATAATTTGTCTCATTGGTTTTTCTGTTTTTAAATTTTTATTAAAACACTCAATGATTTACTTATGTGTTTTCTATTCTGTTCAATAAGATTGCTCAGTTTTCTCTAGGTGCATAGTGTTTTAAACAATTTGGCAGTTCTTCATGGTAGAGCTTATTCTTATTAAGTGCTTTTGCCAGTTATCAAATAAATGATATGCTTCTTAAAGTAATGTCCTTTGGAGGTCAAATGGTTGTCAAACGAATTTTTTTATCGTCTAAATAATATGTCCTCATAATTTAAAATTTATTTCAGTGGCTAACCACAAAATCACATTAATTGATTATTTCAATATTTGCAGTGCTTGAAAACAATTGCTATAGAGAATGTCAATCAAACACAATATTCTTTGGAAGAATTATAAGGCAAAAGCAGCTACTCTTCTCCAGTGATAGTATTTATTATATATATATAATTTAATTTTAATATAGTTCCATGGGAAACAGTTATTCATTCTAACAAAGAGTAGAAAGAATCATAAATAATATAATGCACTAAATTATGTGCATATTTAAAAATAATCATATAAAGCAAAATGAGTTTAATATACTTTTATGTATGTATATTACTATGAGGTTTACATTAATAGAACACTTTGCTCTTTAATCTATATATAATACCTATTTCCATTATGTACCCTCTTTTAGAAATACCAAATGACAACTAGCTCTGCAATTTTTGTCTCATGGCATTTTTTTCTGATGGAGTGTAATTTCTTTAGCAGTATAATGCTATGCAATGTTTCCTGTGTATTATTTTAGGGAAAAAAATTTTAATGTTTTAAATGTCATTTAAAATGACTCATTTTAATGGCTCTGTATTATGAATAATCCTATGCCAAAATTGCATGCTTGTCAAAGAGTTGTGCTACTATAATATGTATATCTCTACATTTGTATACATTGAAATGTTTCATTTTCACAATTTTATTAGTGATGAATTTTTTTGATTAGGCATTTTCACAGTCAGTTATACAAGGTCCATTGCCTCTTTTTATTCTATTAGTTCCTTGTTTGCTATAAATATCCCAAGACTATGAATTTAAACATTTATAGTTGCAGATTTCTTTGTTGTATTTTTTTAGTTTCAAGTTGTTTCAAGTTTTCCCTCTCTTGATAATTTGGTTTTAATGCATGAATTGCAAATACATTTCTGACTTCTAATATTCATAATAGTATAGTGTTTTGCTGTATGTAAAATAGAAGTAATTATTTGATATTATATCTATATATAAAATATGTAATATTTAGATTTTTATGATTCAAAGTAATATTTTGTGAAAAATGTAAAGACTTCTTTATGTCAAAGGAAGAAAACATTAAGCAGACTTTTTGCTCATTTCAGTCAACAGAATTTGTAATGAACTTGTTCCACAGAGAGGGAAAGAAGGTAAGAGATGGCTGAACTATATCTGGATAATTTATTGAAAATAAACGAATGGAAATATAGACATTAAATTAATAAAAATGTGAGCAGATAAATAAAAAAAATTGTTTATTTGATCTCCTGTACCTCATTCCCCACTCCTAATTTCTAGAGAGACTAGTGAGAACTTTCTCATATTATTCTTAAACAATGAGATGGAATTCAGTCCAATGACATATAGAATGCTAATTGACAATCATATTCAAAATAAAATTCACAAAGAAATCAATACATGTCAGTTATTTGGGCCATTCTAAGCTACCATGTATTTCCTTTTCCTGAATACAAATTTAAGTGTGAAAAAAATACATGAAATACAAAGGCTTCTCACTTCTTAAGTCATACAAATGTTTAATGTTTATTTCAAACAGTTTCATTTTCTGAAAATAGCTTTATCAATAAGATTTTCAGGTAAGTTTTTATTAAAATACTACAAAAATCAATTGCAATGGTAACTTATTTATGTAATTTTGTTATATCGGAGAAAATGATTTTTATCAAATTATCCAGGATTGCTTAAAGTGAATGCTAGGTTTTTGGTTTTAAGGTAATTCAGAAAACAGAAAGGTATCTTTAGAATTAAATAATAAAACGGTGAGGGGACTATACTTACAATATTTCTCAAATGTGTTAAATCACTTGCTAACTTTTCTTTTGTGGAATATCTAATAGTTTTATTTTTGTTTCACCCCATGCCAGTATGAATCTGAGTTATGAAAAACATGGTTAGTGATATTTGAATATTTTTGTTTTCAATATCATCCAAGGCTCTTCCAACATTTTGTGAATAAATAAAGAGAAAATTAAGTTATTTTTGAATGACCATGTCAGTAACATACCTAAAACACTTTTTTCAATCAATTTAAAATGTTAAAGTTTCTATGAGTGTTACTGAAATTACCCTATTCCTAATGTTAATATTGTTAATAACAGTGATAATATTAATACTGTTAAAAATGTTAATGATATTATATCACATTAATACAAAAACAATGCAACGAATATAGCTTGTTTTTCATGAAATGATACTAAAATTTAGGTTAGAACAGAGGGTTTTGGCATTTGTTAAAATAATAAATAAAAGCATATTGTTTAGTCTTCACAGTTTCTATTTGATGTAAATGCTAGATCAAGTCAACAAAACTCTGTAAAGAAAGGGTTAATTTTATTGTATGGGGGACTTCAATCATAATAGTGCAGTCTACTGATAATAGAGTTGTATATGCAACATTTCTAAGCAAAGTAAAAATGAAGAATAACGTATGATATACTTTGAAAGAAGAAGAGTTTAGGAAACCACTGCAAGCAAATAGTCTTTGATAAAGGTTATTCCTGGATGTAACAACACAATTAAAGATCAGCAATTTCAGTAAGTGGCATAATCAATATCGTATTTGTTCACTAGGCACCAAAGACTTTAAATACATTAAAAAATATTAAACAGTTGCTTCGGTATTCACTGGGCAAATAATTTCAAAAACACTTTTTCTATTAAGTAATCTCTTGCTTTGGTACACTCACTTATAATGTCCAAATAAATCCACAATTCTATACAGTCAAGCATTATCTTCTTTTGGAGAATGGAAGAATAAATATACCAAATAAACTCACCCTACAATTTTCACTATTCAGAATATGTATGAGCTACTAAAAGCTGCATATAAAATTACTATACAGAGTTGGATATGTAAATAAACATGATAGAGTTCAATAAAATCACAAAAGCAAGTTTTAGAATAGTTGAAGATCCATTTAAAATACATTTGTCTTAACCAAAAGAGTTTCTGCTTTCACATACACATATAAAGAATACTTTGTTGGCCAAATACACATACATTGACAAACACACATCACTCAAACACAAACACATGCATGCACATACACACACACAATTAATGCAACTTTCTTGCACATTACCATTTAATACATTTTGAATATTTAGTGATGACTATATTTGTATATTTAAAATGTCAATTATAATGGAACATAATGGGTTCAATAAAGGTGAGATAGTAGAAATATTTGAGTTGTATTGTCATGAGTATTTCTTTAAAATAATAATTGAATATTTTAATATGAATCCACCTGCTACTTGCTCACATGATTTTTACATAGTTTGTGATATGTGTCCCCAACCAAATCTTACCTCAAATTGTAAGCCCATGTGTCAAAGAAGGGACCTAGTAGGAGGTGATTAGATCACAGGGGCTGTTTCCTCTATGCTGTTCTCATGATAGTGAGTGAGTTCTCACAAGATCTGATGGTTTAAAGTGTATAGCTTTCTTCTCTTTCTCTCCTGCCTTGCCATGGTAAGATGTATTTTGTTTCCCCTTCTGCCACAATTGTAAGTTTCCTGAGGAGTCAATTACACCTCTTTTCTTTTAAATTACCCAGTCTCAGGTAGTTCTTTATAGCAGTGTGAAAATGGACTAATACAGTTTGCATCTCAACATATCACATGGTCAGTTAGAAAAAGTAAAATAAATTAAGATGTGCTCAATTATATAGGCAGTCTTACGTATGCAATTCAGTAGACAGGTTACTGAAAATTTCACATAAAATAGGTAACAGCATTTTGGTCCCAAGAATTTTTGATAAATTAATCATTTTGATCCTGTTGGCCATCTTTAATTTGATCCCCAATTTCCTTTCAATGTTAATATTTTACAGTTTGACTCTCATGATAGCTCATCTCTTTCTTCCTTTATGCAAATATTTATTATGTACCTTTTATGTTTTGGGACTATTTCTAACCCTATACTGGTGAACAAGATGGATAAAGTATATACCATCATGGAACATACATTTAAGTGTGGGGTAAACAAACATAATTTTCTGTGTCTCTGTTGCAAAGTCTTTTTCATTTGTTCGTTTCTTCTTTTCCCTTCTTTTCTTTTCTTTATTCAACCCTTTACAAATGTAAAATCCATTCTTAGTTCATGGGCCACACAAAAAAATAGGCTATAGGCCATATTTGGCACAGCAGGCTGTAGTTTGCCAACACTTGTTACAGTTCAATGGTGTCACAATGTTTGGTTTTGGTTGTTATTATAAAGATAGGGAAACTTATTGGCAAAGGGACAAACACGTCAGACATCCTACAAATAATAGAACAATCTCAAAAAATAAAGATTATAATTGAATATCCAATAAGACTTTGAGTTATCCTAATGCCAGTCATTAAAGTGAAATATTTGATAATAGTGACATGTATCAAAATACAACTTTATCTTAGAAATTAACACAAATTATGTTTGCAAGATTTTAAAATTCATTAAAATTTCTAAGAATAAAACTAAGAATAGTCCTTTTTGTTGCTGTTATTAGGAGTCATTACTAAAAATTGTTCATCAGAAACTGCATATGGAAATCAATTTACAAATACAATGTACTTGCAGCAGTCTGCATTTATAACTGTATCACATTCACTATAATTTTTTTAAGAATAAAATTATATTCTTTGTTTCTTCTAATATACTATTATTTTATTTTAAATTACTCTTGTTTTATTTTCCTTTATGTAACAGTCAAGAAATCATATGCACACCCACCTACACATACAGGCAAAGGCAATTATAAGTATTTTATGTTATTTCTGAATTTCATTTTATAATAGGACTTTGATTAATTTAATTTAAGCCAGATTCTATCTTGGTTGTTTTCTATTATCAAAAAATGACATGGTGAAAGTAAAAGAAAGAAAAATGATGAATTTCTACTTTTGATTATTCTATACGTGTGTGTGCATACACACACACACACAGTCAGGCGTGTGCGACCATGCCTGGTCAATTTATTTTTTTTTCTTTCTTAGAGACAGAGTCTTCCTATGTTGTTCAATATTTATATATTTTAAGACATATGCTTTTTGGTGATTACACAGAATTGATTAGAATTTGAATTATTTGCCCAGTAAGTTTGCTCATCAAAATCAGTGAGAAGCAAAATGTTATCTAATATGCATTTGGCAATATGGTTTTGCAAACTATTTAGTGCTTACTCTGTGTTCATTTTTCTGAACCCCTCTGAAGTTAGGTCGCTTTTCTCATTTCACCCATTAACTTATTTAAACTTTACTTTCTTGCTAGCATTTATGAAACATACAGTTGTAATGTTTTAAGCATTAGGGACACTATCACAAAAGTCATCATCTTAAAATCATATATGACTAGTGAATGACAGGTAATGTGAGTTGAAAATAAAAGCTATCCACTTTCATACGTAAGTGGTAACTTTAACATTCATTTTATCTTTAACTCATAAAAAAATAGCTGCTTCCCTGAGACAGGATAAATAAGATCATCTAACAGTAAGTTCAAGTTTGTTTCTTTCTATCCAAATAGTTTATTGTGGTTAGAAATTTCCACATTAAATTGTGGGGTTTTGGTTGAGGTTAGTATAATATCCTACTTAGGTTGAAGTCCTCTAGTGACCTCAAGAGAGATGGAATTACAAGAAAGTTTAGAGACAAAGAGCCATTATGTGAAAAAGAATATCAACTAACGAGTCTCAAGTGTTTAAAAAATACCTAATACTTGGAAGCTTATGAGGTCAGATTCTTTCAGAATTCTTTTCTTCTTCAGTTGACATTGAAAAGGAACTAGTACATTTCCAGGTGCTCTTGAAATTATCCTTGTGACTCTAAACTTCTAAATGGAATCAGTTTAATATTCAATCCTAAAATGAAAGTTGTGTTTATTCTTTCAATAATGCTATGTCAGACATTTTTCTAGGTCCTAGATATGGATCCAGCAACAAGAAAACGAGGTTTCTGATCTTGTAGAATGTGTATTCTAATATATATGGTGGGAGATGGTGATGGGAAGACAATCAACAAATACATGTATTATTTTAAAAATTAAGTTTAATGCTAAGTGCTATGAAAAAAGTACATATGAGAGGATGGAAGGCCTGGTAATTGGTCAAGGAGTCTTCATTGGATCATCAACGTTTTCGCTTAGAAGTGAAATGCAAGAGAGAACCAGCCATATAGCAAAGCATCCAGGCAGAGGGAACTGCCAACGCAAATGTCAAGGCAGAAAAAATAAATTTTTTGAATTGTTTTAGAAATGCAAGGGCCTGTGAACTTTCAGGTCAGTGACTAAAGTTGACAGAGGTAGGTTCAAAGTGTTTTTGGAAAGGTAAGGGGTGAGATTACAAAGGACACTGAAGAGTTAAATAAAGAGTTTAGATTTTAAGTAAAACAGAAATTTAGCAGAATACTTCAAGCAGTTGAGTATCATGATCCAAAAATGACACAGAGGAATTTTTATAATAATGAAAGAATAAAAAGCCTATGGAAGAGGCTATTGCTGTTACCCAAACCAAAGAGAATTGTGACATAGCTGGAATGGTAGCTGTGGATAGGGATTGAATTATAATTTTGGTTTTAGAGTGACCAAAATTTACACACACAAGAAATACATAAGCTCCATAAAAGTAAAAAATATAACAGTTTATAAAAGTTTGTTGAATGAATGTATAGTTTAGATATGGGTATTAAGGAAAAAAGATAATTCAACAATACCTCCTAGGTTGGGGACTAGAAACTGTGGCAGATGATGCCATTTATTACGGAGGATACAAGACTGACTTGTAGTCCTTTAATATTAATAGTCTGTAGCTGCTATTCCATTGTCTTCTGTCTTCTAATATTGAAGACACTGGAACTCACAAACATGTTTTAAATTTATAGACAATTTTTTCTTTTGCCTGGAAGCTCCTTAGGTTTTCACTTTGTATTAAGAGCTCATATATTTTATCAGGGTATGGTTAGTTATAACATTTGTCACAACAATCTTCTCTGGAACTAGATTGACTCTCAAAACTAGAAGACTCATACCTAAAAGTAGTCTATCCCATAATTTACAGGTAAGAATTAAAAATGGAAGTTCTTGAACTAAAAGCCAGAATAACAAAAAAGTGTTATTTTTTAACAAATGGATGAACATAACATTTATGAATATAACTGAATATAAATAAGATATAATCAGAAATGTATCTTTAGTCATAGTATTTATTGAATTTATTTTATATATAACTTATGTAAATAATAACATTTTAAATAGTATTTATTTTATATATAATTTTAAATGCTCTGGGGGCATGAATATACACGTATATAAACTGAACACTTTTATTATATTAATATGTTGAACATTACAAAAATTAGTAAGATCTTATACAGGCATATCTCATTTTACTGTGATTTGCTTTCTTGCATGTAGCAGATACTGAGTTTTACAAATCGAAGATTTGTGGCAACCCTGCATCCAGCAAGTATGTCTGTACCATTTTTTCAACAGCATGCGCTCACTTGGTGTCTCTGTTATATTTTGATAGTTCTTGCAGTATTTCAAACTTTTTCATTATTATTATATCCGTTATGCTGATCTGTGATAAGTTATCTTTGATGTTCCTATTATAATTGTTTTGGGTTGTTATGATCCATACCCATACTAGATGGCAAACTTAATCAATACATTTGTGTGTTCTGACTGCTCCACCAGCTGGTCATTTCCCCATCTCTCTCCCATTCATCATGTTTTTTTTATTTCCTAGGACCGACGATATTGAAATTAAGCCAACTAATAACGCTACAATACCCTCCAAATGTTCAAGTGAAAGGAAGAGCCACATGTCTCTCATTTTAAATCAAAAGCTAGACATGATTAAGCTTAGTGAGGAAGGTGCTTCAAAATCTGAGATAGGCTGAAAAGTAGATCTCTTGCATCAGTTAGCCAAGCTGTGACTGCAAAGAAAAAGTTCTTGAAGAAAATTTAAAATGATATTCCGATGAATACATGAATGACAAAAGAGCAAAAGAGCCTTATTGTTGATATGGAGAAAGTTTTAGTGGTCTGAATAGAAGTTAAATCAGCCATAACATTCCCCTAATTCAAAGCTTAATTCAGAGCAAGGCACTAACTCTCTTCATTTCTATGAAGACTGAGAGAAGTAAGGAAGCTCCAGGAAATAATGTGTGAGGCTAGCAGGAGTTGGTTCATGAAGTTGAAAGAAAGAAGCTGTCTCCATAACATAAAAGTGCAAAGTGAAGCAGCAAATGCTAATGTAGAAGGTGTAGCAAGTTGTCAGGAAGACCCAGCTAAGATAATTGATGAAGGTGGCTACACTAAACAACAGATTTTCAATGTAAACAAAACAGCCTTATGTTAGAAGATGACTTCTAGAACTTTTATGCCTAAGAGATGTTAATACCTGCCTTCAAAGCTTCAAAGGAGTGGCTCTCTTATTAGAAACTAATGCAGCTGGAGACTTTAAGTTGCACCCAATCCGCATGAGATTACAAAAATTCTAAGACCCTTAAAAATTATGCTAAATCTGTCTTCCTGTCCTTTATAAATGGGAGAATAAATCCGGAATGGTAGCACATCTGTTTACAGCATGGTATATTGAATATTTTAAGCTCAGTGTTGAGACCTACTACTTAGAAAAAAAAACATTATTTTCAATATATTACCGCTCATTAACAATGCACCTAGTCACCCAAGAGCTATGATGGAGATGGACAGGGAGATTAATGCTATTTTCATGACTGCTAATACAACATTGGTTCTGCAGCCCATGTATCAGGAAGTAATTTTGACTTTCAAGTCTTATTATTTAAGAAATACATTTAATAAGACTATAGCTGCCATAGATAGATTCCTCTAATGGCTCTGGGCAAAGTAAACTGAAAATCTGGTGGAAAAGAGTCACCATCCCAGATGTCATTAAGAACATTCATGATTCATGGGAGGAAGTTAAAATACCAACATGAACAACAACTTAGAAAAAGTTGACTCCAATCCTTATGGATAACTCTGAGGGATTCAAGACTTTAGTGGAGAAAGTAACTGTAGAAGTGGCGGACAAAGCAAGATAACTAGAATTAGAAGTAGAACCTGGAGATGTTACTAAACTGCTGCAATCTCATGAGAAAACTGAATGGATGAGAAATTCCTTCTTATGAATAGCAAAGAAAGTTGTTTCTTGAGATAGAATCTAATCCCGGTAAAGGTGCTATGAACATTGCTGAAATAATAACAAAGGACTTATAATATTCCATACTCTTAGTTGACAAAGCTGTGGGAGGGTTTGAGAGGATTGATTCCAGCTTTGAAAAGTGCTGTACTCTGAGTAAAATGCTATCAAACAGCACTGGATGCTGCAGAGAAATCTTTCATGAAAGGAAGAGTCAACCAATGTGGCAAACTTTGTTGTTGTCTTGTCTTAATAGATTGCTATAGCCAACCCAACCTGCAGGAAACACCAGCCTGATCAGTCAGCTGCCATAAATGTTAAGGCAAGATCCTCCACTAGCAAAAAGTTTAGGACTCGTGGGAGGTTCAGATGATCACTAGAATTTCTTAGCAATAAAGTATTTTAAAATTAAGTATATACATTGTTTTGTACGCAAAATAGCATTGCACATATAGACTACTGTACAATGTAAACATAACTTCTATATGCACTTAGAAATCAGAAAATCTGTGTGACTTGCTTTATTGCGATATTCCTTTTATGGCAGTGTTGTGGTACTGAAACCATATCTTTGAGGTACGCCTGTATATCAAATTAGTAAAGAACATGAAAAATGGTGTATCCATGTGAAATGTTAAAGTAGGTACTGGATCTTCATTAGTGGTTCCCTATTGGTAGAAAACAATAAATTCTTCAATTCCCTGGCCATA
This sequence comes from Homo sapiens, assembly GCF_000001405.40. Taxonomy (NCBI): domain Eukaryota; kingdom Metazoa; phylum Chordata; class Mammalia; order Primates; family Hominidae; genus Homo; species Homo sapiens. The sequence goes on along the minus strand of NC_000002.12, from coordinate 185,527,632 downwards.
ATTAGTATTTCAGTTATGGGCCAGTGGCCAATTCTGGCCAATGAGAGTGAGAAAATCTCACTTAATAGAAGTCACCAGAAATATCTCTCACTGAATGTAAAAGAAAAAAAAAGCCTCTAAATTGAAGCAGACTTAAGATGAAGTTAAAGATCATAGAAAACAGTGCAAAGATTTAAAAAAATTCTTCCTTATAATATGTTTTATCAACTATATCAAAAGTTGTCAAGAATGTCCTCATATATCTTTCAAACCAGTTATATGTTTATTTCAGCTTTTCAGTTTTATTTTTATATATATATATATATAAACACACACACAAATAATTTTCATATATATGTATGTAAAGAGAGAGAGAGAGAGTTATGAGAAAAAAACTCCTTGGCCAAATATGAAAGAAATAAAACAGATATAATAAGTCACTATAGAAAATAATTTTAAAAAGTGAAGTAGAAAAAGACAATAAAATAGAAGGAAAGGCTTTTTAAAACATATTATGAGAGATGTAGGAAATATAAACATGGAATATAGCAAAGGTAGTTAGGAAGTTTTCAAAGAAGATTAAGAATATCTTATTTGAGTACATATCCCTTCAATATATGTACTCAAAGGAATAATTAGACTAGGTCTGCCTACAATGTTTCTTTCTTTAATGAATTATATCTCATTTTATAGAAAAAAATCTATGTCTAATAATTATTTTAGCTTTTCTCAATGTTCAAGCTTGTCATCTATTTCAAATAACACAAAGGATAAAAACATGCTTTGAATAAGCTTAAAGTTATTGAAAACTTCTACTGTAATTACTTCAATATATTCTTTGTATATTTAGTAAATATGATGTGTGTTTCATTACGGTAAGGTGTCCAAGGAAACTATTGGTTTATATAAAACACTTAAAAATAATAGCAAACAAACAACAAATTTACCTCTTCTTGAGATGGTAAGCTTACTATTACCTTTGAAAAAGATATTTAAAATGTATGCTGTGTAGAAATATAATGGCATGCTTGTATAATAAGGGCTTAATTAGATTGTATACTATAGTAAAGTGTTAAAATATAGGTGTTGCAAGATTTATTCTAAATAAGGAAATAGTAAAAAAAGATGTGCTCTTCACTAACAAAATACCACTGTTCTATTCTGGCATTAACAGACACCATATTCCATATCCAGAATAAAATTGGTGCAAAGTGCCATATTTTCCAAGTATAAAACATGACTAGGATAACTCCAGAGCTTCAGTAGTAGTTTCTTTGCTGTCAGCAAAATCAGCGGGGGCTGCAGCCAAAAGCACTGGAGCTAGTTAACAGCATAAATGTTTCTAGAAAAGAACATATTCTGAAGTAAGATATTTTAGTTCAACATTCTTCAAAATTTACCTTCTATATATGGATTTGAGTAAGGCTTGACTTTAGAGGTTGCTAAATAGAATATAAGAGGATTGGAGATTCTCTATATGTAGACAAGTGATTAATCACAATAATTAAAGTCAGTCTGTCGAAAGACACCTCAGGTGGTGCAACTATCTCACTCCAATGTATGTTGTACCTTGCTTTAAAAAAGAATTAACCTTTGAATATAAACAAATGTGCTGCCTATTTTCTAAGAAATCCTGTTTTATCATGAATATATTTTTGTGTATATTTATATATATACATAAATGGAATAACCCATATTTTAATAATTACATAAACCTTTTTATAAATCAAGAGAGGAACACTAAATTTACTATAAGCAGAAGGACAATGAAAATAGTTGCCATATATGTGTGTGTATATATATATATGTGCTGTGGAATACTATTCAGCCAAAAAAGGGTGAAATCATGTCTTTTGAAGCAACCTGAATGGAACTGAAAGCCATTATCTTGAGTGAAATAACTCAGGAAGAGAAAGCAAAATACTGCATATTCTCGCTTATAAGTGGGAGCTAAATAGTGTGTACATATGGACACAGAGAGCAGAATAGTAGACATCGGAGACTCAGAAAGGTGGGAGGGTGAGAGGAGGGTTAGGAATGAGAAATGAACTAATGGATACAATGTGCATTATTCAGATGGTGATTACACTAAAAGCCCAGACATCACCACTATGCAATATATCTGTGTAAGAAAACTGTACTTGTACCCCCAAATCAATAAAAGAAATAATTTTTAAAAATAAATAAATTTGTATGCTTAGTAACAGAATTACTTTTAAATAATAAAAACTATGTTTTTAATACAGTAAATGTCTCAAATTCCAGGAACCAATATTTATTGATTTATATTATTGATATCCTCATTTACATTTGTGACAATATGTCAGAATCTCCGAATTTTTTAACTGTTTTTATATGCCTGTAGGTAATTTCATCTTGAATTTTTGACATTTTAATATAATTATTAGCAGTTATCAAGTGGTTACCTTCTTATAATGATAATGCTATCTAGTATATAGTGCCAATAAATATTAGTTTTATTACTATTATTATTAGTGCAATAAAATATGAATTTATAAGGTGCAGTGTGGGTTTAGGGTAAGAAACACAGGAGTCTACAGAGATGCAGAGGAATGCAGTATGGATATGCATGTAGATATTGATGTAGACATAGGCATAGAAATAGATATAAACAGACATAGACATTGATTAGATGTAGATATAGACATGGGAATAGATGTAGGTATAGATATGTGAATGAGATATTGGTCATATAGACAGAGACATTGATATAGTGTATTAGTTCATTTTCACACTGCAGATAAAGATATACCTGAAACTGGGAACAAAAAGAGGTTTAAATGGACTTATAGTTCCATATAGCTGGGAAGGCCACAGAGTCATGCCGGGAGGTGAAAGGCACTGCTTACATGGCAGAGGCAAGAGAAAAATGAGGAAGAAGCAAAAGCAGAAAGCCCTGAAAAACCCATCAGACCTCGTGAGATTTATTCACTATCATGAGAAGAGCACAGGAAAGACTGGCCCCATGATTCAACCACCTCCCCCTGGGTCCCTCCCACAACACTTGGGAATTCTGGGAGATACAATTCAAGTGAGATTTTGGTGGGTTCCAGTCAAACCATATCATTCTGCCCCTGGGCCCTGCAAATCTCATGTCCTCACATTGCAAAACCGATCATGCCTTCTCAACAGTTCCCCATAGTCTTAACTCATTTCAGCATTAACCCAAAAGTCCACAGTCCAAAGTCTCATCTGAGTCAAGGCCAGTCCTTCCACCTATGAGCCTGTAAAACGAAAGCAAGCTAGTAGTTACTTCCTAGATACAATGGGGGTACAGGTATTGGGTAAATATATCCATTCCAAATGGGAGAAATTGGCCAAAACAAAGGGGTTACAGGGCCCATGAAAGTCCAAAATCCAGCAGGGCAGTCAATTTTTTTCTTTTTTTCTTTTTTTCTTTTTTTTTTTTTTGAGATGGAGTCTTGCTCTGTCACCCAGGCTGGAGTGCAGTGGCGTGATCTTGGCTCACTGCAAGCTCTGCATCCCTGGTTCATGCCATTTTCCTGCCTCCACCTCCCGAGTAGCTGGGACTACAGGCGCCTGCCACCATGCCTGGCTAATTTTTTGTATTTTTAGTAGAGACGGGGTTTCACCGTGTTAGCCAGAATGGTCTCGATCTCCTGACTTCATGATCTGCCTGCCTTGGCGTCTCAAGTTGCTGGGATTACAGGCATAAGCCACTGCACCAGGCCACAAGGCAGTCAAATTTTAAAGCTCCAAAATGATCTCCTCTGACTCCAGATCTCACATCAAGGTCACACTGATGCAAGAGGTGGGTTCCCATGGTCTCTAGCAGCTCCAACCTATGACTTTGCAGGGTACAGCCTCCCTCCTGTCTGCTTTCACAGGTTGGCATTGAGTGTCTGTGGCTTTTCTGGGTGCACAGTGCAAGCTGTTGGTGGATCTACCATTCTGGGGTCTGGAGGATGGTTGCCCTCTCTTCTCAGATGAGGGGACCCTCTCCTCCCCAGTAAGATGCAGTGTGGGGGCTCCAATCCCACATTTCCCTTCCACACTGCCCTAGCAGAGGTTCTCCATGAGGGCCCTGCCCTTGCAGCAAATTTTTGCCTGGGCATCCAGTTGTTTCCATACATCTTCTGAAATCTAGGCAGAGGTTCCAAAACCTCAGTTCTTGACTTCTGAGCACCCACATGCTCAACATCACATGGAAGCTCTCAGGGCTTGGGGCTTCCACTCTCTGAAACCACAGCCCAAGCCGTACATTGGCCCCTTTCAGCCACAGCTGGAGTAGCTGGGACAAAGGGCACCAAGTCCCTAGGCTGCTCATGGCATGAGAACCCTGGGCCCATCGAACAAAACCAGTTTTTCCTACTGGGCCTCTGTGCCTGTGATGGGAGGGCCTGCTGGGAAGTTCTCTGACATGGCCTAGAGACATTCTCCCATGATCTTGGGGATTAACATTAGGCTCCTTGCTACTTATGCAAATTTCTGCAGCTGGCTTGAATTTCTCCCCTAGAAAATGGGTTTTTCTTTTCTAATGCATTGTCAGGCTGTAAATTCTCCAAACTTTTAGTCTCTGCTTCCCTTATAAAACTGAATGCCTTTAACAGCATCCAAGTCACCTCTTGAATGCTTTGCTGCTTAGAAATTTCTTCCACCAGATACCCTAAATCACCTCTCTCAAGTTCAAAGTTCCACAAATCTCTAGGGCAGGGGCAAAATGGCACCAGTCTCTTTGCTAAAACATGACAAGAGTCACCTTTGCTCCAGTTCCCAAAAATTTCCTCATCTCCATCTGAGACCACCTCAGCCTGGACGTTTTCATATCACTATCGGCATTTTTGTCAAAGCCAATCAACAAGTCCCAAAGAGGTTTCAAACTTGCCCACATTTTCCTGTCTTCTTCTGAGCCCTCCAAATTGTTCCAGCTTCTGCCTGTTACCCAGTTCCAAAGTCACTTCCACATTTTCGGGTATCTTTTCAGCAAGGTTGCCCTCTACTGGTACCAATTTACTGTATTAGTCCATTTTAATGCTGCTAATAAAGACATACCCAAAACGGAACAAAAAAAGAGGTTTAATTGGACTTACAGTTCCACATAGTTGGGGGGGTCTCAGAATCATGGCAGAAGGCAAAAGGCACTTCTTACATAGCGGCGGCAAGCAAATTAGGCAGAAGCAAAAGTGGAAACCCCTGCTAAACCATCAGATCTTGTGAGACTTATTCACTATCATGAAAATAGTATGGGAAAGACTAACCTCCACGATTCAGTTATGTCCCCCTGGGTCCTTCCCACAACACATGGGAATTCTGGGAGATATAATTCAAGTTGAGATTTCAGTGAGGACACAGACAAACTATATCATATAGTTTAGATAGATATAGTGAGATATGAGGGAGACATTGGTCAGGGATGTACTTAGAAGAAAAACTATCATTTAGACTTTATAAAATTACAAAACAATTACTGGGATGAATTATTAGCATAAGAAATAATGCACAAAAGGGTAAAGGGCTAAAAATTTATTAGAGTGTTATAGATTTAAAAGACCTTCTAAAATCCCCCAACTGTCTCCATACACATACACACCACTTACAAAGTTTCAAGTTTATTAGGGCAGGATATAGAACACATGGAATGTATGCTGTCATACAGAACAGATGATAATGCAACAGATATTTGTGAGACACTTTCTTGAGTTGTTTTCCATAAAAGTTTCCATGCTGTACACAACACTTTTCTGCTAGAATTGAGAAGGAAGCTAATTTCTTGTTGTGACCTGCCCATTTAAACTCTGGGTAATTTACCCATCACTGGAATAAACAAACAACGGCTCCTTTAACTTTCTCTAAGCCATGAGCCTCTACTGCCCCATCAAAGCAAACTCATTATGGATGAGAGGATGGAGAGATATGTAAAAGAAGTCAGCACTAATGCCTCCTAGATTATACTTCTGCCTCCAGATCTCTAACAGACTCAAAGCCTATCTCTTCATGTACAAACACTATGTGGCTGAGTGTACAGAATGAAGAGCTGTAATGGTTAAACAGAGAAGGAAGAAAGAGGACTTTCTACAGGAGGTTGAGACATTGCATTTAAATTATATCTGATGGGAGCTAATTAAAATTTTTGAGAAAAGTAAAGAAGGGATAAATTATTCAAACTTAAAAAGAAAAACTTTCTTTTTTTGGAAGCAGAGAAGACAAAATGGAAGAAGGAGAGATTATAGAGATTTGAGATCTCAGGGTGAGATGATAGTCTTAATAAAGAACACAGTAAATGAAGGGGAGAAAGATATGTGTGTGGGAGTATGAAGGAAAAATTGAATGGGCAACGGTCGGGGAGACATGACCACATTGGAGAGAGATTTTATTGATTATATGACATATTGGGAGGGCTATGGTGAAAGAGGGAGAAGAGCTGACAATAAACCTTGTTTAAAATATCACAGTCAGTACTGAAAACTCACATCCTCAATCTACATAATGCTGGTCAGATAAAGACCTCTTGAAATTGAAGATCATAAACAGAAGTTCATTTATTGGGTTTCAGGGCTGAATTTTTAAATACCTTTTATGAATAGTCTTTATATTGATGGGAATTGAACAGCTTATATTTGTCTTTGACAAAAATGAGTGGATTTGCTAGAATTTTATTTTCTGGAACACATTTATCCAACTCTGGAGAAACATCAGAGTTCTAGACAGGTTTCAATAGCAGTCTATAAATCATCAAATTCTCCTATGAAAAGTGTCTGAGCCAACTGGTTTAGCTTGTTGAATTCATATAATTAGAAAAGAAAAAAAGGTATAGGAAAGCCAAGTTACCCCATTAGGTTGTAGGTAGAAACAGAATAGTTGCAGAATACTTAAGACATAACTTATCTAGCCATTTACTTCTGACATATATGTTTGTTTTGTTATTTCTTTAATAGTCATTATCATTTGCATTTACATATGGAGGCTCATGAATATATATATTTACATATATATGACAAATTATTTCCTGATTCTCTTCCTGTTTGACCAGAACAGGATTTTTAAAAACTTTCGCCTGCTATCACCTTGAAAATGTGAGTATATAATATTTTCTTAACATTTCACAAATAGTGTAGAGTTAATAACTAGTGTACCTATATCTCTATTGAAATTCTCTTTTGCATCATGAAAGAGAACTCAGCTATAACTAGAATCATACTCCCTTTTACATCTCCTTTATGCATGAGGAATTAACCTAGGCCATCCTCTCCATATTCTGTCTCCCCATATATTTTGTTTCCTTGTTTAGAGTAATAAAATCATAAAATATATTGAAATTGAAATTAGGGGTGAAATGTGAAATCTTACTTAGAAATATGTAAACTGTATGATTTTTACCCTAGATTTGTGCTTAGGGCACTGAACTCTTGTACACATTTGTCTACCTTTCTATTCTTACTTATTGCAGTTACCATTTGTTGAGATTATTGACTTAGTTGATTCTAATTTGGTCTTTATCCTTTCTAATCTTCTCATTTTGTTCCTCCATTATATTTTATATTTTTCTAATGTTTAATTTTCAAAATTCTTGCAATAGACAGTTTGGTCACCTGAAACTTATGGTTGTCAAAAAAATACCTATACTGATGAATCTAAAATTTCTTTTTCTAGTCCTGAGTTTTATTTTAATATATCTTACTACATATCTGGATATTCTCAACTATTTGTTAAAAAATTGTCACCATTTAATCAAAAAAATTCTTATGGTCATAAATTCTTTTTTTCCTTCATTCTATACTTCCTACCCAAATTAGATTTAAAAATAGTTCTAGACTTTGTTAGCATGTATCACTTCATTCAGTCAAAATTTTTCTGCTTTTAGCTTTTGTATTATTCTAGATTTAATCACTTTTTCTGTAGTAACTATGACTTTATTACTTACCATTTCACTAAGTGCTTGAGTCAATAATAAAAACACCCTTCACAATGTATAATGGATCAAATGTAATAGAAATTGTTTTCTAGGTAAAAGATCAAAATAGTTATTCTGCATTACCACATAGTTTTTCTCCAAGGTCTGCTTTGAGTTTCCAAACTTTTTACATTTTTCCGCTTCAACATTTACAGCTGGCTTTAAAGGTAAGTGTTCTCATGTACATCAAACTTGTACTGAGGGAAAGCACTTGGAGAATCAAACATTCATTTAAAAATTTAGTATAAGATTGATGCAAAGGTTATTGTGGTTTTTGCACCAATGTTTAGAAATGACCGGTGCATACCAGTTCCCCTCACATTTAAGCAGGTCTTGTTTGGTCAAATGGAACCCCAGGGGACAGGGACAAGATGGCTGACTAGAAGCAGCAGCAATCAGAGGCTCCCACAAAAAAGAATCAAAACAGAGTATGAATTCTGCACTGGCAACCGAAGTATCCAAATTCTGTCATCAGTACTGACTAGGTGGCTGGCGTAACCCAGAGAGAGGAGGGAAGAGTAGGTTGGTGCGTCAGCTCACCTGAGGGCCACACTGGGCAGAGGAGCCCCATACCCCAGCCAAGGGAGGCATTGAGTGAGCATGCTGCCCAGCCTGGGAAACCATGCTTTTTCCACAGAACTGGGTAACCCATGGATCGGAAGATCCCACTCATGAGCCCATGCCACCAGGGCCTCGGGTCCCAACCATGGAACTGTACAGATTCTCAACAGCCACTCACCTGGAATATGCCTAAGCCTACTGAGTTCCCAGGAGGAGGAGTGGCCATCACCACTGCTGCTGCTGCTTGCTGTCTAGGCCCTCTGAGCTCCCCGGGGAATGGGCGACAGCCAACACTGTGGCTGCTAGCTGCCTAAGACACTAAACTCCAAGGGTGAAAGGGCAGCAGCCTTCACTATGGCTCTAGGGCCAGATTTCACCCTACTGAAGCCAGGGAGCCTGGACGGCCTGGTCCCAAGAGGTATTCCCCATAACACAGCACACCAGCTGTGGCAGACTGCAGCCAGACTGCATCTTTAGGCTGGACCCTGACCCATGCCCCCTCACTGGGCAAGGCCTCTCTATAGGAACTCCAACAACTCCAGCCAGGGCCTCAGGGTCAGAACTCTGATCTCCCTGGGTCTAAACCCCTAGTGGGAGGGGTGGCCATAGTCTCCATGGACCGGCAGACTTAGTCTTTCCTCCTGCTAGCTCTGAGGAATCCAGCAGCATATCAAAAAGCTTATCCACCGCTATCAAGTCAGTTTCTTCCCTGGGATGCAAGGCTGGTTCAACATAAGCAAATCATTAAACATAATCCATTACATAAAGAGAATCAGTGAAAAAAATCCACATGATTGTCTCCATAGATGCAGAAAAGGCCGTCGATAAAATTCAACATCCCTTCATTTTAAAAACTTCTATCAAACTAAGTATTGAAGGAACATATCTCAAGACAATAAGAGCAATTTATGACAAACTCATAGCCAATATCATACTGAATGGGCAAAAGCTGGAAGCATTCGCTTTGAAAACGGTGCAAGATAAGGATGCCCTCTCTCACCACTCCTATACAACATGTTCTTTTTGCCTAGGATTTTCTTGGTTATATGGGCCCTTTTTTGGTTGCATATGACATTTAAACTAGTTGTTTCTAGTTCTGTGAACAAAGTCAATGGCAGCTTGATGGGACTAGCATTAAATCTATTGGAAGTTCTTGCCAGGGCAGTCAGGCAAGAGGAAGAAAGAAAGGGTATTCGAATAGAAAGAGAGGAAGTCAAATTGCCTCTGTTTGCAGATTATATAATCCTATATTTAGAAAACCCCATCATCTCAGCCCAAAAGCTCCTTAAGCTGATCAGCAACTTCAGCAAAGTCTGAGGATACAAAATCAAAGTGCAAAAATCACAAGCATTCCTATACACCAACAACAGACAAGCAGGAAGTCAAATCATGAATGAACTCCCATTCACAATTGCTACAGATAGAATAAAATACCTAGGAATATAGTTAACAAGGGATATTAAGGACCTCTTCAAGGAGAACTACAAACCACTACTCAAGGAAATAAGAGAGGACACAAATGAATTGAAAAACATTCCATTCTCATAGATAGGAAGAATCAATATTGTGAAAATGGCCATACTGCCCAAAGTAATTTATAGATTTAATGCTAGTCCCATCAAGCTGCCATTGACTTTGTTCACAGAACTAGAAACAACTAGTTTAAATGTCATATGCAACCAAAAAAGGGCCCATATAACCAAGAAAATCCTAGGCAAAAAGAACAAAACTGGAGGCATCATGCTACCTGACTTTGAACTATACTACGAGCCTACAGTAATCAAAACAACAAGGTACTGGTACCAAAACAAATATATAGAGCAATGGAACAGAACAGAGGCCTCAGAAATAACACCACACATTTACAACCATTTGATCTTCAACAAACCTGATAAAAACAAGCAACGGGGAAAGGATTCCCTATTTAAGAAATGGTGCTGGGAAAACTGGCTAGCCATATGCAAAAAACAGAAACTGGACCTCTTCCTTACACTTTATACAAAAATTAACTCAAGATGGATTAAAGACTTAAATGTAAAACCTAAAACCATAAAAACCCTAGAAGAAAACCTAGGCAATACCATTTAGGACATAGGCATGGGCAAAGGCTTCATGGTTAAAACACCAAAAGCAATTGCAACAAAAGCCACAATTGACAAATGGGATATAATAAATCTGAAGAGCTTCTGTTCAGCAAAAGAAACAATCATCAGAGTGAACAGACAACCTACAGAATGGGAGACAATTTTTGCAATCTATCAATCTGACAAAGGTCTAATATCCAAAATATACAAGGAACTTAAATAAATTAACAGGAAAAAAACAAAGAATCCCATCAAAAAGTGAACGAAGTATATGAACAGACATTTGTCAAAATAAGACATTTATGTGGCCAAGAAACATATGAAAAAAAGCTCATCATCACTGTCATTAGAGAAATGCAAATCAAAACCACAATGAGATACCACCTCATGCTAGTTAGAATGGTGATCATCAACTGATACCATCTCACACCAGTCAGAATGGTGATTATTAAAATGTCAAGAAACAACTGATGCTGGTGAAGCTGTGAAGAAATAGGAGCGCTTTTACACTGTTTGTGGGAATGTAAATTAGTTCATCCATTGTGGAACACAGTGTGGCAATTCCTCAAGGATCTAGAACCAGAAATACCACTGGACCCAGCAATCCCAGTACTGAGTAAATACCCAAAGGAATGGAAATCATTCTGTTATAAAGATACATGCACACATATGTTTATTGTAGCAATATTCACAATATAAAAGACATGGAACCAACTCAAATGCCTACTAATGATAGACTGAATAAAGAAAATTTGGTACATACACACCGTGATATACTAGGCAGACATAAAAAGGAATGCAATCATGTTCTTTAAAGGGATATGGATGAAGGTATAAGCCATCATCCTCAGCAAACTAACACAGGAACAGGAAACCAAACACCGCATGTACTTATCGTAAGTGAGAACTGAACAGTAAGAACACATGGACACAGGGAGGGGGACAACACACACCAGGGCCTGTTGTGCTGAGCCGAAGGGAGGAAGAGTATCAGGACAAATAGTTAATGCATGTGGGGCTTATTACCTGGGTGACTGGTTGATAGGGGCAGCAAACAACGATGGCACACGTTTACCTGTATAATAAACCTGCACGTTCTGGACATGTATCCCAGAACTTAGGTCAATTAAAAAACAAAAACAAAAACAAATGTTACCCCAAGCTCCAAGAAAGCTGGGAAATACAGCCTATCAGTAAACACAGGATGAAGAAAAAATGAGTTCTTTGGACAGAAAGACAATCTCTGCTTAAATCTCCTTAATCATGTGTAGAAGATTTAAAATGACTTTGCATACAAAATAATAATAAATTACATCAGTATCTCAAAATAAACTCAATTCCTTTATAAATTAACATGAAAATATCTCTCAAAAACATATATGTAATAAAATGAAATAAAGTTGTCTATTTTGAGAAATAAAAATAGAAATAAATTCAATAGTTACCCCTTGCTAAGAAAATTAAAGTATGTTTTGGTCACAGCAGATGGATATATGTCATTCCATATTGACTTTACTAAGTCTATACATAGTAAAGTGAAAGAAACATTTACGACAATTTTATAAAACATATATGTGGCTATTCAATGAAGAAATAAATCCAATGAATCATTGGCATTATATTCAAAGTTTCATTTCAAAAATGATTTCTAAGTATTCTGTTAGTGGTGTAAAGAATCTTTATGTATAAACATTAACATGGATTTATATAGCCAAGGGGTTAGCTTTTGAAAAAACAATCTCCTCTATCTAAACACAGCAATGGTATATGAAATATAAAAAATGTTAACTAAGTAGACATTGCTGGGAGTAAAACCACCGTAACTTACCTATGGATTAGAAACATAAAGCAAATATAAAACGTTAAACCACAGTTGATAAAATAAACTTGCTGCAATGTGAGTCGAAACTAGGCAGTTATGACCAAAATAAGGCTACTTTGGTGTAAGGAGAAATACAAATATTTGTTTTAGACAGCAAACAAGAGAAAGTTTCATTGTTAAAAGCTAGAGGTAAGAATGGAGTTACCCTCATTAAAGAGGGTAAATATTATTATTAGTTTTTGCCTTTTATTACTATTATCTACTAATTCAGGTTGTAATTTAATTCAAAATTATTCACCAACAAGGCAGAAAAAAAATCAACCTTATTACTAGCAATTAAGCAAAAGCACCTTCACTCACTGCTTCCCTGCATGTATCCCCATACCTTTAACTATCCATGGGAAGAGTCATTCCTAATTGATATCAATGGCATGATTTTGAATTCAGAGTCCAAAAGAACAGGTAGAAGTAATGGCAAAATGAGTAAAGAATGAGGAGTAAGTGAAAGGGGGGAGGGAAGAGAGAGAATTTGAGAGAGAATTGTCAACCCAGAATAAAAAGTCTGCAAAATGCAGGAATGAGTCTAACAATTTAATAAAAAGAGCCAGCAAAATCAATGATTAGAACAGTAACTGATCTGATATGAAGTGCATTTTAGATATCAGCCTGAAAAAAGTTAAAACTAGTGTACTGAAAATGAGGAATTCAAAGAAGCCACTTATAAGACAGAAAAGAAATAGTCCCTGAAATTTAAAATGCAATACATTTAATAAAATCTAAGGAAAAACTGGAATTGAAGAACACCACTGTAATGTTTGAAGTTAAGAAAGAAGATAAGAAATGGATGAATGAGCAGTTAATGGATATGGATGAAAATTTTGAGACTCCAATGAAGTTTGTGCTGTTTTCCTTCCTTTGCAATAACAACGCTAATTAGAACATTATTATACACATCTTGCTGTAGACCTGTGTGAGAGTTTCTCAAAATTTATATCTAGAGGTGAAATTGGTGGGTTGTTAAAATATACATATTTTCATTTTGTAATTTGTTTCTAAATTATTTTAATATGTACATACTCAATTTATATCCACACAAACAGTTACATTTTCTTTATATTTTAACAAGAATTGGAAACATGAAGGTCTTTTCCTATCTTTAGCGATCAAATCATTTTAAAGTGGAAAACTACGGCTTTAATTCATGTTGTTCATGTATGGACCACTGATAAGAATGTGTCATGAACAAATAATTGTATTATTACAATTCTGTGTGCCTGGGGTCCAAATTATAAATAAATAAGTTACTTTTTTCAGTGCAAGAATCTGGAAAAGTAACCAGATATATTTGAATATAGCAAGGGAAATTAATAAATACATAGAAGTAAAGATATTAATTGAAAAGAAACAAGACACAATGAAAAATAGAGGGGATCAACAAAACCAAGCACTTATTCATTTAAAAAACTAATGTAATAATTAATAAACACTAGAGGGACTGATTTGTTTTTGAGACGGAATCTCCCTCTCTTGCTCAGGCTGGAGTGTGGTGGCACGATCTCGGTTCATTGCAACCTCTGACTCCCCGGTGGAAGCGATTCTCCTGCCTCAGCATCCCAAGTAGCTGGGACTACAGGCGTGTGCCACCACGCCTGGCTAATTTTTTTGTATTTTTAGTAGAGACGGGTTTTCACCATGTTAGCCAGGCTGGTTGCGAACTCCTGACCTCAGGCAATCTGCCCGCGTCGGCCTCCCAAAGTGCTGGGATTACAGGCATGAGCCACCATGCCCAGCCAGGACTGATAACTTTAAAAGAGGAAAAAATAAGATAATATTATAAACAAAATAATGAAAAACAGTAAGATTTAAAGGTTATTTGTTAATACATTGAGTAAATTAGTGCAAATAAATTTGAAACAAGTATAAAATTCACTAGGCCCAAACTAAGTTTGACCAATATTCCATAGAAGAGGTCATCAGTCTGTTTAAAATTGTTTCACAAAATAGAAAAAAAGATCATTTTACAAAGCTCTTATAAACTTGATTATAACATTTTCTTCACAAGGAAAGCAGAAAGAAAAAACAAATCTCTTTCTGAATATAATTATAAATTATTATAAAATATTATCCAGTTGAACTTGGCAGTTTGGCACAAAACATACTATGTTCAAAAAAGTTGTTTATTTATCCCCAGCACTTCAAAATGGCTCAACTTTAGGTAATCTGTTATTATAATATATATACTCAAAGAGAGAAGGAAAAAAATCAACTTTTACATATAATTAATTGAATAAATATTTATTTGAGATAAAATCTCAGTTATTTACCAATATAAATGTCTTATCCTGATAACAACCTTTGTAGCAAACACTATATATAATTGTGAAATTTTTAATAGCAGTTATACTATAGTAACAAGAAAGAAATGGCAGCCATTGTTTTTACTCAACAGTAAACTAGTTTTTATCTAATACAAAATTGCAGAAACAAAATTGAGAAATTCAAAAGTTGCAAAGGAAGAGATAATACCATCTTTCTTTACAAATAAAATGAGAATCTATCAAAATAGCAACACAATTTTTAAGTTACTGCTAAAATTCATAGAAAAAATATTTTACAAATATTACTGGGTAAAATATAAATATAAATGTATATATTTCAAATGTAAATCAATGTGACTTATATATGCCAATATTTAGAATATAAAAAACATAGTAGGAGAATTTTTAACTATCATTATGAAACAAACAAGATATAACTTATGATTAAGCCTTAAAATTATATGCAATTTCTACCTCTAGGTTGGAAGAAATGCTTTACAACATATCAATTGCCAAACAAGCCGAAAAAATCCAGATTAAAAAAATAGCTTAAAGAAAATTATGGCCAAAAATAATAAAGAAATTAAATTAACATTAGACAAATTGAGCAGTAAGACAAACTCTTTTACTACCGATAAAGACGCTCACTTTAAACAATAAATTATTTAGTTCACTAGAAGATAGACTCATGTAAAATATATAGATATGCACCTAATAATAAAGACACAAAAATAAGGAAAGCAAAAAACACAGCTAAAGGGAAAAAGCAACAATTAAGAATCATAGTTGTATTATTCTAGACACATTTTTAAATTGCTGACAGGGTAAAAATAACAGTAATAATATATGAGACCTATAAACTATAGATCTATAAATTATATGAAACATCACCTATTCAAAATTACATCACCAATCACAGAATCCATATTCTGTTTATGTGAAAATAGAATATTCATAATATTTGTCAAGTAAGAATAAGTAAAAAAGGATGAATAATTTAAAATATGCTTGCCAACTATAGTATAATAAACTATAAAACAATTTTTAAACAATAATTAATAATTCTTATCTTCCTGGAAATTAAAAAAATATATTTGTTATTCTATCTATCAAAGAAAAAATCACAATTAAATTAAGCAAATATTCTCAATTGAATTATACAATATATAAAAACTAACAGGATACAGCTGAAGTAGTTCTTTAAGAGAAATTAAATAATTTTAAAGATGTAAAAACTGTAAAGAAATTACTTTCTTGATTTCTTTTTCAGGTCTTTCACTATTAGTATATAGAAATGTTACTGGTTTTTGTATATTGATTTTGTATTCTACAACTTTACTGAATTCATTTTGCATTTCGTCCCAGGGAGGCAGGGATGGTTTAACATACGCAAGTCCGTAAATGTGATATATCACATAAACAGAATTAAAAACAAAAACCATATGATCATCTCCATAGATGCTGAAAAAGCATTCAACCAAATTCAGCATCCCTTTGTGATAAAAACTCTCAACAAACTAGACATAGAAGGGACTTACATCTCAAAATAATGAAAGCCATATATGACAGACCCCAGCCAGTATCATACTAAATGGGGAAAGTTGAAAGCATTTCCCCTGAGAACAGGAAAAAAGAAAAGGATTCCCACTTTCGCCACTCCTATTCAACATAGTTCTAGAAGTCCTAGCCAGAGCAATTAGGCAAGAGAAAGAAAGGGCATTCAAACCGGAAAAGAGGAAGTCAAACTATCACTGTTTGCAGATGATGTGCCCCTACATCTAGAAAATCCTAAAGACTCCTCGAAAAGGCTTCTAGATTTGATAAGCAAATTCAGTAAAGTCTTAGGTTACAAAATCAACGTACACAAATCAGTATCCCTGCTATACACCAATAACAGACCCGAGAATCAAATCAAGAACTCAATCTCTTTTACAACAGCTGCAAAATATAAAATAAAATACCTACAACTATACTTAATCAAGGACGTGAAAGATCTCAGCAACGAATATTACTTCTAACAGTTTTTAGATTGAGTCTTTAGGGTTTTGTATGTATATAATTATGTTATCTGCAAACAAGGACAATTTGACTTCCTTCTTTCCAATTTGGGTGACTTTATTTCTTTATCTTGGCTAATTACTCTGGCTAGGACTTCCAGTATTATGTTAAATAAAAGTGGAAAAGTGGGTACTATTGTCTTGTTCCAGATTATAAAGGAAAAGATTTCAGTGTTTTCTCTGTTTAGTATGATGTTAGCTGTGGGTTTCTTATGTACGACTTTTATTAGGTTGATGTACGTTTCTTCTATACCCAGTTGTCTGAGGGTTTTTGTCATAAAGGGATGTTGAATTTTATCAATTTTTTTTCTGTATTTATTGAAATAACCATATGATTTTTGTTCTTATTCTTGATTTTGTTAATGTGATGTATCACATTTATTAATTTGTGTGTGTTGAACTATCCTGCATCCTTTGGATAAATTTCACTTGATTATGGTAAAATATCTTTTTATGTTGTTGAATTTGATTTAATCATCAGAGTAATGCAAATCAAAAGCACAATGAGATATCATCTTATTTCAGTTAGAATGGTTATTAATAAAAACATAAAAAACAAATTCTCTTGAGGATGTAGAGAAAAGAGAACTCATACTGTTGACGGAAATATAAGTTAGTTCAGCCATTAAGCAAAACAGCATGGAGGTTCTTAAAAATATTAAAAACAGAACTACCATATGACGCATCAATCCCATTACTGGTTATATATCCAAAGGAAATGAAATCAATATGTTAAAGAGAAATCTGCATTCCCATGTTTACTGCAGTGCTATTCACAATAGCCACGATATGGAATTAACCCAATGCCCAACAATTGATGAAAAGATAAAAATGTTGTGGTCTCTATACAATGGAATACTCTTCAGCCATAAAACAAAATGAAACCCTGTCTTTTGAGGCAACATGGATGAAGCTGAAGGACATCAAGGACATCATATTAAATGAAATAAGCCAGGCACGGAGAGACAAATACCATATGATCTCACTCATATGTAGAATTTGTAAAAGGTTGACTTCATAGAAGTAGAGCATAGAATAATAGTTATCAGAGTCTGGGGAGGGTAGTGGAGATGTGATACTGGGAGAAGCTAGTCAATGGGCACAAAATTGCGGTTAGAAAACATAAGTTTGGTGCTCTCTTACAAACTAGGGTGACTATAGCAGATAACATAGTGTATATTTCAAGATAGCTTGAAGAGATGACTTAAAATGTTATCGCCACAAAGAAATGATAAATATTTAAAACGATGAATCTGCTAATTGCCTTTATTTGATCATTATAGAATGTATACATGCATTGAAACATCACACTGTACTCCATAAATATGTACAATTATGTCATTGCAAATACAATTAAAAAAAAGCAAATTTAAAATAAAATAATTCCCATAGCTTCTATCTCAATTTACAAGAAGTTAAAACAGCAAATTTAATATAAATAATTAAAAGAAAGGAAATAATTAAGATTAACAATCAACCAGGTAGAAAACCAACTATAATAGGGAATAAAAAGCCTAAAGTTGACCCCTTTCTAGCAGCATGATCAAGGAGGCAGAAAACAAAACATAACAATATAAATTGGCAATTAAAAAATATGAAAATGGAAAATTATTGCATTTCCTATATTTCAATGCATTGAACCATAATTAGAAGGCACAACTTCATTCTGATATATGTGATATATAAAACTGGCAAATTCCTCAAAAGACATAATTTGCCAAAAAAACCTACAAGAATAAATTTTCAAATGTAAATATTTCCTTTTCTACTAATGATATTAAGTATGTTTTAGAACTTTCTGACAAATACCCCTGGGTACAGATGGCTTCACTGGCAAATTATTTCCAGCATTTAAAGAGAAAGTAACACCAACTTTATGCAAATATTTCAAGAGAAATGAAAAAAAGGAAATCTTCCAAGTCTTTTATAAAGCCAGTATCACCCTTACCCAGACATTACCAAAAAAAATTAAAAATATTTAAACATCAAAATCTTTTACAATCCCTGAGTGGTTTCATTTTTTCTCCCATGTTTAAAAGTTGTAGTACACTGGAAAATAAGACAGTATAATGAATCACATTGCCATGTAATCTTTCAATAAGAAATTTGATAAAATTTACTACCCATTCATGAGTTGAAGTTAGTAGGATTCTAGGAATGTTGCTATATTGTTGAAGGCTTATTAGAGCTACTTAATTTCAGTTCATTGCACTGCTACAGAAAATATGTGCTAGGTATATGATAAATGTATTATTAATATTAAAGACCAATAATCATCTCAATACATAATAATGGGTAATTTATTTGATATAGATTAAATTTCTATGGAGCAATAAATAAAATAATCAAAAGCACCTCTTTGTCATTCCCCATGATACATTAAATTTTTCCAAAGCATTGATAATCAGATTAAATGTGAAAATCAGCAAGTTACTATGATGAACTAAGTTTTTTTGAAATTACATATATTATATTTCTTTATGTATTTTCTTTTATTTTGTTATTATACTTAATCTGTGATTAAATATATAATTTGGAATGAGTTTAATCCTCTATTCTTCTTACTGAAAAATCTTTTGGAGATGTCAACCACTTTTACCACTGTATGCAGCTTTACCCTTTCTGCCTGGCTTCAGTGTAGCTCTGTCTCAGTGTTTTCTTTCTGTGAGTACTATTAACAATATTAGGAATGCTATAGAAGGGAAGACAGTAAAATAGTGTTTGTGAACTAGGTTACTCATTGTCCCTGCCTATTACTTTGAAATTACCTTCAGTACTTCTCCTGTAGTTCATTCCACTGGCAGGCTCTTCTGCCTGTTGATAATAAACCATACCAGCTCCGTGTAGCACAGCTAATGCTGCTTATTAAACACACATAATTCTCTACTGTAGACAGCGTGGTCTTCGTCTAGAATCTCAGGGGACTGTATTGTGATTTGTCCAGTGAAGCTTGACAGAAACCTCCCACTTTTTCCACCGCTGATATGTTCTAAATAATAGGGCCAGCCAGTGTATATGACTCAAGTAGCAAGTCTGCCCTAGGGCAGTTTCCTCCTCTGAGCTTCATTCAAAGCTGTTAGCCTTCTGTGACAGCTGATGTAGGAGCTAAAGGAGTATTTCTCCTGTAGAATGTGCTGTCTTCACAATCAGAGGAGACCTATCAGAAACTGTTCTGTGCTGTTTGTACTAGGGGATGCAAAGTCAATTATATTTTAGTTTTGATTTATTAATCTGCATTGGGCAGCTCAACTTTTACACATGTAGTATTGTTGCAAATAAAATACATTAATGTCATAAATAAGACAAAATCATTATAACGCTAATCTCATGATTGTGAGATTTAAAATTATTCTTAAAATTAAATTAATTTATTGGAGATATTTTTCAAAGATTTAAACAGATTGTTTCCAGCATTTTTGTCTCTAAAAGTGAGGTGAATTAGATGAGCCTTATAATTATTACCAGATATTTCAGAATATTAAATATAAAACACTCTTCCTGATTTAAGATCAAGTGCAATATGAAGAGATAACTGAAACTAGAAGACAGTGAAAACCTGGATGAATAAATACAAAGCTCACAGAATACATCTTTGTAGTAACCATTTATTTGTTTGTCATGTGATACCTGTTACTGAAATATTTTATTAAGTATATATAATGTGTAGGATACCACTGGATGCTGAAATCAATTTATTCTGGATCAAAAATATATTTTTTACAAACACTTATGGCCAATTTTAGTAAGAAGACATTCTTACTAAAGAATTCACCCCCTTAGGAGAGATGACAGGAAAGCAACTACAGAGGTGTATAATATGGTGTGTGTGTAAAACAAAATACAGCCAATTTATCGGTACTTTTTCTATCCATTCTTCTTCATTTCCAGGAGAGTGAATCAGTGTGAATTAACATTTGTGAGAAGAGATAAATATTCTCTTTCTTTGAGCATAGGATAGCTATTTTACTTCTTTTGCCTGAGATCCCATATTTTCTGCAGTTATATTTCTTATTCTTATGTATATCAATTATTTTAGTAATGTTTGTAAATTGTTGCTAATGACTACATTCTAAGCAACAGTTCTTTTTCTCAGACACTTCACAATGGTCTTTCTTTCTAAATTCAATCTAATCTCCTATCAATGGGGTTTCTATGTTATTTTCAAAATGGTCTTCTGAAATAATCAAAAGGACCATGTTATTTTCATAAAAATATCTTTTGGTGACCTGACATAGCTAATAGAAAATCAAACAAATCAGAATGGTATTCAAGGTGCTTCATGATTTAGACTTGTTAAAATTTTTACCCTCCATACTAGTCACTCTTTTAACACCCTCTGCCTAAATCTTGGTCACACCAATCAATGATCCATCTAGTAATCACTGATTAATCACTTAAACCAATTAAGAGAAGAAAATTCATAGAAGCCTGTAGAAACATGAGACTTTTAAGATCTTTATCAAACAAAATGTGATCTACTCTTCAATACTGGATAGAAGCATCAGCTTCTCTGGTTAGCCAAAATGCCTCAGGTTGTTCTTTTAAGTGTTTTCGTAGCAAGTTAAAAAAAAAAATGTAAATGTGGATTTATCTCCAACCTTTACTTATAGGTTTGAGAAAATAGCCTGTTCATTCAGATTTGTTTTTCCAATGTTTTTCTGGCACATAGTAGAAGTTCAAAAATATATTTAGCATTAATTAGTTATTACTACCAGAAAAAAATATAAATATTATTTATTATAACACATTTTATAAGTATTTTGAGGAATTTGCCAAATTCAGCATTTCATACAGACTACCTTGACAATAGCATTTCTATTTGCTGCAGGTACAAAGATGGTGGGTATAATTGTAAATCTCATTGAAAAGAACATTGTTGCATATTACTTTACATTAACTCTACCTCAACTTGAAAATAACGTAACAGCAGATCTTTATGTCTAGGCCAGGTATGTGCACCCTAAGATTCAGTATGCAACATATATCATAATAGAAAAAACCTCTGGATTTCATAAAGCAAGACATGCTAATGAATAGATAGGCAACTTTGGATCACCCTTTAACACTTTTTAAAATTCATCATATACAAAAATAACATTTGGAATCAGATCCCTTGTAGTTTTGAAATTGTAATTTTGCCTATGCTTTAATAAAACATAGCAAATATGATTCCAACCAATTTGTTCCTAGTTCAATGAACAGCTTGTTAATATTGAACACTTCAGGGAATGTCAGAAAAGAGAGGGCCAGTGCCTGCTCATATATATATAAGTACGTGGGGATGCTTGCAGTTAGAGATGCAGCTCTTCAGAGGCTTGCTCATGCTTGCTCTTGACCAAGAGAATACAAATCTAGAAGATAGGATATGCTATGACATTTCTCTTTTTAAATCCAGAAAAATACTTAATAAAAGTGCTAGTTGACATTTTAACCACCTTGTTTTAGATATTTATTAAAAGCATTTGATGGCTTGAAAAGCAGTGAATATTTTCTTAGCTATGTATGAGAACTGATTGATTTTCAACAAACTGTTTTTCTTTGGTGAAATCAAAATTAATTTTTTCTTCCTAGACCATTAATCTGTCAGATTGAACAAATATTCCATCATGTGATTGCATCAATTTTCATTTCAGTCTTGTGATAAGGGGAAAAAATTCTAAAAAACAACTATCACCGGCCGGGCGCGGTGGCTCACGCCTGTAATCCCAGCACTTTGGGAGGCCGAGGCGGGCGGATCACGAGGTCAGGAGATCGAGACCTTCCTGGCTAACACGGTGAAACCCCGTCTCTACTAAAAATACAAAAAAAAAAATTAGCGGGGCGTGGTGGCGGGCGCCTGTAGTCCCAGCTACTCGGGAGGCTGAGGCAGGAGAATGGCGTGAACCCAGGAGGCGGAGCTTGCAGTGAGCCGAGATCGCGCCACTGCACTCCAGCCTGGGCGACAGAGCGAGACTCTGTCTCAAAAAAAAAAAAAATAAAAAAAAATAAAAAAAAAAAAAACAACTATCACCAACTAAGAGGCATTGATTGAATATACAAATTCTTTGCCTGCTTGGTCCTCTAAATCATATATCGACTGCAATCTCATTCAAAAAACAATTTCAGTTATTTATCCTGTATCCTATTTTTTGGAACAAGTTAGAGGATAGTAAATAGATGGGATAGGGAAAAAACATCAGTTGAAATCATTTGCATAGCTAAGAGCACAGTCACTTAACACACAGTAGGCAATAAATATTTCATCCATAAATGCACATGTATATAGAGATACATATGTACATGGAGATATAGTTCACATCTGTAGTCCATATTAGTGCATGCATTTACAGATTTATCCTTCCACATATATAGGGCATGCCATAGACACAAACACACACACACGAGGGTTTTCAAAGATATCATAAAAATGCATATTATACAAAAACTATTCATGGATTTCAAAAAGATTTTGCACCAAAATAAAGTCATACACCTTGTTAAAACATGTATAAACAAGATCTAGTCTGAGTCACTAAGATGGGTAAGACATCAGTTTGACAAAAGCCCTTGTCAGAGCAACATGAATTCTGCTAAAATTGACCAAGAACAAATATCAAATTATGGTGTAGTTGGGTGGAAGAAATGGTAAAATCATTGATACTTTATGAAATGCTTTACGGGGAAAATGCTCCTCTATCCCAAATTAGCAGTATACAAATGAATAATCCATTCTAAGAAGGGACAAGACAATGTTGAAGATGAAGCCTGCAGCGACAGATCATCCACATCAATTTGTGAGGAAAAGTTCATCTTGTTCATGCCCTAATTGAAAAGAACTGATAACACCAGAAGCAATAGTCAACACCATAGGCATTTCAATTTGTTCAGCTTACATAATTCTGAGTGAAATTTAAAGTTAAGCAAACTTTCCATTCAATGAGTGTCAGACCATTGCACCCAGATCAGCTGAGGACAAAAGCAGAATTTCAATGAAATTTTAAACAAGTGGGATCAAGATCCTGAAGTATTTCTTCAAAGAATTATATTGAGAGATGTAACACAGCTTTACCAGTACAATCCTAAAGACAAAGCACAATCAAAGCAATGGCTACCAAGTGGTGGAAGTGGTCCAGTCAAAGTATAAGTGGACTGGTCAAGAGCAATGATCCTGGCAACAACAGTTTTATGGGGATGCTAAATGCATTGGGTCTTTCTGGAGTGCCAAACAATCATAACATGCTTATTATGAGAGTGCTTCAAGAAAGTTAACCAAAACTTTAGCAGAAAAATGGCTGAGAAACATTCACTAGAGAGTCCTTCTCCACCATGTCAATTCTCCTGCTCATTTCTTTCATCAAACAACGGCCATTTTGAAAGAATTTTGATGGGATATCATTACGTACCTACCTTGCAATCATGATTTGGCTATTTCTGAATTCTTTCTGTTTCCTAATCTTAAAAATTCATAAAGGAAGCCCTTGTTCTTCAGTTGATAATGTAAAAAAGATTGCATTTACATGGTTAAATTTCTAGGAAACTCAGTTCTTTAGTGATAGACTAAATGGCTGGTTTCATTGCTACAAAAGTGTTTTGAACTTGACGGAGCTTTATGTTGAGAAATGTTTTTTGAATTTTTATCTTTTAATTCCTTTTCTTCATGAATGTTTTCTTAACATTAAGTTTTTTAATCAGATGTTTCTTTATGTTGAGAGATTTTTTCTATTTTTATCTTTTAATTCAATTTTTCTATGAAATTTTTGAAGTCCCCTCTTATATGTACACCACATACATCTGTGTGTAAATATATATAGTGTATGTGTTAATGTGTGTATATGTGCATGCATGTACTGTACACACATGCTATTACACATAGACAAATACAAACACATTCAATAATAGAATTAACTAGATTTTAATTTCTGATCAACTGAAAATTACTATCATTTTAATATAAAAATATTGCTATTAATAATGCTTAAGCATCATAAAATCCATACTAGACACTCTCTCTGAAAATTCAAAGTTACTGGTATAAATTTCTATAGAAAACTATATCCTTCATATTATTTGGAATGTGTGTGTCAATTATATATTAACATTATTCCCTGAAATATCATATTTCCCAATCTTCTTAAATAACATAAAGTTCAAGGTACTCACTGATTTAATACATACATGCAGCTTCAGTCAAATTTTAATGCAGAGCTAGTCATGACTAACAGCTCCAGAAATAGCATCTGGGTAAAAATATATAATGTTGCAAGAGTTAGTGGTTGGTGAAATTACATTTTGGAATGGAAATTCGATTTTAAAGTAAATGCTAACATCCTTGCTATGACAGATGGACTCAGCAGCTTTAGAGTGGGCCCCTGCTGTCTCTGTCCCATTCTTGGCTGCCTTGTGTAGGCTTCAGCCCTTAAAGCAATAATAGCCTCTGAGAAGGCAGAGGGATAATGCACACCTTAAATAGCTATAAGTCATATGAGTTCAACTAATTAATATATATCCTCAGATTTTTAACCTCTAGCCATTTACCTGAAAATTATGACAATTGTTTAAAAAAAGTTGGATAATCTACAGTAGAATGCCACATGAAAATATTTTCTATAGCTGTTACACCTATATTATATCTTGAAGTAGATTTCCTCCTTCTAGATTTCTATTTTTACCTATAGTGCCTCCAATCTTGGTAAATGGTAATTCTTAAAAACAGTGGAATGGGTGTGTTGCTATTATAATATGAGAATGAAAGAGTAGTATATAGTTAGCAGTTTGGAACTCAGGAGTGATTATACATTTCTGTGATAAAAAAGTGAAATATGGAGAACTGTTTCATAGTTTGGAACAACTCAAACCTCTCTTCATCTTTTAAATTATATTTATTATCCATTTATATATATAATCTATCATATATAATTTATATATCTTTTCAATTATATTTACTATTGTAGATAGTAGATATGTTTACTATTGTAGATAGTAAATATAGATGTGCAAAAAGAGAATCATTTTAATTTCAACTTTTATGTTTTAATTTTTAAAAAATAAAATGTAAATTTTTCATATTTTAATTTTTACAATAATGTAGTTATGAACATAAACTAAAGTTTTCTAAACTGGGTAATGTTGGAGATGGTTCAATCAGAAGTGTAGAATTATGAACTGGCGATGATGCCATTGCTTAAAATGTATAAGTTCATTACTCACTTCAGTCATGTTGGGAATTGACCCAGAAAAGATATATAGACTTACTATATATCTTTTAATAATAG
The DNA here is from genome assembly GCF_000001405.40 of Homo sapiens. Classification (NCBI taxonomy): domain Eukaryota; kingdom Metazoa; phylum Chordata; class Mammalia; order Primates; family Hominidae; genus Homo; species Homo sapiens. Next base: position 185,501,627 of record NC_000002.12, on the reverse strand, counting down.
ATTTACAATTTACTATACATTTACTGTAATAGATTTACTACAATAAATTTAATAATAGATTTACTATTGATTATATATAGTAAACATAATTTAAAAGATATATAGACTTACTATACATCTGACATATTTGTGATAACTGAAGTTTTACGTATACAATGTCAAACCAATTTGACGTTCAGTAGAAAATTAAAAACCTAAATCAAGCAAAACGGAATTCTTGATATCATTATAGGCACAATCAGTGGTGGCTACACAGAATTTATCTTTTTTAAAAAATTTTGTTTTTATTTTTAAGTTCTGGATACAAGTGCAGAATGTGCAGGTTTGTTACATAGGTATACATGTGCCATGGTGGTTTGCTGCACCCATCAACCTGTCAAACCGCATGCATTAGGTATTTGTCCTAGTGCTCTCCCTTCCCTGTGCTCCCCACCCCACGACTGTCCCCATTATTTGTTGTTCCCCTCCCTGTTTCCATGTTTTCTCATTGTTCAACTACCACTTATGAGTAAGAACATGCGTTGTTTGGTTTTCTGTTCCTGTGTTAGTTTGCTGAGGATGATGGCTTCAAGCTTCATCCATGTCCCTGCAAGGTACATGATCTCTTTACTTTTTATGACTGCATAGTATTTCATGGTGTATATGTATCACATTTTCTTTATTCAGTCTATCATTGATGGGCATTTGTGTTTGTTCCAAGTCTTTGCTATTGTAAATAATGCTGCAATAAACACACATGTTCTTGTGTCTTTATAGTAGAATGATTTATCTTCCTTTGGGTATATTACTCAGTAATTGGATTTCGGGGTCAAAAGAAAATTTTTGAAATCTACCCATCTAACAAAGGTCTAATATCCAGAATCTACGAGGACTTAAACAAATTTACAAGAAAAAAAAATAAACAACCCCATGAAAAAATGGGTAAAGTTTAGGAACAGACACTTCTCAAAAGAAGATCTTTATTTGGCCAACAAATATGAAAAAAAGCTCATCATCACTGATCATTAGAGAAATGCAAATGAGAATCACAATGAGATACCATTTCATGCCATTCAGAATAGTGATTATTAAAAAGTCAAGAAATAATAGAAGCTGATGAGGTTGTGGAGAAATAGAATTTATCTTTTTTACAAAGTAGTTGCCTGTCATTATGTGGCATCTGAGATATGAAAGACAAAGTTTAGGAGAATAGCATAGCATTCTCTAATATAAACATTTAAAATACTTTAATTGATCTGTCTTCCCCTTTGACTATTTTAAGAAATTATGGTATGATTTGTTCAGAGTAGGTCTAGAATGTGGCACAGAAGTAATAAATAGGATATACATAATAGGTGGCTATTAGTCACAAATCAGATATAGTAATCTAATCATTGCTACCTTGTGACACTTGCCATGCAAAGTGGGCATGGGTCAATTTCACAATATCACATTTAGCATTAAGAATACTGACAAATAGTCTTTAATTGGTAAAGTTGAAATTCAAAAGTCAGCATACAACCACAGAAGTCACCCAATCCTCACTATGTCCCACAGAGAAGTGTGGTGGATGCACGCAGTGAGAACACATGTGTCCCAGTGGTGGGCCCTGCAGTCCCTTCCCAACCTTCCCAGTGGGAAGAGAAAACATTACACAGGTACCAGGCAATCTGGGTTTAGATGCCAACAATTTATGGTATTTGTCTTAAAAACATCAGGGACCCTGCACTTAAAGATTCGATGCATAAGAAAAGCTGAATTTAAATAAAATTCCTTCACAAGGAGAAGTTAGAAGATTTCTCTACTAGTTAGCTCATTGTCCAGGCAATGCAAAGTGAGCTTTGTGGGTCAATTTCCAACAACACTGATGTGACTGAAGTGAGTAATCAACTTCCACAGTTTAAGCAATGGCGTCATCACCACTTCATAATTCTACACTTCTGACTGAATCACCTCCCACATTACCCAGTTCAGAAAACTTTAGTTTATATTCATAATTACATTATTGTAAAAATTAAAATATAACATTTTAAGTTGTATTTTCTTTTAAATTAATACATGAAAGGTGAATTTAAAATTATTCTCTTTTTGCACATCTATATCTGTATAGCTCTATATCAGTTTCTGTTATGGCACCATTCCCATTATTATTAATTGTTTATTTATTCAAAATGAATAAAATCACTATTAATCATTTTACCATTTCAAAATTTTTAATGGGAAAATATAAAAGATTAAAATAATCTCAAGACCTTGAGAAAATAAAAGGAATATGTGTTTCCTACCAGATAATGTTGCTTACCTAAAAAAAGGAAAAGGTACAAAAATGTGTACGTTTTGTACCTTTGTGACTTTCCTCTGCCCTTTCTGATTTATTAAGAAAATAATTTATAAATGAATAAAAGTAAAGAGAATAAAAGAGTGGGATTTGCTGTCTTTAGAGGTTATAACAAAATTAACATAATTAAATTTATTAACTTGTAAAATAAATGTTTTGATATGTAAAAGCACAAAATTTAAAAGTCAGTAGTTCATATTTTCAAGAAAAAATACTAAAAAGATATTATGAAGGCATTATTGTCTTGGTATCTGTGCCATGCATTGGATTTTTTAAATATAAAAATTATGTCACATATTTTTGGTTTCTGACACATTGGATGGTACCCCTTCTCACTGCAGAATCCATGCAATTAAATGTTATTATGAAGGATGAGGTTTATGAATAAATAAATTCAATCCTGGTTGATGTGGTTTAAACTTTATTATTTAGTAACTAGGGTTATCAGCTCTGCAATATCTTGAATTACGTGATACCGTTTAACACCAATACCTGAATCTAAAATTCATATTCCCAGCAGGTATCGTCTTAGTAACTATAAATTCTATATGATCTTCTATTATAAAGGACTAATCAAGTTTAGTGTGATCTTAAAAAAAATTCGGTTGGTCATAGCTTCATGTTTTCTTAAATATAATATATGTATTTATAATTATTATCTATAATTTTTAATAGATCTCCTTGATCAAAATCACAAAATAAAATTTAAAAAACTAGTGTGTAATGAGTTTTACAGTTCAAAGAATGTGTTTAATTTGTTTTTCCATGGAATTAATAATAATCAATATTGAAGACACAGGAATAAACTTGTCCCTAGAATAAGATAAAGAAATTGGGGCTTTGTCTACACAGCACAATTTTTTCCCAGTAGATATAGAAACATTACACGTGCCTATATGACATGTAAATATTTCTTGTAGATATAATCTACATGTAATATGACATGTAGACATTTTTCTACAAATTTAATTAATTTAATAAATATACAATTTGATTGACTGTTTTTTGTCCTTCAGACTGACTAGTAAGTTGTATAGAGACAAATAGAATGGCATTATTGTGTAAGTAACCTACCAAGAGTTTGGGACTTCATAGCTGTAATGATAGACTCTGTAGATCACAATTAACAGGTATATTTCTGAGATGTTAAGATTTAGGAGGATTTCTTTGTAAAATATCCCCTTCAATATTGCATCCAACAGGGACCTGTATTAGTGGGAAACTCCATTGTTGTTTAAGACAAATGAATTCAGTTAATTCTCACTCTTTAATGATGATATAGCATCTTATGTGGATAAGGGAAGCTCATTTTCACTTGTGGGAGTTGATCATGGGCATTGCCTTTCAACTCTAAGTTTAGTGGCCTCATGGGGATAGCTTGAAATCAGCTATTGTAATAGTATTTACACCATATTATACAACCCATCAGAGTTATCAAGCAACACCCTATCCCCAACCCTAAAGAGGTAGTATATACCAGGATACCATCAGTATATTCAGAGTTGAACTCCTGGGTTAGAGAGTGTATACATTTTTGCTTAAATACTTATAGCCAGACATTCTTGCAAAATGGATATAAATAATAACGACTCCACAAACAACATATAAAATTTTGCTTCTTCATTCTTTTCAAAATCTGATATTGTCCTACTATTAAATTTAGCTATTCTGGTGGAGTCATAAACATATCACATTGTGATTTAAAATATGGATTTATTTGTTAAAAAATAATTAGCAACTTTTCATACGTTATTGCTCATTTGAGTATCTTCTTTGGTAAAGTGCCTGTTCAAACCTTTTACTCACATATTATTGGGCTGTCTTTTATTTTATTAGAGATTTGTACGAGTCATTTATACATTCTCATTGAGTGCTCTCTCTTGTGTATGTATTGCAGATATTTTTTCCCATTCTGTAGCTTGTTTTTTCACAATATTAAGTTTTTAAGAAATAGAAATTCAAATTTAATACAATACGAAAAATATATTTTCATTTTTGGCTAGCACATTCTAAAAAATTATTGCTTTATAATTTTTGTTTAGGTTTGTAGTCCATATGGAATTTATTTTCTGCATGGTATAATACAGAATTCAAGTTATTTATTTATTTTGGATATGGGTACCCAACTGACACGCCATCATTTACCAAGATAATTATTCTTTCCCCATAGTTTCTTTCACTACTGAAAGAAAGAATAATTCTTTCTTTTGTCATGAATTATATATGGGATTTTTCTGGATTTTGTTGTTTTGTTGGTTAATTGTACGCATCTGTCTTAATAGCACCTGTTTTAATTGTTTTACTGCATAATAAATCTTGGTATCTACAGCCTTGATTTTCATCTACAATATTTGGCCATTGTAAGTTATTTAAATCAATATAAAATTTTAGAAACATCTTGTTCAATATACTAATAAAACACTTCTTCGAATAGAGGAGAAAGATCAACTTTCTGTGTAACCATGTGAGGAGTTCTATTGACCCACTCCTCAGTGAAACTGGTGAAAACTATTAAACACACATGTGCACTTCTATTAAAAGCCTCTGGAAATAGCCCTAAGAGCAAACAGCAAATGAAGACATGACAATTTAAGAAAATCTATGAAAATATCTTGAGAAAGGCCAGAGTCTGTGGAATGCGAATTAAGTCAGTTTTATCCCTTCCTTCTACCAGCTCAGTAAGTAGGAAATTCCTCTCTAGATTGCTACAACAAGGAACACAGGGACCTCTCTCCTCAGGATTCTTGCTGGAGAGCTTTCTTCCCAGAAGAAACAAGACTTTAGGATTTCTCTTACAGTTTCTAGCTGCTTGTGGGTTGGGATAAGTCCAGGGAACTTCAGTTGAAGTTGGGGACTTCCTTCTTCATCCTGAACACCATAAATTGGGAAAAGAATAATCTTTTTCACAGATAGATCCGAGGCAACTGGATAACCACCTGCAAAGTAAATAAGTGGGATCCTTTCTGTTAACAAATAGTAAGATGGGCATGAGCGGGCCAGGAGAGGGGTCTCCCCTGCTCACTAGAATTATCAGGTGATGGTTTGACAGTTATCACACTGCTTCTCTAAAAATGATAATTTGGCAGCCTACCCAGGATGCCATGGAGGGGCCATTTCCTGATGATCCACAGCTATTAACATTAAAGTGTTAATTGAATCCAGATGCCAGGGAGAAAAAACTTCCTGGGCATGCACGCTAAGAGACAAAATGGCAAAGTATGACCTTCAGGGTGCACTCCACCAGAAAAGGAAGAAAGTCTCAGATGGGTGTGAGTACAACTTCCTAAACACACTGCATGTGCTCAATTCCTAAGGATAAGGGGGCACTGCGAATGGGGGGCCCACCCTAAGGGAAGAATAATGGGAAAGAGGTGAGCCTATAAAGCCCTAGCATCAAGGTTAAAGGCTCTCTTCTCTTTGACCTTCAGGTGCCCTCTTGGATCTCTTTCAAGTGAATTTTCCTTTCTTTCCTGTTCTAAAGCCTTTTTGAATGAACTTCCACTCCTGCTCTGAAACTTGCATTGGTGTCTTTTTCTAGTTTATTCCTCTCAGTCTAATTCTTTCTTCTGAGGAGGCAAGGACTGAAGTTGCTGCAAACCTGCACACATACACCACTGTCAACTCATGGTAACTGGGATCTCTTCCACTGTTAACACTTTCTTCAAATCATGTATGTACCAATAAAACCTCAAAATGGATTAAAGACCTAAATATAAGAGTAAAAAGTTGCCAGGCATGGTGGCTCACGCCTGTAATCCCAGCACTTTGGGAGGCTGAGGTGGGAGGATCACTTGAGACTAGTAGTTCGAGACCAGCCTGGCCAACATGGTGAAACACCGTCTCTACTAAAAATACAAAAATTAACCAGGCGTGGTGGCGGGCCTGTAATCCCAGCTACTTGGGAGACTGAGGCAGGAGAATCGCTTGAACCCGGGAGGCGGAGGTTGCAGTGAGCCGAGATCACACCACTGCACTCCAGCCCGGGTGACAGAGTGAGAGTCCGTGTCAAAAAAAAAAAAAAAAAAAGTATAAAGTGTAACATTCTTAGAAAAAAACATATGGTTGACTCTTCATGATCTAAGATTGGGAAATAGTTTTTAGATATGACAGAAAAAGATGAACAAGAGAAAAATAAATAAATATATTGAACTTTATCAAAATTAAAATGTCTATTTCAACAGATACAACTTTAAAAATACTAAACCTTTTTTTTTCCAAGATGGAGGATTAAAGGTTTTCAGAGTGCCTCAGCCACTCAGAAATAGAAAGATACTACATAAATATCAACAGTGTGAGCTTTAATTCAAGAAGGAAAATGGGAATCCACCAGAATTGTGAACAACACCCCGTATCTCAGAGAGAACACCGGCAAACAACCCTGTGATGGCATCCAGCTGATGAAAGTGAGTGGAGCCCCAGTATGAGAGAGAAAGGCAGAGAGCTTCCCTCGTGATTCAACTTTTGACTTGGGATCATAGCAACCCAGGCTGACGGAGAGCACTTTGATTCTCTTAAACCCTGGAGTTAATTTGGAGAGAGACTTGAAGGTGCTATGATGAAAAGAGACCAGGAAAAACTGCAGACATTTTCTCAGACCCAGGAGTGAAAGCAAGGTGCCATTTTTAGTCCAAGTACATACAAAGTCAATCATTTGTGGAGACCTGGCAGTGTGGCTGTGCAGCCATTTTACTCTCAGGCCAGGGATTGAAGTGTATGCTCTGGTGTAGGGTAGGGGTTTCCACAGCTAAAACTGTGGAAATTACCTCAGCAGTATGTGCTGGAATTGTGCTCTCCTCTGTCATAAGCCTGGGAGGAGAGTTGCTACAGCTGTAGTTTTCTATGGGAGGCAAGACTTGACGTCGGATTTAGCTTGGCGACCTGGAACTGACTCGTTGGTGCCATTTCTGGGCATTGCACTCTGCTCCCCTGAGATCAGGTGGGCCCTCTCTGCTCAACCCCCAGTTAGAAATCCAGGCGTTTGGGGCACCTGCTTGCCTGAACCAACAGCTTGAGCTGCCCTGCTTTTTCTGGACATATATGATGGTGCAGTGAGGCTCTCTCTGCTCCATGCCCAGGTAGATGTCCAGGCATTTTAAGCACTCATTTGCTGGTACAGCAGCCTGAGTTGCCCCAACATTCCTGGACATAGATCTTGGTGTAGTAGGACTCTCTCTGCTTCACGCCCAGAAGATCTCCAGGCTTTTGGAATACCTGCCTAATGGTATCAGCAGCCTGACCTGTCTCACTCTTCCTGTGCAGAGATCTTTGTGCAAGGGGACCATTTCTGCTCCACAACCAGGCAGACCTCCAGGCATCTGAAGCACCCACTCTGCTGGAATAGAAACTTAGGTTGTTCTTCATTCCTGTGCAAAGAAGTTGGAGGCAAGAAGGTTTCCCAGCTCAATGCCTAGGTTCACTACTGGGTGACTGGTGGCCACCCAATGAATAAACCCTTGGCACTGGTGCTATGCCTGCGATCGGGGCATCTGCAGGAGGACCTTCCTTGTCTGGCCCCATTCTTCATGGCTCCTGCCTCTCCCTTACTGAATTTTGTTTAATGTCGGCAAAGATTGGTAGAGTCCTCAAGTTTTTGGAGAAGCAAGTACAATTTATTCTGGAGAAACATCAAAATAAACATCATGATAACTTAAAATAATTTCTTCAAATAATTTTCTAAGGAAAATGAGAAGCTCATAGGACTAAAATAAAAGCAGCACAAGAAAATGAGGCATATGAGCAAGAACCATCAGAAATATTATTAATTACAGCTCTACAAATATTTTATGTTAAATTCTCAGATGTAGAAGATAGTGCATTCAATATCTTGAAAAATAAAGGCTAAACATAAAAATAATTTCCAATTACTCAGAATTAAGAGAATACAGTAAATTAAGCAGCAATTCTGAGAAATGGCTAAATAAATATATATTTGTATATTAAGTATCATCTGTAAAAAATTAATTAGGATATCTGTAAAAGGAAAACATAGCAGATATTAAAAATTCTATATTTAATAGCACACTGAATTGAGAATCGGTGAATTGAAAGTAGATATTAAGAAGCTGAATAAAATGGACCACAAGGAAATAAAGAGGTAGAATAAACAAAAGACATGAAAAGAGACACCAAACACAGAGCGTGAAGTTCTAATCCCTGATTAAAAATTCCAGAGAGAAAATTGAGAGAGAGCTGGTGATCACTGATTTGTCATGAATTGGCACCCCTGACTAAATTTATGAAGATAATTGCTGTTGTCCTATTTCAAACATAAGAGTACATTTCATGGCCAAGGAGGAGAGACAGCTTTTTTTTACACTTAATTTTTTTAGAATAAATATCTTTGTTGTGATAAACAAGACAGTGCAAATACTTTCAATCTGAAGCTCAGTGAGTACTTATTTTATGATCTTGAATAGGAAAATCAATGGAGTCATCTTGAATATGGAAGTCAGTGGATTCTGAAGTTATGGGTAGCTCTTGAGTTGGTCTGAGAATATGTCAATACTCATGAGTTTACTATCATTTTGTAAATGTTTAAGATTGATCAGTTAGTACCCTGAGAATATCTTGATGGGCTTCAGAAATTAGAATCATATCAAATTTATCTAATATGTTAATATATAATTATGATAATGCATATGATATGTCTTATTTCCTTTTTAATATTCTTAAAATATGAAGGCTAGGCCAGGAGCGGTGGCTCACGCCTGTAATCCCAGTACTTTGGGAGGACGAGGTGGGCAGATCACAAGGTCAGGAGATCAAGACCATCCTGGCCAACATGGTGAAACCCCGTATCTTCTAAAAGAACAAAAATTAGCTGGGTGTGGCGCCACGTGCCTGTAATCCCAGCTACTTGGGAGGCTGAGGCAGGAGAATTGCTTGAACATGGAAGGCAGAGGCTGCAGCGAGCCAAGATCACACCAGTGCACTCCAGCACCTGGGTGACAGAGCAAAACTCCATCTCAAAAAAAAAAAAAAAGGCCAATAGGTGATATTTTATCTATTACTCTATGTATCTGTGGTACAGGTATACTAAGAGTTGATTCATAATTCCTCCAGTGTTACTAACACACAGCTATTCTGATCCACTGACAAAAAATAAACAATAGCATAATAAATAAAGCTTAATATAAGATCTAGTTATTTTCAGAAATATATTAAACAACTTTCAGGTTTTGTGTGAAAAGCAAGCATTCTAAAACATATTTTGTGATTATTTTCCACAATGTGTCCAATTATAAAGTTTTGAGAACTTTGTACAATAACTTGAACTCATTAGTTTACACAGCAATAACAATTTTGGCATGAGGTTAGTACTTCAGACTGATAAAACAGATGAGCAGGCAAAATTTTCACTGAAGGAAAAGACAAGCCTCACAAGACTTTGAGGGAAAGGCTGTAACTGATGAGTTTTACAGAGAGTGCCTTTAACTACAGTCAATTTATCTGCCCTTAAGGTTATTTGTACTGAAAGATTCCCCAGAATAGGATTTATAATTTGTAAAGTTAAAAAGGTTTATAGAAAATCAAATTTTATGCATCTCTTTTTCATTAGCTTTTTTCTCTGTCTGATGCAACAAAATTTACATAGAGTCAAAAGTAAGTTGCAGAGGAACAAAACTACACGATAAGGATGCTACTTTCAAAAAGTTTCTTCATTTGCTCTCACCAAAAGGCATATATTGAATGTATAAATAGCACATAAAATTTCAGTTAAATAAGAATTTGTGTGATGTTTGTTTTGAAATTTGAGGACATTATGCTTCTAACACAGGTTCTAATAATGTCAAGCAAAAACAGCTAAAGTTTATTATGTTGATTTTTAATGTTGTTTGATTTTGCCATAAAACAAAATAAATTTATGCTTAAAATTAAATTTCAAAATAATAATTGAACGTATTAGGCAACTAGCTAGAAAACTGATAGTGAGAAGAGAATATATTGATATATTAGATATACACTCAAGATTTCTCTTATATGGAAAGGATATATTAATAACCTAATTGTTTTAATAATGCATATCTAAGATACCTAGTGAAACTATTTTCCATAAATTACTAGCAATTTTTTTTACATTAAGTTCTACATAAGTAGATTCTGTAGTGTTATGCAATAAGAATTATAATTTACTAATTGTTAGTTTCTCTGTAGCAAAAACCAAATGAGTGAATATAAAAGTAGCAATATAAATGAATTGAATTGCAACTTGACTAATATAAATTTTAGTACTACAGAAAAATAAATCAATTTAAGTATATTTACAAATGACAGCTAATTAAGAAGCTCATATTAAATTTTAAAAATTTAAAATGATGTATCTGTTAAAAATCTTTATTATCTTTAAAATTAAATGAAAACATGATTTTTTAAAGATGCAATGGCAGGCCGGGCACAGTGAATCATGCCTGTAATCCTAACAATTTGGGATGCCAAGGCTGGCGGATCACTTGAGGTCAGGAGTTTGAGACCAGCCGGGCCAACATGGTGAAACTCCATCTATACCAAAAAATACATTAAAAAAATTAGCCGGGTGTGGTGGCATGCGCCTGTAGTCCCAGCTATGTGGGAGGCTGAGGCACAAGAATCGCTTGAAACTGGGAGGTGGAGGTTGTAGTGAGCAGAGATCGTGCCACTGCTCTCCAGCCTGGGCGATGGAGTGAGACCCTGTGTCTAAGTAAATAAAGAAACATGCAGTGGCACACGATAAGGATATTATCAGCTTCTCCTTGTTCCTCCTCCACTGGCACACTGGTAAGGTAACAAAAGCAGCTAATACGATATAATGGTTTTTCTGTTCCCCCACAACTTTCTCTATTCTCCGAAAATCATATCTATCCATTTGCCTATTTACCTATGTACCTGTAATACATTTATAGCAACAGTTTTTTAAAACTTTTTTCTCCTTTATAAAAAAAATGCATTATACAGAAAAAAATGAATAAAATATAATGAAAACCCATCTTTATTACCTCTTCATACATATATATATATAATACATATAACACATATAAATGATATATGTATACTTTTTCTATGGATATTTATAAAAATATGTAAAACATATATAAACATATTTTTTAAAGTATTTTTTTTTCATTTTACACTTCAAAAGAAGCCAGGGAAAAATAGGAAAAAATGTAGATAGGAAAATAGAAAATATATAGTAGTAAAATTAAGCCCAGCTATATTAAAAGTTTTATTAAAAATGCTCTAAATATTTCAGTGCAAAAGTAGCGATTGTCAGACTGGATAAAAACAAGACCTAACTATATGCGGACCTAACCATATGTTAGGTTTCAGATTACATGAAAAAAATGGACAGAACTAAAAAATAAATACACAATTACACAATATGATTTAGACTCTTCACTACTCCACTCTGAGTTATGAAAGGCCCCCAAATTAGTAAATGTATCAGAGATATAAATGACACTATTAACTACCTTGTACATATTAAAATTTGTAGAAGACTATTCGGGCGCGGTGGCTCATGCCTGTAATCCCAGCACTTTGGGAGGCCGAGGCGGGCGGATCACAAGGTCAGGAGATGGAGACCATCCTAGCTAACACGGTGAAACCCTGTCTCTACTAAAAATACAAAAACAAAATTAGCCGGGCGGGGTGGCGAGCTCCTGTAGTCCCACTACTCGACAGGCTGAGGCAGGAGAATGGCGTGAACCCGGGAGGCGGAGCTTGCAGTGAGCCGAGATCGCGCCACTGCACTCCAGCCTGGGTGACAAAGCAAGACTCCGTCTCAAAAAAAAAAAAAAAGAAAAATATATATATATGGAATACTAATATTTATTTTTTATATCAACTGATAACAGTAGAATATATATATGTATATATAATATATATATATATATTTTGAGACAGTCTCGTTTTGTTGCTCAGGCTGGAGTGCAGTGGCACATCTCTGCTCACCACAACCTCCACCTCCCAGGTTCGAACGATTCTCCTCCCTCAGCCTCCAGAGTTGCTGGGACTACAGGCACGCGCCACCATGCCCTGCTAATTTTTGTATTTTTAATAGAGACGAGGTTTCACTATGTTGGCCAGGCTGGTCTTGAACTCCTGACCTCGTGATCTGCCCGCCTCGACCTCTCAAAGTGCTGCGATTACATTCTTTTCACCAGAAATAGAATACACATGGGAAGAAGAAACACTGGGCCACAAAACAAATAACCAAAAAATATGGATGAATTGAAACAATGCAAAGTGTTTTCTCTGACCATAATGTATTTCAACTAGAAACCAATGACAAAAACACTTATGAAAAATCCATAGATATTTAAAAATTAAACTGCTTACTTCTAAACAAGTTATTCATCAAATAAGAAAATAAACAGAGAAACTTAAGAATACTTTGAAATGATTTATACTAAAAATTCAGCATATCAACATGTTAGATTTTATAGCTTTAAGCGTTTATGTTAGGAAACAAAAAGCAATAATATAGAGCGTTCCAATTTAAGAAGCTGGAAAACAAAAAGCAAGTCTAACTCAAATTAGAAAGAAAACATGTATCATAAAAGCAAGAACAGAGACTAAAGAAATAAAAAACAGACAAAGGGAATTATGAAATCAATAGTTAGTTCTTTGAAATAAATAATGAATTTGACAACCTTCTAGCCAGACTAAGAAGCACAGAGAAAATATACAAAGTGCCAATATCAGGAATATAAGATAGGAGATCCCAACAGATCCTATGAACACTAAAAGATAATAAAGAGGAATAAGTTTGCAACAATAAATATAAAGGCTTTGACAAAAAAAATGCATTCCAGGAAAGACATACATTACCTAATTAGAACAAAATGAAATAAAAAACCTGAACATGAAACCCTTCCTAATTCATTTTATAAAGTCAACATTCACCTGTTACCAAAAATAGACTAATATATTACAAGAAATAAGTAAAACCATAGACCTATACAAACTATGAAATGCATGTGAAAGTCCTTAGCAAAATATTTCTGTACAGAATCAGGTAATAGAAAAGGATAATACATAACGACTAATATTGTGTTATCTCAGGAACACAATGTTTGTTACCAACTGAAAATCAATCATAGCAATTGATCATATTAACAGTATAATGAATAAATCACATGATTTAGTATATTTATATGTGAGCACATAAACGTGTAGTTAAGTCTATCTACTTATAATTTTCATTTGATTCTAATTTCCTTGCTTTTAGAATACCTTATAAAGTTTTCATTTTATTGATTTCTCTTCTAACAACATTTTGGTCCTGATATACCTATTGTAGGTAATTTATGTTAAGGTATGGTCACAAAATATTATTAAATTATATTAAAATATTATTCTAATATTCAATAATATTACTAAAATATTCTAATACTATTTTCAGACATATTTAATTTTGATCTATTCATTGTCAACCATAATGGATATTATAGCCTATTATTTTCAATTTAGATACATCTTTATATTTTTAACTTAACTACATCTTCAAATTTTGGGCACACTTCAAGGTATTTTTAGCTTTTTGATATGATAGTGTGTAAAAATAATACATTATAAATATATATTTAACAAAAAAATCACAGGGGTTCAATTTTATTTATACTGGATGTTTAATATTTCAAACATCAGCATACATGCATATTTTATTTTTCTATTGCCAAATAAAAGAAAAATATATCTTAGATTTTATATTTTAAGAACTCACAGAATATCTGTCGAATATCTTAATAACTGGAAGAAATCAAGACAGTCTTTAAATATATTTGATAGTTTTTAAATAAATCTGACACAATGAACACACTGAAACTACACTTGAGATAAAATGTCAATGTGTAAAATCAATTACCTATGTTTGGACAGAATATGTAATTTAATTAATATTTGCCATACATATATATTATTTAGCATAGTAGTAGGAAATAAAATTGTTTAATATGGCAGACTTGTAGGAATTCTTGGAGTTCATTTTTGCTACCATAAAAATTTAGATTTAGGGCCTCTGTCCACCCCCACTCAATGTGACTACCAGTCTCTGTTTCCTCTGACTTCCTTACTCCCACAGTTCCCCTACCCCCAATGCTGACATAGACCATAAATCATATGAGAATCCAGGAGTTGTGTTTTTGTTTTTGATTTTCTTTTTACCCCAACGTTTTATGGGGCTTTCTATATAGATAACGAAATCCATAAAGGTAAACAAAATAATTTAAAAAATAATAAAAATTTATACTACAAAAGAAGGATAAGATATTTCAAGAAGAAAAGAATACATTCCACAGAAAAAAGAGTTGGGTGATTAGATAATGAATTGACTAAAATTATAGACTATAGAGAATTGAGGGGCAATTTATAAAAAGCAGAAAGGGATTTCAGAAGTATGAGATGTTCAGCAAGGGGGAAAATTTTTAATAAATTATTTCTGTTTCCTGTTGTTTCCTCATAAGTCTCTGGTAAATGTTTCTATTAGTTTCTAAATATTCATATTCATATCTATATATTTTTCTTTCCTATGTCTAAGAGGTGTTTGTTTAAAACTGGCTTTAAAATTAGAAATCAGTTTTAATTAGAAGCCATGTAACTATTTTCTACAAGTTATAAGAATAAAGGGAACAAAACCCAGAGTAAAAGTATCCTGTGCAAGATCACTCCACTAACGAAAAGGTGGAGCTAGAGAACAAGGTTTCTAACCTCTTGTTTTGATCCCTAGCTATTTGACTATACTACTCTAAAAATACTGTTTGACTATACTACTCTAAAAAGACTGTTCAGAAGTGCCCTTTTTCTGTATTAGAAAAGTATTTGTTCAACCATATTTCTTGGAATAATTCCAGCAAATTAACACTCAGTTATACCTAATCAGTTAATCAATAGGTATTTTAAAATTTTATTTTCTCTACTAGTAAACTGGGAAATAGGCTGTTGACCGTTTTATACAAATAGAGGATTCAGAACCTACCACACTGTGAACCGCTCTCTGTGAACTTCTGAGAATTTTTTATTGTATTCCAAAAAGTAAAAATGCATTTTGAATTATTTTTAAAAATATACCTATAGAAATCACCTTCAGAATATTATACCACCCATAAATTAATGATGTTAAAGCTGAATTTTTTCCCTTTTCTCTGATATTGGAACTTTTTTCAGTGCTTTCAATATCGTAAGTCAGAATCCAGAGGCATATTTCTGACATCTCTATCACAGTTAATTCTCAATCATTCTCCAAGGCTTCCTTCATAAATACCTATTTAATCCTTTACTTATCTCCAGCAACAATTTATACTCCAGCTCAAGTAGTGTATTCCTTGCTTAGATTACTGCAAAAATACTCCAAATAATACATAAACAATAACAACAAAAAACCTCAACTCATCAAGTATTTCTATTCTTCAGTACATTGTCCACCCTATTATCAACATTTGTTTCTGTATTAGTTTATTTTCACAATGCTATAAAGAACGATCTGAGACTAGGTAATTTATGAATAAAATATATTTAATTATTGACTCACAGGGCCACATGGCCGAGGAGGCCTCAGGAAACTTATAATCATGGTGGAAGACAGGAGAGACAGGAGAGAAAGCAAGAGATCTCAGATCTCATGAGAAATCACTTGCTATCATGAAAATAGGATCAGGAAAACAACCCCCATGATCCAGTCACTCCCCTCAGATCCCTCCATTGACACGGGATTATTACAATTTGACATGAGATTTGAGTGGGGACACAGAGCCAAACCATATCATTCCACTCTTGGCCTCTCCCAAATCTCATGCCCTTTTCACATCTCAAAACACAATCATGGCTTCCCAACAGTCCCCCAAAGTCTTAACTCAT
Organism: Homo sapiens; assembly: GCF_000001405.40. Classification (NCBI taxonomy): domain Eukaryota; kingdom Metazoa; phylum Chordata; class Mammalia; order Primates; family Hominidae; genus Homo; species Homo sapiens. The sequence continues at coordinate 185,485,480 of NC_000002.12, read as the reverse complement.
TCCAGCATTAACCCAAAAGTCCAAGTCCAAAGTCTCATCTGAGACCAGGCAAGTCCCTTATACCTATGAGCCTGTAAAATCAAAAACAAGTTACTTACTTCCAAGATACAATAGGAGTAGAAAAGGTGGGTAAGTACTCCTATTCCAACTGGGAGAAATTGGCCAAAACAAAGGGGCCACAGGCACCATGCAAGTTCGAAACTCCACAAGGCACTCAATAAATCTTAAAGCACTTAAATAATCTCTTTTGACTTCATGTCTCATGTCCAGGTCATGCTTATGCAAGAGGTGGGCTCCCTAGCCCTTGGGCTGCTCTGCCCCTGTGGCTCTGCAGGTACAGCCCCAACAGCTGCTTTCATGGGCTGGGGTTGAGTGCCTATGGCTTTTCCAGGTGCATGGTGCAAGCTGTTGATGGATCTGCCTTTCTGAAGTCTGGAGGAGAGTACCCTCTTCTCACAGCTTCACTAGAGAGTGCCTCAGTGGGGAGTCAGCGGGGGAGCTTCAATCCCACATTCCCCCTCCACACTGCCCTACTACAGGTTCTGTATGATAGCTCTGTCCCTGCAGCAGACTTCTGCCAGACATCCAGGCTTTTCCAAAACTCTGTGGGTGCACAGAAGACAAGCTTGAAACCATTTACTCTCTAGGTTTCCTGGCCTGTGATGGGAGGGGCTGCTGTGAAACCCTCTGACATTCCCTGGAGACACTTTCCCCATTGTCTTGGCAGTAAACTTTCCACTCCTCTTTACTTATGCAAATTTCTGCAGCTGGCTTGAATTTCTCCCCAGAAAATGGGTTTTTCTTTTCTACCTCATGATCAGGCTGCAAATTTTTCAAACTTTTAAGCTTCACTTTTCTTTTAAACCTAAGTTCCAATTTCAGATCATCTCTCTGTGAATGCATATGCTTTCAGAAAAAGCCAGGTCATCTCTTGAAAGCTTTACTGCTTAGAAATTTATTTTGCCACATACCCTAAATCATCTCCTCAAATTCAAAGTTCCATAGATCTCTAGGGCAGGAGCAAAATGCCACCAGTCTCTTTGCCACAGGATAGCAACAGTCACCTTTACTCCAGTTCCCAGTAAGTTCCTCATCTCCATCTAAGACCTCCTCAGCCTGGACTTCATTGTTCATATCATTATCAGCATTTTGGTCAAAATTATTAAACAAGACTCTAGGAAGTTTCAAACTTTCCCGCATCTTCCTGTCTTCTTCTGAGCTCTCCAAACTCTTCCAATCTGCTACCCAGTTCTGAAGTCATTTCCAAATTTTCAAGTATCTTTATAGAAGTATCTCATTCTTGGTGCCAATTTTCTTTATTAGTCCATTTTTCTCACACTGCTATAAAGAACTACCTGGTGTAATTTATGAAGAAAAGAGATTTAATTGACTCATAGTTTTGTGTGGCTGGGGAAACTTATAATCATGGTGGAAGGTGAAAGGGAAGCAAGGCACATCTTACATGGTGGCAGGAGAGACAGTGAGAGCAGGGGAAGTGCCAAATACTTTCAACATCAGATCTCATGAGAACTTGCTCACAGTCATGAGAATAGCATGGAGGAAACCACCCCCATGATACAATCACTCCCACCAGATCCCGCCTTGATAAGTGAGGATTACAATTTGACATGAGATTTTGATGGGGACACAAAGCCAAACCATATTAGATTACAAGACAAAAATCCAATTATGACCTTCTCTGGCTTACGTTTCTCTCATGCTTCACATGCCTTAGGATAAAGCCGAAATCCTTAAGTCCTGCTGTCAAAGTCTTTCCAGATCTAGTCACTGCCTTATCGTACACCACCTACCTTTTATTGTCTTACTCTTCCCATTGTTTCAAGTTTCAGTTAAATGCCCCACCCATGGTATCCATTTATACCTTAAACCAGCAGTTCCCAACCTTTTGGGCACCAGGGACTGTTTTTTTTTGTTTGTTTGTTTATTTGTTTGTTTGAGATGGAGTCTCGCTCTGTCACCAGGCTGGAATGCAGTGGCGCAATCTCGGTTCACTGCAACTTCCTCCTCCCAGGTTCAATCAATTCTCCTGCCTCAGCTTCCTGAGTAGCTGAAATTACAGGCATGCACCACCACGCCCAGCTAATTTTTGTATTTTTAGTAGAGACGGGGTTTCACCATGTTGGCCAGGATGGTCTCGATCTCTTGACCTCTTGATCCGCCCACCTCGGCCTCCCAAAGTCCTGGGATTACAGACATGAGCCACTGAGCCTGGCAGGGACTGGTTTTATGGAAGACAATTTTTCCATGGACTGGGTGGAGGGGAGCGGAGGGATTGTTCCAGTATGATTAAAGCTCATTACATTTATTGCACACTCTATTTCTATTATTATTACATTGTCATATACAAGGAAGTAATTATACAACTCACCATAATGTAGAATCAGTGGGAGCCCTGAACTTGTTTTCCTGCAACTAGATGGTCCAATCTGGGGATGAAAGGAGACAGTGACAGATCATCAGCCATTAGATTCTCATAAGGATTGTGCAGCCTAGATCTTTCACATGTGTAGTTCACAGTACGGTTTACACTCCTATGAGAATATAATGCTGCCTCTGATCTGACAGGAGGTGGAGCTCAAGCAGTAATGTGAGTGATGGGGAGTGGCGTTAAATACAGATGAAGCACTGGTCCCTGGCCTGGGGGTTGAGGACCCCTACCTTCAACTTTTCTAACATAACACCTATTATTATTTACTGTATTTGCCTCATTTCTTTGTATCCTTACACTCCCTTCCAACAGATTTTAAGACCCAAGAAGGCAGAGATTATTTCTACCAATTCACTGTTATGACTCTCAGCACATAAGGCCCTTGCTCAACTATTGTGGAACTATTGAGTCTCTGAATGGCTGAATGCCCAACAAAATAAATAATTTAAAAGAGAACCTTTATTTGATAAGTGAATAAACTATTTTAATTGCATTTTTCTTTCCCTTTGTCATCTTCTAAAATCATCATTTATTTTTGCCTGCAACTAAATAAGCATGCACATTTACACATACATAAACACACACACACACACACACACACACACGCACCCCATAAGTTCTGTGGGCAGAATTAAACATTTCTGAATTTGGCTACAGCATATTTTTTAGTACTCTGGTTCATTAGCCAAACATCCACAACTGCAGCATACTCTCAGGAACAGATGCCTTCTAAAAATTCAATTTCTATCAGTTGACTCATATGTTCACATTGATGTATATTCTAATTTTAAAATCACTTTATTTTCATTTTCCAGTTATTTTCAGTGGCCACTGATTTCTAATATATTGTCACTTTTTCCCAGCCTGCAAATTAACCTTATAAATACCTACCAGTGTATAGTTGCTCAAATGGTTGCCAACATTTAAAGGCACTGCTTTTTAAAGTTCATTTGTTTAAATAATCCTCCTGACAATCAGTGTCTTTTATTTTTAGAAACATTTTAAAAAATGCATTTTTAGAAACAAGTTACTCTTAAAACATAGAACACATGTCATTTACTGTACAACTTTTGAACATGGAGATTCTGGATGACCAAGCTTCTATCCAAGTTCGGTTTGTTAGAAAAGATAGAATTCGTATATGAATTATAGAAATCTGTCTTCTGGCTTTGTAGCTTCAAAGATATATATATATATATATATATATATATATATATATATATATATATATATATCACAGAATAAAACTTGGAATTGTATAGCACTTTAAGATTTGGGGAGAGTTATTCTTGTATACATACTTTATTAAATTTTCACTGCAATCATTTCAAGTAAACACATGTAAACTACTAGTTTACAAATGTGTTAATTGATCTAGATAAATAAATGCATTTTAAAGGTCATTTTCATTATAAATACTAGAGTGTGGATATAGTCAGGAGTTTTATGTACATAAACCCATTTTCAATGGTTATTCTGCTACGTATTACTGTTTTAAAATGGAGAGGGCATATCTAAACACTAGACATTCAGTGGTAAATATGATAGACAGTGTTCATATTGGCATGGAACCTACATATTAGAAGAAAAATTTAGAAATAATTAATAATATTTAAAAAGACAATTCCAGATAGAGAAGACAGGTACAAAATAATAAATAAAAAATTAAAAAAAAACCTGTAGTGTGAAAATGATTGGAGTGAGATAAGTTATGATAGTCAAGAGAGACTCTATTTGAAGAGGTGATTTTTGACTGGACTGAGTTCTAAACAGTGGTTATGAAGAAGGAACTGACTTAGCTGGTTTGAGGAATCCAAAGAAAACCAGTACACTGAGTGCATGAGAACAAAGATCCCAGGGTTCGATGTCAAATATGTAGACAGTAGAAACAATAATGTAGGGCATAAAAGCTATGATAAAGAAATTAAATTTTATTCAACGTGCATTGAGAAACTAGTAAAATGTTCTAAGCAAGGCAATTATGTGTCTTGATTTATGGTTAAAAAAGAATCCTTTATGATTGTGGGTAGAATGGAATTTCACTAGGGGTGGAATAAGAAGCAAGGAGATGAACTCTTGCATTAAAGAGAAAAGGTAACTTTTATTAGGGTGATAGCAACTGACATGAAAACAAACTGAAGTAGAAAGACTAAAATGGACTTTGAAGATAGAATTGACATGATACAGTGATTTACTGAGAAAAGCAGAAGTGATTTACTTGAGAAAAATGGAAGAATCAAGGCTATGGATAAGATTTTTGTCTTATTTAATTCAAGTGATGCCAGTATTTTTTTACTGAGGTGGGGCAAACTGGATAAAGAACATTTTTAAGTTCAGTGTGAGAATGACAATATTATTTTACATGGGTAAGTTTGATGTTATATGAACTGCAGGTAGTAAATAGATGCAAATAGACTCAAAATAGAGTTCTGGTCAAGGTTTAAATATTGATGATTCATTTATACACACACACACACACACACACACACACACACATACATGCATATGTGGCATGTAATGATGGAATGGCATTGGATAGTTTGTGATTGCCTAGGGATAACATTGAATGGATAAGAAAGTCCAAGATAGTACAATCTCTGGAGCACCGCAATATTTAGAAGTCAGAGTAGAGGAGGTTGATTCAAAAAAGGTAACTTTAAAGGAGCAGCTGGTAACACCAGCAGAGTGTTACATTACAAAAGCTTTCTTATTTTAACAAAGAGGGAGAGAAGATAGCAAAGGAAAAGATATGATTAAATTTCTTTATTTATATTTTTACTATTTTGTAGCTTTTGCCTGCAAATTATTTTGGGTTAAATGAATCATCTCTACAATACTACTATACTAGCTGCAAATGCAAAGGCAATTCTGCATAGTTTTGGTAATTTACTCATTCGTTCATTGGGACAGTATTTATTAAACCATGCATTGATTCTTCATTCAATACAGGTAATGTGGTCACTTATTTTAATAATCCCACAGCTAAATAGGAAACTAACTCACTTTTACAATAAAATGTAGTAAACACAATAATAGAAATATGTAAGGACAATTAATTCAATCTAAACTGTAGACAAACTTCCAGAAGAAATTAACTGAGTAAAGGAAATAGTGGAAAGCATTCATTTCAGTGAAAAATATTATGATTAAATGAAAAACGATTAAAGGCACAGCAGTTTATTCTTGCAAGGTAGTGTGTAGTATGAAGTCAAAAGCTAAAATTGCTGGGGTTAGTATAAAGGGGTTGTCATGGCAGAGAGCTTGGGTTTTATCTTAACAGTCAATTAAGAGACATCAAAATTTTGGGCATAAGAATGAATTGCTTGTGATTGCAAGACGTATAGAACGGAGGTTGTCTGACTGAAGGCAGAAGCACATAGTAAGCATTATTTCCAGAAACTCTGGAAATAGAAGATAAGGTCTCAAATCAAGATAACAATAAATGATATATGGACAAGGCAAATAAATTAGAGAACTAGTTGGAGCATAACATTTTTCAGAAATATCTTATTACATGCAAAGACAGTAAAAGATGTGACATTAATGATGTCTGCATTCTTAGCTTGGGTGACTGAATGATGCTATTGCTATTGTTAGGGAAATTTGAAGACACTGGTAATAGTAATGTCTACTGCATGGTCACAAGATGGTAAGGAAAACATAACCAATCATAATTTTAAAATTACTTTATTCAGTTAAATGAATTATTCATTTAAATTAATAATCACAGACACACACACAACTTGTTTCATATGAAATCTACTAGAAATTGATGCCATTATGTGTCTCACTTGGTTTACAAATAGGTTAGAATGATTTTAGCAAAATAGAAAGGCTTGTGGGGCAAATTCTCTCAGTTCATTACTTAACAGTACTACCTATCAGCCTTTTCTAGGTTGGCAAAGCACGTCTCCAAAATCAGAACCTAAAATTTCCAGCTACTCACTCTCTAATTATCTCTTTCTTCAAAGTTAGTCATGAGATTTTGGGCAATGAAAAGTAATGATCCTCTGAGTTGGGTAAGGGAGACTACTGGTAAAGATTTTCCTCTCAGATAAAAACAGACACCTAAGAACTCTCTCAACAGTTTGCTATACCCTTCTTTTACTCCTTTGTACATTATTATATAAGGACATTATTTTCTAGCTTTTGTAGCCCCTTACAGTTCATGAGTAAAGATATGAACACTATTATATAGGTGGCAAAACAAAAAGAAGAGAACTCTGTCCTTGAGAGTATCATTGAGCCTCTAATCTAATCCCTTAAATGCTTCCTGCAGACTTGTAGGCTTCCTGCAGACATAGGCTAACTCAAGGTCATCCTTGGTTAAGCCATTGCAAATCAGGCATTCTTTCAACTTTTTGCTGAAAGTATTCTAGTTGATACAGCAAGTAAACATAACACCAAGGAGCCTTAACTCAGTGTAGTATAAATAAAAAAAAATTAATGATTTCTAAATGTTACATTCAACCCTAATGTGTTGAATCTCTGTTTAATATCCTTTAGAAGTATCTAAGGCAGATTGATAGTTCTGCTGTCACTTAGAGTAGTTACAAAGTTCAGTTGAGTTCAGCATAAAACTTCCATTTTCTATTTACTTTACACCTACTCATCTCATTCTACCCTCATCTCCCTCATCCACCAGTCCAAATACAGTTCAGACTTTGAGAAGTACTAGTGATGGGGAGTTCGGTGAAATAGACTGATCTTTCACTCTTTTTCTCTTTCCAACAGTTTGGAGGTGGGGCCTGGAAGAGGAACTTTATTAAATGAGCAAAGATATTTTTCCTTAGCTGGGTTTGTAAATGTGACCCTGCATTCATTTATGCTACCATCTCTCTGTTAATAACCTTTAGGGAGGAAGAATGTTTTTTTCAGGGTGCCTTAGGGGGTTTCACTCCACTGCAAGGAAGGCAGCTTTGCCAACAGCAATTTTTGGGTGTGTAAAATAAAAATATATGTGGACTTAGATAAACAGAGTTTAATCAGAAAGACCATTACAATAGGGAGAACCATTTGAACTCAGGGGAAGGGGAAGTATCTCAAAATCAAACAGAAAAATACTTTCTTTATAGGAAAGCATAAGCAATAAATAAGTAGTCAGGCAAAGGAGGGGAAATGATGAGTGGCATCTGACAGGAAAAGTCTCCAGCTGTCATCAGTCAGTTCTCAGGACAGCTGATAAGGTGATATGTTCTGCTTTTTAGTGCATGTTCAAGTTTGGGGCAAGCGGAGTTAGGAATTCTGTAGGGACAGAGAAGCCTGATTCTAAAGTTTGGTTAAGAGAAACCAGAGGGTAGGAAATGAGTGACTTTGAGCATTTGGTCAGGTGAGATTGTGGTGAGGCACATGGAACTAGTGGTTTGGTTAGCTCTCTACCACTTTATGACCTTTGTCTGAAGTAATTATAAATAGTCCATTTTACTCATAACATTGACTCATTTAGGACAACATATTACATATTTATCCGAGATTTAGCAAGGTTGCTCATGCCTGGCTACCAACTACTCTGCCTACTTGATTCAAAGGAAACATACAATCTTGCCAAAGCAGATTCTGGAAATAAACTCAGACTCACTGAAGCCCTTGAACTCCAACCTGCCATTTCCGCTCAAATCGTCCTTTCCCTGATCTAACACGAACATGGCTGGACAGTAATTTTGCTTCATAAGTAGGCACACATGTAACTCAAGAACAGCAAAATTATACACCCTTATCATCAATTCCTCCAATTTTTTTTGTGTGTGTGTTTGTGTGTCTTTGAGAGTTTTTTGTTTGTTTGCTTATTTGGCACCCTACTCGTTTGAAGAACTCCAAATGTTCTCCTCTCCTTCTTTCTCTAGAATTCTATGCATACAATGGTAGAAGGATGTATGAAGATGGAGAGAGCATTTCTGGATAACAGAGTTGGCCTAACTGCTTCTTATCCATTCAGGAGGTCTGGCTGTCAATTTCTTTAACCTCTTTTTGATATATATAACAAATGCTAGTTTTCTACCCATGTTAATAGAAAAATACGATTCAAAATTATGTGGAAATATAATTGTTAGAGAATGAATTTTTCAAATTATTTTAGTACTATTTTTGAGAATATATAATGAATTGAAGTTTTAAAATATAATTAGTAACAATGGAAAATCAGCATTAAATATATTCAATTAATTCTTATGCTAATTATTTAAATTAGAACATTGTTCTGCAAAAGGATGGGCTTAGTATTAAAAGAAAAAAAGAAAATTAAGCCAATGAAAATAATCATTTTTTATGTATGTGATTGTGTGTGTGTGTGTGTGTGAGAAAGAGAAAGTGTGTTTGTACTTACGGAAAATCAGTTCATCATAATGATTGAGCTATGCATGTATTCAAGTATCATCATTTTTACTGCAGGCTTAAAAAGAAATATTAATTTACTTACTAGTACTAATTTAATCACAATATAATGTTCGATTGCTAAAACACAATCAACGTTTGCAACCCATTACTGCAATTGCTTTAAAAAATGAATAAGCAATTGACATAATGTTATAATGGATGTTAATTGTAACTGTCTGACCATACGTTATTTTCCTGACAGGCTTGAACAACAAACCAAACCCTCAAATAGGCAGGATAAGTTAAGAAGAAAGCAAAGCAAATAGTATCTTCAAGGGATGTCCATTTGTCAGCCATTAGCAGGAGATAACCAGCTGCTAAATAAACCCAAATGCCTCCTTATATTCTTCAGGAACCCACTGGGGAAGGACTGCAACAAACTATTCAAGAAGCAAAGAGCAGACTCGGCACCAGCAACTGAATGAGGCAACCTATCAGGTAACTATGAACATCCTGAGTGGTATAAATTTACAAAAGGTTTCTAAATTTATGATGGTGAATAGAAAAGATCCCAGTGGCCAAATCCAATCCAATTAGGATAAAAACACTTTTCCTCCTTAACTGCCAGCTTTTGTATGAAAATTGCTTCTTCTAGAACTCAGTCAATTAAAAAATGTCTGCTAGCTGAGTTTGCCCAGCAGGAGGCTAAAGGGCCTATTATGCTGACAGATGCTCCCTGCTTTAAGTTGGTACAGAATTTAGATGACTTTTATTTTCTGCTTACACCCATTTAAACTGAATTAATATGAAAAAGTAAAATCAAAATTTTGCCATTAAAAACTTTTACCTTTCTAGCAATATATTAAATGATTGCAGATGTCACTGGTAATCTATATTTGTGGTAAGATGTGAAGTTATATTTTTAAAGTTTTATATTTATAAATTGTAAGAAAAAATGTTAATAGTTAATGTGTTACAAATTTGTATTTTGCACAGTTATGACAAATATATCACTTTTGCATTATTGGTATGACGAGCAGATGAAGTGGATGCACAGGTATAATTACATTCAGCTAATCTGTGAGGAAAAATAATTTTACTTACTTAGTTCATTAATTCTTGTTTAGACATTGAGTGGTGGACTCAGGACTATTTTCCCAGATGATTTTTCTACTAGTTCAGAGTTCATTAAATGAAGTTCTGCAGTCATTCCATAAATTCAAGTGAAATGATAATATTTCCTAAATAAACTATAACGTGCATGTATATATTGGAGTTCTCATTGTTATCAAGGATTGAATTCACATATAAATTCATTTTTCTTACAATTTTTTTTTATGTATTTATTTTGAGACAGAATCTTGCTTTGTTGCCAGGCTGGAATACAGTACTGTGATCTCTGCTCACTACAGCCTCAACATCCTTGGCTCAAGCAATCCTCCTGCCTCAGACTCCTAAGTAGCTGGGGCCACAGGTGTGAGCACCACACCCAGCTAATTTTCTGATTTTTTGTAGAGATGAGGTGTCGCTATGTTGCCCAGTCTGGTTCAAACTCCTGGGCTCAAACAGTCCTCACCTTGGCCTTCCAAAGTGCTGAGATAACAGGCATGAGCTGCCACCCCGGCCTTATTTATTAACTGAAAGTCTATTTCTTGAATTATGTATTGATCAATCTAATTATCTATTTAGAGCTTTCAAGCAGCATAACTGGCTGAATTAGACAAAACAATGATGTAATATATTAGTTTCACTGTGTCTATTTAGTCTATTAAAATTTAAAAGAGTGGAAGGCTGGGTGCAGTGGCTCATGCTGTAATCTTAACTTTGGGAGACTGAGGCAGGAGAATTGCTTGAGAACAAGAGTTCAAGAACCAGCCTGGGCAAAAAGCAAGACACTGTGTCTAAAAAAAAAGTTACAAACTATAAAAAATAAAAATAAAATTAAAGAGTACAATTGTAATAAATTAGTATTTGGTGTCCTCTTATGGAAAATTTTCATAACAATATCAAAATCATCTTCATAATACCATCAAAATAATCTATTCATCCTGTCATAATGCTTGTCAAAAATTCTATAGATTTGTAGACAACAATTTGTTTTATGTTAGATACATGTTCTCACTCAGAAGTAGTGACGGTGTCACAGGAAACCTCTGGTTGGCAGTGGCTCTGTTTGAGTTTTGCTCTTGCCTGGTGGGCTTGTTCTACCCACTCAACCAGGCAGGCTGTGCTCAGCTCACGCTATTGCCCAGCTCCCACACCTGCCGAGGTTGAGCCAGGCACTCATCAGCGAGTGATGTGTAAGCGAGCAAGTCAGCATGGGGTCTGGCCACTACACATAGCCAGGCACACAGGCTGCTGTGTGGCGGGGTGGGCAGCTCCAGGTGCCAGCACAGGCTCTGGTTCCATGTAAGACTGTGCTGGATCAGAGGTAACACAAGCGGCTTCCGCTGCCAGCACCAGCGTCTGGACGAGGGGTGTCCAAAAACACGAAGATGCCAGTAACTGCAGACTCCCAAAGTGGGTGTTAGAGTGTGTCACAGCCCTAGATTGGGGAGTCCCGGGGTCTGGGCTCTTCTCTCCCTCTCATCGCCAGCAGTGTGGTGAGCAGCGGTAGGTGGGAGTGTTCCGTGGAGATGTGTTTTAGTCTGTTTGTGTTACAACTCTCAGTCCTGCCACCCTGCTACGGCCTGTGGCTCGTGGGCTGGCCTGACCCTATCAGTGCTTCTTGTCTTGTGGGGCAGCCACCCAATGCTGACGGAGGGCAGGAGGGCTGTAATGTTCACAGCTCTGGCTCAGGGAATCCTGAGGTCTGGGCCCTCAGAAGGGTCACCAGGCTTCACTTCCACAGTCTGAGAGCATGTCACTGTCTGCAGATAGGAGAGCCCACCAGGAGCGTTACAGCCTCTTTAGCTCCCATTTGCAGCTTGAGAAGCCAGCTAGGAAAGTGTTTCAGTGATGTACCAGTCAGGAAGCTGTTTTGGCTCCTTTCCAGCCTGCCATTCAGCAGACCCTGAGTTTTTGTCCTGCGTCCAGGAAGAATAAGTTACACGGACATTGAAGGGTGAGCAGGTCAGAGAAGAGCTTTATTGGGCAACTGAACAGCTCTCAGTGGAGAGGAGACCCAAAACAGGTAGCTCCTATTTACAGGCAGGTAGTCCCAAGGAGTGTCTGAGTCTGGCTCAGTCTGGGGGGTTTTATGGGCTCAGAATGGAGTCAGTGTGTGCTGATTGATCCACGGGCAGGAGGAACTGCATGCTGATTGGTCCTTGGATGGGCCTAGAAAAAGCATCACTTGACTGGCTGAAAGGCGTCAAAGAAGTTCTCACTCTGGGTCATGACTTCACCCAAACTGGCAGTCTCCCACCCAGGCTTCAGGCCATCCCTGGTTTGAAGGTGGGGTTTCACCAGGGACCTGCCCCTTCCTGCCTAGGAACCTGTCTGCCTCCAGCTGCCGTCAACATGCCTTCCACGGCATCCACGATGTCTGCACCAAGAGGCAGCCACAGGCCTCTGTGCACCAAGGGACAGACACAGGCTTGTGCCCGCCCTCCCTCAGCCCCCTGGCCTCCCTCCCGTGGTCCTTCATCCCCAAAGTTTCCTCCTCAGAAACAGTTTCCAGAGGGGCCTGAGGCAACAGGGGGCTGGCATGTCAGCGTGGCCCAAAGCATGCACACACTCAGTCAGGTCATGACAGCACCTGGGCTCAGCTACTGGGGCACATCCACACTTTTGCTCCACCAGGCCGGGTGCTGGGAGCCAGGAGAAGCCAGGGAACAGGAGCACACACTTCCAAGCCTGTGGGGGCAGGGTGCTCCTCAGCCCCCTGAGAACAAAGGGATGACCAGGTCTGAAGCTGTTGCAGGGTGGCTGTAGCTGCACCCAGAAGCGCAGCCTCCCACACACCAACTCAGTGGGGCATTGAGCTCCTACTGGGATCACCTGTTTCCAGCCCTCACCTGCTCCCTTGACTGCACAGCCCCAGCTGCGCCTCCCCCACAGCAGCTGCCGTCCCCACAGCGGCCAAACTGGATAGGCCACTGCTGCCACCACAAATTGTTTAATTTTTATGATTTAAACAATAAGTGGTAAACTTGAGGTTTGTGGATTGTGTTAGGGAATTTTCTTTTTATCTACATCAACAAGAACGTCACTAAAACCCCCACAACATCTACAAGTGTGAAACAACCTGGACAATAAAAACTGAAAAAAGATGATAAAAATTGATCAGTGGAAGTCTGCTGTTATCTTTGCAAAACAATTATACAATATATGATTTTTGAGTGGGTAAAATTCATATTTTTATTGCAAGAAAAAAGACGTAATTTCAAATAAACATTTGGTTACAAAGTCAGAAATATTTCACAATTACGATGTCAAGTTTTATTTATGTTATTTAACAATATTTCTCGTTAACAAAACGCTAACATTTCAATATCCACTTTTGTTATCACCATTGAAAATTGGTATTTAAATAACACTCAGGAATTATATCATATTTATATCACATTTAAATATAATTTTTTCCCTACTGACCTTCTAAGAGCAGAAAATAACAGAAACACACACAAAGGAAATATTTGTCATTGAATAATTTCAACCTCTTGAAAGAAAATAATCCACCCTACTAGTTTTTAAATTAGAGTTTCTGACAAAATTCTCTACTGCAATAAAATGTTTCAAGCCACCATATTATCCATTAGTTTATCAATATAATAAATTATCTATTGATAAATATAATGTGACATGTAAATACCAGCTAGTTTCTTTAGCATAAAAAATTTAAAATATGAGAAATAATCTATTGCTTTTTTATTCTGGAAAATTCTTTTATTTGGTGATCGTCCCATGTTGCAAATGTAGGATTGATTCTATGGGCTTCTGATAGGTGATTTAGAATCCCTTTACATTTTCTAGGATAAGAGTAAATTTTGGTACTTGTCCACCTTACACTAGCATCTCATTACTGTAGCTGTCACATGGATATAACATTGAAATTAAACACAATAGTGGCATACCTGATGCTGACAGCTGTGCATATCTGTGCAGCATTCATCATGACATCTGCACAATTGCTACCTCATCTGGTCCTCAATTAATGTAATCAGGAAGGTGTACAATTCCCAATGCACAAATCACTGAGAAGTCTAAGTTTTACCTGTCTTTTCGTTGCCTAAACTTAATTATTTGCTCTTCACATATTCAATATATTTGCATAAATTACCATATTATACACCTCTGTAGTTGCTTTCCTGTCATCTCTCCTAAGGGGGTGAATATAAATGTCTTCTTACTAAAATTGGCCTTGTTTGAAAAATTATATTTTTAATCTAGAATAAATTGATTTCAGCATCCAGTGGTATCCTATACATTATATGTATTTAATACAAATTTCAGCAACAGGTATCACATGACAAATAAATAAATGGTTACTACAAAGATGTATTCGGTAAGCTTTCTATTTATTTATCCAGATTTTCACTGTCTTCTAGTTTCAGTTATCTCTTCACATTGCACTTGATCTTAAGTCAGGAAGAGTGTTTTATATTTAATATTCTGAAATATCTGGTAATAATTATAAGGCTCATCTAATTCACCTCACTTTTAGAGACAAAAATGCTGGAAACAATCTGTTTAAATCTTTGAAAAACATCTCTCAAATAAATTAATTTAATTTCAGAATAATTTAATTTTTAATCTCACAATTATGAGATTAGCATTATAATAATTTCATGTCTTATTTATGATATCAATGTATTTTATCTGAGGCAATACTACATGTGTAAAAGTTGAGCTGCCCAATGCAGATTAATAAATCAAGACTAAAATATAATTGACTTATATCATATGAACATTTTATTGTAATTGTTTTTTTTCAAGTGAAAAAAATTGTCAAAAATTCTACTGCTAAATTTTACTATTCTGATTTGGAGTATTCTGATTTGGGGATGAAACAGTTAATTTTTTTTCAGTCTGGAAAATTTTAGTCATAAGATTAAAAAAAAAACTTTGTCCATTTTTCTGAATACTAGTAATATCAAATTAATACTGACCAAACAGGCTATTTGCTTACATTCCCTTTCTGTATTCGATTTAGAGAGAGTAATTTGGAGATGAGAAAAGGGAACATGGATATAGCACAAGAGTAATACATTTTTTAGATATAGTTTGAGTGTTAGAAAAATAAACAACATAATATATTTTTGCTGAATTCAATCCCCTTTTATTCCCAGCCTCTTTTCTAGGTTAAAAGTGAAGGGCAAGGAACTAAGATGAAGGTAAGACAATTGGAAGTAAATAAGAGAATAGGAGAGCAATCTTTGGGAAGTGGAACTAAGACCACTGTAAAAAAAAATCTTATTTTTCTATGAATATTTTCAACCCCAGAAAATGAAGAGAAAAATAAAATAATTGGAAAGTAATAACATTTTACAGAATTAAAATATAATAGCATGGTTAAGAGAGATTGAAAGTTGTTTGCAATTTTAAATAAATGAGTTACAAAATTTACCTTTGAAGAACTGCAAGCAATTTTTAAAAAGAAAAAAAAGAATATCATATTTTTAGTACATTGTTCTTAAAAAAATAGTAACTTGGTATTAGAAAGAAGGATGGTAAAGAAACAAATTGAATTACCTTAAAATATACCCCAATTATTCCACATGATGTTTATTTAGATAATTAAAGCTTACAATTAGTACAAAAATATCTGTTGGGATTTTATATGTAATTTGTTGAATCTATAGATAAGTTAATTAATAACTGACATTTAATGATATTGAAGCTTCTCATGCATGAAAACAGTGTTATTACTCAATTAATTCTTCCTTAATTTCTTTCAGCAATGTTTTTTAGTAGTAAATGTACAGGTATTATACATGTTTTGTCAGGTTTATCCTTAATTATTTGTGATTATTTGATGCTATGGTGAAGTTATTTTTTAATCTCAATTTTATAATTTGTATTACTTCTGTGTGTGTGTGTGTGTGTGTGTGTGTGTGTGCGCGCGCGTGCCTATGTATCTATGTAACTATGTATATGCTACGTAGTATTTACCTAAATGAGTGGAAAATTTCCATATACACAGAAATCTACACACAAATGTTTACATTATTGCTCATAATTGCCAACATTTGGAAGCGACAAAGATGCCCTTTAGTAGGTGAATGGGCAAATAAATTGTACTTCCAGACAATGGAATAGTATTAGACAACAAAAAGAGATGAGCTATTAAGCCATGAAAAGACATGCAAAAAACTTAAATGCATATTACTAAATGAAAACAGACAATCTGAAAAGGCTACATACTGTATGATTCCTACCATATGGCATGCTAGAAAAGACAGAACTATGGAGATTAGTAGTTGCCAGGGGTTGATGTAGAGGAAGGGATAAATAGTTTGATCTCAGAAGATATTTAGGGCAGTGAAACTATCCTGTATAATACTATAATGGTGGATATATGTTGCCTTACATTTGTCAAAACCCATATAATATACTGTACCAAGAGTGATCCTTAATGTACACAATAAACTTTGAGTGATGTGAGTACGTCATTATAGATTCATTGACTGTAACAAAAGAACTTCTTCTATGTAGGATATTGATAGTGGTAGAGGCTGTACATGTGGGGGATCAGAGGGGGTAAGGGAAATCTCTGTATTTTTCACTTAATTTTACTGTAACTCTAAAACTGCTCTAAAATTAAAATCTATTTTAATAGATTTTAAAAGGTCATCATTAAACCTAAGGACACCTAGATTTTCTCCTATATTATCTTCTAGAAATTGTATAGTTTCAAGTTTAATATTTAGGTATATGATCCCGATTGAGAGTTAATTATTGTGAAAGATGTAAGATCTGTGTCTAGATTCATTTTTTTGCATATGGCCATCTAAATGTCCTATTAGCATTTGTTGAAAACAATATTCTTTCTCCATTAAAATGTTTTTGCTCCTTTGTCAAAGTCAGTTGGCTATTTGTGTGTGGCTATTTCTAGGCACTCTATTCTGTTATAATAATCTATTTATTTTATCAAAGTCACACTGTTTGGATTACCGTATCTTTATAGAGAGTCTTAAGTTAGTGTTACTCCTCTGAGTTTGTTCTTCTTCTTCAATATTGTGCTGGCTATTCTAAGTTTTATATCTTTCTGTATAAACTCTAAAATCAGGTTTTCAGCTACCACAATATGACTGATTAGGTTGTGTTGCATCTGTATACCACTTTGAAAAGAATAGACACTTCTTAACAATGTTTAGTCTCCTTGTCTGTGAACATAGAATATCTATCCATTTACTTAGATTTTTAAAATTTCTTTTATCAGAGGTTTGTAGATTTCCTCATACAGTTCAGGTATATATTTAGTTATATTTATATCTAAATACTCATCATATTTTGGTGTTAATGTACATGGTGTTGTATTTTCAATTGAAAATTTCAAGTGGTCATAGCAGGTATATAGAAAAATGGTAAACTGTTGTATGTTAACAGGTATCCTGCAATGTTTCTAAAATTGTTTATTGGTTCTAGTAGGTTTTGTTATTGTTGATTCTCTGGGACATTCTACATAGACAAACATAACATCTGTAATCAAATACAGTTTTATTTCTTCCTTCACAATCGATACATATTGTATTTATTTTTATTTTCTTATTGCATTAGCTAGACTTCCAGTATGATGTACATCAGGAGTTGTGAAAGGAGACATCATTTCCTTGTTCCCATTATTAGAAAGAAACCATTAAACTTCTCACCATCAGTATGGTGTTAGTGGTAATATTTTTGTTGATGTTCTTTTCAAGTTGAGGAAGTATTCGTCTATTTGCAATTTGTATACATTTTTAAAAATCATTAATGAGTATTGGGTTTTAGAAAATGCTTTCTGTGTATCTATTGATATGACAACATAATCTTTTCTCTTTACCCTGTTGATGTGATGAATTATATTTATAGGTATACCTCAGTTTATTGTACTTACCTTTATTGTACTTCATAGATATTACTTTTTTTTTTTAACAAATTGAAGGTTTGTGGCATTCTGGTGTCAAGCAAGTCTGTCAATACCAATTTCCTGCCACCCTCCCCCTCAAAAAAATGTGCTCATTTTGTGTCTCTGTATAACATTTTGGTAATTCTTGCAATGTTTCAAACCTTCTCATTATTATTATCTGTATATCTGTTACAGTGATCTGTGATCATTGAACTTTGATGTTAACATTTTAATTGTTTTGGGACACCATGAACTATGCCCCTTTAAGACAGCAAACTTAATTGATAAGAGTGTGTGTTCTGACTGGTCAACTCACCAGCCATTCCCCTGTCTCTGTCCCTCTTCACAGGCCTTCCTATTCTTTGAAAGACAACAATGTTAAATTAGGTCAATTAATTGCCCTATAATGAACTCCAAGTACACAAGTGAAGGAAGGGGATGCATATCTCTCATTTTAAATTGAAAGCTAGAAATAATTAAGCATAAAGAGAAAGACATGTTGAAAGTTAAGACAAACTGAAAGCTAGGCTTCTTTTGCCAAATAGCTAACTTGTGAAGGAAAATGAAAAGTTCTTGAAGGAAACTAAAAGTGCTACTCCAGTGGGCACATGATGAAAGGAAAGTGAAACAGCTTTATTGTTGATTTGGAGACAGTATTAGTGGTCTGAATAAAAGATAAAACCAGCCACAACACTCCCTTAAGCCAAAGCCTAATTCAGAACAAAAGCCTAACTCTTTTCAATGAAGGCTTATAGAGTGAGGAAGCTGAAGAGAAAAAGTTGAAAGCTAGCAGAGATTAGTTAATGAGTTTGGAAAAAAAAAAACTATTTTCATAAAACAAAAAGTGCAAGATGAATGAGCAAGTGCTGATGCAGAAACTGCAGCAAGTTATCCAGAAGATGTAGCTGAGATCATTAATGAAGATGGTTATACTAAACAACATATTTTCCATGTAGACAAAACAGCTTTATATTGGAAGAAGATATGATCTAAGACTTGCATAGCTAGAGAGGATAAGTCAATGTCTGACTTCAGAGTTTCAAAGGACAGGCTGACTTTTTTTCTAGTACCTAAAGCAACTGGTGACTTTAAGTTGAATCCAAAGCTTACTTACCATTCTGAAAATCCTAAGACCCTTAGCAATGATGCTAAATCTACTTTGCCTGTGTGCTATAAATGGAAAAACAAAGAAAGCACATCTGTTTGCAGCATGGTTTACTAAATATTTTAAGCCCACTGTCAAGACCTACTGCTCAGAAAAAAAAAAAAAAATTCGCTTCAAAGTATTACTACTCACTGACAATGCACCTGGTCACCGAAAAGCACCAGTGGAGAGGTACAAAGAGATTCATGTTGTTTTCATACCTGCTAACAAAACATCCATTCTACAGTCCATGGACCAAAAAATAATTTTGAGTTTCAAGTGTTATTGAGAAATATATTTTGTAAAGCTGTAGTTGCCATAGATAGTGACTCTTCTGATGAAACTGGGCAAAGTAAATTAAAAACATTCTGGAAAGAAATAATCATTTTAGATGCCATTAAGAACACTTGTGATTAATGGGAGGAGGTAAAAATATCAACATGAATTAGAGTTTGGAGGAAGTTGATTCCAACCCTCATGGATGACTTTCAGTGATTCAAGACTTCACTGCAGGCAGTAACTTCAGATCTGTTGCAAATAGCCAGACAACTAGAATTAAAGAGGATCCGGAAGAAGGGACTGAATTGCTGCAATCTCATAAGAAAACTTGAATGGATGAGGAGTTGCTTTTATACATGGGCAAAGAAAGTGATTTCTTGAGATTGAATCTACCCCGGTGAAGATAATGTGAACATTGTTGAAATACCAACAAAGGATTCCAAATATTCAATAAACTTAGTTGATAGAGCTGTAGTAGGGTTTGAAAGGATCGACTTTAATTTTAAAATAAGTTCTACCGTGGATATGCTATCAAACAGCATTGCATGCTACAGATAAATCTTTCATGGAAGAAAGAATCAATTGATGTGGCACACTTTATTGCTGTCTTTCTTTAAGAAATTGCCACAGCTACTCTAGCCTTCAGCAATCACCACCCTAATCAGTTAAAAGCCATCAACACAGAAGCAAGACCCTTCACCAGCAAAATATTATGACTCACTGAAGGCTCAAATGATCAATCACAATTTTTGCAATGATGCAATTTTTAATTAAGGTATTACAATGTTTAGACATAATGCTATTACACACTTAACAGTCTATGGTATAGCATAAACAAAACTTTTACATGGACTGGAAAATTTTTAGAAATATGTTAGTTGGTATATTGTGATGTTTGCTTTATTTCGGTAGCCTGGAACTAAACTCACATTATTGCTGTTTGCTTGTATTAATTTTTGAGTGTTGAACTAGCCTTGCCAACCTAGAATAAATCTCACTTAGATATGGTGGATAATTTTTTTATACATTGCTATATTTGATTTGATGATGTTTTGTTAAGGATTTTTGCATCTGTGTTCAAGAGAGATAGATATTTGTCTACACTTTCTCTTTCTTGTAATTTATTTGCTTAGTTTGGTATTAGGATTTTAGAATGAGTTAAGACAGTTCCTTAAATGTTTGGTAGAACTCACCAATAAGCTCATCTGGGCCTGGTTCTTTCTGTTTTGAAAAGATATAAATTATTTATTTAACTTATTTAATAGATACAGGACTATTTAGATTGCTTCTCTTTGTGTGAGTTTTGGTAGTTTGGTGTTTTTCAAGAAATTAAGCTATTTCATACAAGTTATCAATTTGTAGGCATATAGTTTTCATAAAATTCTTTTATTATTCTTTTAATGTTCAGGGAATCAGTAGTGATGACCCTTCTTTCATTTCTGATATTAGAAATTTGTGTCTTTTTGTTTGTTTGGTAGCCTTGTTAGAGCTTTGAATTTTACTGATCTTTTCAGAAAAAACAGCTTGATGTTGTTTATTTTCTCTATTGTTTCATAGTCTCAATTTCATTGATTTCTGCCCTAATTTTTATTATATATTTTCTTTTGCTTATTTTTTATTTAATTTTCTCTCTTGTTCTAATTTATTATCATGGAAACTTAAGTTTTTAAATTTTATATCTCTTTTTTTTCTAGCAGATGCATTCAGTGGTACAAAATTTTCTCTAAGCATTTCTGTACAATACATCCCACACAAAGTTGTGTTATAATTTTCGTTATTTCAAAATATTTATTAATTTTTTGAGCCTTATTATTTGAACCATGTGTTACTTAATTATTTTGTTTAATCTCCACATATTGGGGATTTTTCAGCTCTAGTTCTGTTATTGATTTCTATTTGAATTCTACTGTGGTCTGACAGCATACTGTGTATGACATCTATTAAATTGGTTAAAGTGTGTTTCTATTTCTGTTATTGATTTCTATTTGAATTCTACTGTGGTCTGACAGCATACTGTGTATGATATCTATTAAATGGGTTAAAGTGTGTTTTAATGATTACAATGTGCTCTATTTTAGTGATGTCTCATGTGAATTTAAGAGAAATTAATATTCTGCTGTTTTTGGCTGAAGTCAGTTAGATCTAGTTGACTCGTGTTTCTTTTTTTTTTTTTTTCTCTTTTTTTTTTTTTTTTCTGTGATGGAGTCTTTCTCTGTCGCCCAGGCTGGAGTGCAGTGGTGTGGTCTCCGCTCATTGCAACCTCCACCTCCTGGGTTCAAGAGATTCTCATGCCTCAGGCTCCCGAGTAGCTGAGATTACAGGCACCTGCCAGGAAGCCCAGCTAATTTTTGTATTTTTAGTAGGGACAGGGTGTCACCATGTTGACCAGGCTGGTCTGGAACTCCTGACTTCAGATGATCCATCTGGCTTGGCCTCCCAAAGTGCTAGGATTACAGGCGTGAGCTACTGTGCCCGACCAACTCATGTTTCTGTTCAACTGAATTATGTTCTTACTGATTTTCTGCCTGCTGAATCTGTCAGTTACTGATAGTTGAGTGCTGAAATATCCAACTATAATAGTAGATATTTCTATTTCTCCTTGCAGCTCTATTAGTTATTGCATCACATATTTTGATGTTCCATTGTTAATCACCTCACGTTAAGGATTTTTGTGTCATTCTGAATAATTTACCCTTTTATCATTATATAATGCCACTCCCTGATAATTTTCTTTGCTCTGAAGTCTGCTTTGTTTGAGATTAATATAGCTATTCTAGCTTTCTTTTGATTTCTGTTAATATGATATGATTTTCTCTAACCTTTTACTTTATGACATTATATTTAAAGTTTCATATAGACAACCCACAGTTTGGTCTTGTGTTTTTTAATCCCATTGACAGTCTCTCTTTTAACTAGTATATTTAGACCCTTCATATTAAAAGCGATTGTTAATATGGTTGGATGAATAAATACATTTTTAACTGCTTTCCATATATTGCCCTTGCTTTTTGTCCATCCCATGCGTTATCATTTTAGACAATGTAGTTTTTCATCCCTAGATATTTTGTGTTTGTATTTGTGTGTGTATACATATTTCCCCCACCCCCTACCACCATGTCTCTACCAGGTCCCTTGCCATTTTTATGTCAGGTAATTCTTATCAGATTTTAGACATTTTAAGTTTTCATTGTTGTGTGCTAGATATTTTATATTTCTAAAAATATTCTTGAACTTTTCAAAACTTGTAAGTACTTGGAATTGGTTTTATTCTATCAGTTCTTGCCTCTAAACTTTGTTTGGCTGAAGCACAGCAGCATTTAGTTTAGGACTAATTTTGCCTCACTCCTAAGCAAAACCCATGTGATACTTTGCTTAATACTCTTCTCTTTCATTGTGTGACACAATTTTTTCAAAGACCTATTTGTTTGTTTTGATTTGTTCTCAGTTCATTCATTCATTCTTTTCTATTTTGGAAATCTGCTAAATTTTATGGTTCTGAAAACAATTTTCTTGTCTAAAATTTCCAAGAGTAGAACAGAATGTTTGATTTAAATAAAAGTTTATTTCACTTCTGAATTCAATATTCATTTATTCTTGCCTGAGGAGATATATATATATTATATATATATTATATATATAATATATATATATATATAATATATATAATATATATAATATATATATAAAATATGTGTGTTTATATATATGTATATATGTGTATATGTGTCTGTGTGTGTGTATACATATATATATATATATTTGAAATGGAGCTTTGCTTTTGTTGCCTAGGTTGTAGTGTAATGGCACGATCTCAGCTCACTGCAACCTCCACCTCCCAGGTTTAAACAATTCTCCTGCCTCAGCCTCCCAAGTAGCTGGGATTACAGGTGCCCACTACCATGCCCAGCTAATTTTGTATTTTTGGTAGAGACAGGGTTTCTCCATGTTGGTCCGGCTGGTCTCATACTCGCGACCTCAGGTGATGATCCAGCCTCAACCTCCCAAAGTTCTGGGATTACAGGTGTGAGCCACCATGCCAGGCTTACTGAGGATATATTTCTATAGATACAGTTCCCTTCCTTCCTTCCTTCCTTCCTTCATCTTTCCTTCCTTTATTTCTTTCTTTTCTTCCTTCTTTCTTTTTTATTTTTTATAATTTTTTAATTTTTAATTTTTATGGGTACATAGCAGGTGTATATATTTATGAGATACATGAAGTACAATGTGTGATAATCACATCAGAGTAAATGGGGGTATCCATCACCTCAAGCATTTATCATTTCTTTGTGTTACAAACATTCCAATTATACTCTTTCAGTTACTTTAAAATATACTATAAATTATTGTTGAGTGTAGTCACCACTTTGCGCTATCCTTTCTTTTTGTATTTTGTAAACATGTGGCAGGTTTGTGAGGGCCTTAGCTTGAATTCTGCTAAGTAGATATTTATCTAATGCAATTCTGTTTATTTTATATATAAATGCATTTCATGTATCATCTTTAACCAGGTATGTTATATAGAAACCCAGCTTTCCCTGCTACCAAGGTTGTTTTTGTTGTGTTTCATTTTGTTCTGGCTCCTTTATATAACTTTAACTGGGAACCTTTATTATCATCCAAAATTTCACATTTTTCCCTTTAGCATGAATTAAATGTTCATTACTTCTTGAAGTGTTAAACATTCTCTGATTGGCAGTAAGATTTAATAGCTGATAACTATAATTGGATAGCATATGAATGGGCTGTAACTTTGGCAGCCTTATAAAATGGATCTCTTATTAAAGTCATTTTCTCCCTAGTTCTCTAACCAGTTCAACCTTAGGACATAAAGCCGGATAAGATTCAGAGAATGAAATACAATAGAGATGGTGATGAAATATTTTATTTGCATTATTCTCATGTATGAATGTTTATGTGTTCTAATTCAGAAAATATAATTATCATGTCATAATTGTTTTTCTAAACCAATTCTATGAGTAATACATAGTAAAAATCATCTAGACTCTGCTATATAATCTATGATACCTTTAATTTCTTGTAATTTGGTACAGTTTAGTCTCTTTATTTTATTGGTTAATATGTGAATCTGAAGAAAGGGTATATGACTATTTATATTATTCTTGCAATATTTTTAAGTTTAAAGTAATTTTGAGATAATAAAATACAAATGAGTGAAAAGGTTGGGCAATTACTCATATGTTTTTCTCTTAGCACTTCCATAAACACTGTGCTGACATCCAATTCCCATCACCTGCATTCCTTTGTGGAGGACTTTCTCATTCTTTCAGGTCTCACGTTGTCCCACTAAACCAAGTTTGAAGCACTGTAATTAGCACTCATAGTGATTAGTCTACAATCAATGAGTGACAGAAGATGATTAAAAAATACCCCAACCCTCTTACTACTCAGGTGATATAGCTCTGAGAGGAATGTTTTACATTGCACTTCTGAGGCTCCAGTGGGATTCTATTCTAGTAACCTACATTGGTAACTTCCTTGGTAATGTATATCCATTAGTGGCTACTTTCCTTTTCCCTTCAATAATCTCTTTCCAACATTTCATGAGACAATATAAACTACTTACGCTGAAATTACAGCCCAACCTAACTTAAACAAAGTTTACAAGACCAATGAATGAGTAATGTTAACACCTGATCAATTCTGCCTCCACTTTTTGAGTTGCCAAGATTCAGGATTTTTTCCCAAAGCTGTTTATGCCAGTTGACTGACTGTTATATGCACATAATTTATTTAAACTTATTTTAAGGCAATAATTATATTAATACGAAAAGAGTTTCAGATAAAAAGTGAATTGAATGATTTGAAAGGACTTATTAATAAAGTCAATAAATAACATTAGTAAAATAATTTCGTGTGAATGGTGTTCCACTTAAGTACCTGCGCGTTCATGCTACAAGTGTTCCTTGGGTAAGAGTTCAGATCTGCTCTTAAGACTCCATATGCAATATTCACAGTTTAAGTTAAAATTTATTTACTTATATTTTAATATATCAAATTTCTATTACTATCAACATTAATTTTTTAATTAAATTCTGCACTACTAGGCTCCATTTTGTTATTTTGGTGCCAATAATGAATATCGCTCACCTACGTTCCTTAAGATATGTAGTTGTATGTACATATATCTCAGAATCCTTGGTAAATGTATAAAATCAGAAAATAATTTTTAGTACTGTGTTTCAAATTAAAATAAGCTAAAATAAGCTATTAATTGTATGGAAATCTATTTAGAGCTTATTTCTATTGAAGTGTATCACAGAGTAACAAAAATTACTCAGTATCATTATTGAACTTCTCTAACAGCTACACAGTGAGTTATTCTACTACTTAATTAAAGTCAATATTTTTTGCTAAACTTATTCATCATTCAAGATAGCATTTTATTAATACTATAATGCTCACAGAGTAATCTAATTGTTTTCAAAAATATTCTGAACAAGTTGCTCAATACCCTAGTTAATCATATTGAAGCTCTTTAAATATTTAGGCTTTCAAGACTTTGTTTTATAATCATTTATGTAAATAGTATGTATCTTGGGTATTTTTCAGTGTATTAAGTTTTATTATATATAAAACATGTATTTAGTTATATTTAATTGGTAAACAAAAATATAAAAAACACATGATGCTTTTGTTATGACAGAAATTTGGGCTAAATGGATTTTTAAAACTTATATATTATGTACGTATCATAATAAAAACTTATATGTTTCTAATTTCAGCCTGAATTACATAAGGAGAGAAAAATAATTTATGACATATAGTTTTTAATAGAATGAAAAACTAATAAGCAACAAAAAATATTCTGAAGGCATAGCTAATAATAATTAGACAGGGTAGAAATTTGTTTCCTTATTTGTATTATTACTACATTTTAGATTATTACAGAATAAGATGAGCTTATACTAAATTTAATTTGTCTTTGAATAAAATATTTAGCTCAGTATGTTTAAAACAATATGTCACAAATTTAGAAGTAAGCAATAATCCATTTATAATTATTTCAAATTATTTAAAAATATAAAGTCTATTTCTAAAAATACTCAGGATTTAGGAAATAATAATTCCTGACCTCAGAAACAACATTCAAAATGGAATAGAAATACATAACGAAAGTTGAATGGTAAATTTGGAAAATTTTCAAAGGTCTATAGATTGATATAAAATTTGATATCAGATCAAGTCAGTTTACTTTTTCTGAAAACAAAATGAGAGCTCATAAAATTTAATGTGACCAGAAATACAAATATTATTAAAAGTGTTAGTATTATAGTCATTCATTCCAAAAAATATTACTGAGAATGAATTCTGTACTGAGTTGGTTTTTCTGGGAGGGTTACAGAACAGACAACAAGACAGCCATATTCCTGCCTTCATGAAACATACATGAATATTGGGGATAAAACAAACAGAATGTTTCACAAATGACAAAAACCAGTAACTGGAGATTATTATTCATGATAACAAAAATAATGTTGATATCTTGATGCTTGTGTTTGATAATAAATGTAGAAGACTATTTCAGATGTGATGCTCCCAAAATGATCTCACTAATAAAAGATTAAAAAATGGAAAAATGAAAAATAATGGAACTTTAATGACATTTACAACTTGATTATATTAAAATATCACATATAAAAATAGGTGGAATGAAATGCAAACAGAGATTTAAGAAAAAATACTACATTAAATATTTACATTTAAATGAAGAATGGGCAAAAATAGATGGTTTTCCACAAATTCAAATACATTTCTGTGAACACCAGTCAGAATGCACAGCAAACCAAAGTGTGTGTGTGTGTGCGCGCATGTATGTACAGATTCACATATTCACATGTACACACATGCATAGACACACACATCTGGGATTATTGTATTCACACTTGAGAAACCAAAGATGGAAAGAAATTCTTAAAGGAAGCCAGAGAAAAATGACACATTATATAGAGTAAAGATCAGTATGAAAGTATATTTTTCCTCAGAAACAATGAAACAAGAATAAAATGGATAATAAGGATGATATTTTTATATGGCTGGAAGAAAATATATCTGCCAACCAAGATATCAATAGCAGCAAACATAATCCTCAAAAGTAAAGAATAATTAATGACTCTCAGGCAAACAAAAACAGTAATTAATTGCCAGCAGACCTAATCCACAATGTTAAAGAAGTTCTTTAGGCAAATGAGAGATACGCACACACATGTACACATATGTGTACTTTTTCATATCTTTACAGTGCAATAATTAATATTTCAAAAGGAAATAAATATATTAATTTTTAAATTTTTAATTACTCTAAAATATAATTAATTGTATAAAGCAAAAATAATAACAATGTATCTTGTCAAGGAGTTGTAAACCAGCAGGCCAGCTAGTAAATATTTTAGTCCTATTGCCTTTGTTGCAACTACTTAACTCTGCTACTGTGTCACACAAACAGCCATAGATAATATGTAACTTAAGTATGCCTTTGTTCTATTAAAACCTTATTTTTGAAAACAGGTAGGAGGAGGATTTAAGAACTTCTTTTTGAAAAAAAAACAAACTAGAGAATGATTAAGAAACAATACCTGCTAAGGAATTTTATCTAATAAAGGACTTATATCCAAAATATATAATAAAATCTTAAATATAAACAATAAGGAACCTAATAATCCACTGGAAGTGAGCATGAGCTTTGAACAGACCTAAAGAGATTTATGGAAAATAGGCACATGAAAAATAGTGAACATCGTGAGTCAACATGAAACTGTCCATTAAAACTACACACTTGTTAGAATCTTTACGATTTCAGAAAGTAACAAGAACTAATGATAAAAATGTCTGTAACCTAGAATCCCCCTTTTCTTATCCATTTCTTATCCATTCCATCCTACAGTTAACAGCTATTCTAACTTACAATAGCATACATTAATTTTGTATTTGTACTTTTGATGAATAGTGTCTGTCATACAGTATACACTCTTTTGTATCCGGCTTCATTAACATTACATTGATTCATCTGTTCTGTTTAGCATAGCAGTTACTCTTTTTTATTTCCATATGCCTTGTATAAGTACAACATAGTTATTTATATACTGTTGATATAAATTAGGGTTTTGCATTTTATTTTATTTTATTTTATTTTATTTTATTTTATTTTATTTTATTTTATTTTATTTTATTTTTATTGGGACAGAGTCTCACTCTGATGCCCAGGCTGGAGCACAGTGGTGTGATCTGGGCTCACTGCAACCTGTCTCTAGGGCTCAAGCAATCCCCCCACCTCAGTCTCCCAAGTGGCTGGGACTACAGACATGTGCCACCACACCTGGCTAATTTTTTGTAAAGATTGGGTTTTACCATCTTGCCCAGGCTGGTCTTGAACTCCTGGGCTCAAGGGACCTGCATGCCTCAGCCTCCCAAAGTTCTGGGATTACAGGCATGAGCCACCATGCTTGGCCTAAATTTTTTCTTATTGTGAATAGTGTTTGTATGAATAGTCTACTACACACATTTTGGAAAACACATGTATGCCTTTTTGGCAGGTCTAAACCTAAGAGTGGAATGGATGAGTCACAGGATACACATACGGAAAACTTTAGTAGATCTGCCAAAGACTTTTCCAAAGTGATTGCAACAATTTACACTCCTGCCAACCAACACTTTGTACTTTCCATCTTTTTTTCTTTATTTTATTCATTCTACTTTTGGTGTGCTTGCACTGCTTCGTGACTTTATTTTCTTCCCCTAGTTACTAATTCTATCAGTTGTCTATTGCTGCACTATAAGTCACTACAAAACTTACATGTATTCTAAAAATATTTATTATGTCTCATAATTCTGTAGGTTGTTTGGGTAGCATTTTGGCTGTTTTCAGCTGGGCTCATTCATACAGCATCACTCAGTATATGAGAATGTCCTAGATGGCTTCCCTATCACCTGAGGTTCCTCAGTTCTTCTCCACTTGGCACTTTATTCACTGATAAGCTTGATTTTTTTTTATATGGTGGTCTCAAAATACCCCCAACATTGAAACACTTCCACATGGTAGAAGTTTCAAAACTATTGAGGTCTACATATGTTACTTTCTATTGGTAAAAACAAGTTGCAAGGTATTCCCTGACCAAGGCAAGGGAAATAGATTAAACTCCTCAAAAGGAAAGGCATCAAACTTATTGAAAATATTATTTTTTCTTACTGTCCTGCATGTCACATCTGTCATGGTATAGGAGGCAGTGTTTTTGAGAACTGTTTTCTGGATTTGATATTCTGCTCCATTGGTTTATCTGGGTTTCCTTCAAATAGTACTGCCATGTCTTGATTGATATAATTAATAATAGGTACTGATATCCAGAAAGTAATTCCTCCAATTGATGCAGAATTTTTGCTCCTTAGTTCAGTTAAAATTGGGTTCCTGTCACACGACCAGGAGAGATTAGGCACACAGACACATTGTAATTTGAGGAGAGAGCAATTTATTAAAAGAAAGCTCTCAGCCAAAAAAGAAGAGGTTCTGCTAACAGGCTCCCACCTCACATATTGAATACCAGACCACCACACACATGAACTTAAGAGGTCAGGCTCCTCCCCTCTGCACAAGGTGCAAACCTCCCGTGGCTCCACCCCATTCTCCCAGTGTGCATGTGGGGATTATTCAGAAAGAATCAGTTGAGAAAGGGCAGACAAACAGGAGCAGTTCTCCCTCTGGATCCTGGGTTTCATCGGGACCAGCAGTCTGGTTTTTCAGCCTTCAAAAGTGTTGACTACCAAAGTCAATGTTAGAAACAAATAATAAAGTTGTGATAGAGAGAGTAGACAGCCAAGGGTCCTTGGCAAAATCCCACCTTCAAGCCTAAAACAGCAGAAAGTTTTGCATAGATTTGTTAAAAACTGTATACATTGTTAAAAATATTAGCAAAACAAATATATGCAAAACTTTATCCTTGAATTTTGGGGGCTCAGAAAAAAATGGAATAAATTTTTTAAAAAACTAATGTAATCAAAATTTAAGGAAATATAACATCTTTCATTCATATTTCTGAGAAAATTGTTTCTTTTTTTCTTCCGGTACTCTTCTTATTTTTTGCTAGAATATGAGAAGCTTTAGGAGCTAATTTTTTATTCTTCCATTATCTGGAAAAGATTGTGTAAGATTCTTAACAGTACAATATGATGAAATATTTTCATTTTTTAAAAATCAGGTCAAATTTGTATTTTTTAATTGTTTTACATTTTCTGATAGCTTTCTTTGAGAGTTTTTCTTTCTGTGTTGCCAAATATGCTTTCATAGTTTGGGGTCTTACATTTAAGTCTTTAATGAACTTAGAGTTTATTTTTGTATATGATGAGAGACAGGGGTCTACTTTCAATCTTCTGAATGTGGATATCGAGTTTTCCTGGCACCATTTGTCAAAGAGACTGTCCTTTCTTCAATGTAAATTTTTGGTACCTTTGTAAAAAATCAGTTAACTATAAATAAATAGATTTATTTCTGAATTCTCTTTTCTGTTTCATTGGTCTATTTGTCTGTTTTTTTATGCCGATACCATGCTGTTTTGGTTGCTATAGCTTTGTAGTATATTTTAAAGTCAAGTAGTGTGATGATCCCAAACTTTGTCCTTTTTGCTCAATATTGCTTTGGCCATCTGGGTTTTTTTTTTTTTTTTTTTTTTTTTTTTTTTTTTGCATTTCCATACAAATCTTAGAATTTCTTTTTTCTATTTTTGTGAGGAATGTCATTAGTATTTTAACAGAGACTGCATTGAATGTGTAAATTGCTTTGGGTAATGTCAACATTTCAACACTATTAATTCTTCCAATCTATAAACATGAGATACCTTTAATTTTATTTGTATCCTCTTCTATTTCTTTCATCAATGTTTTACAGTTTATATTGTAGAGATCTTTCACCTTCTTGGTTAAGGTTATTCCTAGGTTTTTTTTTTTTTTTTTTTTTTTTGTAGCTATTGTAAATTGAATTGCTTTCTTGATTTTTTTTCAGATAGTTCACTATTGGTGTATAGAAACACTGCTGATTTTTACACATTGCTTTTATGTCTTTCAACTGTACTGAATTCATTTATTAGTACTAACAGTAGTTTGGTAAAGTCTTTAGAGTTTTCTAGAAATGCAATCATGTCATATGCAACCAAGGACTATTTGACTTTCTCCTTTCCAATTTGGATTCCCAACATTCTTTTACCTAATAACTCTGGCTAGAATTTCCAGTACTCTATTGAATAAAAAATGATGAAATTGGACATTCTTGGCTTGTTCCAGAGCTTAGAGGAAAAGCTTCCAACTTTTCCCCTCATAGTATAATGTTAGCTATGGGTTTGTTATATATGGCCTTTAGTATGTTGAGATATGATCCTTTTATGCCCAGCATGTTGAGAGTTTTTATCATGAAATGATGTCTTATTTTATCATGGTTTTCAGCATCTATTGAAATGATCATATGGTTGTTGTCCTTGATTCTGCTAATTTAATGTATCACATTTCTTTGCTTGCGTATGTTGAACCATCCTTGAATGTCTGAGATGAATTTCACTTGGTCATGGTGAAAGATCTTTCATATGTGTTGTTAAATTTTGTTGAGCATTTTTGCCTGTGTTTATCAGGTATATTTCCCTGTATTTTTCTAATTGTTACATTTCTATCTGGTTTTGGTATCAAGGTAATGTCAGCCTCATAGAATGAGTTTGGATGTATCCCCCTCCTCCTTAATTTTTTGCAAGTATTGGAGTACAATTAGTATTAGTTTTTAAAATTTCTAGAACTGAGCAGTGAAGCCCTCGGGTCATGGGATTTTCTTTAATGATCAGACTATTTATAACTGCTTCAATCTTTACTCATTATTGATCTGTTTAGGTGTTTTATTTTTTCATTATTCAATCTTGGTAAATTGTACATGTCCAGGAATTTATTCATTTCTTCTTACTTTTTCCATTTCTTGGTGTATAGTTTTTGTAATAGTCTCAAGATGTTTTATATTTCTGTGGTACCAGTTGTAATATCTTCCTTTTTATATGAGATTTTACTTGTTTGAGGCTTTTCTCTTCATGGTTTAGCTAAAAGTTTGTATAGTTTTTAATCTTTTTTTTTTTTTACAGCTTTGTTGATTTTTTTGTATTGATTTTTGGTCTCCATTTCCTTTAAAAATCCATTTTGATATTTGTGTGTGTGTTTGTGTGTGGGTATTTAATTGGTTTTTAAATAAGAAATTTTAAAGTTTATATCTAATTATACTTTCTCTTGTGAACTTTAGTATTGTATTTATTAAGAAAGTCATTCAATTTTTTACTTACATAAACATGAAGTTATTTTTGTCATCTTTTTTCTTGTTATTGTCTGCATGATCTAGCAATATATTAATGTATCACTTTCATTTACTTACCTGGCAATAAACATGTGTTTGTGGGGTTTTTTGTTTTTTGTTTTTTTATTGATTGTTACAAGCTTCTTAACTTTTTAAATCATTTCAGATAACCAAATTTGACTTTGTTGCATTTCTCTATCTCATTTATTTTCTATTTC
This sequence comes from Homo sapiens, assembly GCF_000001405.40. Taxonomy (NCBI): domain Eukaryota; kingdom Metazoa; phylum Chordata; class Mammalia; order Primates; family Hominidae; genus Homo; species Homo sapiens. The sequence continues at coordinate 185,452,762 of NC_000002.12, read as the reverse complement.
ATTAAATTCTGCTCTTTTCTACATTGTTTTTATTCTTTGATTATCCTTAGGATTGATTTTTTTAAAATAGTTTCTCCACAAAAACTACAGATGAGAGGATACAAGATGGAAAAGTAAATGACATTTAGTTATTATTCTCTGTAACATTAGTATTTATATGTATACTTTTCTTTGTAAGTATTGTATAAATATGTGATATAGGTTGGCTCTATCTTCCCACCCAGTTCTCATCTTGTAGCTCCCATAGTTCCCTCATTCTGTGGGAGGAACCTGGTGGGAGATAATTGAATCATGGGGGTGAGTCTTTCCCATGCTGTTTTCCTGATAGTGAATAAATCTCACGAGATCTGATAGTTTTAAAAATGAGAGTCTCCCTGCACAAGCTTTTGCTTGTCTGCCATCATGTGAGATGTGACTTTCACCTTCTGCAGTGATTGTGAGGCCTCTCCAGCCACATGGAACTGTGAGTCCAGTAAACCTCTTTCTTTTGTAAATTACCCAGTCTCAGGTATGTCTTTATCAGCACTGTGAAAATGGACTAATACAGTACATTGGTAGAGGTAGAGTGTGGTGCTGCTGAAAAGATACCTGAAAATGTGGAAATAAATTTGGAACTGGGTAACAGGCAGAGGTTGGAACAGTTTGGAGGGCTCAGAATAACACAGAAAAATGTGGAAAAGTTTGAAACTCCCTAGAGACATGTTGAATGGCTTTGACCAAAATGCTGATAATGATATGGACCAATGAAATCCAGGCTGAGGTGGTCTCAGATGAAGAAGAGGAACTTGTTGGGAACTGGAACAAACGTGACTCTTACTATGTTTTAGTAAAGAGACTGGCTGCATTTTGCCACTGCCCTAGAGATTTGTGGAACTTTGAACTTGAGAGAGATGATTTAGGGTATCAGGTAGAAGATATTTCTAAGCAGCAAAACATTCAAGATGTGACTTGGGTGCTGTCAAAGGCATTGTTTTATAGGGGAGGCAGAGCATAAAAGTTCAGAAAATTTGTAGCCTGACAATGTGATAGAAAAGAAAAACCCATTTTCTGAGGAGAAATTCAAGCTGGCTACTGAAATTTGCATAAGTAATGAGGAGCCCAACGTTAATCCCCAAGACAATGTGGAAAATGTCTCCAGGGCATGTCAGAGATCTTCAAGGCTGCCCCTCCCATTACAGGCCCAGAGGAGTAGGAGAAAAAAGTGATTCTGTGGGCTAGGCCCAGGGTCCCTGTGCTTTGTGCAGCCTAGGGACTTGGTGTCCTGTGTTCCAGCAGCTCCAGTTGTGGTGGAAAGAGGTCAGTGTAGAGTTTTGGCCGTGGCTTCAGAGGGTGTAAGCTTCAAGCCTTGATAGCTTCCATGTGGTGTTGAGCCTGCGAGTACACAGAAGTCAAGAATTGGGGTTTGGGAAACTCTGCTTGGATTTCAGAAGATACATGGAAATGCCTGGATGCCCAGGCAGAACTTTGCTGCAGGGGCGAGGCTCTCATGGAGAACCTCTGCTAGAGCAGTGCAGAAGGGAAATGTATGGTTTAGCTCCCACACAGTCTCTACTGGGACACTGCCTAGTGTATCTGTGTGAAGAGGGCCATCATCCTCCAGACCCCAGGATGGTAGGTCCACTGACAGCTTGCACTATGCACCTGGAAAAGCTGCAGACACTCAATTCCAGCTGGTGAAAGCATCCAGGAGGGAGACTATACCCTGCAAAGCCACAGGGGCGGAGCTGCCCAAGACCATGGGAACTTATCTCTTGCATCAGTGTGACCTGGATGGGAGCCATGGAATCAAAGGAGATCATTTTGGAGCTTTAAGATATGACTGCCCACTGGATTTTGGACTTCCATGGGGCCTGTAGCCTCTTTGTATTGGCCAATTTCTCCCATTTGGAAAAGCTGTATTTACCCAATGCCTGTACCCCGATTGTATCTAGGAAGTAACTAACTTGCTTTTGATTTTACAGGCTAATAGGCAGAAGGGACTTGCCTTGTCTCAGATGAGACACTGGATGGTGGACTTTTGAGTTAATGCTGAAATGAGTTAAGAGTTTGGGGGACTGTTGGGAAGGCATGATTGTTTTGAAATGTGAAGACATGAGATTTGGGAGGGGTTAGGAGCAGGATAATATGGTTTGGCTCTGTGTCCCCACCCAAATCTCATTTTTTAGCTCCATAATTCCCTTGAGTTGTGGGAGGGACCTAGTAGGAGATAATTGAATCATAGGGTGAGTCTTTCCCATGCTGTTCTCCTGGAAGTGAATAAATCTCATGAGATCTGATGGTTTTAAAAATGGGAGTATCCCTGCACAAGCTTTACTTCTTTGCCACCATGTGAGACATGTCTTTCATCTTCTGCCATGATTGTGAGACCTCCCCAGCCACATGGAACTGTAAGTCCAGTAAACTTCTTTTTTTGTAAATTACCCCATCTCAGGTATGTCTTTGTCAGGTGCATGAAAATATTCTAATACGGCTGGGCGTGGTGGCTCACACCTGTAATCCAGCACTTTGGGAGGCCAAGGCGGGCAGATCACGAGGTCAAGAGATCAAAACTATCTTGGCCAACATGGTGATACCCTGTCTTTACTGAAAATACAACAACTAGCTGGGCGTGGTGGTGTGGCCTGTGGTCACAGCTGCTCCGGAGGCTGAGGCAGGAGAATCACTTGAATCTGGGAGGCAGAGAATGCAATGAGCCGAGATTGCGCCACTGCACTCCAGCCTGGTGACAGAGCGAGACTCTGCCTAAAAAAAATATAAAAAGATAAAAAAAATTTAAAAATTAAAAAAAGAAAGAAAATGGACAACACGTTTTTATTTTTTCATTCAAAATATATTCTAATTCATACATTCATTTTTATTCTTTCAGCTTTGGATCATTTAGAAATATACTGTCTAATAATATGAGGTTGATAATTCTCTTCTTCTTATTGATTGTTAGCCAAATTCCATTTTGTTTGGAAACTGCACTATACATAATTTCAGTTTCCTTGAAATTGATAAGGATTTCTCCATAGCTGAACATATTTTGGTAAATGTTCTAAATTCATTTGAAAAAAATGTGAATGCACTTTCTTTGAGATGCAGAAGTCTATATATATCAGGTGAAATTTATATTTTTTATTATTCTTTATTTTTCCTGATAGATTTTTGAGAAATTCTATTTCTATATTGCCAAATGCACTATCTTTATTTATTTATTTATTTAGTTAGTTAGTTAGTTTTATTTTATTGTTTTTTTTTTGAGATGGAGTCTCGCTCTGTCACCAGGCTGGAGTGCAATGGCAAGATCTCAGCTCACTGCAACCTCCACCTCCCGGCTTCAAGCAATTCTCCTGCTTCAGCCTTGTGAGTAGCTGGGACTACAGGCAGGTACCACCATGTCCAGCTAATTTTTGTATTTTTAGTAGAGATGGGGTTTCACCATGTTGGCCAGGATGGTCTTGATTTCTTGATCTCGTGATCTGCCTGCCTAGGCCTTCCAAAGTGCTGGGATTACAGGCATGAGCCACGGAGCCCAGCCTGCACTATCTAAATTTATTATTTTGGATATGTATAATTCTCCTTTAGACTGTTACAACTTTATATATTTTATAGCTAGATCATTTGGGTTTATGATTTAGGAGAATGATAAATTGCTGAGCATATATGTAACATTGTGAAATATTCATTTTCATTTCAAACAATGTTTTTGCTTTTTTTTCACAAGGAAGCAAATCTTACAGCTAAAAACAATAAATTGTATTGTGAATATTTGAAGTTTACAGTATAATGATATAGGATTAATATATATAATAAAATAGTTACTGTAATACAGTAGATTAACATATCTATTATTGCTCTTACTCTTTTGCTTGGAGCATTTTATTCATTTGCATATAATATAATTAATAACATATCTGACTTTAAATCTATCATCTATTTTAATTCTACATAGCCCACCTGTATCATGTTTCCTTTTTCTATTTTGAGAGGTATTAATATTTTTTCTATTTTTCTCTAATAGTTGTTAGTTCCATGTAATTATTTGTATTTTTTCAGTATTTGTAACAGATGTTTGTCAATATATTCTAACAAAATTTTTGGTATTAATAATGATTTTCCTTTTTAGTAATTTTTCATGCAATTTAGTTTTACATATTTTAAACTCCAGAAGATAATAAAATTACTTATTTGTACATTCAATATTAACTTATTTTTCTCATCCTCTTTTTTTGGCGCTTTTCTTTCCCTCTTCAATTTGTTTTCACCTAAAAATATTTTTCTTCTCCATGAAAAATTCACTTTGGAATTTCTTTTAGTGCAAGATTGCGACCATTTACTTATATTGTTATTGACTACATATTTTATTATAATGTTTATAGTTATATAAATTTAATAGGTATATGTGCATGTTTGTTACATGAATATATTACATAGCGGAGTCTGGGCTTTTAGTGTAACCATTGCCCAAATAATATACATTGTACTCATTAAATAATTTCCCATCTCTCATCTACCTCCCACCCTTCTACCCTCTAAGTCTTTATTTTCTGTTATTTCACTCTCTGTGTCCCCATATGTACACATTATTTAGCTTCTACTTTACAACTGAGAGCCTAGGTATTTGACTCTCTGTTTCTGAGTTGTTTCATTTAAGATAATGACCTCCAGTTCCATCCATGTTGCTGCAGAAGACATAATTATATTCCTTTTGTCTGAATTGTATTCCAGTGTATTTCCAGTAGTCCAGTATCCATCAATGGATAATAGATCAAGAAAATGTGACATATATATATACAATATATATATGCAGGTGGATATATATATATATATATGCAGGTGGATATATATATATGCAGGTGTGTATATATGTATGCAGGTATATATATTGATAGATACACACACATATGTACATACATGTATATATGTATACATATACATATATGTGTATTTATATATATACCTGTATATATGTGTATATATACACATGCATATACATATATACCTGCATATATATATACACCTGCATAAATATATATATACACCTGCATATATATATATATATATATACACCTGTATATATATATATATATATATATATATATATAATCACATTTTCTTGATCTATTATCCATTGATGGACACTGGTGATTCCATAGATGTGCTATTGTGAATAGTGCTGCAGTAAACATACAAGTGCAGGAATCTTTTTGATATCATAATTTATTTTCCTTTAGCTAGATACCCAGTAGTGGGGTTGCTGAATTGAATGGTAGTTCCATTTGTAGTTATTTGAGAAATACCCATAATATTTTCTGTAGAGGTTGTACTAATTTATATTTCTACCACTGTATATAAGCATTCCCTTTTCTCTGCATCCTTCTAATATGGGTTTTTTTTGTTTTTTTATAATAGCCATTCGGATTGGTGTAAGATGATATCTAATTGTGATTTTAATTTGCATTTCTCTGATGATTAGTGATGAGCATTTTTTTGGCATGCTTATTAGTCATTTGTATATCTTCTTTGAAAAATACCTATTTATATACTTTGTCCAATTTTTAATTAGGTTATTTGATTTTTTTGTTGTTGTTGAGTTGTTTGAATTCCTTGTAACTTCTGATATTAGTCCCATGTCAAATGCATAGTTTGCAAATATTTTTCCCTATTCTCTAGATTGTCTGTTCACTCTGTTGACAACTTCTTTGGCAGTGCAGAAGCTTCTTAGTTTAATTAAATCTTATTTGTCTGTTTTTGGTTTTGTTGCACTTGCTTTTGAAGTCTTAGTCATAAATTCTTCACCTACACCAATTTTCAAGAGAGATTTCCCAGGTTTTATCCTAGGATTTTTATAGCTTTAGGTAATAATTTGAGATTTTAATCCATTTTAGTTTATTTCTTTATAGGGTGAGAGATATGGGTCCAGTTTCATTCTTCTGCATATGCCAATCCAATTCCAGCAACATTTGTTGAAAAGGGTGTCCTTTCCACAGTGTATGCTTTTGCTGGCTTTTTAAAAAATCATTTGATTATAGATATGTGGCTTTATTTCTGGGTTCTCTAATCTGTTCCTTTAATCTATTTCTATGCTAGTACTATGCTGTTTTGGTTATGATAGTCCTGTAGCATAATTTAACGTCAGATAATGTGACCTCCAACTTTGTTCATTTTGCATAGGATTGCTTTGACTAGTTGGGCTCTTTTTTTGTTCCATATGAAATTTAGGACTGTTTTTTTTTATTTTCTAATTCCACGAAAGATGACATTGGTATTTTGATAAAGATTGCATTGAATATGTAGATTGCTTTGGGCAGTATAGTCATATTAACTATATTAATTTTTCCATAGATGCTTTTCCATTTGTTTGTGTCATTGACAATTTCTTTCATTAGTGTTTTATGGTTTTCCTTGTAGAGATCTTTCACCTCCTTGGTTAAATATATTCCTAGGTATATTTTTTTGTAGCTATTTTGAATAGAATTGCCTCCTTTAATTTGTTCTTAGCTTAATTATTATTGTTGTATTGAAATACAGTAATTGTACATATAAATTCTAGATTGAAAGTTGTTTTTCTGTTACCTGTTTGTTTCTTTCCTTATGTCAAATTTTGTCATTCTACTGACTTTTGGCTTTGATTATCTCTTTTGAAAACATGAAAAAAATCAGCTCCCAATGCTAATAGTTTATAGCCCTTTATCTTTTCATTATGGACACTTTTATATACTTATTTGATGTTACTTTATTCTCAGTAATTTGACTATAATGTAACTATTGTGGTTTTCTTTGAATTTATCTTGTTTTTCTCAGCTTCATATATATACACACACATATATATGTGTGGGTGTATATATATATATTTCTGTATATGAATATTTCTCAGGATATGGCCACAATATTCTGTCATATACATATATAATACACACACATATATATGCATATGATTATTTCTCAGCGTATGGCCATGATATTCTGTCATAAAAAAAGATTTTAAGACCACTGTGTGCTTTGAAAAGATAGCCGCCATCAGTTTCAAACAAAGTGTTTAGAGAAATGCTTACAGATTTTGGATACATGTTGTTCCTTTGTCATCATATCGATTGGCTGATTTAGGCAAATCCCAGATTACAATCATTTGAGAAATAATTGGAGGTGGACAAATAGATAATGTGTATTGACAATTCATACATGACATTATTATCAAAAAGAAAAGAAAAAGGTACAGCAGTAAATAAAAGGGAAAATGATAAGAAAATGCTTGAGGTTATAAAATAAACTTGACCATATTTAAAGGCTAATATGAGGAAATGTTTGAGATATAAATGAGAGAAGATAATTGATATTAAATCTCTTCTGGAAATAAATAGGCTGGAATTGAGTGAATAGTTAGAAGATTAGCATTCAGAATGTAATAGAATTTTTCTTATAACATGAGAAAACAAGAAACAGTGTATATAATGTGTATGTGTGTTTATGTGTATAGGTGCAGATATAATTTTTTTTCAGATTTGGTATATGGAAGCTGTGTTAGAAATATTTGATGGCATATTTTCACTATGAAGTAAAATGCAAGGTCATTTGCTAAAACCCATTGGGAATGTTAGAAGTTTGTGGAAGTTTTCAGAAAGGGAATTATTTTAAATGATTATTATGAAAATGGTGAAATGCTCGAGTGGGATTTCTGAACATTGTCTAGCCATTACATGAGATTTGAGACAATGGATTTTGTGTAGTGTCACTACCACCATCTGGACAATTTTGTCCAAAATATCCATGGGTTCTATTATAAAACAGAGAAAGTGACTATTTAGATTTTTTTCAATGTTTGAGATTTAAGGAAGGAAATCTGAAATTATAGGCATAAGCACGGTGAAAAAATAGGCCATTTTCCAGAGATTCAGAGTAAGCAGACAGCACATAGCTTATATATAAAGAGAAAATAAAGTATTGAGGGAAGAGGCAGGGCCAATATATAAGGAAAAAAATTTATGTGGAAAGAAAAGGAAGAACATTTGAAAAGTATAGATTTTAAATTGAGCATTTTTTTCCCCAAGATGAGGGGAAACATTAAATATATAGTAATGAAAATACACGGACATGGCCTTGGAGCAAAACTGATTCAATAATAAGCGTACCAATTACAGTCTTAATAGGATCTTTGAAAAAATTGAATGAATTTCTCATTAAATAAGGTATTAACAGCAGAGCTCACTCTAGCTAGAGAAAGCATAGTTTAAAATTCTGGATATGTCTTAGTAATAACAGCAACATACTATGTTGCAAAATTTAATTTAGTTGAGGTTGCTTTTCAATGCATGGAAAGAAAATAAAGAACTGAGAATTTTTTCCAGAGTTTTCTCCTTTAAAATTTTTTAATTTTTATATATTTAGAGGGTACAAATGCAGTTTTCTTACATGCTTCCACAGAGTTTTCTGTGAGATATTTAGCTATGTGAAAAAGACAAAGTTCACACTGAGACATCCATTGCTTCTAATTGTTCCCACAACTCCAATAGTTCTTTTGTGCTCCTTTCCATAGTTAATATGAGGATCTTTAATAGAATTTACAACCTTGCTGCTTAATCTCAGTGTCCGGCCGTTTCTTTCTGCACATTGTGTTGAGAGCGACTGCTCTAGTTTCCAAAGGTCTCCCAGTCATGATATTGTTCCCTGTCTAAATGGCTTACTATCAGTAGGGAGGTGAGAATAGTCTGCACTGGCTGCAGTCAATAAAGGAATGCATTTTCTGTGAAGAATTTTTAAATAACTTTTAAAAGTCCTAATAAAGTGAATAAAGTGCAAGTATTCACAATTCTAAATAATGTCAGTGATTAAAATGTCCCTTCCTGAAAAATAATTGGTGACCTAAATTCTAAACAATTGTTGTAATTACTGATTTTTAATACAAGGTGTTCTTGTTTTGTATGTTTCTTATATCCACATATTAGTTATCATAGTTTAGTAAAATAGTACCGGTGTCCAAACAACACAGTTCAAATTTTAGCTATTACACTATACTAAATATGAGTAGTTGTGTGAACTATAAAGTTTATCCCTAGCTCTTTCACCCAAAAATTATTATGTGAATAATACATGCATATCATAGTCAGTGACCAGTCATGCCACTTCTTTCAAGTCTGCCAATGACTGACCACTGCACCTGCTTTTCAGTTCATGAACACACAGCAAGGCCTGTAGTTGTACTAACTCCTTGTCATGAAGTGATGAACCCACATGGCAGTTACAAAAATGGATAACAGAATGAGGCAGTTGCCTAACAAAGATGTAAATACATGAAATGTGATAATGTAAAAATAAAAAAGTAAAATATCAAAGACATATAAATAGAAATATAGAAGAAAGAGCTGATTATGGGAATGTTAATGCTGCCACTATACTAGAGACTTTAGATATGCAGCCAGAGGATCTTAGTTAAAATCAAATTTAGAGACATAATGAGGAAAAATGGTTGCAAGGATGAAGATAAAAATTCCTAGAGAAAGTAGCATCAGCAAAACCACCACATTGAAGGAACCCTCATCGATATATCCTGATATTGAAAGCACAAAGATAAAAATACTGGAAGCGCAACCAAATTTAGAATGGAATATGAAAATACCCAATACATAGAAAAGACACTCACTCTGTCATAAATTATACAACAAGAAGGCAAGTCTGTCTATTGTTTTTACTAAAAAATAAAATACTTTAATTTCAACATTTTTAAAATATGGGTACATATTACTTTTACTATTATTTTTATCTTCCTATACATTTACAATCAACAGCAAGAGCATTCCTTGACAAAAAATTGTAATGGTCAATGGAACAATTGTAACTTTTCCAATTGATATTTCAATCACTTTTCCTGATTTCAGCTTGTAAGGTTATTCTTACTCTCTGGACTACCACATGAAGGAGAGCCTTTATTATACCAAAATCATCAAATTAGAGATCTTATTCATTAATCTTTTTCTTAAAAAATGTTTTTTCATTTATCTATTTGGACTTAATCTTTTCTAGGTAGGCCTTTCTCCATGCATTTTCCTTAATTACATTTTGTCACAACTTCCTGCTCAAATTATTGGAAAATATAATTCTTGCAAGGGCCAAACGTTAACAATCTTAATATCTAGAGTTAGTTACCCATTTAGGAAGGTTACAATCTTTTGTAACATTGTACTTTACATGGAAGATCATTTGAAGAACTCCCAATATTCAGCAAATACACATCAACTCAGCTACACATATTCATTTAAACAGAAAATTTGTAACAGTTTGGAACAATTTGAGTTCACTTTGGACAAAATTCGCTTCTCCAACCCCTATGGCACTATTTATTCTTGCAATTAAACAGTAAATTTGAATTTACCAATATTAGCACTATGTCTCTTCAATTTTGTCCTTTTGTGTGATCATTTGAAGTTCTTTTAAAAATGTAAAATTTAAACATTGCAGACATTAAGCCTCAAAACAGATGTTGTACTTTGATTTTTATTACTGTAACAGAGTACTATGCAGGCATAAATTTTATCTGTACTTCCAAAAATGCATTAATCAATTTAAAACTCCCAATCCCTTGCTTTTTGGTTTCTGTATAGTATTATTTATACTGATTAACTTTGTTCTCATTGCTTCTGATCTGACTTTAACTTTACCCTGCTCTTCTAAAAAAGCTTTATCCTAGCATCCAGCTTTCTGTCATTCTAGCATCCATCCTATTTCTGCATCTGAGCATTCTCTAGTTAACTTGCCTGATAGCTGTTTCAGTCTTATAAACTCTTCCATCCAAAAAGTGCAGTCCAATTTCTTGTGTCAAACCTTGTTTGCAAGATTCTTCTTTCCACACAAACTTCCAAAATGCCAAAAACTAGCTTAATTATGTTTTTAAAGATTGATGCCTCTTAGAGGAACATTTTTTTTCCTTATACATATCAGCCATCTTGATCACTTCTTGTTGGCATCAGTTTTTAAACCCTCTTCCCAAATCTGCAGCACTGTCCATTTCTATAGACTAATACTAATATTATCTGTTAGCACATTTTGAGTATAACACATTGTCACTGTCAGGCTGCTCTTCCTTCCAAGACCTGCAGGTGTGTTGGCAACATTCTGTCTTCTAAGTGTTTCTGTCCAAGCCTAAAGCTTGCTCAGTTTCTCTGTTCCTACTGAAGTGAAACAGAATATGCCTTGTTGGGTCCTAAAAAATGCCTCTGCCTATTAAAACAAGTTTTTCACTGTTAAATTTATGGCTCATAAACTTATTTGTAAATTGTTGTGCATAGTAGATACATATTGTCATAAAATGTCACTTCATTTGTGTACTGAGCAATCACATCAATTGCTAAGTAATAAAAGCCAAAGGTTAAATATACATCATAGTAGACTGACAAAAATATTTAAGTCAATTTAATTTAATTTGTATTATACTCTTATGCTCATGAATGATATTCAAATTGGAAATTTAGGAAATACAAAAAAGGTAACAGGAAAAATATCCTTTAAACCAATACCTGAGTGAAATCACTGTTTAAAAAAAATACACATATGTGCACATACACACATATATTTTTTTCTGTAACATAGTTATAGTTTTAATTTTCATTTAATCATGTTTTGTTCATTTTTTATGTCAATAAATGTGAAACATATTATGGTTAATTTCTGCATAGTATTCTACGAATATAGAATATTTTACGTTAAAATTTTTCTATTATTGAACATTTAAGTTCAGTTCAATTAGAAAATATCAATCTTCACTTTAAGAAATCAATGTCAACTTTTCTTTTAATAGCTAAACTAACTGTTTATGTTTTATTATCTCTCCCATTTTGGTACCTCCTTGGTTTTCCCTACAGTAAAAATGTATTAGCTAATGAACAATTAAGTTATAAAAGTATTATGCCATTTATGAGCAAATCAGCAAGTGAGGAGTTAACATAAATTTATTTCAAGGAATTTTAGTCAGAAGATTTTATTATGAATAGATGTTGGGTATAATGCCTTTACCTGTACTTTCTAAGTGACTTATGTGACATAAATGCCTCTATAATTATCGAGTAGCATATTATTTCTCACAAAAGTAACACATAAAGGATATTTTCCCATATTATTTTAGCTTACCACTATATAAAACTGAATTTTATGAAAAAATATATTAGTGTAAGACTGCTAGTACTATATGAGCACACATTTGATGACTACATGAAGCTGAGGCAGGAAAAATGGGGTTTACCAGAGTGTTGCTCTTGTGAGGTTAAGAAAGAGTATATTTATAATAGAGTAGACTTTTAAAAATTGCGTTGGTTGCTTGTGGTTTGGGATTGTCATTTATTTCCAAGTGTGACAGGTATGGGTTCATTTCCAATCAAATTATATAATGCAGCCTGGGAAACATGTTTTTTCTACAGAACACTGGAGTAATATAGAGAGGTTAATGAGAAATTAGAAATAAGCTGCAACCAGAAGAGAGAACATTATCAGGGAATAAGTGAGATTAACTCCACAGTAATATGCAGTTAAGACTGTACTGGATGGCTGTCAGTCCTTTTTATAACATTGGCACCTGATTGATGCTGCTAAAAGTTTTACTCTAATACAAGATTTAATTACCAAGTAGCCAGTTACACTGAGATGGTCATCGATTTTTATCAAATTCCATTCTCAAATTCCACTCTGGTAATAATAAACATAGAAAAGCAAGATTTTGTCTCAAATAGTATTCACATGTGTGTCAGGTTTTTATACAGGCATCTTCAATAGCATAGAAAAAATTACCTTCATAGAGGAACTGAAGAAATGTGGAAGAATAGAAAACTAACTACATATGAGCATTAACAACATAAAAAAAGCCAAGAGTATGATTTCTGTCATGTCGTTAGACCTCAGTTCCAGTAAAATGAAAACAGTTAGTAGGTACAGTTAGTTGTATGTGCATAAACAGAATTCTACATCATTTAATTAGTAAAAAATTACCAGATTCCCACTTCCTAAACATATCCTATTTTGACCTAGAACTAAAATATTCATCTACATCATAGGGTTATTTGCTATATTGCACAAAAATTACTTTGAATATTCTAAACATATTCTTATCTCTACTGTTTTTATTTCTTTAAAAATTGTTATTGACATGCATAGTCTGTGTTATGATTCACAATTAAGTCTCAGGATGAAAGATCTGAAAATTGCACCATAATATTAGCACTCTAGTGACTATATCACATTAAAGGAAGAGTGATTAATTAGCATTCTATTATTTAAGAAATGTACATCATCTAGTTTGTAGGAGTTGGCATTGTTTCATGGGAACCAATAATGCTGATTACTTTTTTAAATGTAACATTTTTTATGATTTTGTTTTTCAAAAACAAACCACAAGTAAACATTATAATTTACAGTTGAGATTATTCATTTATGAAATACTAGCATCACTAAATTTTCTATCTTTTAATCTCAGATAAAGTCCCACAACTTCACATGAACTTATTATATTACAATATCATTGTTAATATCTTATTTAATGTATTATTTTTTCAGCTTTGTCTTTGATCCAGTGCATATGCAGCGATGTCCATTGATGTAGAATTCCATGTTAAAATAACCTGAATAAAAAATACAGCTGTTTGGCAAATAACCTATCACTAAATCAAGAGAAGTGTCACTGAATACAAGGCTAGAGAAAAATGTAAGATTGTGTCCCAAAAATAATTTGTCTGTGGAAAATGCATCTTTTGAGGCTTTTATACCATGAACTAACTATATTTCCACGTGAACGACATTTTCTTAGTGCAAATTGGGGCTATAGACATTTAGATGCCTGGGAAGATTTGTGAAATATAAAATGTATTTTGCAATCCTTTTTCTTATTATTGGGGATTGGAGTCTGAACTCAAGAAGCTGGAATAATTAAAGGCTGTAACAATATCCTCAAAGCTGCAACTTAGTAATTGATGAAGAAAAACTATCACTCAATAAGACTTTTATCAGCATAAGCCCGCCATTTCTGTGTTGTATGCAAACTCCAATGACCCAATCACTTGGAAACAAGAGGAATCAGATTAAGGAGAAATTTGAAGAATTCATTTTCTCAATTTTCTTTGCATTTATTAGGTTGGTGCAAAAGTAACTGCAGTTTTGCCATTAAGAGTCATGACAAAAACAGCAATTACTTTTGTACCAACCTAATATAAAATGAATTGTGAGCTTTTCTCAACTTCAAACACTTTCAGCACTGTTTGGAAATGTGTTTTTATTATTCTGGGACTTCCTTCAAATGACTTATTTTCTTTAAATCCTTTTGTGTCTCAAAATAATTTCTTAAGAAGATCTTGATTCTTAATTTATTTTGAAATTTACATGTGCCACATTAAATCTGATGATATCTGATTTAATAAATATTTAAGACCTTGCTATGAGTCTGACATCTGACTAGTGTTTAGAGATATAATCAGTTAATGTATTTAACACTGTGTTTTTTCTCACATGTATCTCTCCCACACTTTTTTTTTTTTTTTAACCAACCCTTTCATCTGCCTTCCTTAAATGACACAACAGACAAAGCACTCAATTGACCCAGTAGTCCTCTGGATGTAACACAATCATATCTCTGTTCTTACAGCAATCATCCTCACATGAATAATTAATTTATCTAATATTCTCATTCCTAGCACCTTGTTTTCCATAACTACCATTCTAATCTATTTTATTGAGCTTCTCCTTAGATATTATTAATGTTTTTCTACTAGCTCAATTCAAAGAAAATCCTTAAAATCTCAGATTCATTTGATATGATTAATCATTCCTCATTTATTGTACTATGAATTTTATCTTCCTAATCTCCTATCTTAGTTCCGTGGTTTACTTGCCTGTTTGTGCCACTCCTCTGTCTTTAAGTAGACAATCACCAGCACTCCTTGTTATATTTCATAATTTACTTTGTAGAAAGATTTAAGCTTCAACTAACTGCAAACCCACATCATGCTGTCTCCTTGTGAAGTTCTCTTACTTATATCAATACTCATATAGTATTCATAGTTTCCTAATCTCTTGATTCTGAAGTGACTTTTAATTACTCTCATTTATTCATTGTATTTATTTAAATGTAATTTTCTCACATTTATACTATTTAATTCTGTTTGTGTCACCATCTGAATGCTATTTGAGACCTAAGTCACCTGACACCTGCTAACTGATACCATTTTCTTTCCCCACTTCTATCTACTTCATATGTCACTGTATAGGACACTGATTACAAAACATGGCTATGCTATTTCAAAATAAGCAATTTATTTAATCTCTCTAAATCATGACTTCCCCAAATGGAGATAATAATATCTACCTCAAAAAGTTGTTTTGCATTAAATAATATATGTAAAATCCTTTGGAAATTGCCGAATACATTAATTAGTACATAAACATTAATTTTTAAAATTACCAAATAAACCATCAAAATAAATAACACATTTTCTCAGGTGTCCATCCTGGTTTAGAATAACTACATTTTCTAAACCAATCCCACATTCTTAAAAATGGCAAGGGAAGCCTTTGATAGTGTCACAGCTTTGTGGCATGTCAACATGATTCAGCTCCACTATAGTGCCAGGTAATTCAAACAAACAGTAATCTAGGTTCTGCTGTGAAATGATTTTACAGATGTGATTAAAGTCTCTGAATCATCTGACTTTAAATTAATCTTAGGAAGATTATCTTGGGTGGGTCCTTTTAAAGAGGATTTGATTTTCCTGTATTCAAAGACTTTATATAGTTTGTACACATGGGGTTACAGGCTGCTTCTGATTTTCTCTTCCTGACTACCTTCCCTCTGAATTTCAGACTTGCTTAACCAGGCTCCATAGTTGCACAAGACAATTATTTGTAACATCTCTCTCTCTGTCTCTCTCTCTCTCTTTGTCTCTCACTCTTGTTTTTACTCTTACTCTCTCTATATATACATATAACCCAATAATAGTTTTCTTAGATATTATTAACAGTTTGAAGAGGGTTTAGGACTCTTCTGAACCCTCCAAGAAATATAAATTTTCTCCAAGAAACTACAAACCCCATACTCCATCGATCTTGCACTTGTAAAAATTATTATAAACTAATAGTACACTTGGAACAGTTAGCTTATTGACTCAAACAAATCATTTTCTAAAGCCTGACATATAGTAAACAATCAATATTTTTAAATGAATTAATGCCGCTTATATTTCTTTAATCAGCCTGAAAATTAATGTGAGTAGTTTTTTTTCTCATGTGACTCTGTATTGGAATAATCACGTTTATATATGTGACAAATATTGGTCTGCTTGAGTATAATAGAAGATTATCAGTGACAGAGTTTGTTGACTAATTAAAAAATAGAATATCTTCTCCATTGGAAATTTTAATATGTTGGGCTTCATCTCCCTTCTATAATGGTTATCCTTCATCTCAATAACATCAAATTGTCCATGAATTAAAAGCCAGAATTGAAAACTGCAACCCTTTAATTAAAAATATTCTATTAAGTGTCAGCATTTTAAACTTCTATACAGCTTGATAGCATGTGGCTAATTTAACTTAGGCCATTAGGAATTAGCCACGAAATGAGAGAAAATATTTGCGATATATGCATCTGACAATGGTCTAATATCCAGTATCCATAAGAAACATAAGGCCAGGCATGGTGGCTCACACCTGTAATCCCAGCATTTTGAGAGGCTGAAGCAGGTAGATCATGAGGTGAGAAGTTCAAGATCAGCCTGGCCAACATTGTGAAACCCAGTCTCTACTAAAAATACAAAAATTAGCCAGATGCGGTGATGGTCACCTATAATGCCAGCTCCCCAGGAGGCTGAGCTAGGAGAATCGCTTGAACCCGGGAGGCAGATGTTGCAGTGAGCTGAGATTGTGCAACTGCGCTCCAGCCTGGGAGACAGGGCAAGACTCTGTCTCAAAAACAAAACAAAACACCATAAAAAATACAAGAAAAAAATCTCATTAAAAAGTGGGCAAAAGACATGTATAGAAACTTTTCAAAAGAAGACCTACATGTGGTTACCAAGCATATGAAAAATAACTCAACATCACTGATCATTTGAGAAATGCAACTCAAAACTACAATGAGATACCATCTCATACCAGTCAGAATGGCTACAATTAAAAGTTAAAAATAACAGATGCTGTCAAGGTTGTCGAGAAAAAAAGAATGCTTATACACTGTTGGTTGTAGTGTAAATTAGTTCAACCATTGTGGAAAGCAATGTGGCGATTTTTCAAAGAGCTGAACACAGAAATACCACTTGACCCAGCAATCCCATTATGGATCTATACCCCAAGGAATACAAATCATTCTATCATAAGGACACATGCACATGTATGTTCATTGCAGCATTATTCACAATAGCAAAACATTGATTCAACCTAAATGTTCATTAATGGTAATCTGAATAAACAAAATGTGTTACATATTCACTGGAATACTATGCAGCCATAGAAAGAGATACACTGGGAATACTATGTAGCCATAAAAATGAGATCATGTTCTTTGCATGAACATAGATAGAGCTGGAGGCCATTATCTTTAGCAAACTAACACAGAAACAAAAAAACTAAATAGTGCATGTTTTCCCTTATAAGTGGGAGCTAAACAGTGAGAACACATGGACACAGAGAAGGGAACAACAGACACTGGGGCTTAGTTGAGGGTAGAGGGAGAAAGGAGGAAGGGGATCAGAAAAAATAACAATTGGGTGCTAGGCTTAGTACCTGGATGATGAAATAATCAGTACAACAAAGCCCCATGGCACCAATTTACCTATATAACTAACCTGCACATGTACCTATGAACCTAAAATAAAAGGTTTCCTTTTCAAAAAGAAAAGACTGACTTCCCTCAAAGAAGAAGGAATTCTGCCAGCAGGCAGCATTCAGACTCCAACTACAACACCAATGTTTCCTGGGTCTCCTGCCTGCCAGCCTACCCTACAGATTTTGGACTTACAAGCCTCCATAATTATATGAGCCAATTCTTTAAAATAAATAGATGATAGATTAGATAGATAGATAGATAATATAGATATAGATAGATATAGATGGACAGACAGGCAAATATAGACACCTTAATGGTTCTGTTTCTCTGGAGAACTCTCATACAAGTATTAAAAAATTATGATAAAATCATGAAATGAAGATGGGGAAAAGATAAAGCAGGGATAAAGTTATCTCCAAGATGCATGCCATAGATCTTGCACACTTTATTAAATATGGGGCACAATTTTGACTCTGAGATTCCTATCAGCTCAAATAAGTAAACCTAATCATATAAATAATTTCAGAGAACCCATAAAATGAAATACAGTTCACTCTTAAACAATGTAGAGGTTATGGGCACGTAAAACTAATGTAGTCAAAAATCCAAGTATAACTTTTGACTCCCCCAAAACTTAACTACTTATAGCCTACTGTTCATGGTAAGCCTTACCAATAATATAAACAGTCAACTAACACATATTTTGTATGGTACATTTATTTCTATGCCATATTCTTACAATAAAGTAAGCTAGAGAAAATAAAATGTTATTAAGAAAATCATAAGAAAGAGAAAATATACTTGCTGTTCAAGTGAAAGTAGATCATCATCAAGGTCTTCAACCTTATTATCTTCACAGTAAGAGGATGTGGAAGAGGAGTGATTGATCTTGCTGTCTGAGGGGTGATAGAGGCAGGAGGAAATTCATGTATACTAACCATCAGAGAAATGCAAATGAAAACCACAATTACATTCCACTTTATATCAGTCACAATGGCTGTTATTAAAAAGACAAAAGATAACAGGCCCTGACAGGGCTGCAGAGAAAAGGGAACACATACATTTTTGGAAGGAATGCAAATTATTTCAGCCATTGTGGAAAGTAGTTTGAAGATTTTACCAAGAATTTAAAACAGAACTGCCATTTGACCCAGCAATCCCATTACTGGGTATATACCCAAAGAAAATAAATCATTCTACAAAAAAGACACATGCAATTGTGTGTTCATCGCAGCACTATTCACAATAGCAAAGACATGGCATCAATTTAGGTACCCATTGACAGTGGATTAAAGAAAAAGTGGTTCATATACATTGTGGAATACTATGTTCCGTAAAAAGGAACAAAATCATGTCCTTTGTGGCAACATGGATGCTGCTGGAGGACATTATCCTAAGTGAATTAATGAAGAAACATAAAACCAGATACCACATGTTCTCACTTACAAATGGAAAGTGAACATTGGGTGCACATGGACATAAAGATGGGAACATTTGGCTGAGCTCAGTGGCTCATGTCTGTAATCTTAGCACTTTGGGAGGCCGAGGCGGGTGAATCATTTGAGGTCAGGAGTTTGAGACCAGCCTAGCCAACTGGTGAAACTCCATCTCTATGAAAAATACAAAAAAAATTGGGTGGGAATTGCGGCACATGCCTGTAATCCCAGCTACTTGGGAGGCTGAGGCAGGAGAATTGCTTTAACCTGGGAGGTGGAAGTTGCAGTGAGCCAAGATTTTGCCGCTGCACTTCAGCCTGGGTGACAGAGGGAGACTGTGTCTCAAAAAACAAAAACAAAAAAACAAAAAAAAAACAACAGATGGGGACAATAGACACTGGGGACCACTAGAGGTGGGAGAGAGAGAGCAGGACAAGAGCTGAAAAGCTACGTGTTAGATATTGTGCTCACTACCTGGGTGATGGGATCATTTGTACCCCAAACCTCAACATCACATGATAAACCTATGTAACAAACCTGCATATGTACTCCCTGATTCTAAGATAAAAGTCAAAATTAGAAAAAAAAAAAAACCACAAAAAATGAGTTAGCTATTCAATAACCTGGCAAAATAATGGAAAAAAAGTTAAAGAACACCATCTCCTCAATACATAAGTAATCAATAGACACACTGTATTTTAAAATATGCCTCAAGAGAAAAACCATACACTCACCTAAACAAAAAAAATGGTTTCCAGAAAAGGACAATACAATTAATAAATTTCTAGAGAGACTAAGATTAAAAAATACAAATTATTAATATCGGGAATAAAAACAGAAGGTATAGCTACAAATTCTACAGCCACTAAAAAAGTAATAATGAAAAGCAATGAACAATTCTACACTTATGAATTTGGCAATTTAGGTGAAATGAACCAATTTTTTCAAAATTACAAACTATCAAACTCATACATATGAAATAGAAATTTAACTCACAATTAAAAAGCTTTTAAAAAGCCAAGAAAGTATCATTGGAAACAAACAGGCCCATATGATTTCACTAGAGAACTGAACAAAACTTTTAGAGATGAATTGTCACCAATTCCAAACAATCTATTCCAGAAAATAAAATACAAGGAACATTTCTAGCTCATTTTATGAGAACCCTATTACCCTGATGACAGAACCAGACAAAGGCATCACAGGACAAAGAAAACTACAGACCAATACCTCTCATGTACTTAGATGCAAAAATTCTCAACAAAATACTAGCAAATCAAAATTAGCAGGATATGCATGTAATTATACACCATTATCAAGTGCAGTTTATTCCAAGAATGCAAAGCTGTTTCAATATTGGAAAACTAATCAGTGTAACCCATAATATCAATGAAATAATAAATGAAAAAGCACAAGATCATATCAATTGTTGCGAAACAAAATTTGATAAAATCCAACAGCTGTTAATTATAAAACTTCTCAGCAAACTAGAAACAGAGTAAAATTTCTTCAATTTGATAAATAATATCTATAAAAAAACTTAGAGCTCACTTATGCTCATTCACCTTATTCACTTTAACATCATACGTACTGGTGAAAGACTGAATTATTTTCTCCTAAGATAGGAAACAAGGCAAGGGTGTCCACTCTCACCACTTTATTTAACACAGTAGAGGAATTCTTACCCAGCATAATAAGGCAAGAAAAAAAGACATACCTATTAGAAAGGAAGGAATAAATCTGTCTCAACTTTAAAGTGAGATAGATAGATAGATGATATATATAGAAAATCCCAAGGAATCTGGAAGAAAACACCTAGAAATAAAAAGTGAGTTTTCAAGTTCACAAGATACAAGGTCCAAAACAAAAACGACATCATATTTTTATACTAGCCATGAATATGTGGAAACAAATTAAAACACAATGCCATTTACAATGTCATGTTCCTGGTTCGATACTATACTACATTCATTTAAGATGTGACTTTAAGGCAGCAGTCCCCAATCTTTTTGGCACCAGGAACCAGTTTTGTGGAAGACAATTTTTCCACAGAAGGGGAGGTGGTGGTATAAGGGGATGTTTTCGGGATGAAACTGTTCCACCTCAGATCATCAGACAATAGATTCTCATAAGGAGTAGGCCACCTACATCCCTCGCCTGACCTCAGGCAGTAGTGCTCGCTCACTTGCAGCTCACCTCCTGCTCTGTGGATGGGTTCCTAACAGGCTATGGACTGGTACCAGTCCGCAGCTGGGGGTTCGGGGACTCCTGCTCTAAGGGAATCCAGTTGAGGGGTGCCCAGTACTCCATGTACTACCTATAAAAAGCTTCCAACAATGTTTTTCAGAAAGACTCTCACTTCTCTCTAACATCTCCCCTAATTCATTGTTGCATGACATGCTTCTCCAAGTTGATTGGTAACAATTTGGATGAGACTTGGACGTAGGGATATTGTTGTGAGATGAAGTAAACTTCATTATGAACAAAAGAATGATTTATCGTACTAATTATACAGAGTTACGTTGTGACAGATTTTACATTGCTTGATTACAGAGTGACAATATCTATCAAGTGGTATGGCAAAATGCCAAAGAGAATGATACTGGCCTTGCACTGGGAGCCCTGGTTCTAGGAACCACATACTGTGCCAGTCATTAACCCATCTTTTGCTGGATCAAATGGGGGAATATTAGAAACAGATATCTGGGGAAAGAGGGACACACAGCTTGCTCAGAGCCACAGTTATTTACCAAACTGTTCAGACTTATTTTAATAATCGTTCAACCAGAATATCCATACTGGTGTGTATTAGGTGATATGAGCCCCTATTACATATGACTTAATTAATTTTGGTTGTTTTCTCTTTTTTCCATTCTAGTGAGGCAAATATGTGATTTAGGTATTCATAGCATAATCTTTGACTATAAGATATTTAAGCTGCTGTAACACTGTTTCTCAAAAATTTTTACATTCTAGCATTATCAGGACATTCTCTGAAATAAATTGGTAGTTTTTGAAAAAAAAAAAGAAATAAAACATTGATGACTGTGTACCAAGATATTTAAACACACTAAGTGTTGTTTTAGCACTTCTTTATTTTCTACCACAATTAGAAATACTCTATGCTTACAGGTTTTTACAAATAAAACCATAATATAATATAAAAATTTTATTTACATATAAGCTATCTAAGGTACATATTTTTGATAACTTAATTTGCTCTTAAAGTAGGGGCTATAAATTATACTGTGTTTTTATTTCTCAAGAATTTTTGGATGAACACACCAGGACTCCCAGTTCTATAAAAATAAACTGTTTGTCTTTAGGCCATTTCATCCTCAGGGGTTATAGTGTATTAGACAGCAAGTAAGCCCTGGAAAAGAGAAAGACGGATCACTAGGGAGAAAAAAATGTATTACTAGAGAGAGTTTAAGAAGTGTCAATTCTTCGGAACTAAAACCAATTTAACAAAAAAGGAGAGTGTCTCCATATTGTATGAAGCCCTACCAACTCCAGTCATAAACAGTACAGGAGAGAGAGGTATAGAATGATAGTGTTTCTCTAATTGTTAATGAAAGTAAATGTGATTGTTTATTTTAAAAAGTGGCACATATATGTTTTATTTTCCTTTTGCCTATTTTACCCTTTGATTGATGAAACAGCAAGTTAATGGCATATTTTAATGAGTTTTTAGCTCCCTACATGTGCTATTATAATCTTGGCAACCTGCTTTGACCCTCTCATTTATTTCAGATATTTATACTTTTAAAATAAATGTACAGAAGTACATGAATAAGATCTACTTGTATCCAATTATAAGAAATTTAAAAAATAAAAAATATAAATGCGGAGATTGGATAAATTTATCTAATTTTGTAAATATATTATTTCTGAATTATTTGAATTTTGATAATATTACAATTTAATAGTGTGCTAATTTGCAGTGTGTTCTGCTAAACTTATCATAGATGTCATTTTACTCATTATACTAATGTCATTTATTTCAGTATACTCTTAAAATTCAACAGTGTATCATTTTACTATAATTTCAAAAATTATATTACTTAGAAAGAGAGATGTCTGTCTCGATTATATGAGAATTGCTTCTTCAGCTAAGACATAATTTTACCTAACCCATTGTATTAGTCAGGGTTCTGTAGAGGGACATAACTAATGGAATATATATATATATAAAAGACAGTTTATTAAGTATTAACTTATATGATCACAAGGTCCCATAATAGACAGTCTTCAGGCTGAAGAGCAGGAACAGCCAGTTCGAGTACCAAAACTGAAAAACTTTGAGTCTAATGTTTGAGGGCAGAAAGCATCCAGCACAGGGGAAAGATGTAGGCTGGGAGGCTAGGCCTGTCTCATCTCTTTTCATTTTTCTGCCTGCTTTATCTTCTAGCTGAGCTGGCAGCTGATTAGATGGTGCCCACCAAGATTAAGGGTGGGTCTGCCTTCCCCAGCCCACTGACTCACATGGTAATCTCCTTTGGCAACACCCTCACAGACACACCCAGGATCAATACTTTGTATCCTTCAATCCAATCAAGATGACACTCACTATGAACTATCATACCCATCTTTATGTTTTCATTAAGTGAAATAACATAGATACTTTAAAAATAGAATGAGCACAACTTATTGTAGACTAAAATCAGATAAATGTCACAAATCAGTATATTTAATCTTAAACTCCTGTCCCCAAAGTACAAGATGTTTACAACAGATTTTATTTCTTTACGATTGCTTTGACTGTGTATGGGTATAATATTAATGTCTTATTTCTAGTTATGTTGTTGTTGATGATGATTCTTATGGGGTATGTCGACAGGGCACCACTTAATCTAGAAAAAAATGAGGGGTGGAGGATATAACACTGGAAATCATCAGGCTAAGTTAGGAGAAACACATGAATAAAAGCCATCAAATTCATGAAATGTAGAGAGTTCATGAAGACCTAATGAAAAATGTACATACATGAAGAAGGAGAAATTACATAATTTATATGTTTGCAAACACTGCTTTAAGATGAGAGAAACTCAGGAGGAGCTTAAACAAAGTGTAGGTTCTTTTTAAGGAGGGAATGCTCTAGAAATGGGGCTTTCAGGTGCAACTGTGAAACACACTTGCAAATAAAGTAAACACATTGTGACCCTAGAGACAGTATTAGGGAGGAGACTGAGGGTCTAAACAAATTATTGTAGCTTGGGTATAAAAATAGTTCTTGAAGTCTGCAAGCACCAGAGTGCTTCCGAGTACTAATGAATTCTTCAGTCACTGACTACAGTCAATTCAGCAAAGTTGCATATTCAAGTAATCTTGAATGTTCTGGGACTGCTATTTCTGATCATGGTCTCAGAAAAGCATAGCTCTCTCCTCTGGTACTCAGTGTAACTTGGTCTTGGAGCTGAGCAATCCAACAGCCTGCATCTTACAAGGCTCTTTTCCATACCATCACCAAGGAGGTTTGTGTTTTTCCATGTGGAGAAATAGAATATAGGGCAATTAAAGGAAGTCAAACAGGTCATAGTGGAGATCAAAATATCATCTGTATAATCAAGATGTACACTTGCAGGTGGGAGAGATCTTTGCTCTCTTCTCTACCACCAACTCTTACTCATCAAAACAAAATGAGAAGGGTAGAGACTTTATTTTTAAGATGTGGTCAGTGAAATAATTAAGCAAACATTCATGAATTCATTAAAACCATCTGTATTTTGGGGGGCAGGGGAAATAATAGAAATCAAAACATTTTTCTGATCAGACTGTTTTAACCCAAACCAAATTTTACCTGATGTTGCATATTTTAAATTAAAATATACTACTTTAAATTAAGATACACTTCCTTTTTGAAAAATAAAAAAAGTACGAATTCCACTTTAATTTTTTAATATGGTAGATTGGGGTGCATGACAATATATATCACCTGACAGTTGACATGGCTTTTGTTGTCACAACTGAGGATAAGTAAATATGAAGGTTACTTAATAATTTTCCTCTCTATATATACGTGAAAAAGATTGAGAAGAGCTTATGCAGGTATTTTCTAATATATATTTACAATACAGTATCACCTAGCAATGTATTTATGATGTCATGAAAATTTAAAAAATGAATATACTAATACATGAATCTATTCGATGAGAGTGATGAAGTGATTTATGTATAGAACAATCTGTTGATAGAACTTTTCACTTTTTATTTCTGTTGAGGTATGATCTTTTTCAAATCTTCAAATTCTCTAGTACTCTGTAGTTCAAGTCAATTGGGAGCTATTGTGGATCAGTAGCTAAGCAACAGATTTAAAGTCCAGAGGCTATTCCCCTATATTTCGTCTGCCAATAACAGCATGAGATGGTAAGCAAACCATTTAACCTTCCAATCTCACTATCCCTCATCTTTTCAACAGGGAGGTAATATAGCTTACTTCTCAAAGCCCAGTGAAATATCTCTTAAAAGTATTCCTAAAGTAGTATGGGAGAGATGCCCTACGGTATTGTCATAAAGCAAAAGCAGTTTTACATCCTGCTTTTTCCACATGACGTGTGACCCATTAGAGCTAATATTCCCTAATAGAGAAATATTCCCTCACCATGCCTTAGGGCTTCCCAAATAATTCTTTATAATCTTCTGATATTCCATTACTTATAAAAGCATGAAAGCATTAACAAATGAGGTTAGATTTCTTTAAAGCTTTTCATATTCATGGTTATATTATACATAGAATCTTTTTAACTGTCCTTAGTGTTTTAAGAAAATTTCTTGCTAGAGGTGAACACAGAGAAACAATACTTTTGAATTCTATAGAATGTTGATATAGATATAGAATAAATGTCTTTTTTACTTCCTATTAAAAGCTTGGATTTGTCTGTGACTTCAGTTTTGTTATTATAGAGCCTGCTCAAAAAAAGAGAAACAGATACAAAATTAAGTGTCCAAAAGAAACTCTATCTCAATGTTGCTCAGTGAAAGTAACCTTTGCTTTTTTTCTGTTCATAATGCGTATGCTAAAATGCATAATATGAGCAATGCAGGTTGGAAGATGAGATAATGATATTGGTGATGATGGGTGTGTTTCCTGGATCCAAGTTACCAATTCTTCCTATGTACAGAACTGATGATTTTACGGCATACCTAATTCACTCAGTGTTTGTTTTTTTTCTCAAGTCTTAGTAAAAGGATATACACAGATAGCTGTTCATACATTTACTCATAGAACCCCAATTGCACTATTTAGATAACATAAAAAAATTTTTCCAAATTCTCGAAGAAATCTACTCTTAATCCTTCATTAAGATGCACATGTTCAGCAGAGGTGTACACATCTTTTGTGAAGCCAAATATAATACCGTACAAAAGCATTCTTGTGAATCTCTATTACATGGCGAATCTGTGGTTTCTGTTTTATTTTTATTTCATTTGTTTTTATTTTGTTTTTAAAGAGCCTGCCAAACACATGAAAATACTAGGGAATGCAACAGACAGAATGTAATTTTCCCTTTGAAATTTAGCCAGATCATCCCAAGAGCCAGAGAAAGTTGTTGCCTCTTCAATTATTAAAAATCCTTTAGAACCATATTACTATAGCAGATATTCTACAATTTGGACACATTTTAATAACTATCATTAGTTGCTGCTGTAGCAGTGTGTTGACAAAGAGAGGATCTAAAAAGGATGAAACAATGAAGAAGAAATCAAGGCTTTGTATAAACCAAGGCCTTACAAGCCTAACACCAAAATAAAAATGTAAAGCTTCTTTGTACTGCAAAGGTCGTTGCATTTCCCTAATAATGGTACTGAAGCCCCTATTTAAAAACTGATCAATAATCGCCTAATAATTTATTGCACATACTTCTTTTTCAATATTTCAGTCACTGTAAATATATAAGGCACATCATTCTTTACAAAATCTAAATGTGCATATTAATTGACTGAAAGAATGTAATAAGCTTTTTCTTTGCGCTGAGATATGAAATATCTATTACATTATTTTGATATAATTGCCAACATAACAGTTTTAAGATTTCCACTTAAATTTACCTTTTATAACAGTGGCAGAAGATTTTCTTAAAGAAAAGTCCGGCAGAGAGGAGTCAAGATGGCCGAATAGGAACAGCTCCGGTCTACAGCTCCCAGCGTGAGCGACGCAGAAGACGGGTGATTTCTGCATTTCCATCTGAGGTACTGGGTTCATCTCACTAGGGAGTGCCAGACAGTGGGCGCAAGTCAGTGGGTGCGCGCACCGTGCGCGAGCCGAAGCAGGGCGAGGCGTTGCCTCACTTGGGAAGCGCAAGGGGTCAGGGAGTTCCCTTTCCGAGTCAAAGAAAGGGGTAACGGAGGGCACCTGGAAAATCGGGTCACTCCCACCTGAATACTGCGCTTTTCCGACGGGCTTAAAAAATGGTGCACCACCAGATTATATCTCGCACCTGGCTCAGAGGGTCCTACGCCCACGGAGTCTCGCTGATTGCTAGCACAGCAGTCTGAGATCAAACTGCAAGGCGTCAGCGAGTCTGGGGGAGGGGCGCCCGCCATTGCCCAGGCTTGATTAGGTAAACAAAGCAGCTGGGAAGCTCGAACTGGGTGGAGCCCACCACAGCTCAAGGAGGCCTGCCTGCCTCTGTAGGCTCCACCTCTGGGGGCAGGGCACAGACAAACAAAAAGACAGCAGTAACCTCTGCAGACTTAAATGTCCCTGTCTGACAGCTTTGAAGAGAGCGGTGGTTCTCCCAGCATGCAGCTGGAGATCTGAGAACAGGCAGACTGCCTCCTCAAGTGGGTCCCTGACCCCTGACCCCCGAGCAGCCTAACTGGGAGGCACCCCCCAGAAGGGGCACACTGACACCTCACACAACAGGGTACTCCAACAGACCTGCAGCTGAGGGTCCTGTCTGTTAGAAGGAAAACTAACAAACAGAAAGGACATCCACACCGAAAACCCATCTGTACATCACCATCATCAAAGACCAAAAGTAGATAAAACCACAAAGATGGGGAAAAAACAGAACAGAAAAACTGGAAACTCTAAAAAGCAGAGCGCCTCTCCTCCTCCAAAGGAACGCAGTTCCTCACCAGCAACGGAACAAAGCTGGATGGAGAATGACTTTGACGAGCTGAGAGAAGAAGGCTTCAGACGATCAAATTACTCTGAGCTACGGGAGGACATTCAAACCAAAGGCAAAGAAGTTGAAAACTTTGAAAAAAATTTAGAAGAATGTATAACTAGAATAACCAATACAGAGAAGTGCTTAAAGGAGCTGATGGAGCTGAAAACCAAGGCTCGAGAACTACGTGAAGAATGCAGAAGCCTCAGGAGCCGATGCGATCAACTGGAAGAAAGGGTATCAGCAATGGAAGATGAAATGAATGAAATGAAGTGAGAAGGGAAGTTTAGAGAAAAAAGAATAAAAAGAAATGAGCAAAGCCTCCAAGAAATAGGGGACTATGTGAAAAGACCAAATCTACGTCTGATTGGTGTACCTGAAAGTGATGGGGAGAATGGAACCAAGTTGGAAAACACTCTGCAGGATATTATCCAGGAGAACTTCCCCAATCTAGCAAGGCAGGCCAATGTTCAGATTCAGGAAATATAGAGAACGCCACAAAGATACTCCTCAAGAAGAGCAACTCCAAGACACATAATTGTCAGATTCACCAAAGTTGAAATGAAGGAAAAAGTGTTAAGGGCAGCCAGAGAGAAAGGTCGGGTTACCCTCAAAGGGAAGCCCATCAGACTAACAGCGGATCTCTCGGCAGAAACCCTACAAGCCAGAAGAGAGTGGGGGCCAATATTCAACATTCTTAAAGAAAAGAATTTTCAACCCAGAATTTCATATCCAGCCAAACTAAGCTTCATAAGTGAAGGAGAAATAAAATACTTTACAGACAAGCAAATGCTGAGAGATTTTGTCACAACCAGGCCTGCCTTACAAGAGCTCCTGAAGGAAGCACTAAACATGGAAAGGAACAACCGGTACCAGCCACTGCAAAATCATGCCAAAATGTAAAGACCATCGAGACTAGGATGAAACTGCATCAACTAATGAGCAAAATAACCAGGTAACTTCATAATGACAGGATCAAATTCACACGTAACAATATTAACTTTAAATGTAAATGGACTAAATGCTCCAATTAAAAGACACAGACTGGCAAATTGGATAAAGAGTCAAGACCCATCAGTGTGCTGTATTCGGGAAACCCATCTCACGTGCAGAGACACACATAGGCTCAAAATAAAAGGATGGAGGAAGATCTACCAAGCCAATGGAAAACAAAAAAAGGCAGGGGTTGCAATCCTAGTCTCTGTTAAAACAGACTTTAAACGAACAAAGATCAAAAGAGACAAAGAAGGCCATTACATAATGGTAAAGGGATCAATTCAGCAAGAAGAGCTAACTATCCTAAATATATATGCACCCAATACAGGAGCACCCAGATTCATAAAGCAAGTCCTGAGTGACCTACAAAGAGACTTAGACTCCCACACATTAATAATGGGAGACTTTAACACCCCACTGTCAACATTAGACAGATCAACGAGACAGAAAGTCAACAAGGATACCCAGGAATTGAACTCAGCTCTGCACCAAGCAGACCTAATAGACATCTACAGAACTCTCCACCCCAAATCAACAGAATATACATTTTTTTCAGCACCACACCACACCTATTCCAAAATTGACCACATACTTGGAAGTAAAGCTCTCCTCAGCAAATGTAAAAGAACAGAAATTATAACAAACTATCTCTCAGACCACAGCAAAATCAAACTACAACTCAGGATTAAGAATCTCACTCAAAACCACTCAACTACATGGAAACTGAACAACCTGCTCCTGAATGACTACTGGGTACATAACGAAATGAAGGCAGAAATAAAGATGTTCTTTGAAACCAACGAGAACAAAGACACAACATACCAGAATCTCTGGGACACATTCAAAGCAGTGTGTAGAGGGAAATTTATAGCACTAAATGCCCACAAGAGAAAGCAGGAAAGATCCAAAATTGACACCCTAACATCACAATTAAAAGAACTAGAAAAGCAAGAGCAAACACATTCCAAAGCTTGCAGAAGGCAAGAAATAACTAAAATCAGAGCAGAACTGAAGGAAATAGAGACACAAAAAACTCTTCAAAAAATTAATGAATCCAGGAGCTGGTTTTTTGAAAGGATCAACAAAATTGATAGACCGCTAGCAAGACTAATAAAGAAAAAAAGAGAGAAGAATCAAATAGACACAATAAAAAATGATAAAGGGGATATCACCACCGATCCCACAGAAATACAAACTACCATCAGAGAATACTACAAACACCTCTACGCAAATAAACTAGAAAATCTAGAAGAAATGGATAAATTCCTTGACACATACACTCTCCCAAGACTAAACCAGGAAGAAGTTGAATCTCTGAATAGACCAATAACAGGAGCTGAAATTGTGGCAATAATCAATAGCTTACCAACCAAACAGAGTCCAGGACCAGATGGATTCACAGCCGAATTCTACCAGAGGTACAAGGAGGAACTGGTACCATTCCTTCTGAAACTATTCCAATCAAAAGAAAAAGAGGGAATCCTCCCTAACTCATTTTATGAGGCCAGCATCATTGTGATACCAAAGCCAGGCAGAGACACAACCAAAAAAGAGAATTTTAGACCAATATCCTTGATGAACATTGATGCAAAAATCCTCAATAAAATACTGGCAAAACGAATCCAGCAGCACATCAAAAAGCTTATCCACCATGATCAAGTGGGCTTCATCCCTGGGATGCAAGGCTGGTTCAATATACGCAAATCAATAAATGTAATCCAGCATATAAACAGAGCCAAAGACAAAAACCACATGATTATCTCAGTAGATGCAGAAAAAGCCTTTGACAAAATTCAACAACCCTTCATGCTAAAAACTCTCAATAAATTAGGTATTGATGGGACGTATTTCAAAATAATAAGAGCTATCTATGACAAACCCACAGCCAATATCATACTGAATGGGCAAAAACTGGAAGCATTCTCTTTAAAAACTGGTACAAGACAGGGATGCCCTCTCTCACCACTCCTATTCAACATACTATTGGAAGTTCTGGCCAGGGCAATTAGACAGGAGAAGGACATAAAGGGTATTCAATTAGGAAAAGAGGAAGTCAAATTGTCCCTCTTTGCAGACGACATGATTGTTTATCTAGAAAACCCCATTGTCTCAGCCCAAAATCTCCTTAAGCTGATAAGCAACTTCAGCAAAGTCTCAGGATACAAAATCAATGTACAAAAATCACAGGCATTCTTATACACCAACAACAGACACACAGAGAGCCAAATCATGAGTGAACTCCCATTCACAATTGCTTCAAAGAGAATAAAATACCTAGGAATCCAACTTACAAGGGATGTGAAGGACCCCTTCCAGGAGAACTACAAACCACTGCTCAAGGAAATAAAAGAGGATACAAACAAATGGAAGAACATTCCATGCTCATGGGTAGGAAGAATCAATATCGTGAAAATGGCCATACTGCCCAAGGTAATTTACAGATTCAATGCCATCCCCATCAAGCTACCAATGACTTTCTTCACAGAATTGGAAAAAACTACTTTAAAGTTCATATGGAACCAAAAAAGAGCCCGCATCGCCAAGTCAATCCTAAGCCAAAAGAACAAAGCTGGAGGCATCACACTACCTGACTTCAAACTATACTACAAGGCTACAGTAACCAAAACAGCATGGTACTGGTACCAAAACAGAGATATAGACCAATGGAACAGAACAGAGCCCTCAGAAATAACGCCGCATATCTACAACTATCTGATCTTTGACAAACCTGAGAAAAACAAGCAATGGGGAAAGGATTCCCTATTTAATAAATGGTGCTGGGAAAACTGGCTAGCCATATGTAGAAAGCTGAAACTGGATCCCTTCCTTACACCTTATACAAAAATCAATTCAAGATGGATTAAAGACTTAAACGTTAGACCTAAAACCATAAAAACCCTAGAAGAAAACCTAGGCATTACCATTCAGGACATAGGCACGGGCAAGGACTTCATGTCTAAAACACCAAAAGCAATGGCAACAAAAGACAAAATTGACAAATGGGAACTAATTAAACTAAAGAGCTTCTGCACAGCAAAAGAAACTACCATCAGAATGAACAGGCAACCTACAAAATGGGAGAAAATTTTCGCAACCTACTCATCTGACAAAGGGCTAATATCCAGAATCTACAATGAACTCAAACAAATTTACAAGAAAAAAACAAACAACCCCATCAAAAAGTGGGCGAAGGACATGAACAGACACTTCTCAAAAGAAGACATTTATGCAGCCAAAAAACACATGAAAAATGCTCATCATCACTGGCCATCAGAGAAATGCAATTCAAAACCACAATGAGATACCATCTCATACCAGTTAGAATGGCAATCATTAACAAGTCAGGAAACAACAGGTGCTGGAGAGGATGTGGAGAAATAGGAACACTTTTACACTGTTGGTGGAACTGTAAACTAGTTCAACCATTGTGGAAGTCAGTGTGACGATTCCTCAGGGATCTAGAACTGGAAATACCATTTGACCCAGCCATCCCATTACTGGGTATATACCCAAAGGACTATAAATCATGCTGCTATAAAGACACATGCACACGTATGTTTATTGCGGCATTATTCACAATAGCAAAGACTTGGAACCAACCCAAATGTCCAACAATGATAGACTGGATTAAGAAAATGTGGCACATATACACCATGGAATACTATGCAGCCATAAAAAATGATGAGTTCATGTCCTTTGTAGGGACATGGATGAAATTGGAAATCATCATTCTCAGTAAACTATCGCAAGAACAAAAAACCAAACACCGCATATTCTCGCTCGTAGGTGGGAATTGAACAATGAGATCACATGGACACAGGAAGGGGAATATCACACTCTGGGGACGGTTGTGGGGTGGGGGGAGGGGGGAGGGATAGCATTGGGAGATATACCTAATGCTAGATGACGAGTTAGTGGGTGCAGCACACCAGCATGGCACATGTATACATATGTAACTAACCTGCACAATGGGCACATGTACCCTAAAACTTAAAGTATAATAATAAAAAAAATTAATTAAAAAAAAAAAAAAGAAAGAAAAGTCCATTTGGCCGGGCGCGGTGGCTCACGCCTGTAATCCCAGCACTTTGGGAGGCTGAGGCGGGCGGATCACGAGGTCAGGAGATCCAGACCATCCTGGCTAACATGGCGAAACCCCGTCTCTACAAAAAAATTAGCCGGGCATGGTAGCAAGTGCCTGTAGTCCCAGCTACTCCGGAGGCTGAGGCAGGAGAATGGCGTGAACCTGGGAGGCGGAGCTTGCAGTGAGCCGAGATGGCGCTGCTGCACTCCAGCCTGGGTGAGAGCGACACTCCATCTCAAAAAAAAGAGAAAAGTCCATTTACTCAAATTGTGGAAAATTATACACTGTCATCCTGAAACTTGAAATGCTCCATCAATCTGTCAAAATAATCTCTCTCCTTAAAACAAAATAGAGACTAAACAACCAATTTGGTGAATTGGGATTTTTTCAGTCCTATTTCAAAAAAGTTCAGATACTTAAGGACCTTAGATTTTGAGTAAAATGTGTCAATTTAGGATTCAGAAATGACTGGGCACAGTAGTAGGCATAGATTTATTTGGAATGTTTTTTTAAACAACAGCTTTCTAGAGAAAGAAATCATCTGTGGAAGATAGTACTTTTGTTTTATTAGACAATTGGCCAATATCTGAGAGAGTGAGTAATTCAAATTAAAGTACAATGTCTGTCACTCAGATTATGTTGAAACTAGCTACTTTAGATTCATGGTTTTCAGGCCTAGAATAGAAAGGTAAAGTATAAGCAAACACGACTTTAACTATATTTGACTGACATTTGACTTTAACATACAGCATTAACAGCATTGCTGAAAGTACCCTCTAAGATATGATAGCTGATGGTGTTCAGTTGCTGTAGCAATGTCAGGACAATGCCCTAGAAGCAAATATTAGCACCATTGACACTGGACATTAGCAGCTTCTGTGTGGACATAGACAGGAGCCAGTGCACGGGGTACTAGTGGCATGCACTAGCCCTGCTGGCATGATAACTAGTCATTGGCAATATCCATTCCACTTCGGACATCTAATGCAGTTCTTGGCATGTGAATATAAATCACCTTCATATAAATATAACATGCATATGAATCACTTCGGGATCATACCGAAATTAAAGATTCTGATTCAGCAGCTGAGGGGTGGGATTGGAGATTCTGCATTTGAAAAATATTCCCATGTGATACTGATGCTCCCAGTCCATAATCAAACTTTGAATTGCATCTACAGTTAGGTAAAATGAGCTGGAGCAGCAGAAGAGAAAAATGGTAGGTGTTAGGAGACGAAAATTTTGCTGAACAACCAAAATGATTTAAGAGAAATTGAAAGTGGCCTTAAATTTCAACAAGCAGGAGGAAACAGCTTTCCTGATAATTTTCTGACTTCTATTAGGCTGGTTAGATTTATAGCACCTGCTACATGTGATAAATATCTAATCTTAAAATGTTGCACTTCTCTTTTCTACTTGAACTTGAGATGCATATATATGTATATATGTGCATATATATACACATGTGCTTATATATATATGCATGTGCTTATATATATATGTGTGTGCTTTGAATTGTTGATAGTAATCATTGTATTGCTGTCTTCTTTTGGTGTACTACCATTTCTGTGTGTTTAGAACATAGGAAAAACTCTGAAAATATTTAATGAAGTTAGTTAAGAAAGAATCCAAATTGCCAAAATATATGTTTTATGGTTCAAATACTCTAGGTTGAAAAGTTGTAACAATTAAGACTTAATCACACTTAGTTGACAATGAATTAAATGAACAAAGTTATATCACACAGCATTGGAATTACAAAAAGATAGATGAGGGAAAAGATGTGAAAAAACAGAAAATATCAGAGCTCAAAAGAACCTTAACAAACACTGTGTATCTGTTTTTGCATCGATTAGAATTTTGTTGGAGTGCTCTATCAGGTAACAGGAAGATTCTTGAAATAGGTCAGAATCCAACCACTTACCAGTGTCACCTGCTTGGAAGCTATAATCCTAGTAGAGACATTCAGTGTGGCACAAAAGCAATAGAGTAGCAATGGCTACCAGAGTGTATGGGAAGAAAGGATCTGAGATGACTCACAGGCCTGTGCACCACAGGGTTGTGTAGAGAGGTCAACCAAGTTTTCCATTGTTTTCAGGAAGTTCTGAAAGGTTTAAGAGAAAACAGTTAGACCAAAAAGAGCTCTAAACTTCTGGCAAGAGGAGTTCAGGTTTGAAGATGTATTGAGAAGGTGCTATAGCGTGACCAGTAACTCAACTTCAAGAATTGACGCGAGCTCAGGCCCAGTGGGAATTATATACCACAGTAGAAGAAATTCAACATGGACTAATTCCAAATAAGCATTGGATGTTCCCATCACATATGTAATCAACCCTCCCCAGTGAACATAGATATCATTCCTATAGCATAGAGGTTGATGGAAATGATTCTTTAGTAGATAAAGGTTCAATCATAGATCAATTTAGTAAATCCCCCAAATCACCAAAAAAAAAAAAACTATTGAAATAATGAATTAATCATGAAATGACTAGAATCTAGTTCGTTTGCAGCTATTGTATGAAATGACAGGACTAAGTATAAACAGAAAAAAAAATTTACTCTTGTTTATCTAAGCTTGACTGACATTTGTTTTCTTGCTATTGGACTTTTACATGAACAAACCACTTAGTTTTTCTTTTAGGTTTTTTTTTTAACTATTAATCATTTTGTGATGAAGACATTTATAAGCAGAATTTCTTGCCTGATGCTTTCATTTTTCATGCTTGTTCAAACTACTTACGCTTTTTTTTATCTCTTTCCAGGTTTTTACAGTTATCTGAGTTTAAATTATCCCTTCTCCATGTCATCTCCTATTGAGAAAATGCTATATGTTAGTTTCCGTGTGAAGAGTTTTCATATGATACCTCATTTATGCATCACAAAACCTTATCAAATAGGTACTCTTAAGATCCTCATATTACAGAAAGGAAATCTAGATGTTAACAACCTGCTGAAATTTAAACCATTATTACAAAGTGACAAATGTAGTTGAGGTTAGCACCACAACCAGAACAATTAACTGATATATACTTCCATTAAGGTAAACTCTAATAACCACAGAAACACGGCAACTTTGAAAAGCAAAATTGGAGTTAATTTTAATTTCCCATTCCCATGCCTACCAGTGAGCTATAGTATTGTCCTATTCATGTGGAAAATACCTGTATGTTTAATTTGGAGACCTTTTATCTTTATCTGCTCAACTCCAAGTTAATGAATTTCAGCTGAGAGAGGCCTGGCTTAGGTGGAAAGAATGCATCCCAACCTTAAGCCCGTCTGTGTATCATATCCGTATAGGGTCTGTTTCTCACTGGAGCCATAAAGTTACAAGATTTGGCTTGGAATTATGGAACAGAGTCAGAACTTCTTCCCCATGACATATGAACTAGATGGCAAGTAAGGGCTGGAGATCTTGCAAACATTCTGCAAAGGGAGAGTCTGTAAGCCAAGACATAAGTAGCCTCATTGGCCATCTACATCAAGCTGCAGTTGTCTTTTTTATTATTTTTATTACATGAAATTCTTTATGATCAAATTATTTTGGTTTGGATCTTTGTTGCTTGCAATGAAACTAATATGGGATTTAAGAGATGCCTGAATTTAGGCTATTTGATGTTAAATGAGTCATTTAGTGGTGGATAACATGAATTCTACCAATGAAATAATCATCTGGTTTATAGTAGGTACCTGATATACTGTGTGTGCTATGCATTTATTTATATACAATTGTATATCTGAGTCTAGGAAAAGAGACAACTAGCTTCTCACTTATGATCTTTATTCTATTTTGTTGTTTGGATACACTGCTTCCTCTAATCACAGAATACAATGTTCTTCCCAATAGAACCTGTGTCTTTCCTTCATTCTCACATTTATAGTTTTTCTGGCTTTTCTAATCCATTTACTGACAAAACTTTAAATTTACCACTTGTATATTTTCTTTTGCTTTGCCTAACCTTTCAGGAATTACTTCTCACTTATCTCAAAAAGTTGTCATCCCTTTGTATCACTTTGATATGGCACTCCCTAAATTTCCAGTTTAGGTTAGCAATCAAAAGGAGTTTCCATTGAATCATACAATCTCCACCAAGCTAAGAATATCTGGTTCTTATCTTCTTTGATTGTCCTAAATGACAGGACACATTTTTAGAATATAAATGTTTGTATTAATTTTGCTTGAATAAAAATTTCAGATGAATTATTTTTCCTATATCTTGATAGTTATTTTACTAATTTCCTTCTGATATTTTCTTTTTGAACCCATATTATCTTCTGAAGTTTTATTTCTTTTAGGGTTGAAAAGTGATCATTTTATTATAGTATTTTCTCATTTAAAGCACTTCAGTTTTGGAAACAATCAGGTGTCTCTTTAGCAATATCAGGAACACAAAAGAAATGCTATCATATCCATTGTAACGAGAAGTTATTACAGCTTGTGAAATGTTACAAAGATTAAATTATTAAAAGGGGGAAGTTTTTATCTGTTTTGATATCTCGAAGGCAAACAAACTCAACTCAAAAATTGCAAAACATAAACAACAACAACAACAACAACAAAAACTTGAGATACAAATACTCTGACAGCCTGGGAAGGAAAGCCCAATCTGTCTTTACAGAAAAATAAAAATAAAAAATTAGCCGGATATAGTGATGTGCCCCTGTTGTTTCAGTTACTCAGGAGGCTCAGGCAGTAGGATCACCTGAACCAAGGAGTATGAGGCTGCAGTAAGTTTTGAAAGATCATCCAGCCTGGGTGACAGAAGTTGTTTATCTATAAAAAAGATTCAATACTCTGAGAAATAAGGTATACTAATTTTTATAATGTGGCATTCCCCATATAATGCCCAAATCTGACAAAGCAGTGTCAATTGTACGGTATTTAAAAATATTTCTGTCCCTTTATGTGTGTGTTTGCAGGTATATATGTATTCCACATCAGTTGATTAAAATTTCTGTCTACTTAACAGTCAAACTATATGGCAGAATTATTACTGTTGATGTTATTATGGTTCACACCCTCCCTTTTATAATAGTTTAGGACTTTATACTCCAAGATAATTGGTGCTTAGGCCTCCTCATCTCTGGAGTTATGGCCTCCTGCATACCTTTCTTTCTTTTTTCTTTTTTTTTTTTTTGAGATGGAGTTTTGCTCTTGTTGCCCAGGCTAGAGTGCAATGGCGTGATCTCGGCTTATTTCAACCTCTGCCTCCCAGGTTCAAGCACTTCAACCTCTGCCTCCCGGGTTCAAGTGAATCTCCTGCCACAGCATCCTGAGTAGCTAGAACTACAGGCACCTGCCACCACGCTCAGCTAATTTTTTGTATTTTTAGTAGAGACACAGTTTCACCATATTGGCCTGGCTGGTCTTGAACTCCTAACCTCAGGTGTTATGCCCACCTTGGCCTCCCAAAGTGCTGGAATTACAGGCATGAGCCACTGCACCCGGCCTCTTTTTTTCCTTTTAAATTTTATTTCTTCTAAAAAAAAGGGGGGAGGTGCGGTGGCTCACGCCTGTAATAAACTAGAAAATCTATAAGAAATGGATAAATTCCTAGATACATACACCCTCCCCAGACCAAACCAGGAAGAAGTCGACTTCCTGAATATACCAATAACAAGTTCTGAAATTGAGGCAGTAATTAATAGCCTACGAACCAAAAATAACCTGGGACCAGATGGATTCACAGCCGAATTCTACCAGAGGTACAAAGAGGAGCTGATGCCATTCCTTCTGAAACTATTCCGAACAGTAGTAAAAGAAGGACTCCTCCCTAACTCATTTTATGAGGACAGCATCATTGTGATACCAAAACTAGGAAGAGATATAACAAAAAAAGAAAACTTCAAGCCAATATCCCTGATGAACATTGATTCAAAAATCCTCAATAAAATACTGGCAAACCGAATCCAGCAGCACATCAAAAAACTTATCCACCACGATCAAGTCAGCTTCATCCCTGGGATGCAATGCTGGTTTAACATACACAAATCAACAAACATAATCCATCACATAAACAGAACCAAAGACAAAAATCACATAATTATCTCAATAGACACAGACAAGACCTTTGATAAAATTCAATATCCTTTCATGTTAAAAACTCTGAATAAACTAGATATTGATGGAACATATCTCAAAATAGTAAGAGGTATTTATGACAAGCCTACAGCCAATATCATATTGAATGGGCAAAAGCTGGAAGCATTCTCTTTGAAAACCGGTACAAGAGAAGGATGCCCTGTCTCACCACTCCTATTCAACATAGTATTGGAAGTTCTGGCCAGGGCAATTAGGCAAGTGAAAGAAATAAACGGTATTCAAATAGGAAGAGAGGCCGTCAAATTGTCTCTGTTTGCAGACAACATGATCCTATATTTAGGAAACTCCAACATCTGAGCCCAAAAACTCCTTAAACTGATAAGCAACTTCAACAAAGTCTCAGGATTCAAAATTGATGTGCAAAAATCACAAGCATTTCTTTACACCAACAATGGTGTAAAGAGAGCCAAATCATGATTGAACTCCCATTCACAATTGCTACAAAGAGAATAAAATACCTGGGAATACAGCTAACAAGGGATGTGAAGGATCTCTTCAAGGAGAACTACAAACCACTGCTCAAGGAAATAGGGGACACAAACAAATGGAAAAACATTCCATGCTCATAGATAGGAAGAATCAATATCGTGAAAATGGCCATACTGCCCAGAGTAATTTATAGATTCAGTGCTATTCCCATTGTACCTTCCTTTCTTAACCCATAATCTGCTACCAGTTTGAAATGTTTAAAATGCAACCTTAGTCACATAATACAGTGGTTTATGTGGGGAATCAGTAAGAAAATATCAAAAAATCAGGGGTTTATTTCTTTGTTTCAGAAAAAAAATGTTGCCAATTTACAAACCCTAAACTCTCCACATTTACTTCTATGAGAATGGAGTCATACTCTAGAGGTTAATCAGAGCAGCAGTCGGTCAGTGTTTAAAGTCTACTGCTCAGGACAAGATTGAAATTATTCCCTTGTCCACATCAAACCATCTTCAAAATTTCAAGTCTCTTATCTTTTCTGAAAGAGGTTGAAAACATCTGTTTTAGAAGGCTGTCCATATAAAACATGAAAATTATCTTAAGGCTAAAAATATAAGGTGTTAGAATATGTAAATACTATTCTGTATTTTCTCTTACAATTAGTGACTTTGCTATGAAAATCTACATCCAATATTCTACAATGCCTCTTCTGTCAAGTTAGCTTAGGGATTTCCCCTGTAATTGATGTAATTTCTCTAAAACTGCTCTAAAGATAAACTTATCTTATAAAATATTATGAGCACAACGCATTTCTGTGTGGCTTATTTAATAGTCCACTTAAGATTTTGTTTTGGTTATCTTTGAAACTTACATATACTCCTAGAGAAGTGAAAATTTACCAGACTAAATTGTATGTGTCTGGGCCTTTGGCATCACCACTGCCAAATATAGTGTCCATTTCCTTGAAAATAATATATCACATTGGCAATGAATGCAATGAATTCACCTTATAAAATCAAGGATTTTCAAGTTAAGAAAGACATCTAGCTTTAGGCAGAAATATGTTAGAATGTGAACCTCTGAGTGATGTTTCTGGCCACTACAAGGATCATGAAGATCTGTAAGGACAGTATAGGCATACATATCTGGGTTTGAAATGCTCTCAACAAGCATGTAAACCTAGGAGTCTCATCATGCAGTGACTCTGTAGAGACCCTCCATAACTTTCCTTCAAGAGGCTATTAAATATAATTCAACCGTCTCTTGCTGCTTAAGAAGCGTAAAAATTATTTACATTGCCATCTAAGTCCTTTTGTGACATGATTCTCAAGTCAATTAACAAGTTTTTCTCCTTTTTACTTTATTATTGATGTCCATTATTCTGAAGCAGGGCCCCCCAAATTTTTCTGTAAAAGGCCAAATAGCAAATGTTTTAAGATTTGCAGACCACATGCAATCTTTGTATCTCTAGCTCTTCTCTTTCTCTTCCTCCTCTTTCATCTTGTGCAATCCATCAAAAATGTAAGTTTTTTTTTTCTTAATTCTTGGCTTACAGATCATATAAAAACAGGCCCAGGGTTGAATTTGGCCCTTTTTAATATTGTAACATATCTCTGAGGGTTCCTTTAACGTGAACATTTTTGCTTTGCATTTTTACTTTCTCTGGAATATCTTTATCTTTTCTTTGCAACCGTTTTCCTTATTATGTCTCTAAATTTGCTCTCAGTAAGATCTTCTAGCTGGATATGTATATAATCTCTAGAACAGTGGCAGCATCAACATGCCCATGATCAGCTTTTTCTTCTGTATCTTTCTTTACATTTCATTCATGTTTCTTACACCATTATAGTTTCATTTATTTGCTGTGTTTTCGTCTTTATGGGGCAATTGTCTCATTCTATTATCCATTTTTGTGACTGCCATACAGGTTCATCACTTCAGACAAAGAGTTAGTACAACTACAGGTCTTGCTGTGTATGCCTGAACTGAATAACAGATGCAGTGGCCATTCACTGGCACACTTTGAAAGAAGTGCCATGATTAGTTACTGACCCTGACGTGCATCTGTTTGCCACATAATGATTTGGGGACTGACAATCTAGCAGTAAACTTTATGCTTTATGCAACTACTCACACAAGTTAGAAAACTTGAAAATCAAAAGTTAAGCAATACAGAAATAGTCATCCCTTTGTATCCACAGGTGATTGGTTCCAGAACTCCCACAAATACCAAATTCTGTGCATGTTCAAGAACCTTATATAAAATGGTGAAGTATTTGCAAATAATCTATGCATAGCCTCCCATATGTAGTTTGAATTGTCTCTACATTACTTATAATTCCTAATACAATGTAAATACTAGGTTAGCAGATGTTGTACTGTATTGTGTTTTGGTTTGTATTATTTTTATTGTTATATCATTATTTTTAATTTTTTGAATATTTTTGATTCACTTTTGGTTGAATCTTCAATGTGGACTGCTGGATATGGAGCACCGCTGTACAAAATTTCATTTGATCTCTCTCATCACAATCTCACTTTCTCTGCTTCTCAAAAATAACTTCTTTTTGCTTTCTTCCAGACTCTTTTACAGTCAATTTAAAATCTATGTATATACATAGAAAAGAACACAGAAACTAATTTTGTTTTTGTTTCAGTTCTAAAATAAATGAGACACTAGAGGCCAGAACAGCACTTGGAACATAGTATATAGGTGCAATAAATACTTGCTGGATGAATGTCTACTATTTGCTACATGTTCTTTTCACTGGACGTTAATTCTTAAAGATTCTTTACTGACAGCATTCTATTCAATGTAATGGCTCCATAATATTATATAGTATTAATGAAATTATATTTTATGTATTATTTGCCTACTAGTGGGCAATGATTTTACTTATGATTTTTGCTGTTATTTACAAAACCAACAAATACCCTTGTGTGTATATTTTGCATACCTATGGGATATTTCTCTAAATAGATATTTAATTGGTATGGCTTTTTTCCCCTTCCCTAAACCTATGTTATGCTTTTTATTTTATATGATGCTAATTCTTTGAAACATGTCTCTTATTATTTAACCTGGTTTAATGTATAGATGGTAATAAATACATTTTAACTTATGTGGTTACATATATCAACCATAAAAATATTTTCTTAATAGTAAATAAATAGTAATAACAAAACATATCTCACATGGTGTTAGGATGTCCCACATAAAATGATTAAGGTTATTTAATTTGCAGTAAGATGTTATACAGGTCTTTGTTAGGTAAAAAGCTAGCAACTTAAGTGAAATTGTAGGATGAAAACTTCTCTTATACAAAAAACCACTTCAGGTTTGTTTTTTTGTAACTCATGGAGTCAATATTTTTATTCACAGTAATATAATAATCATTCAAAAATTTTTACCTCCTTCATTAATGTTTTAATGTTTTTAGAATTAAAAATATAATTTTTATCATGATATTAAGAGATATTAATCCAAATTTTTACTTTTAATACATTTGTTTGTTTTACTGTGTCTAACTATCTTTACCCTATATTTTCATTTTATTTGTTCTGTGAAGTTCTAGAATAATGATTCTTTCCATGTTTTGAAGAAATAGATTATAAACCATTTAAAGCCTGTCAAAAAGCAACATATAGTCTTTTGGAAGATCTCATAATCTTCCTTCAGGATGAAACACATTTGTCATTATCTGGAATTAGAACAGTTAAAATGTAATTTGAAATGATAAGACTAAGTATTTTCTCATTTAATATTTACAATGAGACATGGTTGAAGATTTTAAAGGGCATTTTTAAAGCTTTAAAAAATAAGATAAAGGATATAGCTATAAATAACACATCTTTTTAAAAGATAATCTATTTTTGCTCTTAAATTGTCATCTTGCCTGACATTGGGAAGAAGAATACTCCTAACAAA
The DNA here is from genome assembly GCF_000001405.40 of Homo sapiens. Lineage (NCBI taxonomy): Eukaryota > Metazoa > Chordata > Mammalia > Primates > Hominidae > Homo > Homo sapiens. The sequence goes on along the minus strand of NC_000002.12, from coordinate 185,408,906 downwards.
ATATTGCTTCACCCCTTGACTCCCAGAGGTCAATTCATTTCCAAAATAAGCTGTAGTTGTAAAGACCTGTGTCTGGGCAAGTGAAAAGGTTATGATGCAGAAGCATCCACAGGCATCTATGCAGTTTTATCTACCAGCAGAAAAGGTCTAAGATTGATTTTTTTCTATATGTGAATATTTTAGCACTAAATTCATAGAATTTCTCCAGTAAATAGTTATAATTTTTAGTTTAGTTGCTAAATACAAAAACACTACACAAACCAACTTTCTAGTCATATTATATATTTGCATGATATATTAATTATTAGATTGAGCCATATAACTGCTATTTTTTTAGGGTCAAAAAATTGAACATTAGTTCTCACTTGTAAATGGGAGCTAAACATTGGGTATACACAGAAACAAAGATGGGAAGAAATGACATTGGAGATTCTAAAAGGGAGAAAGACAGAGGGGAACACAGGTTGAAAAACTACCTGTTGGGTACTATGTTCACTACTTAGGTGACAGGATCATTAGAAGCCCAAACCTCAGCATCATGTAGTACACCCATGTAACAAATCTGCACGTGTACCTTCTAAATCTAAAATAAAAAATAAACTTAAAAAAGAAGAATAGATACAATGGATTGAAATATAGCAAAGTATAATAAGCTGTGAGTTCCTAGTGATACTACTAGTCCCTTTTGGAGGTTGCCAGAATACAAGGTCATTTCCTGAAAATTGATACATAAAGGGAAAGAATACAATATTTATTTTCCTCCCATCTAAAGATCATGTTTCAGGATAAGCAAATAGCTTATGAGGGAAAAATAGTGTATTAGCCTGTTTTCATACTGCTATGAAGAAATACCCAAGACTGGATAATTTATAGAGAAAAAGAGGTTTGGCCGGGCGCGGTGGCTCATGCCTGTAATCTCAGCATTTTGGGAGGCCGAGGCGGGCGGATCACGAGGTCAGGAGATCAAGACCATCCCGGCTAACACGGTGAAAACCCGTCTCTACTAAAAATACAAAAAAATTAGCCAGGCGTGGTTGCAGGCGCCTGTAGTCCCAGCTACTCCGGATGCTGAGGCAGGAGAAAGGCATGAACCCGGAAGGCAGAGCTTGCAGTGAACAGAGATCATGCCACTGTACTCCAGCCTGGGTGACAGAGCGAGACTCCGTCTCAAAAAAAAAAAAAAAGAAGAAAAAAGAAAAACAGGTTTAATGTACTCACAGTTCCACATGGCTGGGAGGCCTCAGAATCATGGCAATAGCTAAAAAAGGAGCAACAGCACATCTTATGTGGCCTCAGGCAAGAGAGCGTACGCAGAGGGGCTGCCCTTTATGAAACCATCAGATCTCTCGTGAGACTTATTTACAATGACAAAAACCGCACTGGAAAAATCCACTCCCATGATTCAATTACCTCCTATCAGGTCCCTCCCACGACATGGGGATTATGGGAGAGACAGTTCAAGATGAGGTTTCCGTGGGTACACAGCCAAACAATGTCAGTTAGTTTTAGAAGAATCAAAGCTAACAAGTGCAGCAAGAATGATAAAATTGAAAAATGAACCTTTTGTAATACCAGATAAAACTATCTCAGCAATGCTTTAAAAAAAACATTGAACATTAGCAATTTCAAATCAACTTAAGTTGATTTCACAGACTGAAATGAGAACCTGGTGGGTTTTTTGAAGGAACTGTTTTAGAGAATATTCTGCCCTTACCCCTTTTCTACAGTGAGCCAAATGATAATTAGGAAAATACAAAAAAGTATTATTATTTTTTTGGCTGGGCGCAGTGGCTCACGCCTGTAATCCCAGCACTTTGGAAGGCCAAGGTGGGCGGATCACAAGGTCAGGAGATAGAGACCATCCTGGCTAACACAGTGAAACCCCGTCTCTACTAAAAACACAAAAAATTAGCCGGGTGTGGCGGCGGGCGCCTGTAGTCCCAGCTACTCGGGAGTCTGAGGCAGGAGAGTGGCATGAACCCAGGAGGTGGAGCTTGCAGTGAGCCAAGATGGTGCCACTGCACTCCAGCCTGGGCGACAGAGTGAGACTCCCTCTCAAAAAAAAAAAAAAAAAAGAATGAAAAAAGTATTATTTTTTAACAATCATAAAACCAAAGGTTATTAATTCAAATCTTCTCTTCTCCAATATAGAGATGTAACTATTTGAAGATATCATTACTTTTTTTCTTTCAAAAGTTTTATTTTTTTCCATTTCTTCAATATGAAGTGAGAAATAAAATTTCCTCAAGCCATTGCATGAATCATTTTACAGAGGTCTGCAATCATAAAAAAAAGTGGAAGCTACTAATCATTTCTGACAGAAATGGACATTTACCCTTGTACATTTGCTATTATATATTTCATATTCACATAATTTTGTCATTTCTTTACATTGATTTCTGAGAGATGTGTAACTTTTAATACAAATTTAAAGAAGGTGAAAAATAGAAGCAAAGTGAAATGAAAATATCCCTTTATTACATAAAGTGATATGATTACTCATATTATAATATTTTTCTGATTTATTTAGCAAGCTCCAAAATGTCTTATCTAACCTTAAAGATTCATTTCATTTTGATTTCCTTTCCCCTCATCTTTCCAGAAACTACTAGGACATAATTACACAGAAAACTATTTTGAGATTTTTCATTCTCCAATTGTCTCTTTTTCTGTTTGTTTTTCATACAGGCATTATTCCTATCTGACTAGCCTAAGGATTAAGAGCTGGAGAAGTGGGTACCTTTGTGTATATGTGTGTGTGTGTGTGTGTGTGTGTGTGTGTGTGTGTGTGTTTCTTTCAGCTCTGAGCACACACTCTAACAACTGTTAAAATCTAATATTTTTTTCCAAGTCCTTATGCTGCATAGGAAAATTACTTAACAAAGGACCACAATACAATCTTAACATTTAATTTTAGCATTTTTTTTTGCTCTTTAAGTTCAGGAATCTGCATTGATACAGTTTTATTATCAAAGAAGTTTTCTTATTTTTCTTTACTCAATCTATTTTCTCAAATCTATTTCTCAGTTAGAAGCATTTAAACAATGGCTTCTAACTTATCAAGTTTTTCTTAAAAATAATTGTAGTTATTTAACTAAAAATGTAAATTGGGCATATGCTACATTCTTTTATGAAAGTACTCCACTGTACAGTTTTCTGTTTAAATGCAAAAAAATAAATAGTCGTTTCCTTCAGGTGATAAATCTACATTCTTAGTACTGCTTAATTTGTTCTGAAAACAAATTTGCTGTTGAAATATTACCCTTCCTACATAATGACCAGAAAATGTAATTGTTACAGTAAAGCGCAAATAGCTGAGCATATTAACTGGTAAACTACTTTGACACCGTTGGGATTTTTGTTTTGTAAAATAATGATCTCAAGACCAATGCTCCTTGACTCTTACAATAAATTAAGAAACTGATATTTCTTGTTGGATTGCATGTGCCTCTTTTCCAGTCCCAAATGTGCAAATCCTGTATGTTATTTGATTGTCTTGTGCTAGTTTATATAGGACAGCCAGTGTGAACTTGAGAGCAATTGCTTAATATTGAAATCAGAAAAATATTTCATTATTCACTAGCTATAGCATCTGGGTAGTGTTGAGGATGTCCCAAAGTGCACAATTAGGCTTCCAGACTTTATGTCAGAAATAATAGGAATGTTGGTTAATCCAGATGATTCCTGGAAGCAGCTGCTTTAATGTAATATTCTACTTCATATTTTTTAAATTGCTTTCTGTACTTAATTTTTCATTGACTTTGACAAGAATATGTAAGGATTTGTGTATGTTTGTGACATGCTATGATGGTTTAAATGTCAGTTAAATCAATAATCAGTGACAGAGTTTTAGAATAAGAACTACTTTGAGGCCTAATTCTTCCATCAATATAAATTTGCAACTGACATGAACATGAATAAGAATTACAGCTCTGTACCAAGGAATGGACTCCTATGGATTGCACCATGGTTAAGAAGTATTTATAATCAGTGTGTTTCATCATTTCACTAGGTAATCGTTGCTTGATTACATGTTTGAAAATACTAAAACAAACACACAGTGTAGATAAATGGTAATCGTTAAGGAGAAAGGCAATATTGTTCATTTTTGTTGAGTGTTTTATTAATAATGTACACTAGAGGGTACTGGCTGTTTGCAAAGACTGTTGTAATAATATTATCCTACCAATGTGCCAAACTCCTTCTCCAGAATAACCTTCAAAACCTGGAATTTTTATTTGAAGACTAAAATTGAACTTATGCACCAATTTATTAACAATATTTTATAATTAAATTTGAGCTGATATTTGCCATCAATTCTGATATTATATAGATTATTTCATTCACTTTTGTGTTAAAAAATTAGAATGGAAATGAGAATGGGAATGAGTTTTAGAAAATCTATATTTTTTATCACATTGGTTTATATCCAAATAGATTTGAATACTGTTTTCTGATTAATGTGTTCATTTACTCTATATTGGTTGTGTATGAAAATTATGTATTCCCTACCAATGCACAGGAGCAATTAAACTAAAAATATTTCATCTAAAATAAAACAAAACCAAACAAAATGAATGGCTTAGCAGAAAATGTGAAGTAAACTATGTGAATTTAAATATATATATATATATATTTGGTGAATTTATTGTGGTGACTATTATAGAGCATTAAAAGTATAAGTAAAATATTCAGACAGGGATCAGAAGATATAAGAAATATTGAAAATATGGTTATTTAAATTTTCTTTTATTCTTCTATTTTTCGTTAGTGCTGTTTTGTGTTTCTGTGTTCCAATACGCTTAAGTTAATTAATTTATAAGTTAACTCTTAATTAAGAGTATTTTCTACCATGCATATGCCTCCCGTGTTTCCTAGCATTCCTAGATTTCTATAATTTTTTAAAATTAAAATAAAAAATACTAACCCTAAGTGCAGAATAGAATCTCACTGTCATATCATTACCTCAGTCTTCAATAACTTAGACATGAAATCTAATCAAAGTAACTACACAAAGCCTGGAATATCCTAGAAAAGGGATACATAAGTTTCAGCCTTTTTTTCTCAACCAATCCTACACAGAGTGATAGGAAGATCAAAACTATAAACACTCAAAAATGAGAATTATATAGAAATAATTGATAAATTAAATATGTTTTTGTAAGCTGGATACAGTGGCTCACGCTTGTAATCCCAGCACCTTGCGAGACCAAGATAGGATGATCACTTGAGGCCAGGAGGTTGAACCCAGTCTGGGAAATATAGCAAGGACCCCATCTCTACGAAAAAGTTAAAAATTATTTGGATGTGGTTTTGCATGCCTATAGACCCAGCTACCCATGAGGCTGAGGCAGGAGGATTGCTTGAACCCAGGAGTTTAAGGCTGCTGTGAGGTATGATCTCACTACGACACTCCAGTCTAGGTTATAGAGTGAGACTCCATCTCTTATATGTGTGTGGTATGTGTATGTGGGTGTGAGTGTGTGTGTTTTAAAGATAAGATATTTATGTTCAATTTAGTTTTTGTCAATTAATTGATGGGCTACTCGAAAGGAGTGGTTGAGGAAAGTTTAATAAAGGGATCATTTGCAAAAGTGCAAGTAGGAAAAGGAAAGCACCTGGGGCTGGTAATGATTACTACACACCTAAGCCAGAAGGAGCAAGGAAAGGAAGTTGTTTGCTGGACTTAGTTAGACCTGTAACTCAAGAAGACAACTCAGATTTGTTATTCCCTCTTCCATCCTTCTCATGGCTACGCACCCCTACAGGTAACAAATTTCATAAGTTTCTGATTTGCCCTTTCTGTATTTTCATTTTGCAAAAATTTAGCAAATACCTGTGTATTTTTTATGCTCTCTCTTTTAATAAAAAATATAACATAATATGGATACTCTTTTGTACTGTGTTTTTTCACTTGACAAGGTATCTGAGAAATTAATACATATAAATTTATAAATATCTACGTATTCTTTTATATAGCTACTTAGTACTCAGTTGTGTGGATGGACCACAGTGTATTCAACATGTGTGGGGGCATTTAAATTATATCTAATTTTTTGTATCATAAATAATTCTACAGTAAATAACCCCTGTGCTGATGTATTTCTACACTACTGGAAATTTACTCACAGGGAAAATTCTTAGACAGTAGGATTGCTGGTTCAAATGGTAAAATCATATGTATTTTTTAAAGATATTGACTAATTTCCCTCAGGAGTTGCACAACATTATATTCCCGACATCAGTGTATGAGAATATCAATGTTTTATTACAGTTTTGCCAAAAGAGTATATTGTCAACTTTTTGTTTTGTCAAACTGATAGATCAGATATTGTATCTCATTCTAGTTTTGGTTTTCTTTCTTTTATTTTCTTGTATTAAGTGAAAATGAAGACCCTTCTATATGTTTACAAGCCATTTTCATATATCTTTTAACATTCTTTTTATGAATTTTCTGCTTGTATATTTTTTCTATCAAATTTTGGCCTCATTTTTTTCCATCTTAAAAGATGCTTATATATTAGAGAGATTTTTTTTTACCTATGTTTATATTACATTTTTAAAGTTTTAATCTGTTTTAAATTTTCCTTATGGTGATATAGAGAAACACACCATGTTATTTTCTAATATTTTTAAGATTTATTTCTTACATCTAGATCTCCAGTCTGGTTGGAGTTCACTCTTGCATGTGATGATGAATGCACACCCATATTATATGTGATACAGGTGCACTTTTTAAAATGGCTTATACAGTTATTTCCCCTTTCATTCAAACAGAAAATTATTCTATTTCCTAGTGATTAGGGGTGTCAGTTTTGGTAATATACTAAATACTCCATTGTATTTGAGTCTATTTATTGAATTTCTATTCTATTCCCTTGTCTCTTTGCTTATTTTTGAGCTAGTATCACATTGAAGCTATGTTTAAGTATGTTTCAATACTTGGTAGTGACTTATTCATCCTCATAGCCTTTTCCATCCAGTGATTTCCTAGATGTTCGTACATATTTCACTTTTCATCACAACTTTAGTATAAACATGTGTACTTTCATGGAATAAATCAATACAAAACAACACAAAAACCCTAACTAATATTTTTATTGGGATTATATAAACATAGGAATAATTAACTCCTACAATGTTAAGTCATTTTACCTCAAAACAGGAGATAGCTTTCCATTTTGTTCAAGTTGACATTTGGTATGCTTTGTAGAATTTAAGTTTTCTTTATATAGATTTTGCACATCTTTATTATCGTTATGTAAAATTTTTGTTGCTATAATTTTATTTTGTGCTATTTAATCATTTTAGTTATTAATATTATACTTGCTGCAGAAAATATTTGAAAGACATTCTAAATTTATTATGTTTGGGGAAAAGTATGTGGCATGATATTATCTGGTTTTTGAAAGCTTGATAGAATTCACACGTGTAAATCTTTGGGCATGGTGCTTTAAGAGTTTATCCAATAAGGATGGACTCTGGGATGCAGTTTTGGTAGGAATAAGTCTCTTCAGTCAGTCTGGAATTGTCTTGGCTTGAGACTACATTTAATAATTCCTAAGGACTCTTTCTTTACCTCATTCTAGAGTATAGCCCTTCTGAAATTTTAACTGCAAGTTTGGAATGTTTACCGAGGCTGCTTCTCCTTTGCAGACAATGAAATCCAATTTTTATTTTTCTTATGTATTTATTTATTTGTCATTCAAACACTGTGCGTTCTTTTTTCTGCTTGATTTCTTGGTCTCTCTATCCTCTGCCTCTTATGAATCAGCAAATGTCTCAAGGAGAAAGGTGTTGTGCAAAATCAGGCTTGCTTCAGTTTATTTTCCTTCACAGGAGGATCTTTGATTCTGAAGTTGTGGATTCCATGGTAACATTACTCTATCTTCAAACAGATGTTTATTTTGAATGCTATCCAAATTTTCAGGTGATTTTGGTGAGAACAAGCATGAACAACAATAATCTATTTTTCTATTAGCAGATGTAGAAAAATGAACTTAGATATTAATAAAGTGTTTATATAAGAACATTCCTGCAATTTTCACTTGAAGATTTTTGTCAATACATTAACTGTTGTATATTTTCAATATGATTTTTGTCAATGCATTGCCTGTTCCTTATTTTCACAGTCATATTGAAAATTAGTCTGTGTAGAATAGAGTAACTGGAAACAATCCATAATGTTCATATCCATCTTCTAACAAAAGGTGAGATCCGTAACCTATTTTGCTCCTTTCTTTCCTAGTTTACTTGAAAGATCAGAGACAGACTGATATGCTTTGGCTGTGTCCCCACTCAAATGTCATCTTGAATTATAGCTCCCATAATTCCCACGTATTTTTTGAGAGACCCAGTGGAGATAATTAATCATGGGGGCGTTTTCCCCCATACTGTTTTCGTGGTAGTGAATAAGTCTCATGAGATCTCATGGTTTTATAAGGGGTTTTCGTCTTCACTTGGCTTTCATTCTTCTCTTGCCTGCTGCCATTGAGACATGCCTTTGCTCCTCCTTGACTTCTGCCATGATTGTGAGGCCTCCCCAGCCATGTGGAACTGTGAGTCCATTAAACCTCTTTTTCTTTATACATTATCCAGTCTTGGGTATATCTTTATCTGCAGCATGAAAACAGATGAATACACAGACTTAGTGAAAATATTTGATCCCTTTCTGGAAATGTATTGTGTTTTTTTGGTGGTTTTTTTTTTTTTTGAGACGGAGTTTGTTGTTGCCCAGGCTGGAGTGCAATGGCACGATCTCGGCTCACTGCAACCTCTGCCTCCTGGGTTGAAGCGATTCTCCTGCCTCAGCCTCCCAAGTGGCTGGAATTACAGGCATGCACCACCATGCCCGGCTAATTTTTATTTTTATTTTTATTTTTTTTTTTGAGACGGAGTCTTGCTCTGTCGCCCAGGCTGGAGTGCAGTGGCCAATGTCGGCTCAATGCAAGCTCCACCTCCCGGGTTCACGCCATTCTCCTGCCTCAGCCTCCCAAGTAGCTGGGACTACAGGCTTCCACCACCACGCCCAGCTAATTTTTTGTATTTTTAGTAGAGATGGGGTTTCACTGTGTTAGCCAGGATGGTCTCGATCTCCTGACCTCATGATCCGCTCGCCTCAGCCTCCCAAAGTGCTGGGATTACAGGCGTGAGCCACTGCACCCAGCCTAATTTTTTGTATTTTTAGTAGAGACGGGGTTTCTCCATGTTGGTCAGGCTGATCTATTTTTCTAGGGCTGCTTAACAAAGTACCGCAAACTAGGTTGCTTAAACCACAGAAATGTATTGTATCACAGTTCTGGACTGTGTGCTTGGCTCCTTCTCAGGGCTGTGAGGAAAAGATCTGTTTCAGGACTTGGTCCTTGGCTTGTAGATGGCTGTTTTCTCTCTGTATCTCTTCACATCATTCTCTCTCTGTGTGTGTCTATATTTGTCCAAATTTCCAACTTTTAAAAGGACACCAGTGATATTGAACTAGGGCCCACCTTTATGACCTAAATTTGACATGATTACCTCTGTAAAGATCCTGTCTTCATAGAAAGTAACATTTTGAGGTACTGGGGATTGGGATTTCAACATATCTTTTTGAGGGGACAAAATTAACTGGTAAAGAAGTAAATGTAATATAAAAGAAAATGTACAATAAAATTTATGAATTCATTGTAGAAACAGTCATATTTTAAAAATTAGCAGGTTATGAATTGCTGATATATGAAAAGATTAACTTCAGGGAACCACTTCACAGTAAGCAGCCTAAATCAGCAAAAAGTATTAGTAAAAATAAGCTGAGGTCAGTTTTTCAGAGCCTCCTAACAGCTAGAACAAATAAACAGAGTATGTTATTAGCTCTTCCTAGGCAAATCATCTACACAATTGGATTAATAACGTGGAAACACCAGTGAGCCTATTGATTCGGTTTTTCAAAATTCTGAAGTTTTAAACAAATACCTTTGAATCCCTTACCATGAAATTAGGTACATTGTCATGAGATTTTCCGGCCATTCTACACTTTATGACAAAAACATAAAATAAGCCACAGAGAAAATGTTAATAATATCTGAATATTATGAGAAAATTTGCCTATAAAAGTATATTAAAAAGTCTCATTAATCAGGCATCCTCTGTAGTGACAAGGTTGCTTCATGAGCTACATGAAGTAATTTAGAGAACACTTCCACTTCTGCAGCTAAGTCTGAATTAAACAACAAAAAAGTTTGAGCTCTCATCATTTTAATACCAAATAACTTTTACCTGTGGATATAAAACTTTATTTAGGTTTAATTTCTCAATGATTTCTGGATGCATATTTTATTAAAAATCTGTTTATTAAGAGCTAAAATAATTATGTTTGTATACTATTTACTGAATGATTATTAAATATACTAATATTTTTAGAATGGTCTCTGTCTGTCAGGGTTACATCAGGAAAGATAGCCTACTCGAGTGAGATTACTCATAAGTTGAACATATCACCTACTGTCCAATCCCTGCTAATCTGAAATTAATAAGTACACCAGAACAAGAAGCATAAACTGGAACTGTAATTAAGCCAATGTGCACAATCACTCTAGTGATTTAAAAAATTCAACAAAGGAACTATTAGTACATATATAGTCAAAGTTAAGAATATCAACAACACATGGAGTAGTGGTATCACAGAGCAAAATTTGGGAGGCATTATCATCTGTTGAACACTAAGGTCAATGGGAGAGAGTCATTACTCAAACTCATGGAGAGAATGGCTGTAGGACAGGAATTGTGTCTTTAAGTAGAATAACACAGGTGATCCTTGTTAATCTGAAAGACTAGAAAAAGCTCACTAGTATCTCTCCCCTCTTTACATTTCAGTGTTGGGCTTGTACTCTCATTGCTTAACCTTAACGAGAAGCCACACGGCAAGGAAATCTTCATGTAGTCCATGCAGGTGAGCTTCCCAGGGTACAGGGCAGGATGGAAAGAGTGGAGTTGTGGTAGAGAAGGGACACAAATTTACATGAAATTAATGTACATTTTTATACATAGTCTGTCTACAAACATTTTTCTCCTCAAATATTAATTCAATAGGATAAGCATTTTCCCTAAATAACAGTGAGAAAAAAGAGATAAAAGGAGATTGAGTAAGTTTCCTATGGTCATAGACTTATTAATTATGTGAGGTTAGATTGTAACTGTATAATTTAGCCTACTACAGGTGTTTTTTCTGAATATCAATATTTCAAATTCTTTCTCTAGCCCATATGCATAAATATATGTTTATGTGTGTGTGTGTATATATCTATATGAATAAAAAACACATATGTGTGTGTGTATTATATATAGGTACACAATAGTTTCTGGGTGCCATTACCACTATGTGTCCATTTTAATGTTAAAATTGCCCTAAATGTGTGACTTTGAAATACAGAAACATGCATAGATGCATACTGTTTTACTATTTTGTTTTGATTTTATGCAATAATACCTAAAATTATTAAATGATGATATATCTGTGAAGTCAATAAGAAATACAGAGTCCACAACCAGAGTGAGAACTTCTATCAATGTCTTACCCATTCTCTCTCAATTGGTTCCTTTTGGATGATGCCTTTCAGCCAACTGAATGGTTCTTTTTCCAAAGACCACCCATGGACCAATCTGCATGTACTCCCCCATTCTGAGCCCATAAAAACCCTGGACTCAGCCTCAGGGGGCTACCCACTTTCAGGGCCCTCTTGCAGCCAATGGCTACCCACTTTTGGGCTCCCTCTTACTGCTGAGGGCAACCCACTTTCAGGGTCCCCTCTTATATTTGAGAGCTTTCCTGTGTCACTCAATAAAATTATCTGCCTTACTCACTTTCTGGTTTCCATGAACCTTATTCCTCTTGGTCAGGGGACAAGAGCCCAGACCTTGCTGAGCTGTGGGTGGCAGAAACAAGAGAGCTGTAACATACCCGTGTTTGCCATGCTGCCAGCATGAAGAAGTGAAGCCACTGGATACCACTCCCTACTGCTTGCTGAGCAATGGGTGAGAAAAAGCCGCTGAATGGCATTCCCTCCTGCTTGCTGAACTACAAAAGGTGCAACATTTCTTGGGGGCTCAGACCTCAGGACTCCCTGAAGAAGAGCTGTAACATCCCTTGGGGCTCCACAATTGATGGCATCTCCTAATTTTGGAGTACCACCATGTTCCCCTTATCTAGATGCTCGTGCCCAATGCAGAAGCTGCTTGTGGCACACGCAGTTCAGCTGCAGGCTGTGTGGAGCCAGGGTGGGCATGGGATCTGGGCTGGTAGTGCAAGCTGAGTACAATCAGCTGGACCTAGTGGGCAGAGTGACCCCAGTAGGCCTGTACGAGTCCCCAGGCAGAGGTCATGGCAGCCACAGAGATTTCTAGCTGGCGAAGCAGTACCAAAAGAATCCTGTAACATGTGTGATATGTAATTGAGGATCTGCTTAAAAAAGGTTATTTAATTGCAGCTCTGTATACCTGTTGAGATATTTCTGACTAAAATTAAAGTATGGCAGTGAAAATGAGTCAGAATGTACCCTGTATGCTAAGTGGCTTAGCATTTTTGGTTCATGTGTTTTCTATAAATCAATACTCTGATGTTATTATTATATAACTGGTATTTTTTCTTTTATAATTTTAGATACCATTTGTAGGACTTGAAAGATGATACCAAAGCAATTTTCTATTTTAGTCACTGTATTTAAACTAAATGTTATCAAATGAAAATTAATAAGATATTATTTTGTTTTATTTAAAAATAGAGTAAACTCACTCTCACGTTGTTAGAAATGACACATACACTTTCCTTCTATTGTTATGAAGGCTTCATTGAAGTAAAAGTACAGAAATTCTGTGAAAAAGAAAGGCTTAATAGTGAGAAGACAGCAGGGTACAGGGAGGATTATTATAAGTAGTAAAATATATTTGAATTAATTACTTGGAGGAATAAAATGTACATGATGAAGTGTATGCAAGAAAACAAAGCCAAGAATATATACCGTGGAAGCTACTCTTTCCAGTAGAATTTTGTAGAAGTTCTAGGTTCAGTTTCACGATAAGATGTCAGTCACATGGATGGAATAAATAGATCAAAATCAGGCAATTAAATTAGATTAAATCAAACCAAATACAGTATGAAGGTATTGGTAAGCACCCCTTTTCTCTGCAAGACATGAAAACTTGAACCTATAAAGCAAACAATCAGTGGAAATAATGGATATTTTCTCTTGCATAAATGTTGTACCCCCAAATTATTAGTTCTTTCATTTTCTCTCTCTCTTTTTTCCTAATATGAGTGTCAACAGCTAGAGGGCTGATTCAGTGCTTCTTTACCCTAAAGTAAGCCTACAAATTATCATACCTCATTTTTCATTCTGTTTATTCACCTTAATATCCATATTGGAATCCCTATTGAGAACAGCTTCCCAATCCCACAGGAACATAATTTTGCTTGCATAATATCAGCAGAAAGAAGGGAGTCACACATATACTGGATTAAACTCTAGACCAGAAAAATGATACTTGTGACACAATTGGCTTCATTAATTAGGTGTGTAGATTAGATAATAATATTTTAATAATGTTCATATTAATTAACATTATTATGTTAATTTTTGATAATTTTGATAATTTTCCATGGCTACTCAAAACAATATTCTAATTTATTTTGCAGATACACATGTCAGAGTGTGTATTTAGAGATAAACTGACATCCAATCTGCAGCCTGCATGCAAAAGTCTTACGCAAAAAAGAAAGAAGCTCTAAAGCAAGTGTGGTAAAATGTTAACATTTGAGAATTTGAAAGAAAGGTATACAGAAATATTTGTGCTATTTTGTTAAAGTTTCATTTGTCTGAAATTACTGTGATTATAGAAGAATGTCTTTGTTTTTACACATACACACTGAATTATTTCAAAGTAATGGGGCAAATGTTTCAGAAAAAAGTATATACATATCTATCATCTATCTGCATGTGAGTATAGCGTGTCGATACATGTATGCAAGAGAATCTTATAAAGTGAGCTGAGCAATTATTATACAAAGTAAGTAAGAAAATACAAACAAGCTTCTAGGTGTTTTCAATTTACATGATAATTTATAAATCTATATAGAAAATAAATAATAGTAGAATAAGTAGAATATGGATCCTGAAAGAGAAACCATATTATGCAAACATATTATTTCAATGAATGAGTTAATGTGGGGAGCCAAATCTCAGAGTTATTCAAGGAGATATTGAATAAATAAGGCTGGGTGCAGTGGCTCATGCCTGTAATCCCAGCACTTTGGGAGGCAGAGGCAGGCAAATCACTTGAGGTCAGGAGTTCGAGACCAGTCTGGCAAACATGATGAAACTCTGCCTCTACTAAAAATACAAAAGTTAGCCAGGCGTGGTGGCAAGCACCTGTAATCTCAGCTACTCAGGAGGCTGAGTCAGTAGTATCACTTGAACCCAGGAGGTGGAGGTTACAGTGAGCGAGATTGCATCACTGCACTCCAGCCTGGGCAATAGAGCAAAACTCAGTCTCAAAAAAAAGAAAAAAATTGCATAAATAAAATATTACTAGAATTCTACTGTGAAAGGAAAGTTGAAGATGGCTAAATAATTCCTAAAAATTAACAAGATTGTGAATACAGTAACACAATAAAATATGTGAGACACACATAATGCACTTCACCAAATATTGAACTGGGGAACTGGAAGATCAAGCTGAAAAATCTTACCAGAATCTGGAACAAAAATGCAAACACTTTACTAAAGAAAAGATAAAATATTTAGATAAATTATTCAGGTGACCATATGTTACTTTTAAAAGAAATAATACAGCACATAGAGAAGAAAAAGAACTAATGAAAAAATATACATATATATACCCGAAGGGAAGAATTATCAGCTTAAAAGGGACCACATGAATCATGTATAATTAATAAAAAAAGATTCAAATTTAAATATATGTCAGTGAATTATAACTTCAAATTTGTAAATTCAAACCAGACTCAAATTTAAATATATATCAGTGAATTAAAACTTCAAATTTATAAATTCAAACCAGTCACTGCTTTCAGAATAAACAAAACAAATACAGTAATGTGAACAAATATTATGTTTCATGTCAGATTTTTACTCCCAACTCTAATAATTCACTCATGTCTAAATATTTAATAAATCTAGATTTTTTTTGAAAAATAACACAATATTCTAACCAGACCATAGTCCCATTGCTTTATGTGGGTGTTATAGGGAGCTATTTTAATTATATGTTTGAATTACAGAAAATTGAGAATTTAACAGGCTAATAAATATTAGTTTTCTAATTGAAGCCATTTTGATAAAATAAACAACCTGAGCCTAGAGTCAGGTTTTTGAGCAGGTTATTGGCAGAGTCCCTCATTATTGACAGAGTAGGAGCATCGCTGTCTTGGACAAGTACCGTCATTTTAAATTTCACCTTGATCAAAAACCACCTAAATCCAAAGGGCATCAGCCTAATGGCTAAGGTCAGCATGACCGTAAACCACAAATAACATCTCTGACCAGAAATAGTCCAAAGCCCTCCCTGACCAGAGACATCCCAGGCCCGAGATAACCTCCCCTCCAGACAGAGAGATGTCAGCCCCAAGATAACCTCCCCTCTGACCAAAGACATTCCAGCCGTAACAGAAACTTCTCCCAGACACAGAAACATTCCAAGCTCTCACAACAATAAATGCCCTTAGTCTGTAAAAGAGATCACTCCTGACCAAAGTCAGCCAGAAGCCCCTGTCAGGTTTATTCTCCAAAATAAGCCTGTCTTTGACTGTTGAGCCACTTTTCGTGTTTGTTTCCTCTTTCTTTAACTCTTACAATTATGTGAACTGGTTATCCACCATGTAAGATTTTCTTCATCGTCATCTGGACACTTCAGAGTAAAAATCATTTTATAGGAATTATTTTGAGAATTGGATGTTTTCTTGACTTATAATATTGTCTGTCATTTCAACTGACAAGACTAGGTTAAGAAAACAACATTATTTCAATAGCTTTATAATAATAAAGACTGTGTTGCTGCATGTAACAGAAATCTTGCTTTAGTGAATAGGTGGTAGTTTTCTTCAAGCGGCAAGGAGTACAGAGGTATACATCCCATGGCTACTGCAGCTAGTCCACAAAGTCATCAAAGACCCAGGCACATACTAGCTTTGTCTTTACTTTCTTTATGATGGAGCTTTTAGCCTTTTGGTTTAAAAATGGCTTCTCCACACCTAGGCACTGAGTTCAAATTCTAGTAAAAAATAAAATTGTAAGATAAAAAACAAAAAGATATGCACATATTAATTATGGTTTTTTTTAAGTTAGAAAAACAGTAACTTTCTGTAATCTGCAACTAGTATATTTCTGTTTATAACACTGGTCAGAATGATGTCATATGGCTATATCTAGTCGCAAGGAAACCTAGGGAGATGAGAAATTTTAACTGGAGACTGCTGTCATGAACAAAATTAGAGATCAGTTAGTAATAATTAAGTAAAATATCTATATTATTAAAGCAAATATCACTGTTGGTAACAAGTATACAATAAACAAAAACTTTGCCATAATCTAATATTCTTAAATATATTTCTGGGGTGAGGAAAACCAATTGAGACATATATATTGATAATTTTATTTGCTTCGATGAGGCTTTCATGAGCAAGTTTGTGGTAATTCAAAACTGACTGACATTTAACAAAAATCAACTGAAAGCATTAACTGGTTATTTATTGAATGCCTAATATTAGTTAGGCACTAAAGTCATGAAGAAGAAAGAAAAGTGTCCTGTTCTAATAGAGTTTATATTCTAGCTGGGAAATAAAGGAAAATTGGAAGAAAAACATAACAGTACACACCTGAGACATAGTTTGAGATGGTGATGTTAATGACAAACTTTTTCATTTCTATACCTCAAATTCTTTTGGCCTCACATCTGGGGCATTCATATTCCCATCAAAATACTCCAAATATAAAAGTAATCTTCCAATTTCTTCTCAGCAGACAACTCAATGGCTCAGATTAGTCAATATCAAACTCCATTTCTCCTAGCCACAGAGTGCATTTACTAAATGGATCTGCCTGAGGTATGTTATCATGTTTCCCTCAAATAAATTAGCTTGGAATGCCCATAAATTATTTTACTATATGTAACTGGCTGACTCTGCTGAATTAGGGCAATTTAATTTTTCTGGTGCTAGCAATTCTGTCACTATGTAATCAAATAAACAGAAGAACAATGCAGGCATTTGCTTTCATCTGGAGGGTGTTTAGGAACATCTATTGTAATAGTGACACATCTTAGAGTAGCAAGTGTATGGATTTAAACAGAAGTACAAAATTGCTAACACCACAAATGTATAGTATGGTTTATAATTACTTTTTTAAGATGCATATTCTATTGTTATTGATGATTCTTGTTTTCTTGGATTTTATTTCTTTAAGAATTGTTTCTGTGGTAGGTTGACTAATGTCTCCCAAAGATATTCATGTCCTAATCCCCAGAAACTACAAATGTTACCTTATATGCTAAAAAGGACTTTGCAGATGTGACAATAGGAGATGTGACAACACAAGCAAAAAGTTAGAGTGATGCAAGACAAAGAGGCAGGAGCTAAATAATGCAGGCAGTCTCTCAAAGCTGAAAAAAAAAAAAAGAAAAAAAAAAAATCCCATAGACCTCCCAGGTTTTATTGGTTTTCTTGATTGGAATAAAATAAAATGATTTATCAAAGTAAAATTAAATCAATATTTTAAAAGAGTACATTAAAAACAAATTAAAGTAATGTGTTGAATTGTATATCAAGGTGGTATATTGAAAATAATTAGTTCAAACGGAATCACACCACTGTATGCTCAGTGAATATTTAAAAAAATCTTTTTGAATCATGATGAAAATAACAGAGGACACACACTTGCAAACATATATTTTATTTTGGAGGTGTAGTTGTAGGCATAATGTTATTTTCTTTTGATTTCCCATTCAACAATCATATAAACAGATTCTCTTTTGGAGTAAAAAACAAACCTATATTCACAGGACAATAAAAGTAGCAAAAAATAAATGTAGACCACAGACTGTGACATACAGTAAATGGTGAAGTAGGGCACTCAGCTGCAAATAATCAGTCCCTTCATTAAAGTAAACCTCAGCTGGCAAAGACTGGTGGAATTAACTCTTTCAAAACCCTGGAATCTATTCTAAATTTTGCAGCATCCAAGGGGCCATTTAAGGAGAAAAGGGGCAGCGGAATTTTGGTAAAAACGCACCTACGAACGTAACATCCTCCATTCCCCAGCCAGCAACTGCATCCGTGGGGACAGGGTTGGCATTCCTGGTGTGGCTCATTGGTAACAGAGATTTTTTTTTTATATATACTTTAAGTTTTAGGGTACATGTGCACAACGTGCAGGTTTGATACATATGTATACATGTGCCATGTTGGTGGGCTGCACCCATTAACTCTTCATTTAACATTAGGTATATCTCCTAATGCTATCTCTCCCTAATATGGATTTGTCTTAAAAATAAGTTCATGCGTTTGAGCTGTCTGGTGGTTCCCTGAAGGACATGCAGAGGATGACCTTTGTTTCTCCCTCTTTAGGCTGAAGGGGCTTTCTGGGTATCTGCTGGAAGATTAAAGACATTTATTGCCTATGCCTGCCTAGGGCAAGGGACAGGATACAGGGCAAGAAGAAGACAGATCCAAAAGCCTGGGAAAACAGAGGCCAAAGACGAAATTCCTTGGGAGAGTAAGAGTTCAGAACAGCAACTACGCATATAGGAGAAAACAAAGTGCAACTTTTCCTCAGAAAAGATGGACTTGGTGGATCTGTGGGCCCGGTGCAAGCAAGAGGTGGAGGCTGACACAAAATTGTAGTTGGCCTGGCTCAGGGGTGAAAAGAGATCCATCTCAGATGCTCAAAGATGGAGAAAGAAGTGTGTTGTGTTGTGTTGTGTTGTGTTTTCCTCCAGGCATTTAAGATAACCAATCCAACCAATCATATCTCAGGACGCTGAAGACAGAATGTTTGCAGGCTCTCCCAGAAAATAGCTAAGGAGGACATTTGTATTCTTCCTCTTTTCATGTCATCGGTACTTCCTCTCTATATGGATCACTGAAGTGTAACATTTTATGATTCATGTTTGAGTATGGGAAGCAGGGGGTGTGACCCCTTATTGTTACACTTCAGTCTGTTTTACCACATTTTTTTGCACATAAGGTTCAAAATCAACAACCCAGTAGTGTTTTTACTTTCCTTGCCATTCTTTTCAAGTGGATTTTTAATCCACTGAGGACCTTCTGGAGAAAGTAGGCTATGGTTTTGGTCAGTATTTTCATATTTCTGGATTCCTAGGCCACGCTACCATCTATTAGAGTTTCATTGTTTATATTATCTGGCATATTGAGACCAAAACAAAACAACAGAGAAGCCTTTAAATATTGTAAGAGTATTGAAAACTGGAAAAATATTTGAAAAATTTTGTGTGCTAATGTATAATGTAAAATTAAGTTCATAGAACAATGATGAAAATAAGTGATATTTATACAATATGATCCCAATTCCTAAATGTGTGAGGTTTTTTTCCTCCCTCAAATTATTTTTTATTTGTTTGTTTGTGTACTTGAAGGTGATCTCCCTTGTAAATAAGAGTAAAATTTCTAAGATGGTCTGTAAATATTTTAAATATAGAATCCGTATATTTTCAGGTTAAGAGTGCAAACCCTGGAGGCAACAACCCGTATTTTAATCCTGACCAGTCAATTTTCTAACTGTACTGCCTTGGTCCAGTCACTTACCTACGTGCCTCAGCTTTCATATATTTGATATGGAAATAATTAAAATATCTACCTTGTAGAGTTATGAGAATTAAATAATTTTTTAAATGTGCCAATTATACCAAATGTTCTCTAAATGCCCCAAAATAATCAGACTAGAATCAGGAATGAAAATAGTAGATATGAGATGAGGCAAGAAACAATGTCTTAGTTGTCATAGTTGTTGCACACTGGAAAAAAATCTGTTCATTTAAAATATTTATATTTTTAGGTATGTGGGCTCACCTACCCTAGTAGACCATGCCCCATGACTTTACATGGAAAGAAAGCATTCTTCATATGAGTATTTTCCAGTAGTGAGCATTCTCAATGTCTTAAAATATCTTAGAACTTATTTCCAAACTCACAATGCAAATCTATGCAGATTAAATCCTTCTACCTACATGAATGGCCAGCTAGTTCCTAGGTGAGTAAAAAAAAATTGAATTATTTCATTCTTAAAGGGAAGAAACAATTTATGCTTATATTGTAATTATAGTTTAAGCATTACAAAATGTAGCATGATTACTCTAGAAAAATGTTACACAACAGTAATACTGAATGTAATCTTTTATTTTATTATTCTTATTTTTTTGGCAGGGTCTCATTCTGTCACCCAGGCTGGAGCACAGTGGTAGTCAGAGCTCACTGCAGCCTTAACCTCCCGGGCTCAAGCAATCCTCCCACCTCAACAGTCAGAGTAGCTGGGACTACAAGCATGAGCCAGCACACCTGGTCAGTGAATGTAATATTTTATATGCATCAGTTTCCATATAACTAAAGCTTTTAAGGAAAAATGTTTACTCTGACAATAGCCATATTTATACCAGTTATTCGCTAAACTGAGTATCCTAGCCATGGGATTCTAATATGTTTTCCATTAAAACAAAACAAAACAAAATGAAAATTATTTTTCAATCATCAAGTGTCAATTTTGCTGTTGTCAAGAGGTATGCCTCTTCTTACCCTTTATAAGACACTATTTTTATTATGCTGTGGTGTATGAAACCTGGTAACTTTATTCAAGTGTACAATTCTTGCTCATGGGCTTTTAAACGTATAATTCAACTTTTAAAAAATCTGAGATTTCTTTCCAGTTTGTTGGCTGAGTCTGGATAGTCCACATTGTCAGATTAATGGAATAAAAATGTGTCACATCATAAAGCCTAGAACTGTTGGAATAAACTTTGCCAATATTACTTTATTTTTAAAACATATCTTTTGTATATTGCTAACTAGGATTGTTTTTGCCTTCTAATTTTGAAATGTGCGGGTGTTATTTCACCAAGTAACTAAGCCTTTTCTTCGCAAATACATCTTAATAAGTACTTTTAATTTAAATGAGTTCTTCTAATAGTGATTCCTAAGACGTCCAAGTGTGATTTAAAGAGAGGGCTCTCCAAATATCAAATATATAATTATTTTAAATTAATTTTATGGATTGCAAGGTGCCAAATAAAGGAGGTGATGATCAATGATAATATAAGCTCAAAATCACCTGGAAATAATTGTAAGTTCAATATATTTTATATTAACAAATTTTGTGGAAAGCTATTAATTAAAATTTATATATAATATGAATTGTGTCTTCCTGCTTCCGCATCTCGTTTACTTATCTGGTTGTATAAGAAGGCGTATGATATTCTTTGTACCCACCTCCCAACACTCCAACCCCCAAAATGATAGATTGAGAATATATTTCACTGTAGATCCATGTAAAGCTATTGCATTTGAAAATGAGGCCACAGCATGAGAAAGCAAAGACATATTTGTGCACTCTATGCTGAAGTTTTTGTGTTCATAAAAACATAGGAAGAATTTTTTTTATTTTTCGTTCTTTATTTTATTTATTTATTTTTTTTAATTTTTGAGATGGAGTCCCATTCTGTCACCCAGGCTGGAGTCCAGTGGCTCAATCTCGGCTCACTGCAACCTCCGCCTCCTGGGTTCAAGTGATTCTCTTGACTGAGCCTCCTGAGTAGCTTGGGGTTACAGTGCCTGCAACCACACCCAGCTAATTTTTGTATTTTTAGTAGAGATGGGGTTTCGCCATGTTGGCCAGGCTGGTCTCAAACTGCTGACCTCAGGTGATCTGCCCTCCTTGGCCTCCCAAAGTGCTGGGATTACAAGTGTGAGCCACTGCTCCCAGCCCATAGGTAGAATATTTTATAAAATGTTCATTTTTCTATAATAAACAAATATATTTAATATTTAAAAAATCAATTCAACTTCTAATCTCATTAATCCTCTTAAATTAAGAGTTTGCTTGGCATATTTTCAATTTTTAATATGTAGCTGTGGGGTACTATAAGTTGGTTATATTGAAACATATTTCTCAAATAATAAAAATAATCATAGGCAATAGGAAATTACTCAGTACCGTTTTGATGTTCATGTTTAACCTTTTTTTTTTGACAAACCAACAGTAATTCAGGCTTAATTTATTTCCTTATTTGACTATTACTTAACAGACTATATATTACTTCTTAAAGTATTTCTAAAATAACAATTATATTGATATTCACTTATATTTTATCTTTCTCCCTCTCTCTCATCCATAAACACACACACACACACACACACACACACACACACAGGCACAAAAGTTCTCCTGAGGAACTTTAACTCATATATAATCATACTTATTATCTTTTAAACATTGTTTCAAAGTCAATAATGTAAATTAATGCTTTACTTTTACTACTTAATCTTACAGTCTTAATACATGTAGTTTTATGCATTTTACTCCAGAAAATTTATAGGCATAATGATTAAGAAATTGGTGAAATTCATAATAACAAAGTAAAATATAGTCTAAATGAACTCTCTTTATAGGGTCACCTTTCTTGGAAATTTATTCTTAAGACTAATGTACAGGCAGGCACAGTGGTTCATGCCTGTAATCCCAACCTTTGGGAGGCTAAGGCAGGAGGATCACTTGAGGCCAGGAGTTCAAGACCAGCCTGGGCAATATGGCAAGACCCCACTTCTACAAAACATTAAAAGCTATAGCTGGGTGTGGTGACACACACCTGTAGTTCTTGCTACTCAGAAGGCTGAGGCAGAAGGATCACTTGAGCCCAGGAGGTGGAGGCTGCAGTGAGCCATGATTGTGTCACTGCATTCCAGCATGGGCGACAAGGCAAAACTCTGTCAAAAACAAACCCCTAGTGTAACATTACACACTCAGAATATCTAAAAGATAAAAGAATGTCTAGTAATGGTGTGGATGTGGAACAATTGGGTATTTCACACCTTTCTGGTAGGAATGCCATGACTCTGACCCCTAGTCGAGGTATAAAACCACCATTTAATCCTGTAGCTTTATAAACATGTGTCTGAGGAGTTTTGAGGTGGTTTGTACTGGATTGTAGGTATTATTTATTGATATCTTACTTTGGTCATTAGTCAGTAGTTTAATAGATTTAGTTATACTAAGTTTCTTTTTAACTTTGGAATAATTACTACTTGGCCATGCTGTATTATATCTAATACAAAGTTTGGTTTTGATTTGTTTAGATACTTCAGCATGACATGACAGGGGCCATAGGGCCTATAAAATAACTTGCACACTGAGCCTGAGACTTAGGTTATTCATTTAATTTCACATCATTCAGCCTTTTATGAGTTTGCAAGAGTAGAGTTATCTTACATCTGCACTGGCACAGCACTATGTTTATCTCCAGGGAAGCTGAGAATCCTGTTACTGACCATTAGTAAAGGGAAGAATGAGCTGTGCTAGCTAATGATTTATAACCTGTTGTTTAAAATTCAAAACTCTCATGGAACACATGGTACTAACTTGTCTCTCTTGTTTAGAGAAACAGACATTAATCATTTGCTCCTGGCTTAATAGAGAAAAAGCCTGGCTTTAGCCAAGTGACAAATGGGATAAAAGACCCCTCAGTAAACTTGTATATGGGCTCCCCTGTCACTGAAAACTATTGCACATACCTTGGTGGTTCATAATCTAAAACCAAAGTATTTCCTGCGAGATGAAGAAAGCATGTTAGAGGACTACATGTGAATGATTTTGGACTTCTGTGCTATTGCCTGTGTTTTCTTTTCCTTGTTGTTCCATATCCTTTATGTTTATTAAGGCATTCCTCGCATGAGTATGCCATGTGCAGTCTTGTCTTTCCACTGATGTAACCCAGTGATATTATTGCAATGATTATTCCCATGCAGAATTTGTCTTCACTTCCTGAATTTTTGTCCTTTAGGTTCTTGTTTATATTTTTATCCTCAATAGTATTTACTAGTTTAATTTTCCAATTTTCCACCATTAACATTAATATTGACTCTGAGAGCCTATAGAATATTGCCATGTTCAAGGATCCTGGAGGCAGAAGAAGAGAGTATAGCATGGTCTTGGGTAAGTTTCTGACTTATTTTTAACTTGAGATATACGGCTCTTTTTAAAGATGTTATGCTACATTTGCCACTGCAAGTACCCATTGCCTTAAAATTGCAAGAATTTGGCAAAATATAAAATAAGAGCTCACACACTACCTTCCTGTAGGTAATATATAGCAACCTACAAATTAAGAGCCATGCTTTAATTACAGTTTAGTTTCCAAACATGGGGGAATAAGAATAGGAAATTTAAATGAATGAATGATTTTTTTATTATTATGTTTTTTATAAGAAATATTTTATTTTATTATTTTTTAAATTGATGTATAAGTTACAAATAAAAATTACATATCCTGTCATATTTGGCAATAGGAATTAACCTTTAGGGCATTAGGCTAAGTAAAATAAGTCAGGTATTAAATGAATAATCTTAATACCTAAATTTAAAAAGCAAAAATTGTTTGTTAGTTATCTCTCCATTAGGGGTATGCTTGTTACACTTAACTAATATTCCTGTTCTTGAGTTAGGGCCCCTTTCCACTATCCAAGGAAAGCTAGGAAATATCGATTCCTTTTATAATTTTTTTTTTCCATTTCAGTTGAACACCTTATTTTAGTGTGAAATTTTTTCAAATAATTTCAAATAACTTGCCTTCAGGTCATATAGGTAAATAATTATTTCATTTCCTTTAAAGTGTTGCATAACATTATATTGACCCATTAACTACTGATTTTAGTTTTTCACTAAGAAGAAATTCTTCCATTTTTAACTTCCAATTTCTCGAAGCAGACAATAATAATGTAAGTGTATTTCTCTATGTATGGAAGGTTTTAGGTAGCTAGGACTATTAAAATGAATGTAGATGCATAGGTTTTATGAAATATTTTTCCTTTAAGCAAATAGAAAATACTGGTTATACTAAGAGATTAGATCAGGAAAGAAGTTTTTGTAAAATTAGTCCAAAGATAAAACTGTTTATGAGGCCAGGTGCGGTGGCTCACGCTTGTAATCCCGGCAATTTGGGAGGCCGAGGTGGGCGGATCACGAGGTCAGGAGATCGAGACCATCGTGGCTAACATGGTGAAACCCTGTCTCTACTAAAAATACAAAAAATTAGCCAGGCATGGTGGCGGGCGCCTGTAGTCCCAGCTACTCAGGAGGCTGAGGCAGGAGAATGGTGTGAACCCGGGAGGTGGAGCTTGCAGTGAACCGAGCCTGTGCCACTGCACTCCAGCCTGGGTGACAGAGCGAGACTCTGTCTCAAAAAAAAAAAAAACCTATTTATGAAAACAGGACAAAATATTTATATCCAAAAGATCATAGCTATGGCATTAACAATCATTTCTTTGAACATGTTCTATTTTAAATCATCTCTTGAGCTCTTTACAAATATTATTTTTCAACCTCTCCTTTTACATTAAAAGCCTGGAATTTTTAAAACTATCTCAACTGCTTTTAATTAACTCATCAAGCTGAAGCTAATACATGTTGTATGTTGGCTATTTAAAAAGTGAGTTGACTTTATACATAAATTCTATAAAATGCTATTACTCAACAATTGTGGACAAACAGCTTCCTTAATAAAGATTTCCTTTAAATCTGTAGGTGCCCAGAGAACACTTTTAACAAATATAAAATGTATTTCAGTCTAACATATTTCTAAAATTTCACTACTTTTTCTTTTTCTCCCTGGAAGCATGATTCACAGATTTGGTAGGATATAAAAAGGTAAAAAATTGAGTGCATAATCCAGGGCTGCTGAAAGAAGTCTTGAGTTTGTCTTTTTAAAAGACATTCATTCTATATAAACACAGGTGTTCGACATATAGTCAAGTCTAGAATAATTCCCATCTAAAAATATGTACTGTGTGTGTGGGAAGGGGTGGGAGGGTGTAGAGGGTGGGTGTAGATGTGGTTGAGTTACCATCAGTTGAATAGTTTTTAAGTAAATGTTTAAAAACATATGGTAGACCTCTTGGTACATCAAGTAATTTTAGAAAACATATTGATAGATCACTAAGTAATGTTAAATATAAGTTACACTATAAAGAATTACAAAGAATTGGGCCTGGAGCGGTGGCTCGCGCCTGTAATCCCAGCACTTTGGGAGGCCAAGGTGGGTGGATCACCTGAGGTCAGGAGTTTAAGACCAGCCTGGCCAACATGGTGAAACCTTGTCTCTGCTAAAAATACAAAATTAGCCGGATGTGGTGGCACGTGCCTGTAATCCCAGCTACAAGGGAGGCTGAGGCAGGAGAATCGCTTGAAGGCAGGAGTCAGAGGTTGCAGTCAGCTGATATCATGCTATTGTACTCCAGCCTGGGCAAAAAGAGCAACTCCTTCTCAAAAAAAAAAAAAAAAATAATAATAAATTACAAATTATTTTCTTTTTAAATCTTTCTTAATTTTTCTGATTAAATCAAGGAAAAACAAGATTCTGTTAGCACATCAAATGTAATTTTATGAAACTTGATAATTTCAATCCAAAAAAGATGAAAACTGATATTGGGTTAGAGCTAAATAATATTTCTCATTGTGCTTACTTTTATAGCGGGAAAAAACTTGTTTTCATTTATGGTGGGATTAGAAAGTTTTTTTTTTAAATAAATGTGTTTAAGTAAAAACAAATCAATATAAATCAAATATTAAATATTTTATGCTATAGTTGTTGCTCACATAATGCATATCTTGAAAAGGCAATATGTATGTATGATACAAATTAAAGAAACTCAGGCCTGATCTGATTTATGTGCCACTGACAAGTGTGTGCTAACCCAATCAATATTGTAAATTAAAATGAAGTACTAGAATTTTGCTGAATCACTTAAGCTGTTATGTTAGTCACAACAGAGTTGGCAATTGACTGAGAAATACATGCACAACAAAAGCAAGATAAAATTAACAATAAGGGACTTTTAAAAGAAGCAGTTATAAGTGATTCATTCATGTTTCACCAAGAGTCTTAAACTTGACTGCTAGGAATTAGAAGGATTTGGGTTGTTAGTGAAGAAATTTGAGAGAATGATCAGTTCAGTTCAAAGAAAGCATAAGAACAGACTTCAGAATCATGAGTAGTCTGTCGTGTTTGAGAGTTTGCAGTTTTGTAGTGTGTAATATGCAATTAAACCATAAAGAAGAGTTAGGAATAACATCCTATTTCTAAGGATTTTTTACTTCAACTTATAATCAAGTCATTCTCAAGTCTATTCCCTTATGAGGGAGATTTTAGAAAATACTAATACATGGGCTCCATCTCAGGCCAAATAAACCAAAATTTGTAAGCTAAGGCTAAGGCATTATTGTTTTATTTTTGTCATTGTTACTTTTAAGCTCCCCAGGCAATTTTACAAAGTGCAACCAGATTGTTCAACCACTGCTTTCAGGAACGAGCCACATTACAAACTTTTTACAAGGAATGTAACATAATTCAAAACTTATTGTTGATAGAAATATCTGTTTAATTAAACAATGAGTTATTGGATTTTCAGAGAAAGTCTGAAGGAACATTACACAAATAAAAGTTGTAGTTTAAGAAATAAATTATTATAGTCTAGGTAAGATATACTTATCTTTAAATGAGGATAGTAGAATAGAAAAAAATAAAATGAAATGTTAAAACATGATGAAAGTTTAGGGGTGTAAGTTTGCCAACTCAATATTTAGAGGACATAGTGCAAGTGTTCTTTTTTTTTGTGGATTTTTTTTGTGTGTGGAGATGATGCGTTTGTGTTAATATCTAACACTTCCTATCATCCTTGACATGTTGACACACCCTTTTCTGAAAATGGACTGCTATTGAAATAGATGTCGATATGTAAACAAAGACTTTACCACATACTGTGGTTGGTTGTTTGGATTATTTGTGGCTATAAACAGAAAACTAGCTCCCAAATTTAATTTATGAGTTAAATTTTACCCTTGACTTTATTATCTCATTGATTCAAGCAATATAATTATTAGTACTAGGTCATTTTAGATGAAAAAGGAGATGACCTGATGTGAATTTTCACACCTAGTCTTATATATGTGTATTGAATTAATAGTAGGATATTAAACATATGTATATAACTTTAATTCTGGGATACATGTGCAGAATATGCAGGTTTGTTTCATAGGTATACATGTGCCATGATGGTTTGGGGCACCTATCAATTTCTCATCCAGGTTTTAAGCCCCCCATGCATTAGGCATTTGTCTTAATGCTCTCCCTCCCCTTGCCCCCAACCCCCTGACAGGCCCTGGTGTGTGTTGTTTCCCTCCCTGTGTCCATGTGTTCACATTGTTCAACTCCCACTAATAAGTAAGAACATGTGGTGTTTGGTTTTCTGTTCCTGTGTTAGTTTGCTGAGAATGATGGCTTCCTGCTTCATCCATGTTCCTGCAAAGGACGTGATCTCATTCTTTCTTATGGCTTAATGGTATTCCATGCTGTATGTGTAGCACATTCATTATCCGGTCTATCATTGATATGTTTTTGGGTTGGTTCCAAGTCTTTGCTATTGTAAATAGTGCTGCAATAAACATACATGTGCATGTGTCTTTATAGTAGAATGACTTATAATCTTTTGTTTATATACCCAATAATGGGATTGCTGGGTCAAATGGTATTTCTGGTTCTAGATTCTTGAGGAATCACCACACCGTCTTCCACAATGGTTGAACTAATTTACATTCCCACCAGCAGTGTAATAGTGTTCCTCTTTCTCCATAGCCTTGCCAGCATCTATTGTTTCCTGACTTTTTAATAATCACCATTCTGACTGGTGTGAGATGGTATCTCATTGCAGTTTTGATTTGCATTTCTGTAATGATCAGTCATAATGAAGTTTTTTTTCATATCTTTGTTGGCCACATAAATGTCTTGAGAAGTGTCTATTCATATCCTTTGCCCAGTTTTTGATGAGGTTGTTTGTTTTTTTCTTGTAAATTTGTGTAAGCTCCTTATTGACTCTGGATATTCGACCTTTGTCAGATGGGTAGGTTGTAAAAATTTTCTCCCATTCCATAAGTTGCCTGTTCACTCTGATGCTAGTTTCTTTTGTTGTGCAAAAGCCCTTTAGTTTAATGAGATCCCAATTGTCAATTTTGCTTTTATTGTAATTGCTTTTGGCATTTTTGTCATGAAGTCTTTCCTCATGCCTATGTCCTGAATGGTATTGCCTAGGTTTTTTTCTAGGGTTCTTATGGTTTTGGGTTTTATATTCAAGTCTTTAAACCATCTTGAGTTAATTTTTGTGTAAGGCATAAGGAAGAGGTGCAGTTTTAGTTTTCTTCTTATGGCTAGCCAGTTTTCCCAGTACCATTTATTAAGTAGGGAATCCTTTCCCTATGGCTTGGTTTTGTCAGGTTTGTCAAAGATCAGATGGCTGTAGATGTGTGGTCTGATTTCTGAAGTCTCTATTCTGTTACATTGGTCTAAATGTATGTTTTGATACCATGCTGTTTTCGATACTATACCCTTGTAGTATAGTTTGAAGTAAGGTAGGATGATGCCTCCAGCTTTTTTCTTTTTGTTTAGGACTGTCTTGGCTATACAGGTTCTTTTTTGGTTCCATATGAAATTTAAAGTAGTTTCTTCTAATTCTAAGAAGAAAGTACAATGGTAACTTGATAGGAATAGCATTGAATCTATAAATTACTTTGGACAGTATGGCTGTTTTCACAATATTGATTCTTTTTATCCATGAGCATGGAATAAATTTTCCATTTGTTTGATTTCTCTCTTATTATTTCCTTGGGCAGTGCTTTCTAGTTCTCCTTGAAGAGGTCCTTCATGTCCCTTGTAAGTTGTATTCTAGGTATTTTATTCTCTTTGTAGCAATTGTGAATGGGAGTTCATTCATGATTTGGCTCTCTGTTTGTCTGTTGCTGGTATAAAGGAATGCTTGTGATTTTTGCAGATTGATTTTTTTATCCTGAGAGTTTGCTGAAGTTGCTTATCAGCTAAAGGAGTTTTTGGGCTGAGACGGTGGGGTTTTCTAAATATACACAATCAAGTCATCTGTAAACAGAGACAATTTGACTTCCTCTCTTCCTATTTGAATGTCTTTTATTTCTTTCTCTTGACTGATTGCCTGACCAGAACTTCCAATACTATGTCCAATAGGAGTGATGAGAAGAGGGCATGTTTGTTTGTGCCAGTTTTCAAAGGGAATGCTTCCAGCTTTTGCCCATTCAGTGTAATATTGGCTGTGGGTTTGTCAAAAAAGCTTATTATTTTGAGGTATATTCCATCAACACCTAGTTTATTGAGAGTTTTTAACATGAAGGGATGTTGAATTTTATCGAAGGCCTTTTCTGCATCTATTGAGATAATCATGTGGTTTTTGTCATTGGTTCTTTTTATGTGATGGATTACATTTATTGATTTGCATCTTAGGGATGAAGCCAACTTGATAGTGGTGGATAAACTTTTGGATGTGATGCTGGATTTGGTTTGCCAATATTTTATTGAGGATTTTCGCATCAATGTTATCAGGGGTATTGGCCTGGAGTTTTATTTTTTGTTGTGTTTCTGCCGGGTTTTGGTGTCAGGATGATGCTGGCCTCATAGAATGCATTAGGGAGGAGACCCTCCTTTTCTAATGTTTGGAATAGTTTCAGAAGGAATGAGACTAGCTCCTCTTTGTACCTCTGTTAGAATTTGGCTGTGAATCCATCTGGCCCTGGGCTTTTTTTTTTTTTTTTTTGTGGGGGGGGGTTGTTAGGCTATTAATTACTGCCTCAATTTCAGAACTTGTTACTGGTCTATTCAGGGATTCAACTTCTTCCTGGTTTAGTTTTGGGAGGGTACATGTGTCCAGGAGTTTATCCATTTCTTATAGATTTTCTAGTTTATTTGCATAGAGGTTTTTATAGTATTTTCTGATGGTAGTTTGTATTTCTGTGCGATCAGTGTGATATCCCTTTTATCATTTTTTATTGTGTCTGTTTGATTCTTTTCTCTTTTCTTCTTTAATTAGTCTAGCTAGTAGTCTATCTATTTTGTTAAATTTTTCAAAAAATCAGCTGCTTGATTCATTGATTTTTGAAGGGATTTTTTTGTCTCTATCTCCTTCAGTTCTGCTATGCTCTTAGTTATTTCTTGTCTGCTGGCTTTTATTTGTTTCCTCTTGCTTCTCTAGTTCTTTTAATTGTGATGTTAAGGTGTTGATTTGAGATCTTTCCTGCTTTCTGACACGGACAGTTCGTGCCATAAATTTCCCTCTTAACACTGCTTTAGATGTTTCCCAGAGATTCTGGTATGGATGGAGGGGTCAAGATGGCCCAATAGAAACAGCTCCGGTCTGCAGTTCCCAGCGGGACCAATGCAGAAGGCGTGTGATTTCTGCATTTCCAACTGAGGTACCCAGTTCATCTCCTTGGGACTGGTTTGGCAGTGGGTGCAACCCATGGAGAGTGAGCAGAAGCAGGGTGGGGCATCGGTTACCCGGGAAGTGCAAGGAGCGGGACGGGGAGCACCTCCCTCCCCCAGCCAAGGGAAGTGGTGAGAGACTGCGCTACCCGTCCTGGGTACTATGCTTTTTCCACGGATTTTTGCAATCCACAGTTCAGGAGATTCCCTCGTGGGCCTACACCACCAGGGCCCTGCGTTTCAAGCACAAAACTGGGCAGCTGTTTGGGCATGCTGTGAGCTATCTGCAGGAGTTTTGTTCATACCCTAGTGGTGCCTGGAACCCCAGTGAGACACTGGGAGAAACGTCCAATCCCCTGGAAAGGGGGCTGAAGTCAGGGAGCCAAGTGGTCTCCCTCGGTGGGTCCCACTCCCACAGAGCCCAGCAAGTTAAGAAATTTTGGCTTGAAATTCTCACTACCAGCAGAGCAGTCTGGAGTTGACCTGGGATAATGAAGCTTGGTTGGGGGAGGGACATCCGCCATTACTGAGGCTTTGGTAGGCAGTTTTCCCCTAACAGTGCTAAGGAGACTGGGAGGTTTGGACTGAGCAGAATTCACCACTTGGCGGCAAAGAGGCTATGGCCAGACTGCTTCTCTAGATTCTGCCTCACTGGGCAGGGCATCTCTGAAGGAAATGAAGCAGCCCCAGTCAGGGGCTTACAGATAAAACTCTCATTTCCCTGGGACAGAGCACCTGGGATGAGGGGTGGCACAGGCACAGCTTCAGCAGACTTAATCATTCCTGCCTGCCAGCTCTGAAGAGAGCAGTGGATCTTCACAAGGGAGATTCTCCCAGCACAGCACACCAGCTCTGCTATGGGACAGACTGCCTCCTCACGTGGGTCCCTGACCCTGTGCCTCGTAACTGGGAGAGACCTCCCAACAGGGGTCGACAGACACCTCATACAGGAGAGCTCCTACTGGCATCAGGCTGGTGCCCCTCTGGGACTAAGCTTCCAGAGGAAGGAGTGAACAGCAATCTTTGCTGTTTTGCAGCCTCCACTGGTGATACCCAGGCAAACAGGGTCTGGAGTGGACCACCAGGAAACTGCAGCAGACCTGCAGAAGTATGACCTGGCTGTTAGAAGAAAAACTAACAAACAGAAACAGCAGCAACAACAATGTCAACATAAAAGTTTATATTTTTATTTAATCATTTATTCTGGCATGTCTTAGATGTGAAAACTGTGACGACAATAATATTCAAATTGAAAAATTGTGAGGATTAAAAATTAAAGTTATTTATATCAATTTGTAGTCATTGATAAATTTGTTCTTCTTGAAGATTAATATGATAGCAAGTAGGCATTTTGAATTGATTCCGATCAGAATCTTATAAAAGCAGGCACAGGTAAAGGTTTTGGATTAAATAAATGAATAAAATGGCAAGTAAGAAATGGTAGCGTCAGCATTTTATTAAGATATCAACTTCTCCTAATATATATGGAAGAAAGAAATAAGAGTTTTGACTAAAAAAGGAGACATATTAACAAATAAATATTTGCATTCCCAGCCACGACTGTGGTGTTATAAAGAATAAACCACATGAATTTATTTACTTGGTGAAAACAAAAGAAGAAAAGTTTTTACTTTGAAATAAACTATCCTACTGATTGCTCTATAGCATTTTGTAGCACTAGACAGTATAGATATTTGCCAGAAAAGGATAATTTACTTATCTATTTTCTTAATTTAGAAAATACAGTACATAGAATGTTATACTTAGTGAGTCATACAGTTTCAATACTATATCATAGTACCATAGTGTGACTTTTTTGAATAAAACACACTATTTACTGTATCTTTTAAAATATGTAGTATAGAATATATTTAAACAATTTTTAAATCTGAGTTTTTACTGCTAACATATTAAGCATATATATACTTTTTTTACAATTACTAATACAGAAAAATAAATGTCATTTAAAAATCTTTCTAGAATATTACATCTTGCCTTTATGTGTTATTCATATATGATTTCTATTTTCTAGGCATTTTATAAATAATTTAATAAGTATCCTTTTGGTGCCTATGACCAACTCCAATCCATTAGTAGAGTCATTTGCTGTTAAAGATCAAAACCCTAAAACAAAATAGTGATATTATCTAGGTCACTTGGTGAGCACTAGTAATGCTCATTATTATGTGAAATTGCCCAGCTGTCGATTCCTGTTTTTCTGTCTTTTAAAGCTTATGCAACTTGTGTTGCAAAGGCATCTTATAAAAATATTGATTTAAGCTAAATACCTCATTGGGCAGAACTTTCACAGGCACTACACAGAATGACTGAAACATGAGTAACGGTGTGGAGGAGATTTCTCTTTCAAATGATTGATGCATACACCACCCTCCTCTCAGCCTTTTCCTCTGACAACAAATGTCTCCAGACCATAGGGAAATTATCAATAATATAATATATGGATAAAATAGCTAGGGAGATAGGTAAAGAGAGAAATGGAAAGAGGAAAGAGAGGAAGAGAGAAAAAGAGAGAGAATAGCACTTTAAGATAATATGCATGATTGATTCTTGATGAACAGAAACTATAGAATCTATGAACAATAAAATATTATTGAAGAAGCAAAGCTATAAAAGTATGGGTATGAAAGAGAACTGCTGCAGAAAGTAGATGCCCTATAAAGTGTGCTCTGTATCACAAAGTGATGGTTAGCAAAGCAGGAAAAATCAATATATTGAGAGATTTGGAATTGCTATAGAGCTTTCAGGCAATTCATTTCCAAACGTTGACCAAAGTTTCTTTATTACTGGAAGAAAGAGTGAAAATTATGTCTTCCTATCAAAATAGACAGCTTGGGTTGGCAATAAAGGACAGTGCTCTTAGGTCAGTAGGGATGACTGAGGGGAACAGGGAACACTGGACTCCAGAAGACAATTGCTGAAGTTGCTATCTTCATCAATATATGTCCTTGCCCATTGTGAAAAAATAGGTCAGTATAGAGGCTAATGTATCATACTCAATTTAACAAAAGATACATTTAATTACCATCTTTACCTGCAGCTTCCTTCTTAATAATGCAAGAATATTTGAATGCCTTCTTAATAATGTAAGAATATTTGAACTC
The DNA here is from genome assembly GCF_000001405.40 of Homo sapiens. Lineage (NCBI taxonomy): Eukaryota > Metazoa > Chordata > Mammalia > Primates > Hominidae > Homo > Homo sapiens. The sequence continues at coordinate 185,374,254 of NC_000002.12, read as the reverse complement.
TTTAACTTTGATCTCCCTCTTTTCTCTTTTCAAAGTTAGAGATGTCTAAATGTTTATTTGCACTCTTTATTTTTTAATAAACTTTTAATTTTATAATCATTTTAGATTTGCAGAAAAGTTGTGACAATTGCACAGACAGTTTCTACATACAGTTTCCCCTATTGTTAACAGCTTACATTACTGTGGTACATTTGTCATAAATAATGAGCAAATATTGATAAATTGTTATTAATTAAAGTCTATTACTTCAATTTATTGGTTTTTGTTTAATGTCCTATTTCTGTTCAAGGATCCCAATAAATATACCCTATTATGTTAATAATCATTTTTCATTAGGTAACTTTTGATTGTGACAGTTTCTCAGACTCTTCTTGTTTTAGATGACTTTGACAGTTTTGAGAAGTACTGATCTGGGTATTGAAGTCTCCAAAATTAGATTTGCCTGTTCCCCCTTTCTGATGTATCAATGTTTCCTCATTTTGACACTGTTTTTAGATAAATATGTGTCTAGGATTGTTATATTTATTGGAGAATTGACTCCTTTAAGATTATTTAATAGCTTATTTTATCCTTAATAAATTTATTTGTTCTGCTTTGTCTGAAATCATCATAGCTACTCTAGCTTTACTTTGATTAGTGTTACCATGGTGTATCTTTCTCCATCCTCTTATTTTTAACTTATATATCTTTATATTGAAGTGACTTTCTTGTGGGTGGATATAATTGAGTGTATTAGGCAGGATCATGCATCATGTCATGCAGTCATGCAGTCATGCAGTCATACAGTCATACAGTCATACAGTCATGCAGTCACACAGTCATACAGTCATGCAGCCATGCAGTCATGCAGTCACACAGTCATACAGTCATACAATCATGCGGTCATACAGTCATGCAGTCATGCAGTCATGCATCAGTTAATGACAGGGATAAGTTCTGAGAAGTGCATCATTAAATTTCATTGTTGTGCAAACATCATAGAATGCACTTTCACAAGCGTAGAAGGCTATGTGTGTAGCCTACTACACATATAGGCTATACATGATGCCAATCATGGTCCTGCAAAACACAGTCATGAACACCACAATCCTGAATGCTGATGTCCTGAAAGATCAAAATTCCTAAAGATCAAAATCCCTAAAGTCTAAAATTTCTAATGTCTAAAATCCCAGAAATTATAATCCCCAAAATTTAAATCCCAAATGTTGAAATCCTGAAAGCAAAATTCTAGAGAAGGGATTACTGTGTTTTTTTGTTGTATGCAGCATAGTTGCTTCATATTAGTTGCATCCTGTTAGAGGAAACTAGTACCTTGTTACTGCCTTAATTTCCATCTGGCAGAAAATCTAGATGAATGAAATGGCCACAGGATAAGTCAACGACAAAAACTTCAGTTTAAAAATGTGTCATTTGTCTGCATTGGCAGACATCCTTCCAGATGATGACATTCCAGGAGATTTTAATGAATTAAAGCCACATTTGCTTGAAAAATCCAGGAAATTACTGACTGGTTCAAAAATAATTATGTGCTTGATAGAATAAGAAGATACTAATGAAATGGTGTTGCTGTTCAATCACCAGTATCTTTTCCACCAAATTTGTAGTCTCGGTATGAGTACATGTAGAATGGAATTCCACATACCCAAACAACAGAAACATGGCACAGAAGATTAGAAAATGTAATAGGGAATGCTCATGTCGGTGTATATCAAATGATAGAAGGGTTTCAAAAAGAACAGCACCATATTCTTAGAAAATGAATGCTAACAAATTCTCTGAGGAAAACCATGCTTTAAAAAGCAAAAGGCAATTACTCATTGTGATGCAAGACTGCAAAATAAAGTTAATGATTGTGAAAGTTGGCCAGCTCCCAGTGTGATTGCCTACAATCTCCCTGTAATAAAATCTGCTATGCTATGTATTTCATTGTTGCATCATTTGCAATATTGGCGGTATAAATCGTGTAAAGACTTCTGGAGAGTTCTAATTCATTTCATGCATTTTTTTTCCCCACAGATTTGACTTCAAAAAAGTGCATTGTCACAGTGTTGACTTTATTTGTGTTTATATGTAAAATTGTTGGAACTTCTTCAGTAAATGAAAAATATGTCCTTTTTGTGCCTCCACATTTGTGAATGATACAATTTTTTGAGATCTTGGCTCTTTGAACAAGTACATATGCAGTGGAGATCAATCATGGTTTTTGATTAATCTTTATAAAAGACTAAGTTTTTCTATCATGGTATTTCAGATAGCCACAGTTATAAAGTTGGATGCACACAATTACTGACCATAGTAAAATGTGTTTATACATTTCACTTTTTGACCTATTTCTGTATATATGGTTACATCTGCTCATAATTCTCATACCCATATGACTATTAGCGTACCTGAGTGTTTATGCTTGCAAATATATATGTATATTATTACCAATTTTATTGTATAAAGTGGCCTATGAAGTACTCTGTCATGTTTTCATGTTTCTCAAATCCCCTTCTAAAAATGTAAATAAGTGCCTTTGAAATAATTTTAAAATGTACTTTTAAATATAAAAATGAATTATATTTTTGGGATTTTGAACTCTATAGATTGTGATATTTAGGATTTTAGACTTTTAGGTGTTTTGATCTTTTCAAATTTTCACATTCAGGATTATGTCATTCAGGATTGTGTTTTTAAACCCCGCTATATGGTGTAGCCTATTGCTTCTAGGCTGCAAACCTGCACAGCAAGTTACAGTGCTAAATACTGTAGGCAATTGTAACACATGGTATTTGTATACCTAAATATATCTAAATACAGAAAAGTAAATAAAAATACAGCATTATAATCTTATGGGATCACAATATATGGTCATACTTTGTTACCAAAACATTGCTATGCTATATATGATTGTGTATATACATATATGTGTGTGTGTATGAAAAGATTCATTATGAGAACTGTCTCATGCAATGATTTTGGAGGCTGAGAAGTTCCGTGATATGCCATGTACAAGCTGGAGAACCAGCAAAGCCAGTGAGGTAATTTATTAATCTGAGGGCCTGAGAACCAAGAGTGCAAGTGTCCAAGAGCAGAGGAATATGAATGTCCCAACTCAAAACACAGAGCATAAATTTGGTCTTTATTTGCCTTTTCTTCTATTTGGGACCTCAATAAATTGAATGATGCCACGCACATTGGTAACAGTGATCTTGTCTACCCAGTCTACTGATTCAAATGCTGATCTCTTTTGGAAACACCCTACAGACACAACCTGGAATAATGTTTTACTAGTGATCTGATCATCCCTAAGCCCAGTCAAGCTGAGACATAACATTAACCATTACATTGGGTCTTGATTTTTTAACTAATCTTTTTATTTTAATTGATATTTTCACTGAATACACATCTTAAGTGATTATTGGTATAGTTGGAATAAAATCTGTCATTTTCTGCTTGTTGCATCTGTTATTTTTTCTTTCCACCCTTTTCTTGACTTTCTCTAGTTTTAATTGAGCATTTTATATTATTCTATTTCATTTCTAAGCATATGTCTCATTTATACTTCTTGTTACTCTTTTTTTCAGGAATTGTCCCAGAGTTTACAATGCCATTTTTAATAATTTAAATTCACCTTCAAGTATCACTATGCAATTTCATATAATGCAGATACCTTTTTGCAGGTGTCTCTTACAGTTTTCTTGCTTTTTGTGTCCCCCTTTTCCAATGTTACGTGTATGTGTGTGTTTTTGTAATCACATTTACCTGTCAGTACAAGAATCTTAAAAGAGAGTGTTCTGAATTTATCCCTCCTGCTCCTCGTGATATTTTTTCATTCATTTCATGTAGCTGTCCTTTATATTAATTGACCCTTTCTTAGTGTTTCCACCACTCTGTCTACATTAACCATCTGTATGTTTACTTGTTCCATTAAAGACCAATATCTGTATCATGTCTGAGTCTGGTTCAGATGATTGATTCACCTTTTTATCTGTGTTTCTTCTTGCCCTTCTACATGCTTTATACTTTTTTTTAAGTTGGACGTGTATTAAGCAATAGGAATTGAGGCAAACAGGCCTTTAGTGTGAAGATTTCTGTTAGTATGGCTATGTGTTTGGCTGTGTTTAACACTTGTTGTAGCTGTTAATACCAGACTTCAGATCTCTGTAGCGTACTTGTCTTTGGCTCCCTCTTGGCTTTGGAATTTTCCAATATAATACTCCCTCCTTATCCTTAGATTTGCTTTCTGCAACTTAGTGACCTGTGTCCAACCAGGGTTTGAAAATAGGTGATTACAATCCAATAAGATATGTTGAGAAAGAAAGCAAGAATGACCATATTCACATAACTTTTATTACTGTATATAGTTGACTCTTGAACAACATGGGTTTGAATTGTGTGTGTCCACTTATAGGTGGACTTTTTGCAATGCATATATTGGATTAATTTTGAAGATTTGCAGCAATTTGAAGAAACTCACAGAAGAACCATGTAGCATAAAAATATTAAAAAATTAAAAATTAGATGTATCATGAATGCATAAATTATAAGTAGTTGCTAGTCTACAACTTACTACCATAAATACACAAATCTATTATAAAAAGTTAAACTAAAACTTATACACTTACAAAGCATGCATGTTACCATTCACAGCCTAGAGAAATTTAAACAAATGTACAGATGCAGTATTAAATCATAACTGCATACAATTATAGCATATACTGTACTACTACAATAATTTTGTAGCCACCTCCTCACACTATTACGGTGAGCTCAAGTGTTGCAAGTATCCACTGAACATGTCATGTGAAGCTAATCATCTCTGTGTGAGCATTTTACTTTTAGACATATTTCTGTATGTATATGGTTACATCTGCTCATAACTGTTCCACCCATGTAACTATTAGTATACCTGAGTGTTTATGCTTGCAAAATTATGTATATTATTATTACCTATTTTAGTATGTAAAGTGGCCTATGAAGTGCTCTGTCATGTTTTTATGTTTCTCAAATCCCCTTCTAAAAATGTAAATAAATGTCTTTAAAATAATTTCTCTCCTTAGTAAATTGTGTATCACAGTAAAAGTAATGTCTCATGGTACTTATGCAAATTTATTATGTTTAGCACAATACTGTAAACCTCGAATAACACCATAGGACCTACACAAAGTGTCACTAGTAAGGATGGAAGTGCTCCCAAGAAGAATAGAAGATTCATGACATTACAAGGAGGAGTTGACGTTAGATTGAGTTTTGCAACTATGGTTGCCCGCCACTCCAAGATAAATGAATCTGGCATAAGGACTATTGTAAAGAAATAAAAGAAAATTCGTGAAGCCACCACTACAGCTATGCCAGCAGGCATAAAAACCTTGCACTTTTTGCTAAATACCTTTTTATCTTGTATTAAAAATATAGCTTTTGTGTGAGTGCGGGATTGTTATAGGAAAGGCATACATATAGACTCTAATATAATTTGACAAAAAGCAAAGTCATTATTTGACAACTTAAGGCAAAAGGAAGGTGAACTAGCTAAAGCTGGAGAATTTAATGCCGGTAAAGAATGGTTTGATAATTTTAAAAAGAAGTTTAGTTTTAAAATTATCAAGATAACAGGAGAAGCATATTCTGCTGACCAAGAGGCAGCAGAAGAGTTCCCAGACACTGTTAGAAAAATCATTGAGGAGAAAGAATATCTGTCTGAATAGATTTTTAATGTAGATGAAAGTGCCCTATTCTTGAAAAAAAAATAATGACACAAAGGACATTTTTAGTAAGGAAGTGAAGCAAGCACTAGGATTTTAGGCAGGAAGGGATAGGCTAACTCTGCTGTTTTGTGCAAATGTAGTGGGGTTCATGATAAAGACTACCCTCATCTATAAAGCTTCAAACACCTGAGCATTGAAGGGAAAAGATAAACACCAGGTTACAGTCTTTTAGTTGTACAAAAAGAAGATTTGGACAATGAGAACTCATTTTCTGGTTTAGTTCCATTGATGGTTTATCCCTGAAGTCAGGAAGGACCTTGCCAGTAAGGGACTTCCTTTTAAAGTTATTTTGATAACAGACAATGCCCTTGGCTACCAAGAAACCCATATGAGTTCAACACTGAAAGCACTGAAGTGGTCTACTTGTCTCCAAAGACAACATGTCTAATTCAGCCTGTAGATCAAGGACTCATAAGAACTTTTCAGGCTCATTATGCACAGTATTCTATGTATAAGATTGTCAATGTTATGGAAGAGAATCCTGATAGAGAGGGCATTATGAAAATCTTGATGGATTATATGATTGAAGATGCCACCATTGTTTAAAAAAAACAAGCCGTGATATTCATCAAGCCTGAAACAATGAATTTCTGCTGGAAAAATCTGTGTCGAGATGTTGTGTATGACTTCAAACGATTTATGACAGAGCCAGTCAAAGAAATCACGAAAGAGATTTTGGATACTGCAAAAGGGTTGAGGGGGTGGGTAATAGAGATATTTATAGTGAAGGGTTTCACTATATATATTTTAGTGTGTAAAGTGACCTATGGAGTGCTCTGTCATGTTTTTATGTTTCTCAAATCCCCTTCTAAAAATGTAAATAAATGTCTTTAAAATAATTACTCTTTTCAGTAAATTGTGTATCACAGTAAAAGTGATGTCTCATGGTTCTTATGCAAATTTATCACACACACACACATATATATATATATATATGCAGAATTTATTAAGTGTTAACTCACATGATCACAAGGTCCCACAATAGGCCATCTGCAAGCTGAGAAGTAAGGAGAGCCAGTCCGAGTTCCAAAACTGAAGAACTTGGAGTTTGATGTTCGAGGGCAGAAAGCATCCAGCACAAGAGAAAGATGTAGGCTAGGAGGCTAGGCCAGTCTCTTTTCACAATTTTCTGTCTGCTTATATTCTAGCTATGCTGACAGCTGCTTAGATTGTGCCGACCCAGATTAAAGTTGAGACTGCCTTTCCCAGCCCACTGACTCAAATGTTAACCTCCTTTGGCAACACCCTCACAGACACACCATGGATCAATATTTTGTATCCTTCAATACAATCTAGTTGACACTCAGTATTAACCATCACAACATAATAAAGGCCATATGTGATGAGCCCACAGTGGACATTGATGAGCAAACAGCTTTCCCTCTAAGATCAGCAACAAGACAAGAATGACCAATCCTGCTACATCCATTCAATAGAGAATACTCTGGGAGTCCTAGCCAGAGTAATTCGGCAAGAAAAATAAATAAAAGAATTAACATTAAAATATTTTAAAAATGCACATTCTCTATAAAAAGCAGTATAGAGTAGTCCCTTCTTATCCGTGGGGGATACATTCCAAGACCTCCAATGGATGCCTGCAACCACAGATAATACCAAACATTATATATACTGTGTTTTATTTTATACATACATCCCTATGATAAAGTTTAATTTATAAATTAGGCACAAAGAAAATACATACATTCCTATGATAAAGTTCAATTTATAAATTAGGCACAAGAGAATATACTATTAATTAAAAGGAAATGTGTCATAAAAGTCTTTATCCTCATCACCTTTACATTGAGTAGATGAGGAGGATAAGGAAGAGGAAGGGTCACCTTGTTTTCTTAGGGTGGCACAGGTGGAAGAAGTGGAAGGGGAGGCTGGCAAGCCAAGCACATTTATTGTGACTTTATGGAAATACATAGTAGTTTCTGTCTGATGTTTTTGCTTTTTAATTTCTCTAAAAATGTTTCTATACAGTACCAATCTTCTTCCATCATTTGCTTTGGTTTCAGTGCCCATATCATAGAAGGACCCATGTCATAAAAGAAGCCAAAAGCAATCTTGAGTAACTAGAATATTTTTGCCAGATTGTCTAATGTCAATTTTTTTTTAACACTGCTCCTTCTATGTCTTCTTGCTCATGATCTGGCACTGGTTTGGAAGCATTCATCTCCATATCTCCGTTATGTTGTCTTCTGTTAATTCCTCTGGTATGATATACATATATGTATCCATTCCATTAGTTCTGTCCCTCTAGAGAACTCTGACTAATACAGATTTTGGTACCAGGAGTGGTTCCAGAGGAACAGAATATTAAGGATGGAGTTCTTTCATTGGTTTTGGGGTTTCTGGAGTTGGTTGCTTAATATGATTAGACTAAAAAATTCTAAGTACTCTACTTTTAATAGTATGGAAAACACTGGAAAATAGTATGGAAAATAGTCCTTCATGTGAACTGTTTAGAGAGTTATCCAAAATAAATGCATTTAACACTCCTGATTCATCACTCAGGAAAGGCAAGGATTTTAATGACTCTATACATAATAACTTTGACCATATGTGGAGAACCAAGGAACATTATGAAACTGGTTGGTTGCTCCTAAGTTCAGTGGACAAAGTGATGAGAGAAAATGATGAACTCAGAGATTCTATCTCCCGGCTTCAGAAGTAGATACTGAGCCTGAAATCTAAGATTGTCCTGAGTGAAAGTCTTAACTCCTGTAAAGAAAGAGCTGAAATTGTGAAAAAACACACACAAGCTATTTTTTTTTCTTTTTTTTTTTCTTTTTTTTTTGTTTGAGACGGAGTCTCACTGTGTCACCCAGCCTGGAGTGCAGTGGTGTGATCTTGGCTCATGGCAACCTCCGCCTCCCGGGCTCAAGTGATCCTCCTGCCTCAGCCTCCCCAGTAGCTTGGATTATAGGCGCCTGCCACCACACCTGGTTCATTTTTGTATTTCTAGTAGAGATGGGGTTTCGCCATGTTGGCCAGGTTGCTCTTGAACTCCTGACCTCAGGTAATCCACCCACCTTGGCTTCCCAAAGTTCTGGGATTACAGTCATGAGCCACTGCAAAATCTTTTATCATGCGAGTGACTGACCTGCAACAAAAGGTGCATGCACAGCCTCGCCAAGTGTCTACTGTTAAAGTGAGGGCATAGATTGGAAAAGAATGGGACCCTGCAACTTGTAATGGGGATATGTGGGAGGACACTGATGAAGCTGGGACATTGAGTTTGTAAACCCTGATGAAACTTTTTTACCAGAAGAAAGAGCTTCTCCATCCCCAGTAGTGGCAACATTCCCTCCCCGACCCATGCTGCCATCAGCCTTTCCACCTTTGTCTGAGGCGATAAACCCTGCGCTGCCTGAGGCAACAGTGATGGCCTCCCCTGAGGCAGTTGCCAGGCAAGATAATGTTGATTCTCCTCAGGAGCCACCCCTAACACCCATGTTTGCTTCTAGATCTATAACTAGACTAAAGTTCCTGCAGACCCCTAGAGGTGTGGTTGAGAGTGTGACCCATGAGGTGGTGTGCTACACTCAAAAAGAACTCCTTGTGTTTTTTAATTTATATAAACAGAAATCTGGAGAAAAGGCATGGGGATGGAAATTAAGGGTGTGGGATAATGGTGGAAGGAATAAAGAGTTGGGTCAGGCTGAATTTATTGATTTCGGCCCACTAAGTAGGGACGCTGCATTTAATGTTGCAGCTCAGGGAGTTAAAAAAGATTCTAATAGTTTATTTGCTTGGTTAGCTGAAATATGAATTAAAAGATGGCCCACTGTGAGCGAGCTAGAAATGCCCGATCTCCTTTGGTTTAATATAGAGGAAGGGATCCAAAGGCTTAGGGAGATTGGGAAGGTAGAGTGGATTAGTCACTTTAGACCTAATAATCCCAGCTGGGAGGGTCCAGAAGACATACACTTGACCAATGCCTTGTGAAATAGATTTTTGAGGGCAGTACCTGAATCTTTGAAGAGTCCTGTAATTGCTCTTCTCTGTATGTCAGATCTGATGGTGGGAACCGCAGTCAGCCAACTACAAAGTTTAAATACAATAGGAATAATTGGATCCCAAGGTGGCAGGGGCCAAGTGGTGGCACTGAACAGTCAAAGGCAAGGTGAGCATAACTATCATAATGAACAGCAGAGGCAAAGCAGCAATCAGAATAGTCTGATTCCTGTAGAGCTCTGGCATTGGCTAATCAATCACGGTGTTCTTAAGTGTGAAATTAATAGGAAATCTACTGCATTCCTACTTAATTTATACAAGCAGAAAATTTCTAGGTTGAATGGACAAAAAACTAATTTGAATTATAAAAACAGAGAATCATGGCTGTTCAATCAATTTCCAGACTTGAGCTAATTTACAGATCCAGAACCCCTTGAATGAAGGGGAGTCCAGCTCCCCTGGAGGAAGGACCCCACTACACTACCGACAATTTATGCAGTGAATCTTTCTCCCATCCTCCCCCAAGGAGATCTCCAGCCTTTTACCAGGGTAACTGTGTACTGAGGAAAGGGAAATGATCAGACATTTGGGGGACTACTGGACACTGGCTCTGAGCTGACGTTGATACCAGCGGACCCTAAACGTTATTGTGGTCCTCCAGTTAAAGTAGAAGCTTATGGAGGTCAGGTAATTAATGGAGTTTCAGCTCAGGTCTGACTTACAGTGCATCCAGTGGGTCCCAGACTCATCCTGTGGTCATTTCCCCAATGCCAGAATGCGTAATTGGCATAGACATACTTAGCAGCTGGCAGAATCCCCACATTGGCTCCATGACTGGTAGGGTGAGGGCTATTACAGTGGGAAAGGCCAAATGGAAGTCATTAGAGCTGCATCTACCCAGAAAAATAGTAAATCAAAAACCATATCGTATCTCTTTAGGGGTTGCAGAGATTAGTGCCACTCTAATTGGAGACAACTCCTGCTACTTCTCTCCTCCATTCTGCACCGATAGCTTCATGGGGAATTCCCTATCAACAGTTGACAGAGGAAGAGAAGACTAGGGCCTTGTACACAGATGGTTCTGCACAATACTGTGGACCCATCAAGGACTTGAAAGACACAGGGGTGGTGATTCCCACCACATCTCTATTCAACCCTCCTATTTGACCTGTCAGAAGACTGATGTATTATGGAGAATGACAGTGGATTATTTTAAGCTTAACCAAGTGGTGACTGCCATTGCAGCTGCTCTACCAGATATGGTTTCATTGCTTGACAAATTAACACATCTCCTGGTATCTGGTATGCAGCCATTGACTTGGCAAATGCCTTTTTCTCCATTCTTATCCATAAGGCCCACCAGAAGCAATTTGCCCTCAGCTGGTAAGGCCAGCAACAAATCTTTACTGTCCTACTTTGGGAGCATATCAATTCTCATGCTTTGTGTCATAATCATATTTGAAGACACCTTGATTGCTTTTTGCATCCACGGGATATCACACTGGTTCATTATATTGATGAAATTATACTGATTGGGTCCCATGAGCAAGAATTAGCAAACACACTGGACTTATTGGTGAGATATTTGTGTGCAAGAGGATGGGAAATAAATTCGACTAAAATTCAGGGACTTTCTACCTCACTGGAATTTCTACTTATCCAGGGTGTGGGAACTGTTGAGATATTTCTTCTAAGGTGAAGGATAAGTTGCTGTCGGTTTTGAGTGGGGTCCAGAACAGGAGAAGGCTCAGCAACAGGTCCAGGCTGCTGTGTAAGCTGCTCTGCCACTTGAGTCATATGACCCAGCAGATCCAATTATGCTTGAGGTGTCAGTGGCAGATAGAGATGCTGTTAGGAGCCTTTGTCAGGACCCTAGTGGTGAATCACAGGGGAGACCTCTAGGATTTTGGAACAAGGCCCTGCCATCTTCTGCAGATAACTACTCTCCTTTTGAGAGACAACTCTTGGCCTGTTACTGGGCTTTGGTGGAAACTGAACATTTGACTACGGGTCATCAAGTCACCATGCGACCTGAACTGCCTACCACGAACTGGGTGTTTTCTGACCCATCTAACCATAAAGTAGGTCATGCACAGCAGTATTCCATCATCGAATGGAAGTGGTATATACATGGTTGGGCTCGAGCAGGTCCTGAAGGCACAAGTAAGTTACATGAGGAAGTGGCTCAAATGCTCATGGTCTCCACTCCTGCCACTTCTTTCCCCCATTCTGCACCAATAGCTTCATGGGGAGTTCCCTATGAACAGTTGACAGAGGAAGAGAAGACTACGGCCTTGTACACAGATGGTTCTGCACAATATGCAGGCACCACCCGAAAGTGGACAGCTACAGCAGTACAGCCCCTTTCTAGGACATCCCTGAAGGCAGCAGTGAAGAGAAATCTTCCCAGTTGGCAGAACTTTGAGCAGTGCATCTGGTTGTGAACTTTTCATGAAAGGAATTTGCCAGCAGCAGAGAACAATACTGAGCCCTTGATATGTCACCATTCCTCAGGGTGATCAGCCAGCTACCTAGTGGCAGGTTGATTATATTGGACACTTTTCATCATGGAAAGGGCAGAGGTTTGTCCTCATTGGAATAAACACTTACTACGGGTATTGGTTTACCTATCCTGAATGCAGTGCTTCTGCCAAGTCTGCCATCCGTGGACTCATGGAATGCCTTATCCGCCATCATGGTATTCCACACAGCATTGCGTCTGACAAAGGCCCTCACTTTAAGGCTAAAGAAGTGCAGCAGTGGGCTCATGCTCATGGGATTCACTGGTCTTACCATGTTTCCCATCACCCTGAAGCAGCTGAATTGATAGAACAGTGGAATGGCCTCTTGGGGTCAGAATTACAATGCCAAGTAGGTGACAATTTTTTGCAGGCCTGGGGCAAAGTTCTCCAGAAGCCATGTATGTTCTGAATCAGTGTCCAACACATAGTACTGTTTTTCCCATAGCCAGGATTCACAGGTCCAGCAATCGAGGGGTGGAAGTGGAAGTGACACCACTCACCATCACCCCTATTTATCCATTAGCAAACTTTTTGCTTCCTGTTCCTGTGACATTACGTTCTGCCGGCCTAGGGGTCTTAGTTCCAGAGGGAGGAATGCTGCCACCAGGAGACACAACAACGATTCCATTAAACTAGAAGTTGAGATTGCAACCTGGACACTTTGGCCTCCTCCTACCTTTAAGTCAATAGGCCAAGAAGGGAGTTACAGTGTTGGTTGGGGTTATTGACCCGGACTATCAAGATGAAATCAGTCTACCTCTCCCCAACAGAGGTAAGGAAGAGTATGCATGGAATACAGGAGATTCATTAGGGTGTCTCTTAGTATTACCATGCCCTGTAATTAAGGTCAATGGGAATCTACAACAGCCCAATCCAGGCAGGACTACAAGTTACCCAGTCCCTTCTGGAATGAAGTTTTGGGTCACTCCACCAGGAAAAATACCACAACCTGTTGAGGTGCTTGCTGAAGGCAAAGGGAATACAGAATGGGTAATAGAATGTAGTTATCGACACCAGCTGCAATTACATGAGCAGCTGCAGAAACAATGACTGTAACTGTTGTATTTCCTCATTCTTTTGTTAAAAACATGTATGTGCATGTATACACTTGTACTAAGAAAATATTTTCAATTTATTTCTTTTCTCCTTTATCATGTGACGTAAGATTTATTGACTCTACATCAACATTTAAGTATTATTAACTTTATATAATAATATTTGGGCTACGGATTGGTGCATTTCCAGTTGTATGAAAGACAGTTGTATTATATTAGGGGTAGTTATGACCTTATTATTGTCCTTATTTGAAGATTACATATGACTTCAAGTTTATGGATTCAAGTTGACAAGAGGTGGACTTGTGATAGTTAATACTGAGTGTCAACTTGATTGGATTAAAGGATACAAAGTATTGATCCTGGGTGTATTTGTGAGGGTGTTGCCAAAGGAGAGTAACATTTGAGTCAGTGGGCTGGGAAAGGCAGACCCACTCTTAATTTGGGTGGGCACAATCTAATCAACTGCTAGCATGGCTAGACTATAAGCAGGCATGGTCTGAGTTAATATTTAATAAACTCCCCTTTATATATATATATATAACAGCTCTCTCAAGCCCTGAAGCAGATTGCTGCAGCACCAACTGACATTGCATCAAAGAGAAGAAATATCCAACTGTGTCCAGACAGCCCACACATTTGTTAAATGTAATAGAATTTTTGTTTTCTAATGACACTGAGTTTTGGAAGAATTTATTATACAACATCAGGTAACTAAAATATGTCATTTGTATTGCCCTCCCCCCTTTTTTTTGACAGAGTCTTGCTCTGTCACCAGGCTGGAGTGTAGTGGCACAATCTTGGCTCATTCTGCAACCTCTGCCTCCTGGGTTCAAGTGATTCTCATGTCTCAGCCCCCTGAATAGCTGGGACTACAGGCACGTGCCACTATGCCCAGCTAATTTTTTTTTATTTTTAGTAGAAACGGGGTTTCACCATGTTGGCCAGGGTGGTCTTGATCTCTTGACTTCGTGATCCACCCGCCTCAGCTTCCCAAAGTGCTGGGATTACAGGAGTGAGCCACACCGCCTGGCTATCTATAATACTTCTCAGAAGCCTGTAACATGATAGGCACTCAAAAGCTGATGAAAAAAATGGATGGAAGAAGGAATATATAAACGTGTTCAAGATTATCAAAAAGTATATGCTGAAGAGGCAGGGATAATTTCATGATTTAAAACAGGATTTCTCAAGATGGGTTTCAACGACAATATAAATCATAAACATCTAACATCAAAAGATAATTTGTTTACAATTTGCATCACTCATTTGCATTCAAGACTTGGTAAATCTGTGGGGGAGAAATTAAAGTATTTGCTTGAATTTTGTTTTCTTATCAAGATTCAGTGACATTCGTGCATGACAATGAAATTCATTGCTAGTGCATTTGTATACAAACATACATGCATACACATCTAGATAAAAACACATAGAAAATAAGTGGTGGAATCACTGCATTTATTTGGTTAATCAAAGCAAAACTGGCTTCTGCCTCAATCTAGTTATTTCAGCTAAATTATTTTACTTGCTGAAGTAAATATGGCTTATTCCCACTTTGAAATAAATTATCTTCATATCTGTAAAATCATTCTTTCCAAATTAATTTAGTGTAATGCTAAAAGGTTTCAATTATCACAGTTGCTCCAGAAAAATCATATGTATATTTACAACAATTTAATCAATTGTGATATTGCATTCTTTCACTTGAGAAAATTTCCTGTAAGTGCTCACGGATTGTCTTGCAATTAAATAAAGTGCATTTTGTAATGTCATTTTCAAATATATATTTACATTTTAATAAAATAGGTCAGATTCATTGGTTTTCTTTCATTGTTTGTTATTTTCTGTATTTCTCAGTTACAACCTAAAATATAGGTTGACTTTCAAATTTGATTAAATTTAGAGGAAAAATTTTAAGATAATTTATTTCATTTCCTATTTTATCAATCAAAATGGTTGCAAAATAGGAACTGTACAAATAAATTATAACAAAGGTTTGAGTGCAGTGCCTCATGTCTATAATCCTAGCACTTTGGAATGCTGAGGCAGGAGGATTGCTGGAGGCCAGGAGTTTGAGACCAGCCCGGGCAACGTAAAGGACCCAATCTCTACAAAAAGTTTTTTAAATTAGCAGGACATGGTGGCGTATGCCCATAATCCCAGATATTTGGGAGGCTGAGGTAGAAAGTTTGACTGATCCTGTGAAATCGAGACTGCAGTGAGCTATGATTACATCCCTGCACTCCAGCTTGGGTACCAGAGTTGGACCCTGGCTCAAAAGAAAAAAAATATTAAACCATATATTACATACAACAAAATTTATTATATCATAAAAATAAACTCTTGTGTTCTCAATAGTAATCTCACTCTTCCCCATGTCAATGGATGCCTCTGACCATATGCAGTAGGCCAAAACACTAAAGTAATGTTGGATATTTTTTTACATTGATTACATATATTGACACTAAACTCCTTGTTTTGAAAAATACTTTGTTTATTTGAAATGTAACTCAGTTATTGTTATTTGACAAAAAGATTTATTAAAAGAATATATATTACTATACAAGCAAACTGAAAGGTATACAGTATATAACAGCCAATAAGTAGAGTTCTAGTATATGATTTACGTTTATATATTTATACTTGCATGTACATGTATTTATATACACACACATTCATATATTATTATAAAATTCACAAAATGTTTGTATAACGCATCTAACCTACCTTCCTAATAAATATCCCAAGAACAAACAGCAAAATATAAACCAAGGACTGATTTCTTTTGTGTATACATTTCCATGTTGCCACAATAATAATTTCAAACATTTTTACATCAATAGATGCCTCTGACTGGAAAATACTTAATGTTAAGATCTATAATAAGGTGGTAGGCATCGTTATTTAATACTTCCAGATATTTTGCCTTCACACATTTTCAACTGGCCAATATATTTCTTATTATAAACTAGGTTTAAACAAATGACAGAAGCCTCAAATCTACAAAAGTTAAATGTGTGTGATTTATAGATATTAATATTGGTAAACCACTTAAATCTGTTACTCTCTTTTAAACAGACCAGGTAGGATCTCGAAAATAAAACATGGTAACTATGCAAATAATTATAATAATAATACGTAAGATAGAAAGCAGAAAACATATAGGTCAATTTGTATGCCTACATGAATGCTCCTAGATGTTCTAGAACTTTAGAACTATCTGTCTGAAATGATAATTTGAGGTAAGTAATCATATAAACTATATTTAAAAAAATTATTGTTGACTTTAAAAAATGGTATTAACTATAAAATTACTTTAAGAAAAATAAAGCTATTAAGCTACTGATTTGGACAGGTAATTTAATGTTAATGCTAGAGAGTTTAAATTTGAGAATTTATGATATTTTATTTTAGAACTTTTATTAAGAAGACTGCTGTTAATATAGAAAGAAATCATTCTACTTATTTAGAACAAAATAAAATATAAGTAGGCAGTAAAGTGAGAACAACTACTTTTTTCTCCTATTATGCTCAGGTTATAGATGAATGTGTCATCTTTTCTGACCTCAAAGAGTTTTTGACTTGCCACAGGAAGCAAAGCATACATTAAAAATTAGCACAGGGGGCTGGGCACGCCTCTAATCCCAGCACTTTGGGAGGCCGAGGCGGGCAGATCACGAGGTCAGGAGATCGAAATCATCCTGGCTAACATGGTGAAACCCCGTCTCTACTAAAAATACAAAAAATTAGCCAGGCATGGTGGTGGGCCCCTGTAGCCCCAGCTACTGGGAAGGCTGAAGCAGGAGAATGGCGCAAACCCGGGAGGCGGAGCTTCCGGTGAGCAGAGATCGTGCCACTGCACTCCAGCCTGGGCGACAGAGCGAGAGTCAAAAGAAATCTCAAAAAAAAAAAAAAAAAAAATCTCAAAAAAAAAAAAATTAGCACAGGGAAGTTGAATACTGTAATAGGTATGAGAGACAGGGGAATCTTAGTTGCTTACATCCACAAATAACGAGAATCACGTTTCCAAATTTAAGTACAGGCATTGTACCTATGCAATTTTTTAATATTGTCAATTTTTAAATGATATCCTGCTAGGGACAGGTTAGGAACCTGGACTGTGGTAACCACACAAGCAGTCTAAAAGAAATACTCACTTTTAATTCCTTATCCAATTATATGGTTGCTTTTGTAATTTCTAATTGGTCTATGGATGTGAAAGGATATAGAAGCATGAGGCTTTAATTTCTTTAAATAATACCAATTTCCAGAGCAAGATTGTTATTTATAAGAAATATAGGTGAAGTTTAATATGATATAATTTTGAAAAATTCTATCATATTAATTAAATTAAATTATATTAGGGAAGAGGTTAAAGATGGCAGTGGCCAAATGCTTCCAAAATTGATAAAGATGTGAAAAACTAGACTTCACAAGCATTAGACATATGGTCTTGATAAAAATAATAATATGGGATCCTTTTTTGTGGCAAAAAGCCTGTTTAGTGGGGAAAGTTAAAAACATGGTATTTAATTTTTTATCAAGACTATCCATGTAACAAATGGGATGCATGGGATACATGGCAATAGCATTAAGTAAATGTTAAAGTTTTGTATTAGTCCATTCTCATATTGCTATAAATAAATACTTGAGACTGGGTAATTTATAAAGGAAAGCCATCTAATTGGCCCATGGTTCTGCAGGCTATACAGGAAGCATGATGCTTGCATCTGCATGGCTTTTGGGGAGGCCTCAGGAAATTTATAATCATGGCAGAAGGCAAAGGGGGAGCAAGCATATCACATAGCTAGAGCAGGAGCAAGAGAGGGAGGCAGGCGCTACACATTTTAAATTTACCAGATCTCAAGAGAACTCACTCACTGTCACAAGGACAGTACTAAGGGGACGTACTAAACTACGCATTAGAAATCCACTGTCATGACCCAATCACCTCCCACCAGTCTCCACCTTCAACACTGGGGGTCACATTTCAATGTGAGATTTGGGCAGGGACACACATTCAAACTATATTAAGTTTATTGTAGTTGAGGACAACCTATATGAAGGCATGGCTTTAAAAATATAACTACCGGCCGGGTGTGGTGGCTCACGCCTGTAATCCCAGCACTTTGGGAGGCTGAGGCAGGCGGATCATGAGGTCAAGAGATTGAGACCATCCTGACCAGCACAGTGAAACCCCGTCTCTACTAAAAATACAGAAAAATTAGCCAGGCATGGTGGCGGGCGCCTGTAGTCCCAGCTACTCGGGAGGCTGAGGGAGGAGAATGGCGTGAACCTGGGAGGCAGAGCTTGCAGTGAGCCGAGATCACGCCACTGCACTCCAGCCTGGGCGACAGAGAGAGACTCCATCTCAAAAAAAAAAAAAAAAGTTATATATATGTATATATATATAAACTACCACAGAGTAGAGTGTTATGAGTAACTTGGAGAAGACTTCAAGGTAATAGTTACCACATTTTCAGATGATGAGATTCTAGAAGGGATGCATATACAAGAATCCATATGATATCCAGAGATGGAAATCATAAGCTGAATTTATCAATATTGTATATAAAAGATACAAATATACAGACTACAACTTTATGATAAGTAGCATTTGACCTAACAGTAGATGAAGCTCAAAATCTGATGTAGCTAACAGAATAAAATTAAACAAAAATTTTTAAAAAATAATATAAAAGTAACACAAGTGCATATAGAGGATTTTAATTTGTCAATATGTTGAAAGGAAATAGAAAGTTCATCCTTTGTTATATTTAAATTTTGTTTATGATAATATAAGAATCTATGAACTGGAGTACATTACAAAAACTATTCACTGAGAAACAGCTAATAAAACTTATCTTGCTTGTAGCGAAATTTTCATTAAATGTGACTTTTGTTCATTTTATTTTATATTTCAGATGCAATTGAGAACTGATGGTGACAAGCCATCACTCCTTGTCATTCACAACTCAAAATAAATGTACAATATTAAAAGACAAAATTAGGGCTTCTAGAGAAACATATGGTGACATACTTTTAACATTATTAAAAATGTGTTTATTACTATTCTATGAAGACAAATTTCAGTCATTGATTTACCAAAGATTTGTATCCTTCTTAAAATAACTGTACAAATATGCTCCTCAAGCAGCAAGGTCAAAGTAGGGAAAGAGGTGTTTGCATTCTATAATAAAAAATGAATTAGAAGCTTTCATATAGTGGTCAAAAATTTAGATACAATTGACTTGAAAATTAAAAATCATAGAGACCTATTTATCTTATTGAAGAATGTAATAATAATATATTATACAGTTTATAGTTATAGCAGAGGCTAACTTACTAGCCAGATGACATATGAAACACTGCCTAAATTTAGAAAACAGTGGATACGCATTTCATTGAAATTAATAAATTACATATGTATATCTCCATTGCATTTTTCTTTATCCTCCAATTTCAATGTCTAAATAATTACTTTCTATTTTATAAAATCCTTGCTACAAAAAGTTTTATGATCTCATGTTGATCAAAAAGAGTTGTGAATAAAATTTGTTATACATATATATGGTGAGTCTTTGTAAATTATTTGCATGCCTATTAACTTAAAAAGGACATCTTTCTATATCAAATATAATGTAAAATAATTTTATATACTTTGTTGTTTAGTGGGAAACTAAGATTTTTGGTCTCTTCTCTTTATTACATATTCTACTCTTCAACATAGCCATTTTGGATTTAATAAAGTTAAGGTTCAGAGGAGTAAAAATATTTTATATAATTTTTTTTTTTTTGCTAGTATGCAGCATGGCAGAACTAAAAACCTGTTCACCTGATATTTGGGCAGCCACTTAAAAACATATCCTGAAGTCCAATTAGAAGTGCCAACCCCTATTTTCTGAGCCTGAGCACCTGTATATGCTTTTTAGTTATAAAGAATGTATTTGGATTCATAAGAGGAAGAGAACCAATAAAAGAGAGAGAGAGTGTGTGTGTGTCTGTGTGTGTGTGTAGTAGAGAGAGAGAAAGAAAAAGAGATTTAATTGAAAGAATTGGTTCACATGACTGTGGGGGCTGGCAAGTCCAAAATCTGCAAATCTGCCGGGCAGGGCAGGACAGTAAGCTGGAGATTCAGAGTACCTCAATCTTTTTCAAGACTTTCAATAGATTGGATGAGATCCACCAACATTGTAGAGGTTAATCTGCTTTACTCAAAGCCTACTAATAAATGTTAAACATATGTAAAAAATACCATCACAGCAACATCCAGACTAGCATTTGATCAAACAATTGACCAGTCAAGATGGCACATAAAATTAAGCATGATAGGCTGGGTGTGGTGGCTCACACCTGTAATCCTTGCATTTTTGGAGGCCGAGGCGGGTTGATCACGAGATCAAGAGATCGAGACCATCCTGGCTAACACGGTGAAACCCCATCTTTACTAAAAGTACAAAAAATTAGCCGGGCGTGGTGGCAGGCACCTGTAGTCCCAGCTACTCGGAGGCTGAGGCAGGAGAATGGCGTGAACCCGGGAGGTGGAGCTTGCAGTGAGCAGAGATGGCACCATTGCACTCCAGCCTAGGTGACAGAGCCAGGCTCTGTCTCAAAAAAAAAAAAAAGATTAAGCATGATGAAGACAAAATCCATTTTACTTGAGAATAAAAGGTACTTATTACTGCTGGAGTACATTCGATTATTAAATTGGCTACCTAGTAAAGAAGACAGTTCATTAAGTTAAAATAAAAGCAAGGCCTTTCACGAGGTCAGAATCTAACCAACTTTGGGTTTTTCAGACTGTTTGAGTCTGATATTTGACTTCTATAAAATTAAAAATGTGTTACTTAATAAACTATACTATATAGAATGATGTAAAAATAACAATAGATAGCATGTGGAAAGAGAAGTTTTTGACATGCCTGTGGCAATTAATATCTATCACCGTTATGTTTTAAAAAGCGGGGTTTGTTACAATATAAAAACTATTATTAAACTTCAAAGGCCTATATTCTTGAGAGTAAATGAAATCATTTGTGTTGTGTTTATTTTTATGAATTTTCTTCCAGTTCATTGTAGTTATTTTAAGACATTTCTATACTGAATATAGAAGTCCAAAACTCTAATTAAAAATCTGGTGGATAGTTAGTAAGACAGAGTTCGTATATCATCTCCTAAACATGTTTTTTGGTGTGTTCAGTTGATATCTAGTAAACATTATTTTTTGCTCTTTTTAATTTATATCTAGTATATATCCATTGTAAGAATATATGTTTAAATACTTTTTTCAGTAAATAATCCAGTATATGTGTGGGTATATATGTGTGCAAATGTTTACATGTTTATTGAGGGATGTCTTTTGTCAGTGCCGAAACTATATAAAAGAGTTTATAATATGCTACAAAATTCAAAGATTTCTTTTTGTTTGAATATATTAAATTATGGAATCATAGTAATCTTTCTTGATTTCATTTGTCTCTGTATATCACTGCACTTAGAAGTCACTGCAACAAAGTAGAAAACACATCCACACACACACACTTGCTCTCTCTCTCACTCACACTCACAGCCACATCATATAGCTGTGATATAAGACCAATATTAGACTCTCTCTGGCTTGGCATGACTGGAAAAATGCTCATCCATCAGAGGAAGACAAAATAAAAGTCTAAACATCAATATTGTCAAATTGAAAGGAAAAACTAAGAAGCCGTTCTTGGATGTCTTTGTATTCTGCTCCACTATCTATCTATCTACTATCTATCTATCTATCTATCATCTATCTATCTATCTATCTATCTATCTATCTATCTATCTATCTAATCTATCTATCTATCTAGCATGTTATATATAACATGATGAATGTTAACTTGAATTTGAAGTCAAATTCAAGTGGGTCTTACTTCCACATATAAAATTTGTCATGGATGTCAAAATGTAGCCTATCTGTAACCAACAAAGAAGCTCAGCTTTGTTAGACATAGACTTTAACTGTGGAGTGAAAGTTGGAAATATTCTGTCAAGAATGAGGTGGTTGTTTTACACTTTCAATGAGTGTAGGTGTTCATTTTAGAGAGGTTGCAGATTCTGGTAGTCCTAGAAAAAGTGGTGCAGGGTGTTCACTTCAAGAAAATGAGGCAAAAATGGAACATCGAGATGATGAGAACATGTGCAGTTCTCTCTAGCAGCATAAGTAGCATAATGTAGCATGGGATCTTGAGATAGACAAGCTGAACAGCTCCTTATCAGCCCTGCGATGTGCAAATTACGTAAGTTCAGTCAAGAATAGCTACTATTATTATAAATAATTTGTGTCAGGAAACATACGTCATAACTATGTTTTTTATTTATTTTATTTTATTTTATTTGAGACGGAGTCTCAGTCTGTCACCCAGGCTAAAGTGCAGTGGCATGTTCTCGGCTCACTGCAACCTCTGACTCCCGGGTTTGAGTGATTCTCGTGCCTCAGACTCCTGACCAGCTGGAGAGCGCCACCACAAAAAGTATATGTTTTGTTTTTGTTTTTGTTTCAACTCAGTGAATAATAAAGGAAACAGAGTGACAATATCTTTGAAAGCAGTAACAGAAGAAAGAGGCATCAATGTAGAGGAATGTAGAGAAGTTTTCACCAATATATGTTTCATATTAACTGCATTTTTCTGTTTTAATAGATCTGGAGACTCCAGTAGATTTCCAGCATTGGTGAGCTTATCTGGATCACCAGTTAAAATGCAGAACAGTGCAAAGCCAGGAGTGGTACACTGGTTCAACCACCAAAAACATTGCAGTTAGACATTGATCTATATTATTTTATTTTATTTGAGACGAAGTCTCAATCTGTCTCCCAAATGCAGTGGCATGTTCTCTGCTCACTGAAACCTCTGACTCCATTCTGTTCTCTGCTGGGGAAGCTGACATGTATAAACTATACCAATGTATTCCTGTGCTCTTTGGCTTTTGATTGGGTTTGGTCAATGGGGAGGTCTTGAAGGAGATCGGATGGAAAGAAAAGAATATGTTCAGCTCCTCCACTACAGGACAGCACATGACTCCCAATTATTATCTATAAATGTTTTTTAAAAATAAGCAAATCCTTGGGCACAAATGTTCATAGTAGCCTATTCATAATAGCCAAAATGTGGAAACAACCCAAATGTCCTTCAGTAAATGAATGGATAAACAGAATGTGATATATCCATAGAATGGAATGTTATTCAGTCATAAAAAGGAATGAAAGATTATCTGCTACAGTGTGAGTGAACTTGAAAACTTAATGCTAGGTGAAAGAAGACAGTTACAATACGTTTTATATTATATCATTTCATTTCTGTGAAATATCCAGAGTAGATAAATCCATGCAAACAGAAGGAGACTGCTTGGTTGGGTAATCTGAGGACAGGGGGAATTGACAGCAGCTGCTTAATGGGTAAGAAGTTTGATTTGAGGGCAGTGAAAATGTTTTTAAACTAGAGGGAGATGACAATTGTGCAACTTGTGAATGTACTAAAAACAATGTGAATATTAATATATGAAATAGCATTTATTTATTATTTTTTAAATAGCATTTATTTTATTGTTTTCAAATGGTTAGTTTTTGATTATATAAATTTTACCTTAATAAAAAATACATATTCCTCCCAAAAAAGTCTCTTGCTACATATTGTCAGGAATTTGATTTCAAGAAGAAAGACAGGTTGTATGAATGCTAGAGCTATGTTTGTTTTTGCTCACCTCTGTTTCCACAGTGGCCAGATTCTTATCTACCACTTTGAAGGCACTCAATGAAAAATTTGTATGATGAATTAATGCATGGCATCAGCCACTGGAAAAAATATGATTAAAAAAAGTATTAAGAACTTTTGCTAGGTCTATCAAATTGTAAGCTGTGACAGAGCTCTCACCCAGGCAGTCCAATTCTAGAACTTTAATAGATGTCCTGCATAATGTAATTTTAAAAGTCATTATTAAAATATTTGAAAGCAAAAGTTTATAAAACAGCATAGAGTAAAATAATGGTAAAAGTAATCAATTTTAGTTTAGAGTTTGTTTTTTATAATTTTGCGAGTTGAAATAAAGAATATAAATTAAATTATATATGAATTTCATCTTTAAAACTGAATATTCTAATTGATGATTGGGTAAATTTCACAAAGTGAAAAATGGTACTTTAAACATGACATATTTAATACATGAACTGGATTTTTTCTAAAGCAAAATAAAATGTCTATAATTATAACTCTATCATGTTTTTGTACTTGCTTAGTAGAATGCTAGTGTTTATAGTAGTGGGAATATGCTGCAAATTAAGCCTATTTAGTGCTTTTTTCTAATTGTTGGCAACACAAGGAAAGCTTTAAAAATTACAGGAATGTATTTAAAATTACATTATCGTTAACTTTCATGGAAATTTAGTACTTGGCACCTCTACAGTTAGTAACATAGATAACACATAGTTTGAAATGTTAAAGAATCCTATGACAAAAATGAGAAATTTTATTATAAAACAAGAAATAATAATTCATTCAATTAAGGAATATCAGATTAATCAAGATTGTATTTTGTCTTAATAAAAAGCTTTGAGACTCGTCTCAAGTAAAATTAAATTTTATTTGAGAAGAATTATAAATAAAATTTCAAAAGTGAGTGCCTCTATGTATTTTTTCTTTCATGACTCTTTTGTCATATGTTTCTTTCTCTTTCTTTCTCTATATCCAATACTAATGTTTGGATGGTGCTGGAATTATACATAGGGGAGTCAATTTCAAGATGGGAGAGAGTGGAAAAGTGACTGGTATACATAATTACCACATTACTTCCATTTTTTACTTTGTGTATATATTCTTGTCTCATGAATAAAATAATTGCCACCTAGTGTTTTCAAGAAGATTAAATTAATCAATATCTATAGCATACTTACAACTATCCACAGTACATGCGCTTTAAAAGAATGTGTGGCAGGTTGTCTTTAAGGAGGGCAGCCAACAATCCCTTCCCTCTATCTATAATCATGCTGTTACAACCATCTATAAGGTAGTGTCTATTTTTCTCTAGGTAGGTATGTATGCTTCTAACTGAACTAGTGAGCTCATTTCCTCACTTATTTACCTTTATAAAAATTAGAATTACTCTATCAATATTGCATATTAGTCCATTCTCATGCTGCTAATAAAGACATACCCAAGACTCCATAATTTATTAAAAAAAAAAGATTTAATGAACTTACATTTCCACATGGCTGGAGAGGTCTCACAATCATGGCAGAAGGTGAAGGATGAGCAAAGACACATCTTACAAGGCAGCAGGCAAGAGACCTGGGGAACTGCCCTACATAAACCATCATTTTGAGACTTATTCATTATCATGAGAACAGCACAGGAAAAACCCACCCTAATGATTCAATAACCTCCCACCGGGTCTCTCCCATGACATATGGGGATTATGGGAGCTACAGTTTAAGAGGAAATTTGGGTGGGGACACAGGACCAAACCATATCATCCTGCTTCTGGCCCCTCCTAAATCTCATGCCCTCACATTTGAAAACCAGTCATGCCTTCCCAACAGTCCCTCAATGTCTTAACTCATTTCAGCATTAACTCAAAAGCCCACAGTCCAAAGTCTCATGTGAGGCAAGGCAAGTCCCTTCTTCCTATGAGCCTGTAAAATCTAAAGCAAGTTACTTCCTAGATACAATGGGGGTACAGGCACTGGGTAAATACACCCATTCCAAATGGGAGAAATTAGACAAAATGAAGGAGCTACAGGCCCCATGCAAGTTCAAAATGCAGAAGGGCAGTCAAATCTTAAAGCTCCAAAATCTTCACCTTTGACTCTGTGTCTCACATCCAGGTCACACTGATGCAAGAGGTGGGGTTCCACAGCCGTGGGCAGCTCCATCTCTGTGGGTTTGCTGGGTACAGTCCCCCTCTTGGCTGCCTTCACAGGCTGGCATTGAGTGCCTGTGACTTTTCCAGGTGCATGGTGCAAGCCATCAGTGGATCTACCATTCTGGGGTCTGGAGGACAGTGGCCCTCTTCTCAGAGCTCCACTAGGCAGTCCTCCAGGGGGAATTCTGTGTGAGGGCTCTCACCCTACATTCGCCTTCTGCACTGCCCTAGCAGAGGCTCCCCATGAGATCTACACCCCTTGCAGCAAACTTCTGCATGGGCATCCAGGCATTTCCATATACCCTCTGATATCTAGGCAGGGGTTCCTAAACCTCAATTGTTGACTTCTGTGCACCTGCAGGCTCAGTGCCATGTGGAAGCTGCCAAGGCTTGGGGCTTGCACCCTCTGAAGCCATGGCCCGAGCTGTCTGCTGGCCCCTTTCAGTTATGGCTGGGACACAGGGCACCAAGTCCTGAGATTGCACACAGCAGGCTGGTAGGGGCTGGACACGGCCTACAAAACCACTTTTTCCTTCTAGGCCTCCAGGCCTGTGATAGGAGGGACTGCCACAAAGGTCTCTGACATGCCCTGCAGTCATTTTCCCCATTTTCTTGGTGATTAGCATTTGGCTCCTCATTATTTATGCAAATTTCTGCAGCTGGCTTGAATTTCTCCCCAGGAAATGGGTTTTTCTTTTCTACTACATTATCAGATGACAATTTTTTCAAACGTTCATGCTCTGCTTTTTCTTGAACTCTTTGCTGCTTAGAAATTTCTTCTGCCAGATACCCTAAATCATCTATGTCTCTCAAGTTCAAAGTTCCACAGATTTCTAGGACAGGAGCAAAATGCTGTCAGTCTCTTTACTAAAGTATAGCAAGAATCACCTTTACTCTGCCTCATTCCCAAAAAGTTCCTCATCTCCATCTGAGACCACCTCAACCTGAACTACCTTTTGCAAATCACTATCAGCATATTGGTCAAAGCCATTTAACAAGACTCTAGGAAGTTCCAAACTTTCTCCCATCTTCCTGTCTCCTGAGCCCTCCAAGTCTCTAGGAAGTTCCAAATTTTCCCATCTTCTTTTGAGTCCTCCAAACTATTCCAGCCTTTGCTTGTTACCCAGTTCCAAAGTCACTTCCACATCTTTGGGTATCCTTATAGCAGCACCCCAATGTATCAGTACCGATTTACTGTATTCGTCTGTTTTCATGCTGGTAATAAAGACATAACTGAGACTGGATAATTTATAATGAAAAGAGATTTAATGGCATCACAGTTCCACGTGGCTGGGGAGGCCTCACAATCATGGTGAAATGTGAAGGAGGAGCAAAGTCACTTCTTACATCGCTGCAGGAAAGAGAGTGTGTGCAAGGGACCTGCCTTTTATAAAACTATCAGATCTTGTGAGATTTATTCACTAACATGAGAACAGCATGAGGAAAACCTGTCCACATGATTCAGTTACCTCCCATTTAGGTCCCTCCCTATGACCTATGGGGATTATGGGAGCTACAAATCAAGATGAGATTTGGGTGGGGACACAGCCAAATCCTATCATATTGGGTAAAACGTTAACATACAAATCATTTTGCAGTAAAATAGCTTGTTACATTCTACTGTCACCAAATGTAGGTCACCAATTTGTGTGGACATAGAGGAGGAAAAAAAGGGGAAGATAAATTGGATGTAGCTATGTTTATGCTAGTAAAGCTCTAGGAACCACTGGGCTCTCATAGTTGGGGCATGAAGTAAACATTCTACTGGCTAAGGAGTTGGGAAGAAGCTGGGATTGCTCTAAGGAGACACTTAAAGATTTTATTTGGGAAAGTATCTCTTCTATACTCTATTTAAGTAATTTCATAGATGCCATATCAATTGAGCAGAGATGATGCAAACCTTAATTTGGAAGTAAAATAAATGGGGGCACTCTATTAGCACACATCTAAAACCTATGTAAAATGAATAGTTCATATCTTAATACTCTTTGGTCTATAGTGTACCTCAAATGTAAATAAGCTGAATTTACCCATAAGGCCCAGGTATGGGGAAACTGGCATCAGGGGGATTTTCACAGAATCCAGGGAAAGTTGTGTGACAAATGCTGGACAGAAAGCAACAAAATATTTACAATGATTTGATTGTAGCTGATTACACTTCCCCCTATACTTCTGTGATTTAGTCATAAACTACACATAATATTTACTTTGTTTTCTTTTGGGGGATGGAGTCTCACTCTGTCGCCCAGTCTGGAGTGCAGTGGCGCAATCTCGGCTAACTGCAGCCCCTGCATCCTGGGTTCAAGTGATTCTCCCTCCTCACACTCCTGAGTAGCTGAGACTAAAGGTGCACACCTCCACACCCAGCTAATTTTTGTATTTTCAGTAGAGACGGGGTTTCATCTTGTTGGCCAGGATGGTCTTGATCTCTTGATCTCGTGATCCTCCTGCCTCAGCCTCCCAAAGTGCTGGGATTACAGGCATAAGCCACCGTGCCCAGCTAATATTTACTTTTTTTCAAATTAAAAACTACCACAAGAAGCTGAAAATGAAGCCATGCTACTAGATGTACAAAAATAAAAGAAATGAAGTTTACGTTGATTTATTTTCATTTTACATTATTTGATAGTTATATACATATATGTATATGTGCATATATGTCAATATATGCTTATATATATACACATCTTTGATTCCAGTTCTTTCTATTTTTTGTTTCTTGATTTGTTTTAAATTGTTAGAAAAAAATTGTGTAATGGAAAACAAAGCTGAACAAGAATGAGCTTGAAGAATAATTTTGAGTAAAAGCAAGATAAAGGCAAATTTGATTATTTCCTTCTCAGTCTTCAGTAGATGAGAGATTTAGTGTTAGTAGAAAGGTGGAAAGTGAATTCCAGGAGAGAAAAACATATCTTTAATTACTACAGCAATAAAAACAAGCTAGCTTTATTTGTGCATCACCAATTAAAATTCCCTATTAAACTTTATTCATTAGTTAATATATTCACAAAGTAATGAAATTTATCAATAAATGTAAGCTTATTAAGTTCTCTCCCAGAGTTGAAAAAATAATCTATAGATTAATCTGAATTTGTCAATTTAATCATTTGCTTAAATGGTATATATAGAAATACATAAGTTATAAATATGTTATTGTTTTGTTTTATAATTTTTTTACTATACAAATCCTATACTTCTGATAAATTTATAATTGTTGACAGGAGAGAAATAAATCGATAACATAAATTTGTTCTCCTTCATTTTTTTCTGATTTTATTCTGATATGTGCACTAGGGATCATGATAGATACCTGTGTAGCCACTGAGTGACAAACTAACCTTGACCTACTTATAATGAAATGTTGTGTTGTCACTCGGGCTCAAGAAGTCATTAAAGCTTGACAGCATTGCCTCCTGTCAGCTTTTTCCAAATCCCAGTTGAACAAAATGTCTACCAGAATTATGACTTTGTTTCACTATGTTTTTCTTGAAGTGACATCTTAACTAATTAAAAGTAACCTGTTGGATTTCAGTTTTGGCCCTCCACAAGCTAAAGGTCAGCCTATTAAGGATTTTCTCATTGACAAGGCAGCTTTGCTTCTGATGGATATATCTTCACAGAAAAATAGGGTAGAGGAAAAAGAAAAAAAAAAAAACACGGTTCATCATAGAATCTGAACTTTGGCTTAGTATATTTTTTTTTCCTAAGCTTGTGGTTCCTGTCCAATAATCTATTAAATGTGAAGGGAAAAGCAATACAAACCATAACATAAATTCAGAGAAAACTTTTAAAGTAATTATGCTTATAGCACAGATTCTAAAATTGCATGCATTCATAATTACAATTGAAATACTATACTGCAAGCTTGACCACCTTGAGTCTAATTTTTAGAAGATATTTAGGTCTATAAACAAGGTTTACATGTTGAAGAATAAAAGATAAGCCAAAAGGATGAAATGAATTTTTTAAAAGAGCAATTTAAGTAAATTTGGCTTTCTTAAGGATCAAAGGGAGATGAAAGAGCTCACAGTGAGTGTCTGGGAATCATAAGCTAAGCTGCAATTTTTATCCATTAGCTATTCTAATATTTTTAAACATAAAAGAACTAGAGTGAGAAACAAAAGACAGGTTGAATTAATTCCCCCAGTAGCACTTTCAAAGGCTTTTTCTGAGAAACCTTCAAATTTAACTTAGTTTTATTTGCCATTGGCCTATAAATATAGCTAAATGTAACAAACAAAATAAAGAAAAATCCATCAAAATTTTAAAATGTATTATTTTATGCAAAAGGAAATATGTAAAGCAGACTATACTAATGATTTGTAAATAAAAGCAATCCACCAAGTAAACTATTGTATGCCATATTTGATAAGAAGTGAAGGCATCACTAAACAAAAATTAATTTAGATCCACAATTAAAGAAATACATAATTTTTTAATGATTAATTTGCAATTATATTATGGCCTTGGAGAGAGTT
This sequence comes from Homo sapiens, assembly GCF_000001405.40. Classification (NCBI taxonomy): domain Eukaryota; kingdom Metazoa; phylum Chordata; class Mammalia; order Primates; family Hominidae; genus Homo; species Homo sapiens. The sequence continues at coordinate 185,343,601 of NC_000002.12, read as the reverse complement.
GGGAATGTGATTCTAAATCCCTCCTAAATCTAACAATGAAAGGAAACATAGATGATTGCCCACTGTGAATTTTATCTTTCGAACGGCCAAGATTTTTGAGAGGTCCCGAGAGTTCATGCTGGTTCTTGATCTTCATAAAATGTTTGTCTTATCCAACTGCACTACTAAGGTGAACTATTCTAATAACTAAATATGTGTCCAATGTCCCTTTGAAACTATTAATATTTCAAGGGAAGGTCCTGTACTGTGCGCAGGGAGAAAAGAAATGTCTAGTCCTAACTAAGATTAATGAGAACTGGTAGAATAATTCATTTATAAAAGTAACCATGGTTATTCAGAGGAGAATTATGTTAGGGTGCGGGATTGAAAGCAGGAACACCAGTTAGGAGGATACAATTAGAAGACAGGAGGAAAAATCCACACTGGGAAAGAAAAGCACTGGTAAGATTGAGTAGAAGAAATGTCAAGAAATTATTAACTGAATATGTTTTGTAAGGTGAAAGGAAGGGAAAATGAAGAATCAACTATAACCCCTAGATTTCAAGGTTGAGTATCTGCAAGGGTAGATGATCTTATCATTCACTGAGGTAATATACTAAGAAGAAAAAAATAGTTCAAGATTTAAAATTACTGTATTCAGTTTTGAGATTGCTGAATTTTCAGTCTTCAGAATTCTCAGGCAAAAATAAAACATTATGAAAAAAGATAAGCCTATGAGGACACTGCCTGCATGCCATCATATAAAGAAAAATTGTGTGGATCACTAGTCTAAGTGAATTCTTGAGATGTAGAATTTTTGTGAGAAGTTGAAATTTATGATTCTAAGTAACTCAGGCTTTCAACATAGGCTTTGGGTAATACAGACACTTTAAAATGTTAAGTCTTCCAATCCATAAACACAGGATATATTCCTATTTATTTGTGTCTTTAATTTTTTACCAAAGTTTTATAGACTTCAGTGTACAAGTTTTTCATGTTCTTGGTTAACTTTACTCATAAGTATTTATTCATTTGAATGCTGTGGTAAATGGAAATGTTTAATCAATTTCTTTTTTGATGGTTCACTGTTTGAGTATAAAAATAACAACTGACTATTGTATGTTGATGCTTATATTCTGTAACTGTGTTTAATTCATTAGTTCCAAAAGCTTTTTTTCGAATCTTTAGGGTTTGCTACATGTGACATCATATCATCTTCTACTACTGATAACTTTACATCTTCCTTTCCAATTTAGATGCCTTTTATTTTTTTTTCTTGTATATTTGCCCTGACTAGGACTTCCTATACTATTTTGAGAAAAGTGGCCAGAGTATGCATCTCTGCCTTGTTTCTGATATTAGAGAAAAAGTTTTCCATTTTTACCCTTGAATATGATGATAGCTGTGGGCTTGTGATATATGGCCTTCCTTATTTTGAGATAAATTCCTTCTACACCTAGTTTGTTTAGAGTTTTGCCATAAACTGTATTATATTTTGTCAAATACTTTTTTTGTATCTATTGAGATAATCATGTCATTTTTACTTTCTTTCTGCTCATGTGGTGAATCACATTGGCTAGTCAATTAAATACCCTTCAGATACTCTAATAAAATGGTGTATAAAGTATCTAAAGAGAAAATTCCTAAAAGATCCACAAATAATACATAAAAATGAAAAAACCTAACATTGCTGTTCATTGAAATTATAAAATACATAAATAAATATTGACTAATAGCACCCCAAGTTTTTCTATAAAATTTGTTTATATAACCAGTTTCTACATTCACAAATAAATGTGTTATTTTAATAGAAGCTAGAGGTATATTATGTTCACTGATACTGTAAAAATAATACCTCATAAAAAAATGGGTCAACAGATTTTTTGAAAAGAGTATGATCAGATATACTTTATATATGTCATTGCTAAATATTATATTATTTTTAAGTTACATTTTTAAATCAAAATGCTGAATACATATCAGGTGTGCTAAGCAACTATTAGTTGATATTTTAAAGTGGAAATAGGCACTACTTAGTAATTCAGAAATTAAAGTTGGTGTTGGTTTTAACAAAAGAGGTGACAGAACTAGGGAAGCTGATAGCATAACTCTCAATCCAAGGCTGAAAGCTTCAGGACTGAGGAAGCCACTAGTGTAAGCCTTAGAGTCCAAAGGCTGGTGATCACGGAGTTCTTCAGTCCGAGGTAGGAGAGGTAAAGTCTGTCCCAACACTTGGAGAGAGACTAATTTGCCTTCTGTATTCATTGTATCTGGGCCCCTGGCTGATCTGATGCTGTTCCTCACCATTGAGGACAGATGTTCCTCATCTAGTCCACTCAGACTCACACTAATCTGGAAACACCCTCAGAAATTCGCTCAAAATAATGCTTTACCAGGTTTCTAGATTTCTGATATGGTTTGGCTCTGTGTCCCCACCCAAATCTCATCTCAAATTGTAATACCCATGTTTCAAGAGAGGGATCTGGTGGAAGGTGACTGAATCATGGAAACAGATTTCCCTGATGCTGTTCTCATGATAGTGAGTGAGTTCTCATGAGATCTGATTGTTTAAAAGTGTGTGGCATTATCTCCCCTGCTCTCTCTTTCTCCTGGCACCATGTAAGACGTGCCTTGCTTAGCCTTTGGCTTTTGCCATGATTGTAAGTTTCCTGAGGCCTTCTCAGCCATGCCATAATGAGTCAATTAAACCTGTTTTCTTTAAAAATTACCCAGTATCAGGTAGTTTTTTTATAGCAGTGTGAAAATGTACTAATACAGTATTCTATAATCCAGTCAAATTGACACCTAATATTCAGTCCACGAGTCTATTCTTTGTCAACTTGGCACCCATATGTACTTCCTTAAACCTTACTTAATTTCAAAATAAAGGCAATAACAAGGTAAAAGTTCTATCTAACACAATGCAACTAATATGATGCAACCATCTTGCGTACAACCAAAAACACACTAACACATTTTTTAGAATCCAGCTTTAAGGGTTTCAACATTTGAGATTTCAATCTTTTAGAATTGTGACTTACAGAATTTTAAAAGTTAGAGATTTTGGACCTCAGAGATTCTGAATTTAAGGGCTTCTAGAATTTCAATATTTATGATTATGGCATTTGGGATTGTGTCTTTTAGGATTATCATCCATATCAGAGAGAAAGCTATATGTGGGGTGAAGCGGACAAATTAGGCAGAGGGAAGAACATATTTGAAAACATGAAATGGGGAGTCGCTTCCAAGATGGCCGAATAGGAACAGCTCCAGTCTGCAGCTCCCAGCGAGATCGAAACAGAAGACAGGTGATTTCTGCATTTCCAACTGAGCTTTGAAGAGAGCAGTGGTTCTCTAAGTGATTCTTCAAGGATCTAGAACTAGAAGTACCATTTGACCCAGTGATCCCATTACTGGATATATACCCAAAGGATTATAAATCATGCTACCATAAAGACACATGCACACGTATGTTTATTGTGGCACTATTCACAATTACAAAGACTTGGAACCAACCCAAATGTCCATCAATGATACACTGGACTAAGAAAATGTGGCACATATACATCATGGAATACTATGCAGCCATAAAAAAGGATGAGTTCATGTCCTTTGCAGGGACATGGATGAAGCTGGAAACCATCATTCTCAGCAAACTATCACAAGGACAGAAAACCAAACACTGCATGTTCACACTCATAAGTGGGAGTTGAACAACAAGAGCACATGGACACAGGGCAGGAAACATCACACACCGGGGCCTGTCAGGGGATGAGAGGTTGGAGGGGGATAGCATTATGAGAAATACCTAATGTAAATGACTAGTTGATGGGTGCAGCAAACCAACATGGCACATGTATACATATGTAACAAACCTGCACATTGTGCACATGTACCCTAGAACTTAAAGTATAATGTAAAAAAAAAAAATGAAATGGCATTATACATTTTGAAAATGATGTTATGTATACCATGACATGTATATATAATATATATATATGTGTATGGCACAAGAAATGTAATAATCTATTATTCCAAAGAAATATTCAGTGTTTATACTTTGAAAGAATTTACATTTTATATTAAGGAATTTGCACTTTTATATTTATCCTTTCACCTATGGAAAGCCAGTAGTGGCATTATTGGACACAGAGGAAATGGGAAAAATGAATAAATGATCAAATTTGCTTTTGTAAAAAGTTAACACTCCTGACAGTGTGAAAAATGGACATGTGTGTAAACAGATTGGTAGCAAAAGAGCAGTTAGCAAGTTTCCAATGGGAAATGATATGAGAAAGAGCTAACATAAGGATTAGTGGGTTGGAAAGAAGAGAAGAAATAGTGGAAATAGTTCTAAGGTACTAAATTTAAAGACTGAAAACTTATATGTTGATATCAGTATGCCATATACTAAAAATGTTACTAAAGATGAAATGTATAACATAAAGTTAAAATAAATGTAAAATTTTAAAAAAGAGGATAATATTAGGAGAATACAGAGCAAGATGGCTAAATGGAACCCTCCAGCAATAATCACTTCTGCAGGACCATTGAATTGAACAACTATGCAAACAAGGAAGCACCTTCATAAGAACCAAAAATCAAGCGATCAATCACAGTAGCTGGTTTGAACATCATATCAAGGAAAAAGGCACTGAAGATGGTGGAAAAGATAATCTTGAATTGCCAACAACACCCCTGCCCCAGCCACTGGCAGTGACCACATGGCACAGAGAGAGAATCTATGTGCTTATAGTAGAGAGAGCACAGTGACTGTGGGACTTTGCATTCAAATGCAGTGCTCCCTCGTCACAGTGGAAAGCAACACAGGGAAGAGTTGGTTGTTCTCACAGAGAGACCACTTAGACCAGCCCTAGACAGAGGAGAATCCTCTATCTTAGCAGTCAGAATCTGAGTTCCAGCTAGCCCCACGACCACAAGCTAACGTACTCTGGTGTCTTAAATAAACTTGAAAGGCAGTCTAGGCCACAGGACTGCAACTCCTGGGCAAGTTCTGGTGCTATGCTTGTTTGGAGCCAGTGATCTTGGGGTGTATGTGATCTCATGAGAAACCAGCTGGGGTGCTCAAGGGAGTGCTTTTATCACCCCTCCCACAACCCCAACTAGCACAGCTTGCAGCTCCAGGAGAGACTCCTTCCTTCCACTTGAGGAGAAGAAAGGGGAGCGTAAAGAGGACTCTGTTTTGCAACTTGAATACCAGCTCAACCACAGTAGAAGAGAGCAAAAGACAAAGTCTTGAGTCATGCATTTCAGGTCTTAGTTCCCAGATGATTCTTCTAGACACACCTTGGGCCAGAAGAGAACCCTCTACCTGAAAGGGAAAAACCTAGTCCTGGCAGGATTCATCACCTGCTGACTAAAGATCCCTTGGACCTTAAATAAACATCAGTGGTTACCAGGCAATATTCATGGCTGGCTTTTAATGAGACCCAGTACCGTGCTAGCTTCAAGTATGACAGAGTGTATTCTCAGCTGCTGTGGCCATGGGAGAGACTCTTTCTGCTTGAGCAAAGGAGAAGATAGGCTAAAAGGGACTTTGTCTTGCAGCTTGGGTACCAACTCAGTCACAGCAGGTTAGAGCACCGATCAGGCTCTTGGGGTTCCCACTTCCAGGCTTTAGCTCCTAGATGGCATTTCTGGACCTGCCCTGGACCAGAGGGGAAGCCACTCCCCTAAAAGAAGAGAAGCAGGCCTGGCACCATTCACCACAAGCTGACTGAAGAGCCCTTGGGGTTTCAGTGAACATTGGTGGTAGCCAGGCAGTACTCACCATGGGCCTGGGACAGTGATGGCCATGGGGAGAAACTCCCTCTGCTTCAGGAAAGGAGAATAAAGAATGGGAAAAACCGTCTTGCAGCTTGAGTGCCAGAACAAAACAGCTGCAGTAGTATAGAGCATCAAGTAGATTCCTAAGGTTTTTTACTCAAGGCCTTAGCTCTCAGATGGTATTTCTGGACCTGCTGTGGGCCTGAGGGGAGTTTACCACCATGAAGGGAAGGACACATTCTGGCTGGGTTCGCTACCTGCTGACTGAAGAGCTCTTGTACCTTAGGTGAACATTGGCTGTAAACAAGCAGTGGTCACTGTGAGCCTTGGACAACACTTAGTGCTGTGCTGTCTTTGGGTCTTACCCAGTACAGTCCTAGTAGTGGTGGCCACAGAAGTGCTTGTGTCACCTCTCCACTAGATCCAGGCAGCTCAACACAGAGATAGAGACTTTGTTTGTTTGGGAGAAAATAAAGTAAGAGAACCAGAGTCTCTGCCTGTAATTCAGACAATTATTCTGAATCTTATCCAATACCACCAAGATAGTACCTCTAAGAGTCTGCAAGAAACACAGCTTTACAGGGATGGGGGTACCCCCTAATGGCCATATAGCTGCAGTGACCAAAGAGGTAGATAAAGATACTCAATTCCCTTTGAATACACGGAAAACCTTCCAAAGAAGGATGGGTACAAAGAAGCCCAGACTGTGAAGACAATAATAAATACCTAACTCTTCAATGCCCAGACATTAACAAATATCCATGAACATCAAGAACATCCAGGAAAACATGACCTCACCAAGTGACCTTTCAGACAGAGAATTCGAAATAGCTGTATTGAGGAAGATCAATGAAATTTCAGACAAACACAAAGAAGGAATTTAGAATTCTATCAGATAAATTTAGCAAAGAGAATGAAATAATTGAAAAAAGAATCAAGCAGTAATTCTAGAGCTGAAAAATGTGAGTGACATACTAAAGAATGCGTTAAGTCTATTAATGGTAGAATTGATCAAGCAGAAGAATCAGTGAGCTCGAAGACAGGATATTTGAAAATACATGGTTGGAGGGTGAAAAATGAAGAGAAATAAAAAAGAATAAAGCATACCTACAGGATCTAAAAAATAGCCTCAAAAGGGCAAATCCAACAGTTATTGGCCTCAAAGAGGAGGTAAAGAGACATAGGGGTAGCAAGTTTATTCAAAGGGATAATGGAAAATGCTCAAAACCTGCAGAAAGACATCAGCATTCAAGTATAACAAGGTTATAGAAACCAAGCAGATTTAACCGAAATAAAACTACCTCAAGGCATTTAATAAACTCCAGAAGGCCAAGGAAAAAGAAGATCGTAAAACCAGAAGAGAAAAGAAACAAATAACATTCCAAGGAACTCCAACCCATCAGGCATCAGACTTCTTAGTGAAAATTTTACAGGCCCGGAGAGAGTGACATAACATAATTAAAGTGATGAAAGAAAAAAAAAATTACCCTAGGATGGTATATTCATTGTAACCTTTCAAACAGGAAAGAGGAATAAATACTTTTCCAATTAAACAAAAGCTAGGAAATTTCATCAACAGTAGGCCTGTCCTATAGGAAATGCCAAAGGGAGTTCTTCAATATGAAAGAAAATGACATTAACAAGCAATTTTTAAAAAAATCTAATGGTAAAAAACTCACTGGTAAATATGCAGGCAGACACCGAATATTACAACACTGTAATTGTGATGTATAAATTACTCATATCCTGAGAGATCAAAGCTCTAATAAAATATCTCTCAGCAAAGAAAACATAATAAAGTGTTTCCCAGCAAGGAAATGCCCAGGACTCAATGGTTTTATTGCTGAATTTTACCAAGCATTATAGAAGAACTATAAATAGAATAGGGTGGAATACTTCCAAAACCATATGATCATTTCAATTAATGCTGAAAAACTCTCGATACAATTCAACGACTTTTCCTGATAAAAACCCTCAGGAAACTGAGAAGAAACAAACATCAACACACTAAAAGCCATATAAAAGAGACCCACAGCTAGCATCATACTGTATCGGAAAAAACAGAAAGTATTTCCTGTAAGATTTAGAACAAGTCAAGGATGTCCACTTTAACCACTGTGAATAAAGATAGTACTGGAAGTCCCAGGTAGAGTTATCAGACAATAGAAAAAAAAAATAAAGGGCTTCCAAATTGGAAAGGAAGAGGTCAAATTATTCTTGTATATAGATGATATAATTTTATATTTGGAAAAACTGAAAATCTCTACCAAAAAGCTATTAGAACTGAAAAACAAATTCAGTAAAGTTGCAGGATATAAAATCAACAAACAAAAATCAGTAGCATGTCTATATATAGCAACAGTGAAAAATCTGAAAAAGAAATCAAGAAAGTAATCCCATTCACAAGAGCCGCAAATAATATAAAATACATAAGAACTAACTTAACCAAAAAAGTGAAAGATCTCTACAATAAACACTATAAAACATTGATGCAAGAAATTGGAGGGGAAACAGATAGATATCCCACGTTCGTGGATTGAAAGAATCAATATTATTAAAATGTCCTACTACCCAAAGCAATCTACAGATTCAATGCAATCCCTATCACAATATCAATGACAATTACAGAAATAGAAAAAAAATCCTCAAATTATATGGAACCACAAAAGAACCAGAATACTCAGTTACCCTAAGCAAAAAGAACAAAACTAGAGGAATCATATCACCTGACTTCAAATTATACTGCAGTGTTATAGTAACCAAAACAGCATGTTACTGGCATGCAATGAACAGTGTTGGGAAAACTGGATATCCATATGCAGAAGAATGAAACTAGAAGCTTTTCACCATATACAAAAATCAAATCTACATGAATTAAATGCTTAAATCTAAAATTTCAAACTATAAAGTTACTAAGACAAAACACTGAGGAAGTCTCCAGAACATTGGTCTGGGTAAAGATTTCTTGAGCAATACTCCAAGAGCACAAGTACCAAAGCGAAAATGGACAAATGGGATCATGTCAAGTTAAAAAGCTTCTGCACAGCAAGGGATAAAATCAACAAGATGAAGAGACGACTCACAGAATGGGAGAAAATATTTGCTAACTAACCATCAGACAAGGGATTAATAACCCTTGAATACATAAGGAGCTCAAACAACTATATATAAAAAATCTAGTAAACCAATTAAAAAATAGGCAAAATATCTGAGTAAACATTTATCAAAAGAAGACATACAAATTGCAAGTAGTATATGAAAAGGTGCTCAAAAATCATTGATCATCAGAAAATACAAATCAAAACTACAATGAGGTGTCATCTCACTCCAGTAAAAACGACTTTTATCCAAAAGACAGGCAATAACAAATGTGCATGAGGCTGTGAAGAAAAGGGAACCCTGGTACCTTATTGGTGAGAATGTAAATTAGTAAAAGTGCTATGGAGAACAGTATGGAGGTTTATGCATTTCCACATTTATTGCAGCACTATTTAAAATAGCCAAGATTTGGAAGCAGCCTAAATGTCTATCAACAGATGAATGAACAAAGAAAATGTAGTACATATACACAAAATGGAGTACTACTCAGCCATAAAAAGGAATGAGATCTTATCATTTGCAACAACAGAGATGAAACTGGGGGACCTTATGTTATGTAAAATAAGGCAGGCATATAAAGACAAACTTTTCATGTTCTCACTCATCTGTGGGAGAAAAAAATTAAAATATTTGAACTCATGGAGATAGATAATAAAATGATGGTTACCAAGGCTAGGAGGGGGGGTGTCTGTGTGTCAGGGGAGCAGAATTAGGATAGTTAATGGGTACAAAAATATAGTTAGGTAGAATGAATAAGATCTAGTATTTGGTAACAAAACAGGTGACTACAGTCAACAATAATTTATTACACATTTTAAAACAATTTGATCTTAAAAACAGTGATAAGATAAATGCTTGAAGTGATAGATAACCCATATACTCTACTGTGACCATTACTGATTGTATTCCTGCAACAAAACATATCCTGTATCCCATAAATATATACACCTACCATGTGTCCATAAAAATTAAAACTGAGAATTGTGAAAGAAAATGATATCAGTGAAAATAGAAATAAATATAGAAAGAGAAATTACTTGCTAAGGATTTAAAAATACTACCAAATAAGTGATGATAGATTAAGTACATTAAGTAAGAACATTTCTGAATTAATCATCATATGTAGATTGTTGAAATGATAAATAGTAAAGTGGCAAAATAATTAAATGCATGGAAATATTTATAATGAATACTAAAGAAGAATATTTAAATACCCTTTAATATTTTAATAAAATCATATACAAAATATATTAACAGACATGTCTTAAAAGAACAACAAATGATCAATAAAAGCAAAAAAAAAGCTACTGATCAAAATTATAAAATAAACCAATATTGATTTATTCTTCAAACTATTAGTTTGTTGTATTAAAACAATATTTTAATAGTAAGTGTGTTGTGGTGTTAGTAAACTTAGACTTCCAAAGAAGTATTATTCAGTCATTATTTAGTAATAGTCATATTAATGTTATTAGTTATTATATCATAAACCTCATCAAAGTAATTTTAACTGCAACATGTATATATCAGAGTGTTTAATAGAAAGTGACTTATAAGGCCTTTTAAAGTCTATACAAATCAAAAGTTGTATTTATAATGCAAATTAATCAGGAGTAACCTCTATATTTGATATATGCTGACCTTGTAATAATTGATAAATTGCATAGTCCATTATTTTCAGTCAAGTGCTTTCAAATATAAGTCAAGGATTTCCTTTCACAAAAAACTCAGTATTTTATTAGAGAGCTTATGTAACTCACTTCCCTTGGCTTCTGCCAAATCATTATTTTAACTTCAACAACAGTACATTGATCATCTCATTGTATAGATAAATGACAATTGCCAGTCCTCTTAAAACGCCATTTTTCTTTGAACTTATGCATTCACATATTTTTCTAAGTCATACATCAAACAAAAAAATTATTCTAATTAGGTCTTCAAAATACTCAAAATGAATACTTCCTTCTTCAGTCTACTTTTCCACTTGTATTTAATGAATAGAAGGTTTAAATTTAACTTATTGTTTTCTAACAGTGTCTTATAAATAGTTTGGGAAAATGAATCGGGGTTAATAGCAAATGCAGTCTTTATAAATCTATATTACCTATTCAAATGTTCTTGAATAATTTCTATATTTATCAGATATTTTATTTTTATCAAGGAATTTGTGGTCAAATGGGAGTTAGTTGGGATATTGATAGGTGTGTACCATATTTGTGAATTTGTTTTTTCCAGCCTGCAAAGCCTACTGCTACCACTGCTTGTGCACATGCCTAACATCCAGAGGCCTGAGGTCCAGCCTGCTGCTGCTATTGCAACTTGCAGTGCTATGCATACCATCCAGCAGCCTAAGAACTGTCTCACCAGTTCACTGCTGCCACTGCCATGCAACCTGGAGGCCCAAACGACACATTCTGGTTTCCCACAGTCACAGCCAGTGCAACTGTATGACACCCTGAGTCCTGAGAATCAGCACACAGCACTCATTGTAGACATCACTGTTGTCCAAAGACTGGTCTGGCTGCCATCCTTATGCCAAGCAAAGCATTGCCATAGCCTAGGCCACTAAGGAACTCACAGACACCACCAGCATTGAATACAGCCACAGAAATTATGTGGAGACTACATTAACGCACCCACCCAGAATCAAAGGCAAAGCAATTTACACCACCAACATTATACATACATCTACAGAAAAAAATATTTTCCTAGGAAAACTAATCCAAAAAATTGTAAGAAGTGACTGTTATACCAGCTGCACAGATAGGAACATAAGGACACAAGAAACATTTAAAAAACAAGAAAACATGACACTTCCAAAGGAATAATAATTCTCCAATAACAGTTCCCAAGGAAAAGAAAATCTATTAAATGCCTGAAGAAATTCAAAATAATTATCTTAGGAAAACACTGAGATTCAAGAGAACACAAATAAACAAACAAAGGTGTCGGTGGGAAAAAAAAATCCATAACCTGAATGAGAAATTTAACAAAGAGCTAGATATCTTAAAAAATAACCAAACGGAAATTCTGGAAGTAAATAACTCAATGAAACGAAATAAAAATATATTCAAGGACTTCAACAATATATAAGATGAAGCAGAAGAAAAAATTTGTGAACGCAAAGATAAAGTTTTTGAAAGAACCCAGCCAGAAAATTAATAAATAAAGCACAAAAAGGAATGGAGGGAGGAGGCAAGGTTAGGACGTCCTCCTTCTCTCTCTCTTGCTCCCACTCTCACCATGTGATGCACCTGCTCACTTTTCACCTTCAACCATGATCAGAAGATTCCTGAGGCCCTCATCAGAAGCAGATGCCAGTGTCATGCTTATACAACCTGCAGAACCATGAGCCAATTAAAACTCTCTTATTTATAAATTACCCAGTGCCTGATACTCCTTTATAGCAATGAAAACTGACTAACACACATACCAAGATTTAAAGAAGAAATAAAAAATCTAAACAGATCAATATTAAGTACCAGAGTGAATCAGTGATAAAGTCTCCCAACAAATAAAAACCCAGGACCTGACAGTCTTACTGCTGAATTCTACCAAACTTTTAAAGAAGAACTAGTATCACTTTTTCTCAAACTAGTCCCTAAAAAATTGAAGAGGAAGGAAGTTTTCTAGCCAATTCAATGAGGCCAGAATTACCCTGATATCAAAATCAGACAAGGATACAATGAGAAAAGAAAACTACAAGGAAATATTCCTGATGAACATAGAAGCAAAAATCTTTAACAAAATATTAACAAAGGAAATACAAGAACACATGAAAAAGATAATACACCATGATCAAGTGAAATTAATCCCAAGGATGCAAGGATGTTTCAACATATATATTCAATAAATGTGACACATTGCATAAACAGAATGAGGACAAAAACCATATAATTTTCTCAATAGATGCTGAAAAAGCATTTAACACAATTTAATATCTCTTCACGATTAGAACTATCAACAAATTAGACACAGAAGGAAAATACCTCAGCATAAAACAGGCCACATATGACAAACCTACAGCTAACGTAGTTAATGGAGAAAAGCTGAAAGCTCTAAAAAATGGAAAAAACAAGGATGCTCCCACTCAGCACTCTTATTCAATATAGTAATGGAAGTCCTACACAGAGCAATTAGACATGAGAAAAATATAAAAAGCATCCAAATTGGAAGAGAAGCAGTGAAGTTGTCATTCTTTGAAGATAACATTGTATTTTATGTAGAAAAATGTAAAGATTCCACCAAAAAAAACACTTGGAATTGATAAATAAATTTAATGGAATTGCAGGATACAAAATCAACATAAAAAGTAATATACACTAATAATGAACTAGCTGAAAAAAGAAATCACAATGGAATGTTATTCAGCCATAAAATAAAATAAAATCATGTCATTTGCAACAACATGAATGGAACTTGAAGACATTAAATAATATAAGCCAGGCACAAAAAACAATTTTGCATTTTCTCCCTCATAATTGGGAGTTAATTTTTAAATTGAACTCATAGAAGTATAGAGTAGAATGATAGTTATCAGAGGTGAGGTAGGGTAGCAGGATGGAGGGTGAGATTAAAGTGGATATAGTTAATGAGTACAAAAAATTAGAATGAATAAAATCTACTATTTGGTAGGACAATAGGTTTACTATAATTAATAATAATTTATTGTATACCTTAAAATAATAAAAGAGAAGAATGGGAATGTTCCTAACACAAAGAAATGATAAATGCTTGAGATGATGAATACTTCAATTACTTTAATTTTATTTGACCCCAAAAATATGTAAAATTATTATACATCCATAATAATTTTAAACATTAAAATTAAAAAATGGGAAATCAAGAAAGTAATCCCATTTAATATCTCTACTAAGAATAAAATAAAATGATGAGAAATAAATTCAACCAGAGTGGCTAAAGACTTCTACAGTGAAAACCAAAAATACATTGATGAAAGAAATAGAAGACACAAACTAATTGAAAGACACCCCATGCTCATAGATTGGAGAAATTAATATTTTTAAATGGCTATACTACTCAAAGAAATCTATAGATTCCTCGCAATCTCTATCAACATCCCAATGACAATCCTTGCATAAATTTTTAAAAAGTATCCTAAAATGTGTGTAAAACCAGAAAAGACCCTGGATAGTCAAAGCAATTCTGAGCAAAAAGAAGAAAACTGGAGGCAGACTACCTGACAAAAAATATACTGCAAAACAAAACAGCATGGTATTGGTATAAGTAAAGACACACAGACTAATAAAATAGAAGAGAGAACCCAGAAACAAAGCAACAGTTTACATCCAACTGATTTTTTTAAATGGCATCAAGAACATATATTGCAAAAGGGAATAGTCTCTTTAATAAACGGTGCTGGGAAAATTGGATATTTATATGCAGAAGTATAAAAGTAGACCACTATTTTTCACCATTTACAAAAATCAACTCAAAAAGGATTAAAGGCATAAACATAAGACTAAAAACTCTAAAGCTGCTAGAAAAAAATGGAGAAATTCTTCAGGACATTGGTCTAGGCAAAGATTGTATAGCTAGGACTTTAAAAGCACAGGTGAAGCATGTATAGACAAATGGTACTATATTAAACTAAAAAGCTTCTGCACATTGAAGAAACAATTAGCAGAGTGAAAAGCAGCCTGTTGAATGAGAAAAAGTATTTGCAAACTATTCATCTGACAAGGGACTATTAACCTGAAAATACATGAATTCATGCATCTAATGGTAAAAGGAAAAATAAGACAAATAATCCCAGTAAAACATGGGCAAAAGACAGACATTTTTCAAATGAAGACATACAAATGGCCAAAAAACCTTTGAAGAAATGTTCAGCATTTCTAATCATCAGGAAAATTCAAATTAAAGCCACAATGACATATCATCTTACCCCAGTTGGGATAGTTATTATATAAAAGACCAAAAATAACAAATGCTGGCAAAGATATGGATAAAAGAGAACTCTTATACACTGTTGATGGGAATGTAAATTAGTATAATCACTGTGGAAAACAGTGTGGAAGTTTCTTAAAAGCCAAAAAATAGAATTACCATATGATCCAGCAATGCTACTAATAGGTATTTATCCAAAGGAAAGGAAATCAGTATATCAAAGGGATACCTGCACCCCATGTTTATTTCATTACCATTCACAATGGCTAAAATATCGAATCAACCCAAATGACCATCAACAGATAAATGGATAAAGAAAATGTGGCAAATATACACAACAGAATACTATTCAACCATTAAAAAATGCAATTCTGTCATTCATGGCAACATGGATGAGCCTGGAGGACATTATATTAAGTGCAATAAGACAGGAACTGAATGATAAATACTGCATGTTCTTATTTTTATGTGAGTATTTAAAAAATTCTGATCTCATGGAAGTAGAGAGTAAAATTGTGGAAATTAGAGGCTGGGAGGGGTGCAGTGGAAGGAAGATGGGGAGAGATTAGTTAAGAGATACAAAATTGGCTGGGCGTGGTAGCTCTCACCTGTAATACCAGCACTTTGGGAGGCCGAGGTGGGTGGATCACAAGGTCAGGAGTTCGAGACCAGCCTGGCCAATATGGTGAAACCCCATCTCTACTAAAAATACAAAACTTAGCTGGGCATGGTGGCGTTTGCCTGTAGTCCCAGCTACTTGGAAGGCTGAGGAATAAGAATCACTTGAACCCAAGACGAAGAGGTTGTAGTGAGCTGAGATCGTGCCACTGCACTCCAGCCTGGGTGACAGAGCAAGACTCTGTCTCAAAAATTAAAAAATAATAAAAATTTTAAAAAAAGAGAGAGAGAGAGATACAAAATTACAGCCAAATAGCAGAAGTGATTTCTGGTGTTCTGCAGTACTGTAGAGTAAATATGGTTAACAGTAAATTATTTCATATTGTTAAAAAGCTAGAAGAGAGGATTTTGAATGTTCACAGCACAAAGAAATGACACATTTGAAGTGATAGATATGGTAATTATCCTTGTTTCATTATTATACATTGTATACATGTATTGAAATTTTACTCCATGCTCCCAGAATATGGAAGATTATTGTGTGTAAACTAAAAATTAAAGGAAAAAAATTGTATACCAATTGAGTGAAATAGACTAATGACCCAAATTCTATTTTTCAGCAGGTGTGTTTAGTTCTTCATTTGTTTGTGTTTATTCTGTTGTGGTTCTCAGTACACTATATTATAATTATGTATTAATATTTCTAATTCCTTTAAATGGAGTGGAAGAATATGCTGTCCTGTTTCCACTAGTATATCCTAGAAAATTGGGTAAAATATGATAATTGAAAGAAGAAACATTTCATGTACAAGCGTTTTGGATAGATTAACTCACAAATGAAATGATTGTAGAGTATCTGGGAATCCCATTCAGCATGTTTTTGAATGAAGATAAGCTTGGATAAAAGTGAACACTCTAATAAATGCACTATTTCTAGATCAACTAAACCTACATCTTTTGTGCATCCTACTGATAAAATAGTTAATTCACCCCATATCAAATATATTCTCTTCTGGTTAAAACTTGACTGAAGAAAAAATGATCAAGGAGGAGATAATTGAATTAGCTAGGATGTCTTATCAAATGAGCCATGAAAATTTTTGTATGGCATTCATTCAGTTGGAAACACCATTGAAAATGCCTCCACTTTCATGCTGTTAGATGCTCACTGTTCATTAAGGATGCCCAGGCTTGTTCCCAGCATCTTAAACTATGCTCTGTCTTTCCTTATAGCAGGCAATCTAATATTGTTTGCAGACTTAGAAGGTAGAATGGTTGGCTTAAAAAGGTTTTTCTCTACTACTTCCTAAAATGGTAATCTGTGGAAAATTTCTCAACCTCTCTAAAGCCTCAATTTCCTTATCTTTAAAACCTAAATATAAACAACACATTTACTATCTCTTTTATTTTCACCATAACATTAATATTCAGTGCTTAGCACAGAGCCTGGCTACTAGTAATAGCTGTTAAGAGTTATCATTTTTCTTGTTTAGTTTGTAAGTTTTTTTTTTTTAGGTCTTACTGATTTGCCCTACTAAAAGCAAAGCTGACCACAACAAAAATATTAAGAGAAAACTCATCTATGGGAGAAGCATGAGAGGCAGTGGTGCCTATCTACCAGCATGCATGAATGGAACTTTGCAAATGATAAATCTATTGAATATAAGATGTCCATGCTATTGGATTCTTAATCAGTTTTGACAACAACAATTCTCCAGAACAAGAAACAGAATGCAATAGAATTAAGAAGAAACCATCTATTTCTCATTCAGATTTAAAATGCCTTTCATTGCCTTGAGGGTCACCACATTCTATATTATTATATACATGTGCATACATAGAAACATGCATATATCACACCAGAAGGTGGCATTTCAAAATATACACAGATTTCATTTTTACAGTATTAATAAATTATTATTTTAGTATGTAGTGTATAGCCTGCTACCAGAAACCAGTATGAAAAGATTTGCAAAAGAAGAATCAATCAGTCAAATTCTCCTCACATCTATTCCTTACAGATTCTATGTATTATTGTAGTTGCTATTGTTGCTATGGAGGAAGATAAAATGGTAATAAGAATTTATAATTAATGCAGAATTACAAGCTTCATGTTAGGGCTACTATAGGCTTCTATGAATCCATATGCCATAAGTTTAATATATAAATTATAACTTTATGTAAGAGTTAGAGAGATAAAGAATGGAGGTAAGAAAGCATGTAATGATTCTGGAACATAATGTAATAAAGTTCAGTTTTAAGTGGTGATAACATGGCAGGTGTTTACAGCAAATTCATACAACAATTAAAGAATGATCAAAAATTTATTTTGATACATATTTTGAAAGTAAACTTCAAGGGCATCGAAAAGTCATTTTTAAAAGTCTGGTTTTAATCCTAAATTAATGGGGGTCATTGCAGTATTTTAACATTTAAGTGATTAAAATTTTTGAAATGGGTGTGTGTAATTATTTCTTAATCCTAACGTTTACTTTTTAAAAATTAGAATGAATTTACAAAAAAACATGGAAGAAGATGTACTAGGAACAGTGAACATAAACAAATCCTTCAAGTTTTGTTACAGGAAAGACAAATACCACATGTTTTCACTCACGTGAGAGCTAAAAAAGTAGATCTTATGAACGGAGAGAGTAGATTGGTGGTTATCAGTGGCAGGAAAGGGTAGAGGAGAGGATAAAGAGAAGTTGATTAATGGGTATAAAAATACAGTTTGACAAGGCCAGGCACAGTGGCTCACACCTTTAATCCTAGCACTTTGGGAGGCCAAGGCGGGCAGATCACGAGGTCAGGAGATCAAGACCATTCTGGCGAACACGGTGAAACCCCATCTCTACTAAAAATACAAAAAATTAGCCGGGCATGGTGGCACGCGCCTGCAGTTCCAGCTACTCGGGAGGCTAAAGCAGGAGAATTGTTTGAACCTGGAAGGTGGACGTTGTAGGGAGCCAGGATCGGGCCACCACGCTCCAGCCTGGGTGACAGAGCGAGACTCTGTCTCAAAAAAAAAAAAAAAATACAGTTTGATAGAAAAAATAAGACTGAGTGTTTGATAGATGAGTAGGGTGACTATAGTTTGCAATAACTTATTGTATATTTCAAAATAGCTAGAAGATAATAATTAGAATGTTCCTAGCCTTTAAAAAAAAGAAAAATATTAAAGTGATGGAATCCCAACAACACTGATTTGATCTTTAAATATTATATAAATGTGTGCTACATTATCACATATACTGTGAAAATATGTACATTTGTTATGTATCAATAAATTATTTTCCAATGTTTTTGTTACCCAAAAGAGCAGAAAAAAAGAAAGCTGTATGTAAAGAGTGGTGGGATTAAGAAAGTTAGAGTAAATATACTAACTCTCAAGATCACCCTTAGAGACTATTATGTGAAGAGCCAAGTAGAAGAATCTGAAGCTTCCTCTTCACCAAAATTTAAGTCAAAAGTTTATCATATTCTAGGAGTGAGACTGAGGGAGGGACAGAGGCAAATCACAAATATTACCATCAGTGTTAAAGATGTCAAATCCTCAAGGGTAACGATTCCTAGAGCTTTCTTATTTAAAATCCAGTTTTACCAGTGCAGAAAAATTAGATCAGTCTTAGAGAATGACAGTATATTATCAATGATTATAGCTAATGTTCAGTTGGTCTTTCAGTGGTGTTCAATCTAGCCAATGCACTTTTTTTGTATTTTGAAATCTGAGAATGTGAGAAATTGTATTGAAACTAGCTAATCCAGTGATTCTACTTTATCACCTGTCTCAGCTTTATGTAGTCTCTCCTGCTTTTGTAGGCATCATACATGGAGAGGGCTTTTCTTTCCCAATTGTTAACGCAAAAGGATAACAGCTTTATCTGATGCTTGTTACAAGAGAAGGCTACCTAGTTTCCAGGCTGCACTGTAAATATTTCTGTCACATTGCCAGAAAGCAAGTTGAAATTAGTTGTGGTTGATCTGACTACTGTATACAGCCTGTGTCAAACACCAAATAATCCCAACGGAAGCTCCTATGTTTGGGGGCAAAATAATGCCCTCTTTATCAATTTACTGCTCCTCATCTGAGGGATAGTTCTTGCTTCTGGCTCCACTTGATCAACAAAGTTGTGATTATGGAACCTCAGGTAACCACATTTCAAGCTTTTCGTTATAAACTAATGCATTCTTAACACCAAGCTACAAAGTAAGATATACAAGCAGATTATGTCAGCACAAAGGACCAAGCCAAGAGAAGGTATACAAACATTTCGATTAGCTATTGGCAAGTCTGTTACATGACTACCAATTTTTCAACATTTATCCCTAGTCACATGGAATATTCCCACTATGAATATCTGTTGGAGGAAAAAAAAAAATTGAAGCCTAGCTCGAAGAGAGTTGTGTAAATATGATGGCATACTTCAGATATGAAGAGATGTGGAAGTGTGACAATGCCATAGCTATGCTCAGGGATAGCCCTGATGGACAATAAAACAGGAACATTATTAGTACCAACTAGAAACTCCTAGCAGAACTATAAAAACAACAGCAATGTTTGCCTATTTTTTTTCCAAAATGTGAAAATAAAAATATAGAATTTACTAGTAAAGCTATCAGGTGCTGAACTTTTATTTATTGGGAGATTTGTGATTATTGATTCAATATTCTTGTTTGTTATTGTCCTATTCAGATATTTATTTCTTCCTTATTCAGGCTTGATAAGTTGTGAGTTTCTAGGAATTTATTTATTTCTTCTAGGATATCCAATTTGTTGGCATATAATGGATCATAGTAGTCTCCTACGATCCTTTGTATTTCTGAAATATTCGTTCTTATGTCTCCTCTTTCATTTCTGAGTTTACTTATTTGAGTCTTCTTTTCCTTAGTTATTCTAGTTTAAATTTTGTCATTATTGAAGTCTTCAAAAAACACTTCAGTTTTTTTCTACTATTTTTCTAGTCTCTAATTCACGTCTGCTCTGATTTCTGTTATTTTCTTTCTTTTACTAACTTTGGTGTTTGTTTTTCTTTTTCTAGTTTTTGAGGTATAAAGTTAAGGTGTTTGAAATGTTTTTCTTCTGTAATCATTTTTTGTTAGAAATGTCCTTTTTAGTACTCTTTATGCTGTATCGCATAAGTTTTTGCATGGTATGTTTCCATTTTCATTGGTCTCAATATATTTTTAAATTTC
Organism: Homo sapiens; assembly: GCF_000001405.40. Lineage (NCBI taxonomy): Eukaryota > Metazoa > Chordata > Mammalia > Primates > Hominidae > Homo > Homo sapiens. The sequence goes on along the minus strand of NC_000002.12, from coordinate 185,323,015 downwards.
CTTTTTGATTTCTTCTTTGACCTTGGCTGTTTAGAAATATGTTGTTTAATTTCCACATATTTGTGAATTTTCCTATGTTGTTCTTATTATTGATTTCTAGTTTTTTACCATTGTTGGAAAAGGTACTTGGTATGATGTTAATCTTCTTAAATTTGTTAAGACTTGTTTTCTGGCCTAACATATGATCTATCCTGGAGGATTTTCTCTGAGTGCTTAAAAAGAATGTGTATTCTGCTGCTGTGAAAAGAAGTTTTTGAATATGCCTGTTAGGTCCATTTGTTCTAAATGACAGTTCAAATCTAATGTTTTCTTGTTCACTTTTCTGACTGGATGAACTATCCATTGTGGACAGGAGGTTTTTGACATATCCTACTATTATTGTATTACTATCTATTTATCTTTTCAGATCCTTTTTATTTATTTATTTATTTTTTTGAGACAGGGTCTATCTCTGTCACCCAGGTTGGAATCCAATGGCATGATCTCGGCTCACTACAACCTCTGACTCCTGGGCTCAAACCATCCTTCCACCTCAGTCTCCCGAATAGCTGGAATTACAGGCGTGTGCCACCAGGCCTGGCTAGTTTTTGTCTATTTAGTAGAGATGGCATTTCTCCATATTGCCCAGGCTGGTCTTGAACTCCTGGGCTCAAGTGATCCTCCTGCCTCAGCCTCCCAAAGTTATGGGATTACAGGCATGAGCCTGTACATGTGTACAACGTGCAGGTTTGTTACATATGTATACATGTGCCATGTTGGTGTGCTGCACCCATTAACTCGTCATTTTGCATTAGGTATATCTCCTAATGCTATCCCTCCCCCCTCCCCCCACCCCACAACAGTCCCCGGTGTGTGATGTTGATAATTCTTAAAAATTCTAACTTAAAAAAACTGTTCTAGAGTAAAAATGCATATTCTACAAAAACCAAGAATTGTACTTCATCAATCTTCTCTCTAAAATAGCAGATAAAAAAGATAATTATTAAATAAACCAAAAGTTCAAGAAAAATAACTTTGAATATAAGTTTTTATAATAAACCTTATTTTAAATTGTATATACACATTTTTCAGATGCACAAGACTCATCTGAATGTTTTATTTTATTTTATTATGTTATATTTAAAGATTGTTCATTTTCCTTTGTCTGTTTGTGAAAATACCAATTTACAGCCTGGGCAACATGAAAAAACCCCATCTCTACAAAAAGTACAAAAATTAGCCAGGCATGGTTTGGCATGCCTATAGTCCCAGTTACTTAAGAGGCTCAGGTGGCAGGATTGCTTGAGCCGAGGAGGTCGAGGCTGCAATGAGCCATGATCATGCCACTGCATGACGGAGACTGTCTCAAAAAATAAAAATAAATACAAATACAAATTTAATTAAAGTCCCTTTATCAGAGAGCAGTTGAGATAACTCGTTTTTTAAATGGCACGGATTGATGAGAATGTTGTACTACTTAGGTAAATGGTAAGATTATACTTCATGAAAAATGGAGTACATCTAAGAAATTAACTTTTTATCCAAAGAAAATGTATCATAGCATATTCAACTGGTTAAAAAAAAGTTAGATGGTAACCTGAGTCTTTCACATTTATTGACTTCAGAAACTCTTTGGCTAAGGCAAAATATAAAAATAACTCAAAAGCTATTTTAATGTGGCTAAAGGTTTTCATTTTTAAAAAGTCATTTCTTGCCTTCCTTCTGGACTTCAATTCACAATGATCTTCTTTTAACCTGGAGTCAATCCTGCATAATGCAGGAATTGAATATGCCCTTTAAAGACACTTCCAACCCTGAAGCTCTTTGATTTTCAAATATATATGTAGTGTTACTGAGTATCAGAGCTGCCTGTTTTCTTCTATTCAACCTATCTTTAAAAGTATAGCAATTTAACCCTTACACAAAACCCCAGCTCCACAAATATCTGGCTCAAACTCTATCTCCTGAAATAGAATTAAAAGGAGACTTTCTTCATACTTTTCTGACTGAATTCACGCAGATTTTCGGCTAATCTCATCTGACTTGTTCATTTTAAACTCACAGAGGCTGGATTTGTGACATTTGTGTCTAATGTCTGGATTCCTAATCCGCTATATGCCTTTCCCAGATTCTACATTTGGTTTCTAATAATTTTCTAACTCCTCTTGCATTCTAAAATCAATGACCAACTAGGATTACAATGATATCACTATTTCCATAGCTATTTTATGTTTTATTTTATTTTATTGTGTTATATTTACGTTTTTATTAAGGAACTCACCATCATACCAAGAGTTCACATATCCTCCATCTGTACAATTTACCTCTTTCTTTAGTTTAATTTCTATCTTCCTATCTTCTTCTTCTATCTATGACTGGATTGACATAATGACCTTGTGCTTTGTGTTGATTTTGGCTTATGACACATGTGACCTACCAATTCTTTTTCTTCAGTCTCATTTACTGTTTCACTCTGCTATCTAATATGTATCAGTATGTTTTATTTCCTTTTGTAATGCCGAATTGACTCTTACAGATGTGAAGTGACAGGAAAATTTTTATCTTTTAATAGACGATGTACTTATTCTCCACTTCTGCATTTTCCTTCCATGTGAAGAGGGCTCTATTCATGGAATCACTTTTAGGAGATAAAAAGCAACTGTTCTGATTGATAAATAGTCAGAGAACTTAGCCTGAACTGAGTTTCTCCCATTATTTGGGGGAAAGGTATCTATTTCCAGCAGGGACATTTTCTAGGCTACTTTAAATCTTTCTTGGGGAAGTTGGGAGAGTTTTCTTTGTCTGAACTTGACTGTAACTGGGTATATAAGTCTTTCCAATGTGTGGGGCTCATATTATTAAGCCCTCTTGGTTAACACTCCTAAGCCACATTTAACCATCTCTCAGTAACAAACACATTTTGATATTTATTACGTTGAATATTGTACTAATTCCTGAGAGAGATATAAAGAGAGAGAGAGAGAGAGAGAGAGAGAGAGATTCTGAATGCAGGAAGGGCAGAAGCATGGTCTTGGTCTATAATCTGAGTTATATATTCACATCTTTCTTGCTCAGTTACTACAAATTCCGTCCTCATTTCCTTCATGTGAAGATTTCTCATCTCACCAGTAAAATAATTCTCTTCTACCCTTATCTCAGTGCACTTACATGAAATATCTTTCATAAATAATAACACCCTATTAAACACCTACTTTCATTTGATCTTCAAGACATTTTGAAAAAGGCTAAACCATCTTCAATTTGCAGATAAGGTTTACAGAGTATATATGTTAATATGGACTAAATTATGTTTCCCAAAATTTATATGTTAAAGTCCTAACCCTCAATGTGATTTTACTTGGAGATAGGTCCTTTAACATGGTAATTAAGGTTAAATGAGATCATATAGGTGGGGCCCTAATTTGATAGGACCAGTGTCTTTATAAGAAGAGAAAGAGACACAAGAGATCTTTCAGTGCACACACAGAGGAAAGGCCATGTGAGGATACAGCAAGGAGCTGGCCATCTACAAGGAGAGAGATCTCACAAAAACCAACCCTGCTGGCACCTTAACCTTGGACTTCCAGACTCTAGAACTCTAAGAAAATAAAGTTTTGCAGTTTAAGCTACTCAGTCTATAATATTCTGTTATGGCATTCAAACTGACTAATACAATGATTAAGTGGTTTATCTAGAAGATAACATCAGACATGGCCTGCCAGACACAAATGCATATCTCATTGTTCCCCTACCCCATCTTGTCTCTGTATCTAATATAAAACGCAGATTCCCCACATTTTTCCTCTGCCCCCTTTTGTTTATGTGAAAACTGTGTGCTTCTCAATATCCCTTCTCTTTCCACTTTAAATTTGGAGCTTTCAAAATCATATTTGAAGAAAGGCATAGATCTGCCTCCTGGGCAAAAGTTAATTTGCCTTAACTTTGGCAAATAAATTTTCTGAAATGATTGAGACTTGTCTCATCATTTTCTTCAACTGACACTACAAAGCCGCATGACATGGTTTATGGATACCAGAAAAGGTGAAGAATTGGGCCAATATTGAAATATTCAACAGTGGAGTAAATAAGTCCAATGAAAACATGTTTTTGTTTCTCTGATGAAGTCACTCAATCTTAGGTGTTCTGATCAAAGTATTATTTCTCTGTCCTTAGAATGCAAAATTATATTAATATATGTCATTTTATTGACCACCTGGGTCAACTTTCCCTGGAGTACTTACTCTTATATTCCATAGATAATTTATGAGATTTCAGGAAAATGTTCTTGAATTTATCAAAGCAAACATTGTAGCAGTCAAAAGCAAACAGATAAGGAAGACTTTGTTCAAGGTAGTTGCAATAGGGGAGAGAGGTCAGAACTCAATCGGAACACAATTCAACTAAAACAAAAGGATTGGAGAGTTCTGAAGAGCTAGCATCTGGTGATTGAAGGTCATCTGTGTTTGCTAATTGGCTTTTCCCAAAGAAAAAGTAAACTTTCTCATATCTTCATGACAGGAGGTAATGTTATAACTTGCAGCAAGTGTCAGGCAGGAGTTAGCCTTTTACCTTCCCTGAGAAACTGGGAGATAGGGGTACCATCCTCGATGATGATTACATTCCAAAGGGATGACTCCCAGGTCTTAGAGAAATATATTCCTGGGTTGTAAAACTGTTACAAAGTCTTTCTAAAGCATTTACATCTCAAAGAGGCAAAGAAAGAATGTGCAATTACAAGGTTTCTAAAGTAAATGCTCTAAGTAAATGTTCTGGTTCAGGAGCCTAGAGGCAGTCTGCGCTGTCTAAAGTAAGCTGAGGTGAAAGCTAAAGTAGTCTTGGTTAAATTACATTTTAAAATATTTGTTCTGTTCCAGCTATTCTAGTTCTCTCTGTTTCAGTTTTCTTTCTACAATGAATCATTGAGGTATTTAAGGTTTGAAGGTATAACTTTATTTAATAAGAGGTTTCAAAGTTGGAAAACATATTTTGTAGACCATAATGAAAAGTTAATTAGACTTTGTATTATTTACTTTAATAGTATAATATTGTGATAACTTTTAAGAGGAAGACAGATGTTTTTAGAATTAGCATTTTGAATCAAGAGAAATTGCATTATACAAGAACGCTATAATCACATTTGAGATCAATATTGTTCAATCCAACTACACACATCTTGCTCTGAGTGGCAAAAATCCACATTCTCTTCCTAAATATACTCCTGGCATAAGACAACAAAAGTGATATTTGTGGGGAGATGTTCCGATTTCACCTCATATTGTGAATGTTATTCAAACAGTGGACATATTTTGGTGTGTACATGCCTAGAAAATGAGGGGTGGAAATTATATATGCTCATGAAATAGTTGCAAACACACTCATACAAATACACACACACAGATGGTCACTAGCTCCCTAAAATAGTCAGGTTTGAAAATCACCAATTTATATTTGAGGTCCAAAAAAAACAATAATTTCAAAACTTTATGTCATTTAGCAATTTGCAGGATTTGAGCTGACTACCAGAATTTATCCGAGCTGTGCCTTTCAACCAAGACAACCATCACAGTGGCTTTTTAGTGATGCAAATGCAAAAGGCAGAGGTACTCATTGTTGTAGTCCTAGATTGTAAAGTAACAGGCATAAAAATATTTTAGGATGAGTACAAGTGCCTGAATGTTAGTGCATATTATGTAAAAGGATGGGTGTGTGCATCTGCATCCGTATTAATTTTCAGACATATGTTCACAGGAATTTTATAACTCAGACCACACAAAGAGCTGAAAGAGGTGAGTGCATCATATCCATTCAGAACTGTCTACTGAAAGAGAGGCTGGACTAGGCAAAGCTACAGGGCATTTTATAAAGACTTTTAATGTCTCACACACAAAATTATTTAAAATTAAAAAACCTTTACTTAACAAAATAAATTAAGTTTTGACTATTGTGGTTTCAAGTGACCCTAATTATCAATTACATCTCTATTGGACTCATCAGATAATAAATGGGAGGTAGGTAATGTTATTAACATTACCAGCTCAGCCACTGAATAACCTGAGGGGTACAGTGCCAATTGAATGTGCAATACCTACAGAGGAGAAATGAGCTTTTTCTGAGCCACTTTAAAGTAAACTAATCTTATTTTTTTCTTGCAACATTCAGGATAGTTACAAGTTCCATAAATTTCTACCTTCTTTGCTAGGCCAGTGTCCTGTTCCTCAAAAACAATTTTCAACCTCTGAAAAGTTTTTATGCTTGTTACCCACAAGTGGCTATTAATAATTTACTGCTTTATTATGCTGTGAATTCACCACAAAGAAATTGGTGACAGTGTCGGACCTTGTTACTCCAAACTGTGAGTACTTTTTTAGGTTCATCCTTATCACTTATCAATGAACCTGCTCTTTCTGTAGAAGAGAAGGTTCAGCCCTTTGATGTGGTTTGGCTGTGTCCCCACCCACATCTCATCTTGAATTCTCACATGTTGTAGGAGGGACCCTGTGGGAGGTAATTGAATCATAGGGGAAGTTCTTTCCTGTGCTGTTCTCAAGACAGTAAGTCTCACAAGATGTGATGGTTATTATAAGGGGGAGTTTTCCTGCACAAGCTCTCTCTTTGCCGGCTGCCATCCATGTAAGATGTGACTTGCTGCTCCTTGCCATCTGCCATGATTGTGAAGTCTCTTCAGCCATGTGGAGCCGTAAGTACAATAAAACTCTTTCTTCTGTAAATTGCCCAGCCTTGGGTATGTCTTTATCAGCAGCGTGAAAATGGACTAATACACCACTGATACCTTCCTTTAATCCAGTGCCATTGGCAAGGTACAGAGAGAAGTTTTCTAGATATTTCAAGATGTTCTAGAAGGGCTGCATATTTTCATCACTTTTTATATTACATAGATATATCTTTAGTTTGTGCTCACATTGTGGTCATACCAATATCTCCAATACCCACCTCAAGGTTGTTAGTTTTTGACACATTATTAGTTGTTTTTGATGGTTAGTTGGTTAATATTAATGGTATTTTCACCATGCTCAGAAAGTGAAAATGTATCTGTTGTGTTAATACAATTAGTACAATACTTGATAACCAACTGAGATTACCAGCTATAGACAAAATATTTCAGAGGTCAATATTGAGAAAAGTATAACTACCTTTATATCTATAAAAATAAATACTTTGCAACTGAGTGTGAACATCTAATACAATTTAGTTTCCTTTGTAGATTTTAGGGAAAATATAGTGTTTCTTTGGAAGATGTATGTGACTACTTAACTATTTTTATATAGTATTTATTCAATTAATAGTTAGAAAATGGATTTCTTTCCCAAGTATAGACAATGAGAGACATTATATATATCTAAAAAATACTAAAATACTAAGGCTTCAAATAATGGAAAAGTGAAATTTCAGCAGGTCAATCTGTTCACAGCAGTTCTGTTTGGCTCATTGTCATTTTTTTTCTACAAAAAAATAACTAGTCAGCTCATTGTCATTTTGAATATGTAAGTTGGATTATGTATGCACCATTGCAGTCCCCTACTCCAATATTTTATCTTCTTATTTTTGAAAAGCTAATACTTCAATGATTTAATGCTGTTTTAAAATAGTTTATCAAAATATAATGAAGTGTGTATACTAATATTTACTTAATACTTCTATATGTAATTTTCTCTATTTTTGATTTTAGCCTATTTCTGTCAGGGCAGTGAAAATGATAGGAAAATGGAAAGACATTATTTATTCACAATTGACAAAAATGATTATTGCAATAATAAAATAATTCGCTATGTCTTAGGTAAATTCACTATTGGAGATTTTTTTACCTATTGAGAAAACCCACCTCATTCCTTACCATTAGATTTAATGTGAATATTATGAAGAAAAACTAGGACTTTACAGATAATCATGTAACAAAGCAATAATTCAGGTATCTGACCTGCTTTCGAATAGCAGGTAGGAATTAACTTAAAAAATAAAACAAACAGAAAAAGGAGAACTAAAAACAAGAGACACTGATTCTTACTTACAAGTCTCCATCTCTCTCACTCCCAGTACATTCTTATGCAAACACCAGAGAAAAGAAAGACACAATTGATGAGATTAGAAAATTTTAGGAAATGCACATTTTGTTTGTAAGTTACACTTCATAGTATGCATTATATACAAACATATATATTGCATATGTATAAATATGTTGTATTTTTGTATAATTATTCCATAAAACAAATCCAATTCATTTTCTGCTTCTGTGTTTATACCACAAATTACGTACCAAATCATAAAATATTATCAATCTTCTACCTCATAATTATTGCATAGTGAACATATATAAAAGTAAATTCTCAGTTACTTAATAAGTCGGATACTTTTCTACTGCCATTCTCAATAGTACAGTATATATAATGAAGAAATATAAATAATTATAATGATATCATCTTTATGCATATCAAATTAGGTTGGTAAAATTAGTAATATACATAATTTGTGAAGCAACTTAAGATCAGCTTTAAGAAATAATATAGTCACCAATAGCATATTTTAATAGCTGGCATCTTAATAGTAAATGGTTGTAGGTCCCTTTGGGGAGGCTAGATGGAAGATTAATAGTGTACATTTTTGCAGTGTAGTAGAACCTGGCCACTCCTTCATTTGCAAAGCTCTGGGTCAGTGAACTGATTCAAGTCTGAAAATTGATTGATGTACTTTTACTCTCTGTGATTCAAGTCAAATTTCTGTTCATGAAACCTACAGCTTTTTCAATTATACAGATCAGGGAAAACTTTATTAAGCTATCCAACTATTTCATCTCTAGAGACGCCATGATTAACTAGCCAGTCCTGAAGATGACTGTGAGATAGACCATCCTGACTCCTCCTTAAGCTCTATTGTCCATAACAGTAACCCTGTCCATTTTGTCTTTGGTGATTAAGTGATCCACTGTCACCCATATTTCCAAAGTTTCTATGTGTAAATTGGCAAAATCATACAGTCATTTTGATATATATATATATATATATATATATATATATATATATATATATACAGCACCTCCTCATGAATTGAACTTTGTATCTCACCCCCTGAAATCCGCTAGGTCTGGATTCTAGTTATAGGTCCAAGAAAGAAGGGGAGGTGACAGAGGTAGGTCCTGAGGTGGATCAGCGGTCCTTTGTAAGGTAGCTACCTCAGGCGAGGCCACTAAGGTCTTTATTGAAAAGGAGACTAAACTGCTCAAGCAGGGCTAAAGAGCCGCTTCCAATGGCAAAGAAAGACTTTAGGGATTAAATGACACACCTTCATTAGAATCAGCCTTATGCCCAATCCAACTCTTAGGATTTCATTCCTTCCCAATCAATATGCTAATTTTGATTAAAAGAGGCCTTGTGAAATTGGGAATTCATTTGTGTTGCAATTCAGCCACCTGCAGGATTACAATTTAGGTTCACTTTTCAGAAATCTAGATCTGGCCACAAGAGATAAGATTTTTTTAAAGGATACTGGGCCATAATTCTGAAAGACATAATCATATAATAAATGTTGAAATACCAAAAGATCAAAATTCCTGAGATTTAAAATTCTGAAAATCACAATCCCAAAAGATCAATATCCCCAAATTGTAATTCTGAGGAAAAAAATAAAAAAAAAATTATTGGTGTAAATTCTGGATTCCAAAGGCTGATGAGCATGGAGTTCTGATGTCCCAGGCAACAGAACTTGGTCCCAGCTCTCAGAAAGAGACCAGTTTGCCTTCCGTATTTGTTCTCACTGGGTTCTTGGCCTATTCCATGCTATCCCCCAACATTTAGGGCAGATCTTTAACGCATAGTCCACTCATATTCACACACTAATCTCCTCTGGAAACATCCTCAGAGACACACCCAAAATAATGCTTTACCAAGTTTCTAGGTATTTCTTAATCCAGTCACATTGACACCTAATATTAAGTCCACAAATCTACCTCTTGTCAACTTTGTAGCCATACACATCTGTTTAAGCCATACTTCATTTCCAAATGAAGACATTAAGAAGGTAGTAAATCCACCTAACATGATGCAACTATCCTGTGTATAACTGACAGTGCACTAATGTCTTCCCCAGAATTTGGCCTTCAGGATTTCAGCATTCAGGATTGTAATCTTTCAGAACTGTGATTTAGGATTTTAGACATTATGGATTTTAGATTTTAGAGATTTTAGACTTTAGGGATATTGACCTTTTCGGATTTCCATATTCGAGATTATGGCATTTGGGATTATGATCTAAATATTCTACTCAAAAAAAGATAATCATTCATACCCAAATAAAATATCACCCCCTTTAAATTTTTATTTTATTCTAATAAAATATATTTTGCGCTACTTAAATTATAACTACCAACTTGTATTTGAAAGTACTTGTCTCATATTCCCTGACTGATCATCTTAAATTTTACCTAAAATGTTGATTATTGAATTATTGAGTATTGCAAATACCTTTATACTGATATTTTAACAAATTTAACATCATTGACTCTGATGCTGGAATAAAAGATTTTCAGATGAGATTGGGTACCCTCAGGGTGGTATGACCTTGGATGGACATAGAAGGTTTCATACATGCCACTGAGTTTATGGTAATTTTAATATTTCCATCACTTGTAAAATAGCAATGCTGTTATTTTAGGGAAAATAAATGAGAAAAAACTGTGTGTCAACAAGTGATAAACATGAATAATATGTAATCAGAAGTAGGTTTGGGAAATGACTTTCTGTAGACTTGATCTAGATTTAAACATTAATAAATATTACAAAATTTTTGAAATGTTGGAAAAAATTGTAAAAATCATTACAAGAAACATTTTTGTGAAACCATTTCGTGGTTTTTAAAATTACATTCACTTTGTACTGCTTTTATACTTTTAACTATTATGTTATTTAATTTTTTTCACATTACTGTCTAACTTACTATTTTATATAGTCCTCAGTATTGCAAACATGGCATTTCCAGAAAAGACTCATGTATCACTAATAATAAGTTTAAGTGTTTATAATAACTGATCAGGTTATTTCTCATAGTAAAGTTCTTTAAAATTATTGCTAACAGAAATCTTAATGTCTGCTTTAACATAACTCTACTGTTCAACATTCTGTGCTAACATCTTATTCTACAAGAAAATGCTTACCAAGGAAGATAAAGTTACAAATAACTTTGTTTCAGGAACTTCATGAAAACCCAGTTATCCAAAGAATAGAATATTCAACTATCTCTCCTGGAGAATTACCACTTCTCACAACCATAGACTACTCAACCAGGCTTGCCAAATCTCATTGCAAAAACCCCACTTCAGTGAATCCTCCAGTGGCAAATTTGACCCAGTTTCACACAGGCCTTCTTACTGAATGGATCACCTGAGATCAAACCCTCAAGATCTTGTGAATATCTTATTCTTGATCTTCCTGTTTCAAGAAACCACTAAGACTCTGTCAATGTAGTTCACTAATTTACTGCAGTAAGCAATAAACCTGTCTTTATTTAATCAATGAGTTATTTTGGTAGTCTTACTGAAGAAATGGTAGTAGACATCCCCATTACTTTAAAAATTTTTTAGATTATTGTTTTACTTTCAAAGAAATTTCTATAAAATAGAAGAGCATAAAGAGCATTAGCATCACTGTTTTGTTACACTCAGCAGCTTGCCATATGGGAAATATACATTAGAAGACAATTAAGGGTAAAAAGAAACTTTTTCCTCACACAACACAATTACATAGTGTGAAAACATTCAGGGAGTGTTTATGAACTCAGTGGATTCTGAAACATAAGCTAATTTTCGCAAGACATAAGGAATTTTATGAGAAAAATATAAGCAGTATTTTAGTTCTTTTTAGAGATCTAATTAGTATGTCCTTTAAAGAAAAACTCTTTAAGATTTAGATAATTTTATATGAATTTTATTTACATTGCATCTACAGATTATGTCAGGCTTAAATCTTTCAAATGTCTTGATACTCTCAAATATGGTTATGCAAATATTAAAATCTGGACCTTGAGTTAGTTGAACATATATTGCCAATAGACTGTTATAATGCCTGAGAGATCTGTGTCTTTATTTATGTATTTGAGAAAATGTTTTTTGTAGAGAAAAAGAACTGCACAATGGAGACATTAAATTTCAAGTACAGAAAATCAGAGGGGATTTGATGCTCATCAGAATGGAGGATTTTTAAATTATTGAATATAACATACGTTAGATAATTTGCACAAATCATCAGTGTACAGCTCAACAAAATTGTTCAACTGAACTGTGTGATCAGAGCCCAGGTGAAGAGATAGAAGATTACCCATATCGTGGAAATTCCCCTCATGTTCCCTTTCTGTCCCTAGCGCCTCTCAAAAAGGATGGAGTCATTTTGGTATATATTTATGTTAAAACTTATACCTTAAAACCTATGAAGTGTATTTTATGTCAATTTTACCCCCAACAAATTGTTTATAGAAAGTAAGTATACCTGATATGTATACCTGATACATCAAAGTAGTTAAATAAAAGGAGAAGGAACATAAAAAAATTTCCTTTGAGGAAATGGCATTTTTTAAAATGAGAAACTTGAATGATAAGAAAAATCAGGTATAAAAAGATTGTTGAAAAGCATTTCGAACCTTGAGAATATTGACTATTTGCCAAAATATGGATGGGACCTCACAAATATAACCTTGATTTAAAAAGCCAAGTACTAAGACTAATGATAAACAATTCTTTATTTGTAAGGTACAAAGAAGACATATTAATCTTCATTGTTAGATGCCAGGAGAGTGATGACCTCCATGCCTTCAAGGGGACTTTTAGGGGTGGAGATGCATAATGGTAAAAGAGAGGCTTCTGGGGTCTAAGGGACCAAGGAAGGTTTCTGGGGGATCTGTCCAGGTATAATATGCTTGTGAAAATTCTGTGAATCACATAGTTATTATATAAACAAATTATATTTATACATATGCTATGATATATAGACAGTAACGTAAAGTTTAAAAGTTATATTAATCATATGACATAGATGTATTATTCACATTTTAGACTCTTTCCTAAGAGTTAACATTTGTTAAGAACTGATGTCCCTCTTCTGACATAGAACTATAAACTGTAGACTTTAAGTGTACATGATACTTTTCAACATATCTATATATTGTAGTTTTATATTAACAATGAAAGCCCTTCTTTTTTCTTCCCAGGATTAAATGTCTACCATACAGGCATTAGTCATTCCTTAAGATTAAGGAAGAGATATATTGTTTTGCATCTTTGTAATATACAGTTAAACATGAATTAAACATCATTTTAAACCTAGATTTGCCAAAGCATTTCTCACTTTTTTAACCTAATATAAAAACAATACATTGAAAATCACCTGTTGAAATCTAAAGCACTATGAAACTTAATTCTTGAAAATGAAACAACATGCTTTTACCAAAATTTGAAGCATCTACTCTGAGAATACTGTGTATAACCTGACAATTATACCTTGAGACAACAGCATGAAGATAAAAAAAATTAAAAAGTAGAATGGACACACTAGAAATTATCAAAAAGATGAGACCAAGGTGAGAAAAAAGAAACTAACATATGGAGCATATACAATAAGATTCATAGCACTCAATAATTAAAATTTAATTTTGAACTAGGTATTCTCATTTAAGTTTTATAAAAGAGTAACTTGAGGCCAGGCGTGGTGGCTCATGCCTGTAATCCCAGCACTTTGGGAGGCCAAGGCAGGCAGATCACGAGGTCAGGAGTTCGAGACCAGCCTGGCCAACATATTGAAACCCCGTCTCTACTAAAAATACAAAAATTAGCCAGGAATGGTGGCACGCACCTGTAGTCCTAGCTACTTGGGAGGCTGAGGCAGGAGAATCGCTTGAACCTGGGAGGCAGAGATTGTGGTGAGCGCAGATCACGCCACTGTACTCCAGCCTGGGCAACAGAGCGAGACTTCATCTCAAGAAAAAAAAAAAAAAGAGTAACTTGATTTGAGAAAGATTAAGTGACCCACTCATGGTAACATAACCAGGAAGCAGCAAAACTCTAACATATGTGTTTCTAAGACTAAAAACAAAACATTTAAAATAATACAATAACAAAAAGTGTGAATACAACAGATATTACCTAACTCATAATTATCTTCAATCAATTAAGATTTATCCCTAAAATCTGTGGAGAGTTAGGCAATACATTTGAGATGTCATAAATATACTTTTATTAGGTAAGAAGAAAATGGTTAAGCATTAGGTCTTTAATCTATTCCCTCCCTTTCCTGGGAAAAAGAGCCTATCAAATCTTGAAAACATGCTAATGACAGAACTCCAAGTCAAGTATTTAATAGTGTTGCCAGTAGGAGAATTCTTATCTATGAAATGCTTTAGCAGGATTTACCTTAATTTGTCTAGATGATTGTAGTAAAGACACGTGGGATTTACAAATTTGTATGGCATGGGTCCCTGGTAAATATACTATCAACTACTTAAGTATTTAAGTATAAAATGGGGATGACTGAGTGGCTGCCTTCTCTGTTATTAATGTAGCTACTGACATTTTTTAGATACTTTTATATTAATGTGGTCAAAGTGTGTTTCATGTAAGAAGGAAGGATCTGAGGTGCTGCAACTCCTGATCTGGATTTATCCCTGTTTGCCTGTTCCTTCTGAATACTTGTATCCATGTATTTTTAACAAAGCTTGATACCAAGTGGATTAGTTATGGGTCTGCCATAACAAAGTACTACAAATTGGGTGACTTAGAACAAAAGAAATTTATTTTCTCACAGTTCTGGAGGCTAGAAGTCTGAAATAAAGGCATAGGCAATACCATATGAGACTCTTTCCTTTCCTCTTCATAGTTTCTAGTGGTTTGTGGACAATTTTGGGTGTTCCTTGGCTTGCAGCTGCATAACGCCAGTCTCTTCCTTCTTTGTCATATGGCTTCTCCCTGTGTGAGTGTCTATCTTCATATGGCCACTTTGTCGTGAAAACACCAGTCCACCACACTTCCGTATGACCTCATATTAACAAATTACATGAGCAATGACCCTGTTTCCAAATAAGTTCACATTCTAAAGAACTAGAGGTTATGACTTGGATATATTTTCTGGGGTCACACAATTGAACCCCTAACAACAGATATCTGATTTGTGTAGGGATTACTTGACAATCATATCCTTTGTGTCTAATTAAAATTCAAGGATTTATAAAATGTGACACCATCCTAATTTAATTTTTAAGCTGCTAAGAAGAAATACCAAATGTCTTTGAACAAAATGTATATAAATGATGGATATAATATCCATGGTAACTTAACAATAAAAACATTTGGACTACTTTTCTAATCACGTCCTGAAGCAGAGATCAAAATAATAAAGTAAATAGGCAACAAATGTGCTATGTGTACTGGACATATGATCAAATCTGGAAACAAATCTATTCGTTTTGCTTTAATTTGGGTTCTGATGTAAATAGATACCATGACAGGAATTTGGATACAATACATTTATTTGTGAATTGAGCACTGGAAGCACTCTGAGACAGTTGAGAATTGAGAAAAGAAAAGAAGTAAAGACAATAAAGAATATTAATAAATAAGTTCTCACCATGGGTAACTAGGCTTAATATCATCAGAATCCACTGAAACATTGTACAAAACATGCCACAGAATTTTTCCAGTGAGTAGCAGGGAATTGAAGAATTCATCTACAATTCCTAGAGGCTCTAGGGGCAATGGCTTGATTGCACTGGCACTTGCCTTGTGCCCAGCAGACTCCCATGGCCAGAGAAATCCCTAGAGTGGAGATGCAGGAAGTTGTCAGCATGTATAAGATATCTTTGCAAATTACCTCAGGCATAGCCAAGGATAGAGAGGTGGAAAACTGATAGCCTGTGATACCTGTTTTGTACCTCTTTGTAAACAGCATTAGTGACACTCTTAATGAAACTTAGTGACTCTCTTAATGAAACTCTGACTTTGTTTAAAATTAAGACCTAGAGTAAGCACAGTGTTGGTTCCTCCAAGGCATCCTTGCACAGAGAAAGAATAAACATAAATTTTTAAATTTCTCCAGTGTATGCTTCATGGCATTTGTTGAAAATAAATAAATTTGTGATCAGAAGCATAGTCTTTTTAGACTCCAAATATCCCTGAGTGGGCTAGAAGGAGAACAGTCTTTTACACATATATTTCCCCCATGAATTATAATCTGCTACCTTTCTGATACAATATGGATAAACTGAGTGATATGGTTTGGCTGTATCCCCACCCTCATCTCATCTTGAATTGTAATCCCCATAATCTTTATGTGTTATGGGTGGGACCCAGTGGGAGGTAATTGAATCTTGAGGGCAGTTTCCCCCATGTGTTCTTGTGATAGTGAGTGAGTTGTCACAAGATCTGATGGTTTTATGAACATCTGGCATTTCCCCTTCTGGCACTTACTTCATCCTGTCACCCTGTGAAGAAGGTTCCTGCTTCTCCTCCTTCTGCCATGACTGTAAGTTTCCTGAGGTCTCCCCAGCAGTGCAGAACTGTGAGTCAATTAAACCCTTCTTCTTTATAAATTACCCAGTCTCTGGTATTTCTTCATAGCAGCTTGAGAACAGACTAATACACTGAGCAACATTTGTAGAAGATAGATGCTAAGTAAATTGGATGAAACTGATGTGTCAGAGTTGCTAGTAAGCAAATAAGATAGTCATAAGTTGAGTTTGGTGAATTTAGATATCCGGTGACCTAGGCCACTTAACCAACAGAGCAAGAAGAAGCACAGAGATAGAGTTCATAAATTTTGTCTACTGAAATAAAAGTAACTCACAGGAAGAAAATAGCAAGCTAAGAAAGAAAACCAATATGAGGATTTATTGGAAGACTATGGAATAGTGGTCTACTACAGATGTATGTGCCATTTGTTGCTCTCATATCAAAGATGAACTCTACTTTACCTATACCTGCCCCTAAATATCTAATGTCAATGGACACAAATGGCACTCATTTACTCAGATAAGGTATTCATTGCTCATACTATTTAAAAGATGTGTATCCTCAAGAAATAATGTGGAGCCTGTGGTGCCTTCCAAATAACCTGGAATTTATTGGTGAGGGTCTTAGGCCTTCTCAGGGATGACATATTTATGGAGTGATTTAGTAGGGGTGCTAGTGGTAGAATCTCTGCCTCAGGCTGGAGGAGCAGTACTTATATCATAAAATCTGTAGTGTGGGTAGAGTAGTGAAACTTGTGAAAGTATTTAGGGAAATGTATAGGACAGAGCATTTTTACACAGACACACATGCACACACACACATACACACACACATCCTAACTTTCATACTGTCAAAGAGCTAACCCAACCATTATATTTTTTATCAACGTTTCTGTTGAGCTTCATAAATAGATTATGAGAAAGAACTTGGATAAATAAGCCTATAAAAAGCAGCTCTGGATTTTTATGAGTCTCTAAGTTTGTGTAGTAACCTAGATTTTTCTGAGGTCCTGCTAGTACATCAGAAATAGCCTAGTGTCCAATCTATTAATAAAGCAGGGAGAGAGATGCTGTTATGCAGTACATTGTCTTCTACTGGTTATATATCCTGTTCACCATCACTATAAAATGTGCTATGTGGCTGGTAATGAGGGCATTCAGGTTGTCCCTAGTGGGCACTGAAATATAATGATGCAAAGAAAAAAGGCTTAAGTGATAATTTCGATGAGATAATGTTATTTGAGTGTGACTTTATTAATGTTATCAAGAAACCAGATTTTTTGGCATATGGTTAACTACTCCTAAGTTTGATATGCATAGCATTAAAAATTCAAACTCAATTTACTCTTCCATTTTTTCTCTCTCTATTTGTTATTTTCTGGAGTTGGCCTATTGAGACTTCTGTTAATGAGTAAATCCATTCAACAATCTTTTTTTGAGAAGCAACATGAAAATAGTTGGAAGAAACGCAAGTTCCATTTGGACAAACTATGCCTCTAAATAATTTGTGACAAGAAATAGCTCTAAATTGCCCTAGATTTCACTGAAGATTTATTTAGTTAAAGCAATGATTATCTTTCTTACTTAATGTCAAAGATGTTGATACCCTGTACATCTAAATAGCATTACTGTATAGGAAGCATCAGTCTGCCATGGGCTTTATTTGTACTATTTGTTGTCCTTTCTAAAAATAACCAGTTTCTGCTTTGATTTAACCTCCTTTTGGTGCTATTATTTCTTAAGGAAAATATTGTTTAAATCTAATAGCCCTGTCTCTGAATTTTGTGCTAATAATGTGGCTCTTTTGGTTTTCCACATATAAAGGTCAATGTCAAATTATTTTCTATATGCCCTTTTAGTAAAACCTAGTGCACCTAATATTCAGATTTTCTTGATCACCCTCTGTTTTAGTTCATTCTCACACTGCTATAAAGAACTATCTGACACTGGATAATTTATGAAGAGAAGCATTTTAATTGACTCACAGTTCCACAGGCTATATAGGCGGCATGTCTGGAAAGGCCTCAGGAAACTTACAATCATGGCAGAAAGGTGAGTGGGAAGCAAGCCAGTTTTCACATGGCGACAGGGGAGACAGAGGGAAGGAAGTGTTACACACTTTTAAACAACTAAGTCTCATGAAAACTCACTGTCACGAGAACAGCAAGGGGGAAATCTGCCCCCATGATCCAGTCACATCCCACGAGGCCTCTCCTCCAAAAGTGAAGATCATAATTCAACATGAGATTTGAGTGGGGACACAGAGTCAAACCATATCACTCTTAGTTTTCATAACAGGTTGAAATTATTTTTATTACTGTAAGACTGGGCTAATGAATAGAGGGACTTTGATGAACATGGCCTAGATATCATTAATCAAGTAATAATCTTTCACACCACTGAGCACATACACAGATTTGAGATATCACAGAAACATTATCAGAGTTTCTATTTAAAAATTTTTTTCTTCATTGATGTGAACTTTACTTAATGAGGAAATTATTTACCTTTTCTCTCCCAGTGCTAAATTCGTCATTTGTTAGCATGGCAAAGTATTATGAAGTAATATGTTAAAAAATACAGCTTCATCTTAGTACCACACAGACTATCCCAGAAAACATTTTTCTCATAATAGTGTCTAATTTACATTAAAAATGTGAGGACTTATTCTGCAGCAAACACAGTGCTAAGGAGCTTCTATATTTTATGTCACTGAATCTTTACCACAGATTTCAAAAGTGCATGTTTCTGTCTTTCCTACTTTATAAATAAGAAACTGAGGCTTTGAGATATTAAATATATTCTCTGAAATAACAGAGCTAAGGAATTGGGGACAATGAATTAAAACCAAGTCACTAGACTTCAGACACCTTGCTTTTAATCATTGCATTATGTAGAGTGAGTTGATCAAGGTCCTTCAGAAATTACAAGGTTACTGTTATTTTTTTCTGCCATCAACTGATAATAATGTGCACCTAGTAAACACATGGGTTTGCTTCTCCTTTTTAGGTAATATATAAATGTAACTAAGCATTTCCATTATCCTTTGTAAATTGTGTACTCCCCAACCACACATAGATAAAATCCTATCTTTCATTTGCTTTAAGGTCTTGTTCAAAGCTCCTCTGTCTTTAAAACTTCTTTTCTGAATATGTCTACCTGACATTGGTCTTCCTAAGTTTACATATGCTGTATTTTTAAAGAAAAATTATTTGCCATTATTTTAAATTTCACTTAGTTCTTTAGTAATTTCCTATAATGATTTAAAAACATATTTATTGAGTTATTATTGGCATACAGTAAAATCCACAGATGCAAAATGTAGCACGTGGGTATGTGGGCATAGATATGCACACATATATACAAATACATATACTTATATACATGTACATATATACACAACCACAGGTATTTCTAGTCAAATAAAAAATTATTTCTGGCACAATATGACTATTTTTCTTTATGCAAGGAAACTATTAAAATTGTGTTCTGATTTATCATTTTTTGAGAGTAATGACCTGGTGATCTCACATGGTGCTATTTTTATGATATTTGCTTAGATAGTGAGATTGTAATATCAGCTTCCGAATTTTCAGAGGACTGTACAACATTGTTTCTATAGTGGACTTTCATAAATATAACATTTTTCATGGTATGACATTGGCGTGCACATGCTGTTTTGAAGAGAGAAATTTCTTGCACATTTAAAAATAAAAACAACAAACATCTCTGCAGTTAGAACAGTTGGTAGTTCTTGAAGTACCTATGCCAAGTAAAATCATTAGCAAGCACTAGAGGGAATTAAAAACAAGGTTTGGTTTCCTGTATGGCATGTAAGAAGTTTGGAAGCCACCACTCCATCCTAACAAGTATAAAACTGAACAAACTGAAGAAATCAACTCTTCTCATATTCATAAGAAAAGTGATTTCACAGGAAAAACCACTGCCCGCAAAATTGGAGAGCTAGGCAGGCAAATATGGAGAATCATAACTAACAGATCAGAAAACTACAAGCAGGAACTTTCAGAAGAATCAGGGACAAGGTCAGAAAACCTGAACTTTAATTGATGAATTCCTGGAGGCTCACTGTGGACAACACTGAATTTTTGTTGTTGTTGTTGTTGTTGAGATGGAGTCATACTCTGTCGCCCAGACTGGAGTGCAGTGGTGCAATCTAAGCTCATTGTAAACTTTGCCTCCCGGGTTCAAGGGACAACGCCAAAATTTTAAAATCCAAGGTTACCCAGTTATAGAAGGGCTCCCACACTTTTGTGAGTTGTACCTTCAGGATCTTGACGTGGTCCTCAAAGTGAATATCAGAGAAAAATCTCCTTGTGCTTCTAGCAAGGGGAGGAAAAGACAAACCATTTTGAAATACAACAGATCATTTTATTTTTCTTAACAAGGTATGCCCTCAGGAGGAACTATTTAACCAGAGCCTAATCTGTTTGGATTTATCGGAGCTTAACTGACTTGAAGGGAAGGAAATAACCCACTCTGGCCTCCTCAGACCTTACACATAGGAAGCTTTAACATAGAAGGGAAATAACCAATTCCAGCCTTCTAGCCAAGACAGGTTGAGGAGAAACTTAGAAGCACTTGTGAAGTTCACAGTCCAGAAGAGTACTAAAAGTCTAAGAACCAATCATAAGACTATAAAAGGTATCTCTCTCTCCACACACCTTACCACTCACTACTAAATTCTTACTTGCAGCAGTTCCTGTCACCCAGTATGACGTGTCTGGTTATCAAGACAAAATTACAAGGCATACTAAAAAGCAAAACATACCATTGGAAGAATGGGCATCAGAGACAGACTCAGATAGGTAGAATTGTTGGGATTATCAGACTGGGAATTTAAAACAACTATGGTTAATATACTAAGGGTGTTAACTGATAAAGTAGACAGCATGAAAACACAAATGAAAAATGTATGCAGATAGATGGCAGCAGGGAAAGAGAAATCATATAAAATGCTCAGTTAACACCACAAAAGGCAAAAGAGTACAAGACAAAATAGAAAAATAAAAATAAGGATGGCAAATAAGAAACAGTAACAAATATAGTTTTAATCCAAATATATCATAATCATTTTCAATGTCAACAGTTTAAATGCACCCATTAAAAGATGAAGAATGAGTGGATCAAAAATAAGATTCAGCTACCTGTTGCCTACTGGAAACCCACTATAAATTAAAAATATATATATGGATTAAAAGTAAATGAATGGAGTAAAATATATGATGTTAACCTTAGTCAAAAGAAAGTCAGGATAAAGGGGGATACGATGACCAAATTGATGCTCCGGAAGCACATCTCCTGCCATGAGAAACCAAAATATTCAGTAAGCCATCAAACTTTTGAACAGATCTTTTGAGAGAAAGCACTGAAAGTCAATACAGAGGCAGTGGAGACACCAAAAAGGAAGAGGGAAGAAGATGAGAACCCTACAAAGAGTTGCCAAGTGCCAGAACCAGCTCCTGGCCATGAATAGGACCTAAGAAAGGGGTGAGTGAAGAGACTGGGGCAACACAGCTTTGCTGTGAACTTCTGGGATCCCAACTCTAACTCTATGGGGTCCCACGACCCCATAAACTTTGAATTGGCAGGGGGAATGACAAGAGAATAAGCAGAGACACAACTTGAGCCTTGCTTGGAGCCCAAGATTTTGCATGCAGGGCAGCTGCAGCAAAATGCAATCATAGGCAACAATTCCCCAAAGCTTTCCATCTTGCTCTGAGGGCTGCCTATCCCACAGGACCAGCGCACATCTGATCTGCATCTCCGCAACCTCCCAGCCCATCTGCCATACCCTCCAAAGATCCCTGCCTGGTCACTCCTGTAAAAGCATTCACACACCACAGCCTCCACTGCCCCACCTGAAAATGTTGCCAGTGGCCTGGGAGCACCTCAGCCCCACTGGCATAGCCAGTGTTCAACCCCAAGGGTCCAGAGGACAAAGACGTGGGCTGGGACCCAACCTCCCAGGGTTTGAGCACACAGCTCAAGAATATTGAGCTGAAATCTTCTGTGGCTGGAGCTTGAGAAGCAGACAAGACCCCACTCTCAGAATACTGAGAAAGTACGGTGTGAGTTCTTGGACCAACGCAGGATGTGGGTGTGCCTCACTTGGCAAGACTGGTTTGAAAAGGGTGTAGCCTATGTACCGATTACATCCTCTGCTGAGTAAGCCCCACAGCCTGGAAAAACTAACAGGCCAGTGATGAGTGCTGTGAACTTGAAACAAAACTAGCTGGTCGGGAAAGCTACTGGAACAGACCCCAGAAGGAGACCCAGTCAGAGGAGTGTGAGCTGGGAAGTTCCCACAGCCATCTGCTAAGCAAAAAGCCCTGGGCAACAGGCACTACACAACACCCACAACAACACCACCCTGTCCAAGGATCCCTCACCCTTGACCCATTGCATCAACAAACCACCTGCAGAGATACACTACAACCCACTCTGACTCTGCCAAGCAATGAGGACACGCGGGTCCCTGGGAAGCTGTGGGGCACCTGGCAACCTCACCTTCAGCTCAGGCAGCCTCTACGGGAAGGAGTGGCACAGGCTGTCAGGGCTTCCTTCAGGGGTAAGGAGACACAGGTATAGCACCAGTGATTGGAGGGGGCGCCCAAGACCCAGGAATAAACTTGGTGAGGGGAGTGTCGCTATACCCATCCATCTCACCCACCCCAGAACACAGTTGCAAACTCACTAAAATAGACAAGAGTGATGAGTACAGCTGAGCAAGAGCATATCTGCCAGACCTTACTCTTAAGCATCGTCTACTGGATGACAGCCTGAATGACACTACCAAATAAAAATTCTTCCAGGATAGATTGCTGGTGAAACCTAATGCAGAAATCTGGTCACAAATAAAAATTCCACACAGAGATATGACCCTCTGAAAACACTCAGAAACAAAGCCATTAGATTATACTTAACCTTATACCATGGTCAAACTCTCAAGGGAAATAAAAAATATAAAAATAAAATGTCCCACCTTATTGATAGAAACTTCAAAAATATGAAGGAAAACCATCCTTCTCAGGTGAGAAAAAATCAGAACAAGATCTCTGGCAATCAAAAAGTTAGAGGGTCCCCATATCCCCAAACAATTACACTAACTACCCAGCAATTGTTCCTAATCAGATTGAAATTGCTAAAATAACAGATATAGAATTCAGAAATGGGATGTCAAGAAAACTTAACGAGATTCAGAAGAAAGTTAAAACCCAATCCAAGGAAGTTAGAAAAACTCTCCAAGAGCTGAAAGAAAATATAGCCATTTTAAGAGAGAACTCAATTGAAATTCTGGAAAAACATTCGCTACAGGAATTTTAAAATATAGTTGGAAGTATTGACATCAGAATAGCTGATGGAAAGAATCTCAGAGCTTGAAGGCTGGTACTTCAAATCAATTCAGACAGCCATAAAAAAAGACAAAAAGAATTTTTAAAATGTACAAAAGCTCTGAGAAATATGAAATTATGTAAAAAACGAAACCTATAACTCATTGGCATTCCTGAGAGAGGAGAGAGAGTAAACAATTTGGAAAACATAACTGAGGATATATAACCCACAAAAGTTTCTCCAATCTTGCTAGAAATAAATGAAGAGGTATTCCACTTTCAGGGATAGGCAGACTTAATATTGCTAAGACCTTCCTCTCAACTTAATGTATAGATTCAATGCAATCCCAGTCAAAAATTTCAGCAAATTATTTTGTAAATGTCAACAAACTGATTGAGTTTATACAGAGACAAGAGACCCACAGTTGCCAACACAATATTGAAGGAGAAGAACAGTGTTTAGGGACTCATGCCACTCAACTTCAAAAATGACTATAAAACTACAGTAATAAAGACAATGTAATATTGGTGAAAGAATGGACAAATAGATCAGTTGAACAGTATAGAGAACCCCAAAATAGCTCCACATAAATATAGTCAACCGATCTCTAACAAAAGGGCAAAGACAATACAATGTATGAAATGATGCTACTGAAACAACTGGACATCCACATCCAAAAAAAAATTAATCTAGACACAAACTTTACACACTTCTCAAAATTGAACTCAAAATGGATTGAATGACTATTATAATCACAATATATTGTATTTTTTAATAAATAACTGTTGTTCAAAATCACAAAGAATTCTTAAAACACAACAACTAGGAAACAATCCAATGGAAAATAAAAGAGCCAAAGACCTTAAAAAACACCTGCCAAAGAAGACATGCAGATGGCAAATAAGCATATGAAAAGTTGCTCCACATCGTATCTCATCAAAGAAATGCAAATTAAAACAATTAGATATGACTACACACCTATTAGCTTGGCACAACACTGACAACTTTAAGTGCTGATGAGGGTTTGGAGCAAGAAAAACTCTCATTCATTGGTGGTAGGGATTCAAAATGGTACAGTCACTTTGGAAGGCAGTTTGGCAGTTTCTTACACAACTTATTAACTTATTATTATTCCAATACTATACAAATCACACTATTTGGTATTTACCAAAAAAGTTGAAAATATGTCTACACAAACACCTGCACATGAATGCTTATAATTCATAATTGCCAAAACTCGGAGGCAACCAAGATATCCTTCAGTAGGTGAATGGATGAACTATGATACATCCAATGGCATATACAGTGCTAAAAAGAAATGAGCTATCAAGCCATAAAAAGAAATGGAGAAAAGCCTAAATGCATTACTACAAGAAAGGAGCCAATCTGAAAAGACTACATGCTATATCATTCCAACTATATGACAATCTGAAAAAAAGCAAACTATTGAGACAGTAAAAAGGCCAGTGCCATCCAGGGCTAAGGAGGAGAGATTAATGATCAGGTGGAGCACAGATGATATTTAGAGCAGTGAAACTATTTTATGTGAAACCATAATGGTGGATGGATGCCATACATTTGTCCCAAATCATAAAATACTCAGCATCAAGAGTGAATCCTAATGTAAGCTGCAGTCTCTTGGTGATAATTATGTGTCTGTGTAAGTTTACGTATCATAACAAATGTACCACATAACAATGTGGGGAATATTGATAATTGAGAGGCTGTTTATGTATGAGGGCATTGGGTATACTCTGTACCTTCCTCCAAATTTTATTGTGATTTTAAAATAAAGTCAATTAAAAACACAAGGTACATTCAAAAAGGATATTATAAAATGATGTAGACAATGTGGATAAATCTTAGATATTATAGTACAGTTGTTAAGTAAATTAAATTTATAGAAAAGAAAAAATTTTGAAGATAATGAATATTTCAAAATATTACATGAGCTGGAAAAACTTAAAACCTGGAGAAATATTAGAGAGAATATGTAAACATATAAATTAATTATATAAATTTATTTTATCAGTGTTAACACTATTCATAAAATATTTCTGACCTCAAGCTACAGTTCAATGGGTAGAAAATATGTGTATACTAATAATTTCCCTACTGCCTAATATGCAGCAAATTTTCTAAACTGAGGAAAACTAATATTTCTCCCTTTAATCCTAAGAATCTCAATATTAAAAGGGAAAAATCTGACTGAAAATAGAAATTATCATTCAATTTTGAACAGTATTTTATGACTTAGAAGTCTGTTGTTCATCTATTATTTCTCATATATGGCTATAAATTTACTTTTTAGGAAAGAGTTTTAAATATCAGAGTGTGAAGAATATCTTAAACAATAAAAATGACTCAGATTATTAATTGTAAGTTTAGATTCTGAATGATTAGAGTTTATTCTAATAAAATCCAAAGAATTATAGTAAAACATATATTCTTAAGGATTAATATAGAAACAAATCCTAATTAAGTCTATTTAGTGTAATATTTTCTAACCAAAGAGAGTAAATCTAAATCTTTCAGGTTAGCTGTTTTGACATATGTTATTCTATCTTTCAAGCCTGTTACAATGCAGTCATTAACTTATAAAATGTGTTTCATTTTTACTTATGTAAAAGACATATGTAAAAGACATGGACAATATTGAGGACATATTTAATATGTTCTAGATCCTTGAGGAATTGCCACACTGTCTTCCACAATGGTTGAACTAATTTACACTCCCAACAGTGTAAAAGTATTCCTATTTCTCCACATCCTTTCCAGCATCTGTTGTTTCCTGACTTTTTAATGATTGCCATTATAACAGGTGTGAGATGGTATCTCAATGTGGTGTTGATTTGCATTTCTGTAATGACCAGTGATGATGAGCCTTTTTTCATATGTCTGTTGGCTGCACAAATGTCTTCTTTTGAGAAGTGTCTGTTCATATCCTTTGCCCACTTTTTGGTGAGGTTGTTTGATTTTTTATTGTAAATTTGTTTAAGTTCTTTGTATATTCTGGATATTAGCCCTTTGTCAGATGGGTAGATTGCAAAAATTTTCTCCCATTCTGTAGGTTGCCTGTTCACTCTGATGGTAGTTTCTTTTGCTGTGTAGAAGCTCATTAGTTTAATTAGAGCCCATGTGTCTATTTTGGCTTTTCTTGCCATTGCTTTTTGTGTTTTAGTCATGAAGTCTTTGCCCATGCCTATGTCCTGAATGGTATTTCCTATGTTTTCTTCTAGGGTTTTTATGGTTTTAGGTATTACACTTAAGTCTTTAATCCATTTTGAGAAGGAAGGGATCCAGTTTCAGCTTTCTACATATGGCTAGCCAGTTTTCCCAGCACCATTTATTAAATAGGGAATCCTTTCCCCATTTCTTGTTTTTGTCAGGTTTGTCAAAATCAGATGGTTGTAGATGTGTGATGTTATTTCTGAGGTCTCTGTTCTGTTCCGTTGGTTTATATATCTGTTTTGGTACCAGTACCATGCTATTTTGGTTACTGTAGCCTTGTAGTATAGTTTGAAGTCAGGTAGCATGATGCCTCCAGCTTTGTTCTTTATGCTTAGGATTGTTTTGGCTCCTTTTTTCTTCCATATGAACTTTAGAGTAGTTTTTTCCAATTCTGTGAAGAAAGTCCTTGGTAGCTTGATGGGGATGGCATTGAATCCATAAATTACCTTGGGCACTATGGCCATTTTCATGATATTGATTCTTCCTATGCATGAACATGGAATGTTCTTCCATTTGTTTGTGTCCTTTTTTATTTCGTTGAGCAGTGGTTTGTATTTCTCCTTGAAGAAGTCCTTCACAGCCCTTGTAAGTTGGATTCCTAGGTATTTTATTCTCTTTGTAGTAATTGTGAACGGGAGTTCACTCATGATTTGGCTCTCTGTTTGTCTGTTATTGGTGTATAGGAATGCATGTGATTTTTGCACGTTGATTTTGTATACTGAGACTTTGCTGAAGTTGCTTATCAGCTTAAGGACATTATGGTCTGAGACAACAGGGTTTTCTAAACATACAATCATGTCATCTGCAAACAAGGACAATTTGACTTCCTCTTTTCCTAACTGAGTACATTTTATTTCTTTCTCTTGACTGATGGCCCTGGCCAGAACTTCCAATACTATGTTGAATAGGAATGGTGAGAGAGGGCATCCTTGTCTTGTGCCAGTTTTCAAAGGGAATGCTTCCAGTTTTTGCCCATTCAGTATGATATTGGCTGTGGGTCTGTCATAAATAGCTCTTACTATTTTTAGATATGTTCCATCAATACCTAGTTTACTGAGAGTTTTTTTGCATGACAGGCTGTTGAATTTTATCAAAGGCCTTTTCTGCGTCTATTGAGATAATCATGTTGTTTTTGTCATTGGTTCTCTTTATGTGATGGATTACATTTATTGATTTGCGTATGTTAAACCAGCCTGCCATCCCAGGGATGAAGCCAACTTGATCGTGGTGGATAAGCTTTTTGATGTGTTGCTGGATTCGGTTTGCCAGTATTTTACTGAGGATTATCACATAGATGTTCATCAGGGATATTGGTCTAAAATTCTCTTTTTTTGTGTGTGTCTCTGCTAGGCTTTGGTATCAGGATGAAGCTGGGATCATTAAATGAGTTGCAGAGGATTCACTCTCTTTCTATTGATTGGAATCATTTCAGAAGGAATGGTACCAGCTCCTCTTTGTACCACTGGTAGAATTCGGCTGTGAATCCCTCTGATCCTGGACTTTTTTTGGTTGGTAGGCCGTTAATTATTGACGCAATGTCAGAGCCTGTTATTGGTCTATTCAGAGATTCAACTTCTTCCTGGTTTAGTCTTGGGAGAGTGTATGTGTCCAGGAATTTATCCATTTCTTCTAGATTTTCTAGTTTATTTGCGTAGAGGTGTTTATAATATTCTCTGATGGTAGTTTGTATTTTTGTGGGATTGGTGGTGATATCCCCTTTATCATTTTTATTACATCTATTTGATTCTTCTCTCTTTTCTTCTTTATTAGTCTTGCTGGCAGTCTATCTATTTTGTTCATCTTTTCACAAAACCAGCTCTTGGATTCATTGATTTTTTTGAAGGATTTTTTGTGTCTCTATCTCCTTCAGTTCTGCTCTCATCTTAGTTATTTCTTGCCTTCTGCTAGTTTTTGAATTTATTTGCTCTTGCTTCTCTAGTTCTTTTAATTGTGATGTTAGAGTGTCAATTTTAGATTTTTCTTGCTTTCTCTTGTGGGCATTTAGTGCTATAAATTTCCCTCTACACACTGCTCTAAGTGCGTCCCAGAGACTCTGGTACATTGTGTCTTTGTTCTCATTGGTTTCAGAGAACATCTTTATATCTGCCTTAATTTCATTATTTACCCAATATTCATTCAGGAGCAGATTGTTCTGTTTCCATGTACTTGGGTGGTTTTGAGTGAGCTTCTTAATCCTGAGTTCTAATTTGATTCCACTGTGATCTGAGAGACAGTTTGTTGTGATTTCTGTTCTTTTACATTTGCTGAGGAGTGTTTTACTTCCAATTAGGTGGGCAATTTTAGAATAAGTGTGATGTGGTGCTGAGAAGAATGTATATTCTGTTGATTTGGGGTGGAGAGTGCTGCAGATGTCTATTAGGTACACTTGGTCCAGAGCTGAGTTCAAGTCCTGGATATCCTTGTTAACTTTCTGTCTCTTTGATCTCTATAATATTGACAGTGGGGTGTTAAAGTCTCCCATAATTATTGTGTGGGAGTCTAAGTCTCTTTGTAGATCTCTAAGGACTTGCTTTATGAATCTGGGTGCTCCTATATTGGGCATATATATTTAGGATAGTTAGCTCTTCTGGTTGAATCAGTCCCTTTACCATTATGTAACGACCTTCTTTGTCTCTTTTGATCTTTGTTGGTTTAAAGCCTGTTTTATCAGAGACTAGGATTGCAAACCCTGCTTTTCTTTGCTTTCCATTTGCTTGGTAGATCTTCCTCCATACCTTTATTTTGAGCCTATGTGTGTCTCTGCACGTGAGATGTGTCTCCTGAATACAGCACACTGATGGGTCTTGACTCTTTATCCAATTTGCCAGTCTGTGTCTTTTAATTGAGGCATTTAGCCCATTTACATTTAAGGTTAATATTGTTATGTGTGATTTTGATCCTTTCATTATGATGATAGCTGGTTATTTTGCCCGTTAATTGATGCAGTTTCTTCCTAGCATCAATGGTCTTTACAATTTGGCATGTTTTTGTACTAGCTGGTACTGGTTGTTCCTTTGCATGTTTAGTGCTTCCTTCAGGAGCTCTTGTAAAGCAGGCTTCACGGTGACAAAATCTCTCAGCATTTGCTTGTCTGTAAAGGATTTTATTTCTCTTTCACTTATGAAGCTTAGTTTGGCCGGATATGCAATTCTGTGTTGAAAATTCTTTTTTTTAAGAATGTTGAATATTGGCCCCCACTCTCTTCTGGCTTGTAGGGTTTCTGCCAAGAGATCCACTGTTAGTCTGATGGGCTTCCCTGTGTGGGTAACTCAACCTTTCTCTCTGGCTGCCCTTAACATTTTTTCCTTCATTTCAACCTTGGTGAATCTGACAATTATGTGTCCTGGAGTTGTTCTTCTCAAGGAGTATCTTTGTGGTGTTTTCTGTATTTCCTGAATTTGAATGTTGGCTTGCCTTGCTAAGTTGGGGAAGTTCTCCTGGATAATATCCTGAAGGGTGTTTTCTAACTTGGTTCCATTCTCCCTATCACTTTCAGATACACCAATCAGACGTAGATTTGATCTTTTCACATAGTCTCATATTTCCTGGAGGCTTTGGTCATTTCTGTTTACTCTTTTTTCTCTAATCTTGTCTTCTCACTTTATTTCATTAATTTTATCTTCAATTACTGATACCCTTTCTTCCACTTGATCGAATTGGCTATTGAAGCTTTCCATGCATCACAAAGTTCTTGTGCTGTGGTTTTCAGCTCCATCAGGTCATTTAAGGTCTTCTCTACACTGTTTATTCTAGTTTTAGCCATTTGTCTAACCTTTTTTTAAGGTTTTTAGCTTCCTCATGATGGGTTAGAACATGCTGTTTTAGCTCAGAGAAGTTTGTTAGTACTGACCTTCTGAAGCCTATTTCTGTCAGCTCATCAAAGTCGTTCTCCGTCCAGCTTTGTTCCATTGCTGGCGAGCAGCTGCGATCCTTTGGAGGAGAAGAGGTGCTCTGGCTTTTAGAATTTTCAGCTTTTCTGCTCTGATTTTTCCCTATCTTTGTGTTTTTATCTACCTTTGATCTGTAGGGACCAGCCCTACAGGGCCTGTGGGTTTTTCTCCTCATGTGCGGCAACGAGAGATCATAGAAATAAAGACACAAGACAAAGAAATAGAAGAAAAGATAGCTGGGCCTGGGGGACCACTACCACCAAGATGCGGAGACCAGTAGTAGCCCTGAATGCCTGGCTGTGTTGTTATTTATTGGATACAAGACAAGGGGGCAGGGTAAGGATTGTGAGTCATCTCCAATGATAGGTAAGGTCACACGAGTCACGTGTCCACCAGACAGAGTCCCTTCCCTGTTTGGTAGCTGAGGCAGAGAGAGAGAGGGGACAGCTTATGTCATTATTTCTTCTATTCATTTCTTGGAGAGATCAAAGACTTTAATGCTTTTGCTAATTCTGCTACTACTATCTAGAAGGTAGAGCCAGGTGTACAGGGCGGAACATGAAAGTGGACAAGGAGTGTGACCGCTGAAGCACAGCATCACAGGGAGACGTTTAGGTCTCTGGATGGCTGCAGGTGGGCTTGACTGATATCAGGCCTTCCACAAGAGGTGATGGAGCAGAGTCTTCTCTAACTCCCCCTGGGGAAAGGGAGATTCCCTTTCCTGGTCTGCTAAGTAACCGGTACCTTCCCAGACACTGGTGCTACTGCTAGACCGAGGTCTGCCAAGTAAAGGGTGCCTTCCCAGGCACTGGCGTTACTGCTAGACCAAGGAGACCTCTAGTGGCCCTGTCCAGGCATGACAGAGGGCTTACGCTCTTTTCTGGTCACTTCTCACCATGTCCCTTCAGCTCCTATCTGTGTATGGCCTGGATTTTCCTAGGTTATAATTGTAGAACAGAGATTATTATAACATTGGAATAAAGAGTAATGCTACAAATTAATGATTGATAATATTCATATATAATCATCTCTATATTCTATGTCTAATATAACTATTCTTAAGTATTTTCTTTATTATACTGGAACAGCTTGTGCCTTCAGTCACTTTATTATACTGGAACAGCTTGTGCCTTCAGTCTCTTTATTATACTGGAACAGCTTGTGAATTTAGTCTCTTGCCTTGGCACCTAGGTGGCTTCCTGCCCACATCGGTCTTTGATGCTGGTGACTTACAGATGGGGTTTTGGTGTGGATGTCCTTTTTGTTGATGTTGATGCTATTCCTTTTTGTTTGTTAGTTTTCCTTCTAACAGTCAGGCCCCTCAGCTGCAAGTCTGTTGGAGTGTGCTGGAGGTCCACTCCAGAACCTATTTGCCTGGCTATCACCAGAGAAGGCTACAAAACAGCCAATATTGCAGAACAGTAAATATTGCTACCTGGTCCTTCTTCTGCAAGTTTTGTCCCAGTGGGGAACCCATCTGTATGAGGTGTCTGTTGACCTCTACTGGGAGGTGTCTCCCAGTCAGGCTACACGTGTGTCAGGGACCCAGTTGAGGAGTCAGTCTGTCCATTCTCAGAGCTCAAAAACTGTGCTGAGAGAAACACTGCTGTCTTCAGAGCTGTCAGACAGGGATGTTTAAGTCTGCAGAAGTTGTCTTCTGCCTTGTGTTCAGCTATGCCCTGCTCACAGAGGTGGAGTCTATAGAGGCAGTAGGCCTTGCTGAGTTGCTGTGGGCTCCACCCAGTTTGAGCTTCCCAGCCTCTTTGTTTACTTATTCAAGCTTCAGCATTGGCAGACGCCCCTCCCCCAGCCAGGCTGCAGCATTGCAGGTCAATCTCAGACTGCTGCACTAGCAGTGAGCAAGGCTTTGTGGGTGTGGGACCCACCAAGCCAGGCACGGGAGGGAATATCCTGGTCTGCTAGTTGCTAAGACAGTCGAAAAGCACAGTATTTGGGTGAGAGTGTATCGTTTCTCCAGGTACAGTTTGTCACGGCTTCCCTTGGCTAGGAAAGGGAAATCCCCCAACTCCTTGTGCTTCCCAGGTGAGGCGACACCACGTCCTGCTTCGGCTTACCCTCCGTGGGCTGCATCCACTGTCCAACCAGTCCCAGTGAGATGAGCTAGGTACCTTAGTTGGAAATGCAGAAATCACCTGTCTTCTGCATCAATCTCGCTGGGAGCTGCAGACCGGAGCTGTTCCTATTCGGCCATCTTGGAAGCGACTGAAACCTTAACCAATATTTTATATACAGTAAAATGCAAACTCCTTGTCAGTTCTATGAGTTGTTAAAAACACTTTTGTCTAAATATCACCAAGGTCAAGATATAGACTAATTCCAATGTCCCCTTAAATCTTTTGTCCTTTTAGTCAAACCATATCCCCACTGATCTATTCCAGAATATCATTTCAATAATATCACAGAGCAGTTTTTTGAGTCTGATTTCTTTCCCTTAGCATACTGCATTTAGATTTATCTGCATTGTGGTGGGTGTCAGTAACACATTTTTTTATTGCTGAGTAATATTAAATAGCTGTATTACTGTTTGATTATCAATTCACCAATTGAACAGCATTTTGATTGCTTTCAAACTGGGGTGATTATGAATAAAGATTATATAAATATTTGTTTACAGTTTTCTGTATGAACATAGTTTTTATTTCTTTTGAGAAAATACCTAGGAGTGGGATTGTATTTAGATTTAAAAGAAACACCAATCTGCATTTAAAGAATGGCCGTATCTTGTTATTTTCCAACTAGCAACAAATGAATATTTCCATTGTTCTTCTTCTTTGCTGTCATATTTATTGTCCATTTTTATATTTTAAAAATGTTAGTCATTTTAATAGGTGTGTAGCCATATTTCAATGGAACTGTGTGAGTGTGTATGCATATATGTGTTAATTGGGAGACAATTCACGTACTATAACATTCAATAACATTCATTCTTTTAAAGTGTACAAATTCAGTGGTTTTTAGTATATTCACAAAATTGTGTAACCATCACCAATATCTGATTTCAGAATATTTTTTATCACTCAAATAAAACCCCAAACTAATTAATGATCACTCATTGTCCCCTCCTCCCTTAAGCCCCAGTCAAAAACTAGTATACTTGTATCTTTATGGATTTGTCTACTCTGGACATTTCATATAAGAAGAAACATATAATATGTGGTCTTTTTTGTGTGACTTGTTTTACTTAGCATTTTTTTTTCAAGGTTCACCTACTTTGTAGCATGTATTAGTACCTGATTCCTTTTTATGGCTAGATAATTTCCCATTGTCTAGATATACTACGTGTCTTTATACAATACATTCATCAATTGAGAGACATTTTAATAGTTTCCACTTTTTGGTTATTATCAATAATGATGTTATGAATATCATGCATATTTTTATACTGATGTATATTTTCAGTTATCTTTGGTGTATACATAGGAGTAGGATTGTCACTTTGTATGGCAACTCTAAGTATAAATTCTTGAGGAACAAACTGTGTTCTAAAGTGGCTGTACCATTTGACGTTTCTATAAGGATGTTTGAGAGCCCTGATTTTTCCATATCTTCTGCAAATATTTATTATCTTCTGACTTTTTAAAATTAGAACCATCCAGGTATATAGTGGTACCTTGTGACTTTAACTTTCAATGTCCTTATGACTAATGATACTGAACATCTTTTCATATGCTTATTGGCTATTTCTATTAATATCTCTTCTTTAGAGTAATGTTCATTCAAACCCTTTGTGTATTCTGATTGAAATATTTATCATTTTATTATTGAGGAGTAGAAGTATTTATACATTCTTAATAAAAGTCCTTTATCAGATATGTGATTGGAATTTTTTTCACTCTATGGGTTAACATTTTGCTTTCTTGATAGTATACTTTAAAGGACAAATTTTATTAAGTCCAATTTATGTATTTTTTTGTTGCTCTGCTTTTGGTTTTATATCCACGAAATCGTTGCCTAATTAAGGTCACAAATACTTAGACCTATTTTTTCTTATACAAATTTTATAGATTTATATCTTACCTTTATGTCTTTAATTTGTTTTGAGATTTTTTTCTCTTAACGAATGTTGTGAAGTATGGGTCTAGATTGATTATTTTGCATGTGACTATTAGTTGGCACAGTACCTTTTACTGAGAAGTCTGTACTTCCCCTTGAATAGTTTTCCCATCATAGTTAAAGTCAAGTGATGATAAATATAAGGGTGTATTTATGAAATATCAACTGCATTCTGTTGATTTATATGCCTATCCATATGACAACAACACAAACTTTTGTTTATGGTAGATTTGTATTAAGGTTTAAAATCAGGATGTATGACGCCTTCAACTTTGTTCTTTTTCAAGATTGTTTTACGAGGCATGGTGGCTCGTGCCTGTAATCCCAGCACTTTGGGAGGCTGAGGCAAGTGGATCACTTGAAGTCAGGAGTTCGAGACCAGCCTGGCCAACAAGGTGAAACTACATCTCTACTAAAAATAAAAAATTAGTTGGGCATGGTGGCTGTTGCCTGTAATCCCAGCTACTCGACAGGCTAAAGCAGGAGAATCGCTTGAACCCGGGAGGTAGAAGTTGCAGTGAGCCAAGATCGTGCCACTGTCTCTTTTTGTGAGACACCACCACAAAAAAAAAAAAAAAAAGCAAAGAAAGAAAAAAATTTTTTTGCCTTTACAGTGGCCCCAGCAATTCTGCATGAATTTTAAGAACAGCTTGTCAATTTCAGCAGAAAAGGAAGCTGGGGTTTTGATATGGTTTGTGACTCTGTGGAAAAATATGGGGTATATTGCCATCTTAACACTAATAAGTCTTTCAGTTTACAACGACAATATTTCTTTCCATTTATTTAAGTAATTAATTTCTTTCAATAATGTTGTATAGCCTTCAGTGTACAAATCTTGCATTTCTATTGCTCAGTTTATACACAAGAATTTTCCTGCTTTTGATGCTGTTATAAATGGATCTATTTTCTGAATTTCATTTTTGGATTGTTTATTGCTAGTGTGAGAAATACAGTTGATTTTGGTATATTCACCTTATATCTCTCAATCTTATTTAATGTATTTATTATCTCAATTTTTTTTCCTGATGGGTTCCTTAGAAATTAATATATACAAGATATCATCTGTAAATATAGACTTACTTTTTTCTGTCTAATCAAATGCCTTTTTTGTTGTCGTTACCTAATTTCCCTGGCTAGAGCTTTCACTGCAACGTTGAATAGGAGGAGCAAGAGTGAATATAGATGTCTTGTTTCGATTTTAGTGAGAAATCTTTCAGGCTTTCACCATTAAATACGATGTTAGCTGTAAATGTTTCAGAAATGTTCTTTGCCAGGTTTAAGAAGTTCCCTTCTATTTCTAGTTTCTTTAGCTTTAGTGTTTTTATCATAAAAGATTCTTGAATTTTCTGAAATGCTTTTTTTCTGCATCAATTGAGATTATTGTTTTCCCTTTATTTTATTATTGTATATTACATTGTTATAATATTACATTAATTGATCTTCTCAGGTTGTGCCTCCTTGAATTCCATACTCCACATCTCACTTAGTCACGTTATCTGATTCTTTTACACATTGTATACATTGCTGAATTTGATTTGGTAATATTTCATTGATTTTTTGTGTTTTATGTTTGTTTGTTATGTATATATTTACAAAAATATTGGTTTTAGTTTTTGTTGTTGCTAATGTCTTTGTATGCTTTTGTTATTAGGGTAACACTGGCCTCATAGTCAGATTTTTGTGGTGTTCCTTCTTCTGCTATTTTACTGAAGAGTCTTAGCGATTGGTGTTAATGCTTTTTATAATGTCTGAGATAATTCAATAATGAGGCTATCTGCACCTAGGCTTTTCTTTCTGAGAAGGTTTTTGATTACTAATTCAATCTTCTTATTTGTCAAAAATCTATTTATATATCTAATTTTCTTGAGTTAGTTTCAGTTATTTGTGTCTTTCAAGATGTGTATCTGTTTCATCTAGGAATCTGTTTTGTTGACCTAAAATTGTTTCCATATTCCTTACAGTCTTTTTGTTTTATATCTAAAGTCACGAGTAATATATTCTGTTTCTGGCTTTAGTAATAAGAGTTTTCTTCTTTCTTTGTTTGCCGAGCTAAAGTTTTGTCAAGTTTGTTGATCTTTACAAAGAACTACGTTTTGGCCTTGTTGATTTTTCTCTATTGTTTTTCTGTTATTCATTTATTAATTTATGATTAAATCTTTATGATTTCCTTTGTTCGGATTGCTTTATCTTTATTTTGCTTCTTTTTAATATCATTAGGTGGACGGTTAGATTATTAATTTGATATCTCCCTTTATTTTTTGAGACAGAGTCTCACTCTGTCACCCAGGCTGGAGTGCAGTGGCACAATCTTGGCTCACTGCAACCCTGCCTCCTGGGTTCAAGCAATTCTCCTGCCTCGGCCTCCCAAGTAGCTGGGATTACAGGCACCTGCCACCATGCCCAGCTAATTCTTTTGTATTTTTAGTAGAGACAGCGTTTCACCATGTTGGCCAGACTGGTTTCTAACTCCTGACCTCGAGTTATCAGCCTGCTTCAGCTGCCCAAAGTGCTAGTATTACAGGTGTGAGCCACCGTGCCTAGCGGATCTCCCTTCATTGTAAAGATAGCCATTTAAGGCCCAAAATTTTCTATCAGCGCTGTTTTGGTGAATTCCACATGTTTTGGTGAATAGTTGATGAATAGTTATTTTTCAGTTTCATTTATTTCCAAGTATTTGCTAATTTCCCTTTTGAATTCTTCTTTGACACATGGTCAAAGCAGCATGTATTTTTTAGTGGGATTTATAGTATGTTTTACTTTTCACATATTTATTAAGTCCCAAAATTTCCAACTATTAATGATTTCTAATTTCATACAATTGTGGTTGAAGAGTATACTTCGTATTATTTCACTTTTTAACTTCATTGAGACTTGTCTTAAGGCCTAATATATAGTCAATTGTGGTTAACATTCCATGTGCATTTGAGAAGAATGTGTAAATGTTATCCTAGTTTTTCATTCTTGCAATGCTTTTATCTCATTTTAGTGTTAAGGCAATATGATAAGGGAGTTGTATCCAAAATATAGGAAGAGTGCTTAAAATTCCACAATAAGAAAGCAACCCAGTGAAAACAATAGATAAGGATATTAAAAAAACACCTCACCACAAAAAGATATACAGATGCCAAATATGCACATGGAAATATGCTAAAGATCATATGTCACTAGGGAATTGCAAATTAAAACAAGTGAGATATCACTACACACATATTACAATAGATAATATCTAAAACCCTGACAACACCAAATGCTGGTGGAGATGTGGAACAATAGGAACTCTCAACCACTGCTGGTGTAATGATGTAAAATGATATGGCTACTTTTGAATACAGTTGGTAATTTCTTACAAAGCTGAAAATAAATCTTACCATTACATTCATCAATCATGTAAATAGGTATATGCCAGACTGAATTGAAAATGTATATCTACATAAACCTGCACATAAATATTTATAGCAGCTTTATTCATAAGTGCCAAAAGCTGGAAGCAACCAAGAGGTGCTTTTAAGAGTCAATGGAAGAACAAACTTGTTTATCATACGGTGGAATATTATATAGTAATAAAAAGAAATAAGCCATCAAGCCTTGAAAGACATGTAGGAAACATAAAGGCATATTGCTGTGTGAAAGAAGTTACACACTTCTTTCTGAAGGGGCTACATACTGTGTTTCCAAATATATGCTATTCTGGTAAAGGCAATGCTATGGAGATAGTACAATAATCAGTGGATACCAGGAGTTGGTTGAAGGAGAGTAGGGCTGCAATAGGTGAAGCATATGGGATTTTTAGAACAAGGAAACTGTTCTGCATGGCACTGTATGGTGGACACAAGACACTATGTATTTGTCAAAATCCACGGAACTGTACAATACAAAGGGTAGCCTTTATGTAAACCATGGACTTTATTTAATACTAAGGTATCATTGTTGATTCACTGGTGGTAGCAAATATAACATACATGTGCAAGATATTGCATACATATGCAAGATAATAGGGAAACTAGTGGGGGATAAAAGGCATATCTGAACTGTACACCATCTGCTTAATTTTTCTATACATCTAAATAATTCTAAAATAAAATTAATTAATTTAAAAAATGTATCAATGTAGGAGTATTTTTGGATTCTATATATTGTTTCATTGATTTGCATAACTATGCCTTCAGCAATATCAGCCTGTCTTGATTAGTGTAGCTTTAGAGTAATCTTGAAATAAACTAGTGTGAATTCTTAAGTTTTCTTCTTCTTTTTAAAAATTTTTCTGGCTACTCTATATTCTTGACCTTTTGAGATAAGTTTTAGATTCAACTGTCAATTTCTGCATAAAAAAGCCTGTGCAGTATTTTGAGAGTTTGAATTTTAATGAATTTTAACTTTAATAAAGATCTGAATCAATCACTGGAAAACCTAACAAATAGTAGAGGTAAGCCTAAGAAATTTAGCATATGTATATTTCTATTTGCTTGATGGTTACAGTAAATATCTTTATAACGGATGGACTGGTGTAGCCATTTAATCATTGCTCAACTATGTATATTCATATTTGAAATAATGTGTTCTTGAATCCCTTTCAAAAGCAATTGCTGCCAGCTGCAATTTGTCTGTTATTATAATAAAAAATTAGAATTGTTAAAAATAAAACTTTAACATTGCCAAAAAGTTTTTTAAACAATTTTCTAAACTGGCGATACCATTTCTCAATTCATCAAAAACCTGTAAGAGTTCTTGTTGCTACAGATCCTCATCAGGTTTTGCTGTCGTTGGTCTTTTGCTTTTTTGCCCTTCTCCAGAAGTTTTAAGAATGGGAAGGTGTTGATGGAAGAATGAGGAGGAAAGGCTAAGAGTGGAAAAGTATACTGGGTACTGGGTCAGGGGGAAAATATCTTCAAGGTTTCCTCTCTCCCTCAACCTCCTGCCACCACCAAAAGAGTGTATCTGCAGACATTCCTCTGCCCAAGATCTCCAATAAAGAGACCCTAGGAAAGAAGGTGCTTGGCCTAAGAATGCGAATATGTGAAGAACATGACTGACCAGGGCCTCCTGAGTCCTTGACTGTGACTCCCTTCAGAGATTGCAATGCAGTGGCCGTGCACTAAGTCTGGTGTCAGAAAGGCATTTTCTGGTATGAGGCTTGCCATATAAAGCCTTTGTAATTGCCTATGTTTAGACCTGAAAAATCAGATAGGTTTTTAATCAAGGGCTGGACTCCTCCTGTAATATCTTACTGCCGTATTAATTTGCATTTCTCTCATGACTAATGATAGTAAGTTTTCATGTCTTCACTGATCATTTCTTCCTTTGCAAAGTATCTCTTCAAAGACCTTGCCCATTTTTAATTGGATGTCTATTTTAAACTTATTATTGAGTTGTAGAAGTTCTTTGTATATGACAGATACAAGTTTGTATTAAATATATGAACTGTGAATGCTTACTACATAATTTATACTTCCCTTTTCATTTTCTTAATGGTATCTTTATTATCAGGATTTGAAATTTTGATAAAATGTGGTTATCTCTGAATTCTACTATAAAATATTTACCTGTTTTATATTTATAGTGCATCTTCTATAAACAATAAGTAGCTGTGCCTGCTTTTTTATCTAATTTGACAGTATCTAATTGTTTCATAAGGGTGTTAATTCCATTTATATGTAATCTAATTGCAGTCAAATTCAAGTCTACCATTTGAGAGTTGCTTTCTATGTACCTCATGTAATTTTTGTTCCTTTTTTTCCCCTTTCCTCTTTCACATTTTGGTTAATTTAGTAGTTTTAAAATATCTAGTTTTATCTCATTTATTGGCTTTTTACATATGTATCTTTCTTTAGTGATTTCTCTAGGGATTGCAATTTATATTATTAATTTCACACAATTTTCCTCAAATTATTATTGCACAATTTAACTTAGAGTAATATTATAGAATAAGTCTATTTATTTTGACCTTTTTTGTACTTTTGCTGCTTATACTTTTGCTTACATTACACATTCTTAAATACACTGTGCCTATTTTTTGTTTTAAACTTTTAGTTATCTTTTAAAGAAATCAGAAAAATAATAAAATAGTTTTTTAATATTTATTTACATACTTAGCATTTCCAGGGTATTTTTGTTCTCTCTAGTTTTGATTTCCTTTTGGTGTCATCTTAATTTAGCTTGAAAAATATTCTTCAGCAATTTTTATAGTCCAGAAATACTAGTGTGAAATTCTCTAAGTTTTTATTTATTTTTAAAGGCTTTTACTTTGTCTTTATTTCCAGCAAATTCATTTCGCCTAATAATAAATCGTAATTTGATATATTTTTATTTCAGTACTTTAAGTATGCTATTCCACTGTGTTCTTCTCCTTAAGCATCAAAATCCTGCACTGCTCACTTTTCAAATTCTGAGAAAACTTTCTTCCAATAATCTGTCAAGGTTTAAGGTTTTACAAAAAAGGTTAGACTGGTAAAAAGAAAATAATGCCTAAAGTTGGCAATATGAACAGCAAATACTATATTTCTTTTTAGTGTTTTCATATTAATTTCCATGAATAAAACTTCTAGTACCTATAGCACTATGCTTGGCTTAGTAATATTGAAGCTGTTTCCTAAAATATTTTGTTACCTATCTCAATAATATGATTTTATTTTTTACTGTGATCCTCAGTATTGGACAACCATAATCTTTAGTTATTATTAGCTATTAAAGAACAGTTACATTTTGTAAGTATAGTATTTTTCAATTATCAATAGAATGATAATTAAATATGTTCATTCTGGAAAACTTTATAAGTAATTAGTGCAACACACCGAAGTGATTTAACTTTTTCTTAAGTAAGCACGTTTTTGCATCATCATGCAATAGTGTAATATACTATTAGTATGATACATATTACTTCTAGGTATCTTAGCATTGCTTGTGAGAAAATTATGGTAGCCACTTCTTGATTTTAAAAGCAATAAAAATTAATAAACATCTTATACTTTTTAACATGTTAATAATAATGATACTGAGTTCAATTAAGTTTAATACTACTCCTTTGAATATTGATAATTTTTCTTTGTTTTGTTGTCTGCCATCTTGAGTAATTTCTATGAAAGTAATATGTTGGAGCATAATATTATTGGTTCTTCTACAATTTTGAAAGAAACCGTCCAGTGATTCTGAGCACCTTTGAAGATGAAATATTTTAGATACTGTTTGCTCTCAGAACATATCTGATTGAAGATTTATGTGAGCTAAATAATTGATAATCCTGTGTGTGTCAGCTTTCCAAAGATATTTGAGCCTTATTTTTATTCTTAATTTCAAATAATATGGCATACTTCTTTTATATCGGACTCTTCAGAATTCCCTAAAAATATCATATTATTTTCATTTTGTGAGATATTTCCTATCACTACACCTGCTTGGAATGACTGCAATCCACTTGCTACTGATGAATACCAATGTATCTTTCAAGGCCTAAGCATCTCTGAAACAGAGTTGACCAGTCTCTTACTTTCTGCCACTGAAGCAATTGAGAGATGTTTCTGCTTTTTAAAATATAAAGCATATATGTAAAACAACTTAATTGCTAGGTTCCAGAGAGGTGTTCAGTAACTAGCCGTGACATTGCCATCTTTGTGTGTCTCTGTGTATCCAATTTCCTCATCTGAAAATAAAAGTTAACTTCTCTGGCTATTTAGAGAGTTGATGTGAGATTATTTTACCTAATATATACAAAGTATTTAAAACAGTAGAAACTCAACAAGCCCATGGTAATTGTTATTGCAATGTTTCAGATACACACTAGGTGTCTCCATTTTCTACTACAGATTTTTCAAAGTGCAATTAATCAGACTTTAACATTTACTTCAGTGACAACTGCAAGTCAGAAAAAAATGGTCAAAAGTTAATTAAATGGCATTTGATTATAACTGTAGTGCCAATACAAAGCATTTAGTTTTCATGAATTATAGCTGAATTCTTAAGTATAAATTATTTCAAACACACAGTGCTTAAATTGGAACTTGTAATCACTAATCATTTTGTCATGATTTCTGAATATGTCTTACAATTGATTCAAGGAATAAGGTAAAATAATGCTAATGCACACACTTAAATAAGTTTAGTAAATAATTATCATGGAAATTTAATTGCAATTTCACATTTTACTTATAAAATATTTCAAAATGGAATTTTTTAAAGTAATTCTGTTTCATGGGCATTGCCATACTTATAATGGTCAAGGAAACAACTGACTGAAGAAACTGTCTTTAGGCTAGGTGCTCCTGCAAAGTTAAAAAGAAACTATGATACTCGTTGAATAGTAAGAAGTAAAAAGACAAAACAACTTTTTCTCTAGTGAAAGTTCCTGAGAAATTATTTTGAAAATATATTTTAATAGATTGTGAATTATTTGGAAACCAAGATACTGGGGAAAATCTAATTTTGTT
This sequence comes from Homo sapiens, assembly GCF_000001405.40. Taxonomy (NCBI): domain Eukaryota; kingdom Metazoa; phylum Chordata; class Mammalia; order Primates; family Hominidae; genus Homo; species Homo sapiens. Next base: position 185,279,577 of record NC_000002.12, on the reverse strand, counting down.
TGCCCACAATGTCTCCCTCCATGCATTATGGTCAATAATATTTGTTAAGAGAATGGTGAGAAATAAGATTCTTATTAACAGAGGATTAAGGATAAAATTCTTTCATTAGATTTCAACCTATTAACAACTTAAAATGTACTAAGCATGTTAATAAACAGTATAATAAAGAAAACCAAAAAAATTTCCTTCAATCCACATATAAATACCAATCTGATTTATAAAGTTGATTAATGCTTCTTGGAAAGTAATGGGAATTTATTTCAAGTGAAGCAAAGGGTCTACCGTGTGTTAGCTTCTTCATATGAGGATTTAGACTGAGTCTTATTTACTTCATTTAAAAAGCAATATTCTAAGCAATGCCAAAACACACAACCTTCTCATTTAAAAAAAACCCAAGGAGTTATCAAATCTAATTATTATGATTTGCTCGTATTAAGTTCAGGATGAAAGGCAATGATGCAAAAGGGAAAGCTCAATTACAGGTAGAATTTTCTCCTCCAAATAGAGACCTTCATTGGCAAACATTTCTTTGGAGTAAAATGGTAGCCAGTGTTGACTGGGTAATACAACATCACAGTGCAGCAGATAGCTACAGCAATTTTCTGCTTGAATAGATTATTTTAGACTGCTTCTTTCATCTCAAGTGAACATGATTAACACGATGAAAGACAGCACTAAAAATTGTTCAAAGGGCTTTAAAAGTCAATAGTGAGAACAAATTAACTGATTATATAAAGCAGCTAATTTCTGCCATCATAAGAACCACTCTCTTCTCTTAAGTGGTGTCTATTGAATTATCAGGCATATATTTGAGGATTATCTTTATAAGTAGATTAGAATAAATCATCTATTAAACTTAAACTTGTATAGGAAAAATTATTAATAATCTCCTTGTTGATATATTTTCAGGTTTACTTCCATTGTAGTTTCGTAAGCAGAAACATATGTGATAAAGGGACATTTTAAACTAAAAATATATTTTTCATTTTCTCAGGTGGAATTTCTAAAGTCACTAAAATATAATCAAAGCCCTTGTAAAGACTTGTGCCTATTTAAAAATAATTAGTGAATGCTCTTAAGTCCAAACATTGGTTTTAGTTGTTCACTAGGAAAAGACCTTCTTTTCATTCTGCTAAGATGATTCTATCTCAGAGTTCTGGGTAAATTACCATTTCTCAGAATGATTGTACAGAATTTTTACTGCATTCTTCCTTATGTATTTTTAAAAGTGATAGGGCAAAAAAAAAAAAAATATATATATATATATATAATCAAAATTGTCCTAATGAACCTATCAGAAATTTTGCACTATATGTGTGACTGAGTAATATATTGACTCAATTTTAGTAATGTTATATTATCTCTAGTATTATTACTTTTCACTATTATTTGACATTTTATATCTTTGTACTTTGACCCTCTGTAGCAGAATGTAGGTTAGCTCACTCAACACAGGTAGAAGATGATGTAAGTGCCCTGACAATGTGTCCTTGGATCCATTTACCATTTTCATGGTGCACTTTGATTCCCGATAGCCAGCACATGCATGTTGCATTTCCAAGGGCTTCCCCCCATTTTCCAGAGCTCACATATGGAGTAACAGAATCGATTAAGGAACTACTCCCTCCAGGAAGCTGCCCTGATCCAATGACCATGGGTGTATTTCTGTTCTGCTCCAAACAAGGCAATGATGTGACCTTGCCCCTGACTCTAAAGCTCCATTGTGAGATTGAATCAAAACTGTCACCTGGTACCAGACTTGATGATGCACCTTTTCTTAGTTTTCTACCTTCTTTTTTTTTTTTTTTGTCTTTTCCCCCTATTTCTACTAGATTTTCCTAAAAACGTGTCACTTTCAAAATAAATCTCAGGATCTGGTTCTGTGGAACCCAATCTAAAACAATGCTCAATGCCAAATTCCTTCTCTCTCTCTCTCTTTTATTTTTTTAATTCGTAAAAGCTAAATACTCATTTTCCTCACTTTTATAGCTAGAAACTTTCAGTATCCTGGTCCTGACTTTATTGGGCCACTGATACAAGAAAAGCAGCAACGTAACTATGGTTCTTGTTATGTGAGACAAACTGTTATTTGTGGTTTTTCAGCCAGATAATTTAATACTTCCAAATACTTAATGGCTTTTGGAGGAAAGACCAAAGACTCTTTATTGCTCTCTATACTGTAAAAAATAGTATTGTGTATGGACAGACTATTATATGCAATTATTACATATGGTGTGTTCATACGTAAAATGCACTTCACATATTACAGAATCTTATTTATTTATATATTAATTACTTCACATATTTATAGCTCTGTCTCATGTGACCAAAACATAAGCTCAATGAGGGCAAGAAAATAGTTCCTTATAATTTTGTCCCTCTTGCTTAGAGAAATGTGTGATGCAGTATAAAAAACTCATTAAAAGCTTCCTTATTTCATTAAAAAGTATATATGCATAAAATTATGTAAATGTATACTATTTTTAGAACTTTTGAGAAAACATTGCGTATATTATTTTGCTCCTCAAAGAAAACTTAGAAAATATATTGATAGCTTATTATATCAAACATTCTACCTGAATATATTTTATGAATAAGAATATATGCTGTATAGTTAGGTCAGTAAATGGATGAATAAATGCAAGAATAAATAAAAATTAGTAATTTTTGACTGACGTTCCCAAAAGAATTAATTATGAGTTCATGAAAAGCATGTATGTTATATATTTTTTCAAATTGCTGGCAACTGAATATTTAGCACTGGGTCTTAGGTAACTGACAGATCTTTAGAATGAACTGAGAAGGCCAAGGTACATCTTACCCAATCACCACAATAATGAGACATACTGTCTTTCTTTAATTAAATGAAAGTAGCTTTGAAGTATTTTTAGACATAATCTCAACTAACTTTTTAATTTCAATATATTGATATTTATTGCGGGATTTGGCCAGCAGCCCACAATGCAACGGGGCTCTTTCTTTGTTTCCAGGCAGATTGGCAGGTCGAGAAATAATAGACACACACAAGATAGTGAAAGCTGGGTCCAGGGGAGTCACCTCCTTCTGGTCCTGCAATGCCGCCAATGCACTGGATACACCAGCATTTATTATTAAGTTTAGTGAGGGCGGGGGTAGGTTAGTGAGGGATTTAGGGTCATTTGATTATGAGGTGAGATGGTCACATGGGGATGAAGTAATTCTTTAACATAATATTGGTATGCAGAAGTACAGTATACAGAGATAAGAATTTACAATATAGTGTGTGCATCAGCAATTTCTAACAGAGCCTTAAAACAGAAACACAGTCTTTCCATAACCTATGATTAGTAAGATATTAATCAGCAGTAACAGTTGCAGCAAACAATCAATAGAAACAGGACATGAAGCTGGACAACCGGTTAGACCAGAAATTCTCAGAAGGGACTATGCCTTAACCCTAAAGAGGCCTAGAAGAGCCGTGGCAAGATGAGGGCATTTATAGCCCTATCTTGTCCATATGGACAGGCGCCCCTCATGCATCCTTTTATAGGTTCTCCACAAGGGTCACATTCCATTCCCAGAGCTATGACCATCTGCTTTTCTGGGATAGGAATCTTGGTGATGTGAAACCTCCCTGACTTCATGTCCATTCATAGGCTCTCTGCAGAGGGAAGCACATCACATGCTGTTGGCTCATTCTGGCAGCCCAGTCTGGCATTGTCTTTACACAATCCTGCATGCAATTTTGTATTTACAATAATCAGGAGCCTTTCATCTTTTATTCCATAGCAATAGTTTCAGGGGGTCTCCTTACAGCTACTTAATTGCTCTTTTGAGTATTTTATCAAATGAATTATTCCCACCAGAAAATCATCCTTGAGGGAACTCATTCATGATTTGCTGAATATTCTCTGACCTAACCTGGCTAAATTATTGGTGATTTTTTTTTGGAAAAAACAAATTCTTAAATAGATATTTTAGTTATATAAAATGTAATATATATGTATACTACCATACATGATGAAGTTAGAAGACCTAAATTTTTTTAAAAAAATGAAAATTGTTTTTTAAGTTCCCTTGGGGAGAAAGCAATTGTCAGTTTAATTACCTTTTTCCATTCATAAAGTAGGTCTATGAAGTTAGACAATCTTTACTGCAGTGCAAGTGAGCTTCATATTAATGGCAGCTTCTAGAATGAAGCAAAATTAGTTTTGGGAGAGAACTTAAAGGTCATGTAGTCCAAACAGATAAGGAAACATTCTGTGAGGTTTGTGATTAATCAAACACTGTATGGTTAAGGGTAGACACAGTATTTGAATATAAACGAATAAGGAAGTGGGAATAGTCAGAGAAAAGCTGTCAGACCACAAATTACAAAGGAGTCAAGAGGCAAAGTTGATTTTTCAGAAGAATGAAGAGTTAGTTTTTAGATATGTTGAATTTAAAATGGAAATGCCCAGCAGGCAATTAGAGATCCAGGATTGAAATTTAAAGTAGAGGGATTACAGCTAGAGATGGGATTTTAGGATCAGTCTCAGAGAGGTGATTGTTAAGCACTACGCTCTATGAACTCTCTTGGGAGGGTTAAGACTGAAGACTAAAATTCACAATAAGCATATATAAGAGTGAAAGAAAGGAAAGCTATAAAGTGACTTCAGGGGACTTTCTCTCATTTGTCTCACTCTCGCCTGTGTATTCAATCACTCCTATTATGATTCATTTCTAACACCTTTTAAGATTATTAAGGATCTGCCATCTTAAATACAGAAATAAATGATGCCTCATATCTACCCCCGCCAAACATGTGTAGGCCTATCTCTACCTACTGTTTCACAGCCACCTTTCTTGAAAGATTACATATTATTCACTGTCTTCATTTATTTTTATTTTTTTAACTCATACTATTTGGCCTTAGCTCTCTCTCTTCTCCTTGATCTCTTTGGTAAGGTTGCCAATCAATGGCTCCTTATAATAACTACAGTGGACAAACTACAGTGCTTCTGCTTTACTTCTTGTAAAGAAGTGATTATGTTAATCACTTTCTCCTTCATTGGTCCCTTTCCTAGGAACTTCAGGTATTCTTTCAACCTCTTTGATAAAATTTTGTATCACAATTTTATTGTTTTTATTTCTTTCTTTTATTTGTGTTAGTATTTCTTGGAATTCTGCAAGAGTTGTATCTCATACTTAACTGAAGAATGATACCAGGATAGTTTCACTCACAACTGTTTCTTCATATGTTAATATGACTGTATATGGCTAAAGAAAAAAGTATTGTTACCACATGTGTTTAATTAACCACAGGTTATATCTCTATTTTCCCAGCTACATTACATTGTGCAAATTTTAGTTCCCAACAATGGAAAGCCCTATGGATTGCACTCAGCTGAAGTGGCACCTCCAAGCTTGCCCTATTTAATTCCACATGTAAGTCAATTGGCACTATAGACTATACACTCAACATGCTTAAAACTAACCCGAGCACTAAACCTCTTATCTGAGCCTACTTTCTCTGTGGAATGCACATGTCTACGTGCAGACACAAATGCTGTGTGTAATTCCTTTGCCTTTTTCGTTGTAAAGTGATTAGAATTTCTATGTTTACAGAATAAGGAAAAGTCCTTATTAATTTTAAATAAGGCTTACATTATGAATGCTTCAGCACAAGGTGACATATTAAAGGCAATTGCTATTTTCCAAAACAAGCCATGAGCATTTTGATACAAAAAGAATGATTTGGAAAGTGTAGAGAACGAATGACCAATAAAAATTTAGAATGCATTCTTTTTATTTGCCTATGTGAGGTTGAGGGAAGAAACATGTATGTAAATTTATCAGGTTCATTATCATATTCAAATCCAATGTTGATATTTTTCTCTTTCACTGTAATATAACCAAAAGGGATGATGTTTCACAGTTGAAAAACAATTGTATTTTCATACATGTCTACTTCTCTCACTAGCCGATAATGTCCCAGAAAGGCTTTCAAGGGTTTGAGTACTCAATAGATGTTTAACAAGTAAGAAAGAACTAGGAATTAAAACATTATGAATATAAACAGAAAAAAATTTCCAGAAGAGGAATCAACAATTCAAATAAAACAGAGAAGACTATTAAGAAGTAATCAATGACCTTTGATAGAGAGGTTTAAATTAAAGGACAGGAGAGAAATTATATTAGAATAAATGAAAAGATGAATAGTTATAAAACTATCCTAAAGAGATGGTATGATTAGGATAGGTGTGATGTTTAGTCATGATATGCTAAGTGATGCCGGTTATTTTTTTACAAAAACTTTCTATGACTTGTTACCAAAAAACAAAATTCCTTCTTATGGTTTGCATGGGTTCTGCTACCCACAGTTACTCAGGGATCAGAGTGACATAGGCTTTACCCATTTTATTACTGCAATATACATTACATTTTTGCATTGGAACATTGGAACATACAACTTCCTTAGTATTTGCAGCAGAAAAAGGTGGCTGAAAAACCATACTTGATGCTTTTTCTGCATCAATTTGGAAGGGTTTAGACTCCAGGACACTAGTCAGAACTAGTCAAGTGTCTCTGCCTAATCAAGTGGTGGTCTGAGAAATCCAAATCCAAAAAAAAAAAAAAAAAACTATTTGGTGAGCACTACTGATTGTCATAGCTACCCAGTTACATAGAAATTTGACAGAGTTAAATTTGTTTTTACCCACTCATGATATATGGTAAATCTAAAATAAAAATGAACAATGGCAAGAAAAAAATAGAGGAATTACATACAATATTTGGCTCAATTTTTAGCAGAGCCACAGCTTGCTACCTACTTTCTTTCCTTTCCATTTCTATCTTTCCTTATTTTTTTTTTAAATTCAGCTTTCTAGTCTCTAATGGCTTCAAATATTTCAGATTATTGTCATGATTTTCATGATTATCTACTATTTTCTTTACATGTTGTCCTCTATTCCCTAATTCCACAGTATACCACTTCCTTCCTGGGACCATGCTTGCTTTCAATTATGCTTCTTTTTATTTTTCTTAATTTTCCTTAAATTCTGGGATACATATGCAGAACATGCACATTTGTTACATAGGTATACGTGTGCCATGGTGGTTGGTTGCACCTATTGATCTATCCTCTAAGTTCTCTCTCCTCTCCTCCACCCCACAACAGGCCCTGGTCTGTGTTGTTCCTCTCCCTGTGCTCACGTGTTCTCATTGACAACTCTACTTATAAGTGAGAACATGCAGTGTTTGGTTTTCTGCTCCTGTGTTAGTTTGCTGAGGATGACAGCTTCCAGCTTCATCCATGTCTCTGTAAAGGGCATGATCTCATTCATTTTTATGGTTGATAGTATTCCATGGTGTATATGTACCACATTTTTCTTTATCCAGTCTATCATTGATAAGCATTTAGGTTGGTTCCATGACTTTGTTATTGTAAATACTGCTGCAATAAACATATGTGGGCATGTGTCTTTATAGTGGAATGATTAATATTCCTTTGGGTATATACCCAGTAATGGGATTGCTGGGTCAAATGGTAGTTCTGGTTCTAGATCCATGAGGAATTGCCACACTGTCTTCCACAATGGTTGAACTAATTTACATTCATACCAACAGTGTAAAAGCCTTCCTATTTTTCCACAGCCTTGCCAGCATCTGTTGTTTCTTGACTTTTTAATAATCATCATCCTGACTGGAATGAGATGGTTTTGATTTGCATTTCTCTAATGATTAATGATGTGGAGCTTTTTTTTTATATGTTTGTTGGCCATGTAAATGTCTTCTTTAGAGAAGTGTCTGTTTATATCATTTGCGCGTTTTTTGATGGGGCTGTTTGTTTTTTTCTTGTAAATTTGTTTAAGGTCCTTGTAAATTCTGCATATTAGACCTTTGTCAGATGGGTAGATTGCAAAAATTTTCTCCAATTCTGTAGGTTGCTTGCTCACTCTGACGATAGTTTCTGATCAACAAACCTGACAAAACAAGCAATGGGGAAAGGATCTCCTATTCAATAAATGGTGCTGGAAAAACTGGCTAGTCATATGAAGAAAACTGAAACTGGACCCCTTCCTTACACCTTATACAAAAATTAACTCAATATGGATTAAAGACCTAAATGTAAAATCCAAAACCATAAAAAACTAGAAGGAAACATGGGTGTATTAGTCAGGGTTCTCTTAGAAGGAGAGACCTATTAGTTTATATATATATATATATATATATATATATATATATATATATATATCCTATTAGTTTATTAAGTATTAACTTACATGATCTCAAGGTCTCACAATATGCTGTCTGCAAGCTGAGGAGCAAGGGGAGCCAACATGAGTTGCAAAATTGAAGAACTTGGAGTCTGATGTTGAGGGCAGGAAGCATCCAGCATGGGAGAAAGATGTAGGCTGGGAGGCTAGGTCCGCCTCCCTTTTTCATGTTTTTCTGCCTGCTTTATATTCACAGGAAGCTGATTAGATTGTGCCCACCAGACTGAGGGTGGATCTGCCTTTCCCTGCCCACTGACTCAAATGTTAATCTCTTTTGGCAACACTCACACAGACACACCCAGGATTAATACTATGTATCCCTCAATCCAATCAATACTCAGTATTAACCATCACACACCATTCAGGGCATAAGCCTGGGCAAAGACTTCATGATGAAATTGCCAAAAGCAACTGCAACAAAAGCCAAAATTGTTAATTGGGATCTAATTAAACTAAAGCGCTTCTGTACAGCAATTATACTTCTGATAAAAGACCTGTTAAATGTTCTTCAGTTGTTTCTTTATAAATTTCGCCAGTGAACAGCCCCAGCTGAACTTGGGATAGAAATAAGAAATCAATATCCTGTTGAACACAGCAGGATCAGACTGCACAGAAGTAATCTTTACTAGATTTTAAATCCAATGTGTTAATTTGTTCATAGATCTACACTCTATCATACCTGTTATATGATATACTTTAATAAAGTTCTGGCAAATAAATATGAAATATAGTAAGGTTCCTTAAAACATTTTATTGTTATGTTGTTCTAGTTTTCTAATGTGATAAACTTACCTTTTATTCACTTAGCAAATAGTACTTTTTAATTTTCTTTTGCTTTGTTTTGGTATAAACTCAGGTCAGCTGAGATCATGCCACTGCCCTACAGCCTGGGTGACACAGTGAGATTCTATCTTAAAAAAAATAAAAGGAAAAGGAAAACAAAAAGTGATATTGCACTGTATAATTCATATTAAAAATCACATACAGGGGAATAAAATTTAATAAATAAAAAAGTAAAATAAAATGCCTTTCAGCCATAGGAGGGAAATAAAATTGGGAATTAAAATTTCACTTCTTTATTACTTATAATAAAGATATAGAATATGATTTCACAAAATATTATTTGCCCTCCAAATGGTATATATACACATTTTTATCATTATACATTCATTCATATTTTTATAATTTAGTTAAACAATAGAAAATATAATTTTTGAAAGGCCATTCAGTACTTTACCAATCAATAAATTTCATTGTCAAATAATATCCTATATAACTTTGAATGGATAATCTAACCAAGGTAATTCATCAAAATAATAAAAGAAGAAATCTTAACTCAGACAATGTATGATTAACATAGGAAATCAAAACCAAAAATTGATTTTGAAAAATGAGACATAATGCAAATTTTGCACATTAGGCTTATTACATTTCCTTCTTAATTTATGTAAAATAATTAAATGTTATGGTAATATATATTTACAGAAATAATATAGCTCTATATGAATTTATTTATTCTCTGGAGTAGAAAATATACTCATCTAGCCACTTTTAAACACATTTCTTGTGCTTAATTTGCAGTATTTGCCCTATCTGAGAAAATTTTAACATTTTACTATCAAGTTAAAAAGATCATGTGGAGTATTTTATAAACCCATGCTTTTTCAACTTTAAAATATAATTCCAACAGATAAGAGAAACGGACTATCAACTCTCCTTTTAAATCAAATTCAGTATATTATTCTGAAAGTTCAATGCATCTACTGTATTAAGTTGTTAAGTTGTTAAATTCTCATTCTCTGATAGAATACAATATTTACTTGTACATAATAGGAAAAGAATAATTTCTTTAATAAATAATGTTGGGCAAACTGGATATGCACATACAGAAGAATAACATTGGACAAATACATCATATAATTTACAAAGATCAACTCAAAGTAGATTAATGCCTTAAATGTAAGACATAATATCTGAAATTATAAAATGACTAGAAATATATAGGCAATATCTCTGTGACATCGGTCTCATCATTGTTTTGGGGTATAGTCCAAAAAGCATAAGCAACAAAAGCAAAAATAGACAAATTGAATTACACTTAAAAAAAAAGACACAAAACTTCTACACAACAAGGAAACAACTGAATAAAGAGGCAACCTACAAAAATAGAAAAAAATATTGTAAACCATATGTCCGATAGAGTTAAAATTCAAAATGTATAGGGAATTCAACTCAATAGCAAGAAAACAACTTGATTATTAAATGAGCAAAGGACTTCCATAGGCTTTTTTTTTTTTTTTCAAAAAAAGACTTAAAGTAAATCTTACATATTCTCATCGCACACACAAGCAAAGGTAACTATGTGAAGTAATGAAGACGTCAAAAGAAAGAGAGAGAGAGAAGGAAGGAAGGAAGCAAGGAAGGAAGGAAGGAAGAAAGAAGGAAGGAAGGAGGGAGGGAGGGAAGGAGGGAGAGAGGAGAAAGAAAAAAGAAAAGGAAGGAAGAAGGAATGAAGGAAAAAAGAGAAAGAAGGAAAGAAAGAAAAGGAAGGAAAGAAGGAAGTAAGGGAAGAAGGAAGGCGAGAGAAAAACAGGAGCTGTAGGAGGAAGTGAGGAAGGATGGAAAGAAAAAACAAAAGAAAGAAACCTAGAACAAGAAATATAATGTGGTTTGAAGAAAGAAAACTGTTTTTTTTTTTAGAGAGTGTCAACTCAAGAACAACACAAATATTTTCATGACTCTGATACTTTTGCTGAAAAGGGAATACAAATGTAGCTATTCATGTAGTTTTGTGATAATATAACTGGAAAATATGCATTAAAATTATAATCTTAATTTAATTTTTTCAGGGTTATTTTTATTATCCTGATACCACAACTCAATATCTCTATTTCATAGCCAAATTTCTTTAATGAAATATCTAAATTTATTGCCCTTCATATTTCATTCAACTTAAATCTATTCTTTCCTTCTGAACGTTTTTTGTTCAACTTCTTTGTAAGCTGTTTATTATTAGTCTATCCCTGGAATGATCATTATCTTTTAGGGTTTGATTTTAGCCCCATTTTTGCTTCACAGTAAAAAAGAATAAAATGAAAGCTAAACATTTTTAAAGTCACTCCTGACAAACTCATCTAATTGATAATTTAAACTGTTATTTATGGGGTAATGATTTCCAAATACACAACTATAGTCCATGAATTACTAAGAGTAAAGACTTATCTTATTTTTTACTGGAAATCTGTAAGTGGATGTTGTGCAGCATCATACGACAAAAAATGTAAACATCTATTTCAATTTTTGCAACATGGAACTATAGATAACTGAGAAATTTGAAAGGTATAAACAACAAATAATTTTAAATTCTCAAAAATATAAAAGGAAAGTTAGTATTTTAAGGTGAGTGAACAGAATTATAACCTATTTAAACAAGAGTCAAATAGTAATTTTAGAAATAGAAGATATACTCATGGAAATATAAGGAGTAAAATTCTAATAAATTAATTAAGGAGTAGATAAAAATAGTATCAAAGATTTGAAAATAGATTTGATGAAATTGTGCAGAATGCAACAGAGGCATCAAATATTGAATACATATATGAATATATACCTGAATTTTTATATATGTGTATGCGTACATATGCAGGCCTTTGTGACATAGAGGATAGAGTGTAAACATCTATCACATATGTAATGGGAGTTCCACAGAGAGAAAATAGAAATAACTCAGTAGAGAAATCTTTGAAAGACAATGGCTCAGGGATTTCTGTGTCCTGCCATAATGAAATAACTGTAATTAATAACTGTATTTGGATGTGTTCTCTCAAAATAACCAAGTTTAACACAGGACAACATATATGAAGCAAGTATTTTTAAGCATTTGTATTCAGGCAGGTTAAGAAGGTGATACTTGAGAAAAAGAAAGAGAAAAATGAGCTCCATATTCACCTCAGGTTTCTGCGCACTTTCCAGAAACAGAGCAGGGAGTTGGAGCCCAAGCAGTGTTTGGCAGACTCACTGATATGGGCGAGCACAAACCAGAACTTCAGGTTGAAGCGGCTGCTCAGGATACTAGAAAGGAGATAGATGTAAAGCAAAAAGTTTCCAGGAGTCTTCATGTTGGGTCCTGCATATCCTGGGCCAAGGCCTGGGAAGAAAATGCACATAGAAAAGCTCCAAGAATCCTAGAAAAGAGTGTTTTCTTTGAGGCTAGTAGTTGAGCAGAGATTCCATAGGTTGTGCAAGGTTGAAAGACATCGGAATTGTAGTCCAGTCAGCGTGGACAGATCTCTCACTAAGCAACTTAGTCATTCAATTAATATCTCAGATCACGATTTGAGGTGCTTCCTAAACTTTGCCATTATCTACAACAAAGGGCAAAAGCTTTAACAAAGAATTCAAGCTTCTTGGTGGGGGGGATCAAGAAGTTAAAGTAGCGATGTGACTGTTTGTCAGAAGAAAACTCAGTATCAGACACCTTGCAATCATTCACAATATCGATTATACAATAAAAGTTACTAGCAATGAACTAGATGGGATTAGCAGATAAATACTTTAAAACAACTATTTCAAATGTGCTCAAGAACCTAAAAATATTGACACAATGAGTGGAACAAATGGTAATATTTGCAAAGAAATGAAAATTATGAAAAGAAATAAAATACAAATCCTAAAACAAAAAAACTGTAAAGCTGAAATGAAAATTAAAGAGACTAATCCTGCTAAGTGTTAGCAAGGTTTTGAAATAATTAAAACTCTTATTTAATATTCATAAGAAGTTAATAATTGGTACAACTTTTAGAAAATAATTTGTCAGGTTTTTCTTTGAAAAGTTAAATACAACTCAGCATTTCCACTCCTAGATATACAATAAAGAGAAATTAAAGTTCATTTACATACAGATTTGTAAACAAATCTTCAGAGATGCTTTATCTGAAAGAGTCCTAAATTGGAAAAAATTTTAAAATCCGTTAGCAGGTGAGTGAATAAGCAAATTGTGCTATATCATTAAGATGCAATATTTTCAGCAATTAAAAGGAATTATCTGTTGATACAGACAACAGAATGTATGATTCTCAAAAATCACTGTGTTGAGTAAAATAAATCAGACCTCCCCCAAAAAAATACATACTGCATGATTCCATTCATATAAAACTCATGGAAATGAAAACTAATTCAGAGTGACCAAAATCACATCAGTGTTTTCCTGAATAAGAGTGGAGAGAAGAATGGGTTACAACATGACTGAAATGTTTTGGCTCTGTGTCCCCATTGAAATCCCACCTTGATTTGTCATCCCCATAATCCCCATGTGTCAAGGGCAGGACCAGGTGGAGGTAATTGAATCATGGGAGTAGTTTCCTCCATGCTGTTCTCATGGTAATGAGTGAGTCTCAGGAGATCTGATGGTTTTATAAGTGTCTGGCATTTCCCGTGGTTATGCTAATTCTCTCTCCTAACATCCTGTGACAAGGTGCCTTCCACTATGATTGTAAGTTTCCTGAGGCTTCCCCAACCATATGAAACTTTGATTCAATTAAACATCTTTTCTTTATAAATTACCCAGTATTGGCTATTTCTTCATAGCAGTGTGAGAACAGATTAATACAGTAAATTGGTGCCAGGAGTGGGCTGCTACTATAAAGGTACCCCAAAATGTGCAAGCAACTTTAGAACTGGGTAAGAGGCAGAGGTTGGAACAGTTTGAACGGCTCAGAAAAAGACAGAAAGATGTGGGAAAGTTTGGAATTTCCTAGAGACTTGAATGTCTTTGCCCAAAATGCTACTAGTGATATGAACAATGAAGTCCAGACTGATGTGGTCGCAGATGGAGATGAGAAACTTGTTGGAAGCTGGAATAAAAGTGACTCTTGCTATGCTTTCACAAAGAGACTGGTGGCATTTTGCACCTGCTCTAGCAATCTGTGGAACTTTGAACTTGAGAGAGATGATTTAGCATATCTGGTGGAAGAAATTTCTAAGCAGTAAAGCTTTCAAGAGGTTACTTGGGTGCTCTTAAAAGTGTTCAGTTTTATTCATTCACAAATAGATGATTTGGAATTGAAACTTATGTTTAAAAAGGAAGCAGAGCATAAAAGTTTGGAAAATTTGCAGTCTAATGATTCTATAGAAAAAAGTTTTCTGAGGAGAAATTCAATCTGGCTGCAGAAATTTGCATAAGCAACAAGGAGCCAAATGCTGATCACCAAGAATATGGGGAAAATGTCTCCAGGGCATGTCAGAAGTCTTCACAGGAGCCCCTCCCATCACAGGCACAGAGACCTAGGAGGAAAAAATGGTTTTGTGGGTGGGCCCCTGGGCCTTGCTGCTTTGTGCAGTATCAGGGCTTGGTGTCCTGCATCCCAGCTGAAGCTAAATTGGGCCAAGGTACAGCTCAGGCCATTGCTTCAGAGGGTGCAACTCCAGCCCCAAGCCTTGGAAGCTTCTACGTGGTGTTGGGCCTGCAGGTACAGAGAATTCAAAAATTGTGGTTGGGGAACATCTGCCTAGATTTCAGAGGATGTATGGAAATGCCTGGATGTCCAGGCAGAGGGGAGGAGCCCTCATGGAGACCATCTGCTAGGGCAGTGTGGAAGGGAAATGTGGTGTTGGAGCCTCAACAAAGAGTCCCCACTGGGCACTGCCTAGTGGAGCTGTGTGAAGAGGGGCACCACTCTCCAGACCCCAGAATTGTAGATCCTCTGACAGCTTGCACCATGTGTTCTGGAAAAGCTGCAGAGTCTCATTTCCAGCCTGTGAAAGTAGCTGGAAGTGAGTCTTTGTTCTGCAAAGCCACAGGGGTGGAGGTGCATAAGTCTGCGGGAACCCACCTCTTGCATCAGTGTGATATGGATGTGAGACATGGAATCAAAGGAGATCATTTTGAAACTTTAAGGTTTAATGACTGCCCTATTGGATTTTGGACTTGCATGGGGCCTGTAGTCCCTTTGTTTTAGCCAATTTCTTCCACTTGGAATGGGTGTATTTACCCAATGCCTGTACCCCATTGTATCTAGGAAGTAATTAACTTACTTTTGATTTTACAGGCTCATAGATGGAAGGGATTTGCCTTGTCTCAGATAAGACTTTGGACTTGGACTTTTGGGTTAATACTAGAATGATACAAGACTTGGGGAACTGTTGGAAGGGCATGATTATGTTTTAAAATTTGAGGACATGAGATTTTAGAGGGGCTAGGGGCAGAATGATATGATTTGATTCTGTGTCTCCACCCAAATCTCACCCTGAATTGTAATCCCCATAATCCCCAAGTGTCAAGGGTGGGACCAAGTGGAGGTAATTGAATCATAGCTGCAGTTTCTCATACGCTGTTCTGGTAATAATGAGTCAGTCTCACAAAATCTGATGGTTTTATAAGAATCTGGCATTTCCTCTACTTACTCTCATTCTCTCCTCTGCCACTCTGTGAAGAGGTGCCTTTTGCCATGATTGTAATTTCCTGAGGCCTCCCCAGCCATCTGGACCTGCAAGTCACTTAAACCTCTTTTCTTTATAAATTACTCACACTCAGGTATTCCTTCATAGCAGTATGAGAACAGACTAATACAATGACATAAGAAAACTTCTGAGGAAGATGGAAATGTTGCTTATCTTGATTTTGGTGATGATTACACAATTTTATGCTTATGTACAAACTTATCACATTGTAATGTTAAATAGATACAATTTATTATACCTTGACCAAGTTGAAAAAATAAAAACAAACCAACAACAAAAACACCATCTTTGATCGATACGCTTCAGAGAAGATGGAAAAATGTCAGAACAGTCAGTGAACTTCAAGGTAGATGAATAAAAATTACCCTAACTGAGCAACAGAGGGTAAAAGATATTGGAAATAATAAAACGAGTCTCAGTGGCTGTGAGACAGACAGCAAGTGGCCTAATACACATAAGATTAGAGTTCCTCAGAAGGATAGGAGAGAAATAATGGGGCAGAAAAATATTTGAAGAAATAATGCTTGAGAATTTTTCAAATCTATAAAAGATATCAACTTACAAGATCCTAGTAAATTACAAGGAGGCTTAATTGCAAAGAACAATGCAAAAGACAAGATAAAGGGAAAACCTTAGCCAAAAAAAAATGATGCATTTCATACAAGGAAGTGTTTATATGAACAATGGGTTATGAATATAGTGCAATATAAGAACTGATTTTAGAACAACATATTAAACAAAAGTGAGATTCAATATTTTCTCCAATTTTGAGTCAGAAAAATCCCAGTCAAAATTCTAATAGATCTTTTGTTAAAATAAATCAAAATTTTAAATTTTATATGGAAATGCAGAAGACCTATGAGACAAAATAATATTGTTAAGAAATAAAATATTCAAGATTCACACTAAAAGTTTTCAAAACTGACTATAAAATTGTCATGAGGAGTGGCAAACTGATAAATAGAGCTCAGTAGATAATTCAGAAATATATCTACCCACATAAAGCAAATTGATTTTTTACAAAGACCCCTCACAGAAATTTCAACATTAAGAACAAAGTCTACAATTTGTTCTGAAACAACTGATTAAGTATAAGGAAGAATTAACCTTGAGTCCTACCAGAATACACCCCAAATTAATGAAAAGTGTTTTATAAACCTGAAGATTAAAGCTAAAATAATAAATATTTTAGAATAAAACATATAAATAAACTCATTCTGTAATAAAATATTTTGGATATTGTGAACCCATTGGCTTGCAAATTTTGATAACAAGCTCTTTTAAACAAAGTGCTAAAATTAAGCATATGATAGTCAATGGTGAGTTCCCTAAGTAAAAGATTATATAGTTGAGTTCATTTTAACTTACATTTTAACATGTATCATCAGTTCACCTAATCATTATTGAAACACAACTTTCTTTTTTGCCTTCACACAATGTATTAACATTCAAATAAATAAATATATACTCTTCAATGCTGTTTACAGCGTTTGCATATTTAATAAAGTAGTTGATACATCAATAGAAATTCACTTTTTTGTCAGTTCTATAGAATTTGATATGTTCTTTGAAGATTTAGAGCATAAAATTAGAATAACATAATTACTAGTAAATTTTATTATTTTCATTATTAATTTAGTATTAATTTTGTTATGCAAATTTTATAAGTTCTATAAATGATAATAAAAATTAACATTATATTAATTTATTTAAAAATTAATAAGAATTTGAAGTATCCCAATTCTCTTTGAGTATTTTGTTAAAGAATAACGCTGACAGTTGTGACAAAAGTATTAGGTAAAAGCAAAGAGATGAATATTAAGTGTTTGTCCAATTATAATCAAAAGAAATTGTTATTCTTTGTGTATTTTGCCTTTGATTTATGAGGAAAAGCACTGTTGAACATAAGCTGCAGTGTCTTCAGCCAGGGAGCACTAACAGATGAAGTTAAGACATTTAGGATATGAATAAAGGAGGTTAAAAAAAATGTGGAAATGTAAGTAGTGCAGCAGCTCCTCTAGGATATTTTTCAAAAAGTGAAAAATGAAGTACAGAATAATAAGAAGATTTTCTTGAAGATATTGGGACTGCATTAAAGGAGGGGAGAAATTCCAGGTTATGTCCCTCCTGTTGGGGACTGGGGCAGGTAATCTAGTTTTCTAAGTAGCAACACCTAGGTCCTTACTGTTTCTCAATGTTTTCATATTTCCCTTTGGAGTGTGGGTTTCTCGAGGAATGTAAGACTTCACACACTCTTTGACATTCATAACTACTTCATAGACAATGCAGGGTGTGAAAGAGACAGACTTAAAGGGATTTTGAGATAAAGACAGGCTGGTACATCAAAATCTTTAGGACTGGCAACATGTCCTACAGCCACATCTAAAATTATGATTTGTTTCTTCCTATGCAAGTTTTGTAAAATTATACCTTTCCATGAATTGTTTATTTATTCATAATATTCTTAATTTTTTATATGAAAATTCTCTTAATTTCTTTAGTCATTTCAGAGCAATTGAGATTTTTTTTTCTTATATGTTTTAATATGTTATTTTGCTCCAGAAATTGTCTGTTTATTTATAATCTATGTTGCTATATCTTGGGTAATATCCTACTCTGCAAACCTGAATAGGTTGCATTTTTGAAAAGAGTACTGAATTGACTAACTTTTAATCTTTTTTTCTAATGTTTTCATGTGAGCTATAACTTTAAACAATTAATTTTATCACAATTGTCTCAAAATCCCCATATATGTCCAAAATGCTACGTAATTTTCCTTAAGATTTTCAACATGAGATATTTAAAAGGGTGCTTTTAAATTCTAAATTATGTGAGAATTTTATAATTACCTTTTATGAATGATTCTTATTTACATTAAGGAAATGGAATATTCTAATGTTACTTAAATATTTTGAAATGTGTAGATTTTGGTTATAACCCAATATATCAACCACTTTTTGAAAATATTTTGAGTGCTAAAATAATTTGTACTATGCAACTTTTAAGAACAATATTTTGTGCATGTCTAGGGATCATATTTGTTAATCACATTCAAATATTTTAACTATATCTTTTTTTTCAACTTTTCTCACCTTTTGTTCAAGTTCTCTATAGATAACCAAGAGATGCATGTTCAGGTCTCTCTTGGCTGTGTATTTGTCAATATTCTCCTAATAGTACTGTCAAATTCAAGTATCAAAATTAATTGAACCTATTATCAATATGTTGAATCCTCTTTATCTGTAGTAGTGCATTCTATTCTCGTTTGTTAAATCTGAGAGCAACTTCAGTTTTCTCTAATTGTCTATTAGAATATTATTTTCTGCTCTGTTAAGTCAAACATTATGTGTTTTGTATTTAAAATATGTCCCTTAAAAATAGCAAAGATTAGATTTTCTATTTTTATGCAGAAAAAGATACTCTTTTACCTTAATCATTTCGCAGTTAATATAATTATTAATGTATAGTTATTTTTGATTTAAACATTTTATTTTAAACTATTTGTCCAATCAGATCTCTTTTTCCTTTTTGTTATTTTTAAATTGACTATTTTTATAATTATATTTCTCTCTACCATATTATAAATTATACGCTTTTAAAATTCTTAATGGTTACCTTAGAAATTACAAAATGTATCAAATTAACTCATCTAAGTTTAAAATTTGATTATCTTTGATCTTCCTGTCAGATAATAGAAGAAATTTTAAAATACAATTTACCTTTATTTCCCAATTACATATTATCCTTAGTATTTTAAGTCCCTTTTTACAGATTTATTTAATCATTCTACACATGTAGTTCTGCAGTGTTCAAATACATTTGCACATATATTTATAAATTTATTTGCTCATCTGCATTTCAGATCACTCATCCATCTGAGGTGGTTTTCCTTCTCCTGACGTGCTTTAATGAGATTCTGTGCATGATAAGCAATCTCTCTATTTTGACTTTTTTTCTTGTGTGAAAAAATGGTGAAGTGCCTTCTGATCATCTATTTATTAACTTTCAGAGAAAAGCAATGCTATTTATTTTATAATGCTTTTTTTTCCACTGGAAATGTTGCTGGAGACATAGATGGAGTTTTTAAATTTTTTTTCTAAAATTCAAATTATTATATGTGAAGATAATCAAAATTTCATCTTTGCATGTGGTTCACAGGAAAATGCCCCCTCCCTCAAACACACAAGGTGTCCACATACGAATCCCTGGAACCTGTAAATGTGCTACCTTACATGGTAAAAGAGACTTTACAACTGTGATCAAGTTAGAAGTCTCCAGGTGGGAGGATTCTCATGCATTATCTGTGTGTGGCCAATTTAGTCACTCTTTCCTTATATGTGAAAGAGGAAACAAGAGTCAGAATCAGAGTGATGGAATCTAACAAATACTTGTGTGGCCACTGCTGGCTTTGAAAATGGAAAGGAGCTATAAAGCCAATGAATAAAGGGAGCCTCTAGATGCTGGAAGAGGCAAGAAGATGGGTTTTCCACTACAGGCTCCAGAAAGCAATGTAGCCTTGTTAACATCTTTATTTCAGCCCTGTGAGACCCACTTTAGATTCTTATCTGGAGAATTATAAGATAATAAATGCATTATTTTAAGCCACTAAGTTTGTGTTGTTTGTGGTGGTGATTATAAAACAGCAATAGGAAACAATACATTACCTTTCTAATTGTTTTTCTTCTCATGGATTTATATCATTTTCTAATCTTTATAGACATAGTTTTCTTCTTCTTTTTTTTTTTTTTTTTTTTTTGAGACGGAGTCTCACACTGTCATCCAGGCTGGAATGCTGTGATGCCATCTCAGCTCACTGCTCACTGCAACCTCTGCCTCCCGGGTTCAAGCAATTCTCTGCCTCAGCCTCCTGAGCGGCTGGGACTACAGGTGCCTGCCACCACACCGGGCTAATTTTTTTATATTTTTAACAGAGACGGGGTTTCACCATCTTGGCCAGTCTGGTCTTGAACTCCTAACCTTGTGATCTGCCCGCCTTGGCCTTCCAAAGTGCTGGGATTACAGGCATGAGCCACCGTGCCCGGCCAATATAGTGTTATTTTTTTCTAAACCATAGCTATACCAACTTGCTGGATTCTGCCTAGGTAATAAGACACACATTTCCCGTGTGTTCAGAATTCCAAATTCTTTATCATTTCTAAACACCTCAGAGCTTAATATTCCGGAAACAGGGGATTTGCTGTTTTCTAAAAAAAAACAAAAAACAAACAAAAAAAAAACAAACATGAAAGTATTTACATTTGAACTCTCATAAAATGTCTTCCTACACCAGCCCACCAAAGCAGTATTATTTAATTTTGGGTTTAGGATGGGCAGCGAAGGAAGCATTGTTTTCTCTCATCAGGTACTTGCTTCCAGTCATTGCTCAGATTCAGGATAATAGCCTGAAATGTCACTTCAGATGTAGCCATTTGATACTCAAAAGTAGAAACTTACTTTTATTTTTCCTTTACTAGTGTCAGAATATTCTCTTAAAGAATACAGAATGTAAACATGTTTAAATATAAGAAGGGACAATGGCTAAACAGATACACCGGGCTCTTCCTATTTAAAAAATATTGTGTAAAAAATTTTGTTAAAATCACTTGCATTATTATGAGGATATTTTTTAAGATAGGTGTATACCTATTAAGCTTGGTAATCAAGTTTATATTTTTCATAATCTCCTGTCTTCAAAACTGTTGTTCTTTCTCTTTCTGTTTTTGATCTTTGAATCGTGTGAATCAATTCATTCTCCATTGTTAACTCTTTTCCCCTGAAAGGAATACAATGAGGGCCTGATGCAAAGATCAACAAGTGAATAGTGTTGTCTTAGTCCATTTTATGTTACTATATAAAATAACACAGACTGGATAATTTATAAAGAGATGTATTTCTCACAGTTCTGGAGGCTGGTAAGTCCAATATTGAGGTGCTGGCTTCTCACTGTGTCATCCTACAGTGAAATGTGAGAGGGTGAGAGAAAACATGAGGGATTGACGGGCAGCCTCAAGCCTTTTGATATCAGCACCTATCCGTTCATAAAAGTGGAACTCTCATGGGCTAAACACGTTCCATTAGACCTCATTTTCCAACACTATCGCATTGCGGATTAAATTTCCAACACGTGCTTTTGAGATGACACATTCAAACAAGAGCAAGTGTTATTGGCTTCTAATTCATATATTCCCACAACTCTGAAATAGAAATTACTATAC
This sequence comes from Homo sapiens, assembly GCF_000001405.40. Classification (NCBI taxonomy): domain Eukaryota; kingdom Metazoa; phylum Chordata; class Mammalia; order Primates; family Hominidae; genus Homo; species Homo sapiens. Next base: position 185,257,667 of record NC_000002.12, on the reverse strand, counting down.
AAATCTACCTTCAGAGTAACATAATTTATGTCTTTCTTTTAGTTCTTCTATTAAAATTATTTTATTCCTTAAAAATTATTGTCCTCAACAATAAAAGTAAAACTTTAAAAAGTTTCATTGTTAATCGCTTTATTTATTTATTTTAACATGAAGTTTCGCTCTTGTTTTCCAAGCTGGAGTGCAATGGCACAATCTCGGCTCGCTGCAACCTCCGCCTCCCGGGATCAAGCAATTCTCCTGCCTCAGCTCCGAGTAGCTCGGATTGCAGGTGCCTGCAACCATGCCCAGCTAATTTTTTGTATGTTTGATAGATACGGGGTTTCACCATGTTGGCCAGGCTGGTCTCAAACTCCTGACCTCAGGTGATCCACCCACCTCGGCCTCCCGAAGTGCTGGGATTACAGGTGTGAGCCACTGCACCTGGCCAATCGCCGTATTTATAAGCAGGTTTACTGCATTCAAATTTTCCCAGTATTCAAACTAGAAAATTAGGTTCCAGACAAATATGTTGAATCAGGACACTTTTCTACTTACTGAAAATAATTTTTTTATTACAATGCCTTTGTCATAATTCACTCTTAGGATATAGGTGTGTGCAATCAAATATATACTCATGCCTTGCTTAAAGATGGGCATACATTCTGAGAAATGTATCAGGTGATTTCATCATTGTGTGAACAACATACAGTGTATTTACACAAATATAGATGGTATAGCCTACTACACATCTAAACATAAGTTAAAGACTACAAATCTGTACAGCATGTTGCCATACTAAATACTGCAGGCAATTGTAACACAATGGTATTTGTGTATTTAAACACTTAAACATTAAAAAGGTACAGTAAAATATAGTATTATAATCTTATGGGACTACTGTTGTATATGTGGTTCATCATTGACTGGAACATCATTATACAGCACACGACTGTGTGTGTGTATATATATATATGCACACGACTGTGTGTGTGTATATATATATATATGCACACATATATACAAAATAAAAATATGTATATGCACACATATGTGCATACATATGTCCTTACAAATGGAGATTTCCTTTATAGATGTAAATTTCTTTTACAAGGACTTTAAAAATAGCCAGCTAAATATCAGAAAGTTATACTTTGGAAACCAATTTAGTTTGATAGGTGGCTTTTTAACTTTGTTTCTATTTCTTAACTGAATTACTGAGTTCAGACCAAAGACCCTCAAGAAATAGCTTAAATTCACTTAGAACTCCTGGGGCTCTTTAAGGAAGACAGGGAACCCAAAAGGGGGTCAGTGGTCTCTTAGCTGTGTTCCTCAGAAAGTCGCATAAAGTGTCTTTTAGATCCCTTTATGTATAACCAGAACTCTGATGTTTTTCTCTCAGTAAATTTTTATCCATTGATCACAAAATGGAGGAGGTAGAGACTCGAAGGGGAAGAGATCAAAGACGGAAGGGAACTGAGTAGAAGATTGAATGTGGCACAAGGAGGGGCAGAAATAAATGGAAGGACAAATTTAGAGGAGCCATTTTGGGAAGATCTTAAGTTTCCCAAAAAGATCGATGAAGTTCTAGTTAGCAGGGGTTCAAGAAAAAGAGATTCAGCAAATGAAAAGTTCTCGTTGGAGGAATATGATCGAAAATAGAACAGAAAAACATATATATATATATATATATATATAGTCTGAATATCAGCCTACATTAAACTGACTATTGACCATAGAGCTCTTAAAATTAAAAGGCATTTTCAAACCTCTTATTATCAAATGTCAACAGAGACAAGCAGACAATACTTCTGGCTTTTGAACTTTTTTCCTCCTTTCTTTTTAAAAAACCAAAGGCAGCTACTAAGTGACTCAGAATCCATATGCTGTTTATTGATTAACCAAGAATGCATGAGTCATCTCCAAAAAGGTGCAAACACGTGCTACTCACAAGATCCAGAGCTGCACTCAGAAACAGCTAAAAGAAAGAAAGATTTAGACAACAGCTTAAGAGCTAGCAACAATCAGAATACTATATTGTTTTATGGGAATCTCCAACTTTTTCAGTTGGCCTTCTGCACCCTCAACAGGTGGCAAGCTAAGCTATGTTCTCTGGATACAAAACAAGACACACAGAAAAATAATAGCTGTTTATGGAAGGGAGCATTTCAAAAATAAGTGGACATCCTAAAACCAAATTTACACCAGAGTCACAATCCAAACAAATTATTTTCTCCTGCTAACGTGAATTTGGAAAGAAAGAGATAAGGAGAAATGTTTATCTTTCATTTTCTACAAGGTTCTAGATGCAGAGATCTAGGAGAAGAGACCTTGGCAAAAATTTCTATCTTTCTTTGTTGGCTTTTTGTCAGTGGTCCCAGTACCTCATCTGTACGCTCCAGAATGAATAGGTGTCTCAATCTTTCCATCTTCACCCACAGAACTGTACCGGCAAAAAGGGGATGATTCTGTTCCTCCCCATTGTAAAGGGTCACAGCTGACACCATTAAATAAAAACAAAGAGGTAAACAAGGAAAAAGCATAATAAATTTGTTACAAGCACATGTGTGCATTGGAGTCACACAAAATAAGAACTCAGACAGAACTCAGAGAGGGACTTGATTATCAAGGCTTAAATACCCTCTTCATGGGGAAAAGGGAAACTGGGATATGGATAGGGCTAGTAGCAAATAAATGATTATCTTTGGGAAGCTGAGGTGCAGAAGTGCACAGAAACAAAACTTGCCTTATTCCGCAGATAATTACCTCCAGGTAATTTATTGGACTCGCCCTCAGAAGAACAGGTGAAAAGTCGATATGGATGTGGTAATAACTCCTAGTGTCTTCTCTTCTCAGGTAATTGATCCTTCCTGGTTATTTGATGAGATTCTTAAGACAATTGCATTTCTTTTGGAAAGGCTTCTCAGATAAGGAAATTCCAGAGAGAGTCCCTTCTTGTGCTTGGGGAGAGGGAGACAAGACAAATTTAGAGGAACCTTGATTCTGAGGCATCTTCAAATGCCTCTCAGCATATCAAAGTGCCAGTCTTTGGGGTGTCACTTTCTGAGTCCCAACACTATAACATTTTGTTTCTGCATTAAAGGTTTCACAGTAAGTGAACTCTTTAAAGTAAGTTTTTCAAATTTGGTAAGAACCTGTTAAAATTACAATCTGTGATATGTACAATAAAGAAAATATTAAGAATCCATGGAACTCTGTGACAGAGGAAGGAGTCTTCTTCATGGAGGATTGGGAGACTTCACTGAGAATATTTTCATTAGGCTAAAATATGTGGTACATTGAATACAGCAGGAACAGGGTTCAGTAAGGTGAAGCATGCTCCTGAGAGAGAAAGGAGCTTTAAGAAAGCCTGTAGGTAGAATTGAGTACAATGCATTTTAGAAAATGGAAAGGAAAAAAAAAAAAAACAACAACTTGGCTGCAGCATGTAAAACAAGAGGCACAATAGAAGAAATTGCAGGAAATACAGAGAAACCAGTTTTAAAAGAAACTTGTAAGTTATGTTTTAAAAGTTAGCATATTTGTCACAGTTCTCCAGAGAAAACAGAGAGAGAGAGGGAGAGAGAGAGAGAGAGAGAGAGATACAGGAAGAGATACACAGAGAGAGAGATTTTAAGGTCTTAGTTCATACGATTTAGGGTGCTGGGAATTCTGAATTTTGCGGAGTAGGCTGGTAGTCTAGAGACGCAGGGAAGAGCAGGTATTGCAGTCCTAAGGCTACACGCAGTCTGGACCATAATTTCTTCTTCCTTGGTTGACACCAGTCTTTTTCTCTTAAAGCTTTCAACTGGTTAAATGGAACCCACTGCCATTATGGAGGACAACCTGCTTTACTGATTTAATTGTTAATCATGTCTAAAAACTACTTCACAGCAAGTTCTAGACTGGTGCTTGGCTAAACATCTCGGCAACATAGCCTAGACAAGTTGACACATAAAATTAACCATCACAATTTGTAATGAAAAACAGCAACTATAACATGGTAATATCAAATTTGAAATCCTTCAGACATACAGGTTTAAGCATTCAGTCTGAGGAGTGGTTCATGACATAGTAAGTTGCATATATAGATTGCATATTTTATTACATTTTAAACACATTTAAGCATGGAAATTTATAAATATTGAAACTAAATTTGATGATTAAATAGCCTCATGTTAGTTAAAGCAAGCTGTCATTACTAAAAGGGTTTTGACATACATTTATAAAAGATGTGCCCAATGAAGATCATAAAGAAAAACTTACCGATTAGGTTGTCTTTTTTGTTTCCTTCTCTATCTTCCTTTCAATTGTGTTTTCTTTCTTTGCTGTGTCCCAGTTGGCACTTGGCAACTAAGTTCCTTCTTACTATGACAACATATGTCTTTCTTTGCCCCGTGGAGTTTGGGATTAAAGCTGTGCGCCCTTTTACAATCAATACATTATATGATGAATATTGCTAACTTAATAAATTGATCAAAGTATTTGTTCCAAATAAATCACTTTTTTTCTAAGTGGAATACAGGTTTTATTGATGAATTAATTTAGTTTTCTTTTCTTTATTAAGTATGTGGTAGTGGGGATAGAAATAAGAGGTATACTTATGATGTAAAACATGAAGGGCTAAGTTAAAACTGAAGTTGTTACAGTTAAAAACTGAAGGTATGGCAATTAAAAATGTAAATCCTTTCCCTTTTCAAAGTATCATTAAGACAACCTGGGAATTTACCCTAGCTGAGGATCCTAAACCTCTATTTTCCCCTTCAACACAACTCCAGTAGATTCTTTCACGGCTTTAGTGAACACAATCTGCTCTGCTGGAGCTGCTTCTGTTGACCAAAAAGTAGGTAGTATTGTTTTGAATACAAAATAATATCTGCTTCAACAGTCTAACAGCAAAGAGTACAAGACTTACTGGTCTTTTTGTCAAATCAGCTATGAAATAGGATGTGTTCTTAGCATACCAAGTTGGAATTCTGAATGCAATTTTCCAATTATCCATTTAACAAATATTTTAGGTGTCTAGATGTCTATATGCTAGACACTGTTATAGGTGGCAGGGGTACTGTTTATGTACCACTCATACTGTAGTGGGGAAAAATAAACAATAAATGTTGTACACAATAAATGTGTAAATCTAAGAAGCTAGTAATGGAAATTAAAAAAAAAAATAAAAAAAACACAGAGGAGGATATATTACCAGGGTTCCAGCCCCCCCTAAAAAGGAAAAAAAAATGGCACACTCAGAAAAAAATGACTAAATGCAAATTAGTAAATGGACTGCTACTGAAAGAGGTGGACATGGCTATGGAAGCATGTAAGGACTAGCAACACTAGAAAGCCGTTACTGCATCTAGATGTGAAGTGCCAAGGGAAGGGAGCTGTAAAGCAGCACATGGTGGGCACTGTACCCATGGGAATACAGTTGGCCTACAGAAGCTGTAGTCTTAAATAAAGAAATCCATCATGGCCAAACTAAATGCTTAACAAAGAATAAACCATGGGAATAAAAATTCTGACCTGTCTCTTGTATATTCTAATTTCCTGAGAGTGTCATGAGATGACAAACTTCAAATTAAAGCCACAGAGTCAAGGAGCCTGAAGAAGACGCTATGAAGATTAGCCTTCCAGAGCACAAGGCAGGTCAGAGAATTGTGGAGAGTGGGAAAAATGGCCCCATAGGGCTGGAGCTATTGAGAGTATTGATCATTGTAGTGAGGGCAGATTACAAGTTTAAATAAGTTAGTTTGGGTACTTATTATCTAGTATGTGGGTCATATTCTAAGGAAATGTGAATACAATACTATACATTAAGCACTACATACAGGCATTGGTTACCAAAAAAACTTGGTAAACATTAAAAAAATTTCTATTGGATAATAACTTGTTTATCAAACTGCGTATAATATTTTTCAATCATAAGTTATTAATAACTTGAGTACTTACTCAATTTAAGCATGAGAAATCAGATCATGTGTTCTCATTAAAAACAGACTTTGGTCAATTTTCTGTATTTACTAGGTAGATAGAATAAGAGGTTCTCATAAAAGAAAAAGAGAAAATATTTCAGGAAAGTAAAAGGAGAATTAGCAGAGTTCAGTTTGATAGCACTTATTTGAGCAGGGATTTCAAATAATAATTAATATAAATAACCATAATATTTTTGTGTATCACTTTTTAGTCTTATTTTTCTTGTGTGCCTGCACTGTCTAATTTGCATTTTGGAATCTATAATAATTATATGTTTAAAGTTATACTGTTATTATTAATAAATTTAAAGATCTTTGCAAATAAGTAATAGTTAACTAAATGTAACAATTTCTTCTTCACCGATTTTTATACACTTGGAATTTGAAAATAGTCTTTCATACCCTAAGTGAATTACTTATCTGTCTAACATTATTTGTAGATGTGAAGAGTGCTATTTTTTCTAAACATAGCTACACAAAATTATTCCAGTTACTATGCTTAAGCTAAACAGTTATTTGGTAGTACATCAGTGTGTATGGAGTTCATTTTAATATATAACTTAAATATACTCTTAATTATATAGAAAAAACTATATAGAAAAAATTACATAGAAAAAAATTACATGGTAACAAGAATATTCAGGAATTATTTCCAAAAGGAAAAGGATGATACTGAATTTTTCAAAATAAACTAAAAATAAGAGAAAACATTTTATTTTGGAAAGAACAGAGGATTAAAATTTAAATACGTTTGTATTCAAATCTGATATCAAATATTAATAGAGTAACTTTCAACCTGTCTTGGATAAATATGAAGAATCAAATTTGACAATTTTCTTAAAACTCTTGAAGAAAAAGAGAGCCTTAGTCAAAATGTTTCAATTATTTCTAGCTTCACTGATAAAGAAAGATATCTGTAAGTATAGACATATATTCAAAGAATTGCTCTCAAAGCTTGTAAGGTATTTTGCTGATTGGTAAGAATATCACATGGTGAGATATATCACTGTAACATAAGATTAAAGATTATGGCTTTAAATAGTTGATTTACATAAACAAATTTTCTCATCTGAAGCTCACCAAGAAACTGTGCAGTTTAAAGGGTTATTTTTTAAACCTCTAATTAAGTTTCTAAGAATATAGAATAAATATGAGAATAATTAAGTTTCTAAGAATATACCTGTTTTACAGAGATGTGAAACAATGTTATCAGATAGGAAACCATTCCCTCCAATGTCATACAGCTATCATGTACTAATAATAAATGTTGAAATTAAATTCTGCCTAACATCAAACATATAACTTCTGTAATTTATTAAGATGTCTTCTGAGAGATGATTCACTGGATTTCACCAGGTAAAGAAAAGCAACATGACAAAGTTTTGGTGACATGAAGATATTCATTTTGTACAAATGTCACTTTTTGAAGTTGAGGTTGAAAATCCAGTAAATGATTGGATTGACTTTCTGTTAAAAATGGCAAGTTAAGCACATGTGTTTTCTCCAACTTTCTTCTAAAATTTTACTAAAATGACAGTAAAATATTGACATAAGTGATACAATCTTGAAAAATACATGGCAACACAATTTTGGAAGTTTAGAAGCTTATGGATTAGTGGAAACCACTTCAGCAAATTTGAGAAACATATTTGAGCTATACAGCAGGAGAAACACAAAAGTAACATGATTCCTCTGCAGAAACCATAAAATCCTTAAAAAAATTGATGACTCTAAATTCTGTGGCATATTGGCTTGAAGACAGAAGGATTTGTTGAATCCTTTTTTCCAAATGGGTAGATTATTTAGAGTCCTACTTTAATACTATTAGAAAATTAAAAATTGGTCTCCCTAAAAGGTGATCCAGAGACATATATATGGAGCCCAACAGGAACATCTAGCTGTAGGAGTGCAATACTAAAAACAAGAGGATGGCTTGAAAATCCACATGGTGACCGACAAAATACCCAGGCCCCTTCCTGCCCTCATCGCTTATTATTGGCAGCCAGGCTGATGTCCTCTGGGCAGAAAATAAAAAGATTTTTTATCTTAGTAGTATAAGCAGCCTAAACTAAATCCCTAAAGATGTTTTCAGATTATCCATGTGAAAACTTCACCTGTTAAGCCTTCTGAGCTTCTGCTCAATTTCTTGGTGCCTTCTTAAACAAGAGTGCATAAGCATTGATTACCAAATATTTGAAGAAAGCCCTGAAAAAGAAAGGCATATATTGACACAAGCCTGCAGGAAAAACAAACTTGGATGACCAAAGACAATTTCCTCAGAGACATGAGAAAAGATATAGTGCTATGAAAAACCACTCAGAGAACAAAACAGAAGTTGTTTAAGTTATACATATAAGAGTAGATATTTTTACTTAATAATTTTTTGTGAAGTTGAAAATATTCCTGATTAAGGGAAGACAAATACAGGAAATAAAACAGATAATATAATTAAATTTTAAAAACACTTCAGGTGTCCAATACCAAATCTTAGCAATTTCAGAAATAGAGAAAAAAAATTAGGCCATGTTATATGCAAACTACCCACCTATGCTGTAGGATAATTAGTGTTTATAGGGTTGCATATGTTCTACTGTTATCTGATTGCAAGTTTTTCTAATAACCTCTACTTTATATCAGCATTTCTTAGTGCTGACTGTGTCTCTGTGACCTCTTTGCATGGCATCATTTTATTTTATTATATTATTTATTTATTTATTTATTTGAGATAGGGTCTCACTCTGTCACCCAGGCTGGAGTGCAGTGGTGTGATCATGGCTCCCTGTAACCTCTACCTCCCCAGGCTCAGATTATCCTCCCACCTCAGCCTCCTGAGTAGCTGACACCACAGATGCACACCACCATTCATGGCTCAATGTTTTCTCTCTCTTTTCTTTTCTTTTTTTTTTTTTTTTTTTTTTTGGTAGAGATGGGGTTTTGTCATGTTGCCCAGGCTGATCTCAAACTCCTGGACTCAAGAGATGCACCACCTTGGACTTCCAAAATGCTGGGCAAGTCCTGCTGTCTTTACCACCTTCTAAATATTTCTCACAACTCTATACTCATTGTCCATTACTTTGATGTTTGATCAAGATTTATTCATTTCTCTCTTGCCTTACTGCAGTGGCCTTCAGAAATATACAATTTAATGTGAAATCTTTACATTTAATAAGCATTGATTATTGTTACTATGTCACTTATCAATGACATTTGATTTTTTACTACTGTTTTTAACTGTAGAATTTATTAAGTTTTCAGTGAATTTAGTATTAAGACTTTTGTTTTGCCTCTTTCTACAGGCAATAGGAAGGGCATCCCATTTAGAGCCAATAGAAAAGATCAGAGATTAACATTTTAAAATTTAAGCCTTCACAGAAGAATTCTAGACATTTTATCACATGAAATTACTTCTACCTAGAGCTAAATCAGGACTTCATCTGTGTGCAATAGAGGCAACAAAAATCTACATATGGAAGTTGGAGAAAAGAAGCTTTCAAAAATAAATGTATGTCACCATTCTGTAGGAAAGAGCTCTCAGTGTGAATGTAAAAGAAATTTTATTCAAGTCAAAAGAAGTATAAGACTCCTTATTGACTCTTCCTTGAACAAAGATTTGTCTGACTTCAAAAGAGAAGCAACAGCACCGGGCTTTTGAATTCAGTAGAGAGGGCTTGTAGACATGCCCTTTAATGGATCAATAACTCAACTGGTAATGAGAAGCAGAGTCTATTTCCAGAAGTCCAATACCAAAAATCATAGATTAGCAGTTCTATTATATTTAAACTTTCAAACTCAAACTGAAGGGCTAAAAATTTTTGAGAGAAAAGAGAGAGTCCACAGTCTTTAGTAAATCACCCTGTGACTTTCCCCATGTGATAATAATAGTCCTATTACAAAGACTCAATTAAAATGTGGGTCTTACAGCCTATTATGAAGATGTTTCCAGAGGAAGAAGAGAAGGAAGTCAATTTTCCTTTAAAAGGAATAACAGACAATACTCATACGCCAAAAAGCTTGAATAACTTCCTGGATAAAACAGTCCTTGAGGCAAGAAAAATCAAACAAAAATCTATCTTGAGCTTTAATAAGTCTCAATCTTAACCTGGATCAAGATTATGTGAATTTCGTACTGTATTTGGAATTATTTTAACTATAAGCACTGAATCCTATACCTATAAGTGCTACCTTATTTTCATGTTAATTTTAATTAATTTATTCTAATATTATTCTCACAGAATATTATGTTGTTTCAGTATTTTCTGAGTCTGAAATTTCTTTTTTAGATCTAAAGCCAGGGACTGTTTCTCTTGTTCAGTTCCAATTATATTTCTCCCCAAATCTTACATTAGTTTCTAAATAAAATGATAAAACATTCTAATCAGCTAGGGATTACCATAGGATTGTGTAGGATATAGGGGCTCAATGGAAATCAATAAAATGTCAGTGATTCAAGCTGTTTCAAGAAAGAAATACAATCCCTTTTTCTGATTTACATTTCAGGATTATTTGCTTGTATTCTTTAAAAATATCTAAACAGTTTTCCATCTCATTTTCAGGAAGAATACAAACCCTTCACCCCCTCCAGCACACACACACACTGTTATTTATAAACCTTTAAAAGCTTATAAAAACACAATTTAAAATAAATAATTCTTGATAAATACTGTATCAAAACTTCTGTACACATAACAACTATTGCCTAAGGATCCCATTAATGGAAAGTATGATAATAATGTAAACTAACAAGCCAATGACTATTCTTCAGACTCATAGATTCTAGTTCAAGAGATAATCTCATTCTTAATTTTTGCATACTAAGCTGGTTTATGATGTACTGTAGTATGTGCATTTACCAAATTGTTAAACTTGTGGCTAGGAATTAAAATTATTACTGTGGTCTTAGCATATTTGTTTTTGGCCTAAAAGTTTCTGACTACTAGTTTCCACATTACAAATTTTATAAAGCTGATATTTATTCTTTTATACAGTAATTGATTTTACATACTTTTGTATCTCTATTCAATACTCTGATCTTAGACAAATTTCTTTATTTTTCTTTTTCTTGCTCAATTTCCTCTCCTATAAAATTGAGGAGTAGAAATGAATTGTCAGTAAGTCAGCTTTCATATCTATCATTCCAGATTCCATATTCGAATTAATGCTCACCTGATCATATTTTATAGTAATATACATAAAAGCTATTATTTACTAAGTACTTAGTTGCCAGACACTTGGTATTATTCTATGCAACCTTTTTAACAACTATATCAGCTATTATACAAATTGGATAATTTTGGAATGAAAATTTAAGAAATGAGTTCAATAAGATAAAAAGTACAAGATCTGAAAGATCTGTGTTTGATTTCAAGACGAGGACTTTAAACACTACCCTGTACTGAAATCATTACTTCTGTTCTAAAGACATATTGTACTTCAGAATTTAAATTTAAGTATGAGGAATGTGTTTTCTCCCATTTAACCATCCTTATCCTTGGGATAAAAATAGAAGTAAAATGTTTCTTTTTTCTTTTTATTTACTATGCCAACATCCAGTGTTGCAAGATTCTCAGTCTCCTTTTATCAGTAGCTCACCTCTATCCAAACTGGAGATAACTGGGAGCTAGATATTTGAAACCATCCAGTAAATCCTCTGAGTTCCAGGCATAGCATTCTCTGTTCCCATTGTGTAGCAGGCAGCAAGCCAATTTCCACTTGGTGCTTGGAATCAATCACCACAGCTATTACCATAACCCCTTTCTCTTTCCTGTTTCACTAGTACGAGACACTCAAAATAGCCAAGAGGTAAATTTCACTTTCCAATTCAATGTGAGTATTCTGTCCTTTGATGGAAACTTTCTTCTCAGTCAGACCCAAAGTTTCTGGAAGAGAAATAAAACATGTATTTCAGTGATCTTTAGGTGTATTAGTTAGAAGGACCATTTCCATGCCTTGATTCCTAGGCCCATTTACAATGACTATAGGAAAATGAGGCCCATATATAGTAGTCACTGGTTCAAAGCATAGGACATTATTTATTTATTTATAAGTTTTTTAAAGAAATGGGGTCTTGCTCTGTTGCACAGGTTGGAGTGCAATTGCAAAATCATAGCTCACTGCAGCCTCAAACTCCTGGGCTCAAGTGATCCTCCTGCTTCAACCTCCTGAGGAGCCAACATGCTCGGCTAATTTATTTGTTTATCTTTTCACACCCAGCTAATTGTAAAAGGTTTATTTTTTTTAGAGAAGGGGTCATGCCATGTTGGTCAGGCCGGTCTTGAAATCCAGGCCTCAGGCAATCCTCTTGCCCCAGCCTCTCAAAGTGCTGGGATTACAGGCATGAGTCACCATGGCCTGCACGCTAAATTGGCACGCTAATCTTTCAGGGTATTGTCTCTCCCATGGTATCATAAATAAGTGTTAGCAAGTATCTTTTTTAAATCATGATAGTTGTATAAGGCCATTCTTGCATTACTATAAAGGGATAACTGAGGCTGAGTAATTTATAAAGAAGAGAGGTTTTATTGGCTCACAGTCCTGCAGGCTGTACAGGAAGTGTGGTGCTGGCATCTGCTTGGCTTCTGGTGAGGCCTCAGGGAGCTTTTACTCTTGGCAGAAGTTGAAGCAGGTGCAGTGACATCACGTGGTGAGAGAAGGAGCAAGAGAGAGAAAAATGGGAGGGCTCAGACTCTTTTAAACAACTAATACCGGAATGAGAATTCACTTATCACCAAGGGGATGGTGCTAAGCCATCCATGAGGCCCCCAACACCATGATCCAAACACCTCCCAGCAGGACCCACCTCCAAACACGGGGTTACATTTCAACATGAGATTTAGAGGGACAAACATCCAAACCATATAAATGGTCATTTCTTTTAACTGAGCAATTGTAGACTGGCTCAGAAAATTCCCAATTTACATCTGAGATGGTGGTGTCAGTGCTATTCAAACCACTTTATATATTGTTGCCATTGGGCATTTGTCACACGTGTACAGGTTAGGTATCCAATAGGCACCAAAAATTGTGTGCTCTATGAGACTATTGGTTGGGCATTTTCTATTCTAAATTCAGCTCAGTTTAAGTGTGCCATAAGTCCTCTCAAAGTGTTTTCTCTGATGTGTCAAAGGACAGACATTGCAAGAATGAGGTAACCATATCACTACTATGTTTACTCTCCTCAGCTATTCAGATTTCATTGCCACTTGCCATAAAAACATTTTATCTGATTTATATTCAGTGTAGATGAAAGGGTAAAACAAATTATATTTCAGATATGTGGTGGAAATCCACTTCCCATCACACTCAGACACCTGTCTTAGCAATGTGTCATCTTGATTCATAGTCACACAAACTGTAGATGCCTGGCTGTTTAGGAATTTCCACCCTTGCAAATAAAAGGTGATCATTTTTTTCTCTCTCTCTGGTTACCAGAAAAAGAAATAAATTAGTAAATATACCCCAGAAATTATGAACCAAATAGTAGGTTAAAGTTGCTACCTGTTAGTTCAGTGTTCAGGGGATTCTGCAAGCCTTTTGTCCAAATTAAACAGATACAGTCTTTAGGCAGAGCCCATCAATCTTCAGGAGCCCTATTTCCCTTCTACCTGCATCAGCTGGCCATAGCAGCAGACTGGGAGAAATAGCCAAGACTATTTTTTTCATGTCCTAAAATACTCTCACTTTAATAACTTAAACATCCTTTCCATGTGCCTGGTGGTCCTTACTCACTTTTTGTGCCCTCTTCTCACTCACCACAATATTTTCTTATGACTACTTATTACTTTTTACAACTCATACCTATTCTGCCCTGGTAGTATTGGCTGTTGGAAGTATTATACTGATTTTCCAGAGAACCGACAGCTGCATCTGTTTCATCAGGGTTTCTTCCTCAGCCTGACTTCAGGAAAATGTTACAGCATGTGATTGGAAAATAACTACAGGTCTGATCCTGTCACTTGGTAACAAGACGATATTCACATTTAGTCCTAATTTAACTACTATGAGGAAGTTATAATCCACCCTGATGATATTCCAGAAATACATGCATTCAGTCAAATTCTCTAGTATGGATACCATATCTTGTGCATCTCTCTCTCTCTCTCTATCTCTCTCTCTCTCTCTCTCTCTCTCTCTCTCTCTCTCTCTCTCCTGATATGTGAAATAAAAGAAAAATTGTGGGAGGTGGAAAAGTTATAAAGTTATGTAGTTATGTCATATCTCACATTCCCCACCCCCTCGTTTCCAAATTCTTATTTTAAAAATATTTACAGTTAAATCCCTCCTATACTGAATTTCTTTTGTGAAAATATTTAGTCCATTTAAGTATTCCTTCAAGCCTTTTCATACCTCATATTTTAAATCAAAACGTTTAATTGTCAATTGTATATTCAACAAAAACAATGGGACCAATGTTCCAAGGGTGATAAGGTCTGTGATATGTTTATGTAATAGTATGTTACCTTTCCTGTGCACACTACTTGTCTTTGTGCACTAGTGAATACTTTGATCACAGGAAATAAATCCATGTGAGCAAATTGAAAAGTTATTTTTCTACCTTCAATCCTTTATTTATGTTCATTATGTCTGGTTCTGCTACAAAATATAAAAAGCCTAGAATGGAATAATTGTCAATTTTATTCAATACCCATTTGTGCCTACTCCTGCCGCCACCCCCTGGCTACTGACAGATCCAATATAATTTACCTGCCAACTATTAACAAACATTTCCTCTGGGAATTATACCTTATACCATTTTCAGGCAACTTCTTTCCTACTAGCAAAGAAGTACAGTCACTTATTACATTTGTTACTTCAACATGTAGAAGCAAATATGTGATAATGTGACCCATTTTTGCATTGCTTAAATTCACTTGTTTCAAGAACCTGGGTAACGTATTCTGGGGATCTGACTTAGGCAACGGTTATTCCATTCTATTTCCAAGCTAGCTACCCAGTTTTGCTCATGTGAATCTTCACCATTAACCTTAATTTTCACTCTGAATTCCCACAGCTATGTCCAGAATTGAGCATAGACACATGGGGATGCATTTATTGCACAATCATCTAGGGCTCATTCACATGACCATATCACCATCTTGGTGATGGCACAAGAATCTGCAATTATCCAAACTTTCCTCTGAGATCACAAGCCTAATTTCTACTGTACCACTTAGTGGTGGTCTCAGCTCTTTTGATGGCATAGATTTACCATCATCCTCTCCCATCAGGAAACATGCCTTCTTTCCCTAGGGTTTTATAATCTGAAGGGTATTCTACATCCTATTTCTGAACAACAAAGCTACCCTCAATTTAAACAATAACAACAACAAAGAAACAAAAATTTTAAAAAATGCTTCTTGTTTTTCTTTGGCTTGGAGAGAATTATGTAATTCAAAGCATATGGCAATGGCCATGGAAGACCATTGGAGGGATCTATCATCAAACCTACAGGCAGAGAAATATACTGCATATGTATGGGTTGAACTCCCTGAACTCATCTGAACGTCTCACACTGCTCCCTCCAGTTTATATCATTTATGTTTATTTAGTTAGCTACCTAGCAGCCCCTTTTATATGTGTATGTTTCTCTAGCATTACCAAATACATGATAGTCATTTCTAGGCTGAGCTTACCTGACATATGTCTGTAGTCAGTCTCCAGTAACACACAGTAAGAACCTAGCAATTGTCTTTTTTTTTTTTTTTTTTGTGATGGATTCTCACTCTGTTGCCAGGCTGGAGTGCAGTGGCGCAATCTTGGCTCACTGCAAGCTCCGCCTCCCATTCCCCATCCCGGGTTCAAGCTGTTCCCCTGCCTCAGTCTCCCAAGTAGCTGGGACTACAGGTGCTCGCCACCACGCTCAGCTAATTTTTTGTATTTTAGTAGAGACAGGGTTTCACCCTGCTGGCTAGGATAGTCTCGATCTCTTGAACTTGTGATCCGCTCGTCTCGGCCTCCCAAATTGCTAGGATGACAGGCGTGAGCCACGGCGCCCGGCCGCAATTGTCTTTTAAGAGAATATATTCAAGGACTGCATCAGGCAGTTTTGGTTAAAAAAAAAAGAATTCAATAATCTCTGTATGTATCCTGGCTGTAGACACTTTTAAAATCATCTGAACAATTAAATCAAAAGTTATATTTTGTCACTGAAGCAATAGCATTTTGTAAATCTTTTCTAAAAGCTTAAAAACTCTAATGGGGTATAATTTATATATTCTAGATCACATATATTTAAAGTATACAGTGTGAAACATGTTGATATACATACAATCTGTGAAACCCATGTACAATCAACGTAACGGCCATATCAATCCCCCTCAAAAGTGATTTCATGTTTCTTTGTAAATCCTTCCTTTCACCCCTGCCCACTTACCTCCTAACCTACACAACCACTGATCAGCATTATGCCGGTACAGATTGGTTTGGAATTTATCACATTTTATATAAATGAAATCACAAAGTAAATATTCACTTTTGTCTGGCTTCTTTTATTCAGCATAATTTTTAATGATTCATTCATGTGGTAGTATGTATCAAAATGTCGTTTTTTTTGTTACTGACAAGTATTCCATTAAATAGATATGTCACAATTATATTCATCTTGCTTATTTACATACTTTGGTGATCATCAACAAAACTGCTATCTAGCATTCATATATAGGCCTTTGCGTGAATATAAATTAACACTTTGCTAGAAATGGGATTGCTGGGCCATATGGTAAGTGCATGTTTAACTTTGTAATAACTGCCAAACACTTCCAGTCATACCATGTTATATTCATACCAACAATATTTGAAAAATCCATTTCCTCCGTATCCTTGTAACATTTGGTACAGTTAGTCTTTTTCATTTCAGCCATTCTTAAAATGTGTTGCAGTATAGCATTGTGGTTTTAATTTGTATTTCTAATGAATTATCGTGTCTATTTGTCATCTTTATATCTTTTTTGGTAAAGTGAGTGCTCAAAACCTTTCCCACTTCTTTTTTTTTAATTATTCAGTTTGAAAATTATATTTTTATATGTTCTGGACAAAAGACTTTTATCAGATATGTTATTTTCAAGTGTTTTCTCCAAGTCTGTGGCTGATCTTTTTGTTCTTTTAGGAGTGTCTTTTGAAGAGCAGAAGGTTTTAATTCTGCTAACATTTAATTTAACAACTTAGTCTTTTATAGACTATATTTTTGGTGCATATTTGCACAATATTTAAGATATCTACCTGACCAAGGTCACAAAGTTTTTCTCCTGTGTTTTCTTTTAGAAGTTAAATAGTGTTATATCTTACATTTCGGTCCACAAGCCAGTTTCAGAAGATTGTTTAATGTTGTAAGGTATACAACAAATTTTTTTTCACATATGGGTATCCAATTGTTTTATCATCCTTTGTTGTAGAATAACCTTTCTAAAGATGCGAAGGATCTGGGAAGAGAGGATCTTCTTCAACAAAGGTGCTAAAACATGCATTTTTTCATTTCTTTGTTGACCTATTCCTGGATTCTCTGCTGTATTGATTGATCAAAGTGTATATCGTTATGCTACCATCTCTTTTTCTTGATTATTGTAGCTTGAGAGTGATTCTAGAAACCAGTGATACTCCTCCAAGTCTGCTATTTTTCAAAGTTGTTTTGGCTGGTCTAGATCCTTTGCATTTCCATGTGAGTTTTACAATCAATTTTTCTACTTCTATAATGAAGCCTGATGGGATTTTGATAGAGATCATGTTAAAACTATAAATCTATTGGGAAGAATTGGCATTTTAACAATATTGAATATCTCAACCCAGGAGCATGATATAGCTCATCACTTTATTAGGTCTTATTTAATTACACTCAGTAATGTTTCATCGTTTTCAATGCACAGGTCTTTTGCATACTTAGCCAGATTTACCTCTAATTTAAAAAATATATTGATAATAATACAACATTATTTTGTAAAATTCATGTTACATTTGTTCTTTGCTTGTAAATACTAATAAAATTGTTTTTGTACATTGATCTTGTATCATTCTAGTAGCTTTTAGTAAATTGTATTGATTTTGTACATAATGATGTCATCAGTGAACAGTTTTCCCTTTTAAACACTAGGCATTTTTGTTTTGTTTTGTTTTCCTTTTTCATTGAACTTTCTAGAACCTTCACCATATTGTCAAATTTAAGTGGAAAGAGCACAAAGCCTTTGTCTATTCTTGAATTTAGGAAAAATTATTCAGTCTTTCACAATTAAGTATAATTTTAGCTGTAGATTTTCCATAAATGATCATAATTAAGCTGAAGATTCTCCTTTTTCACTATTAGATTGGCGCAAAAGTAACTGTGGTTTGCTGAGCACTTTTTTCTTTTTTTTTCCCTAGGATGTATGCTAAAGTTTGACAAAAGGTTTTTAAAAAAATCTATTGTGATAATTATGTTTTTCTTTTTATTGGTTAATGTGGTAAATTACATTACTTTATTTTCAAATATAAAACCAAATTGCACTCTTGGTAGAAATATCATTGGTCACAATATACGATCATTTGGATATATTTTGGGATTCAGTTTGCCAATATTTAAAAAAATTTTGCTTCTCTCTTCAAGCAGGATATTGGTCAATAGTTTAATCTTCTTGTGAAGTATTTGGTTTTATTTACCTACTTTTTGAATTTTTTTAATTTGCTCCTTTTCAGGTTATAACTTACACACAATATGGTGCAGAAATGTGTATAGCTCAATAAATTTTTACCCCTATACACATATGCATATATTCACAACACAGATAAAAATGTTGATGAAGCACTGACAAACTTTTTCTATCAAAGGCCAAATATGTTTGTTCTTTAGTTCAACCAATCCGTGTTGCAACTACTCAACACTGTTGTAGTGTAAAAGTATCCATGGGCAATATGTAAATGAATGGGCATTTCTGTGTTCCAATAAAACAGTGGGTGGTGTTTCTAACTTGTATCATGGGCTGCAACTTGTGGACCCCAGATACAGACCATTTCCAGCACTTCTGAAAATACCCACTTAAAAAAGAAATTCTCTAACTTTATTGAAGTATACTTGACAAATAAATAAGGGATTTACTTATGTTGTACAAAATGATTTTTTGATATGCATGTACATTGTAAAATTATTATTATGATCAAGTTAATATACATATCCATCACCTCACATAGTTACCATTTCTGTGTGTGTGCATCTGTGTGTGTGTGTGTATGTGTGTAGAACACTTAAGCTCTACCCCCTTAGCAAAATTTTATATACAATTTGGTATTGTTAGCTATAGTAATCATGCTATACACTAAATCTCCAGAACTTACTAATCTTGTATAACTAAAACTCTGTACCTTTTGATCAACATCTCTCTCCATTTCCCTGACCTCCTAAGCCCCAGAAACTACCGTTCTATTCTTTGTTTTTATGAGTTTGAATTTTTTAGATTCCACGTATAAGTGAGATCTTGCAGTATTTGTCTTTCTTTGGCTTATTTCACTTAGAAAAATGAACTTTAAGTACACCCACGTGTGCAAATGAAAGAATTTTTCTCCTTTCTTAAGGCTGAATAATATTCCATTGTATTTATATACCAGATTTTCTTCATACATTCATGTATTGATGGACATTTGTTTCCATATGTTGAAATTAACATAGTAGAGATGCCGTTTTGAGATACTGATTTTGTTTCCTTTGATTATGTACCTAGAGATAGGATTGCTGAGTTATATGATATTTTTAATTGTTTGAAAATCTTCATACTGTTTTCCATAATGGCTATACTAATTTACATTTCCACTAACAGTGTACAAGGGCTCTCTTTTTTCCACATCTTTATCAACATATTATCTTGTCTTTTATGATAATAGACAATATAAAAGGCATGAAGTGATATGTCATTGTTTTGATTTGCATTTCTGTGATAATTAGTAATGTTGAGCACCTTTTCATACACCTATTGACCATCTGTATTTCTGCTTTGTAGAAATGTCTGTTTAGGTCCACTGCCCATTTTTTAATTGGGTAATTTGGTTTTTTGCTCTTAAGTTTTTGAGTTCTTCATGTATCTTGGATATTAACCCCTTATCAGACAAATGGTTTGAAAATGTTTTTTCCCATTTTGTAGGTTGTCTTTTTATTCTGTTGATTATTTTCTTTGCAGTGCAGGAGCCCTTACATTTGACATACCCCTACTTGTCTATTTTTGCTTTTTTTGACTGTACTTTTGGGATTATAAGCAAAATAATAATTTCCCATACCAATGTCAATAAGGTTTTTATTCTTCTTTTTAGGAATTTAATAGTTTCAGGTGTTACATTTAGGTCTTTAATCCATTTGTGTTGACTTTTCTATATTGTGTGAGATAAAGTCTAATTGGACTCTTTGATATATGGATACTGAGTTTTACCAACACCATTTATTGAAGAGACTCTTTCCCTGCTGTATGTTCCTGGCACCCCGATTAAAACCAACTGCCCTTAAATGCATGGGTTTATTTCAAGGGTCTCTATTCTGTTCCATTTGTCTACTAGTCTGTTTTTTTAAGTACCATACTGTTTTTATTACTGTGGCTTTGTAATATTTTTTGAAATCAACAGATGTATGTCTCCAGCTTTGTTCTCTTGATCAAGATGCTTTCACAATTCAGAGTCTTTTATAGTTCCACATAAACGTTAGGATTGTTTTTTTCTATCTCTGTGAAAAGTACCACTGGAATATTGATAGAAATTGCATTGAGTTTGTAGATTGCTTTAGGAAACATGGATATTTTAACAATATTAATTCTTCCAACCCATGAGAACAGGATATCTTTTCATTTATTTTTCATTTTCTTTCAGCAATGTTTTGCAGTTTTCAGTGTAGTGATTTTTCACTTCCTTGGTTAAATTTACTCTTAAATATTTTATTCTTTTTCATGCTATTGTAAATGGAATTGTTTTCCTAATTTTTTCCATAGTTTGTTATTAGTATATAGATGTGTAACTGACTTTTTGTATATTGGTTTTGTATCTTGCAACTTTACTACATTTGTTTATTAGTTCTAATAGTTTTTTGTTGAGTTTTTAGAACTTTCTATATATAAAATTATGTCATCTTAAAACAACAATTTTACTTCTTTCTTTATAATTTGTATGCCTTTTTTTTTCTTGCCTAATTGCTATGGCTACTACTTTCAATATCATTTGAATAGAAGTAGTCAGAGTGGCCATCTTGGTCTCGTCTCTGATCATAGGGCTTCAGCTTTTCATGATTGAGTATGATGTTAGCTTGTCACATATAGGCTTTTGATGATGTGGGCTTGTCATATATGGCTTTTATTATGTTAAGACACATTCTTTATACACCTAATTTTTGAGAGCTTTTAAACATGAAAGAATGTTGAATTGTGTCAAATGCTTTTTCTGCATCTATTGAGATAATCATATAAATTTTATGTTTCATTCTGTTAAGGTGGTGTGTCACATTTATTAATTTGCTTATGTTGTTCTATGCTTGCATCCTAGGAATAAATCATGGCATATGGTCTTTTTAATGCGCTATTAAATTCAATTTGCTTGTATTTTACTGAGAAGTTTTGCATCTATGTTCACCAGGGATATTGTCCTGCATTTACTTTTCTTGTAGTTTCTCTGTCTGCCTTTGTTATCAGAGTAATACTGCCCTTCAAAATTAGTTTCAAAGTGTTCCTTCCTTTTCAATTTTTCAGAAGACTTTGAGGATTGGCATTGATTCTTCTTAAAGTGTTTGGCAGAATTCTCTAGTGAAGCTGTCAAGTCCTGTTAATTGGGAAGTTTTGGATAAATGATTCAGTCATCTCTGACATATCCTTATTGATATGTCATATTTTCTATTTTTTATGATTCAATCTTGGTAGTTTCCATTTCAAGGAATTTAATTATTTCTTCTGGGTTATCCAGTTTGTTGATGCATAGCTGTTTATAGTAGTCTCTTATGATACTTTGTATTTCTGTAGTATTAGGTGTAATAATCTTTCATCTATAATTTTATTTATTTGAGTCTTCTCTAAAGATCTGTCAATTTTGATCATCCTTTCAAAAAACCTCACTCAATTTTGATTATCTTATTTATTGTTATCATCTCTATTTTATTTATTTATGCTCTAATATTTATTATTTCCTTTTTCTGCTAAATTCAGGTTTAGTTAATTTTTTCGCCTAGTTCCTTGAAGTGTAAAGTCAGAAAGTTTATTTGGACTCTTTCATTTTAATGCAGATGCTTATCACTATAAATTTCCTTTTACAGTGGCTTTTTCTGCCTCCCGTAAGATTTGTTATGATGTGTTTCCATTTTTATTTGTCTCAAAGTATTTTTTATTTTACTTTTGATTTATATTTTGATCCATTGTTTGTTTAGAAATGTTTTGTTTAATTCCTACTTATTTTTGTATTTTTCAGAAGTTCTCCTATTTTCGTGGTGCATGGGAATGGTAGCCAGAGGGCTAGGGACACTCATGGGCAAATTGGGTGAAGACGGGTCAGCAGGTGATGTGGTCTATGAGGTTCATGTGCAGCTTTATTGGTAAAATTTGTTTTTTATTTTATTTATTTACTTTTTTGAAACAGAGTCTTGCTCTGTTGCCCCAGCTGGAGTACAGTGGTGTGATCTAGGCTCACTGTAACCTCTGCATCCCAGGTTCAAGCTATTATCCTGCCTCAGCCTCCCAAGTAGCTGGGACTACAGGGTCGGCTAATTTTTGTTGGTGTTGTTGTTGTTGTTTTTGTATTTTCAGTAGAGACGGAGTTTCACTATGCTGGCCAGGCTGTTCTCTAACTCTTAACCTCAGGTGATCCACCCAACTCGGCCTCCCAAAGTGCTGAGATTACAGGCATGAGCCACCGCGCCTGGCCTGTTGGTTGAATTTGAAAGGCAGTTATTAGAAACAATTGCTCTTTGTTGAATTCCATGTTATGAACCCATTTTACCTTTTCTTAGTTGTCCCCAGACTATTCAGCCTTGCAGATTTCCTCAGTCTTCTGAGTGTGGTGCAAAGAAAAGTGGTTCTTGGGCAGCACTTTGCGTGCTTGGGAAAGCTGGTGCTTAATAAGCTCTCACATGGGAGAAGTCACTGGCTGAGGAGGGTGTCCCTGATGAAAACTCCTATTCTGCCATCGTTCTGACATCACTATAAGCAGTATTTTGTTTTGTTATCAAGATCATGTTGGCTCCATCAATGAGTTGGGAACCATTCCCTCGTTTTCCATTTACTGAAGGTTTGATTATTAGTATTATTTCTTTTTCAAACATTTGGTAGCCTACCAGTCTAGTCCTGGAATCTTCTTTGTGGGCAGGTTTTTCAGTACAAATACAAATTCTTTAATAGATACAGTTTTAATCAGGTAATCTATTTCTTGAGTGAACATTGATAGTTTGGTAATTAAAGAAATATGTTCATTTCATCTAAGTTGTCCAATAAATAGGTAGGAGGTTGTTCATGATATTTCTATATTATTATTTTAATATCCATAGAATCTTCAGAGATGTCACCTTTTACCTGACATATGTAATTTACATTCTCTAATTTTTTTTCTGAATGCTAACTAGTGGTTTATCAATTTTATTATTCTTTGCAAAGACATCTTTTGTTTCACTGATTTTTTTTTGTAGGTTTTCTGTTTTATACATCATTTGTTTCTATCCTGAACTTTATTTTTTTTTTTACTTATACTTAGTTTAGGTTTCATTTGCTGTTTGTTTTCTAGAGACATGTTCTCTCTCTGTCGCCCTTGCTGTAGTGGTGCAGTGGTGTGATCATAACTCACTGCAGCCTGGAACTTCTAGGCTCAAGTCATTCTCTTGCCTCTGCCTTCTGAGTAGCTGGCACTGCAGGCACATACCACCATACTCTACTAATTAAAAAAAAAATTGTAGAGGCAAGGTCTCACTATGTTGCCCATGCTGGTCCCAAACTCATGGCCTCAAGCAATTATTCTACCTTGGCCTCCCAAATTTTTAGGAGTACACACATGAGCCACCATGCCCAGCTATATTTACTTATTTTTTTTAGAGACAGGGTCTCAGTGTGTCACCCAGGTTGGAGTGCAATGGCTCTGCCATAGCTCACTGCTGTCTTGACCTCCTGGGCAAAAGCTATCCTCAGGCCTAAGCCTCCCAATTGGCTAGGAATGCAAGTGCATGCAACCACATCCAGCTAACTTTTACAGAGTTTTTGTAGAGACATGGTCTTGCTGTGTTACCCAGGCTGGTCTCAAACTCCTGACCTCAAGCAATCCTGCTACTTGGGCAACTCAAAGTGCTGAGATTACAAGCATGATCCATCACTCCTGGCCTAATTTTCTTTTCGATTTCTTTTTTGATCCCAGGCTTATTTAGAAGTATGTTATTTGGGTAGCTAACTTTTGAAAATAGCATTTTGTGATATAAAATAAATTAATTTAGGTTTATATATATGCATATATATATTTATATATTATGTTATATATATTTATATATATATATAACATGCTACAGAATTAGTTCTCCATAGAAATCCCAGATTTTAAATTTTGTTTTCTTTTATTCTTGTATTTATTTACGATATCATCTCATGTTTAGTTTTTATGTGTTTCTTCTGAATTCTTACAGTTTCTGTGTGTGTGTTTTCTATAAGATGGCAATCATCTTTTTAAGTATTTCAATTCATGACAAAATGCTTGAACCCATTCTTCCTTATTCTGTGGCAACATTTTTTCTTATTTTTTTGATCCATGCCCATTTTTCTTTTTATTTATTTTTAAATAAACTGGATTTTTCAGGACCTAACGTTTAAAGAAAATTTCTGGTAGTCATGAGGGACATCATAGTTTTCCAGACCACCTGATTTCCCCATCCAATAGCTTTCTCTCCACTGACTTAAAGGTATACTTCTTCATGCAAATATGCAAATATAGTTCATCTTTTTTGAATTAGGCAAGATCTAGGGAAAACATACCTGCCACCCCTTCTAAGATCACTTCCAAACCCCTTTTTGGGAACAAAAGGTATTTGTATTGTTTTTAAACTCCTGCTGCCTTTGCTGAGATCTGCCTCTAATGGTCCCTCAGAGTATACTACATGCTTTCTATATTCCACCTTTTTGTCTCTAACAAAAAGTTTGATCACACATGCTTTGGGAATCTCTTAATGTGTTTTAGATTGTATAAAATATGTTTGTCTTCATATAGGTATACAAATATATATGTTAATATCTACATATATAGTACATATATCACCAAATAGATATGCAAATATATATGCTAGTATGTACATGCACACATATTATATATTATAGGTACATACCATATGTATATATATTATACATAACATGTATGTGTTAATATGTACATACATTTATTTGTAATATGTACTTATATTATATGTACAAATTAACATGTATATGTACATATTAACACATATATGTTAATATGTACACATATTTATTTGTCTGTGATAAAACAACATATATTTACAACTGTTTATATATCCAGTAATGTCGAATACTGTGATGTAAACACATGTTGCATTGCATTATAAACCTAAATATAAGGGTTATTTTCGATTTAGCAATTGACACATTACATATTTAGGTTGACCATATATACTCTTGTAATATGGAGGTGACATTATCTATATGGGAGAGATTACATATAAATCATTATATACTTATTTCTAATATTTTCTATTTAACATCACATAGCAAAGTGATGGAAAATAACCATCTTAATGTAGAGAAAATGTGTTTAAACCTTTTGGACCAAGATAGTAAATAAAGAGAAAATTAGATTATCTTATTATTTTATTTCAAAACTGTTATATTCCTGATAGGTAAATATTTCTTATTGTGTATATATTCCATTAACTGCTAATGCAAAATCACTTGGAAATCTTTATTAAGACCAATAGTACACTATTGTTATCTTGGGTTTAAAGTAACATATTCTTCCACACTTTGTTTACAGGAAACCTTGAGGCTGTAATCTTGCTTGTTTCAGATGGCTTCGGAGTAAAACTTGGCTCAGGGGCTTAAGTTTTTATGCATATTTTATTTATAAATTATTTAAATTCACACATCTGACTTTGATTTAAAGATCAGTAAAGTGAAATCTTACGGTTTTAGTTGATTTTTTAGTATCCTCTTGGTAAGACCTGGTTTGTGGAAAACACAATTTTGTATGTATTTAGTTTTTAATGTTGGTATATTGAAGCAAAAGTGCCTCTAAAATCTGTTCATATTTTTAAACATCAAAATTTATTGCTGAGCATATGCAGTAGGTAATTTTATTTTTTCTCTCACATCAGCACTGGAACCACATTAGAAGGTTGTAATAGCATAATTCAACAGATTATTTTTCTCCATTTTACATTTTGACTGTTCCTAAATACATAAACTTCAAATAAGATATTTCAAACATATCTACACAGTATACATTTACTGAAGTTTTTTAGAAGTCATAACAGTCTAATATAAATTTCATGTGTTACAAACATACCACATTGCTATATCATATAAAATCTGATTTTCAAAGGATGGAATATATTGTGTTAACATGTAGATGAATTTTCATCTTCAGTTATAGAAGTCATATATATATATAAATATATATATGTTATTCTTTACAGTCATATTTTTCAAGAAACTCAGTTTGATATTGGTGAGGGAAAAACACTCCATGCTTTTTGCTTTTCCTTCTAATTTAGAATGACTTCTATAAGTGTTTCTCCACTGTGTTACTTTTCTGGCCTTTCTCTACCCGTCTATGCCTGCTTCAGATGGGTCTTTGACTTCATGTGATACATTGATGGAGGGCAATACTTTCCAGAAGCAAACCCCATTCCTGCAGGGATAAAACTTCCCAACTTGTTGGCCACCACTGGCTTGCTAACTGCAAGGTTTGGCCCAAAGATGTGGCTGTGTCCATATTAAAAGCAACTTGTAAAAAAGCAACAACAATATAAAGAACTTTTATTTCTATTTTCAGTCATTTATTTTGAAAGTGAATACCAAATTATATGATTTGATTTCAGTGTTAGGCTCATTTACTTTGTTAATAAAGAGAAGTAATATGATGCTTCTTTATATTATGGAGGTTACTGAAATAAAAACATGGGGGGTATGCTGATATAATGAAACACAGGGTAAACATGGGGATATACCAGGGGCATTGGAGCTCTATCACATTATTGATATATTCAGTCACCAAATTTCCCACCATTTCTTGATAGCAATCAATCCAGAACTTGCCCCTACTTTCCTAATCCCTTTTCAGATTCTTCTAGTACACACCCAAAACTTTTGAGAAGACCTCTCAGACTCGTCTGCCACTGATGTTCCCCTTGGGTGCTTTCTTAGTTCAGCAAGCTAAATAAATGCAAACTTTTTTCTTTATCTAAATATAAGTGTGTTCTTGGTCTCTGCTGGTGGACTTTAACAATCCTGGAGCTTCCATTGAGATACTGTTGAGACATTTTTTTGCTGCCACAGACTAATATTCTTAATACAGAAGTAATACTTTCACTTGTGTGTACACATACTAGAGGCAAACTCAACAATGATAATAAGGCAAGTTAATACAAATCTGTGCTCCAAATATCTTATTGAGCCCTTCAAAATTCTTCTATTTCTGCCTTATGAATAGAGGTCCTAAGACTCTTCAGCCACATGATATGTTTATATTAATTTTCCCTGACTGACAAATCATTGATTGGCCATTAAATATCCTCTCTGTATTTTGTTTTTGTTTCTGTTTTTTGGTACTGACCTGTTTACTAGAGGAAGTTCAAGACAAATGTAGTTATAATAAATGTCTTTCCAGCTGAGCCTGAAGAATGAAAGCTCTCCTTACACATTGTCTTTTCAGGATAAATTTTGTTGTATTATTCATCAACATGTTATCAACACTTATCTTGGTTTGGTTTATGTATGCAAGATTGGCTTTTAAAGATATTTTCTGTCCACAAATTCTACTTGCCATGGGAACCATCGATTTCTCAGGTCAGCAGACAGGGGCAGCTTGACCTTACATTGAGAATCAAAGATGGGCACAAGAGATACTTTTGCTTTTGACTGGTCGTCAGCCAGTCTCTAATGGATAACCTGCTAATAAATTTGTGTTACCTTCCAGCACTTGCTTTTGTGTTATTACTCTTGAACTTTTCTTTCTAATCAGCATGACTGCACCAAGAACATTTAAATTTGCAGTAGCCACTTCTTAGAACTTTTTGATATAACCAAAATTGTTTATTTGAAACATACTTTAAAACAAAATGTGAAGAAAATAAACCCATAGGGACATATGTGTCTGGTTAACATAAAATAAAAATTACTTGATTTAATAGGGAAGACCTCCCTCTTTCTTTTTCTTTACTGGGAAGATGAATAAGCACCAACTTTTAACATGAAACCTTTGCATAATTGTGAAGGATCCAAATTATTGTTTAAATCAGCTACAGTCTCTCTCTCCTTCTCTCTCTGTTTCTCTCTCATCAAAATTAATTTTGCTTTCCATGTGCCTTCTTGTCATCATGCAAAGAAAGAAAAAATCAATCTCAAATATTGAACTTTAATTATCTTCATGTCTGTCTCTAACTGGCTCACTCAAATTTCTACTTCTTTTCTTCCTCTCCCTCTCTCTTTCCCTTCATTTTGGTAAACAGTCCATCATAAAAATGTACACATTCTAAGATTATTGACTGTAGACAAATAGATCTAACACAAAAGGGGGACAAACTATAGAATAACATTTCCTATTACCTAAGTATAAGCCACTGCTTCAATAGGTTTTTTTTTTAACAAACAATTTTATATGTTAAAGGTTCACATGTATTTGAAATTAGAGATATCAAGAAATTCCAACAGAAAAAAAAACATAGATTTTTATTCTTATATTTGTTGTTTTTTGTAAGAAGACAGTTCTATAAAATAAAAATTATTAAGCTGCTATGTCATTGACCTTGTTTCCTATATTACATGGTTAGGGGGAAAGCAAGGCACTCAAGAGTTTTGAAATATTATTTAAAGATGCTTTAAAATTTGATTTTAATTATAGAGGCTTGCAAATGTAAAATATCTGTCAAAATGAATATTTGTACATCTTATAGTGTCTTAGTTAGCTTTTAGGAAACATTTATATCTCTTCCTCGATTTTACCAGAGCCTAAAAATAATAGCAGTATAATATCTTAGTTTGCTAAGGTTTGTTTTTTGTCAATCAACTTTCTAAATTTCTTACATTAGTTTAGGAGTAGGTAAGTTGTAACTGATTACACAAATTGCTTAGACATATAAAAACATAAAATTATGTTTAGTCAAATACATTTATAATAGTGGAAATGTTTTATAGGAGTTTAATCTTTTGAAATTCTTTCTACCTTACAAATCATAAAGAGGTAACAGGTCAGCTTTAAACTGTCATTTTCAGATCTTTGAGTAGCTTAACAATTTTTAAAGTATTATTCAAATTTGTTGATAAGTTAATATTTATATATCTGGACAACATAATTTTAATATCTCTCTGCTGATTTAAATTATAGAGTAGGCATCAATTAAACGTTTAAAGAAGGATGTATAAATACGTTTACCTTACATTAACACCAGTGTTCCCTTGCAAAAAAAATAAAAAGTAAAACCATGTGTGTAATAGTACAAGGATGTTTATGCAGTATCATAAATATGTTTCTGTTCATTGAGGAAACATTTTTTATTTAAAGAAAAAAGTTTTAGTTTGTGCCAGGATATATATTTTGATAAAGATAAAAGGTGAATTTAAGGTATTTATTATGTACACTATATTATCCCTCTGTATAATATATACAAATCATTACTTTAACAGGAGCAATGAAATACATTAAAATATGACAGAATTAGTTAAATGTGTTTGTGTTCATAAGAAAGCTGGGTATAATGCAGTTTGAGTTAATGTAAAAAACTTCATTCAACTTCAACTATAGCATCTCTTTAAACTGAAGGGGGAAGAAAACTACATTGTATCGTGGCAAATGCATTTTTGCTTGCATTTCTACAAACAAACAGGACTGGTTTTGGAGATTGGACTTTATCTAAATAATCAAAGTTATTAGTTCATAACTAGAGGCATAGTTGTGAATTTAGAACACAATCAGGAGCATCAGTCAAGCATAATGGGAACAGTTTTGTTCACATATGTTCTGTTTTAAAATGGAACATCATAACAGTTCAGTGGAGCTCAAAATTACAGCTGAGAAGTGATCAGTTAACCACCCTCAAAAAACCGCATATGGGAAATAGGCTGAAAAATTAGTTTCTTAACATTGACATGTTGCTGCAGTATTACACTCACGGAAAGACCTAAAAAACATTCTTCTCAAAATAAACAGTATGTATATATATGTATATATATATATACACACACACATATATATGTACACACATATATATACACACACACACACATATATGTATATAAAAAAGGAGTTAATAGAAGTACTATCAACAAAAGAAAAAGAGATCATTGCATTTACAGAATTAATGCTGCTGAAATTTTGAAGCCAAAAGATTCAAAATTTTATAGACTGAGTATCTTATTTCAAACTGGGCCAATCTTTGATATATATGTACATATAATTCATATAAAGGAAAAATAACAATTATATATCTTTGGAATGAGTATTTTTTGGACCATATTTTTAAAACAATTTCTAAAACCAGTGCTAGAGAGATTAAGAAAATGTGTAGCATCTTACTTATCATTAAGAGCCATGCAGAGGGAGAGAAAGATAATTCAGGAAGTGGCTCCATTTTTACAAGAAAAAAAAATTGATAAATATTTACATTTGGGATTTTTTTGTCTATTGATATTTCAAAAATAGTAATTACACATTCATAGTACTACAAAGACAGAGTTTTGTGACGAGAAAAGAAGTTGTGCCATGTAATCTCACACTTTTTACTTTTTTTCTAGTGGCAGCAATCACAACAGTGGTACTGGTTGATACCACTGCTGATTGAGGGTTTCAACTAGTTGGGAGGTACAGAATATGTAGAGAAATGCAGATAAGAGTAGAAAGGAGGACTAATGACCTACCAACGTCTTTCTATAATTGCCAATCAATAGCAACAAAGACCATACTGTGGAGTAAATTCACATGGCACATAGATGCAGTATATAGTGAATTGGTTAAGAATACAGCCTCTCTGTTAAACATCTGGATCCAAATCCTAAATAAAGCATTTACTGTGTGACTATGAATGAGCTATTTAATTTATCTGTGCTCTAATTTTCATTAATAAATTGGGGATAATAGTACCTAAGTTATGGGTTATTGTAAAAATCAAGTATTCGTTAACAGAAAAAACGTGCTAAGAACAGTGCTTCGTATATTGTTAATACTATATAAATATAAATAATATTATATTTGTTTTATTGAAATACACACCTGTAAACAGCTGAAACTTTTCTTTAGACAGACATGATAAAATGACCCACTCAAAAGATAGAAGGATCAGACTCCGATCTTAGTGTATTCTAGATACAAAGTGGTTGCCACCTCACTCTTCTAACTCAGTAGAGCTGGATCCCAGAGCAGAAGTCTTCATTTCATAGGAAGTAAGTATCCAGGAAAAAAATTCCTTGAATGCCACTGCCTATGGCCTTGGCACATGTTATTCTTATTATATATTTATATGACTAATTCTTTTTCATCTTTAATTTCTCAGATTAAATGTCCCCTCCTAACTGTGCTCTTTGGTACTCAATTTAAGAATATACTCTTTGTTGTAGCTCTGGAATGAGTCTTTTCCTGACCACAAAAGCTAATGTCTCTGTTAGAGAATGGTACTTAGAAACCAATAGCTTGGTGTTATTTGTGCTCATTGCTACCAGTATGTCACTGCTTCTAATCCAATTCTGATCCAATACCATGTGCTACAGCCTATACTTTTCACTTTCCATATTTGCAACTACCTTATACCATAGTGAGAAATCAGTTTCTTACTCTCCTTAATATATTGATTCATTTGTTCAAGTCTACAATGTGCACATACTAGTTTAAGAGTTATGAAATTACATCACAACAAAGAAAGCAAAGCTTCTAACTAGAGTTCAATATTGATTTCCAGTTTGATTTTTGAACTAAAATGTGCATGTGGTGAAATGAACAGATCTTAAAAATCAAATTTGTTGTGTTTTGACAAATGTATACATCCTTTTACCCATATAATCATTAATATATAGACCATTTCTATCTCCTTAGAAATCTCCTCATGTTCCCTAGTCAATTCCCCCAAGAGGCAACCATTAAAAATCTATGTATATATATTTCATGGTAGATTCATTTTTTTCTGTTCTAGAACCACAGATAAGTGGAATCATGCTGTATGTGTTCTTCTGTATCTGTATTCTGTCACTCAGACATATATTTTAACATGCAATTTTAAAAGTTGCATTATTAACAAAATATATGCAAAAATATATTAGTGAAAGGTCATGTTTTTTAACTATCTTTCAGGAGTTACATTATAGAAGTATCTCCTGAGGCAGACAGTGCTTCTACTGACTCACTCCCCCTCTTTCACCTTTGAATTAGGTCTACAACAGTCTTTCAGACAGAACAGCAGTATCTTACAGAAGAGCAATACCTTATCATCTTTGATATCTATCCTATATTTATACATACATTTGTTAACCTGACCCCAGACTATTTGTCTTACTCATGACACGACCTCTGTGCTCTAAGGACATCTTATTGCTACAGAAGATTAAAGTATTTTGTTTAAAAAATAGTAACAGATATACTGAAATAGCAGGCAACAATATAATGGAAATGTATCTAATATTATTTCAAAATGTGCATTTCAGGGAATGTTTTACTTTAAAAGATGCAAATAATATGGATCTTATTCCCCCAAAAATGACAGGCAATTAAAAACCATGAAAATAAATGAATTCATTTTGCATATTTTGTCTACAAGAGGATAGAATAAAATAACAACAATGAAAAAGGCTTTTTAATATTTAAAGGAGAAACACGATAATTTAATTTAAAGACTTATTGAAATTAATGAAGACTTTTCAAAAAATAGCAAGGTTGGAGAATCATAATTAAGTATATAAAAATTGGTATTTAATGTTGCTGACTTTGGGGTTCAAAATTAGAGAACCCTATAGACAGTAAGGGTAATTTTTGAAGAAATTGCTTTCCAATTTCATCAAACTGTTCCTAGCAATATATCTAGCTAAAATTAAACGTTTGCTGACTCTATTTCTCTTTTCAATAAATAAGGAGTTAATAGAAGTACTATCAACAAAAGAAAAAGAGATCATTGTGTTTATAGAATTAATGCTGCTGAAATTTTGAAGCCAAAAGATTCAAAATTTTACAGATTCAGTATCTTATTTCAAACTGGGCCAATCTTTGATTTTCAAAAGCTTGTAAAGATGATTTAAAAAGACATGTTAAAATAAGCTGAAGCTACTGGTCATAACTGCTAAATCTCTGAAGATAATTGATTATACCAAGTCCTTTATGCTAATTTTGAAACCCACAGTGTGTTTGCTTTTTCTCCCTCCAAAGTTAGCTTTTTCTTCAACTGACACCCTGTAGGAAACTGTGTATAGACATTTGGTGATTTTTTTACTTATTATATTACCAAATTTTCCTCTATATAAGTCTGCTTCTTATAAACCTTAATATTTCCATATGATATTTTTCAAATATTCTAGTTTGTTCCTACATTTTAAACCCAAAACCATTTACATGTAAAACCAAAGAACAAAATTATCATCATTTCTCAACTAATGTTAAGATGTACATCTTTATTATATACAATCCTATCTGTCTGGGGCAGATATCCACTGCTGTTATATTGGTAAGCTTTGAAACAGTGGTATTCAATAAGTCACCTGTGGACTGCTAAGAGGCACTCAAACTGTTAGCTCTCTGTGAAAAGATAAGGAGCTTTAGAGAGAATGTACATCTACCATATGACAAAGCACATGGGTTAATTTGCTCCCCTAACTCCCTACTTCTTTTTATAGCAAGACTTTTTGATGTAAGAAGTTTTACATCAATTAACATACTGATACAAGCTCATAAACTCATTGCACATTGGCACTTTGAGTAGCATTCCTCTAAACCAGGGTTCTGCAAACATTTTCTTTAAAGGACCAGATATTAAATATTGTAGATTCTCTTTGCAATAGTTTGCTATTTAGCATGAAAACACCTATGTAAGTGGATGTACATGACTATGTTCTACTAAAACTTTATTGATGAATACTAGCATTTGAATATCATAAATGATCACGTGTCACAAAATACTGTTTTGATTTTTCCCCAACCATTTAAATATGTAAAAGGTATTCTTAGCTTGTGAGCCATTAAAAAAGTAGTTTGCTAACTCCTGACTTAAGCAATTTTCTAATCATCACTTAAATTGTTACTGTGTAAATCTTCTCTAACTTTTCTATTAGATTTATTATTCTTCTTCCTGTGCTTCAGAATTCATGTACACCTACAAGGTACTTTATTGAGATTAATTTGTGTGGCAATGCTTTTTCCCCTCAGAAGACTGAAGTAATTCATCTAAGGTTCTTAGTCTATGAAGTGTGGTTGGGATTAGAGCCCAAGAGTCTTGCACCAGAGTGTGTGTTTTAGTCACATATCTGTCTGCCATTTACTACTAAGTAGGGATGGAGGAATAGAATTCAATAGGTAGAAAAGGAAGCATATTTTGGAGATTCAGTGAACTAGCATTTAGGAGATCAGATTATCTAGGAGCTTTGTTGGACTTTGAACAAATTACTTAACGTTTTGGGTTTCTGTTTTTTTTTTAATCTGGAAATTTAAAGGATATTGCATATTCTTTAAATATATTTAAACTCAGATATAGGTTTAAATATATTAAACTTAGATATTCTCTAAGTTTCTCAGATTTTTCCATTTTTATGATTCTAGGATATCGGGACACTATAGGATCAGGGAATGGTTTATATAGTGGGTCACCAAAATACACAGATTTGTATATTCACTAAACAAGAGAAAATGAGTGTCAAAGAAGCTTATATACAAACAGAATAATAGTTTTAATGATTCATTAAGAGAATGCTGGAAATAATTCAGTAAATATTTTAGTACGTGGCACACTGATTTTGCCAACAGAGTAATGAAGTTGGAGTCTGGCTAGATTACAGTACATGCAGATATGGCTTCTGCAAATTTGGGAACTTTCCATGCACTTACCTCAGCACCTTCAGACAAAGTCTGCAATCATGTGGTTCTGTGACTAATTTATAGTAACAGGAGAACAGAACAAAAATTTCTAGTT
The DNA here is from genome assembly GCF_000001405.40 of Homo sapiens. Classification (NCBI taxonomy): domain Eukaryota; kingdom Metazoa; phylum Chordata; class Mammalia; order Primates; family Hominidae; genus Homo; species Homo sapiens. The sequence goes on along the minus strand of NC_000002.12, from coordinate 185,222,459 downwards.
TCACCAGATTGCAGATACTAACTGTTCTGATCTCAGTTTACATCATCACCAACAGGGATACTCTATCAGGTTCTGTTTGGAATTTAAGTCCATACAACATCTCTTGTTTAATGTTCCTGTCATTTTTTTTGTAACAGCCCAAATAAATAAAAGCCCCATTGATTTCTACTGTTATATGCATGTTATTCTGAGACTATTTTGCTCATCAAATTTTCCCACTAGCTTCCTTCAATATTTTTCCACTGGGTTCTCTGTAAACTGTATTCCTTGGTTCAATAGTCATGTAGAATATCAAACCAGTCAAAGGAAATCTGACAACAAATCAATCTTGAATTTCTTTATCAGAATAATGGAGGATGCTAAATCCTTCAGCTACCATTTTCTTGCAGACTGGGAGATAAAGTTGGTGTCTTTTCAGTTCTTCAGAAGCATACCCCCAAATTACTTCTCCTTAGACTATTTTTAAAAATATTCATTTCATTTTATCGCACTTCTCAAATGCTACATATGCCATCCTAGACATGGAGACTAATTCTGTATTGATTTTAATACACAGTTCAGTCTTAACTACTTCAACTGCTGCAGAACAGATAAATTGTTAAAATGATATTCTGTGGTACTATCTCCCTGGTAGGTAAAATATATGGGTTGCCAGTATTAATTAAAATACAGAATACCTAGTTAAACTTGAGGTTCAGATAAATAGCATTTTTTTTCAGCAGAAGTATCCTGTTGTCTCAGCTTTTAGTAATTATAAATTATAAGTGTTACAATAATAAAAATAATGACTAATAATCATTGTTGATAATGCAAGTGAAGAATTGCTTCTTCCAGGAAGCCAAGCTGGAAACCCCCAGGCTGAGGTACATACTTCTTTTTATTTTCCAATATTATTACTATTGTGATATATTTTTCCCATATATCTATTATAGTACATTTATTTGTGCTTGTTTCTTTTACCTCTTCTTTTTTTTTTTTTTTTTTGAGACGGAGTTTCGCTCTGTCGCCCAGGCTGGAGTGCAGTGGCGCGATCTCGGCTCACTGCAAGCTCCGCCTCCCGGGTTCACGCCATTCTCCTGCCTCAGCCTCCCAAGTAGCTGGGACTACAGGCGCGCGCCACCATGCCCGGCTAATTTTTGTATTTTTAGTAGAGACGGGGTTTCACCGTGTTAGCCAGGATGGTCTCGATCTCCTGACTTCGTGATCCGCCCGTCTCGGCCTCCCAAAGTGTCTTTTACCTCTTCTTAACTTTGAGCTCCTTGATGGGAAAAAAGTCTGTATCTATCTTATTTATTAATTTATTTTTGTAGTCCTAGCACATGGCTAAGCATCTGACAGATAGCAAATTGTTCATTCTTACTGAATAAAACATTAACTTCTTGGTGTCTCATATGTAGAGGAGTAATTCAATCTAAGAAAGTCACTTTTTAGAGCACAATGAGCCGTAACTCAAAGGTATATTAATTTTCAGTGTAAAAAATTTTTATGGTTTTATTCCCATTTATGTCAAAATATCTCTTCTATATTCAATCTTAAAATAAAGTATGCATTGTATAAACATTTCAAGTGCTCATATAATATATAGGAGTAAATCGATGTTACTTTAGCTCTCAGTAAGCAAAAATATATTAAAGGCAGAAGATTTATATATTACTTATTGGCCCACTGTTAGATGAGTTGACACTAGAAGATAAAATGTGGAATATGAATACCTGTGGCACATTATCATTAATCTTCTTGGAAATGAATAAATTTCTTTTCAGCTTATTTTCCCAGATATCTACTTTGCTGAATTCTTTCTAATAGCATTTTCAGGGTGAAACATTTTATTTTTATGTGATGTATATGCAAACATTAAATTTAACTCATGTATTAAGAAAAGCCTATTCTGTATTTGAAGCAGTGTAGAAGACCAATACCGCATTTCCCAAGATCTGTACCAAATAAAAATATCTCTTATTGTCTAAATACAATTGTATTGATTATGCTTGTAGTTATTTTGTACTATGCTTATAGAGATTGTAGTTATTATGAACAAGTTTCTAAAAATAAGACAATTTAAGCAAATGACAGTAAAGTAGTTGAATACATTTTATGTAATGTGTGGTATGGCCAGGTAGAACACGTATCAGTAACATGTAACAAGAAGAAAGTGGCTCCTCCTAATTTTATTTGTTTTTTCAGCTAGTAAATGGATGTTTCTTGAATTACTCACATCTCTAGTCTTTGTTCTCTCTGTTGAGATCTGACAGATGGGAGCTCAGCAGCAGCCATGCAGAATGTTCTGAATGTGACATGTGTACAGATCAGATGATATCATCTTCCCCAAGAGGCTCGCTTAGTCCTCTTCAGCAACTTTGACCTGCTTTAGCCAATGCATCCTCACAGGAAGAATTTTTGGAATTTTCTATGAATAAAAATAAGCCTAGATCACGAACTATAGTGATTTTTTTCATCTTCCTTTATCATGAACAAAAAACATTTTTTCCGCATAAACGTTAGTCATTTTTTTATTTAATACTGATGATCATTTTTTCTTTAAATATTATTACTTAAAAAATTGGTTGTACTAAGACATTTGGGCTATATGTTTGATGGCAGAAATGCAAGCCCAGTTGAATTTCAAATATATTCACAATAAGATAGAATTATTTTTAGGTACAGTTTTAAAATTTTGGTTATCAGTAGTATTGGTCTATTTTTAACCCATGAATGAAGTAATACTGACTTTAAAAAAATATTCAAATGGGCTGTTTTGATTGGAGTTTGAAAGGAAATTCCTAATGTTTCCTCTTCCAACTTCTTTCTAAAGTGAAAAAACAGAAAAAAACAAAATGAAACACAAACAAAAGACTCATAGTACTGTAAATTAAGACTGGCAGAAAGTATTATGCCAAAATTCACGGTAATTTTAAAGCAGTCATAACTGGACTTGAGAAAAGCTTAACCACGGTTAACAAATTATGGGCTCACATCATGAGAAAGATAGGCTGAATAAAGAGAGTTAATTTCGTTTTTCCTTTTCCAGTTGTGCACTTTGACTCAACAAATCAGAACATGCTACAGAGAGAAACAGCAACTGTCCATTCCACCTCTCAGATGGTACTTTGTGATGAGTGTCATCACCATTTGCCTTGTTTGCTACCCTCATAAATCCAGGTTAGTTAGGAATTGACAATACCAGAAACCCTCACAATCTATATAGGTACATGGTTCTTTGCATTTAAGGTGTGGAGTATAAAAAATCTTATTTAATCAGAAAAAAGACAAGAAAGTATAATCAGAGAAATAATAGTAAATTAACCAATGAAAAAATACTATTATTGCCCTCAGCTGGTAGATATAAATGTGAAAGACTAGATATTGTGCATAACTTTCCCGAGATCATGCTGTGATTTTTAGCAAGTATAAATTATAATGGAGGAATGTGAATTTATATTGTCTAATTTCAGGATGTAGAGTTTTAAAAACAATAGTAATTGACACAGTGAAATTAATAATAAGGGTTAATAGTGCTTATTCTGTGGCAAGCACTGTGCTAGATCATCTACAAGCATAATCTCATTAGGTCTTCTCAACAATTGTGTGAGATGTATTACGATACCCATTTTATCAATCAGAAAGAAGACTGTCAAGTATAAATGATTTGACAAATTTCACACCTCTGCAACTGATGTTGTGACGGAATTGATTCATGCTGTTGTGGAAACCTTATCTAGACTGCGCCAATCTGATTTTTTTTTTATTTGGAATTCTCAACTGTGTAACAGAGCCTCTTATATTTCTATATGTGGATGAACTGTAAGGTAGCTCTGAGTGACCATATCCTGCTATGCAGACTGAGAAATGAGGATGATGGTAGGAGCAAGAAAAATGAGCAAAAACAAGAAGCTGAAAGCAAAAAGAAAAAGAGATGAGAAAGTGAATCCAGATCTATTTCCAATCTCATTGTTGCACTTACCTGACACCAAGTTGCATTCTAGTTCCTGGTTTGTGCCTAATCCCTTTCTGATTATGCAATAAAGTTTATTTTTGCTAAATTTGGATGGAGTCGTTTTATATAATAGTTAAGCATGTTAATAAAAAATAAGTAATGTTGATTATTATTTTGTAGTGGAATTGTTAATTCATATTTTATTGTTTATTCCTTATTATATTAATGTTATATTGTTCTAATGAATTACATTAAACTAGATTAAATGAATATAATTTTAATGATTTTAGCTGATAGATGCACCTTCAGAAATATATTAAGAAGTATTTACCAAATTTGTCTGAACAATAGAGAAATACTGAGCTTGAATCAGAAATTTGCGATTCAAGTTTTGCAGAAATGTTCATTAAGGCATTTATAGTAATCTTTTTAGTTTATACTTACTTTTAAGAGACACTTTAGAAAAAGTTTCTGTGTATGCACAAACACTCATTCAACTTTAACTGAAAAAATTTACTCATATAGAAATGCTTCTTCTTTTCCTAAAGAAAACGTCAAAAAATTCATGACAAGCATTGCAAAAAGATGATACTCTAATATTAATGAGAGGTCAGAAAATACAATGGATAGTTTTATGTGTAGAAATATCTAAATGTAAACTGAATGATATCTAGTAAACATCATGAGTAAAGTTGTAGACTTATTGAAACCATCTTTTTATGTTTTCAACTTATATGTTAAAAGTCAAACCTAATTCTTTAAATAATATTTTTCAATTCCTGCCATAATGTGATAATTGGCCTAAGTATTTGTATTAAAAATACAATATCAAATTATAAGATATTATTTATCTAAATTAGGGTGCATATTTGAGAAAAAATGTAAGGCTCAGAACTAATATAATTTGTAATTTCAGGACAGACCAGTTATCTATTCCCTCTCTAAGCTTCTATTATTTAGCATCTCCAGAGTCATTACATCATTTTTATTTTACATTAAAAAAGCAAAATCTTAATGATCTGGTCTCAGTGGTTTTGGGAAGGAGTAACTGATACATTATTTTAGAATTCAAACTACATGTTATTATAACTTGCTTTTAATATCAATAAAATGAATAAAATGTCTTTATTTTCTTATTTTAACTATTCAAAAGTACTTATTTCAAGTAGGTCAATATTTCCTTCATGAATTTTCAAATTTCAAAAACATTTATATTTTTTAAATGCTATTTCATCTATCTGAATTTTGTTTTTTCATGGATGGTTACTGCAAGTTTAAAATCCATCGTACTTAAAATTTACTTTTTAAGAAATAATTTCTAGGATTATTTTACATGTTCTTCTCAATTAGCAATTGCAAAGTGAGACACTATTTTAGTCTACCTTTCACTTGCTTTTAGAAATATGATGCAGTCAGTTTGGCTCCTGACTTCCTCAACTACTGCTATTTATTTATACATCATGGCAAAATGATCAGTATTATTTCACGTGAGTCAATTAACAAATGCAGAAACACCTAATTTTTGCCTCAGAATAAAGCTATATTTCTTTTTTTTTTTTTTTTTTTTTTTTTTTGAGACGGAGTCTCGCTCTGTCGCTCAGGCTGGAGTGCAGTGGCGCCATCTCAGCTCACTGCAAGCTCCGCCTCCCGGGTTCACGCCATTCTCCTGCCTCAGCCTCCCGAGTACTCCCGAGTAGCTGGGACTACAGGCACCCGCCACCATGCCTGGCTAATTTTTTGCATTTTTAGTGGAGACGGGGTTTCACCGTGTTAGCCAGGATGGTCTCGATCTGCTGACCGCGTGATCCGCCTGTCTCGCGGCTTCCCAAAGTGCTGGGATTACAGGCATGAGCCACCGCGCCCGGCCAGAATAAAGCTATATTTCTACTGACTTACTGACAAAAATTGATTATATGCCTTTAGGTATAAAGTGTAAATGGCTCAAAAAAAAATCCCAAATACGTACATCTGACAGTGTATGTATTTGTCAGGGTTCTTCAAAAAAAAACAGAACCAATAGAGTTTATAGAAATGCCTGCCTGCCTGCCTGCCTGCCTTCTTTCTCTTTCTTTCTTTCTTTCTTTTCTCTCTCTTTCTTTTTCTTTTTCTTTCTTTCTTTCTTTCTTTCTTTCTTTCTTTCTTTCTTTCTTTCTTTCTTTCTTTCTTTCTTTTTCTTTCTTTCCTTTTCTTTTTCTTTTTCTTCCTTTCTTTCTTTCTTTCTTTCTTTACCTTTTCTTTCTTTCTCTCTCTCTCTCTCTAATTAGTACTAAAACTACTGAAGATATTGAATTCATTGTTAAACATCTTTCAACAACCTAAGCCCCAGGCCAGATGTTTTCATCGGAAAGATTTATCAAAATAAATAATACAAATTTTACAAAAATTAGTAATAAATAATACTAAATTTACAAAAATGTTTCTAGAAAATAAGAGGCACATTCCAATTTGTTTTATGAGGCATACATTACACTGATACCAAAACCAAAACTCTTTTTACATGAAAAGAAAAACTAGAGTAATATTCTTCATGGAAATGGAAAAAAGCATCAGCATCATTATTATCATCATTATCATAATCATTCCCTCTCTCTCTCTCAAATAAATGTCATGTCAGAGTAGAATTTATTTTAAGAGGTTTGTTCAGCATTCAAAAATCAATGAATGTAATGTAACCTAAAAATAATAATAAATAACCATAACACAAGATCCTCTTGAGAGATGCAGCATGCATTTGGCAAAGTCCAGGGTCTATGTTTGTTTTGAATGAAACTCTTCAAGTTTCATTATCAATTCGTTAGCTATTGTCCCAAACAGCCACTAGAGGCCTGAACGAAAGCACAGCACCAGGGGATCCACTGCATCTCTTTGGATGGCCTTGCCATCAGGGTTCAGACTGCAGGCACAGCTTCAAGGACACAACGAAATGTGAAAGCTTAAGAGTTTTTAGTACCCACAGACACTGAGGAGTACATGGCACACCTGGAGGTCAAGAAACTGAGGCAGGGAGGGAGAAGAGACTATTGCCAGAAGTGGTAAACATAAGGAAATAGGGTGTGGGTCACTTATGTGCATATGCCGGAATGGTTTATTAAAGGGAAGCAGTAGGAAAGAGGGGAGGCTATTCTGAGAGACTAGGCCAGAGAGACGCCTCTAAGTTCTATCTCTGGTCTGTGGCTTGAGACATTTGAGTGTGATGTAGAATGAGAAACTATGTCAAGGGTGATTGAACTCTGCCTCTGGCATGAGAAAGCTAAACTTTCATCAAAAATGGATGTCAAGGCAACGTAAAATTATAAGCATTCACTATAATATGTTATAAAAATTTCTCACAAATGAAAGATCACTTTCTCAACTTGATAAAGACCTCATGAAAACCTATGACTAACATCATACTAAATGCTCAAAGATTGAATGTGTTCCCTGTAAGATAATAAACAAGAAAAAAGTCTGATCTCACCATTCCTTTTCAAAGTTGTAATGAAGATTCTAGTTAACAAATCAGGAAAGAGAGTAAAATGAAATGAATATATGTTGGAAAGAAACAGTCTCTTTTCACAGATGTCCTCTCTATGTGGAAAGTCTCAAGGAATCCAAAAAAGAGCTGCTCAACAGAATAAGCATATTTAGTAAATTCACAGGATGAAAGGTCATTATTTAAAAGCCAATTGCATTTCTACATAGTTGAGAATTGAAATTTTGGAAAGAAACATATATAAATACCAATAAATTTGAAATATGTATGAATAAGTACACCAAAATATTTGTAAGATTTTTATACTGAAAATCATAAAACATTTGGTAAGAAAAACCAAATAAGACCTAAAATTATGGGTAGATATATGTGTTCTTGGGTTGGAAAAAAATGTCCAAATATCAATTAACCTCTAAATGCTGTATAGATGCAGGGTAATCTCAATCAAACTTCATCAGCAATTTTGTGTTCACAAGCTGATTCTATAATTTATATAGAAAACAAGGCATATAGAATAGCAAAGATAATTTTGAAAATGAAGAGCAAATTTTGCAGATCTACACTGCTTCATTGTAACAATAACTATAAAGCTACAATAATCAAGATAGTGTGGCATTGCCAAAAGTATAAACCCACAGATCAATGGAACAGAAAAGAAAATGCAGAAAAAGATCTATGTAAATGATTATTTCCTGCTTCGTAAGGTGGTCAAGGGTTAATAATGGATAGTCTTTTTAATGAATAAATAGGTAACAATAGAACAACCATGTACAAAAATGTGTTTCTCTACTCCTAATGGCATCACATACAAAAATTAGCTTAAAATGGATCATAGACATAAAGCTAGGGAATTTCTAGGAAAAAAGCATAGGGAAATCTTTTGGACATTGCATCCTTTGGTTATGCAGAGATTATGTAGGACACAAACAATTATCAGTATGTAGGACAAATTAAATAATACAAATAAATAAAATATTGATAAATTGTACTTCATTAAAATTAAAATTTTCTGCTCTTTCAAATCTACTTTGAAGAAAATGGAAAGACAAGACGCAAAGTGGGAAATGGAAATGAAAACCACAATAAGATATTCTTATACACCTATCAGATTATTTCAAATAAAAGACTTGATAATACAGAGCAACTGGAATGTTCATATATTCTTGCTGTGGTTGCAAATGACCCAGGCATTTTGGAAAAGAATAAGACAGTTTTATATAAAGATAACAGTCTTACCATATGGCCTAACACTTCTACTCGTAGTTATTTACCAAAGAGAAATGAAGATATAGCTAAATAACATATGTTTGTGAATATTTATAGCAGATTTATTCAAAATCATCAAAAGCTAGAAACAACCCAAATATTCATCGACAGGTGAATGGATGAGAAAATTGTCATGCATGCAAACAATGCCAATTAACTCAGAAACAGAATGAGCCATGAACCAAGGCTATATACGGAAGGGTTCCACTTAAATGACACTTTGAAACTATAATGACAGAAAATACAGGGACAGGAATCAGATCAACTCTTGCTAAGGGCTGGGGGTAATGCAAGGTAATTTCCTACAAAGGGGTATTAGGGAAGTTTGGGAAGAAAATAAGAAATATTTTATATCTTAATCATGGTGATGTTGACACTTACTGTGTAAATTTGTCAAAACTCATAGAACAGCACTCCTAAAAAATGAATTTTACTTTATATAAATTATACCTCAACAAACCAAAAACCAAGCAACAATAACAGCAAAGAATAGAGGAGAGCATGAAATAGTAAGAAACAAAAATTCAGTACACATGCCTCCTTTCTTTCTTATAATTGCTCATGGCCCCTACATTTGTCCCAAACTATAATTTTACTCTATCTCCACCTGATCTCTCAAGTTCAGAAGCTCTTCTCTCAAGCCTTATTCTTTGGAAATTATCTAGATAACCAGTGGGTTGACTAGGATTTATTTTTGTCAGATATTCTCATAAATATCAATTGCCAATTTTGCTGGACACAGATTTTCTGTTTTATCTACCAACCTGGTGCCTAGCTGATCGTATTTCCAACTATTATGCTGTTGTTGTCTGTCTGGATAACTTCTCATTTCCTGAAGCTCTGTCTCTACTACATTAGTAGTAGTGTCTGGAATCCATGTCCTTTTAAATTCCGATTCATTGGCCTGCCAAATGAGCACTAAGTGTTTTTACTTTCCAGATTATTCTAAATTCTATAGGCTAGTTATTGTTTGTCTTCTACAGCATGCTCTGTACCGGTGATTCTCATTCAGTAGTGAAATATAACAATCTATTGAATATTTTAATAATGCATATGAAAGGCTTTCCTCCAAACCTACAAAATCAGAATATGTGAGTGAGGTCTATGGAAAGTCTCTATTTTATATTCCATAAGTAATTCTAATGTTCTTTTTTGTTTACACCATTATGAGTGACTAGTTTTGCTCCAAACAACATAACTGATACCAATAGTTATTGCATGCTACTAAGCCTGCAATTTAGATTTTTGAGGTTTTAGCTAATTGCATTAATCTTATTTTGTAATTAATTAGATTTAAAAAGGCAGATCCAATTACAAGTAGACAGATACTGATATCTACGCTGAAATGTATAACATAGGAAAAATGTCAAATTCCTTTTCTTCCACATTCCTACCATTAACATGGATAATGTGCCTTGTGCTACTGAGAGTAATATTGCATAAGTAAGATTCTACTTCTTGCCTGATTTAAACTGTAAGCCTTGACATATACATTTATCATTTTCTGACACCATGTATTTGTGTGTGTATGTATTGATGGTCAATCTTACATATGTCAATTTAGCTAGGTCACGGTATCCTTATATTTGATCAAACACATCTGGATTCTGCTGTAAAGGTATTTCTTAGATGAGATTGGTATTTAAATTAATAGACTATAAACGAAGAGATTACCTTCCATAATGTGGGTGGACCTCATCCAATCAGCTGAAGGCCTTAAGAAAAAGGCTGACCCCCCATAACGAAGAGAAAATTCTTCCAGTAGACTGTTTTCAGACTTCAACATTACCAGCTCTTCCCTAGGTCTCCGGCCTGCTGGCCTATCCTGCAGACTTTGAATTTGCCAGCCTCCACAATTACTGTGAACTACTTCTTTAACATAAACCTCATTCTCTCTTTCTCTCTCAGAAGATAGATAGATAGATACAGATAGATAGATCATAGATAGACAGGCAGGTAGGTAGATAGATAGATAGATAGATAGATAGATAGATAGATAGATAGACATCTTATTTATTCTGTTCTCCTGGAGAACTGTAATACTAATATGTTTGCACAGAATAGAATATATCTCAAAAGAGCTCAGTACAAATTATTCAAATTATTAATAGATAGGTATTTAATGTAAAACTTTCAACATTGACTAAATAATTGTTTGGCAATCGCCAAATAGTATTAATATTCTGTAAAAAAGATTTATGATTTCAAAGTATTTTCAATTTTTTAACTTTTTTAAACCTTTCTAAGCTTGTGAAGTAGATATAGAAGACATTGTTGATGAGGATTCTAAGCACATGTTTAAAATAAATATAAAATTTGGGAGTGAGACGTTGAGGCTAAAACTCTCAAGCTAAAATCAATAACTCTACTGTGCAAAATAATCCAGTTAAGCAAATTCTAAATTAGTTACTTTAAGTAAAACAGGCTAGTACTGGATTACAAATTAGGCACATACTGTTCAAAAATTTAAAAAATATAGAGTAACTATAGCAACTTTGGCACATTGAGGACACATTAAACTGAATTTCTAATAAAAAAAAATTTACCATACCTCCAGGTTTTCAGCAAATCTAAACAAAGTTCTTAGTTATAAGCATAGAGGGGACAGAGTCTTGAGTTTTACTACTTGCGAATGAATGAGAATTTTAAATGTTAGAAATATCTCAATATAGTCCCCTTTCACCATGGATATATGACACCTTATTTTCAGATGTATAAAAATAGTTGTAGCAGAAATTCAATGTTTACTGGAGAATGGATTTACTTGAATAACTGTCAAAATTATTTTGGAGATATTTAAATCAATAGACTGTGATTACAGTTGTTACCAAACTTTTCTTGGAGTTGTGTTCCCTTTAGGTGATGTTGTTCTCTCTATTCATCTGGCTTATGCTTTGTAGTGACAAAAATAAATTAGCACCATAGTAGGCTAGAAATAGGCAAATTAAGCAGTATGAATTCCAAACAAAGCTAGATATTAAAAGCAAAGAGGGCTAAGACTTCAAAACAGACACAGCTCACACAAGTGTGATGAATTAATTCTAATGTTAGGCATACAGAAAGGGTACAATCAAGAAACAAAGAGACTTTAGAACTACACTGTTTTTCTGTTAGAGTACAAAGTGATTACGCATGCCCTCGGGCATAGGTAAAGGCAAACTCAAGCCAATGTTAAGATCAATACAGAGTGGCAGATTGGGTTATTCAGGAAGTAGGTTCTGAGACACAGACACAGTTTAGTGTAGGGATGTTTATTGGGGTGTTCTTAGAACGAACCAATGTGGAAGGGAGGGTACAAAAGGCAAGATGGGTGGTGGGAAAAGTTCACTGATCTGACAGAAAACTCTGGAGCTAAATATGGGCCCAGCATTATCCTGTGTTGAGCTAAATGGCCAGACTTTGATATCCTTACCTTCTTTGGTCATTGGATTTGAGCTACACTAAGACAGGCATACCCTTGGGTGAGGCCACTCTGCAGTTGAGGCAGTCCCAAGAACTGACAGCCGAAACTTCTCTGCTGACAGTATGCCCAAGGGCTGGAGAAACTCTTCTTTCCTACCCGGATGATCTGGGTGTCAGAGCTCCATGCCCATCACTGCCATCCCTTGTGCCTCATGGATTCAACTCCTTTTATACCTTTATAAAGCAGCTTTTTCAGGGTTCTTACAAAATTCTGGCAGACCTGTCTTTCTGGGAGAATGTTAGAAGAGTTAGATTATTGGCAAGTAGCAATAAGATTATTGGGAAGAACCACTGGAGATGGTCTTGGGAACATAACTGATACTCATCATCTCTTTACTATTTGTTCTAAATCACCTTTAGCCTTGGCAACCACTTCTACTTGTCATAGCTAAATCCTTATCCATCAGTGATCCAAGTCCCTTGTCAACATCCTCTTCTCAGGCCAGGAGTACTGTACCTGTTCATTTGTAGTTACATTTGCTCAAGGAAATAAGTACCAAGAGACATCCAAGCAGATCACCTGGGTTCAAAACATATTTCTCCCCGCCTCCATTGTGAAAGCAGCCCTTCCTCCTTCTGATAATCAGGTTCAATTATTCTTACCGATGTGGTGATTCCTCTTTTTTAATCTTCTGCACCACAGACAGAAGGATCCCAAAGTGCCCCTGCAGCAGGCATAGGCTGTAGCTCAATAGTGTTCTTGTTGTGTCTCCTGGAAAAGGTGGTCTGCCTTTAGTGACCCAGGCCTCTAACATTGTAGAGCCCAAAGTTGTAGGAATAGGAAGCACAGATCCCCTGAGAAGGTCACTGGGAGTGATAGTAAGTGTAGTTAAATTTCCTATTCCCAAGACTCCTGGGGAAGTAGGAATATTTGATTAAAATTATATGCTTTATATACAATATAGTGTCTTGTGGCTCATCCTTGTTATCCTCTCAAGGTATCTTCTTCCAGGTGGCGCTTCAGCTGTGCCCACAGCAGATTGTTGCATTGTTTTAGCTGGTTAGTAGCTCCTAGTTGATGGAGAATGTGATACAATCAATCAATAGAACTAACAGACATGAGCACACATCTGTAGTTCCTCTTCTCTAATAGAGATTCCATGGTCTGACATAATGTTATGTTGGATCCTATGACATTTCATAAGCCATCTAGTTGTGAAATTGCTGCCTTTCAAACAGAAGAGGAAAATTCATACCTGGAATACATGCCTATTACAAGAACACATTTCTAGCTCTTTCATTTGGAAAGGACCTATGTAGCAAGACTAAAATGTCTGACACATGAATGGTTGTAATTGATGCTATTATTTGGATGAGTTTTCTCAACTAGTCTTCTCAACATAGTCCCCCACCCAACTCAAATCAGATGTGAGCCTCTTTATTTACTACTAATGAAACCACTGGCTTTCACACTTAACTTTTGATTGCCTGTTAATTGATCTCAGCGTTTCCCTATTTACTTTTTAGCATCTGTTGATCTTAGTAGTAGCCACTGCATTTTATTGTCCTTGAAGTTACTATTTACTTTATGTTTCTCAGATACCTAATATATTGTACCACCTTGACTATCTTTCCACTGGTGTACCATCCTAAAGCTCCACCCATGAAAGTTAACCAATTGCACCATCCCTTTCTGCTAGGAGCTTTGAGCAGTAAAACAGAATCTATGTCACCAGATGATAGTTCATGATCTTACTGCCAAATATTACCTTATTAACCTATATACCTGACTTCTCTTAGCATCAACTGTGGTATTAAACTCCACTGAAGCAAATCCTTCAGTGGAGTTTGGATAGAGGAAGGAAATAGGGAGAAGTCAAGTTGAAACGAGTCCCTACATGATCCTCTGCTGCCCCCATGAGGAATCCTGCTACTAACAGGGCTCATCAAGTGGGCTGCCTCAGGAAAGGTGAGGCCACTCTGAAGATGAGATAACCCTGAAGAGGCTGACAGCTGAAGGTTATCTACTGACAGTACTTCTATCAACTGCTACACAAAGTCCTTCTTAAAGTGTAGCCTGTGCAGCACCATCATGCCTATTACAGACAACAACATGAGAAAAATATCCAGCAAAAATGAAGAAATATCAATAACGATGTCTAACATTTTTGTGTCATAGAGATTGTACACAAACATTGATTCTCTCAAACTTCGTAGTTAGGAAAGACCCATATTTTTATAATGCTTTCACAGATAAAGAGGTTCAGAGAACTCAGGTGACTTTCTGTAGAAGATAGATACAATAAGTATTGAAGTTAGAATGTGCTAGCCTTAGAACATGACAAGAAGGGATTCTTCTCTGGGCCCTGCCCTTCAGTAAGTCTCTAATACTGAAACCACACAAAACATAATCTAAAAAATACACATGTGCACTTTTGTCACTTGGAATCTGCTGCATGATACTGATACAGTGCACCCTGTGACCTTAAACATCTACTCTCATGCCTACCTCGCACATGCCAGGACCCAGGAACATGCTTCTCTGTGTCCTTTGAGCAATGTCCTCAAAACAAAAGTTGACTGTATCTGAATGCCATAAGTCCCACTGCTAATTTTCAAGGCAATCACTTAGTACAGTACTCATAAACATTTTACATGGCTATTGATAAACATTTATTTATATAACTTAAAATTTTATTCATACATTTATAAGTAACACATGAAGCCTGATACCAATTATTATGTTGCCAAATAGAAAAATATTTAATGGTAGAATTGTAAATAAATTCATTTTTAGATATTTCATAATTTTAAATTAAATTTACAAATAAAATTTATTTGAATACATTTTACATTTTATTAATTTAAATTTAATAAATAACATTTAATATTTAAAGAAAAATAACTGCTTAGAAAATATATATACTTTAATTTTAAAATTTGATATCCAAATTTTGGATACTTTAAATACAATTATTTATCATTTATGATTTAAGATCATAACTGAATAAAATACACATTATGTGAAATTATTTCTTATAAGAAATAATGACTTTGTAAAAAGAAGGCAATACAAATATATTTTGTTACAAAAATATATTTATGAATTACATGTCTTCTATACTCATCCAAATCTCATTGTCCCATCAACATAACATCCAGGTGTGTAGGATAATAATTCAATTCATTCATCCTTGATGTGTTGCCTTTATGTAGTTTTATTGAAGACAAACTTTATATATTTTAATGCTGTAGTTAATAATAATGTTTATTGTAATGGTTAGTTTTGCATATTAATTGCTAAAATATGGTACCTACTTTCTTGATCAGACTTCAAATAGGCTTCATCCAATCAGTTGAAAGCCTTAAGAGCAAATATCGAGGTTTCCTGCAGAAGAAGGAATTCTGCCTCCAGATGTCTACATAGAAATTTGGCCTGAGTTTTCAACCTTCAGACTTAAAACTGAGACATCAACTTTTACCTGAATTTCCAGCTTGCTGGGGAGAGATTCCATTTGTTCTATTTCTTTGGAGAAGCCTGAATAATATAGTTATATTTCTTGAAACAGGATATAGAACATATTTTATGTAATGCTTGATTTTCTTGATTTATACTTTTAAAATATTTGGGCATTTATTAAGAAGGCTTTTATTTGTACTTTTGTCATAGGCTCCACAATAAGAGGGCAGGATTAATATTAGAACTGTATTAAAACATTGGGTTGGAAAAAGACTACCTGCCAGAAACTATAAATGAACCTGTGAATACTAGCTTGAATATAAACGGAGAAGTTTCCTGACAAATTATATATATATATATATGCCATTAATATTCAGATGTTTCATTATTTAAAGGGGATAAAGAGTGTATTCATCTACTTTAGCTGTCATAAAAAAATGCCACAGAGTGATAAGGTGGCGATTAGAGTGAGCCAGGAAGAGGGCTTTTAATAAGAACCAAAACTGCAGACAACTTTGTCTTGGATTTATGGCCCCCGGAACTGTGAGAAATAAATGTCTATTATTTGGCCACCCAGTCTATATTATTTTGTTTTGGTAGCTCAAGCAGACTAATAAAGATTATGGTAATGAGAGGTGGGGCACTACTGTAACAAATACCTAAATTGTGGAAGTGGCTTTGAAACTGAGTAATGGGTAGGGACCAAGAGGGTTTTGAGGTGCATGCTGGAAAGCTGAGATTGACGTGAAGGGATGGCTCATGTGATTATGTAGACTGAGAAGTCTAGGCGGAGGAGAGCCAGTGATATAGTTCCTGTTTGAATCCAAAGGCCTGAAAAGCAGGAGCTGATGATGCAAGTTCCAGTCAGAGTCTGAGTCTGAAGGAGAGAGTAACAATGTCCCAACTCAAAGACAAGCAGAGAGAGTGAATTCTTTCTTTCTCAGCCTTTTATTCTCTCCAGGCCTTCAATGGAATGAATGAAGCCCACCCCTATTAAGGAAGACAATCTGCTTTATCAATTTAAATGTTAATCTCAACCAGACACAACCTCATAAACACATCCAGGAATCACATTTAACCAAATATCTGGGTACCCCCATGTGTATTCGTCTGTTCTCACACTGCTAATAAAGACATACCCAAGACTGGGCAATTCATAAAGGAAAGAGGTTTAATGGACTCTGGGGAAGCCTCACGATCATGGCAGAAGGCAAAGGAGGAACATAGGCATGTCTTACATGGCGGCAGACAAAAGAGATGTGCAGGGGAATGCCCTTTATAAACCCACCATATCTCGAGACTTACTATCATGAGAACAGCATGGGAAAAACCCGCCCCCATGATTCAGTTACCTCCCACTGGGTTTCTCCCATGACATGTGGGGATTATGGGAGCAACAATGCAAGATGAGATTTGGGTGGCAACACAACCAGAAAATATCACCGTGGTTGTCACGTTGACAATAAAATTAGCAATCACTGAGGGTAATTGTGGGTGTGTGGAGCAGTACAGAATTGTAAATAGAGTGGCCAGGCAAGCACTTTCTCTAGAGATGGTAACATTTGAAAAACTGAATGATAATTGGGAGTGTCATGCTCAGAACCTGAGGAAGATTTTTACAAGGTAAAGAGTAAATGCAGAGACTCTGAGATGTAACTGAGCTATACCTGGAATATATTGAGAAAGAACAGACTGGTGCATGATTAAGCTTGGAGAGTGAGGTAGGGTCAAATTGTTGGCCATGGTAGAATTTTGATTTTACTGTACATATAACGGAACTTAATATAAAAGATTAAAGAAGAGGAGACTTGCAATGTGATTCATTTGAGAGGAGAAGGAGGGAAAGAAGAAAGGAAGAAGGAAGGAAAGAGGGAAGAAAGGAAGGAACAAAGGGAGGGAGGGAGGAAAAAGTAATGAATAAACAAGGAAAGGAAGGAAAAAGCTGAAAGAAGCAATAAAGAAGATATACAATAAACTAATATTCTGAGGACAGTATGGAAAATAGACTGTAGTTTCAGCAATGGAAAAATTATGTTACATTAGCTCCCAAAAGAGAAAATCATTGCCTGTATCTAGACCTTGGTGATACATAATTTTGGAGTGATTAGAAATGTATTTCAAAAATGAAACTGAGAGAATTTGTCAATGAATCAAATGTGAAGGACAGTATAAGAGTATAAATAATGATGGTTCTTTATTTTAAAATAAAATTAAATTGGTTTTGCCATGATTTTTGAGGTGGGAAATAATGAAAAACATCATTAAGTTTTTTATTCGCATGGAGGAATCAAAAATTTATTTTGGATATATTAACACTAAAATGCTAATTAGATTGAAAAGTGAATATGTTAAGTAGGAATTAGAAGAAGAGCAATGCGTAGGGGCAATCTGGTGTCACAGATGAAAATAAGAACTTTCTAATGCTTAGAGAGGTTTAACTTCTTTTTCTAAGTATGTTTTATTTTCTCAAACTCATGGGTAAAGTTCAATACACATGCACGTGTGCACACACACATACACACACACTATCTGCCATCAGCAGTTATCAGTGTTACAAGTCATATGCTAGGTTAGAAATCAAAAGAAAAATAAAAGGAAATGGGGATAAAAGGTGTGGAGACATATTAATAGGCAAGTACTAAAAAGAGGGGATGAAATTACCCTGATATTCAAAGAAGTATCTGAACTGCTGCTCGGGTACTGAAAACACCCTCCCAATTAATTTTATTGGTATGAAGAGATGCAGGGTCAGTAACACTTACTATAATCGGGAAATAAGTTTAGAACCGCATTTTGGAAGTATATCATTAGAATGTATATGTTAACACAAAATACTATCAAATAGAGTCATGTAAATTTGAGAGATAGAATATTTAGAGCATTTTATGTAGGAATAATATGGTGAAATAAATGACCATCAAAATGATAATATAGCAACTGAAGGCTGAAATATTCAACTTAAAAATCTAGAAATATTTATTTCATGGCTAGAGAAAGAAGGCCCATTTGGTTAGCTCAAGTTCAAGTATGGCTATGAAGTACTGGTTTTACATGAATTTTACATAATATGAAGGTTCTCATATCCAAGAAATGAAGAGTAAGTCCTTCAGTCTTTAAATTTGTAGTCTAGTTGCTTGAATATTCCATTTCTTTCAAGTGGAGTAAAAGGATGTATCTTTAGAACAGCAGTTCATATATGATGAAGTTCTTCTGAAGAAGCTACAAGTTGGCTCCCCCTAAGGTTTCCCACTGGAAATTTTGACTAAATTTCTGAATTCCTTATAAGGTTGCTCTTGGCCGCCCTAAAAATCCTCCTAGGTGGTAGGACATAAGTCATTACTATCCAGGTTTTGAACTGAGCAGGGCTAGAAGCAAGGTTTAAATTATGCCCAGTTTACTGACAGGCAAAGTCTTAAGTGGCTCTGAGTTTTGAAATACTGAAATTAGATACTGAACTATGTCCTCGCTTTAATTACTGAGATTTAATGTCACACCCATCAATGTTAATATATTTTGTCTACACATTTCTCACTGGATGACCTCATGCTCTATTTGGTAAGACTACAACTAATTTGTAGAAATTGAAATAGTATTCCCAGTTCCTAGCAACCCGTATAACACAGACATTTTCAGCGAAGTTTTTGTCTAATTTAATTGCATTGAAATTTTAATAATGAGACAATCTCCCATGTCCTTCATCACACAACAGAATGATGGATTTTAGAACTGATCCCTAGACAAGAGCATAGAAATCTTATTTAGCCTCACACTGGCTGCATGCTTTTAGGGAAGGCAATTAGACATCTTGTTTTGGTTTAATTCAATAAAGTGAAGATATTTATCAAAACCTATCTTAGGCTTTTTCCAGATCTTTTATACTGTTGACACAATCTTTAAATAATTAATTGTTCCAAAAATAGGACTCATATGATATTTTTATGCTAGAGTAAGCATCCTAGGGTTGACACATTCTTGCCTTTTGTTATATATGAAATATTTTTGACATTTGTAATTATTTATGTAGGAAAACAGCCATGAAAGTAGAAAATCAACTCAGAAAGTAGACACAAGTTTCTTTTGTATGGGGAAGAAAATAGATAAAATGATTTGGTCTATGGTGCATAGCAATTGGTAAAATTGGTGTTGATTTTGATGTTTATTAGGGAGAAATTTCTATTAGATTTCATTTAGTGTGGAAAATTGGACCCTCTGACAAACTCTATAGTATTCCATGCTCCAGACAGGCTTACAGACCTCTCCATCTGTCAAATATCATGCTCTTTGGTTTGGAACATATTCCTTGGTTTGGAGCATTATGTTTGAACAGATGGAGTGGCCTGTTTGTAGATAAAATTAACAATGCATTTCTGTATATATTAGTTCGTTCTAGTTTTCATAATTTTTTCTCCTGTGGTATTTAAAACACAAATTACGTATGTTGTCTGAAAGACAGAGGGTATGAAAATGCTGAGCTTGAGCAACTCAAAATAACTCTGCTGGAATTGCAGCCAACATTAAAGTTTTTGAAAAATGAGTTGACACATAGAGGGTATCTTTGGAATACTCTTTAAAATATTGAATGGCAAAAATTTTTAGGCTCCAAAATCTCCAAAATTGTGTTAATTAGAAAATTATAGCTTACAAATCAATATGATTTGATTTTTTTCTTTAAAATGCAATTCTCAGGTATTGTAAACTATTTTTTCTGTAAGAATAGAGAGATCGCAGATCTAGATGACATTAAGATACTTCAAAAAGGAAATTTATTACCTACTATGAAAGATACATGAACAGCAAATAGGCATTTTTGTTTCTTGCCTAATTTAAACCAAGTTTTCATATATTCTTATTGACTTGTAAAACATGTGTATAAAATACAGATACTGTGACTATACACATATACATAAATGTATATAATATATATACACACAAAAATACAGATACAAACATGTTGTCAATAAAATACCAAGTGTTTTTAAATATATTAGCAAAATAGCGAAACAAAAAAAAAAGTCAATACTATCCCCTTCTTTGTTTATAGTTTCTGCCTTTTGTAACATTTTGATGACATTTATCCCATAAGATGAGACCAATATTTTGGTATAATTATATTTTCTTCTGCTAATTTTATATTTTCAGGGTAAATGCTGCATCAGGATTATTCAGTTTCACAGTTACCTGTTATTTTTTTCTAGATAATCTTTGAACCAATATTGTCAAATTCTTATCACTCCACCTAAAATTTTTTATTGTTCTTGTGTTGTGTTTAAGCCTGTATAGAATTTATAAAATATTGTTGAACTTATGGAACTATTAAGATTTGCTATTCAAGAACAAGGCACATTGCTCATTTTGCTCATTTAGTCAATGTTTTTTCCATCAAATCTAAAGTCAACAGTGTCTTCTAGTTTCATCCATTTTGTTGCAAATGGCAGAATTTCCTTTTCTCTAAGGCTGGATAATATACAGTTTTTAAATACACACACATACACATACACACACCACAGTTCCTTTATCCATTCATTGATGGATGAAAACAAGTTATTTTTATGTCTTGGCAATTTTGAATAATGCTGCAATAAACATGAGTGCATAAATTGCCTCTTGAAAGTACAATAATTATTTTGTTTTCTTTGGATATATGCCCAGAAAAAGGATTACTTTTAATTTTTTGAGGAACCGCTGTACTATTTTCTATAATGGCTCTACCAATTTGCTAAGTGACATAAGCCAGACACAGAAAAATACTTCACAATCTCACTTATATGTGGAATCTACAAAGGTCTAATACAAAGAAGTAGAGAGTAGGAGAGTGGTTACCAGGCCATAAATGATGTAGGGTTAAAGTTGTAATACAAAGTTGCAGTTATGTAGAATGAAGAAGTCTGGAGATCTAATGTATAGCATGAGGGCTATAGTTAATAAAATACTATCTTATACACTGGGAATTTGTTAAGAGAGCAAATTTCAAGTGCTTTTATTATGGAGAAAATGTGTGAGGAGAGGTATATGTTAATTTGCTTAACAGGAATAATTATTTCACTATGTATATGTATATCAAAGTATTATGTTGTACTCAAATTATATAATATAATAAATCAGTACATCTATAGAGCAGATTTTTTTTTACTTTATGTCTTTTTTCATATGGATCTTTTGGAGATCGCCTTTTCAGAAGTATTGCCATTTAAATAAGTAAGCAGTTTTAATTGATAAATTTTTTAAAGTTAATTTTACTAGTTTCTGTTTTTCTGGAGATTTTGAAATAATTGTATTATGCACAAATGATGATAATTTTATTAAAATACTTATTATTCTTTATTTCCTCTCAATTTCTTAACATTTTTCTTGAAATATGTTGTGATAATAAACTTTTTTTTCACCAGGAATGCAGAAATTGATCTTGTGAAGTCGAAATCTGACTTGGTCCTACCCTACCTCCATTACTAACCTCAATGAGAATGTTAAATGTGGAGTAATTCATTTTGGTCTTAGGTAAATGACATTTGGGGATTAATTGTTTAGTAAAATTTATACACTGACTAATACATTTAGATTTTTGAAAAAAATTTATTAAGATTTAACATGGAATACTTTTTGAGGATTGCTTTTCAAAGGTATATTTTGCATTTAATTGTTGAGATGAATTATATTAACTTGTTTTCTATAACTGGACAACTTTCAACTTTCAATACTAGAATCTCTCTACTTATCACACTGTATTATTGTTTTTATTCCAGTAGAGTCCATAGGTTAGTATTTTTCTTGAACTATTTCCATATATGTTCAAAATTATGATAGATATATAGGTATTTTTAAGTGCTATCTTTATAATTTATTAACAAGGAAGTTGTATGGTATTATTAAAGCTAGAATTAAGCTACTCAGGATATTTCTGTATGTTTGATTCCTTCTATTACAATGTTGTATAATTTCAGACCAACTTTTATTTAAGAATTTTCATTTTTACTTAAAGTACAGTAATAATAATCTCTAGAAAAGTACAAATCATAGTTATCTGAATAACCGGCATTTATTTGTTATTTGTATCTGGAGTAAATAAGGTTTTTGGAACTCTAATGCATTAATGGGTATCACCATTCAGTTAATAGCATAAAATATTGAATTAGTATACATAGTAACTTCTCAGCATACATAATAGCTAATATTATTATCATCAAACCTATTTTTTAATTTTTTTATTTTTTTTGCAATCTCTTCGGAGTATCATATCTGATTTGTAGTTATTCCTAATAGTAATTGCTATAATATTACATTACAGAAATTTTTAAATCATTTAATTTTTTCCATTATAAATAACACGTTTTAATAAAAATGCAGAAATTCAAATAAAGAAATTTAAAAACAAAAACAAAAACAAAATACAGGGAGATGAAGAAAGTTTTTATTTCCGTAAACAGTTACTGGGAGAAGGCCTGGAAATTATCACCAGACCAACTCAAAATTACAAAGTTTTTCAGAGTTTATGATGACAACAAATGCCTCAATGATGTATTTGAAATCTGTCTACTGTTTTAAAAATATTTTAATATCTGGAAAGTAATAAATGATTCCTGTAAGTATTATACATGTAATTTTTTGGTTTGTAGCTTCTTAAAAATGCTAGAGCTTAGATTCAACATAAAAGCTAAATTACATAATTGGCATGGACAGCTCTTAGAGTAAAACTTACTATCATTTAGTCATATCTTTCTAGATATGTAATAAAAATTATACCATTTGGTGGTTTACAATAAATTATTTAAATATATTAGTTAACAGTTCAACTAAAATACAATAATTTACAAATATTTTCTTTACAAATAAGTTTACAATTTCTTTTATAGAAACATATGATAACCGTTATCTCTAGTGTAAATCAGACATCATCAAATATTTTTATTGAAATATTTTTATTTTTATTGAATATTTTATTTTAACATATTTCTACCAAATAAAATTTTTAATATATATCATAATATTTTAAATTTGTATTGGCTGTCTATTTGCTTCTGTTTTTTATATTTCAAAACACTATTTAGCAAGATATTCCCTGTTCTTTGAAAAACTAAGACAAACTGAATTAAGCAAACTTGTATTTTAGTATTTGAATGACAGACATTAAAAATTAAATAAGTTTCTTATCAATATGTAAACTGTATATCATCCAGCCATTCTACTGAGAGATCTCTAGATACATGGAATATGTACTCCAAGGAAATGACAAATACCCCAGTGAGACAGCTGCATCCATTTTTTTTTAACTTGCTACCAAGCACAACTTCAGTGGCAAGCACAGAGGCAAATTTTAAACTGTTTGCTAAGTGTCTGTCATTTCTGCTTTCACAAAAAGAATGATTTCCAACGAGAGAACACTGTGCTCCAAAATACCTAATGTGGGCAGCCAACCGATGAATCATCCTGAGAAAAGCCAGAGAAACCAATCATCTTAGTATAAAATCCATTGATCAATGATTTCCTACAACAACAGTTTCCCTGAATCTAATTCATTCTGTACAAAATTACTTCTGTGTTGTAAAACTCAAAAAGTGTCAGACTGCCATTTTTTGGTTGTGTTTATTAAATTTTTTATGGTTGAGACAATTGAACATTGATGTGCTGTCACATGCAGATATTTCCTGTCTACCTTTTCACAGTGGTTTCTTAAGAGAGATGATTTGGTATTTTATAAAGCAAATTTGGCTTTGACAATATCAAACTGTCATTTTAGCTCAAGAATCTTTTATAACCTTACTGTATCACAAACACAGATGTGTTTGAGTTTCTCTTAATCTCTTTTTGTGTCTCTGTTCCTCTCTCTATATATATCTATACACACATGTCCATGCATGTGTAAATTAAGTTCTCTTTAGCTCAGTTCCCTAATCTGTAAAATGGAGATAATAAGAATTGATGATTATTTTTGGTATTAAGTTTAATACCAATGAAAGATTTAGAACAATATCTGGCATATACTGACTATTCAATAAATACTATCATATTAGCATAAATATTTTAGGTAGAATAACCTATTAGAAAACTTATAGAGAAAGGAGTTAAAAAATAAAAGAAAATTAGTCTTTTAAAAATAAGTATCTTGAGTACATTAGAGCAGATACAGTTAGTTATAAGGTAGTGCTCATGATTTTCTGCATTATGTTTGCTACCACTTAATATGCCTCTAAAGACACGTTCAGCCCTGTAGATAAGAACTTGTTCTTAGACATTTTGGTATTTTTCTTTAGTCTGAATGGGGTGGCTCTAATAATACCTGCTAGTTTGCCTTTATAGTGGTGTAGTTGTTGAGGCATGAATATATGTCTCAAACTCTAACAGAAAGAAAAATACACGGTCCTGTCAGAGTAAATGGAGATGTTATAATCTGGCCTCTGATGCAGTATGCATTTATGCTTAATGAGAAGGTATAGAGCATATTTGTGGTATTTTAGTAATGCAGCAATTAAACTTCATGAATAAGTCTTTGTTAGATGTAGAATCCTTCTCAAATTTTGGTACTAAAGTAAACTATAGCATTTCATCTTTTATCCTAAAAGTCAAGGCTTAGACATTATTGATAATCTTGGCAGGTTAGGACTTTTCACCTTAAGAGCATGGAAGGAGTGACTCAAAAAAACCAGGAAAGCCAGATGTAATTTAGAGCAGGGGTAAAGTGTATTGTCCAGCAAGAGCATGATGAGTATGCAGTCGTGGCAGCAGGGCATACCAACAGACTATTTCTGTGGTGCTATCACCATTGTATTTTCTGCTGATGTTCTACAAATGCTGCTTCTCTAGGTTTCTTTTGATTCTGTAATATTTCCAATGCACTTCTAATAAATTTAGTTTGTTTACTCCCATGCTTTATGTAAGTAAGCCAGGTAAAGTTTTTGTTGTTTCTAATAATACCTCAGTCAATCCACAGGTGATACTATTGTGACAATTATGACCATTTTTAGAAAAGAGAACCCCTATGGGAATGATTAAGCTCACAGCTCAGAACAAAAGTATTCAGAACAGTGTCTACAACATCGGTGAATGAAGTAGGATAACATAACTGAGTAGGGAGAAAATAAGCCATGGACATGGAGGCAAGAAATGCAAGTCACTGGGTCTTGGTCTGTGGAGATGGTGGATACAGCAACTAAAAGCTCAGCACTGACCATTCCTGAAGTTTACATGGAGCTGCCAGAGACAGAAGGTACTTGGGAGAGACAAGGTTTCCCACATACTACAGCTGGCACAGCATGACAGAGAAATGCAGTTTCGTTAGTGCTTCTCTCAGTATATTGTTGCAGACTGTTAAGATAACCTAGGAAATCAAATAATTATTTATTCAGTGCTTACTACGTGCCACACACCCATAACAGGATTTATACATTTTATCTTCACATTAAACTAACTGCAAAAATCACTAGTATTTTAATTACACAAACTAGACCAAGATAGAACATAAGTTATGAAAAGATAAAATCACAGGTTAATTTGCTTATTAGAGATATAACATTCACGTTTATTGAATTTCCTTAGTTTAGAGTTCCCTGTTTGCTCTCAGTTGAATGTAATTTATGACTTAATTTGTGGCTTCAACAATGATGATTCCCCTCTTTTTATTTCCTTTATTATCACTGATATCTACCTGGTCACTCCCTACTCCATAGTCACATGTATCTTTAAACTCCTTAATGAAGGCAACATGAAAGTAGATTGTCTGTTTCATGGGAAAGCCAAGGTTAAAATTTTGTCTTTTGAATTTGCTACTGCTGGGTTTCAGACAGGCTATTTAAGCTGTTTATGCCTATATTGCACCACCTGCGAAATAGATGAAGCAATTATATTATCTAACCCCTAGTGTTGTTATAAGAATTAATTAATAAACCTGCATAAAGCTCTGAAAACAATACCTGGAACATGGAAAACACTAAAAAATGCTATCAGTTATTGAGGATTGAGAGAACTTTATCTTACTCGCTATGAATGTGTCCATTCTGTCTCTCAAATTTAATTACAAAGAAAATAATTTGTGTTTTTAAAAGGTAATATGATTACCATATAATGGCCTATTCCAGTAATACAGGTATAGCTAATGGCAATGATAATATACATTACTCATTTAACCAATTTACACCATACCCATTACTTTGAGACTTCTGTGCACATACACTCATATGTCACTTAACAATGGGGACACATTCTGAGAAATCCATTGTTAAGCGATTTTGTTATTATGCAAACATTGTAGAGTGTACTTACACAATCTAGGTGGTATAGCCTACTACACACCTCGGCTATATGGTCTAGCCTATTGCTCCTAGTCTACAAATCTGTACAGCATGTTACTGTACTGAATACTACAGACAATTATAACACAATAGTATATATTGGTGTATCTAAACATATTTAAACAGAGAAAGAGCAAATATGGTATAAAATGTAAAATATTTTACACCTATAGGGCATTTACTGTGAATGAAGCTTGCAGGAATGGAAGCGGCTCTGGATCAGTCAGTGAGTGAGTGTTGAGTGAATATGAAGTCCTAGGACATTATTATATACTACTATACACTTTATAAACACTAAAAACTTAAACTGTCCTACATTTAGGAAAAAAAAGTAATTGCGATATGGTTATGATGGCTACAAAGTCTACAGGCAAAAATGAATTTTTTAGTTCCATTATAATTTTATATAACCACTGTCAGATATGTGGTCCCTCACTGGCCAAAATGTCATTATGTGGTATATGATTGTATGTAATTATTTTAGCATATTTCAGATGGTTTTATATCTAAGCTTCTTGCTTTATGTGATTGATTCCAAAACTTTCTGACACAAATATTGACAAATGACTTCATAATCCTAAAATTTAATATGAGCGATTTAAAATGTAATTAGTAAGTAGAACATTTACTTACATAATACTTAAGAATGAAATTTAATGTCATTCTGAAAATATTTACACTCGCAAACATATATAAATAATAAAAATAAATTGGATCAAAGGGCTTGATAAGAAAGATTTATGTACAATTTTGGGGAACAAATATAACTATATATTGTAGAAAAAGCATATTTAAATATTAATAATTTTTATCCTTTATACCTGACAGAGAGAAGTTAACTCATGAACAGACATTTCTCAAAAGAAGACATACTGAGACTTTGCTGAAGTTGCTTATCAGCTTATAGGGTTTAGGGGCTGAGACAATGGGGTTTTCTAAATATACAATCATGTCATCTGCTAACAGAAACAATTTGATTTTCTCTCTTCCTATTTGAATACCATTTATTTCTCTCTCTTGCCTGATGGCGCTGGCCAGAACTTCAATACTATGTTGAATAGGAGTGATGAGAGAGGGCATCCTTGTCTTGTGCTGGTTTTCAAAAGGAATGTTTCCAGCTTTTGCCCATTCAGTATGATATTGGCCGTGGGTTTGTCATAAATAATTCTTATTATTTTGAGGTATGTTTCATCAATACCTTGCTTATTGAGTGTTTTTAGCATGAAGGGGTGTTGAATTTCATCGAAGGCCTTTTCTGCATCTATTAAGATAATCATGTGTTTTTTGTCATTAGTTTTATTTATATGATGGATGACATTTATTGATTTGCATATGTTGAGCCAGCCTTGCATCCCAGGGATGAAGCCAACTTGATTGTGGTGGATAAGCTTTTTAATGTGCTGCTGAATTCATTTGCCAGTATTTTATTGAGGATTTTTGCATGGATATTCATCAGGGCTATTGGCCTGAAATTTTCTTTTTTTGTTGTGTCTCTGCCAGATTCTGGTACCAGGATGAAGCTGGCCTCATAAAATGAGTTAGAGAGGAGTCCCTCTTTTTCTATTGTTTGGAATAGTTTCAGAAGGAATGGTACCAGCTCCTCTTTGTACCTCTGGTAGAATTCAGCTGTGAATCCATCTGGTCCTGGGCTTTTTGGTTGGTAGGCTGTTAATTATTGCCTCAAATTCAGAGCTTGTTAGTGGTCTATTCAGGGATTCGACTTCTTCCTGGTTTAGTCTTGGGAGGGTGTATGTGTCCAGAAATTTATCCATTTTTTCTATATTTTCTAGTTCATTTGTGTAGATGTGTTTATAGTATTCTCTGATAGTAGTTTGTATTTCTATGGGATCAGTGGTTATTTCACCTTTAACATTTTTTATTCTCTCTTTTCTTCTTTATTAGTCTTGCTACAAGTCTATCTATTTTGTTATTCTTTTCAAAAAAAACAGCTCCTGGATTCATTGATTTTTGATTGTCTCTATTTCCTTCAGTTCTGCTCTGATCTTAGTTATTTCTTGTCTTCTGCTAGTTTTTGAATTTGTTTGCTGTTGCTGCTCTACTTGTTTTAACTGTGATGTTAGGGTGTCAATTTTAGATCTTTCCTGCTTTCTCCTGTGGGCATTTAGTGCTAAGAGTTTCCCTCTTAATCCTGCTTTAGATGTGTCCCAGAGATTCTGGTACATTGTGTCTTTGTTCTCACTGGTTTCAAAGAACTTATTTATTTCTGCCTTAATTTTGCTATTTACCCAGTAGTCATGAATGAGCAGGTTGTTCAGTTTCCATGTAGTTGTGCAGTTTTTGAGCAAGTGTCTTAATCCTGAGTTCTAATTTGATTGCACTGTGGTCTGAAAAGCTGTTTGTTATGATTTCCCTTCTTTTGAATTTGCTGAGGAGTGTTTTACTTCCAATGACGTGGTCAATTTTAGAATAAGTGCTACGTGGTACTGAGTAGAATGTATATTCTATTGATTTGGGGTGGAGAGTTCTGTATATTTCTATTAGGTCTGCTTGGTCCAGAGCTGAGTTCAAGTCCTGAATATACTTGTTAATTTTCTGTCTCATTGATCTGTCTAATATTGACAGTGGGTTGTTAAAGTCTCCCAGTGTTATTGTGTGGGAGTAAAATCAATGTGCAAAAATCACAAGCATTCCTATACTCCAATAATAGACAAACAGAGGGCCAAATCATGAGCAAACTCCCATTCACAATTGCTACGAAGATAATAAAATACCTAGGAATACAATTTACAAGGAATGTGAAGGACCTCTTCAAGTAGAACTACAAACCACTGCTCAAGGAAATCAGAGAGCACACAAACAAATGGAAAAACATTCCATGCTCATGGATAGAAAGAATCAATATCATAAAAATGACCATATTGCCCAAAGTAATTTATAGATTCAATGCTATTCCCATAAAGCTACAATTGACTTTCTTCACAGAATTAAAAAAAATACTTTAAATTTAATATAGAACCAAAAAAGAGCCCATACAGCCAAGACATTCCTAAGCAAAAAGAACAAAGCTGGAGGTATCGTGCTACCTGACTTCAAACTGTACTACAAGGCTACAGTAACCAAAACAGCATGGTACTGGTACCAAAACAGATGTATAGACCAATGGAACAGAACAGAGCCCTCAGAAATAACACTACACATCTACAACCATCTGATCTTTTACAAACCTGACAAAAACAAGCAATGGGGAAAGGATTCCGTATTTAATAAATGGTGGTGTGAAAACTGGCTAGCCCTATGCAGAAAACTGAAACTGGATCCCTTCCTTACACCTTATACAAAAATTAATTCAAGATGGATTAAATACTTCAGCATAAGACCTGAAACCATAAAAACCTTAGAAGAAAACCTAGGCAATACCTTTCAGGACATAGGCATGGGCAAAGTCTTCATGACTAAAACACCAAAAGCAATTGCAACAAAAGCTAAAATTGACAAACGGAATCTAATTAAACTAAAGAGCTCCTGCACAGCAGAAGAAACTATCATCAGAGTGAACATGCAACCTACAGAATGGAAGAAAATTTTTGCAATATATCCATCTGACAAAGGGCTAACATCCAGAATCTACAAAGAACTTAAACAAATTTACAAGAAAAAAAAACAACCCCATCAAAAAGTGGGCGAAGGACATGAACAGACACTTCTCAAAAGGAGACATTTATATGGCCAACAAACATATGAAAAAAAGCTCATTATCACTGCTCATTAGAGAAATGCAAATCAAAACCACAATGTGACACCATCTCATGCCAGTTAGAATGGCTATCATTAAAAAGTCAGGAAACAACAGATGTTGGAGAGGATGTGAAGAAATAGGAATGCTTTTACAGTGTTGGTGGGAGTGTAAATTAGTTCAACCATTGTGGAAGACAGTGTGGCGATTCCTCATGGATCTAGAACCAGAAATACCATTTGACCCAGCAATCCCATTACTGGGCATATACCTAAAGGATTATAAATCATTCTACTGTAAAGACACATGCACACGTATGTTTACTGCAACACTATTTACAATAGCAAAGGCTTGGACCTGACCCAAATGCCCATCAATGTTAGACTGGATAAAGTAAATGTGTCACATACACACCATGGAATACCAGGCAGCCATAAAAAAGAATGAGTTCATGTCCTTTGCAGGGACATGGATGAAGCTGAAAACCATCATTCTCAGCAAACTAATACAGAAACAGAAAACCAAACACCCCATGTTCTCACTCATAAGCAGGAGTTGAAAAATGAGAACATATGGGCACAGGGAGGGGAACATCACACACTGGGGCCTGTCGGTGGGTGGGGGACAAGGGGAGGAATAGCATTAGGAGAAATACCTAATGTAGATGATGGGCTGATGGGCGCAGCAAACCACCATGGCACATGTATACCTATGTGACAATCCTGCACGTTCTGTACATGTATCCCTGAACTTAAAGTATAATAAAATTAATAAATATAAATAAAAATGTATTACAAAGCCAAATATATATATATACATATATAAAACAAAGCTTAAAAAAGACACACAAACAGCCAACAAACATAAAAATCTGCCTAAGTCACTAATTATCAGAGAAATGCAAATTAAAACCACAATGAGATATTATCTTACACCGGTTAGAATGGCTATTGTTTAAGAAGTCAAAAAATGACAGATATTGGTGAGGGAGTATGTGGAGGAAAGGGAACATTGGTAAGAATGTAAATTAGTACAACTTCTTTGGAAAACATTATGGAGATTTCTCGAGAACTAAAAATTGAACTACCATTTAACCCAGCAATCCCAACACAATGTATTTACCCAAGAAACAGAAATCATCATATCAAAAAATATCTGCCTGCACTGGTATGTGTATCTCAGCACTGTTTACATTAGCAAAGTCATGAAATTAACTTAAGTTTTCATCAATGGAAAATTGGATAAAGAAAATGTTGTATATATACACAATGGAATACAAAGCAGTGCTAAAGAGGAATAAACTTATATATTTTGCAGCAATGTGGGTAGAGTTGGAGCCATTAAGCTAAATGAAATAACTCAAAAACAAAAATTTAAACACCCCACCTTCTCAGTTAAAAGTGGAAGCTAGACAATGTGTACACATGGACATAAAGATGGAAATGATACCTACTGGGGACTAAAACGGGGATGAGGGAAGGGGATGAGGATTAAAAAATCAACAGTTAGGTGCAATTTTTAATATGTCATTGATAGGCACACTAGAAGCCTAAACCTCACTGTCACTCAATATATCTATATAACAAACCTGCACATTTACCCCCTGAATCTAAACCTTTTTAAAAAATAATAAGTTTTGATTTTGATGGGATATAAAAGCTGTGTAGTAAGTAAATGAGTGAGCAAAAGGTCTATTTAAAAGCATCAGAGAGCCAGAAAGGCAGCCATAGCTTAGGAAGCCAAGATCACAGACAGCAGAAAACCAAAGTAAGGTGAGCTGGACTTTCTCAGTTTTTTTTTTTTTTTTCACTCTGAAAATGAGCTGTTTCCTAAGAATGCAGCTCAGGATATAGAAATATGGAAAACCAGATATAGAATAACTTTTACAAACCTGGAAATTCCCTAGAACCCACTCAATCTCTGATTAAAGCCAGGGATTGATCTCTGTTCTGAACTGTTGGGCAGAAAGGAATTATAAACTCATTCAAAGCCTTCATATTTTCACACATAATGTACACCAGTCAATAATCATACAAAATTCAGAACCAAGGGAAAAATGGAAATCAATCAACAGTGCTCCAATTGCTGAAGGTGGTTTACAATGACTTTAAAGTGACCTGAATAAATGTGTTCAGGAAAAGAAATAAAAAGGAGCATTTCACAAGCGAACTAGAAAGTATACAGAAGAATCAAATAGAAACTCCAAAACTATAAAATATACTTAATAATTAGTAATTACTAATTATTATAGTAAGTATTATAACTGATTACTATTATTAGTTGGTAGAAAATACCTAGACAGGCATAAAGAGAAAGAAAGACAAAAGGAAATACAGCAAATTGAGTATGATTAACACAAAATAAAAGTACTAGTAATGGGTAATGCGGTAGCCATTAAAGAAAGAGAATCAGTATTTGAAATCTACCCATAAACACCAGACTCACCAGTCTTTATTGATTAATCTCTGTGAAAATGAAACACAGATCTTACACAAATTATCAGAAAACAAATAAATAGAGGAACACTTTCAAACTTATCATATATGGCCAGAATTCACTAAATAGCAAACTCGAAAAGGACATTACAAGAAAGGAAAATTCTAAGCCACTCTATCTTACAAATGGAAAAGAAATAAATCTCAAGCAAAATACAAAAAAAAAAATTAACAGAGAAAGATTTTTAAAGTATTCTACATAATTACAAAATGGAGTTCATTTCACCAGTGAAACATTTCCTTAACAATACAAAAATCAACCAAATTCTAGACATTAAAATAATGTTTAAAGCTATATAATCGAGAGGCAGAGCAAGATGGTGAAAGAGAAAGCTCCACCAACTCCCATCCCACCCCACCCAAGGACACCAAGTTAACAACTATCTACACAGACACACACACAAAACACTTTTATAAGAACCAAAAATCAGGTGAGCCCTCATTGTACCTTGTGGAAATTCCATATAATTGTAAGAGGTACTGAAGTAGTAAAATAAATAAATAAATGAATAACAGTCTGGATTCACAGATGCTATCCTTCTCTACCCTCCTGGCAGCAGGGGCATGGTGTGGAGAATTCCTCTGGGCAGTGAAGCAGAAAGAACACAGAGATTGTGAAGCACTAAATTAAGTGCTGTCATGTTAGAGCAAAAAGGAAACTGGACCAAACTCAGCTGATGCCTGCCCACAGAGGAACACTTAAAATTAGCCCTAGCCAGATGGGAATCACTGCCAATCTTAGCAGTTGAAACTTGAGTTCCTACAAACCTCACTACTGGGGGCTACAGTGCTCTGGGTCTCTAAGTTAACTTTAAAGGCAGTCTTGGCCATAAGGACTGCAACTCTTGATGTGTCTTAGTGCTGAACCAGGCTGAGAGACGGTGGACTTGGGGGTGGAGAGAAGGTACACAACCTACTGAGACACCAGCTGGGGCAGCTAAGGCAGTGCTGGAATCACTCCTTCTCTAACTTCAGTCTACACAGATCACACTCAAAATACCCCTTCCTTCCATTTGAGGAGAGAGAGGGAAGAGTGGGGAGAACTTTGTTTTGCATCTTGTATACCAGCTAATCCACAGCAAGACAAGGCACTGGTCAGAGTAATGAGGCCCCCTCCTAGGCCCTAGCTCCTGGATGACATTTCTAGACATACCCTGGGTGAGAAGGGAACATGCTGTCTTGAAGGGAAGGAACTAGTCCTGGAGGCATTCATCACCTGTTAATTGAAGAGGTCTTGGGCCCCGAATAACCAGCAATGATACCTAGGTAATACATTGAGGGCCTTGGATGAGACTCTGAGGCTTACTGGTTTCAGGTGAGACTCTGTGCATTAACAGCTGTGGTGACTATGGGGCAAAACTCTTTTTGCTTGAGAAAAGCAGAGAGATAAGTAAAGGAGACTTTGTCTTGCACCTTAGGTACCAGTACAGCCATAGAGGGGAAGAGCAACAAGTAGGCTCTTAAAATCCCCAATTCCAGGACTTGACTCTTGGACAGAATTTATGGACATGCTGTGGGTCAGAGGGGAGCCCACTGCCCTAAAGGGTGACTCCCAGGCCAGACAGCATCATCACAAGCTGACATAAACACCTCTGGGCCTTAAGGCAACATCAGCAGTAGTCTGGCTGTGCTCCTCACAGCCTGTGGTGGCAGAGGATGCAGGATGAGGCTCCTCTGCTTTTGAAAAGTGGAGGGAAGAGTGGGAAGGACTGTGTCTTGTGGTTTCACCGTCAGTTCAGCCACATACAATAGAACACGGAGTAGACTTCTAAGATTTTTGACTCTAGTCCCTGACTTCTGGATGACTCAACTCATGCAGGGACTAGGGTAACTCACCACCCTGAAGGGAGGAACAAGGCCTGGCTGGCTTTGCCATCTGATGATCGTAGAGCCCCAGGGCCTTGAGCAAACATAGACAGTAGTAGCAAGGTAGTGTTTATAGTAAGCCTTGGGCAAGACCCAGTGCTATGTTAGCCTCAGGTCTGACCCAGCACAGTCATAGTGGTTGTGATCACAGGGGTGCTTGTGTCACTCCAACCTCAGCTTTAGGTAGCTCAGAAAACACACACACACACACACACACACACACACACACACAAAACACACACACAGAGAGAGAGAGAGAGAGAGAGGAGAGACTGTTTGGGAGAAAGTAAGGGAAGAGAAGAAAAGTTTCTTCCTGGTAATCCAGACAAGTCTCCTAGATCTTGTCCAAAACAATCAAGGCAGTATCTCTACAAGTCTGCAAGAACCATAGCATTACTGAGATTGGGGTGAACCCTAAAACAGATACAGCTTAGATCACAACACCCAAGTCCTTTTGAATATCTGGAAAGATTTCCCAAGAAGGATGGGTACAAACAAGCCCAGACTGTGAAGACTACAATAAATACCTAACTCTTCAATGCCCAGAGACAGATGAACAACCGATAGCTACAAGACCATCCAGAGAAACATGACCTTACCAAACAAACCAAATAAGGCACCTGTGACCAATCACGGAGAGACAAAGATATGTGACCTTTCAGACAGAGAATTCAAACTAGCTGTGTTGAAGAAATTCAGTATAACAAAGAGAAGGAATTCTGAATTATATCAGATGAATTTAATGAAGAAATTACATAATTTAAAAAATAAAGAATAATTGAAATTTAAAATTTATTTTAAAAGAATTGAAAGAAATTCTGGAACTGAAAATTGCAATTGGCATACTGAAGAATGGATCAGAGTCTTTTAACAGCAGAACTAATCATGCAGAAGTAAGAATGAGTAAGCTTATTCTTTGGTTAGGTTATTTGAAAATATACAGTCAGAGGAGACAAAAGAAAAAAATAATTTTAAAAATGCAGCAGGCCTATGAGGTCAAAAAAATAGCCCAATAGGGCAAATTGAAGAGATATTGGCCTTAATGTGGAGGTGAAGAAAGAGATAGGAGTAGAAAGCTTATTCAAATGGAAAATAACTGAGAAGCAAGGATGGTACTGGCATGAAAATAGACACGTAGAACAATGTAACTGAATAGAGAGAACCCAGAAACAAATCCGCACACCTCCAGTGAACTCATTTTTGACAAAGGTGTAAAGAATATACACTGAGGAAAAGACAGTTTCTTCAATTAATGGTTCTGGGAAAACCGGATATCCATTTAAAGAAGAATGAAACTAGCCCTTTATCTCTTGCCATATACAAAAATAAAATTCAAATAGATTAAAGACTTAAATCTAAGGTTCAAACTGTGAACGTACTATAAGAAAACACCGGGGAAAATCTCCAGGATACTGGTCTGGGCAAAAATTTCTTGAGCAATACCATACAAGCACAGGCAACCAAAGCAAAAATGAACAAATCAGATTACATCAAGTTCAAAAGTTTCTGCATAGCAAAGGAAGCAATCAACAAAATGAAAAGACAAGCCACAGAATGGGAGAAAATATTTGCAAATTACCCATCTGACAAGGGATTCATAACCAGAATATATAAAGAGCTCAAACAACTCTATAGGAAAAATCTAATAATCCAATCAAAAAGTGGGCAAAATATTTGAATAGACAACTCTCAGAAGAAGGGATACAAATAGCAAAGAGGCATATAATAAGGTGCTCAATATCATTGATCGTCAGAGAAATGTGAAACAAAACTACAATGAGATATCTTTCACCCCAGTTAAAATGGTTTATATGCAAAAGACAGGCAATAATATCATGGGATCTTAGAGGTGTCACTTTGCCAGCCTGAATCCTCTGTGACCAGTGGCACCT
The DNA here is from genome assembly GCF_000001405.40 of Homo sapiens. NCBI lineage: Eukaryota > Metazoa > Chordata > Mammalia > Primates > Hominidae > Homo > Homo sapiens. The sequence continues at coordinate 185,185,699 of NC_000002.12, read as the reverse complement.
TCTGCCTGAGTATTGCTCATGCCCGCTGGGCTTATTTTGCCCATGCAGCCTGGCAGGATGTGGAGCCCTCAGTGGAGAGGGGACCCAGAGTGGGTAGCTCCTATCTCCAGGCAGTTCATCGCAATGTCTGCCTGAGCCTGTGTGAGTCCAGGGTTTTTATGAGCTTTAGAAGGGAGGAAGTCCATGCTGATTGAACCATGGGTGGCCATGGGTGGGCCCAGAAAAAGCACCATAAGTTCTCACTCCTGGCAGTGGACTCCAAAAGAACTGACAGCCTGGCCTCCATGCTTCAGACTGTACCTGGCTTGAAGAAGGGGCTTCACTGGGGACCTGTCCCTTTCTGCCCAGGAGCCTGTCTACTGCCTGCCACCATCAACATGTCATCCACAGCACCCAGGCTGTTTGTGCTGAGGGTTGCCTGCAGGCCCACACTGAGCTGCTCTCAGGCCCGTTTTGGCCTCCCTTACATGCTCATCCGTGCCCAAAGTCAACAGCAGGCTGAGGTGGCGAGGGGCTGGCATATCAGCACTGCCCCAAGCACATGCATACCCGGCCAGGTTGTGTCAGCACCTGGGCTCAGCCACAACTTTGCTCTGAAATTGGAGTGGGTGCCAGGATCAGGGAGAGGCCAGGAAGTGGGAGCAGGCACTTCTGAGTCTGCGGTGGGAGGAGGGTTTCCCTGGACCCCAAGACCACAGCAATGCCTGGGTCCAGAGCTGCAACTGGGCAGCTGAAGCTGTGCCCAGGAGGGTGGGGCTCCTGCCCCACCAACTCAGAAGGGAACCCAGCACCCCCTACCTGTTCCCAGTTCCTGCTGGCTCCATGGAGCCCACAGCCCCAGTCACACCTCTTTCATTGCAGCTGGTGTCTACACAGCAGCCACTCCAGATGGGCTGCTGCTGCCATCAATGGCAAATGCTGGTGAGGTTGTGGAGTAAATGGAATCCTCATACACTGTTGGTGGAAACGTAAATTCATACAAACACTGTGGAAAACAATTTGGAGTTTCCTCAAAAACTAGAAATAGAGCTATCACATGATCCAACAATCCCACTGCTGGTTATGTAGCCCAAAGAAAAGAAACCAGTGTTGAAGACATATCTGCACTCCCATGCTTATTGCAGTACTATTCACAATAGCTAAGGTTTAGAAGCTACCTAGGCATCCATCAACAGATAAATGGATAAAGCAAATGTGGTACATACACATAATGGATTACTATTCAGTCATAAAAAAGGATGAGATCCTGTCATTTGCAGCAACATGAATGGAACTGGAAATAATTATGTTAGTGAAATAAGCCAGGCACAGAAAGGCAAATATTGCATATTCTCACACATTTGTGGGCTCTAAAAATCAACAAAATTGAACACATGGACATAGAGAGTAAAAGGATGGTTACTAGAGGCTAAGAAAAGTATTGAGGGTAGGAGATGGAGGAAGGTGGGGATAGTTAATGAGGATACACACACAAAAAAAGTAAGAAAGAATGAATAAGGCCAACTATGTGATAGCACAACAGGATGACTATAGTTAATAATAACTTAATTGTGCATTTTAAAATAACTACAAAAGTGTAATTGGATTGTTTGTAACACAAAGGATAAATGCTTGAGGGGATAGATACCCCATTCTCCATGATGTAGTTACCACACATTACATACTTATATCAAAACATCTCATGTTCCCCTATAAATATATGCATCTACTATGTACCCACAACATTTAAAATTTTTTAAATTTAAAATAATATATATAATCATTGCTATAAATGCATAAAGAGAATTTGATACAATCAATACATATTTATGATCAAATGAAACAAAATAATAATCTGAGCAATCTAGGAATAGAATAATAATTCCTTAGTGTGATAAGGGTATCTTAAAATAATACCACAATATTATGATTCATTGTGAAATAATAAAGATTTGTTCTCTGAGTGCCAGAACAAGAAAAGATTGCCATAATCATTCATTATTTTAAACATTTTTTGTAAGATCTTTAGAGTGCAATCAAGCAGGAAAAAAAATAAGAAATGTGATTATCATTATTTGCAAATGACAAGATTATATATGTTGAAGATGTCTGAAATTAAAAGATACACTGTTAGAATTAACAACCCAGAAGTTTTGTTGAGTTCAATGTCATTATTAAATAAATTTAATTAAACATATATATATTAGCAATAAATATAGTAAATATTTTACATTGCTTACAGTAACATTAAAAATAATACATAATACCAATAAATTGATTTATAACATTAAGCAACATTTCAGCACAGAAAATTATAAACTTTAAGCAGAACAAGTTTGGAGGAATTAAAATTTAAGTTTATACAAATTTTTAAAGTGTAGTATCATCACAATAGTAAGTAAATAGATTTGAGGAACAAAATAGATTGTCCCATAGAAGACCACTCATATGCAGTCATCTGATTTATAAAAAGATCCCTATGCAGTACCATGAATTATTTAAATAATATCTATAAAAATAAAATGTGCTATATCAGTTGGATATCCATTTGGAAAAATGTATTAGTATTGTTCCAATTAATTCACTATATATACAAAAATTTATTCCAGATGGGTCATAAATCTAAATAGAAATATAAAATCATATAGTACTTATGATATACATTAGGAAAATATCTTTGTGATCTTGGTTAGAAAAAATATTTTAAATAAGACACAAAGAGCATAAATCAAAGAGAAAACTAAAATACATGTAATTCAGCTGAAATCAAGACCTTTTGTTTGTTAAAATACGCCATGAATGAAGTGAAGGATACTAGGTACAATTTGGGAGAAACGACCTTCTATGCCCATACCCAACAAAGACTCATGGATTTTGTACTAATCAAAGAATGGTATCTATGCTTTCTCAAACAAATTATGAGGAAAAAGCATTGGTCTCAGTTTATTGTAAGATCCTTTCCTCTTCTAGAATGTAGAACTATCATGAGATAATTAAAATTATCAATTTAAAATAGGATTACCAGAATTCTTAGATTTAATCCACAGATGGGAAATATTTTGTCACGTCACTAAAATACTTTTGTGTTATTTTCAATGTTGTTACTCCAAATTTTCAAGTTTATGTTTTAAAATATACATATATTTACATGATATATGTATCACTCACTTGGAAGTTTTTCCCTCAACTATACAATCAAAGAAAATTGTGCATAATAACCAAGCTGCATTTTCTACTCTTCTTCTTACAATGATTTACTAATCTTACATAAGCAACTGCTAAAAACCCTCTACTTCTTAAGTGAGTGAACTTGCAAAATACTGTGTTTGGATTTGAAAGCAATTTGATTATAAAATATTTTGTTCCACTTTTTTCATAAAGTTTATTTGACATTCTTGAGTTTCTAATTGTGAATAACAGCATGTTGATGGCTTAAGAAACCTCTGTTTTAAATTTTTCTTTGCTTACTATTGATAGGTGTAGATGATATATATTCACTAACAGTCATAGTTTTATGTATGACCCTAAAGGAGGCGGAGTAAAATACTGTTAAAAATGTTAGCTCTGAAGTAACTTTGATTGGACGTGTTCACTGGCTCTACCATTTGCTTAGTCATGGGTGTAGTGGGGAAATTACTTAGCAACTCTGTGTCAGTTTCCTTGTCTATAAAATGGTGTAATAACCACTCCAAACTCATGAGTTGTTGAGAGGTTAAGTGAGTTAATAAAATTTGTATGAGTTAGTCAATAAAAAAACAGTCCTTCGCAAATGATTAAAATTGTAAGTTATATTATACATGTGCTTGGCACATACTAAATATTTACATGTTAGCTTTTATTATAATTATGACTTCTAGAAAGATAAATATTTAATATTTAATTGAGAATGATCCTTATTCTCTTTATGGAATGTTTATTCCTTCTTCAAGGCCTAGTTCAAAAATAGCCCTACTTTCCAACCTCCGGGTGAATTAATTGCCGTTTTCTATATCTCTTACCAAATTTTAGGTTCTCATATTACTGTATTGTAAATATTTATGTATGTTTCCTCCTCCAGAAAGTACACATTTAAGACCATATTGCATTCAAATTTCTTAGTTCAGCACTTTGAATGTAGAAAGGCCTATAACTAATGTTTGTAGAAGTTTACTTTAGATTTCGGTCTTGTGGTGGTTGCTGTTGGTATTGCCAAACTCTAAGTCCTAGCCTAAGCAATTCTCTTTATCTCTCTTTGCTTCTTCCTGCTTCCTCTGCCCCTCACCTTTTGTCATTTGGCTCATTTCTCCAGATCTTTTGAAACTGACAGTGGTCTATCTTGTGAAAAGAAAAAAAATCTGAATTATGCTAGGAAAATCATTTGTAAATAAACTTAATAAATATAAGGGAAATATACTTTCATAACTATTCTACATAGAACTGCAATATTTTTTAGTTATAGCCATGGCTGAATCCTCAGTTTGCACACCTTAATAGGACACTGAATATATGGTCATTGGAACATTTCTTTTCTTTTTGAAGGAGCCTGTAAAAATGTCATGAGCCTTGAGCATAGACTCCAAAGGCTCAGATTTGAGCACTGGCTGCTTCATGTTCTATGTGACTGCAATAGCCAACACTAAATTTCCATTTCTGTTACATAAGCACTAGGCTAGATCAATGGTTTAAAAAAAGATCTGCTGTACAATATTGTACTCATAATCAGCAATAATGTACACTTAAAGTTTATGAAAAAGATAGAGCTTATGTAAAGTGTTCTTACGACGATAAAATTGTGTTTAATTTTTTTTTTTGAAAAAACGTAGTCACATAGATATTTAGGCATTAGAGGCTCAGAGGGACCTCACAGGTGGGAGGGGTTGAAAGAAGAAAAGCAGAAGAGGACCTCAGAAGCACTCTTAAACAAAGTAAGCTTTATATGTATATGTATATGTATATATGTATATGTATGCGTGTATATATATACATATACATATATTTAGAAGTATACGTATATATTATGTATAAACTATATATATTATTAAAAATCTAAATTGATGAAAAAGAGTACAATGACAAAACATTTGGAAAATCACTGCAATACATTTGTTTCAAGCCTCTAGCCACTGGAATATCTATATCTATATCTATATCTATATACACACACACATATATATACACATATATTAGTAGGATATATATTCTGGTAATATTTTTCTTCAGTTACTTTATAGATAAATGTTGGAAAAACACTGTAAGCATGTGATTTGTTCATTCAAACTTCAAGAGAATATTTTAAATTCAAGTTACTGTATACATAGTTTATTCCAAGTCAAATTTCTTTTTTATATATTCTTTTATAAAATAAATATAAATTAAATCATTACAATATAAATAGGACAATTACAGTTACTTTCAGTGGATAAAGATTTGACAACTTATATTTGTAACGACTGTGTCTTCTATGTTTATATTTTAAACAATGTATCTACTATTCACAATAAATGAACAAATTAGCAAAGTGGAATTGATAATTTTCATAATATCCTTTAAAAATGTATGCTTATAGACGACATGATTGTGTACACTTGGATTTTCTGGAATTTTCTTCATTTGACTTAATCCTTTGCTTTTAAAACACAAACTCCCTATCAATGTTAATGCACATTCAAAACATAATGGCATTTGACAGTAAATACACAGCCTCATCAAATCACTTATCTCCCCATGCTTCCGCAGTAATATTGAGGGAATCTGAATAAATCACATCTCAAAGGGTACAGCTGCTGTCAAACAGCATAACTAATGAATTGCCTTGACTGGAAGAGAGCAAATAATATCTTGCGTTTATAATCTAAGACAGCTGATGGCTGAGTCCTTGAACTGAATCAGTCACCATAACTAATTATAACCTGAAAAATTATAGTGACTTTTATGCTAATAATTAGTAAACACCTAGTAGCAATTTCTTAGAGAAGATAGATTGTCATACGATTTGCAGAATGGTGAAGTAATACAATTTGAACTAATGTACAGGCCCGTGCTTTTCTTTTATTTTTGCCTTTTATTTTCCATTATCAAAATTATAGTTGTCTGGTCATTAGCTTAAAGCAATAATAATAATATGAGACTATAGAACAAACTAACGATATCAAGATAAAGAAATAGGTATTAAAAGCCTACAATAAAGAACAACTAGCTATGAAGTTAGCTTTTATTTCAGTTGTGTATATATATATACCATATACAAATTGTGTAATATTTTGATATCTTCAGTGTTGTAGGGGAATATTTATTATTAATAACTGCTAAAGCAAATTCTTAGTTGACCCATGAGAACTCTTTTCAAAATATGAGAATATCATTCTTAATTAGTACATTTGATTGACATCTAAATTTTATAACCATACAATTCGTTACACAGCAAAATTACCAAATTCACAGGTAAAGATCATCTTGAGGAATATAAACTAGCTGTGAGAAAAGAGTTTTCCTATATAATCACATGAATTAGAAGCTCATTGTGTTTCTAAGAAAGGAAATAGTATAGGAGAGAAATAGTGAGAGTGTTCAACCTTACTAGTAATCAAAGAAATATGAAATAAAATTTTACTTATGTAGTCTGCAACAAAATTTGTTTCTTTTATAGTGCTGGTCAAAGTATAAGTTGCTAAAGGATTTTCAGAAAAGTATTTCAGTCATTCAAGTTCTTCCACATATAAAATAATAAAATTTCAGCCAGTAATTTTATTTCTGTGAATTTTTATCAAAAAATAAAATAAATATAAAAACCAAAATTATATATATGAAAACTGTGTAATAACAAATAAAATTCAGGATAAAAGTGTTTTATGCATTACAAATAAAAAAGTGTCAATATTATGAAGATAAAGATTGCTCAGTGTGAAGCAGAATGAATTACATACTTTCCTCTTATTCTTGTTAATGGATATTTTATGGTGAATGCATACTTCAGCTTCATAATTTAAATATGCATGTATAATATATCAAACTTAGTATATTTATATATTGCCCAAGCTAAAAATATGGACTCCAAGATGGCAAATTATTCCAAGTGCAAAATAAAAGCTGTGTCTTCTATTTTACGAATCAATTTCTAAATTACGAATCTATCATATTATGAAGAGAATGTGTCTTGAGGTATAAAATTAATATTGTCTTACCTTATATAGCCAGCATTTTCTAAAAGATGTAAATATATAACCCATTTTACAATTTAAACATTTTTATAAAAATATTTGTCATTGAGTCTAACATTAAGCACATTAGTTGAGGTTTTATGCTTTTTACATTTTTTTAATATGCTATGTTGAGCTTAATATTTTCTGCTATATGAAAATTACAAAGTAAGCTAAGGTTCCATTTTGGTGTATAATATATACATATATAAGAAAAACAAATTTCTTTCACTTCCAGAGTTTGAGTCAATACTTTTTCCTAAGAATGCCTCTGATTTCCCCTATATTTTCTCCTACTAATACTATATTGATTTCTAAGAATCATGAAATGGATTTATTTGGAAAGGAAAATATATGTAGATAATTCTTATCTTCGTAGCTACCAATTTTACCTCTTGTGTTCAGAGACCATGCATTTATTCAGTATCCCCCAATAGTGCTACAGTAAATATTTTTAAATGATGCCCAATTCCAAGCAGTAAGGGGGAATTATTATAGATAAAATTCCTCCTCCCACATGCAAACCGTTCTAAGTATATAGAAACAATAAATGTGCTATGTTTAAATTTAAATTTATAGCTGAAAAAGTAAACAAACAAATAAATAAAATCCATAGTACAGAGACTGGGCCCAAGTTGGAGAAAGGAGAAAGATGCTGAATCTATACAATCTCAAGGAACCAGAGTAGAAGTTTTAGTAATTGGGGGTTTAGATACTCGTCAACAGATTAACAAAGGCTGGATATCAATCAAGGTAGTTCTCAAAAACATAAAGTTAAACAAGGTTTAGGATGGTATATAAGTAATATATAAAAACATTTAAAATTTTGAAATAATAAAAGGAAACAATACCTATCTATTGGGACTAGTTATGGAATAAGGGGTTCTTCAAATGTGTTGGTAATTAGAAAAAACAAGATGAGATATTCAACCTTATTTGTGTTTGTGTGCATGCTTGATATTTTTTCTGTGCTTTTTTTGCATTTTAAAATAAAAAGAAAGCTCCACTCATTGAACTCTACAAAATTAAAATGTTGATGCATCATTCTTTTTCTCTTTTATCAGTTTCTCTCCATAATCAACAATGTGTAACTCACTCAGCATTGTGACTGCTCAATTAATTTCTTTGGATGAACAAATATACATTAGCTAATTACTTAGAGAACTATTCTGGTGTTACATAAACAAAGAATCATGGGCCAAAATAATTATTTGCATACTTTACTAAGCATGCATACTTAGGGTATTTAATCAAGATAGATAGGTAATTCACAGCAGTAATTTTTTTGGAAACTAAAACTGCCCACTTAATTTACTTTGTAGAGAGAAAACAGCAAGATTATAGTCATTGAATCTTGGAAATATGGTGAAGCCCTATAAAAGACCAGCCAAATCTCCTGCAGTAAGATGTCCAGACTAATAGAACTCCAGTAGCTGAGTTATTTGAGGAAGAAAAGGTAAAAAATAGTGATGTTCAGTGCCAACCATTTCACCCATAGCCACCTGATATGTTAAAAAAAATCTTTGAATTCTTGAGAACCTAGGTTTGAATCAAATCACTACCACTTACTTCCAACTAGGCATCTCAAAGGTGCCTATCAGGGTTGTGAAAAGAGAAGGTAAAATTTATGAAGTGTTTATCATATGTTTTGCATATCAACAAAACACAATTAATTCTAATTCTTGTTTTTGATACTGAATACTTTCCCATAGAACTTCGCATATACTAAGGAGTTGAGAAATTGTGACTAATAAAAAATAGTATGATAGTTGTCTAACAAAGACATTTATAAGTGCTTATTATGAATTAAATTATTTAATCTCACAAAACTGTAAAGTAGATATCTAGCACTTAATAACTGCTCCAACATGAAAAAGATTCTTAAATATCCCTAAAGAGATTAAACAGCTATAGAGAGAGGGATATTTAACTATCCTTATGGAGATAGGGATATTTAAGAAACCTGTCTATGTTTGGGTAGCTAAGTGCTAGATATACCATAGGTATAGGCATAGGTATAGAGATAGATATAGTTAAGAATAGGGGTAGAGATAGAGAGGTAAATATAATATGTGAACCCAAACCACTTGAGCTTTGGAAACTGCACAATTTACCACGGCATTGCTAATAAGTTCCTTTGCTTCTCAATGTTAAATTAAGTACAATTATAAATAAGTGAGTATCTTAGTATAAAATAAATATCTCCTAGGATTTTATATATAATTTAACTTTTTAGGCATATTTAAAATTTTGAAACTAATTGTTAAGCCCTGGTGCTTTAAGTTTAGCAACATATTAAGCTAAATTAAAAATGAATCATCTTAGTTTATAGCATATTCTCATATGGTCTCACATTCAATCTAATAAGAATTCTAAGTAATTTGAAATCTCTTCATTATGATTCTAAAAATGTGACTGATATTTGCTGCAATAATTGTTATATGCATTTCAATAAAAGCAAATTAGCCATAGATTATAGTTAATTTATTGACTTTTTCAAATGAAATATAAATGGATTAAAAGGTTTAAAGGTATGTTAATAAAATCTAACCTACAGCAGATACAATTTTCCTGTATGCAATTATTTCTCTAAGACTGAATATGTGAAACAAGATTAAAAACAAATAACAAAAATGTTACATTATTCATTATAACAACTAAAGCATATTATATGTTTTTCTGATGAATGGTAATTACATTCTTTTTTTAGTAAACAATACCTACTGAGGACAATATATTGGAAATGTAGTTAAATAGTTGCATATGAAGTTTAGAAAGGACCACTGTGCATCTAGTGTAAATATTACTATAGGTTATTGAACTTTTTTTTACAACCTCTCTATCACTTCAAAAGTTTTTTGGGAACAGTTGACATCCAGTTGGAAATGATTACATTAGGAAATAAAATTCCCACAATATACATATTTTGCTTCAGCTCAAAATGAAAAGCTAGAAAGAACATTGTTCTTGCTCATACCACCAGAAGAAAACATTGGAAAAACTGCCAGTTAATGGTGTTTCTCCAGCCCATCAGAGATCTGTAGTTGTAATTCAAAGAGCTAATTGAAAACTTGGAAATAGGTAAGTGCTTACAGGGAGAAACACTACTCAAACATGTGCTTACCTGAAACATATGCCATTTAATGCCATATAAGCCAATAGGAAGATCCAGCTAGACTTTGTTACCAAATGGCCAAATGTTAGATGTAGGTTATGTGAAAGTGTAAAGATGCCCTGAGGGCCACTAACATAGGTGGTTTGCAGTATCTTACAGACTTTCCTCAAGATATCTCACCATTCACTCTCAGAAAGAATTAAGTAAAAGCTTCCACCATCGTGTTGGCTGGATGATGGGAGCAGTAGCTCCTGCCAAAACTACCCAGACCCATCTCACCTGTCTCTACTAATAATTAAAAGTCTTACCCTACAGAGGGAAGGGTAACAAAATTTGTAGCCTGATAGCAAAGGTAGTAAAGGAGTACAAATGAGGGAGGTGTGGATAGAAAAACAAAACAAAAACAAACAAACAAAAATCTCTACTTTTAGGTGAAGAATAATAATAGATGTCAGGCTCAGCATTACCTCTGATCAAGGGAAAGAAACAACTTTGTGAGCTGTACCACTGATACCCACTTTTATAATCCTAACTAAGATTGAAGGTTAATCAAAACATCAGATAACATGCCTGCCACCATGTCACACACACACATACACGTGCACACACACACCATCACTCAAGCAAGCATTGAATAAAAGTAACAGTGGAATACAACTGGGGAAGGAGCAAGAAACGGATTGTCTCTTGGAAACAACATAAAAGGAACACCTAAAGTAAAAAATGAGGATAACTAAATAAACCAGAGAGGAGAAATCGCAAATTTGCCCAAACTTTAAACACCAGAAATGACTAGCAGAATTTGAATCTTCTAGTACACTGAGAGTAATCATTACAATAAAAACTTTATACCAAGTCCAACCTCTGACTAAGGAGTTGTGCAATACCCTTACACTAAGACCTAACAGAAGAAAAGGTGTACTCACTTTCAAACTTACTTACCTCTGTATATTTTACAACATGCCTTGCTTAAAACAAACATTTATGAGGTATGTAAAAAGGTAAGAATAAACATTGGCTGAAAAGACAAAATTATCATAATGACCAGAGTCAGATATGAAAGACATATTGGCATGATGAGACAGAGAATTTAAAACAACAATGATAAATACGTTAAACGCTCTAATCGAATAGTGTGGCATCATACACAATCAGATAGATACTTCCAGCAGAGAAATGGAAATTATTAAAAATTAAGAAAGTAGAAATGTTAGAAACCAAAACACCATAATAGAAATAAAGCCTTCAATAGGCTCACCAGTAGACTTGATGGAGCAGAGAGAAAAAAATTATTAAACTTGAAGGCAGGTCAATAGAGATTACCCAGATAGAAATGCAAAGAGAAAAAAAAGAAAAAAACAGAAGATAATATACAAAAATGTATGACAGTATCAAATCGTCTGAGATAAATGCAATCAGTATAGCCACAGTAGAAGAAAGAAGAATGGAAACAAGAAATATTTGAAGAATTAGTGGCAGGAAATTTTTCAAAATTGTGATAGACATTAAACTGCAAACCCACAAAACTCAAAGAACAAAAAAGCAGAATAAATATCAAAAAGGAAATCATAACTATCATATTCAAATTTCTGAAAATCAAAGTAAAAGAGGAAATCTTAAAGATAATAAGAGAAAAAGACTCCTATCTACAAAGGAATGGAGTCAAGCAGAAATTTGAAGAATATTCTACAAAAATATATTTAAAAGTCAAACAGAAATAAAACTTAGATAAACAAAAACTGAGGGAAGGAGCTATCAGCTGACCTACTCTACAAGAAATGTTAAAGGAAGCTCTTCAAGTAGAATAAATATGATATAGGTCACAGAAACTGAGATCAAAACTGAGAATTAAAAGGTATGCAAAATGGAATAAATAAAGGTGAAATACAACCATTTTTATGATTTTAATTACTCTAAAAGATAATTGAATGTTTACAGCAGAATGGTAACAGTTATTGTCTTTATAATATATGTAAAATAAAATACATGACAATGATGGTAAGGGCCTAGAGAGGAATAATTGGAAATTATAATAGTTATAACATGTTTACGTACGTGAAGTGGTATAATATTCTCTGAAGGTAGCCTAGCCAACATAGCAAAACCCCGTCTCTACAAAAAGTACAAAAATTAGCCAGGCGAGGTGGTACATGCCTGTAGTCCCAGCTACTCAGGAGGTTGAGGTGGGAGGATCATTTGAGCCAGGGAATTGGAGGCTGCAGTGAACCATGATAGCACCACTGCACTATAGCCTGAGAAAGAGCAAGACCCTGCCTCAAAAAAAAAAAAAAAATTCTCTGACGGTAAACTCATATTATTTTAACATATATAAGAAAACTAAGGACAACATTTTTTAAAGGTGCTATGGCTAATTTGGATATAATGCAAATCATAAAACATGCCTGTTAAACTCAAGGGAAGCAGGAAAAAAAGGAAAGAACAAATAAAGCAAAAACAGATAAGGAAGTGATATATTTTAATCCAGCCACATGAGCTATCATTTTAAATATGAATGCTCTACACCTGTTTAAACATATAAATTGTCAGATTTATAGTCAGGATAAGAAAACAAGACCTAGCTTTATGCTGCCTATACAACATCCTTCAGAGAGGCTTTCACTGAATAGTATTCAACTTCTTTTTTATATATTTTCATAATAGCACCGTACTTCCATTTTTGTCATACTCAGCATGATGCAAATTACTGAGAGACTATGTTCTACTCTATGTTAGAAATATTGTTCTCCTTTTTCCTAAAATAATTCCAGTGTCTATCACATTGCTGGACGAGATGGTCTATTATAAACTCTCAGTGTTTTTAAACAAATCATAATTCTACCCAACATTCATATAAACATCGATAATATGGTGAGATTTTCCAAGAATAGCTTAGGAAAAATGTGAACTAAAGTCGCATTTAGATACTCTGATTTATTTTGCAAAAATAATTATTTAAATTTAACAATGGACACAAAAATTCTTCACTTAATGAATAATTAAATAAGTAGAAAAAATTATAATCATATCAATAAACATCTGAGAAAATGTAATGTTTTTCATTTTGTACAACAAAATAATACTAGTGTCACTCTGGAAATTAATGTGAAGAATGCCCATAATTATATTCAAAATTGTATTTATAATATTTTATAATACTTGAGAAAGAAATTGTTATTTCAAATAATGAGTAGAAATAACATTTTAATATTATAATATTATTTCTAATTATTATTTGAGATAATATTTTAATTGATTTTCAGTTCCTTTGGTTGATGAACTCTAAATTACGTGCAAAAAGGGAATCAGATCAGGCACAATCACTCAAGAGAAGGTTGTTTATTCAGATACAAAATTTAATAGAAGTTCATTCTTCCTTCAAAATAAGTTTACTATTCTGGTCTGTATACATATTTTTAATTTTACATATTTAATTGTTACATCATTCTCAGTAACATAATCCTGACATATTTTAATTTCTTAAGTCTTTATGTCATGTTAATTAATATGAATTGTTGCTCTCAGGTCTGGCATGAGTCAATTATAAAGACAATGCTTTTATTATTTCAAAGTCTTTATTATTGAAGAAAATTTATATTCAATATTAAGCTCTATGTCATGAGATCATGTGTTTCAAAATCATTAATAAAAGGATATTAAGTGATATAGGATAATGGGTTAACGAAACTATAATTTAAAAGAACATTAAAAGAAAGCAAAATACAATTATTTCCAATATAGCCTATAAAGTGAAAGTGAACATACGAAGGAGAAAACAATTGATGCTATAAAGAACTGATAGAAAACATGTGCATATATTTTATCTATAAACATAAGTCAGTTAAGTGCATTGGTTTCTCCATGGGAAAAAAGGCCTGCAACAGTGACAGAACAGCAACTGTACATAATGTGCGAATGACATGAAATAAACAAAACTCCAAAGCCAGGATATATACTCATTAGTGATGTATAGGACAAAAGTATAATAAGGATAATTATATATCTGTATTCTAAATTTATTTTATTACATATTTAGCAATAGCAGATTTAATAATTATGATTTACTGGAAGATGAAACCAGAACAACTTATTCTTCATTCTTAGATCTGCTTTCAATGGATTTCCAGTCATGTGTAATAAAATACATACAGATTAATATTTGCATGTATCATAACATCTATCATTTCATTTCAGAGCAACGCGCTGCCATTAAAATGCCAATGTTTATCCCATTATATTAATGTTCAAGCCAGGGAATGCCTCCAAATTCTGCACATACCATCATCCCATTTTCTTAATCAACATTGATTACAAAATTCTTGCTAATTGACTCAATTGTGTTATGCCTGTCTTCACTCATCCAAATCAAGCAGGGCTCATTAAAATTCAAGTTTCCTGTAATAACATCAGATTATACATTAATGTGATCCATTTGTTTAGAATAAACTGGATCAAATTGCAATATTTTGTACATGAAAATAGACAAGTTTGGTCAATAGGCAAAAAAATTTTTAGTGTAATTTAGAGATATTAGAAATGGCATTTTCATTTTCTGCATAGTTCTAGTTATTCTTGGAATAATGTGAAAGGGAAAAATGCATGTGATCAACAGTGAAATAAATTGAAATTATATATTTATGTATTTTAGTAAATAAAAGGAAAAAATATTTTTTAATAAAATAGGACCTTTGATGTGATTGATTTTTATATTGAAATTACATCAATAACATATGGCTGATTGAAAATACTACTATATTTTTGCTAACTCAAAGTACAGAGAGAGCAATGTGAAAAATCTAAATTCCCAAAAGAAATTGCAACAAAAACAAAAATTGAACAAGTGGGACCTAATTAAACTAAAGAGCTTCTGCACAGCAAAAGAAACTATCAAAAGAATAAACAGACAAGCTACGGATGAGAGAAGATGTTCACAAACTATGCATCTGACAAAGTTCTAATATCCAGAATCTATAAGGAACTTAAGAAGCAAAACACAAATAATCCCATTAAAAAGTGGGCAAAAGACGTGGACAGACAGTTCTCAAAAGAAGCCATACAAGTAGCCAAAAAAATATGAAAAAATGCTCAACATCACTAATCATCAGACAAATGCAGAACAAAACCACAGGATACTTGGAGTGCAATGGCTCATGCCTGCAATCCCAGCAATTTGGGAGGCTGAGGCTGGTAGATCACTTGAGGCAAGGAGCTCGATATCAGCCTAGCCTACATGGCAAAACCTGGTATCTACTAAAAATATAAAAAGTTAGCCGGGCTTGGTGGCGCACACCTGTAATCTCAGCTACTTGGGATGCTGAGGCATGAGAATCCTTTGAACCCAGGAAGCAGAGGTTGCAGTGAGCTGAGATGGTGCCACTGCACACCAGCCAGGGCGATGGAGCGAGATATTACTAAAAAGTCAAAAAATAACAGATGTCTGCTAGGTTGCAGAGAAAAGGGAACACTTATGCACTATTGGTGGGAATGGAAATTAGTTCAGCCACTGTGGAAAACAGTTTGGAGATTTCTCAAGGAGCTTAACACAGAACTGCTATTTGACCCAGCAATCCCATTACTGGGTATATACCTGAAGGAAAATAAATCGTTCTACCAAAAAGATCCATGCACTCCTATGTTCATTGCAGCACTAGTCACAATAGCAAAGACATGCAATCAACCTATGATCCCATCCACGGTGGACTGGATAAAGCAAATGTGCTACCTATACATCATGGAATATTAAGTAGGCATAAACAAGAACAAAATCATGTCCTTTGCAACAGCATGGATGGGGCTGGAGGCCATTATCCTAAGCCGATTAACATGGAACAGAAAACCAAGTACCACATGTTCTCATTTATAAGTGGGAGCTAAACATTACATACACATGGATATAAAGATGGGAACAATTGACACTGGGGACTACTACAGCAGGGAGGTGGGGAGTGGTGTGAGGGTTGACAAGCTACCTATTGGGTATTATGCTGACTTACCTGGATGATGGGATTATTAATACCCTAAACCTCAGTCTCACACCATATACCCATTTAATAAACCTGTACATGTACCCCCCACTCTAAAATAAAAGTTTAAATTAAAATAAATTGTTTTATTTTTTGGCTTATTTTTTAAATAAGATGAACTTTTGGCATATAATTATATGAATTTTAACACATGTCAATATCATATTGATAAAAAAACATTGCCTTCACCCAAAAAACTCCCTTATGCTATCCTTTTGTAGTCATACCCTCCTGTGATATCTGGTAACAACCAATCAGTTCTCCTTATTATAATTTTTTTCCCAAGAACATCACCGGTATCGAATCACATAGCATGTAATCTGAGAATGTCTTCTTTCATTCAGCAGAATATCTCTGAGATCTA
Organism: Homo sapiens; assembly: GCF_000001405.40. Lineage (NCBI taxonomy): Eukaryota > Metazoa > Chordata > Mammalia > Primates > Hominidae > Homo > Homo sapiens. The sequence goes on along the minus strand of NC_000002.12, from coordinate 185,169,046 downwards.
GCCAAGTTGTTGCATGTATTGATGACTAGTATTTCATCATATGAATGTCCTCCCATTCCACCTATTCACCTACTGATGATCTTTTTGTTTAGAAATTATAAAATAAATTCATAGCTTTGCACAGCTTATTTAAAATTTTTATCACTTCCATTGGAATGTAGAAGTATTTCCACCATACACAGTCCACTTTACTTTCCTCCTTTTATACCCTGGTTGTCTTATATTTTGCATCTGTATATATTGAAACCCCCATTAGGCAGTGCTATATTTTTTTGTTTTCAACTTGCAAGCATATTTTAAAGAACTCAAAAGGAGAGGAAATATCTATTATATTTACCATATATTTACACTTTAGGTTCTCCTAATTTATTCTGGATTTTGCAAGTTTCCTTCCAGTATAATTTTTCTTCTGTCTGAAGAATTTTCTTGGGCAATTATTTTAGAGCATTTCGCAGCCTAAAAATTATTTTAGTTTTCTTTCATATGAAAATGTCTTTATTGCATCATTGACATAAAGGATATTTTTACTCACTAACGTTCTGAATGGATAGCTCTTTTCTTTCAGTACTCAGAAAATGCTGGGCCCCTTTATTCTGGCCTCCAAGATTTTCAATGATGAGCCTGTGGTCATTCAAATCATTGCTCCCCTATAAATAATGAACTGTTTTTTTCTGGCTCCTTTCAAGATATATATTTGTTTTAAGTTTATAGCAGTTTGTTTATGATATATCTGAACATATATTTCTTTGTGTTCATTCTGCTTGGAGTTCATTCAGCCTCATAAGTCTATAGATCTATGTCTTTCACCAAATGCAGGACTTTCAATCTATTATTTCTTTTATTATTGTTTCAGCATCATACTTTTTCCCTGTTCTTATGGAATTCAAAATTTTTGACCTTTTTCCACGAGTCTCTACAGCTCTGTTTGTTATATTTATTCAATGTTTGTTCTCTCTCTGTGTCTCTTTATGGCTCATGTTCAGACTGAGTAAAAGCTATTGATCTATCTTCAAGTTTTCTCACTTTTTCCTATCTTATCTGTATTCTTCCATTGAGTTTGTTCAGTGGGGTTTTCAGTTCTAAAATTACCCTTTCTTTCTTCTTCATATTTTAGAGGCTTTTTACACTTTGTATTATAACATTTGTTTCAAAAGTGTTTTTATTTGCTTATTTGAATGTATTTGTCAGATAATTCCTACATCTCTATCATCTTTTGATCATTTTCTTCTGACAAGTTGATATTATCATAATTCATCATACATTGAGTAAGTTTGGATTATATCTTGACATTCTGAATTTTACATTATGAGACACTGGGTCTTGTCAAAGTCCTGTGAAGAATGTTAAAATTCATGTTTTATTATGAAATTTACCTGGGTAGGTTCAGGCTGCAAGATCTAACCCTCATTCTCTGGTCTATGGTTCCAATGTTGGTTCATTTTTCAAACCCATTGCTTTGCTATACAACTATGTGCCATGTATGCAGTAAAGCTTAGTGAAGAACTTGGGAAGAGGTCTGTTAGCTCAGTTCTTAATGTCTTTTGCATGCTAATTAGAATTAGATTTTTACATGCATAGGCCAAAGGTGAGCCCAGTAGTTCACAAACTACTCAATGGGATTGGTTTTTCTAGCTCTGCCACCTTTCTACAATTTTCCCCACTGTTCTCTTTTTTTTTTTTTTTTTATCCTACAGGCAGAATGCAACCACTTCTGTAATTGAGCCATGTCTGCTTCCAAAAGGAATAAGGATATATGTAAATATAGATATATAGACATTCATATAGATTAGATATAGATAGACATATAGATATAGATATGATATGAATGAGAGAGAGAGAAAGACAACAGGACTTTCGCCTCACCGTCTGAATCTATAGCTCCAGAGAAAATAGAGAAAGCGGTTTCCATTTCTTACACTCTTGGCTCCTGCAGGCTTCCATCATTGCCGCTGCTGCTGTCACCACTACTACCACTGCAGGGTTGCCTAGAAGCCGATGGTATGAGAGAAAATAAAAATAAAGGACAAAAATATTATTTTCCTTCTCTCTCTGAGCTTTAAGTTTTTCCTTACGTTTTGTTTTTTTTGTTTTGTTTTGTTTTGCTCCTCAGATCACTGTAAAGTTCCCCAATGAATTAAGTTTGGGCCAGGAGATACTAAAGGATACAAAAATGGCAGACTCACTGCTGTTCTGGAGGTACATTAATTTACAATGTTCTACCTGTTTGTTTCTGTCTACATTTCAGAGTCCTCAAATAGCTGTGCCACATATTCTGTCAAGGTTCTATACTTGCGTTCTGTGAGAGAACAAAGGGTACACTTCATCCTACCAAAAACTGGAAAACTTTCAAATACATAGTTTTCATATATCGCTTTTCAAATAACAAATGTATCATTTTTATAACCAGAAATATGGGCACAAAAAACTTTAGGGTTTTGTTTGCTTAAAACAGAGTCTCACTCTGTCGCCCAGGCTCCAGTGCAGTGGCGTGATCTCGGCTCACTGCAACCTCCACCTCCCAGGTTCAAGGAATTCTCCTGCCTCAGCCTCCCGAGGAGCGGGGATTACAGGCGCACACCACCACGCCTGGCTAATTTTTGTATTTTTAGTACAGACGGGGTTTCACCATATTGGCCAGGTTGGTCTCAAACTCCTGATCTCGTGATCCGCCCTCCTCGGCCTCCCAAAGTGCTGGGATTACAGGTGTGAGCCACCTAGCCCAGCCAAAATTTAAACCAGAAAAATGGGCACCAGATAATAACATCAGAGACCCATATATATATATATATATATATATATATATATATATATATATATATATATATGTATATATATATAGATGATAGATAGATAGATAGATAGATAGATATGACATTGGCAAGTATTATAGTCATTTACAAGATTTTATTTTTCTACATTAAATCAGGCCAGAAAATTTAGCATTTATTTTTCTCATTTGTTAATGCCATTTGTATTAAAACATATCTTACTATATTTCCATGGACATTCCCTTACTATTAATAGATATTAAGAATTACTTTTATCCAGTCCTTAAAATAAGACTCCCGTTTTTCAGGCCATATTTATTCACTCAATACTACTGGGTTAAATAGCAATTCCTTTTTTTTCTATTCCTTATTCAAAATATTTTTAAGTATGCTGTAATATAATAGATAAATTTAATAATACTATGTTAGCTTGAAATATTGAAACTTAAATTATCTACTATAAAGTATATTAACTGAAACCAAATTCTGTTCATTGTAGTCACAAAACATATGAATATAGCATCTATCTATCATCTAGCATCTAACAGTGCTACATGTTAGATCAAACTACCACATCGTCACATACGTGTACTTTGTCAGCTTATGGCTTGGCACTGGAATATCTATCAGATATTCAGTGATTAAATAACTGTTTGTTCATAAATTATAGTATTTTTTCAGATTGTGCAATTGTCGGTTCTTTTAGAGATGAGATTTAAAGTATTCATGAAAGCCATTGTGCAAAAATACAAAAATTCCAAGATAAAAGAAAAATATTGTTTTAAAATGACAACGAAAATTACATTTTTTATGTTTTCAGGTTGTGAAAAATCTTTTTAAAAATTATCATGAAGAAAATTCAGGTCTCCAAATGTACCTCTACTCGATTAACTAAGGAAAAGCTGTTTGTAATCTAGGGACCGCAATAGCTGTCACAATTAATACTGAGTATGTGCTGTTCTATCATTTTTGGCAAGGATTGGTGTTTCATCATTTAGACACATCAGGTACTTACATTGCAGTGTCATATAATTTAAATTGGCATTGTTTAAAATGATGAAAAAATAACAAAGTACCAATCAGAAACTAAATTTTAGTACAGTGGGAAGGATTCATCCATTGAATTGGATTGATAGAAGATGAGACAGCAATTTAATAGAGTTTTGTTCATCTTTTCCTTTCTTGGTTGACTAACACTGACATTTTTGAGGTCTTTTATTTCTACAGAACGTTCTCTGCAGTCTCCTCTTCAAATACGGCTCTTGGCTATGCTTGTGAATTTTGTGAATATACAATTATTTCAAATTAAATACTAACTGAATGTGGCTATATTGTGTTTATACATGTACAGAAAAACACGGTGATTGATTATATTGTTAAATTGTCAATGAGAAAATGTGCAATGTGACAATTGTCTCTATGAACTACTGTGTTTTTTAAATTAATTTTTGGCTGAGCATGGTGGCTCACGCCTGTAATCCCAGCACTTCGGGAGGCCGAGGCGGGCGGATGACGAGGTCAGGAAATCGAGACCATCCTGGCTAACACCGTGAAACCCGTCTCTACTAAAAAATACAGAAAATTAGCAGGGCGTGGTGGCGGGCGTCTATAGTCCTAGCTACACGGGAGGCTGAGGCAGGAGAATGGCATGAACCTGGGAGGCGGAGCTTGCAGTGAGCTGAGATGGCGCCACTGCACTCCAGCCTGGGCGACAGAGCGAGACTCCGTCTCAAAAAATAATAATAATAATAATTTTTAAATTTATATTGGACACACTATAATTGTACATATTATGGGATATAGTGTGACTTTTCAATGCATGTATGCATTGTATAATGATCAAATTGGTGTAATTATCATACCCATTTAAACATGTATCATTTCTTTGTGGTGACAACATTCAGAATATTTTCTTCTAGCTATCTTGAAATATACACTACATTATTATTTGCTTTAGGCACCATACTGTTTTACAAACTTGGTCAAAATGAGTCCTCTACAGTCAGATTACATATGGATATTCCAAGAAGTTCTACTTTCTGCCACTGCAAAGCTTCGGAACAGAAGTTATACTTTGTAAAGCTAATAATCTAGGTCAACATAATCTAAAAAATCGTTCTCAGAGATGTGCTTACCTCTACGATTCTGTTTCATTAATCAGTAGTTCATTCTTCTATCATAAGCTCCATAAATACAACTCTTTTAAAGATATACATGTAAAACTCATGTTTTGTCAAAACAATGCATATATATGCATACATATAGGTAAACAATATAAGCAATATTGAAAGACATAAATGAAAAACAAGTATATAAATCTACCTCCCCACAGTCCTACTCCTCAGTTCTACATCCCTAACACCAGGCAACTACTTATATCTTTTGAATCACTCTACAATTAGTTCTGCCCCAGTTTTTAAATATCGTGCTGAGCAGTATTTTATCAACTTGAGATATGATGTTTTCATTTCCTCTACGATTTGACACTCTTATACCGCTCCCATATTCCTTGGTTTTGAGGGAGAGGAAGCCCACGCCCTCTTCTTGGGCCATAGAACGTAAAAAGCGGCTGCATTACCTCCTTAATGAATAATTCCAGACCGTGAGGATTCACTTTTTCTTGAGCCTTATGTTTTCAAACATGGACAGCTGTGTTGATGTTTCTGGATATTAAAACTGGTTTGGACTGATTTATTCTTACTAATCCTGGAAATGTCTGGACAAAAAAATGTTTGTTACTTGAAAGCACTCTGTTGCTGGCTTTGAGTCTCAATTTGAGTCTCATTAACCAAGCCAAGTAAAATAAGTAAAATCCTAATAATCTTCAGTACAAAAAGGAAAATAATAAACAATAAAAAGGTAACCTATGGAATGGGAGAAAATTATTTACAAACCATGTATCTGACAAGTGGTTGATATAAAAAACATATATAAGGACATCTAAAATGCAATCGCAAAATCAAAACTAATTTAATTTTAAAAATAACCTTATTAAAAAATGAACAGAAGACTTGAATAGACATTTCTCTGAAAAAGACATACAAATGACCAACAGGTATATGAAAAGGTGTTCATTGTTACTAATGATCAAGGAAACACAAATCAAAATCTTGATAAACTATCACCTCACACCTGTCATAATGGCTATTATAAAAAAACAAATTTTAAAAGAAGATAACAAGTATTGGCTAGGATGTGGAGAAACTGGAACCCTTGCAACAATGTTGATACAAATGTAAAATGGTGCAGCTGCTAAGGAAAATAGTATAGAGATTCCTCAAAAAAATTTAAAATAGAACTATGTGACTCAGCAATCTCACTTCTAAGCATATATCCAAAATCTATAAAATCAGTGTTTCGAAGAGATATAATGTTCATGTTCATTGCAGTACTATTCACAATAGACCAGGTGTAGAAACAAGATTATCTGTCCTGTATCTGTCCATCAGCAGATGAATCGATAAATAAATGTGCTTTGTACATGCAATGGAATGGTATTCAGCCATTAAAAAAAAAAAAAAGAAATCTTGCCATTAGTGACAACACGATTAACCTGGAAGACATTATGCTAAGTGAAATAAGTCAGTCACATAGGAACAAATTCTAAATTATTCCATTTATGTCAGGTATCTAAAATAGCCAAACTCATTGAAGGAGAAAATAGAATCATGGTTTCCAGGGGCTGGAGAAAGGGAGAGATGAAGAGATGTTGGTCAAGGGGCACAAAGTTTCAGTTATGCCAGATGAATAAATTCTAGAGCTCTGCTGTACAACATGGTGCCTATAGTTAGCAATACTGTATTGTTAACTTTAAATATTTTTAAGAGGGCAGATTTCATGATGTGTTCTTACCACGATAAAAAGGGAGAGGCACACAGAAACTTTTGAAAGTGACGAATATGTATATTACCTTGATTGTGGTGATGGTTTCATGGGTTTATGTGTAATATCTACCTTCATTAGTTTTATACATTAAATATGTGCAGTTTTTGTATAACAGTTATACGTCAGTAAAGATATTAAATACAAGAAATCTATGACAACAATGTGTAACAAAACTGTATCAAAAGTTTGAGTCAATAATTAGAGCTTATATCACTGACTTAGAATTTATTAGTCAATGTCATGCCAAACATTATCCCATGATTTAAATTCCATACTGTTATTGTTTCACATACAATGTTAATTTTTACTTGCATTTCTTAGTAACCACTTAGCTTTACTACTTTTCAAAACCCTCTTCTTGCTTCGTAGTTTCTTTTCTTCCTGGACATTTCAATTTCATACTCACCCTTTCCTTTAAATCTCTTAGCATTTTAGGAATGATTTTCAAATGACCTCCAATTTCAACATAAGATGGTTGCACAATTTCCTGGCTTCTATTCTCTTTGTGTGCCCTATAGTTGGTGGTGGTAGTGGTGATGGCTGTGGGGGTGTTGATGTTACTGTTGCTGAAGTACATTTGTATGAGCTTCTCAAAGAAGGCGTGGAAGTTCTATTTTCCTTCTATGGGTGAAAATATGTTTATCCTATTCTCAAAAATGATTAGCAATCTGGTTGATAATTGAATTATAATGTAGAGCAAATTTGTCCTCAGAAACTTGAAAATAGTTTCTCCATTGTCTTCTAGCACCAGGAATTGATTTTTAAAATCAGATTTTAATTCTTCCCGATTAAGAGCACCCTCCCTCTCATCCACACACATTAAGCTACTGGACTTTTTCTGTTCATCCTTTGAAATTTCAAGATATTGCATATTTATGAGGGTTTTATATAGTAATTGTTCTGAGCACATGGATGTCTCCATTCATACTAATTTCCAGTCATTGCTCTGAGCACAAGGAAGGCTTCTTTAACAGATAAAAAAGAAGTTTCATTTGTTTAATATTTTCCATGTTTGTTTCCAATTTTCTGTTCCAGCAACTTTAGGACTGATCCAGTGAATTTCTTACATTTTGTCTTTTTCGATTTTAATTCTTCCCAATCATTTCTACTGATGGTTATTTTTTTCTTTTTTGGTTATTATATTTAACTTTTTAGAGTGTTTTAATTGATTCTTTTTAAACATTCACCTCTGTTGCTTCATGAATACAATATATTCCCTTATCACTTTAAGTAATTTGTTTAGTTTTAACGCTTTCTCTTGATGCTTATGCTATTTTTTACTTTTTAAAATTTATCCTACTCAACTTGTTTTCTTTGTTGGTTTATTTGTTTATTTTTGTTTTTATGTCCTTTGTGACTGGAACTTTTCACAAATAGCTGATGATCATTGGCTTGTCTATTTAATTTTATATTTAAGAGTAAGAAAGAAAAACATTACTCAAAGCCTAATAAACATGAATGGATTTGAATTCTCTAGTGAATTAATCCTTCTTCAACTCTGTCAGATGCAAGGAGCTTAATCTTTTGCAAAATTTGTGAGTGTGACTAGTTACATTTATAAATATCAGTTACAAACGGAAATAAGAATAAAAAGATGTTTGATAGATCTTGATATCTCTAGACCTGAAAGATGAAGCAAAGTAGATATCCCAAAGGTAATAATTTGGAGAACTACCTTGGGAAAGTACCCAAATAACCTTGAGATACTGGCATGTGGGAATCCCCCCTAAATAAATGTGTCCTTATCTAACCACAAAACTGCTAAGCCTTTCATTTGATGAGTCCTATGTGTGGTTTATGAGCTTCTAGTTAGCAAAACAACCTCCATATTATTGGATAGATATCAAGTGGAGTGGGAGTACAAGAAGAGGGTAATACTTCAACATATTAAAATCTGGATTACTTTGGAAAGAGGAGATATGGGTTGTGCACAGGAAGAGTTGATAAAATTTCAAAAACAGTTTACTGAGGCAATATTTTCAAAGTAAGATACAATGTATTTTCTAATTTTTGTTCTATGGAAACTTTATAAATGTGGGAGGAAAAAATTTTTTATTCATGTACACATGGACATTCCTAAGTAAATTAGATTTTTGAAATACTTCATTAAATTAATAATTTAGTATTGTGGCTAAACCCTCAATATAGAAATGCTAAATACTAAATACTATAGTATATAGAGTTTCCTAAACTATTATAAGAACCAATTTTTAAAAGAGATTCATGAAATTATTATTCTATAGAAAACAAATTGTGAAATCCTGGCTTTGTGAGAATAGTGAAAAAAGAAAGAAAGGACAAATTAGAAAAACATAAGTTTATGTGAAAAATTAGAATAATATTTATTACACAATATTATTTATGTAAATTAAAGCTGAAGTGTACGAAACACTACTGCTAAGATACATGCATGTTTAATGTTCTGTTTCAAACATAAGAACAAATGCTTATGAGGTAGAAGGGAACATAGCACAGGCAATATTTGTGAGGATCCTTCCACTAACTAAAAAGCTTTAAGAGACTGTTGGTCAACATGTAACAAATAGGACTGGTTGGGCACACTACAAAAATCATATATTCTTCTTCTTTCTTCTTCTTCTTTTTTTTTTTTTTTTTGAGACGGAGTCTCGCTCTGTGGCCCATGGCACAATCTCGACTCACTGCACCCTCCACCTCCTGGGTTCAAGGATTCTCCAGCCTCAGCCTCCTGAGTAGCTGGGATTACAGGCACGCGCTACCACACCCGGCTAATTTTTGTATTTTTAGTAGAGATGGGGTTTCACCATGTTGGTCAAGCTGGTCTCGAACTCCTGACCTCGCGATCTGCCCACCTCGGCTTCCCAAAGTGCTGGGATTACAGGAGTGAGCCACTGTGCCCTGCTAAAAATCATATATTCTTAAAAAGCAATCTACCTAAGAATGCAAAGAAAGATAATTTACCCAATTAAAGGAAAAAAAATCAAAATATTAACGCTAACAAGAGATAAGCCCTTTGTGCCTGGGGGTAAATAGAAACCACTAAGAGCTTTAACGTGTGTGTGTGTGTGTGTGTGTGTGTGTGTGTGTGTGTGTGTTCAGTGTCATAAGCATAAAAAGTCTAGAACCACATTTCTATATTCCTGTATTGAAATATTTCAGTCCCTCTAACCTTCTAACCCTGCTGTGACTGATTTGTGTAGCTGTACAGGTGACAGAGAAATATATTCTCCTATTGTTCATATCTATCGATGTAAAATTTACATCGACAATGCAACTACCTTATTTGTACAAGAGTGTTTTGAAAAATATAAATATCCATACAAATACCACCACAACCATTTCCATCACCATAAAAGTTTCTCTTTGCTGTCATTCTTCTATCCCCCGCTCATGAAAACCACAAATATAGTTTCTGTTAACTGTAGATAAGTTGTGTTTAATCTATAATTTTATGTAAATCATATATTCTTTTGAATCTGGTTTTTTTTTGTTAAGCATAATGTTTTTGAGATTAATTCATGTAGTTTATACATTTTTATTTCTGAGGTGTATTTCATTTTATACATATACAATTTGTAATCCATTGAGCGTTGAAAATTATGGCTGTTTCTAGTTTTAGGGGTTAGTATGAATAAAGCTACTAGGAACTTTAGTGTATAGATCTTTGTGTATGTAGATGTTCTGTTTTCCTTGGGCAAGTATCTAGAACTTGAATAACTCAGTCCTATAATATATTTGTGTCTAACTGTATGAAAAACTGTTAAATTGCTCCCCAAACTTGTACATTTTTTATTTCCATCAGCAATATCTGAGTGTTCTAGTAACTCCATATCCAACTCAAAACACAGAATTGTTTTTGTTAATGAACTAAGTATCTCATGGAATTTTAATATGCATTTTCTGAAGGATAATTATATTGGTAATTATGTAATACTATGTAATATTTATTAATCATTTTGTGAAATATTGTTTCAAATATTTTGTCAATTTTTGATTAGATTGCTTTTGCTTATCATTGAGTACAAAAGTTCACATTATGTTTTGGAGTAAGCCCTTTAGTGTACATATATATATATCGAATTTATATATTTATATAACCAATAAAATATTACTCATAACATACGTACAATTGGAGTTCCAGGAGAAGTTAGAGAGAATGGAGCAGAAAAAAAAAATTGGAATATAATAGCTAAGAGTTTTCACAGATGATGAAAATATAAACTCACAAATTTAAGATCAGCAAATCTCAAGCAAGAAAAATACAAAACGAAAAATATCAAACAGATACATTACAGTGAAAATCAATATCAATAGATACAGAAAAAGCATTTCACAAAATCTAACATTAATTAATGACTAAAAAAACCTCTCAGAAAACTAAAACTAGAAGATAACCTCATCAGCTTGATAAAGAATATCAACAACAAACCTACAGTTAATATCATACTTAATGGCGATAAACTTGAACTTTTCCTACTAAGATCAGGAACAAGACTAGGATGTCCCCTCTCACCATTCCTTTTCATCATAATGGAATTCCAAGTTAATGCAATAAGACAGGAAAAGTAAATAAAGGGCATACACATTGGAAAGAAAGAAAGAAAAACTGTCTTTGTTTGTAGAGGTTACAATGGTCTGTATAGAAAATTCAAGAGTCAAAAAAGTCCTTGGTTAAATAAGCAGTTATAACAAGGTTGCAATATACAAAATTAATATATAAAAGTCAATCACTTCCCTATACACCGCCAAAGAATATTGTAATTTGAAATAAAAAAGTATCATTTGCATTAACACCTCCCAAAAATGAAATATCTAGGTACAAATTTAATAAATATATAAGACAATGTTAAGAAAATGAGAAGAAAAGCCATAGGCTGAGAGAAAATATTTACAAAAGACACATCTGTTTAAAGACTGTTGTTTAAAATATACAAAAGCTCTTAAAACTCAACAATAAGATAACAAACACTCCAAATAGGTAAATGGACCAAAGATCTTAACAGACACTTCACAAAGGAAGATACACAGAGGGAAAATAAGCATACGGAAAAGTGTTTCACATCATATGTCATCAGAGAAAATTAAAACAACAGCATGATACCACTACCATGTGATACCACTATCAAGCTAGAAAATAAGTAATGACATGAAGATCTAGTATTAAATCTTCTAATGCTAGATCTTCATGTCATTACTTATTTCCTAGCTTGTCAATACAATTCTATGCAAAACATATTTGATTATTCTGTTCTAAAATCAGTGGTCTACTCCATGAGTACTATGTCACCTCTCTTTTTAAACTTGGGAGGCTCACTATTAAACATTTTAAAGCTCTTTTTTTTTCCTCTACATCTTCTTTCCAGTCCTAATCAAATTTCTAATTCTTTTCCTTTACAATTAGCAGGATTTTTGCAAAATGATTTTTTTCACAGAACTATTTTAGTTTTTAATTTCTTATTTTTTCCTCCTCCTTTATTTATAATTCAAGATACTTATATTTAGTAGCCTTTAGTTCAACTCTTCTCTACATGCTTTACAGTTCCCTATTATTCTGTATAATACATTATGTGTCCCATGGTGAAACTCATGCATGTAAATGAAGACTAAATTTCTGAAGAAAAAATGAATTTTCTGCTCTACTTCCAATATATATTTGTTAGAAATATCTTACACTCTTATTTTTTCATTTTTCTAACACTCTCTTAGATGCCAACCACCCTTTAACATTCCAAAGTTAAACCAACCAGAGATTAAGAGATAATAAATTCAGTTTGCATGTTTCTTTTTTCAGTATTGTGTTATTTCCTTTACTATTTTTCTCAGCACAATTAGCAAGATATGTATGAATAGGTGAATATCACTTTTCTATATTATTTCCAAATTTAAAAATTATGTTTCCCACATTTTGCTTATACTTTTTACAATAAGTCTTCTTTTTTGGCATATCCAGCACTCACCTTTGAATGTACTGAATGAAATAAGACCTACTGCTGCCTCAAAAAGTTGTAATTAGAGTTTTAACAAGCTGAAACTTACTGCTACTTTACACGATATTCTGGCCCGTTGTCTTGTTAATTCTGTATTTTTAGATCTTAAAAAAAAACTATTGTACTTATTTTGAGCATATAAAATATCAAAAGTTTTATATTATGCTTTAGGAGAGGTTAAATCTATTTGGTTCTAATAAACAACACACTGAAATCAGGTCACCAATTTTGGCATAAATTCAAAATGTTTAATATTTTAACATATTGTAAAATTAAACAACTTTTCTTATTATAAGTGTAATTTGTATAAAGACAATATTTTAAATTAAATATCTGAAACTTTAAAAAAATCTAATTTAAATATATAAAAGTCAGAGAGAGACACAAAAATAGGATGTCTCATATAACATTAAAAATTGATGAGGTCTTCCTCCAGGATAGAATGAAAATTAATATAGAACAATGAGCTATGGGAAGCTACATACCTAATTAACTACCTATTTTCATTTTGTTTTTACAATTTTTACCGTCACTTTATACTCTAACTGCAATATATTCACAATTTTTATGATGATGGAAATAATTCCACTGGAATTTTATTTTTTGCAATAGATTTCAGAACTCATAGTCTTAAAATGATTGGCATGTGTTTTATTTCTATTTGTTTATTTTTTTTAATTTGAACTTTTATTTTAGATTCAGTGGGATACATATGCAGGTTTGTTACATGGGTATATTCCACCCAGATAGTGAGTACAGTACACCATAGATAATCTTTCAACCCATTCCCCGCTTCCTACCTCCTTGTCTAGTATTCCAGAGTGTCTATTGCTTCTATATGTCCATGTATCTTCAATGCTTAGCTCTTACTTATAAGTGAGAATATGTGGTATTTGGTTTTCTGTTCCTGTGATAATTTGCTTAGGATTATGGCCTCTTGCTCCATCCATGTTACTTCAAAGGATATGATTTTATTCTTGTTTATGGCTGTCTAGTATTTCTAGTGTATATGCAGCCTCTCCAGTACACGTTGTTTTTTGACTTTTTAATAATAGCCATTCTGACTGGTTGTGAGATGGTATCTCATTGTGAATTTGATTTGCATTTGTCTGATGATTAATGATGTTGAGCATTTTTCATATGTTTGATGGCTGCTTGTATGACTTAGGATGTCCTGTCTACCACTCCTATTAAACATAGTCCTGGAAGTCCTAACCAGAGGAATCAGTCAAGAGAAAAAATAAAAAGCATCCAAAGAGGAAAAAAAGAAGTCAAAATATCTCTCTTAACTGATGATATGATTCTATACCTAGAAAGCCCCAAAGACTGCCAAAATGCTAACAGAGCTGATAAACCATTTTAGGAAGGTTTCAGGATACAAAATCATATACAGAAATCTGTAGTATTTCTATATGCCAATAATGATCAGGCTGAGAGTCAAATGAAGAACACAGTCCCATTTACAACAGCCACAAAGAAAATAAAATACCTAGGAATACAACTAACCAAGGAGGTAAAATACCTCTACAAGGAGAACTACAAAACTCTGCTACAAGAAATCAGAGACACAAATCAATGGAAAAACATTCCATGCTCATGGATTGGAAAAATTAGTACCATTAAAATGACCATACAGCCCAAAGCAATTTACAGATTTAATGTTACTCCTATCAAACTACCATCTTTCTTCACAGAACTAAAAACAACTAACTACTTACATGACTGACTAGATTTTCTATTTTGTTTTTTGTTTACAAAAAATAACAGGGTTGATCTCAAGGACAAATTTAAATACCAGACACTTGGAGATGTTTCTATTGCTTTTGCCACAGACTGTCCCCAAGTCATAGTCAATCACAGCGACCAAGAGAAATATCATAATTTTTAGGCCAGTTTTATGTTGCTTTAATTTGCAAGGTATCTATGTCAGATTATACTGTGTTGAGATTTCCACCGTGATTTATTGTATTTTAAATAAAACTCAATAAAAGAAAGTTTTAATTGCAATTAATTGATATGATTAAGATTTGGGAGTTGATGCCAAACTTGCTAAATTTTTCAAGGCAGGTTATCTACAGATTACATTTTATCTATTATCACATGTTACTCTAGAGTCATATTCAACATATCATACAAAGAAAATAAAGGAAGAAAAGTGCGAATTCACCTGTTGTGGTATGTGAAAAATTTAAGAACACCATGTAAAGAGATTTATTTTTTAATGAGCAGATATGCAAAAGTAATTAAGTAAACATCTCAGAATTGTTTATTCCACAGTATTATTCACATAGAATCTCCATCATTTCGTACAACATTTTGATGCCAACCTAATTTGTTTCTATAGCAAATAAATTATGAATACATAATAAAACAAAGTTATAACTATCAAGTTCCTAAGACCTAAAAAGTTGGTTTGAATGATCAATTTGTGATATGTCAAACAACCCGTCATTCTCAGACTTTAGAATGAGTATGCCTTATTCTCAAAGAGGAGTTTAATTCATGTGAAGTGGTAACTTCTGAAATACTAATGAAAGTCATAAAATATTACCTCTATATTATTAATAAATAAAATTACTTAGAATAATCTGTAATTATATGAAAAGTAAACACTTTCACTGGACACATATTTTCTTGAGTACTATTTATTAGGTTAAGGAGTGAAATTAGAGTGATGTATATACTCCCAGAAGTGACACTTTATGCGAGAATGAACACAGTTTCCTTTAGGTTTTATTCATGAAAGTGAGAATCTGCAGGTGCTGTGCTTAAAAACTCCACAGTTTCCATAGCACCACAGTTAAACATCAGGAATGCAACTTTCAATAAAACTTATTTTTTAATAAGTCAGAGATACACATTTTTTGAGGTTAGAAATATTGCGAGTGACATTAACATAAAACACATTATTCCTCAAGCAAAAACAAAAACAAAAAATCCTTAATTTTGGCCACAGTGAAGCAATTTTATAGCATTTTATTAAATAAGTTTGTACTAGAAACACATAACTTCTTCCTGATAGAAACAATCAGTTTAAAAATGCTTATAGAATAAATGAAAGGAATTATAAAATTTCATCTTGTCTTCTCCATAATTTTCCACCTAAGGAAACATTCACTCACATACAGTGATTAACCGAGACGCTAAGGCTAGTCTTCAGTAAGGTCAAGCCCTAACTCGATATCTTCATATATCCTCTAATATTCTGCCCAATATACTATGAAATAGCCAATTTGTCACCTTATCATTTTTATTAAACATTGTTTATTTCTTGTAGTGCTTCTGATAGTTAAGAACATTTTAATAACATTTTAATAGTATTGATTGCAGTATAAAAGCATCCAAATTATATATATATATATATATATATATATATATATATATATATATATATGTATGTATGTATATGCTAAATCTTTTGACAGTAGACAGAAGTCAGCCCCCTTCATGGATATTTGTTCATGGGAAAATCTTATTTCCAGTGATCAAGCACAGCTGGGAGCATGGCCAAGTTTTGTTTAATCAGCATTTGTCAATTCATTATTAGAATAAAACTTTAAAGCAAGATAAACCATTGTGTCCCTTAATTGTACTGAAGATTTAAATGCTAAAATATACTTTTTTCTTAAGAAAAGTTTTATCATAATTTAAGTTATTATTCAGACTGATAGAGCTTTCATAAATTGGGTCACTCCACTGTCAGGATGTTCCAGATAAGCTGACAGTAAAGAAAAAAATAATTTGGAACTCAGCCATATTCATTTTAAATAGTGGATCAGATTTGAACAAGTTTTTAACATGCAAAAAAAAATCCAATTTCTAAGTCAAGTCACTCTGAATTTAATATCTTGTTTAGCTAATGAAATTTTCTTATCCTGGAATACGTCTTCCTGACTTTTACATGAAAATAACAGTATTAGAATTTTTTTGTCTGTGTCACAGCACACTACCTAGACACTAACACTGAGAATAAGCATGGAGGATATTGAAAACATGTAATGGCTTATATTTAATAACTAGAGACTGTGTGGGGCATTCCCTTATTAAATATTTACCATCTGCTACAAAACCGGATGGCCCAAATCATCCTCTGATAATACAATTCACAATAACGTATTAGGTTTTCCCTGGTATAAACAATTAAAAAAAAAAGTAAAGTAAAAGAAAAAGAAATTATACAAACAGTTTATACATCAAGAATGTAACCATTACATTTAATCCTTTAGAAGCTAAATTTATTATAGTCAGTTGCCAGGATTCATTTTCTTCAAAAAGCTACAAATTGTTTGTATGGGAACTATTGAGCCAAAATGCCAAGGTTGTAACATTTAGATGCATTGGAATCATCTAATGACTTTCTAAATGACAAATAATCAAATATTATCATGTTTACTGACTCTTTTTGAGATCCAGGGAATTGTGTCTTTTTGATCCACCAAGTCAGTATACAAAAGCAAAAGTACAATTGCCTTAAACAGTTACTACCCGAGATCAATGGATATTGTATCAGTCTGTTCTCATGTTGCGAACAAAGGCATACTCGAATTGGGCAATCTATAAAGGAAAGAGGTTTAATTGACTCACAGTTCCATATGGCTGGGGAGGCCTCACAATTATGGCAGAAGGTGAATGAGGAGCAAAGTTGTGTCTTACGTGGAAGCAGGAAAGAAAGCTTGTGCAAGGGAACTCCCATTTATAAAACCATCAGATCTTGTGAGACTTTTTCATTACCAGGAGAAGAACACGGGAAAGATCCACCAACGTGATTCAATTACCTTCCGCTGGGTCCCTCCTGCAATACGTGGGAATTATGGGAGCTACAATTCAAGATGAAATTTGCGTGGGGACACAGCCAAACCGTATCAGAAACCAAATTTGCTACACTTTGCTCATGGACTTCTTGATTCCAGGACCATGAGCAAATAAATATCTGTTGTATAAGCTTCTCAGTGTGTGGTAATATGTTATGACACCCAGGCAGACTAACACACCTTATAGCTTTGTAAAGAGACTAAGTAGAGCTTATTATATATCCTTCTTATAACAGTACTTTTCATACTATTATAATATACATATAAATATATGTACTGTAATACATAGCTACAGTAAACTGGCAAGCAGAAAAATATTTGTATCTTATTTATTTCCCATTCTTTCTGGATGACTCAGTAATAGCATGACTACTAAATGGATAAGATGCCTGAACTCACAGTTTGAATACAAGTTTTAAAGTAGGTTTTTGCAGATGATGAACAGGTATTCTTCAAAGGAGAATAATAAGTAGTATCTTAGTTGTAACGGCAGACCATTGGCAAGCCATTGTGATATAGGGTTCATAAATACAGTATTTATAAAATAATTTTAAGTATAATAAACCCTGAGAAAATAAAAGTGAAATATTTATGCAAGATGATGTACTTAAATACATGTAGAGTTCACAAAAATCTTAGCGATGGTATTGCTACTGTAGAATTTAGCCTGTTAGGTGCCTGGAGAGTATATATGTTTAATGCGGTGAAAACATGAAAGTTAAATAATTATATGTGCATTTTGTTCCTAAATGAATCATCAAAGTCAGATACACTTTCATTTAAGTTTGTATAAGAATGTAAAGAAATTGTTATCTTCTTATTTTCTTCATTGTATAAATTAAGATTGAGGGGCAGGGTAATATAGGTAATAAGTGGTAGAACCAGACTTTTGATTCTTTATGTAGTACAATAGAAAAAAAAAGATACATACTACATTTCATTGTAAATGTTCTCATACTTGTATAGTTTGTACAACTATTTCTAAAATTAAAATTTGCCATACATTTATATCTTTTATTTTTCATGAAAACAAAAACAAGTAAAAATGCCTACTTAAAAATATACACATAAACCGTTTTCTCAGCCATATTACCATCAATCATTTGGAAGAATTTCACAGTAATTTTAAAAGTATGAAAATGTATGGAATGTGTTATTTGCTGAAGTTAAAAATGGTTTAATCAATCAACCAAACAACAGTAAAAAAAATGAGTGAAGAAAAACAGAGTGCCTATTTTCATTTGTTTTAATCTTTTCCATTTAGCATTAAAAACCTAGGACTGAAAAAATAAAACAAACAAACAAAAAAACAACATACTTATGTATTACCATTTCTGAAGTATATATTACATATATTTTCTGGAAATCTTGCTAAGATTGTTTTTTCACGTTTTAAAGTCATGCTGTTTAGTTATCTATTTTGTAGTTGCTATAAGGGAAATTTTTAAATGGCTGGCTTCATGAAAAAGCCCTGTAAAGACTTCCTTTCTGACCTAGTTTCCAGGGAAATTATATCTTTGTGTAATACATAGCTGTACTATATTATCCCAATGTTTAATGATATTTAGTGCATTTCATTAAGGATTTCTAAAGATTCTGTGTATAATTTTAGGTCCCAAAATTCACAAGTTACATTCAGATATCAGCCATTTTAAAGTCTATTAGAATAGGCAGTTATGTGCATAGATAACTAAAGGACAAGGCAGGATATAATAATTTTCAATTAAAAAAATAGTCACAATAGTGGCATGGCATCAAAGAAGGAAAAATTATCTTTTAACTGACAGGTTTGAAAAGATATTCTTGAATTTTCTACCACTGATGTAACCTCAAAGGACAGGAATTATTTCAACATTTAAGCTACTAATGTCACTGTTGAGTTCTTTTTGTGGTTATTGGTGGTGGTGGAAAACTAGAGGAAGGGGGGAAATGGCTACCTAAGGGTCCTTATTTATTCAGCTTTAGTTCTGCAACAACTTTTGTCTTCTATTTTAGATATGTGTGAACCCATTGCCTTCCCTACCTTTATGAATCCCTTTTCTGTAGTAAAGAATTAGACAGTGGATTGTGAGCTTTTACATTTTTAAGGAAATCAATAGGCAATAATTTATGAGGCACACAGAGAGTAGTTATGCAGTGCTCATTAGATTTATTTTATCTTCTTAATTGAGAAATAATTTATAATCTGCTATTAAATGCAATCTCATCATTGAGGTGATTATTTTCTTCCCCAGGAATAGGCCTATAGTGTGACATGACCGCAAATAAACTAACATCAAAACGTTTTTCTATGTCTAAATGTATCTATGTCTCCAATAATCAATGGGCTAGAGGAACGTGGATAAAATTGCTTCCTGGTAATATTGTCCGGTTTTGCATCCTAGTTTCACTTCTCATTACTTGTGTGTCCTTGAGAGTTTACATAATGTCTTAGTAACTCAGTTCCTTCATAGACATATTAATGCTCAGAAGATAAAATTATAAAATAAATATAGAGAAAGTTCCTAGAAATGTTCTCTTAGAACAGAGTAATCCATCAATAAATATGAGCTAGTGTGTGTTATACAATCAATGGTCTTTTCTGTCCCTGCCATGATGACATTTAAGATGAAAAACAAAATAGGTAGTGTCTGAATACAAACTAGATGACAGGATGATGATAAAGATGATGAAGATGATGAGTAGCAAATACCTTTTTTTTTTTGAGATGGAGTCTCAGTCTGTCGCCCAGGGTGGAGTGTAGTGGTACGATCTCGGCTCACTGCAACCTCTGTCACCTGGGTTCAAGCAATTCTCCTGCCTCAGCCTCCCAAGTAGCTGGGATTGCAGGCGCCTGCCACTGCACCCAGCTAATTTTTGTATTTTTAGTAGAGACGGGGTTTCACCGTCTTGACCAGGCTGGTCTTGAACTCCTGACCTCGTGATCCAACCGCCTCAGCCTCCCAAAGTGCTGGTATTACAGGCGTGAGCCACCGCGCCCAGCCCAACACTTACATTTCTCAATCTATTCATCTATCATTTTAGCCTATCTTCTCTCAAATGAGATTGAAATAGAATATTAAAATATAATAAGGAGGGGGGCAAAATGAAGGTTGATGAAATATTAGCAGGTTAGTAGAACTTCCAAATTATTTTAATTTTATAATTGTTTTTATGAAAAACTATTAAAGCTTAGTAGATCTACTATAATACTTTATACTAAGATTTCATCCACATTTACAAAATTTGCATTTGATAATACAGGTGAAAATAACCATTAAGATGTATCCTTAAGATAATCACTTAAGAATTACTAAAAATGAACATTTAGAAAAATAAGATTCTCATATATGTCTTCAATCAAATGTCCATAAATATATTCAAACCCCTTACTGCAGAAAAATAAAATGGGGAGATGTAAGTCCAACCTAGTCTAAGTAAATAATTACATAAATACTACTATGTACAAAATATTCTCCTAGTCATAAGGGAAAAGAAAAAATTGACCATATTTACAATTTGTAAATAAAAAATTATATACTAATACCATGTATTTTTTCCTTCACAATTCTCATAATAAAATGTTGTTCAAATTCTACCTTTTTGATGAAATATAAACTACACAAGAAAAGACACATATCTATCTGTTTTACTATTGATTCCCTGGTAAATACATAACTTGTGCATACAGTAGATACTAATAAATATTTATTAAAAAACTGACAAAGAGTAATGAATGATTTAATTAATAAATAAAATATTAGATATTTTAAAGCTAGTCAGAGGTTTAAGTATCAAATTTTAATAACTTCTGATTATAAATAATTCTTCTCTGTAGTTAAAAAGCTCAGAATTTAAACTGTACTCGTATTACAAGGCTAAATGTCCAACTAAAGATGCATTTTCTTACCAAAAAAGCGAAAGAAAAAACAAAATTGGAAATAAGAAATTTCCCTTTAGCTTTGAGATATTTTAAAATTGTAGTTCCTCAAGGAATTAATTTACATACCCATCAACAGTCTCTAAGTGTTTCCTTTTTTCCCTGTCCACACCAGTGTCTGTGGTTTTCTGACTCTAATAGCAGCCATTCTGACAGGTGTAAGAGGATATCTCAAAAAGCATGTGTTAAGCAAGAAGCAGAGAGAGCAAATCACAAAAAAAGGCTGATGCATGTTAATTCACTAAAATTAAGAAATTATGTTTATTAAAGTATTACATAAAACATGAAAGGACAAACCACAGATGCTAAGGAGTAATTAGTTATAGAGCTGAGAATAGATTGGTATAAGTAAATGTTAGAAAATATTTTAAACAAATATTAACAAAGGCAAATAAATTGGAAAAATAAACAAAAGTTCTGAGAAAAACCTAGCAGCAAAATCACTAAAAATAAAGGTTATCAGTCACGCTGGCAATCAGATAAATGCAACAATAACATAAACAAAATAAACAAAATACTATTTTTACCAATTTTAGTGGTGACTAAATACATAGTATAAATAAATACATACATACATAATATAAATAAATACATATGTACATACATAAAAATAAATACATACATAAATAAAAACCCAACAGGATCAAGTGTTTACAATAAAGTAGAAAATGGGAAGCCTTATGGCTATAGCATGAGTAAAAATTAGCATAGCATTTTGGGAAAGAAATTCACATTATATAGTAAAGTTCACAATGTTCATATCTTAAGACAGCAATTCCACTCCTAGTGAAAGTCTTAAGTAATCTGAAAGAGTTCAGGTTATATATATACAGATATACGCCCTAGAGAAAAACTTACAAAAAATCCATGAAAAGATATATACAAAATTATTTATAGCAGCACTTTTTGTGATAGCAAAGTACAGAAATTTACTAAAATGTCTATCAACATCAGAATAGATGAATAAATTTTTGGTGCATTTGTTCCATGGAATACCAGCAATAGAAATTTAACTACAACTACATTTAACAACATAAATATATTTCAGACACCTAATGCTATGTGCAAAAAGCCAAGCTTAAAAATATTTGTGTAATATGGTTACAATTTTACAAAGAACAAAAACCTAAAATACTTTGTATTGTATTTGTACATTAAATATGTGATAAAGCTGTGAAGATAAGCGAGAAAAAATACTTGTTATATATAAAAAACTCAGAATATTGATCGCTCTATAGGTAAGAGAGGGGAAATGAAAGCAGGGAAAGCTCAAAAGAGCTTACAAATATAATTGATATACCTTCTTTACACAAATAAAGTTGGTGGATATACAGGTACCACTTATTTATAATCCCTTTAATCTACACAGATTTTATAAAAATTCTGTTCCATCTAGAACATATTTACTATGAATAATTTTAAATATTATAGTAGTAATAGCAAAATAATATCTCAGAAGAAAATATGTGCAGAGACTTAAATTCTTTTGTCTGTGCTACAAGGACTTAAATGTTTAACTGAAATGCGTATTTCACAGAGGTAGTATCTAATATGTAGTTACACAGAGTCATCACATTTTAGATAGTAAATACTGTATAGATACCTTAACTCAAAATATAATTATAGCAGAAAATAATTATATTTTATAGTTCACCTGCTAATTATGGAGGCTGACACATCATGAAGATTTCTCAGAGATACCAGTGCAATTGTTGATCCTCGTCTAGAGTAATTGTGTACAGGCCACATGACCCCATTTCACAATCAAAGATGACTGAACATTGGGAATGCAGGTGACCCAAGCTGCATTAGTGTCACGGGATCCTGACAGTGTTGCTTCACCTGCTAGAAACCTCTGTGGCAGGCAGTGCCTCCTCTTGAGTTTTGCTTGCATCTGCTGGTCTCGTTTTACCCACTCGGCCCGGCAGGCTGCGTTCAGGCAGTGCTACTGGCTGGGATCCCATGCCTACCAAAAGTGATCCAGGTGCAGAGCTGCAAGGGGCGTGTGAGTGAGTAATAGTGGAGTCCAGCCACTGTGCACAGTTAGGTGTGCCAGCTCCAGTGGGGTGGATAGCGCCATGCACTGGCACAGGTGCTGGCTCCGTGTGATGCTGCAGCTAAACCAGACTTACAACGAGAGGCTTTTGCTGCAGGCACCAGCAGCTGGACTAGGGAAACATGATACTGTCCAAAAGCTCAGTGATGCCAGGAACCACAGAGCCCCAAAGAGGGTGTTACAGCATGTCACAGCCTTAGCTCAGAGAATCCCGAGGTCTAGGCTCCCAGAATGGCCACAGCTCTTCTCTCCCTTTTGTCACTCATGACACAGTGAGCTGGGGGCATGTTTGGGGGCATGTTTCAGCCCTGTTTGTGTTTCAGATGTTTCAGTCCTGCCATTTGGCAGGTCCCAAGTTCTTGTCTTGCATCCTAAAGCATGAGGTATGTGGACAACTGGAGGGTAAGCAAGATGAAGAGGAGCTTCATTGAGCAACAGAACAGCTCTCAGGAGAGGAGACCCAAGTGGATAATTCCTTTCCACAGACAGGTTGTCTCAGTGGGTGTCCATCTCTCAGCAGGGACAAGACCACTACAAGACCTTCCACAGGCAGGTCAACCCAACATCTGTCTGAGTCTGGCTGAGTCTGGGGTTTTTATGGTTTCAGAAGGGAGAAAGTGTGTGCTGATTGGTCCATGGGTGGCCATGGGTGGCCCTGGAAAAAGCACCGTAAGTTCTCACTTTGGGCTAAAGAATCCACCTGGAACTGGCAGCCCAGCCCCCAGTCTTCAGGCTATCCCTGGCTTCAATGTGAGGTTTTACTGGGGACCTGGCCCTTTCCACCCAGGAACCTGTCTTCCCCCCTGCCATCAACATGCTGTCCATGGCATCCAGGCTGTTTGTGTTGAGAGGTGCCTGCAGGCCGATGCCAAGCTGCCTCAGGGCCCCCTGGCCTCCCCCTCATGCTCATTGGCACACAAAATCCAGAAGCGGCCAAGACAGCAGGGGGCTGGTGTGTGAGTACTGCACCGAGTACATGCACACCTGGCTGGGTCACAACAGCGCCCAGGATTGGCCACAACTTTGCTCTGAAATCGGAGCAGGCACTAGGAGCAGGGAGAGTCCAAGGAGTGGGAGCAGGGACGTCTGGGGCTATGAGGGCAGGGGCTTCCTGGGCCCCTGAGAGTTCAGGGATGCCTGGATCCAGAGCCACAGCTAGGCAGCTGCAGGTATGCCTGGGAGCATGGGACCCCCACCCTGCCAACTCTGTAGGGGGCAGGGATCCCATGTGTTCCTAGGTCCTGCTGGCTCCTACCAGCTCAGTGGAGTGCACAACCCCAGCTGTGCCTCCCCTGCTGAGCTGGCATCCCCACAGCAGCTGCTCCAGACAGGTCACTGCCACCATCATTAGGGTATTGTATTTTGTGAACACATAAACAGAAATATAATAGCTTTTTTATTCTCAGGAAAAAGAATGGAGAAATACGAAGTTAATCAGGCATTAACAGAAGTTGAAACTAAAACATGCATAAGCTAGAAGATGCTATGGTGTGGCAATTTTAACTGAAGTTATGAAGAAACAGAAACTAAGTAAAACAGTAAGTGCCTACTGTATTAGTTCATTCTCACACTGCTGTAAGGACATACCTGAGGCCAGATAATTTATAAAGGAAAGAGGTTTAATTGACTCACAGTTCTGCATAACTAGGGAGGCCTCAGGAAACTTAATATCATGGTGGAAGGCAAGAGAGAAGCAAACACACGCCTTACCTGGTGGCAGATGAGAGAGAACAAATGAGGGAAGGGGGAAGAGCCCTTTATTAAACCATGAGATCTCATGAGAACTCACTTACTATCATGATAACAGCACGGGGGAAACCACCCACATGATCCAATCACCTCCTGCCAGGTCCAGTCCTTTATAAGTAGGGATTATAGAGATTACAATTCAAGAATAGATTTGGATGAGGACACAGAGCCAAACCATATCAGCCTATGAATAATAAAAGTGTATAAACATAGAAGAGAATATATCATTGATAGGAAGACTGGATAAATGTACACATGTAGAGTACATTACTAATATCAGTGATGCAAAACTGAAGCTTAATCAATGGACTCATTCTGCTAAGACCTCTACAACTGCCTTACATCCAAGTCACCTCTCCTGTTTCAGAGTCTCTGTGGTTCTTTGACTTTCCGTTGCTTCCTATACATAGATGATTTTACAATATAGATCACTTTTAACTTAAATTTAGCTGTGTTAATAGTTTATGGTAGGCGATTGTGAATATTGTTTGTAAAATATCTACTCAAACATTGGTCTTAAATGTGAGGCAAAAGGCATGAGTCATATGAATATGTGTGTGGGTATACGTACGTGTATATATGTATATATGTATGCACATATATATGTATAAATATATGCATACTTATTTTACCAATTTTTAAGGTAGAATTTAAGATGGTGAATGTATATTAATGTTATACCATAATATAATATAAAATAAGATAGGGGAGTGTATATTTTCCATTTAAAATTAGCTTTATCCTAAAATATATGTAACAATATGATTAATCATATTATTTGGGCTTGCTGCCGAATAAGTAAAAAACATCTACAGTGTGGTCTATATACTGATGATAGTGACTGTCCATTCCTGGACATGTAAATGGTTCACCATAATGCAAAACGTAGTTCCATTTTATACTACCCATCAAAAAACTATTGCCTAGAATGCAAGCTCTGATATGCCCTCCCATCAAAAAAACTTCTACCTGTGCCAAGTCCTGCATTAAGAATATGAATTATGTGACAACAGCTGTAGTTATGTTCATGTGGATGCATATTCTGGCAAGCACTTTACATCAACCTGGATCTGCCTGACATAAGAGTTGGCATATTTATATTCTTTTTGTTGAATACTGATAATATAATATTTATAGTTGTGAAAGACATGCCTTTATTCTGGTGCATATTACATTTATTAATTACATTTGCATGCAGAGAAGGGTGCAAAGATTGATGTACGTGGCTGATCCCTGTCTGAACACACTACACCACATACTTCTCTTAGTGCTTTATACACTAAAGCCTCATCTACCTTTACTCTCTCCATTCTAAATCCTGTCTAAGGCATTCTATGCCACTGGAGGAAAAAAACCTAACTCATTTTCATGCCCTTTTACAATAAAATCTTTCCAAATTTACACTTTGTAAGATTAATTCAAAGTATATATACTTTGAATTTATATATATATATATATCTTTTTTTCTCTATTCTTACCTGTATATTTACCATATGTTTTAAACCAAAAATTGAGAAATAAAAAATAAGACCAAATATTTTAAATCAAGCTTTAATAAAATATGTGTCCTGTGCACTATACTTGTGAACATAAATAGAGAAATCTGGGAAGTTTGGAAATTCTCATTTTGTGAAGAGTATTCTAAATTGCATATGGTCCACTCTCACATTATTACTTTAGTAACACATTTTTTATCTGCAACTGGCATGGAAATCTGCAGTGATGAGTTTCATGCAGCCTACTAAAATCTATAGATTTATATAAAGTATTTTGTAGCTCAGCATTTCTAAAACTATGTTTCACAGTCACTGGTTCATGGGACATTAGTTTCTAAGTAGAACCAGGAACCATGGTCAAAGATAATGGAGAATGCGGAGTTATAAACAAAGTCAGTTAAACAGTTTTTTTATTTTAGAACTATTCCTAAAATTAATATGTATGGTGCAAAGCTAAGAGAAGAATGCCCCATGTGAGATTTTTCAAATGTATTTGACCATTATTTTTCCTTCTTTTCTAACCAGATCAAGAAGTCTACTTAAAATTGTCTGAAATATACTCCTCCACCTATTGTACCTTCCAGGGATGTTATTTTTATAGTCGAGATGAATTAAAAATTATGTAGAAATAGTTTTTCTTGATATTGAACTTCAACGTTTAATGTACTAATTTAAAAATTAATATTATACTTTCAATTACAGTAATATAAGACTTGCAGGAAACACACAAATGACAAAGATTTTATTGTCTTAAATTAGCAGCATGTTTTTCTTTACTGTGGGTTTTAAATTCAGAAATATTTGAGAAACAATTCTGAAGATAATTTTTTAAAGATGTTGATAATTTGTTTTAGTCTTTTATAGATGTGAAATTATTTATAGGGCTTATCTTAAATCATGACATCGTAATCATAAATTTCTTCCATAGGTAAGGATATTCTTGCTTTTATGCTTTTTATTCTTATTTTTAAATAAATTTGATCCTATTCTGTAATTTCAATATCAAATCAAAATGATATAAATAGATTATGAATAAAAACAGATTTTTAGTAAACATACATCTCAATGAGTAGCTGTAGATGTGTGTAAATATATCATATGATTTGAATGTGTCCCCACCCAAATCTCATCTTGAACTGTAGTTCCCATAATCCCCAGATGTTATGAGAGGGACCTAGTCAGAGGTGATTAGATCATGGGGGCGGTTACCCTCAAGCTGTTCTCATGATAGTGAGTGAGCACTCACAAGCTCTGATGGTTTTTTAAGGGGCTTTCCACCTTTGCTCAGCACTCCTCTCTCCTGCCACCTTGTGAAGAATAATGTGTTTGCTTCACCTTCTGCCATGATTAAGTTTCCTGAGGCCTTCCCAGCCATGTGGAACTGTGAGTCAATTAAACTTCTGTTCTTTATAAATTACCCAGTCTTGGGTATTTCTCCACAGAAGTTTGAGAATGGACTAATACAGTAAATTGGTACTGCAGAGAGCGGGATGCTTCTATAAAGACACCCAAAAATGTGGAACTGGGTAACAGGCAGAGGTTGGAATAGTTTGTAGGGCTCAGATGAAAACAGGAAAATGTGGGAAAGTTTGGAACTTCCTAGAGACTTGGAGAGCTCAGAAGACAGGAAGCGGTGGGAAAGTTAGGAGCATCCTAGAGAATTGTTGAATGGCTTTGACCAAAAAGCCGATAGTGATGTGGGCAATGAAGTCCAGGTTGACGTGGTCTCGGATAAAGATGAGGAACTTGTTGGAAACTGGAGCAAAGGTGACTCTTGTTATGCTTTAGCAAAGAGACTGGCAGCATTTTGCACATGCCCTAGAGATCTGTGGAAGTTTGAACTTGAGAGAGGTGATGTAGGGTATGTGGCAGAAGAAATTTCTAAGTGGTAAAACATTCAAGAGGAGGCAAAGCATAAAAGTTTTGAAAATTTGCAGCCTGATGTGATAGAAAAGAAATCCCCATTTTATGGGGTGAAATTCAAGCCAGATGCAGATATTTGCATAAGAAACAAGGAGTACAAAGTAAATCACCAAAACAATGGCGAAATTGTCTCTAGGGCATGTCAGAGACTTTCATGGCAGCACCTCTCATCACAGGGCTGGAAGCCTTGAAGGAAAAAATAATATTTTGGGCCAGGCACCCCCTGTTCTATGCAGCTTTGGAACATGGTGCCCTGTGTCCCAGCTGCTTCAGCTCTACCTGTGGCTAAAACAGGCCAATGGACAGCTCAGGCCATTGCTTCAGAGTGTGCATGTCACAAGCCTTGATGGTTTACAACTGGTGTTGGGCCTACAGGAGCACAGAAGTCAAGAATTGAGGTTTGGGAACCTCTACCTAGATTTCAAAGGATGTATGGAAACTCCTGAAGTCCAGGCAGAAGTTTGCTGCAGGGGCTGAGCCCACATGGAGAACTTTTGCTAGGGCAGTGTGGAAGGAAAATACGGAGTCAGAGCCCCCACACAGAGTCCCCACTGGAGCACTGCCTGGTAGAGCTGTGAGAAGAGGACCATTGTCCTCCAGACCCTAGAATGGTAGATCAACTGACAGCTTATACCATGTTCCTGGAAAAGCCACAGACACTCAATGCCAGCCCATGAAAGCAGCCAGGAGTGGGGCTGTACCCTGCAAAGCCACAGGGGCAGAGCTTTCCCAGGCCATGGGAGCCTGCCTTTTGCATAAGCATGACCTGGATGTGAAGGATGTGTTTGTTTACCCTTTTGCCATAATTGTATGTTTCCTGAGGCCTTCCCAGCCATACAGAACTGTGAGTCAATTAAACCTCTTTCCTTTAGCAATTACCCAGTCTTAGGTATTTCTTCATAGCTGCGTGAGAATTGTCAAATACAGAATACATCTAGTAAAATAATAACTGTAAGCCTTTGGTGTGAGATGGACATAGCATGGAATATCTTACAATAAAATAGAAACACTAGATATCTGGCAAGCCAGTTAGCTGGAAATTCAAAGAGAGTCTCCTTTACATTAATTCAATGTTGCTTTAGTTAGCACAGAAAAATATTGTTACATCATGGTTAAAGACTAAGAATGTAAAGATCAACAATAAAGGAGTAGGCACATTCTCTTCCAGGATATAATACATAAAGGCAGATGTACCCTTTGTAGGATAATAAACTCTGAGTGGAATGCTGATGGCCATTGGCACTCTCTAGATAATTAGTATTTGTTGAGTGGCTTAATGAGTGAATGAATCAACTAATATTGGCAATATATGAATATTATTAGCACAAAGGATAGATGCCCATCATGTATAAAACTGACCTTTATCAGGAGATTGAGACCATCCTGGCTAACATGGTGAAACCCTGTCTCTACTAAAAATGCAAAAACAGAATTAGCTGGGCGTGGTGGCGGGCGCCTGTAGTCCCAGCTACTCGGGAGGCTGAGGCAGGAGAATGGCGTGAACCCGGGAGGCAGAGCGTGCAGTGAGCCGAGATCGTGCTACTGCACTCCAGCCTGGGCGACAGAGCGAGACTCTGTCTCAAAAAAAATAAATAAATAAATAAAAAATAAATTAGATTTTTAAAGTACTTCGTTCAAAAAAAAATTAGATTTTTAAAGTACTTCATTCCAAAAAAAAAACAAAAAACAAAAAAACCCAGCAACAAGAACAACAACAACAAACTGACTTTTATATTCTCTGAGCTAGCTATCCTAAGGGAAGGGCTTTAGAGGTGGATTCAAGTGCAGTTATCAATCCAGCAAAGCATGAGGATGGACCTTCCCCTTGGTATCAAATAGTGGGGAAGCCCATTACATCTAGGCCACTTCAAAGAACAGTATCAATATGGATTTTAATTCCTTTACAGATATGAGAATATAGAAAGCTAGTGTGTGAAAGGGCATGCTGAAACGGCCCAGAGATTGTATTGAAACATTAGGTAGCCTATAAAATTCAAATCAGGAGCATGGGCATTGGTAAATTATTCATAGTTCGAGCAAAAGATAACAAGTTATTAGCAGGAAAACTTCCAGGTTCTAAATCTAAGGTCAAGAACTGATGATTGCAAATTAAAGGCAATGTAGGAATAGTAATTCTGTTTCAGAAAGTTTGAGTAATATTTTTTAGGAGACGTTGTCCTTGACAATTCTATTGAAATAGCAGAGGCCTGCAACTGTGGGAACTGCTGTGTCTGTCCAGTGGCACAGCCTTTTGATCCTGCTCTCTGGAGCATCAGCTCTAAAGCATTTATGATTTCAAACATAACACTTTCCTTCAAATAATCTTTCTATTCTTATTAAAATTTTATCCTAAATTTCTGTTCACTAAAAATAATTTCCTAAACCATGGGGAAAAAGATTTTTAAAATGTGCTTGCATATCTTCCAATTCAGAATTGAATTTTAAAGTCTCTTTTTCTAAATCTCTATTTTTGACTGGTTTAAAATAAATTTTGTATACTGCACTTTTCCATCTCTTTTAACATTCAGTAACAATAGAGCAAACTGAGCACCACACTTAGGTGAAGCAGTGGAATCAGAAGGTGAAGTGGTTGCCTAGAAACATCACCTGTGAGTAATTAAGCATCTCTTGAGAACTGCTATATTTGGCTTTAAATTCTTGGCCTTCTTACAAATAGCTATTTCAACTAGTTGGATTCTGCCTAACTACTGCATTAAAGATTATAGTGGTCAAGATGGACAATCAGATAAGAAGTTTTATCAACATTTTTGGGGGGGGAGATAACATTAATATCTCACTCCTTTCCTTGCAGTCAGCTTAAGGCACATTCTAGGATAAGTAGAGATGACAGTGACTGTCATAGATTAAAGCCTCTGTTCCCTATACTTAGTTCACAATACAATGGTGTTTTCTGATTCCTAGCCATCCTTAATCTTATTCTTTTCTTAGGTCTGTGCTAAACACACATGGAAGAATCTATGCCAGGTACTCTGCCACCATGGCAAAGCATCCGAACATGAAGAAGATGGGTTTGAATACCTGAAGAATGTTGGGAGCTAAGTCAGTATTGGTCCACATCTGAAGACTGACAAATCATTTCAAGCAAAAAGAAGTATGTAATGTAGAATGACATCATATTTTATGACTCTTTTATCATTATGCTTTCTCTCAGGGAACTTCTTTAGAAAAACCGTTTCCCCAGAGTAAGTATATTTCCATCAAACAGAACCCACTGAAACATGATGAGGACAAAGGCTACACCTCAATTTAATAAAGATGCCTAAATATACAAGTCAGACCTGGATATTACTTATGAAGCTGCATATATATTAAAACATTTTAAGCTGTGGCATTTAATACAGCTAACATAAAAAGTGATAATAAACTGGTTTCATTGATAATGCTAATCATTTTATAGTTAAAAGATTAATGAGTAAAATGTTAAAAATGATAAAAGCTTCAATAAATAAAGAGTAAAAGAGGTTAATGTAGTGGTATAGCTGAAAATTCAAGAAAAGAAGGCCGTAAAGTGGAGGTTTAAAATGTCTTTTGTTTTCTATAAAAAAAAACCACGCCATTAATATCAAGGATATATCAATCTACAAGGAACAAAAGTGCCTATTATTGGCTTTTCAGACAAGATAGAGTGCTTAAAGAACAGAATTACATAAAAATAAACTTTCAATTTTAATAAATGTAAATATTTTTATTTATTTTTTGGAAAAGGAAGCACAGTGATCTCTTAGAGGAAACAAGATGGACTAAGTAAAGTGTATATTTTAGGAAGATACTGTAGTGTGGACTGTCAATATCCAGTGAGTCTTGGAAAGTTTTGCAGTCAAATAAGCCAAAAGGGTTTTGAAAGCAAAGAAATATGTCATTATTTTTAGGAGAAGCAGCCTGTCTCTAGGTTGTCAGTGTCAGCAATAGGTAGGATACTAAAGAAACCAATAAATCTTAATGACAACTTAATTATTTACATGAGATTCCTGGTGTTTTCTGTGACATGTGTCTCTTGGGAGAAACCAGGAGACCTCACTCACTTTAAATTTTGAACAGAACTAAGAAGACAATACACTAGCATGAAATCAAATATGAACAATACTAAAAACAGTACAGGTGTGTTTTTAAATTTTTCTATTAATTTTGGTATCAATACAAATCCTTACAATCCCATGAAAAGAAAAAAGATTGTGATTTTAGAGAATGACAGAGAAATGAGAGAAATGTGAGGAAACGGTATAGAAGTGTGACTTACTACTTTCAAATAGTACCTAAATCTTTTTTTTTTTTTTTTGAGACGGAGTCTTGCTCTGTCGCCCAGGGCCCAGGCTAGAGTGCAGTGGCGCGATCTCGGCTCACTGCAAACTCCACCTCTCGTGTTCAAGGGATTCTCCTGCCTCAGCCTCCTGCGTAGATGGGATTACAGGCACCTGCCACCAAGCCTGGATAATTTTTGTATGTTTTAGTAGAGACGAGGTTTCACCATCTCAGCCAGGCTGGTCTCGAACTCCTGACCTCATGATCCACTTGCCTCAGCCTCCCAAAGTGCTGGCATCACAGGCGTGAGCCACCATGCCCGGCCAAATAGTACCTGAATCTTATTAATTTTATGATTTAGGGTAATTTTTAAGATTCTAAATCAGAATTTTACAATTTACGAATTTAACAATTGGCACTGTAATATATGATTTGTGCAATTGTTTTCTATATCTGTATCTACGTATGTGAGTCATTGCTTACTCATATTAGGTAATCAGGAAATAAGTGTTATTAGTGATATAGTATTCAGTAATTCTTGAACAAATTTTTATTGAGCACTTTATGTATATACTATATTAGGTGCTAGGAGAAAAAGGGGTAAGGAAAATATACAAGATGTGTCCTCAATACATATATTTTAGTGGCCAGTTACCCTACAAATAAAAATGAATGCAAAATTACAAATTCTGCTGAGTTGTGTGACAGAAACACAATGTGTTCTGAAAAGAAATAGGATATACCTAATTTAGATTACAGAGGAAGAAGAAATCAGAAAAAATATCTTTAGTAGGTGGCCTTTTAAACAGTGCTTTGAAAAAAAAATAGAATACAGTGCAAAGAAGCCATTCAATAGAGGGAATGATGCAAAAGAATGTCTCATGCTTGAGAATGGAAGAAGAGATGAGGAAGTCTAAGGCCCTGAAAAAAAGAGTGGCTGAAGCATACTGAGAAAAAGGTGGAGCAGCTTGAGTAACAGCAGAAGAGGGCTGCAGAGAGAGGGTGAGGCCATAACACGCAATCTTGAAGTTTTTCTCTGAGCTGACATTTCTATTAGTCAGATATAGTTATTTGAAAGTGTCTTCTACCTTCATCTTTGTAGATCAATTAGGAGAATAACACTAGAACCATAGAAGCAAGTATGGATGTTGATTTAAAATTTTTAAATTTAAAAGGCTCTAGCAAGTTTCCAATGGAAGATTTATTGCAGTAAGGCTTGGGTTCAGAACAAAGACACAATGGTAATAATAACCAAAAGATGATGAAGGTTTATGTAGAACGATTGTACAGATTTAGGAAAGGGGACATGTATAACAAATATTTAGATAGGTAGAACAGGGTATGGCAATTGAGTAGACATTACTAATTATCTCTCTCCAACTATTCTCCATCTCCTTCATTTTGTCCCAGCCATCATTGTCCCTGCTGCTGTGGTAATGCCACAACTTTGAACAATTGCCTGGGGTGCCCATCATTAGCTATTCCAGTGATTTCTTTTATCACTTCCTTTAATTTTTTTGCTAAAGTGACTCTTTTCCTTATCTCCTCCTACAATGACATAAACTCCATGAGGGCCAAATGTTTGATTTTTTCGTTTGTTTTGGTTTGTTGTTGCTGTTGTTTGTTTTTAAGCGTCTTCTTCAAGGTACCTAGAACATTTGTCTGGGTCTGATAGCCATTCAATGAATTGTTGATTTGCTGTTGTTGACAAGGGCACATGTGAAGGGAAAGTGTTTTGGAAAGGATGCTGTTGTGTGACTTGAATTATTAATCAGGAAACTAGGGCTCAAGAGAAGCTTGTGGAATACTGTTATGATGGGGGGGGTGGTTAGGCAATGGGAGATAGATGATTTTGAACTCCATGGGCATGTATATGCAAATTAAAGGTATTGCATAGAGAATCAAAGATTAAAATTACCAAAGAGAAACAGAAATTTTGCAACTAAGTTATTTCAATGGCAGCACATTTTATGAAGTGGCTTTAACTGTGCCTTGAAGGCAGAAATCCATGTTCCAGACTTTTCCATGCTGCTTTGTGTGTGTGTGTAACACACTCTTTTGTTCCACCTTCTGTGATAAATACTAACAAGATTTGCCATCTGAGGAAAGTTCAGACATTCTGTCACTCTCTTCCAGCATCTCTGTGTGTGGCTGATTGGTTACTTCAACTTACAGTTTGTTCTACAAAGCTCTCAATCTTGATTTCCAGGGAAAGGCTACTGGAGGTCTTGCTTATGCATCGTGAGCTGAGCTCTGCATTCCTTCAAAATGTGTTAGAGTGCTACCCAGCCATCAATAAATTTGTGTTTATATTTTATTCTGAGCCTTAGAAGTAAATGTGTCTGGAATTGGTGGGTTCTTGGTGTCACTGACTTCAAGAATGAAGCTGCGGACCCTCGCAGTGAGTGTTATAGTTCTTAAAGACGGTGTGTCCAGAGTCTGTTCCTTCTGATATTCGGATGTGTTCGGAGTTTCTTCCTTCTGGTAGGTTCATGGTCTCGCCGGCTTCAGGAGTGAAGCCGTAGACCTTCGCGGTGAGTGTTACAGCTCTTAAGGCGGTGCGTCTAGAGTTGTTCGTTCCTCCCGTTCAGAGTTGTTCATTCGTCCCGGTGGGTTCGTGCTCTTGCTGGCCTCAGGAGTGAAGCTGCAGACCTTCACAGTGAGTGTTACAGCTCATAAAGGCAGTGCAGACCCAAAGACTGAGCAGCAGCAAAATTTATTGCAAAGAACGAAAGAACAACACTTCCACACGGTGGAAGCACGCCCAAACGGGTTACCACTGCTGGCTTGGGCAGCCTGCTTTTATTCCCTTATCTGGCCCCACCCACATCCTGCTGATTGGTCCATTTTACAGAGAGCTGACTGATCCATTTTGACAGGGTGCTGATTGGTGCGTTTACTATCCCTGAGCTAGACACAAAAGTTCTCCAGGTCCCCACTAGATTAGCTAGATATAGAGTGCTGATTGGTGTATTTACAAACCCTGAGCTAGACACAGAGTGCTGATTGGTGCATCCACTAACCCTGAGCTAGACACAGAGTGCTGATTGGTGTGTTTACAAACCTTGAGCTAGATACAGAGTGCTGATTGGTGTATTTACAATCCCTTAGCTAGACATAAAGGTTCTCCAAGTCCCCATTAGACTCAGGAACCCAGCTGGCTTCATCCAGTGGCTCCCACATCAGGGGCCGCAGGTGGAGCTACCTGCCAGTCCTGTGCCTTATGCCTGCGCTCCTCAGCCCTTGGGCGGTGGATGGGACTAGTGCTGTGGAGCAGGGGCGGCGCTGCTCAGGGAGGCTCTGGCGGTGCAGGGTCGGGGAGGGGGGCTCAGGCATGGCGGGCTGCAGGTCCTGAGCCCTGCCCCGTGGGAGGCAGCTGAGGCCCCGCGAGAATTCAAGCACTGTCGGGCCGGCACTGCTGGGGGGGCCGGCACTGCTGGGGGACCCGGCGCACTCTCCGCAGCTGCTGGCGCCGGTGCTAAGCCCCTCACTGCCCGAGGCCAGCGGCGCAGGCCGGCTGCTCCGAGTCCGGGGCCCGTCGAGTCCACACCCACCCGGAACCTGCAAGGGCCGCACGCAGCCCCGGTTCCCACCCGCGCCTCTTCCTCCACACCTCCCCGCAAGCTGAGGGAGCTGGCTCCGGCCTCAGCCAGCCCAGAAACGGGCTCCCACAGTGCAGCGGTGGGCTGAAGGGCTCCTCAGGCGCGGCCAGAGTGGGTGCCAAGGCCGAGGAGGCACCGAGAGCCAGCGAGGGCTGCCAGCAGGCTGTCACCTGTTATGAAGAGGAGAGGTAGGATAATGAAATTCAGTCCTATCTTCAAACCCACCTTTTATGTATACAAATTATTTATAAAGAAACATTTTCCTTTTTATTCTCAAGAAATTACTACTAATGCTGTAATAATAAGAAAAAAATTACTTCTCTACTGAAATTAAAGAAAATTGATACTATGAAACACTTTCATTGTAGACAAATTAAGCCAGATATAGACAACCATAATGACAATAATGAAGAGTATCTCATGATGCAACAAATAATTGTTAATAAGTAATTCTAAGGGTTAAGAAATATTTAAAGAGTCAGAAAATTTAAATCTGTTACAATAACAACATTCAAGTACATGTTGAATATTTCAACATATTTTTCGTAAAACATTGCATGAATTAAATATTTTGGAAAAACACAACTGAAAACATTTGAACAAAAATATTTGAATTATGTCTGTTTTAATAAAGCCCCTGTATTCATGATGTCATTTTATAATCTCCTATGATGCCAATAGAGTAACTTCACATTTCATTTTGCCTTTTTTTTTTTTGAGGTGGAGTCTTGCTCTGTTGCCCAGGCTGGAGTACACTGGTGTGATCTCAGCTCACTGCAACCTCTGCTTCCTGGGTTCAAGCGATTCTCGTGTTTTAGCCTCCCAAGTAGCTGGGATTACAGAGGTGTGCCACCATGCCCAGCTAATTTTTGATTTTTTAGTAGAGACGGGGTTTTACCATGTTGGCCAGGCTGGTCTGGAACTCTTGACCTCAAGTGATCCAACCGCCTGGGGCTCCCAAAGTGCTGGAATTACAGGCGTGAGCCACCAAGCCTGGCCGAGTAACTTCATATTTTAGAAGATGTTTCATAGAGGGTGAGTTTCCTTTAATAATGTGTGCTAAGAGTTAGCAGCTACATATATAAACACGGGCTTTCTATGCTGGAAAAGTTTCCAGTTCAATCAGATGACTCTTATACATCTAAAAAGTTATTTTGCACGTTTACTTTTAAGGGGTAAATCTAAGAGGGGGTTGCATTATTTAATGTAACTATATTTCTTTCAAATGGAGAGGGATAGGCATTTATTTTTATTGCTTAGAAATTTTCAAAAATATACAAAAGTAAAAAGAATAAGATACTGAATACTCAGTCTATGTATGTCATTTGATTCATCCTCTCAGATGATAATCCAACATCTCCGTGGCCGCTTTCAATTTTTATTAGAACTTCTAGAGTTTTATTAAAACGTATGCTTCAAATATGTTTGTTTAAATTTTTTTTGTTGTGCTTTTCAAAATATTTATTCTAACATTATTGTGCCTTCTTCCAGTAGGATTAATATCACACTACTTTATTTTGCTAGATTCATCAATTACCTCATCAAGCGATAAAGCTCTAAATTAATCTGGGAATTATTTGTATCATTTTCTTAAAATCTGGGCTGGTGTATTTTCTTCCTGGGCATTTATGATATAGATCTATTTAAAAAGACCTCTTGTTTTGAGATGTGAGACTATCAACTCAGATATTTCTGCTTAAGTAAATAAACCCATGACAGTTTCACTTCCTCCGCTTTAGTATCAGCTCCATAGTTCTTAAGTGGTGAGACTGAGTGGTGAAAATGATTTATTCCAAACAGGATTCACATACATAAAGGCAAGTTCAATTAAATGGATAACTCAAATATTCGTAGTGTCTTTAAATGTTTGGACGAGAGTTTTAAAATTATTTCTCAGCTTTATCTTCCCCACATCATGAAATTTTCTAAAATATAGATTTAACATTGTAAGTATATCCTTATTTGAAAACATTTTTATTTAAATTTGGAAAACGTGAAAATTATTTTAACATAGTAAATTACTAAAATATATTATTTCTCTAACATAGAAGGGAGTGCTAAAAATGGTTCTAGAAAAGTGTCAAATATGCTAGGTGTGCTATTGAAACAGACAGCATGCTTAAAATTACATTAAATATACTAAGTCCAAAAGTATGTATTAAAAATGTATAAAATATTATTGAGTTGGGATAAAGGGGCTTCATTAAAACCAGACACATTTTTGTTCATGAATAGGAAGACTACATATCTTTAAGACGTTAAATATCCCCAAAGTACACTTTTAACATGATTCCAATTAAAACACACTCTGTGGGGAGTGGCTTGGCCCACATAGTTTGATTTACTGTAACACTGGAAATAAGTGATCCCTATTCTCTTGGGTTCTACATTTGCCTCTATGTATATCCTTTCTTTAGCCTATATACAAAAGTAGCTCCAGATGCTTTAGTTTTCAGTGGTGCACTTCTTGGGAATTATTGATTTGAACATAAGAAAGCATCGCAGTCTTTTATCATTTATTTTCTTAACAATGTAGCACTTGGTTTATCAAGAAAATCACAGATGAATGTTTTGTGAAGACAAGAAAACACAGGATACAGACCTGTAGCTTTGTAATCATTCAAATCATTTGAGTCTCAATGCTAATGTTCATGTTATTTTAGAATTTTTTTCACTCAGTTGTTTTTTTTAATTTTTAATTTTTAAATATATAGATTATAAGCCACACCTTTCTGGTCTCTATATTATTTGCATTTTGGCTATACACACACACATATATATACACACACACATATACATACACATATACATATACATGTGTGGAGAGAGATATATACACATATATGTGTATGTATATACATACACATGTTACATATATATGTCTATATGTAATTATGCATATATATGTAATTATACATATGTGTGTATATATACATATAGACATATATATGTAATATATCTCATATACATATATGTGTGGAGATATATATACACATATGTGTGGTGATTATATAAACATGTGTGATGATTATATATACATACACATATATGTATATGAATATCTGGATATATATGTTTCTGCATATATATATATAAGTCTCTGATAGTGTCTTATGTTCATATATATATATGGAGAGAGAGAAAGACATAAATCAATGACAGCAAAAAGAACTTACTCACATTTAAGGAACCTCTAATTCAAGTAAGTTACCATGCTAGGCGTTGTGAGCAACACAAAGATGAAAAAAATATGTGTATTGCTTGCAAGTATCTTATAATTTTATGGATGGATTTAGAATGAAGCATAGCATTTTCGCTTAATTGTGAAAGCAAGTCATTTCACCATATGTTATTTTTACTTTTTTTTTGTAATTTTAACTCAAAATGCATGAGAGAATAATTTATAATTTGGGATGCTTTTTAGCCAACTTGGAGCCATTTCAAAGTATCTTATGAAACTCATACATACTTTCTATGCCAAAAATATGACTATCTTTGTAAATGAGCTTTTCTGGGTAATACATAAATATAGAACCAGAATAATACAAGAAACTATTGTGACCATAAATTTGTATTTTGTTCAGTACACTATTAGAGAAAATGCTATTTGGGGTCTTTGCTGACAACTGCCTATAGACCAACTATTACCACAATCATTTAGGTCCTTTTTAAGACAATCATTTTGGAGCTTTTATAAATAATCTTAGTTTATGCCAATTCTCCTATTTCACAGAGCCCCAATTCCATATTCAATGATAGAGAATGCGTATTATTTTTCTTCAGGAATGAAGTATAATTCATGCTTCTCAGAACTTTATTTCCCGTCATGGGAAAATTCTCTGTGTGGCCTTAGACCAACCCAGTTTTTTCCTCTTTCTTGCTTTGTAGTTCTCAAGAATAACTGTAGATTGTGGTGGGAATGCAACATCCTGAGACAAGGAGAGACTGGCTGGAACTATTCTATTTCCTCCTAGAAACAGGATGTCCTTCAATGCTTTAGCCTAGTGGGAAAGTTTTCCAGGTTATAAAACCCAGAGCAGCTGGTTTCCAGGGTCCCTCAGCTGCTGTGCAAGTGGGGCACATGTGGGGCTCTGTTCCTCTCCTGAGTGGCTTTTCTGAGTCATGGAGACCAACTGTTCACAAATCCTAGGCCTCTTGTATCCCTTGATGCCCATCTGTAAGTAATGAATCTGTTTCCTGTAACTTGTATGTAGGTGTTCTGTTTCACTGAACTCAGACAAGTTGGTAAGCAGCTCACACTGAACCTGTTTGCACCTATGTGTACAATTTGAATATGAGTAATTTTAATCACTCAAATTCACTGTAGCCAAAACATGCTGATATAAAATCTATGGTTTCCACTAAATTCACCACAACTCTACCCCAGCCATAAAAAAAAAAAAAAAAAAAAAAAATCTAGGAATGCCCAGGTGAACTTGTGCACACCGAAAAGAAAAAATAAATGTCTTTTTTACTAGGTATTTCTGCTATTCTCCTGTGTAACTCATTGAGGTATTTTGCTTCTTTATTATCTGTTATTGGGACTCTTGCCACAGGTGTGGTTCCTGTTGGCAGGTGCAACAGTCGTTTGTTAAACATCATTGTTATTCCTTTCTAGACTATTCTCTCCCTCTCTTCCTGTCTCTCCCTCTCTTTCTCTTTCTCTCTCTCTCTCTCTTTCTCTCTCTTTCTTCCCCTCCCCATCGTTTCTTCTCCCTTTAATATCCTACTCTTCCCTTTCTCTTTTGTTCCCCTGACAATACACTCCTCCATCCGGAATAGAAACTCCACTGTTGTCTCTTAATGGACAATTAAGTCTTTCCCTGGTCTCTACTGTTATTTTAGTGTCCATTGACAGCAATTGCATTGAAGTGGCCATATTGAATGCTGGTTTTCAGTGACATAAGAGGGAATGTATCTCTTTTTTTTCTCCTTAGGCAGTACCAACATAATGTACTTTGTGGCTAAGAGTTGTTTTGCTTTGATGATTTATTTGAAGTTTTGTTTACATACTCATTTCTCCCAGAATCCTTGTTCCTAAATTACTGATTTACTCATAGGGCCTAGATTCTTATTTCCTGAAGTGAGTCATTTACTAATCATATCAATTTTCTTGGAGCGATGTACCAATTTAGCAGTCAGGCCTAGTTATATCTAATCCTACAACTGAACTTAACTAACTTTATCTGGACTTTCTCCCTGCATAAATTTTGTTTGAAGAGGGAAATATTAAAGCAGATCAATGTCAAATAGAGCATCTGCATAGGTATATTTTCTTATAGGCCATTAGGCTGTAACATATTAAACTAATAGCTATTGTTTCCTAAACAGTTTATAATCTTTTGTATTATTTCCTATAGCTTTTTATTGGGGCATAATATAATTGATTTATAGCATAATCAAAATTAGATGTTTTGTAATATTTTCATTACCTTCTCAATAATGTTATTCTGTTTTAATCTGAGTTTTAATTATTAAGAAATAATTATCAGCCAGGCACAGTGGCTCTTGCCTTTAATCTCAGTCCTTAGAAAAGCTGAGATGGGAGGATCGCTTAAGGACAGGAGTTTCAGACCAGCCTGGGTAACGTAGCAATATCCTGTCTCTACAAAAAAAAATACATATTGTATTATCTGGATGTGGTGGTGCACACATGTAGTCCTAGCTACTCAGGAGGCTGAGGTTGAGCTACTAGGATCATACCACTGTACATTTGCACTCCAGGGTCACAAGAGGGAGACCCTGTCTCAAAAAAAAAAAAAAAAAAAAAAAGAAAAGAAAAAAGAAAAAAGAGAAAAGCAATGCTAATGATATTTACAGATAAGTAGTGTTTCTGTTGGTCTCAGTATTATGCATCCTGTTCAAAACACTGTAGCATATAAGACACTAGAAAATAATAAAGAAGATCTAGAAAGCAAAGAATAATTTTAAAAAACCCTAAGGTTCCTGTAGCTGGAATAATTGATGGGGACTGATATTCATGAATTACATTTGTTTGAAAAATAAAATTAAGATACTTGAAATATTTATGTTACATATTCAACATTTGTTAGCCTGTTTATATCTCAGTATGGAAAAAAGGTCTTCCTAAAATGCTTACTCTTCTCCAGGGTGGGCTGTCATATCACAAAACCTTTTTTTTTTTTCCTAATTCAACACTCTGCTACCAAGTTTTATAATGCAATTCTTTTCTTTAAAGTTTCATATTAGTGAATAATATGACAATTTCAAGTTTTCCTCAGTCTCCTCTTGAACCTTTAATAATAACAAAAACTAAAAGGCAAATGCTACAATAACAAGAAATAATTATTGTTAGGATAGTATATATTTCACCAAATTGTCAGATAAAATATTAATAAAGATGCTACTCTGTGAAAATAATTGATTTTGCAAATGTATATAATAATTGTTACCTAATAGTCTATGTATAATGGCTATATACTTTAAGCCAATAAATTTGTTCTTGTTAATGTTTTTATCATCTTTTATATTAGTTATTTTAAATTGATGGTTCTAGAAAGAATGGCTACAGGAGACAATTAAAAGGAGATGTAAACAGAAATAAAAGCGCATATGTAAAGAAAGAAAGCTAGATATATAAGCACATTAATGAGACTTGGCAGGAATGAAGAGAGTATTTATTGTAAGTAGAGAAGCCATGGCATTGCACATGTATGCTCTGCAAAACTCCAAGGGAAGTTTCATGTTGAAAGAGCTTTTGGAGCAAATTCTTCTATCAACTTTGAGTTAATATTTACATTATTTGTTCACAGGGTTCTTGGAAAATGAATTTTTGTTAGAATTCATTCAGAAAGTTTAGAATAATTGCTAACTTGACAGATACTATTTGGTATACAGATACTATTTTGGTTGCTGCACAAGCAATTACCGTTTTTGCCATTACTTTAAATGGCAAAAACCGCAATTACTTTTGCACAGAACCTAATACATTCTATTTATTAAAATGTGCCTTTTCTAGAACACTTATATTGTTTAGTGTATTTACAGTACTAAATCCTTTCTTTTCTGCCATATGCCAGCCTGGTATAAGAAACTTCACTTGTGCTAATTCTAATGCTGTATAAATGTTTCAAGACAGTATCACTTTGCTTTAAAACAGCATACAGTTATTATACTAAGGCACTCCTTGTCATTTAGGTTCAAAAGAAACAAACATTTATGGTACTAGACCTCACAGTTAAGGCATTTGTCAAGTAGTTTGGGTGTAAAACTTCAGTTTTTTCTATTTTTTTTAAATGCATACTAAGGATCTGAATTCCATGAAAGGTGGGTGGTTATTCTTAGTTTTTTT
This sequence comes from Homo sapiens, assembly GCF_000001405.40. Classification (NCBI taxonomy): domain Eukaryota; kingdom Metazoa; phylum Chordata; class Mammalia; order Primates; family Hominidae; genus Homo; species Homo sapiens. The sequence continues at coordinate 185,125,299 of NC_000002.12, read as the reverse complement.
TTTTTTCCTCACAATAGCTAAAAACAGCATTTGAGCAAAGATCCAGATACGTTCAATTTAATGAAAATAATAAGGGAAATACTTTAAATGTGTAATATTTACACATTTTCTTTGATGTAGGTACACACATACACACACACACACACACACACACACACACACACATTTGATGGAGGTTCCACAACAAAATAATAAGATAATTACCATATGATCCAGAAATGCCACTGTGAGTACATATCCAAAGGAATTGAAATCAGTATCATTTCTTAATTACTGATTATTTCTTCAAATTAATTTTTAAATTATAATTACTACAGAAATATAAGTTGGAAGATCAAAGAAGTCTAAAATTTACTGAAAAAATGATAAAAATAGTACAGAAAGACTTAAGTCTTTAATTGCCATCTATCTGCCCATAATTTAAAAACCTATAGCTTGAATCCAGGGCTTTCTTCTGAGCCCCAACAATATATTTGTCACTGGATATACCACATAAGGTTCACAATAATTTGCAAGCAACGATTGTCTACAGTGACACCTTTTGTACTTTATCTTTCCTAATTCCTGCTTGCTTTTCATAGTAACCTTTCATAACTTTAACTAGTTCTTAAGGCATGCTCTATCTCATTATTTTGCACATCCCCTAGCTGTGCAGGTCTTGTCAGTTATTCCTCAGTCCACAGTAATTAGTTCAGGAGATAAACATCAGGTCTAAATAGAGCCAATAAAATTATCTTCAACAGGTTTTAGTTTAGATATCTTCCTCTGTGATCATTATCTCTAAATTGCTAATAACCATATTCTAAACAATTAGTGGAAACATAATTAAACCAAGAAAAATAAATTTGATCCAAGATATGTAGAAGGAGAAACAGCAACTTTAAATGTTGGGCTATTGGTTGTAGCAGTGGCTATAGTTTGAGTAAATCCTTGGATGTACCAAAGGCATGTGTATTAGTTCATTTTCACAATGCTATAAAGACAAACCCGAGACTGAGTGAGTAATTTATAAAGGAAAGAGATTTAAGTGACTCACAGTTCTGCATGGCTGATGTGACCTCAGTGTTGGGAGCAAGCCCCCCAAAATCCGGCCATAAACTGGCCCCAAAACTGGCCATAAATAAAATCTCTGCAGCACTGTAACATGTCCATAATGGCCCTAACGCCCAAGCTGGAAGGTTGTGGGTTTAACGGAATGAGGGCAAGGAACACCTGACCCGCCCAGGACAGAAAACCGCTTAAAGGCATTCTTAAGCCACAAACAAAACATGAGCGATCTGTGTCTTAAGGGCGTGTTCCTGCTGCAATTAATTCGGCCCATCCCTTCGTTTCCCATAAGGGATACTTTTAGTTAATTTAACATCTATAGAAACAATGCTAATGACTGGTTTGCTGTTAATAAATATGTGGGTAAATCTCTGTTCAGGGCTCTCAGCTCTGAAGGCTGTGAGACCCCTGATTTCCCACTTCACACCTCTATATTTCTGTTTGTGTGTCTTTAATTCCGCTATCGCCGCTGGGTTAGGGTCTCCCCGACCGAGCTGGTCTCGGCACCTCAGGAAACAAATCACGGCAGAAAGGGGAAGCAAAGATCTTCCTCATATGGTGGCAGGAGAGAGAGAAGAGAGCGAAGGGAGAAGAGCCCCTTATAAAACCACTGGATCTTGTGAGAACTCACTGTCATGAGAATAGCATGGGGGAAACCACCTCCATGAACCAATCGCCTCCCTTGCTCGACATGTGGGAATTACAGGTTCCTCCTTTGACACATGGAGATTACAATTTGAGATGACGTTTGAGTGGGGACACAGAACCAAACCATATCAGCATGAATCAATTGAGTATGCTTAAAGTGAGGATCCAGCTACTGCAACTGAGAAAATTTCATTTAGTGTTATCTACTATTCATTATTACGCACAAACTTGTTCCTCCTCTTTCATTAATAATGGAGTATCATATTGCCTTCCTTTTTTTCCTGCTAACTACTTGTTTGACCTATGACAGACTGACTGAGTGTAAATTATTTTACCTGTAAGTGGAGTAAATACAATATTTGTATTACAACAATGTTTTGAGAATAAAATGAGTATAGTGCCTGCACTTTAATAGTGGTTAGTTACTCACATGGATGATTGAGAATCATCTTTCATTTTTCTTATTTATTCCTGTCAATCATCTGCTTATATGCCTTTTAATCCAGGTTTTCTTCACCCCTATTGCTGCAGCTTTAAGTGTATTTTCTCAATATACTATGGAGGTAACAAGTAATCAAAAATCTCAGTGGCCTCCAACAGTAAGCATTTCTTTTTCTGTCATGTTAGATGTCTGCAGCTGCTAGTGGATGCCTGCATCTTTGTTGCATGTTTTCACATTTGGTACTTAGGGAAGAATCAGTCTTTCTTTGGGACATGCTGTTTTCGTTACTGAAGGAAATGAGAAGATGAAGGGAGGATATATCTAATGACACTTAAAGGGTTCACAGAAGTAACACACTGTTACACCGTTCACACGTTACAGGTCCAAGCAAGTAATAGGGCCAACCCAGTAAGCCACCTAGGGAAGTATACTTCTCTTACAGGGAATCACTTCCAGTCACATGGCAATGAGTAGGAATGTGTTATTTTCCTAGATTGAAGAATAAGACAACTTACTACAATAAGGCTCCATTCCAGCCTCATCTGACTTATGCTAATAACCTCTTGTAGGCCCCCCTGCCTTTACTTTAGTCTTATGGGCTTTCATTCTATTCTGGCAAAAATAAAGAATAAAATCAACTAAACATCTTTCTGAAAACAAACCTTTCAACCACTCTCTATTTAACATCTTACTTTGTTTCCTCCATCACCTTAAGAATGAAATTCATACTCCTTTTGTGGACTAAACCTCAAGCTTACTTACTTTGACCTGTTGACACTGCCCCATATGTTCAATTCTATATTTTAAATAATTTGCATTACTTTTATCTTCATTATTTTGCGTAATTTTTCCCTCTACTTGAAATACCATCTTCTCTTATCTCTACTTTTGTTTTTTTTCAAGGGGAGAGGAGGTGAGGATAAAAATTTTAAAACCAAAACCAATGCACTTAATGTGCTTTTGATGACTCTCGAACCATTCAAACATTGTGATAGGCATTGTCATAATTAAATCTTTCTCCCTTAGCAAACAAGTCAAAGACTTCTACAAATTTGAATGAATGTTTGCATCAATGAACTTTTAACACTAAGCTTAACAAATAACACAATAGAGTCCAACTTGGACCCTGGCAGATCATCTTGTCATTTTGATGGTGTTAACTTGCCAACTTTGATTGAAAATCTAAGTATTTATAGTATTTTCACATTTAACTTGTCATCATCCTTATAAACAACTTGGGAAATGAAGTAGAGAACAGCTTTTAAATTTTTATGTGCCACTTGAGGAAATACTTCCCAATTGAGCCTAAAAATGTCAATGAACTAATTGAGATTCTGTAAGTATATATAATGTACTTTTCTTCTTCCTTGATCTGTTTCCTTTGTTATTATTTTCTGCCCTTGGTCCTTGGTTTCACTCAGTTAGCTGCTATTCTTATTTTTGATTTACATTCCAAAAGACAGTTCACATTTATAAAGCATTTACTAACTTGAAAGCAGACTTTTAATCATTATTATAAGTGCCCCAAACCACCTCATGAGATCAGTTCTCTTATTATCCATATTTAATTGATGTGGAAATTGATTTAAATATGTATTAATTAACTTGCCAAAGACTACATAATCAGTAATCTTTAGGAGGATAATAGGAGTCTCTAAGGAGAATAATTAAATATTTCCTTTGTTCCTTGATTCGGTTCTAAACTAAGTGACCAACAAGACAAAGGAATAATAGATGAAAGCTAACCCATCATCTTTGTTCATGATGAAATCTAAGTTGGAGGACATAGCTTAATATTTACAAACCAAAAGCCTACTCATAATAAATTCCAGTGTAGGGCAGATATAGACATATTAGCACAGTAGTGATGGACCAGGGCAGATCTCAAGTTTAAAACAGCTTAGCCCATATAAGTTAACTTACCCTAGTTATATTAGGAGATTTCCTGCTAAATTCAAAGAGGTCACTGCCTAGAAGAAACCCCAGCATAATTAAGCTATACATGTCCAGTGATTTACTTCAAAATTTGCAAGTAAGCTATGATTCTGTGCCTCTCAAGGGCAGAATGAGTATAGGATCAGAGAAGCACCAATGGAGTCACATAAAATAACATTCTTTACAAGAAAAAGAAAACCTCCAGAAGTAAAGAAATATTGTTTCCAAACTATGATTATGTTGTTTTTTTCTCACACTGTTCCACCCTCTCATTATTTTCAGCTGATGACTTTGCTTCATACTTCATTGAGAAATATTAATAACTAACAATTATGTTGCACCTTCTCAGGGCCAGATACTATTCTAAGAGCTTTACATATATTGAGTCTTAATGAAATGGAAGCAATCAGGCAGAAATTCTTTGTACTACATAATGTCAAATCTACAAAACTTCTTTTCTTTTTAGTTGTGTAATCTTCCTTGTTTATATTACAATGAATAAACACCTTTCTTTTTTTTATTATACTTTAAGTTTTAGGGTACATGTGCAGGTTTGTTACATATGTATACGTGTGCCATGTTGGTGTGCTATACCCACTAACCCATCATTTACATTAGGTATATCTCCTAATGCTATCCCTCCCCCATTCCCCACCCCACAACAGGCCCCAGTGTGTGATGTTCCCCTTCCTGTGTCCATATGTTCTCATTTTTCAATTCCCACCTATGAATGAGATCATGCAGTGTTTGGTTTTTTTGTCCTTGCAATAGTTTGCTGAGAATGATGGTTTCTAGCTTCATCCATGTCCCTAGAAAGGACATGAACTCATCATTTTTTATGGCTGCATAGTATTCCATGGTGTATATGTGCCACATTTTCTTAATCCAGTCTATCATTGATGGACATTTGGGCTGGTTCCAAGTCTTTGCTATTGTGAATAGTGCCGCAGTAAACATATGTGTGCATGTGTCTTTATAGCTGCATGATTTATAATCCTTTGGGTATATACCCAGTAATGGGATGGCTCGGTCAAATGGTATTTCTAGTTCTAGATCCCTGAGGAGTCGCCTCACTGACTTCCACAATGGTTGAACTAGTTTACAGTCCCACCAACAGTGTAAAAGTGTTCCTATATCTCCACATCCTCTCCAGCACCTGTTGGTTCCTGACTTTTTAATGATTGCCATTCTAACTGGTGTGAGATGGTATCTCATTGTAGTTTTCATTTGCATTTCTCTGATGGCCAGTGATGATGAGCATTTTTTCATGTGTTTTTTGGCTGCATAAATGTCTTCTTTTGAGAAGAGTCTGTTCATATCCTTCGCCCACTTGTTGATGGGGTTGTTTGTTTTTTTCTTGTAAATTTGTTTGAGTTCATTGTAGATTCTGGATATTAGCCCTTTGTCAGATGAGTAGATTGCAAAAATTTTCTCCCATTCTGTAGGTTGCCTGTTCACTCTGATGGTAGTTTCTTTTGCTGTGCAGAAGCTCCTTAGTTTAATTAGATCCCATTTGTCAATTTTGGCTTTTGTTGCCATTGCTTTTGGTGTTTTAGACATGAAGTCCTTGCCCATGCCTCTGTCCTGAATGGTATTGCCTAGGTTTTCTTCTAGGGTTTTTATGGTTTTAGGTCTAACATGTAAGTCTTTAATGCATCTTGAATTAATTTTTGTATAAGGTGTAAGGAAGGGATCCAGTTTCAGCTTTCTACATATGGCTAGCCAGTTTTCACAGCACCATTTATTAAATAGGGAACCTTTCCCCATTGCTGGTTTTTGTCACGTTTTTCAAAGTCAGATAGTTGTAGATATGTGGCATTATTTCTGAGGGCTCTGTTCTGTTCCATTGGTCTATATCTCTGTTTTGCTACCAGTACTTGCATACTCTGTTTTGGTTACTGTCATCTCAGCTCAAAATCTCCTTAAGCTGATAAGCAACTTCAGCAAAGTCTCAGGATACAAAATTGATGTGCAAAAGTCACAAGCATTCTTATACACCAGTAACAGACAAACAGAGAGTCAAATCATGACATTCACAATTGCTTCAAAGAGAATAAAATACCTAGGAATGCAACTTAGAAGGGATGTGAAGCACCTCTTCAAGGAGAACTACAAACCAGTGCTCAATGAAATAAAAGACGATACAAACAAATGGAAGAACATTCTGTGCTCATGGATAGGAAGAATCAATGTCGTGAAAATGGCCATACTGCCCAAGGTAATTTATAGATTCAATGCCATCCCCATCAAGCTACCAATGACTTTCTTCACAGAATTGGAAAAAACTACTTTAAAGTTCATATGGAACCAAAAAAGAGCCCGCATTGCCAAGTCAATCCTAAGCCAAAAGAAGAAAGCTGGAGGCGTCACGCTACCTGACTTCAAACTATACTACAAGGCTACAGTAACCTAAACCTTTCTTCTTCTAAAATAAGTTAAACCTACCACTCCAAACCTATGTTCATGTTTTAGTTCAGATATGCCCTAACTCACTTAAGAGCTTTGCTCCTACAATTATTTTATTTTTACTGTGGAATCATTAATTTCTGTGCTAATAAGTTATGACCATAACATCTGCATTTACCAAAATAAATTTCCTTAAGTTATATATTTTTACCTTTACTTTTAATTGAGAAAAATTGTATGTATGTATCAATGGTATATATATTTTAAATATATATACATTGTGGAATGACTAAACTGAGCTATTTAATGTATGCATTATCTCACATACTTATCTTTTTTTGTGGTAAGAGCATAAAATACACTCAACAGTTTCTAAGAATATAGTACATTGTTATTAATTTTAGTCACCATGTTGTACAATAGGTCATGAATTTTCTCCTCCTAAGTGAAATTTTGTATTCTTTTACCAGCGGTTTCCCCAACTCCACCCCTCTTAACCCTTGGTAGCCACCATTCTTCTTTCTTGTATGAATTCAGCTTTTTTAGATTCCACATATAAGTGAGATCAGTCAGCATTTTTCTTTCTGTGCCTGGCTTGTTTCACTTAACATAATGTACTCCAGATTTATCCGTGTTGTCACAAATGATAGGATTTCCCTTCAAATTATGCATTTTGAAGGACTGATGAAACTTTGTTGCCATTCCCTTGACTTGTTTGTGATATTAATTTAGCCTCAATTTACTTTCCTGTCAAGCATTCCAATGAAATTAATCCTGTCAGGGCCATTAATATCAAATTCTGTGTTTTTCTTTTGGTATACTCCTTAATCTTAGTATCACTTGCCTCATTTAGCATTTCCTCTCTTGAAACATATTTCTTTCTTGATATGACATGTCGACATGACAGCATTGTGTCTTATTTCTTTTTTATTTTACTCAGTGACCACGTATGAATCCTCTTTGCTGGATTCTCTATCTCCTAACTAAAGCTTACTGTCAGGGTGCCCCAGAATACATATCTAAATCCACTTGCATACAACCAGTGATTTTAGAATAAGCAATTTGCATGTGTCTTCAAAATATCTATCTAATAAGGCCATCTGCCGTGTGTTTCAAAATCGTTTTTTCTAGCTACTTTCTGAATATCTCCAATTGTTTTTTATACTGGCATGCATCACAGTAAACTGTTGATTGCCCATCCCTCAAAAATGCTTCTTCCCATATTCTTCTTATTTTAGTAAATGGCTCCACCATCAATACAAATGCTGAAGAAAAAACTCAAGGGATTTTCATTCTTTTTTTTTTCTTTTCACTAAACTGCTCTGTCTTATGTAACCACAAGTCTTTCAGTTCTCTCAAAGTATAACTGAAGCCCATCTTCCTTCCATCTCACGCTGCCATCTTATTGATTTAAGTTGCATGTATTAGGGTAATAGCCACCTAATTAGATTCTCTGCCTTCCTTTCTGTACTTTTGCAGTCTGTTCTTCCATAGTATTAAAAAGGACCATATCAAAATATGTTTTTTTCTTTTGTGATATAAAGTCTCCTAAATGAAGAAAAATGTAAGCACCTTTTTATAAGCTACATGATACCAATGACTTAGCCACTGATTAAATTTGGGCTTTCACAGGACATTTTATCCTTTGGCTCACATGCAGTATTTTCAGTCTTTCTCTGGCCACTCATTAGATGGTATTCTACTCATCAAGTCACTCTATTATATCAGTAAGTTTCTTAAGAGCACTTATTTACTCTCTGAAGTTAGAATGTTGATATGTTTTTTTTACATATTTTGTTGTCTTTTCCCACTAGAATACATGATCTAAAATGGAAAGAACATTATCGTGATATTAGATTAATATCTAGTTCATATATAACCATAGCTCCAGTGGCTAAAAATAATTTGGCATATAGTAGATACTGCATGCTTTTTTCCTGGACAAATAGATGAATATGTATGTATAATATTTGGAAGAGATTATGCAAAAATAGATTCACTTTTGCTAGTGTCATAGAAAAAGAATTATTTAGCAATGTATTAATATTTTTAGAGTGAAGGTATTACCACTAGAGTCATGTGCAGTTGGAAGACAAATAATATATTTGTTTGTGATACTAGCTTGTGAAAATAGTAATTAAACTAAGATGAGGGATTGAGTTAAAAAAGTAGGAAAAAGAATAAAAATAACAAACAAGATCATAAAGATAATTAAATACTTGAAGAAAATAATTAAAACACAAAGGTGTAAGCTATTTAATTATTGGGTATATTCTTTGAGCCTTCTGACAAGATATTTTAAGTTATTCAACATAAACACAGATAGGCAGACAGTGAGTAGGGTCATGCTTACATCCATAACTTGTAGTGTTGCTGGTGCTGAAAATTCTTAAAGACAACTATTCTCTTAAAGCATCTTCCAACAAAACTAACATTTTTAAGACTAAAAAATCAATTTAGATATCTTCTATTACTTAATTTCACTTTTTTTTTACACACAAAGTTGAGGTTACACTAATTAAATGATATATTTTTATATACCTGCATAAACAGCATGTTTAAAGCAAAAAGGAGTCTTTAATTTAATATGCTGCAAATAAATTTTGAAGATTCAGGACCATTAGAAAAAAATTACTTCAGTTGGACTTGAAATGTAAGCATGACTTTTACCAAGAGAAGAGTGGATAATATTTTAAATGCCGCTGAGTTTTGCAATATGGAAGCCATTGATGGCATGTTGATAACAAATTTCAAGGAAGGGAGAAGATGGAAAACAGACTGAAATGGATTGAAGATTCAACGTTGACACACAGAATAATTCTGATCTGCCAATTACCGTGCATTCTCACATATCTGCATTTACTTGAGCTCAGATTCTGATGGACATTTTTTTTCTTTTTCTACTGTAGCTGCAGGTACTAATTGATCCTTATATTCTGCTGTTACTCTTCACACCTATCTTTCTGTACTTGCATACATTGTCATATTCAGAGTCATATAACTATCTTTGGTTTTTTTCATTGTCTACCTATCATCTATCTATGACTGTTCTATCTCTAATGTAAATTGTATATATTTAAATTTAATATGCTAAATTATAGTATTTTGAGAAGCTAACTTATATAATCTAGACAGTCCATTTGATCACAAATAAATCAGTGTTTGATAGCATTAACCTAAGATTTCAGTTATGATTTTGAGTATTCTATGATTTATCAAGGCATTTTATTGAAATTTTCAAATGGTATGAAGAGTTCAAAGCTAGACTACTAATAATTAAATATAAACAAATAATATGTACTTAAGCAATACATATAATATACTAATGCATATGAATAGTTTTAAACCAATCACAATTATCTGGGTTAACATGAAACAGAAATGTATAATTGTCATCACAATGTATGCTTAGTAACCAATTAATATAAGAGAAAATCAGCCCAATTATTTTTATTGATTTATTGTATTAAAATTGATGTAATATTTAAGAATGAATTGCAGAGAAGAGATACTTCTAAGCAAAATTTTGTTTGTTTATTTTAATTTTACACTTTTGAAGGAATTAAATTTTCCCCAGGGCTATTTACAAAAATATGTATTCATGGTAAATCTCCTAGTTTGTTTCTCATCACAAGCATTCTGCTCAGCTCTCTTAGGAAGAATCTCATTAAGAAAATGTAATTGCCCCTAATTCTATCACTATAGATAGCATTGGATGACATAAAATTAATTCTGTCCCAGTACACATCTGAAACTCAAACCAATCAAGCTTTTTGGCTGGTGAGGTACATTTAATTGACAATATTTAGCTAAAGATAAAATGAATGATCTTTGACATTCGGTATAATAACTCAACATCCTTCAAGCAACAGAAGTAATTCTGATAGATTTTTGATGTGAGTCATATCTTAGATATTACCAACATATAAAACCATGCCTAGTGACTTCTTTGTCATTGGTAAATATTTTGTAGATTATTATTTTATCATTCTTTTCACTTCATCACCATATATTCAACTGCTAATAAATAATTACTCATAGAAAAACTCTGTTAGAATATTGTATACTTTGTCAGTTACACAGGATAGGGTCCTGAGAAGGTATTTTTGATTTTTCCATTCTCCAATCCTCCGATGACTTCGAGAAGAAGATAGGGAAGGTTTCCCATATTTTACAAGTTATATTTGAAGAAAAAAATACAAACATAAACACATATACACATATAGATATATGTGTGTGAGTGTATATGTGTGTAACATAAGTTGTTTTACTTTTGATAATCGTACAAAAAATTCATGTCAACATTTTTGAGTCATTTAAATGACCAATTTAAATCAAGTGCTACAAACAAATTTCTGTTGTTATTTTTTCCTTTACAGTTATATTGGTTTTATTATCATCTTAGTATACATGGTAAAATATTAATGCCAGTATAGATGATAAAAGAACAGAGGTGATATTTTAAGGTAAACAATATATTTTAAATGAGTAAGGCCAAAAAGTGTCACATTTCACTTAACAAGTATTTTGATTTTACAGTGCTTTGCATAGAGAAAAGTCATGTTTAAAAGCCTCAGTCATGTTAAATTGATGTTATTTTAAATTTTTAGGTTTATTAATTTGTGTTAATATTAAGTAAATTAACCTCAGTTTTATATTTCTTTATAATCAAGAAATACTACAGTGAAAATAATTTAAAGCAATACTGGAAGAGCAATGAAATACTTTCCCTCTAATGTATAGTACACATATTGCTCAAAGAAGGTAGCTTACCTAAATTTGAGCACAGAATAGCTTAGTGAATGATGAATAGACTTGACCTTGCCCTTGGTGGGTGACAGATGAGTTCACCTGATTGTGCCAATCATTTCACAATGTATGTGTATATAAAATTATCATATTGTTCACTTTAAATATGTACAATTTTATTTATCAATTATACCTCAATAAAGCTGAAAAAAATTTAACCTCAAAAAACAAAAACAACAAACAACAACAAACAAAATAAGATTAAAAAAGACAGAAGGGAGGATGTTTTCTGATCTCATTCTCATCCTCAGTTGTGTGTGTGTGTATATATATATGTTTGTGTGTGTGTATATATGTGTGTGTGTATACATATATATGTGTATGTATACACACATATATACATATATACACATATATATATTTAAGTTGTTAATTTGAGTCCCACAACATCCAACCAAATGTTCTCATTTTTGTGAAAAGGTTGTATGTATGTTGGAGATTTTCTAGAGGCCACATAAATGGAGAAAAGTAAGTAAATGGTCTCGAAGAATAAAACAATGCCAATGCTTTTTATATTTATACTTTATTTATGTGCACTTCTTGATGGCATTCTTTTGCTATTTAACATAATGCTTAAGTTGAGATGAAAATATTTGTTTTTATTTTGTTTTGTTTTGTTGCAAGCTATACCAATTTGTTCCATAAGCAGCTTCTGTTCCTCAGCGTTATATAACAGAGTGACAGATCTCATTCTAAATCATATTTATTGAAATTTTACTTAGAGATCATATTACAATAGACAGAAGGAAATGATATTTCAAACAATTTCACAAGTGACTCTCATAGAAGTTTCTCATTTAAAACTTGACCAGAACCATCATGTTTACCTGACCACCTTCAAGAATCTCATGAATGAAAAAAAAATTTAAGTTAGTAACACAACACCAAAAAATAAAATAAGTAATTATGCCACTGGTAGATGAGAAAATTTAAAGAACTTCTGTAAAATAGCAAAGACACAACACTTTATTGAAAAAGATATTAGGACAAATGAAACCATTAATATAACCAAAATTGGCCAGCACAGAGGAGAGAGTGCTTCTTGCCAGGAGATGCCCAAAGGATGTTAAGAAGCTGTTGAACAGAGTCAGCCTTAAGAGATATTTTGTTAGTAGGGTTTCTTACAGAATTCTATTTTTAAATAAATAGTTTAAATTTAATTTATCCATAGAAAATTAGGCAGAACAAGCCTGAGGAACACATACAATACCAGGCTTGAGTTCTCCTTAAGATATATTCATATTGCTAATTGAAAGAAGACAATTGGAAAGGGCTACATACTCTATGATTCAAATTATATGATATTCTGGAAAAGAATTGGACTGCCTGAAAAACAGGGAGTAGCCTATGCCTATTCTTCAAACTCAGATCGCCAATTAAAACAAGCAATGCAGAGGAAGGAAGAGGTGTTGGGCAATAGCAGGAGGAATAATATAGACATTAAGAAAGAACTATAACCCGGAGAAGTTTGATCGTCTGAAGCCTTCTTCTCTCAGTTAGTGGGTGCAGCACACCAACATGGCACATGTATACATATGTAACAAACCTTCATGTTGTGCACATGTACCCTAGAACTTAAAGTATAATAAAAAAATATATATATATAAGAGAAAGAACTATAACCAAGCCTGGGGAAAGGTCTGATTTTCAAAATTAAAGTGCAATTTAAAAAGTGCATTTGAGTTAAACTATTTAAGGGCATTCATCTTCCTGTTATCTACATATGCTTCTTAATGAAAAGTGTGTTAATCAGAACACCTTGCTCACCCCTGTGCAGAACCTTACATCCCTACATTCACATCTTTTTATGGAGGGATCGGGGTCATGGAAAGTCACTTATAAAATTATCAAGAAACTTTTGTTCCCATATCCACATTGTGTAATTTTGTTATGCATGTATAATAGCAAACCAACAATGATTACCAGACACTTGAGGCAAATAACCAAAAAACTATACAAAATAACAAACTAACCAATGAACAAGAGGGTAGAAAAGCAGTTACCCTATCAAAACTTAAACGTAATATTTTAAAATAATTTTTATATTAGTTTTAGATTTACAAAATTATTGTATCAAGATAGCACAAAGATACTGCCTTATACCCTATACCCAGTTGTCTCTATTATTAAAATTTATATGAATTTAGTACATTTGTCACAATTGAATCAACACATTAATATATTATTATTAACTAAAGTTCATAATTTATTTCAGTTTTCTCAGGATTTTTTTCTAATTTTTGTTGTTGTTCCAGGGTTCATTTCAGATTATCACATTACATTTATTAATCATGTCTCCGGCTTGTTTCCTTGTAAGAGTTTCTCAGGTGTTTCTTGCTTTTGATGACCTTGACAGTTGTGAGTATAACTAGTGAGATGCTTTGAAGACTGTATCTCAACTGAGGTTTGTATGAGGTTTTTCCCCTGATTAGAGTAAGGTTATGTGTTTTGAGAGAACAACTATAGATATACAGTGTCATTTTAACCACATCTTATTAAGTGTACATTCTATCAATGTGACCTATTACTGTGATGTTAGCCTTGATCACCTGGCATGAGATAGTGTTCGTCAGGTTTCTCTGCTGTAAAGGTACTCTTTTATTATTTCCCATTTCCATATTGCACTTTTGGAAAGAAAGTTACTTTGCACAGTCCGCACTTAAGAAGCAGGAAATTATTGTCTAACTCCTTAAGGACAAAGTATCAAAATAAATTATTTGAAATTCCGCATAGATTTGTCTTTTCTCTCCCATTTATTATTCATGCATTGACTTATATCAGTATGGACTCATGGACATTTATTTCATATGTTGGGGTAGAATTTAATACTACTTATTTATTATATTGTTCAAATTGTTCCTAGTATGGTCATTTGGGACACTTTCAGTTGACTCCTGTATCTTTTTGAAATACTCCCATTATGGTTTTATTTATTTGTTTGCTTGTCTGTTCATGGTTTTTTTTTTGTTGTTTGTTGTGTTTGTTTGTTTGAGACAGAGTTTCACTCTGTTCCCAAGGCTGAAGGGCAGTGGTAATCAGCGATATGTTAGCTGTCTGTATAGTTTTGCCTTTTCCAGAATATCATATAATTTGAATCATAGAGTATGTAGCCCTTTCCAATTGTCTTCTTTCAATTAGCAGTATGAATATATCTTAAGGAGAACTCAAGCCTGGTATTGCATGTATTCCTCAGGCTTGTTTGCCTAATTTTCTATGGATAAATTAAATTTAAACTATTTAAAAATAGAATTCTGTAAGAAACCCTAGTAACAAAATATCTCAAATATTAACTTTTTAACAAAACAGAATAGAATATTTTATTGGATACGTGAGAAGTATTATTTTCCTTGAATTATTCAGTTATCTATCCCCAAAAGAACAATAATTTCACAAATAAACCAAAACTGCTTTATGATTTCTCAATTCAGTCAACCTACTTGAATATATAGGCCAGACTTATGTTTATTAACATAACATGTTGCTACAAAGGACATGGTTTCATTTTTTATGGCTGCATAGTATTCTACAGTGCATGTGTACCACATTTCTTTATTCAGTCACCATTGATGGGCACCTAGGTTGATTCCATGCCTTTTCTATTGTGAAAGCATGACAACAAATGAGTGCACGTGTCTTTTTGGTACAATGATCTATTTTCCTTTGTGTACTTATCCAGTAATGGAATAACTGGGTTGAAGGGTAGTTCTGTTTTAAATTCTTTGAGAACTGCTTTCCAAGGTGGCTGAACTAGTCTACATTTTCACCAACAGTGTATAAGCATTCCCTTTTCTTTGCAGCCTTGTCCGCATCTGCTGCTTTTTGACTTTTTAATTATAGCTATTCTGACTTGTGTGAGATGGTATCTCAATTGTGGTTTTGATTTTCATTTCTCTGCTGATTAGTGATGATGAGCATTTTTTCATTTGTTTGTTCACCACTTGTATGTCTTCTTTTGAGAAATATCTGTTCGTGTCTTTTGACTATTTTTAATCGTGTAATTTGTTTTTTGCTTGTTGATTTGTTTAAGTTCCTTCTAGGTTCTGGATATGGATATTAGACCTTTATCAGATGCACAGTTTGTGAATATTTTTGCCCATTCTGTAGGCTGCTTGTTTACTCTGTTGATAGTTTCTATTGCTGTGCAGAAGCTCTTTAGTTTAATTAGGTCTCACTTGTCAATTTTTGGTTTTGTTGTGATTGCTTTTGGGGATTTAGACAAAAGTTCTATTAAGGCTGAGGTTGATAATGATATTTCCTAGGTTTTCTTTCAGGATTTTGATAGTTTGGTGTCTTACGTTTAAACCTTTGATCCGTCTTAAATTAATTTTTGTATATGCTCAAAAGTAAGGGTTTAGTTTCATTCTTCTCCATATGGCTTGCCAGTTATCTTAGCACCACTTATTGAACAGGGGGTCCATTCCCCATTTTTTGTTTTTGTTGGCCTTATCAAAGATCAGATGGTTGTAGGTGTGCAGATATGTTTCTGAATTTTTCTACTCTGTTTCATTGTTTTATGTGTCTGTTTTTATACCGTGTCAAGTACCATGCTATTTCTGTTACTGTAGCTTTATAGTATAGTTTTAAGTTGGGTACTGTGATGCCTTCAGCCTTGTACTTTTTACTTAGAATTGCTGTGGTTATTTGGGTTCTTTTTGGTTCCATATGAATTTTAGAATAGTGTTTTTGGAACTTCTGTGAAAAATGACATTGGTAGTTTGATAGGAGTAGTGTTGAATTTGTAAATGGCTTTGGGCAGTATGGCTATTTTTATGACCAATTCTTCCCATCCATGTTTTTCAATTTACTTGTGTCATCTCTGATTTCTTTCACCAGTGTTTTGTAGTTCTCCTTGCAGAGATATTTCACTTCCTTGGTCAGCTGTATTCCCAGGTATTTCATTTTTTTGTAATTATCATAAACATGAATCTGTTATTGATTTGACTGTCAACCTGAGCATTATTGGTGTATAGAAATGCTACCAATTTCTGTACATTGATTTTTGTATCCTGAAATCTTGCTAAAATCATTTATCCATTCTTGTAGCCTTTTGGCAGAGTCTTTAGGGTTTTCTAGGTACAGAATCATGCAGTCAGCAAAGAAGGATAGTTTGACTTTTTCTTTTTCTGTTTGGATGCCTTTTATTTATTCATCTTGCCTGGCTGTTCTGACTAGGACTTCCAGTGCTATGTTGAATAAGAGTGATGAGAGTTCCACTTCTTAAGGGAAACGGCTCCACCTTTTGCCCATTCAGTGTGATGTGAGCTGTGGGTTTGTCATAGATAGCTCTTATGATTTTAAGGTATATTCCTTCAATGCCCAGTGTGTTGATGGTTTTTATTATGAAGAGATGTTGGGATTTATCGAAAGCTTATTCTATATCTATTGAGATGATCATATGATTTTTTATTTTAATTCTGTTTAGGTGGTCAATCATCTTTATTGTTTTGCATATATTGACTCAACCTTGAATCCCTGGAATTAGGTCTACTTGATTATGATGAATTAATGTGCTGCTGAATTCAATTTGCCAGTATTTTCTTGAGGAATTTTTGCTTCTATATTCATCAGGGATATTGGCCTGAAATTCGCTTTCTTTGTCATGTCTCTGCTAGATTTTGTTGTTAGCCTGCTGATGGCCTCATAGAATAAGTTAGGGTGGAGTCCCTCTTCTTCATTTTTTTGGAATACTTTCCACCGGATTGTTACAATTTCTTCTTTGTACATCTGGAATAATTCATAACGAATCCATCTGGTCTGGGGCTTTTTTGGTTGGCAGTTTTTTTTCTTATTATTGATTTAATTTCAGAGTTTGATATTGGTTTATTCAGAGTTTCAGTGTCTTCATGATTCAGTTTGGAGAGATTGTATATTTCCAGGAATTTATCCATTTCCTCTAGATTTTCTAATTTGTTTGCATAGATGTGTTCATATTGTTCTCTGAGCATCCTGTGTATTTCTGTGATACCAGTTGTAATACCATCTTTGTCATTTCTGATTATACTTATTTTGATATACTCCTTTTTTCTATGTTAATCTAGCTGGTGGTCTATCAAACTTGTTGAACTTTTTGAAGAACCAATTCTTGGTTTTGTTGAACTTTTATATGGATTTTTGCATCTCAGTTTCACTGAGTTCACATCTCATTTTAGTTATTCCTTTTCTTCTGCTAGTTTGGGGATTGGTTTGTCTTTTTTTTCAGCTCCTTTAGTTGCAAAGTTAGATCATTAATTTGAGACTTTTCTAACTTTTTGATGAAGGTTTTTGGTCTGTAAACTATCCTCTTAACATTGCTTTAGCTGCATCATTTTAGTAGGTTGTGAACCTATTTTTAATAATTTCAAATACATTTTTGATTTTTGCCTCAATTTAAATGTTCACACTGGAGTTATACAGGAGCAAGTTGTTTCAGTTTCATGTATTTGTGTAGTTTTGTGAGCTCTTCTTGGTATTGATTTATATTTTTATTGCCCTGTGGTCTAAGAGTGTGCTTGGTATGATTTAATTTTTTTTTTTTTTTAGATTTACTGAGACTGGCTTCATGGCTGAGCATGTGGTCTATCTTATAATATGTTCCATGTGCAGATAAGAAGAACGTATATTCTGTAGTTGTTGGGTGCAGTGTTCTGAAGATGTATATTAAGTTCAGTTGGTCAAGTGTTGAGTTTAAGTCCAGTTTCTTTGTGAGTTTTCTTCCTCAATGATCTATCTAATGATGTTAGTGGGGTGTTGAAGTCTACACTATTATTGTGTGGTTGCCTACATCTTTTTGTGGGCCAGGAAAAACTTGTTTTATGAATGGCGGTGCTCCAGAGTTGGGTGTTTATACATGTATATTTGGGATAGTTAAGTTCTGTTTTTTTTTTGGATTGTACCCTGTATCATTACATAATGTTCTTCTAAATTTTTATTAGTTTGCAGTCTGTTTCATCTAATATAATAGTGACTCCTGCTCTTTTTTGTTTTCTGATTGCATAGCAGATCTTACTCTATTGTTTCACTTTGAGCATGTGATTCATTTACATGGAAGATGGGTCTCTTGAAGAAAACAGGTGGTTGGGTCCCGCCTTTGTATCCAGCTGACCATTCTGTGTCAATTGACAAAATTGGGATGTTTAGCCCATTTACATTCAAAGTTACTATTGATATGGTTGATTTTTATCTTGTCATCATGTTGTTAGCTGGTTGTTAGGTAGTCTTGATTGCGTAGTAGTTGTTTTATAGTGCCTGTGAGCTATGCGCTTAAGTGTTTTTTTTTTTTCTTTTTTTTTTTTTTTGTGGTAGCATGTGACATTTTTTTCAATTCCATGTTTAGCAGTCCCTTAAAGACCTCTTGTAATTGTGGCCTGGTTGAAATGAATTCCCTCAGCAGTTGCTTGCTGGAGAAGGATTCTATTTTTCCTTCACTTGTGAAGCTTAGTTTGGCAGGATATGAAATTCTTGATTGGAATTTCTTTTCTTTAAGGATGCTGAAAGTCTCTTCTGGCTTGTAAGGATTCTGCTGAAATGTCTGCTGCTAGACTGTGGGATTTCTTCTGTATGTAACTTGACCCTTCTCTCTAGCTGCCTTTAAGATTTTTCTCCTTTTGTGTTGACTTTGGTGAATCTGAATACTATGTGCCTTGGGGATGGTCATCTTGTATAGTATCTACCCAGGGTTCTCTGCATTTCTTGGATTTACATGTCAAGTTCTCTCATGAGATTAGGGAAATTTTCATGGACTATATCCTCAAATATATTTTCCAAGTTGCATATTCTCTCTCCTTCTCTCTCAGGAATGACAATGAGTCATATACTTGGTCTCTTCACATAATATCATATTTCTTGGAGGGTTTATTAAATTTTATAAAATTCCTTTATTTTTTTCTGACTGAGTTGATTCAAAAAACCAGTGGTCAAACTCTGATATTCTTCCCTAAGCTTGGTCTACTCTGCTGTTAATACTTCTAATTATATTATTACATTCTTATAGTAAAATTTTCACCTCTAGAAGTTCAGTTTTGTTCTCTTAAAATGGCTATTTCATCTTTCTGTTCTTGGATCATTTTACTGTATTCTTTGGATTCCCTGGATGGGGTTTCCACTTTCTCCTGAATTTCAGTGTGCTAAATTGCCATCCAAATTCAGAATTTTGTGTCTGTCATTTCTGTCATTTCAGAGTGGTTAAGAACCATTGCTGAGGAGCTAGTGAACTCATTGGGAATTATGGGGAGACTCTGGGATTTTGAATTGCCACAGTTCTTGAACTGATTCTTCCTCATTTTGGAGAATTGATGTTTCTTTAACTGTGATATAATTTGAGTATAGTCAGTTGACTTCATTTCTGGATGCCTTCAGAGGGCCAGGCCTCTGTATAGGATTTTTGTGTGGCTGAATTCTTGTTTTTGCTTCCCATATGTATATATCATCAGGAAAATTTTTGGTGGTTTGGTTTGGGCTGTGATGCAGTAGATGGTGCTTAAGAGTAATGGCCAATAGCTAGACTAATATCCAGCCACACCGCTCTCTTGTACTTTCTCACATTCATAGGCATGCTGTGTACTGTGGGGGGATAAAGAGATGAAACCCTCACCAGATCTGCTCCTGGGCCATGTTGGTTCCCTCTCTGTTCATTGGCACTGTGTCGTTTCTTGTGTTTCTTTGTTTAGATGTTCCAGGCTGCTGGGAGGAAGGGGGGGCATTGAGCAGAGGCTGCAGCAGAAAGATGTGTCACACCCATTCTGGACTGGCCTTGTAGAGGGATGCATGCCCCACTTCCACTGCATCCCTGAGGAATGGGCATCTATGGCTGCTCTCCACTGAAGTTGCTCTGTGCCATCCCAAGTCTTGTCTCTGTCTGCTCCCTGGGGAAATCTTGCCGGCTCAAAGGTTCATGGATGCCTTGGGGTCACCTATAGCTTAGATCCCAGAAGTATAAAGCAAGAGTGAGCTATATCCCTCAGTTCCTTCATGCACCCCTTTCTCAGGAGCCATTCAGGACTGGAAGTAGCGCTAGTATTTGGGTACCTTGTATGGGGATCCAAGCTTCCTCCCTCTTCAACGATGGCCTTAGTGTCACCTCTCTGTTGCATTTTTGTCTCCAAAGATCTGTTCAAATTATGATAGTTTAGTCGATAATTTGGTCTGTCTTCTTGGGTCAGTGCTTCTTGTCTATATTTAGTCAGTCATCTTGTCCTGACTCCAACCATTATTCTTAACAGGTTATTCTATGAATTATTATTTATTTACAATAGAGAAAATATGTTAGGGTGTTTCATTTGTTTAATATGTTTGCCTATTAATGCTAAGCCTAGGGGTATGTTTAGAGAATATAAAAGTTATTACTATGCTATTTGTATGATTTCTTTTTTTCTTTATTGATGTAAACTGGATTTATGTCTATATCCAACTAAATTGTGTCTATAAAGTTTACAAAACATTTTGGACAGTTTATCAAATATTACATTAATGATCAGCATTCATAACCTCATAAGAATCAAAACAAAAATGATTTGATATAATAAAAATGGTATATACTGAGGTGCACTTTTTCTTTATGGTTGGTCTTTCGGCTATCTTCTGATTATGCATCCATATCCAAGTTAAACTCTTCAGGTCCTGGGAGGCTAATCTATTTGGGCTGCACCAACAGGTTACTGACCTACTGGCTTCTGGTGTATTTCACAATGAAAAGCACTGGCAAGATGTAAGAAGGTAAGGAGAGAAGTTGATTATATATTGCCCAGCATCTCTCAGGACAGACTCAGATAGCTGGCTGCCCCACTACCAAAAATCACAGACCCTGTCAGATAGCAATTTTCACCTCATCACACCACTCTTCTGCTTCTCTCTCTCTCTCTTTCCCGAAGAACATGATCTTATTTGCTAACTAGATAAAACCTGTAGTGTACGTGTTCAAAAATATCAAACATACTCCTCTCTATATTTTTATGAATAAAGAAAGACTTCAATATTACTCAGAGGATTAAAAAGTGGACAGAATCCTCTGGTATTATGGATTGTTTATTATTTGGGAAAGTAAAAGAGCTGTTCAATTCAACAAGATTATCAAGGAACTCATGTATTTAAAGACCAAAAATTTTAAAATATGTGTATTTAATCTGCTTCCAATTCTTCTAACAATATGAAAAATTCACCATGAACATGACTTTCTCTACCTATGATGTATATAACTATATGCTAACTGACAGTATGAAGCAAAGCTATAATTATGAATAATGATTAAAGAATCATAATACATCAATAACATTTTGAAACATCTTGTATCATACTAGAAAGTATTGTAGTCTATATTACTTGTCTCATTTTCTTTTTTACTAGATATATCTCTACATTATTAAGTCGATACTGATGAGATAAGAAAATTTAGATTCTAGCACACAATGAAATTAATATTAAAAGTATATTCAAACAGTGTATAATTATTTTGTGGATAATTTTAAATTAATTAAAAGCAAAGGCAAAATATATATATATTTTATATAATATATATTTTACATGTATATTATATAATATATATACACATATGTATATATATAATGTATAATTAAATAAATAAGCAAAAGGAATTATAACTGAATTTCGATTAAATCTTGTTTGGGGAATAAAAATTTTAAATTTTCTTTCTTAACTGAATTTATTCTTTGTATTTCAGCAATACTCATATATTAACCACTATCTTGAAATCTAGATGTTGAAAGTTATGTTTCAGGCTTTCTATAAGCTAGTGAGAATTTCAATTTATATGTAGAAAAATGCCTTGATGGAATTTTAACATCTAAGGAATTACTAAGTAGTGCTGTGTATGTACAGCTTTATGAAAAACTAAAAGATTATAGAAATCAGAATAACCAAGTTCCTAATAAGGTTGGCAATCTAACTTTAGCTACAAGCAAAATTTGTATTAACGTTATCAAACCTTTCCCCTACTACCATTATTACTTTAAATCTGTATTAATTATGGTGCATTAGAATTGGTTGCTGATTAGTATCTTCTAATCCTTTTATTTTTACCATAAAATAGTTCTAAATCAATTCTTTACATTATTTAACCCCTCATACTTTATTAAATTCTGAAGCATTATTATCTGACTTATATTGTGTTATAACAGGGCTATCCCAGGAGTTTCCATTGCTGCTGCCAAGTTTTCCAAACGTGTTTATGTTTGTTTGTTTTGTTTTGTTTTGTTTTGCTTTTTGAGACAGAGTTTCTCTCTTGTTGCCCAGGCTGGAGTGCAATGGCATGATCTTGGCTCATTACAACCTCTGCCTCCTGGGTTCACGTGATTCTCCTGCCTTAGCCTCCCAACTAGCTGAGATTACAGGCACTGGCCACCACGCCCAGCTAATTTTTTGGTATTTTAGTAGAGACGGGGTTTCACCATGTTGGTTAGGCTGGTCTCGAACTCCTGACCTCAGGTAGTCCATCCACCTCCACCTCCTAAAGTGCTGGGATTACAGGCATGAGCCAGTGCACCCAGCCTCCAAAAGCTTTTTAAAAAATTTTTGGATACTTTGAGCCCACTTGCATTGTGAAAAAATGATTATAACTTATTTAACAAAAGTTCGACAAGTGTGATTTTTCTTCACCAATAATGCAACAAAGAATTGGAGACAGTCTTCGTAGCCACAGCAATATTTTCCATATGGTAATATCAAGTAGTAACAACAAGTAGAATATCAGAGAGGTAGAAATGCAAGTGTGAATCAGGGAATTGATACATTCTCAGCTAAATAACTGGCATACAGAGTAAAATTTATTGTTCTAATTATGGTATATTCTTTACAATGGAGATTAAAAAAATATTCCATGATCCATACTTAGTATTAAGGACATTTTATATTCTTCTCTTTCTTCCAAAGCTGTTTTAGTTCCAATTTTAAAAGGTGCTATGAACGTATTTGGCAGCAGTAAAGTTTCTAATTCTCTGTTCATGTTTATGTTGAAACAATTAAGAATCATATTTTAAATGATCTCTTGAACATCTTTTAAATATATTCATGCACATTATATTTTACTTAAATAGTCCTTTTATTTACTATCAAGACTATATTTCCCTAGAGTTACCTCTGGCTATGCTGGTATGGTTTATAATATAATAATACAGATTTGTGTAATCAGTATAAAACATTTATACTGAAATATTTCAAGTCATTTGCCATACAGTGAAGCTAAAATTAAAAAAAAATTATGCCAAAGTGTAAATAAGAAGTAGAATATATGTGCATTAGACAGAGCCTATTTAAACTGTCTTGGAAGTGATGAAAACATGACAGAAAATGTTTATAGTAGAAATATTAGAATATGTTTACTGCATCTGTTCTTTGATATAACCCCTTATCTCAAATTAGTTTAATTATAAATATTTAGATTTATTTCTTATATAGCAGAGTAATATTTTTATTTAACTTTTGAAAATATATTTCTTATTCAAGGGTGTTCTGGGGTGCTTTATATATAATAGAGCTTTTTAAAACAGATATACTCGAAGTTTAACAGTATTAACACAATACCAATAAACATTTCAAACTAGAGAAACTGTGAAAAATAGGAATCTAGAGTTGGAAGTAGCTTTAATGATCATGTAGCCCAATCCCCTCATTTTACAGACAGAGAAATTAAAGGACAGTGAGAATACTTGATATTAAGCCAAGATTATGACAACAAATTACCAGTAAAGCTAGGACTTGAACCCAATCTCGCAGGGGCCTGGCATTTAAAATCAGTGCTCCTTCTACTATATTAAACAGTAACAGAAGTGTTTGTAGCAATATATTACTAAATTAACTCTATAGATTATTCTCATTTCATTTCTTATGTTTTTATTAGATTTCTTATAACATTATTTTGATTTAAGTTTTAGAACTTAAATTTAACTTTAAAAAGCATGAAAGAGACGTTGTATGTTAAAGGCATACTCATTTTCCAAAAAGTCATAATTTTGAAAAATTCAGATTTGAGTAAGTCAAATAAAATCTAAGTTAAGTATATAACATGCTAAAGTTCTAATATTCATCAGCAGGTCTCCTAAATTAGAACTTGTAAGTGGAAAGAGACAAATTTCAGAAAATTTTCAAGTTATTCTGTTTGTCATTTTCTGCTCAGGTCAATTAAGAGACTCTTAAAATCAAAAACAGTTGCTATTTATTGTTAAGTAAAATTAATGTTGTATTAATTATATATAACATTTTTCATTAGGATACATTTAGAATAACATCATATTTTTATAATATTACAGGTTCCTAGTATTTGCACCCCAAAGTGCTGCAATATAATACCCTAATTCTTGCTATTATATACCAACATGGAAGTACTAACTGCTTATTTTTCCCTCTTTAAAAAAAGTGTGCAATATGTTGCTTTTAGATAGTCACATAATTATGTGACTATTATTAACTTTCTAATTTTAGAACATTTTATTCACTTCTAGAGAAACTTCGTAAGCATCACCAGTCATTCCCACACATTCACTCCCACCCCCACCCTCAGTTCACAGTAACCATTAATCTATTTTTTGTCTCTAAGATTTGCCTATTCTAGAAATAGTACATAAATAAAATCATACAATATGTGCTAATTGACACTAGCTTCTTTCACTTAGTATAATGTTTTGAAGGTTCGCCCATGTTGTAGCATGTATTAGTGCTCTTTTTTTAATTGCCAAATAATATTCTGTTGTACGGATATATCACATTTGGTTGATCCATTAATCAGTCTCCTAGACACCTTTTAACAGCTCGAGAAAATTCCCTTTTATTTCTACTATATTCTTATTATAAATTGGTGTTGCTTTTTCTGCATTCATTGAAATGATAATGTGTTTATTCTGTTAATATAATGCATTAAATTTATTTTATGTATTAAACCAACCTTAGATAATTGGGATAAATATCACTTAACCATAGTACCATTACTGGATTCAGTTTGCTACTATTTTGATAAATATTTTTGTGCCTATACTCATAAGAAATATTAATCGGCAGTATTAACTAATCAAGATATCTTTGGTTTTGATATCAGGGCAATACTGACCTCATAGAATGAGTTAGGAGGTATTTTCATTTTTTTCTATTTTATAGAAGCATTTCTGAAGAATTGAATTAATTTTCCTTCATATTTGGTAGAACTCACCAGTGTAAGCTGGGGTGGGGGGCTGGGCTTTTCTTTGTGGGAAGTTTTACATTCACTAATTCAATGTATTTACCTGCATGGTCTATTCAGGTATTCTGTTTGTTCTTGAGTCAGCCTTAGTACTTTGTATCTCTCTAGGAATGTGTTCTTTTCATCTAAGTTATCCAATTTGTTGGCCTACATTTATTCAAAGTACTCAGCATCTAATTCTCTTGAAATAGAGCTTTCGTTCAAGGCTGACATAGAGCTGGAACAAAAGAGATTGGTATAGAACAAGCTAAAATGCCCTGAAGCTGATAATTTTCACTTAATGTAATTTGTACTAAAATTTTCCTGGTATCCCACTATGATAAAACTCTCAAAAATGATGGTTATTAGTAAACCTAATGTATACACATTAAACAACAACATATTAAAGATAATTATTAGATTCAGCATATTAAAGGTGATCATTAATCATCTGATTATGATTACTTTTGAAACATGTGATTTCAATAATTTTGGCATTCAAGTCATAAGACCTACCTTGCCAGATGACATTATTTTATCCTTAAATGTATTATAATAACAAAATAAAAATTCATCTCACTTTAAAAATAAAAATACTTCGGAAATCTTAGATTAGTTTTTTTCTAATAATACTTTATTTTCTAACATTTTATTATCTTTAAATCTTCTTCCTGATGTGCTCAGCCTTGTGCATGAGTAACAGTTTGCCTGGAGTCAAAAGCAGCTAACGTTGGGTTTCTGGTGTGAAACCTTTTAGTTAATCTTTTCAGAAGCATTATTAAAATACTGTAACCTCCAATGGAGTCAGTTGGCCTTTGGGAAAAGGTACTATTTTAAGAAGATCTAGGTCTGTTGGAAATTTCTATGCTGCCTCATTTCTACTTTTTTACATAATAGCTATTAAAGTGAGTGATGCTGTGCTGAATGACTACACAGCAAAACC
Source organism: Homo sapiens (assembly GCF_000001405.40). Lineage (NCBI taxonomy): Eukaryota > Metazoa > Chordata > Mammalia > Primates > Hominidae > Homo > Homo sapiens. The sequence continues at coordinate 185,098,932 of NC_000002.12, read as the reverse complement.
TACTTGTTTTAAACACTATGCAATCTGTACTTCAGGTTACTGGCTAATTGCAGTAATTTTTTCCACTGACCAGTGAAATTTCACTCTCTGTGGGAGTTAGTAATCCTCACAAAACAGACTATGCTACCCTCTCTGAGTATTCATGACCACCCACAACCCTAATCCCTGGAGTTCATTACTATCTATTAAAAATCTCTATGACCCAAAACAACATGGGGACCTGTGAGTACTCCAGAATAACCACAGATGCAATAGTCTATGTCTTCATTTCTGTGTGCCTTCGAAAGCTTTGTTTGCACAGACAAAAATACAGCTTTTCACTAAAGCTTCAAACACAAATGACATCTATAGTGTGTGATAATTAGCAAACTCAATTTGAAATAAACATTGTTAAAACAGTATTACTTAATGTTAGCTATATATTTAGATTCATCGCTTATGGTCATTAGTGCTCATCAATTGATTCCTGATTTTAAAAGACAAATGTGCTAATTAGGAAAAATACAGAAAGCAAAAAAATAAAATTACAACACCTGTAATCACACTACATATAAGCTGCTAATATATTTCTGTTTATTGCTATACAGCTCTTAAATCATGAATTTTTATATATCAATTAATAGATGAGCAGAGCAATAGAAAGACATATATTTGTGTACATAAGGCAACTCTATGTAAATAATTTACATCTTGCTTTACTCTCTCTACAAACAAAAATCTTTCTGCCACTGTACTTTTTATATTTACAATGGCTGCATATTATTCCAGTGTGTACATTTACCTAATTTATTTCATCATTTCCTTTGTCCTGTGCTTTTGAATTATTGTGAATTTGACCTATTATAATGAAGGGTTGAATATCTTTGACCATGCATTATGGGTAACACTTTGCATTGTTTTCTTAGGAGAAATTCCTAGAAGTTGAGGTCAAAGTAATGCTTAATTTAATACTGTTGGTAATAGTGGGAAATGATTATTCCATACTGTCACTTTATTTGTCCTTGAAATTTGTTCTATATTGAGTTTACCATTTTTATTAAAATAGAAGATAAGATTCAATTTTTTTTTCATTTTTAGCTACTTGTAAAGCTTACAGTTTATGTACTTACATGTTTTCTTTATGATATTACCTCTTCTTAAAGATCAAATGAATTTATGTGTGTAAGGTAGTTTTCTTTATCTTTTCATGTTGTTTGGTAACCAGAATTTTACACCAATATTTTATGATCTTTACAATGTCTGTGGGCTTTATAATGTAAATCCTCTGTTAAATCCTGGTGTAGATTACTTGACTTCTCCTTTTTTTTAAATAAATTTATCAAGAAGTATATCAATTGTATTAGTCATTTAAGTAACCTACATTTGAAATTTTTGGATCATCAATTGTAAATTTTTTAGTTAAAAAATAGTTTGGGCCAGGTGCAGTAGCTCAAGCCTGTAATCCCAGCAGTTTCGGAGCTCGAGGCAGGTGGATCACCTGTGGTCAGGGGTTCAAGACCAGCCTGGCCAACATGGTGAAACCCCATCTCTATTAAAAATACAAAAATTGGTCGGGCATGGTGGCACATGCCTGTAATCCCAGCTACTCGGGAGGCTGAGGCAGGAGAATTGCTTGAACCTGGGAGGCCAGGAGGTTGCAGTCAGCTGAGATTGCACCATTGCACTCTAGCCTGGGCAACAAAAGTGAAATTCCATCTCAAAAAAAAAAAAAAGGAATTAAGACAAAGGAAATAAGCATGCCATGCAATTCAAGAAGTATGGTGATGACTTCGCAGATATATGCATATATTAATTATTGTCTTGCCAATGGTATGGACTGGGACAGGTGTAAGAAATGTTCTTGGGGAAAGCTTGCTACTTCCTAGTTCTCTGTTGACTCATTATATTCTTAAGTACACATAAAAGCACTTGAGTGAGCAGTAATGCAGAGGTCATTAAAAATAAAGCAGAGCCTATAATCCCAGCAGTTTGGGAGGCCGAAGTGGGTGCATCACGAGGTCAGGAGTTCAAGACCAGCCTGGCCAACATGGTGAAACCCTGTCTTTACTAAAAATACAAAAAGTTAGTCGGGCATGGTAGCAGGCGCCTGTAATCCAGCTACTCAGGAGGCTGAGGCAGGAGAATTGCTTGAACCTGGGAGGCAGAGGTTGCAGTGAGCCGAGATCGCACCACAGCACTCCAGCCTGGGTGACAGAGTGAGACTCCATCTAAAAATATATAGATAGATAGATGATAGATAGATAGATAGATAGATAGATAGATAGATAGATAGAGAGATAGATACACACACACACACACAAATTTACGAGTTTTTCCTTCCACACTCTTTAGATCAAATTTTCTTGTTCTGTCTTTGATAGCCCCATAGATTATCAGTTTTTTAGACCTTCTTTTTTAATATATAAATGTATAACTGTAAAATTCCCTTTGAGCACTGATTTAGCTATATCCCTCAAGTTTTGATATTTCTTTATATTTTAACTCAAAATACTTCTAATTTTTGACATAATCCATTTTTACATTCATTTTTTCTTAGAAGTATAGGTCTTAATTTTCAAATATATGAACTTTTCCATTCATATTTCAAGTAGATTTTTTACGTTAAACACAGAGTGATCACAGAACTATATTATCTTCAAATTTCTGAAACTTCTTGTGCATTGTGAATCTAAGGCACATTGTGTCTTAGAATATAATCAATTTCTGTATGTGTCCTATGTGCTCTTGAAAACGTGTATTCTTCATGAGTGTAGAGTTCTATTGTGTTATTTTATATATGGACATGCATTCAATTTTTATATGTATTTGTGAATTGTTCAATATTCTTGCTTGTTATCTGTGGTCACCTATCAGTTACTGAGATATGTGTTAAAATCTGTCATGAAGATTACATTTGAGCCTATAAATTTTGGCTTTATAATTTTGAACTTTCATTATTAGGCACAAAGATGTAAATTTTAAATCTTCATGAAATGAAAGTAAGAGCAAGAAGAGAAGAAAAAAACTTAAAAAAGAGATAATTGAAGAAGTCCTCACTATAGCTGACAACTCCTTGCTCTGAAGATCTGTGATAATTTATCTTTATTAGTACTAGAACCAAATATCTAAAAGCTCATTAGATCATGCTATGGATTCCAGAAACATATTTTTTTAAATGGCATGAGAAATGGTGACATCAATACAATGGCCAACTTGAAGCTTCTAGTGGTCTTTCTCCTCCCCCACCAACAAAACAAAACAACAAATAAACAACTATATTTTAAACAAAATAACTAACGAAGAGCACCAGAGAACAACATAGAAGCAACAGAAAATTTTTAGAGCACAGAAACCCATATGGAGGTATACAAAAAAAAAAAAATATCTTGCCTCTGCCACCCCATACTCCAAGTCATGATCAGCTCAGAACCAGGAGGAACTCCACCCTGTAAGGGAAGCTTCAAGTGAAATGGTAAGCAAGAGGACCCAAACAGCCCCCATCACCAACATAGACTCCTGGAGTCTGCTACTGGAAAACGCTGCAGTACTCTCAGGCTCTGTGCCAAGTTGAGGGAGCTCCCAAGATTCAAGAGTTCATATGCTGTGCTACACCTTAGAGGAGGAACAATACTGTGCCCTACCCCAATTTCTATGCTGCTACTGCTCTGTGCCATCTTGAAACCAGAGTCACTGTTAGAGTGCATCCTATTCCTGGTGCTAGCAGCCATTGCAGCCTGGAGGCTTTGCTGCCACTGTACCATGACCACTAGAGAGTACATCAGTCTTGAGCCTAGCGGCTGCTATGCCCTAACACCTGGAGTCAAGCTTTCTTAGAGTTTTCCATGCTCTCATCCAAGGCCATGGTTTATCCTCCCATTTGTGCCCAAGCTGAAGTAGAGGCTTGCTTTTTGAGGATCCAGGGCCTGAAACTGCAAAAGTAGTTGTGGCCAGCAGTGTTCCTTTTTCTCCACAACCTCACCAGCATCTGTTATTTTCTGGCTTTTTAATAATAGTCATTCTGACTGGAGTGTGATGCTATCTGTTTTAGTCCATTCTTATGCTGCTAATAAAGACATAGCTAACTAAGACTGTGTAATTTATAAAGGAAAGAGGTATAGTTGACTCACAGTTCAGCATGGCTGGAAAGCCCTCAGGAAGCTTACAATCATGGCAAAGGCATAGCAAACACATCCTTCTTCACAGGGCAGCAGCAAGGAATAGTGTCCAGCAAAAGTGGGAAAGCCCCTTATAAAACCATCAGGTATCATGAGAACTCACTTACTATCGTGAGACCAGCAGCCTGAGGGTAACCACCCCCATGATTTAATTACCTCCCACTGGGCCCCTCCCACAACATGTGGGGATTATGGGAACCACAATTCAAGATGAGATTTGGTTGGGGACACAGCCAAACCATATCAGTATCTCATTGTGTTTTTGATTTACATTGCTCTAATCAGTGATATTGAGCTTTTTTCATATGATAGTTGGCAACATGTATGTCTTCTTCTGAAAAGTGTCTGTTCATGTTCTTTGCTCACTTTTTGATGGGGTTGTTTGTTTTTTATCTTGTAAATTTGTTTCAGTTCTTTATAGATGCTGGATATTAGACCCCTGTCAGATATATAGTTTTCAAAAATTTTCTCTCATTCTGGAGGTTGTCTGTTTACTCTGTTGATAGTTTCTTTTGCTGTGCAAAAGCTCTTTAGTTTAATTAGATACCATTTGTCAATTTTCATTTTTGTTGCAAAAGCTTTTGGCACCTTCAATCATGAATTATTTGCCCATGCCTACGTCATGAATGATATTGCCTAGGTTGTCTTCCAGGGTTTTTATACTTTTGGGTTTTGGGTGAATATTTTATTGTGGTTTTGATTTGCATTTCCCTAATGTTTAGTGATGTTGAGCATTTTTTAGTATACCTGTTGGCCATTTGTACGCCTTCTTTTAAGAAATATCAATTCTGGTAGTTTGCCCACTTTTTAATCAAATTATTTGGGCTTTTTTTGTTATTGAGTTGTTTGAGTTTCTTATATATTTTGGATACTAATCCCTTGGCAGATGTATGATTTGCAAATATCTTTTTCCATTCTGTAGGTTGTCTCTGCACTCTGTTGGTTGTTTCCTCTTCTGTGCAGAAGTGTTTTAATTCAGTGTAATCCCATTGGTCCATTTTGGCTTTTGTGGCCTGTGCTTTCAAGGTCTTATCTAAAAAATCCTTATCCCTACCAATGTCATAAAGAACTTCCTTTATGTTTTATCCCAATGGTTTTACAGTTTTGGTTCTTATATTTAAGTCTTTAATCAATTTTGAGCTGATTTTTATAGGGTGAGAGATAAAGGTCTAATTTAATTTTTTTTATGTAGATGTTGCAGTTTTCCTAACATCATTTGTGGAAAAGATTATACTTTCCCCAATGAATGCTCTTGGCACCTTTGTCAAAAATCCATTGGCCATAAATGTGTGGATTTATTTCTGGGCTCTTTATTTATTTATTTTCCAACAGCCTACATGTCTGTTTGTATGCCAATATCATGCTATTTTGTTTACTATAATTGTCTACTATATTTTTATTTTGAAGTCAGGTAGTATGATGCCTACAGTTTTCTCCTTTTTTTTTTTTTTTTGAGATGGAGTCTTGCTCTGTCACCAGACTGGAGTGCAGTGGCATGATGTCAGCTCACTGCAACTTCCACCTCCTGGGTTCAAGCGTTTCTCCTACCTCAGCCTCCCGAGTAGCTGGGGCTACAGGCATGCACCACCAGGCCCAGTTAATTTTTTTATTTTTAGTAGAGACAGGATTTCACCATGTTGGCCGGGATGGTCTCAATCTCTTGACCTTGTGATCCACCCACCTTGGCCTCCCAAATGCTGGGATTACAGGCGTGAGCCACCACACCTGGCCTTCAGCTTTGTTCTTTTTCCTCAAAATTGTTTTGACTATTCAGGGTCTTTGGCAGTTCCATACAAATTTTAGCATTTTTTTTTCTATTTCTGTGAAGAGTGCCATTGGTGTTTTGACAGGGATTGCATTGAGTCTGAAATACCTATACACTTTGGGTTGTATAGACACTTTAACAATATATGTTCCTCCAATTAATGACCATAGTATATCTTTTTGTTTATCGTGTATTTTCAACTTCTTTCATCAGTGTTTCATAGTTGCTATTGTAGGGGTCTTTAGCTTTTTGGTTAAATTTATTCCTAGGTGCCTTTTTTTTTTTTTGTAGCTGTTTTAAATGAGATTGTTTTCTTGATTTCTTTTCAGGTAGTTTGCTAGTTGCATATAAAAATGCTACTGCTTTGGGTTTTTTTACTTTTTCAATTTTAATTTTAATCTTAGAAACAGGGGTACATCTGCAGGATTGTTATGTGTATTTATGTGATACTGAGAAGGGATCTTCTTGCAGTGCAGATTTTTGGGGTGTAGATTCCATCACCCACTTAATAAGCATAGTGCCAAATAGATAGTTTTTCCATCCACACCTCCCACTCTCCCTCCTCCAAAGTAGTCCGCAATGTCTATTTTTCACGTTTATATCCATGTATGCTCAATGTTTAGGTTTCAGTTGTAAGTGAGAACCTGTGGTACTTGGTTTTCTGTTTCTGGATTAATTTGCTTAGGATAATGGCCTCCAGATACATCCATGACGCTGCAAAGGACATGATTTCATTCTTTTTTATGGCTGCTTATTTCTCCATCAGGTGTATTACCACATTGACTTTATCCAGTCCACCATTGATGGGCACTCTAGTTGATTCCATGTCTTTGCTATTGTGAATTGTTTGGAGATGAATATATGAGTGCATGTATCTTTTTCACAGAATGATTTATTTTCCTTTGGGTATATACCCAGAAATGGGATTGCTGGGTCAAATGGTAGTTTTGTTTTAAATTCCTTGAGAAATTTCCAACTGCTTTTCACACTGGCTGAACTAATTTACATTCCCACCAAGAATGTATAAGCATTCAGCCTTCACCAGCCTTTGTTGTTTTTTTAATTGTTTTAATAATAGTCAATGTGATTGGTTTGAGATAGTATCTCATTGTGGTTTTGACTTTGATTTCTTTGATGACCAGTGATGATGAGCATTTTTTTCATATGTTTGTTGGCTCCTTGTTCGTCTTCTTTTGAGAAGTAGTCATGACCTTTGCCGATTTTTTATTTATTTTTTGCTTATTCATTTGTTCAACTTCCTTATAGACCTGGATATTAGACCTTTGTCAGATGCATTGTTTGCTAATATTTTCTCCTATTTTATAGGTTGTCTGTTTACTGTTGTATTGGTCCCTTTTCATGCTGCTCTTAAAGACATAGCTGAGACTGGGCAATTTACAAAAGAAAGAGGTTTAATGGAGTTACAGTTCCACATGGCTGGGGAAGCCTCACAATCAGGGCAGAATGCAAGGAGGAGCAAGTCGCTTCTTACATGGATGGCAGCAGGCAAAGAGAGAGGGAGCTTTTACAGGGAAACTCCCATTTTTTAAAACCATCAACTCTCATGAGACTTACTATCAAGAAAACAGCACAGGAAAGACTTGCCCCCATGATTCAATTACCTCCCACTGGTTTCCTCTCATAATATGTGGGAATTGTGGAAGTTACAATTCAAAATGAGATTTGGGTGGGGACACAGCCATACCATATCATTCCACCCCTGGCTCCCCACAGATCTTGTCCTCACATCTCAAATCCAGTCATGCCTTCCCAACAGTCCCCCAAAGTCTTAACTCATTTCAGAATTAACTCAAAAGTCTATAGTTCAAAGTCTCATCTGAGACAAGGCAAGTCCCTTCCTCTTATGAGCCTGTAAAATCAAAAACAATTAGTTACTTCCTAGATAAAATGGGGGTACAGGAATTAAAGATAATTACACCCATCCCACAGTGGAGAAATTGACCAAAAAGAAGGGGCTGAAGGTCCCATACATGTCCAAAATCCAGTGGGGCAGTCAAATCCTAAAGCTCCAGAATGATCTCCTTTGACTTCATTTCTCACATCCAGGTCACACCGATGCAAGTGGTAGGTTCCCATGGTCTTGGGCAGCTCTGCTCCTGTGGCTTTGCAGGGTACAGCTTCTTTACTGGCTGCCTTCATGGACTGGTGTTTAGTGTCTGTAAGCTTTTCCAGGTGCATGGTGCAAGCTGCCAGTGGATCTACCATTCTGAGGTCTGGAGGATGGTGGCCCTCTTTTCACAGCTTCATTAGGCAGTGCCCCAGTAGGGACTCTGTGTGGGGACTGTGACCCCATATTTTCCTTCTGCACTGCACTAGCAGAAGTTCTCCATGAGGGCCCTGCCACTGTAGCAAACTTCTCCCTCACCATCCAGGCATTTCCAAACATCTTCTGAAATCTAGGCAGATGTTTGAAAACCTCCAATTCTTGAGTTCTGTGCACTCACAGGCTTAATACCATGTGGAAGTTGCCAAGGCTGAGGGCTTGCACCCTCTGAAACCATGGCCCAAGCTCTAAATTGGCCCCTTTCAGACATGGCTGGAGCTGCTGGGATGCAAGGCACCAAGTCCCTAGGCTGCACACAGCATGGGGAACTTGGGCCCCACCCAATAAACCATTTTTTCCTCCTGTGATGGGAGGGGCTATTGTGAAGACCTCTGACATGCCCTGGAGACATTTTCCCCAGTGTCTTGGGGATTAACATTTGGCTCCTCACTACTTATGCAAATTTCTGCAGCAGGCTTGGATTTCTCCTCAGAAAATGGGATTTTAATTTCTACTGGATTGTCAGGCTGCAAATTTTCTGAACTTTTATTTCCTGTTTCCCTTATAAAACTGAATGCCGGCCAGGCATGGTGGCTCATGACTATAATCCCAGCACTTTGGGAGGCCGAGGTGGATGGATCACCTGAGGTCAGGAGTTTAGACCAGCCTGGCCAATATGGTGAAACCCCGTCTCTACTAAAAATACAAAAATGGGCCAGGTATGGTGGCAGGTGCCTGTAGTCCCAGCTACTCAGGAGGCTGAGGCCGGAGAAGCACTTGAATCTGGGAGGCAGAAGTTGCAGTGAGCTGGGATCAGGCCACTGCACTCCACCCTGGGCAACAGAGTGAGACTCCCTCTCAAAAAAACAAAACAAAACAAAACAAAAAACAAAAACAAAAAAACTGAATGCCATTAACAGCACCCAAGTCACCTCTTGAATGCTTCACTGCTTAGATATTTCTTCTTTCAGATACCCTAAATCATCTCTCTCAAGTTCAAAGTTCCACAAATCTCTAGGGCAGGGGCAAAATGCCACAGGTCTTTTTGCTAAAACATAACAAGTGTCACCTTTACTCCAGTTCCCAACAAGTTCCTCATCTCCATCTGAGACCACCTCAGCCTGGATTTCATTGTCTATACCATTATCAGCATTTTGGTCAAAGCCATTCAACAAGTCTCTGGGGGTTCCAAACTTTCTCAGATTTTCCTGTCTTTTTCTGAGCCCCCCAAACTGTTCCTACCTCTGCCTGTTACCAGTTCCAAAGTTGCTTCCACATTTTCAGGTATCTTTTCAGCAGTGGCCCACTCTACTGGTACCAATTTACTATATTAGTCTATTTTCATGCTGCTGATAAAGACATACTCAAGACTGGGCAATTGACCAAAGAAGGAGGTTTAATGGACTTACGGTTCCATATGGCTGGGGAAGCCTCACAATCATGGTGGAAGGCAAGGAGGAGTGAGTCACGTCTTAAATGGATGGAGCAGGCAAAGAGAGAGAGCTTGTCCAGGGAAACTTGTTTTTCAAATCATCAGATGTCCGAAGGTGGAGCTTGCAGTGAGCCGAGATCACACCACTGCACTCCAGCCTGGGCGACAGAGCAAGACTCCATAAAAAAAAAATAATAATAAAAATAAATAAATAAATAAATAAACCATCAGATATCATGAGACTTAATCACTATCATGAGAGCACGGGAAAGAGCCCCCATCCCCCCAACCCCCCACCCCCCGCAATCAGTGATTCAATTACCTCCCACTTGTTTCCTCCCAGGACACATGGAAATTGTGGTAGTTGTAATTTAAGAAGAGATTTGGGTGGGGACACAGCCAAACCATACCAACCGTGTTGATAGTTTCTTTTGCTGTGCTGTTTGCATGTTAAGTTCATATCCTGCAACTTATAACTTTAGTACTTAAAGTTTGATGAAAATATTAGCCTTTGTATAATCAATAAAAGTTCATCATATGTATTCTAATGGTTGAAATATCTCAGCTAACAAATATATTTAACATTTTACTCCCCTAGATGAAATTTCTGATCGCTGCATAGAACTTAAATATTTTGTTTCCTTGACAAATGTCCACACATCTCTTATTGTTCTCAATAGTTTAGCTGACAAATATTGTGGCCACTTTCATATGTGCATGATCAGTGTTCCTTTGCAATAGGCTTTTTGAGGTTTAATAACTCTTAGCTAAAAGGTATACCTTCTCCTGTTCTGTTGAGAGTTATAAGGTCTTATCTTTCCTACTTTCACATAATGAGATCCCACTTCCACTGCTAACAATAAAGCAATTTTAGTACAATTAGATATTAAAAAAACCTGTGATTTTGGCATGTTAAAAATTGTGATGGTTTCTTTTCTATTTTTTCTTCTTGCAGTGCAGATTTTATGAGCAACAAAGTTTTGTTTGTAAATTCTATACCTGTTGGTTTTCTTCACAAGCTTGATGTTGAGAACTTATTAAAACAGCAAATTTACTGTGAGTGTGCATTGCAGAACAATTGTTTCCTACAGGGTTTCTGCAGAGCAAGAAGTACAGTGGGATATTAACAAATATTTTCTAAAAACAATGTCTGGGAAATTCTATTTTATATAAAGTTAATAGTATTTATGTTTCTTACAGGATTTGTGTCTTACTATGCTAAATAAATTGTCACTCTTTCTAAAAAGGCAGTTACAGAGCTTAACATTATCCAAATGCATTTTGCTGTGATACCTGTAATAGACTGCACTATTGTTCCAAGTTTTTACCTCTCTCTGTTTCTGCATATTTGCCTTGGGACTGAAGTTCCTTCCATTAGACATAGAGTGACCTTTCCATTCTCTAGGTGTCTTGCTTCACTCTGTGACTTACTTTGGCTAAGAGAATGAGGTGGAAGTTATGGTATCACATTTTCAAGCCAAGGATATAAGAACCATCTTATTTTCTGTTCAGCTATCTGTTATGTTTCTGCCATTAAAATGAGAAGAAAAGAAGCCAAAGTAGTTATTTTCTCCAAGTAGACACAATTAGATGATACATGGACCCAATACAAAGCTTGGAGACACACCAGCTGATCTCTGCCAAGATAAATAAACCAACCTCAGCAAAATGACAGATGTGTGATCATGGCATTAAATGCCTTTTGTTTTATACCACTTAATTTTGAAATGGTTTTAATGCACATTAATTTATAAATAGCTACCTGGTACAGAAACATTTGTATAGAAGTCACTATGGTTAGATTACTGTATTATTAGAGTTCTCTAGAGAAACAGAACAAATAGGAAATTAGATAGATGATAGATAGACAGATGATAGAGCAATAGATAGATGGGTAGATAAATAAGCAGGAATATATACATACATACAGAGAGGGAGAGATACTTATTTTAAGAAACTGACTCATATGATTTTGGGGCCTGCCAAGTCTGAAATCATTAGGGCAGCCTGAAAACTTGACAGAATTTGATGCTCTGGTCTCAGAGCAGAATTTCTTCTTAGGGAAACCTGAGTTTTTGCTTTTAAGGCCTTCAACTGACTGAATGAGGCCTGCCCACATTATTGCATTTAATCTTTACTTAAAATCAGCTGAATGAAGATATAACAATGACAACAGAGCACCTTAACTGCAGCACCTAGATTCATGTTTGATTAAATAACTGGGTACAATAGCTCAGGCAAGTTGACACATAAGACTACCCATCATGATTACCAAGGAAGACAGTTGATAAAATATTGCAATGTAGGTAAGCCCACAGATAAAAGATGGGACGCAGACTCCTCAATTTATTTTCTTTTGTTGATCTTTCGGTTTTAGTAGATGACATTAATTTTAATATTAAAAGACAAAAATAGAAAAATATAAGTGCAGACATGAAATTATAGCTCACCTTCTTGAGCAAAATTTGCAGATTGTTATACCAATGGAGAGTATTAATGAAATTAGAAGCAACTGAAAGGCAGACTATAATTTGCCGCCTCTTTCCCACAAGAAATGCCTAATAATCTAGGCTGAATCCAGTTACTTGATAAAAAAGAAAAGGAACAGAAAACTAGATATGCATGAAATGACTAGCTAACACTTTATTTTCCTTAATTCCAGGATTACAGCAGAGCAAAACAGAGATAAAATTAGTGGAAAATTAAGCTGAATGTTTTGGAGAATAAGTCAGTAGGAAGAAATTACATTTTATTAATCTTCTTAACATTCAAACAAATTGAGAAACTATTTTAAAACTATATAACGTAAAGCTATTATAAATTTATTAAATCTAAGAGTTCTAAAAGAAACTTGTCAATGACATAATCAAGAAATATCCTAAAATAAATAAAATAATGAAAAATGTATTTCAAGCAAAATATAGTTGAATAAAATAGTTCAGATGGATTAGTAATTACACAAATAAGTTGGATTATACATAGCTACAGATCATATGGGATAGAACAATAACTCAAATTGTTAATTTATACTTGGAGAAGAATTATTTATATTAAGCTGAAAGATCTTAACTTTTACACATTCAGAAAGTTAAAATACCTGTTCTAATGATAAGGCTTGAACTGAGATTTGTCTAGCTTCACAGTTTCTCTCTGTTTATATATTGCCATCCTGCTTCCTTTGTTTGGCTTACATTGTCCCTTAAAATCTGGTTCTTCCCTCTTTACCAACTTCATCTCCTGAAAGCCCCCCTTCATGAACTACACTCCAACCATACTACATTGTGTGACATTAATAAAATGGGCTGTGAGTTTTACTCACTCTTTGTGCTCTTCTTAAGACAAACTTTTTCCACTTTCCTATAAGGCAGTGCTTCTTAGACTTTAACACAGATTAAAATTACTTGGAGGACTTTTTAGCAGACATATTGATGGACATCATCTCCATGGTTTTTGACTTTAGGTTGGTGGCCTAATAATTTGCATTACTAAGAATTTCCCTTGTGACACTAATCCCTCTTGTTTGGGGACCACACTTTGACAACCGCTGCCATATAGGACACATAGTCTTCAAGCTTCTGCTTGCTATTGTGTTTTCTGCAATTTTAATCTTAGTCCATTGGCTTCTTCTGCATTGTAATGTGATGCTTATAATGAGAGAATTTCTATCTGTAAAATAAGATTCAGAATTTATATCTGTAAAATAAGATTCAGGATTATCATAAGAACAAAACATTTCTCAAAATAAGTTTTCCCAAGTCACGTAACTAGTAAGCAGTAGGGAAAATAAAAGGCAAATTTAGGCCAGGGTGGTGGCGCATGCCTGTAATCCCAGCAGTTTGGGAGGCCGAGGCAAGCGGATCATGAGGTCAAGAGATCAAGACCATCCTGGCCACAATGGTGAAACACCATCTCTACTAAAAATACAAAAGTTAGCTGGGCGTGTTGGCACATGCCTGTAGTCCCAGCTACTTGGGAGGCTGAAGCAGGAGAATCGCTTCAACCCTGGAGGCTGAGGTTGCAGTGAGCTGAGATCACACCACTGCACTCCAGCCTGGCGACAGAGCGAGACTCCATCTCGAAAAAAAAAGAAGAGACAAATTTAACTATGAAAATACAGCATACATACACAATAGAAATGGGGTGTATGTGTGTGTATTGGGGGAGCATAGGAACAAAGAGAAAATAAGTTAGTTAAATGTCATGGCTAGATAAATGACACAGAAAATGGTGAATATGGGTTAAGACTATAGTGCTCATGTCTGAAATTGACCATCTAGATATAGCAGATACTTGTCATATCCTTGATATTCTGCATATTCTCATTTAAAACCTCAGAAGATTGAAATTTCTTTGTGGAATAGAGTGACCTAAATATTTATTCTTAGTGAATCTGAGCCTGTTTGTATTATCTGAGTAGATTTGAAGAAGAATCTGATGATTGTTTCCTGAAGACTCTAATGAATGTGTTAATATAAGGTGAAACATAAAAGTTGCCTAAATTTTCATCCATATCATTTCCTTCCCCAGCTTCACAAGCATAACTCTGTTAGGGTCAATCACTTCAATAATAAATGCATAACTAATCTTTTTGCTTCATTACTTGTGATGTGAGTAATTCAAATAACCCAATGACCATCTTGTCATCGAATCCATTGAAACATATCATAATTGTTACCCCTACTGGAAACATTTCTTTCTTAAACTCTAAATTATATAGTTGAACTATACTGGTTAGGATAGTAAGAAAAAAAAAGTGAACATAATTCAAAGATTTAGGAGACCCTATGCTATAGTTCAGTGGTTTATAGTCTCATTCTTCAGGACAGCATTTCAACTCATAAGGAATTGCCTTCCACCCAACACTATGCTAAAACACTGGGTCATCCAGTGCTTAAGAAAATCTTCTGCTTCTGACTGATGAGATAGATAATAAAACTATTGCATCCTAAACATTAATCCATTGCCTTACATCCTTCACTGTGAATGAGATTCATGTTGCAATGCTTTTTGGGGGTACAATATCATAAAGTTATATAAAACAGTCACTAAATACATGAATGGCAGTACTTGCAAAGGCAAGATGTCTGAATAAAAGCAAATCTAGATTCCTGCTAGCAAGTTTCTAGCTGGATTCCTTGACATAATGTGGCATTCCTAGGCTTAGAGACATGAAGAATAGTGGCTAAAGAAATTATTAGGGATTTTTTTCAAAGAGGCATTTTTTTTCCTTTTCAATATCCTCATTTTCTCATATGACACCTAGAAAGTTATGACGTTTACTGGTGTTACAGTGTAGTAACCCTGAGAATCAAGCCCCAAGCTTGTTTTTAATGAATTGTAAGACTCTGGTTACGTAAGCCCAGAGATAACTTAAACAATGACATAGAAATTCAGAGTTATGGCCTATATCTTAAGATAAAAGTATGAAAAGTTAAGCTTATTATTCTCTTACTTTATATCCATTCTCATCGGTCACAACCACCCTAATCTCCTAACATATTCAATGGCAGAACCTACCTGGCTACACAGAGCATAGCCCTCAGTAAACCTATGGTGTTAAATAACCACAGTTGATAATATATTTATCTTTTTTTTTTTTGCAACAGGATACCAGCGACTGTTAAGATCCCATCCAAAAATATTGATTATATTGCTATTTGTTACCCTGTTTACTCCATGCAACATAATACACCATATTTCCTCCAGGTCCTGTTATCTTCTTTATCTGTGGCATATGAGAAAAGAACACTCAATCATATTGTAGACTTTCTGATAGGTCACAAAGAACAATACATCAAAATTGCCCCATAGGAGGATGAGAAGACTGAGGCATTTGCCCATTCACAAGTAAACACATTTGGCTGAGGGAAATACTTCTGGGATATATTTGCATGCAGCTTAGAGGTTTCCTATAGCTTGAGGAAGTTGGTGGTGCATGGAACTGTCAACTGTACTGTAAAAATTAACAATTGCTATATAACAAATTATTTCAAAACGTAGTGACTTTTAAAACAACACAAATTTACTTTATCATTTCTGTGGGCTAGGAATTTGGACATAGCCTACCTGGGCCATCTGCTTCAAAGTCTGAAAAGTCGTGCTCAAGACATCAACAAGGGCCTCAGTCGTTTTAAGGCTGAGATGGAGAAGGACTCACTTCTAAACTGACTCACATGACTGTTGTTAGTGTTCAGTTCTTTGTGAGCTAATTGAACTAAAGGCGTAATTGAACAAAAGGCCTCAATTTGTACCTGACTGATAGTTGCAGGATTTCCTTGGTTTCTTGCCATGAGAGCCTTTTCAACATTGCAGTTGGTTTCATCAAAGCATCCAAGCTAAGGAAACGATAGTCAGCAAAAATTATGGAAGAAAATGTATTTTGTAACCTAATTACAGATATGGCAATCTGTCGTCTCTGTTGTTTTCTGTTCTCTAAAATGTGAGTCACTACATTCAATGCACACACACAGGGAAGAAATTACACAAGGGTGTGAATACTAGCCAGTGGTACTTTTGTGCACCATTTTAAAAATCTGGGTATGATACTGTATTAGTCCATTCTCACATGGCTATAAAGAACTACCTGAGACTGGGTAGCTTATTAAAATAAGAGGTTTAATTGACTCACAGTTCAAAAGGCTGTACAGGAGGCATGGCTGTGAGGCCTCAGTAAACTTATAATCATGGTGGAAGGGGAAGCAAGCACATCATCACATGGTGGCAGGAGAGAAGGCGGAAGTGGTATGCACTTTTAAACAACCAGATATCATGAGAACTCATTCACTATCATGAGAACAGCAAGGGGAGAATCTGCCCCCATGATCCAATCATTTTCCACCAGGACCCTCCTTCAACGCATGGGGATTACACGTCGACGTAAGATTTGGGTGGGGACACAGAACCAAACCATGTCAGATACATAAGGTGCTTAAATTACGTGGGCTGGGAAATGTCCAGTGCATCAAAACCATCTGCTAGAACTAACTAAATTATTTTAAATGCCTTATTAGAGTAGATTCAGCATATAAAATGTCATTCCACATAAACATATTAATGAAAAAATAGATGCGTAAGGAAAACTAAAGATGCATTTACAGAGTGAGATGCTGTTTCAAAAACAATGTGACTTACCATACATTCTTACTCACTGTCCTAACAGAAAAAGAATATAGGAAATAGTTATTAGCAAGTATTTTCATTAGAAGACACTGAAGTCCAGGAATTGCCTGTGGTTTTAAGCTCACTGTTTTACAGAACATAGGCACATTGAAACAGCCAAACTAAAAATAATAAAGCAATTTTTCAATATCATTACTTGATTATAATCAAATTAATCATAGCTAGCAAAAACAATCAAACCACATAAAATAAATTATATGCTAGAGAGATTTACAAGTGAGTCAAGCTTAGCCTCGCTTTTTGAATTTAAACTCTCATTAAAAGATCCTTATTTCAGTGAATTTAAGTAAAAGGAGAACAGGACAAGTACTTCCTTTCTCCTTAAGAATAATATAGGTCTAATAAAGGATTAAAGCTATGATTTATTAATCTTAATAATGTAGGAAAATTAAAGTGCTGACTCTTTTTTTTGTAATTTAAACAAAAGAGCAACATTGTATGGGTATGCAAAATAAATTTTCCTAGAATTTGTCAAAAGAAAATATAACATCATCCTCAAATAGTTTCCTGTAGACTTGTCCATGTTTTACCCCAAGACTAGAGATATGTAAAACCTACCGACTTAATTTTTTCTTTGGGAGTAATTGTCTTGGAAATAAGTGGTAAGTAAATGCAAATTGCTTAAAAAAATCAACTTCATTTTGAATCAATTTAATTGTATTCGTAGATTCAAGAAACATATTTTGTTGATATAGATTAATAGTTTCTAATAATTTTAAAAGCCATTCCTTTCAAATAATTTTACTTAGGAATTTCAATAAGCTGCATTTCTATTATATGAGGTATTATGTTTGCTGCTTTGTATTGTATTCTATAAATAACCTACTTTCACATAAACGATGTTACAACTTATTATCCTAGTTAATTACAAGCATTTAAAATCAGATCCCAGGTTGTGGATTTCCTTTATGCCTGAATCACATTCTAATTTTCATTACAAGCTAAATCTCTTAATGTAGCTTATACATAATATTTCATAGATTAGAAATGTATTTAGAAAATACTGTGAAGGCAAACTGAGTCAACTTGAAGCATTCTCTTCATTGATTAAAAAATTATGACTTTTAAAGTAAGTTTGATTCTCTCTGACTTAATGAAGAAATTGGATCTTTAGAAATATTTCAAAAAGATAGCAATCTTCACTGGTTTTCTCCCATAAAATCAATTTCAGAGAAAACGTTCTAAAAAGCATGTTACTAGAGGTTGCTGCTCTGTATATAGAGCCTATGAGAGACCATTTTTCCATATACTACTGATACTGGGTACAGACAAAGAAAAACAGATACCACGAGAAGACATTCAGAACACAGGAAAAAATCAAGAAATGCATGCATGGAAGATCCATATTTTTTTCTGTTTCACCTTGCTCAAGTTCAAAAGAACAATGAGTTAATTAGTTCAGGAAATGAACATTCAGTTCTCTAAAATATGAAGTAATTAGTTGAAATGTCTAGAGGATAATAACTTCATCGAAGTATTTATTTTCAGTGTTTATTTTTACTGTGTGCATTTAAGGCATACAACATGATGTTTTCAAACATACTATGACATATACATAAGTGACATAATTACTATAGTCAAACACATTAAAATATCTACCATCTATGGTTACTTTTTGTTGTGTGAGTGCCTAAAATCTTCTCTCTTAGTAGATCTTTAATATACAATATAATAATATTAACTCTAGTCTTCATGGTTGCATTACATCTCTAGACTTATGCATCCTACATAACTGCAAATGTGTACACTTTGACCTACTTCTCTCCCATTTCCTCCTGCTCCCTGCCTCTGGTAACCACCTTTCTACTGTTTCTATTGGTTCAACATTTTTTTTTTCTAGATTCCACATATAAGTGAGATTATGTCTTTTTGTGTGTGTGTGTTTGGCTTATTTTACTTAACATAAGGTACTCAGGATCCATCTAATTGTTGTAAATGGCAGTATCTCCTTCTTTAACAAGGCTGAAAAATAATATTTATACTTATATATATAATACACACAAGCCTATGATATTCATATATATACACACACACACACAGACACATACACACACAATTGACCCTTGAACAACATGGTTCTGAACTGAATGAATCTACTTCTACATGTATGTTTTTCAACCAAATGCAAATTGAAATACAGTGTTGATGAGATGCAAAACTCATGTATACAGAGGGCTGACGTTTTATTTGCAAGTTCTGCAGCGTTAACTGAGGGACTTGACTATGCCTGGATTTGTGTATATGCAGGGTTCCTAGAGCTAATCCCCTGCATATGTCAAGGAATAACTATAAGGAATAAGTATATATATATAGTTATATTTATATATAGTTATATATATCAAGGAATAACTATATATATTAAAATGTATATATAACTATATAACTATATATATAACTATATCTATATAGATATATATAATTTTTTATCCATTCATCCATGGATGGTCACTTAGTTTACATATCTTGGCTATTGTGAATAATGGTGTAATGATCCTGGGAGTGCAGATATCGCTATGAGATGCTGATTTCATTTTGGGAGAGGAGCCCCAACAGAGGGGTTCCTGGGTCATATGATAGTTCTATTTTTTATGTAGGAACCTCCATACTGTTTTTCATAATGGCTGTACCAATTTGCATTCTCATAAAGGTGTCCTTATCACCACACCTTGTCAGGTAAGAGACCAAAGAAGGTATTGGTCTCTTATCTTTTTCATGATTGCCATCCTAAAAGGTGGGAGGTAATATCTCATTGTGGTTTTGATTTGCATTTCCAGATGATTAGTGAGACTGAGCATCTAATCATATACCTGTTAAGCATTTCTTCAGAGAAATGTCTGTTCGGGTCTTTTGACCATTTTTTAATCAAGTTATTTGTTGTTTTTTGTATTGAGCTGTTTGAGTTCCTTGTATATTTTGGATATTAACACCTTGTCAGATTTATGGTTTGCAAATATTTGCTTCCAATTTACAGGTTACCTTTTCGTTTTGTTAATTTTTTCCTTTGTTATGTGGATTTCTTTTAGTTTGCTGTAGTCCCATTTGTTTGTTTTTGCTTTTGTTGCTCAAATTTTTTTTGATATCTAAAAACATTATTGCCAAGGCCAATGTCAAAAAGCTTGTCCCATGTTTTCTTCTAGAAGTTTTACAGTTTCAGGTCTTACATTTAGGGATTTAATCCATTTTGAGCTGATTTTTGGGTTGGCATAAGATATGGGCCCAATTTGATTCTTTTGTATGTGAAAATTCAGTTTTCCTAACATCATTAATTGAAGAGACTATTCTTTCCCCATTGTGTCCCCTTGGTAGGCTTGTTGAAAATTGGTTGACTTTACATGTTGGAGTTTATTTCTGGGTGCTCTATTATGTTGCATTTACTTACATTCCTACTTCATGCCAGTACTGTGCTGTTTTGATTACTAATTAACCTATTTTAAATCAAGAACTGTGATTCAGCCAAATATGTGTTTTTTTCTCAACATTGTTTTGGCTATTCATGGCCTTTTTTCCCATTTAACTTTTGAAATTGTTAATTTCTATGAAAAACGCTAGTTTAACTTTGATAGGGATTACATACAGTCTATAGATGACTTTGGATAGATGGATTTTTAACAATCTCAATTATTTCAACCCATGGGCAGATAATATCTTTCCATTTATTTGTATCTTCTTCAATTTCCTTCATCAATGTTTTATAGTTTTAAATGTACACATCTTTCATTTACTTTGTTAAATTTATTTCTAAGTGTTTAATTTTTCATGCTATCATAAATGGCATTGTTTTCAATGTTAAGTTTGGATTAGAGTACTTGCATGTACCTATTTTAGTAAAGTGCATTGATGAATGGAATTTTGTCTATAAAAGACAAAATGTTTCTTTTTAATATTGTATACAGTTAACTTTCTCACAAACAAGAGTCTTTCGAAGGTATTTTAATAAATGATAAATTGATTTTTGAATCTTTTTAGAAAATTATAATTTGAAGAATAAAAATGGGAACTTACCAAGATCTATTTAGGTTATTACTTAAAATAATATAATTTATATTAATAACAGATGGCTAATATTATATCTGAGTATGTATATTTATGTATATACATATTTCATGCTCAGTTAAGCACAAAATCAATCTTTTAAATAAAAATACACAAGTTTATAAATTTGTTACTTGCATTTTATTTATAAGCATCAGCAACATTAAATAAGTACCAAACCCTTGTCTCCAAATGAAAATTTATATTCAGTGAATGTATATTCAATGAATAAATAATTGATGTTTCATAATAAATTCCAGGGAGAACATTAAACTTGATTTAAAATGGATCTTAAATAAAATTTTATGTGAATTGTATATGCTGTTTGTCATTTCAGAGTAAATTAAAACTAAAACTTTTTGGGTATGTGTTATTTACTTGTGATTGTAACTTTGACTCATTGTGACATGCAGTTAATATTTAATTTTTATATTACTAAACTTAATAATATAAAAATTATATATAAAAATATAAAATATAATATCAAAAAACACAGAAAGTAAAAAAATATTATTCCACCATATTTAATTGGGTACAAAATAAATAATGCCTAAACTGTTACTGTAATTAACACTGAAACTGCTCCTTTCTGCTATTTGCATTTTATTAAAAAGTTTTTATTTAATGATAATTAATTGAATGACTGTTGATATTCATTTAAATGATCACGTTTCTCTTCATTCATTATAACAAATGGAGTAGAATTAATTATATTAACAGAATTTACCCTGTAGAATCAAACAAATAGTACATGTATGATCTCAGAACATAATTACAATAAAATATCTGTTGATTCAATATTCCTATATTTTATTAAATAATTTTGAAACTAATACTATTCTTCAGTTTATTCTGATGCCTCATTGCTCTATGTCCCACATCTCATTGTGGGCTTTTACCAGATTTTACTTTCAGCAGTTTTATCTGCCATTGTCACTATAGAAAACCATTGGCACTCTCAAATTAAGATAATTCAAGGAAACTTTAATAAAAAAAACTATTTATGAAAGTGTGGGGAAATCACATGGGAACCACAAGTTACTAATATATTGAGAAATAAAGAGATTTGAGAGTAGAGGTGTTACCAGACACTGAAGAAGAAAACCCCTTTAAAAGTGACATGGCCAACCAAGGGGACTTGCAAAGAGGAATCCAGGGAATTAAATGTCCTTCCCATATTCTGATCCCCCCCTTCAATCTCATTCCTGGGTTAACATTGGCCGAAATCAAGATAAGCCATTTAAGACCGGAAGCCAGATGAATGTAGTTCATACAGTGAAGTCACTGAGACAGTAATAGAAGATAGTCAGCAGAGTATTATATTAGTGTATAGAAATAATTGGAAAAATGGAGGGCCATGTTTCTGTAGTTAGCCATCTGCATTCTGTAAGGGTCCCAAGGTGAAGTGGGAGGTCAGGGGCCTAGGGCAGGAAGAAAGACCTGTCTAAAGTTTAATCAAGCTAAGGGAAAAGTTAAGGTTGTCTTTGTTAGTGATCCCTCTTTCTTCAATGGTTACTTTTATTTACATTCAGAAAATTTATGGTTGTCTCACAGTTTTTACTTTCTGTATTCTATAGGCCTCATGTTCAGTCACATATAAGTAACTTACTGGAGACCTCTCTAAATTTTATGAACAGGCTCAGACTTTTGCACAACTTTCCAGACCACCAAGAATAAGTGAGATTTTGGCAAGGCACTCTGGCTGTCCCTTTCACTGGATATGCCTGTTAAGTACCTGGTCTGCCATTGTGCTGTTTGCTACCAACAGTATGATCACCTCCAGCTATCCCATGCTAGACTTCCCTAATTTTTGCCAGGAGCTATCTATTGTTTTTGACAGTGCTGGGCACGAATTTTCCCACAGTGTACTCCTAATAAAATCAGCTTGTCTGAAAGCACAGCAGGACTGCCCTACATGTTGGGGAGGTGAGGGTCCTGCCCTACATGTTGGGGAGGTGAGGGTCCTGCCCTACATGTTGGGGAGGTGAGGGTCCTGCCCTACATGTTGGGGAAGTGAGAGTCCTGCCCCATACGTTGGGGAGGTGAGAGTCCTGTCCTACATGTTGGGGAGGTGAGATTCCTGTCCTGCATGTTGAGGAGGTGAGAGCAATCTCAGGCTGAAATGCCTTGGACTCTCACTTTTACCAAGATTTAATAGGCCTTCTTGAATGTTTCTCAATTTATTAAATCTTTAACTGGTTGCTTTTGACAACTTTGCTAAGTGTTGTTTCTGCTTTTGGGGGATGGCATTAACCAAGCCTCTTACTCAGTCGTTCCAGAAGCCCTCCTCCTCCTCATTCTACATTTTTTTATCCAGAATTTTCTTGCCTCAAGATGTTTTCTATTGCTGAGGTTAGAAAGGCCATTCGTGGTGCTGCTGAAATAAATGATTTTTTCACATTATTTATATCTAATAATCATGAATTATCACCAATCATATTGCTAAATATTTTTAATTAGAACAATTCATTTCATATTGCATTATTTCAGAAACATAAAATCTCTCCTAAATAATCTCCCTGTTTGACTTTCTTAAACAGTGTTTCACTATGAGCATCATAGAATCTGATTGAAATGTAAATCTGATCACAGCATATACTTGTTTAAATATTTAATAGGAGCTCTAACACTTCCCCAGATTTACAACATTCTGCATATCTGGAACCATCCTGTCTCTCTGCCTCATATTTTACTAACTCTTTACTTTGTAGTTTATCTTTGAATAACATTGAACAGCATGCATTTCCTTGCTACACACTGTACCCCTTCACATCTCTGCAATTTGGAATGATTAGATTGCAATGTTTATCTCATTATCATTTAGTTATATTTTAACAGTTGACAAGTATGCATTGCCGAACACCCACATTTGAGGCTGGATTAATCAGTTCTTTCACTTATCCAGTAAATCTTTGTGCGTAATATTTTACTATAGTTTGGAAGCCATTTTGTTAAAACTATCACTGGATTGTACATATGTGCTCCTCAAAGGCACATAACCTTTTTTATTCATGGTACTTACCATAGTACCTAGGAAAAGAAAATGAGTTTTGTTAATATTTGTGAACAAAATCACACTGATTTGGGCTGACATAAATGTAAATTATAATTTATTTTTGTGTATATACATTTACATATATCCCTTTACATTATTGCAACTTTTAAACATCAATTCTTTGACTATAAGCCCAAAGACTGTGAACTTCATTTGTAAAAAGGCAAAGATGGGCAGATGTACAACTCCATGGGCCCAATTAACTGTTGCCTTTGAGGTAAATATAAGTTGTCAAAGGGTGCATTGGATGATCTACTGTTCTTTGCACTAGGTTAGAGAAAATTACTAATTTTGTCATATGCAAGATCAAAGCTGCTCGATGTCACTGTGTCACCACGTCATTGTAACCATGCGCCTTTCTAGACTTTTAAAATTTCCCCCATAATTCACAGCCTGGGGGATTTTGAATAAATTTGTTTTTAGCATTTCTTAGTTCATTTCTTCCTTAATTTATTTACTCATTCAATACAAGTATATGTTTCAGTATTTAAAATATGAAAAGACTTATCTAGGCACTGGAAAATAAAATAATTTTTAAAATAAATAATCTTAATGCATTTCATTTATTTATTTATTTGAGACAAGATCTCACCCTGTTGCCTACTGTGGAGTGCAGTGGCACCATCATAGCTCACTGCAGCCACTACCTCTTGGGCTCAAATGATCCTCCTGTGCTAATACTATCTACAGATGGTGCCTTCTATACACACAGCAACCTGACCTATTTTCTTTTTGAGAATTTTTATTATGGTCATTTTGAAGAGGACTGATGGAATTCTTATGAAGACTGAGCCAGTTTTTAAAAGATACTTAGAATGAAAAAAATACTACTTCATTTTATTCTCTTCCTATGTTTTATTATACTAATGATTAAAACTAAAAAGTTTGGGGAAATAAATGTTAACTTTATTAGATACATTATAGTGACATAATACTTCATGTTTTTGCATTACTTTTTGTTGATACTAAAAGAAGAAAATATTGCACTACTGCAAGGTACATTTGACATCAGTTCTGTATCACTTAGATTTGGTATCAGTGTTTCTGATTTCTCAAGGATCAACAAACTAGATAAATCATAACAGGGTAGATAAAATTCTCAACTAATGGAAGACTTCAAGGAAGAGAAGTTGGAAAAGCTAAGCCTGCACAGAGAACTTCACAGAGAACATGTCTTTTGAATAAATTTGTTTTTAGCATTTCTTAGTTCATTTCTTCCTTAATTTATTTACTAATTCAATACAAGTATATGTTTCAGTATTTAAAATATGAAAAGACTTGTCTAGGCATTGGAAAATAAAATAATTTTTAAAATAAATAATCTTAATGAATTTCATTTATTTATTTATTTATTTATTTATTTGAGACAAGATCTCACCCTGTTGCCTAGTGTGGAGTACAGTGGCGCCATCATAGCTCACTGCAGCCTCTACCTCTTGGGCTCAAATGATCCTCCTGCTTCAGTCTCCTGAGTATCTACCATGCCTGGCTAATCTTTGTATTTTTTCTATACATGAGGTCTCACTTTGTTGCCCAGGCTGATCTCAAAACTCCCGGGCTCAAGAGATCCACTTGCCTCGGCCTCTCAAAGTGCTGGGACTACAAGCATAAGCCACCGCAACCAGCCATTTTCATGAATTTTAATCCCAGGTGGAGAAAAGTAAATTCAAATGAATAACTGTATAATATACCTATTAAAGACATAATTAAAATACACACTGAAAGTAAATCTAATAAATATTTTACTGGCTATTCCGAATAATGCAATAAGAAAAAAAGATAAATGTCAGGGGAAAATAACTAAAGCTGCTATTATTGTACATAAAATGTTTGTCTGCACAGAAAGTCAGTAGAATGAATTACCAAACAATCATCAAGCTCTTCTAATAAAAACCTGTTATGCTAATGGACCCAATACAAGTTCCACATATTGAAAGCATTAGCTCTCTATTCACAGTCAATATGACAGCTCTAGATGGAGAAAACTTTTAAAGTGTGCTGTTGGATATTGATTAATACCCTTCGTTATTCCATGTACTGTGAAAATTTCAATTTAAAAAAATCAAAGAAAAATGAAGATTAAAAATAGAAAAAGAAGTGGAAGAGGTAATTCTTCCACTGAATGTTGAGTTAAACATTCTATTGATTTACTATATAGCTTTGTTAGAAATATACACTTTCCTAAACAATACACTATTTGGCTAATTATCTATGGAATCATTATAATTGTACCAATGAATAGAACCACCACATTGTAGGGGTGTATCTGCTAAAACTTACTAGGTAATACAAAATTATTTTACAAACTGATTATGAAAATCTGGGATCAGCATGTTATGAGCCTTTTTAATTGATCCATTCAGGAAGACGTAAAATGTCACATTTTGGTTTCAATTTGTATTTCCTGTTTACCAACAAAGTTAGCTAAATTTTCTATGATAAGTAACCATTTATGTTTTCTCTAAAGAGAAATGCCTGTTCTTGTATTCTGCCTATTTTTCTTTTGGGTGCCTTCTTATATATTGAAAGGATTATTATTGTTTATTTACACTTTTAAAATTTTCTGTCAATTTTATTAATATTGTAAACATATTTAATATAGCATACTTATGCATTTATAACAAGAGGGGTCACTGTATATATGAAACAAAATGCCACTCTCTTTTGAAGTACAAAGAAGGAAAGAAGAAGGGAGAAAATAGAAAGGGAAGGAGGGAAGGAAAAAAGGAAGACAGGCAGGAAAGAAAGAAGGCAGGCAGGCAGACAGCTGGGCGAAGAATATCACCAAGCAAACCTACTTATTGGTATCTGCTTTAGAAAAGTCCTTTTACTTGTGCATGTATTGGATGAATGAATGATTTGTTTTCTAATGTTTTATTTCCTTTTCTTTTCTTCCAGGACCATTAATTCTAATTTTAACTAACTATAGGTTTACAGTATGTATTCTTTGTATTATAATTAGCTGTCAGGGTGGATTGTGAATGGTATTTATTCTTGATCTCAATAGTTTGGGGGGATATGCTGAGAGATTCAGATTTTGGTGGTCACTTTTATCTTACACAATCAAAAATTCTTTGTATTTTGAGTCATTTATTATCTTTTTTCCTTTGTAGAGTAAGATTTCTTTAGTAATAGGCTTTCAACATATGAAATAAATGAGTTAAACAAGTAAAACATTTTGACCTTACCTCTTTCTCTTAGATGACCTCTTTTGCTTAGATGATATGCCATTCTATTGTTTGATCTTTTCATTAAAATTTTGTTTCAAATATCATTTTAAATTCCTTAATGAAAATAAAATACTTTTAGCCAAATTTATTTACATAGATATTTTAATTTCCAAGAGTCTTTCTGGAGATATATATACCTGGATTTCTGAATTTATGTATATCCATATGGAACAATGCAATTTTTTAAGCAATAGATTATGCATTCTAAACTGAATGGCTGGAACTGTACTTGTGATTATACAGTATATATACAATACAATTAGTAATACTAATACTATACAATTAGTAACTATAAATAAAAGATGTAGCCTTTCTATATTTTCAATATTTGTAAAATATAGTGGAGCACTGTATTTATGATGCCATCATGAAAAACCAGCATCACATTTAGTCCTCCTTATGATTTTATAAATCATGCTGATAAATTTATATAATTTTTGCAAAAATATTTGAGTACATTGCAACAGAAATATTTTATGCACACACATGCAATATTCAGTATTCATATAATATAAATATAAATATTGAATATAATATAAATTTTAATGTAATAGGGATAATATATATTATGTGTAATATATATAATAGTTGCAATGAATGCACACACATATAATACTGTGTATAGTAACACTAAATAAAATGTATGTATATGTAGCAGATGACATATACTGAATAGAACAATTATTTCATTGTGTGATGAAAGAATAAATAATCATTGTGTGTTAAGTTATCCACTCTGAATGATTTAAGGGAACACATTTATCAAAAAACAAAAACAAAAACAAAAACCCAGCATATTTGGGCCAGGTGTCGTGGTTCAGTCAGAGGCGAGAGGATTGCTTGAGGCTAGGAGTTTGAGACTAGCCTGGGCAACACAACAAGACCCTAGCTCTACAAAATTAAAAAATTAGCTTGATATGGTGGTGCTCACCTGCAGTCCCTGCTGCTCAGGAGACTGAGGCAGGAGAATCGCTTGAGCCCAGGAGTTTGAGGCTGTAATGAGCTATGACTGTACCACTGCGCTCCAGCCTGGGCAACAGAGGGAGACCCTACCTCAAAAAAACAAAACAAAAAAGATTTGTAAAATGGATACCACCTTTTTCTATTAGTGCATTTCAATGTACGTTTGAGCAGTGATGATGCATTGTCAACAGTTTTAAAACCGTAGCATGACTTGACACAGGTTATTTTTATATTGGGATGATTATTTTTAGTCAGCACCTCTTATTTGTTACACCAAACTTAGATTTCAAGAATCTTTAAAATAATCTTATAAATGCACACATTCTTAATAATCACACTGGCACATTTTCACTTGAATTTTAGCTTTTGGTCCCATGATGCTCTTCTCTTTGATGTTCATCTGTTAGAGCAGAGTTCATGATTATTTCTCCCTACTCTCACACAAACAATGCAGTGCTTCAGCAGCTTTCTAATATTGTTGATTGTCTCCTCTATTCTTGATTTATTACACTCCGAAGAATGTGGGTTGAAATGAAAGGCTAAAAGTTTGCTGTGGCACAAGGTATTTTTTCAAAGATGTCTTGTTGGGAATATGTCTTTTACGATTTTTTGTTCTTTTTTAGATGCTCACAAAATTGTTTATTTAAAGAATTGGTGGTTTTAGAAGCTGACTTGCCATTGGGAAAAATGTTTCTATCTATGCAAGAGTATAAGAGCTTGACATATTCATTTATTGTGAACTTGAAAACTCTTTGTACTTGGTGGAGACTAAAAAAGACAAAAATAGTTCTCATCATGGATTTCATGTTTCAGAACTATCCAAGCATAATAACAATGAACAGTATAAACAAAAAGGGACTAATCTATGTTATTAAGTTCAACAACTTCTCAAGACAGGCATTTTAAAAATTAACTTCCCTCTTCAATCCACCAAATTTTAGTTGTTAATATGTCATTGTGTTAAAAGCTGTTGAAACAAGAAGTTTACCCTTAAGGAAGGAAAGTAAAGATGTAAACAATAAAATATATAAATATTTTAAATGGTTGTAGTAATACATCACAGGAAACTGTAACAGAGTATAAGAGGCAACACATAGATCACATAGAGTTATCTGAGAAAGTGGTACGAGAAGGGATCATACATGAAAATATAGTGCTATGTGCTATTGAAAAAGAAACTGAGTATTTTTAATGCTTACAAAGACTCCTTCACAATATTTATGGTTACATGTTTTTTAGATGGTCATGGTATTTGTTATAACTCTCTGATTATATTATGCTCACCTTATATTCCAGAGTACTTGATAATGTACTTAATTGATTTTTGAATGATAATAGGTAATTATTAGAATGGCTAATTTCTTTTTTTCTCATTTTACTGAATATATATTTTGAATGCTCCAAATGATTTTAATAAAATGTTACCTTATCAATTTGTTATGACAGTTTTATTTTTGGCATAACGTATATGTTCTCATCCTTTAAACACAGGTGGCCCAGGGTGACTCAGAATCAGACATTCTCTTTGGAGACATGGTACTGAAACACAGAATGTAAATTGAAACACCAAAGAACAAAAAGATTTCATTTTCTCACATGCTTGTTGTGTTGGGTGGAAAAGACAAGGAATGAAAAGAAAGGGTAGGTGACTTCAGAGAAAGATATTTCCACTCGAATGAATATAACTAATTTTTTTCTTATTTACTTAAATAACTCAGAACATTATGTTGATAAAGTAAGATCTGGGAAAATGAATAGGAAAAGCATGCCAGATAGAATCCATTACATTTATAGATTTCAGGGACAAACAGCTTACCCAGTGAAAATCTAGACATCTGGGATAACAAAGAAATTCTGACACAGAATTTTCAGTAACCAGTGTCAGTAAATGGGAGGAAAAATGAATGAAATAATAGTAAACTTAGTGATGTATTAGGTATTTTTCGATTCCAGATACAACTTAATTTCAGTTGGATGTTTTTGTTTCAGAGTGTTTATTCAGTTAAATAGAGTTATAGTATTTTATATTAGAGTGCACAACATGCTGTGGGTATTCTCAAGAATGTGAATTCTACTTGGCACTAGAGTTAGAATTCAGTGTAAGTTGAAAAGGTTTTTCTCTGTATTATATTCTTTAGCCATTATTAGATGATCAAATTGATGATTCTAAACATTAGATTCTAGACACTTTTTTCTTAAGGCTTACTTTATAGTTGGAGTAGATAAAGGCAAATATAAATAGTAATACCAAATTGCCATTTTCCCTTCACTCTCACCTGTTGTCTCAGGGCTGCTTATTCTCATGGTCCAGGTGTGTAACATAATGATAGATATTCTTTCTGAGGATAGTATACTAGTGGGTTTACTTAGATCATAAACTGCTCATTACTAGGCAGCTCTCTTTATTCGCTTCTTCAAAAAAGTAAAACCAAAGTGTGGAGTCAGCATGTGACATGTTATTTTAATAAACAGATGTTCAGACTGAGAGAACATGTGAGAGAGAAAAGTCAACTAAAACACTATTGCAATCAATATAATTCACAATCAATATAAAAATCAAAAGTTCTCCAATTAATCAAAATAATGAGATAGAATATCTCATGGATGAATACTTTGTTCACAGATAGCAAAACTTAGGAATAAAGTCACCAAGATATGTGCAAAATCTCTATGGAGAAAGTGGTAATAGTTTATTGAAGAATAAAAATAAGCTCTAAAAATATTCATAGAAATGCCATGTTAATGAACAGAAAGACTCAGCGTTTTAAAGATTTCTGTTCCCCCTAAATCTGATAATGGAGGCATAAGTCGCCAGAAAAATATGTCAGAATAGAACAAATAATAATATAATATCACAAAAATACCTATATATATATATATATATATAAAATAATATATAATGAAGTTATTTTAAGGCAGTGGATAGAAAGTAAACTTTAATGGCAATATGAGGAATAAACACTTATAAAATGTATATGATGTATGTCTATATCTTTCTAGCTAATGAATATATTAAAGAGGAGACTATTAGAACATTTCACCTTAGATATTAAAATTTTAATACATAAGACATGAAAAGAAAGCAACAAAGTGAAAAAATAACTGCTACATAAATGTATATACACATATATGTATTATATATCGTATCTATCATATCATAAAGGAATATTTATAATTAATATATAAAGAAGTTATGCAAAATGTTGAATAAAGATTACCATATAAATATGCATAGGTTGTGCCTTGCACAGGGGGGTTTGTTAACTGGCAGAAAGGAACTGAAATCTAGTCTACATCGTGTTCATCAAGCCTTCCTGGCCTGAGGGTGTGTCCACCTGGAGGCACACTTTCTTTGTTGCACAAAGGTGTCCAGTCAGCGGTTCACAGTGGCCCTGATGAAGGCAAATGATATAAACAGGCAGTTCAAAGAAAAAAATTCAAAAATGTTCGAGCTACATATAAAAAGAATTCCATCGTACTTGTATTCAGAGTAGTTAAGAGGTACTAAGTATACAGGAGAAAATATTATATGTCTAATAGAATAATTTAAAAGAATTAAAATAGCAAATTTGATATGGATAAAAAGAAATATTACCCTCTTTGCAATGTTCAATTATAAATAAGTATGAAATTTTTGGAAGTTATCTATCAACATTCAAAATACATATATAAATATTAACTCAAATATTCACCTCCTAGGAATATATCATACAAATACAGATATATACAGGAATTCATGTACATAGATTTTAATTGTAGTCCAGTTTCTATAATTAAAATAGAAAAACAAATATTAACATACTGGATAATAAATGTTTTTACATTAATTTCATATATTAGTACACATATAAAATACACTTTATTTACTGACATTTCAAAAAATCAATGAATTTTGATATATTAAGAACAAATTTCCAAAAAATTCAATTATCCCACAAGTATTTATTGAGTGCTTACAAGATGCCAAATGCCAAATATCATGGACAAATGCCTTTGCATTTGTGTAGTTTATATTTTAGTGGGGATAAATAAACAGTATACATGTAAGAAGGTAATAAGTGTTATGAAAAAAATGCAATAAAACCTGCAATGTGTACAGGAGTGAAGGTAGAGGTGGAATTGGTTGCAATTTAAATGGGGTGACCAGGGTAGATTTTATTGAGAATTTGGTATTTGAGAAAATACTTGAAGAAGACAATGGAAGAAATCCTACAGATATCTAGTAAAAGAGTGTTTTGCTGCTAGAGGGAACAGGCAGTACCAAAGCCCTGAAGCATGCTATGTGAAAGATGAGAAAGGAATGTGGCTGCAGTAGAGTGAGGGGGAATACAGAAATAACAAGAGATGAAGTCAGTATAGAGATGGGCATCAGAGTGTCTAGAGATTCATAGACTAATCAGAGTTGAAAGACAGCATAATTGTAAAGTGAAAGGTCATAAAAAATAATGAAATAATGAAAATAAGATAATGTGTGAAATTACATACTGACAAATTAGTTTGATGATAAAACAGCTTACTAAACATTTTTTAAAAATAAGTTATTTCTTTCAGAAATACATACCTGTAAATTACATGTGCTTTACATTAAAATGTAAATTTCATTAAATGGGCAGCAGCAATGGGAGAGTTTTGATTAGAAGAATGGCATGATCTGATTAATTTTGACAGGCTCACCCTGTCGAGTGTGTTGACAATAGACCCTGAGATAAAAAGTAGAAATGAGGAGATCAGCTAGGAGGCCGGGGTGGTCTTCCAGGTGAGAGAAGGGGGCTTATATCAGGATTTGGCATGATTATACTTTGGCAAGGTTCTTTTAGAAATAAAAATAATTAAAACAAATCAAATGTAGGTCTTCATGTATGTACAGAGAAAGGTTGTAAATTCTTAGATAAGGATCCAAAAGTAGTTGTGCAAAAATATTAAGAAATTTCACCTCTAGAAATTTAAAAAACACAATTTAATTCATAGAATTTAACAGTTCTCATTTGGATTTTGCTTAGCTTATGAGAGTGATGCAAACACATGTAATCAAGATAAATGTGTATGGTATCTCATATTTGATCCCAACTATTTGCTTCTCAGTCCATTGCCATGACCCTTGTATGAGGATTATCCTTTCCCACTCTACTAAATTATGAGCTTGGTTATTTAACTAATGGAATGTGAGTGGAAATTATATATGCTACATTGCAACACAAGCTTTATAAGTGATAACATAATTGGCTTCTCTTTGTTCTCTATTTGGCCTATGACGAAGATTCTTTGCTTGGTCAAGCTTAGGTCAGGCTTCTGGACCTTCTCCTATCTGTATACTTCCTTGTAAAATCCATTTTCAGCAAAGAACCCTGCAAAGTCAGTTCAGCCAGAACCCCCTATCATCCATATCTCATTTTCCTCAATATGTGGTCAGGTTCCTCATTTCGCAGGTAATACCTGATCACTCTGGCCTGCCTTCAGCACGAATCCTGTTAAGTTGGTTTAACCAGAGCCCCACTTACCGCTGAAGTTTGCTCTCGGAATTTTCTACCTACTGATCCCCATGCTCCTTCATGGCTAAAAATTTCCACTTGCTCACAATGTATTTGGAGTTGAGTGCAATCTCCCGCACTGCAAGACCCCATTGCGGAGGTTCCTATACCTGTCACATTGGTCCTGAATAAAATCTTTCTCACCGTGCTTTGACAAGAATCATTGAAGAGTTTTTTTTTTTTCCTTTAACATCTAGACCATAAAAAATAGCATGTTCTAGAAAGGAAGCTATTTTTTCATTGTGTGTTGTGGAATGAGAATACATGGTGAGGAAACCATGTTTTTGCTATTGTTCTTGAACCTCTTGACAAAGAGTTAGTAACATATCCTAGATATCATTCAGTTGAGGCAAAGAAAGTGAGGTAAGGAATACAGAGGTTATTGATGGTTCTGATGACCTTTCTATATAAGAAAGTATTAGAATTATCTCCTCTGTTATGCAGATAATCTGATGCTTAACTTAGTAACATAAAACTTACCCTGGTTGTACATGGGAAATTTAGGGACATGGAAATATTTTTCTCAATTACAAAAATTAAAATGTTCTTTATAGTAACATGAAAAGACAATTAGCTTTGTTATGCCTTAGGATGTTTTATAGTTCTGTTTCTCAAATATAGATGATTAGAAAGCAAATAAATGGATATGAAAAATTTACTCATAGATTACTTTCAAAATGTATATACTTTGCTATATTTAATTCAGTTTCTAAAGGTCATCTATCCCAGTTCTTAAGTGGATTAATTTTCTTTACTTGTTTTTGTCTGTTTGAATAATAAAAAGTATCCAGCTATTAATTGGAATATGCTGGCTAATATTAGAGGAAGACATAGATTAATTACCTTTACCTGAAAAAGGGATAAAAGAACAGTATTTCTCTTACCAAAAATTGTATAAATGTGTACATTATTTAATTTATTTATTGATTTCTTTAAGTTAATACTTTTAGGAAATGGTATTTAGATGAATTTGCTATTGGAAATCTGAAAGAAGACTTTCCAAAACTTAAATATCTGAAAAGCAAAGATCAATAAGTATGAGAAATAAATTCATTTTAAATATCAGAAATGAATGTGAGATACAAGCTCTAAAGCAAATTAAATTCTCTAAAGCTGCCCATCAGCCAGCCACCACGGGTTTGAAGGTCATTG
Organism: Homo sapiens; assembly: GCF_000001405.40. Classification (NCBI taxonomy): domain Eukaryota; kingdom Metazoa; phylum Chordata; class Mammalia; order Primates; family Hominidae; genus Homo; species Homo sapiens. The sequence continues at coordinate 185,064,158 of NC_000002.12, read as the reverse complement.
TTGCTGGCTATTTGGCTAAATTTCAACTCAATTTCAGCCCTGATCAGTGATTCGAAACTGACCCACACAGATGGGCAACCATGTGGTGCCCCAGTGCATATTAATCAGAAGATTCCCCTACTCCATAAAGGAATAGATCAGATGTTTAAAAAGAAACTGTGTGAGGACAAAATGCAGAAGGCTTGAGAGATGTGCCAAACAATTCTGAGACACTTTGCATATTGACTCTTCACTCTGTGATGCCTTCTTGCCTGTGGGGAATGTAGATCCTACATAAATAATTTTTCCATGCATGAGAGGAAGCAATCAGGGAATAAACATCCAGTTCAAATGATTTACAGTTATTTTAGCTTTATAGAATACAATACATCCAAAGTTTCTATTTCATTGATTCTCCACAGTGAAATATAATTTTGGTTATTCATTTGTTTTGTGCCTGATTTTTGGTTATTAGTGCCCTAAGGGTATGGAGAACTAGAAATATGAAGCAATCGAAGCATGAATGTACATGACTTTGAGGATTCTATCTCATTTTGAGTTAAAATTTAAATAATATCTACATTGGCTTAAATAACATGTTTCCTCTATTATCTAATTACAAATATCTAAAAATGGTTTCTATTTCCTCAATATACTTTGATAAAAATAACTGTGTATAGGCCAAATAAGTGACAGATGTAACCAAAAAATATACAATACAGAAAAAGCTATTTTCATACTTTTTGTTTTAGTAAGTTTCTTTATTTCCTCACTAGATGTATTTATAAGAAAATAAAAAACTGGAATAATTTTATGACTAGTCAAAATCACCCAATAAAACAAAAAGTAGCTGTTGTGCCTTTATCATATGAATAGATAAGAAAAGAAAAATGTGGCACATATACACCATGGAATACTATGCAGCCATAAAAAATCATGAGTTCATGTCCTTTGTAGGGACATGGATGAAGCTGAAAACCATCATTCTCAGCAAACTATTGCAAGGACAAAAAACCAAACACCGCATGTTCTCACTCATAGGTGGAAATTGAACAATGAGAACACATGGACACAGGAAGGGGAACATCACACACCTGGGACTGTTGTGGGGTGGGGGGAGGGGGGAGGGATAGCATTAGGAGATATACCTAATGCTAAATGATGAGTTAATGGGTGCGGCACACCAACATGGCACATGTATACATCTGTAACAAACCTGCATGTTGTGCACATGTACCCTAAAACTTAAAGTATAATAATAATAAAATAAAAAAAGAAGTACTAATTTTTAAAAATTACTTAATAAGGATTATCTGATTCCCAAATTCTGACACTCCCTTTCATTTAGAAAAAACTTGCTTTAAAATTACCTATTCATATAGTTTGACTAAGTGAGCTATAGAAAGGAATTTCACCTTTCTTTACCAGATCAACTTTATCAAATCTGTGTTCCTTTAAATTCTTGTGGTGAAACAAGAAAGTACAATAGCATTCTGAAATGAAAAGGTTCAACCACTTTAATAAACCCTAGAATATCTGACTTTGTCTACTACTCTGGACTTATGTTTTCCTGTTATACCAGTTTGCTGCTATTGATATTTCTAGGGCTATTTTTAAAATTTTTCACCATGTGTGTATGACTACAATTAATATCCCTCTTGAAAAATCACCATTTTCTATCTCCCAGGTTTTCAGTGTTTTACTTAAAAAAATAAGATTTGTTTTATAATATTCTCAAAAGCAATATGGATAATCATAACTTAGTTTATTCTTTGAAAGATTTATCTTTGTGGATTTGTTGAGTTGGTGACCTGTGTTTCCATCCAATTTGGAATCACTCAAAAGTTTTCAGACTTGACACTGTCCTATTTATCCCCAAAGCACAAACAAAAACAACAGCCTTGTTACATAAATGCATGCACAATAGTACAGCCTTGTACTATAAGGTTTACCTATGTTATCTCTCATATTAATCCTCACAACAATCCTGTAATCCTATTGTATGCTAGCATGGTATCTTCTATTGCTCTTTTCTCATATTCACTACCCTTGAAAGCATATATTCAATACTCTTGAAAGCATATATTCAATTTCTGTTTTTTCCGTTTAATTGTAAGCTCCGTGTTAAAGAACCTCTTGACATGAATCTAACATTCATGGGAAAATCCACAATAATATGACTGTCTAATAGCATTTAGACAATAAACTTGTGTTGAGCAAATAAATTAATGTTTGGAAGAGGAAGATATTGTTTCTATTACAAATGCAGAATCTGAGGTTAATTAGGTTTAAGTTCTTTGCTCACCTTCAAATATCTAATAAGTAGCAGAGCTGGAAATCTAAGACCCACTTACATTTCCATGAAACCTAGATGAGTCTCATTCAAAAGCACTTGCTTTTAAACATTACATTAGTATGTGCACATACAATCTTTCTTAAGTAATGACTTATTTTGTCATGACTATCTAGTCAGCCATCAACCCCTATTCTTGTTTTTGTTTGTTTTAGCAATTTGTTTTCCTCTTAATTTCTTTTTTACTATGTCCACTAAACCAATAGCTACTTTATTTCAATCATCAGGTAACTTATTTTGTTCATTCTTTTTCTCTTGGATAATACAGCCTTACAAAAGCACTCATTTTAATTTCCTAAAATATTTTTATTTTTGTTTTATAACTCAATTGTTTGGCATTAAATGTCATCATATAGAGCTTCCAAACTGTAATATTTAAGGCCCTGAGACTAAGGATTTTCCTATGGTGAGGTGCAGAGCAGGGCCTGAGGAAGCAAACCTACAGTGCCTTCATTCCCTAATTTAAACGGAACAGAGCTGCTTTTATCAGTTTCATATATTTATTGTTTAAATGGTTTTAATTTGAAGAAAGGATTCTAATATTGTCAGTAGTAGTAGTGGCAGTAGCAGTAGTAGTAAGAGATTTATTACCTAGTTACCTTAATACTTCATAATCCAAACTTTGAGCCAATGGCTACCAATTAACTTCCTTAATTCCAATTATTATTCCATTTACATAAATACTTTGTGTTTTACAGTATGTTTTTTCTAGTCTGCCATGTAGGTCACATTTTGGTTCAGTTCCAGTGTATCCTCAGAAATGGAGAATTATTGTAAAGATACTAAGGAGCTTGAGATGTCAAAGAAGGTCAAACATTTAAATTACATACACTCACTCCTAGGATTTTATGATCATTAAATCTGAGAAACTGTCATAACAACCTTTTACTTGGCATAACTCAAAATCAAGGATCCCAAGCAACACAACTTCTCTCTGCTAAACTAACGTGTATTATTCCTGAACTAAGGGTTTGGATTGTGTGGTTTTGGCAGTGGGTGATACTAAAATGGATTATCCAAACCTTCGGTGGTCCTCTATGCCCATATTTAAGACTATAGTAAGCTTCAAGAGTTTTTTTTAATTATGCCCCATCCATCTCTTCTTCCTTTGTCCTTTGAAGAGGCATTATGAAAGGGGTTAATATTTAGATTTTCTTTAGGTTATGGTAGTTGTTTATGTTATTTATTAATGATTAAAAGGGCTCCTTAAGAAACTGTGGTTTACATTTATTTATTTTAAGGGGCATTAATTATTTAGCCCATCATTAGAGTGTTTTTTTTAATTTAACATTCAATAACTAATTTAAGTGAAAAAAGAATCTGCCAGTAATTTATCTTTTTCTCCTTTTACTAAGATAAGCATGCCTGGTTTTGTATTCATTTTTATTATCAAATTACTTTGTAATAACAAAGTATAAAATAAAACTATTGAGTGAAATTTTTAACAATCAATTAAAATAATGTCAGAAAAATATGTACTATACTAAATTCCCCACCAGCTTAAGATGAAATGCCTAAAGTTAGAAGCCTTATTACCTGTGGCCAGATCAAGATATACAAACTAATTGTCCTTAGCTTCAGTCATCAGCCTCCAAAGATTGATTCCAAAATATACATAGGGGATTGATTTTTTGAAGATTTTAATTATACCTTTTCTTACTTCTTCCAGATTCCTATGTTTAAAAACAACAACAAAGATCAGATGGCTGTAGATGTGTGGTATTATTTCTGAGGGCTCTGTTCTGTTCCATTGGTCTATATCTCTGTTTTGGTACCAGTACCATGCTGTTTTGGTTACTTTAGCCTTGTAGTGTAGTTTGAAGTCAGGTAGCGTGATGCCTCCAGCTTTATTCTTTTGGCTTAGGATTGACTTGCTAATGCGGGCTCTATTTTGGTTCCACATGAACTTTAAAGTAGTTTTTTCTAATTCTGTGAAGAAAGTCACTGGTAGCTTGATGGGGATACCATTGAATCTATAAATTACTTTGGGAAGTATGGCCATTTTCACAATATTGATTCTTCCTATCCATGACGATGGAATGTTCTTCCATTTGTTTGTGTCCTCTTTTATTTCATTGAGCAGTGGTTTGTAGTTCTCCTTGAAGAGGTCCTTCACATCCCTTGTAAGTTGGATTCCTAGGTATTTTATTCTCTTTGAAGCAGTTGTGAATGGGAGTTCACTCATGATTTGGGTCTCTGTTTGTCTGTTATTGGTGTATAAGAATGCTTGTGATTTTTGCACATTGATTTTCTATCCTGAGACTGCTGAAGTTGCTTATCAGCTTAAGGAGATTTTGGACTGAGACGATGGGTTTTCTAAATATACAATCCTGTCATCTGCAAACAGAGACAATTTGACTTCCTCTCTCCCTAATTGAATACCCTTTATTTCTTTCTCCTGCCTGATTGCCCTGGTCAGAACTTCCAACACTATGTTGAATAGGAGTGGTGAGAGAGGGCATCCCTGTCTTGTGCCAGTTTTCAAAGAGAATGCTTCCAATTTTTGCCCATTCGGTATGATATTGGCTGTGGGTTTGTCATAAATAGCTCTTATTATTTTGAGATATGTCCCATCAATACCTAATTGATTGAGAGTTTTTAACATGAAGGGTTGTTGAATTTTGTGAAAGGCCTTTTCTGCATCTATGAAGATAATCATGTGGTATTTGTCCTTGGTTCTGTTTATATGCTGGATTACGTTTATTGATTTGCGTATGTTGAACCAGCCTTGCATCCCAGGGATGAAGCCCACTTGATCATGGTGGATAAGCTTTTTAAGGTGCTGCTGGATCCAGTTTAGAAATAATATCACACATCTACAACCATCTGATCTTTGAAAAACCTGACAAAAACAAGAAATGGGGAAAGGAGTCCCTATTTAATAAATGGTGCTGGGAAAACTGGCTAGCCGTATGTAGAAAGCTGAAACTGGATCCCTTCCTTACACCTTATACAATAATTAATCCAAGATGGATTAAAGACTTACATGTTAGACCTAAAACCATAAAAACTCTAGAAGAAAACCTAGGCAATACCATTCAAGACAGAGGCATGGGCAAGGACTTCATGTCTAAAACACCAAAAGCAATGGCAACAAAAGCCAAAATTGACAAATGGGATCTCATTAAACTAAAGAGCTTCTGCTCAGCAAAAGAAACTACCATCAGAGTGAACAGGCCACCTACAGAATGGGAGAAAATTTTTGCAATCTACTTATCTGACAAAGGGCTAATATCCAGAATCTACAATGAACTCAAACAAATATACAAGAAAAAAACAAACAACCCCATCAAAAAGTGGGCAAAGGATATGAACAGACACTTCTCAAAAGAAGACATTTATGCAGCCAAAAGGCACATGAAAAAATGCTCGTCATCACTGGCCATCAGAGAAATGCAAACCAAAACCACAATGAGACACCATCTCACACCAGTTAGAACGGTGATCATTAAAAAGTCAGGAAACAACAGGTGCTGGAGAGGATGTGGAGAAATAGGAACACTGTTACACTGTTGGTGGGACTGTAAACTAGTTCAACCATTGTGGAAGACAGGTCACTTTTCCTCAGGGATCTAGAACTAGAAATACCATTTGACCCCACCATCCCATTAGTGGGTATATACCCAAAGGATTATAAATCATGCTGCTATAAAGACACATGCACACATATGTTTATTGCGGCACTATTCACAATAGCAAAGACTTGGAACCAACCCAAATGTCCATCAGTGATAGACTGGATTAAGAAAACGTGGCACATATACACCATGGAATACTATGTAGCCATAAAAAAGGATGAGTTCAAGTCCTTTGTAGGGACATGGATGAAGCTGGAAACCGTCATTCTCAGCAAACTATCGCAAGGACAAAAAACCAAACACCTCATATTCTCACTTAGAGGTGGGAATTGAACAGTGAGAACACTTGGACACAGGAAGGGAAACATCACACACCAGGGCCTGTCATGGGTTGGGGGGAGTGGGGAGGGATAGCATTAGGAGATACACCTAATGTAAATGATGAGTTAATGGGTGCAGCACACCAACATGGCAGATGTATACATATGTAACCAACCTGCACATTGTGCACATGTACCCTAAAACTTAAAGTATAATAAAAATAAATAAATAAAATAAAATATAATAAAAATTAAAAAATAAATAAAAAATAAGACCAACAATATTTTGTGGGGCTTCCTTTTAGAGAAAAGTGCACAGAGCCTATTTTTGTGTATTGAACTAATTTGTCTCTATATTGTTTTGCTGTTAAAAATTTTAATATGAACCTTTAGCCAGGCTTTTAACAAATAACAAGAAGAAAACAAAATCATTGAACTTTGAACTCTGTGGTTGTCAGTGGTCTCTGGAAAGGACTCAACACAGTGAGTCCCTATTCCTGGTTATTGAGTTGGGTTTAAAATGCTGGTCAATATTAGAGTTGCAGATGTGTTGTATGTGAAAATAAATAATTCACAATCTAAGCTGTTGGAACCTTAAAATATTTTGAGCTCTAACGGAATGTGATTATGAGACCTGAGCCACATAAATAGGCAGCCATAACCTAGGAAGCTGTGAACTGTGTTTCTCTAATTATAGACTAGTCTTTTTCCTTATCTACATTGTTCTATAAAATGTTATAAATGACTAAAGGGCACCAGGGAGGACCCCTTCCATCTTAACTTTTGTTATGTATTATAGATTAACTTCCCTCTTTCCTTTCTCATGCGAGGACTGCATGACTATCACAGTGTCCAAGGCAACATGTTTAAATACACTCTTCTATTTTATTTTATTTTTATAATTTCAACATGTGTTTTAGATTAAGGTGGTGTATGTACAGGTTTGTTATAAGGGTATATTGCGTTCTGCTAAGGTTTGGGGTACGAAGGACCCCATCACCCAGTTAGTGAGCATAGTACCCAGTAGGTAGTTATTCAGTCCTTTCTCTTCCACTCTCCTCTTCTAGTATTCCCAGTGTATATTGTTCCCATCTTTCTGTCCATGAAATATACTCTTTTAAATTCAAAAGGAAAAGAAAATAAGCGATAGGAAAGAGAACAAACTGTAACTAATTAAATTACTTACACTCATAAACCAAACCAGCCTTATATAAAAACTGTTACAGTCCCACTACATTTATTTGTTTTCTGCCTATGTAAGGAAGACCTTGACTTTTAACTTCAAGGCACGACACCATTCCTTTGGAGTTTGTGTTATCGCAATGGCCGTTCTTAGCTTAGTGCTTAAATAAACTTTTAAACTGGATTCTAATCCTTTCAGTTATTTCAGATTGACAAATTCAAACCCTGCATCTGTTGAGAAATACTATAAGCTGAATAGGTATGGGAGATATTTACCAAGGCTAGTTATTAGTAAGTATTAAAATGCCTTGAGGAAGCCAAGTCATTACTAGAACTCAGATAAAGCCACATGGATAAAACCACTCAGAGCAGATCACATGGATAATTCCACCACATACAATTGACCTTAATCTGTTAAATTATGGATAGAATGGCTGAGTTTGTTTCTCTTAAATACATAGTCATAGTTATTGTCAGTTTAATCTTGATATCTGAGACTACAAACATTTTTGGCACGTTTTCTATATTATTTATATCTCCTCTTTATCCATTTCTAGTTCATTCTCTTTTGTGAAAACGCTTGATTTTGGAGAACTCAAGTTTAGTTCTTGATCTCTTCACTTTTCTATATACTCTCACTTCTTTGCCAATATCATCCAGTCACACAGTTTTAATTCAGTCATTACAGTCATCACTTGGAATCTGCAGATTGACTCCAGGACTCCCGTGAGTACCAAGATTTGTGAATGTTCAAGTCCCTTACATAAAATGGTGTAATCTATGCATATAACCTAGGTAAATCTTCCTGCAAACCTCAAATCATCTCTAGATTACTTATAGCACCTCATATAGCACCCCATACAATGTAAATGATATGTGAATAGTTATTATACTTATTTTATTTGTATTATTTTTATTGTTGTATTTTTATTTTGTCCTTCAAATACTTTTGATAGGCAGTTGGTAGAATCTGCATATGGAGAACGTGCAGATATGGAGAGCCAACTATATGTTGATGATGCCCAAGTTTATATTTCCTTTTCAAACTCTTGGCTCTAATAAACAAGTGAATAACTGTCAATTTAGATAAGTGATATTCATGTGAAACTAATTTTTTTAAATAATTGCATTCTAATCTTTATCCTGAAAAATTTCAGTCCATTCTCAATTTTAAAAGATTGAAAAAAGGTACACCTATATATGGCACTTCCCATGAACGAAGCTTGTAGGATTGGAAGTTGGATTGGGTGAGTCAGTGAGAGGTGACTAAATGTGAAGGCTGAGGACATTAATGTACATTACTATAGACTTTATAAACATTGTACACTTAGGTTGTACTAAATTTATAATAATAATTTTCTTCATTTATCAATTAACCTTAATTTCTTTAGCTTTTTGGCTATTTTGTAAAAACATTTCACTTAAAGCACAAACACATTGTACAACTATGTCAATTTTTATATTATTATTCTATAAACATTATTAAAATAATTTTTTTAACTTTTCAAACTTTTTTCTTGAAAACTAAGACACAAACATACACATTACCCCAGGCCTACACAAGGTCAGGATCACCAATATCACTGTCTTCCACCTCAATGTCTTGTCCCACTTGAAGGATTTCAGGGGCAATAACACACACGGAACTGTCATCTCTTGTCATCACAATGCATCATCTGGAATACCTCCTGAAGGACCTACCTCAGGCTGTTCTACAGTTAACATTTTTTATAAGTAGAAGGAGTACACTCTACAAAAAAAGAATATAGTAAATACATAAACCAGCAACATAATTCTTTATTATCAAGTGTTAGATACTCTACATAGTTTTATGTGCTATACTTTTATATGACTTGTAGTGCAATAGGTTTATTTATGCCAGGATTACCACAGACATGTGAGTAATGCATTGCACTACAACATTTTGATGGATACAACATCCCTAGGTGATGAAATTTTTTTAGCTCCATTATAGTTTTATGAGACCACCACTGTATATGTGATTTATTGACCAACTGTGTACCTGTGCGTAACTCTACATAGAAATTTTACTAAATTTGGGGGAACAATTGTCGTTTCTTAGAATATGTGGTTTTATTTTGATGTGAACAATTTCTGTATACTGCTGTATAGGATTTGAGTAATCAAATACACAGTATGATTGGTAATACAAGTTTCAGCTTGCCTCTTTAATCAAGGTAAAACAGTTATTCAATAATAATTTTCTCATTTTACTGAGTGAATTATTTAATAAATAAAATAAGCATATTTATGATAAATTCATATATAGTAGACTCAGAAAAGAAAGATCAATTAAAAGCTTAATTGTTTTGATAGGCTAGAGTAATTGGGGGTTGAGATAAAACAAAAGCAGCAAAAATGAAGGAATATATTAGAAGACACCTTGCCACAAGCTGAAAGCTGCGGCATTCAGACTACATTTATTGTTCAGAGTGTGCACTAACATAACAACAACGATGACGAAAACCCTGTTTTTTATATTTAAGGCTGACTAATGACATAAAGGTTACAAAGGCAAAGTTCACAGTAGGTCTTTTGGAGTCTATTGTCACTTATTTTTTAAACTTAACATCCACTAATTAGGACGATTTCTTTTAACTTTTTTTCATGGAAATAGATATTCATTTTTCTGAGATACATGCAAGAGTGAAATTGCTGGGTCATATGGTATGTCTATTTTTAGTTTAAAAAGGAATTGCAAACTATTCTCCAGAATGTCTATATTCATATAAGTCTACTAAAATAAATGAAGAAAATTTTGGGAACTTAAAACTTGACAGTAAAAGAATGACTTGACAATAAAAGAATGATCAAATAAAAGAAAAATAGATAAGTTGGTCCTTATCACAATTAAAAACCTATGCTCTGTGATAGACCCTGATAAGAAGATGAAAATACAAGCTATGGACTAGGAGAAAATCTTTGCAAACCATGTATCTCACAAAAAACTCCTATATAGGCCGGGCGCGGTGGCTCACGCCTGTAATCCCAGCACTTTGGGAGGCCGAGGCGGGCGGATCACGAGGTCAGGAGATCGAGACCATCCCGGCTAAAACGGTGAATCCCCGTCTCTACTAAAAATACAAAAAATTAGCCGGGCGTAGTGGCGGGCGCCTGTAGTCCCAGCTACTTGGGAGGCTGAGGCAGGAGAATGGCGTGAACCCGGGAGGCGGAGCTTGCAGTGAGCCGAGATCCCGCCACTGCACTCCAGCCTGGGCGACAGAGCGAGACTCCGTCTCAAAAAAAAAAAAAAAAAAAAAAAAAAACTCCTATATAAAGAATTGTCAAAACTCACAATTTTAAAAAGCCAAGTAAAAATGGGTAAAAGACAGAAACCCATATTTTACTGAAAAGGATATACAGAAGGCAAGTAAGAACATAAAGCCTGTTTCACATCATCAGCCATTAAAGAAATGCAAATCAAAACTAAATGCAATTTCAAATTAAATGACATTCCATATACCTATAATTATAATAATGTCTAAAATTTTTTAGTGTCTTTTTTGTATAAATTTATGTTCAAGTCTTCTGTTCACTTTTCATAGATTTTTTTTTCTTGTTATTGAGTAGTTTGGGTTCCTTGTATATTTTAGATATTTGTTCCTTATCAGTTACGTGATCTGCAAATATTTCATCCGAATCCATGGGCTGTCTCTCAATTAATTGTTTTCTTTGCTACGTAGAACGTTTTTATTATAGTTTCATAAAATCCCATTTGTCTATTTTCACTTTTTTCCCTAAAACTCTTTCCAGACCAATGTCGTAGACTTTTGCTCCTATTGCATTCAACTTTTTAATTCATTTTAAGGTGATTCTTGTGTAGGAACTGAGACAAAGGCCCATTTTTATTTTTTTGTATTAGATACTCAGTTTTCCCAACATCATTTATTGAGGGACTGTCCTTTTCTCCTCATGTGTTCCTCACACTTTTGTTGAAAATCAACTTACTATAGGCATGTGGGTTTATTTTGGGCTCTCTGTCCTGTTCCATTGGTCAATTTATCTGTTTTTATGCGAATATTATGCTTTATGATAAATATAGCTTTGTAATGTAAACTGAAATCTTTGTAATGTAATCTAATAGTGTGATGCCTTCAGATTTCTTTTTCTCAAGTTTGCTTTAGCTATTAGGGTTTTTTTGTAACTTCTGTTTCTATAAAGAATGACATTGGAATTTTGATAAAGATTGCATTGAATTTGTAGATTGCTTTGGGTAGTGTAAACATCAAAAATTCAATTTTTCTAATCTATAAACATGAGATATCTTTACGTTTATTTTTGTTACATTCAATTTCTTTCATCAGTGACTTATAGCTTCCAACTATATATATCTTGACAACATATATATAAAAACGGCTCAACACCTATAATCATCACAGAAATGTAAATTAAAACCACAATTAGATACCACTTTATACCTGTTAGATTGGCTATTATCAAAAAGATAAAAGACAACAAGAGTTGGCAAGAATATGGAGAAAAGGGAATCCTTATACATCATTGGTGGTATTGTAAATTTATACAATATTTTGAAATATTTATACAGTATTATACAAAATATTATACAATATTTTGAAAATATTTATACAGTATTTTGAAAAATACTGTTGGAAGCTCCTCAAAAACCTAAAACAGAATTACCATATAATCCAGCAATCCCACTATTGGGTATATGCCCAAAGGAATTGAAATTGGTATGCTAAAAAGGTGTCTGCATGCCCCTGTTCATTGCAGCATTATTTACAATGGCCAGGATATGAAAACAACTTGAGTGTCTATCAACAGATGAGTGGAATAAAAAATGTGATATACTGTACATACACAATAGAATACGATCCATTCTTAAAAAGAAAAAAAAAACCAAACAGGCAATTCTGCCTTTATGACAGCATGGATGAACCTAGGGGACAGCATGCTGAGTAAAATAAGCCAAACAGAGAGACAAATACTATATAACGTAACTTATACATGGAAACTAAAAAAGTCAAACTCATAGAAGTTTAGAGTAGAATGGTTGTTACCAGAGGCTAGAGGCAGAAGAGGTAGACAGGGAAAGGGAAGCCTTTGGTCAATGGAAAAAAAAGTTACAGTTAGGAGGAATAAATTTTTTTTCACAGTAAGGTGACTATAGTTAATAATAATGTATCGTGCATTTTAAAATAGCTAAAAGAGAGGATTTTTAATGTTCTCACCATAAAGAAATGATACATATTTGAGGTGATGGCTAATTACCCTTATCTGACCATTCCACAACATATATATTCATCAAAACATCACATCGTGCCCCATAAATATGTACATTTATATTTTCACTTAAAAGCAAAATAAAAAATAATAATTAAAAAGTAAAATTTTAATATTCTGTTCATCATAAAAAACACTATTTTCAAAAATAAAATAATGATGGCACCAAATGCTGATGAGGATGGGGAGAAACTGGATCACTCAAGCATCACTGGTGGAACTTTTATAGATATTTTTGTTATGGATTGACTTGTGTTCCCCTAAATTTTATACATTGAAATTCTAATCACCAATGCCAGTATACTTGGAGATAGGACCCTTATAGAAATAATTAAGGTTAAATGGTTTCACAAGAGTAGGTCCCTAATCTGCTAAAACTTGTGTTGTTAATAAGGAGAGAAAGACACCAGAGCGCTCTCAGTTGTAGAAGGACAGAAGAAAGGCCATCTGAGGTCACAGCAAGAAGCTAGGAAAATGCCTCATGAAAAACCAACCCTAAAGCATTTTGATCTTGGACTTTCAGTTTCTATAACTGTGAGAAAATAAATGCCTGGTGTTTAATGAAGCCAACCTGTCTGTTGCATCTTGTTATGGTAGCCCGAGATTATTAATACATTCTTTTGAAGTGAAAGAGATCTGAATTTTTCTAACTGTATCAGATATGTTGAACAAGTTACAGAAGAAAGAATGGATCCAAAGATGAAAACCAGCAAAAAGAAAAACAAAGTTTTTCAAACCATAGTGATATATCTTGATCTCTTGAATAAATATATTGCTTTCTAAATTTGATGGTACAATAGAGTTCCCACATCCTTGAACCACACAAGATGTTAAATTCTAGCAGGCGTGAGTGGAGAAACCAGAGTTTTCCATAGAGTTTAGAATGTGAAGAGCACATGGCACAAGGGCATGGACCACCGTCTATCATGATTGTGAGTTAACCTCTTTGTTCCTTTCTTATATTGTGATCCTCTGAAAGGAAAAACATAAAAAAACTCTTATAAAACTAAGCAAATGAAACAAGGCAGGTTGACAACAGAATACATACAGAATGAGTGAACATTAAATTTTTGGCTCCTTATTTTGTGTAAGACATAGTGCACAGCATCAGCAGGAGACAAGTTTATTTTCTAGAGTTTTGCATTCTGAGAAAGGAAGCAAATGTTTCAAAAATATATAAATCTAATACAAATAAAATTGAATCAATGCTATAAAACAGAGCCACTTGTGTGCCCTCTTGCCCCTGACTAATTCTAGTCTGCAGGAAATGTACTCTTTTCTCCCTAGGAAAACCACCTGCATATAACTAACTAGGACTTGAGCTGCTTATGACACTGAAATATCAAAGAAGAAATATTAAGTAGAGGATTAGAAAAGAGAATCCAGTTTCAGAAACATTTACTGGGTCAGAGATTTTAAAAAATGAGGTAGTGGTCACCTGCATAGAAAATACCTACTTAAAAAGAGATTAGATCGAGGTAACAGAAACCTTTTACAAAACTTAGAGATATTTTAATAAAGTTGAAGAGGAAGAAAATTCAGTCATAATGACTGAAAAAAATTACATAAGAAGGTCTTACATAATCCACACATTAATTTAATCATACATTTGTGTGGGCTGGTAATACATGACATGATCAAATAATTCTTGTGAATCTTTTCGTGGAGCTTTTCAACATTATGCTGTAATCAAAGTTCTCTGGAAGATGTTGAGGAGGGGAGTGCATTGGCAGAAGGGGGCATGTTTTCCATCATGAAAACCATTGTGTATGTACATAGCCAAATAATTTGCCTCCGTATAGGCCCAGAACTGTAAGGAAATAAGTCATTTTAAAACCATTAAGTCAAATTATCTTACTAGAATAAAATTACTAACACAAATCACTAACAGAGAATGGAACAGCATGAACTAAGGTTCTTTATAAAACTTGTAAATGGTATGTTTTATTCATTTATGTACATACTCCCACAAATTGATCTTTTCAAAATGACTTACTTTATATTTTCAGTATTTTTTCTACAGACTTTGTACTAAACTTCATTAGAACATACTACTTTGCAGGTAAATTCTCTACTTCCTTTATTCTCCCTTGGCTTCTAAAAATGGCATAAAAATTATACAATTTTACCATATTGAAGGAATCCTAAGTACTTAAATATTTCTCAATTATAATTTCACTTTCAACTTTTTCTGGGAGTCTGTAGGAGAGTACAAGGTATCACACAGTGGTACAGATATCAATTTTCTCACACTCAATGACTTTTTATGTGTTCATCTATAACTTATTTATAGAATTTAATTCTGGCATAGAAACGATCATCTGTTCTGTTAGCAGTGGCAGAAGATACTCCATAAAATTAATGGATTGAGATTATTTCCTAAAATATCAACCTTAAAATGTTGTGCAGGAAAGTGAAGCAGAGAAAATACTGTTCATTTGATGCTAATTTATCTAATTCACCATACATTCACTTATTCTTCACAGTCATTTCACATTTGATATTGACTCACTCTGAATAACTATATCATTCCAAAACATTACTGAAGCCAGAACTATTCTTAAAAGGATAAGTCAATGTATATACTTAGTGCATTCAAAATAAATAAAATCCCTAAATTTTAATAACACATATAACACCTAGAAAACAATAGATTGGTCTTTATTTCTGAATGTATACTGAAAAGAAACATCACAGTTGTCTTTGTGATTATAGTGTAAATAGCCAAAATAACTACATCAAAAACATGCTGAATTGTGAGAAAGCTAACATATTAAGTCACATGCTTTAATCAAAATGACTGATATCCTTAAATCCAATATCAGCATCTTTTCACATTCCTAAGAATAAACAGCTAACTTCTTTTTAAGCTACTTGTCAATAGCTCACAAAATTCAAATGTTCATCTATTTAATAGAGAAATTCTATTTCTATAAATAGATTTTACAAATAGACTGAAATTCAGCACTGCTAATGTATGATTATGCATTAGTCCTTTCTGATTACTTACACACATTCATGCTTTATATGCTCAGTTCACATTTCAAATTTATAACTGATGGACATTTTTCTACTACAAAGGTCTTCACAATCATTTTCCCTTATATAACAATGTTACAATTGAGAATGGACACCATAATTTGGAAACCTCAACAGTTAGTGTGGGGTGCCTCTCAAATGGTTGGGAGAGGAGCTTAGTGGACACTGTCTCAGTGAAAACAGTCTTTTGACTGGTGAAAACTATAAAAACAGCTGTAGTCTGCTGACATTTTTCTAAGGACAAACAGCCAATAGTGAAATATGTATTCAAGAATATACATTTAAACTCAGAAAAAAGAGAGAGTGAGAGTCTGTGGCATTTGAGCCACAATCCACTTCAATTTTCTCTTCCCTTTCCCAGCTCATTGTTACTTCAGCTCTTCACTAGTCAGACTAAAAGACCAGGCTGTTTTTCCTCACCAATTACTAGTTTAGGGCTATATTTTCAGTTGAGGGCTTCAGTTTCGCACTGGGAGAGGCAGGTTGTTGACATCTCTTAGCTTCAATTCTGAAGTTGTAGAAACTCCATTTCAAATAGATGTGGCCAAAAAAGACTTTAGTTTTATTACTTCACTCACAGGGCAGAAGTTCTACCCCAAGTGCAGTAGGCTGGAAATGCTGAGGCCCAGTTGTCTCTACTACAGTTTGCTCATGAGGTAGAGGTTCCACATTGGGAGAGGCAAGCCAAGAAGATCAAGAACTACTATCTTTGGCCAGTGCCCTGCTTAGAGAGCAATAATGTCACTGAGAAGAAGTAGGCTGCTGTCCTCAACCTCAGCTACAGTACAGTAATACACTAAGACTGCCTTTATTTGGAACAGAGTATGGGGAAGTTCATTGGTAAGGGCAACAAAGAGGTGACTGGTAGCTCTATGATGCAAATACCAAAAAAATGATAGAGCATGTAGATATTTAAACCAGAAAATGCTAGGGAAAGAGAAAGTTAAAAAGAAAGTTTGTGGGGTCTACCTCAAAGTGTAGTGACATCCTGGCTCTGTAAAGTTGCCCACATTTTACTGGATCAGACTATGGAGAAATGTATGCTTCACAATGTAGCCAAAAACAGTATAGCATCTGCTGGCTATTAGTGGAGATTACCAGCTGAATGTGAAACAATAGAGGCTGACCAGCAAGAAGCTTAACAGGGAGACCGGGGGAAAAACACTTAAAGAGATCCAGACTAAAATCAATCCCACTCTGGTGGTAAGAGAAATTGTGTGCAAGGCCAAGACTGGACTCTATAGGGAACATCAAAGGAGGCACACTGTGGGAGGAAATAAATTTCACAAATAAAGTCGAGCAAAGCCACTAAATAAATAATAACAAGCTGTATAAATGTAAGTTGAATCAGTATTTAGAGTTGATTTAATATATTATCTAAAATGTTCAGTTATAAATGAAAAATTATGAGATATTTAGAAAATAAAAAAGAGTAATTTGTTTTCAGAATAAAAAGCACTGAATAGAATCTGTCTTCAGGGAGGCCCAGATACTCGACTTAACAGACAAAATTGTTAAAATAGCTAGTATAACAATGTTCAAAGAAGGAAATATCACCATGCTTAAAGAACTTAAGAAGGGGGCTAGGCATGGTGGCTCATGGCTGTAATACCAGAATTTGGGAGGGCAAGGTGGGAGAATCACCTGATCCTACAAGTTAGAGATGAGCCTGGGCACAATGATGAAACCTAATATGTATTAAAAGTACAAGAAATTAACCAGGCATGGCGGCATGCACCTCTAATTCTGGCTACTCAAGAGGCTGAGGTGGTAGGATCATCTGAGCCTGGGAAGTTGAGGTTGCAGTGAGCCATGATCATACCACTATACTGCAGCCTAGACAACAGGAGTGAAACCCTGTCTCAAAGCAAAACACAAAAAACAAAAAAAGAATTAATTTAAGAAAGGTATGATGGCATTGACTCATCAAATAGAGAATACTTATAAAGAGATAGAAATTCTAAGAAGAACTAAACTGAAGTTCTAGAGTTGAAGGTTTTATGCCAACAAAAATGAAAATTTATGACAGGAGCTCAACAACAGATTTAAGCTGTCAGGGGAAAGAATCAGTGAACACAAAGATAGATTCATAGTGACAAATCTGTAAAAAAAAAACTTAAAAAAACAGAAAAGAACAGAGTATGTAAGAAATGTACAACGTAGTTAAGTAAAACAACATGTAAATGATGAGAGTGTAAGAAGGAGGAGAGCAAGTGAGAAGAAAATATATTCCAGGAAATAATGCCTTAAACTTCCTCAAATTTTATGAAAATCATTATTCTAGACATGTAGGAAACTCAGCAACCTCAGGTTGGTGTATATAAAGAGATCCATGCTTAGTCATATCATCATCAAAATGTTGAAAGACAATGATGAAATCTTGAAAGGAACAAGAGAAAAATGAATAATCACATAAAGGGATGATGTGTAAGATTATCATGTATAAGATTAATGAATGACTTCTCAAAACAAAGAATGGACACCAGAAGGCAGTGGGATAATCTGTTTAAAGAGTTTAGGGCCAGTGGACTGTCCACCAAGAACTTTATGTACAAGAAAATAATCTTTTCCATGTAGAGTAAAAACACAGATTTATTGCAAAGCAGATCCAATTTACAAAAATTAAAAAAAAAAGAATGTTTTGAGGCAGAAAGGAAGTAGCACCAGACAATAATGTGATTACACCTGAAAATACAGAGTACTTGTTAAGGTCTGAAATGTCATGCCTTCCAAAAATTTATATGTTGAAATCCTAGCCTCAGAATGTAATGATATTTGGAGAAAAGGTCTTTGAACTGGTAATAAAATTAAAATTAGGCCATTAAGGTGCATCGTATCAAATATAATTGTTATCTTTACTAAAAGAGAAAATTTGGACACAGACATATACAGGAGGAAGACAATATAAAGATACAGAGAAAAGCTAAGGAGAGGGACCCGAAAGAGTTCTCCCTTTTTTTTTGAGATGGAGTCTCACTCTGTCACCAGGCTGGAGTGCAGTGGCGATCTCAGCTCACTGCAACCTCACCCTCCCAGGTTCAAGCAATTCTCCTGTCTCAGCCTTCCAAGTAGCTGGGACTACAAGCTCACGCTACCATGCCCAGCTAATTTTTGTATTTCTTGTAGAGACTGGGTTTCAACATGTTGTCCAGGATGGTCTCAATCTCTTGACCTTGTGATCACCCGCCTTTACCTCCCAAAGTGCTGGGATTACAGGCATGAGCCACTGTGCCCGACCCAGTTGTGTTTTTTTAAATGGTCCTTAGAAGAAATCAACTTTGCAAAAATTCTTAGACTTCTAATTTCCAGAGTAGAAAAAATATTTTTAAACTCCAGAATGGAAAATAAATTTCTATGTTTAAGCCACTCAGCCTGTGCTATCTTCCTACATCAGCCCAAGCAAATGTTAGTGTTGCTAAATGCAGTGCTTGTAGAGGTGACTGTAGGTAATTATTAAAAGTTATATAAACGTGGAGTAGAAACAGCAGTGTTTGGAGGCTCCCATTGAAAAAACCATAATAAGCATGTGAATTCTTCACCAGCAATCAAGGTATCCAGGTCCTCTCATTACAACTGACTAGCCAGGCTGGCCTGGCCCACAGAGAGAAGGAGGAACAGTGTGGTGCAGCTGTCCACCTGAAGACCACACATGAGAACCAAAGGAGGCAGTGAGTGAGCGTTCTACCCAGCAGGGGAAGCCATGCTTTTTCCATGGAACTGTGCAACCAACCCACGGATCTAAAGATCTCACTCGTGAACCCACACCACCTGGGCCTTGTATCCCAACCCCGGAACGTCCAGACTCCTAACAGCCTTTCTGCTGGGATCTGCTTAGGCTTACCTAACTCCCAGTGGGAGGGGCAACCAGCACCTGGGCTGTAGCTGACTGCTGTCTAAGCCATCTGAGCTCCTTGGAGGAGGGGCAGCAACCAGCACTAGGACTCACAACTGCCTAACATGCTAATCCCCTTGGGTTGCGGAAGGGCAGCATCCATCTCTATAGCTCCAGGCTGTGCTTTTCCCCTGCTGGAGCCAGGGAGGCTGGAGCGCCTGGGTTGAGGGATGAGGGGAGGGAACTTAGAGGATGGATTAATAGGTGCAGCAAACCACAATGGCACATGTATATCTATGTAACAAACTTGCAGATTCTGCACATGTATCCCATTTTTTTAGAAGAAATATTTAAAAAGACATACAAACAGCCAACAAACATAAAACATTATATAATTGTATTTTTTCTTTTTCATATTTATTGATTTAAAAGCAATTTAAAAAACAATATGTAGGCTGGGTGTGGTGGCTCATGCCTGTAATCCCAGCACTTTGGGAGGCCAAGGTGGGAGGACCACCTGAGGTCAGGAGTTCGAGACCAGCCTGGGCAAGTTGGTGAAATCCCGTCTCTACTAAAAATACAAAAATCAGCTGGGCATGGTGGTGCATGCCTGTAATCCCTGCAACTCTGGAGGCTGAGGCAGGAGAATTGCTTGAACATGAGAGGCAGAAGTTGCAGTGAGCTGAGATCACACCACTGTACTCCAGCCTGGGTGACAGAGAAAGATTCCATCTTGGGAAGAACAAACAAACAAAAACCCCAAAACAAACAAACAAAAAAACCCAATATGTATATAATTGTAGTGTTGAGACTAAATATGTAAAGCTGTAATGTATTGGAGAATAACATCACAAAGGAGATGAGGGGGGGAGCTTCATGAGTGAAAGAAAGTTTCACAAGTTGAGAAATCAAATCCACAAGATTAATTAATACAATCAGCAATAGTAATTAGGAAAGTTGCTACAACTAAGTCTGTAAGTATATACTCCCTTTGCTTAGCTTCTTTAGAAGGCACAAAATTATTTACAGTCAACTATTGTCTTCCATTCAATATCTCTTCACTCCCTTGATTGTTTCCTTTGTTGGACAGTAGCTTTTTAGTTTAACATAGTCTGATTTCCCTATTTTCATTTTTGTTACCTATACTTTTCAGTCCTTAGCTGTAAAATATTTGCTACCCCAAAGTCCATAGGCTTTTCCCCCTATATTTTCTTCTACTAGTTTAATCATTTTGGGTCTTACGTTGAAATCCTAAAACCATTTTTAGTTGATTTTTGTGTATGGTGAGAAATAGAGGCTTGCTGTCATTCTTCTGCATATGGATATTCAATTTTCTCAGCACCATTTATTTAAGAGGAATTCCTTTTCTCAACACATATTCTCTGTCTTTGTTGAAAATCAGTTGATTGTAAATACATAGATTTATTTCTTGGTTCTCTATTTCATTTAGTTCTGCTCTGATATTTATTACTCCTTTCCTTCTATTCATTTTGAATTTGGTTTGTTTTGTCTAATTTCCTGATGTGCATCATGTGGTTGTTTAAAATTTTTCTACTTTTTTGATGTAGGTGTGCATTGCTATAAACTTTTCTCTTAGCACTGTTTTTCCTGTGTGCCATAGGTTCTGGCATTTTGTGTTTACATTTTCATTTGTTAAAATATTTTTTCCTATTTTCTTCTTTATTTCTTCATTGACCCAATGATTGTTCAGAAGCATGTTGTTCACTTTCTATGTAATTGTACAGTTTTCAAAGTTCCTCTTGTTACTGGTTTCTAGTTTTATTTTGTTGTGGTCTGAAAAGACACTTGATAGAATTTCAATTTTTTCAATTTGTTGAGACTTGTTTTCTGTCCTAACATATCGTCTATCCCAGAGAATATTCCATGTGCTGATGAGAAGAATTTGTATTCTACAGTTGCTAGATAGAATGTTCTGTTTTTTAGGTCCATTTGGTCTAATGTTCAGTTTAAGATAAATGTTTCTTTATTGAATTTCTGTCTAGATGATCTGTTTAATGATGAGCATGGGATGTGGAAGTTTCCAATTATTATTGTATTGGAGCCTATCTCTCTCTTTAGATCTAATATGCCTGAGTGCTCTGGTGTTGGGTGCATATATATTTAGAATTTTTTATCCTCTTGCAGAATATATCCATTTATCACTATATAATAATCTTCTTTTTCTCCTTTTACTGTTTTTGACTTAAAGTCTGTTTTATCTGATTCAAGTAGAACTACTCCTGCTCATTTTTGGTTTTGTTTGCATGGAATATATCATTCTATCTCTTTAATTTCAGTCTCTATATATCTTTACAGATGAAGTGAGATTCTTGTAGGCAGCATATAGTTGGGTGATGCATTTTTTTTAGGTCAGTCTCTATCTTTGAATTGGGAAATATAATTCATTGACATTCAAGATTATTATAGATAGGTGAGGCCTTATTTCTGTTATTTTAAAAATTGTTTTCTTGTTGTTTTGTGTATCTTTTGTTTCTTTCTCTTTCTCTTATTGTTTATTATTACAGTTTGGTATTTTTCTGTAGTGGTAATATTTGAGTCCTTTGTCTTTCTCATTTTTGTATCTGTTGTATCAGTGAGTTTTACACTTCTGTCTGTTTTTCTGATAGTAGGTAGCATCCTTTCACTTCTGGGTGTAGGATACCCTTAAGCATTTCTTGTATGGCTGGTATAGTGGTGATGAATTTCATCAGTTTTTTGTTGTCTTAGAAAGATTTTATTTCTCCTTCATTCCCAAAGAATAGCTTTTCTGAGTACAGTATTCTTGGCTGACAGCTTTTTTCATTCAGCACTTTGAATATATCATTCCATTCTCTTTTAGCCTGTAGCATATCTACTGATAAATCTGCTGTTATTCTGATGAGGTTTCCCTTATATATGGCTTGACACTTTTCTCTTGCTGATTTTAGAATTCACTCCTTGTTCTTGACTTTTGACAGTTTAACTGTAATGTACCTTGAAGAATACATTTCTATTCAGGGATATGTGAGCTTCCTGCATCTAAAGTCTACACCTCTCATAAGAATTACAACATTTTCAGTTATTTGGTTAAATAGATTTTCTATGCCATTGATCTCTTCTTTGCCTTCTAGAACACCCAAAATTAAAATATTTAGTCACTTTATTATGTCTCGTATGTCATGTTGGCTTTTTTCATTCTTTTTTATTCCTTTTGCTCTGACTGGGTTATTTTAAAAGACCCATATTCAAATTCAGAAATTGTTTTTTCTGCTTGACCTAGTCTATTATTGAAGCTCTCAATTATATTTTTTATTTTATTTATTAAATTATTCAGTTCCATGATTTCAGTTTGGTTATTTATTATTATAACTATCTCTTTGTTGAATTTCTTATTTGCATCTTGAATTGTTTTTCCAATTTGTTTATATTATTTATCTATGGCTTCTTGTATCCTACTGAGCTTCTTTAATATCATTATTTTGAATTCTGTTCAGAAATTTTACAGGTGTCCTTTGGAATCTATTACTTGGAGAATTATTGTGTTTCTTAGGAGTTGTTACATTTTCTTGCATTATCATGTTTCTTATGCTCTTATGTTCATATCTTTGTATCCCCATGTAAGAGTCACTTCTTTCAGTTTTCTCCATTGGCTTTTAAGGGGAAAGAATTTTTTCCTATAGCTTTATGTTATAGTGATAAACACCTACATTTGAAAAGAATGAAGATTACAAATCAATCACTTAAGTGGCCCTCTTCCTCATTGACTTTCAAAGTGCCTCCTAATGAAGTGTAAACTTAGTCTGTTTTTTTGGCTTTTCATGGTATGGATAAAACCTGTTTTGTTTTGTTTTTTTAACTTCTTATTTTCTGTGTCTTTTCACTCATGCTAATGAAGATATCCTATTAGCTGTTTTCTCTACTGCCTTGTATTTTTTTTATGTTTGTCCATATTTTTCCTTTGCAATGCTTTCTTTATTTCTCCGTGTTCTAGTCTTTCTTACATTTTCTTCATTTCTCATTCAAGTCTTAGTAAGAACATGGAAATTCATCTTTTAACCAACATACATGCTAAATCTACCAATGAATGACAGTTGTTTAATGACAGAGGCCACTTTTTCTCTGCATAGAAACAATGGCACATCATTCTTCCCTTTGTTTCCTTTTAGAATACTGTGGTTATTTTCATTAGGGTTGTATAAGCAACCAGTTTTTGGATTTTTTTTTTATATTTTAGCACCCTTTTAGATCATTTTGGTGCAAATCTGTTTCTACTTAGTATCATATATATTTAAAATCTTCCTTATAACACATATAAACTGGCAGTAAATTCTGTCAGCTTTCCTTTGGCTGAAAAGTCTTTCCTTCCTTCATTTTGCAAGGCCGTTTTGCGTAGCATAATTTTGAATTGAGAAATTATTTTTTCTTGAAGTATTTGCTAAAGGTCATTCTATTGTCTTTGGGCTTGTATGGTTTTACAATGAAAGCCTACTGTGTTTTTAACCTATGTTTATCTGTATGTAACCTGTCATATTTGTCTGGCTGCCTTCAATATTCTTTATATCTTTGATTTTCAGCAGCTTAAAAATGAAATGTCTGGGTGGTGTGTTGTGTGTGTGTGTGTGTGTGTGTGCACATGCATGCATGTGTCTGTTGTTTATATTGTTTGGGGTTCACTGTGATTTTAGGACCTAAAGTTTGATGGGGGTTTTTTTATTCATTATTTTTGGAAAATGCTCAGTCATTATATTTTTAAATATTTCTTCCTTCCCATTTTCGTTCACTTTTGCAATTTTGATCACATACATGTTAAAATAGTTTTTTTCTTAATTGTCCCACAGCTTTTGTATGTCTCTTTTATTGGTTTTCTTCACTCCTTTTTCTCTGTGTATTTCAGTAGAGAAAATGTTTAATGACTGTATTAATCCATCCTTACACTGCTATGAAATACCCTAGACTGGGTAATTTATAAAGGAAAGAGGTTTAATTGACTCACAGATCCACATGGCTGGGGAGGTCTCAGGAAACTTAAAATCATGGCAGAAGGCAAGGGAGAAGCAGACACCTTCTTCGCAGGGTGGCAGGACAGAGTGAATACAAGCAGGGGAAATGACAGATGCATATAAAACCATCAGATGTTGTGAGACTCACTCATTAGCACGAGAACAGAAGGGGGGAAACCTCCCCCATGATACAATTACCTGGTGCAATTACCTGGTCCTGCCTTTGACATGTGGGGATTATGGGGATTACAATTCAAGGTGAGATTTGGGTAGGGACACAGGGGCAAACCATATCAATGACCTATCTTCAAGCTTCCTGATTCTTTCCTTAAATATGATGAGTACTCTTATGAAACTTTTAACATAATTCTTCATCCTTGTTACAAGCTTTGATTTCTAGCATTTCTACTTGATTTTCATTATATCCGTTTTTCTAAAAATTCTCATGAAATTCTGACTATTTCCTAACCTTTTCATTAGATCCTTTAACATATTAATAATAGCTACTTAAAATTCACTGTATTATATTTCCAACATCTATATCCTTCTATGAGTCTGATTTTGTTTTTTAAATGTTGAAAGTGAGTTGGAATTTTTTTGCACTTCTCTGTTTCTTGTAATTTTATATTGAATGCTGAACACTGAATTCTGGACATGTAACAGCAGAGACTGATCTGAGGTAAGTAGCAATCGTGCTGAAAAATGGCATACTGTTTTTTCTGCCTGATGGATATTGTGGGGATTTAGTCAATTTAGACAAGATTTCAGCTGGATTTGGGGATTTTGTTGCTATGATTTCTTACAATTGATCACCTGCATAAAATTCTTCTAACATTACCTTGTATAGCTAGGGATGCTAATTTTTTATTAATTATTGTTTCTTCTCTACTCTCAGTGTTCATATGTACCATATGTACCTGTTTCCCAGAGTCTGTATTTGTCTATGCTTGTGATCTTCTCCAGGTGTAAAATGTAATCACTTGTGACTGTTCTTGATAATCAAACGGTGGAATGTAGCTGAAATTTTCTGTTATTTTTTCGTTTTCCTTTTTAGTCAGGCCTTGTTTCTCTGTCCAAATAATATATTCAAGATCAAAATCAAATATAAAATTCTCCTCCATGAAGATCTCTTTTTCCTTTTCTTCTGCTGGATGTCTGTTTTTCCTCTTTTGAATCTCATAGGACTTAATTTATCCTCCCCTTGGTAAGTTCCACGTTTTATTTTGTAATAAACATGCATAAATTTTATCTAATCTTTAAGGTATTGGGACTTTAAGTGCTTACATTGTTTTCCTACATATCTTACAATTCCTAAAGTATGTGAATACAGTCAGTTATCAATAAATACTTACAAAATGAGACCACTTTTGACATAATCTAATGTGTGATACATATTTGGGAAATTTGTCATAGAGCAATTAGTAGTTTGTAGCTTATACTAGTCATTATAAAATGAACATTTTAATGCATAATAAAAATAAATATATAAAAAGGGATCTGAAGATTGAATCATAAATTTCCTTCATAAGTTATTAGCTTCATGTGTTAAGCTAATTATTTTATTAAATTAAAATTTCTGGGTCACTCTAGATAGGGTATTTAATTTTTTAAAAGGGATAGCCTCACATTATATTGCTGAATCTGCAATGCTACTACATTTTATTTCTTTACAGGATGCACTTTTCAATTAAGACGAAAGAGGATATAGTACAAATATTTGATTGATATTGAAGGGGTACTAGAACTCCCATAATAGTAACAGTTGAGCACTTTCATTATGGACTAATGCCAGAATTGCACATAATATATTACAAAATGATGTCTCTTCTCTTTCTTCTTTTCCATTAGCATTTATATGCTATTTCATTGTTCATGATATAGAAAATTTACTTTTTAATTATCAGTGAAGGAATTTTTGTAATGTACAAAAACTACTTATACTTTTGTCACCAATCACCTTTAAAAGCCTACATTATTATACTGGGTATGTGCTCTATGCTTTTAGAGATTGTGACAGTTTGAAATGTATTAAATATGTTATCACTGTGTGTAAATTGACAGAAAAAGTTTGATGCTTAGAATATTTTAAGCATGAAAATATCAAATCCATTATAAAATAACACAAGAAGGAAAATATTTAAAGAAGTCAGTTAATTTATAGAACACTTCACAATATATTTTTGTTTACTTCCTGGAAAAATTAAATGTATTATTGGGAAGTAAAATAAATTCACCTATTAGGAAAGTGGGATACATACTATTTGTAATAAAAGATGAACAAATTTTGTTTACTATGAAGACACATGAAAGAAAAATAATCTTTTAAGTGAATTCATCGTTAGAAAATTTAAAAAAACTATAAATTATACATGTTATATTAATTTATAGAATTTATCTAACTGATGCTACATGGAGTGATTTATTTCAAATAAGTTATTGATATGAAAATCCAAACACACTCTTGTCCTAAAGAAATGCACACACACACACACACACACACACACACACATAGTTTCCTTTTCCCTTTCTCACTTTTATTTTTATTTATGTATTTATTTATTTAGTTAGTTTTTGAGACGAATTCTTGCTCTGTCGCCCAGGCTGGAGTGCAATGGCATGATCTCGGCTCACTGCAACCTCTGCCGCCTAGGTTCAAACAATTCTCCTGCCTCAGCCTCCAGAGTAGCTGGGATTACAGGCATGTGCCATCACGCCTGACTAATTTTTATATATATATATATATATATATATATTTTTTTTTTTTTTTTTTTTTTTTTTTGAGATGGAGTCTCGCTCTGTCGCCCAGGCCGGACTGCGGACTGCAGTGGCGCAATCTCGGCTCACTGCAAGCTCCGCTTCCCGGGTTCACGCCATTCTCCTGCCTCAGCCTCCCGAGTAGCTGGGACTACAGGCGCCCGCCACTGCGCCCGGCTAATTTTTTGTATTTTTAGTAGAGACGGGGTTTCACCTTGTTAGCCAGGATGGTCTCGATCTCCTGACCTCAGGTGATCTGCCTACCTTGGCTTCCCAGAGTGGTGGGATTACAGGTGTGAGCCCTCACACCC
This sequence comes from Homo sapiens, assembly GCF_000001405.40. Lineage (NCBI taxonomy): Eukaryota > Metazoa > Chordata > Mammalia > Primates > Hominidae > Homo > Homo sapiens. Next base: position 185,036,566 of record NC_000002.12, on the reverse strand, counting down.
AGCCTCCTACTCACTTTTAAAATATGTTCTATAATTCTTAATGTTGTCCCATGTGGAAAGAAATTGCTGTTGTACTAAGATTATAACCATCACTTTACAGTTATTTTATATGTACAAATTTATTTTGAGTATGTCCTATACTTGTTCATCTGAATATACACTTCACAAATCATCCCTGCTTATTACTTTCAGCTCAAGATTGATAAATGACTTGTTTCAATACCATAGGTAATTTAAAATGTCTTCATCCTGCCTTTCCTTAGGGCCTCACTTTAGGTAGATTAGGTGTCATCCTTGTTTACGACAAAAAATATAACAGTGAAAGAGTTTCCTATAGATGCGGCAACAGTTAGTAAAATGTATAACCTGCTCTTTTGTAGTTATTATTCTCTGGCATTTCTGCCCTGATAAAATGGTCCAACTAATTTATGAATAGGCAGTTTGCCATTCAGACAGATGGCTCTGACTGAAGTCCAGAGACCATGTATAGTCCAAAAATGCTGGTGTTGACAGGATTTTCAGACATAAAAAATCAAATGACTGTCAGTCTCTTCTTAAAATGTGTCATCACTAACCCACTACTTATTAGACTATGTTCTAATACAATTTTTTTCGTTCCCATAAGAACCGCTTTATAAAAAGGAGTATTTTTATGAAAAATAAAGAGTTGGGCTTCCTGTTTCAAACAACAAGGCAAAATTTTATCTACAAAAGTTAATCAATTCAAACATAAAGTATAATTCTAACCCACAAATTTTATACTACTAGGCCAGAAGGTGATCACGCCACCAAAATGATTAGACTTCTTGCCTTAGAGAAAAAAGATCATCAATAGCTTCAAAATTATTACTTCTGATATGATCTATAATTCATGAATATAAAGCACTATATTAGATTTATTTTTAATAGTAGTTTGATATGTAAGAAACCTTAGTTATGATTTACTGTGAAATTAGTTTATTTTTCATCAACTATCTGAAACATAAAATAATAACTGAAAGACAAGTAAACATCAATAGAATTAGTAGCCCTATATTCTGATACCAATTTTCAATTGAAACTAAACAAAATCTACCACACATTTGCTTTAAATGTCTATGTTACTGGTACATATAGACACTACCTTTATTTATAATGTTTTTTTAATATAAAAGGGGATCAGTCTGCTAAAAATACTACTGTTTTGATGATTGGCATGGTTAATGGCATTGGGTGCAAAACCACTATTGTCATGAGGCCTTTCTTAAAAAGAAAAAAGGAATATGATGTTCTAATGAATTTAGGAGAAAAGTTGTTTTATAATGCAGAGAATATTCTACTCCATCTAAATATCACTCTGTCTAAATCACAAACTCACTTTCAAAGTTATTTGGGATTGCTTCAAAAAGACAACGTTTTAAAAGACTGTTTGAAGGCAAAAATGGGTAAAAACTAGAATAAATTTAACATATATACATTAAAATAATTATTTGCAATTTCACTGCAAGCTAAACAAAATAATGAGTGCTGAAAAATAGCAAATTTTGAAAACACATGCAGGGTCATTACTATTTATATGCATTCAGCATTAGAACAATCATACCAACAGGCAGCAGTGAGTAAATAGAGACTAGTTAGTAAATGGAGCCTTCATTTAAGTAGTCGCAGTTTTTAATTTTCCTCCATGAAGCCAAACTGCCAATATGAGTAAGCTTGGAGCTCTTTAGCAAGAACTACTAATATATAAATATATAGCTAGTTGGTTAATGATTTACATATTATTTCTACATTATTCTCTGTGCAGATTCCTGTGTGAGAGCAAAATGATAAAACATAGATCTTATTCTTTAGAAGTTCAATACACATTAGTGAGACAGGACACATATCTAAGTGAAGATGTGCAAAGAAACAATTGAAAGAGACATCATAAGAGTTTCGTAAGGGACATAGAAAACAATGTATAGTATAAATTAGTACTTAAGAATAAAAAATGAAATTCAAATAATCGGTTAAAAAAAAAGAGGATATAAAAATTAATTTTTACAAATAACAGTGTCCAAATAGTTATTTAATGTGAGTGAAACCAACAAATTCTTATTTGCAAAAACAAAATTTCTGAAAATATCTTTGGCCCTTTCTCTTCATTACAATAAATATTATGTTACCATTCTATTTTTTAATTATAAACGTTTCAATCATACAGAGTAATGTAATGAGCTAATTTAGACATATTAATTACCTCAATTTGCTTAAAACAAGTATCAAGTTTGTGATCACTTAGAGTTATGACATTCAGATGCTGTAGTGTGGAATTTACTATGGTTCTATTAAACATTTTAATCAATTTCAAATATATTCAGCCTATTATTTTCCATATTGCAAATGCAACAAAAAACAAATGTTTTAGTTTTGAACTTAGAAAATAAAAAGTCATCATTTTAACCAATTGAAAAAGGCTTCATTCACACAGCATTGCAGATATTTAAGGTGAGTCCAAAATCTACAACATTTTCTAAATATTTTACCATTAGACTCCTTATTCTTGAAGAATCTTGTCAAACTATTGTACATTGAACAAAAATTAGAAAACAAAATTTTAATGATACTTTCAAAATATAAGACAAAAAATAAAATTAAAAGGGGGAATATAGTCTTGGCAATCTTAATAATAGTATAAGCAAAATCATCATACTAGGAAAGGCTATTACAGCAAAGACAAATGTTCTTTATATTAAATTAGAAAAAGACTATCATCTTGACATCTGCTCCAGTATAAAATACTGATGAACTAGTTACAGTGGTCTTGAGTGGAAACATCACAGTTTGGAAATAAACTAGCTAGACTTACCAAGAGAAAAGGAGGAAAGACTCAGATAAATAAAATCAGAGATAAAAGAGGCGGCATTACAACTGATACCACATAAATACAAAGAATCCTAAAAGACTACTCTGGACAATTATATGTCAAAAATTGGATAACCTTGATGCTAGAAGTTGAATAATCTCATAGAAATGGATAAATATTTAGACACATACAACTGACAAAGACTGAATCATGAAGAAAAAAAAAAAAACAGAAAACCTCAGTAGACCAGCAATAAATAAGAAGATTGAAGCAGTAATAAAAAGTCTCCCATCAAAGAAAACCTCAGGATCTGATACTTTTACTGCTGAATTCTGCCAAACATTTAAGGAAGAACTAATACGATTTCTCCATAAACCTTTTCAAAAATCAAAAAAGAGGGAATACTTCAAATTTTTTGCAATGCTAGCATTAACTTAACTTCATACCAAAACCACACAAGGACATCATAAGAAAAGAAAACTACAGGCCAATATACTTGATGAATATAGATGCAAAAAATTATCAACAAAATACTAGCAAACCAAATTCAACAACAGATTAAAAGGATCATTCACCATTATCATGTGGGATTTATTACTAGAAAACAAGGATGGTTCAAAATTTGTAAATTAATAAATGTAATACAGAACAGTAACAGAATGAAAGGAGAAACATCATTTGATCATTTCACTACATGCAGAAAAAGTGTTTGACAAAATTCAGCATGCTTTCATGATAAAAACACTCAACAAGGTATAAAGGGAATGTACTTCAACACCATAAAGACCACATATAATAATCTCACAACTAATATTATACTGAACAGTGAAAATCTGGAACCCTTTTCTCTAAGATCAGGAACAAAACAAGGATGCCCATTATTGCCACTTCTATTCAATATAGTATTGGAAGTCCTTGACAGAGCAATAAAGCAAGAGAAAGAAATAAAATGCATCCAAATAGGAAAAGAAAAAGTGAAACTGTTACTATTTGTTGACAATAAATATTATATAAAGAAAACTGAAAATAATCCATCAAAAGAATGTTAGAACTGACAAAAATTTAATAAAGCTGTAGGATATAAAATCAACATAAAAATCAGCAGTGTTTTTATACACTAAAAACGAGCTTTCTTAAAAATCAATCAAGAGAATAATCCCGTTTACAATAGCTAAAAAAAAAATAAAATACTTAGAAATAAATTTAACCAAAAAGTTTAAAGACACAAACACTAAAATCTATAAAACATTAATGAAATAAATTGAAGAAGAAATACATAGGTGAAACAATATTGTATGTTTATGGATTAAAACAATTAATATTGTTAAAATGACTATACTACCCAAAGCTTACTACAAATTCAATGCAATCTTTATTCAAACTCCAATGTCATTTTTCATAGCTATAGAAAATATCATATATAAATATCATTTATAAATCATATATAAAAATATCATATATAAAGGTATAGATATATCATTTTTCATAGGTATAGATATAGATTGATTTCATATGGATCCACACACACACAAAAACAAATAGCCAAGGCTCTCATTCAAAAAGAACAAAGCTGGAGGTATCACACTATTTTGTTGCAAACTATATTACAAAGTAATAGTAATTACAGCAGCATGGTACTGGCATAAAAACAGACACATTGACAAATAAAATAGAATAAAGAGTCCACAAGTGAGATTCTAACTATGGTCAATTAATTTTAAACAAATGTGTCAAGAATATGCAATGGGAAAAGGACAGTTTCTTCAATAAATGGAGTTGGAAAAATGGGATATTTCAATAGAGAAGAATGAAATTGAAACCCTATCTCATACCATATAAAAATCAAATCAAAATGGATTGGAGACTTAAACATAAGATCTGAAGCATAAAAACTATAAGAATAAAACAGAGGAAAACCACATGACATTGGTTTAGGCAAAATTTTTTTAGATCCCAAAACTGCAGGCAACAAAAGCAAAATAGACAAATGAAATTACGTCAAAATAAAAAGGATTCTGCACACCAAAGGAAACAAGTAACAGGGTGAGGAGACAACTTATAGGTGGGGAGAAAATATTTGCAAACTAAAGTACTAATATGTACAAGATAAAGTATTAATATATAAGATATATAAGAAATTCAAAGAACTCTGCAGAAAGAAAACAAATATCCTAATTGATTAAGAAATGGCAAAAGACCTGAACAGACATTTCTCAAAAAATTCTCAAAAGAATCTTCTTGGTCTATATCTCTGTTTTGGTAACAGTACCATGCTGTTTTGGTTACTGCAGCCTTGTAGTATAGTTTGAAGTCAGGTAGCATGATGCCTCCAGCTTTGTTCTTTTAGCTTAGGATTGACTTGGCAATGCGGGCTCTTTTTTTGGCTCCATATGAACTTTAAAGTAGTTTTTTTTTCCAATTCTGTGAAGAAAGTCATTGGTAGCTTGATGGGGATGGCATTGAATCTATAAATTACCTTGGGCAGTATGGCCATTTTCACGATATTGATTCTTCCTACCTATGAGCATGGAATGTTCTTCCATTTGTTTGTATCCTCTTTTATTTCATTGAGCAGTGGTTTGTAGTTCTCCTTGACGAGGTCGTTCACGTCCCTTGTAACAGAACAGAGCCCTCAGAAATAATGCCGCATATCTACAACTATCTGATCTTTGAAAAACCTGACAAAAACAAGAAATGGGGAAAGGATTCCCTATTTAATAAATGCTGCTGGGAAAACTGGCTAGCCATATGTAGAAAGCTGAAACTGGATCCCTTCCTTACACCTTATACAATAATTAATTCAAGATGGATTAAAGACTTAAATGTTAGACCTAAAACCATAAAAACCCTAGAAGAAAACCTAGGCAATACCATTCAGAGCAGAGGCATGGGCAAGGACTTCATGTCTAAAACAGCAAAAACAATGGCAACAAAAGCCAAAATTGACAAATGGGATCTAATTAAACTAAAGAGCTTCTGCACAGCAAAAGAAACTACCATCAGAGTGAACAGGCAACCTACAGAATGGGAGAAAATTTTTGCAATCTACTCTTCTGACAAAGGGCTAATATCCAGATTCTACAATGAACTGAAACAAATTTACAAGAAAAAAACAACCCCATCAACAAGTGGGCAAAGGATATGAACAGACACTTCTCAAAAGAAGACATTTATGCAGCCAAAAGACACATGAAAAATTGCTCATCATCACTGGCCATCAGAGAAATGCAAATCAAAACCACAATGAGATACCATCTCACACCAGTTAGAATGGTGATCATTAAAAAGTCAGGAAACAACAGGTGCTGGAGAGGATGTGGAGAAATAGGAACACTGTTACACTGTTGATGGGACTGTAAACTAGTTCAACCATTGTGGAAGACAGTGTGGCTTTTCCTCAGGGATCTAGAACTAGAAATACCATTTGACCCCACCATCCCATTAGTGGGTATATACCCAAAGGATTATAAATCATGCTGCTATAAAGACACATGCACACATATGTTTATTGCGGCACTATTCACAGTAGCAAGGACTTGGAACCAAGCCAAATGTCCAACAATGATAGACTGGACTAAGAAAATGTGGCACATATACACCATGGAATACTATGCATCCATAAAAAATGATTAGTTCATGTCCTTTGTAGGGACATGGATGAAGCTGGAAACCATCATTCTCAGCAAACTATTGCAAGGACAAAAAACCAAACACCGCATGTTCTCACTCATAGGTGGGAATTGAACAATGAGAGAAAATGGACACAGGAAGGGGAACATCACACACCGGGGCCTATTGTGGGGTAGGGGGAGAGGGGAGAGATAGCATTGGAGATATACCTAATGTTAAATGAAGAGTTAATGGGTGCAGCACACCAACATGGCACATGTATACATCTGTAACAAACCTGCACGTTGTGCACATGTACCCTAAAACTTAAAGTATAATAAAAAAAAAGAATCTTCTTATCAGAAGACAGATACAAGAAAAAATTCTCAAAATCACTAATCGTTAGGGAGATGCAAACTAAAATCACAATGAAATACCACCCCATACCTGTCAGAATGACTAGTATCAAAAAGAGGACAAGTGTTGGTAAGGTTGCAGAATAGAGAGCCCTTGTACACTGTTGGTGGGAATGTAAATTAGTACAGTCATTATGGAAGGCACTATGAAGATTTATCAAAAACCTAAAAGTAGAATTACCATAGGATTCAGCAATCCTATTAAACTCATAAAAGCAGAGAGTACATTGATGGTTTTCAGAGGATGAGGGATGGGTAAAGTGGGGAGATGATATTCAAAAGATACAGGGCCTCAGTTAAATGGGAGAAAGAAGTCTGTGTTTTTTTTAGATCAATTGCAAAATTGGTGAATATAGTTGATAATTGAATACTGTACCTTCAAAATCACTAAGAAACTAAATTTCAAATGTTCTAGTCACAAAATGTTAAATATTTGTGGTAATAGATGCTTACTTAACTAAATTATTCCACATTTTATTCAAAAATCATATTATTTTGTATCACAGGAATATATACAATTATAATTTGTAAATGTGTAATAAAAATTTTAAATGTATAAGCATGTGCCAAGAAAGTATTTCTCAACTTTCCATTTAATATGATATTAGTATATGGTACATTTTTAAAAAAGAATGCTTCATCCCAGCACTTTGGGAGGCCGAGGTGGGTGGATCACAAGGTCAGGAGATTGAGACCATCCTTGCTAACACGGTGAAACCCCATCTCTACTAAAAATACAAAAATTAGCCGGGCGTGGTGGCGGGCACCTGTAGTCCCAGCTACTCGGGAGGCTGAGGCAGGAGAATGGTGTGAACCCGGGAGGCAGAGCTTGCAGTGAGCCGAGATCGTGCCACTGCACTCCAGCCTGGGCGACAGAGTGAGACTCTGTCTCAAAAAAAAAAAAAAAAAAAAAAGAATGCTTCAAGTGTTTTTTACTTCTTGTCAGAATACCTTTATTGAGTATAAAATCAAGAATACTGAAATGGTCCTGCAGGAAAATCTGTCAAGTGACAATGAACCCTGGGGTTCCTGAGTATACATGACTTGTGCATGTAAGAAGTTTGCAAAAATGAGTGGCTGCTTGGTTTTGGATTTGAGACATATTCATTGCCTTAGGATATTGGCACTAAGCATGACCACAGATTAGGAAGATGGTTTAAAAATAGAAAACAGGCTGATTGAAAAATAGAAAATAAGTAAAGTTAATATAAAGTTATATTAAGCATCAAATTTAGTCAATGTTCCTAAGCAGAGAAGACTAAAAAGCAAGTTATCATTTTTTTCATACATACCTATTTCTGCAATTTTGGGAACAGAATGAGCAGGTCTTTGAAGGACAGTTGAGAAATTTATTTCAAGAATTGGAGTCAAATCACATGCAAAAAATATCATGTGTTTATGTTAAAGGTGTTTCATACAGTAAGTGAAATTAATTACCATCATAATGTTTCTAGGTAGGCATTTTGTTCTTTAAGTCTAAAATTTTAGTTTAATATTTCTACTTCTGTAAGCTTTATTTTAAGAAATTTTATTATAAAAGATGTGCAAAATATTTATTGCAGTTTGGGAAAATTACAATTGTGAAAAAAGGAAAATGCCTCAAATAAGCATCTTGATATGGTTTTTCTGTGTCCTCACCCAAATCTCATCTTGTATTTTAGCTCCCATAATTCCTTCATGTTGTGGGAGGGATCAAGTGGGATATAATTGAATCATGGGGGCGGATCCCCCAAACTGTTCTCATGGTAGTGAGTAAGTCTCATGAGATCTGATGGTTTTGTAAGGGAAAAACCTTTTTGCTTGGCTCTCACTCTTCTCTTGTCTGCCATCATGTGAGAGATGCCTTTCACTTTCCACCATGATTGTGAGGCCTCCCCAGCCACAAGGAACTGTCAGTCCATTAAACCTCTTTCTCTTGTAAATTGCCCAGTCTTGGGTATGTCTTTATCAGCAGGATGAAAACGGACTAATACATATCTCATGTTTAAAAAATAGAAATAGCTCTTTGAAACACTAATTGTTTCTTTTGCATATATACCCAGGAATGGGATTTCTGGATCACACAGTACTCTTATTTTTAGTTTGCTGAGGAAGCTCCATACTGTTCTTCATAGTGGCTACACTAATTTGCACTCCCACAAACAATGTATGAGAGATCCCTTTCATCTGCATCCTTGCCAGCATTTTTTTTCTTTGTCCTTTTGATAATGGCCAGTCAAACTTGGATGAGGTAATAATCCGTTATGATTTTTATTTTCATTCCCTTGATGATTAGTGATGTTGAACATTTCTCATATATCTGTTGGTTATTTTTATGTCTTCTTTTAGAAAAGGTCTATTCAAGTCTCTTGCCCATTTTGATTGGATTATTAGACTCTTTCCTATAGAGTTATTTGAGCTCTTTATATCATCTGGACATTAAACCGCTGTCAGATGCATAGCTTGAAAATACTTTCTCCCCATCCATAGGTTGTCTCTTTACATTATTGTTTATTTAGTTGTGCAGAAGCTTTTTGTTTGATGTAATCCCATTTGTCTATTTTTGTTTTTGTTGCCTGTACTTTTGAGATCTTATTAAAAAAATTCTTGCCCAGTACAATTTCACAAAGTGCTTCTCCTATGTTTTCTTCTGGTAGTTTTATGTCTTACATTTAAGTCTTTAGTGCATTTAGAGTTCATTTTGTATGTAAGTTTCATTCTTGTGCATGTGGCTATCTAGTTTTTCCAGCACCATTTATTGAAGAGACTGATGCGGCACTATTCACAATAGCAAAGATATGGAATCAACCTAAATACCCATCTACAGATGAATTGGGAAAGAAAATGCGAATATTATTGAGCCACAAAACAGAATGAAATTCTGTCATTTACAGCAACGTTGGTGAACCTGAAGGACATTATGTGTAAAGAAGTGAGCCAGGCACAGAATGACAAACACCACATCAGCTCTTTCATACGTGGAATCTATAGAGTAGTGGTTACCAGGGACCAAGGAGCAGAGTGGTTACCAGGAAATTTTGGTACAAAGTTACAGCTAGAAAAGAAGAATAATTTCCGATGTTCTGTTACACAGTAGGGTAACTACAGAAAATAATAATGTAGTGCACATTTCATGATAGCTTGAAGGCAAGATTTTGAATGCTGTCACCACAAAGAAATGATAAATGTTTAAAGTGATAGATATGGTAATTACCCCACGTTGATCATTATGCAATGTATACATCCGTTGAAGTATCACATTCTACCCCATAAATATGTATAAGTATGTTTCACTGTAAATTAAATAATAATTAATAAAAAAGTAAAATAAGGCTAGGCACGGTGGCTCACGCCTGTAATCCCAGCCCTTTGGGAGGCCAAGGAGGGTGGATCACCTGAGGTCAGGAGTTGGAGACCAGCCTGGCCAACATGGTGAAACTGTCTCTACTAAAAATACAAAAATTAGCCAGGTGTGGTGGTGTGCAACTGTAGTCCCAGCTACTTGGGAGGCTGATGCAGGAGAATCTATTGAACTCGGGAGGTGGAGGTTGTGGTGAGCCGAGATCATGCTACTGCACTCCAGCCTGAGTGACAGAGTGAGACCCCATCTCGAAAATTAAATAAATAAATAAATAAATAAATAAATAAATAAATAAATAAATAAAAAGCCTGCCCTAAAAAAATTGAGATGGGAGTGTTAAATTATACTTATGGCATGAAAAAAATGTAAAACAAAGCAGATAACAAAAGAAAATCAAAACAGAAACAGAACATATCAGGCTCCAGAATGTCCATGTTGCATAAATATTCAGGTCTATCTCTTATGGAAATTATGCCCAAAAAGGGAATTATTACATGAACATAAACAAGCATCCTCAACATGCTTTTTCAACAAAACTAGAAAGAGGTACAATTTGAGATTGCAACATGTAAATCCTATCAAAAAGATACAAGATCAGGAAGAAATTATAAAATAGTAAGTGGAATGAAAGTAACCTCACAGAACAATCTTGATGAAAATGTCATGCAGTGGCAGATATCAAAGACCTCCCAGTCAGCAACAGATACACTTCCTAAATAAACTGCATTGTCTAATGTGGAAAGACACATAACTTTTTTGCCACAGTTGATTTTTAGAAGTAGGGTGAACAGGGTTGATGTGAGTATTCCACAAACTTGATGGGATTCAATTTATTATAGGAAACGAATTTATGTAAGAATATAGACAAACCATACTGTGTTACCAAAATACCAGGGGTTCGGGCAGCTCGCCACAAAGAATGCCAATCATTGAGATGATGATTTTTGCCAAGGAAGAAGACTAATTGGGTGCTGGAGCCGTGAAGATGGGAGATGAGTCTCAAATCCATCCCCCTGACCAACTAAAGTTAGGGGTTTATATAGGAGGGAAGAAATATAACAATGTGTAGAAAAACAGAAACTCAAGAGGGGCAAGGAAGCAAACATGATGAATGAGGGGTCCTGCATTGCATTATCTGGATGTGATGATCTGGTGAGTGTCAGTTCTTTGACACTTTCTGAGAAAACTAGGGGACCTTTCGTGAAGAAGGAACTCAGATAAAATAAATGTAAATTTCTTTAAAAAAATATTTCCATAGGTTTTTTGGGCAAACAGGTGGTATTTGGTTACATGAGTAAGTTCTTTAGTGGTGATTTATAAGATTTTGGTTCACCTATCTCCTGAGCAGTATACACTGGACCTAATTTGTAGTCTTTTATCCCGCACCCCCTTCCAGCCCTTTCCTCCTGAGTCCCCAAAGTCCATTGTGTTATTCTTTGCCCTTGGGTCCTCATAGCTTCCCTCCCACTTATGAGTGGGAACATATGATGTTTGGTTTTCCATTCCTGAGTTACTTCAATTGTAATAATAGTCTCCAATCCCATCCAGGTTACTGTGAATGGATTAATTCATCCTTTTTTATGGCTGAGTAGTATTTCATTGTGTGTGTGTGTGTGTGTGTGTGTGTGTGTATATATATATATATATATATATACATATATATATATATACATATATATATATATATATATGTTCATTTATCCATTCATTGACTGTACCAGTTTACATTCTCACCAGCAGTGTAAAAGTGTTTTCTTTTCACCAAATCCACACCAACATCTATTATTTTTTGTTTTTTTGATTATGGCCATTCTAGCAAGAGTAAGGTGGTATTGCATTGTGATTTTGATTTGTATATCTTGTATTTCCCTGATCATTAGTGATGTTCAGCATTTTTTCATATGTTTGCTAGCCATTTGTGTATCTTCATTTGAGAATTTTCTATTCATGTCTTCAGCCCACTTTTTGATGGCTTTAAGACCTAAAGGGTCAACTTCTACGTTTATTAAAAAAAAAAACTGTCTATGGGACCATTAGACTGGTTTCACTTGCAGAAAGCAGTAAAGTCTGTGGCTCCAGATAAGTGATTTATTTGTTTGATGAAAACAAATCATCTTAGGACAGTGCCTAATACCTCGCTGCCTCCCAAACTGGGATATTCTAGCAAATCATTGATTTAGAAAAAAATCCAAGTAATTCAGTTAAAAATAATAACAAAAGGAACTGGTATAGCATCATATCATACAAGGATTCACCACAAAAGTGTAAATTGAAAGATATCAAAGACTATTAATAGATGAAGAACGTTTATCAGAAGAAATACACCCATGTAACAGATGAGTGTCATGATCAAATGTTTTTCTATGAATTTAATATAGCTAATGGAATGATGTTTCTGTGATATCTAAGTTGGCAGATACTAGACTCACCTGCAAAAAGAACTATAGGAAACTTGATAAATTACCATAACAATAGTAACAAATAACTAATAAAACAACAAAAATAAAGCACTATCTGAACAAAAGCCCTGCCTATTGAAGGCATTAGAGAACAACCAGAAAAAGAATTGAGAAGCCAAATTTATTAACAGAAAGTAATCACATTAAAGTGTGCTGGATCTTCACAGCCTTCCTCTCCCTCTCTCAAGATAATATGTCTATTTATAAGGGTTAAAGTTTAATAGAGAAAAAGACGTAAGGAAGTATTCCTAGACTTCAGAGAAAAAAAGCTCCACTGAAAAGCAACTGTGTATGCATCATTATCATCTTCACTCTCTTCTCCTATATGACAAGTGCACTGTGACTTTTCATGTTACTTAAAAATACAGACTTTTTTGTTTTTGTGTTTGTTTTCAATCTCACGTTGCTAAAAATCAAGTCCTATCTCCTCTTTTTAAGTCTTTGTTCTATTTTACTCTCAAGCTTAGTTTGCAAAAAAAAGAATTCTCACAATATTCTTTCTAAATTGCACATTCTTATTTAACGTAGGCCTTCATCAACTTCACCAACAAACTAAGCAGCAATAAGACTATCAGAAAAATCAAGTTTAAGACATGTGCCTAGGCATATTTATCTCTCAGGTATTGTCAATTGACATCATTTCAATCACCCTGTTTGCTACTGTGCCTTGCAGTGATGTTTGCTTTTATACTAAAAAAAAAAAATAAGAATAAAATATGACAATTGACTTTTGGTTATATTTCCCCTTCTTTACAATGCTCTAGAATTTTTTTCCAATTAGGAGGGTAAAACTTACTCAATGTGAAGTACAGTAATGCATTGAGGACATTAGACAAATTAGCTCAGTATGAAGCCTAGTGTTTCTTTTTTTCCTTTTTAAGGATGTTAAACAAGTCTATCCATAAAATTGCATATTTTTGGTTCTATTATGTGTCCTATTTTTATTTCAATTTTCAAATGTGTATTGCTAGTAAATAGAATGACTAAATTTTATATATTAATCTTACATCTTGCCACATTGATTAACTCACTTATAAGTTCTAATATGTTCTTTGTAAATGCTTAAGGATTTTTCAAAAGTGTTCCTATCCATATTTTCCAGCACCATTTATTCAATAGCTATCTCTATTCACAGATGGCATTTATAGACACAAAAGCAAATGTAAACAAATAAATTTTGAATAGCTATACTAATATGAATAAAAAATCACCTACAAAAGGAAGCAGTCTGGTTTCAGCTTTCTCCTACAAATCATTTATCTTCAGAAATTAGTGTAGCAATATCTACTAGATCATCAGAGAAAGAAAGCGTAACTTGAGGATTTTGTATTTTATATTCAGCAAAAGCATTCTTAAAGTATAAAGGTGTTGAAAGCTTGAGGCCAGGCGCGGTGGCTCACACCTGTAATCCCAGCACTTTGGGAGTTTGAGGCAGGCGGATCACTTGAGGCCAGGAGTTTGAGACCAGCTTGGACAACATCATGAAACCCCATCTCTACTAAAAATACAAAAAAAAAAAAAATAGATGGGCATGGTGGTGGGCACCTTTAATCCCAACTCCTTGAGTGGCTGAGGCAGAAAAATCACTTGAACTCGAGAGGCAGAGGTTGCAGTGAGCCAAGACTGTGACACTGCAATCCAGACTTGGATGACAGAGCAAGGCTCTCTCTCAAAAAAAATAAAAATAAAAATAAAAAAAATAAAATAAAGCTATTGAAAGCTTATAGTACGTTCTTGTCAAGGTTGAAAATGGCATTATCATATATTGCTAGAGGAAATCTTGATACAAAAATAATAGTAAGGAATTTGGCATTATCAGAATTACAAGCACCTATGCCTCTTGACTTTGACTAATTTTTAAAATAAATCCTATCATCTATTCTAATATAGGTCAACATTAAATTGCTCATACTCAATTTATATTAAGAAAATATTAGAATAATACAAAAGTCCTGGTGTTTCACATGCTACCATGTTAACATTTTGTGCAATCAGGAACCAGCAGCTGAAGACAAAATACTCTAGTGTAGCTGAACACATCACTCTCCAGAGAAACCCAGTATTAAACACAATGCCCAATCACTCTATATCCTTCATCTTGGTTTATTCTGTTTTGTAAATGTTTAATGTGTAATTCTTGCTGATTTTGCCTATGTATCCTTGTCCCGGTAATTGAGCAACCTCAATTCTTTATTATTTCCCCGTCTTCATTTCTCATTTTCCCTAAACTTTAATAAGTAAAGTTCTTAATTTTCTATTAATTAATTAGAATTTAAGAAGTCAATATTTTACCAATAGTTTACTTGACTTGTTATTTCTTGTATTAGCACTCTAGTTAAAAAGTTTAATTATTTTGGAACAGTGTGCATTTAATGCTTTTTTTTCCATAAGTCATTACTATCAGTGTCCAATGTTATAAAATACAGGGTTTTGCAAAACAGATATTAGGTAACTTTTTCTTTTCATATCATGTCAGTTAAAATAGTTAAGTCCTGCCTCCTTCACCCATGTTTTTTTCTGATCTATCTAACCTTTGAAACTAGTTCATAGTAGTTTTCTCACATTTCAAAGTATTCAAAAGCAATTAAACTATCAGAAAACAAAAGTTGGGACACGTTTTTGGGCAGATGTATCACTTCACTTCAAATCACTCTATTTAGATGGGTACTGCTCCTTGTACTAACATTTATATTAACTCTCAAAAGAATGTTCAAGAAAATGTGAGGAATAAATAAGGCAACTGACTTTGGTTATTTTTATCTTTGTTCATGATCATTTAGAAATTCTGGTTAATCAGGAAAACAAGTTTCTCAATCTGAAGTCCAGTTTTGCATTAAGGAAATAAGGCATGTTAATGATTTAATTCAAGCAGTGACATAAAAATGTTGAAGGACAACCAAGTACATATAGTGCATTAACTTAGATGTGTTGGTAGACATTATAATATATTTTTATACTTTAGTAGTTAATTTTACTGTAATTAATGCTAACTCTTTTTGAGTTGCCTTTGAATCTCTTAATTTCTTCAATTATGCCATTAAAATTATTGTATTGAAAATTGTGTCAAAAACAAAAAGATTGATTGCCACCGGTGGATAATCAGTGGCTTCCTGTTTGCAATTGAATTTTGAGAACATGATTTAAAATTTATCTGAAACTCTAGACCAATTTCACATTGTTTTCATAATTAAACTCTCAATAGCTGTTAAATACCAAAAGACTGCACGTGTGATTTAGGCGCTAAATTTGGTGTCATAAGCTCTTTTATCATGTGCACACCAACAAAGTGCCACTATCATTAAAAGTAATTCTGTCTATTTCATCATTGTTCTAATGACTTTGAAATCTCCTTTGGCAATGTCATTGGATAGTAAAGAGGTCGATTAACCAAAGTTCTTGTATATCTGAACATAGATATATTCTCAAGAATAGAATAGAATAGAAGCTCCTCTCTTCTGAATAAAAAGAAATCCTAGGCTATTTATATGTACTTTAGGGTGCTTATCGAGTAATTTATGATATCACATTATGTGTTGGTTGAAATCTTTACCAACTTCCAGTGCTTGTAAGCCCATTTTCTCTGCATCTATTGATATGAACATACAAAGGAGGTAGACCTCACTCAGATTTTCAGCAGTGCAGAATGGATAACGATCGAGATTTATTCTTCATTCTAAAATACCCTTTAACAAAAGTTACACATCGCATAAATGTCTCCTGCTCCTATCCTATTATGTATGTACAACATTTTTAATATTCTAGTGTAGTCATTTTAATTATTTAATAATATTATTATATGATTTAATATATATGTGAATATTAAAGATTTCCAATGATCCTACTTTTAAACCAGGTCTATAGATATTCTCTTGTCTATGTCATTTATCTCTTATTTAGTCAATTTCCTTTATTGAAATTCCCTTACTCATTTTCTTTCTCAGAAAGATAAAAATGTTTAGAAAATGGTATCTTATCTGAACTATTAAGTTTTACAATCATGTAAAGAGAGAGGGCTTTTGATGTTGAAAGTTTCATATCTTAACTTTCAATAAAATTATAGAGAATTTAAAATAAACTGTATTTAAATTGCCTTTTAATGTGGTTTTATCTTTCCTATGAAAAATTGAAATTAAAATAACGTATTGCCAATATTTCCCAGAGATAGGCATTTTATCATGTTTCTTGTATAATTTCAACAGTACGTGCTTGACCTAATGTGACTTTATGTTACATGTAATAGTGAATTTGGATACATATTTAGATTAACTCTCTGTCAATATTGATTATGTTTTAAAAATTCCCAAGAAATTACATAATCTTAGATAAACATGTATAGAATTAATATTTTACAAATAAATTTAAAATATGTATGACAATACCCAAATGCATTAAGTTAAAGGAAAACACATCAAATTTATCTAGTACAGTTATAAGAGTTTTGAACAATATTGAAACATGGATTTATTCCATTTCTCTAGATCTTTTAGTCAAGGATTTTAGTGTAACATATTTGACAACTAATGTTATTTTACTGTTATTCTTAAGTATACACTACTGTACATACATTATTTAAAAATACAGATAAATGTGTGCAAACATACAAATACATGCAGTTTAGTATACTACTCATATACTCAACCCCAATGGATTCTTAGTTTCATTTGACTAAGAGTGATTATACATCGATTTTCATATTTTATAAACATTTCTGTAATAATATTTTTCACAGTATCATATTATAATTAAGTAAGATACTTTAGAAAGTATTAAAAAAAACCTGAGGTACAAGAAATAATGTTGAGAAAATAAGCTGTTAAGCCTACCTAATTGTTAATTTTTTTATAAAAGCAATAATTTTATGATGAAATACCAGATGACCTCAAAATGGGAATGAGTAGGACAAAGAGGCCAATATTTTCCTAAAAATGTTGCTAATGTTCTTTACTAGTATTATATGTAGGGAGGACACATTAATTCTACAGACTGCTAAAGAAACAAGTTAAAATGCATGTCTTAAGTTGCCAAAAACAACTAACTAAAGAGGAGAAATAATATGCATTTCTACAACCACTTGAGGAAAAGAACAATATGTAGACAAACAAAGCAAGAAAAATCTAGTAAAACATATCTCAAAAAAAGGAGTCAAGCAAAATAAAAACATAAAAGTGATATAATTCAATTTATTGTATCAGTAAACATAATAAATGCATATGAGTTAAATTTGTCTATTAAAAGTATAGGATTTTAGCCAATATAAAATTTAAAAATTAATATAGTACTTTCAAAAGAAATTCTGAAGTGAACAGAAAACTAAAGCAATAAAGATAACCTAGAAAATGCAGTAATTATAATATCAAATAGAATATTTTAAAACTCTATTTTTTCCACTATTTGTAATATCTGATAGAACAGTAGTAATTTTAGCATCAGACAGAATAGAATTCAAGACAGAAAACTTTCAAAGATCGGAACATGGATATCACATTTTAGTAATTCTAGGAGCTTAAATAGAGGAAATTACACAATTGATGTTAAGTTAAGGCCCTAATAAAAGTGGGAACAGTGAATACATAGATACATACAAATAACTAAATAATAGCTAATAATAGTCAAAATATACAATTTTTGGCAATAAAAGCAATACAATTAGATTGAAGCTTAGTATAAGTGATACATTTTTTGTTTCCTTACATAAAAAAGTAATCAATGTACAGCCTACTGTTTCAATTGTAAAACGTAGTTATTGATGCCCAGTGCTGCAGAATAATCATGGTAAATAGGTTAAGCAATAGAATGTTTCATTAAACGGTATGTTTTTCAGGAGTCAGATTTGATCTCAAATATACACACAATTATACATGGTAATTAAATGATATGTAAGCCATTTTATATCATTGAGGTTTAAAAAGTTTTGCTTTTATGGAAACTGAGTTGAATACTATAGAAAGACTCAAGAAAACATTCTGATTCATTATTTTAAGGACATCAAATAAGGTTTGGTTAACAAAATTGTGGAAAATGTACAATGAAATTATAAAAATTTAAGTTTTTCTAAAATTAAGATTGCTTCAAATTTATATTCAAGTTTTGACTCCAGAGGAAAGAAATAAAAACTGAAAATTATACATAATATGTTTTGAGTATTTTTGTAGGATATAAACCAAATAAAATAATAATCAAAGACCAGGAAAGTGCATGAGCCAAAATAAAATATTAGTGAATACTACATGGTTACCCAATACATTTTAAAAAGTCATTAAAGTTACATAAATATTTTATTTTATGATGTTCTGTTTTAGATATTTTTACATTATTTGAACCATGTCATGCTTAATAAAAATAATTTTATTTAATTTTAAGGTTTAATTTTATTAAACATGATATGGTTTAGATAATTTAAAATATTATAAGAATTTATAATATTACTAATTGCTGAAAACAATGTATATGGCTTTTGAATATTTGTATGATTGCTGATGGATATACACATACTTGTACAATATATGAGGAATCAATTTATTAATATGTACCCAGAAACTTTATATGATTATGCTCTTTGTTTTAGTGATTATTGTTCTCAGGAACTATTCCTGAGAAAATATAAAAGTTAGACCAAATATCATGAAAAATAGATAAACTATAAAATATTTAAAACAACTTATATCCCTAAAATTCATAAAATATCTAAACTATATATAATAAAATCTAATACAGTCAAAGTATATTTATGAAAATGTAAGTGATACAAATCTATATTAAAAAGCAAGAAAAATTGAATGTAGAGCAGTGGTTGGCAAACTTTTTACATGCCAGATAGAAAATATTTTATGCTTTGCTGGCCATGCAATATCTTTGGAACTATTCAGTTCTTCTGCCATATAAACTAACACATAAACAAACGAGTGTGGCTGTATTTCAATGAAACTTTATTAACAGAAACAATCAGTGGCCTTATCTTATTTAGCCCCACTCCACCTAGTTTGCTATCCTTTGATAAAGATAGTTATTTGTACTATTAAAAACACATAGAAAAAACACAAATATTAATTGTGACTGCTCTAAACTGTGATGTCAGTATGCATTTTTAAATGTTTTAGTAACACATAATACCTTAACCCTTGTTTTAGACTTCAAGTTATTCTAATGAGAATTAACAGCAAATATTCTCAGAGGATAGATTAGTAAAATATCTAAGATATTTTACTAAGATATTTAAAGTATCCTAAGATAGACTTTGATGACTTCTGTATTTCCTGGACACCACAAATCAAATATTTTCCCTAGATGTGAAATCTCTCAAACGTGGCCACCAACTCTGCAAAACGGCTTAGATTTAACCCACCCTTCCATTTCCTGTAAGGGCAATAACTTCATGTCTGTTTCCTGTAATTTTTTTCATAGCTTCTCAGACCTTACATTAACTAATATCCCTTATTTCTCCAGAATATTTAAGATCTCTTGTCAACTTGATCTTTTCCAGCTACATTTTTTTTTTTGAGATGAAGTCTCACTCTGTTGCCCAGGCTGGAGTGCAATGGCACAATCTTTGCTCACTGCAACCTCCACCTCCAGGGTTCAAGTGATTCTCCTGTATCAGTCTCCTGAGTAGTTGGGATTATAGGCATGCACCAAGATGCCTGGCTAATTTTTGTATTTTTAATAGAGAAGGGGTTTTGCCATCTTGGCCGGGCTGGTCTTGAACTCCGGACCTTAAGGGATCTGCCCACCTCAGCCTCCTAAAATGCTGTGATTACCAGCATGAGCCACCGCACCCGGCCTCCAGCTATTCTTAAACATGATAAATTCTTTGCTGATTTAAGCAAAATATTTGTCTTGATCCAACCCCTAGCTCAAACCTACTTTACAGATATCATCCTGTTTCTTACTTTCTATTCAAAAGCTGTTCCTACAGTTGTCTCAAGGAGGTAAACTTGTCAATCACTAATTCAGATTTGGAAAATGGGCTATTCTTTATTTTTAGAACTGGCTTCTAATTTCTGACCCACCCAGTCTGCTTAATGGCAGATAACTTAATTGCTTTAAGTTAAATTTAGTTCAATCCAGTGATTAATGAATCAATTTGAGACGTAAAAATTAGGCACAGTCTATTTAAAGCTTTCCATTTTTGTTCTCTTCCTCAGGTTCCAGGCTCTATATTCAGGAATGAAAGAGTAGATGAGTATATAATTACTCTCTTGGCACCAAAGCCTTTTAAATCTGAGTCTACCATGCCAGCATCTTTCTTCTTGTCCCTATATCTATTAATGTGACATGCATATAATAGTTACCATTCCTAACTGCAACCTAAAAATGCTTGGCGGGTGGTCAGGGAGATTCCTCTTACTCCAGAATCCCTAAACTTTGGAAAGTAGATGAGTAAAAAAAAATCGAAGTGCTCCTCTGTTTACCATTTTTTTTCCCTTCAATTGGGTAGGGAATAGCATTTTTCTGGTTCACATAAGATCCAGTTTCTATTGCTTGTCACTTAATTCATTAACAATTCAGTCTACATTTCAAAAGTCAACATGTTAAGATCTCTTTTGTTCCAGTCTTTAGTGACTGTACTTACTACCTCATTCACATGGTGAATGTATGTCTTGTGCTCTGCTTTCTTTTTTTTAATTTACCACTCACACCTTATAAACTTTAATGCAGCCATATCTGTTCCCTTATCTGCTATAAAAATGACAAAACAGTACATTTCAGTTAAATGTTCATCAACATCCCTTTTGTATTTTTGATCTTATTATGGAAAATTTCTAACATGTACAAAAATAACTATATTGCCATAAGAATACTCACAGATAGTTTCCAAATTCTTTAAGAACCTGGCAGAGAGAAACAAACATGTTCCAAATTTTGATTACAGGTGTATACCTTGCTTCATTATTAAAGGCCATAAATAGTTCAAATGTGTTTCCTTGACTCTGAGAAACAAAACATGGATCAGCAATATTTCATTCCAAGCAAAGGTTAAAAAGGTTTTCTTCAGTTTCCTGAGTTCAGTCCATTTAGTTAATTCTTATTTTGCTTGATATTCATGAACATTTCAGCTCTTCATGAGTCCTATACTTTTTTTATTTCAATGTTACAATCTCTAAAGTTATCAGAAGCTTGTATTTGAGAGCACTTGTTACAGTTCTATAACTTATTATAAACCATCTTTTGAAAAGGATTAAAAAGAGCCAACAATTATCTGCGAATAACAAAATGTCCAGGGTAGATACACTTAGAAACATGATTGACAAAGAAGTTTGGTTATCTCTGTGGTTTACAATAACAACATAAAGACCTTAATTATAATTGATAGCATATAATCAGACATTAGAATTTCAGAAATCCCATAAAATTTTGGAACACATATTAGCATTATTCACCAAGATAAACCTAAAGAAAATTGAGCATTATTTTGGTAATCCCATGTACCTAAATGTGTCAGATAATCCTCTTTACCTCTTATTTTCTGGATGTTTCAGGGGCCTTCTGAAACACCTGAAAAGCCAGTTGTCAGGAAAGACAATTTTGAAACTTAAGTTTGATTTTGGGGAGCCTTTTAAATATGTTTAAAGCACTTGATATTATGAAACAGAGTCCCAGATTACCATAAACTATTTATTTTCCCAAAATGATGACTCAGAAATTTTAAAGAAGCAAAAACCCTTTGTAATCATTTTGATTGTAGTTAATATGCTCATACAGAGAACCTCTTCTGCAATATTAATTTCCACAACTTTTCCTCCACTTGTTTGAACCTTCAGCTTTCCTTATTTAACTCAAAAGAATTCTTTAACCCTAGGCAAAAGTTTACATTTCTATGCATTCTTATAACCTTTTGCATGAAAACACATTTTACTGTTCTTATACCCCTTGCATGCAAATCTATTTTTGGTAGTTTCAATTACGTATTATACTAGAAACTCCTAACAATTTTTAACTTTAAGGTAAAACTTGGTAAGTTGCTTTAATTGTGTGCTAACTGCCATCAAGGTTTGCCTTCTTAGGTAAGGGCCTGGTTAGTTTTATATGTTCCCAATCCTTACCAGTTGTGAAGCCAGCAAGTCAAATAGTTCTCAAAACCCAAAAAGCAGTTTGTAACCTTAAAACACTTAGCAAACCTTGCATCTAACCTGCATTTTACCAATAATCTTTATGGCTGTTTTTATTTCTCAAAGATTAAATTCACATGAACTGAAAGGTACTACAGCTTTTATATTCCCTTTAAAAAACATTTGATCCAAGTGCTTGTTTTTCTTTAGACCAAATTAATTAGAGTTCTTTTTAAAGACATCAAACACAGTACACACACATACAGGCAGAAAAAATCCCAGTTGCTGGGTGGGGCTCTTTAAGAGACAGGGCTGGGAAAACATGCAGATATTGAACCAGAGAGAGAGCTCATCCCATAAGGCAGGATTACTAAACAAAGCATTGTCAAGCAGTTGAAGGCCATGCCCTCAGGAAGTAAAACAAGATAGAGGCTTGCAGCACAAACCATACAGACATGCCAAGCACACCAGATTGGCCACAGCCCAAGACTAGTCCCACAAATCCTTTTCCACAATTAAATCTTTACAGAGAATATAAACAGGAATTCTTACTATTCCTAGCCAAATAAAACGTCTTCTAGAAAGAAATAAACTTGCTGAAACTTAACTGTTGATGGGGTGGAGAAGAGGAAAGAAAAAAGATTTAAAAATTCCTAGGGAAGAACCTCTTGTTATTCTTATGCAAGTGATTCCTCCACCAGGGAGAAAAGTTTACTGTCTGATGAGGCTGAACCCCTTGGGTGGGGAAGGGGAAGGCTGTTGTGGCAGTGCGTAGCTGGAAACCAGGACCCTTGGGGCATGCTCCTAGCCCCCACACAGAGGGGAGGGGGAACAAGGAGCCCCCACTCACCTGTCCTTCCTGAAATAGGAAGGAAAGGGCTTTTTCCCAGACCCCCAGGAGCCCCGGGGTTTAGGGGCATGTTTCCCTCACACTCAGAAGTGTGAGAATAAAAATGCTTAGGAGCAGCAGTGAGAGGTTTTGAGTACCCATTTTACTCACTGTTTTTCCAGCCCCATGTTGGGCGCCAAAAATGTTGCAGGACTTTTCCTTAGTTCAGCTGAAGATGGGGTTTTTGTCCGTCCCATGGCCACAAAATTTAGGCTTACTGATGGTTTAAAGGGTGAGTTAAGCAGGGTTTTATTGGGTGAAAAGGAAGAAAATGGAGAAACAGATACTCTTGCAAGGCCAGATTCCCCTGCTAGAGCACTTCCCACCTGCAGCCTGAATCTCAGTTTCCACACATGAAGAGGAGGTGCCAGGCTCCTTCCTGCTGCAAACATCATGAACTTCCCAAGACTCCACTTCATTGGGGGGCTATGTTTGGAGTTTCTCCAGGGAACCACTCCCACTTGGCTGTCTCAATAAATATTTATGTCCCTACTACCAACCTTCAACAATTACCAATTCATGATCAATCTTATTTAATTTATATCCTCACATGCTATCTTCTTCCATTGAATTATTTTAAAGTAAATTGCAGACATTATATAATTTTACCAGAAAATATTTTCCAATGCATCTCTTTTCTTTCCTTTTCTTTTCTTTTCTTTTTTTTTTTTTTTTTTTTTGAGATGGAGTCTCACACTGTGGCTCGGGGTGGAATGCAGTGGCACGATCCTGGCTGGCTCACTGAACCTTTGCCTCCCAGGTTCAAGTGATTCTCCTGCCTCAGACTCCCGAGTAGTTGGGATTACAAGTGCCTGACACCACACCTGGATAATTTTTTTGTATTTTTAGTAGAGATGGGGTTTCACTATGTTGACTGGGATGGTCTCGAACACCTAACCTCATGAGCTGCCTGTCTCAGCCTCCCAAAGTGCTGGAATTACAGGTGTAAGCCACCGTGCCTGGCTGTATCTCTCATTTTATAAACATAACTTCAAAATTCTCTAATTATCTCTTAAATGTTTAAGATTTTTTAGAGTCAAATCCAAAAAGGGCATACTTTTCAATTTGTTGATCTATCTCTTAAGTTGGTATTAATCTACAGGTTCTCACTTTTTGTCTTTTCTATTTCTTTTACCAGTTATTTTTTGAAGAAAGTGTTCTTATCCCTACACTTTTAAGCAATAGTTTTTCTTAGATTCTTGATAAATTATTTATTTGGATTTCTTACTATTTTCTGCTCACTTCTATTTTTAATCTTATCCCTTTTTTCTATCTTCATGGTGCAGAGCTTAAAGGTGTGAGAAATAAAGAAGAGCCCACAAAGAAGATGAAGAAATCATTAGAAAGAAAAAACAATCTTAATGACTTTGTTCTGGAGGCAAAGGAAATAAACAAAATTTCAGAGAGAGAGAAAAAGAAACTGTTCAACTGTGTCAAATACTCTTACGAGGTCTACTAACTGGAGTACTAATAATTGATTATTGGATTTGAAAACAGATTTTTGAAGACATTAACACGACAGTTTCAGCAGCCTTGTAAGTGTGGTGTGGAGTGGATTTAGGGATAAATTAAAGAGTAATTTAAAACTGTCAATGTAGACAATCTTTTTGAGGAGTTTTACTAGAAACAGGATTGAGAAATGGAGTCATAGTTTTAGAGGAAGGTGGAGCTAAGTGGATCTTTTTTTTTAAGCACAAGATTTCACTATATAGTGATGTGAATGCCCTGAAGTGGAGGAAAAGATTGTCAATTCAAAAGAGAGAGAGGTGAGAATAGTTTTGTCCAAATCTTTGAGTAAGTGATAAAGAGTGGGATCCAGTAACAAAGGGGAATACTTGGCAACAGGTTTGAACACAGAGAGTCAATCCTTAGTAACAGAAGAGAAAGCAGAACTTATAAGCTGGTAGATCTGTAGACAGAAGAGGAAGCTTTCAAATTTTCTTTTTTAATTTTCAAAGTGAAAGAAGTCAAGATAAGATCAGAGGTACTAGCGATGTGAAGAAATTTTGAAAACAAATGAAGTAGTTATCTAAGAAAATGAGAAAGTGAACAAACTAGAATAATTGAGTATGATTATGAGCCATCATAAAAGATCCACCTGAAATTAGTAATCACAGAATTAATGTGTAAGCAGTTAGTGTGATTCATAGTTTTCTCCAATTTGATCAACTATATAGGTCAAATGTACATATAAGCAGAGAGTTGTATAATCACAATTGTCATTTTGTCAAGCACACATGGGAAGAAAAAAAGAAATACATGGACACAAGGAAGTTAAAGGAATACTTGAGTTGGGAGTCTAATTAACTATACTGTTTATACTGAGGTAAAAAAAAAACGAGATGGCATGAGGGAAGTTGGAGATTGCATAAATATAAGGAGATCAATGTATTGTAAGTCACAATGTAATGGAAAGAAAGTTGGCTATTATAGTATAAGCACATTGAGAAACTTGATTGGTAATTGGGATTATAGAGATTGCAATGATAAATTTTAGGGAGAAACAATCCAAGAGGACTTTCTATGATGTTCAGCTCAATATATTTGCCATTAGCCTATAGGATTATTGAAGACTGAAATATGGAACCATACATCCATTGCTAAAAGCAAATCTAGGAACTATATTTGTCCCTTTCCTTAGTGGCTTTCCACAAGATGTGCTCTGTTCCTAGAATAAATTTTCATCTTTTTCTACATATGTCCAGAATAAGTATCAACCCTTAGCATAGACACAACTGCTATTTTTCCTATTTCCCTTTCCACAACTGAGTTACTGTCTTTCCAGTGTGTTTACATAGCAGTTGTAAAATGCATTATATTTCATTGATCACTTGTCTATCTCCTTAATTTGGCTAATGTTCTTGGAAAGAGATGTTCTATTTTAATTACAGTATTTGGAGCATCTATCATGATGCCTAGAACTTAGGAAGTATTTAGTATATATTTGCAAAAGAAAGTCAAAAGAAGATAGAATTAAGGAAATAAAAGGAGAGAAGGAAAGAGAAAAAAAGGAGGACAACAAAAAAGAAGAAAAAGAAAAAAGACAAAGAAAAAGAAATAAAGGCAGGAAAGGAAGAAGGAAGGCAGGAAGGGGAGAAAGGAAGAAAGGAAGAAAGAAAAAGAAAGAAAGAAAATAAAATGGAGGTGTGGAAAGAGGAAGGAAGGAGAGAGAAAAATGTTGAGAGTGACAAAAAAAAAATAGAATTAAACTATGGCTAACTCATAAAAAAGAAATATTTTCTTAAAATTAGAATGTGTCCGCACATGGACTGAGCTGTCCTGTGATAAAGTGAGTCCACTGATGAAGGTATTTAAATAGATAATATATAAGTGCCTGTGAGAAATATATAAAAGATAGTTTTTGCATAAGGTAACAGACTTAATTGTGCAAGTTCTGAGGTCCTATATGAGTTCCAAGACTTTTCAATGACAGATTATTATAGGAATTAAGATTCTTTAGAAAATATTCTTTTTTTTTTTTTTGAGACAGAGTTTTGCTCTTGTTGCCCAAGCTGGAGTGCAGTGGTACAATCTCCGCTCACTGCAACCTCCACCTCCCAGGTTCAAGCAATTCTCTTGTCTCAGCCTCCTGAGTAGCTGGAACTACAGGAGCCCACCGCCATGCCTGGCTAATTTTTTGTATTTTTAGTAGAGATGGGGTTTCACCATGTTGGCTGGGCTGGTCTCAAACTCCTGACCTCAGGTGATCCACCCACCTCAGCCTCCCAAAATGCTGGGATTACATTAGTGAACCACCACGCCCAGCCAGAAAATATTCTATTTCTGTTTTTTCACTTTCCTATGTTACCACCTATGTAGGTAACCATGTGATATGTATTCTTGCTTACCAGTGACTGACAACAAGAATGTAGTTAAAAATTTCTACTTGGTAACAAAAAATTAATCTTCACTGATATGAATTTTAATAAATGACATGAAGTAATAAAAATATATGTTTTCCTGAGCATCACATATTAAAATGTTTGTTTTAAAAATACACCAATAAGGTGAATTTACTCCCATTAGAATTTTCATAATTTCTGACAAAGTTTCATATGACACACAAATAATGTCTCCATGTAGCTACTGTCAGTCAAACATTAAAGTCATAGGAAATTATTGAGTAGAGTGACAGGAATAATAATTTCTTAGGAAGATTGATGATTATATTAATTTTACCATCAGAGAAAGAATGACATGTATTGGAACATTTTTACTCATAAAATAACTGAAATATCAGAAAAATGTGCATAGAAACAATAGAGGGATGAAGTCAGAAGAGCAGCTTCAGAAGAAGCTGAGATTTAATAAGGAACAGGGTAACCTCTTGAAATCTTCCTAATTTCATAAAGTTGAGGCAAAAACATTCTGTTTGGTGCAGTGAGTATTTGGAAAATATGTTTACTAAAGATAATTCATCTTAATATGATAGTTTTTCCCTTATTGTTAAATTTTATGCAACTGACCTGTTGTTGATGGAGAGCATAATTACTTTTTGAATGTAGCAGGTGAACTTATCCAAAACATTCCACATTCACTTATTTGTTTGTATAATTAATGGAATAAGTTTACGATAGATTCTGGAAAAGGTAAAAGTGGCACAGGATGAAAAACAGAAAGAGAAGACCAATTCACACGTACCACACACACACACACACAAACAATAATGATGGCATGTTCACCAATAGGCTTCTGCCTGCCTGTGTCTGTGTCTGGGTGTGTCAATTACGTGTTCTCACCAATGGGTTTCTGTGTGTATGTGTGTGTGTGTGTGTGTCTCATACAACTATGTAGTTTTAGGGTATATTTGCATATATTCAATTAGCTTTAAATAAAAACACTTATATTATGTCCTGATGTTATCATAATACATATGTATTCTGAATTGCAAGCTTTAATTTGACAGCCACTATTGGTATCAAAACTTTGTGCACCATTATGATATGATTATAGGGTGATAAGTACTCTGAGAGCTAGAGTGAGTTTGGGAGCATTGAGCAGGCTGATAGCAGTGGAAATCGTCCAAATAAGTCAGATTCTGAATATCATCTGAAGTTTGAGCCACTGGGAGTTGCCAGTCGATTGAATGCAATGTGTTGGAGAAAGTGAGGAATCAAAAAGTATTCTAATATTTTAGACTTTTGTAAAGATAACTAAGAAACAACAGAGAACAATTCTAAAAAGTTACCACTATCAAAAATATCAAAGAAATCTTGGCTGAATAAGTAGTTTAAATGATTACTTACTGAAAAAGTTCTCAGAAAATATTATTCAATAAAATACAAAGTAATTATCCTTGCTCCTCCACAGTAGGTAAACGTTTTATTTGTTTTTACTACCTCCCTCCAAAATTTTCTTTTTTGTCTCTGACTTTCTACAGTTTGCATATGATATGTCCAGGTGTAGATTTTTAGGTGCTTATACTACCTTTGTTGTTCATATTAATAGAGCTTCCTGGATCTGTGGTTTGGTGTCTGTCATTAATTTTAGAAGATTCTTGGCATTTCGTTATGTCAAATATCTTTTATATTATGTTCTGTTTTTTTTTCTTTTTTGTATTCCTAGTACACATTATGCTTTTTGAAATTGCTTCATACATTTTTGTTGTTCTGTCTTGCGGGAAGTCAGGGACCCTGAACGGAGGGACCTGCTGAAGCCGTGGCAGAAGAACAGAAACTGTGAAGATTTCATGGACATTTATTAGTCCCCAAATTAATACTTATATGATTTCTTACATCTGTCTTTACTGCAATCTCTGAACATAAATTGTGAAGATTTCATGGACATTTATCACTTCCCCAATCAATACTCTTGTAATTTCCTATGCCTGTCTTTAATCTCTTAATCCTGTCATCTTCATAAGCTGAGGATATATGTCGCCTCAGGACCCTGTGATGATTGTGTTAACTGCACAAATTGTTTGTAAAACGTGTGTTTGAACAATGTGAAATCTGTGCACCCTGAAAAGGAACAGGATAACAGCAATGTTCAGGGAACAAGGGAGATAACCATAAGGTCTGACTGCCTGCGGGGCCAGGCAGAACAGAGTCATATTTTTCTTATTGCAGAAAACAAGTAGGAGAAATATTGCTGAAATCTTTTCCCAGTAAGGAATAACCCTGGGAGGGGAATGCATTCCCAGAAGGGGCCTATGGACGGCCACTCTGGGGGTGTCTGCCTTAAGCAGTTGAAGATAAATGATGAAATATGCCCAGGTCTCCTGCAGTGCCCACAGGCTTGCTAGGATTAGGAAATTCCAGACTGGCGAATTCTAGTCAGACCAGTTCTCTGCTCTTGAACCCTGTTTCCTGTTTAGATGTTTATCAATGACAATGCGTGCACAGTGGGACATGGAACCTCATTAGTAATTCTAATTTCACCCTGGCCTTGTGAGCTTGCTCTGCCCTTCTGCCCTTGTGATCTTTTATTGCCCTTTGAAGCATGTGATCTCTTCGACCCACTCCCTGTTTGTACACCCCTCCCCTTTTGAAATCCCTAATAAAAACTTGCTGGTTTTGCGGTTCAGGTGGGCATCACGGAACCTGCTGACATATGATGTCACCCCCGGAGGCCCAGCTGTAAAATTTCTCTCTTTTGTACTCTTTCTCTTTATTTCTCAGACCAGCCTACACTTAGGGAAAATAGAAAAGAACCTATGTTGAAATATTGGGGGCTGGTTCCCCCGATAGTTCTGTTTCATTCTTTGCATTTTATTTTCAGAAATTCCCACTGACATTTCTTTGTCTTCACTAATTCTACTGTCATTTATGTCCAGTCTACCAATGAGACCATCAAAGACATTTTTTATTTCAGTTAAATGTTTTTAATTTTTATCGTTTGATTTTGATTTATTTTTAGAGTTTCAGTCTCTCTGCTTACATTACACGTGTTATTGTATGCTTTCTACCTTTTCAACTTAAACTTTTAACAAATTAATTATAATTATTTTCAATTTCCTTTCTGAAAATTATAAAATCTGTGTCACATCTATATCTGGTTTTGATATATGTTTTGTCTTTTCAGATTGTTTTTTCTTGCTTTTTAACATGTCTTTCATTTTGTTTTGTTTTGTTTGAAAGTCAAAACATGCTGAACTGGTAACAGGAATTGAGGTGAATGAGTATGAGATTTTATATACATATGACTAGGAGTTAATGTTCATTTTTTTTTTAGCTATAGGTGCAGGAGACTTCAAATTTCTCTTTTGTCCTTGGTTTTGTCTCTCCTGTTGTTTTTGGCCTTCTTGAAGATCTCTTACTTAGGTAGAGTCTGAGTCTCGAAGTACTTTATACTTCATTGTTATATTGGATCCTACTTTTGGGAGGGGTAGGGTGCAGGGGAGGAGAATCTTCTATTATCGCATGACTAAAGCATATTTTTAAAATGAGACCGTATCCTTGGACAGTGACCTTAGAAGTATTTTGTAGCTTTCTCTCTCCCTTTAGTAAAACTGGAAAATGCTGAAGTCAGGAAAATGTTTTTCCCTTCGGTGAAATAAAGCTCTGGGTAAGTTCCGCCCCTGCCAACCCAGAGGATAAGCCTTTTTTATGGAGAACATTCTAGGCCTATTTCAATTACTTTCTCTCTTACTCTGTCAGAGACGTGAGACCTTTATAGATTTTCACCAAGAGACCAGATGTGGTCCCTGTACATGAAAACCATGAAAGTGTGTCCCATATCCTCCTGCACTGAGGATTGCAGCCCCAGGAGTTTCCCACTCATGCCAGTTCACAATGAACCCCCAGAAACTCCTCACAACTAGCATTTAATTTTTGTGCCAATTTATGGTTTTGGTGGCTTAGACTATAGGTAAATCAGCTGTGATTCTGTCAATTTAACTGTATCTCCTGATTTCACGGCAGTGCTTTGCTCTGAAAGCTCATTTCTAAGAGATATCCAAGAAAAAAATGTTTTTAAGTTCATTCAAAAAAAATTTTTTTTCTTCTAAGAATTGGAGTGATGACTTCTACCCTCTTTAAGTGCTGGGGATGAATTCAGAAGTCTACAATCTTTTTTCACCCAGCATTTCCAAATCCAGGAATTTATCTTTAGAAAATCAATGAAGAATTATACAAAACTGCTCAAAGGTGTATGTAAAGAATTTCCATTGAGGTATTATTTAAAATAGAAATATGCAAAAAAAAAAAAAAAAATCTGAGGACCAAGAGAAGGATGTGAAGCAGCTGTTAAATACAAGTATACTATATATTTGTTAGCATCAATTTTGTGTGGTAAGGTTTATGATATATTGTCTATGTTTTTAAAGAGCATTTATGTTTACTGCCATATAATTTGCCTGAAAAATATATGAGTGGTCAGAAAAAAAAGACAGGAAAGACTTTTTTTCTTATTTTTAAATAGATTTAGGGAGAACAAGAGCGTTTTACATAGACATTTACATAATGGGGAAGACTGGGTTTTAATGTAGCCATCATCAGAATAGTATACATTGTACACATGAAGTAATTTCTCATCCCTCATCCCCCATGTCTTCCCACCTTCCCACCCTTCTGAGTCTCCATTGTCTATTATTCCACTCTCCAGGTCCATGTGTACACACTATCTCCCACTTAAAAGTGAGAACATGCAGTATTTGACTTTCTGTTTCTGTAGTTTTTCACTTAAGATAATGGCCTCCAGTTCCATTCATGTTACTTCAAAAGACATGATTTCATCCTTTTTATGGCTGAATAGTATTTCATTGTATAGATACACAATACATATATATACACACACATACACACACATACACATATATATACACATATATATGTGTGCACATGTTCTTTTGTATGGCTGAATTGTATTTCATGCTATAGCTACATACATATGCGTATATATACACACACGTATATAATACATTTTTTATATATATAACATATATATGTTTTATGTATATATATATATTTTATGTATATAACATATTTTGTATACATAAAATATATATATATAGCATATTTTCCTTATCCAACCATCTATTGATGGGCACTTAGTTTGATTCCATATCTTTGTTATTACAAGTAGTGCTGTTATATACATATGAATGTAGGTATCTCTTTGATAGAATAAATTTTTATTTCCTTTGTAAATGCCCAGTAGTGGAATTACCACTGAATATAATTTTTTCATCTTTTATACTTTTTTATTCCACTGGTTTGTTTAGTAGTAAACCTGATTTGTTTTGCAATTAGAAAAATGAAGTAATTAAAAATTGTGTGAAATTCAGGCAGATTGAATTAGAATTAATTGAGGCCATATATGTATCATTCTTCTTTGCAAAATTATGCTTCTATAATAACAATGTAGAGCTCTTAATGGAGATGTCTATTTTCTTAAATATGTCATAAGATAAATAATTGGTGCAAGAATAAGAAGAAGGTACGTTAAGTATATATTCTTTATTTATAATGAGTTGAAATGTTTTAAATAAGTGGTAAATAAAATTTTAGTTAAATTTGGGTTTTTGTTTTTTATTTATTTTTATTTTTATTTTTTTAGAGATAAGGTCATGCCCTGTTGCCCAGGCTGAAACACAGGATGTGATCAAAACTCATTGCAACCTCGAACTCCTGGGCTCAAGCAATTCTCCTGTCTCAGCCTCCCAAGTAGCTGGGCCTATATATGTGTACCACCCTGCCCAGCTAATTTCTCTTATTTTTAATAGGGATGAGTTCTCTCCATGTTGCCCAGTCTGGTCTCAACCTCCTTGCCTCAAGTGATCCTTCTGCTTTGGCCTCCCAAAATGATGAGTTTACAAGTGTATATCACCATGCCTGGCTTTTTTTTTTTTCCTTTTTTGATTCAAAGTTTCACTATGTTGCCCAGGCTAGAGCTCAGTGACTATTCATAGGCGTAATCACAGAGCAGCCTGGAACTTCTGACCTCAAGTCATCCTACTATCTCAGCCCTCTGAATAGCTAAGACTACAGGCATGTGCCTTTATGCCTGGCTATAGTTAAGCTGTTTTTAAAACCAAAGTCATTTAATCTTTCTCCATTTGTATAACTTATAATATTTAATTTAAGGTTTTATAATTTTTATTCTGTATATCACTTTAATTCTCAAGCTATGAAACAGTACATGAATATTTCAATATCTGAGGGAAATCATTCATGACCTTGATTATTATTCCTCAAATTAAATCAGTACCATCATTATAAGCTTTTATATTTTATTTTCTAAAATCATAACAGTTTAAAAAATAGGATCATTTTCCCAAAATAGTATATATGTAGTTCATATCACCATAATATTAGCAAATTGCTCACCACGGTAACTACCTTTGAAACATCACTTAACACCCTGCAAATGATATTATTTTTAAAATGACCACAATAATCAAGAGATTTGGTTTTCTTTTTTTTTCTTTTTAATTGAGGTGAGTATTGAGATCTCAGTACTTTTTTGTTTCATTTATTCCTTGTCTTTCTGCATTTATGCAAAACAAAGATAAAATAGGGTCTTGAAATATTTCAAAAATCAGTCTGTGTATAGGGTTTACTTATATATTTTCAATTCAAAAGACAGAAACCCTTTGGCAAAAATTCAGTGTTTATATATTTTATGGACGTATTTATGTAAACATTTGCAAAGCATAGGCATTAGGAAATAATTTACCATAAACTCTTCATGAGGCATATTACAAATCACTATATTCGCTTTTAGAGCGTTAGTACAAGAGTGATTAAAGTAAGGAAATTTTTCCTAGTGGCCTAAAGAAGTGAAAGGTTAATGGCTTAATGAAGTCTTACAAAATAAACAGTAAGACTTTTGCCATCTTTCAACCAGCAGGTGGTAAATTAGCAGGTAATAATGTTTGTGTTTAATAAACATTCATATATCAATAAAGTATAATAAGAGATTATTTTAGCTGATGGCATGCATTACTTGAACTATATGATTTATCTGCAACCATCCAAGCAAAAGAATATTGGACAGGAAGAAATTGATATGGTTATACCATGACTCTCTACATAGTCATTTCATGACACAAGCATGTACTTCACACTACCTGAGGTAAAGTTAAGAATATGTGGCAAAGGCATAGAAGGAGAGGTAACCTGATGTTAAGAGGAAGAGATCCAAAGACCATTAAAGTCCTTAGTTCAAGTACCTGTGCTGATGGAACTGAAGGCTCAAACACCAGCGAGTTTGAGCTTGAACTTTATATTATGAAAATTCTACAGGATACAGCAAAAACTAGGACCTAAGGTGTCAAAGTGAAACCAGGGAAGTAAGGGGTTGAGATATATAGGGATTTGCAGTTTGTAAAGATATATGGGAAAATCAGGCTCTTTGTGGTGCTTGGGGAGAGTTACATTAGTAAAGACTCTTAGATAGGTATTTTTTAAAGGAAGTCCTAACAAGAGTATTTATGTAATTGTAGAAATAGCAAATTTGAGCCAGAAGGCTACTAAATGTCAAAGAGCTGGGGCCATTGTTAAACTCCATGTTAAATGAGGAACAAATGGGTGTGGGATAGAGTAGGATGCCTTGTTAATTCAAAGGAATTAAAGAGCATCATGCCATACTATGTGTCTGACTACATGATTTGCTTATGGGATCTCATTATGTGGGGACTCTGGATCACCATGGATGAATCCCACAAACAGATTTCGGTATTGTTGTACATAGTGAAATTCGTAAATTTAACATAGGCTGTAATAAGTTCTACAGCAGAAATTTTTGTTGTAATAATGGAAGGTTACTATTTTTGACTATTTATATGTTAGGTTATTTTACAGGCATTATTACTAATTAATATTTAATAGGAGAATAAATCATAAGGAATTTGAAACTCTTTAGGGAGACCTGGAATGCAGTGTTTTCAAAGAAGGAAGTTTTGAAAACTTGGTGTGTGAAAAGGAGGGGTTTTCTTTTTAAATTTAATTAGTTTGTATTTTATGCAAGACAAAAGCAATAAAAACAAACAAACAAGCAATACTCCTCTTGCCCATGTCCCTGCTTCTAATAAGCAATCTTGATGATATATAATACAAGTAAGAAGAAATGAAGAGCAGTATGGAACAGGTCTCAACTTCTGATGATAACAGAGAGAGCAAACATTATATCTGGATGAATTCACGATTGCATCATCTGGTGAGCATTCTGTTTGTTGAGGTGATGCTTTCCATCCCAACTTGACTACTTGACTATGGTTCCCTACATATTCCATATTCTAGAGAAGCACTACTA
Source organism: Homo sapiens (assembly GCF_000001405.40). Classification (NCBI taxonomy): domain Eukaryota; kingdom Metazoa; phylum Chordata; class Mammalia; order Primates; family Hominidae; genus Homo; species Homo sapiens. Next base: position 185,000,788 of record NC_000002.12, on the reverse strand, counting down.
TAATGTATACAGCACTATCTATATTCAGAAACAAGACATCTGGGCAAAAGGATATTGCAATTTGTAGATGTGGGATGTAGATTAAGTAGTGTATGTTTGCTGCCTCTACTTTGTCTTCTATGCTATGCACTCTTAATATATTAACCTCTGTTGTAAAAGCCTGCATTTTGTAGGCACTTGACTTAATGAACCTATATGGATGACCAGGAAAGAGTGAAATAAACTTTATTTCCCAAACTTCATGCCTATCCTACTCAGTTCTCATCCATGTATTAATAATATTTATTTAAGGCACTCCTCAGTTCTACAAGATAAGCACAAGGACTAGTTATGTTTAGTTAAGGACACTGAGGATTAGAGAACTTAAATAATTTGCATATGTTCTAGCTAATAGTGGAACAGGATAGGTAGTCAAGGAAGTAACCATGTACTTGGTATGTGGCAACCATGGCACAATGAGCCCCAGCGTTTGCACTGTAGTCAAGCTCATTCAGGCACAGCTATCTCCATAGGGAACTTCCCTTGTAGAGAGCATGTGCATTTTAATTTTACCTGTCCTTAGATTGACACTTTGCTCATTATGATAATGAAAAACATACTCCTGAGTGGAGATTCAAGATGCTAATGAGACATGCCATTAACGAAATAGTATGGAAAGTTACTGTACATGTACACCCAGATGACAACCCAGAGCATGCGTACTGGTAACACCTCTTCCCATCCCCTCATGAATAATCACAAAAGACTCCCATCAGGGAAGTTTCCCCAGTAACAGTGAATACTGTCTCATCCTCATGTGTAGCCCACTCTGAATTATCTCCCAGAGTGTACTGTCTATTCTGCAACCAACATTCAGAGTACTCTTTCTCCTTTGCAATAAATTGTTCTATGCTTCATCTCCTATGCTGTGTGTCTCTTGTGTAAATTCTTTGGAATTTTTAAACTAAGAAGACAAGAACCAAGTTTTCACAACAGCCATCAACAGTAGCAGATCTGGGATTTGAAGTCAGCCTTGTGACTATGTTCTTAATATTTGACATGTTGCCCATTTATTAATTCATTCACTCACTTATTCATCTGGAAGCCTTACAAATAAAGACATTACATGAGAAATTGTTCAAGACTAGAAATAAAAACATACTAAGGAATACATTAATACTCACTGAGGATAAATGTGATGTGTTCAATGACATGGAATAAAAAAGAAACATTATGGCAGTCTTTCTTCCATGTGTCTGATAACAAAATGATTTAGAATTGGTTTTTGGGGATTAATACAGGCATACCTCAATGTAGTGTGCTTCACTTCATTGTGCTTCACAAATAGTGCATTTTTAAGAAATTGAAGATTTATGGCAAGTCTATGTCTGGCAAGTCTATGGTCTCCATTTTTCCAACAGCATGTGCCCATTTTGTGTCTATGTGTCACATTTTGGTAATTCTTGTGATATTTTAAACTATTATTATTATTATATCTGTTATGGTGATCTGTGATCAATAATCTTTGATGTTACTATTGGAATTGTCTTGGGGTGCCATGAACTACACCCAATAAGATGGAGAACTTAATCCATAAATATTGGGTGTTTTCTGCCTGCTCCATCAATCAGCCATTCCCTTATCTCCTCTCCCTTTTTTTGGGTTTCCCTATTTCCTGAGACACAACAATATTGAAAACACACCAACTAATAATGCTACAATGGTTTCTTTTCTTTTTTTTTTTTTTTTTTCTCAGAATGGGTCTAACTCAGTTCTCCAGGCTGAGTGCAGTGACACGATCATGGCTCACTATAGCCTCAACATTCTGGGCTCAAGCGATCCTCTCACCTAAGCCTCCCAAGTAGCTGGGACTACAGGCACACACCACCATGCCTGGCTTATTTTGTATCCTTTATAGAGACAAGGTCTCGCTGTGTTGTCCAGGCTGATCTGGAGCTCCTGGCCTTAAGTGACCCTCCTGCCTTGGCCTCCTAAAGTGCTGGGATTACAGGTGTGAGCCACCACACTTGGCTCCTACAATGGATTCTAAGTCTTCCAGTGAAAAGAAGAGTCCCATTTCTCACTTTAAATCAAAACCCAGAAATGACTAAGCTTAGTGAAGAAGGGATGTAGAAAGTCAAGATAGTCTGGAAGCTAGGGCTCTTACACCAGTTAGCTAAGTTGTAAATGCAAAAGAAAAGTTCTTGAAGGAAATTTAAAATGCTACTTCAGGGAACACAAGAATAAGAAAATAAAACAAACTTATTGCTGATATGAAGAAAATTCATCCTCTGGATAGAAGATCAAACCAGCCACAATATTTCCTTAAGCCAAAGCCTAATCCACAGAAAGGCTCTAACTCTCTTCAATTCTGTGAAGGCTGAGAGATGTAAGAAAGCTGCAGAAGGAAAGTTTGAAGTTAGAAGGGGTTGGTTTGTGAGATTTAAGGAAAGAAGCCATCTCCGTAACATAAAATGTAAGATAAAACAACAAGTGCTGATGTAGAAGCTACAGCAAGTTATCTAGAAGAACTAGCTAAGATCATTGATGAAGGTGGCTACAAAAAACAACTGATTTTCAATGTCGATGAAACAGCCTTATATTGGAAAAAGATGTCTTCCAGGATTTTTATAGCTAAAGAGGAGAAGCCAATGTCTGGCTTCAAAGCTTCAAAGGACACGTTGACTTTCTGTTAGGGCGTAATGTAGCTGGTGACTTTAAGTTGAATGCAATGCTCACTAATAGTCTCCCAAATTCCAAACCTCTAAATAATTCTGCTAAGTTTACTCTGCATGTGATATATAAATGGAAAAGCAAAGCTTGGAAGACAGCACATCTGTTTACAGCATAATTTACTGAATATTTTAAAACCACTGTGGAAATCTACTTCTCAGAGAAAAAAAAAATTCCTTTCAAAATATCACTTTAGAAGTGTAGCCTAAATATGTGACTGAATTGTTGCAATCTCATGATCAACCTTGAACAGGAGGGATTGCTTACTTTGGATGTGCAAACAAAAAGTTTCTTAAGATGGTAAAGAAACTGTGAACATTGTTGAAATGACAACAAAAACTTTAGATTGTTACCTAAACTTAGCTGCTAAAGCAGCAGCAAAAATGGGAAGAATTCACTCTAATTTTGAAAGAACTTTTACTGTGAGTAAAATGCTATCAACCAGCATTACATGCTACAGAGAAATCTTTCATGATGGGCAGAGTCGATTGGTGTAAAAAATTTTCTAGTTGTCTTACGTTAAGAAATTACCACAGCCACCCAACCTTCTGTAACCACCAGCAAGATCAGTCAGCAGCCATCAACACTGAGACAAGACCCTCCATGAGTAAAATATGTACAGTTTGCTAAAGGCTGAGATGATTGTTGGCATTTTTCAGCAATAAAATATTTTTAAATTACTATGTGTACATTTTTCAACATAACACTGTCTTTCAACATAACTACTGTAGACTACAGTATAGTACGAACATAACTTTTATATGCATCAGAAAACCAAAATATTTCTGTGCCTCACTTTATTGTGATATTTGGTGTATCGTGGTGGTCTGGAACTGACTCTAATATCTCTGAAGTATGGCTGTGTTCAGAATATTAACTTATATAATAGAGTAACAGTTGTTGTAAAAGAGATCATCAATTTTTTTTAATAAATAGAGGTGATAAAGATATATATTGTCAAAGCTAAAGAAGTGAAAACATGTCATGTCCAGTAATATAAAGTGATTATAAATTTTTCTATAATTAAATCAAAATAGTATATAGCAAAAGCCCCCATTAACTAATAGCTGTAGTTGTAAAATAGATTATATATTTAGAAGGAGTTTAGAAATCATTGTGCCTAGTCTGTAATACAGGAGCGACTTCTACAGCATCCCAGAAGTGTGTCTTTGTGAGTGGTGTGTGTGTATGGGAGCAGGAAGTGAAATGAAGGAAGGAGCTGTCATTCCATCTCTTTCTTAATAACAGAAACTTCAATGCTTCAAATAAAACCAATTACAATCTTCAGTTATATAATTGCAAAAAGTTCTTTCTCATAATGAACAAAAAAATTGTTTTGCTGGAAGTTATAAACATTGGCCCTAATTCTGCCCTTTGGAATTAAGAAAACAATATAATCTCTCTTCCATATGGTTCTAATAAAAGTATTTATTAAAAAGTGGGAATTTTTTATTCTCTTGCGCTGTAAGGGAATAGAGGGAAGAGCCCAAGGGAATTCTTTCTGTTTGCATGAATGCCAACACAACCTGCTTTAAAAAAAACTGTGCTATAACATGGTCAGGGATCAACGTAATGAATACTGGTGCTATAAAAATGACTAGTACACAGGAAACACAAAATCAAGTGCGGGGGAAATCATCTGGGGAATTCAAGCTAAAAGGAATTCTGACTTCTGAAAAAAATACAGTTCTTCAAAAGATTCATGCAAAATTCATTTTACCTTTTTCAGAGGAAGAAAATCAGGGAAAGTGTACAAGAAAAGTTTATCAGAGCAAGTTTAGAAGAAATCACTGAAACCAAATAATATCCAACATATTTATTGAAATATCCAAGTGTAGTTATGTATCACTTGGGTTATAAGCAATATTTTTAATATTTTGTTAGTAGTATCACAAACCTATAACAAAGCTACAGAATATAAGACAAAAAATATACATGTATGAAACATTTAGATGTATTAATATTAACATTTTGCCATATTTGTTTTATATCAGTTTATATTACAGAACACAATATCAAGAATAAGGTTTACTTCACAATGTATTTTACCCTCATTATATTTCACTAACTTCCCCCAAACATAACCACTGCTTTGAAGTTTGTTATATATTATTCCCAATAATATCATTATATTCGTTATTTCTATATTCATAAAAATATTTTTTATTTTATAACTTTAATTGAGCAGTGTCAAATTATTAATTTTCTTGGCTTAATATTCTGTTTGTATTGCATGCACATTGATACATTTAATTTTACTATTACAGAAAATTATAATGAAATTCTGCATTCATTTTCTTCTTGGTAGATAGGTACCTCCAGATGATTCCCACTACACATAAGGTTGCAATAAAAATTTTCTAGATTATGCAATTATATTAGTCAATACATTTATCTCTACAGAAATCTCTTTACTAGAGCATTTCTTTTAGTTTTTACATGATTTAGTATGTATTATGTAAGATATAGTTATATATTTATTTGGCCAGAAATCATTATAATTTAATACTTTGTTATAATTTTGTATACAATTATAAAAATTTCTATTTAGAAAAAATAATCTTTGACAATCCTTATTATCCTAGTTTTGTGGTTATAAAATAGTAGAAGGTTATTAATCCTCACATGTCTTTTGCATGGAATCTTCTATTTTAGGCATACCAAATTGTCAACTTCATTGTATACTACTTAATCTAGGCCTTGAGCAGACAACTGAATGGATTTAATGTGACAGGCAACAAAAGCAGCATGATTTGAGAAATATTTATCCCCGTTTTTGCGGCTTCTGACCTTGAACCTCTGCATCTATCACAGTCTGGGACAAGACCCAGGCAAATTCACTTTGAATCACTTGTGAGTTGGTACTTAACTGGCTTCTCTGGCTCCATACAAATAGACTGAGGTGGATTGCAGGGAAGTCCAATCTTGTAGTTGAAGGGGCAGATAGAGAATAATCTCTGCAGTCAGATATTTTATAGTTAAAATTATGCTCCAGCAATTAATAGTTCTGTGTGTGTGCCACTGGATGAATCATTTAAACTCCAAACCTCAGTTTCCTGTTCTGTGAACTGGAAATAATGGTTTCATGTTAGCTCAATGGCAAATGATAATGATGGATAATATAGATTGAATGTTTATTTTTTCTGGGCAGTACAGTATATAATTCTAATACATATGATTATTTAATGCTTTCATAACTTTATGAAGCAATTGCTTCTAAAATTCTTTTGAACAGATAAGGAAATGGAAGCACATAGAAACAAATTAAATTGTGTAAAGTTACAAAGCTACTATATGACAGAGCTGGGATATGACCCAAGACATTCTGAATCTATGGCCATCAGTCTTTATCTATTGATACAGTGTGCCTCTTGTGTCATGTATTAGTCGTCTGTATAAAAATGAATTGTTTACAGCCTGCCTGTACTCAGCAACCTCCAAAGTAGAGGTCCAGTAAGTTTTAGTCATTCAAATAATAGTGGAAAATATATTACTTTAGGAATCCTAAACCAGGTGTAATAGCCTAAAACTTTCCCTATTTCACAAAAGGGTTGGAAACATTTTCTTAGCATTTTGAGTCTCAAATTTCCTCATTTATAAAAAATAGAAGTGAAAAAGTTCTACTTTCAAGCCATATTAAAAATATCTATTAAAGTCAAATATATTTTCATTAAAGTATATACTTAAGTTATGATCTTTCTGCTGTGTTTTTATAAATAAAACTCATATTTTAAAAATGTCATATACAGGCAACAAAAACCGACATTTTAATATATTATTTGAAAACTGTCTTACAACTCTTATGTGCCACGTAGGAGACATTCAATTTTCTTCTCAATAAAATCATTTGACTTTTATGAACAAATTCCACCTCTAAACAGGTCTTTATACTAAGATATTTTTTAAAAAAAGATTTTTAAAAAATACACATGTTGGTGAAGAATGTGATATCAGTTATGGATTTTCCATATTACGCTGCTTACTGTGAAGAACTTTGTTCCCCTCTTTACTGCTCCTGATTTGACAAATTCATTGGCAATGAAGTGCAGAAATCCAAGAAAGATAACAACCTCAGTATTTTGGCCCAAAGTTTCACTCTCAGATGTACATACTTGATGCTCATATGTGGTCTTTTGGATGCCCACACATGAATGCCATCTGTTAAGTTGATAACATGTTAAACAAAATGGATTTACATTTTGGCAGTTTACATGGAACCAAGAATAACGTTTTTGAAACAGGCTTTACACCCATTTAAATGGCTGAAGCTATTCTTTTAAACTAGAATGTATCTTCAGATTCTGGAAAAAAGGATGCCTTAGAGTGGGGGAAAAAGAAAGATGTGATTTACGACATGATTTGGTTGCCAAAACAAATTATAAATATACATAAAAGTATTAAAACTACATAAAATTTCAAATGGCAAGACCATAATAAATCAAACAAAAGAGTGCAACCTGATGGTTCTCTAAAAATGGGACATCTACCCAAATAACAAAAGCAAATAAGTTGAAATGACAAATAAAGTAAAATGATGTAGAAAAAATAAAAACTTAAAACAAGAGCCACATTTTTAACTTTATGAAAACATTGTATTTTAATGATATATGTACATTAATTTCTTTCTACCACCTACTTTTTTCTGATTAGTTGGAATCAACAGGTAAATCATTACTATAAGGGGCCCCACATTGAATTGCTGTTTTTTGAAGTAAACAGGAAATACTATTGCTCTAAGGAGAAAATACGGTTATCCAATATATCTATCAGAATGTTGACAATATATTTTTAGCCATATTTGGTAACTAGTCAGAAGTCACATTTAATGATTCTAAAATTATAATAAGAAAACTTGAAAAGGAGCTTATATTATTATTACCACATGCTTATGATATAAGAACTTTTGTTGGTTGGTTTTTAGTTTTATTTACAAATATTCAGCTACAAAAAGGCATAGTTAATATATTTAACTGATTACTAACAAGTTACAGAAAATACAGTGTTTCCTGTGACTCAAATATTTGGAAAACTTTAACCAACTGTAAATTAGTTTGGTTTTCTTTTTAGTGCCATATAGTCAAAATCAATTAAACATTAATATGCTTTTCCTACATAACCATTTTGGAATGTATAATCAGCTTTATTAAATAGATATCAATATAATCATTGCAATGGTGGAGTCATAATCAAGTAGATCCTACCACCTTCCTTTTTCAGATATCTTTATTTATAGACTCTACTAAAATATGTCACTTCATATATTTAATGTTAATGTCAACCTGACCATTGTGAAGCCATTCAGGAATATTTTAATAACCATTGTGAAGTTTTAGCATACATGTATGTGTGTAGGACAGATTTCATAAAAAAGCTAATTATACTCAGACCTCTTTAAATGCTTTAGGATATTAAGAATTGTAAAAGGTTTCTTGGTTGCATTATTTCAAACTGGATATAGGAAAAATATATACTCACATATATACATATATGTATAGGTAGATAGATAAATAGATGGATATAATTTTGGCTCATTCATCATTGTTTTCTATAAATCTAAGTTAACCTTGCCTGTGGAATTTATGATAGAATCAGAAATGTGTAAAACTCATTTCACTCTCTACCAGTAGTTCTCAAATTGTTGTCTCCAGTCCAGCAACCTCAGCATTTCATGTGAACTAATTAGAAATGCATATTCATGGCCCTCCACTCAGATCTGAAAAATTAGAAAGTCTGGCTATGAAATTAGCAATTTATATTTTAACATGTTCTATATATGTTTATTATGCACATTAAAGCTTGAGAATCTTTGCCTTCTGCCATTCCCCAACCCTAGAATTGACAACTTTTTAAAGGGAACTTCTCAAGTAATTTTGGTAAACTGATCTGCAAAATAGAATGATTATTTATATATCTTATTTTTATTCTTATTTTCCTACAGAGAAAAATTTTCTTTATTTTATATTTATTAGCACTTTAAAGGATATATGCATTAAAATTAGAATTTTGTGTTCGTTTCGCTGTTTGTTTTCAAATTATAGTTCTTTCTGAATACAGGTCCTATTAGGTAGTAACATAACCATAACATAACTAGCAAAGATCCATGGAAAGTGGAAAATAACTGTCATCATTCAGGTGCTTTCTGAAAACTCTCATTATAGGACAATTTTAATTAGAAGTCTGTACATATTTGTCTAAAATTATTTATTTTAGGCACATGCTGCAAATGGAACACTCCATATCATTTCACTGTCCTTCATGCTCATTCTGTCAGTTCCAAAAAGAAAAATAAAACTTATTTCCGATGATTTGTGATGTTGAGCATGTTTTGTATACCCATTTGCGATTTGTATGTCTTCATTTGAAAACCGTCTATTCAAATCTTTGCACATTTTTTAATTGGATTCTTTGGGGTGGGGGGGAGTTGTCACTGAGTTGTTTGTGTTTCTTTTATATTCTGGATATTAACCTCTTGTTAGATGCAGAGTTTTTAAGTATTTTCTCCTACTCTGTAGGTTTTCTCTTCACTCTATGGATTATGTCCTTTGTTGTACAGAAACTTTTTAGTTTGATGAAATCTCATTTGTCTATTTTTGCTTTGGTTACCCATGCTTCTGTTATACAAAAAATTATTCCACAGACCACTATCATGAAGTATTTTTCCTATGTTTTATTCTAGTAGTTTCATAGTTTCAAGTCTAATGCTAAAGTCTTCAATCCATTTTGCATTGATTTTTGTAAGTAGTGAGAAATAAAGATTTCATTTTATTATTCTGCCTGTGGATATCCAGTTTTCCTAGCACTGTTTATTGAAGAGACTGTCCTTTATCCAATGTGTGTTCTTGGCACTTTTATCAAAAATCAGTTGGCTGCAAATGCATGGATTTGTTTCTAAGTTCTAATTCAGTTCTATTCACATGTGTCTGCTTTATGACAGTACCATGCTGTTTTGGTTATTATTGCTTTGTAGTATATTTCAAAATCAGGAAATATAATTCCTCCAGCTTTGTTCTTTTTGCTCCAGATTGCTTTGGATATTCAGGATCTTTTGTGGTTGCATATGAACTTTAGGATTTTGTTTTTCTGTTTCTATGAGAAAAGTCATTGATATTTTGATAAGGATTGCATTAAATCTGTAGATTGCTTTGGGCAATGAGTGTGTTCTAACAGTTTTATGATAGATTCTGTAGGATTTTTTATATACAAGATTATGTTATATGCTAACAGGGAAAATTTGACATCTTCCTTTCCAATTTGGATGCCCTTTGTTTACTTCTGTTGCCTAATTGCACTAACTAAACTTCCAGTACCATGTTGAATAGAAATGGTGAAAGTCGTTTAGTTTGTTTTCTGTTGCCTATAACAGAATACCTGAACCTGAGAAGTTTATAAAGAAAATGAATTTATTTCTTATAGTTCTGGTAACTGAGAAGTCCAAGGTGGAGGAGCCAATCTGGTGAGAGCGTTTTTGCTGGTGGGGACTTTCTACAGAGTCCCAAAGTGATGCAGGGTATCACATGGTGAGGGAGTTAAGCATGCTAACTTGTTTGCCCAGGTCTCTCTTTCTTTCCTTATAAAGCCATAAGTCTTCTCCCATTATAACCCATTAATCTAGTAATTTATGAATGAACTAATCCATTCATGAAGGCAGAATCCTCATGAGCCAATCATCTCTTAAAGGCCTCCCCTCTCAATACTGCCACACTGGGGAGTAAATTTCAACATGTGTTTTGAAGGGAACAAATATTCAAATCATAACATTTTAAGCCTGCTCCCCACAACATTTCCTTTTCACATACAAATACATTTATTCTATTTTCATAGCCTCAAAATCTTAGCTTATTCCAGCACCAATTTCAAGTCTAAGTTCAAAGCCCAGTTTCTAAAAGTCTCACCTGTGGGCCTGTGAAATCAAAACAATTTATCTTCTCTCAAGATACAATAGTGATACACAAGAATAGGGTACATATTCCCATTCAAAAAGAAAGAAATAGGCTAAAAGGTAAGGGACAACATAGCCCAAGCAAGTCTGAAACCCAACAGAGCAAATATTGGATATTCAGACTCCATAATAATCTCCTTTGACTCCACACCTGGCATCCTCTACTCACTGGTGTGAGGGTTGGGCCCCCAAGGTTTGGGGCAGCCATGCCTCTAGGCTTGGCTGGGCTCAATCTGCCCACCTCTTTCAGGTTGAAATTGCACACTGGCAGTTCTACACCTCTGAGGTCTCAGTGGCGTTCCTGCTCCCACAGCTTCAATAAGCATTGCTTTGGTGGTGACTCCTCTGCAGAGGAAAATGGCAATTTTCCACTTGGCATTGCTCTGGCTGGTATTCTATGAAGTGGTTCTGCCCCCACAAGTCTCTTCCTAGGCCTCAAAGCTTTTGACAATATTGTTTGAAATCTGTGGAGGCTGCCAAGCCTTCACAGTCTTGCTTCCTGCAAGCCTGCAGAATTAGCATTACGTGGAGGTTGTCAATGTTTGTGACTTGTACCTTTGGAAGCTGAGTTCACTTGAGCCAAGGGGCCTTCATCCTGAGCTATCAGCATGTGAGGAGCAGTGTCCCAATGTGGTCAGGGCAACGGTGTCCTGTACCTGTCCTCAGAATGCTCTTTGGCCTCTGGGCCTGTTATGGGAAAGGCAGCCTAGAAGATTTCTGAAAATGCCTTTGGGTCCATTTTTCTATTGTCATGACTATTACACCTGACTCCCTTTTAGCCATGCTAAGCTTTTTGACAAGTGGTGACTCAGCTACACCTTTGGATTACTCTCTTGAAAATGCTCTTTCATTTTCTAGAACATGGCCAGACCACTAATTTTCTAATTTTTTTTGCTCTAGCAGTTCGCCACATGCAATTAGAAGTAACCACACAGCAGCCTGAGCACTTTGCTTCTTAGTAATTTCTTCCAGATACATTCATTCCTCTCTCTCAAGCTCAGCCTTCCACAAAGCCCTTGTGCACAGACACAGTTCAGCCATGCTCTTTGCCAATTTGTAACAAGGGTAGCCTTTACTCCAATTTCCAATACCTTGTTCTTCAGTTCCATCTGAAACCCTGTAAGAATGGTCTTTACTGTCCATATTTATTTCCCTAGTGTTAACAGCAAAAGCAAACTAAAATATTTTAAAGAGGCTTATTCTGAGCCAATATGAGAAATCATGGCTCAGAGAACATGGTGTCAAGAGGTCCTGAGAAAGTGCACCTGCAATGGTCAGGTTATAGTGTGGTTTTATACATGTTAGGGAGACAGGAATTGTGCGTAAAACAATAAAACAATACATGGAAGGTACTTATTGGTTTGACCTAAAAAGGCAGAACATCTCATAGTGGTGACTTACAAGTCATAGGTGGGTTTTATAAATTTTCAGTTGGCAATTGGTTGAAAGAGTTAAGCTTTGTCTGAAGACTTGAAGTCAGTAAAAAGGAATGCTTGAGTTAAGATGGGGGGTCTGCTATCTGCCATGTGATGCTATACCAAATTCAGGTTGGAAAGTAGGTCACATTATACCCAGTTAACTTCTTATAAAAGTCACGTAAAGAGATCTTGTTTGTTGGATGTGACTTAACCTTGCCTTGAATGGCCTTATGTCTTATTTATAATTTATCTTATTGCCACAAAGAGTTTATTTTGTCAGTTTTTTATCTCTATTTTAACCTAAATTCTGGTCAGTTGCACCCAAAAGGGAGGGGGTATAATGAGGCATGTTTGGGGTACCTTCCTATCATGGCTAGAAATTCAATTTTTAAGGTTGTTCTGTGGTTCTTTTGGCCAACAGAGGGTCCTTTCAGTCCTTCGAGGGTGAAGCTTAGAATTTTATCTTTAGTTTACATTAATCTTCTTGTTTTCTAAGCCCTCACCAGAATCTAAGCTTTTTCTAGCTTACTCCTCCAAATTCTTCAAGCCCCTACCCATTACTCAGTTCCAAAGCTGCTTCCGTATTTTCAGGTACTTATTATCTGTGTTAACAAAAGACCTTAAGGTCTGTAGAGAAAAAATACAATCTGCAGATTGAGGAGGCACAGACTTCATTACAAGTGAAAGCACATCCACTAAAGAACAAAGGGAGAGTCTGGCTTAAATAAGGAAACTTCTCACCCAGGTTTTAATCAGTTCAATTTATGTAAATGAAGGAGTTAAGGTTGTTCAGTTCTGATTGGTCTAAATAGTTGAGCTGTGATTTGGTGGTTTACAAGCCCAAAATCAAAAGTCTGTGTCAGATATTTATTTTTAATAGCTGCTGGCATTGGGGGTTTCTAGCCACAGTTTATCCAGCCACGAAAAACAAGAACTGGTTTGGCTTGATTATAGAAAGGGAAGTCCTGTCACACTTTTACAACATTTACAACAACATCTTCTTGAGGACATGTAGTACATGGTCATTCCCTCACCCAGTATAACTGCCTGATTGTGTTTTCATATAAAGCACCTCAGTTAGCCATAGGGAGTCAATTTTGTCTGTCAGCTAAATCATACTTTCACATCCACAGCGCACCACTTCTCTGTACCAAAATGTTCTTAATTTATCTCTTTTCTTTTACATATAAAAGAATACCTGAAGCTGGGTTCTTTGTAGAAAATAAATTTATTTCTTACAGTTCTGGAGCCTGAGAAGTCCAAGGCTTAAGGGTTACATCTAGTGAGAGCCTTCTTGCTGGTGAGGACTCTCTACAGAATCCCAAGGTGGTGGGCTGAGTATGCTAACTTGCTTGCTCAGGTCTTCCTTTCACTTCTTGTAAAGCCAACAGTCCCACTCTGATGATAACCCATTAACCCACTAACTCATGAACATATTTTTACATTCATGAAGGCAGAGCCCTCATGATGCAATCATCTCGTAAAGGTCCCACCTCTCAATGCCACCACTTTGACAATTAAATTTCAACATGAGTTTTGAAGAAGACACATATTCAAATCATAGCACTGGGCATCCTTGTTTGTTTCAGATTTTAGTGGAAAACCTTTCAACTTTTCCCTAGTTTGTGTGATGTTAGCTGTGGGTTTATCACCTATAGCCTTTATAGGGTTTAGGTTTGTTTATCTGAGAACTTTCTACTTTTTTGATGTTGGTGTTTATTGCCATAATCTTCCCTCTTTCAGCTACTTTTGCTGTATTCCACAGGTTTTGGCATGTTGTGTTTCCATTTTCACCTGTCTCAATAAAATTTTTATTTACATTTTAGTTTATTTACCCATTGGTTATTCAGGAACACATCATTTAATTTTTATGTATTTGTATAGCTTCCAAAGTCCCTCTTGTTTTTGATTTCTGCTTTGTTTCATTGTGGTCAGAAAAGATACTTATATGATTTTGATTATTTTTAAAATGTTTGAGACTAGTTTTGTGGCCTAACAAAATTTGTAACTACTATAAAAAAGACAAAAAAATAAGAAATACTGGGAGGAACATGGAGAAAAATGGTATGCATATGTTGTTATTGGGAATGTAAATTAGTACAGCCATTATGAACAACAGTTGAGAGATACCTCAAAAAATTAAAAATAGAACTACCGTATGATCCAACAATCCCAGTAGTGGGTATATATCCAAAGGAAATGAAGTCAGTATGTTGAGGACATATCTGCAGTTCTATGATTATTGCAACACTATTAACAGTAGCCAAGATATGGAATCAATTACACATCAATTATTAAATGGATTATCCATCAATTATTAAATGGATAAAAAGAAGTTGTATATATACATGATGGAATACTATCCACTTATAAAAAAACAAATTAAATTCTGTTATTTGCAACAACATGGACAAACCCAAAGAACATTATGTTCAAGAAAAAAAGGATGAAGATCACAAGATCTCACTCATTCTAGATCTTAAAAAGTTAATATCATAGAAGTAGAAGGTATAATAGTGGTTACCAGAGGCTGGGAACTGTAGGATGGGAGATGGGGAGAGGTTGGCCAATGGGTACAAAGTTACAGTTGCCTAGGAGCAATAAGTTTTGGTGTTCTATGGCATAACAAGTTCACTATAGTTACAAATAACGTGTTATATATTTCAAAGTAGCTAGAAGAGAGAATTTTATATGTTTTTAGTGCAAAGAAATGACAAGTGTTCTAGGTGAGGGATATGCTAATTAACCTGATTTGATCATTCCACAATGTATGCATGTATCCCAACACCATCTTGTATCCCCAAAATATGTATAATTATGTGTCAATTAAAAAAATTTAAAAATCATTCTAAATGATCACTTTAAGACTCAAGTTATATGATATTTTGACTCCTCCAACTGAAAATGTTTCAATGATGCTATTATTTCCCTAAGTTCTTTTGAGACTTGCCTTACTCATTCACTGCTAATCAACTTTTATGAAAAACCAATTTAACTGTTGTTTCCAATATTTATATGTCTCACTTTGAAAAAGAAAGGCTAGCAAAATAATGTGTAGTATGTTACAACAGCAAATATAGTATTCCCCCCACGCCCCGCACCCCCCCACACACACACAGAAGTATCCTGACTAGTTGATGTCATACCTGGACACACAAAAAATGAAGTAATTATAAAGAGGATGCCTTTAAGTAATAAGTACAACAACCATAACCACACTGTCAATGCATGCTATTTTCTTTATTCAGAAGAAGTGAGGCATAAATTTGCAAAGAAAATCCGAGCTAATTGTATTGTATGATATCCTGGGTTGTAGCATCAATGCTGTAGCAATTAATACTGCACAGGCATTGCAAGTATAGATTAGATAGTGATAGGTGAAAACATTAATTTCATAAATCTAAAAGATTGATTAGGTGAAATATGATGACATAATTCTCTTGTTATGTTAATGATGAGGTATATTAAGAGAGAATACATTCTCAATACTAAAGTAATGAAGCATAGAATACTGTTCAAAATATTGTGTTTATTCAGAAATATCTGATGATGTTTTAGAAATCATTTGCTCCAGCTCTGGTCCTAAAATTGAGCATATCACCTTGGGTTTGTACACGAAAACTATGAATGCAAATCCAAGTGTCCATAAAATATTTTAAGTCATTCAAGTTTGTGGAAAGATGACAATAAAGCCAAAGGAGAATACAAGTGAACTTCAATGACATTTTCCTACATCCTCATCATTTTCATGTTTGGCCACTGGATGTTGTTGCTTCAGCAATCCATGGAAACACAGTCCTGCAAAGTACTTCATTTCACTGCAGTTGATGTGTGTGAAATGAAAGCTCTTATGAGATGTCACTAAATTCATAATTTATAATACTTGATATTATTGCTATGACAGATTTTAGGATGATGAGGGAGCAAGCAAAGTGTAAAGAAAAAAGATAAAAGAGTTTAGTCTGTAAGCATATTTAATTGAGAGAATAGAAGGAACATGAAGTGGAGAGAAAATGAAGAAACAGAAGCTGGAGTTTTATATAGGATTAATTATTTTGTTGTCAATGTCATCACTGGGGAGGGAAAACATTCTTCTACTCCCTTAGGTTTTGTCATTGAAATCTGAGAATTAAACTGACAGAAGACAGACTAACAGGAGAAAGAACAAAGTTTACTCATATATGTTTGTAGGAGCTTGCAAAGATGGTGACTGAAAGAAGTAACTAGAATTTAATTTGTATAAAATCTTAATGGGGAAGGAGAGGGGAAAGGAGAAGTTACAGAACAACAAATAATTTTAGGAAAAAATATTAGGGTCTTTAGGAGAGTAGATGGAAGGTATGACTCTTGTGACTATGTTTATTTATACTACTTCTCATCAGAGTGCCAGTTTTCTTCAGTGATGGGTGTGAACTTCCTCAGCCCGAGTACAGGAAGCCTCCATTGAAGGAAAATTTAAGACAGTTGAATTTAATACTCTTATTTTAGATTATTATGGGTACATAATTGTTGTATCTATTTATGGGATACAAGTGATGTTCTGTTACAAGCATACAATGTGTAATGATCAAAGTAGGGTAATTGGGGTGTCCGTCACCTCAAGCACTTACCATTTCATTGTGGTAGGAGCATTTCAATTCCCTTCTTCTAGTTATTTTAAAATATATTTTTGTGAACCATAATCACCCTATTGTGGCAGTTCAAATTTTTTTCTGATAGTTTCTGTTTTTAGACAGATGTTCTAAGGGAGGGGACAGGGGTCAGAGAAAATCTCTTTCTGCATCTGCTCATTCTCAAATGTCTTCAGCTCAAAATAGTTTTTATGCCACAATGGCATATTCTGGGTCTCTTTGTCATTTTTTCTTATTGCCAATGGTAACAACTTAAACTGTGTGAATAAAGATGAATGGGGAAATATATTAATCATAGCTAATAATAACAAAAACAAGAATCTGTAACATTCTAGCACTCTTTAGGTTCCTTCTAATAGCTTATGGACTTTTATTTTCAAACACTTATGTCAAGAAAGAGTTTGAATCAATGGAAGAAAGTATAGACAATGGTATATCCTGACAAATATACATGTACTTGGAGAAATGCAATATTCTTTCCATTATCAATAACTTTATACTGTCTAAATGACTTGTATTTTTCACTGAAACCATCAATTACCTTTTAAAGCATCCATGATTTTTTGCAACTAAAAATAGTGTAATCATACAGAAAAAAACCCAATATCATTGACAATGAAGTTTTAAAAGGAGAATATAATCTAGTAGAATGATTTTTATTTTCCTGTCCTTGGTATGGCAGTGTGCTTATAAAATTAATCACAAAATTAGTACATCAATGTGTTGCTTATTTTGTCAGAAATTTTGTGACATATGGAAACAAAACCTGGGTGGAAATTCATTTCAGTCACCTGGTGAGAAATATATGAATTACTGGAATAATCTGTTAATTAAAAATTCTACAATGCCCAAGCTATTTAATTCTAAATTGCAGTTTCTAGGTTTGAGCAACATTGTAAATGAAATGTGATTAGAAGCTCTCTTTCTTTTGTGTCTCAATTGTTTCTGAGCACAATCAATTTGACAAGTATCCCATGAGTTACCCCTAGAGCAGATGCTCTCTACATTGTCTCTATCAGCTGTCCAGAGCTCCCAGAAAATGAAGATAAAACAATTTCACACTTGTCCTTAAGATTCTCAGACCCAGTATTCTATTGAATTATTTTCAAACATGTTATTATTTTCAAAAAACAGATGTCCTAATAAAAAATACATAGCTATATGAACATTTGCATAGGGTTCAAAGGCTGTAGAGTTGCTTTTTAAAAGTCTTTAAAATTCTGTAATAATGGTTTATGGTACCTTTTCTCTTTGTAATATATTTTTCTTTCCTAAAGACGATATCACGAAGCATACTAATCTATTGAACAAATTAAATTGCTCCAAGAAATAAGTTTCATTTTCTACTCTGAAACAACCCATTAAACAACCCATAATTTACTAAGGTAATGCAGGAAAATTGCCACATTTTACTGCAAATACTTTAATAATCTTGAACATGACTATTTTAATATCCTCACCTGTAGTCATACTGGTTTAGTTTTACTTTAGCAGACAAAATAATGAGAGTACAGTTAAGAAGATGTCTTGAATTTTTCTATAATCCTCAGTTTATACAGAGCAGTAAATTACATTTTACCAAAGCAGTAGATTAAGGATGAGGGCAATTTTTGGAGAAGTTAGTCTAGATTTCAAGTTGAAGGGAATACAAATGTATTTATAATGCAATAGGATCTTCAGCAACTTAAAAATGCTTTTAGTAAAAGAACACTTAAGCTGTTGAAATGAAATCCACATTAAAGACTACAATTGCTTGTTGAAAGAGGAAAAATAATATCAGTTATTTGCAAGTATTTTAGGGGATATTTTGCTTATTAATAGAAAATTAAACCAATTTCTACAAACTAGCAAAATCAAATTACCAATCCCTTTGCTCGTCTTCTCATTCTACTCTATTTCTAACTCAATATTTCAGATAGTTAAAAAATATGTAAATAAATGGCAACAATTTATAATTGAATTGCCCATGTAAATATGTAAACATGGCATTTGCAGTAAAAAGTCCTGTTTAACTTTCAAGACCTTCTCTTTTCCTCATATGTATTCAGGGTACAGCAGCTTGAAAAATCAATGATGTTCAACATGTGTATACCCACATCACTAATTTAATTATGAAAAGAAAAAGAATAAAGCATGATTATGTTTGCCTTCAAAATTTACACCATTCAGACTTAAAAATTTTTTAAGAATGTCTTTTTGATATTTCTATATAGCTGAACTACCTTTTCATTTAAGAATGATACCAGTAATTAAATATAATTATATAAAATTTTAAAATAAACACGTTAATATTTTCTTGATGGTGCTTAAGCAATATTGTAATGTATTACTTTTGTCTTAGTTTATCTTCCCTTAGAGGACACCTGGAGGCAGAGTTTCCAGGGAAAGTTGTTTATTTAGAAGATGACCACAGGAAAACTCAGTAGAATAATAGGAAATATAAGGAGGACAGGGGCAGTAAATTATCAAGCAAGTACCACACTAGGCAGCTGGAACTTTATCCCACTCAGGATCTCTGAGAGTCAGTACAGAATATTGACTTTAGAGTTATTCTGCCTATGGGGATAGAAGGCTAATTGATTATTGTCTGAGTGCTGTTTGAGAGAGACTGGTTATCCATCTGACTTTGCCAGCCTGGCCCCATGCATAGATATACTGACCTCTTTGCATCAGAAAAACTCCAGTGTCATTTTTTTAATGTGTTGACTTAACTAGACTACAGTTCCCAGTTGTTTAGTCAAATATGAATATACGTACTGCTGTTAAGGGATTTTGCAGATGTAATTTAACAGACTCTTAGTTGACTTTAAGTAAAGATTATCCTGGATAATCAGGCTGATCCTGACTAAATCTGTTGGAAGGCTTTACCTGTGAGCCTAAAGCTTCCCTGAAAGAGAAGAAATTCTGCCCTTGTGCAAGAGCTTTGACCCCACTCATGTGCTCCAGCCTGCCATGTTCTCCCTTGCTGAATTTGCCTGCCCTGTGCATTTCAGAGTTGCTTGGCCAAAGCCTGGAATTGTGTGAGCTAAGCCAATGCTAATTATACACACACACACACACACGTATACATATATATATGTTTCTGTAGTTGAACTCTGACTGATAATCCGTTTGACAAAGATGCAGTTGCTGGCAATTGGAAATTGAGCTGATGTACATGGAAATGAGGTTTAAAGTGAACATAGGTGGGGCACTTATAGAATCCTCAAACTACACAGATGCATTCATAGCCCATATTAAGTTATTTCTATCTGATTGTTTTTTTTTTAGGTGACTGCTGTTGAAATTCTCTGAAAAATGTATTTACATTAGGAGATTTAGTAGAATAAGCCATAGAAAATGTTGCTGTTTTGGTCCTGGGGATGCAACTGATATTTACTATCTTCCTCCTTTGCCACCACATATTCTAGATATTTCTCCTCTTAAAGTCAGGTGTTAATGTCTGTTTCTTGTCTTATAGTGTAACCTAGATCTTCATCCCTAAGGAATCTGAAGCCTTGGTTAACATGTCCATGTCATTCTGTGGTGGATTTGGCACTAATCGTTGCTCCAGAAGTAACAGTGGTCAGGGTTGGAGTCATATCTAGAGGAAGACAAGTCATTGCTTCAGATATTGCTTTTTTGAAGTCTCCAATCAAAGGTACTTTGATATCCCCTAGCACAAGAAAGAAAGCCACTTATGACAGCCCAGAGAGGTCATGGAAACTGAGGTGTTCAAGATTTTCAATTGCAATCACTGAGGTGTCTCTATTTCAGATACCTCTCCTTCCCTATCAAGACCATTGCTTTGCTATAGAAGATGTATTGGTCCAAAAATGCATTTTTTTCTTTTTTTTTCATAAACAGATTTTAGGCATTTTTCTGTGCAGATTTCCCTGCAGCTGCAGGAGATGAGGGTCTCCTTTCTATAGAGCCTATGACCTTGACTCTGAGCTCTGAGTTCATATTTGGTCAGTAGTTGCTGTTTTTTTCTTTTCAAGAACTCAATAACAGTTAACAAAAAGCTCTATCCTCCTTACAACTTTATTTCTCCCTGCAGACCTCCAATGTTAGAGATTCTGAGTAAAGCAATGTGTCATCTTTCATCTGCACTATTTCTCACATCATCATGCCAGAGTTTATTACCACCCCTTACCTTTAATAAAATGGCCCTTTTTAAAATAAAATACCTGGCCCAAAAGTGATCAAATTCTAGAACCCAATCCTGAGGCTTTGCTTCCCAGGATCACATATGGTACTGTGTGTCTTACTATGGTTTCACAAAAACCAGAACCTGAGACAATAATCTAAGTGCTAGTAGTTTATTCAGGAAAATAATGATAAGAAAGTGAGGAATTAAGGTAAGAAGGGAAAAATTTAGCAAAAAGCATATTATCAAGGAAGTTATATTTGGGAGGTAAAGCAGACCATACATCTCAGAATCATTCTCCTGGAGAAGTAATGAATTATACACCAGTTTATGTCATTCATTAGTTGTGCTGATGGAGAAAGACCTCTATTTCCTAGAATTTCTGGCTTTTCATTCACATTGTTGGTGCATTTTTCTTCTATAAGAGTAAACTCTTTACAAAGAGTCACAAGTGCTGGCTGTTGGTAGTCAGGAAGGCCTGCAAAAATCAATACAAAATAACAACAGTATGTAGTAATTAACTAGAGGATATGGATGGGGCATCCATATCAATCACATTTACCTTAAAAATAGTGTATATTCAAGATAATATCTGTCAACCTTTGATTCACTTGGATGAGTAAGACATGCATATGTAATAATTATTAAGAAAGCACAATAACAACTTTTGAGAAAGTCATTGGAAACTGGTACTCATGGTGGATGACACAGCCTTTGGAATAAATGTGTAATCAGCATAACATTACATAAATGGTAAAGGAAACTGTAGAGGTAAGAAGGTCTATATTATAGTTTCAACACAAATATCATTGTGCATATGGAGAAGTAAATATTTTTAAAATAATGTACAAAATAGTGTAAGCCTATAGGAGATTCTCATGGAAGTGGTCCAAACACCACATTATATTTTTTAAAAGTTTTTTCATGTCTCAGATTCATAAAGATAGTCTTGTGTGTTTCCAAAAATGTAAAATGTATAATCTATTTGGAATACATTTTTTTCTACAGGATGTGAAGTAGAAAAGTGTTTTCCTTACTTTTAATATAGATGTCTTTCCTACAACCATACAGGATCAATCCTAGTTTATGAGGACCCTAGGCAAATAGAGTTTGCAGGAGTCCTATCTATATAAACAATTATTTTCCAACTGGAGTATAAAATGCATGCATTCATGTGATGTAGAGTAGTTTAATGATATAGATTTGGATAGATAGAATAGAGGTATTTAAGAATTTGTTTATTGTCCAATTAATGCATGTGAAGATTATCTGTAAAGTACAGGAATTATTGTTTACCATCCAAATATAAGAACCATGTATTCATGTTCTTTCTCACTAAATGTGTGTATCTCCCACCATGACCAAAGAATATCAATGCAGTTATTACTCATTAATTCATGCCATGGCTCTTGTGAACCTGTTTGTATTAAAACTATAATACAGATATTCTTGCCTTTTCAGTTCCTTCCAGGACTCACTTACTGCCAATGCTGATTACATCAATACTCATGGCGCTTCATCATCCCCCATAAACGCTGGTTTCCAATGACTCTCTCAAAAGTTGTTACTGCATAATCTTAGTAATAGTCACAGATGGATGTCTTACCAAGAATATTAAAGAACATGTGACTGAGAATTCCTATTCTTGCTGTGTTAAATTTACCATTGAGATTTCATAATGATGTAGAACAAAACATCTTCCAACCATGTTATCTCTTAAATTCTTTAGGACAAAATCACTTCATTTTTAGAATGCAATCTTTTTCAGTGGACCACACCCTAGTCTTCCACATATCATCAGGGAGGGCAGGTGGGTAGCTGTGGGCACGCAAAAAGAGTGATCTCATTCAGGAAGTAATATTTATCCCTTCTCTGCCATGGCTTAAGACTGACTAGGGAGGCCGGAATATCCCCCATACATATCAAAGTCAAGAAAGGATATCACAGTAAAGGCTCTGTTGGCTTTGTGGAACAAGAGTGTTGAAAGCTCACAGAATAAATGACACCATGCTTGAAAACTACCTGACACATGGCGTGAAGCCTGCTCAATGTACGGGTTGTGGATATCACTGGTTAAACTGTACAAAGAGGGTTAAGGACCCCTTAACCCTCAGATATTTTAAACCAGAGGTGACGCTGCAGTGGACACATGTGTGAGTAGAGGCCAACCAAACCCCTCATACTCATAGCTCTAACCCAAGATAAAATTGTAGGCAAATAGTAGCCCAGAGTCCTGAATGAATCTTGTGTATAACATTGAGAGTAATGCAAAACCAGTGTGTCAGCTCCTTCCTGGTTACTCAATAGCACACGATTCCACAAAAGAAATACTGTCAGTGGAAGCATCCCACTCACCAGGCTACCCTATTGGATCTGACACATATCTGCGGAGCACCAGAATAACTCTTAGGTCTATCAATCTCCAAGCTCCTAAGGATATCCAACAGGCTTCATATCCAGGGGTATAAAAAGGAGCAAAGAATGTTCCTCAAGGAGAAACAAGGGCCCAAGTAGTGAGACTTGTATACTGTTATTGGTGGAGGTGACTTTATTTGACTGAAGCAATCTCTAAAGGGAGATGACAGCAGGGACTATTTAGGAACAGAACTCCCATTACTTGTAAGTATTTAATAAGTACTTTATTCCAGAAGGTGATTATGGGCAGGGGATCAAAATATCCCTTACTGGAATCTTTTTTAAAAGTATTTTATAACTTAGTTGTAGGTAAAAAATAATAAAATTGGCTTTTACATTTTGATTATATATCTGGCATATCGACTAAACTTTCTTATAAATAAAATACTTCATATTTCTCCACATCCTCTCCAGCACCTGTTGTTTCCTGACTTTTTAATGATCGCCATTCTAACAGGTGTGAGATGGTATCTCATTGTGGTTTTGATTTGCATTTCTCTGATGGCCAGTGATGATGAGCACTTTTTCATGTGTCTTTTGGCTGCATAAATGTCTTCTTTTGAGAAGTGTCTGTTCATATCCTTTGCCCACTTGTTGATGGGGTTGTTTGTTTTTTTCTTGTAAATTTGTTTGAATTCATTGTAGATTCTGGATATTAGCCCTTTGTCAGATGAGTAGATTGCAGAAATTTTCTCCCATTCTGTAGGTTGCCTGTTCACTCTGATGGTAGTTTCTTTTGCTGTGCAGAAGCTCCTTAGTTTAATTAGATCCCATTTGTCAATTTTGGCTTTTGTTGCCATTGCTTTTGGTGTTTTAGACATGAAGTCCTTGCCCATGCCTCTGTCCTGAATGGTATTGCCTAGGTTTTCTTCTAGGGTTTTTATGGTTTTAAGTCTAAGATTTAAGTCTTTAATCCATCTTGAATTCATTTTTGTATAAGGTGTAAGGAAGGGATCCAATTTCAGCTTTCTACATATGGCTAGCCAGTTTTCCCAGCACCATTTATTAAATAGGGAATCCTTTCCCCATTGCTTGTTTTTCTCAGGTTTGTCAAAGATCAGATAGTTGTAGATATGCGGCATTATTTCTGAGGGCTCTGTTCTGTTCCATTAGTCTATATCTCTGTTTTGTTACCAGTACCATGCTGTTTTGGTTACTGTAGCCTTGTAGTATAGTTTGAAGTCAGGTAGCATGATGCCTCCACCTTTGTTCTTTTGGCTTAGGATTGACTTGGCAATGCAGGCTCTTTTTTGGTTCCATATGAACTTTAAAGTTTTTTCCAATTCTGTGAAGAAAGTCATTGGTAGCTTGATGGGGATGGCATTGAATCTATAAATTACCTTGGGCAGTATGGCCATTTTCACAATATTGATTCTTCCTACCCATGAGCATGGAATGTTCTTCCATTTGTTTGTATCCTCTTTTATTTCATTGAGCAGTGGTTTGTAGCTCTCCTTGAAGAGGTCCTTCACATCCCTTGTAAGTTGGATTCCTAGGTATTTTATTCTCTTTGAAGCAGTTGTGAATGGGAGTTCACTCATGATTTGGCTCTCTGTTTGTCTGTTATTGGTGTATAAGAATGCTTGTGATTTTTGCGCATTGATTTTGTATCCTGAGACTTTGCTGAAGTTGCTTATCAGCTTAAGGAGATTTGGGGATGAGACAACAGGATTTTCTAGATATACAATCATGTCATCTGCAAACAGGGACAATTTGACTTCCTCTTTTCCTAATTGAATACCCTTTATTTCCTTCTCCTGCCTAACTGCCCTGGCCAGAACTTCCAACACTATGTTGAATAGGAGTGGTGAGAGAGGGCATCCCTGTCTTGTGCCAGTTTTCAAAGGGAATGCTTCCAGTTTTTGCCCATTCAGTATGATATTGGCTGTGGGTTTGTCATAGATAGCTCTTATTATTTTGAGATACATCCCATCAGTACCTAATTTATTGAGAGTTTTTAGCATGAAGTGTTGTTGAATTTTGTCAAAGGCCTTTTCTGCATCTATTGAGATAATCATGTGGTTTTTGTCTTTGCTTCTGTTTATATGCTGGATTACATTTATTGATTTGCGTATATTGAACCAGCCAGAATTGGAAAAAACTACTTTAAAGTTCATATGGAACCAAAAAAGAGCCCTCATCGCCAAGTCAATCCTAAGTCAAAAGAACAAAGCTGGAGGCATCACGCTACCTGACTTCAAACTATACTACAAGGCTACAGTAACCAAAACAGCGTGGTACTGGTACCAAAACAGAGATATAGATCAATGGAACAGAACAGAGCCCTCAGAAATAATGCCACATATCTACAACTATCTGATCTTTGACAAACCTGAGAAAAACAAGCAATGGGGAAAGGATTCCCTATTTAATAAATGGTGCTGGGAAAACTGGCTAACCATATGTAGAAAGCTGAAACTGGATCCCTTCCTTACATCTTGTACAAAAATTAATTCAAGATGGATTAAAGACTTAAAACGTTAGACCTAAAACCATAAAAACCCTAGAAGAAAACCTAGGGAATACCATTCAGGACATAGGCATGGGCAAGGACTTCATGTCTAAAACACCAAAAGCAATGGCAACAAAAACCAAAATTGACAAATGGGATCTAATTAAACTAAGGAGCTTCTGCACAGCAAAAGAAACTACCATCAGAGTGAACAGGCAACCTACAAAATGGGAGAAAATTTTCGCAACCTACTCATCTGACAAAGGGCTAATAACCAGAATCTACAATGAATTCAAACAAATTTACAAGAAAAAAACAAACAACCCCATCAAAAAGTGGGTGAAGGACATGAACAGACACTTCTCAAAAGAAGACATTTATGCAGCCAAAAAACACATGAAAAATTGCTCACCATCACTGGCCATCAGAGAAATGTAAATCAAAACCACAATGAGATACCATCTCACACCAGTTAGAATGGCAATCATTAAAAAGTCAGGAAACAACAGGTGCTGGAGAGGATGTGGAGAAACAGGAACACTTTTACACTGTTGGTGGGACTGCAAACTAGTTCAACCATTGTGGAAGTCAATGTGGCGATTCCTCAGGGATCTAGAACTAGAAATACCATTTGACCCAGCCATCCCATTACTGGGTATATACCCAAAGGACTATAGATCATGCTGCCTTAAAGACACATGCACATGTATGTTTATTGTGGCACTATTCACAATAGCAAAGACTTGGAACCAACCCAAATGTCCAACAATGATAGACTGGATTAAGAAAATATGGCACATATACACCATGGAATACTATGCAGCCACAAAAAAGGATGAGTTCATGTCCTTTGTAGGGACATGGATGAAATTGGAAATCATCATTCTCAGTAAACTATCACAAGAACAAAAAACCAAACACCGTATATTCTCACTCATAGGTGGGAATTGAACAATGAGAACACATGGACACAGGAAGGGGAACATCACACTCTGGGGCCTGTTGTGGGGTGGGGGGAGAGGGGAGGGATAGTTTTAGGATACCTAATGCTAAATGACAAGTTAATGGGTGCAGCACACCAGCATGGCACATGTATACATATGTAACTAACCTGCACATTGTGCACCTGTACCCTAAATCTTAAAGTATAATAATAATAAAATAAATTAAAAAATCCTTCTTAATGATGTAGAAGTTTTTAAAAAATCATTCTTAATACTGTTCTTTCAAGATGTATTTCTTATATGTCAACATTTATGCCAAACTCCCAGATGACTTTTTTTCAATCATTAGGTTTTATTGTTTACAGTGGATTTCATTTGTTTTCAGACTTACTTCACTCAGCACTGTAAGTTCTGTGTTCCAGAAAACCATTCAGTCCTGGACAAACCAACTATTTCATAACACTAGAACCGGTAACTGATTAAATAGTGACTCTCAATGTTGGCAGGGGATTGGGGGCAGAGTTTATGAATAAAAGTAGGGAGAAAATGCAGCTGTAGTACCCAAACTTTTAGGTTTTATATCTTTTCATTAAGAAACGACTTGGCACAGCCCTACTTTAGCATTTTACTATGTAAGAATTCAAAAACAAATACCCACACTCCTATCATCACTATCGGTTAATAGAAGAAATCCGAGTTTAAGATTTAAAGATGGCAAAATATTGAGCGGTGAAGCCAGCTGGGCTTCTGGGTCGGGTGGGGACTTGGAGAACTTTTCTGTCTAGCTAAAGGATTGTAAACACATCAATCAGCTCTCTGTGTCTAGCTAAAGGTTTGTAAACGCACCAATCAGCACTCTGTAAAAATGCATCAATCAGCTCTCTGTGTCTAGCTAAAGGTTTGTAAACGTACCAATCAGCACTCTAAAAATGCACCACTCAGTGCTCTGTGTCTAGCTAAAGGTTTGTAAATGTACCAATCAGCACTCTAAAAACGGACCAATCAGCACTCTGTAAAATGGACCAATCAGCACTCTAAAAACGGACCAATCAGCACTCTGTAAAATGGACCAATCAGCGCTCTGTAAAATGGACCAATCAGCAGTATGTGGGCAGAGCCAAATAAGGGAACAAAAGCTGACCACCGGGGCCAGCAGCAGCAACCTGGTTGGGTCCCCTTCCATGCTGTGGAAGCTTTTCCCTTTTGCTCTTCACAATAAATCTTGCTGCTGCTCACTCTTTGGGTCTGCACTACCTTTATGAGCCATAACACTCACCTTGAAGGTCTGCAGCTTCACTCCTGAAGCCAGCAAGACCATGAACCCACCAGGAGGAAGAAACAACTCCAGACTCGCCACCTTTAAGAGCTGTAACACTCACTGTGAAGGTCTGCGGCTTCACTCCTGAAGTCAGTGAGACCACAAACCCACCGGGAGGATTAACAACTCCAGATGCACCACCTTTAAGAGCTGTAACACTCACTGCAAAGGTTTGCAGCTTCACTCCTGTAGTCAGCAAGACCACGAACCCGCCAGAAGGAAGAAACTCTGGACACATCTAAATATCTGAAAGAACAAACTCCAGACACACCATCTTTATAACTGTAACACTCACCGTGAGGTTCTGCGGCTTCATTCTTGAAGTCAGCGAGACCAAGAACCCACCAGAAGGAACCAATTCTGGACACAATATGATGTTGGATTAAAAGAAAATCATTAAAATTATGAACACTGTATTTTCTTTTTTTATCGCAGGTAGCTAAAAAATTCCCCCAGTGGCATATTGACCTGTATTGGTAAATTCTGCTTTATGTGATTGATACGCTCTATGTCTCCTTTCCATAAGATGAGCCAAACTCTTCTCATAAATATAAATAAATAAATAAATATAACACATTTATTTATTTATTTATTTGACAATCCAAGTAAATTTTTTACTATAATTTTAGAGAATAAAAAGCATCTAGGTGAGTAATACTTGGAGTAGGGGAAGGTATGTAGCCATAATACTTTGGGGCTTCTTAATACTTTAGGATACATATGACAATACAAGAGACTTTACTCCCTCTAAAAAACTGCTCATCTATATATATATATAAAATCTATTGTTTAATTTCAGGTGCTTCTCATATTCTCTGGAGCCCAGGGACCCTGGGATCAGAACTCCTGTTCAAACACAGCTGACAAATGTTTAATTATCTTCTAGTCAAATACATTCAAATGGCTTTCTTAAGTCTCACAACAGCAGTTATGAGAAAATGCATGTGCTTCTCTGAGGTCTCCACTGACACATATCCGTAAGATCTGCCACATCAAATATACCAGTGAGGTTAAGCACATAATTCTACAGGATAAGACACAGTGAATGAGACTTGGATAAATTTCATCACAGAGCGGTATTACAGTGGAGAGACTTTAAAACATTTATATTTCAAATAAATATTAGTCTTAGGTATGCAGCAGCTTTATACGTGGGTTGTTAACACAGCTTTGCTTTCTGTGAAAAAGATTCTGGTAGGTATTTGCTATTTAAATATTTTCAGTTAATTAGTCCCTATGGTGCCTTCCATTTCAGGCTCCAGCTGTTCATGCTAATGAAATATAACCTGGTGTCAGGAATCCCCATCCTCTAGCATTAAGTGGTTAACCAGTAATGGGGTGCTTGAGAAGTTGCACACATAAAGGGAGGTGATGAACAACTTAAACTTAATTATCACTGCTTTTATCTTTCAAAAGAAAAAAAAAGAAAAAAGTGAGAGCTATAGTATTATTAGTGAGTCCCTCTCTGATGAAACATATTTCAAAAATAGAAGCAGAAGAGAAAAAAACGTTTAACATTTTAACCACAATTAGAGCAAAGTTATGTCTTTAGATATTCAACCTGATTTGGGAATGTATTATACTCACAAAAATGATCAAACGTTTACAAAACATCACCTCTTCACTCCCATTTTTACAAGAAAATTTCTAGTTAGCCAACGTAGACAGCCATAGAAGGCAAGTTGTGAGTCCCACATTTAGTATACAGTGCCTTCACAACAATATTTTGCCTGACTTGGTCTAGGAGTGAGTGTTTTACAGCTTCAGAAATTGATCATCTATGTACAAGTCTTGAATTTAGTATTTAATTTATAATATAAAGATGATACACTGTCACAAAGACACAGGTAATTAATTCCAAATAGACAAGCTGCAGAGCACATTCTCATCAAATTGCAATAAAACTAAAGGTAAAATTCAATTTAAGAACCTATGAAAAATTGTACTAAATAATTACCATTGTACTAAAATAATTACCGTATGAGTAAATCAAATCAAAATACAAAATAAAAGTTTGAAATAAAAGTGCCTTAAATTTGTATATAGGGAAAGTTGTATTTTTATTACTAAAGGTAAGTTTTGTTATTAAACAAGAACATTTAGATAAATTAAGTAAATTTTAAATGTAAGAAACAAGAAAAATGAAGTTTCAGAAACTGACAAATATAAAAGAAAATTAACAAATTATAAAATATAGAAAAACTGGCAAAAATACAGAGATAGAGTCCCTCAAAGGTGGTTATAAAAAGGTATGAAGAATACATTGAAAAACACATTATTTCTTAAAAAGCATTACCTATGAAAGAAAAGGCAAGAAGCAAAATATACATAAGGATAAAGAATGAGATAAAACTACATATAGATAAAACATAAATGCTTATGAAGGATAAGATGGGCATATTTGGTCAATACATTTAAAAATATAAATTAGTTATTAAAAAGTTGACCTATGAAGTATAGGATAAATATAATTATAAAATCAAAGATGAATAAACATTTATAGTTCAATGTACTTTTAATTAAGTAAGGATATTTTTGTGTTTGGAAAGTCTACATATCTACATGTGTTTCTGTATGTGTATACAGATACAGATCTAGATACATGCTTTCATAGACAAGAAAACAACCTAAATAATTTCAAACACCAGACAATGTGGTAGGCTTTGATAAGGAGAAGTGACTTTCACATTTTATTTTATATTTTAGGTTAAAATATATCTTAATTTTATGATTTTTCATTCATTAAAAATCATATTAACAAAATATACATCTGAAAAACTGTAGCTAAGTTACTCACCTACATTTTATATGTCTGGAGGTCTTCTACTTATGGTTATTATTATTATATAGCTAATACAATCACTAGCAAAAACTTTTAAAACATTAAAAACCTTTACAATTGCCAGGGCCATGGGAAAATTTTCCCTTCGCCTTCTGAAGGTTTGCTGAAAAATGACTGACGAGGCAGATTAATAGGAGAAAAGGAATTCAAATTTATGTAATGTATACATGGGAGCCTTAAGAATGAAAACCCAAAGATACAGGAGAAACTGTCCATTTTATCCTTAGGTTCAACAGATGATCAGCAGTCAGGTAGAAATATGATTGGGAAAAAAAGGATATGATCTAATGTTAATTGACTGGGAAAATCCAGCAAGGCCTGTCTCTCTAAACTCTTCATGGTCTTTCTAAGTATGCATTCCTTCCTTTTGGGGGTGGGGTAGGGGGGCTTTTTTGACCTACAGTCAAACAAGGTAAGTTAGGTAACTTCTCTGTGACCAGTTTTTACACAGAAAGGTGAGGGCGATTAGAGTAACAATTTTCAGGTTTTATGGCTAGCTTTGGGGAGAAGGGGTTCTGGTTTCTAGGACCCGCTTTGGGGAAGAAGAGATTCTAACAGGAGCAGGGGAGAAGGTGAGAGAAAAGCTTTTGCCTCTGAAGCCTTCATTTTGGAGTATTCTTTTCCGAGTCCCAATAAAATTACACAATATAAACTAGGGGAAAAGTGTGCAGCAAAATTTGGGGCATCATACTATTTCTTAAATAACCTGAAAAAATTCCAGTTCTGAAAAGTCAACAGACATTACCTCAGCAATAAGTCTGACCAACATCATGATGATGTTTGCTATTAAAATCTGAAGTTCATTAAGGTAAATTTCATGTAATAGTCCTACTTAAAATTCTTTCAAATGTAAGACAACCACCTACTGGACTTAAGGCCAAGAGCCAGACATAAAAGATCTTGTCTTACAGAAAAAAATAGAAAAATATTCAGATGATGGTTGCTGTATAATCATCTTATAACAGTTTTTGTGTTTTAACAAAATAAAGAGGAAAAATTCTGTGTTCATGAACTCCAGTGTCACCATCTCATTTACTTGTCCTCTTTTGATTTTATACTAATCTAGGGGATCTCAATCCTTATTGCATGTTAGAATTAAGTGAGGAAAGTGTGAAAAAATAATTTGTAAAGTCATATAAGGATTTACTATTTCAGAAAAATTGGGAACCTGTTGTTTACAATACATAATTCTAGAAATTCTTTGTTGTCATTTTGTTATCAGTTCTGGGTAATTTTGAATAGCCAATAATCTTTCCTTAGCTAATATACTATCTTTGACAGACAAATCATTCCAAGATGACAAACTTCAGCTTTGTACTTTCAGAAACTTTATACTCCTTCCCAACCAATTTAGTTTCTCTCTATAGCTATACAGATGCACAGCTATAGAGACAGAGAAACAGAAACAGACAGAAAGAGTGATCATTTCTTTCCAGATAGATGAATAGACAGAGTTTGATTTATAGATATCCAAAACAACAGATAATAGACTATCAGTAATCTACATATTGGATTAACAAAGATTAAGAAAAAACATCTTAAATTGAGAGAAATAAGACAGAGACTGTAAATCCTGAGGGATTACTTTTTAGTATATTATGTTTTCCCAGGTAAAGGCAAACAAATATCTTTTCTTTTTATCTGTTATATTGTTCTGTTGGGATGCATGCCAAAAAAACACAAACAAAACAAAAAACCTAACAGGTTCACACAAAACTATCACCGAGAATTAACTTCTGGAAAGACAAAGCAGGTGTTGTGTTTGAGCTAGACTCTAACATAAAGTAAGATCTTAAACTGTTGCAAATTTTGAATATATTTATTATTTTTACTAGTTTGTCTATTCTACAGACAACAGAGGAGTATTTCAAGAAATAGTGAAAGGAATAATTAGTACTTCTCTCTAAATGTCAGTCCCAAAGATACAAGATCTCCGGTTTCAGTATTTAGAAAACACAGTAATCTTAGAAAATTATTTGGAAGAGTCAAACCTAAGCTTCTATAAACTCAGTTTCTGGTGTTTACCTATTTCAGTAGATTTTTTTTAGTCCATTAAGATTCCAGAAGAGCATCTCACTCTTAGTTTCTTCTTAAATCATATTTAAAACAAGCATACAAATATATAAATCACATGTAATTTTGTTAATGACAGGAGAATTTTATGAATCCTTTACAAACAAATGCTGCAAATTATTTTGATGGTTTGTTTACAAAGCAAATCTCTGCTGTTCAATTTACAAATTTAATATTTGCTGAGGCAGTTTCATAGAGAAGAAAGAAGTGGTCTGTTGATAGTGGTCCCAAGGAAATAGTTACAGGAAGAAAACTGAAGAAATCCAGGACTGTTAAAAATTTATATTACCCAAGGAACTTTAGTGCTGTAGGAAGGCTGTTATTCTATAGTAACAAGGTTTGTAAAATAAATAGTGACAATATTTCCATGACGAAAATTAATCGTCATCCATATATGCTTATAATTAGTTCATCTTGGAAATTTAGTGAAAAGGCAGTGAGTACTTGGATGATAGATTCTTCATTAAAACAGCACCATTGGGACAAGGGGTTAACATCCAATAATATAGGAAGAACTCAACCAACTCAATAGCAAAAAAAAAAAAAAAAAAAAAAAATCAAATTAAAAGATGGGCAAAGACCTAAACAGGCATCCGTCAAAGGAAGAAATATCAATGACCAACATACATATACCGTTTACAACATATACGTATACGTATATGTATACGTATATGTATATATACAACGTATATGTATACGTATACATATATGTATATGTATATATACAACGTATACGTATACATATACCGTTTACAACGGTATATGTAAAAATAGTCAACATCACTAATCATTAGGGAGATTCAAATCAAAACTATAGTGAGGTGTCACTTTACCTCAGTTAGAATAACAATTACCAAAAACACAAAAGATTACAGATGCTGGTGAGGATGTGTAGACAGGCGAACTCTTACACACTGTTGCAAATGTAGATTAGTAAAGTGGAAAACAATATGCAGATTCCTCCAAAGAATAAAAAATATAACTACCATATGATCCAGGCAATTCCACTACTGGGTACATACCCCCCAAAAATGAAATTAATATGTCAAATAGATATATGGACTACCATGTTTATTGCAGTGCTATTTACAATAGCCAAGATATGGAATCAACTCAAGTGTTCATCAACAGATGAATGGAGGAAGAAAATATGTATATATTGAATACTATTCAGCCATAAAAAATGAATGAATTATTGTCATTTGCACCAATGTAGTTGAACCTAGAAGAAATTAACCGAAGTGAGCTAGGCACAGAAAGACAAATGCTGCATGATATCACTCATATGCAGAATCTAAAAAAGTCGATCTTTTTTTAAATTTTATTATTATTATACTTTAAGTTTTAGGGTACATGTGCACAATGTGCAGGTTAGTTACATATGTATACATGTGCCATGCTAGTGTGCTGCACCCAAAAGTCGATCTTATAGAAGTAGAGAGTAGAATAGTGATTACCAGAGGCTGGGGAATTGAGTGCGGAGGGGGAAGAGGGAGACGTTGGCTAATGGTTATAGGGTCACAGTTAGATAGAAGGAATAAGTGCTGACGTGCTATTGTGAATAAAGGTAATTAAAATTAATAATAGTGTAGTATATTTCAAAATAACCAGAAGAGATGATTTTGAATGTTCTCACCACAAAGAAACGATGAATCTTTGATATAATAAAAATGCTAAATGCCCTGATTTGATTATTACACAATGTATATATGTGTTGAAACATATCACTTTAATATATAAATATGTATAATTATTTTGTGTATATATTTAATCATATAATTATCCATTAAATAAATAAATAAATAGATACAGCCCATTGGGTAGGTTTTATGCCATTATACGTTTTTATTTTTGCTAATATGAATTATTGGCTATTCCAAAGCTGTTTCTGCAAATATTTTTACTAGTAGGTCTTCAATTCTTAGAAGAAGCCCCATTGGCATAGTTCCTATTTCAGAGTTCACTTGTTTTTCGGAAAACCCATAAACTTGTTTGTTTCTTAAATTGTCAGTTTTCTAAGGCCCACTAAAAATATTGGGCTTATATTAAACATTGTTTAAGTCTACAAATTCCCATTTCAATTTTGTTTATCAAATAATTTGTTAACTTAGTCAATTTATGAAAACAGAGGACAGGATTTTTTTTTCCATCAGCTCTTGGAGCTGAATAGCACATACTTCTAGTTTGTGGTGTTTCTGTAGACGCCCTCCTCATTGAAGTGGTCACTGCTCCAAAGCCAAACTATTAGATCACTGAGGGACTGCTTTCTCTAGGCTTATCCCTGGGCAGAATGTAAACAGATATCTCCCAAATATAACACTGTCAGCAGTGAGAAAGAAATAAAAATAATCAAAATAGAAGTACACAGGATTCAGGAAGAGATGTTCTTTCCTCCAGCCATGTAACTATATGACATGATACTGACGAAGTTCAACATCACACTGTCTACAAAAGAGAAATGCTTACAGTCTAGCTCTATTATTTCAGATCGAGGTAAACAAACTAGATTTCAAGCTTAGAGATAATATTATAAATTGATAGTAGGCATGTACATGATCCTATATAATTACCAAACATCATGCCTCACCTCCCACCTCAATGACATAGCAGAAATGCATTCCTGACCACAAATTTTGATCCCCTAGCTACAGCCAAGTCTGATATTAGCTTGTTCCTGGGACCTTTGACTCTAGCTAAATGGAGTTGCCCTTCTGAAATTTGTATCTGAAAAAGTACTGATTGGTACAAAATATTATTTAAAAACAAATCTGAAAAGCAGAAATAAAGAATATATTACAGTTCATAAGTAATTCTTAGGTCTAATATTTTCTATATTGTAATTATTTAGAGACTCTCATTCTCTTTATAGGGAATTTCTTCATGAGCTGTTTGGTATAGTGTCGTGATTCACAATCAAACAGAACTGAAATTAATGCACTCTTTTGCAGACTTCTGGTTTGAGTTGAGTTATATAAAGAGTGGGAAATCTTTGCTCTTATCCATACACCAAGATAAAAACTGAGAAAATCAAAAATCACTGACTTTTATAAGATTCTCCAGAGAATTGAGGTCGCAGGACAAACTACCTCCCTGAAATCTGGAAAGCTAGACAAAGACAATTACAACCATGATGAGTTTACCTGATACAAAAGTAGCTGGAGCCAGTAACTTGCAGGAACACTTAATGGTAATTTTGGAGAATTGCTCTAGGCTGAGTGTGGACTAGCTTGACAGAGAAAAACTTCTAGGTGCTCAGTGTTACGAGGATTGCTGTATGAGTCCTTTTCACACGCTGTAAAGATACTACCAGGGACTGAGTAATTTATAAACAAAAGAGGTTTAATTGACTCACAGTTTCACATGGCTGGAGAGGCTTCAGGAAGCTTGTAATTATGGCTGAAGGCAAAGGGGAAACAAAACATGTATACATGGTGGCAGGCGAGAGAGTGAGCAAAGGAGAAGTCCCACACTTTATTCTTTTTTTTTTTTCTGAGATGGAGTCTCACTCTGTCACCTAGGCTGGAGTACAGTGGTGTAATCTTGGCTCACTGCAACCTCCACCTCCTGGGTTCAAGTGATTCTCCTGCCTCAGCCTCCCAAGTAGCTGGGATTACAGGCGTGCACTACCATACCCGGCTAATTTCTATATTTTTAGTAGAGAAGGGGTTTCACCATGTTGGCCAGGCTGGTCTCAAACCTCTGACCTCAAGTGATTCGCCCATCTCGGCCTCCTAAAGTGTTGGGATTACAGTTGTGAGCCACTGTGCCCTGCCAGCCCCACACTTTAAAACCGTCAGATCTCCTGAGCACTCACTCACTGTCATGAGAACAGCATGGGGGAAACCACCTTCATGATCCGATTACCTCCCACCAGGTCCCTCCCTCAACATGTGAGGATTACAATTCAAGATGAGATTTGCATGGGGACACAGAGCCAAAATGTATCAATCCTCAGATTTGCTTGGGTTCCAGCAATTCTACCAGCTCACTGTGAAAATTGGGAAAAAAAATCCATTTATGTTTTAGTCAGGAGGAAAGGGAAAGTAACCATTCTGAAATACACCCAGAGAAAAAGTAGCCATTTCAAAATAAGTTCGGAGCTGTCTCCATAGCAAAGATTTGCCCTCCAGGAGAAACGTTTTTATCAGAGTGTTGTCATACTTGGGGAAAAAAATAATTAAACAACTCTAGACCCCTCTATAGATTCTGCATCATGCAATAGGGGAAAAAATCTTGAAATGCTTCTGAGTCACAGTCCAGTGACCCAGGCTCACTAAAACTGATATTTGAAGTATTGAATTATATAGAACATTTCCCCTCCTCAACACCTTAACACCACACCTATAGAATGATAATGGTGAATTATTGCCAAAATAGGTAATTTAAGGAGTTCATAGGGATAAACAAAGACAACAGGGGAGGGAAAAATGAGGAAACTGAACCTAAATCTATAGTAAATATTAAACACAGCACTAGCCAGATAAACAAAAAAACCTGACATTCAAAGCCTAATTACCTGAATTTCTATTACCTGATGCATGATATCCAGCTTTCATCAACTATAATATGATATAAGGCATGCTAAAAGACAAGAAAAAACTTGATCCAAAGACACAATGCAAACATTAGAACAAGACTCAAATATAAAATTTATTTTAGAATGATCATATAGGCAATTTAAAATCACTACAATTAACATGTTACATGCTAATGAAAAAAGTAGAAAGGATGCATGACCAAATAGGTGATGTAATGTGAGAGATTGAAATTGTAAGCAAGAATCAGAAAGAAGTGCTAGAAATAAAAAACCCTTTAATCAAAATTAAGGATGATTTTGATGAGTATATTAACAAGGTGGTTATCACTAAGGAAAGTATCAATGAGCTTGAGGACATGTTAATAAAAATTATCCAACCTGAAAAGCAAACAGATAAGAGATATATTATTTAAAAGGAAAAGAATAGCCAAGAACTGTGGGACAATTACAAAAGGCATAACATTCATGTAATGGAAATGGTATAAATAAAAGCAAAAGATGCAGAATAAATATTTAATATAATAATGTCTATTTTCAAAATAATGTCTCAGCATCCAGCAATTAATTAATGCAAACTTGTTGATAACAGGCTAATGAAGAAAAATTAGCTTAAAAATTTAGAAAAATTCTATCATATTTCAGCTAACATAATATTTAAAGTGAAAAAATAGATGCTTTCCCTTAAGATCAGGAACAATGCAAAGAAGCCCCCCTTAACACTCTTATCCAACATTATACTGGAAGTTCTAGCTACAGCAATAAGACAAGAAAATAAAATAAAGGTATAAATATTGGGAAAGAATAAATAAACTTGGTTCACACATTATATGATTTTGTCTATGTAGAAAATCCCAAAGAACCAATGAAAAATTTAGCAAACTGGTAAAAGTAGCAGGGTACAAGTTTACAATATAAAATTCAATTGCTTTTCTATATACTAACGATGAATAATTGGAATGTGAAGTTAAAAACATAATATTACTGTGTTAGTCTTCTTGGACTGCCATAACAAAATACCATAGATTAGGTGGATTAAACAACATAAATTTATTTTCTTACAGTTCTAGAGGCTGAAAGTTTAAAATCAAGGTCCTGGCAGGTTTGATTTCTCCTGAGGAAGTCTCCTTGTGCTTGCAGATGGCCGCCTTCTTATTGTGTTTTCACATAAATTTTTTTCTGTGTGAACACACTTTTGATATCTCTTCCTCTTTTTGATTTTTTAAAAAACTATTTATTTACTTTTTATTAGTAGACAGGATTTCACCATGCTGTCCAGACTGGTTCCGGACTTCTGAGCTCAAGCAATCTGCCTGCCTCAGCCTACCAAAATGCTGGGATTACAGGAATGAGTCATGGTGCCTGGCCTCTTCCTCTTTTTATAAGGACATAGGTCCTACTGGATTAGGGCTTCACCGTTATAACCTCAGGTAACCTTAATTACCTACATAAAAGCTATATATTCAAATACAGCCAAATAGGTCTTCAACCTGTGAATTTGAGAGTCGATAAATCAGTCCATAACAATCACTTACATTGGCACAGTAAAAATGAAATATTTATGTTTAAATCCAACAAGCTATAGAGAAGATCCATGAGAGGAATTTACAAAACCCTGTTGGAAGAACCAAAGATGATATGAATAAATGGAGAAATGTTCATGGATAGGAAAACCCAAATGTTGTTAAGATGTCAATTTTCCCACCTGGATCTATAGATTCAATCCAATTCCAAACTCCCAGCAAGCTAGTTTGTGGATATTGATGAATTGATTCTAAAGTTTATGTGGAAAGCAAAAGACTCCAAATAAGAAGCACAATACTGAAGAAAAGAAGAATTAAAGGATTAACAATACCTGACTTTAAGAATTACTATAAAACTACAGTAGTCAAGTCA
Organism: Homo sapiens; assembly: GCF_000001405.40. Taxonomy (NCBI): domain Eukaryota; kingdom Metazoa; phylum Chordata; class Mammalia; order Primates; family Hominidae; genus Homo; species Homo sapiens. The sequence continues at coordinate 184,961,485 of NC_000002.12, read as the reverse complement.
GTGTGGTATTGGTGAAAGAATAAACAAAGAAATTAACCAAACAGAATAGAGAGCTCAGGAATAGATCCATGCAAATACAATCAACTGATCTTTGACAGAGAATTTTCGGCAATCCATATAAGACGAATTGTCTTTATATTGAAAATGGGTCTGGAACAATTGGACATCAATATGCAAAAGAGAATACACAGACCTTTTACTTACAGATAAATTGATCATAAGTATATCCTACAGAGGGTTTCTATATACACCCTTTTCCTAGTGCACAATTTTTCCTATTATTAACCTTTTGCATTAATATAGTATACTTGTTAAAATTAGGGAACAAATATTGATGCATTATTATTAACTAAAGTCCAAAGATTACATTAAAGTTCACTCTTTGTCTTTTATAATTCTATGGGTTTTTACAAATGCATAATGCCATGTATCCATTACAGTGTCTATATTATCTATACCATTATAGTATCTAATCATTTCACTTTTCTAAAAATATCCCTTATAATTCATCTATTCATGTTAGCTCCCTCCCCTGAACCACTGACAACCACTGATCTTTTTACTTTCTCTACAGTTTTGTCTTTTATAGAATGTCATATATAATTAGAATCATACAGTATCCTTTTCATACTGGCTTACTCACATAGCAATATGCATTTAAGTTTCTTGCTGTAATTTTTATAGCTTGGTAGCTTTATTTTTTAAACACTGAATAGGACTCCATTATATGTATATACTACAGCTAAATAAACACACACACACATACTCTTTTGTACTCATTGAGCATGTGATTTTAGAAAAATTACTTAACCTCTTAACATCAGTTTGCTCATTAATAAAATGGCTTATTAAAATATATCATAGTATAAATGTCATAATACTAATTTATAATTATAAATTATAAAATTATAATTCATGATTTATAAAATTTCTAACCCTTAGTTAATGTCAGTGTACTACGTACAACATGTCCTTATCCTTATTATACAGACCTATCAAAGAGGGTTTCTTCAAACTAAAATTTGCCCAAAATGAAAAACTCAATTTCAGAAGATATAAACAATGAGGAAGATTATTATCTCATACAGCAGGAGTTATATGGGTAAGAGTGGTGCCTTGGAAAAAAACAACTATTGGGTAGACATCCAGGAAGTGTCCATAATTTCCATCTTATCCAATACTTTGGTATTATGTGAAATATACTCTTATTGCTATAATTTGTTTCAAAACTAGCTTAATAATAAATACATGTTTGCCCCTTCCTAGACAGCTTTGTGGAATCACAGAGAATTATGGAATTATGTGTCCATAATGCTTTTTATTTTAATGTCTTCATCTATTTTTGCCTCCAGAGAAACAATGGTGTTTTTGTTGACACACAGTTGTACCTGATTTTCAATCATATTATTTCTTGCAGTATCACAGTTGGGGTTGCCAGAGATTTATAGCAAAGTCAGAACACTATTATTAAATCCATTATAGTTTTATAAGAGCATCAGGAGACTGAAGCTAAAAAGAGTACAAGCTATATGGCTTTTCTTATAAACATTTCTTTTTCTAAACGATTATGACCAATGCTGTTATTCTGTATTCAGTCAGAATATATTTTTATCCCCAGAAAAACTGTTAAGGGTAAGAAATTGCTTCAAGTAAAAGTTAATAAATTTGGATTTTGGAAAACGTATATTTCAAATGAACAGAATCACCTTTAATTCTATATTTCTAGCTTATTATTTATAAAGTTATTTTCAACAGAGAATCACTTAATACCTACTAAGGCAATCAGTGTATAAAACATTGAAGTTCCCTTATCATTAGGGTCAAGAGAGTACCACAATGCAACATGTATTCTATACCGGTTACTATTCTGGACATATGTCCTCTTTTAAAAGACTTGAGCCAATTATTTTAACTCAAGAAAGATTTTAAAAATTATTGTCATTTATTTTTATTAAATATCATTTTAACTTTTATTTTAGATGTAGAAAGTTCATGTGCAGGTTTATTGCATGCATGTATCGTGTGACACTGAGGTTTAGTTTACAAATGATCTCGTCAGCCAGGTAGTGAGCATAGTACCCAATAGGTAGCTTTACAGCCCTTGCTGTCCTCTCTCACTTGCTCCTCTAGTAGTCTCCAGTGTCTATTGTGCTCATCTTTATGTCCATGCACACTCAATGCTTAGATCCCACTTATAAGTGAGAACATGTGGCATTTGGTTTTCTGTTCCTGCATTAATTCGCTTAGGATAACAGCTTCCAGTTGAATCTACGTTGCTGTAAGGGGCATGATTTTGTGCCTCTTTATGGCTGCATAGTAGTCCATGGTATATATATACCATAGTTTTCTTATCCATTCTACCATTGATGGGCATTGATTCATATAGCTAGCCAGCTATTCCAGCACCATTTATAGAATAGGTAGTCTTTTCTCCATTGTTTATTTTTGCCAACTTCGTTATAAGTCAGATGGTTGTAGATGTGTGGCTTTATTTCTGATTTCTCTTTTCTCTTTCATAGGTTTATGAGTCTGTTTTTGTATTAGTATCATGATGTTCTGGTTACTGCAGCCATATAGTAAAGTTTGAAGCAGGGTAATGTGATACCTCTGGCTTTGTTCTTTTTGCTTATATTTGCTTTGGCTCTTCAGGCTCTTTTTCAGTTCTATGTGAATTTTACAATTGTTTTGTATAATTCTGTAAAAAATGACATTGGTAGTTTGATAGGAATAGCATTGAATCTGTAGACTGATTGCTTTGCGTATTATGGCCATGTTCATGATATTGATTCTTCCAATCCAGGAGCATGGGGTGCTTCTCTATTTGTTTGTGTCATCTATGATTTCTTTCAGCAATGTTTTATAGTTCCCTTCATAGAGACCTTTCACCCCCCTGGTTATATGTATTCCTAGGGGTGTGTGTGTGTGTGTGTGTGTGTGTGTGTGTGTGTTTGTGTGTTGTAAATGGCATTGTATTCTTGATTTGGCTCCCAGCTTGAATGTTATGGTGTATGGGAATGCTACTGATTTTTGTACATTGGTTTTGTGTCCTGAATCTTTACTGAAGTTGTTTATTAGCTCCAGGAACCTTTTAGTGGAGTCTTTAGGGTTTTCTAGGTATAGAATAATCTCATCAATGAAGAGAGACAATTTGACTTCTTTTCCTATTTGGATGCCTTTTATTTGTTTCTCTGGCCTGATTGCTCTGGCTAGGACTTCCAGTACTATGTTGAATATGAATAGTGAAAGTTGGCACCCTTGTCCTCTTCCAGTTCTTAATGGGAATGCTTCTAACATTTCCCATTTAGTACGATTTGGGCTGAGAGTTTATGTATTTGAGATATGTTCATTTGATGCCCAGTATTTCAGAAATTATTATATTTTTTATTAATTGTTCCAGAACCAGGATGCATAGTGGTGGATAGAGATCTAATTTAGAAAAAATAATGTAATTCTTTGTAAAATATGGTCATTTATTCAATTAGAAATCATTTAATTCAGCTTCCTTGGGAGAAGTCTCTGAATTACAGGTAGATTGGTTTGTTAACGATTGTATTCCTAGTTGGTATAATATTGAGAGTATAAAAATTATGCTCCTGGTTCAATCCCAGGTTAGTTTATTTCTCTGTATCTACAAAAGAATAACCAACTGTTCTACTAAATGAATAACAAAAAAAAATGTTAGTTTGTGGTAAGTGGCCTATAAAAAAACTTTTTAAAGATCTAAACTTTGTTCGTCAATTGAGAGAATTATCATTTACAAGGCTTTAGTTCTGTTTTTCACTATTTTTCATAAACTGTTTTCTCTGTGTGTCTGTCCATCTCTCTCTGTTCTAATTATCTTTGTTGGCATTTTATAAATGAGGGATCTCCAATACATTTCAACAGATTAGGAAAGAGGATCACAACCTATTCTTGTACATTTGTGTACTCTTCTATGTAGTAATAGACATCCAGTCTTATTTCTCCATATAGGTGAACACCTTTGCTATGGTCTCATCATTTCTTGACACCCTTGTAGTTATTATGTCTGTGTCTATAAACATTTGCATGCAATTAAATAAAAAGATACATTAAACAGATATAATTATTTTTGCAATTTTTTTCTGTTGGGATTAAACTATGTATTCTAAGACATATAAACACTTTTGGTTCAAATATTTAAGGTTAATTTTTTCCTTGTGCTTTATTCATGAAAAAGATACTGAAGACTGTTAGAGAAAGTAGCTAAAATTTAAAAATAAGAATAACATGAACCAACAATAAGTGAGTGATATAAACAATTTTACGTGAAATTATTTTAAAGAGTCTGAGATTTTTAGCTTTCTTGAAAGTTAACAAGTTAGCATGAACAATATTCTGTAGTTGATAGAAGTATGAGACAAATTAGCAATGAAGGGAAGTACTTATTACTTATAGCAGTATCAGCATTTTTGTGCAGGTTCTCTGATCCTCAGTTCTGACAGAGTAATGTCAAACAGACCTAGGTGACACCTGCACACAGTCAGTTGCATTAGAGCAGAGGAATACTGATTTAAGGGCCTCTGATATTTTCTCTATTTTTGCGTAATAAATCATGCCTACCTTTTCTTCAGAAGAAGAAACTATCACTCTCCTCCAAGTGCGTTCACTATTTTAACATTCTTGAGAAGAACAATTTAAAACAAAATGAATTCAGTGCCTCACTTATAAGGGATGCAGCAATGTAAAAGCCACATGGAGAATTGCCTCTCAATACCTTCTAATTTACAAAGATGATTTCTTGGGACCTGCTTGTAATTATTGGAAACATTTGAAGATGGAGAGAACATCGAATCAACATCATTTGAGAATAAAAGAGTGCTACATGATTCTAATGAGGTAGGAAAGGTAAACTGTAAAAGAATAGTAGAAAATAAAGCAGTTGTAGCAGACACTGGAATTTTACTCTTTGTGTGTGCCCTTCCTCCAGCTTCTATTTTATTTTATTTTCTTCTTAAGGGCCTGTAATTTTATTTCTAAGGTCATGAACTGGCAAGTCTTTTCACAGAACTTCCCTTGGGATACTGGTGACACTTAGCCTACACTTGCAGAGTTGAAAGCAGTGGACAGTTTTTTTTCCTGATGGCTGCTTTTAGCCAATCACAGATTGATGCTCGAATTGAAAGGTCACTATGCTTCTAATCAAGACAACACTCAAATGGAGCCTACACTTCCATGTTTTCCTGAGGAATCAGGCTGAATTTACCTTCAGAATTTTCTGGAAATAATATTCTTCTTGATTTCTTCCCTTTCCTTTCCTGGTTTTCCCTATGTTCTTAGTTTTCTTCTGGAAGCTCTTTTTTAATAAATCATTTACACACAAATTCATGTCTCAGATTCTCTTCTGGTTAACTATCCGAAGACAAATGGGAAAGATAAATGAAAAGGATAGCTAAATCCTTTTCATTAGTGCTTACCATATACCAGTAGTGTGTCAGAATTTTATTTCATTCTTACAACAACGCTGAGATAAATATTATTATTCCATTTTACTTATGAGAAGCCGAGGTTCAGAGAGGTTTAACTAACTAACTTGTCTAAGTCCTGAGCTAGTAAGTGTCTTAGTCTGCTTAGGCTGCCGTAACAAAATGCCATAGACTGAGAGGCTTAAAAGCAGGAATGTATTTTCTCACAGTGTGAAGGCCGGAAGTGAAAATCAGGGAGCCAGCATGGTCAGGTTCTGGTAAGGGCTCTCTTTCGGGCTTGCAGATGGTTGCTTTCTCACTGTGTCCTCATATGGCATGGAAAAGGAGAGAGATCTCTCACTCTTCCTCTTCTTATAAGGACACTAATCCCATTATGAGGGCACCACTTTCATGACATAATCTAACAGTAATTACCTCCCAAAGGTCCCATCTCCAAATACCATCACACTGGGGCTCAGGGTTTCAACATAACAATTCTAGAGGGCCACAAACTTTCAGTCCATTGAAGTGGTGAAGCTCAGTTCTAGAGCTGCCTCCTAAAAACTGTGCTCCTAAATATTTAATGTAAGTTTGTGGGAGAAATGTATGTCTTTTTCCCTCCTGCAGAGTTTAGGAAATCTAGTTCAACTTCTAGGCTTCTGAACTGTACTTTTCTACTAAAAGAGCAGCTCTGAAGAATGTTTTCATGTTATTATTGGTATAGATATATTTTAGTTGGAGGTACATGACAGATCCTAAATGCTAGATTATCTAACCCGTATTTGAAAACCTCTTATGAGTTTCTTAGCTTTCCTGCATTTGCTGCAATAGGTGTATCTCAGGTAAGTAGAGGTCACTGAGATGAGCCACTCTGAAGTGTCCAAAAACACAGTATTTCCAAGGAAAAGAGTACATTTTCAGAGGCAGTGCTTAGAGACTTGATCCACCTGTGGATCTTGAGAGTTAACTTATCGAGTTGGATATTTTGCTAAATTTTGACTCATTGGGCTGATTGACATAGAAGCAGAATTCTTAATGAAATGTCTTTGTATTAGCAGCAACTAACTAAAATAACTTTATTAATTCTTGAATAAAAGAGTCTTATAGCTTCCCTCCTAGTCTGAACAGGAATTTGCCTTTATTTTCTTATAGTACCCTTGTGAATAAGAAAAGAATAGAAAACTTCCAGTCTAGTAATGATGAAACCATTCCACAAGGAATCAACAAGTTCAAACTGCTTGGGTGCATGCCACATCCAATCCAACTTATTTAAAATTAATATTATTTTTAATGGCCAAAAACCATTACAAATGATTACAAATTATAAAAATGTCTTAAGATATAGTTCACTAAAAGAAAAAAATCAAAACAGCAACAAGGACATAGGAGAACAAAGGAAGCTTTTTTGTTTTCTAAAAAATAATACATAAAATTAATCTTGCATAGAATTTGCCTTAATATTTTGATTTATAAATTAAATAGTAAAGGGAAAAATTATATTATTAAATGAAATAGGTCACATAATATAAACTTGAAAATGAAAAAAGTGTTGACTTTATGAGTCAATAAAATTATGACTGATTTTAATCAAATAAGTTATCTCTATTGAAAGTGTGTTAAATAATAAGGAATATGGACCATTTGATTCTCAAAGTAAGATATTAAGTAAAATATATTCAACACCTTAATATTTATGTACATGTGAATTATATAAAACAGATGACTCATATAAAGTTAAAATATTAAGCCTTTAAAAATGTCTCAGATTTCCTTATGCCTACTTCCACTATTATTCAACTAATATTTTTGAACATATGAATACCTACAGTCATTTTTCATATCGTATAGTATTAGTCTTATCCAGGTTTCCTTATATAATTTGGTTTCCTCACATTCAACTGTATCCTAAAAGGAAACATGAATAATGATACTAAGGAAAAATAATCAATAAGTTATATTTGTTTTACTAGGAAATTTCAAAAAAATTTACATGAATAACATCAGTGAACAACTTGGAACTGCTTTACAGAATTTAAGTCCAGAGGATATTATAAACATACATTCAAGCTCTATATTAACATATAAGGAATCTAAGTTGCACATAAATTAATTGATAAACATGATCTTATACCTAGTCAAATCTTCATATACATGCAGTAGAGCTGGACATCATTATAAAATCTAAACCTATTTTTATAGTGTTTATAACCATAATTCTATTTCTTTCTACCCCTTTGTAGGTATTCTAAAAAGCTTTGCGTATATTTTCTTGCCCACAATTCTCTTTTAAAGTCAATGCAATATGGCTTCTAGGCTTACCATTCTATTAAAACTACCATATCAGACTCAGCAATGGCTTAGGTCATGAAACGAAGAATGCATGCTTCTCATTTACTTAAACACTTAAAGCTATTGACAACTCTTAAACATGCCCTTTTACTTAAAACTGTCTCTTGCTACCATTTTCATGGTGCTATAATTTTCTAGTTTATATTCAAGCTCTATGGATACTTTGTGTCCTCTGTAGTTGTTTCCTTTTCTTCCCAAGCTTAAATGCTGGTTGCTATTTCCAGGATTGACTTCTCTCTGTAGTCTTTACATTTTTTCAGAGGGTAATCTCAAATCTCATAATATTTTAATTAAAATGAACAGGGTGATGATTCCAAAATACATTTCCTTAGTATATGTGTATGTGTATATATGTGCCTTTTAACTTTATACCTGTATAATAGATTATTTTAAAATGATCTGCATTTGTATCTTTTCAGAGTAATTGAATTCTAAATTCCCTTTAAAACTGATTCTCAAAGCATAATGAGTAGCTGTTAGGATATGCTGTAGGACACCATTACACTTACTATCACTACTGTTGATAATTTGCTTACCAAAATTCAGATTTGTTTGTTCTCAGATCACTTTGTTCATGTTTCATTTGTTACTATAATTATATAATTTAATTCAGTGTTAAGTGAAATGATGAAATGTGAATATAAGCAGATACAGTTTATTCCTTAGCATGCTTTAGAAATTCTAAATTAAGGTGGTTGCTAACTAAATTATTTTAACTGTGGTGTGAGTATAGCTATATAAGATAGGAGAAAAATAAATAATTTAAAAACACAATTTTAATTTGTTCAGAAATGTATTTAAGTCCTCAGTACATTTTAAATAAGAAAACTTAGAAGTCCATAGATGATTTATTTTGAGTATGGATTATGTAGAAAAAGATGACCAATAACTTCAAAGGATTATGTAAGAAAAGGTGACTAATAACTTTGAATAAATTCAAAGCAAAGACCTTGGATCTATAGCACAATGTTGGTAAATTTAAAGTACAACAAGATAATGTGAGTTAGTACACGATGCTTATACTGTGCCTGTGTGCATATGTGCCTTAATGTGTACTTCATCGCTTTAAGCAAGAGATAGACAACAAACATATTTTTATTGTTTCAGTTAAGAGAGTTTCTACTACAGCTTGAACTATTTATAAGACTGCCCTACTTAGACATATTCCAGGTACCTCAAATTTCTCTTTTAATTGTCTTTTTTTTGAGATTATAGTAGATTCAAATGCAGTTGCAAGAAATAATATGAAGATATCCCATGTACCTTTGGCCCAGTTTCCCCCAAAGGACGTATCTTACAAAATTACAGTATTTGAAGATGTTATCTTCCATTCTCCAACTTTTGCTTACTGACTTTCATTTCTATCTTCTCTCCTTGCATTATTTATGAATAACCACATCAACCTAATTATGCAGGCCAGAAACTTAAATTTCATTTGTAAATCCTCTTTTGCCCTCTTCCAAAACTTCTCCTATAACATAAACCCCTACAAGACTTATAGATTATCTAACTTTTTGATTATCCAAATAATATGATTTCTATTTGCTAGCTAGTACTTGAAACTTCCTTTATTTTTCTTGTCTCCTCAACACCCACCAATGAACACACACATACTAATCGACTCTTTCTTATAGAATCCTACTGATAATTCTAATCTGATACTCTCAATGAGGGTTATTTACCTTGCTATTTAAAAACTATTAGGGACTATCATCTTACACATAAATTCCTTAATGAGTTCTCTGGCTTTTGTGTTGCTTTTCTCTTCCCTCATTTATCAGAATTTCTTTTATTCTTAATATGTTATATGCTTTCTCAACATATTATGTTTATTAAATTTATTATATTACTCAGCCGTCTTATGAAAATGGCTATTTGTTTTTCAACTTCCCCCTTTAGACTCTAAATTCCTTGTTGATAGACTTTATTTCTATTCACTGTTTACTCTCCAGAGCCTAGGAGAGTGCCTGGAACATATTAGACATAAATGATCATCAGAGACAGGTTAGCCTATAAAGGCATTTAATTGAAGAGGCACCTCAAATATGACAATAGCATGGTTACAGCCAGCAGGGGTATAGCATGGTTATATCATTAGGCATAGTTTATCTCCTTCTCCTGAGCACTGATCAAAACTGAGGACAAGTGACCTTGGCTAAAGAATTATTTATTCAATAATTTACTAGAATAGTTATCATGTCATTTTCCTGGTATAACTATGTTTGTCTCCCTTATTCTGGAAGACCTAGGGAAACACGAGATTTATTGATGACATAGAAAATGAAGGTGTCTTACAGTTTTCCAGTAGTTGGGAATTTTTTTTTCCCATCTTATATTATAATGTACCTGAGCGTATATTCCACTCCATTTCTTGACTGTGACTGCAGAGAGACAGAGGCTAGCATCTCATTAAGGAGAAAATGTCCAGGAATTCCATGCAGCAACGATCGGGCAGCCCTTGGGAGGTGTGCATGTGTGTGTTGTGTGTATGTTTGTTCCATAAAGTATGGTTAGAGAGACAAAACTCATCCCAGACTTCCTGCAGACATGGAATCCAATGCCTCTAGCTCTGGACTTTTGTGAAAATAGAAGTGATAATGACCAGTAGAGGGTAGACTGCCAGGTCCCTCCCTGTGTGCTAGTCCTAACTGAATGATTTGGACTTCGGAAAATTTGTTACTTGCTGAAGCAGCAGTAAAAGTTTACATCTCTCAAAATACGATGAAGACCAGCTCCTGGATTCATTGATTTTTTGAAGGGTTTTTTGTGTCTCTATTTCCTTCAGTTCTGCTCTGATTTTAGTTATTTCTTGCCTTCTGCTAGCTTTTGAATGTGTTTGCTCTTGCTTTTCTAGTTCTTTTAATTGTGATGTTAGGGTGCCAATTTTGGATCTTTCCTGCTTTCTCTTGTAGGCATTTAGTGCTATAAATTTCCCTCTACACACTGCTTTGAATGCGTCCCAGAGATTCTGGTATGTGGTGTCTTTGTTCTCGTTGGTTTCAAAGAACATCTTTATTTCTGCCTTCATTTCGTTATGTACCCAGTAGTCATTCAGGAGCAGGTTGTTCAGTTTCCATGTAGTTGAGCGGCTTTGAGTGAGATTCTTAATCCTGAGTTCTAGTTTGATTGCACTGTGGTCTGAGAGATAGTTTGTTATAATTTCTGTTCTTTTACATTTGCTGAGGAGAGCTTTACTTCCAACTATGTGGTCAATTTTGGAATAGGTGTGGTGTGGTGCTGAAAAAAATGTATATTCTGTTGATTTGGGGTGGAGAGTTCTGTAGATGTCTATTAGGTCTGCTTGGTGCAGAGCTGAGTTCAATTCCTGGGTATCCTTGTTGACTTTCTGTCTCGTTGATCTGTCTAATGTTGACAGTGGGGTGTTAAAGTCTCCCATTATTAATGTGTGGGAGTCTAAGTCTCTTTGTAGGTCACTCAGGACTTGCTTTATGAATCTGGGTGCTCCTGTATTGGGTGCATAAATATTTAGGATAGTTAGCTCCTCTTGTTGAATTGATCCCTTTACCATTATGTAATGGCCTTCTTTGTCTCTTTTGATCTTTGTTGGTTTAAAGTCTGTTTTATCAGAGACTAGGATTGCAACTCCTGCCTTTTTTTGTTTTCCATTGGCTTGGTAGATCTTCCTCCATCCTTTTATTTTGAGCCTATGTGTGTCTCTGCACGTGAGATGGGTTTCCTGAATACAGCACACTGATGGGTCTTGACTCTTTATCCAACTTGCCAGTCTGTGTCTTTTAATTGCAGAATTTAGTCCATTTATATTTAAAGTTAATATTGTTATGTGTGAATTTGATCCTGTCATTATGATGTTAGCTGGTGATTTTGCTCATTAGTTGATGCAGTTTCTTCCTAGTCTCGATGGTCTTTACATTTTGGCATGATTTTGCAGCGGCTGGTACCGGTTGTTCCTTTCCATGTTTAGCGCTTCCTTCAGGAGCTCTTTTAGGGCAGGCCTGGTGGTGACAAAATCTCTCAGCATTCAATAAAATACTGGCAAACTGAATCCAGCAGCACATCAAAAAGCTTATCCACCACGATCAAGTGGGCTTCATCCCTGGGATGCAAGGCTGGTTCAATATACGCAAATCAATAAATGTAATCCAGCATATAAACAGAGCCAAAGACAAAAACCACATGATTATCTCAATAGATGCAGAAAAAGCCTTTGACAAAATTCAACAACCCTTCATGCTAAAAACTCTCAATAAATTAGGTATTGATGGGACGTATTTCAAAATGATAAGAGCTATCTATGACAAACCCACAGCCAATATCATACTGAATGGGCAAAAACTGGAAGCATTCCCTTTGAAAACTGGCACAAGACAGGGATGCCCTCTCTCACCGCTCCTATTCAACATCGTGTTGGAAGTTCTGGCCAGGGCAATCAGGCAGGAGAAGGAAATAAAGGGTATTCAATTAGGAAAAGAGGAAGTCAAATTGTCCCTGTTTGCAGACGACATGATTGTTTATCTAGAAAACCCCATCGTCTCAGCCCAAAATCTCCTTAAGCTGATAAGCAACTTCAGCAAAGTCTCAGGATACAAAATCAATGTACAAAAATCACAAGCATTCTTATACACCAACAACAGACAAACAGAGAGCCAAATCATGAGTGAACTCCCATTCACAATTGCTTCAAAGAGAATAAAATACCTAGGAATCCAACTTACAAGGGATGTGAAGGACCTCTTCAAGGAGAACTACAAACCACTGCTCAAGGAAATAAAAGAGGATACAAACAAATGGAAGAACATTCCATGCTCATGGGTAGGAAGAATCAATATCGTGAAAATGGCCATACTGCCCAAGGTAATTTACAGATTCAATGCCATCCCCATCAAGCTACCAATGACTTTCTTCACAGAATTGGAAAAAACTACTTTAAAGTTCATATGGAACCAAAAAAGAGCCCGCATCGCCAAGTCAATCCTAAGCCAAAAGAACAAAGCTGGAGGCATCACACTACCTGACTTCAAACTATACTACAAGGCTACAGTAACCAAAACAGCATGGTACTGGTACCAAAACAGAGATATAGATCAATGGAACAGAACAGAGCCCTCAGAAATAATGCCGCATATCTACAACTATCTGATCTTTGACAAACCTGAGAAAAACAAGCAATGGGGAAAGGATTCCCTATTTAATAAATGGTGCTGGGAAAACTGGCTAGCCATATGTAGAAAGCTGAAACTGGATCCCTTCCTTACACCTTATACAAAAATCAATTCAAGATGGATTAAAGATTTAAACGTTAGACCTAAAACCATAAAAACCCTAGAAGAAAACCTAGGCATTACCATTCAGGACATAGGCATGGGCAAGGACTTCATGTCCAAAACACCAAAAGCAATGGCAACAAAAGCCAAAATTGACAAATGGGATCTAATTAAACTCAAGAGCTTCTGCACAGCAAAAGAAACTACCATCAGAGTGAACAGGCAACCTACAACATGGGAGAAAATTTTCGCAACCTACTCATCTGACAAAGGGCTAATATCCAGAATCTACAATGAACTCAAACAAATTTACAAGAAAAAAACAAACAACCCCATCAAAAAGTGGGCGAAGGACATGAACAGACACTTCTCAAAAGAAGACATTTATGCAGCCAAAAAACACATGAAGAAATGCTCATCATCACTGGCCATCAGAGAAATGCAAATCAAAACCACTATGAGATATCATCTCACACCAGTTAGAATGGCAATCATTAAAAAGTCAGGAAACAACAGGTGCTGGAGAGGATGTGGAGAAATAGGAACACTTTTACACTGTTGGTGGGACTGTAAACTAGTTCAACCATTGTGGAAGTCAGTGTGGCGATTCCTCAGGGATCTAGAACTAGAAATACCATTTGACCCAGCCATCCCATTACTGGGTATATACCCAAAGGACTATAAATCATGCTGCTATAAAGACACATGCACACGTATGTTTATTGCGGCACTATTCACAATAGCAAAGACTTGGAACCAACCCAAATGTCCAACAATGATAGACTGGATTAAGAAAATGTGGCACATATACACCATGGAATACTATGCAGCCATAAAAAATGATGAGTTCATGTCCTTTGTAGGGACATGGATGAAATTGGAAACCATCATTCTCAGTAAACTATCGCAAGAACAAAAAACCAAACACCGCATATTCTCACTCATAGGTGGGAATTGAACAATGAGATCACATGGACACAGGAAGGGGAATATCACACTCTGGGGACTGTGGTGGGGTCGGGGGAGGGGGGAGGGAGAGCATTGGGAGATATACCTAATGCTAGATGACACGTTAGTGGGTGCAGCGCACCAGCATGGCACATGTATACATATGTAACTAACCTGCACAATGTGCACATGTACCCTAAAACTTAGAGTATAATAAAAAAAAAAAAAAAACTAAGCCATTGAAACTAATAGAAAGTATTCAAGCAACTAAAAATTTAGTAGTAATGCTTTAATGGATGAAAAATAAACTGAATATTACAAAAAAAAAAAAATACGATGAAGACTTGAAGTCGTTTTGAAAGAAATGCAGCATACCTGAGGGCAAGTGAGCCAGGTCAGGAACAAAAACATTACCTCCCTGTGAATGAGGGTTTTTTTGGTTTTGTTTTTGTTTAACCAGGTAAAGTCATACTCAGTGCCTGATTTAACATTTATACTCCCACTTTGTAATTCCTTCACCTACCTCAAAATGTCCCAGCCCATTAATTAAGAAAGCCACATACGTGTTCCTTTCCAAAGGCACTATGGGACAACGTGATATAGGAACACTGTGGCCTGCTTTACTCAACCTCTTGACTGTGATTGTAAAGGAAGAGTAGCTTTGCCAAGGGGAGAATGTTCAGAAGTTGCAGGCAGTTACTATCATGTAGTACAATGGGCACTGGTTCCTGGGAAGGAAGAGAGAAAGCATTCAGTACTGCAAAGCAGCTTTCATGTAACAGATTTTGAGATTTTTTTTTAATCCACTTTCTGTCACTAAGTTCAGGTCTCACATGTAATTTAATTTTAGATTTGTTTGCTGAAATAATGAATTATTTTTCATACAGAAGGTTTTGTTTTTGTACTCTATCTAAAACTCTGTATCTATAGCCAATTTTTAAACTTCATTGTTGGTAAAGTCTTATTTTAGTCAACATGGATAAACCAGTTCTTAACATAGACAGAACCTCCAACAAATTGACAGTATAACCACAATGAGCTTTAATAGCTACCTCTAACAGTACTACATTTATTTATATACAAATGCATTGCTGTAGAGTCTTTTCTATGCTAACATGTTTAGGCAAAGCTTTTCTATATGGAATAATAATGTTACATTATATTTGTTTAGCAATTTTAAAAGATAGTGTCAAGACAGTGTTATATATTAGCACAGAGGATTGGCAAGCACATAATTAATCCTTAGGTACTATAAAATGCAATTATAATTGCTAGTGTGTAAAATTATTTAAAATATTACATTATGCTTCACACTACCTAAGAAATTGTATGGGCTCACAAAGGTCATGGTCTGAAAAGTTGTAATGCAGGATAGAAAATAAAAGATTTCACATCTCAAAACTTATTAATATTTCTATCATTGTTTTATTTCAGTACAACTGTTCTGGGAATGAAAGCCATTTAATAAAAACTATAATCTGTTTGAGGCTTATCATTTTAATGTGAAGATTGATTCTCTGCCAACAGTCATAAGTTGAAGTAATAGTCACTTGCAAAATCATTAGATTAAAAAACAAGTTGAATGTGGTAAGCAGATTAGTCAAAACTCAAAGCATTAATTTGAAGCATAGCTATTTTCAGAGATGCACAGAAAACATGGGCTTCCATATTAAGGCACCTTAAATGTTGGATTTTTAAAAACTAAAGTCTCCTTGACTTTAAAATGTTGTAACTTAGGTAACCTCAGTCAAGAAATATAAGGGGAATTATTCAAAAGGAGGATAATGTGCAATGTAAGTCAATAAGCATCCAGAAGAAACATAATTTACTCGGTTACAGAAGCTGGTTGCAACAAGTTCAACTAGAATAATCAAGACACAGTGTCTGGGTTGCAAGCTTAGGCACTAGCAAGACGATGGATCAATTAGAAAACACAACAGGAGCAAACCCCAGGCAGCAGTTACATTCTGCAGAGCACAATACAGTGCCAACAGGAGCTAGGAAGGAGCATAGGGTCTAGTCTTGTTCTCGAGGGGAATGTGAACTAAGCAGAGTAACGAGGGAGCTTAGGCTATGAGAGGGTTTTCCAGTTAGAGGTTAAGTAATTGCACAAAGCTACTGGAGCAAAAGGAAAATGATTCTTTTACACAATGACTCAAGTCTTGCTTCTAGTTAATTGAATCTTAGTTTTGTAAGGTCCGATAAAAATTCAGGTCTGGTAGAGTTGTTTGTTATGGAATTAGAGATAATAGAACATTTTTGGAAAAAACTAAAGGTTTAATGTGAGGCCTGTCATCAAAACTCCTTTACTTAATACATGGGCCCTTCCCAAAGAATGTATGTTTTATGCCTATACCATCAATAAACATGTTGAAAAAGGAAAGAAAATTAATATTAAATGAAATAATTAAAATAGTCTTAATCAATACAGTCTAGATACAAAAGGTAATAATACTAAACAAAGTATGCTTTGTTCAATTGAAATATAATGAGATCTATTTTTAAAAAATCTGAAGTACATAATAAAATATTCTAAATACTGTGAAGATAATAAAAGTATAGAAAATCACCACATGAAAAATGTTAGGAAGTAATTTGTAAAAAATTAAAATGCAGCAGTTGAAACCAGATTTTTTTTCTTTCTTTTTTTTTTTTTTTTGAGACAGAGTCCTGCTCTGTTCCTGGAGTGAATTGGCTTTTTTTGACTCATTGCAACCTCTGCCTCCTGGGTTCAGGCGATTTTTCTGTCTCAGCCTGCCAAGTAGCTGGCGTTATAGGTGCCTGCCACCATGCCCGGCTAATTTTTGCATTTTTAGCAGAGAGGGGCTTTCACCATGTTAGCCAGGCTAATCTCAAACTCCTGACCTCAAGTGATCTGCCTGCCTCGGCCTCCCAAAGTGCTGGGATTAGAAGTGTGCGCCCCCCCGCACCTCTCCTAAAACCAGAATTTTTAAAACTGAAAATATTAATATTAATTAAATATGTAAACACATATATTCAAAATAAGAGTTATCAATAAATTATCAATAAAAATAATGAAGTAATTTAAAAACAACAAGTTTGTCCAAATGTTGTGGGTTATCGTTAAGCTGATTAAAATAACAGTTTAGGAGATTAAGGGAGAAAATAAAAGAGATTATTTAAAAATAACAGTTTAGGATATTAAATAAGAAGAAAGCTGGTTACACTTTTAATTTTCTACCAGGAACTTCCAGGCTCAAGTAGATTCCAGAGCTCACATTCTTAAAGGTCAAAAGCTCAGGGCAGTTGCTAGTCTACAAAATGCTTGTATCCATAAGTAAAAGTATCTTGCTATAGGCATTTGGCTTAGTGGGCAATGATGTCTTTGTGTAAAAAACAAAAAGCGGTCTCTTCCTCTGAACCAATGCCTGCCATCTTGGTTGGGGGGATAAGGATGTAATCCACAAGGGTGGTAGACAGTGGCCTATGTTTCAGCCAAAATCAGCATTTTGGAACTAACTGCATAGGCTTCTACTGTTGCTTCTAAAGCAGGACTTTGGGCATCAACTCATGATATAAATAAGTCTCAATCCTTTATCCAATTTTATTTGTGAGAGAAGGTAAACAGCTTATTGGAAAACTTCCCAGGGGCAACATTCTCTCCCAAGGACACATAAGTGACAGTGGCTTAGCAGACGAATAAGTAGAAAAAAAAAAAAGTAGATAAAACAATGAGGAATGAAGAACACAGGACAGTGGTGTAATGCAATGCTGAATATAAATTCAATCTATTTTAATTGATGAATAATGAAATCTCAAACTTTGGATGGCTAAATACAAGATTTTGCATGTCTGCTTTCCATACTAGACTCAAATATCTGAATAGCAATATGTTCTATTAATATCTCTGGCCCTGAAAACTAGTTTAGTGTCTGATACATAATAATATGTTATGTTTGGTAGCAAGTATTAATAAAATGATAGAAAGATGATAGATGCAGGATAGATTAGATAAATAATAAACAGATAGATAAGCAGGTAGGTAAATAAATACATTGAGATCAAGATCAATACAGTAAAGTTTGAGCATTCCTCTTGGGCCAGAAGAAAGGGTTAAAGTTGTGCTTTGATTTTTGGTGGTAGAGTTCTATTTTAAGTGATCTACAATTCCATTAAAAAAAAGTTCTATATATTTAACATGTTGAAACCGTATTTAGTTTTGAAAAATTATCTTTTTATTTAGAAGGATTTAGGACTTATTTGGAGTAAAAATAGGTAACAATTCTGGAACCCTAGTACACTCTTCATAGATTTTAATTATATTTTTTCAATTCATTTTATTCTTCACTTAACAAAATTTTGTTAAATGTTTACTATGTGTTAACATTCTACAGAGACTCAAGGAGCTCTCAGTCTAGTGATTTTGACAAACAAGGCAATATATTCGACACAGAGAATACTCTATGACAAAATTTGTGCTCGGCATGTTACAGGAAGAGAGAAGACAAGAAGCCATCTCATTAGGGGAGAGGGGGAACCTGGGAGAGAATTCCTAAAAGAAATCGACATCTTGAATTTTGGCTCTTTAGTGGTTATCCAAGTGAAGAAATATAGAGAGAGTAGGGCATTGTAGGACAGCAAAACATGCTCACACAATCTCAAGGGAGATTTAGATCAGTACATTAGAATGGTTGGCCCAGAGGAGAGCTGGAAGGAATGATCCTGAGAGGCTGGAACCTACTTCAGCACAGATTTTCCAAGACATACTAAGGACTTTGGTGTTTATCTTGAGAATAATTGAAAACTCTGAATAAGTTTTAAAGTAAGGACATGTCATAATAAGACTACATTTTAAAAATGTAGCCCTGGTGAGAGCAGTGTTAGAAGATGAATTGCAGAAAAGGGAGACTGGGAGGATGGAGACATTGATTTAAAACAGCAATTCAGCATATGGACAACTAAAAGCAGGAGAAATGGAATTGAAAAAAAATTTAAGGAAATAGAGCCAAATGGTTCTTGATTGCTTTGATGTGGGCATAAACTTATAACTTGAATAACAGGTTTTATTATAATGATATCCACAAAGTTTGGAAACAGAGAAAAGAACAGATTTTGGTAGTATGTATAAAGTAAGATGATGGGTTTGAGTTCTGAGTTCAAAATACTTGGAAGATATCCAGGTTAAGATGTCCTGTGGATAGTTTGATATAGGACTTTGACTTATAAAAAAAACTTGGTGAAAATGTATAATTGACACATGCATAGTAGTTGAAGTTGTGGATGACTTTCCTTCCTATTATCCAATGTAAAAACCTTTGTTAATTGGCTACAGTTACTTTCTACATTCAGGTTTCATTCTATTTTCCAAATCATTCATCCTTACAATAACAAATGGTATGACAATGCCTGTAACTAGCAGACTAGAGATGGTGGGTAAGAGATAGTGTTAGAATCATTTAAATTTCCAAAGTATATAGGATGTACAACAATTCATGCTGGGAAAGGACTGAAATTTTTTCTTCAGGATACACCTTATAGCACACTGTCAGCCAGCATCCAAAACTACTTCCAGAGTATGACTGCCCGAATGGCTTGACTCTTGCTGCCATTAATGTGGGCTTGCCTGGTGGTCCTCTGACAGCCTCACTGCCTAATGACAGCTCTCTGACTTACCTGTCTGGTTGCTCTGCTCATTGTTGTTCTTCAGCCTATTGGCCTGATTTCCTTGATTCTGGAGTTGATGTTGTCAGAATAGTTGAATATGTGTGTCTCACCATCCATTCATTTTGAGTCCTTGACACATAACAGATGCCCAGACCATGTAAGCAATATCTTAGCAATGTATCAGAAAACTAGAAGAATTTTTTATAATCAGACTGACTTTGACAGTGATTAACTAGGTTCAAGTTTCTTGTCCAGACCTGGTATCCATGAGAACCAATTATTTTATCTGTAAAGCTGAGTTTTAATTAATCTTAATAGAGAACTTTCCTCCTCAAAGTTTCTAGAAATTCCTGTCATATATCTAGCAATCAGGCACATTCTCCTACAACTAAAAAGTTAACCATACCTAACCATATCATTTAACAAATAAATAAGAGAGAAGCAGAATTTGAAAAACATGAATGATAACATGGTGAAAGAAAAGGAGGCACATAATACACAAATGATGTCTGCAATAACATCAACAAAGATCAATAAACAAAGCAATTGCAGGATTAAAACAAGAGGTAAGAGGTGAACAACCAAGATGATAGAAGATACAAAGAAGAGGAAAATATGCATGTTTTAAAGTCAAACACTTGGTTTGATTTTTTAACATCAAAAACAGCAATTCTGCTTTGACAGATTAAAAACAAACTGGGTCAGCATTCCCCAGTAGATATCTCCATCTATTTTATCTTCAAAGATAGTTTCAAATATTTTGCCTGGGGAAAAAATCATCCTTTCCAATTTTAGTTCCTGTTTTTTGAACATATTATCTTACAGCATTTGACATGGAATTGCTTCCTTATTATTTTTATCTACTTATTAGTCAATCATTAAATGGTATACTCAGTCTTTCACAAGCATTTTTCAGGTGAACCTTCAAATAAACCAGTGATTATTATGCCAAATATCATGAAAGTAAATGGCCTAGATTTTCTTTCTTATTTTTCTTACATAAGATATAATTAAATATTGATTATTTTTATATGGGAAAATACTTTTAGGTCCCTAATTATTTAGGGTAATCCAGTTCCTATGCTAGCCATATACAATATTTCCTCAGTACAGCATCATTTAAAACTTGCTTTCCATTTAAAGTGACTCAATTGGGCTCTGAAACCCTGGACTTATTGCCAGGCTACTATAATCTGCTCTTATTGCAAATGGTGAGGACAACCCACTTTAAAAGGGATGTATACTTTGTCTTGCCAATGGTATGGACTGGGACAGGTATAAGAAATATTCTTGGGGAAAGCGTGCTATTTCCTAGTTCTCTATTGACTCATTATATTCTTAAGTACACATAAAAGCACTTGAGTGAGCAGTAATGCAGAGGTCATTAAAAATAAAGCAGAGCCTGTAATCCCAGCACTTTGGGAAGCCGAGGCAGGTGGATCACTTGAGGTCAGGAGTTCAAGACCAGCCTGACCAACATGGAAAAACCCCGTCTCTACTAAAAATGCAAAAATTAGCCAGGCATGGTGGCATGCACCTGTAATCCCAGCTACTTGTGAGGGTGAGGCAGAAGAATGGCTTGAACCCGGGAGGCAGAGGTTGCAGTGAGCCAAGATCACGCCACTGCACTCCAACCTGGGCAACACAGCAGACTCTGTCTCAAAAAAAATAAATAAATAAAATAAAGCAGAATCTGGAAGAGTGATGTGGACTTTCTAATTGTTCCTGAGCGATTTAAAAATACAATACAAGCATAACTACTAGAAAGATTTGCAGGTAGAAGGACTATTTATTTACTCTCCATCCCACTTCCAGATTCTCAATTAAGAGTAACATCCTTATACAGATTGTGTTTACGCCGTTCATCCCAAGATGTTATATAACAGGCAGTGGTTTATTAAAGTTAAACCTATTCCTTAATTCATGCCAATATTTCCACGTATTTCCCACAATAATTAAAAATAAACACAATAAATTTGGGAATTTAAACATTATAAGCACTTATATTGGTTATTTACCATTGCTTGTCTATTAGTCCTGTTCTAGAGTTCCAGAAAGAGTACTACATACTTTGCGTATTTTTGAGTTATTACCCACCCAAATACTAAAATTACTTTAACGTGAATTTCCATGGATTATTGTCTAAAGAGGGGGTCAATTGTTTAGAAAATATAGTAAACTTTGAGTATAAGTAACATTGGAAAAACAGAAAAACAAATCGACCCTCTGTTACACTATTCTAAAAGATAGTATCATAGTTAAAGTATTGATAGAGCTCCAAGGATGTTTTGATGGGCCTTGGAGATTCAGAGATTCCTGTGTATGAGTAAAGTGATATAAATCCAACACCTATTGTTACTATACATTCCTAAAACAGGGAAAACCAACTAAAAACAAAAGTTCGATTTACTTAAATAGTTAACAAAAATTTATTGCAAGAGATATTTTTCACTGAATTTACAGTTTCAAGGAACATGATACAAAACATAGTGCCATCAGCTTTGTCTAAACATTAAATAGGTGCAAATACACAAAGATTAAGAAAAACCAAGGGAGCATACTTTACAACATAAATTAGAGTACTATAAATATATTTTATGTACATTATACATACTCTTAAGACATCATTTTAATATATAGCATATATTGTATTGATTTTCAAACTATTCAGTGCTTTAATAATATTATATATCAGAAACTTAGGGATTTATTTGCATCATTGCACTTACAGTAAATGATTTCAAACCAATGACGCCATGTATCGGCCAGTTTATTTCCACCAGTTAAATAGCCATGTACCCACATAGATGAACACTTAACGCATATAGCAATAGTTTTCACAAGAGTATTTTTTTCCCATTATGGTGATGACTAGAAGAGAGGTTGCAAAGGGATGACAGTAGGGTGTGGGGAAAGCAGTGAAGGAAAGAGTGCATGGGGTAAAGATGGGAAAGCCAGATGGCTAGGATGAAGAACGGAAGCTGGAATGATTGGCATCTGAGGAGGAGCAACAAAAGTTGGCTGGTTCCCAGGACAAAGCCTCGGTCCTACTGGTCCTACTGAGAGCTGAGGTAATGAGGTTCTGGTGAGAGCTGGGATTTGGGAAAGAAACTGTTGGTGTGGCTGAAGCACTTTAAAGGTTCCTGCAGCTGCGGCTGCAGCTGCAGCTGCAGCAGCTGCAGCGTGCTGCTGCAAAACAGTGTGATGGATAGTGGTTACAGAGGTAGAACATAAGGACTGCTGCAAAGGCAAAGGCTGCAGAGGTGTGCTAGGGGGTGGGAGGGCAGCTGGAGGAAAGGTAAATTTAACCTTGTTGGCCAGCATGTTTGGCTGCAGAATGTGCTGGTAGACCTCACATGGTACATTTTTGAATTTGTCATGGTTTTCTAGTGGGATCAATAATGCTTGCTCTGGTAAAGCTAATGGAGCCAGGATTTGCTCAGCTGTTACAAAAGTATGACCACTGACATGTGCTTCTTTGAATGGTAATGGTGGTTGTGTGTTAAGGATTCCTGAATTATAACGCAGCCACTCAGTTGGTGTCTCATTCATCTTTCCTTGTGGAAGGGCCTCAGCCAGTTCATAATGGCAAAGATAGGATTTAGGCTGTGACTGTCTAAAGTTCCTTTCAATATTAGGCACCTGAAAAGGAATTTGCTTTTCATTAAGATTTATATTCTCACTTCTTTCTTTGTGTTCAAGCAGGGTATTGTCAATTGCTTCTTTTGTTGGGGCACTAGCTACACAGACAGATGTGGTGGGATCATTGGAAACATCTGACAATTCACCAGAAGTGGTCTCCATTTCTAAATGCTCAGTTTCACCATTGGTTTCAGAAGGAAGGAGATTGTTAGGGTGGAAAGACAGTTTGTTTCTTAATTGGTTTGTTTGTTCTGAGTTCCTTTCGATTTTTGCAACTTCTTGTGGTTTCATTTTCTCTTTTTTGTCTTCACTTATTAACCTATCCAGAGGATTTAAGGAAGAATTGTCTTTCACGGGATAATCTGTATTTTCTTTGAGTTCTAAAGTTTCAAATCCGGGGTGGAATCTGCCTCTTTTTCGCCTCCGTTTCTTTTTAGGCTTGCAGGGAGCAACTGAAGTACTTGGTGGCCTCAAAAATTCTTCTGGTAAATGATTCTGTCGATTTAAACTTTCATCTGAAGAATAAGAATGTGAATGTTGTCTACGTTTTCGATAGAATCTTTCTGATTCATTCATGACAGAATTGTAACCTCTTTTAACAGCCTGATTCTGACTCATGTGTTTCATATCATTTTGAAGAACTAAGCTTCTGTGATCCTGACTACAGCTTGACATTTTGGTTTTCCAACAACAGTAAGTTCTAGAATATGTTAAATTATGTTTCCCAGAATGTATCATTGTTGCATTTGATTGTCCATTTAAAAGTATTGTGTTCTTTTTACAGTGGTTTTTAGAACTGATAGTATCATAAGTGTTGTATTCAGTATTCCATGTTTTACACATTTCTTCATTGTCACTTAAGGATATGGATTCTGATTTGGGCCTTTTATCAAGTAACTGATGTGAGTCTAATAATTGCTCTGCAGCTAAATACTGCTTTTCTGAAATTGGTTCCAATAGATATTTCCCAGCATTTTCAGTGTAACTATTCTCTGCTTCCATTTTGCAGCGAGTTTCTGATTCTTTGGTTTTCTCCATATGATGATGCTGACATAACTTTTTTCTTTTTTTCTTTCTTCTACTTTTATGGAACCAGTATTCATGGGTCTCTTTCAACCTTATTTTGTTGTATTTTTCATCTAGAGTGTCCTGTTTTATTTGACTTTTAGTAAAATTATACTTTTCTGTTTCTCTGATCTTACAGGAAATGTTTTTATACCTCTGACCTGTGTTCTCATTTTTTCCAGAATCACAACTACTGGAGAGAATATCATCAGCCAAAAGAGGAGTGACTTGGCTGCATTTATTTTTGCTACTTCCAATTTCATAATCAGTGAGTCCTTCTGTAGATACATCCTTGTAATCTGAAAGTGGTCCCATGCAAATGTCTTCCTGCTTCTGCTGAGAACAAAGATCTTTTAAGTCTGGCTTATTTTTATCTAGATTATTATTTACTTTAGTAGACTTGAAGTCAAAACATAGAGGATTACAGCTATAGGAAATTGATGGTTTCGTAGTTGTATAAACCAGCATTTCTGATGGCCACTGAAGAACTGTAGATCTGTGTTTGTTAAGGACAGGTACAAATGGCTCACATTGTCTTTTGCAGAAATTTGTTTTCTTATGTATAGTTATGTTAACCTCTTCAGTATTTGAAGGGGCCAATGTCTCGGGACCATTTTTATTTTCAACCTCAGTTGTGGATGCCTCGTTATGCTTAACATTTTCCTCTGTGGTAGCTTGCACAGATATGCAATCATTAGACATGTCAAGAACTGTGGATTTATTTCCTAACAACTCAAAACTGTTACCACTAACAGGTATGTCTTCATTAATAACAACACTCTCTAGTGGTATTTGATCTGCTAATGGGACTGAATTTTGACAATTATCTGCATCAGAAGATAACTGAAGTTGAAACTTGCAAAATGAAGGTAATAATAATGCATCTTTTTCACTAGAGACTTCTTTTATCTCTTGAGTTTGAACAGTTTCTTTGTCTCTGCACATTGCCTCTGGTGGATGAAAAGAGTTAGTTTTCTCCTCAGAACTCAAAAGCACATCTGTTGGTGAAGATTGTTGAAGATGACAAGCACTGGGGACAAATCTACTTTTTCTGCTAAATCCTTTTCCCACTGAGGCATCATCACTGTATTCAGAGAAGGCTGCAGCTGAGGACTCTAGCTTCACGGACGCTTTCTTTGGAAATGCAAAAGAAAAGCCGATTTTGTGTCTGTGAATCCCCTGGGCTTGATCCCCAACTTGGTTATTTTTTGCTGTATAATTATTTGCACTTTCTGGATCTTCAGCAACAGTGGTAGCATCTTTAGTATTCTCTTCACTATGAATCAAAGTATATTTGAAATCTTGCTGGTTATTAACTGAATCCACAACAACTCGTTGGGAAATTTCATTACAGTTTTCTCTCACAGTAACAGTTGTTGATTTGAACATGGGGCCACTTCCAGGAGCACTAGAGAGAGAAACAGAAGCATGTGTTAAATAGCACACTTTTGAGAAAAAAAAATAGTCAAATATTTTCATCTTTAAAAAGTCATTATAATATTTTTTCAAATTTTAAAATCTTTGTGACAGAATTGCCTTCATATGGTGTAAGTACTTTCCATGGTGCCACAATATCATTTACTTGTTGGTTACTGTTTGGAATAACTTGGAAATATTGTCCTGAAGTTGCTTTTATAGCTGTTATGAGCAATGTTGAGGATATGCTCTTAACCAGTTCTATCTGACCAAAATTGTCTACCTTCATGGCCTCTTCTGTGATATTTTGAAGTGTTGTATTGTCTAAAGTAAAATTACTTTTGATTCACACATACTTAATATCATTGATGCTATATGGTAAATATGATGAAAGTTCTAAACAAAACCCTTAATCATGACTGCAGAAAAGCTGGGAATTCAGTTGAACAATTCAATTCACCCAGCATTCACCAAGAGTCTACTATAGCCCAATTGGTATGGGCAAAGGTAACTAAGAGATAGTACTAGCTTTATGAGAGCTTTGACTCTTTTGAAATTGTTAGTCTCAATATTTAAAATTATCCTGAAGTTATACATTATATCATAACATGCAGTAAATGCAAGATAAAAGACAATTCACTTAAAATATAACTTATTTGGAATTACATTACACTGTAGTGAGTTCTGATGAAAAGAACTATACTGACAAACACATAAATATAAGAAACCCTAAACCTTATCCTTAGCAGAACTCTGTGTGAAGAAAATTCCTGCTATTCTAAAAATTCAGTGTTTTAAATATTATAAGTAGACAAGAAAATTTTAGTTGGATATTTCCTTTATCTAACCACTAACACAATGTATTGCTTCATTTAGCTTTATCTGCTAAGTAACAGAATGACTTCTTTTCCCATCTTTTGAAGCATAAAATTAATGGGAAAATCATGTATGTGTGGCTGTGTGTACATATAATGTAAAATATGTGCTTTATACTGAGGATAATAATTTAAATAAACAGTATTGCTTTTTGTGTATATCATTATTAGCTCTAGTTCACTTAATATATCATAATTTATATTTGCAAATGCTATTTGTAGAGCGTTAAGTTACATAGGTTCCATGATTCTCTATAGTTAAAATTTGTATAATTTTTTATTCATTACCACAAAAAGTAAACATATCTGATTAGTGTAACTGAACAGCAGTAACATCTGTTTTTAACAGTTGGATGTAGGATTCCAAATACATATACATTTTATTTTGGTTTTTACAAATTTGGCATCCCTAACAATGTTTCGATATGTCAACGTATCCCATAACATTATTCAGCAAAAAGTAGATTTGGAATGAAATAATTTTGATATAGACAATAATAAGAGAGGCTTTATTGATTGGAGAAACAAAGACTACTTTTAAAAAGTCTTCTTTTAATAACTTTGCCCTGGCTTGAATTGTAAAGTCTGAATTACAACACTGTTCACACCTAATAGCTGCTCACTGTTAGAAGCAGATCAAAGTTTAAAAGTTGTGAACCTCTAACAGCCCAGTTAGAATTTATTCACAGCGCACTTAATGTTGGTCTGCTTCTCAAGCAAAATTCTTATCCTTTTTTAGAAAAAGAATCTTAAACATAATTTTAAATAGAAGTTCTCCAAATTTTCATTTTAAAAAGTATCTCTAAAAACTCTTTTTGTTAAAAGGGTCATAAGATACTGCCTTGCTGTCTTCCTCAATCAAATGTTTGAGTATCACCAAGAAATGGGGTAGCTTTCAACTAAGATAACTTAAATAATAACATAAAGTTTATTTTTTAATCCAAAATTACAGTAATTTTGGCTTTTTACTGAAATGTGCATTAAACAGGTGTTTGCATAAAATTCTAATTCAAATTACTGTTTACAGCCTACAGAAGGCCATGAAAACATGTGTGCCTTATTCTGGGTACAGTAATAAATAGATTTGTGCCCTTTATTTCTGACTCCCCCTATACCCCTTTTTTGGTCATGTTTTAAGAAAACTTACAATTTCATTGGATACTCACCATACAGTTTCCTTTCTTAGCTCAGCCAGCTTGTGCAGGCGTTGGAGTGCCTTTTCCTGTTTTCTTTCATCTTTCCTGGATTTAGATGCTACATTTCGAGCAAATTCCCTTTGTTTCAGTTCCTTGAGCCTCTGTTAAAAAAAAGTTGGAAAATGATTAATTGTATTTTGGTCTATAGTAGTTTTAAAGTTTCATTGTTATTGTTGAAATTTTCCAATGCATCATCTTTGACCTTGTCGAGAGGTAAACACAACATTCATGACAATCCACTTCTAACAAAAATATTTTCTCGCATTTTGGCTTGTGAAAAAGCCAAAGCATATTATTACATCATAGTGAAATTTATATCTATGCCTTAGGCAAATTTTAATTGAAAACTTTAATCTCTTCTTATTGATCATTTCCTGCTGTTTCTCTGCGTAATTCAGATGAAGGATTCGTGCCTTATAAATCCCAAATTTACAAAAAAATTCAACTTGCTTATTGCTTATGTATTTCTGTTATATATAATATGTTTTCTTATATTTTGATGTACAGTATATTAGAAAGTTATCTGGTCCTTTGTGTCTGTGTGTGTGTGTGTGTGTGTGCGTGTGTGTGTGTAAGTGAAAAGTTTATTAGGAAAGTAAATGAATAAAGAGTGGCTACTCCATAGGCAGAGCAGCCCTTTTTGTGTGTTCTGAGAGTACATTATTTATGTTAATCCATAAGACAAATGATCTCTCCTGATGTGGTTTAAAACAATCCCTTCTCTCAAACAGCAGGCACGTTTCCAGAATAATTCAAGATATTGGAAGAAAATTGGTATTGTTTTTCTAGAAATTCTTACTACCTTGGGTATTATCTTTCATCTGTGTTAAAGAAGTTCATTTTCTGGGTTGATGGCAAGAAAAACAGCATGCCAACTCGAACATAATTGATAAATAGCCGTGTGTGTGGTATAATTTTGGAGACATCAAAGTTATCTTGTGCCACAAATATTTTCACTATGTACTTTCATGATGTGTACAGTTATTAAAAATAATAAAAGTACTATTTTCCCTAATGGTTCATGTTATTATGCAATTGTAATATGTCAGAATCTTGAGTAGGACTCACTTATACTAGTGATATAATGTGACTGTGTCCCCACCCAAATCTCATCTTGAATTGTAGCATCCATAATTCCCACGTGTGGTGCGAAGTACCCAGTGGGAGGTAATTGAATCATGGGGGCGGGTCTTTCCCATACTTTTATTGTGATAGTGAATGAGTCTCATGAGATCTGATGGTTTTATAAAGAGGAGTTTCCTTGCACATGCTCTCTTTCCTGCCTCCATGTAAGACGTGACTTTGCTCCTCCTTTGCCTTCCACCAAGATTGTGAGGCCTTTCTAGCCATGTGCAACTGTGAGTCAATTAAACCTCTTTCCTTTATACATTACCCAATCTCAGATGTGTCTTTACTGGCAGCATGAGAACTAATATGGTAAATTGGTGCTGGGTAGTGGGGTGCTGCTGTAAAGATACCTGCAAATGTGGAAGTGACTTTGGAACTGGGTAACAGACAGAGGTTGGAACAGTGTGGAGGGCTTAGAAGACAGGAAGATATGAGAAAGTTTGAAACCTCCTACAGACTTGTCAAATGGCTTAGACCAAAATTCTGATAGTGATATGGATAATAAAGTCCAGGCTGAGGTGGTCTCAGATGGAGATGAGGAACTTATTGGGAACTGGAATAAATGTTACTCTGTTACTCTTGTTATGCTTTAGCAAAAAGACTGATGACATTTTGCCCCTGCCCTAGAGATTTGTGAAACTTTTTGGAAGAAATTTCTAAGCAGTAAAGCATGCAAGAGGTGAGTTAGGGGCTGTTGAAAGCATTTGGTTTTATGTATTCACAAAGTTATTTTTTGGAATTAGAACTTATGTTTAAAAGGGAGGCAGAACATAAAAGTGGAAAATTTGCAGCCTGATGATGCGATAGAAAAGAAAAACCCATTTTCTGAGGAGAAATTCAAGCTGGCTGCGGAAATTTGCATAAGTAACAAGAAGTCAAATGTTAATGACCAAGACACTGGGGAAAAATATCTCCGAGGCATGTCAGGTTTCTTCACAGCAGCCTGTCCTGTCACAGGCCCAGAGGATTGGGAGGGAAAAATGGTTTTGTGGGCCAGACCCAGAGCCTTGCCACTTTGTGCAGTCTCAGGACTTACTGCCCTGCATCCTAGCCATGGATAAAAAGGGCCAATGTACAGCTCAGGCCATTGCTTCAGAGGGTGCAAGCCCGAAGTCTTGGTGGCTTACACATGGTGTTGAGCCTGTGGCTGCACCCAATTCAAGAATCAAAGTTTGGGAACCTCTGCCTAGATTTCACAGGATGTGTGAAAATGCCTGATGTCCAGGAAGAGGTGTGCTGTGGGGCAGAGCCCTCATGGAGAACCTCTGCTAGGGCCGTGCAGAAGGGAAATGTGAGTGGGATCCCCCACATAGAGTCCCCACTTGGGCACTGCTTAGTGGAGCTGTGAGAAGATGGCCACTGTCCTCCAGACAGCAGAATGGTAGATCCACCAACAGCTTATACCATGTGCCTGGAAAAACCACAGACACTCAACACCAGCTCGTGAAAGCAGCCAGGAAGAGGTCTTTCCCGTGCTGTTCTAGTGATAGTGAACAAGTCTCATGAGATCCAGTGGTTTTATAATGGGAAGATCCCCTGCACATGCTCTCTTGCCTGCTACCACATAAGACATGACTTTGCTCCTCCTTCACCTTCCACCATGATTGTGAGGACTCCCCAGCCATGTGGAACTGTGAGTCAAACCTCTTTACTTTATAAATTTCCCAGTTTCTGGTATGTCTTTATTAGCAGCATGAGAATGAACTAATACCACTAGTTACATTTTAAAAAACTAATTGGATAAAGTTTTAATAAATACCATATACATATGCACTTATGTGTACCAGGAACTTAGAACAATACCTGGTTTATAACATTTCTGTTCCATAAAAATTTTTAAATTATTGTGTAACTGATTTAGATCCTCCAAATTATAAATGTTCCATCTATTTTAAAAAGTTCATCACTATGAATAAATAACAGTAGGCTCCTAATGATTCTGGATTGTAAATCTGAATTTCCCCAACATAGCATGAGGTAGCTCAAATGACATATAACACTGACATAGTTTAAGCTTAAAATGATCTCTAATATTTAAATTGACATGATTTATAGAAAGTGTCCTTGTATGTGTATATATCTATATATTTTTGAATTTACACAAAGATATTTCAAGAATGCTCATTTGCACTGACATATTTGTGTAGGATAAGACTTTCCAGAGTAGAATTTAGATGAAAGATAAATCATGTCATAAATGTCTCAATTGTATAGATATTTCCCAGAAAGCAAAACTTTGAAATCATTTCCTTAATATGACTATTAAAATGGCTATAATTTTATCATATGCATCAAATTATTAATTGCTTTTCATAAAACAGGTGTAGAATTACAGTATAATAGGTCAAGAATATTTTGCTCATAAATTTTAGGTATACAGGGTCTTGGTCACTTTTATTTCTTAAAAACTTAAAGTAATATCAAGACTCATTCAACAGATAATTATTGAGCACTAGCAGCAGTCACTCTGTTAAAAGGCTGAGATTTTTTTTAATTAAAGAAAATATTTTTACTTTCATTGTGTGTTTCTATGAGTGTATATGTGGGCAAGTGTTGTGTATTTATGCGTATTTTACAGAAATAAGGAGTGAACATACACATTAAGAGATAACAGCAATCACTGGTTGGATTATTCTTACAGTGCCATGTGTGAAGAGAGAGAAGTGCTCAAGAAAATCCTAAATACAGCTACTTGGTAAAAGTGATATCTGTGCTGGGTTTTGAGGAATACAAATATTAACTAGAAAAAAAGGGTTGGATGTTGGGGATGAGAGTGTGTATCAGGGACCATGAACAACTTCGTACAAACACAAGAATCTAAGTTTTCTACAATAAGATGTAAAAGAAGTAAAATACCAGGTGAAATAAAGCAAGAAAGAGTTTTAATACCAGAGCTAATCAGCAGATAATCTTTGATTATTAGTTATAAATAGTTTTATTCCAAGAAGTACAGATAATTTATTTCCTACTGGTTCTTTAGAAAAGCTCTAGT
Source organism: Homo sapiens (assembly GCF_000001405.40). Lineage (NCBI taxonomy): Eukaryota > Metazoa > Chordata > Mammalia > Primates > Hominidae > Homo > Homo sapiens. Next base: position 184,929,583 of record NC_000002.12, on the reverse strand, counting down.
CAACAAACCAAAAAGATAGACTTTACTGTTTTTAATAAAATCTTTAGTATAAAAGTTAATTGTTATTACATACTCACACATACACACACACACACATATATATAAACATATATAATACATAAAATACATGTAATAATCAATGATTACAAATAGTGGTTTTAAATTTCATTGGTAAGATAAAAGTGCAATGCTTCTAATGAAAAACAAATGAATGAAAAACAAACCGTATTTTCCAAAGAAAGCATGCAAAATGCCAGGACTTTCACTATTTACTGTTTCAAAGTAACCATTGAGGTTTAGAAATAATTTGGTTTCATTGACATAATCATTGAATATTGAGGAGTCAGTCAATTATTAAATGCCAATACTGTTGTTATTTGTAATATAAGTGACTGACAGGCATGGCTGGAAGCAGCTCCAGATTTAGATAACTGTGCCTATTTAAAATGTAAATTTAAAGAGGAGAGGCTAGATGGTAGAATAGAAGGCTCCACTAATCATCTTCCCCCCGCCCACAAGGATAACAATTTATCTACACAAAAAAGGCACCTTCATAAGAACTAAAAATGAAGTGAGTGTTCACAGTACCTGGGTTTAACTTCATTTCACTTAAAGAGGCACTGAAGAAGTAAGATAAACAGTCTTGAATAGCCAATGCCTCCCTTCTCCCAACCCCCAGAAGTGGCCATTCTGCATGAAGAGAAAAATCTGCACACTTGAGAGAGTGAGAGAGAAACAACTGTGAGACGTTATGTTGAACTCAGTGCTTTCCTGCCACAACAGAAAGCAAAATCGAACTGAACTCCACTGATGCTCACCTATGGAGGTAGTATTTAAACCAGCCCTAGCCAGAGGGGAATGGACCATCCCAGCAGTTGGAACTTGAGTTCCTGCAAGCCTTGCCACCTTGGGCCAGAGGGCTCTGGGGCTCTAAATAAAGTTCAGCTTTATTTATTTCAGCTTTATTTATTCAACTCGCGGCAGTCTAGACTGCAACTCCTAGGCAAGTGCTATTGCTGAACTGGGCTCAGAGCCAGTGGTCTGGAGGGGCACATAACAAACTGAATAACAGTTTGGCTAAGGGAGGGCTGATGCCACTCCTCCCCCTCCCCTAACCCCAGGCTGCAGAGCTCATGGCTCCTAAAAGATCCCTTCATTCTGCTTGAAGAGAGATAGGGGAGGGGAGAGGAGGAGAGGAGAGAGAAGAGCAGGGAGGACTTTGTCTTGCATCTTAAGATACCATCTCACTCACCGCAGGAAAGAGTACCAGTCAGAATTGTGAAACCCTCTTTCCAGGTCCCAGCTTCAGGAAAACATTTCTAAACACACGCTGGGCTAGAAGGAAACTTACTGTCTTGAAGGGAAGGACCTAGTTTTGGCAGAATTGATCACTTGCTAACTGAAGAGCCCTTGGGTCCTGAATAACCAGCAGCAATACCCAGGTAGTACTTCGTGGGCCTCGTGTGAGACTCTGTGACTTCCTGGCTCCCAGTGAAACTCAGCATATTCCCAGTTGTGGTGGATATGGGGAGAGACTTCCTCTGCTTGAGAAAAGTAGAGAGAAGGAAAGGGGACTTTGTCTTGCACCTTAGCTACAAGCTCTGCCACAGGGAGATAGAGCACCAAATGATCTCTTGGGGTCCCTGAATCCAGGATTTGGCTTTTGCATGGCATTTCTGGATCCGCCTTGGGCCAGAGGGGAGCCCACTGCCCTGAAGGTTGAGCCCCAGGCCAGGCAGTATTCACCACAAACTGAACGAAGAGCTTTTGACTCTTAAGGAAATAGCAGTTGCCTGATAGTTTTCCCTATGGGCCTGTGATGGTGGTGGCCATGGGGTGAGGCTCCTCTGCCTTAGGAAATGGGAGGCATAAATGGGAAGGACTACATCTTGTGGTTTGAGTGCCAGCTCAGCGACAGTACAATGGAACACCAGGTAGACTTCTAAAGTTTTTGATTCTGGACCCTGGCTTTAAGACATAACCTCTGGACCCACCTGGGGCCTGAAGGAACTTGATTCCCTAAAGGGAAGGACATAGGACACCAGCCATTAGTAAAGCCCCAAGGCTTTGAGTGAAGAGGAGCCAGGTAGTGGCTACAGCAGGCTTTGGGTAAGACCCAATGCTGTGCTGGCTTCAGGTCTGACCCAGTGCAATCCCAGTGGTGGTGGCCACAGGGGTGTTTATGACACTCCACCCCTAGCTCCAGCCAGCTCAGAACTGAGAGAGAGAGAGACTCCATTTGTTTGGAAGAAAGTAAGGGAAAAGAACAGGAGTCTTTGTCTGGTAATCCAGATAATTCTTTTGGATCTTGTCCAAGACCTTGGAGGTGGTATCTCTGAATCTACAAGAGCCACAGAACTACTGGGCTTGGGGTGCCCCCTAATGTAGATACAGCTTAGTTCACAACATACAGTCCTTTCGGACCTGGAAAAACCTTCTAAAAGTATAAGTACAAACAAGCCCAAACTGTGAAGACAATAAATACCTAACTCTTCGATGACCAGACATGGACAGATATTCCTAAGTATTAAGACCAACCAGGAAAACATGATCTCATCAAAGGAACCAAATAAGACATGATGGACCAATCTTGAAGAAACAGGCATATGTGACTCTTCAGACAGAGAATTCAAAATGGCACTTGTGAGGAAACTCAAAAATATTGATGATAAGAAAGAAGGAATTCAGAATTCTACAAGCTAAATTTAACAAAGAGAGTGACATAATTAAAGCAAGCAGAAATTCTGGAGCTGAAAAATGCAATTGGCAAACTAAAGAATGCATCAGAGTTTCTTAAAAACAATTGATCTATCAGAAGAAAAAATTAGTGAGCTTGAAGATAGGCTATTTAAAAACACGAAGTCAGAGGAGACAAAAGCAAAAGGTTAAAAAACAATAAATCACACCTACAGGATCCGGAAAATACCCTCAAAAGGGACAATCTAAGAGTTTTTGGCCTTAAATAGGATCTTAAGCAAGAGATGGGGATACAAGGTTTATCCAAAGGGATAATAAAAGTGAACTCCCCAAACCTAAAAAAAAGTTACCAATATCCAAGTAAAAGAAGGTTATAGAACACCATGAAGATTTAACCTAAAGAAGACTACCTCAAGGCATTTAATAATCAAACTCCCAAAGATCAAGGAAAAAGAAAGGATCCTAAAAGCAGCAAGAAAGAAGAAACAAATAATATAATATGGAGGTCCAACATGTCCAGTAGCAGCCATTTCAATGGAAACTGTACAGGCTAGGAGAGAGTGGTATGATGTATTTAAAGTGCTTAAGGAAAAAAAAAAAAATTTACCCTAGAATAGTAAACCTGCTTAAAATATCCTTCAAACAGGTAGGAGAAATAGCAACTTTCCCAATCAAAAGCTGAGGGGTTTCATCAATAGCAGATTGTCCCACAAGAAATGTTAAAGGGAGTGCTTCAGTTAGAAAGAAAAGGTTGTTAATGAGCAATAAGAAATCATCTGAAGATACAATATTCACTGGTAATAGTAAGTACACAGAAAAACATGTAACACTGTAACACTGTAACAGTGGTGTATAAACTACTCTTAAATAGAAAGGTTAAATGATGAAACAATCAAAAACAACAACTACAGCAACTTTTAAAGATATACATAAGATAGAGCGAGACTCCATCTCCAAAAAGAAAAGAATAAAAAAGATATAGATAAGATTAAAACAGAAACAACAAAAAATAAAATAGGAGGGGAACAAAGTTATAGCGTAGGGTTCTTATTAGTTTTATTTTTGCTTGTTTGCTCACGTTTGTTTGTGTAAAAACTGTTAAGTTGTTAGCTTAAAACAGTGGGTTATAAGAGACTATTTGCAAGCCTTATACTAACCTCAAATTTAAAAATATACAATTAAAACACAACAAATAAAAATAAAGAAATTAATTCACATCACCCAAGAAAATTACCTTTACTGAAAGAAGGACAGGAAGGAAAGAAAGAAGAAAGAGAAGACTACAACAAAACCAGAAAACAACTAACAAAATGGCAGCAGTAAGTTCTTACTTATCAATAATAACATTAAGCATACATGGACTAAACTCTCCAATCAAAAGACAGAATGGCTAAATTAATTTTTTTAAAAAAACCCGAGATCCAATAATCTGTTACCTACAAGAAACACACTTCACCTATAAAAACACACACAGAGTGAAAATGAAAGGATGGGAAAAGTTATCCCATGACAATGGAAACCAAGAAAGGATAGGAGTAGCTATAGTTATATGAGATAAACAGATTCGATGACAACAACTATAAGAAAAGACAAAGAAGGTCACTATATAACGACAAAAAGATCAAATCAACAAGAAGATATAACAAATGTAAATATATATGCACCCAACACTGAAGCACCAAGATTTATAAAGCAAACATTAGAGCTAAATAGAGAGCTACACCTCAGTACAATAACAGCTGGAGAGACTTTAACATCCACTTTCAGCATTGCACGAATATTCCAGAGAGAAAATCAGCAAAGAAACTTTGGACTTAACCTGTACTATAAATGAACTTAATAGATATTTACGACACATTTCATCCAACAGCTACAGAATACACATTCTTTTCTTCATTATATGGATCATTCTCAAGAGTAGACCATATGTCACATCACAAAACAAATCTTAAAACATCAAAAAAAATTGAAATAATATCAAGCATCTTCTCTGACACAATGGAATAAAACCAGAAATCAATAAAAGGAGGAATTTTGGAAACTATACAAATAAAGGAAAATGAAACAATATGCTCCTTAATGATCAGTAGGTCAATAAAGAGATAAAGAAGGAAATTGAAACACTTCTTTAATCAAATGATAACGGAAACGTAACATACAAAAATCTATGGGATACAACCAAAGCACTACTAAGAGGAAAGTTTACAGCAAACTAAAAAAGAAGACAACTTCAAATAACCTAAGAATTCATCTTAAATAACTAGAAAACAAAAGCAAGCCATACCCAAAATTAGTAGAAGAAAAAAAAATAAAGATTAGAGTGGAAATAAATGAATATGAAGTAAAGGAAACAATACAAAACATCAATGAAATAAAAAGAAGGTTTTTTTAAAAAGTTAAACAAAATTGACAATTTTGGCCAGACTAAGAAAAAAAAGAGAGAAGATCCAAATAAAATGAGAGATGTAAAAGGAGAGATTGCAACAGATACCATATAAATTTAAAAGACTATTAGTGGCTACTATGAGCAACTACATGTAAATATATTGAAAAATCCAGAAGAAATGCACAAATTCCTAGACATATACAAGCTACTGAACCATGAAGAACTCCAAAACTCAAACAGACCAGTAACAAGTAACGAGATGGAAGCCATAATAAAAAGCCTCCTAGTAAGAAAAATCCCAGCACCTGATGACTTTACTACTGAATTGAACCAAGCATTTAAAGAACTAGTAGCAATCCTACTCAGACTATCTGAAAAAATAAATAAGAAGGGAATACTTCCAAACTCCTCCTATAAGACCGTATTGCCCTGATACCAAAACCAGGAAAAGACACACTGAAAACATACACACACACACACACACACACACAAAACAAAACTACATGTCAACATCACTGATGACTACTGATACAAAAATCCTCAACAAATACTAGCAAACTGAATTAACACATTAAAATGGTTATTCATCATGACCAAGAGGAATGTATCCCAGGGAGACAAGGATGATTTAACACAGGCAAGTCAATCAGTGTGATACATCATATCAACAGGATGAAGAACAAAAACCATATAATTGTTTCAAATGATGCTGAAAAAGTGTTTGATAAAATTGAACATCTCTTTCTGACAAAAGCCCTCAAAAAACTGGGTTTAGAAGGAGCATACCTCAACATAATAAAAGCCATATACCACAGACCCACAGCTAGTATCGTACTGAATGAGGAAAAAACTGAAAACCTTTTCTTTGTGATCTGGACCACGACAAGAATGACCACTGTCATCACTGTTATTCAACAGAGTACTGAAATCCTAGCTAGAGCAATCAATCAGACAAGAGAAAGAAATAAAAGGCATCCAAATTGGAAAGGAAGAAGCCATGTTATCTTTGTTCCAGATGATATAATCTTATACCTGGAAAAAACTAAAGATGCCACCAAAAAGCTTTTAGAGCTGATGAACAAATTCAGTAAAGTTTCAGGATATAAAATCAACATACAAAAATCAGTAGCAATTTTATATACCAACAATTAAAATTCAGAAAAAGAAATTAAGAAAGTAATTTCATTTGCAATAGCTCCAAATAAAATAAAATACCTCAGACTTAACCAAAGAAGTAAAAGATTTATACAATAAAAAACTATAAAACATTGATGTAAGAAATTGAAGAGGACTCCAAAAAGTAGAAATGTATTCCATTTTCATGGATTGAAAGAACCAATATTGTTAAAATGTACATACTACCCAAAGTAATCTACAGATTTAATGCAATTCATATTAAAATACCAATGATATTATTCACATAAATAAAAATCATAAAATGTATATGGAACCACAAAAGACCCAGAATAACCAAAGTTGTCTAAAGCAAAAGGAACAAAACTGGAGGAATCACATTACTTGGCTTAAATTATAATACAGAGCTAAAGTAACCAAAATGGCATGGTATTGGCATAAAAAAGACAGACCAATGGAATAGAATGGGGAACCCAGAAATAAATCCATACATCTACAGTGAACTCACTTTCAACAAAGTTTCAAAGAACATACATTGGGGAAATGACAGTCTCTTCAATAAATTGCACTGAGAAAACTAGGTATCCATATGCAGAAGAAAGAAATTAGACTCCTATTTTTTGCCATATGCAAAAATCCCACCAAATAAAACTAAAAGAAAACACTGGGGAAACTCTTCAGGACATTGGAGTAGGCAAAGACTTCTTGAGCAATAACTCACAGACCCAGACAATCAAAGGAAACATGGACAAATAGGGCCACATCAAATTAAAAAGCTTCTGCACAGCAAAGAAAACAATTAACAAACTGAAGAGACAACTCACAGAATGGCAGAAAACATTTGCAAACTACCCATCTGACAAGGCATTAATAACCAAAATATAAAAGGAGCTCAAACAACTCTATAAGAAAAAAATCAAATAATCAGATTAAAAAATAGGCAAAATATCTAAATAGACATTTCCCAAAAGACATAAAAATGACAAACAGGAAGTGAAAATGTGCTCAACATCATTGACTATTAGAGAAATGTATATCAAAACTGCAATGAGACATCATCCCACTCCAGTTAAAATGGTTTTTATCCAAAAGATAAGCAATAAAAAATGCTAGTGAAGACATGGAGGAAAAGGAACCCTTGTACACTGTTAGGAAGAATGCAAATTTGTACAACCACTCTGGAGAACAGTAACTTAAAAAACTAAAAATAGAGCTACCATACAATCCAGCAATCTCACTATACACAAAAGAAAGGAAACCAGTATATTGAAGACATATCTGTGCACTCATGTTTATTGCAGCACTATTCACAATAGTAAAGATTTGGAAGCAGCCTAAGTCTCCATCAGCAGATAAATGGAAAAAGAAAATATGGTACATAAACACATAAATTATCATTCAGCCATAGAAAATACAGAGATCCTGTCATTTGCAACCACATGGATGGAACTGGAGATCACTGTCTTAAGTGAAATAAGCCAGGCACTGAAAGACAAACACCACACATTCTCACTTATCTATGGGAGATAAAAATTAAACTCACGGAGATGGAGAGTAGAAGGATGGTTACCAGAACCTGGAAAGTGTAGCTGGGGGTAGGGTAAGTGGGGGATATTTAATGGGTACAAAAGTACGGTTAGAATAAGTAACTCCTAGTATTTTTGAGCACAAAAAGGTGACTATAGCAGAAAAATAATTTAATTGTACATTTAAAAATAAAAGTAACTGGATTGCTTGAAACACAAAGGATAAATGCTTAAGGTGAGGGATACCCTATGTACTCTGATGTAATTCTTATGCATTGCATGCCTGTGTCAAAATATCTTATGTGAGCCATAAATATATATACCTACTACGTATCCACCAAAAATAAAAATTACAATTAAAAAATAAACAAAATGTAAATGTGTCAATATTGTAGAGGCTGTCCAAAAGCACTATGCTACATCCAGGTGATTGTACTAATCTTGATCTTCTATGCACAAATACTTCTCTTATTTTTGTGACAGACTTCCTGATACCAAGGTAAAAAAAAACTCACCTAATATTTTGATAATATTCAACTGCTTTGAGACCTGGCCAAATACTTTGTAGAGTTTTAAAACTAGAATTTACCAGTGTTAATGTTTTTTCTTATATTTTTCTGAAACAAGAATAAAGTTCCATGTCATATTTACATCTAGAAAAGTAATTTTGAGAGGTGAATAATAGAAATCAAGTATAGTTACACTCCAAATAATAACACTTTGGTCAATGATGGACTGCATATAGAAATGTGGTCCCACCAACCAGGCCAATATGGTAAAACTCCGTTTCTATTAAAAATACAAAAATTTCAAATAAAGTGATTAGGGAAGGTGTATGAATTTTCTATTTTGGTGTAACAAATTACCACAAATTTAGCAGCTTAGCCCACATTTATTCCATGGTCTGCATACCTGTCCTTTCATCAATCAAGAAGTTGGCTAAGGTGTATTTTCATCGGGAGGATTGTCTGTGGAAAATGTCCACTTCCAAGCTTTCTAATGCTATTGGTGGAATTCATTTCCTTGTGGTAGTAGGACTGAGAGCCTGGGCTTCTTATTGGCTGTCAGCCAAGGCCATTCCAAGCAACTAGAGGCTGCCAGCAGTTTCTTGTCCCTGGGGTTTTTCATAAGACCCACTGAAATCATGACAGCTTATTTAAAGTTATCAAGGAAGTGTCTCTCTCTCTCTCCATTCTGCTAAGTATATAAAGCAACCTAGTCAATGGAGTGTTATCTCACCAATTTTTCGTGTTTTGTCAGTTAGAAAAAAGTCACAGTTTCCATCCACATACAAGGGAAGGGAATTATATAAAGGCATGACTCATTGGGAAGCACTTTAGAGTGTGTTAACCATAGAGGTCCGCATTGAGAAGGTGACATTTGAAAATAGACATTTAAGAAACGTAAAGTAACCCAAACAGATATCTCAGGGAAAACTCTCCAGACAGAGAGATCATTCAGAATGAAATAATAAAGAATTTGCAAGTCATTTTTGTTCTGACCACTGCTCATAGTCGCATGGTAGCACAGATGCCCTTTAACTGCAAGTTTTAAAAGAGTGGGGAAAAGAAGAATTCTCTGAACCACAACACTGGGCAAGTGACATTTGACAGAGGAAAAGAAAACTCAGGCCTGATTTATAGATGGTCCTGTATGACATGCAGGCACCATTTGAAATAGATAGCTGCAGCACTACAGGTTTTTTGTTTGTTTGTTTGTTGTTTTTTAGATGGAATCTCACTCTGTTTCCCAGGCTGGAGTGCAGTGGTGCAATCTAGGCTCACCGCAACCTCCTCCTCCCAGGTTCAACTGATTCTCCTGCCTCAGCCTCCCGAGTAGATGGAACTACATGCACATGCCATCATGCCAAGCTAATTTTTATATTATTAGTAGAGATGGATTTCACCATGTTAGCCAGGCTAATCTCTAACTCCTGACCTCAGGTGATCCACCCATCTCAGCCTCCCGAAGTGCTGGGATTACAGGCATAAGCCACCATGACCAGCCTACAGTTCTTTTTTGCAACTACCCTGAAGAGCACTGATGACAGGAATTTCTCACAATGGGAAGAACATCAAGTAGTGAATTTTGTTGTTCATTGTTTTTGGAAGGAGAAATACTGAGATGTAAAATTATATACCAGTTCATGAGCTGTGGCCAATGGGTTGGCTGGATGGTTAGAAACTTGCAAGAAACATGATTTAAAAATTGGTAACAAGAAGGATTGGGTATGTGGATAGACTTCTGTGAATGGGAGAAAAACAGGAAGACGTTTGTGTCCCACATAAATGCTCATCAAAAGGTCACCTCAGCAGAGAAGAATTTTAATAATCAGGTAGATAGCCTCTTTCCCCGGCTGCCTGTGTCACTGCCCAATGAACTCATGAACAAAGAGGCCATGGTGGCAGGAACAGGGGTCATACATGGGCTCAGCAATGTGGACTTCCACTCACCAAGGTTGACCTGGCTATGGCCATCATTGACAGCCCAATGCCAGCAGCGACAGAGACCACCACTGACCCCTGATACAGCACTATTCCCTGGAATGATCAGCCAGCTGCCTGGTGGCAGGTTGAGTACATTGGATGGCTTTCATCATGAAAGGGGCAGTGTTACCTTCTTCCTGGAATAGAAATTTACTCTGGGTATGGATTTGCCCTCCCTGCACTCAATGATTCTCACAAAACTATCATCTGTGGATTAGCTTATCTGCATTTATGATATTCCACACACAGCATTTCTCTAATCAAGGTACTCACTTCACAAATGAAGAATAGCAATGGGCCCAGGCTTAAGAAATTAACTTCTCTTACCATGTTTTCTACCACCCTGAAGAAACTGGTTTGATAGAATGGTAGAATGGCCTTTTGAAAGTTTAATTACATAGGAAATTCTTCAAAAAACCAAAGAATGGGTGAAAAAAGATATTTTTCTCTCCTTATTTGTTGAAACAGGCACTTTACACTAAACACTTAGTTTAATGTGGTATGGTGGTTTCTAGTTTGGAATACCATAATATATATACCCCTCCCCTACTGGTGGATGTCTAGGTTGTTTCTGATTCCCATTATTACAAATAAGTGTATAGTAAAGTCTTTTTACATAAACCTTTGTATATGTGCAAGTATCTCTGAAGGATAAATTACTTAAAAGGAAAAATTGTTAGAACAAAGCATATATATGGATTTTTAATTTAAATTTTAAAATAAATACTGTTTGATTACCCTCATCCACCCCAAAAAAGAAAATTCAGTTTCAACTCCAGCCAGGTGGCAATACCAGGCAGGGTTTTGGTAAGACTCTCCAGAAAGCTGTATATGTTCTGAATTAGCATCCAATATATGATGATGTTTTCCTTACAGCCAGGATTCATCAGCCCAGGAATCAAGAGGTGAACATGGGACAGGCACACTCCCTATTACCACTATTGATTTACTTACTAGCAAATTTTTGGCTTCCTATTTATGCCACCTTATGTTCTGTTGGTCTAGAAGTCTTAGTTCCAAAGGAAGGAATGCTTCCATCAAGAGACATATTAATTATTCCACTGAACTGGAAGTTAAGACAGAGTGGGTTAAGCTACAGCTATCCACTTTGGGCTCCTTATGTCTCTGAATCAACAGGCAAAGGAGGGAGTTACTGTGCTGGGTGAGGTGATTGATTTTGATTACCAAGGGGAAATTGGACTGCTACTGCACAATGGAGGTAAGGAAGATCATATCTGGAATACAGGACATCCCATAGGGCATATCTTAGTATTACCATTTCCTGTGACTGACATCAATGGAAAAATACAACAATTCAGGCATGACTAATAATGGACAAGACCCTCAAAAATGAAGTCTTGAGGCATCCCACTAGTCAAGGAATGACTATCAATTGAGGTGCTTGTTGAGGATAAAGGGAGTGGGTAATAGAAGAAAGCATTTGTAAATACTGGCAATAACCATGTGGCCAGTTACAGAAATGAGGACTTCAATTGACATGAGAATATTTTCCTTATTTTATATAAGTATTTGTGTGTGTGTGTGTGTGTGTGTGTGTGTATGTGCTAGTTATGCCTTATCTGCATGGGATACATTCCAAAAGCCCCAGTGGATGCCTAAAACCACATATAATACCAAATCTTATATTTACTGTATTTTCCTATATATATACACACACACACACCTATGATAGTTTAATTTATAAACTAGGCACAGTAAGATTAACGATAACTAATAATAAACAATTATAACAATATACTGTAATATACGTTTTGGGAATATGGTCTTTTTTTCAGAATATCTGATTGTACTATACTCATCTATTTTCAGAACACAGTTGACCATGAGTAACTAAAACTGCAAGGGGATAAACTGTATACACACACACACATATTTGTTTTTCTTTTTATCCTTTTATGATATGACATAATATGTATTGAATAACATCATAGTATCTAAGTATTGTTAATTTTACATCATAGTATTTAAGTTACAGGATATTAAGGAGAAAAGTGAACATTACCCAATGACTTTAAATTATCTTCTGGGGAAGGGATTGGTATCTTTTGGGTTGTATGCAGGATAGCTGTATCATGTTAGACAGAGTGTGACCTTGTTATTACATTTATTTGGAGATTAATTTTGGGTTAAAGGGATGTGTATGGGTGCCAGGTTAACTTAGAAGGAGGTGAACTTGTGATGGTTAATTGCATGTGTCAACTTGACTAGTCCATGGTATCTATATATTGGTCAAACACCAGTCTAGATTTTACTGTGAAAATATTTTTTAGATAATATCGATATTTAAATCAGTAGACTTTGAGTGAAGTAGATTACCCTCCATAATATGGTGAGCCTCATTTAATCAATTGAAGCAGAGCAGAAAAATCAATAGATTCCTAGTCCTTAATAGCATCACTGAATTACAGCATCAGCCTTTGACAGATTACCTATGCATTTTTTTTTCTTTTTCTGTTTTTGTTTTGTTTTGTTTTGTTTTTTTGTTTGAGATGGAGTCTTACTCTGTCTCCCAGGCTGGAGTGCAGTGGTGTAATCTCAGCTCATTGGAGCCTCTGCCTCCTGGGTTCAAGCGATTCTCCTGCCTCAGCCTCCCAAGTAGCTGTGACTATAGGCACACGCCACCATGCCCAGCTAATTTTTGTATTTTCAATAGAGACGGGGTTTCACCATGTTGACCAGGATGGTCTCCATCTCTTGACCTCATGATCCACCCGCCTTGGCCTCCCAAAGTGCTGGGATTGCAGGCGTCAGCCACCGTGCCAGGCCAATCTTTTTAGAGTCAACTTTGAAATTTCTCTTATTTACAGTTGAATGTAATCTTATCATAGATATTCACTTACTGGATATTGTTCCTGGATAATTCTCTTTATATTTTTAGACTTCTGTCTCCTCATATGATATGTAAAATCCCTTCAAGTTTTTATATTCTAAGGTCTATGTTTCCAATGCCATCTTTCAAGTTGGAGTGAGTTAGTATGAAATAAAATATATATTTAGATTAATAACAAGAATTACCTTGTTAAGTGTTTTCCCTACCACAAGTAAATACATTACTCTCTTGTTCCAAAATTTTTGGTTATAATTTCATTCTTCTTAGTGAGTTAATATATTATCCACTATTACTGTTTCCATAGGCTTAAAGCTTCCTTTGAATTCCAGAGAGTTGTTTCTGTCAAGAACTATTTTTTGCAAGCTTTTGAAAAACCTAAGTATGATTTTTACCTTGTAGAGAAGTAATACCATGAAAGAATTACAACTCAATCACCAACTCTATTTCCTGAATCAATTTAGCTCTCTTCAATGACACTATGCAAAAGATTCTATTAGAATGTTAGCAAATATCCTTCTTCAGAGAAGGTTAAGATATTCTAGTGGATGGTATCACACATTAATGTGTAATTTTGTTCTAGTCATTATTTAATCAATGGCATTATGCTGAATGAACCTGTGGAAGACTCTTTAAAATTTCCTTTCCCATTACTACCATGAATGTGTATCATTTGGATTTTTCTCATGGCAGCTTTAAAAGCATGTAATCTCTTAATGACATATCAGATCTGAACAATATCTTTCCCCAAGGCCTCTCGTTCTTTAGATTCCATTAACTCAAGTTTCTCTTTGTATACAAAATCTCATTCTAGTTCTAATATAAAAGTCTTTGCAATCTGTGCATGTTATGTCTAAAACTGATTTTCTGACCATTCAGTTCATTTTCTTAAGTGCTGGATCAGAAGTGTCTCATGCATTGTAAGTGCTCATGAATACTTTTCAAATTGAATTCACATAGGATGGCAGTGATTAACTTCTTAATAGAATAGGAGGCTTTCAAAATTTGCTAAGAAAACATTGGATAGTACAGTGAGAGTAATAGAAACTCAAGTGTAAGAGGCATTGATGCTATTATTTTTTAATATATATACAAACAACTGAATGCCCAGTGATTGAAGAATGGTTAAGAGATATGGCTCAACTTTATATAGATATACCTTGCAGCTATTACCAATAATTTTAATAGCTGTAAAATATTTGAGATATTCTTGAACTAAAATGTTATTTTTTAAATGCAAATATTTTTACAATGTAATAAAAGTATCTGCATCTATAGGAATAGAGTAATAATGCCAGAAAATATACAAGATGTTAATTATATTTCTCTTTGTACAGTAAATATGGAATAATTTTACTTGTATTTTCTGCCATATGTTATTTCCCATTTTCTTCTGACTAGCATGTTTTACACAGATAAGAGTTTCTTAAATTTAAATTTGAAATATAAAAATAAGATTTATTGTAAAACCAAAATAAAAATTACTACTGCATGACTACTCCAATTATATTTTCATATATATGACTTAATAAATAACTAGATTATTCCAAATAATCCCAATTCATTGAACATTCACAAGTAAATCAACATATCAAATAATATCAATCTAGTGAATTATTGCTTACATGATCTTTAAAACCATGAAATCTATATGGGTTAGTTAACATTTTAATCATTTATTTGATGTAATGGGAAAATAATATATAGACACAGTTGTAGTGGTCTGTGAGAAATATAATATTATGCTATATACGTGTAAATATATCATTTATTCTTTTTATCTTTTTCAAAAATGTTATGTATATATAGTTACAATTGATATATTGCTTAATATATACTAAATTAATTGTAACAGTTTAGCAAGTGTTTTCTCCTTCTTTATGGAGGAATTTAAATCTGGTGTAACTTTAGATTTCCAACTCTTAGACACAGAATAAAGGTGGAATATCAATTTCTGTTATTAGGAAATTTGGCTTAAGATTTGTAAGTTATGTTTACAAATAACTTCAAATTGCTTTTGGACTCAGAAGTATGTGAAGAATTTATTATTTGGTGGGAAGCCATAACTGGGATTTTCCTAAATACAAACTAAGTTTGTCCCTTGCCAGAACAATGGAAGTTATACCTAGAGAGCCTCTTACAACATGTATTAGTTCTTGAGGGGCTTCTAAGCCATCCACCCACATTATCTCATCTCTCTGCAATTAAACTGTAACTTGGAATACCAGAGAAAAGAGCCCTAGAATTACTGTGGGAATGCAAGGACTCCTACTGAAAAGCATGTAAGATGCTGGCCTGTATCCTTCTAAGTGAATCTAATGTTGAATAATCATTCAAAAATGCATGTGTGGCAGGATGGGCCAGGCCAAGAAGCTGTGTTTTCTAGGCAATGAGACCAGAGCCTCTGACCTGCATCCAGCCTCTGATCTGCATCCCACAGGACATATGAAATTCTGTTTACGTCGTGGGAGGACACAGATGTTCTGACACAGGCATCCACAGATACAGAAGAATGAATCCAAAGGTAGTACTTGAGCATCTGGGGTCAAATAAGCCTGAGGAATCTGAACGGAAACAATCCATAATCCAAGAAACAAGCCTTGGTGATAATTAAAAGATGATCAGAGGAAGCTGTTTAAGAATGTGACCTGAGAATCTAGAGTCATGCAGGCACATGAGTAGTGAGGTTAAGCATCTTTTCAGATGTTTAGAAACTATTATTGAGTGACCTTGGTGGAAATGGAAGAGTAGGAAATTTCAAAGCCTTATCTCTTCACAGAAACACTGAAACAAAGAATCAAAAACTATCAGAATCAACTTCTTGGATATCTATCTGGAAAGTAATCAAAGGTTTACAGGAACTGAATGATCACTGAATCGAGGAAAAGATAACAAGCATGTGAGACTTTATTTTCTCCTCGTCCCAATCCCCTACCTGGAAAAAGGAAAAGGAACTGTCAACCAAGAATACCGTATCTATCAGAACTATACTCAGAAATAAAGCAAAAATTAAGACATTCACAGAGAAACAAGAGCTGAGGGAGTTGTTGCTAGTGGACTTGCTTTATAAGAAATGCCAAGAGAAGCCATTCAGGCTGAAATAATGGACTCTAGAGAATAACTTGAAGTCATACAAAGAAATAAAGTACACTGGTAAAGGTAACTACATAGGTAAATAAATAAAAGTCAGTATAATTGTATTTTAACTCTTCTTTCATTCCTATGTGCCATTATCCAATAATTATAAATCTATGCCAATGTATACACAATGTAAACATAATGTAATTTATAACAATAACTACATAAAGAAGGAGGTCTAAAGCTATATCAAAGCAAGTTTTGGAATACAAGTTAAGCTAAGTTTGCAAAAGAATGGTATTGAACATCTACCTCACACCATTTAAAAAACTTAGCTCAAAATTGATTAAAAACATAAATATAAAACTAAATCTATAAAAGTCTTAAAGGTGATTATAGGGCTAAATCTTCATGGACTCAGATTTAGCAATGGTTTCTTACATACAGCACCAAAAGCATGAGCAACAAAAGAAAAATATATTAATGGGACTTCATTAAAATTAAACAATTGTGTGCATCAAAGATAAAATCAAGATCTTTGAGAATACAATGTAGAGAATAGGTGGATTGTTTGCAAATAATGTATCTTATAAAGGCCAAGTATCCAGAATATGTAAACAAAAAGACAACCAAATTTTTAAAAGTAGGCAAAAGACTTAAATAGACATTTCTCCACAGAAAATTTACAAATGGTAAGTAAGCATGTGAAACGATGTGCAACGTCATTAGTAATTAGAGAAATGTGAATCAAAGCCACAATTAGAAACCATTTCACACTCACTAGGATTGTTAATTTTAAAAAAGAATAGAACATAATACATGTTGGCAAGGATGTAGAGAAATTGAAACGCTAGTTAATTGCTGTTGGCAATGTAAATTGGTGCAGCCACTGTTGAAATAGTTTGGCAGATTCTTGAAAATTAAACATATAATTACTGTATGACCCAGCAGTTCCATTTCTAGGTATATGCCCAAATTGTTTGAAAAATGGATATTCAAACAAAAAATTTTACACAAATGACCATAACAACACTATCTGCAACAGCCAATATTTGGAAACAACTTAAGTTCCAATCAATAATAAATGGACAAAACTGTGATATATCCAAGGAATATACAACTTGGATACACCACAAAAAAATTGTATTGTATGGGAAATAAGCCAGACACAAAAGGTCATATACTGTATAATTCAATTTACATGCAATATTCAGAATAGCTAAATCAATAGAGACAGAAAAATTATTGGTCACCTAGTGCTAGGACTATAGGGAAATGGGAGTGACTGTATAAAGTTTAGAGAGTTGTTTTTTGTGAAGGTGAAAGTTTGGAACTAGAAAAGGATGGTGTTCACACTATGTAAATGTACTGTCGCTGATTTGTTCACTTTATTATGGTGAATTTTTTGGTGAATTTCATCTAAAAAATTACAAATGCTTTGATTTTCTCATCTTTTCTAAATAAATCTCAATTTTATCCAAGTATTTTTAATCAGTAAAAACAAAAGGTGTAAGCATTTTTTCAGACCATAAAACAAAATTTTCAAAGGGAAAATTGTAGGAAAAAAAGGAAAAAAGAAAGGGAGAAAGAAATAAAATGCAGAACAAAAACAATTTGTTTTTTAATTTATTCACTGTAGCATTCATATACAGGAATAAACATTCAAGCTGAGAGCAAAACAAGAATATAATTCCATTTACAATAGTCACAAAAATATCCAAGAATACGTCTAACCAAGGAGGTGAAAGGTCTCCACAAGGAAAACTACAAAGCACTACTGAAATAAATCACAGATTACACAAACAAATAAAAAAAAATTCCATGCTCATGAATTAGAAAATCAATATGGGTAAAATGACCATACTGCTCAAAGTAATCTATAGATTAAATGCTATTACTATCAAATTACCTACTAATGTCATTCTTTGCAAAATTAGAAATACTATTCTAAAATGGATAAGGAACCAAAAAAGAGCCCGAATAGCCAAAACAATCTTAAGCAAAATGTATGAAGCCAGAAGTATCATGTTACTAGACTTCAAACGATACTGTAAGGGCTTCAGTAACCAAACAACATGGTACTGGTACAAAAACAAACACATAGACAAATGGAACCGAAGAGCAAACCCAGGAATAAAGCTGCACACCTGCAGTCATCTGACCTTTGACAAAGTTGACAAAAATAAACAATGGGGAAAGGACTCCCTATTCAATTAATAGTGCTGAGATAGCTGGCTAGCTATATGCAGAAGAATGAATCTGGACCCCTAACTCTCACCAAATACAAAAATTAATTCAAGATTTATTAAAGATGTAAGACTTCAAACTATAAGAATCGTAGAAGAAAACCTGGTAAACACCATTCTGGACATTGATGTTGGGAAAGAATTTATGACTAAGTCCTCAAAAATAATTTCAATAAAAACAAAAATTGACAAGTGGACCTAATTAAAATAAAGAGCTTCTGCACATCAAAAGAAACTATCAACAAAAGTAAGCAGAGAACCTGCAGAATGGGAGAAAATATTTACAAATTATACATCTGATAAAGGTCTAATATCATGAATCTATTAGGAACTTGAACACCTGAACAAGCAAAAAGCAAATAATCTTATTAAAAAGTGTGCAAAAGACACATCCAGACACATCTCAAAAGAAGATATACAAGTGGCCAACAAACACATGAAAAATGCCCAACATTACTAATCATTAGGGAAATGCAAATCAAAACCACAATGATATACCATCTCGTACCAGTCAGAATGGCTATTACTTAAAAGTCAAAAAATAATAGCCTCTGGCAAGGCTGTGGAGAAAAGAGAATGCTTCTACACTGTTGGTGGAAATGTAAATTAGCTCAGCTACTGTGGAAAACAGTTTGGCAATTTCTCAAATAACTCAAAGCACAATTACCATTTGACTCAGCAATTTCATTATTGGGTATATTCCCAAAGGAATATAAATCCCTCTACGATAAAGACACATGCATGTGTTATGGTCATTGCAGCACTATTCACAATAGCAAAGATGTGGAATCAACCTATTTGTCCATCAACAGTGAACTGGATGGAGAAAATGTGGCATATTTATACCATGGAATACTATACAGCCATAAAGAAGAACAAAATCATGTCCTTTACAGCAACATGAATGCAGCTGGAGGCCATTATCCTGAGCAAATTAATGCAGCAACAGAAAAGGAAATACCACATGTTCTCACAAATGGGAACTAGATATTTGGTGCTCATACACAAAAATATGGCATAGTAGACACTGGGAACTACTAAAGGGGGAAGAAAGGATTGAGAAACTAATTGTTGGGTGCTATGTTCACTACCTGGGTAATGGGATCAAATCTCAGCATCAAACAATATATACATGTAACAAATCTAAATACATCTACCCCCTGAATCTAAAGTAAAATTCAAAATTATAAAAAATTAAAAACTCTAAAAATAAAAAAATAGAAAATGAAATTATTGAGACTAAAACTACTACATTGTTTTATTCCTCTTTTGTTTAAAAAATAAACCATGAACAGTCCAGAGGATTGCTTTTGATCTGAACAATTGCAGGGATCACATAAACTCTTGGCATAGCACATATGTAAAACACATATACTGCCTATTCCTCAGTATCAGTTGTCTTCTTATTAAATATCAGTTTCTTTTTTTTTCCTTATTCAGACCCTGCAGACAAAAGGTAGAATTCTACATATTGAATACAAATCTCATTTGAGATTGAGAAAATTGACCCAGAGGTGAATTTATCTTGTAAATTAAGACAAAATAACTGTTTTTCAAAATTATGATTTAAGAAAGTGGCATTATTGTTTAAAGGAATAAATACCATGAACATTTTAAATTAAACTAGTTTAAAGTTGGAATATTTCTTTATCAATAAATATGATGACATTTCATTTGTATAATATAGATGTCAAGTGAATTTCTGAAGGTAGATATCTTTAGAATGCACTTTATGCTTTAGAAAAACAACTTTATATTTTGTTTGTGTTAGTTTGTCAATTGGATTTATGTGTTGTGCAGCAATGGATCATACATCTATGTTGTAATAAGCTTAAAATTATTTTAAAATGCATGTAATTTTGCCTATTTATATAAATAATTATAAGTAAATGCTCTCAGCAGCTAATAAAGTACTTAACTTGTCTTCTGAACTCATCTGTTAATTTTGCTACATTTTCCTCGATAAAACCAGTTGGGACAAAGCCAGTCTCATTTCATTGTTGCTGTCTGTTGAAAACAGACTTGTTCCTAACAGAACATTACAATAGTCCAGAGATGAATTCTAAAAAGGCCTAGTGAAAAAATAGCAGTTCATAACTTAATCAGCTTATGAGTTTGAACAGTTTCCAAAGGAGCTATTGTACACAAATTTCAACTTATGAAACTGTAAGAAAAAAATAGAGTGGTGGCATTTCACCTCCAAAAACTGAAGTTAGCTGTTAACTTGCTTAAAGTCACAGAGCAAGGGAGAGTGATGCTTTTTACCTTTATTTTTAGGACTCCAGTGCTAATCTGTTCTTTAATCCTTTACTGGATATTTGCTTAAGAATAACTCACATTAAACTGAAATAACAGAGTAGCAATTTGCATTCTGAGCGTAACTCAGTTTTGTAAAACCATGAAGAAATTGTAGAGTTGTTTGTTTATTAGTAATATGTATTATAACAGTGAATTCATTAAAGCACATTTTATATACTGTTTCATCTTTTAAGTACAATATGTGGAACTGTTTAAAATTTAGTGGCTTTGATGAAGAGCTGGATTTTTAGAAGTCTGCTAATCTTAATATTGAATAAACCTATTGATAATTAGCTATCTTATAATTCTAACCCATGGATGCCTGTGGTAGACAGAATAATGTTCCCCTTAAATGTTCATTTCCTAATCCCCAGATCATGCAAACATGTTACCTTACATGGCAAAGTAACTTTGCAGATGTGATTAATTTAAGAACCTTAAAAGAAGAATATTGTCTTAGATTACATGCTGGGCTGTATGTAATCAATCAAAGGGTCCTTATAATCAACGAGTGAGTCTGAGTCAAGAGAAGGAGATGTGGTGGCAGAAGCAGAGCTTGAGGTGGGGGAGAAAAAAGAGAGAGAGATTCAATGATGGTAGGCTGCTTCTGGCTTTTAAAATGGAGAAAGAGGCCATGATCCAAGGAATAAAGGTCACCCCTTAAAGCTGGCAAAGGCAAGGGAACAGTTTGTCTTCTAGCACCTCTAGAAAAAAACATAATCCTGCTGACACCTTGCCTTTAGGACTGCTGACATCCAGAATTGTAAGGTAAATGTTTTGTTTAAGCCACTAAATTTGTAATGAATTATTACAGAAGCAATTGGAAACTAATATAGTACCCAAGATATAATTATTTTCTAGCAAAAACATATCACAACCGGGCAGTATCAGATGCTTTGGAAGGAGAATAGGTTTAAGTGTCAATATTTATCTACAGTCTAGGATTCATTAACAAATATCTGTATGATTTTATAAATTACATTATAAAGAAATCTGTATCCTATCAAATGTGAACTTCCTATATTTTATATTTTTTGGAAAATCAAAATAAAAAACATGACAATGTTTCTCAAACTACAAAATGTGCAATTATATGGCATAATTATTGCTATTATTATTGTTTAAATGATGTAACCTTTAACGATTTGTATCTGCAAGCCTAAATCTCTATCATATTCCCTTATTTTAGAGTCAATAGTGTAATAGTTTCTATTCAAATCTATCCTCCATTGAAGGAGTATGTTAAACTTGTTACAGTTCTTGTTTCTGGCAAGACACAACTTCATTCAACCATATGATTTGTCAATTTCCAGGGTATACAACACTATTAAAGGTGCTACAGAGGCGAAGTGATGGAAAAAGGAATGCTCTCAGCAATAAAAATTTAACAGAATAAAATATACTGTATATGGGATATGTAATACTTCTTTCAGAAGAGGGAGGCATATTCCCAAGAAATGATTTATGAATTATTGTAAATAAGCTTTGTGTAATTGTCAAAAACAAGAAGAAAACAATCTTTAATAGATGAAAGAAGAGCCATCACAGGTAATTTCCAAGTCAGAAACAATGACATGAGAATGTAGAAGTAATTTTTAGAGTTTAACATAACAAATACAGGATGGTGAGAGAATGTGCTAGTTTTCTACTGCTGTGTAAAAAATTAACAGAAACTAAATGGCTTAAAATAATCCATGTTTCATAGATTGTCACAGTTTCATAGATGAAAAGTGAGGCACAGTGGCTGTGTTCTCTCCTCAGGGTATATATGACTGGGATCAAAGACTGGGTTCTCATCTGGAAGCTCTGGAGAAATATCTGTTTCTGAGCTTACTCATGTTGTTGGCAGGATTCAGTTCTTCATGGCTGGAGGTCTGAGATACCTGTTTTCTTGTTGGCTGTCAGTCAGAGATCTCCCTTATCTACTGCATGCTGCCTCATTCTTTGTTATGTTGCTCCTTCCATCTTCAAAGCCAGCACTGGGGAATTTCTCATGTGTCAAATTCTTCTCATGCTTCAAATCTCTGGCTTCCTCTTTTTAGAGCAGCCACAGAAAACTCCACATTTTTAAAGAGCTCAGGGAATTAGATTAGCCCCAATGGGACAATGTTAAACTTAGCTGATTTGAGATCTTAATTGTATCGCAAAATTACTTCACAGTAGAAAATAAATTAATGTCTGATTGATGAGGTGTATACATTAGGGGTACTGGTAATCTTGATGGCCATCTTAGAATCCCACCTACCACAGAGAATAAAGTAAAGATGACATTAAAAAGGAAATGTTCCAGGCATGGTGGCTCATGCCCATAATCCCAGCACTCTGAGAGGCTGAGGCAGATGGATCTCTTCAGCCCAGTAGTTTGAGACCAGTGTGGGCAATATGGCGAAACCCCATCTCTACAAAAACATAAAAAAATTAGATAGGCCTGTTTGTGTGCACCTGTAGTCCCAGCCACTCGGGGAACCTGAGGTGGAATAATTGCTTGAGCCTGGAAGGTTGCGGGTACTGTGAGCCGTGATTGCATCACTGCACTCCATCCAGGGTGACAGAGCAAGACCCTGCCTCAAACAAACAAACAACAAAGAAAAAAGAAATGGAAATGCATTTCTTATAAGGATAGAAAAGCTTGAATATTGTGTTCAAATGCTTAGATTATATTGTATAGTTAGACAAAACAGGGGCAACTTAACCTCCTGTATATTATTTTATGAATCCTTTAGAGAAAACCAGCAATTTCAAATGACTTGAAAATGTCTGATAACATCAAATATCTCCTTTCCATTTATTTCCAATGATCAAATATGACAACAAAATACACTTTTAAAAGTTAAAACCATAACTGTTCTTCCAACCAAGAGAATTGGCCAGAAGGTAACCTGATATTTGAAGAACTATGGATCATTGAAGGTCAATGAAATTGGATAGACAAGAAATACAGCTAAGGAACATAGCAGTCCAGAACA
The DNA here is from genome assembly GCF_000001405.40 of Homo sapiens. Classification (NCBI taxonomy): domain Eukaryota; kingdom Metazoa; phylum Chordata; class Mammalia; order Primates; family Hominidae; genus Homo; species Homo sapiens. The sequence continues at coordinate 184,905,918 of NC_000002.12, read as the reverse complement.
CTGAATCTGCAAGCTATATCACCAAGTACACAAATGATGAATGAGCCTTGGTGTAATTATCAGATGATTCAATTTTAAATTGGAACAGCTAGAACAGTGGTTCTCTTCCAGAAAAACAAAGGCCTTCTAATTTAGCAATAGTAGAGGTGACCATTTTCTCTAGATTCACCATAAAATCACCCCCTAGATGGAAACATGCCTGTAGACACATTGTACTCATAAACACAGAGTCTCTATGCCATTTTCTTGAAGATTCAGTTCAAGGAAAAGTAACATTGGAAACAAACATATATTATAGCTGACTGTATTAATCATACTGGTTCTACTACAGAAAAAATAACACATCACCTAAAAGAAATGAGAATGAAACTGAGATAATCGGTAACACTAAATGATAGAAAAGCGACACATGCAAATCTCTCAGGGAAAATGATTTGAATCCAGAATTCTAAACTCAGACAAATGTTAAAAGCAAATATAATATTTTTAAACATGCCAGATCTAAAAAAAAATGCTGTTATATGATTATCCTAAATGTGAAATTTCTTGTCAGGAAGGACCACTGTAAAAGAAAAAGAAATAGAAAGGAAAGGAAAACATTAAACATAAGAATCAGTGGTAGTTGAGTATTATCGAAAAGAATCAAAGAAAGCTTACAAGAAGTTAAAAGGAAGTGCTTTGAATCTTGACAGCAGGGATAGTGTCTTTTAAGCAGCAGGATTTAATGACAAAGGATTACACTCCTTTTTTTATGTGTTCAGTTACTGACTTGGTTCTGTAAAAAACACTGACTTAATCATAATGACACACACACACACACACACAGACACTCTAATCTAGTGTTGGGTGTAAAATGATTCAACATAGAAATAGTGCCTTGATAATTATAGTTGCAGAACAGAATAAATTCCACTAAGTCCTTCTAAAATGTTCAAATTAATGTAAAAATTATTAAGTAGTGAAAAATTTAAATTGCAGGCCATACTAAGATTTCTATCTTTCATATAAATGGGTAAATAGATAATACTTAATGTTGGTGAATCCATAGAGACAGAAGAAAGCATTGTCTCAAGTTATAAAGACAATGACTGGATATCATATGAATGGATAATAGTATATTTCATAAAAATCATATCATTTCTCAGTTTCAAAGAAAACTGATAGACTACAAGCAAGCCCTCTCTCTTGATTATATAACAGGAGTAGCACCAAGACTAAGTCATGACTCAAAATTAATTAATGATCGATTAGAAATAAACTAAGGACTTAATTTTACCCTTCTTTTATAGGTAGTTATACAGTATTAGAAGATTTGAACTCCTCCTAAGTTGATAAATTTTTTCTTCATTTACCCAAAGAAGTAGATTTTACACCCAGAATACTTTGTCATGGCAAGTATAATGTGGTAATTGTGCCTGTGAAACTAAATGTATAATTAAGGTCTAATGCCATGCCACAATTGAGCAACTTAGTCGACTATTTAGCTTCTATCTGCACCTCTAAATTATGCCACCTGACAATGGTTGACAGTATGGGACTAAGTTCTAACAAAGCTTTGTTCAGAGCCCTCATTCTATAACACTTTAACTGTTTAACTAGTTTCCTTATCTGTAACATGCAAAATTAATAAAAATTTTTTAATTGTAATAAAAATTAAGTAAACTATTAATGTTGTTTCCTTTGCTGTTTCACTTATTTTTGTTTGATTTATTTTATCAGTATTTTGTAGTTTTCATTATACATGTAATTCACCTCCTAGTTTAAGTTTATTCCTAAGTATTTCATTCTTTTTGATGGTGTTGCAAATTGAATTTTAAAAATCTTCCTTTTAGAGTAGTTTGTTGTTAGCATGTAGAAACACAACTAATTTTTATATGTTGATTTTATATCCTGCAAGTTTACTGAATAAATTTATTAGCTCTAACAGGGTTTTTTTCGGGAATCTTTAGAGTTTTCTTTATTTAAGATCATCATCTGCAAACAGAGGCAATTTTAATTATTTCTGTCATATTTGAATGTATCATATTTGAAAAGTGGTCACATGCACAAAAGTAATAAAGAAAAAAAGTAGGAATGATTTCTGGCAGTGATGGATATGTTTATAGCATAAATCGTGGTGGCTACATGAAGCACACATATGTCCAAACTCATCAAGTTGTATACATTAACTATGTACTGCTTTTCATATGTCAATCATACCTCAGTGAAGTGATTAAAAAAGAAAATCTGAAAAAGTTATAAAAATGAAATAAACTAAAGTATTATAAACACTTAGCACAGTTTCTGGTTTAGAGTAGGAGCACAGAAATGTTACAAACTCTTATACTACAGTCATGTGCCCCTTAACAACTGGGCGAGGAATGCATTGTTAGGTGATTTTGTCACTGTGCAACCATAATAGAGTGTACTTACACAAACCTAGGTGGTATAACCTACTACACACCTAGGCTCTATGGTATAGCCTATTGCTCCTAGGCTACAAGCCTATATAGTATGTTACTGCACTAAATATTGTAGGCAATTGTAACACAATGGTAAGTATACGTGTATTTAAACATACTTAAACATAGAAACGGTACAGTAAAAATACAGTTAGTATAACCTTATGGGGTCATTGCTATATATGTGGTCCACTGTCATGATGTGGTGCTTGACTGTATTTTTGAAGTAATCTTTATTCTATATGTGGAGATTTCTACTGAGTCAGATTTGATGAGCATTGAATCACACACAGGAATTGTTGGGGGATAGTGGAGAATAAGAAAAATAGAAAGTACTGATAAAACTAGAAGAGTATAGATCTGTATTACAGAGAAACAAACCTTCTACTGTGTTACTGAGACAAAGCTGCAGCTGTGGAAAACCTACAAACTCTCTTAAGAACATGGTTCCTGCTGTATTGTCTCAGAATTTTTTTCTAGGGAAACTGCTTACTAAATGAGGGACACCTAAGGTATAGTCTTTTTTATTTGATCCATTTGACATAATTATTTTAAACCTTGTAACTGTACATTCCTTGGCTGAGCCTAGTAGGCAGTATCTTAGGCAAAGTATTAGCACAAACAACAGTTCAAAAATAGCAAAATTATGTCAAGTGAATTTCATGGAACTCATAACATTTGGCCTTAAGCTTATTACAAAAACAGTGACAATAGAAACAACATCAGTCACAAGATTTATGGTTTTTATAAGGTAAAAAAAAGAAAACATTCAGAAGCACAACTCAACCAGAACTTGAGACCAGAAATACTCTTTAAAAATTTTTTATTGTCATTAAGAGCACTCTAAGTAACATAATCAAATGCATCTGAGACACAGCATATTAGATTTAATAGTACCCTTTTCACTAAAAGGGGAAGGTCATGAAAGAGGCTCCTGGTCCTCCCAAAGCCAAAGTCAAAGGAAAGCAAAGAATTTGAAGGCCAAGAATGCAGTGCTAGAAGGCATCTACAGGCACACATAAAGATGATCCACACATCACCCACCTTCTGGTGGCCCAGGACACTGAGGCTCCAAAGCAGCCCAAATATCTCAGAAGAGCACCAGGAGAAACCAGTATGACCACTATGCCATCATCAAGTTCCCCCTGACCACTGATTCTGCCATGAAGAGCGAAGCTAACAACACAGTTGTGCTCATTGAGGATGTCAAGGCCAACAAGCACAAGATCAAACTGACTATGAAGAAGCTCTATAAGACTGATGTGGCCAAGGTCCACACCCTGATCAGGCCTAAAAAAGAGAATACATATGTTCAACTGGCTCCTGACAATGATTGTTTGGATGTTGCCAATAAAATTAGGATAAGCTAAACTGAGTCTAGCTAATTCTAAGTACATATTTTTTTACCATAAAAAATATTTTCCAACACCTGATGACAAAACTTGTATGAGCTGCATCCTGGCACTGTCTTTAAGTATAATTTGAAGAAAAAGGTAGCTAAATTTGTGTATAATTTGGAGATTTTAAAAAAGTTAAAATATGTATACAAATGGAAAATAAGAAAGCGTCATGTGATATTATATATATACTCATATATATAAATACATATGGATAAGTCACTTCAAATCTCATTTATATTTTGAAAAATATTATTATTATCTAACAATTTCTAAGACCAAGGTTTATAATTAGCAAAACATATAAAAGGAGAAATAAAGAAGAAAATGCATTACCTCCTAGATTATTAATACACACGAATGGCTTTCTGGAATTTACAATAATATTTAGAGCAAAAATATTCAATGACGGTTGATTAAATCACAAAAGCCTTTCATATCATGACAAACTATTGATGCACTTAGGGATTATTACCAAGAATGATGGCAATGAAAATTCACCATTTGGATCTCCTGCTGAGGAAAGTATAATTTACCTATGACCCCAGATGTTTGCCTTGAAGAACTATTGCCACTTTCATGCTGAAGTCATGCTTCCCACCAACTTCTCTCATGTCATTACTAATGTAGAAGCATTCCTACAAGTACTGCCAGGACTTTTGCAGTGGATGACTTTGATGTAAAGGTCCCATATAAGCCTGGCCAAAACTTTCTTTCAATTCTCTTTCCTTCCCTTCACTCTCTTCTAAACAAGTTTCAGACCTGCATTATGATCTGAAGTTTCCTCTGCCTTCCCTGGTTCCCTCCTCTTTATCCTTTGTAATCGTTTATCCCAATAAGTATTTTTTTCCATTCACATCCAGTCTTAGAGGTAGGCAAACACATACAAGTTATGCCAAGAGTGGTCTAAGAAACAGGTATTAAGATAGTTTTATAAGAGATTCTATTGCTACATGCCATTTTAAGCAGTGTAGGATGTATGGATACTTCCTGGCTCAAAATGGGAGCTAATTTTTAAAGGATTCTATACTGGTAGAGGAGAATGCCCCTGCAAACAAAATGGTTCAAGCATATGGAGATAAATAATAAATAATCTCTACAAGAACAGCATCCTTTGGCCAGTTACGACTAGGTTGCATTGAAGTCCTACAAAGGGACAGTGAAAAAGTGGGAGTCATTAACAAAGAGTTAAAAGCTAAGTATGAAAGACATGCATTTTTGTTTGGATACAGACAGATGTGTATTACCCCCCTTGGGAGCACTGGCAGTACTGACCAGCGGAGGATCTGATGGACTTTTCTAATCCACTCTTCTTCCATTTCATTTCGCTCTCTTTTACAAGTGTCAAATCTGTGTCCTGTATCACAGTCCCCAAAGCATTCCCAGTCTTCTCTGGCTAACTGCCCTATATATAGATTCTTCATGACATTTTCCCCAATAAATCTTTTGAATATTTAATCTTATTTGGCTTCTGTTTTTTAGGACCTACATTAATACACCCAGGACATGAGAAAATAGCAAGCAATTGTTCGAACTATTTAAAAAGAAGAAAAAAATACTGATATTACAGCTGTTTCTGAAATATTTATTCCCCTGCCAAATTGTATAACAGGTATGTAGTGTTGTGGTGATCTACCCCTGTCTATACACTTGGAATATGACTAGATTGATTTAAGCGAATTAGCCTCCTCACTCTTCTTCGCGTAGTTTTAAATTCAGGGATTTATATGTAGCACCATTGATACGCAGCATTTCTGTGGTATAACACTCAAGGGGGGCACTGTACCTAAATATATCCCATAATGTGAAACATTTTGTTTTCAAAGAGAAGGGAACTAATATCTTCCACCAGAGATGAATAAGAAAACAGACATGAGCAAAGCTAGCAGGATAAAATAGCAGAGATGAAAAGACTGAGATATTTGCAGAGAATCAGAGCTGATGTCCTGATTAAACTGGGCTGGACATTCACCCACCACATTTGCCATTTTCTCTCATGTAAAAATTTTTCTTAGATTCTATTTATTTTAAAACTGAATTATAATTTTTATTATTTCCAAAAGTTTCTTAAATTACTCAAGCATTTTTTAGTATTTGCTACTTTTATTTGAAGATGGGTTGAACTAGCAAATATAAATAAAAATAATTGTATTTATCTTAAAAATGTATCTCATTTTCTTTTATTTAAAGAAAAACTTTACTTTTGCAACATTAGAAAAACGACAATCTAAATGCTTAGTTATATCAATTTGTGAGAACACAAGGCATTATTTGCACTTGACTTTCATTAACAATATATTATTTGATTTATTTATATTCACCTTAAACAGAAACAAATAAGATTCAAATTTTAAAATAAAAAATAATAAGTATAAAGATGTATTTTAAATGTTACTCATAACTTTGAAAGTATTACTTTTTCAATTTATTTTAGAATGAACTAGACTATTATAAGAGGATTAAATATGCAAGTATATTTTTCTTTCTACTTTCTTATTGTAGAACATAGCTTCTTCTAAAGGGTTTCAACTAACATTTTCTACTTAGAAAAACAAAATTTTTCTTTTTAAATCCCCTAGAATCCATGCCATCTGCATTTGAACACCCATGAAAAAGACCACACTTTTGAAAAACGAGTGTGACTAATTCATTCACAAATTTCATTCATCAGTTAGCAAGTAAAAAAGAGATTCTATACATTTAAAAAATTATCCTATTAAAAATACATTTTGGAGCAATAAATGCACTTCTATGCCTCTCAAGTCTGTGGGACACAAACTTCAATGAGTGATCTGCCTATTGTTAAAACTACTAAAGCCAAGATTTGATGCCTGCAAATAGTCACACATATACATCTTATATTTAAATACATATAAAATAGGCTTTTGAGAAGTTAGAACTTCTAGTAGACTAATTAGAATAGAAAACAGAAGCCCATGTAAGATGATTAATACGAACCATGTATCTTATATTAAGTCAAATCCTTGAACATGGTGATTGTCATTATATAAAAAATTCAATAATCTTACCACCACTGAATAAGTATTTTAATGAATATAAAATCAAACACATATTTAGTACAAAAATATGTTTAACCACACTTACAAACACAAGGCTTATTAATTACATTATAATGACCACTAATTGTAAATATTATCATAAAATAGTTACACAATTACAACTTTTACCATTTCATGTGCATGTAAAAAATTTATGTTGTAAACAATCAACATTTTTCACACTTTTAAAACTAGAAATGACTAAACATGGAAGTACTTTTCATAGATATTTCTTCTTTGGAAGAAATAAGAAGAGTTAGATGATGAGAAAACAATACAATTAATATATTATCCTGTCCTTAAGAAGATTGTGTCCTGTATAAAAGTAAATTATTAATTATTTTCAAGTTCTATCTTTATAAGCCACTTATATTCAATCTAGAGAAAGGTAAAATATAAACAAAGTGAGTTTTTCCAAATTCTTCTTCAGACCCTTTATTCTATTTCTTACTATCTATAACAATTTCTTATACTTTGTAAACAATTTGCAGTTGAATTCAGGAATGCTTTATCACGTCCCCAGGCTTAGTATAGGTATGAACTGGAAAGGCAGTGAATATAGATAACGAAAACTGTTACTTTGGAGTTGGTGTTCTATATTCCACAAGCAGGTGATGTAATTTTTACCACAGACTTCCAAGTAAAGAGCTATTGAACTGGAAAGGAGAGTAAAAACACTCTTTTCTTCACTGTTCATCACTGTTATATTCACTATTACAGTAGCTTCACATTGTTTTTGCAGTTTATACAAAGTATGAGAATATAACTCACTTATGTGCAGATAGAATCACAAAAGCCCATACAAGAAATTTCTAATGCTCTACCATTCTTTATTATCTGTATATACATTAATAACACAGGGTTAAGTATAGTGTCTTTTCAAGAATAAAAACTGACATGTTTAGATGTTAAATTAAAATAACAAAACATTTAAATGGTTTATGATTTGTACCCCAAATATACAATGAACTCTTTAACCTCTACAGTAAGAAAATAAAAAGCTGTCTTAGCTGAAAAGCTTAGCAATAACCCTGAAATGTTAAGGAACAGACCTAGAGCCCAGATCTTGGTTTGTACTAACATTCTCCAGCAAAAGTCATCAGGGCTCCTGGAAGAAATGGCTGATTCTTGGTTTGAGGCACGGAATAAAGAGCCTAGACCATACTCTAGCGTCCTAAAGAAAGGAACTTCTAAAAACAAATAAAGAAACAAAGAAACTATAATGATGGAAGTATGGGGGTGTGTTAAAGGAATACAAAAAACAATGGAAAGAGTTCCTAATGGCCAAAGCTGGAATAATTTGAGCAAGAAAATATGGTAGTATTAGATTGCAAACCAAAGTATAAGATGAATGTCTATGCTAATATAAATTAATGATTGAAATAAAAAAGTGTTGGAGAAAGATCAAATTCCCTAGGAAGACAATTTCCAAATTATTTATTTAGATACTTTCCTTTGAGGAGGTAGATCATAATACTTTACTTATTAAGTATGAGCTACACATAATGAGTGACTCCATCCAAAAATTGCTGTATGGAAACAGGAAAAAAAATGCTGTATGGAAAGGGGAAAAAATTGCTGTATGGAAAGGGGAAAAAAGGGGGGGAAAAATCCAAAAATTGCTGTATGGAAAGGGGAAAAAAAACAGTAACTAATTGCTGTATGGAAAGGGGAAAAAATTGCTGTATGGAAAGGGGAAAAAAACACTGGGGAATCCTGACACACTACTTTGTCCAGGCAATCAAGTCAAAATCAATCATGACAATTTGTGATAATAGTATGTACCCTTGATATTATGTGACAAAATTGGTATTTTCCTCTGTGGTTTTTCTTCCCCCCAAAACATAGCCCATTTTAATCATAAGAATCATTAAGCAAATCCCAGTTGAGGGACATTGTACAAAATACCTAATACTACCCATTTGTATAAACATAACTACAAATATCCTTAACAATTACTAACACATATTAAAAAGATAGTACAACATGAGAAATTTTACCTATTCTAGGAATTCAAGTCAGAATTAACATTAAGCAACCAATAAAACCCACCACAAGTAGAAGTTAAGTGAGATTAATAATCATATCCACACATATAAACTTAAGATAAAATGTATGAAATATTTCTAATAAAACTATTCACAAAAGGAATAGAAGATAACTCGCTTGCCTGATAAAGAATATCAAACCCAAATGCACAGCAAATACCACTTGTAATGTTGAATTTCGATGTATCTATTATTTTTATATGTAAGGATGACTTTTATTCTACATTTAACTGTATTGACAAACTAATCTAGCAAACAAGAAAACAAAAATATACTGCTTGTAAAGAAAGAATTAAAACTGCCATATTGACCAATGGTGTTTTGTCTATATGAGAAAAATAGCTAAGGTACAGGTTTTCAAAATAAGAAAATTCAGGCCAATCCTGTCAAATTTCATTATAAACATGCTAATGACAGACCTCCTGGCAATCAGGCTAATGGTATTTGCTAACAAGATACCAGAGCTTTTATTTACAGAAAATTTTTGGCAGGATGAAACTGATTATTCACTATTGGCTATGAGCTATGACAAATGAAGCAGGAACCTATTGATTGATGGCGCCATGACTCCCTGGAAAATTTCAGGTAAACTGTACCCCTATCTGAGTATAACATGAAGATGCTTCATGACATGAGTGGCTCTTTATGTATAAATGATACCAATCACACATATTATTTAGATTTCATATATAAATTTGGGACATGAATGCATCCTGATAGGGAGTTAGAGCACCTTGGGAGTTCTGTTAGAGGCCCCAGATTTCTTACTGCTTCACTTATTATCCTGAAATTATTAGGGGTGATTGATACTAGGTAGGTCGTGTTTTGTGTGAGTCTGGCTTGAGAATCCAGCCATGTTTATTATTTCAAACATTCAAAAATTTTCAGAAAAAAAACACGTGGCAAATAACATTACACAATGTCTCCATGTTTTTAATAAACTAGATTTCAGTATTTTATTCATATATGTTTATAGTATGAATAACACAATGTGTTTTTATGTTAAAACATACATATTTCTAATTAAACTTTATTACATGCTGAAGGAATAGAGAACTATATATATTTTTAAAATGAAAGTCAATGCCCACATAGACTAAAATGCATAGCAAAAACAATACATTTTGTGAAGAGAAAGTTTGTTCAAGTGCTGAACTAAAGACTACATTTTAGATTTACTGCAAATTTACTTTTTTACAGTGAAATTACTAAACACTTTAAATTTGAAAACAAAAGAAAATCAAGGTTGAAGTAAAATCCCATGGAATTTCTTTGCTAGAGTTGAGAATTGCAAGTACATTTCCTTCTCTTAGTTCAGAATCATTTTAATTAAGTGACTTGAGAGCCTTCTGGGAAAGATTAGGCACAGAATTATAACTGAGTTTTCAGACTAGTATGGAGTGAGAAAGTAGCACAATTCTCTTTGAATGACCACAGCTTGCTATGTATTTCTGTTTCTGTTTTAATGAGCACCTAGTTGCCAGATTTGTGTGTGTGTGTTCTCTCTGCTTTTATTAACGATTCAGTATTCATTTGAACATCTGCATATCAGAGAGCATGAGCTGACTTTGTTCATAACAATAATTCCATCTTAAAATGCTTCTTAAAGATTCATATTTAAGTTATTGAGTTATTGTTTAATCATGCTTTGAGGTCCCTGTCCTCTGTCCAAAATACATAGAAATAAAAAATATAGCAAGTTAAAAAATACATTATTTTCTCTCTCTCTCTCTCTCACACACACACACCCCCACCCACCCACAAACACACACACACACGAGCATAAAAAGACCGATGCTTCAGCTTGTTGGACTAGAACACTAGTTGTGTAGTTTCGTGTATTATAAATAGATGGAACTCAAATTCTAGGTTACACAGAGAGAAGGTTGGTATGAATTTCCACAATGTGCCATTGAAGCACCTGATGTAAAGTACTTCATTTGAAGGCAAAGGAAATAGATACAGTAAATAATCTTGAACTTCATCGTAGCCTTCTATTTTTACGTATATCTTAAGAATCTTGGAGGCCGACGTGGGGGGATCACGAAGTCAGGAGATGGAGACCATCCTGGCTAACACGGTGAAACCCCGCCTCTACTAAAAACAAAAAAATACAAAAAATTAGCTGGGCGCGGTGTCGGGCACCTGCACTCCCAGCTACTCCGGAGGCTGAGGCAGGGGAACGGCGTGAACCTGGGAGGCGAAGCTTGCAGTGAGCCCAGATCTCGCCACTGAACTCCAGCCTGGGCGACAGAGCAAGACTGTCTCAAAAACAAATAAAAAAGAATATTAAGTATATCTTAAGTAAATACACAAAGATAAGTATATTCGCTTAACGTGTAATATATAATAATTTTATCAATATAGTAATATATAAATGTGTATTAGAGATCAAGGGTAATTAATAAAAGTGTAATCTAGATTTTTGAAACTAGCAAAAAAGTAAAAGGAAGGGTAGTAGAGAGATAAATAAAAACAAGCCAACAGAATTAAAAGGGCAAAAGTATGCCAATAAAAATACGTTAATAAAAAAATTTTTAATAGTAAAAATGACTACAAATATATCAGTAATGATTAAAATATATGTATTCAAGTCATCTCAGAGACAAAATATTCATATGAAAAATTTCATGTAGCATTTAAATTTAATAAATTGGTGTATATGTAGTAATATGAATACATATTAAACAAACAGTATTGATTTTTCTTAATGGCATGTGGGTTGGCATACCCCTTCACCGAGTAAAGCTTAATGCAGCATCAGTGTTTTGTTACCTTTGATTTTATTATTTATAGCATCAGTAACTGAAACGGGGTAAGCTTTGTTTCCTTTCCATATCTTAAATCTAGGAACACCTTGTTAATATCAAAACATGATCTTCTTGTAATTAATAATGCATTGTTGTTCTCAAACAGAGTATCATAAAAATGATAAAAAATTGGAAGGTTTTATGATTAGACAATTTTATTTATAGAAGAATTTTATGTGCACAGCATTATGGGCACTTGCTAGGCATTCTGAATCTACTACTTCCTTATATTTAAAGATCGTCCAGTCTCTTGAAAGTATGGAGTTACAGAATCAGTTACCATGTATCAATTAGACACTGCTCCAGGGAATAAAGTGAAACTATATCTAAGACATCAATATAACACAAAAAGTTCAGTATATATCAACGAATTGATGCACACTCTCATCAATGATATCTCAAACATGATCTTCACAAAGTCTATGAAGACTCATACAATATATGATCAACAATTCAACCCTTTCAAATGTTGTGTACTCCACATAGAATTCTAAAACATGTTATCCATTATTAATTAGTAGTTTTAAAATAAAAATGTAATAAGATTAGGAAATATTTTAGAATATCTTTATTTTCTTATCTTTCATTGGTGAAATTTAGTCCCTGAGAGACTAATTTAATTTATAAAAGTTTAAATACTTGCATTTGAAAATTTAACATTTGATGTATATAATGATCCTAGCAATTTGCTGACTTAATAAAAATGATTATATGATATACTTCTACAACAAAATAAATTAATCTTACAAGCATATAAACTCAGTGTTTGAAAATTTAGGGTGTAAATTAAGAAATACTTCTATAATGATCTAAGCATTAAAACAACAACTGAATAGATAAACGATTAGCAATTTACTTTGAGTCCTAAGTTGGTTAGGACTCATACTAAATCAAGTTACCTTACCAAATTTTTCATATATCAGGGAGCAAACACATTTAAAAAGTATTATCAACAGGTAAATATGTTTACTTTTTACATAATAATGTTTTCTAATTTTTAGGATGAGAATATTTTAATATATACTTGTAGATAATGTTTTATATATTAAATTGAAAATAAAACATTAAATATCTTCAAGTGACTATCACAGCATATTTTACAGAGTGTTTCTAAACTTTAGGTGTGATAAATGTTTATCCAGTTACAGTGGAAAAATACGATATATTATTTTTAACTCAAAAGTTAGGCTCTAGCCTTCCTTTATATAATTTTTCTTTATGAAAAAACAATGAAACCATCAATATTGATTATAACACAGGCAATAATGAACAAAATATAATCATAAATACAACCAGGCAGAATTAAAACACCCTTATGATAAAGAGACATGAGGTAAGGACGTCAGGTTTGTGTGTATATTTGCTTTCAAATAAAGAACACAGCTGAGTGCAGTGGCTCACACCTGTAATCCCAGCACTTTGGGAGGCTGGCCTGGGTGGATCACCTGAGATCAGGAGTTCCAGACCAGCCTGGCCAACAGGCGAAACCCTGTATATTGTAAAAATACAAAAATTAGCCGGGCATGGTGGCGCGTGCCTGTAATCCCAGCTACTGGGGGGATGAGGCAGGAGGTTCGCTTGAACCTTGGAGGCGGAGGTTGCAGTAAGCCGAGATCGAGCCACTGCACTCCAGCCTAGGCAACAGAGCAAGACTCCATAAAAAAAAAAAAAAAAAAAAAAGAACACAACAATGTGAGGAATAGAAGGTGGAAGCGAAAAATGCTAATGGTATCTTTCCTCTTCTGTCATTTCTCACCCTTTCTCATTGAGCCCACACAGTCTTTCAACAACCCAAAAAATGCACATTACCCTTGTTTTTCTCTAACTCTGACTGCTGACACACCATGGGGCTGGGCTCCGCTAAAATTACTGAACAAAGTTTGGTATTTTAGGAACACTTTTCTCACCAAATATTTATTAGGTGATAAAAATTTGAGAGAAAATTCCTTTCTATGTGACATATTAATATTCTTTGTAATAGAATCTCATTGAAAAGAGCAAAATTAGTGTGGAAATGTTGCTTTGGTTTTCAAAACTAATAATTATAAAATAAACATTGATGAAGAGAAGTAAGGCAAGTTCCTGCAGAAAACCTATGTTACCCACGTATAAAGAATTCAGTAGTAAACTGTCAAATAGGTCTTTTGTTTTTCTCCTTGTAATTTCTTTCTGTTATTTCCACAACTTGAGCACATTTTTCTAATACAAGCAGTTTTGGTTTTTCTAGAAATATTGATATCACGTAATTTTTTCTTTTAGGATAAACACTGCAATGTGACTAATGGTTTGGTCAAGGTCACGTCAATTTATAATTTTAAATTAATGAGCTTTTAGATAACTAAGAAAGACACTATTCCTCTTTAAAATGTAAATATTGTTAATACTGGATAAAGTTAATTCTTTGTCGATTGTTAGGTATATAAAGAATATGGACAAGACTAGCAAACAAAAAATATGTTTTCCATTAATTTAGTTTCAGTACCCTAGAGTCTAGGTAGAAAGAACATAGGACTGTGCTTTGAAATCAGAGAAAAAAGTGGACCCTTTGTCAAGTAGAGTGGAGGCTGAGAAAAAAAGAATAACAGTGGTTTCCTACAGACCTGTAAACATCAGAAATAATATGTCAAATAGACATGTTGAGTTTTTCTTTTTTACTCTGTAATTTCTTTCTATTATTTCCAAATAGCAGAATGCAGTAAAATTTTATTAAGCATTCCATTATGATTTTAACTAAGTTTAGAAGACTTCTGTAGAGCACCCTGCCAACATTGGTATAATGTAATGGAGTGGAAGACATAACTGTCTGAAGAAGATACTCTGAGTTCAGATGCCAGGAGTAAAACCAGAGTATAGACAAGACTAAAGTGACAAAGAACGATCCAGGCAGCTTTGTAAATATTTAACCATATTTTAGAAATCATTGCAATACTTTGTTCAGGGGGCAGGAAAAATAAACTTCCTGCTGACAACCATAGTGGGACCTATGGAGAACGTCAGCTTGGCATTAAAGAAAGGTAAATTTCCAAAGCCTGCAGAAACAAGGTTTCTGGCTTATATTAATTTGAATTTTTAATACAAGATCTAATTGTGGGAAATGGAGGAACTAAACCAAGATTGTGGTTGTATTGCTCACTATTTTATCTTTTGTTCTCACAATGGTGGTATCCATGGTGTAAAACCTCCTTGATTAAGTGTAGGTATCTGCGTTTATGTGCAACATATAATGGGTATAATATATGAATAACATAGATGTATAATATGTAATACATATATTTGACACATATACTACAGTGTAAATAATCTATATGTTATATATAATATGTAATATATAATGAACCAGATATAGAATATAATAAATCAGATATAAAATATTTAAATAATTATATCAAACATCAATTTTTTAAACTGAAGGGAATTTTAAGGAATAATTAATTTTGGAAGGAAACCAATTTATTCTCAAGGACTGTTATATTTTAATATGATTACTATTAATCATTATTTAGTAAATAGAGTGAAGTATCTTGGAGAGTTACAGTTACAAAATAGAAAATAAATATTTAGAATATATATGATTGAGCAAAAATGGCTTCTTCCTATACAACCAGGGTTAATGAGGTCTAAAGCCTCTATGTGCTTTCATTTTCTCTTTGCTTCTCATATATTCTTTAGTGCCATTCAGTTCCAAGAAGCATTTGCTTCTAAGAAACAGAAACTGAACTCACTTCACTTTTGCAGTCTTACTTGAACCTACTATGTGAATTACATTTGGACTGCAACATTGTTGATAGCTTTCCTTAAGGACTCCAGGGCAAATGAGCTTCTGCAGCCCACAGCAATGTCTGTGGTGAAAATAAAGTTGGGGGTTAACATCTAGCATTTCTTCTTATCAACGAAGTCATATAAGCTTTTAGCAAATATTTTTGTTGAATAAGGCAACACAGTAACATTTTTAAAAATTACCAGTCAGCTATAAAAAGAAGTTTTTTTAACCTTGTGTGGAGGATTTTGTTAGCAGATTTTTGTGACATGAATCATACTTTCCTTGATTGGAACTCATCATGCTAATGATCTGACTGTTATCTTTGGTTATCCCAAGGAATATCACTAAAGTGGTATCAACCTCTCCACATTAATATCTGCTTGTTTTATAAAAATACAAGCAGTTATCCTGGACTAAGTAAATGGGCAATATTTTCCAAATTGTTACAAAAACACTTAGAAAAAATTTAAGCAGGTGTGAAAATGGGGGAATAATTGTATCATTTCATGTTTAAGTTTCGTACTTAGTAAAAACCATATGAAGAAAATGATTTTTGTATTAAGATATATGTTTCAATAGATTTTTGAATTTAATGTATTTTATGTGCATTTCTGGTGTATGTTTAGGTACCATGTACTTAGTGAGGCACGCAATTGAATAAGAAGCAACATTAAGTAGCAGTGACAATGATTTTCCTATCAAAACACATACACACAAATGTGTGTATGTGTGTGGGCAGCTTTAATATTCAATAATATATATCTATATCTGTACTTAAAGAAACGAATATATGCATGTTAACATACATATTTTTAATATACTACAGCTTTAATATAAAAATTATTTCAAATGTTATTATTTTTTATTTTAAGTTCTGGGATACATGTGCAGAACATGCAGGCAAGTGTTATTTTTATACTAGTAATTAAATTTCCAATCAAATGATTCATGGCACTTAAATATATTTATTTTGACAATAATAAAAATAAAATTGCTTATAGAAGTTCTGACATGTGTGACCATTTTGAAAATTGCTTTCTAGAAAATTAGTACATCAGGTCTCAATTAGATTATCGTACATTTTATAAAACAAAGAAAAATTAACATAATTTCTCTATTTCATATTCATTTTCAGATCCTTAAAACAAGGTTAAAAAATTAAGTCTGAAGAAAGTATCAGTATCCCAAAATTTAAATACTGAAAGAAACTCAAATCAAACAATGGGAAATGTTTAAGTAAAAAGAAAAAAAAAATACATGAAGAGAAATTGTGAATCCATTAACATGATTATTAAACAAATTTTGCAAAAACTAAAGTACATGCTGTTGACAATGTTGGAGTGAATAATGTGGAGGGCAAAATGATGTCTATCTAAAATATGCACACATACACAGAACAGAAAAAAGTTTTGTTTTTAGGGTAAAATAAACGTTTTTTTTTCAGATCACAAACTTATTATACACACATACACACAAACACTTTTTATAAAAAGTGAAAAATAGCAATTCATGAAATGTAAATAGCTTTAAAATTTAGTCTTTGAACAAAATCAGTGTATAACAGCAATTTGATTTACTAAGAAAAGCAGAGGATAGGTATTCTCTTCCCCTCTCATGTTCTAACTTTTCTACCATTTTTTCTTCTTTTTTATGCCTCCAATAAGTAAAACAACAACAATAAAAACAGCAAAATCCCTGAGTTTCCAGTGCCTGAAACTCTGTTCTCTTTTTCTAGGCAGCATTTAGAACTGAGGAGTAGTTCTGGACTCCATGATTCTGACATACTGATGTTTAAACTTTATGGCACTGCAGTGTAGATTCAGGTAAAATTCTTCAAAGTTTGTATCCATCACTTTGGGATGAGATGCCTATGCTTAGAATACATACCAACAGAGAGATCAGAGAACCAAATTGAGCAAGGGATCTAAATAACAAGGTGGATGCTTTAGTGGAGCCAAGGGCACAGCATACCATATCCTGAAAATGGTTTCTGCATGTGCTTTTCAATAGCCACACATATATTACATCTCTTACACATTTGATTTTCAAAACCTAGGAAGAGAATGGAAATGAGTGGTAGAATTTGAGGTGGAGGTTAGGAAAAATTCATGGATAACTTCACTTGAAATTCTGCTTTACTTCTCGGAGAAAATTTTATAATTACTTTCATGTGCTTATTATCATAATTAAATAATCATATTTAAGTATGTCCCAAAGTAAATTCTATGCAGAATTATTTTTACATAGTAAAATTTTCTAAATTTTCATTAAAAATTTTTATTTTAGGTTCAGGGTTACATGTACAGTTCTGTAATATAGGTAAATTGCATGTAGAGGAGGTTTCTTATTGAGATTGTTTTGTAACCCAGGTAATAAGCATAGTACCCAATAGGTAGTTCTTCAACCGTTACCGTACTCCCAACCTCCACTCTCAAGTAGGCCCTGGTGTCTGTTTTTTCCCTCTTTGTGTCCATATATACTCAATGTTTAGCTCCCACTTATAAGTGACTTCATGTGGTATTTGGTTTTCTGTTCCTGTGTTAACTCACTTAAGATAGTGGCCTGATATGGTTTGGCTGTGTCCCCACCCAAATCCCAACTTGAATTGTATCTCCCAGAATTCCCATGTATTGTGGGAGGGACCAAGGGGGAGGTAATTGAATCATGGGGGCCAGTCTTTCCTGTGCTGTTCTTGTGATAGTGAATAAGTCTCACAAGATCTGATGGGTTTATCAGGGGTTTCTGCTTTTGCTTCCTCCTCGTTTTCTCTTGCTACCACCATGTAAGAAGTGCATTTCACCTCCAACCATGATTCCAAGACCTCACCAGCTATTTGGAACTGTAAGTCCAACTAAACCTCTTTTCCTTCCCAGTATCAATTACATCTTTATCAACAGTGTGAAAAAGGACTAATACAGTAAATTGGTGTCAAGAGTGGGGTTTGTTGAAAAGATACCTGAAAATGTTGAAGCAACTTTGAAATTGGGTAATAGGCATTTGGAAAAGTTTGGAGTGCTCAGAAGAAGACAGGAAAATGTGGGAAAGTTTGGAACTTCCTTGAGGCTTGTTGAATGACTTGGCCCAAAATGCTGATAGCAATATGTACAATAAGGTCTAGCCTGAGGTAATCTCAGATGGAGACGAGGAACCCATTGTGAACTGGAGCAAAGGTGACTCTTGTTATGTTTTAGCAAACAGACTGGTGGCATTTTGCCCCTGCCCTGGAGATTTGTGGAACTTTGAACTTGAGAGAGATGATTTAGAGTATGTGGCAGAAGAAATTTGTAACCAGCAAAGCATTTAAGAGGTGATTTGGATGCTGTTAAAGGCATTAAGTTTTATAAGGGAAGCAGAGAATATAAGTTTGGAAAATTTGCAGCCTGACTATATGATAGGAAGGAAAATCTCGTTTTCTGGGGAGAAATTCAAGCTTTCTGCAGAAATTTGTTTAAGTAGCAAAGAACCTGATGTTAATCCCAAAAACCATGGGGAAAATATCTCCAGGCCATGTCAGAGACCCTCATGGCAGCCCCTCTCATCACAGGCCTGGAGGCCTAGGAGGAAAAAGTGGTTTTGTGGGCCAGGCCCCAGGCCCCCACGCTGTGTGCAGCCTAGGGACTTGGTGACCTGTGTCCCAGCTGCTCCAGCCATGGCTGAAAGGGGCCAACATACAGCTTGGGCTGTGGCTTTGGAGGGTGCAAGCGCAAGCCTTGGCAGCTTTCACATGGTGTTGAGCCTGCAGGTGCACAGAAGTCAAGAATTGAGGTTTGGGCACCTCTGCCTAGATTTCAGAAGATGTATGGAAATGCCTGGATGCCCAGGCAAAAGTTTGCCACAGGGGCAGGGCCCTCATGGAGAACCTCTGCTAGGGCAGTGCAGAAAGGGAATGTGGGATTGGAGCCCCCACACGGTGTCCCTACTGGGGCACCGCCTAGTGGAGCTGTGAGAGGAGGGCCACCATCCTCCAGATCCCAGAATGGCAGATCACTGACAACTTGCACTGTGTGCCTGGAAAAGCCACAGACACTCCAATGCCAGCCTGTGAAAGCAGCTGGGAGGGAGGCTGTACCCAACAAAGCCACAGGGGCCGAGCTGCGCAAGACCATGGTAACCAACCTTTTGCATCAGCGTGACCTGGATGTGAGACCTGGAGTCAAAGGAGATCATTTTGGAGCTTTAAGATTTTACTGTCCAGCTGGATTTAAGATTTGCACGGGCCTTGTAACTCCTTTGTTTTGGCCAATTTCTCCCATTTGGAATGGCTGTATTTACCCAATAACTGTACCTCCATTGTATCTAGGAAGAAACTAGCTTGCTTTTGGTTTTACAGGCTCATAGATGGAAGGCATTTGCCTTGTCTCAGTTGAGACTTTGGACTGTGGACTTCTGGCATAATTCTAAAATGAATTGTGACTTCAGGAGACGGTTGGAAAGGCATGATTGGTTTTTAAATGTGAGGACATGAGATTTGGAGAGGCCACGGTTGGAATGATATGATTTGGCTGTGTCCCACCCAAATCTCAACTTAAATTGTATCTCTCAGAATTCCCACATGTTGTGGGAGGGATCCTTGGGGAGGTAATTAAATCATGGGGCCCGGTCTTTCCTGTGCTGTTCTTGTGAAAGTGCGTAAGTCTCACAAGATCTGATGGGTTTACTGGGGTTTTCCACTTTGGTTCCTCCTCATTTTCTCTTGCTGCCGCCATGTAAGTAGCACCTTTCACCTCCAGCCATGATTCTGAGACCTCCTCAGAACGTACAGAACTATAAGTCCAAATAAACCTCTTTTTCTTCCCAGTCTCAGGTACGTCTTTATCAGCAGCACGAAAGCAGACTAATACATGGCCTCCAGCTCTGTCCATGTTGCTGCAAACACCATGATCTCATCCTTCTATGTGGTTGTGTAGGATTCCATGGTGTAAATGTACCACATTTTTTTAATCCACTCTACTTTTGATGAGCATTTAGCTTGATTTCCTGTCTTTGCTATTGTGAATAGTGCTGTGATGAACATAAGCATGTGTGTCGTTTATAGTAGAAGGTTTATATTCCTTTGAGTGTATACCCAATAGTGAAAATGTTGGGTCAAAGGTTAATTCTGCTTTCAGTTCTTTGAGAAATCACCAAGCTGTTTTCCACGGTGGTTGAACTAGTTTACCTTCATACGAGCAGTGTATAAGTGTTCCCTTTTTTCAGCAACCTTGCTAGAGCCTGTCGTTTTTTTGATTTTTAGCCTTTCTGACTAATGTGAAATTGTATCTCACTGTGGTTTTCATTTGCATTTGTCTAATGATTAGTGATGTTCATTTTTTATATGCTTGGTGGCCATGTGTATATCTTCTTTTGCAAAGTGTCTGTTCGTGTCTTTTGCCTACTTTTTAATGGGGTTGTTTGCTTTTGTTCTTATAAATTTGTTTAACTCCCTTACAGATTCTGGATATTAGACTGTTTTCAGATGCATAGTTTGCAAGTGTTTTCTTCTATTCTGCAGGTTGTCTGTTTCTTTGTTGACAATTTCTTTTGCTGTACAAAGCTCTTTCATTTAATTAGATCCCATTTGTCAATTTTTGGTTCAGTTACACTTGCTTTTGGGGTCTTTATCATGAAAACTTTGCCAGGGCCTATGTACAGAATTATATTTATTTCCTTGGTTATCTTCCAGGGTTTTTATGTCTTTAGGTTATACATTTAAGTCTTTAATACATCTTGAGTTAATTTTTGTATACAGTATAAAGAAGATTGATTGTACATGTGCAGCATTATTTCTGGGTTCTCTATTCTGTTCCATTGGTCTATGGTTCTGTTTTTGTATCAGTACCATGGTGCTCTGGTTACCATAGTTTTACAGTGTAGTTTAAAAAGGGGTAATGTGATGTCTCCAGCTTTGATTTTTTTTTTAAGTAGGGTTGCCTTGGCTATTTGGGCTCTTGTTTGGCTCCATATGAATTTTATAGTAGTTTTTTTTCTAATTCTATGAAGACTATCATTGGTAGTTTGGTAGGAATTGCACTAAATCTGTAAGTTGCTTTGGAAAGTATGGCAATTTTAACAACATCAATTCTTCCTACCCATGAGAATGAAATATTTTTCCATTTGTGTCATCTTTGACTTCTTTGAGGAGGGTTTTGTAATTCTCATTGTAAAGATCTTTCACCTCCCTGGTTACCTATATTCCTAGGTATTTTATACCTTTTGTAGCTATTGTGAACTGTGTTGTGTTCATGATTTGGCTCTCAGCTTGTATGCTGATGTATAGAAATGCTATTGATTTTTGTATGTTGAGTTTTTATCCTGAAACTGCTGAAGTTGTTTATCAGATCTAGGAGCTTTGGGGCAGAGACTATGGAGTTTTCTAGGTATAACATCATATTGGCTGCATACAAGGATAGTTTGACTTTCTCTTTTGCTATCCAGATGCCTTTTGTTTCTTTCTCTGGCCTGAATGCTCTGGCTAGTAAAATACCTCTAGTACTATGTGAAATAGGAGTGGTGAGTGAGTGCATCCTTGTCTTCTTCCAGATTTCAATGGGAATGTTTCCAGCATTTGCCTATTTGGTATGATGTTCACTGTGGGTTTTTGATAGAGAGCCCTTATTATTTTGAAATATGTTCCTTCAATTCCTGGTTTGTTGAGGGTTTTTAATGCGAAGGGGTGTTGAATTTTATCAAATGCCTTTTCTTCATCTATTGAGATGATCATGTGTTTTTTTAGTTTTGGTTCTATTTATATAGTCAATCATATTTATTGACTTACATTTGTTGAACCAACCTTGCATCCCAGGGAAAAATCCTAATTGATTGTGGTGGATTAGCTTTTTGATGTGCTGTTGGGTTTGGAGCTCTTATTTTTGCATCTATTCAAAAGGATTTTGCATAGATGAGGATTTTTGCAACTATTTTATCAAGGATATTGGCTTGACATTTTCTTTTTTGTGTGTGTGTCTCTGCCAGGTTTTGATATCAAGATGATGCTGGCCTCATAGAAGAGTTAGGGAGGAATCTCTCCTCCTCATTCTTTTGTAATAATTTCAGTAGGAGTGGTACCAGCTCTTCTTTATATGTCTCATAGAATGTGGCTTTGAATATGTCTGGTCCTGGGTTTTTTCTGGCTGGTACACGTTTTATTATTGATTTACTTTCAGAATCCATTATTGATCAGTTCAGGGATTCAATTTTGTCCTGGTTCAATCTTGGATGGTTGTATGTGTTTAGGCATTTATCCATTTCTTTTGGCTTGTGTGGACACAGATGTTTATAGTAGCCTCTGAAGATCTTTTTGTATTTCTGTGGGGTCAGTAGTAAT
Source organism: Homo sapiens (assembly GCF_000001405.40). Taxonomy (NCBI): domain Eukaryota; kingdom Metazoa; phylum Chordata; class Mammalia; order Primates; family Hominidae; genus Homo; species Homo sapiens. The sequence continues at coordinate 184,883,100 of NC_000002.12, read as the reverse complement.
ATACTTTGTTTTTATTTCTGGTTGTGTTATTTGAGATCTTCTCTCTGTTTTTCTTTGTTAGTCTAGCTAGTGATCTATCTTATTTATTCTTTCCAAAAACCAAATTGTGGATTTGTTGATCTTTTATGTGGCTATTTATATCTCAATTTCTTTCAATCCAGCTCTGATTTCAGTTATTTCTTTTCTTCTGCTAGCTTTGTGGTTGATTTGCTCTTGATCCTCTAGTTCCTTTAGTTGTGACATTAGGTTGCTAATTTGAGATCTCTCTAGTTTTTTAATGTGGATATTTAGTGCTATAAACCTCCCTCTTAACACTGCCTTATCTCTGTCCCAGAGATTCTGGTATGTTGCATCTTCTCATTAGTTTCAAGTAATTTCTTGATTTCTGCCTTCATTTCATTATTTACCCAAAGTCAATCAGGAGCAGGCTGTTTAATTTCCATGTAACTATATGGTTTTGAGCAAGTTTCTTAGTATTGATTTCTATTTTTATTTCACTATTTTGTAAGAATGTGGTTCAATTTATTATTATTTTTTAATTTGCTGAGCATTGTTTTATATGATCGTGAGTATGTGCCATGTGAAAATGAGAAGAATGTATATAATGTTGTTTGGGGTAGAGTGCTCTATAGATATCTGTTGGGTCCATTTGGTGAAATGTTATGTTCAAGTCCTGAATATCTTTGTTAGTTTTGTACCTCAATGATCTGTCAAATATTGTCAGTGGGGTATTGAATTCTTCCAGTATTATGTTACGGTTATTGAAGTCTCTTTCTTCATAAGTCTTTAGGAACTTGCTTTATGAATCTGGGTGCTCCCGTGTTGCATGTGGACATATTTAGCATAGTTAGATCTTCTTGTAATCATCTTGTTGATATGAGCTCTATACCATTATATAATATCCTTCTTTGTCTTTTTTTGATATTTGTTGTTTTAATGTCTGTTTTGTCTGAAATTATAATAGGAACCCCTGCTTTTTTCTGTTTTCTCTTTGCTTGGTACATTTTTCTCCACTCCTTTTCCTTTGAGTGTATGTGTGTCAGTGCACGTGAGATGGATCTCTTGAAACCAGCATACCACTGGGTCTTGCTTTTTATCCAACTTACAATTTTGTGCCTTTTAATTGGGGCATTTAACCTATTTACATTCAAGGGTAGTATTGATATGTGAAGATTTGTTCCTGCCATGATATTGTCAGATGTTATTATATAGACTTGTTTACATGTTTACTTTGCAGGGTTACTGTTCTATGTACTTAAGTGTGTTTTTGTAGTGGCTAATAATAGTGTTTCCTGTATGTTTAGCACTCCCTTAAGGACCTCCTGTAAGGCAGTTCTGGTAGTTATTTGGTCATTATGAAATTCCTTAGCATTTGCTTGTCTGAAAAGTATCTTATTCCTCCTTTGTTTATGAAGCTTGGCTTGGCTAGCTAGACTAATAAAGAAAAAAAAACTCTTAGTAATTCTTTTCTTTAAGAATGCTGAATATAGACCCCTAATCTCTGCTAGCTTCTAAGGTTTCTGCTGACAATTTTGCTATTAGCCTAATGGGGCTTCCATTATAAGTGAACTGCCATGTTTCTCTAGCTGCCTTTAGTATTATAGTATTTCTTTCATTTTAACCTTGGAGAATCTGATGACTATGTGTCTTGCAGATTGTTTTCTCACGTAGTATCTTGTTCTCTGCATTTCCATAATTTGAATGTTGATTCAAATCTAAGTAAGTTTGGGAAAATTTTCATGGATGATATTCTGAAGTACGTTTTCCAAGTTGCTTGTTTTCTCTACCTGTCTTTCAGGGACGCCAGTGAGTGACAGACTTGGTTTCTTCACATAATCACATATTTCTCAGAAGTGTCATTCATTCCCCTTTATTCTTTTCTCTTTATTTTTGTCTGACTGAGTTAATTCGGGGAGTAGGCCTTCAAGCTCTGAGATTCCTTCCTCAGCTGGGTGGATTCTGCTGTTAATACTTGGGATGGTATTCTGAAGTCCTTGAAGTGAGTTTTTCAGCTCTATCAGCTCGTTTTGATTCTTTCTTAAAATAGACATTCCACCTATAATCTACTGTATCATTTTATTTTATTGCTTAGAATTCTTGGATTGGGTTTCAACTATCTCCTGAATGTCGATGATCTTCATTCTTTTCCATATTCTGAATTCATCATATTCTTATGAAATTTAATTGTCATTTTAACAATATTTAAAGATGAGACCTTTAAGAGATGATAAGGCCATGAGGGCTTCTGCCTTCATAGGTGGTATTGGTGTTGTTATAAAAGAGTGAATTGGGCACCCTCTTGCTCTGTCTTGCCCTTCTGCCTTCCACCATGGGATGACACAGCAAGAAGGACTTCAGGAGATGTTGTCTCCTTAATCTTGAACTTCCCTGCTTCCAGACATGTCAGCCAATAAATTTCTATCCAAACAAATACTCAGTCTCAATGTAATCTGTTACAGCAGCACACAACAGACTAAGAAACATGAGATCTCAAAAAAAAGTTGTCTGTCCACAGAATAATTGATTACTAAGACACAAAAGAATTTCAATAAATGAAGAATTGATGATACTAGGTTACACAATAACTTGTGTTTGCCTATATTATAACTTCTCCCAAGTCTAATTTTTTTTTAAAAAATGTGTCTTAACAATAGAAGCTTGAAAAAGCATAGATGAGTGAAACATTCAGTAAAAATAATTTTGTACAAAGAAAAGAACTAGCTGCACAGTTACAGCACCTTATGGAAGTATGTTTATTGTAATAAAAAAAGCTAAGCTGCATCTCTGTAGATGATTTACTTTGCTTAGGGTAAAGCTGTCATATCTTTTCCAGCATAACTTACTCTTCCATTCTTAATTTTTTTTGAAATATCTTAAATAATTTAACATTCCTTTATAACCTCTTAACAGTGACAAATCTGGGGTAGAAGGGATTTTATTTTTTCCCAAAAGGGCTCCATCTTTGCTATCTGTCGATCACTCTTAGAAAATCTAACTATGATCAATAAATTTTAACAGTTGATGGCATCCTGTGTCAGCTGAAGTAGTTGGTTGCAAATATTAAAACCTAGTACTATTTTCCCTCAGTAACATGTAATTGCTACATTTTTGATAAGAAGGTATGCTTAGAAAAAAATGTGAAAAATCGCTTAAACCAAAGCCAGTTACAAGCAGTAATCTCTCCTGTTGATTTACCTTCACCTCAGAACCACAAGAATGTTACAATACATAGTGAATAGTTGTCTGTAACATTTCTACCAGATGTTTCAGTAGCACATTCATCTTGGCATTTCTTGGCACTATGGTTCTGTATTCTTTGCAATGTCTCATTGTTTGTGAGGTTTTGTTTAAAACAAAAACAAAACAAAAACTAAATGGGGCTATATATGTAGATGTGTGTCAGTACCAAAAAATTATTTTCTCAAATCCCTAAATTTCTGATTTCCATTCAAATCTTTTAGACTCTTTTTCCTGCTGAACAGCAAAAGATTTTTCACCTTCCTATATTCCTAAAAAGTATGAACAATGTGTTTCAGTTGACTCTATTGCATACTTGTTTGCTGAAGACTTTTTCTGTAAACACAATTGCCTTGTTCAGTTTGTTGTAAATTGATTTACCATAGGTGCACGGTTGGTATGCTTTCTGATGTGTGTTTGATAAGAGTGATACAATAAAAGTTTAAAAATCAAAAAAGAAAAAAGAAAGAAATGTTTATTGGAAATGAGGTTGAAAACTTCACTATGTTCTCCTTTCCTACAGTGTGACCATAATAAAGAAGTCTATTTTACATAATTTAAGTGAGTTAAAGACTGTCAGAACTCTCATTTGTCAAAGATGCTCATGGAGATATCAATTATTTATAGTATTTTCAACCTCAAATTACCAAGATTGCAAATATTTGTATTCATTAATAAAGAATGTAGATTATTTTCCTCTTTCTCTCTCTCTCTCACACACACAACACACACAAATATATCTTGTTTTCTTTGTTTCTAGTACTCCGTGAGGCATCATTTTGTTTGTAGTAGTATAGACATAATTTGTTATCATAAGTTATCCAGGTTATTGTGAGTGAGTTATGTTTAAGACACTAGTTGATGACTTCTAAGTGTAGTTCATCTTATTCTTAAATATAGGTAAATATTATGATAGGTAAGCATAATAAATGAACCATTCCATAGACTTTATTCATGATCAAATTTGATATAATTTGAAAATTTCTGAAAATTCGGGTATGGTCTGGTGATTGTCATAGCTTAAAGAATAAAAAAACAAATATTTTTATTATCAACAATAATAATAGGGCTCATTGGTAAAATATGTAACCATATTGGGTGAAAAATTTCTATACATCACAAATGTGAAAATACATTTTTGCTTTCTTATTTTTTAAATAAATTACCTTCATGTTTACCTGAGCCATCCTCCACTGAGTTGTAGAAAATGAATAGTATTCCAACATATTTTAAATACATAATTTACTGACAAGTTTTTTGAGATAACTGCTAAGTATCTTCAATTTCTTATTTATGATCCTTGCTCCTTCCAAATATTCTTTGTTTGAGGGCATGCCGAGGTCCAGGAGATGGCTTATAAGTCCTTTTGACAACCAAAATCCTTACGCTTTCTATATAAAATACCTGATTCCTCTAATCACATATCATATTGCTGCCTCCATTATTGAAGTCGGAAGCTAGTATAGCCCATTGTATATTTTTACAACTTTGATTGAAGACTCAGTAACCTTCAGGTGACTCAAACCGAGCTTTGTGGTAGTTCTCCCTGGTAAAATAGACATCTCTGAGTCTAGTTGTGCCCTCAGTCCTACTCTTTGGCTCACATAATCTACCTGCATTTCTTTGTTGTCCATAGCAGGATTACCAGGTCTCAAATCAGTTATCTTACTAGTCCTCTAAAGAGAGTAAAAGAGAAACTCTTGGCAACATTAATGGAAAATTTAAACACAGCAATCTGGGAAGGCCAACCAACAAACTTGTTGCATAACACATTCTGCTGTCAAATTGAGATTGATATTGGCTGAGTTACAAATTGGTGTGGAGAAAGTTGCCCAAAAGACACTTTCTGTCCAGAATCCCTACTTTCTTTGTATCTTTGTAATGCGTCTCCCCTTCTACGGGTCAATGCCTGGGGAAAGGAGAACACAATACACTTGCTTAACTGCTTCTCTCCATTCTCTTTGTTTCTCTCTTTATTTTCTTCATATTATTTTTTCAACAAGTATTCTGAAAGAAGTGGAGATGTACTTCACTATTCTTCTGTATCATAGAAGGATGAAACATCATCAAAGGGGAAGTAACAATAACCTCATGATCCTTGGCATTTTGACTCTCTTTTCCAACCTTGGCCTCAAACTATAATTTTCTGGAAAGCTTCAAAGAAAGAAGGTAGCATGGACCTATACCAGACTCTGGGAATGCTATTTTTAAAAACTTCTCTGGTTATTCTCATATTCAACTAGAATTAAAGTTTTCTTGCTATTTACCATATTTATCTCTTACCACAGAGAGCAAAAAATCCTAGCATCTTAGTTTCTATAGGTGCCAGGAGAATTTTAAATATATTATGAGATAATCCTTTCAGCAGATAATTTAAGGTTTGGTTCTTGATAGGATTAGTAGGAGATAAAAATTTTGATTCTAGGAATGTACCCTTCTCAAATCTCCACATGATGGTAATATTAGATTTTGCATATTTTTTCCTGGATGAATTTTCTTCTTAAAATTTTGAACTTACTAAGAATAATTCCCAGAAGGTGTCTCAATTTCTTTAAAATAAAATAAAGTATTAGTAAATCTATACAGAATAAAGGATATAATAAATTCACAAACTATTTCCCCAAACAGATTTATTCTTAGAAAGTGTATTTGTTAAAGGATGGTCATTTAAAAAGTGCATTAAAAATAAAATGGTAAAATAAAGCTGTACAGTTTCACTGATACCACCAACCAAGTCATCATGTAAACTATAAGAAAAATATACTTCCAAGAGTTAATAAATGGTTATTAAAATAAAAATAAATATGCATTACTTTGACTCTAATTGGCTTTCTTATAGTTTTTTTTAATGCATATAAAAGTTTTAGTGGTAAAAACTCAACGTGGTAGGACTTTTATTGGATTACAGTGCTAAGTTGAATTTATAAAATGAAATCCGTAAAATTAGATGCATTTATCTCTTGCATTCTTTTTTCTTTTGGTGGGGAATAATTATATTTAGGTAACAGGACAGAAATCTTTGTTTACAGTTTTAGTTTTTGCTCCCTACCCTCAACAGGGGCTGAGTCAATAGACAGCCATCCACCTGAAAGGAGATGGCAGAAGGAAGGGAAGGAAGAACCATAAGGTTGACTTGGGGAAGGTGTACGAAAATGGCAACATTTCAGATGCTAGAAATGATTCTTTTATCCAGAGTCTGGTGCATACTCAAGACAAAATATACAATTTATTTCAGTCCCAATTATGGCTTTAAATGAGAAATGTCAAAATAGGACATTTTTATAATTAGCTATATATATGTAAATGTGTGTGCCTGTGTGCATTTCTTGGAGCAAAAATATTTCTGGGTTTGAGGGCTCTGTAGGAGCAAACTGTATGTCTTTAATTTGTTCTAAGAGAACAATGTTCTAAATGGCTAAAATAAAAACCATCAGAAGTTCAATTAGATTGAAGTACACACGACATACACACCAAAAAATCCCATGGAAGATATGTGAAGTGATTGTATTGCGCATTACCTTGCCAGTATCTCCTACTTTTAAATTAAGCTTTAGTACATTTTTCCCCACAAATGAATATTTCTATTACCAAATATCAAGAAGTAATTCCTTTAAGTGTCAGATCACTAAACAGCAGTTTAAATTATTATGAAATGCTCAAATTTGGGGCTAAATCTGTTTCATTTCTATAGCAATAGAAGTCCTGGCAGAAACAAAACATTCCAACAACCTGGCCTGACCTTGACTTCCTCTGGGGCAGAACAAAATAGCATGCTGCAAAGCAAGGAATCTTGACTTGCTGAAGTGAAGATCACTTCAGTGCCTGTTGGGAGGTATTTCAGTTACATTGAAACCACTAAAGCAAAAATCAAGATGTTTGAGGGGCAGCAGCAATAAGACAATCATTCCCTTTTCTATCTCTTCAAAGCATCAGTGTGACAAATCTCTTACAGGGAAAATAACTTTGAATTGCCCATAGGCTGCCAGGTGAGAGGACAGACGCAACTGTGGCTTTACTTTAAGGGCAGATGAAGAAGTCTACAGGAAATTTTTTTCTCTTTACCTGATTCTGAGCTTTCCTTTTTTTTTTTTTTTTTTAATGTCAATGACTAAAATTCAGAGTGACATACCTTTACTGAGAACTATTTTAATTATCTTGTTATATGAAAGAATCACTTAGAAAGTTTGAAATTGAGAATTAAGTACATATTGCTGATTTATGATGGACACCGTCTCTGTACATTTGTGTTGCTATAAAGAAATATCAGAAGCTCAGTAATTTATAAAGAAAAGAGGCTGATTTGGCTCACAGTTCTGCAGGCTGTACAAGAAACATGAGGGCAGCATCTGCTTCTGGTGAGGACTTCAGCCTGCCTCCACTCATGGTAGAAAGAGAAGGGGAGCCAGCATGGGAAGATCACATGGCCAGAGAGGGCACAAGAAAGAGAGGGAGGAGGTGCCAGGCTCTTTTTAACAAACAGTTCTCCTGGGAAGTAAGAGTGACAACTCACTCATTGCCATGAGAATGGCACCAAGCCATTCATAAAGGATCAGCCCAGAGATCCAAGCACTTCCCTTTAGGTCTTACCTCCAACATCAGGGATCAAATTTCCACATGAGATTCCAAGGGCAAAAATATCTAAACTCTATCTAACACATAGCTCTTAACTTTACATTATACTAGCATGAAGAGTCACATTAACTAGGCCATTGCCTTTAGACTTCCATCTTTTTAAAAAGTATCCAAAAACATTGCTGCTTTTCCACAAACATACATATTGTGATCATATTATTTATTATCCAAATAGGGACTTTTCATAATTAAATCAGGACAGTGGTAGAAAGTGAGACCATCCTAGAATATTGAGATGTATAGTTATCCTTAAAATACTGTATTTCCTGTTATGTAAAGCTATTTCCTATGTTTTTACAATAATAATTTAACTATTAGTGCAAATGTAGCTTAAGATAATGATTTGCATTTAACATTTATCTGCATAAAATCAAATTTTATGTGCATTAATAAAATCCTGTGCTTCTGTGGACTTTTGAATAAAACATGCTATAAGAACATAAGTGTGACAGAAATCTGAGCACTGTTTACATTAATAAAAAGAGGCTGGTATGGGCAGATGATAAAAGAGAAAGAGACATGGAAATATGCCACTGCCTTTTGATTTTTCATAGAAAATTTTATTTTAATATTGATTAAAGTTTAACAAAATGAAATTTGAAACAAGATTACTCTGATAATTACTGAACAGGGGAGATATTTTAATTTTTTTTAGGAAATGGTGAAAGACTTGAATGGCACAAGGAAGAGTTAACAATAGCATCAATTATAATTCTCCACTTACTACTGAGTTAGTATTTCCCTGAAATTAAGACAGCTTCTATATCTGTAATAGGGCAGTTGCAGAAAATTTGATATCATAATATTTGCTTTATTATGATATTTCCTGGCTTAATGATTTATTATGTAGTATGTGATGTGAGATGTATGCAATCACATAAAGCATTATATACTAAGTTGAATAACTCTGATACCACTATCCAGTTTAATAATTAGAATATATTTCACATGGTTACGTCTCCTATGGTATCCCATCATCCTACATCACCTCTTGAAGTAACCACTATCCTGAGTTTTGTATTCATCATTTTCCATTTTCTAAAGAGAGATTAATCATGTCTGTATCCTTGAAAATGAAAACATTACATTTTGCTTTAATTTGAAGAATATAAAAAAGGTGTAGTCTTTGCAATCTTTTGTTCACTATTTTTATTTCTAAGATTCTTTCATGAAACACCTACCTACAGTTAATTTGCACTGCAGAATAATTTTGCATTTTGTGATTATATCCTAATTAATTTACAAATATTGTTGTTCATACCTATTAGAATTAACATTAGGGATTTGTTTTCTTTTAATATGTTAATATATAAATTTACAAGATTATTTTCCTGAGTTGCTAAATCAATCATACTTTCAAAAATGATGTGTAATATTTTCTATTCATCCACATTATCACTTGATATTATCAACATTTTTTAAATCTATGTTGTAAAACTGTCGCTTATTTTTGAACAATTTCTAATACACATATAAGCCTTTAGTGTTTCCTTTTTTGTAAAATGTCCTCAAATATTTTTGTTCAGTTTTCTACTGGGCCATTTCTATTTTTCATATGTGTTCATATTTCTACAATAAAATCATAATACTAAATTCTTCTTGGTTTTGTAAGTTGCAGTTATATTTTCCCAATTTCTGGCTTGCCTTTTTATGTTATTACAAATTCCTAGTAATAAATATCATATTACATGCAGTTAAACTTACAAAACTTTCACACAACACTTTGTGTTTGTTTGTTTGTTTGTTTACAGGTTCTTGCTCTGTCACCCAGGCTGGAATGCAGTGGTGCGATCATGGCTCACTGCTGCCTCGATCTCCCAGGCTCAAGCGATCCTTCCACCTCAGCTTCCTGCATAGCTGGGACTACAGGCATGGCCCTTCATGGCCAGCTAATTTTTGTATTTTCTATAGAGACAAAGTGTTACTATATTGCCCAGGCTGATCTCAAACTCCTGGGTTCAATCAACCCGCCAGCCTCAGTCTTCAAAAGTGCTGGGATTACAGGCATGTGCTTTTAATACTTCTATAAATTTTACCTATATACCCCAATGTCACAAAAATAATTCCCTAGATATGTTCCTAAAATATATAAAGTTTTGACTTCCATTTTAACCTCTTTAATTTTAAACTCTTCATCTGACATTGATTTTGTTTGTTTACTCTATGAAGAAAAGATCAATCTCTTTTTTAAAAATAAGGATAATCAATCATCAAATAAAAAGTTTTGGAAAGTATATCCCTTCACTATTGACCTGCTTTCTGCTCCTGTCACTTAATAAATTTCTAAATATAATCTTTGTGTCACAGCTCTATATTCTGTTCCATTCATCAATCTGTCTATACCTGTATCAACAAAACACATCTTCAGAATGCAGAACTGTATGTAATAGTCTTGGTAACTGTTAGGCAAGATCTCACCACTTTTAGTTATTTCTTCAGGACCGTATTCATTCTTATATAAAAATTTTGGAATCAGCTTGAGAAGTTTATCACAAAAAAATACTGACATTTGGACTAAAAGCTTTGTTGAATCTGAGGTCAGTTTTGGGGCAAATTGGTGTCTCTATGATTATGTCTATTTTTATATGTATATGTGAACAGGTTTTTGTCCTTCCATTTAATGCATTTTAAAAACAATTTTCTAACTTTCCTAATTCAAAGTTGTATGGCATTTTTAGGTTTATCATTTAGGTTTATCATATATGGTCTATTGTTCTTCTCATTGGTATTTAATTTTGTTTTTGTTTTCTCAAAATTGGTGCAAGTCCAGAAATGCAATATAATAGCCAGACAACTTTTCAAATTCTCATTAGACCATCATAGGATCTGTGAATAATATAATGATAGCTTTGTTTCTGCATTTTAACCCCTATTTTGTTGTTCATTTGTTTTTGCTCTACGACCTCAGTATACTGTTCAAAGAATAGTGGCATTCTTGTTTTATCTATAATCCTAAAAAGAATGTGTTTGGTATTTCATCACAAAGACTGATGTTTCTTCATATGAAAGTTAGATAGCTTTTGTCTGATCAGCAGATCAGAAGATTTATTCTTGGTTTAAAATAGATTTTCATATATATTTACTAAATTTTATGAAATAAATGCCAATCTAATGAAAGATATTTATAACATTTTAATGAAAACATTTACTTTTAAACGCAGTTTGCATCTTAGTTTCCTTTAATAACTAGTGAGCTTTTTCAAACTTTTTCAAAAGAAACTAGAAGTAGGTCTTCATTAGTTCTTAATTCTTGAATGATAATTTTCTGTGTTCAAATTCTAGATTGCTCTATTCTGTTTTGAAAATCATCTATTTCTTCACTCTGGATACATATAAGATTTTAGCTCTTGCTTTCCTTGTGATACAGTCTGAGTAATTCTTGATAAAGATCTTTCATTTCCTACTTTATTTTTCTTCATCTGTTTTTATTCTCCTAGTAAACTAAACTAAAATATTAAATCAACTAATCTTTTATTTTCTTAAACTATTTAATTTTAAACAATTAAGGTTTGCTTTTAGGACATTTCTACATGTTCATTATAAAACTCATCACTGTCCTTCTAAAAGGTTCTTTGATGTTACTCTTGTTATACTTTTTACTAATTTAAACTTTTCATTCATACATATATATTGTATTCTGTATTTAATGAATCCAATACCCAAGTAATTTTTTCCTGTTAATTCTCACTCTTGGCGATTTTTCTCTTGGTATATATATATATGTTTATTTTTAAAACCTTGGCTGTGAATTCCTATTTTGTTAATAATATTCAGTGGAAAATCTAAATTGAGTTTTTTTTTGTTTTTTTTTTTTTTGCTGGAGTAATTTCTATGTTTCAGTCAAGACCTAAGTGCAGCTTTCATCTTAACCCAGAAATCATCATCAGAGTTTACCAACTGCTGTCCACAGTTCACTTCCCAGGTTACAAAGCTCACAGTGGTATCTACTCTTCATTCAATTTCACTCTTTGTAGGTGATTATTACTGTAGGTCCAAGTTTTAGCCAGTAGCTTCCTACTCCTCAGCCTCCAAGGGTGGTGTTGGTAGCAGGGGCTCTTTGGAGATATCATCCTTTATAGGAACTCAGCAACTGAATTAAGAAAATTGTATTGTGGAAGATCTATTTATTTTGTAGTAGAAGAGTCTTTCAGAGTATCTTGTATGCTCTTCTGATGAAAGTGAAAATTCTAAGGCATTTCTGAAAGTGTTATTTGCTCTTAAATCATGTTCTCACATGGAAAAACAATGTAAATCCAAACTATATCAACATTAAATGGTTTTATGCATGTGAAGAATTTTATAGAGTGCATATATTATATGTAAATTGTTGCTATTATTATCATCAGTAGCATTACTCTTCTGAAGGATGGACATTTATGAATGTTCGAATAACTCATTCATCTTGTAACAGTCACACCATCCTCATATGTAATATTCTCCTTACAAATAGTTTTATCTAAGTTTAAATCCATAAATAGATCATTTTGTTTTTTGAAGCTCTTACCTACCACAAAATTTTGACTTATTACAAAATCTCAAAATGAATTTTGACACTAGCCTTTTTACACTTATATATATGAGCAGCATTAATTGGGTGTCTAAATTGTGTATTTTTTTAAGAAACAGTGAACGACTTGAATGGCACATGGAAGAGTTAACAATAGCACTAATTATAATTCTCCAGTTTCTATATATTTGAGTTAGCAGAGTTTCAGAGAGTATGAGATCAAAATATTGGATTTTTTCATGATATTTCCTCCTTTAATGAATTATTATGTAGTATTTGATCTATGCAATCATATAAAGCATTATAAACTAAGTTGAATATCTCTGATACCACTATCTAGTTTAAGAATTAGAACATATTTCACATACTTACGTCTCCTATGGTATCCCATCACCCTACATCACCCCTTGAAGTAACCACTATCCTGAGTGTCATATTCATCATTTTCCATTTTCCAAAGAAAGATTAATCACATATATCTGTAACCTTAAAAATGAAAGCATTGCACTTTGCTTTACTCTGGAGAATATAAAATATAAAATCTCAAAATGAATTTTGATTCTAGCCTTTTTACATTTATTTATATAGCAGCATTAATTGTGTCTAAATTGTGCAAGACACTTCACTAGACACCGGGAAGATAAGGGCATGTAAGAAAGAGTCCCTGCCCTAAAATTGTTACAATCGAACATCTTTTGAGTTACAAAGTTAAAAAAAAATTCAAACAAAGATACTGTAATTTGTGAGCTATTGTAATCATATCTGTACCCCTGTATTTCTTCTTTCTTTTTAACCCTCTGTTAGCAAGTCTTAGTGATAAGTGAGAGAGATTTTAAAGTTATGCAAAGAGAATGTGGATGAAAGGAAACCGAATTTCCTTTGAAGTTTAGAGTTCAAAGCAACACATATTCTGTCATAACAGATTTGCAAAGATATATGAGGCATTCACAACAGCTCTTAGGTCCAGATTACCTGGATGTGTTTTAAAGACTCTATTAGCCTACATGAAGTGAAAACAGATCCTCATTGGGAGGCCTAAATAAAGAATGGTCTCAAAGGCAAACTGTCAGTGTCCCAAATATTCTAGGAGAAAAAAAATTTAGTAAGTAATAATAATAAGAACGTATTAAATATTAAGCTTTTACTATTTTCCATGTACTCTGCAATGCATATTAATGTGCATTCTCTCATTTAATTTCCCTAATAATAGACAGTTGAGCTCATTGGGCGTTTGATTATTTAACCCAAAGTCATATGGCTGGTAAGAGACAGGGTTAGAACTCATTCCATTAATAAATCCTCCTCCCTTTTTCTATTCACTTATTGGCCCTTGGTATCATATCTCTGTAGGAAATGAATGCATCAGTAGTATGCACAATTTGCCTTTTTCTAATTCCATTCAGGAAGTGCTCTAATTCCATGTAAGTACCCATATGACACTTAAGTGCTTAAGTGACTTACTGCATACAAGTTGTAGGAAAGACTGCTTTTAGGAATTTGAAGGCCAAATGGATTTTGAGTATATGGGTTGAGTGTCCCTTATCTGAAATGCTGGAACCAGTATTTTGGATTTCAGAAATTTTTTTTTCAGATTTTGGGATATCTGCATTATAGGTACCCAGCTGAGCATCCCACATCCGAAAATCCAAAATCCGAAATGTCCAAATGAGCACTTCCTTTGAACATCATGCATTTCAGCGCACGAAGAGTTTCAAACTTTAGAGCATTTTGGATTTCAGCTTTCCAGATTAGATATACTCAACCTGTACCTGTTTCTTGTAAAGGTATTTTCTATGGGAAACCAAAAAGATTGCTTTGATCTTCAGAGAGCTTAATATTTTATGAAGAGTTTTTTTTGGTTGCAGGTATTAACAAGCATTAGGCTGGAGTTTTAGTTTTATTTGCTCATTTGCTTTGTCTTAAGTATGTTTATTAGCAGCAAGCTGAAATGTCTCTCAAAACTCAAGGACAGGATCTGCATAAAAGTTGTAGGAAAGACAGCTTTTAGGAATCTGAAGGTCATTAGGAATCAAAATTGCTATTTCCATACTCTCAATTGTCACAGGGTCACTTGTATCTCATTCTCTTTTAAGTTTGTTTTGTTCTCTCTTTATGCAAACCAGCTTTCTCAGCTTTTTAATCAACTTCACCACTGAACAATCCCTACATTTTTAAGTGTCAAGTACAGCCATTATCAGACATTAGGCATTTTTTTCTTTTTAATCACATCCCAATTTCAAGTTCTCAAGAGAGAAACATCTGAATTGTCTATATCCAATCTGTTTCCCCCTCTACTTCATTCAAAGTGAACAATGTGTTAGAGTCATGTGGTAGAAGTATATATTGATGGTCATAGCGATGACGTTATTTTTTCAGAAAAAGGAGAGCATTCTCTAGGAAGACACGCTCAAAGACGCACTATTATCTTACGGGGAAGGCATAAAAGATTCTATAGATTTTAATATTTTTAGCTTCTGGAACATCATATCACATTGAATTAATCAATTAGGACTGTGCTGTCTACCAGAGTTTATGAGTATTTTGATTGAGTAGCTGTTTTTAGGATTTGATCACTCTGAGCATTGTCAAAGGTGGGCCTCTAGAATACCAAAATTGCAAGCCAGATCCAACCCAAATTCCCTTTAACTTCTCTGTATAGAATATATAGTATACTAAGTTCACTAAGAATAAGAAACTGAAAATGCCCTTGGGCTAACTTTAGTAAGTTTTATCTTCAAGACAGCCATATGGCTAAATGAAGCATTCTTTTGCAAATGATAATAGATATTCTTATAACACACATGCATTTCCAAATACCTACTTTACACAATGAGACATATGTGTAGTAATATACTCAGGCTTTTAGATACATAGGAAAAATCAGAGGAATGACTTTCTCAGACTTCAACTCTTTCAAAACAGCATTCCAGAATTATTTGATAAAACAAACGTCAGTAACATTATCACAAAATAATACCATTTCCTAATGAATGTTAATGTTCAAATCAAGCAATGATATACTTATGTATGTATTTTTATGTAAGAAAAGGAATATTTCCATCAAAACCTTTCCCTTAACCAGTGGGCCAACAGATCTACTACCAGGGGAAAGAAAGGCAAGGACAGATCATTAAGCTAAGTATGCATTAATCGGTGAAGTATGTAATTGAAGGGTAAATTCTTCCCTACACCATCCTCTCCAAGCACAGTGTAGTTGGTATGAACGACTGCAGGATTGACAGCAAAGGAAGTACACACAATTGGTTCATTATCGTTTAACATGATCACTTTCCCTACTTTTTCTTTCTTACAATAAATAACTCTGATATAACAGAAAGTTAGGGCAGGTTCAACTGCTTAAAAATGTACCTTTAAATTCATATCAAAATGAGTACTCGGCATGGTATTTGAGGGTGATAGCTAAAATAGAAAATGTTTATAAATTAATGCTAATACTGTGTATTGTATCAAGTTAGCTAAACAATGAATGAAGTTGCATTGGTAAATATAAGGCATATTAGAAAGTGGAATTTGTATTAATTACATTTATAACACTACTATTTAAAACTCATTTACATAGAGTGTTGAAAAATCTAGGATTTATAATTGATAGTAATAATTAATCTGGGATTTATAATTGACAATAAAATGAAAATATTAAAATGAACAAAATCATAGATATATTAAGTACTCAATCAATAACCTAGGACCATTTGTAGTACACTCAATCTTTTTTTCACATGTTTTCATAGTAGCTTAAATCCAAAATGCTTTCTATGGAAAACTATGTTAAATTTTATTTAACTTTGATAAATATATGTATATATTAGATTTATAAATAACATGCAATAAATATATAATATAATGCATAAATTATTGATTTAAATATTTAAAACAATACATTTGAGGACAATAAGAGGATCATCACTTGTAGAATATTGTTTTCGAAACACTTTTACTCATTAAAAGGCAATTGAATGGTATTTCTTTATGTTGATTATTTCAGACTTTGCTATTGGTGCCTTTTTTTTTAAAAAAAAAAAAAAGGATTTTGCTGTAAGTCATCAAATTATCATCCCAGAATGATATATTTCAAAACTGTACAGCAAATTAAATTAAATAAGAATATCATATCATATTCATAGAGTCTACACAATTAAAACTATTACACAAGTCCAGAAATGCCAGAATTTTTTCACATCTCTTTCTTACCTGCTTGTGAGCATGGTCATATGAATTAATGTGATTGTCAAACTCCTGGTGCTTATAGTACTGCTTGTCACAGAGTTCACAGTAAAAATTTGCCTTCAGATCTTCCAGAGCTTTTGCTATGGTATTTTCCTTCTCAGCATAGTCCTGAAAAATAAAATTTCAAGGAAGGATACAATTAGCTCTCCCCTGTGTTTACTTTGTTTTAGCAGTTGTCAACTATAGTACAATAATTAGAGTTAGAAACAGAATACAGCAAAGAGAAAAAGAAAGCAAATACTAGAAAACCAAGTTAGAATAAATTATAACTTAAAAATTAAAAGACTAACAGAAGAAGCCAAGATAAATAACAGAAAAATAGCACAAATGTGGAGGAGAAATGCAAATGATAGAAATAAATAGAAGTCCTTGATTGAACAAGTTCCTATGCTAGGTTAGCATAAAAACTGAAAATCACATAGCTATCTTGATTCAACTGTGGATTCCTGGCAATGACTCAGCTAACATAAAATTTTTCTATTCTGAACATGTAAAATGTGTTCTGTTTGAAAAGGTCTATATTTGTGCACAAATATACAAGTTTTGTATTTTGTTTGTTTCAATTATCTATATAGTAACTTATTATTCATTCCATCTAGGCATTTAACTGGACTGATTTTTTTTTATCCTGACCCATATCAATTTAGAATGAACATTAAAATAATCTCTATTTATTGGAAAAGAAAACCCTTTTCTGCGGTTATTTCAGTTATTTACCTAAACTGAAAAGGATTAAACTGCACAAGCAGATTGTTTTCATCATACTCACAGTAAATAAAGACAGTGATATAACCAAACCCCTGAGAAGATGAACATATAGCCAGTCATCATTAGCTTTTGTTTGCAATGCATAAAATGGCCAAATGTTTGACTGTGGATTTTAAGTTACATTAAAGATAAATTACTTGCTATTTCATGCTTACTTAAATGTCAATGAAGTAAGTGTCACAAATAATGGCAAAAGAGCCTAGCACCTCCTTGAAGCTCTTTCTTGCCCCCTCTCGCCACATGTGATCTCTGAACCTGTTGGTTCCCCTTCTCCTTCTGCCATAAGTGGAAGCAATCTGAGCCCCTCACCAGATGCAGTGTTCAATTCAATGTTGCCAGACATGAATAAAGTTTACACACGGAAACACTGTCCAATTCTTTCACTGAATAAGTGAAAATTGGACAATGTTTCCGTGTGTAAACATTATTCATGATGTGAAGAAGACCTAAACTTCAGACCTCACTGTAAAATATGTTTCTAACTTCCAGATTATCTTATATACAACTCCTTTAAAATTCAGAATAACTAGGCCTGGCGCCGTGGCTCATGCCTGCAGTCCCAGCACTTTGGAAGGCCCAGGCATGTGGATCACTTGAGGTCAAGAGTTCAAGACCAGCCTGACCAACATGATAAAACACTGTCTCTACTAAAAATATAAAAATTAACCAGGCATGGTGGCAGGCACCTGTAATCCCAGCTACTCGGAGGCCGAGGCAGGAGAATTGCTTGAACGTGGGAGGCAGAGGTTGCAGTGAGCTGAGATTGTGCCACTGCACTCCAGCCTGGGCGACAGAGCAAGAATCTGCCTCAAAAAAAAAAAAAAAAAAAAAAATCCTAACTATATATTCAAGTCTCTTACTTACTATTATAAAACACACTTTTAGCACTGATATTTTTAAATAAAATGTAGTCCTCTATATGGCAATGGCACTTATCCTCCTTAAATACACAAACTAGAAAGGACTTATAGTCTGAAATTAAAGCAATTTGTTTAAATTGTTTCTACAATACTGAAAAGTGGTTCACCAGTAATTTAATACATGACTAATACTTTGCTTATGTTATTGCACTGTATATTCATGCATACATCACATATAGTAAAGTTCACCATGGTTTGGGAGGCATAGTTTATAGTAATCAATGCATACATTTGCCATAATACATAGCTTACTTTCTCATTTTAAAGATAATAATCTATTGTTATGTTTTATTAGTTGTATCAACTGCACAACAAAGGTGACTCTTACAGTTTGGATAATTTTCCCTTCTAAATCTCATGTTAAAGTGTGATTTTCAATGCTGGAGGTGGGGCCTAATGGGAGGTGTTTGGGTGATAAGGGCAGATCCTTCATCAATAGATTAACACCCTCCATGGAGGATTGAGGTAAGTTCTTACTATATTAATTTTCTTGAGAGTTGGTTGTTAAAAAGATCCTAGCATCTTCCTATAGCTCTCTCTTGCTTCCTCTTGTACCGTGTGATCTCTGCACCCACCAGCTCCCCTTCCCCTTCCATTATGAGTGGAAGCAGCCTGAGGCCCTCATCAGATGCAGATGACAGCACCATACTTCTTGTACAGCCTGCAGAACCATGAGTCAAATAAACCTATTTTCTGTATAAATTACCCAGCCTCAAGTATTCTTTTAGAACAACACAAATGAACTAAGACAGTGATAAATCACAAAATAACTTAATTTTTTATGCATAATTCCATCAATTTCAATAAGTAATGCACCATTTCTCAGCAAATTTGTCAATTATTCCTACTTATACTAATTGATTCTTCCAATATGTTAAAAACTCTTAGCTTAAAAAGGTAAAAGTAAGTAATATAGACCCAAATTGCTTATTGAATTTTCACTAAAATCTTCAAAATAATACTTTATGGATTAGTCAATTTAAAGGAAACAAAAATTAAGTAATATGATTTCATGGCTAAAGCGTTTGAGGCAGAGATAACATTCTAATCAATAGAGGAAATGAAAATAATTTTGGGATTAAAGCTGAATTAGCTCTCTGGACAATCTTAAACCAACAGAAATTTCATGGTAAACTAGTTGATTTTCCCCATTCATTATAATTACAATAAAGCTACTTCCTCTCTCTAAATATTTGATTAGCTCTTATTATGTTGTAAGGTGTTTTTTTTTTTTAATAAGTTTGATATTCCTCTAGAGAAGCAATAATTGGTTTCTGTTTACCCAGTCTACAAAAGTGGGGAGGTTTTTAGCGGAACAGACTTCTTGGTCAAATTGCATTCTTCAAAAATATTAGCTTCAGCCCAGTTTTAAAAATAAAAACAGTAATTTAAAAGTAACTATAGCTATTAGCTAGTGCTTATTTAGGGTCAGTCACTGATGAATAATTTGGATGTATTAACTCATTTAATCCTGATTCTTTTCATTTCCTCACTTTACAGATGGAAATAATGAAGCACAGGAAAGTTAAGTAGCTCCAGGATATAATGAGCAAATGTTCACTCCATATTTAAACCCAAATATTCTTGTCCATAGCATTTAATTATTTCTAAACTTTTAAGCACATAAAAAAGACAGAAGAGTATAATAATCCCTATGTATCCACTATTCAGCTTCAATAACTATGAACTCAGGATCAATCTTGATTTATTGTATCCTATCCCATCTCATACCCTTTCATCTTACTCAAATAATTTTTAAATGTCTTCCTAGCTTTATATCACTTTATCTGTAAATATTTCAGTATATCTCTCTAAATCAGGATGACTTAAAGAACATAATCACAAAAGCAATATCAGACCAAAACAAAGAAACAAAAACAGTAGAGAAACCACAATCATTTTTTATTGTCATCAAATATCCCAGTCAGTGTGTGCAAATAGCTCCAATTCTCTAATATTTAAAAATAGGTTGTTCAAAACAAAATTCCATTAAGGCCCATATATTACCATCTTCTATGCTTCTTAGTCTCTTTTATTCTGTATTTCCCCATCTCTTTGCTTTATTTCTCATTACAATTTATTTTTCAGAAAAAAATTAAAATTATACTTCACATTTAAAAAAAGTTAATAACTATAGAAAAGTTACAAAACTATGATAAAAGACTCATATGATTTTCACTTAAATAAAATTATTGTTAACATTTTGATATATTTGTGTGTTCTGTTGCTTTCTCTCTATCTCTATCCTCCTCTAAATTATTAAAGGAAACATAGCATGGCTGAAGTTAAGTTTGCAAATGATAGTACAATTACAAACATTTGAGCCAGACTTTCAAGTTGATGTTAAGTGCAATTAAGGAATCAAGGCTGTGTTCTAGAAAACATTATCAGAGTAAAAAAGACTTCAATATTGTATGTGCATCTTAAGGGAAAGGAGTCATATGTATTGTTACTGATCATACATTTAAAAACATGTATGTAGACAAAATCAGTCCTAGTTAGGCTGACACGTTCCATGACCCCTCTCTTTCATTGTGGCTAATATTGAAACAGGTACTGACTGATACTTTAAAGCACATATTAAATACAGCCATCCCACTGCAGAAAGTAAGAGATACATTTGAGTGAGATGAAAAAGGAGCACAGCCGTTCTTATATATACAATCCAAAATGTTCACCCTCTATCTGGTAAAGCCATTCTAGGTTGAACTATGAGCACAGTTTCTGTACTGTGTCACTGAGAGTGAAGGCACAAAGTGAAAAAGAAGGACAATCTTCCTGCAACGAGTCAGGTCATTCTAACTCAGCACTTTTTACATATATGTAAAAACAGTAAAGGCTGAATCCTTTCTTTTAGGGAAGCAGTATGCATATACCTTCAAGTTATAAAATCACAAATCTTAATGGGTGACCACAGCAACTTGGCAGTATAATAAATTTTGTAGACAGCGAAGTGAAATAGAGAAGATAATGGTTTATCCACACCCCAAGGACAATCTATCCCCCAATACTAAAATATGAATAGCACCAAAGTAGAACTTTGAAGGGAGAAACATTATTTTCCAACATGACGCAATTCATAGTAGCCTCATCATAGCATATGGCCTCTTTCCTAAAGTACTGTTAGTAGGGTATATACAAGTAACCTTCCCTGACAAGTGTGAGCTCTCTGAGGGAAAGAATTTGTACCTGTTTTCCTTACTGTTGTATTTCCAGAGCTTTTATCAGAGCCCAGCATTAGCAGACACTCAACAAATAACAAATACATGACATTAGGACTGTGCTTTTTGTCTTCAAAATGAGTACAGAAGGAAAGAGGGTCAATGTCAGCAAGATGATGGAAAATAGGACACCCTAGTGCTTATTTCCTGCAGAAACATCAATTTAAACAACTATTCACACACAAAAATACCTTCATAAGAGCTAAGGAAACCAGATAAGAGATTGTAGCACCTGTGTATAGTGCAGAAATAAGAAAATACCCATTGAAGAATGTAGGAAAGATAGTATTACATTACCTATGTCACCCTTCCACCAGCTCCAAGCAAGAAAGCATGGAGAGATATATTTTCCACATGAGGAAGGAGAGGAATGTGAACATAGGACTTTGCTTCAGATCCCAACACCAGTCCTGTCCCCCCAAAAAACTAATGCTGGGCAGGGCCCCAGAGCCGCAGATTCCAGGACAGTACCTGTGGACTAAGCCTCTAGATCTGCTCTAGCACCAGGTTAGATTCTATAGCCCTAGGCTCCAGGCCTGAGCAACAGACTTGATCTTCAGTCTGCTCCACCACTGTGCTGACCTCAGTAGCCCCAGGCTCTGGACCTCATCCAGCACAAGGCTGGCCCACAGCAGCCTCAGGCTCTGATTTGCCCATACCCTAGGCCAACCCCAGAGACCCAAGACTCCTGAATGCGCCAGCACTGAGCTTGGCCATTGCCCCAGGCTTTAGGCCTTCATCAGCTAAAAGTCTACTCCTGCAGCCCCAGTTATCAGGTCAATACCTACAAACTCAACTCCCAGGCAATCCCCTGCAGACACAGGATCCAGGTCCAGCCATTGCCATGCCACTGCCTGTGGCATCAGATTCCAGGCTGGTACCCACCTACAGGGCCTCCAAGTCCACCCTGGCACTAAGCAAGTTCCCATAGTTGCAGAAATCAGGCTATCCTTGCGGACTCTTTCTGGGCCTTTCTTAGCACCAGGCTGATCCCAGTAGTCTCAGGCTCTGGATCACCCTAGTGGACCCATGTGCTGGGCCAAACCCAATGCCACACTGGCCCCTGCAGCCCTAGTCATTAGGTCATCACTTGAAAACTCAGCCTCCAGGCAAGTTCCTGTGGATATAATCTAGGTTCATTCACTGCTAAGCCAGTTCTTGTGGTCCTAGACTTCAAGTCTGCCCTAATGCCAAGTTGGCACTTCTGGCCTCAAACATCAAACAGGTAACCATGGACACAGGCCCCAAGACTTCTTTTGTTTAACCAGGTTCCAGGCTATTGACTGAGGACCCAGGACCCAGTCCAGTTCTCACAGACCAAGCCTCTAGGCCAGTACCTATACATCTAGCCTCTAGGCCAGCATCAGCAGATAAAGATTACAGGCAAGTCCACATGCCCTGGACTCCGGAGGACCCAAGGCCAAGGCCCACCATAGTATACTCCAGTGCCAAGGCACACCCTATGGACACTGAGGACACTCAGGGCCCAAGAACACCCCTGTAGACCCAGGTTCCAAGCCAGTCCTCATGGACTCAGGACCCAGACCTATTCCTGTGGAGTTAAGGCTCCATTTTCATCCCAATGGAACCAAATGCCAAACCCTTCCTAGTGGGTAGCCAGCCCTTGAAGACTCAGGCTCATGGCCCACCCCGGTGCCAAGGCAGCCCCTGTGGACACAGGCTTAGGAAAGCCATAGGTACTAGGCCCACCTACCTCCTGACCTAGGCAGCAGGACAACTCGACTTTAGATTCCAGCAATAAGCCAACTGTTGAATCATGCCAGGTGGCCTGCTCAGAATCTCTGGACAGACTGACTGAAGTAGGGTTTCCCAGACAAAGAACCTGGAATAATAAACTATTTCTAATGCATACACATCAACGTAAGGCAATAAGAACCATGAAAAACCAAGGATATAGAAGAACATCACCAAAAGAACAAAATCTCCCACTAGCTGATCTAAGAAAATGGAGATATAAAAACTGCTTGAGAAAGAATTCCAAATAATTGTTTTAAGGAAGCTCAGTGAACTTTAACAAAACACAGAAAAATGAGTAAATAAAATGAGGAAGACAATAAATGACCCAAAATAATACATTTAATAAAGAATCAATAATATATAGAATAAAGGAAATTCTAGAGCTGAAAAATACAATGAATGAAATTAACAATGCATTAGAGAACATCAACAGCAGAATTTACCACAACAAAGAAAATCTGTGAACTCAAAAAAGAATATTTAAAAATATACAGTCAGAGGAGAAATAATTAAAAAAAAGAATAAAAGATCCTTATGGAATTTATTGAACAGCATCAAGCAGCACATATTTAAATCATAAAAGTATAGAAGATGAGAAAAAAGAGGGTAGAAAGATTACTTTTAAACACAATAGCAGACACTTTCAAAATTTGAGGAAAGATATAAATATCTAGGTACAGGAAGGTCAAAGATCTCCAACTGTCAAAAATTAAAGACAAAGAGAAAATCCTGAAAGCAGCAATAAAAAAGAATCGAATAACATATAAAGGAGGGCCAATAAAACGAGCAACATATTTCTCAGCAGAGCACTTACAGGCCAGGAGCCAGTGGGATGAATTACTTAGGTGTTGAAGGAAAAAAACTATCAGCTAAGAATATTGTGCCCAGCAAATCTGTGTTTTAGAAATGAAGGAATGTTAGACTTTCCCAGACAAACAAAAGCTGAGGGGTTAACTTATCATTAGACTTGTCTTACAAAAATGGATAAAGGGAGTTCTTCAAGCCAGTAACATGAAACATATGAAAGTGTAAAACTGACTGATAAAAGTGAGTACTGAAAAAGTAGGTACAAATTAAGAATAATCTAATAATGTAATGCTGGTGTATAGACCACTTATATATTTAGTATGAAAGTTCAAAAAAATATTTAAAATAATTATCATTACAATAATTAGTTAACAAAAACACACTATTAAAATATGTAAATTAAAACATCAAAATACATGTCAAGATGGAGTGGAATGAAAATGTAGAGTTTCTTAATGCTCTCAAATTTAAGTTGTTGTTATCTTTTTTTTTTTTTTTTGAGACAGAGTCTCACTCTGTTGCATAGGCTGGAGTGCAGTGGCGCGATCTCGGCTCACTGCAAACTTCACCTCCCAGGTTCAAGTGATTCTCCTGCCTCACCCTCCCGAGTGCCTGGAATTACAGATGTGTGCCAACATGTCCTGCTAATTTTTATATTTTTAATAGAGACGGGGTTTCGCCATGTTGTCCAGGTTGGTCTTGAACTCCAGACCTCAGGTGATCCACCTGCCTCGGCCTCCCAAATTGCTGGGATTACAGGTGTGAGCCACTGCACCTGGCCTAAGTTGTTATTATTTTAATGCAGCCTCTTACAACTATAAAAAATATATATATTTTAAGTTTTACAGTAACCACAAAGCAAAAATACATAATAGATATACCAAAGATAAAAAAGTAGGAATAAAAGTCTATCACTAAAGAAAATAGTACTTCATCACAATGGAAGGGAAGGCATCGAGAGTAGAAGAAAGAAACAAAAGATCTACAAAATAACCAGAAAACAATTAACAGGAAGACAGCAATAAGTTCTTACCTATCAATAATTACCTTGAATATAAATTAATTAATTTGTCCAATCAAAAATATAGAGTGGCTGAATACATTAAATAAACAAGACCCAACTATGTGCTTCCTTTAAGAGATTCATTTCACATGTAAAGACACATAGAGGCTGAAAGTAAATAAATGAAAAAAGATGTACATGCAAATGAAAACCAAAATAAGTAGCTATACTTAGATAAGACAGGCTTTAAGTCAAAAACTGAAAAAAAGATTAAAAGGTCATTATATAGTGTTAAATGGGTCAACTTAGTAGAGGCTATAACAATATAAACATATAAATATTGTAGTGTGTAAATACATAAAACTAATATTAAATATCTGAGGGGAGAGATAGACTATAATATAATAATATTAGAGAAATTCATTGCTCCATTTCCAGCAATGGACAGTTCATTCAGACAGAAAATCAATAAGGAAACATGGGACTTAAACTACATCTTAGACCAAATGGACCTAACCAACATGTACGGAGTATTATATTCCACAGTAACAGGAAATACTTTCTTCTCAAGTGTACATGGGACATTCTCCTGGATAGCCTATATGTTAGGCAACAAAACAAGTTTTAATAAATTTAAGAAAATTAAAATTATATCAATCTTTATTTCTGATCACAATGGTATAAAACAAGGAATCAATAACAAGAGATATTTTGGAAAGTATGAAATACATGGAAATTAAACAACATGCTTCTGAACAACCAATCAGTCACTGAAGAAATTAAAAGGAAAAATTTAAATTATCTTCAAACAAATGAAAATGAAAGACAATGGAAAATAAAACCAAAACTTAAGGAATGCAACGAAAGCAATCCAAAGAGGAAAGTTGGTAGCAATAAATGCCTACATCAAAAAAAAGAAAGATGTCAAATAAACAACATAATATTACACTTCCCAGAACTAGAAAAAGAAGATCAAGCTCAAAGTTAGCAGAAGGAACGAAATAGTAAAGACCAGAACAAAATCAAATGAGAGAAAGACTAGAAAAACAATAAACATACATAATCTACCAAGACTGAATCATGAAGTACTGGTTGAGTATCCCTTATCTGATATGCTTGAGACTAGAGTGTTTTGGACTTAAAATTTTTTCAGATTTTGGAATATGTGCATGTACATAATGAGATATCTTGGGGATGGGACCCAAATCTAAATACAAAATTCACTGGGTCCTTCATATATTCCTTAACATGGCCTGAAGGTGATTTTATATAATATTTTCAATTATATGCATGCAACAAAGTTTGAATATACTGAACCAACAGAAAGCAAAGGTGTCACTATCTCAGCCACTTCTGTACGATCTGTGGTTGTTTGGTATCACCATCATTCCTGATTCTGAATTTATACGCAACTGATAAACAATCATTTTCTTATACTTACACATACGTACTTAACAGTAAAACATATGACATGCTATTATAAAGTGAAAAAATAATGTGTTCAGGGTAACTAAGCAACACAGTAGCAACCCCAGAATACTTGTGTAAATGGTTGAATAACAACAACACTAAAAAACAGCAGACTTTCACTCTCTACCTATGACGCTTTGTTTTCATTAAGAGATTACTGTACATCATTTTTTTTTTTAGATAAAAAGAAACATTGGAAACAGTTGAGGGAAGAGAAAGTGGTTCCTCTAGAAATGAGAAGAAATTTGGAAAGATGGCTTTTTAAAATGTTTCCTCCAGAATCATTTGTTTCATTAACAATATGTGTTTTAGAAATCTGTCTTTGAT
Organism: Homo sapiens; assembly: GCF_000001405.40. NCBI lineage: Eukaryota > Metazoa > Chordata > Mammalia > Primates > Hominidae > Homo > Homo sapiens. The sequence goes on along the minus strand of NC_000002.12, from coordinate 184,856,202 downwards.
TTTATAAACTGATATGCTTTATGGTTCTTTATATCATGGCTTACAATACATGCTGCTCTAGTCCTTGAAAAAAGCCCATCACACATATTTACTATGTTGTCTATAGGAGCTTGTTCTGCACTATTAACAACAGCATTTTGATTGTTACTATTATTATTATCACCTTGCTTCAGAATCGTTTTGGCTATTTCTCCATTTATCAGTAAATGAATAACTGGAGTCTCATTATTGACATTAAAAAGTTATTTGATAGTCATTTGTTTCTCCTTACTGATGGACTCTGGAGGTCTGTTTCTGAGGATTGAAGGAAGTCATACATTATTTTATTATCTCCTGACATAGAGTCCTTCAAAGTGAACACCTGGGTTGTTTTCATTAATGAACATATTCACATGACAGGGATTGTGCCTGACATGAACAACTGTGTCTTTAGTTACTGTGTTCCAACTCACTGAAAACAGAATATATGGCGTCCATCATGATACACTCCTCCTGAAAACCTTCCACACCCACCCACATATTCATTCGCTGCTGTTAGTGTGTTGTTCAAGAAAGTGCTTTATATGTGTGTGTGTGTGTGTGTGTGTATATATATATATATGTGTATGTGTACATTACAGTATATATATACTTTCTCTATATATACTCTTCATTGATCTAAGAATACCCTGGTCACAGGGCTGAATTCATGAAGTCACATTTGGGGGACAGTACATGCTATAAAAGTTATGTTTGATGAGAATTATAGCTGGAGGAGGAGAAGAAAAATTTTCAAGAAATAACAAAATCTGGCTGTTTTCATCAAGTCCATCTTTCCAGCAGTAAGCGCAAGCCATTGAAAACAAAGGTTTGTGAAACCAATGGGAAAAGATGTCCTTGGTGATTTATGCCTTTTTTGTTAAGGCAATAATGTACTGGTAGGATATTCACTCCCCGAAAACACTGAGGACACAACTTTTGACTATGACAGCAAGTTTACACTTATGCATGCCTACTGCATTAGCATATCCCAGCACAGTCATTCTACCCATGGCATCCTTAATTTCTATAGGGGCTGTCTTATTGGTTGTAGTCAGTGTCTTTCCAGAGCAATAACACCAAGACAGTGATGTTTAATCAGCGTTATAGATTTGGTTTATTACAGTCTGTAGACTTGGCATCAGATCTTCATCAGTGATAACTTTGGGAAATACATTGATGAATTTTCTACTCCTTTGTGACAAGTAAATATGTTATCAACACATTTTTTTTAAATTAATGTCGTGTCTTTTCTTAAATTGCTGCAACCATTCTGTTGAATATTCACATTTCTATTCAATTTATAGTTCATTGTGATAGATCTTTGCTTGTTTCATGATCAGCATACCATTAAGTAGCATATGTTTACTTCAGTGCTGACAGATTCACTCTTTCAAAACACAATCAAGATCTTCATTTTAGCTTTATAAAGTGTTTTACTATTTATCATTAACTTCTGTTGATCACTTTCATTATAGCACTTCAACAGTTTATCCTTCTCTTTCTTCAGGTTTTATAAAGAGGTCATTCCAACATCATACTCTTCTGTAAGACATTACACACATTATTGTTCAGTTTGACTTTTTGTGCTACAGATGAACATGAATGCTTTTATTCTTACAACTGTTAACTATAGAAAAATCTGTAGGTCCTTTTGACATTTTCAGCAATATTTTTACACCACAGGGTAGTGAATAAGCAAAAATACAGTGGGTAATGCACATCGAACTTTACCCTGTATGAGGCATCACAGGGAACTTGTTGTTGGCATATCTGGCCTGCATGCATATCATTTTATTACCCTATGTGGGAATACTTGCATGGGGGAATCTGAGCAAGTGTGGAAAAGTTATTTCACAGCTGCAAGAAGCTGGATGTTTTTTCCTGGGGGATGTTGAATAAATTGTGTAGTGTGCCTGTATTTTGACTGTGATCCATCACATGAGGTCAGGTATAGAATTTTCCACTTGTGGCATCATATCAGCTCTAAAAATTTTCAGATTTTGGAGCATTTCAGATTTCAGATTTTTGTATTAGGGACACTCCACCTGTAATAGAAACTCTGAACAGGCCAATAATGAGTAGGAAGATCAAATCGTTACTAACAAGGATTAAATAAGAAGTCTCCCATCAAAGAAAAGCCCAGGACCTGATGGCTTTACTGCTGAATTCTACCAAACATTTAAGGCTAATACCAATCCTTCTCAAACTCTCCCAAAAAGTTGAAGAAGAGGAAATACTTCAAACTCATTTTATGAGGCCAGCTTTACTCTGATATGAAAATCAGACAAGGATACTGCCAAAAAAAAAAAAAAAGAAACAAAATTAAGGTTACTATCCCTGTAATATCAATTTTTTTTGGTGGAAAAATCCTCAGCATAAAGTACTAGCAAACAAAATTCAACAGCACATTAAAATCATTATTTACCAAGATCAGTTGAGATTTATATTGGGGATGCAAGAATGGTTCAGCATACAAAAATCTATAAATATGACACACCATATTAATAGAAAGAAGGTCAAAAACCGTATGATCATTTCAATAGATGCAGAAAAAAATTTAACTAAACTCAACATCCTCTCATGATAAATGCTCTCAAAAATTAGATATAGAAGGAATATGCATTAACACAATGAAGGCCATGTATGACAAACTCAAAGCTAACATCATACTCAATGGTAAAAAGTTCAAAGCTTTTCCTCTGATATCAGAAAAAAAGACATGAATGCTGATTCCTACCACAACTGTTCAACATAGTATTGGAAGTCCTATCCATACAATTAGGCAAGAGATGAAGTCAAAGTTCCTTGTTTTCAAATAAAATAATCTTATATAGAGATAACCCTAAAGATTCCACCAAAGTTCTGTTAGAACTAATACATAAATTCACTAAAGTTGTAGTATATGCAATCAACATATAAAAAATCACTAATGTTTCTATAAAATAATAATGAACAATCCAACACAGAAAGTAAGAAAACAATTTCATTTAAAATAAGTACAAAAATAATGGGCATAAATTTAACCAAGGATGTGAATAACCTGTACACTCTTTAAAGCACTGATGAAAGAAATTGAATGACATAAATAAATGGAAAGATATTCTGTGTTCATGGATTGGAAGGATTAATACTTTAAAATATTCATCCTAGGCAAAGTGATCTACAGATTAAATGGCACCTCTATTATACAATTCCAATGACATTTTTCACAGAAATAGAAAAAAAATCCTAAATTTATATGAAACCAAAAAAGAGTCCAAATAGTCAAAGCAACCTTGAATAGAGAGAACAAAGATGGAGGCATCACACTAATTAATTTCAAAATATGCCACAAAGATATAGCAACCAACATGTTGTTAACATTATAAAAGACACATAGACCAATGGATCAGAATGGAGAGTTCAGAAATAAATATACACATTTACAGTCAATGCATTTTTGGCAAAGCTGCCAAGTACACACAATGGGGAAAGGATAGTCTGTTCAATAAATGATATTGGGACAACTAAATATCCACATGCAGAATAAAATTTGACTTTTGTTTCACATCATATACAAAAACCAACTCAAAATTGATAAAAGACTTAAGCATAAGCCCTGACACTGTAAAACTGCTAAAAACAAAAAAAGCCGGTGGGAGATCTCTATGACATTAGTCTGGCAATATATTTTTGGCAGTGACTCCAAAAGCACAGGCCAAAAAAAAAAAAAAAAAAGCATAGTCAAATGAGATAACCTCAAAGTATAAAGCTCTGCACAGTCAAGGAAACAATTAATAGGATGAAGAGACAACCAACAGGACAGGAAAAATACAGTAGCCCCCTTTTATCCATAGTTTTGCTTTCAGTAGTTTCAGTTACTGATGGTCAACCATCCAAAAAATAGGTGAATGCAGTACAATCGGATATTCTGAGAGATAGAGAGAGAGAGAGAGAGAGAGAGAGAGAGAGAAAGAGACCGCATTCACATAACTTTTATATTCAGTATATTATCAGTACTATTTGTGATTTCAAGCATCCACTGTAGATCTTGGAAAATATCCTCCACAGATAAGCAGGTGACTACTGTATTTTCAATCATAAATTTGATAAGGTTTAATAACCAAAATTGATAAGAAATTCAAATGACTAAAGACTAAGAAAACAAATAACCTGATTAAAAATGGGCAAAGGACCTGAATAGACATTTTTCAGAAGAAGACATACGAATGCCCCAAAGATATATGAAACAAAATGCTCAGTATCACTAATCATCAGAGAAATGCAAAGTAAAACCACGATGAGATACCACCTCAAACCTGTTAGGATGTCTGTTAGCAAAACACAAAAGATAGCAAGTGTTGACAAGTATGTAGAGAAATGGAGCCCTTGTGTTCTGTTGGTGGGTATGTAAATTAGCAAGCCATTATGCAAAACAATATGGAGATTCCTCAAACATTAAAAAATAGAACTACCATATGATCCAGCAATCCCACTGCTAGGAATATATCCAAAAGAAATGAAATTGGTATGTTGAAGAAATATCTGTACTTCAATATTTATTGTGGCATTATTCACAGTAGCAAAGGTATGGAATCAGCCTAAACCTCCATAGATGCATGAAGAGATAAAGACAATGTGTTGTGTATATATGCGCAGTGGAATGCTATCACTCTTTAAAGAGAAGAAAGTCCTGTCATTTATGACAACATAAATAAACCTGGAGGACATTACGTTAAGTGAAATAAGTCAGGTACAAAAAGACAAATACCACATTATGTCACGTATACGTGGAACCTAAAAACATTGAACTCAGAAGCAGAAAGAGAATGGTGGTTCCCAGGGTATAGGGGTAGGGGTTGAGGGTATGGAGAGATGTTCGTCAAATAATACAAAATTTCAGTTAGGAAGAATAAGTTCAATAGATCTAGTTTCACAATATGGTGACTATACTTAATAACAATGTATTGCATTCTCAAAAACTGCTAAGAGGGTAGATTTTACGTGCTCTCTCCACAAACAAATTAAAAGTATATGAGGTAATGCATATATTAATTAGCTTGATTGAGACATTCTACAATACATACATGTTTCAAAACAACATATTGTTCATGGTAAATACATAAAAGCTGCCAATTAAAAATAAATTTTATAAAAGAAAATGTGTAAAAAAGCAAACAGAACAGAAATTAGAAGTACTAGATTCATATATTATTAAAATAACCGCTCATGGTTGGGAGTGTGGTACCCAGTCATTTCAGGGACACCTTTGTAGCTCATACCAAGCTAATGTACAAATTACCATTGATGAATAGTAGTTGTAATCACATACATCCTTGCATTTCTACTAGAAATATCCCATTTAAATAAGTTAAAATTGCAAAGATATAAATAGATTGGGAACTGTTAATATATAATTATTTTAAATGTTGAAAAATAACATTTGTATCTAATTAACATTTAAAATGCTTTGGAAAATCACTCTCTCTCTCTTCCCTACTGCTCCTTCAAGGATAAAAAGCATCTTTGCTTTTATCATTTTGAAATGAAATTTATATGTAGTGTAAATTTCATTATAAGTTCTTAAGAGAGAAAGTTAAAAAAAAAAGAAAGAAAGAGAAAAACATCATTTGCTAAATTCTGATTATACAAAAAAGATTCATCAAGGGAGAGAGGGGAAAATTGTTCTCTTCTGGAAGAATATTTCCAGACAGAATAAATTCATCTGGAAATCCATAATCTATACTTCCTATGCAATAGTACATATCTTTTATTCTACTCGTTGCTTAACTGATTGAGTCAGCCAGTTTCCAGCAGCTTCATGTAGTACTACTTGACTGCATTTTTAAATTAATTTTTAATTATTATGGGTACACATGATGTTTTGATATAGGCATATAATGTCTAACAAACACATCAGGGTCATTGGAGTATCCATCACCTCAAGCATTCATCATTTCTTTGTGTTAGGAACCTTCTAATTCCACTCTTTTAATTATTTTAAAACATACAGTAAATTATTGCTGGCTGTAGTCATCCTGTTGTGCTATCAAATGTTAGATCTTATTCATTTTAATTACATTTTTGCACCCATTAACCATCCTCACTTTTTACCCCCACTCCCTACTACCCTTCCCTGCTGCTGGTAACCATCATTCTACTCTATCTTCATGAGTTCAATTGTTTTAATTTTTAGGTTCTACATATGAGTGAGAACATACACAATTTCTCTTTCCGTGCCTCCCGTATTTCACTTAACATAATGACCTCCAGTTACATCCATGATGTCTCAAATGACAGGATTTCATTTCCTTTTATGGCTGAAAAATATTCCATTGTGCATATGAACCCCATTTTCTTTATCCATTCATCTGTTGATGGACACTTAAGTTGATTCCAAACCTTTGCTATTGTGAATAGTGATGCAATAAGCATAGGAGTGCAGATATCTCCTCAATATACTAATTTCCTAGCACTGGGATTGCTGAATCATATGGTAGTTCTATTTTTAGCTTTATGAAGCACTTCAATACTATCCTCCATAGTGACTGTACTAATTTACATTCCTACCTATGGTATATGAGGATTCCCCTTTCTCTACATCCTTGCCAATATTCATTATTGCCTATCTTTTGGATGGAATCCATTTTAACTGGGGAAAGATGGTATCTCCTTGTGGTTTTGATTTACAGTTCTCTGATGTTTAGTGGCATTGAGCATTTTTTCATATAATACTAGCAGCCTAGTTCCATTCTTCTGCATTATTAGCAGTCTCTTTCCATTCTTCCATATAGATATCCATTTTTCCCAGCAGCACTTACTTAAGAGACTGTCATTTCCCCAAAGTTTGCTTTTGTCACCTTTCTGACTGCGTTATGCCTCAGCCTATGCTGAAGCATCTTTCACTTCCTGTCCAGGGGCTACTATAACTCATGGTATGGGAGCTTGCAAAATCCCGCTCCATACTGATAAATTAACAACCCAAAATTCTGAGAAATTAATACCACATGGGTCCACCCTTGACCACTGTGGCTGGTGAGGGCTCAAGTGTAAATTATTTTCTCTTTTATTTCACAGGCAGGCATTTTGAAGATACATTTCTAAGATTTTAAAGAGGGTCACAGTGAGATGGAGCACCAGTTAGTTGTAATAGTGGCAAACAATATAGCAGTATATTTGTTTTCCTTTTTTACCTTTTCTACTTTTCTAGAACTCCATTTCTGCTTTCTGGGATCACTTCTCAAATAAATTATCTACACACAAGCCTTTGTCCTAGGCTTTACTTTCAAGAAGCACTGGGCTAAGATTATAAGGTTTTTGTTATTTTCTATGAATATCTTGCTGTGAAGCTATGTTTTCTAGAATTTAAGATGTTATCATTCCTCAGTTAAAATTGTTCCAATAATTCCTCACAATTATTAGCATAAATACCCTTACAAAGTCTTTACAGGTTTTATGCTACCTGGTTCCTAGCTACAGCTGTGTCATCATCTTCTATCATGCTCTCTACCTCACTTAACCACCCTGATTGTCTTAAAGTTTCTGAAGCTTTCATAACTATATGCCCACTTTGACACTTGGACTTGTTATTTATTCTTCCTAGAATGTTCTTATAACAGATGTTTGCATAACACACTTGTTCACTTCTTGCAGATCTCTGTTAAAAATGCTATTTTCTCTACTTCTGTTATCATTTTTCTAGAAGAGAAATACTTTTTAATCTTTGTTTTATTTCCCTCTTATATCTTTCCTTTTAATATAAAGAGAAAATTTATTCAGGAAGAAACAGTGATAGAATACCTTTGGGCATTGGAGTCTCATAGCTATATTAACAATGAGGGAGAGACAGAGTACAACATAAGCATGTGGAAAAAGTGGTTATCATATTGTGATATAAGAAGTACATAATTGGGCTTTATCCCTTGTTCCTGGCACAGAGCTGCTAAAAATGTTTGGATTCTCCCAAGTGATTAGTGCCTTTTTTATGCTAATGAGATGATTGGTGGCTGGGTGCTCCTGAATAGCTTCAGGATGGGAGTTGGTCACTAGAAAGTCCAAGACATGATTAGAAGGTTGGAACTTTCGATCTCACTCCCAAACCTCTAACAGGGAGAGAAGGGCTGAAGATTGAGTCAATCATCAATGGCTAATGACGTTATAATTAATGTCCACACATTGAAACCTCCATTAAAAAATCCCTAAACTATGGAAAACAGAGGTGCTGGAAATGTGGTGCACCTACAGAGGGCAAGGAAGCTCCACAACCCTTCCCCATACTTTGCCCTGTGCATCTCTCCAATCTGGCTGTTCCTGAGTTTTATCCTTTGCAATGAACTAGTAATAATGAATAAATTATTTGCCTGAGTTCTCTGAGTCATTTTTGAAAATTACCAAACCTGAGGAGGGGGTCTTAGAAACTCCCAATTTAGAGCCAATGGTCAGAAGTACAGGTGATCTGGACTTGAGACTGACATTGAAAATGGGAACAGTCTTATGGGACTCAGACTTTAACCTGTGGAGTCTGACATTAACCCAGTTGGTGTCCAGAGATTTGGAGGATTAATTAGTGTGAGGAAAAAATACCCACGTATGTGGTGTCTGAAGTGTTGTTGTAGAAATACATCCTGGCAGTACTAATGCTAGTCTTTATCTTGTTGAAATCTTTTCCCTGTTTGGCAAGAGGGCGACTGTTTCTGGGTGATAAAAAGCTTTGCTGTTGTCTCATTATAAATGTCATTCTGCTCTGAAAGGTCAGGTTCTATTATCTCAAAGGCTGAAGAATGGATCATAAGATGATTTTGAAGAATATAAAAGGGACAAATAACAATTGAGTTAGAAAGTCACAATTTTATCAAAAGTCACAGATATACTGAACAGAATTTTACTAAAAACACGCATTTAGATGTAAGGTCTTTAAAAAAGATTCCACAGAAATGCAAACTCATCTACACCATCATCAAAGGTAAAGGCAGAGACTGAATACTAAAAAGGCTGTGTATTGAATATCATATCTCTATAGATTCCTCTGGCGAGCTAAATTGAGTACAACTCAACAGTAATAAAGAAAGATACGTTAATGTTCACATTTCTGAGAACTGGAACAAGAAAAATTCTTTCTGAAAAGTGATATCTCCTTTAAGAATTAGTTTCAAGGAAAGAGGTACATTCATAGGTTTTAACTATTTCTCTTCTGTGATTATTTAGCTGATAAAAACTATTGGACCAACAGCATGGTTTCTAACCTTAGAATCTGTTCATGTACAAGAAGGATAGTTCCCATAAGCCTCAGCTGTCACAGTAAAGGTTTGGCCATTCTACTTAGCTATACTTATCATCAAGACAATGCCTCATTGGGGCATCTGTTTTATTTTTCATCGCTGGACTCTAATGGAAGAAGTAGCCTGTGACCAGTACTTATTAGACTCTCTGGGTAATTTAAACTAGTAATTAGTACAATTGGACAAGTCATCAAAACACCGAGTTAGATTAGTCACCTTCATGTTTGGAAAAATCTGAAGGATAGTATATTTTAATAGTTGACTGAAACTTAACATCACCCTGCAGTCTCTCTGTGCATAATCAGGGCTGTCGGGGGAATTTAATCTCTTAAGGCAAACAAGAACATGTACATCAGGTTTTCTAAAACTAAATACTAGCTGAGGTATGTTGTATTCTAGTGCATATATATAAAATCCATACATATAATTTTTTAATATGAAAATTTTATATAAGTAGATTCTGCAAAGAGTCTCACTGTAGATTATAAGTGATAGTAATTGAGGGTACTTATTTCAACTTAGAAATCTCTTATATGTATAGGCATTGGCCATTTTCTCTGAAAGGTAGAAAAAAGGCATATAATGATCTGCTGCGTATGTATTACTAGCTCAGTTTTCACAGTAGTCTTGGGTAAGGCAGGATGGTTTACATAGTAAGTTGTCTCACTGGTGGTCCTGTCAGAAATACACACTGAGACAAATACCTTAAGTGGCTTATTTTAAACACATGAGTGCTTTGAGATTTCAGGAAACACTGGTAGAAGAGTACAAAGTGAGAGAGAGTAGGAAGCTTATAAAGACCTCTGGTTTCAGCTCTGACACATACGAAGCTTGAGAGTCCACACATCTGTCCTAATAAAAGAAAATCTATGAAACCTGAAAATCAATTATTTGTCTTAGTATTATTGGAGAACAGAGATCATGGGGTAAAATACCATCTTAAAATCCAGAGAAACAATCACATTCAGAGAGATACAGAAACTAAGAACTGTTCATCTGGAGCAGAAGCTGCTGGAGTCATGAACTGGTAGGAACTCTTAAATGTTAACTTTGGTGAAATGCTATAGGCTGACCGTGGCCCAATATACAGAAATTTCTGTGTAATATACAGAAACTCTTGATGGCTGCAATCTTAGAGGGACACCCCCAAACAATTTTGTGGGCATTCCTTTCATAAGCCCTACCACATTCTCATGATGATGATCTGAGAAAGAGTCTCTCATGTCCTTGGCATGTGAATGGGAGTAGTAACTAATGTGAAATAAGCCAATAGCCTTCTCTATTAATAAAGGCCTGGTTCCAAGAGGTAAAGGTTTTCCATAGCTCAATTCAATTACTTTGTTCCAGCCAGGGGAAGGAATTTATTACCAGTCCAGACCCCATAGCCTTTCTGTCTCACCCAAGTTGGGGAAGTGTGGGCAACATTGTCAACAGAGCTCAGGGCTTCAAGAAAACTGACAGGAAACTCTGTAGCCAAAAATGGAATAAAGGCCTGGGGGAGAAAGAAAAAAATTCTATATCACAGAAGAAACAATTATTACAGTCATAGCACTGAGAGATAGAGACATTAAGAGGCTAATGTTTAATCTTTATCAAAGACTGAAGGTCTATTTATCTCAGTTCCTACTACCTGATACATTTCCAGCTTTTAAGAAAAAGCACACTAACAGTTAAGGAAAAAACAGTCTGAAGAAAAAAATTAAACATCATAACAAGGCTCAGACATTACACAAATGTTGGAATTATCAAAGAGAAAATTTAATGTAACTATGATTAATATGTTAAGTTTTCTAAAGGAAAAAGTAGACACAATGCAAGAATACACAAGTTATATAAACAAAGAGACAGGAATGCTAAGAATAAATAAAAATAAAATATTAGAAATTAAATATACCTTAAATGAAAAATGTCTTCAACAGACTTATCCATTGACCATGTGCCAATAGAATCTGAACAAACTGAAATGCAAAGAAAAACTAAAAAGGAAGGAAGGAAGGAGAAAATGAAGGAAAGAAGCAAATAAGCAGAACAAAACATCTAATAACTTGAAATAATATCAAAGGGTGTAACATATGTATATTTAGAATATCAAAAGCTGGAGAGAGAGAGAAGTGGAGTAGAAGAAATAGATGAAGTAACAATGGCTGCGGACTTCCCCAAATTAGTAACAGGTACCAAACCATAGATCCAGGAAGTTTAGAGAAAACCAAACAAAATAAATAAGAACACAGCAACAACAAACACATAAGCATATCAGAATCAAACAGCAGAAAACCCAAGAGAAAAGTCTTGAATTTATATGTTTTAAAGGAAAAAAAAAAAGTGTTACCTATGGAGAAGTAAGGATAAGAATTACAATAGACTTCTCATCAGAAATCATGCAAGAAAGAAGAGAATAAAATGAAATATTGAAAGAAAAAACAACAACCTAGAATTCTATAACCAGTGAAATTATTTCTCAAAAGTGAAACAGAAATAGACTTTCTCAGACAAGCAAAAACTGCCAAATTCATCACCAACAAATGTGCCCTGCAAAAACTATTAAAAGAAGCTTTTCAGGAAGAAAATGATGTAAGAAGTGTTGTAGAAGGAATAAATGAAGGTTAAGTGGTATATTTTATTTTTTCAGAATCTTAATTGATCCAAAAATTAACTTTGTTTTAAGCAATAATACTGAAAATGAAGTGGCTGATTATATCATATGTATAAATGAAATGAATCACAGCAATTTAAGAAGAAATGGGGGGGGGTATAATTAGGAATACTCTCTTGCAAGGTATCCACACTACATATGAACTATTATAGTGTTGTATCATGGTGGACTTAGATTAGTAAAAATGTACATTGTAAACTCTAAATCAACCACTAAAGAGTATTAAGAAGTATAATTGATGCCCTGAAAGAGAAGATAAAATTGAATCATTTAATTGCTCAATTAAAACCACAGAAGGCAGAAAAAATGGGGAGGAGAGAAACAAAGAAAAAATACAACAAATACAAAACATTAAAAACATGGTAGATATTACTCCAACTATACCAATAATCACTTTAAAACTGAAGGGCCTAATTATACCAATTAAAAGGTGACAATTGTCAGAGTGAGTTAAAAAAGCCAGACTAACTATTTTTGTCTACAGCAAACCACTTTAAATATACATAATCAGATAGGTTAAAACTAAAAAGACAAAAGCCATTAAAGACTGTGTTACCGTTACTAGAGATGGTAGAAAAAGCTTGTCTATGCTGAAAACTCTGGAACTTCATGGAGAACACAAATTTCAGTGTTTTAGGATCCATGCACAAGGGAGTTATGTAACTTACCCAACAAATTCCTCTAAAGGTTGATGGCAGGGCCAAGTGTGGTGGCTCACGCCTGTAATCCCAGCACTTTGGGAGGCTGAGGTGGGTGGATCACCTGAGGTCAGGAGTTTGAGACCAGCCTGGCCAACATGGTGAAACCCCATCTCTACTAAAAACACACACACAAAAAAAAAATTAGCCGGGCATGGTGGCAGGTGCCTGTAGTCCCAGCTACTCAGGAGGCTGAGGCAGGAGAATCGCTTGAACTCAGGAGGCAGAGGTTTCAGTGAGCCAAGATCATGCCACTGTACTCCAGCCTGGGCAACAGAGTGAGACTCTGTTTCAAAAAAATAAATAAATAAAATGTAATTTAATTTAACTTTAAAAAAAGTGTTGATGGCAGTTTGCAGTGGGCATTTGCACCTGGAACTTTTGGGTTTTTCACACTCAAGGATGGAGTGATCTCTTGTGCTCAAAGAAAGTTCCCACGAAAAGAGTTCAGGTGATAGCAGCTGGAGGCCAGGACTATATACATGGACATGATAATTGCTTGTGAGTATGAATGGGAAACCAAGAGCATCTGCTATTCTGACTGAACTAACCCAAAGCAGGGGTTTTAAGTAAAGGGCAAGACATGAGCTCACCAGAATCTGTGGACTCTGGGAGTATCCCTTAGTAGAAACAGTAACTTTTCATAAAGCAACCTCACCTCTACCATTATGGTGCTCACTGTCTGAATTATCCTCCTCTTCTAGAAACTATATTTACAGTTTGTCGATGATCCTGGAAATGACTACTCTGTTAAATCTGTGAAACTGATCTTGAGGTGTTTTATTTATTTATTTTTTCTATCAAGACTAAAATTTCCCAGAGCTTATATGTGAATTGTTTAATATTTTCTAGCCTCACTCAAATCTAATTTCATGCAATTATAATGCTTTTCTATAGGTCATTTCTTATTATTTTTTCATTGTTATGTATTTTAAACATAGAATAAGACAGATCAAAAAGTCAAATACAGATTTTAAAAAGAAAATGAATTCCAAATTAATTTTATACTAGTTCTACTATTTCCTAAAATCATAAATTTCCTTTTTTTTTAAAAAAAAAAATCCCAGCTCCAAAAGGAAATCACCTTGCTGAGGACAAAATAAGGTAAAATAATAGTTCTCAAAACTTCTAGCTTTGTGAATTTTTAGAAAATATTTTCTCAAAAAGCAAGCATGACACTGTAGGTGTCACATCACAGGGGTTCCCCAGATGCTTTGAAAGATCATCATGCAACCATAGCTTCCATAATAAGAGGAACAATATATAGAGACATGCTGTCCCTCTCATCAGCGCCAGCAGGCTCTGCCCCTGTGGTTAATTCTGCTTTGTCTTGAACTCCAAATGGGAGTGATAGTCTGTGCACTTGACACATTGTTAGCACAGCAGGGAAATCCCATTTGGAAATAATCACATGTTCAGATATCCAAAAGAAAAGGGATATTTTGAAAAGAGAAGCATTTTAACTTGAAAAATTTACAACTAAAAATTGGATGGAGAAGATACAATGAGTAAGGGAAGGACATTAATATTTATTGATGCTACAAAAAAGCACTACATTCAAATTATCTCAGCTTTGACAATATTAACCCTCAGACAAATATTATTAGCCCCATTTTACATATGATAAAAACAAGACACGAAGGGGAAGGATTATTTGCCTGGGGTCTTATACCATGTAATGGTGAAGTTTGACACTTAGTTGACTCTTGCTGAGCTATCTGCTAACCCTCTGTCTCTGCCTGACATTGCTCTCAAGAAGAGTAAATAGTACCCTAAAAAAAATTGACACAGCAAAAAGATATATCTGAAACACAGATTTTAATATAAATTAAACATTTAAGGATGAAGTATTTTTTAAAATGTAAATTAAATTAAAATGTAAGCATATGATAATATAAAACACTTAATCCCATCTTTTAATTTAAATGTATTATTACTGGTCAGCCAGTGTATTTAAGAAGGTGATACATTAAATAGTAACATTTATATAAGACTATACAAATATTACAATAAAACTAAACCAAGCTTAAGGAGTAGATTAGTAATGCTGTTTTACTAGTCATTATAAATTGTTAAAAACCCATTCATGAATATAATGTGTCATGCCACAATCACAGTGGCATTAATTAGATAATGGAAACACTATGAGGTTTTAAAATATTTATAAGATGTAGCTGTAATTAAACTCTAATCAAAATGTAGCCTGCAAATATCATTTTAAAAGATGGTTTTGAAATTCTGTTTAGTAACAAAAATATTTAGTTAGAAGATATTTTGATAGCCTACTTGTGGTGAAAGTAGAAGTATCTTCCACCACTATTCCTTTTCCTGTAATTGGAGTGAGTTAGGATGAGAACAAATCAGGAATGAACTGCTTTTCCCAAAGAAATGGAGAGATTTCACATTTCTAGGGCTTGTATAAAGAAGACATACAGGGACATATGACAAAAACGTGAAAGATAGTGCAGGAATTACACCCAGATGACTGGATAACAAAGTTCAAAGGGAAAACACGTACAGAGAGAAAATCATGAGGCAAAGATAACTGAAAACCTTCATGAATCTGAAAAACTCACTGAATTTCCATTGTTCGCTTGCAGCATTATGGCGAAACGTCTTAATTTCTCCTAATGTTAAGTAAAATTCAACTGAATATGGTCAAGAAATGGTGGTGTTTCAGGGGTAAAGCAAAAAGTCGATACCTAGGGTCTATGTTTGAGTAGATACAAGGTCAGAGAAGAAAAGAGTGGTTAGAGAAGGAAGTTAAGAATAACCATTTAATTCTTATTAAACAATTTAATTTAATTCTTAAGCTGAATAAGAGATGACTGAGAGAAATAAATTTTCCTTTAGTTTTGTTAGCGGGCGTGTATATTTTGGAAGGGAGAAATTGGTTGCTGGGTTTCTTGCCATATGTAAATAAGGGGGTCAGTAAATATTTCTGTTTTGTTTTGCTTTTACTAAAAGAAAGAATCTTTCCATGATACTGAAAAAATTAGAGAGCACACAGCATATGACGTTTGAATTAATTAAAAATGACATTTCTAATTTAGAATATCAATTTCAATTCAGCTTTTAACATGTTATTTCTTGAACACTGGAAACAAAAGTTTGATTTTAAACTGATTTTTGCAGAGAATAACAAGAAAATAGTTAAGATTTGAGTCTCATTGACTTTTTTTTTTGTTTTGAGACAGAGTCTCACTCTGTTGCCCAAGCTGGGATGCAGTGGCATGATCTCAGCTCGCTGCATCATCCGCCTCCCAGGTTCAAGCGATTCTTCTGCCTCCTGAGTAGCTGAAATTACAGGTGGGTGCCACCATGTCCAGGTAATTTTTGTGTTTTTTAGTGGAGATGAGGTTTCACCATGTTGGTCAGGCTGGACTCGAACTCCTGACCTCAGGTGATCCTCCCACCTTGGCCTCCCAAAGTGCTGGGATTACAGGTGTGAACCACCACGATGGCCATGAGCCTAGGTGAAGCTAAAACAAAGTTCCATTCATAGCTTAGAGAAGTAGCTTTCAATGGGTTTATCTAAAGAGTCTATTCCAATAATTAAAAAATTCTTATTAGGATGAATTAGCAATTGTGCAGGCAGACTTAGATATTAAGTTCATGGACACCTCAATCCAAGTTGAAGGGGTCGGTTATGGTCCCTTATTCTATTTTTTTAAAAACAAATAACTCAGGTCAGGCCACCTTTAAAAGAGATTTATTGAGAACTGATAAATGTTAATTAATCAAAAATGAAAAAATAACCTCAAAATTCTTTAACTTTTACAGAACAAAGTTTTCATTTCATTATATTTTTTCCTATGGAATTATTTATATGTAGTAAACATTCTGTTAAGAGAAATCTTATTAAATGTATTCTTACATCGTGAATTAATTACTCAGGATAATGAGGCTACTGAACACTTTTTAAAGTGTAAGTTCAATTCTGGACACTACATTTTTTTCTTTTGTACTGCCAAAATTATTTTATGCTATGGCCTTTCTTGAAAGAGAGGGCAACCTGTTTATAGTTTCTTTGTACTACAAAACACCTATAAATCAACAATGAGTATCCTATTGATAAAGAAATATAATTTTTCAGCTGTGAGTTAATATTTTACTTTAGGAAATACATGTTAAATTAATAACACTATTTTAAAAATCTGAGAATGTATAACTTTGCACAGGAGTCCAGATTTTTAAATTGCATACGAATCCCCAAAAACTTAATAAACTTAATTTTAATGTAATGATATGATACTCTAATGTAATAAAATACTTTGTAGCTATTAAAATAATAATATACATTTATTTATTGGCATGTATACATGTAGCATGACATCATTTGTTTAAATTACATACACACATACATAGATGTCTATAGCAATTTGTTTATAGTGCTTTATTTGTGCTTTGGAATTGTGGCAGTTTAGGTTAGGTTTACATTTTTCTTTGTCTTTCAAAGTACTTCTTAAAGTACGTCATGAACATGTATACAAAAAATATGAGAATGTTAGTTTGAATAATATAATGAAGACTATATCAGATTTCAATGTTCAATTCTCTGGACATTGGGAAAGGTAATGACCATGTAACCAACACACAACTTTTAGCCTAGGTAGATTCTATCATATCAATGGATAAAGTATTATCATTCAGTTTTCTAACACAGAGAAAAACCTTATGAAAACAATGTTTTCTATATAATCAATTTGTAGGCAATATCATATGCATGCATTGTAAGAACAAATAGAGCACTGCCGGGCTGATATTGAATTTTTTTTTCTATAGTATAGATAATGCTTCTGGTTTTTAATATAAAATTGTCCCTTTTCTGTTATGGCTATACATAGCTTCTGTTATGGCTATACTTTGATACAACTTTCTGTGTGGCTCTTATTCACATTAGCACAAGCTATTTTAAATAAGGCATACACAGAAAAATATTAAAATGGTACAGATTGTATTTAATAAAAATATGAATATTTAATGTCTTACTAATTCTGGGTTATTCTCTATGTTGATCTGACTTTCTCAAAGAAAAGTTTAATTAGCAAAATAAAGAAATTTCCTAGAAATCTCTATAGAATAATCACAATATTAATAATATTGAATATTTATGTGTCATCTACTACTTGCCAGGGTCAGTTTCTAAGGATCTCACTTCTCATAACAACTTCATAACATTGGTTCCTATTATTGTTGTCATTTTAGATATGAGTGCACTGAGGCACAGACAGTTTAACCTGCCCGAGATCAAACAGCTTTGGTGGCAGAATCTATCTAGATTTGAAGATAAGTAGTCTAGTTTTAATGCTATGCTGTCTTGATTGAAGCTGATAATAATGGGTTCTAATAATAAAAATGAACACAATCCATGATTGCCCAAGCTGCTGAACTCTAGAATTTA
This sequence comes from Homo sapiens, assembly GCF_000001405.40. Taxonomy (NCBI): domain Eukaryota; kingdom Metazoa; phylum Chordata; class Mammalia; order Primates; family Hominidae; genus Homo; species Homo sapiens. The sequence continues at coordinate 184,838,169 of NC_000002.12, read as the reverse complement.
ATATAGAATCATAAGAACAATAAAAAAAAATTCTCTGTCTTAAACTCCAACCTGCTATTTCAGTAGTCCCAACACCCTGCAAATATCCCCTGAGAGAGGCTCCCACGTGCACTCCTGCATGTTCTCTCTTTTTCTGGGCTACCAGGTCCTGCCTTCAGAAATTTCTGCTGCTGGGGCTCCTCTGACCACTGAGCAAGGTAAACTGCCTTTTTTCCTGCTGTTTCTCTCAAGGCAAGCTCCCAAAGGCTATGGTGATCATACTAAGGCTAATAAATCTTGTTATGACCAAAGCCACTGAGAAGGCTTCCACTGGCAGTGGATGAGGGCAGAGCTGTTCATGCCAGGCATCCTCATAAGTGGAGAAATGCTTGTATATCTTGTAGAATATGCTCAGTGAGCCTTCATACACGAGCTTATTCCAGTGAAGAAATCACATTCAAATAAAATTAAGCATCTATAAGTAAATACTAAATAAAATGATAGATCATAATATTTTTCTTCATATCATGTTTGTTTTTCAAATTTATACCTTTTAAGATTATTAAATATTTCTGTAAAAAAGTGCTGTTATTCTATTTCTTTCTTTGTCTTTAGGAAAAAATCACTGCTGCAATTATGCCTCTTACTCTATCAGTATGTGCCATAAGTGATTTTAATTTTTCTTTAAAATATCGAGGTATTATAAACAAATAAACAGACTTAAAAATCATAGAAGTCTGAAAATATACTTGAGAATTTTATCCATACTCTTGCTAAAGTTAAAGAAGCCATCATATCTAATGTTACTATAGCAAACATTAAAATAAGTAAAATTAACGCTAGAAAATATGCCATAATTTGGGGGCTAAATTAGCCTGAAGAGAGGTGGCCACTCTCTTCTTTGTCTAACCTACTGTTTACCAATCACTATACCAGATTCTGAGTTTATGAGGAGGAATAATAAGGACGCATGTTTCTTCCTGGTATCAAGAAACATAAGACCTAGTAAGATACTCATATAAATAGATGCTGTCCACCTAGTAATATAAGTAATGTAAGCGCTATGGTAAAGACTTCATAGGATTCATTGCAGCACAGGAGGGTCAAGGAAGGCTTCTGAAGAGTATGACTACTGAACTGATCTGCGAAGAAGCAGTAGTAATTATCCAAGAAAAGCAATGTGTGAACAGATTTCCAGCAAGAAGACACACCATGTACATAGTCACAAAGGCTTGAAAAAAACTTGATGCAGTCAGGGAACAAAAGCAGTTTGATATTATCAGTGCTTAAAGTATTATGCAGGGTATGTAAGAGATAAGAATAGAGAGAGGGGTAAAGGCACAATCACAAAGCATATGGCACGCTAAGGAGATTGCAGTTATTTATATTGATAACCATATCAATATAAAGAGAGATTAAGAATAGGGAAGCTGTGAAAAGACTATTAAAAAATGCTCACGCAAGAGATGAGGGAGTCTATCATAAAAAAAAAATATATATATATATACACACACACAAAGCATCTATATCTCTATATAATATCTATGTATCTACCTATAATATCTATGTTTATTTCCAAGATCAGCATTCATATTGATTTTAAGAACACAATTCTATGATATTTATATTTAAATAATAATGAATGAGTTTATCTAATCTGTGAGGATACTGTTTGAAAAGTTCTGTAGAATTACTGTTATATTTATCAGTTGTAATCACACTGTCCCACTGTAATTCAACTTCCGTTATTACTCTTCCCTCTAAGACACTGATTCTGTATCTTGTCTGTAATGACTTATTCCCAGTGTCAGCAACATGGTGTGTGCACAAACAACTCCCCTAGGTTTGTGAACACGAACAGATTTCAGGCCTGGGTGGATGCTCCTTTTTAGGAAACTGCTTGCTTTTAGTAACAGGCAGCAAACAAAGAACAGGCCCTGCCATAATGGCACTCATTATCTATCCTTTTTCTCTTTCCCCAAGAAAGACTTCTTTGGTATTAAATAACTTAATTTTAAAAAGCAACTACCATGTGCCAAGCACCATGCTAGGCATTTCTGATTTAGCCTTTACAGCAATCCAGTAAGTATTATTAATTCTCATTTATAGATAGGGAAAGGAGGCCCAGAGAGATAACATAGTTATTCAAGTTTCAGTGGTAGTGAGTGGCAAAGTTAGGATTTAAATCTGCCTGCATGAGTCTATTCAATTTCCTTTTTCACTTTAAAACTTCTGATGGTTCCCCATTGTCTATAGAACAAATATCTTATTTATTATTGTGACATACAAACACTCCCAGACTGAAGTCAAGGTCTCTTTCCAATTTAATTTCTTGAGTGCTTTTCCACAAACTTGCCTGCAACACCAAACCAGTTGTCCCCAGACACTCCATGAACCTTCAACTCTGTGTCTCCATTGCTGCTCTTCCTTCCACCAAATGTTCTCCACCTGTGTCTGAGTCTGTTAGTCCTTTACGGTTCCACTTAAGGTCACCTCTTTTTCATCTTTTTTCTGTTTTTTTTTTTTCATGCCTTCCTGAGCTAAATGAATTATTTCTCTCTCATTTGTGTTCTGATAGTTATTACAGTACAGTACTGAGGTAGGAGGTGGGACTTGACTCTGGAGGCAGGGCTTGGACTCTGGACCAGGTTAACAATTAGCTGAAACAGGGAAGAGGTAAAAGCACTTCTTCATAAGACATGCCCACCAGTGCCCTGTCAGTTTACCATTGCTATGGCAACATCCAGAAGTTACTGCCCCTTTCCAACCACTGGATACCCAGAAGTTACCATCCTTTTTCTAGAAATTACTGCATAATCTGCCCTTTAATTTGCAAGTTAAAGGTGGATATAAATATGACTGCATAGCTACCCCTGAGCTGCTACTCTGGGCACACTGCCAATGGGATAGCCCTGGTCTGCAAGGACCAGTACCTCTGCTGCTGCTCTACACTGCTGCTTCAATAAAAGCTGCTGTCTGACAATACTGGTTCACCCTTGAATTCTCTCCTGGGGGGAGTTCAGAACCTTCCCAGTACAAACCCCAATTTTGGGGCTTGCCTGTCCAGCATCAGCATTATAAACATCTTCCTGGGTCTTCTTCTATCCTGTTAATTTGCTGAGGAAGGAACAATTTAACATTTAAATCCCTAACACCTAGTTCTGTGCCTGCCAAATAGTAGGTAGTCAGTTGATCTTTCATGTAAGTTGAGTTATACAGTTCAACATGACTTACATATGACTTACATAATTCAACATTCATAACTTTCATGAAAATATGCATAATTCAATTTACATGAAATCCCTGAATTGCATAATTGCATAATCCAGGGATTTAAGTGAATAGTCAGGGCTTCAAAGCTGAGACATCCAGACTGACATGCAGAGAAATTGAAGCATGTATATTTCTAACAGGAATGTAAAATACACAAAAGCAATCATAAATATTCTATGGTGATAGATAGTTTCACCTCAGGCTTCAGATAAATTCTACAGATTACTTTCAAAGCAGTTCAGATCAAAAAACAATCATGAAAATGAGAAATACTAGACTGAACCCTCCTTTGTTGCATGTTGGACTAGAATTGAATATATCTGTATGAACTCTTTCTGAGAGAGAGAGAAAGGAAGGTAAAGGGAGCAGCAGCAAGACAGAGAGAGAGGAGTGTATGAGAGATACACATTTTCTAGCTCTGTCCACTAAGAGGATTTAAAAGAAATGGCATTCTGGTAGAAAACAAAACATCTAGCTCCCAGATTTTCAGTCCTATGTCAAGGCTCATGGCATCTTGGAGAAATAGCTGATTCTAGGGCTAAGGGCATAGAAGGAAAGATGAATCTGGAGTATCATGTGTGACAGCAAGTAAGAAAATATGTGAAGAATGATGGTACATATCAGAACTTCATAGAAGCCAGCTTGAAGAATCTTCCAGTGGCCAAATATTGGACATGTTTAGCATCAAATAAACAGTTATTATTTGACATAAACCATCAGATATAATAGGAATTTATGAATATATTGATTTAAGCATGTAAATAAATCATGGAGATAAAAAGTATTTTTATAATATAATGCAAATTACTAAATGAGGAAAGGATTTTAGATTTGGAAAAATCATCACTCACAACCATTAATTGATTCACGCGAGGATCATTAATAGATGCTAAAATAAGTGAGTGGAAGTTTAATATAAAATTGAAATCTACACGGTCTCAAAATATCTGCCCAAAAATATTCATTACTTACAAAGGAAGTCATATGCTTTTCACAGTATTAAATTGTCAACTGCCACATTTTTAAAATAATTTTTTTATACTCTAAGTTCTGTGGTACATGTGCAGAATGTATAGTTTTGTTATGTAGGTACACATGTGCCATGGTGGTTTGCTGCACCCTAAGGGAGGGATAACTATCACTTTTAACTTAAAGATGTGACAAAGTGGCATCTTGTGCCTCCTGATATAATGTTTTGAGAATTACATTCCCTCTTTCATGATATTCTTGTGAAAGATTCAAGAACACATCAAAATAAAGACTGTATGTTGAAAAGAAAATAACTTGAAATTAACAACAAATAAACTAGAAATATATTACCTAAAACCAACAACGCATCAATATTTTGAGCTGCATGTTAAGCATGGTAACAAGTAGCCACATGTAGCTACATAAACTTTAATATAAATTAGTTAGAACATATTAAATTGCATATTCTGTTCTGAGGTCACATTAGCTACATTTCAGGTGCTAAACTGCCACATGTGGCTTGTAGTGACAGTATGGGATAGTGCAGCTATAGAATTTTGGGTAATGCAAATATTTCTGTTGGACAGAACTGATCTGAAGATCTAGACTCTACAAAGAACTCCAGCAATAAGGAATCATTAAGGAACCTAATAGAAAATAAGTGGTGATAGATAATAATGTATAATCCAAAAAAATGGGAAGCCTAAATGACTAACATGTAACACAGAAGTACAAGGTAAGACAGGAACAATACAATATAGCATGGGAAATTTACAAAAAATACTTAATCCCATTGCTGAGATAAGTGTGAGAGTAGAAAACTTTGGGGTACTGCTGGTGTGAATATAAACTAGGACAGTTACAGTGGAAAGCAATTCTCTAAGAGTATTTAATGAAATTAAGTATGCATGTGCCCTGCAACTCAGGAATCTCACTGCTGGGAAAATATTTAAGGTGAATTCTTGCATAAGTCCAATAAAATTTTGGGGTTATTTGTGGCAGCATAAATTACGAGAAAATCTAAACATCTCCATTTCTGGGAGAACAGATAAGTAAAATATTTATGAATTCTATTGGCAATGTGCAAAGGATGAAGCAACAACTAAATATAGAGAATCATGGAAAAAGTATAAAACACAATGAACTTTTGGTATAATATCATTGATGTACATTTAAAACATTAAAAAATATCAAAATTATAGATTGTATAACATTTATGTATATGTAAGAGCATTTATCAAGCAATTTACAATAGATGTCTATTTGGGGGATGAAAAAGATAGTGGAAATTAAGAATGAAAAGTATAAAAAAAATAAGAGAAGATCTTTCATAAATTAATGATAAAAACATGCTATAAACTGGGAGTATGATTAACTCATCTCTTGATATCTAAGTCTTAATATGAAAGAAGATAACTGGACCCAATATTTAGGCCAGAACAGTTTTAATGATTAAACAATCTACATTTTTGTCCAAATTAACCGATTTCATTGCAAATAATTTGTGACACCTTATAACCAAAAAAGAGTGTTTTCTAACAGAAATATTCATGAAGAATAAGCATTTAAAATGTAACATGGTATAATAACTCTGGAAAGAGCTTTGACATTTTTCCAAACTAAGTTCTTGACTCCTAAAGGAGTCATATAAGTCAGCATTCTTTAAGCACATAGCAAATTCCTGCTGTGCCTATAATTGCAAAACAGGAGATATTTGGATATCTAGGACCCCCCACTGGCAAACTACCAAGTTGTTACAGGCCTTCGATAGCTTCTTATGGACTGGAGGAATGGATGCTTGATTATGATGTGGATAAAAGAGATGGACAAATTGCATAGTTAATTGGTAAAGCCAAGTATACTTTGATGAATTTATAATCATTGAAATGAGAGAGACTGAATAAAAGCCCTACAGAGAATAATGCATTTTTTATTAATTATTTATCCTTGAATCTCCTTATTTTCTATATATGGTAAGAGAGAAAAACTCGTTTCCACTCACGTGTAGTTCAGTATTAAAAATTTAGAAAGACTTTTTGACTTCTATAACAAAAAATGCAAGGTTCCATTTATATTCCTGGCATTATCCAGGAATCTAAAACTGATGGAATATTTTCAATGGAAAGTAAAACTCTTTCCAAGAGTGTACACTTTCCATTCTTCCATTCCATTCAGTGGTTTTTTGCTGTTGTAGTGGTTGCTTTTTTTTTTTAAGTGAGGCCAACATCACATAGGAGGATATTCCTTTTCTTCAGATGTGAGTGATTAATTCAACTAGAGACTATTTAAATCAGTGTGTTTCAAATCTAAATCTAAATATACATAGCAATCACCTGTCAACAGGCAGTTCCTGATTCATTAACATGGGCTGGGGCCTGAGATTCTGAATTTCCAAGGTGTTCTCAAGCAACACTGATGCTACTGAAATGCAATGTGAACAAAAAAACTGAAATCACTCAGATACCTAAAGTTTCCAATATTTAAGAAATGTTTTTCAAAAGCATTTGAAAATAACAGAAAACATCAATATCTCCTTTGGTTGAAACTTCTGTATAACATAATCAACAATCAGTTTCATTCAGAGAAAGAGTGATTAAATCACATGAGCAGGTGATACTTACTGAAAAAAGACACACACACACAGAGTAAAGGAAAAAATGCAAAAAAAACTGATTTAATATTAATTTTCAAAATCCAAAGATGAGGCATCATTAACACTAACACCAACCATTAATTTGAATATGAATTTACTTATTAATAACATATAAAAGCGGGCGTATAAATAAGTGGTGCTGTACCTGGAAGGGAAATCTTGTTTTCTCTCCTCTCGCATTTTAGAAGAAAATATGCCTTTTTATTCTTAATGTAGCTTTCAAAAATTTATGAAATATACCAGTGTTTTCTGTCAGTAGATTCTGGAGATTTTAAAACATACTTTGTTGCAGAGCTTTATTCTAGCACAATAACTATATTTTTGCTTCTTTACCCTCTAGCTTACTCCTTCAAATTGAGATTACAGTTAAAGAAAATTTCTATTTTATTGTGTCATGTTATTTTCTCAGAAGTAGTTGGTAAAAATTATAGCCATTTGTGTACCCAAGCCAGATTCCATCATATAGTAAGTAAAATGCTTTATTCTGATGGAACTCTTTTCAGTGCTTCAGAGAACCAATTCCATTCTCTAGGAGGAGGAAGGTGACTCATTATGAAATATCAATATCAAAGTTTGGTGACTAGATACTGCAAGGTATCTCACTTGTGTACTAACAGTTTTCTTTTTAAATCCAATTCCCCACTCATGAACTGACAAAAGGATCAGAGTTACTTGTCTGCTTACTAAAATACAGATACTTACGTTAGCATTTCACAGCATCATTGCTTTACACAAATTCCTTATTTAAATCACCTCTCAAAAATGCCTGTCTCAAATGATAGAATCTTCAGGTAAAAAAGTAATTACTTCTATCTTTAATCCTGGTTACTGTTTCAAAAAATCCCCAGACTTCACCACTGAAGAAAATCTCTCTATTATTAAACCTGAGACTTGTGAGTTAACCAAGCAGATCACATATTATATCTCAAGGTAAACAATTAATTGATAATATTTTAAAACTTGTTTCAAGCTAGACTTCTTATAAAAAATAAATCAGGTGTATTTCTGTCCATTTAATAGACACAAATTTATTAGCATTTTATGAGTAAATAGAATCTGAAAATATGTATTTGTTCAACACTATAATTACACTTTACATACATAAGTAGTATTTGCAAAATATAAAATTGTTGTCAAATAGATTAAGATTATTTGTGTGTGTGTGTGTGTGTGTGTGTGTGTGTGGGTGGGTGTGTTGTTGAGACAGGGTCTTGCCCTGGCACCCAGGCTAGAGTACAGTGGCAGGATGTAGCCTTGACCTTCTGGGTTCAGGTGATCCTCCCACCTAAGCCTCCCCAGTAGTTGGGACCACAGGTAAGTGCCACCATATCCAGTCCATTTGTGTGTGTGTGGTTTTTTTTTTTTTGTTTTTGTTTTTTTTTTTTTTTTTTTTTTTGGTAGAGACAGGGTTTTGACATGTTGCCCTGGTTGATCTCGAACTCCTGGGTTCAAGCAATCTGCCAGTCTTGGCCTTCCAAAATGCTAGGATTATAGGCATGAGCCACTACACCCAGCCTATTTTCTTATTTTATAAGTTTTAAAATAGGAAAAAAATGTAATCAGTGAAAAGGTTAAGAGAAAATCTTAATCTCCAAAGATTAAGAGAATAATCTATGGTTCACCTAATAAAATTAATAATTCCTGTAAAATAATTCATCATATTGTCTACATCAGATAATATCAGATAATATAAGTCTAGATTTTCTTTTGCCCGTAAGTTGAATGGTAGCTCACTGAAATCTTTTTGGAAGCAAATCAGAAATAAGTATCATCTTTAGGAGGGTAAACATTTTGTAAGGTATTGTCCTGAAAATGCCCTCTAACATATACAGAATACATTGCTTGAAGAATAAAAAAATAGCAATTCTTATACTCTTATATTTAAAATGACAATGGCCAGGTCAGTAGAAAGTTTTAAAGGCCATTTAATGTCTTCTATGTCTATTAGTATGAGTTGTTATGATAACTAAGTCTTTAAAAATTATTTATTCTAACATACTTCTCACATTATATAAAATACTACATAAAGTATTAAATTATTAATTAGGCTAGCTACTTCTATGATAAGTAATATATACACATTTGATATAAATCTAAATGCACTCTATATAATAAGTGATGTATATGATAAAGTGCATTTAGATTTAGATTATGTATAATAAATAATATATGATACATGTGATAAAGTGCATTTACATTTACTATACATAGTAAATGCATTTATATTTATAGAGATCAAGTTTCATTCTGTTAGTTTTGTATTCAATTATCTCCTTATAAAAAACATACTAACAAAAAATTTTGATTTTGAGGAAGTATGTGAAGTATACTGTGAAAGCTAAGTATTAGGATGTATACAATTGATAAAATTCAAGAAAAGCAAATTCATTTCAGTCTCATTTTCGTTTGATTCTCCTTTAAGAAGAATAGTTTTAGTGACCTATCATCATCAGATTTTAGACTCAAATTATAAATGATGAGAACAAGATTTAACTGAAATCTAGAAAAGAATATCAAGCTACTAAGCTCTAAATATGTAAAAAGTAGAGCTAACAGAAGCTCAAAAGTAGAGGGGAGATGTAGAATGGGCCTAATTTTCTCATTTTACACATCATGAAGTCAAGGGAACCTGTAACATTGATATATTAGGAAATAAGCATTGAAATACAGTACCTAAAATTATAAAGTTTACCAACAGGCAAAGCATAAATAAGAGAAACTACTAAAATAAAGAGTACAAAATTGAGGGGGAAGGTATATAATCTTTTTTTTTAATGAAGGAAAATTTGGAAATTTTAATGAAGGAAAATAAACAAAGAGCTCTTTGTATTTACAATTGTGACCATCAAAATTAAAAGAGTAAAGCATTATTCCTTTTGGAAACATGGAGACAATATAAAATAGAATACACAGTTTTTACTTGCAGCATCAGCTTTTGTTACTTCAGTTATTTCATAGTTTTATTTTGTTATCACATTGTAATTATATTAACAAAATAAAACTATTTGTGGACTCTGAGTCTACTGGATGGAAAATCATTCAGTTGTTTACTAGCCATGTGATCATGGGCAAATTCTTAACCTCTGTAAGTTTCCTTTTTGAAAAGGGAACATAAAACCTATCTTGTTTTTTACAGTTTGGAATAAATAAAATATTGTATAAAATATTTATGCCTTATGTACTGTATCTTCCATAAAATTATTTATTATTATTTTGTCATTATCATGGTTATATTTGATGAAAACTCATGCCACCATTAATGATGTTTTATGTAATTTTTATATTATTCTTGGTAAACCATTAAATAGAATAGATGATAGGAGATTATAATGATGCTGTATCATCTGAACATCGAATTATTTTATTACAAGTACGCACTCTCAAGGAAAGAAACAAAAATTTTTTAAAGATATTTGGAATATCAACGTGTAAACAGCCTGACTTACAGCTGACAGTAATGGGTATTATACACCCATTACCAGGTGAATGGATATACTTATTGTAAGATTTTCATAAAATGAAACACCACTCAACCATAAAAAAGAATAAATTACTAATTCAGCCAATAATCTGGATGAATCTTGTATATATTATGCTAAGTGAAAAATACTAGAAACAAATTAGTTTATATTGATTCCATTATCTGAACATCTAGAACATGCAAAAGTAATCTACTTATTGCTTGCCTGAAGCAGATGGTTGGTGGAAAGATTGACAGCAAAGGAGCATGGGTATATTTCCTGGGTAGAGGTTACTACTACATATTATAATTGGGGTGAAAGTTTTATATATATATATTTTTATATATATATAAATATATATTATAGTATATATAAATATATTTATATTTATATATTATGTTTTATATAAATATATATAAAGTTATCAATTTAAATAATTAAATGGATGAGTGTTATTATTTATAAATTGTACCTCCAATGTTGATTTTAAAAAGTTTGAAGTGAGTGTGTGGGGGCCTACTTTCTATATAAAAATATAACTGGATTTTCAACATTTAATGTTATATAATATCTATTTCAATGAAGAGCCATATTATAGTCATATATATCTCATCTATAATAGAACCAGATCAACTAATTGTCCATAGTTTAATAAAATTAATTATTCACACTTAGTTAAATATGCTGACCATTTTCAGGTTGAATAATGTTAACTCATGTAGGACCTCTGCAGTAGAAATGACATTTAACAGCTTATAGATATTTAGAGATCTTAACTACTATGTTTTCTTAAGTGAATTGATTGAATTTTGAGTGGTAGGGCAAAAATATATGACCAAGATTTAATACACACGATAAAATGAAGTAAAAACTATATAAAAGAATACACATGATAAAATGAAGTAAAAAGTATATAAAAGAAAATGGTCTCCATAAATGTTGACAATGGGGACTTAACTGTTTCCTAGGTCATGCCGTTTGTCATTTTTCAAAAATTTGTTTTTAATGCTGTTACTATATAAAAATATACATGCAGTGTAAAAAACAGAAGAATGAACAATAACAGTAGGCTTTGATAATATAATGTGTTTTTACAGGTTTCTCTGAATTTTTTCAACGGTTAGAGTAAACTTCAAATAAGTAATCAACTGAGGTTTCAAGTATGTATTAATAAAGTTTCAATGACCTAGTAAGAAATTCTAAAAATAAAACTTCCAACTTGAGTGAAGTCAATTAATAAAAAGCAATGTCACAAATGTCCCTTTTTGTTTGTGTTTTTAAGGAATAAATGGTTAGCAGACCATTAAAATATAATAATTTCAATAATTTTTAAACAATTTCACAAATATAAAGAAAATAATTATGGTTCACTAATTTCCATGAAATTTAATCTGAAAATAATTCACCTCCTAAGAGAATAAATTCCTTGTTCACAAATAAGAACTGTAGGAAGATCTGAAAGTCTAATTTTAGAAGTCATTTCCTCATAAGATAGTAGGACACATTAAATATACGTATTTCATTCCATAATGTTTCATTTCTAAATTAGACAAAATTTTAAAGAACAAAAAAGCTGTTAAATATATGCAAATAGATGTACAGTTTTGAAATATAGAAAATGTCACATTCCATTATTTAAAAGTAAAAAGGGAGCTGGGCTCGGTTGCTCATGCTTGTAATCCCAGCCCTTTGAGAGGCCGAGGTGGGTGGACCACAAGGTCAGGAGTTCAAGACCAGCCTGGCCAGCACGGTGAAACCCTGTCTCTACTAAAAATACAAAATAAATAAATAAATAAATAGCCTGGCATGGTGGCATGTGCCTATAATCTCAGCTACTCAGGAGGATGAGGTAACAGAATCGCTTGACTCTGGGAAATGGAGGTTGCAATGAGCCGTGATCGTGCCACTGCACTCCAGCCTGGGTGACAGAGTGAGACTCTGTCTCAGAAAAATAAATAAATAAATAAAATTAAATTAAAAAAATAAAAAGGCATGGATGCATACACATGTGCATATACTTACATACATGCCCATATATGTAATATATATTCCATTCATTAATTTATTTTGAAGATGCAAATCTGTATCAACTCCCAGTAATGACTTCTTTTCCATTTTGTCCCATACCACAGTCTTTGTATGTTTGAACATTCCCTAGGTTTGAAATACCACTGAGCTTCCTGTTTGCCCAAGTTACCTGGTCAAGAGTTTCTTTCTCAAAGGAGCCCTTTTGAGACACCTATGAGCATTTTGAGATATAATAATATGTTGTTCCTTTCTGCTAGAGCTCTGGTATCAATCTGTCATTTACATATACATATATATACACACACACACATGCACACACATTAATTTTTATATTTGAGTTATATCTGTCTCCCTGAAAGGACTACATTGCATAAGAAAACAAAACATGTGACACTTTGGTTGTTATTATTCATCAATGTATCCTCTGTGCCCTGCAAAAAAAGGGCAAAAACAATCAGGATCAAATTCTGATATATAAACTTATCTGTACTACTAACATTTTAACCATTTTAAATAGTTTATTCTGTTTAGTCCCTTTTCTTAATGACTGAATTAATTCATTCTAATTAGTTAATTTATTTATCCATCAGATATTTTGTGACTACCTATTTGTACATCAACATTGTGTTAATTGCTAGAAGTGAAAAAATGACTGATACCTGTTTCCTTGCATTATTGGAAAGAGAAGCTCATAAATTTCGTTCATAAAATAGAATTGGAGACAGACTATATTTTCTAAAAACAGCCATAATAAAATTTCACATTTCATATGCTCATCATAAATATGATTTTGACACTCATATTGAGACGTGGGGCTTACATGTTTTCCCTTAAATCTGGCTTGTGGCTACTCTAGGACTGACTCCATAGGACTTCTAAGAGTAGGTCACAAATGGTCACAGTCTTCCCTTTGAACCTTGGTCGTTATGCTGTGAAAAAAAAGCCTCTTACAGGTGTTCCAGCTGGTGTCCCCAGCTAAGTCCTGGCTGCCAGTCCCAGCATGAGCTCCTAGACATGTGAAAGGACCAGCTCTGAGAGGATTCCAGCCTTCAGCTTTTGATTCAACCCTGTAATACCATAGGCAAGAGACAAACCATTCACACGGTATCCTTCCTAACTTACAGGCCCAAAGAATCCAGAATTACAATAAAAAAGTGGTTGTCTCAAGCCACCAAATATGAGATAGTTTGTTCTTAGGCAGAAATAGTAATAAGAACAGTAAATAATATTGGAGATGTGTATAGAAGGATGAGAAAATATAAAACGTAAGAGAGCGTTATAAGCAATAGTAATCATAGCACACTAAAATGTCCATTCTGTTTTTTTTTTCTTTTACCGAGGACATGAATATGCTTCCATGTTTTCTTCACATATAAAGATGTAACAAACGTTATCAAGTTATAGCTTTAAGGTCAGCTTGACTGCCGCATTTCACATTTTAGTGACCATCCAAAGATATGTACTTTAAATATTTAGAGTCAAAGTTTGACATACACGAGATGTGAATTTAATTGAAATATTTAAAAAATATATATTGTCATGGAGGCTTTCAGAAATGTAAACAGAATGTGAATTTATCTTTATTTGATAAGATTTTAATTTAATTTAATTTTCAGTGTGGCATTGAACATAACCAGCTGTGTCTCACTTCTGCCTGAGTTATAGGCTACTAGAAGTTTTAAAGAGGACAGCCACAGAGTGAGGGAAATTCTGTTTCCATGCTGGGAGAACATTCCGGGCGTATCTATTGATCTTTTTTCAAGAGTTCAATAAATATAAAATCTTACAATGGAGGAAATAAAGAAACATTTACTATTAAAAGTAAAGATATCTTAATATTTGCTTGTAAAGCTTACCTGTAAAGGGAGAAAATTTGTTATGCTCTTTAGTATTTTTGATATAAGATTTAAAGGCAATTTATATGAATTTTTTCTTACCTGCTGGAATCATGAAGATCATACATTTCAGGATGTAATTTCCCAACAAACTAATAATTGTAAACATATTTTATCTCACAAGAGGAATTCTTATATAAAGGGTTTTTGGTTTTTCAAGTATATCACCAATGATGAATTCAGAAATAGATATACTCAGAAGACCAATGAAATTCATGTATCTGAAGGAAAACACAGCATGTTTCCCTCCTTTTTCCCATTCTAAAGCTGTATATCCAATAAAAAAATACGTATATCACACATTAATGGCATATTTGTTGTAGACAATTTTGACAAAAGGATTTAATAAGCATTAGTAATAAATCATGTGCCATAGACTAATGTCATCCCTTTGGTTTTATCCTGTATGTCAATAGTTCTGGGTGAGAAACTGGGAATACTACTATCAGTAACAAATGATCAGAAACTCCTGAACTTTAAGAGTCACTGCTCTGTGATCAGAGAACTTCTATGATCGCTATGGTTTGAATGTGTCCCCTTCAAAATTTATGTTAAAACTTAAATCCTAATATAACAGTATTAAGAACTGGAGTTCTTAGGAGGTGTTAAATCATGTGGGTGGAGCTCTCATAAATGGGATTAATGACCTTATAAAATCACTGGATCAATCTAGGTGGGCCCTTTCTGCCTTTCCCTCCCTTTGCCATGTGAAGACACTGTAATCCTCCCCTCCAGAGGACAGAGTGTTCAAGGTGCCATCTTGGAAAGAGACCAGGCCTTCACCAAATACCAAACCTGCTAGAGTTTGATCTTGGACTTCCTAGCCTCCAATACTGTGTGAAATACATTTCTATCATTTATAAATTCCTTAGTCTGGGGCATTTTGTTATAGTAGCAAGAATGGACTAAGACAACGACTATTTGTCTTATTTGGCTCTTCTGAAACACAGGTACAATTCAGATATATACTAAAACATACACACATACACATACACATATGGACAAAAAAATAACATTTTCTTTAGATCAAATCAAATAATCCCAAACAAGGTTTATAAATATGGTAGACTTTGAATATCTGAAATAAAATGGTTAATTTGAGCAACAATGTATACATTTGTATTAAATGTACTAATATTGCTATTGACTTACTAAGTATTTAGTCTTGTGTTCTATAAGATTATCAAATTTAAATTCAACAAAATGGAATTCACCATTCCTCACCCAAAGTTCTATCCTACCTTTTAAGTTAGTTTTAAAAATAAATCTCAAAAAAAATCTGCTCAAAAGTTTAAGCTGGATTCAAGAGGTACTCTTAGACACTACTCTTTCACTCAACTCTTAAATTCAATCTCATGTATGTCTCCTATTTACCTTTTCTTCAACTTTTATTTTAAATTCCAGGGTACATGGGTAAATGTGTGCCATGGTGGTTTGCTGCACGAATCAATCCATCTCCTAGGTATTAAGTCCAGCATCCATTAGCTATTCTTCCTGATGCTCTGCCAGGCCCCAGTGTGTGTCGTTCCCCACCATGTGTCCAGATGTTTTCATAGATCAGTTCCCACTTACAACTGAGAATATGTGGTGTTTGGTTTTCTGTTCCTGCATTAATTCGCTGAGGATAACAGCTTCCAGCTCCGTCCATGGGCCTGCAAAAGACATGATTTCCTTCCTTTTTCTAGCCGCATAGTATTCCATGGTGTATATGTACATTTTCCTTATCCAGTCTACAATTGATGGGCATTTGGGATGATTCCATATCTTTGCTATTGTGAATAGCCTTGCGATGAACATACACATGCATGTGTCTTTACCGAAGTATGATTTATATTCCTTTGGGTATACAACAAGTAATGGAATTGCTGGGTCAAATGGTATTTCTGCCTCTAGATCTTTGAGGAATCACCACACTGTCTTCCACAATGGTTGAACTAATTTACACTCCCACCAACAGTGTAAAAGCGTTTCTTTTTCTCCACAACCTCGCCAGCATCTGCTGTTTCTGAACTTTTTAATATTCACTATTGTGACTGGTGTGAGATGGTATCTCATTGTAGTTTTGGTCTGCATTTCTCTAATGATCAGTGATGTTGTGCTTTTTTTCATGTTTGTTGGCCGCATAAATGTCTTCTTTTGAGAAGTATATGCTTATGTACTCTTGCCCACTTTTTAATATGGTTGTTTGTCTTTTCCTTGTAAATCTGTTTAAGTTCCTTGTAGAATCTGGATACTAGACTTTTATCAGATGGATAGATTGCAAAAGTGTCTCTAATTATGTAGGTTGTCTGTTCACTCTGATGACAGTTTCCTTTGCTGTGCAGAAACTCTTTAGTTTAATTAGATCCTATTTCTCAATTTTCATTTTTGTTGCCATTGCTTTTGTGTTTTCCTCATGAAATATTTACCTATGCCTACATCCTGAATGGCATTGCGTAGATTTTGTTCTAGGGTTTTTATGGTTTGGAGTTTTACATTTAAATCTTTAATCCACCTTGGGTTAATTTTTGTATAAAGTGTAAGAAAGGGGTCTAGTTTAAATTTTCTGCATATGGCTAGCCAGTTCTCCCAGCACCATTTATTAAATAGAAAATCATTTCCCCATTGCTTGTTTTTGTCAGGTTTGTCACAGCTCAGACGGTTGTAGGTGTGCAGTTTTATTTCTGAGTTATCTATTTTGTTCCATTGGTCTATGTGTCTGTCTTTGTACCAGTACCATGCTGTTTGGTTACTGCAGCCTTGTAGTATACTTTGAAGTCAGTAGCATGATGCCTCCAGCTTTGTTCTTTTGCTTAGGATTGTCTTGGCTATTTGGGCTCTTTCTTGGTTCCATATGAATTTTAAAATAATTTATTCTAATTCTTTTAAGACTGTCAATGATAATTTAATACAAATAGCATTTAATCTATAAGTTACTTTGGGCAATATGGCAATTTTTGCCATATTGATTCTTCCTATCCATGAGCATCGAATGTCTTCCTGTTTGTTTGTGGCCTCTCTGATTTCATTGAGCAGTGGTTTGTAGTTCTTCTTGAAGAGGTGCTTCATTTCCCTTGTTAGCTATATTCCTAGGTATTTTATTATTTTTGTAGCAGTTGTGAATGAGAGTTCATTCATGTTTTGGTTCCCTACTTGCCTGTTGTTGTGTATAAGAATGCCAGAGATTTTTGCACATTTATTTTGTATCCTGAAACTTTGCTGAAGTTGCTTATTGGCTTAAGAAGCTTCTGGGCTGAAATGATGGGATTTTCTATATATAGGATCATGTCATTGGCAAAAAAAGATAATTTGACTTCCTCTCTCCCTATTTGAACATGCTTTATTTCTTTCTCTTGCCTGATTGTCCTTGCAAGAACTTCCAATACTATGTTGAATAGCAGTGGTGAGAGAGGTCATCCTTTTCTTGTGCTGGTTTTCAAGGGGAATGCTTCCAGTTTTTGCCCATTCAGTATGATATTGGCTGTAAGTTTGTCATATATGGCGCTTATTATTTTGAGGTATATTCCTTCAATACCTAGTTCATTGAAAGCTTTTAATGTGAGAGGATGTTAATTTTATCAAAGGCATTTCCTGCATCTATTGAGATAATCATGTGGTTTTTGTCTTTAGTTCTGTTTATGTGATGTATTACAATTATTGATTTGCGTATGTTGAACCAACCTTGTATCCCAGGGATGAAGCCAACTTGATCGTGCTGGATAACCTTTTTTATGTGCTGCTGGATTTAGTCTGTCAGTATTTCATTGGGGATTTTTGCATCAATGTTCATCAGGGATATTGACCTAAAGTTTCCTTTGTTTGTTGTATATCTGCCAGGTTTTAGTATCAGGAGGATGCTGGCCTGATATAATGAGTTAGAGAGGAGTCCATTGTTTTTAATTTTTGGAATAGTTTCAATAGAAATGATACCAGCTCTTCTTTGTACCCCCGGTAAAATTTAGTTGTAAATCCATCTGGTCATGGGCTTGTTTTGGTTGGTAGGCTCTTTATTACTGCCTTAATTTCAGAACTCATTATTGGTCTAGTCAGGGATTCAATTTCTCCCTGATTCATTCTTGGGAGGGTATATGTTCCCAGGAATTGATCAATTTCTTCTAGATTTTCTAGTTTATGTGCATAGAGGTGTTTATAGTATTCTGTGATGGTTGTTTTTATTTCTGCGGGGTCAGTGGTGATATCCCCCTTATCCTTTCTGATTGTGTCATTTGATTCTTCCCTCTTTTATTATTTATTAGTCAAGCTAGCAGTCTATTTTATTAAATTTTTTTTTTTAAAAACAGCTCCTCCATTCATTGGTTTTTTGAAGGGTTCTTCGTGTCTCCATCTCCTCCAGCTTCACTCTGATCTTGGTTATTTCTTGTCTTCTGCTAGATTTTGGGTTTGTTTTCTCTTGGTTCTCTAGTTACTTTTGTTGTGATGTTAGGTTGCTAATTTGAGATTTTTCTAACTTTTTGATGTGGGCATTCAGTGCTATAAATTTCCCTCTTAACACTACTTTAGCTGTGTCCCAGAGATTCTGATATACTGCCTCTTTGTTCTCACTAGATTTAAAGAACTTCTTGATTTCTGCCTTGATTTCATTATTTGCCCAGGAGTCATCCAGAAGCAGGTTGTTCAGGGTCCATGTAGTTGTGTGGTTTTGAGTAAATTTCTTAGTCTTGAGTTGTAATTTGATTGTGCTGTCATCTGACAGACTTTTTTTTTAATTTCCTTTCTTTTGCATTTGCTGAGGAGTGTTTTACTTCTGATTATGAGATCAATGTTAGAGTGAGTAAGTGCCATGTGGCAATGAGAAGAATGTGTATTCTATCACTTTTGGGTGGAGAGTTCTGTAGATATCTATCAGGTCTGCTTGATCTAGAGGTGAGTTGAAGTTGAGGTCCTTAATATCTTCGTTAATTTTCTGTCTCAATGATCTGTCTATTATTGTCAGTGGGGTGTTAGACTCCTACTAGTATTGTGTGGGAGTCCTAGTCTCTTTGTAGGTCTCTAAGAACTTCCTTTATGAAACTAGGTGCTCCTGTATTGGATGCATATATATTTAGAATAGTTAGGTCTTCCAGTTGAACTGAACCCCTTACCATTTTGTAACTCCCTTCTTTGTCTTTTTTATTTTTTTCCATGTGTGTTGGTTTGAAGTCTGTTTTGTCAGAAACTAGAATTGCAACTCCTGCTTTTTGTTTTTTATTTGCCTTCTAAATTTTCCTCTATCCCTTTTTTTTGAGCCTATGTCTGCCTTTACACTTGAGGTGGATCTATTGAGGACAGCATATCAATGGGCCATGACTCTATCCAGCTTGCCATTCTGTGTCTTTTAACTGGGGCATTTAGCCCATTTACATTTAAGGTTAATATTTTTATGTGTGAATTTGATCCTGCCATCATGATGCTAGCTGGTTATTTTGCAGACTTGTTTATGTGGTTGCTTCATAGTGTCATTGGTTTGTGGATTACAGTATTTTTTTTAGTGGCTGGTAATGGTTTTTCCTTTCCATATTTAGTGCTTCCTTCAGGAGCTCTTGCAAGGCAGGTCTGGTGGTGACAAATTCCCTCAGCATTTGTTTGTCTGTAAAGGATCCTCTTTCTCTTTCACTTCTGAAGCTTAGTTTGGACAGATATCCAATTCTGGGTTGCAAATTATTTTCTTTAAAAATATTGAATATTAGCCCCCAGTCTCTTGTGGATTGTAAGGTTTCTGCTGAGAGTTCCACTGTTAGTCTGATGAGATTCCCTTTGTAGGTTACCTGTTCTTTCTCTCTATCTGCCCTTAATATTTTGTCTTTAATTTCAATGTTAGAGAATCTGAAGATTATGTGTCTTGGGGTTGATCTTCTTATGTTGTATCTTACTGGGGTTCTCTGGATTTCCTGAATTTGAATGATGGCCTGTCTTGCTAGTTCGAGGAAGGTCTCCTAGATGATATCCTGAAGTATGTTTTTCAAATTGGTTCCATTCTCCTGTCTCTTTCAGGTACCCCAATCTGTTGTAGATTAAGTCATTTTACATAGTCCCTTATTTCTCAGAGGTTTTGTTTGTTACTTTTCATTCTTTTTTCCTCTGTCCTTTTCTGCCTGTCTTATTTCGGAAAGATAGTCTTCAAGCTCTGTAATTCTTACCTCTGTTCAGTGTATTCTGGTATTGATACCTGTGACTGTATTGTGAATTTCTTGTGTTGTGTTTTTCAGCTCCATGAGGTCAGTTATGCTCCTCTCTAAACTGGCTCTTCTCGTTATCAGCTCCTGTATTGCTTTACCATGATTCTTAGTTTCCTTGCATTGGGTTACAATATGCTCCTTTGGCTCAGCAAAGCTCATTATTACCCACTTTCTGAAGCCTCCTTCTGTCAATTCAGCCATCTTGGCCAGAGCCCAGTTCTGTGTCCTTGTTGGAGAGGTATTGTGGTCATTTGGAGGAGAGGTACTCTGGTTTTTTTAGTTTTGAGTGTTTTTGCATTGATTCTTTCTTATCCTTGTGGGCTTATTTACCTTTGATTTTTCAGGTTGCTGAGTTTTGAATGGAGTTTGTGTGGGGTCTTTTTTGTTGATGTTTTTGTTGCTGCTTTCTGTTTGTTTATTTTTATTTTAACAGTCAGGCCATTTTTCTATAGGGCTGCTGTAGTTTGCTGGGGGATCACTCCAGACCCTAGTGGCTTTGTTTTTATCCCTTACCTCCAGATATCACCAGTGGAGACTGAAACAGCAAAGATGACAGCCTGCTCCTTTCTCTGGGAGCTCTGTCCCAGAAAGGTACTGATTATCTCTCTATTCATCTTCCCACTTTATATCTTCACTACCATGACCACTTCTCCAAATGCTCATGGTTTTACTGGTCTTCTTGCTTTCCTTTTTCTTTAAATACAATATTTACAGTGTTAATACTGCCCTCTTTTAACTACAAATATTAATAACGTACTGATCTGCTAAAAATTTAAATGGCTGAAGTACTTAAGATATATTTCAACACCCTTAATCAAGCATAAACTTCATTTAAAATTTTACACTTCCTGGTCTCAACATCCCTTCTCACCATTAAAAACTTGTGATCTAATTATTAAAAAGTACTGGTAGCTATGGAAATCATTTCAAGCATCCACGCTGTCCCTCATCTGAGTAGAGGAGTGAGAGAGAGGTAAAACAACAACAGCAGCAATGACAAAAAAAATACTCCCAAACAAGAAACAGCATGATGAGACAACACTTTCAAAGGTTTAGCAAGTCAGGGGAGATAACGGTAACATTGTGGGAATCTAAAGAAGGCTTGAATGATTGATCGGTTGATAAATGAGACAGTTTTGACCATGTTTATGGCAAAAATTAGTTCTAAAGATCAAATTCTAAAGAAGTCATGAAGAAGATAAAAAGGAACATTGAACGTTGAATAATTGTAAAAATAAATACCCAGAAAGGGAGAAATCCCTGAGCTTAAGAGTTAGAACTTTCACAATCTTACAATTACTTAGAAACAGAAACTACTTTCTTTAAATCTTGAAATTCTCTAATGGAGAAAGTGCCAAATGATAAACACAGCCCCTCGAAGGATAAAACTATATTGCAAATATGCCCTCCAAAGGTAAAACTGTATTCCAAGTAAAAGAATTAGGTAGGAGGGAGAGCCCAATTCCCATCATAAAAGGCAAGTAGGTGTCAAAAGAGATATCAAACAGTCACTTGGGGAATTAGGCGCCATTGCTGCCTAGTGGCTTGCTGAATCCATCTGGGAACAATTGCCATATTCTTGGTTTAAGCTAATAAAGTTGTAGCCTAAAGTTGTATTCCATTAAGGAATCTCTGGAGTCTTTTATTGCCTGAGGGAAACGAGAATCAGCAGTGAGGAAAATGGAATGATGAAAGATGTTATGTTCCTGGCTCTGTGTTCATAATGCATTTGTCAAATGACAGCTTATGTACTGTACCTGTATATTTTAAAATGACATTTTAGAGATTTAAGGCACTTGGTGTTTATATGTATCAAAACAAGACAAATTGACAAGAGGCCACAAACTAACATGCCACAGCAACACAAATACAAAAACCAAATCAAATTGTGGCCTTTTTTTACATGCACTCCAGATATCATTTCCTCATCTTGATAGAGTCAATGTGATAGCATTTCATTCATTGTAAGATGTTAACTATCTATATTACATGTTGCGATTATTTTTAAGGTTAGTATATTCATTTTATATAACAGCACCCCTTATGAATTCTATCCAGGAAAAAATTTATTATATCCTATGAATCCGTACATTAGTAAATTTAAAAGACATAATTAAATTAAAACTGCTTTATAGATATTAAATAATAAGACTAGCATATACACTGATTTTACAACCTATCTCTATTTTAGAAATATTTTGAAACTATGAATCATGAAAATAAAATCAAGTAGCTATATATTATTCTGATTTATAATATTATTTTACTACTATTTTATTATAATGTCCATTTATGTTTAACTTTAACAGATAAGAAAACACAGAATTATGAACATAGCACAATACCCTCATATAATTTATTTATTTTTTCTCATGAAGTCCAACATTTTAAAATAACAGGTTAAGAATAATAACTCCAAGTGAGGGCTTTATTTTTAGTACATATTATTTGAGAAAATATTAGATTGCAAAACCTAGTATGGATTTGATAATTATTTTATGTTTTTTTTTAACAGCATCTATCGGTACTGAAAAATAGGTCTTGTGGATGATTACTTAATCTGTGGATAATGTGGATTTCTGAACTTCTTACACTAACTTCACTGTATCACTCACTGACTTTCAAATTGTAGTAATTGGTAATCACTCATCAGAGCACTAACATTCATGAGAAAATATTTGTACGTTTTACGTTATTTCTATTGATCAATTTCTTCCTCAAGAATAACTTTAATTTTCTATAAAGAAGATATTCTTGTAAATTCCAAAGCAAAACTCAGAGTTGAGGCTAGCAATGTCTGTTCTTGATAGCAACAATGTGATGTAGACAAGGGCTACAGGTATTTAAAAATGTCAGGCCCTTCATAGGCCAGAATTTCTCTTATACTTAAAATTCTACCTACACAAAGGAAATGCTTAAAACTATACCTATTAACCCAACAGATATGCAAGAGCAACTACCCAGGTGACGGAGATCTCATTTACATATGTCAAATTAAGTCCCCACGTTTTAAAAAGATGCCAGAAATATAAGTGGATTTTAAGTAGGTCAGGAAAATCTACTCAGGTTTAGAAAGGCCTCTCAGCTACCAGACAAGTGATTATATCCCAGGCAGCTCTTGAAAGCCAGAAACTGCCATGCTGTGCTGAATAAATTCTTCTCAATGACCTTTCCATGACAACTTTCTCATTTCCTATAATGTGGAGACAATTAGGTGTTAAATTACGTGTTTGTGGAGCAAAGCAGCAACCTTTGAAGCAGAGGTTTTATTGAAGAATATATTGGGTGAATGTGTAAAAATAGCTCCTAACAAGTAATAGAGTTGTACAGTGTCCAGCTCCTTAATTTAACAAATGAGAAAACTGACGTCTGAATAACTTCTCTAACTTATCGAGTGCAAAACAGCAATTTTGAATCAAAGTAGTACTGGAAATCACAATGAAATTCTCAGGCTAGAGACTTTTTTAATCAACATATTAGTTTTGTACTTTTCAATAATTCAGGTTAGGCATTTGTCTTTCCAATCAACCATTCATTTAATAGCAATGTATTGATATATAATGAAACTATCTCAAACATGGAACTATCAGGAACTGTATGGCAGTTTCTACCTTTCAAAATAACACAAGTTGCCTACCCTGAGAGAAATCAGTCTTCAGCCAATACACACTCTTTTGAGGAATATCTATGCTTTGGTACTATTTTAGGTGCTTGGAACAGAGTAGTAGACAAGCCAAAAAAAAAAAAAAAAAAAAAAAAAAAAGCTGCCTTTCTCAAACATGCCCTAAAGTATATAGTAAGTGTTTCAAGCACACAGTGGTAAAAACCTGAAGCATGTACTGAAGGCATCCAGAAGGGAGACAATCAAAGAAGAGCTTCATCTTGATGGAAAAAATAGCAGAGGTCTAAAGAAAGTTTTATGAGGAAAGAAGAACAAGGTATGTTTGGTGAACCATAATATATTTTGAATGGTTGTCATAGGGGTGATTTGAGGACTTCAGAAGATAGAATAGACCTGTAGTGGCAGGCACATGTCATATAACACTAAATTTTTGCTTTGAAAACCCTGGGCAGATGGTTAAATAAAATTGTGAAAAATCACAACGTAAAACTGCATACTTTCATTCACTTCTTAAATTTCTGCTAAATTTCTATTCAATTAGAATAGAAAGGATCTCTGCCTTGCCCTTATATTCTGCCCCTGATACTGTTACTCAAAAAACTCTTAACTCAGGCAAAATCTTCTACAAGGTGACCAGAATCTCAACCAATATTTGTCACCATGTTTTTCTTTCTAGAAATGTCCTATTTCCTATTACTTTAAATCCTGCCAAATTTTCAATATCCAGCTCAAACCCTAATTCTCCCTCAATTTTCTTATCTCACCATTCAGAAATGAGCACCTGACAATTTTAACAGTTTTCTCATATTGGTTATCTTCATATGAGTAACGTATATTACTTCCTCAAATAGATTATAAAGACTTTGAGTTTAGAGAGCAGTTTTATACTTTTTTTTTAATTATCATAGTGCCTACTAAGTTACCTTATAATCCATAAAACACAATTTTAAACCACTTTGTATGAATAAATACTTTTCTGGTTAAAATGAACAATTAAATATAGTAAAATTCAACAGTAATGTGACTTCTGACAACTCCACTCAAAGCCGACTCTCAGACATCTTCCATGTAGTTCCACAGATGATATTCACCTCACTATAACACAAACAAGCAGCTTATATATGACTGAATATTTATTTTGGCATTTCTTTTTTAGTGTTATGCACTACTAATGAGGTGGGGTTGCTTGACTTTAATACTGGTGCCTTGTTTTTCACGAGTTATTATTTCATTATTTATTTTTATGTATTCTTTACTCTCACCAATGTTAACATTAACAAACATAATAAACCCATGCTGCTTACATTTTATGGAGAGTGAGAGAAATTGTATTTCCTCAAGAAAATAACTCCAAATACAGTCAGGGCAACAGCCTCACAATCAACAACAATCTTCTTACTTTTGTTCATCATGTTTTAGCTCTTTTTCCTAGAAAGAAAAGTGCTTTCCAGTGCCAACAGCTACCCACCTCCCAGCAGGTAGAGCCCGCACACCCCTATTGTAAATGATACTTATAGGAATTTTGTCCCCTTTTTTCCTTTCATTTGAGGACTTCATTGGCCACTGCCTATGTACTTTCATAAAAAAGGATCCTTACTCCTTCTCGCTTTTCCTCTGTGATCTTCCAAGGTCAAATCTGACACAGAGAGCTGTCAGAGAAGAGGGGAAAAATAAAAAGTTCTTTATTCCATTGTGTTTTTTTAATCTTTATCTTCACCGAAACTATTAAGGGGAAAGGGAAAGAAACTGTAAGGAATTGTTTTCTGCTCTCCTTGAGTTCTTTCTCATTACTCAAAGGTTTCCCTCTACATTTTTCCCTCTGGGACTCTGACCAGATTTCACAGAATATCCCAACTCAGACAATGTGTGGTTGGCGAACTAGAGACAGCAGGACTAGAAAAGACATGGCCATTTTTCATTTTAGTTGAATATTAGGTGGTCTCAGAGTTATTATGGAGCTTGTAGGGCCAGGTAACTGATATTCAAATCTACAAGAAAGTTAATATAGGAAAGGTTTCCTAAATATATAATTAAAGAAACTGACTATGGTTTGCCAATAGCACTGCTGGAATTCAGAGTTTTTTATTAGTATGTTATTTAGGTATTTGTGTAAGTCATACAACTCAAACTACAATAAGTGACTTAAAACTTTGTCCATGTTTGAATGATTCCCGAGTGATGGGCGACTGTGTTCTCACCTTTTCTAAAATAATAACAACTTTTTTGTAATGCTAGTTTTCTGCTGAATTAATCTGCAAAGCTAGGAAGAAAACTCCTAAAATGATGTTTGACTGCCATGTTGTAAATTTTGAAATGTTAAAATATTAATTAAGATGGAGGCTAAAATCCTGTATAGATTCATTTTCACTAAATTTTGATGACTTATTTTCTTTATTATTATTACTTTTTTGGAGATAGTGTCTCACTATGTTGCCCAGGATGGAGTTCAGTTGCTATTCACAGGTGCCATAATTGCACATTGCAGTCTCAAACTCTTGGCCTTAAGGGATTTTCTTGCCTCAGCCTCCTCAGTAGCTAGAACTGTAGGTGTGCAACACCACACCTGGCTTCAATATTTAAATTCTATCCCAATGCTGGTACTATAATGCGTGTATTTTTATGCTCTATATATTTTAATAAAATAGAAAAGGAAATAAAAGAAAGTTCTATCCTAGGTATCTAATAATGATACTAATAATCTTAGTAATACATATTTGACCAGTTTATGATAAAATTGACAATAGGTTATCATCGGTTCTTGATTCAATTTACTAATGAATTAAAAAGGTGGTTTTATCTATGAAACAACTTAGAAAGTAAATTACTATGCAAGGCTACTGACACTATAAAGGAATGAAGAGCATGCCATCGGTATGCACTACAGCTGGTGTTTATGTGTCATTTCCTTGTCAATGATTTTGATGCTATATACCTGATGGGCTTGGCTGAATCCTAGCATTTAATTGTAAGCGTAATTTGCCACCTCCATAGCGTGCCATCCCCAAAGTGGAACATCTGACAAATGTGCAAGCAGATTTTTACTGCAAATTTGTAACACCTCAGTGCCTGTCATTTAGAAATGCATCTGTACATCCAATATCTTATTATTACTCTCACTTTGAAAGAGTCTGTAAAAATTAATGTTGAGCGTGGAAATGATTATATTGCAAAGAAAGTATTATATAGCATTTGACACCTAATGAAAATTTCTTATACATATAAAGACACCTTTTCAGAGATATTTTTCATTTAAACACTATTTCTACGCTCTTATTCTGGTGGAAATCCATATAATAGAATGGTTTTTAGTGTATTTGATCAATCTCATGAAAATAAAAATGTTTCGGCCAGGCGCGGTGGCTCACGCCCATAATCCCAGCACTTTGGGAGGCCGAGGTGGGCAGGTCACGAGGTCAGGAGATCGAGACCATCCTGGCTAAAATGGTGAAACCCCGTTTCTACTAAAAATACAAAAAATTAGCCGGGCGTGGTGGCGGGCGCCGGTAGTCCCAGCTACTCGGAAGGCTGAGACAGGAGAATGGCGTGAACCTGGGAGGCGGAGCCTGCAGTAAGCAGAGATCGCTCCACTGCACTCCAGCCTGGGCGACAGAGTGAGACTCCGTCTCAAAAAAAAAAAAAAAAAAAAAAAAGGAAAAGAACATAAAAATGTTTCAGAAATGTAATTATAATAAGAAAAAATCAACTATGACTCTCAAATTGAGGGTAAATCTAAAAAAATAAGTACATGATTCTGTATGCAAATGTGTGCACTGGTGCCAGAACAGCTGTGAACACATATAATTGATTTGTTAATAATCTAAGATCCAGATGAATTCTTACAACCGGATATGATCATCACCTATAGCAGGCGTTGGCAAATTCTCTATAAAAATTGCAAATATTTTAGTCTTTGGAGACCATATAGTATTTGTTCCAACTCCTCAACTCTCCTAGTGTCAGAAAAAGCCAGTCATAGGCAGTACATAGACAAAGGGTAAAGCTGTGCTTTAATAAAACTTACTTCACTAAGTTTTTCACCAGTATTTCAGACTGGATTTAGTCCTGGGCGATAGTTTGTCCATTCATAATCTGCAGACAAAAACCTAATATGTGTTATACTTAACAAATGGCTCAAGTCAAACATTTATTGAAAATTAATTGCCTAGTCCTTTTTGCTATTTGAATTCACTGGGCCTTTAATTTGAGAGTTATCATAAATCAAAATGTTTATATTTTGCTATGGCATTTGGGATATTAAAGGTTTATATTATACCTCGATATTTATAAAGCAAAATATACGAGAGAGTATCTGGGGAGTCAAGGTATTGAGAGTATTTGAATAGATTACTGTATATATAAACATATATACACATATAAATACATATTCATACACGCATATATAGACACACAGGGATAATTTTTTGTAGCATTTTTGACCCCCACCTTAAAAAGCCAACACTCATAGTGACTATTTTACCATAAAATATATAGTATATATACTAAATGCATACATATGTAGGTTCTAGAATAATATTTATAAGTAAAATATTGACATATCAAAAAGAACTAGATGGCTCCCTTCTAATGACTTGTAAAATACTTCAACTGTGTCTTTTCAATGACTAAATAAAAATAACCAGAATAAACAAATTTTCTAAATACACATGCAAATATTTTCTATATTTTAAATCTTTGTGCCTCCTAGGCAATCCAGAATACTTTTCTTTTGTCCTGTATTACTTAATATTGGCTTATATCAGGAAATATTAAGTACATGTTTTCTTTCCTCCATTCACTTTCTCCTACTCATTCATTCTTTTCTTGAGTCCCTTCCACTTATGTGTATACTTTATAAAAAATTATTTTCAAATAAAATAAAAATAATAATTTTATCCATTTACCTATTTGGGAGAAAGAACTATTACAATACTTTATAACCAAATTAATACCCTATATTGTGTTTTTATAAAATTATATCCATTATGCCATACACAGCATGATATATCCCTTTCCAAAACTGTTTTCCCCAAACATTGCCTAACAGATATTCTTTCAATAATTAACTACTTCAAGTCTTGATTTTGGTATAGATACAAAAAATTTTTCATTAGATCTCTGATTGCATTGAGACTGGATTTATAAAGAGGAGCTAAGTCAATATTTTATAACATCCTAAACAACAAAAGTTTAGAAAATCTGAGTATCATTTTGCTTTGTTTTGTTTTTTTGCAGAAAGATACGTCTACAATGGACTGGGTTAACAAATATGCTTGTGGCTATACATACTAAATGTAGAAAATTAAAATAAAATACTAAAAATAGTTAATTTTTAAACATTAAAAGTCGTTGTTTTGTTGTGATTTGTAAAGCATTTTATTAAATTCTGTTTTTACCTCTGGATTCTAAAACCAATTTTTACTAAATATTTAGGGTTTGCATTTTTATCTGATTACTCAATGTTAAGTTTTTTTTTGTGTGTCTTTAGGCATAAAAGTGTATTAGTGCACAAATTAAGTGTAAAAATATAATCTATTAATATTTAAATAATTTGAAAACTAAATGATATATGCTTTAAAACTAAGATATAATCCAAAATTTCATATATGTATTATTCTAAATCTGAATGTTGAATTAAAGTCTGTATCTCGCTTTCAATATAAGAGATTCACATTTCTGTCTGATAATAATTTAGCTCTTCAAAATTTAATTATTTTACATCACTTCTGCCAAAAATCATGAACTTGAGCCCAAATCAATCCAATCTTCTAACCACTGAAAATTAGACATAAAATAAGTTGTATTTTCAAAAAAGTTTTGGCTTTCAAAGAACATAGGAAAACATATATGATTGTAAAAATATACTATAAAAACAAAATTAAACCTGTAAAATAAAATGAGAAAGATAGAAAATTAAAAATTATAACATTGTGTATGATACATGCTTATATTTATTCAGTCATATTATTAATCTTTCTGTAATGTGTAAATAAATGAAAAGTATAGAATTCTATACTGAACTAATAGTCTTATATTATCAGTAAATATTAATATTGAATTAGATTCATCCCATAAAGTTAAGGAATATTACCTTTTTGTTGCTAATTCTGCAATTCAAAGAAAACACATTTTTAAAATATAAACAAATTAAATTATGAAAAAAGCCTATAGTATGATTACGGTTCAGAACCAAATAATTATTCAAATTTAATCTGTATTCTAAATAGAATATTGGATACAAGTCTATTTCTTGCCCTTTCTCTAAATAATATTGGTCTTTGTACAAATATTCAAGGCCAAAAGAAGCAGCTAGAAAAATGAATGCCTTAATATGTGTTTTTCCTAGTCTATACTGCTGTATTGGAAACTTAATTATAAACAATACACATTAGATTCCACAATGACAGTCTTACTCATCAGTCCATAATTCAAACCAATTGGGAAAAAAAAGACTCTATGGGACTTGTTCTGTTTAATGTCAAAAAGTAGTTATATTATTCAAGGTCAAATTTGCTTTCTTGCATTTTTTAAAACAGCATTTTCTCAGCTTTTCTTCCATCACTGCAGATAATTAGACAGGTGCTTTATTCCTGATTTTGAAGACAAAAAAAGAATCTAAGTTCAACAACCAGCCTTCATTTATTCACTATTCATGCTGAGAATGATTTTTCATTGTATTTTTATAGAAAATCTTTATGTGTATTAATACCTCTAAAACATGTAGCTTCATCTATCCCTTCACATCTATCCCTTCACCCCCTTTCATTTCTTTCTTTCACTCAACAGAAAATGGCAAACAATTAACCCAGGTTGCTAAATTTGGTGCATCCAAACTTCACAAGTTGATAGCATAATTATTTTAATAACTACCTTAAATGTAACATGATGACAAGTTGACACTAGGCTTTGCGTCCTGCAATTTTATTTTCTAGCATTCTATTTTTACAGGACAGGAATAGTAATATGATTGGAGTGAATGTTACAATGTTTTCTTTGCTTCTGATTTAGGTCTGATACACATATTTAGTCTAGTTTTTTTTTCAAAATATTCAAGGTAAAGACTATGCCAAGTTGGACAGGGGCTATCTGAAAAGAGCAGAGACAATATAACACTAGTCATACTAATGTTTCCTCATCAGTGAAAATAAAATACATAAACATAATTTCTTTCTTGACTTTTGATAATTCAATAGAATTTTCATACAAATATGACAATGCAACTTCTGTTCTATTTAAATAAAGACTTTAATATACTTAATATTTATCTTTTTAGTCACTAATAATCTTATAAACAAATTAATTTTTTCTTTTAGAAAAGATCTTTATCTGTTTTAGTAGAACTCAGTTTCAGTGAAATGTTAGACTGTAGCACGGTTTTTAGTACTTTTGTAAAAATAAAAGTAATCCTTTAGCCTAAGAGTACACAAATTGTAGGGATGATGTATGTCACATATTAATATACAATATGCATTACTTAATGATAGTGACACTTTCTAGGAAATATGTCTGTATATTAAACAATGTGACTGTATATTAAACAATATCTACAGTTATTACATTTATGTCATGACAATTTGTCCTATTATTTTATCTGGCTTGAAAAAATATTTCTTGCTCATCATTCCTGATTGTGATGATCAATTAGTAGCACCTATCAAACCATAAATAATTGTATTCCGAAGAGAAATATAATTAAGAAATCAGTTTTTTAAATGTTGATGAAATGTTTATATCCAAATTAAATAAACACACATTTATTTATTTGACTAAAATTGTATGCATTCTAAAAAACATATTAAATTTCTATATTTCTATTATTGATCCCCAATAAAGAAAAATAAAGACACGAGGGAAAAAGACTACGAATGTATAAGAGTATGAAATTTTTGCCAGCAGAAGTTACAGGTGTTTTCCTTCCTGCAGTGCTCTAGAGAACTCACTGCTCTATTCTAAGTTGTCAGAGGTTGCCTACTTATTCAATGCCATTTATTAATTGGCTTCTAAAGTCAATAGTGATGGATACAAAAAAATAATTTTTTTTCTGACTATAAATATCCCGGGGAAACAAAGTGGATTTTTTTTAACTTCCTTTGATATAAATTTGTCTTCTATGTTTGTTTGGTTCGGAGATTATTAAACATTTTCAAAGTCCTAGTTCAGCTTCTTGATCCTCTACAGAATTGTAGATAATATGTGCAAATGCTAAGAATCCTCACTATTGATATAATAAGCTTCTCTTTCTTGGTTAGATTCATAATTTCTTATAACAGACTTACTTCCTGGATGTCTCAGAGAAGACAAAGTCCTTGGCTCAATAACTTAATAACCCAGTATTTTTCTTTAATCCTTGCCTCACATTTTAATAAATGTCAAAATCTCAAACTCCTCAAATATTTGCACGTTTCCTTAGTTCAATTGCTAATGGCTTCTAGTTTTTAAGTTTGAACTACCTATTCTGAAAAAGAGGTTAAAATCTTTTTGAAAGTCTCTCTCTTTTTAAATTTCAAAGCAATTCAAACATTTTGACCACAAAAATAAAGTGACTGTTTTTTCCCCCTAAGATCTCCTTACTTTTCCTTTGGTGATATTCTTGAGGAAGGCTCTGAAATATTTAGAAAATGATTATGAGGGCTGGAATAGCCTGCTATTCCCAACTAAAGTACAGTAAGTGGTTTGAGATTGCATTCAGTAACATTCATTTAACAAGCATATTCCAAAACTACATCTCTAGACATAAATACCTGACATTACCAATTAAGCATATACAGTACTAAGACATTATATCATTTGTAAGTTAAAGACAGAAGGCACTGTTCAACTATTAGAAATATTAAGATATCTTAAGAATGTTATGAACACAGAGATACAGATATTTCACACCTAAAGTTTGCTTTCATTTCTACTATTACCTGTTTTTCTTAAAAGCAGAAAAAATAATATGATAGACCCTGTTAAAACTGAGAAGGAGGTTCTTAAGGAAAATTGTAATTCAAGGAACTTAAGCTTTTATGTTTCTTGTTTATTAGTATATCTAGATAAATGCTCTGAATAGCTGTAAGGAAAATGTCCTCTCAGTGTGGTCCCTGGACCAGAAGCATCAACCTTATGTGGGAACATGTTAGAAATAAAACCTCTGTAGCCTGTCCCATACCTACTAAATCAGAAAATCTGCGGGTATACATAGAAATATGATTTTAACAAGACCTCCAAGTGAGTCTTATGTATTCCAGATCTGTCTGGAGTTAAAGAAGATAGATATAGCTATAGCTAATCCTAGCGAAGTGTACGGCTATATTTATAGGGTGATTTTCTTCTTCCTGTTGCTGTATAACGCACTTGATATAACTCACTTGATCAAGCTTTTCTTTCCCCATAGATTTTCTGAGTTGTATTTCCTGGATACATTAAACTACTCACCCTTCTTTGCTTTTTCAATTTTTGTAAATTTCCTACCACACATTTTCATAAAATTCTGTAACACTTGTCTTTTGGTTTCCAATTTTATAGCTGTTTAATTTCTCTGCATTATCTAGTTTCTGCTCCATTCTATTTCTACATCAAGACTTTTCAAACTACAATGTGCATATGAAACAACTTAAGATCTTGTTAAAATGCATATTTAATTCAATTACTTGAGTGTGGGACCTGAGATTCTGCATTTCTAAAATGTTTCTGGATGATGTTCATGCTGCTTATGCAGAGACCAGATTTTGAGTAGCAGCATAATTATTTCAGATACATCCGGACACAATTTGCCAAATGCTTAAACAGTGATGCCAAATATACTGTCTCTGGTTGGTTTAATAGTGGCCTCTTCAAAAGACATGCCTATCCAGGACCTCTGAATGTCACCTTGTTTGGCAAAAAAGTCTTTGTGCATGCAATGAAGTTAAAGATCACAAATCAAGATAATCTGGGATTACCCGAGTGAATTCTAAATAAAATGATCAAATGTCCTTATAACAGACAGAAGAGGCCAGGCACGGTGGCTCACACCTGTAATCCCAGCACTTTGGGAGGCCGAGGTGGGGAGATCAAGAGGTCAGGAGTTCAAGACCAGCCTGACCAACATGGTGAAACTCCGTCTCTACTAAAAATACAAAAAAAATTAGCCAGGCATGTTGGCGCACACCTCTAATCCCAGAGACTCAGGAGGCTGAGGCAGGGGAATCACTTGAACCCGGGAGGCGGAGGTTGCAGTGAGCCGAGATCATGCCACTGCACTCCAGCCTGGGTGACAGAGTGAGACTCCATCACCCCCCTCCCCCCCAAAAAAAAAGACAGAAAAGAAGAGGATATAAACACAGCAGAGAAAGCCATGTGAAGACAGATACACAGATTGGAGTAATGCAGCTCCAAACCAAACAACACCTGGGGCCATCAGAAGCTAGAAGAGGTAAGAAAATATTCTTCCCTAGACCTTTGTTGAAGTATGAGGAATTAAATTGCAATTGTTTTAAACACTCAAGATTTTAGTATTTTTAGATTGTAGTGCTGGGAAATTAATACAATTTCATGCCCACAATCTGTAAATAAATGTTTCTTTCTTATGTAGGTGTTGTTCAGCAGAATTCAAATTTTCAACAACAGGGTATCTAGCACATATGATAATTCACATATAGTTCTGGACAGTATTTGGAGATGCTTAGATAAACACAAAACCCTTTGCTCATGTAGTTCAAATAGAGAGGAAAAAGAAAGACAATAAAAACAATTAAAAAAAGTTAGAAAAAAATAAATGCTATGTGAATATAAAGGAAGGCAAGGGGTATCAAAAGTATAATAAAGAATGATGGGTGTTGCAATTATAAATATGGCAGTCAGGGTGGGCGTCAATGAGAATATGACATTTAAAGAGACTAGAATATGACTTGAAAGAGATGAGGAAGTTATTCATGCAGTTAACTCCTGAAGAGCACTTTAGGTAGAGGAAACAGACACTGCAAAGGCTGAAGGAGAAGTACCTGATATGCTCAAGAAACAATAACGTGCCAATGTGGCTCTAATAGGGTGATAGTAATAATGAAACTAGTTATAATAGCAAATATTAATAGTTAATATTTATTTAGGGCTTAGTTTACTATATTTCAGATAACTCATATGGTTTACTTTAATAAATCTTTCTATAACCTTACTAGTCAGTGACTTGTACTCATTTTACAGATTGGAAGGTTGAACCTTAAGAAGTAAAATCACTTTCCTAAGGCTAGATATCTAGCTCATGCAGAAGTCATGATTTACATCTAAAGTCTGAGTACAAAGTTCATCCTTTTGATCAGGACACAGTAATGACTCCTAATTGGGTGATATTAAGAAATGTAATTTATTTGGAAGATTAATGGCAAGTATTTAAAAATAATTAAAACTGTATGAGCAGGGAATTCTTATTTTAGCTTTCTCATATAGGGTTTGGAAGATACTATTCCAAGAAGTAAAAAAGCTGAACAAACTAAATTCAACTGCTTCCCTTGCACTCATCAGAGAATTGAAGTTGTAGGGCAAACTGTCACCCCAAAATCTGGAGAAAGAAGTGATCTCAGAGAGTCACAGTTGAAATCTGCTTACTTGGAGCAACTGCCACCAGACACATAAACTGTTATGAACAGTTAAATGGTAATTTTGATAAATTAGTTGTGTTTGAATGTGAGTTAGAACATGAGTGAGAAACTTCTGAAGGCCACAGTCTTAGCAGTTTCCACATATTTGTGGATTTTACCTTAAAGGACACAACGATATTCTCCAATAAAGGGCCCAGAAAAACTCTGAAGTGCTTTTAAACTCTGAAGGGTAATCTACATAACAAAGGTTTACTTTCCAGTGAAAAAGACTTGAGCAGAGCCTAACTTTACTTGGGTAGACAGCCTTTGCCCAATTTCAACCCTCTGTAACTTTCATGTCTCTCCTAAGTGAGATGAGCAGGAGAAGGTGAAGCAAAACTTGTGAAATTCACATACTAGGGACAAAGGCCAATACAAGGCTAAGATTTAATCACAGGATTCTGAAAGGTACCCTTTCTTCGGCACCTTACTACCATGAACAGGTCTCTTGAATAATAAAAGTGGATTACAGCTTAAAGAGCTACAATATTCAGCCTCGACCTAATGAGTGGTTGTCAAGCAAGCCCCCGGACAACAGGGTGCTAGACATTTGAAGCCTCTGACACCTACAGCTACAGCAATGTTAAACACAGTCCAACTCCTAGCAAGATTAACATAAAACCTCACACTAAAGGCATATTTCCCCATTTCCATCGCTCCTAACATAATACCCAGATTTCAATAAGAAATTACAATGCAGACAAAAAGGCAAGAAAATCTACACTCTGAAGAGACAAAGCAAGCATCAGAAGTATACTGTTATTTATGCTATACAGATTTTGGAATTACCAAACAGGAATTTAAAATAGCTGTTACGTTGTTAATGTAATCAAAGACAAAAAAATAACATGCAAAGCATATGGTTTATGTAAGCAGAAACGTAAAAACTCTAAGAATCAAAAGGAAATGAATGAAGTCATGAATGCTGTTACAGAAATGAAGAATGTCTTTGGAGAGATCATCAATAGATCAGAAATATCCCAAGAAAGAATCAGTGTGCTTGAAGATATGTTAATAGACACTTACCAAATGAAATTGCAAAAAGAAAAAGAATGACAAAAATAGAACAGAACATTGAAAAATTGTGAGACTATTTTAAATGGTGTTAACTTATGTTAATTGGAAATCCAGACATAGAATAAAGAAAGAAAAGAATGGAAGAAATACTACAAGTAATTATGGCCAAGAATTTTCCAAAATTTTGACAGATAACAAATCTCAGATACAGAAATTCAGAGAACACCAAGCAGGATAAATAGCAAAACTTCTACACTTAAGCATTTATTATATTCAAGCTGAAGAAATATAAAAACACAAAAAAGTCAAAAGATGAAACACAATACCGATTAAAGAACAAGAATTGTAGACAATTGTCAACAGAAATTAGGCATTAAAGAAGAGTGAAGTGAAATATTTGACGTGTTGAAACAAACAGAATCCTAGAGTTCTACGTCAGGCAAACTTACCCTTCAAAAGAGAAGGAGAAACAAACATTCTCAACAGTATAAAAACTGATGAAAGTCATCACCAATAGACTTGTACTGCAGGAAATATTAAAGAATTATTCAAGGAGAATAAAAATGACAATGACACAGTTCAGAAACTCAGATCTACATTTAAAAAATGCATCTAATAAAGAATAAATATAAAAGATATATTTTCTTTCTCTTATTCTTAATTGATAACTGACTGATTAAAGTAAATTGACTATATATTGGGTGGTTATATGGTTTATAAATAAATAAAATGAACTCTAGAAATATCATAAGTGATGGGAGTGAAAAATTAGGTATGCTTTTTTATAAAGTATCAACACTACATGTGAAGAGTATGGTATTATTGGATGAGGGACTTAGACTAGTTAAAAATTTAGATTACGAACTCTAAAAAATAAAAAAATTGTACAATATTTTCAAACTAAAACAAAAGTAAACTAGAAATTAAGAGATAGCTAGAAAATCTATAAGTATTTGAAGATCCAAAAAATACTTTTAAGTAACATACAGGTCAAAGAAAAAGTCTTGAGATATTTTAAAAATATTTTGAAATAAAAAAGAAAATGCAACTTAATGTGGGAGATATGACTAAAGCAGTTCTTTGAGTAAATATATAGTATTGAATGTATATATTAGAAAAGTAAATAAAATCAATAATCTAAGCTTCAACAATTAAAGTAATTAAAAAGAACAATTTAACCCTAAATAAGGCAGAAGAAAAGCAATAATAATAATACTTAAAAAATACTTCAATGAGAATTTCAGCAAGACTTACTGAAAGAAGGAAAACAATAGAGAAAATAAGAACATGAAAATCTAGTTTTATGAAGAGTAAGAAAATTCATAAATTTAACCCAGTTAAACCAAGAAGAAAGGACAAAAGACACAAGTTACATATATGAGAAGTGAATGAGAGGTCATCACTAGTAATCACATCACTTTTAACAAGATAATAAGTGATATTATGAATATTTCTATGCCCATATCTGATAACTTAGATACAACAATACCTTGAAAGACACAAACTACCAAAACTCACACAAAAGAAAAAAAATAGATCATATACGTAATAATTAATAACTTTCACATAAAAAAAGCATCAGGACCACATAGATTTCACTTACAAATTCTCCCCACACTTAAGGCAATTGATAGTAATCATAATCTCTTCCATAAAGCAGAAGCATAGAAAACAATTGCTGGCTAACTGCAGTGGCTCACGCCTGTAATCCCAGCATTTTGGGAGCCTGAGGCAGGCAGATGGCTTGAGCTCAGGAGTTCGAGACCAGCCTGGCGCAACATGGCAAAACCTTATCTCTACACATACAAAAAAAGAAAAAAATAAATAAAAATAGTAGCCAGGCATAACGGTGTGTGCCTGTGGTTCCAGCTACTTGGTAGTTTGAAGTGAAAGGATCATCTGAGCCTAGGGAGGTGGAGGTTACAGTGAGCTGTGATTGCACTACTTC
This sequence comes from Homo sapiens, assembly GCF_000001405.40. Lineage (NCBI taxonomy): Eukaryota > Metazoa > Chordata > Mammalia > Primates > Hominidae > Homo > Homo sapiens. The sequence continues at coordinate 184,799,575 of NC_000002.12, read as the reverse complement.
ACTGCAGCTTGGGCAACAGGAGTGAAACCTTGTTTCAAAAAAAAAGAAGAAGTAGAAGATACTTGCTAATGCCTTCTTAACCATCGTTACTCTAATGCCAAATCCAGATTACAATATGATAAGGAAGGAAAACTGTAGCTTAATATATTTCAGGTACATAATGCAAAAAAACTTCAAAACATAGAATACAATATATAAAATAACATAATACACCATCACTAAGTGGGGTTTATATGAGTATGCAAGGCTAGTTTGACATTAAAAAAAATCAATCGGTGCATCAGGAATCATCATGGCGGATGAGAGGCAGAACTAGATTGCAGCTCTGACTGGGACAGACAGCAGTGAGTGGAGGCTGGCATCATGAATTTTAGCTCCATATTGATGCAAGAACAAACCAGCAATCTCCAAAGGACCCACAGACCCTCTAGAGTGCTCCTCCAGGACCTGGGAGACACACCAAATACTGTGCTGGTATCCATGGCTGAGAGACCTACAGACGATTCATATCACAGGACTCTGTGCTGACAGCCCGCGGTACCAGAGAGACTTGCTGAGTGGCTAGACCGAGAACAGAGACAGCAATCATTGCAGCTTGGTTCACAAGAAGCCATATACATAGGAAAAGGAGGAGACTACAACATCAAGGGAACACCCTGTGGGACAAAAGGATCTGAACTACAGCCTTCAACCCTAGACCTTCCCTCTGACATAGCCTACTCAAATGAGAAGGAACCAAAAAACCAACTCTGGAAATATGACAAAACAAGGCTTTTTAACACCCCCAAAAATCACACTAATTCACCAGCAATGGATCCAAACCAAGAGGAAATCCCTGATTTATCTGAGAAAGAATTCAGGAGGTTAGTTATTTAGCTAATCAGGAAGGAACCAGAGAAAGGTGAAGCCCAATGCAAGGAAAACCAAAATATAATACAAGAAGTGAAGAGAGAAACATTCAAGGAAATAGCATAAAGAAAAAACAATCAAACTTCAGGAAACATTGGAAACACTTATAGAAATGCAAACTGCTCTGGAAAATCTCAGCAATAGAATTGAACAAGTAAAGAAAGAAATTCAGAGCTCAAAGACAAGTATTCAAATTAACCCAATCCAACAAAGATAAAGAAAAAAATAAGAAAATATGAACAAAGCCTCCAAGAAGTTTGGGATTATGTTAAATGACCAAACTTATGAATAATTGGTGTTCCTGAAAAAGAAGAAAAATCTAAAAGTTTGGAAAATATATTTGGGGGAATAATCGAGGAAAATATCCCTGGCCTTGCTAGAGACCTAGATATCAAAATAAAAAAAAGCACAAAGAACACCTGGGAGATTCATTGCAAAAATATCATTACCTAGGCACATTGTTATCAGGTTATCTAAAGTTAAGATGAAGGAAAGAATCTTAAGAGCTGTCAGACAAAAGAACCAGGTAACCTATAAAGGAAAGACTATCAGATTAAAAGCAGATTTCTCAGCAGAAACCCTACAAGGGAGAAGGGATTGGGGCCCTATCTTCACACACACACACACACACACACACACACACACACACACACACACACATATATCAGCCATGAATTTTGTATACACTGAAACTAAGCATTATATATGAAAGAAAGATACAGTCTTTTTCAGACAAACAAATGCTGAGATAAGTCACCACTACCAAGCCACAACTATAAGAACTGCTAAAAGAAGCTCTAAATCTTGAAACGCATCCTGGAAGCACATCAAAACAGAAACTCTTTAAAGCATAAATCACAGAGGACTTATAAAACAAAAATATAAGTAAAAACCCAAAAACAAAGAGCAAAAAATCCAAGGTACACAGGAAACAAATAGCATGATGAATGCAACAGTACCTCACATCTCAATACTAACATTGTATGTAACAGGCAACAAATAGCATGATGAATGGAATGGTACCTCACATTTCAATACTAATGTTGAGTGTAAATGGCCTAAATGCTCCACTTAAAAGAGGCAGAACTGCAGAATGGAAAAGAACTCACAAACCAACTATCTGCTGCCATCAGGGGACTCACCTAACACACAGACTCATATAAACTTAAAGGGAAGAAAAAAGGCATTTCATGCAAATGGACAACAAAAGCAAGCAGGGGTAGCTATTCTTTATATCAGACAAAACAAACTTTAAAGCAACAGTGGTTAAAAGAGACAAAGAGGAACAATATATAATGGTAAAAAGCCTTCTCCAACAGGAAAATAACACAATCTTAAACATATATGCACCTAAATCTGGAGCTCCTAAACTTATAAAACAATTACCAATAGACCTAAGAAATAAGATAGACAGAAACACAATAATAGTGAGGGACTTCAATACTCCACTGATGGCACTAGGCAGGTCATGAAGACAAAAAGTCAAGAAAGAAACAATTGATTTAAACTATACCTTGGAACAAATGAACTCATCAGATACATACAGAACATTTCATCCAACAACTGCAGAATACACATTCTATTCAACAGTGCATAGAAATTTCTTCAACATAGACCATATGATAGGCCATAAAACAAGCCTCAATAAATTAAAAAAATTGAAGTTATATCAAGCACTCTTCAGACCACAGTGGAATAAAGCTGGAAATCAACCCCTCAAAAAAATATTCAAAACCATGGAAGTATATGGAAATTAAATAACCTGACCCTGAATAAGCATTGGGTCAAAAACAAAATCAAGATAGAAATTAAATAATTCTTCAAATTGAACAACAGTAATGACACAACCTACCCCAACCTCTGGGATACAGCAAAGTCGATGCTAAGGGGAAAGTTCATAGCCCTAAATGCCTACATCAAAAAGACTGAAAGAGCACAAACTGACATTCTAAGGACACACCTCAAGGAACTAGAGAAACAAGAAGAAACCAAAACCAAACCCAGCAGAAGGAAGGAAATAACCAAGATCAGAGCAGAAATAAATGAAATTGAAACAACAACAACAAAAAGATACAAAAGATAAATGAAACAAAAAGTTTGTTCTTTGACACTACTGAAATAAAAAGATCATTCAAGGCCACTATGAACACTTTTATGCACATAAACTAGAAAACCTAGAAGAGATGGATAAATTCCTGGAAAAATACAGCCCTCCTAGCTTAAACCAGGAAGAACTGGATAACCCGAACAGACCAATAACAAGCAACAAGATTGAAATGGTAATTGAAAAATTACCGACAACAACAACAACAAAATTCCAGGACCAGACAGATTCATAGCAGAATCCTACCAGCCATTCAAAGAAGAATTGGTACTAATCCTATTGACACTATCCCACAAGATAAAGAAATAACGAATCCTCCCTAAATCATTTTATGAAGTCAGTATCACCCTAATACCAAAACCAGGAATGGACATAACCAAAAAAGGAAACTACAGACCGATAGCCTTGATGAACACAGATACTAAAATCCTTAACACAATACTAGCTAATTGAATCCAACAACATATCAAAAAGATAATCCAACATGATCAAGTGGGTTTCATACCAGGGATACAGGGATGGCATAACATATGCGAGTCAATAAATGTGATTCACCACATAAACAGAATTAAAAACAAATCACACGATCATCTCAATAGATGTAAAAAAAAAGCATTCGACATGGTAATTTTTTAATAACCATTTCAATCTCTCTGATTGTTATTGGTCTGTTCAGGGCATCTAATTATTCCTGATTTAAGCTAGGAGGGCTGTATCTTTCCAGAAATTTATCCATCTCTTCTAGGTTTTCTAGTTTGTGCACATAAAGGTGTTCATAGTAGCCTTGCATGGTCTTTTTTATTTCAGCAGTGTTAGTTGTAATATATCCTGTTTCATTTCTTAGTGAGGTTATTTGGATTTTCTCTCTTCTTTTCTTGGTTAAACTTGATAAAGGTCTATCAATTTTATTTATCTTTTCAAAGAACCAGCTTTTTGTTTCATTTATCTTTTGTATCTTTTTGTTGTTTCAGTTTCATTTATTTCTACTCTGATCCTGGTTATTTCCTTTCTTCTGCTGGGTTTGGGTTTGATTTGTTCTTTTTTTCTCTAGTTCCTTGAGGTGTGACCTTAGATTGTCTGTTTGTACTCTTTCAGACTTTTTGATGTAAGCATTTAGGTGTATCAACTTTCCTCTTAGCACCACCTTTGTTGTACTGCAGAGGTTTTGCTAGGTTGTGTCACTATTGCCATTTGGTTCAAATAAATTTTTAATTTCCACCTTGATTTTGTTTCTGACCTAGTGCTTAATGAGGAGCAGATTATTTAATTTCCATGTATTTGCATGGTTTTGAATGTTTGTTTTGAAGTTGATTTCGAGTTTTATTCCACTGTCGTCTGGGAGAGTGCTTGATACAATTTCACATTTCTTTAATTTATTTAGGCTCATTTTGTGGCCTAAAATATGGTCTACCCTGGAGAAACTTCCATGCACTGTTGAATAGAATGTATATTCTGTGGTTGTTGGATAGGTGTTCTGTAAATATCTGTAAATCCATTTGTTCTAAGGTATAGTTTAAATCCATTGTCTCTTGGTTGACTTTCTGTCTTGACGACCTGTCTAGGGCTGTCAGTGGAGTACTGAAGTCCCCCACTATTATTGTGTTGCTGTCTATCTCACTTCTTAGGTCTATTAGCAATTGCTTTATAAATTTGGGAACTCCAGTATGTTAGGTGCATATATATTTAGGATTGTGATATTTCCCTGTTAGAAAAGGCCTGCTCACTTTTGTTGTCCATTTGAATGGAATTTCTTTTTCCACCCCTTTACCTTAAGTTTATATGCATCCTTATTTGTTAGATGTGTCTCAAAGGCAGCAGATAGTTGGTTGGTAAATTCTTGTCTATTCTGCAATTTTGTATCTTTTATGCAGAGCATTTAGGCCGCTTACATTCAACATTAGTATTGAAATGTGAGGTACCATTACATTCATCATGCTATTTGTTGCCTGTATACCTTGGTTTTTTTGTCTTTCTTTAAAAAAGTATTTTTGTTCTATAGGTACTATGAGATTTAAGGCAAAAGGAAGTCAGTAAACAGACAACTCACAGACTGGGAGAAATCTCCAAAATCTATACATCTGACAAAGGACTACTATCCAGAATCTACAATGAACTCAAACGAATTAGCAAGAAAAAAGAGAAACAATCCCATCAAAAAGTGGGCTAAGGACATGAATAGACAATCATCAAAACAAGATATACGAATGGCCAACAAACGTATGAAAAAATGCTCAACATCAGTAGTGATCAGGGAAATGCAAATAAAAATCACAATGCAATATCACCTAACTCCAGTAAGGATGGACATAATAAAAAAAAATTAAAAATTTAGATGTTGACGTGGATGCAGTGAAAAGGGAATACTTCTACACTGCTGGTGGGAATGGAAACTAGTACAACCGCTATGGAAAACAGTGTGGAGATTCCTTAAAGAACTAAAAATAGAACTACCATTTAACACAGCAATCCCACTACTGGGTATCTACCCAGAGGAAAAGAAGTAATTATTTTAAAAAGATACTTGCACACACATGTTTATAGCAGCACAATTCACAATAGCAAAAATGTGGAGCCAGCCCAAATGCCCATCAATCAATGAGTGGATAAGGAAACTGTGGTGTATGTATATGATGGAATACTACTCAGCCATAGAAAGGAATGAATTAATGGCATTTGCAGCCAATTGGATAAGAATGGAAACCATCATTCTAAGTGAAGTAACTCAGGAATGGAAAACCAAACATTGTATGTTCTCACTCATAAGTGGGAGCTCAGCTATGAGGATGAAAAGGCATAAGAATGACAGAAGGGATTTTGGAGACTCAGAGAGAAAGGGTGGGAAGGTGGTGAGGAAGAAGAGACTACAAATTGGGTGTAGTGTATAATGCTCCGGTTATGAGTGCACCAAAATCTTATAAATTGCCATTAAAGAACTTACTCATGTAACCAAACACCACTTGTTCCCCAATAATCTATGGAAATAAAAACAAAATAGACATACAAATGGCCAACAGTCATATGAAAAATTGCTCAACATCACTAATCATCAGATAAATGAAAATCAAAACCACAATGAGATACCATCTCACACCAGTCAGAGTGGCTATCATTAACTAGTCAAAACAACAGATGCTGGAGAGGTTGCAGAGGAAAGGCAACACTTATACACTGTGGGTGGAAATGTAAATTAAGCCAATCTCTGTGGAAAGCACTTTGGAGGTTTCTCAAAGAACTTACAACAGAGCTTCTGTTTGACTCAGCAATCTCATTTCCGGGTATATATCCAAAGGAAAGTACATCATTCTACCAAAAGGACACATGTACTCATATGCTCATTGCTGTGCTATTCACAATAGCAAAGACATGGAATCAACCCAGGTGCCCACCAATGGTAGGTTGGATGAGGAAAACATGGTACATATACACCATGGAATACTATGCAGCCACAAAAAAAGAAGGGAATCATGATCTTTGCAGCACGATGGATGGAGCTGGAAGCCACAATCCTAAGAAATTAATGCAGAAACAGAAAACCAAATACTACATGTTCTCACTTATACATGGGATAAACAACAAGCACATATGTACATAAATTGGGGAACAATAGACACTGTGGACTGCTAGGGGGTGGTGGGAAGGAGGGAGGGCTGGGTTAAAAACTACCTATTGGGTACTATGCTCACTACCTGGGTGACGGGATCCATACTACAAACCTCAGCATCATGTAATATTCCCATGTAACAAACCTGAACATGGACCTCCTGTATCTAAAATAAAAGTTGGAAAAAAAAAGAAAAACTCCTAGAAGATAACATAAGAGAAAACCTAGATGATCTTGTGCAAGCTGATGACTTTAGATCCAGTAAAAAAATTATTGATGAACTGGACTTCATTGAAATTAAATTTCTGTTCTGTGAAAAACATTGTCAACAGAATGAGAGGTTAAACCATAGACTAGGAGAAATCATTTGCAAAGTATATACCAGATAAAGAAATTCAAGAGAATATATTCAAGATATACAAAGAACTTTTAGAACTCAATGAAAAAATGATCAAACTAATGAAGAAATGGGCAAAAGATCTGAACAGGCACCTCACAAAAGAAGATAAACAGATGGCAAAAAAGGATCTGAAAAGATACTCAACATCATATGTCTTTACGGAATTACAGACTAGAAAAATATACTGCTACACATCTATTAGAATGGCAAAAGTCCAAAACATTGACAACACCAAATTCTTACAACGATGTTGGGCATCAGGAACTCTCATTCATTGCTGATAGAAATGAAAGATGGTACAGCCACGATTGAAGAAACAGTTCAGTGGTTTCTTACAAAACTAAACATACTCTTACCATATGATCCAGCAGTTGCATTCCTGGGTATCCACTCAAATGAACCAAAAGCTTAAGCCCGTACAAAAGCTTGCACCCAAATGTTTATAGTGGCTTTATTCATAATTGCCAAAACTTGGAAGTATATCCTTCAGTAGGTGAATAAATAAATAAACTGTTGTACATTTAGACAATGGAATGTTAATCAGCACTAAGAGGAAATGAGTTATCAAGTGATGAAAAGACATTTAGGAACCTAAAATACATATTCTTTAATGAAAGAAGCCAATCTGAAAAGGCTACGTATTGTATGATTCCAACTATATAGCATTCTGGAAAAAGCAAAATCATGAAGATAAGTAAAACTATCAGTGGCTGCCAGGGTTTGGGGAAAGATGATTTTTTAGGGCTCTTAAACTATTCTATGTGATACTATTACCGTGGATACATGTCATTAATATATTTGTCAAAACTCATAGAATATGAAACACCAAGAGTGAAATCTAATGTAAACTATGGACTTTGGTTTATAATGATGTGTTAGCATATGTTCATTGACTGTAATAAATGTAACACTGGTTTGGAACATTGATAGAGTGTGTGTGTTGGGAGTGAGGTTGGGGGAAGTAGGGGATATATGGAGACTGTACTTTCAATTTTGCTGTGAACCTAAAACTGCTCTAAAAATAAAGTCTGTTAAAAATAAAAAAAATAAAAAACAAATCGAGGGACAAGAGATTGGGAGCTTATTATTAGCCTCTTTTAAGAAAAAATACTAGCCAAGAAGCTTGTATCCTGCCAAACTAAACTTCATAAATGAAGGAGAAATAAAGTCTTTTCCCAAACAAGCATTCACTAAGAGTTGTCACCACTACACTGATCCTACAATCAAAGGATTTTCAAATACGGAAATGAAAGGCTGATAGTCACCATCAGCAAAGGAAATAGAAATACAAAGCTCACAGGTCCTATAAAGCAACAATCAAAACTTCAAAACAACTAGCCAACAACACTACATCAGTAACAAAATCTCACATATCAATTTTAACCTTGATGCACATAGCCTAAATTCCCCACTAAAAAGATACAGAGTGGAAAACTGGATAAAAAAAATAAAAGACAACCATCTGCTGTCCACAAGAGACCCACCTACTGGCTAAAGATACATTCAGACTCAAAGCAAAAGGGTAGAGAAAGATATATCATGCAAATAGAAAACAAAAGTGAGCAGGAGTAGCCATTCTTATATCAGATAAAACAGACTTTATATCAACAACACGGAGAAAAAGACAAAGAAGGGCATTATATAATAATGAAGGTTTGAGGCGGGGCGCAGTGGCTCACGCCTATAATCCCAGCACTTTGGGAGGCCGAGGTGGGTGGATCACAAGGTCAGGAGATCGAGACCATCCTGGCTAACACGGTGAAACCCTGTCTCTACTAAAAATACAAAAAATTAGCCGGGCGTTGTGGCAGGCGCCTGTAGTCCCAGCTGCTCTGGAGGCTGAGGCAGGAGAATGGCGTGAACCTAGGAGGGGGAGCTTGCAGTGAGCCGAGATCACTCCACTGAACTCCAGCCTGGGCAACAGAGCAAGACTCCATCTCAAAAATAAATAAATAAATAAAAAATAAATAATAAGAAGAATAAAGGTTTGAATACAACAAGAATATTTAGCTGTCCTAAACATATATGCATACACCACTGGAGAACCTGGATCCATAAAACAAATACTGCTATATCTAAGAAAACAGATTGATAGTAATAAAATAATACTGGGGGACCTCAACATCCCACTGATATCAATAGAGACATTGAGGCAGAAAATCACCAAAAACCTCTGGACTTAAACTGGATATAGACAAAATGGACCTAATAGACATCTACAGAACGTAATACTCAAACAATTACAAAATATACATTATTCTCATATTTGCAAAGAACATTCTCCAAAATCGACCATATGATTGGCCATAAGGCAAGTCTCAAAAAAAAAACAAAAAAACAAAAAAGCAAAAAAAACATGAAGTTGTACCAAGTATTTTCTCAGAGCACAGTGGAATAAAGTTAAAAATCAATACCAAGGGGAACTCTCAAATCTACACAAGTACATGGAAAATAAACATGTTGCTTCTTAACAACTTTGGAGTAAACAATGAAATAAAGGCAGAAATAAAAAATATTTTAAAAGAATGAAAATAGAGATATAATATATCAAAACCTTTGGGATCCAGCAAAAGAAGTGTGAGAGGAAAATTTATAGCATTAAATGTCTATGTCAAAAAGATAGAAAAATCTCAAATTAACAACCTAGCATTGTAACTCAAGGAACTAGAAAAACAACAGAAAACCAACCCCAAAGCTAGCAGAAGAAAAGAAATAAAAAAAGGTCAGAGCAGAAATGAATGAAACAGATTAAATAAAGATACAAAGAATCAATGAAACTAAAAGTTGGTTTCTTGAAAGGATAAACAAAAATCACAGACTACTAGCTACACTGTTATAAGAGAAGATTCAAATAAGTATAATCAGAAATAATAAAGGTAATATCACAACTGTTACCAGAGAAATGCAAAAGATCATCAGAGATTTCTATGAACACCTCTGTGCACACAAAATAGAAAACATAGAGGAAATGAATAAATTCATGGAAACATACAACCTCCCGAGATTGAATCAGAAACAAACAGAAACATTGAACAGATCAATAGCAAGTAATGAAATTGAATGAGTCCTAAAAATTAACAACAACAACAACAAAGCCTAGGACCAGAAAGATTCACATCCAAAGTTTACTAGACACACAAAGAAGAGCTGTTATCAATCTTACTGAAACTATTCCGAAAAATCAAGGAGAAAACATCTTTCTTTAACTCATTCTACGAATTAGGTGTCATCCTTACACAAAAATCAGGCAAAAACACAACCAAGAGAGAAAACTACAAACCAATATCACTGATGAACACAGATGCAAAAATCAGCAAAATGCTAGCAAACCAATTCCAACAGCATGTCAAAAAATAATTAACCATGATCAAGTGGGCTTATTCCAGGAATGCAAAGATGTTTCACTATTCACAAAACAATAATCATGATCCACCTAATTAACAGAACTAAGTACAAAAACCATGTGATCAGCTCAGTTGATGCACAAAAACCATTCGATAACATCCACCATCACTTCATGCTAAAAACCTTCAACAAACTAGGACATAAATAGAATATATTTCAAAATAATAAGAACCATCTCTATGACAAACCCACAGCCAATATCATGCTGAATGAGGAAAAGATGAAAGTATTTCTCCCAGGAACTGAGACAAAACAAGGATGTCTGTCTGCTCTCACCACTCCTACTCAACATAGTAAGAGAAGTCTTAGCCAGAACAATCAGATAGAAGAAAACATTAAATGCATCCAAATTGGAAAATAGGATGTGAAATTATCTCTGTTCACTGATTACATAATCTTATACTAGAAAACTCTAAAGACTACTCTAAAGACTCCTACACCTGATGATTGACTTCAGTAAAGTCACAGGATACAAAATCAGTGTACAAACATTAATAGCATTTGTATACACCAATAACATTCATGCTAACAACCAAATCAAGAACTCAATCCCATTTACAATAGTTATACAAAAAATAAAATACTAATGGATGTATTTAACAAAGGAGATGAACGATATCTACAAGAACTACAAAACACTGATGAAAGAAACTGTAGACAACACCAGCAAATGCAAAATTGTCTCAAGCTCATGGATTTACATAATCAATATTGTTCAAATTACCATTCTACCCGAAGTAATCTAGATTAACACAACTTTTATCAAATTGCCAGCATCATTTTCTTACAGAGTTGAAAAAAATATCCTTAAGTTCATATAAAACTGAAAAGAAGCCAGACCACCTACAGCATTCCAAAGCAAAAAGAACAAATTTGAAGGTATCACATTGTTTAACTTCAAATTATACTATAAGGCTATAGTAACAAAAACAGCGTGGTACTGGTACAAAAATAGACACATAGATCATTGGAACAAAATAGATAACCCAGAAATAAAACCACATACCTAAAACAAAATGATCTTGGATAAGTTTGACAAAAATAAACAATGGGAAAATGACACCGTACTCAATAAATGGTGTTGGGAAAATTAGCTAGCAACATGCAGGAGAATGAAACTATCCTATCTCTCATTATGTACAAAAATTAATTCAAGAAGGATTAAAGGCCTAAACCTAGGACATGAAGCCATAAAAATGTTAAAATAAAACCTAAGAAAAAGCTCTCCTTGACATTTGCCTAGGCAAATAATTTATGACAAAGACCTCAAAAGCAAATGTAACAAAAACAAATATAGACAAATGGGACTTAATTAAACTAAAAAAAAAAACAGCAAAAGAAATAATAAACAGACAACCTACAGAATGGGAGAAAATATTTACAAATTATGTCTCCAATAAAGGTCAAATATACAAAAACTACAAGGAACTAAAAGAAGTCAACGAGAAAGGCACCAAAAAACTTAAAAGCTGGACAAAGGACATGAACAGATATCTCTCAAAAGAAGAAATACAAGTGGCCAACGAAACACATAAAGAAATGCTTAACATCACTAATCACCAGAGAAATGCAAATTAAAACCACAATGAGATATATTACACCAGCCAGATGGCTTTTATTAAAAAGTCAAAAAAACAACCGATGTTGGTGGGTATGCAGAGAAAGAGGAGTGCTCAGACACTGTTGGTAGCAATGCAAAGTAGTTCAACCTCTATGGAAAACAATATGGAGGTATCTCAAACAACTAAAAATAGTACTACTATTCAACATAGCAGTCCCACTACTAGATACCTACCCAAAGGAAAAGAATCCATTATATAAAAGAGACACCTGCAGTTATATGATTACTGCAGCACTCTTTACAATAGTAAAGTCATGAAACCAACCTAAGCGTCTATCAGTTGACTGGACAAAGAAAGTGTGGCAGAGAAGCAGAATATCAAACATTGAATGTTCTAATTTATTAGCGAGAGCTAAACAAAGTGTAAGAATGAACATAAAGATGAAGAGAATAACCTCTGGGGATTCCAGAAGAGAATACAGTAAGAGAGGTGAGGGTTGAAAAATTACCTATTGGGTACAACGATCAATATTTGGGTGAAGGGTATACTAGAAGCCCAACCCCAACCATTACACATATATGGTGGAACAAACAAGCACAAGTACCTCATGAATAAAAAAAAAGTATATTAATATTAGTTTTTAAATTGTACTTAGATAGACTATATTAAAGTTAAATAATAGCAGAAATTTGCTGTAAGATATTTGCAAACTCTCTACCATCATTACAATTTTTCTGTAAATCAAATTTCTAAAAATAAAGTTACTTAATCTAAAGAAATACATTAGGAATTATGGTCAGATTTGGAATTAAAATTATATTCATGTTAAAAGTTCATCAATAAGAATTTTATAGTAAAGTAATCAACGTTATTTATTTTTAAACAATAATGAAAGAGGAAACAATTGCTCTTCAGGACATTCCTGCTAATTTATTATGTTCCAGTAGGCTAGTAAAAATATCAGAATAAAAAGGAATTAGGAGAAAGGGCGATGACCTGGGACTTCCATTAATCTGCATTCCAAAACCTGGCCCTTCTAATTTCAGGCTCTGAACTAAATTAAACAGATTTTTAAAATTTATACGAAGGAGGAAATAATTTATTTCCTTAATGGTACTATTATAAAGATTTAGTCACAAAAATGTTTAAAATGTTAAGCATACATTCAAAATGACTAGTCCAAAGTGAGTTTCCAGTTTTCACTGTAGTTCATATCCTTTGTCTTACAAAATATAAAAAAAGTTATTAGGGAATTGCTTACAAAATGTTTCAATTTTTTTAATAGCTGAAAAAACAGAAGAACACAAGAACCTGAACAAGAGAACTTATTGATTAGCTTGAGAATTCCAACGAAAAGCAAGCTAACCATTCTTCTCCTAGTATTTACTGACTAGAAAGGATGTGTAAGAAAAAATAAGCAATATATAAAGCTAAATGTAAACTTTTAAAAGAGTTATGTCTTTTATTACCTTTAGAGTTAGGATTTTCTTTGGAATTGCATGATGTCCTTTTGCATGGATTTTTTGACTTTACAGTTCCATATTATTACTGATTTTCATACACTGGGAATTTGAGACACCTCTGACTTCAGCTAGATCTACCTCTCACCTCAGCTACATCCCAACGTAACAAGTATTGATCATTTCTGCCCCAGATTCTGCTGGCTGCATCTAACATAAAGTATCTCACTTCAGTGATATAAGGATATGATCTTAAGAAAAGTTGAATTGCCCCAGCTGATTCTACTGACTTCTGTTTTTGTAATTCCAGTATAATCAATGTGTACAGGTATATGTGTATGCATTTATATATGCACAGATATGTATTTTATGTGTGGTATCTATGTTTAATACATCAGAAGGTATACAAATGTTCTTGTATATGCATACACACATATACATTTATATGTATATGCCTACCTATTTATTTATATATGTCTTTTGCAACCTTCTTGTTCTTACTAATCTTAGCCAGACTTGAATTGGATTTTCATAGTTTCTGGTGAATGACTTCTATGTAGCAAGGCCATACAAAAGTTAACATAGAACTTAAAGTAAAATAGACTGTCTTCATTTTAAAACTTAAAAATATTAATAACCATTACACCTCCATAATATCAGGAAAACCAGCGGTGTGATGATAAGGGTGGTTTTAACAGATAAAAAATTAATAGTTATTCATGGCACATTATTACACTATCCAAACGTGTGGTTGGATTTTATTAGTACTTCATTACATTAATTGCACTTAAGCACACTTAATCACAGAGTATTTAGACTTGAAATGCTCTTAATTTTTAAAATAAATTACTATTAATTTATGCAGATTTACATATAAATTATTTTATGGCATATTACTGGGCAATAAATTATATTCCTGATGAACTTAAATAAGCAATAGGTGAGCAGGGGGATAAGGAGGGTAGGCCATTTGTAGATACCTGGGAGTTTTTCTTCACTGGGATGGAAACCCTAAGATAGCAACCTTGCAGGGATACTAGCTCAATGCCACATGGATTTTTATGAGCAATAGAAATGTTTATGTGAGAACAAACTTTTACATACGTATCATGCATATAATTAAGGTAACAAATGTGGGGAGACAGCCAAGGCGAAGGGGATCAATAGGTAGGGAAGCTTGTCTCTCAAGCGACCTGATTTTGGAGGCACTGGGTCAGCTTCCACCTAACTCCCAAGTCCAAGTTTATCCACCATTGATGGAAGTCTTAAATTTTCCTTTCTCAAGACTTATGGCATTGTTGTTTTTACAATGCTTATATTCCTCGGATGAATCATATTTAAGCATGTATTTGTTACATGTGGTGAGTTAAGAAGTGAAATAAGTTCAACATTTCAGAGAGAAATCAGCTGCAACCCTTGCCTCAGGAGAACAAAATTTATAGCAAAACATAATAGTTTCACACACACAAAAAGACAACTGAAGTACTGGGAAAATTTGTCCTACTCTACAGTTTTGTCCAATTGCAAACTTAAAATAACAACCTGTCTGCTACTATCTTGGGACACTGGATACTTTTACAAGTAGTTCCAGCAGTTTCAGTTACTTAAAGTGAAGCCTATTTCCTACTGCTGTAGGTATATAAAAACAAACCAACAAAACCTTTTGAGAGATTGCAAAGAAAATGAAGAATAAACTGTATGCCATCAGACCTCCAGCAAGAATAACCCCACATTTACATTATTAATATAGTAATATGTAGTATGTAATACATATTTCTATAAATATGGGATGGCAGGTATTAATAGATAGATAAATATACATCTAGCTATATGAGATTTAATGCAGCAAAAATGTCTTGCTGCTGAAGAAGTCTGAAACACAATACTCTCCTGGAATAGTTATCTTAGAGCCATCAGTTGAAGATTGTCTTCAATCCTTAAAAGATAACATGGTTCACCTTACCAAAGTTGTATTGAGCCCCACCTAAAACATGAAGCACAGTGATTCATGAGCACCTTTTCATTTGTGTTTCTCTGTGAATCTGTTTAGTAGAAGCTTTCTGATAACCAAACTGGATGTTTTCATGATAATGAATTCACTAGTAAACAATATTTAGAAAGAAAACTAGAAACATAATGGCATTATTCTGGCAATAATGAAGCATTTAACATTTTATTCAATCTAAATGTGGTGATTGTCTTAAAATTATTTTATGGCATTGCAATACTTCCGAAGAATGAGCCTGTTTTATCAGAAATTGACAAACCACTTTCTGTAATACAAACAAGGATACCTTCATGCCTAAACAAAGGAGGAACAATAGTGATGTCATCTATTAATGAGCTACAAGTGGAGCAATCAGTGAGATAACAACGACTTCCAGAGCTTAGATGTGCTATGGAAAGGGCACTGTGGAATACGTGGCTCTGCCAGAGATTAAAGAGATGTTAAAATTGTAGGCTTACAGGAGAAACCAGAGAAGCTGATGTATTAAGGTTTTCCATTCATAGATAAAACAGAAAACCATAAAGGCAAAACAACAGAAGAAGTGCCAGAGAAAAGTGACTGAGACAGAAAGAGACTCATTTCCAAATTTAAGTGCATCCATTACATACCTCTGTAGAACTACCTTCTGGTCTAACAGAGACAAAAATTTTAAAATAATACAATTTATTTTGTAATGATTATTCAGTACATCGTAAGATTTTTATTGCTCTTCCAAAAGCATTTTCTAGAAATATATTAGTTTTCATGGTTATATCTTAAAATGTACTTTAACAAATAAAGATATCTGCCTAGTTTATAATAAAAACTTGGAAGCTTCTGATAATCACTAACCACATTCATTTTTATGTAGATCACTCTAAATTTTGGGCCAGATACTGTTGCCTACCCGCTGTATCCTATCACTCACAGTGGTAGTCTATCCACTAAAACTGAAGGATTGTCCACTCTAAAAATGTATTACCTAAAAAAAAAAAAAAAAAAAAAAAAACTCACTCTTTTATATAATTCTTTTTTTAATTGAAAAATTATTTTACATATATATTTATTACCAAATATTTTGGAACACAAATTTGAAATCACACTGTGGAGGAAAAAATATTCCTATTAAAAACAAAAATGAACAAAAAATAGAGATAAATATACATCTAGCTATATGAGATTTAATGCAGCAAAAATGTCTTGCTGCTGAAGAAGTTTGAAACACAATACTCTCCTGGAATAGTTATCTTAGAGCCATCATGGGGAGCATGCTAAGTTGACTACAATGTTGTCAATATAAATCAATTTTTTATGCTTATTCTAAACTTCAGAGACTAAGAATCTAGAGAGTGAGAAGAGTTCAGAAAAAAAAAAAAAAAATCCTTACTGGAAAACTGTATTAGTCATCCTTCTCTAGAAGGACAAAACTAAGAGGATATATATATATATATCCTATATATAGGATATACATATCCTATTAAGCATATATATATATGCTTAATAAATATTAACTGGCACAATCACAAGGTCCCACAATAGGCCATCTGAAAGCTGAAGAGCAAGGGAAACCAGTTCAAGTCCCAAAACTGAAGAACGTGGAGTCTA
This sequence comes from Homo sapiens, assembly GCF_000001405.40. NCBI lineage: Eukaryota > Metazoa > Chordata > Mammalia > Primates > Hominidae > Homo > Homo sapiens. The sequence continues at coordinate 184,782,542 of NC_000002.12, read as the reverse complement.
ATGTTCAAGGGCAGGAAGCATCCAGCATGAGAGAAACATGTAGTCCAAAAGGCTAGGCTAGTCTAGTCTTTTCATGTTTTTGTTGTTGTTGTTTTGTTTATTTGTTTTCTGCTTGCTTTATATTCTAGCCATGCTGGCAGCTGATTAGATGGTGCCCACCCAGATTAAGGGTGGGTCTGCCTTTCCCAGCTCACTAACTCAAATCTTAATCTTCTTTGGCAACACCTTCGTAGACACACCCAGGATCAATACTTTGCACCCTTCAATCCAATCAAGTTGACACTCAGTATTAACCACTACAAAAACAAAATGTCAAATTCCTATTGTAAAGTACCTCTGCTATAAGCTAAATGGTGTCCCCCAACAAAATTCATATGTTGAAGTCCTAACCCCAAGTACTTAAAAATGTGACTGTATTTGAAGATAAGGCCCTCAAAGAGATAATAAAGATTAAATAAGGTCAGAGGGGTGGGCCCTAATCCACTAACTCATATCCTTATAAAAGAAGAGATTAGAACACAGATACATACAGAGGGAAGAGGATGTGAAGATACAAGAAGAAATGGCCATCAGCATACCAAGGGGAGAGGCCTTAGAAGAATTTATCTTGCAAACACTTTGATCTCAGTCTTTTAGCCTCCAGAATGGGGAGAAAAATAATTTCTGTTCTTTAAGCCAGTCGGTGGTATTTTGTTATGACAGCCCTAGAAAACTAATGCAAACTCTTTCATGTATTTTTCTCTCTGCTCTGATTACAAAAAGAAAAATTTTCAGAAAGATTGTTTTCTCTTGCACAAAGATGATGCAAAAAAGTAGAAGTTACTGTGAGCTAAAACCCTTTTTATAATTACCAAGATTTAGTCACAGATGAGCTTAGATAAGGCAAGTGGAGTCAATAACAGAAAATACGTGTACACAGCACTTTTGACTCCAAGCAGCCAAGGTGTAGTGTGGTACCCATAGGAATTCAGAAAATGAAAATTTCCCAAAAAAGAATATTTCAAAGTTTTTTCATAAAGTAGAATAAGTACTTAAACCATTGTGTTATTATCAAGAAATGATTGTTTGAAAGTTAATGAAATGTTACTTTATCTTGTTTTATTTTTAAAGATTGTGATTTTGTGGGGAAATATAAATGAGTTAAATACATGTTAAATGTAATTTAACAGTTATTCTCTCCTGGGGAAAAGTATAGCTTATTTTTCCTTATTGCCCAAATAAGCCATCATATGACATAGGCATTGTACCTAGGAGAAAATATAGCAGCTTTTCTTGGCCCATTGCAAAGCCAAAATATAACAGAAAACGTCAAATTACTAAGATAAATTTGTGCACAATCATATGCATGTGTCATTTCCTGCAATGATGTCTCTGTTTCCCCAAATCTAGAGTTCTGGAAGAAATACAATGTGTATTTTGATTGGCAAGATTTAAATATCAGTGAGCAAGGCTTCTGCTAATCTCCAAGGATGAGAGATCACACATTTCCAAGATTCTCATGCAGAGAAGCACAAGGACTCGGAAAACATCTCCCCAGTCAGACTTCATGGAATTTACCTCTAAGTTGCTGCTATTCTCTATAAAGGACACAGGTTACTTGTGTCCTTTTCAGAAGACTAACCCACCCCTAGAGAGAAATTTGTGATGCAAGTGGAGTAAATAACTAATTGATAGCTCCTGCTGAAGTTAAGGACAGAGCCATGATTGAAATGCAAGTCTCTAGTCTTCAGTTTACTGCTCATTGCACTCAATCCATTATTGAAGAGAATTTTTAAAGTGTAGCCAGAATTTTTAAGACCTAGCATTTATGGTTTCAAGATGTCTAGGGAAGGGATAATTTCTCCAAGATAAAAAAGCTTTTCTTCGTTTCACTTCAACAGTATAAGAAGCTCTGGTGTCAAAAACCTTGCCCCAGAGTTTGCCTTGACTCCCATCAGGTTTAACCTCTGAGTTTAGAGCCATTTTTCATTTTCTGTTTCATTTCATGTACCTCCCTCCATCTGTGATTAAGGTTCTGAAATGGAATAAGCACAAATGGAAAAACAAACAGAAAGACAGGAACCACTTTTAAGAATAATTCTTCAGTTCTCAGTTTTCAGTTCTCAGATTTCTTACCTGTAAAAGATGGAATAATTCCTAAGTCTATTTTACCATAATTTTTTTAAAAAAGTTTAAAACGTAGCATATAAATTATTATTTACTGGTTTCACTAAGAATTAAACCCTTCCAGTGGTGATTTAGCCTCACCCTTCTCCGTAACTCTACATAGTTGTTTTGTTTGTTTGTTTGTTTGTTTGACATCAACATGCCTTTTGGCTGAAATTTTCGCTCTGGTACTACATAACATGGCCAGTTGTAAAACCTGGCACCTGTGTGGAAACATTTTACTGGGCATGTTCTTACTCATACCTTAATCAGTATTAGGTAGACTTTATAATGGAGATATCACACAGTCTGAGCTGTACATACAGTCAGTATATACACATTTAGAAAGTTCTAGAATGGTCGTGAACCTGTGAAGCCTGGGAGCCTGTGGGACCATGGTATCTAATACAAAAATTATTGCGAAATTTTTTTATAATGAAGACTGTCTCACAGAACTGAGACCCTTGAAACCTTGGTGAATATACTGGTTTCCTATTTGTTGCTGTAACAATTTTACACATCACAAAATTTAGTAGCTTAAGATACAGCAAATTCATTATCTGACATCTCTAGAGGTCAGAAGTTCAAAATGTATCTCACCAGGATAAAATTAGGGTGTCTGCGGAGTTGCGTTCCATTCTGAAGGTTCTAGCAGAGAATCTGCTTTTTCACCTTTTCCAGCTTCTAGAGGCCAGCCCCGTTTCATGGCTATAGCTCCTTCCCATCTCCAAATCCAGCAATAACCATTCAAGCATTTCACACTTCAAGTCACTCTGACAGGGACTCTTCTACCTCTTTTGCACTTAAGGGCCATTGTGATTACATTGGGCCCATCTCCATAATCCAGTATGCTCTCCCTATATTAATGTCAGCTAACCAGCAAACTTAATTCTATCTACAACTTGTAAACAGAATTTCCCTTTCCCATGTAACCTAACATATTCACAGGTTCTGGGGATTAAGATTTGTGCATCATAGGGTGACATTTTCCCTCATATTTGTAGAAGAATTATAAGTAGAAACAGCTCTGAAGCAACAGAAATAAAACAGCTATAATAGTAAATATTTCCTAGGAAAAAAGAAAACAAAACATAACAACAAACAAAGAATGAAAGTACAAGTGGTGTATGGCTCAAAAATCACAGATGAGAGGCCAACCCAACTTCAAAGCCACACTGGTTGTCATGCCTACACCTGGAAAACCTGCCTGTACAACTACAGTTGGCAGCTTCAGAATATGGCATCCTAGTGACCTCAGAACCACAAGAGTATTTTTTAAGAGCAGAAGAAAGGGGAAAAATGTCTTATGGTAGCCAGAGAGAAACAAATGATAAACAATGGTGAAATTGTGTTGGTGGATGTTGAATTAGAAATTTACTAATTTCTAATTTTTATTAAATTTACTAATTTCTAATTTTTATTAAATTTACTACCCTATTCACTTATTCTCAACTGACTCCAAAAAATAATCTTTATAAATATAGAAAATTTAACTCATTTCCTGAAGATGATGATTCAGTAGGCCTTTGGATGTTGAGGTATACACTGTCAAGTCTGTGAAGCTCTGGTCATTTTAGTCCTTGAGCTTCTTACATTCAAGGTCTATATAATTTTCCTCTGTACCTCCAACATCAATGACAGTCCCTGGATCATTAAAGGTACCCAGTGAATTTTAGTACAATAACTGTATATAATAGCACATTATTAAAGAATGCCTGGTGTTGCTTTGGAAAAGGGTTATACCTTAAAATTTCTGGTTATGATATTTTTCATTACTGTGTAGGGACCCTAGCTATTTGCATATCTTGGGCTAATGTTGAGATGTTTAAAAGTAAATTGTGTCAGGATTATGAAATTGCTACAAATAGCAGTCATTCCCTGAAAATTCCATCTGTATCTTGTATATCCCTGTCCCTCTCAGTCCTCTTGTCCGGTTTTATTTTCTTATAACCACTTTATACATATGTGTCGGTTTGTTAATGGACTCTCTCATCACTATAATGTACACCCAACAAAAAGTAAAATATTGTTAGCTTTTTCCCCATATCTTTGGGGAAAAAATTATCATCTTTAGAGAAGGGGTTAAATTTTCTATGCCCAGGATCCAGAACAATGCCTCCTGAGAGTTATATGCTCAATGAATATTTATTAAATGAGAATATTATATAACGTGACAGAATGAAATCATTATAAAACAAATTTGTGCATGTCAAAAGCTTCTTAATGGAAAGCAAAGCAAGAAAATTATCAGACATAACAGGAGCTTTAACACAGCTACTTTGCAGCATAATGCTAGAATCAAGCTGAAGCAAAGGGTACATATTTTTATTCCAATGTAGAATCTTCTAAACTGCAGGGGAAAAGTCACATTAAAAAAGCTAACATAATCCTTTTAAAAACATTATTTCAATTACATTTTGTAAATGAATTATTAATTGCTTATATTACAGTATGCTGTTCAGTCAATTATATTTTGATACTCACCTAATTTAGCTAATATTTTTATCAACTCAACAAAATCACTCCTATAGTGTTGGTAAACACAGTGGTTCATCACAGCATAGGAATAAGTCCAGGAAGGAAAAAGAATAGATAAAAAGGCTATGGGAAACTCTAAAGGACAAACAACCCACTAAACACATTTCATGAAATCATTCAACAACAACAACAAAAGACCAATTAAAAGATAAATGAAGGGTGAAGCTATAAATTAAAGGATTTTTTAAAACTTGATCAACAGATATATGGAGCTTATTTAAATTTTGAATGGTTGTATGAGTTTCTTTTGTTTTTTTAACTAGGGCTTATCTTCCTTTAGATAGCAGTAAAAAAAAATGTAGACAGCATTTTTTTCAGAGTTAGGACACTGGGCATTGGTATGAGGTAAAGATAGAAGTGAAGGGAATGACAGTGATGCTGAGAGAGCAGTTCAGATACTTCCTCGTATCATGTAAACCAATAGGGAAGGAAAACAGCAGAAAGGGTTTAAAAAAGTCACTAATCTGGAAAACATATTTAAAGCCTGGTTAAGTCTTTCTGAGGTTTAGAAACACGTAGACTTGCAGTGTAAACTAAGACACTGAAGGGTAAGTATGCATCATCAGAAATTAGGATAAAAGGCATTAAAATTTCCAAAATGGTATATCAAAATGGTGGGTCCAGTTGGTTACTATGTGAGTGGGTAACTGAAGAAAGTAGAAGAGTTTATTAATAGTTTGGGGGTTGAAAGATCTGTAAGGTGTCTTTTGGGTAAGGAGGATGACTCATGAAATCAGCTACAATTGGGACAAAAACAAAGACAGAGGCAACCATCAAAATTTTCTGAGGGTGTGCTGGAATAATCATTAGATTCAAGAAGTTCTCTGCTCTCTTTTACATCCAGATCTGCAAGAAACAGAGCTGTGGACATTGCTAACCATAGCCACCAATCTTGAGATAAATGCCTTACATGCTAACATATAATTTTTAAAAAGATAAAGTAATGAGTCCCACACTTCAACATGAAATAAACAGGTGTCAAGGAATTTTTTCCACTCATTAATTAATGAGGGGAACAGTGAGATGTTCAAACCAGTCTGAAGAGGGTTTATAAGGCTAAGCAATGTTAGGATAACTGGCTAATGTCCAATAGGTGCAAAACTCTAATCCCTGGGGTACTAGTTCCATGTGGTAAAAATATACAGGTTAGCATGAAACTTTACTAAGACTGGGACATTTAATAAATACAACATAAAAAGCGAACTAATTACATTTCCCAAAACAATCCTCAGGTGGTTTTCACTATTTTTATGACAATGGAAGGTGTCTCAGACAAATTTGCCTTACTTCAAAAGGTATGAATAATTATTCTGACAGAGAGAATAATTACACATTCCGAAGTACTAACTTTTACACAGAGGTTTACAAAAAAAAAAAATGAGGTTTATATAAATCAACCAACAAAACCTGAACCTCCAAAGTGTCATCTAATCACTCAATAATGACAAGAGCTTTTTAATAAAACAAAATTTATAGTAGATTTTTTTCTATCTATACTGTTGCCGTCCTCATCTAAGCCATTATAATGTCTTTCTACATTTGTTCTTCTTGTCATTCCAGCATTTTTTTCAATGCCAGATTTCTAATTTCTCTCTCAAAGAAATCTTCCCTCAACTCTTCTATAGCCATCAGGAACTTTCTAACAAAAAACTCTGTTTTCTTTTATTTGTTGCATATGTTATTGCATATTTCCTCGATTTTTATTTATGATTTAACTGTTCTTTTTTCTAAGAAACTATGTTAGGGTATAAACATTACCTCTTTTATTACCCCTGCATTTACAGTGTCATTTTAAATGGTGCCTGGTACAAACAAGGTGCTTAGTAAATACTTGTAGAAAGATAAATGTTTCTAGCTCTATCAGTTTTATAAACACTATTAATGACTGTTATGAGATGTAATCATACTTCTAAGCAAAATTCTTCTGGAGCGTAGTTAGAGTTTTATAACTTTTGGAGTTGTTGACTCAGCCCTGAAATACTAATACCTAACTGAACAAAGATTTACCCTCATATCCAAACATCTAGTGCTGTACCCCATTAGCCATCTTCATTTTTGGTAATGAGAATTAGTGTGATTTTTATCTTGCTTCATGTCTAGGAAGTGCTTGAGCAGTACAAATCCTTTGCCATGGCATTACAGATACTAAGTATTCAAGCTTCCGTGGATAATTAAAATATGGGAAATTGCTTGGGGGAAGTTGTCTGAGAATATGAAAAGAAGAACAATTTGTTGTTTACTAACAGTCCTAACTCACAAAAAGAAAAGGGTCTTGTAAAAGCATTTACCAAAATTGGCTCAGGAGTTCATGATGATATGACATTCATGTAAGATAGCGCTGTTTTCTCTAAAGTAGAAGTGTAGAACCGAGAAATGGCACCGGCCACTCTATAATTTCATAGCAGACAGCTAAGTATCATGTAAAGAATATTTACTCATTCTTTAAGTTAAAACTTTCCTTCACAATGACTATTACTACACTGGCATGCAGGAGATTCTCCTTTCTTAGTTGTTATTGTGGTTTCATATCATTGCTTCCCAAACTAGGTAAATAACCTGTCTTCTTTAAGATAGTCATAAAGTCACTTTCAAAAGAACCTACAAGTTCCCAGTGAGTTGTTTATATATTTTTGTGACAATTTAAAAAGTTTACTTAAATACATAACACTCCTAAGATCTTAAAACTAATTTTAAAGACTATTGAGGAAATTATACATATTAAACATGCCCATAATTACACATTTACATTATTACTTACAATAGGTCAAAAAGAAATATTAAGAAATGCAGATCATGATAACCATCTCAAAATTATTCTTACATAGGTACTAAGGCAATCATGCCATTAAACAAATATAGACATATTTATGTTGCTTTTCGAAAATTTCATTTTCATGTAAAGTGCAAATAAATAAAATCCAGCATTAAGAAAAAAAAAAGAGAGTGATCCATCTCTTCCCTCATGAAGGGTAGCTGCTTTGTTTATGGCCACAATAATATTATTGATGTCCAGAAGGCACATGTCACATGTGTTAGCTTTCCCACTCTTTGATTTCATTCTCACATCTTCATATTCACTTGACCCTTTCCTCCCTCATTAACACTACCTCAAATAAGGCAAAAATGTATCACAGAGATATCTTTCACAGAGCAAATATTTTTGATAAAATGATTAAAAATAGAACTAATTTTTCTTCAAAAAGCTTCATCAACTGCTGAAATGGACCTTGAGAAAGATATGAAGAATCAATTCTGCCACAGATGGAGAAAAGAAGAAAAGCACTGAGGTCAAAGCACAGTTAAGGATGGAAGACCCCCCTTTCACAATTTCTGACCAAACCAATAAAATGAACAGCAACAAGATGTTCCACTTTCTCCACTTTTTCCCAGACAAGATTTTTTTTTACCTACCCCTGAGAACCATCTACAAAGAAATAATATTTTCAAAACACAACCATATATTCTTCTGTAATAAAGAAGTATATTGTAACATTATATGTTCTTTATGTTGCTGGGGACAAGACACACATGCTGTACACCAGGATTTTTGTTTGCCAACCTGGACATTAGTCGCCACCTCATTATATAGTTTACCAAATAGATGTAAATTCTGTGTATGTTTATTTTGTTTACGATTCAACAGCAAATAAAAGCAGTTAATCATCACCAACAAAGCCATAGAATAAGTTTTAAATTCCCCACACTATATACATATCAAATAGTAGGATTCCTTTCCTAACTTTTTTAAATACACAAAATACCTAAAAAAGGCAAGATTTTAGGAAAGTTGTTAAGACAGACAATTTTGAATAAATAACTGTGGAGGACAGCAGACTAAGTATTTTTCTAATTTTTACTGACACAGCTCTCGATTCAAACCCAATGTGCAGATGAAGTGAACAATCAGTAGTGCCCTAAATTCTACCATTTTGTCTCCTGACTTTACATTAACACTTAATACTAAACTTCAATATGGTGTTTTCTGTTGGCTCCCCTCTTGCTGTTTGATACTAGCTTGCTAGACCTATTAATCATTTATAATTTTTTAAAAAATTTTTATTTCAATGGATTTTGGGAGAACAGGTGGTTTCTCATTACATGAATTCTTTCTTTAGTGGCGATTTCTGAGATTTTGGTGCATCCATCACCGAGCAGTGTACATTGTACCCAACCTGTAGTCTTTATACCTCACCTGCCTCCCACTCTTTCCCTCAGTCCCCAAAGTTCACTGTATCATTCTTATGCCTTTGCATCCTCATAGCTTAGCTCCCATTTATGAGTGAGAATATAAAATGTTTGATTTTCCATTCCTGAGTTACTTCACTAAGAATAATGGTCTGCAATTCCAACCAGGTTGCTATGAATGCCATTATTTCCTTAGACCTATTAATTTTAATCGGCTACTTGGTTTCCCTTCCTGACCATTGTTAGCAGGTTTGTTCTCTTGCTCATGGTCTAATGGTGTGTCAATTGAAATAGAGACCAGAGGCATTGATTCTCCAGGATTTCCACTTGCATTATTCTATTTTCACAGCAGAGGTGTGAGATACAGGTATTGGTTGGAGAGAGAATTGATGACCAGGTTAAAAAAACAAACAAACAAAAATCTAAAAGAACTGTTTAATACCCATATGATACAGATATTAGTAATGGTATTTTTCTATTTCTCTGTTTTTTTTAAAAGTAAGCTAATCCATTATAAAATAGAGAAAAATAGTCAAATCATAAGAGTATAACTCAATCACAAAAGTATAACTCAATACATTTTAACAGGCCAAATATACATGTATGTGTGTGTGCACATTTAAAAAAATATATATATACACATATATATTTGTGTGTGTATATATATATACACACACACACCCCACACACACATATATATATACATATATATGTATATGTATATATGTATATGTATATATATGTGTGTGGGGTGTGTGTGTGTGTGTGTGTATGTATTTTAAAGTAGCCCTCAGGGTAAAGCAAATGAAAACTACAGTGAAATACCATGTCACATCCACTAGGATGTCTATTACAAAAAAGACAGATAATAACAAGTTTTGGTTAGGATATGGGAAAGGTTGGTAAGGATATGGGAAAGTTGGAACTCTCATACACTCCTGGTGGGAATGCAAAATGATGCTCTTGCTTTGAAAGCAGTCTGAGAATTCCTTGGGAGTTTAAATATAGTTGTCATATGATCCAGAAATTCCTTTTCTAGGTACATACTCAAAAGATTCAAAATGTATATCCACACAAAAACTTGTACACAAACGGTCATAGTGGCAATATTGACAATAGCTAAAAAGTAGAAACACCCCAAACTGATGAATAAACAAATATTTTATATATACATAGCTAATAAAATATTATTCAGCTATAAAAAGAGTGACATAATGATATATCCTACAGCATGGATAAGTCTTCACAAAATGCTAAATGAAAGAAGCAAGTCACGAAAGACGTTTCACAATGTTATTTATAAGAAAATTTCAGAATAGGCAACCTATAGAGATGGGAAATGGATCATTTGTTGCATAAGGCTGGAGTAGAAGAAGAAACAGTGACTGCTATTGTTTTTTTTTTTTTTTGGTCAAGGGGAGTGATGAAAATATTCTAAAATTGCAATGACAGTTGCACAACTCTGAAAAATATGCAAAGTACATTTCAGTAAAGCTATTATCAACAAAACAGAAAATCTGCTTATCTGTTTTGGAATAACTGCAGTATCTTATATTTATGTTTATAGAAAATAATGGAAAATAAAATATCAAGAAATAGAACATTAACATTATAATGGACAGATTCTAAAGGGACACCAAATGATCTGTTTTTTGTTTCACACACAATGGTGTGAACACCATTCCCTATTCCCTCTCCCTTTGAGAGGAAGTGAGACATTTACCTTGCTTATACCCAGTAGAATATGACAAAGGTGATAGGATACGACTCTCATAATTACATTATGTTATATCGCTAAAGCAATCAGGTGTCACTCCTGAGATTACATTGTTTTATAAAAGACTCTTAGTTTTTCTCACTCTCCTAGTGGCCTTGATAAAGCAAGTGGGCATCATCGTAACTTGTCTATGGAAATGTCCACATGCCAGGAGCTGCAGGTAGTCTACAAACTGAGGGCCTCAGTCCTCTAACAATAAGGTAGTGAATTCTGCCAACTGAAGTGATCTTGGGAGTAGACTTTTATCCAGTTGATCTAACAGATGAGAAAGGCCAGTAGACATCTTCTTTTTTTTTTTTATTTTAAAATTTTGTATAGAGCTGGGGTCTCGCTATATTGCCCAGGATGGTCTTGAACTCCTAGGCTCAAGTGATCCTCCTTCCTTGGCCTCCCAAAGTGCTGGGATTACAGGCATGAGCCACCCCAACTAGCCCCAGGAGACATCTTAACTGCAATAGACATCTTAACTGCAGCCTGATGAGGCCCTGTTGTGGAGTTCCCAGCAAAACCTGTCTGGACACCTGACGTACAGAAACTGTGATATATTAAATACATGTTTTGTTTTTTTTTAAGCCACTAAGCTTGTGGTGACTTGTTATGCAGCTATACATTGCTGATATTTTCTCCTCTCAAGCACTACAACCTTATTGTCAAAAATGACCAATATTTTAATTTCAAAAATGTTGAAATAGTATTGACTATTTTAAAAGCACATAGTTAGAATCAAAGAATGTAAATATTTTTTCCTGGTTTCCAGTGCCCAACAGCATGGTTATGAGAGTAATTTCTTTTGTGTGTGGTATTAGTTTGCTCATCTTCATACTGTATGGCATACCACTGTGTAAATTAATATATCAAAATTTATTTATCCATTTTGTTGTTGATTTACATGAGAGTTGTTTGTAGTGTTCGAGTTATGTTGCTCTGAATATTCTTATTTACGTATCTGTCTTTGGGTGAAATATACACAAACACACACATATTTCAATTGAATATACCTATAGACAAGATTTTGGGTTATAGAATATCTAATATTTATATATTCAGAATTATTGACACTGCCAGTTTTCCACAATAGTTCTACTCATGCCAGGAGGGTACAAAAATTTGGGTTTCTATATATCTTTTACATTTCAGATAGTTTTGATTTTAGATATTTGGTAGTGGTACTCTATATTTTCCATGAAATAACTATCACATTATATTAGCCTTTGACATTTTTCATGTCATCTTACTTGTTTATAATTTATCTTTCTCTACTAAGACCAACATTTTCTTTTTGAGATGTAAACTTTGTCCGCTTTTTTATACACCTATATACCCAGCTTTCATAAAGAACATAAATGTTTCATAAAGAACATAAATGTTTGCTAAATGAGTAAACTACTCACATAGGTAGTCAGTCCCTTCTCCCCATGCCCTTTTTAAAAAGCATTCCTAAAGGGAGTGGAACTGCAATATATGGCTACTAATGCTGAAGCAGCTTAGTTTAATGACATTCTTTCTGGCCAATTTATGAAAACGTTATAACACATTCTACTCACAAAATTTAAAATTTAAGAAAAACAATTTATCAAACTATAATATGTATTTTATAGTACTCTGGGCAGTTTGGGTTGGAAAAGTGGGTGAATTCTAAGTATAAAAGGAAAGGGGAGCACCAAAACTCACACACAATTTGTTACTATAACTTCCCTTAATCATTTGGACCACATATTTTTTAGTAAGAAAGTTTGGTGGATAGTCTTTAAATCAGATGATTTCTAACTTGTCTTTCAGTTGTTCTCCTCTATGACTTTACATATTGAGTAGATGGTAGAATGTAGGTTGATGATAAACTGTATATATACTTAAGCTTATTTATCTAGTTAAAATATGACAATCTTTCTTCGAAACTCAAAATTATAACTTTAAAATATTTATGTATCTTTGTTATATCCAAAGGAAAAATTATCTCTCTAGTTTTGCAATAACAGATGTTTTACTTGTGCTTTCAAGCCCAACTTCTAAAAAAATGCTTTCTTGAAGGTTGTTAATAATGATATCTTACTTGGCAAACATCTGAGCTCTGATTACCAAGCCTTGTTAAGATGAATGCAAAGAACACAGTTCTGACCCAGAACTATGTACCCTTATTTCTATTTACCTTCATATTTCTGAGGAATATCCATATCTCTGGGCTATCATGGCTTTCCTTGCTCTCCTCTGCCACACCAGAATGTGTTGCTTTCTGGTAAATGTCATTGGATTGGGATGCTAATGTCTCTTTATTTTCTTTTCCTATATACAGATGCCATCTTTGCAACTTTGTAGACACTAAATATAGCAGACCTTCCATTTCTTCGCCTATATAAATAAAAAAAGACTCAGGATTTCTATGGTTCTATTAAATTATACTATTCAACGCTTCAACATGTTGAGATACCTGCTGTGCTCTTGCTAGATTTTCAGTTAATTAATTTTGGTTCCAGAAATATAAAATTGAAAAAAGATTCAATACTAGGCTACCAAAGCCCTTCTTTTGAGAAAATGATACATAGGTATGTCCTCAGAATAATGGCATGAAATAAAGCTCAGATGATATAATACAGGATGTAGGTTCTCGGGAGCCTGTTGCCAGAACTTACATTTTGCAAGCCTGATTCATAACTTACAGCAGTGTGTTCTTTCCTTAAAGGAAGCAGACAGAGCTTTGCCAAGAGAAAGTGTGCAATTACTATAGGTCATTCTCCAGAGGCACTTAGCAATCAGAAGGAGCAGTAAGTGGCTGTGAAGCAGAGGCAATGTGATCGAAGACAATATTCCTTCCCTCTACACAAGACATGAAAGTGCTATAAAACATATGAATAAAAGCAAAATCAGAATAAGATAGCTGAAATCTGATACATCAAACATAGATGCAGGATATTCACTCTGTAAATAATGGTGATGATCTGATTCTTTTGTAGTTATATGCACACAGTTAAAAGAGGGTGATTAAGATGAGACAAAATCGACTAAAGGGTACATTTATTAAATACTTTTTAAAGATCTGCTTTGCTATGATCATTTGGGAATCATTTAATTTGTACAAAATGTCAGTAAAGTTACTAAGTCATTTGTAAATATAAACTTAATTATTTTGGTGAATTTAACAAAGGTCCAAAATTATAGTATTTTGGTTTTATAAGACATGATCTTATTTCCACAACTGAAGGTATACCCCTTAATAACCCTATTTTCTATAATAGTGGCTATAAAAATGTGGTCCCTAGACCAGAAACATCAATATCACTTGAAAAATTCTTAAAAATACTGTATTTCAGACCCCACTTTAAACCTACTGAAACAGAAATTAAGGAGATTCACCCAGTAATCTGTGCTTTTACAAGCTTTCCAGATAATTCCAATGCACTCTAACATTTAAGAACCACCATTCTTTGAAATTAAATTTCATCTTTCCTTTATATGTACCCAAAATTCCAAATTACAGATCTTCAAAGGATGTATTTTCAATGTTTCATAAAGTCCACTAGGAGTTTTATATTAGTATAATTAAAACATTGCAGTATAGTGGTCTTTTGATATCTTCAGAGGAAAGGTTCCAGGACCCCTGCAGATACCAAAATTCAAGGATGCTAAGTCCCTTATATAAAATGGCATGGTATTTGCATACACTCTATGCACATCCCCCAATACACTTTCAGTATCTGTAGATTACTTATGATACCTAATTCAAGGTAATGCTATGCAAATAGTTGTTTTCCTGTATTGCTTTTTAAGTTTGTATTTTTTACTGTTGTATTTTTATTTATTTATTGAATATTTTGATCCGGGTTGGTTGAATCTGCTGGTGAGGAATCTGTAGATACGGAGCACCAACTGTAATGTTAATTACTTTGTCCTAGTTATATATTTGGTTTACCATTTATGTGGCTATAATAAATAGAAAGTAACTTTTTAAAATGTTGCTTCTTACATATAGCAGCTATAAAACATGACTGAAGAAATTAAAAAGAATGCTTTAGTAGCGAACAGATTTGGATTCACTGATGCCTGCCTTATTTATTTGCAACAATTTTGGATTACTTACAATTACTATTCATGTTGTTTTTCCCTTTGAACTTTTTAAGAAGGTAGACTCCTTGTAATTCCTTACATTTTTACCTAAAGTGTTTTTTACTCCTAATATTGAAATTATAATTTTACTTTTACATTTCAAAAGCAATAGTTAATAATATTTTAAAGACTTATCTTTAAGTAGCCTGATCATTTTAATAAAGTGAGTGGTGACTTTTGTTTGTTTGACACTTTGTGGCAAATATATGTAACATAAAATTTACCACCTTAGCCATTTTGAAGCACGTAGTTCAGCAGTGTTCAATACATTCATATTGTTTTGTGATCTCCAGAATATTTTCATCTTGCAAAACTGAAACTCTATACCCATTAAACAACTCTCCATTTCCCCCTTCCACAAACCCGTGGTAACTCATTCTACTTTCTGTGTCTATGAGTTTGGCTACTTCAGATAAGTCATGTAAGTGGAATCATACTGTATTTGTTTTTTGTTTCCGGCTTATTTCACTAACCCCAATTTCCTCAAGGTTGATCCATTTTGTAGAATGTTTCAGAATTTCCTTCCTTTGTAAGATTAAGTAATATTCCATTGTGTGCATATACTCCATTATGTCTATCTGCTCATCCACCAGTGGACATTTGGGTTGTGTGTTAGTCAGAATAGCTTTAACAAAATACTATCAACTGGGTAGATTTAACAACAGAAATGTATTCCTCAGTCTTGGAGGCCGGAAATCCAAGATCAAGGTGCTGTTAAGGTTACATTCTTCTAAGACCTTTCTCCTTGGCTTGTAGATAAAGCTGCTTTCTCGCTGTGTCCTCACATGGCCTTTTTTCTGTAGTTGCATGCCTCTGGTATGTCCTGCTGTTCTTATAAGGACCCCAGTCTTACTGGATTATGGCCTTTCCCTAAAACCTCATTTAACCTTAATTACTTCCTTAAAAACCCTACCTCTGAAGGCAGTACCATTGGAGGTTAGGATTCCAACCTCCAAATTTTGCATGGGACACAGTTCAGCTCAAGGCAGGCTGCTTCTACATTTTGGCTATTGTGAATGATGTTGCTATAAACATGAATGTACAAATATCTCTTTGAGACAATATGAATGTATAAATATCTCTTTGAGACACTTTCGCTTTCAATCATTTTGGATACACCCAGGAATAAAACTGTTGGATTGTAAGGTAATTCTCTTTTTTTTTTTTTTTGAGCAACCACCATATTAAGTTATTTTTACAAGACAGTCATATCGCACAGTAAAGATACAGACAGAACAGATATTTTGTTGGATAATCTTATTAGTTTCCAAGTACTCAAAGACAAGGTTATATATTCACTCTAAAACAGAAGCCTCAATTAGACTCTTTAATATTTATGCTTCCTAATAAAAAGAAAAAAACTATCATTTTTAAAAATCTTAAAAATCTTTTGGGTATATCTATGATTGTTTATCTGTGCTTAGTTCTACAAATAAAGAATTGTTATTTATGTGATGTGATGATGCTATATAAAACTTGCAGATTAAAACTTATCTACTAATATTCTTATCTATTAAGATTCAAAACATCTGAATAGACATTTTATCACCAAACAATAATTTTGATATTTATTCATAAAAATAATAATTTAGCAATGAATTAATTTGGTGTGTTTAGCAACTTAGAAATTATAGTAACAGAAACTTAACAATAAAGTAATAGGCACGTTTACATGCATAAATTCTTTTTAACTGATATATTGTACATCGATACATGTTGTGGGGCAAAATTAATAACCATTTTTTCTTTAAAAGAAATGCCAGAAACATGCTGTATTTCATTTCTACAATAATAATTTATTTCTCCTGCTCTAACCAAATAACATGACGGCAAGTGTTATATTGATTTTTTCAAAGTCATATTTCAGTAGAAAATATTGCAGATATATAATTCTACTTAAAATTGGGAAATTCACAAAGACCTATTATTAAATAAAATACTACTTGTTGTGAAAAAATATTTTAGAGTCTCCTCAATGGCATGAGAAAGTAATAGAATTGGAAGAATTAACTTTCAGTTTCAGTCTCTTACTGTAGCAGGACGAGCCGTATACAAAACTCTTCAGACACTGAGTTAAGGAAGGAAGGGGTTTATTCTGCAGGGGGCATCAGCAAGACTCCTGTCTCAAAAGCTGAGCTCCCCGACTGAGCAATTCCTGTCCCTTTTAAGGGCTCACGACTCTAAGGGGGGGGGGTGCATGTGAGGGGGTAGTGATTGATTGAGCAAGCAGGGGTTACGTGACTGGGGGCTGCATGCACCCACCGGTAATTAGATCAGAACAAAACAGGATAGGGATTTTCACAGTGCATTTCTACACAATGTCTGTAATCTATAGATAATATAACCAGATTAGGTCAGGGGTGGGTCTTTAACTACCAGGCCCAGGGTGCAGTGCCGGTCTGTCTGCCTGTGGATTTCATTTCTGCCTTTTAGTTTTTACTTCTTTCTTTGGAGGCAGAAATTGGGCATAAGACGACAGGAGGGGTGCTCTCCTCCCTTATTACCATAGTAGTGTGACTTAGCAGCACGTTCCAATTTACTCCTGTATGCTTATTCAGCCCAATCAGTCACTAATATGCTACTGAAGTCAGAGATAAAATTGGCTTACCCACAGTAGTTACATGGCTCTCTACAAAACAATTCAGAAAACAATGTCACCAGCAAAACTATATTCTTACGAATATACCAATTAAAAACACAAATATACTGATTGAAAAGACAGTTCAGAATCTGGCTTGAAACTACTTACTTGTGTACCTGTAAGAATTTTTCACATAAAATTGAATTCACAGACATTTTATTCAGGCAAGGAAATAGTTTTTTTAAAAAAATAGTTTTTTTTTGTTTTCTAAATAAAATTTCTAGTCATTTATTCCAGTAACTTTAAAATTTAGTTGGAGCAGTTAGATTTTTTTAAATGATTGTCATAATTGTATGGACTAAAACATTCAGAAATTAAAAACAGTATAAATTACTTGCACATCATTTTTTTCATAAACTATTATATTGACTTTAATTTTGGCTGTCATTTGCGACAGACAAATATCAAGGGGATGATTTGGTAATATGAAAACAGTTTTATTATCTCATGCTTTTATTTCTTAAAGAGTCTATTTATAGACATTACATTTCTGACTGGCAATGAAGATGTGCCTGTATAAATTGTTGTTTTGTATCTTTTTTAAAAGAAGGGAAGGGAATCATATACCTGGATTACACAGTGTATGGCTAATGACGGTCTGCCCTAGGTGTCACAGAAGGGGCACTGCCCAGTTGATGGACAATTTCATATGTCCAGTTTGAATTCTGAAAGTCAAATCACACTTCTTCCTAAGAGTGTGTTTTGTGGTTAATTACTCAAGGAAATTGAGGTGATATGTTTATAAGAGGAAAATGAGGAATGAAATACAAAATACTGAAACGTGTTTGGTTTATTTTATGAGTCCTTTAACTTAAAATGCCAAATTTAGACATATTTTTGGCTAAAATTAATGACCACCTAATCAAAATATTCTCTCAAATAAACCCACATAAAGATGGCTTCATGACTATTTTAGTAAGGATGCATTTAGTGTGTAGACCAGAAAAAAAAAATGAATAAAAGTCATAATTTTTATGTTTTTATGTATTTGAAAGTTGTTCTTATTTTAGCCAAAGTCTGTATTTAGTTTGTATTTAGTTGGGTTTTATATCAGAGATTCACTGAATTCAATCCTTTAAAAAAATAATTGAAAACTGAATATGTGTTTTAGGAATAGAGACTCAAAGTAGTGAATAATAAGTCCTTGTTTTCATGGGGGTGGGCATGAGAGGACAGTATAAGTTAGAGATAGAGACCATTAAAGGAAAAAGCATTTTGGGCCAGCGCAGTGGCTCACACCTATAATCCCAGCACTTTGGGAGGCTGAGGCAGGCAGATCACAAGGTCAGGAGATCGAGGCTATCTTGGCTAACACGGTGAAACCCCATCTCTACTAAAAATACAAAAAATTAGCCGGGCGTGGTGGCAGGTGCCTGTAGTCCCAGCTACTCAGGAGGCTGAGGCAGGAGAATGGCATGAACCCGGGAGGTGGAGCTTGCAGTGAGCCAAGATCATGCCACTGCACTCCAGCCTGGGCGACGGAGCAAGACTCCACTAAAAAAAAAAAAAAAAAAAAAAAAAAAAAAAAGCACTTTGAAGAAAAAAAGTAAAGCAATAGAGAGTGGTAGATGGGCACCTTAATACCAGATATTCAGAGAAATAAATTAATGGCCTTCATAATGGTGGGTTTCATTGGGCTGTTAGAAAAGCCTAACTTGAGATGGTTTGGAAAGAATATGAAGGCAGGAAGTCTTAGTAGTAATATTTAAAGAAAATATACTTCATAGAAGAACAAAGAAACGAACAATATTAGAAAAATACTCCATTGTTTCAATTCAACCTCTGCTTCTCTCATCATATGGCTGTCTACGAATCTTTTTCTTCTATTTATGTTTGTCTCTGTGTCCAGATTTTCCTTGTTATAAAGACGCTGGTCATATTGAATTAGGGCCCATCATAAAGAGCTCACCTTTACTTAACTCCTCTGTAAAGACCCTATTTCCAAATAAGATCACATTGTAAGGTATTAAGGGTTAAAACTTCAACATATCTTTTTGGGGACACGATTCATCCTGTAGCATCTTAGATCTAGATGGTGGCCATGAGAATTGAGATCATGAGAAAGATTTGAGAAATATTTAGGTAGAAGAAATGATTTCATGCACATGCCAAAAAAGATAATACTTAAAATTATTTGATACATTTTTACATATTCTAATGACTAAATGGCTAGAAATAACATTTGTGATTTAAAAGAGGCCAAAAGCTTTAAGACTTCTTTCATAGTAATTTAAGGAGTATGCTTGGAATGTCCTCCTTACAACTATAAGCTCTTAAATTATTTGTTATATTATTCTCTTTTAAATGTTTATTTGCAAATTCATTTCCTCACTGCTTAGAAATAACGGCAATATTGAAATTGGGCAGAATTGATTGTAAGGTCATCATTGATAAATAGCAAATAAAAATAGACAAATAATAACTATTTTATTGTGTCATTCTTCTCCTTTGAGCATTTGATATAATTAAAAACTCAGATAAATAGTCCCCAAATTTTACATACTATTTAGGATGAACACCTTATACAGCCTTCATTAATGTTAATAACCATTTATTATTATATATAATAAATGTGTGAGCTATTTGGCTTTTATCAATGTATGGTAACTATTTCAAATATAAGTAACAGAGAGTAGGCAAATATTTGCCATTTAAAAAGACACAATATTTTTTAATTTTATAAACTTTAGATTTTAGTTTCAAGATTCTCAAACATTACATAATTCTTCTTGAAAGATATGTATACACTTGATAAATTTTTCTTTGTAACATGCATGACCTTATGCGATATATTCATTTTGACTCCGGATTACCTGATTATAACAAATATTTTGTCTGTTTCACACATTACTGTATTCCCTGAAATGAAAATAATGTTTAGTAAATAGTAGGTGCTTGATAAAAATTTGTTGAATGAATGAATATAACCATAGGCAAAAAAAAAAAAGAAAAGAAAAGAAAAGAAAGAAAGCATTTCATTAGGGCTATCCAAAACAGAGAAATCAGAATTTAAATAGTAAGAAAGCAGACAGAGAAAATGAAGGAGGAGACAATGTGAGAAAAAAAAAGAGAGAGAGACATCATGGAATGTGACAGAGATATATTCCTTTATCCTCCTTTCAGCATCTAAGCTATACGTCAGCAGTTTGAAGGAAGTAATAAACTACAGAATATGCTTCCATTGGGTTGGAAAAATTTAAAATATAGCCTTCTTCAGAAGATGGTATCAAAAGTTTAGTTTCATAATTTCTAGGCTCAAAAGCTCATCAGGGACCTGAGGTAAATAGCAGCCAGGAATAATGCCAGATCCATACATCCTAAAAGTTCATCTCAGTTCTATTTAATAGACATGATCTTAACACCTTCAAACAATTGCAGACACTTACATCATCTACATTCTGTGCACAAACATACTTTCATTGTGCCACTTAATATTATCCCAAATTTATTTGCACATCTGTGGTGATATCTGGAGGTTGAGAACTTGTTTTTGTTTTGTTCAGTTATGTTTTTTATTTCCTACTTGGCCCCCAAGTCCATTGCACAGTGACTGGCACACAAAGAATTCAGTAAATAAGTCCGGGATTCATTTTCCCATTATATTTAAAATTATGTACTGGAATAGACTGTTGTAAGTACTAAATTATATTCCCGCTATTGCCTTAAAAACTTGCAATGCTATTTCAATCATTTTATGCATCAAACTATCCTATGCATATGCCTCAAAAGAGTTCTTAGAGCTGTAAGCTTCAAGTTTGAGCCTTACCTGGCTGAACACAATTTGATTTACAAATTTATCCTGAAATTCAAAGAAAGAGATAAGAAAACTGAAGGAAAAGCAATTTTTCTTTTCATAAAACCTTACTACATTTTTAAAAATGCAAACTTGACAGACTGAAAATATCCCAACTGTGCTTGCCTGTATGCATAATGGCTTTATACCACTTTTGTGTTTGTCAAAATTTCTATAGAAATCACAGACCAGCTTTATCTCTTGACTTTCAAACATACCTCAAGTAAAATATGCTGAGGTAGTAAAACTAATTTAAGTTCCGTGAAAAGTATTCCAGTAAGAACTCAAAAGCAACACATTAGTTGGCTTTCTAAAGCCTAACAGCTTATCTGATATCAACACAAATAAAAATGTAGTTTTAGTTATATGACCGAGAAAAGGAAATTAAATGCAAGTTAAATTGTAGCTAACAGTTAGATATGCCATGTGCCAGCCGGTGAATTAAACCTTTTACAGATTAGAATATTGAGGTTTGGAAAATGGAGAGAAAGTCTCATACATTTTATGAGGTCTTGGAGTTTGAAGTCAGGCAACCAATAACGTATTGTGGGAGAAAAATAAAAGAAAAGCTACTATATAACCTGAAGAGTAGCAAACAAATTATTCTAGAGACCTGGTTGTGAGACTTATTTATCCCCAATCATCTTTATTCCAAGCATGTAGCCAAAAACAGCCAACCCTTGATGGGGTGTCTGTAGTCTCCTTCTTCAAGCCAACCCTTGAAGCAAGAGAAGAGCATATGGCTTCTTGTTACCTTTGTCATGGTGAAATATGAAAGATATGCTACCATATGTTTGGCCAATTAAGATATAGTACCTTAAAATTCACATAATATGCCAACTTAAGCTCTACTTTAAACATACATAATGCCTTTCTAAAATTCTTGCTGATACAGTAAAACCACAGTTTAGAAATCAGATTATTTTCAAAGTGAAATCTGAAATTTAACTTAGATCTATTATCTCAATAGAAAGTTATATGTATTTTAATGAAAAAATAATTATATATGTCATATGCATATGTACTTATTTACATATTACATAACTATGTCTCCATTTTTGTAGTATATAAAGTTATCAGTTTATTTAAAATTCGTTCAAATAAACAGTCATGTTTATTTAAGATTTCAATTTTGCATAAGGCATAATTGTCAGGCCTCTGAGCCCAAGCCAAGCAATTGTATCCCCTGTGACATGCATGTATACGCCCAGATGGCCTGAAGTAACTGAAGAATCACAAAAGAAGTGAAAATGGCCTGTTCCTGCCTTAACTGATGGCATTCCACTACCAAAGAAGTGAAAATGGCAGTCCTTGCCTTAACTGATGACATTACTAAGGGCGGACTCAGCGAGTTCACGTCCCTATGAAGAGACCACCAAACAGGCTTTGTGTGAGCAACAAGGCTGTTTATTTCACCTGGGTGCAGGTGGGCTGAGTCCGAAAAGAGAGTCAGCAAAGGGAGATAGAGGTGGGGCTGTTTTATAGGATTTGGGTAGGTAAAGGAAAATTACAGTCAAAGAGGGGTTGTTCTCTGGCGGGCAGGAGTGGGGTGCTCAGTGGGGGAGCTTTTTGAGCCAGGATGAGCCAGGAGAAGGAATTTCACAAGGTAATGTCATCAGTTAAGGCAGGAACTGGCCATTTTCACTTCTTTTGTGATTCTTCAGTTACTTCAGGTCATCTGGATGTATAGGTGCAGGTCACAGGGGATATGAGCTTGGGCTCAGAGGCCTGACAATAATATCATTCCTAAAGTTAAAAAAATCAATTGCTATCCTTATTGCATGAGATAATTTATATATTTTATTGTCAGTGAATATAGAAAGACTATTTAGTATTCATGTTCTATTTCTTTTTAAAAATATATATTATAAAAATTTTGGAATAATTTTAGATTTACAGAAAAGATGCAAAGGTGGTATGCAATTTATCTGTTTACTCTTCATAAGTTTTTCCTAATGTCAATACAGTTCATAATGATGTAGTTGAAAAAAACTATAGAATTAATATTAGTATGTTATTACCTCAACTACAGACTTTTTTCCCAATGTCCTTTTTTGTGTAAGATTTCAATCCAGGATCCATTGCATTTAGCATGCTATACTTTTTAACAATGCACTCTTTTACAAGATAGGTGTCCATATTTTTTTTTCAATAATGAATATTTTTCTTAATAATTGGTTCCCTATGATTGTTATGAGAATAACAATACCTCCATATATATAAATTATACATATTACATATTATACATACAGATTAGATATAATATATAATACATAAGGCAAGCAATTTACAGCTTACATATTACATATATACTACATTCTATAAGCACTTCTATCTACATATAACATAAATATATGATATTGCATATACATAATAATGTGTGTATGTGTCTAGGTATGTATCTCCTGACAAAAAATTTGAGAAAATTGAATACTACTTTCTTGCAGAAATGCAATGTAAACAAGCATAGATATAGGTGATGAGAAGTGGAACAGTTAGTATTTTTAACTTTGTGAAATTTAAAATTCTCAATTTTACTAAAATTCTATTTTTAAGTTATAAATACACCCAATAATATACCCAATGATTTGTGGTTCATAATTGCAATGGAGAGGCATTATGTTAATCATATTGTGTTATATCATTAGTTATGTCATAATATAGAAGCATATTAATAACTGTAAAATCCACTGTTTAAAGGTTCAAAATCAGTTTAAGTGAATGAGAGCATAATTTGATGATGTCTTCTACAAAATATTAGACTTGATAAATAAATTACTTATAACTTTGTAACTTTGTTGTTAAGCATATGAATACAAAGGCAGACAATATGCTTGAAATCCTAGCATTATTACAAATTGAGTAACCTTGGGAACTATGCCTTAGTCTCCTTGCCTGTTAAATTCAGTTAATTATAGTATCTACTTTATAGAATTGTTGAAAGGATTAAACTAGTAAATTCATGTAAAACACCTAAAGTAGTGTAGTGACTTGTAAATAATCAGTGTTATTAGTAATCATTTTCATAAACTAATTGTATATATAAGTGCCATTATTGATATTTATTTGTATCATCAGAACATTTTTATATTACCTAATTCGCTATCTTGAATGATATTATTTTTCATTCCTCATGTCATAAAACTAATAAATATATTCACCGGAAGCTTAATATTTATCCCCATTCAATTCTTTAAGAATCCACAGAAATATGTGGCAATATGCAAAAGAGATGTCAAATTTCCCCATAGTAGAGTCTACAAGCACTCCTGACAATGTTTTCTTTTAAAATTCTCCATTATGATAGCTTTTCCTGCACAATGCTAAGCAACAATACCTCCCAGGCTTTGCAATTCTTGAAACAGAAAGAGCCCATCAATAAAACAGAAGAAGGCTACACAGTAAGGGAAATCTTCAAATGGTTTCTCAAGTTTTTCTATTTCCCTTCAAGAAAATTAGTGAAACTCCAAACAGGAAAAGACTGAAATGTCTATTTATTCAAGCTCTAGAGGGATCAGCTAAGTCTTTCTGCTTACATTAGATATTTTTATTGTTTTGTTTGTTTTCACACCCCTACACATAATCACTTTGAATCTCATGGCAAGGATGAAAGAATAAGTACAGCATCCTCCAGATAACATTTTAAAAAATACAAATTAAACATAATTTCAGAACTAGCCAGTGTTTTTTAAGGTGAATGTTCTACTCTTCAAACTATAATGACAAACAAAACAACTTTCAAATCATTTGATTGCATTGTGTTATAATTTTCCATAGATACCTATTGTCATTCAAAAAGACTGAAAGAGAAAAGCATCCAAGAAACATAAATGTAAGATGACTTGGTCTTTAAATAAAAGGCCACAGTCAAAAATCAGTAGTAAAATAAAATATTGATTTAAGAGGAACAGATATCCCAAGGAACAAGCAAGATTAATGTGGAGATAGTTGCAATAATTCAAGCAGGAGATGATGAAGGAAGTGTAACCTGCACATGTTTAAGAGGTGAGAATTAGTGTTTAGACATTGTAGAGTGTGTGGAAAGGAAAATACAGACTTTGTGCAAGGATTTGGGTCAGGTTTCCCTTTTGATTCATGGAACAAACCTGAAGTTCACATTGACATGAATTTCAATTACCCTCTGAAGATCACTTCCTTGATCTTCAACTGAATTATGAGAGTAGGAAGCTGTTTTTACAATATTAAAGATGTGGTCACGTGATCAGATGGTGATATACTACAGCTCTGGAAACTGAAAGAGTTTATCATGTAAGATAAATTAATATGACAGCTCAGCATGAGAAAGCAAGAATTTAGTGGAGACCTTGAGACTTGTGGAATGTTTAAACCAGACGTAGAGGAAAACTGAAGTTGCTGATTAAACCTACATAAAATAACTGTTTAGAAAGATGGAAGACTGAGCTAAGTTTTAAAGTCATAAATTGTTTGGCACTAAACTGCTCATTTTCCCAGTTGTCTCTGGTGTGTTCAACATATCAGTTATAAAAGCAGGGAAACAAATTTTAGAGTATTTTGTTTACCAAAAATAGCAAGTTAGAAATAGAAATGTATTTATGAAAAAAGACACATGTATCTACATAGTTACACCTATACACACTCGTACACCTATACACACATGTATTTAAATGTCTATGTATATACATACACACATTAAGACCATTTAATCATTTTCTAGGATATTACTTAAAAATGGACACATGAAATAATATATGCACATACTAGTCTTGCTGTATACATTAGGCACTCCTTTATGATTATTACATAGAAAAATCTTTGAATCATTGAGTTTCCTAAAAATAATTGAAGAAAAGTAACATTGCTTTTAAAACCTATAAAATTTATACATAAAATGTAAGAAAATATTAAGGGAAAGTATTCTATAAGTGTATGAATCTGACATAAGTGAAAACTCAAAATTCTTTAGTTACAGAAACATATTCATTATAAAATTTACGCAAATTTAAGATGGTTGCAGTAGCTGACACCTGCAAGCTCAGCAATTTGGGAGGCTGTGGAAGAAAGATCATTTGAGCCCAGGAGTTTGAGACCAGCCTGGGCAACATAGCAAGATCCCATCTCTTAAAAACATGAAATAAAATTAAAAATTTAAGCAAATTCAATAAAGTCCCTTTTAAATAATGAGAACACACCTTCAAAAAAGAAAAAAAATACAATATAAAATCATGTTGAATTAGAAGGTTGAGTAAGAAATGAATATTTATAAATACTGAGGAAAAAAACTCTATAAACAAAAGCACATTTTAACTATAGCTTCAGGGTATTTCCTGAGCCAATATTTACTTGTGTTCATACAGTTTGTTTTTGCAAGGGTTAGAAACAAGCAAACTAATATTTTGTTAAACATTAAATAATTTGCATGTTATGAAGAAAATATGTATTTTTTGAGACTTATAATGACTTTAAATGAAAATAAACAGCGTGTATTTCAAATATATTCTCTCCTCTTCTGGGAGTAGAATTCAGAAAAATGTCTAGTTGTTACAGCATTTGAGGTTATTCTAGAACAAAGCAACTAAACCAACTAATCAGGGATGCATTTGAAGAGAGTAAAGTCAGAGGCAGCACACATCTTTTACAAATGTATCAAGAATTGACTAGTTTACATTAAAATGGGCTTTAAAAATATTCATTGCTAAAAATCAGGTGTGTTGTGATTCATTTTATTCACAAATCTGTTACTCTCTGTCAATAAATCCATATACCTCAACACTGCATCTCAACACAATGAAAGTAAAGAATCCATTTTTATTGCGTTCTAAAACTCACAATTAAATTCTAGGAGGAAAAAGAAAATGACAATATAAGAAGCAGAAGGATTCATCCCACAGCCTCATAAATATGTGAATAACACATACAAAAATAACAAATATGCTGAGAAATATAAAATATGAACATGATTGCCTTAGGGGCCAAGTTAAATGCATTGTTGGGATGCACCCCATGTGAACTATTGAGAAGACTAGATAGAAACAAACACTTCATTTATAGGAAGGAATCATATTATAGAAAGTTGGCCAAAACTGACTCTACGTCCAAAGGAGAAGCCTTAATATTTTTCTAGTAGGTCGACATTATAAGGTCACCATCAAACACGCTCACGAATCATATAGTTAATATTCCCCAGGAAATGGAGGACTATATTGTATGTAGGTAACCTCAAAGACTAACTTTGACATAACTTCCGAGATTGTTCTCATGTAAATTAAGGGTCCTCTTTAACACTGAGATCATTCTGCTCTCATATGGTTTGGCTCTTTGTCCCCACGCAAATCTCATCCGAAATTATAAACCTCATGTATGTGGGGTGGGACCTAGTGGGAGGTGATTGATCATGGGGGCAGTTTTCCCTGTGCCGTTCTTCAGATGGTGAATGACTTCTCACGAGATCTGATGGTTTAAAGGTGTGTGGCTTTCTTCTCTCTCTCTCCTGCTGCAAAGTAAGACACGCCTTGCTTCTCCTTCAACTTCCACCATGATTGTACATTTCCTTAGACTATTTCTAGAATACTTTTATATGATTACACTAAAGGAAATAAGACACAATTTTTTTTAAAAAAAAGATGAATAAATTTTTCAAGCCAAGAAGCTCACACTGTACTAGAGAAAGAAAAATATAAATAAATACAGATAACACTGCATACCAAATACTGCAATGATAAATATATAATTCAAAGAAAAAACAAAGCTGAAAATATTTATTTTGATGTGTTTCAATTCGAGATATTTACCTTCATAAGTAGAATAAACAAAACACTTATTTCTACCATTAATTTAAAAAACATTTATAAAGAAACCAATAGCTGAAATAGGGAATGACTTGAACCTATGAATATGTGCTCATGAATAGCACATATGTGAACAGTGACAAGGAGCATGAGGTAGGCACTAGACACTTAACAGAGGAAAAATGGGGAAACGGTTATATAAGTGAGTTCAGGAATTATATAAATATTCTAATCATAATCTATTTACCAATTGTTATTTATCAACCCCAAATGTTTTCACATATTGGTATAGGTCTATAAGGGAATACAATTTATTGCTGAGCATTAAATGTGCTAAATTAGAGCGTTATAACTAAACTGCACAATATCTGTCAATAGTGTCTTCGTCCAGTGTTTAGCAAACAAGGAGTACCTAACTTTATTGAGGTAAGCTGTGGACATATCCTGAGGACAGAACATGAGCCTGGGGACATTCTTAACTGATCAAACTTATGTCGCAAGTAAGGTTACCAGATGAAATATAGGATGCTATATTTAATTTTATTTTCAGATCATAAATACAGATATGGAGATAGAGAGAGAGTGAGAAAGATGAATGGGTATATAGACAGATAAAATGTGTTTTCTCCATGCAATATTTGGAACATGTTTATACTAAAATAAGTATTATTTATCTAAAATTCAAATTTAATTGGATATCTTTTGTTTTAACTTTGTAATCTGGCAAGCCTAGTCTCTGGATACTTAGCAAGGAAAAACAGGAGAATTTTATACTTCATCCACATGTTAGCTTATAAACCTATTTCCTTCATGAAGGCTCCTGTGATAATCTCACCTTTAGAAATCTTCTGATTTTTTTGAGTGTCTGTCAACACAAGGTTGGAGATTACTAAATTGGATTTAGAAAGAGTGTTCAAAGAGAAGTTGCTAACATTGCTGAGTTATCATGTGAATAATCCACAACACATTTTTACTGCTACAGGTAACACTAGAATGTTAGGACACCTATTAGATTCCAACAGGAGAATACAGAGCAGCAGTGGTACAGTATCACAGGCCATCCAAGACAGGCAATTCTAGGCCCAGAGCATTAATATTTAGCTGTTTTTGACCCATTTTTTTAAACATTGATCAGAGAGGCATTTTTGTAAATTTATGAGGGAATTGGTATTGCATAGACCTAAGAGTAGCATGGTATGTGTATTTGTGATATGCCGTCCAGCATTGTTTTTCAGATTTTATGTATGACTATCTTGAAGTTCCTTTGTCATTCTAGGACAACATGGAAGGAGGAACCCTCCAGCCTATTGCCTATTGCCTTGAGAAGCAACGCCCCCCAGCCTCATTTTGTAAATACATAATTATTATCAATTTTTAAAAACATTTTTCTTGAAATAAGAATATTTGATATTAAACAAGTGTGAAACTATAAGGCAAATATAAAACCCCAACAAATCATTATGTCAGCATCAGGTCATCTCCTGGGCCAAGAGTTTATGATCATGGACTCATTACTTCTACCAAATTAACATAATGTAAAATGTTTTCATGATGCTCTTCTCTACTTGGTTTTTACCCCAGTAAAATCATGATCTTATATGTAAAAGGGTACCCTTTTCCCCGATTTTCACCAAAACTTATTTTTTTAATTATAATATCTATGTTAACAGATGTGAGATAACATCTCATTGTGGTTTTGTTTTGCATTTCTCTGATGATTAGCAGTGTGGAGCACCTTTTAATGTGCCCGTTGATCATTTCTTTGTATACTTTGGAAAAATGTCTGTTCAGATCCTTTTCCTATTTTTTAATTGGATCATGTTTTGCTATTGAGTTAATTAGACTATATTTTTTCAATATTAAACGTTATATATTTTGAATATTAAGCTTTACGTATTAGGAATATTATCAGCTCTGATTTGCAACTATTTTCTCCAATTCTGTTTGTTGCCTTTATGTAAAATACGTTTTATTTTAAATTCAGGGCACAAGTTCATGTTTATTACATGGGTATATTGTGTACTGGTGGGAATTGGGCTCCTAGTTTACTCAGTTGCAAATAGTGAACATTGTACCTGATAAACAATTTTTCAACCCTCACCCTCCTCCTATCCCCCACATTTTGGAGTCTCCAGTGTCTATTATTTGCTTCTTTATGTCCATGTGTACTCATTATTTAGTCCCACTTGTAAGTAAGAACATACAGTATTTTATTTTCCATTTCTGAGTTAGTTCTCTTAGGATAATGACCTTCAGCTCCATCCATGCTCCTGCAAAGAACATAATTTTATTATTTTTGTCGCTGTGTAGTATTCCATGGTGTATATATACCACATTATCTTTATTCAGTCAACTGTTGATGGACTCTTAGGTTGGTTCCATGACTTCGCTATTGTGAATACTGCTGCAATGAACATATGAGGACAGGTGTCTTTTTTATATAATTATTTCTTTTCCTTTGAGTAGACAGCCAGTAGTCCAATTGCTGGGTTGAAGGATATTTCTATTTTTAGTTCTTTGAGAAATCTCCGTACTGTTTTCCAAAGAGGTTAAACTAATATACTACCCACCAACAGGGTATGAGCATTCCCTTTTCTCTGCATCCATGACAACATCTCTTGTGTTTTGATTTTTTTAAAAAAGCTATTTTGACTGATGTAACATGATATCTCATTGTGGCTTTAATTTGCATTTCTCTCATGATTAGTGATATTGAGCATTTTTTTTGTGGTGTTTGTTGGCTGCTTGTATGTCTTCTTTTGAGAAATGTCACTTTATGTCCTTTGCCCAGTTTTTAATGTGGTTGTTTGTATCTTTCTTGAGTTGTTTGAGTTACTTGTTGGTTCTGGATATTAGTCCTTTGTAAGAGGCATAATTTGCAAATGTTTTCTCCAATTCCAATGGTTGTCTGTTTACTCTGTTATTTCTTTTACTATGCAGAGGCGTTTTAGTTTAAGTTAGTTTCACTTGTCTATCTTTGCTTCATTGCATTTGTTTTGGGGGTATTCATCATGAATCCTTGTATGTTGCCTTTTAATAGTGTTTCCTTTGAATGTAGAATCTTGTTAATTTGATGTAGTGTCACGTGCCTATTTTTAGTTTCGATACCTATGTCTTTGGTGCCATATCCAAGAAATTACTGCCAAAGTCAATGCCCAGAACTCTTACCCTATGTCAATCCAGGTGTTTTGTTATTTTAGGGCCTGTGTTTAACCCTTTAATCCATTTTGAGTTGATATTTCTGTATTGTATAAGAGCCCAATTTAAGTTTTTTGCATGTGGATATCCAGTTTTCTCAACACCATTTTTTGAAGAGGCTATTCTTTCCCCATTGTGCATTCATGAACCCTAAGGTTATTAAATATTTAAAAATAGAACAACCATATGAACCAGCAATCCTACCTCTCTGTATATATCCAAAAAAAATTGAAATCTGGATCTTGGAGAAATATCTGCACTCACGTGTTGATTGTAGCATTATTCACAGCATTTAAGATGTGCAAGCAACCTAAATGTCCATTGACGGCTGAATGGATAAGTAATATGATATATTCTGACAATACAGTATTATTGTCTTAAAAACAGGGGAATATCCTTCCATTTGTGGCAACAGGGTGAACAGTAGACCATTTTGCTAAGTGAAATAAGCCAGATATAGAAACACAAGTACTCCATGATTTCACTTATATGTAAAATCTAAGGTAGTCAAACTCATAGAAGCCTGAAGTGTGGAATGGTGGTTTCCAGGGTCTTGGGGAGCAGGAGAGGTGGTACATGGAGGTATCAGGCAAAAGACAAAGTTTTGGTTACAAAAGATGTATAATTCCTAGAGGTTTACTATATAGCATAGTGCCTATAGTTAACAATAGTGTATTGTGCACTTAAACATTTGCTAAGATCTTATGTTGTGTTCTTATAAAATTAGTAATCATAATAATAAAGAAGATGGGAGAAAACTTTTGGAGATTATTGGATAAGTTTATGACATGGATTGTGGTGACATTTTTACAGGTATATACTTAGCTCCAAACTCACCAAGTTGTATACATTAAAAATGTGCAATTTTTGTATCCCAAACATATCTCAATAAAGTGATTTAAAAAACGATTAGTGCAACTATATATGTCTGTACCCAGGATTTGACTTTCCTGATCAATATTTCCAATGGCAATTCATTATGAATAAAACCAATCAACTTTTTCAAAATGAGATGTAATGTATTGATTGGCAGAGCTCAAGATATAATATTGAAAATATGTATTTTTGTCACATTAAGATGTGAATAATTTGTATTCCTTATTCAATGAGAGCTAAGGTGAGTCTGGCAACTTGGTTATGCTATGCTGTATTGTGAAGATCATTTTCATTGACATTATCATGTATCCATGTTGGTTTATAGAATCCTTAAAGAAATTAATAAAGCTAAGTTATCACTCCTCAATAAATTTAAAATACAAAAATTAACCAACACAAGTAAATATACATCATAAAAAATTAGTACAAAGAAAGAACAACACATATATACAGTCTCGATGTAACTTCAGTAATACCCAAGCTTGAACTTTCTGAGAGACCATCTTGTATTATGAATTATTTCAGAATTAAATAAGTATATAAGTATTCATTATCTTTATGCAAATCCCACTAAAATGTTCTGACAGCAGTAAGAATTATTATCTTTATACTTTTGCAGGATCTTAAATCTTTTGTAATAGTTAGTATTAAAGTAATCAATGAGTGAGAATTTCAAATGAAAGCTGAATACATGAAAAATCTTTAGCAGTTTTACTTGAATGCAATGTTATTTAACTTCATTGGAACCCATGAAGCCAATTAACCACAAGAAATGCCATAAAGTAATAAATTAGGGAATTCATTTCTTACATCCAAAAAATGGCTGGTCTATCCCAAAAATAAATAATGAATCATTACAATTGTGAGCTACTTTTATTATACTGTTAAAACATAAAAAAGATACAATATTTTTTAGATGTAGAATCCCTCGCCAGAGTAATGAGGCAAGAGAAAGAAATAAAAGGCATTCAAATAGGAAAAGAAGAAGTCAAACTCTACCTCTTTGTTGACGATCTGGGTCTATACTTAGAAAACCCTAAGGACTCTGGCAAAAGGCTACTAGAACTGATGAACTATTTTACCAAGATTTCAGGCTACAAAATAAATGTACAAATATCAGGAGCATTGCTCTACACCAATAACATCCAAGCTGAAGGCCAAATCAAGAACACAATCCCATTTAAAATAGCCACAAATAAAATGAAATACCTAGGAATACAGCTAACCAAATTGTTGAAAGATCTCTACAAGAACAACTGTAAAACATTGCTGAAAGTAATCAATGATGACACAAATGAATGGAAAAACATCCCATTTTCATGGATTGGAGAATCAATATCATTAAAATGGTCATACTTCTCATAGCAATTTACAGATTCTTATAAAACTACCCATATAATTCCTCACAAAATTAGAAAAAAACTATTCTAAAATCCATATCGAACCAAAAAGGAGCCCAAATAGCAAAGGCAATTATAAGCAAAAAGATCAAAGCCAGAAGCATCACACTACCTGATTTCAAACTATGCCATAAAGCTACAGTAACCAAAACAGCATGTTATTAGTACAAAAACAGACACACAGACCAATGGAACAGACTAGAAAACTCAGAAATAAAGCCGCACACCTACAACATGCTGATATTCAACAAGTTCAACAAAAAGAAGCAATGAGGAAAGGACTCCCTATTCAATCAATGGTGCTAAAATAACTGGCTAACCATATGCAGAAGAACGAAACTAGACACTTACCTTTCACCATATAAAAAAATTAACTCAAATTGATAAAACATTTAAATTTAAGACCTCAAACAATAAAAATCCTAGAAGAAAATCTAGGAAATAACCTTCAGAAGCTATTGCAACAAAAACAGAAATTGACAAATAGGGCCTAATTAAAATAAGAACTTCTGCATAGCCTAAAAAACTATCAGTGGAATAAAGAGACAATCTGTAGGGTGGGAGAAAATATTGACAAGCTATGCAACTGTCAAAAGTCCAACATCTAGAATCTAAAAGGAACTTAAACAAATAAACAAACTGGACACAAATAATCTCATTAAAATTGGGTAGAAGACATGAACAGACACTTCTCAAAAGAAGACATTCAAGGGGCCAATAAATGTATGAAAACACTCTCAACATCACTAATCATCAGAGAAATGCAAATTAAGATCCCAATGAGAAACCATCTCATGCCAGTCACAATGGCTATTATTAAAAAGTCAAAAAAAAAAACAGATGTTAGTGAGGCTATGGAGAAAAGAAAATGTTAATACACTGTTGGTGGGAATGTAAATTAGTTTAGCCAGCATGGTAAGCAATTTGGAGATATCTCACATACCCTAAAACAAAGCTAACATTCAACTCAGCAATCCTATTATTGGGTATATACCCAAAGGAGTATAGATCATTATACCAAAAAGACACATGCATCACGATGCTATTTACAATAGCAAAGACATGGAATCAACCAAAGTGCCTATCAATAGTGGACTGGCTAAAGAAAATGTGTTACATATACATATGGAGCCATAAAAAAAATTATGTCCTTTGCAGTAACATGGATGGAGCTGGAGGTCATAATCCTAAGCAAATTAATTCAGGAAGAGAAAACCAAATACTGCATGTTCTTACTTATTAGTGTAAGTTAAACATTGAGCACATATAGAAGAGAGCATAGGAAAAACAGACACTGTGGCCTACTAAATGGGGGAGAGAGGAATGAGTTCACAGAGAAACTACCTATTGGGTACTATGCTCACTATCAGAGTCCAATATACTCATGTAACCATCCTACACATGTACCTCCTGTATCTAAAATAAAAGCTAAAATTAAAAAAAAAATTAAAATTGAAAATATTTTAAAACAGAATCCCCAGTGGCAAACATTACCTGATATGAAAATATTTTGTGCTTAAAATAAATAAGAAATTATGACATTAAATTAAAACATATATTCTCTTTTTATTTCCGCTTATATTAAGTAGAAGAACATTATTTATGAAATACATAACGGTGTGATCAATTTATTTTGTATGTAAAACATACTCTAAACATAACATTGTAAAATATATTAAAATCATACTTGTTTAAATGTGTTTAAAAAATGAGCAAAATACATTTATTCTATTTTGAGAACATCTGTACATTTACAAGTTGTTTATTTATTTCAAACATTTCTTTTTTTTTTTTTTTTTTTTTGCAGCAAGATTTATTGCAAAGAGCGGAAGAAAAAAGCTTCCACAGTGTGGAAGGGGACCCGAGCGGGTTGCCCTATTTCAAACATTTCTTAATTTCATTTCTGTTTTGTTTTCTATGTATTTAAGTCTTCAGAGGCTAAAGCAGAAAAGGTTAGAGAATGGAACTTCTCTACTTCTTGAAAAGTATAACTAAACTTTTTACTAATATTAATGTTGAACTGGCTCAAAATATTGCTAACTAATAAAGGAGCAGGGCTGATATCTTTGAAGGCTGTAAGAGAATATATTTCTATGTGACTCTGCAAGAGGGATTTGGATCTGTTCAGAGCTTCAAGTAAAACATGCAATCTTTTGTCGATTGTCTGAAATGAACTGAAAACTCTCTCAGTTTGATTTCTCAAAAATACGTCCTTTATTATTCCACCATAAAAATGAATGAAGTCCTGTCATTTGCAATAATGTGGTTGGAAATAGAGAACATTACGTTAAATGAAACTTAAGCCAGGAACAGAAAGAAAAATGTTGCATATTCTCACTCATTTGTGGGAGTTAATAATGAAAACAATGGAACTCATGGAGATAAAGAGTAGAATGATAGTTACCAGAGTCTGGAAAGGGTGATGGGGGAGGGGGAAAGTGGGGATGGTTAATGGATATAAAAATATAGTTAGATAGAATGAATGAGATCTAGTATTTAATAGCACAACAGAGTGATTACAGTCAACAATAATGTAATGCACAGTTTAAAATAACCAAAAGAGTATAATTGTAATGTTTGCAACACAAATAAATGATAATTGTTTGAAGTGATTTATACCCCATTCACCCTGATATTATTATGGATTGGAAGCCTGCATCAAAATATCTCATGTACCTTATAAATATATACACCTACTATGTACCCACAATTTTTTGTTTTGTTTGTTTTTTCATCGATCTCATAGTGGTAGCGAATATAATCTGTTAGAGGCTGGGAAGGGTAGTGAGGAGGAAAGATAAAGGCAGATTAGTTAATGGGTCCAAAAATACACTTAGAAGGAATAAGGTCTAGTGCTTCGTATCACAATAGGGCAACTATAGTTACCAATGACTTATTGTGTATTTCAAAGTAGCTAGAAGAGTAGAGTTGAAATGTTCGCAACACAAAATAATGATAAATGTTTTAGGTGATGGATATACCACATATCCAGATTTTATCAAATATGTGTGTATGTATTTTATCAAATATTATGTTTCAGTAAACATTAAAGATTGGAAAAATGTGAAAAAAAATGCGTGCTTTTTGATTCATGATCCTTTCTAGGGGAAAAAATAAAGCTTAATTTTTAAAAAGTATAGGAACAAAACTTTTATTTAATAATGTCAAATTTTATTGTATTTATGGCATAAAATACCAGCATATACTTTAAATAATTCATACACTATTTGATATTTTATATGGTATACATTGATTACATTCTTTGTTAAAATTTATTCACTCAATCTATATTTTCCATTATTTACTTTGTCTTAAGCATTATGCTAGGGCATAAAGGCACAACATAGAACATGATTTTTGCCCATAAGTAGTAATAATCCAAGTAATCTTTTTTTTTTCACTTCAGACATTGGTTCCACATCTGTGCTAAGAAAATAAAATATTCTAAAAATGGGATATCTGTTAATGCCTAGAGAAGAAAAATTAAATATGCATGAGTTTATGTTCTGTTTGTACATTTGATTGAAGAACATTCTTTTCTCTATAAATAGGACTTTAGGCTTTTGTTCTTCATATTTCATACAAATAGCTTATATATGTTCCCTGAAGGATAGTGATAATTACATTCTTGAAAAACCGCATCAGTAAAACGTTGATTTAAATAGGAATACTAACATAAGTAGATAGTTGTTTCTGAAAAATTATTAATCTCCTAATTGATCTTTAATACTGAATACATTAGCTATTATGCATGGCAAATGTTTCAGCAAAACTCATATTTACGGAGAATCCATCCATATGATTGTTCCAGTCTTATAATTTGAATTAGTGTTACCTTTTTCTTTGTAAAACCGGGAACACTAATGTAGGGTACAGTTTCAAATTTAATGGTTTTATATTCAACAATATTACAATGCCAATATCTGTTATTCTTGAGTAAATACTGGGCATTGTGCATATTATCTATTTTGTGCTATACATGTAAAAATAGGTATAATACACTAAGCATGTTTTTATGCAGCAGGCACAATGGTAAGTAATATAAAGTATAATAACTCAATCCTTAGAGCAACAGTGTTTTTAAAAGGCACTTTTAACCACTGAATAGATATGTGAACAACTTGCCTATGGTGAAAAAACAATAAAATAGACACATTACTGTAATCAGGTCTTTCTGGCCCTATTGTCTGAAATACTTTTTTTCATCCCACATGATTAGGACTTGAGGTCACAGAG
Organism: Homo sapiens; assembly: GCF_000001405.40. Taxonomy (NCBI): domain Eukaryota; kingdom Metazoa; phylum Chordata; class Mammalia; order Primates; family Hominidae; genus Homo; species Homo sapiens. The sequence goes on along the minus strand of NC_000002.12, from coordinate 184,744,888 downwards.
GGAAAATCTACTTAAAATAATAATTGGGAGTTAATTGTAAAAAATAAACTGCATATTTATACGGATAGTTGTTTGGTGAACAGAAAATGTTGGGAATGAAGTTTTATTTTGGAGTTATTTAATTCTCTTGTATACACACTTGTAAACTAACACTTACTTGAGTTGTTAATACTTTTCAGAGGAAACCATATTATTGTTTTTGGAAACATTATGTCTTACTTTGTTTGGTTTGCTATAACAAAACACTATAAAATGGGTGGCTTAAAAAACAAAGAAATTCCCTTCTCATGGTTCTGGAGTATTGGAAGATCAAGATCAAGGTTGCAATAGATTCGGACTTTGGTGAGGGCCTGCTTTCTGGTTCATAGATATTCCTTCTTGCTGTGTCCTCACATGGTGGAAGGGGCATGGCTCTCTCTAGGGCCTCTTTTATAAGGGCACTAATCCTGTTCATGAGGGTTGCACCCTCATGGTCTAATCACTTTTTAAAGGCACTACCTCTTAAAATCACCTTAGGGGTTAGGGTTTCAACATATGAATTTTGGGGAGACACAAACATTCAGACCATAGTACATTCTATGATAATATGATGTACTTATACTGTATATAATACAAAATAATTGCAATGTGTTGGTTTGATCCTTGTAATAATCTATGAGTTATAAAGGGTAGTTATGTATAGTTCTAATTAGTAGATAAAGAAAATGAAGAGCAGAAAAGTAAAGGCATTTACCTAGATACATAAAGGCTCACATGGCTAGGAGATGGTAGAGCTGAAATAGAGCAGTTCTCCACTTCCTGTGTTATTTGTGCCCATTAACAAGTGGTTATTTTAAGTAATAGAAAATGGATTCATTTTAATGCTTATTTAAAATAAGATATTACCATATGAATCCAAAACTAATACATAGATGTCAATATAATGATGACCACACATTACTTACAGGATTCTCTAGGCAGCTAATTACTTCTTATACTACTAAATCCCTTCACCTTAGGCTTTTATACTTCATGTCTGTTTTGAATGCTATATAGAGAGTGCTTCTAAAAACACTCATCAAATTTATAGCATTTCCAGTTTATTCTGTTATAAATTAAATCGCAGTAAGAATAAACTAAGTATAGATATATACAAAATATACCACCATTAAATATTTTAAGTCTTGGGAGTCTCTTATTTCTCCCATTTTAATATTTTAATATTATTTGTGGAAATTCAAAATAAAGAGGCCTATATTTTCTAATTTGATATTTATTGAGCCTACTAAATATAGTGTCATGCAATGCATTCCACGTATGCAGTTTCATTTAGAATTTTAAAGTTTGTTTCTGTGATTTTATCTTAACATTCTTTATCTTTCATTTGTTTAAAATACTATTGCACTTCAAGACAAATTAAAATAATAATAGATATACATGAGTAAACATTTTACTTGGAAAGCTCCCCAAATGGAAATAATCAAAATTAATGCTTATCCAACCACTGTTCAAAGGCATCAACTATGAACAATATAAAGTGAGTCAAGAATACCATTGCTATTAGAAACAAATAGATGCATTCCCAATAATTCTTGAAATAGAGTTGATGTAACTTGCTGATTCATTGGATGTTAAGTCAGAAGACTCAAGAATAATTTAGAGGTTTTGGCTTTGAATTCAAGTGGGGTGGATAATGATGCTGCTTATTGCACTAGGAAAGATTGGAAAGGATTTCAGTCTGGCGATCTCCAAAGGGGAAAGAGACAGATATAGAGTACTGCCTAGGCTATGTTAAGGTCAGGTGATTATTAATGAATGAGACAAAAAACATCAATTTTGCCAACTATAGATTATAATTCCAAACAACATGGCAAAGATATATATACCAGAAATTTTCACTGTCTAAAAGAGAAAAATCTTCAAACTCAATATTGACAGACTGGCTGAGAGTAAAGTCGACTCCATGAGCCTGAAACTGTGAACTATGAGATATTTTTTATGTGTTTATTTACAACATGGCTCACTTTCACCAGATTGAGATCTGTTCCTATTAGACTCCTACGTCTTAGAAGTTGGAAGCTATATAATATAGTTATATATATACACACACATATAGTTATATACATACACACACATAAATAGCATTTAGAACTTTGCTATGTATGTATATATATATATTTATTTATCTATTTTCTATATTTTTTCACCAGAATCCTAGAACCTAATAGGTGACCAACAAATAATTTACAAATATTTATTAACCAAGTGGCTACAAAGCACGTTCTGAGGCAGTTAAATTCAATGTGAAAATTCTGAAGAAAACTTAGGAAATAAAGTAGTTACTGCAAGTTTATTTTATTTTTATCTAAGTGCCATACAATATGCAAAAATATCTTATTCTTTCTATCAGGTGATAGGTTGTCAGAATCAACTTTGTTCTATCCTCTTTTCATTCCTACCCTATACTTTACTCTTTGCAAATACCCATGAAATATATTCAAAGGCAGCTGTCAGGTACTTTCGTCTGAATACAAAAAATGAAATTGAATACTTGAAAGGGAATATATTACCTGAGAATTTTAAGCCATAATTTTTTTCAAAATTATGGTAATTGAAACACTTACACAGGTTTAACAATGGATAATAAGAAATAGAACAGCTTTTCTCTCTTTAAGCTTATTATCATAATGATTGAAATGAATGCACAAAAATACTTGTCTATATAGTTACACACCATATCCGAGACTAAATGATTAAAAAGAAAGGTTACTTTTTTCAAAATGATCTGCAAATTGGTACCTTACACTTACACCAACAGGGCTACTTTATAAGAGCAGATTTTATATCTTATTGATAAGAATCAATTTCTAAAACTAAACATAAAATAAAAAATAAAAATTAGACTGAATATATAAATTAAAATGCAAAAATATTTATTATAAACAAGTGCAAAATGATGACTGTATTGCTTCTCTATAATTTGAAAAATGTTACTTGCTTTCCAGAGGGCAAATAAAATTCTAATTACTTGTACACTGAAACAGAAACTATTAAGACACAATTAACATTTTGCTTCTAGAAGAATGACCAGTTTATCACAATGGAAAGCCTATGATAACTGTGTATTATTAACTATTTAAAAGAATGGGTAGCATCAAATATTACCTGTATATTTTTCTACATATTTGAGTTTCTATTCTGAAACACTAATAATAGCATTTAGAACTTCAGCAGTGTAGCTATAGTAAGTAATTATTCCTGCCCAAAGAGTGATGTGTCCTTTGCTCTCAGCTCCTGAGAAGTAATCTCTAAGCCTCTGAATGCCCTGCCTGATAAAATCATCTTTATTTAGCTAGGGGTCATGCCAGATATTCTGCGATTTATGGTGGGGACTTTGAGTCACACAGTATCAGCTCTGCCTCCTGGAGATCTAGAGGGGATGAAGTCTGAGGATACTCATATGGGCAATTAAATGTGTTGATGAATCCCCAATAAAAAGGATGGATATCAAGCCTCAAGTCAGCTACCCTGACTGGTAATATTTTGTGCAAATAGTCACACATCATTGCCAGGAAAGTTAGTGCTGTCTGCAACTTGTACTGAATGAGAACAACTGAGAGCTTCAGTGTTTATTACTTTCTTAAACTCTGCCCCATACAGCTCTTCCTTTGGATGATTTAATCTTTATTATTTCAAGAAAAGAAGCTGTAGCTGTCAGTATACCTGCTTTCAGTGAATTCAATGAATTCTAGTGAAGAACTGAAACTGAGGATAATCTTGGGAACATCTAAATTTGCAGTTTGTGTCACAAGCGGTGGTCTTGGAGACTCGAACTTACAATTGGTGTCAAAAGTGAGAGTATTGCAGATTACTCCCTAAATTTGCAATTAAAATTACTTTAATTCTAATCTTTATAATTTTACAACCGACATCTATTAACTGTAGTCATTGATCATTTAATCCTTGCACTACACTCCTGAATTAAATATTATTATAAAGTCTGCTTTACAGATGAAGGAAAGGAAGTAGTTGAGTAATTTCTGCTAGGTCCTAAAGCTCTCTCTCACAGTGGTGAAGATAAGTGAATATTTATCCTAATCTTAATGAATTTTTATATTCTGTCTTTATGGTTGAAATCCCCCATATCGACTTCATGACTTTCAACATATTAAAAATTCAAAAAGTTAGAAATAAGTTGAATATAAGACAGAATGTTACTAAAATTTTAAATTTACTAACTAAATTACAAATACTTTAAAGGGGAACTTCTTTCTCTTGCCCTAAAAACAAATTAACTTCTATCCCAGCTCTGTTTCTCACAGCTATCATCTTTCTAAAAGTTTCCTGAGGTTTTATTTAATCACAGGGAAAGATAATTTTGAAAAAACTAATAAATCTATGCCTGAGAAATAAAAGATTTGTCTTCTGAAATATTCTGAGTTTTGAGACATGTTCTTCAGCGTCATCAGAAAATCAAAGTGCAGTCTTTGGATAGTGTTCACTAAGCATATTATGTAAGCACCGTAAAGAGGCCAACACTCTAATGCTATTTAACACCCTTAGAAAACTTGCTCATCTCCCTTGCTTATTATTGTGACCATAAATATCAATTGGGCATTTCTAAAATATATTCACCTGGTGCTAGTCACATTTGATATTTCTAACAAATGCACATGAGCCTTAATAGAGAAGATGGTGACTTGAGGAGTCTTAAGAATATACAAAAAATATGAAATTCCACTTATGGAGTTGACTGAAGCACTAATGTGGCACAGTATGAGACTATGAGTCCCTTGAAATATTGAATTTAAACAGGTGTTGAATGAGTTTCAGGATTCATTTACCAAGTCATGAACAAAATTGTCACAGATGGTTGACTAAAATACAGAAAAACAAGTGATAAATCTTACAAGAAAATTGTATTTCATTCTATTTCAATTAATTCAACAACTGAGTTAATTTTTTTGAAGAAAATGAATGTTTAAATATAGAAATGAATGTTGGAGAATGTCTGCACTGATTCTAATCATAGTCAGTTTTCAATTATTTGATTATATTTGGCTTACAGCTAAGGCATACAGGCAGAGACAAAAAGGCTAAAACATGTAAGATCTGAAGAGCAGGGGAGATTAAAGTATTGGGACATTGAGTGGTTGTGTATGGAGGTAAGCTATTGTATATCTGTATTTTGCATTAGTTCTATAAAGAATAGTCATGAGGCCCAGCATGGTGGCTCACACCTGTCATCCCAGCACTTTGGGAGGCCGAGGCTGGAGGATCACTTCTTGTCAGGAGTTTGAGATGAGCCTGGCCAACATGGCAAAACCCTGTCTCTACTAATAAAAAAAATGAGCCAGGCTTTGTGGTGAGCACCTGTAGTCCCAGCTACTAAGGAGGCTGAGGCACAACAATCGCTTGAACCCAGGATGCAGAGGTTGCAGTGAGCCACGACCGTGCCACTGCACTCCAGCCTGGGTGATGGAGTGAGACGCTGTTCCCCCCACACTGCAAAAAAAGTCATGAAATCATCTTTTTATTTGTTAATCACAGAACATATGGCAGGAATTATTAACAATAGCCAATATTCTTATTGCTTAAGCCTTTCAAATCAGCATGTAACTACAATAAGACTAATTTGTGACTCTTATTTGGAGAATACATGACTATTTTTATTCCTTGAGTTTATAATTAAGCATGTACATGGTGGGTGCAATTAGGGATCAAATGTAACCTAATATAATTAATATAAAACTTTCAATTTCTGTTCATACAACTGTATTCCAAAATAATCATGGGAGCTAAAATAAAATCTCAAGCTTCAAATTTAGTCAGCATGATAAAAGGTTTATGGAGTCAAAGTTATTATTGTTTATCCTACAATCAAATTTCAGAATCGTGTAAAATTTCAACCTTGTGTTTATTTGCTAATTATCATAAATGATTCTACAAACCAAAGATAATAAATTAACTGTTTTGATAACATGTGTCAATTGAATTTTAATTCATACTTATTTTCTTTGCTGTCTGTAGAAGTGTTTTATATCTGCAAAACATACATAAAATTAGAATAAGCTCAACTTCCTCTTTTATATGCTTTGTAGACGTCTTGTTTCCATTTATTTTGAGCACACAGTTGTACACATTGTGTTTACCAACTTTTGCATAACAAATTATTTTCAATTACATTAGTATCTTAGAATGAATCTTTTCCTGAACTCCATTTGTTACTTTGATGATACTTTGGGATACTTGCCAAAGGTGGGGTTGTTGGAAACTAGTCCTTTAGATGCACAAAGTGAATGCAGCAAATGGAATATAATGGGACTAAAAAGAATACACTAATGCTAACTTGATCACAGGTGTGAAATGAACTATGTTCTAATTTACAATAATGCCTTTGTACAGTAAACCATTTAATTATCCTTAGATAAGGTAATTTATCTATAATTTGATGTCAACATAGTCTATTAGGCTATGTATCCAAAAGGATCATCAAAATAACAAGCGGAGCTCAGGAAAAGATTCATTCTAAGACTCTAATTGTCCATGTTTTTTTTAAGTTTCCCAACTGTTTCTGACTCTAGGAACCCAGGAAGTTAAATGCTTACACATGTACTGTCCTTTTTTTTTAGCAGTGCTCATCCATCAATTTCTCAAAACTGATTTTATCTATTTTTCAGCTTGCCTTGCCACTAATCAGTATTATTTATTTTCCCATTTTAACTTTCACTTCATTGGCTTCCATTTCTCCTTAGATCTGATATTTTCTTTTTTTTTTTTTTTTAGACAAAGTTCCACTCTTGTTGCCCGGGCTGGAGTGCAATGGCATGATCTCGGCTCACTGCACCCTCCGCCTCCCAGGTTCAAGTGATTCTCTTGCCTCAACCTCCCAAGTAGCTGGGATTACAGGCATGCACCACCATGCCTGGCTAACTTTTCTGTATTTTTAGTAGAGGCAGGGTTTCTCCATGTTGGTCAGGCTGGTCTCAAACTCCCGACCTCAGGTGATCAGCCTGCCTCGGCCTTCCAAAGTGCTGGGATTATAAGCGTAAGCCACTGCGCCTGGACAGATCTGATATTTTCTTTATTTTTCTTTTGAGAAATATAGGTTATCTTTTCAAATGCAATTCTTGTCCTGGACCCAGTTAATACTTATTCAAGTCGAAGAGTTTATTCATATAGGCTACAGAAATGTATATTACTATGAAAGTCCATATGAATATTTATAACACCTTAGTTCTCATGAATGGCATAGACAAATATAATTTGAAATAAATATGAGAAAATTAAACATATTTATTAATTAAAATCAAGTAAATAGGTCAGCAAGTCATGTTTATTTTTTAGTTTAGAGAGATATTAATGATAATTACATAAACATGTTCAAAAGCACCAAGTATAAGGTTTTACACAAATGACTATCATTGTAAATCATTAAATTGTATTACAGAAGAAAATGCATACAGTTTATCAATTATTACAGAAAATTCACGTGACAAAGTTCAACACTATTTCATGATTTTAAAAATAGCTTAAAAAGGAGTAGTAAAGCCGGTCGCAGTGGCTCACACCTGTAATCCCAGCACTTTGGGAGGCCGGGGCAGGTGGATCACGAGGTCAGGAGATAGAGGCCACCCTGGCTACCACGGTGAAACCCTGTCTCTACTAAAAAAAAATAGAAAAAAATTAACCGGGCATGGTGGCGATTGCCTGTGGTCCCAGCTACTCAGGAGGCTGAGGCAGAAGAATGGCGTGAACCCAGGAGGTGGAGCTTGCAGTGAGCCGAGATCGCGCCACTACACTCCAGCCTGGGTGACAAAGTGAGATTCCATCTCAAAAAAAAAACAAAAAACAAACAAAAAAAAGTAGTAAAGGGAATTTTTAAAATTTGATATAAGTAACAACATCTACAACAAAACTTATTCTCAATGAACCAATGTTTAATATATTCTTTAAAACAGAAAAAACACAAGAATGTTCATAAATACCACCACTATTTAGTATAGTACTGGAAGTCCTGGCCAGTGCTTTATGCAGAAAAAAAAAAAAAAGAAGAAATACGAGTTCTAAATATTGGAAGGGAAGAGAAAAAACTTATTATTTATAAATGAGATCACCTAATTAGAAAACGAATTAACCACTGTTAAGTTAAAAACAAACAAATAAACTAGAACACATATTTTCTTTTTTCCTTTTTCTTTTTTTAATTTAAGTTCGGGATACATGTGCAGAACGTGCAGGTTTCTTACATAGGTATACGTGTGCCGTGGTGGTTTGCTGCATCTATTGACCCACCATCTAGGTTCCCTCCCCTCGTCCCCACCACCCAACAGGCCCCAGCTGTGTTGCTACCCTGCCTGTGTCCATGTGTTCCCATCGTTGAACTCCCATGTGGTATTTGGTTTCCTGTTCCTGTGTTAGCTTTCTGAGGATGATGATTTCCAGCTTCATCCACGTCTCTGCAAAGGACATGATCTCATTCCTTTTTATGGCTGCATAGTATTCCATAGTGTATATGTACCACATTTTCTCTATGAACACTTATTTTCTATTGCCTCCATATTTTAATAAAATAATGGTCATTTAAATATCAAAGAGAGCAAATAATATCGAACAAAAATATTTTCAAGAAAGGGCAGTAGACAAAATTGTCTCCCTACTGCTAGCCTAAGAAATTGGTAAGGTCAGGATCACATGGAAATCATGTTGCCCTATGCTGTGTTTTTCATCCTGTAAGCAATCAATAAAGAACTTAAGGTGTAGCCTAGACATCAAGAGGCATGTGCATGTGTTAGAATGAAACTGAGGGGAGACTGAACATCAAAATGGAAAGACTATGAAATGTCTTATTTTATCAGTAAGCCAAGCTTTATTCAGGATCCGGTACATTTCCTATCTTTCAGGATACTTATATTTCATATTAGATTGTGATGGACTACAATGAAATATAAAAATAAATCATCTACTCAATGTTGTATCTCTGTGCCTGTGTGGTGGTGGTGGCTAAAAGTATTACAGTAATTTTTAAGTATTTTTGCTTCACCATTTCCCACAAACTTCTACATGCTTAGTTCTGCCCCTAGTAAACTACGCATAGTTTTCTTACTTTCCTCATTTTGGCTTGAAGAATAAAAACTATGAATCAGCACTGATATGAACACTGCTCTTGGAAAACCACTGTTTTACTCCACAAACTGTCATGCTAAAGAGCAATTTCTCTGACACTATTCATCAAATACCATCATTTTTTTACCTTCAACATTGAGTACCAGAAATTAGTGTAATAATATGTAAGTCATAAGATTTATTTATTTTTAAAGTTATTCTTTAAGTTCTGGGATACATGTGCAGAACATGCAGGTTTGTTACATAGGTATACACATGCATGGTGGTTTGCTGCACCCATCAACCCATCATCTACATTAGGTATTTCTCCTAATGCTATCCCTTCCCTAACACCCCACCCCCAAACAGGCCCCGGTGTGTGATGTTCCCCTCCCTGTGTCCATGTGTTCTCATTGTTCAACTCCCACTTATGAGTGAGAAAATGCAGTGTTTGGTTTTCTGTTCCTGTGTTAGTTTGCTGAGAATGATACATAATGTAAATAATTATTTCATTAATCAGGCCTTTCATTGTATTTTACAGCCTGATCTTGGACCTATGTAAGAAAGAAAAGGAAAGAATTATTTTTAAAAATAAACTGAAAAAAAACCAAGTGGTAGATAGAAATCCAACTATATAGATAATCATTTTAAACACCAATGGACTAAATGCAACAATTAAGAGACAAACATTATTAGAGAGGGTTAAAAAACAAGATCCACTACATGTTATCTAGAAGCAATACACTTTAAATATAAAGACCTGTATTGATTAAAGTGGTTGGAGAAAGACATATGATGCAAATACTAATTAACAAGCAGCAGGAGTGGTTATGTTAATACAGACAGTGCAGTCTTTAGGGCAAGAAAAGTTATTGGAGATAAGGGAGACATTGCATAATAATAAAGGGATCAATTCTCCAGGAAGACATAACAATCATTAATTTAAATGCACCTAACAACAAACCATCATGTTATACGAGGAAAAAACTGCTAGAATTGCAAGGAAAAGCAGGTGAATCACCACAATAGTTTAAAACTTCAGCATCATTTTGCCAGATATGGACAGAATGAGCAGTCAAAAAGTCAGGGCACTGCTGAACTCAAAAATACCATCAATCAACTAAATAAAATGAACATCTATAAACAACATTATCAAACAATAGCAGAATACTAATTCTTTTCTAGTTCACATGGAACATTCACCAAGATAGACCACATTCTGGGCAAATAAAACACACTTCAACAAATCATAAAATAAGAGGAATCATATAATGTTTACTCACAGACCACAATGGAATTAAACTTGAAATCAGTAACAGATGGATAGCTGGAAAATCCCAAAATATTTAGAGGTTAAATAACACACTTCTAAATAACACATAAGTCATAGAAGATATTTCATGAGAATTTTTTTAATATTTTGAACTAAATTAAAATAACACAATTTACAAAAGTTTGTAGGATGTAGCAAAAACAGTGTTTAGACGGTAATTTACAGAATAAAGCACATATTTGAAAAACAAAAAGATGTAAAATTCAACAATCTAAGCTTCCACCTTAGGAAAATAGAAAAATAGGAAATGCTGGAATATGCCTGTAGTCCTAGTTACTGAGGCAGGAGGATCTTGAGCCTAGGTGTTTGAGCATGCAGTGAGCTATGACCAACCAGACCACTGCACTCCAGCCTGGGTGACACGGCAAGATCCTATCTCAAAATAATATCAAATAAATACATAAATAGAAAAAGAGGAACAAATTAAATACAAAGTAAGCAGAAGAAACAATGTTACTAAAAAACCAGCTAAAATCAGTAAAGAAAACTAAAATACAGACATCAAAAGCTGGTTCTTTAAAAGATCAACAAAATGATATGTCTCTAGACAAGCTAACTGAGAAAAAAAAAAGTGCACACAAATTGCTAAAATTAGAAATTAAAGAAGAGACATAACCACAGATTACATAAACACTAAAAGAGTAATAAAGGGATACTATGAATAAATTTATGTCCACAAGTTTGATAACCTAGAAGAAAGGGACAATTTCTTTAAAAGCCACAACTTGCCAAAATTCACACAAGAATAGACCATCTAAATAAGCTTCCATCTATTAAATAAATTGAATTAATAATTTACAATCTTCCAAAACAGAACATACAAAGCTCAGATGGGTTTACTAAAGTATTCTACCAGATATGTAAGGAAGAAATTATAGTAATTCTCTAAAATCTTATTCACAAGATCAAAGCAGAAGGAAGTTTCCCTAAGCCATTCCATGAGGCCAGCATTTTTCTGATACCAAAATCAGACAAAGATAAGGAAACCACAGACCAAGAACTATCATGGACAGAAATGTAAAAAACTCCCCTCCAAATTATATCAAATCAAATCCAACAATTCATAAAAATAATAATACATCACAACTAAGTGTAATTTATCCCACACATAGAAAACTCATTTAAAACTCAAAAATCAATTAATGTAATCTATTACATCAACAGGTTACAGAAGAAAAAATCACAGGAGCATAGAAATAAATTCAGAAGTGGGTTTTGAGAAAATTCAACACCCATAAATAACAGAACCTAAAACATAAAATAGGAATACAGAGGAGCTTCCTCATCTTGACAAAGAATATCCACAATAAATCTATAGCTAGCATCATACTTTATGGTGAGAAACTCAAAGCCTTCTGACTAAGATCAGGAACAAAACAAAGATGTCCCCTGTAACTCCTCCTTTTCTATATCATATTGGAAGTTCTAATTAATAAGACAAGACAAGAAAAGAAAAGATACACTGATTTGGAAGGAAGATGTAACACTGTCTTTGTTCACAGATGACATGATCATCTATGTAGAAAATACAAAAGAATCAACAACAATGGCAACAGACCTGGGACTAATAGGCAATTACAGCAAGGTTGCAAAACACAGGGTTAATATAGAAAAGCTAGTTGCTTTCCTATATGCCAAATGAACAAGTGGGGAGTAAAATGAAAAACACAACACCATTTACATTAGACATTAACATCCCCCAAAACAAAATACTTAGGTATAAACTTAAAAAATATATATCTATATGAGGAAAAGTACAAAACTCTGATGAAAGAAATTACATAACTAAATAAATAGAAATATATTCCATGTTCATGGATGGGAAATCTCAATATATTTGAGATGTCACTACTTCCCAAGTTGATTTACAGATTAAATGAAATTCCAGTAAAAATATCTGCAAGTTATTTTGAAGATATTGACAAAGCAAAATTTATAGGGAGAGGGAAAAGACACAGAATAGCCAACACAGTAATAAAGAAGAACAAAGTTGAAGAACTGACATTACCCAACTTTAAGACTTATTCTTAGTCTACAGTAATCAAGACAGTGTAGTATTGGTGAAAAAATAGACAAATAGATCAATGAAACATGATAGAAGGTCCAGAAGTAAACCCACACAAATTTTTAGCAAAAGAGAAAAGACAATACAATGGCAAAGAAGAGTATTTTCAACAAAGTATGCTAGTACAACTGGATATTGACATGCAAAAAAAAAATGAGTTTAAACACAAACCTTACACCCTTCACAAAAATTAAATCAAATAGAGTCCAGACCTAAATATGAAACACAAAACTATAAAATTCTAGAAGATAACATAGAAAGAAACTTAGATGATGAGTTTGGCAAGATATTTTTGGACATAACACCAAATAAAACATCCACAAAGGAAAGAACTGATAAGCTAGACCTCTCCCAAATTAAACATTTCTGACCCATGAAAGACACTGTCAAGAGGATAAAAATACAATTCAAAGACTAGGAAAAATATTTGCAAATTGCATCTCTGATAATGGCCTGTTATCAAAATATACAAAGAAACATTAACAGTTTATTAATAAGGATACAAACGACCCAATTAAGAAATGGGTTAAAAGCCAGGTGTTTTGATTCACATCTGTAATCCCAGCACTTTTGAAAGGCTGAGGCAGAAGAATCATTTGGGACCAAAAGTTCGAGATCAGCCTGGACTACATAGAGAGACATCATCTCTACAGAAAAATAAAAATAAAAAATAGCCAGGTAGTGTGGCGCATGCCTGTAGTCCCAGCTACTCAGGAAGCTGAGGTGGGAGGATCACTTGAGCCTAGGAGGTTGAGGCTGCAGTGAGACATGATTGTACCAAGGCACTCCAGCCTGGATAACACAGCAAGACCCTGTCTCAAAAAAAAAAAAAAAAAAAAAAAGCGTTAAAGACCTTAACAGACATCTCACTGAGGAAGATATGCAAATGAAAAATGAGCATAGAAAAAGATGTTCCACATCATACGTTACTGGGGAAATCCAAGTTAAAACAACGCTATAACATCACTACATATCTATTCGAATGGCCAAAATCCAGAACACTGACAACACCAAATGCTGACAAGGATGTAGAGCAATGGGAACTCTCATTTATTGCTAGTGGGAATGCAAAATGACACAACCACTTTGGAACACAGTTTAGCAGTTTCTTTTTTTTCTTTTTTCCTTTTTTTTTTTTTTTTTTTTTTTTTTTTTGCGACGGAGCCTAGCTCTTGTTGTCCAGGCTGGAGTGCAGTGGCACGATCTCAGCTCACTGCAACCTCTGCCTCCCAGGTTCAAGCAATTCTCCTTCCTCAGCCTCCTGAGTAGCTGGGATTACAGGCGCCTGCCACCACACCTGCCGAATTTGTGTACTTTTAGTAGAGACAGGGCTTCAGGGTTTCACCATGTTGACCAGGCTGGTCTCGAACTCCTGACCTCAGGTGATCCACCCACCTCGTCCTCTCAAAGTGCTTGGATTACAGGTGTGAGCTACCATGCCTGGCCCAGTTTAGCAGTTTCTTAGCAAAGTAAACATAATCCTATAATCCCATCCAGCAATCATGCTCCTTGGTATTTACTCAAAGAAGTTCAAAACTTATGTCCACAAAAAAAAAAAAGCTGCAAATTGATGCATGTAGCAGGTTTATTCATGATTGCCAAAACTTGGAAGCAACCAAGATGTTCTTTAGTAAGTGAATAGACAAATAAACCATGGCACATCCAGACAATGGAATATTATTCAGTGCTAAAAAGAAATGAGATATCAAGGCACAAGAAGATATGGAGGAAACATAAATACATAGCACCAAGTAAAAGAAGCAAATCTGAAAAAGCTACATACTGTGCTTCAAACTATATGACATTCTGGAAAAGTCAAAACTAGGGAAACAGTAAAAAGATCAGTAGTTGCCAGGTGTGGGGGAAAGGGAAGGTTGAATACAGCACAAAATATTTTTTAGGGAAGTGAAATTACTCTGTATGATGCTACAGTGGCAGATGCCTGTCATTATACATTTGTCAAAACCCATAGAATGTATAACAACAAGTGAACCCTAACACAAACTATTGATTCCAGGTGATAATGATGTGTCTGTGTATATTCGTCAATTTTAACAAATATACTACTCTGGTAGGGGTTGTTGATAATGAAATAAATTATGGATACACAGGGACAAGGAGTGTGTAGGAAATTTCTGTACTTTCTGCTCAATATTGTGGTGAACCTAAAACTATTCTAAAAAAAATACTGTTAAAAAATGGTAACCAAGTTAAAGAAAATCGTCTTTATAATCAATTACCTAGAGGATATTATAAGCTTATTAAAATTAAAGAATAAGAAAAAAATCCCTGAGATTTAGCTGAATCTTGATTTTACCAAAATAATCTCTTAAGGAGTTTGTTCAGGTAATGGCAACCATATTAGTAGTTATATTAATAGTAGTAGTTACCATTTATTGGTCATATACTATGAGTCAGGACCAATACTAGTAATTTCCATGGCACATATTTACTCCATGAGTGTTTGGGACAGGCATGCAAAGAGAAATTCATACCGTGATAAGCTAAGGATAATATTCAATGCCTGATCACACAGGGTGATTTACTTTTGTGTTTGCTTTTGAATAGTTCAGTGTGCCATATGGATTTCCATAGGCTTGGCCAGAGACTATAGTGTTTTATGTTGGCATGACACATTTGTCAAGATATCTAGACACTATAGTAATAAGTGCTACATAAATACATAGAGTTGAGGAAAAACGTGTCAGTAACAAAATGATTTCTACAGTCTATATTCAACGTTTGATTAAGCAACTCATTTCCATCAACTGAATAAATCTATTTTTTTGTTCACTTTGCATTCAATGATTTGCACAGCAATATGATTTTCAGATTACTTTGGATGAGTAAATTGGCTTACAAGAGATAACATTGAGGAAATTAGAATACTTAATTTTGAAAACAAGAATCTGACTGAACTGAACCAACTGATTGATTTGAAATCATGGGTTCCATTTCAAATGCAATATATTTAAAGATGGTTTCACTGTTGGCATATACTCATGTTTTTATGGGAGATCATGAGGTATTTCTTACTGAGCTGAGACCCTTTAATTTCAGGAAGTAACATTTTACTTAAAAAAAAATTATTTTAATTGACAAGTAAAAATTGTATATATTTATGGCATACAACATGATTTTTAATATATATATATGCATTGTAGAATAGCTAAATCAAGCTATTAAAATATGAATTACCTCACATACTTATATTTTGTGTTGAGAGCACTTAAAATTTATTCTTTTGGTAATTTTAGTATATACAATATATTGTTCTCACTGTGATGTTCAATAGATCTCTTAAAGTTATTCCTCCTGTCTAAATGAAATTTTGTGTTATTTCAGTAACATCTCCCCAATCCCTTAACCCTCTAGCTTCTGGCAACCACTAGTCTAGTCTTTGCTTCTGTGAATTGGACATTTTTAGATCCCACATACAAGTAAAATCATTCAGTATTTGTTTTTATGAGCTTGGCTTATTTCACTTAATATCATGTTCTCCAGGTTCATCCATGTTGTTGCGAATAAGACCATTTCCTTTTTTAAAATAGCCAAATAGTATTGTATTGTGTATAAAAAATGTAGTATATATAACATTTTACTTTTAAAGGAAGAAAAAGAGACTAACACACTGTTATTATTTTTTTTCTTAAGCAAGCTAAATCAAGATCTCTTTTTGAAAATTATGCTGGCTTATTTTTCATGTTTCCATTTCAGGATAGAAAGAAACTTCTTCCAATGTCACAAGTGAAATCAGAGAATTATAACAGTTATCCACATGGCTCAGATTTCTGTACTGAGGAATTAGAATACCACCCATCTTCAGACAGTCTGTCAGACCAGAAGGAATCTCTAGGTGCAAAGTCCTATCATCTTCTTTATTACCCATTCTGAAATCACAGGCTTAAAGCTGGAAACAACATGGATATTTGCTGACTATTGCTGGGAACTAGTTTGATAAAGCATAGAAGTAATAATACAAATTATCTCCATCATTTAATGATCTGAGTTTTCTTACTCATTGTGATTAAAAACATCAAAATATGGCATAGCTCAAAGTGAGAAATCAGCTTTAATTTTTGTGTATCATCCCATAACATTGAGAAATTGCACGGAACTGGAAAATAGTCTCTAAAATGTTATTAATATTTGTATCCTCAGATGCCTGTTCATATTCGGAATTCAGAAATATTTCTCGAGTTGGTTATTTCTATTTCTGGTGATTTAATGCATTATGTCTTTCCTTTTTATAAAGAGCAGCATGTGTAAATACCTTCTTCATTTTTTAATAGATTTTCATTTGAAAACTCTACTCACAAGCGTTACTCAACTAGTATATTTTTAGGTATGGGTCATCTGACTGCTATATGTTGATTACTTCCTGTTACTGCATCTGGTTATCCACAGTTAATAACCACCCAATGCTATTTTTAATATATTCTCAATTCACAGACCGTGTTTGCCATTTACCAGTTGAATGTTCTTGGGCAGATTATTCTCTGAGTTTAATTTGCAAAATGCCAATAATAACAATACCAAATGAAATTCTGAGAACAAGCTATCTAAGATGGAATCTGCCACACTGTAGATACTCATAAACTGATCACTTCTTATACTGTATTTGACTATAAGTAAGTGTTTAGTAGAATTAAATAGATAGCATTTGGCATGTGAGTATCCCCTATTAAATCATTAAGCATTGCATGCAATACTTTTGCTGTGAAAATTATTAACTTCCTGGTATATAAAATTATTTCTAGTTATGTTTAAATATTTTCTCTGGGATATTATCATCTTAGATCTGTAAAGTGGTACTAAAATAGTTAAAAATTATTTATAAGATATACACAAACAGAAAAATATAAAATCAAATGTATCTTATACATAGTACTTGGACTAAATTAGGCATCATGAGTTAGTAGAAAAATAATGAGGCATAATAAAAGTTTAGCTGAGTACTTGAAGTAGGAGTCCATTTCATTCCTGCAGGAAGAGACCAACAATATTTAATGACTCTGATATGTCTGGTAATATATTAACACCTTTGACTTTAATTGCTTTGATTAAATTTTAGTACTCAGACAATTCTTTCATATTGCTTCCACTATTTACTTAATGAATAATACATTCTCCTGGAAGAGTATATCTTCTGTATTATGCCAAGCTCTGTGAGAAAGGTTAATGTGGTATTTTATAATGCTCAAGATGTGTGAGGGAGCGAAATTCTATTCAGACAAACAGAAATGCCAGGGCATTTTTAATAAGACCCTAAATGAAATGCTAACATATGTTCTGAAAAATATAAAGTTCCTTTTAAGAAAATGCAAAGAAAATGTTATGTTTTATGTGTTATTTTGCTTATAGATAAGGTTTACTTTGGTTAAATTACCAAGGAGACTATTTTCCAATTCCACGTAACTCCTCAATGTTTGTAGTGCTAGAGCATTCAACTTCTAAATTTTACTATTATTATGCTGTATTAACATGCATTATACTAAAAACAATTGTTCTTTTAATGTTTTGCACATAGGCCTTTCTTTTTTAAATTTAGGGACTATGGAGCTAGCATCTTTAGATCAAAACTGTTACAAGGTATATACTTTCCTAAGACCTAAGGCATTTATTCAAGGGATAACTGTGTATTTTTACAAAAGTATTTTTAAGATATATATTTAAATAATAAATGTAAATTCTTGGAGTCATGTTGCAGAAGGATGGATAACGAATGCAATTTTAATACGAAGAACAATTACTGGCTAGTTTGACTGTTTTTTTAATTGTCACTGATATACGTGAAATGCATTTATGTAATTATTTATTTTCTCATGACAATTTGAAATGCTTCTTAACTCTCGTCCAAAATTCTGGTTTCAGCCCTATCCAATTGGAAATACATTTTTTTTTCTCTCTGAATTTCGACAGTTCTCTGATAATGTAGCAGAATTTTATTTTTCCAAATTTCAATTCAATACCTTATTTAGAAAAGATAAAGGTATTTTTACCTATTCAGAAATATGTTCCTACAAAAATGAATATTTTCATTTTATATGAGTATCTTAAGACCACAATGAGGTGTACCTATTTGAAGAGCTAAAATAAAACAAACAATGGTGACAATACCAAATGCTGAAACTTATGTGGATAAACTCATACATTGCTGGTGGGATTGTAAAATGGCACAAACACTCTGGGAAATGGGAAGATTCTTAAAACTCTAGAAATACGCATAGCATACAATCTAGCAATTGCACTTCTGGGCATTTATCCAGAGAAATGAAGAAAACTTATTTCTTTACAAAAGCATGTATATTATTGTTCATAGCCGTTTCATTTGCAGTAGCCCCAAACTGGAAACAACCAAAATGCCCTACAGTGGGTGAATGTTTAAGCAAACTGTGGTGCATCCATACCATAAAATATTACTTTGCTAGAAAGCTATCATCTCTAAATGAATGCAAACACCTTAAATGTATCTCAGGAACATCATGCTGAATGAAAAATTCTAACTCAAAAGATTCAGAAACTATATGATTTCTTGGAATAACAAATTACAGAGATCTAAAACACATTAGTGGTTACCAGGGATTAGCAGTGATGAGTAGGGGAGAGGAGGGTGTGACTATAAAGGGGATAAAGGGGTAGCATCAGGCAGAGCTTCTTGGTGGTGAAATAATACTGTGTTTGATTGCAGTGGTAGTTACACAAATTTACCTATGTGGTAAAATGATATAGAACTACCCACACACTTTACATCTTGGTTATTTTCTGGTTTTCATATTATACTACAGTTATGGAAGATGCAGCCAGTGGGGGAAACTGGATGAAAGGTATACAGGACCTCTCAGTACTATTTTTGCAACTTTCTGTGAGTCTATAAATATTCCTAAATGAAAGTTTCAAAATGGGTAATTACAAACAAGTTGTGCAGTGGAAAATTATTATTAGAGTAGGTGAAGTTTATTCAAATTGATGGTAGAGTCATATTATTTTATATTTACTTTATAAAATAAAATGTTACATAGTTAAAGATAACATTGCATATTTAAATTTTATTAAGAAGAGAAGATCATACTGATGCTGGCTAACATAGAAATATGATTTAAATATTTTCTTCAAAACCATAACCGTTATATTAAAAAATAATCAACTCTTACATGCTTCAGTAGCACTCTCTATGTATACTTACAGCAACCTTACATGTAAGCACTGTTATTCTCTTCTTATAGGAGGTAAAAATAGATTTAGACAAGCTAAGAAATTTCCAAAGGTCATTCTATATTTAACAGGCAAATCAATATGCAGAACTAGTCCTAGTAGCTAATCACTGTGTCTTATTCTAATATTCAATAGTGAAAGCCTTAATTCTCAAAAAATAATTATAAATCCCTAGGAATAACTGTATGTATTCACTAATTTTTAAAATACCCTGCATCAATGAGAAATGCAACTCTTTCACATTACTCTTATCTTAAAATTTAGGCATCAGCCTACTGCCTTAAAATTACCACATTATTTCATCTCTCTAACTAAGCCTTTCCACATGTTACTATTGCTGCTTATAAAACTACTTTGCTATTTGACAAATTTCTAGCCATACTCTCACGTCTTTTTTTGTGTCGTTCCTGCAATAGGCATACATTTCCCGTGCTGCTTTAATTGCCTTGTAATTCACTTATTTACATGCCCTTCTTTGTAGTTAGATGGTGGACTCAGAGTAGAATATTTTCTTATTCATACTTATAGAATCAGACATCAGCACAAGATCTGGGTTTAGCAAGAGTTTGCCAATAACAGAGTGACTATTATTCAGTGACTAATATTCCCTCGATCTAATAATACAGTAGTATCTTAGTATCTTTTCATTTATATAATGCACATCCTCCCAAGATTTCTCATGCTTCCGTGAATTTCTGTATTGGGAAACTCTCTGAACTCTCTGATTCTTTGCCTGTCTTCATTTTTAGATAATCATATCACATCCATGATGTTCTCTTTGTGCTTCCTATGGGAAATATCATGATTTCAAAATCGTGTACATTTTTAAATTATAGCAGCTATCATTTTTCTTCACTTAAGACAAATAAATGTACATAGAGCATTAAATACATATATTCTACATGCGGTACTTCATTTACTTACATAAAGTAATAAATGTAATTCAAAGCCATTTCTTCTTCCATCTTTTAAGAATTTATGCACAGTTTATTAATGTGTTTCTTTTACTACCAGCTGCTTGAAGCAGGATTACAATGGCCTTTTCCTGGTGCATAGCTTAGAAAAATTTAATTCACATATGAGTGCTAGGAGATTTTGATGAGGAAGAGAAATAGAAGTAAAAGAATAAGCACAATATTATAAGAGATATATAACAACTGCCAAAACTATGTTGAACTTCACAGATTCTACAGTATATAAGGATCTTCATTAATTTCTAAGTATGTTAATTTTCATGTCAATATGTCAACTAACTTTTTAAGAATAAAAGAGATTTTTAAAATCCATCCATCTATGTATCTGTCCTTCTAATACATAATTAAGTGTTAGAACAGAAGCAAAATAAATACTTTGTTGAATATAGAAATCCCCAAATACCTACACCATTGCAGACCAATCTAGTGACCAAAATCATTACAGTTTTGCTAGGGATTACACAATCTTGTATGGAAAATCATTGCTGTTTTCACAGTGATCAAAATATACATTTAACAGACCAATATATAGACTGAAAGCAATAAGCCAATACTTAACTGAAATAAAGAGCTTACTTAAAAAATGTTTTCATTAAAGTAACCTGTGTTTTTACAACTTCGGATGAAAACACTAATATGTAATGGTTGAATGGTGTTCCTATAAAATAATGAAACTGATATCCATGCAGGAAAATCAGCTTCAGTATTTATAGTTACAATACAGCCCAAAGTAACTTCTATGATGTATGCAAAATGAAATGACATTTTAATCCAAATATACTTGTTTTAATTTTTCTCCCAATTTAAAAAAAATTAAACATTTTGAAAATCATCTTATTCTAATATTGAGCCATAAAATGACCATTTCTTCCAACTGGAGAAAATTCTTGTATGTCAATCACAGTGATACACGCGAGCCTGTTGCTAATTATGTGATATGAGTCAGTAATTTAGATATTTTAAAATTTCTATCATATAAACCTTTCTCTACTTGAATATATCATTGCTTTAAGCATATATTTTAGAATAAGTTTCTATTAAATGAAAAAGGAATATACTGTAATGTGTGTATGTATCTATTTTACCTTCTGTGGTAATTTTTAACATGGTACAGGGTTATTTAACAGATTATCCATGTTACTCGATGATTTCTCTAAAAATCCATACTAAAACTAAGCCTAGCCTTCAGATTTTGTATTATGCCAGATGGTGTCTTCACAGTAATATATTCTTAAATTGGATGATTACCTTAATAGCCTAGGCAAAGTAACACTGTTTTGAATGGCTGCACACTTTAAATGAAGCCTAAACTTTCCTGTAGGGTAAATACCGTTAACATGAAGCAATTTTAAAACTCATCTATGATCTCCATCAATGTCAGAGTTTCACATTCTGATGAAATTTTCTTAGGGAGAATTATTTTGAATAATGCATTTCAAGGTTAAATTAGCGATCACATCTAGAAAAGATAAATGACATTTCACCTTAATTCTGAGTATAGAGTCATTGTAACATCAAAGTTACAGGTATACAAACCATAAGTTATAACTTTCATTGTTGAACACGTATCAGTGGTGTTATTTGACTTTCAGAACACATATTTAACCAATTCATACGTCACTATTGCGTATAGTAACCTCCCTCTCTAAGTTCTCTGAAGGTAACTCTGGACTTTTCTTCAATAATTATAAATATAATTGGTAAATTGGATTCATTGTGTTTATTTATAGATATGAAATTTCAGAATGAAACTTCTGTCTTCAGAAACATTCACAGTAGATTTTGTAATGTATTCACATTTCCTAGATAGCCATGTTTAACTCAAAATTCTAAAAACATAAACTTCACAGATGTAAAATTTCGATGTACACCATTTATTTTCCAGCCATCTTAAACACGGCATAAAGAAGAACATTTTAAATCATCGGATGATTTACTTACATTGTTCTAAGTATTAATTACTAAGCAACTCTTAAATTATTTGCTGCAGATGTAGACACACAACTGTCTACTTAAGCATAACATGATTAAGAAAGCAGTGGAGAACATGAATTTATTTTTACATAAGCTTTTTTTACGTCAAAATGATGTTTCTTCATCCCCCCCAACCCATACACACGCGCACCCACACACTCTTCTCAGAGTGTAGTGTCTATCATTCCACTCTCTACCTCGATGAGAACAACTCTTTTAGCTCCCACGTATGAATAAGAACATGTAAACTTTGTCTTTCTATGCCTCGCTTATTTCACCTAACATAATGCCCTCCAGCTCCACTCATGTTGCTGCAAATGACATGATTTCATTTTTTTATGACCTAGAATTCCATTGTGTATATATATCACATTTCCTTTATCAGTTTATTCATTGATAGACATTAGGCTGATCCTGTATCTTTGCTATTTTGAATAGTACTGGAAAAGACATGGGAATAAAGGCATGTTTTTGATGCTGATTTTATTTCCTTTCAATAAATACACACTAGTGAGATTGCTGGGTCGTACAGTCGTTCCATTTGTAGCTTTAGCTTTTTGAGAAAACTACATGCTATTCTCCATAATGCTTATATTAATGTACATTTCCACCAACAGTGTATAGGAGTTCCCTTTTCTCCACATCCTCACCAGCACCTGTTATTTTTTTGTAGCTTTAATAACAGCCATAGTAACAGGAGTAAGATGATAACTCATTGTGGTTTTAATTTGCATTTCCATGATGACTAGTGATGTTAAGCATTTTTTTTTATATACCTGTTGGACGTTTGTATGTCTTATTTTGAGAAATATCTATGAATGTCCTTTGCTCACTTTTATTTATTTTTTTACTGTTGTTTCAGCTCATTGTATATTCTAGGCATTAGTCCCTTGTTAGATGAATAGTTTGCACATATTTTTCCCATTTAACAGGTTGTCTTTTCACTCTGTTGATTGCTTTCTTTGCTGTGCAGAAACTTTTTGGTTTAATATAGTCTCATTTGTCTAATTTTTGTTTTTATTGACTGTGTTTTTGAGGTCTTAGCCACAAAATCTTTGCCTAGGCAAATTTCCAGAAGTGTTTCCCCTATGTCTTCTTCTAGGATTTTAATAGTTTTGAGTCTTATGTTTAAGTCTTTCATTCATCTTGAGTTGATATTTGTATATGATCAGAAATAGGAGTCCAGATTTATTATTCTGTATATGGGTATCAAATTTTCCCAATATCATTTATTGAAGAAAGTGTCCTATCCTCAGTGTATGTTCTTGGCACCTTTGTCAAAATTCAGTTGGCTGCAAATATATGGACTTATTTATGGGTTCTCTATTCTATTGCATTGCTTTATGTATCTGTTTTTGTATCAGTATTATGCTGTTTGGTTACTATAGCCTTGTACTATATCTTAAAGTCAGGTAATGTGATGTTCTTTCTAGTCAGGATTGCTTTGGCTATTTGAGGTCTTTTTGATACCATACAGATTTTAGAATTTTTTTGTTCTATCTCTGTGAAAAATGACATCGGTACTTTGATAGAGATTGCACTGAATCTGTATATTGCTTTGGGTAGTATCGTCATTTTAATGGTTTTATTTCTTCTGATCCATGATTATAAGACATCTTTCCATTTGTTTTTGTCTTCTTTAATTTATTCATCAGAAATATATAGTTTACTCCTAGAGGTCTTTTATCTCCTTGGTTAAATTCATTCCTAGGTATTTTATTTATTTATGGAGTTAGTATAAGTGAGATTGCCTTCTTGATTTTCTTCTTAGCTAGTTCATTATTGGTGTGTAGAAAAATTACTGGTTTTTGTATGTTGATTTTGTATCCTGCAATTTTCCTGAATTTATTTATCAGATCTAAAAGTGTTTTTATGAAGTCTTTAGGTATTTCTACAATAAGGTGTCATAAGTAAAAAGGAACAATATAAATTTCTTATATTCCAAGTTGGGTGTTGATATGGTTTGGTTGTGTCTGTTCCCAAATCTCATCTTGAATTCCCATGTGTTATGGGAGGGACCCTGTGGGAGGTGACTGAATTATGGGAGCGGGTTTTTCCTGCACTGTTCTCATGATAGTCAATGAGTCTCATGAGATCTGATGCTTTTAAAAACAGGAGTCTCCCTGCACAAAACGTCTTCTCTTGTCTGCCACTGTATGAGGTGTGCATTTCAGTTTCTGCCATGATTATGAGGCCTCCCCAGCCATGTGGAACTGTAAGTCCAATAAACCTCTTTCTTTCCTAAACTGCCCAGTCTTGGACATGACATTATCAGCAGTGTAAAAACAAAATAATACTTTACATTGATATTCAGAAGAGTGGGGCACTGCTGAAAAGATACCAAAAAATGTGGAAGTGACTTTGCAACTGGGTAAGAGGCAGAGGTTGGAACATTTTGGAAGGCTCAGAAGAAGACAGGAAAATGTGGGAAAGTTTGGAACTCTCTAGAGACTTGTTCAATGGCTTTGACCAAAGTGCTGATAATGATATGAACCATGAAATCCAGGATGAGGTGGTCTCAGACAAAGATGAGGAACTTGTTGGGAACTGGAGCAAAGGTGACCCTTGATATGTTTTAGGAAAGAGACTGGCTGTATTTTGCCCCTGCCCTAAAGATTTGTTGAACTTTGAACTTGAGAGAGATGATTTAGGGTATCTGGTGGAAGAAATTTCTAAGCAGCAAAGCATTCAAAAGGTGACTTGCTTGTTGTTAAAGGCATTCAGGTTTATAAGGGAAGGAGAACATAAAAGTTCCGAAAATTTGCAGCTTGACAACATGATAGTAAAGAAAATCCCATTTTCTGGGAAGAAATTCCAGCCAGCTGCAGAAATTTGCATAATGAATGAGGAGCCAAATGTTAATCCCCAAGACAATGGGAAAATGTCTCCAGGGCATGTCAGAGACCTTTGTGGCAGCCCCTCCCATTACAGGCCTGAAAGTGTAAGAGAAAAAAAAAATGGTTTCATGGGTGGGGCCCAGGGTCCCTCTGCTGTGTGCAGTCTAGAGATGTGGTGCCCTGCATCCCAGCTGCCCCAGCCGTGACTAAAACGGGCCAAGGTACAGCTCAGACTATTGCTTCAGGGTGTAATCCCCAAGCCTTGGCAGCTTTCATGTGGTATTGAGCCTGTAAGTGCATAAAAGTCAAGAACTGGGGTTTGAGAACCTCCAGCTAGTTTTCAGAAGATGTACGGAAATGCCTGAATGCCCTGGCAGAAGTTTGCTGTAGGGATGGGGCCCTCATGGAGAACCTCTACTAGGGCAGTGTGGGGGAAGGGCAAGGTAATGTGGGGTCAGAGCCCCCATGCAGAATCCCCACACAGAATCCCCACTGGGGCACCGCCTGCTTGAGCTGTGAAAAGAGGGCCACTGTCCTCCAGACCCCAGAATGGTAGGTCCACCAACAGCTTGCACCACACAACTGGAAAAGCCACAGACACTCAATGCCAGTCTGTCAAAGCAGCCAGGAGGGAGGCTATACCTTGCAAAGTCACAGGGTTGGAACTGCCCAAGACCATGAAAACCCACTTCTTGTATCAGCGTGACCTGGATGTGAGACATGGAGTCAAGGAGATCATTTTGGAGCTTTAAGATTTGACTGCCCACTGGATTTTGGACTTGCATAGAGCCTGTAGCACCTTTGTTTTGGCCAATTTCTCCTATTTGGATTGGCTATATTTACCCAGTACCTGTACCCCCATTGTATCTAGGAAGTAACTAACTTGCTTTTTATTTCATAGGCTCATAGGTAGAAGGGACTTGCCTTGTCTCAGATGAGTCTTTGGGCTATGGACTTTTGAGTTAATGCTGAAATGAGTTAAATCTTTGGGGGACTCTTGGGAAGGCATGATTGGTTTTGAAATGTGAGGACATGAGATTTGGAAGTGGTTGAGGTGGAATGATATGGTTTGGCTGTGTCCCCACCCAAATCTCATCTTGAATTCCCATGTGTTGTGAGAGGGACTCAGTAGGAGGTGACTGAGTTATGGGGGTGGGTTTTCTTTGTGCTGTTCTTCTGACAGTGAATGAGTCTCACAAGATCTGATGATTTTAAAAACGTAAGTTTCCCAGCACAAATCCTCTTCTCTTGTCTGCTGCCATGTGAGACTTGCCTTTTGCCATCCACCATGATTATGAGGCCTCCCCAGCCATGTGTAACTGTAAGTCCAATAAACCTCTTTCTTTTGTAAATTGCTCAGTCCCAGGTATATCTTTATCAGCAGCATGAAAATGGACTAATATAGGTGCCTTTTATTTTTTTCTCTTGCCTGATTGTCCTGGCTAGAATTTCAAATGCTATATTGAATAACAGGGTGAAAACAGGCATGCTTGTCTTGTTCCAGTTCTTAGAGAAAAGCTTTGAGCTTTTCCCCATTTGATATGATGTATATTTCAAAATAGCTTTAAGAGAGGACTTGAAACGTTAAAAACAAATAGAAATGATAAATACTTGAAGTGATAGACACACTAAATAACCTGACTTGATCATTACACATTATATGCATGTAACGAAATATCACATGTACTCCATAAACATGCACAAATATTATGTCTCAATAAAAATAAAATAAAATACATATAATTATGAGTATACTCTAAAAGTGACCATGGTTTGTTTGCCAACTTACATGTAATGCAATAACCCTTTTCCACAGTTCTTGTAATGGATGGCGGCAAAAGAGAATCTTACTTGTGTGAATTCACAGTATCTCTCTTCTCTCCTATCTTGTATTCAACACAAAGAATTCTAGTTTTGCCAATTTGAAACCTGGACATTTACTGTGAAGAATTTGAAAACTGGGTAAAGGGAAGCACTGAGGTGCCTTAAAAGGATGTTGAAAAATTATTTTGGAACAGCAGGACAGAGTTACTGATGAAACCAACAAAACAACAGCAAATAGATCTAAAAAAAAGAATCTGGAGAAAGGTAAGAGTACATAATTGAAAGAAATTTGGGAAAATAATTCTAAAAAACTGGGAAGACAAAAATAAATGAAAAGATTTCAGGGCAGTTGCTGCACAAGAAGGATCATGAGAGAGAGACGTACAAAAACTAATTTTAAGAAGCATAGTAATTTATAAATATTATCTCCATCTGCCATTTTTCAATAAATTTCAGTAAATCATAATTCAAATTATTTATTTATGTCTAATTCGTTTGTCTTTACATCTGATACCCTGCCAGGATGGGATGCCTGTAGTGCTTGGTGTTTATTATATTATGATTTTAGAGAGGAGTTATGACAGGGTTTCCACCTAGGCTCTTCCAGGGTGTTCTACACTGTGGTCAAAAGAGGACAGTTGGAGGAGTATAAAGTTTATTAACATGTACGAAGTACAAAAAGAAAATCTGACATTTAATACAAACAAAAAATTATTTTCTTCTCTCCATTCACACTAGTTATAATCTTGAATATTTTTACATTCATGTTCACAAACTCAGTTGCGTGTACACACATATACACACACACAAACCAACTAAAACACTTCTTAAACCTGCTGCTAGAATTTGTCTTGTCTAGTATTTGGCTCATATAATATTTGTCTTGGGTAGTATTAAAATTCAAATAACTAAAAGTTATTCACTCCATGTAAGCATTCAATAATTTATGTGTTTAAATTATATGATATTCTTACACAAAATTGAGATATTTAATTCATCCTGTCTTTTATTTTAGATCCCACAAGCCTAGAAATCGTGAGCACATTACTGCCATCAGGAGTTACTTAAAGATAAATTACTGTAACACTTACTATATTGCAAAATTTTTATATTATGTGCCTTTTCGCCAATTGCAATTTTTACTGATTTTAATAATCTGTAAATCATGAATTGTGTAAATATTGCATTGATTATTCATATATTATTACATTACTAAAAGAAAATATAAAATACTTATATCAAAATATTAGATAAAACAGAATATAAGATACTATTTGCAATACCATTACAAAAATGTGAAAGTACTGGCTTAGGAAAATACATGAAGAAAGTACTACCAGACATTCATAATCATGAAAATGGCAAGGTATATAATTATAGTTACATTCCTCAAATTTTATGATTCTGGAGTCATAATGCTTCTTTGGTTTTCTCATTGTTCTATTTCTGTTTACTAAAATTAAAAGCTATATAATGCCTTCTGATATTTCTTCTAAGTAATTTAAATTAAACACAACTCACTATTTACAAGTTACAAAACTGATAGGAATAATGGATTTTGGTTGGGCTCATTCTCCCAAATGTTGCTCTTATATGCATTAGACCTGTTGGCGTGAAACAATGTTAGAGCATCTGCTTGAACTTATTCATTCATTAAAAATGTATTAGTTGAATGCCTATTATGAGCCAAAACCCGCGTGAAGCAAAGCAGATTTAGTGAAAAACTAACAATGTAAACATATTGTAATTCCTTATCAGTCCCCTATACTCAGTGTTTCTTTTAGAAATTAATAATTTACCAAAATACTCATAAAAATTGATAAAGTTATAGAAATATTTAAGAACATGATAGAATAATTGTCTTTTAAAAAGTATCGGATGTGGCTGGGTACAGTAGCTCATGCCTATAATATCAGCACTTTGGGAGGTTGGGGCGAGTTGATGGCTTAAGCTCTGGAGTTCAAGATAAGCCTAGGCAACATAGCTGGACCT
This sequence comes from Homo sapiens, assembly GCF_000001405.40. Classification (NCBI taxonomy): domain Eukaryota; kingdom Metazoa; phylum Chordata; class Mammalia; order Primates; family Hominidae; genus Homo; species Homo sapiens. The sequence goes on along the minus strand of NC_000002.12, from coordinate 184,715,590 downwards.
CATCACTACCAGAATTAAAAAATAAAAATTAAAAAATCAGCTGAGCATGGTGGCATATGCCTGTAGTCCTAGCTATATGTGGGAGGCTGAGATGAGAGGATCACTTGAGCCCAGAATTCAAGGTAACAGTGAGAGCCATGATCATCCTGCTGCCCTCCAGCTTGGGTGACACAGTGAGACCATGTCTCTTTAAAAAAAATGTTGCACTTATATCTTTTATTATTCTTAGAGTAAGGTAAAGAACTATAAAACTCAGTCACAAATGTGGGCATATTTTCAGAAGTGAACACTTTAACTGCACTTTAACTAAACTTCATGAGTACTCAATAACTTATGTCTGTGTCACCTAGTCCTCATTACCCAATAATAGGTCTTGTCCAAATTACACTCATTCTATAAGTCCAGAACAGTTAGTCCCCAAGCTATTTTGAATCTTGAATCCTGAAGACTACAAAAATTGATACTTAGGAACCTTTTGCAATTTTGTGAAAAAGTGTCCAAGATTTTCCTTAGGCTACTCTCGTGGGACACAGGGTATTTAAGTTCTTAGTCTGGCTACCAGCCTTATATGGAAGAAGGCTAAAGCCAGAGAGAAACTTTTACTAACTCCGACCTTTTTGAAGACTCATCCTTCAATATTTACTTCTTCTGAGTATGAAGAAGGTATAAAGGAAAGCAGTAATGCCAGATTTCCTTTCTCTCTGTCATTTATAAAATGTATTCAGTCTTGGATTGTCCTTCACATTAAGAAATATTTTTATTTTATTTTGTCTTAAAATATTCTCCAAAACTATGAATTAGATATTGTTGTGTACATGTTGGTATATGGCACATAGTTGTTGTTTCAAGACTTTGTGATCTAGAGAGGAAAATATGAAATACAAATACAACTATGTAGACAAGTTACCTTACTCGAAAAATTGTGTGGACCTTATTATTTCTTTTAATGCTCATTCACAACACTACAGCAACCAAGCCACTCTTCACATTCACTGTTCTCTGAATGCTTTCTTAGCACTTTTTAGATAATTTCATTTATTGACTGTATCCTATCAGTCACTTGGAATAATTCACAAGCTGTAGAAGTCATCCTTGAAAATATGCAATGCCAGCTTTTTACTGAACAAATGTAAATATATTTTAACATAAAAATGAAACAGAATATAACAATTCTAAACTTTAGAAATGTAGCTGTAGACATATGAGTAGTAATGCATATTTAATAGTTTACCAACATTAAAATAAAATGGAGACATTTAAATGTTGGCAGCCAGGAATAGTGTGTGCATGTGCATGTAATTTGTTTCTGCTGATTTGGGATTGTCAGAGGGAGTAAGATGAACAGAAAGCAAAGTAAGAGGGAGGCACCTGAATGTTTCTGAATGACTTTTGTATTTTAATTCAAATTAGGAACCATTTGAAGCAGATCAACCACTTTCCAACATGATTTAACAATTAACCACCCTATAATATACAAATTATTCTAGTTAATAAGAGGCATTTAAAGTTAAAACATTAAAATACAGTGGAGTAATTTATTATAACTGTTAAATATTTAATCCATTTATTCTCTGTACCGGTGTTTTTAAACAAAATCTTATTGCATAGCCTATTTTTAATAAATCTCTTCATGTTGCTTAAAAAGATCTCAAAATGACCTTACTTAATTTCCCATGCATATTATTTTGTATATGCAACAAACCAAATATGAATTTAATTTCATCTGACACAACATATTATTTCCTCTTTTGCATTAAGGACAAATTTTCTTTGCCTTGTACTCAGTATGCATTTTAATACAAAAGGCAGCATTTAATAGTTGTTTCCTAGCTAGCACGTAGTTACTAATGAAATATCTTAGAAACAAATGCGTTGTTAATATTTTCACTGTCCAGAATTTTTAATGATAATCCTGTGATATAGCCTATACTTTTATTTTGTCTTAAAATATTCTCCAAAACTAAGAATTAGATATTGTTCTGTACATGTTGGTATATGGCACATAGTTATTGTTTCAAGACTTTGTGATCTAGAGAGGAAAATATGAAATACAAGTACAACTATGTAGACAAGTATCATTAGAGTGCCATATACAACCTATTATCACTCATGGAAGACATACTTTTTTTTTAGATGGTTCATGTAAGTTCCCACATAATGGTGAAATTAAACCGTGGTTTGGATAATTTTATGAAGCTTTAGTTGCAGAAAATGAAATTCAATTTAGCTATATTAGGCAAATATAACATAACAGAGGGAACTAGGTGCATATATAAAGTCAGTGGAGAATATGGAGAACTGGCTTGCCCAGAAATGACTCCCAGAGCAACATATAGAACTGGATCATGAAAAAAAATAGCCATCTTTGTCACAATCATTGAGGAGTAATCTAGACTGTCTAACTTGGCTGATTGGTTAAGGTCCTTTACTATTGAAGCCAGTCTGTAAAGACTGGGAGAGGTGGCTATTTCTTCAAATATACAGACGCTAATGGAAAGCCACAAGGAACAAAAAGAATTGGGGAAACATGACTCAATTAAAAAATAAATAAATCTCCAGTTACCTAAATTAGAAATGGAAATCTATAAATTTCCTTATAAACGCTCAATATAATTGTTTTAAAGAAGCTCAGTGAGTTACAAAAAACAAAGATGGACAACTGTATAAGATAAGAAAAAAATGATACAGGAATAAATCAAGGATATCAACAAAGGGCAGAAACTATGCAAAGAAGCAAAGAGAAACTCTGGAGCTGATGAGTATAACTAAACTGAAAAATTTCCTAGTGTAGTTCAACAGCAGACTTGATCAGAAGAAAGAACCAGAAAGCTTGAAGGTCATTAGAAATTATAAGAGAAACAAAAAGAATAAAAGAATGAATAGGAGTGAAGAAAGTTTAAGAGAATTACGGGCACCATCAAACCAACTAATATATGCATTATGAAAGTTCTGGAAGAACAAAAGAAAGGAATCAAAAGCTTATTTAAAGAAATAATGGCCAAAACTTCTCAAATACAGAGAGAGAAATAGACATTGAGATTTACGAAGCTCAGAAGTTTGCAGACAGAATCAACCAAAAGTTTAACTTACACCAAGACTCATTACAGCCAACGTGTCGACATTAAAGACAAAGAGATAATTTTGAAAGCATCGAAATAAACTCATCATGTATGGGAGAGCTTCAATAAGACTATCAATGGGTTTCTTAGCAATACCTTGCAGACTAGTAAACAATGGGATTATCTATTCAAAAGGATGAAATAAAAAAATTGCAACCCAGGAATATACTATGTCTGGTAAAACTCCCCACCAAAAATTAAGTAGACTGTTTTGTGAGGCTGAGGCAGGAAGATCACCCACTTGATATCATCAAAAAGAATTAACTTCATAGGAATAAACTTAATCAAGTAGTTGAAAGACTTGGACACTGAAAACTACATAACTCTGATGAAAGAAATTAAAGAGATCACAAAAAAATAAAAAGACATCCCATGTTTGTGGACTGGATGACTTAATATTGGTAAAGTGTCCTCATTACTCAAGAAGACTTACAGATTCAATGAAATCCCTATCAAAATACTAATGCATTTCTTACAGAAAAAGATTATAATTATACTAATATTCATAAGGATTCACAAAATCCAAATCAATCTTAAGAACAACAAAACTGGACGCATTACAATTCCGAATTTCAAAATACACTACAATGCTATAGTAATCAAAACAGTATAATAATGAAATTAAAATAGACAGACAGAATAATGGAACAGAATAGAAAGCCCAGAAATAAACCCATATATGTATGGTCAACTGATCTTTGACAAGGGTGCCAATAACACAAAAAGGAGAAAGGACAGTCTCTTCAATAAATGGTGTTGAGAAAACTGAGGATTCATATGAAAAACAATAAAATTGGATGCTTCTCTTACACCATACACAAAATAAAATGGATTAAAGATTAATTAAAAATCATAAAAGAAAACATAGAAGGAGAGATTCATGGCATTAGACTAAGCAATTTTTTAAAATATGCATAAAAAGTGCAAGCAACAAAAGCAAAAATAGACAAGTAGTACTCCATCTAACTTAAAAGCTTCTGCACAGCAAAGGAAACAACCAACAGAGTGCAGAGGCAACATACAGTATGGGAGAAAATATTTGCAAAACATATATCTGAAAAAGGATCAATATCTAAAATATGCAGGTAACTTCTACAACTTGATAACAAAAAAGCAAGTATCCCAGTTAAAATATGGACAAAGAATGTGAGAAAACAGTTCTCCAAAGTAATATATAAATGGTCAACAGATATATGAAAAGATGCTCAACATCACTAATCCTCAAATAAAAGCTAATCAAAACCACAACAAAATATCACTACACTCCTGTTCGAATGGCTACTATAAAAAAGTAAACAAAAGATTAAAATGCTGGTGATAATGTGGAGAAATTGGAACACTTGTACACTGCTGGTGGGAATGTAAAATGAAGTATCTGCCATAAAAACAATAGTCACATCTCTCAAAACATTAAATATGGAACTAATATATGATCCAACAATCTTCCTTCTGGATATATATCCAAAATATTAAAATCATGATCTCCAAAAAAATCTGGACTTTCATTTTCATTGCAGCATTATTGACAAAAGTCAAGATATGAAAGCAACCTAAATGTCCATCAATGGATAAATGGACAAATAAAACATGGCATAGACATAGAATGAAATACTATTCAGCCTTAACAAAGAAGGAAATCGTACCATATGCAACATGTTGGACTTGGAGGGACTATGTTAAGTGAAATTGGCTTATCACAGAAGGACAAATACTGCATGATTTCATTTATATGAGGAATCTAACACAGTCAAATTCATAAAAACAAAATAGAAAGATGACTGCTAGGGGCTGCAGTGAGAAAAAAATAAGGAGTTCTTTTTCAAAGGGTATAAAGTTTCAGTTTTACAAGATGAATAAGTTCTAGAGACCTGTTATGCAACACTGTGCTTAGAGTTCACAATACTGTATTATACACTTAAAACTTTGTTGAGAGGCTACATATCATGTTAAGTGTTCTCACTACAATAAAAGCAAGAAAGAAAGGGTAAAATTTATGAAGATTAAAATTATAAGGTATTTGCTTTCAGAATGTGGTTTAAAGGCACAAAAAATAAATATATATATATGGTATAAATTCTTTATAATTATAAAAGAAGCAAACAATTCAACAGTGAATGAAAGTAAATGAATGGTTTCTTGGGAATTCAGGGCTCACAACAGTAGGAAAAATATTATTGTAAAGGGGCACAAGGTATATTTGAGGGTGATGGATATGTTTATTATCATGATTATAGTGACAGTTCACCCATGCCCACGTACTTCAAAACTTACACAATTTTGTAAGTACATATGTACAGTTTACTGTGTGTCAATTATACCTGAATAAAACATTAAATTAAAAATACAAGACCACTTTGAAGGTAATAACTTGGAGATTCTTCCATTGTATTAAGAAAAAGAATAACAAATAAAAAAACAGATACAAATGTATCATTTCCTGTAATAAAAACTATTTGAACTCCTGGTGTGAAGCCCACAAAGCAATATAAATACTATATATTTACATAACTAAATTAGGTATATTAATATAAAGGAAATGTGGAAGAATTCCTATACTTTATGCTTTTATGTGATTTTTGTTGTTTTATGCAGTCTTAAAATATATTATATATTTATAATATATACTATAAAAATATATTTTCCTCATATTAAAATACACAATATTTTATATATATATATGAAAAGTCTAAAGAAGGAAAGCAGTACACTAGGAAGTTTATGTTTGGAGCCAAGAATGTTTTTTAAAAAAGTATATGCAAAAATCATTATTTTGGAAGTCACCTTTAGAAACGATTTTTTGGTAACTTCTCATCTACTAAAATAATTCTTTTTAGATTGTTTCTGAGAGAAGACTCGAGGTTTTTTTGATACTTTAGTTACAGTAAACTCTACACTCATGTGCAAACTGTACCACTTTTAAATATTTCAAATATACAAAAGTATTCCTTATAGTCAGGAAATATCAGCCTTCTTAAACTTCCTTAACTTACAGGATTGTTCTCAGAATAATATTGGAAACAGGAAAAAAATTTCAGAGAAATCAGAAGTATTAGATAGATAGATAGATAGATATTCATTTAATTTTCTATATTAAAGTATATAAATGCAATTCAAATATATTTTCAATATTACTTCATATCTGATTCATATCTACATGACTTGGTTTCATTTGTGAGAGTAAAAGAAGATCTGAAGGCAACTTGTTTCTTTAGATAAAATTCTTTAGTTTCAGAGAGTAAAAGCAGGCACTGACATTCTGAATTCAAATTCCAGACCAAGTGGAGGATTGTTGTATACCCCAAAGGGCAGTACAAACCCTCTTTAAGTCCTTGCTCATGGCAGTAAAAATATTAATGGTCATTTCACATGGTGATGTATTCCTCAAGAAGGTAGAATCACTGAAGTAATAGAAACTGCAGAGGCGTTTGGATTTGATAGCCAGGAAGGTTTCATCTGGGGAGATGACATGTGACTGGAGAGAGCTGAATGACAAGAACAGAGCAGCCACGTGGAGGCTCAATGGAGTTTCGAGGGTGTGTGAAGTGGGAGATGGGACTACAGTAGTAAGAAGATTGAAATAGACTTAAGATAAGGAGTTTGAATGTCATTCTGAGTTCAGTGGGAAATCCTTGAGATGTTTAAAGCAGGAAGAAAGCCTGAGGTGGTTACATATTAAAGTTTCACGAGGCATTTTATTCAATGGACAGAGATTACTTTACATAGTGTATATATTTATAGAGATATACATTTCCTTGTCATAGATTGTAAGACTAAATATTTATTAAGTTATTATATAGAATTTCCCATCTTGAGTTAATATTTGTATATGGCAATATAATATTTTAGTAATATTTGTATTTGTATATGTATCTTCTGCATATGGTTAGCTAGTTATCCCAGCACCGTTTGTTGAATTTGGTCCTTTCCTCATTGCTTATTTTTGTTGACTCTGTTGAAGATCAGAAGGCTGTAGGTGTGCAGCTTTATTTCTGGGCTCCCTATTCTGTTCCATAGATTGAGGTGTCTCTTTTTCTGCCAGTACCAAGCTGTTTTGGTTAGGGTAACCTTATAGTATAGTTTGAGGTTGGGTAATGTAATACCTCTGGCTTTGTTCTTTTTATTTAGAATAGCTTTGGCTATTCAGGCTCTTTTTTTGTCCTAAAAAGTAATGGCAACAGAAACAAAAATTGACAAGCGGGACCTAATTAAAGAGCTTAGGCACAGCAAAGAAACTATCAGGAAAGTAAACAGACAACCTACAGAATGGGAAAAATATTTGCAAACTATGCATCTGACAAAGGACCTATAAGAAACTTAAACAAATCAACAAGCATTTTAAAAAAATTGAGAAGTATGTACAAAACATAAACAGACACATCTCAAAAGAAGACATACAAACAGCCAGCAAACATATGAAAAAATAATCAAAATCACTAATTATTAGAGAAATGCAAGTCAAAGCCACAATGAGATACCATCACACACCAGTCAGAATGGCTATTAGTAAAAAGTCAAAAATAACACATGCTGATGAGGCCATGGAGAAAAGGAAATGCTTATACACTGTAGGTAGGAATTTAAATTAGTTCAGCCACTGTGGAAAGCAGTTTGGAGATTTCTCAAAGAACTTCGAACTACCATTCCACCCAGCAATCTTATTACTGGGTATATATCCAAAAGAAAATAAATCATTCTGCCAAAAAGACCCATGCACACATATATTCAAAAATGCAACACTGTTCACAATAACAAAGATATGAAAATCAACCTAGATGCTCATCCATAGAGGATTGGATAAAGAATATATCATACATATACACCACGGAATACTATTTAGCCATAAAAAGAATAAAATCGTGTTCTTTGCAGCAACATGGATGTAGCTGGAGGCCATTAACCTAAGCAAATAAACACAGGACCAAAAAACCAAATACTACATGTTCTCACTTATAAGTGGGAGCTAAACATTGGGTAAACATGGACATAAAGATGGCAATAATACACACTGAATATTACTAAAGGGAGAAGGGGGCAAGCTTTGAAAATCTACCTACTGGGTACTATGCTCACTCTCTGGGTGACAGGATCATCTGTATCCCAAACCTCAGCATCACACAATATAGTCATGTAACAAATCTGGCATTATCCCTGAATCTAAAATAAAAGTTGCAATTATAGAATAAAGTAAAAATGAAATAAAATTGTAATTCTTTCCCCACACACTCCCTCCAAAATTACCCATGTACACATATTAAGAGTGGCTAGGTGAGTGGTTTCAGAGAAAGGAAGAACACCTCCATTCTAAAAAAAAAGTTAACGTTCTTCAATGTAATATTTCCATACTATATTTGGATCTGCAAGGTCAGTCCTAATGAGTCAATACAAGTTATAAAGCAGTAGACAATTGGCAGCCTTGAATCTCTTTATGCCTATGAAGTTAACAAACCTGGCATTTCAGGTAAAAGATTTTCACATAAAAATGTGGCACATAAGGACTCCTGATAAGCTGATATGCTTTACTAAAACTATTGAAATACACATATAAACTCTGTCTGGCTTACTTCCCAATGATATTCATGTAGTTTTAATTCTATTTTGTAGAAGAAAGTAGTAAATGCTCATCAGTATAGAACACATTTCCTACAAAAATTCCAAATGTTTAAACACATGATATATTGACACACGAAGTTGGATATTGTGGATACCAGCTCTCCAATGAATAATGAAACATAGAGTGCAATCAAAACTATTACAGCTGTATGGTCTAATATGTAGTCCTAAACCACAGCTATCCTGATGGTCAGGTATTTCACAAGATAGGGGAAGATCATCTGAAGACTCCATATCTCTCACTGAAATGTCAGGCTAGACAACTCTCAGTCACCTTCATGTCATTAAAGCCAGAGGCTCAGTCATCTGAGCCACCTAACCATAAATTTTAAAGTTATCAGCAGCTCTCTATCAACAAATGAAAATGGTATATACATGATCACACCCTGAACTAACAAGTAAGTTACATGATGAAATGGCTTCAATGCCCCTAGCCTGCACTTTCGCTGTACTGCCTTCTCTGCCTATCACCTCATGAGGAGTTCCCAAAAATTACTTAACAGAGGAAGAAGACTCAGGTCTGGTTAACGAATGAGCCTGTACAACATATACCATGTACACACCACCTTAAAGTGGACAGCTGCAGGACTACAGCCTCTTTCTGAGACAGCCTCAAACAACAGCGATTGTTCACTTTGCTTGGAAGGAGAAGTGGCCAGATGTGTGATAATATACCAACTCATGGGCTGTATCCACTGGTTTGGCTGAATGGTCAGGGACTTGGAAGGAACATGACTGAAAAAATAGTGATAAAGAAGTCTGGTGAAGAGTTATGTTGATAGAGCTCACTGTATGGGGGTGTGGGGGAGAGAACAAGAAGGTGTTTGTGTCCCATGTGAATAGTCACCAAAAGGTGACCTCAGCAGCAAAGGGTTTTAATAATCAAGTGAATAGCAGTCAGCCTCTTTCCTCAGCTACTCTTCTCATTGATCCATGGCTCATAAAAAAAGGTGCCATGGTAGCAGAGGTAGAGGTAATGTCAGGTGTCAATCTGTTGTTCAATAACTTTTGTGAAAAGAAAGCCATGATTTTTTGTGTTTTAAGCCCCAAACCACATTTTCTACCACCCCAGCACATGAAATGGTCATTTGCCAAGATGCGTATTCATTGTGTTTATGTGTGTGTGTGTGTTATGTGTGTGTATTTATGTGTGAAAGGAAGTTGTTTTTCTTAAAAAATAGTCCATATAAACTATCTGAAATAAATTATTAATCATGTAGCACAAACGTACACTTCAGGGAAAGAAAAAAAATAGGTACCATGCCTTCAGAGAACTGTCATCTCCTAACCCCTTGGGTTACTACAAAAATGACTGAGGTTATAATTGTAGTTGTACTCTGAAGAAAAAAGCAGAAAACATTTATTAAATATGAAAATGAGAATATATTCTGGGTTATCTTTTTAGCTACACTCTTCATATACACGATTAGAAAATTGTTACTATTGAAATCAGGGCGTACATATGTAATATCATATTTATTTTTACATTCCCATATCCAGTCACCTGCTATGCTCTGAAAATTTATTTTGCCTGTACCTTTTCATAGTCACTCCTTTCTTCCTATTCCAAATACCACTACGTCAATAAAGTTCTTCACTATGTTCACCTGGGCTATTTTAAAATTTTTCTAACTGGGCTTACTGTCTTCAATATCCTTTTCTCAATTATGCTATGAAACCAGTTTTCCTAAAATATCGCAACTATCAGAAATCTCCTACATATTTCCTATCATCCAGGCATCACTTCTTCCAGTCTCATCTCTGCTTAGGCTCTGATTAACCTCAAACAGGTGCAATCTAACACTGCCTCATTTCTTGCCCAATTTATAATCTGAAAGAGCAGGAGTATTAACAACTTATGGTGTGAATGTTTAACCAATGTGATTTGAGAATTGTTCTCAAATTGTTTAACCAATTGTAATTTGAGAACTATTCTTACTTTCTTCTTTCTTTCCATGAGAAACAGTCCAAGCAGAGTCTACAAGGATTCTCAGGGCATCCCCTCAAGGTTTGAGCAGTCAGTTGTTAGCGACCAGTGTCATTCAGGCTTTTTATCCTTCCCAGTGTCAATGCATTGTCCCTCACTTTTGTGCTTTGAGATTCATTCCCTAAGAAAATAAAAGCATATAAGCTTACCCTCAGGCTCTGTGTTCTTAGAAACCCAGGCTAAGATATTTGCTTTGGGCTTTCCATTCTGTCTTCAAAAAATTCTATTAACCAAAGTTCAAACCTCTTAACTCTTTTTAATTCAAGGGATTTCAAAAACCTAGGACTCTGACTAATTTATTTTTTCACTAATCTTCCACAAGAACTTAACCTAAACTATAACTTTGAACATCTTTTCAACACACTCCATATGGATCCACTCTTTCAATGTCCTTCCTATTTCTCTGTTGGAAATTCTACCTATATTCTTTTTAACCTCTTTTAAGAAGTAATCCCAGGACTTTGGGAGGCTGAGGCGGGTGGATCATCTGAGGTTGGGAGTTCGAGACCAGCCTGACCAATATGGAGAAACCCCGTCTCTACTAAAACTACAAAATTAGTCAGGCATGTTGGAGCATGCCTATAATCCCAGCTACTCAGGAAGGCTGAGGGAGTTGAATTGCTTGATCTCGGGAGGCGGGGGTTGCCGTGAGTAGAGATGGCGCCACTGCACTCCAGCCTGGGCAACAAGAGTGAAACTCGGTGTCAAAAAAAAAAAAAGATTTCCTGAAACTCAATCTGAAAGTGTTCTCTCTCTTCTCTAAATACCAATCATTACTATAGATTCACTTATCAGGTATAATTGTATCTTAATATATTAACATTGTGGCTGGTGGTACCCCTACAACTCTCTTTAAGGTCCTTAGAGAACTTTTCGCATCTTTGAAATAAAACAAAGTAGTTTATCCTAAAAATTTTGTAATTTTGAAAAAAGTATAGTCCTATGAGATTTATCATGTTGAACTTCTAGTTTTAATTAGGCTCAACAGATTTATCTTCAAAACAAATTATTCTGGATTTTATATATGCACTATTATAAATTTCACTTTTTTTATAAGTTAAATGTGCCTCATATCTATACTGCAGCATTCATTCAAAATATACAGCTCTTCTTTTGCAAACAAATGTTTCCTGCATTGATATTTTCTTTCTTTCTTTCTTTCTTTTTTTTTTTTTTTTTTTTTTTGAACCGGAGTCTTGCTCTGTCGCCCAGGCTGGAGTGCAGTGGCGCAATCTCGGCTCACTGCAAGCTCCACCTCCTGGGTTCACGCCATTCTCCTGCCTCAGCCTCCCCAGTAGCTGAGACTACAGGCGCCCGCCACCACGCCCGGCTAATTTTTTTGTGTTTTAGTAGAGACGGGGTTTCACCGTGGTCTCGATCTCCTGATCTCATGATCTGCCCGCCTCGGCCTCCCAAAGTGCTGGGATTACAGGTGTGAGCCACAAAGCCCGGCCTGCATTGATATTTTCATTTCAATGATTATTAACTATAACTAGAGTATATGTGTTCACTATGCATGCTTTATGGAACAGGGTTTAGCAATATTTTGTTTGTGGTATGTTTATTTTAAATCAAACTCTAACAGATTCCATTTATACTAGGTTGGTTCAAACAAGCCAGTGATAAAACTACTTTTTAGCAACAGTGATTGTGATTCTGAGAAAATACGTATATAACACTCAAACTTTTAATAGTAAATACTACAGTTTTTCCATTAAAATTATTTGGGTAGTAAACACTTCACGAAATGTAAGAAAAAGAAGCCTTTGTGTTGTAGAAGCTGTAATGGTTATATTGCAATTAAATTGCTTATAATCAAAAAGGAGCTACTGCAAAAAACAAAAGAAGCCAGACAGAAAATTCTGATATGCATAATATGACATATGCATAGACATTAAAAGCCCAGATATTCAAACAATATTTACTGAGTTGTTAGGTATAAATATGCTTATAAAATTGGCTGACAAAATGAGAAGGAACAAAACTGCCATTACTTAATAAAGTTGTTTTAAGTATATCTCTACATAGATATACATAACATATACACATAACATACAGAGGCAAATTAACCTATGTAAACGTGACTCCATAAAAAATGTCACATAATTGTAACTCAAATATTAACTGTAAATTGCTGCTTCCCTGAATTTCTCCATTCAGTGTGCTATTGGATACTTTACGACATATGTACGTGACTGAGAAAAGTGACATTACATTTATTGTTAATCAGGATAATATCTTTATTATGAACCAGATCAGTTTTGAAATCAAAGTTTCAAGGTGGTAGTTAAAATTTTGCTTAGTGAACTCTTTATCAGGATGATATCATAAATATAGAAGTAAAGAAGGGAGTTAGGAATAGAGAAGAAATCAGGAGTCAGGATTAGAAATTTAAAGTGGCAGAACTGGAAAAACTAAAGGGATTATTCAGATTCAAAATCAGAAACTGATGAATTAGGTTTGAGGAATCGTAAGCCAAAGGATGACTGCCTGAAGAGCTAAAATATGAAATGCACATAACTTCTACCATAAATACTTCAGTTTCTTGCATGTAAATTCATATCTCTATAGCATGTAACAGCTTTTAAACAGTTGCATTCCAGTTGTCTCAAAAAATCAAAATTTGACAGATTATTGAAGGAAATGATCATAGATAAAGGGTTGTGACTATGCAATTATTGATACAATTAGCATATATTAGTACACACAGACTTTTAATTCTTAGACATAGCAGTGAAAACAAGGTTCTTTAAAAAGAAAACAAGTATAGTTTATTTTTATTTTTATTTTTATTCTACAACTGGCTTACAAAGAGTGATTTTCCTTCTAGCTCTTATTTTAAAATAAAAATACAGACAAATTTCTCCAAAGACCTATAATTACTTCAGATTTACAAGAATCTAAACTCTAAAGAACTCTTTTTAACACCAAAGTGCTTTATCAAATGAATAATCATTAAGTATCTCCCCTTATGCACTCAGAGAGTCTTAATATTAATGCAAGAAACACAAATTCTGGAATCACATAACTTTAGTGACATAGAGTGGCCTTAAAACAACACTCAGTTAACTCTAATTGTAGTAATTTGTTACTGGTTAGCAATTCTACAGTAATAGCATTTTCCCAGAGAGACTGTACTATGAATGCATAGCATTTAATTTGCCTTCATATTTTTATGATATCAACCTGGAGAAAAAAAAGAACCTGATTTTTAAGAAAATCAAGCTGTTAATGGCCATTTGATTATTCTAGACATCTAGTGGCACTAAACCTTTCTTTTCTCCCTTTAGATAAAATGTTCCTAAGGCATAATAAAATGACTGTAAGCAGTGGCAGGCAAAACAGCTAACCTCATTTGAATCAAACTAGATATTAATTTGCCTTCTTACTCATGATTTCAGGCAACGTTATAAAATGACTAAAACATACTTTGAAGAAAAGAAGGTATATATTCAAATTATTTTGGAAACGTTTTATTACTGAAAGAAACAGAAAATTTATTTTAGCAGAATGGCCAAAAATTGCCTTTTTCTATTGTGTTTATATACAATATCTTTCTAGTTATTTCCCAAAATTATACCTGGAAACACTTCAAGTCTTTGGCTGTATTCTGTCGTAACATTGTTTTTGTGGCTCTTGGTAGTCTATTTACTATAAAACTAGTGATTTTAGAAGGGTTGAATCACAGTTTTACATTAAAATGCATGCAATTAAAGTAAGGCAAACACTAAAACATAGCCCATTTCTTTTTTTAAGTACAATTTATTTAACTTAAGTTGATATATAATAATTTTACATATTTATGAGGTTCAATGTGATGTGGTGTCCTTTGCCACATTAAGGTCAATATAGTTCACAACAATGTATTTTATTTTTCCAAATAGTTAGAAAAGAGGATTCTGAATGTTCTCCCTACAAAGAAATAATACATGTCTGAGGTGATGGATATCCTCATTACTCTGATTTAATCACTATACAATGAATACATATATCAGAACTCCTCTTTCTTCTTCACCCTTTCATCTTAACAATGGAGGGTCATTTCCAAATAATACACACATAATTCACTTACTGTTTATAAATTTTACAAGTTCTTTGCTAATGCAGTTTTAACTTAGATAACAATGGCCTCTATCAAATGAGAACTGCCCTCTTCCCCATTTACACTATATATTTATCATGTCAGTTTCTATCAGTTTGGTATTTTTGTTGGTTTTCTTTTCCAGATTGCTGTCTTTAGTTTGTCTTTGTCATTCAAGGTTGTCTTCCAATGAATTTACAGGTTGAAACTTACAGCTGCCCTAATGTCAGTTCATAAGTCATTTTTTTATTATTTAAGCCTATGTCAAATATATGGTGTTTATTATTCTACTCGCAATCATTTCTTTTTAACTTTCATCACTTTGAAATGGACTTCATATAATTCTTAGTATTTGGTTATGACTATAGGCTGCCTAGATTCCTGTAATACAGAGGCCTTATGTAAACTGCATGTGTCCTTAAAACCAGTTTTTACACAAAAATATTTTTCAGTAAACAGTATGGGAAATTATAGGACTGATAGAAGGATGTCCCACCAATCTATTTAGTTAAATTTATTCATTCAGTCATTCATGAATTCACCAAAAACACTTTTGTATTCAATTAAGTCTGTTGGACATCTAACAAAAATGCTTGAAAACACTTTTAGAAGAAATAAATGGCCCAGATTTACAATAAGTTTACAAATATGACTTTAGAATATTAATGTTATTCTTATAATATTACATCAAATACCTTACCATATTCTCTAAGAACTATGTAGTCTGGAAATAGATTGAGGCAACATGGCTTAAACACATTAGTGGTATAAATAAGCACATGATCCACATATCTCTTCTCTCTTGCACTGCTCTTAGAGGCAGGGTAGTATAGTTTTTAACAGAATGTGGGCTCTAGTGGCGTATTGTTTGAGTGAGATTACCAGCTCCACTACTTAGTAACTGCATAGCTCTAGGCATTTCCTACCGTTTCTCCAACTCCAGTGTTTTCATCTATACAAAGTTGATAACAATAATAACAACAGAATCTATATTCTATAGGTTTGTTGCAAACCTTTAGTTCACTTACAATATTACCTGGCATTAAACATTGAGGTTTCAGTAAATGTTGTCTACCATTATTTTTAATTTTCTATTTTGTATTTTAGTTGCTCTCAGTGATCTCTGCAATGAAAATATTTTATATGACAATCATGGCAACACTAGCTTGATTTTCAGGACTACGTTTTTGGTTACCCTGACATACCAGTCAGTGTCACACAGAGTTCCCTGCTAGAACTACTTACATACTGTGAATATGAAAGCTGGCTCAAGTCCTGAAGTCCACATTGACAATGAAGGTATGCATTTTGGCAGCAGCTTTGGTCATCTTCTATGCCAAATTTCCTGAGGTCACTTGGTTATCTGGATTCACCATTTAATTTTCTATCTAATCAATACATCATTATGCATAATGGTGCCTAAATATTAACTCATTGAAAGCTTTCAGATTGGTATTACTTATGCAAATCTGTTCCATTATTTTTAAGCTGATTCTTACAAAGGTTTAAATGGCTAGAGAAGACTTGGGTAAAAATGCCTAGAATATTTGGTAATTCTATTTAGATTCAAATTAGTTTTATTTTGTCTGATCTTATTACTATTCTGATTATGCCATCATTGCCAATTATAAACATAGCCATATATTGTTAGCATTGTGTAGTGGACACAGATGTTTTCCTAATCATTATCCATTCCTGCTTTCTTTAGTTATAGAATCCCAGTTTTATTCAGGTGTCCACCCCCATGCACCATGCATATAACTATGCACTTCATGATAAAGTGAACCAACACCAAGTCTCATGAGTGGGCACGGTTGGTCCAGTAAATTAATCTTCCCTGCCATTGATTGGTACAAGTATATGCATGTGAGCCAATTCTAATCCATTCAAAATGAAAGCAATTCAGCTGAATTGCTTATTTAAAAAAGTTCTTGTCTTCTAAGAGAAAATAATAAATACATGTTTCTCTCTACCTACGGACAGTATTGCATCTGGATGTGACACTTAGAACTTCTTCAGACATCTTATTACCAGCTAAGTATATAGCCAACTCTGAAAGTTTCATACAGAGAGTTACAGAGAATTTGGGTCTACCTGACATACTTGAACTGCTGAGTCAACAAATCTCAAAGTCTACCATATCTCTGCAATTTCTATTGTGTGGTAATAAATTCCCTCTCTGATTAAGCCAGTTTCAGCGACAGTCCTCCACCATTTGCAGTGTAAAGCATCCTAAATGACACAGGATAAAAAGGATATTAAAGACCATCTAAGTGTTCCCTCAAAAAACAATTGAAGTTACAAAGGTTAAGGCGGAATAAATTAACTCAGCCAATAAGAGCCTTTATGTTCCAGCTGCTGAGAAATTACATGATTTAAATGGTAGTAGTGGCACATTCCTTTCTCCGTAATATTACTGATACTGCTTTTAGCTGTATAAGAGAAGTTATCAAGCTTTATAATTTCCCCATATACAAAAATGAATTTGGAGGATTAAAATGTAACTTAAAAACTTTAAGACTATCAACCTTTTATAATGGTTGAACCCTTTATGTTCTCTGTACAGCAAACTAAACTGTATACATCATATACATTATTATGATGTAGTAGGATGGTTACTGTTCTAGCACTTCTAAAAGACTTAGGTGCCAGTCCCCATTTTGAATGAATTAGTGTGTGAATTTTACTGGAAAAACCTCTAATTCCTCACATAAAGACTGAATAGACTCAAATTAAATCTGAACCTTTTACCTCCTTTTAAAGGGAGCTAAAACTTCAATTTTCCAAATAAAAGTCTATGTATGAAATCCAATATATATTAGATATACAGTAAATATGTTTGGTTCAAGTGGGAGCAGGGGATTCAGACCCACCCAGTGAATATCAAAGTCACAATCTAATGAAACAATGTCTCCAGTGAAACATTTGTGCTTCACTGAGGATAGTTTAAAAGCCACCGAATTCGATGATCTTGAAGCCCTCTTCTAGATTTTATATTTTAAGTTCCTAAAAATCAAATGGAAACTAACTTTTAAAATATTATGAAGTACAACAAGTGCTTGATTTTGTGTGTGTGTGTTTGAGTCATTTTCATGGTGATAATTTCTCATTATTTAATGTTAGAAGGACAACTAAACTATTTTGATAAGTATTACTCTTTGAATTATCATATCTTGATAAATGCTTTTTCAATCTTCATAACATCCCTCATTAGCCTAATCATGAAAGTAATCTCCCGTGGATGATTTAATATATTATTATCTGATTCTAATTCTGTACTTAAATTTATATATTAGTAAATTAAATCAAATTATAGGATTAGCAATTTATTCAGATTTTCTAGCATTTAATGTAAGTAGTAGTTGTTCCTTAATCAACTGGGATATCAAACTCACCTATTCATTTGGATTCTGTTAAGTGTCTCATACAGATTCTATGACCCAGAAACAAAGGCTTGACACGTAATGCATGGTTCAACTGCTTCTCATCTTCCTTATCTCTTCATGTAACAGAAAGCATATTTTTTTAGCTTCATTATTCCCTTCACAAATCCCACAAGTTCTATGATTTGTTGGTGACCTCTTAAATCACTGTTAAGTGCTATTAATTATTATCTTGCAATAATAATAGCTACAATCTTTAAACTGTTGGGATTTATTTTGCTATAATTAATTTAAAATATAATCTCTTCTTCACACATGCAGAGGTTATCTTTATTTGTTCACTGTAAAGAGTAATCATATTTTATATCAATGTCATTTATACTAAATTACTGAAGTCACTATTTTTTAATAGTGAATAATAATAACCTAAAATATAAAAATATTAATAATTTTCACTTCTAGGTTGTGGGCTTCTGGGTGATTTTTTTTCGTTACATTTGTTTCTACATTTTTAAATTACTTGCAACAAGCAAATATTTACCTATAATCAGGAAGAACAGATAGCTTAATCAGCATATTTAATTTATATAACCCATTTGATTACAATTATGTAAAAATTATATGCACAGCAAGAACACAGGAATAAGGAATGAAAACCAACTATTGTTGGTTTTGAGTGATTAACTAAGGGTGGTATTTTTCATACTTCAGATTTCTGTGAAAAACCATATGTTAATTTATAATAAAACTGTATTGTCAAATTATTAAAAGATTGGTTGCTTGCTTTGTTTAAATCATATAAAATATTTCAGTGAGAACTGTGCTGCATGATATTGCATTTCTTGAAATAATAAGAATTTTACAATAATTTATATGTGTAAGGTGGCATTCCCAGAAACTCTCATCCTTTAGAACAACATTCTAGACCCCAAAAAGCCATATAAGCAGTCCCAGACAATTAGAACTTCCCAATAATAAGCCAGAATCTTTTACATTTATTTCTAACTTGCCCTCACCCCATCCCTCTTTTTACTAGATTTCAGACTTTGATTCTACATACATGAGATTTCAATCCTAACTTGGATTTGATGTTGTTGCCTGTTTTTTTCCAGCTTGTGAAATCTAACTTTCCTTAACACATAATGCAATTGGTCTTCCTCTTTTGTTTTTTTAAACCCAATCTCGCCTTTGTTGAAAGTATTCTCTCACCTGATTCTTAGCCCCTTAAAAACTAAGTATTTTGTCCTCTAACTAAGAAGGTGTCACCTGGCCTGGGAGGCTCCTGTATGTATCATATTCCGCTAAGAGCTGCAGTGTCTCCGAAATTACATTATAGAAGTGTAGAAATGAAACTTCTCCATCAGCAATAATATAACAACGCAATGGATATTATAATGTAATTGGTTATGCTGGTTAGAACTCACATCATGTTTATGAAAATTACAACTGATTTATAGATAATATATAAACACTGGAAAAAATAATAGAAGTCATCTCTGTTCAGCAAATGGTACAGCCTAATTTTTGTAAAAATAATAAGCAGAGGATACAATAGTCTCAATGATTAGTAAAAATATATATACATATATAAATCCTAAAAGAGAAAGAAATGATACCATGACAAACAAGAACAAGTCTAAATCCACTTTTGGTGACAAGATGCCCTAAATACCTGCTATAAGAAGTCTTTCCAGACCTGGCACAGTAGCTCATGCTTGATATCCCAACACTTTGGAAGGCCAAGGTGGGAGGATTGCTTTTGGCCAAGAGTTCAAGACCAGCCCGGGTAATATGGCAAGACCCCATCTCTACAAAAATGTAAAAAAATTAGCTGAACATGATCATGCCGATGCACTCCAGCCTGGGGAACAAAACAGAGTGAGACCCTGTCTCTTAAAAAAAGTTTAAAAAGTCATTCTTTTTTTTTTTTTTTTTTTTTTTTTTTAATGACGGAGTCTCGCTCTGTCGCCCAGGCTGACTGGAGTGCAGTGGCGCAATCTCGGCTCACTGCGAGCTCCGCCTACCGGGTTCACGCCATTCTCCTGCCTCAGCCTCCCGAGTAGCTGGGACTACAGGCACATGCCACCTCACCCGGCTAATTTTTTGTATTTTTAGTAGAGACGGGGTTTCACCGTATTAGCCAGGATGGTCTCGATCTCCTGACCTTGTGATCCACCTGCCTCGGCCTCCCAAAGTTCTGGGATTACAGGCGTGAGCCACCACTCCCAGCCTTAAAAAGTCATTCTATATGTTTTGTTGATAATCTCTATCTCTCTACATATTTTGAAGTTATAAACTAAGGTATTTCCATTCCAAGAAAAAACAAGGTGGGTTTGTAGGTCTGTATGCATGAACAGGAGTTTCGCCCATCCAGGTTATTTCCCCACTCAATCTCACCTTTCCCCTCAGAGCCTGCAGTGAATAATTGAGTGAAGTTTGTACCAAAGACCTGCCCCAAGATGGGGCCAACTTTATAGTGTAATTCGTACATCCATAGGAACAGAACTTCCCCACAGATCAGGGCAGTGTCAGATTCCGACTGACAAGACACCTTTGCCTAGCTCCTTCTGCCCTAACTTTTCTTCACTTCCTCTCTCTTGAGTAAGATTGTCAGATAAAATAAGGAACTCTGAGATTAATCTGAATTTCAGGAAATAAATGAATATTATTTTAGAATAAATATGTCCAAAGTATTTCAAATACATGTTTACTGTTTATCTGAAATTCAAATTTCAAGCCAGTGATCCTATTTCTGAGAAGAATTCTTGAATAAATTTTATGTTCTTGAAGTTTTGTCTCAGGTTCTGCTTCTAGGAAACTCAAACTTAGATAATGCCAATTATATACTCTTAGGTTATTTAAAATGTTTCAAAACTGTATACCATATAAACACACATGTATATCCTGATCAATTTATATAAGAAATATGTATCTATCTGTATGTTATATACCAAAAGTATTAAGAATATGAAAGCACACATAATTATATAAAAATACATTATGTAATGGTAAAAACCAAGCTCCTAAAATAAATCATCCATGGACAAGCGAACAAGATTTGTGAAAGAACAATTTGTGGTGGTCTCCATTTGACACTGAAATTTTTATATCATTTGCAATTTATAACAGAAGATGTTACTTTAGGAACTCTAATAAAGACTAAGCCTAGCACAGTGGCTCATGCCTGTAATCCCAGCACTTCTGGAGGCCAAGGTAGGTGGATCATTTGAGGTCAGGAGTCCGAGACCAGCCTGACCAACATGGTAAAACCCCATCGCTACTAAAAATACAAAAAAAAAAAAAGTAAAAATAAAAATAGCAGGATGTGGTCACACACACCTGTAATCCCAGCTACTCAGAGGCTGAGGCAGGAGCATCACTTGAACCTAAAAGGTGGAGTTTGCAGTGAGTCCAGATCATGCCACTGCACTCCAGCCTGGGTGGCAGAGTGAGCCTCCGTCAAAAAAAAAAAAAAAAAAAAGACTAAGTTAGTTGCATCATCGATTTTTTTTTTTATTCTTAGAATAGTTGAGTATTCATGAGATTAGGTTTTTTAAATTTTATTTGGCTATTTTTATGCTGATGTTCACTGACGCCAAGCTGACATTATATGGAGCAAAGCGAGAATAAATCCAGGAAGATAAAAAGGTACAAAAAATAATTTATCAAGAGGGTAACACCAGCTACAAGAACATTTACAAAATAAAGAAAAAAATAATGCATAGGCACATATAGGAACTATTATCTTTTTAAGTGGATTTAAATTTAAATATAAGTCATATCTGAGGCATAAATTGACTGGAAGTCAAAATTAAGCAATTAACATTGAATTTTCCTCCTGGGAAAACAGGTAAGTAACAGAAGCCATCTGTAACATAGCCTGCATATATGAATACTTATTTTGAAATGGGGCTATGGAGAAATGTGAGTGCAATATAACAAACATAAATTATGAGCTGCGGATTATAAAATGCAATAAGTAGAAATTATCTTGGATTGCAAGGCAAATGGTGTGAGAATTATATTATTAATATTTGATGACCTTGGACAAGCCATTGTGGACATTAATTTATCTACTTATAAAATGAGGTGTATGCCATATATGGTTTTTAAATACTTTCCAACTCATAAATTCTATAACCCCTTATAAAAGATAATTGAGAATACCTTATTCTAAATAATTATTTTTTAATCCTAGATTTTTCTCTACCACTAAAAGGAATATAATAATACGAAAAAATAAAAACCCTGCATTTTAGTACACAGGTTTGGCAGATGTGCAGAAATAATATATGTTCTAACCCCACAATGAATGATTTCTGCACTTCCTTCTTTAATTTTATATGATGACACTTCTTATATTTGTAGTATCACAATTGAAAGTTTCTACTCCTATAAGAAAAATACTGGATAAAATATTTTACTAATATTATATGGCTGTCAAAACCATGTGGTTTTATAAATAGCACTATCTCAATTATTAAACTATTCATTTTATAGAAGGTGATAGCTATGTATTTTTTTTATTTGTCTGAAGGCATAGTAACTCTAAATTTTTATATCTGTAATAGTCAGGAGAATCCTACTTGCTACTTATACTGGCTAAATGCCATGAAATAGTAGTTATTATTACGATGATATTGGTAAATCTTTAATGTGACCTTAATTGGTTAAAAATAGGTGTAATTGTTAAATGGATCCTTCAATGAATAATTAAATACCCTTATGGGAAAATCAATAAAATAGACAGATTTCTGGTGTCAGCATTCTACAGCTTTCTTTGAAGCTGTAAAACCTCAGGGTTTACTGTGAGACATTGAAAGGACATAGGATATTACACATAAATCCTGGGGGCTGCCACAAAACCAGAGTCAAATGTCAGAAACTATAAACCTCCAGCATCGCTGACTAGGAGTAATGCTTATTATTTTTAATGCACTGCTATGAATTATTTCCACTGGATAATTTCTTGTCTTTGTGCTCACAGTGAAGGCCAAATAGACAGTTATGGGTGGTTGGCAGGAAACCTACATCTGTGAATAAAGTCTCCTGGGATCTTATGAAAGACTGTAATGAATTCAACACATGGCGCTAGTCCTAGGGCCAGACACATTCACACCATGACAGAAGACAGGTTTTTCTAATAAAATCTAAGTGCTGAATCAGTGTGTGCGAAGTATTGTAGCTATTAACTGCTCTGCCCTGCATTTAAACAAACACACACATGCATATACAGAGATACTCACACACACTAGTTAATATTTATAAAGACACATATTGTTGAACAACTGCTGTCTGCTTTTGATTCCTAAAATAAAATGCTATGCTATTTTTTCTAGACAAAGACATAAAGCCTTAAAACATATCAAGCTTTTAGTAGGCTATACAGTTAAACTTTCTTTTAAGAGAAAGTAACATCTAATACAGACCTTTAGAAACTTTCACTTATAAATCATTTTACCAATTGTAAAAGATCTTTCATTGCTTCTCTCATAAGAAACTATGGATCATTTCTCTGTGTTTTAATCTGTTCCAGTTCTTTTAATGGCTATTTCTGGGATCACTGTGCTCTCACTTACAGTTTTGGAGAAATATATAGTATAAAGTATTTATCTAAAATATAAATAATAAATACTATGTAAAATAAAACAACGAATTCGTACTAGAAAGACATAGAAATTTTCTTATTCTATCCTTCCCTTACCTATATTAAAAGATATGAATAAATGCTAATTCTAAATTGCATCATCAGGTTAAAAATGAAAGTTTATATTAACAGTATATCCAAATAATAATATTCTAATATTTTCAGGAACATTGGATATTGTAGATAGAAATATCAGTTTGTGCTGATGTCTATTTACATAAAGGTTTATGTATAGATTCACTTTTGTAAACTAGTTTGTCTCAACAAAGAAGCCATTTCATAAATAAAAATAAAATAGTAAATAAAATCAAGTTGTATAATTATCAACATTTACTATATATATATATAGAATATATGATTTTGTATCTCATACCAATTGACTTGGAACAAAAGGAACATAAATCCTGTAGAGCATCAACTTATTCTAGAATTGGTAGTTTTTCCTAGCTTCCTACAAAGAAAGGGGCACTTCTAGAAAAAAGAGATAGGCAAAGTTTTTGAAGGTTTTTTGCTGAGCAAGTTGAAAGATCAGAGCAAAATTCTATTTTCTTCTCTGACATGAATCCGTAGATACTAACATAAGCCTTAAATATCACCTCATGAAAATGATATGAAGAAAAAGCATGATCATCCCTTCAAAAGCCCCAACACAAAAGTGTTGTGCATAAAAGTACCATACAGATGGAGTGAACCCCGCTAAATATATCTTATTTTTAAAAGTATCCTCACTAAATATGTCTTCTTTATAAGTTTTGCTCACTAAATATATCAAATGTAACAAATTATTGTGAATTTTTTTGCATATATTTATTTTCCAGATATAGGCAGTATTTTTTTTCCAGATATTTTTTCAAACAAAAATTGGTAGAATCTATTTGTATACCTGTTCACATATTATGGTCTAACATGTATAGTTATATAAGTAAATACAAAACAGAATACAAGAGTGATATTTTTCTAAACCACCCACAGTACACACATTTCCAAAGAGATGTTCCCTCTGTTTTAGAAAACACTTTTGGTGAAAACATTACGATCAATGCGTCTTCACTGAAGATTAGGTGCAAAGGGACTACTTCAATTGTTTCATAAAGGTGACATTCAGTAAATATTTCTTGATTTAATGAATGGCTTACTAAAGGCATGCTAAAAACTGTTCCCCTCTCTTGATTTCAGTAATATTTTGTAAAGTTACCTGTGAGGTCATAAGAAATTTCCATGCTTAGAATTTCTCTTCTAGGTTACAGAATTTTAGCAAACATAAGTATTCTATCTCAATTCAACAGGCTGTTGCCATTCACTTGTAGTTTATCAGATTATTCATGTAACTCCATATAGAGCTTATAATTGAATGAGTAGAATACAAGGCATGTAGGATTTGATAGACAACTAGAATGGAATAGTAAGCACACTACATAATCTTTACTTGATGGTTTTGCAAAATGCATGGTGCTATGATACTCAAATTTAGGGTCCAATAATACACCAAATATACAACAGTCTTGTCACCATTTATCCCTGTCATATTTATGATAGCTTTAACATTTTTATTATATCACTTTTTTTTTTTTTCCTGAGACTTTCTTAATGCAATGCTGCATTTTCATCGGTAGGGCAAACTAATTTTTATTCAAAGCCTCCCTACAGGATATTGATTATGAAACTTTATAAATCTTAGAATTCATGTTATTAATTAGAATAGTCACACATTTCTCAATTTTAATGGTTTTTGAGAGATGTTTTGAAATTGATGTATACAAATTATTTTATTAAAATTGTTCCATAAAAGTCTAAGGTATTTTACTTCCATATATAATTCCAAGGAAAAGGAAAATTATGTCATCTAATGGCTAACTGCCTGATTCTTTTATTACTACATTATGTGTTGTTTTACTTTCAGCTATGGAGTTTGCACCATAGGTCACATTCCAAGGCTACATAGAATATGAGAGAATAAACAGAATCTTACGATATTCTAAGGAACCTCTTCCAAATGTAGTTTCTGTTATGGCAGCCCTGTTGAAGAGCAGAACTTTCAATCTAAACAGGATAAATAAAGAGCTAAAAATGTTGTGTCTATAAAAAACTCATTAAGCATATATTACATATTTAAATATAGTAAAGATTAAACTACATACTTCTCTAACTATTATCTTGTAGTCCTAAAGCATGGCCCTAATTTTATGACCAGACCTAAAATTATTCTTATCTTCTTAAAATATATTATTTTCACTAATAGCTTTCAAATATATGTTCTTACCAAATTCCTTAATTTTTAGGCAAATCTAGTTATTCTGGTAGTGTATATTTTTAGTAGATGAAATAACTACAGTTCAGAGAGATAATGCTTTTCCAATGGTTACATAACCATTAAAGGATAAGTCAAAAATTTGAACACTAGACTGCTAATGTCAGGTTTATTTTTCTTTTATTGTGAGCAATTTTTCATCAGTGTTACTTGAAGGCAAATAATCTAGAAGATGATTGTATCAGAAATATTGTATTTGGAGTATTGTTCAATATTTGAATATTTTTAGGTGAGATCAATATTTCTGATGGCTGGAGCAGAGACGAAGGAGAGATGCTCAGACTGTCAGAGGAATGAACAATGTAAACTAACCCATCGATTCAAAGCTTGATGGAATAACACATAACACAGAACCTAGTGGGTGTCATATTCCTTGTGTGTAGAATATTCCATATTCTACTAGTGTGTATATGTGTTATTAAATGTTGTTAAATTATTTTTTATACTCTAAATATTATAGATTAAGATACATATCTGTTTGCTTCTACAAACATGTTGGTTATTAGGTATAAAAGATCCATAACTTCTCTCCAAACAAATCAGAAATATTTTGATGGTATGAGATATACACTGCAGTCTATAATTCATTTCTCTTAACTTTACTTAAAATAGTCAGATATTTAGCATATCTCTAATTGGAATTTTAAAAATAGGTTTTAGGGTATCATTAAGTGCATTTTACTTTTTAAGTTTTTAAAAATGTTCCTTTTAGCACAAAGAAACATTGTTATTTCCTTTAATTGTTCATAATACTTTTCTCATTCAAAAAAGCTTTTCAAGAAATCAAATATAGTTTTATATCCCTTGTCAAGTAAACATTAAAAATGGTTTGAAGTATTGTATATTGAGAGACATGTAAATCATAAAATTGTGGGAAATAGTTAAAATAGTAAAATAGGTAAGAATGGCAAAAGTAATCCTATCTCTCAGTTTAAGTGTTGCTGATATTTTAGGGGGGTGTCTGAAAAAAGAAATTTGGTCATCTTAAATCATTTTAAGAAAATTTTTAGGTTTATTCTTTGAAATATTATAGATTATATATACCAAATATTAAAATGTATTGCTATACTTTGGAGACACACGTACACACACACACACACACACACACACAGAAAGAGAGAGAGAGAGAAAGAAAAAGATTTCTCCAATGATACATAAATTTTGCCTAAAAATCCTGCCCAGTATCCTAAGCAGAGAAGAATGAACTGGGGAGTGTGTGGCGGGTATATAATTTGTTCTATCACTATATTGAATATATATGATTTATGCTATGATTTAGAAATGTTTATTTATTATATGTTTATAAAATTGTTCTGTTTTGTTTTTGTTTTTGTTTTGAGACAGTGTCTCACTGTGTCACCCAGGCTGCAGTGCAGTGGTACGATTTCGGCTCACTGCAACCTCTGCCTCCCGGGTTCAAGCAATTCTCATGTCTCAGCCTCCTGGGTAGCTGGGACTACAGGCACACACCACCACACGCAGCTAATTTTTGTATTTTTAGTAGAGACGGGGTTTCACCATATTGGTCAGGCTGGTCTTGAACTGCTGACCTCAGTTGATCCACCCGCCTTGGCCTCCCAAAGTGCTGGGATTACAGGCGTGAACCACCACGCCTGGCCTATGAAATTGTTTTCACATTTGGCCTGTCTAAATTTTTTTTATTGTGGTAAAATATACAGAACATAAAATTTCCCATTTTTATGATTTTTAATTATATAATTCAGTTGTACTAATTACATTCAACAAGAACTACAATTGACTTCTATTTACTTCTAAAACTTCTTCATAACCCCAAACAGAAATTCTATAACCATTAAGCAATGACATGCCTTTCCTCCCTTCTCTCAGCCATCAGTAATGTCTAATCTACTGAGTTTTATAATTTCAATTTTAAACATGGTAGTGAATTTTAGTCCTTGTGTTATGTCTTTTAAATAAGTATAAATCACAGTTTACATATTTACTTCTTCAAAGATCACAACATATTGACATCTTTCAGCATTCACTATTGACTTACATGTTGTACTGATCTGACCCAATAAATCTTTTAAACTGATCACAATGCTGAATAAATAAAAAATAAGTGGTACTGATCTTTGACATCTTCCAGCAATATATACATTAACATTTTTCTGATCTTTGACAAGGCCGACAGTAACGAGCAATGACTAAAGGACTCCAGGTTCAATAAATAGTGCTGGGATAACTGGTTAGCCATATGCAGAAGAGTGGAACTGGACCCTTACCTTTCACCATATGCAAAAACTAACTCAAGATGGATTAAAAATTTAAGTGTAGCAACTCAAGCTATAAGAATCCCAGAAGCAAACCTACAAAATATCCTTCTCAACATTGGCGTTGGCAAAGAATTTTTTTATTAAATCCCCAAAGCAACCGCAACAAAAGCAAAAATTTATAAGTGATACCTAAAGAGTTTCTGCACACCAAAAGAAGCTATCAACAGAGTAAACAGACAACCTACTGAATCAGAGAAAATATTCACAAAATATGCATCTAACCAAGGTCTAATTTCCAGAATCTATAAGAGACATAAATTAATAAGCAAGAAAAAAATTGTGAAATGGACAAAGAACATGAATGGGAACCTTTCAAAAGAAGACATACAAGCAGCCAACAAATGTATGACAAAACATTCCACATCATTAATCACCAGAGAAGTGCAAATCAAAACCACAATGAGATAACTTTTCACACGTCAGGATGACTATTATTAAAAAGTCAAAAACAACAGATGCTGTCAGGGCTGATGGGAAAAAGAAATACTTATATACTGTTGGTGGGAACATAAATTAGTTCAGACACCATGGAAAACAGTGTAGAGATTTTCAAAAGAGCTTAAAACAGAGCTATCATTCAACTCAATGCTCCCATTACTGGGCATATACCCAAAGGAAAGTAAATCATCTACCAAAAAGACACATGAACTCATATGTTCACTGTTGTGCTAGCCACAATAGCCACAGACATGGAATCAACCTAGGTGTCCATTAATGGTAGATTAGATAAAGAAAGTGTGGTACATATGATGTAGATAAAGAGTGGTACACATGATGGCAACAGCGGTCTGTCTGGAGCGGCCACTGAGAAGATGTTGGCTGCAGTGTAGGAGGCACAGCTGGGGTTACATGCTCCAGGGGGCCAGCAAGAGCTGGAAAAGGTGGAAGCCCCGCCCCCTACTGAGTTGGTGGGGCAGGAGCCCCAGGCTCCCTAGTGTAGCTGCAGCCACCTAACTTTGGCTCTGGACCCAGGCATCCCTGCACTCTTGGGGGCCTGGGAAGCCCCTGCCCCGCAAGCTCAGAAGTGCCTGTTCCTGTTGTCTGGCCTCTCCTCACACCCAGCACCCACTCCAGTGTGGAGCAAAGTTGTGGCCAAGCCCAGGCATTGTTGCAAACCAGCCAGGTGTACGTGCACTTGGAGCTGTGCTGACATGCCAGCCCCTGCCACCTCAGCCCCCTCCAGACTTTGGGCACTGATGAGCATGGGAAGAAGGCCATCAGAGGCTGAGGGCAGCTTGGCACAGGCCTGCAGGCACCCCTTGGCATGAACAGCCTGGGCGCTAAGGACTGGATGTTGATGGTGGAGGGTAGACAGGTTTCTAGGCTGAAAGGGACAGCTCCCTGGTGAAACCACCTTTAAGCCATGAATGAACTGAAGCCTGGGGGCCTGAAGCGGGCTGCCTGTTCCAGGTAGAGTCCATGGCCTGGAATGAAAACATGTAGTGCTTTTTCCTGACCCACATATGGCCACCCGTGGATTGACCAGCATGTACTTTCTCCCTTCTGAGCCCATAGAAACTCCAGACTCACACAGACATTGGGACATCCTGCCTGTGGAAAGGAGCTACCCACTTTTAGTCTCCTGAGAGCTGTTCTGTCACTCAATGAAGCTCCTCTCTGCCTTGCTCATGCTCCAATTGTCCGCATACCTCATTTTTCCTAGACGTGGGCCAAGAACTCAGGACCCTACAAAAGGGGGGACTGAAAGAGCTGTAACACAAACAGAGCTGAAACATGCCCCCACCCTCTGCTTGCCACATTGCAGATAACAAGAAGGAGAGAAGAGCTGCGGCCCTTTGGGGAGCCTAAACATAGGGAATCTCTGAGCCACGGCTGTGACACTCTCTTTGGGGCTCTGCAGTTCCTGGCATCTTTAAGCTTCTGGGTGCCACTGCATTCCCTTCATCTAGACATGGGGGCCTGCAGCAGAAGCCACATGTGGTACATCTGGTCCAGCTACAACCTCACACGAAGCCAGCACCTATGCCAGAGCCTGGAGCTGCCTGCCCCCACATAGCAGCCAGCGTGCCTGGCTGTGTGCAGTGGCTAGACCCCACGCTCACTCACCCCCATACTCCTCCCCACTACATGCCTCCCTCAATCTTGGCAGGTGTAGGATCCAGGCTGGTTACACGAGCTGAGAGGAGCCTGGTGGGCTGAATGGGCGGAACAAGCCCAGCCGGTGTGAGCAACACTCAGGCAGAAGGCACCACCATAGATCCCATGACCTATATACACCATGGAATACTATGCAGCCATAAAAGAGAATAAAATCATGTCCTTTGCAGCAATGTGGACAGAGCTAGAGGTCATAATCCCAAGCAAATTAATTCAGGAACAGAAAATCAAACACCGTACATTCTCACTTATAAGTGGGAGCTAAATATTAACTTTAACAGAAGCATGGGAACAATAGACACTTTAGACTACCAGATCAGGGAGGGAGGGAGGGAAATCTACCTATTGGGTACTGTGCTCACTAACTGGGTGATGGGATCCATATCCCAAAACTCAGCATCACATAATATATCCATACAACAAACCTGCACATGTACCCCCCAGTATGTAAAATATAAGTTTACATTTAATAAAAAAGAAAACAAAACAAAAAATGATTCTTCAGCATGCAAATATACAATATTCTCTCGAAAAATACTCAGCCTCCATACATACTGCAGACTGTAAGGTTTATAGCAACATATAGAGCTTTCCACCATAAATTAGATAGAGCTTATAAAACAAAATA
The DNA here is from genome assembly GCF_000001405.40 of Homo sapiens. Classification (NCBI taxonomy): domain Eukaryota; kingdom Metazoa; phylum Chordata; class Mammalia; order Primates; family Hominidae; genus Homo; species Homo sapiens. Next base: position 184,684,412 of record NC_000002.12, on the reverse strand, counting down.
AATTTAGTTTTATAATTTCAAATTTCTTATAGCTGTACTAACTGGGTAGTTATTAACAGAGAAATCCTATTCATTTACATAAACACAATTTTCTACCCATATACACTTATTTGTGTACCCCTACTGTTAGCAAACAAAATATCAACATAGAAATTCAGGCACTTTGTTCTTAAATGTCCGTGTTTATGTACATTATTTTTCTGTCTTCCTGGAACTTAAAAGTATCCAGTACAAACTCACAAATCATTCATTACGCCTTAGGCAAGGGTGGTTGTAAAGTCATAGCTTCAGAAGAAGCCACTTCCTTATCAAAAAGTATCACTCTACAGCCATCTGCCTGCTTACAATTACGTCTGCCTAGACATGTTTTAAAGGAATAGCAAACTAAATATGGAAGAGGAGATCAAGGTAAGAGACATTACTGGTAGTCAATAAAAGGTTACCAAATAAAACATAAAACAGACATATACCACAAAAGAAACAATAGAGGATGCTATCTAGAGCAAGGGACAATAATGAGGCCCCAATTAGATATTATTAAAGCATTAAATAGAACATATGATAAGAAAGCTGACATTATTACAACCAACATAAATTGAATTTTTTGCTATGTTAAGGAGAAAAATTATAGAATATTTTACTGAATATTATTATTAAAATACTTTTCCATATTCTCATATTCTTGGATAGACCTCCTTATGGCACTCTTAAATCAGCATTGTACAATTTTTTTGTCTCACTTCCCTCACCCTCTACCTTGCCTGTATTCATATACACTTTTCCATTTAGCAACTCTGCTTTAGGAACTGTTCTTGCTATTGAAGCTCAAGAAGAAAAAAATGATATAGCCCAAAATTCTGAAAAATCAATCTTTGGGGCAGTGATGCAGGGAAATAAATAAGAACAATAAATGGTGGGAAAGTATTACCATGGAAGCAAGTCAAAACACTTGCATTTGGGCTTATCATTCATTTGACCTCCAACATTAAGAATATGTTGCATAGGTAGGAAATATAAAAGCACTGTAATCTCAAATGTAAAATGTGGCTGAATAACTTCAGTTTAAAGTTGTATAGCGAAAGAGGTTTATTTTGACATACTTGAAACCTACAGAAAAAAAAGTGTATATCCCCCATACAACTAAATTAATAATCATGAAATGAAACAAATAATAATGTGGGTTTAAAAAGTAGACATTGAATTGTTCATTGTACTGAATTACACATACCTAGCACACAACACCTGCAACACAGAGACATAATACGATGCCAAGGAAAATTAGATAAAATAGATACTGCAATTCAAATAAAATACATGCTGCAATTCAAATAAGAAAAATAAAAACTAAATTGATGTTTTTATTTTATTTTATTTTTTGAGACAGGGTCTCACTCTGTTTTATTTTATTTTTTGAGAGAGGGTTTCATTGTAGCATGGAGTGCGGAGGCACAATCACAGCTCACTGCAGCCTTGACTTTGTAAACTCAGGTGATTCTCCCACCTCAGCCTCCAGAGTAGCTGGGACTACAGGGGTACACCACCATGCTGGGTTAATTTTTGTATTTTTTTGTAGAGATCTGGTTTTGTCATGTTTCCCAGGCTGGTCTTGAACTCCTGGGCTCAAGCAATCCACCCACCTCAGCATTCCAAAGTTTAATTACATTAATCTAACTTACCGGGGGTGGAAACCCATGAGAAAATGCTTCAATAAGAGTAAACGCCACAAAATTCAGATTGATTTGCATATCGAATGACAGAGTTAAATAATTCATTTTGTTTGTTTTTCCCATCTGTAAAATCACTGTACTACAATTGCCTATTTACAATCTGTTATTTTAATGAAGGAGTATGCAGTGCCACAAGGGTTGGAGACATCATCTGCGTCTCGAAAGACATCTTCTACCACATGAATTAATTCTCAAGCAAAAAAAAGTCACAAAAAAAATCAAATGTAGCTAATTCTACCCATGTCAAGGGCTGATTGTATAACTGGAAGTACTCCAAATTAACATCCACGTAAAATGATTACTAAAATATAAATAATTAATATATACTACTTAAAGATTAAATACATATTATCAATACTCAACCATAACGTAATGGGGTCCTTGAGATGTCACTTCACCAGCTGGAAACCTCTTTGGCCACTGGTGCCTTCTGTCTGAGCATTGCTGACACCCTCCGGGCTTGTTCTGCCCACTTTGCCTGGCAGGGCCCACCCCTTTCAACACAGGAATGTGTCTGCCTCCTGCCATCAACACTCCACCCATGGCACCCAGGCTGTTCATGCCATGAGCTGACTGCAGGCCCATGCGAAGACTCAGCCCTCACTGGTCTCCCTCCCTAAGCTTGTTGGTGCCCAAAGTTTCAGAGGGGGCTGAGGCGGCAGGGGGTGCTGTCGTGTCTGTGCTGCCCTAAGCATGCACACATGTGTCTGGGTCACAACAGCACTCCGACTTGGCTTAATATGTGCTCCGAAATTGGATCAGGTGCCAGGAGTGAGTAGAGGCCAGGGAGCGAGAGCAGGCACTTTGGAGCCTGTGAGGGCATGGAGGGGCTTCCTGAGAGCACAGGGATGCCTGGGTCCAGAGCCACATCTGGGCAGCTGCATTTGTGTTGGGAAGCATGGGGCTCCTGCCCCTTTAATTCAGTAGAAGGTGGGACTCCCTCCTGTTCCTGGCCCCTGCTAGCTATATGGAGTGCACAGTCCGGGCTGCACTTCCCCTGTTGAAGCTGGCATCCCTGCAGTGACTGCACCAGACAGGCTGCGGATGCCATCAGTAAGAGCAGCAATTGCTTAGAACTTAAACCAATAAATGATAATTGGAGGAGTTTGTTATTGACATTGTTCAGAATTCCTGGCATATGGTCATATTAAAACTCAGACCTGTTTTTAGTTGCTATATTATTATTTTTAAATTCTCTATAGACCATGCACTCCCCATAGATCCACCGACAGTATGCTACTTTTGCACAAGAATAATGTCACTTTGATATCAGCTCTTTCTGGTTAGGCAGAAATTAATTCAAAGTCCTAGCATCATTGGGGCTGTCTTTTTTGTTTGGTAACATAAGAATCTTTTAATATTTTTCTTACAATCTGCTTTTAGTGGGATTTTTTTTGTGGCATAGTGTAGGCTCTTGAAGTCTCTCCTTGTCATGGGATCCTCAGGATGTCACTTTTCCATCTGGGAACCTCTGTGGCCAGTGGTGACTTTGCCTGAGTTTTGCCTGGGCCCACTGGGCTCATTCCACCCACTCAGCCAGGCAGCCTGCATTCAGGCTTGTGCTACTGCCCTGGATCTTGCACCTTCCAAGGGCAAGCCAGGAACATAGCAGCAAGGGGTATGTGAGCGAGTGAGCGTGGGGTCCAGCCAGGCATGCTAGCTGTGGTGGGATGGTCAGCTCCAGGTGCCAGCACAGGTGCAGGCTCCCTATGAGGCTGCAGCTGGACCAGGCACACTGCAAGCAGCTTCCACTGCTGGCACAGTGATGCCTGGTTGCTTGTAGATGCCAGCAACTGCAGAGCCCCAAAGTGGTTGTCACAGCCCTGGCTTGGGGGAGCTCCTAGGTCTAAGCTCCCTGAAGAACCACAGCTCTTCTCTCCTTCTCATCTCCTGCCACATGGCAAGCAAGGAACATGTTTCAGCCCTGTTCATGTTACAGTTCTTTCAGCCCTGCCATTCAGTGGGTCCCAAGTTATTGTCCCACATCCAGGAATAATGAGGAACATGGACAAGTAAAGGTTGAGCAAGACAAAGAGGTGTTTTATTGAGTGACAATACAGCTCAGCGGTGACCTGCAAGTGTTAGCTCCTTTCCACAGGAACATCATTCTGATGATTGTCCAGCTTTCAGCAGAGAAGAGATGCACAGTCTTTTCTGCAGGCAGGTGGCTCTTTTGCATGGGAAAGTTGTCCCAGTGTCTGTTCAGATCTCAGCAGTGAGGAGACCCATAGTGGGTAGCTCTTCCCACAGGCAGGTCATCCCATCTGTTCAGCAATCAGCAGAGAGAAGATGCACAGTGGGTAGTTCCTCTCCACAGGCAAGACCTCCCGACATCTGTTCAGTTCTCAGCAGAGAGGAGACCCACAGTGGGTAGCTCCTCTCCATAGGCAAGTCCTCCCCACATCTGTTCAGCTCTCAGCAGAGAGGAGACCCGCAGTGGGTAGCTCTTCTCCGCAGGTAGGTCATCCCATCTGTTCAGCTCTTGTCAGACAGAAGACCCACAGTGGGTAGTTCTCTCCAAAGGAAGGTCCTCCTGATGTCTGTTCAGCTCTCAGCAGACAGGAGACCCACAGTGGGTAGCTCCTCTCCAAAGGCAGGTCTTCAGGTCATCTCCCAAGTTTGGCTGAATCTGGAGCTTTTATGGGCTTCAGAGGTGAAAAAGTGTGTGCTGATTGGTCCATGAGTGGCCATGAGCAGGCCCAGAAAAAGCACCATAAGTTCTTACTCTGGGCCTGGGAACTGGCAGCCCAGCTCAGGCCTTCCCTGGCCTAGAGGTGGGGTTTCACTGGGAACTCACACCTTTCTGCCCAGGAGCCCATCTGCTCCCTGCCGCCATTAACCTGCCATCTACAGTGCCCATGGAGCCCAGACTGTTCTTGCCAAGGGGAGCCTCCCAGCCCATGACAAGCCACCCTTAGCCCCTTCTCTACCTTCTTCCCATGCTCATCGGGGCCCAAATTCTGGAGGATGCTGAGACAATAGGGAGCTGTCATGTCAGCACTGCCCCAAGTGAGTGCACACTGAGCCAGGCTGCAACAGTGCCCAGGCTTGGCCTCAACTTTGCTCTGAAATCAGAGCAGGCCTAAGGAGTGGGGAGAGGACAGATAGCGAGAGCAGGCACTTCCAAGCCTGTGGAGGCAGAGGTTTCCTGAGCCCCCGGGAGTGCAGAGATGTCCAGGTCCACAGTAGTGGCTGGGCAGTAGTAGCTGCACCGGGGAGGGTGGGGCTCCTGCCCCACCAACTCATAAGGGGTGGGGCTCCACCTGTCCCCAGCTCCCTCCAGCTCCATGGAGCATGCATCCCTGGTCATGCCTCCCCACTTACAGCTGGCATCTTTGCAATGGCTGCTACAAATGGGTCCCCGCTGCCATCGCAATGACCCATCTACCTTGTCTATTAGTTACATTTGTATTTTGTGTTATTGTATCTTTGGATTATGAAAACATCATCCACATCTTCCACCTAACCCAGTGATCTATAGCACATTCCTCTAAGTAAACACATTTCACCTAATTTATTTTTTGTCTGAATCTACGTTCAACATCTTAATCCACATTCTATTCTGTGGGATTCATTAATTGCCAATTAACAGTACAAATTTCTACAATGGAATTCTACTACTTTGTCTTGTCACTAGACATGTTTCTTTTATTTTTTTATTATTACATTAAAGTCAGGTATTTTATAACCGAGTCTCACTATATATTTATAATAATATGTATGGTTTGTTTCCATATTTTAAATGTATTTTGTGTTTATCATATCTCTGTACTTTGATATTTGAATCTGTAAGAATACACTAAGATATTTTTTCTGTCTGCATTCTCCTGAATATCACTGAGATCCCCCTCAACTGTTTCCATCCTATTCCTCTTCAGTATATAGTGTTACACATACATTTTGGTATGTCTGTAGCATTCAGCACCCATTAGTTCATGTTAATATTGTGTTCATTGTTTTTCTTGACAACACATTTATCCTTGGCTTTTGAGGTGGGCTATACTTAGGTAGAAGATTATTATTTGGTAATTGTAGGCTTAAATCAAGAAAAGCAATGCAAATGCTTTTCTCCGGCATCATCCTGTATCTCTGTTGACTATTCATTTCTTTCAATCTGTCCCCAAATCAGGACATTTAGCTTGAAAAAGTCAGGCATGTGTTCCTTGTTCTCTTATGTCTTTCAAGTACATTTAAATATTGCAAAGTTGCTACGGTGACTTTTCAGCAGAAAGCATTTCTAAGTTAATCAGAAAAAGTGGATAGTAGGAAATAGACTTGATATAAAAATAAGCATGATAATACAGAAAATCATTCCTATATTAAACTTAATTCGGTTTTGAATATCAATACTGGAAATACCAGTATAGCACACTGTCTGGTTTTCAGAATGCCTGCAATAAAAAATCACTCACATGATTAGCTGACTACTTCAAAATTATATTAAACCACATAAAAGTTTTCTTCTTAAGTATTATAATATATAATCACTTACACTGTTTTAAAGAAATAATGCTCTCGAAAGTTATAAAATACATATAACTTCAAAGTATATGGAGATATATTAAAACAACAGTGAAAATGAGTCAAATCTGTGGTTAAATTAATTCACTAACTAATTAATTATTACTGTGCTTCTGACCTTTTAAAAAATAAATATCCAGATCTTCAGACCTTCTAAGATGTTAAAAGGTTAAGATGTTAACCACTGGGTTAAAACCAGTGGATATGATAGTCAGATAGTGTAAATTATTTAACATTACAGCCTGGACTAACTCACTAGGTTGTAAACTCATGCAAGCCTGTGGTGGGACCGAATTCCAATAGAAACAGGATAAAAATTATATAATTTTAAAGCTGATTTATCAGTATAATAGCAATAAATATAGAATTTAAAGAGAGCTCAAAGTTGAGGAAGGCATTTCTCCCACTGCAATGTGCTTTCTTTTAAATCATTTTGAACATTGAGTTAGTAATATAACTTTGATATTACTTACAGCAGTGATTTTGTTCTTAAATAATAATAACTATTACTTAAAATATATAGACAAAGATTTGGGGTTATATTCTGAACTTTTAATACCTTGATGTTATAAATTATATGAGTCATTAGATCAATTTATGCCCTAAATATAGCCAGTTGGAATTCATATTTTTTCTATTTGTCTAGTTTTGAGTAGACTCAGTATTATTGACATTGTAGATAATTTTCAAGATCTGTTCTATCTCAGATGACCGTGTACTGTCTACACCACTCATGGTAATCTCATTTCTCTTCCCAAGAATTGAGCAATTTACCCAATTCTGACCAAGGAAATAGTGACAGTGAGTCAGCCATAAACAGGAGGAAATGATCTCTCTTTATCCTCTAGATATTACTATATGGCCTGGATGTGATGACGACAATCAACATCAAGAATGACAACCTAGAAAAAAATTGTATTGTTGATTATATCTCTTGAATCAACTACCTGAAACCTTTCTAAATCCTCAGATTTCTGTTATGTGTGATGATAAATCCTATACAGTTTAAGCACATTGATTCCGTGTTTCTATTATTTGTAGCTGAAATCATCAGAACAAGTATATCTGATAATAATAGGGAAAAAATAAATGTTTTTTTTCTTTTTTGTTCTACTGCTTTAGTACAATGTTCTTGAAAAGTTCAATGTTTTTAACTCCAAATATAATAGATTTACCTGATCCTGAATAATACTTTCAAACAAAATGAAGAGTAAAGTTAAATAAATATTTTTTTAATAAAATTTATTTATGTTGAACCTATTTACATTTATATTTTTAGTAGAAGTAGACAGTTATTTAACAGTTTTGTTTTTTAATGTAAGATGTACTGAACATAGTCCACTTCAGAAGTCTAAAAGGTCATAGAACACTACAGTGTGGTCCTGTAAAGTTCAAGATACTATTGATCTCCTAGAGCATTGTGGGTGCAGATTAACCAGTAAACTATGGTCATATTAAAATATAACTGGCATTTTTATTAATAGATTATAGAATACACAGTGCTACAAACAGCTTTCAGAAAAAACATTATATTTATACTGTTGCCTATGGGATCTCACAAAAATACTCATATTGTATATGATATTGTAGTGGAAATTATTAACATATAATACAAAATTATTTTATTTTAATAATGTCTTCATCAATTTGTTCAGTCTTTATTAACTTAGATTCAATTATCAACCTAATATTGTAAATTAAAATATATTTTCAACCTTGATAATATGTTAAACTATTTTTTACAAATATACAAAATCCAGAATAGAGTGTGTGTGTATGCATATGTGTGTGAGTGTGTGTGATTAATGCTTTTTAAATATTTTCAAACATATTTCTAATGTTTGACTTTTAAGATTTGGAAAAAAAAAAGTGAAGCAAGATATCTATATCCTAGCTAAATAATTCATATATTCACTGTAGAATATTTAATATAACAATAAACTTTACTTGACATATTGTCCTCAGTATATTTTCATTAAAATGGAATTCCCACTCAATCTCAGGGGATAGAATTATATCAGTTTTAGTTAATAAACTGAATTCTTTATGAAAAATCATTATAATGGCTATGGCCAACATGATTTGGTTACTTTCATGTAAATGTGAAAATAATTCTGTAAGTAATGTGAGTAGAAGTCATAAATATACATATTATCCCTCTTTGTGGTATTTTCATTACTGAGTTACTGAATTTTTTTTAATAAATGTTCTTAATGTTTTGATAACCAAACAAGAAAATAAACAATTGAGGTTAGTACATACATTAAAATGTATATAAGCTTATCTAGTTCAATGATAATATATTTTTCTTGTGTTCACTAGTGTGGAAAGTATTTCATCCAATGAAAAAAGAAATGACAGGAATAGTAGGGGCAGAATACAGATGCTGCAAACAAGGTACTATGTTGGAGATCTGATTTTGTTTTTCACTTACTAGCTATGAGACCATCAGAATATTATTAAATATCTCCGTGCCTCACTTCTTCCACAAAATGAAAATTTAAAAAGTATCTATTTAATAGCGTTATTGTGAGAATTCAGTGAGTTAATAGAAATAAAAAATAGTCCCAGTAGTATCTGGCACACAGTAAGGTTCAAACATTTTTAGATTTTATACATAACAAAACAATCTAGGTATCTCAGGTTTTGCTCTACATGCAGTGATTTAACTTACCGTTTATTTAAAAAGAATTATCAAACATATGCAAGAAAATTAAATAAAATATATCATTGTAATATGTAATAATGCTAGGGTTTGATGCATATGATTTTGTAAAAAACAAACCTGTGCACAAAAGTAAGTCAAATTTATTGCTTTATATTGTGGAGATATGACAATAACAGCAGTAGTTGTAAAAATAGTACTTTAAGATAGTCATAATAGGATTAGTAATAACAATAATATGAAAAATATATGTTCAATGCTTTCAATACGCATGCATGTTCCTAATATATATGTGTGTGTGAACATACGTCTCTTTGTGTGAATACACATAGGTAGGTATACACATGCATCTACATCTATATATACATTCATAACTAAACACAAAACACTCATACATGCACAGTACATACTTACATAAATACATACATCCATGTATTTATGTGCATGTACAGCCATGTTCACGCACATACGTATATACATAACTAAGGCATATATAAGATTTAACAGATTAATGTATGACTTTATCTGGTGTGTAGGTATGGACCACTGACATTATTTTATGTTCATCAATTAATAAGTAAACTTTAGGAAGACATTTATAAGACTGTTTCTTTTTCTTTATTATTTTAATTAAAAAGTTGTTGACATGGAATTTTACTTTTTTTAACAGTGAGTTGTTCACATTTTATAATTCTACTTTTTTTAGACTTGGAAAATTTTAAAATAATTTTTCTTTATATTATCTGTATTCCTGTATTCTGGTCTCTAATTCAGAAAAACATGTAATTTTTAAGTTGAATCAACATTCTTTTTCCTTCACACTTATATATCCTCCAGTGATGCCCATCCCATCCTACTGTTTTTCTTCTCCTCTTCCTCTCCTTTCCCTTATCCTCTTCATTTTATACTTCTACCCTCTCATTATTCCTAGGTATCAATAAATTAGTTTCACACAATCTCAAGTTTCACTATTATTTATAATGTAGAGTTAATTTTCTTTCAAATTTTGTCTCTTGATTCCCTATGTCATTATGTTGTTTTGCAAAAAATCATGTTCTCTTTTTTATTTGTGATTTTCTGCTTGTGTTTCTTCATTTACAAGCCTTCATATGTCATAGTAATACATCTTCTTCTAGTCCTTGTAAGCAAATTTGAATATTATGTTTATTCTCTTATGCTTTAAGATTATTAGTTTCCACAACTTTAAGTCAAGATGAGTCTGAAGCCAACCAATTAAAAGAAAAGAGGGATAATGACATAAATATTTTAAATTTCTACAATGTAATATTTAATATTTTTTAACATTAAACTGTTGCACTGCGATGAAACAGTACAGAGAAATGAGGAACAGACACCAAAGTCATAACAAATTATTTTAAATCTTCAAGTTTCTTACAATAAAAAAACTTGCCATTTGAAAATGGTGAGAGTTAAATTTTAAATGTGTCTCTGCATTTACACATAAAAAATTCAGAACCAACATGAAAAAATGAATAAAACTGCAACAATTTCACTAGCGGGTGAGATAGTTTATTATTTGTGAGTAACATAAAATGTCAAAGTCAAACTATTGATTTTTAGAATGGAATTATTCATTCTATTACCTACTTTGCTATAAGACATTTCAATATAATCCTTTTAAGTTTTCTTTAAAGTCTGTCCTTGGAAGTAGTGGCAGAAATCCAGTTTTACCTAATAAAGTCATTTATTTTCCTACAAATTGTGGTGCTACCACAATAGTTTTCCCTTTGCCCGTTTTTCTTTGGTAGTCTATTTTAATGGTAGTAAAACATAAAGCAATAAAAGAAGCAATAATGAAGGAAGAGACACACAAAGCAATACTTAATAGATTGTCAGCTCATGAGGCAATTCACAAGCTGTGGCAAAACAAGTTCTATGCACAAAATAAATCAATACTTATTGTACCCTCTTTCCTGCTGCAGTGCAATTTTTCAGTGAACAGGATACTGTCAAATCTCACAGGCCTTGGACAATTAGGTGCTCCAGCAAGCAATATTTATTCTAAATAAGCTTCATCAAAGCTGAATCTGATTTCAGCAAAGCTTTCTTGGCAATTGGATAATCAAGATATGGTAAATGTGTAACTTGAATTGCAACACAGATACATGAATTAAAGACAAAAGCTATATGGATACTATGGAGGTTCCAAACATTGAGAAGGGGCAGCTGTAGGATAATTGCAAAGCATACAAAATGATGGGTTATTAAACACATTTGAATATCAAACACAAGCAATGTCTATCCCTTTTTTGGAAAAATGTAGGAACATGATAATTAGGTTGCCTCTGGCTTTTCCCCTTTCCTTATCTTCATCCCTCCCTTTTTGTTTCCTTCTCATCTTTTCATACCCTCTTCCCTTCCTCCTTCTTTTATTTCATTTTTTTCTTTTCTCCTTTCTTTCCTTCATCTTTTTTTTCTGTAATTTTCTTGCTTTTCCTATGATGAGATTTATAAACTCAATTCCAGCACTTTGGGAGGCCAAGGTGGGCAGATCACAAGGTTGGGAGTTCAAGACCAGCCTGGCCAATAGTCAATATGGTGAAACCCCGTCTCTACTAAAAATACAAAAATTAGCTGGGCGTGGTGGCGGATGCCTGTAGTCCCAGCTACTTGGGAGGCTGAGGCAGGAGAATTGCTTGAACCTGGGAGGCAGAGGTTGCAGTGAGCTGAGACTGTGCCACTGCACTCCAGCCTGGGTGACAAAACGAACGAAAGAAAAAGAAAAAGAAAAGAAAAAAAAAGAAATAGTTATCTGTTGCCCATCTGGCAAGATGCCATCACTACCTTCTGTGTCACTAAAAAAAAAAAGTCATTCTTGTTCTCACAAAACTACTATGCAACTGAAATTCAAAAAGTAAATGTAATAAATTTTAAAAGGTTAAATTTCTGGTAGTCATCTAGAATCCAGAGATTTTTATGAATGCTAACATATTTTATAATTTCATCACAAAACAACTTATTCAAATAAAAGGTCAGTGATGTTGTTAGGATATATGTATCTGGGAACAAATTTCCACTAATACTAATTTTAAATGATAAGCTGTTAGAAACGTAGGGCATGGGATACTCAGAGCAAGCAAGGATATTATAGAAATAGCCTAATAATTGTCAGTGGATCAGTCATCTCTCTGAGGACCTCTCCAGTTTCTTCTGCAAGATTCTGGACTCATGGTCCAAGTCATCTACAGTTTCTCATTTTTCTTTATTTTTTTAACTTCTGAAACTGTTAGGACCATAGAGCATAAAACATATGCAATAAGCAAAGATAGTACAAAAGTAGCCTTTATTTATCTTCATACTTCTGCTCTTCCCATGCTGTTTCAGAAATTCTAGTACCATCACTGAGTCTAGCTTTCATGAACTAGTTTAATTTTCACTCCTTCAAACAGTGTCTTAGATAATTTGAAAGTTTGACACACAGCTCACAGGTGCAGCATTTAAGCTTCCCCTGTTCTGAAAACTTTAGTACTGTGTAAGTGAAGAGAACCAAGACATCAGTCCATATAACATTTTAAGTTCATCTTATAAACAACTGATTTACTCTACCCCTGCTCAAAGCACTTAGCAATGAATGATGCATTATTTTAGAAAAAGAACAATAACACACTATGGTAAATCTCATAATCTGAATTAAACATTTCATTGGACTGAAATGGGAGAAAACAGCAAAGAGATTTGTGAATCTGAAGACACAGACAAGTGGGACTACTGGTTCACAATTAAGCAAGGGAGGCCAATGTGGCTCTGCAAAGATGGCTTATCAATCAATTGACAAAACAGTGGCAGCATATGGATATCAAAATAATTCAACTTTATTCAATCAATATCAAGTTTAATAAAGGGACTAATTACCAAAGTGTTCCTGAATATTGAGAAAGCACTAGGGCTTCTGCTGTACCCCAGAGGAATGCCGTTAATCACTCCAGACTCTAGGGAATAGAGGAGAACCATAAATACCAAAACCTAAAAAGATAGGTCCATATAATACAAAGGAGGTCACTTCAGTGGAGATACAAAGCCAATCTACCTGCAGGGACTCCCCAGTCTCTTGTAACTACTCAAGAAAGAATCCACAGCAATAAATAATTCAGCCTCTCTCTACTTCTTCCCACTGGTCCCTGGCTAGAGTTCTCTATGATTCAACCCAGACAGTAGTCAGAAGATAAATAAAACTATTGAAAGGTTCTAAACAGATTAGTTTCCTTGAATAAGAGCAGACATGATGAAAGTGGATAGAGAGAGGCAAACATAATGTCTACACAGATGGTGAGTAAAAGCAACTGGGCTCATTGATTCAAAACAAAACTTTAGGTGGCACACCTTGTCCAAGAAAAAAGCTCAAAAGCCTGAACTGATTACTGCTTGGGGCCCTAACTTATTGTATGAACGTGATCACTTTAGGCAGGCAAACCAGTTCTACATCCATAATTACTACCTGAACAAATAGATTATTGGTTGGATATTAAATCTGTAATACCTCTAATATTGCTGCAGAAAAGAAGCCCCAGGTAGATGCTATAACCTGGTTAGATTGAGAACTATAATGGGTAAGATGAAAGCAAGTCCACTAGGCAAAGAGGAAGACAGCTGGGAAGAGAGAGGGCAAATGCACACATAGACACCCATCCATTCAAGATGAATCTATAACAAATATACTAAAATCCAACAAGAATAATCAAAATTAAAGAAAAACACTCAATAAATAAACAATAGAAGATGTCTTTACTCTAAAAGACATATGAGTGCAATATAGAATGGTTTAAAATAAGTAAATTTAGAGTCCACAAAGAGATAAAGAAAAATATAACATCCATACAAATAAGAAAATATTGAATTGTATTAAAAAGGCATAGACTAGTAAGTGAAAATGTTAAATCTTCATAAATAAAAATATATGTAGTCATTTAAATAACTCACTAGACACTGCAATATCTAAGAACATCACAGTCAAATAGGGAATCCAAGAACTAAAATATGGTATATCTCCCAGAATATAGAGAAGAAAAGGAATAAAACCATGTCTGAGCCATCAATAGGCATCGCTCTGAAACTGACAGGCTCTAACATGTGTCTTAATAAAGTTCCAGAAAAAAAATAAAATAAAGGGCATAATGGGGAAGCTCTATTTTTTAGGGAAAAGTGAGAATTTCCTAGAAATATAATAACTGGGGTACTCTGATTAAAGATACAAACCATGTACTGGAAAGGTTAATTAAATCAAACCAACAATTAAATACATTGGGCTGATAGTACATAACATTCAGAATAAACAGAAAAAAATAGAGCTATCAGACAGAAAAAGCATATTTATATAGAAAGGAATAGCAATTAGGCTGACAAAAGACTTCTTAGGCAATACTAACACTTTCAGAAAATTAGGCAGAAAAATCTTCAAAATGCTTCACAAAAATAAGTGTTAAGCTAGAATTTTAACACTGCTAAGCTATCATTAAAAACTTAGTGAAAAATAAATGAATTTTCATATGAACAAACATTAGTATAGTTTAAAAGCCACAGACCATCACTGAAATAATTAACAAACAATACAACTTAGTAAGAGAATGGAAGAAAAAATTGCCGGCTTACAAAGTCTTCATATTTGTCAGATAAATGTAATTAACTCAAGTATAAAAATAACACAAATTATTATTTGTCCTTAAAAAGCTGAAACTAATTTAGAGAAAAAAAATATTCTGAGTGTGTGTGTGTGTGTGCGTGTGTGTGTGAGAGAGAGATGTGGCAACCAAGTCATCCAGGAGGATCACTGACATATGGTTTAATGATATTTGATGTAATTTTAAACTCTTCAGCCATAAAAATTTGAAAATAGTTTTCTTATTTATGTGATTTGTGGATCTATTCAATTATTTCACAACTACTCATCAGCCATTTTCAACATTTCATGTGGGTAGTGGATGTATAAAGAACCAGGGTGGCAAAGAAGGAGATCAATAATTTTTAGAAATTACTTTTTACCAGTCTTGCCTTTCATGTTTTAACTTAAGAAATACGTATTATTAAATGAAGAGAAAACTGAACCTCAGAAAATAATTCAATAATTTTTCTAAGGAACTACGGCTTATAAGATACGATTTGAAACTGTGTCTGTTCTTTCAGAACCTACAATCAGAACCATAAACAACAAATAATTATACACTATATAAGAATCTCACTTGTATGAAGTACTTTATATGTCAGCTAATTACTAAAGACTCAACATTTCATGGGCTGTATTTCCAGAAAAAATATGTATTCTCAGTGTATCTGCAAGAATATAGGAGTTGTTATGTATCCTTTGGAGACTCTGCCATGTTTTTTACTATATAAACTGCATTATATATATTTTCTGTCTCATAATACCATTTTTCACACAATAAAGGAAGGGTAGCAGAGTTGTTACATTCATTTTCTGCAACCAAAAGGGATGCTCCCTCACAAAACCGAGGGAAGTGAGTACTATATATTTGAAAGAGCAGGTATGAGGCTCAGTTATTTCCTCAGAAGAACTGGTACTAAATACAAAAATGGTGTCACTTAGATGTTCTGCTGACCAAGAAAGAAACTTAAATAGCAGATCTCACAATGTAGTCTCTAGGCCTACCAATTCTCGGGCAATACTATTTACAACATTAATGAATTAAATTCATAAATTATACTTATTATTTCCATAGACATAATATATCCTCTTTGACCTTGTAGATACATTGTTCTCTCTAGCTATTTATAATATATAATAAGCCACTTCACTAAGGAAGGTTCTTTGCCCTTTGGTTAATCTTCTACAATCTTGATCATTGCAGTTAAGTAGTATAACTTTCCAAATATCTCTTGAAGTAAACATTTTTCTTTTCTTCAAGGATCCATTGTAGCTTATCTCAAGAGTTTTTGAACCTTCTGAGGGGCTCCTGTTGCTTCTGGCAACTAAATTTCCTACCATGTTTTATTGTGAAGAAAAAGAAAATCATACATTTTCTTCTGCTAATTTGTTGATGGAGAGAAGTAATAACATTATTTCAATTATATAATCAATGATGATACTGTTCTGTTTAAATTCAATTGTCAAAAAATTAGCAGGTTATTATATTTTATTTGTAATTTATTATAAATGTGAACACAAACAGTATATCTTTCAGTGTCAGGCTTATTTCACTTAGCAACATGTCCTCTGGAGTAAATTTCAAATGTCTCACCATAAAATTGATAGGTAAGTGAAGTGATGAATATGTTAATTCATTTTATTGAATCATGCCACATTGAACACATAGATCAAAACATCACATTGTATGCTATAAATATATACAATTATAATTTATTAAACATTTTTTAAAATAAACATTAACACATAGAAAATAATATGTCCTTTGAGTTGTTATAGCTGTCCTAATTGATCTTTTTAAATTTACATCTGAGATAACTGGAGCCCTTATTTTGTAAAGTTGATTCTGTTGCCCTTTTAAAAAAAAACTTGAACTAGAATATACTGAAAATTAGTTTTCAATCCAAGAGATCACATTGCCTCAAAGCAATGAGTATTAAGAATGCTTGATTTTTCATTATTTTGAAATAGACTTAATAATTTGAAGATATTATGAAAACACAGATATTTTTATTTTGGTTAGATACATTATATGATAGCTATTTAGAAATTTTAAATAATTTTCACACAAAAAGATTTATTTTAATTCTCACAAGAATTCTCTTATATGTGAATTAACATATATGTTCTCCACACTACAGATAATAAGCTGAGATTTAAATGTATCTGGAACTGGATCAAGTTACAAATAAAACTTAGGAAAAAAGAAACTTAATTCGTATACATTTTTGATGTTAACTCTTTAATGGCATTTTCTAAATTTCCTAATATGTTTATGAATAGTGAAAGGCCCTTTTCATTATGTAATCCTGCTAGAGGGCAATTTTCTATCTATGTCATAATTATATTCACATTGCTTCCAGGATAATGTCTTTGACATAGTAGATCCTCGGCCCACAATTTCAGATGAAATATACCAGTATATGTCAATATGTGTGTGATAATTTTTCCCTAACATAGAATCTAACATTCTGGCTAACTAGGTCAAATGAATAATAAGACCTTTTAAAAACCATTAATTACTTACTGATGTTTCACAAATGCAGAATGTTTATGAGATGAAATAAAGTTACTGAAAGTTAATGAAAGTCTATACAAGAGATCTGAATCTTAAAAGACCAAGAAAACATTAGAGTGTATTTTAACAACTAAATACAATTCTAGTCAATAAATAATTTAAGCAAAAACAGTAAGAATGTCTTAAAGGCAACATTTATTTAAAATATAGTATAAAGCACTAAAATTCAAATTATAGTCAAACTCTTTTAAGTTTCTTACCTCAATACAATGCATTTTAAGGTCAATACATTCCACAAAATAAATTTAAATTCTCAGCTAATTTGGATTATTTGCCTTTCTATACCCTCAACATTATAAACACTTGAAAGTTAAATGCATCTTCATTATAACCAAAACCAAAATTTAGATGTAATTAACAAAAACTATGTTCCATGAAATTATCTTTTGGGACTATTTTCTAAATGGCCAGTTTTCTGCAATTCAATTTTTCTAGCAATGTATTTTATACACGTATATTTCCCTCAGCTGATATACTCTAAGTAGTGAATTCTGATATTGATGCAAAGAGAATAACTAATAAATTTCCCATGAACATGCACATTATGATAATACCGTGAAGGCAATATTAACATGTCAAGTTAATTTGCCTCCCTTGCCTCTAGCTAATTAGCAGAAATTATATTTTATGCTAATTTGCCTGAGATGATAGCACACAATTTGGAAATTCAGAATTTCTGCTGATCATAAGAAAACATTCACACAACTTGTGCAGGACAAAGTGACCACAAAATCATTTTAACATAGTGTTTAATACTATTACAGCTTATAATTAAAATATAAAGTGTAGGGATATAAATTTTTATATTAGATATAAATTGTACATTTTTCTATTTGCATATGTTATTCCTACTGTATTTGATTAGCTAAAAATTTAGAGTACATGTATTTTGAATCTGGTATAATAGATTATCATACTGTACTTGTAGATGTAACATACTTTTTGTTTTTCTGCATAGGCTTTGAAATGAATCTGTTTTTCTAGCTTCTGAAGGAAGAATACATTATGATACTAATTAATAAGGCTATTTTGAGATAATCAAATATGATATACGATATTAAAATCTATAAAAAAGTACACTGCATTCAATTAAGTTTTCTTATATACTGAAATTGCTCTACATGTATTTGCTATTGGGTAAAGGAAATGTTTGAAAAAAAGTGGTTGTATCAAATGTACAAATATCCTTTGGAAAGTAACTGTGGTACTCAGAATTTTGGTTACCATAATTTTCAATTTGTGGTGTTATAGCCACAGTTAGTAGCACAGTAAAAAGGATTTCGCAGATGAAACCAAATTTAATTGGTTGATATTAAAATAGAGAGATTATCCAGGATTATCAAGGTGGGTCCAGTGTAATTACCTGAGTCCTTAAATGTGGAAGAAGGAGGCAGGAAAGGAATCCAGAGGGATGTGATAGAGGAGGCGTCAATGAAATTCAAAGTACAAGAGGGACTCATGCAATGTCCCTTTTCTGGTTTGAAGATAGAGACTGGCCTCAGGAGAAAAAAAAATGCAGGCAACTTCCAGAAGCAGATAGCAGCCCCCAGGGGCCTGTCAACAAGAAAATAGGGATCTCAGTCCTACAACCTCAAGGAACTGCATTCAGCCAACAAACTAAATGAGATTGAAAGAGGCTTATTCCCCAGATCTTCCAGATAACAGCTGACCCATTCTGATACCTTGCCTCTGGTTTTGTGAGACCCTGAACAGAGAGAATCCACTTATTCTGTGCCAGATTTCTGACCTACAGAACTGTGAGATAATAAATGTATGGTGTTTTAATCTGTTAAATGTGTAGTATTTTGTTGTACAGCAAGAGAAAACTAATATGGTAACTCAATTACTATCTCCAAATTGGAATCCCAAAATTTATGAGTTCTTTCTGTAGATGAGCTTCTTAGGTGAAGAACTGATATTTTTCTCAGAAGAACCTGAGATACAGGCACAGAAGTATCATAATTCCATAAGGGATGGTGTCCTGTATATTATGGCATATCCATGGGCATCTTCATGATCACAAAATATCACATAAAACCAGCAATATTGAATCTTTAGTGCTAGTTCCTTATTGTCATCTGATATTGCTTATCTAGTACTACCTTTTAAAAAGCTTTGAATTATCATCTTTAAGAACTCTGAAATGTGTTGCCTGCAGTATTTTAAATGATTGTTTTAATACTAAGAGTTTGTGTTTGTCTTTGTGTAAATATTAATGTAGATCTCTGAAATATATATGATACAGCTTCAAATTCTCTATATTTGTGATTTAAAGAAAGTTAAACTAGTTGAATATCAGGGTGTGCTTCTTAAAAAATTATCATTATAATTAGATTTTAGAGATACTCTAGGATTCTAGTATACTACGCTGGTTTTTAGTTCTAAAGTATTTCCATTCAGAAATGTTTACACCAATTATTGCATTAGTTAATTAATATAGAAAACACATAATTACAGTCTTTAAAATATAAAAACCATGCCTACAAGAGCTGTCGTAAAGACAAAATATTGTTGTATGATAAAACAGCCACTGCCATAACAAGCCTCCCTCTGTCCCAAACACTTTCTGAACAAGAATAATGTAAACATGATAGCATTGAAACTGACACTAGTGACAGTATCAAGTTATTCTTCTCTGCATGATGCAGCTAAAGAACATGAAGATGAACTGAGAAATCGATGTTGTAGCTGCAAAACAATAAAGAAAAAAAATTAAATTTCTCCTTAAAATAATCAATCATATTATGAGATTATTAAAAGATGAAAAATTTGAGTAAAGAAATGGGAATAGGTTTATCAAACTTACAAATAGTTTAGGATCAGAATTACTAAGAGGAAATACATGTTCTTCATATTTAAGGTTATAGTTAGAATTATAAATAACATTTATTTTATGTTGAATTATGTCCATTTTACTTGTGTAGATTATTAAGCCACTTGTTTAATATTGTGTAGTTTATAATTTATACTCTTCAACATACATGATGAATATCTAATTCAATCCTTTATAGTTCCATAAAAATTTCTGACACACATAATTTTGTTCCAGTGCTTATTTATTTCCATTGATTTACTTAAGCTTTATAATATATGAACATTTCTGAAAGCTAAATACTGGTATTGATACAAATAGTGTCATTTAACTCTAGTTTGTTTCACTACTATTCTTGAAAACCTAAACAATTTTCTTCACAAATGAGGTAGGCAACAATAATAAAACATACAAAATAGTTTTTGTCTACACAAAAGAGACAAAGTATATATTCAAGCCAATTTCATGAAACTAGAACTTGGTGACTTCTAAAATTATTTCTTATTATCTTCCATATTCTTCTAAATTCTTCTGGGAAGTTTCCTTGTCAGCATCTTCTGTAACCTTCTTTCCTATAATCATTTGCTCTGCTTTTTGAAAACTGTTGAATTAAGCTTTGTGCTATGAAGGAGACTGAGATTAATACTGGGTTCCCATAGCAAGCGTTCTTTCATACGAGGGCTATAATCTATTTGTGATGTCTGCCTAGGGCAAAAGACAATGAGTCTGGCTGAGTCCTGAGTTTTTATGGGCTTCAGAAGGGAGGAAATGTGTGCAGATTGGTCCATGGGTTGCCATCGGTGGGCCCCAAACAAAGGCACCCTAAATTCCCAATCTGGGCCATGGACTAAACCCAGAACTGACAGCCTGGCCCCCATTGCTTCCGGCCATCCCTGGCTTGAAGGTGGGGCTTCACCAGGAACCCACCTCTTTCCACCCAGGAGTCTGTCTGCCTCCTACTGCCATCTACTTATCATCCATGGCTCCCAGGTTGTTTGTGCCACGGGGCACCTGCAGGCCCACACCGAGGCACCCTCCCCCATCCCTACCACCCTTCTCAACACCCCCAACTCCCTCCCATGCACAGTGCCCAAAGTCTAGAGGGGGCCCAGGTGGCAAGGGAATGGCATATCAGCACCACCCGGCACGTGCATACCCAGCCAAGCAGTGACAGCGCCCAGGCTCAGACACAACTTTGCTCTGAAATCGAAGTGGGTGCAGTGAGCAGGGAAAGGCCAGGAAGTGGGAGCAGGCACTTCCAAGCCTGTGAGGGTATGGGGGCTTCCCAGGCACCAGAGAGCACAGGGATGTCCAGGTCCACAGCCATGGCTGGGTGGCTGCAGCTGTGGCCAGGACAGCAGGCCTCCTGCCTGTTCCTGACTCCTGCCAGGTCCATTGAGCATGCAGCCTTGGCCATGCCTCCCACTCTGTATCCAGTGTCTTCACAGAGGCTACTCCAGAGGGGCCACTGCTGCCATCACTAATACTACATCAATGATAAATATCTTGTATGGTAACCTAATAAAATGCATATTAGGTAAATTTTCTACAGAAAGCATTCTAAATACTTATGAAGTTTTCAGATACTGTATGATTAACAATGAATTGAAAGGAAAAAGATAATGCATGGTTCAAAAATACTTGATGTATTAAATAAAGGGTAGTCTCAAGGTTAGGTGGCATAACATCTTCAACATCACTTTATATCATAAAGCTCTTATTTAATTTTTCCTGAGGATGTATATGTTCTGATCCTAAGTTATGATACAATTTTAGAATAATTTTTAAAGGTACAATTATTATTTTACTATGCATTTTCACATAACCATTAAAATTATTTTGGTATGAATTTCAAGTAAAGGAAAGTTAACCTCAGCACCAGCAGAGTACTGGTAGAAATTTCTAATATTTTCCTGAATTAAAAAGATAGTAAGATAAGTAATAAGCAAATACTCACTGAGACACCATTCAAATATTTCAAAGTATTATCCAGTTGATGATACGTTTCTCAAATAGCCAAGTAGACTAATGAGTTATCTCAATGGACACTTATATTTTCTTTAGATAATTTGGGTAGTCACACAAAGAGGGAACTTTATTATGAGTCTTTAAGCATAAGAAAAATCTGACGCTTCCTGACAGTTCCAAGGAATGAAGTATATAGTCTATTATTACATCATTCGTAAACCTGATTTCTGATCAAATCATCTCAAAACCTCAGTCTCTGTGGAAAATACAAAACGAACGTAGTCAAAAACTCCATATTGATGACACAACAGGTAATGTTGCTATTTCAGTATGTATAATAGCAACAGAACAAAACATTCAACCCAAGTAGATACATTCCCTGGATTTTTGGTAAGCCATTTAAAAAGAGTACTTAACAAAAGAGCAAACGTAGTCATTAAAACACTTGAGACTAAAAAGTGTTTATTAAAGAATTGTCGTTAAACTGAAAGTTCTCCAGGGTTGTGCCCCAAGAATCAGTTATTGAATTTGTTCTCTTCAAAAACTTTAATATTTGTTTTAAAAGAAAATCCAGCAGGCTTATTTTTCAAGCATGTAAAATGTTAAAATTAATTCCAAATTATATACTGGAAAGGAGAAACTGGAGTTTAAAAATGTTGGTGGAACAACAGTTTCAAATAACATGTTAAAATTTAATAATAACTTATATCATCTTGAGAGTGATGAGACAGATTAATTCCTAGACAGACAGGGACTGGTCCCTGGTGAAACCCCATCTTCATGCCAAAGACAGTTGAATTCAGCCTGAAAACCAAGCTGCTGGTTCCGGTAGAGTCCATGACCAAAGTGAGAACTTCCATCCCCATCTTACCCTCTCTCTTCTCTATTGGTTCCTTCTAGATTATGCTTTTTAACCAATTGAATGGTGCTTTTTCCAAGCCTACTGCTGGACCAGTCAGCATTCTAAGCCCATACAAACCTCTGGACTCAGCTTCGTGGATGGCTACCCCACTTTTAGGGTCCTCTCTCACAGCTGAGAGCTTTTCTTCTGTCGCTCAATAAAATTTGCCTTTGCCTTGCTCACTCTATAGTATCTGCATAGCTTATTCCTTTTGGTCACAGTACAAGAACCCGAAACTCACCCAGCTATGGGCAGCAGGAGCAAAAGAGCTGTAACACTCGCTGAGCTGTGGTTGGTGCGAGTGAAAGAGCTGTAACCCTCCCTTCCTACTCGTTGAACTATAGCAGAAAAAGAGCTGTGACACTCCTGGCTGGCATGCTGAGCTGTGGGGTGGCAAGATAAAAAGGGCTGTAACTCTCCTTTTCACTTAATAAATGGAAGAGAAAAAGCCACTGGACGCCATTCCCTCCCACCTGCTGAACCACAAATACTATACATTTCTAAATGCCAATTTCATATATAAAGAATAGCAATGTTCTATCTTAACATTCATTTAAAGATAAAATTATTAATATTTTATGGTCAACAGGTTCATTATAAATTTGAATGAAAACTTTGTTTTTTAGAAAAACATATTAGTTCATTGCACAAGACACTGTTCAAACTACTTCTGGAAGGGCTATTGACATACTCAATATTAATGAGAATAGAGTTACCAAAGCAATAGTTCTGAAAATCATATCAAGTAAGATAGCAGTTTTAAAATAAATTAGTATCTACTGAGAACTCACTAGGTGCAACGCACCATGCTTTGTGACTTTATTCAATAATTCTCTTATTGGCAGGTGTTTAGATTGTCTCACACAGTTTTCTCTAGATATCCCAAGTGTAGCAATTCCTCCTTCATATTCCAGATTTTGTGTATGTGTTTTTTCATAGTAGACTACGTTTCTAGAAGGCAAACACAAATGGCTCTTTGAATCTTCACAGTGCTTAGAAGGACATTTGACATAGTATGAGAGATTAATAAATGATTTTTTTAATTGAAGAATTGTGTTCAGGACTCAGTCCTTTCATTAACTTTAGTGAGTATGGGCACAGAAGACAAGAGGAGAGAAGACAGGCAGTGGTGGGGTGCATGCAAAGTTTTCTCCAAATATTTGAAATATCTGTTTCTGAAATAATTTATTGACAAGCTTTCTGTTTTATTTTAGAGAATCTAAGAGAAACTTTCAGTTGATTAAGGACAAATGAACAGGCAGAGAGATTTTTTTTATAAAGTATTTCATAGTTTCTTTAAAAGTAGCTGGCAAGAATAATGTAAAACAGATTAGGCAAAATAAAAACATGTCCTATTCTAGTTGAATCTGACTTTTTTAAATGGAAGAATTTAGACTGTGCTTTCATACAAATTTCAAAATGTTATGTGTTTTGTGGATTGGATCAAGAACTTCTTAATTACATTAAAACTACTAATGAGCAAAGGGATTTACCTACTCTTTTTTGATGGTTTGCTAGACAGGGTCTCACTGTCACCTTGGCTGGAGTGCAGTGGCAAGATCATAGCTCACTGCAGCCTTGAACTCCTGGGCTCAAGAGAGCCTTCTGCTTCAGCCTTCGGAGTAGGTGGAACTACGGGTACACAAAACCACACCCGGCTAATTTTACCTCCTAATTTTTAAGGTTCTGAAATTGACACATTTCCCCCTGTTCAGGTCTGCCTCTTGGCTGGATATAGAACTGCAGATCATCTGACTATCGTATACTTCAGCTGTAAGGTGCTTCGTACTTACACTTTTCTACTTATACATTTTTTATGCCTAATCATATTTGCACAGAAAATAATAATAAACTCCGAAAGGAGTTAATACTTTAAGTTGTAGTTATGTATATACAGGAAATATTCATTCATATGATGATGTACTTAAGAACATGGCTTTTGGGGTCAGCCATGCCTGAGTTTTGCTCCTAGTCCCATCACTTATTAATATAGTTTTACTTTGGACAATTCATGTATATATGAGACTTTGTGGGTTTTTACAATTTTGATAAACTGAAAATAATATCTATATCATAATGTGTTTTTATAAGGTTTCAAATATATATGTGATATACATGTATGTTCTATATATGTATATATATTTGTTTTATATATAGGTATATATAAAACACTAAAACTGTTTTGGAAATTTTTAATTAAAAATGTGCATATAAAGTATCTGACCAAGTGCCTAACATGTAATAGCTGCTTGATAAATGCCAAATATTACTATTACTGAGAGGAGGACTGGGAAATTAAACATACAAATGAATAGTGGCCAGACTATATATGACAATACAGTTCTAACCACAATTGCTTCAGCAATCAGTCCAGCAAACCATGTCTTAACCTCTGTAGTAATAAGCCCAGAGTGGTCAGGACTTGGTCAGTGACTGTCAATTTCCTTATTTTTTGCCTGTTTCAAACTCAAGACGAACCAGAAAAAGCCATATATTCTCCCTAAACAAATCACAGTTCCTAAGCTATTTATTCTTAGTTTGATATTGGGGTTTTTATTGGTTCTTATTTGTTTGGCATCATTGGTGAAATTAAGCCACTCCTTCCTTTATTTTTGCATTCTTTCTGGATATTTTGTTGTGCTATCTAAAATTGCTGTTTACCATAGGAATATTCTGAGGTAGAATACAAGAAAAGGTCATATATAGCTCCTCTCTGCACTGGGTTTGCAGAATAGTAAATGAAAGATTCTTAACTGGACCAGTGTACATTCAGGTAAGTTTGTTTTGCCTGAAAACATTCTTTGCCTGAAAACATTTGCCTGAAACATAACCTGAAAAGATTCTCCTTTGGCTCATTCTTCTTTGTCCTGAAACCTATGTTCTGATACTTGAAGAGCATTAACTTTCATTTTCCAACTTCTAGGGAGCACTGATTATTGGGTGTGAACTTGGAAGCAGCCAAATGTCAGGTTAGTTGGTCAAGACACCAAGTGTACCAGCATAAATTTCAACCAACCATCCCCAGTTCTCATAGCCTAAATCTAAATCTCCTTCTCCTCCATAGTCTAAATACTCTTAAATACTCTTCCCCAGAAAAAAAATTCTTGGTGTTTTTGTTTGTTTGTTTGTTTTCTGTTTTTTGTTTTTCCTCGAGATGGAGTCTGGCTCTGCTGCCCAGGCTGGAGTGCAGTGGCACAATCTTGGCTCACTGCAACCTCTGCCTCCTGGTTTCAAGCAATTCTCCTGGCTCAACCAGAGTAGCTGGGACTACAGGCGTCTGCCACCACGCCCAGCTAATTTTTGTATTTTTAGTAGGCTAAAAATGTTGGATAGGCTGGCCTTGAACTCCTGACCTCAATTGACCCACCAGCCTTGGCCTCCCAAAGTGCAGGGATTACAGGCGTGAGCCACCACACCTGGCCTGGGGGGAAAAAAACTTCTCAGTGTTATGTGTACTTTCATTATTCTTACTACAATCCTAATCTGTGTGCCATTTGTCTAAATATCATAAATTCACCAAAGAGGTAAAAAATTATCACACCAAATGAGAAACAATTTTATGTGAAGACCTCCATGAAATGCTGATTTTAAAAAATTATTTCATTAAAAGGTTATTTATCCAACACTAATGAACAATTTGACAATCGTATTGAGCAGGAACAAAGTAATTTTTCTAGTGACTACTCCCTGCTCCTTGTTGTTCCATTGCTTTCCTATATACAGTTCTCCATACTCCAATTATCCATTTGATCTCTCTCCTTCCACAGCCTGTTAACTCCTTTCTCCTCTTCCCCTTTCTAGACCAACTACCTTTTCATAATGACTCCAAATAGTCCAATTGCTTATAAAAATCCATCCCTCCCATTAGATAAGTATTCAGGCAACTGTAGAATTTAAACTTTCAGCCCAAACTGGACAAAGAATCATAATTAAGAATTTTCCTAAACCCAGAGAAGACCAGTGATTATTCATAGAAAAATAATAATTAATTTGGGTGCATATACTCAGGTTTCTTGACATACACCAAATTGTATACATTGTAAGAAATCTCAGATGATAAATCCTGCTCTGTAAAAAGCTAAATAGAGTTATCGGAAAAGGGATGTACAGAATCCCTTTTAATAAGCCTGAGCGTCAAAAAACAAAAAGCCCCAAAAGTAGGGCAAAGTCTACTAAGAGCAATTCCTGAAACATTGACAATTAAAAGCAAGTGATTAGAATTCAATCTCATAGGCAACATCAGGTGCTGTGGCTCAAGTCTATAATCTTGGCACTATTGGTGGCCAAACAGAATGGATCACTTGAGTCCAGGAGTTCGAGACTAACCCAGGCAACATGGCGAAAACCCCATCTCTACCAAAAATACACAAATTAGCCAGGCATTGGGGTGTATGCCTGTGGTTCCAGCTACTAGGAAGTCTGAAGTGGGAGAATCAATTGAGCCCATGAGATCAAGGCCTGCCGTGAGCCATTATGTCGCTACTGCACTCCAGCCTGGAAGATAGAGCATGACAAACAAACTAAAAAGAATTCTATCTCACAAATGCACAAAGAAAGAAAATAGGAAACTGCTAGATATTTTCAGGATAGACAAAAATGTTTTCTATGATATTTAGCAGTTAAAGAACTTCAACTTGAAAACAGAGACCTAATTGGAAAACATAAATTAGAATGAAAAAATTACCCTTTACCTCAGATACATTACCTGGCAGAACATTTTGAAAGAGCTCGAGAACAAAAACAGGACAAGACCTCAAATAAACTTAATGGCCCTGCTCCCAACAGACCACCTGGACAACTGTACACAATATAAACAGAAGGGACACTGGAAAATGATTGTCCTGTATTTTATGTATGTATGTGTATATATATATGTGTGTGTGTGTGTGTATATATGTGTATATATATGTGTATATATGTATGGGTGTGTGTGTATATATGTATATATACACACACAAGATAAAGAAAAGATAAAGAAAAATGCCCCAATTCAGATCAGTGAGTATGTTCTGAGGAAGAGAAATATATACAACATTCTGCCTTAACTTTAAACACTTAAGGTTAATTAACTATAAATGTAG
Source organism: Homo sapiens (assembly GCF_000001405.40). Taxonomy (NCBI): domain Eukaryota; kingdom Metazoa; phylum Chordata; class Mammalia; order Primates; family Hominidae; genus Homo; species Homo sapiens. The sequence continues at coordinate 184,656,542 of NC_000002.12, read as the reverse complement.
TTGATTAACCTCAATCCATTCCTGGTATATGTAAGCACTACTTTTTCTACCTTAAAACCAGCCACCTTTGCTTAATTTCTTCATAGAAGTAAACATGCCACACAGATGGTAGGTATTTGAAATACTCCTCAGATTTTCCTTATTTCCCACCTTAACTGTAATTCATAGCCCACTAACAAAACACTCTTCCATGCACTGTAATAACACTCCTATAAATTTAGTAGGGAAAGTATTACTTTACAAATGAAATAGCAATATTGCGTGCATACTGTAGAGACTATCTCTTGAGGTTCCAGAGAAAATATCTAGGCATAACTATGTGTAATGTGCTTATATCTTTATTTTCTCCATTATATCTGATGTATACCACAGATACACATACCATAAATGCCACTCTGTGGGTTAAAAATTCTACCGACAAAGGAAAACTAATGACAGAACACATTAAAATTCAGATATCTAAATAATTGATTAATAATTTGCTCAACGACCTAGGAAGTTTGTTGGATTTAAATTTAGAATTTAAATTTAGAATCCAAATTTAGAATTTAAATAGATTAATAATTATTAATCAATTAACATATCTAATTATTTAACTCCTACTTTGAGTTTCATCACTTTTCACATGCAAAATTTTCATTCACATAAAAAAATTTCATTTTCAAATACTCCATAGACCAATGGTTGCCATCCACCGCTAATGGCCTGTTTTCTATTTTCTTTCTTTTTTATGGTAATTGTTAAGGCAGAAAATATTCATTATAATACTCTTTATAGGCTGTCACAAATAGTAGGGCCTTCCCTCAATAATACTGACTGCTTAATATGCCATCTATCACTTGAACTCCACGAAAAAAAAACCTCTAGAGAATTCCATTCTATCAAATAAAACCATACAGAATTATATTTCATTGAACCTATATCTACAAATTATATTGAATAAAATCAAAATCTGACTTTACTAGGACACTTTCATCCAAAAAGGACCAATTTTATAATCTATTAAACAGACCCAAGTTAATTCTAAATTTAAATGCAACAAACTTCCTAGGTCGTTGATCAAATGCATCCCACCTGAGACACTAGAGATTTGAATATGCAACCCAGCTAACACAAAAATTCAGTTGTAATCTTGGGCTGTAAACAGCTCCCTTTTTAGTGGATATCCATGTTTCCCTACTCTATCCTCCATCCTTTGCAACTTGACAGTGTTTGTCTCAGACCAATACCTTCTGCAGTTTATCAACAGCATTCTGTGACTTGACTGCACACAGAAGCACTAATTCTACAAATCAGCAAGACTGGAATTTGTGAAAGGGGAGTGATATCTAAAACGTGGCCACACTTGTTTATGCTCTACTTAGAAAAAGAATGCAAACAATCTGGGCAGTATTTCCAATGGTGGGAATCATATAAATAGAAAAGCCTGTAAGAAATGCATCACTAACTCTTGCGTAATTATTAACAAACCACCTTTTCCCTAGATAGAATACAATTCACTCTCAACTCATTGTAATGAGTAGAGATGTATAATCTCATTGCTCCATATTTCCTGTTAGCTAGCCATGGTGGCATCTGTGCCATTTCTAAGTCTTGTTGTATGTAAATAAATGAAATAGGCAAGGTACATCACCATAAGGAAAAACTCACTTGGTACTTTATGATAGATCCTTATAGCCAATGGAATTATCTCTCTTGGCCCAGGTTGGGTGTTTGGGGTTCCTGGTTCTAAAGCATATTACAGGGAGAAGCATTCTTTTTCTTAACATGATGACCATGATGCTATTCCAATGCATTACATCCAGAATCCTATATGCTTTTTCATAGCTGCTATCTTCTCAAATGTTTTTCATATGGATACAATAAATTGGTCAATAAATTCTTGTGAAATATTTGACTATGGAGACAACTGAACACTTAGCAGCAAAGATCTGCCTCTCTAGATTTCCTTAAATTGGTCTACCTATCACAAGTGAGAGAATGACTAAAAGGGGGCACTGAGACATTGAATATACAAACAACAGCCAAACAATGTATGACAATAGAATTCTAACCATAACCTCTGCAGCAAGGAGCCCAGGAAAACAAACCATAACCTCTGCAGCAATCAGCAATATGGTCAGGATGTATTCAATGACAGCCACCTTCCCAATTTTTTTTGCCCTTATTTCCAACTCAGAACCAACCAGAAAAAGGAAGCATATTCCCCAAACAGATCACATATGATGTACTGTCTCTAGTTAATCTGCCTCCAGCTACCCCATGCCAAAAACCTCCAAGCAGAAAATACCTAAGGCCTTGCCCATTTCTTTATTTGCCTGTCTTTGTGTCTCTGTCAAACACAAATGATGGCATCAGAACCGGGCTATAGCAAAAGCTGAAGATATAGGCTGTATCTGTTTTTATCTGTGTATCTTGTTAGAGTAGGTAGCTAGTCAGGCATAAGCAGGGCAGGATTGGGCTCCCCCGACCCACCAGGAATGTCAGATGACCATCAGGTGATGGTCTGGCAGTTATCACACTGTATCTCTAAAATGATAACTGGTCACAGTTGGCACTAGGGAAAGGCCGTTTCCTGATGGTCTGGCAGTTACCACACTGGTTCTCTAAAATGATCATTGGTCGCAGCCAGCACCAGGGAGACGCAATTTTCCAATAAAATAAAACACTTGAAGTTGGTAATCAGAAGCTTCCAATAATATCTCAGGACTGGGGCCAATGGGCATGGACATTAAAAGCCAAACTGCTGGAGTATAACCTTCTGGGGGCATTCCACCAGAAAAGGGAAGAATGCCTCAGGAGAACATGCATACAACTCCTGTAAATGCACTGTGCATGCTCACCTCCCAAGTGCTCACAGGCCACCATGCATGTGGGCAGCCCACCCCATTGGAAGAACCAGGGGAAGATGGATGCAAGTCTCCAGAAGTATGCCAATATATAAAACCCAAAGTCTAAAGGTCAAACTCTGCACTCGATCTCCAAATGTCCAGTTGGGTCTCCCAAGTTTACTTTCCTTTCTTTCCTGCTCTAAAGCTTTTTAATGAACTTCCAACCTGCTCTGAAACTTGCCTTGGTCTCTTTTTCTGCCTTATGTCCCTGAGTAAAATACTTTCTTCTGAGGAGGCGAGAACTGATGTTGCTGCAGACCCATATGGATTCGCCACTGGTAACTCAGAAATTCACCACCCCTAACAGTCTTTGTGGATATCCAAAATGTCTTTATATTATGGAAGTAAAATGTAGACATTTAAGTTTTGAGGAAATTCGTATATATAAATATTTAAGTTTTTAATTCTTAACAAGCCCATTAAATAACACCTGGTTGTTGTTTGAATTCCCAATCATGCAACATGATTTCAATTGCAATAGTATTGATTCATACCTTAATGAGGAAACATGAAAGAGCAAAGTAGAAAGAATCAGAGAAGGTGTATTTGTCCATTCTTGAGCTGCTATGAAGAAACACCCAAGACTAGGTAATTTATAAAGGAAAGAGGTTTAATTGACTCACAGTTCCGAAGGGCTGAGTTTATAAAGGAAAGAGGTTTAATTGACTCACAGTTCTGAAGGGCTGAGTAGGCCTCAGGAAACCTACAATCATAGTAGAAGACACCTTTTCATAGGGTGGCAGGGGAGAGAATAATGAGAACCTAGCAAAGAGGGAAGCCCCTTATAAAACCATCAGATCTTGTAAGAACTTACCATCAGGAGAACAGCATGGGGGAACTGCCCCCATAATCTAATCACCTCCCATGAGGTCCCTCCCATAACACATGGGGATTATGGGAACTACAATTCAAGATGAAATTTGGGTGGGGACACAGCCGAACCATATAGAAAGAGATCAAAAGGTAGATTTACATTGAATGAAGGCAGGAGGAAATATGCTTAGAAAGGTACTGGAAAGGCAAGCAACTTAACAGAGAAAAACAAAGAGCTCTCTTTCTTAGGTTTTTATTTTAACTGCCCTAGGAATTAGCCAAGAACAGGATTTCACCAAAAACTCCCATTCTCAAAATCCAATGAATTAGTAAAAAAGTTTTAAACATATTTTTCATTTAAAATATTTAAATACAATTTTACCTTATTTTTATTTTTTTCATCTGTTATTTCAGATTCAGGAGATACATGAGAAGATTTGTTACCTAGGTACATTGCTGAGGTTTGGAGTACGAATGATACCACCATGCAGGTACTGAACATAGTACCCAATAGGTAGCTTATCAACCCTCATTCCCTTCCTTTCTTCCCCTCTAGTGGTTCCTGGTTTCTATTGTTGCCATCTTTATGTTCATGAGTACCCAATATTTAGCTCAAATTTATAAGTGAAAACATACAGTGTTTGGTTTTCTCTACCTTCACTAAATCACTTAGGATAATGGTCTCCAGCCCCATCCATGTTGCTGCAAAAAAACTTGATTTTGTTCTTTTTTATGCTGCATCATAGTCTATAGCACATATTTACCACCTTTTCTTTATACAGACCACCACTGATAGGTACCAATGTTGATTGCATATCTTTGCTATTGTGAATGTTCTACAATTAAAATATGAGTGCATGTGTCTTTTTTTCAGAACAACTTTTCTTTTGGATATACATCCAGTAATGAGATTGCTGAGTCGAACCGTAGCTCTGTTATAACTTCTGTGAGAAACCTCTAAACTGCTTTCTACAGAAGCTGAAATAATTTGTATTCCCACAAACAGTGTATAAGCATTCCCTTTCCTCCACAGCATTGCCAGCATCTATTATTTTTTGAATTATTGATAATACTTATTCTGAGTAGTGTGAGATGGTATCTCATTGTGATTCTGATTTGCATTTTTCTGATGATTAGTGATATGGAACATTTTTTCATGTTTGTTGGCCACTTGTATATCTTCTTTTGAGTAGTGTCTGTTCCTATTTTTTGCCTACTTTTAAATAAAGTTGTTTGTTTCTTGCTTATTAAAATGTTTAGTTTCCTTATAGATTCCAGATATAGATATGTTTGTCAGATGTGTAGTTTGTGAATATTTTCTCCCATTGTGTAGGTTGTCTGTTTATTCTATTGATAATTTTTTTGCTGTTCAGAAGCTTTTTAGTTTAATTAGGTCTCATTTGCCAATTTTTGTTTTTGTTGCAATTGCTTTTGAGGACTTAGTCATAAATTCTTTCCCAAGGCCAATGTTCAGGATGCTGTTTCCTAGATTTTAATTAGGCTTCTTAAAATTTGAGGTCTTACATTTAAATCTTTAATCCATTTTGAGTTAATTTTGTGTACGGTGAAAGGTAAGGCTCTAGTTTCCACCTTCTGTATATGGCTAGCCAGTTATCCCAACACCATTTACTGAATAGGGAGTCCTTTCCCCATTGCTTGTTTTTGTCACCTTTTCAAGGATCACATGGTTGTAGGTGTATGGCTTTTTTTCTGTGTTCTCTATTGTATTCCATTGGTCTATGTATCTGAATTCATACCAGTACCATGCTGTTTTGGCTATAATAATAGCCTTATAGTATAATTTGAAGTTGGGTAATATGATATATCTGTCTTTGCTCTTTTTGCTCAGGATTGCTTTGGCTATTCAGGCTCTTTTTGATACCATACACATTTTAGAATATATTTTTCTAGTTTTGTGAAAAATGACATTAGTAGTTTGATAAGAAAAGCATTGAATGTGTAGCTTAATTGGGCAGTGTTTTTAACAATACTGATTCTTCCAATCCATGATCATAAAATGTTTTTCCATTTGTGTCATGTATGACTTCTTTCATCAGTATTTTATAATTTTCCCTGCAGAGACCTTTCAACTCTGGTTACATGTATTCCTAGGTTTTTGTTTGGTTCTTTGTTTTGTTTTGTTTCAGTTTTAGCTATTGTAAATGGGATTGTGTTCTTGGTTTGACTCTCAGATGTTAAGAAATGCTACTGATTTTGTATTCTGAAACTTTACTGAAGTTATTTATCAGTTCCAGGAGCTTTTTGGTGGAGTCTTTAGGGCTTTTTGAGTATAAAATTATATCATCCGTGAAGTGAGACAGCTTAGCTACTTTTTATCTTATTTGGTTGCCTTTCACTCCATTCTCTTGTCTGATTGCTCTGGCTAGCACTTCCACTACCATGCTGAATATGAGCAGTGAAAGTGGGCATCCTTGTCTTGTTCTAGATCTCCAGGAGAATGCTTCCAGTTTTTGCCCTTTCAGAGTGATGTTCACTACAGGTTTGTCATAGATGGCTCTTATTATTTTGAGGTATGTTACTTTAATTCTTAGATTCTGAAGAGTTTTTATCATGAAGGGATTTCGGATTTTGTCAAGAGCTTTTTCCTTACCTACTGAGATGATCTTACGCCTTTTGGTTTTAATTATGTTTCTATAATGAGTCACATTTATTGATTTGTGTATATTGACCCAACCTTGAATCCCAGGAATGAAGCCTACTTGATCATAGTGAATTAACTTTTTGATGTGCTGTTGGATTTGGGTGCTAGTATTTTCTCGAGGATTTGTCCTTTATGTTCATCAGCGATAATGGCCTACAGTTTTCTTTTTTATGTTGTGTGTTTGCCTGGTTTGGGTATAAGGGTGGTGCTGGATTTATAGAATTAGTTAGAAAGGAGTCCCTCCTCCTCAAATTTTTTGTAATAGAATTGGTATTAGTTTGTCTTTGTACTTCTGCTGAAACATAGCTGTGAATCCATCTGGTCCTGGGCCTTTTTTTTTTTTTTGGTTGATTTGTAGGTTTTTTAAATAATTGATTCAATTTCACAACAGTATATTGGTCTGTTCAGAGCTTTAATTACTTCCTGATTTAGGAGACTTTTAATTACTTCCTGTCTTGGGAGACTGTGTTCTTCCAGAGGAAATTCTAGAAGAATTTATCCATTTCCTCTGTCTTCTAGTTTGTGTGTATAGGGGTATTTATAATAGTCTCTGAGGATCTTTTGTATTTCTGGAGGATTAGTTGTAATGTCACCTTTGTCATTTTTTATTGTGCTCATTTGGATCTTCTCTGTTTCTTTCTTAATCTAGTTGTTAGTCTATCAATCTTGTTTATCCTTTCAAATAACCAAGCTTTGGTTTTGTTAATTCTTTGTATGCATTCTCAATTTCATTCAGTTTTGTTCTGATTTTAGTTATTTCTTTTCATCTGGTAGCTTTGGGGTTAGTTTCTCCTTGTTTTTCTAGTTCCTCTGAATGTAATGTTAGATTATTAATTATCAGTCTTTCTCACTTTTTGAGGTAGGCATTAAGTGCTATAAACTTTCCTCTTAACACAGCTTTTGCTGCATCCCACAGAGTTTGGTATGGTTTGTTATTATTTTCATTTATTCAAAGATTTTTTTAAAAATTCTGCCTTAATTTATTGTTTATTCAAATGTCACTTACAATCAAGTTGTCGAATTTCTATGTAATTTCACGGTTTTGAGAGATCTTGGTATTGATTTCTATTTTCACTCTACTATCTTCCAAGAGTATGGCTAATATAATTTCGATTTTTTTTTAACTTATTGAGACTTGCTTTGTGGCTAAGTGTTTATTTGATTTTTGAGCGTGTTCCGTGTGCAGATTACAATAATATATATTCCATGGGTTTTGAGTGGAGTATTCTGTAGCTGTCTGTTAGGTTCAGTTGGTCAAGTGTCAAGTTTAAGTCCGGAATTTGTTAATTTTCTGCCTCAATAATCTGTCTAATGCTGACACTGGGTGCTAAAATTCCTGCATTATTCTTGTGTAGCTGTGTAAGTATTTTCTTAGGTCTAGAAGTACTTGTTTTGTAAATCAGGGTGCTCCAATAATTGGTGAGTATACATATAGTTTAGTTAAGTCTTCTTTTTAAATTGGATCCTTTATCATAAGTTGTGCCCTTCACCTTTTTTGACAATTGTTATTTCAAAGTCTATTTTATTTGATATAAGAATAGCAACCCTTGCTCTTTTTTGTTTTTCATTTCTATGGCAGATCTTTCTTCAACCCTTTACTGTGAGCCTATGGGTTTCAACACATGTGAGGTGTTATCTCTTGAAGACAACAGATTATGGGTCTTGTTTTTTAGTTTGTTTGTTTTGTTGTTTTTACTTTTAATCCAACTTGTTAGTCCATGTCTTTTAAGTGGGAAGTTCACACTGTTTACTTTCATGATTAATATTGATATGTGAGATTTTTATCCTATCAAGAAGTTGTTAGCTGGTTGGTCTTGAGTTTCTATTGCGTGATTGTTTTATATGACCTGTGGGCTATGTATTTAATTGTGTTCTTGTAGTAGCGGGTATTATTTGTTTGCTTCTATGTGTAAAACTCCCTTAAAAATCTCTTGTATGGCTGTTCTAGTGTTAATAAATTATCTAGTGCTTCCTTGGTTGGAAAAGATTTTAATTCCCCTTCATTTATGAAGCTTAGTTTAGCAAGATATGAAATTCTTGGTTGGCATTTCTTTTCTTTTCTTTTCTTAAAATTATTTATACTTTAACTTCTAGGGGACATGTGCAAATCGGGCCCCCATCTGGCCTTTGTTCTGCTGAGAATTCTGCTGTTAGCTTGATGGAGTTCCCTTTGTACATTATTTGAGCTTTTTATCTAGCTGTCTTTAACATTTTTTCTTTAGTGTTGACTTTAGAATGTTTGATGACTACGTCCTTTGGTGAGATTCAACTTGTAGCATATCTTGCAAGTGTTCCTGAATTTCTCCTATCTGGATGTCTCCTCTCTAGCAAGATTAGGGAAATTTCCTTGAATTATTAACTCACATATGTATTCCAGGTGGTTTACCTTTTTTCTTTCTCTCTCAGGAATACCAGTGTTTTGTAAGATTGGTCACTTTACATAATCCCATATTTCTTGAAGAATTTATTCTTTTTAAAAACATTTTTTCTTTGTCTTTCTGAGTTAGTTCAAAATACAGATCTTCATGCTTTGACATTCTATCTTCTGCCTGATCCAATCTGTTGATAAATCTTTATATTTTATTTTAAAATTCCTTAAGTGAGTTTTTCAATTCTAGATGCTCTGAATGATTTATTTTTATAATGTTTATCTCTTCCTTCATTTCCTGGACTGCTTTAGATTGATTTGTGTTGATTTTCAACCATGTATTGGATCCTGTTGAGCTTCCTTGCAATCCAAGCTGTGAAATCTTTATCCATCATTTATAAGTTTCCATTTTGGTTAGGGACCACTGTAAGAGATCTAATGTGATCCTTTGTTGGCGTCACTACATTCAGAGTTTTTATGGTGCCAGAATTCTTGCACTGGTTCTTTTGCATCTGGAGATAACGGCAATTACAAGCTTTGTAATCATTTTAGTGAGGGTAAGGTTTTTCTTTGCCCACCCCCACTGCCATATTATCATTGTTGTTTTTTCTTTCCCTTTTCCTATCTCCTCCTTCCTAGGGGTGCAACTATAGTGAATACTGGGTAGGCTGTTTTGGCTTAACTTCTATAAACCTATGCATTTCTTTAGACAGGTTTCTATTGGCCTGTGTAGTTTGATCTATGAGCCAGTTGATGGTTTTTATAAGTAAGAGCTAGCTGCAGCAAACATGGCTGGGTGTACACTTGATCCTTGTTTACCAGTGATTGTCTACGTTACCTCAGGCAATGGGCTGATGCTTGGAATGCACAGTGGTCTGAGCTCCCTGCTCACTCCCCAGGTGGCAGGGGCCAAGATGAGTAGAGCTGGATCAGGCAAATCTGCCGACAGGTCCTCTGATGGCAGGAGGAAACACCAGTGCCAAAGGGAGAATACAGTGTCTGGCCACCAAGCGCTCAGAGGTTTGCCTAGGCACGGAGGTGAGAAATCTCCATGGCCTCAAGTTAACTGCATGGGGATGGGGGGTAGTCTAAATTCCTAATCAAGGAGAGTATATTCTCCAGATACTTGGACATCTGTCTGAGAATGGAACAGAGAGAGCCCCCTGCAGCTAATCTCTGCACAGGAGTTGTGGGGCAGCTCAGGCTGCTGATCTAAGTGAGCAGGTGCTCTGAATTCCTGGAGATCTGCTTGGGTATGTAGCAGACAGGGCCCCCTTGCACCAAGATCTCTGCACAGGAAGGGTGGGGCAGGTCAGGTTGCTGATCCAGTTGAGCAAATGCTCTGAATACTTGGAGCTCTGCCTGGGCATAAACCACAGAGGGCCCTGATGCACCAACATCTCAAGGGAGCAGGCTGGAGCACATAGCAATGGCATATGCAAACCAGTTCCAGTTCACCAAGCTGGACCTGGCTGCAAGTCTCACTGCCGAAGAGAAACTACAGCTGTAGTAGCACTCTTCCTGCCCCAGGCTTACAACAGGCCAGAGCACAATTCCACTGCTGACTGCTGAGGCACTTTACATAGTTCTGGCTGTGGAAGCCCTTACCCCACTCCAGATATGGCACTCGAATCTCTGGCCCAAAATTTAAATGCCATGTGGTCATGCTGCTGAGTTACCAAAAAGTGGCTGACTTTGTATGTATGTGGTTGGCTAAAAATGGCCTCTGCTCTCAGTCTTGGGTCTGGGAAAATATCTGCAGCTTTTCCAGGTGTGTTTCCCTTACAGTATCTCCAAGTTTCTCACAAGTTCACTCCAGGACTTGAGAAAAACAAAGCGCTCTCCCTCATCCTGACTTGCCCAAAAGCCCAGTGGAAAGGTGACTCCAGAGGGAGGCTCTCTGCCTCTCTCATGTATTGGGGCTTCACTTACTTTTATCAGCCACACATCTTTATGGGAACTATTTTTCAGTGTTCTCCTCCCTGGGACCTGGGATGTCCTTCACAATTCTGGTGCATTTCCATTTTCCTTCTTGAATTAGAGCTCACAGAGTTGATCTTTATGTACTATCTTGCTATTTCCAAGAGGCTAAAGCATGCTGAAAGCCTCTAATCCCCCATCTTTGGGAAAATAAAAAATCCCTAAAATGTTTTATTAAATGATGTATCTTGCTGTCATAGCTTAAAATATTCTCTACCTATTATATTCCAATAATGTTATCAGCTTTTCTTTTTTAATTCAGTGTTATACTTTTATTATCAACTAGTTTCCCTCTGGAACTTTAAAAAATAATAAACAGCTATATCTAATAAATGAATATTTAAAAACGTTCATCACCTCCCACTATGAAAAACAGAAAGTCACTTTATTTTGCTAATAAACTGGCCTATTTTGGTCATCATATCTTTAGCAATATACCAGAGAAAACCTTTTGCCCTTTTAATATTTGTACTGTAGACATTTTCAATATATCATCAATGTAAAATAGAAAACTATGGCAGTAAGTAACATTAGTATCAGAGGAAAGTATATTTGAAACTAATTTCCTTTCTATGTGGATGTTATTACCATAATAACATATGAAGACAAAACGTTGAAATGGGAGACAGATAATACAAATGAAACTATAGAAATAATTGTGTTACTTCTCATCATTAATTTTAAAATAAATATGTAAGAGATATCTTACATTAATGGGCTTATGTCATTTATAGGATTTTAGAGGCTGATCTGGTACACAAATAACTTTGATGAATCAAAAGTGTCTAGGAATTATCCTCTCACAATTACACTACAAGCAGGTGATAATTATGAAGCCAAATATATGAAAAAAGGAAATGTAAACTTACTATTAGCCTTCTAAATAAAAGCCATACACCAGGTAATTGTGACAGATTTTTATTTAAGAAAACTAATCTTGCTGACTGCTGCCCCAGTGTGGTACAATATTAAACATCAGAACTTAAAAAATAAAAGAAAAATATTTATCTAAAATGTTTCCTTAACATGGTCTCTTTTGATAATTCTTAAAATGAAAAGCAAGGTATGAAACAGAGTTTTAAACCTCTTTGAGCAATCAGTATCTTGTTTATCTCTTCATGCCTTGTAATGCTTTCATAGAATTTGAAAGAGTGTCTTATCTTCATTTACATAGTAGTTTAAGAACGAACAAAGAAGTTCTACCTCAGATGCAAATACTAAACATTAGTATAAGATTTAATGACGACATTACAGGACATAAAATGTCTATACAGGTTTTTTTAATTGAGAAACAGAAAATTTGAAGTTAACTGTCAAACAAATAATTACAGATTTTTTAATTTTATATATCACCAGGATGACTTTTTATGCCTTTTAATATTTTATTTTATAATAACTTACCTTATATTTAGAAAAGAAAACTGGTTTAAAAAATTACTAAAACACAAAAATATAAAAAATAAAACAATAGCCACACAAATATTGTTGCTTCTGCATGGGTTATAAATACTATTTTCAAAATCTATTCAGTTGTTTCCTTTCAATTGCACTTCAATGCCATGTAACAGATGAGGTATTTTATATATATATATATGATATATAGCTGTATTGCAATCTTCATATCTCTCCTTGGTTCTTGTCTTTGTACCTCTAACCCTGACAGTTAAATTTTTGCATATTTACTTCAGTATTTTTTTTCAGAAGGTTGAAGACAGAATTCCTAATTCCACATCCTACACTCTTCAATAAAAACAAATAACTGAATTAACATGATTCACCTGAAAGGCATTTTAAGGTAGTTTGAGAATTTTATGGTAAAATATTTTTAGAATCATGCTAGTAATAGAAGTTATTTGCATGGGTTATTCTTTTTAAAAAATTATTATTGGTACATAGTAGGTGTATATATTTATAGGATACACGAATGCATGGGTTATTCTTAACACCTGGAACCCATATTGTCAGGTTCTGTTCGGTTTTCCAATGCCTTTTTAAAATTATTGTTTATTTTATACTTTATATTATATAAAACATATACACATATCCACATTTTATATATTGATATGTATATATATATTTATACATGTCTATATAAATTTATATGCACATGTTTACCTATAATTTACATGTACAAAAATTGCAAGAGCATTTACTTTCTACAAGATAAGTAATTTTCTCAATATGTAACATTATGATTAGAAGAATCCACAATAAAGTGTTTCTTGATTCTGCATTCTTAACTATGGGAAAAGCCAGAAAACATTTTGATACAGTTTTATTTGAATTGTATAGTAAAATAGATTTGTTGCTCTTGAGTTATAGGTATACTGTAAGAATAAGACAATATCAGGGAATTAATAGTAACTACAATGAGTATATCTCTTTTTAATTTTTCAAAGCAAATTTATCAAGTATATTGTACATTCTTCACAACATTACTATGAGAAAAGACTCCTAGACAGTATTTTTATTGCCATTTATGGGAAAAGAAATCCAAGGTTCAAAAATGTTTACGTGACTTGACCAAGGCCATATGACAAACAAATGACAAACAAAAATAAGAACCTTTCACTATACTATATTTTGCATTATAACTTGCTGTCCTTTATCACAGAAAGAAAACAAATAAAAAGAAAAGTAATAAATATTTATTAAATGCATGAAGGAAAATAAAAAATGTAGGGCATTACATAATATTTTCAGTCAGGATCTCATCTTTTATGCCATGCCACTAGTAGATGTGCTTTTTAATGTGAGATTCTGTGTCTACAATTTTTCATCCAGATTTTTACCACTCTAGATAAATAGAGTATTTATTAGAGAAGCTGTAGATCAATAAAAGAGAACTGTAATTGTTTTTATGTTTATGAAAAGTTCATATCAATTAACACGTATTCTCTTCAATATATATGACTCCATTATCCATTACCATATCAAGAAAATTTGGCAGTTGTCATTCTAAAAGATTTTGTTTTCAACATGCAAAGAATCTAGCTTTATTAGAATACAGGAATAGTTGTTGAGAATATGGTCTTAAGAATGTGCTCTTTAGACTTCTTCCATCCTTGGCACACAAGAGCTTCTATAATTGTTATCCTTAAAATGTGGGTATAAAACGTGGGTAGTAGGAGGAATGAGTTGGGGATGTTGCCAGAGTCACTAATGAAACTTGGCTTGGCCAGCAACTGGTTTTCATATACCCACAGAAGATAATGTTGAAAGAGAGAATAAAGAAAACAAAATGGAAGGGGAAAGTAGTATACTATCTTACTTCTATAGTTCTTTTTCCTCTTATATCCCGACTAATGAATTTTTAAAACAATTACGGGTTATGAAGATGTTGATACAAAGAGCCAAGTAAACTCTGAACTTTAAACCATCCTTTCTGTTTTGGAGAACAATACTTCCTCAGCTAGTATGTCTGATTCAATAAATAAGATCATATCCATGGAAAGGAAAGCAAAGAAAATGGAAGGGAAAGGATATGAATGGAGAGTAGAAATGGTGAGTAATTGCTACTTGAGGACAGTTTAGGCACAAATATTAACAAAAGAAAACAGTGTTACTCTCAGTAGGTCATAAAGTTAGGGAACTCATTAAACAATTTAATACCTTGAAATACATCAGCAACACATATGAAATTATATAATTAAATTTACTCTCAGGAAAAAAATAGTGCCACAAACATTTCAATTTGTATGTATTTGGGGGTCTTTCTACACTGTAAGAAAATAATTAGCCATGTGAATGAGAAACATCAAGAGTGCATGGTCACGTGCATAAATGTGTGCATGTGTGTGTGTGTGCTTGATGAGAAGACAGACATTAAAAGTTAAAGGAGATAATATTTCAGATTCTAAAATCTATCAGATGAGTGACATTCATTTCTCCTCTCAATATTCTAACAAAGCTGTTAGGACAAAAGACCTATTTTACATTAATACAAAAATATTTGTTTTCTAACTCCAGATAGTCAACAAAGGCAAGAAACCTATTGTAAATAGCTTATCTCTGTGTTGAAGAAAACATTCTCACTTACTGCATATGTTGCAATTAAATTCTAGAAAATCTTACTCAAAGCACTATAAAAAGATTAGACATATGTTGGAAACTTTCCTGGCAAAGTCACAAAGCTTTAATATTTAAGAAACAATTGAATGTGCTCTTTTATACATAATTTGCTATTTTGTGCAATGATATATATGTGTACATATTTCTGGACTATAATGAAACAGTGCAATTTCTTTTTTAAATAAATATTTCAAGATATGATTTAAATATGATAAAATGTAATCATTTTAAGCATACATTTTTGAGTTGACAAATTTGTACACCTGCTCAACCACCACCACAATCAAGACATAAAACATTTCCATTACTCCACAAAGCTCCTTGTTTCTCTTCCTAGTCAATTTCATCCTTGGCCCCAAGCAACTGCTGATCTGCTTTCTGTCATTATAGATTATACTTTGTTTCTACATGCTTTGGTTCAGCATAATGTTTTGGGATCCATGCCTGCTGCTCCATATATCAGTTGTTTAGCTTTATATTAGCAATTTGTACAATATTAAAAGTTTTGGCTGGGTATGATGGCTCACACCTGTAATCACAGCACTTTGGGAAGCCGAGGTGGGCAGATCATGAGGTCATGAGTTTGAGCAGCCTGGTCAACATAGTGAAACCCCATCTCTACCAAAAATACAAATATTAGCCAGTCATAGTGGCCGGCTCCTGTAATCCCAGCTACTCAGGAGGCTGAGGCAGGAGAATTGCTTGAACCCAGGAAGCGGAGGTTGCAGTGAGCCAAGATTGTGCCACCGCACTCCAGCCTGAGCGACAGAGCAAGACTCTATATCAGGGTAAATAAAATAAAAAATTTTAAAAAAGATAAGTGGAAAGATTGGGCATTGTTGCCTTATTCTCAAACTTAGAAAGAAATAAGTCAGTCTTTTCATCTTAAAGTACGATGTAAATTGTGGATTTTTCATGGATGTTCATTATCAAGACGGGAGATGCCCCATGTATTTCGTTTGCTTAAAGCCATTATCATAAACTTTGTACAAACTTATTTCTAAGTATATTGTGATAATCATTTGTCTTTTATCTTTTATTCTAATATAATGAATAAAATGTTTTTGAATATTAAACAAATCTTGCATTCATGAGATAAACCTCTCAACTCCTCACCTGATATTATATATCATCCTTATTATTCAATTACTTATAGTTTGTTAATAATGTTAGTATCTATGTTAATAAGGAATATTGGTCTGTAGTTTTCTGTAATGTTTTTTGTCTGGTGTTTGTTACTAAGGAAGCATTGGCTTCATAAAATAAGTGAAGAAGTGTTTTCTGTTCCTTTATATTCTAAAATAAATTATATAGTATTGATTGGTACTATTTGTTTGTAAAATGTTTATAGAATTCATCAGTGAAGTCATATAATGAATGACTTTTTAAAATTTGAAAAAAAAGAAACTCTAAGTCAAAGTACTTTATGTAAAAGTATAACATTTTAATAATGTCCTATGAAATAAAGATTACCATTCCTCCTCCTCCTCCTTTCTTCTTCTTCTCCTCCTCCTCTTCCTCCTCCTCCTCCTCCTTCTTCCTCGTTCTTTTCCCCTGCTCCTCCTCCTACTTCTTTTTTTTCTTTGGTAAAAATGTCAATAATGTCCCCTGCCTAGAATCATAATTCATCAGTATTTTTACACATATATGAGTTCCAAAGTATAGAATTATCAAGGCTAGATTTATATGTGTACTGAGTTACCTTGATCTCTATTTTTTTTTATTTTATTTATTTATTAAATTAATTTACTTTTTTGAGACGCAGTCTCGCCCTGTCGCCCAGGCTGGAGTGCAGTGGTGCGATCTCGGCTCACTGCAAGCTCTGCCTCCGGGGTTCACACCATTCTCCTGCCTCAGTCTCCCGAGTAACTGGGACTACAGGCACCTGCCCCCTCGCCTGGCTAATTTTTTGTATTTTTAGTAGAGACGGGGTTTCACCATATTAACCAGGATGGTCTCAATCTCCTGACCTCGTGATCCGCCTGCCTTGGCCTCCCAAAGTGCTGGGATTACAGGCTTGAGCCACCGCGCCCGGCCCTTGATCTCTATTTTCCTATCCTCCTCCAAAATAAAAATTTATGAATTTAAACACTCAAAATACAGATGAAATTAAAATGTCTTAATCATGACAACCTTTTGTTATTTTAATATATTTTCTTTTGTCTTCTTTCTCATGCATTTATTTAATAGGCATTCTTTGTTTCTAAAAATCAAAAATATTAAACATATTCTCAATCTTGAAGAACATCAATATCAAATGGAGCGAGGAAACTGAAAAATCAAAACTATATATTAAGAACAGCCATAAAGTTTCACAAAGCATATTTGGGTGACACTGAGGAGGTTAATCTCCTGAATCATCAATGTTTGAAAAGGGCTTCCTAGGCCAGGCGCGGTGGCTGATACCTGTAATCTCAACACTTTGGGAGGCCGAGGCGGGTGGATCACCTGAGGTCAGGAGTTTGAGGCCAGCCTGACCAACATGGTGAAACCTCGTCTCTGCTAAAAATACCAAAATTAGCTGGGCGTGGTGGTGGGCACCTGTAATCCCAGGTACTTGGGAGGCTGAAGCAAGAGAATTTCTTGAACCCTGGAGGCAGAGGTTGCAGTGAGCCGAGAGCACGCCGTTGCCCTCCAGCCTGGGTGAAAAAGTGAGACTCTGTCTCAAAAAAAAAAAAAAAAAAAAAAAGGAGGGGGCTTCCTAGAGAAGATGATGCATGAAGTAAGTTATAGAACATACCTAACAAAGTGATGAACTCAAGCTTGTAAGAGTGTGATTTGATGAGAAACAACTTAAATAGTATAAACTGTGACTTTAAAGTGGAATTATGTGCTATGATTATATCTGCTTCCCTATATCAACCTTACGGGAATGGAGGCCTCATGAAGAGTAAAGAAAGCTAAATGTGAGCATGTAGCCTTTGGAAATACGAATGGTGTATGGTAAGCATCAATTATGTGATGAAGATAAAAATATCTGTGATTTTTAAACCATTGAAACATGCATTCTTTTTTCTCACAAAATATACATAATGAGAAAAATGGAGGCAAGACATTGGAAATGGTTTTATGAATCACATTCAGTGACAATCCATAATAGAAAGCCACTTAAGGTTATATACATAAAATCTAGTAAGTTATACATTGCAGCCAAATGTATATACTCACTAATTATGTAAATGTAATTGAAATCTGATGAAAATACTTTTGAACTTCAAATTCTGAAGTTTGTACTGACTAAAGAATACCACCCATAAAAATGAATAAAAACATACCCACAGACCTAAGGTATTTTTTATACCACACATTATGAGGTCTCTGAGAATGAAAGATCCTAGATTAGGAGCCTCAATTTTGCAGTCTTTGAAAATTGTCTATGACTGTTGCATCAGAGGTAGACCAATGAACCTCGATGCAATCTTGATCCACATACAAAGTCTGCATGTCATCATATAAATGTGAATTTTGAAGCCCCAAGTCTGTCATCCAGATTGTTCCCTAATCATACCTCAATGGATTTTTATCTATGATTGGAGAGGATGGAATAAATAATAAGTTAAATATAAGAGTTATAGTTTGAAAAATCTCTGTGAAACCTGAGCAAACCTAACAGCTCTATATTGTTGCACAAGGAGGAGGATCAGAGAACATTTTACAGCACGGGGATATTAACTGGCACACAACAACAGGATTGAATGGCAAGTTCTCTGTATAGCCAAGTTCAGACAAGGGGAAGGTTCTTTACAATACTGACAAGCTTAACTGACTGAGAATATACCTGACCATTACTGGAGGTCATAAGAAGGAAAACACCATTCTCCAGTTTCCCAGGGGTTCAGAATATAATGGTAAAAAGTTATATGAAGGAGCAGGAGTTTCTCAATTTTTTGTGTGTGAGGACTGGATTAGAAAATTTGTTTGATTCCACTTTTATGATTTAATTGCACCCTCAAGCTACAGTGGCCCAGAAAAACATTAGTTACAACTTTTATTATGTTGTATTTAAATAGCTAGTTCAAAATAAATAGCTTAATTATTAAGTGCAATAATCATAAAATACCTTAAAAAGCTATTTTCTAAATTATGCCTGCAGAGTATTTTATAACATATTAACTCTGAGTAGAAATGAACACAAGATAAATCTGCTTTAAGATACTGCACTGTCTCTTTTCCTGTTTTGAACAGAATTATTAACAGATTAGGAACCTGGCCATAACTAATTTCAGATGAAAACACTAAAATGTTATACTTTTTATATTTGGAATACAGCAATAAAATGTTAAATTGTCGTTAAACAGAAAACATCTTTTGCAGCAAATATGGAAAAGACTTAAATATAATAATCCAGATTTTACTGGAAATATTCTCCTAAGTCTATTTCTCCAGAGAGTACCAAGTTTTCAATGTAAACATTGTGCATTTTTAAAATAATGCTCAGTTTCCTGCTGCCTAAAAAAAATGTGCCAAGTTTGGGGAAAATACTTCATGAAATAATTCACATCTCATCTGCTCCTCGTTTACTATATAATTATCAGGAGTTCTAAAGGAACCACCTACAGCAGATAAAAATTTGTCTTTTAAATGAAAAATGCCCCTAATTCTAAAAAGAGGTTTTTAATTTTAAACTCAATCCACTGCAATTAAAAATAAGACATATTTGAATAATGTGCAGATTAAGAAACTGATATTTCAGAAACTATTGAAACCACATAGATCATCACTATGAAAGCAATTTAAAAATCTTCTACACAACATTTTAAATTGCATTGATTTCAAATAGCAAGAGTGTATATCAGAGATAAAGTTATTCTGAGCTGAAATATCATAATTTATTTTAAAAAGTAATACCTGGAATGAGTAGATAGAGAAGAGAGAATTCTTAAGTGGTAAAAAGACTAAGATAATATAATGATGGAGACATTTCATTATACATTGATCCAAATTCTTAGAACATACAATACCACTAGTGAACCATAATGTAAACTATAATCTCTGGGTGATAGTGATTGTCAATGTAGGTTCATCAATCGCCTTCATAATTAGAAGCATTAAATGATTTGAAGACAAAAAAAAGGATCTAGGACAAATAATAAAGAAAAAAACAGTGAAGTACACACACTGCTTTGGAACAATTTTTCATTATGACTGGGGGAACACACTAACACAGACACACACACACACACACACACACACACACACACACACACAGCCCTAGAGCCAATCTCACATGCTTTGTCCTAGCCAAAGCACCTAGTTGAGAGAGAAAACACAAATATTTACCTCTCTCTCTCTCTCTCTCTCTCTCACACACACACACACACACACACACACACAGCCCTAGAGCCAGTCTCACAATGCTTTGTCCTAGCCCAAGCACCTAGTTGAGAGACAGAAAAAACACAAATATTTCTCTCTCTCTTTCTCTCTCTCTCTCTCACACACACACACACAAAAGAAAACAAGAAAATAAAAATATCAGCATTTCAGTGGCATAGTATTAGTTCTGTTTTAATGGGAGAAACATTAAAAAAAAAGCCATTGAGTCACTGAATATTTGATTAAAGGCATAATTTTTCAGTCTTTTCTACTATCAGCAAAGTAATTTTTTTCTTCCTATACAATTTATGCAGTGGGTATACGTGTACATGCATATATAAAAAATTAAGAGCTATTGGAAAATAATAAAAATAATTTTCACTTACTTCAACTTTACTTCATAATCCATGTTAGAATTATAAAAATGGACAAGAAAGATAAAATAGCTTAAAATACAAACCTAAGAATTCCAGTATTTTCAAATAGTAGTGGAATTTAAGAATCAAACTGTTATTTGTTTTCATTTCCCATCAGGCACAATAGATGCAAATTAACAATCTTTCTTGGTATTTCCTTAACATATCATTATCTATCAACTAGTCAATGAGTGTATGCTAAGTCTATGATCTTAAATAACTTCCTATAGCTCTTGCTGTCTTTTAAAAACAAGCAAATAATCATTCAATCTTTCTGACACCCTAATCACGATGTGTGAGATAGTTCCCAACAAGAAAGCTCTTGCATGCTTTTACTAAAGACATTTTAATAAGAACAGGATATATAAAGTATTAAACTGAGTTATATTTCAAAAACTAATATGATACTGAATCATTAAGTTAATCAATCCCCATTGAGCTTAATTTGTTAACTAGTTTATATATATTAAAATATAAGTGGTCAAATTCTGGAGAACATATTGTATTTGCTTTCTTTAATAATACTTTTGCCATATAAATATAAGATTCATTATTATTGTGTTATCTCCCATACTGACTGTCTATGCAAGTTGATAATAATATCTTGAACAGCAGTAGTTACTTTACTGTAGTGCTTAATGACTTCTAAATAAAAGCAAGTAGACAGCTTTATAATACTAGTGCCAAGCTACTCTTTATTCTTGAAGTGGAGCATCTGGTTTGACTTATTGCTAAACTTCCATAGGAAATCCTTTATGGTGTTAGAAAAACAATATGTAGTTGTTTCATACGGAAAAATGCTTGTACTGTGAAAGAATAGCTGTCTTGTTGAATGTATATATATTATTTGCTCGACAGGTACATACAATTAAATAAGAGTATGAATTACATAACAGCTTAGGTCTTTGTGAAAGTACTTTCCAAAAGAATAATATCCATTTCATAAGTAGACTACTATAATTATTTTAAAAGGAAAAATTCTGAAAAATTTAACCACTCTTTAATGCAAGGAAAGATACAATCTCTGTGAGTCATGTGTTTATACAGCTTTTATTTTTTTAAAAAAATACAAAATTAGCAATGCAAAATTTCAAACAAATGGATATTGCTTTTCAATGACCAATATAAACAATTAATAATTTAAGCCTGACAAATACCACAAACATTTTCTTTTGGTTTGTATTAGTTTCCTATTGTTGTAACAAATGACCACAAACTTAGTGGCTCAAAACAACGCAAATGGATTACATCACAGTTCTGGAGGTCAAAGGTTGGAAACAGGTTTTATTAACTTAAATGAATGTGATGGCAAGGCTATGCTCCTTTTAAAGGCCCTAAGTAGGAATCTATTTCTTTGTCTTTTTCTGCTTCTAGAGGCCAACTGCAATGTTTTTCTTCATCATTAGAGCCAACAGTACAGCATCTTCAAATCTCTCTCTCCCTTTTCCTTTTCTCCCTGACGCCCTCCCTCCCTCCTCACCCCTCTGCTTCTGTCATCACATCTCCTTCTCTGCCCATGACTCTACTGCCTCCCTCTTTCCCTATAAGGATCCTTGTGATTACATTGGGCCCACTCAGGTATTCCAGAATAATCTCTCCATCTAAAGATCCTTAATCACATCTGCAAAGTCACTTTTAAAAGTAATAAATTCACAGGTTTCAGGGATTAATATGTGGACATCTGAGGGGGGCAATTGCCTACTACACAGGTTAAGTATTTGTTTTCACTAGGATATGCCTTTTCTATAATAACCAAATTTGGGTATGGTTGATAATTCTTTAAAATATACAAAATTAATCAGAAATTAAGGTATGCAAAAGAATAATGAAAAAAAGTTTTGACATATTGTAACATTGCATTGATCTATGTGATTCTGTAAGCAATTAATTCTTAGGATCTAGCAACTGATATATTGAATAATTTGTGAACCTGGGAATATCAGTTTTATAACTTCAATACTTTTTTCTTTAGTCCATTTAACTATCAGCCACCAACTCAGTTTGCTTGAAATCATCAGGCTTCATGTGGCACAAGCAGGGCCATATATACTAAGATAGTATCTATATTTTTGGGGAAGTTGGAAAGAAAAAAGTCTTAACCAACTGCTGTTAAAATATCTCACTTTTGCAGATTTTTACAAAAACATATGGTCATATGAACACACTGCCAGGGGTGATCTTAGACCTTAGAAAACTCTCATTTCAATGGAGGCTGGGGGAATTCTTAAGTTTAGCTTTAGAATAATTCTCTTTTTTTACATTAAACATTCAGGTTGTCTTTGCTTTGATTTACATATTTTATGTTTACAAAAACGCTAAAATGTATAGATTTGATTCTATTTCTTTGTGGACATTTGTGATTATATATCTAAGTTGGATTTCAAATATTTTATCAGGATGTTAAGTGGAACTTTTTATCCTTAAAACAAGTAACATAAAAACCTTATAATTTGAAGAATAATCAACATTTGGAGCTACTTACCTCCGTTCAAGTCACTAAGTCATTAACTACTTTTATTACCCAGACTGACATCTACTGGTTTCCTTTGTCCAGTTTATTTAAGTAGAAAACTGGGTAAGTGTAGTGTTGTGGTTTAATGTGCCTGGTGGGAAATAGAGCAATTTTAAGTAGCACTTCTTCCGCCACCTACTTTTTATTTAAAAAAATCCCAAAAGAATCTGTTACAGAGACTAGTAATGTTTGCAAGATAGAAGAACTGACATTCTATTCCCAGGTAAGAGTTCTGTTGAAGCAATAGATACATGTATCTGCTCTGACTACATAAAGTAGAATTAAGAGATTATAGCAGGGTAGAGAGAGGACAGAATTGATAGCTTAAAAGCTAACTGTTGGGAATAGCAATGCAGAGTGAGCTTCCTGTTGGTCAGGCAAACATCATAGAATAAACTAAGATTTGGGGCCATCTTTCTGACACCCTAATCAAGAGAGCTGTTTATAAAAAAGAAAGGGTGGGGTGGGGGCTGTCAGAAGCAAAATGTTTTGGTAAGCAAAGCCGAAGCTGGGTAGAAAAGGTCAAACTTCGTCTGGATATGAGAGAATCACACATCAAAACTACTAAGCATTACTTTCTAAGAATTCAGTCCCCAGACCAATATGTTTGCTACATGGAGGCATTCATAGGTAGTCAATGTTAGACTGATAACCTTCTATATATGACTAGCAATGTTTGCTAAACTCTGGCCAGATAGGGAAGGAACACATTTCTTTGTCTTCCCCTTTTCCTTCTTCTACCCCAACAAAATAAGAAATTCTGAGGTTTAGAAAGGGAATATAAGATAGTTAAGCCATTTCATTTGAATATGAGCCTGACAATTAAAACTAAGTAGGACTGGGCAAGGTGGCTTACGCCTGTAATCTCAGCTTTTTGGGAGGCAGAGGCGGGCAGATCCCTTGAGCTTGGCCAACATGGTGAAACCTTGTATCTACTAAAAAATACAAAAATTAGCCAGGCGTGGTGGCACGCCCCTGTAATCCCAGATACTCAGGAGGCTGAGGTGGGAGAATTGCTTGGACCCAGGAGACGGAGCTTGCAGTAAGCTGAGATTGCCTCCAGTCTGGGCGACAGAGTGAGACTCCATCTCAAAAAATAAACAAACAAGCAACACTAAATGGTACTTAGTAAAATAAATAAAAGTTACCAAATATGGTGGAATTTGCCAAAGTACGCATTAAAGGTGATTGAAAGATAATTTAGCATTAATAGTTAAACTCACTGATTGAAAACATAAAATAATATAATATTTATACCTTGATGGATAAGATTACTCAAACTTTCTTAAAAATAAAATTACTGAGTTAAAGTGTATGAATATTAAGAATTTTTGAAAGACACTTCTTATTTTCTTGCAAAAAAAAAAGCTGTATCATTATATACTTCTACTGACCACTTGTAAAGGTACCCAGTTCCCAACATCAGTATGAAAATCTATTTTTTATCAAGTCTGACATTCCGTTATTACTTAATATTCTTTCTAAGTCAAATAGTGAGTGTTTGTATCTATATTTTACTTTACTTTGTAGGCCAGCTTCTCTATGTTTGTTCTTTATACACTTTGCTCCCTTTTATAGGAATATTTCTGTTTGATCCCCAACTTCATATTCACATTCTCCAAATCCAAGTGTCCTACATCAAAGGTTCATAAAAGTTAAGTTACTTCTAGTTTAATATACTATCTTCCTTTATTTCAATGCAGACAATAAGCTTTTTGGAGTGATTTTGTTTCATAAATCAAAGTTATCAATTGAGTTAGAAGGGAAAAAGAGAAATCTGCATGTTAAAATTAGACATCAACATAACAAAGAGATTGTTTACCAAATTTCATTTCATTAATCTTTGAAAAAGTGGACAGAATTCCACTATGAACCCTGATATTAACTGTATATGAACTGTAACTTATTAGCTGCTTGTATTCATTTTATTTGGTCAGTGCCAGTGTTGTCCGGGTTGTTCTTGTTCAATATATTGAGAAATCTCCCAAATTTAGTATTAAATAAACCTAATTAAATATGCAGAATCAATCATAGCAAAAGATGATATGCCAGTGACTTTTAGTATTATCACCTAGAATAATATATTAATGAAGCCGGCATAACATTTTGCACTTTACAACTTTTAAAATATAAAAAATTAGTGCAATAATGGTAACTCCAAAGCACCTGTGTTAAGCTTTAGAACTGACTTCTTGATATTTGTTTTCTACTATTGCTTTTATTTTTGCTGGGGGACAGCAGAGTGAAAGGAGTTGCAGATTTCCTATCTATGCTTTGCTTACGTATATGGTAAAATTTGCTTTCACTGTCTGGAGACACACTTAATTCAAAGAAACCTAGAAATGTACAAAGTTTGCAAGCTGATTTGGAAGCTTGAATGGCTGTTTATATTTCACAAAATAAATAAACAATATATCAACATATAATCCAGAGCTATTTAAGGAATTATCCAAAGTTACACCAAATTTCAATATGCTTTAGTTCAACAGCAACATAGTTACTAGAATATTTTCACAGACCAAAAATATATTTTCTTTACTTTGTGCTACATATTTATTAAATCCAATCTCTGAAGAATACCATAAAATACTTCTCTTTCAAGTTTTTAATCAATTTTAGCAATAAAATATTTTTAATGTATTTTTTTTTAAAATGACAGATTTTATTTATATCTGTTTAAAAATGAATTTCCAAGTGCCTCAACAGCTCTTGGTATAAACAGTTTATTTTCATCACTTCCAACTTTATTTTAATAGAAGCACCTCACTCCAGTCCTTTGAATCTCCAGGCATTTGGCAGCCTGATAAACTGGAAGTAGAATTTCAAAATGATGAATGGATCATTAGTTGCATAGCTTCTATTATAAGTGATAGATGAGTAGATTAAACCTTGAATTTTTTACCCTTAGAATTTTATTTCAAATATTACTTTTGTTCAGGATTATATTTAGAAGTGGAACACTCTTTTTGCTTTTGAATCAAGAACCACAAAACACATAAAGCATTGTATTACACCTTCTTATATTTCTATAAAATATTTCTTCTGAGAAAATAAGAGGTTAGGAGAAAGTGTTTGGCATTGAGGTGTTCTTGTAAAAAATCGGAGGAAGGATTTAGTTGAGATTTCCTACCCACTGTTAAAAGGGACCTGAAAGGAGCCAGGAGACATCCTGGCTATGACTTAATAGCTAATGACCTTGGACAGGTCATAGTCTCTCTCTGGACTTCCGTATCCAAATTTCCGAATAGCAGTTGAACGAATTATCTTTCGGATCTTATCTAGGTATAAAAGACTGTAAATATAGAAGAAAATAAAATATTACTTAGGAATGTAACAAGCCATTCACTTAGATTATAGCAGAAGTACACTGAAAACTGCTACAGTACCAGAGACCTGGTAGCTAAAAGTGAGAGACTGAAATGACTACTAAGCAGTAAAGAACTCATGGAAAAAAACTAAATAGAGCCCTGGAGGACAAACATTGCTTTAAAGTCATTATTTTAACCAGAGATGGCTTGAAAACCTATTTTTTATTATGTTGGTTTCAAAGGAAATGTATAGTGTATGGTGATTTTGTGGTTCTGTTTTCACCTTGCAAGCCTCTAAGGCCTAATTCATACTTTTATCCCCAGCACTCAGCCTAATGCCAGAGATATCACAAACAATTACATTACATACCCTGTCATAGTCTTCTTTCTCTGCCCACTAGAACATGCACATTTAGTAAAGACATTTTCTATTTAGTCCAACAAGTAACTTCAGAATATTCAGTACAGTTATTTGCAATAGCTAGATTACAGAAAACTGTCCTAAACTGATTAATTTTAATATTGCAGTTTGACTAATATTATTTTAGAATATAGCAATAATGATCAACCTCAAAAGGCTTTTTATTTTAATGTTACATACAACTGAAGCTGTATTTTACTTTGAAGTGTTTATTGTATATTTGTATTAACTATTTTCTATTATTTGCTCATCTAACAACTCTCATCCTGAATTCATTCATTTTGGTCATCTATCTAGTTTATTACAATGTTGTAACACATAAAACTTTGAAAAATATAAGAAACTCTCCCTACTTCTTCAATTTAGAAAACTTGATTTTATCAATGTGCCTGAACTCATTGTTTATTTGAGATCTTTCTTCTTTTTTGATGTAGGCATTTATGGCTATAGGTTTCCCTCTCAGGAGTGCTTTTGCTGCACCCCCTAAGGAATGCAGGAAAGATATTGGCCAAAAAAATAACATTATTATTAAAACTACTCTCTGACAAGAGACACAATAAAGTGAATGATAAATTGGTTAAAAAGAGGTTTTCAACACATAAAATCAACAAAGGAATATACTATGAATATATAAAGAATGCCCGTGAATCAATAAGAACAAGACATGGAATTCAACATAGCAATAAACAAGTGAACAATGTCAACAGGCAAAAGACATTTCTAACACTTTTCACAAATTAGGGAAACTAAAATATTCAATAAAAGTGAATGTCAAAAAATGAGAGAATGAAAAAAGGTATAAGGAAAAATTATAATCCTAACAAGACTCCAATTTTCATGCACTAATTAAGCAAAAAATATAAGTGTGTAAAAAATGTATTATTTGGTATGTGAATACCACAGAAACTCCAACCTACTGCTATCAGAGAATGAACAATAAAGTCTCTTTGAAAAACATTTATTACTTGATAAATTTGAATGTGCATATACACTACAACCTGGCAATTCTATTTCTAGGTGTATACAAAAAAAGAAACTCATGGGCATGTACCACAGTATGCAATAGAAATACCACGATTCTGTACCATCAATTCTAGATGTGATGAACTCAAACACAAGTATTTTTTTAAAAAAAAGGATTACCAAAGAACATATTGTGAGTTAAAATACAAATGGTAACAATAATGTTCTCACTGAAAAATATTTAATTTTGAGTAAGAATTTAAAATAAATCTGTTAAAATAATATTTATTTATTTTTATCTGGATACAAATGTCTGTTTTCCAAATTTGAAAAATATGACTTTTGGCATATATTCTAAAATTTTCAGATGTTCTTCAGTTAATTTTTGTAATTATTAATACTTGTAATTTTCCATATCTGCTTTTAAACAATAAATATTTCTTTTAATATTACCAGATCAGCCTTAAAATTTTGTTCTTTACACCTTTTTTTTCTTTCTTTTCTTTTTCAGAGACGGTTTCACTCCTGTTGCCCAGGCTGTTGCAATGGCACAATATCTGCTAACCACAACTTCCTCCTCCCCAGTTCAAGCGATTATCCTGCCTCAAGACTCCCAAGTAGCTGGGATTGCAGGCATGCGCCACCATGCCCGGTTAATTTTTTATTTATAGTAGAGACAGGGTTTCTCCATGTTGGTCAGGCTGGTCTCCAACTCCAGACCTGAGGTGATCCGCCCGCCTCGGCCTCCCAAAGTACTGGGATTACAGTGGTGAGCCACTGAGCCCGGCCATATTCTTTACATCTTTTATAAACTTACTAAATTTTGTTCTTTTGTTCCCATTGCCTGTGACAGTTATACATAAGAAACTCCATGTTGAATAAATATTGAGTAAACCAGTTCTTCCTCTGTTTTAATTCCTTCTAAACTTTCCTAGGAAGTTGAAATTCAAGGCACCCATATTGATTTAATGAGTTCAGAATCCCTAGATTGGCAGTTCTCAAGACTTCGATTCTTGACCTAGCTGAGATATTAACTTGAAGAGCTTCTTAGAATAAATCCATTTCTAATGTCTCTTAGCTACCTATGCAATCTAAAGGATGATTAATAATCATGGCAAATTTTGAATTCACAATGCTCAAGATAAATTATTTAAATAGTATATTTTCTGCTTACCATACACATGTAAGATTTATATAATACATTTGCATATACACTTATTATTCAACAAATGTCAAGCTAATAATAATTATGAAACTAGTGCAGTGTGGGTAGTACATTGTAGATGCAATTCATTTCAAGGCAAGATCTCTGACAAATAATACAATTTGATCAAGGAAAAATGGAAAATAAATCAGAAAGATTTCAGTTAAAAAAGCCAAATGTTTAAGTAACAAAATGTTTCTGTATCACAATAGAACTTTTCAGGCACAAATTAATTAGATATCTGTATAATTAACATGAAATATAAATTCATCTTTCTAGGTAGCAATAAGTCAATGTATTTTTTTTTCTGGAAAAAACACAAACATGAAATTTTGATATACTGGTTAAATTCAATTGTATTATGATTCATTTTATGTACTAATAAAATAAGTCAAGATAGATAATCTTAATGATCAGAGTTGACAAAAAAATGGCAAACAGACCATAATTAATGAATTTCCTATTTAGCCTTCTCTGGTATTGGCATTATTCCAGACTAGTTTGCTAACATTAAGCAGCATCTTAATACATGTATTTTGTTTCACTGTAGAACTATGTATTTATTCATTGTAGTTGAGCCTAAATTAAACACTGCAAGAAATTTCGTTTAGAGAACCACACGAGATGCTATAATTTTATCTATGGGTAAAGAAGTATGCAATTAATTTTAGTGGGCATTAATTCTCCATTTCTGCTGTTACGTGAAAGTCCATATATATGACAGTCCACATGGTTTGAATGTCTTCTCTGCTCATACCCATCCCAATTGTTATAACATTGAACGATTCATTTCTATAAATGACAATTTTGAAGAAAAAATTAACATGTTGGTATTACAATTTGATTCTATCAAAATATTTCAAGGTACACTAGTCATTTAATTATACAATTGTGTACTTATTTAAAACAAACATTCTAGTAATAAGACACAGAGGGTTTAGGGGCTATTCTCTTCAGCCATAAAGACATATCATTTCTAAATTTGTGACCATTACAAAAAAATTACCAAGAGGATAGCATGAATAGATAAACATAATAATTTACTTGTTGAGCACTGAGGTATATGTCTATGTAATTCAGATGTAGTCATAATAATTTATAATATAATGGACATATCTATATGGCTAAGAAAAAATTCTTTTCCAAATTATTTAAGTTTATGAAAAAATGTGGATTTTAATTTCTATCAAGTAGTAAGCATACAAAATAGTTTCAAAAATTCCAAAAGCATAAATTCTTTTAATAATTTTCGTGCAGTCTTTAACAGATCTTCAAGCAGAAAAATGTAGAAATGTATTAAAGGATCATTTTTACTCCATCCACAATGCTGAAAATATACCACTCAAGCTGCTCTCAAAATACTAATTAAACAAAACAACCGGGGCTAGAGATTACAAAGAAAAATTGGAAAATTGCCCTGTCCTAGAAGTATTATATATTAAGAAATCCGGGCCGGGCGCGGTGGCTCATGCCTGTAATCCCAGCACTTTGGGAGGCCGAGGTGTGTGGATCACGAGATCAGGAGATCAAGACCATCCTGACTAACACGGTGAAACCCCGTCTCTATTAAAAATACAAAAAATTAGCTGGGCGTGGTGGCGGGCACCTGTAGTCCCAGCTACCTGGGAGGCTGAGGCAGGAGAACGGCGTGAACCCGGGAGGCAGAGCTTGCACTGAGCAGAGATCATGCCACTGCACTCCAGCCTGGGCGACAGCACGAGACTCCGTCTCAAAAAAAATAATAAATAAAATTAAAAAAAGAAATCCTCAAAGTTAGGTTATCTGTTGGTGTTTAGCTGTATAAAATTTCAAGTATAGTAAATTGTGTTCAAAACATCTATTTAAATTAATCTCTAGGAAGAATTTAAATGGTAAAACACTAATAATATTACTCAAAATAAGTTAGTGAAAGAGTACTATTAATTTATAAACTGTTACTATAAAATAATCCATCCCACTCTGCTTTATACTATAAAAGGTAAAATAGCCTCAAACAAGATTTATGAAAATATATTCATCTTAAATCGTGCCTTTTATCTACTTATTTATTTCTCCATCTGTCCACATATATTCTGTTGTTCATTATAAATAGCAATTTTATTTATACTGTATTCATCTTTATGTAATGAAACATATACTAAGTCATTTATCTAGATTACACTGAAAACATAGATCCAGATCCTACCTACTCTTTATCTATCTAGACATAAAATTATACTTATATAATAATGTTAAACATTCAAGTTAACTAATTTTCCAAGGAATCTAATTTATGACTT
This sequence comes from Homo sapiens, assembly GCF_000001405.40. NCBI lineage: Eukaryota > Metazoa > Chordata > Mammalia > Primates > Hominidae > Homo > Homo sapiens. The sequence goes on along the minus strand of NC_000002.12, from coordinate 184,625,338 downwards.
TGTGAGAAAAAATAAGAAAGCAATAATAAAATGCTTAATGATAGTGTATAAACTGATGGCTATTTTATAATTTTTGTCGTATTTATAATTTTGACATAACATTTAAAATTATATCTGTCACATGCTGCATTACTGAAATTGATATCTACTAGAGGGGAAAAACCCACATTTATTATTATTTTTGTCCTCCCACTTCTGCCAACCTGATTCTTGACATTTTCATTTGGGTGCTCTTGAATTAAAAATTTTAGACATAATTCTGAAAGATTAAATTGTTTTGGTGATACCAAGAGTACCTTGTAGGTATAATCAAAGTATCCTGCTTATTTTAATGATCAGAAGCAACAGAACATTCCCATCACAAACGGAACAATCACTTACTGCTGTAAGTAATATAATACTGGAACTCAATACGCAGAAGCAGTTTGCATGCCACTCACCCACTCCCATTCAACAAAGTGATATATTTTCAAATTTACTCTGTAATGCAGTGTTACTCATTAATTTAATCAGCTGCTATTCTTCATGGTTATAAATTCAAAACTATACAGAAATCAATTCTGAATGACAACCAGCTTTTCACCAAGAATGTTGCATAATCAAAACAAATTGGAAATAAGTGTTTAGTTTAATCAGAAAAAGGTATAGTTGACCCTCACAGAAGGAGGGATATCTACTATAGTAGTGTAGAATTTAGAATACTACAAATGGAGCCCCATTTTTTAGTTACAACCTGGAACCTCTGTTATGAATAATTCAAAAATTTATAAAAATGTGTGTCTTCTCCAGTTTGTAAGTGATCCAACTTGGCACATATGCTCAGTCTTTTATAGAATCATTGCTAGTGCTCTGAAAAATGTAATATAGAACTTACCACATCCCTCACATGCAGACATGCATGTGCATAAACATGGGAGTATTGGAATTCAGATACTTAAAATTATATTTTTATCAAAGTGAGATGAAAGACTTTCACAGAAGTCTCCAAGCATTTATATTTACAGCTAGCTTGTAGATGTCTTATAGTATTTTTAGGCTTTTTTATTGTGGTAAAATATAGCATAAAATTTACCATTTTTACCATTTTAAGTGTATAACTCATTGGCATTAAGTACATACACATAGTTGTATCACCATTCTCATAGTATTTTTTATCAACATTACATGAAAGAATATCTGAATAAAAATGGAGCCAACACTCCTTTAATCTACTGGTAACTGCAAATGTATTAATGGGCCAGCACTATTTTAACTATCCTTGTCAATCAATTATGAGGAATTCTGACATGCTTGTGCAACTTTTGGAAAAGCCAGACATACCTAAGAATTTTTAGTCCCCCTGACTAATTGTTTAAATAAGCATACTGATTTCTCGATATTATTCCAGAAGTATCTTGAATTATGCTTTCCTCTTAAAATCAGATGATTTATTTAAGTTTTGAGGCCTGGTGGAATGTTATAATCTGAGTAAGGATGATTTGTGCTTAATCTAGCAATCAAACGAACTTCATTAATAGTTTTGCTGTGACATTTGCCATATATTGCATGTGGGGAAGTTGTGTATGTGCGTGCACACCTGAGTGTGTGTTTGTTAATGTGGCTCTTTTTTAAAGATTGTGGTCAGTGCAATGGCAATCATGCTCCAATGCAGTAACATTATCTGGGTCAAGTGCTGGGTTTGGATGTCATCTTCTGCAAATGTGTACTTTTGTGATATTCAACATGTGTCACTTATTAAAGCTAGGCATGGCTTTGAACATCATTAATTTGATCTTAAGCAGTACCCAAAAGTCAATAAAACAAATGTTTCTTGGAACCATTAACATAGTAAAAATATATGAAAAATGTGACCCACCCTTAATTTACATACATTTAGTACAGTGACACAAAAATACTTGAAAAATCTTCAATAATTTCTGGATATTTTACAAATCCTATTAATTATCATTCTAAATATGAAAAGATAGAGAATATTTGTGCTTATTTTATATTTGAGAGTTTGTTTTTTACTTCATGCAAGCATTAAAATGAATTTTTTTAATTTCATGTCAGGATTTTATTTTTTAGTAAATTTATTTCTAATATCCCATTACTTCCCAGTATTTTATTTTGTAGTATTTTATGCATATTAACTTTATTATTTTCTTATGAATTTTGAGGATAAAACATGTTGTACTTACTATTATTGCAGATTTCAATTAAGGAACGGCTGATAATATTCAGACATTTTTAGTTACCTCTTCTATGACTACAATAAAGAATAGTCTACAAAGTAATTGTTGCTCATATAACCCACTGCTAATTTTTCCAGCAAATAAAGGGAATGCCTTTCTTGTCCACCTAATAGCATATAGCTTCTCATTTGTGTAGTACTGATGTTGATACAAGGGATAGATTGTTCTAAGTTCTGATTTTTCAGTGCAATATCATATCTTTGTTGTGTGGGCACCTCTTCTTCAAATGCTATTTTCAAGTACACTTATAGGCACTGAAAATTTTCTGCAGAATATGTATTCCGGTTCTAAGTTCTTTCCTTTCCTCAGTTTGTTTTCAGGCTAATTTACTTAAATTATTCTCCTAGATAATTTACTCTTGCATACACACATCTTATACAAATCAATGAAGTCTTTTTCAATGTTGTTGTATTGTTTTTATACATTTAACATCATAGTGTTTTCTGAAAGCAACTTAAAAACTAATAAGATGTCAGTATTATTGAAATCGACAAAAAGCTGATACATACACTCCAAAGTGTATATATATGGCATAAATTGGTTTCAATAGAATGAAAGTCTATTGAAGGTGGTAGGCAATTTTTTCACTCAGCAGTACATATAATGTAAAATATTATATTAATATCTAATGCAAAATCAAGGCTCCTTTTGGTGCAAGAAATTTATCTCAATAAGCTCCATTTTCCCAGGTCTTGGGTGATCAGAACATTGTTAAGTTCAAATTTGACTCAATCTTTGATTACAATTCAAACATTTAAAGAAAGCAATCGAAAAACCATAAATTCACACTGTGGAGAAAGGTATACTTTAGAGGAATTGAAATACTTCCTATTTCATGACACAATATAAAGATGCAAATAATGAAAAATGGATTACAGTTATTAATATCATACTTATTTCCTGATCTACAGTTATCATTGTACCCTTTCAATGAACTTGACGTGTGAGAGATATACTAGCATAGTGAATATAAGCTCTGGCTCTGAAGACAGATTGCCTGAATTTGAATGACACAAGTAAGATATAATCAGAGTACTTTCCAAATAGCGTTCCGTTAGGATAAAATACAAATAAAATGCCTGGAAATGTATACAGAACAGTCAAATTAATGACTAATTGAGATGTTTCAAAATTTCACATCAAAAACCAAACTCAGGCCATATTTCAAAATTATTGTCTTTGGCCATAAGATGTTTTCATTGCAGATTGCAGTCAATTCTTTTCTCATATGCCAATCAAATCTCTGGATTTGTTTGATAGCATAATGCTATTAAGAAGGCCTTCAAATTAAGAAAATAGGTACAAGCATTTCTATACATTATAAAATGTTATAGAAATATTTTTAAATAAGATAATCACAAATATCCAGATAATTTTTAAAAATATTTCTACTTGCTGCCAGTAAATTATACTACACACTTTTTTGGGGTACATGCATCCTACTTTGGAGACCACTGCACTAAACAGTACAATCTATAAAAAAAGGACATTGTATTAATACTCCTAGTAGAGTATCAGCTACATAGAGGCAATCAATAGACATTTGTTACAGAAATATAGAAATAAATGAATATGTACACACCAATGCAGACACATACTTTCTCTAGTAGCATAGTGTAATTATCCAGGAACAATACGGCAGAAATTAAATCCACAAATTCTGAAGCCATTTATGTCGGATTGTCCATCTAGAAATATGGATACATGGATATATAGCTATATACAAATACATGCACATACATAATTATTAATACAAGTGCTGGTAATGGGAAATAATTTGTTGCTGGGATCAACATGCAAATGTATAGTGTATCTTACTTGATATTTGTTACAATTTCTAAGTTTTATCCCAATGATTTAAAAATTATCTACCAGTGTTGTTAAAAAAAGAAATATATTTCATCTGGAAAGTTATTTTTCTAAATGATTCTATATTTTGAAAATAGAACTAAAAATGTATGAGATAATATGTGAAAATTTTGAGTATTTTATATACGTACATACATTTTTTTCTAGCCTTCTGAAATTCCAAAACTGACAGACTTGAATGTTTGTTTATGTTCGTCTGTTATTTCTGTCTGCTTCTGTCATTATCTAGTTATCATCTATTAATTATTCTTATTATAGGAAATTAAAGATACAGAAAAATAAATGCTATTAAAAATCCAAATAATTGTGAAATAAATTGCAGCTATCTTCTTATTAAACATTTACTACCATTTATGATACCATTCCTTGTATACTAAAATTATAAAAATATCGATAGGATGTTTAAGTTTACAACTAATGAAATCAATCAAGTAATTACTACACATTTTATACTACCAATAATTGTGACACTTCTCTACAGAATGCTTATTACATCTATTTCACTTACAATTTTTTGCCTTCCATATGAAATTCTCTCTTCCTTTGTTTTTCCACTTATTGTAATATTATACTGTCCTTGAAAATGACTTTCAACAGGCTCAAGCAAAAATAATATGTGTGATTCCATACCCTGATGACTAAGAAATTACCAGAGGTTTCATAAAGGGAGAATCATCATATCCTGTTACTACCCTGTTTAATTCAATCTGATGAATAAATAGATGAGTTCGTTTTGCCAATTTTTAATGAGGCATAGTTGCTAAAATAAAAATCAAATCACTTAGATTCCAATCTAATGTCAAAAACACAACTTTATTTTCACAGATAGTCTTCCTCTTGGTGAAAAGTATTGCTTAGACAATTCTTCCTTTTATGAACTGATTTGCAGAACTAGCAATTTTTTTAGCAGAAAATTAAGCAATATATTTTAACTCTTATTTGTAGGAATCTTTGTCACACTATTTGTTTCTTTTGATTTGCATGAAGGAATGTTAAAGAATTATAACGCAATATTTGGCAAACAAAACAGATCAGAGATATTTATAAGCTAGAGCTCAATAACCTATCATTAAGTGTGATTACTTTATGTTTTTCAAATATTTCCATACAAACTTTCTTTAATAGTTTATATTTTTAAATCAGTGAAATAAGTGTTTATCATATTATTCATAATCTGATATCATATATAATTTTGTGATATAAAATAGTTAAGAACCTACAAAATATACTTCCCTAGGGATGCTCACACACTTATTTTGAGAAATGTATATTTGATTTACAATTGGATGTATTTTGTTACCTATAGATTTAATCATAAATTGTTTTTAAGGGTATAATGTGAAACACATTTTTGCAAATAATTTATTTAGTTTGAATTATATAATTAACTGACTTCTCTGCTGTATTTATTCTTCTTTGTAAAATATGTTTATAGTCTATCATTATTATAAGAATTGTTATAAATAACGATAATTTATTGTGGTTGTGATGAGATCACAACCTAAGTCAAAATTAGTCTGAACCACTCATAAGCATGTATAACTTCTGGCTAGATACTTAGAGTTTTTCATCCATAAAATGGAGGTAATAACTGTACCCACCTGCTTTAAAATCATGTTTTTTATTATAAACATATTTACATAAAAATACTAACTTAGAAGAAATGTGATATAGAGGCATGATATTAACTTGCAAGCATCCATTTGAAGGATATCATTAATTTTATTCTTAGCCTTACAGTAATTGTTTCTAGCTTCCTTTATTGCCATTAATAATGTTGACTTCCTTTCTTCTCCACTTCAAAAGTCAGTACAATATTTTCTCAACATAAATACCCTTAAAATGATCCAATTCTATTCATATAACTTGAAGCAGTCTAGACTATACAGTAACCTTAAAAAAACACACAAAAATATGTCTTCTATTTTTAAATAAAAGCTTCTAACTACATTATAGTTGTTATCTTGATCAGATTATATATGCATAAATACATGCATAAATCTATATAATATTTATCACTATATATCTTTACACGTAAATTTGGTGTTGGAACAAATTAATGAAGACCGAAAGAATAAGAAACCTCTTTACAAATCACACCAAACGTCTGCTCACAGGCTCCTTGCTGATTACTTTTTGTTCACACATCACAAGGTGTTTTTCTCCTCCCTGCTCCCTCCCATTCCCTGCAGCAAAGCCAGCAATTAGTAGAAAATAAGTTTAGATGCATCCGCATCTTACCAAAAAATATATTAAAAGGCCCCCGATCTTTTTATCTTCTTATACTCTCCCTGAAATTAGTTTCTGAAAAGATGGAAGCATAACTTACACATTATAAACTGTCTTAGCTGAAAACCAATCTCTATAAACGTGTACTGCAAAGCCCAGTGATTAGAAAATGGGCAGCTTTGCTTATCTTATTCCTTTAAATGGAAGAAACAATAATATATTCCAGAAAATGGTGGTGCACTTCTAGGTATAAACAGCCTGCAAATAATTCTTTATTTAATGTGAGAAGTTTTATTAATCTTAATAGTATATAGAAGGTTTCAGAACTAGGAATTTTTAAAAGCTGGGAGAAAATTGCAACATGAATTGATACAGTCGTCCCTAGGTTTACAGGGGGTTTGGTTCCAGGAATCCCAGCGATACCAAAATCCGAGGATGCTAACGTTCCATGGTAGGCCCTGTGAAACCTATGGATATGGAGACCTAACTGTATTAGAAAAATATTTTAACACCTGAATTTTACCAAAATCATATCTTTTATTAAATAATCTTTTTTTCCTATCTTGGTGCAATATATAATGTACATTAAACATGCTACTTCGTGCGTATATAATCTAATTGACTAGCTTCTGTTCAATTACCTGTAATAAGGTGAAAAACAAACCTGAAAATGTCTTTGCTGAAAACTTTTTTGGTAAGTTAATAAATAGGCAATAATGCCAATTTTAATTAAGTATCCAGATGTTTATACCAAAAATAGAAAAACAAAGAAATGAAAGAGCAAATTATTTTTGCAAATTAAACCATGATATTTGGAGGCAATATTGAATGATTTATAAACGTGTTTCCTAATTCTAATCTCAATAACTGGGCATAGCCATATTTTCTAGGATATGAGAATGCATATTATTCATTACTTGTGAGATAAACTAAACACAATGGAATAAATATAAATATACATATGTTAAAGTCTTAGTATTCTTGTCCATACTCTAGTGTCCACAAGACATGTATAAATTAAAGACAACATAGATGACCTTGGATAAGATGTAACCTCTAAACACTAAGTTTTCTCATTTTTAAAATGGCAATTATAATAATATCAAATTAAATAGTTGCTGCAATGTTTGACATATTTTATGTAAATTTTTATCAATGGACCTAACAAAGAATAAGTGCTCAATATGTGAGAAATTAATTTAAAGTTTGTTGATTTATTTTAATGATTTGAAAATATGATTTAGAGAAGATTAATCAAAGGTGTTTAGAATATTTATAAAACTGTATTAAATAATTGACTTAACCACAAAATTATTAATGTAGAATTGATTCCTAAGGCATCATAATCACAATATAAGTAAAAATTCTAAACAGTGATGAAAGTTCCATATATCCAGAAATGACTTAAGAGTACCTATACCATATTTTAAAATAAAATAATTGGTAAAAGTTATTTTATTTATAAATCCAAGCTCTCAATTGTTAAATCTTCGATATAATTTTTTGTAAAAACACCTTGCATTTGTTCTGCTATTCATAAAGCTGTTTACTTTTATGTCTTTTTATTTTTCAAATTACATGATGTTTAAACAAATTTATTGTCTCAATCATTTGCTTTGTTATTCAACACAATGGTTTTAAAAAACAGCATACATTGTAAATTATTGAATACTATGAATGCATTATTATACCTAATTTCTACATAAACTAAGACATTAAAGCATCTTTGAAAAGGAAATTGGCCAAGTTAACTAAATTTTCTCATGAAGCTTAACCTAGAACTAGATTTATTGTGCTTACAAAATAGTCTTACATTTCCACCCATTCTGTAGATGTTAGATTCTATTAAATTTTAAAATTATGTCCTTTAACTATAACTACAGTTTTTTCAAGTTTTTTTAATTTATCTTCTTTCTTTTTTATAATGAAACAAATGTATAGCTAATTTTCTAAAAGATTTATTGTAAGTGATGGGAGGGTAAGGAGTGGAGAGAAGAGAACCTAAGAAAATGATGAGAGGAGGACCTCATCTCTCATACTAAATATGAATGTGTGACATCCAAACATTCTTCAGGAACATGTCCACTGAAGCCAAACCACATGTATTTTAGCCTAGAACAGCAAGAGTCATCTGAGGGCACTTAGCAAAGCTAGATTCCTGCACCATCCCACAGATATTAAGATTTAGAACCTATGAAAAGAGGTCCATGATGCTACATTTTCTAAACTTTCAGGTGATATTTATGACCAATTAGTTTTGGAATCTGTGCTCCGTAGAACTTTATTTTCCTGCATAGAATAAACTAGGGAATCTACTTATAGGCTATTTATGGGTACTAAATTTTATGAACAATTCCCTGACCTTTATTTCCCTAGACTCCCGAAAGCACCTATTCCCTATTTATTTGGCAGCTCTTACGTTCTGTCTGATAAACACATGTCCATTTATTAGCTTTGGAAGGGAAGAACGATAATTCTTCTATAAGATGGAAATAATCGTAAAAATAATAGCTTTTATTATATGCCAGACACTGAAGCAGACACTTCCCTTATATTATTTAATCTTTACAACAATGCCATTCACACATAGGCATCTTAGAGCATTTCAGTAGTAATTACATATAATATGTATAATATTTCAAGATAACATTTGGTGTACAGCAGGGACTAAAGTTAATTGTAGTTTTTGCTATTTACAGACAAAGAAACAGAAACAAAAAGAGGTTAAATAACTGACTCAGGTTACACAGCTAGAATTCAAACTCATGTCTCTCTAGTTCCAAATAGAAAGGGGAATGGTGGGAAGCAAAGGAAGGTGTGAAACACGTGAAAACTCTGGAAAACCCAGAAAATATTGAAAAAAAAGTAAAATTCTACATTTTTCCTAAATCTAGTCATGTTTCTCAGCAAAAAAGTAAATAAATAAATAACTCACTGAATGATGCATAAAATAGGTTTATTGGAAAGGTGGAGGACAGATTCAAAGGTGACCCTGTTGAATCAGGCTTATTGAGGAACCAAAATGGTCAATGCTTGGGCCAAGTTCTGTCACTTAAAATAGTCAACTAGAAACAACATAGCTGGATCTTCAGGCCCAGGAACTTTTCACTGATGATGTTAGTGTGTGGTGACTGAAGACTCGCTGGGACTCCCTTCTCTTAACCCTGCTGCAGCTGCTTCCAGTGATCTCCAGTGGACCCTGTGTCTTTGTGCCATCCTACCTCTGAATGTCCCTTCTTGTATCAGGTGGCTAAACTTAACTTGCCAGAAAGTGGGGAGAAAGTAACTACATTCCTTATATCACTGCCTATTATTGGGCTTGAGATTGTTAAAAAAATAGCCAAAAATCATATGAAATACATCACCTGTAGATAGGATTCTGTCATGAGGCTACAAATCCTCAAAGAATGCAGAATTCAAGCCAGAATAGAAACAGAGGCATCATTTCAAGTAGGTTCCTGTTACTATGGTAATTTTTATTTTTTTTATTTAGCAGAGTTACCATATAAGTTATCATCCAAATTAATTGTGAGAGTTAAAGGCAGTGTCATTATTAATAATGCCAGGACAACAGCATAAACTGGGACTGTCTTTGGCAAACCTGGATGTGCCATCACCCAATTATTCTTTTTTTATTATTATAATTTAAGTTCTGGGATACATGTGCAGAATGTGCAGGTGTGTTACATAGGTATACATGTGACATGGTGGTTTGCTGCACCCATCAACCTGTCACCTACATTAGGTGGTTTCCAGCTTCATCCATATCCCTGCAAAGGGCATGAACTAATCCTTTTTTATGGCTGCATAGTATTCCATGGTGTATATGTGCCACATTGTCTTTATCCAGTCTATCATTGATGGGCATTTGGATTGGTTCCAAGTCTTTGCTATTGTGAATAGTGCTGCAATAAACATATGTGTGCATGTGTCTTTAGAGTAGAATGATTTATAATCCTTTGGGTATATATCCAATAATGGGACTGCTGGGTCAAATGGTATTTCTGGTTCTGGATCCTTGAGGAATCACCACACTGTCTTTCACAATAGTTGAACTAATTTACACTCCCACCAACAGTGTAAAAGTTTTCCAATTTCTCCACATCCTCTCCAGCATCTGTTGTTTCCTGACTTTTTAATGATTGCCATTCTAACTAGCATGAGATGGTATCTCATTGTGGTTTTGATTTGCATTTCTCTAATGACCAGTGATAATGAGCTTTTTTTCATGTTTGTTGGTCACATAAATGTCTTCTTTTCAGAAGTGTCTGTTCACATCCTCTGCCGACTTTTTGATTGGGATGTTTGTTTTTTTCTTGTGAATTTGTTTAAGTTCCTGTTACTATGGTAATTTTTATTTTTTATTTAGCAGGGTTACCACATAAGTTATCATCCAAATTAATTGTGAGAGTTAAAGGCAGTGTCATTATTAATAATGCCAGGAGATTCTGGATATTAGCTCTTTGTCAGATGGATAGATTGTATAAAATTTCTCCCATTCTGTAGATTGCCTGTTCACTCTGATGATAGTTTCTTTTGCTGTGCAGAAGCTCTTTAGTTTAATTAGATCTTATTTGTCAATTTTGGCTTTTGTTGCCATTGCTTTTGGTGTTTTAGACATGAAGTCTTTGCCCATACCTATGTCCTGAATGGTACTGCCTAGGTTTTCTTACAGGGTTTTTTATGGTTTTAGGTCTTATGTTTAAATCTTTAATCTATATTGAGTTAATTTTTGTATAAGGTGTAAGAAAGGGGTCCAGTTTCCGTTTTCTGCCTATGGCTAGCCAGTTTTCCCAACACCTTTATTAAATTGGGAATCCTTTCCCCATTTCTTGTTTTTGTCAGGTTTGTCAAAGATCAGATGGTTGTAGATGTGTGGTGTTATTTCTGAGGCCTCTGTTCTGTTCCATTAGTCTATATATCTGTTTTGGTACCAGTACCATGCTGTTTTGGTTACTGTAGTCTTGTAGTATAGTTTGAAGTCAGATAGCATGATGCCTCCAGCTTTGTTCTTTTTACTTAGGATTGTCTTGGCTATACCAGCTCTTTTTTGGTTCCATATTAAATTTAACATAGTTTTTTCTAATTCTGTGAAGAAAGTCAATGGTAGCTTGATGGGGATAGCATTGAATCTATAAATTACTTTGGGCAGTATGGCCGTTTTCATGATATTGATTCTTCCTGTCCATGAATATGGAATATTTTTCCATTTGTTTGTGTCCTCTCTTATTTCCTTGAGCAGTGGTTTGTAGTTCTCCTTGAAGAGGTCCTTCACATTCCATGTAAGTTGTATTCCTAGGTATTTTATTCTCTTTGTAGCACCAATTCTTCTTATATCAGCTATGTTAGCTTATATTAGCTTCTTACTGCCTTAGAAGAATTAATTAATTTCTCTTTCCCCTTACCCCCATCTCTTTCTTTTTATTAATTTTTAATTTGTAGGATTGTCCATCCAGTGGAACTTTGACCACTGAGTTACTTCAGGTTTTGCCAAATCTTACTAACATGATTTTCAGACCTCTGGTATTATATTGGTCGGCCAGAAAGTTCTTCCTTTTCAAATGAATTATTGTTTACATTTCTGGCCATGGCTAAAGATGCTAGTAGAATTCTGTGGACTTCAGGAGAAACAAACATTCAGACAGGCTGAAACTGAAATAACAGCACCCTCTACTACCATGGTGTGTAGTGAGACAGCGAGAGCAAGAGAGTGAGTGACAGGAAGTGGGGCAGAGAGCGAGAAAGAGAGAGAATATGAATGATTTTGTTCCACATGTGCATGTCTGTTTTGCCTTGAACCTGTGAATAGATATTGCCCTTATTTTATGAAGGGTTCTAAGAGAAAAGAGGAGAGTGTCTCATACTCTACACAGTTTCTATACTTCATAGAATTATATCCGCACCTTGCTAATGTGTCAAAATAGTTGGCATGTTGGATGCCTGAAAGGCAAATAATTGTTCATACAACATCATATGTGAGTTAAATTGTGGTATCACATAAGGAAACAACATCCTCAGTCTCCAAATGTTTCTTACTTTATCAAATTTAGCTTATATAATGCTAGCTGTTGCACAAAGATCTGTGTGTTTTGATTTATTATTATTATTTACTTAATTAACCCTTTACTGTGGAATAATATGGAAATAGATTGTCTTCAATGTGGCTCTTCAGGACAGCAATAAGTAATAAACTCCATCTGAAATTCTATTACTATCAGTCTACCTGTGAAAAAGCTTTGTGTGTTTTTGAGTAACAGTATGTATCATAACATCAACTACTTTAAGTCCTCATCCATAAAAATCACATCCTTTGGGAGGCCGAGGTGGGCAGATCACCTGAGGTAAGAAGTTCAAGATCAGCCTGACCAACATAGAGAAACCCTGTCTCTACTAAAAATACAAAAATTAGCCAGACTTGGTGGTGGGAGCCTGTAATCCCAGCTACTCAGCTGAGGCAGGAGAATTGCTGGAACCTGGGAGGCGGAGGTTGCAGTGAGCCAAGATCACACCACTGCACTCCAGCCTGGGCAACAAGAGCAAGACTCCGTCCCCCCCCCAAAAAAAAAAAAAATTACATCTTTCATGTTGAACCAATAATTTCCCAGTGATTGGTAATACAAATAGAAAAGTTTGTATAATTTTAAACAATCTGTACTATTTCCCTAGAAATATAATACTAATTGCTATGAAGAAAATTCCATTAAATTTTAATAAAGTTTGAAAATTTGGATCTCAGATATTTTTCAACTATTTTTTTCTATTTATATAATATCACTTATGGCAATCATGAAAATAAGAAATAATTTTCAAAATTTCACATATTATTTCATATTTTTGGTATTCTTTCAGCAAGTAACTATCATCACAGTTGACCTTTATTTTGGTTAATAATGTACTCCATGAACATTTCAATCAAATTTAATGATTAATTAGCTATGACATTAAAGCAAATTAGGTATTAAGAATCATAAAAGGTTTAAGAAACTAAAAAACCCTAAAAACATCAGCTTCAATAGGAAGACTGATACTTTTACAGCCAAGAGTGACACCTAATGAAGATATAATTGGTCATCAACTCTATGTCAGCAATATCTTATCCATGTATCACATGTGACTAAAATAGATAATGGCCAAAAATAATTACTAGGTGAAGTATGCAAATAAAGTACACAGCAAACACATCACCCCTATGTTGCCTTCTTATATTGACTTTCTGGCTAACAAAATTTAAACTGACTCTTTACTAATAAAATTGTCCTAAGTATATTTGACAATGTTATTAATCTATGGTTGATTACTATGCCTGTTTTTTTGAAAAGAAGAGGAAATGTTATGTCGCCCCCTAGTGTAAATATTAATTTTGTAACTTCAGAACTTCAGTAATCTAGAAGACATTGCAAGGGAATTACAGCTATCAAAATTATTATTGAAGAGAATTAAAAGAATTTCTAAGCTTCCCAAAAGAGCAAGCTTCCCATTGTTTCGTGAACTTTATGAGTCACAGCAATGACTGATATCTGAGGGTTTCCTTATGATTTTCATGTCTTCATAAATATTTAGGGCTAAATATTCATGCCCTAAATATCATGCCATAAATATTTAGCCCTAAAATATTTAGGGCTCAGCACATATTTAAGATTCTATACATTCTTGGGGTATGGGTAAACATGTAAGAAATGCCACGGGTAAGCTAAGAGCAATGTTCTGAATGTTTGCCCTCCCCCAAAAAAAGTATATGTTGAAATTCTAAGCCCCAATGTGATGGTATCAGAGATGAGGACTTTGGAAGGTAATTAGGTCATGAGAACTCCACCCTCATAACAGATTAGTGCCCTTATAGAAGAGGGCTAGAGAGTTCTTTTGCCCACTTCCCCCATATGGGAAGAAGTCTGACTATGAGGAAGCAAGCTCTCACCAGACACCAAATTGGCACCTTAATCTTGGAATTCCCAGCCTCTAGAACTGTGAGAAGTACATTTCTGTTGTATGTAAGCCACTCAATCAGTGGTATTTTGTTATAACAGCTCAAACAGGCTAAGACACTGAGAAAAAAAGGAAATGTTGACATGGTTCAATACTAATAGTGTCCAAATTATGTAAATCCATACATAGCTAATTTTATTATCATATCTTTTATCTAAAGATAACATAACTAACAGGGAGAGAGGTGAACTTTACCCAGGTCATAACACAAGTGACTGGCTGTAGTAGACTTTCTTGCTAAATTGGGTGCAAGAACACTATTCTGGAGTGAAAGCAGTCATTTTCTTCTCAACTATAAATGCACATTGTCCAGACATTGACTGTCTTCACCAGGGAGTGGTATTTTGCTAACATAACCTTTTGAAGGAGGTAACACAAATGTAATTTTACAGTATTTCCATTGATACTTTCTTGGGGGTCACTAGATTATGCCACTTGAGACATTTTTACTAAACAAAGACAGAATCTACATATAATTCCATCTTTTTGTCCTTGACCAGTTGTTAAAAAAAAAAATCACTACACACTTCTCATTAAACCCATTCCTTTTCTGCAACTAGTCTCACTTCCTTCCTATTAACTTATTGACTTCAAACATCCTGCTTTCCATAACCAATCTAAAAGTCTTTGGCAACTCCCAGAGTTTCAGACTTTTTCTAAAGTATTTGCAACAAAACTTACTCACTCTGATGTCTTAGTCTGTTCTCTGTTGCTATAAAAGAATACTTGACACTGGATAATACATTAAAAAAGTTATTTTTTACAGTTGTCAAAGCTGGAACATCCAAGGTAAAGGGTTTGGACTGCATCTGGTGACAAGCTTCTTACTGGCGGGGACTCTCTGCAGAGTCCAGAGGCAGCACAGGGCATCACATCGCAAGTGGACTTACGAGTAACAGCCAAATTGATTTTTATAACAGATCCATTTTTTTAATAATAAACACCCTCCCTAGATAGACCATTAATCTATCAACCTATGAATGAATTACTCCATTCATGAGGGCAGAGCCCTTATGACCCAATCATCTCCCAAATGTCCCACCTATCAACACTGCTGCAGTGGGGACAAAGTTTTTTCAACACATGAGCTTCTGGGGGACATATTCAAACCATAGCCCTCTACTTTTCATTCTTTAGGTGTTTCCCGTCTGAGGGGCACAAACAAGACAATACAGATGGGTGCTATGAATGTGACTTCTGTATCCCCCAAAATACATATGCTGAAATCCTAACTCCCAATGTGATGGTATTAGAAGATGAAGCCTTTGGGAGATAATCGGGTCACGAGGGTGGAACCCTCATGCATGCGATTACTTCCCTCATAAGAAGAGACACAATAACTAACCTCCCTCTCTGTCGTCCATCATGTGAGAATGCTATGAGAAGACCACATGCAAACCAGGAAGCAGGTCCTCGCCAGATATGGAATCAGCTAGGAACTTGATCTTGGACTTCCCAGACTCCAGAATTCTGAGAAATAAGTATTTGTTGTTTAAGCCACCCAGTCTATATTAATTTGTTATGGAAGCCCAATCAAAGGCAAAGAGTTAATTTTTAAATTGTTGCTAATAATTTTAACTCCTAGTGGCTGAATCTGGGAGAAAGTCTGTGCACTAGCAGTAATCACGCCTCTCTGTCAAAACACTTCAACAGGAGTCAGGAGAGAACTCTGAAGCTCAGAGAAAGGGTCATGCATAATTCAGTGTCACAGCAGTAGTCAATGGTGAGCCCCAAAATTCTGAGTGCTGCCCATACAGTCCTATATCTGTTTCCCTCCACCACTCCACTGCTGCTACTACCAATAGTATGATTGTCAGAACCAATTTTATCCTACCCTGTATCTCCAGTGACATTGTTCACCACAAGAAGCCCAGAACTCCCAAATTCTTCCTCATTACCTGAACTTTATTCTCCATATGGCTAGGTTACATCCTCTTTTCTGACACAAATCTCTATATTTCTACATATCCTAAAACTCTTGGACTATGTCCTCCTTGAATTCGTAAGTGTCTATTATCAAAAAAATTCTGTAGATTCAAACTTTTCACTGAAGTTAAACTTCTTTTCTTTTTTGCTCTAAGTGAAGCCTGTTTCTCCTGAAAACACTATTTACCCTGTATCTCTCTCCAGAGGTGGATGTTTTATCCTCCAAATTCCTTATACTAATGTGGTAATATGTGGCACAAGCCCTCTTTGCTCCATCTTGACACCTCATTCCTAAAACTTCTCAGCTTTGGATCTCATGTCCCTGAAATAATCTTCTCTTATAAGCTTGTCCTCCTACCTTCTCTTGCAATCATCCATCTCATGGTCATATCTGAGAAAGGAAAAAGCAGCTCTCAATAACTGATGGGTAGGAGCTTGTCTGGATCTAAAAGTGAGGAATAGTATTCTCTTGTCAAATATAAAGTTTCACGATACACTAATGTCAGACAAGGTCACTCTATGACTGTGATGGAGCTTAACAATAACAAGTCCACTCCACAATCACATTTGAGCACATACATTACCAAAAACACAGTTTTTCTTACCCAACATCTCCCTCTGCCAGCCATTATGAGGAAAGCTGCTTTTCCACCAATTACAGCCCTACCCCCACTTTGTTTCTCTTTGCTCCTAGATAGAAAGTCCTAAGATACCCAATATGGAATTGTCTTTTCTTTATCACAGTATCCAATCCAGAATTAAACAATGTTTTAGTAAACTATCCAGAAAATACACCTCACACAATCCCAAATCCGAAAGAACAACCCCTTATACTCTCTTCAAGAGATGCATCGGCCGGGCGCGGTGGCTCACGCCTGTAATCCCAGCACTTTGGGAAGCCGAGGCGGGCGGATCACGAGGTCAGGAGATCGAGACCATCCCGGCTAAAACGGTGAAACCCCGTCTCTACTAAAAATACAAAAAATTAGCCGGGCGTAGTGGCGGGCGCCTGTAGTCCCAGCTACTTGGGAGGCTGAGGCAGGAGAATGGCGTGAACCCGGGAGGCGGAGCTTGCAGTGAGCCGAGATCCCGCCACTGCACTCCAGCCTGGGCGACAGAGCGAGACTCCGTCTCAAAAAAAAAAAAAAAAAAAAAAAAAAAGAGATGCATCAAGGTTCTCCATGGTGTGCAGTTAACCTTGTTTCAACAAATACCAATGTTCCCAACTTGGTTCAACTAGAGTTGTGTCCTGGTATTTCTGGCTGGTGGACATTGACATAACTCTGTACATATTTTGTATATTTCATGAAGACATTTTTGTTTTGTAAAATGAATGTCCTTCATTTTATATATCTCAATTTAAAGCTCATTTGCTTAAATTCAGGCTAACAAAGTATAAACTTTTGAAATTAACTTTAAAAGATATTTGATATTGTTTGGTTGTATCCCCACCCAAATCTCATCTTGAATTGTAGTTCCCATAATCACCACGTGTCATGGGGGTGGAAGGGGGGGACCTGGTGGGAGGAAATTGAATCATGGGGGCAGTTACCCTCATGCTGTTGTCATGATAGTGAGTTCTCACCAGATTTGATGGTTTTATAAGGGGCTTTTCTCTCTTATAAAGGCCTTTTATAAGGGCCTTCACTCGGCACTTCTCCTTCACACCATCATGTGAAGAAGGGTGTGTTTGCTTCCCCTTCTGCCATGATTGTAAGTTTTCTGAGGCCTCCTCAGATATGCAGAACTGTGAGTCAATTAAACCTTTTTCCTTTATAATTACCTAGTCTCAATTATGTCCTTATAGCAGCATGAGAATAGACTAATACAATATTTTATCTAATTTAGAGAGAGCTTGACTTTCTTCAAGTACAATAAACATGTGTGGTAAGCTGTTGGGGTTGAACAGATAAGAATAACTCCATTTTACATAGAGGTTGTTTTAGATGCTTGAGGTGTGTTGATTGAGAGAGAGAAATTGTAATCCAGGCAAACATTTCAGATAAAGTTATTGTAAACCTGTATATAAAATAGCAGAAAAATTTCACAATCAGCTCTATCAATTTTAAACCTATATAGTTATCAACATCAATGCATCTATTTCCTATTAAATCCAAGTGAGATTTACATTTCAAACATTTAGTTAGCTCATTATAAAAGAAATATTATAAACTGATTTTCACTGTATCAGTTAAGGGTCTCCAGAAACATAGGAACAATATGATATGTGTGTGTGTGTGTATGTGTGTGTGTGTGTGTGTGTGTAGACACACCTATGATTTATTTTAACAAACTGACTCAGTGATTGCAGGAGCTGGTAAATCTTAAATGTGAAGGCAGGTCCTACAGGCTGGAAACTCAGGTAGGAGTTGTTACAGAAGTTTTCAGGTAGAATTTTTTCTCCAGAAAGGCTCAGTTTTTGCTCTTAGATTTTTCAGCTGGTTATCAGGCCAAACCACATCATCAAGAGTAATCTCCTTTACTTAAAGTGTCAACTGGTTGTCCACATTATGTGTTTCTACAAAATACCTTCATAGCAATACCTACATTAGAATTTGATTAAATAACTGGCTACGTGATATGATTTGGCTCTGTGTCCCCACCCAAATCTCATCTTGAATTGTAATCCCCAGGTGTTGAGGGAGGGAAGTGACTGGATCATAGGGGCAGTTTCCCCCATGCTGTTCTCGTGATAGTAAGTGAGCTCTCACTAGATCTGATAATTGTATACGCATCTGGCATTTCCCCTGTTTGCACTTCTCTCTCCTGCCACCATGGGAAGAAGGTCCTTGCTTCTCCCTCACCATCCACCATGATTGTAAGTTTTCTGAGGCCTCCCCAGCCACGTGGAAATGTGAGTCAATTAAACCTCTTTCCTTTATAAATTACCTGGTCTTGGGTAATATCTTTTTAGCAGTGTGAGAATTGACTAATATGCTACTATTGTAGGTGACACATAAAACTAGCCATCATGTTTAATACAGGTAATTTTCCTAATACTATTTAAGAAAAACTGTTTTCTTATAATTTGAACACACCATTGACCTCATAAACAGTCAGTATATTAAATGTACTTACATTTAGAAAAGTATATAACTTTCTTCCAATGGTGCTAAACCATTATGAAAGAATTCAGAGTAATACCTCAGGTAATGGATTTTGTTTACTTTGACAACCATGATTGAATTTTAATTATTTATTACTCCACTTAATCTTATACTGTAATAGGAAGTGTACTATAATACATTTATAAAATTAATGAATCATGGCTACTTGAAGACACTATCATAATACAGTACACAGTTATCTCTGCATATCCATGGGGAAGTGGTTCTAAGATCCCCCTAGGATATATATCAAAATCTACAGATTCTCAAGTCCCTTACATAAATGGTGTAGTATTTACATATAGTCTATACACATCCTCCCTTATTCTTTAAATTTTCTGGAGATTAGATTACTTCTAATGCCCAGTAAAATGTAAATACTATATAAACTGTTGTTATACTGTATTATTTAGGGAATAATGGCAAGAAAAAAAAGTTTGTACAAGTTAAGTACAAATACAATGTGCTTTTTTTCTTTTTTGAGTATTTGAGATACTCAAAATATCCACAGTGGTTGAATCCATGAATGAGAACCCATGGATATGAAGGTCCTACTATGTATTGTAACATTTTCTCAGATACAGTAGATAATTTAGAATGAGATAAAACAGATCAAATGGTTTAGGTTAAAATTTTTAGGAAGAGAAACTAACACAATTATATTTATTATTGTGGTTAGCAATATAAAAATGTGATAAACAGATATAAGTAATTTCTTCATAAATTTTTGTTGCAGTACACCATAGATTATAACTGCTATCTTTTTTTGGTAGGATTACTCAAACTCCTAACAGCAAGTCGCTTCAACAGTACTATCTCAGTTAAATGGACACGATAGGAAACTATTTCAATGCCATATCATTACTACAAGTATTTAAATATGATTTACACTATGTATAATACTTTTAATAAACCATTTCCCAAATATGGTATATAAAAGTAACATGTTTATATAAGTATATATTAAAGAATAAAATTACATTCTAAATTAGTTTTTTGAGGTCAAAAACAACAGCAAAATACCAAAAACACCAGTAGCCTAAGTAAAAGTTTGCAATTTTAAAATGCAAAAATTTATCACTCTGAAATCCCTGTATATTTCTTATTATGATAGAGATCCTAGATATTTGACTTGGAGAATACTGTTAATTCAGTTCAAGCAATATGTGGCAAACAGGTACTACAGAATAAAATATAACGATAGAAATATTTCTGTCTCCACATAGGTAAACTTCGGTCCTCGAACTAAGCAAGGTATGGAACACTGAAGTGCCTTCAATGGTCAGGAAAGTAACCTAAGTAAATGAATAGCCTACATAGCAACAGAATGTAGCGTAGACAGTGGAAAACGGAGAAGTGTCTTCTTCCAACTTCATTTCAACCCAAGTATTTTAAAACACTGTGCACATTAAACAAACTAATTTGGCAGCCTGAATTTGGCCCTGAATATAATTCCATTAACCTCTAGACTAGGTCATCCCTGAAATTCTCGCTGATCTGTATTTTCATTAAAAATGTGGCCGAGCGCGGTGGCTCACGCCTGTAATCCCAGCAATTTGGGAGGCTGAGGCTGGCGGATCATGAGGTCAGGAGATCGAGACCATCCTGGCTAACACGGTGAAACCTCGTCTCTACTAAAAATACAAAAAAAAATTAGCCGGGCGCGATGGCGGGCACCTGTAGTCCCAGCTACTCGGGAGGCTGAGGCAGGAGAATGGCGTGAACCCGGGAGGCGGAGCTTGCAGTGAGCCGAGATGGCGCCATTGCACTCCAGCCTGGGCAAAAAGAGCCAGACTCCGTCTCAAAAAAAAAAAAAAAAAAAAAAAAAAAAAAAAAAAAAAAAAGTAATTGCAGTCATCCATAACCTGAAACTATTGGTGCAGAAGTGAGAAGTCAAGACATTATATCGCTATTCAAATTGCAGCTATCTAACATAACTCAATATTTAATGAATTAACAAAAGTATGTGGTAATCATGAATATTATTTGACATTTGCCTTAAAATACTGCTTGCATGTTTGTGTTATAACACTAATTCAAATATCAGTTATTTTCGATACTAGAATAATGTGTTCTGAAAAAGGACATGTAGTAAAGTTTCACTAGAATTCAAAACCAACAGAGCAAGAATATATGACACCTTAAGTTCAGAAAATTGAAACACAAGATGGTCTTTAATATTGAATATATAAGAGTTTAAATGAAATTTGGAAGAATATATAATTGGACTGCTTGTGTGAAGAAGTTTATAAAGTGGGAAGGTATGAAGATATTTTAGGATATCACCCTAATCCACCCTCACCCCTGAGCTCTCTTGAGGACATTAACCTAAAAATAATAACTTTTCCAGCAGCACCAATTCACCAATTGATCTCTTTAGTCTTACATGCACACTCTTAAAGTGCCACCTAAATGGGTTTCGATGAGAAGAGAAGCCTTTTAAATTACATTCTCCAAGAGATTTAGAAAATGTTCAAAGGAATTATATGAAAAATAAGTTATATTCAATAATGAAAACTAAAACAAAAGGCCAAATAGTGTTTCAAAAGCCTGCCAAATTTTAGTGTGTTCCTATATACACAAGGGAAATAACACAGAATTTTTTCAGGTTTTTCAAAATTAACACACATGACAACGTCCTGAGTGACAAGAAACCTACAAACATGTCAAAAGATGTGAATATATTTTTTAACAGATTCAAAATGAGCAAGAGCAGCCCAAAATGCTCCTTAGCATGTATTATTTAGTGCCTAATACAGAGCCTGTGGTGCCTAGAACAGTGCTTTGTAATTGAGGCACCTCGATAAATTTGAATGAACTAAATAACAAATATTTTGTGAACCGATTAGTAAATTAGCAGTTCTTTTCTTGCGGAACATAGTATTTCATATATTAGAAATGCAGGGCAGCCTACAGAAACAAGGCATTTAGGTCCGACAGAAATGAGTGATATTTGCATGTGGAGGATGAGTAGTAAAACAAATTTAATCAAATTATTCTGTGAATCTGGCACTACTTATCCACATCTGTAGACAATTGGAAAAATAAAGTGCCTTCGACCAAACAGATAACACAATACCATCTCTTAATCATATTATCATAATGATCCCTAGATATTCCATAATTTAGCATATAAATTATAAAGGAAATATGTCTGGAGTCAGGAAATCTGCTTGATAATATTGACTCATTGTGTGACCTCAAAACTATCACTGATTCTTTTGAATTCTATAGTCAGTGAAATAGATATAATGTTATTATGAGATACTAAAATGCTGACCAAATAATAGAATGTAATGAACAAATTAGTAATGATTTCCAAGTTTCCCAAGACAAATCCCAAATTACATATTAAAGTGATTAAAGGGATATTTAAATTCCATGTTAAATATGTAGTATACAGAAATATTCTGTATTTATTTAAATATATAATTAAGACAAACTTTGTAAATCAATTCCAAAAAGGATGTACCAAATGTCTTCATTCAGTAAGCAATTGCTTACACAATGATTAACTGGGAAAATCTAAATAAAAAGAATGAGATTAGATGGAAGATAAACTTTATTCTTTTCTGTTAAGCCCTATAACTTATCCAGAAATGTTCTGGAGAACTACTAAATATTCACTTATTTCTTGTTCTATGAAATTAAAACTATATCACAGTTATGTTGCAGCTTTTAACAGAAATCATGATAAATAGGTTGACCTTTCTTTTTGCTTGTAAGACATTGCAAAATGAAAATTTATATGTTTTTCATTAGAATTGGCAAAAGGAATATATTTAAAAGCTCATAAATAGGGTCAACATTAACAAGAGGCTTAGTCTTCAAGAATGTTGTTGTTTTATTTTCCAAAATTTTATGTTTGGGTGGTATAATATGACCTATAGAAGGGACTATATATTTTGACTATCTTCTCAATATGAATGGCAGGATAACGTTCTGGATTTAGGATTAAAGCAATTAATCACTGGCACTAAAATATGAATTACCCTGGTTATCCTATAAGTAACATCTAATTCATAAAAGAAGACTGTATTAACAGTTACAGGCTAACTTAAATTAATCCTGTGATTTTTTTGAAGATTATAAAATTATTTTCTAAATTTGAATTTTAAAAATTCTCAAATAGCCATTAAGTATCTATTGACAGAAACTAACTAAAAGGTCTTGCAGTAATCAAAGTACCTTTTCACTGAGTAATTTTATGTTTAAAGTTGCACTTCCCCGAAGTAAGAAAAAAAACATTTGCGATATTATTAAAATCCTTAGAACTTGGTACACGATTCAAAATACAAAAATGTGATGATTTTTAATGGCAAAATTCAAATATATTAAAATAAAATATAAAGTTGGAAAGATATCATAATTATTACTCCATAAAACTGGGATTAAAATCATTGTACACGATAAACACAAGTTTATCTGTCAATTTAAAAAATAAAAAATAAAACTGTAAAACCATGATAAGCATAAATTCTTACTTGAAAATTTATAGAATGTGGCATATATACCTTCTAAGATGATGTTTGTATTTCTTATTGAGTTGCTAATTTTTAGAAGTTTCAGATCCAGTTTCCTATTTCTAAGTGACAGTATGTTTTAGCATATATGTAAGTGCTCATAGCATCCTATGTGCTATAAAGAATCACTTTGGGGTGAGTATAGACAGCTCTTTTTAAAATTGAAATCATTCATTTATGAATAGATCTAGAATATTTTCTGTTATACTTAAAGACAGGCATAAATCTCATCATTTTCCATAATAATACTCATGAGAAGGCTAGAAAGCACATATAGTAGATGAATATATTATCTTGTAAAGCAGTAGTTTCAAATATATTCACATCATATATGAAAATTTACTTCTTTTCAGTCAGTGCAAATCTCATACACAGGAAATACAAACTTGGGCCGTTTTAAAATCATCTGGAAGGACTAGCTCAGAAGTGCCTAAAGTCTCTTTCATGATAACTAAGATAATTATGGAGTTATTTCAAAGCCATTTTATCCTTGTTTGTTCTTTCTGATGTTTGTCTATATTTAGGTTTATTCATCTCATTTACATAGCTGTTTTTTAGAACCCAATTTACTCACAAGGTTACAATGGTAAATCTAGACTTTAACCTACCTTTTGCAAATGTAAGTCATGAAGAATGAACCAACTCCAAACACACAACAAACACATCAGCATAAGCAAATTCAACTATTGTTAGAACCTAAGATTAACTTGAGAATCAAGACCTATAGAATTTTAACAAGTTGAGGTTTGGAAAATAACTTTTTTTTTCTATAAACCCCACTATGCATTTTATCACCTACACCATTATTGTAAATATGGAAATGAAATCTTGTGCATTAAGTTTGCCTTTAACCGTAAGTTAAATTTAATTGAAAAAACAGTGTGTACTTTCTTCAGACTGAAAGTTTTTCCCCCAAAATTTTACCTTCCTTTTTTACTTCTCTAAGTGGGGCCAGAACAATTTCAATAACTCCTTTAGCCTTTGGCTACTGCTCTTTGTGCTACTCTACTAAAGAAGACTGCAGAAGAGTATTTTCACTTTCTTTTGTTCAACAACAACCAACAACCACATCCACAAAATCAATAAAAGAAACAAACTAGCCCTGCTTTTGTGAGTCTTAAGTGGGCTGAAAGCAAGTAGCCAAGAGATTCAAGTAAAAAGAATGAAATTAAATGCATCAAGAATTTACGTAAAACTTTAGATGAGAACTTTTCATTCTTGGAAAACACACATCACAGCATATTTTCTTTATTCATAAAGAAACATATTTTAAGATACATAAAGAAAATTCGATCAAGAACGCTATATTTATTTTTGGACTATTTGAGTCTGTCCTTAAACTTCTACTCTCCTCATTCAGGCTAAGTTACCACTGTGTAAGAAAGGGGAAGGGAGGCTGCTTGCTAATAAACATGGACTTCAGTGAATCATACATTTTCATATTGCCACCCTACTTTGTCTTTACTCTTTGCAGTACTAAGCCTAATGAGCCTTTATTCTACTTCCTTTTTTACTTTATGGAGGTGTATAGTTCTCCAAACATACCAATACATGAAAGTCAGTTCTGCAGGGAGGTTTTATAGCTAAAGGGGGATTTGGATGAGAAGTAGGAGCAATCATCCTGCACTATCTCAATGCTCAGTACATCTTCTCCCACCAATCAGGAGTGCTCTTCCGACTAGGATCCTGAAAAATGAAGCTCTGTGATCCAGTGAGAACCTTCCAGCAACTGCATGGGTTCTATCTGCCTCACGTTTTCCCTAGTGGCTCTAATGGTGACATAGTGATAGTGTTTCACACATATCCGCCACCACTTTACAGTGAATAGCTGAAAGTGGACAGCATAAGGTTCTAGAGTCACTCTCTTAAGCTTAGCACAGACAACTTCTCACTGGAGAAGTTTGCTATCAGTCCTTCAGGAAAGAGCTGGAATACAAACTCTTTCTGAGACCATCACTCAATCCCGCCACTTCCTCCTTGTGACCAGCCACATGGTTCCCTGCCTCCATCAGAGACAGCCACATCCTCATTCACCTTCAGCCTCCTAAGCCAAACAAAAGAGGTTATGGGGTAACTTGGGGTTAGAGTTCTTTTCTTTTCTCTTTAAACAGGTCCTGTTGACACATTTGCTTCAAATAAGGAGAGACTGTGGTAATCTTCAGCTTAATGGAGTGAGGTGAGATAGTCCAGAGCATTGTGGAAGTGTCAACCAAAGCCATGGATCACAGCTTCCCTAAGACCCCTTCCTTTTTCTACACCCAATTCTCACCCCACGCCCACCAGATAAAAAAATGAGTAAATTATAAACCAAACTGAATCTCAAAACCTCCAAAAACTCAATCTTCCAAATGCCCTCTTAAATATGAGAGAGAGAGAGAGGAAAACAGAAGCGATTACCAGAGTTTTGTTCCCGTTCTTGCTGAGAGGGCCCCGGAAAACTCCCTTGATGTTGCGAAAGTGTCCGTTGCTGAGATGCGTGGAGCTGATGACAATGTAGTAACACTCCATGGGGCAGCCGCCGCCTCCTCCGCCGCAGCCGCCGCTTCCACGCACCCCGCGCCCACAGCCGCAGCGCGCCGGGGCCGGCGACGGTGGGCTGGGAACCCGCCACGAGGGCACGCAGCCACCCCCGGCACGTCCTCTGGAGACTGGCTCACTGCACCCCTCTGTGGTGAGCGCCGAGGCTCCCCCGCCTCCGCATGCTCGCCGCGCTCTCCCCTCAGTCTCTCGCTCCTGTTTCTCCTCAGATTCGCGTCGGGA
Organism: Homo sapiens; assembly: GCF_000001405.40. Lineage (NCBI taxonomy): Eukaryota > Metazoa > Chordata > Mammalia > Primates > Hominidae > Homo > Homo sapiens. The sequence continues at coordinate 184,598,707 of NC_000002.12, read as the reverse complement.
CGACGAGCCCCGCGGGAGGATTCCAGCCTAGGAGGGGGCCGGGCCGGCGAAACGGAACCGAGCGGGAGTCAGTGCCCGCGCGGTGGCCGGGCGGAGCGGGGCTGCGGGAGCCGCCCGCGCGGCAGCAGAAGCGGCGGCGGCGGCAGCATCCCCCGCGCTCGGCGCCTGCACTCGGAGTTGCTGCTGCTGGCAGGCATGAGTGTTATTATAGTGAGCGGCGTTGCCGGTCCATTGCACTGAGCCAATGGCAGGGAGCCACTGGGCTGATACTGAGAGCTGTCAGAGGAGTACATCTGTCACCCGCTGCCTCCCCCGCCCACCCCGCCGCCGGGACCCGCGGCCGCGCCAGCCCGAGCGCGAGTGGGAGCGCCCCGCGCGGCGCCGCTGCCGCAGAGGGCCGGGGACGCGACGGCCACCGCCAAGTGGGAGACTCCTGGAAGGTGGGGGCGGAGAGGAAGCGAAGAGGCCGCGATTTCTTGCCTGGCAGTCGGCGTGGGGGTGGGGGCGAGGGGGATAAATAAATTAATAATTCAATACCGAAAGCCACCCGCTTCCGACTGCAGCGAATCCAGGCCGGTGCCAGCAGCGGCTTCTTTCTCAAGATAATTGCTATCCACTGGGTTTGGCTTATTTGATTTTGTTATTTAATGTGTGTTTGGTATGGAGGCTGGTACCCTGTTCAGTCTTAGGGAAAGGCGAGGAAAGAAAATATGCCCCCCACCCACCCCTGCTCCCACACATTTGTAGATACCGTAAGTGCTTGTGTTGATGATAGTTTCGGGGGAGGGTAGTTGTGGCGATGCGAGTACAAGTGAGTAGAGGGTAAAAGCAGGGACTCCTGATTTATATGTCCCTCCTCCTGGCAATCCTCTCACCCCACCTCCCCTGAGAACCTCAGTTCTTCCTAAATTGCTAAAGCTGAGGGGAAAGGGATGCTTTGCGGCAAAGGCGCTGCTGCCTCAAGCTTGCTTTACATGCCTCTCTAGTTCCTCTCGCACTACAGAGTGGTAGCGAACAAAAGCGTTCGCCCTAGAAGCGACCTGAATGGAAAAATCTGCACACGAACTAATGGGTTTGTCACGGAAAGTAGGGAACCGGGTCTGCAGCATTCCCTGGAGACAGACTTTCTGGTTGGTTTTCAAGGGTCCAAGGCAGCCATCAGCCCGGCTGTGCCCTCCCACCCTGCCTCCCACCCAGTTGATTCTCTCTTTGTGTAAGTTTAGCCCCTCTGAGGTGGTGGAGTGAGAGCATCCCATCAGATATATATACGATTCATCAGTCGGCACTTAAAAAGATCGATAACAGGCAGTGGGAGGCTGGGAGATGGTACCTTCAATGGATTTACTGAAGGCTTTATTTTTCCTTTGCCTTGAAAGGCTTAATTGGTTAAAGCAGATTCCAGACATTCTGATGCCCCTATGTCAGAACAAACTGCACTTTGATATAAACTGTGTTTATTTGGGAAACTTGTTTATTTGAGAATCGAGATTGCAATACATTCCACTCTGTGTGTCTCATATGTAGGATTTTATGTAGCAGTGGCCCTGCAATCCATAATAAGCTCCTTAAATAAATCCGACAGTTTGATTTCACTTTTTGAAAGAGGGAAAAAAGAGAAGAAAGAGAGTCAATAGTAGTGTGAGTAAATTATAACTCATAGATGGTAGAAAGGGGAAGTTACCACATTTACATAGTCATTCTTCCTGTATTATGCTTCAGTTCAAACAAAGGGGAAAAAAAAGTTGGTATGGTTTGATCAAAGCTCATTATGAAGGGTCAGAGTTGTTTAGAGGCACTTGGCTAAATTTTTCAGATATCCACTTGGGGGAGTCTGCAAGTCTCGGGAGAAAGCGAGAATTTGCAAAACTTCTGTACTCTGTGGAACAGATCACCCAATAATTTGTTAGAATTCAGTATGAACACAGTTCTATCAGAGGAAAAACATGTAATTGATCTACACTAAATATTGCATGGAAATTAAATCCATTTCCAGCTATCGTAAAAATATTGTTTTATGTTTACATTTTGAAAATGCAGGCATTCTCTGGACACGTCAACTTTGGAAAGAACTAATAACCTGTATGATTTCTAGTATGTCTTTGGAAGGTTTGTAAACTTTCCAAAGTTAGTTATTAGAAAGGAGATAACATTGTTAGTATTAATAAGCTATACCAAGGAAGCTTGTAGGGAAGTAGAAGAAGCACCATGTGTGAAAGGACCAGATGATGTAGGTTATTTTTTTTTAATTTATAATAATGTAATTTAGGAGGTTTTTTGCAATATTTTTCTATCAAAATACGTCTAATGAAATTCTAAAATTTTCATCTACAGGATAAAGCTCAATATCCAGTTCAGGAAATGGGAAACACTGATATATGACTCATCCCATGGAACAGAATATAGTCTACGTGGAATGTCACACTGTGCTTCTAGTGGCAAAGTTTGCATATATGTATGTATCAGTGTATCTTTAAATTTGCCTTTGTGTTGCAAGCACTTGTTATATCCTTCCTATTATTCCTATTATTTAAATCAATTTTTATTTTGCAAGACTACTGGTAAAGATTTTGGAATGAAATGTTTCTGGGGAACCGAGTCACCCTAATTTAAAAAATAAAAATATCTCAGTAATTTGGACAATAGGTTTAATGTATGAGGTTAAATATATACCTGCTTATTATAAATATGCAGAATCATTTCTTGTTTAGAAAATATTTCAAATATTTTATGGAATAATTACAGATTATTTGTGTTCAGTTGGCAATGTTCTAGCCGAACAACTTATAATTAAAAATGTAAATAAAGAAGTGTCATTAGTCTAAAAACTTGCAGTTCATTTTTGCTACAACTTCACTTCAATTTTGCCCTTTTTGCAACTGCAATTGCCCCTTCAATTCGCCATTTACAACTGCAATTCAAATCAAGATTCTTTAAGTTTTGCTCTTATACTGATTTATCCCACTTATCTTGCTTTGCTTAACTCAAATTTGGATAATAGGTTTCTGCTCAGCGTTGTTCCTCATCTGCTTCTGGCTCACACAAAATTTCAGGACAGTGTTGTCACCTTGACATGTGAAACCAAGGTCTTGCTCCTTTCCTACACCAGCGGCTAGACCTCTGAGTTCTAAATCCCTTTCCAGATTCATTCAGTCCAGCTCTTCCAGGAGTAGGTAAATCTTTCCTGAGTTTACCTACTGATGTTTAACACTATATGTTACTACCTCCACATGCCTTTCCACTGGACTCGCTACTTCATGTCATAAAAATCTTTGGATGCTTTTACTATGTCTGAATAACTTCCCATCACTCAACTGAAAAAATCCACAAATTAGATTGACTTCTGGGTTCCAGCAATTCAGGCTTACCTGGGCTTTTGTGAACCAAGTTTTTAATCTTATGTCATCCTGAAATAACATACAAAGCAAATATGTATTCCACCACTTTTCATATGTGTCTGGGACGTATTCATAGTCATCACTGAGTATATTTTGGGATTCAAAATTTTCCTTTTCATTACTGTAATAATCTTAAGCATATTTTTATCATCTGTATAACCATACAGCTGGATAATTTGGAACTTAGTGTTGCCACTATTTATCACTTTGGTTTACATTCATGTTTATTATCACATTGGTGCCCAACACTACTGCTTTTATTATTTGTGAATAATAAAAATTTAACACTCGATTGTTCACTCTAAGTTAATGCCAAGCGATATGATGGCATGCTGCATAAATGAAGGTGCTACATAGTTAAATTGGAAAAAGTGGTAGAGGAACAGCATCACCATAGTGCACTCATAGTCATTGTAAACTTCAGGCATGTGGAGATTAGCGTTGACACACAAACACTCATAAACAAATTCATGTTTGAGATAGGATTTGATTTCAGCAAAGCAACATCATCTGTTGTATTAAATTAAGTTGGGAAATTTGGATATTTTGCCTGTTGTATTTTCATTTGATTTCTTTTTTTTTGGTTTGTGTTTACATAAGAGCTATAAGCATATGGGGTTGTATAATTAGTTTGATGTTAACATATTTAAGTAAAATTATGCCTCAAGTGAACTTAGTGTATTCAAGAGAATATTTAAGAAAATGTCTATATGATATTTAGTATGAGAAACGCTGATCTATACTAGTCATGGGATATATATTGAATACCAAAACTGATATTACCTGAAGATGATAATGCAATTGTATTATTTTATGGGTGATGGTTAAAATTTTAAGGTAATTATTAGATAATAATTTCCTAAAAGTAGCTCCATGATCATAACCCTGTTTCTGTATTCAAATTCGGCTGAGTTGAAATATGGTCCTGTTAAAAGCAAGGATCAATAAATTGTCACTGATTATAAGACATATATAAAGATGTTACAAACAGAAAGGCATCTTCTAATCAAGGAAGTGTGAAACCTATATTTGTGTGGATTCTATCACAATTAACACCTTATTACAAACCACTGTAAGGCACCTTCAACTAAAACAACTTTTGAATATTGGGCAAATAATTATTCAGACTCCCTTAACTTCACTTATTTAACCTTTGAAAGAAAGGGAATAAGCAAGATATTATCTTATGTTTTTTCAAGCTTAATTATCTGATTCTCTGGCAACTTGCCTAGAGCTGATGTTGATTATGCCTGGCAGAACAGAATACCAACTTAGCTCCCCACTTGAAGATGTGTCTCTTGAATAGCTGGTATAACTGTAGAAATTGTGGAAATGTGGAAATTGATACAAATGTAAAAAGGATTAGAGAGAAATTTCATAATTTTTCTGGATTCAACCTTAATAAGTAGATAAACTAATTTAATTATGCAACTTTTTACATCTTAAAAGAATGATAGAGCACTTGTTAGGCTGTAAAAAATATTTAGGTGATATTTATATTTTTCAAGCATTTTTGCCCCTTACTTTTTAATTCTAATAAGTAGCCTTGGGATAAATGCCAAAACAATGCAAACTGGAAAGCCAAAGCTACATTTCTAATATGTTGCCAAAAAAATTAATGCAATTGGATGACATGTAATTAATTTACCAAAAGGAATAAATTTAAGATATATTATTATGAGTAAAGAAGAAAAGATGAACAATAACTACATTCCTGTGTTTTATTCCCTTTTTTGAATGAAATTTTGTAATATCTATTAAAATTAAAATTACAGCTAACCTTATATCTAGCCATTGCATTCCTGGGACTTGTTACGTAGAGTAAAATTACCAGTATAAACTGATATTTACAAGAACACTTAATGTAACATTAAGGTAACATTCTTAGCTTAACATTATAATTATAAAAAAGCTGGAAACAAAGAAAGTCATTTTCAATAATGAAATAGTTGCATAAATTATGGTGTATATCATAATTATGATATATTATGATATATTTCACAGACTTTCATATACCTATTAAAATAATAAAGTTTATACACATTGATTAGGTAGGATTTTCTAGTTGTTTTATTATATAAAAATGTATATTACAAACAAGAGAGTAGATTAGGATTTAGTTTTGTATAAAAACAAGAACAAGTGTACATTTTTGTGAAAGAATAAACAGATATTAATAAGGTAAGGGTGCATGTATTTTGTCATCATGAGTTTCTTAGTGTCCGGTAAGTGGGAGAAGAAAGAACTAGAAGAGAAGGAGAAAGATGGTATGGGGGAAGATAAAGGTGACAAGCAGGCACCTACAGACACATATTGTTTCTGGGTTAAAAACAAAGGGAAAAAGGAAGCATTGGTGGGAGGGAGGAAGATACAAATACCGCTCTAGTTAGGATGTAAAGAACTGATTCTAGGAGATATGTAAACTCAGGGAGAATATTAAGAAGATACTGAAATGAAAGTAATTGGTCTAAGATGTTAAGTAAAGATGGGGAGGAGGGACAGATTGAGGAAATTGTTTATAAAATTTGGATTCATTTTGGATATACAAATAGAGATAGTGAGATGTGCAGGTATAAAATATGGAGTCAGGATCAGAACCGATTTGGGAGCCACTGGCATATCAATGCCATTTATAAGCAAGGACTGCATGAGATCATGTGAGAGCTTATACAGATAGATAAAGAGCCCCAGGACAGATCAGGGGTGACCTGAGAAGCAACAGCTAAAAAGGGAGATAGAAAACAAGCTCCTGGGAGAAGATTGTAAAGCCAAGAAAATAAGATGCCTCATAAATCCTTCCTTCCAATGCAAAAAGTTAGTTTTAAGGAAAGAGTAACCAACTGTGAGGAATGCTACTGATAGCTTTTAAGAAAAATGAGATGAATAAATGATCTCAATTTGGCCATCTTGAAGGTCATTGGTGACTTTAACAAAGTAATATCTAGAATATACTAACAAGACTGCATATAATTTACAAAAACTAAATTCTGCAGCACAGTTGAGTAATCAGGCATCTGTGCTATTCATATGAGAGAAATTTTGTAGAAATAGTTCTCTATGTAGTACAGATGTGGCCAGATTTAAGAAAAGTATAGGAAGTTAAGACACAATACTGTTCCATAACACAACTTTTGTATATACTCAAACTGTTCTCTTCTCTACCATACCCCTTTCTGATAAGAAGATGTGGGAATTTCCACTGAGGTTTCAAATTTATGTATGGTCATGTTGACTTAGAACAAGATAAATATTAATTAAAACTACATAGATTTCATTAACATAAAATATATTTGTCTTAGTCATTTTAAAATACTGTAATAAATATACCATTACTGAATGTCTTAAGCAATAGAAATTTATTCCTATGGTTCTGAGGGCTGGAAAGTCCAAGATCAAGGTGCCAGCTCATTCAGATTCTGATGAAAGTCCTCTTCCTGGTTTGCAGATGGATGCCATCTTCCTGTAACCTCATGGCAGTTTTAACAAATACTTTTATATGTTTATTTGGTAACATGAAACGGGTGCCTTGCAAAATTCAGATGGCAATATTTGGTAGTATAATATTCCTAAAAATAAATGTGGAAATATGTATCTGTGTGTCATAAATTCCACTTCCATTCCACTATCGATGTAGCTTTGTCTGTTAGATCACCCAATTGCCTACCAAAATTAATTTATCCATGGAATACTCCTAAACCAAACAAGCCCAAGAGGCTCATGCTAAGTTTTAGGGCTGACCAATAATGTTTTTTGTACCTGAACTCTAAGAAGCTCAGGAAGAACTGATGGGCATTATTTCTATAATGTATTATTCTAGAGAGGTCAAGAATGGAGAATGTCCCTAAAGATATATTCTTAAGATCTACTTGGTTTAATATTTTATTTATATATGACACCTTTGAATCTTTATAATAAAATTCCTCATATAAATTTAGTAAGAATTGGATTAATGTAACTGATTTCATCTATAATATATAATCTTTAACTCTTTCATGAGGATTCTGAATTCTAGTTATAAATATTGAGGAAGAAAAAAGATATTTGTTTATCTATTACGTATGATAGATGAACAGCATGAGTGATAATATTTAAACAATGAAAAAATTTAAACAATTCAAATAATACACAAGATATATTATTGGAAGTAATATATTAAAAATTATATCTGATATAAAATCATAAACATTAAATAAAAATATACAACAACATATAACATTTATGCTATTTTAGTGGCATGAGAAAATCATCATGAAGAAAATGTTACAAAAGTGACAGGATATAAGATTGAATTTGTATATACACAAAAACACCCCCTCACATGCATAGGTACGTACACAAATAATATACACAAAGAAAAAAATTGACATTAAAATATTGTAACAACAAATTCTGGCAAGGCTGCTGAGAAAATAGAATACTTATACACTGTTGGTGGAAATGCAAATTAGTTCAGCCACTATGAAAAACAGTTTGGAGATTTCTCTGAGAACTTTAAACAGAACTAGCATTCAAGCCAGCAATACCATTACTGTGTATATATCCAAAAGAAAACAAATCATTCTACCAAAAATACCCATGCACTCATATGTTCATCACAGCACTATTTTTATAATATCAAAGACATGAAATCAACCTAGGTACCCATCTACAGTGGATTGGATAAGGAAATGTTATACATATACATCATGGCGTACTACACAACCATAAAAAAGAACAAAATCATGTCCTTTGTAGCAACATGGATGCAACTGGAGGCCATTATCCTAAGCGAATTAATGCGCAGGAACAGAAAACCAAATACTGTATGTTCTCACTTTATAGTAGATGCTAAACATTTAGTACTCATGAAAATAAAGATGGCAACAATAGACATTGAGGACTACTAAAGGGGTAAGGGAGGGAAAAAGGAATTGTTGAAAAAGTACCTTTGGGATTCTTTGCTCAGTACCTGAGTAATGGTATCATTTCTACCCTAAACGTCAACATTATGTAATATACCCATGTAACAAACCTGCCCACATACCTCTGAATCTTAAATAAATCAATAAAAATAAAATTATACAAAAAAGCATTGTAACAAAATATTTATAGTTAAACCTCTCAAGAGTAAAATTAAGGTTAATTGTTTTTCTCAAATATTTTCAGCATATGTTCATATTGTATGTGATAATTTTTCTTTACATAAAGAAAAAATATTAATTATAAAAATCTAGGAAAATAATAAGTTAAATTGATTTGATCTAGCAAAAATTGATGAGAATATAAGAAATAGTAAAAATATAAAAACTAGTAAAAATTGAAAAAAATAGGTATATGACAAGCATATGTGTTATCAAAATGAATGGAAATAATTTAATTATTCCATAAAAGGAGATATTCAGTTTGGGAAATCTAACAAAAGATATTACTAAATCTATGCTGACAGAATAGTTAGAAGTAAACAAATGGGAAAGATAGCAGAATTAAATACAAACACAAAGAAAACTGTAATATTTACATTTCTACCAATATCAAGTAATATTTAAAAACACTGAAGAGTACAATCAGTGATGAAAACATAACAGTCAAAAGTATTTCCACAACAAACAAACAACATAACATAAAAATGCATAAAGCAAAATGTTTGGGGAAAACAAGTAAAAATCTATAAAGAAAAAATTTAAAAAGTAATATGAATAGCCAATAAACATGAGTTGTTGTTGATCCCTTATTTTTTCTATTACATTGTCCAAACAAAAATATTATATGCTGGATTTTTAAGACTAGTGGTGGCATAAATTGATAATAATTTTTGAAAAGTAACTTGATTTTATGAAACATTTTTAAAAAGCACATATCCCATGACTCAGCAATTTTACTTCTCACAAACTATGACACAGAAATAATATCATGAAAAGATAAAAATATGAGCATAGACATGCTCCCTGCAGACAGTTTGTAATATCTAAAATTTGACAAATACCATTATATACTGTGAAAAATAGTAGAAATTACTGTACATTTATACAATGGTATACCAGAGATAAATTGTTAAAACATACATATGTCTGTATTAAGAAGGATTTTGGCTGGGTTCCTATGGCTCACACCTATAATCCCAGGAATTTGAGAAGCTGAGATAGGCGGATTACTGAAGCGCAGGAGTTTAAGACCATCCTGGGCAACAGAGCAAGACCCCCATTTCAAAAAATAATAAATAAATAATAAGAATTTTCATCTAAGGATATCAAGACCAATTACTACAGTATCATCTCATTTTGGTATAAATAAGGATATGTATTCTTCAACACATAAGCAGATGGATATTGAAAATCATAGAAGAAAGAAAGACTAGATATGCAACAAACACTTAACAGTCGTTAACACTGTCAACATTAACTTGGATAATTTTGAGAGGAGGATGAGGAGATTGAGTGGAGGAGGGTGTCATAAAATCTCAAATGAGAATATTTCTTAATAATTTTCAGTGGAGACTATAATAATACTGGTCTTTTCAAAGAAATTCAGAAATATTTATGCCTATTTAAATTGACTTATTTAGAATGCATTCAATGAATTTAATAAATACAATCATTTTTAATTTTATCCGTTTATTTATTTTAGCACCCCAACACAAATGAAGGCATTTTAAAGGTAGTGGCCTTGGCTGGTTTGCCCATCGTTGCATTCCCCGGGGCCTTGAAGTGTACTCAGTCTTTAGAATGTGCTCAGTAATTATTGTTGACTGGCTGAGTTACAAGAAATTGGAGCAAATGTTTGAAAACGCAAACACATTATAGCAATACTTTCCCCCATGATTTACCTTTTTATTTTAATTCCAGTTCAACAAATATCCTGCCTCTGTATTCATAAACAATACAACATGAAGGAAATTAGGCTCCCCTAGTACATCAGTGAAAATCAATATCAGATTCTCTAAAAATACTTCCAGACAACAAAAGCTTAAGGAAATAGCTTATTTTACTTATCCATGCCAGTCAGGGTACACGATAGGGAGTCCAAATGGTGTCAGTGACCCAGGATCTTGGCGTTCTGCCATGCTCAATGTATGGCTTCCATCTTGTAATCTAGGATGGTTGCTCTTGTCTCCATCATTGTGTACATGTTGTGGCTAATACAACGGTGATAAGAGAAAGTAGAGGGCATCGCTCTTCAAGAGAAAGTCTCTTGTAAAGAAAAGCTGTGAAGTTACATGGGACAGTTCTCCGCTCATATTTTAATTAGCTATAACCTTGACATATAGCCACCCAAAGCTGCAACAGGAGGCTTGGGTGTGTAGTGTTTGGCTGTGTATCCACCTGAAATTCAACAAATGCATTTTAAAGAAATAAAAGAGAATTAATATTGGTAGGCAACACTAATAAAGTTTCTAAAGTGATGGGACATTTTATTTTAGGGATATATATTTGTGAGGGACTGATTTTTTTTTCATTCTTTTGCCCATATATTATACATGCTGCTGACAACGTTTCAATGATGTTACATACACCAGAAACACAAAAATCAGAATGTAGTATTTGACTAAAAGAAATTTAAAAAGAAATTTGGAGATGAGGAGGAAATATATGAGTAATTACTTTCTTTTTTTTTTTCTTTTTTTTTTTTTTTTTTTTTTGAGATGGAGTCTCACTCTATCGCCCAGGCTGGAGTGCAATGGTGCAGTGGCACGATCTCAGCTCACTGCAAGCTCCGCCTCCTGGGTTCACGCCATTCTCCTGCCTCAGCCTCCCCAGTAGCTGGGTCCACAGGTGCCCGCCACCACGCCCGGCTAATTTTTTGTATTTTTAGTAGAGACTGGGTTTCACTGTGTTAGTCAGGATGGTCTCGATCTCCTGACCTTGTGATCCGCCAGCCTGGGCCTCCCTAAGTGCTGGGATTACAGGCGTGAGCCACCGCGCCTGGCCCATATGAGTAATTACTTTCAACATAACTCTTACAACTCTAATAAATCCATAAAATTTGACCTTCAAATGTTGTTGAATGTCAGGGAAATGAGGCCAGAAAACCCCAATGTAAACTGTTACACATTGATATTCAACTGTATTTTACCCTCATAACTTAATTATTCCACATAAACTTAGCTTTTCTATAATTAGTCTGCATTTAATACATTACAACTCTGAGTTTAAACTTTTAGTACCATAGACAAAAATTAATTTACCTCCTTCCCAACAAACTAACTTACTTCAAGGTGGTGATATTAAAATACACTTTAAAAACATGTTTCTCAAGGAAGATTCTTTGTGTTCATTGGAAAAGAAAGGAAAGAAAAGCAGCAGCATCATTGTGACTATTCATCCTAATGTGTGGGTATCATGACTGACTAATAGAAAACAATGCACTCATTCGTCTTCCCTCTTTGATTATAGTAACTAACACGCAGCAATGGGCCTTAAGTCTTGAAAACTTATATTCCAAAAATACATATGTATATATAAATATATGTGTGTGTGTGTGTGTGTGTGTGTGTATATATATATATATATATATATGTATGTATATTGAGACAAGGGCTTACTCTGCTGCTCAGACTGGAGTGCAATGGTGTGAACACGACAGTCGTGACTACCTGGGCTTAAGTGACCCTCCCACCTCAGCCTCCTGAGCAGCTGAGAACCGATGTACATGCCACCATGTCCAGCTATTTTTTTATTATTTTTTTATTATTTTTATTATTATTATTTGTAGAGACAGGTCTTGCTATGCTTTTCAGGCTGGCCTTGAACTCCTAGGCTCAAAAGATTCTGTGGCCTTGGCCACCCAAAGTGCTTGGATTACAGGAGTAAGCCACTGGACCCATCCCATATTCTAATATTCCTTATTTGATTTTAGAGATACCATTTTGACTGGGATTTATTTTGTGACAGAGATATGTATTAACTCTGCTTATCTTTGATTGCAAGCCCCATTATGAAGAGTTCTCATTCTCATAGCTCAACCTTAATTGTAAGTCAACAACAACAACAAAAACAAAAGACACAAAAATCCAGTACGTAGAGCTGAAGTATTCTATTCTGTATGAAACTTTTGCCTTGATTTTAATGATCAATGTTTAGCATTAACTAAGGCTCAGTAATCTTTGCATTAATTTGTTTTAATCTTTAAATCATAGCCTCATTGCTGAGACTATAAGCTGTACTCAAAGCAGTAAAGTACAGGTTTTCAAACTTCAGTCTGCATCAAATCAACTGGATGACTTTCAAAACACAAACTTTTGAGACAACCTACAGAATGGGAGGAAATATTTGCAAACTATGCATCTGACAAAGGTTTAATATCCAGCATTCATAATGAACTTAAATACATTTGCAAGAGAAAAACCAACAACCCCAATAAAAGTGGGCAAAGGAAACAAACAGACACTTTTCAAAAGGAGACATGCATACAGCCAGCAAACACATAAAAAATGCTCAACATTACTGATCATTAGAGAAATGCAAATCAAAACCACAGTGGGATACCATCCCACAGCAGTCATGATGGCTATCATTAAAAAGTCAAAAAGTAACAGATGCTGGGAAGCTTGTGGAGAAAAGGGAACATATACACTGTTGATGGGGGAGTAAATTAGTTCAACCATTGTGGAACACATTATGGCAATTTCTCAAAGAGCTAAAAAACAGAACTACAATTTGACCCAGAAATCCCATTACTGCATATATACCCAGAAGAATATAGGTTATTCAACCATAAAGGCACATGCATGTGAATGTTCATTGCTAAACTATTTGCAATAGCAAAGACATTGAATCAACCTAAATGCCCATCAACGACAGATTAGATAAAGAAACTGTGGTACATATACACCATGGAATATTATTCAGCCATAAAAAAGAATAATATCATGTCTTTTGTGGGAACGTGGATGAAGCTGGAAATCATTATCCTTAGGAAACTAATGAAGGAACAGAAAACCAAATACTGCATGTTCTCACTTATAAGTGGGAGCTAAATAATGAGTACTCATGAACACGAAGAAGGAAACAGCAAACACTGTGGTTTACTGCAGGGCAGAGGTTGGGAAAAGGTAGAGGAACAGAAAAAATAACTATTGGTTACTAGACTTAATACCCTGGTGATTAGATAATCTGTACAAAAAACCCATGACATGAGTTTAAATGTATAACAAATATGCACATGTACTCCTGAATGTAAAATAAAAGTTAAAAATAAAAAAAAAATCACAGAAATTTTTGTACTCCAACCCGAGTTTCTCATTCAGTATGTCCTAGGTAAGAATTCATAATTTGCATTTCTAACAAGTTCCCAGGGGATGCTGAGGCTGCTACTCTCTAGTGTGTGGACTACATTTTGAGAAACTTCGGTATGCACAGCCAGCGTTTTGATTGCTGCAAGTTCTTTCTCTGAACAGAGCTACGGTGTCTAAGATCTCTGTAAGTGGAGTGATAACCACAGCCTTCTCTTCAAGAGCTGAAAAATAGATTTTCCTTGATGCCACTACACTATCAAGCACATATGGTGTAGCTATGCTTTCATCATTCAAGCTTATGGTCTGACCTTTTGGTCAAATAATGCTTATCATTACAAAATTCAAATACTTTTTTAAAAATGTTATTTTAAATTATTCGAAATTAGCCCACAAAATACAGCTTCTTAAGTAGATAATTATAATGAGAAGGGTATTGCTAAATAGTATAGCATCAAATCAAAATACTATAACATAAATGCTGTTTAAAATTCCATAGTAAAGTATCTGACACAGAGGTACAATTACACAAAAGATTTATTTTACTAAAATATAAGAATATGGCTAACAGTAACAATGTGACAGGTAGACTATAAATAAATATTGAGGCCAAATTTAGAATATTTGTAGGAAGCATATGAGTGGTCAACTGAACAAGTACAAACAAAACAGATAAATTTTTTGTGATGACTTCCAGTAACAAATAAATAAAATAGAGTGAAAGCATGAAAGAAAATGAGATATTTTAGATATTCATTTTATTTTGCAGTATTTTTATCGTGTCCATTTTTAGTGGAAAGAGGTATAGTTACAAATATCATTAAGCCACATTTTGCAGCATTCATTTTCTCTGACTAGTTGTGAGGAAACAAACCTTACATGACGAAAGAAAGCGATTATGATTTCAAATGATTAAAAGTTGTTTTATATGTCTTACTTTTATTTTGAGGTATTTTAAATCTTATATGCAAATCTAAAACAGTGTCTAATTTAAGTTGGGAGTAGCAACCTCCATCTTAATGGTAGGACAATAGTGTGTCAAACACTCACTATGTAAGAATCTGAAACTAAATGAGTGACTATTTTAATTAATTTATTTTTAATTGATTCATTTTTAGAGTAGATTTAGGTTTACAAAAATAATGAGCAAAAGATATGGAGTTCTCATAACCCTCTTACCTTTCTGTCATGCAATTTTCCCTATTATTATTATCTTGCGTTAGTATAGTACATTTGTTACAATTACTGGACCAGTATTTATACATCATTATTAATTATAGCATATGGTTTATATTAGGATTCACTGTGCGTTATAGAGTTCTATGGTTTTTGATACATGCATAATGTCATGTATCCACCATTATAGTATCATGCAGGGTAATTTCACAGTGCTCAATATTCTCTGTGCTCCATCTAGTCATTCTTCTCTCCTTACCCCAGACCCTGGGCACCACTCTCTTTTCGTTGTCTCAATAGATCGTTCACTTAACAATATGTATTTCAGCTTTTCATGCTTGATGGCATATTTCTTTTTATTAAGTAATATTCTGCTATACCAATGTATTGCATTGTATTTATTCATCTATTGAAAGACATACTCGTTGCTTCCAAATTTAGAGAATTATCAATAAAACCACTATAAACATTTATGAGCATGTTTTTGTGTGGACATACTTTTCAACTCGTTTGGATAAATACCTAAGAAATCAGTTGCTGGATTATAGGGTAAGACTATGCTTATATTGTAAGAAACTGCCAAACTGTCTTCCAAAGTGGCTGTACCATTTTACGTTTCCACCATCAATGAATGAATTCCTTCTGCTCCACATCCTTGCCATCATTTGTTAGTTTTTCAGATATTAGACATTCTAATTGGTGTATAATGGTATCTCATCATGTTAATTTGAAGTTCCCTAATAACATATTGTTTTGAGCATCTTTTCTTATGTTTATTTACCAACTACATATCTTCTTTGAGGAAGTGTTAAGATACAATTATTTGGGCTTCTAGTTCAACATACAAATAGTGTAGCCCTCAAAAAATTCAGTTTCAGATCTTAAAGATTTCATTTTCTTTTTACTTGGTCTCAGTGGAAACTCTCAATTTCTGTCTGTTCCATCTATTACGTAAGATTTTTCAGCATAAATAAATATCAAATAAAAGCAGTTATAAAATTGTCTTCCTAAAATCCAAGCTGAAGAAAAGATAATTCATCGCTTTCAAAACTACTGTGTAACAATCAACTTTTTTACATGAATTTATGAAAATATCCTGCCAAATCTGAAATAAATAATGTTAAGATATACATTTTCAATAGCATAATCATCCCTCAGGATCTAACAAGGATATTTTTATTTGTAATATAGGTACATAAACTACATGTAGAAATGAACATATTTATATAAATTGTCTTGTATATAATTACATAATTTTATATAAAAAATTAAATAATTTATCTCAGTCATATGGCTAATTCAGTTATCACTTAATTGAAACATATTTAATTAAATTATATCATTTTAATTGTTGCACATATGTGCTACTACTATTTATTTTGTTAATACAATTAAACTTAATTGAAGAAAATGGTTGAGAGGCAAGTTTAATTTTTTTTTAATTATTGAGAATTTTATTCACTATAGGACACTTTGTGTTTTACACACCAGGTAACCAGCTATGGATATTTTACCTTCCAAGTTTCTGTCAATAATTTATTCCTATGTAATACTTGAAGATATTGAAGAGAGTTATCATTTTAATATTTGCTTCATCAATAAACATGATTAGATTATACTGAAATCATGGAAATTCTATGAACTGCTTATCCTCTGTATTTTATTACAAAAGTTTTGGGGGGTAAATAACATTTGGATACAGACAGATTTGGTGGTGTTACAAAACAACATTTTTCCCTGATTGAATATGTTGCCACATAATGGACTTGGCTAACATCTTTCATATGCATTTATACCTATATATTTGCATAGTTGTAAATGGCATCTTATAAAAGGGGTACTGGAAAACTGTCACTATTCTTTCACCCTGTATTAAAGTTAAAATATGGGAAACTATATAGTTAACTAATAACCTTTTTGAATAGTCAGATTGAAATAATAATAATACCTTAAGTCTCCGTGTAACTCACTATCTTAGAGTTTCGACCAGAAAGTCAGATTTAATATACATTAAACACAGTGATACTAGTTCCAGGACCCAATTTAATAACTTGGGAGTCATAGGTGTACTTTAAGTAAATAGGATTATGAATATAAATGTGAGGATTTGTATAAATATGGACCTACACAATATTGCTGTGCTTTACTCTTCATGTTTGTGACACTGAGAGGAATGATGGCCAACCAGAAGAAGATACATCCATACTGGTAGGCAGCTGCGAGAGATAAAAGTGGTGGCCAGCAAGGAAACAGGCTAGAGAGAATAGGAGATTCTTTGAAACTGCTTCTTTCCTCAACTCTTAGCAGGGTATTTTGTGCAAGCATCCAGCTCCTTCAGCTCTATCAGGCAACAGCAGGGGTATCAGTGGCTATTGAGATAAACAAGCAATAGAGAGGCAATTGAGACAAAAGGGAAGTACTGTCTATTTATCAGTAGTTGTAGTTTAGTCTAAAAGGGTGAAATGGAGATACTCATGCTACATTAAGCAACAGCAATTGAACTAGAATTGTTATTTATAAAAATATGTAAACATATCTATGGATTCTTAGGTAGAATTGTGAAACCTGCAAAATATTGGACTGCTAGCTAACAAGCAGGAGGTGGCTTGTACCACTCAATTTTTGAATTGATAGCCAGACTTTTTCTGAACTGAGGCAGCAATATACTGAAATCATAACCAGGTTTTTTAAAAAGGGATGTTTTATCTTGGAACCTTTTTAAAGTTAGAAGAAAAATATTGCTAAAGGACTGAGAAAAGAACCCGAATGATCAGCTTTAGGACCAAATATTAAGATACTTTGATCAAAATAAATTCAACTCTTCAATATAAATAAGTATGAAAATAATCACCTGTAATGATAAACTAGTGACATTCAGTTTGCCATTAAACAGTACAGGAGTGCTGTTGCTAATAAGGAAGAATGTTATAATAGTACCTATCTAACTTGGCAGAGCCATTCATTGAAAAGATTAAAAATCACCTAGAAGTATTATAGGTTGTCAACTAAGAGAATGTAAATTAAAATTTTAAACTAAAATAATATTGCATGTATCAGATAACATACACATACATATATACACACACAAATAAAAAAAAGCAGGAGTAGGCAGAATAAAGAACAGGAGGAAGGTTCAAGCTAGGACAAAGCAGGTAGCTGCAATCCAAACTGCATTTGCCATGCAACTGTAATAGATGCAGAAACTTTGGAGAAAAATTATGCATTAGCACAAAGATCCATGTCAGTATTATGGCTTCTAGGTCCTGTAAGGGTCTAGAACACAGGCTCCACAGAAGTGCTTTGAAGAGTCAGCCAATTTCCTACAACGTTCTATTCTAAAGTAACAAGTAGTAGATGAACCTCAATACTCAAGATGGCACAAAATTAATGCTCATAAGCATGCAGAAGTCCTTGAATATTCCCCTTCAACTTCTCATTAAAACATACACAATCAAGAAGAATAAAGAAGAAATTGAATCAAACAGTTACTAAAAACTGAAATACAGGGCTGCACAGAAGTATATAAAATCGATTTTGAATTCTTGATTTGGGTTAAAAAGTTGTAGTTACATTGCCTATGATACAGTCTAAATTAATAAATTAACCACGATTAAACAATGGTGAATGACCATTGTGAAATTTCCAGAATGAAAAAAAGAAAGTATCTACAAGTATCCTCTACAAGGATACAAGTTGAAAGTATCCTACAACTAATATCACTCTACAAAAAAGGTGAAGTGGCGTCCTCAAATTATTTTGCAATGCTACATAAACCCCTCAGAAGTTATTGTTTTCTTAAAGGAGAACGGCTTTTTATGTAATATTTCCATACCAAGATAAAGTATTCATGCAAAATGGTAAGAAAAAAACAATTTTATTTATGCAAAGGCAAAATAGGCCATTTATTAAGCCAGAAATACAAGACAGTTTAATATTATAAATCAAACTATATATTGCATCAAAAGGTCAAATGAGAATTTACTTTTTATATAATGTAAATTTATCCCTAGGAGATATGCTAATGGAAACATCATTTATATATAGTCTAATTGCTGTTATGGAATTCAGGACATATAATTTACCATATAGTTACGAAATAATTTGCCTGCCATCATTAGGGATTTAAGTGTTCTAGTTAAGTGAATTTTCAATACCCTTAAAATTTTAAAAACTCATTAATTTTAAATATATTACATACTTCACTGACTTAATAAACAGGGTTTTTTAATAAAATCTGGTATGCTAATAAATGTAAAATTGTCATTATGAATATCTATTACTATGCTCTATTACAATGATAACTTAGGGCTGTTTGTTCAGGACCTAACTAAGAGCTGCATTGTAAGATACGAACAATTTGGATGAAGCATGAAAAATATATATTTGATAATAAGTGTAACTATTCTTTCTCCTATGCTTTTCTCTTGAGTCTACTGTCAATTCAAAATGAGTATGTTTATAATACTTCTATTCTCTTCAAACCTGCTGACGTGTTATTTAAAGAGAACAAAACTAAATGATTTCATAGGCAGACAGGAAACGTCATACTTTTAAGTAAACTTTTAAATTTTAGAACAGATTTTAATTTACAGAAAAATCATGATGATACTCCAGAGTTCCCATATACAGCATATCTAGCTTATTTTATGTTAGCATTTTAGATTACGTAGTTCTCAATTAATTAACAAATATTAATACATTATTACTAAAGTTCACAGTTATTCAGATTTCATTAGTTTTTTACCTAACTTTTTTATTATTCCAGGATTCTACCCAGGATACCATATTACATGCAGTTTTTATGTTTGCTTATCCTCCTTTGGGCTCTACCAGTTTCTTATTCTGGTCAGGTTTTGGTAGAATGTTCTTAGTCAAGATTTGTTTGACGCATTTGTGATGATTAGACTTGGAATATGGGTTTTGGGGAGGAAGATCACAAGGAGAGGTGACATTTTAATCACATTTTATTCAGAGAACATGCTATCAACATGAATTATTACTATTAATGTTGATCTTGGTCACCTGGTTGAGGTAGTGTTTTTCAAGCTTCTCCACTCTAAGATACTCCTTTCTTGCCCCTTTCCATACTGTACTCTTTAGAGGGATGTCACTATGAGCAGCCAGCATTCAAGCAATGGGCATTGTGCTCTATTTTCTTGAGTAAGGATTATCTACACAAATTATTTGGAATTCTTTGGCATGGGATATTTATCCATTCTTTCCTATTTACTTAGTTATTCAATCATATATTGATATAAGTAAGAATATTCATTTTATACTTTGGCTACAACCCAATACTACATTACATGCATTAGGCATATTATTTGAGCAATGGCCCCTAAGAGTTCTTTTAGTTGGTTCCTCTGTCCCTTTGACATACGTCCATCATTCTGGGTTTTGAGGAGATTTTTTTGGAACACTTCCTTTCTTTATGACACTTCAAACATTCCAGGATCAGCAGTCCCAGAATCAGCCATTACTCCAAGAACTCTGGATACTTTAATTGGAAGATGTATTAGAATGCAAGTTCTGGACACTAGGCATTCTCATTGTTACTGGGATGTCATGGCTTATAGGTCCTCTCAGCTGACAGAACAAGGAAATATGTATCTGTATACTAATTCACATATATACACATGTATATGATTATTTCTATATAAAATCATCAGTATCTATATTTAACTACCTAAATTAAACTTGAGTTTATACTGATGACTCCAATTCTAATCCATTGCCATATGGACTCCCTTGCTTATATGCAATCTCTCACTCCAACAATAAGAAACCTACTTACTTACTTACTTCATTGATTCCATTGTGCTATGGTTTGGATGTTTGTTACCCAAACCTCATGTTAAGATTTGATCCTATCGTTGGAGGTGGGGCCCAATGGGAGGTGTCTGTGTCACAGGGGCACATTCCTCATAAACGCCCTCTCTTGTGGGTGAGTGACTTCTCATTCTATTAGTTCCCCTGACAGCTGGTTGTTAAAAAGAGCCTGGCATGTTCCTCTTCTCTCTTTTTTGCTTCCTTTCTCACCATGTGATTTCTGCACATACTGGCTCCCCTTTGCCGTCTGTACAATCTGCAAGGCTACAAGCTAAATAAAACTCTTTTCTTTATAAATTACTCAGTCTCAGATATTCGTTTATAGTAACACTTAGTCTACACTAATAGACTAAGACAATCATTGTTTCAGGTTTGTTAACATTTACCCAAATAGGAAGTAACTTTATTACCTAGAATAGTGTTCACTTATAGTTGCTCATAGTTAATTTTGTCCTTAGTCTTATAGAATCAATTTATTTCCAAAGCTACTAAGGTAAGCATCTATTTACCCACATGATTTAGGAAGGATTTTTAATATATTTATAATACAAATATTTTCCTTTGTTACATTCTGCATTCCTTCCTTAGATCTCAAAACTTCTAAATGATTTTTTTAGATTTCATACATTAGGTTAACACTTTGTGGTGTGAGTTCCATACATTAGGTTAACATTTTGTGTTGCTATGTATCCAATATGATAGCAACATACAGCACAGTTTCATCATGTTAAATAATCCACTGTACTTCATCTATTCCAATCTCATCCTACCCAAGCCCCTGAAAAACACTGATCTGCTTACTGTCTCCGTAGTTTTGTCTTGTCCTGAATGTCAGATAAATGGAATGATAGAGTACATAGTCTTTTTAGACTGACTGATTCCATCTTTCAATATGTATTTAAGATTAATTTATGTCTTTGCATTGCTTAACAGTTCATTATTTGTTATCACTGAATAGTATGTCATTGCATGGACATATCAAAGTTATCCATTTATCTATGCAAGGACATCTTGATTGTTTCCAATTTTTGGTAATTATGAATAAAGCTGTTTATAAAATTCTTATGCAGGTCTTTGTGTGGACATAAGATTTCAACTCAACTGGGTAAATACCTAGTATTATTCTATAAATGTCAATTAATTCAAGTTGATGGATAGTGCTGTTCTAGTCTACTATATCTTTACTGATTTTCTGTTTGCTTGATCTATCAATTACTGGAATAGGGGTTTTGAAGTCTACAACTGTAAGAGTGGATTTCTTTTCTCTTTTCAATTCAATCATTTTGCCTCATATATTTTGACATTCTAATGGAATGGACTCAAACAATCCTCCCATCTAAGCCTCCTGAGTATCTGGGACTATAAGTGTGCTAATTTTTTTTTTTTTTTTTTTTTTTTTGGTAGAGACAAGGTTTTACCAGGTTGCCCAAGGTGGTCTTGAACTCCTGAACTCAAGCTATCTGCTACCCTTAGCCTCCCAAAGTGTTGGGATTACAGGCATAAGCCACTGCACCTGGTCTTCCACTTCATTTTCTTCTTGCTTATACAATTTCTCATGAAAAGTCCACTATAATTCTTATCTTATACCCCTGTGAGTAAACACCCTCCCCACCTTATTTCAAGATTTTTTTTTTTTTTTTTTTTTTTGGAGACGGAGTCTAGGTCTGTCATCAGGCTGGAGTACAGTGGCGTGATCTTGGCTCACTGCAAGCTCCGCCTCCCGGGTTCAAGCAATTCTCCTGCCTCAGCCTCCTGAGTACTTGGGATTACAAGCATGCGCTGCCATGCCCAGCTAATTTTTTGTATTTTTAGTGGAAACGGGGTTTCACCATGTTGGCCAAGATGGTCTCCATCTCCTGACCTCGTGATCCGCCCGCCTTAGCTTCCCAATGTGCTGGGATTATAGGCGTTTGAGCCAAAAGTGCTGGGATTATAGGCGTGAGCCACCGTGCCCGGCCAGATTTTTTTGTTATTGCTTTATTACAGTTTGAATATAGGTCT
The DNA here is from genome assembly GCF_000001405.40 of Homo sapiens. Taxonomy (NCBI): domain Eukaryota; kingdom Metazoa; phylum Chordata; class Mammalia; order Primates; family Hominidae; genus Homo; species Homo sapiens. Next base: position 184,576,099 of record NC_000002.12, on the reverse strand, counting down.
AAGTTGGCTTGTTGGTTTGGTTTATTTTATTTATTCTGTTTGGTCACGTTCTTTGAGCTTCATGGACCTGGGTTTTGGTTTGGTGTCTAATATGGTTTGGCTGTGTCCCCCACCCACTCATCTTCAATTGTAGCTCCCATAATCCCCACGTGTTATGAGAGGGACCCAGTGGGAGGTAATTGAGTCATGGGGGCAGTTACATTCATGCTATTCTTGTGTTAGTGAGTGAGTTCTGATGAGATCTGATGGTTTTATAAGGAACTTCTCCCACTCTTCACTCTCATTCTCCTTCCTGCCACATGTAAAGAAGGACATGTTTGCTTCCCCTTCCGCCATGGCTGTAAGTTTTCTGAGGCCTCCCCAGCCATGCTGAACTGTGAGTCAATTAAGCCTCTTTCCTTTATAAATTACCCAGTCCTGGGTATGTCTTTATTAGCAGCCTGAGAACGGACTAATACAGCGTCTGTTATTAATTTTAGAATGAACTCAACCATTACTGCTTCAAATATTTATTATGCTCTGTGTTCTCATTACTCTTTCCAGTATTCCAATTACAGTTATGTTATAAATGTAATATTGTGCTACAGTTCTTGATATTGTGCTACAGTTCTTGGATGTTTTGTTATATATTGTTTTATTATTTTTTCTTTATATATTTTAGGAAAGTTTTCATTGACTTTCCTTCAAGTTCATTGATTATTTTATAAGCTATGTCTAGTCTACCGATGACATCAAAGGCATTCTTCATTTCTCTTAGTCTTTTTCATTTATAGTGTTTCCTTTTCATTCTTTCCTAGGATTTCCATCTCTTCTTATACCACTTGTTTCATATGTTGTCTATTTTCCACTTGAACCCTTCACATATTTATCATAGTTATTTTAAATTCCTTTTCTGATAATTCCAATATTTGTGTGATATGGTTTGGATTTGTGTCCCTACTAAAATCTCATGTCGAATTGGAGGAGGGGCCTAGTGGGAAGTGCCGTGATCATGGGGGTGGATTTTTCCCTTGATGTTCTTATGATAGTGAGTTGTGATGGTATAAATGTATGTGGCACTTCCTCCTTCTTTCTTTCTTTCCTGCTGCCTTGTGAAGAAGATGGTTGCTTCCTCTTTGCCTTCTGCCATGATTGTAAGTTTCCTGAGGCCTTCCAGTCATGCTTCCTATTAAGCCTGTGGAACTGTGAGTCAATTAAACCTCTTTCTTCATAAATTACCCAGTCTCAGGTAGTTCTTTATAGCAGTGTGCCATACCTGAGTCTGTTTCTGATGATTGCCTGGTTTCCTCAGAGTGTGTTTTTTCTTGATTTTTGGCATGGCTTATAATTCCGTTGTTGTTAAAATGAAGGCATGTTGTAATGTTCAGTCATTAGTAATGTCGGGTAATGGAAACTGAGGTAAATTGGCCTTTAGTATTTACGTTAATATGGCTCGGAGTTGAAAAGTGTTTAATGTTTGCTGTAGCTATAAGTGCTAGTGAATACAAATTTCTCCAGTTTCCTTGGTTTTATTTCCCCTCTTCATTTTAGGGTTCCCTAAGTACTCTTGCTCAGAGATAGTCTGTATCTTGCATTTCTTTTAGCTATAACCCATTGTTATTATGCTGGAGCACTCACTCTTGGTATGGTGGTAAGGTATATAACAGAAGTGAGTGTCAACTTGATTGAATTGAATGATGCAAAGTATTGTTCCTGGGTGTGTTTGCGAGGATATTGCCAGAGGAGATTAACATTTGAGTCACTGGTCTGGGAGAGGCAGACCCAGAGTGGCTAGAATAAAGCAGGTAGAAGAAGGTGGAAAGAACAGACTTGCTGAGTCTTCCAGGCTTCAACTTTCTCCCCTGCTGGATGCTTCCTGTCCTTGAACATCGGATCCCAAGTTCTTCAGTCCTGGATTCTTGGACTTACACCAGTGATTTGCCAGGGTTCACGGGCCTTCAGCTAAGGCTGCACTGTCAGCTTTCCTTTTTTGAGGTTTTGGAAGTTTAACTGGTTTCCTTGCTCCTCAGCTTGCAGACCGCCTACTGTAGGAAATCAACTTGTGATCGTGTGAGTCAATTCTCTTTTAAACTCCCGTTCAGATATACATATATCCTATTAGTTCTGTCCCTCTAGGGAACCCAGATTAATATATCAGTGCACGCTTTACTCAATTTTGTTTTTAGGGGAATTTTGATAGAAGTTTTGTGAGGAATCAGTACATACAATTAAAATGGAAAAGTTGTGTTGAGAGGAGATTATTTCTTAGATAAAGTCTCTTAAATATATTGAACTACTCTTTCCCTTTCTCCATGACAATCTGCATTATAACACTTTAATTTTTTCTCTGGAAGAGAGCGGAAGTTATAAAATTATTTTAGAACCACTTTTTATTATTATTATATTTTAATTCTGGGATACATGTGCAGAAAGTGCAGGTTTGTTACATAGGTATACATGTGCCATGGTGATTTGCTGCACCCATCAATCCATCATCTAGGTTTTAAGCCCTGCATGCATCAGGTGTTTGTCTTAATGCTGTTCCTCCCCTTCTACCCCACCTCTGACAGGCCCCAAGGTGTGATGTTCCCCTCCCTGTGTCCAGGTGTTCTCATTAGAACCACATTTTTAAGAAGCAAAAATATACATTTACATTATCCTTTGCTTTTTGACAGTTATTCCTCTCAAAAATCTTTTTGATAAAATATTTTGTTTAACCATTCATTACAGAATCTTAGGTATGTAAATAGTAATTTATTTTACCTATTTTATATTTTTGGCTTTTCGATTTTCAGTTTATTTCCTTTCCCCAATAAAACACATTGCAACAGAATTATAACATGCTACAGCCAGTCATGTTCCAAATGAGATAATCTGGAATCAACTCCTTACTTGCCTTTATAATAAAACATCTTTCTATACTATTTAATATCTTGAGTAGAGTCTTTTAGAACTTTTATTTCTACAAAAATGTAGTGAAAACTTTATGTAACCATATCTACTGGGGAAAGCAAGTGAACTTAATGATAGAAACAAGAATAGAACTCTCTTTTCCTGCTATGTGGATGTTTTTGAAATAGATCCAATCCTTGAATCTTTTATATTTGTTTAAAGGAGATATAAGATTCATTTTTATTTCAGTTATTTTTGGTTCCCTGTTATTGACAGACTCTTAGGACAGAGAACTCTTTATTAGTATCCTTATATCCAAGCCTTTAAATAAATTAAGAATTATATTGGCTTTTATAAACCTACATTTTACTATTTTAACTTTCATGTTAAACTTTAAAAAAATATAATAGAACAAATTTAAGTTCTAAAGGAGTCTTCTTAAACATACTAGACTGCTTATAGGAATGATATTAAAAATTCATAGAACTACTTGTGTACAAGATAAACTTCCCTTGAAGAGTGATTAGTTTTATTTATTATTTTATGTATATTTAGGAGAGGTTTTAACTTTTCATAGATTTCTGGCCTGACAGTTCTACAATTGGAAAAGAATCTCTGAAAAAGAGTTTTAGAAGATGCAAACTTTCTAGCAAAAACCCTTTTAGCTAAAAGATTAAGGCTCACCACATTTGTTTAAAAGTCGTAAGAATTGTTACTGTTTCATAATAACAAACTGAACCTTTGAATTTTGCCTGTGATTATCAAGGGCATAACTATCAAATTTGGTTTAATAAAATAAAGTATCTCAGATAACCTGAGTAGGCCTGATTCAGTCAGTTCAAAGACCTCAAAAGCAGAGCTGAGGTGTCCCTGATAAAGTATAAATTCTGCTTGTGGACAGCAACTTCAGCCCACACCTGAGATTTCCAGCTTGGCTGGACCTGTGGATTTGGACTTGTGTAGCCAGCCTCATAATTGTTTAAGCCAATCCCATGTAATAAATCTCTCACCATATCTCCTTACAATTTTCTTTTTCTTAATGAGCCCTGACTGATATACCGGCAAAACAAAGAAACATAAATTTTGACATGGTAGTAAATATTCATTTAATGTAAAATTGAGTTAATAATCGGGATTACTATTAAATAATCCTAAAGCAACTTTGTAAAATAACCAATTTTATATTTTATTTTATAAATAAAATATATTTTACACATTACATCGGAGAACAATTTTCACAGAGTAAATTCATCCCATTTTTTTTCCCATATGGCTCTCCAACTTTTGGCAAATGCATAAAGTAGTGTAATCACCACTATAATCAACATTAAAGTTGCTTGTCACATTAGAAAATTTCCTCTTGTCTTTTTTTCAGCTAACCACTCTCTCCCACTACCAACAATTAAAAACCATTTATCTATTTTCTGTTCCTATAGTTTGTTTTTTTCCAGAAATGTCATATAAGTGATACTGTACATAACCTTTTATATCTGTATAATTTTACTTAGAGTAGTGCCTTGTGGTTCATTCATATTGTTGTGCACATTAGTTCTTTCCATTTTAATGTAGTGTTCCTTTGGATGAATGTACCACAGTGTGTTTAGACATTCTTCAGTAAAAAGAAATTTGTGTTGTTTCATATTTTGATGATTACAGTTCAGCCCCTGTAAGTAAGCCTACTTGCTTTTTTTCATTGTCTCTTGAATGTATTCATTTATTTATAAAATATTTACAGAACTCCTGTTTTGTGAGTAGGTTAATAGTACTGGAGATACAATGATGTGTAAGGTAGTCATTGCTCTACAAGTTGTGATAAAGTTGGCTAAACAATAACTTTGGGAGTGGTGGATGCTTAAGGCACATGAGGCTCACACAGTTTAGCATAATTTGTGGAATTAGGAAATGATATCTAATTCCACAAGTTATATGGGAATTAGAAATCACTCACATGAAATGAGAGCTTTAAGTCTGTGTCTGAAAAATCCAAACAAGATTTCTAAAATCAAGAAACCATAGTTCATCCTTGGCCCTGTCAAATAACATTTTGCCAAGTCCTGAAAACCTGCTGGATCTCAGTTTTTTTATCTGTCAAATAACTCTGGATTAGATAAGTTCTATAACTCTTTAAATAGCTCTAAATTTTATAATTTTTAACATATTTTATGACTAATAAGTGTGAATTCAAAACACTTGTCAATAAGAAAAAAGTATTAAATTCTGTAGAACGTTAAAAATGCTATTACATTTCTAGAAATGTTAGAAAATCTAGTTTTAGGGTGTTGTTAAAAAATTTTTGAACTGAGATCAACATTTAAATCCCCGAATCCTGTGTTAGTTCACATATTTCTTAATCTACAGATGCATGCATACAAATATTTAGAGATAATTTGTTTTCTACACTTTTAAGGATTTTTTCTCAGGGAATGAAAAACTTAGTAGAAACCTTAAAATGTTTTTTGTACCAAATTTTGAAGTAGACAACTTAGGCACAGAGGTCTGGATAGAGGGATTAGAGGTAATAATCTATTTTATCTAAATAGAAAATTACATTGTCTAAAACAATTCTGATATAGCCTTCAAATTATATAGGACCAAAGAAAGGAAAACATTTTGAAGGAGCAATTAATTCTTGTCCGATGATTTTCATCCTTCTAGAATTTTATTTCTGATATCTCTCTGACAAAAATAGTTTTCCAGTAGCTTCAGATACATTATTTTCAAGGTAGACCTCAAGGAGAGAATTTAAGGTAGGAATAATAGAAGCTCCCAGACACATTATCATGCGTTAAGAAGGGTAGATGCAAATGACCTGGTGGACCTACTCTACTAACATATCTCAATGCCATTAAAAGTACTGCACATGTAAGATTTGAAAATTAATTATGTAGATTGTAGTTTCTGTGTACAGCAAATTTGAAACTGAAAATTATTATAAGTTGAAAAGGCATGTTTCAATTTCTATTTTTAAAATAACTCTTGAATATGCATAGACAATTAAAAATACATTTTCTAGATAGCAAATAGTATTCATCAAGTAATATTTGAATTCATTTTAATCAAAACCCTTATGGTTTTAATTATGAATTTTTTCCTAACTTTTTCATTTCTTGTAATTTAAATGCCTGTTTTGAAATCTTTTTATGAAAACTTGAAACTCATTTTCCTTTGGATACAGTGTTAAATTTCTCCCAAAAAATACATAGTGTCAGACAAACATATTTTATTCCATGTCTTGTACCATGACAAGCACTGAGAATAAAACAGTGAACATCATGTCTGCCTTGAACAACACAGTTCGCCCACTTGAATTAATTAAATGTATATACATGCATGCTTGTGAGGGCAAGTGGATGTGTATTTGTGTGTGTGGGTGTGTGTGTACATGTCATTTTCATTTCAAAGAATTTGCATAAAATAGACTTGATTACTTCAGTGAATTTAAACTGCTAATTAATAAGAGAAAAGTAGAAATCAATAACTGAAGGATAGAAATTCTGAAATGTTTGGAAATTAAGGAGTATTAATAAATAATATGTCAAGTAAATCACAATGGAAATTTTAAAAATATTAAACAAAAAAAAAGGAAATACAACATATCAGGACTTATGAGGCCGACCCAGTGCTTAGAGGAAAAGTTACCTCTAAATATATATTTGCATACATCTATATTTGCATATATTATAGGTACATACATATATATTTACAAGAAGATTGAAAAATTAATAATGTAATTTTCCAACAGAAGAAAAAAAAGTTTGAAAAACTCAAAGAATATGGAAGAAACCCAGTAATAAAAGTAAGAGTAGAACTTAATGAAATAGAAAGTAGATGTACAATACAGACCCACATCAACATTTGTTACCTTTTTTCTTTCATTAAAGACAAAAGAGATTCTGTGAATAAAAAAAATTTGTGTCCCTGTTTATTCACAATAAATAAGGGATATTACTACAGGTATTAAAGACATTTATAGACAATAAGATGTTTAAGAAACCGTATGTCTGTATACCAATTAATATAAAATTGACAAATTCTAAGAAAAATGTTTTAATAGCTGTGTTTTTAAAGAAATTTTTTCATTCTTTCAACAAATGAGGAAAAGGCACTTGTTAAAATTCAATATTTCTTTAAAATACAGTCTCTCAGTAAAGGGAACTTACAAAATCTGTTAAAATTCATCTACAATAAAAAAGTGTCAACATCATACTTAAAGGTAAAATATTCAACACTTTTCATCTTAATTCAAAGGACACAAAATATTCATTCTTATAATTTTTACTCAATCTTATATTGGCTTTCCTATCCAGGAGAAAATAGCAGGAAAGGAAAAAAGTTATAAAGAATGAAAAGCACGAGTAAAACTGACATTATTTGAAAATGAATTATTTTGTACATTAAAAAATCCAAAAGAAATTATGTAAATATTATTAATGAAACATATGTTATTAAATAAATTAAAATTATTCAAAGCATTAATTTAACAATGCTTCTGGATAAGAGGTCAGTATATAAAATGAATAGACTTTTAACTTTTAACAACAAAAAACAGAATTGAGATTAAAAAGCAATATCATTTACAATAACGTCAAAGATGTAGAATACCTAGGAATAAATTTAATAAAAGATGTTCAAGACTTCTAAATTGGAAACAAACTAAACCATTTCTGAGAGAAAAATAATATCAGCCAAACAACTGAAGAAATATTTAAAGACCATTCATTGGATGATTCAATATTGTAAGATTTTCATCCTCCCCTAATTTTCTCTTGGTTCTGTAAAATCTAACTTCATATTGAGAATGTAAAGCACGTAACCTAAACTGAATAAAAAAGTGCTCCATTTCTTGGCTCCATCAATAGATTTAGTGGTGCTTTCTGACTTGGTCAATCCAATCAGAGTGAATCTCAGAATACTGGATGTCAAAAAATTACCAGATAAAGGTGATACCTTTTCTAGCTGGATAGAAATTAAAATAATGTTCCTTCCATGATCTCCTGGCAGCTGTATTTTGACTACATTGGGTTGTGACTGGGGGCAGTGGGCAGTTTTAGGATGAAAGCTACCTTCTGCAATGAAAGAATTGCAGAAATAAAAATGAAGTCCGATATTTGGTGAAATCATTAAGTCTCTGGGTCAAGCCTTGACTGAAGTACTTGGTAATACTGGACATTTTTGTTATTTGGGCCAACAAACTTCCTTGATTATGTAACTTATTTTGAGTTGTATTTTATATATTTTGCAGCACAACTTATTCCACCAAGAACTTCTGAATCTGAAAGTGCTTGCCATTGTAATAAAAAAACAAACAAACAGACCGGACGCAGCGGCTCACGCCTGTAATCCCAGCACTTTGAGAGGCCGAGGCGGGCAGATCAAGAGGTCAGGAGATCGAGACCATCCTGGCTAACACGGTGAAACCCCGTCTCTACTAAAAAAAATACGAAAAAATTAGCCGGGCGTGGTGGCAGGCGCCTGTAGTCCCAGCTACTCGGAGGCTGAGGCAGGAGAATGGTGTGAACCCGGGAGTCAGAACTTGTAGTGAGCCGAGATCGCGCCAGGGTGACAGAGCGAGACTCCGTCTCAAAAAAAAAAAAAAAAAAAAAAGTCACCAATAATAGGCATACTATCATGATGTTTGGTTTATTCTATTTTAAAAGCAAAAGGACAGAGAATAATCTCTCAGGAGGCTGTCTTCTACCTACACTTTATACTTTGGCATTACAGAATGTCTTGAAGCTTTGAAGATAGAATGTTCCCTGATAAATTTTGCCTCAGGTATGGGATCATTAGGATTGATGAAAATCTCAGAGTTGGGGTAGAAGAAATGCAATCTAGATATTGGAGAATTGAAGTATTTAAATGAGTGGAACAGAATGGGGAAAGTTTTCTAGAAGGCAGTAGGAGTTGGATCAATGGCATAGAAGAAGGAATAAGAAAAGTTATATTCACAAAAAAAACAGAAAAAAATCCAGCTTCACTAAAGCAAAACAACCATTTGCAGAATAATAGGAGACATTTGCACAATGAAGATCAAGGCAGATGCAACAGCACTGAAATCCAAGCTTTCAGGGCTTCATTTGGTTTTGAAGAATTGAGAAGCATCACCTATCTCTTTGAGAATTGACTGGAAAATGGAATTCCAGTAAGAGTTAGTTACAGTTAAAGCATGGGTGATAAATACATGGGTAGTGTAAATACATCTTAATTGAGAAGTGGCTGAAGACAAGAAACTCTGGGGGTTGGCAATCATAGGAAGTATTATACAGAAAAAACAGGCTGAGACAAAATGTTCAGTGAATAAACATGTCTCTACACATTGTATTCTCTCCACCTAGCATGCCCCTCCCTGTCCCTTACGCACTGAATATTTCAGTGGCAGCAGTTTTGCAAATGAACCTGGTTTCGAGTGCCAGTTTAACCTCATTAAGCTTCATTTTCCTCAGCTATAAAATCGGAAAAATAGTAATGTTTATTTTTTAGAGTTGTGTAGGATTTAATTTACTATAAGATCTAAAGTAATTAGCACAATATATAAAATAATATAAACAATTATTGTGTCCCAGAATTACACATTTGTTCTTTCATAACATTACCTTGTTAATAAAATGATTTTAACAATAGCAAAATAACAGGTAATGTCTATTGAACATCTGCCATATGACAGTCATTGAACTTCTGACGTTACATGTAGGTGTCTAATTTAGTTCTCACAACACATCTGTGAAAAATTGTTATTATTACCATTTTACATATGAGAGGACTGAAGTTAAGAGTTTAAGTTACTTTCACAGTGTCACACAACTAGCAAGTGGTAGAGCTTTGATCTGTGCTCTGGGTTACTGCGCTCTTAACCACACTATGTAGAGCCTCTCATATAGACTGCACTTACAGAAAAATATTTTAATATTTTAATTAATTGTTTACATATGTTTGTAGCCTATAAGATTTGTGGACAACAAAAAACCAACATCTACATATTTCTCATGTATTTTATATAATTTGTACATAATGCCTCTCATATAATAACCGCTTAATGTATATCAGCAGAATTGAATTTGATTTGTGGCCCAATAGCAGGCCCAATCCAGCATCTGAACATCTATACCTATACTTACAAGGCAGAAACATTTATCAAACATCTACTCTGTTTTCCTCTGACATTACAAAATGACTTCACAATAGTGACAAGCAATTGGATAAATATACAGTTACATTTTTTCCATGTTAACAGGCCAATTTGGTGATAGTATTTTACAGATGGCACAATTAAGTAATTTTCTTCCACTCAAGAATTAAGCCTTGAGGCCGGGCGCGGTGGCTCACGCCTGTAATCCCAGCACTTTGGGAGGCCGAGGCGGGCGGATCACGAGGTCAGGAGATCGAGACCATCCTGGCTAAAACGGTGAAACCCCGTCTCTACTAAAAATACAAAAAATTAGCCGGGCGTAGTGGCGGGCGCCTGTAGTCCCAGCTACTTGGGAGGCTGAGGCAGGAGAATGGCGTGAACCCGGGAGGCGGAGCTTGCAGTGAGCCGAGATCCCGCCACTGCACTCCAGCCTGGGCGACAGAGCGAGACTCCGTCTCAAAAAAAAAAAAAAAAAAAAAAAAAAAAAAAAGAATTAAGCCTTGATAATACAAATAAATCAAGTCAATGTAATGACATTTAAATAGTACAAGTATAGAATAAAACACCAACTTCATGGTTAAAACAAACAAAAACACTTTTTTGTTTGTTTGTTTGTTTGTTTGTTTAATATACCAATAATTTATAGCGTTGAGTCTAAACATGAGTTCTTGAGGCTTGCTAACCCTGGATATAGATAGTGGAGATTTTTTTAAAAATTATATTTAACCAATTCTTAATAACTGCAATACAGATATTTACTTCTTTAGTGTCCTTTGAACATTCATTTTAATTACTGTGAAATTATAATTTTTTTTCTTTTTGGTTAGTTATGTATTCCTCATGTTTATGTCATTTATCCATCCAGTGACATGTCTGCCTATAGGAATGTGGTTGATGTCATATATATTTATTTGGTATTTTCTAGGTTCCTAATGGGGACCTAATAATGTTATTAGGGACCTAGAAAATGCCAACTACATATAATGTCTATGTAAGTTCAACACTTGTTTTCAAAGGACATCTAAATGTTCAAAATTAGTAAATAGATGAAACAGTGGTTGTTGACTGAGGAATAAACTGAGGTATGTCTATTTACTGGAATTTAGGAATATTAAAATAAAAAATAGATTCCAGTTTTAATCCATTTAATGTTTATAAAACAAAAAAAGAATACATTTTCCCCCAAATGATGATTAAATCACATATTTTGAGAATGACTAAACATAGTTATAAATATATTTAAAACCTATGAATCCCTCCTTAGTTGTTAAGTGTAAACCTGGTGAATTAAATTTCAGTAAGACACCAGAAGGAAAATGCTGCTGAGTAAGTTTACATGACTATCTTACACTTTTTTTTTAGTTTTACACATTTCATTTTCTGTTAATGAAATCTTTTCATTTTTCTATTTGTTATAATATTGCTTTATGTACGATAATTACCCTAATGAGAAAAATATGGGACATGTTTATAAGAATACTACTCTCTAGCCTTTAATTTGAAACCAGATATAAAAGGAACAGTTAACACTCAGGAGCGTTTGAATAGAAAAATTATCCTGAAAATTGCTCCAAGTGGCCCATGTATGTGCAGTAAACAATTTTACTCATTTAGTGGACAGCAAAGGGAAAAGAAATCTCCATATTTATCTTACCATGTTTTAAGTATCAATCAGTTGTGTGAAATTGTAAATCATGCCTTACATTCCACTTGTACAGTGCCAAGTCTGCTCAGGAATTAAACATAGTTCTTAAAGACTCCCTGAAAATGTGTACCCTTTATCTTATATTACATCCATATGCTCGGAAAGTACAGTTTAAATTGGTAGAGATCATAATCTTTCCCTCTACAACAAAAATATGCACTTAAAAATAAACACTCCAAGCAATGTTAGATGATAGCTTTTAATGGACTTTCTGTTCCCTCTTCATTCTAAAATTTTGTGTTACTATATTTTACTATCATGAGACTTTATGTCCTTGAAATCCAAATGTTCTAGTTAACACTATAAACCAAGATCCAGAGACTACTGAGCAAGTTCCTGACATTAAAATATCAAATCATTTGGTTCAACAACTGTCATTATTATAATTTTTTAAGAAAAATATGCTTTTGGAGATCATGCTTACAGAACATGCTCATGATTTCAAGCCCACACAATATTTTAAATCCATAAGGTGTGTGGGTGGTTATTTCAAATTGACATAGTTTTGTGTTATTTTTTACATGCAAAATTATTATCAGATGGAAGGGAAATTAAATATTCTAAATGTGATTTTAAAAACCCAGTGTTCTTTGTAACTAGTGCTTAAATTTATCCATTTTTGGAAAATGAACAACCTTGACAACATCAGTATTAATAAAAATAGAACTTTGTCAAAATATCTGAATAAAATTCTTGTGTTACTTGGTTCAGCGTATAAATGTGAGAAATATTGCTAAATAATCTATACTTTTATCAAATATTTTACTGACAGGTATTGACTAAAATATTTTATAAAATGTAAGGTTGAATTTCATATGAGAGAGCATTGTTAGGTCAATTTTACAATATATTTTAGATATACATTTTAGTAACAGCATAAATAAAACGCTTGACAGAAGGTTTTATCCTAAGTTTTCAGTCATTAAATATCTGAAATAATAGGAAATTAAGTCTCTTTTGTCAAACAAGGACATCACAATATGCTTACCAATAACCTAATATACGATTTTGCAGGATAAATTCAATAACTCTCAGTAACCAGTATTATAAGGCAACTAATATATGTCATATTGTGTCAGATATTAGGTTATATACATGGTTTCTTAATATTAGCAAATTCATAAAATCATAGGGTTTATGAACTAATATTTTAAACACTATTAGGGAAGAAATTCTATGCTACCATAAGGACTTTTGCTGAAGAAAACCACTTTACCTATGCTCAAGTCCACTTCTAAGGGGCAGTTAGCTTTCAATGACTAGTGTATGTACCATCTTATTATTTAAATTTGGGACAACTCTGAAGGGCCATCAAAGTTTCAAAACTCTCCTGAAATTGGTGGAGGGCTTCGTTGTGAATACTTTCCACTCCAACTTCTCTCTTTGCCCAATTCTATTTGTAACCTCTCCTTATGTGTTGATATTGAGATCAATCCACAATGAATCCCTGAACTTAAATTTCTACCGTAAAATCTATTTCCTGAAAACTATGAACATTGCATAGATAACTATCATGAATCTTAAATACACTGAAAATGCATGTGTATTAGTCAGGGTCCTCTAGACCGACAGAACTAATAGGATAGATGTATGTGTGAAGGGGAGTTTATTAAGAAGTATTGACTCACACAATCACAAGGTGAAGTTGCACAATAAGCCGTTTGCAAGCTGAGGAGTAAGGAAGCCAGTCTGAGTCCCAAAACCTCAAAACTAGGGAAGCTGACAGTGCAGACTTTAGTCTGTGGCTGAAGGTCCAAGAACCCCTGGCAAAGCACTGGTGTAAGTTCAAGTGTACAAAAGCTGAAGAACTGGGAGTATGATGTTTCAGGGCAGGAAGCATCCAGCATGGGAGGAGATAAAGGCTGGAAGACTCAGTAAGTCAGCCTCTCCCACCTTCTTCTGCCTGCTTTATTCCAGCCATGCTGGCAGCTGATTAGATGGTGCTCACCCAGATTGAGGGTGGGTCTGCATCTTCCAGTCCACTGACTCGTATGTTAATCTCCTTTGGCAACACCGTCACAGACACACCCAGGAACAGTACTTTGCATCCTTCAATCCAATCAAGTTGCCACTTAATATTAACCATAAGTGTACCCCTTTTCAACTTAATCTCATGCACATTCTCCTGAAATCATATATAATCTCCAAATAAAGACAATAATAAGGTCATAATTATGCTTAACATAATACAGCTATCCCTAGTACAACCAAGAGGGCACTAATCCTTAACCTAAATGTTACATAAAGTTAACAACACTTAAATGATGAAATGAAGTCAATAAATCTTATGTCACATGATAAATGAAAAAGAAAGGAAGTAAAATGAAGATATTTTCTTAGTACAAGTGTATACATGCACAAACATGCTCTTAACAAAATAGGCCAGGCACGGTGGCTCACACCTGTAATCCCAGCACTTTGGGAGGTCAAGGTGGGCGGATCATGAGATCAGGAATTCGAGACTAGCCTGGCCAATATGGTGAAACCCTGTCTCTACTAACAATACAAAAATTAGCTGGGTGTGGTTGTGCATGCCTGTAGTCCCAGCTAGTCGGGAGGCTGAGGCAGAAGAATCGCTAGAACCCAGGAGGCGGATGTTGCAGTGAGCTGAGATCGTGCCACTGCACTCCAGCCTGGGCAACAGAGTGACACTCTGTCTCAAAAAATAAAAAACAAAAACAAAATAAAGAGGAAAGACTCATGACAATTATAGTCCTCGTTTCTGCAACTGGTAACATGGGTGTAGCTGGTATTGATGACTACCTTCTTTTACTACCCATTCTATATTCCCTTTGCCTTCTGCAAGCACCTCAGCGGGTCTTAGTTTTTGCCTAGGGGAGTGACTCAAACCTTCATTCCTGAAGGGTCTGGGCCATTTGTAGTTCTGCCTAGATTGGGTTGTTGTAGTTTCCTATTGACATTAATCACAGGGCATGGTAATACTAAGAGATCCCCTATGGGAGCTCCTGTATTCCATACATACTCTTCCTTACTTCCAATGTGGAGTAGTAGACTGATTTCATCTTGATATTCCAGGTCAATCACCCCATCCAACAATGTAACTCCCTTCCTAGCCTGTTAACATAGAGGTAGGAGGAGCCCAAAGTGGCCAGGTAGCAATCTTAACTTCAAGTTTAATGGAATCATTTGTTGTGTCTCCTGATGGCAGGATTCCTCCCTCTGCAACTAAGACCTCTAGGGCAGCAGAACATGTCACAGGAACAGGTAGGAACAATTTTGCTAGTAGGTCACTAGGGGTGATGGTGAGTGGTGCCACTTCCACTTCCACCCCTTGATTCCTGGACCCATGGGTCTTGGTTATGAGAGAAATAGCACCATATATTGGACACTGAATCAGGGTATACACAGTCTTCTGGAGAACTTTGCCCCGGTCCTACAAAGTATTGTTGACGGCAGCGGCCGCTCCAGATGTCCAGCCGCTACCATCACGCTGGCTGTGGCAGGGAGGGCTGCATGCTCCACGGAGCCAGCGGGAACCCCGCCCTTCTGGGAGGAGCTACAGCCACCAAAGTTGCGGCTGCAGATCCAAGCCTCCGTGTGTTCCTGGGGGCTGACATGCCAGACCTCTGCCACTTCGGCCCCCTCCGGAATTTGGGCAGGGACGAGAGTGAGAGGAGAAGCCGAAGGGGTGCTGCAGGCAACTCAGCGCTGGCCTGCAGGTGCCCCTTGGTGCCAGGAGCATAAGCACCAAGGACTGCAGCGGGAGACAGACAGGCTCCTGGGCAGAAGTGGGTGGCTACCTGGTAAGGCCCCACCTTCAGGCCAAGGAGCGCCAGAAGGCTGGGAGTTAGGCTGCCAGTCCCATAAACAGGAGTGGGGACTGTTGGTGCCTTTTCTTGGCCCAACCATGGTCGCCCATGGACCAATTGGCGTGCACTTTCTCCCCTGTGAGGTCCATTAAAGCCCCGGGCTCACCCAGAGCATCCAGATGACGCAGAGACAATGGGATGACTGGCTGCAGAGGGTAGCTACCTTCTCTGCTGATAGCAGGAGAAGGTGAGCAGCTCGAGAGAGGAGCTGTCCTGTCTGCTGAGAGATTCAGAGACCTACAGAGACGTCAGGACTACCAGCTGCAGAGAGGAGAGGGCTACCAGCTGCTGAGAGCTGCAGAGAGGATGGGAAGACCTGCTGGCAGAGAGAAGCCATCCACTCCAGGGCCTCCTCCCTGTTGAGAGCTGAACACTCCATGGGACGACCTGTCTACAAAGGAGCTATCCACTGTGGGTCTCCTCTGAGATGTTCTAACACTAAATAAAGCTCCTCTTTGTCTTGCTCACCCTCCACCTGTCTGCATATCTCATTTTTTCTGGACACAGGACAAGAACTTGGGCAAAGGCACCACTGGCCACAGAGGTTTCCCGCCAGAAAAGGGACACCCCAGAGATCCCTTAATGTTGTTATCTAGTTGGTGTTGTAATTGTGCCTTCAAAAGGCCATTCCACTGTTCTATCAACCCAGCTGCTTCATGATGTACACGTTCAGGGGAACATGGTAAGAACAGTGAATTCCATAAGCATGAGCCCACTGCTGCACTTCTTTAGCTGTAAAGTGAATGCCTTGGTAAGAGGCAATGCTGTGTTGAATACCATGACAATGGAGAAGGCATTCCATGAGTCCACAGATAGTAGTATTGGCAGAAGCATCGCATGCAGGATAGAGAAGCCCGTATCTGAAGTAAGTGTCTATTCCAGTGAGGACAAACCACTATCCTTTCCATGATGGAAGACGTCCTATATAACCAACCTGCCACCAAGTAGCTGGCTGATCACCCCCAGGAATAGTGCCACATCGAGAACTCAGTGTTGGTCTCTGCTGGCAAATTGGGCACTCAGCAGTGACTGTAGCCAGGTCTGCCTTGTGAGTAGAAGTACATGTCATTGAGCCCATGTGTAACTCCATTCCTGCAACCATGGCCAGTTTGTTCATGGGTCCATTGGGTGATGACAGGGCTAGCAGGGGAAAGAGGCTGTGTAGTATCCACAGAATCAGTCATCCTATCCACTTGATAATTACAATCCTCCTCTTCTGAGGTCACCCTTTGGTGAGCATTCATGTGGGATACAAATGTCTTTAGTTTTTGATGACTCAGAGATGTCTATCCCATACCTCTTCCCCAAATCTCTTTGTCACCAGTTTTCTAATCATGCTTCTTCCAAGTCCCTGACCACCCAGCCAAACCACTGGCTACAGCTCATGCGTCAATATATAATCACACATCTGGTCATTTCTCCTTCAAGCAAAACACACAATCAGGCACACTGCTTGAAGTACAGCCCACTGGGAAGATTTCCTTTTGCCACTGTCCTTCCGGGATATCCTAGAAAGGGGCTATATGCTGCAGCTGTCCATTTGTGGGAGGTGCAATCATATCATGCAGAACCATCTATAAACCAGGCCCTAGTCTTCTCTTCCTCTGTCAACTTTGCATCCTTCAATCTAGTCAAGTTGACACTTAATATTAACCATCACAATATGTATTGTTCTTCACTCAAATGAACCACGTTTTAAGGCAGGAAAAATGACAAGCGCAGAGAATTGAGAATTAGCTTAACAGCCTCACAAAAGAAAACAAAAAAAGTGGAAATCGCTACCAAGAATAGGAAGAACCAATCACCATCAGTTGTCACACTTTATAACCTAGCAGGGAACCAAATAGCTAATTAACAATGTTGTAAAACTACAGCTACAAGGAGCATTCAAGGATACATTTTAAGTGGTAATTTATGCAAATACCCTAAAATGGAGGCCTGACCACAACATATAAAATCTTCATCATCTGGCAAATGATTTTCTATATGGCTCTTCTAATTTTAATAAAATACAAATCAGACATAAACAATATTTGATAATGCTAACAAAACAAGGTGAAAGGATCATTATGATAGCACTGTGGGTTGTATAATATTACTGGTCTAAAATAATTCATAATTTCAGGAGGAGACAAAATGTTTCTATGTAATAAGACTTATGTGAAAGTCATGGATAAGTTTTAAAAGTCTCTCTTCCTTAGCAAGTAAAATGTAGCTTTGAAAAATTAAGCAAAGCCTCAGACTAATTATAAATGCCTTTTTACATAACTGGACATCCCCTTGAAAGAAGCAATGAGGTCCCAGGCCCTGACAAAGAATCAATGGTTTGATAATCCATGTCCCCTAATGTTGGCTACTCTGAGCATCTGAGGATCTTCACTTCAGAGCAGCCAGCATTTTCTTATTGTTCCTAGAATATTATAGCAAACCAAGGAAGATATCAAAATAAATATCTTTATAAACCTAAGTAGGAATAAATGAGGTTGTAGACATATTGAAAATGACTTAAATAGGTAGTGCTGATATTTTAGAATAACTCAAAGTATAAATGTAATAATATACTATGTAAAAGTTGCATTTCAGCCTATCTTGTCTTCTATTTAAGGTATTAGATGTTTAAAAAATCAGTTATATGTAATAATGAATTGCATTGTAAATGGCTTAAGAACTTGTTAAGTGTTTAGTCAAAGTTTATTTTTGTAAAAAATAACTGAAAATTTTGTTTTATATTTTTACATATATATCTAATAAATTATATGTTAGGATGCATTAAAAATATACTCATAAGCGATTTTCTCAAAGTGCGTAACTTCTTTTAGGTTTATTAATTAAACAGATGAACCAAAACATTATCTTAAATATCTTTGTAAGTTTTATATATATATGTATATTTATATAACATTCCCATTACTAACAGTTAATTTACATATCAATTATCATAATACTAATATCATAGTACAACATTTTTTTCTAAAGCACACTTTTAAATGTTGCACTGAGAGACACTTCATACCCTGTAGCAGCTCTGTCTAATATATTCCTCACCTGAACTGTAGGCATTCAATCATGTATCCTCTGCTATGTATCCTCTGCTATCTCCTGTCTAAGAACTGCATCTTTTCTGATATTTAATGTTTAGGACATTATAATAAGAGCTAACTGAACAGTTTCCCACTTAGCTATTGCCAAAACTCAGTTTCTCCCATTATTATGTGTGCTGTCAAAATGATAGAACTACCAATTTGCTTCTAATTGGGTGCTTTCTCACCAGGCATATTTACAAATTAAGGGTATATTGAAATCATTTTAAAATTTTAAAAAGCACACAATTTTTTTTTGTAACAATGCAGTCATGGTTTATGAGCCAAAATAAGTTCTCATGAAAACAGACCTTTATAAGCCTTTGTCTGCTTTTTATTACATCCTATTAAATCATACTTCACTCCTGCTTCTCTAATGTAGATAACCATATTTTATCCTAACTTCTGATCACTGGAATTTAATGAATCACATGATCTATATTTTTTCAAAGAGGCTCTTTTTGGGAAACATAATATCATAGTTTATAGCTGAATTGATGCTTTAATTAAAGTAACATTTTGAGGTTTAAACATTGAAATGCAGACCAAACTGAGTTATTTCTGTTCTAATTAACCTTGATTGCTAAATATATTCCTCTTAGATACAATCTCTTCCACATTGTCCTGATCAAATTAAACGTTGCTAGCCATTATCCCCAAATATTGGGCAATTCTGCCATTAAAATCAGTAGTAAATTTGATTATAAAGACAGGTGCCTCCAAAAGCCTTGTAAGAAAATGCAATCTTTCCTGAGAAACACAATGGGAATGACAATATATTTGGAGCCAGAAGGATATAATTTGAATCCAGAATTTAACCCATATTACTTTGGGCAAACAAGTCAACACCTCTTAGCATTAAGATAGTTCCTTGAAATTGGGGCAATAATATTTAATTTTATTAGGTATTTAATGTCTTCTAGAAAATTTTCTAAGCAATTTACATGCATTGTGTCATTTATAGTCACAACAACTGTATGAGATCAGCATTCTTAAATTCCCATTTTCTAGATAAGTAAACTGGAGATAATAATACCTGCCTCTCCTATTTATTGGCATTACAGAGAAAATAAATTAAGTTAATGAAAATAAAAATGCCTTTTCAGGACCAACACATAAAACATGATGAAAGTTATTATTATTTTTTCCTCCTCCTGGCCCTCTTCTCAGCTTTAAAACACTTGTCATATTCATGAATTGATTGACATGTACATTTATGTGCTTAACCTCTGAAACAATGTTACTCTTCAGAGAGAAACACAGGATTGAGGCATTTTAGCAGCACAATTTTGCAATAATTTTTGCAAAGCATTCTAGGAATATGAGAAAAAGTTAAATAATTTAAGGAAAGAATCGTTTGAACACTCCAAGAGAAGAGGGAAAATATGGAGCTTTTCTAATTTGCAAAAGGAGCAAAGATATACAGCAGCGCCACTCTCCTCAAATACACCCATTCTTCACTCTTTTTTTTTTTTTTTTTTTTGAGACGGAGTCTCGCTCAGTCGCCCAGGCTAGGGTGCAATGGCGTGATCTCGGCTCACTGCAAGCTCCACCTCCCGGGTTCTCGCCATTCTCCTGCCTCAGTCTCTCGAGTAGCTGGGACTACAGGCGCCCGCCACCACGCCCGGCTAATTTTTTGTGTGTGTATTTTTAGTAGAGACGGGGTTTCACCATGTCAGCCAGGATGGTGTCGATCTCCTGACCTCGTGATCCGCCCATCTCGGCCTCCCAAAGTGCTGGGATTACAGGCCTGAGCCACTGCGCCCGGCCCATTCTTCACTCTTTAGGTGAAGCCTCTACAGGGAGAGATTTCAATAATATTGCCAAGCAGATAGAAATTATAGTAAAATGCATACGTTTGAATTCCTTCCAAGTGAGCATACTGACCACAACCGGAAATAATGTTATGTTTTGTTTGCCATCATCTCAATACTCAATAAATATGGTTTTACTGCTTACATGCAAACTCACACACACACACACACGGACATGAGTGCAGATAGGAACATTTCCTCCAGTTTAGATAGTCTGAGTATATAATAGCTTTTAGTAAATAATAAGAGTAATAAACAAAGTGGTTATTAAACAATTGAAAGCATCTTCAGCAGAAATTCCTAACAATTCTGTTGCTAAGATAAAAACAATTTGCTTTTAATAGTGTTGAAGAGGTGCAGTATTAATGTCAGAAGACTTTTATTAAACTATCCCAATGGTGTGCTTAAGTCAAAATACTACATTTAAAGGTTCAGAAATGTAATTTTACATTATTTTCCTCCTTAAATGTTTTGCAGTTCAGAAAAAAATTTGTATAATAATGTAATGTGAGTCTTAGAAGTAGATTTATAGATTAAATCAATGTAATCAACATTCATTCATTTATTAACCCAGCAACTATTTCTTGAGTCAGTGTTAATGGCAATAGTATCTGTGCCAAGCCTGTGGTTTGGGGCTAGGGAAATAAACAAGAGTGAGTAATATTCCTGTCTTCAAGAGGTGCAGAGCCTATTGGAGGAGGCAGATATAAAAACAAAATGTAAACAGACAAGGAAAGAATGAAAATAGAAGTATGTACACTTTATGATAAAGTATTTTTCCAGTCATGACCTGAAGTATGTGGTTGAGGCTGATGTCATGAAGAAGACTTTATGAAAAAGATTCTACCTATGATACATCAAAGGATGTATGTGACTTAGACAGGTAAGTTTTGCAAGAGGGAGTGGGCAGTTCCTGAGCAGGCCAGGAAGCAGGAGCAAGAAGTTCAGTGAATATAGAGGCAAGAACATCATTCTGTGTGTGGATTTCATAAAAAGCAGCTCTTGATTATGATAAAGTATGAAGCAGTGAGTGGTAGTACTCAGTGTCTCTTGGGTAATTATCTAATTCCTTAACATTGTGGAAAAGATGCTTTATTTTCTGCCATCCTACCTCCTTCACATTGATGTCCTTAGCCCTGTGACTATGGTTGCACCAGATACATTTAGTCCTTTCCTCCCTCCACTGGGTTTTTGCCCATTGTTTTTGCCCATTATTTTATTCACAAGTACCTACAACAATTACTTAACATCTATCAGCCTGCAAATCTCAGCTCAAATGCCAATTTCACTCTGAATATTCAGGAGATTCTCTCCCCTGAAGCCAGATTTTTTTATAGACTTTCATAAAAGGTTGTTTCCCAATTTATACTTAAATATTTATGTACATGTTTATGGAGTTAAAGAATGCTTTTCTCACCAGACTACAACCTCCTTGAGAATAGGAACCAAGTATAATTTTGCTCTTCAGTGTTTAGTCTAATGCCAAAAATACAGTAGGTAGTCAACAAATATTTGTTTAATGAATAAAATTATAGTTTCTAATATAGTGACTGGTTCAGTTTACACACATAATGCGTAACATATAACATAAAATATATAATGCAAAAACCTTAATATTATCACTTGATTATTTACTATGTATGTATTATTTAATATATGAAAGGAAGAGATTGCTTATTTCCTGTCTGATGTATACTTTGTGATGCAATTTCATGACCAAATCCCTAACTTTCTTAAAACTAGTGATTATCTCCTTAAAATATGTTATTCCCTTAACTCCCTTGCAGTCGATTGTGACCAATGAGATAAGAGCAGAAGTGTTGTCTGAGATTTCTTAGAAAGTTTCTTAGAGAGCTGACTCAACTTGGTAGTGTTCTTATTTTGCTATCATCTTCCACATCCTTTTTATTAAGAGTTACTTAAAATTGGGACATGATATCTCAAGATATCTTGGATTATGAAGTAATCCTAAGGATGGGAACCATGAACCAGAAATGGGTATCAGAAAGATTCAAGGAAACTGAGTCTCTGATGATTTTGGAGCCATTTTATGAGAATCTGTCAGTCTACTTTTGTAATTATTTTACCTGAGAAGCAAACTCGTATTACTATTACTAAAATTAATCTAGAATCAGTGAGTAGATATTATATGACAGGAGAAGGATGAAGAAGGAGTAAATGAATTTTTCAATGACCAAGTAGTAAAATAATGATGTTCTAAGAGAAAGATGTGCTAACTGCATGAGCATCATGAAGAAATAATCAACAATACAAAGTAATGTACTGAATTTGGAAAAAGGGAGGCACATTTATTATACTGCTTTTCTAGAGGAATGTTTACAATAATAGGGCTTTTGAGGATGTACATTTTGGGGGTAAAGATGAACTTTTAAAAAGATAATTGAAATTGAAACAATTATGCAATGACAAGTGAAGCTATTTAGTGTTTACAATTGCAATGCTAGGACTCACTGACTATAACACATTAATTTTGGAAAATATTTCTCAGTTTTGAGAAAGGATTTGGGGGGGGCATTCTAGTGCCTATATATACCCTGCTATGATTGTGCTCACTAGCCCACTTCAGAAATCATTTCCTCACTTCTTAAATTTTCTTTTCATCAAGGTGAAATTCACATAACATAAAATAAATCATTTAAAGTGAACAATTCGGCTACATTTAGTACATTCCCAATGTTGTACAATCGCCAACTCTATCTTGTTCTAAAACTTTTCATCATCCCAAAATATAACACCATAGCCATTAAGCAATTACCTCCCGCCATTCCTCCCTCTCTTAGCCTTTGCTTCTATCTCTATAAATGTATCTGTTCTGCATATTTTATTTCAAATGAATGGAAAAATATATGTGACTATTTGTGGGTTTTTTTCACTTAGCATAATGTTTTTCAGATTTATCCACATTGCAGTATGTATGAGTACTTCATGTCTTTGTATGGCTGATTGTTTCTTTACTCCTTAAACTTAACTTTTGGTTTATACGTGAATAATATATAAAATTTTTTAATGATTTTTTTCATGTATTCCAGCTAAGTCTACCAGGTTCCCTGCTGTTCTAGAAATAAACCATGCTTACCTCCAACTTTGATGTTTTTACTTATGCAGTTTCAATTATCTAAGTTCCCTTCTTGTTCCACCTTAATTTGAATATTCAAGTTCTTCTTATGCTGCATAGCCAGCTTTTATCCTGCATTACCCACTGAAATTCATTTATCATCCCTTAAAGTTAAAAGTATCTTGCAAATCAGCCTTATAATAACTTGCTCTGTCAAATAAATGTTATCAGGACTATGTCATGTCTCTTTGTTGATTGAAAACTTCTTAAGGGCAGAAGTCACATAATTTTTATATCATCCTATAAATAGTTTTTCAAGTAATTGAAAAAACAGAGTACAATTTATAGACTTAAAAAACATTAATGCTACTTTCCTATTTATAGAGTTTTTGTGTTACACGTATATTACCTCAATTTACTTGAGGATCCAGGAAAATAGACAGGGTGGAGGCTAGTATTTCTGTTTTTTTGACTAAAATTCTTACCAAAGACTCATTTCCTCTTAGTAAATGGCAGGGCTGAAGTTGAAACATTAGCTTTTACTAACACAGTGGGTGGGCATGTATCTGAGTCCAAAGCTCAGCATAGAAATACCATTGTCTTTATATTTTATAACTTGATCTACTTGAAGTATGGCTTGAATGCTATAAACATCATTAAATTGAGATCTGTGGGACTTCTCTAGTGAAAAGAAGTACATGATAGGAGTGGTTTATTGCCACTGTTCTTCAAATTTCATATGACCTTGAAGACAGTTGCAGAGATTTTCATCATTTTGTTGATGGGCTGTGCAAATTGCTTCTCACTTATGGTTATTTCTATGCACATTTTTTAAATTCTTTTTTCCCCCACTCTGGGGAAACTATGACCTTTATGTTTCCTCCTCCATGTTCAAACACAGAAAAGATTTTATAAGCACCTCAGCTGCCTATTCACTTCATGTGCCAATTTCTTTTTAACATATCGCAGCATTGATTGAATTTAACCTTAGGAATGGGGAAATGGGCTCTGTTAGCGCACAATCCCATTTTGAACACATGCTGCATTCTATGTAGTCCTAGGCCCAGCATGTGTAACAAGGGACCCACAAGTATTTGTTTAACAACCACTTGATTTCCATTCTCCCCATCTCCTTCAGCCCACAGATTTTTCTCTACTGCAAGTAGAAAAGTGGGTCTTTGGACATCTTATATAATTTTTATAATTAGTTTTATAGTATCTACAAAATAATTTGCCGAGATTTTGATTGAGATTGTGAATTGTGTTGAATCTATAGTTCAAATAAGCAAGACCATCTTAACAATATTGAGGCTTCCAGTTCATGAATATGGAATATCTCTTCATTTAAAAATGTATTTGATTTTGTTCATTAGAGTGTTGTAGTTTTATGCATTTAGATCCAGTACACATTCTACTAGATTACACAAAGTGTTTTATTTTAGTGCTAGTGATCTATATATATATTTATTCCAAATTTATATATGTGTATATATACATAGTATTGACCCTTGCTTTCACTGCATTTATTTTATATACATATACATATACATATACATATACATATACATATACATATATATATTGTGTGTGTGTGTGTGTGTGTGTAATTTTGATCACTTAGATGAAATAGACCAATTTCTTGCAATGTACAAATTACCAAAAGTCACTCATGGAGTAATAAATAATCTGAGTAGCTAATGTCTATTAGAAAATTTGTTTCAATAATTAATAACCTTCTAGAAACCAGCACACAATCCAGTGGTTTCACGGGTGAGATCCACCAAATATTCAAGAAAGAGCTGATACCAATTATCTATGATCTTCCTGAAAATAGAAGCAGAAATACATATACATATTTCGAAGCCTTGTGCTGTACAACAAAATAATGTATATCATGTTTTAAATATATATATATATTTACATTAAAAATTCCTTTTTGTTTTTATTCTGTTGATGTAATTTACATTGAACAATTTTGAATGTTAAATCAACATTGCACATCTGGTATTAATTAATCCTCCTTTGTTGTGGTATATAACTACACGTTGTTGGATTCCATTTACAAATATTTTGTTGAGGATATTTCATTGGTGGTAATAAAAGATATTGGTCTCTAGTCATCCTTTGTTGTAATGTATTTTGCCAGTTTTAATACTAAGATAACTCTGGTGTTATTAAAGGATTTAGCAAATGTTCTTTCTGCTTCTCTTTTATTAGTAGTAGTACTTTTTTTGAAACTGACAAATGAAAATTGTATTTATTGATGGTATAGAACATGTTATTTCAAAATATGTATCTCTGCCTCTGCTTTCTGGAAGAAATTGTGAATAATTGGTATAATTTCTTAAAGGTTTGGCAGACTAAACTAGTGCAGCCATTGAGCTGTATGTTTTGTTTTTGGATGTTATTAATTATTAGTACAAATGCTCTAATATAAATTGGCTACTCATATTATCTATTATCCTTGTGTGAATTTTGTTATTTCATGTCTTTTAAGGAATTGGACCATTTTATCTAAGTGGTCAAATTTGTGGCCTCACGTAGTTTTAATAATATTCATCTATTATACTTCTAAATTTCATGGGATCAATAGTGATGCCCGTCTTTCATTTCAGATATTGGAAATGTGTTATCTTCTCTATTTTTTTTTTGTTAGCCTGGCTAGAGGTCTATCAATTTGATTAATCTTTTCAAAACCTTAGATTTTCGTTTCATTGAAATTCTCCATTTTTTATGGATTTTTGATGCATTTATTTTTGCTATAACTTTTATTATTTATTCTATTTTGCTTTCTTTATGCCTATGCTGCTCTCCTTTCTCTTGTTTTCTGAGAAGAATATGTAGAGAAGGACATTTAGGACACTAACACTATTCTTTTATGCTAATCTATGCATTCCATACTGTAAATTGCCTTTTAACCATTCCTTTCACTGTATTTCATAAATTTTGATAAGCTATACTTTCAGTTATATTTAGTTCAAAATATTCTAAAACTTATTTTAAAATTTTTCATTTGGCCTATGGATTATTTAGAAGGCATTCTTAATTTGCAAATATTTAGGGATTTTCTAGCTCTCTTTCTAGTTTTGATTTCAGTTTAATTCCTGTAATCTGAGAATGCATATTGTATTATTTCTATTCTTTTAAATGTATTAAGGTGTGCTTTGGAGCAGAATGTAGTCTATGTTAGTGAATATTCTAGGTAAGCTTGCGAAAAATGTGCATTCTGTTGCTACATGGAGTATTCAATAAATGTCAATTAGATCAAGTTGAATGCTATTGTGGTCAACTACATCTTTATTGATTTTCTGACTTCTTGGTCATTTCCTTACTGACAAAGAAATGTTGAAGCTTTCAGCTATAATAGTAGAGTTGTCTATAAATCCATTTTTTATCAGTCGTGCCTCATGTATTTGACTCTCTGTATTGTTGGGTACACACATAGTTAAGTTTTTCTTTTTTTTTCCCACATTTCCTTAGATAATTTAGCCTTTTGTTATTATGTAATGCCCCTCTTTATGTATGTTCTTTTCTATATTTAAAATTGGTCAAAATTAGTATTCATAAACACAATTTAGCATTTAATAATTTAAAGCTTACTATAATAATTATATTTAATATTTTTGGAATAAAGACAATATAGACACTGATACTTTCCTTCAACAACTCCAGTATGTAAGAGGAAGCCCATAACTCAAGGTTTAAGAGCATAAGTGAATAGGATTATATAGATGATGTGATTCTATAAGGGAGTGGTATTGTTTTTACTGGCAAACTCAGAAATATCTTAGAAAACAATGTGTTTTTAAATGGTGCCTTCACCAAGGCATAAATCTGTAAACCATTTCAAACATACCTTGTCAAGACATGCCAATTCTTAAATTATTGTTGTCCATTATCCCCCTGTATCAAACAACAAATGAGCTGTGAAACTGTTAGATGTTAAAGAAGACACACATATAAACCGATACATAACATATTTCTTTAAGGGTAATTCATGAAAAAATGTTTTATGCATTGTACAGATCATTTCTTCTCATTGGGCTTAGAATGAATTTTCGCTACAGTATTAATCTAGTTTATCAGGTTCAACAGTAAGGTTCAAGGGCATCAACATAGCATGCATTGCCCAATTTAATGTGTATTATCATATACAATATATAATGCACCTCATAAAAGAAAACAAGACAGCCAACAGACAAAAGAAATAGATGAAGCAAGCTTATAAATAACATCCAAATTTTAATGATTGGTATTAAATTGAAATAAGAAAACAAATACACGTGTGCCAGCAATGAAGTATATTAAACATTTTGAAATGATTACAGCTAATTTTCTCCTGATCATTTACTAAAATAATTACATTAAATATTCACCAAACATTCTACAAAATATTACAAAAAATAAACTACATTCCTACACATTTAAACTCATATATATGTACTTATATGTATAATTTATAAATATAAGACACTGTATTAAGTGATGTAATATAAAAGCACATTGCCAAAATTCATTATTTCTCTCTCTCTTTATTTATTCTTTTTTTTTTTAAACAGGATCTCGCACTATTGCCCAGGCTGAAGTGCAGCAGTGTGATCATGGTTTACTGTAGCCTTGGCCTCCTGAGATCAAGGGATACTCCAACCTCAGCCTCCCAAAAAGTTGGGACTACTGGTGCATGCCACCACACCTGGCTAATTTTTAAATTTTTTTTTGTAGAGATGATGTTTCTCCATGTTGTCCAGGCTGGTCTTGAAGTCCTAGGCTCATGTGATCCAACCAACTGGGCCTCCCAAATTTCTGGGATTATATGCATGAACCACTGCATCCCTAAAATTTATTATCTTAGGAAATTTGTGTCATTACTATTGTAACATAATTTAATATGATGTTTTAAAACCTAAATAATCAGTTTTTGCATATTTTGAACATTGGGGAGTCTGATAATATTTTCATTTAATAATAATAATTTATTAGTCACTTTGTAACCATAACACTAGGTGTTTGGTCTAGGTTCTGCTGCTCACCACACAGAAAGCCAATTACTGAGACAATGGGTATTGTTGGGGAAGAATGATTTAATCAAGTGCTGCAACCAATTAGATGGGAGATCAGTCTCAAATCCATTTCCCTGACTTACTAAAATTGAGGGTTTATATAGTGGGGAAGGAAGGTAACTATACATGGGTAAACAGGAATTAGGGAAGGATAAAGAAGAGGAGTTGGACAACAGGAAGCAGGTGGTTGGTGTGGCAACAATGATAGGTGACAGGTCTGGTGTCTCATTGTCTAGATGGGGTGATCTGGCAAATTTCAGTTCGTGGTATTATCTAGGAGGCCTGATTGTTAGTTTACTGAGAAATGAACTCAAATAAGACAAATGTAGCTATTTCTTAAATTAAAGACTGAGAGGGTCAATTTCTTTGTTTATTCAAAAGAAACCATAAATATCAATTCTATACAGCAATTAAGCCAGTTTCAAATTCAACTTGTCTGGCCTATCAGAATGAGAATTTACAAAACACCTAAACAAATAAAATATTTTAGAGGATATTAGAGTAGCCAGGATTGGTTGTTTATGAACCCTGAATTTCAAAAATTGTATTAGATAGTAACAATTCTGGCTTATATTAATCTATATTTCAAGTAGGAAGCTGTACATAGTCTTAGGTACATTTGCCAGAATTATAATTTCAGCTTGAAAATAACAATGTGAAGCACGCAGCCAAAATTTATTTCAATACATTTGGATCCATATCATATATATTCAACTGTTATAATAACCTCAGTTATTAAAGTGATGCATATGCAGAACTTAGGCTAAACTAAATTTCAGTCAACATAGAAAATTTTAAAAATGAGCTAACAGTATAATTAATAAAAATAGAAGGTAAATTTGGTTGTTCTATTCTAGACTGTCAGGTTTCTGAGTTTGAAAACATCCTAAAAAAGATAGAACTCATATTATTACTGAATAATCAACATTTACATAGAAAAAAGATGAGATAATGAGATAATTTTAATAGCAATGAAGAAACTAGCACTAATTAAGGCACAGCTGTAGTCTGGGTAAAGCATCATTGTATAAGCTTTTGAGCACAAATATTTAGGTTGAGATGGAGGTTGGCATAAAAGAGAAGGCAGCCATTTATTCATTCTTTCACTAAATATATTATCTGAACACCAGTTTTGTCCAGTTGTTGCTTTAAGCACAGAGGTTTAAGTAATTAATGAAACAAGACCAATGTCTTACATTCAAAGGGCTTATTTCTAGTAGGAAACAGAAAATATAAAAAATAAATAAGTAAAACACAATAGTAAGTGTTATTGCTTGAATGGTGTACCCCTAAAATATATGTTTAAGACCTAACTCCCAAATCTATGAATATAAAAATTTTTGGAAAGAAGATCTTTGCAGAGGTAATTAAGTAGACGTGAGGTCATTAGGGTGGGCCTGAATCCAATATGATGGATTCTCAATATAGGAGGAGAGAAATTTGTACACAGACAAGTATTTACAGTGAGAATGCCAAGTGACAATGGAGAATGAGGTTGGAGTTACACAGCTGCAAGCCAAGAAACACTAAGAATTGCCAGCAACACCAGAAGCTGAGAAGAACATAAAACAGAATCTTCCTAGAAACTCCAAGAAAGCATGACCCAGCTTTATTTCAGACTTGTAGCCTCCGTAACTATGAAAAAATAAATTTCTGTTGCTTTATGCCACCAAGTTTGTGGTAGGTTTTAATGGAAGCCCCGGGGAAGTAATATAGGGCCTAACAGAAATCTATCGAACACTCCATTTAACAATGGCAAAACACATATACTTTACAAGTACACATAGAACATTCTCCTGGGTAGTCCATAGGCTAGACCATAAAACAAGCCAAAATAAATTTCAAAAGTTTCTTGTCATACAAAGTATATTCTTGGATCTCAATGAAGTGAAATTGAAATGAATAACAGAAGGAAATTTGGGAAATTTACAAATATCTGGAAATTAAGCAAGATATTTCTAGATAATCAAAGACTCAAAGAAGAAATCACAAGAGAAATTAGAAAATACTTTAAGATGAATGAAAATGGACACACAATATACAAAAACTAATGAATTGCAACCAAAACAGTGTGTAGAGGGAAATTTGTAGCTATAAACACCCACATTAAAAGAAAATCTTGAGTCAATGACTTAAACTTCCACGTTATGATACTCGAAAAAGAAAACTAAACACAAAGCAAGCAGAATGAGGGAAATAATAATTAGTGTGATAATTGATAAAATAGAGTACAGAAGAATAAGAAAGAAAATCAACAATACCAACTGTTGGTTCTTTAAAAAGATCAATAAAATTGACAAAATCTTAGCTAGACTGATTCAGAAAAACACCAAGAAGATTCAAATTACTAAAATAAAAAATGTAATGGAGGTTATTACTCCTTACCTTACAGAAATGAAAAAAATATATAAGGAAATACTGTGAACAGTTATATATATATGCCAAAAAGTTTTTATTCTTCAGATCTCTGTTTTTCTTGAATTCCAATTCAGTTGGCTCTGTCTCAAAAAAATTTAAAAGTATTTAGCTTTTTCTTTGTTAGAAAAAGTTGATATCAATGAACTTTAATAAGTTAGATAAATATTGTTTGCACACTTAGGGGATCCAAATTATGCTTCAGATAAATTAAGTTTTGCTTATTGGTAATTTGGGGGTTGGTCTTCTACCTTGTCACAGAGGTGAGTTATACTCTTATTATTTATTCATTCAAAATATTATTAACCATGTTCTTTGTGTTAGGGGTGTTTCTAGACAAAAATGTAAAAGCCATACTAAAGCATATAAAATATAATTGCACAGGTTCTTTTTTTATAAAACAGCAAAAACACTAACTTTCCAAAAGCTAAACTGCAAATCAGTGGCTACAGCATAACTACATTCACAAGCTTATTTAAATGACACACAGTAATGAGAGACTTTTTGGAGAGAAGCTAAATATTCATCCTACTGGGAACATCTAAACTTCTCTGATAAATTGATTTAGCCCACTTTATAATTACATATTTCCAATTTTCCAAAGAAATTGGACTGTTTTTGGATTTTAACAATATTATCCCCTCTGCTTTACTTTTAAAATGAAAGTAAATTAAATAAATAGTCCTAGGGGAATATTAGTATTTTTATAAAACAGAGATTGAAGGTTTCCTTTTATGTTTTACATCTATCATATATTGGCCAATCAGTAGTTATGTGTGGAGTTTACAGTAGTCCCCTCTTACTCACAGTAGTCCCCTCTTATTCACAGACTCACATTCCAAGACTGCATAGGATGCCTGAAACTTAAGAGTACCAAACCCTATATATATTATGTTGCTGTTGTTGTTTGAATCTGATAACCAAGACAGCTACTAAGTGTTAAATGGACAGGTAGTGTATATAGCATAGATATGCTGGAGAGTAGAATGATGCACTCCTGGACAAGATGGAGCAGGATGATGCAAAATGATGTGAAACCTGAAAGTTATGAATTGTTCATTTCTGGAATTTTCCGTTTAATATTTTGGACCACACTTGACCATGGGTAACTGCAACCTTGGAAAGTGAAACTACAGATAAGGGAAGACTACTATAGTTTCAAATAGTTGTTTTCTTTATCTGTGAATTTTGCACTTTATTTTAAGTTAAACTTTATAAATTGAATCCTTTTATTTTTTAAGAACATGGAGTTGAATTTAAAGCTAAAAATAACCAGGTCAATTCAGTACTGTTTTTTACTAATGTTTTTAATCTTTTGAACAAATTTTAAATTTTCTTATTTTTATGTGCTAAGTGTTTCTTAAGTGTTAAGAAAAGCTTTTCACAAAGTTTTGTAAAATATTCCATTTGTTGTCACATTTCAAGTTTGAGAAAACCTGGATTGCTGATAGAATATAATGATACTTATAAAATTATCATTGCTATGGATCTAGGATCCCTATTTTAGTAGTTTGAAAGGCTGGGACGAAATTAGTATAAACAGGAGAAATATAGTTGATGCTTAGAAACCTGCAAATGGTTAAAAATATATTACTGAATAATCTCTGAATTCAATTTTTTTTTTGCTCCTGGTATCCTCTGCTATCTTCAGTGACTCTCTTTTAGTATGGGTAAGCTTCTAATACTTTCCACAGAAATACCATCATGTTAAAAGAAAAAAAAAAAGCAAATGGAGCTTAGAAGTTATGCTTATGAACAAAACTGAAGTTCAACTGAACACGTTTTTGTGTTTAATTACAGTTCCCTGTTATTTTTCTTCCAGAGGGAAATGTGTTTGAGGTATTTATACCTCTTCCTCTTAAGCTAACAATGTGTTAGCAATGATTGATATTTGACTTTCTTACCAAATAACTGTGAACCTAAATTATATGGCATTGCATCTGTTGTATAAAAATGTCCAAGGAATTAAGAGATTCTAAAAGTTTAAAGATAGAATTCAGTAAAATATTACATAAATGTACTAACATTGGTTCCATGCTATCACTAAATCAAAGGGGACATTCAAGAACACAGAACTTTTTTAAATTTTATTTTATTATTATTATACTTTAAGTTTTAGGGTACATGTGCACAATGTGCAGGTTAGTTACATATGTATACATGTGCCATGCTGGTGTGCTGCACCCATTAACTCGTCATTTAGCATTAGGTATATCTCCTAATGCTATCCCTCCCCCACCCCCCTACCCCACAACAGTCCCCAGAGAGTGATGTTCCCCCTCCTGTGTCCATGTGTTCTCACTGTTCAATTCCCACCTATGAGTGAGAACATGCGGTGTTTGGTTTTTTGTCCTTGCAATAGTTTACTGAGAATGATGATTTCCAATTTCATCCATGTCCCTACAAAGGACATGAACTCATCATTTTTTATGGCTGCATAGTATTCCATAGTGTATATGTGCCACATTTTCTTAATCCAGTCTATCATTGTTGGACATTTGGGTTGGTTCCAAGTCTTTGCTATTGTGAACAGTGCCGCAGTAAACATACGTGTGCATGTGTCTTTATAGCAGCATGATTTATAGTCTTTTGGGTATATACCCAGTAATGAGACAGCTGGGTCAAATGGTATTTCTAGTTCTGGAAACCAAAATAGTATTTGGGTTTCTCAGGCGATCCCTGAGGAATCGCCACACTGACTTCCACAATGGTTGAACTAGTTTACAGTCCCACCAACAGCGTAAAAGAGTTCCTATTTCTCCACATCCTCTCCAGCACCTGTTGTTTCCTGACTTTTTAATAATTGCCATTCTAACTGGTGTGAGATGGTATCTCACTGTGGTTTTGATTTGCATTTCTCTGATGGCCAGTGATGATGAGCATTTTTTCATGTGTTTTTTGGCTGCATAAATGTCTTCAAGAACAGAGAACTTTATGCTCATATAATTTTGAAAATGAAGAAAATTGTGTAAATCTTCTAATCTAGTTGTAGTGTACATGTCTTTTCTTAGTCATCCCGTATCTCTTCTCTCTACAATTAGCAATCTACTCTCCTACCATTTTGGGGAATGGTAATCAAAGTATATGGCTACCCTTCCCCTTTTCCTTTCTTTATGGTTAGGTTTATGAATCAAGTCTGGTTAACTATACTGTACTTATTCCTTATAAATATATATAGCTTATGTGCTAAGGAGTAAGTACACTATGGTTAGTTGTACTTGTGATTATATATATTGGAATATATATATTCCAACGGATTAACTTATAGTACTATGACTAAAATGAGTCATATTTTCATATTTAATGACTAAATATTTGGTCATGTTTATGTGAACATGTGTGGTCATTTTTCTTGTATAAGTGCCCAAGAGTACAATTTCTCAGTAGCATGGTACCTCACGTATATTTAAACAAAACAAAACCTAGGCATCTTATTCATTGAAATATTTACTAAATAAAATTTGAATATTTACAGGCAAAAATGTCTGTTTTCTTTTCAATAGCATTATCTTCTCAGAGTACAAAACAATTACTGTGTCTATCAGTGAACTATAAGTGGCCATATTTACTAAAGGTAAATGCGTATTCTATATCCCAGCAATTGCCATCCAAAGAATACACCTAAAAAGAAATGAGTATACTTGTTCATCAAATGATATGGACTAAATATATTCATAGCATCACCGTTTTCAAAGTTAAAAATTAAAAAAAACTGTAAGCTATTTAAAGTCCCATTATGATTCAAATTAATCAATAATATGTGTTCTGTGTACACAATAGATAATTATACACCGATGAATATGAATGACTTTTATTATAAATTATTAAGGACATATTTCCTAAACATAATTTTGAATGCAATAAGCCAGGCAAAAATAAATTTATACAATGTATAATCTGTTTATATGAAATACAAAAGTAAAAAAATGTGAAATTTGCTTATGCAATTAGAAATTTTGAGAGTGGTTATTCTTTCATGGGAGTGACTAGAAGGGAGCACAAGGGAAGAGGGCTTTACTTGTAATTTCTTGCAATTCTTTCTCATAGTTTTCCAAAATGTAATTCTTTAAGGCAGCACACATTTAATTTCTTGCAATTTCTGTAGGTCGGGAACTGGGAATAACTTAGCTGGGTATCTTGATTCATTGTTTCTCACAAGACTGAAATAAGGGGGTTGTCTAGGGATGCTCTCGCCTCAATGCTCAACTGTGAAAAGATTCACTCCTTAGCTCACACATATGGTTGTTGGCAGGATTCAGTTCCTTGCACATTATTGAACTGAGAACTCAAATTCCTTGCTGGCTGTTGGTCAGAGGCTCACCTGAGTTTCTTACAATGGGAGCCTCTCCTACACAACAGCATGCTGAATCAAAACCAGTGAGAGAGAGAGAGTGTTAGCAAGATGAGAGTCATAATCTTTTGTAACATAAACATGAAAGTGACATTCCCTCAACACTGCCTACTTGTCTGTCTTTCTTTCTTTCTCTCTTTCTTTCTCTTTTCTTTCTTTCTCTCTTCTTTCTTTTTCTTCTTTCTCTTTCTTTCTTTTTTCTTTCTTTTCTTTCTTTCTCTTCCTCCCTTCCTTCCCCTCCCTTCCTTCCTTCCTTTTTTCTTCTCTTTTTTCTTTCTTTCTTTTCTTTCCCTCCCTCCCTTCCCTCCTTCCTTCTTTCCTTCTTTCTTTCTTTCTCTTTCTTTCTTTCTTTCCCTTCTTCCTTCCCTTCCTCCCTTTTTCCATCCCTTCCTTCCTTCCTTTCTTCCTTCCTCCCTCCCACTCTCTCTTCCTCCCTTGCTCCCCTCTCCCTTCTTTCTCTTCTCTCCTTCTCCCTCCCCTTCCCTCCCCTTCTCTTCCCTCCACTTCCCTTCCCTTCCCTTCTCTTCGCTTTCTTTCCGAGACAAGGTGTTGTTCTGTCACTCCAGCCAGAGTGCAGTCATGCCATCACAGCTCACTGTAGCCTTAATCTCCACTTCCCAAGTAATCCTCCCACTTCAAACTTCCAAGTGGCTGGGACCATAGGCGTGAATACCATGCCCAGCTATTTTTCTGTTTTTATTTTTATTTTTCTAGAGACCGGGGCCTCCCTTTGTTACCCAGGCTGGTCTTAAACTCTTGGGCTCAATCAATCCACCCACCTCAGCATCCCAAAGTGTTGAGATTACAGGTGTGAGCCACCATGCCTGGTTAATGTTGCCAATTTCTGTTGGTTAGAAAGAAATTACACAAACTCAGGAGATTACAGAAAGCTGTGAATACCAAGAATCAGGGATCACTGTGGGCCATCTTACAGGCTGCCTTGGCACCTTTGTCAACAACAAATTGAATACACACACAAACTATACACCTATAGATATTGCTATATAAATATCTATCTATACACTCATTCTTTATTCTGTTTCATTAATCTGTATATTTGCTCTTATGTGAATACTATGATGTCTGGATTACTGTGTTATATTAAGCTTTGCAATTGGGTAATAGAAGTTGCCCAATTCTGATCTCTCTCTTGGGCATCTCTCCATACCTTCAGAGTTTCCCTGTCAGTTTCTATAAAAACACCTGCTGAGACTTTGATTTGAATAATGTAGAATATGTAAATCAATATTTGGAGAACTGATATCTTAGTACTGTTGTTTTCCAATTTCTATACTTGGTATATAATTGTAGTCATCGATGCTATATAGTTTTATGTGTCCAGGTTTTACACAAATATTTTAAACGTTTATTCCAAATATGTCATGTTTTGTGATGCTATTGAAAATAGCAATTTTTACATTTCAATATAAAACTATTAATTGTTAACATATAAATGTACTAAATGATCCATATTTTGTGACCTTAATTAACTCATTTATTAGTTCTAGAGTCATCTTTGCATTTTTTAAGGATTTCCTATGTATGTGATCAGGTTATCTGAAAGTAAAGACAGTTTTAATTTTTTAATGCTGAAATAGTAATATATGCCTTTTATTTCTGATTAGGACCTCCAATACAGTGTTGAACAGGAAGATTAAGAGCTGATATGGTTGCCTTTTTTACCAATCAATCACAGAAAATATTCAGTCCTTCATCATAAAGTATGATGTAAGTTATATGATTAGAAATGCCCTTTATCAGACTGAGTTTGATACCGTTTTGTTTACTAAAAGTTTTAATTAATAAATACCAAAACTTAAACTTTGTGTAAATGTTTCAATTAAGTTAAAGTGTTAAACCAACTTTACCTTCCTATGATAGCGTTTATGTGGTGCATTAGCCCTTTTAAACATTACTGGATATAACTTACTAATATTTTTTAAGGAATTTTGCTTCTACATTTTAGTTTTTCTATGATGTCTCTGTTAAATTTGAATATCAGTGTAAATGTAGCCTCATAAACTGTGTTGACATGTGTTATCTCCCTTTTATTTTGTGAAATAGTTTGTACTATTTTGGAATTACTCTTTAATTTTTTGATGGAACTAACCTGACTTTTCTGTGTAAGAAGATTTTTCATTACAAAGTAAAATCACTTAAAATAGAAGGTGAATAAGATTTTCTATTTTTTCTAGAATTGATTATGGTAACATGTGTCTTTCAAGATTAGTTTCTACCTTATGCTGTCAAATTTGTTGGCATAAAGTTGTTCACGACAGTTACTTATTATTCATTTACTATCATTATGGGGTTTGTAGTTATGTTCTCTGTTCCAATTCTGACATTTGTGAATTTCCTCATTCTTTTTACATTGTTTTAATCAACACAGCTAACATTTATCAGTTTTATTGATTTTTCAGAAAAGGGATGTTTGCTTTTATTAGTTTTTCTCTATTGCTTGTCCATTTTCTTTTTTATTGATTTTTCACAGTTATTTTTATTTATGTTTTATTTCTTATACTCATCCTGGGTTTAATTTGCTCTTGTTTGTAAAGCTTCTTAAGGAAGAATATCATTGAATTTAAGGAGTTTACGTATAATAGAAAGTTTATAATTTTAACATTATTGCCATTTTTATGTTACCATTTTTACTTGCATAGGTGTATGTTTCCATCTAACTTATTACTTATATGCTTGAGAAATATTCCTCAGCAATTTTTATAATGCAATCCTATTAACATATTCTACAGTTTTTATTTGTCCAAAAATAAGTTTTTATTTTACCTTCATTTTTGAAGAGTTTTATTGAATTTGAAATTCTTACTTGACTTTTTCCCCCTTTTTTGAGCACTTTATTTATATTGTCCTTTTCTTGCTTGCATAGCATCTAAAGAAATGTATACAGTAATGCTCATCTTCATTCCATTGTATATAATTTATCTTTTTGTTTTTCCCACTTTTAATATTGTTTCTTTAGCAGTATTTTTTAGCTATTTAAATATTATTAGCTTTTTGGGGGTATATTTCTTCATTTTTCATCCTTGAGATGATTTAGCTTCTTGGAAGTACTAATTCATAATTTTTATCCATTTTAGAAAACACTGTTATTTCTATCTTGAAATATTTTTTTTCTGCCCGCCCTCCCTTTTATTTTATATTAGGACTCTAATTATTAATACATGTATGTTAGATCAAATTTTATTGTCCCTAGTCCACACCTTCCCTACCTCCCTCCTTCCCTTCCTTCCTCCCTTCCTTCCTTTCTCTCTCCCTCTTTCTCTCTCTGTGACAATTGTCTTCCCTCTGTGCTTCCCCCTTTGGATGATTTATTTTGCTATATTCAAAGTTTTATCAGAAGTGTATAATCTTCTGTTACTCTCACCAAATAAAATTATTTCAGACAGTATTTAATATATTATATTCATATCTAGGAGTTCCATTTAGTTTTTATTAGCTTCTAACTCTTCATTTTGTTTATATTTTCCTTTAAATTCATGTAAGTAGCCCTTTAAACATTTTTGTCTGTTATTTACATTGTGTCTGACATTTTGGGGTGTTATTTATCAATATTTGCCACTTATAATAAGTTACATATTCCTCCATCTTGGCATATCTTGACACAGGTTATTGGATATTGGGTATTGCTATGGACTGGACTAAATTTTGTCTCCCCGAAATTCATATGTTGAAGGCCTAACCCTCAATACTATATTATTTTCAGCTAAAGACTTTTGGAACATTATTAAGATTAAATGAAGCCGTAAGGGTGAGTCCCTAATCTGACAGGATTGGTATCATCACAGGAAGACAAAAAGACACCAGAGAGTTCCCTTGCTCCCCTTGCATGATGCAACAAGGAAAGTGCATGTGAGGACACAGCAAGAAGATAGCCATCTACTGAAGTAAAAAATTAAAAAAATATAACAAAATAATAGCATAAATAATAATTATAATTACAATAAAAAAGTAACAATAGCTCATAAAATAAACTGCTATATTAACCAAGGCTAAAAAATTTAAATAGCCCCCCCCAAAATTAAAGTTAAAAAACATATTAACTGTCTCTCCCAAAAAAACATTAACCATATCTGCCCTCCATACATATTGTAAACTCCTATTTCTTTCTTCCCTCGGGTTCCAAGGTCACAAAACAAATAAGCATAAGCGGCAAACCAAATTTTCCCGGAAATATAAGACATATTGCCAAAATATCACAGCAGCCTTTATTCTCACTTCTATAAAGCTGCTTCCTACTTCACATAATGCCTGCCTCAAAATTCTTTAAAAAAACTCGTTTTCTTTATTCTAAGCTCAAATTTTCAAAACACGTGTCCACTAAGCTGATGTACCCCTTAAATAAACACTTTCCTGCACTCCATTCAATCTCTCCAGTTCCTTAATTTCCGTCAACACTACAAGCCAGGAAGAAGGCCCTTGTCTGAAACCTAATTTGCTGCTATCTTGCTCATGAACTTCTAGCCTCAACAACTCTTGAGGAAATCATTGTTGTTTAAACCAATCAGTCTTTGGCATTTTGTTATGGCAGTCCAAGAAAAAGAGTACAGATTTTATGAATGTTATGTTGTTTTTGGTTTGAATCTTGTCTTCATTTAATTAGTGATATT
Organism: Homo sapiens; assembly: GCF_000001405.40. NCBI lineage: Eukaryota > Metazoa > Chordata > Mammalia > Primates > Hominidae > Homo > Homo sapiens. The sequence goes on along the minus strand of NC_000002.12, from coordinate 184,536,146 downwards.
TTCTTTCATGGCAGGCGGTTAAGTTTCATGTGGGTTAGTCTCATAGGCCTACTAAAGCTATGATAAGATGGTTTAAAGTATCCTACATTTAGTGAATGGTTCCATCCTATTAATAAGGCATGTCCTTACTGGTAATGCTATTGACTGTCTGTAGGGTTGAAATCACTGGCTGGTTGGGACTCAAACTTCTCCTATCCTGTATGAATTTCTGGAATTCTTAAACTTATAATTCTATGATTTTTTTACACAAATGAATAGCGTTTCACCCACTAGTCATTTATTGGAAACAACTTAAGGATAACCCTGTGCAAATCTCTGGATTTTTTTTCTCTACATAGTTCCCTCCTCTTTGTTACTCTTCCTCTCAATTTCCAACCACTTTGGCCTCCCCAGACTCTGGCCTCTGTCTTCTCTACTTAAAAAGTCTGCTAAATTCTGATTGAGTTTTCCTTCCCTGGCCCTCAGTTTGGAAATTAACTCTGGGCAGTCAGCAATGTTAATCTTACTTCTCATTTTAATTATTTAATTTCTTTAGGAATCACAATACTGTGCTGCCTGTTTTCCAACTTCCGAAAACTGTTATTTCATGTATTTGTGCTCTTTCCAGTTCCTAAGGGTAAAAGAAGATCTAAAGCCTCAAATAAAAAATCACTGATCTATCATAAAGTTGGATTAATCTAGTTGAAATTCCCCCCACCCCCCATCTGGTGAGGCTTTGTTGTTTTATTTAAAGTGGTCAGAAAAATACTCTTTCATAAAAAGCCTGCAAGTAATGAAGGTGCAAGTTGAGATTATACCTGTAGGAAGTTTTTGGTTAGAGGAAATAGTGAGTGTTAAGTGTGTAAAGTGGAATGTTTAACAAAACGCTAGGTGGCCAATGAGTCTCTTGTGGATGGGGAAAGGGGAGGATAGTAACCACTGAGGTATGTTTTAAAGGCCCAGAATTTGGCTTTTCCTCTATGTGTGCCAAGAATGCCATCTGGGCTTTTGAGTATAGTATTGGCATGCTCTGACTTGTCTTTTTAAAATACCACTGGCTGTTTCTACAAATATAAAGGGCAGAAAATATATTATAAATAATTAAAACGTGATTACCATATAATGTGTCTATTATTTGCCAGGCACTACTCGAAGTGCTTCCTATCTGTAAATTCATGTAATCCTCACAATCAAATGGTAAAGAGATATGCTAGCATTATTCCCATTTTACAGAGAAGGAAATGAAGGCATTCAGAGAGTAACCATGGTTACCTTGATAATAAGTATGGCAATCTAGCTCCAGTGCAGTGATCTTCCTAACTGTAATATGTCGACACAATCCCCAGGGTTGTTCTGAGAAATGACTGAGACAATTAATATAAAAGGTTTAGAAGAAAGGTCTGGGGCTTAGTACTAGAGAAACATTAGCGACTGTCATCTCCCTTGTGCCAACTCTGCCCATTCCTACCTTACCATTTATTGTGAAATCATATAACACTTATTATAGTTTAATCTCTTAGTATTTTTGCTTTCTCATATCCCTGGGTCTTTGCAAATGGATTGTATTCTTAACTTCCTATTTCCCAAGGTAAACTTTAATTTTTCTTTTCTTTCTTTTTTAAACCTTAAATTTTATTTTAGATACAGCAGGTATATGCGCAGGTTTGTTACATGGTTATATTGCACCATGCAGAGGTTTTGAGAATGTATCCTATCATCCAGATAGTGAACATAGTACCTAATAAGCAGTTTTTTAGACTATGCCCCCTTTCCTCCCTCCCCAACCCAGTAGTCTGCAGTATCTGCTGTTCCCATGTTTATGACCGTGTATGCTCCATATTTAGCTCCCACTTATGAAAACATGTGGTATTTGGCTTTCCGTCCCTGTGTTAATTCCCTTAGAATTGTGGCCTCCAGCTGCATCCATGTTGCTCCAAAGGACATGTTTTTGTTCATTTTTATGGCTGCCATAGGATTCCATTGTGTAAATATAAGATAGGAACATAGAAGGTAATTCTGTTATGTATAAATTTAGATTCATACACTTCATTTATCATAGCTTTTTCAAATAGTTTAACTGAATTTTCTACTAGTTGTAAATTTTCCTCAGTAATAAAGCAGTAATTACTTGTGCCTATAAGTCATTTTGAGTGTCTTATTATCTAATGAGAATGGAATTATATAATCAATTCTCCTTGAAATAACAAATAGGCTATAATGAAATTATTTCCCTGTTAAGAAATTAGTTTTAGTGTTAAGGTCATATTAACTTCTTTATATACTTATGTATTTACATATTTGTTTACCCTGTGAAATTCAAGCAAAATGATAAATTGTGCAAAAATTTTACAGAAAAAATGCAAGTAATATACTTATAAATTATCAAAATTAACAATTTTTCTGTCAGCTTCCTGAAACAAACAAATCAAACTAAGAGAATCAGCATGATGTAACAAACATACAACTAAAATTTTAATCAATCAATCAAAACTTAAATCATTACACTGAGAACCAGCATGATGTAACAAACATACAACTAAAATTTTAATTAATCAATCAAGATTTAAATCATTTCACTATCACTTATCTTTGGCAAGTAACTTAATTGTGCTAAGTCAAAATTTTGTTCAAGTGAACCTACCTCTTTTGAACAACTGCTGTATTAACTATATCAGTGAGCACACAGAGAAGAGGTCACATGAGGACAGAATGAGAAGGTGGCCAGGAAGAGCGGCATCACCAGAAACCAACATTGACCTTGATATTAAGCATCTAGCCTCCAGAACTGTGAGAAAATATGTTTTCACTGTTTAGCCACCGAGACTGTGATATTTTGTTATGATAGCCCTAGTAGACTGATAGAGCCATCATCAACAATTTACATGTGTTTTTTTTTCCTCTTAGAAATCATATCATTCTTAATGTATGAAGTTAAGGGCACCATAAAAATATAAATATAAATGCACACACACCCCTACATAATGATTAGGTACGTTTACCTCTTTCCAGGATTTATAGACAACCTGCATATATAAAATTAATGCAAATAAAAAGAACACATCTAAAGTACTGTAAATACTCATTAAACTGCTCTCAAACTATTCCTAGGCACTACTATTTAATAAAAACCTTGGTTATTTGAAACTTATGCATGACAGAATAACAGGCTATAAGGAAAACAAAAACTATAGCTAATCTTTTTACTTTGTGTTGCCTGAAACTCTAATATTATTTTATTTCTCTCTGAACTAAAATGAACCATAAACTAAAAAAGAGTAATATATTCTAAAAATGGACTATGATATGATACAGCAAGTTTACTCTAAAATCCCAAGGGAACTACATATAACAGTAACAATTTTCACATAATAAAATGAATTGGCATGAAACAATGTGAAATTGTGAATCAGCTGCCAAAGCTCTTGTATTAAAAGAAAAGAATTTCATATCTGAATAACAAAAACCTTTGTAACCATGACAGTTAAAAAGCAAAATGTTAGTGTTGAACAATGTGGTAATTCTCAAAATGAGTTTAGGCCAAGGGCACCTGAGTAAAGTTTATTGCTCTAGCAATACACACAGCATATTATTATTTTATTTTACTTTAAAAGGAAGGCTGTTTTCTATTGAAATATTTGTTATGGCTGCTAGAGTTGGAAAATCTAAGTATTTTTATTTTTCCCTAAAAAATCTATAAATCAACAAAAATAGTGGCTCATTGTGTATTTACCCAGAAGAATACAAAAAATCAACTTTAAACTTTTATGGCTAGTGTACATAAATATATATGTATATATATATTCATATATACATGTAGGTAAATTTCACTCTAGTTCTACTGAGCTTTCTTCTTCTTGGAATGGAACAATGTATAGTGTTTTTGTTTTAAGATCCTTAACCTAGATAAAAACAATCTTCATTATTGAACTAGAAAATCTTCATCAATTATGGACTTGATCTTATTCAATTTTGAGTGAGTCATATCCAAGCAATAAAGTGTCTTTCTATATTACATATAATGTAATTAAACTATATTCTGTTTGAGGTGGTTTACAAATATCTCACAACTTCAACAAAAAAGTATAGGGTAAAAATTATCCTCCTTTCACACATAAGTCCCATGAGGTAATATACTCAAGTTGCACACCTAATTAACAATAGAACTAAGATTAGACCTAAATACACATTATAAAATATCGGTAGTCATTATCAAAAGACAGTAAACATTAACATCACATTAGGTCACACTTTAGTGAATATTTATCTTCATGAATGGTATAGTAAGACCTTACACAATGACTTCAAGTGTTTAATAAACTCCTTTTACTGCATTTAAAAATAAAGACATGATATCATAAACTACATGCACATTTTGACTTTTTTTTCATTTTGAATTTCGTTTCCCTGATTCTGGTTTGACATACATAAGTGCAGTACTTCCTTTGATTTTCATATGTACCCAATAATTTTACTATATATATATATTACTATATATAAATATATATTACTGTATATAAATATGTATTACTATATATAACTATATATATTACTATATATAACTATATATATATATAAAACTATATATATATAACTATATATATAACTATATATATATAACTATATATATATAACTATATATATATATAACTATATATATATATATATATATATATATATATAAAACTATATATATATATATATATCCGATGGCAGTGGTAGCCGGTTTGAATAACTAAAAGAGCTGTGGCCGTGGACCCGAGAATCTCTGCATTCTAGCGGGTCCAGGAAGCCCCCTCCTAACAGGCTTGGAAGTGTCTGCTCCTGCTGCCTGGCCTTTTCTCGCTCTCAGCAACCGCTTTGATTTCGGAGCAAAGATGGGGCCAAACCCAGATGCTGTCACAATTCAGAGGGATGTGTGCACACTCGGGGCAGCATGGAAATGCCACACCCCTGATGCCTTGGCTCCCTCCAGACTTCGGGCATCAGTGAGCATGGGAGTGAGGCAGAGGGAGAACTGAGGATGGCTCCGTGTGGGCCTGCAGGTGCCCCTTGGCATGAATAGCCTGGATGTCATGGATGGCAGCAGGAGGCATGCAGGCTCCCAAGCAAAATGGGGTGAGTCCCCAGTGAAACCCTACATTCAGGCCAGGGACAGTGTGAGGCCTGGGAGCTGGGCTGCCAGTTCCACAGACCCAAATAAGAACTTATGGTGTTTTTTCCAGGCCCACCCATGGTTGCCCATGGACCAATCAGGACCCACTTCCTCCCTTCTGAAGCCAGTAAAAATCCTGGACTCAGCCAGACATGGGCAGATGTTGGGATGACCTGCCTGTGGAGAGGAGGTCCTCACTTCGGGTCTCCTGAAACCTGTTCTGCTGCTCAATAAAGCCCCTTTCTGCCTTGCTCACCCTGCAGTTGTCCATGTATCTCATTCTTCCTAGACACCAGACAAGAACTTGGGACCTGCCAAATGTCAGGACTCAAAGAGCTGTAACACAAGCAGGCTAAAACAAGCCACTCCACTCACCACCTTGCAGGCAACAAGAAGAAGAAGAGCTGCAGCCCTTTGGGGAGCTCAAACTTCGGGGCTCCCTGAGTCAAGGCTGTGACATCCTCTTTGGGGTTCTGTGGTACCTGGCATCTCCAAGCTTCCGGGAACCACCAAGTTCCCCTTGTCCAGATGCGGGTGCCTGCAGTGGAAACCACGTGCAGTACATCTGGTCCAGCAGCAGCCTCTCACAGAGCCAGAGCCTGGAGCTGCCCGCCCCACCACAGCAGCCAGGGTATCTGGCTGTGCACAGGACAGACCCTGTACTTGATGACCACACACCCCTCATCGTTCCACACCTGGCTTGCCTTTAGCAGGTGTGGGATCCAGGTAGGTAGTGCAAGCTGAGCGCAGCCTCATGGGCCAAGTGGGCAGAATGAACCCAGCAAGTGAAAGCAATATTCAGGCAGAAGGTGCCGCCAGCCACAAAGATTTCTGGCCAGAGAAATGACACCCCAAGGATCCCATGACATTTTTGCCAGCACATCTGGGATCTGCAAAAGTGTAGATAAAATAAACTTGCTGCTTTCTATCCTGTTTTTTTCAAAGTCCCTAAATTCCACAAAAGCTAAAATGAAAGAAAAATACTGGGCCTCTGTCAGCCAGTTAAAAGTGACTAGCACGGCTGCCAGACTTAAGACACGGAGGACAGGCTTGCTGGGGAGGACATTGTCGTGAATCCCCCATTACCCTCGGGGATTGGCCTGTTGGCTTTTTCCAATACATTTTCCTTTCATGGAGGTCTAGCCATCGTATGAGATCAGAATAAGGTCCTGGGGCAAATAAGGGCATCTGGCTGAGGTCACACCTCAGTGTTGCCTGAAGGCCCCTAGACCTGCTCCAGTCCCTGACAGGAGTTCATTAGGGTGTCAGCACTCAGACCTTCAGTCTTTCTTATTGGAATTTCTTTTTTTTCTTTCTTTCAAGACTGCCGTGGTTGCTATCCTCTTCTTTGCATACAATGTTAAGGGTGTTCTTGCAAATCATAGAGATGATATTACTGGGTAGAATGGGCAGTTGGCTTGGCCATCAGGAGTGTAAAATCAAAGTTTAAGAGTAGCACAGAGAAAGCAAAGTGTGCCTTGGTATCTTTACATAAATTTGTGGCAGAAATGTTATTGTCATTTCCTTGGTTGCCAACTTAGTGCCAAGCACCTTGAGGCACAGGAATGAAGCATGGCTTCAGGAAGGAATCATTAATTTCAATATCATCCTGCAAATGGACCTTTTGCATAAACACAAGAGCAAATGGTCTAAGGTCCCATGTGTGCAGGCCTTCTTTGCCTTGTAGTGTAATGCGGACTTTTGTCAATGCAGTATTGATTCAGCCTTCCAGTGGCCATAAAAGGAGATGCTGCAAGGGGCAATCCCAGGGCACTAAGGAAGCAAACCCAAGAGGTACCTCCAGTGGGGGAGTCAACTCCATTTGCTCCTTCTTATCCAGGTTGTCTCTCAAGCTTGGCTCAACCTAGAAATCCTCATTTTAGTCAGGTCAGTCTCACTCCTGCCCCTGCAACAGATGCCTGGTGAATATGGCCCAGTGAAGATCCAGGTACCCTTTTCTCAACAGGACTTAAGGCAAAGTAAGGGGGAATCTTGGCAAGTTTTCAGATGAACTTCATAGGCATATAAAGGCTTTCCAGGACTTAACCTAAGTATTTGAACTCTGCTGGAATTATGTCATACTACATTTGAATCAAACCTTGAGTACTGCTGAAAAGCAAGCCACTCTGCAAGCCCCTCCCCTGAACTTAAGGTTTTTTTCTTGTTTTTCTTTTTTTTTTTCCCTACACCATGTCAGGAGTCAGCATAGTCCTGCAAATACAAGGAATTTTCTATGTGAGGGGTCAGGTTTTTGTTTGTTTGTTTGTTTCCTTTTGGAAAGCACCTTATTAGGTCAGGTCACCAATTCCAAGGACTCCCTTTCATTCTCTTGTTTGAGGAGGACCTGGTCCCATTGCTTCATCTGCTTATGACAGGGAAGCAATGGAAGGTCTGCCCCACCAGTTGCTGGCAGCAATTTGGTGAGGGCCACCTGAAACTTAATTTAATGAGTCCATCCACATTCCTGAGACAATGCAAGCTTCATGTTGAAGCCCTGAAATGCAAAGCTAGACCTGAGGGACCCAGAGAGAGATGATGGCAGAAGTAAAGGGGCATGGTGCAGGTGAGCATAACTAATTCCTGAAAATTAAGCCCTCCCAATTTGTGGATCGAGGTCATGCTAGCATGCAAATGTTCCCAACAGTGGGAGGATAGGGCAGTGCATAAAAGTAAGTGTGAATATTCCTACCCACTAGGCCTCCCCACTTCATGAGTGAAGGTCACACTTGCACCCATGGTTGACACTTGCAAAGGTCGCCAGGATTTGGGAATATAAAGTTAAAAGAAAGAAGGGGACACCTTTATTTCTTTCCCTCATGTATCTTTGGTATTTGCTGGAAACAGAAAGGAACAAAGGGACACCTCTTTCCCCTCTTTCCAGATGGATAACCAATCATCTTCAGCATTCACTCCTCTTGAGTGCATCCTTAATCATTGGAATTTTCTTGACCCTCAGACTCTGGAGAAAGAAAAAAAAAACTTTTTTCTGTTATCCTCTTCTGTCCTCTCTTTATGGAATCACATATCTGTACCACAGGACACTCCTCAGATGCATCCCCCAAACTGGGAAACATTTAATTTCCCCGAACATTAAGCTGCTTGGCAATCTCTTGAAGAGGCCATCCATCGCTAGGGGAAAGGGAAACTAGAAGCCTGACATGCCAGCAAAAGGGTAAAAGTTCTTAGCAGTTAGACTTCTGGGTTCTCTTTGTGCAAACTGGTTGTGGGAATAGTAAAAATCACTGTATTCTCTGCTCCTCCATGAGTTCAAAGTCAGAAGTATTGGCCATTTGGCATGGCTAAGGTTGGGTAGTAGGGATTTAAAAGGAATTCTTAAAAAAGAAGTGATATGGTTAAAAGTCACCTTAACTTAATGTGGATATCAAAGTTGTATGTCTATTCAAAAGGCCTTTATACCATTTCTCTTCATGGACCTTGTTTTTCTGAAAAAAGGTTTGTTTCTTCTCAGTTGACTCAATTATTTCTCTCCATTTTGTCTTGCCACTCTTAATGCACACATGAGAGGCCCTAAGATATATTCTGATGGCCTGGAACTCCTTGAGACAAACAGAGGAGGTGCCACTGACCCCATATTGGGAAAAAAAAAAAACCTGTTTTCCTCATTGGACCCCAGGAATTAGAGGTTGATGGATCCCTCTCAAAACCTGTTTTAGTCTTTCCACCATGCCTGATTATTAGGCACCTATAAACTGCAGGTTTTCCTAGCCCTGTTTCTTGAAGGGCTCCACCTTGAGGCCAGTAATACAATTAAGACTTTGGCAAATGAAAAATTTTACAACTACTGAATATTTTTCTGTCTCTCTGTGTAGTTATATATGGGTTATATGTGTGATGTTTATATGAAAATGACCTCTTATTGATTGTCTTAAGAAAAAATGCATGCTTAAATCAAATTTTAAAGAAAAATAAAGCTGCAATGCCTTTTAATTAATGTGAGTTTAATTTTTGGAAAATTCAAAACAGCTTTAAAAATTATTGGTAAAATAAAAATGTCTTAGAAATGTAGACATGTAGTCTAAATCATGCAGGTAAGAAACTAGGTTTGCTAAATGCTTTAAGGTCATAAACTGCTTCTTTGGCTTTTGAAAACTGTTTGGCTTGCCTGCTTTACAGTTTGGTAAGGCCTGGGGACATATGAACTTAACCACACCCCTAACTATGCTGGAAAGAGTCAGACCTCATCTGCACCTAGGGCATAATTAAAATAACTTTCTAGGTTTTACACCAGAATTAAACATTGGTAAGAGTTACTATTATAACATGTTGTTGAGACTACTAAAAATAGATTTACATGTAAGGTGTGTAAGGAAAATAAAATGTGTCTTTTGTAAAAGATTATAAGAAGGCATGGGAATGTCAATTTTCTCCTATTTTATAGGGTTAAAGGATTGTTTTAAATTATATAAGATAAAGTAAAAGGTTTAATCAAGTTGTGGAAGGTTCATAAATGTTAATTTTGTAAAAGCAATTCTGTGTGTGAACATATTGAGTAAATTTAAAAGGTTGTTATTTGGTTTTTCTGTAATTTGAACATTTGAATAAAAGCACAAAAAAGGTTTCTTAAGGCACTAATCTGCTCTTTAGCAAAAATTTGTTAAGTGTTATAAAAGACTTATAAGAATATCACCTCATGGTCAAACTGATTAAGATTTGACAGATTTGTCTATAGGATTTCATTGAAAAATTGGGGTTGATATTAATAATAGACTAATGCAAGGGTGAAATTTGGCTTTCTTTCTCTTGAACGAGAATTTCATGTAATGTTAAAGGATAATGAAAGATTTTTATTTGCCTTGTGAATAAACTGCTGAAAAAAGAAGAGAAAGACCGGAGAAAGATTATTCAGAAAGCTAAGTCTTCCCTCTCAATGAGTAAGGTTTTTTGCCTTGTTTTTTTGGAGTCATCATTTTAGCTAAATAAATGTCTTATGGAAACCTGGAATTCTATTTCATGATATCAAGTGTTTTAAAGCTTTAACGTATTTGCTAGGCTTCCCAAAATCAAATTTCAGCTTTGAAATTGGCTTCTCTAACCCGTAAGTTTGGGATGTGATGGAGGGCCACTGGAGCATCCAAAAACAGGAATATTTCACATGTTTAGTTACACGAGAGGGTCAAAATTAAAATGAGTTTTAATCTTCTTCAGGTTATATTTTAGTGAATAATATTAATATATGTTCCAAAATTGTATGGGAGTTCTAAAAGTCAAATATCTGAGTACATGCTATCAATCATAATTAGGGTTACTATGTTAAGTTACTGTAAAGCAAAGAAAAAAACTAATTTTTTTTTGTCAATCTTTGGTTTGCATTTTAGACTAACCTTGCTTATTCCTGTGAACTAACCACTGATCACTGACTGAAGTTTAGAAGAGACAAAAGGGAGAGGTAATGTACAAATCTGAATCAATATTCTAATTCTGTGTGTGTCAGCAGCCTCACTATTTTTGAGCTGTCCTTACCCCTTGTTTTGTTTTTATTCCTGTCTTCTAATATCACGGTTTGTCTCTTTCATCTTCAGGCCATCAAACTCCAAATGGTCATGCAAATGGAACCTTGGACAATGGCTCCCTCTTACTGGGGACCCTTAGATAGGCCTTTCACAGAAGGTCTGACTGCCGTTTTCCTCAAAACAATGCCCCCTGTCAGCATGAAGCAGTTAAGAGCAGTCATTGTCCCTATCCTAACAGCAGTTAAACGTACCTCTTCAGAGAGGGAATTGATGGGCAGTGGCAGCCCATCTGAAGTCGCTGCTGCCATGATGGTGGCTGCATTTGGGGTGGTGAAGCTGCTGCTACGTGCTCCACAGAGCCGGTTGGAGCTAGGAGCAGGCGGGACCCCTGCCTCCTGAGTTGGAGGGGTGGTAGCCTCACCTTCCCAAGAACAGTTACATCCACCCAGCTGTGGCTGTGGTCCTGGGCATCTCTGCACTCAGAAGGGTCCAGGAAGCCCCTTTTTCCCCACAGGCTCAAAAGTGCCTGCTCCCGCTGACTGGCCTCTCCCCACTGTTGGCACTTGCTCAGGTTTCAGAGCAAATTTGAGGCCAAGCCCTGGTGCTGTCACAACCAGACTGGGTGTGAACATGTTCTGGGCAGTGTTGACCCGCCAGATCCCTGCCACCTTGGCCCCCTCTGGACTTTGGGCACCAACGTGCATGGGAAGGCAGCCTAAGGGGAACTCAGAATGGCTCAGCGTAGGCCTTCAGGTGCCCCTCGGCAGAAACAGCCTGGGAGCTGTGGATGGTGGCAGGAGACAGATAGGCTCCCAGGCAAAAAGGAGTAGGTCCCCAGTGAAACCCCACCTCTAGGCCAGGGATAGCCTGAGGCCTGGGGGCCAGGCTGTCAGTTTCGCGAATCCAAATGAGAACTTACGGTGCCTTTTCCGGGCCCACCCATGGCCGCCCATGGACCAATCTGCACACACTTCCTCCCTTCTAAAGCCCATAAAAATCTCTGGACTCAGCCAGACTTGTGCAGATGTCAGTATGACCTGCCTGCAGAGAGGGGCTACCTACCCACTGTTGGTCTCCTATCACCTGAGAGCTGAATAGACTCATTGGCACATCCTGCCTGTGGATAGGAGCTACCCACTTCAGGTCTCCTCTCTGCTGAGAGCTGTAGACATTAGGATAACCTGCTCGCGCATAGGAGCTACCCATTTGGGGTCTCCTGAGAGCTCTTCTGCCACTGAATGAAGCTCCTCTCTGCCTTGCTCACCCTCCAGTTGTCCACATATCTCATGGTTCCTGGATGCAGGACAAGAACTGAGTACCTGCTGAATGGTAGGAATAAAAGAGCTGTAATACAAACAGGGCTGAAACACGCTTCCCCCACTCGCCATATTACAGGCGGCGAGAAGGAGAGAAGAGCTGCAGCCCTTTGGGGAGCCCTGGGGGCTCCCGGAGGCAGGGCTGTGACACCCTCTTTAGGGTTCTGTGGATCCTGGTGTCTCCAAGCTTGTGGGGGCATCATGTTCCCCTCCTCCAGATGGAAGTGCCCACAGTGGAAGCCACGTGGAATACGTCTGGTCCAGCCTCAGCCTCACATGGAGCTGGTACCTGTGCCAGTGTCTGGAGCTGCCTACTCTGCCGCAGCAGCCAGTGTGTCTGGTTGTGCGCAGTGGCCAGAGCCTGCACTCACTCACCCACACGCCCCTTGCCACTCCGCGCCTGACGTGCCCTTGGTAAATGTGGGATCTGGGTCGGTAGCACGAGCTGAGAGCAGCCTGCCAGGCCAAGTAGGTGGAATGAACACAGCAGGTGTGAAAAATACTCAGGTAGAAGGTGCTGCTGGCCACAGAGGTTTTTGGCTAGTGAAGCGGCACCTAAAGTATCCTGTGACATATCCATACAATTTATGTGCATTTATCAGTTACAGTTGGCTATAAATTTGATAAAAAGACATTGTACATTTACTTACAAGAAATAAGGCAAAGAGAGGAGTTGTGTAAAATGCAATCAACTGATTGTATTACTAAGCAGAATTCTGATTTTTATTTCTCTTTGAACTACTCCCCCTGACTGCTTTGACACTATGAAACACAACATATGTCCTGGAAATATGTGACATATTTAAATATTGTATTACATAAGAATACACTTTAGGAACTTATTTATAATTTCTTTCATTTTTTAATATCTAGGTTATTTTGTTCTTCTGATTTATTCTGCTTCTCAGTACATTGCCTTGAATTTAGAAAAGTCTTTGCTTTGTTAATCATACTTCAAAATGAAAAAAATTTGTTGGAAACTGTGTAATCTCACAATGTGAACATGCTTTTTTTTACTATTTTTATTTCCTATGTATAGGTAAATCGCATTTGAATATATGCATTTTGAAGCATTTATTCACTATCTCTAGAGTAAAAAAGAAGCATATATAAAATCCAGTTGAAATATGACTGCATTGATTCATAATTTTCCAGTTGTAACTTATTTATAATACCCTTGAAAATACCATAAAAACCTAATGTCCTCAACATTTTTAAATCAGTTTGAATTTGTATATTGGTTTGAATTATTATAATACTTATTTTATTCTAGATATAGTATAGCATTGCAAATTCTAGTACTAATCTTAAAATAGCACTTTTTTTTTTAACAGAAGACATCAGAAACAAAACTGGTTCCTAATGCCATAAAAGTCTCAGAAGTCTTAGATATCTGCACCTCAGATGACAACTTGGGATATCCGGTAATTTATTTTGAAGTCTCTAATTTCGAGTTTGAATAACCTAGAAGTACTTTTTCTTCTCATGATTGACATGTATTTCCTGGACATCATCCAGAGAAGCTATATACTATTAGTCTTCATATTCTTTGTCATTTGGTATAGAACAAGCTTTCTGAAAGGCAGAAATTTTTCTATCCGGAACACTCAGTGAATGTAAAATAATCTAAAAAATATTAAGAACTTATTCTATAATTAAAAATATTCATTAGACAAATATTCATTGATGTTTACCCTGCCACAAATCCTGAGCTCTGGAGATAAAATAATGAACCCTTCTGCTATTAAGTTTATGGTTTACTAAATGATATGGATATTAATCAATTAAAAAATGCATCTGACAGACTAAATAATTTGAAAACATTGAATTATTTTAAAATATCACTAGGAGATTATCTTAAGGTTATATCAGAAACAATAAACTGTAAATTGATTAGACAATGATAATATTTCTTCTAAAAATAAGTTTTTTCTGGTCTTCCAAGGAAGTCTATCTGACTTTTCTAAGCTCATACTTCCTAGAGATACTTTAGTAGTTATTATACAACCAAATACTTTCTTTTATGAAACTACTTCAGCTTATCTTTGGCGCATGTGTGTGTGTGTGTGTGTGTGTGTGTGTGTGTGTGTGTGTTCATGTGCCTGTGGAAGTATTTATGCATGTAATATTGTTATGCCAATATTCATGTTATTTTTATTTTATTATTTCATCTAACTTATCTCTATAACTTCCATTATGGTAGTAGTGATATTCATGAGAAATACACCTTAGAGATCCACTTAGTGAAAACCCAAGAAGAGTCTTGAATTTTTTTATCTTCAATGTTCAAATTTTAAATGTTTGGCATTTTCAATAAACTATAAAGTCCTTCATGCCAACTAGAAAGAGATTTGCCAAGGAGGAAATCACCTTAAATACTTGTCTTGGAAAAGACATAAGACAATTGTTTTGCCTCTTTTCTATTTGTTCATTTTACCAAAGTGAATGCACTTATAATACAACAGTGAAATATGTTTCCACAGTCCCACAATCAGGCTTGTCCAGTTTATGTAGTTGTCCAAGGTGCTTTTATTCAAAGAAGATATTTTGTAGTGTTGCTATTAATACAAACTAATATTGGTTGTATTAGTTTTCCATGACTGCTGAAGCAAAATATCATAGAGGTAGTGGCTTAAAACAACACAAGCTTGTTATTATACAGTTTGGGACATCAGAAATCTTAATGGTTCTCACTGGGCTCAAGTAAACGTGGTGTAAGGCTTGCATTCCTTCCTTCTGGAGGTTGTAACAGAGACTTGAATTCCTGGCTCTTTCAGCTTCTTGAGGCTGCCCAAATTCCCTGACCCATGGTATTCTTATTCCATCCAACCAGCTTCCTCCAGCCAGCAATAGTGGGCCAAGTTGTTTTCACATTGTATCTCTGACTGCAACTCCTCCATCCACCTTCCTCTTCCATTTTTAAGATCTCTTGTGATTACTTTGGGTCTACCTGTATAATTTAGGATAATCTCCTTACTTTAAGATCAGTTCCTAATCAACCTTAATTTCATGTTCAACTTTATTCCCCTTTGCCATGTAACCTAACATATCTTCTGGCCATTAGGAAATGGACATCTTTGGGGAGATATATTGTTTCTACCATGCAGAGTAGGCATTAAATTCTGAATAAATTACTTAGATTGACTCATTGTATTCATTAGTTAACTATTGAATCAGTCTAATTATGTGTGAATAGTTATATGATAGATATTAAAGCAAATTATCTGTTTGATAACCTATCTATTTAAGTGTGTTCCACATGATGAAATAAATAAAAGGAGTCATAATCCTGTGTGATTTGTGGCTAGAAGAAGCAAAACTATTTTTCAAAATGCTTACATAAAATAAAATTCTTACAGCATGTTGAAAGCATTTTTAAAGATTTTCAAAATATCTCAATATTTTTGGGTTCATTTATTCTTTGAAATAAATGGAAAATACACAAGCAAGAGAAAATATTACTACCTCTGTATTACAGATAAGGAAACAGAAGCTCATAGAGTTTAAGAAACTGACAATATAATAAAAAAGGATGATTTAATCTTTTCAGACTTTCCACAGAACTAATTCTATTAAAAGCTGAGTCTGGCAAATGCTTGGCTTGCCTTACAGTCAATTTAATCTCTTAGAAGCTAGAGAGAATTATGAGAGGGATTATTCTATACTTAATTCCAGCCAATGAAAAGTAACTGGCAGGGAAGTTGAAATGACAGAAAATCTAACATAAATTCAATCTAAACTCTTAAAATTTATTATTGTTGAGGATGCTTACTTTGGTCTAGTCGAATAAACAGCCTTCAACAGGAAAAGTTTTTTTAAAAACTTTAACTTAATAGAGATAAATAAAAACAAAATGCTTACTGAAATTTACTCATTTATGGGACAACATAGAATTAATTAATAGGAAACATATTAATGATAATGGATTACTTTAAGAAATAAAATTCTAAAGAGGTGATCACAAATAATCTTAAGAAAGAAAAAAACAGTAATAGTATTTAAGGAGCCAGTCATTGAAGGTATTGTAATAAAATACATAAAAGATGACACAGAAAGTATGCTAATTAAATGTAATTATAACAAATTGGCAGCAAGCTATGAAAACTTTTGTAAAGCAAAACTAGCATGATATGATTCTTGTGAAAAAGTATTAAATGACATATAGTGGTCTCTTAAATTATATTTATTATAAGACAAGAAATGCTAAAATCAATGCTCAGTTTACTTTATGATAATGCTTCATTGCTAACACATCATCAAAAATTATACAAATTTTCAGCTTTTTCTGGCAAGGTGAATGGCTACCCCAAACAACAAAATTTGACTCAACATTGGTAAAAGTGATATGAAGTCTAAGATAAGAAAGAAGATTTTTAGAAAGGATAATTTTAGAGAGCACTTAGTTGCTCTATAAAAATGTAAATCTCTTGGCCTGGATAACATCCATTCAAGAATGCTGAGAAAGAAATTGAAGATGAAATCTCTGAATAGCTGTCAATTTTCTTGGAAATATTAGGAAGAGAAGGAGAAGGCCTGGGAGACAGGATAAAATGATGGCACAACTTTCATGAAGGGAATATGGTAACTTTTCTTAAATTATAAAAGGTGATGTAGGGTAAGGTGATGTACAAAAGCAATAATTATTAAAATTTGATATTTATTATTATTTAGAAAATGTCATTTCTTTAAGAGAAAAAGCTTCTCATTAGTAAAAGAAAATAAATGTAAGTGTTTGCCCTTTAAGTGATACACCCAAAATAATACAGTGCAAAAGGGTGGATAAAGGACATGGTAAAAATATGCCATGGAAAAGCTAGTATAAGCAATACACACTGGTATACCAATATAATTATCGGATAAAATAGAATATGAGGCAGAAAGCAATCCATGGGGGAAACTGGTATAAAAGGCAAAATTCAATATACTAGTCTTTAATTTTTATTCTATGTGCTCTACGTGCTTATTGAAAATAATTAAACATTCCACTTTAGTATTCTATAAGACTTCCACTTGAAATCTGTAGCGATATAGTGGTTATTCAAACACTAGTGCTAGAAATACTGGTTATTCTAGTTGGCTATGAAACATTCCATATTGTTTTCTATAGCAGCTGCATCCGTTTATATTCCAAACAATAGTGTACAATAGCTCTAATGGCTTCACATTCTTATTACTTGTTATCTTTGTAGATAGATAGATAGATAGATAGATAGATAGATAGATAGACATAATAACCACCTTCACAAGTGAGAGATGATATCTAATTGCAGTTTTGATTTTCATTTCCCTAACATTTAGTAATGTTGAGCATCTTCTCATAGAAATGGTAGCCATTTCTATGTCTTCTTTGGAGAAATGTCTATCTAAACCCTCTGCCCACTTATAAATCAAGTGATTTCTTTTCTGTGATTGGGTTTTAGGAATTCTTGGCATATTTTGGATACCGATCCCCTATAAGATATAGTTTGCAAATATGTCCTCTAAATCCATAGGTCGCCATTTTACTCCGTTAATTGTTCATTTGCTGTGTAGAAGTTTTTAGTTTGATGTTGTCTCACTTGTCTAATTTTACTTTTGTTGCTTGTGCTTTTACTATCATATTCAAGAAACTATTGCTTAGCCCAATGACCTGAAGCATTTTCCCTATATTTCTATCTAGGAATTTTATAATTTGATGGACCGCATTAACAAAACGAAGACTAAAACTCACATGATCATTTGAATAGATGTAGAAATGGGATTTAACAAAATTCAGTACATTTCATGATCTTAAAAAAACTCTCAATAACTAGGTATAAAAGGAAATTTCCTCGACATAATAAAGGTTACTTATAAAAACCCACAGCTAACATACTCAACTGTGAAAAATGGAAAGGTTTTTCTCTGAAACCAGTAACACAGAAAAGAAGTTCACACTCACAAAGTCTATTCAACACAGTACTGGAAGTCCTGGAAAGAGCAATTAGGCAAGAAAAATAAATAAAAGGCATTTGAATTGGAAAAGAAGTAAAATTACCTCTGTTTGCAGATGACATTATCTTTTATGTAGACAATCCTAAAGACACCATTAAAAAAACTCTTAGAACAAATAAATTCAGTAAAGTTGCAGGATACAAAACCAACATACAAAATTCAGCTGTATTTCTATACATACATAATAAATGATATGAAAATGAAATTTTAAAAATTCATATACAATAGCATCAAAAGGAATAACATACTTAAGTATTTCAGGGAGGTGAAAGACTTTTGCAATGAAAACTACAAAGTATTGATGAAATAAATCAAAACAGACATAAATAAATGGAAGACACCCATGTTCATGCATCAGAGGACTTAATATTGTTAAAATGTCCATAAGTACCCAAAGTGTCATACAGGTTCCATGCAATTTCTATCAAAATCCTCGTGGCATTTTTACAGAAATAGAAAAAAGAAATATAAATTTAACAAAGAACCACAAAAGACCCCAAATAGCCAAAATGATCTTGAGAAAGAAGAACAAAGCTGAAGGCATCATACTTCCTGATTTCAAAACATATAACAAAGCAATAGAAATTAAAACATTATGGAACTGACATAAAGACAGACATATAGATCAATGCAACAAAGTAGAGAGTAAAAAAAATCCATATAGTCAGCTAATTTTTAACAAGGGTGCCAAGAACACACAATGGGGAAAGGATAGTGTTTAATATTTGATAATAGAAAAACTGGATATCTACAGGCTAAAGAATGAAATTGGGCTCGTATCTTACACCATACTCAAAATCAACTCAAAAGATTAAAGATTTAAAAATAATACCACATGAATAATTTGTAAAATTGGTTTTTCTAAAATTATAGCAAAAGTGGAAGTAGTATTTTTATGTATAGAAATGAATCAAGTAGTCAATAAATACTTGTTATGGAAATAATATGTTCTAGATAACAGTTCCTGGAGCTGTAATGATAAGCAAAACAGACATAGTCCCTGACTTATTACCCATAATGGCTTTCCTGGAGTTGAGGACTGTGGGACTTGTAAAAATCGAGTCTAGTAATGCAACAATGTCTCTGACTAACATGCTGAACCTCATAATATTGAAGTTTATTGTTTGCCTTTAAGGTTATTTTACTTTAAAACACATGAGTACTGTAGTATTTATAAATGTAGATTATATAGGTCTACATTTATCTATAATATAAGCATATTGTATCTGCAAATAGAAAATTGTCTTTGTAAATTATATATGAATTTTTAAAAGCTATGTGTCTAGAAACCAGCAAGTATACATAAAAAACCTTTTGTAATACTCTAAGCAATATTAGCCTATTGATTTTAAATGATTGCTTACTGATCACTTAGATTGCATTTGCTGAAAGATTATGCTTCATATATGTAATAAATCCATTTTCACATATTCATATTTATTTACTAATCAGGTATTTATTTTAAAACATTAGATTGTTATTCTACCTTTTCACAATGCTATTTACATAATATTTATGTTTTTAATTTATTAACTTCTAATGTTAACAAAATGCAATAATTTGTGTACATATTTTAAAATTAAAATAACATGGAGCTTAAAACAACACAGCAATATTCTGGCCCAGATTCCCCTTTTCTAGGGACAAGCACTTTTAACTCCTTTAAATCTCATTGGTGGTATTTACTTTCATATTTTTATGTAACATGCTTACATGTATCTTAAATATATTATAGTTTTATGTATTATTGTTTAACATCCTATATTGTACATATAGGAAGAGTTATGCAACTCTTGCACCTCCCTCTGTGTGAATGCATGCATGCACACACATGTGCTCTCACATGACTTTGCACTCTCTCTCCTAAATTATGATGATATATTTCACACAGCTGACTTTAACAGGAAACTATGCCTGCATTTCTATTTTTAAATTTTTAAATGGAAAATTTTATTGATAAAATTATAGATGACATACAGCTCTAAGAAGAAACAGAGAGTTCCATTATATGCTTTGCCCAGCTTTTCCCAATTCTAATATTTTGTAAAACAACAGTGTGATATCATAAAAAGTATATTCACCTAAAGATGATCCACCCATTTTATTCAGATTTCCCCAATTATACTTATACTCATTTGTCTATATGTGTGTGTGAGTGTTACATTCTACAGAATTTTCTATATCATATGTGTAGGCTCCCAATTCATTACCACAGTCAATGTTGCTGTTTTGTAACCATGCCTGCTTCTCTCTAGTCTCTCTAGTCCCCCTGACTGGTCCCTTCTCTAACTTCTGACAATGACTAATTTGTCCTCTACACAAAATTTCCTTCATTTTTGAAAATGTTATACAAATTGAATCATATAGTATATTACCTTTCTATTGACTTTAATCACTCAGCTTAATTCCCTGGAGATTCACCCAGATGTGTACATGAATAATTTATTTTTTAAATTATTGAGTATTATTCTATAGTATGTATGGACCACGGTTTGTTTAACCATTCTTGCTCTGAAGGACATCAGGACAATTCTGCTTCTTGGTTATTACGAATAAAGCTGCTTTGAACATTCATGTACAGGTTTTGTGTGAATGAAAGTTTTTAATCATCTGGGATAAACGGCCAGAGGTGTAATTGCTGAGTCACAAAATTATGGCATGCAAAGTGTTTTAAAAAACTGCCAAATTGTTTTCCAGAATGGTTGTGCCATTTTACATTCCAGTCAGCAATATGGAGTAATCCAGTTTGTATCCTCACCATCACTATGTCATATCACTATGTATTATCTTAGTTATCTTGATAGGTGTGTAGTGAGACATTTCTTCATATATACATATATATATGCTTACTATAATTGATGCTAAAGGTATATATATATAAATATATATTTGCTTTCTTTGAAAACAATGTTAGTTTCATTTACATACATTTAATTTCCAACTTTTAAATCACCTGCTTACCCACAATTTTTCTTTCACACATACCTGATGATTTACTAACATTTTTCTTCTTTTAGAAATCATCAGTAGAAACCATAATCTTTCTCCTCTCATGTGGATTATTTGCTTTCTAGTGCTGTGTATAGCTGACATTCTGTACTTCCCTTGATTTCATATTATGAATTCCTTTACCTCTTTTGGGTTGGAGATCCAGTTTTCAAGAGCCCATATTTTCTCTTCCCATTTTATTCTCTCATTTTGATTGAGTACACTTTCCTAGGATTTTTGAGATAGGTGACTTTGAAAGTAAATTTGAGGGGATTTTTATACCTAAAAATGTTTTTATTATGGTCTCACATTTCAGTGAGAATTAGTTGAGTCCCTCAAAATTGGAAGATTATTCTCCACTGTTTTCTAGCTTCCAATTCTGCTTCTTTATCTGTATCCTCCCCCTCCGTTTCTAGTAGCATTTAGAATCTTCTAATCTTTGGCAATATAAAATATAGTAATGTTGCTTTGGTTTGGTTCTCTATTAATTGTTTTTGTTTTTCTGTCAGAACAAGACCTTTTCTGAATATGTAGTGAAATGTGGCTGTCTAAAAAGAGAAAGATCCTGAGGAACTAATTAGAAGCTCTGTTTGTTGTAGAGGCTTGTTGACAGCTAGGCCTCACTTAGTGTGACCAGACTAGCTTGTTATATTGGGGAATTCCCAAATATGAATACCTATAGGTATTTTCTTTTGAGCTGCTTAGTTTCTCCAAAAACCTCCTGTTTCCTGTTTAGTACATATAAGCTGGTGTTCTAGGAGTTCAGAAAAGGAAAGCTGTGTTTGTATGAGGAGCTCATCATCAGTATGAAGATTTTCACTGAATCCTGTTTTCAGCCTCACTTCTCCCCACAGCAGGACCTCTTTTTCCCTAAGCCAGAATCTATCTTTTAACCTCTCCAGAGAGTAAACATCTTCTGAAAGAAGAGCAAAAGTGTATTTGACTGATTTCGTGGGCTGTGGAAGGATTTCTGGTTTTCTAATAACTTCCTTAAAAGAATTTTACATAATCTTGAGTCTCTATCCTTGAGTCTCCATCCCTGCCTATGGGTTTATGGTACTTAAAGTTTTTAACCCTTATGCTTATTTCTTCTTTACTCTTTCTCCTGTAATATAAGTCAGTTACTACTGGTTCATGTGCTTTCTAGCTTATAAAAATTCAGTAAACCACTTGTTTCCAATATTTTCATTTTTAAAAAATTTTTGGCCTGATGAATTGATGCCATTCTTGATCCTTTATGACTATTAATGTGGGATTTTATAAGCAGTGGAGAGAAATGCATACATTCAATTCTATATAACCAGAAGTTACTCATTATTTTGTAGAACCTGCATTAAACATTACACATACAATGCAATTTCAGTGCATTATACATTGAAAATCATAAATCATCTTGTTACGAAACAGTCTTTCACAGACCATTTAATGGCTCTTGATCTCAGGTTCTACGTGGTGTCACTGATTGCTAGCTAACATTTAAGTTTCAATTTTAATATCAGAATTCTAATGATATTTCCAGTAATTGATGCTAAAGGTATATAGTGTTATTTTGTTGTTGCTGTTTTAATTTTTAGGATAAATTGGAAACAGACAGTATAATGAAGAGCAACCAAAACAGTTTTCCATAATTGTTGAAACATTACAGGTTAGATAGATGGATTTGAGAAATAAAACATGTCTTCATATTATTAAGACTTATTTTTAAAATGTGTGCACAATGGAAAAAATTGTAGACAAATATGTGTCTTTAGTTCCTTTTTTTACATTTCTAAAAGTAACATAAAAGATCTAGAATAAGCTAAATCCGTATCTCATAAATTAAATCTAATGATGCTGCATTAGAAAGAAGAGATGGTATCAGCACACCAGACACTTTAACATTTTCTGAAATATTATAGGTGTGAGCCACTGCATCCTGTCCAGTAAATTTTAATAACTAATGAATTCATTAAAAAAATAAGAGGAAGAAAGAAGGAAACAATGAAATATGGGCAAAAATTCTGAGAAAGTGTCCAATAAAGGGAAAGCCAGAATGACCATATAAGAGGAAATACATTTTTAAAAGGCTTTATGTAATATAATTTTAAGGTATTTATTTCCTTATCATAAAACTATTTAATAGATATGTTTAGGGAACAGATAGGAAATTTGATAAGTGACTCTTGAGGTACCTTTCAGATCTGAGATTGTTATTCTAGGATTCTTCTTTCTGAATAGCATTCTTTTTGCTATACTATTTAGTTACTAGAGATTCCCTTACGATAATACACAGGGCATTTATAATATCTGCCAAATTTACATAGTGCTAAAAAGAAAATCTGGAATCTATAAAATAAAATATTATCATGTATGACTCCGGATTATATGGACACCTGTGCATTCTTCATTTTTATATGAAAGGAATTCCAATATGGAAATAGGGACAGTTACAGTTCTCAGGAGTGAATACAATCTTAAAGGATATAAGAATCAACTATAATCGTGGTGAAAGAAGGGAGTTTTTGAGTCAAGAAAATGGTTTGTGGGCACTCTCTATAGTTGAAGTATAGGATACATTTGTATAACCTGAAAGTATGTGTAGTGGAGCCTTTTTCTTGTGTTTGCTACCTAAGATAAATTATTTTTAAGAGAGGCACAATAACTTCCTTACACTATCTCCCCAATCCCTTATCTGCAGAATTTGAATACTTCCTGTAACTTAAGTTATGGACCTGATTGTATATTCCTAGGGATTTTTCCATACCAGATACCCAACTTGTGTATAACTATGATCCCAGCTCCATATGTTCTGTAGCAAGTTTCTCTTTGCAAAAATTGTGGCCTATGCAAAAATTATTTGCAAAGTTATGAAACTATTGACACAAGAGCCCTGAATATGCCCTGAATATCCCATGAAAGAAAACTAGGAACTCTACCAAAATGCAAAATTGTTTCTATCTATATGATAAAGCATGGGGTTTGAGTAATATCCTTTTTAATAGGTACCTGAGTTGATTGTAGTGTGTACACTACAGAGTGAAAGCAAGTGATAGAGATCATTCCATCTGAGGAAATAATAAAATCTATTCCTGATCTACATTCCACATGGCCCAATGGCAAGAGAGTCATTTGCTTATGGTCACATGTAATAAATATAAGTAGTGCTTGGGATGTTAACTTTCAAGAATCATTTCTAAAAGTATGCTTATTTGCAAAGTTATGAGACTACTGACACAAGAACCACTGGTCTACACATAATGGTAGAAAATGAAATGATAAGAGAAGATATGAAATTACACAGAAGAAAACAGTGGACTAAAATAAAATAAGGTCAAGAACAGATATTTGCAAACTACCAACTTTAAACAAAAAAAGGAATAAAATATGCTAAAAGAGACTGAGTGACATTGTGAGATTTCAATCAAAGAGCAAGGGAAGATTGGTATTTTGAAGGAGAGGAAGTAAGAGCGTAGAGATGAATATAATTGAATAACCGTTACATGACAGACATCACGATAAGGAAGAGAAAATTCACAGATTAACTACTGTGATATCAAATATCACAGAGAAGTTTAATAGAAGTAGAAATGAAAGGAGCTGTTTTGGTAAATAAGAGGTGTTTTTTATACATAATAAGATCAATATTATATCATCAACTAATATTTGTGCCAGGTATTGTTTTGTATACTGCCATACTGCCCTTGAGAGACTCACTTTTATTGGGAAATTGGATCAATAAACAGAAGTGACCTTTGTGATCAGTAAATTTGATAATAAACAAGTAACTTTGGAACTATGGAAACAAAATATCAGGTACCTATGTTTCAGTAATTAGGAAAATTTGCAAGCATCCTTGATTTGTTCTTTCTATTATTCTCTTCATCCATAATGATCACTATGTATGCCCATTTTAGTCATCTAAATATATTTGTCATTCGTCCACTCGTTTCCACACTCAGTCTATTTTCACTATTTATCTGTGTTACTACAGTGTCCTCTAAACCAGTCTCTCTTTCTTCAAATTGTCTCCACATGATCAAATCTCCGGAGAGGTGCCAAAATAATATTTCTAAAACAAATCTAATTGTATCACATACTTAATTAAAATTATTCAGTAGTTCTTTATAGGCTTTAGACTAAGTACCAAAACACACAAAGCTTTTTATCACCCTGTCTTGCTTGCTTCATGCAATCATGGAAATCTGATCAGCTCTATACTACAACATCTGTTGTGTATTGATATGGTTTGGCTCTGTGTCCCCACCCAAATCTCACGTGGAATTGTGATCCCAAGTATTGAAGGAGGGGCCTGGTGGGAAGTGATTTAATCATGGGACTTGATTGGATCATGGTGGGACTTCCCCCTTGCTGTTCTCTTGGTAGATTTCTCAGGCTATCTGGTTGTTTGAAAGTGTGTAGCACTTTCCCCTTCACTCTCTCTCTCTCCTGCTCCACCATGGTAAGATGTGTTTGCTTCCATTTTGCCTTCCACCATGATTGTAAGTTTCCTGAGGCCTTCCATCCATGCTTCCCATACAGCATGTGGAACTGAGTCAATTAAACCTCTTTTTTTTTTTTTTTTTTTCATAAATTAACCAATCTCAGGTAGTTCTTTACAGCAGTGTTAGAACAGACTAATACACACATTGGTTTAATTTCTGTACATTTTTGCCTGTTCTATCTTCTTTAGTTAGCTGCCTTTTAGTTCTGTTTGCTTATGTTTTACAACAATGCTGAACAGAAAACAATGCATGATTGTTGATGAATTGAATATATGAGTACATAAAAACCTGTAGAAATGTTTACTTTTGTTTATGTGGCAAAATAAATAATAATTTATTTAAAATCCTGTTAGTGAAAACATAAAATACATTGACTAAAGACTGAAAAAGTAAAATACTTTATAAGCATACCTTTGTAATAATTTTCATAGCTTATTTTCCTCCACATCATTTTTAATTTTAAATACATGCCTTATCAATTCTTTACATAATCTTTGAAGTGGGAAAAAATGAGAGGCAACATCCTTTTGAAACCAT
This sequence comes from Homo sapiens, assembly GCF_000001405.40. NCBI lineage: Eukaryota > Metazoa > Chordata > Mammalia > Primates > Hominidae > Homo > Homo sapiens. Next base: position 184,510,249 of record NC_000002.12, on the reverse strand, counting down.
ATTGCCCCTGGACAAGGTCTTTAAACTACTCATCCAACAAAGGACTAATATCCAGATTCTTTAAGAAACTTAAACAAATCAACAAGAAAAAATCCCCATTAAAAACTGGGCAAAGGGCATGAATAGATACTTTTTAATAGAAGACATACAAGCAGCTAACAAACATAAAAAATTGATCAACATCACTAATCATTAGAGATACAAATCAAAACCACAATGAGATACCATCTCACATGAGTCAGAATGGCTATTATTAAAAAGTCAAAAAATAACAGATATTGGTAAGGTTGTAGAGAATGCTTAGACACTGTTGGTGGCCAAAGAGTGCAAATTTGCTCAGCCCCTGTGGAAAGCAGTATGGAGATTTCTCAAAGAACTCAAAGTGAATTACCATTTGACCTAGCAATCTCATTATTGCATATATACCCAAGAAAAATAAATTGTTCTACCAAAAAGACACCTATACTCATATGTTTATCATAGTATTATTCACAATAGTAAGGACATGGAATCAATCCAGGTGCCTGTCAATGGTGAATTGAATAAAGAAAATGTGGTACATACACACCATGGAATATTACGCAGCCACAAAAAATAATGAAATCTTGCCCTTTGCAACAACATGAATGTAGCTGGAGGCAATCATCCTAAGTGAATTAACCCAGAGGCAGAAAACCAAATACTGCATGTTCTCACTTATAAGTGAAAGCTAAACACTGGGCACACAAGGACACAAAGATGGGAACAATAGATACTGAAGACCCCAAAAGCAGGAAAGGAAGAAGAGAAGCTCAGGTTGAAAAGCTACCTATCAAGTTCTGTGTTTGCTACTTGGGTGATGAGATCATTAGAAGCCCAAACTTCAGCATCACTCAAGATACCCATGTAGCAAACCAGCACATGTACCTTGTGAATCTAAAATAAAAAATCAAAATAATTTTTAAAAGACTCTTACTCAGAGTCCAGTCAGCAGATTAATTTAGCTGAAATATCCCAAAAGACTATGGCATACAATAGTCTGTCCCTGGAGAAAATTTTGGAACTGCAGTAGAAACTTCAAACAAGAAAAAGGTACTTCCTAAGATTTTTCCATCCACATTACTACGACTTCCAAATAACTTAAGGAATAGAGCAGCTCTGAACTGCTTTGCCTAGAATGTAACAGGCATTCTGTCTTCATCCTCTAAAGTCCCAATCTTCTTTCAGTATTCTAAGCTGATAGTTTGAAAGGCAAAAGATCACACTCAGTCCCATATGTTCCTCCCATCCCCTCATATCGTCCCATCATATAAAGAATACTTAAATGCTCTTTACTTTTTACATCCATAGTTATAGCCTGACATAAATACATTTTTTAAAAAGAAATATAAACAATTCCCACTGATTATGTTAGTGGCTGCAAACCTTAGGTAAGTAACTTTATTAGTTCTTATAAATTTCCTGGTTAATATTCTAAGATAAATGTCTCATGACAGGGTTTGATATATTATCAGAAAGTGGTGATTTTCAGGTATGACCACACTCCAGAATGTTTATTGAATATCTTCTAATTTTTTAAGTGTTAAGGAAGAAAGTGACAATATAGATGATGGCAATGAAATAAATATCAACTTAAAATATATAACATACTTATTGTGGTGCAATCTCTATGGAAAATAGTATAGTGGTTTCTAAAAATATTAAAAATGAAGTTGTGATTCAGCAATTCCACTTCTGGGTGTATTTCCAAAATAATGAAAAGCAGGGTCTTGAATAGATATTTCCACACCCATTTATTTCACAGCAACAGTACTCATATCAACCATATGGTGGAAACAAGCCAAATGTCCATCATCAGCTGAATGAATCCACAAAATGAATTTTCATTCATCAGATGAATGAATCCAAATGTCTATCATCAGATGAATGAATCCACAAAACACACACACAATGTAATATTATTCAGTCTTAAAAAGGAAATAAATCATGTCACCTAATATAACATGTATAAAACCTGAGGATACTAGGCTAGGCTAAATAAACCAATCACAAAAAGACAAATATGGAATAATTCTACTTATGTGAGGTATCTAAATAGTGAAATTCATAGAAACAGAAAGTAGAGTAGTGTTTACCAGGGACTGCAGGGATGGGGAAATGGGGAATTGTTGCTTTGTTGGTATAGAGTTTCAATTTTGCTAGATAAAAATGTTCTGAGGATCTGTTATACAAAAACGTGAATATACTTAATACCATTGAATTGCATCTTAAAGATGGCCAAGATAGTAAATTTTATATTATGTGTTTTTACCACAATTAAAAATTTAAAATACATATAATGTACATAGAAATGTATAGAACACACAGAAGAATCCACAAATTAAAATATAAGAGTTGAATAGGACCTCAAGTAGCATTTAATCCAACATTTGTTATTCTTACTCATTAAAAAACTATCACAGAGGATGAAATGTGCTTTACAGAAGAGCATATAGCTATTTAGTGGATAAATTAGGTCCAAAATCAGATCTCTTGATATGGTGCAGAGCTCCCTATACCTCATTAAGATGACATTTCCTTATTTTCAGTACTTTTTAATATTTAAACCAAACAAGCCATATGTAACTTTCCACCTGAAATAGATTTTAGGCATATTAAACACAATTTATTTTATGTAATTTTTATGTTTCTTATGTGCGAAATCTTTATAAAATATCTTTGCTCATTTTTCTACCATTTCAGTGTAACGTGAAAAGCAGTTATTTTTGCTGTAGTAATTTTGCAACAGAACTCATTGCTTCCTTGGACATGTTTGTTCTAAGTTAATTATTTCTATTCCTTTGGCATAATTCATAAGAAAGCGAGCTTCATCATGTCAGGTATTTACCTACTGAAGCTCATTTCCCTCCCTTCTGACTGCAACGAAGATAATTCAACATCGGCAATTTTAAATTCATACTGCAGGGAAAAGGAAAGGGGCAAAATTCCTCCTTATGAAAAAAAATCACAATAAATCACACAAAATAAAATTGCTGAGACCTACAGGCATTAGTTGGGTTCAGGTTTGCAATGTCTGTTGTTGTTAACAACAAGTCTTTAACCCCAGGCTAATCAAAGATTAAATAAAATAAACCTTAAAATTTTATTACATATTTCTAATATGTTACATATGCATGTATAATTTCAGGATCATATGAAATTATATTTATAATATATAACTATAATTATATAATTATATTTACACAGTTTTATATATTATATTTATATCATATTTTTATAATTATAAATTTAATTATATAATCATATTTATATTATGCCACCTGCCTTATGAACTACTTAAATGTTATCTTCTACTCAATTAGCTCATCCAGTCATAAACTGGAAGCACCTTAGATGCTAGGAAGTAGGAAATGTACTAAATGGAGGTTAGGTGTGAAGAATAGTACTGCCATTTCTTCTTGCCTTACATTTCAAAGCCCTTTATTTGAAAATAATTAAATAATAAAATTTCAATTTCTCAATTGAACATTATGTATACTATTAAGATATTTTCACTCAGTGGGAATTTTTGCTTCCTTCCTTTTTCTTTCCTTTTGTTCTTTCTTTTTTTCTTTCTTATTTACATAATAAGGGAAGAAAGGACAGTGTAGAAATAAGAAGCTAAGTGGAAGATGCTATTGCTTCTGAGAAACTTACATGTATCACAAGAGATCCCTGCAGATGGAATTAATGCCAGACTGAGGTGGAGCCAGTAAAGTTGCATTTGGACTACACAGAGGGCCCAAAGAGACTATAACCTTTACTGGAATTAAATGTGGCCTTTAACAGGTTAGTACTTATTAAAAGGATGTGGCCTCATTAGGAAATAGTTGAACTTTTATAATTGAATACAGTTGAAATCTAGCTCTGATTTTATGAAAAAATACTTTTAGAATTATGGTGTTGGTTGCATATTTTAATAAGAAACTTGATTTGCATCTTCGTAAAACATGGAAATTCCACGAACGTTATAATGTTTTATATATCCAAGGGTGGACTGGAAAAGCTGGGATAGTAGAGGGTGAAACTAGATAAGAATAAGGTTGAGAACAGGAAAAGGAGAGAAAATGAGCATGAAATAATAAAATAATACAATTTTTTAATAAGTGCCTCCAAATTGTTTGGTCACCTTTTAAAGAATGTCCAAACAAAAAATTATCTCAGAATCTTTCTATGTTGACTGCTTTGCTTCACAGAGCACTAGCACTCAATATTTATTCTCCAAAACTCACTTCTCAAGTTTAACATAATTTACAAATGCGAAATTTCATAGCTTTCAAAGTCTATCACTATTGTCATTCACAGGAATTTCCCGGTTGTGATTCTCTCCTTAGAAATCAGTCTTCCACCACGGCTGAAAGAATATATTTTCTCCACAAATTGCAAGTCTATTTTTTTTTCTCCTTCTTCACTCAAGTTCAGAGTTTTAGAACCTGGTCTCTCTTCCACTATTAGTGGGAAAAAGGTATTTTTACAATATAATGATCTTCGTAGATTTGCATGTCACCCTCAATAGTGATAGCATATTACATTATTAAACATATAAATTTAACAACTAGGACTGCAAACATCTAAGTACATATAATTGTTGTTTAATTGGTTAATTTTCCAGGTTCAGGATTTGCCAAAGATTAATGAGTAGAACCCAGGCTTATATTTACAAAGCTAAAACGGTTCACAGATATATAGGTGCGGTTCCTCTTGTCAGGACAAATTTTAAGTGTCCACTATAGAATATATTATATATATTTCACTATAATAATATTGTATGTAATGCTATACTATATATAGTATATATACACACATGCACAAATACAATCTCCATAGACATTATTCTAATTAACACTATTCCTGATAAATAGGGTAAATCATTTTATAGACAATTTCAAATAGGTGGTCAACATGTTAAAAAAAATAAAAGAAATAAAAAACAGTGGTAAGGCAATACGTTTAAAAGAGCATAATATGTTATAATCAGTCACAAAACATATTTTAAAAATCAATATGGTCTGTGGTGACTCCCCTAAAATTCACCGAAAGCAACTGAAAAGGAATAAAATTAGTAAAAACAGAAGAAATAAAAAGACTGCATTTTGAGAAAGACCACATGTGTTCTAAGTTTATGTGCCTATGTCTAGTTAAAATGGGTAATAATGAGATTAAGATTAAAAAAAAAATTCAACCTCACATGAAATGATTCAATCTTCTTCTCTTTATTTATTTTTTTAAAAAACTTTGCCACTACATTTTCCAAAAGCAAGAAGGAAATTTAATCTCTAGTGTGTGGCTCTGGGTAGAACCAACAGCTTCTAGTCCTGAGGTCAGAAGTAGGAGCCATATGGATAGGGAGTGGTGGGGACATTCTATACTTGGACTTTGCCTAGAGGCATTCTTAGTCTCAGGTGTGAAGATTTCCTCTTCAGTTTGTCTAGTTCTCCACAGGTTCTATGAATTGGACTACTTGCATTCCCTCTTGATGTAGTTCCCATTTTCTGAATTGCTTTTTCTACTGTCTATCCTCTTCCTATTTAATCCCTTATATTTGTCTATCTTCCAAACTAGATAATGCCATTGATTTTAAGGTTATATATATTTTTATTACATGCATGAATTGCTGGAATAGTACTTTTCTCCAATTCAAAAGTAAACTCCTTGAGACCAGGTAGTATGTTGGCTTTGTTCTCAATTGTATCCTTCACAGATAACATATAGAAGTTCACTAGCATGTAAGACACTTAGTTAATATTTGTTGAAAGGATAAATGAAACCACTCTAGTGGTTAGGGCTTCAGAGTAAATTACTGAATACTCAAGATTTACAAGTCAGGTGGAGAAACAGATACCCAGGAAAGAATAGAGATAATTGATTTTCCATCATTCCATCTTCAGCTTGAGAATCCACCTAAAATGAAAGAGAAACTCAATTGCAACAGAATGGTGTATGAATTCAGTCTAATTAAATGTTTTGTAAGACAGAAGTCATCAGAAAAGCATTTGATATGTGGTTAAAAATCAAAGGCTCATGGCTAATTGTTCAAAGGCTTAGGGAATCTGAGGAAGCTAAATATTGCCATTCTAAGTATGCTTTCTCTAGATGTCTCTTCATTTTACTTAAAACGTAAAAAGGAAATCAGGAACTGATACACGGTAGTGATTCCTTGAAGAAAATCAATTAAAAATACATTTGTTAAAGTAAATTTTAAAATAAATGTATTAAATTCTAACAGGCTTAAGTACTCTGGTAGCATGGTAGCATTTTGATAAATAACTGACTTCCCATTTTCCTTATTCAGAGGACAAAAATCCTGAGACTTTGCTGAAGTTGCTTATCAGCTTAAGGAGGTTTTGGGCTGAGACAATGGGGTTTTCTAAATATACAATCATGTCATCTGCAAACAGGGACAATTGGACTTCCTCTTTTCCTAATTGAATACCCTTTATTTCCTTCTCCTGCCTGATTGCCCTGGCCAGAACTTCCAACACTGTGTTGAATAGGAGTGGTGAAACAGGGCATCCCTGTCTTGTGCCAGTTTTCAAAGGGAATTCTTCCAGTTTTTGCCCATTCAGTCTGATATTGGCTGTGGGTGTGTCATAAATAGCTTTTATTATTTTGAGATACGTCCCATCAATACCTAGTTTATTGAGAGATTTTAGCATGAAGTGCTGTTGAAATTTGTCAAAGGCCTTTTCTGCATGTATTGAAGATAATCATATGGTTTTTGTCTGTGGTTCTGTTTATGTGATGGATTACATTTATTAATTTGCGTATGTTGAACCAGCCTTGCATCCCAGGGATGAAGCCAACTTGATCGTGGTGGATAAGCTTTTGGATGTGCTGCTGGATTCTATGAGATGAAAGTTTTTAGCTTCTGCATATAAATGAAAACATGCAGTGTTTAACTTTCTGTTCCTAGCTTATTTCACTTAACATATTGTCCCCAGTTCCATCTATGTGGCTATGGACGACAGAATTTCCGTTTTTATTACGGCTGAATAGTCTCAGGATACAAAATCAATGTGCAAAAATCACAATCATTCCTATACACCAATAACGGACAAACAGAGAGCCAAATCATGAGTGAACTCCAATTCACAATTTCTTCAAAGAGAATAAAATACCTAGGAATCCAACTTACAAGGAATGTGAAGGACCTTCTCAAGTAGAACTCAAGCCACTGCTAACCGAAATAAAAGAGGACACAAACAAATGGAAGAATATTCCATGCTCAGGTGTAGGAAGAATCAATATCATGAAAATGGCCATACTGCCCAAGGTAATTTATGGATTCAATGCCATCCCCATCAAGCTACCAATGACTTTTTTCACAGAATTGGAAAAAACTACTTTAAAGTTCATATGGAACCAAAAAAGAGCCCACATTGCCAAGACAATCCTAAGCCAAAAGAACAAAGCTGGAGGAATCATGCTACCTGACTTCAAACTATGCTACAAGGCTATAGTAACCATAATAGCATGGTACTGGTACCAAAACAGAGATGTAGACCAATGGAACAGAACAAAGCCCTCAGAAATAATACCACACATCTACAACCATCTGATCTTTGACAAACCTGACAAAAACAAGAAATGGGGAAAGGATTCCCTATTTAATAAATGGTGCTGGGAAAACTGGCTAGCCATATGTAGAAAGCTGAAATCTTTCGCCATCAAAAAGTGGGCAAAGGATATGAACAGACACTTCTCAAAAGAAGACATTTATGCAGCCAAGAGACACCAAAAAAATGCTCATCATCACTAGTCATCAGAGAAATGCAAATCAAAACCACAATGAAATACCATCTCACACCAGTTAGAATGGCAATCATTAAAAAGTAAGGAAACAACAGGTGCTGAAGAGGATGTGGAGAAATGGGAATGCTTTTACTCTGTTGGTGGGAGTGTAAACCAGTTCAATCATTGTGGAAGATAGTGTGGTGATTCCTCAAGGATCTAGAACTAGAAATACCATTTGACCCAGCGATCCCATTAGTGTGTATATACCCAAATGATTATAAATCATGCTACTGTAAAGACACATGCATACATATGTTTATTGTGGCACTATTCACAATAGCAAAGACTTGGAACCAACCCAAATGTCCATCAGTGATAGACTGGATTAAGAAAATGTGGCACATATACACCATGGAATACTATGCAGCCATAAAAATGATGAGTTCATGTCCTTTGTAGGGACATAGATGAAGCTGGAAACCATCTTTCTGAGCAAACTATCGCAAGGACAGAAAACCAAACACTGCATGTTCTCACTCATAGGTGGGAACCGAACAATGAGAACACTTGGACACAGGGCAGGGAACATCACACACCGGGGCCTGTCGTGGGGTGGGGGGAGGGGGAAGGGATAGAATTAGGAGAAATACCTAATGTAAATGACGAGTTACTGGGTGCGGCACACCAACATGGCGCATGTATACATGTGTAACAAACCTGCACGTTGTGCACATATACCCTAGAACTTAAAGTATAATTAGAAAAAGAGGGGAAAAAAACTAAATTATCTACCTAAAAAGGCAAAAATTATATGATTTGGAAAATTTTCTATATATCTCTTGCTTACAAGAGACACATGGCACATACATAGTAAAAAATATTAAAAACAAAATGGTGGAAGAAGATGTACAAGGCTAATATTAATCAGCAATATCCAGTAGCTATATTGATATCAGCCAAAATAGACTTTTGGGAAAATCAAATTTTAGGACAATATTATTAAATATGACTAGATATTTCCTAAAAAATAACATATGAAAAATCAACCCACATGTGAAAAGAAGTTAGAAATTAGAGAAACTAAATTAAAACCGCAGTGCAATAAGTGCTTAACAAACCCACTTTTTCACATCAATCTAGAAAAACAATACAAATATTCGTGAGGATGCAGAGTAGTAGAGTTCTGGTGGGAAAACAGCTTGATACCACTACTTTGGAAAACAATGGGGAATTATCTAAGAAAGTAGAAAGTTAACATAACCCATACCTCATCAATTCTATTCGTTTTATTCTAGAGAAATCCACACACTTTTTCAATACAAGACATGTAAAGACCATAGCCTGTGTTCATAATAGCAACAACTTTTAAGCACTCAAATACCCAACTGTCCATTGAGAGGAGAATATATAAATACACTATGATGTTTCCATACTATGGAATACCTTGCAGCAGTGAAAATAAATACAAAGAAAATAATAAGCATCACCTTGGCTGGCATAGACATGTAAAAATTATTCTAATAGAAATTTGTGAAATACTATATTATACCACATGTATGATAAGAAATTAAAAAGAGAATAATGTATTTGTGAAAGTGTGACAAAATTTTGAATAAAGGAAAGGTATAATAAACAGAAAATTTATATTGGTTGCAGAAGGAGAGGAGAGAAGAATGAAAATGAAGATTGACAAATGGTAAATATTGTAAATTGAGATATAGTATTTATAATGTTCACTTTCTCATGTCAGGTGTTAGTTTTGTTATTCTTTAGATCATACATGTATTTATATGCTCTTTTGTGTATTCAATATAATACATAATATTTTACAAATAATTAATATATACATAAAGAATGCATAATTAAATAATTAAAAGAATAAACTCAGAGTATTGATGGCAGAACGTGTTTCAGATTCTGTCATCAAGACAGCTAACACTATATATTTCTCCAGTATGAGATTCAGGAACAGAATTTGACTTCAAAGTCCTTTTTCAATGGGTACCTTCCCATTGAACTTGATAGCCAGACTTGATAGCCAGGACTTGATAGCCAGAATGTCTCTCCAATACAAATTTCTGCTCTTAATAAGATATCAATACATTTTTCTCCAACAGAATTTTTGGGGGTGCCACCTTTCTTAGAACCTAATTATTCTCTTCATATTGACTATTGTGTTCCTTGTCTTGAAAAGTTAAGCTGAAGTCTTACAGATGAAAAATATTAACAGCAACAAAGCAAACTTGAAATTATAACTTTGAATATCTATGACAGAAAGGCACGTTAAGAATATACAGAAACGTAAAACCTTCTTGGGAAACACTGCTTTTGACAATTCAAGTGAGGAATTATCTGGCAAAATAAAATTTTAAAGTGACATTTTAAAGGAGTTCTCCTCATAGAACTTTGCTTCTCTTTTACAGCTGGTTAATTGTAGCTTTGATGGACAGTTTGGCATTTAGAATTGAAGGTAGGTTAGTTCATGAAATCAATTACATCCACAGCCGTGTTTTTAATGTACAATTTTACTCTGGTAAGTGTGTTATGGAAAGCATGTGGGCCTCCGTGTCTATTATACACAGTTACTGCTAAGAATGCAGGGACTCAATGAGATATTTTCTCTTTTACACACTTAGGAAATATACATAATGCAGTACTAATTTCCTTTGTTTTCAACACAATTTTCAAACTTAACTATGTTGATATCAAATAAGCTACTAAACTGACACATTATGAGTTTAATTTTGTATTAACTGAGTGTTTAAAACATGATTACATTGAAAAAATTGACAATTTTGAAGATTTTTAGATAAAATAGTTTGTCAGGAATGCTTATATATATTTATTTTTCTGTGTATAATACTGGGAACTAATCTTATTCTTTTGCTTCTGTTACATACTCAATAAAGATTTATTAGATTACCTTAAAATGACAAAAATAAAATTACGTACTATGTATCTACATATTACTCACAGTAATATCTACTTACTTACCCATAGTACAGATATGCTTTAGTTTGAATATTATACTAATACAAAAATAAAAGTCATAATTTATTTGTTAATTCAAATATGTGAAGAATTGGAGGAAAGAAGAAAATTGAAACCATTATTGTATTGATATGAACCTAAATACCTGTTTCCTTTGACATTTACACATTAAGCATTTAATGTATCAGTTGCTATGAAAATTACAGCAATTGATAATACATAGCCCTTGGCCTTAATATACTTTCTAATGTGAGCCAGAAAAGAAAATGAAAATAAATAAATAAATATATAAAATAAACAGAAGGAACTATATCAACATTGTTTGAAGTAATAAATCGAATGTGGTAAGACCTGTGGTTATCTGATTTCAGTTGAGTGGAAATCAGGGCTGTACAAAACTGTTGAAGACTATAAATTCAAGTACAACATCTTACGCAATTATCCATGTGCATTAAAGCACCACTATAATAGTGCTACTGGTTTGTTTAAAATAAACATTTGTGACTATATTTTGGTGAATATATTTGAACAGATTTGTAAAATATGAAGTGTACAAATAAACACATACAATTAAACATAATTGCAACACCACAAACATTTATTTTTTTTATTTTTAGATATAATATTTATTTACTCTTTGAATTTTTCCAGCAGAAGTCATTTTATTTTATTAATTTTTAAATTTATTATTTTTTTAATTATTATTATACTTTAAGGTTTAGGGTACATGTGCACAATGTGCAGTTTAGTTACATATGTATACATGTGCCATGCTGGTGTGCTGCACCCATTAACTCATCATTTAGCATTAGGTATATCTCCTAATGCTATTCCTCCCCCCTCCCCCCACCCCACAACAGTCCCCAGAGAGTGATGTTCCCCTTCCTGTGTCCATGTGTTCTCATTGTTCAGTTCCCATCTATGAGTGAGAACATGTGGTGTTTGGTTTTTTTGTCCTTGCGATAGTTTACTGAGAATGATGATTTCCAGTTTCATCCATGTCCCTACAAAGGACATGAACTCATCATTTTTTATGGCTGCATAGTATTCCATGGTGTATATGTGCCACATTTTCTTAATCCAGTCTATCGTTGTTGGACATTTGGGTTGGTTCCAAGTCTTTGTTATTGTGAATAGTGCCACAACAAACATACGTGTGCATGTGTCTTTATAGCAGCATGATTTATAGTCCTTTGGGTATATACCCAGTAATGGGATGGCTGGGTCAAATGGTATTTCTAGTTCTAGATCCCTGAGGAATCGCCACACTGACTTCCACAGTGGTTGAACTAGTTTACAGTCCCACCAACAGTGTAAAAGTGTTCCTATTTCTCCACATCCTCTCCAGCACCTGTTGTTTCCTGACTTTTTAATGATTGCCGTTCTAACTGGTGTGAGATGATATCTCATTGTGTTTTTGATTTGCATTTCTCTGATGGCCAGTGATGATGAGCATTTTTTCATGTGTCTTTTGCTGCATAAATGTCTTCTTTTGAGAAGTGTCTGTTCATATCCTTTGCCCACTTTTTGATGGGGTTGTTTGTTTTTTTCTTGTAAATTTGTTTGAGTTCATTGTAGATTCTGGATATTAGCCCTTTGTCAGATGAGTAGGTTGCGAAAATTTTCTCCCATTTTGTAGGTTGCCTGTTCACTCTGATGGTAGTTTATTTTGCTGTGCAGAAGCTCTTTAGTTTTATTAGATCCCATTTGTCAATTTTGGCTTTTGTTGCCATTGTTTTTACACCACAAACATTTAACATTACACTGTCTTTATTAGAGGTCTTCCTCTGATGCCTATAGGCCTTTTTACCATTACTATACGCAGTTTTGTGTCTAAAACTTCCTCTTGTTATTAAATTTTTAAAATGTCTTCTTATGCAGTGTAGTATTTTTACACATGCCTTATGTGCTAGAGTGAAGAGAGAATCTGGTAAAGTCTAAATACATAGCTTTCTTCACATGCACATGCATGTGTTTATATATGGGGGGATATATACATGTGCACAGGCATACATACATGACTACATTATATATGTGTTTCTATATATCCATAAATACATATTTAAAAACATTTACCAGAACCTAGGCTTTTCTATACATAACATTATGTCACCTTCAAACACAGCCCATTTGACTTCCTCCCTTCCCATTTGGATGCCCTTTATTTCTTTCTCTTGCCTAATTGTTCTGGCTAGGACTTCATTGCTGTGTTGATTAAGAGTAGCGAGAGTGGGCACCCTTGTCTTGTCTCAGTTCTTAGATGAAAAGCTTTCAGCTTTTCCCCATTCAGTGTGATATGAGTTGTGGGTTTGTCATATATGGCCTTTATTGTGTTGAAGTACTTTCTATTCCTACCTAATTTATTGAGAGTTTTTATCATAAAGGGATGTTGAATTTTATCAAATGCTTTTTTCTGCATCTACTAAGATTATCATATTACATTTTGTCCTTAATTCTCTTGAAGTGATGTATCATGTTTATTAATTTGCCCATGTTAAAGCATTCTTGCTTTCTTGAGTTAAATCTCACTTGGTCATGATGTGTTATTTTTGATCTATTGTTTTATTCAGTTTACTAGTATTTTGTTAGGGATATTTGCATCTATGTTCATCAGGGATATTGGCCTGTAGTTTCATTTTTATGTTAGTTCCTTGTCTTGTTTTGGTATCAAGGTTTGCTAGCCTCGTAGATAAGTTAGGAAGAGCTCCCTCTACTTCAAATTTTTTGAATAATTTGAGAAGAATTTGTATTAAGTACTTTTTAATGATTCAGTAGAATCCAGCAGTAAAGCCATCCAGTCCTGCAATTTTCCTTCTTTTCTTTTATTCTTCACCTTTTATTTTAAGTTCAGGGGTACATGTGCAGAATGTGTAGGTTTGTTACATACGCAAATGTGTGCCATGGTGGTTTGCTGCACAGGTCATCCCATTATCCATGTATTAAGCCCAGCATCCATTAGCTATTCTTCCTTATGCTCTCCCTCCCCCAGCCCCTAACAGACCCCAGTGTGTGTTGTTCCCCCCATGTGTCCACGTGTTCTCTTTATTCAGCTCCCACTTATAAATGAGACTATGAGGTGTTTGGTTTTCTGTTCTTGTGTTAGTTTTCTCAGGATAATGGCATCCAACTCCATCCATGTCCCTGCGAAGGACATGATCTCATTACCTTCACAGTGTTTATGTACCACATTTTCTCTATCCATTCTATCATTGATGAGCATTTGGGTTGATTCCATGTCTTGCTATTGTGAATAGTGCTGCAGGGAAAATACATGTGCTTGTTTCTTTACAATAGAATGATTTATATACCTTTGGGTATATACCCAGTAATGGGGTTGCTGGGTCAAATGGTAATTTTGGTCTTATATCTTTATGAATCACCACTCTCTTCCACAATGGTTGAACTAATTTACACTCCCACCAACACTGTAAATGTGTTCCGTTTTCTCTGCAACCTTGCCAGCATCTGTTGTTTCCTGACTTTTTAATAATTGTCATTCTGACTGGCATGAGATGGTATCTCATTGTGGGTTTGATTTGCATTTCTCTAATGATCAGTGATGTTGAGCTTTTTTTCATATGTTTGTTGGCCACATGAATGTTTTCTTTTGAGAATTGTCTGTTTATGGCCTTTGCCTTCGGGTTGTTTGTTTTTTCCTTGTACATTTGTTTAAGTTCCTTGTAGACGCTGGATACTAGATCTTTGTCAGATGGATAGATTGCAAAAATTGTCTCCCACTCAGTAAGTTGTCTGTTCACTCTGGTGATAGTTCATTTTGCTGTGCAGAAGCTCTTTAGTTTAATTAGATCCCATTTCACAAGTTTTTCCTTTGTTGCAATTGCTTTTGATGTTTTCCTCATGAAATCTTTGCGCATGCCTATGTCCTGAAACGTATTGCCTAGATTTTTTTCTAGGGTATTTATAGTTTTGAGTTTTACATTTAAGTCTTTAATCTATCTAGAGTTAATTTTTGTATATGGTGTAAGAACCAGCTTAAATTTTCTGCATATGATTAGCAAGTTGTCCCAGCACCATTTATTAAATAGGAAATCCTTTCCCTATTGCTTGTTTTTGTCAGGTTTGTTGCAGATCAGATGGCCGTAGGTGTGCAGTCTTATTTCTGAGTTCTCTATTCTGTTCCATTGGTCTATGTGTCTGTTTTTGTACCAGTACCACGCTGTTTTGGTTACTGTAGCCTTGTGGTATAGTTTGAATTGGGGTAGTGTAATGCCTCTAGCTTTGTTCTTTTTACTTAGGTTTGTCTTGGCTATTTGGGCTGGTTTTTGTTTGTTTGCTTGTTTGTTTCATATGAATTTATTTATTTTTCTAATTCTGTGAAGAATGTCAATGATAGTTTAATGGGAATAGCATTGAATCTATAAATTACTTTGGGCAGTATGGCCATTTTCATGATATTGATTCTTCCTGTCCATGAGCATGAACAGTCCCGCAATTTTCTTTGTTGAGACACTTTGTATTACTAATTCAGTCTTATTACTTGTTATGGGTCTCTTTATGTTTTCTACTTCTTCTTGGTTAAATCTTGGTAGATTGTATGTGTACAGGAATTTATTTCCTCTAGGTTTTCAAATTTATTTGTGTATGTTGTTCATGGTAGTAATTCTTGTGGTATCTGTTGTGACACCTTTTTTTTCATTTCTCATTTTAATTATTTGAGTTTTTTCTTTTTTTCTTAGCTAGTCTTAAGAAACTATTTGTCAATATTATCTTTAAAAAAACAACTTTTTTGTTCTGTTAATTTTCTGTACATTTTTAGTCTCAATTTCATTTATTTCTGCTCTGATCTTATTTCTTTCCTCCTACTAATTTTGTGTTTGGTTTGTTTTTGCTGTTCTAGTTCTTTAAGATGTATTGTTATGCTGTGTATTTGAAATTTTTCTAGTTTTTTGACATAGGGGAAATGCTTTAGGACATTGCTCAGGGAAAAGGTTTTATAAAAAAGACCTCAAAAACACAGTCAACAAAAGCAAAAAAACCCAAAAGGGATTAGATAAAACTAAAAAGCTTCTGCACAGCAACAGGAACAATCACCAGAAAGAAAAGGCAACCTACAAAATGGGAGAAAATATTTGCAAACTGTTTATCCAACAGGGGATTAATATCCAGACTACACAAGAAATTCAAACATCTCAACAGCAAAAATCAAATAATTCAATTAAAAATGGACAAATAATTTGAACAGACACATCAAAAGAAGACATAGAAATGCCCCCAAAATATATATTTTTTAAATGCTCAACATCACTAATCATCAGGAAAATGCAAATCAAAATTACAATGAGGTATCATCTCATCCCAATTAAGATAGATATTGTAAAATAAGGACAAAAAATACTAAATGCCAGCAAGGATTCAGAGAAAAGAAAACTCTTATACATTGTTGGTGTGAATGTAAACCAGCACAGCAGCTATGGAGAACAGTATGGAGGTTCCTTATAAAACTATAAATGCAACTATCATATGATTCAGCAATCCCACTACTGAGTATTTATCCAGAGAAAAAGAAATCAGTATTGAAGAGGCATCTTAACCTCCATGTTTATTGCATTGGTATTCACTATAGCCAAGATATGAAATTAACATAAATGTCCAACAAAAGATAAATGGATGAAGTATATGTGGTATGTATATGTACTTTATACTCATATTGTTATGAGTATGTACATTACACTCATTCATAAAAAATAATGAAAATAATCAAATCTTGTCATTTGTGGCAAGTAGGTGGAACTAGAGGTCCTCATGTTAAATGAAATAAGTGAGGAGAAGAGAGTTAAATATTGCAGATTCACTCAGATACAGAAGCTAAAAATAGTTGATCTCATAGAAGTAAAAATTTGAACAGAGGATACTAGAGGCTGGGAAGGGTAGGGAGAAGGAGAAAATACAGATTTGCTAAAGGATACAAAATTACAGTTAAATAGGAGGAATAATTTTTAATGTTCTAAAGAATTGTAGGATAACTATGGTTCACAATAACATATCGCATACTTTCCAATACCTAGGAGGATATTGAATATGCCCAACGCAAAGAAATGATAAATGTTTAAGATGATTAATATGCAAATTATCCTGACCTGATCACTATATATTATATGTATCAAAGTATTACTGTGTACTCTATAAGCACATATAATTATTATATGTAAACTAAACAAATGAAAGAAAAAATAGTGTCAGAGTTCTTAATACACATGTATATGGTGTGGAAGACAGGAATAGAAACAAGAAGTACTGAGGGGTTCTAAGTGTTTCCCTATCTTTTGTTTTGTTTTGTTTTGTTTTTGTTTTTGAGACAAAGTCTTGCTGTGTCACCCAGCCTGGAGTGCAATGGTGCAATCTCGGCTCACTGCAATCCCCGCCTTCCAGGTTCAAGCATTTCTCCTGCCTCAGCCTCCCGAATAGCTGGGATTATAGGCTCCCCCCATCATGCCCAGCTAATTTTTATATTTTTAGTAGAGAGAGAGTTTCACCATGTTGGCAAGGCTGGTCTCGAGCTCCTGACCTTAGGTGATCAGCCCGCCTCTACCTCCCAAAGTGCTGGGATTATAGGCATGAGCCACCATGCCTGGCCTGTTTCTCTATCTTTTTAGGATCATCATCTTATTCTAATTGAGTGGGAAGGAAATGAACTGGAGAATCTAATAAAGGGGTTTGTAACACATACTAAATTGATAAGAGAAATTTCCTTAAGATCCAGTGTTTAATTAAATTGAAAAATTCAGCCAAATTGACAATTTTTTGATTCTTTTTTTCTTGTGTAGAACAATGTATTTTCCTTTGGATATATGCCCAGTAATGGAATTGCTTGGTCGAATGGTAGTTCTATTTTCAGATTTTTGAGAAATCTCCAAACTGCTTTCCATAGAGGCTGAACTAATTTACATTCCTATCAAAAGTGTGTAAGTGTTCAGGAAGGTAAATTTTTTCACTTTTATTTTATGTTCAGGGATACATGAAAGTCGCAGGTTTGTGATATAGATGAATTGTGTGTCACAGGGGTTTGGTGTAAAGATTATTTCACCCAAGTAATAAGCATAGTTTGCATGCAGAAGCTCTTTAGTTTTTTGTTTCTCACCAACCTCCTTCCCTCCACCCTTAAGTAGGACCTGGTGTCTGTGGTTCCCTTCTGTGTGTCTATATGTACTAAATGTTTGGCTTCCACTTATAAGTGAGAACATATAGTATTGGATTTTCTGCCCCTATGTTAGTTCACTTACAATAATGACCTCTAGCTCCATCTACGTTACTGCAAAGGACATGATCTTGTTCTTGTTCTTTTATGGCTGTGCAGTATTCCATGATGTGTATGTATACATTTTCTTTATCCAGTCTAATGTTGTTTGGCATTTAGTTTGATTCCATGTATTTGCTATTGTGAATAGTGCTGCAGTGAACATATATGTGCACGTCTCTTTATAGTAGAACAATTTATATTCCTGTGGGTATATACCTAATAATGGGATTGCTGGGTCAAAGGGCAATTCCGCTTTGGGTTCTCTGAGAAATCACCGAACTGCTTTCCACAATGGCTGAACTATTTTATGACATCCCCACCAGCAGTGTATAAGCATTTTCTTTCCTCCACAACCTCACCAACATCTGTTATATTTTGACTTTTTAATGATAGCCATTCTGACTGGTGTGAGATGGTATCTCACTGTGGTTTTGATTTGCATTTCTCTAACGATTAGTGATGTTGAGCATTTGTTTTCATATGATTTTTGGCTGCATGTATGTCTTCTTTTGAAAAGTGTATGTTTATGTCCTTTCCCTACTTTTTAATGGGGTTATTTGTTTTGTTTTGTATGTTTGTGTGTGTGTGTGTGCTTGTTGATTTGTTTAAGTTCCTTATGGATTCTGGATATTAGACTTTTGTCAGATGCATAATTTACAAATATTTTCTCCCATTCTGCATGTTGTCTGTTTACTCTGTTGATTGTTTCTTTTGCATCCAGAAGCTCTTTAGTTTAATTACATTTCCATTTGTCAAGCTTTGGTTTTGTTGCAATTGCTTTTGGTGCCTTCGTCATGAAATATTTGACATGTACTATGTCTAGAATGGTATTTCTTATTCAATAAATGATGCAAGGAAACAGGATAGCCATATGGAGAAGATTGATACTGGGTCCATTCCTTATACTATATACACAAATTAGTTCAAGATCATTTAAGTACTTAAATGTAAAACTAAAAATCTTTTAATTCTTTTAAATTTTCAAGACTATATGAATGGACATTTGTAAATGCATATAAAATGTATCCATCTGCAAACATTTTATCCTAAAAATCCCCCAAATTCTTCACCTTAAAGATGAATAAAATGAGATCCAGAGAGTTTAAGTAATTTACAGATGTAAATGTAAAATGTATTTCCTAATAGCCCACGTAGAATAAGGAAGATGTCTTATTCACCTTACATAAAAGATGTGAATGTATTACTATTTTTAAAAAATTTCTGCTGCTTTCATAACAAGTTACCATTAGAGGCTTAAGCAACACAAATACACTATCTTGGAGTTCTATAAGTTGGAATTCTGACATGGGTCTCAGTGAGTTTAAAGTATGAAGTCAGCATGGCTGCATCCCTCACTGAGGAATCTGGAGAAATCCCGCTTCCAGGCTCACTCAGGTTGCTGAGAGGATTCACTTCTATGGGGTTGTGGGAATGAGGTCTCGGTTTCCTATGCCCATTGATGGGGGATTGCCCTCAGTTTCTACAGGCCTCCCACATTTTTTGCTCCATGGTACCCTTCCTCCAAATTTAATACCAGCAGTGTTGATTGGAATCTCTTTCATACCCCCAATCTCTCTGCTCTCCCTCTCTACCCCATCTCTCCTCTCCTTTCCTCCTTTGCTGCATCTCTCCAACTGTGGCATTTATTTTAATGTCTAAAGAAGATATTTTGAGAGAAATGCACATTTTATTACAACTACTCTCTTTTTATTAGAATTATCTCAAAGTATAAGGCAATTTATGATTTAATTCCACCAAATATTTTGGTTTTAAATTTTTCCTTCATTTTGTTGTCCTAAACTAAGTAACACTAAAGTCAATCAAGTAGAATATCAACAAGAACATAGGCTTTTAAACATTGTGTTTTAATTTTCAAGTGTATGAAATCTTGATTTTGTTGTCAAATGCCTCCTAGTATGTACTGTTATTCAAGTATATGGTTTGAAGGTTGGTGCTACTTAACATATGTGTATGGAGAAAAGCTTTGTCTTGGCTTGTGGTGATTTTGGAAAACATAAAAGTTACCTGTTGTAGTGGCTCACATCTGTAATACTAGCACCTTGGAAGGCCAAGGCAGGAGGATCACTTGAGCTCAGGAGTTCAAGACTAGCCTGGGCAACATAGGGAGGCCTTGTTTCTACAAAAAATTTAAAAAATTACCTTGCCGTGCTAGCACACGCCTGTAGTCCCAGCTACTTGGGTGGCAGAGGTGGGAGGATCACTTGAGCCCAGGAGGTCGAGGCTACAGTGAGCTGTGCTCATGCCATTGCACTATAGCCTGGGTGACAGAAAAACCCTGTCTCAAAAAGAAAAAAATGAAAAAAAGAAAATAAAAGAGAAAATTTGATTAAAGTAAAGGCATTACAATATTGATGTTGTTTATAATACTGTCTTTTTACTCTACACAAAATCCCTAGCAGTCTCATCTGTCTCCATGACTTCAATGATAGCATATAGGCCTTAGACATACAAAAATCATAGATTTCTATTTTGTATTCAAAATTCAGCAATAAGCTTTCTAATAGACAATGTCACCTGGGTGCTTCACAGGCACATCATACGTCACCCTCTTGCATCCAACTTTATTAAGAGCTCTGTCATCTGTCTGGTTGTCTAATCCAGGAATTCAGAATTCTTCCTAGATGTTTGCTTCAAACATCTTTTATTTTTCTGTTTATCATGTACATTTCCACACTTAAATTTGACTCTGGAAGGGCTATGAATAAACAGATCCTGTCTTGCCATCATGAGGAGAGTTTGTGGTTAGACCAGGAGTGGGAAAATGTCTCTACTTAATAGAGATATCATAGGATAGAGAATCATAATTTTTACTCTAGAATCACTAGCTGTGAAGTTGGCGTAAATGCTTGATAATAAAACCTAGATTTTAAAAATTGAGCTGAGGAATCTAGAAAGAGAGTCCTACTGATGTGAATTTCACCCTGGCACAAAGTCAAATCCAGCTTTTGGAATTCCCAGTTAGAAGAGTCTGTTAATACATGTTATTTATTAAGCTGGTAGGAATTGGGTTAATGGAACTTGCAACTAAATAATATTTAAATATAGACCTTGTCCAATTAATTATGAATTCCAAATCTTAAATAGCTCTCAAATCCTGGGTCTCTTCTCTGATGGTTTAGCCTCCTTAACCTGCTTATTCCTGTGCCATCCTGTCCTTCCACAGGTACCTCTGCGCACTATCCTCTACGTCGCACATGTCTCTATTGTCTGTAGTGTAAAATCTAAACACTGATGCATGAGACTTACTGTTCTCATAACATTGCCTGCCCATTTGTCAAGACTTTTCCTTTCTACTCAGTCTTCACGTTAAATCATAGTGAAACTAAACTCTTTTCCTTGGCTTTCCATTCATTCATGCTTTTGGAAAAGTGTTTATGCTCTGTTTGTGATGTCTTATGCTCCTGCACATTCATCTAGTGAACAGCTCCCCATCACATAAAAGTCCTCTGGAGAAGATTCTCCTTAATGCCCAGGCAGTCTTACATGCTGTGCAGCTCTGCATGCTCCCACCATACTTTGCATATCTTTCCTTTATAGTAATTGTTTCTATGCCTGTATGATGATTACAAATATGGACTGGGTATGTTTACCCTTTGTATCCTCTGGCATCTAATGTCTGTTTTAAAATAAGCTGAATAAATTAATCAACTATATAAAGGTCTAACTCTCTAATAAAATAACTAGATTCTGAATGAATCATGAAATTAAATTTGAATGCTTATTCGGATAAAGGGGATTTCTGCAAGATTAGGATAGGAGGCAGATTTGGCCTTACAATATTTAATAAAAAAACAGCCTGTGATAACAGATGAAATCCCTGGATTCAAAAGAAAAAAAAAGTGGATTCAAGGTTGAGATTCCCACATTACTCCCTGCTTGACCTTAGGCAATCTTTTAATCTCTCGGAGTATTAATTTTCTAAATGGCAAAAGGAAAAGATTTTTTCCTACTTACAACAGGATTATTGTGATCAAAAGAGATAAATGTGGTGAAGTCACTGAGCACTCTGAAGAGAATTATACAAATATAAGATACTGATCAATTATGAAGATGGAAATTTAATATATCATGAATATATCATACAAAGAAATAGCCTGATGACTTGGATTCCTTAAGAAAAAAATGTGAAAAATATAAATCAAATGCATGAAGTCAGGAAAGAATAGATGTATTCTAACTCCATAGTAATAAAATGGATTTTCCTCAGCATTACATTGGGAAATACAATGAATGTTTTATAAGTCATTTTCTGGAAATCTTACTTGTTAGAAAATTTTTATTTATTATTTCTGCTTACATAAGCTATTTGAAATACTAGAAAGACCTCTTCCAATGTTCAGCATTCATCATCTGGTGGGAAACATAAATCTCTAATATAATAATAATACCCATTGGTTAAAAGTCATTTGGATTCTTAGAAACGTCAAGTTTCTTCAATACATAATA
Source organism: Homo sapiens (assembly GCF_000001405.40). NCBI lineage: Eukaryota > Metazoa > Chordata > Mammalia > Primates > Hominidae > Homo > Homo sapiens. The sequence goes on along the minus strand of NC_000002.12, from coordinate 184,487,781 downwards.
GTATTGCCAAGGAACTATGAAGCCTCCATAAATATTTATTTGTAAGACTTAATCATTATACATTTTATATAAACATTTAATAGGCACTTTCATTGCAATGGAGCTGAAATAATTTAGGATGACATAGTAACTACAGAAAAGCTAAAGGAATCGGCAACATAATAGGATATCCACATATTGTAAATAAGCATGATACTAAACCTTAGCTAGCAGACATCAAAACTTTATTTTTACTTATTATTTGTCTCTAGAATCTGATATTTTACAATATTTTTTGTTTTAAGTCAGAGAACATAAATTAATTGTTAAAGCATATGATCTGATTTTAATAATAACATGAATCAGTACTGGTGATACTTATTGCGGTAGCACCTTATTAACATGAAGTCTAGCTGGCAACAAGTATAACATGCTTTTATAAACATGGTAATAAATGGATTTAAAAATCATTTCAGTATTTCTGCATTTCCATTTTGGAGCCAAAGTAAAAATATCATGTTTACTTCTGGTAGGGTTAAGGGGATTAAATCAAGTTCAATTTAAGTAACAAATCCCCATTAAAAATTCCACATAACAATACACTCTTAAAAAATTATATGAGCTAAATGATTACTGCCACTCTGATATCTAGCAATTTTTACATATATTTAGAAGATGTGGGCTTGAGTTTCTGCTGAGTCAATATTAATTTTGATTTGGTGTATAAGTCTTGATATTTCTGACCAGAAATTCCTTATCTAACAGAGAAGTAAAATATATACCTTAAAAGGGTTATACTAAAAAAGGTAATCCACACACATACAATGAAGTTTGAAAGTATTTTGATAATGAAAAATGGTTTCCTTTTCATCAATTTTAAGGGCTTTTTTCTCTGTTTCTGGGTGACGTTTTTAACAGTTGTGTCCTGAAAAAATAAAAATACCCTGGGCACAATAGGAATCATCTGAAAAACTAGACAGAATTACCTTAGCAGCCATTTTCTTAACTGTTTATGCATTATCAGCTCTTATTTATATATCCACATATAGCATCCCCCACTACTTTTTGTTCAATAAACCATTAATTAGGATGTACTGTGTGCCAGGAAATGTCCTAGGTCCAAGGGGACTTTAAGAAAGTAGACAGAAAAACAAAAACAGGAATAAAGCTCAACATCCAGGCATCCATTAATTTAAGAATCATACAAATTAATGTTAAATTGCAACTATAGTCAGTATATGAAAATAATTATTAAGTAAAATCTTATTTCTAATAAAATCTTACCTGGTTAAGAAGATTAGGAAAGAATTCCTAAGGCTAGAATATTAGAGCAGAGATTTAAAGGATGTATAGCAATTACCAAGGTGAAAAGGTATGGGTGGTAAAGGGAAGAAAAGTGTTCCAAATAGAAGGAACAGCATGTGCGGGATTCCTGAGCCAGAGAAAGCTGTATTACATTTGATAAACTGAAGATCATTCTGACTGCATCATGGCAAACAAAAATGAAAGAACAGTACAAAAGGAGAATGTTTCAATCTATTATCAGTATTTTATGTTATTCCAACTCAGCAATACCTCTAAGTCCAGACAATCAATTTCTGCCAGTTGTTCACTTTGCATCAGTAGCTTGACTTAATTTCTTGCACATAATGGTCAAATTATATTCTATACATGTTGTATTCCTGTGACAGCCCAATATTAGTCCCCAGTATCTTCCATAACTTTTGGATCAAGAAAGAAAACAAAGGCCTATCCAGAGTTTCTTCTCCCCTTCTTCACTCCAATGCCAGTGCACATTCTCAATGTAGGATGTTTTGGCCCTACGTTGTGCTAGTAAAGACCATTTTGCCAGACAAAATTTTCTTCTTACATGTAATAAATATTTCTCTTCTGGTGTCTCCAAAAAGTAAATGGCAAAGACGGTAAACTTTCCACTCGAATAAAATAATGCAAACTTTTGCTTATACTTGAGGCAGGTGTTCAGCCTAAGCTTTGCTTTCATGTAAGGACAGTCTACACAACTACAAGAAATCCTCCTATGTTGAATACACTGCCACTTTTAGTAAATTTAATTAGATCCTTGAAACCAACTAGTTCTGAGTGAAGGCCTATAGGTCCTGTTATCCACAGAGGCAGTTTTCTTTTTCTTATTATAGGGATGAAGTGAAAGTTGGATAATCCTACACTTCCATACTTCTATATTTAGCTTCACCATCTGTAGAAATATGCCAATGTTTCTAAGTTCTAGTAGGTTTTTTAGATCTTGCTAACTGGAAAACAGCCAACTACATCATCTTTGATGACTTCCCATTGAAGTTCGTTCTCTGCCTTGTTGGTTATGATTCTGCATACTTTTAAGTTTACATCTTACTTTATTTCAAAACATACCAGGAATAACATTCCCAGTTATATCTGTACCCAATTCAAAGTTAATTTTGGAGAAAATTGTGATCTATGCAAAATTATTCTTTGTGACTGTATAAACCAAGATTTGCAAAATTCAGATCCTTGATGATACTCTCTTCTTTTCTCTAAAGCCCTAATGCTGATGCTGCTCCTTAATAAAATTCATTTCATACAGTGATTTTTGAATCTCATCATTCTTTGTATATTTATTGATTTAACATCTTCTGTAAGAAAAAGCTTTCTCTTAATTAATTCCCTTCTGAATAGGTCATTGATTCTAATTTTATTCAATGAATTATAACTTTTACTAGCATTCCTTATTTTCATGGTCATATTGTTCTAGATCTGGCCAGTAGAGCTCTTTTAAGTGGGCTCTGTGTTCTCTAACACAGCCTCACTAATCTTTGAGTCCTACCTTACTGTCAGGCACTACAAATAATATTTCTGGCATAACTTTTATTTTTCCAGTCTCTGGTCTGGAAACAACTGGTTCTCATGATAATAACTGATTTAGGGAAAAGCCATAAATGAATATTGAAACTGAGTTTAGAAGTTTGAGAAGTAAGGAGATATTGGCATAGTCTCCAAGCTCTACTTCAAGTATCTTCCCACAAGATGCTTATTGTTTGCAATGGGAAAATTGTAACTTTAAAATGAAGTTACAATTATTACACTACCTTAATAAAGTGATCAAAGTTGGTCCATCACCAGTAATGGACAAATCAAAATCATGTACCTTCTGATATAAAGCATCATGAAAGTGGTGCTTTTCAAAAACATGTAGAAGCACAATCTAATCATTAGGAAACATCACATAAACCATGCCCAAAGGATAATCTACAAAATAACTGCTTACTTTGAAAATGCCAATCTCATGGTACACAAAAGAAACAGAGAAGATGTTGTAGATTAAGTAGACTAAAATGACACAATATAATTCATAATCTGGACATTTCTTTTGCTATCAAGAACATTATTTGAACAATTGTTAAATCCGATTAAATGCTGATGATTATATATTATTTCATCGTTATTTTTCTGATTATGATAAGTGGACTAAAATTATGTTCAAAAGCATCTTGATTTTTAAAAGTGGGCAATAAAGTTTTAGAGTTAAATAGGTACTTTATCTACAATTTTCCCTCTGATAATTAAAAAAATTATCTATTTTGAGAGTATGGTAAAATATTAAAATTTGGTAATTTTAGGTAAAGAACAAGTGGAAATTCTTTGTATTACTTGTAACTTTTTGTAAGTCTAAAATTGAATATTACAGTTATAATTAAAGATAAAATACAAAGGAAAATATTTAAAGTCAGTACCTTTTTATTAAAAAATATAATTGCTACTCAGAATGACATATGCAATGAAGCTGAACGTCACAGAAATGCTGCGGGTTTTTTTTATATAACTTTAAATAATTAATAATCCCCACAGGCAGCTAATCATTAATTCATTTAATTTTTTTTGTAATTCTATTGATCATAAGAAATTCTTCTCAATTTTATGTGGTTGGCTTTAATTGGAACTATATTGGAATTTCTGAGGGATTAAAAAAAGTTTTGGGAACTCAGAAAATAAGGTAATTGGACCAGGTGATGAATTAAAATATGAAGGAAACAGAGAAGAAATCAGTGCCTACTAACCAATTTTAGCATCTTACTGACATTAGAAGGGAGCTCAGAGGAACTTTTGCTATTAATTACTTACAGTCCAAGGTGGCAAAACTAAAAAAAAAGAAAGAGCTTAAAACCAACTTAAATCAGGTTATATTTCTCATTAGACTTTCTTCTCCCACAAATGATGGCACATATTTTTCTTCCTACTTATCTTCTATCTACATTTGTAGGGCCCTAATGGGCACTGATGTTTCTCTCCAGAGCAATCTGATCAAAACAACTATTGCTAGACTTTAACAAATGATTTAAGGTTTTTAAAAATACGTGCAGTAAGATATTTATTTTTTCTTTACAGATTTGAATGTTTTCTCTAAGCATTGCTTAAACATGAAATAAAGATGGCAAATCATATACCCTGGTAGTTTGCAACTTGGTAAATAATTGCAGGAATTTTGTAGCTACCATTTGGTATAGCAAAATATATGAAAGAAAGTTTATTTTTGAAGGAATGCTTAGGAAACTTAAGCATTTTTTTGAAAAAAGAAAACCAGCCAAAATGATACCAAAATTCATTACAATAGTGCACATATTACTAAAGGTAAATTATACGTATATGTATAATTTATATAATTTTATGTATATATATTATCTATATAGCTCAAATTATATTTTGAAGGATTTTTCCTTTGGTTACTATGTGTATAATAAATATTCTGTGTTTACTGTAACTGGTAATTTGTCCTTGCCTATTTCCCCATGTACAAACTAAATATCTATTAATTAATCACTATTTCCTTAAAATACAATTGATGAGTATGTTTTGCTCTAAAATTATACTAACATGACTTTTTTAAACATTTATGAATTACTGCACATTCTATGATGTAAAAAATGATTTATGTAAACTGAAAACACTTTCTAGAACTTTGGCTCTATTTGTTTAGTTTTATATTATTTTGTTTCGTTTAAATCTTTAAACATATGTCAGTTATTGAGATAATTAAAAACACACTGCATCCTTATGGAATTTAGTGTTCAAACTCAAGTATGTTTATTTATAAGCGTTTTATATGCTACTCTATAAATTAAGTAAATACAATTTTTTTCTAAGGTGTTTTTCTTGAGTCATTTGTTAGTTCCCTTCTTATTTAATTAGATTGGGCCAAACCATTTCATAATACACCCAGTGAGGGTATAATAGCCTGTTTTTTCCTAGTGTTCTTTGTCTTCACCATATTGACAGAATTTCATCTCCCTTCATCTTCACAATCATGCTTTGTTTAGGATTTAGTTCCTGGAGAATTCCACAGCCATCTGAGAGCAGTTTTCATAGGTCAATCAGGCCAATGTTGACTTATAATTCAGAAATACACTGATGAGGCTACTGACTTCCTACTCGGGATAAATTAGTGCTTCTGATAGTACTGCTCTGGAAATAGCAACAAATAATGGACCATGAAGCTTAAGGTGGACAAAGTACAATATAAAGTATAATGGGCAGAGATAAAATTACAAACCAGTGCAATCAATGCTTTGGCTGTTTCCAGAAGGACTGTATATTGTTTAAGATAATTAATAACGTGATTGACAAGGAAAGAGGCTGGAGAACAAGGTCAGAAAAGTGAAATTTCATAATTGTTGCATCAGTTTTAGTAGCAGTAAATTTCTGGGTGTGGCAATGGGAGAGGTAACTGAGAGTAGTGGACAAGTTATAAGGAAACAAATGAGGTAGTCATAGATAACAAGTTAAAGATGTCATATAGGGAATGGAAATCCAATGTCCTTGTATAGTAAAAGTGACACTGAAACAATAACTGTGAGTCAGGAATAGGATGGCCAACTCATGATTTCACAACTGAAAGTCCCTTTTCCTGAAAACCCCTGCAGTTTTGGGCAAACTGGAACAATTAGCCACTGTATTAGTTTATTTTCATGCTGCTGATAAAGACATACCCGAGACTGAGCAATTTACAAAAGAAAGAGGTTTATTAGACTTACAAGTCCACATGGCTAGGGAGGCCTCACAATCATGGCGAAAGGCAAGGAGGAGAAAGTCACATCTTATGTGGATGGAAGCCGGCAAAGAGAGGGCTTGTGCAAAGAAACTCCCATTTTTAAAACCATCAGATCTTGTGAGACCCATTCACTATCAAAAGAACAGCACTAGAAAGACCCACCCTCATGATTCAGTCATCTCCCACTGGGTCCCTCCCATAACACATGGGAATCATGGGAACTGCAAGATGAGATTTGGGTGGGGACACAGAGCCAAAATGTATCCGTTACCTTAAGTGAAGTATCACCTTAAGTGAGGTATGAGACCAGCAGTGAAGAAGTTAGCAGCTTCATAAGGAGCAAATATTTTGTAGGAAAAAGGTGTGATTGTCAAGAAATGGCAATGAAGGTGAAAAGGAAAACTTCTCTCTCCTTATATGTTTGACTTGGGATAGAAAAAACACAAACCTACCTTGAAAAGGCCAGTGAAGCAATTTTTGCAGAGTGTAATGAGGGTTAGTTAAGTCAAGGCTATATAGGAGTGCTCTGACAGTGTTAAGGAAAAAGCAAATGTGCTGGGAAAACAAAAAGCAGAAGTCAATGACTGCATAGAGTTCAAGGGTTTTGGAGAGAGAAGAAAGGATGGAGAAAAAGAAGAGAGAATCAATGGATTTATGGAAAGTGATAAAGTTTAATTGCAGGTGACATATAATAAACAAAATGACAAATGTTGACTTTGATGGTGACTGGGGTAAACATGGAGAAGCCCTAGAATAAATTGTGAAGTCTCTTTATAACAATAGAGACATAAAACTATGGTCTGGAATGTTTTTATTTGATAGTATGTTGGCTTCTGAGTCTCTACTACTTGGGCTGTACAAGGTCTTTTTTCAGTGATATTGAGAGAGTTCCCTCCAACTTCCTGAGGTTGGTGTGAGCAGAATCAGAGGGGCTGCTTCCTGAGGCTGCAGCTCTAGGGAGGGTAGAAGTGGCTGTTGCCTTGGTTTTGCTGCAGGAGTTCTCCCTTGCTCTGACCTATGTCTATTACGTGGGCTAAAGTTTACCTATTAACCTATTAAAAGGTAGACAGCTTACCTGGAATTCATCAGTGTGCTAATAGTGAATACCTGGTGCTAAATTCTGCATTTTTTTTTTGGTCTCTGGGGTCTATTCCACAGGAAGTTGCTGTTTATAGATACTTTTATTTTTCTTTACCTTTCTGGTTGATGTTGTACACAAAAACAAAAACAAGCAACCCATATTATGACATGCTCTTTAAAATAACAATTTTACATTGTAAAGATCTCAAACAATTTTAATTTGCATGAAAAAATAAGAAAGTCTTGACCTTCACACACTTAAAGTGACTTTTGCATGTGCATTTCTACAATTCATCTAGATGTCATAAGGAAAACTGTTGTTATTTTATGATTTGCTTAGAATTTTACAGTTTTGGAATTTTGTTTGGAAAACGAATGCTAGGGAAATCACATTTGTTAGCTACCGAATATTTAAAGATGTTGCTTTTCATCATGCTGACATAATAGGTAAAACATTGCTTGTTGATTAAGGGGCTTCTGGATCATTATTATAAGTTATTTTTCACAGTATCTTGAATACTTGATATCCACACTTAAAATAGCTTGGAAATTTATATGCCATCTTCTTATTATTAGATCTTTCAGATGTGGTCAGAAACTATAACATTATTTACTAAAAAGAAAATAAGTAGATAGATTTTTCTACTAGCTATAGATAAGTTTAAAGCACAAGTGTTCAATAACAGAAAATAAAACTTACCTGAGCCACCATCATTTTATTTTTATTTTCCCCAAACAAAGAACTCCTTGGTAGACACTAGATTGAGAGAGAGCTTAATATAATTATGTACCTGTGAAATTATTACCAGCTTTGACAGAAATGCCTCTGAGAAATTTAACATCTTAATTAACATCAAGGAATCTTATTTGCCTTTATAAGGAGAAAAAAAAGTCCAGAAGGGAAAATCTGTGCACATTAATATTTTTACATTTTAAAATTCCCAACATATTGATTTTTCTCTGGAAGCCATTATAAAATACATGTTCTATATGTCTGATAGAACAGACATATAGGCAGAATATGAATAAAGCACAGATTTTTAAAGAACTAGTTGTGAAAATTTAAGGGAAATAATCAGTTAAGACACAGTTAAATCAAAGAACAATTGACTATCTTCCAAAATATTGACATGTATTTTCTGGGTGAATTTTGTGTTGCCTAGAGTTTGGATGTTAGCATTAAAGATTCAGAAGTATAACAATTTCAGCTTTTCTGAAGTTGATGCAGATTTCAAAAATGGATTCCACTTAATCAATGCAAAATAGTGGTGTGGATTACTAGAATAACATTTTAAAAACAACACAAAATACAGACACTAATACTTGTATCAACATGGCCAAAATATTTTCTGTTTAGGGAACCTGTGTGGGAACATAGATTATAATACAAATAACAATTTGTGTGAATAATAAAAGTAACTGTTACCAGAACCCGGATACCTGTGCATGCATGATGAATATATTTTCTTCCTATGGCAAGCAATCCTCCATGGGAAGTGAATTGGTAATCTGAAACTAAAGTGAGGGCAAGGAAATCAGAACAGTGGAAGTCTGTTAGATAAACTGAATGTTTCCAGAATAACAGAGTCTTTGGATTCCTTTCTAGAGGGGTGACCTTACCAGTAGCAGATAAGTCTGTGCTTAAGGTCTTCTCCCTTCTGGACCTTGTTTGTAGTCATTGCTGATGTTGGTTTTTGAAGAATTACTGTTTTCATAGGCCTGGGAGTCACCACCCTTTTTTCTGGGGGACACAGTTTCTTTTCTGATAGACATTCAATCTGGTTGAAGTCTAATCTTACAAACTTTGATGTCGTTGTAACTCCTTACATTGAATTTCCATATATTAAGTGCCAATGTATTTCAAGCGTGGCACTACTGACAATTGAGCTGGATAATTCTTTGTTATGAGTGCCTGCTTTGTGCAATGTAGGATGCTTAGCACTTCCCTGGGCTCTCCTCTACTAAATGGCAGTAGCAACTGCCAAACCCCTTCAGTTGTAACAACCAAAACTGTCTTGAGACATTGCCAAATGCAGCCTGAGGAGACTGGCAAATATATCCCTAATTGAAGACCTTGATTTAGTCTGATGAATTATATATTTGCTTCTTAGATTAGAAAGCAAAAGGACACCAAACTTCTATATATTTTTTTGACTTCTTATAATTCTGTAGTTGCCATATGCTAACAGCATGTGCTAATGGCCTTTTCTTTTTTTTATTTTTATTTATTTATTTATTTATTTATTTGAGACAGAGTCTCACTCTGTCGCCCAGGCTGGAGTGCAGTGGCATGACTTCAGCTAACTATGACCTCCACCTCCCCAGTTGAAGGCATTCTCCTGCCTCAACATCCTGAGTAGCTGGGATTATAGGTGCACACCACCACACCCTACTAATGTTTGTATTTTTAGTAGAGATGGGGTTTCACCATGTTGGCTGGGCTGGTCTCGAACTCCTGACCTCAAGTGACCCACCCGCCTCAGCCTCTCACCTCCCAAAGTGCTAGGATTGCAGTCATGAGCCACCATGCCTGGTGGCTAATGGCCTTTTCTAAACCTTGTGGCTTTTAGTACTGAATTTGGTCTATACTTCTATAAAAGATAGATTTTTGCCTGGAGCATTGGCTCATGGAAAGCCACAATGGGAGAACTGCTTGACCCAAGAAGGAGTTTGAGAGTTTGAGGCCAGCCTAGGCAACATGTCTCTTAAAAAAAAAAAAAAATTAATTGGCCAAGATGTCTTCTTTAAAATAACCAGTTCCATGTTGAATACCAAAAAGAGACCAAAGGGAATAAAGGACAAGCTACATTTTCTTTTGGAATTAGCAAGGAAAATGTATTAAAGATATCAGTTAACACTAAAGGCAATTTGGGAGGAAAAATCTTCAGAATGTAGATGGAAATTTCAAGAAGAGAGCAACTCAGGTTATATCCTCTCACAAGCCAGTAGCAAGGGGGATAAGGAAATGTATAGAGGTAGGCAGTTGTAGTAATAAAAAGTTTGTACAAGTCCTCGCTTTCTCTTACAAAGTAAAAACACAGTGCTGGATTTCATATATGAAGACCTGTTGCTGAGCCACAAACAACAGGGTAACTTTTTCTTTTTTCTTATTATTCTTTACAGACTTTTTTTGAGTCATTTATTTTCTTTTGCCTATTTCTTTTAATAAAATGTTTAAGATCTTTAGTTATTCTAAATTAGGCCAGCAATATGTGAGTAGAAAAACTGGGAAGATTTAACATTTCCCTAAATCTACTAAAGTAAAACTTAGTATCTTCTTAGCCTGAATGTATATACAGAATTTGAAATATTCACTTAATAAAATTAACTCTATTCCTTAGAACTTAATTAATACACATTTGCTACATTCTCTTCCCTTTCCTCTCTCCCTTCCTTTTTTCCTCTGCCTTCCTTTTCCCCTTATTCCTTACTTTCTAAATGTTTTTTCAGAATTATACTTTGAAGTAAGTCTTCCATTTTATTGCAATTTGCCTTAACTAGTGTATGTTCTTAATGACTTTTTCCATCCATCTTCTGCGTCAATACTACTACTCAGCTGTAGTATTATGTCTCCTAATGATTAGAATCCTTATTTCTTCTTTTCTATTCCAAGATCCCATTTTGATTTTCTCAGTATATTGTGTTTTGATTAAGTCAGTATTATACTTTGTTACCTATTAGTGATAAATCAACAAATACTTACTGCATTTGAACTTTATGTTAGACTCTCAGCTAGATGGAATTGGACAGCCTTCATGGGTTACCTGTTAAGAAGAGAAACATTATTACCCAAATAATTGCATACACAATTCACTGTGATTGAATTAAATGAAACTATTTAAAAGAAGGAGCTGTCATGTGAGGTATAGTAGATTCTGTTAACTACTGTTACCAATTTTTCTCTTTTCCTATGCTCATAGCTTTTGTCACGAGAGTTGTTTTGGCCAAAGTAATATGAAAGTGTGTCAGTTCCAAGTTAATGCAAAGTATGATTCTCCTCATTCCTTTCCCCAGCTTCTACCAGAATAAGGACTTTGTTCCGGATAGCCCCCGGTCAAGAGTAATAAGAAATTTACTAGGCAGAGGTATCTTATCTGACCCCAGTGTGGGAACCTGAGATTGAATCACCTGAAGAGAACCAGTCTTGTAAGCATGATAACAAATGCTTATTGTTTTAAGCTTCTAAGAATTTGTGTAAAGTATTTTTTGAAAAAAAAAAAAGGAGAGGGATTATAAATTTAGTTTTTTAGAAAAAATGGGGAAAATGTAGATTATACAAGTGTTGCCACATGAAAATGTACTTTAATATAACTGAATGTAAAGATGACAAACATTTCTTTTATTATATCTATAGTAATTGTTTATGCTTTTCCATTTAGCTATTTTCAAAATTCTACATATCATTATTTCTTCCGTTCCAGTTATAATGCAATGAGAGGAGCAAAAGGATTTGTTAAAGCAAGTCTTTAAGCAGAAGCAGTGCTAGGCTGTTTGTTCTTTCAATCAGGGATTTGCAGATGTGAGAGATCACATCATATCAGTTGTAAATATTATATTCAACATACTTTTTAAAAGAGATATGTAAAAGTAGATATTAGAAAGGGGTTGAATGGTATGGTGGTCTAGGCAGAGTGAGAAACTCAGATTTAAAGGAAATATAATTTAGATTATGTTTATGGCTCTTCTTACTGCCCAGAAATTATACAATGTTTTATCAATCAATTTTTTTCTATCATTATTCTAGTTGCCATTTTATATATTCTCCTCTTTCTTTTAAACTCCAAAACATCTTCATACTCAGCTTATCACTTGCTTCCTATTTCAGAGAGAAAACAGAAGCGATTTAAAGAGAACTCCTCAAACTTTCACTTCCACACATGCCTCCTACTTGTGTCTGTGTCCACTTTCTGCATTGTCTCCAGTTTTATGGACAAATTGTCCACACTCTCAGTTAGAGTCAGACACGCTATCAGGTTTTTCCCTCCAATAAAACCCAGATTCTGAAATGATGCTTCACTTTCTGGCGGTCTATTTGAGAAGTGATCTTAGGAAAGAAAGTAAAGGAATGGGGAAAGTGGGAGAAGAAAAGAAGTAAAGTCAATGAAAAGATTTTAAGGAGCTGGTTACCACACTGAGTATGTGGGATCAATCTGCTGGGGATCCTTTGAATGATGCCTGGGAATTGTCTCACTAGAACATTGGGAAACTGGAGCGTTGACCATGAGATCCACTCTCCTAAGTTGCCTGGAGTGTTATCCCTATACTTTCCCCTCCTCCCACAACTACCTCCATACCTCCAGGTTGTGTCTAGTTTTAGCAGAGGATCTTCTGCAGTGCCAGAAAATGGTTTGAGGAAGGAAGCTATCTACTGCAGCTGTGGATGAACCCAGCAGTTGAAAGGATATATGGCGGGTAGTCAGTATCTCTGCTCCAGCATCCACTCTTCAATTGTTCCTGCTCGTCTACTCAAAAACACTGCTCCACAAACTCCCTCTCTTTTTCCATCAATTTTTCCTTCTTCACTGAATCCATTTTTAATCAGTTTAAAATAAGCTATTAAATCTCTCTTTTTTTTTTTTTCTTGTTCTCATTTGTCTTTCTAGCTACTGGCCTATTCCTTTCCAGCCTGTTGAGAGAAATTCCCTGAAGCAGTTTACACATTTGCTGTCTCCAATTTTTTTTTTATTCTCATTTTTTCTAACCAGAATTTTGCTTCCACTGTTTCACTAAAAATGTTCTAAATAATCAATCATTAATTGCCATCAATATCAGTCCTCTGTGCTCACCTTATTTAACTACACAGTTTTCTTAGTTATCTCACTTTTATTAGCATGGTATCAAAATTAAAATGACTCCCTAACGTAAATATTCAACCTGGCCTCTCTTCTAACCCCTAGACTTAGTTCTTTAAATGCTTACTTGATCACTTTAACTGGATATCTTAAAAGTATCACAAACTATACCTAGCCAAAATTAAATTTCTGAAGAATTCCCACTTCCCAACCGTCCTCTTTCTCTCACTGTTCAAATCAATAAATAAAAACTCAAGGTGTCCATTTGCTCAGGAAAAAAGAAAGAGCCAAATTTGATTCTTCTCTTCCTTTTCATCCCTCACATCTGAGATTTTAGCAGAATGAGTGAGATTTAAATTCAGTATATATTAAGCTATCACTACTTATCAAAATATTCACTGCCATCAATTTGCCACAGTCCACCGTAACCTCTTTTTGATTATTGAAATAGCCTCTGAACTGGTTTCCCTGCTTTTTAGTTTCTAGTCCTATGTAGTCTATTTTCAACACAGAAACTAGACCTATCCTGCTAAGTAAAGATCATGGGATATTGCTTATTTATTTTTCCAAAATTATCCCAGGACCTATAAGACCCAAATGACCTTACTCTCTGGCCTAAGCTCCTATAGCACTCACTCTTCCCCAGTTTTCTCTGGTGAGGACATTGACTTCCTTGATTTTACTCAAACATATTAGACATACTTCTGCCCAAGGCTTTTGGCATTTTACAGTTCTCTCTGCCTTAAATACACTTTCCTTGATAAAGTAATATATTTACAGGGCCCATTTCTTCTTTACTTGAGGCCATTACTTAAATGTAACCTTTTGAATAAGTCCTTCCAGGCCACTTTATCTGAAATTTTCATAGCCTCTTACCCACTCATCAACACATTTTTTCTCTTCCCTGCTTTATTTTACTTATTTGAACTTATCACTACCTATCATGAAGAATAATATACTTATTCCTTGTATTTAGTATTTCCCTCACTACAACATAAAATCCAGGAGGCCAGGATTTTTTTTGTCTATTTTGTTTTGTCTGTTTTATTTACTGCTGCCAACCTTTTCACATAATAGGTCACATATATACATATGTGTGTATATGTATTATATGTGTGTATATGTATTATATGTGTGTATATATACACACGTGTATGCATGTGTGTAAATTTACATATATACACACATATGTGTGTATGTGTGTATATATGTGTGTATGTATATTATGTGTGTATACACACATACACACATATATACACATATGTGTACATACATATATACACGCATACATATATATGTACATACATATATACACACATGTGTACATATATACATACACATATATACACATATGTATATCTTAAATGCATATATAAATGAATTAAGAATGTACCAAGAATATTAATAATTGATTATTAATAATTAATTCATAATTAATTATTAACCATATAATTATTATATACTATATATTATAATTTTGTATATTCCTATATTTATTAATTATATGAATATATAAAATTATAATAATGAATACATAATAGCAATTAATAATAATTGATATTATATTGATATTAATATATTCATTGATTAATCACCATTAAATGATTAAATTATATTAAATAATTAATATCTCAATTAATATATTAATATTAAAAATGATTAATTCAATTAATACTTGAGGACATTAATTTTCAAATTGTTTGTTATAAAATTGTTTCTATCCTTATATTTAATTCCCTTAGTGTTGGTAGGTAGTCTTTTGTGTTACAAATCTTGTCAATGCTATTTTTTTTTTTTACCCTAAGCTAGAATTGTCAAATATGGGTTTATTGTATTGTTCCTTTCAAATTTTGTTTGTTTATTGCCTCACATGACTGAAAAAGTGTTGCCATTTGTGTTAGTTGGAATTCTCTGAGAAGCTGACTCCAAAACAGGATTAGCAGTGGGAGAGATTTATTAGGAGCAATGCCTGTTAGGGGAAATGAGGGGAAGTGTAGAGTCTGGCCGAGCTATCAGACCACCCTGTAGTTTTAATTTCAACAGAAAGAGTTTTAATTTCAACTGAAAAGAAGGTTAGATGGAAGTGTATTTGACTCTAGTGCAATTCCAAGGAAGGTTTGGTAAGACTATCAGGGAATTCTTGAACTAATGGCACCCCTCAGGGGAATGCCACCTCTCACAGAAAGAGACCTGGCTTATTATCCCAGCTGCATTCAGCCACTGGTTAGGAGCAAGCCATGCAAGGTGTGGCTTCAGCAGGAATGCAGTTATGGACTTTAAAGAGCAGCCATTGGGGACATCAGCAATTACACTCCTGGCAGGGCAGTCAGAGATCGCTGAGGCACATTTTTATAGACACATCATATTTGTTTTCTATTATATGATATTTTGCTTTTTAAAAATCAGTAAGTTCCTTCAAATTCCCATAATTTAATTTTATTTCATTTTCGAATTTAGTTAACAATTTGAATAGAAGATGAAAACTTGCCACATCACATTATTTGAGGTCCCTGAAATGCTCCTATTTTGAATAAAAAAATAAGCTATGAAAATTTGCCCTACCACCCAACACACCAAACAACCAAACACCTCTCCACTGCCTTCCTGCTCTTTGGCCTCTCCTCTGTATTTTGTCAAGTGTCAAGTCACCAATTATAACTGCCCGCATCTGCTGTGTGCTGGTTGGGTTTCTAGTCCTGGCAGTGCAACTCCACATTCTGACCACAGGACCCCACTGCCCAGATGGATGGTTCAGTTCCTGTATTGTCCCTTTGCCCAGCCTTCACTGGGAACATTTCATGATGAAAAAGTCATTCTTCCCTTCATCCTCCTCCTTCTTACTGCTTGGAATATGGGTATGATATCTGGATTTGGATTATGCGTACAATGTTTGGATTTGGCAGCAGTCATGTTGTGACTATGAGGTAATAAGCATGAATACAAAAGCCAGAACTCCAAGAAAGATATGGAAGAAAGAATCCAGGTCTATAGTAACATCTTTGAATAATAATATCAGGCCCAGGCCAACAAACTTGGGACTTTCTATCAAATGAGAAAAATAAACCCTCATTAGTTTAAGCATTTTGATTTCCTTTCAAAAAGCTGAAGGTATTTCTAATTTATGTACTAGTGAAGCAATAGATTGTATTATTTAGGTTATAAGAAAATGGCTGTAGCATTTTCATAATTTAGGACTTATATCACAGTATAAATGTAAATACATATTACATATATATAATTTCCATCTCTAATTGTACAGTAGCATAGAAGGTATAATCTAAATATCTACATATTATGTATTAATAAAACTGAAGTTAAGAAAATTGGACTGTTTTTTCTTCTAAGTGTTGAAGTTGGGTCAAGTATCTGGAACTCCATGTTCCTTCTTACCTTTTTTTAAAAAAATAAATTATATTTATTTTGGAATAAACATATAGCAAAATTAATCTACTTTAAATGCAGAGTTTGATGAGTTTTGCAAATGTGTAGTCGTGTAACAAAGACCACAACAAATAGAATATTCGATCACCCCAAAATTTCTTATGTTCCCATTTGCAAACATTAACCACTGACTGTCTTAATTATGGAATCTCTAGAGTGTTGTATAAAGGGAATCATACAGTCTATAGCCTTTTGTATCTGCCTTCTTTCACTAGCATAATTATTTTGAGATTCCTCATGTTCCAGTATGCACTAATCGTCTATTTGTTTTCATTGCCAAGTAGGAGTCCACTGTAGTCCATGTTGTTTTATGCATTTAAGAATATATTCCATGTTGTTCAATGCATTCCCAAGTTAATGCGTATCTAGTTGTTTCCAGTTTGGAGCTACTATAGTAACACTACTGTGAACATTTGTATGCAGCTTAAAAAACTAAAAACAAACAAAGAAACGACAAAACGCTGATTTCTTTGCCATTACCCAGGCAACTGCTAATCATCAAATTAAACAATTTAATGTGTACACCTAGTGTCATATCTCAAACACTGATGTTATTCCCCACAAAAGAAATTAGATATTGAATATTTACGCTCATGAAATTATGAGGAGAAAGCAACACATGAGTAGTATGAAAAAATTTTCATGTATAGTGGCTTAAAAAGTGTATAAATTAAAAGGATTCTAAAAATGTAAAAGTAAAATGGATGATAGAAAAACATAGTTGAAGTGCATGTGGATGTTTGCTAGTTTAGAGTAAATATTGCATGTTCATAAATCAAATTCAGGACACTGTGCTCTCACATTTTTGTCAATACCAATCACAAGATATGGCAGGAATAGGAAAGCTGTTTAAATTTTGACACTACAAAATTGAATCTGGCCTTTGAATGCAATATTAAATATTATAGCACTTTCAGAAAATCTTTAAGAAAATATAAATATGAACTCTAAGAACATTAGTTTAAACATTTTGGTTTTCTATAAGAAGGCCGATATGTACATAAGATATAAGCAACAATAAAATCAGAAGATAAATATACACCCTTCTTTTCTTGGCTATTACAATTTTACTTTTTTTAATTGATATATAATAGTTGTGCAAATTTCTGGGGTACCTGTGAATTTTAATACATGTATACAATGTGCAATGATCAAATCAGGGCAAAAAGAGTAGCTGTCATCTCATACATGTGTCTTTTCTTTGTGTAGGAAGTATTCCATTTATTCTCTTTTGGCTATTTTGGAATATACAATCAATTACCATTAACTGTAGTCTCCCTACTGTGCTATAGAATACTAGAGCTTATTCCATCTACCTAAGTGTATTTTTGTACCCATTAACCAACTTCTCTTCATCTCTCCCTCCCCATTACCCTTCCTAGCTTCTGGTAGCCACCACTCTACTCTACCTCCATGAGATCCACATTTTTAGCTTCCCCATGTGAGTGAGAGCATGTGATGCTTTTCTTTCTGTGTCTGGCTTATTTCACTTAACATAATGACCTGCAGTTCCATCCATGTTGTTACAAATGACAGTATTTCATTATTTTTATAGCTGAATAATATTTTATTATGCATACAGACTACATTTTCTTTATCCTTTCATCCATTGATGTTTCTTTAAAGTGTTGCAAACAGAAAAGAGTGCTAACACAGGAGGATGTGTTTGAGTTTTGTACTTTTTAAAAATAATCAAATCTGGCTCCAGTTTCAATTGCTGTGTTTCTAACTGTATAATATGCCAAGGTCTTTTGAAGGTTCAGAAATGAAAAAAGCTGTTAAAGAAAATTTATGATATTGCAGATGAATTGATAACTCCACTTTGTTGAAAGTATTTGTCTAGATTCATTAGCAATACAATATTAACTAACCTTGTATGAAAAGTACATCAGACTTCATGTACACAAAAACTGATGATTCGCTCCTTTTTCTGAGATGTGATCATATCCATCCAAAGATGCTAGGATTTCAAGTTCCCATGTTGTTATATGTCTATCTTCTAATAAATGCGGCATTGAAGGCTGCATTTTTCTTCTGTTTACTATTTTGGGCTGTCTCCCAAATATTTAAATATTTGCAACTCTCAGTTTTGCCTTTTCCACACACTTTAACAACTTTTAGTGGAGGAATAATGCTTAAAAGCTTTTACTTGCAATTTTGGTTATTACATAATACTATTGCCAGATAGTATGGATATTATTATTCCTGCTTTTTATTTTTTAAATACTTTTTTTCCATGAATGTTCATATCAGCCTTATTAAAAATAGCCTAAACTGTAACCAAGCCAAACGGTCTTCAAAGGCTAAATGGTTAAATAACTGTGGTACATCCGTACCATGTAATACTGTAGTTTGAACTATAGTACAAAGGATGTTCATGCAAAGGATAGCTTGAATAAACTTTAAGGCAATTATGCTGAGTGGAGAAAAAAAGCCAATTTCAAAAAGATACAACCTGCGACCTTCCATTTACATTAGATTCATGAAATGACATAATTATAGAGATGGAAGAAAGGTTAGTAGTTGCCAGTAGTTAAAGATGTAGAGGAGAGAGTGTGTATATGAAAGGGCAAATGAGGGAGTTCAAGGTGATGATAAAGCCAGTCTCTTAATGGTGGTGGTAATTACACAAAGCTACATGTGTAATAAAATTTCACAGATCTATACACACACACAAATGAGTACAATAAATAACTGGAGAAATCTGAATAAACTCAATGGATTGTACCAATTTCGAATTACTGATTTTAATATCCTTCTACAGTTACGCAAGATGTTAACATTGGAGTAGGCTGGGTGAAAGTGTACATTTCTTTGTATATCGTGAATCTACATTTGCTTGGAAATTGGAAGTAGAGAAAATACATGCAGCAACAGACTGAAATAGAATGCAGAAACTGATGTGAGAATCTAGCAAAAAATTAACGTGATCTGTGAAACTTGAAAAAATAAATTAATTACAAAGTATTAGAGGCGGTATTACATGTGGAAATAATTCAAGACTTCAAAATAAAACCCTTACTTTTTTAAATTCAGTGCTCTATCTTGCACTTTTATTTATCCATGATTTTGTGGCATCACAAATTGGTCATTTTGAAAATATTGGTTCATAGAGTTACATGGATCTTACAAACGTTGACACATTTCCTTACGCAATAGAAAAATATCACATTCATTAACACCACCACAAATCTCATGAGGAAATCAATTCAGTATTGGGAAGCTGTGAAGCTTATAGTATAATCAACAATAGAAACAGCGTAAGTCTTTCAAAATTATAAGTTTTGCTTAAAAGTTCACATTTTATCTGGCAATTAATACTGCATTAGTTTTCTATTGTTGTATAGTGACTTACAATAAATCTAGCATCTTAAAGCAACACATACTATTTTCATAGTTTCCATGGGTCAGAGTTTCCAGAGTCTCACAAGGCTAGAATGCAGATGTCAACCAGGCTGCATTCTCATCTGAAGCCTTCATTGGGGAAAAATTGCTTCCAAGCTCATTCAGGCTGTTGGCTGAATTCATTTCCTTGCAGCTCAATGACTGAGGGCTCTGTCTTTATGTAGGCTGTCTACTGGAGTCCTCCCTCTAGTTCCAGTAATTTCTGCTTTTTAAAAAGTAATACCGCCAGGCGCGGTGGCTCACCCCTGTAATCCCAGCACTTTGAGAGGCTGAGGTGGGCGGATCACCTGAGGTCGGGAGCTTCAGACCAGCCTGACCATCATGGAGAAACCCTGTCTCTACTAAAAATACAAAATTAGCTGGGCATGGTGGTGCATGCCTGTAATCCCTGGTACTCGGAAGGCTGAGGCAGGAGAATCACTTGAACCTGGGAGGTGGAGGTTGCATGAGCCGAGATTGCACCACTGCACTCCAGCCTGGGAGACAGGAGCAAAACACCGTCTCCAGAATAAATAAATAAATAAATAAATAACACTTGGTTATGGCATATTATACAGGCAATTTATGTATGTATCCCATACATTTTTAGAGACAATATGGTCTCATGTGTTGCCCACTGGGCACACAATTCAAAATACATGTATGTAGTGGATATGAATCTCAAGGCTACAAAAGTGAAGTGTGCAAGAAATGGCACGTTATTTGTTAACAGTGCCAATTGGGCTGTGAATTTAAACCCCTGTTCTGCTAAGCTAGAGGAAACAACGAACTCCTTTTTCATTTTCCCTCCTTTAGTTCTTAGGGACCTTAGCCAGTGCCGAGATATTGGTGATTTATAGTGGTAACAAGGGGTCCTCTGTTCATCAGCGGTTCACATAAATACTGGAGACACCTATCATTGCATTTTAGGACTGAGCTCCCTACCTGTTCCATGTCACTCACAGGAAAGGAGAATATTGTGAGGGTGACTATGCTCCAGTGTAGCCATTTCTCTGGAAATTTGTTGGCTCGGTGTCCTCTGCTTCAGAACCTAGAGATGTGTCTCATTTCTCCTTCCCTCTTCCCTTCTTTTTCTGGGTAACTTTCTGGATTGTTTGCTTGAAGAAGTTGAGTATCTGCCTGAGCAAGGGATGCAGGGAAGTAGGTACAGATAAAAAAGAAAATATGTAGAGTAACATCTCAGAATATTATACCACATTACCCTTACTAAGTCTTTGCATTCCTGCAAATAATATTGACATGTTTTCCAGATGCTGTTAACCTTCAAATTATCTTACTCATATTATCAGCTTTCTTGTACTTTCCCTCAAGGAGTAAGAAATAAAATTGACCTGGTATTTACAATCATTATGTGACCCTTGTGTCTTAGCCTTTGATGGTGATTAATTTCTACCCCCTCAAGACTCTCTTTTGTAGCACTGACCCTCTAATAGAACTTTATCCATGATAGAGTGATAAAAATTTCACTGAGGCAGATTGAACCGAAAATAACTAGTTCCTAAACTGGGAAAGAACTGATGCCTGATTTCAAAACAGCTAGATGTAGTCAATTTTGTAGGAAACATGGTCTGATTATCTTCTCATTGTCCCTGACTCTATATGCCCAGACTTTGGACTTCACAGTTCAGGTGATGTGCCCGGTTTAGATGATTGATGGATAGTGTGGTTACTAGACTGCATAGGTGACAGCCCTCACATTCAACCCTGTGATTGGAGCAGACATGTCAGAAGAAATGGATACCTATGGAGCTTTGTGGATCTGGAAGAATTTCATTCCTCATTGCTCTCCAATTCTACAAGACTCTTCAAACTTGCTCTAACCTGTGCAATACAAACCATAGATTATTTCCCAGTGGAGGCAGTTCATTATGACATGTACATTTTTCATAATAACATGTGATTTTCAAAATTTCTACCGGGGAAGAAATATTTCACTCTGATGCTGGGCAATTTACTTTCCAGCGTTGTTTATAAAGTCTGTTTGTTTTCCAAGACGCAATTTCTATATATGGCCCAAGGAGGGCATATTAGAGACAAATTGGGAGAAGTTCTCATGTTTGGCACATTGGCGGAGTTTCTTCATCTTTTTTTAAGGGTTACTTCATTTTAACAGCTGTTTCTTGAAATACTCAAACGAAGGGTTGCCATTAGCTTCCCCAATGTCTATAAAGCGTTGATCAGGGTTTTTAATTCTTGAAACAAAGCTCTGTCTGCCTCGCCAGTGCTGCTAAATACCTCTATCTAGAATGCCTGGCTTCTCTTGTTAAACCTTATGTTTCTTTATTTAGTCACTAGGACGTTCTGTGTATGTTGTGCTTATTTAAGTTAAGCTTGAAGCAGAACTCGCCCAAGTCAGCTCCAAATAGGTCAGATCCACCCATCATGAGTCTGAAGTTCCTCAGACCAGTATCCTTCCTACTCCATACAATAATTCAGTTCTTTTGAAAATCATAGTCAGAGGTAGAGACTTTTAAATCCACCTTCTACATCAATGTCTTTCCAGATATTTTGCCAGGAATAAGAAAAACAAAATATCAGCATACTCTAACAAGTCTGGTTTTCCTCTTCTTTTTATTCTGCAAAATCCTGCTTCCTCTACTAGGTAGTTTTAAAATACTTACCAATACTCAGCCACAGTCATTCTCTTAACAATCCTCTAGAGTCACCAAAAGCAGCAGCAACTTCTGAAATTAAACCTTAGTGTTGGGTGCTATTTTTGTTCATCTTCTCCAATAATCTCTATTTAATTTTTTAAAGAGCTGAATTCACATTTGATGCAACAACTAATAAACTTATTTTATTTTTATTTTTCTCTTTTATGGCTTACTTTTTGTACTTTTTTTTTTCTTTTCCTCCTACTAGCTTGTTTGGTCTATGTTGTATTTATCACCTTCCACCTTCTTTTCAAAAATTTTTTCAAGGTGAGTGTTCTACTTTACCTTTTCATTTCTATCCTGCTAACATCTTAAATAATGAAAGCTTTTAAGTACTTTTACTGCATCATTCTTAAGCCACATTTACAATAGCAAAGGAAACTTATTTTCATTTCCTTTCAAGTGTCATTTTTATCTCTTCACTTACACTTTCTAATTCATACTATTGTAATCTATTTAAAGTTAACTAAAACTAGCTATAAACTTTGCATCCTTTTGTTTTTGTCAGTTTAGACAGATTTCTTTCTTATGACCCTTTCTCAGAATACAAGAGAAATATATTCTTAGAATCCTCATATTTACCTAAATAAATAACTTTCTTTTGTCTAGATGGATGAATAATGACTTAGCTGGGTGTGAAATTCTTTCTGATTCTTTTTTTTTTTTTTTTTTTTTTTTGAGACATATAGTCTCACTCTGTTACCCAGGCTGGAGTGTAGTGTGCAGTGGTGCAATCTCTGCTGACTTCAACCTCCGCCTCCTGGGTTCAAGTAATTGTCCCATCTCAGCCTCCCTAGTAGCTGGGACTACAGGCACGTGCCACTATGCCCACCTAAATTTTATATTTTTTGATAGAGACAGCTTTCACCATGTTGGCCAAACTAGCCTCAAACTCCAGACCTCAAGTGATCCATCTGCCTTAGCCTCCCAAAACGTCGGGATTACAGGCTGAGCCACTGCACCTGGCTCAGTCTCATTATTTTTAAGTAACTTGGTATGACGTCTTAAATGATTGTTTAAAAAACATTCTTTTTGTTCTTAGAATTTATGAATTATACCACCATATGCATAGCTCAAGTTCAGGTATAAGCATATATTTTCCCTTTAATTTGGTAAAAATGTGCTCTCTACAAATTCAGATCTTTTTTTTTTTTTTGAGTACAGGAAAAATTTTTCTAATATGTCTTAGGAATATATTTTATTCTCTAATTGAAAACTTAATTAGTATTACATACTTCAATTTCTTTCCTCTTTTTGAAACTATTATCTCAATATTAGTTGTTCTAGATCTGTTTTAAAGACAAGAATATTTTCCCTTACACTGTATTTTGGGTAAAAGTTCACTTCGTCTGCTAGTTTGCTAATTTGAGTTAATTATTACCTTCTTTCATACAAGAAATGCTAAATACTAAATGCTAAGTAATATAAAATGCTAAGTACTAAATTTTTATAGATTATAAATTTAAGGTCCAGGAAGTCTTTTGTGTCTGTGATTGCTTTACTTTAGTCTCCTAAATTCCCATGTTATATCTGATAAAGGTATTATTGTCTTTTCTAGTAGTGTATTTCTTATTAACCACCTCTCCTATGTGGTCCACTTGATCCTTCTCTCAGTGGTTGCGAAATCTCATAGATAAGTTTTATTTTCCTAAATGTTTGCTCACTGGAAATCAGATTTCACTGTTATTGTACCTTACTTCTGGGCCGTTTGGCAAACAGTGTCTCTGCCCATGTATGTTAACAGTGCTCCAGGTGGTGAGTTGTCTCTTTCATTTATGCACCTGGAGGAAGGCTCTCTCTCTTTCCCCAACTTCTCCTCTGCAAGTGCTTCACAGGCTATGTATCAAAGTCCACCTAGAGAAACAGAAATCATACTAGCTATTTCAAAATAAGAGATGCAAAACACAGAACGTATTCACTGCTCTTAGAAGGCTGAAAGACCTGAGAGAGAGTGATATAGTTCAGAGTCGGAACTTTGGAAATGTATGGAGTTGCCACAGCTGGGATGGGGGAACAGGGAGACTTTAGCTAGTACTGAATCCTTTGGTGTTTGCTGCTAACATGGAAAAGAATCTGAAATAGGATCAGTGTTGCTCTCTTCTTCAAACTTCTCAGTTCTGATCAGTGCCTGATATTGGCTGAACACAACTGAAAGCAAGCTTGTAAGGAAGTCTATAGTTTAAATATTCTCAGCTTCAATATTTGAAATAGGAATACAAGAGTAGGTCTGGGACCAAGAGCTGAGAAATTGAAATAAAATAATAAGAAAAAGCTACAAAGACTGCAAAGGTTATAAAAGTTGAAAAGTAAGCATACTTCTACTGTCAGGGGCAAAGTGGATATCACAAAGATATTTGCCTCTTGTAACTTCCTAGAGTTCAGAAAGCCTTGCCAGCTATGCACACTAATTTTAGGCTATTGAAGAGACAGAGAATATAGACGTTCATCCACTATATCAAGACAAATACGTATTAGATCCCTAATAGTAGGCAAACTATTTGAAAATACTTGACATTTTATAAATGCAAAGAAAGATGGAAATACATTAATGTCCTGAAATAAATTCATAATAATTCTGTTTCTATTTTTGTGTCCTTGTGATGGAAAATGTCTTATTAATCATCTTCATTTGAAATGTAATTTGCCAAATACAATTATCTTGTGTGATCTTTTCTACATTGGTAATCTGCTAATTTCTTAACAGAACAGAAAATGCTTTAAAGTATATCCTAAACACTAAAATGAAAATGTTTTTTTATAATTTTTGAACTAAATATTCAGAGAAATAGTTTTGAAATCATTTTTGATTCTTAATCACAATGGCTTATTAAGGTGTTTGATTACTTGTTGTACTCAGTTAAATTATCCTCCTGTGCTTTTCATATTTTTCATTCTTCCTTTCAGATAACCAAGAAAATAAATAGGTTCTTTGTGATTTTTTTCTTAGGAAAAGATAAAGAAAGGTGATAAGTCGTTTTGTAATATGCCTATCTGGAACCTCTTTTAATTTGTAAAGAATGGCCCTATTAGAGTTTATGAAAAATTTAAAAATAAACAGTCACTACTCTTTGCATTTGCTAGTTTGCTGATCACTCACATTTCATTTTATTGTTTGTATAGTTCAGCAATAGTTCCAATAATGTATTTTTTCATTGTTTTATACATGAATTGTCAGTGAAAACCAATATCAAGTGCTCCTCGGGGTGAATAAATAAATAGGACATTATAAAAAACATATAAAATAAGTGCATTTTGCAGGTAGCTAAAATTCCATTCTTGGGAAATTTAAAGAGTAAAGGGGCATTACAACCTAAAAAGAGTTTCTACATACTTTAATTTGACATCTTTTAAAACTGACTTTAGAATAATTTTGCTTGAAATATTAGTCTAACCTTGAACAGAAACTGTTGATGAAAAAGGACTACATTGGCCGGGCGCGGCGGCTCACGCCTGTAATCCTAGCACTTGGGAAGCCGAGGCGGGCAGATCACGAGGTCAGGAGATCAAGACCATCCTGGCTAACACAGTGAAACTCCGTCTCTACTAAAAATACAAAAAATTAGCCGGGCGCGGTGGCGGGCGCCTGTAGTCCTGGCTACTCGCAGGAGAATGGCGTGAACCCGGGAGGCGGAGCTTGCAGTGAGCCGAGATCACGCCACCGCACTCCAGCCTGGGTAACAGAGCGAGACTCCGTCTCAAAAAAAAAAAAAAAAAGAACTACATTAATCATTTATATTATGCAAATAATATATATTCATTGGTAGTTTCTATTTTGTGAACATAAAGATAACACCTATTTTCACATAAAATTAATAATTATAGTACACCAACATAAAGGTTTAAAAAATGCTCTACTTCATGACCGTGTGTTAAATATTGCTCTCAATTTGGCAAGCATGCATATACATATCTATATGCAAAAATAGTATGGAAAATGCATATATTTATACTATATGTCTATTTATAATAAGTTAACTCATGATGTACCTGTTATTTTAAAGCTTTTTCAATTTCTGTAAATTGTCATGACTTAATTTCCATACCTGATAGGGGTTATATGTTATTTTCTAATGTTTACGTAGTACTCTGTTGTATGTACTTATCATCATTTAAATACAGATTCCCATATCAGATAGTTTTCAGTTTTTAGCAGTTTAACATTCAATGTTGGGATGAACAAAGCCACACATGCATTTTTTCAGCTCTTGTTCAATTATATTCTTATAATAATTTCTAGAAGTAGAATTAGTAAATCAAATCATGTACAGTAGTCCCCCTTTATTGGTGGGGAATACATTCCAATACCCCAGTGGGTGTCTGAAACCATGAACAGTACTAAAGCCTATATATGCTATGTTTTTCCCTGTACAGATGTACCTATGATAAATTATAATATATAAATTAGGCACAGTAAGAGATTAGCAATAGTTAATAATTTCATAAAACAATTATAAAAATATACTTTAATAAATGTTATGCAAATGTGGCCTTCCTCTTTCTCTCTCTGAAAATATTTCATTCTGCTGTATACCTATTTTCTGACTGCTGTTGACTGCTGTTAACTGCAACTGTGGAAAAGGGAAAAGGGGATCTACTCTATACAGCCATGTGATGCGTAACAACAGAGACAAGTTCTGAGAAAGGTGTCTTTGGGCCATTTCCTTGTGTGAACATCACAGAGTGTACTTACACGAACCTAGATGGTATAGCCTACTACACACATAGGCTATGCGATATAGCCTATTGCTCCTAGGCTACAAATCTGCACAGCATGTTACTGTTCTGAATACTGTAGGCAACTATAACACTATGATAAGTAGTTTTGTATCTAAACATAGAGAAGAGACAATAAAAATACAACACAAAAAATAAAAAATGGTACACTTGTATAGGGCACTTACTATGACTGCAGCTTGCAGACTGGAAATTGCTCTCCGTGAGTCAGTAGAGTGAGTGGTGAGTGAATGCGAAGGCCTAGGACATTACTGTACATTCTGTGGACTTTCTTAATCCTGCACACTATTTTTATATACATTTAGACTACGCTGTTTATAAAAAAATTTCCTTTAATAACAAATTCATCTTAGTTTACTATAACGTTTTAACTGTATAAACTTATAATTGTTTTTAACTTTTGACTTTTTGTAGTAACACTTCACTTAAAATATAACCGCTTTTTGCAGTCATACTAAAATATTTTCTTTATATCCTTATTCTATGAGTTCTTTTCTACTTTTAAAATTTTAAATTTTTCAAAACTTTTAAAACTTTTTTTTGTTGAGAACTAAGACACACCATGCATATTAGTGTGGGCCCACACAGGGTCAGAATCAACAATATCACTGTCTTCCACCTTCACATCTTGTCCCACTGGAAGGTCTTCAGAGGCAATTACTGTATAACTGTCATTTCTGATGATAATAATGTCTTCTTCTGGGATACTTCATGAACGACTTGCCTGAGGCTATTTTACAGTTAACTTTTGTTTTCATATGTAGATAAAAAGTACAGTAAATACATAAACCAGTAATATAGTCATTTATTATTATTATCAAGTATTATGTACAGTGCATAGTTAAATGTGCTATGCTTCTATACAAGTGGCTGCACAGTAAATGTGTTTACCCAGTATCACAACAAACACATGAGAAATGTGTTATGCTGTGTTATAAGGATGCCTATGATGTCACTGGGCACTAGGAATTTTTCAAATCCATTATAATAATATGGGATCACTGTTGTATACAAAGTCTGTGTTGACAGAAACATTATTATGCCTCATACGATTGTATTTAAATATTGATAGTGTATCATTAAACTCTATCACTAAACTCTCTTTACAGAAGAGATTTACAATTTTAATAATCAGAAAGGATGCTTGTAGTGCCCATTTCACTCCATCCTAATTTATATTCCTAATAGTTAATTATTAAAATCAGTTTCTCAATCTTGCCACTATTGAGATTTTGGGCCAGATAATTATTTGTTGTAATTTTGATAAAAAATAAACAAATATTTCAATCTGGTCTGTAGTAACTTTAATCAGACTTTTTCTATCAGTTTCTTTTCTGACATATATATGTAATGTAATAATGATAAATACAGATATAATTAGTTCAAAATTATGAAATATAGCATATATTTAATATTTTTATTTGTTTAATTAACATTGGCACATTTAGATTTATTTTGTAAGGACAAGATAAGGATCCTGATATATATAAAGGAACAGCAAATATCTAGGTAATTTTACCAATACGATTTATCAAAGAAGTGAGATTAGATGGAAGCACTATGTTCTTGGTGAAAGACCAGAAACAAGAATATCTTCTAGACAATGAGAAAAGGATCAGGATCGCCTAGAAAAGAAGAAAATAAAAGAAACCTGGCTTAAATGCCATTTTGTAGACAGGGTTTCAGGATTTATACAATTATTGAACAGCTTGATGAATGAGGAAGATAGAAGCATGGAAATTCAATTATCACAAATGAAGAATGTGGGAAATGGCGATGATATGGATGCAAAACAATAAATTCAGATTTTGATATGCCTAGTACTCTGTCATCAGGCATTTGTTAGATTTGGAATTGTATATATGTATTGTGTAGCATCACTGATTTAATTAGTGAGAATAGATGCCCTATTTATATGGGATAATGTTTATAATTACTTTTAAGATTTCTAAGCAGTCAAATTGGTACATAGTAAACAGCTGATAGCATGAAATTTTTTTCTCAAGTTTTAGAACTAAATACACATCCACATTCTAATTGCCTTGAAATATACAAAAGTAATATCATATTTAAGAAAAATATGTAAAATAGTTATGGTAATTATTTTTAATTGTATACGTACAAAACATATAAAATAAATATATTGTTTATAAATAACTTTATTTGATTAACAAGAGCAGCATGTAATTTAGTATTCCCACTCATCTAATAAGCATTTATTTTCCAGAATGTGTTTCTTCTTCAGAAAAATACAGACACTATAAACTATTAACAATAATCTTAAAATTACTTGTTCTACATAAGACTCCTTATGGGTTTTTTTGGACAACTATATTACTTTGCATCTTACATTCACAGAAATAAAGAAATGTACCTATATCTGTAACTATGAAGTTTTCATACAGATTATAAAAACAGATTTTTTATAAAGTGAAAAATGTTCCTCAATTTTAAACTTAAGACTGTAGATCTCTTTTTACTTTCATAATTTTTCTCTTTGTCTTCGGTTTCAGCAGTTTAAGTATTATATTCCTAGGATATGTGCGTGTGTGTGTGTGTGTGTGTGTGTTTCAATATTTATCCTGGTTGGTGTTCTCTGAGCTTCCTAAATCTATGATTTGCTAATCTGTCATTAATTATGAAAAGTCTCCAGTCATTATTATTTCAATTTTTTATTCTGCCACATTCAATCTTTCTTCTCCTGCTGGTATTCCAATTGCACGTTAGCCCTTTGAATATTGTCACACGTTTATTGAATATTGCCTTCTGTTATTTTTCATTCTTTTTAGTCTTTGTGTTTCAGTTTGGGAAGGCTTTATTGATATATCTTCAAGTTTGCTGATTCATTTCTCAGCTGTGTTGAATCCATTGATGAGGGGATCAAAGACATTCTTCCTTTCTGTTACTGTTTTTTTTTTTTCATTTCTAGCATTTCACTTTGATTTTTTCTTAGAGTTTTTACCTCACTGTTTACATTACCCATCTGTTCTTATTTGTTGTCTGCTTTTTCCATTAGACCCTTAAACACACTAATCATAGTTATTTTAAATTACGTGTTGGATAATTCTAGCATTTGTGTGATATTTGAGTTTGGTTCCAGTGATTGCTTTGCCTCTTCAGAATGTGTTTTTTCTTGCCTTTTGAAATGTCTTGTATTTGTTGTTGTTGTTGTTGAAAGCTGGATGCTGTATTGGGTAATAGAAACTGAGTTAAACAGGACTTTGCTGTGGAGAATGATGTTAATCTGGCTGGGAATCAGGCTATGTTTAAGGTTTGTTGTAGCTAAAGGTTCCAGAGGTTTCTAATCTTTATTTTTCTCTCCTCTCTTTACTTTGGATTCCCATGTGGATGCCCCCTCAGAGAGATTCTGTGTCTTGAAACTCTGTCATCTATATTCTGTTGCTATTATATGTATGGTGGAAAGGGTAGGGAGATAGAGCATTCTATAATTTTCCAATTAAATCTTTCTTTTAATGGGTCTGTGCCTCTGGGTTGTGGCCTTCACAAATATTTCTTTAGTTGTATAGTTTATTTTCTCCTGATCCCTACTCCTTTTCCTGATTACAGAGTTATTACTATGATTATTCCCTTTAATGTCTGACCTCTGTTGACTGTGCCACACTCACCTTATGTAAGACAGAAAGAAATAAGCGGGTTGAACTGGGATGAATTCCCTTTCCTCAGCTGGGATAAAGATAAAAATGCACCTCTGGTACAGTCCTTTTGTCTGAAGGCAGGCTTTTTTATTTATTTATTTATTTATTTATTTATTTATTTATTTATTTATTTATTTTGAGACAGACTCTACCTCTGTCTCAAGGCTGCAGTGCAGTGGCCCAATCTCGGCTCACTGCAACCTCTGCCTCCCGAGTTCAAGCGATTTTCCTGCCTCAACCTCCCGAGTAGCTGGGATTACAGGCACGCGCCGCCACGACCAGCTAATTTTATTTTTAGTAGAGACGGGGTTCACCATGTTGGGCAGGATGGTCTTGATCTCCTGACCTCATGATCCGCCCACCTTGGCCTCCCAAAGTGCTGGGATTACAGGCGTGAGCCACCGCGCCCAGCCTGAATACAGGCCTTTTTTATGAGACTGGGCATCAATCATTATGATTCTGGGCATCAATCATTATAATTTATGGTCCGCTTCCCATGACAAAACCACAAGGGATTTTGTCTCAGTTCCCCCTGGGGTTGATAAGAGGAAAGCCCATGAAAATGTCTGAGGGTCCCACTAAGATCGTAGCTAGCCCCTACGGGGTTTTCTCTAGCAGGGGAATCCACATTCAGCCTCCAGCAACTTATCAAAGTTAACACGTAAGTGTTCCCACCAGTTCGTAACCGCAGCAGCCTCTGCTCCAGGTACGCAGATTATAGCTTTAGCTGGATTTTCATGTCTCTCTAGATTTCTGGTTGTAGGTAATTTCTCCTACAAAATGTATGAAAACCCACAGTAGAATGGTAGAAAAAGAATAAGAGATAAGAGACAGATCAGAGAAGTAAAAAAAGTGAATCAGGATGCCGAAAGAGAAGACAGGGTTTATTAATTACTTTGTAACATTTTATGTTACTTTAGAAAATTTAGATCATACTTATTTCTATAAATAGAAAGTTTTAATTTTCTAGTACAAAATGTTTTCTTTGACACAGAAAGATAAGCATTGTATGTCCTTACACATTTAATTATATTCCAAAGAGCTTATCTCAGAAGTTGAGATGAAAACATTTGAAGCATAAATTTTGAATACAGATGCAGAGCTATGGAGTTAGACATGTGTAATTCTAATATAATCTGTAGAAACATACTTTGAATATTTGCATATAAATGTTTGAATGATGAGTCAGCATAGTTATACTATTCACAAATTACTATTTATTTCATACGGTATACAGTATGTATTAGAAAGCTATAGAAAGGGATTTATCAAACATATTTAATGTATGTTGTGATTAAATGGGTTACCTATTTGTACCAAACTGTTTTACTTGTTTAAAGCTTAAGACTAATGTCTATTAGAAAGTCACATATAGCTACTTCATGTGGTTATAAATCTGATTGTCTGTATGTGATCTTCACATAAATCTGAACATTTTGAAAATTATAAAGTGATATATTCTTGTACTTTTAATGATTTAAAACAGAAGCTCAAAAAGTAGGAGTGTACACCAAGGCATCTGTGTCACTTTTGCCTTAAGGCAAATGTTAGAATATCTAAATAAAATATATATAAGATATAAGCTCATAAAAGAAGTCATCTTATGTATGTGTGTCACTGTTAGGATATATTCAGTATTAAAAGCATAATAATAGGTACATATTGAGATAGACAAAATTAAAATGATTGATAAAGCCCAACAATATTTATAATAATATTTATAGAGTGTGGAATAATGACATTATTTATTTATTTTTTTGAGACAGAGTCTTGCTCTGTCACCCAGGCTGGAGTGTACTGGTGAAGATGTTGGCTCACTGCAACCTCTGCCTCCAGGGTTGAAGTCATTCTCCAGCCTGAGCCACCCGAGTAGCTGGGATTACAGGTGTGTACCACCAGTCCCAGCTAATTTTTGTATCTTTGCTAGAGAAGGGGTTTCGCCATGATGGCCAGGCTGATCTTGAACTCCTGGCTTCAAGGGATCTGCCCGCCTTGGCTTCCCAAAGTGCTAGGATTACAGGGATGAGCCACCACACCTGGCCCTAATTACATTATTTATTGAAGTACAAAGAAATATAATCTTTCAGGTTATCAATTATGAATTTTGTATCAAATGTTAAGTATTTATTTCTTTTGATTTTAGTAATTTTATTTTCCTAAATTTACCGTGCATAGGTAAGTCCATATGTTCCAAAATAATAAGGGCTAAAATTGTTTGCTGGAGAAATATTTGTAATAATTAAAAGTTAAAACCAATTTATTTAAACATAGTGTACCCTTCAGTATGTTTTCACAAAAATACTTTTAGTCATTGAAAACGATTATCTAGAATTAAATTTGTTCAGTGAAAATATGTCTATCAATACTATTGTACAACATAAAAACAATTTCTGAAAACTGTAGATAGTAAGAGATAATTCGAGTAAATTAAAACACATATACTCATGGAGATACTTGGTTTGCTATGCATCATATATTGATAATATTTATGTATTGCAGATGAGTTGTAAGCTGTTTTTATTCTATCCTTTGTACTTTAATTACAGCTTTATTAGGATACAATTCACATACTATAAAATTCACCCATTTAAAGTGTACACTGTTTTTTGTATATTCATAGAGTTGTGGAACTATCTAATTTTTCAATATTTTCATCACCTCAAAAAGAAACCTCATGTACATTAGCAGTCACTTCCCACTCCTCCATACCCAATGTGCCTAGAAACCACTAATCTGCTCTCTGCCTTTATGAGAATTCTCTGTACTTTCTGCTAAATGTTTCTATAAACCTAAAGCTGTTTGAAAAATAAAGGATATTGATATGAAAAAATAAAATTGCAAGTATACATATCACATGTTTTTAATAAGGATTGAAATGTTACTTCCATAGTTTATTTAACAGAGTTCATTACAAAAGAAAACATATTGCATGTGATACACCTAGTGATATAATTACATGGCACTTTTAGGTATTGTATGAAGGTTAAAAAAAAGAATGTTAAGATTTAGAGTGATTAATCTCTCTTACTTATACTTACATCCATATAGTAGACTCTAGCAATTCACTGATGTTCTAATTTATTTCCTTTTCTTTAATTGGCTGCCTGCCATCCATTTTTTATTTCCTAGGTTTCTACATGAATAGCAGTAAACTATTAAGTAGCTAATGATGGTTACCTAAGTGCCTGGTTGTTAGTATGATAATATAATTAAAGAAATTGGAATTCTGCCATAATTACACATCAGGAAGACAGGGATAATCTTCATGGTTACATGTATATCCTAGACTATATTATCTGAGCTTTTACCCATCCATGCATTAGTTAACAGAGCTTTGATAATTAAACAAGAGACTCAACATTAAGGGCTCTTATCAAATTGAATAAAAACAATCCATGCTTTAGAGTCTTTCATTGTAAATATATAATTTATATTACATTATCTGGAAAATATACATGTTTACTCATATTTGGATAACTTGGCCATCCTGACTATATATAACATTTATAAGTAGATGTTATTAACCTGTTTTTTTGAGTGAATAGCAGAATTTCTCTTTCCAATAAATGCAGAAAAATATTTAGTTTAGTGGGAAGAGATTGGAGGTAAATAATTAAGTATTTAACTATAAATCCTTGAGAACACCACATCCACTATATTAATATTTGTTAATATTGAGACCTGATCAGCAACGAGTGCCAAGTAGCAAGTGCTTGTGATGCTTTGTTAAGGCATTTGTGCACAAGTGATTATAGCATCATTGTTCACAACAGACAAAAAGAGGAAACAACCCAAATTTCTGAGGAACTGCCACACTGTTCCCAAAGTGACTTTCTCATTTACATACAATGTATGAGGGTTTCAGTCTTTCCACATTCTTGCCAACTCTTGTTACTTTCTGTCTTTTTGATTACAGTCATCTTGGTATCTCATGTGGTATAACATGGTATATTTTGTTTCACAAATTTTGTATTCATTCAGAAAAAGTTGAAAAGTGAGTAAATTCTGTGTAATTATAGTTATTAAATGACTTGTAAATTATATTTCCTGTTCACATTTTTCTACATTTAATCTTCTAGGTTTTTAGATCTCATTGGAGGTTGGAGGTAGCAATAATGCTAAGGTAGCTAACTTTTCAACATTCTTGGGTGAGGTGATCTTTTGGTGAAAACAATTCCTGCATTTCTCAAACAACTGGGGCTGAGGCAGAAATAAGTTTCAATGAGCAAGTGTCCAACTGGGCTGTTTAACAAACTCTAATCATTTGAAGCAAAGGAAAGAAACAAATAGACAAATGTGCTCCAGCTTGTGGGAGAATAACCCAAAAGAAACTCACAACCTGCCGCATTGGTGAAGAGTTTAAGCTCCAGTGGTCTGTGACATGCTAGAAAAAGACCCATAAGGTAGGCAGCAACTAATTACACCTTTTGCATCCTAGAAAATAAAAAAAAAGAAGCATGACAGTCTAAGTATTAATGGCTGTATATTCTGCTCTTGGGAATAATGCTGTGATATATTTATTTGGAGAGAGGTAGCTTCTAAGGCAAGTACTGGAGTAGGTATAGGTTGGGACACAAGAAACTCTCAGGTTTATTGTATATGACTCAACAGATTCTAAGTTACTAGAGGTGTTTGGGGGAGAAAAAGAGGCTGTGTGGAATTTTTGGCAAGTGCCAATAGGAAAGTCGCAGTGCAGACCCATGAAGTTAGGTAGCAAAGCCATGATCCCCACAACAAAGAAGTTTACATCATTCACAAAACAGCTCTTAGCATATAAAGGTTCTCAGTACATACTGAGTTTCTAATCAAGGAACATCATGACCTGGGTACTGCCAGACCAACCCAATCATAAGATAAAGTGGGTCTAAATGCAATCCATCCTAAAATGTATATGTTGCTTTCACAATTAGGTTCAAGCATAGGAAGATGTACTAAACATTGACACAAAGTACATGTCACTATCATTGTTACGTTGATGTATTTACATTGTCAGAAAAAAGTCCTCATGGGTGATTTTCTATGACTAGCTAACAGGGAATGAAACACGTCATGAATGTACCAGCCTTGTATGTAAGTGTAAGCTGAAAATGAATGATTGCTGCATTAGAGACACAGTCAGTGGTGACCCTAAAAGACAGTGGGGGAAGGAAATACTCCTCCACTGATTATAGCTGCAGGAAATGCACTTAGTTATCTACTTTCTGTGGAGAGAATATAACTCGAAGTAAGGATATACATGAATTCAGAGGCAGTAACAAAATGATCTGCTCGTTGGCCAGCAGATGGAAAGGACCAAGCTTGGAAGATTCAGAAAAGTAGACCTCAGAGAGGAGCATGTGGATGATCAGCAGTGATAGATATTTCTTCCTGACATATTAAACATACAATAAAGAAACTGCTGAAATGCAATTAGAAGACATTGATGTTCATTTCTATGATATAAATTAAACTATTAAAATAGAAGATAACTTTATTAACATGGTAAAGAAAATGAAGTGAAAATAGGTCTGTAATTTTTTGATATTTCCTCTTCAAAAGATGTGAATACTTTCTCTTCCCTTGAATGTGGGTCAGGCTTAATGACCCACTATTTATGAATAGAACATTGCAGAAGTGATGCTATGTCCCTTTTGAAGCTAAGTTGCAAGTAGGGTATAACTTCTGCCTGGCTTTCCAAATGAGTATATGATATATTCATGCAGAAAGTACATACAGTTTTTAATGTTTAAGAAAAAGTTAAATGCTATCACTATCTGATAATGCAACAATAATATGACATGATGGATATAGAGAGGTTGAAAGAATAGAAAAATGCAGATAAGGACAAAGGCACACATATCCTTATCTTATAAAGTGGGCAATCACAACCATCAATACCTAAAAGTATAAGCATATTGCTTTAACTGCAAGTAAAAACAAAAAGGACCTAAAATTATTTTTGGGGAGAGATCGATTTTTACTGGGGATGGTCTGAGTAAGAAAATAAAGAGGTCTTATGGGAAGCTGATAAACTTAAAAACAGCTATAAAACATTGTTTACAATATGCGATTAATTACAAGAGATACTACAAGCAGAAAAAGAGTAAAAGTGGTTTCTCTAAGGTGTAATACAAGAAATAAGGAAGGGAAAGGACAGAAGACTCTTGCTTTATGTAATAAGCCTTCCTGTACAATTTTATCATTATACTATGCTTAAGAATGCATTGATTAAAAACTAAAAAAAAACAAACTCCTAAAAAGTAGCCAGAGTGCTGCAGAAATACAGAAAAGAAGCACAGAAAATGGTTAATTCTATATGTCAACAGCCAGTGAGCCCACAGATTTGTGATTTTTTTAAATGAGATTAACATTTTAAATCAGCAGACTGTTGGCTCCATTTTCCTAGGAGCCCCAACTAATGCACGACCTAAAGTAAATTGTGTATCGGCTTCAGTGTAATGTTTACCAGATAGTGACTCTATAGCTGTGTCTAGAAAAATAGGAATTAATGATATGGATGAGGTCAGACTGAACATTTCAAACAGAGTGTAAACCATGTCCAAACATCCAGAAAAAAAGATTTTGAATGTTCAACAAGTTGGACATTTTACAGGATGTGTCTGGAATAAAGATGTGTTTAGAGAACAGGATAAAAGATTCAGAAGCAGGTAAGAAAAGATCTAATAAGCTTGAACTTACTCAGGGACTCCAGGCAGAGAAAGAGTAGTATGATCAAGTTAAAATGTTTGACAATCACGTTTGTATAATTAGGATGGATAGGAAGGAGCATAAAATTGCAGACCAAAGGACAGTTTAGGATTCTATGGAACTAAGAGAAAAATTAAGGCCTAAATTTTAGCTACCGGTGCTGGTTAGAGAACAAGAGGTACTTAAGATATAAAAATGACAGAAAATATATCACATTGGATATAGCTAGAAAGGGGAAAATAATTATTGAGGTGGACTTCCCAGTTTCTAACTTGAGAGACAGGGTGAATTGTTAAGTCATTCACTGAGGGAGGATGTAGAAGAATAAACAGGTAGAGCAGATGGTGACTGGGGCTGAGCCTCAAGATAGCAAATGGATGAGAAGATAAGCAGCAGGATAAAAGTCACTGATGCAATTTTGAAAATTTAATCTTGTTAAATTTTGAGCCACTACTGCTATTTTGAAATGGCTATAGGTTGTTACAAAAGTAATTGCTATCTTTGCTATTAAAAGTAAGAGCAAAGATCGCAATTACTTTTACACCAACCTGACATGTCCAATATTTCATTGTATATAGGAGACCTGAAGCTATGGATTTGAGTATCATTAGCATACAGATTGTAAATTAAGCCAGAAAATCTTTAAATATGAAGGAAAAATAAATGAGAGTAAAGTTATGGAAAACCTATTGTTTGATATATAAAATAGAATGTACCATGATGGTAATCTTTAGTCTCTCAGACAAGTAGGAAGAATCAGGATGGAATGGTTTTATAAATTTTGAGAGAGCTTCAAAAAGTAGTCAAGAGCATCAAGATAACCAGCAGTCTATTGAAATAAAAACTGTAAATTAAATCTTGCAGTTCAACAGAAACACCATGAAGAGAGCTATTTGTATGTCATTATAGGACGATAGGACAGTTACAACACAGACACAGCCTTTTTCAGTGCTGATGTATCCATACGTACATATGTGCATGTGCACACACTGCAAATAAAGAAGATATTGCTACAAATATTAGACTATTGTCAACAGAGTGGGAAAACCATATCACAATATGTAAAAATGTGAATTCTCATCAAACTTGAAAATCACTGTGAATAATTTGGGGAAGTTTAAGGAGTACCTGGGAATGGGAAGGGAGCTGAAAGACCAAAAACAGACAAAGGGAGAATAAAACTAGAAAGGAAAATAAATTATCAAATTATATTGGCATAACTTGGTCAGCTTTGAAAAAATATTATATTAAGAAAACTTCTATATTCATATCCCGTATCAAAATTTATAGTAAGTGACCTTAATATTTTTAAACTACTTAAAAAGAAGTTAGGGAAAAATAGGAGTGAATGCTTATCAAATTTCTGGATAGAAAGGACTTACTATGTTTGCATATTTCTGTTAGTTTTGTAGGCGTATCAGGGATGAAGGGGCCAGCAGGAAAGCAAAATACCTCTTTTTCTTTCTAGGTTTCTCAACCTTAAAAAGCCACATCCAACCTTACCCAGGCAACCTCACAGGTATCAATGTCTATAAGCAGGATACAGTTAGTGAATGAGACTTTTAATTGTCCCCCTTGAGGGAAGGTATATGGATGTGTGGGCACACAATGTGTTAGCTACTATGTATCAAATTTGAAACATTGTTATATGTCAATATTCAGTGTTAAAACAGACATATTTTATCTAGTACTGCCATACCTTATGGGTAGCATTACAAATAAAAAGAGTCTTTAGAAAACAGTTTTATAATATATCAAAATATATCAAAATATCTGTATCATTTGCCTTAATATTCTCACTTGGAGATTCTATATTAGATAACTAATTACATATAAAGATATATAGGTGTGGTGGTGTACGCCTGTAATCCCAGCATTTTGGGAGGCTAAGACGAGTGGATCACTTGACCCCAAGAGTCCAAAACCAGTCGGGCAACATAGTTAAATCTCATCTCTAAATAAATATATAAATATATAAATATATTTTTATATATATAAATATATAAATATATTTATATATATAAATATATATAAAATATATAAATATATTTATATATATATATAAATATATTTTTATATATATAAATATATAAATATATTTTTATATATATAAAATATATATATACACACATATGTATATGCCAGGTGTGTGTGTATACACACACACACACACACACACACACATACACACATATATATATGCCAGGCATGGTGGCTCATGCCTGCAGTCCTAGAACTTTGGGAGGCCAAGGCAGGTGGATCACTTGAGTGAGATCAGGAGTTCGAGACCAGCCTGGCCAACATAGTGAAACTCCATCTCTACTAAAAACACAAAAATTAGCTGGACGTGGTGGCATGCCTGTAATCCCAGTTACTTGGGGGGCTAAGGCGGGAGATCACTTGGACCCAGGAGGCGGAGTTTGTAGTGAGCCGAGACCATGCACCTGTCCTCCAGTCTGGGTGACAGAGCAAGACCTTGTCTCAAAAAAAAAATTATAATTATTTACTTCATTTTTGGCATAATATACATATAAAATTATATATTATGTATATATTATATATGTATATATACATAATTATTCAAGAAAGTTAATTATAATATAAAGCAGAAATAATCCATAAATTCCAAATAATAATTTCGCTAAATAAATTTTTGCATATCCATTGGACAGTATACAAATAACTAAAATGTTTTTTATAAAAATGAATCAATTTGGAAAGTAATCACAATAAATATTAGATAAATGTATACACTACATGTATATATTTATAAAATTATACATAATTTTTTATTTTATTAAAATTAATGATCTATAGAAATGACAAACAAAGCCTGAAATGTACAAGGACCAATGTAGAACCAAGAATATCCAAAAACCTTAATTATTTAAACAGTTGGTACTAATACATATATGCATACATACATCAATATTAGAAAATGAAGTTAGGAACAGATACATAAATTTAATATGGGACATTATGGGTTAGTAGGGGAAAATGGCCCATTCAAAATGTGCTGCTGGTATATTTACTATTGTTACTGAAAGATAAATTCTAGATGTTTACTTCATGTTATGTACGTAAATATAATACATATAAATTGAATATTTAAAATTAAAAAAACTAACTTTGAGAAGGATTTATTTATTTATTTATTTATTATTGTTATTTTTTTACTTTAAGTTCTAGGGTGCGTGTGCACAACATGCAGGTTGGTTACATATGTATACATGTGTCATGTTGGTCATAAGCGAGTTATCTATGATATCAAGGTAGGAAAGATTACATACTCAAGTCTCAAAATGTCATACCATGAAGGACTAGATTGATACACTTAATTAAATGAAAATTTGATGAAAAACTTCTTTATGTAAAAATATATACAAAGTGAAAAGAAAAGCCGCAGTGGGAGACAAATTATATGCAACTCTTAACAAGATATGTAAGGTATTTTGAGTATTAAAGAACTTCTATGGAGCAAAAATGAAAAATAAGTATTTGTTAGAACACCAAGCAAATGATATGAACAGAAAATATATGGGAAAAGATATTTGAAGGCTAGTAAACATGAAAATGTACTCAAAATCCCTAGCAATCAGAGAAATAGAATTAAAACAAAATGAGACATGGCTGGTCACCAAAATAGATTAGCAAAAATAACGTTAATAAAATTGTATAGCACGAGGGGTAGAGGATTTGAGAAAAATTGATTCATACATTTCTGTTGGGAGTATAACATGGTACAAACATTTGGAGAAAATTTGGTCATAACTAATTTGAAAATGTATATATTCTGTGACACGGAGTTCACCAAATATACATATTTCTATAATTCCTGTACATGTAGGCAAGAAAACGTATAGAAAATATTTCTTGTGGTATTGTTTGCAATTTAAAAGGAAATAATCAAATTAATGATCGATTTGCAGGAAATAACTAAACTGTGGTTTATTTATACACTGGAATAGTAATACAAAGCACTTAGAATTACCAAAATAAAGCTACGTGTAAAGACAGCAATTTTCACCTAATATCAAAATATTTAGGTGAAAATTGAGCTGCAAAAAGACATGTTTATTATTATGTTATCTGTGAAATAGTGAATTATGCAATGATATTTATATACACCTGTGACTACATATGCATGTTGGAAAGCTTCAAAAATTAACAGAATAATTAACAGTTACTTCAAGTGTAAACTTAATCTGGAAATAAAAGTTTAGAGAAAAAAATTGAAGGATTATAGTTACAGCTGTATGTTTTAGCTCCTAAAAATATATCTGAAACATGTATAGTAAGATGTTAATATACATTAATCATAGAAACAGTATGAATTTTTTGTTTTGAATTAATTTTTCTTTTTGGTATATTTTATAATTAAACTTTATAAATAATATAACAGCATTGCAGTACATTTAAAAATGTAATAAATATAGAGCAACTAGTATTTTAACTATGTCATGTTTCTTTGTGGTCTACTTCTATACAGCATGTTATGTAATATT
The DNA here is from genome assembly GCF_000001405.40 of Homo sapiens. Taxonomy (NCBI): domain Eukaryota; kingdom Metazoa; phylum Chordata; class Mammalia; order Primates; family Hominidae; genus Homo; species Homo sapiens. Next base: position 184,445,808 of record NC_000002.12, on the reverse strand, counting down.
TACTGTGGATATTTTTTATTTCTTATTTTCCTCTCTTTGATATAAAACTACTCTCAACATCTCCACAAATGTAGGATGTAAATAGACAATGAATCAGATTTCACAGTTTTTTTTCCCTTGCATTTAAAGACTTGTGAACACGTTTAATTCTTTTATATTGAGTAGATACATGAAAAGGAATTGAGTGTGGCAAAACGAAGAAACCCCATGGCAGCTGGCCTGCACTCCTAGTAGTATTTGCTATACTCAGAACAGTAGTTAGGCATACAATAGCAGCTTATTTATATAAATTAATATTTTCACATCATCCCAGAGCTGGTACAAATCATAGTGAGAGATCTTCATTGCCAAAAAGCATCTACCATTATTCTTTACACAAAAAATTTAGGGAACTAACAGTCAAAAATAGTTCATGCAATTTATTAGTGTATAAAGGGGCAACTGTAGATCAATGGTGGAGAGAAAGAAACTGTGTAGCTATCTATTATCTGGTTTATAACCTCTGATGATATAGAATAGTGTATAAACCAAGGAAAGAGAAATAGCTGGATAAATAGAAAATTGAAGTAGTTGTAACTACTTCATAGAAATAGGTTATGTTTCATGTTTCATTTTTCTTCAACGTTTAGTTTCATATGGTGTCCCATTTCATGGGGAAAAATAATAGAGTAGGTTTATTTCCTGAATTTAGGTGCAGGTACATAAATTCCATGTAACCCACCTTGACTGTATGTGGACGCCATCAGATGCCTGATACATTTGCAGCACTTGATGTCTATATGAGTCACCGTATAAATAGTTTTAACCTTTACTTATTAAAAGGAATGGTTATTTTGGGTTGCATATATTACCTCTTCATCTTTTTTGGGACGCAGTAACATAGAAAAGAAGACAGTGACTTATTATCTGCTGTAAAAATAAGGGCACAAAAAATGGAGAGGGAGACTGAATCAGAACATTCTGAGAGTGAACTACAGTTGAATATTTTTAAACTAGAGCATAACCTCAGGTTAACTTTCATGACCATCTCTGGCATTCACATCTTTTAAAAAAGAGTATATTACTAATGATTGTGGCATGTTTATTTATATTTTATTTTACTTTTTGCTATTAATAATTCATTGGAAAAAAACTGCAAAGCACATTTCACCTTTTACATTATTAAAGTAGAAAATTAATTAAAAGGCCTTCAATCTAATGCCCTGATACTATTTTTCAAATGTATATTTAGGTGCAACTGGAAAGAGAGAGAGAGAGTAGGTGTGTGTGTGGGGTGGGGGTTGGATACAGCTGGGGAAGGGAGAAATACGCTTTTGACAAGGAAGAAACAGCAGCTACATCTGCTAAGTTTCTGTTTCTATAAAAAGAATACCTGCTAGCCTGCTGACATGAGGCAGACTAAACTGCAATATTGAAAGATTAAGGCCAGCTGGTGTTTTTCCAGTTGATTTGCATTTTTGAAGCTCAAGGTGATCCCCTTTATTTTTAACGATGTTGATGACTCAAAAAGTTGGCATCTTATGAGGATAGTAAAGTTATCTCTTTTAAAGACATAAGAAATCAAGTTTGAAAAACACAAATAGAAATGATTAACATCAAACTGGTTAATTTGCAATAATTGCTGTGTGAATGTTTACCTTGTTGATTAAATCTATTTATAAAGGGCCTAAGAATAATCTATATCCTGAAGATGTGTGGGAAGGGAGCAAGAATGTAAAGAAAGAAATTATATCCCTATGTTGGAAGGAAGAAAACTTTCCAAGTAAATAAAAAAGAAATTCATAATAAAAATTAGACTGAATTCAAGAAAAACTAGCTCTGCCAGCCTATTAGACAAAACATTACTTATCTTCCATATTTTGTGTATAGTAAAGGCAACTATTGCCCACTCCCTTCATATTTATCCTTGCTCCTAGCACACACACACACACACACACACACACACACAAAACACAACCATCACCACTTGTAGACCTTACCTCCTCTCTTATTACTGCCAGATCTAATTTAACTTCACAATTCCATGTTAATGTATTCTGAGAAATGGGTATGATTTCTCAATGCTGCAAATATTATTGAGGCTATTGGTTGTATGGTTGACTTGCACTTACCATATTTGCTTATTGTAAATTGTTACTATTTACTGACTTATGTAATTAGTTTATTAACATTTTTTCAATTTTACATACATTTATTTTATACAAAAGTGAGTACTACATCTCATTCACATAAATTCTATAAAATATCAAAATCATTTAAATCTTAAGGTATGGTTTGAAAAACTAAAATCAGATCAAAATTAACAATTTACACCCAAAAACTGAAATTGCTGCTTAAAAGTATTTTTAAAGAAGAATAATTCCTGCAGTGAGTGAAAACTATCCCATATTAAACATCAAAACTACAGACTTAGGGTCATATTTTACAAAATTGATTCATATTTAATTTGTTGAGGTTATGTACACTTTTTAAGGATATAGCTACCATATATTATACTTAATGTTCTGTTATCACTATGTAAACAATTATTACTCTGAGCATATTTAATTTAGTAACTGAAGAGTGGAAAAATGCATTAGAGGCTATTTTACCATAGAAACAAGTAGACAAAGACATCACGAATATTGTATTTCTTCCCACTGTACTTTACATAATTTGGTCCTAACATGTAATGGTCTTTGCCTAACATTTTAAGTACTTACAATAAAGTGGATCTTATGAAATTTAGTCTTGAGCCACCACATATTGGTGGATTATCAAGGCAGATATTGTTTGTGCAGAGAACTATAAACTCTTTTTGTTTGCAGCAAGCAAGTTAACCCAGCTTTTTGTCAGTTGTCTTTTCCAGGTATTGAGTGCTTTCAATTCTTAGATGCAAAGTCTTCAGAAGTCATTAAATGTCATAATTCTATCAAATATATGAGATCCTTGCTATTAAAAATAATGCCTGGAAATAAAGACAACTTGTTGAACATGCTATAGAAGTATTTTACCAGCCACATTTTTAACTTCAAAATTTTTTTGAAATAAAATGTGATTTTGGTGAGTGAAGTACTTTAAAAACAATTTTTAAATAAATAATAACTCAATAAAACAATTAAGTCTGCTAAACAAATGAGCATGGCTTAGGCCTTTGAAAGTGATGTTCTGAATACAAGAAATGTGATAAATTCAACAAATGGTAAGTATTTACCATGTGCTCAGCTCAGTAAACAATAAAAAGTAAAACTGGCATGTCCTTAAAATTTTCAGTTGTATATGATTTAAGGTTACTTTCGAATATAGTGGTTAAACCAACTTTCCAATATTATAACAAACTTTGTGTCAGACATTGAAATAATTAATTTGTTTAGTTTTTAGTAAATTTCATATGTTGATAGATTAAACCTATTTACTTGTTTCAAAAAATCAAATAAAACATGAAAACAAAAGTTTATTGATTGCGGTATTTAGTTGGTATACGAACTTACCTTGTATGTGTTAAATGGCTATATCCTAAAAAATTAAAATATCATCCCAGAAAAACAAGTAGAAATTAATTTAATTTATAATGAGAGTGAAGACACACACAGCAGATAAATTTACCCAGGACTTGTGGCTTTTGGATTTTGTTAATGTGAATAATTACATATTTTTGTGGATTCACATTAACTATGTTTGAAACATTAATACAACATTTGAGGTCTTTTTAAAAGTAGCCTTGTGATATCCTCTTAATAGAATTATTTGAAGATCTGGGGCTATTTACTTTGAAGGAAAGCAATTTTAAACTGCAACACTGAATCTATGGAGTCCTTAAATTATAACTTGAAAGTCATTATGCACTCAATGAAACCATGACTTTCTGCAATATAAAATCTAGCCAAGTAATCATAAGAGTATTTTATGTACTAATGAACTATTTAAAATGTAATATATGTAAATGTGTATTTAGATATATATAAGAGTGAAGAAGGTTGCTGTTAAAGGAGACATGGTTATTAAGAAATCATCTTTGTTTATTAGATAGATGTAGATATTAAAAATACTACTAATATGTACTGGCAAAAAGATGAAAAGGGGAATATTTTATAGCACTTCAGTGTAATAAAAACATGGACAATGTTGTCTTACCAAATTAGCTTTGAACAGCAGTTCCTCAAATTATCTAATACATAAGGCTAAAGGAGTTAAGCCTGAGTTACAATTGTATGATCTATAATATGGAATAATAGCAACTTCTTATAAAGTTGTGAAGATAAAGTTAGAGAAATCAAAAAGTACTTATGATAGTGTTAGCAAAATAGCAGATGCCTAATAAATATTAGTCTCTAAACAATGTAACATTAGATAACATTTTAGTTTTGAATGTTGGAAGTTATTAAGGGTAAACTAGATGCATTTTTATGATAGAGTACAAGCTATAGAGATGGATAAATAGTACCATGTAATTCCTATTTATTTGTCTTGCTATTTCATCATATGTAGGCACAGTGTAAAATCAGAAAGAAAACAAATCAATAAATCTCTGAGGGTAAAAATGATGATAGAATATCTTTTAATTTAGTATAGTTAAGTTATTGGGTTCTGATAATCTAATGGTGGCAAGGAGGATATTGATAATTCAATTGAAACTCTATTGAAATGATAGAGTTTTGACAATGCTACAATATGTTTCTGGTAATCAAATTTTTACAGAAGAAGATTGTCAACTTGAAATTGGAAATTTGTACTTTTGGTTTCATAACTGAAGAGTGTCACATTGAAATTTATTAATCATTAGATTTATGTTACCACAGATATAGAAGTACACAGAGGTTAAAAATAGTCACTATTCTTTCCAAAATTATGCAGACTATATATTCCCCTTAAGTGGTCTGAGAAAATTCCTGCCCTTGTCTCTTTTAATTAAAAAAAAAATTGGCCAAAATTTGTGAAATAGTAAAATGTACAGCTCTTAACTGTAAAATTTGATAAGTTCAGAAAATATATAGACCCATGTAAAAAACATCCAATTTATAATACAGAACATTTCATCACCCACAAAAATTTCCTCATGGTGCCTTCCGGTAAATTCCCATCCCTTATAGATCATTCTCAAACTAATATTTTTCATAACATATTCAATTGCTCTCATTTGATCTGCATATAAATGGAATCAAAGATAATGCCCTTAATTGACTTAAGTGACATTTATGGTACTCTCCACAAACGTACATTTCTTTCAAGTAAACATGAAGATAAAGTATAACCAAGCCCGTATGGAAAGCTTAAGAAATTTAAAAGAATAGAAACCATACAGAGTATGTTATTGGATCATATAGCAAAGTTAAATCTGAAATTAATAACTAGAGACATAAGAAAAATTCCAAAATATATTTGGATATGATACAATATACATCTAAATAACCCATAGGTCAACAGTAAAGTTTTAAGAAAAATTGAAAGTCGTATTTTAAAATTAATAAAATTTAAAATATACTAAAATTTATAAGCTATAAGTAAAGCACAGCTTACAAGGACATTTGCAGGTTTTAATATTTATATCAAAAAAGAAATAAGTCTCAATATCATAACTTAAAGTTTTATTATATAAAGCAAAAAAATAATACCAGGCACAGTGACCCGTGCCTGTAGTCCCAGCACTTTGGGAGGATGAGATGGGCGTATCATTTGAGCCCAGGAGTTCTAGGCTAGTTGGGCAACATGGGGAAACACGTCTCTACAAAAAAATACAAAAATTAGTCCGGCTTGGTGGTGCATGTCTATAGTCCCAGCTACTTAGGAGGCTGAGGTTGGAGTATCACTTGAGCCCTGAGATGTTGAGGCTACAGTGAGCCGTGATCACACCACTGCACTCCAGCGTGGGCAACAGAAAGAAAAAAGAAGAAAAAGCAGCAAGGGAGAAACAAAGGATGTAGAAGTAAAGAAATAATAATTAGAGCAGAAATCAATAATATTGAAAAAATAGAGAAAGTTTATCAAATCAAAAGCTAATTCATTGAGAAAATATTTTTAAGTTAACTCAAAAATTGCCAATACTAGGAATGAAAGAGGAAATATTACTACTGATCCCAGAAACATTCAACGGTAATAAGGGACTATGACACAGGACTCTTGCCCATAAAGTTTACAAGTTACAACAAATAAACAAATGATTCCTTGAAAGATACTATCAAAATGCATTCAAGAAGATATAGATGATAAGGCTAGTCGTATATCTATTTAATAAATTAGAGTTCTATGCAAAAGATTCCAAAAAAGAGAACCCTTATATTTTCACTGGAGAATTCTACCAAATATCCTGCAACAGCTCTTAGGAAAGTATTATTAAAGAACATCCAATACATATAAAAATGAGGACACATTGCAACCAAGTGGAGTTCATTTCAGGAATGGAGGAATTTTGCAACTTTCAAAAACCGAACAATGTAATTCACCATATTAACAGACTAGAGAATAGAAGCTTTATGATCATCTCAATAGGTGATTTTAAAAAAACTTTGACAAAATTTAACATCCATTCATGATAATTAGAAAAAGGGAAAAGAAAATAATCCATCAGCAATCTAGGGATATAAATGCCTTAACTTGAAAAAGAACATCTAAATAGAACAAAATGAATACCATCTATAGCTAACATTGTGTTTAATGTTTACTGACTGAATATCTTTTCCTTAAGGTTGAGAATAATACAATGAAATGATGTCCACTCTTACCACTGTTATTGTACATTTTACTGGAAATCTAACCAGTACAATAATATAAGAAAAAGGAATAAAAGACATACAGATTGGAGCAGAAGTTATGCAACTCTTTCTCTCTCTAGATGACATGATTTCTTACTTAGAAAACTAATAATCTATATAAAATCTAGAACTGTTAGCTTTTTTATTATATAACATTAATATGCAAGTCAATCATATGCCTATATACCAAAATTAAACAATTGAGATATGAAATTTTAAAAAACAATATTATTCATAATGGCACCAAAACTGAGATTCTTAGGTATAATTCTAACTCAATATACATGGAAAAATACAAAGCAATGATGAAATAAATTCAAAAGTTCTAAATAAATGGAATCATGTAATATAGCCATTAATTGGAAGAATAAAATGGCAATTCTCCTCAATCTTATCTATAAGTTTAATGTATTCCTAGTTAAAATGCCAGTAACTTTTCTGTAGCTATCAACAAGCAGATTTTAAATTTTATTTGAATGGCAAAGTGATCTAAATAGCCAAAACAATTTTTATAAAAACAAACACATTTAGAGGATTACCAATACTCAATTTCAAGACTACAGTTCTCAAAATAGTGTGGCTTCAGTGAAAAAGTGTTCACATAAATCAATGTAACAGAGAATAGAGTTCAGAAATAGAACCTCACATATATTGAAACTGATTTTAATAAGATGCAAAGGCAGTTCAATTAATACAAGGTGATGCTTTCAACATGTATTGTGTAAAAAAAGGAGTATCCATATAAAAAAGTGAACCTCAATTGCAACTCACAATTAGTACAAAAATTTACCCAAAATTGGTGATACATCTAAATGTACAAGTCTTAGCAAACTTTTGGAACAATTTGATTTCTCATACACTGCTGTGAGGAATGTAAAATATTACAACCACTTTGGAAAATGGTTTGGCTATAACTGTTAAACATGCAAACACCATTTGATAGAACCAATTTTCTTCCAGGAATTTACCCAAGAGAAAAGAAATCACATTCCATATCAATACTTATAGATCAGTTTTCAAGAAACTTTATATTTAATAACCAATGACTGGAAACTACATTGACAAATTTATGTTAAGGTGTGAACACATTGTGGCATATCCATATGATGAAATACTACTCAACAATAAAAAGTAATGAACTATTGATACATGTAACAACATGTATGAATCTCAAAATAATTTTACTGAAAAAACAAGACAAAACAAAGTACATATGATATGATTCCATTTATATAAAATTCCAGAAAATGCACATTAATTTATAATAACAGAAAATAGATTGGTAGTTGCTATAGATGGAGATTATGCGGAAGAAGTAAGGGCGGGTGGAATGACAAAGGTTCACAAGGAAACATTTGTGAGTGGTGAATATATTTAGGACCTACTTTATGGTTATGTGTTCATGGCTGTATATACATGTTAAGGCTTAACTTATTTTGAACTTTAAATATGTACAGTATTATAAATAAATTACACCCCAATAAACTTTGAAAATATAAACATTATAAACTATTAAATGACCTGCTAGAAACAATAGAAATATCAGTCAAGGAGATTGACACACTGTTCTGAGTAAACGCAAACAACAAAACAAATGACTTCGAAGCATATAAAAAAAATTTCTCTCACTAAATTAATGGAATTCATTATATGATTTGCATGTTAATAAACATTTTGAAGTATAGCATATATTAAAAAGTAATCAAATTTCAAGTGGTGACTTTGATGCATCATCAAGGAAACAACTCCATTTAAACTTCACCCTGATCAAGAGATGGGACATACCTTTCTCATGAAACTGCCTATCCTGCCTTCCCTCAAACTAAGTGCTTGAAACCTTCATAAAGTTAATCATTTTGCTATCTTCTGACAGGGTAATAAACTTATCTGCTTTTGAATACTACATAAATGTTCATACCTAGTATCTTTCACTTGTCATTATACTTGTGAGATGATATTGATAGAAAGCAATGTGATAATATTTATAAAATTTCCAAATGCGTAAACTCTTTGTCTCAGCAATTGTACTATGACGAATGTATTCTAAAGACATATGTCTATGAGCAAAATCACATTTTTTAAAACAAGTTTTTAATCTGCATTGTAATTACAAAATCTGTCAGTAACAACAGCAAAAAACACACAATAGAGAGCTGATTCAATATTTAATGGTATCTAGGTAGAGTAGAATATTATGCAGCCATTTCAAAGCATAAACCAGTTCTTTTAAATGGCACATTTAAAATAAACACATTTATATAGGTATAAATTATATCTGGAATGATACAAAAGTTGTCTCTAATTTTAAAAACACAGGTGAGGGATATTTATATTTCTCAATTTATCTTAGTTAGTTTGTATTGTCTGTTAAATGAAATAGTTTAAAATTGTTTTAAAAACTTAGAATTATTAAATGTAGACACCCTAGGAATATTGTTATAAGTAAAACAATTGATAACGTTACTTGTAATCTTGAAAATACTTGCAAATTAAAATTAGGATCTTTATTGTATATAATTAAAATGTATTTTATTTCACAACAATTTATATAGCTTAACTTAGTTTTAAAAAAATGACTGTCATAAATCTTTTCACTTTTTTACCTATGACAAAAATATAATAAAAAGTAAAAAAAATAAGCTACATGTGGCAAATATTTTAAGTTACTTAACAAACACTGGCACTTTTAAAACAAGGGAATATTTAAACACTGTGCACACAGACAATACTAAGCTTCATGTCTGATCCATTTTGTGGTCTATATTGAGCGTGTAGTACATTCTAGTACCAACTTTTAGAGGCTTTTGCTTTTTTATACTCTGCAGAATTGTATGAAATATCAAGGCAGTATTGTGATAGCTGATATTACAGAAACAAATTGAGGACCACTTTTCCAGATTAGTTCATTCAGTTACTACTTATTTGAGTATGATTTCCCATGGGTTGTATTGAAAACGAGAAGACATTTTCTCAGTCATTTAGAATGTGAAGTAGAGGAGAAAAGTAAATGGATCCAAACTATTTTCCTTTTGAGAAGCACAGGTTGTTCTTTGAAGTACTTGTGTTTTATCATTATGGATACTTCTTTACTGACACAAATAATCTCCCTTTTGAATCACAGTGTCCAAGAAGTGCAAGATGAAAAGATCTGATGTATACATTATTCGGTCAAGACCCTTCGTTGACAGAATAACTCTTTTTACTCTCTTTGTGTTGAGTCTTATTTTTTCTGAGAGTATCAGAGCTGTAGGTTTCTTTGATGTGGTTAAATTTCATCCTCCTAAAAAGAAACAATTCAAGCTATTATTGTCATCCATTATCTAATAACTTATATAAAGAGGAATTATTATTTTGCTTTGATTTTCACTTTGCTTTGTAACCAGGGAAGACCATTCATATCCCAGAAAGTTGTTCTCACCAGTAGAATCTGAGCAGAGCTGTTGCAATATTCACTTTTTGGGCCAAGCCTTTTAAGAAGTAAATGTGCCCCTTCCACATTCTCTTTACTCTTCCTGCTGTTAGAATCAAATGGAAAAGTGGACACAAGGGATGGTAAAACTGCAAGCTGGAAGTGGCCCTTGTCCTTAAATACATTACCTTGAATGTCATCTGCCAACCATAAAAACTGTATTGGTCCACTGGCTGAATGAGAAAATGCTTCTTACGCATAGTGACTCAAATTGTGGTGGCAGGATTAACCTACCATTAGTCAATCTCACATGATTGTATTAAAATAGACAAGACTTCTTGGCTGATATCAGCATTAGGAGGAAGTTGTATTGATTATGAAAAGGAAGTCTAAATCGCTTTCACAATTTTAGGATGTGTGATTAAATCAAAATAAAACTATTTACATCTGGTTGTGACCTGAATAGAGTTGTTAATTCATATGCAATCAAATTATGAAAAGAGCAAGCAGTTATAAACAACCTAATGCAGATGTTCAACGAAGAATATAGCCCAGATTTAAGCCTCAATGGTGTCTCAAAATACAACACATATTTTGAATTTTAAAATAACCACCTAATTTTGTAACAATAACTCCAGATTTCCAAGTTATATGATAAAATAAGTACAGTGTTTGTCTCAGTTTCTAAGCTCAGAGTTTTATTAAAATAGCTACCGGAAGAAAATTCTGAACAAATTTGGAATTCTCGGAAAATAGGGAATTGTATTATAAATAATCCTCAAGGAAATAATGGAAAATACATTGTCATTGAACCAGAATGAAGAAGTTAATGGGTCTAACTTATTAACTTCTATTCCTTTCTGAAACATGGGATCAATAAGGACCTTTGGGGAATCCCAGATTTTTTTCAGGAGTGAAGATTGGAGGTGGAAGTAAGGATTAAAGAAACCACATTGATTTTGTTTTATACCACTAATGAGTAGAAGTTTAAAGCAATGGCACTTGTGTGTAAGAGGTGTTTTACAACAGCTAAGTAAGTAGGTAGTTGTTAGGTGATAAGAGCTTGTCCTTGATAGGAATTAAGTGTAAAAGATCTTGTAGATCTCGACCTTCAGTTTGAAGCAATGAGTGTGGGATTCTTACAATTACCATTGTCAGTAGAAGACTCAAAATAGGCAAATTAAGGATACAGCAACAAAATAGCGAAAAGCATTAAAAATGATAGAAAACATAGTCAAAAAACCCTGTCTGACACCCTGTACCTTCAGGACTTCCACTTAATTTTATCATAGGCGGTTAGCAGCACTTGCATGTGTTCAATTTGTAAAGTATAAATGCTAGTATAAAGGCAATGGCTAAAATAAGAAAAAAAAAATCAAAGAGATCAGCTGTAGCAAGGAGATCAGTACATACTATGACATTGACATGGAAACTGGACCAAACAAAATCATCTCAGAAAGTTGGTCCTTCACAGGCCAACTACACCAGTTATCAGTAAGAAATGGCATAAAGGAACTTTGTATGCTGGGATCACCATAGTTGTGGAATTCTTCATAGGTTAGTAATTGCTGAGCTAGAAGTAGAAATGTTTCACAAGCTGATCTTTGGTTTAAGTTCTCAGAAGAGACACATAGAAACAAGAAGTTGGATAGTGAGCAGCAACAAGGTGAATTCACACAATTTTGAGGACGCTATTAGCTAGGACTCAAATATAAGTAACCAAACACATTCGCAAATATAAGCACATTCACATTCACAAAATGTAGCTGTACAAACTTGCAATACACAAAATAAGGAAAGTAATACTCGTTGGAGAGAAAAATATGTAATAACTAAAACCAGAATAAGATTATGCAATTAATCTAATTTCTATTTTATTAAAATTCAATAAAACTTGATGAAATGTACTTTGAAAAAAATATTAAACATGAGATTGAAATACCAAGTAGAAATAAAATGAGAAGCTGAATCAAATGTAGGCTGCAAGGCTAAAGTAATTTTTATTTAAAACAAGCAAAAGGAGCAAGGCGCAGTGTTTCAGGCCTGTAATTCCAGCATTTTGGGAGGCCGAGGCCAGGGGATCGCTTGAGCCCAAGAGTCCTAGACCAGCCTGGACAACATAGTGAGACCTCATCTCTACTACAAACTTTTTTTAAGAAAAGATTACCTGGGCATGGTGGCTAGCACCAGTAGTCCAAGCTACTCAGGAGGCCAAGGCAGAAGGATGGCTTGAGGCCAGGAAGTTGAAGGGGCAATGAACTGTGATCCTGCAGCTGCAGTGAGCTGTGATGGTGCTACTGCACTCCAGCCCACGCGAATCCCTTGTGGCAGTATCCAGGGCATCAGCGAGATCCTATCTTAATTTTAAAAAATCAAAAAGCAAAATGAATACTGCTAAAAGTATAAATAGTAATGCGAAGGAAAAACAAAATAACACAGGAACAGGAAACCAAACACCTTATGCTCTCACTCATAAGTGGGAGTTGAACAATGAGAACACATAGACACAGGGAGGGGAACATCACACACTGGGGCCTGTCAGCGGGGGTGGCGCGGGGGAGGTGGGGAGGAGATAGGGGAGGGATAGCATTAGCAGAAATACCTAATGTAGATGACGGGTTGATGGGTGCAGCAAACCACCATGGCATATGTATACCTATGTAACAAACCTGCATGTTCTGCACGTGTATCCCAGAACTTAAAGTATAATAAAATAAATAAATAAATAATTGCACTTAAGATGAAGAAAGGTCAACGATTATGAAATGATTTGTTACACTATTGAACAGGTTGACAGCTATTGAATAAGCTATTCCATATTTTCCAAAAAAGAGTCAAAAAAAAAGACAGCAAACAATGATGGTTTTATAGGCCAATCGTTTCATTTCCTTTCTAATTTAATCTGATATACCTAATTTATATGTTATTAAAGATTTTCTTTCAGCCTACAAAATAGTACATTAATTTTAGTGACTAAAAAATAGGATGAAATCCAAAACTCTTTGCTTTTACCATTTATCACCATTCCATCCGTATAAACCTATGTATCACATATAAATGTGATACAGATATACATAGATATTACACATATTTTCCCATAGCTTACAAATATTAAATCAAACCATACCCATTAGTTAATATACAACTTGTGTTTTGAATAAAATATTACAGATGATTCCAGGTCAAAACATTTTTAGATGTTTACAAACTAAATGTTGTGAACGTTTGGAAATACATATTCTATGTCCAGGCAAGACCCAGATAACTTAAATCAGAATCTCTTATTGCAGTATCCAAGGAGTGAATGATTTTAGAGTTTCCACCCCCCTGTACCTGGTGATTCTAATGCATAGACAAGGTTGAGAAAACTATATAGAGCAAAGTCATCAGCTTATAAAGCATCAAAATAACCCATGTGTGTCTTCACTATGATTTACCTATTGATGGATAGATCACCTCTCTGTTAGGCAGCTGTCTTGACAGCATTCCCTGTCTTCCCCTTCTTCTTTTTGTCACTTTGGCTTCAGGATTGGTAACAGCTTAGGCATTTAAAAAATATCATTTCCCTATACTTTCACTCATATAAAGAAACCCTCCTTAACTGTTTGTATTTTGAATCAGCCCATTTTTTTTTCTCTCTAGGGACCCCTAAGCATACACTGTGGATGAACTGCCTTTGTTATTACATAAAGCAAACTTCTACTTGTACATTAGCTCCCATCCCTTAATGCCCTCTTAAGAATATTGATCCAACAATTGTCTCTTCTATTTCTTGTATCACCATTTTTTCTCTCTTTCTCTTTGATAATTATTGGAGCTATGGAAACATTTAAATACAAACAGCAGTGATTGTTTCTTTCTTAAAAAGATCCTTCCTTTGAAGCCACATTTCCCTTCACTATCTCCTCATTCCTCTGCTTCCCTTTAGAACAAACCACACTGCCCCCAAACCACTATTCAGCCATTCTGATTCCTCTTCTACATGCTCTTCAACCTCTACACACATACCACCTCATTTTAAGGGTCTTATTTTCACACTCCATTCAAACGGTTCTTGGGAAAGCCACCCACTCCACTTCTACCTTGCCACATTACATTCTCTATTTGCAGACTTCTTAGTTGAACCATCAAAATATTTGGAAACATTTCAACTATTTCCTCCCTGAAGCACTTTTCTTGGTTGTATTTTGGCATATCTGTGTCTTTTGCTGTTTCTCTCACATCATTCCTTCTCTTTCTTAGTCTCCTTTGGTAGGAACTTCACCCTCTGACTTCTAAAAGTTGGAGTGCCCCAGACCTCAGACCTCTTTGCTATGCTATACCCTCATTTTCGGGTTATTCAAGTAACTTTATGTCTTTAATGCCAACTGGATGCCAACTGTGCAAAACCCTCCAATGGCTTTTCACCTCACTAAGGTCAACACCAAAGCCTTTCAGTGGTGTGCAAAAGACTACAAGATCTGAGCCCAGCTAGCTCTGTGACATCACCCAGAATTCCACTCTCCATAATCAGTCTCCTCCTCACATTGGACAAACAATCGTGATCATACCTTGGGGCCTTTCCACATCTTATCCCTTCTGCTTTCTGAAGGACACCCATATGTTTCATTCCCTTCCTGTTTCAGTCCTCAGATTAATATCACCTTATTATAAATAGGGCTTTCTATGATCCCTCTCTGTAAAATAACAACATTCTCCAACTCGACCTACTCTATCCCTATCATCCTACTTAATTTTACTTCAAGACACTTAACATCGAAATCACAATACATTCAATTGTTTATTTATTTATTGTCTGCTTCCCAACCTTTCCCCACTAGACTATAAATATTGTATAAATCTAAGAGCTTCTTTTTTTTTTTTAATTCAAGTCACTGATCTCACAGCATCTAGAATGGTATCTGTTACAGAGTAAGTATTTGAGAATTTCTGGTTAATTGGATGAATGAATGAGTGTTCATTTTCATTTTCTCTTCTGTGGATTACTTGTGTGTTTTTTAAAGTTATATCTTATGTTTTCTTCATATATAAGAAAATATAACCTTTTGCCCTTTACTTGCCAAATATTGTGTGCTGGTTTATCATTTGTCTTTTAATTTAGTTTATAATGTCAATTGTCATACATAAAAATTTGATATTTAATTTTGATAAAATTGCTCAATTACAAAATGATTATAACAG
The DNA here is from genome assembly GCF_000001405.40 of Homo sapiens. Classification (NCBI taxonomy): domain Eukaryota; kingdom Metazoa; phylum Chordata; class Mammalia; order Primates; family Hominidae; genus Homo; species Homo sapiens. The sequence goes on along the minus strand of NC_000002.12, from coordinate 184,430,490 downwards.
GCAAGTAAAATGTGTCACAATAAATGGCTTTTTCTTTTCTTTCTTTTCTTTTTTTTTTGAGACAGAGTTTCATTCTGTTGCCCAGGCTGGAATGCAATGGTGCAATCTGGGCTCACTGCAACCTCTGCCTCCCTGGTTCAAGCGATTTTCCTGCCTCAGCCTCCTGAGTAGCTGGGATTACAGGCATACGCCACCACGCCCAGCTGTTTTTTTTTTTTTGTACTTAGGATTTAGTATTTAGTAGAGACAGGGTTTCAACATGTTGGTCAGGCTGGTCTTGAACTCCTGACCTCAAACGATCCACCTGCCTTGGCCTTCCAAAGTGCTGGGATTACAGGCTTGAGCCACCATGCCCAGCTCAATGGCTTTTCATTTCACATCTCTCTCTCTCAGACTCACAAAATATTAACACTTTTATAAAATATTCAAAATGAAAAATAATCTTTAATGAAAGAAGGACATATCTGTAACTTGGAAGTACAAAATGCTATTTCTTTAAAAATCTACCAAATGTAATCTGGGATAAGACAGCATGCTGATAAGTAACACACACTGCTTCAGCCCTCATATAATAAGTTTTCTCACAGGTTGATGTCACTTTTTCAGCAAAGTTAGGTCAAACGATTACTATATGCAAGAGACAAAGTAAGTGCTAAAGATAATATTGAGAAATACAGTGTGTGACACCCCTTATGATTAAAAAAATGCATTCTTGGTATCCAACAAAAGACTATAAAAGGCAAAAAACAGCAAAATTAATAAACATGTATGTACACATAATAAACATGCATTTCTATATGCATATGTATATACATACATGAGTATGTGTGTGTATGCAAATATTCAGTGCTCAAACTGTGGTAGTTACCTAGACTTTGCATCTTCCTCCTTTATGCTCCATCATCTTTAAATCCTAACACATTACCATAAAGTGAGGATTATGCGTTTCATCCAGGATAATGTAAAGTAGCATGCTGAGCTAGAATCAAAAATGTTTGCTATCTTAGCATATTAATTTTTCATGGGTGAAATTGTTTACCTAGACTCTTTAGAAAAGGTTAGTCTGGTCTAATCCTTAAGAAATTCTATTCAAATTAATGCTATGACAAATTAAATGTCTTCATTTTTGTATACACTAAAATATCAAATGGAAATTATGATATTTAGTCATCTAATAGTAAATGTTCCCTGTAGTACTTAAGGACTTACTAGATTATTGATAATAAACTCTCTCATAACTTTCTGAGTGAAATTTTATACGTGTGTATGTGTGTGTGTGTTTGTGTGTAAAATATAATTAACATATGTGAAAGTTTTAAGTTTTTTAATTTCAAAAAATTTTGACAAGCATTTTATCTGCATACTCAGTAACATATAGAGATGACTTTTATTACTTGATGTTGAGCCTTTAAAATATAATGTAACCTTAAACATTTTAATTTGTCTTTTAAAAAATTATGGTAAAGATAATATTTTTGCAGGGCAGTTTGTAAGACATACAATTCAGTTTTATTCTAGATTTTATGCATGGCTCTCTTCTAAAAATTGTGTATACTAAAACTTATTTTGATGTCATGTTCCAACTTATATTTATCATTCCTACCAAAATATGCCATTAAATAAGTATTTTAAAATACTTTCTCTGTATCAGAACCCCAGAATTAAGTCTCTGGAAATCTTTTTAAACACTGAGAAAGAATTAATTTCCTTCATGATTTGTTGTTTCTTCCAAATGGGCAATAAGAATCTAGTGCCTGCTTATTTTTTTTTTAATTCCATTTGTAAAAAATAAGCTCAGATTCAAAAAGGAGCTGCAAATTTACGCAGTTAATGTTAGAATTATGATAGCAATTCTAATCATATATGCTTGAGTTTGATAATTTTCACCATTTATTTGTATGTATTTATAATTTCAAATTCATTATTATGGATTTCTTTTTGAAATTGTAATACCACTTTAATATTTAAATATTAAATTTAGTAAAGATATTCCAGGGCTTTTAAATAACTTATAATGATTATGTTTTTATTTTTATTTAAGATTACAATTCGTAATTGTTGTTTCATTAACTATTGTGTGTCTGTGCTTTTCTAAGTTTTTGTTAGAGACATACATCTGGGCCTTAGTATTCTTGTAGAATTACAATGGCACATCAATATCTGTATACCTTATTAGCTTTTCAAAGAAACGATTCTGAATTTTAAATTAATTTAGGCTTAAAAAAACTATACATTTTAAATACCATTAGTACAATTGTACAAGTAAAAAAAGACATTAATTTTGAAAGCACCTTGAAGAAAGTTTTTTATTTGGTGGCAGGTAATAGAAAAAAAAGTATTTCATTTCCTGTGATTTGCTTATAGTTTAACTGGTAAACACGAAAACTCTGCCTGAAGACATTTCTCATTTTGAAAAGCACTGAATTTTAATTTCTTACAACAATCTTCTCAGAGTACTCATTAAAATAAAACCTTCAATTAATTTAATTTTAACTAATTCTTCTTGAAGCCTTGAGTCTCTTAGCTACTGGATCACATGCCAGACTTGTAAAATGACATCTTTTTATTTCTTTCTAAATTATAAATTTTCTATATCCCTGGAAATATTTTGATAGTATATCATAAGTCTGAGTCTGGAAAATTGTAAACTTATATAAAACTCATACAGATAAAGAAATAAAGAATACACATTACTTACTAAAATCTGTAACGGCCCTTCCAAAATGATTTCTTAAAAATATTATTTGTTATAGATAATGCTAATTTAAAGACATACATTGCTCCAGAAAACCACTATATGATGTCACCTATAAATGCATTAGAAGTATACATGTAGAAGTGAATTTATTAATGCTACTAAGAGTGCTCATAACTGTAGCTAATTAATTGCTTGCGACCACACTGGCATGATTTCATAACAAGGATAATAGGCTGAACTTGGTAAATGTTGAATCAGTGGAAACTGGTAGATTCACTGATTGATTGAGGTCAAATTTCCCTATGTAAATCAAAATATGCAATACAAAAATTAAAACTATTGACATATGCTTCTTAGCATCTTCTATCTAAAACATTAAGCCTACTGGTAGAATTATTCTTTTTTTTCTTTTTTTGAGACAGAGTCTCGCTCTGTTGCCCAGGCTGGAGTGCAGTGGCACGATCTCAGCTCACTGTAAGCTCCACCTCCTGGGTTCACGCCATTCTCCTGCCTCAACCTCCTGAGTAGCTGGACTACAGGCACCCGCCACCACGCCCAGCTAATTTTTTTGTATTTTTAGTAGAGACGAGGTTTCATCGTGTTAGCCAGGATGGTCTCGATCTCCTGACCTCATGATCCGCCTGCCTTGGCCTCCCAAAGTGCTGGTATTACAGGCGTGAGCTACTGCGCTGGGCCCTGGTAGAATAATTCTACCTTATTTTACTATTAAATAACTTGGGTATCATTTAAAATAAATTATCAAAATTAACACTGATTTTTAAGTGGACTGGATCTCTTTAATATTTGTTTCTATTATTATTATTATTAAGAGATGGAAACTTGCTATGTTTCTTAGGCTAGATTCAAACTCCTGAGCTCAAGGGATCCTCCTACATCAGCCTCTCTAGTAGCTGAAACTACAGGTATGTAATATTTAACTTTTAAACATGGTATGTTCTAGACTTTAGAAGCAGAATATTTGAATTTTCTGAAAATATTGAGCAGATGGGCAAGTCTGGGACCCTGAGAGACCATGATAAAATTATTTAGAAGTAAAATTAGAAAGGGGCCATTTTTCATAGTCATTCTTTGAATGGAGTATAAGTAACAGTAAGTTATTCCGAAGGCCTGGAAGATCAGTGTATCTTTGGAACTCTTTGGTTTTTCCAAGGTCTTAATCTTGGCAAGATTTTGAACTTTGCTGTCACAAATATCCAACAAGTCAAATTAGGCTGTGTTAGAGGCAGAATGTTTTATTTTTTCTTAACCAATTTAGCTCTAGTAGAACTTTGAAAGATTTATTGCAAGATATAACCTTTACTGGTTAAGTTAGCAAAATCAAATCAATTCTAAATATCAAAATAGAAGGAAGAATTGAATACAAAAACTGATACTCTTCATCATTGGCATTTTAAAATAAGAAATCTATCTAATTTTGTTTTGAGAGGATAGTAGTAAACTGCTTTTTCTTAGCAAAATATAAGTTAACTTCTATTATAACTGCACAATAAAATACATGTTGACTTGCAACATCACATTCTGTTCTCATAAATACAGTTAGTATCTATTCATGGCCATGGTTGTCATGTAATAGTCGGGGAAGAGGGTCTCTGGTAATATTGGAAACGTTTGAAATACTAGTGTCTAGGCACTGACTCATTCAATGCTAAGAAAATATGACAAGGAAAAGAACTATTAATATATTACGTATTTCCTGACTAGAAATAAAATAAGGATGTTACAAGAAAGACTGCCATAATTAAATTGGTATTTGTATAACCTAAGCTAACTATGGTTCATGTACCAACCCAAAAGATTTAGAAAAACACTGGAATCATATTCCACTTCAGAGAAGAGAGATTAGAAAAAGACACTGACTCTTAAAACTGGTAGTGTTGGTGACCTAAGCAGTAAGAATGACTGAAATAGCCAAATTAATTATCTTAACTCTATGTAGTTTGCTGACTTCTGGAAATTACAGGGAGAACAAAGTTTATGAGTAAGGCTATGAAAGAACCCTGAAAATAAATTCAAATTGCTCAAACTGATACTTACCTGGCAGGGGAGATACCACAATCACAAATTGCTCAAACTGTTCATTTTCTTACATCGTGGAAAGGTAGAATTTTCTTTTGGAAAGAGCAGAAATTTGCATGAAGAGTTTCTTAATAACATAACAATCAGTTAAACAGACTGGTGCTTGCTAAATATTTTCAAGGCTTTAGTGTCTTAAACTTATCACATGAGCGGGGTTAAGTTGGTACTAGTATCTATAAAGCTGCATCGGTATGACTCTAGGGAAACTGGAAGCACCTTGGTTAGGGGATTATTTTAATCTAGCTAATGTTTTATCAATAATTGGGTTTATAATAAAAACAAATTAGTTTATTCTAAAAATTTAGTGTTCAGATGAACATGTAGGGCATAGGTCCTCTGAGCTCGCTGAACCAAGACATTACCTAAGACACAGACATTGCTCAACCTCCCTTGGGTTACCCTGTCAAAGCAATGGCATGACACGCTGACATAATGTTACCCTGGGGAATGAGTACTGGGCTCTTAGTCTTGTAGAATTGCTTTATCCACATGACATGTTGGCTTGTCATAATTCTAACCTCCAGTTTTCTCTTAAATATTTTTGTTGCTTTTCTTGCACTTGTGTTTTGGGGCCTGAAATTAACATAAGAAGAAAAGAGAGCTTGACTTTTGGTTTTGGTGTGATACTGTTGAGATGATGTCTCCAATATAAAACTGGGACTACTTCATAGATTTTTAATTTTTAAAAGAATTTTACTTATCTTACTTTAATTTCTTATTAGGGTTTTGATAATAGGAAAATTTTTATAATGATCAAATATGTGGCATAATAGTTTTGACATTGTATTATTAAGATTGATTTTATAAGATCATTTGAATCATTATATAATCTTCAGTGAGTTATAATTAACCCTGTTCCTGGGAAAAATAATTAAGATGAAAACATAAAAATGTGTAATTTGGAGCTAGGGAACTTTATGGCCTTGGGTTTCTGTAACTAGTGTATCTGTCTAAACCATTTCAGGTCTTTCTGGGGTCAAAAACATAAGCAACTAAACATTGCTATGAGAAGGATACATGTTGCATTAGAAAATGAGAGTAAAATAACTATGCTAAACAGATATTCCCCTTCCCTAAAGAACATGGGAATAGCTTAAAGAATAGCTAAAGAATGCTGGAGAGCCATTCACTTACTGTTATGCCCAGTGGTTAACAAAACAAAATGGAGGGGATTGCATGGAGTCAACAATTCCGTCTTGTTTCCTATGTTCCTGAATATAAAACAAGATCCTCTTCTAATATGGCTATGCACCTGGAAAAATTACCAAGTGTGTCTCTTTACTTGTTTCACCCCAAGGGAGTGAGGACGGACTTATCTAAATAATGCAGACATTTTGTGATCTCCACGAAGAAACAGGATAGACCCATCCCCCAAAGTTTTGCTTGGAATGTCAAGACTGATGATGCCACATACACACTAAGAGGTTAAGGAAACAGTTTATTACTCTCATAATGAGACTTTCTCAGGAGAGCAGGGCAAGCAGCAAGCAGGTCCAAAAGTGGTTTGAGAGAGTATGAAAAGTTGCCTGGCTTGGGTTTTTTGTGATTAGGGAAAGGTTAAGGTGAAGGTTCTCACACGTGGGCTAGGGCTTAATTGCTTTGAACTCCTGGCTTCCAAAGAAGGAGTACCTGTGCTTTCTTTTCGGCGTGCTCAAATATGGGGCAGAAGAGGCAGAGGGAGTGGTGGGAATTGAAAGAAGCCAGCAGTAAAACATAAAAAATGAAGTCAGAATCTTTATTATAAATTAGAAGTAAATTCTATTGGAGAAAAATTTCCTTAGAAAGAGACAAAGGATGAGACTACATCACAGCAAGAAAACTATGTGTCTAAGAGATTGGAAGTGAAATTTATAGCCTATTTAAGCAATACTGTTTCGAAAGATACAATGGAAATTCTCTTTCAAAAAGGTAGAGTGAAATCAAATTTGAGTACCTAACACATGATATTGGAGGGAAGAGGAATTTAAACTCTCTAAATTAAATAGGTATATAAAGAGATTATGTAGAAGAAAATATGATAAAATATATTTTTTTTCTTTTATTCTTCCTTTTCTCTCCTTCCATCTTTTACCATTTTAATGCAATTTTCTCAATACATTGGCTTGTTTTAATTATCCTCTCTATTTTCTTTTTTCATTTCCTTTTAGACAAATGTTGATATGTGAACAAAAGCAAATATTGGAAGCATATAGTTTACTATATTACTTATATATATAAGCATATAGTTTATAGTCTGGTTTTTAAAGTCCTAATTTAATTTAATAAAAATTCCATAGTCTTTCTCTTAACCATACCAAATGATTATCTTTAGTTTTTGTGGATTCTTCTACCTTACTTTCATTAAGAAAAAGCTGTAGCTTTTCTCTAAAATTTCTCTGAGACATGGAGTTTGGCAAAATAATGCCACCATTCAAAACATCCCTGGAGATTTCCCAATTTAGAGCTGTAGATTGGATTTTATATTCACAAGATTTGGTGCAAGAAAATAATTATTTTTGAAATATTGTTACTTCTACAAATAAAAATGTCTTATAATGATGTTACTGAAAATTAAAAGCTTGTTTTTATTAAAATCCAAAGAGGAAATAAGATAATGAATACTTCTTAAAATATAATTAGCCTAGCTTTTTTAAGGACTTGGGGATTCATATTTCAAATCATAAATTTGTGTTAGGAAATGAAGTAAATGTACTAGTTAGGTACATTATTTTTCTTTTTATCTTCTTTAATGGATGCATCTAAAAACATACCTATGTTACATAAATTGAAAATATTCTTAGAAAGCCTATAGTCCAACTCACTTAGCACATCTGTAAACTAAAATGCTTTTAGAGACCCTGGCTTGCCAATGGTAACAAGTCTGATAGGAACAGCATTCCTGAGCTGAAGTGTGATTAACTAAAAAGATAAATAGATAACTTTAAAACTGCAGCACTGAGGATGTAGAATGACCATGTAATATTAATATCATGGAAAAATGTGATCAACTTTTTAGATATAGCTACTTATTTATTAGGCTGTTGTAATACATATACTGTGAGAAGAAAAATGTAAAGTTGACCTCATAATTCCCCATGGAGAGGAAGAAAACCAACTGACAAAATATTTTCATGGATCATTTTAACTGTGGAAAGATTTTTCTTAGGTTAGAGTTCAAACAAATCAAAGAATAACTTTATCTGAAAAAAAAATAAAAATTTAAAGGCTGGGTATGTACAAACGGGAAGAGAGGAGTTTAAAGGAGGTGGAAGGTACTCAACAATATAACAAGATGCTTGAGTCAGGGTAGAAGATGTGACAAATGAAATTTCTCTGACAAGGAATCAAAGACGGATGAAATAATAGAAACAAGATACAAATATGTTTAAATTTAATTTTGCATTCTATGCTAGGATTGGATGAATTACAATTGTTATCTTGATGCCTAGGGTAACTAAGTAAAATGGGACTATATTTCTCTCACATTTGTGTTGCAAATAAGGAAATTACTATAGGAAGCAAGAAATGAGAACGTTCTTAAAGGTAGGAGAAGCTGCAAATGTACCTCAGAAGTGACCAGGTATAACAAAAGTCCCCTAAAATCTCTGGCAGGCATTTTAAAGGGTGCACAGTTCCCAACCATACATGGAATAGGATTTCAGCCAATTTTCTTTCAATACCAAAATAAAAATTATCCAGAGCTGACACCTAGTTATGTAAGTTAAAATTCCAATGAACTCTTACAATAAATGCAGTTTCCCAATCAGTATACACAGTTTCAAAAAGAACATTCGGAAGAAATATTGATAAATTTTATGCTTTACATAAAACCATTAGTTTTTACCAATAGATATTTTAAATTTTATTATTAAGATTGTTTTTGATTGACAAGTCATAATTGATCACTTATGAAGTACAATGTGATGTTTTGATATTTCAAAATAACTGAGAGTAAATTTCAAACGTCTTACTTTTTTTTTTTTTTTTTTGAGATGGAATCTCGCTCTACCGCCCAGGCTGGAGTTCAGTGACACGATCTAGGCTCACTGCAACCCCCACCTTCTGGGTTTAAGCAATCCTCTGGCCTCAGCCTCCTGAGTAGCTGGGACTACCGGCGCGTGCCACCACACCTGGCTAATTTTTTGTATTTTTAGTAGAGACAGGGTTTCACCGTGTTAGCCAGGATTATCTCAGTCTCCTGACCTCGTGATCCGCCCTCCTCAGCCTCCCAAAGTGCTGGGATTATAGGCGTGAGCCACCACGTCCGGCCTATTAAAGACTTCTATTGCATTAACAGTGTTACTACTTGTGAAAGAAAATTATAAAATACAATTAAAAATAGCAGAAAATAAAATCAACTACATAAAATTTTACCACTTAATAAGCATGATTATTACTAAATAATCTAGTTATACAGTTTTATGAAAATATTATTAAATGAGATAATATAGAAGCGTTTTAATATTTCATAAATGTCTTTACATTTTAGTAAATCTTTTTTCAAAAAACATTTTCTTTACATAAAGTAGTATCATAATTTACATATTATCTTCCATTTAATGCTAGATCATAAAAACGTTTTTATATCAGTACATGTAGCTCCTACTTATTTTGTATACAGATGAGCATCTGTAATCCAAAAATCTAAAGTATGAAATGCTCCAAATTCTAAAACTTTTTGAGTTCTAAAATGATGCACAGGTGGAAAATTCCACACCTGACCTCGTGTGACAGGTACAGTCAAAATGTAGCCACACAACTCAGTTTTTTAGAGTCCCCAAGAGAAAAAGACCCTCCCAGTCCACTTAAGCTGTGATATCTTTTTCCATTGCATGCCGGGATTCCCCCAGGCAAGCATACACATTAAAGTTTTTTTGTTTTGTTTTGTTTTGCTTTTTTTTAAAAAAAAAAAGAAAAAGAAAAAGAAAAGAAAAGCATGTGGTCAGGGCTAAATGCACCAGTGGCAGGATCCCCACAATGCCCTACATGGAACCAAAATCTATGTGAATTACTCATCGAGATTGTTTGCATAATCTCTGCTGTACGGTATAAAGATATTGTTGAAAAAGTCAAAAAAGCCTGCAGATACCCCTATCAGTAACAGTGGGACCAAAAATAATAAGCATTTATGTTTATCTATAGCATAGAAAATCAAGCTGTTGGAGAAAGAGAGCAGTGTAAGTGTGAAATGTCTTACAGAAGAGTATGGTGTTGGAATTACCACTATATATGGCCTGAAGAAACAGGATAAATTGTTGAGTTCTATGCTGAAAGTGATAAACGAATGTTAGTGAAAAATAAGAAAACATTGCATAAAGCTAAAAATAAAGATGTCGATTATATTTTGGAAGAGTGGATCTGCAAGTGTTGCAGTGATTACTATTACATGTCAGTAATAGTAATCATAAAATAAGCAAAGATCCATCATGATGAACTGTAAATTGAAGGGAACTATGAATATTCAACACACCACTTGCAAATATTTAAGAAAAGACATGGCATTAAATTTTTAATGATTTCTGCTGATAAAGCATCTGCTGATCACAAAGTAGCAGATAAATTCATTGAGGAGTTAACAAAGATCATTGCAGATGAGAATTTACAACAGAACGAGTCTTTAATGCTCATAAAACATCATTGTTCTGATGTTATTGCTCCATAAAGACACTGACCACAGCTGACGAGACAGCTTCTACAGGAATGAAGGATGCTAAGGATAGAGTAACTATGCTGGGATGTGCTAGTGCAGTAGGCAAGCTTAAGTGTAAAGTTGCTGAAATAGGCAAAATTTTGCATTTTTGCTGTTTTAAATGAGAGAATTTCTTATCAGCCCATTATTATGATAACAAAAGGCATGGATCACCAGAAACATCTTCCTGATTGATTTCACAAAGCTCTTCTACAGGTGATTCATGCTCACTGCAGGGAAGCTGCACTGGGTGACAACAGCCCTCAAGTGAGAAAAAAAAATGGCTGACTTTCCTACATATGCAAAAAAATATACCTTCAGAATTCATCAGTAAGCTTGAAGAAGTAGATATCAAAGAAGTTTTATACATTTATATTGAGGCTACAGTTGTTCATTCATTGACTGATGGTAAAATAGCCAAAATGGTTGTGAATTAAGGCAATCTTGATAATAGTAAGAATAGAGATCATGTCGTTGACATTGAGGAAAAAGTGCCTATATATGACATGGTGAAAAAGTGTGATGGGCTTATTTAAAAACTAGAGCAGGGTGCATTCATAACAGAAAAGATATTATGTCAGTATAGAAAATCAAAGAGAGACTTCTAAGACAAAACGTATGTTTAATGAGGCAGAAGACCAGAGGAAACACCTTTAAAAAATGTCTAGTAGAATTCCTCCTTATCCCTAGAGGACCAACTTCCTAGTCTCCCCACTGCTTCTGATGTTTCTCCTCACCTAAAAGAAAAATACAGCATACAGCAACTTTTAAATCAATACACAACGTTGTAGGTGGTGACTGAAAGCCTGCTCTTGTTTGTTTTTGCAGTTGTTTAACAGCAGACACAAGTATTCTGGTGATGCTACTACTTTAGTTACCCTGAACACGTTTTCACTGTATTAATTGTATTTTTTTTACTGTTAAGTACTTTTATATGAATAAGTGTAAAAAAAGATTGCCTATTGGTAGCATATAAATTAAGAGCCAAGAATGATGGTGATGGCAAACAACCAGATTGTCCCCATGGGTGGCTAAAATTGTGACAAACTTTCTTTTAAAAAAAATTGCTTAATTCCAATAGTTTTTGGGGTACAAGTGGTTTTGGCTACATGGATGAATTGTATAGTGGTGAAGTCTGAGATTTTAGTGCACTTGCCACCTGAGTAGTGTACATTGTACTCAATATGTAGGGTTTTTTTTTATTCATTGGCCCCCTTCTGAGTCTCCATTTCATTATATCATTATATCGCTCTGAATGTCTTTGCATACACATAGCTTAGCTCCCACTTATAAGTGAGAATATATGGTATTTGGTTTTCTCTTCCTGAGTTACTTCACTTAGGATAATGCCCTCCAGCTCCATCCAACTTGCTGCAAAAGACTCTACTTTGTTCTTTTATATGGCTGAGTAGTATCCCATGACACCTTTATTTTATGATGGTTCAATGTACATGAAGTTTGTTTCATCCAAAAAATTCTTTAAGGTATATATAAAATTACCTTCAGACTCTATGTTTAAGTTGTATATGAGCAATAAATGAATTTTATATTTAGACTTGGTTGGGTCCCTTCCCCAAGATATCCCATAATGTGTATGTAAACATTCCAAAATCCAGATACACACCCACACACACACAGACACACACATGCAATTTATAAACTTGATTTAAAATATACTAAAAATGCTATACTGGAAATGCTGAAAAATTTGTATAGTTAAAAAAATGTAATTTCTGTCTCCTACTCCATTCAAACTTACCCCATTATTACTAAGTCAAATACATTACTTACTATGTGACTGTGGATAAATGGATTTACCTCTCTAAGTCTTAGTCTCCTTGTCTGTAAAAAGAGCTATAGTCCCAAGGAAATACAGTTGTTTGTTTTGAGAATTAAGAGAGACAATATGTTTAATGGTCTTCCTCGTGTCTGGCACACATTTGTTACTCAGTCTGTGTTAGCCCTTACTTACAGATATGAATCATATTGTTTTTTTCCTAGCAATGCAAACATTTATTGGATACTTACTAACCTAGTCAGCTAATAGTGATTTCCAAATTAGGTAATTCCATATTTATGAATTGACATGTTTCTTTTGGTCTTGGTTTAATTCTCCCGTGAGAGAGAGAGGGAGACTATCCTTGATAGTGTTATTACTGAATATTGAGGCAGATATATATAATTTTCTAATAAAAGGGTTTTCAAATAAATACTTTGATTTAGAACAAACTATTAAAATTTACTTAACTGATAAAAAATTTTAAAAGGGTAACTCTAAGAAATATATTGAGCCAAATTATTTACAAAGCCAAAATTGTCCTAAATATACATACTATAGTATTTTATAGAATTTTATTTTATAGTATTTTATATATAGTATAGTTATATATTATATATAGTGTAGCATTTTATAGAATTTAGCTAATTTGCACAAAAAATATGCTGAATGCAAGCAGGCAGTCAGCAAGTAGCTTAAAAAGTGTGGGGAATTTCTAGTATATAGGAAAGATATACATTAAAAAAAGCTATACAAGTTTTCATACATCATCCTAGTTTTAGTAAATAAAAAGCAGATATTAAATTTGTGTCAAGTTGTTACATTAAGCTTACTCTGATATCCTGTTTTTCACAATTTTACATCAAGTTTAGTCTCATGTTCTGTTCATCATAAATCTTTATAAGCACCTCCGTAGCTCCCACAGTGTAATTAGCACATCGGGTTAGTCACATCCTTCAACCTGCTTCAGTAAAGTTAGATTAAGTTCAGTTTCCCTTGTATATATGTCTACATATATATATATACACACACATATATATATACACATATATATACACATATATATACACATATATATACACATATATACACACATATATATACACACACATATATATACATACACACACATATATATATATACACACACACACATATATACACACACAAACACACACACACACACACAAATACATGCCCGTACATACATACATAGCTCCCATTCAGGGTATTAACTAATCATTTTCGTTTTTATTTATTCAAAAAAGCAACCCTTTGCCTTACAAATAAATGATATACTTTAAAATAAATGCCTTATTATTTTCTTTGTCTTTTTCTTTTTTCTAAAATTTTTCATTTATTTTTATTTCTTAAAAAATTAAATAAATGCTCCCAATGTTATGGATTTGGTTTTGATTTCTACTTTGGCTGCATCCCACACCTTTTGATAGGGAATGTTCTCAACACTATTATTTTCCAGGCATTAAGTCAGTGCAGTTTTACTTGTTCTCTGATATGAGAATTAATTATTAATTTTTTCCAGATTATATTAATCAACTAATTAATTAGCTAATAACCAAGTAACGTGTTTGTATTTGTTTATAGTTTTATTAAAATGCCTGTAATATTGACATTTATATTGTCAGTGATATTTTTTCCTTCATTTTTGCTCTTTGCATTTATTTACATTTTTTGAGATTTACTATACGGTCATTTTTCTATGTTTCCTAGACACTTAAAGAAAATTAGACACTTTATCTAACATATCAAAGTGGAGGATTTTTTACCAGCTTAAAGGATTTACAGTTGACTAAGTAGACTTGTGAAGAGGCCAAGAACACGAATAAACCCAGCAGGGAAATAGGAGTTTTTCTCTTTCTGAGAAAACGGTTTTGTCAAAACATCGTGCCAGACTTGGTTTGGTTGGCTGCCATTTCTGACACCGAAATGGCTTTTACTTTTCATCCAGTGTCACCAGACTGCCAACCACAGTGTAAGAACAAATATACCCTAGATGCCTTGTGGCAATCAGTGGCCCATTCTTGATTGAACAAATTTGGCCTAATTGAGCCTGGCAGAAATGTGCTGCCTCAGGAATCTTTTTTTCTCAAGCAGAGGTAGCAAGCTGATGGTCTAAGAGAAGGGTGATCATAAAATTCATTAATTGTCTAAACTGGACATATTCAACAATGAAAGGGGTTCTATTAATGCTTATTCTGAGACAATTGTAGAAAATCCTGAATTATAATCTCCCTAACTGTGATCTAAATGAGCCTACAATGTGTTGATGGGAAAAAGATTTAAATTAGCTGGCAATAGTTAAAAAATCAGAAGAGTTTACATAAGAATTCACATTGCCATTTTCTCTTGAAAATCATTATGAGATTTTAACAATGAATGTTCCGTACTTGGTTCTCAGAGAACTCTGGGAAGCTGACTCTGAGATTGAGCTAAATGGGCAGAATGTTAATTAGGGAGTGCCCTTAGGATCAATACCTGTGGAACAGCGGAGTCTAGGCAAGTTGGTCAGAGGGAGGCAACACCAATGACAGCTTGAGCTGACCCCAGGAGACACTCTAGAGTTAAAATGGCCCAACACAGTGTCCACATTTATATTCTGCCTCAAACTAGCATTGGTTCTATGGTGGCTGGATCAGATTACACTGGAGGAGGCTGCTGTTTAAAGTGGAATCAATCCTGGCCAGGTGCAGTGGCTCATACCTGTAATCCTAGCACTTTGGGAGGTGTAGGAGGGCGGATCGCCTGTGGTCAGGAGTTCAAGATCAACCTGGCCAACATGGTGAGATTCCATCTCTATTAAAAATGCAAAAAATTAGCCCAGCGTGATGGAGGCTGAGGTGGGAGAATTGCTTAACTTGGAAGGTGGAGGCTGCAGTGAGCCAAAACTGTGCCACTGCACTCCAGCCTGGGTGACAGAGTGAGACCCCATCTCAAAACAATGAAAAATAAATATTTTTTTAAAGTGGATGGAATTATTGAAGAAGCTAATTGCTAAAGTACATCTACAGAGATAGGCACTAGTTCCTTGAAATGGTATCTTGGTGGCATGTGCTCACTAAAATATATTATTACACTTCAGATCAGCAATCAACTAGAGATAAGGAACTTCCTCCACGTTATAATGCAGCATTTCGATTGTTTTCTACTTGCCCAAGTCACATCTTGCTATTTTGCTCTTGGCCTCTATGTTGATTTGAGCCAGTGACCTTTAATCTACAGCATTATATGTTGCTGGCACTACCAAGTAATCATTCTGTTCTTAGCCTCCTGTGGGGTCCTAGGAGCTTGTGGGGTCCTAGTGTTGACTGATGACTTTAAATTCCTCAGAACAGTGAGACCAGTGGCTTGCAACCCAGTCAGACCCATTGCCCCATTTTTAATTGAATATTTTATTCATTCCCTTATCTAACCTGAAATGAAATTCAGAATTATGGCTACATACATTTAAAAAATATAATGCCCTAAGTATAATATAAATGTATAATAAAATGGAGAATAGATTATAATAAAAATATTTTATACACAAAAACTTGGAGATGACTATACAAGTGGAAATACTGAAAGAGCAAAATGCTTGTGCCTAAATGTAGAAAATCATAGAAAATGTCATGAGTACAACTGTAGACAGAAATGATTCTGTGAGATGACCTATTCAAAAAATACAAGAAAACAGTTTCCCAAAATGAGGAATGACTCATTCTATGCCTTGTAAAAAAAAAAAAAAAAAAAAAAGTATGGTCTTGTTTTAAATCTACATAAATAGTAATTACCTTACTGTAAAATTCATTGAGTATTAAATATGTACAGAAATATTTTGTATTTATGTGAAAAATAAAGGTTCTCAACACAGTTATTAATAAACTCACTTTCACCTACATGAGTAATCAATATATCATTCAAATTATGAGGGATGCAAGATATGGAGCAGATCTTGTTATGCAGAACTGTTGAGAGCATGGCCAGATTTCAAGCATTTCTGGCACAAATCCAGTAATTGTGAATAGCACCTTTCAATCAATAATGCCTTCACACTGGAACATCCATGTTAAAAACCACTGGACCAAAGGAACTTTAATCAAATTACCAATCCACTTGACAGTCCTTGCCCCATTTTACCTAATCCCCAGTGGTTCATCATCTCCATTGCTTTTCCATTAAGCCATACTGTTACAGGAAGAAAATTTATCAATCTGTCTAGAGCCTCATCTACCCCATATATATCAAACATTCTTCATAGTTTCTGGCATTTTCAAAATGATTTACCCTAGCTTCCAGATGATACAGCTTCCATATTTCTTCATTTCTTAGGCTATTTCTTATAAACTAGAAAGGAGATATTCAAATGTGAACTCATGCCAACACATTTCTGGGAAGCTCTAAATATTTAATTCTGCAAATGGAAACATTCATTTTAAAGAGATCTTGTTATCCTAATCTTATATTGAATATTTCCTTCAGGAGAAAGCATTCTCCGAGAATATATGAAAGATAATTTTGACTCTCATTTTTCCAATATGATTACAGAAACTTCATTAAAAATGATTGGGGACTTTGGTATTATATTTAGAGAACAAACTTAATGTCTACAATATATACACAGGATTTAATAGATTCAGTAGGCTGAGGGTAGCAGCATGGTAATAAAACACCATCAAAAACTTGCATTTCAGTCCCACTTTTGTCAGTAACTAGTTATATGAATCTAGGTAAAGCATTTAACTTCCTTTGGCTCCATTTTCCATCTGTGAAATTATTGAGTTGGAAAACATGATCTCTAGTGGCTCTTTCAGTTCAAAAATCCACGGACTTTTCTATATTTTTCAGATGTTAAATTGGCAAGAATTAGGGTTTGAGAATTTTTTTGGAAAGCTTTTGACTATATTTTTCAAATACAGATGTTTGGTTACATATAGACTTTCCCTGATGCCTAACGATATATGACCTCAATTGCCTTCAAGCAGATTATCCATCTGCTATCTTATGTTGACTGAAAATATAATTTTAAAATGTCTTCAGGAGAGTAGTTCCATGGAATATGACATACTGGAGACACAACAAGGCATGACCCATTTCAGCATAGGTGGAGGGGAACTGGAACCTAATCTACTTAGTAGTAGGGGGCAAACACCAAGGTGGCTGACCCATCTCCAGCTATTTTCTTGGGGAAAATCTATACTGGCAGACATAACTTAATAACTCAAATATACAACACATGATAGGTAATAATTGCAGACATGTCATTGGTTTCCAAGAACAGTATAAAATAATAGATCACATAAATCAATGTTGACTGACTTTAATATCAACATATATTCTTTATTCATTGACTAACTACCGATTGAAGGCCTGCCATGTGTCTCTAATAAAAAAGAGTTTGTATATTGATATTCAATATTATGTAAATCATTCAGTGTAGGAGAGAGTATTAAACAACACTTACACTTAAGTAGGAAACAGTAAGCAAAAACAGAAAAAAGAGGGAGAGCAATCTTCATGAAATTGGAATATTACCCAGACCATTAAGTGGACTCAAGTTAGAAACAATAAAGACGCAGTTACAGAAACTATAATTCAGTGCAGGATTTTATATCAGGAACAATGTAAAAGTCTAGTCTTCATTAAGGCACCAACTAAAGACTATTAGTTGCCAGAGCTCATAACTTGTACTTCCTAAATGTTTGAACTTTGTTTTCCAAAAGTCTTCTGAATGTTCTCAGGCAAGCTTAGGCTTACAGTCACAAGGTTTCTTTAAGATCTCCAAAGACACAGGCATTTAAAGACAGCACTCAATATCATAAACAAATTAAATATAAGCATAGTGCACATTAAATTTTATTTTAAAAAATGAAATTATCTTATTTTGTGTGTTTTATATAATATACATATATATATATATATATATATATTTTTTTTTTTTTTTTTTTTTTTTTTTGAGACCGAGTCTCACTCTGTCTGCAGTGGCGTGATCTGGGCTCATGCAACCTCCGCCTCCTGGTTTCAAGTGATTCTCCTGCCTCAGCCTCCAGAGTAGCTGGGATTACAGGCATGTGCCCCCACGCTCAGCTAATTTTTGTATTTTTATAGAGACGGAGTTTCACCAAGTTGGCCAGGCTGGTCTCCAACTCCTGACCTCAGGTGATCTGCCTACCTTGGCCTCCCAAAGTGCTGGGGATACAGGCATGAGCCACCATACTGGCCTTTTATAATTTTTAATGAGCTATGATTTTTCTGCAAACATCCTTCATACAGAATGTTTTGTGTTTTTACAATTTAAAGAAAATTGTATTTTTGTGTCCCACTGTGACTTTAAAATATATCCATTGGAAAAAATTCTTCCCTTACTCCTGGGAGATATTTTTGACGATTTTCAGGTAATACAATTTTCATGATCATTTAATTTTACTAAAACAGTATCAATTTAGAAATTAAAATACTCAGTTCTATGTTATAATCCAGACTATGAATTCGATATAAATTTTTACATGACTCTTTCTGCCCCCCAGCTGGGGCTTTCTATAGGTAAAAGGAGGGGAAGAAAATGAGAATTTCACCCATTTAATACCTTATTGTTTATGGACACTTCAAGGTTTAAGGAGACTAGGAAGAAAAGAGAGTTGAATGATTAGAGATTAAGATCAGAAAATTTCTCCCTTAACTAGTATTGAGGTAACTTAATAATTATATCATGTAGTAATTCCATTTTTAACTTTTTGTGGAACCACTAGGCTGTTTTCCAAGGTGGATGCAACATTTTGTATTCTCACCAATAATATATAAGGATTCTAATTTCTCTACATCCTCACTAACATTTGTCATTTTCTGACTGTTTTATTATAGCCATCCTAATGGGTGTCAAAGGATATCTCATTATAGTTTTGATTTTCATTTCCCTGATGGCAAATGCTGTTGAGTATATTTTCGCGTCCTTATTAGCCATCTATATCTCTTTGTAGGTAAGTTTTGAAAAGTTAAATATTTAGTAGGTCATAAAGTCATCTAATGATGTTAATAAATTTAGTACGTTTAAAAAAATATTTACTATTTTTCATACATGCTCTAAAAATGTTAAATTGTTGAGTAGCTACTTCACATTAGCTTTCCTTAATTTTTCAAAACTTGTTAATAAAATAGCTATGCGAGCTATAATAATCCTTAAAGATGATAAAACTAAGACTGAGGGAGGCTGAACAGCTTGCCCGAGCTTATACAAACATCACTGGAGCAGCCAGGGTTTCTTGAATGTAAGCTTTTTACGTTGAATGTGGCTGTTGAGAAGTCAGTTAACACCTGAGAAAGATTTTAGAATAGTTGAGAAAAGACAAATTCAGGGAGAAGCATAGTAATAATACAAGGTAATAAAGTGGGGAAGATACATAGTTGAATGCTTTGTGAAGTTTAGTTGCAAAGTGAATTTTTTTTAAGATGAAGGAAATAAGGGTATATTTATATGATTAAATCACTTAAGTGGCAAAGGAGAAAGAATAAAATAAATGACGCTATATTATACCCAGTAGAGTTCAGCAGCTCAGTCATGGGATGACAAAGGATGAAAGCCAAGAAGTGAAGGCATTAACCTTGACTAGTAGTTGTGCAAAGAGAGTTTAAGGTTAAGACTTTTTCTGAGTCTTGGGAAAAAGAAGTAAGACAGGATTTAAATGATAACCTTTGTTTTTAAGGGAAAAGGAGCAGATGGTTTCCAAAGCTTTTTGGTGGGGATATTGTGTGTTTGCTTTGCTTCTAAATCTAAATTTTGCCGATTTTTTCTTCCTAAAGTTACTGTGTTTCCAAAATTACAGTTAACAAGTATCTGATAAGGTGGCTTCTAGCTAATCAGGCTTTTATCTATGTTGTCTTCTTACTGACAGATTAATTGCCTGAATTGCCTTTTTATTTTTAAGTATTCCTGAGAAGGAAATTTAGCAATTAAAATGATTTAGACTTTGCTGTTTATATAGCAGTTTAAATGACATTTGAAAGATAGTGGAGGAAATTAATAAATGATTATACAAAATAATATGTAGCAGAAATATGTTTGTTGCTATAATTAAAAGTGTGTAGCTTAGTAATCCAGGTCAGTTTTTACAAAGAAACAACGAGTAGTGCTTTTCAAATGGCTTTAAAAATTGATTGCTTTTAATCAGTCATATTTCAAGTTCAGGCATGGATTTGAATATTTAATTAACTGATTTTTGAAGTAATATGTTATGCACTTCATTTTTATGTGGTTGGTAAGTACTTTGTTGTAATGATATAGTGAATATTCATAAAAGTTTAATTAACTAGAAACTTCAAATCAGTATATTAAGAACAGATTTTTATGTTTTTAATTATTAAAGAAAATGTGCCAATACTGATTTTTATTTTCCCACTTCATTTTAAGTGTTGCTGTATATATTCACTATAGAAAAATAAGCAATACAGGAAATACATATTTTAAAATATTTAATTATCAGAAATTATAGCTCCAAATAATAATATTGCTAAAAATTAGAAGCATATATTTTAGACTTGCCCCCATAAAGCTACAGATCTATAAATTGTACACAAATATGTACATATGTTATTTCACAAATTAGAATCATTACAATTCATATAAGTGTATTTCTTTTGATACGTGTTGAATATGTTTCCATGCCAATAAAAATCTATTTTTATAAATATAAATTTGGCCATATAGAGTCTCATTGCACAATGATACCAAAATTTATGTTACCACTTCTAAATTTCAGTTATTAGAAATGACATTTGATTATGTATATATGTATGTGTACAAATACACTAATTATATATGTGATATATATATTTATACACATATATCTTAAATGTATGACTGATCTTATTTTTGCCATGAGACAAAAAACTAAAAATAGAATATGAAAAAGCATCAAGTAAAACTTTTGATATTTGACTAATTTGTCTCCAGAAAGAAAAGACATACCAATTTAAACCCCATCAGTTACTTCTGTAACAGTAGCAGTTGGAAATGTACAGCCTATGGGCCATATCTGGCCTACCAATATTTTTGTAAATACAAGTTTTGTAAATACAAACACCCATTTGTTTACATACTGTCTCTAACCACTTTCACAGTAGTTGTGACAGAGACCATGTATTATGTGTATTATGTTTAAAATGGCATAAATTATTAACTATCTTCCTTTATAGGATAAGTTTGCCAACCTCTGTGTTACAGTGTTTCCCCTAAATATCTGGTTTTATATTTATTGATGGAACAACAAATATAAAGTAAAATAGAATAAATTATATCCATTTTAATTTACTTAACAACTGAGAGCCTTTAGGGTATCCATCACCCAAATAACATGCATTGTACCCCTTAACTAATTTCATCCACCCCCTCCCACCACCTCACCCTTCAGAGTCTCCATTGTCCATCATTCCACTCTCTCTATCCACATGTACACATTTTTAGCACCCACTTATGAATGAGAATATGTTATATTTGACTTTCTGTGCCTGTCTTGTTTCATTTAAGATAACGGCCTCCAGTTCCATCAATGTTGCTGCAAAAAATATGATTTCACTCTTTTTTTAATAGCTGAATAGTATTTCATTAAATGTGTGTGGATATATATATATGTATACATACATATATACTTATACAGCATATTTCCTTAATCTATTCATCCATTGATGGACACTTAGGTTGATTGATTCCATATCTTTGTTATTGGGACTAGTGCTGTAATAGACATATAATTATAGGGTTGTTTTATTATTATTTCTTTCTTTTCTTTTGGGTAGTACCCAATAGTGGGAATGCTGGATCAAATGGTGGTTCTACTTTTAGTTCTTTGAGAACTCGCCGTAGTGTTTTCCATAGAGGTTGTGCTAATTTACATTTTCACCAGCAGTTTATAGAGTTCTCCCACATCTTCCCCTACATCTGTTATTTTTTGTCTTTTTAATAATGGCTGTTCTGACTGGTGCAAGATGGATGATGTCTCATTTTGGTTTCAATTTGCATTTCTCTAATGATTAGTGATGTTGAACATTTTTTCACATGCCTTTTGGCCATTTGTATGCCATATTTTGAAATTGTCTATTCATGTCCTTTGCTCACTTTTAAATGGGATTATTTCTTGTTATCGTTGAGTTGTTTAAATTCCTTGAATGTTTTATATATTAGTCCCCAGTTGGATGAATAGTTTCCAAATATTACTCCCATTCTCCAGATTGTTCACTCTGTTGATTATTTCTTTGGCTGTGAAGAAAAATTTTAGTTTAATCAAGTTCCTTTTGTCTGTTTGTTTTTGTTGCCTGTACATTTGAGGTTTTAGTCATAAATTATTTGCCTAGACCAATGTCCAGAAGATTTCCCCCTAGGTTTCCTTCTGGTTTTATTATGGTTTCAGTCTTTCATTTGAGTATTGAATCCATCTTGAGTTGATTTTTGTATATGGTGGGAGAAACAGGTCAAGTTTTATTCTTCTGCATATGGCAATCCAATTTTTCCGGCAATGTTTATTGAAAAGGCTATGCTTTCCCCAATATATGTTCTTGTTGGCTTTCTCAAAGGTAAAAACCTTTAGTAGATTATCGGTGGAACCAGCCCCCAATATTTCAATGTACGTTCTTTCTATTTTCCCAAAGTGTTGGCCAGTCTGAGAAATAAAGAGAAAGAGTACAAAGAGAGGAATTTTACAGCTGGGCCTCCAGCGGTGACATCACATATCAGTAGGTCTGTGATGTCCCCAAGCTGCAAAACCAGGAAGTTTTTATTAGGGATTTTAAAAGGGTAGGGGGTGTACGAACAGGGAGTAAGTCACAAAGACCACATGCTTCAAAGGGCAATAAAGATCACAAGGCAAAGCGCAAAATTAGAATTGCTGATGAGGGTTCATGTCCCTCTGTGCATGTATTGTCTTGATAAACATCTTAACAGAAAACAGGGTTTGAGAGCAGAGAACTGGTCTGACCAAAATTTACCAGGCTGGAATTTCCCAATCTTAGTAAGCCTGAGGGTACAGCAGGAGACCAGGGCATATTTCAGTCCTTATCTCAACCGCATAAGACAGACACTCCCAGAGCAGCCATTTATAGACCTCCGCCCAGGAATGCATTCCTTCCCCAGGGTATTCCTTGCTGGGAAAGGAATTCAGCGATATCTCTCTTACTTGCACGTCCTTTTATAGGCTCTCTGCAAGAAGAAAAACATGGCTCTATTCTGCCTGACCCCGCAGGCAGTAAGACCTCATGGTTATCTTCCCTTGTTCCCTGAAAATCGTTGTTATTCTGGTCTTTTTCAAGGTGCACTGATTTCATATTGTTCAAACACACATGTTTTACAATCAATTTGTACAATAGTGGTCCTGAGGTGACGTACATTCTCAGCTTATGAAGATAATGGGATTAAGAGATTAAAGACAGGCATAAGAAATTATAAGAATATTATTAGGGAAGTGATAAATGTCCATGAAATCTTCACAATTTATATTCAGAGATTGCAGTAAAGACAGGCATAAGAAATTATAAAAGTATTAATTTTAGGAACTGATAAATGTCCATGAAATCTTCACAATTTATGTTCTTCTGCTGCAGTTCCAGCTGGTCCCTCTATTTGGGGTCCCTGACTTCCCACAACAGTAGATTTATAGTTATGTAACCACTGCCAAAATCCTGTTTTAGAGTTTCAAAAAGATTCCTAATGCACATTTGCAGCAATTCCCCTATTATTACCCCAGTTCTTCATAACCAGTAGTTTCAATCTAATTTCTGTTATTAAATATTTGCCTTTTAATGACAGTTTCTGTAAATGAAATCATGTGTGATTGTGTTTGTCCAGGTACTAGTGAATGCACCTTTGAATTGTTTCCACTTTTTGGCTATTTTGAAGAAATTCTCCTATAGACATTTATGTACAAATCTTCAGGCAGAGATATGTTTAAAGTTCTCTTCATAGATACCTAGAGTTAGAATTGCTGGGGCATGTAGTACATTTTGTGTAACTCATTAAGAATTTGCCAAATTGTATGTAAAGTGGTGGCACTATTTTACATTTCCATCAGATATATATGAAGTTTGCATCTTCTCAGCATAGTCCCTTATTGTCTATCTTTTTTATTACTGACATTCTAGTAGGCCTGAAGTAGTATCTCATTGTAATTTTTTTTTTTTTTTTGAGATGGAGTTTTGCTCTTTAGCCCAGGCTGGAGTGAAGTGGTGCAATCTCTGCTCACTGCAACCTCTGCCCTCCAGGTTCAAGTGATTCTCCTGCTTCAGCCTCCCAAGTAGCTGGGATTATTGGCACCTGCCACCACTCCTGGCTAATTTTTGTTATTTTAAGTAGAGATGGGGTTTTGCCACGTTGGCCAAGCTGGTCTGAAACTCCTGACCACAGGTGACCCACACGCCTCATCCTCCCATAGTGCTAGGATTACAGGTGTGAGCCACCATGCCCAGCCCTCATTGTGATTTTAATTTGAACTTCTCTAATAACTAATAACTTCTTTCCATGTGCGTACTAGACATTTCTATATCTTCTTTGGAAAATATCTATTTAAGGTTTGCTGATTTTCAATTGGTTTGTCTTTTAATTGTTATCTACATATTTTGGATACGAGCCCTTATCTCATATATATATATGTGTGTGTGTGTGTGTGTGTGTGTGTAATAAATATGTAATATATATATTTATTGTGTATTTTTCCTCTTACGTGGGTTATCTTTTCACATTTCTTGATAGTTATCTTTGAACTGCAAAAGTTCTCAATTTTTTTCTTATTGCTTATAATTTTGGTGTATAACCTAAGAATCCATTGCCAAACAACACATGACAATAAAAGATACATGCATTTTCTTTTTTTCTTTCTTTCTTTTTTTTTTTGATACAGAGTCTCACTCTGTTGCCCAGGCTGGATTGCAGTGGTGCCATCTCGGCTCACTGCAAGCTCTGCCTTCCAGTTTCACACCATTCTCCTGCCTCAGCCTGCCTAGTAGTTGGGATTACAGGCACCCACCACCACGCCTGGCTAATTTTTTGCATTTTTAGTAGACACGGGGTATCACCGTGTTAGCCAGGATGGTCTCGATTTCCTGACCTCGTGATCCACACACCTCAGCCTCCCAAAGTGCTGGGATTACAGGTGTGAGCCACCATGCCTGGCCACATGCATGTTTTTCTAAGAATTCTGTAATTCTCAGAAAACAGGTATTTTTATAAAAAGTTTGTAATTAGAGCTTTAATCCATTTAGAGTTAATTTTTGCATATAATGTGATGTGTAATCAAACATAGCAAAGAAAATCTGAGGGTCTAAAGAGAAAACAATTGAACTCCATTGAATATAGTCTGCTTCTGCATCATGAATTTCACTAATCAGGGTTTAATGACCATTTCAAAGAGGAAAAATTTTCTATGTGAAAGATGTGCATATATGTATGTGAAAATACCATAATACCATATGTATATGATAAAAATGAGAGGGTTGTTTCACATTTTAGCATGGAAGAGAGAGCACTCTATGTCTCTGTCATAACCCAAAACAGCTAGATTATTTCCGTAGGAAATTTGGAATCTCTGGAAGACATAAAATTCACCCAGTGTTTGACAGATTATATAGGCCAGGAACTGAATTACAAATATAATACCCATGGATAAAACTATAGTATTAACCTAGTTTAAGCACATCCCATAAACCCTATGGAGTCCAGATAAATATCTGCATTATTTAATGATGACAGAAATTCTATAAGATTGTATTCTGGAGAGAATTTGCTTCTTTTGTTTGTTTGTTTCTGTTTAGTAAGGCATTATACCTAAAAGAAAGTGTTTGCTGTGTTTGTCGGCTCTGCTGGTAAACATCAGGGCCCCTAAATTGTCATAAAATGATCCATGAAGGACTTCTTTGAAATGTGTGACATGACACTTGTTTATGCACATCAGGAAAGCAAGGGTAGAAATATCCTTTGTAGTTTAGGGACCTACAACCAAGCTAATAAAAAGAAAACAGTGATGGACATAAATACCCTAACGTAGCCACTTCTGGTTGAATTCACCAACAGATTTGTAAATAAATATCACTGGTTAAAAACAACCCCACACTAGAGTAATTTCTATTATTTATAATTTTTTATTCTGTACATATATATAAGTGTTTAGATATACAAGTAGCAGTTTGGCAAGATTCAAGATTATATTAAACAGGCTGGGTGTGGTGGCTCACGCCTGTAATCCCAGTACTTCGGGAGGCTGAGGCAGGCAGATCATGAGGTCAGGAGATCAAGACCATCCTGGCTAACACAGTGAAACCCCATCTCTACTAAAAACAAAAAAAAATACAAACAATTAGCCGGGCATGGTGGCGGGAGACTGTAGTCCCAGCTACTCCGGAGGCTGAGGCAGGAGAATGGCATGAACTCGGGAGGCGGAGCTTGCAGTGAGCTGAGATCATGCCACTGCACTCCAGCCTGGGTGACAGAGCGAGACTCCATCTCAAAAAAAAAAAGAAAAGATTATGTTAAACAAGAGGTTTCGAAAAACTTAAGAATGACACATTATATAAAAATTTTACAAGAATGTCCACTTTTTAAAAATTTATTATAAAAATCAATTTTAGAAGTAAAAATGTACGCAGAATGGGTTAAAAATGTTCTTTCGTCACTAAGACCTTTGAGAAAATTTAATTATTTAAGAGTATGCATGAGAAACATTATATAGATGCTGATACAACTAGAAAAATATTCAAATGATTGTCAAAGATGTTAATTCTATACGATGACATTAGAAACGAGTTACTGAAAATTTCCTTGGTCTCATTCAGAAAACATTAAAATTTTGAATCAATTGCTTAGATGTAACAGAAGTGAAATTAAAAAATTTTTATAAGCATGATACAAGCACTGATAAATCAGTGCAGACACAGGATTTAAAACACAAGCTAAATATGAGCACAGGAACACATATTTTAGAAAGGACTTTTACTTAAATAATGAATCATACACAATTATAAGAGAATTAGAAAGCTATTACACAAATTAGCAAAATTGGGATTCTAAATAATGAATCTTCCTTAGTGCTTATAAGCTAGATCCATATACCATATCTGCTACTTAAGGTTCTTTAGCTGTACTCAAAGACACAACTGCAAAGTTAAAAGTTATGGAATGCTTAAAGACTGTTAATAGAAAACAGCAGTAAAAATCTCAAATGACTACATTTGCTGTGATTTTGAAAATGCAATATGCTTGTAGAAAAACAAATCAAATTTAATAAAAAACAGGATTAGAAGAAAAATAATGTTTGGATCTTAATCTCTATTATCTCCACAATACTCTATCCTGGACCAATTAAATGGAAATGTCTTATTAGACTTATTTGCCTCATTTTAAGGAATGGTATTTACAGGCTGTAGTCTATAAAACACAAGATTGGCCTTGTGTTTGAAAGGTCTTGAAGCTGTATGACATGAGAAAACATTAGGAAAAGGTAAGATGTTTCACTTACATAAGGCAAGACTTATGAAATACAAAAGAAATACCTTCAGATAGCTGATGTACTGTCATGGAAAATAGTGGCTAGATTAAATTATGTTGCTGTAGATGACAAAAACAACTTTTATGTGTGACAATTATTCAGAGACAGATTTCAGTTCAGTACAAAGTGGTGTGCCTCTATAACAATTAGAGCTCCTGTTGGACAGTTCCAAGGGAATGAGCTGTCTCTCAGAGTGGTGCATTCCTGTCACAGGAAGTGTTCAGCTGAACCTGGATGAACACTGGTCATGGATACCATGGAATGTTTTTCAATTTTAGAAGGAAGATATAATCAGCTGACCTTTAAGCTTGTTTCTCCCTTCCATATTCTCATTTTATGGGCACTTTGACACATTTCAATGTTATAAACTGTCATTCCAATCTATAATTTGAGGTTGATATTACATGAACCTGTAATCTGAGTGACAGTGTTTCATGATTTACGCCCCATTAAATACTAGTAAACAATATATTTTTATATGCAAATTGTTTTCACTTTTATTTTGCTATCAAGGCTTGTGTCTCCTACCCTACCATCTTGGTGATGTCACTCTTTACAATAATTGGATTTCATCAAGAAAACATGCAAATATATTTGTACACAAGTAGATAGTTATACATATGTATTAAATAATTTATAACATTGTCATTGTAATTTATTCTTTTTTTCTCAGTTAGCTATGGTATTTTAAATATTCAATATATTTTACTTTATTTTAAATTATCAAAACATCCTGTTCTCTTGGGCCAGTAAATGAATTAGATTTTTTGACTATTTGTTGGTTGGTTTGTTTATTGGAGGACCCAAACATTTCAAAGAATTTATTGTGTTAGTTTGTTTTGCACTGCTATGAAGAAATACCTGAGACTCTGCAATTTATTTTTTAAAAAGGATTTATTGGCTCATGGTTCTGCAGACTATACAGGAAGCACGGCAACAGCATCTGCTTCTGGTGAAGTCCCAGAAACCATCCAATCATGGTGGAGGGGAAAGGGAGGATACGTGTCACATGGCAAGAGTGGGAACAAGAAAGAGAAGAGGAGATGCCATGTCATTTTAAACGACTTGCTCTCATATGAACTACTAAAGCAAGAACTCACTCATTACCAAGGGGTTGGCACCAAGCCATTCATAGAGGATCCACCCTCATGACCCAAACACCTCCCACTAGGCCACCCCCAACATTGGAGATCACATTTAAACATCAGATTTGAAGGGGACACACATTCAAACTATATCATTGGTTTTATGCAGTGGCCTCGTTAAACTGTATATGTCATGCAGGCCAAAGACAATATTTGACATGTGCATAGAAGGATTAAAATTACATATCTCAATCCACATAGGCAATATGTCTGATCCTCCCACCACTCTACCCACTGCACTTTGCTGGGTTTAACCTGTTTTAGTTTTACATAGTTTGCCTTTGAATATTTTGCTTTTTGCATGATGATTTAATTTAATTCTCTTAAGCTTACTCATGCATTTTGTTAATATTATATTTTACTGGGGAATAAGGGTGTCCAAGTGAAACCTCTATGCTTGTAGCACTCTAGTAAATTTTATCTTCTTCATTCAGAAATTTGAAGAATTCTTATACTCTCTCTTAAAAGTGATTGCACTGTTATTCTTTTATTTTCAGTGGGCTTACACTAATATTTTGCCTTTTTTCTTCCTTTCCTAGCATATCCAAAAGGTATGAACTAAATATATACTGAGCATACCACAATCTCTCGTTTCCAAGTAGTATTTTTAAATTTTACCAATCTTGAGTACTAAAAAGTAGAAAAAATGAGTAAGACTTACTATTTGACAGCACAATAGGGTGACTATAGTCAGTAATAACTTAATTGCATATTTTAAAATAACTTGAATATAATTTGATTGTTTGTAACTCAAAGGATAAATGCTTGACAGGATGTAAACCCTACCCTCTGCAATGTGCTTAGTTCACATTGCCTGCTTGTATCAAAACATCTTATGTACCCCATAAATATATACACCTACTATGTACCCACAAAAACTTTTTAAGACTTTTAAAAAATCACCAACCAACTAATTTATTTGTTTAGTTAATTTACTGGAAGTAAAAGTATTAAAACAATGTTTATTACTTTTATATAAAGACTACAGTGCTGTGGAAGAATTCATCAGTAAGTTTCTGCAATTTAATACCCAGTCAACTCTGTCAAACCAGTGTTAACATTATTTCCATCAAACATTAAATGTGGGAAAGAAATTTCTAAATATAATTCTGGAAAATAAATGTGTACATTTGTACACACACATGTGTAAATATGTTTGTAGACATACATAATTATTGATACATGTATTATATAATTTCCAATTAAATAAAGTATATGTATGGAGTTGAATATGTGTGTGTGTATGTGTGTGTGTGTTTGTGTATGTGTGTGTACCAGCAAAGATACAGCAGTGGCAGATAAGCTAATATTACAGAGAAAAAGTATCCATTTCATAAACTTGAATTTTCCATGTTTATAACACATGCAAACTTATTATAGTTTAATTTGTATAATACATTGTCTTTAAAAGTCTAATTCATTTAATAATTACTAATAATATGTGCAAAAATTACAAATAAATATTATGAAATAATATAAGGCGTTATTCAAAAGATCAAACAAGTTACAAGGATGATGTCTACCTTCATATAAATGTCTTGGATAAATCGATGGGAATTTTATTTTACTTTTATTTAACCCTTGATAGTCCCTGGCTAACCCAGGAAGACACTGAAACTATCATTTGTGAGTTTATACTACTTTTAAGTTCATTTAAATTGAAACATTAATTTCATTTAAATTGAACCAAGTTTCAATTTAAATAAATGTCACTTTTCAATGTGTATAACCTAGAAAACATACTGAAAACATACAAATGATTCAGATTGAAAAACAGAGTCATGCATCTTTT
This sequence comes from Homo sapiens, assembly GCF_000001405.40. Lineage (NCBI taxonomy): Eukaryota > Metazoa > Chordata > Mammalia > Primates > Hominidae > Homo > Homo sapiens. The sequence goes on along the minus strand of NC_000002.12, from coordinate 184,399,798 downwards.
TTGTAATCATTTTCATTGATGCTTTGCTTCACATTATGATACCCTGGTCCCTTAAAAAGAGAAAGAAAGAATAAAAAAGAAAAACATGTAGAGTCTCAAATTTCTATACTATAAGCTACAAATTATAAGAATCATGTCTTCCTTCACAATTTTGCACACTGTATTTTATCATAGGGTCTGGCAACAGTAGGTGGCACTAACTATTCCCTTATATTTTAACAAATATCGAATTCTAAGCAAATAAAGCTCTTTTAGAGATTGAATTGGTAAAAAAAAAAAAATCAACAAAGAAATACTTACTAATCAAACAGCATATTAAAAGGATTATTTAACATGACCAAATGAGATTTATCCTAGGAATTCAAGTGTGGTTAAACATAAGAAAATAAATAAATATAATGCACTATGTTAATAGACTTAAGAAAAACAACACGTAATCAACTTACTTGATGTAGAAAATACAATGGACAAAAAATCAACATCCTTTCATGCTAAAATATTCAAAAATCAAAGAAAAGAAGGGAATTTTCTTAACCTATTAAAGGCTATTTATGTAAAACTCATAGCTAACATTATACTTGATGGTGAAAGACCAAAATGTTTCTCCTTATGATCAGGAACACAAGGGTGCCTGCTTTCGACCACTCTTATTCAACTTTGTACTGGAAGTGCTAAATGGAACAATAAGACAATTAAAAGAAATTTTAAAAAAATCCAAATTAGCAAGGAAGTTACTTCTGTTTATAAATGACATCATTCTACATAGACAGCATCAAATAATCCACAAGAAATCTTCCAGAGCTACTAATAAATTCAGGAAAGGTGTAGGATACAATATCAATATGCAACAATCTGCCAAATGAAATTATGAAAGCAAGTCCATTTACAATAACCTCTAGAAGAATCAAATACTAAATAATGAATGTAATGAAGGAGGTGAAATACTTGTACATTGAAAACTGTAAAACATTGGAGGAAATTGAAAAGCCAATCTTTAAATTCATATGAAATTTAAATTGGCCCCCAATAACCAAAACAATTTTGGAAAAGAAGAACAATGTTGGAAGCCTCATACTTCTCAGGTTTGATGCCTACTACAAAGCTACAATAATCAAAAAAGTGTTGTATTGGCATAAGGATAGACATATAGACCAGTGGAACAGAATTGAGAGTCCAGATATAAATCCATACATGAATGAGCAGTCGATTTGTGTCAAGGTGCCAAGTCTACTTAGTTGAAAAAGAATAGCATCTTTGACAAATGGTGGTGAGAAACTGGCTTTACATATGTAAAATAATAAAATTAGACTCACATTATGTAAAAATTAATTGAAATGGAACAACAGCCTAACGACAAAAGCTGAAAGCATAAAACTCTCAGAAGAAAACGTAGGGGTTAATCTTCTTGACCTTGGATATGGCAAGAGAATTATAAAGTGACACCAAAAGCACAAAATACAAAGAAAAAATGTATATTGAACTTCATCAAAATTTAAAAATGTTTGTGGATCAAACAATATTAACAAGAAAGTGAAAACTGGCGGAATGAGAGAAAACATTTGCAAATTATATACTAAAATCAGAATTTAATATCCACATTATATAAAAAACTGTTAAACTCAACAACACACAAACTACCGTATTTTAAAATGGGTAAAGAAATTAAATAAACTTTTCTCCAAATAAGATATACAAATGGCCAAAAGAACATGAAAAGATGTTCATCATCATTAGTTATTAGTGAAATGCAAATAAAAAGTACAACTAGATACCAATTTGTACATCCTAGGCTTTTTATATTAATAAACAAAAAGGGAAAATAATTTTTTGTGAGTGTGGAGAAATTGAAACCCTCATACATTGCTGGAAAAATGTAAAATGGTGCAGCTGCTGTGAAAAACAGTTTAGCAGTTCCTCAAGAAGTTCAACAAAATTATCCTATGACCCAGCAATTACATTTCCAGGCTTATACTCAGAAGAATTGAAACAAGGACTCAAACATTTGCACCAATACTTATTGCAGCATTATTCACAATGACCAAAATGGCGGAAAGGTGGAAAGAATCCAAGTGTTGATCAACAGAAGAATGAATAAACAGAATGTGATCTATACATATAACAGAATATTATTTAGCCAAGAAGGAACAAAGTTTTGATATATGCTACAACATGAATGAAACTTGAAAACATTGTGATGGGCTCAATAAGTCAGATAAAAAGGTCAAATAATTTATTATTTTACTTATATAAAATATTTATAAATTCATAGAGATAGAAACTAGATTAGAGTTTGCAGATACTGGAGGGAGACAGAAATGGAAAGTTGTTGCTTAATGAGTACTGCATAACTGTTTGGGATAACGGAAAATTTTTGGAAGTAGATACTGGTCATGGCTGTACAACATTGTGATTGTCATTAATGTCACTGAATGGTACAGTTGAAATCATTAAATTTTCAAATTTTATGTTAGATGTATTTTATCTCAGTTTAAAAAATCAAAATATAAAAAATTAAATCGTTTTGAAAGCAGCATATCCATATATTTCTACTCTAAAAGATAGAAGCTTATTCTGCTCACACATAATAAACAGTTTTTGTGCATCTAGCACCAGTGTTTGGCTGAATAAATAATCTCTACTTAAGGAGGTAACAGAGGTGAAAATACTTTCCCTTGTTAATTTCTGTTTGTGTCCCACAGCCTGTGATTGTACTTCCAAATGATGTCTACATGACACTAATAATTCAACCAGTTTATTATATATATATAAGTCTTAATTTTTGTTCTTATTTCTTCTAAAAAAAACGGGATTCATATGCGGAACGTGCAGGTTAGTTACATAGGTCTATGTGTGCCATGGTGGTTTGCTGCACCTATTGACCCATCCTCTAAGTTCCCTCCCCTTGCACCCTACCCCCAACAGTCCGTGGTGTGTGTTGTTCCCCTCTCTATGTTCATGTGTTCCCATTGCTCAACTCCCACTTCTGAGTGAGAACATGCGGTGTTTGGTTTTCTATTCCTGTGTTAGTTTGCTGAGGATGATGGCTTCCAGCTGCAAAGAACATGATCTCATTTCTTTTCATGGCTGCATAGTATTCCATGGTATATATGTACCACATTGCCTTTATCCAGTCTATCATTGATGGGCATTTGGGCTGGTTCCATCTTTGCTATTGTAAATAATTCTGCAATAAACATATATGTGCATGTCTATATAGTAGAATGATTTATATTCCTTTGGATATATACCCCGTAATGGGATTGCTGGGTCAAATGGTATTCCTGGTTCTAGATCCTTGAGGAATTACCATACTGTCTTCCACAATGGTTGAACTAATTTACATTCCAATCAATAGTGTAAAAGTGTTCCTATTTCTCCACAGCCTTGCCAGCATCTATTGTTTCCTGACTTTTTAATAATTGCCATTCTGACTGGCGTCACACGGTATCTCATTGTGGTTTTGAATTGCATTTCTCTAAACAGAGACCTCAGAAATAACACCACATATCTACAACCAGCTGATCTTCCACAAACCTGACAAAAACAAGCAACAGGGAAAGGATCTCCTATTCAGTAAATGGTGCTGGGAAAACTGGCTAGCCATAGGCAGAAAACTGAAACTGGACCACTTACTTGCACCTTTTACAAAAATTAACTCAAGATGAATTAAATACTTAAATGTAAAATCAAAACTATAAAAACCCTAGAAGAAAATCTAGGCAATACCATTGAGAACATAGGCAAGGGCAAAGACTTCATGACAAAAACGCCAAAAGCAATTGCAACAAAAGCCACAATGGAAAACTGAGATCTCATTAAACTGAAGAGCACAGCGAAAGAAACCATCATCAGAGTGAACAGGAAACCTACAGAATGGGAGAAAATTTTTGCAATCTACCCATCTGACAAAGGTCTAATATATGGAATTTACAAGGAACTTAAACAAATTTACAAGAAAAAAAACAAACAACCCCATCAAAAAGTGGGCAAAGGATATGAACAGACACTTCTCAAAAGAAGACATTTATGTGGCCAACAAACATATGAAAAGAAGCTCAACATCACTGATCATCAGAGAAATTCAACCACTTTATATTACATTCTTCATTAGACTGACTTTTGGATCACAGAATCTGTGAGAATTATTTATTTTAATATTTTAGAGAATTTTTAAATAAAATCTATGGATTAAGCAAATGTGGTCTATTAATTAAAAAATCTGATGTAGTTCAATTGTTTTCCTGAAAGATCACAGTCTGTCACAGTTACATTGAACAAATTGATTGCTATTTGATTTTACTGTTGCTTAATTAAATAAAGTTATTCACTCATATTATTATTAGATATCTTTGGGAATATCCCAAATGTGCCCAAGTTGTCTCGTACAAATAATGAATTTTCCTTTTCCAAAGAATGATATGGCTGTACCAAATAAGAAAATGTGTTTAAGGAAGAAACACCAACATGTACAGGTAAGCTATACAGTATCTGCCTGAAACAGCATAACTTACCTCTGTAAACCTAAGCCTAAAACTACCTTAATTAAAAATTCTACCTACTTCATAACATTTCTGTGTCAGCAGATAGACTAAGGAAGCACATGTCCCTCTCTGTTCCTAATAAGGCAAAAATAAGTAACAAATAAATTTCAGCAAGAGGTGGTTTGGTTCAGAAATGTTCATATGGGTTAAGATTACCAACTTGCCTGAATAAGGAAAAAACTAAAACTTTGATTTGTTTATATCTCTTTGTTTGCTAAAGTTTCTGTTTCCTATGGTTGAAAAACAATATCAGAGTATAATCTACTCCTATTTTTGATTGACATAACATAAACCCAAATATGGAAATCAGCAAAATAGCTAACATTTTTCTAAACAAATGATTTTCAAGTCCCTGTGTAATAGAATATTTAGTGAAACATTGATGGAATCACAAACATGAGCATACCTGGCAAAGTGCCTGGCTCATTCAGTGAACTAATAAGTTAAATTGGATTTTTTTCATGTATTTTCCCCCTAGTCAGTATCATTAGTAAATCTAAAACAAGACACACACAGACACACACACACACACACACACACAACTGGGGAGAGAGAGAGAGAATTAAATTTAGAGTTACAAAGCTAAATTTAATGCTCCCTACATAAAATATGATAGAGAAAATGCTAATACACATTAGGAATGAACACTTAAAGCCTGTGTCCCATTTTTGTCACAATTTATTATAAATAACTTTTTAGAACAAGGGTTTAAAAAAAGAAAAATTCTCAGGGCATCTGGCATTTTCAGATGTTTTCATCAACATATCCCAGAGGTTGAAAATGGCCTAGGATATTTTGAATTTTGAGAGCCCCAATATATTATAAATGATGAAATATCAAAGCAAGTTTATCAAAATGAGGTTAGGCTTTAAAGGATTACAGATAGTCAGTTGATAATTTTAACACATTGAAAATACACTGACTTTATGAATAACCTCAGTTGGAGATTAATATCAAAAGTGTCATTGCTATGTCCTTCATGAAAACGAGACCCAGCGCCCTCTATGTGGCCCTTAGTCCTGTTATGCATAATTCCCACATCACGAAGATTACCCTGCAAATGTTAGAACTATTTTTTCCCTTAATTATTATTGATTGTGATAGAAATGTTTAAAATATATTTATTTTCCTTTTAAGAGATTATTTAACTTAATGTCATAAAGCATCAAAAATAAAAACATCAAATATTACTATTCACCATTTCAATGACATTATATTACCATATGTTCATTAAATGTGAATGACATAATTCTGTCCCTTTAGAATGTTACACTATCCATCTAGAGGTAATTCAGACATTCAATATTTATTCAGTGCTTGTCATATGCGAAGCCCTATTATAGGCTCTGAAGAAATATCAAGAAAGAAAACACACACACACACACACACACACACACACACACACACACGAACCCTATTCTTAATGTAGCAGTCAAGGCAGAGGTTGAGGGGAACAATAGAAAAAGTAATGATTTTATTTATTGAAGTTTTGAAAATATTTAATATTAATAAAAATTATGCTTATTGCAAAATTAGAAGCAATACAGGAGAATATAGTAAATATTAAAAGTCCTCCCTTTCTACTTCTCCACAAAATCCCGCTTATGAGGAGGGCTATTGTTAAGTTCTTATATGTATATGTATACTATATATGAATCATACTGTCTCCATAATGACAGGAAAAAAATATTTATATTCAGACATACACACTTATGAATAATTGATCTACATATTTATAGCCATTTTCTATATATATACACATATGGATTTTTTCTATGTGTGTAATGTATATACATGATCTTACTGCTGAAAGTTGTATATACTAGAGATGAACAAATTATTTATTTTAGCTCTCTAAATCTAAGTATTTCTGATTCCAAGAGTTGATAGAACAAATCACTTCAATCTTTCATTGTAATAATTCTTATTTTTGTGTTTCATGACTCCAGGAGACATATTGAATATATAGAAAATAGAAAGACTCTGTAATCTTCAGTTCTATATGGTCAGTGTATACCATACTTATCATTATCCATGTCAGCACGATCCTTTGAGATACAAGGTATTCAGTTTCAATGTTAAATAATCCATATTAGCCTTTTTCTAGGCTGAGAATTCTGGGCCGTAAGGTTTAGTCTTCTAGGCAGCATTCTTCCTCCTCCCCTCAAGCCTGCCTCTCACTTTGCATCCCATCCATTCCACACTGAAATTATATCACTTCCCTGGAGTGTTGAAAGCTAGCAGAGACCACAGATAGCAACTCTTCATGTAATCTGCAGACTAGCATCAGCATCTGAGGCTCAGGTGCTTGTTTGAGTGCTCGCTGTCTCCCTCTGCTTTTCTCTCATTTCCCTCTTCCTTCTTCAACTTTAAGGGGTTAGAAATTCAAATTTTTATGGGGGTGGGAGACATAAATTTAATGTGGGAGGTAGCAGAGTATACTACCTTCAGGAGGTATCATTGTTTCTTCTCTTTAACCATGCCTTACTCGGTAGCTCTGTTTGAATTCCTCTGATAACAGTGCACCCATCACATTACATATAATATTAAATTTTATTTGTGAATTTAACGAGTTGTAAGAAAGTTATGCTTTCCTTGAACCACAATATGTCATTGGGTAATGTCTACACATTTATTTTAACACAGATCTACTTGTGGAACTAATAGTATCAGGCCAATTCTTCTAACACACAAAGCTCCAAGACTATTTGAATAAAAGTTCCATAGCCTCTCAAAGGCATCTCTTCTGTTAATTGAACTCTATCCGTTACTTGTTTTTCATGGAATATCTTCATGAGATATTTTCTCCATATTCGCTGTCCTCTGCAAAATTCAACCAAGGCCTTATTTAACATGTTTTAGCATTGTTCTTAAAATGTAACATTTAATACTAGGCATAGAACCAGAACTCAATTTTATTTACCAGAACTCACTTAAGAAGGACTAAATAATTATTTTCCCTATGTGTTCTATTTTTTCATTAGGAAATGAAATTCAACATGAAAACTAAAACATTATACCAACAATTTTTGAAAAATTATGACTATAATAGCTTTATAAATAAGGATATTAATGATTCATATTGAATTACAATGCATGTTTATCTTAAAGACTAGGATATGGAAAACCACTAGCTAAAGATTATAGATGTATTTGTTACTATGTACTGTAAACAAACAAAAACAAACAAAAGACTGCATTAAAGTAAACAGATAAGAGTTACACTGTACTTACTCTGATTTGTAATTAAATAGCAAAGGTAGCAGGACTTCAAAATACATTACTTTTGGGGGACCAACAAAAATAATATTGAGGCAACAATGAATGACGGCAAAACTTAAATAAAGGCCCATCTGTGTGAACATGTGTAGTACAAACTTTACAATTGTGTACAAGCCCGTTTTGCTAGTAGACTTAGTTATCTTACTAACTTTAACTTTATTTTTAATATCAAATTTGAATAATCCTTATTAAATTGCCATTAGTTACACTCCACTTATTAATTCCCTCATTTCTTGCACACATAGTTTTAGCATGTACTGTCTTTTGGGCACTGTTCTGAGTTCTGGAGCTAGTTTGATAAAAAAGAAAATGAAAGTCATTGCCCTTCATGCACCTTATATTATTATTATTTACATTTTTATTTTTTTAATTTTTAATTGTTGTGGGTGCTTACTAGGTGTATATATTTATAGGACACATGAGATGTTTTTATACAGGCATGCAATACATAATAATCACATCACAATAAATGGGTTATCCATTCCCTCATTTATCCTTTGTGTTATAAACAATCCAGTTATACTGTTTTAGTTATTTTAAAATGTACAATTAAATTGTTAACTATAGTCACCCTGTTGTGCTATCATATAGTAAGTCTTATTCACTCTTTATAACTATGATTTTTATTGTACCTATTAACCATCCTCAACCCTCCCCTGCCCTGCACTACACTTCCCAGCCTCTGTCAACCTTCCTTCTACTCTCTATGTTCATGAGCTCCATCGTTTTGATTTTTAGATCCCACAAATAAGTGACAACATATGATGTTTGTCTTCCTGTGCCTGACTTACTTCACTTAACATAATGAACTCCAGTTCCATCTGTGTTGTTGCAAATGACAGGATCTCATTCTTTTTATGGTTGAATAATATTCCATTGTGTATATGTACCACATTTTTTTATCCATTCATCTGTTGATGGACACAGGTTGCTTCCAAATCTTGGATCTTGTGAATAATGCCACAGCAACAAACATGGGAATGCAGATATCTCTTCAATATACTGATTTTCTTTCTTCTGGGCATATACCCAGTAGTGGGATTGCTGGATCATATGGCAGCTCAATGTTTAGTTTTTGCGGAACCTCTGAACTGTTCTCCATACTCGTTGTACTAGTTACATTCCCACCAACAGTGTATGAGGGTTTCTTTTTCTCTACATCCTCACCAGCATTTGTTATTGCCTAATATTTGGATAAAAGCCTCTTTAACTTGAGTGAGATGGATATCTCATTGTAGTTTTGATCTGCATTTCTCTGATGATCAATGATGTTCAGCATCTTTTCATATGCCTATTTGCCATTTGTATATCTTTTCAGAGTAATGTATATTCAAATATTTTGCCCATTTTTAAGTCAGATTATTAGATCTTTTTTCATATAGAGTTGTTTGAGCTCCTTGTATATTCTGGTTATTAATCTCTTTTCAGATGGATAGTTTGCAAATATTTTCTCCCATTCTGTGTGTGGTCTCCTCACTTTGTTGATTGCTTCCTTTGCTGTGCAGAAGCTTTTTAACTTGATGTGATTTCATGTGTCCATGTTTGAATCATGCTTGCATCCCAGGGATAAATCCCACATGGTCATAATAAATAACCTTTTAAATTTATTGTTGAATTTGGTTGGCTAGTATTTTCTTGAGGATTTTTGAATCAATATTCATCATAGATATTGGCCTTTAGTTTTTTTTGTTTTTTTGATATGTCTTTGGTTTTGGTATCAGGGTAATACTGGTCTCATAGATTTGAGTTTGGAAGTATTCGCTTCTCCTCTATTTTTCAGAATAGTTTGAGTAGGATTGGTATTTGTTCTTCACATATTTGGTAGAATTCAGCTGTGCAGCTATCGAGTCCTGGATTTTTCTTTCCTTGAAGAGTTTTTATTCTAGCTTCAGTTTTACTACTTGTTATTAGTTTGTTCAGGTTTTGCATTTCTTCATGGGTTCAAACCTGGTAGGTTGTGCATCTCCAGGAATTTGTCTATGTCTTCTAGATTTTTCAATTTACTGGCATATAATTGGTCTATAATGCAGATTAAGTCCAATAATTTTTTGTTGATATTATTTATGGAAGATCTTTCCAATGCTGAAAATGGAATGCTGAATTCTCCAGCTATTATTGTTTTGGGGCCTATATCTCTCATTAGCTCTAATAATATTTGCTTTATATATATGGGTACTCTAGTGTTGGGTGCATATATATTTAAAATTGTTATATTCCTTTCCTGAATTGACCCATTTATAGAGTGACCTTCTTTGTCTCTTCTTATAGTTTTTGTCTTGAAATCCATTTTGTCTTATATAATTATAGCTACTCCTGCTCTTTCTTAGTTCCCATTGGCATGAAATATCTTTTGTCCTCCCTTTATTTTCAATCTATGTGTGCCTTTATAGGTGAAATGTGTTTTCTGTAGGCAACAGATCAATGGATCTTGTTTCTTTATCCATTCAGACACTCTATGTCTTTTGAGTGGAGAGTTTAGTCAATTTACATTCAATGATTCAATGTAATTATTGATTAGTAAGGACTTACTCTTACCATTGTGTTATTTGTTTTCTGGCTGTTTTGTGGTCTTACCTTTCTTTTAATTGGTATTATCTTTTTTTTTTTTTGAGAGAGAGAGAGTTTCACTCTTGTTGCCCAGGCTGGAGTGCAATGGCATGATCTTGCCTCACCGTAACCTCTGCCTCCCAAGTTCAAGTGATTCTCCTGCCTCAGCCTCCTGAGTAGCTAGGATTACAGGCATGTGCCACCATGCCAAGCTAATTTTTGTATTTTTTAGTAGAGATGAGGTTCCACCATGTTGGTCAGGTTGGTCTCAAACTCCCAACCTCAGGTGATGAGCCCACCACGGCCTCCCAAAGTGCTGGGATTACAGATGTGAGCCACCACATCTGGCCGGTATTATTTTCTTTTTTCTTTCCTTCCTGTTTTCCTTTTAGTGAAGGTAATTTTCTCTGGTGATGTGATTTTGTTTCTTGCTTTTTATTTTTTGTGTATCTATTGTATAATTCTTGGTTTTAGGTTACCATTGGGGTTGTAAATACTATTTTATAGCACATTATTTTAAGTTGATAACAACTTAAAAATGTTTGTCTAAATAAACCAATAAGCAAAAAGAAAACTAATAAAGACTCTATGCCTTAACTTCATCTCTCCACTTTTTAACTTTTTGTTGTTTCTAATTATATCTTATTGTACTGTCTATGTTTTGAAAAGTTGTTGTAATCATTTTAATTGGTTCATCATTTAGTACTTCTTCTTAAGATTAGTTTGCACACCACAGTGTTATAGTATTACAGTTACATTGTTATAATATTCCGTGTTTTTCTATATACTTACTTCAGTGAGTTTTGTCCTTCAGAAGGTTTCTTATTGCTCATTAACATCCTTTTCTTTTTGGTTGCAATAGTCCCTTTAGCATATCTCATAGGACAGGTCTGGGTTGGTGAAATCACTTGGCTTTTCTTTATCTGGAAAAGTGCTTATTTCTCCTTCATGTCTGAAGAATATTTTCACCATATACAATAATGTAGGGTAAAAGTTTTTGTTTTGTTTTCTTTCTTCATCACCATCTTCAATATGTCATGCCACTCTCTCCTGGCCTGTAAAGTTTCCACTGAAAAGTCTGCTGCCAGACATATTGGAGCTACATTGTATGCTATTTGTTTTTTTTCTCTTGTTGTTTTTAGGATTCTTGTTTTATCCTTGACCTTTGGGAGTTTGATCATTAAAGGCCTTGAAGCAGTCTTCTTTGGATTAGATTTGCTTGGTGTTCTATAACCTTCCCTTACTTGGATATGGATGTGTTTCTCTAGTTTGGGAAGTTATTCATTATTATCCCTTTGAATAAACTTTCTACTCTCATCTCTTTCTCTATATCTTTTTAAGGCAAATAACTCTTATATTTGTCCTTTTGAGGCTGCTTTCTGGATCTCGTAGGCATGACTTATTGGTTTTTATTCTTTTTTTTTTTGTCTCCTCTGGATTTTCAAACATCCTGTCTTCAAACTCATTAATCTTTCTTCTGCTTCATCAACTCTGCTATTAAGACTCTGATACTTTCTTTCATGAGCCAATTGCATTTTTCAGCTCCAGAATTTCTGCTTGATTCTTTTTCATTATTTCAATCTCTGCTAAATTTATCTGATGGAATTATACATTCCTTTTCCGTGTTATTTTGAATTTCACTGAGTTTCCTCAACACAGCTATTTTAATTTTCTGTCTGAAAGGTCATGTATCTTTGTCTCTCCAGGATTGGTCCTTGGTGTTTTATTTAGTTCATTTGGTGAGGTCATGTTTTGTTGGATTGTCTTGGTACTTTTCAATGTTCATCTGTGTCTGGGCATTGAAGAGTTAGATATTTATTTTAGTTTTAGCAGTCTGGGCTTCTCTGTGCACATCCTTCTTGGAAAGGTTTACCAGATATTCAAAAGGAAGTGGGTGTTGTGATCTAAGTTGTATCTGCTTTATGGGGCACCTGAAGCCCAGTAACACTGTGGTTCTTACAGACTCATTGAGGTACCGCCTTGATGGTCTTGGACAATAACCAGAAGAATTCTCTGGATCACCAGGCAGAGACTCTTCTTCTCTTCTTTTACTTTCTCCCAAACAACTGGAGTCTCTCTGTTCTGAGCCACATGGAGCTGGGAGTGGAGTGACAGAAGCTTCCCTGTGTCCACCATCACTATGACTGTGCTGTGTCAGATCTGAAGCCATCATAGCACTACATCTCACCTATGACCTGTTGTAACCACTCCCTGGCTACTGCCTATGTTCACTCAGGGCCCTGCAGCCCTACAATCAACAGGTGACCAAGGCAGCCAGGCTTGTGTCCTTCCCTACAGGTTGGTGAGATCCACCGGGCCCTAGGCAGAGCGAGAGGTATGATCTGGGAGCCAGGAACCAGAGTGAAAAACCTTAGAGGTCTACCTGGTATTCTATTGCACAACAGCTGAACTGGCACTCAAACCACAAGATGTTGTTCCTCCTCTTCCTTCCAATTCCAAAGGCAGAGGAGTCTCACTCTGGGCCATCACCACCACAGGCCCATGGGGAGTAATTGTCAGTCTACCACTGTTGTTCCCTTAAGGCCCAAGAGCTCTTCAATTAGCCTGTGGTGAATGCCGCCTGGCCTTGGACTCACCCTTGAGGACAGAGTGTGTATTAGTCAGCGTTGTCTAGAGGGAAGAACCAATAATATATTTATAAGGGGAGTTTTTTAGGGAATATTAACTCACAAGATCACAAGGTCCCACAATAGGCCATCTGCAAGCTGAGAAGCAAGGAAGCCAAGCCAAGTCCCAAAGCTGAAGAACTTGGAGCCTGATGTTTGAGGGCAGGAAGCATCCAGCACGGAAGAAAGATGTAGGCTAGGAGGCTAAGCCAGTATAGCCTTTTATTGTTTTCTGCCTGCTTTATATCCTGGACACACTGGCAGCTAATTAGATTGTGCCCACCCAGATTGAGAGTGGGTCTGCCTTTTACATCCCACTGACTCAAATGTTAATCTCCTTTGACACACCCAGGATCAATATTTTGCATCCTTCAATCCAATCAAGTTGACAGTATTAACCATCACAGTGTGCTCCTCTCTGGCCCAGGGCAGGTCCAATAATACTGTCTAAGATCCAAGGCCTGGAATGAAAGACCCCAAGAACCCACTTGGTGCTCTATGACCATGTGGCTGAGTTGTTACCTAAGGTATAAGACAAAGTCTCCTTTACTTTTCCCTTTGCTTTACTCAAGCAGAAGTCTCTCCCTGTAGCCAACACAGCTGGGGATGGGCTGGGTCTTACCTGAAGTCGGCAAGTCTCAGTGTCTCACCCAAGGCCCTTGATGTAGTACCTAGCTATTGCTGATGTTTTTTCAGGACCCAAGGTCTCTTCAGTCATCAGGTGATAAATCCTGCTAGAACTGGTTCCTTCCCTTCAAGACATCAGGTGCCCTTCTGTCCAAGAGTTTGCCTAGAAATGTCATTCGGGAGCTAGGCCCTGGAAAGTGGGCCTCATGACTCTGACCAATACCTTATCCTGCTGTGGCTTAGCTGGTATCCAGGATGCAAAACAAAGTCCTCCCTGCTCTCTCCTTTCCTCTCCTCAAGCAGAAGAAAGGGGTTTGTTTTGGAGCCACAAGCTGTGAAGCCTGGGTTTGGGGTAGGGGTGAGGCCAATACTCCCTTAGCCAGCCAGGCTGGTGTCTCAGTCAGTCTTGTGCACTCCTAGTCCTCTGGCTCTAGGTCCCTTTCTGCACTAGGATTCACCTAGGAGTTTCAGTCCTTGTGGCCTAAACTGCCTTTCAAGTTTATTTAAGACCCCAGAGCCTTTCTCCTGTGGTGGTGATGCTTGCAGGAAATTAAGGTCTGACTGCTGGGATTGACAATTCCCCTCTGGCTAGGGCTGATTTAAATGCTCCCTCCATGGAGGAGCATCAGCAGTGTTTGGTCAGCATTTTCTTTCTGCTTTAACACGGCAGCGCTGAGTTCAATTTCTCAAATTTCTCACAATTGCTGAGTTCTTCCTCTCCCTAAGTTACGGAAATGCTCTCAGCACCATGCCGCCATTGCTGGAAAACGGGAGTGGGGTGGCATCTGCGATTCAAGACAGTTTTTTACATCTCTTCAGTGCCTCTTTCAGCTATATGAATTAAAAACCAGGTACTGTGGGTGCTCACCTGAATTCTGGTTCTTATGAAGGTGCTTTTATGGTGTAAATAGTTTTTAAATTGGTGTCCTTGTAGAGGGGACAATCGGTAGAGCCTTCTATTCTGCCATCTTGCCCCATCTCCTCACCTTGAAATTTATATTATATGTTAACTATAAAAGCTTTACTTAAAAAGAAAATTCTGCACATCGGTCATACCCATTTATCAAAAATGACTATTATTTTTTAAACTGGAAGATCTTACTATTGCAGGTATTTTGATAACAAAGGTTATAATGGGAGTACGTTTTTATTCTAAGTCATAACATTTATCATTTTAACAGATAGTTAAAATATTTAACTCTGCGTAATTACCAGTAAGTCATTTTATATGCTTTCTGGACTTTTAAGAAAGATTTATTTCCACTACCTTAAACAATCTTATAGTATGGTGGGCAGAATAATTGCACCCACCAAAGATGCCCACAACCCTATCTCTGGAATTTGTGAATATGTTGTAATTCAGGGCAAAAGGGACTTTGCAGATGTGATAAAGCTAAGAATGTTGGGATGAGGAGATTATCCTGGATTATCCAAGTGGACCAAATATAATCACATGAGGCCCTAAAGTGGATAATTATTACTGATTGTGGTCAGAGATGTGAGAACAGATGGAGAACGGAGGGCCAAAGACCTTCAATATGACCAGTCTCACGTCTTTAGCTTTAAAAGTGGAGGAAGGAGGGAGACCATGAAACAAGGAACGTGGCAGCCTCAAGAAGTTGTGAGTGGCCCTCACCTGACAGCCGGAAAGAAAATGGGGACCTTGGTTCCATCACTATTCTGTTTTAGAATTGCAACAAGCATCCTTTAAAGCGATGAGAAAAGAAGACAAAAGCGATAAACTTTATTTAGTTTGTGCTTAAGCCCTAAGCATTCTTTATACATGCTTATTCAGAATTGTATCGTTCCCTTCAGCTGTTAGCTGTAGGTATTTGGTGATAAATAAGATAGTTTAAGACTAAATACATATCTTACAGTTATATTATTGGCAATATGCAGCATAGGGTAATTTTGGAGCATTGTTCTGTTTCTAAAGACCAGTATTTGCACCATCACTATCTAACAAAATAAATAAAATAGGCCAATATAATTTTCAAGTACCTAAAAAATTATAGGAGAATTATATTTTTTAAAAATTCAGCTTCACTTTTTTTGAAATGATTATATTACTTTCTGTATTATATTCCCTTCTTATACTCTATATTTGATATTGTGCATGATATAAACAAGTGTTAAGCTGAAAGTCAATAGTGTTGGAGTCTCATAAAAATACTTTCTTTGAACTATTTGGCAAGCCTCCTAACTTCTCCAGATTTCAATTTTTTAATTTGATAGATTTGTAAAAGGTGATTTATTTACCTGATCATTTTGTAAACATTTATTAGAAGAAATTGCTCATATCTTCTACTTTTGAAATCTGAAATATAGTCCGTGGTACTCTACAAACCCATCTTAAAAAATTATTGTTTATCAAATACAGTATTCATACTACTGTGCAAATTATTTTGTTGCCTCCTAATACAGGTTTTCATGTCCAAAATATATAAAGAAATTAGCATTACTGCAATAATTTTCTTTAAAACAGTGCATTTGATAAGAGACTAATAAGCTATGAGACACAGCCATTGGAGATAATATTTTTCCTCACTGTTTTTTATTTTTTAAATCCTTTTCACTTACCATTTAATCATTTGAACTATCTATTGTGTATTCATTTTTTCCCGTCATTTCTCTCTCTCTTTTCTTACTTCATTATTCGTTTTTAATATGGGGAAATAGATTTCTAGGTTTTATGTAATATCTACCAACATTAATTTTTGTCTTAAATACATTGAATAAACTTCCTGTTCAAAATTTTAATAAATCAACTAATTTTAAATGGTGATTTTTGGCAACTTTTTAAAGGTTTCAATCTAGGTTTCTATATTAATTTTTCAAATAACTATGAGTTGCATATTTTTAGGTATATAATCTGAGTTGCATGATAAGGACATATACTCCATCTACATCATTCTTCTATTGTTTTAAGGGAATATAACAAGTATGAGTTTTTAATTTATTTCATTCTGTGAGAAATCTGATTTTCAGAAAAAAACTACTGTTCTGTTTTTTGGGGGTTTTAGATTATAACTAAAAATGGCAGACCCTTCTCCCACCTATCTTATAAACTGATGGGGCTAATTAATAATTGGTGCAATTAATTTGCCTTTTTTGGAAGGCAAACTAGTTATATACCTAAAACATTGAAAATATGAGTTTCCCATCAAAATAATTTATGTTATACTAAATAATAATATTAGATTTGAAAATACAAGTAAAAAAACCATAGATTGACACAGTTTCATATATAAAAATATTTTCCCAAACACTCTATATATTAGCAAAAATATAAGAAGAAAACTAAAGGCCTCACAATTTCAGATTGATTAATAACTATAATATATACATAAAATATACTACATAGTAATTCATAGTTATTACCATAGATGTGCATGTATTAATTTGAAGAGACATTTATGATATATTGCTATATAAATTAACTCAGTTATAAAACTAGAATATAATCCCATTGCATAAATATTCTTGGGAAAAGTCTAAGCATAGACTTAAAATAATATTCTTAAATGTCTGTTCATTTCTTATTGCTTTACAAACTTACCGTTTACCACTAACTTAGTGGCTTACAACAAAGCAAATTTATTATCTTATATTTCTATGAGTCAGAAATCTAAAAAGAGTATTATGGGGCAAAAATCAAGGTGTCTGCAGGGGTATGTCCCTTCTGGCAGCAGCAGGAAAGAATCCACTTCTTGCTTATTTCAGCTTTTTAGGCTTCCTGCATTCCTCGGCACATCGCCCCTCTATCTTCAAAGCCAGATGTGCCTTTCTCACGTCGTTGTGACCTCTGCTTCTGTATTCACATCTTCTCTGACCCTCTGACTCTCCTGTCTTCCTCTTTCACATTAAAAGGACCTTTGTGATTATGTTAGATGCACACAGATAATAATCTTTCCATCTCATGATCTTCGATTAAATCACAGCTGCCAAATTCCTTTTGCTGTGTAAAGTAATACATTCGCAGAGTCAGGATTTTCATGTAGACATCTTTGGAGAGCTGTTTTTCTGCCTACCACAAAAAGGTATTTATTTTTATTTCTTTTTTATTTCAAATAATTTCTGACCCTTCCTTCCCACTGTCACCCACTAGCAGGTAATCATTATTAACCAAATAGTGTATATCCTCCCAGATTATTTTTACATATATGTTTACACAGATAGGTAGATACTTATTACATCATGGAATTATACATTCTGTTATTATCCTTAAATTTTCCTTGAAATATATATTCTGAATATTTTACAGAATTTTTGTATAGTCCTCCTGTAGGTTTATGAACACAGTTTTAATTTGATGGCTGCTGCCAAATTCCTCACAAAAATGTCGTAAAATTAGAAACCCACCTCCTGTGTCTGAAGGTAGTTTTTTCTTCACAATTTTTGTAAAGATTGAACATTATTATTCATTATAATATTTGCAAAATTGGAAAAATATCTGCTAAGGTATTTCTATGAATGCTACTGAATGCAATCATCTCTTTGTAAATATTGTGATAAAAAATAATATCTAAAAAGAAAATGTGACAATTGCTGTGTGTTAAAAAGAATTGCCAGAAATTAAAATCTTTTAAAAACAACAAAAATGCTTTGCAGTACAGTGATGTTGGGAAAATCAATAAATAAATTCATGAAATAGATGAGAGTCAAGGAAGAAAATAAGAATGTTAACACTAGATTATTTAGCAAAAAATGTCAGGGAAACTGGCTGAAACAAATATAAAATTAAGTAAAGCCTTATTTTATACATTACTTCAAATTTTAATATCAGATAAATATCAGACTGAAAAAAGTCAAGTAACCAATAACTTATAAAACAGAAAATATATATACTGATTAATGGGTCTTAGATTAAAAAAATTTTTAAGAGTAATAGAAATGTGATAAATCACAAAGTAAAATGGTCAGTGTATTTGACCATGTAAATATTTAAAATGCTTTTGAAAATCTAAAAATAAAAAAGTAAAAGACAACAATAAACCAAAAAATTAGTTTGGAAAATACTTGTCAAACAAAATTCTAATACTTTTAATAATTGAGGCTATTAATAAATGACTGAGGTTATTTAATTCATGGACTACATTCATGAAACACATTTAATTCTGGGAAGTGTAAATGCTATACAAATAAAGACTCTAGAAAATAATGTATTTAAGTTAAACATTCTAATCAAGTTAAAAAAGCTCTTTTTTAAACCTATCATTTTACCCCATGAGACTATAATAATGCCTGGTACATAGGAAGGCACTTAAATATTTATTAAAGAGAAAAATGAATGAATGATTTCTTCATAGCATTATTTATAATATTCAAAATTTGGAAATAACCCATATGTGCAACCCAAATAAAAGAAACAGTTAAATAAAGGATACCTAAATAAAATATATCAAGTAGATAACATAAATAATGTTTTGGAAAATATTTTATGTCATATGAAAAAATGTTTAAAAGATAATTTTCAACATTAAACCTCAGTTATGACATCAATGAGTTTTCTCTAATTATATAGAGAATGAAATATAGTTATAGCTGATCTCATTTTTTCTTGGTTCTGCTTACCCAAAGAAATAGGCTGTGTAAACTCTAAAGGCACCTCAACTTCTCTGAGGCCACGCAAAGCCCTCTTACCTCAGAGCCCTTGCCTTGTTGATACATGTAGTTATTTCAGCTTTTTAGGCTTCCTGCATTCCTCGGCCCTCTTTTCCTGCTGCTAACTCTTTTCATACTACTATGGCCTTACTTTATACCTTTATACCTAGTTAAGCAGCAAAGTCATTGAACCCA
Source organism: Homo sapiens (assembly GCF_000001405.40). Classification (NCBI taxonomy): domain Eukaryota; kingdom Metazoa; phylum Chordata; class Mammalia; order Primates; family Hominidae; genus Homo; species Homo sapiens. Next base: position 184,380,375 of record NC_000002.12, on the reverse strand, counting down.
CAATAAATTAGCCTGGAATAATATTCTGAAACATTCAAATAACTTATGGATCAATTCTGCTGCTGTCTTGAGTTCATTCTTACACTTACCCCTTATGAATCCCTGTCTGTTGCTTTGAAACTATGTTTTACTTCTGGAGCACAATCCTCACTCTGTCAGTTACAGGTCCATGCTTCCTCTGGTAACTCAAATTACTCCTGGCCATGTGTACGCCTCTTCTTTTTACCGCAGCACATTTGATATCAGAAAGATATAATGTAAAACTAGATTATCCATGACCCCAATATTATAAATACTACATAAGCAAAACAGTGAGTTTTGGCAGGATAAACTGAGCTTTATTTCTCTACATCATCTGTCCCATGCTACCACCCCATCATTCACACCATCTTCCTCTCTTACAGGTGGGTTGGTCATGGGAATTCATTGTAAATATGAAATGTTTTGTAATATTCTTCTAAGGAGGGGGAATACTATTCTGAGAGGAGGGGGAAATAGTGATTGGAATAAAACCAGAGCCCAAATTATTTGCTTGCAAAAAATTAATCCAAGTTAGGTTTATGGCACCACAAGGATTTAGGAAAAACTTTATTTGGAATTCTCTAGAGCAGTGTGGCCACAAACAGGTTTTCTAATTTTTCTCTAAATCGCATTTGAAAATTGTGTACCTCCTCACACTTACTAAGTTAAAATAAAATTTGTTTCATTATAGGTTTATGAAGTTCCAAGTAATGCAATTTTTCAAGTTTTTGTAAACTTAAACATTAAGTTGTTTTTGCTTTTAAAGCTGATGAGTAGAATCTAAATATCATACAGCTTTCAGCATTCATTTAAAATAGTTGAGTAAGCTCTTTTTAATATTAAAGTAATTTACACTTAAAAATTAACTTTTATTTCCATTCCACTTCCCTCATGAAATTTTTCACTGCGTAAGTTATTTATTCTATGTCATATTCTTTTATTGATGTCTCCTTAATATTTCTCTAAAAAAACATGCATATAAGTTAATTTTTTAAAAATTTCTAATCAAAATTATAGTGTGTGTGGCAGGGTGTGGTTATTGAACACTTCCTTACTTTTTGAAAACAAAAGGTGTTCTAGGCCCTCGTCCTAGAATTAGTCATTTCTCCAAGGAGCTCTGGCCCCTTTTCTTGAAGAATGGAACCAAATTCTGAGTGCTAGGGACACTGTTATTGGAGTGTCCTTGATTCTTGACTCTCTTAGTTTAGAGCAAAAGAAAATACAGGTGTATGTGATAATTGATTTACATGCATGTACTTATAAATATTTCTATATGTAATTCTCTCTCTCACTCGCTCTCACTCTATTAAGCAGGTGTGAAAGTAATTGCAGTTTTTGCCATTATAATGGCAAAAACCGCAACTTAATGGCAAAAACTGCCGTTACTTTTGCATCAATTTAATATCTATCTATATTATGGTAAACATGAGTTCATACTGATGTTGCCAGCTCCAATACATTACCACATAAATTATTCTAGCATCTTCCCCTTGAGTCTCTGTAACCTCCTATTCCAAGAATAAGAAATCTGTTTTTTGCCATCTGCCATCAACACACTTAATTTTTTATTTACGGTATACATGCATAATTCCAGAATTATTATTTTATATACCAGCGAAAGCAACTTTATCAACTAGATTATGGGACTTGTGTATAGTTGCATGCTTTTTAAAATGTTTTAAATTAACAGACTTTTAGAGCAGTTTTATGTTTACAGAAAACTAAAAGAACAGAGTTTACATATTCCCTCTCTCCCTCCACACTTAGTTTCTTCCATTGTTAATGACTTGCATTAGTACAATACAGCTGTTATACTTGATGAACCAGCATTGAATACATTATTATTAACTAAAATCCATAGTTTACATTATCGTTTACTCTTGGTGCTGAACATTCTATGAGTTTTGACAAATTGATGACATCAATGTACCATGACAATAATATACAGAATAATTTCACTGTCTAAAAATCCCTTGTGCTCCTATTATTTCTTTCCTCTGTGCTTTAAACATCTTGAATCCACAACCACAGAGTTTTTTCTGTCTCCACAGTCTGCTTTTTACAGATTATCAAATAGTTGAATAATACAGTATGTACCCTTTTTAGACTGGCATCTTCTAATTAACAATATGCATTTCAAGTTCCTCCATGTCTTCATTGCTTGATAGATCTTTTATTTTCATGGCTGAATAATATTCCACTGTATGAATGTATCATGGTTTGTTCATCCACTTATCCACTGAAGGACATCTGGCTGTTTCCAAATTTTGGAAATTATGAATAAAGCTGCTATAAACATATGTGTGCAGGTTTTTGTGTGGATATGAGTTTTAAACTCATTTTGATAAATACCAAGGAGTGTGATTGCTGGATTTGTATGGTAAAACTATGTTTAGTGTTATAACAATGGCCAAAGTCTCTTCCAAAGTAGCTGTACCATTTTGCAGTTCCAGCAGAAATGAGAGTTCTTGTTGCTCCATATTCCCACCAGCATTTGTCGTCATCACTGTATCAAATTTTATCTATTCTAACAGGTGTACAGTGGTATCTCACAGTTGTTTGAATTCTCAATCCCCCAATAACATATGATGCTGAGCATCTTTTTATATGCTTATTTGCCGTCTGCTATTGTTTGTTTGTCCCTCATGAATCTCATGTTGAAATTTAATCTCCAATGTGGAGGTGTTGGGAGGCAGGGTGTAACTGTAGGTGTTTGGTTCTTGGGGATGGATCTCTTATGAATAGATTAATTCCCTCCCTCAGGGGTGAGTGAGTTCTCACTTTAATAATTCCCAACAGAGCTTGCTGTTGAAAAGAGGCTAGCACTTCTCCCCTCTCACTCTTGGTTTCTTTCTTGCCATGTGATCCCTGCACACACTGGCTTCCCTTCATCTTCAACCATAATTGGAAGCAGCCTAAGGCCTTCACCAGATGCAGATGTTCAATCTAAAATCAGAATCATAACCCAAATAAACCTTTTTTAAAAAAAAATGAATCACCCAGATTCAGGTATTTCTTTACAGTAAGACTAAACAAACTAAGACATCATCTGTATATCTTTTTTTGTGAGCCATCTGTCTAAAATCTTTTACCCATTTTTTCATCAGAATTCTTGTTGAGTTTTAAGATTTCTTCCTGTGTTTTGGATGTGAAGCATTTTTCAGATATGTGTTTTGCAAATATTTTATCCCAGTCTGCAGCTTTTAAAAAATTCTCTTTACAGTGTCTTTTGCACAGCACAAGCTTTTAATATTAAGTAAAACCTACCAATTTATTTTTCTTTTCATAGATCTTGCTTTTGGTGCTGTATCTAAAAAGGCATTGTGAAACACAACATCACTTAGACTTTCTCTTATGTTGTCTTCTAGGAGTTTTATTGTTTTGAATTGTACATGTAGGTCTGTGTTGTATATCAAGTTAATTTTGAGAAAGGTGACAGGTATATTGTGTGGGCCCTTTATTGTTCCATATATCTTTTAACAATAACACAGTCTTGATTAACATAGTTTAATAGTAATTTTTGAATTACTGTATCTAAGTCTTCCAACTTTGTTTTTCTTCCCCTCCATATGAATTTTGTAATACATTTTAGGTATCCACTAAATAACATGCTAAAATTTTCATTGGATTTTCACTGAATCAATACATCTAATTGAGAAGTATGAACAATCTTAACCATATTGACTCTTTCTAGTCATGAATATGGAATTTAACTCCAGTTGTTTAGATCTTAGATTTCTTTCGTCAGAGTTTTGTTTTTTTCACATAGATATTCTTCATATTTGTTTTTCTATACCAAACTAAGTATTTTATTTTAGGGTGCTATTGTAATTCTTGTGTATTTAATTTCAAATTCTAGTTGTTCATTGCTGGTGTATAGGAAAGCAATTGACTTATGTATGTACTCATACCTCAGAGATATTGCAGTTCTGGTTCTTCACCAAGGCAATAAAGGGAAATGCAATAAAGAAAGTCACAAATTGTTTGTTTTTCAGTGTGTATAAAACTTATATTTATACTATACTGTGGTTTAAGTGTGCAATACTATTATATCTCAAAATAATGTGCAGGCCTTATTTAAAATATACTTTATTGCTAAAAATGTGTAACAATCATTTGAGCCTTCAGTGCATTGTATTCTTTTTTTAGTGGAGGGTCTTGCCTCAAAGTTGATGGCTGCTGACTGATTAGAGTTGTGCCTGCTAAAGTTTGCAGTGGCTGTGCCAATTTCTTAAAGTCAGACAACACTGAAGTTTCCCATATCAGTTGACTCTTCCTTTCATGAAAGGCTTCTCTAACATATGATGTTGTTTGATAGCATTTAATTAACAGTAGAACTTCTTTGATAATTTAAATCAATACTCCAAAACCTTGCTGCTACTTTATCAATTAAGTTGATATATTTTTCTAAACACTTTGTTGAGATTTCAAACGTATTCACACAGCATTTTCACCAGGAATATATTCCTTTGCAAGAAACCACCTTTTCTTGTCATCTATAAGTAACAACTCCTCATTGATTCCAATTTTCTCATAAGATTTCAGCAATTCAATTTTCTAATTGCCACTTCTACTTCTAGTTCTCTTGCTATTTCTACTATATCTACAATTATTTCTTCCACCAAAGTAATAAACACCTCAAAGTCATCCATGAGGCTTGAAATCAACTCATTTCAAACAATTGTTAATATTAATGTTGATATTTTGACCCCTTCTAATGATTCATGGATGTTCTTAACGGCATCTGGAATGGCAAATTGTTTCTAGAAAGTTTTCAATTTACTTTGCCCAGATGCAATGGAGAAATTACTATTTATGGAAAAACAGCTTTATAAAATATTCTTAAATAATAAGGCTTGAAAGTCAAAATTACTCTGTGATCCATGCACTGCACAATGGATTTTGTGTTGGCAGGCATGAAAACACTATGAGCCTTGTACATCTCCATCAAACCCCTTCACTGACTAGGTTTATTGTCAATGAGTAGTAATATTTTAAAAGCAATCTTTTCCTCTGGGTAGTAGGTCTCAACACTGGGCTAGAAATATTCAGTAAATCATGGTGTAAACAGATGTGCTGTCATCCAGAATTTGTTATTTAATTTATGGAGCACAGGCAGAGTAGATTTAGCATCACTGATAAGGACCCTAGGTTTTTTAAAATGATAAATGTGTATTGGCTTCAACTTAATGTCACCAGCTGCATTAGCCCCTAACAATTGAGTCAGCCTGTCCTTTGAAGGTTTGAAGCCAGTCATTGACTTCTCCTCTCTAGCTGTGAAAGTCTTAGATGGAATCTTCTTTCAATATAAGACTGTTTCATCTACACTGAAAATCTGTTGTTTAGTGTAGCACCCTTCATCAACTATCTTAGCTCGATCTTCTAGATAACTTGCTGAAGCTTCTACATCAACACTTGCTGCTTCATATTGCACTTTTATTTTATGGAGATGGTTTCTTTTCTTAAACCTTATGAAACAACCCTTATTAGTTTCAAACTTTTGTGCATCTATTACCCCTTTCAGCCTTCATAGAACTGAAGGGGCCTTATTGTAGATTAGTCTTTGGCCTATAAAAAAGTTGTGCTTGGTTTGATCCTTTATCCAGGCCACTACAACTTGCTCCGCATCAGCACTAAGGCTATTTTGCTTTCTTATCATTCATGTGTTCACTGGAGCAGTGCTTTTAATTTTATTGAAGAACATTTCTTTTGCATTTACAGCTTGGCTAACTGATGCAAGAGGCCTAGCTTTAGTCTTATCTCAGCTTTTGACATGCCTTCCTCACTAAGATTAATAATTTCTAGCTTTTAGTATAAAGTGAGAGATGTGTGATTCTTCCTGTCACTTGAATATGTAGAGGTCATTGTAGTGTTAATTTACCTAATTTTGATATTGCTATAGCTTAGGGAACAGGGAAGCCCAAGGAAAGGGACAGAGATGGGGGACCAGTCATTGGTGAACCACTTGGAACACACATAGCATTTTTTATTAAGTTCTCCATCTTATATGAGGATGATTCATGGAGACCCAAAACAACTACAATATAGCATCAAAAATCACTAATTGCAGATAAGCTTAAAAGATATAATAATAATGAAAAAGTTTGAAATATTGTGAGAATTTCTAAAATGTGATACAGAGACATGAAGTGAGCACATGCTGTTGGAAAAATGACAATGATAGACTTGCTCACTGCAGGGTTGCTACTAATCTCTAATTTGTAACAAATACAATATCCATGAATCATAATGAAGCAAAGTGAAATAAAACAAGGTATACATGTATTAGCCTTATAGCCTACAAACTTACTATAATTGCCTATTAGTTCTAGGAGTTTGTCATTGTTGTTGAATCTTTGTGATTTTCCACAAAGACAATTATGTAATCTGCAAAAAAATATATTTTCATTTCTTCTTTTCCCATCTGTATGCAATTTTAATTACTTTTATTGGCTTGCTGCATTAACTAAGACTTCTGGTAAGATGTTGATAGAAATGGTAAGAGGCAACATCTTTGTTTTGTTCCTGCTCTTGGAAAAGCATCTAGCCTCTCACCATTAAGTATGTTAGCTGTAGTTATCTTTTGGAGACAGTCTCTATTACATTAATAAAGTTCCCCCTATTCCTAGTTTGCTGAGTTTTTTTTATAATGAATGAATGTTGGGTTGTATCGAACATGTTTTCTGTACTTATTGATATGATAAAACATTTTTTTTCTTTTTTAGCTTGTTGATGTAATGGATTACATTGACTTATTTTTGAATGTTGATTCAGTTTTCCCTATTTGGAATGAATCCTACTAAGTCATGGTATATAAATATTTTTATATATTGTTGTTAGATTTTATTTGGTAATATTTTGTTGAGGTTTTTCACATTTAGGTTCATGATGGATATTGGTCTATGGTTTTCTTTATTGTAATATTTCTCTCATTTAGTATTAGGTTTATGCTAACCGAATACAATGAGTCAGGAAGTATTCCTTCTGCTTCTATTATCTGGAAGACATTGTAAAGCAATGCCCTGATTTCCTCCTTAAATGTTTTGTGGAATATACTGGTGAGTCCATCTGGGCCTAGTACTTTCTGATTTGAAAAGTTATTGAATCAATTTATTTAAGACGTACAGATATATTTATTTTATATATTTCTTCTTTTGTGAAATCTGAAAATTGTGAGATTGTTTCTTTTAAAAAATTGGTCCATTTCATCTAAATTATCAAATTTGTAGGCATAAAGTTGCTCATAATATCCCTTTTAATATCCACAGATTCAGGAGTGATGGTTCCTCTTTTATTTCTCATGTGATTAATATTTGACCTCTTTTTTTTTCTTATATAATTCTTAACTTGAAATGGATTGTAGGTGTAAATTTAAAATCCAAAAGTAGAAACTTCTAAGAAAAAAATAAACATAAGTAAAAATTGGTGTGATGATTTAGGCGTGTTTACTGTTTTCTATAGCTTTAAGTTTCAGAGGCTAAAATTTATTCTGTTGTCATTATTTTTGTTTCTTTTCTTTTCTTTGTGTTTCTTTAGATCCTCCTTCTTAAATAATGCTTTAAGTTTTCAGTTCTCTCCATTGTAATTGCCTATTATTATGCAGGAGTCCTATTGATGTGGTGGTAAGGTATGGGGGGAGAGAAAGTTTTCTATTGTCCTATGATTAGATTGCAAGCTTTTAGTGAGCCTGTGACCCAGGGCTGTGATCTTCACAAATTCTTGCTAGTGCTTTTCCCCTCAGGAAGGAACTGGAATTAAGTATTCCCATTCCCCCATGTCAGGCTCCTGTAAAACCCACAGTGGTTAGGTTCTGGTAAAATAGTGTGACTTGAGGGAGGGCTTTTGTTAAAGAGAACAGAATCCTCTGGTTATATTTTTAAATGGTTACTTTTCTTCTTCCCCTGACAGGGAATTTCCTCAGATCTTTGCCCTGAGAATTTGCTGGGACTTCTGGGGGTGAAACTTCTGAAAATGTGGGTCCCCCTACAAGGCGGCTCTCCCTCTAGTTCTTAAGTCTCAAAGTTGTGCACATTGAGCTGCCAGCAATTCAATGATTACTGTTTAGGTTTCCCTATCCCAGAGCTAGCTGTAGCAATAGGTTCCTGCTCCTGGGCTTCTTTTCCAAAAAGCTGTGATTCTCTATAGTTGCCTATGTCTCTAATTTGAAGGACAGCAGCTCGCCTTTGATGGATTTAAGAAAAGTTGAAAACATTAAAGTTTTTAGCTCTTTTTTCTTGTGAAGATGAGAGTGATGACTTCTAATTTTCTTAAGTGTCTGACCTGAGACACTTAACATTTTGGATCTCTGATTGGTTTCATTTATATTGATTCATTTATTTGCCTTTATTCTTATAGACTCTATTCATTTCCAAAATTATGCAGGCCAGTATCTTATTCCCCATCATTCTCAGTAGATTGTTTCAAGCATTTGTAGTACAATGAATGTCTTTCATCATATTCTACATTCCATCCTATGATCCCGTGACCTCCTAAGTAATCTGGCATTCATCTGTATACATTAAAGTTCACTCATTATCCTATAAAGCTCTATGAGTTTGGACTAATGCACAGTGATATATATCCACCATTACAACATCACAAACACCAGGTTCACTACCCTTAGTAATACCCTCTGCTTCACTCATCCAGCCCTTCCCCATCTGAACCCATGACAACCACTAATATGTTTACAGTAACTATAGTTTTGCCTTTTTTCATAATGCCATATAATTGAAATCATATAGTATGCAGCCTGTTTAGATAGGCATCTTGCATTTAAAATTCATCCACGTCTTTTGGTGGCTTGAGTACTCATTTTTAAAGCACTTAATAATATTTCATGTATTACAGTTTTCTTAGTTCAGCTAGGTCTAAGTTCCTGTCCCATTACTGAGAAGAGGCATGTAGACACTGGGGAGTGAGTAAGGCAGAGTAGGATTTCTTAAGCGAAAGGAAAGCTCTCAGCAAAGACAGAGACCTGAAGTGGGTCACTGGAAATGGGCCTGAGTTCTGTTTTTTTTTTCTCATGTAGCAAGAACAAGGAAGTCTTCTGTGGGTTCTTCCCAAATGGGAAAGGTAAAGTTCCCTCCTAGGGGTGTTGCATCTGTGCATGCCTGGGGCTGGCCATAGTGTCTACATCTTGGTTATTACCCATGAGTGCAGAAGTGAAACCTACAGGGGGGCTAAAGCCACATGCTGATGTCATGTTAATGATATTATAATGAGCTGGGTCCAGTTAAAGATATTTAGGTTGATTTATTTCACCTGCACCTAAGTTGGGACAGTCCCTTCTGAGCAAACATCCTGGCATAAGAGGAAGTTCTTAATCAAATTTCTTCCCATTATCTACATGGGCAATGCAGGTGTGGTCCCAAAGTGTTTTTCCACTCCCAAGACCCTCCCTCTCTATCTACATAACTGGCCTCTAACTGCCTCCTCTGTCACATGGATGGATATGCCATAGTTTATGAATTCACCTATAAAGAACATCTAGGTTACTTCTGGTTTGTGGAAATTATGGCTAAACTATATGTTATAAACATTTGCAAGCAAAGTTTTGTTTGGAGATAAGTTTTTAAATCAGTTGAGTAATTACCTAGGAGCATGAATGCTACATTTTATAGTGAGACTATGTTTAGCTTTGTGAGAATCTGCCAAACTGCCTTCCAAAGTGGCTGTACAATTATGCATTCCCAAGGGCAACAAATGAGCAGTATTCCTATTGCTTTACATCCTCACCAGCATTGTCAGTTTTTTGGATTTTAACCATTATAGTAGGTGTGTAGTAAAATCTAATTTTATTTAAATTTGCAGTGTCTTAATGATATACGATGGTGATTATTTCTACCTGTGTTTCTTCTCTAGTGATGTGTCTGTTCAGAGCTTTTGCCCAGTTTTTTCTTGGGTGCTTTGTTTTGTTATTGTTAAGTTTTAGGACTTCTTTATTTTGTATACATGTCCTTATGAGTTTCCCAAATATATTCTCTGATATTGGGCCTCGTCTATTGATACTCTTCACAATGTCATTCCCAGATAAGTTTTAAAATTGATAAACTATCAGTTATTTTTTTCTTTCATGAATTTTGTTTTTGATGTTGAATCCAGCAACTAATTGCCAAACTCATTATCACACCAATTTTTACTTATGTTTATTTTTTTCTTAGAATTTTCTAGTTTTGGATTTTAAATTTAAGCCTACAGTCTATTTCAAGTTAATTTTTGTGTAATTTATAAGATCAGGCGAGATTCTTTTTTTTTCCACACAGAAGTCTAATTGCTTTAGCATCATTTATTGAAAAAAAGTATCCTTCCTTCATTGAATTGCTTCTGTGACTTTGTTAAAAACTACTTGACTATATTTGTTCAGCTTCATGTCTGGGGTCTCTATTACATCTCTATTCCATTGATTTATGTGTCTACTTTTCTACTAATATTCTGCAGCTTCTAATTCTGTAGCTTTATAGTAAGTCTTGAAATTGGATAGTATGAGTCCTTAAATTTTGTTCTTCTCAAGCTTTTTTTTTTGTTTCTTTTTTTTTTAGCTATTCCAGTTCTTTTGTTTTTGAGGGAGAATTTTTTAAATTTATTTTTAAATTTTGATTTTATGGGTATGTAGTAGGCGTATATATTTGTGGTGTGTTAGGAGTATAAGGTATAATAACATTGTGAACATGTTTTGGCAAAGGTCAAGACATGGTAAAAAAAGATAAAAGTGTAAGCATGTGTTGATCAAATAGTCAGGACATGTAAAACAAGATAAAATAGAAAGATGTTGACACAGATGTTGCCAAACGTATCTGGGACTTTGGATTTTGATAAACAAGTTAGGTAAGCAGTCATGGACATTGCAAAATGTTTTGATTTTGGACTTTGGCAAACAAATGGATCAAAACAACAAGGGATTACCACGGGCATAACCAATCAGGAAGAAGGACTCAGGACTACACTTAAGGATGAAGCACAGAAAAGAAGGACTTCACGACCAGTTGTCTGTGGCAAATCCCCGATCAATCTCTATGCCCCTTGCTGCATGCTTAGCGGCAAGAGCTAGCTGTGTGGAGGCCCTCTGCCCATTCACTCTGACATCTGACAAGACCAGGATGGACAGACTGGAGGTTGTTTGATCCTCCAAGGGTACACTTGAATGTTGAATGGAACTTGGATTGAATGATTTTAACTGCCGTGGTGAGGCTGGCCCTTAATAACCCCCTTTGATTGTGTTTTTGCCTGTGCTGAGAAATGGCAGTTGGTTATAGTAATTAATAAATCATGTGATTCAAGCATCTAACTCGAGTTGCTGGTTGTTGTCATTTCCTGTGCCATAAAACCCTGGAGAAAGTACAAGTTATGTCCTCGTGACATGGTGCATGTGAGATGTTTTGACACAGGCATATAATGTGTAATAATCACATCAGGGTAAATGGGGTAATCTTCCCCTCAAACATTCTTCATTTCTTTACATTATAAACATTCTAATTATACGTTTTTCTTATTTTAAAATGTACAGTAAAGTATTGTTTACTGTAATCATCCTATTGTGCTATCAAATACTGGATCTTACTCATTCTATCTATGTTTTTGTATACATTAGCCATCTCCACTCTATCCCTCACTACTCTTCCCAGCCTCTGGTAACCATCATTCTACTCTTTATTTCAATGGGTTCGATTGTTTTAATTTTTAGCTCCCACAAATGAGTGAGAATGTGCAGTTTGTCTTTCTGTACCTGTCTTATTTCACTTAACATAATGTCTTCTAGTTCCATCCATTTTGTTTAAAATGACAACATCTCACTCTTTTTATGGCTAAATAGTACTCCATTGTGTATATGTACTACATTTTATTTGTTTTCTTTTTTTCATGTAAACTTTAGAATTATTGTCAACATCTACAGAGTAGCTTGCTGGAATCTGGATTGGGATTGTGGTGAAACTATTCTGCAAATTGAGAAGAACTGACATTTAAACAATATTGATTCTTTCAATTCACAAACACCAAGTATCTTCCTCACTTATTTTATTCTCCTATGATATTTCTCATCAGTGTTTGGCTGTTTTCTACAAATAGATGCAATATGTATTTTGGTAGATTCATATAGAAGTATTGGATTTCTTCTACTGCTTTTTCACAAAGGTCAAAAGTAATTAAATGAAGGAAGAATAACCGTTTCAACAAAGGGTGCTAGAGCAATTGGTTATTCATAGACCAACAACTGAACCTCAATGTAAACATCTAAACCTTACACCTCATACAAAAATTAACTCAAAGGTATTACAGACTTAAATGTACAATGTAAAACTACAAAGCTTTTAGAGACCACAAGGGATATTATCTTCAGGATCTCTAGCTGAGCAGGGAATTCTTATACTTGATGAGAGTAAACATGACACAGAAAAAAAGAGTTAACAAATTGGATACATCAAAATTAAAACTTTTTTTCTCTAAAAAATACCTTATTTAAAAGGTGGAAAGACAAGCTGTGGACCAGGAGAAAATATTTGCAAATCACATATAAAATAAAGGACTGAAATATAGACTATACAACAGACTGAAATTCAACAGTAAAAAAGTAAACAATCCAATTAGAAAATGGGCAGAAGACATGGACAGAAATTTTACTGAAGAGGACATATCAATGGAAAATAAGTACATAAAAAGGTATTCAATAATGTTAGCCATTAGGGAAACACAAATTAAATCAACCATGAGATATCACTAAATACACATACGAGTGATAAAAATTAAATTAAAACGTTGACAGCAGCAAATAATGATCAGGATGCAGAGAAAGCAGATTACTCCTATATTGCTGATAGAAATATAAAATGGTACAGCCAGTCTGGAAAACAGGATGGTAGTTTTTTACATGACTAAACTTGCCACTGCCATATGACCCATAATTGCATTCCTGAGTATCCCGGAGAGATGAACACATACATTTACACAAATACTTGTACACTAATATTTACAGAAGCTTTATTTAAAACAAATAAAAGTTGAAAATGACCTATGTCTTTCCATGGATTACTTGTTATATAAACTATTATGCATAGACACCATGACGTACTGCTTAGTAGTAAATACATGGAATTATTGACGTGTGATAACCTGAACAAACTGTGAGAAAATTATACCAAATGAAAAAAGACAATGCTCAAATCTTATGTACTGTATAATTTTATTTAACATTCTTTTTAAATTTGAGTTCTGTTTTTTTTTTTTTTTTGGCAGAGTATTGCTTTGCTGCCCAGGCTAGAGTGCAGTGGCACATTCAGGGCCCACTGCAACCTCTGCCTTTCCAGCTCAAGTGATCCTCCCACATCAGCCTCTGGAGTAGCTTGGACTACAAGCCCTTGCCACTATGTCCAGCTAATTTTTGTATTTTTAGGAGAGATGAGATCTAGCTATGTCACCCAGGCTGGTCTAGAACTCTGGGCTCAGGCGACCCTCCTGCCTTGGCCTCCCAAAGTGCTGGGATTACAGGCATGAGCCACCATGCCTGGCCTATTTAACATTCTTGAAATGACAAAATTAGGGACATTTCCAGTTAGGTAATCTTAACCACACAAGAGATGCTATCTGGAGATGGGGCCTTGAGAGCTAATTAGGTTTAGATGAGGTCATGAAAGCAGAGCCCTCATGATAGGATTGGTGCACTTGTGCAAAAAAAAAGACACCAGAGAGCTTGCTGTCTCCTCTTTCTCTCACTGCTGTACAAGGATACAGCGAGAAGGCAGTCATCTACAAGCTATAGCCTGACCAAACTGGCACCTTGTTCTTGGACTTCTAGCCTCCAGAATTGTGAAGAAACAAATTTGTGTTGTTTAAACCACTCAGTGTATGATAGTTTTGATGGAAACGCAGGTGGACTAAGACATACGGTTTTTATTCTTTTTCTCCTTAAGCCAAGGAAGTTGCATTGTTTAAAGTTTTGTAATGTGTTTAAGAACTTGCTGATATCACTTACAAGCTATGTTATAGCTTTTAGAGTACATAAATACTAATTTCAGAAGCTATAAGAAGATATATTTTAAAAGAAGAAAACATTCCTGAAGTGCCCCATTTGCTGTTAGTTCATTCCACCATTAACTTTTTGAGTTAACTTGGGTTTTATTTTTCTTTTTATTTCCCTCCTTTTTAAAATTAGAACACTTTTTGCTTATTAAGAATCACCTCACAGATGAAAGAAAAATGCTCCAATTATCTTTTGGGAATGAGTTTTCATACTACATGCACATCAATTCTTCTCAAGAGGAGACATACCTATTTCAAGACTTCTTTTAAAATTACAATTTAAGCACCTCTTATTTGTGTCAAAATTATTTAGTCTGTTTGAATTGCCCCAAGAAAAAAATATTCTAAGAGGCTTTATAAAAGGAAAACTTCTTGTTATTCAACTCCTATGTTCCTCCTGAGAATTTTTTAAAACACATCTATTTTAAGAACCTGTGGGAAAATTTACATTTTACCCAGAGTTGTTGTAAACAACAAATATAAAAAGATTCAAATAGAGTTGCTGAAGCAGGAGTGTGTTGAATTACTCTAGTAATTCTTTAGCATCTATTTATATATGTTTCTAATAGTTCCCTCAGAAATATTCACACAAAAAAAGAAATAGGATGTTAGAAGCAACAACGTAATGGTCCATTCATACAATATGTTCCAACAGATAAGTTATTGTAACACAAATACAAGTAGAAATACATCTAGGCATTATAGATCTGAGCCTATTTTTGTAAGACATGCTTAAATAATGTATCGATGATCAAATCACTTATGTGATATAACAACTATGTCCTGGCCCATAGTGGGTACTAATACATATTAGTAATTAAAGGAATGAAGGTACTTAGTTGTTATAAAATAATGGAATATAAGCACGACCTAAATACATTCTATATATAAGTGTGTGTATATATAGATGTAACATGTATATACTATATATCTAGATCTATATACATACTTTCAAGCACATATGTAAACTTGTGATTTATACATTGTGATTTATACAAGTTTACATATACGTAAACTTGTGATTTATACAAGTTTACATATACGTAAACTTGTGATTTATACAAGTTTACATATATGTAAACTTTTGACTTATACTCTGATTTTTTTATAGAAGCACTGAATTCTCCTTACTGCCTTCATATAAGAAAACAGAGGCATTCATTTTTCTCTCTCCTTTATAAGCTTGCATGATGAATCTGATTCCTCTACCTTGGCACAGTTGAACATCATGCATTGAGATGCTGTGGTGGCATCTCAAGATCAAGGAAACTTGGATCTCTAAGTATCTGGATGTAGAAAAATTCTAACCAACCCAAATCAGCAGATTTGAAGGCTGGGAGGTGTTTGGTAATACCATATAATCCTTGACTAGTATACTCAGTGTTATTGTTCCTTAAATGATCCATGACTTATTCTGTTTACTTTGTTAATATAAATCAAATTTTATATAAACATATGCCTTTGTTTAGACAGAAAATGCCATTTTTTAATAATAGTTCTTTATGTAGACACAGCTTAACACTGGTTTTCATTTCAAATGATATTATGAAATGATGCTGTTCCTGAATATCTGTGTGCTCTGAGCTAGAGTAAAATTAAATCTCATTTGATTTTAGCCATATGTACCTTGAGAAGATACTACTAGATAATCATATGCTATATTATGTATTATGGTTTTCCTATACCAGTTAGCTGCCATCCTACTGAGGAAAAAGACATCATTCTAATGTACTGTAATAAATTCTGATCATGAAATCAGCCCATTAGGAAGCACCTCTTGGAGATCATGGATAACATGCTAGGAAAATGCATCCTTTTTTAGTGGTGAGTGCATGAAGTCCTGTAAGTAACATTCATGTATACTATTAACAATTTGATCCAAATTATATTGTTTTTACTTTCCCTCACAGGGAAAGAAAAATAGGCACTGAGTCAATAATATCAACAACATTGTTGTCTCTTAGAGTTAAAAAGAAATATAAAGATTCTTTACATCAAAGCATCAATTGAAAAGAAATAGAAGGTCTAAAAACTAATATTCAAATTAAAACTACCTGGAGATATCCATTCATTTGTA
This sequence comes from Homo sapiens, assembly GCF_000001405.40. Classification (NCBI taxonomy): domain Eukaryota; kingdom Metazoa; phylum Chordata; class Mammalia; order Primates; family Hominidae; genus Homo; species Homo sapiens. The sequence goes on along the minus strand of NC_000002.12, from coordinate 184,364,264 downwards.
ATATGTGGCTCTACCAGTTCTCTCAAAGTTATTTTCAGTGCCTCCCTGCTTTCATTAAGTTTAAGGCATCTATTTAATCAGAGAAAATGTAAAACTTTACTGAAAGATTACACAGAGGAAAAAAACTATATTCTGCTTTTGAGATTCTAAGCAATATTACAAAATCATAATAGAGACAATGGTTTGAAAACCACAGCTTTTGTTTAGAACAGGTGCGCATTTTGTGGGAAAAAATAGATTTTAAGATTAAAAGGGCTGAAATTGAGAGGAAGGAAGACATAATTTATTTAGACAAAAATAAAGGGGTAAGAGATTGGGGAAAGATTCAGATGATCCGGACCAGGTAGTCTCCACTGGGGTTTCTAGCGCTGTCAGTGAGAAACGGGCTTACTTCAGGAGGGCTGAGCGGTGCTCATCTCCCAGGATGTGCACATAAAGGTGTGCAAAGTTGACCTCCAGCAGTTGGTCAGTCTCTGCCAGAGCAAAAACTATTTTTAATATCCTGATGAGACTGCATGAGAGGCCCTCATGTCCACAGTGCACATAGTCTACAGAATGGAGAGAAAATTGCACTCCCTCTCCTTGTCATATGTGGAGAGCTTCATCTTACCCAGGACCTTACATGCCTCCATGCTTATTTAATAGAATTGATACACTTGTTGAGCTCTGCCTTATTATACCAAATCGATAAACCCTTCTTTGCAATGCCCCAGATGCTCATATCTCATTGAGTGCTCCTCAAGCCTTATTGTGCATGCATTACGGGAAGATATTGTAGAAATGCAAATTCTTATTTCATAGGCCTGGAGTGCAGTCTGAGATTCAGTGTTTCTAACAAGCTGCCACGTGATGGCAGTGCATGTGTCCAAAGGCCATAATTGCCCTGGACGGTCACATATGTCTCAACCCTGGATGCACATCAGACACACATGGTAAAAAGATAAAAACACCAATACTCAGACCTCAACACCCCTTTGCTAGAAGGATTTTGTTGTAATGGGTCGGGAGTGGGGACAAAACATCAGTATATCTTAAAAGCCTCCTTATGATTTCTAATATGTTGGGTAAGAACACTGGAATAGGGAGTTAAGAAGTGAAATCCTCCAGCACCTACTTTTGGGTGAGATTGGAAATAAACTAATGGAGATAAGACTATTCCGCCAATTCAGAAGTAGTGAATGTAAAACCCACTCCTGTTATATGAAGATAAACACACACACACTCACACACACACACACACACACACAATTTTGATTCACAGAAAAGAATCAGATTTGCTATTTTTATTTTTATAACATGCTTATTAATTTTACTTGCTGATAAAATATCCATAATCAATGTTTAGACTTAAAATGTTTTAGTAGATGCCAAAGTCTTTTTGAAACTAAATTGCCCTGGGATTGACATATAGTTTCCTAAATCTTTCAGAATCACAAAACAAAATAAAAAATGATCAAATGATAAGCAATGCTTTATAAAGTAGTAAATATATTTGTGAGTGTGTTTCGTTTTGTTTTGCTTAATGCTGACATATAAGTGATAATATTACTCTAAAGCAAAGCTTTTTAATGGACATTTCAATTATGACTTATATCTTAATTTTATGGACCATTGAGAAAACATTTGACAAAAAGTAACATTTTTAATAACATGTATTATAAATGACAATCTGGGGGATTCTTACCTTTACTTATATCAAAGAGCTTAGATAAAGCATCAAATTCTTTTGTTACAAATTATTTCAGAATTGATTCTTTTAAAACACATACTACAAAAATAATCATATATTTTGGGAGAATCTTTGAATATAGAACTTTAAGACTTTTAAGAGGTTCTTTGTTCTATATCCCTATGCTACATCAAACTACTCCTGCCAGGTGACAAGTTAGTCTACTTTAGCACCAGAGAAATCAATTCATAGTCTTCCCACACCATAATCAATTGCACTTATTAATTCTCCAGAACTATGTCTTTCTGTGTAATCTAAATATGTTTCATTGAACCCAAATTGGCCTTAACATAAGAGAAGAAATATATATGTTTTTTCTGAGTACTAAAACTAATTACAGACATTAATAATGCTGTGAAGTCGTCTTTTAAGAATTTGTGCCACTGTAGAATGATTTTAATTCTCAAATGAAATGTGCACTTTTTTTTTTCATTTGGTTGCTCGGTGTCTGTCTCCAATTCTGAATAACATCAATTTCCTTTTAGGATGTACCATTTCTCCCTGACTGAGTATAGTCTAGATGAAACTCACTAGGCAGCACTGCCCTCCTCTAGCTTGGAATTTTTGTTTTTAATTGCACAATTTATTTGGTTATTTTCAGGCCGAATTGCTATGCTAAATATCTTCTATTATTGTAAATTCCATTTTTCAAAGTGCCAGAACAATGGGACCTCCTTCAAGAGGTCACTCTTTATACAAAAGTCTGTTCACAAAACAGCTTATGCTCCTGAGCTTTTATTTCTCATTGAAAGTGAATCCATCATTCAGCCCCTTTCTTGGTAGATGATAGATAGATAGATGGATGGATGGATAGATAGATAGATAGATAGATAGATAGATAGTTGGATGATAGTCATAAAGAGATATTCATTTAATTAGATATACAGTTTTATTCACACAAGCATATGTTAATTGAAATTTATTGTAATTGTACTAACTACAAAGGAATTCATTTTCAGGATTTTTATAATCAAGGACCAGTGAATATGCTAAAATCTCAAGTGTATGGATGCATCATTGTACTTATGTTCTTCCTTTCCAATTAAAATAGCCTAAAATTTGTCAACCCTGTAACAGTTACCATATACCTGAGAAACAGTCAGATTAAGGCTGCCATAGGAATTGACTAAAATGATCAGATTTTCGTATGTTATTTTAAAATACATAATTTTACATTTTAGTTTAGATTCTGGGGGTATAAGCCCAGGTTTTTCATCTGGGTATATTGCATAATGCCAAGATTTGAGTATGATTGATCCCATCACCCGGATGCTGAGTATAGTACCAAATTCTTAGTTTTTCAATCCTATTTGCCTCCCTCCATCCCCCTTTTAGAAGTCCCCAGTGTCTATTGTTGCCACCTCTTTGTCTATGAATAGCCATTCTTTAGCTCCCACTTATTGTGTGTGTTTTTAAATAAAGCATTTTTTTTTTACCTTTGTAGGAGCAAGTAGTATCCTAACTTAATAATATGCTGTGTCCTTGCAAATATCAAACCCTATTTTTATCATTTGAACTGGAGATGCTCCTTGATCTTTCTTCCTATAAAATTAAAATAATTTCTGTCTTTAGTGGTGATGCTATTTTTCTTTTAAATGCTTTAATATTTAAGAGGAAAATAAATTACCATAATGATTTTCCAAATCGATGTTATTCTAGTAGTTATGTGAGAAAAAAAATTAAAGATTTTCTTCTTAAATTTAGGCAAGGCTGATTTAAGCAAGTATGTTGATCCTTCCCAAACAAAATGCTGATCCCCAGAATCTTGGGCATGCTTAAAATTATTCCCAGGAATACACAGAAAATAGCTGGCAGAGTAACCAAAGAAACATATGGACCAGGTCTCCACTTTCTTGCCCAATCCGTTGCCAGCTGAAATGTCACTTCTTCATCAATGCTCCCATCACAAAATGCTAATTTTCTTCAGTTATTTTCCACTATGTTTTCTTTTCTTAATAGCATTTACCACAATTTAAAAGTATTTATTCACTTTTATGTCCTTCCTTCCTTCAATAGAACAAAAACCTTATCTATCATACACTTATTTCTACCTATATATCTTGCTGTCACCAACTTCTCTCTTCTCATAATCTTCTTAATCAACTCTAATTGAGCTTTATCCTATTTTCTCTCCTAAAACAGGGCTTATCAAAAATAGTGATGACGTACATCTTGCCAAACCTATTGCAACCTCCCCTTAGGTAAGTTCAGTCTCATTTCTTAATATATTTTTGTTTAGTGACTCCGTGTCTACATTTTTACTGCCTTACTCCTGCATTTCACTTATATCTAGTCAGTTTAACATTTACACATACATTTCTGAAAAAAAAAACCTTGATTTTCCCTTTTGTCTCATACTCTTCATCCAGTCTATTAGTAAATCATGTCTATACATTTTTCAAAATACAACATAAATCTAATTTTTAAAAAATAATAATATCCTAATACCCAAGTGAAAGATACTATCACTCACTCCTGTAATACTACAAGTCTCCTCATTAGTTGCCTTGCTCCTAGTCTTGCTCCTTTCCCTAATAGATCATTTTTCACAGAGCAGCCATTATCAGGTCAAAGTGTAGATCACATTCTCACTTCACTATTTATATAACATTAAATTTAAATTTAATTCAGGCATGTTAGATACATCAAGCAAATAGTTATTAGTAATTTATTAAGAAACATTTTCAGATGTTTCATTACCTCCTTAAACCAAATAAATGGGTTGGTTTAAGGAGGTAATGAGAAGTGAGACCATATACACCCATGCCATATGCTTTATTAGTGAAGAAATGAAAGAAAACAGTGATGTTTTGAAGAAAAAATGAGGGTTAGAAGTAATTTATATTACATATTTTCATAAGTGGTCGATAAAGAAGTGAGAGATTGAAGATGAAAGAGAAAGAGAGTGACTGGTTGTGCAAGGTCCCAGATGAGACATGAGATTGTGGCTTCCATTATGTCTGTCTCTGTCTCTCTATCACTTTATAGAGGCAGTTAAGAAGCAATTCACGGAGAGAAAAAGTGTTTAGTAATTTTTGTCATTGAGGCATGCAGATATAGAGATAGAATAAGAATTTCCTAGTGCCTGTCTCTTCAATTTAACTCAATTTTAAAATCCAATTATGTGTTTAAAAATGCATATGAAATATAATGCCTAAGAATGGATTACAAATGTTACTTTGACCTATGAAATGAGCTTAATCTAAGATATTGGTATCAATTAAAAGGTTATTCTGTGGAGGACAAAAGTCCTGTGGATTAACAAAAGGCCCAGAACAAAGGGACAACAGCAACATCACCAACAAATACTAGCAAAAGCTTTAACAAGGAAAAGACTGAGCACAGGCTCTCTGAGGTATAGCATTAAAACAAGCATTTCTTCCCCTGAAATTCAAGATTAACACAATAAGCATAAAATATTGTATATTGAAAATGTTCTACTTTTGCAAGGAGAATATGCAAATTGGTTGGTTAGAATACTCTACCATTTTTTCTCTCCTCTAAAATCATCATGGTTTGTATGGCTAAAAGGAAAGAGGTTACTATTGTTGCATGGATATTAACCAGTCTCTGCTATCATCTGAATATAACTTCAAAGTAAACCTTGAAGTGATTGATACCGTGGGTGAGACGAGCAAAGTATAGTACTTGACAAACATATTGAAACCATACTTGCTTGAAAAGAGGAGAATGTAATTGTACTTTACAGCTCTGTACTATTTTTTATATGTTGACAAACATTTTTGTCAAGTTCAAGAGCCTTTCTTTACTAACTTCAAAAAGGAATGTCATTTTAATAATCCCAGTACGCTCTGAAATTCACACCTGCAGCATAATGTATGCATTCAAATCTAACTACATTTTTCGTAATTACTCTGTCAGTCATTTGATGTTTTTAAGTCTTTTTTTAAATGTGTGTATTACAGTTCCCAAAATAAGAATTCTTTCTAATAATAAGCCTTACATTAAATTTTCCTCTAATTATTACTTTTGGAATTGAAATATTATTAGTTTAGTGGCTCCACTATAATTATATTTGCCTCATTATCCAGTTGACCTTTATTAAAAGTTTAATAGAAAGGATATTTTAATAGAAGGAGTATTTTTCAACACAATTTGGTTCCAATTTTGTATATTTTTTGTGGGGATAGGTCCTACTGTATTAATCTGAGAAGAGAGATATTGTATTATAACTATGATATTTAATATAAAAAGTTCTGTATATGATAAAAGTAAAATGTAATACACTTATTTTATATAAAAACAAATATTGTAAATTATCTAATTCAAGTAGGTGTCTTGTTGCAATAACATTATCATTTATACCTTCTATATCTCATGAAAATAACTGATTCTAGATACCATTATTCATGTTCCAAAATAAATAGCTTTTATTTGGATTTTGAAGAAAAATCCAAATAAAAATTTGTTTGTGCATCATCATGCCATTAAAAATATTTTTTAAATTGTGCTAAAAATACCACAATGTTGGACGAAATATTCTCTAAAATCAGTACTCATGCTTAAAGCCTGATTTTTTTCAAAATAGAAAACTTAAAATAATTAATTAAAATAACTTAAAAGCTTAAAAGAGGCTGGGCACACAGAACCCAGGAGACAGAGGCTGCAGTGAGCTGAGATCGCACCACTGCACTCCAGCCTGGACGACAGAGCGAGACTCCGTCAAAAAAAAAAAAAAAAAAACACTTAAAAGAATGAATGTTAAGATTAAGCAACATATGACTACTTGCAACTAGCTGTTCTCATGCTATTTTCTAATCTTAACCTTCAGCATTTGACACAGTTCACTTGCTCCTCCTTCACATACTTTTGCCACCTGTCTCTCCCAAACCACAGAATCATACTGACTATTCTGTCACCTCACACTTCCAATCTATCAAAAAATCCTGTTACCTTGCCTTCAAAATATATCAGCTTTCTGACCACATCTTATTCCCTCCATTGGTCTTAGATACCAACATCTCTCAACTGGATTAATGCAAGCATATTCAAATGAGTCTCTCTTGTCCACTCTACCCCAACCCCGCACCCCACTCTACACCCAGTCTAGTCTCAACAGAGCAGCTGGATTAATCCTGTTAAATCTAAATGTATCTTGCCACCCTTCTATTCACAATCCTGAAGTGACTCCCCATTTATTTTATACTTAAATGTAAATGTCCTTAAAATGCCTTGTAAGACCCTACATAATCTGGTTTACCTTTAATTTGCTATCACATCTGTATTAAGCTTTGTGCTCCCTGCTCTGGCACACCAGCCTCCTTGCTCTATCTCAAACGAACACAGCACACTTCCTCATTTAGACGTTTGCCGTATCTGTTCTCTCTTCCTGCAGTGCTGTTCCCTTAGATATTTGTTTGGCTAACTTGTCCATATCCTTCTGTATTTTCTCAAATGCACCCTTTTGATGTGATTGACTCTGACCAAACATTAAATATTTCAATGAATTTCCCCTGCACTCATAGTTCTTCTTACCTTGATCTGCTTTGGCTTTTCTCCGTCTAAGTTAGCACCTGCTAATATACTTTTCAATTTTATTATTTGTCCTGTCTGCCTTGCTCCAGAAGAATGCAGGCTACATGGGGGCACACAATTTTGGTCTTATTTGTTTGTTGATATATCCCCAGCACTTAGACAAGTGAATGGCACTAGTGAGAAATTGAAAATTTGAGAGTCCGAATGATTGAATAAAATATATGTTTCAATTTTAATTAATGCATTTGACTTGTTTAGGCACAAAAATGGTGACTTTTTTCTGTCATGTAAAATTTGAAACTCAGATCTACTTTGTACATTTAACACGATGGTGAATAGGGTGTTTTGTTTTAATTAATTAACTTACTTATTTGGTAAGAAACTCTGCATGGTGTTTTAAAAAAATTCTGGTTACAGAGTAATTTTGTAAGGATGGAAGAGAGGTAGAATAATCATTTGGTAAAAAATAATAATTCAGGATTGACATATTTACTTAAAATCACTCATCTATAATATTTAGGAAAAGTATTTAAGATTGGGTCTCTCTACATATACATGTAGCTGATTGATAGACAACCTTTTGCCATTTCTAAGCTCTTGAAATTCTGTACTTAGTGTTCGATTTCCTGTTTTTTACATGAATAAAAACTTTTATTTTGTAACAAAGCAGTATTTCGATATACAATATTTGATCACAAATATTGACATGCAATATCTGGTATCAATTATTTATTGTAGCTAAACATAAACAAAAAATAGGATATTTCCTCTCCCATGTCAATAATATCTCCATTTGTAAAAAATAACTTCAATAATATCTGCTTTAGGGGAATAAGGAAAGAACAACATGAGTTCTTGCAAGTTAAATATTTGCTAGTGTTCTTGACATTTAAAAAATGTTTAAAATGTTGGCTATTATTTTTTATTATTATTACCAATCCAGTCCCAAAAGAATTAAAGTTCATAGAAATGCTTCATTCTATATCTTTATTTTCCATAAATATTACGTAACAACTTTTTGGCTACTATTATACCTAGGAAGATAGTAAAGTTTAAATTATATAAATTGATTATTTTATTTAGAAATATGCATTTTTGTAATTGAATGTACACTATAATTATCATGCTTCACTTGAAATTATTATCTAATAAAGCATGTTTGGATTTACAAAGTCCCACGTTTTCTTTAAAGAGATTCATATGATATCACTGATTGTCATCACTAATCACATTTGGAAACTAGGAATTAAATGAAGGAATGCGTTTGTTTGGATATAGTGTTACATATACAGATCTCTTGCATTGTGAATTAGTCTAAAGTTGTTAGAGGAATAAATTGAATATGTGTGTGTGTGTGTGTGCACATATATGCATGTGTGTTATATAGTTATATATTGGAGGTTATCTGAAGTTTACACAAAATTTTAGTTTTTGGAAAGATTCTAAAATAAATTATTAATAATGGCAAAATATAAAGATGCAATATGTTAGCACTTAATAAATCTGTTCAATAGTATCTTTCTGTTAGAACCATAAGGAGCAAAGACAGAGAAGACTGATAGAGGTGCCTTATAAATTTTGTAGTTTATGGGATCCATACTAAATTGCATAATAGTCCATTAGTAAGATTATTATGAGAGAGACATTTAAATGCTTTTAAGACAATTAAGGTTTTAGTTTTTTTCCTGTAAGAAAGATAATTACCTATATCTTTGTTATGTATGAGTAAATAATATACTTTAAAGTTCCCCAAGATTTAGTTTTTAAAAAAAAACTTAACTAAAGTAGAAATTGTAATAGTTTTATAGACAAGTTAGATAACAAATGTCATAAAGATACGCAGGAATTGATGTTCTTGAATAATAAACTCAGTATACTTAATGAAAAGTAGAATATATTTTTCTCTTCTGACTTTGATTTTGAAGTAATTACAAAACACAGAGAATTTCAAAAATAGTACGGAGATGTACCCGTCATTCAATTTTTCCTCACTGGTTATGTCTTAAATATAGTACAATATTAAACTAGAAATTTTCCATTAGTATAACTTGTGTGTATTTACTTGTCTTTTAGATGTTAATATTATTGCTGGAAGTTGGACTTTTCATAGAACATGTGAGAGATTAGGTGAGGTTCTCATCATATTAAAAAAAAACACAGATTTCTGCTAATTGTTACAAATTACTTTGAGCATGATCCTGTGTTATCTTCTGTAAAACTTTTTTTTCGAGAATCCTAAAGGATTCAAATTCAAATTTCATGTGACATCTTCTACTCTCTTAGGCTTTACATCTTACGCCATTTATTAGGCTATAGTTGTGCGTCAGAGGTCTATTAAGGTTCAAATTACTCAAAAGATAGCAAAAGACAAGATGATATCACCTATCTTGTTAAACTTGGTCTTTCCCCTTTAAAAGGAAGTTGTAAATGACATACTCAATCTGATTTTAGAAAAATGGTACAATATACATGTATTGCACAGTACAATAATTAAAATATATTTGTGAAATATTTCCTTTTAAAGCCTTAATCAGGTTTTTCTAGAAATTCTTTTTTAGTAAACCTATTATCTCTAGATGCTCATCAATACAATCTTAAAATAGTATTAAGGTTAATTTTCTTTTACCTTTTACTCCCACCACTATCAAGGAAAGATATTATGTATCCTCTTGAGGGAGGTCCAAATAGTCATTAAGGAAGTTGAGTAGTTTGGCTTGAGAGTTATTATTTATCATTTATACAGAGCCATACATATATATAGTGCAAAAGAGAATAAAGAAATGCATTAAACTAAGAGATTTGCTTCCAACATAATCCAGTAAGGAAAAATAAAAATCCAACATTGATAGTTTTGTAATACAGGAAGATTTTATAACAATGAAAGCCTTTGAAATATCAAGCAATATTAATATAAGAGAGAATAAGATCTTAAAAACAATTGATATTGTGACATTTAAGAAACATAAAAGTAGCAGAGGAAGAATATAAAGACATCACTCCATAGAAAGGTCAAAACAGCTATCTAGGAATGTGAATTTAGAAAAATGTAGCCCAGTAAAGAGTATTGCATTTCAGGGAAGTCTAAGAATATGTCTCTGTGTCTCTCTATATATGGAGAGAGGGACACAATTATAAATGTGTGTATTTGCAACTACATGAAAGTTTATATATTAGTAGATTAAAAAGAGAAATAAATACAAATCTCCAATGTAGATTTGAATTAGGTGAGAAAAAACTTAAGATCCATTGTTTAGAATGAATTATTATGTCTCTACAAAATAAGAAAAGGTAGTTTCTTTTAATACTAACATTTATAAGAAATATACAACTCATCCTCAAAGCAATCAACATATTTAAAGATGCAGTAGGATAATATCTACTACATTCAATGACTTGAAATAATGTTTGTTATCACTACTAATACATATAATTAATCTGAGAATTTCATCTGGCTCTTTCTTACCTCCCAAATTTCACCCAATATACCTCTTTTCTTTTCAAATTATGTTCCTGGAACACAGGATTTTTAAATGCTCAGATAACAAGTTCTGTTCTGTAACACATTCTACTTCTTCCTTTTCAACTTTCAGGTTTCTGACAGTCTACCTAAAGTATTGTCGTCTGCTTGTTATTAACTATCACATCACTCTGTTAATTTCTCCCATAACACAAGCATTACTTACATTTTATTATTTATTAATACTCAAATTTATTTTGTGCATTTTAATCATTCCCAGATTAAAACATATGCATTTTGAATAAATTATTTACATTTCTTTCCTACATATTTTCTCCCTCCATCAAATATTCTTCCATTTTTATTTTACCTTTGCTTCTGTAAGGGTCGGGTGCACCTGGGATGTGCAAATTAGTAGGATTCTAGCATGATTCTCTACCAGTTTTGTATGTAAGGTGTCACATTCTTTATCTCAATCATTCATCATTAAAAAGTTGCTTACATGTGTGCACTGAGGTCCCAGGTAGAATAATTATTTTAGAAGCTTAATAAATATAAAATTAATAACAAACAGCATGCCTTGTGATTATCCCTTTTTCTGCATTCCCTGGGCTTAGAACTTTACTTGAAGAATACAGTCATTTATTAAATATTTTAAATGAATAAATTAATACATTTTTTGAGAATAAGGTTATAAACATTCTTAATTGGTCTAAGGTTTCACAGCAATTCCTGTAAAAACCTCAGCTTTTTATTTTACATACAGACAATCTTACCCTAAACTTATATGAAAAAGGAAAGGAAATAGAATAGCTAAAACAGTATGGAAAAGAACACAATGGGAGGAATTACATTCCCCAATTTTATTTAATTATATAGCTACTGTATTCAAGACTAAGGGTTAATGGCAAAGGAATTGACATTGATTGATGAAACAGAACAGATAGCCAAGTAAAAGACCGAGACAACTACACCTCCAGCCAGCTGATTTTTAACAAAAGTACTAGTGCAATTCAGTGAAGGAAGGTAGCCTTTTCAACAGATAGTCCTGAAGCAACTGGATACACACAGCCAAGAAAATGCATCAACATAAACCCAATACTTTATACAAAAATTAATACCAAATTAATAAGAGATTTAAATGTAAAACTACTGTAAATCTTTTAGAAAAAAATAGAAAAATCCTTGGGATATAGGGCTTGGTAAAGAGTTTTTAGACATTAAACCAAAAGCTTAATCCTTGAAAAAAATTGATAAATGAGACTTCATAAAAACCAGAAATTTTAACTCTATGTAAAACTTTGTTAAGATGATACAAAGATGAGTTATAGACCTAGAAGATATATTTTCAAGCCACATCTGACAAAAGACTTGTATGTAGACATTATAACGTACTCTCAAAACTGAACAGTATGCCGATTTTGCTGAGGGTTTTAATCACAAAGGGATGCTGGATTTTGTCAAATGCTTTTTCTGCATCTATTGAGATGATCATGTAATTTTCATGTGGTGTATCACAATTATTGACTTGTGTATGTTAAATCATCCCTGCATCCCTGGTTTGAAACCCACTTGATCCTGGTAGCTTATCTTTTTGATATGTTGTTGGATTTCATTAGCTAGCATTTTGTTAAGAATTTCAGCATCTATGTTCATCAGGGATATTGGTCTGTAGTTTTCTTTTTGGTTATGTCCTTTCTTGGTTTTGATATTAGGTTGATACTGGATTCATAGAATAATTTGAGGAGGGTTCCCTCTTTGTATGTCTGGTGGAATAGTGTCAGTAGGATTGGTACAAATTATTTGAATGTCTGGTAGAATTCTGCTGTGAATCCATCTGGTCCTGGACTTTTTTTGTTGTTGGTAATTTTTTTATTTCCATTTCAAACTCGTTGCTTGTTAATGGTCTGTTCAGAGTATCTAGTTCTTCCTGATTTAAGCTAGGAAAAATGTATCTTTTCAGTAATTTATCCATCTCCTCTAGGTTTTCTAGTTTATGTGCATAAAAGTGTTCATAGTAGCCTTGTTTCTTTTGTATTTCTATGGTGTCAGTTGTAATATCTTCCATCTCGTTTCTAATTGAGCTTATTTGGATTTTCTGTCTTCTTTTCTTGGTTAATCTTACCAGTGGTCTATCAATTTTATTTATCTTTTCAAAGAAGCAGCCTTTTGTTTCACTTATCTTTTGTGTTTTTTTGTTGTTTCAGTTTCATTTAGTTCCACTCTGATCTTGGTTATTTCCTTTCTTCTGCTGGGTTTGGGTGTGGTTGGTACTTGTTTCTCTAGCTCCTTTAGGTGTGACCTTAGATTGTCTGTTTGTCCTCTTTCAGACTTTTCAATGTAGGTGTTTATGGCTATGAACTTTCCTCTTAGCACTGCCTTTGCTGTATCCCACAGGTTTTGATAGGTTGTGTCACTGTAGTCATTCAGTTTGAATAATTTTTAAATTTCCATCTTGATTTCACTTATTTAATTTCCATGTATTTGTATGGCTTTGAAGGTTCCTTTTGGAGTTGACCATCAGTTTCATTTCACTGTAGTCTGAGAGAGTGCTTGATGTAATTTCAATTTTCTTGAATTTACTGAGGCTCATTTTGTGGCCCATCATAAGGTCTATCTTGGATAAAGTTCCATGCGCTGTTGAATAGAATGTATATTCTGTGGTTGTTGGGTGGAATGTTCTGTAAATATCTGTTAAGTCCATTTGTTCCAGGGTATAGTTTAAATACATAGTTTATTTGGTGACTTTCTGTCTTGATGACCTGTCTAGTGCTGTCAGTGGAGTACTGAAGTCCCCAACTATTATTGTGTTGCTGTCTGTCTCATTTGTTAGGTCCATTAGTAATTGTAATATAAATTTGGGAGGTCCAGTGTTAGGTGTATATTATTTAGGATTGTGATATTTTTCTGTTGGAAAAGGCCTTTTATCATTATATAGTGATCCTTTTTGTCTTTTTTAACTGCTGTTGCTTTAAAGAGATCCAAATACAAAATGGCCAAAAGATATAAACACATATTTCACAAAAAGGATATGTGAATGGTAAATGACCATATGAAAAGATGTTCAACACCAGTAGCCAGTAGGGAAATGGAAATTAAGACTACAATGACATATTACTACACACCTACTAGAGTAGATAAAATATATTTTTAAAATGTGACAATATTAAATTCTGATGAGGATGACAACCTAGATCTTGTATACATTGCTGGTGGAAGTGTAAAATGATATACTCATTCTCAAAATAGTTTGACATTTTCTTTAAAATTTAACAAAAACATGTACATGCCATATACCTAGCTGTCACATGGCTCTTATTCAAAACAAACACCTAAACAAAACCTGTACAAGAATGTTCATAGCAGCTTTATTTTTAATAACCCAAAACTGAAAACAACCAAAACTCCTTTAAAAGGCAAATGGCTAAGCCAACTGTGGTATATCCCTGCCGTAAAAACTTATTCAGCAACTTAAAAAGAATGGGCAAATTCTTCTAATTTTGGTCTGTCCTTCAAGGAGCTTAGAAATCACCACATGATCCTGACAACAAATGAAAAGCTAAATATTTTTTTTAAAGTCAATAAAGCTTTTTAGGTATTTCGGAGAAGTGAGATCACGGGGCAAACCACTGTGCCCAAAATTGAAGGAACAGGTAGGTAGACAGACACACACAAAAAAACACCACTTATCAGAGCAGGTGTCCCCACAGGAACCAGTTATCATAGTAAGGAAACCTAAATGGTAATGGGGCAACTGCTGGAGGCTCAGGATGGACAAGTCTGAGAGTTAAAATCTCCAGGGGGACTCAGTTATAGGGAACCCTAATGCTTTTGTGGGTTTATTTCCAGGAGTTATACCAGCTCATCACAGTGAATATCAGAGAAAAATCCCCTCCTGCTTTGAGCAGAAGAGGGGAGAAGTAACCCCTTTGAAATATACTAGAGCACTCTGTTCTTCTTAAGAAGGCCTTCCCTCAGGAGAAACTGTTTTTATCAGAGCCTTAATCTGCTAGAGCTTTACCAGAGTCTAACCCACCCAGGGCAAGTAAAACACCCTACTTTAGTTACCTCTAGCCTACTAAGCGGAGGAAGAGAAATACCCAAAATCCAGCCCTTTTACTTATCTTGTCCCACCTAAGTGGGATGGGAGGGAATAAAGAAGCACTGGTGAAATCCATAGGCCAGGAGCACAAACTCACCAAAAGACTAAGACCTAATAATAAGACTACAGATTGCTTTCTTCCTCCTGTCCCCACATTACAACTGCATTACTAAAGACCAATTTACTGCCTTTTTTTAAAATTACCGAGTACATCATATTTATCTTCCAGCAAAAACTAGAAGGCATACTGAAAGGCAAAACAAAACAAAAACAAGCCCCACACAGTTTGAGAAAGCTAAATAAGTGTTAGAACAGTGTCAGATTTGGCAGGAATATTAGAATTATCAGAGCAGAAACTTAAAATAAATCTAATTTAATTTCATTTAATTTAAACAAATCTTACAGTTAATATGCTGAGGGTTTTGACGAAAAAAGGAGACAACATGTAAGAACAGGTAGATAAATGTAAGTAGATGGAAAAATTCTAAGAAAGTATCAAATAGAAATGCTGGAGATGGAAACACTGTAAAAGAAATGAAGAATACCTTTGATAGGCTCATTAGTAGACTGGAGGAGATGAGGAAAAAGTCTCTGACTTTGAGAATATAATAATAGAAACTTCCAAAATTGAAAAGCAAAGAGAAAAAAAAAAACTAAGAGAAAAAAAAACTAAGAACTAACAAACAAAAAAACAAAAAACCCCTGAGAACAGAATACTCAAGAACTCTGGAACAACTAGTTCCAGAGTTACAAATAGTGTAACGTACACATATTGAGAATACCACATGTAGAAGAAAGAAATGAACAGAAGAAATATTTAAAGCCATAATGACTAAAAGTTTTCCCAAAATAATGTCAGACACTAAATCACAGATCTAGAAAGCTCAGAGAATACCAAGCAGCATAAATACTAAAAAACCTACACCTAAGTACAGCATATTCAAGCTTCAGAAAATCAAAGATTAAAAAAATTTGAACAAAGCTGGGGGAAAAAATACCTATAGAGGAGCAAAGATAAGAATTACATCCAACTTCTCAGAAACTATGCAAGCAATTATTGTAGTAAAATATTTAAAGTGTTGACAGCTTATGTATGCTTTTGTACAAGTGAAATGAAAGACAGCAATGATATAAGAAATGAGAAGAATTCGGAATATTTTGTGAATGTAAGATACTTATGCTAATTGTGAAGCAGTACAGTGTTATTTCTAAAGTGGACTTTAGAAGTATAATTGATGTGAAAAGAAGATAAAAAATAAGAAAAAAAGGAATTATATAAAGTGCACAATGTTTAACCAAAAAAAAAAAAAAAAAAACAGACAAAGTGTGAACAACAAAATAGAAACAAAGAATAAAGGCAACAAATAGAAACCAGTAACAAATATAGTAGATATTAATCCAACTGTATCAATAATTAATATATGTGAATTAAAAGACAGAGATTTTTAGAGTGCATCAAAAAATAAGACCCAATTATATACTTTCTAAAAGAAACTCACTTTAAATCTAAGGAACTCTATAGAGGAAAAGTAAAGGATGGAGAAAGATATACCATACTATCTCTAATCAAAATAAAGTGGGAGTAGCTCTGTCAGTTGCAGACAGAGCAGACTTAAGAACTAAGAATGCCATCTGGGATTATGGACAAATTTGATAATTTAGATAACGGGATTGCTGGGTCAAAAATTTAGAAATAGCTCAATTTAACAACCTAACATTACAACCAGAAGAACTGGAGAACCAAGAGCACATCAACCCCAAAGCTGGCAGAAGACAAGAAATAACCAATATCAGAGCTGAACTAAAGAAGACAGAGACATGAGAAACCATTCAAAAGATCAATGAATTCAGGAGTTGTTTTTTGAAAAAGAAAAAAATAATAATAAAATAGACTGCTAGCCAGACAAATAAAGAAAAGAGAGAAGATCCAAATAAACACAATTACAAACAATAAAGGGGACATTACTGCTGACCCCACAAAAATACAAATAACCATCAGAGAATATTATGAACACCTCTATGCAAACAAAATAGAAAATCTCAAAGAAATGGGTAAATTCCTGGACACATATGCCCTCCCAAGACTGAACCGAGAAGAAACTGAATCCTGGAACAGACCAATAATGAGCTCTAAAATGGAATCAGTAATAAATAGCCTACCAACCAAAAAGAGCCCTGGACCAGACAGATTCACAGCCAAATGCTATCAGATGTACAAGGAAGATCTGGTACCATTCTCACTGAAGCTATTTTTTAAAATCTAGGAGGAGGGACTCCTCCCTAACTCATTCTGTAAGACCAGCATCATCCTGATACCAAAACCTGGCAGAGACATGATAAAAATTAGAAAACCTCAAGTCAGTACCTTTGATGAACCTCAATGCAAAAATCCTCAACAAAATACTAGCAAACCAAATCTAGCAGCATATCAAAAAGCTTATCCATCATAATCAAATAGGCTTTATCCCCGGGATGCAAGTTCAATTCAACCTACGCAAATCAATTATTATGATTCATCACATAAACAAAACTAAAGACAACAACCACATGATTATCTCAATAGATGCAGAAAAGGCTTTTGATAAAATTCAACACCCTTTCATGTTAGAAACTCTCAATAAACAAGGTATTGAAGGAACATTCCGCAAAATAATAAGAGCTATCTATGACAGACCCACAGACAACATCATACTGAATTGGCAGAGGCTGGACATATTCCCCTTGGAAACCAGCACCAGACAAGGATGCCCTTCTTACCACTCCCATTGAAGGTAGTATTTGAAGTCCTGGCCAGGGCAATTAGGCAAGAGAAAGAAACAAATGTATTCAAATAGGAAGTGACTAAGTCAAACTATCCCTGTTTGCATATGACATAATTTCATATCTAGAAAACATTATAGTCACAGCTCAAACATCTCCTTAATCTGATAAACTTCAGTGAAGTCTCAGGATACACAATCAATGTACAAAAATTACTAGCATTTCTGTACACCAAAAACAGCCAAGCTGAGAGCCAAATCAGGAATGCAATCACATTCACAACTACCACACAAAGCATAAAATACCTAGGAATAGGGCTAACCAGGGAGGTGAAAGATCTTTACAATGAGAACCACGAATCACTACTCAGAGAAATCAGAGATGACACAAGCAAGTGGAAAAACATTCCATGCTCATGGATGGGAAGAATCAATACCATCAAAATGGCCATACTGCCCAAGGCAATTACATTTGTAAAAAGGAATAGGCTACTGATACAGGCGGTAACATGTTTAATCTCACCTGAATTACTATATAATAAAAACCAATCCCAAAAATGTCACACTCCATGTGATTCCATTTATATAGCATTCTCATAAGGACAAAATAATAAATATGGAAACAGATCAGTGTTTCTACTGATGATGGGGGTGGTGATAAGAAGGGAGTTACATGTGACTGCAAAGTGGGCAGCCTGAAGGGAAACTTTGTGTTGAAGAAATAGTTCTATAGGTTGATTGTCATGGTGGTTACCTGAATTTACACTCACAGAGAACCACAAGCACACACTATACCAATGCCAAATCCCTTCTTTGATATTTTGTTATAGTTACGTAAAATATAATCACTGTAGGAAACTTGGTACAAGGTACATAGAGCTCTCTGTCCTTTTTTTATTTTTTTTTGCTATTCTCGTGAATTTGCAATTATTTCAAAACAAAAAGTAAAAAGAAAAAGGTAATTTCTGACTGTGTATTTCTGACTACTTTCAGTCTAATGAAAGGAAAAAAAAAAGATATAATTTTTAAAACTCTCCTTAGAGGTGTTCTGTTTGCAGGCGTGTCAGAGGTACCCAAGACTATTGGTTTGATGATTCCCTAGGGGGAATTATCACAGAATTTAGCACAAGTTTTACTCACAGCAAAAGGATACAGGACAAAATTAACTAGTAGAGAAGTTGTATCGAGCAAATCTGGGGAAAGCAGATAGTTTCCCACGGGTCCTCTCCCAGTGGAATCACACAGAATGTGCTTAATTTCCCCAGCAAGAACATGTGAAATGTTTTCAACTGGGAAGTCGGATACAGAAGCATCATCCACAGTTTTTATTGGGCCGAGTCAAATAGGGGGCCTCTACCTGGTATGTACAAAAATTCCAGACTCTTAGAAGGAAAGTAGGTGTTCAGGATATACCATATTGCTTACCCAAACAGTTTAGACACAGTGAGCAATTCTTACCAGTTAGGAGTGTAGGAACATTCTTGAAATCCAAGTTCCCAGATGCCAGCCAAGAGCTCATCTTACAAGCAGAACTTTTCAAGGGTAGCAATTTAAACCCACTGTGTTAATAATTTTCTGTATAGTAAGGCCATACATATTGTAAAATTAAGCAAATAAATAAATATATGTCAAATACAAATGTATGACATTATGAGAAGCAAGTATTCATGCTATGAAAAAACAAATATGGAATGGGGGGTCTAGTAAGGCAAGGATGAAATCTGTGTTGTTAGTTGAGTATTGAAGATAACAACATAAACATGATTTTTAAAAATCTATGTATCAATATATCTATCTACCCACCCTCCTACCAACCTACTAAATTATAGTTCTCTTTGTTAAAAGGATCCAAGTGCAATATCAACCCAATAGGCATTAAGTCATCAAGCAATTATATCTGGCTCCTCAAAACTATTATTCACTTAAGGGAACAAGTAATTTTTGAAGAAATAGTTGATTTAAAGGATGGGGCAGAGAAAGTACAAAGTAAACTCATAACACTTCATTTGCCAGAAAGTAAGAAAATACCATTAAAGGGGGAGGGACTCAAGTCAATGTGAAAATGTTCGCACTAGCCAATTATGGGACAATTTCAGCATGAAACGTATTGTAAAAAGAACGGATTATAATCCACTGACTATGAACCCATAGTGATTATAAGTAAGTGTATTAATAAATAAATAACGTAGGTGTAAAAACAATAGATTTTAAAAATAACTCCCGGCACCAATTTTTTATTTATATTTCAGCCAAGAATAGTCCATGACTGCCAAAACCATCAGTTAAAATGTGATGGAGAATGGAATACTTACATAGTCTCAGAGAATCTCAACAGGCTGCTTTTTTAATATACTGATATAAAAGATGCCACCTAAATTAAATATGTCAAATTAACATACAACAACTAGGACTCATGGACATTATGCCACCCACAATGTGTTGTACTAAAAAAAATTGTGATATTATATATGTTAAATTTTTGCCAAAAATGCGTAATCTGAATCTAATCATGTGAAAACAAAGAAAAATCCATATATTCTCCTTAAAGTGCCTGTGTTATGAGATAAAAAGAAAAGGTGAGCAATTGTTTATGTCTAAAGGTGGCTAAAGAGACCCACAAATTAATAAAAGCATTATCTTGGATCAATTAAAAATATTATCTATATATATATATCTGGGACAATTGAAAGAATTGGAGTATAGATAGTGTATTAGATATAATTATTATATCAATGTTAAATTTTCTGAACATGTTAATTGTACTGTGAACATGTGATCGAATGTCCTTGTTCTTACAGGTTGAATTATTAAGGGATAATTGATCATGTCTGTAACTTGCTCTCAAATGGTTCAGCCAAATGTCAGAAATGTCAGAGAGACAGAGAGAAGGAGACAGGAGGAAGGGAGAGAGAAAGAGAAAAAGAGAAGATATAGTAAAGGTGGCAAAATGATGAAAATTGGCAAATGTACGTAAAGGCATACAGAACTTCGATGAACGATTCTTGCAACCTTTATATAATTCTGAAGGCTTTTAAAAAAATGGCAAGCTTTCAAATAAAAGCAATTTAGGAATTGTTTTCTATATACATGGTAAATTAATGAAAATAAAGCTACACAGTTTTTAAATGGCATTAAACACTGAATATATTGACTGGGCCTAATTTATGGGAGTGAAAGTCAAGTCATGTGGAATTTTCATATTCTTTTTAAATTATGTAAATTAAATTAGAAAGTTAAAATGTTAAGCTACCACCTGGCACAGTTACTTAAAAATATTTTCATTAACTGATTAAATTAAATTACTTTATTACTTTTATATAAGTAGCTTTTGCTTTTATAATATATACAGCTGAATCAGATAATCAAAGTCCTACTGGAGTATAAGCATTAAGTCACAAGAAGGCCTAAAGAGGGCCCCATTGAGAATCTAAACCAAACCATTCTCTTGGCATCTCAAGGTATCTTAGTGCTGGATTAAGGCTGATGTCTAGGAATCTACACATAATTCACAGAAAACAAATTGTCTCATTCCTCATTGGTAAATTTAGTACTCTTCCCATTAACTTCTTTGACGAGGATTGTAATTGGAGACCAGTGCGTGTTAAAGGGGCTCCTTAGGCAAACCCAGAGAGTGCCACAGGTCAGAATTAGCACCTTTCATAAATCTTGATATAAATGTAAAAAACATATTTTTCAGCATATTCAAATGTATTATACTCTCACATTACCTCTCTAAGATTTCTCATCCAAAGGGTTTCCTATAGGAGAGAACCAAATACATTGGAAAGAACAATAGGAAAGTTCACTTGCCAGAGTTTGGAAGGGAAGTGTGCTGGAGATAGAGGGTCTGTCAAGCCCTGTGTATCTGGACTCTTAGATCTCCAGCCTGGCCTGCCAGCCTGGATCTAGTATCTAGTCTCAGAGAACATGAAGTACTTAGGTTATCACATTTTTCCTGTTTAGGGGGTCACAGCTCTGCCTATAGATTCTCCAGCTCAGACGTTTGACATTACAAGCAGCTAACAATGCTCACATATCATGCTTTAATAGCACATTTAGGTACCATCCTACTATCCTGTGTGGAACACTGGAATCGGTGGCTAGAGCATCTTAGAGAGCTCCATTTGCACACAAAGTGAGTGCATAAGTCAGGGTAACGTCTTGGCACCCCAGTCTACCCTCCATATCATTTACATGTGACAGGGAGAGCAATGCAGCAACCACCTTAAGATTACACAACAAAGGACAAACACAGAATCCTAATGAATTGTGTAATGCCAAAAGCCAGTATTTCTTAAGAAGATTTAAGTCCCAGTTAATTTCTTCACACCTAATACAGTGAAGATTAGTTTGAGGCAATCAGTGCACAAGCCTAGACAACATGATTTGAGCACAGTTTTGCCAAAACTCTTCCCTATTTATCACAAAAGGACTTCATTTGTATGATATCTACCTCAATTTGAAACAGTTTATTATGCAGGGAAAGACAGACGTAACGTAAGTTTACATTTTATGTATCTCCCACTAATATATGTATAGGTAAAACATAAAATTCATGGCTATTTCAGGTGGATTTTCAAAAATATATGCATATCTAAAATGAGATAATAACATTGGCTAGCATGCTATGTTTTCAGCAATATAGTATAAAAACTTACTTTGCCCTATTTTGGGCTTAAAACTAATGCTAGATTTCAAAAGAAAATTTCAATTAATCAGAGAACAAAAGTTCATAATTTTCTTATGAGATTATTTATTTGAAATTATCAGTGTCTTACCAGGAGTGGAGACTGGGAGGAAATAGATAAAAAGTAGAAAATGATACAAACTTGCAGTTATGTAGGATGAATAAATCTGGAGCTCTAATGTAAAGCATGAGGAATATAGGTAATAATGTTGTATTGTATACTGAAAACTTGCTAAGAGAGCAGATTTCAGAGGATCTTACTCCAGAAAAGTAACTGTTGAAGGTGATAGAAATGTTAATTTGATTACACTATGTATATGTGTATCAAAACACCATGTTGTATATCTTAAATATATACAATAACAAATGGGCTTAAATATAAATGTTTTATAAAACAAAGTATTTGGTAAAAATTATTTTACTTTAAAATTTCATCTTTCTTGTTCAAAATAGTTTTTTAAAACAATATTATAATGGAAAGTTTTACAACTACAATAAATGCTTCTTTGAAAACTTTAACACACCTGAATAAATAGCCACTAAGATAATATTGTAACTATGAATATAAAAATGTTGGTATTACAGCCTTACTTGAAACACAACAAAACTATTTTCTTTATGCTATTTTAACCTTTTATAAACTAATTGAGTTCTTCCCAGAAATGCATTGATTGGGCATCAAGGTGCTCAGTTAATACTCATTTAGTTTTAATTACTTACATGTATTAAAATATCAGAAAATCATGTGAATAAAATGTAGCATTCTTCCATATTTTACTACCTATCCTGTACCTCCAGCTTTTCATGAATAAACTTGTTTCCTGTTAGTTTTTATTCCAATATGAGCTAAGAAGCCCAAGAATCTCTAAACATCCCTAGGATGCTTTCCACGGATACACCTGACAGTTTCTATTATTTGTCTCAAAAAAAATAGTATGATCACTTTATGATTATTTATATGTGGTTTTGCTAGAAAAGAATTGAACATTGTTAGTTGATATATAACAGAAATAAACATATATTAATAATTTTCAAGTAAACATTATTATCTCTGGTAATGATGCTACATCTATAAGAAACCAAGTACTTTTCATGGCTATCACCAAGCCTTTATGCACCCATCCAAATTTTGGATGTGAGGGAATTAAAATAAAGCAGAAAGAAATGCAGTATATGTAGGTAGTGGAAGCCTGAATACCTCTTTGTTTAAAGATACCTAGATTCACAGTATTTCCACGTTAATCATACTGAATTATAATTAATTTGGTGACACAATTCACAACTATAATAGTACTTGTTAAAAGTTAGGCTGTCAAAACATAGTATATGGCCACTACATTAGTAAAGACTGACATCTTCAATTTAAAAAAGCTCTATCTGAATCTGGTAAACAAATATCTCGTGAGGCAAATTTCCCCAAGTAAGTAATGACTAAAAATGAGAAATTTTTGAAATATACAACTACTGTGTTCTTTTTTGTATCTTCCCCAGAGGTAAGGAGAGGTTTAGGAACAGGTTGGGGGAAAGGTAAATACAATGAAAGGCAAGTACATTGTTTGCTATAATTTATCTGAGATTTAGCCTCCCTTCTTGGTATCGGGGAGGAGGGACCAGTGAGTGACTTGTAATTAGAATAATTCTAAATTGCAAACAAACTGAAGTGAAATATGGTATTAACATGAGTTAGTCATTAACTCTTGTTCTATTATTGATGTTTTCTCCTCATTACTACACAAAATGGCAGAATCCTGGCTTAACTTATGACATCTTTTATCTTTATCATCTTTATATATTGAAATTTTTTCTAGATGAGTCATGAAGGCTAAATGTGTGTGTGTGTGTGTGTGTGTGTGTGTAATATAACTGTATTTCAATCATATTACTCATTTTTGAGAAATCTAAGTGTCTAACTGAAATTTATACTTGTGTCAACTAAGGACGGTGCCTGGTTCAGGAAATTCCTTGTGATTAGATATTATGACTGTATTACAACTATATATCTTTTGCCACAATTGATTAAATATGCATTTCCCCAGTATGAAATCTTTTCAACAGGAAAAGGCAAATATTATGGTAAATGTAATAATCAGACCTTCTTAGTTAAAATATGTGAATTATATCATAAATGTAGACATTTCAAAATAGTTATTTATAAGTACTTCAAGAGAGGAAAACTTAAACATCCATAATGCTAGAGTCTAAAGCTAAGTTAGCAAACATACTGAGAGACTTTAAGTGTATTCTTAATGATACTCCATTTCCCTGAGACATGCTGAGACATTCTTAATATTTGTTCACCTTCTCTTGTATCTAAAAAATCCCCCAAATTTATCAGTCTTTCATATTATCCCCCCAAACCTACACATTTACATTAATATTTCATCAGTTATATTACTTTTCTAGGCATGCTATGCTCTAATGTTATTTGGCCAAATGCATGTAGCTGCTATTGAAGAATAAATTACACCGGACAAAGTTAATTAGGCAAGATGACCTTATTCAAGGTTATTGAATTATTATTGAAACAGTGGATAGAGGCAGAACTCAGTCTGAATTAAACCTGCTTAAACAAAGGGCTGAGACCATTAACCAACCTCTCTTAACCCCTCCGTTCCCATAGAAGAAGTAAGTTCTAGTGTTGAATAGCACAGCAGTGTTACTATAGTTAACAGTAATTTATCGTGTATTTCAAAATAGAAGAAAAGATTTGAAATGTTCCCAACACACAGAAAGATGCATATTTGAGGTGATAGATATCCTAAAAATTCTGATTTCATTATTACACATTGTATGCATGTATCAAAATATCACATGAACTCCATAAATATATACAATTATTATGTATCAGTAACCAAAGAGACAAAAACAAAGGGCTAGGAGTTCTTAAAAGCTGAGGTGGGAGGATGAGTTATAGACCAGTTGTGGTGTTTGCTTACTGCCTTTACCCAAAAGAAGAGTAAACCTTCCCTTTTTGGCAGAGGTGGTTTTGGAGGCGGTTCCCTGCAGAAGTTAGACCCTTATTTTTCCATAGAATCTGGAAGATAGGGGCACTTCTTTAACATTACATTTCAAAGGAATGCCTCCCAGGTCTTTGAGAAAGACATTCTTAGGTTGTAAAACTAGCAAGAAGCTTTTAAAATGATTTACACCTCAAAGGAACAGAGGAACGAATTTACAATGACAAGATTTCTAAAGTAAATGCTCTTTAAAAAAAAAAAAAACAAAAAACAAAAAAACACGGGTCAGGGACTTAGAGGCAGAAAGAAGCCCGTTTAAAGCTCGATCCAACTGAGAGAAACACTAAGGACTTCTTGATCCCTGTCATTTGGCTCATAATTAAAATTCAGTCTCCAATGATAGTAATTGGAGCTGCAGATATGATTCTGGGGAAATAAATAGCTGTGGTATGTTCAAATCACTACTCCTGGGTTTTTTTTTTTTTCTCTTACACAAAATGAGGATGTTGGACAAAATTATCTCTCAAGTTAATTCCAATTTAACTTCTACAGTCCTATTTTTCTAAGATTCTTGTTTGTTTATATTCTCTTATATAAAGAAGAAGGAGAAAGGTGGAGAAGGAATGAATATCATTGATTGCTCTATTTGATAAAAGCATAGCTGAAAAGAAAAATATATAAAAAAATTAATAACAGCAAATGATCGTGTTCAAATCTTTAACGAGAAGAAAAGCTAGGTGTCTATAATGCTAGATTCCAAAACAAATTTGTTTTCATGTAAAGTTCACGTAAATTATGTCGACATAACTTGCTTGTATTGTTAATGATGATCTTTTTTCATGAGAAGTGGTGATTTCTGATCTTATGTCCTTTTCACCCTTTCCACCAGATTCTCAAGTCTCAACTAGGTTAAATGTAAAAATTTATGTTAAATATTTTTTTATTAATCATTAGACTTACAAGTTTCCAAATTAACTAGACTATCATTAGCCAAATGCCCTTTTAAGGGTTTGCGCTCTTTCTAATTACATCCTGCTGCTATAGTACCCAGGTATTTCATCCACAATTTTCCCCCAATTTTTATAGGTATTTCATTTAGGTATGCCAAGTTCATTGCAAATTTGAATCAGTCTTTTGAAGATCTATAGTTTAAAATTAAGCAATACAAGCTAAGCATTTCCTTTGGTTTCTGACAGATAACAATATGAATAGGCAACACATTGTTTTCAGGTTTTTTTCTTGCTTTAAACAAATTTCATTAGACTCATATCTTGTTTCTTTTCTTAACATCTTAAACTTTGGTTTCTAGCAGAGCAAAGAATAATGGAAATAGCTGAGAAATTAAAGGTCTATATTCTGATTCAAATGCCAATTCAATTCTAAGAGCTCAGAAAGATGCAGCTGCTTTGAGAGATAAGGAATTTAAAGGATATCTTATGGTATCTATTAAAACTATAATTTAAAATATATAAGTCCAAATCCTGCAACATCAAAAACTCTCTATTATCAAAAAACTTAAAGTAGTAAATGCAGTATTTTAAAAACTCATAATATGAACAATATGAATATAAATTTGACAATTTTGTAGTGCATTTTAGTCTATAAATCTCAAATAGTTTATTCCAAGTTATACTCTACTGTGTATTACAATGCTTTTTAAATAATTTTTCACCAGCAATATTTTAAAAAGCAAACAAAAAGTATGAGTAAAAAGTTCCTTCTCTAAATTTAATAAAACCAGAGTTGTGGTATTAATTAAGAATGTATGTCCACATCACAATTTGTTGTTTTCCTCTGTAACTTCTCAGTTTCATTCATGAAAACTTTAAAAACATAGTTTATAAATCAGTGGTGCCTATTATAGTAATGCTTCATACATTAATGACACATTTAATAACCTTAATACAATAATAACTGATAATAATTCACAGAATTGTGGTATGAATCCAGGCACTAAAGGCCTTTGTCCTGGCCTCCATAGAGGACCTTGCATATTTGCAAACGTCTAAAAGAAATTAAGTAAAGAATGTACAGAAACATTTGTTTCTTCAGATCAGGTACCCAGAACTAGAACAACACTACTCAGAATCCTAAAACATCTTCTTTTGTGACTAATACTCTCTTGTTTCCAGAGTACTTCTCTCTATACTTCTTACTTCATATCCTTGGAAAACAGGATGACTAAGCTTCATTGCTGGGATAGTTTGTGGATTTAACTTATGCTGACATTGAAACAGACAACTGGTAGGAGTGTAGGGAAAGATAGTTCAATTAGTGGAACTGAGAAGACAAATTAACTTGTCAAATACTTTTCAACATGAATGCAATAAATTTGTGCAAAACAAAATATGGTTTCTCAATAGTAGATACAATCTTCTTGTTTGTTTCTGTTCATGGCCCACTAGGTAGTTCTGTATGTAATCAAGAATTTGCATTGCACTTGTAGGATTTGCACATGGTGACTGAGAAATATTTTATATCAATTAACTTGAATTACCCTTACGTTTGTATATCTGGGGGGCCTAGATAGAAGGTGTGTGAAAAGTAGTAATAATTTTCTACATTCACAAGTAATTATGTACTGAATAATATTTTTATACAGTTTACTAACATGTATTTAATTCCCCCAAATGAATTTAAATATCCAGATTTATTTAAATAAATTCGATTTAAATATTAACTTTTTAAATTTGTATTTTATCTTTAATATTAATATATAATTTCAGTAAGCAATGAATGCTTTAGATTACAATAAAATAGTTTTTCAAATCTATATAAATAATTTTATTTTTCCAATGTGTCCCATTCTGTTCAATTTGTTTTTCAAGACACGTATAATCACATTTTAAATACAATTAAATTTTTTTGTTGCAACAATCATTTTGATAATTGAGAATAAATAAAAATCAAGGTCATTGTAGAAAGAAAAAATGCACAAAAACACAGTTTAGGACAGAAAAATAAAGCAACAAAAGAAAAGTTGTTGTTATAAAAGCATTTCAGCCAGGATAAAGACATAATATATTTTGTTTATTCACAGTTTTTTTAAACTCGATTTATAACTTCTAAATATTGAGACATATGGTAAAGCGGGCCCTGGTGATATTCTTGTCCTAGACACTACAAATTTTAACGATGACACCGAATACCTTTGTATTTACGTAAGTCAAATTGCTTTATCTGAAAACTGTATGTTCTGTACCGGACTTTCCTTCCTTCGTCTTTTTAAATGCTGCTTTTATGGGTATGATCAAGTCAAGTGAGAGAGTCTAACAATGAAGAGAGAGTGATCAACCATGACAAATGATGCCCAAAGGCCAAATAAAATGATCATTAAATTTAGCAACATAGAGGCTATTGCTGGCAATTAATAAGAATATTTTAATGGAGTAGAGGTTAGATGTGGATAGCATGGGTTTAAGAAAGAATGGATAAAATGACTAGACACTGTGAATTTGATTGAGTTTTACTTCAAAGGGGAGAAAATAAATAGAATACTAGCTTGTTGAAATAATAAGAATAAAGATGAGACAAAAAAGTAATAGCACGGCTGCATGCAGATGAAAATGATTCAGTAGAGCACGAGAGTTGGAGGCTATGGAAGAGATGGGATAGGATTATTATTGCCCAGTTCTAGTCACAAGTGGAAGGAGGATTTAATTTTTATAGGAGCATAGAGAGTCATTTGTGGAAACAAATAGGAAAGATTAGTATGTAGATATGAAAGCTGGTATGTGAGTTATGCCTATTCTTCTATTCTGATTACTTCAGTGCAGTTGTAAGCAATATTTTGATCTCAGAGCAAAAATAATAATTCTACCTATTTTCTAGGGCTGTTGAGATGATTAAATGAGTTTGTACATGTAAGAAACTTAGAATGCTGCATGGCATATTGGTATCATCTAACATGTTAGCTACTGTCATAGCCATTAATTTCTTCCTATAAATATGTCTGCTGTTAATTTCACCAAACTCTTTTGAAAGAGCCCAATTTTTCAAATTATTCTTGAAAGCCGTGATTTAAAAAATTTAAAAATGAGTATTGTAAATGTATATCTATTTATATATAAATATAAATTATATAAATTTATAGTATATTATGACTTATATATTCAAAATATATATTTATATGTAAATATAAATTATATAAAATATATATCATATTTTGATATAATACATACATTTTTTCCTCTTAGTATATTTCCCTCTATTCCTTCAACATCTGACTCTTGTTATTTGCTTTGTTTTCCAGGCCTCTATCATTTCCTTTCCCTGTAACAGGTTTTGTCCTCATTGCAGTCCTATTTCTTCCTAAGTGTTGATGTCAGTATATGGCCTAAGTAAAAGCATGTAACAAGTTAAAAATACCAAATAGAGTCATCTTGTAATTAAAACCTATATATTCTGGTGCTCAAACACACAGTTTCTTGAGACTTTTTAAGGTTAATGGAAATGTGAAACAATAATGATGTTCTCCGTTGGCTTTTATTCATTTGTCACACTGAAAAAACCTATTCATTTAAATCTTGCTTCTATTAATAAAAATGGCAATTGTGCTACACTTAATTAAAGAGAATTGTATAAACAGAATATTTTTGGTGATGGGAATGAAATAACTAGTGTTTTACCAAGCATTAGCTTTTCTACCTGTCCTCTTATAGGTGGTTTTGATTGCAGTAACCATGACCAGAAAGCATTCTAGCAGGACCACACATAGGTTAGAAAGCCCTTGCAGGTGTGTAATCAACATTTCACTTACATGTTTCACTAACTCAGTGGGAAGACTATCAAGTGGGTGGATTTGTCCTTAATCATGACTAGCGCAGAGATGCTGATTCTCTAAATTTAATATGTGCGTTTTTGGACATATAATTTTAAGTAAAATAAGAAGTTAAGATCCTCCCAAAATTTTACCTTCTATTATTTTACATATGAAGTTGCTACACCTTTTTATGAGATGGGGTTTAGAGGCAAGCCTCCTAGATATTTTAATAATTATCTGCTAACTCTAGTCTGCGAATAATTTTATTTGACAGAATAAAAAAGACATTTTCTCTTACAAGAGTTAAAGAGTTTAGAATAACTTTACTTTTATAATTATATGCATATATTCATTAACATATACTCCTGGCAATTAGTTAACATATGCCTTCTACTTTCTGGATGATATAAAATACCTTGGGTTTTGATTTATTTAATATGCTCAAAAATTCAGTTTTGTTAAAATTCTTATCATATGGTTCTACTTATCTTTCTATGCTACCTTCAACTTTAAGTCTGCTCATTCAACCTCTTTGACACATGAGACCATTTAAAATCCACCACTTGCCTGAACTTGTGGCTTCCCTTTGGAGTCAAGAGGTGTCCAGGCTAAATGAAAGTCTGAATATGCTACTGGCTACTGGCCTGAATCATTCTAATTTTTCCACTTAGGTCATTGTTACTTAAGCATAGAGAAGCAGAAAGACCAGCTTTCTTCAGATTTGATTCCCTGCATGTTTTCCTTATACAAAATGAAAATTTTAGGAAAAGAAGGTAATTATACTGCTGATAAAGTTCCTGTAGGACTTTACTCATCAATCAAAGACAAATAATCATGTCTCTATTGTTTATTCCTTTTGTAAGTATATATCTCTAATTATTTTGTTTCATGTGGAGTCAACAGTATTGATTCTTGCTTCTCTGTCTGCATTTAATGTGCTGTATCTGCTCTTCGACCTAGCATCAATAATTATCTTGCTCTTGTATTAATTTGTAAACATTTTGTTCCAAGAGAAAATTTCTGCTAAACCAGTTTATAATTGAATTGCCATATAATGAATTATCTAAATGCAATGAGAAATTTCCAGTTGTCTAGGAAGAAAACTTTTGACTAAAAGTATGATTAAATTTGAAATATATTTTAAAAATCATGAGTACAATGACATTACATATTAACCTTCTGATGAAAATATTTTTTGAAGTGAAAAATAGCTCTTCCATAATTTTGTTTTTTTCTTAAATATTTCTTTCTCTTATTGCTTGCATTAAATTATTCTTGTTAATCTCTATTTCTGGATGATCTCAGATTTAGGAGATTCATAGCAGAGAAATATTTGCATCAGTAGGGACACCATAAAGATTATCTAGACTGAGGCATTATTTGGGCAAAAGAACTGAGGCTCAGAGAGGATGAGAAACTTACTTGAGGTCACACTTTAAGCAGTTAAGGGAACACTGGGTCTAAAATCCAAGATTCCTAATTTGGGGACTTCTATATTTCCTTCTGTGTCATTGTGCTTTCCCTAAAGTGGAAAAGAAATAAAACAGTAGAATGGATTGTGAGAGTAGGAAACTAAAACAAAATTTTAAAAAGATGTGAAAATATTTGGAAAGCCATTTTTTTAAAAAAACTAAAACATTCTATCATTCAATTGTATATTGTATCTCAATTTATAAGAACATGATAAAACATAAATGTACTTACTTTTATATAATTGTTAATTAAATGATTGATAAATCTATGTGAAGAACTTCATTTTATATCAATAAATTTAAGCTAAAAGTTACAATAATTTTTTCAAGGTAACAAGTATGTTAATACATAATTAAATTGCACACACTTAAGATAGAAATGTGAAATAGTATTAATAAATTATTATTTTGATTTTTATTGTAATGGAAAGCCAAATTTTTATTTCTAGTCTCATCTTCAAGGAATCTTTTATTAACATACTTTTGGAAGTTTAGATGGCTGCTTTAGAGGACATGGAGGACAACAAGTGACAGCACAATTAGACCCTAAGTGAAACACAATCTTTTTTTTTTTAATGGAGGTCAGCCAGATTTTTATAATGTGTAAATTCTTCTTTGTTCATATATAACAGTGGCATGCTTAGATAGGTTCTAACTGACAAAAAGTAGCCTTTTCATCTGTCCATAAAAAAATCTTTAAACCCAAAATGATGAATCAATTATTTCATTACATTAAGGAAACGTGTAAGCTAGCAAAATTCCAGACAAGGATAATTGTTGTATTTAAGTGAGTCTTAAACATATGTTTTCCATGCCTGTGAACATTGTAAAAATAAATAAAAAATTTTAAAATATAAGATTTTATTTTGTCAGCTGTATTACTTACCCCAGAAGTCAATTATATACCTTGAGGTACAATGGAAGTGAAATGCATTTAATGCTAGGCTAGTTGATAAAGTCAATCTGTGAGGTAAGAATTTTACACTGAAAATTAATATTTAATTTAGAACATCAAAAATTAATATTCAAAATCTCCTAAATACAGATGAAGTAAAATGTTTATAGTTTTCTGTATGACACCGTATTTAGTCAAACTTATGCATGGTAAGATTTCAGGGTCAATGAGGAAAGTTACAAAGAACAAAAGAAAAGGCAATATACAAGGGACCAGACATTCTGCTTTTAAGATAACTGTCGAAATTCGAGTGGCAAATGTGTGTGTGTGTGTGTGTGTGTGTGTGTGTGCGCTTGTGGGGAGCGAGCATAAATAAAGTGATTGAGAAGAAGATAATTCTGATGCCCTCCTGCTTGCCTTCAGGATTTAATCCACTCGATTTCAAAAGTATGTCTATTATAACTTTAATACATTTAAATGGTATGTTTGTTGTCGGAGTTAAGATAAATAATACATGTGAAACACATTGCGGACTATGTCAGACTGAATAAGTGTTTATTGGATTTGAACTGGTCTAAGCCTTGTTTGATCTGACTGTCATACAATATGTCTTTGGTAACTCTAAAAAAAACTACTACCTGCCTGTTCTCTCCTACTAAATCATCCAATGAATAATAGAGATTTTAAATGACACTTACTCAAGCATCAGGTTTTAAAGTCAGCTCATGATATGGTTTGGCTCTGTGTTCCCACCCGAATCTCACCTTGTAGCTCCCATAATTCCCACGTGTTGTGGGAGATAATTGAATGATGGGGGTGGGTCTTTCCTGTGCTTCTTTCGTGATAGTGAATGGGTCTCACGAGATCTTATGTTTTTCGTTTTTGTTTGTTTGTTTGCTTGTTTGTTTTTTTGACGGAGTTTCACTCTTGTTGCCCAGGCTGGAGTGCAATGGCTCGATCACAGCTCAGTGTAACCCCCACCTCCTGGGTTCAAGTGATTCTCCTGCTTCAGCCTCCTGAGTAGCTGAGATTACAGCATGCGCCACGACGCCCGGCTAATTTTGTATTTTTAGTAGAGACGGGGTTTCTCCATGTTGGTCAGATCTCTAACCCCCGACCTCAGGTGATCCGCCCACCTCAGCCTCCCAGACCGCACTGGGCTTTGGTTTTTAAAATGGGAGTTCAGGGGGCCGGGCGAGGTGGTTTACGCCTGTAATCCCAGCACTTTGGGATGCCGAGGCGGGCGGATCACGAGGCCAGGCGATGGAGATCATCCTGGCTAACACGGTGAAACCCGTCTCTACTAAAAATACAAAAAAGAAAAAATAAATAAATAAAAATAAAATAAAATAAAATGGGAGTTCTTCTACACAAGCTCTCTCTTTGCCTGCTGCCATCCATATAAGATGTGACGTGCTCCTTCTTGCCTTCCACCATGATTGTGAGGCCTCCCCAGCCATGTGGAACTGTAAGTCCAGTAAAACTCTTTCTTTTGTAAATTGCCCAATCTCGGATATGTCGTTATCAGCAGTTTGAAAATGGACGAATACAGTTCATAAATATGTAAATGATAGAATTCCATTGTACTGTATTTTTTCAAAATATTTTACGAAGAATTGTAATACATTTTCTTACAAGTAATTTGGAAATTACTGTATTACACTTCCAGTGTTTAATTCAAAACATTAAAAATGATTATACAGCCAGTGGGGTGGCTTGTGTCTGTAGTCCCAGCTGCTCTGGAGGATGTGGCAGGAGGATCGCTTAAGCCCAAGAATTTCAGCCTGCAGTGAGGTATGATCATGCTCCCGCACTGGAGCATGGGTGACAAGAGTGAGACCCTGTCTCTAAAAAATACAGTAAAATGAAACAGTACAATACCCATGTAAATGCCATTTACCAAAGACAAAATTGATGTTTAAGAAAAGCCCAGAAAAACCTTCTTATTTGTTAGCACTGAATTAAGTGCATTATGTTCATTCATTTATAAACAAAAATAATTCTATAAAGGACACCTCAAATCTCCTGAGAGCTCCTTCATTGCAAAAAGACAGCAGAGATTCTGATATCGTTAATTGAATATATTTCGGAGGGGTTTTTACCTGATTATTTGCTTCTGTTTCTAAGACAGACTAATATCTTATGATTTCAGCCGAAAATCCAAATGTGTTAGCATTGTGTAGAATGCCTTATGGAACCTGGCCACAAACCACATTTTTAAGTCAAATCTCTTCTCTTTCTATTCCCATCTATTTAAAAATTACAAATCTATTTAAAATATCTGTATCATTCCAAATGTTAGTCTTAGTGTATAATTTTATTTCTCAAATTCTCCTTTTTCATTAAAAAAATAAATTTGCAATAATTATAGGCTCACAGAAAATTATTAAAAAATACAGAAAAGTCCCAGCTACCTGTCACTTAGTTTCCCTCAATAATAACATCTTTCATAACTCTAGTCTGATATCAAAACAAAGACATTAAAATCAGTATAATCCCATAATTTAGTCAGCTTCTACCATATGTATATGCACTCAAATGTGTGTGTTTTGAGTGTATTCTATACAACGTTATCTCCTATATATTTATATAATAGCTACCATAATCAAAACACTTAACTATTCCATCACCACAATATCCCTCTTGCTACTCTTTTCCAATTATTTGCCTAGTAAATAGGCAGCTTAATTACTATTGTTTTCTAAACCTATCCTGAGGCTGCAGGTACTGTGTGTCCTTGTGCTCTCAGAGCTCCCTGTGTGGGCTGTTTCAAAAACTCTTACTACATTACATTTTAGTTACTCTTAAAATGTACATCTTACTAACTAAACTGACTGCAAACTCTTTGAAGTTGGAAGAGTAATGTGTGTTGAATGGGTACCTACTGGGAATAATAAAATTTGTCAAAGACGCCTCAGATAATCATACCTTGTTCAAATAACAATTTTCTGAACCTACAACTTTAAAATACTATCTCTGTGCTATAAATGAGTTAATTGACTTCTAATGTACACATGCTTTGGGCCCAATTTTTACAAAAATTTATTATAAGAGCTAGCACAAATAAGAACAAAAAGAAATGATTAAAATATAACTGCTGCTGCATGGTCTAGTTTTGCTGCTGAAGATGCCATAAGCATCTTAATTACTACACAGAGTCATTTTTTAGTAAAGGGAACTACAAACACTTCAAGTATCCATGGTGTTCATCAGCTAGTAAACCTGGCAGGTGGGTGGCTATTCCAAAATTCCTAGTAGTTAAGCAAGTCTCTAATTAGAAATTTCAAATTCCTAGAGGTCTTTGCACAGCAATCCAACAAAAATTTAACTTCAACACCACTGGCCCAGGATATATCTCCAGTATACAGACTACAGATGTATTTTATTACAGTTTCAAAGAAGATGCACAAAAGGAAATTAAATTCTGTCATCATTATTTTAATTTATATGTGAATATAGATACTTTATCACCTGATTTCAGTATGTTGAATCATTCTCCAACTTCTTGCACATATTAAAAGGATAGGTTTTTATACTTTACATGTTTAACTTTTCTCAATATTTTACACTAATATTACAAAACACCAGTTATAAAGGATTGACCCTATCAGAAATGGGAAAAAAAAATTTGCAGTTTTTGAAATAATGGTCTAAAATGGAATTAGTTTCTTACTTTCAAGTTTCCACTACTTCTTAAAGTCTTACACTTCTGGAAAAAGTAGACTTAGTACTGAGAGGTGACAACGTGCTGGCAGCCCTCGCAGCCCTCGCTCACTCTCGATGCTTCCTCGGCCGTGGCGCCCACTCTGGCCATGCTTGAGGAGCCCTCCAGCCCGCTGCTGCACCGTGGGAGCCCCTTTCTGGGCTGGCCAAGGCCGGAGCCGGCTCCCTCAGCTTGCAGGGAGGTATGGAGGAAGAGGCGCGGGCGGGAACTGGGGCTGTGGGCTGCGCTTGCGGGCCAGTGCGAGTTCCGGGTGGGCGTGGGCTCAGCAGGCCCCGCACTCGGAGCTGCCGGCCGGCCGGCCCCGCCAGCCCCAGGCAGTAAGGGGCTTAGCACCTGGGCCAGCAGCTGCTGTGCTTGATTTCTCGCCGGGCCTTAGCTGCCTCCCCACGGGGCAGGGCTCGAGACCTGCAGCCCGCCATGCCTGAGCCTCCCCACCACCCCTCACCCCCTACCCCCTACCCCCTACCCCCCACCCCACAACCAAGAGATGTTGGTCAAAGGCTACAAAATTTCAGTTAGGAAGAATAAGTTCAAGAGATCCATTGTACAATGTGGTAACATAGTTATTAACAATATAGTGTATTCTTGAAAAGCAGTGCCTGTTAAATGTTCTTAGCACAAAAATGGTAACTGTGAGATGGTACATACGTTAATTAGCTAGATTTAGCCATTCCACTATATATATATATATATATATACTTAAAATATCATGTTGTATACTATATACACAATTTTATGACAATTTGTAAGTAAATAAATGCAAACATTAAGACAATAATATATATTAAATGCTGAAATTACATGATGAAAAGCATACTCATTTCTCCCAAGTGGTTCACTCTCTAATTAGAACGAACTACTAGCGATCTTTGCAAAAACAATTACAAGCCACGTGTGCAATGCTAATTTGTGTACTTATACAATGTACAATGTTTTAAGAAATTTTACTTCCACAAATGTTATAAAAATTCCAATATATTTGTATCATTTTATAAAAGTTATTATCTTTAAGAAAATAATGAGAAAATTATTTTTATACTTATTCACATATTTACTATTTCTGGTGTCTTTTTTGGGTTGGTCTAATTTTCCTTATGTTGTCATTTTCCTTCACTGAAGAACATCCTTTAACAATTTTATTTTTCTGTATTGCAAGTCTACTCATTACAAATTCTTTCAGCACAAAAAATAAAAATAACAAAAGGAACAAATTAATAACAAATGTATAATCAATCTTACCATTTTAACTACTCATAGTAAGACTTTTTGTTATGGTGATAAAAAGCACATTTGAGATCTGCCCTTTTAACGAATATTTTTAAGTGTACAGTAACATATTGTTAACTATAAGCAATTTTATAGTAATGTGGTACAGTAGATCTGTAGAACTTTTTCATCTTTTGTGACTAAAACTCTATATCCATTGAACAGCAGCTACACATTTCCTCCTCCATCTCCCAGCCAGTGGCAACTAACATTCGACTTTCTGTGTGTCTATTTAGCTGAATGATTTTAGATACCTCAATAAGTAGAATACTGCAGAATTTGTTCTTCCACAAGTAGCTTATTTCATTTAACATAATGTCCTTAAGGGTCTTCAATGATACAGTGTATAACAGGATTCCTTATTTTTTAAGTCAAATAATATTCTATTGTATGTAGATGCCACATTTTCCAAAGCCATTCAGCCATTGATGAATATTTGTGTTGTTTCTACCTCTTTGATATTGTGAATAATGCTGCAATGAATGTGGGAGAGCAAATACTTCTTAATGACACTGGCTTCAATTCTTTTGGATAAATATTCAGAAGTGGGATTGCTGGATCATATGGTAGTTCTATTTTTAACTTTCTGAGGAACCTTTGTACTGTTTTCCACAATAGCTTCACCATTTTACATTCTCCCCAATAGCACATAAGGGTTTTAATTTCTCTATATCCTCGCCAACACTTACTTCATTTTTTTTAATAACAGCCATCTGGCCATCTGGCCATGCTAATAGATGTGAGTTGATACCTCATTGTGGTTTTGATTTGCATTCTCCCGATGATTAGTTATGTTGAGCATATTTTTCATATACCTACTGGCCATTCATATGTCTTTTTTGGAGAAATGTCTATTTAAATATTTTGTCCATATTTAATCAGGCAATTTGTTTTCTGGCCTTTTTTTCTATTAAGTTGTAGAAATTCCTTATATATTTGGGGTATCAAACCCATATCAAATGGTAGTTCTAAGTTCTTTGAAAAATCTCCTAACGATTTCCACAGTGGCTGAACTAATTTACATTCCCACGGGCAGTGTATAAGCATTCCCTTTATTCTGCAGCCCCACTAGCATCTCTTGTTTTTTGACGTTTTAATAATTGCCATTCTGACTGGTGTGAGATGGTATCTCATTGTGGTTTTGATTTGTATTTCTCTAGTGATTAATGATGTTGAGCATTTTTTCATGTTTCTTGGCCATCTGTATGTCTCCTTTTGAGAAGTGTCTTTTCAAGTCCTTTGTACACTAATTTTTTTTCCTTTTTGTTTGTTTGTTCATTTGGTTTTGTTTGTTTTAGAAAACTCACACCAGAGGCCAGCATTTTTTTTTCTTACTGAACTATTTAATTTCCTTATTGTGTGTTTATAAATCAGAAGAGAAGCTTAACAATCAGATCCCAGGAAGAGCAGGAGACAGTTTCTGGGTATCTATAATAACTTAGGAAATGCTCTTATAATCTATAATTTAGTCTGCTCAAGAGAAAGTCTTATAATTTGATAATTAAAAGTGATACAATATTTTATTTTATAATACTTTTGGTTATTTTGTGACACAATATGAGTAAAGGAGTGAATCAGCTATAATTAATTTATATTCTTGTCTTAGCTCAAGAGGCAAATTACCAAGACAACAGTCTGATAGGTTTAGGTTGTCAAGTGAACTTCTTTGTTCACTCTTGACTGACTAGCTCAGGGGGATGGCACACAAAGGAAGAAGTAGAGATGATCCCCGAAAGGAAACACTTGACCTTTAAAAAGTTAGTGGATGTAACTTGTTGGGGGAAAAAAAGGCTCTTAGGTCCAATATGTTTAAGACATACTGGACTAGAAAAGCATGGGTTTTTTGTTTTGTTTTGTTTTGTTTTCTTGTTTTTTTTTAGCAGCATTTTAGGAACTTTGTGCATGTTTTTTAACATGCCTTCACAGAATTGGTTGCTTTGATTTTCCTTTGGAGTATATTTTCAGAAATACTCCATTAGAAAAAAAAAAGAAAAGAAATTAAAGGGTTCCTTTCATTGAGCACTTCTACTTTCACTATAAAATACAACTCCAACTGAAACTCAGATAAAAGGAAGAAGCATTTAGGAAACACTTTATTTATTAGAATTACCTGGACAGATTGGTAAGACACAGATTGCTGAACCCTACTTCCAGAGTTTCTGATTCAGGAGGACTGGTGGTGAGTTCCAAGAATTTGCATCTCTAACAAGTTCCCAGGTGATGCTGATAATGCTCATCCTGGAACCACTTTGGAAAAAGTTCTGTTTTAATAATTGCTGGAATCAGTAAGTGAACATAATTGTTTAAATCTTTAAATCTTTTGTATAACACAGATAAGCCTCTGGGGCTTATGATGCAATGGAATTGCATCGTTTGCATAATCCTTTAAATTCTGTTTCTGAAAAATTGAATTCACCTGGCCATGCTAAACATCCTGAAGATGATATGAACTCCTGGGCCCTCAGCTTGACAGAAACTTCTCATAAAAATGTAATCAATTTCTGGAATGGGCTACAATTTGGACACGTTCTCCAGTAGAGGAGAGAAACTCTTGGGTCCTTCAGGAATCCATGCCATCCTGCGATCCCTGGGAATGCTGGCCTCTGGTGTGAGTTTTCTAAAACAAACAAAACCAAATGAACAAACAAACAAAAAGGAAAAAAAAAAACACGATCGAACTGTCATATTACCTTATGAAGTGCAAAACATATTTTAACTGGTCCATTATAAGTACAGAAAGTAAAAAATAACACTCAGAAAAGTGATAGATTAAGAGATTGCACTGTGATGTGTAAGCAAGCATTTAACTTTCTTGGAACATATTGTATTTATTGATGGTTAAATTGGCATTTCATATTTCTCAAGGATTGGTATAATGTTTCAGCATGTCAGTTTAATTAGATGAAAAAAGGTATCATGCTTACAAGCTGGCCAGATAAAATCCATCAGTCTTACCAATATAAGCAACCACATTAAGAGGGAAAAGAAATCACTGTTATGGACTGAATTTTGTCCCTTCAAATTTATAGGTTTAACTCTTTACCCACAACATGACTATATTTGGAGAGAGGGCTTTTAAGTAGGTAATTAAGGTTGAATGTGGTCATAAGGGCAAGGTTCTAATTCAATAGAACAAGTGTCCTTAAGAATAGGAAGAGACACCAGCAATGCATGTGCACAAAGAAAAAGCAGTGTGGTCTGCAAGCCAGGGAGAGAGGATTTTGAAGAAAACAACTCTGTCAGTACTTTGATTTTTAAGCCACCCTGTCTGTGGAATTCTGTTAGCACAGGCTAATATGCTCTTCTTTTCTTCTTAGTCCTATTCAAAGCTTCATATAAGCATTTACTAAACATACACTCCATTCAGGATTTGATAGTCAAATGAACTTGTGAAATCCTAGGACAAATAATGTCCAAACAATAGTGTTTACTGAAAGGGTTAAATAAAGCTAAACAATTGCCTTTACTGAAAGATTTCTGACACATTATTTGATGTGAATCAAATAATATAAATATTATAAATCTGATGTGAAAGCTATTCAATGCAACATTTTTTCAATTTACTAGATACTGTTGCTCTTTTTTCTTTTTTATTGTCTTTTGTTTATTTGTTTAAACAATATCTCATGAGAGAAGTATTGGCAAATATTGTTTTACGTAAGTTAATTAACGACATTTCATTATTAGGACTAGCGTTTATCTTTCTCACTGACTCAAAATTTAATCTCTTAGTTTTATATTAGAATTTTACATCATCATTTGGGTTATTACTCTGGGTTTCTGCATTAAAGAAATAGCCAATAGGATGTGTTTATATATATACATTTATGCCTATATATACACACATACATATTGACTTATTTAATATATTTATATTTACACAAACACACACACACACACACACACAGAGATTTATTTTAAAGGATTTGGATACTAGCAAGCTAGAGACCGAGGGAAAAGTTATTGTTACTTTCTCTAGTTGAAGGCTATCTGGAAGCATATTCCTTCTTCTTCAAGGAACTTCAGTCCTTTCTCTTACGCCTTCAATTGATTGGATGGGGTCCACCCACATTGTGATGAGTAATCAGCTAGGCTATAAAGTCTACTGATTTACATGTTAATTACGTCCTAAAAATTACCTTCACAGCAATATCTAGACTGGTATTTGACTAATACTGTGTACTATGGCCCAAACAAGTTGACATGTTAAATTAACCATGACAGTCCCCATAACATTCATCCTGATTTGTTTTTACCACATTTTACCCATTTAAAAACCAAAGTCCTCAAGCTCAATCATCCTTTTCTTTCCTGATACCTGAGTGACAGATGAGACAAATATATTGGCAGAACTTGTTAAATTCTGTGTTAAAATGCTCGGCCCAGCTGATATGAGTTTACTTACTCTGCTGCTATCAGCAAGTGATGCTGGAAGAGTCTGCTTCTTTCCCTGTTTATAGTTTTCTCCAGTTTCTGACTCTGAAATATTAGGGTCGCATAACTCATTCTGTGTTCCAGTAACATTTTAGGGCTCCATTTACCTCTCGTATATTGTTCTTTTCTGTAACAATTTTTCTTTGCTTTCTGCTTTTCACAAATGGAAAGTATCATGAAACCTTTTAAATTTATATCTTCTAATAAGTCTTTTCTAGACAGAGCCCAAGAATTGCTCATTTTAAATCTTTTTTTTTTTAGTCCCCTAAAAGAGATATAATGCAGTTTGCTTATTGATGGTTTTAACATTATGGTCTGTTCATTCCATAATTATATTTATAAAATGTATTAAATTATATAAGTAGTCACATTTGATTTATAAACTTTTCTATGCCTAAGTTCCTTTCTCATTGTTGTACATAATTATCAACTATTCTGAAAACTACATCTCTCCTGTCCTAAGCCTAAGAAATAATTTCATCTTGTATTTCAAGGAGATCAAATCATCTATGAAGAAATACCTTTTCCATCTTCCTCTCTTTGTCTCTCTTTGTGTCATAATGTTCTTATGTATTGTCTTGGGGAAAAAATGTACTTCTGTTCTTTGGAACTACACCACTTGGCATTCAATAAATATTTGTTGATTGATTTAACAGTTTTTTTTTTTAATTTTTAGACATACTTTTTTTTTTTTTTTCTTTTTTTGAGACGGAGTCTCACTCTGTTGCCAAGGCTGGAGTGCGGTGGCTCGATCTCAGCTCACTGCAATCTCCGCCTCCAGGGTTCAAGCGATTCTCCTGCCTCAGCTTCACGAGTAGCTGGGATTACAGGCATGCATCACCATGCCCGGCTAATTTTTTTTTTTTTTTTTTGTATTTTTAGTAAAGATGGGGTTTCACCATACTGGCCAGGTTGGTCTCGAACTCCTGAACTTGTGATCCACCTGCCTCGGCCTCCCAAAGTGCTAGGATTACAGGCGTGAGCCACCGCGCCCGGCCACAGACATACTGTTTTATATAAAGTATTTCTAATATATTCTAATGTTTTCTTTTTAATAAAATATTTTTATTGTGGTAAAATACACATAACTACTTTTAAATGTACAGCTCAGTAGTATTACATACATTCATATAGTTGTGTAACCATTCCCATCATTCATCTCCAGAACTCTTTTCGCCTTACAAAACTGAAACTATACCCATTGAACACTAACTCCATATTCCACTGTCCCTTAATCTCTGGCAACCACCATTCTACTTTTCTGTCTCTATTAATTTGACTACACTAGGAGACACATATAAGTGAAATCATAGATATTTGTCTTTTTGTGATTGGCTTATTTCACTTAGCGTAATGTCCTCAAGATTCCATCTATTCATCTATTTGGCAAAGTTGTCTCTATTATATTGCCCACATATTTCACAAATTTGTTTCCTCTTATTCATTCTCTCAACTGTTTTGGTTAAATTTCTCTGTATCTTTTATATTGACTCAGTGAAACGGCCTATTGACAGTCCCTTCATAATATTCTGTTCATTCCTAACCATCACCCACCACTGTCAGAATTAAGTGGTTATTGTGGTTACTACCTTATTTTTGTTATTATATTTCAGATTATAAATCTAACCAAATTACTCTTTGCTTAAAATATTTTACTGTCTTCTGATTATCTATTTTTTAAGACTAGATATATTTAAAAATGAGTGTATTATGTTCTTCTGAGTTCCATTTATTATTAAGCATGTTTTATTTTTTATCATGGACCCTGTGCTTCATTACATTCTTTTTTGTGTTAGAAATTTAATTCAACTACTATGCTTCCAAATGTATATCTCATTATAAAGAAGTAACTCAAACTTTTTACTCTTTTCATAAAAAGTTTATTAATTTTGCGAGTCTTAAAAACAGATCTTGATTTACATCCAGATCTCATCATGGTATGACTTTTGTTGACTGTTTCTAAGAAGAAGTGTAATGATTCAGAGTATACCAACAGATAAATAAGAAAACATTCTTTGTGTCTCTTGTAGAAGAAAAACAAGAGTGACATATTAAATGCTGTATACCAAGTGCAATGTTCTGGGCACATGTTATGTTTCCTAAATGTAATCTTTATATTAAATTTGCATTAATTTTATACTAGAAATCTTAATTAAATTACTATGATTCCAAATGTATATCTCATTATAAAGAAGTAACTCAAACCTTTTATTCTTTTCATGTAACGATCGTTAATTTTGTGAGTCTTGTCTAAAATAAGAGAGGAGAACATAGAACAGAGAGAGGAAGAGAAAAAAA
The DNA here is from genome assembly GCF_000001405.40 of Homo sapiens. Lineage (NCBI taxonomy): Eukaryota > Metazoa > Chordata > Mammalia > Primates > Hominidae > Homo > Homo sapiens. The sequence goes on along the minus strand of NC_000002.12, from coordinate 184,320,226 downwards.
GAGCAAATCAAAGGAAGAGAATGTTGATTATGTTATGTTTATTATGTTTTGGACTTAGCTTTTCAAGATGTGTGAATAAAACGACAATTGCTTGGGTAACCATGAGCCTCTTAGGTCATTTTCTATGACAACCACACATACAATGTTCTGGAAAGAGATAACTCAATAACAACTATTCCACCACTGTATACACCAGTTAATCATACAGTCTTCCCTCAAAGAGGAATTTGGCTTCAACAGGCCTATTATACTTCTTAGGAGAGTCACCCATGCATATCATACATCACCAGGTTGTCTCTCACGGAGCGTATTATATACTGCTACAGAACATCTCGAAGCTCAAAGAAGATTTATACAAACACAGCAGGGAGTGACAAGGAATCTAAGTATATATCAGGGAGCTATTATTTGTGTGAGTTTTCAAAACTTAACATATGTAAGCAGAAGGCAAAATCACCATATTTAGATCTGTAGGATATTTTTAATCTTTTAAATTGTATCGTTTATGTTCATATGTTTAGGCTTATATGAGAAGAGCTAATAAACATAAAACAAAACAAAATAAAACAAACTTAAATAATTGAAATCAGTCAATGATGTATTATTTCACCAAATAAAAACGTACAAAATATATTCTTAGACCATGACAAAATTAAAGTAGAAGTTAATAACAGAAAGATACAGGAAAACTGCCAAATATTTGGAAATATAACACATACTTTCAAACAACTGATAGGTTAAATAGAAAGTTATAAAGAAATTTATAAATTATTTTAATGGAAAAATGGAAACATCTTAGTGAAAATTTGTGTGGTATCACTAAAACAATCCTAAAAATATATGTATCATTATATGCTTATGTTGTAAGGGAAGAAAAGTCTTCAATTAATGATGTAAGGTTCCACATTAAAAATAATAAATTGATATAAGAAGGACAAAGAAAATAAATATAAAATCAGAAGTCAATGAATTAGAAAATGAAGAAAGGATAGAGAAAATATAGCAATGGTAGGGTTTTTTTAAGATTAATAAAATTGTAAACCTTTGGGCTGATTTTTCAAAAAACATAAGAAAGCACACATTACATGTATTACTGACATTGGAATGTCAACCCATTAAACAGCTGAGTTGAAATGGACATATTTCTTGTGAGACACAAACCATCAAATCTCACTTACAAAAATAATTGCCTAATTAGCTCTAAATCTATTACAGAAAATGAGTCTTTATTACACTCTCACAAAGATCAAGACAAAGATGCCTTTCCTAATGAATTCTACCAAATATTTAATGAAGAAATAATAGAAATTACATAATACTCTTCTAAAAATGAAGATGAGATGTCACACAACTAATTTTATAAAACCAGTGCTATTAAAACTAAACACATTATAAAAATATAAAAGTAAAAAAAGTATCACATTCATTACATAAACTTAAAATTTTCTAGCCCAATATGAGAAAATATTCTAGCAATAGATATAGTAGCTGATACATCATGACCAAGTGGCTCTATCCTACTGTATGTAAGGTTGGTGAATATTTGAAGATTAATCATTATAAAGGACCATATTTATATTTTGAAGAATAACATGAAATTATCTCAGTAGATGTAGATACAGCATTTTGGAAATTTCAACAACCACTATGTTAGAAATTGTTGCAACCCAAGAATGGTAGAGAACTTCTTCGTTTTGATAAGAACCATTTATAAAAAAATCTAGAGTTAAATTATATTTGTATAGTGAAAGAATGATTTCCATGAACATTACGAAAAATCAAGAATGTTCACTCTCATTACTTCTATTCAGTGCTTTACAGTGGTATTATTCAGTGCAATAGGGCCAGAAAATATATCAAAGAAACAGATTGGAAAAAAAGAAATAAAACTGACTTCACTCAAAGACAATGTGATCAGTTTAGCAGATAATATTATGCAATTTTCAAAAAGTAAGTGAATTTGAAAAGGTCATAGAATATAGGTCAGTATACAAAAATAAATTGTACTTCTGTTTTCTGGAAATGAACAACTGTTAAAGTTTAAAATTTTTACCCTTAAAATTACATAAAAATATAAAATTACTTAACATAAATTTAAAGGAATACATGCCACATATTTAAATTTCAACCGCAAAATAGAGCTGGCTGCAGTGGGGCATTCCTGTAGTCCCAGCTGCTTGGGAAGATGAGGTGAGAGGATCCCTTGAGCTCAGGAGTTTGAGTTCAGCATTCTGGGCAACTTAACAAGATGCTGTCTCAAAAAAACTGTCACAGAGATAAAAATGGACCTAAATATAAGTGATATAATGTGTACATTCTCCAAAAATTAACTTATTTAATGTATTCACAATCAAAATTCCAGTAAGCAATTTTTGTCAAAATTGACAGGCTGAACCTAAAATTTATATATAAATATAAAGGAGTTAGAATATCTGAAACAATTTTGAAAAATAAATTTGAGAGACTTGCATTACCCAAGTTCAACATTTACTTTCTAGAATGAAGAATGTGTGGCATTAGATCAATGATAGACATATAAATCAAAGGGAAAAGATAAAAACCCAGAGAGTATAGACAGTCATGTTCTACACCCACATATTTACCTGATTAATCAACTGTTTAATATTATTGTTTTGTTTCATATTATTATATTTGTTTAATATATTTTGTATATTTGTGATAATTAATGCCAAAACAGGAGTTACTATTGTTTTATTTAATGTTTGTTTAACATATTTTGTATAATATTATTTGTAATAATTAAAACAAAAACAGGAGATACCAAAAAAACATAATCACACTAGTTTTTATAGATTTATCAGATTTTTTTTGTTTTGGATTTGAATTATCTACTAATGTTCATTGATTTTCCACCTGAAGGACTCTTTTCAGCATTTACTATAGGTCAGGTGTATTAGGAACTTGTTCCTTTAGCTTTTATTGATCTTGGATGTTTTAATTTCTCTTTTATCTTTGAAGAATAGTTTTGCTGGATATTTAATTCTTGAATGACAATATATTTGTTTGTTTGATGAGAAAGTGTCTTCTAATCTTTCTGAGGATTCTCTGTACCCTATGAGTCACTTCTTTTTTACGACTTTCAATATTATTTTGTCTGGCTTTCAACAGATTGTTTATGATTATTTTTGGTGTGGATCTCTGACTTCATCTGCTTAGAATTTATAGAAATTCTTGGATATGTAGTTGCATATGTTTTATTAAATTTAGGACATTTCGCCATTTTAAAAACATTTTTTGACTATTTTTCTTCCTTTCTTCTTTTGGAAACTACCATAATTAGTATGTTGGTATGCTATATGATATCCCATAATTCCCTTAGCCTCTGCTCATTTTTGTCTATTTCTTTCCTTCTATTCTTCAGACTGGTTAATTTCAATAGACCTCTCTTCAAGTACCCTAATTATTTATTCTGGCTGCACAAATCTACTGTTGCATCTCTCCAGTGAATTTTTATTTTAATATTTGAATTTTAAGCACCAGAATTTCTATTTGGTTCTTCCTGTAATTTGTAATCTGATTAATAATCTTTACATGTTCCTAGACATCATCTTGATTGTCTTTTTTATTTGTTAGTGTTTTCAGCATACTGAAAGCAGTTAGTCTTTTCTAGTAAGTCCAGTTTCTGCGCTTCATCAGAGACAGTTTCTGTTGATTTCTTTTGAAATGTGAATGATTCATACTTTTGTATTTCTCTGTATTCTTTATAATATTTGTTGAGAGCTATACATTTGTAATGTTGTAATGTGATAACTCTGTAAATAAAATTCTCTCTTCTCCCCAGGTATTGTTGTTGCTGCTTGTTGAGGGCCACAGTCATCCATTTGTTTAGTGATTTTTCCAAACTTCTTTTCCAAGGATTACATTCCTTGTCATATGTTCCATTTTCTCTACAGTCAGCCCGTGACATGACTGGAATGTCCTCAAGTGCTTGAATGTAGAAGAAATAAAAAGTATTCTGTCTCTTTAAATTATTTCAATGAACACTGCCCAAGAAGCTGCTTCAAAATGATGGGGTTGAAACAATAGCCAGCCTCTATGGGGCCAAAGAAGGGCACTGTATATGTTATGTGAATCGTCAATACTTGGTGAAATTTATCTGCATGTTGTTTTTTTTAATCAAGCACTTCTCTGGACACTGAAAGTGTTGGCCTAGATTCCAGAGTTCTGAAATAGTCAAATCTGACATTTCTTGTCAGCTCTTCAGTTATTTCAGTGAAGAAACTCATTCCTGATCCTCCTACTCCACCGTCTTCCATAACATCACTTGGTCACTTTTTCAAATGATAAATTTACTTTGGGAAATATTCTTCATTATGTTTTTGATTAAATTGTAAATAATTATGCATTTGTTTATGTTTTCTAAAATCAAACTAATTCATTTTCTCACCCAACTCTCTGAAATTTATACAAACTCCTACAATGCTCTTGTTTTCATTTCTGATTTTCATCATAAAAATGATACTAAACTAATAGAAACTAAAAATGTCATAAAATCACTTTTTTTTCACTCTTGGTATGTTTGATATACTCTTAGATTTTTTTATCCATTAATTTCCATTACCACTGAGTAACAAAAAGTGTGAATAAATAAAATAATAATGAATGAATTATTGCTGGATGAATGTAAAAAATAAATGAATAAGATTTACTTAGGGACCAAAGGATACATAGAAAAATTAATTGTTAACCAGGCATGATGGCTCACACCTGCAATCCCAGCACTTTGGGAGGCCATTGTGGGTGGATCACCTGAGGTCAGGAGTTCGAGACCAGCCTGGCCAACACGGTGAAACGCCGTCTCTAGTAAAAAAAAAAAAAAAAAATTAGCAGGGCATTGTGGCACACGCCTGTAGTCCCAGCTACTCAGGAGGCTGAGAAAGGAGAATCACTTGAACCTGGGAGGCAGAGGTTGCAATTAGCCGAGATCGCACCATTGCACTCCAGCCTGGGTGACAGAGTGAGACTCCGTCTCCAAAAAAAAAAAAAACAAAGAAAAGAATGCATAAAAATAGTAACCAAACCAATTAAAGTAATGACCTGAAACAGTGCTTTATAAGTGATTGGAAAAGGATACTGAGAGAAAATAACCAGTGATGTAGGTGTAAAACCAGGAGGCAATGATGTCTACTAGGGGAAAATTTAAGTGAGTGCAGTTGGGTGAGCTATTCCTGCACTAGTGGTGCAGATCTGCGGCTGAGTGGAGGAACAGTTTGGCAGGGAACAAATGAAGGTTACCACATTGTTCTCCCTATTATGTAAGAGATAAAATATTTCCTACTACTCTTAAACATTGTATAGCTTGAGTGTGAAAAAGAAGATAAGTAATCAGAGCCAGAAGCACTATCAATTCTTACGGTGCATGAAGCAAAAAGAAAGATCTATAGAAAATGCATATAGTACTGTGAAAATCATAAAAATATAGCTATCTGACTCAAAACTTGGCAATGCAGTTAGAGATCTCATTTCGGAACAAAAGGTATATTGCCCATTTTGAGCTCCCTGCCAAGTTATAAATTTATCTCTCAGGTTACTAGAATTTTTAGGAAACTAACTTTTGTTGTATTTTCATTTGGATTCCTATGCTAAGAGTCTATAGAAGATAATTTCTTCCTAATGTAGGTGAGTATATGCATTTTTATATTTTGATCATTTGTCAGTGGAATGTTAAACTCAAAGTAGCAGCAATTTCAGAGAAAATATTTAAAATAAAGTTCAGCTAGTGAAGAGAAAGACACAGAGACATACATTTTGTATTACAGACATTGTAATAAAGAAACGCCAGAGGGTATACAAAAATGACATCAATCCTATCTTATATGGGTTATCATTTTGAACTTAAGAAAAATTCACAATGTCTAATCTGTAATTTAAAACTAAATGCAAATATAAGGGTATGAAATTAACCACTTTACATCATTTATGATCTGAAAATGCACTACTATTAATAGCATATTTAATTAAAAACATTATTGAAATATATATGTGGCAAAAATTTTATCTATGCTACTAGTATGTGAGCTGAAACCAAGGAAAAAAATAATATCATGTGATGTAATTAGGGACTAACCATTTGACAAATATGTTGGAGGATCTGCAACTGTTAGGGCTGATTATTTCTTTATTCTGTGATTTGTTACAACTGAACACATAAAAATTATTTTGAGAAATCATTATAGTGAGGATCAAGTTTATCAAACTAATAAATTACTTGATTTCCCTACCCACCACATTTAGCATAATGGTATTTAATCATCTTATTGTATATAAGTTTATCAAGTATTTCAAATTATCAGATAAAAAGTTCAGTGAAAAAATCAATACTATTAACATTATACATATTGTCAATAAAACTATACAATAGCTATATCAGATTGTTAATAAGATTATTCAAAATTCCATAAAATGGGATGCAACTTTTATTGCTCTGTCTTATAAAATTTCAGTTACAGAGGAAGTATGAGCCTTGCCACAACATAGTCTGGCCTTATTGGAATGTTCTGATTTCAGATTGTATGGTGGAGAGGTGGAATATTATTAGTCTCTTTGCCCTTTCATACTCCCATTCAGATAACGCATTGTTCGTGAGTGACAGTTATTTTAGAAAAAGGCAGAGAGCATAAATCCTGAAATTTGCTTCTAAAACTTCCTAAGACAGTATTCGTTAACAGATTATTTCAGAATGTAACTGAAATTTGGGGGAGACTATTGTATTTTTCATGACATACTGAAAAAAACCTGCAGATAAAAAAATACTTGTTCTCTTTCAGATTATATGTGCATAATTTTTAAATGTAGATAAATCTAGTGACTCTAACTATATTATAAAATATTAATTCCAACAAACCACCAACACAAGTGCCAGTGTATGCCTCCCCGGGACAGAAGGATAGACACATTTAACCCACCGTCACTACCACTGAAGCCTGAAGATGGGCCCATTTGGCATTCCAGTCCCCAGTACAACATCACCACAGCCTCCACTAATAACCATACCCTAACACCATGAGGAAACCACAGATACCACTAACGTTGTTTATGGCCAGAGAAATCACTGGAAGCTTCACTGTTCCATGTACCCAGAAGCAAAGCCAAAGGGTTTTACCCAACCAACACCACAGATGCATCCGCAGTAAAAAGGAACCCCCCCGCCAACAAAAGTAAATTCAAAAACAGGAAGAAACAACTGTTACACCAGTTGTGCAGAGATCAACATAACGACACGGAAAACATGAAAAAGCAAGGAAATATGACACCTCCAAAGGAACGCAGTAATATTCCAGCAATTGATCTTAACGAGAAATTCCAGTTCTCACATTAGCTCATCTTTTAAAAGGTTTAAATACATACTAAATTCTAGATTAATTAATTGGTATCATTATATATCTTTTGTCATTAGAGTGATAAAGACAGTTGTTTATTTAATAAAATTAAAGTGATTATTTATGCTCTCTACATATTTTTTTCATAATTAATTATCAGCCAAATACAAACACCAGAGTCAGGTACATACACATAGGTTTACCAAAGAATACTGTCCTCTATCATAATTCTAAATTTTAAAATTATAGCTTTAGTTACTCTTTTTATTTATTGTCATACATTATCAGAGGCAGCATTATTTTGTTTTGTGCCCTATAAACTAATAAATTACATCAGACATACAGATATCTAAATTTGACTTATGTTAGTAATACATCTTGGAAAATATATTCTACATTTTATCTCAGCGATTTTTAAATAATAATCCTGAAAACACTTATACAGACATTCAATTGAATTTGAAAATGAAGTTGTACTTGACAGAAAAGTCTGAATGATCTTTTCTTAGCCCATGAATTAAAGAAGATTAAACAAAGTTGTAATGAATTATAGCCTTGCCTTAGACTTTTTTCCTTTCTGAAAAGTGACCTACTGGTTCCCCCCGGGACTTATTTATAGTTGGCTGAATCTGGAACACTGGGGAGTGCTGGAGGTCAATGCTGCAAGTTGGTCTCTTGATGCTACTTATATTAATATTGTCTTTAATTAAATACTGTATGAGAAAAATTAAATGGATTTGGTCCAATCCTCTTTTGGTTACATTACTCGAAGTGATCAACAAAGCTCCACACTCAAATGAAAATTTGAGTTTGGTTGAAACCATGCTAGGCTGAAGGATGGATTATTAAAGGAGCAAACTTTCTTTCCCTTGCTACAAAAGTAGTAAAACCTCCCAAATTCAGTGTTGTTCTCAGGTAATGCAGTTACCCAAATGGACACCATCTGTCCATTGTCCATCCTGTGTTGACCTCCTACCTGCCACCCCTCCATAGGCCTTGGAAGGCATGTGGAACTGCTCTAGTTGCTGCATTTTGCATGAGTAATGAAGTCCTTTGCCTCTGACCCAGGAATCTTACTTCTTCTGCCACTATCTATGAAACCGTAATAGGCTAACTTGCTAGATTGTAAATATGTCCAAATCCCAGACCTTTTATAGTTCTTGACAGTGTCATAATGGTTTATTTTCCAGTTCCCCCTAAATAATGCCCAAAAGGGGTGACTGTGAAAGAGACATTCCTGCATCAACGTAGCTTAACAGTCAGTACTAAGAACTGAGATTACCTATATCATCATTACATTATTATTTTCTCCAGAAAATTTTTTACTGAGGAAGATACTGCTCTAAACCTGTCAATAACTTCATTGTATATGAAAGCAATTTTCCAAAATTGAATTTTTTTAAATAGATTGATCACTTAGCCTTTTTATCAGGGCACTGATTTACTAAACTGAGTGAAGTATTTGCTTATTAAACAGTTCTTTACTTATCCAGGTTTCCTCCAAGACCTTAAACTTCTGGTGTCTACCAATCTGAAAAATATTATAAAATTTGCCCAATCATGTTCAGATTTCCTATATGGAAACACCTACCTTAAGCCTCTCAATCCTACAACCAAAGACCTCATAAAATTTTCACCTCACCTCTCTCTGTTGGGACACTAGTAAGATCCTGTGAAGTGAGTGCTCTTTCTTCATGTAGGAAGTAATAAACATGACTCTGATTCTGCAGGTTATTATGCTGTGTATGCATGTGTGTGTATGTGTTTAGGAATTTGGGGATTAACGGTATGTAATGGTGACTTTCAGATAGCTACAATTCTACTAGGCTTAATAACTGCTCTATTAGGTATTTTTTTCCTAATCTTTCAGAATTTCTGTATGTATTTGATTAAAATGTTTAGTATTTATAGTTTAAAACTGCTTGAAATATCGCAAAATTGAATTTATCTGTATTATTGCCAATGTGCTATATGCAAATCCACATTGTTGTAGTTATTAACTGCAACATAAATAATGTGACAGAGCTGATGCCTTATTGATATAGTGTCAATGAATCAATTGTGTGAAATGGTCATTTGCTATTTCGTATGAAATAAATAATAAGTACACTGGGAGATTTTCTTTTCTGTACATTAAGCTAATGTTACCCAATTATGAACTTTAAAAAACGATTAAACAAACTACTTCTGGATAAAAATACCTCATCTATTGCATAAAGTCCACTTTGCTTCATGTGTTTCAAATTTAATATAATCATCTCCAAAAGTCAAAAAAATGCATTTGCAGGATTTGGGCTTTCTTTCATTTCATCTTTAGCAGTAAGAAGAATCTGTAACTGTAACAGCCATCGCTGAATAACTATATAATTTAATATTATCTCTTTATTCTATTTTTTGAATTACGAAGTCTTCATTGATTTCGAAGTTGTCATATTGCATAAAATATACCCACCGAGTTATCTTTTTCTTGAAGTTACTGGTGGCAGAAAGATGATTTTATTGTTTTACCAATGTGCAATCAAATGCAAAGGCTCTCTACATGAATTCTGCAGGTCAGATTTTTCTTTACAATAGCCATCCCTGCTTTAAGAGAAATAATGTAGTTATAGCTGTCTTTCTAAGTACGTTGAGCTTTGATTACAGGCTGCAGCAGTAAATGGCTTTGACTAATACAGAAAAAATTGTACAAATACAGTTTGAAAGTTATCCAATAACTTCAAGTAGGGAATATATCTACTACCTTTCTGCCTAGAAGATTTTAAAGAAACATTCAAGTAATTTAGATAAAATTAAAATTAGTTGGTAGTTAATTTTAGTGTATACTTAATAATTAAATACAATGATACTATTTTTAAAGGAAAAAAGACTGTAAAAAAGGCCATCAAAAATTTTCTTTCTGCTTTGTAAAACAATACCAATTTTATCACTCTAGGTATAAAGCTTATTTAATAATGAACATGTAGCAAGAAATAAAATTTCACTTAGACTCAGTGCCAAAGAAAGGAAACCAAATTAATCATGAGATACAAAATTATCTCCCAATATTGCTAATTGAATAATTAGATTTTAAACTGGATCATATGTGTGTGTGTACATATATATATACATATACATATATATACACACATACACATACATGTATATATACATGTATATATATACACACATATGATCCAGTGTATACATATATGCAGACACATATCACAACATATACATATATGTGTGTATAATATATGTGTGTAATATATATTATATAATACATTGTATAATATATATATGCACAAACATACGATTTTTAAGCAAAAGAAGAAAAAATGGTATGTTCTGATGTTAAATATTTCTAACCAGTTTTATATATGGAAATAACAATTTCAAGTTATGAATCATGTATTACAGATAATGAATGTTAGGATCAGGTAATCTGTGAAGAAATGTATAAGTTGGCAAAATCAAAATTGTGTCACTAATGTTAAGAAAACCCTGATAGAGCCAGGAAAAGCCATGAAGAGAGGGTTCTCATGCTTGCATGCCTGATAACAAAAACAATCACAAAAGACTACAAAAACCACAAGCTTGTACAAAGGCCATTGCAGCCTTACACAAAAGAATACCTCCACAAGGACATCTGCCTAGCACCTGCCTGTCCAACTTCAGACTGGCATCACTTCAGACTGGTATTAATCTCTGTAACCAAGGATAATTATTTCAAAATAATTATGTAACCTTCCTTATTTTTTTCCTTAAAAACATTTGTCTTTCTTTACCTCCCTGAATGTGCACATCGTTTACTATGGCATGCATATTCCCATTGTAAGGGTTTATTTCCAAATAAACAACTTTTCTTTTGGAGAGCCTCTCTCTGTTTGTTATTTAGGTTGACAGAAGCAAGCCCAGTAATCTGTTAAAGCAAGCACATCTATAGATTGTTGGTAATAGAGACAGTTTAAAACCCCTGATTAGGTAAGAAATATGCTGACATGACAAAAATCTAAATGGAAAGCCTATGAAGTCAAGGAGTTAGTAAAGTTAGATAGAATAACACAAACAGACCCATTCTCAGTATTCAGATTAAGAAAGTACAATTGTGTGCTGCATAACAATGTTTCTATGAAGGACAGGCAGCATATGTGATAGTGGTCCCATAAGAGACTAAAAAATTCCATCACCTAGTGACATTGTGACCATCATAACCTCATTGCACAATGCATTACTCATGTGTTTGTGATGATGCTGATGTAAAGAAATCTACTGTACCGCCAATCATATAAAAGTATAGCACATACACTTATGTGTGGTATATAATGATGAATGACTACAGACTTACTCCCGGGTTGGTTCAACATATGCAAATCAATAAATGTGATGCATCACATAAACAGTACTAAAAGCAAAATCCACATAATCATCTCAATAGACACAGAAAAGGCTTTTGATGAAATTCAGCATCCCTTCATGTTAGAAACCCTCAACAAATTAAGCTTCAAAGGTACATACCTCAAAATAGTAAAATCCATCTATTACAAACCATAGCCAGCATTATACTGAACGGGCAAAAGCTGGAAGCATTCCCTTTGAGAACAGGAACAAGGTGAGGATGCCCACTATCACCACTCCTATTCAAAATAGTATTGGAAGTCCCAGCCAGAGTAGTCAGGCAAGAGACAGAAAATAAAAGGCATCCAAATAGGAAGGCAGGAAGTCAAATTATCTCTCTTCATAGATGATATGATACTATACCTAAAAAAAAAACCCCTCATAGCTTCCAACCAAATTCTTCTGATTAACAACTTCAGCAAAGTTTCAGGTTACAAAATCAATATACAAAAATCAGTAGCATTTCTATACACTAGTGATATGAAACCTGAGAGCTGAATCAAGGATGCAATCCCATTCACAATAGCCACAAAAATAATAATATCTGTAGAAGTACAGTTAACAGGGAGGTGAAAGATCCCTATAGCAAGAATTATAAAACACTGATGAAATAAATCAGAAATGGCACAACAAATGAAAAAAACATTCCATGCTTATGGATAGGAAGAAACAATATTGTTAATATGACCATACTGTCCAAATGTATTTATAGATTCAATGCTATTCCTAGCAAACTACCAACAACATTTTCCACAGAATTAGAAAAAACATTCCAAAATTCATTTAGAACCACAAAATAGCCTGAATAGCCAAAGTAATCCTAAGCAAAATGAACAAAGCTGGAGGCATCACATTATTTGACTTCAAACTATACTATAAGGCTACAGTTAACTAAAACAGCATGGTACTGATATATCTATCTATCTATAGATAGATTAGATAGATAGATAGATAGATAGATAGATAGATAGATAGATGCCAATGGAACAAGTTAGAGAACTCAGAAATAAAGCTGCACACCTACAACTGTCTGATCTTTGACAAAGCCAACAAAAATAAGCAATGGAGAAAGGACTGTATTGAATAAATGTACTGGGATAACTATCAAGCCATATGCAGAAGATTGAAACTGGACCTTCACACCTCACTATATATAAAAATCAACTCAAGATGGATTAAAGACTTAAACATAAAACCTAAAACCATAAAAGGCCTTAGAAGAAAGTCTGGGAAATACCATTCTAGACGTTACCCAGGCAAAGTCTTCGTAACAAAGTCTCCAAAAGCAATTGCAACAAAAACAAAAAATGACAAGTGGGACCTAAAGAGCTTCTGCACAGCAAAAGAAACTATCAACAGAGTAAACAGACAAATTATGGAATGGGATAAAATATTTGCAAACTATGCATCTGACAAAGGTCTAACATCCAGAATTTATAAGGAACTGAAATAAATTAACAAGCAAAAAACAAATGACCCTATTAAAAAATAGGCAAAGGACACACACAGACATTTCTCAAAAGAAGACATATATGGAGCCAACAAGCATATTAAAATATGCTCAATATCACTAATCATTAGGGAAATGCAAATTTAAACACAATGAGATACTAGTCAGAATGGCTATTTATTAAACAGTCAAAAAATAACTGATGCTGGCAAGGTTTGAAAAGGAAATGTTTATACACTGCTGGTGGGAATGTAAAATAGTTCAGCCATTGTGGAAAGCAGTTTAGTGATTTCTTAAATAACTCAAAGCAGAATTACCATTTGATGCCCAAACCCCATTATTGGGTATATACCCAAAGGAATATAAATCATTTTATTGTAAAGACACATGCAATGTGTATGTTCATTGCAGCACTGTTCAGAGTAGCAAAGACATGGAAATAACCTAAATGCTCATCAGTAGTAGACTGGCTAAAGAAAATGTGGTATATATACACCATGACATATTATGCAACTATAAAAAAATGAGATCATGGCCCTTGCAGCAAAATGGATAAAGCTGGAGGCCATAATCCTAAGCAAATTAGTGCAAAATCAGATAAGCAAATAATGCATATTCTGTTATAAGTGGGAGCTAAACACTGAGTACAGGTGGCAACAAAGAAGGGAACAATAGATACTATGGCCTATTTGAGAGTGGAGGGTAGGAGGAGGATGAGGATGGAGAAGCTATGTATCAGGTACTATGCTCATTACCTGAGTGATGAAATAATTTGTACACCAAACCCCCATGACATGCTATGTTACTGGTTTATGTATTTACTATAGTATACATTTCATTTTTATTTTAGAGTGTATTTCTTCTACATATACATAAAACATGTTAACTGCACAACAGCGTCAGGCAAGTCACTCAAGAGGTATTCCAGAAGAAGGTATTGTTACTGTAGATGACAGCTCCATGTCTGTTATTTGCCCTGGAGATGTTCCAGGGGGACAAGATGTGGAGGTGGAAGACAGTGATATTGATGATCCTGACCCCATGTAGGTCTAGCCTAATGTATGCGTTCATGCAAAAACAAAAGCATTAACAAAGAAGCTTAAAATAATAATAACAAATTTTAAAAATGAAACAATTGTTATAGAATAAAAATATAAAGAGAATATTTGTGTATAGCCAGGTAACATGTCTGTGTTTTAAGCTAAATCTTCTTACAAAAGAGTCAAAAAGGTAAAAAATTAAAAACATTATAAAATAAAAATATAGTAGGCTAAGGTTAGTTTATCATTGAAGAAAATTTTAAAAATAAATTTAGTGTAGCCTAAGCGCGCACAGTGTTTATGGTCTACAGTAATGTACAGTAATGTTGTAGACCTTCACATTCATTCACCACTCACTCACTGATTTACCCAAAGCAACTTTCAGTCATGCAAGCCTCAATTATGATAAGTGCTCTACAATGGTGTACCATTTCTTCTCTTTTATACCATATGTTTACTGTACCTTTTCTATGATTAGATATATTTATATAAACAAATGCTTATTATGTTACAATTCCTACAGTGTTTACATGTAGTACAGGGTTTACATGTAGTACACAGTGTTTACATGTAGTACAGTGTAACATGCTGTACAGGGTTGTAGCGTAGGAGCAACAGGCTCCTAGCCACATAAACTCCATGTTTAGTAGGCTGTACCAGCTAGGTTTGTGTAGTACACTCTGTGATGTTCATATAATGATGATATCACATTTCTCAGAATGTATTCTTGTTAAGTGATGCATGACTGTATCTACGTCAGTAGTATAAATCTGAAAGGTCAGGCTGATAGTGGCTTTCCAAGTAAGCATGCTAGATGGACATAGAGAGGCTCAGGGGTGAATAGATTACTGTAAAACTTACGATCTGTAGTTTGTACCTGGGAAGAGGTACGAGATTTGCTTACAAGATATGGAAGTCAATAATCCTTCTTTTACTCCAGAATTATACTAATTATACTAAAATATAATAAGTGCACATTAATTATATACATAATGTATGTATGTATATTATATGTAACATATATGTGTGTATATATATCCTCTTAAAAGGAGATTTAAATATACAGAACGAGCAATAAACATCAAGATACAAAGAAAAGAAAGGCTGGGTAAAGATAAACTCTTTCTAATGATCTAGATGTCAATTATAGGAAGCCATACCAAGAATGATTTTTGAAACTGGGTCAGCATCTCTTCAAGCAAAAAATTATTATGTAATCTCTTCAAGAATCCCAAAACCGAGGTTAGCGTACAGGTGGGACAATAACTGTGGGCAAGAGGGTGTTGCTGCCAGGTAGAGTAGTGCAGAGTGAAATTGGGTATTTGTTAATGTATTGGCTGTTCAGAATAATTTACTGATTTCTGCCCAGAAGCCAAGCTATAGTTTATTAGGCTTTTGAATGCCATTTTGATAAAATATAAGTAATTGGGATTTATCTAATGTCGGTACATAATTCTAAGGTGAGCTCAGCAGAAATATCTCTTAGTGGGATAAATTGTAGTATATCATCCCAAGGACTAGGAAGATTTTTCTCAGGGTAGTTGAAGTCAGAGGAACTGAATTCTAAATTGTAGACCACGACGAAAGTACATCATAGGTGGTAAAATGAACCTAAATGTCAGAACTGTGGGGGTGGCAAAACTGACACTAAAAAATAAATCAAGAAGACAGAAGCTCAGAATGTGGGGAACAATTCAGGATGAACTGTATAAAAAAGGTTCAAGCAAATGGTTTTATGAGTAAGCACAAGGAAATGTTAGAGGTCCATTTTTAGATTTGCTAGCTACATGGTGTAGGAGTGTGCTGGATAGATCAAAGGAATCATGCAGAACTGGTCAGAATGTATGGCAGGATGTCAAACTTTATTCACACAAAAATGTAATATGTTTGAGCACTTAAGTTTAGACCATCCCTGGAGGCCAGGTTACAAGATGTCTTAGATTTGACATCTGTAGTAATTATAGTATTCCAAATATAACTTTAGTTTTGAACTTCAAAAATGTCATATATATTATATAGGAATATAATTAATGTGTGCTTATTCTAAGTCAATAACTATGTACTGAATATTATGTGAAATTTCTCTTTTAAAACATACAAATTTTAGAGTGAATATCATTATAACTCTCATTTTAAAGAGGAAGATACTGATCATTAGAAAGATTTAAAACATCCTATTTCAAAGTGCTAATAAATGGCATCTAGAGGATTCTCTTCCAGAACTATCAAATTGAACTTTTAATTTTCATATTGTACCATAATTTTATGATAAAATTCTATTGTATTTTTATCTGTATTTCTTTGGGCTGAGAAAGATAAACCTAGAGAATTAATAATCATAGCAAGAAGTGACTTTTTGTTCAGCCAATGAAATATTTGTTCTCATAAAAAATGTCAAAAGAGTTGAGGTCACATTAAATTACTTGTACGCTGGCATAAACATAAAATTTTAATTTGAAGTAATTTCATGTATTATCTATACTTATTTTTCTGAAAGACTGAGCCAAGTTCATATTACTGCTATAAAATAGAAATAAAAGTTCTATTCAGTAAATATGAAAGCATACTAAGAAAACAACAAGCATACATTTTTGGGTTCCAAGAAATGCTCAAATTCATTACCTTAGTGCCAAGGATATTATACTTCTGAGTTTTACAATCTGAAAAATTAAACACATTTTGAATAATTACAATTATGGAAGTTACATTTTTATTCAAAATTTTATTCTCTCTCTTGAAATATACAAAGACTTGAAAATAGGAAAATACGCAAATAGATGAAGCCTCTAACTCCTTGGTTAAACTCTTGTTTTAAGATGTACAAAGGGACCTTAGAATGCAGTAACATATATCCAAGGATTAGTAGAGAACAAGTTTATGCACAAAAAGGGATCACAGACAATCTGCTTTAAGCATCATTTTTGTTGCAATGATAGATAAAATATTTGGGTAATGAAGGTGTAGAAAACAGTAAATTAGATTTTATTTTACATTTTACAGCACTTTTTTTGCATTCTTCACAGTGTAATCAGCATTTTGATGAAAAAGAAAAATATTTCCATAAATGCAATAAACATATTTCACCAATGAATTCTGTGATGTCCTGGAGGAGTTCTTTTCTGTTTTTTTTTCCCAAGATCTGTAGTACACTGTCCCCCCATTTATCTGTGGTCTTGCTTTCTGTAGTTTCTGTTACTTGCAGTCAACCTCAGTTTAAAAGTATTAAATGGAAAACTCCAGAAATAAACAATTTATAAGTTTTAAATTGCAGCCATTCTGGGTAGCATGATGAAATCTCTCACAGTCCTGCTCCATCCTTCCCAGGCTGTGAATCATCTATTTGTCCAGTGTATGTATCCATGCCATCCACAACCCTTAACCTTTAGAAACTTAGGACTATTGTAGTATCATAGTGCTTATGTTCAAGTAACCCTTATTTTACTTAATAATGGCCCCAAAGCACAAGAATGGTGTATCTAATTTATAAATTAAAATTTCCATAGTTATACAGGTATAGGAAAAAAAATAGTATATACAGGGTTCCATACTATCAGAGATTTCTGGCGTCCATTGAGGATCTTGGGAGGTATCCCACAAGGGTAAGGGGATACTCCTGTAATTTGAACTATTCTGGTTTTGCTTTATTATTTGTGGAATGCTTACTATATGCTATGCACTTGTCATATCTTATATAATTTAATCCTAATCAAAATCCTGTGAGATAGGTATTATTTATCCCTATCTTATATATGAAGCTTATGAACAGATTACTCATACCCCACAAGTATAAAATGTAAATCCAGAATTAAAAACAAATCTTTTTACTTCATTTTGCAGCTTTTCTTGTCTTTATGTATTGTGTGCTAAAAGCATATAACTCTCTCTTCTGGTAAATATTTATTCCTAAATTAGTTTCCTTGATTTATTCCACAGGGATTCCTGTCCATGTGATTATAAAATAACCAATGTGTTCCCATCTACATTATATGATTTGTGTTCTCTGATTCAAATAAGATGTATTAGGTCAACATACTTTGTAAGTTGATATAACATATAAAACATAACTAGTAGGTTATGTAATTAGTACAGACGGTAAAAATTGAAAACATTTTATTTTCACTTTGCTGTATTAATTTATTTTCTGCTCAGATTTAGATAGTAATGATTATCCAAATTTTTGAGTTTGGAACCAGTCAAAAAGCAGATATTATATTCAGAAAAAAGAAACAGCAGCTTCAGTACTGACTGGGCAAGATAATGAGGCACAATCAAGATTTCTAATTCTTCTAAGTCTAGGCATTGGAAGAAAGTGATGGTATAAGGTGTCACCTTTTCTCAGAACCAATATGTCACACATATTAAATCTCAATAATGTGATTAGAGAATAGTTGAGCCGCAGACTTAACTCAGGCAAGATGAGCACTGACTCTTTCTCATGAGCTTATTTTAGGACTCATTATCAAAACACAACATGCTAAGCCTTTATGGAAGCTCATCTGAAAAAGATCACAAAAGCATGTTGTCAGTTCTATCATAATTCAGCTAAAGAACTGAGCTATGCACACCACTTGCATATCAACACAAGTCAAATGGTAAAGCAGTCTTATATGAAATCATCTTGAATCTACCCTTTCAGTGACCTGCCTTCATTCATTCATTTCTTCAACAAATATTTATTCATCTTCTGCATGCCAGACACTTTTTTCCAGGCAGTTGGGATTTATCTGTGAATGAAATAAACAACGCTTTGGCAGATACACAGGTACACATACCTGTGCTCCTCTGTCACTACTTTACAGTTTAGACTGCTTACCCTAAGTTTCAGGATATGGTATTATCTTGCTTCCTAAATATGAACATCATTTTCTCTTCTTTTGTGTATATGTTTCATAGATAAATATATGATATGCAAATTCCATTGTCTCTGTTCTCTAAACTTAGCATTTTATCTAAATTTTGTATTTGATTAAACATATTCAGATAATCAAATTGTTTAAATGATGCTAACAGGCTATAAACTATGTTTTTCCCATGGAAATATAATGAGAACTGATTATAAATATATGAGTACCATTACAAATAATTACAAATTCCCAGAGCACATTTTCATCAAAATGGCCTTTTGTGTGCTAAATAAGTATATGTAGCTATGTATGTATATATTTGTTTTAAAATATAACTTTGACATACTTCTCCGGATGTTTGAATACAAAAGTTAAAATTTTGTTTTCTTCAACTACATATTTAAATGTATATGATATTTTATAATATTTATTAAAGTAGTTTTTTTAGAAAATACGTACACATTTTTATTAAGCTTGAAAGTGGTTCCTTAAATTCTTAGCATGTAATTTTTATTTTATGCTATTTATATAATGTAGAAAAGAAAAAGAAAAGAGAAATCATATGGTTATTATTCTAGATATAACTGAATAGAACCAAAATATCAACAATAACCATCTTTCTTGCTCTTATTTTTATTTCAAGGATATTATACAATTTTAAGTAAACTATTAAAAATTGAGTTTAAAAGAATATTGTAGCTGATTTATTATGTACATATTATATTTAGATATGGTGAAAAGAGCAAAAAGAAAATAAAATGAATGGTAGAATAAGAAAGAATATTAAAGGTGAAAATATAAACTATTCAATGCTTGGATTAGAGTTCCAATTGAACCTATGAGTGTTCAAAGCCTATGTCACTCTATAGCAAAAACACATAACATAAGCTCTTTTTATACCCAGGCTGAATGCTTTCACAAAGTACAAAAATGCCTTTATAATTTTATCAACGTTGCAATAAAATTGGCTGAAATTCTGCTTGCTGAGTCCCATCACAAGCCTATAGCCATTGAACTTTAATCTTCACAAACTCATTGAAATTTAACCTTTTTTAAAAAAATTTAAGAATGAGAAAATTTAGATTCAGAAACACTGTGACTTGGGGATTTGCTGCAGTATTATTATAAGAATTAGAGCTTCCTGTGTTTGAATTCATGCCCTTTGCACTATAATAGACTGATATTTGGGGATTTACAAAACCCAGTATATTTATCACATGTAGCAAAAATAGTTCAAAAAACTCACTAAACTAAAAGCAAACTAGAATAACTATTAACATAAAGAACAGAGTAAAAGAATTAAGAAATAAACTAATAGTGCATTTAGATTTTGCTTTGGTATTTCATGTTCACAGGATATGCTCTAGGTCTGTTACAAACTATAGCAGTAAAATAAATTTTAATTAAACATAAAATAAAAGCTAATGAAGAAACTAAATAAGAAGTAGTATTTGCAAAATGTCATTTCCTCTCCTGTGCTTCCACAGTACACTTCATACAAGTATTAAAGCACTCATTACTTTTATTGTAATTATGCTTATAGTATCCTTCTTTGGATAACAAGCCTCTAAAGGACAAGTACTCTATTTTCCTCTTTTCTGTGTCACAAGTTTCTGGTATAGTGACAGTATAGGATTAGGCATCAAATAGATACTTTTGAATAAATTAAGCAGTACATAAGTGTAAAAGATATGTAAGTGCATCTCTTTCACAGAGATATATGTGATTTGCAACTTAAGTTCTTAAAGTATGGCAAAGTTAATTTCAAGAATAACTTTTCCAGCTATGTTTATGCCACTTAAATGAGTCAAAGGGCATTCTTTCAAGGTCTCTTGCATCCTGAAAATAATAAATTGTGCTCCCCTGAGTTTAGGCTTGAATCTTTTAAACTTGGTAGCTAAACATTCAAATACCAATATTTCTTGGACAGGTAAATGACTTCCTGGAATATTTTCACCATGATCCTTGAGAACTCTTGTTAAGTAGCAAATTTCCTTCATTGAAGAATGGCAGTACTAGTGATTTTCTTGTAAATAACCAATTATCAGGTTTAACAAATGGATGCCCAAGGAGTTGGCACTAGTGTTGTTGTTATGTCTAACCTAACTAGAATTCACTTATAAACTGTAGGTTATTTATAATAACTGATTCAACAAGTGTTTGCTACATGCTGTTTCCTGAGCTACTACATGTAGTAATATGCATTTTATGCACTGAGTGAGCTATCAACCTTGGAACAAATAATTATAGCAGAGTCATTATTTGTATCATTAAAATACATCATTAGAGCATGGTAAGCATGCCATTAGTGTTCTTATTTTGAAATGATCAAAATACTTTTGAAAATCAAATAATTTATTTGATACATTTATTCTTCCTTCAGCAATATCTACTTTAGTTAGTTTTGATCATTTTTTAAAAGTGTTTTCAATAATCAAGCATAAAATGTTACACAGAAGAGTCATATGATTTTTCTTACTTCTCTAAAATAAATTTTTAAATTAATTTGTAGCTTTTTAATGAAGCCATTTTATTAGAAATGTATATCTTTGCTTCCATCTAAAAACTGAGACTGAGTTAAGGACTAGATACAGCTATGCTATTTGGGGAAGTGATCTTGAGAAAGAGTAGTGGATGACTGGAAAGAGTAGTGGACAACTGGAAAGACTGAAATGGGAAAGAAGAAAAAGTTATCAAATGGTAGGTTTTCAAGTTGACCAACATTGCAGAAAAACTGGGCTCATTCTCATTAGGGAAATTCTGAGGATATTTATACAAATAATAATGCAATTGTCTGTCCAAAGAACAAAAGAAGTGAGTATCTCCCAGATCCCATCACCTAATAGTCTAGGTTTGCACCATGAGGGATTAGCACACCCACTATTGTAGATTTGCATACATGTCAGAATCTCATATGGTAGTGGACAAGAATCCCAGAGCAGAAAGCTAGATATACATGATTCAGCTAAGCAAGTTGAAGCTGGATTACATTTGCATACAGCTGGTTTCCATTGCCATTGCTAGAATAAAAAGGTGAGATGAGAGGATATGCGTTGGAGTGTAAGTGGTACGTCTGATATGGTCACTAATGGTTTTACTTTACATTTGAGAATACTATCAAACATAGGCAATCCTCTTCGTATATGTTGCTTCATAAGCAGAATGTTGATTTCTTGTGATGGAAAGATTTATGTCTAATAAACATAACGAGACTGATTATCTTTCTAGTGACAGGGTCATAAATAGTATCTTTAATCATTTTTCCAATGTGCACATGTCTTTTCCCCAGTTTTTTGCAAATAAAAAGGCAGAAAATAATATGAGTTTTTTTTATTATTCTTTAATTCTATTTATACATACTCTTATACCAATAACTTAACACTGATGTAATGTTGGTTACGAAAGCCATGTGTTTCATCTTAGCCCTTTTGTTGTCTCTGCCCCCATCACAGTCAGAGCTACTACTCATGTTGGCCCAGCAATATTCAGGGTCAAGCGGTCTGGTGTATCCAGTGAGGATGACAGTGATATTTTGAAATCACTTGCTGAGAAGACATCTTGCACTGTTTTGCTTGAATTATTAGAATTTCTATTTTACCTTCACAATAAGAAGCATTCTTAGAATTTATATAAAAACATTCTCTGTCTCCAGTCCATAATGATATAAGGTGTGATACACAACTCCCTTCTCAAAATGCCTTCTTAGCATTGTCGATGAAATGACAGACTTACGAATAAATCCTTGGTAGACTTGGAAAATAATTAATCACAATTGGTCATAAATGCAAATAGTGTTGTAAAAGTTATGTCATTTCTGGAATGCATCATTAAGTCAAATTTTATTCATATCCAGCTATGTCCAATATATTTATTAACCTGGAATATCCACCACACAGCCCTGAGCCTTGTTTGTATTCATGCACTGATTTATGAAAGTTATCTGAGGAATGAATAATACTGAGCAGCATAACTGTTTTGAAGTCCAAAACTATGTGCATGCTTGGAAAGTTAAGGTAAACATTTCCCTTCTCTTATGTGTCCCATCACCTAGTTGCCTTTCATTTTCAATAACACAACTGAAGATTTGGAGACAGTTTTACATTAAATTTATCACCTGTGCAGCAATAATTAATTTTTATTTTTTATACCCTCTGAAAACTACTGGTGAATATATAATTCTTGACCTTCTGGAATCCAAAGTTCACTAGAGGACTGTTAGGCATACTCAGTTGCTAGCTGGGGACCCTTACGTTAACAAAAATGCTATAATAATTTAAAGATGTATTATGTTGAAAGGAGGCGGAGATAAATATGAGCATTGATCTTCATTTTGATCTCTCATAGTCAACATAATTTTTTCTCTTGTAAGAACATATCTCATCTCAGAATGTGCTATATAAACAAGAATGTCACTTGTAAACTGCCAAAGATATATTTTCTCTGTGATATGTACACTGACTGCCTTCTAGACTAAAATTTCCAAAATTCCAGTATAAGTGGTGGATTGCTGGTGTATATAAACGAGAGTCTAAACAAAAATAATCGAATTGCTAATTTGATAAAGACTACTTTAAGAGTCCTTATACATAGCACATGATATACTCTGTAGGGGAACAAAAGAAGAAATTATGTGCTCTCTATTTTGATGTAGCCATCAATCTGATAAAATACTGTGAAATGAGGAAGGAAATAATGAAGTAACACAAATTGATACTGATTGTAACTGCAATGCAGGTTGCAAAAAGTAAAGAACAGTAGCTCAAAGAGAATTACATGAAGAAGGCAGAGTTTAATCTGGGATTTAGAGAATGAATAATGTTTCAATCAGGGAAAGAAAACATCTAAAGGCTTAAAAATAAAAAAATGCAAATATCTTGTAAGACATGATAATGTATATACTGAGCAAAAGAGATGAGTTGCTGAGTAATCTCTCCAAATAAGGCAGCTCCCATATAGTATAGGATAAAGGTGAATAAATACCAAGGAACACATTTATAGAGTCTTAAATGCCAGACAACAGAGTTTTTATATCTTCAGAAGGGAAGTGATAGGGTAAAGGCATATTTAGAAAAAAAAATTCACTAGTGCTTTCAAATAAGTTGGCCTAGGAACTTTTTCTAGGGGGCTTGAAGAAGAATCATAGGATGGGGTTATGAAAATGAGAATCAGGATGGTGAAGAGAGAGGAAAGACAGGGGCACAGCCCCAAAAGGTGCTGAAAGGAAAAAACATTTTACTTTCCTCCAGAAATATTTAGGGGAAAAAAATGAAAGCAAGGAAAGGCAGAAAAGATGTGAGGATCTCTAACTTTGAATAATAAAGTATGCACCAATGACTTAAGTGGGGATAATTTTAGAATAAAACCAATATGGGCAGGAAATACATTAATTTCACTTTTGGACATGATCATCTTAGGCTGAGGACAAAACATGTAACTGAATAAAAAGTAAGTACCGCATGAGAACAGAAGACGTTAAGTTTGGAATTCATCAGCAACATTGGGAGAGTAATTGAATGTTTCCTAGGATTTATTTTAATGCAAAAATTTGCTAGGAAGAAAATCTTGAGAAACACAGAAAGAAGTAGAGTAGAAAGAATGGTCAGAAACCATACAGGAAAAGTAGAAAAACATGTAAAATTAGATTTTAAAATGTAAAAAAAAAAAAAAAAAAAATTAAAAGTGAGGCAATCAGCTCTAATGTAATATACTTCATTTTATATCATGCTTAAAGTGATTTTTAGAGTAACTGCTATTTGCCATGTGATCTTTTATCACAGGAGCACTTAAGGAGAGGGGAAAGAGAACTAAAGAATGATTTTTAAACAATTGGCAAACCCCAAATCAGAAGACACAGTCAACCCCCTGACATGTGCACTTGGAGAAAATGCAAAAAAGAAAAAAATCTTAAAGCAAGTAATGCCCATTTCTACTTCCAAGTTCCCACTTTATATTAGAGACCAATTTACTGCATCAGCCAGTGAGTGAGGATTTGGTACAGTTTGAAACTGGTCCTTAAAGTGCATAAAATAATAATGATGATTAAGTCTAATTCTGAACTACAGTGTACTGTATGTACTTTATAAATCCCACCCCCACGAGTAATTAAGGAGAGAATCAAAGAAAACACAATGGGGAATTGCTATTACTGGGAACATCTGGACTAGAAGCAACTGAGCAAGTCTCTTTAAAGCCATGGCAAAAAACCAGATGACAGTTTTAAAGGCTAGCAAGGAAAACTGTGTTCTTATATTCACGTTTACTGGATTTGGCTCACCAAAGTTTTAATCTCAGGCAAACAGCCTGCTGCATCTTTGCTTAATACCTTCTGGGTGGAAACTAATTTTACTGTTGATTAGTTAGAAACATATTTGGGCTTCTACCACCACTTAAAGGGAAAGAATCAAACTATTATTTTTTTCACTTTACCAATCGTTTTATACCCAGACATATACATATATGTATATAAAATAACAGACAAATATATAAAAAACTATATATATAAGCTATATCATTATTTCATATAAAATGATAACATTTCCAAATAAAATGGAGTTATAACTTTACATGAAAATTTATTTACTTCAATGGAATAAAAGAAATGAATAACAAGATTCCTAAAATTTTATTTTTGAAATGACGCAGCATTGAAGTTCAACCTGACTCCCTTTACATAGTTATTACATTTCCGTAGTTATCCCACATAACTCTTCCCACATAAGCAGATTTTTTGCTTCTCTTCTTTCTTTTGCTTTATTGTTCTTCTTCTAACCTAAATTGCTGTAACTGATAAGCACCTGTCCAACACGTACCAGTTAATTGTCAAATGTTAACTTCACAATGTGTTTTATATCTAAGAAATGCACTTTCTCAATGTAAGCTTTGTTACTGTTTATTAAAGGTAAAATTCTGATATTTATAAAAGAATCATAAAAGAAAGAAGTGTCATACCACGTGGCATCTCCAAAAAAATACAGTGATGCCACCAAATTGATTTTTATGTGTTTACCTCTCTTCCCACCCAAAAAAAAATAAAAAAGAAAAAAAACTCTACAAACTGATAGAGCAAATTTATATTTGTCAAATCTTTCCCATATAGGTGATCTCTCTCATTTTTCCACTAATCTATAATCTCAAAATGTAATAAACTCCTTTGCTATAAAAGCTGTCTTCCAATGGTTTTTATAAATCAGCAAGTACAACAAACTTCTCATTGTATAGTATATGCTAAGCATATATTTTCAGATTTAATATGATTTAAATTTAAAAATAAAAAGTGCTATTTAAAAGAGATAGTTTTAACATAGTTTTTATAGTCAAAGTTCAATAAATACTAGCTGAAAAACTAACGAACTGAATAAATAAATAAAGCTCCAAGAATTTTATTTTGCTATTCACTATTTTTTATCCAAATTAGGCTTTTCTATACATATTGCTTAGAGAATATCCAAACTAAAGTTATCAGCACGAAAATACACACTATTATGTCTTTAATAATAAATCACCAAATTACTCAACTATTTCAAATCAGCTCCTTAAACAATATTCCCCTGGTCCTTTTCAGTGTTTCTGAGGACCTCTAAGGCAAGGGAAATTTAGAAGCTCGGTAACAGTGGTGAATAATATTTCACTGTGTGTCGTATATGCCACATTTTGTTTATCCATTAATTGCTTCCGGCTTTTGCCTGCTGTGAATAACGCTGCTATGAACACGGGAGTACAAATATCTGTTCAAATCCCTGCTTTCACTTTTTTAAGGTATACACCCAGTAGCGGAATTTCTGGATCACATGGTAACTCTATGCTTAATTTTTTGAGGAATTGCTGTACCATTTTCCACAGTAGCTGCATCATTTTACATTACCCCAGCAATGCACATGTTCCAATTTTCTAAAGCACTGCCTTTAAATAAACATTTCTTTTTAAATTAAGTTGCAGTATACTTTTAGAAAAGTATATGTAACATAAATGGACAACTTAATGAATTTTCTCAAAACACACATAATGCTGTAAACAGCATGAAGATGAAGAAAGAGGACATTTCAACACTCTGGAAGCCAGCCTCATATAGCTTCCCAGTTATTTGACCCTCTGAAAGGTAACCATTATCATAACAACTAATTGCATATACAAAATTGCATATACAATTTATTTTTATTTTTGGGATTTTTGCAGTTTAGACTCATTTGTGTCTGATTTCATTTGCTAAAAATTATGTTTGTGGTAGTCATTTATTTTGTTGAATGCAGTAATTGCTTGTTCATTTTCATTGTTATGAATATTTACATGTATAATATTATATATAATTATACATACATCAACATATAAAATTACATATATAATTTTATGACTACTCCAAAATATGTTTACCCATTCTAATGTTTATAGACCTTTGGGTGATTTATGTTTCATGGCAGCATGAACATTCCTCCTTTGGTGAACATATAAATGAATTTCTGTTATATATGAGAGTTGAATTGCTAGTTCATAGGATAGGCAAATGTTAAGCTTTATAGGTACTTTAAAAGAATATTCCAAAATTGTGCTACTTTTTTGTTCTTAACAGAAGATATGTAAGTGTTCCACTTTTTCCAGATTTTTGACAACATTTGGTATTGTTTTTATAATTTTTTTGTTTATAATATTTATTTCCCAAATGATCAATGAAGTCGGGAATCCTTTAATGTAACTATTGGGTATCTACATGCACATTTAAGTGCATGTCCAAGTCTCTGGCTCATTAATAAGTGCTGTCTTTGTCTTAATAACTCTTTTCTGGATATGAATATTTTGTTAAATATGTGTATGCCAAATGTCTTCTCCTACCTTTATGATTTGAATTTTCCCATGTTTAATGTCTCTTTTAAGTAACAGATGTTCTTAATTTTAGTACCGTATAATATATGAGTTTGTTTCTTTATGGTTAGTGAATTTTCTGTCCTATTTAAGAAGTCTTACAGAAATTCAGAAGACAGATTTGTACATATTCTTCTGGGAAAAATGTGTGTTCATCTTTATGTGCGTGTGTCTGCATATATTATTATTCCCTTCACATCTAGGATTTATTGTTTGCATATAGTATAAGGCTATGAGGCAGAGGGTTAAATTTGTTACTCTGACTTATGGATTCAACTGATCTAGCAAAGTGTGTTGAAAAGATGTTTTTTGTCTCCACAGCACTGTAGTGCCAAATTGTCATAGTGAGGAAAACATATATGTGTAAGTTGATTTCTGGACTCTATTTTTTTCTGTTAGTCTGTATATTAAGCCTTTCAATAATACCACATTGTTTTAATTATTATAATATTTTATTGTCTTAACATCTAATAAGAGTATGTATTCAAAATTATTCTAATTTCACATTATTTTACTTACTATTGGCCCTATTCTTTTACATACAATTTTTAGAATCAGCTTATATATTTTCACAAAAAAGAACAATAAATTAAAATTTATTGACTTTGTATGAGATTGTATTAGTATATAGGTCAATTTAATATTTCTACTATTGAGTTTCCAACCCATGGTTATGGTATATAACTGAATCAGTCTAAGTCATCTCAATATTTAATTCCTCTCAATGATTTCTGCTTATTTGTTTCCTGTATGGTGATCCTGTACATATTTTGTTAGATTCCTATGTTTTGAAGCATTTAATGCTGTCATAAATATGATATTTAAATATCCTTTCATATTGCTATGTATATGTCCAACTTGTTACTTCTAAACACAGCAAAACATTTCATGTTTATATTCACTGTGTTTTACTATCAACTGTCCCAGTTTAGCAAGATTGTCTTCAAAGCGTAGCCGCCTTTAATAGCACTCCAATTAATACTGATGTATATATAATTTTCAAAATCCAAATAAGATTTTCTTAATATTTCATTCTACCTGGGTATGAGATTACTGTATCCCAGGGTATGCCTATCTTTAATTTTCCTAAGATGTTCCCAATTGACATAGAGATGATTGTACCCAATACAAAGGCACAAGGAAATATGAAGTTTAAAAGTCTTTCCTCTTTTATTGCAGAGCTTTAAATTAGTCATAATCCGGCTTTTAAATTTAAAATGAGTAAAGTAATATCAATGTTTTATTTAGCACTTCTGAAAAACGTAGTATCACTATAAATATCCATTTATTTTCTTGTTAGTGTTCTGTGTCCCTTTTCCTGTAAACTACGTGTTTATATCTTTTGCCTAATACTTATCCTCTTTTTTGCATTTTTGTAAGAGTTTCTTGTATAGGCTATATATTATCCCTATGTCACTATTACCTGTTGGAAATATTCTTCTCAGTATATGTCACCTATGAAACTGATCTACAGTGTCCTTCAATAATTAATGTGTGCTATTATTAACCACTTAAAACACTTAACTACTCAACTCTAATGACCACTCATTGGTTCTTCCCTCATTCTAACTTTCCAAATATTTATGGTCCCACATTTATGAGCCCATAGTTCCAACTGTTTTCTAATAAATTGAGACAGGCACTTTGATACCTACAATTTCTGTCATGGAATCTTGGTGAAGGGGATTGAGAATATGAAGACAGGTAGATTTTGTAAACTTAGGTATATGCAGGGGACAGATTTTTTGACATAAGGCACCTTGTAAAATGTAAGTACTTTTAGAATTTTATAAAAAGTTTGCAGTGAGGATAAATCTTACTATGCAAAATGTAGATGAGCATATACCTAGACTCCATTATTAAATAGTCCACATGATATTATAGAAGGATATTAGAAATAAAGTGCTTGCATGTGAAATATGCTATTAGAGTTTCTGCTTCTTTATTTTTTCAGTACTATTCCCAAGGTATTGATTATCATACATAATTTATGCAAAGCACTTCAGACAAATGCATAAAGTAAATTAAAAGTAAATTGCATTAAAAATATACTGGATTATAGAGTATGTGCACTGGAAAAGATTAATAGTCTATTCTGCTATGTAAGCCTAAGGACCACATATTGATTTTTAACTCTCCTTGACTAAAAGAGATACTAGAGCACCACAGACAATGGTTGATTTTATATTTAGGTCAACATTCACATTTACATTTATATTGTATGTGTATAGTATAGAATATATATGCACATGTATATTATATTCACATGTGCATTTATATTGCACAAAATAAACATTACTAAAATTTTTTGAAGTAATTTTGAATAAATTAGTTTGGTCTGGAAAAAAAGTACAAAACTAAAACTAAAACCTATGTCTCAAAACAATTTAGAAATATCTAGTACTATCAGGTTTATCTTATTCAAATATATTATGCATATTATTATATTTAATCATTTATTCAGAATGAGTAAATGTCTCTCTATGCACAAAGGTTATAACAGCATTTTATGGTGAATGCTATTCTGAGGTTCAAGACACTTGTATCCATCAAAAGCAAAAAGTAGGCTTATTTTACTAGCTGAATTGTGCTATGGGTATATAAAGCATAACAGATTCAACAAGTTACCCACATTAGCAAGTAGTATAAATTATTAAAATAGTATTTAAAATAACCTTTTTTAAACTAAAGCAATTGTGTGAAATATAAACCCAAGTGGATTTGTCTTTTACATATTTCTTATGAGGAAAGAATCTACACTATCTAGAAAAATGGAGGTCCTTCTTTAGTTACATTACCGTGTATTTTTCTAAGTCTCTCTGAACAGTTCAGAGAGCAACTTCTTCCACACTACAAGTGCGCTATATAGTATGTTGCAAATGTTATAAATAATAAATGGCCTATAAAAAGGAATCACATTCATATATATCAAACACCCTACAAATGACTTGAATAAACCATTCAAGATGAACAAACCTAAAGCTTTAATCCACATAAGTGATGCATCGGAATAAAAACTATGGTTCACTTGGATCTTAGAGAAAGAAGTTGTAATATAACTTATTCACCATTAACATAATAGGCATCAAGAATTCAGGAAAAATGATATAGAAGGAGGCCTATTTTCTAGGATTTACTGTTTCTGCTCTGAAACAGAGAGGCAAGTCAGAAAGCAGGGTACATATTTTGTATCATAATATTTATTATATACAATATATAACTATATTATAATGTATATTATATTTAATAGATATTTTACTATTTGTAATATTTTCTCCTAATAAGTCATAATTTTTATCTTCCTCCCATGGGCTTTAGTGGTATGTGTCTATGATCTCTTTGTACAAAAATATCTACTCACAGTAATTTTAAAATGTATTCATGACTCGATTAGTCATATTCAGGAAAAAATAACATCAGATCAAAAATTGTAACTTGGTAGAATATCTTCCATTTGCTCTTTCAGATGTATGATCCATCCTTCTCCACCCTACTTTCTGCTCTTGAGACTGACCTGATCATTAACAGGGCTGCTGTGCTTCCTCGTTTCTGATCAGATTCGGTTAAAAATGGAAATATAACAGAAAAGTGCCAATGATATTTGTCAACTCAATAATTAAAATGAAAACCAGTAAGAACATCATACAGGGAAATACAACTAGAGGTTATCTTTGCTATCAGACAAAAATAACTTGATCTCCACCAGACAAAAATCTGCAACTTAACATCCAGATTCACATAGTCTGGGCCTATAATTAGTAGCAAATAGTAAGATCAATTACTGCTCTATGCTCCTAAAAAAATAAATAATTCTTAGAAGGACTTGTTAAATAATACCCCAATATGAAATTGAAGAGATTCTCAGTCTTTCTCTTGCTTAATTTCTAAGTTTTGGATAATTCTTACCAAAAAGTTAAGAGAGGTTCAGTCTGGAGAAGATGAAGAGTGAAGTCAGGGTATTTAACCCCCTTTGTTTCTTCTCTGTGGTGTCACCTTGGTTGACCTTGTCCTCAGCAGAATGATTTGGTCTCTCAAAGGTGACCTTCTCTAAACAAGTCTTTTTCTTTCCAGTTTCTGGCAATTTTTCTTTCCCTGTCCTATCAGGCAGGGGTTGGGGGTGACAGAAAATAATTATTTTTTTCTTCAGTTTCTCCTGAGATTACATCATTAGAAATGACTCTTTGTTAGTAAACTCTCATTTAATCATTCAATTTCGAGTGTGCTGTTTCCTACTGGGACCTTAAATAATACAGAACCAAACTTCCTCAAAGGACTAGAAATATTGCATAATGATATACTTAGTAGTAGCAGAAATATTGACAAAATGCTGTGCTTAATTTGTATTGCTAATAAAGTGGAAATAAACTAATCATGTTAAGGTGTTGGATAAATTATATTTGATATGTAATTGAAAATAGAATGGAAAAATACGTTGAAATAAAAAATAATTATGTTTGATATAAGATAGTGCTGACAAACAAACCAAGAAGTTAATGGGGGTGGGGCGAGGAAACTGTTTAAGAAGAAATGTACAAAATCAAAATCATCTATTTTCACTTAATAAGGAAAATCAGCTTTTCTCTTTAGTAAATTATCTTGCTGATTTGAGTTTTTAGGCAAAGATTACAGGCTCAATTGGCATTGCATATTTTCTATATGTTTTATCTCTTACCTTTCCCCCCGCTGTGTCCTCCCACAAGCTTCTGATACCTGAAGATAAGGCACCTTGAATATGCTGTGTAGCTTATTTTTATCCATGCTTGAGTTAGTTTCAAGGTTTATAAAACATTATTTTATATATTTTTATAAAGTCATAAAACAATGACTATACTGAAAATTAAAGAGTAAGTGATGGTTTATACATATTAACCTGTCAAGTACTTAAACATCATTTTACAGTCAGCATAGTGTTGTTTTATTTTGATTTCCCTCCCCCACGATGTGGATTTTGTTTACCAAACAAATAAATCAATGTAATTCTTAGTGTTTGAATTTCATTTATTTAAAATAAAGTGTTCTTAAGATTTATCTTAACCTAAATACACCAAAGATTTGTTTAGTTGTTTATTTTACATGTTTTTAAATCTTCTAGTACATATATACCTATTTTAATGAAAAAGCGTTTTCTTAATTATGTGGAAAACTCTATATCTTCTAATTTTAACTAAATACCAGAGGTATGAAAATATTGATCTACTAGAGTTTTGGAAAATATTTGTTGTCTTTTCCTTTTTGTATACTCTGATAGGGGTAGTTACTACATTGTTATCTATAACTTCAGAAACCTCTGAAAAAAAGCATATTAGTTTTCTTAGAAATACTTTATTCTATCACAATTGCTAAGCAGTTTAACACAAACTTCCCTGAGACCCAATTTAAGAATGCCCCCAAAACTTAAATATTCATTTTGTCTTTATTTCCCTCTAGCTGGACCCCTAGGATCAGGCCCCCGGGACCTACATATGTCTCTCAGATAAAACACCTCAGCCAACATGGACAGGAAGTTGAGTGAAATGCACTTGCTATGCAGAGACTGGCAGATGATCTCACACAGATGAGGTGTACTTGGATTTTACCTAAATCCTGGTCAGTCATGCAATCCAGTTTCTCAGCTACACAATCCTTTATGGGATATAAATTTCCCAATATATAATTTTCTCTGTGGCTTAAGAGCATCTGCAAAACACAGATAATTCCAAAAATATTTTGCAAGTCTCTTGGTGACTACAAACCTTTCTGATAGCCTAGGATCTAAGGATTATTGTGATTTTTGTCTAACTAGTAAGCACTTTTGAGATACACTGTGGGACACGCATTTTAAAAAATACCCTGCTCTCCTTTGAGTTAGCAAAAAAAAAAAGGAAAACTATTTATAGCTATAAAATATGTTAATATCAGAAATAACTGCTTTAATTGATCAAATAATGACACGCAGCTTGTCTTACATGAATGTTAAGCATTTTCTAAGTGTTTCTTTCAATACAAGAAGAGACTCTTAATGCAATTTCATTTCTTTGCTTTTCACATTTATCACATGCTCTATCCTGACTTAAAAGTGCAGCAATTATTTGTATACATTTTTCCTTACCCAGTTGTGACACTTCTCCACTCAAACCTAACATCCCACCTAGTTATGAACCTCTAAAATGATAGAAGAGTAGTAGTTATGATTCAAAAGCAGTATTTATATAATTTCTGATAAAAAAGAAAACCTTGGAGAATTTACTAATTTCAATAATAGTTAAATTGATTTTATATTATACCACTGCTTTTCTGTGGTAAGGAGAGAAAGTGGCATTTTGTGTCTGAGGAATGTTAACAAGAATGGCGATGAATATTTCATAGCAATACTCTTTGCCTTTTTGGATTTCTCTTTCAGGTTAGAACAATAATACAATTTATGTTTGCTCTTCTGTTTATCTATCTTTAGTGGCCTTGTAAGAGGAAAGTATCATGTAATGAGTTTATTCATGCTTTCTACTCCTTGAAAGGTCCTAGGTTTTCTTTGAAAATATAAATAAATGTCTACTGATCTGAGATACCATCCTAGCATTATTTAGCAGGAAGCTTAAAAGAAATAAAGATCTTTGTATAAGGTGTAAGGAAGGGGCTTAGTTTCAGTTTCAATTTTTTTTGCATATGGCTAGCCAGTTTTGCCAACGCCATTTATTAAATAGGGAAGCCTTTCCCCGTTGCTTGTTTTTGTCAGATTTGTCAAAGATCAGATGGATGTAGGTATGTGGCACTATTTCTGAGGCCTCTGATGTGTTCCATTGGTTTATATATTGGTTTTGGTACCAGTGCTGTGATGCTTTGGTTACTGCAGCCTTGTAGTATAGTTTGAAGTCAGGTAGTGTGATGCCTCCAGCTTTGTTCATTTTGATTAGGATTGTCTTGGCTATATGGGCTCTTTTTTGATTCCATATGAGATTTAAAGTAGTTTTTTCTAATTCTGTGAAGAAAGTAAATAATGGTAGCTTGATAGGAACAGCATTGAATCTATAAATTACTTTGAGCAGTATGGCCATGTCCACAATATTGATTCTTCCTATCTATGAGCATGGAATGTTTTTCCATTTGTTTGTGTCCTCAAGTCTTATTTCCTTGAGCAGTGGTTTGTAGTTCTCCTTGAAGAGGTCCTTCACATCCCTTGTAAGTTGTATTCCTAGGTGTTTTATTCTCTTTGTAGCAATTGTGAATGAGAGTTCACTCATGATTTGGCTCTCTGTTTGCCTATTATTGGTGTATAGGAACACTTGTGATTTTTGAAAATTGATTTTGTATCCTGAGATTTTGCTGAAGTTGCTTAACAGCTTAAGGAGATTTTGGGCTGAGACAATGGGGTTTTCTAAATATACAATCATGTCATCTGCAAACAAAGACAATTTGACTTTCTCTTTTCCTATTTAAATACGTTTTCTTTCTGTTGCTTGATGGCCCTGGCCAGAACGTCCAATACTATATTAAATAGGAGTGGTGAAAGAGGGCATCCTTGTCTTGTGCCTGCTGTCAAAGAGAATACTTCCAGATTTTGCCCATTTAGTACAATATTGGCTGTGGATTTGTTATAAATAGTTCTTATTATTTTGAGATACGTTCCATCAATACCTATTTTATTGAGAGTTTTTGGCATGAAGGGATGTTGAATTTTATCAAAGGCCTTTTCAGCATCTATTGAAAGACCTACACGTAAGACCTAAAATTATAAAAACCCTAGAAGAAAACATAGGCAATACCATTCAGGACATAGGCAAGGGCAAAGACTTCATAACTGAAACACCAAAAGCGATGGCAACAAAAGACAAAATTGACAAATGGGATCTAATTAAACTAAAGAGCTTCCACACAGCAAAACAAACTATCATCTGAGTGAACAGGCAACCTACAGAATAGGAGAAAAATTTTGCCATCTATCCATCTGACAAAGGGCTAATATCCAGCAAAGAAATTAAACAAATTTACAAGAAAAAATAAACAACACCATGGAAAAGTGGGCAAAGGTTATGAAGACACTTCTCAAAAGAAGACATTTATGCGGCCAACAAACTTATGAAAAAAAGCTCATCATCCCTGGTCATTAGAGAAATGCAAATCAAAACCACAATGAGATACCATCTCACGCCAGTTAGAATGGTGAACATTAAAATGTCAGGAAACAACAGACGCTGGAGAGGATGTGAAGAAACAGGAACATTTTTACACTGTTGGTGGGAGTGTAAATTAGTTCAACCATTGTGGAAGACAGTGTGGCAATTCCTCAAGGATCTGGAACCAGACATACCATTTGACCCAGCAATCCCATTACTGGGTATATACCCAAAGGATTATAAATCATTCTACTATAAAGACACATGTACACATATGTTTACTGCAGCACTATTTACAATAGCAAAGTCTTGGAA
Source organism: Homo sapiens (assembly GCF_000001405.40). Classification (NCBI taxonomy): domain Eukaryota; kingdom Metazoa; phylum Chordata; class Mammalia; order Primates; family Hominidae; genus Homo; species Homo sapiens. The sequence goes on along the minus strand of NC_000002.12, from coordinate 184,283,923 downwards.
CCAACCCTAATGCCCATTAATGATAGACTGGATAAAGAAAATGTGTCACATATACACCATGGAATACTATGCAGCCATAAAAAAGAATGAGTTCATGTCCTTTGCAGGGACATGGATGAAGATGGAACCGTCATTCTAGAAAACTAACACTGGAATAGAAAACCGAACACCTAATGTTCTCACTTATAAGTGGGAGTTGAACAATGAAAACACATGGACACAGGGAGGCAAACATGACACACTGGGGCTTTTCGGGGTGTGGGGGGCAAGGTGAGGGATAGTATTAGGAGAAATACCCAGTGTAGGTGATGGGTTGATGAGTGCAGCAAACCACCATGGCATGTGTATACCTATGTAACAAACCTGCACGTTCTGCACATGTATCCCAGAACTTAAAGTATAATTTAAAAAATAAATAGAATAAAATAAAATAAAGTTGTAAAAAAATAAAGATCTTCTCTACAAGATATTTTTATTTAAGTGAGTAGAAAAGGAATGAGAGGAGACAAGATTCCTAGTGAGATACATATATGATCAGATGGCCCCTGAGAGACACATTTTGAGTATTTGCTTCCTTCCTGGGCAAGTCTCAGTGCCAGCTCCAGTTTTGAAACTCAGCTGTTCTTCATTTTTCATTCCATGCTAGCTATACATGTTTTGCTTCATTTTGTTTTAATTTTTTTGTGTGGTTTGGATTTTTTTTTTTCATTATGCTTTAAGTTCTGGGATACATGTGCAGAACATGCAGGTTTGTTACATAGGTATACACATGCCATGGTGTTTTACTGAACCAACCTGTCATCTACATTAGGTACTTCTCCTAATGCTATCCCTCCCAATAGCCCCCCAACCCCTAACAGGCCTTGGTGTTGATGTTCCCTTCCCTGTGCCCATGTGTTCTCATTGTTCAGCTCCCACTTATGAGTGAGAACATGTGGTGTTTGGTTTTCTGTTCCTGTGTTAGTTTGCTGAGAATGATGGTTTCCAGGTTCATCCATGTCCCTGCAAAGGACATGAACCTATTTTTTTATGGCTACATAGTATTCCATGGTGTGTATATGCCACATTTTCTTTATTCAGTCTATCATTGATGGACATTTGGGTTGGTTCCAAGTCTTTGCTATTGTGAATAGTGCTGCAATAAGAACACATGTACATGTGTCTTTATAGTAGAATGATTTATAATCCTTTGGGTATAAACCCAGTAATGGAATTGTTGGGTCAAGTGGTATTTCTGGTTCTAGATCCATGAGGAATCGTCACACTGTCTTGCACAATAGTTGAACTAATTTAGACTTTCACTCATAAAAGCGTTCCTATTTCTCCACATCTTCTCCAGCATCTGTTGTTTCCTGACTTTTTAATGTTCACCATTCTAACTGGCGTGAGATGGTATCTCCTTGTGGTTTTGATTTGCATTTCTTTAATGACCAGTGATGTGAGCTTTTTTTCATATGTTTGTTGGCCTCATAAATGTTTTCTTTTGAGAAGTGTCTGTTGATATCCCTTGCCCACTTTTTGTTAGCATTTCTTGTTTTTTTTTCTTGTAAATTTGTTTAAGTTCTTTGCAGATTCTGGATATTAGTCCTTTCTCAGGTGGATAGATCGCAAAAATTTTCTCCCATTCTGTAAGTTGCCTGTTCACTCTGATGACAGTTTCTTTTGCTGTGCAGAAGCTCTTTTGTTAATTAGATCCTATTTGCCAATTTTGTCTTTTGTTGCCATTGCTTTTGATGTTTCAGTTATGAAGTCTTTGCCCATGCCTATGTCCTGAATGATATTGCCTAGGTTTTCTTCTAGGCTTTTAATGGTTTTAGGTCTTATGTTTAAGTCTTTAATCCATCTTGAGTTAATTATTTATAAGGTATAAGGAAGAGGTCCAGTTATATTTTTCTGCATACGGCTAGCCAGTTTTCCCAACACCATTTATTAAATAGTGAATCCTTTCCCCATTGCTTGTTTTTATCAGGTTTGTCAAAGAACAGATGGTTATAGGTGTGTGGCATTATTTCTGAGCCTCTGCTCTCTTTCATTTGTCTATATATCTGTTTTGGTACCAGGACCAGACGGATTCACAGCCGAATTCTACCAGAGGTACAAAGAGTAGCTGGTACCATTCTTTCTGAAATTATTCCAAACAATAGAAAAAGAGGGACTCCTTCCTAACTCATTTTATGAGGTCAGCATCATCCTATTACCAAAACCTCGCAGAGACCCAACAAAAAGAAAATTTCAGGCCAATATCCCTGGTGAACATTGATGTGAAAATCCTCAATAAAATACTGGCAAACCGAATCCAGCAACACATCAAAAAGCTTATGCACCATGATCAAGTCGGCTTCATCCCTGGGATGCAAGTCTGGTTCAACATATGGAAATTAATAAATGTAATTCTTCACTTCAACAGAACCAATGACAAAAACGACATGACTACCTCAATAGATGCAGAAAAGGCCTTCGATAAAATTCAACATCCCTTCATGCTAAAAACTCTCAATAAACTATGTATTGATGGAATGTATCTCAAAATAGTAAGAGCTATTTATGACAAATCCACAGCCAATATCATACTGAATGGGCAAAAACTGGAAGCATTCCCTTTGAAAACCAGCACAAGACAAAGATGCCCTCTCTCACCATTCCTTTTCAACATAATATTGGAAGTTCTGGCCAGGACAATCTGGCAAGAGAAAGAAATAAAGGGTATTCACATAAGAAGAGGGGAAGTCAAATTGTCTCTGTTTGCAGATGACATGACTGTATATTTAGAAAACCCCCTCACCTCAGCTCAAAATCTTAACCTGATAAGCAACTTCAGCAAAGTCTCAGAATACAAAATCAATGTGCAAAAATCACAAGCATTCCTATACACCAATAACAGACAAGCAGAGAGCCAAATCATGAGTGAACTCCCATTCACTATGGCTACAAAGAGAATAAAATACCTAGGAATACAACTTACAAGGAATGTGAAGGACCTCTTCAAAGGGAATTACAAACCAATGCTCAAGGAAATAAGACAGGACACAAAGAAATGGAAAAACATTCCATGCTCATGGATAGGAAGAATCAATATCCTGCAAATGGCCATACTGCTCAAAGTAATTTATAGATTCAATAGTATCCTCATCAAGCTACCATTGACTTTCTTCACAGAATTAGAAAAAAACTACTTTAAATTTCATTTGGAACCTAAAAAGAGCCCATATAGCCAAGACAATCCTAAGCAAAAAGAACAAAGCTGGAGGTATCACGCTACCTGACTTCAAACTATACTACAAGGCTATGGTAACCAAAACGCATAGTACTTGTTTTATTTATATGCTTTTAATACAACCCAATCATTGGGCTGCAATTAACTGAATGTTTGTGTACCCTCTGCCCTAAATTCATACATTGAAGCCCTAATCCCTGGATAATGGTCTTTGGGAGTAAGGCCTAGGAAGATTATTATGTCATGAGAATAGAGCCTTCATGGATGGAATCATTGTTCTTATAAGAAAAGTCCAGCTAGCTCCCCTTCTGCTGTGTGAGCATATAAGAAGTCAACAATGTGAAACCTGGAAGAGGGCCTCACAAGAACCTAACCATGTGGCACACTGATATCAGACTTCAGACCATTAAAGATAAGTTTCTAAATCACCCAAGTCTCTGGTACTTTATTATAGCAGACCAAGCTAACTAAGACACCTGCCAGCTTATGAGGAATCTGCAAGGTACTTCCTCCTGGGCACCAGAGCTCTTTTTATGTCAATTAGTTCCATCTTCGAAAGAAAGAATATACCACTTGTTTACGAGATCTCTGATCTGTTTATACGTTGAGAGGGATCCTTCTTGGCTGCATCTCTCTTTTGCCACTAGAGCCATTGTATTCTATCGGTCATCTCATAAATCCCTGTGGTACGGAGAGTGTAACTGTACACTGGGAAAAGCAAAAACTTGAACATTCCAAAGGCTTTTTGACTCCGAGTCTGAATTACAATTGATATTCAGAGAACTGAGGTCTTATTATACTCACCCTCACCCTCATCCCCCTATCATACTGCCCATTAGGGTTAAAGTGTATGAGAGCCTGATAATAGATGCAATACTGATCTGGGTCCAGCTTACAGCAATCCCACTGCCTCTGCACTTCCACCTAGTGACCACTTAGCCAGTCCCTGAATAAATGATTGAAATATGACATACCTGAAAGTTGACTTAAGCATTTCTTTGGACCCTTGAATGTGGAGTAAGAGTTCTTGTAAGACTAGTGGAAAAAGAAAAGTGGAGTCCCAAACTCAGCAAATATATTCAAATAATAAAAACATTAGATTCTGATAAAAATGACTACCCTTGATGACCTACAGGATACATGGGTGATGGCCTTCATCCAGTCTCCATTTAAAGAAGATAAGAAACAGTAAACATTCACATGAAAACGACAATCACATATATTTAGAGGTTTCAGTTTCATCACATTTCTATGTTAAGTCTTTTTTCCCTCTATCATAATATAGCTCAAACAATTTTGGATTATTTGATATCTCTCAATATGCTAGCATGCTCTATCACTGAAATTGCGTTAACCAGACTGGATGAGCAAGACATTGAGGTCTTGGGAAGACACATGTGCTACCTAGAGTTTGAGCTATGTCCTATGATGATTTAGGAACCTTTACCACATAAGTAAAGATTTTAGGGATTTAGTAGTTTGGGACATACTTGGACACACCCTTCAAAGTAAAGAACCATCTGGTGTATCTTGAACCTTCCACTACTAATAAGGAGTAATAATACCTAAGTAGGCGTCTTCAGGTTCTAGAGACAGAATATTCTATAATTGTGAGTACTCTTCTGGGCCATATTTCAGAAGACAGAAAATGAGTTGTTACTGAATATTCATATCTTCCCAAAATGTATATGTTGAAGCCCTAACCCTTACTGTGGATGTATTTGAAGATTGGACCTCTAAGCAAACAATCTAGGTTAAATGAAGTCATAAGGGTGAGGCTTTGATTCGGCAGAATTGTTGTCCTTAAAAGAAGACATACCAGACAGCTTGTTCTTTCTCTCTGTCTCTCTTTCTATCTGTAGGTGCACAAAGAAGAGGTCTTATGAGCATATGAAGAGATAGCAACCACCCACAAGCCAAGAAAACAGCTCTCAGAAGGAAACCTACTTTGCTAGAACTCTGATCCTGGATGTCCCACCCTCCGGAACTGAGGCTGTTTAAGCCATGCAGTCTATAATATTTTGTTAGGGAAGCCTGAGCTGAATAATATAGGAGTGAGACTCGGAATAGAAAAGGGCTCTGCCACAAATCCAAACTGCTGAGCAAGTGGCTTTGCTAATTGACCCATACTGACATTAGTGGTATACATTAAGGAACCTGTGAAATCGGAATATAAGTTATGGGAAAAGACGTCATATGTAGAATCACAATAAAGACTTGTAGAGTTGGACAGAACTTCCCCTCATTAGCCAGCTTCTGTCAAACCCATGATATAAGTAGTACAGATAATAATCCATTGTCAGGTATAAATGGTACATCTTTAATTTCGCAGAAGGAGGATTGGAGAGAGCAAGCAAGTTCCAAAAACTCGCAGCCCAGAACCTCATGTCCTCCACCAAGCTTGCACCAAAATTTTTCTCTCTCATGTCACAGCTATGGCCATACATAAAATCATGTATGACCAGATGACAGAAGAGGAACACCTAAAGCTTAGTTCACAGATAAGTTGACTCCGTAAGTGGTGCAAGCCAAAAATGTATGCTAGTTTTACGGGAATATAGCTGCCACATATTCCCACTCAAGGGTGGGCTTGAAAGAGAATGGTAAGGGAAAATTCTCCTAATGGATAGAATTTGGGCATTTTACTTGGGGACCAATCTTGTATGAAAATAGAAGTGGTTAGAATATATACACACTCTTGACCAAAGGCTTGGTCAGGGACCTGAAAAGAGAAAGACTGGAAGATTAAGGTTAAGCAAACTTGGGCTAATGATATGAGTGGATGCAGGAAAATTGATACAAAGTGTGAAAAATCTTTAAATAATATATCAACTTTCACCAGCACCTTGGAGGGCTTAAGAATGTTTAATGTAGGAATGTAGATATAATTGAATAAGATATGGAACCTACTTTACCACAAAGGAGGTGGAGGTGAGGCCCCAGGATCACAGAATCCACTTTTATATCATATATATGGTACCACTCATAAGTGGTCTGATAAAGTGATGTAACCTAATTTTGAAGCGAGTCAATTAAACATCATTCTCTAGGACATAATAGTACACATTTTAAAGAACTTTATATGGTGCTATTCCCCAATATGTAAAAAATATGAATCAAATAGTGGAAGCCTATATTACAAAAGCATTACAATTCAACCTCATCCTTTGCCAATCCTGCTTCCTTCACAATGCACAGGTTCTGAAAATATTCACCAATACTTTTCTCACAGGTAAATCTACATCTCAAAGTCTGCTTCGCAGGAATCCCATTCTGGGATGGGTAGTTTCTAAATTACTCAGATGGCATGTGTTAGTGATGGATATCCAAAATCCTTTAATATCTCAAAACCATCTTTCTTTTGCTGTGACAGAAGAATGCTATCTTTGCTGCATGTAATATTTTTCATCCATAATTATTTTCCCTTTTGTATTCTATACATATTCCACTGCCTCATAGCTTTCAATATAGATGATGAGAACTGTGATATGGTTTACTTTATTTCCTTCATTAGTTGGAAATCATATATTCTAGCTATTTTGTATATATTTTATAATCATCACTACTATAATATATAGTAGTCTGGGTCTAGGAGAGTGTACTGATAACATCAATTTTATAAGGAATTTTCAGTGTTTTTACTTCTAGACTTGAAAGTTTCAGCAAGTGAAATAAAGTTTTATATCAGTTTATTTTGTTAGACCCTATGCCTCATCTGTTTCTTTTGCTCCAATAAAAGATCAACTATTTACACTTTTGAAATTTGCATATTTGATATACTGAATCTATCTGAAAAGTTTTCATTTTTCCATTACCTTATATTTTGTGTTGTGAGATTATTTTTTTCACTTCATTTGCAAGTTGCTATTTTGTTTTTAGGTTTGCATATTAAATCTTTAACCAAAAATCTATGCTTTATTTCCACAGTATTAATCTTTAATTGAATCTCCTTTGTATTCTGTCATTATATTTTATTATTTGTTTATTGTCTTTTGTCCACTCCAGGAATTTTATTTCACTTAGAGCTGACTGTTCTACTGGATCCCCTAAGGAGATCTTCATTTTCTTTGGATACTCATATTTCTGGTCATTCTAGGAGTCTGAGTAGTAGGAAGCAGAGCAGTCCATTCTCCTAAAATCTATGGAAGTACTAGAAGCAACAGTTGAGCTCCTAGGAAGAAGCCTGGCTGCTCCCAGAACTTTCCATTTAAAGGTGTTAGCACTCTCTTAGCCTCAGGAATAGGGACGCACCTAGGAAACCCGTATGACCTTCATGAACATCTTTTAGCACCAAGTTACCCAATGTGACCTGCTAGGATCACACACAATAAATACCTGCAGTCAAGTGTTCCCTGAGAAGCATGAAACCTTCATCTTTACATGACTAATCCCTGAAGTTTGACCCTCTTTTTGTCAGGATAAGAGCTTGCCAGCATCTGTTCCTCATATTGCAGCAGAGCTGGTCTATATACCACATGTTCTTTCAGTATGCATCCTCATGATCATGGCAGATTTTCTGAGAGGTTTTGTTTCATCAGAATCGAGCTTGAATAGAACTTTAGAAATGCTTTTTCAGGCCATTGCCTTCAGACTAAAAATAAATTGAAATATATTTATATGGTCATAAAATGTAAACTATGATATTTGATTTCCAACATTTAGGTTCAATATATAGACAACGTCCCCTAAAACAAATAGGAGCTATAGACTTGTCTACCTTGAAAGTATAACAGTAAAGGTATATCTTTCCTTTACAATGTGATGCGAATGTGAAGAGCAGAGGTAGAAGGAATTTAAGTATGTTAATTTTCAAATCTTACAAAATTTAAATTCTAAAAGTACAGAAAAATAGTTGAACTATAAAATAGATATTATATTCATTATTTAAAGTTTCAAGGACCATATATGGAAAAACTGCTAGGGCTGTTATCACTAATAATTGGAAGCAGAGAGAAGGTACAAGTAAACTATAACCTCATGTTACTTAGTAAGAATTCTGAGAACAAAATAAAAATTCAAATATAAAATTATCATAAGGTATAGAAATAAAAAATTACAATTGCAAGTTTTCAAAAAGTGGTAGCCTCTGTGCAGTGGTGCTGTGGTATGGATTGGGGAACAGTTGCTTTTCTCTGTGAGGTCTTCTGTATTTGTTCGTGAGTTAATTTGACTAAAAATAAAAGAACGGCTTGTAATTATTAATGACGATTTTCAGGTGAAGTAAATCTCTGTGGTGGAATTTCAGAAAATGTGGCATCAGGGTGGGAAAATATCTTTACAGGAAGTTATCTATTGTGCCTCATAAGCCAGCCCTTCATCTTAATGATTGAGATTAAGATAGGTGTAGAATTAGTAGAACTTTTCTTAACTATAGCTTTCAGTTTAAATTTTTGAGGTTAAAAGTATATTAGAAAATTTCTAATTAAATTTATATTTAGTAAAGAAGATTTTAATTTTAGTTACTAATTATTACTCCAGGTGTATTTTCCATATTTTCTCAAGACAGAAAAAATGTTTGCTTATAATCGTGAAACCAAACTTATTAATATAATAAATTAACAAGCTCTGGGGGGAAATGTGACAGAGAAGTGTCCTGTGGTGACTGGCCTGAGCTTTCTAAAGTCATTTCTAGTTAAAATAAAATATTGACAGTTTAGACAGTTATTTTTTTAAATTACAGAATAGTAATAACCAAGAGCATAAATAAAATGTTCAAAGACATGGGCATTATATTTTATGGAGAAAAAGTGAAGTCATGGAAATTGTCTATGGAGTTTCTATACATGGTGCCTATGTATTGAAATTTTAGTCATGGGCATTGCAATAATCAGTGGCTTGTTTTGTAGTTGAAGCATTATGGCAATAAATACTACCACAGACAATTCACAATTACAGTATGAATCTATATGACCAAAGTTGTGTTTCTATGTAGACTATCAGTAGAAGGACAAATTACCACTTTTTAGTTTTCGTGGTTGTTCTGCCCTTATAATGACTTTGCACTTTACTGTTCTAAACTCCCACAAGCTTCATTTGAGCTAATTTTTGTTTGTATTTCTTTTTCTGGTTGGTTTTTTCCAACTTCTTTAGAAGGAAAAAAAGTCATAACTAGGATACATTGGAAAACATAAAGCATTGACACTGATGGCTTTCTAGATGAGCATGTGCTATTTTGTGAGAGACATATAATTCAATTCATTTTGTGAAGGTAATATGTTGTCAGTATATTTTATTTTCTGTATTATGAATTTCAAATATTATAAGTGGTCATACTTAGCTTCTTGTGAACTGATACTGAATGAATATTATAAAGCAAGTTTAAAGTTAAGCATATATCATCACTTGATCTGGAGATTTAGAACACTAAAATCTCTACTGAATTATATTTATATTGCACTAAATATAATTTATATTGCACTAAATTATAGATGCAATCAACAGTGTTGCCTAGACTTAATAATTGCTCAGTGAAATCTAGGCATTAAAGAAAATGTCAAATCATTCAATTCCCTACTAATAATCTGAAAAAATTTTATTTAAAACCATAGCAAAAGTAACAGCACAAGACAAAATTGGAATTTTAGGTGTGAGTATTGCAATGATCAGTGGATGAAGAGAGCTTTGGAAAATTATTACAGTAAAATAAAATACTCAGAAATAGGAATATTTTGCCCCAAATTGTGCCAGTTCTGAAGACTTCTGAGTTGACTTTTGATTCAAAAGATTAGGAATGTATGTATCATGTAACAATCAGTAAAGCAGAGAACCACTCTGTGAATATTCTGTGACTCTTTATTAATTGAAATAATAATAGCTAAACTTGAAGGCTTTCTTTTTGTCAGACACTTCTCTAAATTCTTCCCAAAATAATTTTGTTAAAGTAAAGCATAAATAATTTCAATCACCTAACCAGGATCATACAACTTGTAGGAAAGTTGATATTCGAACCCAGGCAATCTGACACTAGCACTCATACGTCCAACTATTCAATGATTCCTTGAGCCAAAATGAAGTATTATTTAACCACTGAATTATTGTTGTGAGTAATATATAATAGTTTTATTTCTTTATATGTAGAAAGAGAAACACAGTGTTTACTACAAAGCAAAATATGGAATGCTTGTCAGTAAATGCTCATTTTATATGAATACATTATCGTATTTTACATAAAAAGCATACATTTCAAATTTGTTTTCTATTAGAGCTGAATTTATTTTTCAGGTCCTTAGTGTTTTGTAAGATCCTCTCTTGCTCACACACACACCCAATTTAATTGCACTATTCTTATTATTGACACTTACAGTCAATAGCAGGAATCGCTCTAATTGAGTGAAGGTGACAAAATATTTAGAATATTACTGTATTTTAAAAGCTGATACTTTATAGGTTAAGCAAAGGCAAAATTGATATATTTAGTATTCTTTACAATTGTATATTTTGCTTTAGTGATAATTTTATGTGAATTATATATATTTGAGAAAGAGCAGACTAATACGTAGGCAAAGTAGGTCACTATCAAAATGTTAAATTTGATGGAGTGTTCCAAAGTATCTCTCATATGATCAGTAATCCTCTCTAGTCAGCATTTATTAATATTTACTAAATGCCAGGTACAATCCCAGAAAGTAGAGATTCCAAAATTAGTAACTAGTCATAAGATAACAAAATAGTATGGAACATATTGAAAAGAGTAATTAGAATGAAGCAAAATCTGAAACTTCTATAGAAGTGGCAGGATTTAATCTGGGCCATGAAGAAGGGATAGGCACTTGCTAGATAGAAAAGCAAAGGAAAAAGAAATTTAGAAGGATAGGACAGTGTAAACCAAACACAGAGGTAAGAAAGTGTGGCTCACGGTCTGGGAGTCCAGGATAAACAGTAAGATTCAGAAAGTCTGTCTCAGAAATAACAAAACAGTGAGAAAAAAGATTTGCAAGAGAGTCTAGACAGTAAAAAATTGACTTGTCAAGTAATCTTTAAACAATACAGTAGTATTTAAAGGACAACAAACACAACATCTTCAATACTGCTGGATCTACAGCTTGTCAGTTTATGTTGGAAAAACTGGAATTTTCTCACGTGATTATTACACTGACCAAGTTCATCATCTCTCTTTCGATATTAACAATTGGAAAGTCAGGGGAAAATGTATTTTGTGAAGGAATCAGCAAATCACGAGAAATGTGAAGGTGTCATTTATTAAGACAAAGTGACCCTCATTTTTGTTGTTGTTGTAGTTATTATTCATTTCAGGGTACAAAGTGCCTCTTCTTCTAACTGTGGAATATGATTTATATGCCCATCCTTAGTGACAGCAGGGCAAGATGTCAGTTTTGTTTTTTCAGGAACACTTGTCATTGTTGTATTAATAAAATGAATAACCAGCGATTGGACTGGAGAGGTATGTTGATACCAGATTATGAAAAGCCTACACTTCAGATTCCCAGTCTCTGGATGACTTGCAATTTTCTATTATTAGAATCATTATCCACATGCACTTTACCTTTATGCTGCCATCAGGTTTCTGCCTCCTCCCCCTTATGTTAGCAGATTACAATGAACTAGTTTCTAGTTTAGTGAAACAACATATTGGGGCCTGAAGATAACATATATGAAAATGAGTGTGACTCCAAGGGAACCCTGAACTGTGCCTCACAGGATGGTTTCAGGTTGAGAACAACCCAAAGTAATAAACCCCTTCTGGAGTCCACCAGGGAAAACAACCAAAATGGAATGACGAGATCTCACTTACATTTCAGTTTGTTTGTTGAGAATGTGTTTGCCATGAAACTAATGTTTAATTTACATGTGGCTTCTTCATTAAAATCACCTTTTGAAACTATATAGTCTTTTCCCCTTTTCAAATCATACTTCTGGATAAAGGTTAAGGGAGCCTAATATATGAGAGTAAATGTGTTCTATTTATTGCAAAGAAAAAAAGTTCTGTAAACAGGTATTTTTTGTTTCTCTGAAGTGTTTTACTAATGTAATATTCTTAATTCTCTCCACCCACGAGCCTCAGCCCAGCTATTCTTGTACATTACTTCCTGATCCACAGGAAACAAATGTAAGTTCTGGGATAAAGCAGGCCTCTGCTCACTTATTAAGGTCTTTCTCTGTTAATGGTAACTTCTTGTTTTCTCCTGCTGCTTTGCCTCGCTCCCTTATTTCTAGCAGATTTTCAGGTTTCTGTTTGCCTGGATACTTGGCAGGGCAGTTTTCTTTACTTGTAGGATTTTCAAACACATGCTTCTTATGTATTTGCCTGAACTCTGCCTCACTTGTACCTTCCTGTATGTATTTTGTTAGCTGCTTCTCTACTTAAGAGCAACCTGTTTCCTACCCTGACTCCCATACTTCATCCATTAAAATATGTTTTTCTCTTCTAAACTGTGCTTCTGACCTCTTCCCACCCATGCCTGTGAATGTTACAAAGTCAGGTTCTATTATAGATTCTTTGACCTGATTAAGTGAAAAATAGAGCAACAACATACAGGAGCTAACGTAAATGTTTATCATGAATATGTTTAAGAGGAGAAAAGAACAAACCACTTGGGATAAGAACGGCAAATAGTAATGCTATTATTGCTCTGTGGATTTACTTGTATTATTTTGCTGTTTTGCTATTTTGTCTTTTTATGTCTCTTCCTAGGCTTGTGACCTGCCAAGATGCATATTCTCCCTTCTTTGCAGGCCTGGATTCCCAAAGGGATCTAGTGGCACATTTGCCAACTCTGCGGAAAGGCAATTATTAGGCAATTCCCATCTCCCTTTCATTAGAAACTCTCCTGTTATTCTGTCGTGAGCTTTCCTGCCTCTGATGAAATGCCTTCAAATCTCTCTTTACCATGTGTTCAGTGGCCCCTTTAACTGATCTCTACATGAGTGATTCCAGCTGAACTGTAGACATTAAGGAAGAAAATACTGCCGGCGTATCCGGGAGAATAATTCTTCCCACAATCAACAAAGACCCATCTGGGTATTATGTTCTTGCCTTGAATCTGCCATTCTCACTACAAAGGAAGTGGTTTAAATTCCCTGTTAACTGATTTCACAATTACCTGTATTCTCTCTAAAGAAGCTAAATATCTTTGTTTTCTCTTTTCTCAATTTCATGCATTTTTAAAAATTCAATGCAACACAACCCTTTTTAAGCATCATTCTACTTTGTCATTTCTGCAAAGGTCTTCAGGTTATTCATACTTTAGTTTCACTTTTATTAAACGGACCCTAAATAAATGAGACAAAATCTATATCATATATATTTAACTGAAAAGAGGATTTCATTAGTATTCAATATTTAGTCTCTGTAAAATGGTAGAAAATAAACAAGGTAACAGGCAGTGATGTCTAGCAGGAAACCTTTGAAACCACTCACTGCTCAATCAAGATCCATATCCTTTCTGTGGAGGCAGACAGTTCACCTAGTCTCCTACTGTGGCTAAAAATGAAGCCTCTAGAATCAGACTCTGGGTTTGACTCTTCCTCCACTCTGTGACCCTGAGCAAATTACTTAATTTCTCTGTGTCTCAGTTTCCTCCTCTTTACAACGAGCTTCTATTATGACTGTGTGAAATAGATGAAGTAGAGTAGGGATACCCAACCACTCCTGGGCCACGGACCTGTAGTGGTCCCTGGTCTGTGAGGAACCAGGCCACACAGCAGAGGGTAAGCAGTGGGCCAGGATCATTACTGCCTGAGCTCCATCTCCTGTCAGATAAGTGGCACCAATATGTTCTCATGAGAGCACAAACCCTTCTGTGAACTGTGCATGTGAGGAATCTAGGTTGTGTGCTCCTTATGAGGATATAACTAATGGTTTCGGGTTTCCATTCCTGTCCCCACCCCCATCCATGGAAAAATTATCTTTCACAAAACCAGTCCCTGGTGCCAAAATGTTTGGGGGCTGCTGAAGTAGAGCACTTAGAGGAAGGCATACCATGCACAAAGTGGTTGATGAATGCGTTAGTAGTAAACCTCTTTTTGATCAAGATGCCAGTAGAAGTTCAGGAGTATATAGTTATCATCAAAAAAATTGGATTCTTAGTCTTCTTTTGCTCTCATAACTGAATGCTTCCCCCAAAACCTGACCCCAAAAAGTTTGCCTTCTGTTACAGGTTGAATTGTGCCCCTCCAAAATTCATATGTTGAAGCCCTAATCTTTAAAAATTGTACTTCAGGTTGTGACCTTTTTTGGAAGTAAAGTCTTTACAATGGTCTTCAAGTTAAAATGAGGTCATTAGGGCAGGTCCTAATCCCAAACGACTGTTGTTACAAAAAATAAATTTGGAGACAGACACAAATACAGGGAGAGCTGCATGTGAACATCAAGCAGAGATCAGGGTGATTCAACTACAAGCCAGGGAACATCAAAGTTGCCAGCAAGCCACCGAAAGCCAGGAGAGAGGCCAACAAGTTTCCTTCTTCAGAAGAAGCCAACCCTGTCAACACCCTGTCAACTTCAGATAGAAGTTTGATCTCAGATTTCTAGCCTTCAGAACTGTGAGACAATACATTTCTATTGCTAAAGCCACCAGTTTGTGGTATTTTGTTATGGCAGCCCTAGCAAACCAATACATCCCGTTGCCCCATCTCCCTTAGTGTTCAGTTTGTTTGTTTGTTTGTTTGTTTTGGATCTGCCCCAGCTACCCTGAGACAGCAGCTGCCCAGTTATATGTTTCTATATTGGGAGTAAGGGAGCAATGCTAGGAGACTGAAAAATGGAGAGTTCAGTCTGAATTGTAATACGCAGGTTTTCCCTCCAAATAACACCGTATGTTATGGACCACAGACAGGCTCCAGCTAAGTGCATGGATTAAGTCTGAGATCAATAATGTTGAAAGTTCACTTTATGCCAGATGGTTTCCATGGCTATTAATGATGCCTCATTTTATACTCATTGAAATTAATTTGTTTGGCTCAAATTTGAAAATTATTGGATTCAAGTAATACAAGAAGCTGTAACAGTCCCCAGGTTGCATATTTTACATGTATTAATAGTAATTTTATAATTTACCTGAAAATAGGGCTTAGAGCATGAGAAGCATGAGAAAGTCCCAGTCTTCTGAAGAAAGGGAATGTCAGAATCAACACTTGGCTAAGTGAAGGGAAAGAGAAAGGAAGTTGTATTATAGACAGACTTAAGCATTCCACTGTTGATTGACACTGTCACGTACAGAAGGTTTAAGAATAGATAAACCTGCCATATAAAAACAAAATAATGGTTAAAATAATTTAACCAACAACCTTTACAGTATATTTTCCTGAGATGGCTAAGATAAGTTGGTTTTGTTTTCATTTGGTTTTTGTTAGTGGTTTTGTATTTAATGACTTTGATTCTCTACCATCAACACACACCTCCCCGCTTTGGGCTCTGAAAACCATAATTGCTAATTGGGTACATAGGGAAAGAATCAATTTAAACTAACTGGGTCATAAACCACATACAGGTTTCTAAACCGAGGGAGCAACAGTTTAAAACTGCACTCCAAGGAGATGTCTAAATCACAGGTACATTAAAGTTGTGCAAATGGTTTCAAGAAATATTCAGATTTAGTACAGTTATTACCACACAAAGTATTCATTTGCTACTTTTATGCTGATCCACCTACTGATGTCTGCTAATGATAGAGAAGGAACAATGGGCATTATTAGCTTGATCCTAAGGGTCAATTTGTCTCAATTAAAAGTATTATTTGCCCAAAGCATGCTTTTATTTCAAGACTGTGCTCAGGCTTTAGAGGTATTCTTGTTTGCAAGGCAACCATTAAAGGTATATAAGTTCCAGGCCTCCAGAGCCCTGAAGTAGAACTTTTACAATTTCAGTAACCAGAACTTCTCGAAAGTTTGTGAAATGTTCTAAATTATTGCTTCACTCTTGAGTACTGGTTCTCAACCTTTTGTTGTCCATTAGATTACCTGAAGAAACTTTAAAAATCTCAATGCCAAGGCCTTGCCACAAACTAATTATTCCTCAGAATTTTCAGAGGCATAATATCAGTATCCACAAGCCAACACCAAAGTGTGAGATGCAATGCTCTAGAACCTTGGGACCCACTATGGCCCCCAGACCAGTGGCTGGCATTGGGATCACCTGTGAGTTTATTGGAACTACAGACTCCTGGGTCCCACTCCAGACCTACTAAATTAGCATCTTCTCTTTGGCAAGATCCCCAGGTGATTTGCATGCATATGAAAGTTGGAAAGGAATAGATTTAGTTTAGAGGGTCTTGTAGCATCCTTACCCAAAGAGTTCACTGGCATAATCAGAATACCCTAAAGTAGTAATTTACCCAAGAAGTTATTTTTTTTCAAGTTTGTGTTGCTTGCTGCTTTAGTCAACTTGTCAGAAGTGTAGCTGTTTAAAGGATTTTTTTTTCAGATATCATAAAAGGTAAATTTCCCTCTAATATGAAAATAGAAAGTCAAATTATAAGGAATTTGCTCTAATCTGAAAGAAGATTTGACACTGACTAATATCCAGGGACACCGTCAGAAAATGGAGCTAGCATGTACCTCATTGGGTATTTCCAAGACACTAAAGCTATGTATTTTAAACGTGAATTTTCCTATCATATCCCAAGTAGAAAATGTTCCTTTTATTTTACTTACCTACCTGGGGCATATTCTTATCAATATGGATAAAAATATATAAGTGATAAAGCTATTTAATGACAAGATAAAACCAAGGTTACTGACTGACTTATTGATCATTAATAGTTGGCTATGTAAAAGACTGAGTAAAGTAAAGGTGTCTTTAAACCTTATTCAGTTTTAGGTAAGAGTTAAAAATTTGCTGGAGGATTAAAAATGTATTAGGATTTACATTAATGTTACTAGAAAAGTGATCGTCTGATGAACTGTTTACATTTTGAGTAATGTATTTATTCAAAAACCAACAGCAGAATGGACAAAGAATTTATTTTTAATAAAGAATATCAAAGTTTTGAGTAATTAGGATATTATGACAACTGTAAATGATTCCTGCTATAATAAAATTGGCCTACATTCACCTAGCAAAATGTGTTCATATGGTCCCATTAGTGTAATTAATAATTTCTGAGAAAAGAGCTAATCTATTTGACAACTAAATAAAATTATGAGTTATTGACTATTTCTTCAGAATACTTAATTGTCCTGTAATTAAATGGTAGTAAAACATTTACAGAATAAAAATACATTCCATCAGTACCTAGTTTATTGAGAGTCTTTAGCATGAAGGCGTATTGAATTATATCGAAAGTCTTTTCTGCATCTATTGAGATAATCATGTGTCTTTGTCACTGGTTATGTTTATGTAATGCATTACATTTATTGATTTGCATATGCTAAACCAACCTTGCATCCCAGGGATGAAGCCAACTTGATTGTGGTGGATAAGCTTTTTGATGTGCTGCTGGATTCAGTTTGCCAGTATTTTATTGAGGATTTTCGCATCGATGTTCATCAAGGCTATTGGCCTGAAATTTTCTTTTTTTGTTGTGTCTCTGCAAGGTTTTGGTAACAGGATGATGCTGGTCTCATAAAATGAGTTAGGGAGGAGTCCTTTGTTTTCTATTGTTTGGAATGGTTTCAGAAGGAATGGTACCAGCTCCTCTTTATACCTCCAGTAGAATTCAGCTGTGAATCTGTCTGGTTCTGGACTTTTTTTAGTTGGTAGGCTATTATTTACTCCCTCAGTTGTAGAACTTGTTATTGGTCTCTACAGGGATTCGACTTCTCCCTGGTTTAGTCTTGGAAGGGTGTATGTGTCCAGGAATTTATCCATTTCCTCTAGATTTTCTATTTTAATTGCACAGAGGTGTTTATAGTATTCTCTGATGGTAGTTTGTATTATTGTATTGACAAATGGTATCTAATTAAATTAAAGCGCTTCTGCTCAGCAAAAGAAACTGTCATCAGAGTGAACAGGCAACCTACAGAATAGGAGAAAAATTTTTGCAATCTATCTGTTTGACAGAGGTCTAATATCCAGAATCTACAAGGAACTTAAACAAATGTACAAGAAAAAGAAACACCATCAAAAAGTGGGTGAAGGATATGAATAGACACTTCTTAAAAGAAGACATTTATGAGGCCAACACACATGAAAAAAAGGTCATCATCACTAGTTATTAGAGAAATGCAAATCAAAACCACAATGAGATACCATCTCATGTCAGTTAGAATGGCCATCATTAAAAAGTCTGGAAACAACAGATAATGGTGAGGATGCAGAGAAATATGAACACTTTTACACTATTGGTGAAAGTGTAAATTAGTTCAACCATTGTGGAAGACAGTGTGGTGATTCGTCAAGGATCTAGAACCAGAAATACCATTTGACCTAAAAATCCCATTACTGGGTATGTACCCAAAGGATTATAAATCATTCTACTATAAAGACACATGCACACATATCTCTATTGCAGCACTTTTTACAATAGCAAAGACTTGGAACCAATCCTAATGCCCATAAATGATAGACTGGATAAAGAAAATGTGGCACATTCCATGGCTGCATGGAATACTATGCAGCCATAAAAAAGAATGGGTTCATGTCCTTTGCAGGGACATGGGTGAAGATGGAACCATCATTCTAGAAAACTAACACTGAAACAGAAAAACCAAACACCTCATGTTCTCACTCATAAGTGGGAGTTGAACAATGAGAACACATGGACACAGGGAAGGGAACATCACACACCAGGGTCTGTCGGGTGTTAGGGGGCAAGGGGTGGGAGAGCATTAGGACAAATACCTAATGCATGAGGGGCTTAAAACCTAGATGATGGGTTGATTGGTGAAGCAAACCACCAGGGCACATGACTATGTAACAAACCTGCAGGTTCAGCACACGTATCCCAGAACTTAAATTAAAAAAAAAAAGAATAAAAATAAAATGTGATTGATACTCTATCTGTAACAACATATTAAATTCTAATAAAACAAAATGTTAAAATAGAATATTAAGATCTATTATTATAAGATTTTTAAAAATAGCTACAGTTCTTTCCCTCAATGAGACTCTTAAGCATGCTCTTTTCCACCTTGTAAGCCCACTCTCCCTAATATTAAGTTACTCTGATATATTAAGTAAAAGTGATTATCACAGTTACAATTTTTTTCTTATTTTGAGTTTTCCTTATGTAATTGAGTTGGTTTTGTGAATACAAAGCTCTTCATTTTTTTCTCCTGTTCATATGCAAAGCCACTTTCATTTTGTAGTATTCATTTTCTGTCTCAAATTTTCTATCCAATATAATGTGAATAGTTAAGCAAGTTATTTTACTTTGTGCTTGTCTTTATCTACTTCCTCCAAATTGTCTTTTATCCACAATACTTTGTATATTTTCATCTGCCTCACCATTTTAATAATCCTGGTGAATAAACACACAAACCCACACACATTGAATTTTCTGCTGGAATTGGAAATCTTTGGCAAACAATCCAGCAATTTATTGAATTATGTGGGTCATGCTCTTGTTGTTGGGACTTAATAGTACTTGTTTGAGGAATATTTTTTCACTATTTCAATGGAATTTAAAAATACTATAATAACAATTACAAATGTATTGTTTATTACAGTTGTGGTTATGTGTTGCAGATTATTTAATTGTATAATTCCTACTACAAATCCACAAACTATTGCAGCCAGTTGTGATTCATAATTCAGAATTCCTCAACTTTTTAAAATATTTAAGTATGTGTATGCCAAATATTGCATAAACACCCTGAAGAGTCTGAAGTATCAGTCTATAATCAACACATTACTATTCCTGCAGCAAAACATGAAAAGTTACTCTAAAATGTGTTGATATTGAGTTTTATCAATATTTAAAATACCAATATAAATATCTCACCTCAGCATAGAAAGCATGCCAACTGAGTGTTGCATATTTACAAAAATCTTTCAGTTTTCAGAACTTTTATATTTTAGAATTGCAGATAGCTATGTGATTTTACATGTTTCACGGAAGACATTTAATACTTATAGATTAATGTTTCCCATTTATAAGAATGTAAGCACCAGAGTATTGTTTTCATTTTCCTTTGCTGTTCTTGATGAGTAGTTCATTAATGTGTATTAATAATCAGATTTTTTTCTCATAAAGATAAACTTTTTTTACAATACTAACTTTGCCATTTTACATTTTGTATGGACCTGTAATATTTAATTGGACATAAAATCTCGTGAAGAGCTAAAACATCTGTCATTAATAATCATTTTATGATTCGTTAATGAGGAGTCATAAAGTATTTTTAATATAATAAACATGCAAATTTACATATAACAATTTTAGTTTAAGATTCAAACTACTTTTTGAAATTATGAAATTTTTTAAGGATTTATTGGACATAGTGCCATGATAGAAATTATAATCACAATTCTGAATCCCAGAATCTGTATAGATTATTGCTATGGTTTGAAAGTGTTCTCCAACATTTGTTTGATGGAAACTTAATCCCTAATGCAACAGTGTTGAGAGATAGGACTCTTAAGATGTAAGCAGGTGATAAGGCTTGACCTAATAAATAAATTAATGCCTTAATTTTAGTAGTGGGTTAGTTACCTCCAGACTGAGTCGCTTATAAAAGGATGAGTCTTGCCCCTTCTTCCCTCTCTTGGGTATTTTCTCCTCATGTTATACCTTCTGCCATGGGACAATGCAGCAAGAAGGCCCTCACCAGATGCCAGCAACTGGATATAGGATTTCCAGCCTCCAGAACTCTGAGAAATACATTTCTTTTCTTTACAAATTATCCAGACTGTGGTATTCTGTTATAGCAACAAAAAACAGACTAAGACATCTATTTTTTTCAGTTCTCTGAAATGATAATACCTTAGATGAAACTGAGCTACAAGTTTCCAACAAACATCAAATATTAACAGCATATTCATTTCTACTAAAGTGGAATAATTTGTTGACTAGAGGAACAAAACTAATGAGAATCTTTCCTGCAAAAGGCAATTTTTAAGAAACAATAATTTTTATTATTGTTATATTTGAATTCTTTACTAATTCACTCATGAATATTAATGATTAGATAATGAATAGTAAAAACTATATTCCATTTCTCACATGTGCCCACTTAAAATATTAGAAATGTAGAAAGTAAAACAAGCTTTGGACTTACTACCTATATTCTTTTAGGAATGAAGAGGATTATCTGAATTAGTGAAGTTTGTGTTCTAGGGTTGCTTTTCCCAAAGTTATTTTGTTCTTTTTAAGTGTATAATTTAACTTTAACATGGAAATTAATGCTTATATATCAGGTACATTCTGATTTGATGGACACATATCATCAGGTGTCATGTACAAAACTGAGAATAAAAAGTTTATTGGAAATTTTTTAAATTTCAGGAGAAAATCAATAAAATTAGGTTGAATGAATACCTTTTACTTCACTCTGCGACTATTTACTGTGTGTTTCATATTCATTTGGAAAAATATGTATCTATACACAAATGTACATATTTATATATGGATATAATATATATTATATATATTATGTTATCATAAATCATATATGCCAACATAGCCACAGCCTTGTGTCACAGTTGAAACCCATACATCCCAAAGTTGGACACCGTTACTTTCCCCACTGTTACCACAGCACAACTCTATGTCTGATAGCTCTTACCCTACTTGGCTAGGACTTTGGCTCCTGCTCCAGGCATGGTCATCGCCTCTTGGCTGAGGCCAATGACCTCTTCCCTAATATAACATGCAGAAAGGCATGTCCCAGGCCCAAATTGGCCAAGTCTCTCAATATTACGGCTCCCTGAATTTACTCATACACTAGTGTTCTTTGGGACTAAATCTGAGAAGGCTGGGCTGGACAGAATTAGGAATCCATTACCTGGACTCAAAAGTGCTATTTTTCATTAACTTTCCCACTCAAAGAAAGTTGGTATAGGGTATTTCTACTGCCATGATCATTTATCCTCAGTGGTATCATAGCTCTTACCTACTATTATAACTTATTTACCATTTCACAACATTATGTTTTTCCTTGAAGTTTTCCCAAAATTGGGAACAGAAAGTGACACATAGTGGGATATAGAAATATAGATGGATAGATTAATAGACAATAAGTGAATAAAATTTCCAATAAATTTACTTTTAAAACAATTTGCTAGAAAAGCATATTGATTCAGTCCCT
Organism: Homo sapiens; assembly: GCF_000001405.40. Classification (NCBI taxonomy): domain Eukaryota; kingdom Metazoa; phylum Chordata; class Mammalia; order Primates; family Hominidae; genus Homo; species Homo sapiens. The sequence goes on along the minus strand of NC_000002.12, from coordinate 184,261,563 downwards.
TACTGATTTAAGGACAGTAAATAAAGAAACTTGGCAGACACTCAATTTTTGGCCAATTTGTGAAAAACAAATTTTGCTTAAACAAGTATAAGAGGAATAGCCAGGTGAATCTCAGGCATATGTTTTCTCAATTTTTGCTGGGTATAGGAATTATTTGGGAAGCTTGCTTAAAAGTCAGATCCCAGGCCCACCCCTGTCCTCTGATTCTGGTTGCTAGATTCAGGAAGCTGTATCTTTAATAGTAATTCTTGGCAGTTCTAACAAAAGAGTTCTTATGAATGACACTAAGAAAAAATGTGCCAAGAAAGCTGGAATGAATTGGGTAGGTCATAACATGAGCAAAAGCTTAGGGTTAATGGTGAGAGTCACTGGCAAAAAAAAATTATTATTGGCATATCCGTTAAAATAATAAAAATTCAAAGTTTTGGATAATCATGAACCATGAAATGCATGCAGTATTAGCGTAAAAAAGAAGTTAGTATGTGAATAGGGAGTATACATAAAAACACAAAGGCAATTTGGAAGTGACATTATTGCAGAGTCTAAAGTAGAGTTCTACAAACTTCATATGCTGAGGTTCTTCAGAGCTGCCTTGGGTTTGAAAAGAATATCCATATCCAATTCCAGTATCTTGAAGTGAAGCTGTGCTATGATTCCTGCTTTTTCATCAGTCTAATTCTGCATTCTTGTGTGACTGAGATTCTTGCTTTTCTTAGACCTTTTATCTTATCAATTGACACCTATCTTTAAGTTTTTCCCCAATTTTCGAGGGGAGGTAACCTGAGTAAGTCTCTGTTACCCAAACAAAGCTATGTTAGGCTATAAAATAGTCATCGCAAAGATGTCCACATCCTAATCTCCAGAACCTGTGAGATAAACAGATTCTTTAGTTACTTTTAGATATCAGTCTTAGCTTCATCAGCTACACTAATTATCAGCTATATAAACTTGGGCTGTCTTGTATTTGGAATGAGAATTACACAAATTTCAGAGACGGCATTTTTGAAAGTTTTGTATCCTTAATAGGTGAAAAATAAATGCATTATATTCTTCTTGATCAACATATTTAGTTTGCACATTACATGTGGCATATGACTGTGTGTCTTTCTCACTTTTAATAATGTTTAAAATGCTTCCTAGTTCTAAAACACACCTCATACTTGTGGAAGTCATTAATCTCAGATTGTTGCCTTGATTATCATCTCAATTTTATTGACTGACACAACCAGTGGACTTTAAAACACTGGATTCTCTCAAGTCTCAAATTTGTTGAAGGTCTTCCTTTTTCCCAACACTGTCTGGAAACTGAGAACAATGTTTTAAAGATAAATATTTTTTAAATACTTTGATGTTTCAAAATTCTTTAATTCACTCAAATGAAGACAAAACACAAATGTAAGAAGGCATTTTCTGAAATTTTAGTTTGAATTTGAAATTTGTTATATCGGTGGCTCACGCTTGTAATCCCAGCACTTTGGGAGGCCAAGGTGGACAGATCACAAGGTCAAGATATCGAGACCATCCTGGCCAACATGATGAAACCCTGTTTCTACTAAAAAAAAAAAAAATACAAAAAATTAGCTGGGCATCATGGCGTGCACCTTTAATCCCAGCTACTCAGGAGGCTGAGGCAGGAGAATCACTTGAACCCAGGAGGCGGAGGTTGCAGTGAGCCGAGATTGCACCACTGCACTCCAGCGTGGTGACAGAGCGAGACTCCATCTTGGAAAAAAAAAAAAAAGAAGAAAGAAAGAAAGAGAAAGAAAGAAAGAAAGGAAAGAAAGAAGGAAAGAAAGAAAGAAAGAAAGAAAGAAAGAAAGAAATTTGTTATATCATTTATTTCATTCACTTAAATAATTTTATTTCTCTCAAAGGACTTGAAAACATTTGAAAAAATCAGGCAGCAAGTAACATGCCTTATACTAAAATATTTTATATTTGTGTCAGCTAAGGGAAAATAGCCTTTCTCTTATGTTGTATACCTGCTTTTCTATTTTTTTTATTAATTAAAATACTATTATTTTTAAAATCATGTTTAAGAAAACAGCAAAAGAGTGCAGGAGTACAAGAGTAAAAGGGATGTCTAATATGATGAACAGATGTAAAAGTTTAATTAATTTTGTTTATTTAGTATCAATCTGTTTTTAAAATATTGGAGAAAATTATATTTGTTGACATTTTATTATATTTTATTTTTATTGACTAATATAGTTACAAAGAACCAGAAAAGATATCATTTAATTATTATATAAATAATTATATCATTATATATTATTATATAAATATCATTTAATCTCCTATACATACATTCGTTGATTATAATTTTAAAGTTCTTAAATATACATATTGTATTTTGTTTCCCACAGTTGACTGAACTCATTCTTCTAACCTAAATCTATAATTCCTACTCTTGTCAGCAGAAAAAAAAATTCTTCATATGTCCAAATGCATTATTAAGCCACATATCAAAAGAAAACAAAAATAAACCATAGAGATTTTTTGAGAGATTTAACCAGGAATAATTATCTCTCTCTGCTGGATAGAATAGACTTTCTCCTTCCAATTAAGGAGTTCTTAACTCTACATATCCATGGGTTTATTATAATAATTTATTTTTTTCTCTCCTTACTTAACAAATTTTAAATTTACTTTCTATACTTTTGTTGTTGCATTTACTGACCTCCATCAATCAAATCAGTAGGTCTCTACCAGGGGACATATTGGGGAGCTTTAAAAGAAAATATTGATGCTTGTCCCAAGACAAATTATAATAAATTCTGAATATTTTGAGTGTGTCCCCAGTATCTGCATCTCATAAAATTTCCTTTAGTGATCCTAATAATCACATAGGGATTTAGAAGTATCCATGTTATCAACTACATTAATTCATTTTGTAATATTATTTTTCATACCATAATATAATAATTATATGTAGAGTTATCTGATGAATTTATCATTAAATCGCTGTGGTAACCACAGTTTAGTCACCAAATAAAGGTTTTGGGAAGAATTATAGGAAACTTTAGCTGAGTAAGATAAATATATAAAGTCTATATAATAGAGAGTTATTTTCCATGGGAAGCTTAGTTTTTAGTCAATGCTGTTAATTAACTAACTTGGATTATTGTTCCACCATAACTTATTTAGACACAGATATGTATTTTCCGCAAATGTATCACTTTTCTCTATATTCTGAACTGAATTTTAATGTGTGATTCCGTTTACCAAATTCTCTGTTCCATATGAAACTAACATTGAACAATTCATTATTAGAAACCTCAGAATTAAATATATACATATGCGAGTAATAATTGGTATCCAGTTCTATTTGAAAACTAATTGAAAACACTTAATAGGCAAACCTCAATATGTGAGGTAATAAAATAGTAGCCTCTTGCTTATGACTCAATTCAAATGGGCATTAATCTTCAGACATGTGTTTTTTCATATAAATTCAATAACAGTGGATCTAGAATTTCCTATCTCCATCAATAATACAAAATAAGGGCAGAGAGTAAATAATCTGATTTTTTTTAAATAAGTGCCACTCTTGCTGCCTACTGAACTTTCTTACCAGCATAGCTGTTTACTCTAACTGACCACCCTGCAATTGAAACCTGCTTAGAACTGTCAGCTTGTGTAAATGGACACATAATCTGGAACCTCTGATTTAGATCTCTTGTATTGTCACCCATGTCTCAGCTTCACCTGCTTGAAATCTGTTTTAATTTAAATTCGACAATTAAGCATTTAGTGAGTACCATATGCTGTGCTTTGTACTGGGTATGAAAAGGCATTATTAATACCTACATAAATAACACCGTGACTTCCAAAGCAAAGTGCTGTGATTTTCAAGTTTTTCATGTTAGATTTTATTTGTTTCAATTATTGTTAAGAGTATTTTTCACACTTGACTAAAAGCTCCAGAATTCACAGGCTTAATAATAAGAAAGATTTTATTTTAAACTTGCAAAGCTTCATTACCACCTTGTCACTGCCTTTAGTGACATATGACAAGATAATTATGATCAATGCATCAGCAAGGAGCAAACAGAGTTTTAATAGATTGCATCCTTAATCAAAATCAAATGTTACTTCTATTGGCTTGGTTTTTTTTAAAAGAGATTGAGGAAAAATGTAAATTAAATTTAATGAAACATTTGTAATTGGGAAATAGAATGAAGAGTCTGCATCCTCAAGAGTTACCTTTAATTTTTTGAGACTAGGTTATTTTTATTATACTAGGCATGGGGTAGGTAATGAAAATGGCATTGAACATTCATTGAGGGCTTCTTACATGGTAGACATTTTGTTCAGGACTTTGTATATATTACTATAATAATATAAAGCCTTGTATGTGGATGCTATTTTATGCCTACTTTACAGAGAAATATATTAGGCTTAGAAGGAAAGGTTGAAAAAATACTAAAGATAGAGGTTGCAAACTTAGGATTACAATTTAGGCAACATGATTATAAAGCTAGATATTAATCATTATCAGTATTTCTTCCACCATTTTAACTAATATTTATTTGCTTTGATTCATATTTTCTCTGAAGGTCAAGAAGTATTATTTAGCTGAAATTCAATTCTTTTATTCTAGGAGAAAAAAATGAAATCAGAAGATGATAAAAACTTATGTGAGAAACTCACTTCAATAACTTTCTCTCTTATCAGGTATCAAGTTAATCCTGACATGGTGTCTGATTTTCTAGGGAGTCTGGCAAGAGGATTTTCCTTTCATATCTAATACCATAGACCTGCTTTGTTGCTTTGATATTTTTCCTCCCTAGCAACTTGGTATTCATGCAGAGAGAAAGTCATGCTAAAGATTAGCATTACATTCCCAAGCTTGACCTTAGTTCCAAAATAAGAGATGGCATTCTTAAGTAAGGAAAAAATAGAGTGGAAGTGACTCTATACATTTCAGAGCTCCTCGACTAAATTCTATGAAGAAATTGCATTAATAAAAGTAGAAGAAAAAATATAGATTATAAGTACAGATAAAGACATATGTACCTGTGTACTTTGGATAAGAGTAGAACCCCAGAATTTTTAAGACCCTAATAAACATAAGTTAAGAAAACTAGCAGCTTAAAATTGTATGTACTATTCTCTTTGTGTAACATTTGTTTACTTTATATACCTGAAAAAAACACTATATTATATTCTTTAACAACACAAATATAAAAATTTATATCAATATGTGTTTTTTGGAAAAATACGAGTCAAAGTTTAAAAGAATGGAAATGTTTAGACTAAATGTTCAAGAGATCTGTTTTAGTAGAACTATATTACACCACAGTTAGTTATTTCTCTAGTAAAATGTGGACTGGAGACTTAATGACCTATATAAAATGCTATTTAAAGCCAAATTTCCTCTGGAAATAACAGAATGTCTTGTATCTAACAAACTCTCGTGGAGAGAAAAATAATACAATCTCAATAAAATACAAAACCAACTACCCAAGCAACAACAACAAAAAACTATTTAAACATGTAAGAGAAGACCAATACAGCTAGCAAACTGGAACTTGTGAAAGTGAATCACATGGATAATCTCAAACAGAAATATATAATATATATACATTTAGAATTTTAGAGATAGGTTTTATAATAGACTAAACATAGAAGAAGATGAAGTAAGGGAGACTAAATTCCAAAAGAGAAAAGAAACATTAAAGTGAACTCATGTTTCTCTCTGACAATTTCCAATTCACTGTGCTGGAAATAGAGGTCAATTAAAAAGAGGTGGCTTAGGGTTTGCTGGGTTGAAGAGACAGTGTTTAGAGTTTTGTGTGCCAAAGCAGCTGGGACTCAAGTGGCCAAAATACAAGATAAGATAGAGTCTTAACCCAATATTTTGCCTGAAACATTTTCTCAATGTGATTGCCAACTTGCATTTTTTGTGACCTGAGACAAAAACAAGAAAGGAGCTGGCAAGGTGCTAAGGGTCTTAACAGAAATTCCTATAGTCTACTGATGCTGAAGAGCTAGTGATGAAAGTTCAGAGCCTGAAGTTAAAAGTCTTAGGAAGCATTCCAGTCTTTAAGTTGAGAGTAAAAGCATATCCTTGACCACTTTTTGATGGAGTTATTTGATTTTTGCATGTTGATTTGTTTAAATTCCTTATAGATTCTGGATATTAGACCTTTGTCCGATTCACAGTTTGCAAATATTTTCTCCCATTCTGGAGGTGGTCTGTTTACTCTGTTGATAGTTTCTTGCTGTACAGAAATGTGTTAGCTTAATTAGGCCCCACTTGTCAATTTTTGTTTTTGTTGCAATTTCTTTTGAGGACTTAGCTTATACATTGTTGATGGTAATGTAAATTAGTCGAGTCCCTATGGAAAAGAGTTAGGATATTTCTCAAAGAACTAAGAGTTGAGCTACCATTTGACCCAGCAATCCCATTACTAAGTATATGCCTAAAGGCAAATACACTGTTCTACCAAAAAGATACATGCACCCATATTTTCATCATAGCACTGCTCAAAATAGCAAACACATGGAATCAATCCAGGTACCCATCTGTGATGGATTTGATAAAGAAAATGTGGTACATATACACCATGGAGTACTATGCAGCCACGAAAGAGAACAAAATCATATCCATGCAGCAACATGGATGCAGCTGGTAGCCATGACTCTAAGTAAACTAACCAAATACCACATGTTCTCATTTATAAGTGGGAGCTAAACATTGGACACACGTGGACGTAAAGATAGGAACAATAGACATTAACAATCATTAGAGGGGAGGGAGATAGAGGAGATGCAAGAGCTGAAAAACTACCTATGGGTAATATGCTCACTACCTGAACGATGGACTCACCTGTACTCCAAATCTCAGCATATATACCTTTGTGGTAAAACTGCACATGTACATTCTAATTCTAAAATAAAAGTTGATAAAAGAAGAGAAAGAGCAAACCAGAGAAAGAACATTCCTCACAAAATCTTAAACTAAGTCTTCATTAGATTAAGATGACCTACCAGTAGCACAGCTGCATCAGAAAAGTAAATTCTTTCTGGAGGAATACACAGTCATTTAGCAACTTAACATATTCTCATACAGAATATTTGAAATTCAAATAAAATATGTGTACTACCACACATAGAAAACAGGGATGAATGATTAAAATATAAGGAGTAAGTTGAAAAAAGTAAAACCATAGGAGATTCAGATATTGAAGTTATTAGACTCCAATGGTCTATAATAACCAAGTTTGATGTGTTCAAGAAAGCAGTACATATGGAAATGCTAACCAAAAAACTAGAACTGGTAAAAATGAATCAAGTGGGTATTCTTAAACTGAAATACACAATACATAAACTTTGAATTGGAGAAATAGGTTTGACAATAGATTAAACACAGAAAAAGAGAAAACTGGTGAACTGGAAGAAGTCAGAAAAAAATATACAGATTTAAAGTACAGAAAGAAATTATAAAAAGATGAACAATACAGAAAGAGTACACGTTACATAAGGTGAAATGATCTAATATACATGCAAGTTGGAGTTTCAGAATAAAAATGAAAGGAGAATGCAGCAATTTTGAAGAAATATTAGCCTGCATATTCCAAAGAGACTTGGATACAGACTTCAAGCAAAATAATTGTGAAACATTACATGTCAAGTAGTGCAAATTCAGGGAAATAAGCATTTAAAACATCACATAGTAAAACTGCTAAAATCCAATAACAAAAATATTAAAAATAGCTCAAGTGGTGAGGAAACTTTTTCCAAAAGAGAAAAAATAAGAGCAAAAGTCGACTTTTTAACAGAAATTGAGGAAGTCAAAAGATAACCTTTAAACTGCTCAAAGAAAACTAATGACCTACCTATAAATCTTATCCCACTAAAAATATTATTTACCAAAAGAAGCAATATACAGTGGTTTTCAGAAAGAGAGAGATAAAATTGCCAATAAATCAGGAATAATAACAATATTAAATGAACTTTATCAGGCTAAAGGAAAATAATCCCAGTTGCAAGAAAGAAAAGCACAACAGAGAAGGTATTAATGTAAATGTAAATAAATTCCTATTTAAAGTACAAATCATAATTCTTTGTGGGGTAGAATATATATGTAACATTTAAGTACTTGACATGAATAGCACAGGGTGGCAAGTAGAGCCAAAATATTGTAAGATTCTAGCATTGTTCATGAAGTGGTACAATTATGAATTTATAGACACTAGTAAATGGTAAATATAACAGATAGTCTCAGGGATAATAGTAAAAGAATGTATAATAATAAAAACAATATTATCCCAGCTACTTGGGAGGATGAGGTGCCAGTATCACTTGAACCCAGGAGGCAGAGGGTTGCACTGAGCCGAGATTGCGCCACTGCACTCCAGCATGGGTGACAGAGCAAGAGACTCCATCTCAAAACAAACAAACAAACAACCATATTCAACTAATTCATATTCTAACTATAGTCAAATTCAGCAGTCTCCTGTGTATTTTATGTCCTGTTGATTTTATTCAACCTTCAGTAAACTAATGTCAAATGCCAAAATCTAACCTCTGTTCTATTGCCATGCTTAAAAAGAGGTAGGAGTGATTGAAGTAGCAATGGGAGTCCTCTTTCTTCTTCTCATTTTTTTTAAATTTTAGTGGGCACATAATAGGTGTATATATTTATGAGGTACATGAGATATTTTGCTACAGGTATGTAACCACAATGCATAATCACATTACTGACAATCGGGTATCCATCCCCTCAAGTGTTTATTCTTTTTGTTAGAAACAATCCAGTTATACTATCTTAGTTTTAAATGTACAATTAAATTAGTATTGACTATAATCTGCCTGTTGTGCTGTCAAATACTAGGACTTATTCATTCTTCATAACTATTTTTTGTATTAATTAACCATCCCACCTCCCTCCCCCATGCCCCACGACCCTTCCCAGACTCTGGTAGTCATCCTTCTATTCTCTATCTCCATGAGTTCAATTGTCTTGGTTTTTAGATCCCACAAATAAGCAAGAACATTCAATGGTTGTCATTTCATGCCTGGCTTATTCCACTTAAATAATGACCTTCAGTTCCATCCATGTTTTTGCAAATGAAAAAATCTCGTTCTTCTTTTTTTTTCCCCCTTTGGCTGAATAGTAATCCATTGTGTATAAATACATTTTCTTTTTCCATTCACCTGTTAATGGACACTTAGGTTGCTTCCCAATCTTAGTTATTGTGAACAGTGCTGCAACAAACATAAGAGGGCAGATATCTCTTCAATCTACTGATTTCCTTTCTTTGGGAGATACATACCCAGCAATGGGATTGCTGGATCATATTATAGTTCTTTTTTTAAAGATTTTTGAGGAGCCTCCAAACTGTTCACTGTAGTGGTTGCACTAATTTACATTCCTACCAGCAGTGTATGAGGGTTCCCTTTCCCCCATATCCTTGAGAGCATTTGTTATTGCCTCACTTTTGGATGGGAGTCTGCTTTCTGATATTAATGTGTTACTAATCTCATAGTCTGAAGCAGCAGTTAGCCAAGCAGAAGATAATAGAATATTCTCTTGAGAAGACACCTGGAGAACTCTCGGGACTACTAGTGTGTTTCTTTGAGGAGCTCTTCTGATAATTATCCAGTCATTTATTTCTTCTTTTAACAAACATTTATTTGAATGCCTGTGATATGCTCTCTCATGACCTACAGAGTTTGAAATGAATAAAATCTCAAACAGAAGATAGGGTCCAAAAATAAAAGAACAATTAACTAAACATGTAAATGTCTGTTGGACATAACCATCAAGAAGTACAATAAGACAGGGTGAGGAAACATTGCACAGTGAGCAGGGGGAATTGTGCTTTTAGATGAGGTGGTAGGTAATGCCCCTCTGATAAGATGGTGTTGGTGTGGAGGCCTGAGTCAAAGAGAAGTTCTAGTCATGGGGATGTCTGGAGTACAGCACTCCAGGAAGAGTGGAAACAGCAAGAACTTAAGAATGTTACACTCAGTGCATTTCTGCTGAGTACAGTGCTGGTGTGTCTTGGCTCAGTGTGCCTGTGGGGAACTGGAGAGGGTAAGATTAAAAGAAAGGTAGAAGCAAAAACAGGTAAGGCCATGGAGGTGGTGCTAAGGGTTAGAGTTTATATCCTAAATGAGATAGCAAGCCATTGAAGGGTTTTGTATAATTTGTGTAGTTGTTCAGACCATAGACTGTGGAGGAAATAACACTGATATTTTTCTGGATGTTGGAAGTAAAGCAAGTTATAGGATAGATAAGGTCTCTGCATTTATCAAGCTTTCTAAGACAGAGAGCCCTATCAGTATATAAAGAGCTTACAAGTAAATAAGGCAAAGTCAGACATGTAGATCATATGAAAGACACCTGTAAGCCAATTAAGTCTAAGCGAGAAGGACTATTTAATTTACTTTTTGCTGTTGGTTTTTGATAATTTCTAGAATTTTGATAATGATCCTGTCTTTAAAAAGCCTGCAATTTGAAAAACCAATTCTGTAGATTCTTTCAATAATTAAATTTTAAACATTATGCTTTTAACTCTTAACACTGAATCAATTTTTCAGTATATTTAATATATTTATGGTTATTATTTCAAACTTTTAATTTTTTAAGTTTTTCATTGATCACATTAGTTCAAAGTATGGAGGGTAATTTATATACATAAATAAAATCTACAGATCACGTTTAGAAAGATTTCTGATCTTGATGAGATAAAGACAAAGATTTGTTAAAAGAAAGTTTACCTAATAAACATAAAAACAAACCAAACAAATATTTATCCTATTTTTTGTGGAAACTGCTCTATTATTATATACAAGGTATAAATATCATGTCCTTGTGTTTATAAATGCAGATATTTTGTTTACTATGAGAAAAATGAACTCTTATTTGGGATGTATAACATGTACCAGAAAATGTTTCTTCAGTGGCCATCACAGTGCCTACATGATGAAGTAATATTTTCTCCTCAAATGGTAAGCATATTTTTCAGCTTTACCTAATTTTTCTTTATAAAATTTGTGATAACCTATAAATACATAAATTTGTTCTGTGTATTTTTATACTTTAACCATGTCTTTTTTTAAACTCTCAACATTAATTTTTTGGCTGAGGAAATAGGCAACAGGAAATGCCAAGATACTATTAATGCGGACACTGTCTTAAAGACTATAACTTGAAACGAGTATTTTCAAATGGAATTATTTTACTTCTCTCATTCTACATCTTACTACTGAAAATGTTTTAGAGAGCATATAATATCTCTTATCTCCTGAGCATGTAGAATTATTTTCACCAAGGTAAACTGAGGACCTCAGTTATTTCAGAAGCGTGTACTTAAAACTAACACTTTTTCTTTAGCATAAATTAGGATGCATGCCATGGATGGGACTGGACAGAGTGGAAGGGGACAGAGATAAGAGGAGGCTTCACTTTGTTTTCTCATTTCTCATTGCCTCTAAAATCTGCTTCTAAAACCTCAAACAGAAATTTTTAAATACAAAATAAGAGATATGAAGTGAACATGCAGAAGTAGTCACATATAACATTCATACCAAACAAAAAGCAGGAGTGACTCCCTTCTTGACATGCTTTTTATTAAGTAATTGTTTCTAAGTATAAAGCATCAAGCTGATGGCTGATAAATCCATGAAAAAACAGAAGTTAGATGCTAATAAATATCTATTTTCTGCATTGAATTTTAGTTCTTTTGGATAAGATTTCATTTCTACTCCTATGGCCACTTATATAAATTTTCCTGGAGGGGATCACACTCTAGTAACAATAATGATGCTTCAGAATCAATAATAGAGATGACCAGGTAGTACAAAGGTATGCTAGTATACTAGGTAAATAGCATCCATTACAGCACATCCGTTATAGAACTTTATGAAGCTTATTCCTTTCTGCACTTCTATATTAGACCAATCTTTGTTGACTCCTGAATTAGCCCTCTCTTGATAATCATTTTAAACTTTAAATGTTCAATGGGCAACTATAATTACACACAATCATGTCTCATTCTTTTTTATTAAATTATTTTTCTTTTTTTTTAAATTTATCATGCCAGGACTGGGTAACTTTATTCAAGACTTTGACAAAATGATCCCCAAAGTAATATAAATCTAGACACTTTAAAAAGTCCAGATGTAGAATTTCAAGAAAACTTTGAATTCAGTCCAAAGTCAATATTAAGTAAAAAGTTGAATCAATTCTACAAATCATAAAAACTATTTCCCTTCTTAAGTACATATATTTTCTGAGATAGATTACCAACTTAGTTTTCTTTGATATGGTATTTGGAATAATTTTAACATGATTTAACATCTTTAAGTTCTAAATCTATACTTATCCTGAATATCTTATTATAGTTAAAAATATAAATCCAGACGTGACAACTCTTCCTTACAGAAGAATTCCAATAATAAATGTAGAAGGATTGAGAGAAACAGAATATCACCATTAGAACACCACAGTAGTAATTGCCACAAGCAAGATCTGCCAATGGATAGTAAAATGAGCAAAAGTTTAAGCAGAAATGGGACATTTGCATAGTCTCAGGGTATCTCCAGCAAATATTCAATAATTACAAGGAAAACACAGTAAGTTTACAGTAGCGAATCCTAGCAGACACCACCTTAGCACAGTGATCAAAGTTAACAACACCAGAAATACATTACAACATCAGGTATCCCCTGTTATGATACACATCACAGGCTGGAAGACACAACATAGACATGACAGCTAAATGCAAAGCTGGGTCTTCGAATAGTAAAAGGACGTTAGTGAAAAGACTAAAATCTCTACTTTTTAAACTTTCTACTTTAGTTAGTATTATATCAAGGTTAATTTCTTAATTTTGACAAATGTTCTATTGTTATGTAAGATGTCAACATAAGGGCAAGGTGGGTGCAGAGTATACAAGAACTCTACTATTTTTACAACTCTTCTGAAAGTCTAAAATTATCTCTAAAGCTTAAAAAATAACTGTTAGAAAACACACACATATATGTGCATAACGTTTACTATATAAATCAAGACTTCATGGAAATTGGCATCTTGGGCACTCAGTCAGTAAAAGAGTAGTGTTCTCTTCTGAATTATTCATTGTCTTACTGGTAACTTAGCTTTAAGGTCCTCCCCCTTCTAGACTTTAATCTCAAGTATAAATTTATAATTTTCATAGAAAAGCCTTTTTTAAACATTCCTATATTAGGCCAAAAATAAAATCCTAGAATAAAATTATCACCATAATATGTTATAAAATCACTCATCCCAACCATAAGACCCAGACAGTATTTTTACTACATTTCCTCTCCTCATTTAATATCTTTGTATTGGTTTGGTTTGGTTTATGAGTGGAGACAGCTAATAGATTTAGTATTTACTCATAGGCCTGACAGTCTAGGGGAAAAAAATTAACACTTGAGTATCTTAGGAAGAAACAGTTAATTTTCTATATACCCATTTAGCATTAGCATTCTGCATAATTACAAACTATCAATTGGATTGATTTTCTATAAACTTCATCAGAAAATAAATGACATAGCCTTTTTTAGTATCTTCATAAATTCAGTAATTACCATAAGACACCATGAGAGACACCGCTGAACTCAAGTTCAATAAAACCATGATTTACAGTTTATTTCTTATAAGATATTTTCAGATGATGATGTGATAAATTTGATACGATTGGACATGACACCAGGCAATTTTTAGTGAGTTTTCACACAATAAATTGCTTCACATTTTTTGTATGTATACATATATATGAGAAGTACATTTTTATTCTAAAAGTTTAAAAACAAATTTCTTATAAAGCTATATAAAAGTCACGTTACATTATTCTTCATTATTTTTTTCATAACTACTTTACTCCCTTCTAATTACATTTTTCATTAAGTCTATCAAAGTAAAAATTTTAATTGTCAGAAGTTCCTCCCACCCATTCTTTTACCTCTATGAAAACATTTTTCAATAATCTTAATTGTTTTCTTCTTCCCTTTTTAGTAATACTTAATAGTACTCTATTAATATATGTTGTTGTCCTAAATAACATGTGGATTTTCCTGGAAGTCACTTACCTAATTATTAAATGTTGTTTTCTTTTGGTTTGTTTTGTTGCAGAGATTGTTTCTTGTCTTCTGAAACACTGACAATTGAATGTAACTCTTTAAGGTGATACTGCATATCTTTTTAAAGATTTCTTGCCTTTGGTCATATTTCTTATAAACATTTAAAATCATGTTTATACGTGAAAATTACTATTAAAAATAAAATTTAAGTACATTTTATTGGTGAGATATTTAAATCAAAATGAAGCAGCATAACAATATAAAAATTAAAAGCTCAGATTGAGTATCATCTTATTTTTGTAGAGTTATCTTAAATATATTCCTCTTCCCACTAAAATTTCCTTTGCTAATAAAATGCCTCCAACTTTTTCAATGTCTTTCTGGTTTTCACTTTTCTGCCCTTTTAACTGCATTTTGAATGATTTCTACAATTTCTAAAAGACAATCCATCCTTTCCTGCAAACAATCCCTTTATTTTTACTTTCTTTTCCTCATTAGTTGCGTCTCTATTCTCCTAATATCCTGGATCATATTCCTCTTTTATCCTCCTTCTCTTAGTCTTTATTTCCTTTAATAGCTATATTATTTCATTTTATTACCATAATGTGATGTTTTTCTTTCACTTTACCTGTTTCATTTCATTTCAATGAAATTACTTGGATCCTAGGAATTTTCTCTCTATGGTTAGCCATTTTCTTTCTTTCTTTTTTTTTAATACTTTAGGGTTAAAAAAAAGTTTTAGGATAAAAAAAGTTAAAAAAGTTTTAGGGTACATGTGCACAACGTGCAGGTTAGTTACATATGTATACATGTGCCATGTTGGTGTGCTGCACCCATTAACTCGTCAGTTAACATTAGGTATATCTCCAAATGCTATCCCTTACCCCTCCCCCCACCCCACAACAGGCCCCGGTGTGTGATGTTCCCCTTCCTGTGTCCATGTGTTCTCATTGTTCAATTCCCACCTATGAGTGAGAACATGCGGTGTTTGGTTTCTTGTCCTTGCAATAGTTTGCTGAGAAGGATGGTTTCCAGCTTCATCCATGTCCCAACAAAGGACATGAACTCATCATTTTTTATGGCTTCATAGTATTCCATGGTGTATATGTGCCACATTTTCTTAATCTAGTCTATCATTGTTGGACATTTGGGTTGGTTCCAAGTCTTTGCTCTTGTGAATAGTGCCACAATAAACATACGTCTGCATGTGTCTTTATAGCAGCATGATTTATAATCCTTTGGGTATATACCCAGTAATGGGATGGCTGGGTCAAATGGTATTTCTAGTTCTAGATCCCTGAGGAATTGCCGCACTGACTTCCACAATGGTTGAACTAGTGTACGGTCCCACCAACAGTGTAAAAATGTTCCTATTTCTCCACATCCTCTCCAGCACCTGTTGTTTCCTGACTTTTTAATGATCACCATTCTAACTGGGGTGAGATGGTATCTCATTGTGGTTTTGATTTGCATTTCTCTGATGGACAGTGATGATGAGCATTTTTTCATGTGTCTTTTGGCTGCATAAATGTCTTCTTTTGAGAAGTGTCTGTTCATATCCTTCACCCACTTTTTGATGGGGTTGTTTTTTTCTTATAAATTTGTTGGAGTTTATTGTAGATTCTGGATATTAGCCCTTTGTCAGATGAGTAGATTGCAAAAATTTTCTGCCATTCTGTAGGTTGTCTGTTCACTCTGATGGTAGTTTCTTTTCCTGTGCAGAAGCTCTTAAGTTTAATTAGATCCCATTTGTCAATTTTGGCTTATGTTGCCATTGCTTTTGTTGTTTTAGACATGAAGTCCTTGCCCATGCCTGTGTCCTGAATGGTATTGCCTAGGTTTTCTTCTAGGATTTTTATGGTTTTAGGGCTAACATGTAAGTCTTTAATCCATCTTGAATTAATTTTTGTATAAGGTGTAAGGAAGGGATCCAGTTTCAGCTTTCTACATATGGCTAGCCAGTTTTCCTAGCACCATTTATTAAATAGGGAATCCTTTCCCCATTTCTTGTTTTTGTCAGGTTTGTCAAAGATCAGATGGTTGTAGATATGCGGCATTATTTCTGAGGGCTCTGTTCTGTTCCATTGGTCTATATCTCTGTTTTGGTACCAGTACCATGCTGTTTTGGTTACTGTAGCCTTGTAGTATAGTTTGAAGTCAGGTAGCGTGATGCCTCCAGCTTTGTTCTTTTGGCTTAGGATTGACTTGGCGATGCGGGCTCTTTTTTGGTTCCGTATGAACTTTAAAGCAGTTTTTTCCAATTCTGTGAAGAAAGTCATTGGTAGCTTGATGGGGATGGCATTGAATCTATAAATTACCTTGGGCAGTATGGCCATTTTCATGATATTGATTCTTCCTACCCATGAGCATGGAATGTTCTTCCATTTGTTTGTATCCTCTTTTATCTTATTGAGCAGTGGTTTGTAGTTCTCCTTGAAGTGGTCCTTCACATTCCTTGTAAGTTGGATTCCTAGGTATTTTATTCTCTTTGAAGCAATTGTGAATGGGAGTTCACTCACGATTTGGCTCTCTGTTTGTCTGTTATTGGTGTATAAGAATGTTTGTGATTTTTGCACATTGAGTTTGTATCCTGAGACCTTGCTGAAGTTGTCTATGAGTTTAAGGAAATTTTGGGCTGAGACAATGGGGTTTTCTAGATATACAATCATGTCATCTGCAAACAGGGACAATTTGACTTCCTCTTTTCCTAATTGAATACCCTTTATTTCCTTCTCCTGCCTGATTGCCCTGGCCAGAACTTCCAACACTATGTTGAATAGGAGTGGTGAGAGAGGGCAACCCTGTCTTGTGCCAGTTTTCAAAGGGAATGCTTCCAGTTTTTGCCCATTTAGTATGATATTGGCTGTGGGTTTGTCATAGATAGCTCTCATTATTTTGAGATATGTCCCATCAATACCTAATTTATTGACAGTTTTTAGCATGAAGGGGTTGTTGAATTTTGTCAAAGGCCTTTTCTGCATCTGTTGAGATAATCATATGGTTTTTGTCATTGTTTCTGTTTATATGCTGGATTATGTTTATTGATTTGCGTATGTTGAACCAGCCTTGCATCCCAGGGATGAAGCCCACTGGATCATGGTGGATAAGCTTCTGGATGTGCTGCTGGATTCAGTTTACCAGTATTTAATTGAGGATTTTTGCATCGATGTTCATCAGGGATATTGGTCTAAAATTCTCTTTTTTTGTTGTGTCTCTGCCAGGCTTTGGTATCAGGATGATGCTGGCCTCATAAAATGAGTTAGGGAGGATTCCCTCTTTTTCCATTGATTGGAATAGTTTCAGAAGGAATGGTACCAGCTCCTCCTTGTACCTCTGGTAGAGTTCAGCTGTGAATCCATCTGGTCCTGAACTTTTTTTGTTTGGTAAGCTATAATTATTGCCTCAATTTCAGAGCCTGTTATTGGTCTATTCAGAGATTCAACTTCTTCCTGGTTTAGTGTTGGGAGGGTGTATGTTTCGAGGAATTTATCCATTTCTTCTAGATTTTCTAGTTTATTTGCATAGAGGTGTTTATAGTATTCTCTGATGGTAGTTTATATTTCTGTGGGATCGGTGGTGATATCTCCTTTATCATTTTTTATTGCATCTATTTGATTCTTCTCTCTTTTCTTTTTTATTAGTCTTGCTAGCGGTCTATCAATTTTGTTGATCTTTTCAAAAAAACAGCTCCTGGATTCATCGATTTTTTGAAGGGTTTTTTGTGTCTCTATCTCTTTCAGTTCTGCTCTGATCTTAGTTATTTCTTGCCTTCTGCTAGCTTGTAAATGTGTTTGTTCTTGCTTCTTTATTTCTTTTAATTGTGATGTTAGGGTGTCAATTTTAGATCTGTCCTGCTTTCTCTCATGGGCATTTAGTGCTATAAATTTCCCTCTACACACTGCTTTGAATGTGTCCCAGAGATTCTGGTATGTTGTGTCTTTGTTCTCGTTGGTTTCAAAGAACATCTTTATTTCTGACTTCATTTCGTTATGTATCCAGTAGTCATTCAGGAGCAGGTTGTTCAGTTTCCATGTAGTTGAGCAGTTTTGAGTGAGTTTCTTAATCCTGATTTCTATTTTGATTGCACTGTGGTCTGAGAGACAGTTTGTTATAATTTCTGTTCTTTTACATTTGCTGAGGAGTGCTTTACTTCCAACTATGTGGTCAATTTTGGAATAAGTGCGGTGTGGTGCTGAGAAGAATGTATATTCTGTTGATTTGGGGTGGAGAGTTCTGTAGATGTCTATTAGGTCCGCTTGGTGCAGAGCTGAGTTCAGTTCCTGGATATCCTTTTTAACTTTCTGTCTCGTTGATCTGTCTAATGTTGACAGTGGGATGTTAAAGTCTCCCATTATTAATGTGTGGGAGTCTAACCATTTTCAATTGCACTTCTTATTTTATGAGGTTTACCTTCATTTTAATCTGCTTCCTTTCTAGTCATAGCCTCGGAAGTTTTTTGTTTGTATTAACTGACTTCCACACCTCTGGCTAAGGTTACCATATATTTTATTTCTCAAATAGGGACATTTTTGTGAGTGAAAAGAGGATAACAGGAATTAATTAGATCTGTCTCAAATCTGTAATACAGTCACATTACATCTGGAAGAGTAGAAATTAGAGTCAGAGCTTATTCTTGCTTTGTCTCTTTTGTGTTTACTCACCAATAAGTGGAAAAATGGTTTCTTCTGATTTAAGTGGGAAAAACCAACCCTAAACATGGAGAAAGTAGAAACTTCTCCTTTCTTCTTCCCATCTAAGTAGATTTAGAACAAGGAGTTTTTTGGGTAGAGAAGGAAAATTAAGGAAGAGCTGGAAATTAAATGATCACAATGCAGAGAAAGCCAATAGTAAAACTTTCCTTATTAGGGAAGAGTAGGGAATCATAGCAAACAGATGAAGCATTTTGGAACTCTTAAGCCAGGTACAGTCATATATCTAAAGCAGTAGGTTCTCAGCATGAGAGAATTGTAGTGATATATGTCTTGCAAGGGTGGGAAGCAGCTTGATTGGACATCAGGTGATGACTGATTTTTAAAAAGAAGATTGCATGAAGAGAGCAACAATTTGTCTATTAACGTAAGATAATAGAAATTAAGAAGGTGGTTTGGTTACTAAAACTTACCAAAATGCAGAAAGGTGGCCATGGGATCACCACACCATTTAATGATGAAAAATGTCCATTAGTTTTGTGAATTTAATAGGAAGCTATAGAGCTATTGAACGAAATTTACTCTGAAAAAACAAAAAATTTTCATAGGCTGGAATGGATCTAAGTCTGCAAGTGGTGGCTTAATCATGGAAAGTATCTGAAGGACTGAGAACTAGACATTATAGTACAATGAAGCTTGGCCACTTGAAGGTACAAATTTCCTATCATTATCTCTGGAGTTCTTGGGGGCTTAGAAAGATTAATTTTCAATTTGTTTTTAAGTACATATATATGCCTAGGTCAAATTTATACATCTTTTATTTCTCAGTAAGCTTTTTCCTGTTGAATTCTATACAAAACAATTAGGGCTTTGCTCAATATTTTGCTCAAATCCTTATTAGTATAACCCAAAATATCTAAAAATGCTACATTATACAACTGCTGTATAATCTGGGACAGTTGTATATATATGTTTACATTTATACATGTATATTTTATTTTATGTTTATATTTAATATGTATTTAATTGACAGTTATTTCCAATACTACAAAAACTTAAGAAAGATTGTTTTGTAGTTTTTCCAAATGCTTTAGAACTATGTGGGCTTTACAGGTGTTTTTCTTGTTTTGCCTAAAAAAGTGTGTGGATTTGTATAATGCAAAATACAAAGCAGAATACAATAGTATTTATTATCCTTAATCAAGAGCACTGAGTCCTACAAAAGTAGATCTTGGTAGATACTTAAATATGAAATAACACAAGTATAATGTTTTGATGAGTACAAAAAAAAACACAGTGAAAATCTATTCTCTACAAATTGACCCAATTATTGATGTCAAAAACCCCTAATCTTTATTTCAAAAAAACCCTAATCTTTATTTATTTATCTCACTAATATTCATAAAGTATAAAAGTTTTAGTCTCTTCATTTGAACATCCATGTATAATACCATCTGGGAACTTCTTTGTTATTTGTGTAAATCATTAGATTTTCTGTAAAGATAAGCAAATGTTTAGTAATATCATATCACTTCTAATGGAGTTAAGTATGATGGAGAAATAATGAATAAACAACCACCATGGGTTGTTAAACAAGTGTATTCTAAAATTTTGAAATAACTCTAGTCAATGTGCCTGGTTAAAACCTGCATATAAATAAAACAATGTAATGCTGAATGTTGGGATTTATAAGATTTCAATTTGGGCAGTACAAAAGGAACCACACAAATTTTAAATCTTTATATTTAAACAGGAACTCAATGAAAATTAAATTCAAAAACCTTTGTTCCTAGTTGAAGAGACAGATCTGGAAATTCAAAGAGGCTTGATAATCTGGTAAAAATCACACAGTCATTTAGTACTTGGATCAGACTCAACATCTGGGTAACGACACAGCTTCTCCTAGTTTCTTTATATTCACATTTTAGCTGCTACATCACATTCAATTTTGACTGATATGAATTGAATTTTGATTGATATGAATTGAAATTTCATTCTGCTAATGCCAACCCATTGCAGTATAGCTTATTTAAACATCACACACAGAGGTATGTACACTCAAACACAAACACATATACCTAAAGTGTCAACATTAATAGGCAAATGATATTTTAATGATACCTGTTGTATTTGCTTATTAATATGTTTATATTTATATTACTAGTTTATAGTTATTTTAGTGGAAAAACAAACTTTTGAACTACTTAGAACATTGGTTTCTGTTCCTCTTATTCCAGTTACCATTAATAGTATCTGAAGTCTTTATTTCATCTTCCTTAGGTATGCTAAGGATAACATCAGATTAATCAATTCACTGTATAAAGACAATATACAGTTCATTGATGGCGTAGTAAATGATCACATTTAATATACCCCATATCATTTTTATTTTAAATTTTAAATAGAGGGAAACCACACAGTTGGCACTGAAACCTTAGAACATTAAATTTAAATGTTAAACTTTTTTCAAACATATTCTAGTTTATATTGCTATACTTTGTATATATGTGAGATGTGGAAACATACATATTTATAATTGTTGAGACATATTACCAAGGAATAATATAAGGCAAACTCTACCAGATTCTGATAAAAATGTAGCTGCATCAACAACATTCTGAAAAAAAAGTTAATTTTCTAATAGGAATACGTATCATAATCAGAATCTCATTAGTTGTGGTGTAAATTGTCTTTATCTTAAGGTTGTTATGGAAGTGGATGTCAATTTTATTTAAAATTATAAAGCCTATGCAAGTAGAGAGAATATTTGCATTAGAAATGTGAAAGTTTCATTCTTTTAACGAGTAAACCTAAACAGTTGAAACAGTGTTTCTTGAATTATGCAATAAATTGAACTTGCTGAAAATTTGTTTTAATATTATTTTTACTGTGAGGTGGATTGAAAAAGTGGTAGAGACTAAACCGTAATTGTTGAATTTCAAAAGGTACCAGAAGGGTTTTTCACTATTTGACAAATAGACAATTATATATTACTTGGGAATTTACTATGTGAAAAGAAAGCGTTAACAAATGTTTAGAATGTCTTTTCCCTAACTCCAGGAATTTCTAAAAAATTTGCTACTTAGCAGTGTTTTTACAATATCAATTCACAGAATTTACAGGATTATCCCTAGGTTGGTTCCAAGATAAATGAGAATTCCGCCTAAATTACTAGAAACCAGACCAAACATCCATATTTCATTATCAACACTATTTGTTGAGTAACAAGCAACTATCATTGTTGAGATGCAACTACACTAGAGAATGAGAACTACCCCAGAGAGGACTACTAGAAATGTATAAAAGATATAGGACTGCTGTGATAATGGATTAATTAATCTTCAGCAGATGACCTCTTCTCATCCACTCTCTTAACATATGATTATGTATATTCTGAGTGCAAATCATCAGTGGCTACACCCAGGAATTATGAGAACAGTGCTATGCTGTAGACATGTAATCTGTGTTATTACCTGTCCTGTTCGTTTCTTAAAACCAAGTACATTTGTTGCTGGTGAACCTTAATTTGTCAGGCGAGACTGAGTTTCAATCTGAACCCAAAATCACTGCTTCAGGTTGAGAATAATGTATATTGCCAAGTGGTGTTTCAGATCCATGACCTAAGATGGCAAAGTCTTTTAATGGTAAAGAAAAAGATGTAAGGTAGGTCTGGTGAGATTGATGAGGTTCTTATTAATCCACACATTGAAGAATGAAAGCTCTGTGTCAGATTATCAGATACAATTAATTTGATAAAAAGCTTTGAACCGGTAAGGAACTGTATAAATGGCTAGTTTTGCCATACCTCTGCATTGGAAGGATTTGTTTCTTCTCCCATAACTCTGCCAGGGATGAAAGTAGATATGTGTCTTTTATTTCCTAAGAAACGCTAGTCACTTTATGGAATTAATTCATTTCAGTTTCTAGAAAATCTTCAACTCACTAATGAGTTAAAAATAACTATGAACTATAACTTATTCAGGTATTATTTTTATTAGATTAGAAATTGTAGTATCTTGTAAAAAATTATAAAGAAATTGAACTACCAAAGATAGAGGGTTTTATAGCTTTTATGCTTCAAAAATAGTTACATATAGGCTTTACTTTTCTACTTAGCTTTGTTGGGGTATAAGTTGCATAAAATAAAGATAATTAATTTGAAGTGTATAGTTTGAGTTTTAAATGCCCCCATAATAGTTAGATAACCCCTGAAACTAAGAATATTTGCATTGATTTGAACTGTGTCCTAATACCCCTTTACAGTCAACTAATTTCCTCCAAAATGACCAGGGGCAACCACTGTCTTACATTTTGTCACTATATATCTATAAATAGATATAGATATCATTTTGTTTCTTTTAGATAAATAACTTGTAGAATGTAGAATACTGAGTTCTAGGGTATCTGTATATTTAAGTGTATAATAAATTGAGAAATTGTTTACCAAAGCAGTTCTATACTATTTTCGATCCCCAAAAGCAATGTATGAGTTCCAGTTGCTGTATATTCTTGCTAACATTTGGTATTGTTAATCTTTTTTATTTTATTTATACCATTGGGTATATACTGGTATCTCATTGTTTTTTAATTTGAATTATCTACAAACTAATAGGGTTCAACTTTTTTTTACATTCTTACTTGCCATTTGTATATTTTCTTTGGCGAGTTGTTTCCAATCTGGTGTGCATTTTAATTGACTGCTTGTTTTCATATTGTTGCATTTTAAAAGTTAACAGCACCTTTTTCAGACATATTATTTGTAAATATTTTCTCACAAGCTGGTAGCTTGAGAGTTTTTTTGTTTTGTTTTGTTTTACT
Source organism: Homo sapiens (assembly GCF_000001405.40). Taxonomy (NCBI): domain Eukaryota; kingdom Metazoa; phylum Chordata; class Mammalia; order Primates; family Hominidae; genus Homo; species Homo sapiens. The sequence continues at coordinate 184,238,032 of NC_000002.12, read as the reverse complement.
TAGCTGAAGTTAATATGCTTAAAATATTTAAGTTAATCATTCTTTTCTTCTATAGTTTTTTCTTTTGTGTACTACTAATAAATCTTTGACTAACTTGAGGAATCAAATATTTCTCCAGTGTTTTTCAAATAAGTATTATAGATTTCACTCATATATTTAGATCTAGAATTCATCCTGTAATTTTTATGTGATATAATATAATACAGAGTTTATTTTTATTAACAAAGATAAATATATGTTCTAGCGCAATTTTTTTAAATATATGTCTCCAACTTAATTACTTTGGTGTCTTTATCAAAAATTAATCAGTCATTTATATGATGGTTTCACTGATATATATAAATATCCAAAGCCAATACTTCACTACTGTTATTGAAGAAGCTTCATCTTAACTTTGAAAATTATGTATTCAGAGTTGCATAACTCTGTTCTTCCTTTTCAATATTGTTTAGGTAGTTTGCATTTCCATATAAATTTTGAATCAGCTTATTAATGTTTAAAAATATCTGCTTGGGTTTGATTGGAATTCATTAACTCTATAGATCAACTTGAGGAAAATGGACATCTTTTCTATATTTTAAATAAGTGGATTTTATAGTATGTGAATCATATTTTGATAAAGCTGTTTAAAAATAAAAACTTTGTAAGATAAATGATAAATTGTTAAATTTATAAAAGGGAAAATATTTGAATGGTCACTTCTCCAGGAAACATAAATGAATGACAACACATAAAAATATGCTCACTATATGCATATTATTCAAGCAGGAAAGCAAATATGTCAAAGTTCTTCAAATTACATATTCTAGATAGGTATATTTTTTGCACATCAATTATTCTTCAATAAAGCTGGGAAAAAGAAAAAGATATAATTTGTAAAAGAAGGAGAAAATTGTGTTTATTGATATGCAATATTACTATAGGTAGAATAATGAACCTCCAAAGACTGTCACATTCTAGTTCCTAGAATATGTTACTTGGCAAAAGGGAGTTTGCAAATGTGAGTAAGAATATTGAACTGCGTGATTTTCTCAGATTATCTGAGTGAGCCTAATATAATTTCAAGGGTCTTTAAAAGATTAAGAGGGAGGCAGAAGTGTCAGTTTTAGAATGTTGTTAAGACAGTGGAAGGGGTGAGAAGGTGACCCTGCAGGTGGAAAGACTCAACTGGCCATTATTGGCTTTGAAGACAGAGGAAGCCATGAGCCAAGGAATGTGCACAGTCTCTAAATGTTGGAAAATGCAAAACACAAGCCAAAAAATTTTTCATATTTTGAAATGAAAAATCAGCTCTGATGACAACTTGATTTTAGTGTAGCATAACTCATTTCAACTTCTGACCTTCAGAACTGTCATATACGTTTGTGTTGATTTAAGCTCCTAAATTTGTAGCAACTTGTTACAGCAGCAAAAGGAAATGAATGCAAATATAACTGTTCACATATAGTTAAGAACTATAAAAAGACAGCTAGGAGTCTTAAGTGAGTTTAGCAGATTAAAGGTCAATATACAACAATCAATTGTATTTCTATATGTTGTGATGAAACAATAGAAACAAAATTTGAAAAACAATATCATTTAAACTAAACTTCAAGCTACATCAAGTATAAATGAATCAAACAAAATAGGCACAAGGCTTATACACTCCTGAGATCATGCATACATTTTTGAGAAGCATATCAAAACCAGGATATTAGCATTGGTACTATTTGCCTATATAGTGCTATGCTATTTTGTCACATGTGTAAATCTACTACCATTGCAAACACTGCATTCAAGACAGATTCCATCACCACAAACATCTCTGTCTTAATATCTCTTTATAGTCAACTCCTATTCCTAAACCTTGCAACCACCAATCAGTTTTCATTCTCTCTATAATTTTGTCATTTTCTGAATGTTATATACATAGAATCAGACATTATATGATCTTTTGAGACTGGCTTTTTGCTAACAATAATTAACTTGAGATCTATCCAAGTTGTTGAGTGTATCAGTGATCTGTTGGGGACTTTTAAGATGGATGGGACCATGAGCCAAGGCACGTGAGCAGCCTCCTACAGTTAAGAATGACCTCTGTCTGACAGTGAGCAAAGAAATAGAGACTTCAGCTCTACGACTTCACAGAATTTAATTCTATCAACAACCCGATTAAGACTGGAAGTAGATTATCCTTTACCCTTGAGTCTCCAGATAAAAACCCAGGCTGACCAATACTTTGATTGCAGCCTATTGAGACTTTAAGCAAAGTAACTAGCCAAACTCACTTAACTTCTGGCCTACAGGAAATAGTCAATGAGTATTAAGCCATTAAAACAGCCCAGTGAAGCTATCTGGACCTGATTTATTATAATTGAGTTACAGCTATTTCTTCTTGAGTCACATTTGGTAGGTTATGTCATCCAAGAAATTTGTCCTTTTCACCTATTATCCATAGCAGTCTACTCGTCCATGCTTGATATTGGTGATGTGTATCTGCAGTCTGTCTCAAGGACTGTCACTGGTCCATCTGGGGGTTGATGAGGAATTCAGCTGGGGTTCTGGGTTGAAATATTTCTGCATATGAACTCACCGTGAACTGGGTTTCCTCAAAGCATAATAGCCTGGAAATTCTTACATGGTGCCTCAGGGATTCCATGGCTGCATAACAACAGAGCCAGGTGAAAACTATGTAGGCTTATATTACCTTATCTGATAAGTCACAAGCCTGTCTAGATTCAATCAGAGAGAATCTAGACTCTTCTTGTTGATGGGAGGAGTGCCAAAATCACATTTAAGAAGGGTTTGTGGGATAGAAGTTACTATTGTGGTTTGCTTTGGAAAAAAATACAGCCTGTCACAGTCATAAATATTTTCTTTAAAACCATCCTAAATCAGAACACATGATTTGATTTCCAGCTGCACTAGGTAGCATCTATTTGAGTATAAATTACCTTATTCAATAAACGGTTCTTGAGTGCTTAAAATAATGAGTGCTTAAAAGTTCTAGGTTCTGGGATACATCAGTTAAAAAAAAATAGACAAAGAGGCCTACTGTTATGGAAATTATTTTCTGGCAGCATTACATTTATATAGCATTTGGGAGATTTAACATTCTGAGAATTTTGTGAGCTACCATAAATAAAAATATCTGAAGCCATAAAATAGGAGTGTTGAATACACAGAACACATGCTACCACTATCTATTCTGAGCTCAAAATCGACATAATTAATAAAACCAATCCTCAGACTCCTCAATAGTAGCATGTTTGGTGCTGATTAACTTTTTTACACAAGTTGCAAATTATTGGTCAATGCAACTTTAAGGTATCAGTGATGGAAGATGAAATGAATGAAATGAAGCGAGAAGGGAAGTTTAGAGAAAAAAGAATAAAAAGAAAAGAACAAAGCCTCCAAGAAATATGGGACTATGTGAAAAGACCAAATCTACGTCTGATTGGTGTACCTGAAAGTGACGGGGAGAATGGAACCAAGTTGGAAAACACTCTGCAGGATATTATCCAGGAGAACTTCCCCAATCTAGAAAGGCAGGCCAACATTCGGATTCAGGAAATACAGAGAACTCCACTAAGATACTCCTCGAGAAGAGCAACTCCAAGACACATAATTGTCAGATTCACCAAACTTGAAATGAAGGAAAAAATGTTAAGTGCAGCCAGAGAGAAAGGTCGGGTTACCCACAAAGGGAAGCCCATCAGACTAACAGCAGATCTCTTGGCAGAAACTCTACAAGCCAGAAGAGAGTGGGGGCCAATATTCAACATTCTTAAAGAAAAGAATTTTCAACCCAGAATTTCATGTCCATCCAAACTAAGCTTCATAAGTGAAGGAGAAATAAAATACTTTACAGACAAGCAAATGATGAGAGATTTTGTCACCACCAGGCCTGCCCTAAAAGAGCTCCTGCAGGAAGCACTAAACATGGAAAGGAACAACTGGTACCAGCCACTGCAAAATCATGCCAAATTGTAAAGACCATCGAGGCTAGGAAGAAACTGCATCAACTAATGAGCAAAATAACCAGCTAATATCATAATGACAGGATCAAATTCACACATAACAATATTAACTTTAAACGTAAATGAACTAAATGCTCCAATTAAAAGACAGACTCGAAAATTGGATAAAGAGTCAATGACCCATCAGTGTGCTGTATTCAGGAAACCCATCTCATGTGCAGAGACACACATAGGCCCAAAATAAAAGGATAGAGGAAGATCTACCAAGCAAATGGAAAACAAAAAAAGGCAGGGGTTGCAATCCTAGTCTCTGATAAAACAGACTTTAAACCAACAAAGATCAAAAGAGACAAAGAAGGCCATTGCATAATGGTAAAGGGATCAATTCAACAAGAAGAGCTAACTATCCTAAATACATATGCACCCAATACAGGAGCACCCAGATTCATAAAGCAAGTCCTGAGTGACCTACAAAGAGACTTAGACTCCCACACAATAATAACGGGAGACGTTAACACCCCACTGTCAACATTAGACAGATCAACGAGACAGAAAGTTAACAACGATACCCAAGAATTGAACTCAGTTCTGCATCAAGCAGACCTAATAGACATCTACAGAACTCTCCACCCCAAATCAACAGAATATACACTTTTTTCAGCACCACACCACACCTATTCCAAAATTGACCACATAGTTGGAAGTAAAGCACTCCTCAGCAAATGTAAAAGAACAGAAATTATAACAAACTGTCTCTCAGACCACAGTGCAATCAAAATAGAAATCAGGATTAAGAAACTCACTCAAAACTGCTCAACTACATGGAAACTGAACAACCTGCTCCTGAATGACTACTGGGTACATAACGAAATAAAGGCAGAAATAAAGATGTTCTTTGAAACCAACGAGAACAAAGACACAACATACCAGAATCTCTGGGACACATTCAAAGCAGTGTGTAGAGGGAAATTTATAGCACTAAATGCCCACAGGAGAAAGCAGGAAAGATCCGAAATTGACACCCTAACATCACAATTAGAAGAACTAGAGAAGCAAGAGCAAACACATTCAAAAGCTAGCAGAAGGCAAGAAATAACTAAAATCAGAGCAGAACTGAAGGAAATAGAGACACAAAAAAATCCTTCAAAAATTAATGTATCCAGGAGCTGGTTTTCTGAAAGGATCAACAAAATTGATAGACCGCTAGCAAGACTAACAAAGAAGAAAAGAGAGAAGAATCAAATAGACACAATAAAAAATGATAAAGGAGATATCACCACCAATCCCACAGAAATAAAAACTACCATCAGAGAATACTACAAACACCTCTACGCAAATAAACTAGAAAATCTAGAAGAAATGGATAAATTCCTCGACACATACACCCTCCCAAGACTAAACCAGGGAGAAGTTGAATCTCTGAATAGACCAATAACAGGAGCTGAAATTGTGGCAATAATCAATAGCTTACCAACCAAAAAGAGTCCAGGACCAGATGGATTCACAGCCGAATTCTACCAGAGGTACAAGGAGGAACTGATACCATTCCTTCTGAAACTATTCCAATCAATAGAAAAAGAGGGAATCCTCCCTAACTCATTTTATGAGGCCAGCATCATCCTGATACCAAAGCTGGGCAGAGACACAACCAAAAAAGAGAATTTCAGAGCAATATCCTTGATGAACATTGATGCAAAAATCCTCAATAAAATACTGGTAAACCGAATCCAGCAGCACATCCAGAAGCTTATCCACCATGATCCAGTGGGCTTCATCCCTGGGATGCAAGGCTGGTTCAACATACGCAAATCAATAAACATAATCCAGCATATAAACAGAAACAATGACAAAAACCATATGATTATCTCAACAGATGCAGAAAAGGCCTTTGACAAAATTCAACAACTCTTCATGCTGAAAACTCTCAATAAATTAGGTATTGATGGGACATATCTCAAAATAATAAGAGCTATCTATGACAAACCCACAGCCAATATCATACCGAATGGGCAAAAACTGGAAGCATTCCCTTTGAAAGCTGGCACAAGACAGGGATGCCCTCTCTCACCGCTCCTATTCAACATAGTGTTGGAAGTTCTGGCCAGGGCAATCAGGCAGGAGAAGGAAATAAAGGGTATTCAATTAGGAAAAGAGGAAGTCAAATTGTCCCTGTTTGCAGATGACATGACTGTATATCTAGAAAACCCCATTGTCTCAGCCCAAAATTCCCTTAAACTCATAGGCAACTTCAGCAAGGTCTCAGGATACAAAATCAATGTACAAAAATCACAAGCATTCTTATACACCAATAACAGAAAAACAGAGAGCCAAATCATGAGTGAACTCCCATTCACAATTGCTTCAAAGAGAATAAAATACCTAGGAATCCAACTTACAAGGGACGTGAAGGACCTCTTCAAGGAGAACTACAAACCACTGCTCAATGAAATAAAAGAGGATACAAACAAATGGAAGAACATTCCATGCTCATGGGTAGGAAGAATCAATATCATGAAAATGGCCATACTGCCCAAGGTAATTTATAGATTCAATGCCATCCCCATCAAGCTACCAATGACTTTCTTCACAGAATTGGAAAAAACTACTTTAAAGTTCATATGGAACCAAAAAAGAGCCCACATCGCCAAGTCAATCCTAAGCCAAAAGAACAGGTAGCTGGAGGCATCACGCTACCTGACTTTAAACTATACTACAAGACTACAGTAATCAAAAGAGCATGGTACTGGTACCAAAACAGAGATATAGATCAATGGAACAGAACAGAGCCCTCAGAAAAAATGCTGCATATCTACAACTATCTGATCTTTGACAAATCTGACAAAAACAAGAAATGGGGAAAGGAGTCCCTATTTAATAAATGGTGCTGGGAAAACTGGCTAGCCATATGTAGAAAGCTGAAACTGGATCCCTTCCTTACACCTTATACAAAAATTAATTCAAGATGGATTAAAGACTTACACATTAGACCTAAAACCATAAAAATCCTAGAAGAAAACCTAGGCAATACCATTCAGGACACAGGCATGGGCAAGGACTTCATGTCTAAAACACCAAAAGCAATGGCAACAAAAGCCAAAATTGACAAATGGGATCTAATAAAACTAAAGAGCTTCTGCACAGCAAAAGAAACTACCATCAGAGTGAACAGGCAACCTACAGAATGGGAGAAAATTTTCACAACCTACTCATCTGACAAAGGGCTAATATCCAGAATCTACAATGAACTCAAACAAATTTACAAGAAAAAGCAAACAACCCCATCAAAAAGTGGGTGAAGGACATGAACAGACACTTCTCAAAAGAAGACATTTATGCAGCCAAAAAACACATGAAAAAATGCTCACCATCACTGGCCATCAGAGAAATGCAAATCAAAACCACAATGAGATACCATCTCACACCAGTTAGAATGGCAATCATTAAAAAGTCAGGAAACAACAGGTGCTGGAGAGGATGTGGAGAAATAGGAACACTTTTACACTGTTGGTAGGACTGTAAACTAGTTCAACCATTGTGGAAGTCAGTGTGGCGATTCCTCAGGGATCTACAACTAGAAATACCATTTGACCCAGCCATCCCATTACTGTGTATATACCCAAAGGATTATAAATCATGCTGCTATAAAGACACATGCACACGTATGTTTATTGCGGCACTATTCACAATAGCAAAGACTTGGAACCAACCCAAATGTCCAACAATGATAGACTGGATTAAGAAAATGTGGCACATATACACCATGGAATACTATGCAGCCATAAAAAATGATGGGTTCATGTCCTTTGTAGGGACATGGATGAAATTGGAAATCATCATTCTCAGTAAACTATCACAAGAACAAAAAACCAAACACCGCATATTCTTACTCATAGGTGGGAATTGAACAATGAGAACACATGGACACAGGAAGGGGAACATCACACTCTGGGGACTGTTGTGGGGTCGGGGGAGGGGGGAGGGATAGCTTTAGGAGATGTACCTAATGCTAATTGACAAGTTAATGGGTACAGCACACCAACATGGCACATGTATGCATATGTAACTAACCTGCACATTGTGTACATGTACCCTAAAACTTAAAGTATAATAACAATGCAACTTTAAAATAGGCAGCAAAAATTAGGAATTTAGACAATTTCAAGTGGCCTCTAATTTTAGAAAAAAAGTCATGTTATTCATATCAGATAGATTTTTTAAATTAATTTTTTAAGGAATAAATGAAACTCCATGTGACAGTCTGTACTTTAGGCAGAACACATGAATGTCATATACATACATAATACATTAAAATATATTTACCTTGAAAAACATGCCAATCTGTAAATTGTTCAATTGACATAGCCAAATTTGAAAAATTAATTTAATATCATTCAAATAGTTTAGATTAGGATTAGAGTAAACATAGATTTTGCTTATAGGTGGAATTAAAATAGTCAAAAAAGGAAATAAAGTGCATACCCTTTTTTAGTAAATGTACCAGAGGGCTGCTACATTCTTTTATATTTAATTGAAAATTCCATGACTCTGAGTAATAAGTTTCACAGGAGAAAAGCAGAATTTTAAAATCTCTACCTCTCTAAAATTCTCAGATCCTGAGCAGTTTATAAATACAATAGGTATGTGTTCTTGGTTCCTTTTTTTCTTGCATAGCATAAATTACAGGTAAATGAACATTTGCAATTCAATAGTTATTCTAGAAATAAACTATATTGTAGTGAGTTTTTGCTGGACTTACATGGTTTAAGCTATTCTAAATACAGACCACACTCGTATGTATGTATATTTATATATATGTGTTTATTTATATATTTTTAAATGCATTTCTATTTATGCAAATGAATAACTCTATGAACAATTCATTTCTGCCATGCACAGCCAATCAACCTTCCATTAATAATGGAGAAAACTAAGTTCTTAATGGCAATTCTCCATAGGAATGGAGAAAGCTATAGTTTAAATGTGACAAAATGTCCCAAACTATCTTTCAAGCTTTTTTAAAAAATTACCACACAACTTTTTGTTCAATTCATTTCACAAGACAACTCAGTTTTTATGCTTATACCTCATTCTCATATAATTATTATGGTATAATTTAAGAGAGGTTTGATATTATAAAAGATATATTTATCTATAAAATATTTTTGGACATTATGTTTTGGGTCATAATCAGAAATAAATAATAGAGAAATTTGAACAGGTATATCTATAAATTATATTTTATATGTGGCATAGTGATCTTTTATTAATATCTCAAATCTTATTTCTAGTTATAGTAAAGTTAATTGTTTATGTGTTGTAAAAGAAAACAATGTGTCACGATTGTAAATGAGCACCAGGAATAAATGCAGTATTGTTTTATCTTGGAGTTACAATTAAGAAATGATGTGTGATGTATGTTTATTGTGGCAATATTCACAATAGCAAAGACTTGGAACCAACCCAAATGCCCATCAATGATAGACTGGATTAAGAAAATGTGGCACATATACACTGTGGAATACTATGCAGCCATAAAAAAGGATGAGTTCATGTCCTTTGTAGGGACATGCATGAAGCTGGAAACCATCATTCTCAGCAAACTATCGCAAGGACAGAAAACCAAACACCGCATGTTCTCACTCATAGGTGGGAATTGAAAAATGAGAACACTTGGACACAGGAAGGGGAACATCACATACTGGGGCCTGTCATGGAGTGGGGGGAGGGGGAGGGATAGCATTAGGAGATATACCTAACATAAATGACGAGTTAATGGGTGCAGCACACAAACATGGCACATGTATACATATGTAACAAACCTGCACGTTGCGCACATATACCCTAGAACTTAAAGTATAATAATAATAATATAAAGAGAAAATTATCTGAAATCTAAAAAAAAAAAAGAATTCTGACATCCAAAACTGGGAGAAAAATAAAATAAAAAAATGAAAAGCGAATACCAAGCCATCATCACATAAGGAGGTAATCAAAATATATATGGCCAAATAATGTAGGAAAAGGTGTTGCAGAGCTATGTCAGAAAGTTTAATTAACTTTAATTATTAATTATTTTTTCTGGAAAAAAATGATGTGTGAAACACAATGTATCAAAGTATGATAATTATATAAATATCATATTAAATAGCAACAGCAACTATTTATTTAATGATTAATACTTACAAACGCAGTCATAGCTTCTTCCTACACATTATATTTTGTAATCTTTACAGTAACCCTATGAGATAGGAAATTAGTATTATGCCCATTGTCAAGATGAGGAAACTGTGGCTTAGAAAGCTTAGTAATTTTATCAGCATATACCTCATAATTGATTAAGGCAGAAATCAAAACCTTATATCTTCTATTCCAACATCAGAGCACTACTGGATTACAGTGTTTCTTCAGCTGACTGAATTGCTTACGAGACTTCTTTCATGGAACGGGTCTTATGCAGGTAATATAATTGGTTGAGAATTTAAAAAAAAAATGGGAGATAAACTTTAATAAAGAAAAATTACCTAAAGGCCAAGTGAATAGTGATTAATGAAAACTGAACTCTATTAAACCATGTTATTTAATAAAATATTGATGTTTCCCCTTCATCTTTATTAAGAATAATTGTCTTTACAAAAAGTCATGATCCCATATTAATTAAAAGTTTATGATTTTGATAGGTGTTATTTGTAGTTCAATAGCTAAGTTATATGGAAGAATAAAAAGTAAAGTGGTAATTTTGTTTCAAATAATACATGGCCATTCATAGTTTTCATATTTTAAATGATGTTGTTGCCTACTCTTCTGTTATCAAACACATTTTGCCAGTTTGATTGATTGTGCTTGAAGTGGCTGCAGAATAATAGGTTTTATCTATCAGTTCTAAAACATAAGGATGTCCGCTTATTTGGCATTATATTTAAAAATCCTTAAGGCCAAAAAATTTATGTTTGTATAAAAATGTTCAAGTTTGAAAATTACATTTTGAAGCTTATTACAAACACCTTTGCTTACTCATCTTTATTGATGAATAATCAAACACTGTTAGGAGAAAATTACATTCAGTGACTATTTCTCATTCTGGTGAGACAAAAATGTGTGGCACTGTTTCATACTGCCATATGGAAAAATAGATATTTCAACTACAGCTGTCTCTGACAATTTATTTTCCTAAATCATTAAGTTATTAGGTTTGGTTTTCTGTATTTATCAGATTAATAATATAATTAACAACTTTCTACTTCATTTTATAGATAAATTTAATGTTGTCTGCGTATGTCCAAACATTTTACACCAGAAAATTAGACCAAAAATAGAATTTTCTACATCGGGGTGTGCGTGTGTGTGTGTGTGTGTGTGTGTGTTAGTCCGTTCTCATGCTGCTATGAAGAAATACCCAATACTGGGTAATTTATAAACGAAAGAGGTTTAATTGACTCACAGTTCCGCATTGCTAGGGAGGCCTCTGGAAACTTACAAACATGGTAATTCTATTCCAAGTCTAAAGACAAAGAAGAAGCAGGCACCTTCTTCACAGGGTGGCAGGATAGAGTGAGTGCAAGCAGGGGAAATGCTGGATGCTTGTAAAATCATCAGATCTCATGAGACTCACTCACTATCACAAGAATGCCACGCAGCAAACTGCCCCCACGATCCAATTACCTCCACCTGGTCCCACCCTTGGCACGTGGGGCTTATGGGGATTATAATTCAAGGTGAGATTTTGGGTTGGGACGCAGCCAAACCCTATCAGTGTGTGTGCGTGTGTGTGTGTGTGTGTGTGTGTGAGATTTTTGAAGCTTAGTGTGGGGTGTTAATTTTTAGACAGACTAGAGAAGACAAGAGATTATGTCACAATGTTACGGTAAATTGGTTATTGGAGTTGTCTGTGTCACCTGTGAGAGACTGAGCTGTTTCCAGTCGCAGTTCACATCTTCATGAGAGACAAATGGTGGTAGGCATCTTTTAAAGTTCCCGAAAGTGTCTGAAAGAACAAAAATGCATTGACTTTGAATTTCTTTTGTGAATTGTATCTTCCTCATCGGCAAGAAATAGATCCCTTTATAAGAAGCCTTAGGTATAAATACCAGCACGTTTACAGTCATTTGCTAGCTATTTTTATTTCTTCTCACAAGCTAACATTAAAAATCTCTAACATGTTTTAGATGTACCATAATCAGGAGAAAAGGAAGAACAATATTATTCCATCAAGAAATAAAACCTTTTTTTTTTTTTTAGAAGGAGTCTCGCTCTGTCACCCAGGCTGGAGTGCAGTGGCGCTATCTTGGCTCACTGCAAGCTCCACCTCCCGGAGTCACGCCATTCTCCTGCCTCAGCCTCCCAAGTAGCTGGGACAACAGGCGCCCACCACCACGCCAGGCTAATTTTTTGTATTTTTAGTAGAGACGGGGTTTCACCGTGTTAGCCAGGATGGTGTCGATCTCCTGACCTCGTGATCCACTCGCCTCGGCCTCCCAAAGTGTTGGGATTACAGGCGTGAGCCACCGCGCCCAGCCAAAATAAATCTTAAATTAAACATTTTATATATTAGCTCTTGCTGAAATAGCAGGCAATATGATTGATATGTCCCCACTTGCATAAAGATCACATAGCTACTGGTGTATAGTTTCAATCACTCAATTCTATTCCAAGTCTAAAGAGACTGCATAAGTAGTTCCAGTCACCTTTTGCAGACTCTGCAGGTAACGTTAGTTTTGTCTTGTTTGTCCATTTCTAATTTTTGAAACATGGCATCTCGTTAAACATTTCACCAGTTTTTCTCATAGTTCTGGGTTCTTAGTGGCAAAGGGGACAGTGCTTGTTAAATGCCCAAAATGTAGTTAATGAATGAAATAAATTACTTAAGAATTTGTAAAATAACTCTAGAAGGTAAGTACTATCATTCACATTTATATTAGGGAACTAAGTTATAATGCGGTTTAAAAATTGTCAAAAAATAAGGCTTCCAAGGGTCATAGCTGTGGCTTATTTCCAGGACTCTCTTGCCCCAATCTAGACAATACCACATCATTTGAAAATATTTTAGGTAATTGTATGAATTTCAACTTTATTTGCAGTGGATAAAAATGAATCCTAGCAAACTGAACAAATGACAGTGAGCTTTTTAAATTCATTTTAGTTGTTCATGCTTAGCTGAAACCAATATCTAATGGAAACATGACTTTCCACTTTGAGATGCTTATGTTTGTATGATGTTATAAAAATTGGATTAGTCTAATTTAACTTAATATTTTAATTACAAACAATTTCTATCAATCTAAACTTTTGGAAAAAAAAAAAAAGACAACCTAATTGTCTTGCAGTTTGACAAAGTGTGATAAGGCAGTTTAAAGAACCAGGCAAACCACTCCTGGAAGTCCAGTCTTTATAGAATTCAAAAAAATCTGACTTAGCCTGCTCATTCTAGAAAGGGTTTGATCATTGGACAAATTGAATATTTTTAGTTACTCAATTTTACATTATCTAAGAACTGACATTCCTGTGATTTACTTCCACTTTCCCTTCAGTTGTTGGACACACACCCATTGATTTCGCCTTTCCCCAGTGATGTACTAGTTCAAAGCAAAGCTGTGATCGATATTAAATTTTTTTTAATTTTCTTTTTTTGTTTCAAAATTATTTTAAAATTCATCTCCTCAGGTCATACCTACTCTGAAATATCATGATCTTTTGTCTTTTTGTATTTTTACTTGAGACTACAAAAGACTTTCAAACTCTATATTAAAAATATTTCCCTACATTTATAAATGACAACCTAAGGTCAAGAATTTGCCTTCATTTTTATATTAATTAGATAATGGAGACTTCCAGTATTCTTTCTCAAAGATAGGATGATACATAGGCCAGCACTTTTGAATCCTAAAGTCTTCCAAGTCTAGTCATTATTGCTATTCAAATTACAGTTCTTTTTGTTGGCCACATACTTTCTGCAGTTGTCTCATTGTTTAAATCCGTTGGTAATTTTTGGTGTCACTTTAGATAACTAACTCTTAGAACCTATGCACAGAATCGTTAGTTTGCAATGTTTGCTCAAAAGGTCAACAGCTTTCAGAAAATTCCTATAGAACCCAAAGGCTAAAATACATTCAAGATGCCTTTAGTATCTCCGAGCGTCACTTTCCTTATATCTACCTATTGATTTGTTGCTAACTTGATAACATTAGATGGTCATTGTTGAACAGCTCAGGAAGACATGAACTTTACCCATTTCGAAAAACAACCATTTCAATGAAACTTAGACAGCAAAGTTAAGCATAGGCTGGCAACAACTGAGGAGGATTCCTCCTTGATAAACTGCTATGTCATTGAGCAAGAATGAAGTTAATGTACTTCTTGCTTATAATGGCTCCCATTTTCCCTACTGCCAGCCCTCCAGGTGAACACTATGTATTTACTCCTTTATGGCTGGCCACAAAACCAGCAGCTTTGTCAACAGAGGTGGAGGATTTAATCTGAGAAGAAGTAGAGTGACCCATGGATTTCATGGCTTCCAGTGAGGAAGGACTATCTCAGAAGCCACAGCTCTGTTTTTCAGGACAGGACAAGCAGCAGAACAAGTAAAAATTAATTTAGAAATTGTGGAAGTGAGAGTAGCATAGAATTTGTTAAATAAGGTCTCTGTATATCCCGAGCTAACTTTAAATTATAAATGCTTAAGAGAGATCTGAGAGATTCTGGTAAAAAAAAAAAAAAAAAAGAAAAAAAAAAGCCAATGGAGACTTGAAATTTGGCTGCAACTTTGAATAAATTTCTCCAGGTACATATAATTGAGTTCACAGAGAAGGAAAGCCTTGAGGCACGAATGTGTTATCAAAATTTGCCCACATTATTGGCTAAAAACTAAACATAGTCACACGTGTGACTTTTGAGAACTATAATTAAAAATAAAAATGTTAAAAAAATAACTGAGCAGACATATCAGTGACAGCATGCTTTGAAAGACAGAGATTTTTTCATTTAAGTTTAAAAAAAAGAAACAATTACCCTCACAAAAATAAAAAAATTCAAAGTTGTTACCATTAAACATTATTAAATTTGTTTAAGCAACACATAATTGATGGATAATATTGCACAGTATTTTTGAATTTTTAACAAATCTAGATGAAATATAGATGACAATAATAGCACAAAAATGACAAAATACAGCTATGCTAGACATAATTCCTATAATTTACCAGAATTAAGAGACTGCTAGCCTAAAATAAACTATGATTAAATCAAAGAAGCATATTGCAGTCCATGCAAAAAAAAAATTCAAACATATATATATATATATATATATATAGCTAAAAATTCAGAAAATAAAAGGATACACTAAAAATATTTGTTTAACACAAAGCAGAAACAAGAGTAAAAATGTTAGGAATAACAAAGATATGAGACATGTCATAAATTTCTTTAATGAAGTTACTTCCTTGACATCCATTTTTCAGTTTGATATAAGTTGCTTAAAACTCAGTTGTACCTGTAACCTTTGGCTTAAAACTTCCCCTCCCCATGTGATTGTTTGTAATATAGTCCACTTGTTCCTTATCCCATTGACTCAACAACCAAACCACCCACAGCTACTACTGAATATGATAAAACCTAATGTTTAATGCCAGAATTATGTAAATGACTTCTCCCTTCACACTCCATCTTTAAAACAGCTAATCACAACTCCTGTGTGAATGTCTAAGGGATAATGATCATGGACCTTAATGAAGGTGTAGTTCCACAGGTCCTCTCCTGCTTCCTATTCACTGCTTGAGTTCCCTGCCACATCTGGACTTCCCATTGCCCCCCATATCATCACCTCTAATCTTTCTGGGAACTGTAAGTAATATCTTTCTTCAGTGTCATGCATTTTGTTTTTGCCTCCTCATTGTGTCTCATTTAACCAACCCACCTAAATCTAAACCTAACCTTTCTGGTCAGTGTTATCTCTTAGAGAGTAGTTTTATTCTTGGAAAGAAGAAATTGAACACAGGTCAGACAAAAGCTACAAAGGGGTCTGACAGTATAAACAATTTTCCTGTGAGAAAGACACCTGGTTATGGGTGAGACATTTAAGCACTGGGCCATCTGCCAGGTTTAAAAAAAAAATCTCATAAAAGACATATTATAAATGATCCACAACAAAATTCCTGGAATTTCTCATTAGGACAGGGCTAAATCATATGGCCAGTCTCAAGGTAGGGCATCAAAACCAAAATAGAAACTATAATGACATAAATCACAGCAAGGCATCTAGAAACCAAATAAAAAATGGCAAAAACCTTATTTCAAAACTTATATTAATTATCTTGAATGTAAATATACTAAATGCTTCAAAATGCCAAGTCAGAGATTGCCAAACTGAATAAAACAGTCAAGATACAATTATAGGTAATCCGAAAAAGAAGCATTTTAATTTCAGAGCCACAAAAACATAAAATAAAGGAATAAAAAAGACATCATTCAATCAAAACAATAAGAACTGGTGTAGATATATTAATGTCAGACAATGTAGACTTTAAGACAGGAATATTTTTACATGTATAGAGAGATATTTCATAATGACAATATCATGACAACAGTTCCAAAATAATGCAGTAAATTTGACAGACTAAAAAGACAGAAAACCAGTAAGAACATGGGAAACTTTAACATTATTAAAGTTGATTGAATTGATTTATATAATAAAATCCACATAATGTTCAAGTTTACCTAGAACATTCTTCAGTATAGACCATATAAAAGGCATTTAAGATTTTTCAATATCTTCAATAAAAGACATTCTGTGAGCACAATGAAATTAGGTTAGACATCAATAACAGAAAAATGGGAAATCCCAGAAATTTTTTAAAAAACGATATACTTAAATACCCTAGGTGTCAAAGAGGAAATCATAAAGAGAATTTTAAAACAAGCTTTGGAAATATTAAAATGCAGTCTATTCTAAAAGCAGTAGACAAAAACATCCGGTAAACTGCAAGGAAAAACCTATCTGCAGACTTCTCAGCAGGAGCCAGAAGGAATTGGAGTTCTGTCTTTAACCTCCTTAAACAGAGCGACTGTCAGCCAAGAATTTTGAATCCCACAAAACCAAGTTTAATAAATGAAGGAGAAATAAAATCATTTTCAGACAAACAAAAGCTGAGGGGATTTGTCACTACTAAACCAGCATTACAAAAATCCTAACAGGAATACAAAACCTTTAAACAAATGCCTAATATGCACAAAATAGAACATCTTGAAAGGTTGAAATTCTCAGGGTCTATAAAACAAGAACACAAAACAGTAAAAAGCTAGGTAAAAATCAATTTAATGAAGAGAATAGTACCTCACATCTCCATATTACCGTTGAATATAAATGGCCTAAATACTCCATTTGAAAGATACAGAAGGGCAGAACTGATTAAAAAAAAAAAAATCAGAATCCAAATAGTTACTGTCTTTAAGAGACTCACCTAACACAGAAGAATTCATATAAACTCAAGGTGAAAGGGTGGAAAAAGGTATCCCATGCAAACAGAAGACAAAAGTGAGCAGGGGTAAGCAAATTTTTTTTTTTTTTGAAACAGATTCTTGCTCTATTGCCCAGGCTAGAGTGCAGTGGAGTGCTTGGGTCACCACAACCTCTGCCTCCTGTGTTCAAGTGATTCTCCTGCCTCAGCCTCCTGAGTCACTGGGATTACAGGTGCATGCTACTGCACCTGGCAAATTTTTGTATTTTTTAGTGGAGACGGGGTTTCACCATGTTGGCCAGGCTGGTCTTGAACTCCTGACCTCAGGTGATCCACCTGCCTTGGCTTCCCAAACTGCTGGGATTACAGGTGTGAGCCACCACACCCAGCTGAATAAGCTATTTTTATGTCAGACAAATCAGACTTCAAAGCAACAACAGAAAAAAAAAAAAGACAAAGAAAGTCACTATATAATGACAAAAGGATAAATTCAACAAGATGATATTATAATCCTAAATTTATATGCACCAAACACTGGAGATCCTGGATTCATAAAACAATTACTACTAGGCCTAAGAAATGAGATAGACAGACAAACAATAATAGTGGGAGACTTTAGTACCCCACTGACAACACTAGAGAGATCTTCAAGACAGAAAGTCAACAGAGAAACAATGGACTTAAATGACATGCTAGAACAGATGAACTTAATGGATATTTACAGAATATTCTACCCAAGATCTGCAGAATATACATTCTTCTCATCAGCACATGGAACATTTTCCAAGACAGACCATATGATAGACAACAAAACAAGTCTCAATAAATTTTCAAAAATTGAAATTCTATCAAGTATCTTCTCACACCACAGCAGAATACAAATAGAAATCAACCACAAAAAGAACCCTCAAAATCATACTAATATATGGAAATTAAATAATCTGCTTCCAAAAGATTCTGGGTTAACAATGAAACAAGATGGAGGGAGGACGTGGGCCAAGATGGCTGATAAGAAGCAAGTTATGACAGAATCAAATTTACACATAACAATATTAACCTTAAATGCAAATGGGTTAAATGCCCTAATTAAAAGACACAGAATGGCAAACTGGATAGAGTCAAGACCCATTGGTATGGTGTCTTCAAGAGACCCATCTCACTTGCAAAGACACACATAGGCTCAAAATAAAGAGATGGAGGAAAATTTACCAAGCAAATGGAAAACAAAAAAAAGCAGGAGTAGAAATTCCAGTTTCTGACAAAACAGACATTAAACCAATAAAGGTCAAAAAAGACAAAGAAGGGCATTACATAATGGTAAAGCGTTCAATTCAACAAGAAGAGCTAACTATGCCATATATATATATGTACCCAATATAGGAGCACCCAGATTCATATAGAAAGTACTTAGAGACCTACAAAGAGACTTAGACTCCCACACAATAATACTGGGAGACTTTAACACCATACTGACAATATTAGATTATCAAGACAGAACATTAACAAAGATACTCAGGACCTGAACTCAGCTCTGAATCAAGTGGGCACAACAGATATCTACAGAACCCTGCACCCCAAAACAACAAAATATAAATTATTCTCATTGCCACATGGTACTCACTCTAAAATTTGTCACATAACTGGAAGTAAAACACTGCTCAGCAAATGCAAAAGAAAAAGGAAATCATAACAAACAGTCTCTCAGACCACAGTGCAATCAAATTAGAAATCAAGACTAAGAAACTCAAAACCACACAACCACATAAAAATTGAACAACCTGCTTCTGAATGACTCCTGGGTAAATAATGAAATTAAGGTAGAAATCAAGACGTTCTTTGAAACTAAAGAAAACAAACAAGACAACATACCATAATCTCTGAGATGCAGCTAAAGCAGTGTTAAGAGGGAAATTTACAGCACTAAATGACCACATCAAAAAGCTAGAAAGATCTCAAATCAACAACCTAACATGACAAATAAAAGAACTTGAGAACCAAGAGCAAACAAACCCCAAGGCTAGCAGAAGAAAAGAAATAACCAAGAACAGAGTGGAACTGAACGAGATAGATACACCAAAAACCCTTCAAAAAAATCAATGAATCCAGGAGCTGTTTTTTTTAATTAATAAAATTGACTGCTAGCTAGAATAATAAAGAAGAAAAGAGAGAAGAATCAAATAGACACAATAAAAAATGAAAAAGAAGATATTACCACTGACCACACAAAAATATGAACAACCATCAGAGAATACTATAAAAAACACCTCTGTGCACATAAACTAAAAAAAATCTAGAAGAAGTGGATAAACTCTTGGATGCACACACCCTCCCAAGACTGAACCAGGAAGAAACTGAATCCCTGAATAGACAAATAATGAATTCTGAAATTGAGGCGATAATAAATAGCTCACAAACAAAAGAAAGGCCAGGACCAGATGAATCCACAGCCAAATTCTACCAGGGGTACAAAGAGCAGCTGGTACCATTTCTTCTGAAGCTATTCCAAACAATGGAAAAGGAGGGAATCCTCCCTAACTCATTTTATGAGGCCAGCATCATCCTGATATCAAAACCTGGCAGAGATACAACAACAACAAAAAGCTTCAGGCCAATATCCCTGACAAACATCAATGCAAAAATCCTCAACAAAATACTGGTAAACTGAATCCAGCAGCATATCAAAAAACTTATCTACCATGATCAAGTTGGCTTTATCCCTGGGATGCATGGTGATTGGTTCAACATACACAAATCAATAAATGTAATTCATCACATAAACAGAAATAAGGACAATAACCACATGATTATTTCAATAGATGCAGAAAAAGCCTTTGATAAAATTCAACATGCCTTCATGTTAAAAAATCTCAATAAACTAGGTATTGAAGGAACATACCTCAAAATAATGAGAGCTATCTATGATAAATCCACAGCCAATATCATACTGAATGGGCAAAAGCTGGAAGCTTTCCCCTTGAAAACCAGCACAAGACAAGGATGCCCTATCTCACCACTACTATTCTACTTAGTATTGGAAGTTCTGGCCAGGGCAGTCAGGCAAGAGAATGAAATAAAGTGTATTCAAATAGGAAAAGAAGAAGTCAAATTATCCATGTTTGCAGATGACATGATCCTATATCTAGAAAACACCATTGACTCAGCCCAAAAGCTTCTTAAGCTGATAAGCAACTTCAGCAAAGTCTTAGGATACAAAATCAATGTGCAAAAATTGCTAGCATTCTTATACACCAACAAAAGGCAAGCAGAGAGCCAAATAATGAATGAACTTCCATTCACAATTGTTATAATTCAAAGAGAATAAAACGTCTAGGAATAGAGCTAACAAGGGAGGTGAAGGACCTCGCCATGGAGAATTACAAAGCACTGCTCAAGGAAATCAGAGAGGACAAAAGCAAATGGAAAAATACTCCATGCTCATCAATAGGAAGACTCAATATCGTGAAAATGGCCATACAGCCCAAAGTAATTTATAAATTCAATGCTATTCCCATTAAACTACCATTGACATTCTTCATAGAACTAGAGAAAACTACTTTAAAATTCATATGGAACCAAAACAGAGCCCACATACTCAAGGCAATTCAAAGCAAAAAGAACACAGCTGAAGGCCTCACACTACCTGACTTCTAACTATACTACAAGGCTACAGAGAGCAAAACAGGCCAGGCATGGTGGCTCAAACCTGTAATCCCAGCAATTTGGGAGGCCAAGGTGGGTGGATCACGAGGTCAGGAGATCAAGACCATCCTGACTAACATGGTGAAACCCCGTCTCTACTAAAAATACAAAAAAAATTAGCCGGGCATGGTGGTGGGTGCCTGTAGACCCAGCTACTCCGGAGGCTGAGGCAGGAGAATGGCATGAACCCAGAAGGCAGAGCTTGCAGTGAGCTGAGATCGTACCACTGCACTCCAGCCTGGGCGACAGAGTGAGACTCCAACTCAAAAAAAAGAAAAAAAAAAAAAAAAAAGAAAGAAAGCCAAACAGCAGATACTGGTACAAAAACACAAACATAAACCAATGAAATGGAATAGAGAACTCAGAAATAAGACTGCACACCTATAACCATCTTATCTTTGACAAATTTGACAACAACAAGCAATGAGGAAATGATTCCCGTTTAATAAATGGTGCTGGGAGAACTGGCTAGCCATATGCAGAAAATTTAAACGGAACCTCTTTCTTACACCTTATATAAAAATTAACTCAAGATGGATTAAAGACTTAAATGTAAAACCCAAAACTATAAAAACCCTGGAACAAAATCTAAGCAATACCATTCAGGACATAGGCATGGGCAAAGATTTCATGAGGAAAACACCAAAAGCAATTGCAAGAAAAGCAAAAATTGACAAATGGGATCTAATTAAACTAAAGAGCTTCTGCACAGCATAATAAACTATCATCAGAGTGAACAGACAACCGCAGAAAGGTAGAAAATATTTGCAACCTATCTATCTGACAAAAGTCTAATATCCAGTCTATAAGGAACTTAACTAAATTTACAAAAAAAACCCAACCCCATTAAAATGTGGGCAAAGCCATGAACAGACATTCCTCAAAAGAAGACATTCATGCAGCCAATAAACATATGAAGAAAGGTCAACATCACTCATCATTAGAGAAATGCAAATCAAAACCACAATGAGACACCATCTCACGCCAGACAGAATGGCAACTATTAGTAAGTCAAGAAACAACAGATACTGGTGAGGTTTCAGAGAAAAAGCAATGCTTTTAGATTGTTGGTGGTAATGTAAATTAGTTCAACCATTGTGGAAGACAGTGTGGGGATTTCTCAAAGATCTAGAGGCAGAAATACCATTTGACCCAGCAATGCCTTTACTGGGTATATACCCAAAGTAATATAAATCATTCTATTATAAAGATACATACACGTGTATGTTCATTGCAGCACTAGTCATAATAGCAAAGACCTGGAATCAGCCCAAATACCCATCAACAATAGACTGGATAAAGAAAATGTGGTACATATATACCATGGAATACTATGCAGCCATAAAAAGCAATGAAATTATATTCCTTGCAGCAACATGGATAGAGCTCAAGCCGTTATCCTCAGCAAACTAATACAGGAACAGAAAACCAAACACCACATGTTCTCACGTATAAGTGGGAGCTGAATGGTGAGGAAACATGAACACATGGTGGAGAACAACATACACTGGGGCCTGTTGGTGGGAAGTGGGAGAGGGAGAGCTTCAGGAGGAACAGATAATGGGTGTTGGGCTTCATACCTAGGTGATGGGTTGATCTATGCAGCAAACCATCGTGGCACACATTTACCTATGTAACAAACCTGCACATCCTGCACATGTACTCTGGAACTTAAAATAAAAGTTGAAGAAAAAAATCAAGATGGAAATTTAACAAATATTTTAATTGAATAATAATAATGTGACAAGTTATCAAAATCTCTGGGATACAGCAAAAACAGTGCTTAGAGGAAAGTTCATAGCACTAAATGCTTTAATCAAAAGTATGAAAAAGCACAAATTGACAAGCTAATATTACACCTCAAGGAACTAGAAAAATAAGAACAAACTTAACCTAAAGCTAGAAAAAAAAAATAAAAAAGATCAGAGGAGAACTAAATGAAATTCAAACAAAAAAAACTACAAAAGATCAATGAAACACAAAGCTGTTTTTTTGAAAAAATAAATCAGCAGATCATTAGCTAGATT
This sequence comes from Homo sapiens, assembly GCF_000001405.40. Classification (NCBI taxonomy): domain Eukaryota; kingdom Metazoa; phylum Chordata; class Mammalia; order Primates; family Hominidae; genus Homo; species Homo sapiens. The sequence goes on along the minus strand of NC_000002.12, from coordinate 184,214,902 downwards.
AATCAAGCATAGAAGAGAAGATCCAATAAGCTCAAGAAGAAATGAAACTGGGGACCGGGTGTGGTGGCTCACGCCTGTAATCCCAGCACTTTGGGAAGCCTAGGCGGGCAGATCACCCAGGTCAGGAGTTCGAGACCAGCTTGGCCAACATGGTAAAATTCCATCTCTACTAAAAATACAAAAATTAGCTGGGCGTGGTAGCAGGCACCTGTACTCTCAGCTACTCAGGATGCTGAGGCAAGAGAATTGCTTGAACCCAGGAGGTGGAGGTTGCAATGAGCCGAGACAGTGCCACTGTACTCCAGCCTGGGTGACAGAATGAGACTCCATCTCAAAAAAAAAAAAGAAAAAAGAAAAAAGAAAAAGAGAAAAGAAAAGAAAAGAAAAAGAAACTAGGGACATAATAATTGACACCACAGAAATACGAAAGATCATTTGAGACCACTATGAACACCTTTATGTGCACATACTAGAAAACCTAGAGGAAATGCAAAAATTGCTGGAAACATACAACCTTCCTAGATTAAATCAGGAAGAAATAGAATCCTTGAACAGACTAATAACAAGCAATGAGATAGACTCAATAGTTTAACATTGCCAACAAATAAAATTCCAGGACCAGATTAATTCACAGCTGAATTCTACCAGGCATTCAAAGCAGAATTGTTACCAATCCTATTGGAATTATTCCAAAAGATGAAGAAAGAAGGAGTCCTCCCTAAATCATTTATGAAGCTCATATTATCTTGATAACAAAACCAGAAAAAAAAAACACAAAAAAGAAAACTACAGACCAATCTCCTTGATGAACACAGATTCAAAAATTCTCAAAAAAATACTAGCTAACTGAATCCAACAGCACATTAGAACTATAATTGTGGCCAGGTGCAGTGGCTCACGCCTGTAATCTCAGCACTTTGGGAGGCTGAGGCAGGCAGATCACCTTAGGTCAGGAGTTTGAGGCCAGCCTAGCCAAAATGATGAAACCTCATATTTACTAAAAATACAAAAAAAAAAAAAATTAGCCAGGCATGGTGGTGTGTGCCTGTAATCCCAGCTACTCAGGATAGTGAGGCAAGAGAATAGCTTGAACTGGGGAGGTGGAGGTTGCAGTGAGCCGAGATCACACCACTGCACTCCAGCCTGGGAAACAGAGAGGGTCTCTCTCTCTCTCTCTCTCTCTCTCCCCCCTCTCTCTCTCCTTTCTCTCTCTCTCTCTCTCTCTCTCTCTCTCTCTCTCTCTCTCTCTCTATATATATATATATATATATATATATATATATAAAATTCATCATGATCAATTGGTTTTCATCTCAGGGATGCAGGAATGATTTAATACATGACATTCAATAAATGTAATATATCACATAGACAGAATTAAAAACAAAACCAAATGATCATCTCCATGGATGCAGAAAAAGCATTTGACAAAATCCAGCACCCTTTGTGATAAAAATTCTTAACAAACTATGCATAGAAGGGACCTACCTCAAAATAATAAAAGCCATATGTAACAAATCTACAGTCAATGTCATACTGAATGGGGAAAAGTTGAAAGCATTCCCCCTGAAAACAGGAACAAGACAAGGATGCTCACTTTCACCACTCCTACTTTACATAGTTCTGGTAGTACTAGCCAGAGCAGCTAGGCAAGAGAAAGAAATAAAGGGCATCCAAATTTGAAAAGAAGAAGTCAAACTATCACTGTTTGCAGATGATATGAATATATACTTAGAAACTCCTAAAGACTTATCCAAAAGACTCTTAACATTTGATAAATAAATTCAGTAAAGCCCCAGGTTACAAAATCACTGTACACAAATCAGTAGCATTGATCAATATTGTAAAAATGACCATATTGCCAAAAGCAATCTACAGATTCAATGCAATTCCCATAAAAATACCATATCATTTTTCACAGAATTGGAAAAAACAATCCTAAAATTCATATGGAAACACTAAAGAGCCTAAATAGACAAAGCAATCCTAAGGAAAAAGAACAAATCTGGAGGCATCACATTACCAGATTTCAAACTATACTACAAGGCAATAGTTACCAGAGCAGCATGGTCCTGGTATGAAAGTAGGCACACAGACCAATGGAAAAGTAGGCACATGGACCAATGGAGCAGAATAGAAAACCCAGAAATAAAGCCAAATACATACAGCCAACTGACCTTCAACAAAGCATACAAAAACATAAATTGGATAATGGACACAATATTTAATAAACAGTGCTGGGAAAACTGGTACGCCACATGCAGAAGAAAAAAAACTAGATCACTATCTCTCACCATATACAAAAATTAATTCAAGATGGATCAAAGACTTAAATATAAGGCCTGACACCAAAAAAATTCTAGATGACAACATTGGAAATGTCTTCTAAACAAGGGCCAGGGCAAAGAATTCATGACTAAGACACTAAAGTCAATGCAACAAAAACAAAAATAAATAAGTGGGACCTAATTAAACTAAAAAGCTTCTGTACAATGAAAAAAATAATCAACCAAATGAAAGTACACCCTACAGAATGGAGGAAAATATTTGCAAGCTATGTATCGAACAAAGGACTAGTATCCAGAATCTATAAGGAATTTAAACAAATCACCAGGAAAAAATAAATAAATAAAATAACCCCATCCAAAAGTAGGCAAAATACATAAATAGATGTATTAGTCTGTTCTCACATTGCTAATAAAGACATATTTGGGACTGGGTAATTTTTAAAGGAAAGAGATTTAATTGACTCACAGTTCCACAGGGCTGGGGAGGCCTCACAGTCATGGTAGAAAGCAAGGGGGAAGCAGGCAGAAGAGAAGAGAGAGCTTGTGCAGGGAAGCTCCTATTTATAAAACCATGAGATCTCATGAGACTCATTCACTACCAGAACGGTAGGGAAAAGATCCACCACCATGATTCAATTACCTCCCACCAGGTCCCTCCCATGACACATGGGAATTATGGGAGCTACAATTAAAGATGAGATTTGGGTGGGGACACAGCCAAACCATATCAATAGCTATTTCTCAAAAGAAGATATACAGATGTGTGATAAACACATCTGTTCTGAAGAAATGCTCAACATCACTAATCATCAGCAAAATGCAAATTAAAACCACAATGAGATATCACCTTACTCCTGCAGTATCCAGTAGCCCAAAACTGGAATAATGCAACTATTCATCCAATGTCAAATAGATAAAATATGGTATGTTCATGCAATAAAATACTACTTAGAATAAAGAAATAGCAAACTATTAATAAGTGCAGCAATATGGATAACTTTAAAAAATATTGTGTTAATTGAAAGAAGCTAGGGACAATCACTTATTAAATAATTCCATGTATATGAAATTTCTAGTAAAAGCAAAACTACTACAGCAAAAATAGATCAATGTGTACCTAGACATGGTGGTGGGGTAGAGATTAAATATAAAAGGATTGGAAGGCACTTTGGGGGTGATTTAATTATTCTGAAAAGTGGTTGTGATTAAAGTTGCAGAATTTTACAAATTTACTGAAACCCCTTGATGTGTAAACTAAAAATACATTGTTTTATAGCTGAATGTAAATTATACTTCAATTACAATGGAAAAAATATTAAGGGGATATTAAGGATATGTAGATAGTTGTGGTTAAGCTTTTTACATACATTTTTTGGAATAATCATTTGACTTTACAGAAGTAGAGATAAAACTAGTAAAAGTGGCGATATTTGGATAAATCAATTTGTATTCTCCCTTACCTCATGTGAACATTTATATTGACAGGAAACATCAGCTCACCTAAATAAAAGCACTTAGTATGTAAAATAAATTCAGAATCTTAGTCATTAATGTTTCGGAATTACATTTCCTTCTATATCTCTTGTTTTTTCCATTACAGCTGCAGTTCAAACTAAAAACAGAGATTGCACTGAATTATTTTCTCTAACGCCTTCTCTGGTTATTGCTTTTGCCTCCAGTAGAAATTAATATGAATTATATACCAAGAACAAACATTTTAGAGTGCATGAAATAAAGACATTTTCCTAGAATCTATATCTTTTGTTAAAATTAAAACTTAGAACGTTGCCTATGTTTAGAATTAAATCAAAAGCTGAAACTTTCAAAATGGAGGTTATTTTTAATATGAAAAAGAATGACTCATAAATAAAGCTCTGAATATCAAAGATTGCTTTTTTATACTTATGTTGGAAAAACCAATTTCAGGTGTTTATGCCCACGTAATATGACCATATAACTTCGTGGTCAGTTTTCTCTACAAAATGTGAATGTGTTTAAACCCAGCTTAACATAATCTTGTTTGCCAAAATTAGATCATTTATGTTTTCAGCAACAGGAAACAACTGTGGCATACACAGGGATGTTCTAAGTGCTTATTCAGCAGTTTACTTAAAGGAATAATTATTCACTTTAATATCTGAAATTACTATTTTTCTGGTACCTATATTTATTAAATGATATAATAGCTATAAACAACCAAATCTACAGTAACACAAATATTTAATAAGTACTTATGCGCTAAGTTCTCTATATGCATTGCTCCATTTAATTCTTAACACCAATTTTTTGAGGTAGGTGACAAAAACCTCACAGTGAGTTTTCTTAGTGGAGTCAAGGAATAACCTCAAAATCAAAGCCAGTGGAAGATAAAGGAAGATTATTTTCTTTGGGAAAGTAATTAATAGAAGAAAAATCAGCTGGGAATTTTTCCACACTTACAGTAAATGACTCTGATATTTGGACCTCCCCAAATCTAGAAGCAAATATTGTAGGTATATCACAAAAATATAAGAAAAAACTAAAAATGTGCATTGGGTCAAACTAAAGGGCAGTCTCTGTCAACTCAGCTCACCTGAAGAATGTGGGCCCTGTCACCATACCCAGAAAACAAACTGGCTGACTGAAACATAATAATGCATCCAGACAGCATGTAGGTCACCCAATACTCATTCCTGCCAACAACCATCACTACCATTCCCCACACCCCCACATCCCCACTCTCATGCAGTTTTTAGAGGCAGAGCTCTTCTAAACAGAATCTGACATTCACTGCAAGAGACAAAACTTTCTTTCTTTGCCGAAGTAAATGCTCTGTAATTACAGAAAATTTTTAATTTATTTCTTCAAAAAGAAATGCTAACAGAAAAATCAAAGACCAGCAGTATTTAAGAAAATTCAGTTGCTAAGATTGGCAAATTGCCCTGAAGATAGTTAAATGCTGATTAAAAGACATTGAAAAACACTTAAAACAATAAAGAAATCATACCTACAGTGGTTACATTTCCCTAAAAATGCTGCTATGAAAAAGAAAACAAGAAGTATTGAAAATTAAAAATATAATTGCCAAAATGTACAAAAAATAAACAAGATATGGCTAAATGTAATAGAAAAGACACATCTAAAATTAAATTAGTGAACACAGAGATTTAGCAGAGGATCCCAGAAATCAGCGCATATAAAGACATGGGGATCATTTTAAAACTATTTAGAAATTTGAAGGCTAGATGAATGAGCTCCACAATCTGGCAGCAATTATAGAATGAGAACAGAGGGAAGGAGGAAGACCACACTGTAAAATAATAAATAAATGAAAATTTCCCCAAATCAAAAAAGTCCAAGTTTGAAAGCAGTAAGTACCTAAGCCACAAAGAATCAAAAGTCCGTTAGGCCCGGCGCAGTGGCCCATGCTTGCAATCACAGCACTTTGGGAGGCCGAGGCAGATGGATCACCTGAGGAGACTGAGGAGACCAGCCTGGCCAACATGGTGAAACCCTGTCTCTACTAAAAATACAAAAAAATTAGCTGGGTCTGGTGGTGGACGCCTCTATTCCCAGAGCTACTCAGGAGGCTGAGGCAGGAGAATCGCTTGAACCCAGAAGACGGAGGTTGCAGTGAGCTGAGATCTTGCCATTGCACTCCAGCCTGGGTGACTAGAGTGAGACTGTCTCAAAATAAATAAATAAATAAATAAGTACGTGAGGTTCACATCCCAGATGTATGTGAGTATGTGCACGCACACACACACACACACACACACTTGCATGTGTTATTTAATAGAATAATTTTTCTTTTTTTTGTTTTTGAGATGGAGCCTTGCTCTGTCGCCAGGCTGGAGTGCAGTGGTGTGATCTTGGCTCACTGCAACCCCCGCCTCCCAGGTTCAAGCGATTCTCCTGCCTCAGCCTCCCGAGTAGCTGGGATTACGGGCAAGTGCCACCACGCCCAGCTAATTTTTGTATTTTTAGTAGAGATGGAGTTTCACCACGTTGGCCAGGATGGTCTTGATCTCCTGACCTCGTGATCTGCCTGCCTCGGCTTCCCAAAGTGCTGGGATTACAGGCTTTAGCCACCATGCCCGGCCAGCAGAATTCTTTAAAAGAACTTTTCCTGGTCTGTGGCTGAGGCTTTCAGTGCCCAAACGTAGAACTTTTATTTTCTACTTCCTGAACAGTTGTTTCTACATCTCTATTAGTTCAGCAGGTGTCATGGTGTTGAAAAGCTTGAAACATCTGGATATCTATAACTGAATAACTGTCAAAGTTGGTAGCTAACCTAGGCTAGCTAATAATTAGGTGCTTGTAAATTGGTTCAATGTCCATTGATAGCAACTGAAGAAAAAAAAATACAGGAATGTTATTTTTATGCTCAAAATAATGAGAATTTGGCATGCATTTGCCATCTGAAGTTCTATGAACTAATAGTTTTATGAATTATATAACCGATATACAAGGTTGTTGAAACATTACTGCTTTCATTTTCTAATTATAATGGCTGCCATTTTTCATTCCCACCAAAATGTATGAGGGTTCAACTTACTTCACAACCTTGTCAATACTTTGTATTGTCACTTTTTAAACATTTGTTTCACTTAGACATTTTAGTACCCTGGTAGGTTTTTAGTCATATCTTGTTAGGAGTTAAATTTGAATTTTCTAAATGACTAATGATGTTGGGCATCTTTTCATGCATGTGATTACATATGCTATACATATATATTATTTGATCAATGATCGTGTAAAACATTTGCCCATTTTTAATCTGTTTGCCGTTTGTTTTGAGAATTTCTTATTTATTCTATAAATTATATATCAGATATATGATTTTTAAACATTCATTCCAACCTGTAGCATTATATTTTTATTATAACATCTTTTAAAGAGCAGAAGTTCTCAATTTTGAGAAAGTACAATTTATAGTTACTTAACAGATCATGCCTTTAGTGCTGTATCTAAGAAATCGTTGCTAACCAAGATCACAAAAGTTTTTCTCCTGTTTTCGCTAGAAGTCTTATAGCTTTAGATATTATACTTTGTTTTACGCTTCACTTTTTAAAGATTGCATATGATGCAATGTAAAACAATATTTTGACAAAAATGTAACCTTTTCTCAATAAAGAATAGTATTCCATATTGTCTTACTCCATTTTGGCTTCTAGTACAAACTACCACAAACTGGGTGGCTTATGAACAATAAACATTTATTTCTCACAGTTCTGGAGGCTGGGAAATCCAAGATAAAGGCAACAGGAATATTTAGTATCTGGTGAGGGCCAGTTCCTCACAGACAATGTCTGTTTGCTGTATCCTTACATGTTCTCTTTTATAAAGGCACAAATCCCAATTTTGAGGACCATCCTGATAACCTAATCACCTACCAAAGGCTCCAGCTCTTAGTATGATCACTTTGGGAGTTAGGATTTAAACATATGAATTTCAGGGGAACATAAACATTCAGACCATAGCACATACACTATCACAGAATTTTAGCTGACAATGATAGTCACCTGTCAGAGACTATCAAGTTATTAGTGTTTATACAGAGCATTGGGTATCGCTACACCACACAGATTGCACTTCTGTATAGCAAAGTTCTCTTTAGAGAGAGACTAGTGGTCAATAACTAAGACTGCTTTCTTATTTTTATTTTCAAGAGTTGTCCATCACTGTGGTAACGGTCAATTTTTTTTTTTAGTGAAAACATAAGAAATATTGACTCTAGGCCGGTCGCGGCGGCTCACACCTGTAATCCCAGCACTTCGGGAGGCCGAGGTGGGAGGATCACGAGGTCAGGAGATCAAGACCATCCTGGCTAACACGAAAAAACCCCGTCTCTACTAAAAATACAAAAAATTAGCTGGGCATGGTGGCGGGTGCCTGTAGTCCCAGCTACTCGGGAGGCTGAGGCAGGAGAATGGCCTGAACTCAGGAGGCGGAGCTTGCAGTGAGCCAAGATTGTGTCACTGCACTCCAGTCTGGGCAACAGAGCAAGACTCCGTCTCAAAAAACAAACAAACAAAAAGAATTATTGACTCTAAAACTAAGAGTTATGATTTAGAAAAGATTAAAATTGATGATCATAAGAAGTAAATATAGTACCACAGCAATAACTCTGGCATTTAAAGATTTTTTTCATTCTCCTTAACTATGAAATATTCCAAAATAGTAGTAATTGAAAGATAATTTACTGAGAAATGTAGAGATAATCTTTAGGAAACAATACTACTGTCTCTACAACTTGTTTTGTCAATTGGATTAATTTATTGTTTTGTATAATGAACGAATCTTTATTTAACTTTGCTAAATTGACTTAAATTACAAATGCAATCAACATCTTTGTATTGCCACAGAACATTCCTAATTATTGCATTTGTATCAACACTTAATTGTGCAATAACTGAAAACTAGTCAGGAAAATAACATTTAAATTGATGCTTTATTTGTGAGATTTGCAAGTTTAAGACAGAGATGAGACATCTGAATGAAAACGTTTGATTCTTGGTAAGTTGTATCATTGTATCACTCATTTCCTAATCAACCAAGCTCAATATGGAAAAACAACAACAACAACAAAAAACAATTGTGTACCATTTGCTTGATTGTTATAAGTTTAGACTTTTTTTAAATATTGGAAGCATATGCCTACGGGGGGAAGATAAATAATATAATATGCTAAGTTAGATTCTTTTGATGAATTATCTATGAAATTACTTTTTAAAACATATTCTGATAGTTTAATATGTTTTCTATTTAAGATTCTCCTGATTCAAGATGAATTTAATTTGTTTTTTATATACATATGAACCTTTGGGTCACTTGGATAAGGCTTATGAGATTGTCTTATTTTTAGATAGTATTTTTTTCTTTTCCTCTGAAATTAGACTTTTTGTCCTCTCATTTCTTTATTTTTCTCTTATACTATAATGTCATCCTGGTTTTATTAATAATTCAAAAACTGGAAACAACTTGAATGTCCATCAACAGAAGAACGAATAACTAAATCATGTCATATTTACATTGTGTAATCTTCACAGAAACTATGTTAAGAAAAAAAAAGTTACCAACCAGTAGATATCGTGTTATTCCATTTATATAAAGCTCAAAACAGGCAAAATTAATTTACTGTGATAGAAATGGAGAAAACAGACACGAAATTACAAATAAATATTTGTTTCTATGGGGCATTGCTTGAAAAGATGCTGACAGGAATTGTTACTCATGATGCAATTTTTTTCATGATTGCAGTGGATGTATTTGTGAAGCTTGTTTAAGTCTGTACTTAAGATCAATACATTGTGCTCCATGTAAAATACACCTTAACTTCAGATGGTGAAGAGAGGAAAACAAAAAAAATGAATCAGAATTGCATGTCTCAGCATTTTTAAATTACTGCCTCCATAAAGAGTCTTTTTATACATTGTTTTCATTATCCCCCCCATGAAATTTCAAGACCACAAACATCTGTTTTTATATCCTCCATATATCAGTATTTTATACATAGCAATAGTATGAACATTTTTACTCCCCTCCTCCACTGAAGAACCCATTTTCACTCAGTTGGAGGTGATATTAGCCCCATTTTTATATTATCCGTATATCTGTATTTTATACGTAGTAATAGTATAAAACATTTTTACCCCCCTCCTCCACTGAAGAACCCATTTTCACTCAGTTGGAGTGATATTAACCCCATTAAGCATACACAGACTGGAGTAAGTGGTTTAAACAGTAGGTTGTCAGAACCATCAAAATGATATTTAAAAATTAATTGTAACCCCCCTACTCCAGATACACAAATAAGAAGTGGAATCAATAATTAAATTACTTCGTGAGAAATACAATTAATTTCTTTGAAAAATGTAAATAAAGAAACAGTATATATGAAAAACTATTATTTAAACTTTTAGGACAAATATTAAATATAAACAATGATGCATAAATTTTTACAGATAAAAATAAAATTTTATTCCATAGTGGTCATCTGTATTAAATATTTTGAATATCTTTAAACTGGGAGTTTATGCTGAAACAGAAATTATACCTCAAGGCCGGGCGCCGTGGCTCACGCCTGTAAACCCAGCACTTTGGGAGGCTGAGGCAGGCGGATCAGAAGGTCAGGAGATCGAGACCATCCTGGCTAACACGGTGAAACCCTGTCTCTACTAAAAATACAAAAAAAATTAGCCGGGCATGATGGCGGGCGCCTGTAGTCCCAGCTACTAGCGAGGCTGAGGCAGAAGAACGGCGTGAACTCGGGGGGCGGAGCTTACAGTAAGCCGAGATCGCGCCACTGGACTCCAGCCTGGGTGACAGAGCGAGACTCCGTGTCAAAAAAAAAAAGAAATTATACCTCAAAAAAGGTGCAACAGAATTTTATAATCTTAAAATATAACATATTGTTTCTTTAATTTACTTCATCAGGTATTTATGTATCCTTAATTATTTCCGCCATCTTCATTGCAAATTTTTCCTGAAAAAACTGCTGAATGAAAAGGCTTTTCCAACTTTTATATTACTGAGAGCTCTATATGTTCTCCCAATATGAATAACCTTTTTAACCATTTGTTTACAATAAATAGCTTTAGCTACTCATTGGCTATCAATGTTATAATTATTTATTCCGTATTTGTCTTTTATTAGTTGAATATCACTGACAAAGCTATACTTTAAACTTTTAAGCTAGTTTATAATGGTGTATCAGGCAAATGAGTATTTGGTGGGGTGTGCTAATGCAAGCTAAAAATAAACCCCATCTGTTCACCTTTCAGACTGCACTGCATTAGTACCCTGCATATTGGGTACCACATAACTTAATGAAACACAAATAAAAATATGCTTATTTCTATATCTCTAACAGTAAAAGCAAGCTGCTTTTAAAAGGGAACAATTCATGTATTATTTCCTGGAGTGTAATACATTTGTGTATTTGTCAAGATAAACTGTACATACATTAAAGCCAACAATCTAGTGTCTGTTTTAGGTCCAAGAAATAGAAAATACTTAAGAATGTATACCTTAAAATGTTGGTTATTTCTTCCAAGTGCTTGAGTAATGTAACACATTTTAAAGTAAGTGTATACCCATATATTTTTACATCAAGCATATACTAATTGAATATTTTATCAATTCGATTATATATATCTTTGTTTATGAATCATTATATTTTGTGGCTAAGTAAATCCTATTACTTCATTCATTGTATTCTTACAGTTTCCATATCCTTTTATGCATCAAAACAATTTCCTAAAATTTTCTATGCCATGAATGTTATTGTCGGGTTTTGCTGCGTAAACAAGTCTAAAAATAAACATAAAGAATTGTACTTTTAAAAATAACTTTGATAGAATTAAATAATAAACATTTTGTTAAAAGCATTTTACAATTAATACTCAGATATGCTGTATATGTCTACATTTATATATTCAAATGTATTCATATATTATTTCCTGTAGACATCTAATTATTCCATGATCAGGAGACAAATTTACACTTAATTCGTCACAGGTTTTTCATCTGTTTATCATCATTTATCAATGCTGATAGCATTTATTGAACTACTGAGATCACAACTATTATTTGAAGCATTTGATTTTGAGACATAACATCACTCAGTGTAAGGAAAGGACAGTACTTTCTGGTTTATGCTTAGTATTCCCCTGGATGTCAATTGATACTTATTTTTGTCTCTCAAAAAAGATTTATTTTCTTTTGCAGTGACTACATTCCTTTCTTTGTCTTTGACAAGCCTAGGTATAATCATATTCTCTAGAACTTCTCCCTTCAATTTTCCTATTCATTCATGCACAGATATTTTAATAAAAACTCAAATAACCTAAGATGCCATTGTGCAAGGCATTGTAGGAAATACCTGTACTCTAGTAGTAGAAAGATTCTGAATCATCTCCTGTTAACTTTTGCTTCTGTACGAAATTATTTGATTCCTCACACCACATTGCTTGGACTACGTAACTTATATTTTATTCCTTACCCAAGCCACTTGTCCAATGGCCAGTTTGACTCTTTTATTTAGTTTAATAGAGTGCCAAAATAATCTATTTTTCAAATAAAGACATTTTAATGAGTTAAATGGAGCACTAAATATTAAATAAACTGAAAAAAATAGTATAAATTATCAAGACTGTCCTGGAAAAAACTTGGATGCATAGTCAATTCAGTCTATAATCACATGAGTACAGGATTTTAGATATCCGTTCTTCAGCCCCACACAGAGTGATGCCAATTGAATCCCAGTACTTCTCTCTTGACCCAGAGACAAACCAAATAATCCACCATTAACTGTATGTACCCCTCAGAGAAATGATTGTAATGTTTCTCAAATTATCATTTATCTACTACTTTTCTGTTCTGTATAATGAGAACTTTAAGTCAATTTTCCTTCCTTAAATAGGTCAAATACACTCCTCTGATTTAGACTTTTCTACAAGCTCTCAGCCGTGTTCAAAATTCTATCACTTATGTTCTTACCTCTAGAAGTCTTGAGGAAACAGTAGATAAATCCCTATACATGCTATGCTTCAATAAGAAGATTATCAATGAGTAGGAGAAAGGAGAAAGATAAGTTTTTCTTTCCGAGCAAATATTTATAATTTTTATTAAAGATCAAAAATGCTTATATTTTGAAGGAAGTGTCATTAATGAAAAATCCTTATTTATTTTAGGAGTATCATAGGATTTAGGATTTCTAAGCTTTAAGAGAAATATAATCAAACTGAAAACAAACCAAAATGGAATCGATTGCCTGAATGGACAATCTCTTTGAGTGCCATTCTAAATGCATGATAAGCATTTAGAAATGATTCCCACTGCTGTGGGAACAGCCGCAATATTTCAAGGCAATGAATTTTAAAATCAAAGCCAAAGATGTAAATAATTTTGCGTCTAATGTTTTGTGAAATAGAAAACACTTAAGTCTTTAAATAAAAAAAGAGTGGAGAATTGAGACAAATATTTTTCACCAGCTGGACTATATTATAACATAATTACAGCACTTAGGATAACATAGTGTAGGAAACAATACTATTTTATTGAATTATCTAAAGATTTCTGAGGGTATTTAGAACTAAGCTGAGGTGATGTCCAGGTGAAAAAAAGAACACATTATTATTATTGTTGTTGTTATTTTAGAGACAGGGTCTTGCTTAGTTGCCCAGGCTGGAGTGCAGTAGTGTGATCACAGCTCACTGTAACCTCAAACTCCTGGGCTTAAGTGATCCTCCTTCTTCAGCCTTTCAAGCAAGTAGGACTGCAGGCACATACCACCATGCGTAGCTATTTTTTAAAATTTTTTTTGTAGACATGGGTGTCTTCACTATTTTGCCTAGGCTGGTCTCAAACTCCCGGCCTCCAGCAGTTCTCCCGCCTAGGCCTCTCAAAGTGCTGAGATTACAGGCCCAGGCCAAAAGACAGGTTATTTTCAAAGAAACATAGCATTATACAATTTAGCGTTCAATGTATAAAGTAGTATTTATAAAGTACAGAGCAGAGCAACTTTTCAATGCCCATCTTAAGGTGAGTATATATATTACATATTTACAACTGGTGTATAATACTTTAGAAAGTGGTATTTACTGATAAGTCAAATGCCAATTGCCAGTGCCATTTCATGACAGTCATTGTCTGTCAAAGTATTTTTCGTTTTAGTAAAAATACGGATTTTTTTCAAAAATAAAAGAATTTCAATACAATATGATGGAGTTTATTTGAGATGTTTTTCTTTGACATGAACCAGCTCCTTCATTATCACTCTTTTATTGGGCTCAACCATTTTTCTATCTTTTTGGATGTGTCTTCTCTTATTTTATTTAGTAATTCTATATATTATTTCAAACTTCTGTACCTTGTAAAATTGCACCCTATCAAATGTGTGCTATCCTGCAGAACTTAAACATTTTATTGTAATTGAGAAACATTACCTTGTATCATTTTCTTCTTTCACAATTTTGATAAATTAGAATTAGTAGCCATGTGATTTTACTGAAGAGTTACTTAAAAGCACTTTCCTTTATATAACTTTCATTGTATAGAAAAGAATATGTGTATTAAAATTATTATTTACATCATATGAAGTATTTCAATCAGAAAAATAGATAAAATCATTTTGCTGGAGGCAACTCATTAGGTAGACAAGATCTGCCAGTAACAAGTGGACAGTCCATTTACCACATAGAAATCTTCCATAAATGATGTGCTTAAGAGGAAAAGTGTCCAGTGATAAATTTATATATATATGGAAACATTTATATATGGAAAAATTCTACTGTATTAATATATAATTTAATTTAAAATACATGCATATATATTTGCATCTGACCTAATTTAATAGAGCTTAAGTTATGCCAGTAAAGCTTCAGTATTTTTGTGTTTCTTCTCTGAAGCCCTGAACTGCTATTTCTAGTGGATAGTAGCAAAATAAAAGTTAAGTGAAATATTCTTATATTGCAGTTGGACAACCTGCTATTGATTTATGGTATGACTAATGAACCAACATGAAGTGGTGAATTACTGGAATAGAATTGAGATAATGCTGTGTTATTCCTGGATGTGAGTTATAATAAAATTACTAGTATTAAAGGAAATTGGATATTTTTCATGTTTTAAATTGAAGGGAAACAACATTTTAAACCATCAAGAGCAAACCAGCTTTTTAGTAAAACTATATTTTGGGACATGGTATTGTAAAACATATGCCATTGAATAATATCATAGATTGTTGCATGTTGTTGAGTTCCAAACATTTAGTTCAAGAGTGTGTGTGTGCATGTTTAATGTTACTATAACTTAGAAACCATATATGTATATGTATATACATATACAAAGACATGTTGCACTTATGTACAACATATGTATATACATTTATTATCTGTGAGTATGAGTATGCATGAATTGGCTAAAGTTGTATTTTATTACCCTGATACAGAGCAACTATGAAATAGATCACTATCTTTGAGCTTGTTAATAATCTGCTCTGGCTGGGCACAGTGGCTCACTCCTCTAATCCAGCACAAGAGGATCGCTTGAGCCCAGTAGTTCAAGACGGGGCAATATAGGGAGACCCTGTCTCAAAAACAAACAAACAAACAAACAAAAAAAACAACTAGCAAGGCATGTTGTCTTACGTCTGTAGTACCAGGTATTTGAGAGGTTGAGGTAGGAAGATTGCTTGACCCCAGGTGTTTGAGGCTTCAGTGAGCCAAGATCACACCACTGCACTTCAGCCTGGGCAAGAGAGGGAG
Organism: Homo sapiens; assembly: GCF_000001405.40. Taxonomy (NCBI): domain Eukaryota; kingdom Metazoa; phylum Chordata; class Mammalia; order Primates; family Hominidae; genus Homo; species Homo sapiens. The sequence continues at coordinate 184,199,364 of NC_000002.12, read as the reverse complement.
ATCCTGTCTCAAAATAATAATCATCATCGTCTACTAAATAATATTTTATGTAAGTGAATTATACTGGCTATAATTTTAGATCAGGAAGGACAGATTTGAATTCTGTGACCTTTGATGCTTTGATGAGATATTTTTTCACTCGCGTCCGTGTGAAGAGACCACCAAACAGACTTTGAGCAACAAGGCTATTTATTTCACCTAGGGGCAGGCGGGCTGAGTCCGAAAAGAGTCAGCGAAGGGAGATAGAGGTGGGACCATTTTATAAGATTTGGTTAGGTAAAGGAAAATTACAGTCAAAGGGGAGTTGTTCTCTGGCGGGCAGGAGTGGGAGTCACAAGGTGCTCAGTGGGGGAGCTTTTTGAGCAGGATGAGCCAGGAGAAGGAACTTCACAAGGTAATGTCATCAGTTAAGGCAAGGAACCGGCCATTTTCACTTCTTTTGTGGTGGAATGTCATCAGTTAAGGCAGGAACAGGCCATTTTCACTTCTTTTGTGATTCTTCAGTTACTTCAGGCCATCTGGGCCTATATGTTCAGGTCACAGGGGATGCAATGGCTTAGCTTGGGCTCAGAGGCCTGACATATTTAGCTACTCTGTGCCTTACTTATCTGCAATATAAGTATATAGTATGCATATAGAAAGATGATTTTTCCAAGATTTGAACTTTTATGGCTTTTTACAGCAAAACATTCTCTGTGCTTTTTTTTTTTTTAATTACCTTTTCTACTGTAACTCAGTTTCTTACAGGGCTAGATTAGAAATTGGTCTTCTGTAGTCATTAGCATAAAAGCTAAAATTAGAAATCCCCGTGAGGGAACATAGAGAAGAATAGATCACCAAAGAAACAAGAGTTTAGTTATTAGCTTTATCATCTCCTTATTTGACCAAAAATTTTGCTGAACATTTTAAATTTTATGATACCATAATTATGTTGGCAGTTGGGAACAAAAAATTCCAGTGCCTGTCATTGTTTAATTGCAAATTAAAATTATGTTCTGAGTTGTATTTAAATCTATTTTTTAAAGGAATGGTAATGATAGATAACATTTACTGAGTGTATACCATGTGACAGGTACTATGCTAGGTGTGTAGCAAGGTCAATCATATTTAATTCTCAGAGTAACAGTACAAATTTGGTTATATTATATGAGCCTGGAAACAGACTTAACTCTGAAAAACTGACACTTTGAGCAAAAGAATTAAATCTCATAAAATTATTGATCAAGAATATCTTAATCTATTTCTCTGCCTCAAGTCTTGGCTCTACATAAAAGCTTCCAGAAAAATAAAGATGTATTATTAAAAAAAAAGAAAAGAAAAGAAAAGAAATGAAAAACCTTCAGGGAAAGCAATTAACTTTCTTCCCTTAGAGCTCAAGCAAGTTCTAATGTAAGCAAATTATTTTTCTATCTAGATTTTTTACTTTTTCTTAACCACATTCTAAGACTATAGCCTTTCTAACTTTCATGAAAATCATAAAATATCCATTTATCAGATTTTACATGACAAATTGTCATATATACATATATATATGAGATTTGAAAAATATCAATGCACAATAATTGGCAGCACTGCCTTTATTTAAACTAATGGCAAGAATAATCCAGTTATGAGAAGTCAGAACGTTTAAAACCCTGGTAAACAGTTACAGATAGTTTAACTGATTGTAATGAAAATGCAGAAGGTAATGGTCACAGCACATGGCTTTGCAAATAAATGACCTGGAAAAGAATAGAAGGGAGAAGAGGGAGAGGGGTAAGGGAGAGGCCCAAGTTACAGGCAGCCTGGACACTGGAGGTACTAAATCCGTTGTGGTAAATGTCCCACAGTGCAATACTTCAATCTTCTTTCTTTCTTTTTGTATATATATATATATTTTTAATCGAGACAGGGTTTCACCATTTTGGCCAGGCTGGTCTCGAACTGCTGACCTCAGGTGATCCACCGGAACCTGGCCTCCCAAAGTGCTGGGATTACAGGAGTAAGCCACCGTGCCTGGCCAAATTTAGGGGCAGAAACCCCACGTTTCAGCCCCAGTCTTCTTTCTTGTTTCTCCCTTGTCACTGCCTCAGATTTGTCGTTTTGTTTGATTTTTATTTTATTTTATTTTTTGTTTTTCTATTTGGCTATTTTCAGGAACAAGTACTATTCAAGTCTCTATCTTTCCATTTTGTCCCTTTCACTTCTTATTCTACCATTTCTGAAAAGAAATCAGTTTCTTCAGTGGAACATAGGCAGTAAGCAAGGTTTTTTGTGGTTACTAAAAAAGGAAAGGTTATTATTTTTTTTAAATTGCACAAGGCAATACCCAAAATAGCTCCTCCCTTTAATAGTCTTAACGCATATAGTTTTCTGGTTGAGCTGTAAGATATTATTGCCAATAACCTTTGCTTTATTTCCAATAAAAAATGTAGTAACTTTAAGAGTTTCCCTTGCAGGTTTCACCTAAAGTGAGGATTAAATAACGAATCCTCCATATATGGAGAAAGAGGGCAAGCACTATAACTGATATATTTTACAATATTTAACTTTATAACTAAGCCATAGTTTTTCAATAAAAATAGAAAATAAGCAAAATAAAAATAATAAAAACAAATAAAACCTGGAAACTCCGAGAATATTTTAAATGATCTCTATGTAAAGCAGAAAAATAACTCAAAAATATCAAAGCATAAAGGTATTACTACAAAAAGGAGACTATTCAATGTCAGAAAGTAAATGCTGAAACAATAAAATTGTATCTGCATACTATTTTACAGAGTTTCTTTGATTATCTACAACAAAAATAATGAAAATGAACTAAGTATGAGACCTAAATTGGAAAAGAAATAATAAAATAAGTGCAAAGAAAATAGAAGGACACAATTACAATTCTGATCTTGGTAGAAAAAATAAACAGAAAACATACACAATTGAGAATAAGAAATAAAAGACCACTAGAAGGGAAAAGGTATATTTAAGTGTGGAGCTAGCTGAAGCTTAATTATCCTTTTCTTCTGCCTTCTAAATGCAGAAGAAAACTTGAAGCTATGTCTTGTGATTTAAACCTTGTAAGACCATTTGGATTTAACTGAAAAATACAGATTAGATTTCAAATATTCTCTGAGTAATTAAAAAACAATAACAAAGTTTTACTTTGCTTTCTTTCACAACTATGGAATGTCACTGTCAATTTCAGTTGCATATGGAATAAATTTTAAATTTAAAAGTTAAAATGAGCATAACAATGTGCATTTCTAGCTTTGCCCATTATTATTATCCTGCAGATATATACAGCAAAGTATACACAAATAAAATACATAAGATCAATCTAAGATTGCTTGTTCCTGAAGGGAAATTAATCTACTTCTCAAGTTGTTACTTTATTTTTTGAGGGAAGAAAATGTCCTTCAATAGGAAGAATAATGGGAGCCATTCAAAGGAGAATTTAATGTTTTGAACTACAAAGGTATTATGGTGTATCCTTAATGCCTACCACTACATACCCTTCACTACTGTGAAAATATGTGTTCAAAACGCATATTTTAATGTCAAAATCATCCAATAGTTTTCAAAGCAAGTGCTTCATTTTATGTCAGAGAACATTTGCTTAATCTGTGAGGTTTGGTTATTTATACTGTATTTGTGCATGTCTCAAGAAATACAAGGTTCATATGATCAAGTGCAATACTTTCAATTGAGAAAATTGCACAGTGTTTCTTTTCTTTATGATATCATAAAGTATATGCAAAAGCTGTAAACCTAAGCCCTAATTAGCATATTGTATCAATTAAACAGTGAAAATTAGATAATAAATGAGTCATTACACATGTCAGAAAAATGAGAGAAAGGTATTTGCATCAGGCCCTTCCCTACAGACTCTTTTGATGTCTATCTGAAATAAATACGATGAGATAAATTCCATGTTGATCACAAAAGGGAAATCATTTTTTTATTTTTATTTTAGTGTTCTTCCTTGTATAGATACCTTGTAAAAAATGTTATAGTTATATTTTACACAGAATAATGAATAATCTATAGTTATACATACCAACCACATGGGCATTGTATTGGCAAACAAAGAAATCTTTGGTCAATTGACTTAAAATACATGTAAATAATACTTTTCTGGCTTTGATCTTCTACAACAATCTGGAAATTGTGTTATATAATTCTCAAATTATGTGGCAATTCTAAGAGATAGGTGAGAGATTTAAAACAATTTTATTTGTAATTTATATATTAAATATTCATGTCTAGTTCGCTAAAGTTAGTAAAATTAACTTTTGAAGAGCATCACACACTCAAGAAGTGTACTTTAATAATCACTAAAACAAAAAAATATGTAAAGGTGTAAATGACCCTTTGGAAAAGAACTTCAACTCAAGAAAATATTTTAATGGCTTTATATTTTCTTGCATTTCAAAATGGTTTGTAGACACAAAAACAAAATATGAAAACATGTTAGTATATTTATAAAATTACATTTAATTTTTGTAAATCTGATTCAAAACCAAAGACTTGTAGTGCTGAAGAGGATCGTTTTATCAAAACTGCATGCAATTTTTTTTTACATTTTCTTCTAACTTCCTAGTCCGATTGATAATACACATCTCCTACACAAATAAGTTTTTAAACCATTTAAAACATGTTTCATACATTTTAAATACATAACACATGAAATGTATTCAATATAATGCAGTAGTACATATAGAGTGCTTGAGTAAAATACAGATAGTGATTGTAGAGCATTATCGGAAAAACTAGAACAGTAATCAAATGGTGTGGTTTATAAAATCTAACGTGCAAACATTTCAAGGTGAGGCTTGTGAGTTTTAATGTATTTTCTTCTTTTTCATGAAAATAATTATTTATTTAAAGAGAGGTTCACATTACACTGAAGTTTTCAATGTTTAAGGTCTAGAAAACTCTCAAGACTATTTATAAATTAACTTACTGCCTAAAACAAGCAATCATCCAAATAACCTCAAACATATCAAATGAGTTTATCCAAATCTTAAAATGTTGAAATGATGATCCTCAAAAGGACTTAACCAGACCCTTGCAAAAGGAAGGGAGGTGTGAAATATTTAGAGAAGAATGTGATTTTCTTAGTAAATCAAACTTTGAAGACTCTTCAGTTGTAGCCATTGCTAGAGAGTCATGGTAAAGCTTCTTATTAACTTGGAGATCACAAACTTTCATAAAAAATAAAGATAATTCTTCAAGACCATAGAGTCTCAGTTAACTGTGATAATGATGTTAACCACATATATAATTTAACATTGTTGAGTGGCATATTTATAAAGGTGAAAGGAAACAGGTGAAATTAATTTTAGTATTCAAAATATCATGTTACCATATAATCAGCATAAAAATTATTGAAGCTATATGACATACATTTTCAACTAAGTTTTGAGATCTAGTGTGTATTTTACACTTACACATATCTGAATTTGTATTGGACAATGTGTCACTATGATGTATGAGTGAAACTTCAGTGTCAAAAAGTTACATATCATATGCATCTGAAATTCTCTGATCTGAGAGAATGAAGCTCACTCTCACTTTGACTGTTCCATTACTTTTCTTTTGTTAAACATGTTTGGATTATGCTCTCTGTTTAGATGTTATTTCATTAAACTAGTGAATTTTTGTCATTTGCAGCCTTTGATAGATTAGAGGATCCTTCAATAATTCAGATCTACTTTAATTTCATTATTTATCCATATTTGATTCTGCATATCTTCACAAGCAGCCTAGACACTGGATTTTCAGTGTAGTTTCCTAAAGCCTAAGGGTCATTGCTAAAATCTCCAAACATCAAAAATACTGAGTCACAATGTCAAAACTTTTCTGATTATAGAAGATGCCAGTTTCAAAGACAGCTTTTTTCATAGAGATGAAAGCCAAAAAAAAAAAAAAAATCCTATAATATTTCAATATAAATATTTTGAGAATTTTTCTCTGAAGATAATTGTTTATAATTAAAAATTGTCAATATTAAAAAAATTCAATTACCATGGATTAAAAATAGATGATAAATCTGAATACTAAAATACATTAATGTATGGAATAGTTATATGTCATATATTCCCAGCAAAGGAGATTCTATTTGTTGATTTTGATTATGAATGGTTGAAATTTCCCATTTATTCTTTACCTCAAAATATTGTCCTGTAATTACAATTTCATTGTGCTAGCCTTAACTGTTAGAATGATTTCCAAATTTGTTTGCATGCTACTAGGACATAAGATGTCATGAAAGTTACAATCCTTTGAATATAATTTTATTCAATTTATTTATTCAATTTATTCAATTCTATTTAAAATGTTTTATTCATAGTAGTATTTTTTGAACATTATAGATAAGAAAAAGAGGTTAAAAAACATGACCTTTCATTTGTCACTGTTTGGCTTTTGCATTGTGAAAGATGTGTTTAACCTTTTATTTCCTAGAGCAGAAACTATATAAAGGTATGTGAGTTGTGTAATAGCTATAAGTGAGCTCCTTACGCCTCCAGGAAAGTACTCTGACATTCACTATTTAAGGCTTCAAATTTGTGCTCTTGTAAAGGTCAGAGACCAAAGAACATTTTCAAGGCACTTAGTAAGTGGAGGAAAATTTTTGCAATTTGTTGAATGCTTCTTTTGAGCGTTAAACCAATAAAAATGCATGTAATTTGTTAACATCACAATAAAAATGTCTTTCAGGAAGAGTTGATCCATAAGGAATCTATGTGACATGTAAACTTAGAATCAAAATTTTAATTACAGAGAAAATATTAGGCATCTCTCAAAAGTGTGTATCACCATTTCTGGGATTACAATTTCAATTCCCAAACATACCCAAAGAATTTAATATATTCTACACTATTAATCAAGTGCTTGGTCACAATGATAATACAAACCAATATGCCAGAAAATCTTTGTTAGTATATTCCAAATCCATTTTTTCTTAGTAATTTTAGGCTTTCAAAGACAAAACAAAACCCCAAAACCCTGCCAACAACAAATAAGCCATCAAGAAAAAAAATAAAAACATTTTCAGATTGTTTATGAACACACGGTGCTAGCCTTTCAGGGAATAACTCTATTAAATAGTTGCTCTTTTGTTTTGTTTAAACATACTCTTAGCTCAACTATATGTCAAAATATTCCTTAAGATTAAAATAAGGTAGTGTTTTATATTTCATTTCTAATAAGAAAAAAATATATAACTTTTTGTGTTTAGCAGTGGTGTTTGCATGAACAATTTAAATTATAACAAAAGAACTTTGTTTTCCAGAAGAAATATATACACATTGGAAGGTTCCATATTTGCCCGTCAAAGGAAGTAGCTGCCATATTTTATTATATACACCAATCTCTCTCTTTCTATCTATGCCCTGGTCTCTAAATGCATATGTAAATGTAAATTACAATAAATGTGAATAAAATTCTTTTAAAAAAATTGCAGGTTTGAGTGACACCGTTACCTTGCAATATTATTAACACAAAACCATGAAGTGATTTTTAATTGTTCCCTCTAAATTTTACCATTTATGGAGATTTTCCTCAAGTAACTGATTCTTCCAACTAAAGTTTCTAACATTAGTTGTTTTCGTTTATTTTTCAATCTTTTCACTGACAGTTGATAAACTCACTACTTCATGTCATTTCCTTTAGTCCCCAGTTTTGGAAAATTATAAAAAATAAATTTATATTTTTAAGTATATACAGAAGTGGCAAAATATAAAGAAAGCAAGAAGTAATAAGAAAAGTTAAAGTATTTGTTGTCATTCCAGGAGGAGAAGAGAGAAATAATCTTATAAGGCCTCTTGAAGGGCAGGCTATAAACCTGGCAATATTGTATTTTTCAGGCTGGAAGTTTGCTTTGTAATTATTCATTACATCATCCTTTATGTATTGTGTACTTTTCTATATGCGTAAAATATGTCTTAATACAAAGAATTTAAACACTCATGTTCTCTCCAGCGGAAAAGAACATCAAATATAAGAAGAAAAATATCACACTATTCTCAGTCTTCTCTAAAACAGAGCTCAATGTGAAAAGAGTAAAAAAAATTTTAGAGTTCAGAAAAATAAAACAAACCTAATCACTGTATTTCCTTCATTTATAAAGAGTATAGATATGCCTAAAAATGCACAACATTGCATACTACCTTTTAAAAAGAAAGCTATTTGATAATAAGTTAAATAATACAAGATAAAGTGATTGAGATAGATTGGTGATGGAGATGAAATTGTAGAACTAAAACATGTGGAAGCTACAGATACAGATCAAATTGTACAGTTTTGTACATACATCCAGATGAGCTAACTTATACCATAGTAATATTTGCTGAAATATCTCAGTGGCTTAGCACAACAAACAGTATTCATTTCTACCACATTAATACATAGATATAGGTCGGCAGGGGACAGTGCCTGTGGAAGTTCCTCAGACCACCAGCCTGAGGAAAGTCTTCAGTGGAGCTTTGGTCTTATGTTATGGAAGCCCGAGTTGACTGAGGCCAGAATAGAAATTACAATTGTACCATATGTTTGGAAAAGAGTACTAGAAATACTTATCAGTGTTACTAACGTGTACCATAATTGTGAAGATTTAAAATGTAAAATTAAAAATATAAATAACAAAATTTGGCAGAACAACAGGGAGATGAAAGTAAAGCAAAACATGTTAATATCCTCATTTTTCATAGCCGAAAAGCAGTAGAGCTTGTAAAACTGGAAAAAAATGAGTTACAAATGAAAACAATTCCAAAAGTAATAATTTATACATTCTTCAAGTTCAGAGAATTCTGTTGCAATATAACATCTCGTTTTCAAGAAATGTCATATTTAGTATTTTAATATTTAATTTTGATTACAAAATGTATTTGCCATTATTCATCTGCATTATCAGAAGCACCAGAGACATTTTGATAATTTTAAAATGAGTTTTCACAAATATTTTATTATATAAATAAAAAACTTTTACTTACATTTAGAAGGATTATGATAAAATGAAGAAAGGATTCAGCGGGGAGGCCGGGCGTGCCGGCTCACGCCTGTTAATCCTAGCACTTTGGGAGGCTGACGGAGTTCAAGACCGGGCTGGCCAACATGGTGAAAACCCGTCTCTACTAAAAATACAAAAAAAAAAAAAAAAAAAAAATTAGCTGGACATGGTGGTGGGCACCTGTAATTCCAGCTACTTGGGAGGCTGAGGCAGGAGAATTGCTTGAACATGTCAGGCGGAAGATTTAGTAAGCTGAGATCGCACCATTGCACTCCAGCCTGGGCAACAAGCGAGAAGCTCTGACAAAAAAAAAAAAAAAAAAAAGAGAAAGCGAGAGAGAGAGAGAATTCAGTGTGAAATTCTGAGCAATAGTGCTAAAATTATGCAATATTTTCAAGAAAATAATGTTCAAGATTAATACACAGAAATTCATTATAAAGTCATGGAAGCTTAATCTTGTTTGCAATATCAAGTCCAAAATTATATCTTTGCCTATTCACTGCAGTTTTAGCAATCGGTGAAGACTATGACATCCTTAGAATATTTTTCACCCAAAACGAGTTCTTAGATTATCAAGATAAAACAAGAAAAATTAGAATCAAATGTGTATTTGAGAAGATCAATAGAAGAACATGGTTTTAAATTATCATCCCTCTGTGAGAGATACCCACTTTTATCTGTCTATATTTTTTCAGCTTTGTTAATGCAATATTTAAAATCATGCAACATATGCCTTGGATTATGTTAATTGGATTATGTGCTGATGTGTCTTGGAAAACTATGATATATTGATAAAAATTTGACTTTTCCTTTTGAAAAATAATACACTCAGGAAAAAAGTTTTAAGTAGCCTATATTAAAATGTCAATTGAAAAACAGAAAATTCTCTATTTTCTTTGGTCCATTAATGTTGCCATTTATATTATAAAGTTGTCTTGAATTTTCTGTCATTTTGATCATGCCTTTTTATTACCGTTATAAAGTGATTAAAAAAATAAAGTGATTGACTTTTTTCAACTGTATTGCTATAATTAAAATACCTTTTATTACACTTTTTAGTGTACATGTGAGTGTATTAATAAAAACTCTTTAGGTACTTTTAATTAATTTGTACTTCAATGAAATGATGTTGCTGAAATTGTAATTTGTAGTATAAGGGGCATTATAAAGTTTGAAAAGCATTTTCTGAAAATAATAATAGACAATAACAATACCGCTCTACAATAGTACAAGTACAATATTAATTGCAAACTGAAAATTAATGAGACAAACTTAAGGTTAAAATTTAGTAGTATAAATTAGAAATTCAGCAATTTCTTAATAAATATTTCCAAAATTTTGATCTTTTCACATTTATGCTCATGCCTCAAAACAACATATGTCATTTTATATAACCTCTTTTTCTACTCCAAACATTATTCTGAATGATAGACTATTCAGTATATATATGTGTACACATATCTATACATGTGTGTAATAACTGTCATGTGTATATGTATGTATTGTTTACTAATACAGCTATAAGAGCCATTACCACCATGGGTAACATAATAAGGGCTGTTGTTTTTTTCATTATTTTCTGTATGCCTACTTACATACTTTATAAGTGCTTAATTGATATGGCTTGGTGTGTCCCCATCCAAATCTCATCTTGAATTGTAGCTCCTATCTTTCCCATGTGTTGTTGGGGGGGACCTGGTGGGATATAACTGAATCATGGGGGCGATTTCCCCATACTCATCTCATGGTAGTGAATAAATCTCACAGATATGATGGTTTTATCAGAGGTTTCCCCTTTCCCTTGGTTCTCATTCTCTCTTGTCTGCTGCCATGTAAGACATCCCTTTCGCCTTCTGCCATGATTGTGAGGCCTCCCCAGCCATGTGGAACTGTGAGTCCATTAAACCTCTTTTTCTTTAAAAATTACCCAGTCTTGGGTAGGTCTTTATCAGCAGCGTGAAAACAGACTAATACATTAATATACAATTATTAATAATAATTACTTTCTATATTCTCATGAGAAAAACAGAAAAAATCTGATATTCCAGGAGATCCATGTTGATTCAAACCCATATGCTACTGCAGATCTCGAGACTCTCTTCCTACATGCAAAAAAGTACAATGAAGAAATGTGTATGTTATATAGAGAAAGACATGCAAGATGCATGATTTACTAATATGTTTAAAGATTTCTGGTTTATATAATACTAAGGGGAACAACCCCTTGACACCATGCATAAATTTGGAGTAGGATAATATCGTGATGTGGGCAAGATGTATCTTAATCCATGAAATGTAAACTATGGTGGGAGAATCAAAGAAACTCAATCAATGAAGAAAGATGAAGCTTTGATAGTAAAATATATTGTACCTGAACTTTAGCCAATATATTGTCACTGTTAATAACAATGCAGGCATCCCCTAAACTTGGTGAACATACATTTTACAAAGATGATATTTTCCTAGTGAGTGTAAATTTCTAGGTTCTGCTTCAGATTAGTGAGAAGGCTTTAGCTGTGCTGACATGTTGTTTCACCTCTCTCCAAACTTATCCTCTAGCCCAGTGGTCCCCAAACCCTGGGCAACAGACCAGTACTGGTCCATGGCCTGTTTGGAACTGGGCCACACAGCAGGAGGTGAGCGCAGAGTGGGCATTACTGGCTGAGCTCCGCTTCCTGTCAGGTGAGCAGGAGGCGGCAGACTGGGCAGCAGCAGATTCCCATAGGAGTTGGAACCCTATTGTGAACTGCGCATGCGATTGAACTGCGCATGCGAGAGATCTAAGGTGTGTGCTCCTTATGAGAATCTAACTAACGCCTGATGATCTGAGTTGGGACAGTTTCATCCCACCCCCACTCCCATATGTGGAAAAATTGTCTTCCAGGAAACTGATCCTTGATGCCAAAAAGGTTGGGGACCGCTTCTGTAGCCCCAACATCAATTTTGACCATAGGAAAGTCTACTTGGTTTCAAGACTTATAGTAAAATCCCTCTTTACTCTTTACAGCTCTACTCTCATTGGTATGTTGACCTCTGTCTTCACTGCCGAGTCATATAAGAGCCCAAATGGAATGAAAGGCCAGGACCCAAAACCTAACAAGTGTCTGCAGACCTGCAACTAAATTCCTCAAGGTTTGTCCTATAAAGTTTCTGTTCTTAGGTGCTGGCAAATTTGTTTGAAAGTGTTTATTCAATTCTTGGGCATCTATTAGTTAGAATTTATATTACCAACTTAATTTACCTTAACCTAAGGCTGCCCTGGAAAATATTTTGTGTGTTTTTAAAATACTTCAAGCACAATGCAAAAAGTTATCGAGTAATTTTTTTTTGAGTTTTTGAAAATCTTTTAAAAACGTGGAATTTTCAGGGAACTGAAAACATAAAGAGAATTTCCAAACCATAACATGGAAATTACCATTAAAATCTGACCACTCAAAGACAAAAAGTTATTAAATAGCCTAATATGATAAAAAATAGCAATGTATTTTGGTCTTTAATATTGTTGTAAAGTAACTATTTTGGAGGGTCAAGCTATGAAATATCCTTATCAGGAGACTGCCTTATAATTAGTTTAAGATCTCTGCTAAATCAATTTATGGATACTCCATTCAAGAGGATGAGCTCAACAGCGTAGTCAAATACTACCTACTTGAGTAACTCAACTTTGGAGCCTGCCCTGTGGCTCATCAGATTTCCAGCCTTTTGAAAACAAAGTTTCAGTCTTTGGTCCTCAGTTTTGCTGCGTCATTGATACTTTATTACTCCATCCCATCTTGACCCTGACGTGTGATCAGTTCTCACCAGGTGCTCCCATGCAACAGTACTTGCATTATTTCAAAATGGTACTAAAAGTAAACCTCATTTTAAATGAATCTTAGATAACCATATGTCACAGGAGGAATGATAACAGATTTTTATAAAGGTCTCCGTAATTTAAGAAACTTCTTCAGTTTACTAGGAATAATTTATTGAGTGATAAAAATTAATTTTATTAAAAACATGCTATTCATTTTATCTTATTTATAATTATGCATTTTAGTTATGTAATTAGGTCTGCCTGTAATAAATGTTTAATAAATTATTGGATAATTTGTAAGATAATAATCACTTCAGCCTATGAGAGAGACGATTGAAATTGAGTATTTTCTCTCTGCTGTCTTCTACACATATACACATGCTCTTTTTTTACACTCTTACATGTTGGTTAAGAAGGAATAAAGAATAATATTCCATGAGGTCAATGAATCTATTTTTCCTGCATTTAGCTAATGCTTTCAGCAAATATCTGTTTGAAATGATATGACCTCAATTTCCATTACCCTTTAGATACATAATAGACACTCACTCAGTTTTAGAAATGTTAATCTAAGGGATGCTGCAATGAGAAAAGTATTAATATTCATGTGGGAAGAAAAGTAAAAGAGGGGGCTGGGCACAGTGGCTCACGCCTGTAATTCCAGCACTTTGGGAGGCCGAGGCGGGTGGATCACGAGGTCAGGAGATCGAGACCATCCTGGCTAACGCGGTGAAACCCCGTCTCTACTAAAAATACAAAAAATTAGCCGGGCGTGGTGGTGGGCGCCTGTAGTCCCATCTACTCGGGCGGCTGAGGCAGGAGAATGGTGTGAACCTGGCAGGCGGAGCTTGCAGTGAACCGAGATCGCTCTACCGCACGCACTCCAGCCTGGGTGACAGAGTGAGACTCCGTCTCAAAAACCAAAAAAAAAAAAAAAAAAAAAAAAAAAAAAAAAAAAAAGAAAGAAAAGAAAAGAGGAATACGATAGATGTTTGTAGTTTCTTACTAAAACTGCTTGAAATATATATTAATATAAAATTCTATCTATGAAAATCTATTACACTGCTTCCTGTCACTACACTGCCCCTTTCTGATTAATGCACTCATTATACATAAATATTGAATTATTTATCCCTACTGTCCTTATCAATATGACTCCAAGCCATCCTTAAATTATTTAAGATGAATTAATGACATTTACTGTGAATGTATAGTTAGTGAAGTAGCCTTATCCTCTAAGTCAAAAATCACATTTTGTCAACAAACAATTGTCTAAACTTTACCATGACATTTCCTGCAAAGCTTTCAAGTAAATTACACAAAGTACTTTTTTTGTTCTTTTCACAAACTGTTGACCTATTAGACTCAAAAATATTTCTTAAAATTCTCTCTTAGATACTGAAAATAGAGATAGCTTAAAGTGAAAATGTCACTAAGTAAGTGGTTGAACTTTGACAACACATATAATGTTTGTCAATGGAACAAGAGTATGTAATAGTTTGGGCAAGAAAAGGCCCTAGGTGAACTCACATCACCAAATGAAAGAACAAAGTCATTTTACTGAGTATTCAAAAGTTGTTGAAAATAATATATAATAGAGATATTTTTTATTTTAGAAAATTTAACATTAATATTAAAAACATGCAATTGGAATACTCTACTATGGCATTTTCTCTCATAGCTAGGTAAAATTATTTATAAGAGTAACATTTTCTGAAATCCACCAAACTAGACAACTCTAGAGGCAACTTTTAGAAGTGAGTTTTCCTATTTAATAGCTGCATGTGAGGTGTGGGAAAAGATGAATTACATTTCTGTATTAAGGACAATGAATTCCAATGCTTATGTGACAAAGACATTTCAGTCTTTACTAGTGAGATAGTAAATATCTTTCTGAAGAGACAAACTTTTAGGTCCATGAAGACAAGGCATGGCTGACTAACAAAAATATAGAATCAATTAAATGCATAAAACTATATTTAAAAACAGAATGTTCTTATGGATTAAAAATTGCTTTTTATTATAAAAGAAGTTTTTATTATAAAAGAAATTTGAATTATAAAAAGAAATTTTATTATAAAAAGCAATTTTTAATCAATAAGAATATTCAAGGGAAACTATATCACCTACCTTTAAAGAGCCTAAGTTTTTAAGCAGAGATCTGCATCTGAAGCTCCGCTCCTTCAGATAACTCACAATGTCACCTTAATAAATTTACATAACTTCTGAGCTTTGCTTTTTAAAAATTATTTCTAATTGACAAATAAAATTATATACATTTATTGTATACAACAAGTTTTGAAGTATATATACATCGTGAAATGGTTTAATTTAGCCAATGAACAAATGCATTACCTCATATAGTTATTTCTGTGGCGAGAACACTTCACATTCACTCTTCGAATTTTTCAAGAATATAATATATTGTCATTAACTATAGTGACCATGCTGTACAATAGATCGTTTGAATTTATTCCTCCTAACTGTAATTACGTATTTCTTGGCCAATAGCTCCTGTGTTAGTCTGGGTTCTCTAAGGGACACAACTAATAGGATAGATGTACACATGAAAGGGAGTTTATTAAGGAGTATTGACTCACAAAATGACAAGGTGAAGTCGCACAATTGGCCAGCTGAAGCTGAGGAGCAAGGAAGCCAGTCCAAGTCCCAAAACCTCACAAGTAGGGAAGCTGAGAGTGCAGCCTTCAGACTGTGGCCGAAGGCCCAAGAGGCCCTGGCAAATCACTGGTGTTAAGTCCAAGAGTCGAAAAGCTGAAGAACTTGGAGTCTGATGTTCAAGGGCAGAAAGCACACGGCATGGAAGAAAGATTAAGACTGGAAGACTCAGCCAGTCTAGTCCTTCCACGTTCCTCTGCCTGCTTTTATCCTAGCTGTGGTGGCAGTTGATTGGATGGTGCCTACTCAGATAGAGGGTGGGTCTGCCTCTCCCAGTCCACTGACTCAAATGTTAATCTCCTTTGGCAACCCCCTGGCAGACACATTCAAGAACAATACTTTGCATCTTTCAATCCAATCAGGTTGACATTCCATATTAACCATCACTTCTCATTATCCCCTATTCCCCCTCCTCCCCAATTTCTCTAGTCCCATGTAACCACCATTCTATTTTCTACTTCTATGAGATCAATTTTTTTAGATTCCACATAGGTGTGAGATCACATAGTATTTGTTTTTCTGTGTCTGGCTTATTTCACTTAAAATAATGCCTTCCAGTTCCATTTATGTTTTCACAAATGATAAAAACTCCTTCATTTTTTATAGTTAAATAGATTCCATTGTGTACGCCACATATTTTCTTAATCCACTCATCTTTTGATGAATTCTTAGGTTTATTCTATATTTTGGCTATTGTGAATAATGCTGCAATAAACATGAAAGTGCTGATATATCTTTGACATACTGATTTTATTTCCCTTTGATATATACCCAGCATTGGGAATGCTGGATTATATGGTAGTTTTATTTTTAATTTTTTGAGGAATCTTCATTCTGTTTTCCATAATGGCTATAATAATTTACATTTCCACCAACTGTGTAAGGGTTCCCTTTTCTCCACATCTTCATCAACACTTATCTTTTGTCTTTTTGATTATAGCCATTCCAACAGGAGTGAGGTGATATCTCATTGTGCTTTTAATTTGTATTTCTGTGATGATTAATTATATTGAGCATTTAAAAAATATACTGGTTGGCCATTTGTATGTCTCTTTTTTTTTTTTTTAGGAATGTTCAGATCCTTTGCCCACTTTTAAATTAGTTTATTTGTTTACCTGTTTCTTTAGCGTTGTGAATTCCTCATGTAATTTGAATATTATCCCTTTATTGGCTATAGAGTTTGCAAATATTTTCTCCCATTCCTTAGGTTGCCTCTTCACTGTTGTTTCTTTTGCTGTGTGAAATTTTTAAATTTTAAATCAACCCACTTATCTACTTATGCTTTTGAGATGATATCCAAAAAATACTTCTGAAGACCAATATGATAAAGCATTTCCCCTGCATTTTATTCTAGCAATCTCATACTTTTGGCTCTTACATTTAAGTCTTTAATCCATTTTAGTTGATTTTTATATATAGTGAGATTAAAGGGTCTAATGTCATTCTTCTGCATGTAACTATTTAGTTTTCCCAACACCATTTATTGAAGAGACTGTCTTCCCCATTGTGTGTTCTTAGCACTTTTTCCAGAATTCAGTTGCCTGAAAGTGTGTGGATTTATTTCTGGTCTCTCTTTTCTGTTCCATTGGTCTGCTGTCTGTTTTTATGTCAGTTCCATGCTGTTTTGATTACTATTGCTTTGTAGTATATTTTGAAGTCAGATAATGTGAATTTTAGGATTTTTTTTTCTATTTCTTTGAGGACTATTATCACTATTTTGAAAAGATTATACTAAATCCCTAGATCACTTAAGTAGTATGGGCATTTTAACAATATTAATTTTTCCAATTTATGAATACAGAATATCTTTCATTTCATTATGCCCTTAATTTTTTTTTACCTATATTTTATAGTTTTCATTGTAGAAATCTTCCACCACTTTGGTTAAATTTATTTATAAGTATTTTATTTTTCTTTAGCTATTGTAAATGGGATTGTTCTCTTGATTTCTTTTTCAGATAGGCTGCGGTTAGTATATAGAAATGCTATTGATTTTTGTATGTTGATTTTGTATCCTTCAAATTTACTGAATTTTCTTATTACTTCTAACTATTCATTGGTGGAGTCTTTAGAGTTTTCTATTTAAAAGATCATGTATTCTTCAAACAGGGATAATTTAACTTCTTAATTTCCAATTTGTATGCATTTTATTTCTTTCTCTTGCCTAATTGCTCTGCTAGAACTTTCATATACATAGAGTACAGAGTATCGGTATTAGAGAGTTGTTGGAAGCTCTTATAATTGTCCTTCTTGGGCTACCTTATGGCTTCACCGTTGACTAGCTTAGTAATCTTTGGCAAGTTACTTGATCTTCAGCCTCCATTTCTTCTACAAATGATGAAAATGGCATTAACTACCAGATGAAATTTCTGTGATTATAAAAAAATTAAACATGTGAAACACTTAGAATGATGTCTTTCACATAGTAAGTTTTCACCAAATATTAGGTCCCATTTTCATTGTTCAGAGGATATCTTAATTTTGATTTAGGTACTCTTGCTATATATTCTAACGTTGTACTTTTCAATTTGTTAGGTAATATTTTCTATTAAATGATCCAACCTATCTTTGTAATTAGATTTTTAGAGCCAACTTTGAATAGCAGATGTAAAGCACAATATAATCAAGCACCCATATGATTAATAAATGTTTTAACTTATTGTCAAATGCTTTAATATCTTATAGATACTATCTCTGCCAAATTGGACAAAGTTGAGTGCTAATATTACATAGCTATTATAATTCAGACAATGAACAAACAGATATAGGCAGATATGAATGTGTAACTTATATGCTCATATCAATTGGCAAAGCTATTGAGAGAAAAATTCAACATGGGTGTTTAGAATAGAGAAATATAAAGATCCTCTAAATATATAATTATTAGTTTTGTTTACTCCAACGATCTGAATTTAATATTTTTATAAATACATTTCACCTTATTATATTCTTTTCTAATTTAACTTACTTAGTTGCCTAAAAGTGCTTTTTCCTCTTTGAGTTTATATAATGTTTAATCCATAAAGTGCAATTAGGCCAATGAGGTAAACAAAATGGCTTAAACAGTTCTTATGGCACTATACGTGTGTGTACAATTTGTATAACAAATTTGAGTTATATATTTAAAGTATCTGATAATAATCCATTACAACTAAGTTTGTAAAATTTCTACACTCTCATAAAACTCTTTAATTCACTGAAGCACAAAATTGTTTCCCATGTTGTAGTCAACAATGAGCTCAGCATAAATGTGCTACTGAAATTTTATGATAGCCGGATATAACAGTTGTCTTTCATTTTAGATAGCTTAATATATCAGAATACAAGTGTAAAAGCAGCACCTGAGGTTGTAATATATTTCTTAACATTTATCAATCAAAGCTTTCAACCTTATAAAATATTGTGGAATATAAGAAAATACATTAAAATATACTTTATTAATAAAAGGTGATGAAATATTGATAAAGTCATAAATTTTATAGGAATTTGGAATCTCTAAATATTTCTCATTGTTTTAAACAACATAATAAACAAAGCATGTATTTTTACTGGAAGATAGAATCTCAGGCTAGATCATATCCTTTAGTTATGATTGAAAATAGACATTTTACAGAAATTAATTTGAAAAGCAAAATTGCTTTTGATATTTGAAAATTATCTAATTAAACAAAACACATAATGTTAAAATTAAATTGCATTTGGCATCTGTGTCTAGTTAGTAATGAAATTTCTCAAACAAAAAATTGTCATTCTCAAAGAGCTAAAACATTCAGTAATGATCCAACAATTGTGGTCCTTGGTATTTACTCAAACAAGTTGAAAATTTATGCCCACACTAAAACCTGCACATGAATGTTTATAGAAGCTTTATTCATAGTTGGCAATACCTGGAGGCAACCAAGATTTCCTTCAATAGGTCAATGGATAAACATACTATGGTACACATACATAAAAGAAAATATTATTTAGCTGTAAAAGGAAACGAGCTATTTGGTAGACAAAAGACATGGAGGAACCTTAAAAATGTATTGCTAAGTTAAAAAAAATTCAGTCTGTAAAAGCTTCATAGTATTTGATTCCAATTATATGACATTCTGGAAAAGGGAAACCTATCGAGAGAGTAAAAAATAAGTGGTTGCCAGGGGTTCGGGAGTAGAGGTGGGAATGGATGAATAAGAGGAACACATGGGGTTTTTAGGACAGGGAAACAAAACAATTTTGTATCATAATGCCATGGTGGATACATGATATTATGCATTTGGTAAAACCCTTAGAATTGTATAACACAAAGAGTGCAACTTAATATAAAAGATACACTTTAGTTAATAAATAATGTATGGGTCCATAAATTGTAACAAATATGCCGAGCTAATGCAGTATGTTTATAGGTGAAACTGTGGGTGGGGGAGGATATGGCACTTTCTGTACAATTTTTTTTGTAAATCTAAAACTGCTTTAAAATTCTATTCATTTTTTAAAAATATTAGTACGTAAGGTTGCGCTAAAGAGAAGCTGGGTTTTTAAGAGATGGGAAAGATTGTTATTCTTCTCAAGTGAAAGGACAAAGTAATTCAGGTTTTGAGTTTATTTTTTAATATTGTATAATTTTTTACTTACCAAAATATTTTACATTCTTATAGATATGAAAATGAAATGTGTGTGAAAGACAAGTATAAATTTTAGCTAATTTTACACAACTAAAAAATAAAACATAGGTTTTTCTATAGCTCTATAATTGCTACTTGAATAGTTGACCATTTCCTTGGTATGTAAAAGTGTTCTCAGAAAGCGTTCTATAATTACTCCTTATCTACTACTGGGGAAAAAGTGAAAGATTTTCATAAACTAGGAATGTTCATTCTTTTATTTATATGAAAAATGTGACTGTGTTTTTATAATATACGTTTGCTTCTGCAGACTAATTCTCACTTCTCTTGCATTATATTCTGTCTCTTAAATAGCATTCCCCTTGAACTTGTAAGGTATACTGGAAGAGACTATCAGAAGAATCTTTTCCATAGCTTTCTCTCAATTATTTTATCTAGGTTTTATAAAAGCATAGTGCACACCTGGTAAGATAGCTTTTATCAATCACAACAGAAAATTTAAAGTGTGATTTATATTTTTAAAACATTTCATCCACAAGTGCTTTTTTCCCTATCCAGAAAGAATGTCAACATCTTTACAAGTATATTATCTCCCAATTTTCTAATCAAAACAATCCAGACTGGGAGACAGTAGGAGCTGTTTAAAACAATGAATATCACTGTAATGTGTTTTTAGTTGGATCATTTGCTAGATGCAGAAAACAAAACAAAACAAAAGGTCATTTCAGTGAAATCTGAACTCATGTAATAGACATGCATCTTTATATTCCACACACTTTGTTAATCATTGACTGAACAACATCGTGCCTGGAGCCAACTGACAAGAATTTTAACCTGATTAAATGTCCCAGTATGCCTTAATACCTTTAAATGGAATTTTTATGGCCTGTTCTGCACGCATATTATTAATACAGTGCCATCAAGAAAACCACAGACACGCATAATAGCTCATCAATTTGTAACTAAGCACTTTTGACCTTGAAAAATCAGCTGTCTTTCAGATTAATGTAGTTACATTTTAGGCAGAAAAAGAAGCCATAAAATTATCATGCTTATTTTTGTAACATGTCAGGATAAGAATTAGGAATAACGTCCCTGCCGATGGCTTCTTATTGATATTGCCTCCAACCTCTGACATCTGAATTAGAAACTCTGAGACCTCATCCTAATAAAAACCCACTTAAACGTTAAATTTCAGCTAAAGGGATGAATATAATATACTGCTGATAAGTTAAAGGGGTAGAGTATAAACTACCATCCCCATTGATGTTCACATTTCTTAGAAAATTAAAAGAAAGGAAAAGTCTCCAGATTTGTTTCCTCTTGAATGTGCGCACACACACACACACACACACACAATAAAAATGAAAATAATTAGTGTAAAAGAAAAGCTCACCATGAATATAGCAAGGTCATACCAGTCAATAATAAAAAAGGAATAAGAAATAAAAAGGACATCATGTGAACATAGAAGCAATTTGAAAAATAGTGGAAAACTATATTTTATTCAAGAAAAATATATATCTGGAGTAAAATAGGTGATATTAAATGAATTTGGTTATTTTTTCAAAAATAATTTTTGTAGCTAATGCTAATTTAATCATTTCAGAAGCTGCAAGATGAAATTGTGTATCCTACCATCTAAAACAAAGCACCTAAAATATTAGAATATCTGCCAGGTGCGATGGCTCATGTCTGTAATCCTAGCACTTTGGGAGGCCGAGCGGTTGGATCATCTAAAGTCAGGAGTTCTAGACCAGCCTGGTCAACATGATGAAACCCTAACTTTACTAAAAATACTAAAAAAAAAAAAAAAAAAAAAAATTAGCCGAGCATGGTGGCGGGCACCTGTAGTCTCAGCTACTGGGGAGGCTGAAGCAGGAGAATCACTTGAACCTGGGAGACAGAGGTTGCAGTGAGCTGAGTTCATGCCACTGCACTCCAGACTGAATGACAGGCGAGAGTCCTTCACAACAACAACAACAACAACAACAACAAAATCTGACCATAAAGATACTGTTTATTTTATCGTCAAATTTATGAGCTAATATCAAGTAGACGAAAGCTTTGGAAGAAGTTTCTGAGAATAGAGAGAATTTCTAAAAACATATAGTGTCAGGGCTGGAATAAATCATCATCATATAGTCTACACAATCAGAAGAATCAACTCCTAGATAAAGCCAGAGCTACCTGCTGGCTTATAGTCAGTTTCAGCCTTCTTTCAAGTATCCTTAGCATAATTTTATTTCTTACAATATTTTGCTAACTTATAAACTAGCTCAAATGTATGTAAGAATGTATTCATTTATTTTTAAATAGTTAATCAATACATTCCTTTTCCTCTAAGAAATATGAGATATGCCATGCTACAATTAGGAGGAATTATATAAGGCTGGAATCTGATTGTTAATTACTTAAAAACAACATATTTAAAAACTACTCAAGAATAAAGGTAGTTCTCAGAATTTGATTTGCAGCAGCCCTCTCTCAGTACAACCCTAAAACAAACCAACCATTACAAAAGTCAAACTTCTCTATGTCAATGAATACTAAAGAAGGGTCACATCCTTGCTGAAGCCTTTTCTGGAGTAATTGCTACAAATCAAAATGACATGATAAATACAAGGAAATTAGGCCAATGGTAAATAGAGTTTCTTTCCTTTGTCACTAACATCTCCTTCATTGCAACTGTAAAAATCTCTAAGAGCTATCTGGTCTTTCCCGTTGAGATGGGCTGGACATAGATGGTTTTGTGCAAAAGTTCTATCAAATTAAAAAAAAAAAAAGTGGTCCGCATTACATCCACTGCATAAGGGGGAAGGAAACACAAAATCTTTTCATGGTCTATAGTAAATCTGTTAGATAAACCTGGCAAATCCCAAAATCCTACAAATTACAGTGGGATGTTAGATACATCAATATGGTCAAAGTTAACGTGACATGATTATGTATACTTTATTTGGGGAATGTATAGATAGAGCAATCCTGGGTGTCTATTAATGTAATTTATCATATTAATTCAATTATAGGTTCAAGAAAAAAATATAATCTCAGTATTTACCAAAAAAGAAGCCATTTTACAAACATCTATTTTTGTTCTGAAGTTTACTTAGTAAGCAAGGATTACAAAGATATTTATTTAATGTAACAATAAGTGCTTATATGAAATTAACATAAAATATTATTTTTAACAATGAAATGTTAAGGAAGGCTTCTTAATATTGATTTAATGGAGACTATCAACTTCAACATTTAAGTATTTTTTTGGGGAGAAAGTCCATAATTATTATCAGATTTAGTTTATTGAACCAAAGAAAATCTGAGAACCATTGATCTATAGGCATGACACTGGGCAAAGACACCAACTACAAATTTTGAAAAGAGAAAAAAAGAAAGAGAAAGAAATATGCCTATCAGAAAAGAGGAAAAGTAATTATAAACATTTGTAGACAATGTGATTAAATCTAGAAACTCCCCTCCTAAAGAAGATAAAAAATCTGCTTAAGTGTTGTTTGTATTACATTCTATAATTGTTTCTAAAGTCTACATGTCTTCATATATCAGGACTTGAAGATATTACAAAAATAGGCAATTCAAAAGAGCAAAAATATTCAATTAATAGCAATAATCTTAAAAATATGATTACATAGTATTTAAGATTACATATGTAATCTTAAAAATATGATTACATATTACATACATAAAGAACAGAAAACATTTTATTAAGGGGCATATATGAACATATAAATAAATAGAAGCCATATTACTGATTTAGAATATCAGATATTAAAATATGTCTGTTCAACTTACAATCATCTAAAAATTTAGCAGTCATCTAAAATATCTAAAAAGAGAGGTTTTTTTTGTTGGAAATTCAACATATGATGTAACAGTTTTATATAAAATGCAATTAGGATAAGATGTGTTTAGAAAGAGCAATGGCCAAAGGATTTCTCCCAGTAGATAGCAAAATATATTAAATTACAATAATTAAAACATTGTGATACTAACATAAGCATAGATGAGCCGCACATAGAGCAAATGTAAATACTATACAATCTAGCTAACAAGTTAAAATAAAATTCCATTAAATTCCTGCCTCATATCTTAAACTCAAATTTCAGCATTATAAAGGTTGAAATAATGAAAACAGTTTTCAAAAAGATAGTAATCTTAAAGTGGAGATGTCTTTCTAATTCCTGATATCCTCGATCCCTTTCATATCGCCTATTTTGGGATTTGGTATTCTGTAATGTTTCTCTGAGCAGTCAAATAATAGACATTTCAAAGATCTCTTACGTTTTGTACTTCAATTCCACTGTTTCTGCAGCCCGACTTTGCTATTTCATAGTGTTGTATTTCTTCGAAAAGCTAGTGATTCTTGCTGATTCATGTGAGGGCATAAATTCAGCAATATTGGTGACGTGGATAAACTTTCTCCATGTAAATGAATCTTACTGTGCTGAAAGTCTTAAATCCAAAGGCTGATTATAAGGATCTTGCCTGTGGTAAATCCCAGCTAGATTTCCTTGTCAAGTTTTTCCTATGGAAAGGGATTTGCATTTTGGATTCAAGGCCACCCGAACTATTTTAGAGATTGGAGTTACACAGAGATTAACCTTTTGTCTCTCTGGCCTGCCTCACTCTAATCCCCTCTGCAGGTCTTCAAATTTTTGAGAGTATTGTGTTTCAGATATCAAAATCTACTCTTCAATACTAGAGTAGCTGTTCCACAAACATTTGACAAATTTTTCCAGTGACTTCCCAAACCCGCATTTGTTTCCATTCCCTACTCTAAACTAAATATTATCCCAAGAATTTCATGGGAAGACTCTTTCACAGGAGTGGGGGATCTTTCTTTGGCTTCTATTTTCTTGGGAGTTTCTCATCTCTATATAATCCCTTATCTATACTGTATGGTTAGTTTGATATTTCAAGACATTCTTCAGTATTCTAGTAGGCAGCTGGTGATTCTCTTGACTTTGGAGTGTTGTAATGTTTGTTTTTATTTTTATATTCTTCGAGCAATGCAAAGAAACTTTGAAAAAGAGACCTTATTACATATAGAGGAAAACCAGAAATTTTTTTAAAACATTGATATTTGACCATATACTTAAACATTTCTTTGTAACAAAATTAAATGATAAATACAATATGAAGGCCTTAAACAAAATTAAAAGAAAAATGACTAGTAAATAAAAATTATAGGGAAGCAATAGATTAATAATTTAATGTCCTTAATATGTAAATAAAATTTAAAAACGATTATAAGAAGACAAAACCACAATTGAAAGACAGACAAAACATATTACAAATGATGAAATGCAATGGCCCACAACAAATGAAAGATGTTCAGCATAAGCAGTAATCAAAGCAGTGCAAATTAAGATAATGGGCCTCTCTCCCCTCCCCTTTTTATTTTTGCCTAGAAGCTTAGGAAAGATTTAAAAAGAAATACAAATACGCTGAAACAAAAAAAGATAGTGGAGAATTGGTATTGTCCTATACTAGCAGTGAAGGTGATGACAGAAACGTCCTACAGGTCAATTTAAAATGTGCCTCCAAATAATTGCTAAAAACATATTAAAAAAATAAGCCACTTTTAGAAATTCTTTCTGAGAAAATTACCTGGAATCAAGTAAGGTGTAAATATAGGGTTGTATACTGTAGCGTTGATAGTAACTATAGAAAATGATTAGAAATTTATTAAAAATATTACAAAATATTGAGAATAGAAGCATTCATCAAGGGACATAAATTTCACAAGAGCCAAAGCTCTATGTCCATTTATTGACTGAGAAAATTGTCGATATGTTAAGTTGAAAAGTTACAGAACTATTACTAAGATCATGTTAATATAGAAATTATATACACAGTCATTATTTATTTGGATATACTTATGTGACACAGAGGTATGTGTGTATACATACATAGAAAATTATGTGGATGTTTATAAATCAAAATATCAATAATGGTTACCTCTTGGAACCATATTATATATATTATATTGTTTTTGTATTTCACTTTATTTTCAGATCACTTTCCTATACCTAAATGTTAATTTTCAAATTTTACAAGTAGAATAATGTCATATTTTGAAACATGCTAAGTAGGAAGTCATTTCAATTATATAGAAAATTACTTCCCCTAGAGAAATAACTAAGAATATATGTGAAGAACATGACATTAAAAGCTATTTTTTCTGTTTTGGGTTAAAGTAGACATATTTTCCTCATCTTTTATTCTTATTACAAGTGTTTCTGTTTTTAGTTTTATTCTGTCAGGTAAAAGTGTCTCTGTCTGATCCCTCACAACCAGCCCTAAAAATAGGTCAGTAACTCTGAATTATAATAAAGTTACTAGTTTTTCCTTTCTTTTTCTTCACATTTTTCAGCACAATTTAACAGTCAGATATAATTTGGGCAGTATGATATAAAACTGAGTTTTGGAAAATAGGTGATATAATCAACAGACACATTTTATTTTATTATTTTGTTATTTGGTATACTTCATTTGATTTGTTCAATTAGCCTGCTTTTTTGTAATGATCCATATTAACTTTGCATTGAAGGGGCCAGATTTCTTATTAACTGAAAAAACGTAATTGACAAAACTACTTTTAGCTTTGTTAATACCTTCTAATACCATAAAACAAATAAAAAGTGTTTTTAATCACATTAAAAAATAATGTATAATAATATTGACATTTTATAAAAAACTGAATTTGCAAATTATGACACTTTTATAATTAACTTTTAGCTGAATGAATCACTAGAATATTTTCTATATATGAAAGACTGTTTTTATGTAAGAGTATTTTAACTTTCTTCACCAGGCTATAAATAACTTGCAACCCCTTATAATTTTTATTGCTTTTGAGAATACAATATTGTTTTACAGAGTCCTGGTAGACAATCTCCAAAGCTAAAGCAAATATTCAATACACTATTTAAATAAATCTCAGGAATTTCTATTTTCTCACATTCTTTCTGTAATTAAATATGAACTTTGCACTATAAATGTCCATGCTTAGATTGATTCTCCTTTCTCTCTCGCCCTCTGTCCACCTCGCCACCTCTCTCTCTTTCTCTCTCTCTCTCTCTCTCACACACACACACATATACACAATTGGTGTGATTTGGAACACATGGAAGACATCATGATTGAATGTAGAAGATTTAGTGTATCATGGCTGATCTTTGGAGATTTCTGTGTATAGAGATATTGTAGTGTGACACTCACTTTGCCTATTTCCTCAGCTGCCAGAAGTGCTGACTGCTGATGGTTCAACTCTTGACTTCCCATTACTTCATTCAAGTTTATGTTCCCCTCTTGGGTACCATGATATCAATGATTAGTTGATGCAAAAATACAAGCCTGATTCTCATTCCTCAATCTGGGACATCTCTGGAAGGCCATCCCAGCTTAAGAAGGCCCAGTAGGATTGTAGTACCTTTGGATCATGTGATCCCTTTGTACAACTGCATTATACTTGACTCCTTTTGTTTTGCATTCTGCTGCTGCTCCCTTACAGGTATTGCTGCAGATATCACACCTCAATAAACTTCCTGTAAGTACATCATAGACTCAGGGTCTGTTTCCTGGAAAACTCCTGTTAAATAGTCTGTGATTTTTAAAAATACTTTTTAAAGAGTACTTATAGTTTGCCTTCTATAGCATCTTTTAAAAACTCTTTTCTTACAGGGACATGAAAAACTACCTCAAGTTTTCTGTAGTGGAAAAATACCTCAAGTTTCCTGTAGTGAAGGAACCATCTAGTTTACATAGACAATTGAGAAAGGAAGCTGTATGGAACCTCATGAATGAGTGAATAAATCCATCATCTGTTCACATAATGATTATCACCAAATGGATCCATTCCATTGCTGATAAAATGGAAAGAATGTTCTCTGTGCATCTATCCCTATTATTATATATACAGCCAGATGAGCTATGATTCTATTAGTTCCCAGAATCATTAGGGTCAAGTCAGGTTACCATTCAGGAAGAAAGTATAATGGAAAATCATGCTGCTACAGCAGTATTAATGATTCATTAGGTGACATTCTACCCTCTGGATGTTCATGAAATAATCTAAATCCAAAGTGTCATAGAAGCTACACCAAAGCCATGACACAATAAAACAAAAGAAACGTTATGCCAAGTTATATGAGTGGAGAACTCAGCCTAACATACTATGTATTTTTTTTGCATCAGTGGTGCTAAAGATGAGTGTAATTTTTTGAAAATTCAAAATTACATGTAATAGCCCATATCTATCTGGTTGTTTTAAATTAACCTAAGAATTTTGATTTCATTTATAAGTCCAGTTTATGGTCCTAAAGCCTTGTCTACTGATTATGCTTTTTATAAGCATAATAAGAAAATACAGCATTTTGTCAAGTTCCAAGGTCTTTCTTCAAACTACAGCTGTTCTACCTTTAAGCATAATATTTGATCTTCAACCTAATAGGAATAGCTATTTAGTAATAGTAATAATAATAATAATAGTAAGCTTTTATGCAGTGTTTACAATGTGCCAGGCATTATTCTAAATTCTTTACATATTTGACTTCATACTATTACTATCCCAACTTCATTTATTTATTGTTAAATAACTTCAGTTTTTATTTTAGATTCAGAGGATAAATGTGAAAATGTGTTACAAGAGTATATTGTGTGATGCCGAGGTTTGCTGTACAAATGATTCTGGCACTCAGGAAGAGCACATAGTACTGGGCAGGTACTTTTTCAGGCCTTTTCTCCTCCCTCCCTCTCCCCTCTAGTAGTCCCTGATGTCTATTATTCCCATCATTATGTCCATGCGTATACAATATTTAGCTCCCGCATGTGGTATTTGGTTTTCTGTTGCCAAATGAATTAGCTTAGGATAATTACCTCTGGCTGCATCCATGTTGCTGCAAAGGGCATTATTCTATTCTTGTTTATGGCTGCATAGTATTCCATGATGTATTTCTTTATCAACTTTATTTTGTTTATCCAATGAACCATTGGTGGGCATCTAGGTTGATTCCATGTCTTCACTATCATGAATAGCGCTGTGATGAACATATGAGCACATGTATCCTTTTCGTACAATGATTTATTTTCCTTTGGGTATATACCCAGTCATGACATTGCTGGGTTAAATGTAATTCTGTTTTAAGTTTGAGAAGTCTCCAAACTGTTTTTCACAGTGGCTGAACTAACATACTTTCCTGGCAACAGTGTATAAGCATTTCTGTTTCTCCACAACCTCATCCACATCTGTTATATTTTGACTCTTTAATAACAGCCATTTTGACTCATATGAGCTAGTATCTCATTGTGGCTCAGTTTGCATTTCTCTGATAATTAGCGATGAGAATTTTTTCAGATGTTTGCTGTTCGTTTGTATTAGTCAAGTTTCTCCATAGGGACAGAACTAATAGGATACGTGTATATGTGAAAGGAAGTTTATTAGAGAGAATTGGCTCATACAATCACAAGGTAAAGTCCTGTGATAAGCTTTCTGCAAGCTGGGGAAGGGAAAGAAGCCAGTAGTGGCTCAGTCCGAATCTGAAAGCCTCAAAACTAGGGAAGCCGACAGTGTAGCCTTAGTCTGCGGCCAAAGGCCCAAGAGCCTCCTGCAAACCACTTGATGTAAGTCCAAGAGTCCAAAGGCCAGAGAACCTGGAGTCTGATGTCCAAGGGCAGGGGGAATGGAAGGAAGCATTCAACATGAGAAAGAGAAGACACCCAGAGACCCATCAAGCAAAGTTATCCTATCTTCTTATGGCTGCTTTGTTTTTGCTGGGTTGGCAGCTGATTGGAAGGTGCCTACCCACACTGAGGGTAGGTTTTCCTCTGCCAGTCCACTGACTCAAATGCCAATCTCCGCTGACAACACACTCACAGACACAGCCAGAAACAACACTTTACTAGCCATCTAGCATCCTTCAATGCAATCAAATTAACACCTAATATTAACTGTCAGGCCTCTGAGCCCAAGCTAAGCCATCATACCCCCTGTGACCTGCACGTACACATCCAGATGGCCGGTTCCTGCCTTAACGGATGACATTCCACCACAAAAGAAGTGAAAATGGCCTGTTCCTGCCTTAACTCATGACATTATCTTGTGAAATTCCTTCTCCTGGCTCATCCTGGCTCAAAAGCTCCCCTACTGAGCACCTTGTGACCCCCACTCCTGCCTGCCAGAGAACAACCCCGCTTTGACTGTAATTTTCCTTTACCTAACCAAATCTTATAAAACGGCCCCACCCCTATGTCCCTTCGCTGCTGACTCTCTTTTCCGACTCAGCCCTCCTGCACCCAGGTGAAATAAACAGCCTTGTTGCTCACACAAAGCCTGTTTGGTGGTCTCTTCACACAGATGCGAGTGAAATTAACCATCACACTGATTGAATGTTTTATTTTGAGAAGTGTCTGTTCATGTCCTTTACCTGTTCTTTAATGGGGTTATTTGCTTTTTGCTTGTTATAAGCTTCTTACAGACTCTGCATATTAGACCTTTGTCAGATGCATAATTTTTCAATTATCTCTCTTTGCTGATGATATGATTCTATACCTATAAAACCCTAAAGAGTCTTCTCCTAGAAATGATAAACATCAGTAAATTTTAGGATATAAAATAAATGTACAAAAATCCGTAGCATTTCTGTACACCAATAACATTATAGTTGAAAACTAAATCAAGAACACAATCCCATTTACCATAGACACACAGACACACACACACACACACACACACACACACACACACACACACAAATATCTAGAAATACAGCTAGCCAAGGAGGTAAAATATTTCTACAACTACAAAACACTGCTGAAAAAAATCAGGACTATCGCAAGCACAGAAAACCAAACACCACATGCTCTCACTCATAGGTGGGAATTGAACAATGAGAGCACTTGGACACAGGGCAGGGAACACCACGCATCGGGGCTTGTCATAAGGTCGGGGGAGCGGGGAGGGATAGCATTAGGAGATATACCTAATGTAAATGACGAGTTAACGGGTGCAACACACCAACATGGCCCATGTATACATATGTAACAAACCTGCACGTTGTGCACATGTACCCTAGAACTTAGAGTATAATAAGAAGAAAAAGAAATCAGAGACAAGACAAATAAATGGAAAAGTACCCCGTGCTTATGGATTGGAAGAATCAATATGGTTAAAATGGCCATACTGCCCAAATCAATTTAAAGATTCAACACTTTTTTTAATCAAACTACCAACATCATTTTTTCACAGAATTAGAAAACCCTATTCTAAAATTTATATGGAACCAAGAAAGAGCCCAAATAGACAAAGCAGTTCTAAACAAAAAGAACAAAGCTGCATGCCTCATATTACAACTTCAAACTATACTATAAGGCTACAGTAACCAAAGAGCATGGTACTGGCACAGAAACAGGTACATGGAAAATGGAACAGAATAGAAAACCCAGAAAGAAAGTTGCACACCTACAACCATAGGATCTTTTACAGTGTCGACAAAAATAAGCAATGGGGAAATCAATCCCTATTCAATAAATGGTGTTGGCATTACTGGCTAGCCATATCAAGAAGAATGAAATTGAACCCTTAGCTTTCACCATATGCAAAAATTAACTTCAGATGAAGTAAAGATTTAAATGTAAGACCTCAAATGATAAAAATCCTAGAAGAAAACCTAGGAAATACCATTCTTGACATTGGCCATGGCTAATAATTTGTGGCTAAATCCTCAAAAGCAATTACAACAAAAACAAAAATTGACAAGTGGAACCTAATTAAACTAAAGTTTTTCTGCACAGTAACTTTACATAAATGGAAACTAAGCCTAAGAGTGTTTAGGTGACTTGTTGAAGTCACACAGCTAGTAACTGTCAGAGCTAGGATTTTATACCAGACAATCTGGCTCTGGGCTTTTTATTATTGGAATCAATTTGTGCCTTATAATGAACTAAGCATTGGAGAAGGATATAAAAGAGAAAACTTGGGGGCTCAAAATATTCTAGGCTAAGAGCTAAACAAACCAACAATTAGATAGTTCATCCTGCAGGTAAACATAAGATGCAGAGACATCTTTGGGGCTGAGAAAGTTTCTGAAAGAAGATGAGTTTTGATATTAATATTAGAAGAGGATAAGGAATGAGGAGTGAACTGGGAAGGGTATACCATGTAGACAGATATGTTGTACAAGATTATAGATGTATGCCAGCATATGGCATTTTGGGAAATACAAGAAATTTAGTATGGCTGGAATAAAGGGGCTTGCTGTGTTGCAGTAAGGGAGGTCAGAATGGGAGATAGGAACAATCATTTTATAAAGTGCCTTTCATGCCTTGTAATAAGCTGTAGCCTGATACACCTTCAAGAAAGGTAAATATCTATTTATATAGTGAGTTTATATCTGTGTCTTATATCTACTGACCCAACCACAAATGGTGTCATGGGTTCCCATGATTGTGGCACTGAGCTAGGATGCCTTAAATGACTTTGTGGCTAACGATTGTCTGGTTAATGAAAACAGTGAAGATATAATTCCTATTTCAGGGGAGGCCAGACCAGATATGCCTCATGGTATTTAGTGGGCTAAGTATTGTGGAATACATGAAACTTGTCTCATGAATGAAAATAGTAAAATCACTGAGTGAAC
This sequence comes from Homo sapiens, assembly GCF_000001405.40. Classification (NCBI taxonomy): domain Eukaryota; kingdom Metazoa; phylum Chordata; class Mammalia; order Primates; family Hominidae; genus Homo; species Homo sapiens. Next base: position 184,166,646 of record NC_000002.12, on the reverse strand, counting down.
CAAAGGGAATCCTCAAGTGGATAAGAAATAAAAGAGAAAAGGCAATAGTGGTGGAAAATCTCTACAATTTTTGAAAGCCCTAGTTGTGAATTTGTAAAGTTCCTAAGCCTGCAGCATAGTGGGAAATTCTACATTAAAAATTCAGGCACTGGGTCCAGATGCTACAGTAGTTAAAGTAGATATTTAAAGATTTACAAGTTGAAATGATGATGCACCATTCCTCTTTCTCCCTGGAGTCAGGAAAACAAAGTGCTGTAGAGCTTTCAAAAACGAGTTTAACATAGAATGCTCATTAGAAAACTGAGAAGGGCTCAGAGAACAAAAAGGAAACAGTGAAATAACTCAGAGAACATTATCCATAGCAAACAGTTAATATCTCTCAGGCTGGGGGAACTAAGTTTGAAGTTGTGATCAAAGTTCAAAAATCTTGGATTGGCCGGGCGCGGTGGCTCACGCCTGTAATCCCAGCACTTTGGGAGGCCGAGGCGGGCGGATCACGAGGTCAGGAGATCGAGACCATCCTGGCTAACACGGTGAAACCCCGTCTCTACTAAAAATACAAAAAATTAGCCGGGCGTGGTAGCGGGCGCCTGTAGTCCCAGCTACTCGGGAGGCTGAGGCAGGAGAATGGCGTGAACCCGGGAGGCGGAGCTTGCAGTGAGCCGAGATCGCGCCACTGCACTCCAGCCTGGGCGACAGAGCGAGACTCCGTCTCAAAAAAAAAAAAAAAAAAAATCTTGGATTAGGAGCTGGCAGTAGTGGCAGGACCATCAACCACCAAAGGAGCATTGGGATAAAGCTTGGACACCACATGCAAGTGTCACATAGTGGGTGCTGGACCACTGAAATTGCCACCTGGTTGATCTGAGGACTGCCTTGGAGGTGGGGGTAGGGTGCTGAGCCTTCTGAAGGAATGCTCAGAACTAATACTAGGATTGAGACTGAGGAAGATGCTTGACCTTGCATTTGCTAGAACTGCTGAAAAATGTTGGAATCAGCTGCTGCCCATTACTGGAAGATACCCAAGTAAAAGACTATGACCCATCTGGGATGGACACAGAAGCCATAAACATAAGGCAGATTATCTCTTCTCCCTTTATTCTGACTTTTAGTCTAATACTAGTGCTTCAGTGGCAGAATCTAACTAAAAGTCAACAGGAAAGAAGTCTAGAAAGTGTAGCTCAATGTTTGTAGACCCCTAACACACATAAAAGGATAACACACAGGAGGATAGTAATGGAGGCTGAGACCAAACAAGAAAATTACCAGTACTTGGCAGGCATTTTCTTCCAATGAAAAAATAAAGTCAATGTGAAAAAAAAAAAAAAAAAAAAGTCTGTGAGCCAGGAGACTGAGTATTCACCTTAGTTTGTGGGACTTCCACTCCACAATGGACACATCAGACCCCATACCCAGAGACCGCATTCACAAAGTAAAAAGAAGGAGGGTCCTTCCACCACTTAAATGAACTCTTCTAAAATTACCAGCTGTGGCTTTTTTGTGTTGTTTTTACCCAAGAAAGGTAAATGCTTGTTTATATGGTGAGTATGTATCTGTGCCTTATTTCTACTGACCCACTCACAAATGGTGTCATGGATTCCCATGACTGTGGCACCGCGCTGGGAAAGCTTAAATGATTTTGCAACTAACAATTGTCTGGTTAACGAAAATAGTGTGGATACAATTCTTATTTCAGGGAAGGCCAGACATGCCTCATGGTACTTGGTGGCTTAAGAGTTGTAGAATACATGAAACTTGTGTCATGAATAGAAATAGAAAAATAACTGAGTGAATCAAAAGAAATCTTCAAGTGGATAAGAAATAAAAGAGAAAAATCAGTAGTGGTGGAATCCCATCACACTACTATTGACCATTTTAGAAGCAGTAGACTGAAAGGAAAATAAATATAATACTAATGTTATCAGAAAAGGCAAGAAGCAAGCTGATGGTGCTGTACTTTTTTCTTTTTCTTTTTGGAATGAAATAGGGGAGATTGCTTGTTTTCTTTTGGCTTCACAATATTGCCAAGACTATTTCTTTTTCTTTGTTCCTATGTTTGTCTGTTTAGCTGCTATTCTTCCAGTAAGTCATCTCCTTCCTTCTAGTAGGGTAGAGAAGTTGAGAGGAGGGATAGTGGAAGGCAGTCACTTAAAAATTTGAGAGGTCTTTTGTGTACCAATAACTTTATTTTACTTTAAAGGAATAAATTCTCACTAGCTATAAAGACACAGTCACACACATACACAGACATACACACACACGTACACGTTATTAACACATAACTCTGGTTATATATATGTTTTGTATGTTGTACAATCTTTATTCTAATCTTTTTTTACTTAGTTCATCTCCTTTTCTATTCTGTCTGCCCACCATCACTACTATGTTCCAGTTATTTCTCCATGCTTATGTAATTATATGTGAATATATATTAAAAATGTCATTTTAAAATGTATGATTATATTGGATATAATTTTTATATCTTTTTTCTCAAATAAGAGTATTTTATCAAAATACTCAATTTTAAAGGTTGAATAATATTTCATTGCACATATATATCCCATTTTATTTATTCATTTATCCATTGATGGACATTTAGGCTCTTTGCATATCTTGACTATTGTGAATAATGGCACAGTAAGCATTGGAGTGCCAATACTTTTTCATAATACTGATTTTAATTCTTTTGACTGTATACCCAGAAGTAGAATTTCTGGTTCTTATGGGAGTGCTATTTTTATTTTTTTGATGACTTTCCATATTCTTTTCTGTAGCAGCTGCACAATTTTGCATTCCTACCAACAGTGTTGAAGTGTTCCAATTTATCTATACCCTGGCCAATACTTATTATTTCCTGTTCTTTTGATTGTGGCCATCTAAATTTGTATGAGATAATATCTCATTTTGGTTTTAATTGGCATTTCCCTGATGATGAATGACATTGAGCATCTGTTTATATACTCAATGGCCATTTGTATATCTCCTTTAGAAAAGTGTCTGTTCAAGTCTTAGCCCATTTTAAAAATTGGGTTATGAATGTTTTGCAGTGGAGCTACATGAGTTCCTTATATATTATGTATTTTGGAAATTGTCTCCTTATCCGATAGATGATTTGCACATATTTTCTCTCATTAAGTAGGTTCTCTGTCAACTATTGTTTCCTTTGCTGTACAATTTTTTTAAAAAAAGGAAGAAAAAATTTCCTTTTTTAAGGAAAGCTTTTAAAAGAACATGACATAATCTAAACAATAATTTCCCTGTTAATGGCAAGAATATTTGTTTTTGCCATTATAAGCAATACTACTATAAACATACTTACACATATAGATTTACTACAATTGCTTTGAATTCTAAGATAAAGTTTTCCAGAAGTGGTATTACTGCATTAAAATATATTGGTATTTTTAATTTTAATAGATATCTCCAAGTTGGTCTCCAAAAAGCTGTTAACAATTCACATTCATTTTCAATATGTGAACATGTTTTTACCTTAACCCCTCCCCGCAATAGACTGTAGACATTAACAACTTCTTATGCAATCTACATTATAATTATTTCTCAAGTCAGTCATTTGCTTATGAAATAATTGTAATATATTTTCTACACAAATATTATACTTAATCACATATGCATATATTATTTTTATAAAATTAAAGTATCCTCTGATTCTAGATTTATTTTTATACACAAGCCTTAAATCTACATAAAATTATAGTGTATAAAACAGAAGAATGGAGTCAATTTTTATCTTTTCCCATTGGTTAGCCAGACATTAAGTATCATTGGTTTAATAATGTCATTTCACACTGAATTGACTATCAGTCTCTTCTTATTTTAAATTCTTACGTATGCTAGAATATATTTTGTAAATGCTTTCCTCTGTTTTAACTGATTTTACTGTGGAGTAGTAACTGACACCAGATAAGGTGCATACCCCTTCACAACTACAGATATACAAACACAAACCCAAAAAGACCTTTTGCATGTATGAATGTCTGTGTATGTGTGCGTGTGTAATTTTCTTGATTTTTCTTAAATACATATTCTAAACAAATATTTTTTACTATTTTGTCCAATATCCCCACAATCCCTACTGTCTCTAATTGGAATTACACCATTAATGGTGAATGTAAATGTACAGCAAATATTATTTGGAAATATAAATATACATTTGGGACAATTTTAGTTTTATCACAGTAAGTTTTTCATTTCAAAACATTATATTATTTGTTTAGGTCTTTTTGTTTGCCTAGATTTTATACTTTTTTTGCTAGGGCTATATCTGTCTTATTAAGATGATTAACAATTTTATATACTTGTATAGCTTAAATACTTTAAAATAAAAGCTTTATTTCTTCCATGTAAACTAAGTTCAGTATTTTATACTGTATCCTGTGTTTTCCTCTGGTCTTTTGATTACTTTTTCTAGTTACAGCAAGATGTGATTTCTTTCATTTTCTTTTTTTAATTTGAACATGTTATTGTACCTTCTCATTCTATTAATGGCCATCTTCCCATATGTGCTCTTCTATTTAGATAAATATTTCTCTATTTTTATTAGAAAACAACATACCAACCCTTTCCCTATCTAAATGCTGTCTTGCCAAGATACTGTATTTCCCCAACTTCTACTTCAAGATAAGTTTAGAATATTCTGACATCCCTTCCCCGCTGCAACTCTCTACCCTTGTTACCTGCCCTGAATGAAACTTTTTGAATGATTTCACTTAATTCTCTTTATTTTCCTCTGTTTAGTTGGCATTATTTAGTAATTTCAAGACAATGCTTTTCATCTATTTGGTTTTAAGTATGTGTGTGTGTATGTATGTGTGTGTGCGTGTGTGAATAAAGAAGCAGAGAAAGACAGAGACAGAGAGAAAATGAGAGAGATATATGTTTTGTTAGAGAAACCAAAGAGCATTGATTAGCATTGTTTCTTTTCTTCTTCGTCTTCTATACCAAGTTCTAAACTATTATATTTATTGTTATTTAGAATCCTTCTTTGTGTTGTTTTTCTCAGATGTCATAAATAATTGCATTTCTTTCAATGTTTTCATTCCATCCTGACAGATGATAAATCACATTTATCTTGAATATAATATTGTTGGGTTAGTCCCCTTCTCCCCATAATCAGCAGATGCTATTCCACTGACTTAAAGCATAAAAAATTATAGATGGAATACATGAATTTTATTCATTTTCTGTAATTTTTTATTTGAAATCTAAAGTTATTAAAATGTTCTTTTTTTTTCAGAATGTAGAGTTTTTAAAACTATGTCATTTTAGAAAAACCAAATGGAGGATGATGGACTAGAAGCCTCCACCTATCATCTCCCTGACAGGAAACATCAAGTTAACAACTATTATCACAGAAAAAACAAACAAACAAACAAAAAACTTCCTAAGAGCCAAAAACGAGGTGAGCCCTCATAGTACCTACCTGATTTTAACTATGTATTACTGAAAAAGACACTGAACAGTTAGAAAAAGTCTTGAATCTCGAATCGCCTCCAATGGAAACACAACATGCCAAAACCTATGGGATATAGCAAAAGGTATACTAAGAGGGAAGTTTATAGCTCTAAGTGCCCGCATCAAAAAAGAGAAAAAACTTCAAACAAAATATCTAACAATGCATCTTAAAGAACTAAAATAGCAAGTGCACACCAAACCCAAAATAGTGGAAGAAAAGAAATTATAAAGATCAGAGCAGAAATAAATGATTGAAATGAAGACAATAATACAAAAGATCAATGAAACGAAAAGTAGGTTTTTTGAAAAGTTGAACAAAATCAACAAACCTATAGTCAGACTAAGAAATAAGGAGAGAAGATCCAAATAAATAAAATCAGAAATGTAAAAGGAGACATTGCAACTGATACTGCAGAAATTCATGGGATCATTACTGGCTACTATGAGCAATTATATGCCAATAAATTGGAAAATCTAGAAGAAATGGACAAATTCCTAGAACACATAAAATCTACAAACATCGAACCAGGAAGAAATCCAAAACCTGAACAGAATCTAATTCACCAGTGAAGCTATCTTTACTGGGATAATTTTTTGCTGGGAGAATGCATCTTTACTGAGAAAACATTCACCAGATATTTAAAGAAGAACTAATACCAATCCTACTCACACCATTTTGAAAAATAGAGAAGAGAGTACTTCCAAACTCATTCTATGAAGCCAATATTACCCTGATACCAAAACCAGATAAAGACATATAATAAAAAGTAAACTACAGGGCAATATCTCTGATGAATATTGATGCAAAAATCCTCAACAAAATACTAGCAAATCAAATTCAGCAAGGTATTAGAAAGATCATTCATCATGACCAAGTGGGGACTATCCCTGGGAAGCAAGAATGGTTCAACATAGGCAAGTCATTCAATGTGGTACGTTATATCAAAAGAATGAAGGCTAAAAACCGTATGATAATTTCAATTGATGCTGAAAAAGCATTTGATAAAATTTAATATCCCTCTAAGATAAAAACCGTCAAAAAACTGGGTATAGAGGGAACACACGTCAACAAAATAAAAGCTATATGTAACAGACAAACTCACAGCTAGTATCATCCTGAATGGGGAAAAACTGAAAGCCTTCCCCCTAAGATTTAGAACATGACAAGGACACCCACTTTCACCACTGTTATTCCACATAGTACTGGAAGTCCTCACTAGAGCAATCAAGAGAAAGAAAGAAATGTCATCCAAATTGACATGGAAGATGTCCAATTATCCTTGTTTGCAGATTATATAATCTATATTTGGAAAAACCTAAAGACTCCATGAAAAAACAATTATAACTGTTAAATTCAGCGAAGTTGCAGGATACAAAATCAACATACAAAAATCAGTAGCATTTCTATATCCCAAACGTGAGAAATCTGAAAAAGAAATTAAAAATGTAATGCCATTTACAGTAGCCACACAAAAAATTAAAAACCTAGGAATTAACCAAAGACGTGAAAGACCTCTACGATGAAAACAATAAAACACTGAGAAAAGAAATTGAAGAGAACACCAAAAAATTGAAAAATATTTTGTGTTCACAGATCGGAGGACACAATATTGTTAAAATGCCCATAACACCCAAATCGAGCTACAGATTTAAAGCAATCCCTATCAGAATACCAATGACATCCTCACAGAAATAGATGAAACAATCCTGAAAGTTATATGGAACCACAAAAGATCCAGAATAGCCAAAACTATCCTAAGCAAAAGTAGTAAAACTGAAAGAATCATGTTACTGACTTTAAATTATACTATAGAACTATAGTAATCAAAATAGCATCCTATTGGCATAAAACACACACACACACACACACACACACACACACACACACACACACCCCAATGGGACAGAAAAGACAACCCATAAATAAATCCACACACTTAACATTGAACTTATTTTTGACAAATATGCCAAGGACATACACTGGGGAAAGCTAGTCTCTTCAATAAATGTTGCTGGGAAAACTGGATATCCATATGCAGAAGAATGAAATTAGACACCTGTCTCTCACCATATTACAAAATCAAATCAAAATGGATTAAAGACTTAAGTCTAAGACCTCAAACTATGAAACTCCTCCAAGAAAACATTGGAGAAAATCTCCAAGACATTGGTCTGGGCAGAAATTTATTGAGCAATACTCCACAAGCACAGGAAACCAAAGCAAAAATAGACAAACGAGATCACATCAAGTTAAAAAGCCTCTGCACATCAAAGGAAACAATCAACTAAATGAGGAGTCGGGCCACAGACCGGGATAAAATATTAGCAATCTACCCATTGATCAGGGGCGTAACCAAAACAGAATATATAAGGAGCTCATACAATCCTATAGAAAAAAAAAATCTAATAATCTGATTAAAACATAACAAAAGATTTGAATAGACATTTCTCAAAAGAAGATATACAACTGGCCAACAGACATATGAAAAGGTGCTCAACATCATTATCAGAGACATGCAAATAAAAATTACAATGAGATATCATCTCAACCCAGTTAAAATGGCTTACATTTTACATTTAAAAGACAGACAATTATAAATGCTGGTGAGAATGTTGACAAAGGGGAACCCTCAAATACTCTTGGTGGGAATGTTAGTACAACCACTATGCAGAACAGTTTGAAGTTTCCTCAAAAAACTAAAAATTAAGCTACTGTAGGATCCAGCAATCCCACTGTTGGGTATATACCCCAAAGAAAGAAAATCAGCAAATCAAACAGGTATCTGCACTACCATGTTCGTTGCAGTACTCTTCACAGTAGCTAATATTTGGAAGCAACCTCAGTGTCCATCAAAAGTTGCGGGATACAAAATCAACTTACAAAAATCAGCAGCATTTTTATTTCCCAAAAGTGAGCAATCAGAAAAAGAAATAAAAAACGCACTCCCATTTGTAATAGCCACACATAAAATTAAATACCTAGGAATCAACCAAAGAAGTGAAAAAGACCTCTATAATGAATGAATGAATAAAGAAAATGTGGTACATATACTAATGGATTACTGTTTAGCCATAAAAAAGAATGAGATTCTGTCATTTGCAACAACATGGATGGAACAGAAGGTCATTATGTTAAGTGAAAAAAGCCAGACAGAGAAAGACAAACATTGAATATTCTCACGTATTTTTGGGATCTGAAAATCAAAACAATTTAACTCATGGACATAGAGAGTAGAAAGACAGTTACCAGAGGCTGCAAAGTATAGTGGGGGGCTGGCAGGGAGGTGTTAATGTACAAAAAAAAGAAAGAACGAATAAGTCATATACTATTTGATGCCACAACAGGGTGACTACAGTTGATAATAGCTTAATTGTATATTTCAATTGTATATTTTAATTGTATATTTCAAAATAACTAAAAGAATTGGATTGTTTGTAACACAAAAGATAAATGCTTCAGGGGATGGGTATCTCATTCTCCATTTATGTGATTATATCACATTACATACCTGCATCAAAATATCTCACATTGCATACCTGTATCAAAATATCTCCTGTACCCTACAAATATAGCCTACATTTAAAAAAAATTAAAAAAATAAATTAATGTATCTTCTATTTTTTCACTATTTCTGTTTTGTTGTATATATGTTATCATTGCTCTGACAAATTTTCCTGTTTCCAATTTGTTGGGCTTTCTTAAATTCACGAATATTTGTTTTCTTAGTTTGTCTCTATATTACCTGAGAGTCCTACTGAGAACTGGTGATAAAGCAGGCCCTACTGTTAGAGTCCTGATTCTATCTCAAGTTCAGGGCAGAGCTGGATCACCCCACTCACTCATTTCCTTTCTAGCTTCCTTAGCCTCTTCTGGTCACAGAGAGGCCAGAAAGATCAGACATGTAAGGTCAGTGTCAACTTTCTCTCAGTTTCTATAGATACTTGCAGAGCTCTTCTGGTTCTTACACTTGGATTTCCAACACTAGTTACGAGGAAACAAAGTGAACCAGAGAAGAGAACCCAAATTCTCACTGGTTATCAGTTGTAAAAAGGCCTCAGCAGGCCTCCTGTTTTCCTCTGGAGAGGGTTAGTGTGAAAACATTCAGATCACTGTGAATCAGTTATTTATATAATCAACTAAGAGAGTATTTGATTGTTTGTTAATCTGTGATTGAAGCTATTTCTCAATATAGATTTATGTCTAAAACATAATTATTCGTACATAAAATGTACCATTTTCTTTCATGTCTCTATTCAAGGACAGATAAAGAATAATTATGTATGTATAATATGTTATATAAACATATATATATACACACATATAAATCTGGTAACTAATTTACATTTAAATCTCAGTTTCTTAGTCTGTAAAATAAAGTTAATTTCTCCTATCTTGTAGAATGATAGGGTGTGTTGGAAATGATGGATATAAAGCAGAAAGATTGTGAATATAAATCAGTACCTGGCTCAGAGTTGGCTCTCAATTAATGTAGACTGTTATTTATCATTATTAATATTAGCATAAGCCACAATAAATGAGGGAATTCCAGTTACATATATTCATAGCCACAGCAAAAGGAAGAGCATAATATTTAATTGATTCTCAAATATTATTATATAATGACTATGTCATGTGCCGCATTCAGTGAAAACAAAAGTTAGCAATAAAGGATTTTAGTTCTCAAGGGTTTGATCTTTATTTTGAAGCATATCAATTTCTAATTCAAAAGGCTCCAAATTATTGTAGTTAATTACTGTTAAATATTATTACAGAATAATAATTAATATTGTAAGAGACTTTAATGTATGGCAGATACAGATCTAACTACTGTGTGTCTGTGAGTGTGTGGATGTATGAATATGTATATACTGATAACAATTTTACATAATAACATGTACTGTGATTGCTTCTATTACCTCCACTTTGCTGACAAACTGAGGCACAGAAAGATTATCATCAATTACCTAAGATCCACAACAGATAAATTACAGAAAATCTGGGTTTTGAACTCAGATATCTGTCTCCAAAGTTCACACTGAAAATCATTTTATTCAATGTGTTGTGAAAAGAGAACACACACATACACTTAGAAATTAAGTCTTAGATTGAATGAATTCCCAACCACAACCAAGCTAGTTAAAGAGTAGAGTAGCAGATTTAATTGCAACATTGCAGCACGCACTGATTATGGTTGTTAAAAATTATTCAATACCAGATCCATTGTGTTTTTGGTAATGATCTTACTTAGCTGAACATTCTATTCATAGCCATGACCACAATGTAAAGCAGAGATTTGCTTTAGCATTGTATTTAATCTAAGGGGATCAAGGATCAAGATAACAATCAACATGCTAAATACACCATAAGTGAAGGGTCTTATTTTGTGTGTGGGCTGAAGATGTTTCTAATAAGTCCCCTGAAGAATTTACCTTCAATCAAGTGTTTCTAAATGTTACCATTTTTAATAGAATGCTAAAATAAAATGATAGTTCTAAATAATGATATAATTACTACTTTACAAATAATTTATGTTAGAGATACATTCCCAAGCCCATGTCTGCTACACAATAAATGTTTAATGAAGTTGCTATTCTTCAGATGGGACACTTATACTAAAAACCATTGTATTAAAACACACCATCACTAACTGTGTATGAAAAAAATAATGGAATTTCAATACATACATTTTTATAATGCAAATTCTTTTTTTTAAATTTTGTATTAGGAAAGTTTAAGTTACTATAGACTATTTCTGTGAATCTTTGCTTAATATGACTCTAATTTTCAGATTTAATAAAAAAGTTTTACAAATATAGAGTTTTTCTTAATCTCCATAGTCCCCCTACAGCTAACTGAAAGCAATTTCTACCATATCTATTTCCCATAGCAATTGCATTTATTCTATGTTGTGTGTGTGTACATTTAAAAAATCTGGGAAGAATGTGTGGGAGATTTGCAAATATCCCAACATGAAATAGCTACACATCTCTTCCTCAGGAGGAATATTTCAGAGGCCAGGAGCAGTTAGAAGTCTGTATATCGTTGGTTTAATAGACTTCACATGATCTGGCAGTCACTAAAAATCAAAGTACTAAGAGAAATGCCTTTCTCCATCATAGGTCTAAAACTTACCCACTTCTTCCATGTGGAGCATTGAATGGAAAACTGTTTGGAGTAACATTTTCTCACTCTTTTTTATAATAGTGAAGACATAAAGTTTATTATGCTCTTGAGCCAGCTATTTCAAATGAAGCCAACTATTTCTGATTTCAGAGCAAGAACTAGAGGTCACAAAGAACCTTAATTGTTGGATGTGGGCCACAATGTGCTGTCTTTCATAAATAAAGATGATACTATTAATATACTGGCAACAAGCCAGATATTGTCATTTTTTCCCCCTCAGCAATGGTGACAGGTTTGTACCAATGCACTCATACTACCTTGTCTGGCCCCTCTTGTGACCAGTAGGATACTATTTGTCAGACTTCTAGTAGTGCAGACTGCACCCTGCGGATGTGAATCAGAGCACAGCCATGAGCCCTAAAGTGGGAAGTCAGCCTTGACTCAGTGCAATGCACTAATTAACAGAGCTCACCAGCTACAGACTCATATGCTGTCTAATCAGGCAACCGGACAAAAGGGAACATGTCAGCTTAGAACAATTATGTCAGAGAAGTGTTAATCTGCTGCTTAAACTTTTGGAAAAAATAAAACTTGAAATGAAATAATCTAAATCACATTGTAGCAATTTGAAGTGAGCCATATGAACAAAAGTATATAATAAATCACTCTATGTGATTAAAATCCATTTATGTTATTAATTAGTAGGAAAATAAAGAGAACTCCTAAAATACCAGCAGTTAACTAAAAGAAAACAATGTATGATTAACAAATACAGTGCATACTTCCACTAAATTCCTCTACAATTTTGAAAAAGTGATGTAACAATGCATGTCCTTCCTTAATTCTTTTTGTGTAAATATACTCATATACATCTCTATAGAGACTGTTCCAAGCAAATAAGACTAGCTATGAGAAAATTGGAAGTATACTAAGAGAAGAATGTTAGAGGAACTCAAAATGTATTAACATAATTTTAAATTCAAGCTTTGCTCTTTTCATTTTTTATTCATTTCCTTGATCCAAATATTTGAGTTACTTATTAGAGAATAACAGTGATCACTTACATTGAAATTATTTTCTAGGTACTATCATCACTTATTAAATGTCCCTAAAAATCCCACGAGATTCTACTATTATTGCCATGTTACTGATAAAGGAGTTGAAGCAATAAAAAGTTAATTAACTTGTCCATGCTCACAAAACCAGTTAACTGGTGAAGTTTATTTTTAAATCAAAGCAGTTTGCCTCTATACTGTGTTTTTAACCACTGTGCTGTAGTTCATTGTTAAAACACAGAATGTGTGTTAAGTAATTTTATGACTAAAGGACAGCACAATATGTATTTATTGAGTTAAAACAAGACTTGTGTTCCCTGATTTTGCCATCTCTGACCCTGGTTAGATTCCCCTTTTTTTGCTTTGATAGTGCTCTTTACAGTCTCTCTCATTGATTTTGCCATATTGGATTTTCTACCATTAGTGCTGATGTGTGTCGCTCCCACTAAACAGTGATCCTTTTAATGGCTGGAGACTGAAATCAAATCTTGTCATTTTTTTAAAAAAAACATCATGCCTGATACAGAATAGGGAGACAATATTTATTTGTGGAATTAATGAGTAGATTATTTACCTTATACTTAAATGTCTACTTTAATATAGTTATACCATGATTTCCGTTTTATTTCATGAAAGGAGAACTCCAAGTTTTGAGTGGGTTTTTGAAAATTTTAATTTCAAACTCAGTTTCAGATGGATAAAGTTATTATAAGCTCATAATTCTGGATAAAGATAGTGGATAATTTCCACACCCTGATTTGGAAGTCTAAAAATCAAGAGTTCAATTTTAGACATGATAAAATTGGAACATAAATAAGCGAGCAGTTGGATATATGGGCCTAGATGGGAGATGCAGAAATGTGCAAACAAACAAAAGCTATCCAAACACCATTCAAAAAATACTTTTCTAAGTAACTATGGCATCAAAAAGAGGAAACAACTAATAATTATGATATCACTAAGAGGAAAAATACTTCAGGGAGCTAAAACGGTATACAGTGAAGTATGTATAAATATTAAACTTTCATTAAAACAAAATAAGGAATTGGCCAGATGTGGTGGCTCATGCCTGTAATCCAAGTACTTTGGGAGGCCAAGGTGGGTGTATCACCTGAGGTCAGGAGTTTGAAACCAGCCTGGCCAACATGGCAAAACCCCGCCTCTACTAAAAATGAAAAAAATAATTAGCCAGGCATGGTGGCACATACCTGTAATCCCAGCTACTTGGGAAGCTGAGGCAGGAGAATTGCTTGAACCTGGGAGGCAGAGGTTGCAGTGAGCTGAGATTGTGCCATTGCACTCCAGGCTGGGCAACAAAAGTGAAACTTCATCTCAGCAACAACAACAAAAAAAAGGAATTAAGAAAAAGGAAATAAACATGCCATGCAATTCAAGAAGTATGGTGATGACTTTGCAGATATACGCATATATTCAAATCCATTAAATTGTATACATTAAATAACTGTAGTTTTTTTTTTTCATGTCAATTATACCTCAGTAAAGTGGTTAAAAAAAAGTAGAAAGAATATCACAACAAACTCAGGAACAAAAGAATTAAAATGATAAATCAAAATGATGTTTTCTAAAACAGAACAAAATCAGAAATTATGACACAATAATAAGATCAATTGTTATAAATAAAGTTTCAGTGCTGCAAAAGACATAGCACTCAAATATAAAATTTTCGTTTCAATTCTCAGCAAGGCAAGGTACTTCTATAGAAGGGTACGCCCTTACAGATGGAGCAATAGGGAGCGCACACTTGGACAAGGGAGGGGAAGGGGTTCTTATCCCTGACACATGTGGCTCCTGCTGCTGTGTCGTTCCCCTATTGGCTGGAGTTAGACCACACGGGCTAAACTAATTCTGATTGGCTAATTTAAAGAGAGTACAGGGTGAGTGGTTTGGTGGGAAAAATGGTTATGACAGAGCAGGTAATTGGAATGAGTCAGGGTCAGGTAATCAAAAAAAGTTGCTTTATGAAGTTAAGTTTAAAAGTAGAAGGTAAAAAATTGAACATACTGACATACTGATTCTTTGAAAATAAATTTAAAACTCATATCTAATGTCAATGAATGCAATAATATAAACGAATACAAAATTAAACAATCTTAGAACAGTGGAAGGGAGTATAATCACAACAAGAGGAATTGAAAGTAAGAAATAATTACTGTTTGTGATAAGACAAAAGCATACGCCATCTAATACTTAGGAAAAAAGCTGGATATAGATTTTAGGAACCAGACCCTATTAAAGAGATGCACACATGTGGTTTCATAAGAAATATATTTCTCATATTCAAAGAAGTAATAATATACCATATGCTATTTCAATATTAAAACTCAAATCTTTTACTTTTCAAGTAAAAGGAAAAGGTGATCTGCAAATCATATTATAAAGCACTGTAATGCTAATACTCAGGTCTAACAAAACAGGTGAATAACTTACCTCAAATGAGTCTTACTTACATGTTATTAAATGAATAATACTATGGAAGGCAAAATAATGGATCCTCAAAGATTTCCTCGCCCTAATCTCTAAAACCTGAGATTGTGTTACCTTACAATGGCAAAGAGACTTGCAGTTGTGATTAAAGATACGGATCTTGAAAAATGGTGATATGCCTGAATTACCCTATCCCAGAGAGGCCAATTAATCTACATTAATCCTTAAAAGCAAGAATCTTTCCTGGCTGTGGTCAGAGAATGAGATATGGTAGTGGAAGAAGAGTCCAAAATATGCTATGTAGCTGTAACTTTGACAACAGAGGAAGGGGGCCACAAGACAAGAAAGGCAAAGATATCTAGAGGATGGAAAAGACAAGGAAACATATTCTTCCCTAGAAGCTTCGGAAATAAACTCAGTCCTGCCAAAAACTTAATTTTAGCCCATTGAAACCTATGCCAGAATTCTAAACCTCAGAACAAGAAGCTGATAAATCTGTGTTGTTTAAACTACTATTTTTGTGGCAATTGTTATGGCAGCAATAGAATATTAATACAAACACTAAATGCAATTTATCTTTATATATATAGTACAATATAAAACAACCATGAGTAAAATATTTCCAAGAATAAGCTAATATGTTTTGGGAAATCAGGTAATATACATCATATTATAGGCTTAAAGGAAAACATTCATACAATCATTAGAAGTGATACTAAAAATAAGCATGAAACATAAATATATCTATTTTAAAATGCTAAAAACAATTTATTGAATGATATTACCTTAATAGAGCCTCATGCTCTGATATAATATAGATGGGCATTTATATGGTTTGGCTCTGTGTCCCCATCCAAATCTCATATTGAATTGTAATCCCCAATGTGGGGAGGGACCTGGTAGGAGGTGATTGGATCATGGCGGCAGATTTCCACCTTGCTGTTCTCATAATACTGAGTGAGTCCTCACAGGATCTGGTTATTTAAAAGTGTTTAAAACTTCCCCCTTTGCTCTCTCACTTGCTCTGCCACGGTAAGACACACTTGCTCCCCCTTCACCTTCCACCATGATTGGAAGTTTCCCAAGGCCTCCCAGCTATGCTTCCTGTATAGCCTGTGGAACTGTGAGTCAAGTAAACCTCTTTTTTTATAAATTACCCAGTCTCAGATAATTCCTTATAGCAGTGTGAGAATGGACTAATACAGAGAATTGTTACCAGGGGTGGGGCATTGCTATAAAGATATCTGAAAATGTGGAAGCAACTTTGGAACTCGGTACTGAGCAGAGGTTGGGACAGTTTGGAGGGATCAGAAGAAAACACGAAGATAAGGGACAGTTTGGAACTTCCTAGAGGCTTGTTGAATGGATACAACCGAAAAACACTGATAGTGATATGAACAGTGAAGTCCTGGCTGAGGTGATGTCAGATGGAGATGAGGAACTTATTGGGAACTGGAGTAAAGGTTATACTTGCTATGCTTTAGCAAAGAGATTGGCAGCGTTGTGCCCCTGCTCTAGAGATCTGTGAAACTTTGAACTTGAGATGATTTAGGGTGTCTGGTGGAATAAATTTCCAAGCAGCAAAATATTCAAGAAGTGGCCTGGCTGCTTCTAAAAGCCTATACTCGTTTGCATAAACAAAGAAATGACCTGAATCTAGAACTTATGTTTAAAAGGGAAGCAGAGCATTAAAGTTTGGAAAATTTGCAGCCTGACCATGCAGTAGAAAAGCTGATGTGAATAACCAAGACAATGGGGAAAATACCTCCAGGGCATTTCAGAGACCTTCACGGCAGCCCTCCCATTACATGTCTCAAAGCCATGGAGGAAAAAAATGGTTTCATGGGCAGGCCCAGGACCCCACTGCTCTGTGCAGCTTCAAAACATGGTGCCCTGAATCCTAGCTGCTCTAGCTGTAGCTGTGGTGAAAAGGGTCAACGTACAGTTCTGGCATTGCTTCAGAGGGTACAAGCCCCAAGTCTTGGTGGCTTCTATGTGGTGTTGGGGCTGCAGATGTGCAGATGACAAGAGCTGAGGTTTTGGAGCCTCCAATTAGATTTCACACGATGTATGGAAATGCCTGGATGTCCAGAGAGAAGTCTGCTGCAGGAGTGGAGCCCTTCTGGGGAACCTCTGCTAGAGCAGTGCAGAAGGGAAATGTGGGGTTGGAACCCTGACACAGAGTCCCCATTGGGGCACTGCCTAGTGGAGCTGTGAGAAAGGGCCACCATCCCCAGATCCCAGAGTGGTAGATCCATTGATGGCTTGCACCCTGTGCATTGAAAAGCCACAGAAACTCAATGTCAGCCTGTGAAAGCAGCCATGGGGCTGTAATCTGCCAAGCAACAGGGGCGGGGCTGTAATCTGCCAAGCAACAGGGGCAGGGCTGCACAAGGCCTTGGGAACCCACCCCTTCAGTGTGGTCTGAATGTGAGACATGGAGTCAAAGTTTATATTGGAGCTTTAGGAATAACATCTACTTTGCTGTGTTTTGGATTTTCATGGGGCCTGAAGCCTCTTGGTTTTGGCCAATTTCTCCCTTTTGAAATGGGAATATTTACCCAATGCTTGTACTCTCACTGTATCTTGGAATTGACTAATTGTTTATGATTTTACAGGTTGATTGGTAGAAGGAACTTGCCTTGTTTTAGATGAGGATTTGGAGCTGGACTTTTTGAGTTAATCCTAGAAATGTTAAGACTTTGGGGGACTGTTGGGAAGACATGATTGGTTTTGAAATGTGAGAAGAACATGAGATTTGGGAGTGGTCAGGGGCAAAATGGTTTGGCTCTATGCCCCTGCTCAAATCTCATGTTGAATTGTAATTCCCAATGTTGGGTGGGACCTGGTGGGTGGTGATTAGATCTCGGAGGCTGATTTCCCCCTTACTGTTCTCTGGAGAATGAGTGATTTCTCATGAAATCTGGAAGTGTGTCACACTTCCCCTTTGGCTCTCTGTCCTGCCCCGCCTTGGTAGGACATATTTGCTTCCCCTTTGCTTTCTGCCATGATTGGAAGTTTCCTGAGGTCTCCCAGCCATACTTGCTATAGAGGCTGAGGAACAGAACTGTGAGTCAACTTGAGTCAATTAAATCTCTTTTCTTCATTAATTACCCAATCTCAGGTAGTTCTTTGTAGCAGTGTGAGAATGGACTAATACAGGCACAGACACTTCTGAAGAGCAATCTGGTACAACAGAGGCAATGTGTATCTGTCACTTAGATAGGTAGGTAAAATGTGGTAAATTCAAACTATAGGATATTATATATCAAATAGATCCAACAGGTTTGAGGTACACATATCAACATAAAATGTTCTTAAAAACTTAATGCTTAATAAAAAATTGTGAAAGCAAAGTCATATCTTAAGCAATTAAATAGATATGTTTGATATAATAGACTTTTCATAAAAACACATAAAATAGAAGGATGGTCCATGGTGGTCCATGGGGAGAAGGACGAAAGTGGGATAGGAGGAAAAAGAGAATGAATTATTCAATTAACTTAACAGAATACAGTCCTTTTCAGACCAGTCCTCATAAACTAAAATGAGCTAAGCAGTATGATTAATTCTATCATCAATGGTAGGAATATAAACAACATTATAACAAAATTTTAAAATACAAAAAAGGAAATAAGTTTTTAAAATCTGGAGTCTTATCACCCAGAAGCACTACTAATCTTTTTTTTATAATAAAAGCATTACATTTAAAAGTCTATATATTATTTTAATATAACTCAAAAATGCTCACAATGAAGGACACAGTTAATGAAGTGAACTGACTTAAAATTAAGAATTCTTATTCATCAAAACACTACTAAAATTTTAAGTGTAATCTGCATAATAGGTGAAGTTACTTTTAATACAAATATTGAACACGGGTTTGTGTCTAGAATATATACAATTCAGTAAAAGAAAATATGGAAATGATTTTAAAAGGAATCTTATAGGGAGATACAGAAATGCCTATAAACACATGTAAAGTGCACATATTGTATGCACATGTAAATTGTGTACACATGTAAACTGCAAATTATACATGTAAAGTGTGCACATGGTAGCTTATATTTACAATGCTTCTCATTGGCATTACTCATCAAATAAATGCAAATATAAGCTACAATGATATATAAAAATATAGCTTTAGAGAGAAAATACATAAAAAAATAAGAATTACAACATCAATAAGAAAAATGAAACAGATACTAATAAAATAGAACCCCATTCTCTTTATTTTTTATTTTGTTGAGATAGAGTTTTCCTCTTGTTGCCCAGGCTGGAGTGCAATGGTGCAGTCTTGGCTCACCGCAACCTCTGCTTCCTGGGTTCAAGTGATTCTCCTGCCTCAGCCTCCCGAGTAGCTGGGATTACAGGCATGCACCACCATGCCCGTCTAATTTTTTGTATTTTTAGTAGAGATGGGGTTCCTCCATATTGGTCAGGCTGGTCTCGAATCCCCCATCTCAGGTGATACGCCCTCCTTGGCATCCCAAAGTGCTTGGATTACAGGCATGAGACACTGTGCCTGGCCAGAATCCCATTCTCTACTGGTGGAAATAAAAATGTATATAAACACTTTGGAAACTTGTTTTATAATATCTACTAACATTCAAAATACACATACCATTTTGTCCAGCAATTTTATTCCTATGTATACATTCAACAGATATATGTACTTATATTTATAAGATAAATGCATAAGAATGTTCATAGTAGCTTTATTAATTAGAACTCCAGGCTGGGCCTGGTGGCTCATGTCTGTAATCTCAGCATTTGGGAGGCCAAGGCGGGCAGATCACTTGAGCCCAGGAGTTCAAGACCAGCCTGGGAAACATGGCAACACCCCATCTCTACCAAAAATACAAAAAATTAGCTGGGTGTGATGGCAGACGCCTGTGGTCCCAGCTACTTGGGAGGCTGAGGTGGGAGGTTTGCTTGACCCTGGAAGGCAGAGGTTGCAGTGAGCTGAGATCATGCCACTGCAGTCCAGCCTGGGTGACAGAGTGAGACCCCATCTCCAAAAGAAAAAAAAAAATCCTGAATTATAAATATCAAAATTATCCATCAAGAGTAGAATGAATAAATAAATTATGGTATATTCATACAGTTGAATGCTAAACAATAAAGAATTTTCTGCTACATGAGCCAATATAAGTGAATCTGACCTAGTTCTGAGCTAAATAAATCATTTAAGTAAAGTTAAAATACAGGAAAAATAAGTAAAGTAAATAAATACATGTTAATAGAAGTCAAAATACTGTTCGCCTTTTGGTGAGATGACTGAGAAGTGTATAAAGATACTTTCTAAAGTTTAGGTGACATTCTTGAGTTGGGTACAGATGCACTTAGAGTGTGAAAATTCTTTGGGCAATGCATTTATTATTTTTACTTTTTTTCTGTATCACAAAACCCAGTAAAATTGTTTCAGTGTAGGGGAGTTAAAATCTTCAATAATAATTGTACATTCATCTCTGTCTCCTTGGTCATGTCTACTTTGCTTCATCCATTTTGAAGTTACATCATTAGGGGCATGACCTTTAGAACTCAGGTCCCTCTAGAGAACAAGATTTACCTTTATGTAATATTGCTTGGTATCTCTCATAACAATATTTAGAACAATTTGTTTGATATAAATATGTTCACACCATAAAATTGTGGTTAGTATTTGGTGGTTGTGTTTTCTATTTCAATGCCTTTACTTTTAATCCATGTGTGTCTATTTAAAGTGTAACTCTCCTGGACATCTTAGAGTTGGATCTTTTTTGTTTTGTTTCACTCCAAATAACAATCTCTGGTATTGCTTAGACTGAATAGTCTATTTACATTTAATGTACTTGCTGAATTGTTTGGGATTAATTCTCTCATTTATTATTGATTTTCTTCCTATTCATGTGTAATTTATTTTGATATAGTTTTACCACTTTATTGAAAATAAATCCTTACAACCATGCATATACCTATGCATATACACATGCACATACACACATACACACACACACACACACGCACAAACACACACACACATAGTTAAGCTGGCAGGTGTTGAGGTAATCAATTAAGACAAGCCAAACTGAAAAGGCTGTTATTTTCTTATGACAACAGGGCAGGCAAGAAGCAGAGGGGAAAGTACCACACTTTGGCGTTCCATATTTTGCCATGGAACAGCACCAGGTGAAGGTCAGATGACAAGGAGCACAGATTGAGGGAATCACGTCAAAGTGGAGGAGCTCCTAGAAAAAAAACCTGCTGCCATTTTATGGACCTGGGCTCCCACAAGGAAAGAGCTGGAGAAGGGCCTGGAGTGGAAAAATACTGAGTCAAAGTGGGGAAAACTCTATCAGTTAGGGCCTGACTGGTAAAGAGATCTCAAAGGAGGTGCCTGGAAATTGCCTTAGCTGAGGCCCCTAATCAGGAAGCCTTCAAACAGAGGCACAGGGCTAGGAATGCAGATATGCATATGTACATGGTTTTGGGAGTGAGCTAGGGGGTAAGTCTTTGACTGTATGTCCCTCAGAAAGTTACAGTGCACTGACTATGTGCCATATCTTATACAGGCAGGCAGCTTCCCACATGAGGCTTGATGAGCAAAGCACTGTAATTGCCTAGGGTTGACCTAAAAACAAATCACATATAGAAGTTTTGGCCTGGAGGCAGACTCTTCATGTACATTTTATATATATATATATATATATATATATATATATATATATATATAAAATATACCCCATGATACAGTAATGTTACTATGTTTTGTTAAATTTTAACTTTTAGTTAGGTTTAGGAGGTACATATGCAGGTTTGCTACCTGGATATACTGTATGATGCTGAGGTTTAGGGTACAGATAATTCCATCACCCAGGTAGTGAGCATAGTACCCAATAGGTAGTTTTTCAGCCCTTGCCCACTTCTCTCTCTCACCAACAGTAGTTCCCAGTGTCTATTGTTCCATCTTTCTGTCCACGTGTACCCAATGTTTAGCTTCCACTTATAAGTAAGAAAATGCAGTATTTGGTTTTCTATTCCGGCACTAATTCACTTTAGATAATGGCCTTCTGTTGCATCCATGTTCTGCAAAGGATGAAATTTCATTCTTTTTTATGGTTGTAAAATATTCCATGGTGTATGTGTACCACATTTTCTTTATGCAATCCACTGTCGATGGAAGCCTAGGTTGAGCCTACATCTCTGCTATGGTGTATAGTGCTGCAGTGAACATACAAGTGCTTATGTCCTTTTGATAGAACAATTTATTTTCCTTTAAATATTTACCCAGTAATTGGATTGCCGGATCAAATGGTAGTTCCGTTTTAAATTCTTAGAGAAATCTCCAAACTGCTTTTCACATTGGCTGAAATAATTTACATTCACAACAATAGTGTGTAAGGGTTTCCTTTTCTCCACAACCTAGCCAGCATCTGTTAATTTTTGACTTTTTAGTAATAGCCACTCTAAATTACCTGGTATGGTTTCTTACTGTTGTTTTGATTTGCATGTCTCTGGAAATGCAAATTAGGAATGTTGAGCATTTTTTTTCATATGTTTGTTGATTGCTTGTATATTTTCTTTTGAGAAGTATCTGTTCATGTCCTCTGTCCACTTTTTAATAGGGTTATTTGTTTTTCACTTGTTGAATTATTTAAGAGCCTTACAGATTCTGGATATTAGACGTTTGTTGAATGCATAGATTGCGAATATTTTTTCCCATTCTGTAGGTTGTCTCTTTACTCTGTTGATAGCTATGTTTGCTCTGTAGAAGCTCTTTAGCCTAATTAGGTTAATTCTTGTTTTACTTGCAACTGCTTTTGTGGACTTTTAGTATATCAACAGTCTTTTCAAATGGTTTCTTAAATTTAAAAATACAGTTTTTTACATATGCTTATATATCCATCATTTCTTTTCCCTTTCATTCTCTCCTGTAGATCCATGTTTTGATCTGGGATCCTTTTAATTTATTTTGAAAGATTTTTTTAAATTTCTTAGTGTTTTTTGTAATGTGCTCCCACTGGTGAAGAATTGTCAGCCTTTCATTTTTAGAAATTAAAAAAAAAGATTTCTTTATTTTTAAAAGAGTTTTGTTGTGCATGAAATTCTAGGTAAACTTTTATATTCTGTCTGTTTTTTTAAGGCATTATTTTATATTTTTCCAATTTTATGATGTCTGGCATAAATCACTGTTATTTTTCTTCTGAATGTAATGTGTCTTTGTTTTTCTCTAATTTTTTTTCTTTTCCCTCTAGTTTTTAGCATTATGTCAACAATATATTCTTATTTGATTTTATTATTTTTATTTTTAAGTTTTCTTAATTTCTCAAATTACAAGAAATTCTCCCTCTTCTCTTTATCAACTCATTATGTTACCTCATTAAATCTTTCTCAACTTTTATAACTTCAGTTTATATTTTTGTTAGGATTTTGATATGGTCCATAGTTTCTTCACCAGTCTTTTCTGTTATTTGATGTTTCTCCTATTTTTTACTTTGGTAATTTCTATTACCTGTCGTATGTTCACTGTTTCTTTTTTTCTCTGTCCTGTATTTTATTAAATCAATTTCTGATACTATATTTTTCAGTTCTAGAATGTTATTTTGTGTCTTTATTAGAAATTCTATTTATTTGCTAAAATCTTTGTACTTTTCATCATTTTGTCCATTTTTTCTTCTAATTTTTTAAATATATTTATAACTGTTATTTTAAAGGCCAGATGCGATTTCCAACATCTGTATCTACTTCTTATGACTATTTTTCTCTTGATTATGGCCAATTTTAATTATTCTTCACATATCTGATATATATTTCATGGTGACTATTTTTGATTAAAGAATCAAAGAGATTCAGATAAATATTATTTTCTTCAGAGGGAAAAAGTCCCTTTCTCTGTTCATCAGATAGTAAAAGAGGCTAATCATTTAAATTTAATTGGGAATTCTGCTAGATTGAACTATGTTGCAATTAAATTAGTTTAAGTTTACCTCTGCTTTAAAATTCTTGGGGTCAAGTTATGCACTATGTATATTATAGAAGTCTTCCTCTAGCATAATTCTTATATATAAAATTGTAATAACATGGAGTTTCTCTCTCTCTCTCTCTCTCTCTCTCTGTCTCTCCCTCTCCCCCTCTGTCCCTCCCTCCCTCCCATTTGTAGAACAGATCCCAGCCTGTCATACTACTACCATCACTATATTCAGCAAAAGTCCCATGAGAAGTCTTGGCAGGTAGGTAAAATAGCCTTCTTCGAACACAAGAAACCAGTCCACCAGGCCAGCCCACATAGCTTTAAAACCTCTACTGATTTTGCTTACTCACAGCAGTCTCCTTTTCTATGGCAGATCCAATCCTTCAGTTCCATGATCCAACAAATGCTTCTGGTGATTTAATCAGTACTCATTTAGGAAGGGCTCATTCTTAACTTATTTGCTTCACATATCTTTTTATAGATTGATTTTGTGTTTATGAAATACATATGTAGTTTGTTGTTGTTTGTTGCTGCTGTTGCTGTTTTTAAGTTTCTTGGTTATTCTCCAGTTATGAGCAAAGGAACAGCTGTGTGTTGTAAATTTCTACATCTTAAACAAAAGTGAAACTTTCAGTTATGACATTCCAAACAGCATTGTAGATTATTTAATTTCTAGTTTGGATATATTGACTCTCAGCATTCTTTCTTGTTTTGTTATAATTTTAATATATTTTTTAAAATGTATGGTTCCAGCATAGATGAAAGTGTCTTTTTATTTTATTTCATTTTGTTCTGTTTACTGGATTTTGAGAGAACAATTGCTTATATTTTACAGATTTTCCTGGAAATATGAACAGCTCTGTTTGTAGTTATTCATAACTTTCATTATCTTATCTATATTTATTTTAAGGCCCTAAATAGGTTATATTCTCTATTGGCATGAGTTTTTTTAATCACAAAAATTGCACCTCATAGCCCTAGACTGACCAAAAGTGAGTCACTGTGTCCACCTAAAACAGTAGCAATTAAAATTCCTTCAGTAATGGAAATGTTTATATTCATGATGAACGATATGGTAGCCAAAAGCCGCAAGAGACTATTGAGAACTTGAGAATGTCTACTGCAGAGTCAGAATTACATTTTAATTTTAATTAATTTAAATTTAATACAAATAACTATATGTGACTAGTGGCTATCTTATTGGACAGAACAGATTTAATACTTAGACCTCCCTAGAAAGTATATTAAGATTTGTATTTGTATTGATTTGTAAATCTATTACATTGTTTGCCAGAGGCAATTACTTGCCACCTGTGTTCTAACCAAGCTTGCCCATATTTCACATGTTGAGTTTGTTCATTTTAACTGTCAATTGGCCTAATTTTCCCATTTCTAGCATTTTAATTTCTCCAGAGCTTGCATACTACATTGAACACCAATTCAGTGACCTGGAACAATTCCACTCGCATTTGTTCCTTTTAGACCATTTCACTGGGAGTATGTTTCCAATCCACTTATATATAGATTCTCATCCTCTTCCCAAAGTGTTACTGTGAATCCACTTCCCAGCCCAGGACCACGGTATTACATTTAACCTGTTCTAAACTCTAGTCCCATATAGAAACTCTTTATATATTGATTGGTTTCAGACACCTTTTTAGATAGAGAATATGGGTTATAGTTTGTTCTTGTAATCGACCACTTACTATTCCTATGGAATCCTAATATTTTTTCTCATTCCAGTTACTCCTGTTAAATTCAAATTTCATCATGATTCACTGTGACTTCTTCTTGATTATTGAAACTGGGCACTAGGCTAGCATTTACTGCAGTAGTTTTGATTGATAGATGTGAAATCAGAAAGAACAAAGAATAAGGTAAACTATTAAGTACTACAGAGTTTTGATGAATGAATTGGTTACTTTTAATAGGAGAAAAACATTATTGCGGTGCCAATATTGAACTTGGGAAAAACACATTTATTAAAATTATAATTTTTTCTCAATTTTCCTATTTTAGGCTTGAATATTTAATGTCTTTTATTTGCTTTTTTATCAAAAGATTGCTAATTTAAAGTTTGACAATAACCATTTCTACTACCTGCTACGCTGGTTGCATAAATTTCCTTTTTCAAGAGTACAGTTCAACCACTAATATCTAAAGTATCTATTCAGTTAATATTAATTATGCATACCTTTAAATTTCACTAGAAAAAAGAAATCTTTATAGATATTCTGAACTCAGTTCATTAAAAAAAGTAATTACTCTAATAATGCTTCGAGTTTATTCTCTTTTATAAGTGAATAAAATTAGGACTGAATTATTTATTTTAAAAGAATGATTTATGGAGCTTTAAAGACACACATATAATTTTAAAGGATTTCATTCTTCAGCTTTTGAAAGATGTTCCATTTTGGTTCAACATTTCAGATCTGCAATTTTGACACTAAAAGCACGAGAACTTTATTAATCTCAACTATAGACTTCAGTTTCCAAAGGAGTATTTCATCAACTCAAAGCCAAGATCATTAAAAAAAAAATTGGAAATTTTACCTGGAATTAAAAAGAATTAATTTATTTGTAAATGTCTTACAAAAGATACAATAAATATCTGAAGCTAATTTTAGGCACATACTTTCAGCCACTTCAAATGCATGGTTTTCTAATGCCACTAAGCTGAAACAACATATAGGTTATATTTTTAGGCAACCTAAAATTTTTGAATGATAAAAAGCATCAAATATAAGTGGAAAGTATAAATAACAAATTTTCTGTCAATGCAGAAGGTGTTACTCTCTCTTAATAATAGTAAGAAATGTAATGGGAGAACAGTAATTCAAAGATACACAGGAAAAATTTACACATGAACTATAGATTTGGAGAAATAATGCCTGTTCATTTACATGATATCAACTTTCATACTTTGAGATACTCATGAGATACTTTGAGATATTCATGAGATTTTTTTTTAACACGAAAATAAAGTCTTTATAATAAACCAGATAATTGAATTTAAAAACCTCATGTCTTCAGTTCTGTGAATATATTTTTTATTTAAAGGTTTGGATATCCAAGTCAAAAATCTCTATCTCATAGATATGTATAAACACAGTAATGAAAATAAAAGTAAGTTTATTCAGTGTTAGTGGATGATTTTACAGTGAACATCTGGCTGAGAGAAAAGTGCAACCCTAAAAGCCCTGTGATTATATACTCTTTATTGATTAAAAAGTAGTGTTACTATCTCAAGGAACTCACCTGAAAAGCCATTCTCAAAATCATAACCTCAAAACGATAGTATGTAATAGGCAGTGTACAATTTAGACAGTCTTTCAAAACACTCATTCTATTTTGAGAGAAAAAGTAAAACTTGTAAAGAAAAATGGGGTTTGGGAGAAGTGTTTACCTATAAAAATGGTAAATTAAATATATTAGAATGGGACTGGGCAAGAAGGCCAACTAGATGCAGCAAGGTGGAACAGCTGCCACCAAGGGACCCAGATGATTAGTGCACTCCTAAAAGATCTTCAGAGGGAAAGCACTGAGAGTGTCCAGAGGGAAGACACAGAAGCTGGGCTAAAGGAGGAGGAAGCTCAGAACCTTGCATGGGCTACAGCAGCGGGACTCCTTCCTGGACCCCAGTGACTCCGGGGGAATAGATGAGTTGAACTGGCAAGGAACAACCTGCTCTCACCATGGCCCTCTGGAATCCTGACAGGAGAAGACCCCTTGACCACCATAGAGACTTGAGCTGGCAGGGAGAGCTGCTTAGAGAGGTGGTAGGGACCGCACACCAGCTGGTGTGGAGCCCAGAGGGTTTGATGCAGGAGCATCTGTTGTGGAGTATGGCCAGGGACACCCAACCCTCTGGGCTCCACTTGCTCCCATAGGAGACTTTAGCTCTAGAGGAACTGTTGGACCTGAACTCTGCAGGGTGGTCTTGCCCTTTAGATGGAGATAGTTCAACCTGACCTCTCCAGGGGCCCCAGCCTGGCCACAGCTACTTGTAGTGCAGCTTCAGGTGACCTGGGGACCTGTATCATAGCTACTACCCTGGGGACAACACCTGACTGACAAAGAGTTTCAGTGGGGCAGGCCCCACGGCCATGTGCCAGCCCACCAGCTCCCTCCCCCACCTTCAACTTCTCTGGGGCTCACGGCCACCCTCCACATCACTTTGAGAGTGTGTATGTGGGCAGGCAGATCTTAGTTTCCCTGCCCCGCCAGTGCACATGTATGCATGCATGCTGCCCTGCCATTGCTGCTGGTGGGAGTGCACTCCAAGCTCTCCCCACCCCCAATACCCCCACCATACTGCCATTGTAGTCAGAGCCTTGGTGGACACAGAGCCCATAAGCCCCACTCCCAGCAGTGGCCCACCCCTGTGCCAACACTTCTGCCAGAGTGAAACTAGGTACAGACAATAGCAGACCCTGCTGCGCTGCACCTGCTGCTGACACATGCAAATGATGATGGATCCCACTGCCACTGCCCTGTGAAATGCTTCAGCTGGTGCCACCCTTCAGAGTGCTGGGACCAATGGTTACAGAACATCTCAGGGCCACCCCCTGCCCCCCAGCTTAAGGAGTTCCTAACTTTGAGAAGCCAGAGAACAAACTCAGGGCCTGATACCAGTGTCCCAGAGTTAGAATATGCAGTCTAGAAGTTGTGAGCTGAGACTTGGCCCCCTAAAATCTTCCAGAAATAAAACCAGTTGACTGAACCCACCTTATATACAACATTCAAACCCTCAAGGGTTTGATTTATCCTATCAAATAGTATTTAAAAACCCCCAAAATCCATCCAAAGGACAGCTACTTCAAAGATTGAAGAACATCAGCACACAAAGATGAGAAAGAAACCAGCACAAGAACTCTTGACAACTCAAAAAGCCAGAGCACCTTCTTTCCTCTAAATGAGGACACTAGCTCTCCAGCAAGTGTTCTAAACCAGGCTGAAATGGCTGAAATTACAGAAACAGAATTCAGGATACGGATAGCAATGAAGATCATTGAGATGCAGAAGAACAGTGAAATCCAATCCAAGAAAGCTAAGAATCACAATAAAATGATACAGGAGCTGACAGGCAAAATAGCGAGTATAGAAAAGAATAAAACTGACCTGATAGAGCTAAAAAACAAACTACAAGAATTTCATAATGCAATCACAAGTATTAATAGCAGAATAGACCAAGCTAGAGAAAGAATCTCAGAGCTTGATGACTGACTTCCTGAAATAAGACAGAGAAGAATAGAGAAAAAAGAATGAAAAGGAATGAAAAAAAAAAAACACTGAGAAATATGGGATTATGTAAAAAGACCAAATCTACAACTCATTGATGTCCCTAAAAGAGATGAGAAGAATGAAAGCAACTTGGAAAATATATTTCGGGATATCACTCGTGAGAACTTCCTCAACCTAGTTAGAGAGGCCAATATTCAAATTCAGGAAATGCAGAGAACCTTCATAAGATACTTCACGAGAAGATCATCCCCAATATGTATAATCATCAGATTCTCCAAGGTGGAAATGAAAGAAAAAATGTTACAGGCAGCCAGACAGAAAGGTCAGGTCACGTACAAAGGGAAGCCCATCAGACTAACAGTGGACTTGTCAGCAGAAACCCTGCAAGCCAGAAGAGATTGAGAGAAAATATTCAACATCCTTAAAGAAAAGAAATCCCAAACAAAAATTTTATATCCAGCCAAACTAAGCTTCATAAGCAAAGGAAAAATGAAATCCTTTCAGACATGCAAATGCTGAGAGAATTTGTTATGACCAAATGTGCCTTAGAAGAGCTCCTAAAGGAAGCACTAAATCTGGAAAGGAAAGACTGTTACCAGCCACTACAAAAACACAGTTAAACACATATACCGGAGACACTATAAAGCAACAACAGAAACAAGTCAGCATAATAACACAAAATCTACCAAGAAAATGGGAAACAGAGGAAAGCAGGGGGTTGCAATCCTAATTTCAGACAAAACAGACTTCAAACCAACAAAGATCAAAAAAGACAAAGAAGGACATTACATAATGGTAAAGGGTTCAATTCAACAAGAAAATCTAACTATGCTAAATATATACACATGCAATACAAGAGCACAAAGATTAATAGAGCAAGTTTGTAGAGGCTTTCAATGAGACTTAGACTCCCACCCAATGGTAATGGGAGACTTCGATATCCCACTCTCACAGTATTAGACAGATCATCAAGGCAGAAAATTAACAAAGACATTCAGAACCAGAACTCAGTGCTGGATCAAATAAACATAATACATATCTACAGAAATCTCCACCTGAAAACAACAAATATATGTTTTTCTCATTGCCACATGGCATATGCTCTAAAATCCACCACACAATCGTACATAAAACAATCCTCAGAAAATGCAAAAAAAGAAAAAGTGATATTGAACCACAGCAAAATACAATTACAAATCAAGGCTAAGAAAATCACTCAAAACCACACAATTACAAGAAAATTAAACAACTTGCTCCTTAAAGACTTTTGGGAAAATAATGAAATTAAGGCAGAAATCAAGAAGCCCTTTGAAAGTAATGGGAAAAAAAGATACAACATATCAGAATCTCTGAGACACAGCTAAAGCAGTGTTAGGAGGCAAATTTATAGCACTAAATGCCCACCTCAAAAATTTAGAAAGATCTCAACATAACAACCTAACATCTCAAACTAAAAGAACAAGAGAACCAAGAGTAAATCATCCT
Organism: Homo sapiens; assembly: GCF_000001405.40. Lineage (NCBI taxonomy): Eukaryota > Metazoa > Chordata > Mammalia > Primates > Hominidae > Homo > Homo sapiens. The sequence continues at coordinate 184,135,868 of NC_000002.12, read as the reverse complement.
GAACGCTAGCGGAAGACAAGAAATAAGCAAAATAAGGGCTGAACTGAAGGAGATTGAGACACAAAAACCATTCAAAAGATCAACAAACCCAGAAGTTGTTTTTTGTTTGGAAAATTTAATAAACTAGATAGACTGCTAGCTAGAGTAGTATAAAAGAAAAGAGAGAAGATCCAAATTAACACAATTAGAAATAACAAAGGGATATTATCACTGAGTCCTCAGAAATACAAATAACAATCACAAAATATTGTAAATACCTCTACTCACACAAACTGGAAAATGGATAAATTCCTGGACATACACACTCCCTAGAATGAACCAGGAGGAAATTGAATTGCTGAACATACCAATAATGAACTCTGAAATTAAAACAGTAATAAACAGTCTACCAATAAAAAAAAAAATCCCAGGACCAGACAGATTCACAGCTGAATTCTACCAGATGTACAAATAATAATCAATACCATTCCTACCAAAACTATTACAAAAAATTGAGAAGACCTCCTCCCTAGCTCAGAATGAGTTATTCTGAGTATTCTATGAGTTATTCTATGAGTATTCTAAGAGGCCAGCATCATCCTGATACCAAAATCTGTCAGAGATACAACAAAGAAGGAAAACTTCAGGCCAATAGCCTTGATGAACATTGATGCCAAAATCCACAAGAAAATACTTGCAAACTGAATCCAATAGCACATCAAAAATTTATCCACCACAATCAAGTAGGCTTTATCCGTGGGATGCGAGGTTGGTTAAACATATGCAAATCAATAAATATGATTCATCACGTAAACAGAACTAAAAACAAAAAAACACATGGGTATCTCAGTAGATGCAGAAAAAGTATTTTGATAAAACTCATCACCACTTTATGTTAAAAAACTCTCAAAAAACTAGGTATTGAAGGAACATACCTCAAAATAATAAGACCCATTTATAAAAATCCCACAGCTAACATCATACACAATGGGAAAAAGCTGGAAGCATTCCACCTGAAAATTGGAACAAGACAAAGATTCTCTCTCTCACCACTCCAATTCAACATAAAATTGGAGGTCCTGGCTGAAGAAATCAAAGAGAAAGAAATAAAGGGCATCTAAATAGGAAGAGAGAAAGTCAAAATATCCGTGTTTGCAGACAACATGACTCTACATCTAATAAAACCCATAGTCTTGCCCCAGAAGCTCCTTAAGCTGATAAACAACTTCACCAAAGTCCCAGATTACAAAATCAATGAATAAAAATTATGAGCATTCCTATATACCAACAAAAGTCATGCCAAGAGCCAAATTAGGAACACAATTCTATTCACAGTTGCAACAAAAAGAATAAAATGCCTAGGAATACAACAAACCAGGGAGATGAAAGATCTGTACAATGAGAACTACAAAACAGTATTCAAATAAACCATAAATGACACAAACAAATGGAAAAACATTCCATACTCATAGATAGGAAGCACAAATATGGTAAAAATGGCTATACTGCCCAAAGCAATTTATAGATTCAATGCTATTCTTATCAAACTAGTAATGACATTCTTCACAGAACTAAAAAAAAACAAAAAAAGCCAAAAAAACCCTATTTTAAAATTCGTATAAAAACGTTTCAAGAAGCCTAAATAGCCAAGGCAATGCTAAGCAGAAAGAACAAACCTGGAGGCATCACATTACCAGTCTTCAAACTATCCTATAGGGCTACACTCACCAAAACAGCATGGTACTGGTACAAAAATAGTCATATAGACCAAAGGAACAGAATAGAGAGTCTAGAAATAAGACCACACACTTATGAACATGTGATGTTTGACAAAGCTGACAAAAACAAGCAATGGGGAAAGAACTCCTGTATCAGTCTGTTTTCACACTGCTATAAAGAACTGCTGGAGACTGGGTAATTTATAAAGGAAAGAAGTTTAATTGACTCACAGTTCCACATGGCTGGGGAGGCCTCCTGAAACTTATAATCATGGTGGAAGGCAAAGGAGAAGCAAGTACCTTCTTCACAAGGTAGCAGGAAAGAGAGAGAGCCAAGGGGGGAAAGCCCATTATACTTTTTTTTAACTTTTTATTTATTTATTTATTTATTTTGAGATTGAGTCTTGCTCTGTCACCCAGGCTGGAGTGCAGTGGCATGATCCTGCCTCACTGCAACCTCCACCTCCAAGGTTCAAGCAATTCCCCTGACTCAGCCTCCCATGTAGCTGGGATTACAGATGCACTCCACTATGTCCAGCTCACTTTTTTGTGTGTATTTTTAGTAGAGACGGGGTTTCACCATGTTGGCCAGGCTGGTCTCAAACTCCTGACCTCAGGTGATCTGCCAGCCTCAGCCTCCCAAAGTTCTGGGATTACAGGCATAAGCCACCACACCCGGCGGGAAAAGCCCCTTTAAAACCATCAGATCTTGTAAGAACTCTCACTATCACAAGAACAGCATGGGGGAAACTGCCCCCATGATCCAATCACCTTCCACCAGTTCCCTCCCTCGACATGTGGGGATTACGGGGATTACAATTCAAGATGTGATTTGGGTGGGGACACAGACCCAAACCATATAAACTCCCTATTCAATAAATAATGCTGGAATAACTGGCTAGAAATATGCAAAAGTTTGATACTGGACCCCTTCCTTACACCATACACAAATATCAACTCAAGATGGATTAAAGACTTAAATGTAAACCCCAAAACTATAAAAACTCTGGAAGACATCTAAGCAATACCATTCTAGACATAGAAAGTGGCAAAGATTTCACGACAAAAACACCAAAAGCAATTGCAATGAAAGCAAAAGTTGACAAATGGAATCTAATTAAACTAAAGAGCTTCTGCAAAACAAAAGAAACTATCAACAGTGTTAACAGACAATGTACACAATGGGATAATTTTGCAAACTATTCATCTGACAAAGGTCATTAGACAAAGGTCTAATGACAAAGGTCATTAGATATTAATCTGGTATCTATAAAGAACTTAAATTTACACACAAAACAATTCGTCCAAGGACATAAATAGACACTGTTCAAAAGATGACCTACATGCCGCCAAGAAGCATATGAAGAAAAAGCTCAACATCACTGATTATCGGAGAAATGCAAATCAAGACCAAGACCACAATGAGATACCATCTCACACCAATTATAATGGTTATTTAATTTAATTTAATTTAATTTAATTTTATTCTATTTTATTTTATTTTTGAGACTGAGTCTCGCTCTGTCACCCAGGCTGGAGTGCAGTGGTGCGATCTCAGCTCACTGCAAGCTCCGTCTCCCGGGTTCACGCCATTCTCCTGCCTCAGCCTCCCCGGTAGCTGGGACTACAGGCATCTGCCACTGTGCCCGGCTAAATTTTGCATTTTTAGTAGAGACGGGGTTTCACCATGGTCTCGATCTCCTGACCTCGTGATCCGCCTGCCTCGGCCTCCCAAAGTGCTGGGATTACAGGTGTGAGCTACTGTGCCTGGCCAGTTATAATGGTTATTATTAAAAAGTAAAAAAACAAAAACAATAAAACCAAAAACAGATACGGGAGAGATTGTCGAAAAAAAGAAACAATTATGCACTATTGGGAGTGTAAATTAGTTCAACCACTGTGGAAAGTGGTGATTCCTCAAAGAGCTAAACTCCCAGCAATCCCATTATTGAGTATATACCCAAATGAATATAAATCGTTCTATCATAAAAACACATGCACATATATGTTCATTGCAGCACTATCCACAATAGCAATTACATGGAATCAACCTAAATGCTCATCAGTGGTAGACGTGATTTAAAAAATGTGGTACATATACACTATGGAATACTAGGCTGTCATAAAAAAGGAATGAGATCATGTTCTTTGTAGGAGCATGGATGGAGCTGGAGATCATTATCCTTAGAAAACTAATGTTGAAACAGGAAAACAAATACTACAGGGTCTCACTTATAAGTGGGAGCTAAATGGTGAGAACACATGGGCACATAAATGGGAGCAACAGACACCATAGTCTACCAGCAGATGGAGGTTGGGAGATAGAAGAGGATCAGGAAAAATAACTAATGGGTACTAGGCTTAATAACTGGGTGATGAAATAATCTGTACATCAAACCCCAGTGAAATGAGTTTACCTATCTAAGAAACCTGCACAAATACCTCTGAACCTAAAATAAAAGTTAAAATAAATAAATAAAAATATTAGATACATTATATGAAAATATAAAGATGTGTATGCTCTTATAATTCAAAAATTCTTTAGTAATACTTAAATTTTTAATAGAAAATTTGTATTATAACACATATATTACATATAAAATGTTATAGTAAGTATTATTTAGCAAAATCCACATATTATGAAAGACTTATGAAATAATAAGCAAAGGCCAAGATATTTTAGCATAAAACATTCATTTATTTATGTATCAGAATTGAGCATCTGCTGTAGACAAATTACTTGACTAAATACTCTGGGCTTTTCCAGATAAGAATAACTTGATATTGCTCTTTAGTTTACAATGAAGAAGTCTCTTCCTCAGGCAACAAAGTTCAGTTCTAAAACTTGCTCAAATACAGACACCTGGCAAGGGATTGTGACACTCCATCACCACTGCCATCTTACTGCCACTGTCAGTTCAACAGTACATCTGCTTTTCTCAGGAGCCAGATAAGTAAATTAATGGGATTATTCTGAAACACATGAATCCTATATCCTTTAATTCTCTGATAACAGTTTTGAGAATAGTATTTGAATTTATCTGCATGTAGTTTCAGGGTCTTCTCTGTGGTCTTCACAATTATCATGGCTTTTATGATGGTTCATACAGGGCAAGTAGCCAACCTAAAAGTTCTCCAACTGCTAAGTGTATCTATCTCAATTATATACTCAGAGAGAGGGAGAAATGAACTGCAGATGGGACTGTGTACCCTTTGTACTTTATTTGCACTCCCACCTGAGCAGGGATGTCATGACAGCATTTCAGATTCAGATCAAATCTTCTCATATATTGTATCTAATCTCTTTGGACATCTGAGTAACCCCGTTTGCCCCAGTGTAAAATTATTCATATGAATGACCATCGATTCCCTTTGGGAAATGATTGGAGGAATCACTACTGTATATACTTTCTGTGGCATTGCAGGGACCTCTTTCAAGTGAGCCAGCCTCCACTCCTGCTAGTAAGTGGCTCTGGGTCAGAGAATAGGCCTCCATCTGGAAACTAATAAGGAAATAGCCTTTGGATGGTTGACATAAGCCTTCTGCTCATGCACTTTGGTCTTTATGTATGTGTGTGTGTGTATGTAACATATAATACACACTATGTATCTACAGTTACATTATTATATATGAGGCAACATCCTTGTTGGCCATCCTTAGAAAACCATGGTCTATTATAATCCCCTGCAGCTCAGAGCCCCCTTTTCATTGTTCCATCTTTGCTGTTCATTACCATAATTCTCTCCACCTTACTCTATTAAGTACTGTGCTCCTGGCCACAGGCATTCTGGATTCGATCATCTTTATTGAGACTAAGGAAGCAAATTCCATAAAAATCTCTGGACTGTCAATCATGGCCCAACAGGACAGCAATTAGTGAGCTCCTTAGTATGATGGTGCAAACTGTACAGATACATTGCTCATCTTGGTGAAGGAAATCTCCTCAGGGGCCATCTTTGTTTGTTTGTTTAACTGGTTAAAGTTTTATTAAATCCACAGATATAAAAATTATATCATTAGGCATTGGGGGATAGTGCTGTTAGGGACAGAGGGATATGGACAGAACAGAGAACAGAACCCGGACAGTTTGGCCATGGGGGCCCTAGCCTTAGAGACTGTCACCAGAGCAGCTCTAGTGCATACTTGAAAGTACTGAACAGGAATCAGTAGTGGAGTTTTCATCAGCACCGCCACTGAGAATCTGGTATAGCCATAGGCCTCATTCATGTGTGTTTTGAAGAAACACTGCAAGCTGATAATGAACTCATATTTGCCTTGTCCTCAATTCAATCAATTGAACACGTCCTCCATGGACTAGGCAAACTCCTGAGTGGAGAGTCCTACAAAGCAGCAACTTCTCCTGAAGGTGGGCATGAATAGTGCTTATTCCAGGGTGACTTTGGGCTACTTCAGGGGAAGGTGGAGTTGATGGCCAGCAGATTCAGGGGGCAACAGGGCCTATGGCAGAACAGAGCAAACAGCATACCACTCACACTTTCACTGGTTGGCCAACAAGAGCTTCACAGTTTGTATATAATAGGTCTCTTCTCACATGTGTATTTCTGTTAGCCTTTTGATATGCTTCCTCAACATTCTTACAACAAAGTTCTTGCAACAATGTGCGTCATTAAAAAACTTCTGTCAATCATGGCCCATTAAAAACTGGACTTCTTTTCATTTCAGGATTTTCAAAGCTACCCTAGCAGAATATTATGACTAGGTGCAATTTAAAGCAAAATCTTTTGAAGGGCAGATAACTTTGCCTCACACTTGCATGGCAACTCTGAGCGCTAGTCAGTTCTGCACCAGTCTTTGGTTAGCAGCCAACATGAACCTGTAAATATCAGGATGCTTCCATGTATCTGTGGGCAACTCTTTGTGCATGTAGGCAAAACAGACTGTGGCAGCCAGGGGACAGCCCTCTGACAAAGAGAAGCAGTTGTTGCTTCTGGGAGAGCTAATGCATCATGGCAAGTACATGAAAATGGGAAATAGATCTGAGAGTACATGAGTGGTTGCAATAGTGCCTGCTATACACTCTCTCTCTCTCTCTCTGTCTCTCTCTCTCTCTCTCTCTGTGTGTGTGTATATATATATATATATATATATACACACACATATATACACATACCTATGTGTATGTATATATTTAATAAATGTATACCCTTGTGTATATACCATATTTTTCTTATAAAAAGTTTCAAAATTGTTTTGTTCATTTAAATGAATTGCTTATATTGCAATATTGTCATTTTCAATAAATTTGACTTTTTTTTACATAAGTCCATATCTAGAAAGGGGAATCCAAAACTTTTATGTGTGGATATCTGTAAGTATGAGCTTACAAAAGAGATGTTTCTTGCAATGAACAAAATTGAAAAGAATAATAAAAATGATTGCATTAATATAAATTAATTTACTTAATATAAGTAAGTGACTAAAAGTGCACTTAGGAATACCTTGGAGTACTACATAACAATATGTGACATAAATAGAAAAAATACTATATAATGAATATGAGGAAACGAAAGTTCATTTTACAAATGCCATTCTACAATTAAATCAATATTAATGCATTATATGAAGTCATATGAAGCATATAATCCATAAATAGTAAATTAAAATAAAAATTCACCTATGCTTTTAAAGTTGAATTTAACATGTAAAGATCTTGCCAAATCAATTATCATTAGTGATATCTATCGGGCTAGGAATTATTTTGTAGGCCCCCTAGCTTAATATATAAATTGGTCCAAATTAATAATGTAATCACATTCTATACAAGGAACATTTAACCAAATAGAGCTGCCACAAATTATTCTTGGTGGATGCAGGTGTGTGAGCTTAGTATTTTAAAAGAAATTTAAAGAAACACAAATGTAAATAAAAATACTGATAAGACTATTAAGTTTTTAGAAATAATAAAAACAAGAAAGCCAGGTAAAAATTAATGCATCATCATTCCTCTGGAAGATACTTTAAAGTCCTTTGCAAAATCAAGATTTTTTGAATCACCTGCATATTACAAATGATTAGCAGCTGTGAGTGAACTACTTTCGAATTGCCTAGAATATATTTTCTGAGTTGACATGTAATCAGCAGTTCGGCTGTGGTAACAAAGAGAGAACTACTTAAATTGTAATTTATGGGAAAGGGGAAACATTGTGGAATATCTAGAAGTGCAATGTTGTCCTTGCTGCTGCAACTCTTTTGCCTACTATGGTAATTCAGCTCTCAGAAAATTATAACCATTTTCTCATAATATATAAATTGAACAATTAAGAACAAGTAAAAAAAGCTGGTAGAGAGATACACAGATAGATAGATAGATAGATAGATAGATAGATAGATAGATAGATAGATAGATAGATCTAGATTTACTATAACCAAGAAATCCAGACAGTGAGTATCAGATGGGTGGACAATGGAGGAGTAATTCGTAAAAGGCCATTTTGTGACACTGGGTAAGTTACTCTTCCTTTCTTTAGGTGTGATGCCTTACTTTCTAGTAAGGTAAATGGTGCATTAAACTGCATAGACATTTGGAGTGCTGGATTTTTTTTTTTTATGTCTAGACAATACTCTCTAAATAAAACCAACTAACAACATATAACAATAAAGATATTTAAAAACATATGAAAGGTAAATAGCTCTGTGCTATTCAAATTTAGATAAAAATTTTAATGTTTAATTTGAATTTAGTTATTTGTTAAAATAAAACTGCAATGTATTCAGCATTTTACTAAGATATTAATTTGTGTAAATTTGTAGGTAGTATTCACTTGTCTTAATTTCTTAGTGCAATAACAAAAGCAAAATGACAATTATATTAAATATGAAAAAACACTATGGTCATTATGTTAGAAACTAAATCTCAGGTTGGAGAATCTAGCTTGTTACAAATTTTTTACAAATCCAAGTTGTGTAAATTTTAAAAGTAACAGAGAATATAACAAATGCTATTCGCTATTTGATAATGTCACAAAATAGAACCAATTGCAATTTCCCTGGCTAAGTTCTTTTTCTCTGTTCAATTCTTCATGTATGAGAACTTATAATTATTTCATTATAAATACAGAATTCTAGCTGCATTTAAAAATTACTTAATTAGAATTTCTAATAAATAGCATCACATAATATTTAAGATATATCAAGGTTGAGAAACATCACCTTAACAATTTCTTGAATTTAAAATGCACCTATATTCATTGTTTCAACAAAGATTTATGAAATGCTCAGTAAGTTCCAGCCAGCCTTCTAGGCACTAGAATATGGCAGTGAACAAAACACACACAACTTCCTTCATGGAATTAATAATATAATTTAGAGATGAAATGGTAAAAAAAATTTTAAATATAATATTTCAGATAATACAAAAGCTGTAAGTACCAATAAGTATTACAAGGAGAATAGGACAATGTGGGATGGGGTTGAATGAAGTTAGTCATTGTAGAAAAGGTGCTTAAGGAAGATGCTATAATTTGGATATTTGACACTCCAAACTTCATGTTGAAGTGTGATTCCCCAGTGTTGTAGGTTAGGCCTAATGGGAGGTGTTTGGGTCATGGTGGCAGTTCCTTCAGGAAAGAAAGGCTTGGTGCCATTCTTGCAGGAATGAGTGAATTTTGACTCTATTAAGTCTTGTGAAAGATAACTCCAAGAGCTAGTTTTAAAAAGAGCCTGGCACCTTCCCTTTCTCATTCTTGCCTCCTTCTCTTTCCATGTGATCTCTGTACATGTTGGCTCTGCTTTGCCTTCCACCATGAGTGGAAGCAGCCTGAAGCCCTCACCAGAAGCAAATGCTGGCACCGTTCTTCTTGTATAGCCTGCAGAATCATGAGCCAAATAAACCTGTTTTCTTTTTTAATTGCCCAGCCTCAGGTGTTCTTGCATAGCAACACAAACAGACTAAAAGAGAAGACAATATGGAAGTGAAAAACTGAACCACACAGGAATTTGAAGAATAGGAACCAGAGAGTGTGCAAATGCTGTGGGGTGGGAGTGTGCTTGATGTTCCTTTGCGTGTCCAAGGAACATCAAGGAGAACCAGATGATTGGAACAAAGTGAGCAAGAGGCACGATGATACACAGTGAACCTGAAGAGGGAGCAAAGAGATCACAGATACATTGCTGCATCATTCTAAGGGCTTTTGTTTTACCATAGGATTATGTAAAAAGAAGTGACATTATCTGAGTTAACTTTTAAAAGACAGATAGTCTGCAAGTCTACTACTTGCAGCACTATTCACAATAGCAAAGACTTGGAACCAACATAAATGTCCATCAATGATAGACTGGATAAAGAAAATGTGGCACATGTACATCATGGAATAAATACTATGCAGCCATAAAAAAGGATGAGTTCATGTCCTTTGCAGGGACATGGATGAAGCTGGAAACCATGATTCTCAGCAAACTAACTAAAGAACAGAAAATCAAACACACCATGTTCTCACTCATAAGTGGGAGGTGAACAATGAGAACACATGGACACAGGGAGAAGAACATCACACACCAGGGCCTGTCTGGGAGTGGGGGTTAGGGGAGGGATAACATTAGGATAAATACCTAATGTAGGTGATGAGTTAATGGGTGCAGCAAACCACTGTGGCACATGTATACCTATGTAACAAAACTGCACGTTCTGCACATGTACCCCAGAACTTAAAGTATAATTAAGAAAAGGAAAGAAAATCTACTGAACAGAATTCCCTAACACAATTTTATTAACTGAAAGAAAAAAAAAAAGGAGAAGAATGGACAATAGAAGGGCGAGAGTAGAAATAAGAGAGACCATTTAGAAGAGGTGTTAGTCAGGGCTCTCCAGACAGATAAAACCAATAGGAAATAGATAGATGATAGATAGATAGATAGATAGATAGATAGATAGATAGATAGATAGATGAGAGGAGATTTATTAAGGGAATTGGCCCACATGATTATGGAGGCCAAGTTCCATAACAGGTGGTCTGCAAACCAAAGACCCTGGGATGGCAGTAGCATGACTCATTTCAAGTCAAAAAACCTGAGAACCTGAGTAGCCATGCTGTATGTTTTGGAGTCCAAAGGCCAGAATTCCTGAAATTCTGAGGTCCAAGGGCAGGAGAAGCAGAGTGTATCCTAGCTGCACAAGACAGCTAGACTAATTCACTTTTCTTCAGTTTTTGTTCTATCTGGGACCCCAGCCAATTAGATTGTGCCCACCCACATTGAAAGAAGACTTTCCCCACTTAGTCCACACAGACTCACATGAAATCTCCTCTGGAAATACCCTCACAGATACACCCCAAAATAATACTTTCCTAGTTCTCTAGGTATTCCTTAATCAAATCAAGTTGACACCTGAAATTAGTGACCAGAAAAGACTACTGAAAGATACCATAGACAAAAAGTATAATAGTTTGGATAAAGGTGGTAGTAGAGTGAGAACTGGTAATATTCTCAGCATAAATGGAAGAGAGATTTGCAGATAATTTGGATTTGGGATACGAAAAAAAAAAAAAGAGAACAATTAAAGTAACTCTAAAGTCCTTAACCAGAAGCATTAAATGAATAATGTTGATATTTTCTGAAGTGCAGAATAGAGTTGGTGGAATTTACAATCAAATCAGAGATTTGATTTTTAACATATTAAGATTTTTATTAGTTATCAAAATAAAGATGTTGAGTATGTAGTTGTATGTTCATATTTAGAGCTCTAGAAAGTTGCCCAGACTTGAAGTCGAAATTTATGGTTCATAGTGTACTGAAGGTATGAGAAATTAGTGTGGATAAATAAGAGAAGCTGTCTAAGATAAAGACTGAACCCCAATATACTCCAAATTTGTAAGTGTAAATTAAGTGGAACTAGCAGAGCAAACAGAAAAGAAGCACCAGTGATTTAGGAAATTCTCAATACGGTGATAATCCCAGAAGCTAAGAAAGAAAATAATCAGTTACTGGTTGAGTTTGATCACATTGAGGTCTCAGGTGACTCTAATAAAAATTGTTTCTCTAGCTAGATGGAATAAGAAATCTGACTGGAGTTGATTCAAGAGAGAAATGGAAGAGTATAAGTGAAGCCAGGGAGTACAGAGAGCTGTGTTTGTTGTTACTGTTTTTCTTTTTAACAACTATTTGTTAAACATTTACTATGTAGCAAGCAGCATACTACCAAATATTGGAACGGTAATTAATGAAACATAGTTTCTACTTTCATGAAGTTGATAGTCTAAAAAAAAAGATAAAACAGACAAAAAGTAAATATGTATTTATAAATTGAAAAAATGCTATGAAGGAAGAAAGTATGATGTTATAATAACAAGTTCTATTTATGAGGATTTAGGAAAGTCTTTTCTAAGCCTTGAGAAATGAAAGGAACCAGTGATGCCAAGAGGAACAGTGCATGCAAAGGCCCCATAGTGGAAAAAGGCTGGGCATGAGAGGAAAGATAGTAGTGGGACTGCAGCAACAGAGAGAAAGCCTTACAGTGAAGATGGAAAGATGAGAAATGTAAAACAATTACATTTAGTTTTTACAATGCGATGGGAAGTTATTGTGAAGGGGGTTTAGCAAAAAAATAGCATAATCAGACTTATATTTTAAGAGTATCAGTAACTCCTCTAGGAAAGCAGGAAATTCATATAGGGAAACCAAATGGTGTCAATTACAGGCTGAGCAAAAGAAAATAATGGCTTGATCCAGGGTGGTATTAGTTGAGATGAAGAGTAGTCAATGAACTAGGTATATTTTCTGAAGGTAGAAGGAATAAAGTGCTACAAGAGTGTGAAATAAATAGAGGGAGGAGGCAGGAATGGCTGGTAGGCTCCAGAGAGCTCTTGTAAATTATTTTGCTAAATGCATTGCCAGAAATATGAGGTGATACCTGAAGGAGGATGTAGGCTCAAAGAAGAAGAATTTGATTCCTATCAGGTGTAACCACAGGTCAATAGGCTAATGAGGATTATTTAAGATGAAGGGAAAATATTGATGGAGAAGACAGAGGGGAAAATTCCTGGGGCAATGTCATTGAATTGCTGGGGGACGGGATTCATTGCACAAATGGATGAGATGGCTTTGTTGTGAGCATGGAGAATATTCCATAATAATAGGAGAGATGGTAGGGTATATGGATAGAGGTTGGTAGATTTGAGAGTGGAGATTTCCAGATTATTTTCTTCTAACTTTATATATATAGTTTTGCCCTCCAAAGAAATATAAACAAAGTTATCAGCCCAAGTCTGAAGGAAAAACGAAGGTGTTAAAAGTTGGAAGACATAGACAGTGTTGAAGAATTGTCAGGAACTGTCAAAAAGTGAACTGGCAATGGAAATTCAACAATTTCCTTAAGGACCATCTGAACTTAGTGAGTATCAAATTTAAATGGAAATACATACGCATGATTGCTTATTCCTAGCCACATTTAATTGCCCAGAGTTAGGCATAGAATGGGGAAAAGGTTGGATTTAACTTGTGTTTAGAGTTTGACTGGCAGGAAACATAGAGGGTTAAGAGGCCAAACATGTAAAGAAGAGATGGAAGGAAGTGATTACAATGATGGATCATTATGAGAGTCTTGGAGGAAAAAAGAGGAAGAAAATCAATCAAATATTAGTGAGAGAATAGCTGGAATCTAAGTACAAGAGGGACCATGAGAAAGGCAGAAGATGGCTGTTAGGAAATAGGATGCTCAAATTTGAGTCTTTGGGGGCAGTGGCAAGATCTAGATGGTAAGTGACTAAGGAAGTAGGTATGTTGGGGCAGAAGATTATTACAGATCATGAAACTCTGAAGCTAGGGTATGAGAATGATTGCCCATATGGATATTCAGAATTAAGACTATGACAAGAGTAGTATTGGAAAGAAAGCATGCAAATTGTATCCTAAAATTTTCAGGGAATAAGAACAACTTGAGAATCTGTAGAGGGGTACATTGAGTAGCAGTAGTATAGTCTAATAGTATGTGCTCTAACTTGGAGATGTTTAAGGATGATGGAGAAAGAGGACTCTGAAAGCAGCAAAACAACTCTCCCCCTAGATGTTCCATATACCTAGAGGTACACTTCAAGACATGCTGACCCAGTGCTAACTGAGAAAGATACATGTATAGCTCTGATTGTTCCTCTGACTTGCATTGTTTTATACACTACTACCTTCTTGACTCTTTCCCGGGAATTTTAGATGACTGTCTCAAACTTCTTTTATGGCCAAAATAGAACTCTGGATTATCTTCCCCCACCCAACAAAAATTTCTACTTCTTTTTGGTTCCTTCTCTATCTAAATAAAGTCCATTTCTATTTAACAAATTACTCAAGCCAAATCTCAGAAGTTATTTTTGACACTCCCTTTCCCCTCATCCCTAAAATTTATCCACCAACAAATTCTTCAACTTTGTCTCCAAAATATGTCCAATATTATGTTCTATTTCCAATATTAAAATTCTAGTCCAAGCCACCATTTAGCTTGCCTGGACTCCAAAGCAGTCTCCATAAATATATTCTTACTCCCCCTTACCTTTCCTGCCAGGGTTATCTTTCCAAAATACAAATAGGATGATGTCACTACCCTCTTTAATACCCTAGAAAATTATTTCATTATATTTGGAACAAAATAGCAACTATTTTACTCTGGTTTACTAAACTTTTTATAATCTGGACACTGGCTACCTCATTCCAGAAGACTCTCCTCCTTGTCAAATCTACTATTGCCACCATGGTTTTCCTTTTATTCCTTTACACATGAGGATCATTTTCATTTTAAGGCCGTAACACTTTGTGTTCCTTCTGCCTGAAATGTTCTCCCCAAGACCATGTAATGGGATGATTTATTTTTACTATTAAGATATCAGCTCAAATATCATTTTCTCAGGAATTCTTTCTTTTACCACTAAATCTAAAGTAACCTTCCCATCCTCTCTTCACACTGGCTATTTGATTGACTGAATAATTTAGCAATACTTTTCTTCATCTGAAATTATTTTGTTATTTTTTTTTACTTACTTATTCTGTGTCTCCCCACCCTAGAATTTAAGCTCCATAAACCCTCTTGTCTGACTTACCTCTTTATCTTTAGTTCCTAGGTCAGTACTTGACGTACCATTAGTCTCAAAACATATTTGCCAAATAAGTGAACAAACTACTAGTTTAACTCTCTGCAGGGTAAAGTCAGTCACTTTTGTGCAGTTACAAGAGTTCATAACCCAGGGTTTGAAAACCTAGATTACATTTTCAATTTTTTTATTTTATGGACATTATATTTAATTTCTCTAGATTTCTGTTTTACTTGAAGTAAATTTATGTCTTGCTTCCTCTTGTGCTACAACTCAATCATTGTACATCATAAATGATTTTGACTGGATTTCAAAAATAAGACATTCTAATGACCTAGAATTCTGTCCTTAGTTCAGATGTGAAGTTAATGAAAGGCTATTTTGCTGTTTCATTTACCATTATGGTAAATTTCCAATGCTCGCAGTGCTCATGGCTAGGCTGTTTGAGAGATCTGGCAAATCAGTTCTTCATTGGAAGCACATATGGAGCAACCTTATGCTGGCCTGCATTTTGCCAAAAGGGCTAACACTTCTGGGTCATTATATTGCCAACCACTTTGACACATTTTTGCCTATGTAGGGCCATGATTAAGACCTGGACACAATGGAAAGCCCCAAGATACTGGCTTCTCTCACTGCTGTTACTTCAGCAAAGAGGAATGGAAGACTCCAGGCCAAAGCTATGATCCATGATGAGAAGACAAGTATTATAGCTGGAATGTGCTTTCCATGTGGTTGGGGTTCATTTTTCATGTCAGAAGCAATGTGCCAGTTGTTTGTCTAAAGCTTGTGGGTTGCCTAATGTTGTTTGAGAAAATGTACATTTTTACAGAACTAGGATTTTTATGCTAATTTTTTGGCCCTGAATAACTAAGCAGAGGGTACTTTTGATGCTTATTTAAATAACATCTCCACCCTTCTTGTCTCTCTTGGAAAGATAATTTCACAAGCTGCCAGACAGAGCTTATACAACCCATCTAACATTGACAGGAACAGGGCACTTTATCTAAGCCTGTTCTGTTGGCTTTAGTATACAGAAGGTCCCAGAACATTAGCCTGCACTTCTTAATTTGACATCACTAGCAAGCTGTCCTTAGAAAGACCTCCAGTGAGCATGCCTCTGATCAAAATGTTTATCCAGCAACAATTCTATTTTAAAAAAAAAGAACAACTTGAACTTGCCTAGCTACTGGTCAATTTATTATTTTCATAAACATTGACACTCTCTTCAAAAGAGAAATAAGAGAACGCATTTCATTAATTTTCTGTTACATTATTTTATGCTTTAGGCAATACCTATAAAGTAGATATGCATATTACCTAAGATACTTAGAGCAGAACGAAACACTGAATGTAAAACAGAGATTTATTTTTCAATAGCAAGAACAGAAAAATAACCCTCAGTTTTTCCTACTGTCTCTACAGGAAATAACCTACAGAAGAGAAAAAAAGAAACAAAAATAAAGCTTAGACAAGCCAATGGATCACAGGGGAGGGAAATTTACAAGATATCATCATCACACTGTTCCAGTTGTTAGATTTTCCCTTCTAAGCCTATGTTCAGTTACTTAAATAAGTTGGTCCATTTAAAACTGTGAGGCATAAAATAGAGCTGCTTTAAATGGGTCACACTCACAATATAACTTAATTTTCTGCTTTTAGACAGGCATGAATTTGATTTTATTTCTTAGGAAGGAAAAGAGTTTTATATACAGAGTTGAATGCTTTCAATTAAAAAAAATGAAGAAAATGAGCCTAAATTATAAGTTTCATGAATCTTGAATATTTAGTTACATATAGAAGTGTCAAGCTTGCTGTGTTAGAGAAATTCTAAATTACAACAATATGGAGAAGTTAAAGATAATTAAAACCTATTCATTGATTGATTGCTCATATTCATATACATATTTCCTGAAGTTTAAAAGATGTAAAATTTATATGAAGATATATAACATAATAGATCCATGCATGTTAATGTGAGTTTTCATTCAAAACAGAATGCTTGAGCACCTCTCTCCATGGGAACAAGTAGAACACATCCGAGATTGCTGTCAGTGCTGATTATAGGGGCATTTATAATGCAATTATGGGCTCACCTAGAGACACTAAGCAACTTGCCATTATATGAATTATCTTATAAATTTCAACTAAATTTTTCAAAATGAATAATTTGATTACATTATTAATTATATACATACAGAATATTTATCATTTCCTTAATGTGAGGAGTAAGAATGTCAAATGGTCGATGTTCTAATAGTTATCTTCCCTCCATTACACAAAAACAATCCATGATAACCATTCTGACATTGTAGTCAATAATTTTTGGAGTTTTAGACAAAATTAAAATGAGAAATTTTGCCTCTTATAGACTATCTCAAATTACAATTGAAGAAAAGTAAAAACCTCAAAAATTGGAAAGGATACACAATTGAACATTTAATGCTATATTTTATATGCCACCAAAAGAAGTGCAAGTGCCTAAAAACACCAATCTGCAAGTAACTCTCACAGATGAATTTGATATTCCAAAATAATAATGTGGAAAATGGAAAAAGGAAACAATGAAAGAAGGTGAACAAAATGGCAAACAGCCTGGTTATTTTCTTATTTCTAATTAAAATGGCTGTGTTTAATCAAGCACAGGTTCTGTCCTGATGAATCTGAGCCTGTAGTCACCCCAAAAGTGGTGGCAGAGGTATTACCAAGAGGAGGTGTCCCAAACCATCTTGACAGAGGTTGGTTCTGGTTCCAAAGAAAGAAGCACTAAAAGGCAGGGTGAGCAATTCAAAGCATTTATCAGAGGAACTTACTTATATTGGGAGCGGTGGGGCTGCAGTGTATCCTCCAAAGGAAAGTGATACAAGGGATATTCTATCTCAATATATTTACAAGGAGGGGCTAAGGTGCATGGAGTTTATAGGAAACTTTAAGGAACTTGGCTCAGGGCCAGGGCACGTTTCTGTCAGTGTTTTGGGCAAGAACCTGAACATCGTTATTAGATTCAGCCTGCAGAGGAAAACATGCAGCTGGCTGGGTCACAGAGCAGCCAAGAAACTCTTATATTTTTCTGTCGGGACAAGGAATAAAATAGGGAAAAGTGAAGAACCTTATAATAAGCATGTTTTAAAATGGGTTAAATAAGTTTAATAAGTCAGCTTCTGTAAAAACCAGAACTAGATTTTACCATACACTAATTTGATACTAGAATACGAGGTAGGAATATTGCTGATATATTTTCACTATTAACAGTAACATCACTATTTCTATCAAAGCATTATTCTGTATATAAACAATCTCATCTTTAAAATATGAATCATTATTTACATTAAACATAATAAATGTATAGTACAATTGACTTTGTATAAATTTAATGTCCACGACAAGTCACTTCCAACATAAAACAGCATGGAAAATATTTAAAATACAGAACTATATGTATGTCTCAGAAGAATTAACTACTACTATTAAAAATAATTACACTTAATTTTGGAATTGCTTTGGCATATAATCTACTTCCTGAAAAAGCATTTATCCTTATAACTATTCTTTCCACAACTCCGCTATTTCTTTTTATTTTATATTTATTTTAGCATGCATTTTTGCTATTTTGTGTTTTTAAATTTGCATCTCCATAATTTTTAAAGAAAGGTACATCTTCCCTTTTAAAGTCAATAGTGATGAATCAAGGTTAGAAATGAAACCTTTTAGTATAATCTTGTTATAATTTTCATTGCATAAATGTGCTATGTGTTAAGTTTATTCTAACCCAGGTTTTACACATTAAAAAACTGTTATGTGGGTGGTAAAACAAAATTAGAAATGCTAATATTGTAATAAGATGATTTTAAAATAAACATCAAAAATTAAGTTATTTAAAATAGTCAACTGATATTTTGTAATGTGTATTTATCTATAAAAAGGGTTGCTATTTACACAAATGTCTTGAGTATTCAAATAAGAGACACAATTTTAAAATAAATATTAATAATACAATTTTACTTAATCTTTAAAAAAATGTATCCTAGGGATTTAAAGACTATAGTAAATGATCAAGAAATATTTGTGGAAAAAAATTAGTAGATTAATGATTTGACCACCTTGATTTTTGTCCAAAGGATTTCTTTAAAAACAGAGGCTGCCCAAATGTCAAGCAAATACACCCATGTGTGGCCGGATACAGTGGCTCACCTCTGTAATCCCAGCACTTTGGGAGGCCGAGGTGGGCAGATCACCTGAGGTCAGGAGTTTGAGACCAGCCTGGTCAACACGGTGAAACCCCGTCTCTACGAAAAATACAAAAAGTAGCCAGGCGTGCTGGTGAGCGCCTGTAATCCCAGCTACTCGGGAGGCTGAGGCAGGAGAATCGCATGAACCCAGGAGGCGGAGGTCGCAGTGAGCTGAGATCATGCCATTGCTCTCCAGCTTGGGCAATGGCAACAGGGCAAAATTCCATCTCAAAACAAACAAACAACAACAAAAAAGAAACAAAAAGAAAATACACCCATGTGCTTAAATCATTGAGTAATATAATCTGTCTTATAAAATTCCACAAAGAAATTGAAAGTCATTTAAAGCTATAGGGCTTACATTTCAAGGTAGGTGCATGCATTCTCTCCTCCCATCACCTCTCCACCTCTCCAAGATAGGTTCTCTGCCTCCTGCCTTATTGCCCACACCCAGCCATCACTGCCACCTTCTGCACCTGCAAGGGGCCTGGGTGCGGGTGTAAGGAGGGTTAAAATTGGGGGCCTGTGCCCTTTGCTGCCAGGTGGGGACCTGAGTGTCTGTGAGGATGTGAACTCACTCATTGAAAGAGAGAGTGCTGAATTAAAAAATGGATTTTCTGTCTTTTGAACAGGGTATTTCACATTTTATTGCCCTGGATCCCACCTATTATGTAGTTGGCCCTGCTTTCAAAGCTGTTGATTTCTCCAACTTCCAAACAGAAATCTACAGCTCATACCTATCTCCATAACTCAAAACTTCTTTAACATACTGACTTTATAGCATCTCCCTTTTAATAATATCAAATTCTCAAAATCATATTGTCGAACTTAATTGATTTTTTCCCAGAGATTTGTTTCTCCAATAGCTTTCCTCATCTCAGATGATTAACAGTTCTATACATTAAAATATTCAGGCCAAAGCTTGTCATCATTTACACTCCAAATCCATCACTTTAGGAAACCCAATATTCTCTACTTTTCAAATATATCTAGAACCCAGTGAGTCCTCACCATTTTCACTGCTACCAACATAATGTTTTGTCTGGATAACTGCAGTATCTCTGGTGTGATCTCTTCATTTCCACTTTTGTCCCCTAGCCCCATGGACTTCTCTGAACATTGTAGCTGGAGTGAGCCATTTAACAAAGACAGTCCATTCACTTAGTCCTCTACTCAAAACCCTGCTATGGCTTCATTCCCATTTCCTCACAGTGAAAGCCAGAGTCCTCTCAATGATCAGAGCCCCCTCTCTGATCTCATCCATTACCTTTCTTACCCTTGTTGCCTCTGCTCAAGCTACACTGGATTCTACTTTCTTTGAACATAAGAGGTTTGCTCTTGCCTTAGGAGCTTTTCACTGGCTGTTTGTGCCACTTAGATTATCTTCTTCACCCTATATCCACAAGGACAAAGCCTTTACCACATGTAAGTTTTGTTCACTAAAGACTTCCCTGACCATCCTGTTAAGCACTACAACTTGCCTGCTCTCTCCTCTTTACATCCAGCCTGCTTCATCTTGCTCTGTATTTTTTAATTTTTTTCCAGAATACCTACTGTCTAACATACTACTCAATTTTCTTGTTTATGATACATACTTGTTTACTTTCTCCCCATGTAAAAATATACTTTCTAATATGACAGAGACCTTATCAATTTATGTATTCCAAGCACCCAGCATAGCTTCTGGAATGTAGCAGAAGTCAAGTAAACATCTGTTGGATGAATGCATGTTCAAAATAGCAGATGAAAATATTAATCCTAGAAACATGAAGGACTATAAATAAATCTGCATTCTGATAATGACTGTAAGAGTCTTTGAAATTAATATAAAGTATTAACAAATCAGTGAAAGGAACATCTATAGATATACATGAGTGTATTATCATCTGAGCATAAGTATGAATGTGTCTGAATGTGAACATTTTTCTTTAAGGCTATGTGAACACTTAATACAATTTATTTCCCAAGTATATTTCTCTGGAGACAGGGACTAAATGTCCATCTACAGATGAATGGATAAACAAAAGATGGCATATGTGTATGATGCATTATTTAGTCTTAAAAAAGAAGGAAATTCTGTCACATTTTACAACATGGACAAATCCTAATAACATAATGCTAAGTCAAATATGCCAATCACAAAAAGACAAATAGTATTGATTTCACTTATATGAGATATCTAAAGTAGTCAGATTCATAAAAACAGAAAGTAGAATGGTGGTTAACAGGAGCTGGGGGAAAGAGAAAATGGGAAGTTGTTGATTAATGGGTACTGAGTTTTAGTTTTGCAAGATGAAAATGTTCTGAAAATCTGTTGCTCAGCAATGTAAATACAATTAACACTGTTGAACTATGCACTTAAAAATCATTAACGTGGTACAATTTATGTTATGTGTTTCTTACCACAATTAAAAACAAAAAATACTTTTAAATAATTAATAGGAAAAAGTACAATTGTCCCATGACCTTTAAAAATTTTTTTTGTCAAAACATTAAAAACTCTCTTTCAGTTATAAATGTATTGGGAAATGAAAAACTAATAAAACTAATATTTACTTAGTGCACCAACTTAAACCATTAAACATTAAACATTAAGTTGTATTTTTGTAAAAAAAATTAAAAATGAACAAGAGTAGTTTAAACAGTACTTCCTACTCACCGTAACTTGCAGTATG
Organism: Homo sapiens; assembly: GCF_000001405.40. Lineage (NCBI taxonomy): Eukaryota > Metazoa > Chordata > Mammalia > Primates > Hominidae > Homo > Homo sapiens. Next base: position 184,114,238 of record NC_000002.12, on the reverse strand, counting down.
GAACAATAGTCTTTTCTAAGCCATGATGATTCGTCATACAGCTCTTTAGGTTTGAATCATCTAACAACATGTTATTCTTTTCACTTTCAATGTCAGGAAATATCTCCTAGAGTTCTTTTAGTGTAATTTTTTTTTCTTTTTTTTTTTGCCAGCATCATTCCTTCTGAGACTTCCTGATCCTTTTCATCACAACTATTTTCCTCATTTATTCCAGTAAGTTTATTTTCACTGAGTTCCTCTGGCAATATACCTAGATCTATGGGCAGTGTCAGTGTTTTATCTTTACACTATGATTTAAAGTGAATGCCTGCTTTTGCTGAGGACATAGTGAGAGGGAAGGAGGTAATGGTGCTGGAATCTGATAGCTGAGGTCAGTCATGCTTAGGTGACTAACTTCCAGTAGTAATCCTGAAGAAAGACTCCTGTGAACTTCCCAGGTTGGCAAAACCTTACACATGTTGTCAACTTTTATTTCTGGGAGAGTAACTACATCCATGTTTGACTTTACTGGGAGGAAACACCTGGAAGCTTACTCTTGGTTTCTCCTGGACTTCACCCCATGCACTTTTTCTTTTTGCTGATTTTGATCTGTATTATTTCACTGTGATAACCATAAACATGAATATAGCAGCTTCTGAGTCCTGCACGTCCTAGTAAATGATCAAGCCTGAGGGTGGCTTTGGGGATCCCTGACACACCATGCTACAAGGTAAAATTATGTATGAAAATGAATAGACATTGTTTGGAACACTGCATTCCATGCACATTAGGCCCTGCCCATGTGCTATTATATTCTAATGAAAAATGATAATTGAATGCAAGTAAGGGAGCCCCAATACAGATCTTATTTACCATGATATGATTGACCTAACATAGTGTGATGGTTAATACTGAGGGTCAACTTGATTGGATTGAAGGATGCAAAGTATTGATCTTGGGTGTGTCTGTGAGAGTGTTGCCAAAGGAGATTGAGTCAGTGGGTTGGGAAAGGAGGACCTACCCTTAATCTGGGTGGGCACCATCTAATCAGCTGCCAGTGCAGCTGGAATATGAAATAGGCAGAAAAATGTGAAAAGACCAGACTGGCATAGCCTCCCAGCCTACATCTTTCGTCCGCGCTGGATGCTTCCTGCCCTCGAACACTGGACTCCAAGTTCTTCAGTTTTGGGGCTTGGACTGGCTCTATATATACACTATATCTTCTGAGCTTCTTTAAAGAATTGTAGTGTATACACTATATTGTATTGTTCAAGACGCTTCAAACAGAAATAACCAGAAAAGTATTTCTTTAAAGTTGCTGCTTAAATATATTAAGTATTGCATTGAGAAAGCAGAGAAAAAATTTTGAAAAGAATATTTAAAAAGGAATTAAAAGACAGTTGTTTTAAAGCCTACTTTATGGTTTTTAAGTGTTTAAGTATTAAAATATTTTAGAATATTTTATTACATTTTTCCCTAATAATCTGATGTTTTAAAACCAACATTTTTTGCAGTGCAATTATAACAAGACTATTATTAGAGGTGAGAGACTAAGTCACAAACATATGCTCCATTGCAGTAACTCAACAATATTTAGCTTCACAATTCCAACATGAGAATCTGCTATGCTCTGTGGTCTACAGATTGTAGTAATGTGTGGGTATTTAAATATTCAGTACAGAAACTCTTTAAAAACTTTTTTCTCATTTCACAGGAAGACTCGTTCTTAGTAGATCTTTTTTATTTCAGTAAGGGAAATTAAATAAAATTATCCTAAGCCCAAAACCCACAGATTTTAAAAATGTACCACGTATACATATTGATTAAAAACCTTCTTTATATTTTAATAATTATATTTCAAATATCTTTATGCAAGTATCAAAACAGTCTTTCCATTACTTATGTAGATTATTACAGTTATTACTTGCCTTACTTATGTCCTTAAAAATATGAATATAGCTCAATATCTAAATCCATGGTGAATTTTCTACACCAGCCTACTTTCATGTCTTATTTTCCTCTATAAAAGTTATACAGTGATACCAAAGTGGATGATTTTACTGGCAATTATGCCATCATTGAGAAATATTAATTAGTATTTGTTACATTTACCCATTTACTTTAAAATTCTCAGAGCTGGAAAAAGATACTAAGAAAAGATGGTAAGATATTGTCAAACATGGCTAATGTTAATAAATACCAAATTCCAGGCAGGTCTATGTCAAGAGCTTTGAAGGGACTGAGATTTTACTCTACTTGCAAGTTGTCATGTGAGAGTGCCACAGTTTCATAGATGATGGTAGAGACACAGGACTCCTCAGTCAGAGACAGAAAATACTTTATTACACAGATCAATATCAGTAGCTAGTATGTCATTATTCTTTTGTACTAGTCCTCTTTCCACAATTTATAAAGGGTACTATGAAGAGGATTAAATGATATACACAGTGAGTTGCTTTACAGAAATTCCTAGGGACCTTGAACTTAGAGAACACAAAAGTTTTATAATGGGAGTTTTATATAAAATAAATGTTTTATATAAAGCAAATGTTTGTGGCCTAATGCCAGTCAAAGATTGTATGCATGAGACTGCCTTTTCCAAAAGTGCCTCATTCTTAAGATGTGCACAAATAATAGTTATCCATGAATAATTATTGCCCAATAGTCTAATGCTATTATATTTTATTTCAATTTTGAAATACGTTGTTCTATAGTAATGTTTATCTGTTAAATTCCATAAAACTTATTTAAAAGCGCAGTAATTCATTTTCCCACAAGTGGTATTTTTCCAATAGTTTCTTCTCTTGCAGTGTTTTTCCCCTTTATGGGCATCAGACTAGCAGATACTAAGTCCGGCCAGACACTGTGAGTCTGCTACCATCTGCACCCATTTCCAATTATACCAGTCCTTTCACCCTCAGAATGGAACAAATGGGTCTTTTTCTTTTTCTTCTAGCCATCAAACATGAAGGATTAACTCAACTTTCATTCATTAATTTGTTAATTAGTTAAGGCTACACTGAGTAATTACCAAAGTGCCTAGCATAGAGAAGATACTCAATAAATTGTAAGTAGAATTATCATATGCAAGGAACTGCGGTTAAGTGCCAGAAGACAAAGATGAATTATTCAACATCCTTGACATTGGAGTGCTTCACAGTCAGGTTACAGAGAAGGACAATTAAAATGCACAGATTCCTACAATATGTTATGAATCAAATTCCTACTTAGGAGAGCAGCTCAAATATAAGAGGCTAGGGTTTGGTAATTATTACAACAATATGTTCTATTTGAAGAGTCGGCTCAAACATGGTGATGATGATGTATTCTGACTAAGGTGTAAGGAAGAATACTGGGAAGCAAAAATGGCCTGATTCATATTCACACCTCAAAGCCCTTCTAGAAAAGTCACATCGAGTAGAGAGAGAAGATTGTATATTCACAAGAATCACATACAAGTGTATGCCTTTGTATTCTGAGTCAAAAAATAAGACTTTTTTCAAATAGAAACATGTGTTTAGTCCCAAAATTTGCCACTTCACAAAGAAACTTTCAAAATGGTAGTAAAGAATGATGTAGAATTAGCAAAGTGATGGGAACAGTGTATAGATGACTAGCAGAATATTTCTCTTTTAAAATTCTAATTCCAATGCATTTAGGAGACACGTGTCCTTCGCTTGGGCATAAGTACTGTCACTCTCTATCATTAAAAAAAAAAACTTTTTTTTTAGACAGTCTCAGTATGTTGCCCAGGCTGGTCTGGAACTCCTGGGCTTGAGTTATTCTCCCATCTCAGCCTCCTGAGCAGCTGGGACTATGGGTGCACATCTTTTTTTTTTTTTTTTTTTTTTTTTTTTTAACAGAGTCTTGCTGTGTTACCTAGGCTGGAATGCAGTGGCACGATCTCAGCTCAATGCAACCTCTGCCTCCCAGGTTCAAATGATTCTCCTGCCTCAGCCTCCCGATTAGCTGGGATTACAGGCGCCTGCCATCATGCCCGGCTAATTTTTGTATTTTTAGTAGAGATGGGGTTTCACCATGTTGGCCAGGCTGCTCTTGAACTTCTGACCTCAGGTGATCCACTGCCTCTGCCTCCAAAAGTGCTGGGATTACAGGCATGAGCCACCAAACCTGCCCTGGTGCACATCATTTTTACCTGGCCATCTCATTCATATTTGTGACATATTATTTATTGCCCACAAAGGATTGTGTGAACCTGGGAAGAATTTTATATAATTATTTGAAAATTTTAACATATTATCAATATATTTCATTATACCTATCATGTGATAGTTATGCCATTTCAAGACCTGAACCCTGTCTTTGAGAGTTAAATTCAAGAATAGATTTATTTTTTCAAAAAATTTTTAGTCTACAGAGTCTCATTAACAGAATAAACATAGACATGTTTATTAAAGTGACATTTCACATGAATAACATTTGCTCAGGTTGGAAACAAGGGGGATTTAGCATTTTTAAGGTTAGAAGAAGTATGCCCGTCCAAATACCCTAAGGAATAACACTTAAAAATATAATATTTAAGTCTATTATCCTGGCTTTCCTAAGTGGTTGCTAAAGTTTTTAAATCTTTGTTTTATCAGGATTAAAATTTAAAATTTTTGAAATTAATTAAGCTTTATTAATTTCTAAAAAAATTAGAAATTAATAAAGCCAGTGCCACTATACTGATGATAAGCACATAGTCTTTTAAAGAGCATGGAACTATTTCTTTAACATGAGTACTTAGGAGAAAATAAATGACCATTTTATGAAACTGCATTTTTAATAAGAAATCAGGAACATGGGTATATCAGATAATTTAGGAATGTTCACATAATCTCTCCATTTTCTTATATATAGATATCCATGTATACAGATATTTAATAATTTTATTATTCAATTAATAAAACATGCAACAATGTAATATAATAAAAAGGAAATTGAGTGTATTCTGGGTTTCTTAGAAAAAAATACTTTTTCCCTTGGAAATTTTTCAAATCCCTCTAAAGTATCACGTATAGCAGAAGACAACAGGAATATGAGATTCACCACTTTGGAAAGAATAAAAACTCTGTGTACTAATCTAAGTCATTATTCACATTATGACTATTTCAAGTTGCACCTTGATTTTCAAGTAGAGATCAAATACTTCTCAATGCTGGAGAAATTTCACAAAAAAATCTGACTATATGCCATAAGATGGGAGGGTGGCAATATATTTTCTGCCCCTTCTCTGCCCACTCCTCATATACACAGGTATTGATTAAGAAAAAGGGAGAGAAGAGTACAAGAAAAAGTGGGAGTGGAATGGAAAATAAAGCTGGCTTGATTATCTCCAAAACAAAGTATTAAAATAACCAACCAGTACTTTGTTTAATACAATATTCTGTTACCCATTAAATAAATAAATAATTTTTACCCAGAAAACTTCCAATCAGCTAGTTTATATCATGAAAGAAATATTAAATCAATGGCATGAAAATGACATGGAAAAAATGTCTCATCATTCTATTCAAAAATTTTATGAGTGTCAATGTAAGAAAACAAATACGTAAGAAAAAATTAACTAAGCCACACAAGTTTCTAAATACCTACAAATGAAAACATTAGCATATGTTCTATCTCATATTTAAGATTCACTGGAATATCTTGCACAAGACTCAATATGCTTGCCCAAGTAACAGTGTAAAGAGATGTAGACCTTTAACTTTTCCACCACCTACTATTAACAATGTCTCTGAAATATAGAGTCAAGTTCTTGCAGCTTCCAAAACAAATAAAAAATAATTCTGTTCCTACCCCTTATTAAAATTCAGACTGCTATAGGAACCATAAACAATTAGCCTTATATCCATGGCATTAATGCATTGTATACACTTTTTTAAAAATTAAGAAGGAGAATTGTCATTCTCTGAAAGTAGTTAATTTCTTTTTTTTTTTTTTTTTAATTATACTTTAAGTTCTAGGGTACATGTGCACAGCGTGCAGATTTGTTACATATGTATACATGTGCCATGTTGGTGTACTGTACCCATTAACTTGTCATTTACATTAGGTATATCTCCTAATGCTATCCCTTCCCCCACCCCCACCCCACGACAGGCCCCGGTGTGTGATGTTCCCCTTCCTGTGTCCAAGTGTTCTCATTGTTCAATTCCCACCTATGAGTGAGAACATGCAGTGTTTGGTTTTTTGTCCTTGTGATAGTTTGCTGAGAATGATGGTTTCCAGCTTCATCCATGTCCCTACAAAGGACATGAACTCATCCTTTTTTATGGCTGCATAGTATTCCATGGTATGTATGTGCCACATTTTCTTAATCCAGTCTATCATTGATGGACATTTGGGTTGGTTCCAAGTCTTTGCTATTGTGAATAGGGCTGCAATGAACATACGTGTGCATGTGTCTTTATAGCAGCATGATTTATAATCCTTTGAGTATATACCCAGTAATGGGATGGCTGGGTCAAATGGTATTTCTAGTTCTAGATCCTTGAGGTTAAGTTCTTTTTTTTTTTTTTTTGAGACAGAGTTTCACCCTGTCATCCAGGCTGGAGTGCAATGGCGTGATCTCGGCTCACTGCAACCTCTGTCTCCTGGACTCAAGCGATTCTCCTGCCTCAGCCTCCCAAGTAGCTGGGACTACAGGCGTGTGCCATCATGCCCCACTAATTTTTGTATTTTTAGTGGAGACGGGGTTTCACCATGTTGGCTAGGATGGTCTTGATCTCTTGAGCTCATGATCCGCCCATCTTGGCCTCCCAAAGTGCTGGGATTACAGGTGTGAGCCACCGTGCCCGGCCCAGTTTAGCCAATCCTTCCTCCTCAGTGGGCCTAGGGAGTTTTTCTCAAGAAACTCAAGTCTCTTGTTACTCAAGGACTTTGGTCAACAGTTCATTTCCAACTTCCTGTCAGAGAGAGGGGCACTTTCACATCAGTATGTGCTCCATAGGCTTAGCTCCTTGGAAGCCAGGACCTTGTTTGCCTTGCTAATTGTTGTAACTGTAATTTCTACAACAGTGTCTGGAATAGAAGTATTTAATAAATATTCATAATGATTTAATGAATATAATAAAAATTTCCTAGGTATGTGCTATTTGCTAATTATGGTGAGGATCCTGTAAAATAATTAGCCCCATTATTGCTGCTACCAGGGTGAGGGACATTTTCTCAACAAAGGTAAAATTTATCCTATTTCTTTAGAGAATGATGAAGAAGTACTTACTTGTAAAGCCAGATCACTACAGCAAACCTCATGTCAACACCATCCTTGGCCATTTTCCTAAAGTAATTCCCCTGACCGCTGACATGTCCATCTCCCCATGCATTCATCTATATATGGCCTGTGATTTCTTGTATCTAAGCCAGATTTCCACTGTCTGCCTCCTTCCCAACCTTTCTTCTTTGTCCTCTGATACAACTATCTTCAAAAATACATTGTGTCGACCACTAGTTTATGCATATACTGTTTCTTCTTCTCATAAACGAATTCTAGCTTTTTTTTCTGAGGGATTACTTTCCTATCCACCCTCTACATTGGACTTCACTTATTCTTCTATACTCCATTAATTTGGGGCTTGAAGTGGTCTTAGCATGCCCCTGAATACTCAGTGCAACTTCCAGATCACTGGTGCTCCAACAACACTAGATAAAACCTCCTTTGAAATTAAGCTCAATCTAATAAATGAGATCGTTCTCGTATTATCATTTTCATCTGTCAATTGCATGGCTTCTCATTATTCAAATACTTCTTTTCTAACTTAAATCTTGCCATCATTCTGGTGTCCTTTGATAATGCAAAATAATATGTCCAGATTTTCAGCTATTTACTGTTTACTTTTATAACACTAACAACATTGGTTATATTTTACCCATCCATGCCCATTCAGTCATCTCCCAGAATTACTTACGAAATCCTTAAACTAGCATTCATTCTTCCAACTCTCACATTATCTATTTGTTCTTTAAGCATACTGAAATCTTTAGTTCCTTTACCCCTCTACCTTTTCCTATTAATTCCATTTAGTTTTCACCTGCTTCCCTAAATAACTCAAACCTTGTGTCACATTGTTTCAACCAACTATTCTTTGGCCAATATTCTCAAATCCTTTGCTCCACCCAACTATTCTTTTGCCAACACTCTCGAATCCTTTGCCCCATTATCATCTGTAGCCCCAGCCAGGTAAAATCCCAGCCCTACAGTAATCCATTCAATACTTCAAAAATTGATGCGTCCAACACTGATTCCATCATCTTCTCCCCAAAATTGCTTTTGGCTATACTATCTATTTCAATAAAGAACTCCAAGGTGCTCAGTTCCAGAAATCTAAAAATTATTCTTAATGCTTCCTCTCTCTAATTCTATATCCAATCAATTATCGAGTCTTTGTAGTTGTAAATGTATTGCTATTCATGGTAGACGTCTTCTTAGTTTCCAAGTCATAAAAACGTGTTTGGGGTGATAAAACAAATGGCCCCATTTACATAGTGTAGAAGAAGGAGGTTTGTATTGGGAAAAATAATCCAGTATTTTGTCGATAATAAGAGGAGAGAGGTTCCAATTTTTATCCTATTAACTGTAGAGCCAAGAGAAGAACTTATATAAGGGGAAATATAAAAGAAAGGCCTTGAAGGAGAAAGCAGGGCTAAGGAAGATAATCACAGTTATGGAACTTGAGGCTTCATAGTTTGTACAAGGTTCTCTATAAAGAATAAAGACCAATAAATTTTTTTAAAGTTATCTGGTGTTCAGTTAAAAGCTGCTCCTTTCTCATTTTCCCAACTACCCTCTGCTGTTTTCTAACCTTTAGTAAAAATATATTATGAACCACAGCACTTTGTTGAAGTCATTTGTTGCCATATTATGTAAAATTACTTTTATTTTCATAGAAGATATCTGAAACGTAAAACTTACACAATCCAAATTTAAAAGAAGGTAAATAAAATTTTACAAAAAGTGTATTCAGTTAAATAGTGAAGCAAAACATTTACAGTGACTATGGAGAACCAGATTGTGTTTACATTTAACTGTAAAGTCCATTTAAAAAATTTCAATGATGACACCTTAAAAAATAATTCTCTATGAATATAAAATGTGATGTCAGGAAAGATAACGATTCTCTGATCAAATAGGATAAGAGTGAAATCAGCAAACAAAAAAAAAGTCTGTAAAGAAATGCTGTGTCATTTTCTCTGTCTCATAAAATAGTCAATACTTTAAATGAGCATAAAAGTCAAAGTGTCATTGTGTTCAGTATCCTGAAAGGTACAGAATAGTACAGGCTAGAATATTATATTCCTGAGGCAATAATTCACATATTATATAAAAAGGGGTATTTAAGGACAAAGAGTAGTAACTATCTTTTTACTGATCTAATAGAGAAATTTGGATATTAATAAAACAATGTTTAAAAAATATTTGGGAAGAATGTTCAATATTTATTTCAGTTAATTTGGATATAATTTTACCCAAGCAGCAACCACAAAGAAGTAGAATAATCAATAACATTTTGAACAATTCAACATTAATATATATTTAAAAATATCTACTTACTAGTTATAGGATCCTTGGGGTCCTAGGGTAAGAGAAAGCTAGTCTGATTTGCAGAAACATAGACAAGTTTATTGACATCAAGATGGTGTCCTCCAATGTCACAGGAGAGAGCAATGAAATATTGCAAGCAAACGTCATAGCAAGAAGTAATCACAAACCATCTGATTTCTTTCTGAAACAATACCAAGATGAGGCTGGGTATATTTCTTATCTTGGTACCATGAGTTTTCTTACTTTCAGCAAAATAGTGAAATTAAAAATATACATATATAAAATAAATCACAAAATATAACCTAAACATATCAAATTAATACTTATATTAAAAATAAAAAATAAGCATTTTATATTAGAAAATATAAAGATAAAAAGTTGATATTCAGACATTAAAAATAGCAAGTTGTTCAGTACATATTTGCAAGATACTTTACATCTTAAGCTTTTTAACTTCCAAATATGAAGATTAGCTCAAATGTGGGCTCTAGAAATGCTTCCTAACGTAAGTTTGAAATAGCTTACCCTAATGAATGGACAGAAATTATTTGTAAGTAGCTAGTACTGTTAATTTTAAGGGTTCATTATGCTTACAGATTTTTGGAAAAGTTGTCTTCTTGAACAATTTTAATACCCCCAACAAAATGACACACATTATTTTATATACACAAAATAAATTTGATTAAAGAAAATAAGCACACATGATTCATGAATGATTACCGTTTAAAAGAACTTTAGCTATTTGAAATATTTATACTCCGAATAGTATAAAGTAATATTCCATAGACTTTTTCTTATTCTAAATTCCAACATAGGAGGAGCTTTGATTAATTAAAAATTGCATATCAAACTATTATTCCAGATATAATAGTTTGGATTTGTATTTAAATCCAACATTAGTGCTTGGTAGATAGTAAGTTTTGTTGAATGAAAACTAAATAAAGAGATGACCCACAATAAAAGAAACTATAATATTTTGGTCACTAACATAAGACAGTGATTATGTGTTTATTTTCTAGTTTGAAAACAATGGTAAAATACAAAAGAAAAAATATTATTTATTTTCACATAAAAGATTTTATATGAACTGTATGAATCCTCTTATCCCTTTTCTCCAACATTCTAAACCCCATCCCTGAAACCTACCTAAAAATAAAATTCATGTAAAATGAAGAAGAGGAGATAGTGCCTTAAAAATTTCTAGCATTGATTCATATTACTCTTTTGAATTACTTTTAAAGTGTTCAGTTAAACCACTGTTTTGGAATTTTTTTAGCATATGAATTTTCTTGACAAATCATGTTGTGACATTTATAAAAAATATTATACCAGAAATCCAGAGTTGGGATGTGTCAGAGGGGTGGTTATCAAGTAAGTGTACAAAAATCTGTCCTTTACCCTTAGGTGTTCTGTGTCATCAGTCCATTTCTCTTCACTGCCGCCCCATATAACCAGCAAGGAGTTTATCAAATTATTACTACCAAACATACTCAGAACTCTTCTGAGAGGAGGTCTCATCAATTTTCTCCATTTCTTTACAATTGAGTGATATTTGACTACTCCAGACAAATGCCCACTTAGCCTGTTCCTTTAGCTAGTTCAGATAGGAGTTGATGAAACAGGTTGAGCACAAATAGTGACAGTCCCAGTCATAGATGGAGAATAGGATAAATGTCATTTTTGTGACTAATAATTTAAAATCATTAAGTAGGCTTAGTTCTTATTTCTTTCAATATATCAAGGTAATCTTCATAGTAGGAAGTACAGTGTACTTGGCTGTTAGTGTAACAGTTCTTTTGATTTCTCATTTGTTTTCCATCCTAAATGGGTTACAGTAAAGCAGCAGTACTCAAAGGACATTCATGCATAAGAGTTTGAAATACTGAGGTGGAATAAAACTACATACAATATCTGGGTACCCTCTTTAATAATCCTGATTCATTAGGTTCAGGAAGAAGACATAGAATATGTATTTTTTGATAATTTGGTGGAAGCCAGATATTAGAAGTTGTGTTTTAGAATCTTTACAGACGTATAAGATGCTCTGCCTCTCAGAGTGTTACTTTTGCTTTGCAATAAACTTCTTTGCTTACTCTTACTTTGGACTCACAAATTCTTTTGTGTGGCAAAGTCAAGAACCTGAACTGACCACCTACAACACTGGTTTCTTTGCTTTTTAGTTTATTTAGGTTAGTTTTTACTATCCAGTAGCATATAGGCCACAATGAAGTTTTTGAGGTAAAAAGAGATAAACTTTGTATACTATGTAACTTCTGTATTGATCCTTGCACCTGTTACAGAAGTTATTTTCCTGTCAACTTAAGAGAAAAATTGGTGTTTCACTTTCCAGGTGATTAGAGTCTGAAAATGTCTCAGACTTTGAGAAGAGTTACTGAAAAGAGTGATATTTCTACGTCATGGATAATCCTCTCCCCATATAATAATTTACACTGGTCAGTAGATGAAAACTACAGGAATGTAATTGGCTGTCTACCTACTCATGGATATTTTAAAATAACTTTTGACACTGCAACTCTGGATTTCTGGTATAATATTTTTTATAAATGTCACAACATGATTTGTCAAGAAAATTCATATGCTAAAAAAATTCCAAAACAGTGGTTTAACTGAACACTTTAAAAGTAATTCAAAAGAGTAATATGAATCGATGCTAGAAATTTTTAAGGCACTATTTCCTCTTCTTCATTTTACATGAATTTTATTTTTAGGTAGGTTTCAGGGATGGGGTTTAGAATGTTGGAGAAAAGGGATAAGAGGATTCATACAGTTCATATAAAATCTTTTATATGAAAATAAATAATACTTTTTCTTTTGTATTTTACCATTGTTTTCAAACTAGAAAATAAACACATAATCACTGTCCTATGTTAGTGACCAAAATATTATACTTTCTTTTATTGTGGGTCATCTCTTTATTTAGTTTTCATTCAACAAAACTTACTATCTACCAAGCACTAATGTTGGATTTAAATACAAATAAGGTACAATGGCTGCTATCAAGATACTCAATTACTAGACACAACAATTACATGTAAATATACAAATTCTACAGTAGAAGCTTAAAAGTATGCTCTGTGGTCAAGGGGATGTAATAATTATTATGGCAAGAGAAGAGGGGAAACACAAATGAATTTACAGGGGAAAAACTGTATGAGTTGGCACTGGAAGTGACTAATATAGCTTATAGTAAAAAGTATGAGTTCAAATACAAACTTTACTACACGATAATGATATGCCCATGAACAAGGTTTTTATCCACATTAGTCTGTAGTTCCCTCTTCTGTAAAATGGAAATGCAAAAATGTTTTTGCCATAGGGTAGTTTTGAAGATTAAATAAGAAAATTTATGTAAAGGGCTTTATAGAATGTTAGGAAATTAGGAGCCTTTCATAAATCTTGTGTTTTAACATGAGTAGGAATTTTCCACGAGGCCAAGTAAAGACAGGGGAATCCACATGGAAGAAATGGTAAAGAGAAAATGATAGGGCTTAGTTAGGTCAAGTATATACTTTGGTAGAGATCACAATTGGAGGAAAAGCAATGACAATAAATTTGGAATGTCAGGTTAGGATTAAATGGTTAAATATCTTATAAGCCTAGAAAAGGGTAAGAATTTAGTGGGGAAAAAAACCGAATCAGATCTGTGCTTTAAATACAGTAAGAAGAGTTAATTTTTACTGAAGAGATGAATATCCGTATGGAGGCACTTGTAAGTACCCTGAATGATGGGCGGTATGTGAGAGATTGAAATGATAGGTCTTTATCACCAATTGAATATGAGAAATAAGATAGAATCAGGATTGCTCTCACCTCTAAAGTTTGTGTTCAGGCAACTCTGTGGACTCATTTAAGTGAGTTGGAGAAAGATAAAATAAAAACGTTTAGTGAAAGGTGTTATTTATAAATATAGACACACAAATGTATCTAACATATGTATATATAACTACATATTTATATATATACATATATACAGAGAGAGAGCTTTATCTCTATCTATCTATCTGTGTTAGTCCATTTTGTGTTGCTATAAAGGAATAACTGAGACTAGATAATTTATAAAGAAAAGAAATTTGTTTGGCTCATGGTTCTGCAGGCCTTACAAGAAGTATGCGGCCGGGCACAGTTGCTCACACCTGTAATCCCAGCACTTTGGGAGGCCGAGGTGGGTGGATCACCTGAGGTCAGGAGTTCAAGACCAGCCTGGCCAACATGGTGAAACCCCGTCTATACTAAAAATAGAAAAATTAGCTGGGTGTGGTGGTGCGCACCTGTAGTCCCACCTACTTGGGAGGCTGTGGCAGGATAATTGCTTGAACCCGGGTGGCAGAGGTTGCAGTGAGCCGAGATCAGGACACTGCACTCCAGCCTGGATGACAGATCCTGATTCTGTCTCCAAAAACAAAAACAAAAACAAAAACAAACAAACAACAACAACAAAAAAAACAAGAAGTATACTACTGCACTGGTACCTGCTCAACTTCATGGTGAGCTTTCCTTCATGGCAGAAGGCAAGGGGAGCCAGTGTGTCATGTGGCAAGGAGGGGCATGCCACACTGAAAACAATCAGCTCCTATGTGAACTAATAGAGTGATACTCACTCATTACCTCAAGGAGGGCTCCAAGTCCCCATGACCCAAACATCTCCCACCAGGCACCATTTGAACACATTTCAACATGAGATTTGGAGGGGACAAATGTCCATATTAATATTACCTATTTATCTATCTATGTATGAAAAAAAAAGCCTGCATGGAATGCATGTGGGATTGTGTAATTGGCTCCTGAAAATGCAGAACTGGAGCTCAAATGCACCCTCAGATGTGATGATATAAAGTTGGAAAGATGGGGAGCAAATGAAATTGCAGGAGTGAAATTATACAGGGAGAAAGAATAAAGGAGAAGACTTAGAATGAAGGGTAAAACTTGAGGAAACTGTGATTTAAAAAAAATGAAACAAGAAGGAAATAAATATACAGGAGGAGAGCCAGAGGAGCAACTTGGATGACATGCAAGCCATGAAAGCCAGTGGAGATGAGGGGTTTAACATCCAATACTGGAGATCATTGAAGGAAAATGGCAGTCAGGAGGCAGGGCTAGCTTTCAGCACCCACTGCCTGAGCAGTGTGTGGAGATCTACACTGTGAACTTTTGTTCCAAGAATTACCATTGGAACGTACCTGAAAAGCCAAGAGAATCCATGGCCTTTTGAAGGGGGTGGATTGCTGTTGTAGACTCCATGGTACAGCTGAGGAACTCTGAAGGCAAAGAACATAATCTCTTGGGAGCTTTATGGCCCCACCCACTGCCTGATCCTCCCTATACTACTGCAGCTGATGCACTCTTGAAAGTGCCACCTCCTGGCTGGAGGCCAAGCAACACAAAACCAGCACATTTAAAAAAATACAATCAAGGACCTTCACAGAGTACACTTCCCTCCCCTGTTATCTTCACCAGATCAGGTGCTGGTATCCACAATTGAGAGACCCGAAGACAGATCACATCACAGGACTCCTTGCAGACACTCTCCAGTGTCAACCCAGAGCCTGGCATCTCCACTGGGTGCTAGATCCAGAAGAGAAATAACAACCACTGCAGTTTGGCTCTCTGGAAGCCCCATTCCTAGGGGAGGGAAGAGAGAACCACATCAAGGGAGCACCCTGTGGGTCAAAAGAATCTGATCAGCAGCCCTTGAGTCCCAGAGTTTCCCTCTGACATAGTCTAACCAAATGAGAAGGAACCAGAAAAGCAGTTTTGGTAATATGACAAAACAAGTTTGTTTAACACCCCCAAAAGATCACACTAGCTCACCAGCAATGGATCCAAACCAAGATGAAATCTCTTAATTTCCAGAAAAAGAATTCTGAAAATCGACTCTTAAGTAGTTCAAGATGACATCAGAGAAAGGTAAAGTCCCACTTAAAGAAATTAACAAAAAAGATACAAGATATGAATGGAAAAACCTCCAGTGAAATAAATAGCATAAATAAAAAATAATCACAGCTTCTGGAAATGAATAGAGAATTGCAAAATTCACTGAAAAGTCTCAGTGATAGAATCAAATAAGTAGAAGAAAGAACCGCAGAGCTCAAAGACAAGGCTTTTCAATTAACCCAATCCAACAAAGACATAGAAAAAATAATTTTAAAAAATAAACAAAGCATCCAAAAAGTTTGGAATTACATTAAATGACCAAACCTAAGAATAATTGGTGTTCCCAAGGAAGAAGAGAAATCTAAAAGTCTGGAAAGCATATTTGAGGGAATAATCAAGGAAAATTTCCCCAGCCTTGCTAGAGATCTAGACATCCAGATACAAGAAGCTCAAAGAACACCTTGGAAATTAATTGCAAAAAAATCATCACTTAGGCACATAGTCACCAGGTTAAGTAAAATCAAGATGAAGGAAAGAATCTTAAGAGCTGTGAGACAAAAGTACCAAGTAACTTATAAAGGAAAGCCTATCAGATTAACAGCAGACTTGTCAGCAGAAGCCTTACAAGCTAGAAGGGATTGGCATCCTATCTTTAGCCTCCTTAAACAAAAAAATTGTCAGCCAAAAATTTTGTATCCAGTGAAACTAAGCTTCATAAATGAAGGAAAGACAGTCTTTTTCAGACAAACAAATGCTGAGAGAATTCGCCATTACCAAGCCAGCACTACAAGAGCTGCTCTAAATCTTGAAACAAATTCTCAAAATATTGCAGGATTTTTTGCTCTTTAGTTCAGCTAAAATCCATGTTCTAGTCTCAAGACCAGGAAAAATTAGGCATATTGACACATTGAAAGGTGAGGAGAATGGAATTCATTAAAAGAAAGCTCTCAGAGAAAAAAAAAAGCCGAGGGGGTGGGTGGTGGGGCTCCTGCCAACAGTCTCCCACCTCACGTACTGAATACCAGGCCACCACACAGGAGCTGAAGAGGCCAGGATCCCCTCCCCTGCATAAAACACAAATTCCCGGTGGCTCCACCCCATTCTCCCCATGCCCAGGCAGGCCCTTAATCTGAGCCACTCCACATTGATTTATTTTCCTTCCTGTGCGTGTGTTAAGGGGTGGAATTTTTCACTGTGGCCATGTTTAGGCCAACCCCCTGTTCACAATGGCCTGGGTGGCACTTGGCTGTCTACTGTCTCTATCAAAAGTATACAAAAATAGAATCTCCTTAAAGCACAAGTCTCACAGGACCTATAAAACAACAAAACAATGAAAAAAAAGGTATTCAGACAACAAATAGCAAGATGAATAGAATAGTACCTCACATCTTAATACTAACATTGAATGTAAATGGCCTAAATACTTCACTTAAAAGATATGGAATGGCAGACTGGATAAGAATTCACCAACCATTTATCTACCATCTTCAAGAGACTCACCTGATACATAAGGACTCACATAAACTTAAGGTAAAGGGGTGGAAAACGATATTCCATGCAAATAGACACCAAAAATGAGCAGGATTAGCTATTCTTATATTAGACAAAACAAACTTTAAAGCAACAGCAGTGTTAAAAAAGACAGAGGGACATTATATAATGATAAAAGGACTAGTCAAATAGGAAAATATCACAATTCTAAATATATATGCATCTAACACTCGACCTCCCATATTTATAAAACAGATACTACTAGACATGAGACATGAGATAAATAGCAACATATTAATAGCAGGGACTTCAATATTCCACTGACAGCACTAGACAGGTCATCAAGAAAGAAAATCCACAAAGAAACAATTGGCTTAAACAATACCCTAGAATAAATGGACTTAACAGATATTTACAGAACATTCTACCCAACAACTGCAGAATATACATTCTATTCATCAGCACATGAAACATTCTCCAAGATGAACAATATCATAGGCCACAAAACAAGTCTCAATAAATTTAAGAAAACCAAATTATAGCAAGTCCTCTCTCAGGCCACAGTGGAATAAAATTGGAAATCAACTTGAAAAGGAACCCTTAAAATGATGCAATTACATGGAAATTAAATAACTTGTCCCTGAATGATCATTGGGCCAACAATGAATTCAAGATGTAAATTACAAAATTATTTGAACAGAATGATAATAGTCACACAACCTATCCAAACCTCTGGGATACAGCAAAGGCACTGCTAAGAAGAAAGCTCATAGCATTAAATGACTACATCGAAAAGTCTGAAAGAGTACAAACAAACAATATAAGGTCATACCTCAAGGAGCTAGAGAAAAAAGAACAAACCAAACCCCAACCCAGCAGAAAAAAAGAAATAAGCAATATCAGAGCACAATTAAATAAAATTGAAACAAAAAAATACAAAAGATAAAACAAAAATCTGGCTCTTTGAAAAGATAAATACAATTGATAGACAATTAGCAAGATTAACCAAGAAAAGAAGAGAGAAGATACAAATAAGCTCAATTAGAAATAAAACAGGAGATATCACAACCAATACCAAAGAAATACAAAAGATCATTAAAGGCTACTATGCACAGCTTCATGTGCATAAACTAGAAAATCTAGAGGAGATGGATAAATTCCTGGAAATATACAACCCTCCTAGATTAAACCAGGAAGAAATAGAAACTCTGAACCGACCAATAACAAGCAACACGATTGAAATGGTAATTAAAAAGTTACCAAAAAAAAAAAAAAGAAGTCCAGGACCGGATGGATTCACAGCTGAATTCTATCAGACATTCAAAGATGAATTGATAACAATCCTATAGACACTATACCAAAAGATAAAGAGGGAATCCTCCCTAAATCATTCTATGAAGCCAGTATCACCCTAATACCAGAACTAGGAAATGACAAAACAAAAAAATAAGAAAACTACAGGCCAATATCCCTGATGAACATAGATGCAAAAATTCTCAACAAATGCTAGCAAACCAAATCCAACAGCATATCAAAAAGATAATCCACCATGTTCAAGTGGGTTTCATACCTGGGGTGAAGGGATGGTTTAACATCCACATGTCAGTACAAGTGATGCACCACATAAACAGAATTAAAAACAGAAATCACATGATCATATCAATAGATGCAAATAAAAAAGCATTTGACAAAATCCAGTATCACTTTATGATTGAAACTCTTAGTAAAATTTGCATAGAAGGGACATAGTTTAAGGCAATAAAAGCCATCTATGACAAACCCACAGGCAACTTTAGACTGAACGGGGGAAAGATGAAAGCATTCCCCCTGATAACTGAAACAAGGAAGGATGCCCACTCTCACCATTTCTATTCAGCATTGTACTGGAAGTCCTAGCCAGAGCAATCAGACAAGAGAAAGAAATAAAGGGCATCCGTATCAGTGAAGAGGAAGTCAAACTGTGGCTGTTTACTCATGACATTATCTTGTACCTAGAAAACCCTAAAGACTCATCCAAAAAGCTCTTAGACTTGGTAAATAAATTCAGCAAAGTATCAGGATAAAAAATTCATGTACACAAACTAGTAGCTCTGCTATACATTAATAGGACCAAGCTGAGAATCAAATCAAGAACTCAATCCTTTTTACAATAGCTACAAAAATTAAATAAAATACTTAGGAATATACTTAACTGAGATGAAAGACGGCTACAAGGAAAACTACAAAACACTGCTGAAAGAAATCATAGAGGATATAAACAAATGGAAATACATCCCATGCTTACAGATGGATAAAATCAATATTGTGAAAATGACCATACTGCCAAAAGAAATCTATAAATTAAACGTAATTTCTATCAGAAAACCACCATCATTCTTCACAAAACTATAAAAAAAAACTAAAATTCATATGGAACCAAAAATAAGCCTGCATAGCCAAAGCAAGACTAAGCAAAAAGGACAAATCTGGCATTACATTACCTGCTACAAACTATGAAATATACTATAAGGCCATAGTCATCAAAACAACATGGTATTCGTATTAAAACAGGCATATAGACCAATGGACAGAATAGAGAAACCAGAAATAAAGTCAAATCCTCACAGTCAACTGATCTTTGACAAAGCAAACAAAACCATAAAGTGGGGAAAGGAACACCCTATTCAACAAAGGGTGCTGGGCTAATTGGCAAGCCACATATAGAAGAAGGAAACTGGATCCTCACTTCTCACCTTATACAAAAATCAACTCAAGATGGATCAAAAACTTAAATCTCAGACCTAAAACAATAAACATTCTAGAACACAACATTGGAAAAACCTCTGTAGACAATGGGTTAGGCAAAGCCTTCATGACCAAGAACCCAAAAGCAAATGCAACAAAAACAAAATTTAATAAATGGGACTCAATTAAGCTAAAAAGCTTATGCACATCAAAAGAAATAATAAGCAGAGCAAACAGACAACCCACAGAGCGGGAGAAAATCTTCACAATCCATACATCTGACGAAGGGCTAATATCTGGAATTTATAAGGAAGTCAAACCATCAGCAAGAACAAAACTTACAATCTCATCAAAAAGTGGGCTAAAGACATGAATAGACTATTTTGTAAGGAAGATATACAAATGACCAACAAACATATGAAAAGATGCTCAACATCATTAATAATCAGGAAATGCAAAACAAAATCTTAATGCGATACCACCTCTACTCCTGCAAGAATGGCCATAATCAAAAAATAATGGATGTTGGCAAGGATGTGGTGAAAAGGGAATATTTTACACTGTGGGTGGGAATGTAAATTAGTACGAACACTATGGAAAACAGTGTGGAGATTCCTTAAAGAACTAAAAGCAGATCTACTATTTGATCCAGCAATCCCAGTCCTGGGTATCTACCCAGAGGAAAAGAAGTCATTATATGAAAATATACTTGCACACACATGTTTCTAGCAGGACAATTTGCCATTGCAAAAATATGGAAACAGCCCAAATGCCCATCAATTAATGAGTGGATAAAGAAATGTGATATATACATATATATACACACATATACATATGTGTATATATCACATAGTATATATATATACACATACACATATATGTATATGTGTATATATGTGTATGTATATATATATACTATGTGATATATATGCAATTATTTTGTTCCTTTTTATGGCTGAGTAGTATGCCATAGTATACATAAATACACACACACACACGTATCACATAGTATATATATATATACATACACATATATGTATATGTGTATGTATGTGTATATATATACACATATATGTATATGTGTATGTATGTGTATATATATACACATATATGTATATGTGTATGTATGTGTATATATATACACATATATGTATATGTGTATGTATGTGTATATATATACTATGTGATATATATGTGTGTGTATATATATACATACACATATGTATATGTGTATGTATGTGTATATATATACTATGTAATATATGTGTGTGTGTGTGTGTGTGTGTGTGTATTTATGTATACTATGGCATACTACTCAGCCATAAAAAGGAACAAAATAATTGCATTTGCAGCAACCTGGATAGGATTAGAGACCATTATTCTAAGTGAAGTAGCTCAGGAATGGAAAACCAAACCTCTTATTTTCTCACTCATAAATGGGAGCCAAGTTATGAGGATGCAAAGGCATAAGAATTATACAAGGGACTTTGGGAACTCTGGGGAAAGGGTTTAGGGGGTTGACAGATAAAAGACTACACACAGTGGTCCGGGTGTGGTGGCTCATGCCTGTAACTCCAGCACTTTTGGAGGCCGAGGCAGGCGGATCACTTGAGTTCAAGAGTTCAAGACTAGCCTAACAAACATGATGAAACCCCATGTGTACTAAAAATACAAAAATTTGCCAGGCATGGTGGCATGTGCCTGTAATCCCATCTCCTCAGGATGCTGAGGAGGGAGAATCACTTGAACCCGGGTGGCAGAGGTTGTAGTGAGCCAAGATCATGCCACTGCACTCCAGCCTGGGTGACAGAGCAAGACCCCATCTCAAAAAAAAAAAAACAAAAAAAAAGACTACACACAGGTTATAGTGTACACTGGTGTACACTGGTTGGATGATGGGTGCACCAAAACTCTGAAATCACCCCTAAAAATGTTATTCATGTAAACAAATACCACCTGTTCCCCCAAAATCTATTGAAATTTTAAAAAAATGAAGTAACTATTAAAATATAGTATAGAAAATACATAAACCAGTAACAGTCATTTATTACCATTATTAAGTTTTATGTACATAATTGTATGTGCTGTACCTTTATATGACAGACAGCACAGTAGGTTTGTTCAAACCAGCCTCATAACAAACAAGTGAAGAATGTGTTGCACTATGACATTAGGACAACTGCAACATCATTAGGCAATAGCAATTTTTCAGCTCCATTATAATCTTATGGGACCATCATCGTATATGCGGTCTGTCATTGGGCAAAATGTCATTATGTGGTGCAAAACTGTACTTCCTTTAAACCTTTAGAGATTTTTAAAATGTGAAATGCCCCAAACTACCTCAAGCTTCTTGTAATTGATCTTTTAAAATCTGATCTAAAAATTCAATCATTAGAACTATAAATAACACAAAGTGGGAAATGACAATAATTTTTGTCAAACAAAATATTACCTCTTAAAAATAATGATCAATAAACCATGTATTAATATATAAAAAAGAATCCAGTACTGTTTGAAACCTATAGAGGAGTTAAGTAATACTATCTTTGAAAAGAGGCTATTGAATATGGCAATTGGGTGGCTATTTGCAGTATACTCAGCTTTGGTTGCAAGGAATAGGATAAAAATATAATAGTTTCAAGGATAAAGAGGAAGTGGCAGTTTGAGAGTGGGACGCCTGAGATTTGAGGTTTGAGTACCAACTCCACCCTTACCATCTGAATGACCTTGAGATAATAACTGATCCTCTCCAGACTGTAGTTTTAAAGTTAAAATGATTCTTAAAGACTCATTTGAGAATTGAATAGATTATGCAGCAGAGTGACTATCATAGATTATTAACAAATATTTATCATTATTATTGTTATTATAATCATCCTGTGTTTCAATAAAATTTGCTCAAGTCAGTGCCAATGGATATCTGGTTAAGTGATCATTTTGCCTGCTCAGCTCATTTTTTAGCCTAACCTCTGGTTTATGTGCCTATTTCAATACTTATTCATTTATTCAGTCTCATTCACCTATTATTTATTTCGTGGCTATCATGCAGCTGAATTTTACGTTATGATAAAGAAGAGATAAGAAATAAAACATGTCTTCGTCATTGTTAGGGAGGAGAAGTAATTGTACCCTACATCCTGGACCACTGTGTAACAAAAACCAGACCTGGTATCCAGGCTCTAACAGCATCACCATAAGGTATTGGCGTTCTGCTGAAGATGAACAACTTCAAAAAAGATTGTCCACAGACAAGGCCATTCTGTGACCATGGTGTATCAAGACAAAAACAAAACCACTCCATAATCATGTCTGAACACATACAAAACATTGTCCAAATCTCAAAAAGTTTCTAACATCCTCATCTCAGGCTAATTGAGTGACTGCTAACTACTTATCAATTACAGTTTTAGTTTTGCTTTAGTGTCCCCACTCTATGGATAAGATTTACTGAGGTGTACCGCCATAAAATTGGTTCTGCTTTCTGAAAGCTCTTAATTCAAAGTGAACCCCTGCTTCACAGGACTGTGCCCCAAATCACCCAACGAAAGCCTAAGTTCTCTAAGTCCTTTCTAATACCCTCTTACTGAGACACCTCATAGGTGTCCCCCATATGCATATTTTCTCACTGAAATGATTAATAAATCCAACTTGCTCACCTACATATGTATTTCTTATATTCTTTGGCTGGAAAGCATTGACAACAAATAGAAGATGATATTGTGGGCATATGGAAACCATGTTTCAGATTGGTAGAGCTTTTGGATTGGACATACTGTCCAAACTAGCTGTCTTCTATCAAATCGTCGTTTTTAAGAACATGTGACACAGGTTTTGGCATATATTTGCACTATTTCATGAAGCCTATCTCACTGATGTTTGGTAATAGCCCTTATTGGGTTATGGCTTCATAGGCTAACTTAGTATATTATTCTCAGTAAAGACCTATTACCTTTTGTTAAATTGCAAAGTAAAAAAAAAAAAAAAGTGAATTTTCTATTTGCATATTGTCAGCGAAGGCAAATGTCCCAGTGAGCAGAGCTAATCTTTTCTGTCCGAAGTTTATGGGAGTTTGACCCAATAGAAGTGTGTTTAAACCTTAAAGCTGGAGCCAAAGGATTTCTACATCTCTCCACTGACTGGAGAGATGCAGCTCAGAATCCTAGCCTCTGAAGTCTGTAAAATGAAGATTAATATAGAGAGTAGTCATGAATGGAGAAAAAAGAGAGAAAGGAAAGAAAACTTTGGAGTAGAAAAGACTAACGCAACAAATCATACTTTTTCCCCCCTTCATCTCCTGTTCACTTTAAATTTAATGCTTCTGTTTACTCTTACCTCCATTCCCTTTTCCTTTCTCACTTTTCTTTTTCAGACAATATAGAGTTTTAATATTGGATCTAAAGCAACTTTCTAGTTTCTGCTAATAAATTTGGTGTTCTATCATAACATATATTTAACAGGCATCCAAAAGAAAGCCCTATTTTAAGACACAAATGGAGTAAAGGTCATGAGGTGATATCATTATTATGCAGGCAAACTGTGTACTTGTAAAGATATTGAAAGTTATAAATCATTATTACATTTTTTATCATCTTTGTTGAAAAAGAGATTATTGTTTAAACTAAAATTATGAAACACCTATATCTAAAGTAATAAGTTTTCTATAATGTCCAAATATTGGCTTACAAGTGCATTTTTCAGCATGTTGAAAATAAATGAAACATTAATTATTATGTCCCTGATGTCTGAAAAAATTTAGCTACCTTATCAATATGCCTTTTGAGCAAATCACCTCAGTGATTCTATGATTAACATAAATGCTGCACATAGGCAATTTTTGCCTGAACTTGTAGATTGCATTATTAATTCCACATAGATTCTTTATTCTAAAATCAACCTACCAATGTTTTCTCATCTCTAACCAAGTATTCAAAATTAATCAACTCTCTAAAGCAGCATGTTTTGTGACATGACAGTAATGTGTATGCCATAACCAATCAGGTGAAACATCATTGTACGGCAGACATTTCAAAGATGAGACTTTAAAAATTAATGAGCAAAGAGTAAAACATGTATACTTTCAACCTTTCTTTTTTCTTTGAAAGATCTAAAGAAGACAGACATGAAGCTCAGTTTTCTTCAAAGATACTTATTTAAATTTCAAATTGACTATTTTACATTGCTAAATTTTATATAAAATTAAGTATTGTATAGTAATGTAATAATGTCTTTAAAAGTAAAAAAAATAGCTTTTCTGTAACTTTTTTATTATTTCAGTTTCCTCTAACCCTTTATTTACTATTTTTCTCATTTAATGCACACTTTACCCTATCAACTTCTGCAAACTTGTCACCCCTCAAAGACTTTGTATCATTAGAAGCACATGAAATAATTATGTTACTTCTGTCTTATGAGTTTGTATCTCTTACATCAAAAACCATTGAGATCAATAATCAAGTAATTTATTGAACATTATTAAATTACCTGACTTCACACAAAGAACTCAAAATGCACCTTACATCTCAGATTTGAGGAATATTGTCCATGTCATACTGACCTTTGTATCAGGCTCAGCCTAGTGGCTATAATTATTATATTTTTCCTTCTTTTATTTCTATTCTTCTAAGGAATTCCTTGTAATAGAGAACAATTATTTTGACATTGACTGAAAGGAGCCAGACATAGCAGAGTGTCATATATATGACTCCATTTGTGAAAAATTCAAAAACAGGAAGCTTTATTCTTTGAAATTGAAAGTCACAATAATGGTTACCTTCAGGAGAGAGAATAGCTGGGAGGGGATGTGAGGAAGGCTTCTAGGATTCTACTAGTCTTTTATATCTTAATTTGTATGGTGGTGGCATGGATGAGTGTATTTGTTTAAGTTAATTGACCCTCACATGTAAAATTATATGCCCTTCACTTTATTAATATTCAAATAAATATGAACAAGTGATTAAAACTGCTCTCATTTTTAATAGGTTGTTATGATCCTTGTTCTTTCCTTTAAATAAGTCATATATTCACCAGCATTTGCTTATGCTCTTCAAAATGGCTGTTTATCTGATACTCTCCACTGTTTCTCCTATAAGTCCCAACAGTTTGAATAAAAATTCTTCTCTGTTCATTTCAGCCAAGATTAATTGGTATTCTTTCTGTGAACTTCTAAAATAAAAATGGCTTTAGCAATCATTTTGTTCTTTAACGATCAAATGATGTGTGTTAAGATGTGGTTTCTTCTGAGATAACATAACTATATCTCCAAATACAATGTCTCCACAACACTTGGCATAATTTTAAGACCTAGTAGACATTTAGTAAGTACATATCAAATTAATAGTTTATGCATGTCAATATGAAACTCTAAATTATGACCAAATCTTGTCATCGAATCTCTCTCAAAGTTGTTTATTCCTTGGAAAAGGTAAATAAATAAATGTGCATATATATTTACAAATAAATGTATATATATAAAGAGAGAGAGAGAGCGCACATACTTGTCTTACAGGAGTTTGTTACACCCACACCCACGTATTAAATAAGTAAATATGCATAAATTTTTTAAAAGACAAAAACATCAATCTCTGTCATTTTATTGCCTTTAAAATTTATATGTATAATGATCTACTTTTAGTTAGGATGTAGAAAAACAAAATTCTGTCACAACCACTGAAATAAGAAGTTAATGATACACAAAAATGTTATTCTTTGCCTTAAATCCATCGAAGAACTGTGAGCATAAAAGAATCCAACAAACTCCTGTAAGACAAGTATTCCTTAAGTGAACAGGAAACAGAAGATACTTTCATATCTGTGCCAGTTGCTGAGACTAGGGGACAAAATGTCCAAGGAGCAAGCCTGCCAAAGAAAGATAGCTTTTGCTTGGAATGTGAGAGTGGAAATGGGAGTTTATGGGGGCTTGCGGGAAAGGGAAATACTACATACAAGGAATAAGAATGAAAGCTGACTTCTCAGAAACAATAGAGGCCAGAAGACAATAAAACATTTTTAGAATGCTAAAAGAAGAAAACTGTCAACCTAGAATTCTATGCACAGTGAGTCCTTTAAAATTAGAGAAATGATATTTACTGGCAAACAAAAACTAACATGCGCTACAAAAACTGCAAGGAAAACTTCTTTACGTCCAACAAGAAATAGTATAAGACGGAAATTTGGATCCACAGGCGAAAATGAACATTACAAATGGAAAATATGGAGTACATATAAAACTTTCCTTCTTTTCTTTAAAAGTATATGTCTATTAGTTATTTAAAGCAAAATATAACAAGGGATTGGGATGTTTGTAACAGATGTCATAGTAAAATATATGACAGTGATAACACAAAGGGCAGAAGAAATATAAGTGAAATTATATTGTTTTAAGGTGTTAACCTTATATGGGAAGTAGTATAATATAAAATCAAGGTATAATGTGAATAAATTGCATATGTCATGTATGAAACAACTACAAATCAAACAGGTACTGCTAATTAAAAGCAAATAATTATAGCTGAAAAAATATCAAAATTACACAATTTTCCCTATGGAAGACACAAAAGGATGGACATAAGGAACAAAGAACAGAGGAAACAAAGAAAAAACTAATAGCATGTTAGTGTAGATAGAGTCCACCATATTAATAACTAGATTATAATTATTAATATATTTGTTGTTAATAAACCAAAACTCCAATTAAAAGTCAAAGAGCTGAAGATTGTCAGGCTGAATAAAACAGAAATCACTAACTACATGCTGTCTAGTTTCAAGAGAGATATTTAACATATAAAAGATACACAAATTAAAAGTAAAATATAGGAAAAAATATATCATGAAAAACAAATAAAGATGTTGATATGCTATATTTTAAGAGTGATACAAAAATACAAAAACATTATTTCAAAATCATAAATGAATTAACTCTTTTAAAATATTCTAAAATTCACAGAATTGAAGGAAAAATAAAAAACCCACAATCCTAGTTGGATATTTTAACACTCTTCTTTCAGTAATTCATTAAAAATGGCCATAAGTCAATAAAGATACAGAAGATTAAATAACACTATAAACCAATTCATGGTAACTGATAGCTATAAATACAACACCTATGAAAGAAAATTAAGTCTCCTTTAAGTATCTGCAGGAGATTGTTTCCAGGAACCCCTGCAAATACCAAATCTATGGATACTCTAGTCCTTTATATAAAATGGTGTGGTATTTGTATATAACCTATGTACATCCTCCCATTTATGTTAAATCATCTCTAGATTACTTATAATACCAAATACAGTGTAAATGCTGTATAAACAGTTGTTATATTGTATTTTTATTTGCTTACTTACACTGTTGTATTTAAAACATTTTTTTCAATCCACAGTGGTTGAATTCACAAATGTATAACCTGCAGATATGGAGGGCTAACTGTATACATCTCTTGAAATGTGCATAGTACATTCAGTAACACACACACACACACACACACACACACACAATAACTGCCAGTCTACAGAGCATACTTTGCCAACCCTAAGAGAGACTTTACGCTGGGACCATAAAACAAGGTTTTGACAAATTCCAAAGGAAAGAAGTCATACAAAGTACATTCTCTTTACAACAGATTGGAAATCAGTAACATTAAAATACATAGAAAAATCCCAATTATCTGGTTAAAAAAAAAAAAAAAAAAAACCATTTCCAAGTAACCCACAGGTCAAAGAAGAAAGAGCAAAACCTGACAGGGATGTTACCAGAAAAGACCAAAGTCCCTCATGAACTAAGATCCAAAAATTCTCAAGAAAACATTAGCAAATTGAATCAAGCAAGCTATAAAAGGTATTATATAATGATGAGGTGACATCAATAAAAATAATGCAAGGTTAGTTCAACACTCAAGAATGAATCTAATTAATTCATGACATTAACAGAACAAAGTAGTCATCTCAATATGTGCAGAAAAAATATTTTTTTAAAAATTTAATGTACATTCATAATTAAAAGCAAAAAAAAAAAAAAAACCTCAGAAAACTGGTAATTACAGTCCTTTATAAGATACAGGATTTGCAAATATTTTCTCCCAGTCTTTGGTTTGTCTTTTCATTCTCCTTATAATACTTTTTGAAAAATAGAAATGTTAAATTTTGATAGTGTCCAATTTATCCATTTTATCTTTGGTATTGTGTCTAAGAAATCTTTGCCTAAGCCAAGGTCACAAAGATTTTCTCCTGTGTATTTGATTTATACTAGGTTTTACATAGATGCCCTTTATCAATTGCTTTGAGGAAATTGTCTTCTACTCTTAATTTGTGGATATGTGTTTATATCAATACATACAGTGTTAGTCAAGTAATCTATTTGTTCTTTAGCCAGCTTTAACAGTTTATTTCAAGGAATTTGTCCATTTTATCTTAGTTGTTGAATGTATTGCCACACAATGTCTAATATTTATTTATTAACCTTTTAATATCTGTAGAATTTTTACTGCTGTCATTTTGCACAGGATCAATATTGGTAATTTATAATTTCATTATATTTTTCTCTAATCAGCATTTTTAGACACCCATCAATTTAAATTTTTTTTAAAACTTTATTTTAGGTTGAGGGGTACATGTGCAGGTTTGTTATATAGATAGATTTTATGTCATGAGGATTTGGTGTATGGATTATTTCATCATCCAGATAATCAGCATAGGACCCAATGGTAGTTTTTCCATCCTCACCCTCCTCCCACCCTCCATCTTCAAGTAGGCCCAGTATCTCTTGTTTCCTTCTTTGTCTCCATATGTACCCAGTGTTTAGCTCCCACTTATAAGCAAGAATATGTGGTATTTAGTTTTCTGTTTCTGTGTTAGTACACTCAGATTGATGGCCTCCAGTTCCACCTACCTTGTGGCAAAGGACAAGATCTTATTCTTTTTTATGGCTGCATAATGTTCCGTGGTGTGTATGTACCACATTTTTTTAATTCGATGAGGGGCCTTTAGGATGATTCCACGTCTTTGCTATTGTCAATAGTACTGCAATGAACATATGACTACATGTGTCTTTATAGTAAAATAATGTATATTCCTTTGAGTAGACACCCAGTAACGGAATTGCTGGGTGGAATGGTAGTTGTATTTTAAGTTCTTTGAGAAATCTCCAGATTGCCTTCCACAGTTGCTGAACTAATTTAAATTCCTCCCAGCAGTTTATA
Organism: Homo sapiens; assembly: GCF_000001405.40. Classification (NCBI taxonomy): domain Eukaryota; kingdom Metazoa; phylum Chordata; class Mammalia; order Primates; family Hominidae; genus Homo; species Homo sapiens. The sequence goes on along the minus strand of NC_000002.12, from coordinate 184,084,419 downwards.
AGCATTTCCTTTTCTTTCCGCAACCCCACCAGGATCTGCTATTTTTTTTTTTTTGCCTTTTTAATAATAGCCATTCTGACTGCTGTGGGATGGTATCTCATTGTAGTTTTGATTTGCATTTCCCTATTTATTAGGGAAATACATATTGAGCATTTTTTCATATGCTTATTTGTTTAGCTGCATAGCTGCGTGTATGCATGTATGTCTTCTTTTGAGAAGTGCCTGTTCATGTCTTTTGCCTTTTTTTTTTTTTGAGACAGAGTCTTACTCTGTCACTCAGGCTGGAGAGCAGTGGCACAATTTCAACTTACTGCATCCGCCACCTCCTGAGTTCAAGCGATTCTCCTTCCTCAGCCTCCTGAGGAGCAGGGATTACGGATGTGCACCACCATGCCTGGCTAATTTTTGTATATTTAGTAAAGAGGTGCTTTCACCATGTTGGCCAGGCTGGTCTTGAACTCCTGACCTCAAGTGATCCGACTATCTCGGCCTGCAAAGTGCTGGGATTACAGGCATGAGCCACAACATCTGGCTTCTTTGCCCATTTTTTAATGAGGTTGTTTTTTGCTTTTTTATTTATTTGAGCTCCTTATAGATGCTGGATATAAGACCTTTGTCAGAATCATAGTTTGCAAAGCTGGAGACATCAATGATTTTTTTGTAAAGCTTTAGATTTAATTAATTTTCTCAATTATCTTTCTCCTTTTTTAAATTGACTTCTACTCAGAAATTTATTTACATGTTCATTTATTATTTATTTATTCTCATTTTGTTGGATTTAATTTGCTCTTCTTTTTAGTTTATTAAGGTAGAAGCTGAGGTAATTGATTTTAACCCTTTCATATTTCCTAATATAAATATTTATTGGTACAAATCTATCCCTAAATAATGTTTTAATGCTATCAAACAAATATTGATATATTGTGTTTTTACTTTCTTTCACTTGAAAATAATGATTTTGTTTTTTCATTTTACCTTTGGCTTCTTGGTTACGTGGAAGAGTGTTGTTTAATTTCCTAATATTTGTAGGTTTTCCAAAGATTTACTTACCGTTATTGATTTCTATTTTAATCCATTGTGATCAGAAAAATACTTTGCATGACTTGAATCTTTATAAGTTAACATTTGTTTTATGGACCCAAGCATTGTCTCATTTGATAAGTGTTTCATAGGTACATTTTTAAATGTATATTTTGCTATTGTTGGGTGGCAAGTACTATTAAGTTAATTTGGTTATCTGGTTAATTTGCCAATTGTGTAAATTTGGCTGCTGATGTTCAAATTATTTTTATAATTAACTAATTTTCTACCTACTTGTTCTGTCAACCATTGAAAGAGTAGTATTGAAATTTGAACATATATTTGTGGATTTTTCTATATTTTCCTGCAATTCTATCCATTTGTGTGTCATGTATTTTGAATCTCTCTTATTAGGTGAGTAAATGTTTAGGATTCTTATGTCCACTTGATGACTTGACTCCTGCATCCTTATGAAATGAAATTATTCCTGTTAATATGCTTTTCTTTGTAATCTACTTTCTCTGATACTAATATAAATAGATTTTAAGTGTTTTAATATGCTATGTTATTTTCTATCCTTTTACTATTAACCCATTTGTATATTTTAATTTGAAATTTATTTCTATTAGGCAGCCTATATTGTATATTCAATCTGGCAATCTCTACTTTTTTATTTTTATATTTAGACCATTTCCATTTAATTTAATTATTGATACGGCTAGGTCTATAACTAACAATTTGCTATATATTTATTTATCTCACCTGTTTTTGTTCCATTTTTCCTTTTCTTCCTGGTTTCTTTTACATAAATTTTGGTGTTTTTGTTTTTATTTATCTCCATAATTAACTTAGGTTTATGAGGTGTTTCTGTGTATGTTATTTTATTCATTGCTTTAGAGCCAATATTTTATATCTCTAACGTATCACAGTCTAGCTTCAAGTGATATTATGCAACTTCATGTACAAGAACATTAAAATAGTACAGTTCATATTTTCCATTCCTAATTTGTGTCCTGTTTTTGTTCATTGTATTTTTACACATTATAAATCCCAAATTTATTGTTATTATTTTTGTTTAAATTGCCAATCATCCTTTAAAAATATTTCTTTAAATATTCTTAAAATGTGGGTATGCTGTGATATTTTTAGCTTCTGTTTGTCCAAATGAGTATTTTGCCTTCTTCTTGAAAAGACGTCTGTGTTTTCTATAAAATTCTAGGTTGACACCATGTTTTAGTACTTCAAATATGTTAAATACCATAGACTTCCCACTTGCAGTTTTTTTGTTTGTTTGTCTGTTTGTTTTTATCAACTGTTATACTTGCCTTTGCTCCTTGGTTTACAACATGTCTTTTCTTCTGGCTAATTTTATAACTCCCTTTTTATCACTGGTATTAAGCAGTTTAATTAGAATATGCCTTGGTGTAATTTTTTCATGCTTCATCAAATTTGGCAAAATTTCGCCATAATTTTATACATATTTCTTTCTGCTTCTTCCTCGTTTTTTTTCTTTAAGATACTTCATTTGCACATATATTAGGCTGCCTGAAGTTCTCCCCTTGTTCACTGATATGTCATTCATTGTGTGTCACCTTTTAAAAATATTTTTTAAACTTTATCATTGTAGATAATTTCTGTTTCTATGACTTCAAATTCAGTAATATTTTTCCTTAATGTCTAATCTGTCTTAAATATCATCCAGTGTGTTTTTCATCACACACTTGAAGATCTTATCTCTGGAAGTTTGATTTGGTCCTTCTTTATATCTTATTTATCTCAACATATTTTTTAACGGAATCTATTCATAAAAATGATTTTATTCATTACTTTAAAATAGGTATCAGTTCTACGTGTGCTCCCATTATGGAGCACATTTTTCCTGTTTCTTTATGTGCTTAGTCAATTTTGATCAGATGTCAGATATTGTCAATTTTACCATACAGAGTACTGGAAATTTTGGTTTCCAAAAAAAAAAAAAAATATTCTTGAGTGTTCTTCTTGCACAGAATTAATTTAATTAGAAACTGTTTGTTTATTGTATGCATTTCCTCTACCTTTTGTAGGTGGGAGTGAAATAGCACTTAGTCTAGAGCTAATTATTCTCCACTATTGACGTTAGCCTTTTGTGTACTCTACCCAAATCCTCACCAGACTTGTTTTCCAGTCTGGCTGGTGGGAAGAAGCACCATTCTCTGTCCTATGTGAATGCTGAGTACTGTAATCTCTAATCCTTTTGAGTAGTACTTTCCCCAGGGGCAGGTAGTTTTCTCATACAAATGCACTCCCTAATCAGGACTGAGCTTAGTACTCAAGGAGGACTACCTATCTGCAGATTTCCAGAATTTTCTCTCAATATAGATCTCTCTTCTCTGATATTCTGTCCTGTGAACTCTAGTCATTGCATTCTTCACAAAATCTTAGCTCTACAACCTCAATTCAGGGACCTCACTGTTTTCCACCTGTGTTCACCTCCCTTTATCATGGCCTAGAAAAATTTTTAAGGCCACAACCTGGTGCACCCTTATCTGTTTCTCATCTCTTCAGGATCACTATTCTTCATTCTCTTATAGCCAGAGTTTGCCTAATTATCATTTCATATACTTTGTTCATTCTTTGGTCGTCTCATTTAGGAGAATGAAACTGTGGCCTGCTATTACCTGTGCTCTGGAAGTGTAAATCCTAATCACTTATTATGGAAATGTTGATAAACTGATTTTTAAATTTATATAAAAATGCAAAGGAACTAAAATAGCCAAAACTTTCAGTAAAGAACATATTTGAAAGGTTTATACTACTTTTTTAAAGATTTACTTTAAAACAGCATGAGTCAAGACTATTATTTCCATAAAGACAAATAAATAGTAGAACAGAATAGATTATCCAAATATAGACTCACACGTATATGGCCAATTAATTTTTGACAAAGAACCAAGGTAAGTTAACCAGGAAAAAAGATGTGTTTTCATAAAAGTGCTAGAGCTACTAGATATCCATGTAAAAAATGTTAAAAAAATGAACTTTAACATTTACTTCTCACCAAACACAAAAACGCAAAAACTATCTCAAAGAGATAGGTCGAAACATAGAAGATAAAAATAATAAAATTTCTAGGAAAAAAAACAGAAAAGTAATATTTGAAAAGTAATGGTAAGTAAAAAGACTCTGAGTCTTTAAGACTCAAAAAGAATTAACCATTAAATGAAAAAAATTGACATATTTATCTTCTTCAAAATGAAAAATACCTATTTTTCAAAAGCCATTGTTAAGAAAATAAAAAGGCAAAATAGTTTAGAGTAAAATATTCACAATGCATATATCTAGAAAAGTAGTTGCATCAAAAATATACAAATGTCTCTTTAATTAGTTATCACAAAAATTCAAATTAAAATCATAATAAAATCATAATGATATACCACTTTATATCCACTAGTTTTTTTAAATTGACCAAGTTAGGTTTGGAGAAGATGTGTAATAATCGGATGTTGTGAACTGAATGTATTTTTTTCCCAAAATTCATTTGTTGATATCTAATCCTCAATGTGAAGATATTTGGAAATGGGGCCTTTAGGAGGTATTAGATCATGATGGTAGAGCCCTCATGTATGGAATTAGTGTCCTTATTACAAAAAGCCAGACAGCTAGCTCATCTTCTTTTCTCCATGTGAGGGGTTATAATGATAAGTCAGAAGTCTGCAAGCTAGAGGAGGGCTCTCCCCTGACTTGGAGCACACTGGCACCCTAATCTAAACCTTCCAGCCTCCAGAATGAGGATAAATACACTTCTGTTGTTTATAAGCCATGCAGTCAATGGTACTTTGTTATAGCAGCCCAAATTGACAAAAACATTAGAACACACACATTTTCCTGTTGGAGATATGAAAGTATATAATCAAATTAGAAAATTATTTGACAATTTCTTATAACTCAGACATGTAATTTCCTCTCTCTCCTTTTTATTTAGCCAAGAGAGGTGAAAACATATGTACACATAAAACTAGTACAAGAATGTTAATAGCAGTTTTATCTGTAACTGGAAAAACCCATGTTATAATATGAATGTTAACAAATTCTGATATATTTATACATTGGAATATTACTCCATAATACAAATAACTATTGATATAAGAAAAAAGCTAAATTAATCTCAAAAACATTATATTGATTGAAAGAAGCAAAACACAAAACAATGCATACATATATCAAATTTCTAAGCTTTTGTAATAGAAATCAGTTGTTTCTTAGGGTGGGGAATTGTAAGTCGGCATGAATAAACTTTCTGGGGTGATGTCAATATCTTATAGCCTGATTTAGGTGACAGTTTTATGAATGCCTATATTTGTCAAACTTTCTCAATCTATACACTTAAAATTTGAGCACATTCTTATATCCAAATTATATATAAATATAAAAGTATTTAGGTAAAAAGTTTTGACTGTAAATTTGGATCTGCTCTAGTGACCACTATTGTTGATATTTATTATTTGGTTTTTACTTAATTTTATTATTTAAAACAAATTGTTACCAAGTAATTAGTGAGCTCACTGCCCAATGTGCATAGAGGCCAATGCCATGGCACGATCTTTTGAGAAAAGAAAGGCTTTATGGTGAGTTAATTGACAAGGAGACAGGAGAAAACACTCAGATCTGTCTCCATGAGCTGACATTTGAATTGGGCTTTGTAAGCATAGGGTAATGAAGCGTGATGTGATTGGATCTTGCAATGAGGTGATGCCAGGAGGCATGATCTGACTGGGTCCTTTCATGGGGCTATGCCAGGGTCCTGGATCCTGCCATGCAGTATCTACTTCTTAATTCAGTCCAAGCACTTAGGTTCTCCATGCAGTTGCACACTTAATTCATCTGGGTATGCTCATTACCTTAGGATCCATGGCAATGAAAACCAACTCTCAACTTTGTTACATAAAAGTTAAACCAAATTGGTCTGAAGTGGTCAGCATATTAATCAACAAATATAGCATTTTAAAAAGCTGGAAATAGTTTTTTTTAAACTCTTATCCATCATATATTATAAGTAGATATCAAGAGCGGGGCATTTTCAAATCATCTATGAGAGATAAGACAAAATTAAAGTTCAAACCAAATAAAAATGATATATTTTAAAAAATCATCCAAAGACATTATTTCAAAGGACTTTAATTTATAACTATATTTTACTATTTGACAACTATTGATATTTTTCTTAGATCTACCCTCTTTAAACTACTGTTTCCAAAGTACATTTTTATATTTTCCATATTTTGAGGTTATGGATAAATGAGTTTAAGAATGTGTATGTCTCTCACATTCTTTAGGAAAATATAGTCCTCTGGGGAGACAACTAAAATTGGTTCTAGCTTTACATAGATACAATTCCCTTTCAAATTAAACATCTGAAACATTATGTATTGTTTGGCATTAATGTGAAAACAAAAATGAAATACAGTTTACTTTTAATTTGAGACTAATAATGAACATTATATGATTACCTCAGCCTTTGGAGATTCCACTGAAAACAGTTATCACCAAAGTTCCTAGAACCCTGGAGTACAACATGTATTTTGGCTTAGGGACCAATTTTTCCATTGCCTTTGCTGAATAGTTACTGATTCTTCCTCCCCGGTCCACGAGGAAAACTCAGTCATGTTTATTCTACAAGTTCGAAGTGCCTATAACTCTGATACCATAAATCATCAGATGGTACTGCTGTTGGAATAGAATGGGTAATTGTATTATGTTTTTGAGGAGTTAAAATCTGCCTCTAGCAAATACAAGATTTTTAATATAGCAAACAAACAAAGAAACTCTTCTATTTCCTCTGCTTTAAAACAAGGCTGTAATTCTAAAAGTTTTCAATATATAAAGCACTGTTGTTTACTGAAACCAAAAGCTTTAATTCAACTCAGTGTAACAAGTATTAATTTATTAACTACTACTATATGTGAACTAGTCATCTGGTTGCTTACATAATAATACCCATTCTTTGCTTATTCAAAATTATTTTGTACCAATTAAGTGTACTCATCAAAATCATTGCAAATTTTAGGACATAACATTTATGTCTGAAAATATGTAGAAAGTTTGTGTTAGATTCCTTTTAGTAGAGAACTTAGCACATATAGAAGGGAGTAAATTAATATTAGTTTTCTTCATTTTTTACCCACTGCTTTTTCCTGCTCTGTTGTGTCCCAACATCCTACCGTTTAACTTTTTGTACTCTGAGGTTCTCATGCTTGTAATCAAGAATTTAAATCTACTGATGTATGTATTAATTATTGGTAAAACTAAAGTGCTGCTTTCTAAGGGTGACTACATTTTAAGTTAAAGGAGTGATTCTTCTCTTGTGGAGTTTAAGATGTCTGCATATATTTTACTTATCCTTGTTGTGCTAGTGCCCAACTCAGTATCTACCATTTAATAAATTTTAATTAAAAAATGAGTTAATGAATGAGGACATTGTTCATAGAGTGTAGGGTTATCCAAATGCTGCCAGATCATTTGACTAAGGTATCCCTGATATCAATTAATAAAGGTCATATAAGTCATGATAAATAATTTATAGATTTCAGAGATTCAATGTTCTAATGAGACAGCGTTTGTTTATTTCTATGTAAAATTACACTCTTTGGCATCTGATGAAAATACCAATAATGTCTTCCATTTGCATTTAGTGAAACCTAGCTATTTCATTTCAATTTTAGCTTTTTTTCACTAAAATCACTGTTTTAATTTTGTGAGTACACAATAGGTATATATATTTGTGGGGTACATGAGGTATTTTGATACCAGCATGGCATGTGAAATAAGCACATCATGGAGAATGGGTTATCCATCCCTTCAAGCCTTTTTTCTTTGAGTTACAAACAATCCAATTGTACATTTTAAAATGTACAATTATTATTGACTATAGTTACCCTGTTGTGCTATCAAATAATAGGTCTTACTCATTCTTTCTATTATTTTTGTTTCAATTAACCATCCCCACCTCTCCCCCAGGTCCTCACTACCCTTCCCAGCCTCTGGTAAGTATTCTTTTACTCTCTATGTTCATGAGCTCAATTGTTTTGATTTTTAGATTCTACAAATAAGTAAGAATATGTGATGTTTATCTTTCTGTGCCTGGCTTATTTCACTTAACATAATGGTCTCAACTGTCACATTGCAAAAATTTGAATTAGTCTTATGATTATATTCTTAATTTGCCTGTAGTGTTTTCAAAGTATAGCACAGATAATATTGTGGATGATTCATAAACACACAAGGTTCAATAGTAAAGTAAGTTTGAGATGATCATCAAACAGTAAATCTTTCTTAAAGGTTCACAAATAATAACATTAAAATATTTAAGAAATTTTTCAATGAATAATATACTCAAACATATAATGCATAATTTGTCATACTTTTTGATCTAAAAATAAAAATTTCTTGATTAATAACAAGCATTATCCTTACTTCAATATTGTAGAACCCATATGCTCATCTACATTCTTAGCAGTAAGGCGTACTCTAGACAAGCAGGAACTGTAAGTGCTGAACAATCCTAGAGGGTCTGAACTGAGCATGGGAGTGGGGCAGAAATTCCTACGGGTTTTATGGGTTTTAATCAGCAGAGCTAACTCTGTTTAGAATTATCACCTAGGGACAAAATGAGAATGAAAAAGGAGTTTATTCAAGGCATCAAATGGAAACAATAAGGCAGAGAAACAGAATTTATTCATGTATAAAATAAACATTATTTATTCTCTTAATAATATTTATTGTAGCCTATTTTACATTGAATCTTCTACTAGACACCCAGGGACAAAATAATGAGTGACTCAGACATTAACCATGATCTCATGGAGGTTAAGGTCTCTCTTGATTTAAGAGTTCAAAAAAACAAGTTTATAAGAAAAAGACAACCTGTATTCAGAGAAAGTATATTTGAGGAATGGAAAGAAATATACCAGGGTTGAAGTAAAATATAAAAAAAAGGGTAGCCAAAAGTGAAGCTGGAATTGTATAATCTTATTTGAAACCTAATCTGGTAGAAAATATGTCATTATACAAAATACATGGCAAAAGGATTAATATATTTTATATTTTCTAGTATTTTCATGTCTGTCACATAAATGTTAAATGGTTCAATTATCACATGAAGCATTATGATGATTCTGTTGCATGCTGGAAATGAAGTGAAATGGATCATGACAATCAAATGTCACTTTTATCACCTAAAGAAAATAATTATATGTACTTGTTTTAAAGAGTTTTAGATTATTTATTGCTTATGATAAACCATATTCAGACATTTTCATCACTTAATAACTTACAAAATCAGACTTTATTTAGTACAAAAAAGGAAGTAAGAGGGAGGAAAAAGAGGGAGAGAGAAAGAGAGAAAGGAAGAGAAGAGAGGGGAGGGAGGGAGGGGAACAGTGGAGTGGAAGAGGGAAGAAAGGAGGACAGTTTGTCATGATTCTATATTTATTCAAATCTCAGGAAGATCCTTACACATTTAGCCTAAAAAACCAGGAACAGATTCAGAACCACTTTAAAGATATGGAAGATAATTTCAGGTTCATTAAATCTGGGGTAAAGCTTTTCAGGTATAAGTTCAGTTTTTTATTTCTAAATAACTGATCAACTGGTAGTTTTGGATTCTCCTTTTTTCCTCATGATGATTTATTGCACAATTTTAACAAGCTGTAATTTAGCTCAACTATTAACAGGCATGTAGTATGTCAGCTAATGCAAAGTCGATAATCATTTTTAAAATTTTATCATCACTATAAACAATAAATGTGAGCTCATTTATCATAGAATTAGAAACCATGTTTATTCTTTTAAAACCTTCAGACCTCCTGGCACAGAGTTGAATTCACAGACTCTTTTTAAATACTTGCCGAATTAAGCATTTCTAGGTAGATTGCAAAACTGGCCCCAAATTTTCATCCCTCCTTTCATCCTCCCATTTTGCTAGGTAACTTTGTAGTACTCTGCTATATTGATTCTGGGCTTATTTATATGAACTTCTTTAGGCAATGGGATGTTAAATGTGCAAGCAGAGGCTTGAAAATGCTTACACATTTGCACTCTACCTTTTATGCTCTTCAGTGTTTGCCACACTTTTGTGCACATGCATAAACAGCCAAAGCAAGTCCTGGCTTATTTCAAAAGAAACTAAATTAGGGAGTAAAGCTCACCATCCAGTCACTCTAGCCAAAGGCAACTTAGATTAGCCAATAGCCAGCCAACCTCTAAAATTTTGATTAAATTTAAGGTTCATCAACTGAAGCACCTTACCAATCCCCAGCTGAGTCCAGATGTGTAAGCAATCAATGCTTATTGTTCTATTATGATAAGGTTTTATACTGGCTTGTCACTCAGCATTATTGTGGCAATCAATCACTCATACAGGTGCAAAGACATTCAGGTGCATTTTTACCTTTGATATAGATAGAAAAAAGTGAAAGCCTTTCTGATAGAAAAGATAAAAATGCTCCCATGTTTTGAATGTTTTATTTACATTTAAAGGATAGATTTAACTTGACGTCTATGTATTAATCTACATTTAGGGTATTTCCTGGTGTTTCAACAACGTAGTACTAAAACATGGTAAGGACTGATTAAAGAACAAGGGAATAGCAATATAGCAAAGGAAAGGACTTGGAGATAGCCAGGACATATACAGTTTCCCCCAAATAGACTTATGTGAAAAAGATTGTATTCATTTCTTCTGTTGCTCCGGAGAGAAGAATAGGACCAAATATGTGAAGGTGTGTATCATAAGGAGATAGAAGTTAAGTAACTAAAAAAAAAAAATACTCAATATTTTCAGAACTCTAACAATAAAATACAGTCAGAAATTCAGTATACTCGGTTCTGGCTGAAAGTCAGGAGTAGCTTCAGTAAACTAGGCTTGATTTTGTTTCTTTTAAGATAAGCAATGAGGTAGAAATTTCAGAGTACAAAGAGGCTAAAGGAAAGTCATCAGCTATGCTCCAAATGCTATTATGCAATGTTCAAATATTGCCACAACAGTATCAGCTATAGATTCAGAAGGAGATTCAGAAGATTTTGCCTCAAATCAGATATCCGTTTCAAACAGAAGAGAGCTGTTTTGTTCTTTAAACTTTTCTCCCTGCAGCAAAAAATGATTGGCCATGATGATGTCTGATTCCAGCTCCATTATCTATGATGGGTCCAAAGCTAATTAAGAGTAACAATAAAGATCTACCTAGTACAATTTTTGAATAAATATATTTTTCAGTAATGTGCAACTCTTGCAAAGTTCTATTTGTTGCAATAATATGAAATATGTATTTTTGAGAAAAGGACACACAGATGATGTTATTTACTGGATAAAAGGAATTAACAGTCATACTTTTTTTTTCAGTTTTCACTAAGATTTAAAAAATTATAATTTTTAAGAGACCACAGGACTATAAAAGATAATTTGATCGGAGAGTTCCTAGAACCATGACTAATCTTCTTAGAAATATTGGAAAAATAAATTCTCATTCAAGTAAGAGATGAGACTTATATCAAGATTCTAAAATTTACAGTTAGACAGGAAGAATAAGTTTTAGTGTTCCATTACACAGTAGGGTGACCATAGCTATTAATTATGTATAGGATATTTTAAGATAGCAAGAGAATTTTGAATATTATCACCACAAAGAAATGAAACGTTTAAGGTGATAGATATGCTAATTACCTTGATTAATCATTACACAATGTATCCATGAATTGAACCATTACATTGCACAATATGTACACTTATTATGTGAATTATAAATGAAATAAAGTTTGAAATAAACAAAATAGTTTAGAATCAAGTTCATAAGCATCATGTTTTACTTACGAAGGAATACTAAATAAAAGAGTTTGTACTTATTTGATCTATTTACTGTAAAAAACTGCAAATTTGAATATCTCCTACATAACAAAGTGAGAGTACTTATGACAGAGTCATATTCTGCTTTCTATATAAGCAGGCCTTAGTCATGGAGATCTAGTTGTAATAAAAGGTATCTTAAAGAGGTACTTATTTACATGGGTGATTGAGGAGAGAGCTGATTAAGATTGGGATTTGGTGGTAGGGAGAGAGGGAGGACAATGCCCCACCTAAACTATTGTTGGCAGTTCTAATTCTTAGGAAGCAGCATTCCATTCCAAAGAATGCTTCTAGTAGTGGCAACGCTAAAATTCTGCAAGTTTCCACTTGGCTGTATTCTAATATGTCAATGATTAATAAGGATATTCAAGTCACTTCTTATGCCATACTTACTTTGCTTTCAAATTTTATAAATATTTGGTAGCATATTAAATATCACAAAAAGGACTGGTGACAGCCTCACCTATCAGTTTTAAGTTCTATCCTGAAATAAGACCACTGCATGAAATGTTAGGAACAGAGAGGTTTTGTTGATATCTTCAAATACCCCGCATGAAGGAAACACAGTAAACTGTCTCTGGGACTATTAAAAGGGTATAGGCAGTATTGATGGCAAACCAGTGGCTCAAATGGATCTGAAAACCAGGTTAGGGAAAAGCAGTTGAGCATCACTAAAAGTGCAATAGGACAATGGATATATTGACAAGAGCCACTGTGGGTTGGTGCCAATAATTAAAGTCTGTGTGGGCTGACTATTTTTCAGGGATGCCACCATAAAATGAGTGTGGACTATTTTTTCATGAAATATCGCAATGCCATAAAAGCCACAGGAATACAGGTTCTACAACAGAAATAAAAAAAGTTGAGGAGGAAAAATCTGAATTTGACAAAACTTAACTTTAAAATATACTATATTCTCAGTGAATTACTTTGGAAGTAAAATTTCTGGGGATTTAAAAGTTCCCTTCTGTCAAGCAAAATGGGAGCTCAATATAAAGATCAAGCTTGGCTTTCAGAAAAATTTAAAGAGAAATATTTTCTGCATTACTAAGTTTTTGAGCTGTAAAATTATTAAAATACTTTTAAATGTTATATTTTTATTTAACAAAGTTCTGGGAAGATATATAACCATTAAAAATATGTATTTAGTGTGATACACACTTAGCATATTGACCAGTGACCAGTGATATGAAAAATAATAAACATTTATTGCTTTCTAGTTCTTGATTTCTATAATGTTATTCACAGAGTCAATACTATTAAATATAATTGGAGTAGAATATTACAGTCAACCCAACTCCTTTCTTTTAATTTATCATCCCGTTAGTTTTAATGTCTCTCATCTTCTCTACTTGTAGTATGAAGAGAAGGAAATAAAAAAGTGTAAAGGAAAGAAATTTAAATAAAATGGAAGCTCCAATCACAGGTGAATAAATGAGGTTAGAGAAATTAAAGGGCTTTAATCACAAGATAAAAAGGGTTGTATGTTTCACTACAAGTATAAGAAGACCTGAATCAAAACATTTTAAAGCAATAATGTAATTATTATTTAATATAACATTAAGCACTAAGGGAGAACAGTTCAAGGGATGTGGCAATTGCATTATCAAGGATGCTAGTTATTTCTCTCTGTTACCCTCAACATTTTGGCTTAGTTTATCTCAGAACTGGAAAATGGCCATTGCAGTCCAGAGCATTACCTACAGAAATGATCATGTCCTGTGGAAGTAAAACCATTAAACCATTTTCTCTCTCCCTTTCCTTTCACCCATGGCAATTCTTCAGTAGACTGTCATATGCTTCTGCCTAACCCTCCCAAAAAAAAAAGAATGAAAAGAAATGAATGAACTCCCTACCACTATCCTACAATTGGTCGAAAAATGTTGAGATGAGGAGGCACAAGAGTGAACAATGGTTAGCAATAGGAAACTAAGAGTGTTCCTTTCTTGGAACTTGAGAGGAATAAAGGCTGATTTAAGTAAATTTTACATTCTCTCTGGTAAATGTAACAACAGCAACTATTTCATCTGGTTCTCGGAAAATGGAGGGCAGAGTGATTTTCAACTGCTACTCTTATAACAATTCAACAAAATTGGAGTTACAAGAAAAAGTTAACTATCAACCTGTCATATAAAAGATAAAAACAGATAGAGGTTAACATATTGCTGTGAACTTGTCAACATACTTTTTAAAGTGGATGATTAGAACTCATTAAATCATAAAGTAACAAACAAAACTCACTAAAAGACTCATGAACTTACTAAAATTTTAGTTTATATCCATTGTGCATTATGAAAAGAAACAATAATTTTGCATTAATTTTCTTAGTTTAAGGCAAGGTAAATCAAGTACTTTGAATATTAAAGCATTTAAAGATCATATCTATAGATGAGAAGCTAATAAACAAATAAGTGATATGTTAAATATTATCTTAGAAGTAACCGCATTCTAAAAATGATATCTCTAGGCTTTTCATTGGTTATACCACATGTCAAGAAAAAGTGGTGAGGAAAAACAAAAAGAATTAGGTTATCAAAATAAAAAGCCAGTTATCATTCTAGTAAGATGTCTCCTACATATTATTAGAGGAGTAGGAGACATCACCCCAAAAACAATATATTTGATAAAAAAAAAGAAAACTTAGAAAACTCTGCTGCACCATGGAAATAACATACTGCATATACAACTTAAAAAACTCTTTATTTACTTGATTTTTAAATTTTTATTATTTATTTATTTATTGAGACGGAGTCTCGCTCTGTCGCCCAGGCTGGAGTGCAGTGGCGCCATCTCGGCTCACTGCAGGCTCCGCCTCCTGAGTTTATGCCATTCTCCTGCCTCAGCCTCCCCCGAGTAGCTGGGACTACAGGCGCCCGCCACCACGCCCGGCTATTTTTTTTTTTTTTTTTTTTTGTATTTTTTTAGTAGAGACGGGGTTTCACCCTGTTAGCTAGGATGGTCTCCATCTCCTGACTTTGTGATCCGCCCACCTCAGCCTCCCAAAGTGCTGGGATTACACGCATGAGCCACCGTACCCGGCCTTTATTTGATATTTTTACCATGATTTTTGGGTAGAAAATAATTGCATTCAAAGCTTATTAGCAAAGGTTATTTTACATCTTGCAATGTAGCATTCCTGAGTAACCAGCCATGAGATACAATTTCAGTGGCTCTTTAAAAGGCAGGAAAATAAATTAAGTACAGTGTGTTGGAGAATCAAAGCTAAATTGGGTCATAATTATAAAATACATGTTACAATATTTTTATTTTCCTACAAGTAGGCGAAACGTTTTGGTTGGAAATTGTTGTTTAGGCTAGTAAATTCTGTATGAACACAGAAGCAAATCCCTTTATATGAGAGGGCAACAGGAGCAGCCATGTAAGCAGATAAATGTTACACGCCTCAATTGTCGGAAGACACATTCCTTTAAAAAGTTCCTAAGTCCGCTTCCATTGTAGGAGACTAAAAGAAAAACAAAAATAATGAATTCTAAATACAAAATGACCATTTACACCAAGAAGAAATAAAAAGAAGTGGAAACTGTAGAAATATATATAGTAGATAGCGCTGCCCAGAGATTTCCAGGAGACACTGATTAAAAAAAAAAAAAAAAAAGACAAATTTTAAAAATACATGCATGTAATCAGGGACCAATAAAAAAGAGTAGCATGGATTTACAAAAATGATAAGTATTAAGACATCTAAACATTAAAGCTTTGTGAACAAAACAACAAAAATACCAGAAAGAAAAATTGATTTTTATTACATGATTATCAAAAGAGCAAGGATGTTAGGGCTACTTTTTGGGAGATGATGAAATCACACTACTAAAAGGAAAAGGCACAGCTCTTCACTGTAGTTAGAGAGAAAATGCCAATAGCTGAGAGTGTAAGGTCCAACAACTAGAGACATGTAAAAACAGAATTGGAGGTCCTAAAGATTAATGAGTTTGCTGTCAACAAAAGTACTCAATAATAGATAGTATCAAGCAAAATATGGATTTTTAAGCTACTTGAATTTCTTATGTTCTTCTGATATTAAGAATCTATTACTCTAGCATGATTGTTGATTTGGTTTTCCGAATTAATAGGAGTGCTGTAATCAGCAAAAAAACAAAACAAAACAAAACAAAAAACCATGTTTAACAGACTTCACAGGCAAACATGCATAATTGAAAAAAAAGTCTCCTATTTTTAAGTTCAGCAGCTAGTTAGAGAATCTGTAGATTACACTTGGTTATACTCTTCTTTTTTGTTGTTTTCAGCTTCATAATGCCAACTGTGTTCTCTTAAATTATAGAATTATCAAAATTAAAGATGCTTCCTATATAATTTGAGGTTTTTTAAACCTTGCTTACTAAACAATAGCCAGATATATACCTATCACTAAGAATCACATTTTACAGGAATAACAGATACTATAAAACAAAAATATCCCTGAAAATGCAAGATAGAGAATCTAAAGTTGCATATTCCTTCTGAAAAATTAGAAACACACAAATTCATATTGTTTTATAACCTAAACATGTTAATCCAGGAATGCCATTCACTGTAAGTAGAAGAAGGATTATTCATGAAATTTTCAAGAGCTTGTCATGTAACACCATCAGTCTATATTGAAAGAGTAGTGTGATAATACCACCAACCGTGGTATGGACATGGTTATTAGACATTCTCTTCTTATTACCAGGTGTATGGATAGGCTTTTAAAAACAGATAGACTTAAAAACTGATATAGGAATAAGTGTACATTGGATTGACAAAACGTTTCTGAAATAATAAAGTTTTCCCAGTAGTTCACAGCAGGTTTATCAAATAAGTAAACCAAGAGCGCCTACATCCTGCAGAGCACAAAATTACACCAGTCTCTGTTTCTACAGACTTCTAGGACTCCAGATCCTAAAAAAAGCACTGGCATATCAGATCTACTTTAACCTATATTCAAAAACAGAACACTATTGGATTTTTGAGACACATAACTACTGCCAGCTGTTATTTACACTTTTCTCCATTTACACTTTTCCCTACACAGAGTAGCTGTTCTATTTAAATTACAATCCTCTGCAAACTTTCCATTTCTGTTCTATAGATAATTCTGCCAAGCACTATCAGCAGGGCCACACCTGGCTAATTATTGCAAACACACAGCATCTTTGCAGTCATAATTTTATTTCACATGTTCATGCTTTTCAGAAGCACATCATTTTCTGGCCGGCCATCATCTGCACTTCCTCATCTAATCTCATTCTCCATACTCAAATAGTTTCTTCAGGATATTCATGGTTTCCAGCAGTGTAATTGAAAAAAAAAAATCTGTCTCCTATTTTCAAGTTTGGTAGCAAGTTAGAGAATCTACAGCTTGCACTTGGTCATACTCATTTTCTTTGTTTGTGGTTGTTTTCAGCTAACTGTAATGTTGATGAGAGCAAGAATTAAGTTTTGAGTATCATTGCATCCCAGAAATGATCACAGTGGCTAGAATAATGGATCATCAATACATATATGCTGATTGAAAGGAAAAATATGTGGATGACTACATGAATGAATGAAATACTAGCTAATGTATAAATTGCAGATAATGGAAGTGAATAACTTCTAATACTTTTTAAAGTTTCTCATTTGTTAAATGATGTGAGTTAAATAATACTGTATAAAACTGACTGCATCATAAAAAACTGTACATATATATACACGTATATATACAAGATGAAATATGTATATAATGCCCAATGTGTGTGTGTATATATATATAAAAATATATATATATATAGCCCAGTATTCTCAAGAAATAACAAAACTGCAGTGTCTAAACTTTTTCTTTTTTAAAAAAAATCAAATGTTATCAAAATATTTATACAGAACTATCTATACTCAACACAGTTTTCTCTTTTTTATATGTTTACACTATATCACTTAAAAATTATAAGAACAGGAGATGGCCAGATAGGAACAGCTCTGGTCTGCAGCTCCCAGCGAGACCAATGCAGAAGGCGGGTGATTTCTGCATTTCCAACTGAGGTACCCAGTTCATCTCACTGGGACTGGTTAGCCAGGGGGTGCAGACTACGGAGGGCAAGCAGAAGCAGGGTGGGGCATTGCCACACTCTGGAAATGCAAGGAGCGGACCTCCTCCAGAAGCCAAGGGAAGCCGTGAGGGACTGTGCTATCTGGCCCAGATACTATGCTCTTCCCATGGTTTTTGCAATCTGCAGACCAGGGATTCCCTCGTGTGCCTACACCACCAGGGCCTCTGGGATTCAAGCACAAATTGGGTGGCGGGTTGGGCAGACACCGAGCTAGTTGCAGGAGTATTTTTTCATACCCCAGTGGTGCCTGGAACCCCAGCAAGACAGAATTGTTTGCTCCCCTGGAAAGGGGGATGAAGCCAGGGAGCCAAGTGGTCTCCTTCAGCGGGTCCCAATTCCACGGAGCTCAGCAAGCCAAAAACCACTCACTCGAAATTCCTGCTGCCAGCACAGCAGTCTGAAGTCGACCTGGGATGATCAAGCTTGGTGCAAGAAAGGGTGTCCACTATTACTGAGGCTTGCGTAGGCAGTTTTCCACTGATAGTGCTAAGGAGACCAAAGTTTGGACTGGGCAGAACTCACCACAGCGCGGCAAAGTGGCTGTGGCCAGAGTGCCTCTCTAGATTCCTCTTCACTGGGCAGGGCACCTCTTAAAGAAAGGCAGCAGCCCTAGTCAAGGGCTTATAGATAAAACTCTCATCTTCCTGGGACAGAGCCCCGGGGGGAAGGGGCGGCTGTGGGTATAGCTTCAGCAGACTTAAACTTTCCTGCCTGCTGACTCTGAAGAGAGCAGTGAATCCTGACAAGGAAGATTCTCCCAGCAGAGTGCTCAAGCTCTGCTAAGAGACAGACTGCCTCCTCAAGTGGGTCCCTGACTCCTGCACCTCCTGCCTGGGAGACACCTCCCAGCAAGGGTCAACAGACACCTCATACAGGAGAGCTCCAGCTGGCATCAGGTTGGTGCCCCTCTGGGACGAAGCTTTCAGAGGAAGAGGCAGGCAGCAATCTTTGATGTTCTGCAGCCTCAGCTGGTAATACCCAGACAAACAGGGTCTAGAGTGAACTTCCAGCAAAGGGCAGCAGACCTGCAGAAGAGGGGCCTGACTGTTAGAAGAAACACTAACAAACAGAAAGCAATAACATCAACATCAACAACACCCACACAAAATCTCCATCCAAAGGTCACCAGTCTCAAAGATCAAAGGTAGATAAATCCATGTGGATGCGAAAAAAACAGCACAAAAATGCTGAAAATTCAAAAAACCAGAATACCTCCCCTCCTGCAAATGATCACAACTCCTCCCCAGCAAGAGCACAAAACTGGACCAAGAATGAGTTTGATGCACTGACAGAAGTAGACTTCAAAAGGTGGGTAATAACAAACTCCTCTGAGCTAAAGGGGCATGTTCTAACGCAATGCAAGGAAGCTAAGAACTTTGAGAAAATGTTACAGGAACTGCTAACTAGAATAATCAGTTTAGGGAAGAACATAAATGACCTGATGGAGCTGAAAAACACAGCACGAGAACTTTGTGAAGCATACACAAGTATCAATAGCTGAATCAATCAAGTGGAAGAAAGGATACCAGAGACCGAAGATCAACTTACTAAAATCAAGCTTGGTGCTGAAATAAGGCATGAAGATAAGATAGAGAAAAAATAATGAAAAGTTATGAACAAAGCCTCCAAGAAATATGGGACTATGTGAAAAGACCAAACCTAAAATGGATTGGGGACCCTGAATGTGACAGGGAGAATGAAATCAATTTGGAAAACACACATTAGGATATTATCCAGGAGAGTTTACCCAACCTAATAAGACAGGCCAACGTTCAAATTCAGGAAATACAGAGGGCACCACTAAGATGTTTCTCGAGAAGAGCAACCCCAAAACACAATCATCAGATTCTCTAAGGTTGAAATGAAGGAAAAAATGTTAAGGGCACCCAGAGAGAAAGGTCAGGTTACCTACAAAGGGAAACCTATCAGACTATAGTGAATCTCTCTGCAGAAACCCTACAAGCCAGAAGAGAGTGGGGGCCAATATTCAACATTCTTAAAGAAAAGAATTTTCAACCAAGAATTTCATATCCAGCCAAACTAAGCTTCATAAGCGAAGGAGAAATAAAATCCTTTCCAGACAAGCAAATACGGAGGGATTTGTCACCACCAGGGCTGCCTTACAAGAGCTCCTGAAGGAAGCACTAAACATGGAAAGGAAAAAGCAGTAGCCGCCACTGCAAAAACACACCAAAATATAAAGACCAACGACACTATGAAGAAACTGCATCAACTAATTTGAAAAATAACCAGGTAGCATCATGATGATAGGATCCAATTCACACATAACAATATTAACCTTAAATGCAAATGGGCTAAATGCCCCAATTAAAAGGCATAGACTGGCAAATTGGATAGAGTCAAGACCTATCAGTGTGCTATATTGAGGAGACTCATCTCATGTGCAAAGACACACATAGGCTCAAAATAAAGGGATGGAGGGAAATTTACCGAGCAAATGGAAAGTAAAACAAACAAACAAACAAAAAAAAACCAGGGGTTTCAATCCTAGTCTCTGATAAAACAGACTTTAAACCAACAAAGATCAAAAAAGACAAAGAAGGGCATTACATAATGGTAAAGGGATCAATGCAACAAGAAGAACTAACTATCCTAAATATATATGCACCCAGTACAGGAGCACCCAGATTCATAAAGCAAATTAATAGAGACCAACAGAGAGACTTAGACTCCCACACAATAATAGTGGGAGATTTTAACACCCCACTGTCAATATTAGACAGATCAAGGAGACAGAAATTTAACAATGATACTCCAGACTTGAACCCAGCTCTGGACCAAGTGGACCTAATAGACATCTATAGAACTCTCCACCCCAAAACAACAGAATATACATTATTCTCAGCGCCACATAGCACTTATTCTAAAATCGATCTAATAATTGGAAGTAAAACACTCCTCAGCAAATGCAAAAGAATGAAAATCATAACAAACAGTGTCTCAGACCACAGTGTGATCAAATTAGAACTCAGGATTAAGAAACTCACTCAAAACTGCACAACTACATGGAAACTGAACAACCTGCTCCTGAATGACTACTGGGTAAATAACAAAATTAAGGCAAAATAAAGAAGTTCTTTGAAACCAATGAGAACAAAGACACAATATACCAGAATTTCTAGGACACAGCTAAAGCAGTGTTTAGAGGAAATTTAATGGCACTAAATGCCCACATCAGCAAGTGGGAAAGATCTAAAATTAACACCTTAACATCATAATTAAAAGAACTAGAGAAGCAAGAGCAAAATCCAAAAGCTAGCAGAGGACAAGAAATAACTAATATCAGAGCAGAACCGAAGGAGACAGAGACACAAAAAAACCCTTTCAAAAAATCAGTGAATCCAGGAACAAGTGTTTTGAACAGATTAACCAAATAGATTGACCTCTAGCCAGACTAATAAAGAATAAAAGAAAGAATTATCAAATAGACACAATAAAAAATGATAAAGGGGATATCACCACTGATCCCACAGTAATACAAGCTACCATCAGAGAATACTATAAACAACTCTATGAAAATAAAATTTAAAAATCTAGAAGAAATGGACAAATTCCTAGACACATACACCATCCTAAGACTAAACCAGGAAGTCAAATCCCTGAACAGACAAATAACAAGTTCTAAGATTGAGGCACTTATTAATAGCCTATCAAACAAAAATAGTCCAGGACAAGATGGATTCACAGCCTAATTCTTCTAGAGGTACAAAGAGGAGCTGGTACCATTTCTTCTGAAACTATCACACACAATAGAAAAAGAGGGACTCCTTCCTAACTCATTTTATGAGGCCAGCATCGTCCTGATTCCAAAACCTGGCAGAGACACAACAAAGAAAGAAAATTTCAGGCCAATATCCCTGGTGAACTCTGTAGCAAAAATCTTCAATAAAATACTGGCAAACTGAATCCAGCAGCACATCAAAAAGCTTATCCACCATTACCAAGTTAGCTTTTTTCCTGGGATGCAAGGCTGGTTCAACATACACAAATCAATAAATGTAATCCATCACATAAACAGAACCAATGACCAAAAACACACGATTTTCTCAATAGATGCAGAAAATGTCTTTGATAAAATTCAACACCCCTTCATGCTAAAAATTCTTAATAAACTAGGTGTTGATGCAACATATCTCAAAATAATAAGAGCTATCTATGAAAAACCCACAGACAATATCATACCGAATGGGCAAAAGTTGGAAGCATTCCCTTTGAAAACTGGCACAAGACAAGGATGACGTCTCTCACCGCTCCTATTCAACATAGTATTGGAAGTTCTGGCCAGGGAAATCAGGCAAGAGAGAAATAAAGAGTATTCAAATAGGAAGAGGGAAAGTCAAATTGTCCCAATTTGCAGGTGACATGATTGTATATTTAGAAAACCCCATTGCCTCAGCCCAAAAACTTCTTAAGCTGATAAGCAACTTCAGCGAAGTCTCAGGATACAAAATCAATGTGCAAAAATCACAAGCTTTCCTATACACCCATAATAGACAAGCAGAGAGCCAAATCATGAGTGAACTCCCATTCACAATTGTTACAAAGAGAACAAAATACCTAGGAATACAACCTACAAGGGATGTGAAGGACCTCTTCAAGGAGAACTACAAACCACTGCTCAAGGAAAGAAGAGAGGACACAAACAAATGGAAAAAAATTTCATGCTCATGGGTAGGAAGAATCAATATCATGAAAATGGCCATACTGACCAAAGAAATTTATAAATTCAATGCTATTCCTATCAAGGTACTATTGACTTTCTTCACAGAATTAGAAAAAACTACTTTAAATTTCATTTCAAACAACAGAAAAGCCCGTATAGCCAAGACAATCCTAACCAAAAATAACAAAGCTGGAGGTATCATGCTACCTGACTTCAAACTGTACTACAAGCCTACAGTAACCAAAACAGCATAGTACTGGTACTCAAACAGATATATAAGCCAATAGAAAAGAACAGAGGCCTCACAAATAACACCACACATCTACAACCATCTGATTGGCAAACCTGATAAAAACAAGCAATGGAGGAAGGATCCTCTATTTAATTAATGGTGCTGGGAAAACTGGCTAGCCATATGCAGAAAACAGAAACTGGGCCTCTTCCTACACCTTATACAAAAATGAACTCAAGATGGATTAAAGACTTAAATGTAAAACCGAAAACGATTAAAACCCTAGAAGAAACCCTAGGCAATACCATTCAGGACATAGGCATGGGCAAAGACTTCATGACTAAAACACCAAAAGCAATGACAACAAAAGCCAAAATTGACAAATGGGATCTAATTAAACTAAAGGGCTTCTGCACAGCAAAATAAACTATCATCAGAGTGAACAGGCAAACTACAGAATGGAAGAAAATTTTTGCAATCTATCCATCTGACAAAGGTCTAATATCAAGAATCTACAAGGAACTTAAACAAATTTACAAGAAAAAAACAACCCCATCAAAAAGTAGGTGAAGGATATGAACAGACACTTCTCAAAAGAAGACATTTATGCGGCCAAGAAACATGCAAATAAAAGCTCATTATCACTGGTCATTAGAGAAATGCAAATCAAAACCACAATGAGATACCATCTCACTCCAGTTAGAATGGCAATCATTAAAAAGTCAGGAAACAATAGATGCTGATGAGGATGTGGAGAAATATGAATGCTTTACACTGTTGGTGGGGTTGTAAATTAGTTCAAGCATTGTGGAAGACAGTGTGGTGATTCCTTAAGGATCTAGAACCAGAAATGCCACTTGACCCAGCAATCCCATTACTGGGTATATACCCAAAGGATTATAAATCATTCTACTATAAAGACACATGTACACGTATGTTTATTGCGGCACTATTTACAATAGCAAAGACTTGGAACCATCCCAAATGCTCATCAATGATAGACTGGATAAAGAAAATGTGCCATATATACAGCATGGAATACTATGCTGCCATCAAAAAGGATGAGTTCATGTCCTTTGCAGGGATATGGATGAGGCTGGAAACCATCATTCTCAGCAAACTAACACAGGAACAGAAAACCAAGCACTGCATGTTCACACTAGTAAGTGGGAGCTGAACAATAAGAACACATGGACACAGGGAGGGGAACATCACACACCAGGGCCTGTCGGTGGGTGGGAGGCAAGGGGAGGGAGAGCATTAGGACAAATACCTAATTTATGCAGGGCTTAAAACCTAGATGACTGATAGGTGCAGCAAACTACTATGGCACATATATGCTTATGTAACAGACCTGCACGTTCAGCACATGTATCTCAGAACTTAAAAGTAAAATTAAAAAATTATAAGAACAGGAAATGCAGCAATAATAACATTATTTTGTTCAATCCAGCAATCCTCTTATGGATATATACCCTAGAGAAAATAAATAATTCTACCGAAAATACACATGCACGTGTATGTTCATCACAGCACTATTCACAATAGCAAAGACATGGAATTAATCCAGGTGCCCATCAACGGTGGACTGCATAAAGAAAGTATGGTACATACATGTGATGGCATACTATGCATCCATAAAAAAGAATGAAATCATGTCCTTTGCAGTAACATGGATGCAGCTGGAGGCCATTATCCTAAGCAAACAAGCAGGAAAGGAAAACCAAATACCACATGTTCTCACTTATAAGTAGGAGCTAAACATTTGGTACTAATGGACATAAAGATGGCAATGATAGTCCCCAGTGTCTATACTCAGCACTATGCTCACTACCTGGGTGATGGGATTCTTCATATCCCAAATCTCAGTATCACTCAATATACCCAGGTAACAAACCTGGACTTGTACCCACTGATTCTAAAATAAAAGTTGAAATCATAAAATAAATAAATAATAAAAAGAACAGAAGCTAAAAATACAGTTATGTCTCATCTTACCAGAGTCAATGTAATTCTTAACATGTCTATTGAATACCTATTTTGTACAGCATTATTCTAGGAGACATCTCATTTAATCCTTAGAACAAACAGCAGTTCTCAAAACCCCTCAAACAGCGTCTCAGGATGTTTGCACTCTTAGTAATTATTGGAAACCATAAAGAACTTTTGTTTATGACAATTATATCCATCAGTATTTGCCATATTAGAAATTAAAACAGAGAAATGCCTAAAATATCTATTAATTCATTCAAAATAACAATACTAATTTTATTGCAGTTTAACGTCATATAGTTTAATAAAAATAACTATATTTTTTAGAAGTAGAACAATGACAATGCTTTACCTTTTTTCAAATATCTTTAATTTCTGGCTAAATAGAAGACAGATGGGCTCTTGGAGCTGTTTCTACATTCAGTCTGTTGTGATATTACGTGTCAGATAGCCACTGAAAAAATTTACAGCACATTTGCGAAATAATAGGAGTGAAAGGGGCAAATAATGTCTTAGTATTAATATGAAAATAGTTTTGACCTCATAGACCCCTTGAAAGTGTCTCTGAGATCTGCAAGAGATTCCCAGACTATGCTTTAAGGATCTTTGTCCTAGAATAACCTTTTGAGTAGATGTTATTATCATATTTAATCTGTGAGGAACCTGAACCTCAGTGAGATTCAATGACTTACCAAAGGATACAGACAGAGGAAATTAAGGGACAGCCACAGAATTAAACCCCAATCTCTTGATTCCAGGGTCACAGTTAATCCCAGTTACCACACACAGCCTCCTGATACTTTTAACCACAACTTTCATCTCTAGTTGTGATAGAGTATCCACTGGCCACGAAAGTAGAATTCCAATCATTAAATCTCAAACAACTCTAGTTAACACTTTAGTACCGACAAAATTATACATACTAGAGAAAACTGAAAACTCACAAGCAAGTTCTGTCAGAGGTGCCACAGGAAAAGGATCCTAACATAGAGCTAAGCTCTTCAGGTGGGATGATGACAGTGATGATGACAGTAAAGGGATAGAGCCCAGGAATAAACAGGAAAACATGGCCAATCTTTGAAAAAAAAAAAAATTGTTCCTTTTCCAGGGGAAAATGAAAACATTTTATTCACCTGAATCTTGGACTTCAGAATAGCAAGCTAAGGCTACTTTGAAGTCAAAGATTGATTCCAGGAGGGTAAGAAAGACTTGTGCTATGTTTAGTCATTGATAAGAAATAGAGACCCCAGGAGATGAGAAACTTGATAGCAGGTAAAACTGAGGGTTCTTAGTGTCATTTGGCAAGCACTAAATATTCTATGTTAATTAATGTGTTAATATAAATCTGTGATAAGAGAAACTGTCTCTGAGCTGTATTTAATTATTCTCAAAAGTGCTGTAAAGGACGATGATCTGCAAACTCAGCAATATTCCTTGAAACTAATTACCCAGGGAAATTTTTGTGAGACTGTAGTAACAGATATTATATAGTTGCATGTGCCAAAATTGCCTTTAAATTTTTGTAGCAGAACTATTCAAATTAATGACAGATTATCTTTTTTTTTTTTTTTTTTAGATGGAGTCTCGCTCTGTTGCCAGGTTGGAGCGCAGTGGGGCGATCTCTGCTCACTGCCAACCTCCGCCTCCCAGGTTCAAGTGATTCTCCTGCCTCAGCCTCCTGAGTAGCTGGGACTACAGGTACGCGCCACCATGCCCAGCTAATTTTTGTATTCTTAGTAGAGAAGGGGTTTCATCATGTTGGCCAGGATGGTCTCGATCCCTTGACCTTGTGATCTGCCCACCTAGGCCTCCCAAAGTGCTGGGATTACAGGTGTGAGCCACCGTGCCCAGCCCAGATTATCTTTCTTTAAAAAATATGTTTTCCTATAAGTAATAATATCTAAAATACTAATCATTTTATACCTGTTTATGATAATGTTAAATACTGAGAAATTATCCTATGCTAGAAATTGTACTACATCCTTTACTCAATTTTCTTTCTTTTTTTTTTTTTTTTTTGAGACGGAGTCTTGCTCTGTCACCCAGGCTGGAGTGCAGTGGCGCGATCTCGGCTCACTGCAAGCTCCGCCTCCCGGGTTCACACCATTCTCCTGCCTCAGCCTCCCGAGTAGCTGGGACTACAGGCGCCTGCCACCACGCCCGGCTAGTTTTTTGTATTTTTTAGTAGAGACGGGGTTTCACTGTGTTAGCCAGGATGGTCTCGATCTCCTGACCTCGTGATCCGCCCGCCTCGGCCTCCCAAAGTGCTGGGATTACAGGCGTGAGCCACCGCGCCTGGCGACCTTTACTCAATTTTCACAACATATCTATGAGAATGGTACTCTGTCTATACCTATTTCATTATAGATGAGGAAACAGAAGCTCAGAAAGGTCAAGTAACTTGACTGATATCCCTCAGATAATAAATGATAAGGCTAAGATATGAACCCACAAAACTTCATGTTTTTAACTACTATGTTTTACTACATTTGATGCCATTTAAGCAAAAGAATTAACTACAATCTCATGAAACAGACATCACCTATTTAGCTTGGATCTCAGGGCCTGTGGTGCTCCCAGACCTCATGCTTGGAGCCCTCATTCTTTCTTGGCAGAAACTATTTTCTGACTTTTATTTTCAGACTATAATACAATGTATTACTTCTTCCAGGGATTTAGATTTTTTGGAAAACCTGAAGAACAAGGTTTGTTCAGAACTCTAGGCAAGAATCTGTTGATTTGTTTTTCCTTTTAAAAGCAAAAAAATGGGACAAGGACCAATAGAGAAACTGAAGAATGCTTTGTTTTGTAGCCTCAAATAATAATAATAATAATAATAATAACAAGTTTGAATATTGTCCTTCAGGAGGCTAGTTTCTCCTCCTCCTCTTTTTCTTAACTGAAATCTAGTTCCCTAATCTAGATGGTTGACCATTAGCAAGTTACATTCTTGGCTTCATTTGTAAAATAAATGGATTAAACAAGGAAATAATAATAGTAGTAGTAATATTAATATTAGTAATAGATAACTAAATAAAATAAAATGTATAGAAAAAATAGTGAGCTAGATAACAATAGTATTACATTATGATAATGATAATAAAGCTGACAGTTTTATAGTGTGTTATAACTGCCAGTTATAAATATTTTCTAAGTGTTCAAATATAATAACATAATTTTTATATTCTATGAAACAGGTACCATTATAATACACAAATTACAGATGAAAATCTAAGGCACAAACAGTTTAAGAAAATTATCTAAGGCCAAACAGTAAGTGGCAGAGCCAGAGTTGGAATCAGACATGTTGCTTCTAGGAGCTATGATTTTAACCACTATGCAATATTGATTAAATGAACTATCTGATCTAGATATAAAATAAAACTTTAGGCTACACTTCGTACGCATATATTTTTACCTTCTTAAATGTTCTCCAGTTCTTCCTTTTAATAAGTAAAAAAGAGAAAGTTGTTTTTCTTTCTTTCTTTCTTTCTTTTTTTTTTTTTGGTGAGACAGAGTCTCACTCTGTTGCCCAGGCTGGAGTTCAGTGGCGCAATCTGCCTCATTGCAATCTCCACCTCCCTGGTTCAAACAATTCTTCTGCCTCAGCCTCCCATATAGCTGGGACTACAGTCATGCACCACCACGCCCAGCTAATTTTTGTATTTTTAGTAGAGACAGAGTTTCACCACGGTGGCCAGGCTGGTCTCAAACTCCTGACCTCAAGTGATCTGCCCACCTGGCCTCCCACAGTTCTGGGATAACAGCCGTGAGCCACCACACCTGGCCTGAAAGTATTTCAATAACAATTGAAATTACAGCATACTGTAATAATCACAGGCATATTTTTATTTTACTGAGATAGCTAACATTTTGCATTTGGAAAAGAAGAAGTGGCTGGGTGTGGTGGCTCATGCTTGTAATCCGCAAACTTTGGGAGACCGAGGAGTGCAGATCATCTGAGGTCAGGAGTTCGAGACCAGCCTGGCCAACATGGTAAAACCCTGTCTCTAATTTTCGTAAAAACACAAAAATTAGCCTGGCGTAGTGGTGCGTGTCTGTAGTCCCAGCTACTCCGGAGGCTGAGGCAGGAGAATCTCTTGAACCCGGGAGACAGAGGTTGCAGTGAGCCAAGATCACACCACTGCACTCCAGCCTGGGGGACAGGTGAGACTCTGTCTCAAAAAAACAAAAAACAAACAAATGAACAAAAAAAGGAAACAAAAAGAAAAGAAATGATTGCATGGAGAAAACACAATATAATACGCATATTCATATATTTATAAATAGTAAAGAGGGAACAAATCACATACAAATGCCAATGTATAGCAAACCAGCATTTTTATTGCAAATTTTGAATTTCTGAATGAAAATATCAGCTTTGGGCCAGGCGCAGTGGCTCATGCCTGTAATCCCAGCACTTTGGGAGGCCAAGGCAGGTGGATCACAAGGTCAGAAGATCGAGACCATCCTGGCTAACACAGTGAAACCCTGTCTCTACTAAAAATACAAAAAATTAGCCGGATGTGGTGGCGGGCACTTGTAGTCCCAGCTACTCAGGAGGCTGAGGCAGGAGAATGGCGTGAACCTGGGAGGTGGAGCTTGCAGTGAGCCAAGACTGTGCCACTGCACTCCAGCCTGGGTGACAGAGCGAGACTCCATCTCAAAAAAACAAACAAACAAAAAAGAAAATATCAGCTTTGGTTTAATAACAGGAATCAATACTAATGCTTTATCTCTGCTCCTTAGACACACTAGAGATTGATCCTAGAAGGCTGGTATTTATTCTCATTGATCCTTAGAACAGAGCAGCACTGTTCACAATAGCAAAGACTTGGAACCAACCCAAATGCCCATCAATGATAGACTGGACAAAAAAATGTGGCACATATACACCATGGAATACTATGCAGCCATAAAAAAGGATGAGTTCATGTCCTTTGCAGTGACATGGATGAAGCTGGAAACAATCATTCTCAGCAAACTAACACAGGAAGAGAAAACCAAACACCACATGTTCTCACTCATAAGTGGGAGTTGAACAATGAGAACACATGGACACAGGGAGGGGAACATCACACAGTGGGGCCTGTCCGGGGTGGCAGGCTAGGGGAGGGATAGCATTAGGAGAAATACCTAATATAGATGACGGGTTGATGGGTGCAGCAAACCGCCATGGCACGTGTGTACCTATGTAACAAACCTGCACGTCCTGCATGTGTATCCCAGAATTTAAAGTAAAAAAAAAAAAAAAAAAAAGGAATGGGGAATAGTAAAACATAATAATAATAAAGCATTCATCCTGTACAAAAATGCCAGTAGCTAAACAATAGTACACCATTTTTTATGTGGGAGGTTTAACTATTCAGAAAAATAAATGTTATAGACACGCCAGAGCCCAGAAAGAGAAATAAAAAAGGGCACTTGATTTAGTTTATTTTACTATATTTTTGGTATTAAAATTATATAACAATTCCACTAGGTGGTGCAATAAAAATAGAACCCTATTTTTCTATTTGCACTTTTTGACTATTATAACATTTAAACTTTCAGACATACATACATTTGCAAAATCTAGATCTGAATGGTCAATGACCAGTTTCAATTTGATTTTTTATTTTGTGTACTTGTTTGCTTCTAATTTGTTTAGCTGTCCTGAGTCATACTTCCATGCCCAGCAGTTTTCCCTCTGAAACATTCATGAAGTAGCCATAGATTACGCTTAAGGATCCAGAGCCTGCTTCAAATAAAAGCACGAATTTAAATTTTGATAAGGGGGTTTTATTTTGCTTTATATTTTTAAACATAAAATAGGCTTAATATATTCAAAACCTTCATGGACCCACTTAATTTATCTTTCTTATAGCTTTGTTAAAGTGAGCCCTGGCCGACGACCAAAATAGACTCCTCATGGTTAACTGAGGTATTCAAAGTTACAACAGAACCAGGAAGCTACAGCTGGGTGAGGGATGTCTGTGTTCTCAGAAAGACATTGTAAAGGTGTCACAGCACCTCTTTCTATAATCAAGCCAAATCATTTCCTGTTGTCGGTGCCAAGATAAACTTTGGCCAGAAACTACTACTCCCATTGACTGTTTGAAATAAACATCTGACAGAGACTTCTGGTTTGGGGCTTGAAAACAAACAAATCAGAATTCAGCTATACAGACCAATCAGAACTATGTGAATTTCAGTCCTTTCTTTGCATAAATAGACCTGATTAGGAATCTGGAAAGACACTTTTACTATAAAATCAAAACTCTTTCTTTGTTCTCTATAGTGCACCTTCATTTTACACCAGAGGCTGTCTCTCACCAGTTTGCAAACTGTTCACTGGAAAAAAGTCTCTTTTTTCCAAATTTCTTTTCAGAGAACTTTTGTTTACATCTTTGATATTAATTTAGAAATACATTTATTTTGTAACACAGTATATTGACAAAATATACCATTTATATTTTGTCAGAACCAAGGTTTCTTATAGACCGTTACATATTCTCCTTTATCTCTAATGTATTAAAACCTGTACATTAATTAGGAAATTACTACTCTATAGCAACATCATTTGCTTTGTAGAAAGTTTTACAACTGCATATAGCTGGTCTTAATTGCAATTTTAAAACAAATTGTATTTAACTATAATATTTCAGCACATTTACTTGTTAAAATGAGAAGTACCTGGTTTTGGTTTGTTTGCAATTTTAAAATATTAATATCTTGTACTTTCTTTTCTTTCTTTTTTTCTTTTTTCTTTTTTTGAGATGGAGTTTCACTGTGTTGCCCAGGTCGGAGTGCAGTGGTGTGATCTTGGCTCACTGCAACCTCTGCCTCCTGGGCTCTAGCAATTCTCCTGCCTCAGACTCTCAAGTAGCTGGGATTACAGATGTATGCTACCACGCCCAGCTAATATTTGTATTTTAGTAGAGACAGGGTTTTACCATGTTGGCCAGGCTGGTCTGGAACTCCTGACCTTAACTGATTCGCCCGCCTAGGCCTCCCAAAGTGCTGGGATTACAGGCATGGGCCACCGCGCCCGGCCTATCTTGTACTTTTTTGTAAAGAAAATAAATGCATTTTTCAGAGTAGAAAAATGGAGAAAAGAACAAAAATTATATTAAATGTTTTATGCCTACAGATAGTCATTCTTATTAATTATTTCTCATTCATACTGAAAATACTGGTTTTCCTCAACATGACTATATTCATATTTTTAAGCAATGTTTTGCCTTATATTTATTTAGTAAAAATTTTTTTAATGTGACCAATTTTTTTGACTCTTTTACATTTTAAGTTACAAAGATCAGCGAATTCTACTTTGGTTTATATTATATTTTGATTGCTTCTAAAAGCAGGAAACAATGGTCAAAGAATAGTCTTTTCAGACATTAAAAGAGGCCCAGAACACTTAAAATTTATCAACTTTTGTGATATCAGACAAATGAAGAGCCATATTTGTGATTAATATCTAAAGCACAAATTTAGGTTCCTTCATAAATACTGGATCAGTTTGTAGCATTCCACTCAAAAATAGAACAAATGTGACCATTACCATATTAGAACCATTTGCCTTTGAAGTTCAGTTTGAGTGCATGTACTGCATATTCAGTGTGATTTCACTGACCGCTGTTAGGAACATGTTTAGTGGCTATGCAACAAAATGTATCTTAATTAACCTTATGGTCTTAATTCTATCATCTCAACCACTTTAAGTAACTGAGCAAAACATGCCTGGCAATAGAGTGGACTTTTATAGTTTAAAACAATTTAAAAGATTCACATAGGCAAGCATGTACCCAATACTATACATATAGTAACAAGAATATAAATTATCATGTATAATTTCTAGAGAAAATAAAAACAGATCCTTTGAAAGGTAAAAAACATGATTCTTCTCTACTGCAAATTTTTGTTCATATCACTTTTAAGACATCTAAAGCCCTGTTTAGAGGGGTGTGTGTGTGTGTGTATTTAGGTGTACACAAATTAGTGTGTGTGTACTCTCCTGTGTATGTTAATTGTTAGGTACTTATAAAAATATCTGAAAGATACCATACTAAAAAGTTGTTAAAGGATACAATCCAAAACATATTAAAATGATATCAGTTTTATGTATTTTTTTAGAATTTTATGTTGTCTTCCACAAGGCCACACTGTATGAGGGCAATTTTCCCACACGCAGCCTATGAGGTGTGGATGGCGTAAGCCACAGATCAGGTATGAGGCCCTTTTCCTGGGAGTGCTTGTGTAAGTCCCTGTTTCTTTATAGCAGGCTTATTATGTCTGTGGAATGATATATATATTTAAATGTGACATTTTTATCATTGCCACGATTACTAATTCGATTTGTCCAGTTATATATTTTTGGGAAAGAAGACAAATTCTTATGAAATATACATAAATTACTACATTTCCATGAAAAGTAAAGTGACTCAGCAGAGGCATTTTGTATATTTGTCTTAGCTTGGCTTCTCCCAAAAAAGTAGGGTCTGACACATAGACTTGCACATCTCTATGACCAAGCTTTGTACAATAATGCTATGGTTTTATTAAGAACAGATTTTATACTTAAATACCATTTTTTCTTATTTTTCTCTTCATTATTTGTTTTCTTTATAATTTAATATTCTACATATGTATATATGTGTACCTAGATGCATTCATATAATTAAACAACTTCAAGTGTTTAAGATATAGTCACCTTAACATACAAGACAATAGAGAATTTATCACATTAATAAATTTCTAATGTTTCCTTTAATAAGCAGGCAAAACCATGTCCATTATTTTGCTACTACTGAACCTAGCCTATGCTCAGCCCTAGTTATGCTATCACCCTCAGACCTCTGCCCTGGTCTCGAGGCCTCAGTATACTCATAGTGCCCCCTGATTTAGAGATGCTTCCCTTCCTCTGCCTGGAATCAGCAGAGATTAACAGTGCTCTTCAGGCAAAGAAATCCAAGGTCATATCTGCTCCTAAATTAGCCCCAGATCCAACATGGGAACCCATCTCAGTTTTTCAAAACCCTTAGGTACGCTCTCCTATTTTCTACACCATACATAGGTTCCAGATCCCTGGAATATGATTCTATAGGGTTATCTCAGAGCTGTATGGCTTGGCACTGGCAAGAGTTCTCCTCTTCAGGCAAATGCAATATTTCTTTCACAGGAAGAAGCAAGATTAGACCACCAGAATAACGATGACCTTGGTGATAACGATGTTTAGGAAAATTCTCACTTACATGGGACCTGAGACAATTTTAGAGCTCTTGAGGACATCGTCAAACCTTGAGTTCAAGCCACATGTATGGACTTGTCAGTGTTCCCACTGTGTTGCCACCTCTGGTCTATAGTTCCTGAGGGCAGCAGAGGTGAGTGACAGCAGGCATCTTTTATCCTGTGTACCCACTACATTTCACTGTGTGCCTACCCATTTCACTGACACTGAAATTGGCCATTCCATCTCTTTCACAGGAGCCTCACTACATATCAGGCAGTCCCCCAGCAGGCTGCAACCATTTCCTGAAATGACTTAAGGACTTCTCAGATTATTGTTCTGCAAGGCTATGGGCTCTTCCCATTGGTGTCCGTTCTTGCCTTTTATTGAAAGGGTGATACTGTGCTTTTCCAGGTTACTCTTAAACCACACTTCAGGAGTGATGATCGTTCCTTGCATGGATGGTACTACTCTTCTTGTTCTACCCATGGCTCCTTGAATGGCAATATGCAGAAGGAAGTAGTTGCATTCATCACTGAAAGAGACCACATTCTGGTAATGAAATGATTACAATCTTACAGTTCCAGAGAAGTTGCAATTGGAAGATGTGCTATTCTACACCTACACATTCCAAAAGCTAAATTTAACATGACCAGAAAACAAAATATCACACACATTTTGCTGCATGCTCTGGGCAAGTGTTGAAATTGTGATCATTATCAAAGAAACACACTAACAACTGTAAAAGGAGTTGTTGGAAGCCAGTATTCATGGGAGGGACAGATGATAGATGATGCAGCCTCATAATTAATGATGTAACCAGGTTTAAATACATGATATTGGAGAACTGCAGAGGGAAGATCTATATTATTTTAATACAAACATTTTCCCAAAAGCCATTGCATTGCATCAGTACTGCTACATTTTCCATGTGGTAAGAGACAGGAAGTTAGCTATGCATGTACAATTAATGATAATGAACATGAAAAGATGGTTCCTGGAACTGAAGAGAAAGAGATGGTGCCTGAACAATATGAAGAATCTTCTCATTCACTGATCAAATAATCAAGCAATATTTAAGAGCATTTTTTCTAACCATTACTCTAAGTTTTTGTTGATAAGCTACAATATACTATACCACACATGAACCCATGAATTTTATAATTCCATTTTAGTTAAATTTTTATATAAGACCCCACAAAATCATACACTTCCAAGACTCACACTCTCTAGAGAGGATGTTGCCACATGAATAAACTTTGCACATCATTTTTATATTTCAAGTAAAAAAAATAAGTTTGTCTATAACATTACTGTTATCTGTTGCTATATAGCAAATTACTCCAAACATAACAGCTTTAAAACAAACAAAAAAAAACATTTATTATTTCATATGATTTCTGAGGGTCAGAAATATGGGAGTGGTTTAGCTGAATGGTCTGGGTCAGGTTATCTCAGGAATAAAACAGTCAAGTTGTTGAAGCTGTTGCCATATGGTCCCCTACGTAGGGCTGCTCACATAATATGTCATCTGGCTGCCCCCTAGAAAAGTGCAATCTCAAGACAAAGCCACAATTTTTGAATATTCTAATCTCAGAAGTGACATCCCATCATTTTTGTCATAGTCTATTCTTTAGAAGTAAGTCATTAATTCTAGTTTATACTCAAGGGAACACAAACAAATCTCCACTTCTTGAAGAGGGAAAAAAATCATAGCATGTGTGAACATGTTTTTTAAAACACAACAATGACCTATACAGAGTCCAAAAACAACTGAATATATGCCAGCCACAGACAAAAAAAAACCACTCCAATTATAAAAAGATACTAAAATATTCTGTGTTTTTACATCTACACAAATATACACACAGAAAACTGTCACACTCAGTTTTACAAATTTAGCCATAGGTTAAAAGAGAAGCACACAATTTATTTTCAACAAAAACTCACCTGTTGATTGCTTTAGCTCTCTAATAGAAAAGTCAAGGAGTGCAAAACATATCTGAGACAAACTTGTTACGGTTTTTCAATCCAGGGGCTGCTCTTTACTCCACGGGGCACAAAGCTTTGCTTTTGTTTTGTGGTTTTTGTTTTAATGATTTGAGGTCCTAATGGTACACAAACAAGTCCAACAACAACAAAAAAATATGCTACTGAAAGTCAGAAGACAAAATAACCTTCTGTATTGAAGACAAAAAGTGACACAAGCAACTTTTCAACCTGACGACTGATATTGGCTAATGGTCCTACTAAACCTATGATATCTTATAACCTGGTGGCAAGGTCATGGGTGTCCCAAGAAAGAGGTGACAGAATCATCAAGACAAAGACAGTAATAAAAAGGCCAGCTATAAAGAAAAGCTCACACTTTCTGTTTTCTGTTACCTGACAAAGACCAGTTAATCCGATATTATAATCAAAGCTAGGCTCCTAATGTTCTACCACTAATAGAAGCCATGTATTGGCAAACTTGTACAAAAGAGAACCAGACTTCACCAAGAACTAGAATCTGCAATAGTAACATGAGTCAGCAAGAGAAAAACTTTCTTATCTGGGAATTACGAGATTTATCCTTAGAGCTGGAAAAGGCTGACCTGAGTATGAGGAGCTCATTAGTTACATCTCTTGGACAAAACCATCTACTTGGCACCGGTAGTTAAATCTGAGCAATTTGGTGGGACCTCCATCTTTGGAAAGAAAAGCCACAGATAAAAGCATTAAGAAAATAAAAAGTATATTTTTACCTGCAAATGGTTTGAAAGAGAGTTCAGACTTCATAAGAAGTTTTATATTCATATTTATATTTATAAAACTTCATAAGTATTATATATCTAATATACAGTATGTCTGATATAAAATATAAAACCATGATTATTGCCATTCACTTCACAATGGGAGGATGCAACAGTTTTTTTACAGCATTATCATATCTGTAAGAATATCCACATATCTGCAGATGCCAGTATTGCAAAAGTCAGAGATAAAATTGTTTGTGTTAGGAAGTTAGCAACTTACAAGAAAGGGCTCAAGTCTGCTATTTATTTGAAGGATAGCACTAGGCAAGATGTTATATATGTATTTAGTTTATCTCAGGATGTGAAATTCTTTTGTGTTGTTGTTCCCTACTGTGGAACCTCATATGCTTAGTTGTAATGGTGTCAAGGCAAGATTCAGGTTTACTATCTCAAATCAAATGCATACATTTAGTAATAAGCCATAGTGGCTACTTGAGAAGGAAATGTTACAGGATAGTAACAAATCTCAGGAGTCTGTTTGGGAATGATGGAATGTCGCTTCTGAGATTAGAATATTTAAATCTGTTTATTTTGACCCGACCACAGGATCTTGGATTTATAAGAGAGAGGTACAACTTACTCATGCAGGCTGCCTCTCCTGATTTTCCCACCAAAGCTAATAATTAGGGTAGAGGTTTACAGACAGTATTGGCCAACAAATACTATGGTAAACTGTGGTATCACAGCCACACTTTATTTCCTGAAAAAACAATAACACTATTAAAGCTTACAATAAAGGACAAGTGAGCACTTAGATTTGTAAACCAGATATATCTTACAGAGTCAGGGTAGGAATTACCAGCTTGAATAATACCTGTTTTTTTTGTTTTTACTTTAGAATTTTTTTGCCATGAAGATATCTTTAAAGTCTATGCAGTTAATCTTAACAGAATTAAGGCTTTTTGTCTTTTCTGCAACACTAAATTCTCTGAACTATCTTCTGAATCAACATTATAATTAAGTCATATATATTCAGACAGGGTGAAGGCTGTTTTATTTTTATTATAGATTCTTTGTTAGCCTGAGAAATTACTGTTTGATACTATCAAGTTTGATATATTATTTAAGTCAAAATCATCCCTAATATTATATCTTAAATGAAGACAAGATGTCCCTGTAATATTTGGAATGCTGTCATATAATCAACAAGAATTTGCTGAGTTCCTTCTAGGAAATATTAGTAATGTATGGCAAACAGACAACCAAAGAGTAATTCTTTGTTTGGAAAAACCACTAATGGATTTGACGTCTTTTTATGTCTATTTCTAAAAAATACATTTATAAATATAGTTATTTTCCCCAATTATTTTAATGCTGTATAATTAAAGCTGTACTTTTTTCTTGAGCTTATGAAAAAGTTAAATATGTGGAACAAGGTTGAGAAAAATACAAAAGCAGTTGGGATTTGTTCTTTACAAGCAAAAAGAACCCTATTGTTATCAAATATTATTAATAGAGGAAATGCTTTTTAATAACTGTCTCAGCCAACTTGAAAAACTAATTTTTGAAACAAGATTCCAAAACCATTATTTTGGATGCAAGGAAAAGTTTGTTGAATGAGTACACGCAAACTTTTTATAACGCAATGTGCTATGAACCAATATATATGTCCACAAACAGAAAAACATTGAACATCTCAAAAATAGGACAGTTTTTTTCCTGTATAACTGTTATTACCAGCTTCATAATGTGAAAAAGTTACAAACAAGACTAGCATCCTTTTTGACCAAGATGCAGTATTAGCTCTATAATCCTTTTCTGTTAGACACATACATCCAATCTCATCTTCTCAGAAAAAGAACACTTTATTTGTGATTATCAGCACTAGGCTAAAATATATATTTTCCCACTGCAGCCAGATCTTGCTGTTCAACACTTCTACTCATTCAATTCCATCAGATATCTCTATTCTACTTCTCAGCATGATTAGCTACTCATTTCTGCAATAGGACCTTATAGCCAGTGACTCAGAAACTGTAGGAAAGGAGGAAGAATTATCCCATCAGATATTATCAAAAATCACCTCAGAATTGTGCTCTAACCATACTAGGTGTTGGCTTAATAGTTAACCTAATGGGACTACCATACATTAATTAATAGAGTTTTACACGGAGAAACAAAGCAGGAAAAGTAGAATAGAATTAAAGTTTAAAAGTGGTTGATATGGTTTGGCTGTGTCCCCACCCAAATCTCATCTTGAATTCCCACATGTCATGGGAGGGACCCAGTGGGAGGTAATTGAATCATGGGGGATGTCTTTCTCGTTCTGTTCTCATTATAGTAAATAAGTTTCATGAAATCTGATGGTTTTATAAAGAGGAATTCCCCTGCACAAGCTTTTTTATTTTTTGGCCTGCCGCCATCCACATAAGATGTGACTTGCTCCTCCTTGCCTTCCACCATGATGGTGAGGCCTCCCCAGCCACGTGGAACTATAAATCCAATTAAACCTCTTTCTTTTGTAAATTGTCCAGTCTTTATCAGGAGCGTGAAGATGAACTAATACAATGGTGAATAACAAGCAATTCACTAACAGGGAACCCCTTGTTAGAAGTAAAGTACAAATTAAGAGTGGAACAAAGGAAAAATGAATTATACTGAAATGGCTGAGCTAGTTTTCTAGATCTTGCTGGTTCTCATAGCAATAGAATCTACCTGGACTGGAGCTTGTTAGA
Organism: Homo sapiens; assembly: GCF_000001405.40. NCBI lineage: Eukaryota > Metazoa > Chordata > Mammalia > Primates > Hominidae > Homo > Homo sapiens. The sequence continues at coordinate 184,044,848 of NC_000002.12, read as the reverse complement.
GATGCAGAACTTCCAGCCCCTCCATGCCAGCCCTCCACTGGCATACTGAATCCAAATCTGCATCTTAACAAATTCATCAGGCTCTTTGTAGCCATAGTACAGGATGGGAGGCACAAAGCAGACTAGAAGTTTCTGTGTGTTCTTCCTTTCTTGGGTCATCTGGCTTTCAAGAGTTTTAAAACCCCTTCAGATAATCTCTATCCATATATTCAACTTTGTTTTAAAATACAGATGAAAAATAAAGGTGTCATAATATTTTACTTGTTTTGATTATGCAGTATAGTGTGTTTTGTTATCTGATGCATTTGACAGTAAGTTTATTGGCTAAGTGAAAAATGTTTAACCCATATTTACAACTGAAATATTTTATTATAATATAAAATTAGGTTGGGCATGGTGGCTCATGCCTGTAATTCCAGCTCTTCAGGAGACCAAGTCAGGTGAAATGCTTGAGCTCAAGAGTTGGAGACAAGCCTGGGAAACACGGCAAAACCCAATCTCTACAAAAAATACAAAAATTAGCTGGGCATGGTGGTGCACGCCTGCAGTCCCAGCTATAGGAGGCTGAGGTGGGAAAATCGCTAGTGCCCAGGAGGTGGCTCTGGCAGTGAACCAAGATGATGCCACTGCATTCCAGCCTGGGTAATAGAGCAAGACTCTGTCTCAAATTATAATATAAAATAAAAATAAGTAAATAAAATTATATACATGTATGTTTTTAATGATATTTTAATTAAAGATTTGTCTTTGAATATAGGTCTGTTGAGAAGAGTTTTTCACTGTTTTTCTGATTTAAAACACACCCATTACACATCTTCTATAACTTTTGCTTTTATTTCTTATAAGTGAAAAGAGAAAAAATTTATTCTACTTAATCAATCTGTTCATAAAATTTTATAGATTTTTGCAATTTAAAATACCTTAAATTGCAGATCAACTGAGGTTAGGATTTCGAGACCAGCCTAGCCAACATGGTGAAACCCTGCCTCTACTAAAAATACAAAAATTAACCGGGTGTGGTGGCAGATACCTGTAATTCCAGCTACTCAGGAGGCTGAGGCAGTAGAATCTCTTGAATTCAGGAGGTGGAAGTGACAGGGAGCCAAGATTGCGCCACTGCACTCCAGCCTGGGTGACAGGACGAGACTCTGTCTCAAAAAAAACAAAACAAAACAAACAGACAAACAACAAAAAAACCCCTTAAATTGCAATTGTTTTTGCCCACACCTAATTCCATTGCAAATATTTTTAATGAAAAACAATAATCAGAAGAAAAAAATTCACATTTTTACCTTGTTTATATAGTCTTCAGTTAAATCATGTAATTACAAAAATAACTACAATAGATAAATTAGGGAAAATACACCTAACTCTTTATAATAACACAGGACAGGGTAAGCTTGCAGTAATCAATTGTATGGGCATACTTGAGAGCAGCCTGGAAGCCATGGGATTTCGGTGTGTGTTGCAGGTTGCATCCTTAAAAGCAAACTCTGAAATGGAGGTTAGCATAAAGAGGGATTATTAGGGACTGTTCTTGAGATCAATAAGTGTGAAAAGAAAAGATAAGGAAGAAAGTGGGATTGGGCAGATGGAAAGTTTGGGTTGTGATTCATTCTCAAGAAAAGCCTCAGCCAACCCCTCAGGGAACTCTGGAGCTGGAATAACCCTTCAGAATTGCACTGAGTTGGGAGAGAAGAGACTTAACCTTTATCATCCACATTAACCCATCACTGGATGCAAGCTGAGCCAGGAACATGGCATTCTTCAGTTAAAGGACTTTGTATTAGTCCGTTCACATGCTGCTATGAAGGAAAACCTGAGACTGGGTAATTTATAAAGAAAAGAGGCTTAACTGATTCAGAGTTCAACATGGCTGGGGAGGCCTCAGAAACCTTACAATCATGGCAGAAGGCACCTCTTCAGAGGGCTGCAGGAGCGAAAATGAGAGCTGAGCAAAGGGGGAAGCCTCCTATAAAATAATGAGATTTCATGAGAACACACTCACTATCACGAGAACAATATGGGGGAAACTGCCCCCATGATTCAATTATCTCTCCCTGGTCCTCCCCTTGACACAGGAATTATTACAATTCAAGGTAAGATTTGGGTGGGGACACAGAGCCAAACTATATCAGACTTCCTGAAGGGGGTATGTGCTAACAGCACACAGAGCAGTTAGGAGACAGTCATTTCTGGGAAGGGGATCTGAGTAGAATATCACAGTATTGACTATAATAGGAATCAGCAATAGTTAATCTGTTAACTAAATACATGGTTAATTTTCCCCATAAAGAAAATAAAGAACTATTCACATTATCCAGGAAAACCATTAGGTAGAATTGGTTAGGAGATACTTTATGTGATTGTAGTAAAAAATAATACTTAAACATAAGTCCAACTATAGTGTATTTTGGCACTTAAAATGAATTGAAAGAGCCATTTACAAGACATAACTACAATAAGATTTGCTTTTCTAAGCTGCAAATATCTATTGATTTTTTTTCAAAGAACACTATTTCACTGTGGCAGAGTTTCGTCACTGAAATATAACCCAATTTTTAAATTTGCTCTTCATTTGTTTTTCATGGGCTGAGATCAAAGCACTACTTCATTAAATCTTAAGATAGCATATTTACTGTAGAGGCATGCATATATTAATCAAAACCTTCAGTTTAAAACAGATTTTTAATTATTATGAATTTAAAACTTGAGCTAAAATGTTAAAATGGTGTAATTATGTAAATACAGTCATGTGTGACTTAACGACAGGGATATGCTCGAAGAATGCATTGTTAGGTGATTTCATCATTGTCTGAACATCATAGAGTGTGCTTACACTAATCTAGATGTTATAGCCTGCTACGCACATATGATACAGCCTATTGCTCCTGGGCTACAAACTACACAGCATGCTACTGTACAGAGTACTGTAGGCAATTGTAACACCATGGTATTTGTATGCCTAAATACAGAAAATGTACAGTAAAAATATGGCATAAAAGACCAGAAATGTTGTATTTCCATTATAATCCTATACGTTCACCATAGTATAAGCAGTCTGTCATTGACCAAAATGTCCTTATGTGGCACAAGACTGTATATGTTATGAGTATCAATGTACAAGATGCTGCAGACGTTTTCTTGAAAACTTATTTACAATAGATTTTTAAAGATACTATGAAAAACTAGAAAAGTGTGTGTAAAAATGTATTTTTTTGTTATTATTATTTTTTTGAGACAGAGTCTCACTCTGTCGCCCACGCTGTAGTTCAGTGGCGCGATCTTGGCTCACTGCAACCTCCGCCTCCCGGGTTCAAGCTTTTCTCCTGCCTCAGCCTCCTGAGTAGCTGGGATTACAGACGAGTGCCACCACTCCCAGCTAATTTTTGTGTTTTTAGTAGAGATGGGGTTTCACCACGTTGGCCAGGCTGGTCTTGAACTCCTGACTTCAGATGATCTGCCCGCCTCAGCCTCCCAAAGTGATGAGATTACAGGCATGAGTCACCATGCCCAGTCTAAAAATGTCTTTTATTATAATAAATAGCTCCATGTCAAGGTTTAATCTCTTTAAAATATCCCTGGAATGTTCTCACACTGTTTTACTATCAACATTGCTTTAACAGTGCAAGCACATTAGGAAAGAGCATTTTTATATCATTATAAATATAACGAGTCTCCATAGATTCCTCAAAGCTAACATAAATAAGAGGTAAATAAACATCCCCAGTGTGTGTGCAAGTATGTGTGTGCATCTGTGTATGTGTCTGTGTGTGTTTTTCAGAGAGAAACTCTAGTGACTGTTTACCTAAAAATTACTGTGTTTTTTCTCATGGTAAATAATTTGGAGGATTTAACGCCCCACAAAAAATCAATCTCTCTCCCTTTTTTCCTCAGCTATTTAAACAAATGTTTAATCAATACCAAGTAATATAAGCACTTATCACAATGTAAGGAAAAGACAATTTAGAAAGGATCTTTTCCTGGAGCTCCTAACCATTTTTAATCTGTGTGAAAATTATAACCCAATAAACTCTTCCCTCTGAAACTCAGGCAGAAGATCTTCAGCAGTTGAGGTTGAGTATACAGTACTTAAAATTTAACAGCTTTAGGAGTAACACTTTCTGCTTTTTCCAGCAGCTTTCTTCAGCTTTATTGAGATATGATTGACAAATAAAATTGTACATATTTAAGATGCACAATGTGGTGACTTGTATACATATACATTGTGAAATAATTGCCACAATCAAGATAATTAACATATCTATCACCTCACATAGTTACTCTTTTTTAATGTGGTAAGAATACTTAAGATCTACTGTCTTAGAAAATTTCATGTATACAGTATATAGTTAGTTATGATTAACTATACTCACCATGTCATACATCAGATCGCCAGAACTTGTTCAGTTTATGACAGTTTGTACCCTTTAACCCACATCTCTGCATTACTGCCCTTTGTAACCACTGTTAACCACCATCCTATTTTCTCTTTCTGTAAGTTTGACTATTTTAAATTTCACATATAAGTGAGGTTATGTGGTATTTGTCTGTCTGTGCCTGGCTTATTTCATGTAGTATAAAGGCCTCCCATTCATCCATGCTGTCACAAATAGCAGGACTTCCTTCTCTTTAAGGCTAAATAATATTCTATTATATACAATGCATATATTTTTTTACATTTTCTTTATCAGTACATCTGTTGATAAACACTTAGGTTGTTTCCATCCTTGACTGTTGTGAATCATGCTGCAAGGAACATGGGAATGCAGATATTTCTTCAAAATAGTGATTTTATTTCCTTTGGATATACCCAAAAGTGAGATTGATGGATCATATGGTAGTCCTATTTTTACTTTTTTGAGAGGCCTCCATACTGTTTCCCTCCAAATTTTAAACTCCACAGTCCAGATACAAATCAGGATTCTGGAGAAGTTGGGTACTTCTAGTATCTGGGAATAACGCTTATTTATATTAGGAAAACATCATTGCCCCTAAATATCCCTTGCTCCCAAATAAGTTAATGGTATGGGAACACTACACATTATAATCCTAAATTAACTCAGATATACTCTGCAATCGCAATTAACTATTTTTAAAACTAGAATTGCTCAAACCATAAATATATAAATGAGACACACAGATAAGCTAATTGTATTAAAGCAATATGAAATCTGGGGCCTAGTAAGGATAAGAGAAGAATGGTAACTACAGTAATTAAATTATTGATTTAAGCTCCTAAAACAGAAACAAAGGATCTCTGTTCTTGGTGAGTTCTAAAAGATAATGTCTGGCTTTTTAAATTATATCAAACTAAATATGAAATATGGAACCTTATATCGAATCTATGTATTTGAAATAATTTATAACACTGAGTTTTCATTTATCTTTTATGATTTTGACTGCAGGACCACAATCACGGACATTTGGTTATATTATTTACTATTCTTTAAAGTTAAAGTTATGTGGCCCAAGCAAGAACTTATTTTCATCATCCTCATTTGTATTGTTGTAAGCTCCTCAAATATTAGGGATTGAGCCTAGTTATTTATCAGAGCAAGAAATACAAAATTTCAAGTTCCAGTGGTGAAAAGATCAATGATTTTGGATGAGAGAATTCAATGAAATAATTTGGGATTAGAAATCAGGAAAATAATCTATATTACAAAACCAACTACATTTCCCTATTAATTATTCCAGTAAATAAAATTACAAATCTCAAATTCCACAAAACCAAAAACTAAGACTAATCTCTAACTCCTGCTTCTTACGCAGCTCCCGTTATGTTCCATCTGTGATTCCCGCTTAATGTTCTTAAATACTTTCTGGATAATCCATTTTCTCCTTCTACACCACTGACATAGCATCAGAAGTTTGAACTATTCTAGTCCTACAAATTTCCCACGTTTATTCATCTCCACAAATTTCCCACGTTTATTCATCTCCACAAAAAAAACCACAAATATGAACATATAAATACATACATACATACACTTAAAAATGACAATAAAATATTATAATTACATTTACTTCTCCTGACACATCATGCTGTCTCTCACTTTTCTCTTTTCAGTCAGATGTTAGTCTCACATCCACTGAGCTACCTCCACCCACAGAGTGGAGGTAGAAACAACTCCCCTTTGATGGCAGCCTTTGCAGCACAATACCTTGATGACTTCCCTAAAATCCACCTCTAGTTTGGTAAAGAGCTTCTTAAATTACCCAGTTTGAGTGTTCCATCTGATCCTTGCCAAGACCCTACTGACACACCCACCACTGGGTCACTAAGCACCTAGGATATTGCCTGCCTCTAATTGGCATTCATTAGATCCACACTTGCTTACATTTAATAATAATAAGTAATAAAGAAATGTCTCCCAAACTGAGTCACAAATCCCTCTGTGACAAGAACTCAAACCTTGCAATTTATATGTCTTTTTTTTAATTTTCTTAGCTTTCACAATACCTAACATTGAAACATACTGGTTTGATTGATGGATAATGTTTTCAAAAAGTTTCACACAAAAAAATAGCACCACCAGAATGAAAATAAGTATGTATGAAAAAAATTTCAGAACTTTCAAATGCTTTAAAATATTGATGCAAGATAACTTCACTAAAACAACAGAACTTTTTTATTTTGAACAATTGTCAAGACTGAGATAAAGAAACAGAAAGCATTTTTAATAGCTGTGACAGTTTTTTTCCCTTTTGACTTTAGATAAATTATCATAAATTTTAATTTTAAATACTTAAATAAATTATATTTATCTTATTTTAATCATTAAAATATTTTTAAAGATTAAATATTGTTCCCTACAATGAACAATATTCTCAAGTTACAGTTTGTATACATTTTGCATTTTATTCCTTAAATTATATAATTTTGTTTTTCTCTTTCATAAAAACTAGGACTTAAATTTAAAAATAGTCTTTTAGAAACCTAAAGTATGGACCCAAATTAACTATGAGCACATTCCTTTTCAAGAGTTTATTTGTCCTTGTATATCTTCTTAAAGGTGTTGGAGAGCCATAATATCCTTAGCATACAGCTTGCTTCTTTTTATTTCTCCATATCCTTGATAGAAAATAAGTAAGTACTTTATGATTGTATGGATGATTTTATGCATATAATAGGGGATTTCTGAGCAGACCAGTTAGAGTTATATTTTTATTTCCCTAATTTGTACATTGCCAAAACTCTGGGAGAAATCATGGGAAATGGAATGAGGGGGCTGACTGCAGCTGCCTGTGCACTTTCTCGTAATTTCCATGTTTCTAGTAGCTTGGCAGGTACATGTAAGACGAGCATGCTCTTCGACTAAGGCTCTCCATCACTTCCCAGAGGATGAGATAATGGCAAGAGAGACTTGCAATTCAGATAGGTCATGAGAGGTAATGTGATCAATGTAGACACAGACAAGAGCAGCTCTTTAGTCCTGAGGAATTTCAATAACATTAATTGCTTTGTGGAACATGTTACTATTCTCTATTCAATTTAGAGAGAGTTGAGACTACATTTCACTTCATCACAGTGTTTCTGAGGACACATTTCTTGCAAATCCCAGTGGCATAAAGAATTTAACTTTTTCTAGGCAATTGATTTGATTTTTCTTAAATACTGCAAGCTTTGAACCTGATTGCATGTTTCTCACTGCTACTTGCATGCCTAGAGGTAAATTTGCTGTCCATCCCTAGAAAAGCAAAGGATAGCATGCCACATATTTTATGAGTTAATCTTTCACATTCTTTACTCAACTTGAACCCTTTATCCCTATAAATTGTAGTACTATTTCTCCCTGATGTATCAGATGTATCTTTTTTCATATATATTTAACCATGTGTCTCAGCCCAATCAGACCATTAACACCAGGGACAAACCTAATTTACTGACCAATTGCAATGAAGGAAACTACATTCTAGCAGAAATCTGGGGCATCTCATTAAATGAAAGAAAGATGGAGTTTTATAAGATTGAGAAGGGTAGAGCATAAGAGAAATTTAAATGAAGCCGGGTATTAATAGGTGTAAAGCAGAACTGTGTAAAAAAGAATATGGCCTGCAAAGTGGATTCTGGATCTTGTTTTCTTAGAAACCAAAAAGTCAAGATAAAGGTAGAAGGTTGTGTTTAGAAACCCCATATTTGAAGCTCTAGGACTAGGCTGGAAACTGAGTTACCTCTTCGTGTCAAAGTGACTTTGGTACTCCAGGCAAGAATGCAGTGTTTAATTCTTACTGATGTAATTTCAAAGAGCAAATTTTCAGATAGTCTATGATTTGAGAGAACAAAGTTTCTCAGTGTGTAAAAACACAGTCTCCAATTGAGTGAAGGAGGTCATTATGACACTTTCCACCTGCAGTGTGTCCTTGGAAAAAATATTGTTTCCCGATAAATTAACTGTTAACTTCATCTATGTCTGTTATTTCAGCCTGATGGATGGCTAGGTAGACCTTTACTTTCTTAGTCCAAGTTAATTTTTACTTTCTCACATGTTTAAATGTAGCAATGTATAAATTAAGAATAACCAATGAACAGGATACTGAATTTCATGAAAAGTCAAAATACAAAGCTAAAGAAGTTAACATTTCAGAACAGAATTCTGATTTTACCACAGGCATTTTTTTTAAGTAGCGATTATTTATCCAACAATCTTTCAATTAACCCATACTTACTAATGTCATTGTTTTTGGTCTCTCTCCTTCTTGTACTATATCATGTATCATTGATCTAATATGATAGAATTTGGAGGGTTTTCCCATTTGTGGCATTCATTTTTATGTGTGAGGAAAATGACTATCAGTTCATTGGAGTTAGGCTAATCCTGAAAGCCCAAAATAATGAAGTACCTCAGTCGAATGTTTATTCATCATGCAGTTAACAATATGTAGACCAGAAAGTATTTTTAAGAATGTTGAGAGATAAACGAATGTTAAAAATGTATTTTTTTTCTGCAATTACTAGAGGAACTTCAACCAGGTTACACACGTTCACACATACAATTACCTGTTAGGTGGGGACTGGGGTATTTAAGTTGTGATATAGGCAGAGGGGCAGTGGCAAAGCTAACTTTAGTGGTTGGAGAGAATGTAATTAAAATATTTATACCTCACAGGCAATCTGAGTACGAGAACATATGATCTTGGGTCTCTGCAGCTCTAAAATAAAGGAAACGTATATTCCTGACCACTAGAGAGAGGCCCAAAATCCAGAAATGCATTGGTTGTGTACTGTTTGGCTATTATGATACCACCAGGTCATTCTTCAGTGGTTTCCAGGTGATGATAGGTATTCAGAGATCCACTGTCTTCTGAGGGATTTTGGCATGAAAGAAATGAAAATCAGGAGCTTCTCCTTAAAAGTAATGTTTAAGGAATCAAGCAATGCTAGTATATTAGTCCATTTTCACGTTGCTGATAAAGACATATCTGAGACTGAGTATTATACAGAAAAAAGCGTTTAATGGACTCACAATTCCATGTGGCTGGGGAAGCCTCACAATCATGGCAGAAGGTGAAAGGTGCATCTTACATGGATGGCAGCAGGCAAAGAGAGTTTGTGCAGCAAAACTCCCACTTTTAAATCCATCAGATCTCATGAGTCTTATTCACTACCATGAGAAAAGCATGGAAAAGACCTACCCCCATGATGCAATTACTTCCCACCAGGTTCCTCGTGGAATTGTGGGAGTTATAATTCAAGGTGACATTTGGGTGGGAACACAGCCAAACCATATCAGCTAGTGACCTCTCTCTCTTTTTTGCCTCTAATTTTACACATTCATATCAGTAATCTTAGGATAATGAGCCTCAACAAGGTCAGGAGAGAGGCAGAATACCATAGCTGTTACCCTTAGGCCCTAGATTCAGATTACTTGCATTTAGAGTCTGGCTCTAACCACGTCTGTGGCTTTGGGCAAGAGTCTTAATATCTCCAATTTAAGACATTGAACACTGTGATTCTCCTATATATGAAATAGAGATAATGATCATATCGTTGTAAGGAATTAAATGAGAGAGCATGTGTGCCAAAATTTTAGTATCGTGCCTATAGCTGTAGGATGTGCTCAATAATGATACCTGTTTGTAGTTACATTTTTAAAACAAGCATAAATAAAAGTTTTCCTCTAGAAGCCATACAGTACCTTTCTGAATATGGCAGTCATTTTAAAAATATTAAAAATTATGCAATTCCATGAGAAACCCTTGCCTCTAGGAATAATGTATGAGTAAAACCTTTTTTTATTCTCGCAAAGAAATACTGAATGAACATTTAGTTCAAATGATGAACTATATTTAATAGCTTACTTAAATAAAAAATGACACTGTAGATGAAACAAATACAACCTGTCTCCACTTTCAAAAATGTATTAGGTATGTGATCATTCATTCCACAGTGATTCATAACATATATAAGGTATGCAAGCATACTGTTATGTTCTAGGTATCAGAGGTTGAATTTTCAAAGTATCTGCCTTCAAGCAGATCATGACATCATGGGAAGGCAAGTAGGCTGTAACATGTACAATACATCCTTACTTCACATCATTAATAGGTTCTTGAAAACTGCTACCTTAAGCAAATTGACTAAAATGAAACAGATTTTTTTCTTATATTACAATTAAACCACATTATTTGAGGGCCTACTGTATGTCATTTCATTTAAAGTCACAGATTCCAAGAACCTATCAACAATTTGAAGTGAGGACTGATGCCTCTCTAATGGAGGTAGGACAAAGAAGGCAGGTTGCAACTCATGGCCGTGAGGGTTAAGTTCTGCCCCATCACAATGGCAATGGTGTTCCTGGAATGATGTAGAGTGCAGCACACAGTGCAGCACACAGGACCCAAGCATGGCATTGATGTGGGGCTGTTATTTGACCTTAGTGTTACAGAATTAAGAATATCTTGTAAAGTCGAATAATGTATGCAATTCAACTCAATAAACATACATTTAGCATCTTCTACATGCCAGTAGGTGCTTTGAATAATAGTGAGGTAATATAAATGCCAATAGACTGAATACAGAGTACAGATAAAAATTACTTTTGATTAAAAAATTAAGTGAAAAAAAGGAAATCATAAAAGTATTTAAAGGAAAAATAAGAGAATTATTTTATTTCCTCAGAATAGGAAAAGCCTTTCTAACACAGATGCAAAATTCACATAAGAGAAAATAAATTCAAACACATAAAGATGTTTTATGATGCCTGTATGGGGAAAAATTAGTATAAAAATAATGTTGAGTTAGGAAAAACAGTTGCTAATCTTATTACAGATGAAGAGCTCATTCCCTAAATGTTCATAGTTCCTAAGAAATCAAGACAAACCTGTAAAGAAGGTTCATAGAAAATAAATACAAACTACCCTTAAACAATGGGAAAATGCTTATTCACTATGGTAATAGGAAAAATACAATTAAAAAATTCACTGAGGTGTATTTTTCATGTATTCAGACAGGCAGAATTCAAAAGTTATACAATACCTAATGCTTAGGTAAATCTGTACAATTCTTCTAGAGGACAATTTGACAATTAAATGTATATACGCTTCACCCAGGAATTTCACTTCTGGGAATTTTTCTCACAGATGGCCTTCCATAAGTGCAAAGTAATCTACGTACAAAGTTACTCAATTGCAGCAGTGCTTTTAATAGCAAAAGGTTGGAAACAACCCAAAAGACCATCAGCGGGGCACTGATTAATGAAATCATAGTACATTCCTGCAATGGGCTATTACGCAGCTGTAAATTTATAAAAGGAAATGGCTCTCTATACTACCACTATGCCAAACTCTCCAAAATATATTAAGTGAAAAAAGAAAGATGCATAACAGTTTGTGTAATGTGCTTCATATGTGAAAGGAAGAGGAAAAAATAAAACTATGTATTTATATTTGCATGAAACAACTTTAGAAGGACATATATACAACTGGTAAAAATTATTAACCATGATAGTGGGTAATAGAAACTGAATAAATGGGAAAAAGTTAGATGCTGAACTTCCTACTGTAGAGATTTGAAAATTTTTAATTTCTAACCCATGTAAAAGTGTGTTGCCCATTCAAAAATATAAACAAATTAATACATATTTTTAAAGGAAATATCAGTGTATCCTCTTTAGTGAAAGTGAACCAACAGATATTGATTACCTGTTTTTTGTCAGTTATTTTGCTAGGCTGTGTGCATGTGTTATATAATTATATATATTTCATTTATGTTATGTATTATTTAAATGTTAATAAAAACTTTACGAGATAAGTAACACCCACGGTTTACAGATCAAATAATTGAGTCTCAGAGAGATTAAGATGTCTAGGTTTGTCCAACTAATAATGGTAATAGCTAACCCTTATACAAACTTAACCATGTGCCAGGTACTGCTAAAAGTACTTAATATAGATTAATTAAATCCTTAAACAATTCAATGGGACAGCTACTAATATTTGCCCCCATTTCACACAGAGGAAACAAACATACATACAAGGGTGAGTCATGTGTCCCTGATCCCACACTGAAAAAGTGGCAAATTAAGTGTTCAAGCCTTAGGAATCTAGCTCTCTACAGTCCATATTCTTAACCACTTTGCTATTATCTCGGTAATTCTACCAGTAAATCCCACTATTTTCCCTTGTACCATGTTTTATTTATGTGCCAAAACGCGAGCATTGAAAAATTACTGTCATTAGTATACAATAAAATTTTTTAAAAAACTGAAATCATGAAGAGCCACATGGACACAGAAATAGTAAGTTGTTCCCAGTCAGCGGGGAGAAAAATTCTCTTAAAATTTCATAGTGATTCTTTTTGAATGCAGTGTGCTATGAGTTGGTGAGGAACTGGACTAGGGATTAAAGGGTCTGGGTTCCTAAAGCAATTTTGTCACTATGTGGCAGGCTGGTTCTTTTCTTTGTTCCTGCTTCCTCAAATGGAAATGATTGTCTTTGTCTGCCACTACCTGACATGCCACAGTTTCAAGTTCTGTAAGAACAGAAACTATGCCCAAAATCTGACACCACAGAAACTTTTCCAATGAATTTTTCTAGCATGTCCCCAAAAGGGCCTACCAAGTCTGTAGCACCTTTAGGAAATCAAGTATAAAGGCATGCGGTCAGGAACTACCTGGTTCCTTAAACTGCTAAACAGTGAATTTTTACTCCATTCTCACTAGAATTATTTCTAAGAGATTAGAACAGGGTAAAAGGTCATAGCTGAGCCAGCCATCAGCAAAGGACTGAGCTGTAACTCCATGTCCAGATGGGAGAAAAAGCTACGAATTCATTCTCCTGAGCTCTGCATTTTTGTTCTCTGCCAATTGACCTTACTGAAGAAAGACGTACACCACTTAAGAGCTCAGGCTTAGAATATTATATCCCATGTAACTTCTGTTGGGTTTTTACAATATTAAAACGCACTCTAATTTTAAATTTAGAACAGCAAAGGAAACATACCAACATACATTTTAGATGTTTGGAATTATTTAACTATATATTTACAAACCATGGAATTCATGGTTTCATTTTATTATAGAGTACTTTAATTAAATCCTCAGATCTTAAGATTTGAATGATTGTTCCAGCCAGCTGCCAAATTGTAACTGACACATATAGAGACAAGAGTTTAAAGTGGGATTGCATGGTCACAGCCAAAGCTTAACGTCTGCTGCAGAGCAGGATGTAGGGTGTTGAATACTGCCATCTCAGCAGACTATAGCTTAACTGCCAAGGCCTGACAGAAAGACTGATTTTCTTGAAAGGCAGCTGAATGTTTTAGGAAATCATATTGAATTTGTAAAATATCTACAACATCTTTTCATCTGAGTTATGAATCTTTATTTGAGAACTTTATTTTGAATACATTCAAAAAGAGGACCCAATATATAGGTATAAAACACTTTAGAATGCATTCTAAAGCACTGTTGCAAGGAATTTTTGGAAGCCTGTGAATCTATACCCACCATTTAAAAACACAGAATTGTCATTTACCCTGAAAGTGTTCTCTAAATCAAATAAATAGGTGACTTTATTTCATAAAGTTTCAAGCATCAAATGACAGACATTGAAAGTGCAAAAAGATGTCTTTGCAGCATTTTATAATTTTAAGAGTTAAACTATGCCTTTTTGGTCACCAGTAGTTACAATGTGCATAAAAACACCAACCAGGACAATCATGTCAGTCCTTAGAGAGAACAGGATACTAGCTGTTAGACCTTTTATAAACAGGAAGGGAAGAGAGAGGAGTGAATATAAGAAAACATGCCCAACATAATCTGTTCAAATCTTGATTTTAATATTTATGTGACTTTAACAAAAATATTTAGCTCTTATCTGAAGTATTTTTTAAATCATCTCTACGTCCCGAGCTATGCTAGCTAAATTAAATGTGTAAGCAATACACATGGCGTCTGGCACTCAGATGACAATCAACAGACAGTGGCTGAATCCTGAAACTTGACACATTTATCTTGTATTTACCATACACCCTTTCTACAGCACGAGTGTAAAATAAGTTTCCTTTTTTTAAGCGATCAAAACTAATTTTCCAATTTTGTTTTGTTTTGTTTTGTTTTGTTTTGTTTTGTTGAGACAGAGTTTTGCTCTTGTCGCCCAGGATGGAGTGCAGCAGCTCAATCTCGGCTCACTGCAACCTCTGCCTCCCGGGTTCAAGCGATTCTCCTGCCTCAGCTTCCCAAGTAGCTGGGATTACAGATACCTGCCACCATGCCCAGCTAATTTTTTGTATTTTTAGTAGAGATGGGGTTTCGCCATGTAGGGCAGACTGGTCTTGAACTAATTTTCCAAGTTTTAAATGAAATAACTTTTCGCACAAGTCCACAGGAATAATAACATTTGCTATTATTCTTAAAATAAGATGTCCAATATAGTACCACCTGGACATTGGGTGACAACAGAAATCCCACTATTTGTATTTCCATAGAGCAGTAAGTCTGGTGTTTTGTCTGAACCCTTTCTTGCTTGTTCTAACAGACTAATTTGTCCACATTTCTCAATGGTGTACTAATTTTATTTGTTTTCAGTCTATAAGTATTTATAGATTTTTTGTCTTTGCTTCGCTTTCTGTCTGTTGCATTAATGTGATGCAGTAATCCCAGGCCCAAACTTTCATTTTAGATGGGCAGTCACATGATTTAAACTGGCAAGGAGAGTATGTTAGTTATGTACATAAAACCATATATTCCCCCAACCCTGGAAGTCAGCTTTACTAGCAATAAAGCTGACATGTTGATGGCCATCTGACTGACTCTCATATGGTTCTGAATTCAACAGAGAAGATGGATGCTATTTACAGCCGTTGCCCTACTGAAAAGCATTTGTCCTACATGTAGGGGGATGCATGATGTCATCCATCAGTGTGTGAAAGAAGTGAGGAAGAGGTCTCCCCACTTTTCTCATAAGATAGAAATTATTGCTATATATTCATCAACCTGTTCCATTATGTCATAATTACTTAGAGGAACAGGGCAGAGTATAAGCATAGTTCTTGGGTCACAGTTTTGGCTATTGTAAAAAAAAAAAAGCCATATACAGAAGGGTTTCAAGTAAAGATGGAAAACCTCACTAGACTCAGAGGTACCCAGAAATTAGATAGCTTATTACACAACAAGTAGAGATTTTCCTGTCATGGAAGAGAACGGAATATCCACTAACTGATAAAAATGAGATTTTTAAAAATCGGCTGCCAGATGGGTGGCTAGTTTTTAAGCTTCCTTCCAACAATATAATCTTAAGATTATAATTTTTAAATAATCACTTTTTTCTTTTTCTAGACTAATGTCTATCTTAACTCCTTCATCTGTTTAAATTAGTCATTCAAAACTAATATTTCAGAAAAAATATAGATGTTCTTGTTAATAAAACAGCACATAACACAAAACTCAAATACCAGCAAGTACAATGCACAAATTTGAAATGAATTTCCTTAAGAAAGCTGATGATGACAGTGATTAAACCAATTGCATTACGATTTTTCAGAAAAAAATATAAAAAGTAGACCTCAAAATAACAAGGCCTCTTTGAGCAGTACTCAAAATAATTGGCTGAATGTCTTTTTTCAATGGTTCAGAGTTTTACTTATTAACACATACATTCCACAGTAAAGGCACAAATGCACATATATTCAGATTTCTTTCTTTCTGAAAGTAACTAATTGGAACAAAGCTGATCAGTTCATCTCACAGTAGTAGTTATCTTACAGAAAGATGGAGAAACTGTTACACTTTCCTACAGAAAGATGAAGATACAGGAGATACTGGTATACCTCCAGAACACCATATATATTGCCATCTCTTTAAAAATTTACTAAGTAAAATTATTGTTTTATATTGCTGATGACTTAGAATCTCACCAGGTATCTGACTCAATGTTAATAAGGCAATGTAGCCCATTTAGGACTCATATTTGAATTTACAATTGCATATTCTTCCTGCTTTCCTTCCCCACTTTTTACCTCTCTGGCAGGATAGTTTTCTGATTTTTCCCAATAAACTATAAAGAAAATCACGTAGAAAACTGAAAATTCTACTCCATGATTTTGACAAATAATTTTTAGAATATTTTACATTAAATGATCTTAGGAGAGATAAAATATCTCATATTTTTTGTCATTTGGATACAGATTTAATTGATTACCATGAGTATTCAAGCTCATGTTATAGCTTGATTAGTACCTCTCCATAGTGCTAAGATTGATAAAAATCTAAAGTCTTACACATTTTTTGAAACTGTTTTTGTTTCATAAATACTGGAAAAGGAAAGAATGAAGAAGTGATATTGGGTCAACATGGATAGAGTTGAGAGAAATATTAGATCAATATTCTTACAACACACCAAAATATGTACCAGAAATCTTTACAATATAAATTTTTACAGCCAATGTTAAAAGTAAAAACTATTTAAAAATTAAAATGTTTACACATCAAAATGATATAAAATGTGGAGATAAAGAGCAAAATATTAAATAAACAGGACAATGTTAATATATA
Organism: Homo sapiens; assembly: GCF_000001405.40. Classification (NCBI taxonomy): domain Eukaryota; kingdom Metazoa; phylum Chordata; class Mammalia; order Primates; family Hominidae; genus Homo; species Homo sapiens. Next base: position 184,027,851 of record NC_000002.12, on the reverse strand, counting down.
AAGAATTTGATAAGTCAATAAGACAAAGACAAAATGGCAAAAGAAATAAACATATATAAACAAATAGCCAATAAATAAATGTTCACCATTACTAATAATCAAAGAAATAAAATTAAAATATCTACAATATAGCAATTGTTTTTAATGAAATTACTAAAAATGTTTAGAAAAAGTCATAGAAAATGCCAAAATATTTATTCAGTGCACTGGAAGAAACTTTGTTGAATTATTTGAATTATATATAATTCAAATAATAACAATCATGTTTACTCTTTTATTCTGTAATTGTGTTACTAGGAAAATATTTTGTAAATAATTGGGCAATGAGAAGGTATAAAAGTGCTCATCAAAATACAAATTAACATTTATTTTTAAAATAAGTAATATATTCCAGTCACTAGGGGTAAACATTATTACTCTGAGACTATCACAATTATGGATCTTATAGCTTAGCTTAGCTGGGAGTAAATGTCATAATTACAGAGATCATACAGGTGCAATGAGATCTTAAAACCTAGATTTCTGACCTAGATAAAGTGAACAAAAGAAGAATTTCTTGAGAAGGTGGCATAGAAGCTGAATCCTGGAAGATGAATGATAAACTCGTAAATGAAGAAAGGATAGTGAGGAAAAAGAATAAGCCAGTCAATAAAATTTGCATTTGCAAGGGAATTGCAGCAGGGAAAAAGCATAATACATTGAAAAAAGTACAATGTGATTTTAAGCTAAGATCATATAAAGATTGGGTAAACCAAGTTGACTTGTTCATATTTAAATACAATGGAGAGTAACAGAAATCCTTTGAGTAGAGGCATGGCAAACTAATTTATTCTTGCAACAATGTTTTATTCAGCATCTACTGTATGTAAGGCCCTGTAAACTAAAGATTCATGGTCTCCACTTTTAGGAAATTTATCTTGCAATGGTCAGATGATTGTTTTCAAAAATAATTCTCATTTCAGGATAGAGAACAGACTGAATAAAAGTGAGAATTAATGTAGAGAGAAATTTTAAACACCTTTGTTATATCCCAACTGTTAAAAGATAAACTTTAGACAAATTAAACTTAACATAGTTTATTTGAGCAAAGAATGATTCATGAATCAGGCAACACTCAAAACTAGAAGAGGTTCAAAGAGCTCCACCTTAGCAACATGAACAGTGGGCTTTTATAAGCTAAACAAGGAATCAAAGTAAGAAATTATTTAATTGGCTACCTCTCGGCATTAACCTTATTTGCATATGAATATGGTCTGGTAAAAAGTCCCAAGTTAGAGATTTGTTGGCTGTTGCTTATTAGTAGAAGGTTTAACTTTGTTTTATTGTTTACATTGAATTAGGTTTTGGTTTGCTTATCTAATGCACTGGAGCCGTCTCAGCCTAATGGCCTCCTCAACAATTCTTTTTTTTTTTTTTTTTTTGAAACAGAGTCTCGCTCTGTCACCCAGGCTGGATTGCAGTGGCATGATCTCAGTTCTCCAGCCTCAGGTTCCTGAATAGCTGGGATTACAGGCATGTACCACTATGCCCAGCTAATTTTCATATTTTTGGTAGAAATGGGTTATTGCCATCTTGGCCAGGCTGGTCTCGAACTCCTGACCTCAAGTGATCCGCCAGCCTCAGCCTCCCAAAATTTTTTTTTACCACATCTGAGAGATGATGGTTTCCTGACCCTGAAAAAAGTGGCAGTGAAAGAAATTAAAACATCCAAATTTCCAATAAGTATGTTGAGAAAATATATTTATTCAGCTATTATAAGTTATATTTTAGATGAATACCTATTGACATGGAAAGATATTTATAATATATCATAGATCTAAAAAGAAGTTATAAATCATATGTATATTATAATCTCATTTTAAAAATATTTTAATTCTTTTAATTATCTACTGCTGTATAAAAAATAATCCCAAAATGGCTACTTTAAAAAATCTCTGTTTTATTATATTTAATAATGTTGTGGGTCAAGAAATAGGGCAGTGCTAAACTGGGCAACTCTTTTGCTCCATGTAGTGTTAACTTAGGTCACTTGGCGGTATTTAGTTGGAAGATAGGCTGGTCTGAAGTATTCAGAGGGGCTTAACTCAAATATTGGCACCTTGATAGGGATAGCCAGGAAAGCTAGTTTCATCTGTGACTGCTGAACTGGGCAACTAGACAAATCCTTTCTAGCCTGGCAGTCTCAAAGTAGTTTGACTTCTCACAAAACCACTTAGAGATTCCAGAAAAGGTGTTCTAAGTAAGACACAGAATGTGGAAGCTGCCACTCTCATAAGACACAGTATTACCATCTGTCCCAAATGTTCTGGGTCAACGCAGTCACCAAACCTGCCCAGGTTGAAGGAGAGGAATTGTAGACACCCCTTGCCCTGTACACATGCACATACACCTCTATGGAAGGAATGTTCTTAAAATACTGTGACTATCTTTAATTAGCCATAGGCTTCTCTCTGGCTGCAAATTATTTTTTCCTCCATATCAAATACACTTATCTACTCCTGTGACCCCCAATGTCTCCTCCCATTATAGTATTTGTTCAAATTCCTCGATCTTGTCACCTAAATCACATCCAGAAGGAGATGAGCCTTCTCAGGTTTGCTTCCTCAGGTAAAGCATCTCTCATTCTGAATATCTGTGAAGCAAATAATTTGTCCCCCACACACATAACATTCAATGCTGAGACTTAGACACAGCAGTAACAAGTCCATGACATTTCTGAAATCTAATCAGGCACATGACTTCTACTCTTTGATTAAGGCCCAGTACTAATCTCCAGGATAATTCTTGACAGTACCCTCTGAGCCCTTGTTTCTGCCCTCTAGTTCATGTATCACATGCATTTGAAATGCTATATTCATAACTGTGTAGCTTCTCAGCCTGCCTTGTCTTTACTGAAATTTGGAGGTCCCAAGACCCCTTTTCATTTTGCACTGTCTCTGTCACATTCAATCTAAGCTGATTTAATTCTTTTAGAATCGCGAGGGTTCCTTGTGTATCAAATTACAATTCACTCTACTAAACAAATTCTGAGACAGGCCCTTCTCTACCTTGAGCTAATAGTCAGAATCCTACAGGAAAATGTTCTTAAGATTCTTCTAAGTCATTGGCATATTGAGACATTCTGGTAGCCTTATCTAAGACTTGTAGACCCTTTCTCATCCTATCAGAGATGATGTCTAAGAGGAGGTACTAAGAATTTTTGAAGTCCTACTGTGCTGGCCCTTAAATTTTTCTGATATATCAAAAAAGTTCCCACAGTACAACACGTGATTTTTAACCTTAAGCCATGCTTACTGCTAGCTGTTCTACATTTCAGTTTTGCCCTGACAACATTCAAAATTGAGATTCTCTTGGTGGGAGAGACCAAGGATGAGAAACAGTTTTATTTTCAGAACTGGCACCCATATATTTTCTCTAAATTCTACTTAAAAATCGAACAGCTCCTCCTTTCATTTATTGCATTCTTCTCTTTTATCATAGGCAACCGGAAGTCAAATCCCTGCCTTGGCCAGATCATTAAGTGACCTTTTTATTTCCCATTTTACTGCTGGAGACATCTGGTACCCTTTGTCTAGCCTCCAGCAGCATTTCCTCACTCTTTTTAATATCCTTACTAACCGTTTCTATGATGCCCTTCCAGCTCCTATCTGTCACTCCATCACAAAAATAAAGTCACAAGTTTTAGGCAACACCCTACTTCTAGATGCTAAATTTTATTTTGGCCTTTTATTGCTACATACACAGTTCCTTAACATTAATGTATTAAACCAAATATCTTATCATCTCATGATTTTATGGTTCATCTCATGATTTTGTGGTTCAGAATTTTAGATAGAGAAATTAATTTATTCTTTGTGGCATTGAATTGGTCACTCATTAGTGTTCAACTGTAGATAGGCAAATTTGGAGAATCCAAGAAGGTACCCCTTACATATCTGGCATTTTTTCAAGAATGGCTGAATGACTGAGCTCACTCCTCCAGTCAACCAGAGTAGCTACATTTGGCCTTTCTAGTGCTGTGGTCTGAGAGTAATCAGACTTCTTTCATGGTATCACAAGCATTAAAAGTATTAAGTACCAATCTCTCAAGGTTTGAGGCCAGAAACTGTATGTAACCATGTTTACTTATTCTACTGGCCGAAGTACTCAAAAGCCTGCCCAGCTGCAAGGAGAGGAGATATATGTTACTACTATAAAATAAGAAATTGGAAAAGCCTACTCAATTCTTGCCACTTAACCCAAAATGTAGAGTAAACCTGCAGGCTCCACTTTCTCTTCTCCTGACCAGCCCAATTATTTGTTTAAGCACTGAAATTATATAGTTGCTCAGAACCAGTAGATGCCTGAAACTTCCATTTAACATTGTTCTAAGATAAACAAGAAGATGACTGATTTTATCCCAAGTCTCTTATTTTTATCATATCTAATTATCCCATTCCTCTTGAAAATGAATGACCTCAATAGAGCCCCAATTTTTGTTGTTGTTGTTGTTGTTGTTGTTGTTGTTGTTAATTAGGTGAAAAAAACCATATAAGAAAGTAAAGCCCATTTATTTTCATTTCCTCTTTCAGCCTTACAGGGAATTGTTTTCACATGTTCAGTCATTTGTCCTCTACTTTTCTAGTTCCTTACATCATGCCAGAAACTCTTTCTTGCTAAACTTTTTAAGCTTCACATTCATCAGTCTGTAAGATCCATTACAAATATTTATTTAAAAAATACTCTTTTAGTCACAAATTTGAATTACTGAAGACAAACAATCATTATCTCCTGAGCCTCCTTTTTTGTTCATTTAATCAGTGATTCATATAACAGGTATTTAGCGAGCCTATACCATGTTCTTGGTACTGGGGAAACAATAATGTATAAAACAGATATATTTCCTCTATTTCTACAAAAGTGATTAGAGACAAGAGTTTAAACATGCAATTATAATCAATTGAGACTTAACAATGGTGAAGAAGACTCAATGCAGAGCATAATAAGGTCATCCAATTGAGTCTAGGGAATAAAAGAAGATTTAACAGCAGAACAAACATCCCAGCTGAGACTAGGGAAGTAAACCAGACAAGATTCAGCAAGAAAAAAGAGGAACCATTTCAGGCAATGGTGATACCATCTTTCAGGTTCCAAAGGTGTGTGACAGCATAGAATACCTGAAAAACTTGAAAAGGAAAGTTTTGAGAGGGGAGAGAAGAGAGTAAAGGGACAGGGGAGGATTAGATCAGAAATCGTTCTATAAAATATGGCAATGAATTTAGACTTTATAATAAGAATTACAATATAATTCATGAAGATATTTAAACCAGGCTAATTGTCATTATCAGAATTGTGCTAAGAAAATTATCCTGGTTGCAACATGATGAATTATTTGGAAAGGAAAAATATTGGATATAGGTATTCTGCTTCTGAAGCTATGGTGATACTTGATTAGAGGCAAACATTGACAATGAGAACAATGAATGGATTATGGAGCTGTTTAGGAGGCGTTATTGAGGGTTGATTGAGTTAGCAGCAAAATTGCAATGAAAGTATTAATAGTTAATAAGAGTAGAACAATGATAATGTGTCACACACTGTTCTAGGCCTTTTACCCGTATTATTTTATTTAATAATGAAAATAACTGAATGGGATAGGTAATAATATCTTTTCTATTTTACATACAGGGAAACTGATTCATAGAAAGATTATAGAAACATTACAGAAGGAGCATGACTAACAAGTAAATGGACTAGAATTAGACATTATGTGGTCTAAATCCAGGGTTTGAACCACACTATTAAGATGGCTAAAATAATACTATAATTGCACATTGGGGTGTAGGGAGTTTTATCTAATTTAATTTAAAAATATTTAGAGAAAAAACAGCCAGATACAAGGTCTGTCCCTGATATAATGATATCAACAATATAGGACATTTTGACAACTGGGGAAATGTGAATATAGACTTGGTATTCTAAGAAAATGTATTGAAATATAATAGTCAGAATCATTGTCTAAAAGAGGATAGATTACAAAAGAGTAGGTACACTATGATCTTTGTGACAAAAATACATATACATTTATGTAGATACATAGATAACTATGTGGAAGAATATAATTTTAGGTGTTAACAATAGTAACCTATAGATTGTGAAAATCTGATATTTTTATTGCACTTTACTATTTTTTCTGTATTTTATAACTGTCTAGAGTATATCTAAATTGCTTTGTAATCTTAAAAATTAAAAATAAACATAATAAAAGGCAAAATTATAATTTCAAAAGACAACATGTGAGATCAAACCAATTATTATGTTAATTCAACTTTATATCAGTTGTTCCACAGAGTACCAAAAGAGAGAGATGTGCCCAGGTAAATAATGAGTATAGCACTATGTCACTTTATATTGACCAGTGGCTCTGCCTTAATGGCTCTAAAGCAGAACTCTAATACAGAGTTGCAGGTTTGAATTTCTAATAACAAGACACAGAGATTACATTTCAGAGATTTATTAAAGAGTGCTCTCAGAAGTAAAACCAGGGGAAGGAAAGGAAAGTTAAGAAAATGAAAGGAAAGGGGTAGGAAGCAAGTAGGAATGAGCAGAAAAAAAAGTTGCACTGTGATGTATTCGCAGGGTAAGACATCCAACTATACAGAGAATTTTAAAATTTAGTGACCTCTCAGGAATGTCGTGAGTTTAGATGAGAATCAGGTCATTATAACCTCCCATTGATTATTCACTGGCTATGGGCCATCCTAAGAAGTGGGCATGATACTGAGTGAGTATCTTGAGCAGAGGCAGTTATCCAAGGGAACCAATAGCTGAAGGTCAGCAACACTCCTAAGAGATGAAGTAATAAATTCTTGATTCCTAGAGAAGGATATGGGCAGTATTACAGTGCCTACAACAAGAGTATACTCAAAACACTACCTTTATCTAAGTGGCTTCTTTGATCTAATTTCAACCCTGAACATGAGAATATATGACTGTACAACTTGAGGGCCATATGAAGAGTGACAAAGGACAGAATGATGAGGAAGAGAGAGAGAGAGAGAGCATTCACCCTAATGCCTATTCCATGACACATGAGTAAAGTGCAGCTTGGCCCAAAAAAGAAGACATAGAATCAACTTAAATGGACAACAGAAATGAGTCCAGGCCCAAAGCACATTAAAGTTTAACCCTTGGAAAGCTCTATATGTGAAATAATCAAGCTCAATTTGTCATTAGCTACCCTTGGCCATAACTCATGCAGGGAACTGTAAGAAAACTCTGTGTGGGGTTGGGAAGGGGGCATGAGGAGGATAAGAGGAAGAGGCCTTCTTTACCTTTCCAAATTAATGGTTAAATTCTACAAGACTCTGTGATCTACTGGATGAAGGAGTGAAGGAAAGAGGTATCTTAAGGATAATGTCAATATTTTTCCTGAATGGTTGCAAATCAAAGAGGACATGACAGCTTATTCAATTAATTGTATGAAGATGATAGACTATCTATTTTGAAAAAATAGTAAAATGAGATTCATATCTCATATCACATATAGAAAATGAATTCTACACAGAGTAAATAACTAAACACTTCAAATCAATATGCAATTAAAAACTTGAATCACATGAAACACACACACCCTTTTTGCCACACACTCCAGATGCCTAGCAATGACAGAAAAAAAGTAAAACTAAATAGATGCACGAATATGCCAAGAATAAGAAGACAGCTGCACAGCTAAACAAAAAATATGAGTACGGTTGCCAGATAAAGTACAGGATGCCCAGTTAAATTTGAATTTCCGATAAAAAAACAAATGTCTTTTTGGTATAAGTAGGCTCTATGCAATATTTAGGATATGCTTGTAACCAAAACATTATTTTTAGCATTTAATATTTAGTGTATTTAGCACATTTAGTAAGTTTTTAATGTTTAGACTATTTTATTTACTAAATCTGGCAATAAAAATAAATGATTCTTCAAAGAAAAGAGAAAATAAGATTGGAAAAATTATGAAAGGAACTATTTACAGAACTTCATAGAGGGCAGGGAGAAAGGACTAATATTAAAGGTGGTATTCAACTAAAGTGTTTTACTCTAGAGATGGTATATACCAAGCACAGGAAAGTAATCCAGGAGTATCCTCCACATGACTATTGAGGTACAGGGATGAGTAGACAGGTGGTTGTCTTTTATCATATCCCCTCTCTCTTTGGGCCAATTTGCCAAGTAATTGATTGTCTGCCTTAAAGCACAGCAGTGGAGACAGGAGCTTGGGTAACAGAAGCAAAGCTACACAAATCGTCTACAGACCTTTCATTCTCATTTAAGAAACGCAGCATTAAAAGCCACTGTAGTCTACTGTATTTATCCTCACAAACAACAGTGGCAAAGATACAAGGTAAAATCAAATAAGAAATCTTAAATATAAGTGTGTATTAGTTCATTCTCACACTGCTATACTACCTGAGACTGGATAATACATAAACAAAAGAGGTTTAACTTACAGTTCTACATGGCTGGGGAGGCCTCAGGAAACTTACAATCATGGCAGAAGGTGAATGGGAAGCAAGGTATGTCTTACCTGGCAACAGGAGACAGAACATGCACAGGGAAAATTGCCAGTTTGAAAACCATCAGATCTTGTGAGAACTCCCTCACTATCATGATCCCTCATTATCCAATCATTTCCCGCTAGGTCCCTCCCTCAACACACGGGGATTACAATTTAAGATGAGAATTGGGTAGGGACACAGAGCCAAATCATATGATTCTTCCCTGGCCCTTCCCAAATCTCATGTCCTTTTCAAATTTCAAAACCAACCATGCCTTCCCAAACAGTCCCCTAAACTCATTCCAGCATTAACCCAAAAGTCCAAATCCAAAGTCCCATCTGAGACAAGGCAAGTCCCTTCCACCTATAAGCCTGTAAAATCACAAACAAGTTAGTTACTTCCAAGATACAATGGGGTTACAGGCATTGGGCAAAAGTTCCTATTCCAAATGGGATAAATTGGCTAAAACAAAGGAGCCACAGGCCCCATTCAAGTCCAAAACCTAGTCAGGCAGTCATTAAATCTTAAAGCTCCAAAATCTCCTTCAACTCTATGTCTCACATCCAGGGCATGTTGATGCAAGAGGTTGGCTCTCAAGACCCTGGGCAGCTTCACCACTGTGGCTCTGCAGGGTACAGCCCCTTTGGCTGCTTTCACGGGCTGTCTTTGAGTGCCTGTGGCTTTTCCAGGCAGCTGGTGCAAGCTGTCAGTGGATCTACCATTCTGGGATCTGGAGGACAGCGGCCCTCTTCTCACAGCTCCACTAGGCAGTGTGCCCCAGTGGGGGTTCTGTGTGGGGACTCCAACTCCAACCCCACATTTCCCTTCCACACTGCCCTAGCAGAGATTCTCCATGAGGGCTCTGACTCTGTAGCAGACTTCTGCCTGAACATCCAGGCATTTCCATACAACCTCTGAAATCTAGTCAGAGGCTCCCAACCTGCAGGCACAACAGTATGTAGAAGTTGCCAAGACGAGGCTCGCACTGTTTGAGCTCACAGCCTGAGCTGCACCTTGGCCCCTTTTAGCCATGGCTGGAGCTGGAGTGGCTGGGATGCAGGGCATCAAGTTCTGAGGCTGCACAGAAGAGTAGGGCCCTGGTCCCAGCACACGAAACCATTGCTTCCCTTCTAGGCTTCCGGGCCTGTGATGGGAGGGGCTGCCACGAAGATCTCTGACATGTGATGGATACATTTTCTCCATTGTCTTGGCTGTTGACATTCATCTCCTCACTACTTATGAAAACTTCTGCAGTGGGCTTGTATTTTTCCCCAGAAAATGAGGTTTTCTTTTCTACCAAATGGTCAGGCTGCAAATTTTTTAAACTTTTATGCTCTGCTTCCCTGTTAAACATAAGTTCCAATTTCAAATCATCTTTTTGTGAACACATGTAACTATATTCTTTCAGGAAAAGCCAGGTCACATCTTGAGTGTTTTGCCGCTTATAAATTTCTTTTAGATACTCTAAATCATCTCTCTCAAGTTCAAAGTTCCAAAGATCTCTCAGGCAGGGCCACAATGCTGCCAATCTTTTGATAAAGCATAGCAGGAGTGACCTTTGTTCCAGCTCTCAATAAGTTCCTCATCTCCATTTGAGACCACCTCAGCCTGGAATTCATTGTCCATATTACAATCAGCATTTTGGTCAAAACCATTCAACAGTCTCTAGGAAATTACAAACTTTCTCTCATCTTCCCTCATCTTCCTTTCTTCTTCTGAGCCCTTCAAACTGTTCCAAACTCTTCCTGTTAATCCAGTTCTAAAGTCACTTGTGCATTTTCAGGTTATCTATATAGCAGTGCCCTACTCTATCAGTACCAATTCTCTGTATTAATTAATTCTCACATTCCTATAAAGATTATACCTGAGACTGATAATTCATAAACGTAAGAGATTTAATTACCTCACAGTTCTGCAAGGCTGGGAGGCCTCAGGAAACTTATGATCATGGCAGAAGGTGAAGGTGAAGCAAGGCATGTCTTACATGGCAGCAGGAGACAGAGACATGGCGTAAATGGAAAACTGCCCCTTTGAAAACCATCTGTTCTTGTGGGAAGTCCCTCACTATCATGAAAACAGTGTGAGGAAAACCGCCTCCATGATCCAATCACCTCCCACCATATCCCTCCCTCGACACATGGGGATTACAATTTGAGATGTAATTTGGATGCGGACGCAGTACCAAACCATATCAAAGTGTGAGCTCTAAATAAAAATATCAGCAAATATATGCAGAAACTTAGGGCCATTAAGGAGAAACAAGCAGATTCAAGAAGCAGAACTAGTACCTGTGGAGGAAAAAAAATTAATATAGGAGATGGAACAAAAAAATTCATAGTTACGTAGTGATGCACCACATGAGGATGTTTCCATCCATGACAGACAGCTTATATATGGTGGTTCCATAAGATTATAGTGGAGCTGAAAAATTCCTATCACCTACTGAAGTCACAGCCATTGTAACCTCATAACACAATGCATTACTCACGTTTGTGGTGATGCTGGTGTAAACAAACCTACTGCACTGCCTGTTTTATAAAAGTATAGCATATATAATTATGAATAGTACATAATACTTAGCCAAAAAGACATTCAAGGGATATAGCAAATTAAGATATTTTAGGTATGTAAACATTTACGATTCATACATAGCCCATCAAGTGAAAAAAATGAATGCAAGAGAAAGTGTCAAATGCACAGGTGACCAAATAAATTAGTAAAATATTATCACATATTTTGATTACTAATTCTTAACATCAATTTGTAAATAAAATTTCACATGAACATAGAGTACATATTTGCAGAAGAGAGTGAATACTAGATTATTCAAAATATTGTTGAGGAATAAAGGCTAATTAAGTTAACCATTTAAGTTCAAGCACTAAAAAACTAGATGAGAAATATAACTTGAAAACATCTAGAGAAAAAGAGAGATTGCATAACTTCTAACTCTGGGAAGAAATGAGTACAAAAATCAATCTGAAGCAAACAGGATACATATGGGTATACTTAAAAAGCAAAAAAAAAATCATCTATTTGCTATATACTAGAAGTATATTAAAAACACAGTGACATACTGGAGCAGACACTTGATGCTTCCATTTCCTGCCATTTTAATCCATGTCTAAGTTTGCCTGAAGCTGAAGTGGACAGTTCCCAACACGATTTCTTACCATATCAAGTGCCTGAGCTTTCTCCTTCTGTTCCTAAAGGTTTTCTCCAGCACCACTGGAGTGTGCTCAGTTTGTATCCAGGAATGCCCCAAAGATCTGAGAATTCCATATTCCCAGGTGCAACCCTTAAACAATGAGGAACTGAATTTGATGGATAAATATCCCCAACTTCCCATTTCTTTGGTGGGATGCTTGTGAGGTACCTCATAGGTTTCCTGGTAAGATTGAGCCCCAGTTGCACAAAGTGGTAACCTGCTTGTTAACACATCCTTTAATTGGCTTCTTCTCTTGCCCTGTTGACTTTCCCCACACACTGTGTGGTTCCTGGGATCACACCCCAGATAAAATACCAGCACCTAAGTCCTTTTCTTAGGGTCTGCTTTTAGGGGAACCCAAACCAAAACAGTTGTTATGAGAATTGGTATACTAATAACTCCTGGTGTGCTGTGACATCATAATTACTAAGACTTTCAGTGGTTGTGGATTGGAGTGAAGTACAGGTGGCTTAAAAATATGGAAGCAAAAGTCATTAAAAGGATTGTGGAATTAGCTGTTTTAGGTAGCTACCTTAGAATCCTTGAATAAGAGAATAATAGGCTCATGTTAGCCAACTCCAGACCTAGGGCTTGTTGCTGAAAACCAGAAAACCTCAATGCCAATATTTAAAGAGCCCTAATCTCCTGTAATAATAAGGCAGTTTTACTAAGCAGGTATAGGATTTGATTCCCAGAGTGGTAAAGCTACAAAAGAGATTGAGTACACACCCCAGAAACTCTCCTACGCTAAAATCAGGGCCCTGCTTGGGAAAGAGTTGGAATCCAAAATCTAGAATGATGATATTTGGGTGCACATGCCTGAGAAACTTAAATCTTCAGATTCCTCTGAAAACCCTAGGCCAGCAGAAGCAGCCACCTTTCTATAGTACTGTGTCTACTGTTGCAAAGACATCACAAAAGCCACACTTCAGGCAAATGCCTCATAAAATGATGCTTATCCTCCTTAATATACTCCCCTTCCTTCTCTTATGGTCTAGATCAATAATCAGAGACATGGCTCAGCATAGCTCACTCAGTTAACATAGCTTGGCATAGCAAAGCCCTGATATGAAAAAGAAAATAGATGATTTACCAAAACAAAGATCTACAGTATCTTACTAATATATTTCAGTGGGGCCTAGAGTAACACATATACGTGTAGGTCTTCAGGGTTACAACAGAGGCACAGATTAAATACTCAGTAGGAAACATTTTGTTGATATGAGGGCTCACCCCTGTAACTCAGGATACAATAGCTTGATGAAGTGGTATGCACTCAGTCCTAGTATACTTTCAGGATAGCTGTTTCAAACTTAGACACAAATATGTCCCTCATCAAATCAGGTTTTGGCAGGGCAATGAGAAAGGCATCAGAAGACCCAGGAAGGTGGTCATGTTAAAATGGATTTACTATGTGAGACTAGCAAACCCACTGTGAAAAAAGGAAGCTGAAAGACAGGAAAGTAAATAAGCAAATAAGGAAGGAGGAAAGCAAGGCAGAACAGTACCCAGAACACAGTAGATGCTCAATAAATATTTGGTGGCAAATTGATTAAATACATAAATTAAAACCCAAAATAGTAGTACAAAAATGTGATAGGTTTTGATTATCATAATTAATACGCTTGATCTTTAATGTGTGAAATGATGTCCTTTGTTTTCTTCCTAACATTTTCTCTTATAATATATATAGCATAACAACAATATTGATCAAGCATTGGAAGACAGAATAAATCTCGACAAATTCTAAGTAGCTCCTATCATACTGGCCATATTCACTGAATGCAATGCAGTAAAATTAGCATAGAAAAATCAAAAGGCAGCCCCCTTGACTCTAGAATTTTGCATTTAGAAATCAGCTAAATATTCAAATAAATTTGATGATAATGAAGAAACAGAAATATAATGACAATTAATTTAGTACAGAATTAACTATGTATGAAAATCTATCTAAAGCATTCAGAATACATTTTATAGTCTTCAATATATTTATTAGAGAATTTTAATAAAATTATGCTGTTAAATAAAAATCTTAAAAAAAGAAAAATTGCCTCAAAGGAAGTGAAAGAAAAAATAGTAATAAACATAAATAAATAAATAAAATTGAAGAAAAGATAAATTAATAAAACCAAATGCTACCCCTTTTTGGAGAGGGTGCAGGATACCTATATAAGAGCTAAATCTTTGATAGGTACTATCAGAGAGGAAAAAATGAGAGAATACACAATTACAAATATTGTTGAAGATGTAAATTAGGTGTGGTCAAAAATAATATCTGGGAAGATTCAGAGTGTATTACTTTTAATTCTAGAAATCTTTTAAATAATTCCTATTCAGGACTCTCTCAACCTCCTTCTTCTTTCCTATAGGTCCCTTTACTCACTTGAGACAAGAGGCACTTAGTTACTTCCTGCATATGGGCTCCTCTTTCAAGTAGTAAAGACTATTGGGTAAAACAGAGAAAAACAGTTGCTCCTCCATTCCCTTCCCACATCCAGGGGCTGATGTGCAATTCTGAGAGCATCCAGATTTACTGATAACTGTCTCCATGGAACCTTGTCCTTGTCTGACATAGCAATGGTCTCCTTTAAAATTTTTCTTCAAACTGCAATAAAACCAACACTACACTTTTAGCATACTTCCCATGACAACAGAGTCTGAAACTGATGGCAAGGAACTCAGATGCATAACATACAAGCAAAGATTATGTTGCCACTTGGATTTTCTTATTTCCACATGTTTGCTCATGATTAATAATAATAGCCACTTAAAATTATCTTTGGTCTAAGCAAGATGAATATTTTTCGCACATGTGGTCTAAAACTAATACATCTGAAAACTGATCAAGAAATTCTGCTAACTTTGCTTATTAGCAACCTTAAAATTCTCCTAGAGCCTATTATTCTTTCAGTCTGAGTTTTTTTCAAGAACTTCTTTTGTTGAGTGTGTAACATAATCTAGGTTATAAATGTGCACCTTCCTTAAAAGCATGCAGGAAAATAGGTCCAGGATCCCAGGGCATCAAGAAGTCCACTTAATTCCGAGAACACTATTGTTTGAGGACATTACCTTACCTCTCCTCTCCATCGCTTTCATTCTGTTTTGTTTATAAATGAATGTAATGGCTAATAACATTCTATATTACTCTCCCCTGATGTAATTATTGTGGCTATCTGAGGTATCTGCTGACTCTGGTTTATTTTTTACAACATCATTTGTATTACTTTCTAGGACATAGTCACTGAATTTTTAAATTCATAGAACTTTCTCAAGGCCTTGATTCAAATATAAGGACAACATTTTGGCTAAAATACCTGAAATATAAACTAAAGTCATAAAATGCAGCATACCCAGGTCTAAAAATAATATTTATTACATAGGTATACTATAGTTTTTCAGTGCTTCTGTAGGTGTGGATGGCTTATGGGAGAATCTGAATTTTGTCTTTATATGTTAATATATTATCAAAGTTTTCTACATGAACATGTATTATTTATATTTTGAGGTTAATATTATTTAGAAAAATAAATTAGAACATTTAAAGCTTAAGTGTTTCTTCTATACTTTTAAGAATGTTATTCTGAAATCACAGGTATGTACAATTATTGTTCATGTCAGAAAACATGAAGAAATAACAATTACAACAAAAGCGTACAATTTGCAGAGACAAAAGGAACCATGGAAGTAATATTTTTTATCTTTCAGATGAGGAAACTCAGAAAAAGAGTGTATTGACTTGTTTCATGTTACATCTCTAGTTAATAGGATGGCTGAGAATGTAACCTCCTGAGTGTCATATGTTTCTGTCCATTATCCTTACAAATGGTTTATGTTTCCCAGTTGTTTTGGCCCCATCATCCCTACCATATAATGAGATTTTTAAAGAACCAAGTATCCTAGTTTTATTACAATTCCCTCTGCAGCAGTAGCCTGAACACTAAGAATTCAATGCATGTCAACTTATTGAATATCTGTGATCCTGCAGAAAATAAAATGCTTTCTTAAGAGGTAAAAACATAAATACAAGAGTGCCGATAGTAGGATGGTTCAGAATTAACTACAAGGAATTCAGTGTAAGACAATTTCACAGTAGTAATTCTTAGGTATTAAAGGCAATTACTTAAAAGTAAAGCCATTTCATAAACCACTAAGCATGGGGATAGAAAAAGATAGGATGATTTAATACAAGTCAAAAATGGTCTTGATGTGAATTCTGGTGGGCATTAGAGATTTCTTGTTTTCCAAATCAGCTGTTTTTATGTAACTCAGATTTCTGGTGAGGTTAGTTTGCTCTATAAGATCTACATGAGATTCCTTTGCATCCCCACCTCATTCCTGTGGATGTTCAAAGTCCTGCCCAAAGTATAGGTAAATTCCCCCAAGCTTATATTACCAATGAATTAAACACAGCCAGAAATAAAAGCCATTAGTGATGTAAATTGATGTGAGGCTTTGAAAAATACCTCTAATAGTGTAAAGATTTTCCCCTTAGATATATGATACTACATAGAATAAGTAACTATTTGCCACACATTTTTTTTCTGTCTCAAGCATCAAATCTGAGAGCTGTGAATGAATAGATTATATCCAACTTGGTCAGCAATAAGTTATAAACTATGGCTATATAATTATAGAATATTGCTTATTTATAGAATGGAAATTTTAAATAAAAACATGAAGAGTTTCTTAATTTTTTAAAATTCATTTTCTTTTACATAAAGCATTCTCATATTCCTTGTAAGTTAGAAGCCTAGGATGTGTAATAAATTTTGCTAAGTGAGTAAACAGCCTTGGGCCAAGAGGAATCCAGTATGGTAAGAAGCCTCTCAATTCCCATCCCACATTTAAGTATCCAAAGATTTCCTCCTAAAGACTTGCAGGCAATCCAAATGTATAACTAAAATCACTGAAAGATTTTATGTTAAGTTTTGTTACACCTACCTCTCCCTCAAAAATAATAAGTACCGATTATAATCAGACAGATTGACCGATTAGATGATGAGCTTTCTGAGAAAAATACACCTGCTGCTTCATTTCATGCTTAAAAAACAACAAAAAAAGAAGAAGAAATAAATTTCAAAGATTGTGATTAGTCAAACTCAGAAAAATAAATACAAAAAAAAACAAACTTTCACCTCACGTAAATTGTTTTAACAACTTAGCTAGATTTTAATTACACAAAATTAAAATGCAAACTTCATATTTATTGGTCAGTATAATCATGTTAAATTCTTTTATAGAACTGCCATGACTTGGTTAAGAATACTTGTTGATTGTTCATGTTTCATCCCCCTTGTGATGTCAAAATAGAAACAGATAGTTGGGGTGGGCACCATCTTGCAACACCATCCTCAGAACTAATGGAGTAAAATTATTATCTCTACTTAGGTTATTTCAGGGTTTTAGCAAGGGTTCTCAAGAGAAACAGAACCTACAGGATATACAGATAAAAAGAAGTTTAGTAGGGGAACTGGCTAATGTGATCATGGAGGCTGAGAAGTCTCATGATAGGCTGTTTGCAAGCTGGAGAACGAGGAAAGCTGGTAGCTGGCTCAGGCCAAGTCCCAAAGCCTCAGAACCAAGGAAATTGATGGAATAATTCTCAGTCTGAAGCCAAAGTCCCAAGAGCCCCAGGGATTGCTGATGCCAAGTTCTGAGTCCAAAGGCCAGAAAGTCTGGAATTCTGATGTCCAAGGGCAGAGGAAGGACTTCTCATCTCTGGGAGAGAAAAAAATAAAATTCTCCCTCCTTTGCCTTTTTGTTTTGTCTGGGCTATTGCCCACTCATTTGAAGGCATATCTTCTCCCTCAACCCACCCACTCACATGGAAATCTCTGGAAGTATCCCCACAGACACCTGGGTCAGCCCAATCTTTAATCAAAATCAAAGCCACCTGGGTTTCTCTTTCAGCAGAGGGACAAGCTCAGTGCCTACTGAAGCACTGAGAATGAATAGTGCTTTACCAGCTATCCCTTTATCCAGTCAAGTTGACATCCCCAAATAAACCACCACAAGGAAGCTAGAATGTGCCAAAATAGAAATAGAGTTTGAAAGATAGGGTTTCCAAAGGTGAAGGGGGTCGTGGGAAAGAAACGTTTTCAATTCTACCCATTTTCCAGGGTTCTACTTCTCATCAGTTTAACACTGCTCACCAACCAATCATGAATTCCTTCTACTCTGACATAGTATAAAAGATTCAAAAAGAGATTAATGAACAGTAGTAAGACTTGTAGTGCACTTATCTCATATGAGAAATGGAAATGCTTTCTTTTACTTCTTTACTATAAAAATCACAGGCTTTCCCTGAGGTAAAGATATTCTAATTCTATATCATTCTAGCTAAAATTTCCAGAAACAACCATAAGTTTATTAATGACATCACTAAATCTGATCCTGTTATTAAAATTTTTCAGGTTGGGCAATTTGAAGTCACAGTCATTATTAGTGTTCCTAATTGTGAAATTAATATATGTTAATTACAAAAAACTTTTTAAAATAGAGATCATATAGCAAGAAACACAACTATAGACAACCAATCACCCAAAAATATTCAAAATTGCCAAACCCAAATCAAGATTGCCACTGCAAATATTGTCAGCTCACTTTTTTAACCCCTTCTAAGCTTTCAATTCCATTGAGATGAACTCATAGACCAGCCATCATATTTCATCACTTCTGATATTTTCTGCTTTTCACCTATGTGAAGCTTATAAGCAATACTGTATTCCTCCCTCACGGTATACTTGGATTAATTTACATTTTTAGAAAAAAGTTCATGTCTCCATTTTTATTTAAATTGAACTTTCAAAGAGATTGATGGTTATTAGATTGCATGTGTATGTGTGTGTGTATGTATGATTTAAGTCACAGTTAATAAAGCTAATGCAGCTCTTATGAGCAGAGCACTATGGAGTAAAGTATCTTCTAGATTGTTTTGTAGACTACCTGTTTATCTACTTCTAAAGAGGGCTACTGATGGGTAGGGGACACAAAATGGCCCATCAGCCTGTATCAGTAATCCTGAGTGCTTTCTGCACAGTAGTAGAACTTGACCTCATGAGACAAGCAGCCAGGAGTTTTCATCGTTACAACCAACTACCTAACAGATAATTGGCATGCTTTGTGTTTTATGAAATTAACTGTATACCAGATAGCACCCAGCTCACTCTGGTACAAATGAAAGTTTATGCACTATAACTAAAAATGTAGACTGTCATTTAGCTTATTGTCTATAACATGAAATATATATCATTCTCCAAAAATATCACCATAATAATAGTTAATGTATGGTGTTTAATAGCTTGATGATATATCAATACAAATGAGCTACACTATATTGGCTTCACAGGATTACTCTTACTGAACTCCACTTTATACCATCAATCAACTCAAAGATATATTATTTTTAGAACTTTTATCAAATGTATTGTGGCTTAATTATGATGCTTCAAATGAAGGATGTTGTCTCTAATATCAAAGTGTCTTTTAATATCATGTATTGCCCATAAGATTTCATAGGAGAACTATTATTCAAGTCTCAGTTTCAGAAACACCTGTCTTCTGAGTAACAGTAGGTTTATATTTATCTTACCAACATGATGAATCTTCTACTGGATCATGATCCTCACTTTTTTCTGGCTTTGAGTGAATTAGAGCTGAATGTGGCATATTTCTAGTAACTAGTAGGGCCTCTGATGTGCATTTCTGCCTGTGTTCTATGAATCCCTGCTTTTGTTATCTTCCTATTCTTATTTTTCCTTTACTTAATTTCTCAGCTATTTGCTTTAGCCGTTTTCCCTACACATATTGTAAGCCACTTCAACTCCTTTTTGAAACAAATAAATATAAATTAGTCATGTTTATTTCATCAGGCTTCATGTTTATAAGGATAATTTGCTCCTATATTTATCTAAATCTTTTAACAATTTGTGTATATTTTAATACTCATTGAGTTTGTACAAGAATAAAAACACCCTTAAAACTATGTTAATAGCATTTTCTTATCTCCAATTTTTATTGAATTAGGCAACAAAGAAACCTTGAAAAATCCTCTTATTTTTCTTTTAGCTCAAAGATTCGTGAGGATTTTTCAAGCAAAGGTAAGTAATAAGATAAATAAAAAGATTTCTAAAGGGGATACAAATTAATAAACCACAAGAAACTTCACTAATCCAGTATAGAAAATTAGTTCTTAAGAAATTTCTTGGTAATCCACTTTTCAAAGTTCTCCAGTTTGTTCAGTAACAATATAAATTTGTATTGGTCCCAGAGGAAGTCACCTCTCTATAGCAAGGTTTCAGTGTTTAGCTTATAATTAAGTACTTGAAATACTTGAGAATATGATTATTGGGGCATCAACCCATTGCATAATATTTTTTTTCTTCTTCCCTCAGATAAATACTATGAGTGTGTCAGCATGAGCCACAGAGTTGAGATACATTATGCATAGTGAATTGGTCAGTATTATCTCCACTCTCTTAGGAGACAAAGTTGAGATTATACAAATTAAGCCACTTTGTCATTCTTTGATTTCCTTACTTGGTTCCACATGCTTAAGAATGGAATTACTTCTCCAAAGGTAAAATCAAGGACACATTTTACTCTATAGACACTACAGACATACATAAGTATATAAAGGTAATATTCCATTTACTTAGGAAAACATGCCATTTAAAGTGAAACTAGGGTGGGTGCAGTGGCTCATGCCTATAATCCCAGTGAGTTGGGGGACAGAGGCAGGAAAACCGTTTGAGATCAGGAGTTTGAGGCCAGCCTGGCAATATAGCAACACCCTATATCTGCTAAAATAAAAAACATAAAAATTAGCCAGGCATGGTGACATATGCCTGTAATCCTAGCTACTTGGGATATTGACACAGGTGGAGCACTTGAGCCCAGAAGTTCAAGGTTACAGTGAGCTATAATCACAACACTGCACTCCAGCCTGGGCAACAGAGTGAGTCCTGTGTCTAAAAACAATAAAAAATAATAAAGTGAAACTAATGTGAGCAATGTGGGAGAGCATATAGCATTTTAAAGAGACAGGCAGTTTTAGAAGTGGTTTAATTCAGGTCCCTTATTTTGTAGATGATACTGCTGGCCAGAAAGCTGAGTGATTTTCCTCAAAGTCATGAAGCAGGTCAAAACTCAGGCCCTCTGATGGCCCAAATCTGCACATAAGTATCAATACCTCTTTGAGAGAAAATGCTTTTGTCACCTTCCATAATATCTTTTGATCATAGGGAGTATTTGTTATATAATTACCTTTATATTAGGTTGGTCCAAAAATTGTGGTTTTTGCAATTAAAATGCCAAAACAGCAATTATTTTGCATCGACCTATTATGTTCTTTTAAAAAATTATTCTAAATGCAACTTTTTGGGACAGTGGTTTGTATTTGAATCATTTTGCCATGTCTAATTAGTGGCATTAATGAACTTTCTATTCACATAAGAATATTCAACAAACACATTTCACTGGGCATAGACAAGGGTAGGAATGAATTATAGAAAAAAACACTAAAAATAAAATCATGAATTTGTAGGAAATTTTCTTCTCAGTTGTGTGTGCCTTCATATTTATTTCAGGCATCTTCTATACAAAATTTGTCCAGATACCAACATTAACTAGATAAAATGTAGATACTAACATTAACTATTCGGGAAGTAATTTGGTAGCAAATGACAGAAAAAAAACAAGCAAAATTAATTGATTAAAACTGTGCATTTATTGACTCATATAACTTGAATGTCTAGGAGTATTTTTAGGACTGGCTAGCTACAGAAAATAAAACAATGTCAAAAAAAGCTTTCTTGCTTGTGCCATTACATTTTCTACATTGCTATGGCTTGGTTAAATTCTTAGCTCCCCCTACAAGGTAGAAAGATAGCTGCCTACACTACACAGGTTATAAATCATCCTAAGAGCAACTCCAGTGGGGCAGGTAGAAGGATATTATCTTCAGCAGTTCCAAGAAAAATCCTAGAATCTAACCCTCAGAACTCTGATTGGATCATCTACTCAACCCTAAATTAATCCTTGGAATCTGTTTGCTTAAGCCTGGTCAAAAGGCCACTCACAGAGCAGGGTTCAACTCCATCTCATTCAAAACACATAGAGTGTAAATGGAAAAAGCAATAATGCTTTTGCCAGAAGTAAAAATGAAAGTTGAGCAGGCCAAAAATGATAGATATCTTCTGCAGTGTATTTGCTAGGCAGGGAAGAAAGTTTGGAGCTTCTTTCCCTACCTTATCTCCCTATTTTTGCCCCATAAGAAGTCGCTATGGATTATTTTCTACTACACTGACTGGAGCACATACAAATAATAGGTGGAGTCACAATGTGGCACCAGATTTCATATGGACATAGCCCTCAGCCTAACTCCCTCTGTCCATGGAACAGAAATGCTAAGTAGTAGATCTGTTTTCAAAGTAGAAGACTTGGCTTATCATGTTTTCGCCCATTTCTCTCTATTCCATTTCTCTATTACCATCACAGTGGTAAAACTCAAGCAAAGATTTGATGTTGTAGAAGGGGAGTTTGAAAACAAGATAGAGAGCAGTCTTTATTTAGAGTTAGGACTGAAACTTTTTAGGCCTACCTAGTTTAAGGAAGTGCTCCCTGTGATCTAGCACCAATGTAGATTACTATTATCAGCTATCCACTCACTCCCTGTGATCCAGCCCCAGCATGGATCACTATTATCAGCTGTCCACTCTCTCCTTATAATAGAATTATTCATTCACGCCCTTTTCCAAGCAGCTTTTTAATGCCTTTCTGTTGAAGTGAACTCCTGTGTCTCTCCAAATATGGGTTTAGCTATATGATTTGTTTTGGCCAATCATATGTGAGTGAATATAATCTGTGATGCATCAAATCAGAGGCTTTAAATTAGCTCAAATGGTTTGCCTTGTGCTTTTGTGCTTCTGCCATCTGTCATCAGATTTTGCCTGGGTCCTAGAATGAGAGACATGTGGAGCAGACATGAATCTGAGTTTCAGACTAAAGAAAGCCACTCCAGCCAACTGCCAGACCTGTGAGTGAGACAGTGTCTCTTGTTGTAAATTACTGGCATTGCTGGGTTGTTTGTTAAGCAGACTTATCATGCAAAACTGACTAAAACTACATCTTATATAAGTTGTCTGCAATGCAACAACTTGGTCAATTTGAGCCAAAAACAAATCTAAGAAAAACATTATTTTAAGATATTAGAGGGATAACTCACATGCTCTGTTTTCAGAGCACTGTTGGGGTATTGCATTTGTTTTAAGACTAATAACCAAAGTAGAATCAAATTACCTCAATGTCATCACTTGCTTCTCTCCAGCAGTTTGAAGTTGATATATTAGTCATTGAGGTATTTTTAACATGCCCTCTCTTCTATCTTCTTTCCTCCTATTATACAGCTGGCCTCAGACTTCTCATACCAAATGTTCTTTCCTTCAAACCCACACACCTCACCCTAATCTAAATCTTTCAATCCTTGTGCTACACTCTGTTTCCTTTCTAATTCAATTGACAAAGCAGCAAAGAACATTTCTGGCAAACAAGGATTTCCCTGGAAAACTGGACAGGACAGATTAGGGCAAACCAGAATTCTCTTTCCCTGGCAGGAAGAGAAAACAGCCACACTTGTCCACAGGCTTTCCCTACAAACTGCATGGGGAGAAGAAATTAGTCATGGCCAGTACGGGGGCATTTCCATTCCCCTCATCCTGTTCATGTCAGTCAACCAATGTTATCTTAATAAGAAAAATTACAAGTCATTCTCTTTTTCTATGTGCCTGTACTTTATTGAATTTTTAATTATAAAAAGAAATGTTTTATTGTAAAAAATTAAACAATGCAGTTATTTCAAAAAGTTAATCAACTATTAATTCCTTTTCTCCAACATCTCTGAAGTAATCAGTGTCAAATGTTAATTGCACAATTTTTGAAATATTTATTTATGTTTGTACTAACATATGATTTTCTACTTTTTTCTATAAAATGACCTCTGTTATACACTTTTATCTAAGATTTTTTTTTCTGTCTATATATGATAACATATGATGGACATCTCTTCAAGTAAATACATGTTGAAATCTAACTCATTTTTAATCAAAAATAGCTACATAAGTCTTTAGTCCATTTTAATTTGTTTTCTGTATATGGTGAGAAGTAGAGGTCTAGTTTCATTCTTCTGTATATGGATACCCATCACCATTTGTTAAAGAGACTGTCTTTTCCCTATGTATGTTCTTGGCACCTGTGTCAAAAATGAATTGGCTATCAATGCATAGATTTATTTCCAGGTTATCTATTCTGTTCCCTTGGTTATATGTCTATTTTTATGTCAGTACCATGCTTCTTTGGTTAGTATAGACTTGTAGTATAGTTTGAAGTCTGGTAGTGTGATGCCACCAGCTTTGTTCTTTTGGCTCAGGATTGCTTTGACTACTTGGGTTTTCTGTGGTTCCATATAAATTTTAGAATTGTTTTTCTATTTGTGTGAATAATGTCATTAGTATTTTGAAATTAATTGTATTGAATCTGCAGATAACTTTGGATAGCATGGACTTTTTAACCATATTATTTTTTTCAATCCATGAGCATGGCATATATTTTCATTTTGTGTGTGTGTGTCCTCTTCAATTTTTTTCATCAGGATTTTATAGTTTTTATTATAGAGATCTTTCACTTCTTTGATTCAATTTATTCCTAGGTGTTTTTAATAGCTATTGTAAATAGGATTGGTTTCTGAATTTCTTTTTCAAATTGTTCACTATTAGAATATAGAAATGCTACTGATTTTTATATGTTGATTTTGTATCCTGAAATTTTACCGAATTAGTTTATTATTTCTAACAGTTTTTTGGTGGAATCTTTAGGTTTTCCTAAATATAGGATCATGTTGTCTGTGAACAAGGCTGATTGGACTTCTTCCTTTCCAATTTGGATGCCCTTTCTTTCTCTTGCCTGATTGCCCTGGCCAGGACTTCTGGTATTATGTTGAATAAAACTGGTGAAAGGAGACATCCTTGCCTTGTTCCAGGTCTTAGAGGAAAGGTTTTTAGTTTTGCCCTGTTCAGTATGGGTTTGCAATATATGGCCCTTATAATTTTGGGGTATGTTCCTTCTATACACAGTTTATTGAGTTTTTATTATGAAGATATGTTGAATTTTATTGAATTCTTTTTCTGCATCTTTTTAAATGATCATGCATTTTTACTTCTTGATTCTGTAAACGTGATGTATCACATTGATATGATTTGATTTGTGTCCCCACCCAAACCTCATGTCAAATCCCCAGTGTTGGAGGTGGGGCCCGGTGGGAGGTGATTGGATCATGGAGGTGGTCCTTCATGAATGGTTTAGCACCATCTCCTTGGTGCTGATATTGTGATAGTGAGTGAGTTCTCATGAGATCTGGTTGTTTAAAAGAATGTGGCACCTCCCTCAGTCTCTCAGTCCTGCACCTGCCATGTCAGATGCCTGCTCCTGCTTTGCCCACCACCATGAGTAAAAACTTCCTGGGGCCTCCCCAGAAGCAGATGCTGCCATCCTTCCCGTACAGCCTGCAGAACTGTGAGCCAATTAAACCTCTTTTCTTGTACGTTACCCAGTCTCAGGTATTACTGTATAGCAGTTTTATCACTTCTGAACTCCCAGATTCCCCCAACCAACTACTGGGGCAAAGTGAATGCACAGTGTCCATAGGCCAGGCATATTGAGCAGAAAAAGCAATCACTCTATAGTATGAATTGAGGAAATTTAAAAAAAAAAGCACTCTATAATTACCTCAAAAATTCTTAAATTATTTGTGGATATCTGAAATTTATTTATCTTAAGAGTAATTGCAAATATCACTGAGAGAGCTAACATACTAAGTCTCATTATACTTTTACATATTTTAATACATTTGTAAAATTCTGCTTGAGAGTAAGTTTTATGTAGAAACAGCCAATGAATTAAATAGCAATATTCAAAAAGCATTAACTAGTTAGAGTAAAAAATACATAGAACAAGATTGAATAAATCAAAGAAAACTTCATCTAAATTGTAACTTTATGGAAGGAATTCCAGACCCAAACAGATGACTTTGTAGTGAAGGTATTCTGGAAAGCAAATACATTTCAACTGTTATGTCAGCCAAGGGCCTAAGGTAATTGAAATATTTGAATTGAGTTTTATCCTTCAGCCTGATATTAGATGGCAGAATTTCTAAAGCAAAATAAAGTGTACTTTAATCTTTTTAGATGCACTCACATTTCACAGTTGAGAGAACAGAATTTGTGGTGTTTTCCCAGATGCAGGACTTGGGATAACCACTTACCTTTCCATCAAAATAGTAAAGTGTACCAAAAAACAGAAGACCTGTGCTCCTGTTAGTCCTCAGGTAAATTACAAAACAACCATTCTCTATCTGGATGTTATGAAACAAATCCCAGTAATGGATGTAAAATTGTTCTTTGCTTTACAAAATACTTGACAAATATAAGAGGTTATCATTAACCATATTAAGAACATTTCTAGTTTTCTTAACAAACAAAAACAGTTTAAATGTGAAGCATCCCTGATTCTATGTTAAAGAATGGCTTGCAAAGCTATTAGTTTCTCTTGAACAAAAATATTAACTTTCTGAATTTTTATATCATCTATGACTGGTTTCCCTGGGGCCTAGAAGTGCCATTGCAGAAATACCAGGGTGGAACTGGCTGGATAACATATTTCATCCACATTGTATTTGTCTGTTCTCACATTGCTTATAAAGATGTACGAGATACTGGGTAATTTATAAAGGAAAAAGCTTTAATTGACTCACAGTTCAGCATGTCTGGGGAGGCCTCAAGAAACTTACAATCATGACAGAAGGCACCTCTTCACAGGGTGGCAGGAGAGAAAATGAGAGCTGGGTGAAGGGGAAAGCCCCATATAAAGCCGTCAGATCTTGTGAGAGCTCACTTACTATCAGGAGAACAGTTTGAGGGAAACCGCCCTCATGATTCAATTATCTCCACCTGGTCCCGTCCTTGATACACAGGTATTATTACAATTCAAGATGAGATTTTGGGTGGGGACACAGACAAACTGTGTCCGGAATTGGTGGGTTCTTGGTCTCGCTGACTTCAAGAATGAATCCACAGACCCTGGTGGTGAGTGCTACAGTTCTTAAAGATGGTGTGCCTGGATTTTCTTCCTTCTGCTGGGTTCGTGGTTTCTCTGACTTCAGGAGTGAAGCCGCAGACCTTCGCAGTGAGTGTTACAGCTCTTAAAGGCAGCGCGTCTGGAGTTGTTTGTTCCTCCCATTGGGTTCATGGTCTCGCTGGCTTCAGGAGTGAAGTTGCAGACCTTTGCGGTGAGTGTTACAGTTCATAAAGGTGGCGCGTGTGGAGTTGTTCGTCCCTCCTGGTGGGTTTGTGGTCTCGCTGGCTTCAGGAGTGAAGCTGCAGACTTTGGCGGTGAGTGTTACAACTCATAAAGGCTGCGAGGACTCAAAGAGTGAGCAGCAGCAAAATCATATCACACATTCAACCAGAAGCTTTTATAATTGAACACTTGTATCTCTAAAATTAAGTTTTTTTTTTCAGAGACATTTTCTTAATCTTCAAAAATAGTCCTTTTAAAGCATAGGGCACTATTGTGGCAATTGATACTGTAAAATAAATCTGCTTAAAGTGTTAAGTTTAGCCTACCGTTGCCTCCTTACATATTTTAAGTTGAGTCTAAAGGTTTCTCCATACATAGTGAACTATAACCTAACTGGATGTGTAATTACAGTGGCCAAGTTTGGGACAATCACAAGCATACAACTGTTCAAATCATATTCAAATAAGGCAAACACCAAACTGTAAGCCAATCCAGCTGTTACTGTACTTCATTTCCATTTTTTTGTATGTCACATTCCTTTTTCTCTGAATAAATGTTATCCAATCACATGGCTGCCCCGGAATTGCTCTGACCCTATCTATTCTGGTTCTAGGGGCTGCCTAACTTGCTAATCATTCTTTGCCTATTTAAACACAGTTAAATTTAATTTGTCTAAAGTTTCTATTTTAACAGGGGGAAAGTCTAACATTCGACCTGCCCTAGGATTTTAAATAACCTGATTAGGAGTTAACTCTCCAAAGGTAACAAATAAAACAAAATTTATGATAAAATAATTTAAAAGATACTTTCTAATGCCTCACATAAGATTATTAAACACCAGGCAAAATTAAGAAAAATACAGCCCTATAATTATACAAGATATTCATTAAAGAGGGATGTATTTAATATTAAAATAAGGTCTATAAAATCAAGGTTCATTGATCTTTGAACTTGCAAAGACCAGTTAGGAAGTCATCATTAAACAGAATTAGGCACATATAAAAATACTTTTAAGCAATAATAGCATAACCGTATTGAGTTTGATTAAATAGGATTTAAGCTTGATTCTTTTTCATCACCATCCTTTAAACCAGCACCATCAAACTATTTTTTTCTTGTGGTAAAAACTCCAATACAACCAAATACCAAGGCTTTAGTTTTTCATCTACTTCTAAGCTTTCTTGCACTCTATGCCTTAAGATCTGTAATCTTTAGTAGAAGAGAGGCCAGGATTGAGTTTGTCAATTTCTCCACTTGGGTCTTCTGTCCCTTCTCCTTGACTCATTTTGTTTACACTTGGGTTAGAGTGAAGGGAAGAAGGACAACAGGAAAGTTACTTAATATTTTTATTTCCTTTATTTTTGTCGTGTAAGAGAAATCAAATATGATATCTATGTTTGTTCACCTGAATAATTATAATTCTACCCTCTTTTATTCAAACAAACAAACAAAAAACCCAGCAAAGGAGCTGAAAAACCAAACGCAAACTTTACTTACACCTATTGTTTCTAGGGCTCTTGTGAAGGCAGTGGCCCTCAGACCACTGAATACCAAATATGTACCATGTTTTCTGGCTTTAGGTCCAGTCTCTAGTGTAGCACATTTATTTTCATGAAGATTTATAGACTAGGACTTCACAGGTAAGCTGAGGTAATTAGGAAAAAAGTCATGAATATGTGAAAGTTGATCATATGAATTGCATCATTCTTGTCACACACAACCAAAACAGTCAAGAAGCCAGCAGGAGGCGGGTGGGGGAGCACTCAGGGCACATAACATTCCTCCACAAATGTAATTTTCTGCAAGCTTGGAAGCTGAAACTGCCTTAAGGTAACCTAAAACCAGTTTTATCTAATGACCACTGAAACAATCTGCTGCAACTCTCAGACTAGTTTTGCCCAAGGTTCTGGTTGTCACTTACCAATCAAAGCTTGCCAATTTCTCAAAACCTTACTAGTGCCAATGAAATTTCTCAAAGAGTAATACATAACATTTCTCCTTTTCATAAAACCTGTAACCTTCTCTATCTTCTTCAGAGAGAATAGTTTCAGTTAAAGCCAGAGACTATCTCTCCCCAGTTTGTAAACTGATATTTCCAGTAAAACTCTCTTTTCTATTCTCTACCTATACTGGTAGTCTTTTGGACAGGAAACGGATAGAAATTTTTTTTTTTGGTCCAATGCTTATCACCAAATAATGCTTACTATATATCAGCCACTATCCTAGTTCAGTATTGTATGAACAGAAAGATCCCTGACTTCACAAAGCTCTCTCTTGAGTGTTCACAGACAATAAAAACTAAATGTAAATAGTTACATAGATTGCATAGTATGTTCAAAGTTGACAGAAGGAATGAAGAAAAGTGTGAATTAGGCCAAAGGAGATATGAAATCTGCAGGCAGTGGGGGAGAAGTTGGTTAATAGGTTGCAATTTTAAATAGGGTGGTTAAGGTAGGAGTCATTGAGAAAGTAACACCTGGGTGAAGACTTGAAGCAAGTGAGGGTGTTAGCCAGAGGAAAGAGGAAACAGTAAATGCAAAGTTCCTAATGTCAGGCTTCTGAGCCCAAGCTAAGCCATGGTATCCCCTGTGACCTGCGCGTTTATGTCCAGATGGCCCCAAGCAAGTGAAGAACCACAAAAAAAGTGAAAATGGCTGCCTGCCTTAACTGATGACATTCCACCACAAAAGAAGTAAAAATGGCCAGTCCCTGCCTTAACTGATGACATTACCTTGTGAAATTCCTTCTCCTGGCTCATCCTGGCTCAAAAGCTCCCCAAATGAGCACCTTGTGACCCCCACCCCTGCCAGCCAGAGAACAACCCCCTTTGACTGTAATTTTCCACAACCTACCCAAATCTTATAAAACGGTCCCACCCCTATCTCCCTTCACTGACTCTCTTTTCGGACTCAGCCCACCTGCACCCAGGTGAAATAAACAGCCTTATTGCTTACACAAAGCCTGTTTGGTGGTCTCTTCACAGGGACGCGAGTGAAACCTAAGATACGAGTTAATTTAAGAAAGAACAAGAAGGCCTAAGTGCTTGATGCTCAGTAATTGAGTTGAGAGGGCTAAGGAGGGAGTGAGATGGCACATAGGCAGGGTCTCCTCAGCCACTGAAAGACTCTTTTACTCTTGTGGAATAGGGGAACATTCAAAGTCCAAATAAGATAAATTGCATAATCTGGTTTACAATGTTAAAAGGCTTACTCTGGCTACTGTGTTGAGAAAATGCTGGGGGGTGGGGAGGGATAACGTATCAGTATAGACTAAATTATACTGTGGTAGCACACAACACAAATTTCAGAGATTTAAAAGGCAAAGTAAAAAAAAAAAATTGTTTCCTTACCTTCATTACATAAGCTTATCTGTGGCGTATCTGTGGCTCTGCTTCATGTTGACTTCTCTCCAGGACCCTGGCTGCTAGAACAGTTGCTATCTGGAACCTTGCCAGTCTCATAGCG
Source organism: Homo sapiens (assembly GCF_000001405.40). Classification (NCBI taxonomy): domain Eukaryota; kingdom Metazoa; phylum Chordata; class Mammalia; order Primates; family Hominidae; genus Homo; species Homo sapiens. The sequence goes on along the minus strand of NC_000002.12, from coordinate 183,997,303 downwards.
AAGGGAAAAAGACAGAGTGAACCAGGTGCTGCCTCTTAAACCTTCTGCTCACAAGTGCCCTGAGTTACTTCTAATTACATTTCATTGACCAGAGGAAATCATGGGGTCAAGTCCGACATCAAAAGACAAGAGCACAATTCTCCCACAGGGAGGAGGGAAACCCTAACAAAGACATACAAAGATTTTGAATAATAATACAAAATAATAATATTGTTTCCTCTCCAAAGGGAGAGAAAGGAGCGGAGATTATTTAGGAGGTTATTACAATGGTCTGGGTGAGAGACGGTAATAACACATTCCACAGCAATCACATCTCAAACAGTAGGGTCTTGAGATTTCCAAGGGTGTTAAACAGAAAAGAGCAGAGGAGGTGGCAAAGAAGAATAGAGGCTCAAACAAGAATAAAAGAAAAGTGGCTTTATAAAGGCCAAAAATAGAAAAAAAGATTAAAGAAAGGGATGTGAATACTTACAGCCGAAATTCTCCAGAAAAGAAAAAAGGATTCCAAATAAACTTATATCCTAAAGAGGAGACTTTGATGACCTATTTATTGCTTTTTATAGATTTGTCTGACTGTATAATTTAGAAGAAACAGTTTTGTTCAAAGCATGCCATTTTTGCCTCTTTTCTTTATTTTGCTCTGTAATCTTAACTAGACAGCAGGAACTCTCTATTAAGTTTTTTATTATTCTTGATTCCACTAGATGTTGTTGAATAAGTGGGGAAAAGTGATTAAATTCAATTTATAATTCGTATTGCAATTCCTCTGAATGCTTTCCTTTGTAGACTCTTCTGGGCAGTAATGAATCCCAAAGCCTAATCTTACTATGTTCCTTCTTTTATCTACCACAATTGGTTCATTCATTTATGTTTATTCCTTATGTGTGCCAGGAAAGATACTAGATGCTAGGGATACTAACATAAAAATTACTACTTGTGTGTGTGCAAGATTTTATAGTCCAGGGATAAAGATGAATAGATTTATTGAGGTAAATGCTATTTTGGAGGAATATATCATGTGCAAAGATAACAGAAAGGATAGTCAAATGCCAAGCTTCATAAAGAAGAGATGCTTTAGATGAATCTGGATAAAGAACAGGAGATTTATTTATTTATTTAAAAAAGGGGGAGTGACAGTGAAAAAATTCCAAGTAGAAACAAAGTTTTCTTCCTATGAAATGGCATGTGATAAAGTGAAAAAATGTTTTAGTAACAGAAATAGATGAATGGGAAGTAATATGTGAAGGGGCACTGGAAGAAGATAAAACTGAACAGATATGAAGAGACCAGATCATGGATTCCTTGTGTCATGCCAATGAGTTCCAACATAAAACAGTAACCAGGGAGCCACTGAAGGTATTCAGGCAGAAAAGTAACATGATTCAATGTCTCTGGCAGCTGCTGGTTGTTTTAAGTAAATAATCAGTACTTTTTCATGTGTCACCACTGGTGAAACAGAAAAGCATCTCAGCAGCAAACAGTAAGGAGTCATTGAAATCTATAATGTCATTCAAATAAACCAGATCTAAAGGCCCATCAGCACCCTGGTACTCTGCCAATCTCAGAACTCAGGGTTTTCTCTATTGACTTCTACAGTCTCCGGCCACATGGCACACCTCTCAGATTCTCTCGCTTCATTTCACAGCTCAACAATGATGGTTTTTAAAACTTTTGGTCTCCACATCCTTTTATAATTTTGAAAGTCAGTGGGGACTCCAATGAGCTTTTCTTTATGTGGGTTATATCTGTTAATATTTATTGCCTTAGAAATTAAAACTGACAAATTTTAAAATGTTTATTAATGCTTTTAAAATATCAATAATAGTACCATTAAATAGTCACATTATTTTTATTTAAAAAAGATATCTCCTAAAACAGAAAGAAACTAAGAAGTGGTAATGTTTTATATTTTTTTCAAATTTCTTTAATTTCTGGCTTAAGAGAGGACAGATGGAGTCTCATATCTTCTTCTGCATCCAGTAAGTTGCAATATATTTTTTTGGTTGAAGTATATAATAAGACTCTCTCCTCATGTAGTTATATAGTTAGAAAAGAGAGAAATCTTTTCAGATTATTTTACTGAAAATAATTTATTATTATTCCTTTCTGATAATATGCCCAAACTCAACAAATGGTAGTTTCTTAAACTTAGTTGCAATGTGGAATCTAAATATCATTGTAGTTTTTATATTCCATTATATGAAAATCTCTTGATCTCTCTTTCATTTTAATGGAATTTAGCCCTTGCTAGATTGTGTTACTTCATGCATTGGTCATTTGTAAAACATTAGCTCACTGAGTTATGCAGATCTTCCAAACTTTGACATATATATCATACAATATAAAAACCACCACATTTGTTAATATTAGTAATGATCTAATCAGATAGCTAAGTGTTCTGCACTGTAAGCTTTCAAGCTTACAGTGGTGAATGCAAATTTTCTAAAATTTCTATTTTTTCCCTGAAAATTCAAATTTTATGATTAACAAAGAAAATTGATGACAAATACCCAAATTGTAATAACTGTAATTTGTCTGTTACTTTTCAAATGAAAATGGTGTTCCATGAAGAAAAGCAGCTCGTTCAGCTCATAATCCAAGCAATCTTAGTGGTTTTTTTTTTTGAGATAAGCATTATACTTTGGTATGCAGTAGCAGTGCTTCATGCATACTTTCTATTTCATCTTATAGACTTTTGAAATCATTTTCTATCAGATGGTCTTTTTCTTTCTTTTCAATCACTTGTAGGAGTAATTTGCATTTTCTTCACTGGATATAAAACTTTCTTCATTGGGTATATGTACTGCAAATAATTCCATTTATTCTCTGGCCTGCATTTTTGCTCAGTAAATGACATTTTTCGGTAAGTATAGGTTTTTCATTTTCACATAGTTTAATTTGTAATTTTTTTCCTTCATGATTAGTAGTTTTCTGTCCCATTTAGGAAAAATTTTTAACCCAAAATAATGAAGATACTTTTCTACTTTACTCCCCAATATATTTTGTAGTTTTCGGTTTAGAGGTCTTGTACATGTTTAATTAGATTTATTCTTAGGTAATTTATATATTTTGATTTTTTGGCAAAATCAAAATACCTTATTTTCTCAAGTTCCAAATTTATTGCTGGTGTATAAACATATAACATATTGTAATACATAATGGAGCCCAGCAACTTGATACATTAACTTAACAATTTCAATAGTTTTGCTGTAGAGTCTTGAAATTTTTACATATAAAATCACATTACTTGCAGATAATGATGCTTTCATTATTTCATTATTCATTCCTTGGTTACCTGGCAGTGTGGCTGTGCAAACATTTTAGTCTCAGACCAGAGATTAGAGTATCTGCTTTGGAGTGGGGTAGGGACTTCCACAGCCAGAAAGTGCCTCAGCAGTATGGCTAAAATTGTGCCCTCCCTGTAGCAGGCCTAGGGCAGGAAGAGAACTCCTACGGCTGTGGTTTCTCCTGGGTAACAAGACTTGCACCAAGGCCCAGTTTGGTGACATGGAACTCATCTGTGTGTGACTTTGCTGAGTAGCCCATGCTGCTCCTTGGAAATCATGGTGCAGTAGAGGCTCCCCTCTGCTCTACCCCCAGAGAGAAATCCAGGAATTTGGACCATGTTCTTGCCTGGACCAGCAGCCTGAGCTACCCAACCCTTCCTGGACATAGATTGTGCAGTGGGGCTCTATGCTCCATGCCCAGGCAGATATCAAGGCATCCATAACACCTGTTACCCTGGTTCAGCAGCTTGAGCCACACTACCATTCCTGGACATAAATTGTGGTGTGGGGGGCCCTCTCTATTCCATTCCCAGGCAGATCCTATACATTTGGAGTACTACCTTGACTGAATCAGCATGCTGAGCTGTCCCACCCTTCCTGTGCAGAGATCCAGCCACAGGGGAATCCTTTCTACTACACAACCAGGCAGATTTCCAGGCATTCAGAGCACCTGCTTGTTTAGTCCAGCAGCCTGAGTTGCTTGGTGCTGGGGGATCATTTCTGCTCCACGCTCAGGCAGAAATCCAGTCATTCAGAGAACTGCTCATCTGGATCAGCAATCTGACCTGCCCCACCCTTCTGTGCAGAGTTTCTGATGCAAAGAGGCCCTCATTGCTCCATGCCCAGGCTGATCTCCAGACTTGTGAAGCACCTGTTTGCCTGATTCAGCAGCCTGAGCTGCCCCACTTTTCCCAAATGTAGATTATGGTGTAGTGAGGCCTTCTCCACTCCAAACCAAGGCATATTTCGAGACATTTGGAGCACAAGATCACCTGAATCAGCAGTCTGAGTTGCCCAGCCCCTCCTGTGCAGAAATATTGGTGCAGCAGGACCCACTCTGCTACATGCCCAGGCAGATCTCCAGACATCTGGAGCACCCACTCTACTAGATTAGAAATCTAGGCCATCCCTTACTCCTGTGCAGAGAACTTGGAGCTGAAGTAGGTGGCTTCCTACCTCCACACCTAGGTACACCTTTGGGTGCTTGGTGGCTACTCACTGGATTCTCCCCTTGTTGCTGGTGCCTCTGCCTGGCATGGGGGACCCATAGGTCAACCTGTCTGTTTTGGTCCCACCCTTCAGTCTCTTGCTCCTAGGGCACAACAGGGAGCTCAAACTACTGTATACTCCACAAATCATCCCAATGCCTGAGGCAACAGAGAGCTGCCAGTAAATAAGGATTATGTATATACCCAGCCACGTTGGCCACAGTCTGTTCTTACCAATAAGCACCATCCATGGGCTTACATGTCAAACTCCACAGCCTAATATAAAATCTGCTGAAAGAAATGCATAGCGCTATAGAAACAAAGCCAAGAGACCCTACCAGCATGCCTTACAACTCCTAGAAATAGAGAGGAAAGGAAAGAGAAAGAAGAAAATAATAATAACATTGTAGGGAAAGGAAGAAAAAGAAAAAATCCTACCCACATAAAAATAATTACAAAACTTAGAGGTGCCAGGATCTCCAGATGAGAAGAAACCAGTGCAAGAATTCTGGCCAAATGAAAGATCTGAATGCAGTGACACCAAGAAAGGATTGTACTAGCTCTTCAGCAATGCACCCTAACTGAAATGGAAACTCAGAAATGACAAATAATTCAAGCCATGGATTGCAAGGAAGCTGAATGAGATCCAAGACAAGGTTGATAATCAAACAAAGACACTCCTAAAGCAATCCAGGAAATGAAGGAAGAGATAAACATCTTAAAAAGAAATGAATCAGAATTTCTAGGCTTAAAAAACTCACTTAAGGAATTTCAAAATACAATTTAGGCTGGGTGCTGTGGCTCACTCCTGTAATCCCAGCACTTTGGGAGGCCAAGGCAGGTGGATCATCTGAGGTCAGGAGTTCGAGACCAACCTGGACAACATGATGAAACCCTGTCTCTACTAAAAATACTAAAAATTAGCCAGGCGTAGTGGTGCATTCCTGTAATCTCAGCTACTCAGGAGTCTGAGGCAGGAGCATCTCTTGAACCTGGGAGGTGGAGGTTGCAGTGAGCCAAGATCTTGCCCCTGTACTTCATCCTAGGCAACAGAGTAAAATGCCATCTCAAAAACAAACAAACAAAAAATTAAAAGCTTCATCAATAGAATGGACCAAGCAGAAGAAAGACACTCAGAGCTTGAAGATTGGTCTTTTGAACTGATAGACTCAGAGAAAAATAAAAAGAATTTAAAAAAATAAAAAAGTCTTTGAGAAATATAAAAGTATGTAAAGCTACCAAACCTACAAATTATTGGCATATCTGAGAGAAATAGAAGTGTAAACAACCTGGAAAATATATTTCAAGGAATAATTTAAGAAATCTTCTTTAATCTTGCTAAAAATAGACATCCAGAGACAAGAAATCCAGGGAATACCCGTGAGATACTATACATAATGAAGATCAACAGGCATATAGTCACCAGTCTATTTAAGGTTAATGCTAAAGAAAAAAATCTTAATGGTAGTTAGAGAAAAAGAGTAGATCATATACAAAGGGAAACCCATCAGGCTAAGAACAGACTTCTCAGCAGAAACCTTATAAGCCAGGAGAGGTCGTGGTCCTGTTTTCAGCATTCTTAAAGAAAAGAAATTCCAGCCAAGAATTTCATATCCCACCAAACTAAGCTTCACAAGCAAAGGAGAAATAACAGCTTTTCCAGACAAGCAAGCACTAAGAGAATTCCTAACCCATAGACAAGCCATATAGGAGATCCTTGGGGGAATCTTAATGAATACAAAAAAAAAAAAAGAAATCATACCAACAATACTCGACCATAGTGGAATAAAAATAGAAATCAATACCAAGAATATCTCTCAAAACTACAGAGTTCATGGAAATTAACAATTTGCTACTGAATGACTTTTAAATAACAAAATCAAGATAATTATTTGAAATAAATGAAAACAGAGAAACAATATACCAAAATCTCCAGGATGTAGCGTTAAAAAAAAGTGTTAAGAGGAGTGTTTATAATGCTAAACACCAACCTCAAAAAGTTAGAAAGATCTCAAATTAACAATCAAATATTACACCAGAGGAACTAGAAAAACAAAAATGAAACAAGCCCAAAGCTAGCTGAAGTAAAGAAATAACTAAAATCAGTGCAGAACTGAAAGAAGTTGAAAACGAAAAATACATAGAAAGAATCAATAAAACCAAAAGTAGGTATTTGAAAAGATAAACAAAATTTATAGACTGCTAGATAGATGAACAAAGAGACAAGATCCAAATAAGCAAAATCAGAAATGACAAAGGTGACAGTACAGTTGATCCCACAAAAATACAAATGATACTCAGAGACTTTTATGAATACCTCTGCACAATCTGGAAAATCTAGAGGAAATGGATACATTCCTGAAAGCATACAACCCCCCAAGACTGAGTCAGGAAGAAATTTAAACACTGCACAGACAAATATCAAGTTCTGAGATGGAATCAGTAATAAAAAATCTACCGACAGAAAAAAACTTTTGACCAAATGGATTCACAGCCAAATTCTACCAGATGTACAAAGAAGAGCTGGTACTAGAATTATTCCAAAAATTTGAGGAGGAATGACTTATCCCTAATTCATTCTATTTGCCTGATACCAAAGCCTTGTAAACACACAATAACAACAAAAAAACTACTGGCTAATATCTATGATGAGCATAGATGCCAAAATCATCAACAAAATGCTAGCAAACCAAATTCAACAGTACATCAAAAATTAATTCACTTTGCTCAAATAGTCTTCATTTCTAGGATGCAAGTTTGGCTCAACATATGTAAATCAATGTGATTCACCACATAAAGAGAATTAAAAACAACAACCTCTCAACAGATGCAGAAAAATCTTTTGATAAAATCCAAGACTGCTTCATGATAAAAACCCTCAAGAAACTAGACATTGAAGGTACACACTTCAAAATAGTAACAGCCGTCTATAACAAACCCATGGCCAACATCATACCAAACAGGCAAAAGTTGGAAGTATTCCCCTTGAGAACGGGAACAAGACAAGGATACCTACTCTCACCACTCCTATTCAGCATAGTACTGCCAGTCGCCACCAGAGAAATCAGGAAAGATAAATAAAAAGCACACAAATTGAAAAAGAAGTCACGCTATCTCTCTTCATTTATGATATGATTCTACAACTAGGGAACCCTAAAGACTCCAACAAAAGGCTCCTAGAGTTGATGACTTCAGTAAAACTTCAGGATAAAAAAATTAATGTACAAAAATTAATGTACAAAAATTAGTAGCATTAATATACACAAATACTATCCAAGCTGAGAGCCAAATCAAGAACATAATCCCATTTACAATAGCCACAAAAAGAATAAAATACCTGGGAATACAGCTAACCAAGAAGGTAAAATATCTCCACAAGGAGAATTACAAAATACTGCCAAAAGAAATCAGAGATGACACAAATAAACAGAATAATACTCCATGCTCATGAATTGAAAGAATCAGTATCATTAAAATGACCACACTGCTCAAAGCAATTTACAGATTCAATGCTATTTCTATCAAATTACCAATGACATTTTTCAAGGAATTAGAAAAAAACTGTTCTGACATTCATATGGAACCAAAAAAATAGCCCAATAGCCAAATCAATCCTAAGCAAAAAAACAAAACAAAACAAAACAAAACAAAAAGCTGTAGGCATCACAGTACCCATCTTCAAACTATACTACCAGGCTACAGTAACTAAAATGTCATGGTACTAGTTCAAAAACAGACACAGAGACCAATGAAATAGTATAGAGAACCCAGAAATAAAGTAGCATACCTGCAACCATCTGATCTTTGGCAAAGTTGACAAAAATAAGCAATGGGAAGAAGACTTCCTATTCAATAAATGGTTCTGGCTAGTGGGCTATGCATATACAGAATAATGAAACTAGACTTCTACCCATCACCATGTACCAAAATTAACTCAAGATGGATTAAAGACATAAATGTAATGCCTCAAACTATAAAACTTCTGTGAGAAAACCAAGAAATATCCTTCTCAATATCAGCATTGGCAAATAATTTATGGCTAAGTCCTCAGAGCAATTGAGCAAAAATAAGAATTGTTGAATGAGACCTGATTAAACTAAAGAACACAGCAAAAAGAAAGAAAAAAAAAAAAACTATCCACCGAGTAAGCAAAAAACCTACATAACAGCAGAAAATATTTACAAACTGTATCTGACAAAGGTCTAATGTCCAGAACATGTAAGGAGCTTAAACAAATCAATAAGCAAAAAAAAAAAAAAAAAAAAAAAAAATACGCTATTAAAAAGAGAGCAAAAGACATGAAAAGACACTGCTCAAAAGAAGATATATAAATGGCCAACAAACTTGAAAAAAGTGCTCAACATCACTAATCATCAGAGAAATTCAAATCAAAACCACAATGAGATACCATGTCATGCCAGACAGAATGGCTATTACTAAAATGTCAAAAAAACAACAAATGTTGGCAAGGCTGTGGAAAAAAAGGAAACATCCTCTTTTGGTAGAAATGTAAATTAGTTCAGCCACTGCAGAAAACAATTTTGCAATTTCTCAAATAATTTAGAACCACCATTTGACCCAGCAATCTCACTACTGGGTATACACCCAAAGGAATACAAAATCATTCTACCAAAAATGCGTATGCACCTATATTTATCACGCCCTCTTCACAGTAGCAAAAACATGGAATCAACTCAGGTAATTACCAACAAATGTTTGGACAAAGAAAATGTGATAAACAAACACTGTGGAGTACTACACAGCCATAAAAAAGAATAAAATAATGTCCTTTATAGCAATAGGGATGTACCTGGCAGCCTTTATCCTAAGCTAACTAAATTTGAAACAAAAAACCAAGTACCACATGTTGTCACTTGTAAGTTGGGGCTTAATATTAGGTACACGTGGTCATAAAAATGGGAATAATAGACATTGTGGAATATAAGAGAGGGAAGGAGGGAGAGAGGTAGGATTGAAAGAAACTACCTACTGGGTACTATGCTCACTACTTTTTTACAGATTCATTTGTACTCCAAACCTAAGCATCACACAATATGCCTAGGTAACAAACCTGCACATGTACCTCCTGACTCTAAGATAAAAGTTGAAAAAAATTCTTTATACATTGGAATTCTATTTTTGCACATAATATAGGGAGGGTATGAATGTTGATGTGATCACTTCACAATTTAGAAGTATAAAACTTAGAAGTTATATAAAGAGGACTTTTAAAAAAATAAGATGGTAGGATAAAAATATTAAAAATTTTTGTATTTTCTCATTTTGCTGGGCAATTTAATTTTTTCTTAAATTTACCCAGCAGCCTTTCCCAAGACTGAAGATTGACTCTGTAAAAATATACAGGGTTTATGCATAGCAAATACATGTGTGTATACTTACTAAATGGTTACTTTTATGTGTCTACTTGACTGGGCCATGGGATACCCAGATAGCTGACTAAACATTATTTCTGGGTGTGTCTGTAAGAGTATTTCCAGAAAAGATTTGCATTTGAATTGGTGAACTGGGAAAAGAAGATGGCCCTTCTCAGTGTATGTGGATATAATCCAATTTGTTGAAGGTCTAACTAGAATATAAGGGTAGAGTAAGGTTAAATTTGTTCTGTGTCTAATTGCTTGAGCTGGGACATTGATCTCCTGCCCTCAGTGCTCCTGGTTCTCAGGTCTTTAGACCTGGACTTGAATCTACCATTGACTCTTTGGCTCTCAGGCCTTTGAAGTATACCACCAGCTTTCCTTGGTCTACAGCTTGCAAATGACAGATTGTGGGAATAGATTGGGGACTTCTCAGCCTCTATAATCACATGAGCTAATACCTTACCTTATTTTATATATATGTGAAATTATATATATAGCCAATTATATGCATATAATTGGTTATCTCTAGAGAACTCAAAATAACACAATGTTCTACCTACATTTTATTTAGATATTAAACCTCATATTCTTCTGGGGAGATTTTGGAGAAATGGTGGGGACACAAGAAAGGTTGGTAGACATCAAGACTTCATTGTCGATGGTCTCTTCTCTCTCAGTCATTTAAAATCTATAATCATAAACCCAAGTATCATAAAATACTAAAGCTCTAGTTTAATAAACTTGAGGAAATGTGTGTAACCTTAAATGACAATAAAAAGTATTATGCACACATTTACTAGATGCTGATAAAACATTTTTAAAACACAGCAGGAAAACATAAAGTAAAAAAAATTAGCTAATGTAGAACAGGCTCACTGAGGCAAAGAGTTATGCTTAGTCTATTCAATTAATGAGGGTTTTATCGGGGTTAAAAGGATTAAAAAGAGAAAAATTAATGATTTCCCATATCCAAATAAAACATAGGCATTTTCATTCATATAATGGTTTTAAGACATGGGAAAAAATGCTATCTCAATTTACATATGCTGAAAAGAGAAAAACTCAGTATCTGGTTAGGTAATCAATAATTAGACTCCAAGGATAAAAATAAATCAAAACCATATTAGTCTTCTATGGCTGCATAACAAATTACCACAGACTTAATGGCTGAAAACAACATACATTTATTATCTCAGTTTCTGTGAGTCGGGAGACCAGGCATGGCTTAATTGGGTCACTTGCTAAAGGGTCACAGGCTGAAAGTGATCACCAGGGCTGAGGTCTCATCAGAGCTTGACTGAGGAAGAATCTGTTTTCAAACTTCCTAAGATTATTGACAGAATTCCTTTTCTTGAAACTGTAGGATTCATAAAAACAAAACAAAACAAAACAAAAAACTTTCTTCTTCAAAGCAAGCAACAGAAAGAAATTCTAGCAATATAGGAAATACAATCTTATGTAATCACCTAAACATGATCAATACATACCATTGATTAGAATCATAGGGAAGATGATACACAAAGGCATGAATTCGAGGAGACAGAGTTCATGGGGTCACTTTCAAGTGTGATAACCACAAAAAACAAAATCATAGGACAGTATTTGAAATTCTCTTGGTTATGATTTGCCATGCTAAATATTTTTGTCTATATTTTTTCTAAAACCAAAGATAAATTGATATGATGACTTAAAATACTTTATCCAAATAAAGCCCTAATGCAAATTTATAATTCATCTAACAAGACAGTCAATCAAACAAAATCAGCTATCTGACATTATGGAGAAAAGCATGGGATCAGGAGTCAAATTTAGATTTTAGCTCAGCCACTTATTAGATGTTTGCTCACAGATATGTTCATGAGCCTCTATGGGTTTCAATTTCTTTGTCTATAATATGGAATGCACTTAGACTTACCTTACAAGGTTCTTATGTCAATTTGAGAAAATATTTGTAAACCACATTAAATAGGTTTGGTACAAAGAAGTTGTTCAACAAAACACAAAAGTAACTAGTAAAATCACAGCATTAAAATCCCACTGTGTATGTAGTACACTGTGACATCAGGTTTTTTTTCTGAGATGAAGTACTATCCCCTCTTTGTATGGAAAATATAATTATAATGGGAAATGAGGCAGCAAACTGACTCAGCATGTACCAAAACAAGCAAGTAAAATGTGTGTATACCAACATGTATGCTATACTCATTCAAGCACTCTATATACATTAAATGTGAAGTTGTTCCTTTGTGTCTCATCTTCCTCCAACAGATACCAAGTGTTATTAGGTGTGGCTTTCTAAGAGTAGTATTGGCTGTGCCATTTAATATACAGATTCTGAGACAGCAATCTCAAGAGGTGGGTCAGAAATTCTGCATTTTACATAATGCTTCCTTATTTAGAGGAGTAAATTTTTATCTACAATAAAAGTTTAAAGACTACTGGCTTACTGTTACACAATAAGAGTAACAATAGATAATTACCTGCAAGACCTGGAGAGTTAGGACATCAACATAAATATTTAAGTTCCTTTGCACTGGCTCACTTCTGTCTTTTGAATTCTAGGGACATTAGTTTGTAGACATGTGAGAGAATACTAGAAAATATAACTTAAGTAGTGTTAAAGTAATTAGAGTTGGAAAATAACTTATGATCATTTAGAAAGAATGGCTCTGTTCCATTGTGCTTCAAAGAGAGCAAGGGTTTAGAAACCATCTAAAGAATGAAGGACTATCAGTAAAGGTCAAGAAGAGAGGAAAGATGGGGTTGTAGACTAAGGTTAGGAAGCCTGAAATTGATTTGTATTTAGAAAAGTAATGAACAATGAGCTACAGATGGTAGAATGGGTCTAGTTGATAAATAATGTTCTTGATCAGGAAAGAGGTGTATTTTTCAAATAGCTTTATTCCTAATAACTTGAAAGACCACTTAGGCCTAGCCAGGTATTCATACACAATCCAATCCTAACAAAATTGTTTAATGGGTAAGAAAGTATATGTATAGACAAGGTTAAAGGCAAACCTGAAAGGAATCAGAGTTTTTATTAGGTAGAACCATTTCGGGAATCAGTTTATTGTTCTGAAGAGAGGAAATAAAGTTCCAGAGAAAGTTGTTACAGAAATCTTGGACAACGATATATAATAAAGATAATAGGATGACCAACAACAAAGATCTGCAAGGTCACTGGTATATTTGTGGTAACAGATAGCAAGGGCTAGGATAAAACTTGTGGCTGCTGAGACAGAAGGAAATGGCTAGATAGAGGTGATATAGTGAAGGCAATAGCTACATCAATTTAGTTATTTATAAAAGTCAGAAAATCCTGTTTTTTGGATTGTGAGGTCTGAAAATGGAACTGAAAATCAATAGAATGATACCATAATACAGCATTTGAAAATGTTAAGGCTCACAGAGGAATTAGCACAGAGTTAGCATGTTAGGGGAGTGAAAGCTTTGATAATTAATTCAACTTGTAAAATATTCTTTATTTTTATAATATTTAAGCAACAGATACAAGTTAGTAGGGAAGCTTGGAAACTGTAACCAAGCAAGCACAGCATTTATCCCCCTAGCCAAAGTGACACAGACATTTGAATCACTATTCTATTAGTTCATTTGTATTTTCTTTCTTTTTTTTTTTTTTTTTTTTTTTTTTTTGAGATGGAGTTTTGCTCTTGTTGCCCAGGCTGGAGTGCAATGGTGCGATCTTGGCTCACCACAACCTCCACCTCCTGGGTTCAAGTGATTCTCCTACCTCAGCTTCCCGAGTAGCTGGGATTACAGGCATGCACCACCATGCCCTGCTAAATTTTTTATACTTTTAGTAGAGACAGGGTTTCTCCATGTTGGTCAGGCTGGTCTCCAACTCCCAACCTTAGGTGATCCACCTGCCTCGGGCTCCCAAAGTGCTGGGATTACAGGCGTGAACCACCGTGCCAGGCCTCATTTTTATTTTCAAACCTTCCTGAAATACATTTTTTCTCTGTTTATAAAATAAAGTGTAATTCTGGCCAAGCAGAGTCTGAGATTGAGTTCTGTAGATTGTTTTAGTCTGCTAATATCACTTTTGCAAAAGTAAGATTTTTTGAAGATCAGGAAGGAAATAGTTTTACTATGCTGGTTACCAGGAAATCTTCCAGATAACAACAGTATGACCAAATACCTGTAACATGATTCCTTTTCAGTGCATATAGTCTTTTTATTACACTAAATCAACCATTTGTAGTCTTGAGTAAATGCAATAATAATAGTACCCAATTATCCACCTCTAAGATTACCATGACCTGGAATTAGCTGACCCACCAGCATTACACAGAAATTATCAAGGTGGCAATTACTAAAATCAGTTTGATTCCTGATTAGTTACTTGATAATACTTCATTATGAAACAAAGAAAAAATGAATGTAAGACTCAGACCACTTTTTGACAACTGCTAATGAATTTATTGTTCTCTCTATAGATATTTGGATACAGGATTTTGGTTACCCCCTGTGAACATCAGCAGTAATATATTCTTATTTCTTGCTCAACTTTCTTCATGACAAGAAATGACCTTGCATGGAAATTATTTCTTATTATACTTGATTTTAAGGGTACGTAATTACAGACTGCATGCTGACTTCCATAGAATCACATGGGGTAAAATGTCAGAACAACCATACAATTTCTAAATGTTTTTCTTCCTTAAAAATTCCTTTTGATTTTGTGCTTCTTATTAATTTTACTATGATGATGTATACATTGTAAAAACTTGTAAACACCTTAGGATGTTCAGTTAACAGAAAGTACTGTATTCTAGTTTTATTATATCCATTGGCAATTTCACTCAAATGCTGAAAAACACTCAAATTAGAATGATCATTCAGCAAATATATGACTATCCAACTGTTTGGGTTCTAATGTAAGTCTCATTAAATTGCTAAATATATTAGGAGCATCCCCAAAATATCCCAAATTGCTATGTTAATTCTAAAAGTGTTCAAAACTTCAAAAATAATTATCTATTAATAAGAACAATATTGCAAATATGTCACTTATATAATAGCAATGGCTTCCTTTTTTTCCAAGTCCCTAAGCATCCAAGAGACTTTGAGATAAAACTATATAGCTACCATCTTCTAGAACTAGGCCTGCTAATTAATATAGCCTGAGAAATCAAAAACATAAATCAATTTTTATTTTAATCAAGCAAGTAAAGTTAATGAAAAATAAATGTCCCTGAGAAGATCACAATAGGCTCTCTTGTGTAAACACTCCTAACAGGATCAAACTGAGAGCAGAATCAGCCCCTAAAGTGTGTCAACCTAAATAAGATCATTCTGGGAAAATCACTGGGCATTTCAGAGATGGAGAAGAGTCAGATAAACACCACTGTAGGGATCTGCACAAGCATAAGAGATTGTAAAGGGAGACATTGCTGAGAAACATGCTCTAATACTGTCTACTTGATTAAACCTTTTAGCACTTTCATTGTGCCTTGAGGCTTAAATATAATTGTGTGCCATCACTGATGCATTACAGTAGTATTTGATACTTGGAATGTTGTTCAAAAAGAATGCAACTGATAAGAATCATTTTTAGACTTTTGCATTCTCTTATGAAAAGCTTTCTAATCAGAGAGTCATTTTATAGCTAGATTTCATAGATGCAAATGAAACTCTTCTAATGGGGTATTATAATGATAAATGTGTATGCATACATATATATGTAACAGCTGCTCACTTTGGTTTGTTTTATTAGTATCTATTTTATTCTGCATTATCACTATAGAATCTTTGTCCTTTTTGAGTTTGCACTGCTCCTTTTAACTTCGCTGACAGTCATTTTCTCTCCTGGGAGCCATCAATGTTTACCATACCTGGCTACATCTTGTGTCTTCCACTGATAAACAACAACTTAAACACCAATGTCAAGCAATGTCACTCAACACATCTGTCTTGTTAATGCAAATTGTGAGGTAAAGTGAACCCTCCCCTCTGATTACTTGTTGCATAAGTACAGCAGAAGTAAACTGAGAGGAACATATCATGAGCATACAAATTATGGGTCCGTACCACAACATCAAGGAACACAGAACATCTTTTGTAAAGTGTCCCAGGTGAAAATAGTATGAAGACTTGATTTCAAAATGAAATATTATATTTCTTATAATCTACAGATACTAAGATTGACAAGAGAATGTATTTTCATGTATAAAATCACTTTTCTTCTCAAGTATTTATTTAACTTTTGTAAAGTCTGATATTCTCACCTGGTTTGGTTTTTGGATTGTAAAAATTCAACTCAACGTCAGTAAATGTGAATCTGAGGTATTGTTTTTACACATGGATAAATCCCTTTTAAGTTCAAGGGTGAAAAATGCGATGAAACTGAAAACATACACCAATTTTTCATAGCTTTCTCTAGCATTCACCATTATTCTTTACCTCTTTCAAATTTAATTCCCTGTACAAGGGAATATAGTTGATAGAGCTTTGTGGCACAATGTACTTGAAATAATTCATTTATCTGTACCTAAGTGATTTTCTGTTTAACAGGTGTTTTGTTTAGGAATTTACATTCAGCACTCAGGTGGGGATGTTTAAGGTATGTATATACCAAGAAAAGTCATTCTGAAATTTGGGCCTGGAGTTCAAGCCGACGATTAGAATCATTTCCCAGTTGAAAAAAAAAAAATGGGCCTGGCACGGTGGCTCACGCCTGTAATCCCAGCACTTTGGGAGGCTGAGGCGGGCAGATCATGAGATCAGGAGATGGAGACCATCCTGGCTAACATGGTGAAACCCCGTCTGTACTAAAAATACAAAAAATTAGCCTAGCGCAGTGGTGGGCACCTGCAGTCCCAGCTACTCGGGAGGCTGAGGCAGGAAAATGGTGTGAACCCAGGAGGCGGAGCTTGCAGTGAGCCAAGATCCTGCCACTGCACTCCAGCCTGGGTGACAGAGTGAGACTCTGTCTCAAAAAAACAGGACTCTTCCCTTTGATTGTCACTGTTTTGATATACTTGCTGATTTCTTTTTCTGGTCTTCTTAAAAGTTTTCAAACATTTTATGTGATTAAAAGCCAATGATATCATTTACTAAATAATGAATTATCATCATAAAATAGGGAATCCTTTCCCCATTTCTTGTTTTTGTCAGGTTTGTCAAAGATCAGATAGTTGTAGACATGTGGCATTATTTCTGAGGGCTCTGTTCTGTTCCATTGGTCTATATCTCTGTTTTGGTACCAGTACCATGCTGTTTTGGTTACTGTGGCCTTGTAGTATAGTTTGAAGTGAGGTAGCATGATGCCTCCAGCTTTGTTCTTTTGGCTTAGGATTGACTTCGCGATGCAGGCTCTTTTTTGGTTCCATATGAACTTTAAGGTAGTTTTTTCCAGTTCTGTGAAGAAAGTCATTGGTAGCTTGATGGGGATGGCATTGAATCTATAAATTACCTTGGGCAGTATGGCCATTTTCATGATATTGATTCTTCCTACCCATGAGCATGGAATGTTCTTCTATTTGTTTGTATCCTCTTTTATTTTGTTGAGCAGTGGTTTGTAGTTCTCCTTGAAGAGGTCCTTCACATCCCTTGTAAGTTGGATTCCTAGGTATTTTATTCTCTTTGAAGCAATTGTGAATGGGAGTTCACTCATGATTTGGCTCTCTGTTTGTCTGTTATTGGTGTATAAGAATGCTTGTGATTTTTGCACATTGATTTTGTGTCCTGAGACTTAGCTGAAGTTGCCTATCAGCTTAAGGAAATTTTGGGCTGAGATGATGGGGTTTTCTAGATATACAATCATGTCATCTGCAAACAGGGACAATTTGACATTCTCTTTTCCTAATTGAATACCCTTTATTTCCTTCTCCTGCCTGATTGTCCTGGCCAGAACTTTCAACACTATGTTGAATAGGAGTGGTGAGAGAGGGCGTTCCTGTCTTGTGCCAGTTTTCAAAGGGAATGCTTCCAGTTTTTGCCCATTTAGTATGATATTGGCTGTGGGTTTGTCATAGATAGCTCTTATTACTTTGAGATACATCCCATCAATACCTAATTTATTGAGAGTTTTTAGCATGAAGCGTTGTTGAATTTTGTCAAAGGCCTTTTCTGCATCTATTTAGATAATCATGTGGTTTTTGTCATTGGTTCCGTTTATATGCTGGATTATGTTTATTGATTTGTGTATGTTGAACCAGCCTTGGATCCCAGGGATGAAGCCCACTTGATCATGGTGGATAAGTTTTTGATGTGCTGCTGGATTCGGTTTGACAGTGATTTATTGAGGATTTTTGCATCAATGTTCATCAAGCATATTGGTCTAAAATTCTCTTTTTTGTTGTGTCTCTGCCAGGCTTTGGTATCAGGATGATGCTGGCCTCATAAAATGAGTTAGGGAGGATTCCCTCTTTTTCTATTGATTGGAATAGTTTCAGAAGGAATGGTACCAGCTCCTCCTCGTACCTCTGGTAGAATTTGGCTGTGAATCCATCTGGTCCTGGACTTTTTTTGGTTGGTAAGCTGTTAATTATTGCCTCAATATAAGAGCCTGTTATTGGTCTATTCAGAGATTCAACTTCTTCCTGGTTTAGTCTTGGGATGGTGTATGTGTCAAGGAATTTATCCATTTCTTCTAGATTTTCTAGTTTATTTGCGTAGAGGTGTTTATAGTATTCTCTGCTGGTAGTTTGTATTTTTGTGGGATCGGTGGTGATATCCCCTTTATCATTTTTTATTGCATCTATTTGATTCTTCTCTCTTTTCTTCTTTATTAGTTTTGCTAGCAGTCTATCAATTTTGTTGATCTTTTCAAAAAAACAGCTCCTGAACTCATTGATTTTTTGAAGTGTTTTTTGTGTCCCTATTTCCTTCAGTTCTACTCTGATCTTAGTTATTTCTTGCCTTCTGCTAGCTTTTGAATGTGTTTGCTCTTGCTTCTCTAGTTCTCTTAATTGTGATGTTAAGGTGTCAATTTTAGATCTTTCCTGCTTTCTCTTGTGGGCATTTAGTGCTATAAATTTCCCTCTATGCACTGCTTTAAATGTGTCCCAGAGATTCTGGTATGTTGTGCCTTTGTTCTCGTTGGTTTCAAAGAACATCTTTATTTCTGCCTTCATTCCGTTATATACCCAGTAGTCATTCAGGAGCAGGTTGTTCAGTTTCCATGTAGTTGAGCGGTTTTGAGTGAGTTTCTTAATCCTGAGTTCTAGTTTGATTGCACTGTGGTCTGAGAGACATTTTGTTATAATTTCTGTTCTTTTACATTTGCTGAGGAGTGCTTTACTTCCAACTATGTGGTCAATTTTGGAATAGGTGTGGTGCTGAGAAGAATGTATATTCTGTTGATTTGGGGTGGAGAGTTCTGTAGATGTCTATTAGGTCTGCTTGGTGCAGAGCTGAGTTCAGTTCCTGGTTATCCTTGTTAACTTTCTGTCTTGTTGATCTGTCTAATGTTGACAGTGGGGTGTTAAAGCCTCTCATTATTATTGTGTGGGAGTCTAAGTCTCCTTGTAGGTCACTCAGGACTTGCTTTATGAATCTGGGTGCTCCTGTATGGCTGCATATATATTTAGGATAGTTAGCTCTTCTTGTTGAATTGATCCCTTTACCATTATGTAATGGCCTTCTTTGTCTCTTTTGATCTTTGTTGGTTTAAAGTCTGTTTTATCAGAGACTAGGATTGTAACCCCTGCCTTTTTTTGTTTTCCATTTGCTTAGTAGATCTTCCTCCATCCCTTTATTTTGAGCCTATGTGTGTCTCTGCATGTGAGATGGGTTTCCCGAATACAGCACACCGATGGGTCTTGACTCTTTATCCAGTTTGCCAGTCTGTGTCTTTCAGTTGGAGCATTTAGCCTATTTGCATTTAAGGTTAATATTGTTATGTGTGAATTTGATCCTGTCATCATGATGTTAGCTGGTTATTTTGCTCGTTAGTTGATGCAGTTTCTTCCTAGCATCAATGGTCTTTACAATTTGTCATGTTTTTGCAGTGGCTGGTACCGGTGGTTCCTTTCCATGTTTAGTGCTTCCTTCAGGAGCTCTTGTAGGGCAAGCCTGGTGGTGACAGAATCTCTCAGCATTTGCTTATCTGTAAAGTATTTTATTTCTCCTTCACTTATAAAGCTTAGTTTGGCTGGATATGAATTCTGGGTTGAAAATTCTTTTCTTTAAGAATGTTGAATATTGGCCCCCACTCTCTTCTGGCTTGTAGAGTTTCTGCTGAGAGATCCGCTGTTAGTCTGATGGGCTTCCCTTTGTGGGTAACCCGACCTTTCTCTCTGGCTGCACTTAACATTTTTTCCTTCATTTCAAGTTTGGTGAATCTGACAATTATGTGTCTTGGAGTTGCTCCTCTCGAGGAGTATCTTTGTGGCATTCTCTGTATTTCCTGAATTTGAATGTTGGCCTGCCTTGCTAGATTGGGGAAGTTCTCCTGGATAATATCCTGCAGAGTGTTTTCCAACTTGGTTCCCTTCTCCCCGTTACTTTCAGGTACGCCTATCCGACGTAGATTTGGTCTTTTCACATAGTCCCATATTTCTTGGAGGCTTTGTTCGTTTCTTTTTATTCTTTTTTCGCTAAACTTCTCTTCTCGCTTCATTTCATTCATTTGATCTTCCATCACTAATCCCCTTTCTTCCAGTTGATCACATTGGCTACTGAGGCTTGTGCATTCATCACGTAGCTCTCGTGCCTTGGTTTTCAGCTCCATCAGGTCCTTTAAGGACTTCTCTGCATTGGTTATTCTAGTTATCCATTCGGCTAATCTTTTTTCAAGTTTTTTAACTTCTTTGACATGGGTTTGAACTTCCTCCTTTAGCTCGGAGTAGTTTGATCGTCTGAAGCCTTCTTCTCTCAACTCATCAAAGTCATTCTCCGTCCAGCTTTATTCTGTTGCTGGTGAGGAGCTGGGTTCCTTTGGAGGAGGAGAGGTGCTCTGATTGTTAGAATTTTCAGTTTTTCTGTTCTGTTTTTTCCCCATCTTTGTGGTTTTATCTACCTTTGGTCTTTGATGGTGGTGATGTACAGATGGGGTTTTGGTGTGGATGTCCTTTCTGTTTGTTAGTTTTCCTTCTAACAGTCAGGACCCTCAGCTGCGGGTGTGTTGGAGTTTGCTGGAGGTCCACTCCAGACCCTGTTTGCCTGGGTATTAGCAGTGGAGGCTGCAGAACAGCGAATATTGGTGAACAGCAAATGTTGCTGCCTGATCTTTCCTCTGGAAGTTTTGTCTCAGAGGAGTACCCAGCCATGTGAGGCATCAGTCTGCCCCTAGTGGGGGGTGACTCCCAGTTAGGCTACTCGGAGGTCAGGGACGCACTTGCGGAGGAAGTCTCTCCGTTCTCAGATCTCAAGCTGCATGCTGGGAGAACCACTACTCTTTTCAAAGCTGTCAGCCAGGGACATTTAAGTCTGCAGAAGTTTCTGTTGCCTTTTATTTGGCTATTCCCTGACCCCAAAAGTGGAGTCTACAGAGGCAAGCAGGCCTCCTTGAGCTGCAGTGGTCTCCACCCAGATCGAGCTTCCCGGCTGCTTTGTTTACCTATTCAAGCCTCTGCAATGGTGGGCGCCCTTCCCACAGCCTCGCTGCCGCCTTGCAATTTGATCTCAGACTGCTGTGCTAGCAATGAGCGAGGCTCTGTGGGCATAGGACCCTCCGAGCCAGGTGTGGGTTATAATCTCCTGGTGTGCCATTTGCTAAGACCATCAGAAAAGTGCAGTATTAGGGTGGGAGTGACCCGATTTTCCAGGTGCCATCTGTCATCCCTTTCCTTGGCTAGGAATGGGAATTCCCTGACCCTTTGCGCTTCCTGGGTGAGGTGAGGCCTCGCCCTGCTTCGGATCACACTCAATGCACTGCACCCACTGTCCTGCACCCACTGTCTGACAATCCCCAGTGAGATGAACCTGGTACCTCAGTTCGAAATGCAGAAATCATTCGTCTTCTGCATCGCTCATGCTGGGAGCTGTAGACTGGAGCTGTTCCTATTCGGCCATCTTGGCTGGATTCAGGAACTCATTTTTGTAAAGATTACCAAAATAGATAGACTGCTAGCCAGAGTAATAAAGAAGAAAAAAGAGAAGAATCAAATAGATGCAATAAAAAATGATAAAGTGGATATCACCACTGATCCCACAGAAATACAAACTACCATCAGAGAAGACTATAAACACCTCTACACAAATAAACTAGAAAATCTAGAAGAAATGGGTAAATTCCTGGACACATAGACCCTTCCAAGCCTAAACCAGGAAGAAGTTGAATCCATGACTAGAACTAAAACAAGTTCTGAAATTGAGACAGCAACTACTAGCCTACCAACAAAAAAAAGTCCAGGACTGGATGGATTCACAGCCAAATTTTACTTGAGGTACAAAGAGGAGCTGGTCCTATTCCTTTTGAAACTATTCCAAACAACAGAAAAAAGAGAGAATGCTCCCTAACTCATTTTATGAGGTCAGCATCGTCCTGATACCAAAATCGGGCAGAGACACAACAACAACAAAAAATTTCAGGCCAATATCCCTGATGAACATCAATGCGAAAATCCTCAATAAATTACTGGCAAACTGAATCCAGCAGCACATCAAAAAGCTTATCCACCACGATTAAGTTGGCTTCATCCCTGGTATGCAAGGCTGGTTCAACATATGTAAATCAATAAACACCATCCATCACGTAACAGAACCAATGACAAAAACCACATGATTATCTCAATAGATGCAGAAAAGGCCTTTAACAAAATTCAATGCCCTTCATGCTAAAAATTCCTAATATACTAGGTATTGATGGAATGTATTTCAAAATAATAAGAGCTATTTATGACAAACCCAGAGCCAATATCATACTGAATGGGCAAAAACTGGAAGCATTCGCTTTGAGAACCGGCACAAGACATGTATGTCCTCTCTCACCACTCCTATTCAACAGAGTATTGGAAGTTCTGGCCAGGGTAATAAGGCAAAAGGAAGAAATAAAGCGTATTCAAATAGGAAGAGAGGAAGTCAAATTGTCTCTGTTTGCAGATGACATGATTGTGTATTTATAAAACCCCATCATCTCAGCCCAAAATATCCGTAAGCTGATAAGCAATTTCGACGAAGTCTCAGGATACAAAATCAATGTGCAAAAATCATAGGCATTCCTATACATCAATGATAGACCAAAGGAGAGCCAAATCATGAGTGACGTCCATTCGCAATTGCTACAAAGAGAATAAAATACCTAGGAATACAACTTACAAGGGATGTGAAGGACCTCTTCAAGGAGAACTACAAACCATTGATCAAAGAAATAAGAGAGGACACAAACAAAATGGAAAAACATTCCATGCTCATGGATAGGAAGAATCAGTATTGTGAACATGGCGACACTGCCCAAAGTGATTTATAGATTCAATGCTATCCCCATCAAGCTACGATTAACTTTCTTAACAGAATTAGAAAAAAACGACTTTAAATTTCATATGGAACCAAAAAGAGCCCATATAGCCAAGACAATCCTAAATAAAAAGAACAAAGCTGGAGGCATCACGCTACCTGACTTTAAACTATACTGCAAGGCTCAGTAACCAAAACAGCATGGTACTGGTACCAAAACAGATATATAGACCAATGGAACAGAACAGAGGCCTCGGAAATAACACCACGCATCTATAACCATCTCATCTTTGACAAACCTGACAAAAACAAGCAATGGGGAAAGGATCCTTTATTTAATAAATGTTGTTGGGAAAACTGGCTAGCCATATGCAGAAAACTGAAACTCGACCCTTTTCTTACACTTTATATTCAAGATGGATTAAAGACTTAAATGAAAGACCTAAAACCATAAAAACCCTAGAAGAAAACCTAGACAATACCATTCAGGACCTAGGCATGGGCAAAGACTTCATGACCAAAACACCAAAAGCAATGGCAACAAAAGCCAAAATTTACCAATGGGATCTAATTAAACTAAAGAACTTCTGTACAGCAAAAGAAACTATCATTAGAGTGAACAGGCAACCTAAAGAATGGGAGACAATTTTTGTAATCTGTCCATCTGACAAAGGGCTAATATCCCAAATCTACAAAAACTTAAACAAATTTACAAATTTCTTGGGGGCTGGTGGGCTAGGGGAGGGATAGCATTAGGAGAAATACCTAATGTAGATGACGGTTTGATGGATGCAGCAAACCACCATGGTAGGCATATACCTATGTAACAAACCTGCACATTCTGCACATGTATCCCAGAACTTAAAGTATAATAAAATTAAAAAAATCAATTGGCATACGAAAGTTCAGATGAGAAGGAGGTAAACAATAATCCAAATAAGTGTATTAGTTTTGTAACATTAATAAATCACTATTGTCAGTAAAGTGTGTGTAACAATGTAGCAGCATACAGAAAAGTACCATGATTATTTTTTCTCTGCTGGGCTGCTGGAGTCATCAGTTTGATAAATCCAACGGTGGTGTTCTGATGGCCACTTCAGGAACAGAAGGATGTACAATACTGGAAAACACATCACTTTGCTTTTTTCTTTACCATTTACATTTCCTTTAGGAACAGAAAAGTGTATTTTGGGTTGAAGAAATACAGAGTGTGATAACAAATTAGCCTGACGGTGAAGACTGTCTATCTGGAATCTAATCTAGTAGGATCTTGAATTCAGGTGGAAGGAAAGTGACCTGAACCTCACTGGCCAATGAACTTTGTCCTCAAATCAAGGTAATAATAATAAAAGAAGTTTCTCCTCAATTGACATATAGGCAAACATACAATAGAAATCCCACTCTTAGAACATGTCCTGCAATTTTTGAAGATAGGTCTTTAGGATGATTCTCATATATAGTTAATTTCATCATTCTCAGTGATACAAAAACTTTTGATGCTTAACTTCTACAAAACAGAACATTTTAAGAAACAGATAATAACATCTGATATCTGCTAATGTCTTATTTAATAACTTGCTGTCTGTGCAACCTGATGTAATTTGGCTTTCCAACAATTGCACAATTATAAGTCAAATGTCTGAGCTAGCATAATTTAGTGGAAATTAATTTAATTACATAGCCATGTTATATAAAGTTTTTAGAAACTATGTCATCTGACTTTCTTCCAATAATCTTTGCAGGGGACCCTTCATTTTAAGAATAAGGATTTAGAGAGATACACACACACTAGCTTCAATGAATGTCATCTCTCCATATGCTCACAATTAACTTATGAGTAGACAGTCATTTTGAAACACTCACTTATCAACAAAATGACAGAATTCTCCTATCCCCAAGTGAGTAGCATGTTGAAAGGTAGGCTGAAATATTTGTACAGATTTATTTGCCAGTTATCTCTAAGTATCTTAAATATGAGGTGGATGGTTCTTCTTTGGAACATAGGTTCTCAGAGAATAAAATAATTTTACACAGTGCTCAAGCTGTGAAGCTACTGAATAAATGTAAATTCCTGGTGATTGTAAAGATGGGAAGTAAGTGTGTTGACATTTTGAAAAGGTTAGCTTGCAATTTGAAATGGGACATAAGCAACTGCCTCAACACACAAGCAAGAATATAGTTTCTGCTTAGGAATCTGCCATCAAAACTATGTGAGTTCATGTAGACATTCACTGAAGCTAGATAGAATGAAATATCTGAGCAGCATCTCTTTAGAATGGTCTTCCTTTGTGAAATACGCCAGTGATGAGGGCTATTTATCCTGCCAAGAAGCTCAGCATCATGCTACCCCAGTGTGTTTGCATCCAAGAAGAGACATCATTCAACTGGCACAAGACAGGGATGCCTTCTCTCACCACTCCTATTCAACATAGTGTTGGAAGTTCTGGCCAGGGCAATCAGGCAGGAGAAGGAAATAAAGGGCATTCAATTAGAAAAACAGGAAGTCAAATTGTCCCTGTTTGCAGATGACATGATTGTATATCTAGAAAACCCCATCGTCTCAGCCCAAAATCTCCTCAAGCTGATAAGCAACTTCAGCAAAGTCTCAGGACACAAAATCAATGTGCAAAAATCACAAGCGTTCCTATACACCAATAACAGACAAACAGAGAGCCAAATCATGAGTGAACTCCCATTCACAATTGCTTCAAAGAGAATAAAATACCTAGGAATCCAACTTACAAGGGATGTGAAGGACCTCTTCAAGGAGAACTACAAACCACTGCTCAATGAAATAAAAGAGGATACAAACAAATGGAAGAACATTCCATGCTCATGGGTAGGAAGAATCAATATTGTGAAAATGGCCATACTGCCCAAGGTAATTTATAGATTCAATGCCATCCCCATCAAGCTACCAATGACTTTCTTCACAGAATTGGAAAAAACTACTTTAAAGTTCATATGGAACCAAAAAAGAGCCCACATCGCCAAGTCAATCCTCAGCCAAAAGAACAAAGCTGGAGGCGTCACGCTTCCTCACTTCAAACTATAGTACAAGGCCACAGTAACCAAAACAGCATGGTACTGGTACCAAAACAGAGATATAGACCAATGGAACAGAACAGAGCCCTCAGAAATAATGCCCCATATCTACAACTATCTGATCTTTGACAAACCTGACAAAAACAAGCAATGGGGAAAGGATTCCCTATTTAATAAATGGTGCTGGGAAAACTGGCTAGCCATATGTAGAAAGCTGAAACTGGATCCCTTCCTTACACCTTATACAAAAATCAATTCAAGATGGATTAAAGACTTAAACGTTAGACCTAAAACCATAAAAACCCTAGAAGAAAACCTAGGCATTACCATTCAGGACATAGGCATGGGCAAGGACTTCATGTCTAAAACACCAAAAGCAATGGCAACAAAAGACAAAATTGACAAATGGGATCTAATTAAACTAAAGGGCTTCTGCACAGCAAAAGAAGCTACCATCAGAGTGAACAGGCAACCTACAGAATGGGAGAAAATTTTTGCAACCTACTCATCTGACCACGGGCTGATATCCAGGATCTACAATGAACTCAAACAAATTTACAAGAAAAAAACAAACAACCTCATCCAAAAGTGGGTGAAGGATATGAACAGACACTTCTCAAAAGAAGACATTTATGCAGCCAAAAAACACATGAAAAAATGCTCAGCATCACTGGCCATCAGAGAAATGCAAATCAAAACCACAATGAGATACAATCTCACACCAGTTATAATGGTGATCATTAAAAAGTCAGGAAACAACAGGTGCTGAAGAGGATGTGGAGATATAGGAACACTTTTACACTGTTGGTGGGACTGTAAACTAGTTCAACCATTGTGGAAGTCGGTGTGGTGATTCCTCAGGGATCTAGAACTAGAAATACCATTTGACCCAGCCATCCCATTACTGGGTATATACCCAAAGGATTATAAATCATGCTGCTATAAGGACACATGCACATGTATGTTTATTGCGGCATTATTCACAATAGCAAAGACTTGGAACCAACCCAAATGTCCAACGATAGACTGGATTAAGAAAACGTGGCACATATACACCATGGAATACAATGCAGCCATAAAAATGATGAGTTGATGTCCTTTGTAGGGACATGGATGAAACTGGAAACCATCATTCTCAGCAAACTATCACAAGGACAAAAAACCAAACATCACATGTTCTCACTCATAGGTGGGAATTGAACAATGAGAACACATGGACACAGGAAGGGGAACATCACACACTGGGGACTGTTGTGGGGTGGGGGGCGGGGAGAGGGATAGCATTAGGAGATATACCTAATGCTAAATGAGGAGTTAATGGGTGCAGCACACCAACATGGCACATGTATACATATGTAACAAACCTGCACATTTTGCACATGTACCCTAAAACTTAAAGTATAATAATAATAAAATTTAAAAAAAAAGAAATTGACCATATATTTCTGTAAATACTTAGTTCCGTTCATTTATTCTTAACGTAACTTAAAAATATTTATCAAGCAGCTATCAGTGTTCAGGCACTGTTTCAGATCCTTAATTGATAACACTTTTATTAAATAATGTGAGCGTATTGGCCCAGTCTATACCATGCTTTCTGACAGAGTGAATATCCAAGATTATTTATTGAATAAGTAATACAAATTCAAATTAAAATTTGACAATAATATACCCTTAAAGACGGTAGAGGGAAAACAAATTACTTTCTGAGCTACCATTCGATGCAGAAAATAGTGCAAAAATTTTTATGAGCAGAAAAAGAATTTTATCTAAATATTATCATTACTCACATTTTATTTTTCTCAAAATTTCCTTTTTAAATCCTTATACATAATTCCTAGTTTTTACTATATTGTCTTTTATAGAAAATGATATTAATAGAGCAGCCTTAAGAAGTCATCTTTTCCACTTCCTGCAAGCCTCCTACTTACTGAATACATTTTAATCCAGTGAACTTCTAAAGACCCCTAAGACATCATTATCCACCATTTCACCTCTGACTCACCTCAGCCCACACCAAAAGCTTAATTTTCTTTTCTTTTTAGTAAACGTCTGTGGTTAAAATGATAGATAACTAGCAGACAGGAACTCATATTTGAAGAAGTTTAAATTTTGTCATTGCTAACACAAGATAGAAATGAGATGATATACAGTACAGCTCTTAATCCTCTTAAATTACAAGAAAGCAATAACAGGGAGGTACAGGTCCCATTCTGTGTCTTGATAATGTATGAAGCTCTATATCAGTGTTTTTCAATGTGTAGTTCCCCAAACCAGAAGCATCAGCATCACCTGGGAACATTTTAGAAATTAACTCTGGGAATGGGACCCCAGTCATCTATTTTAACAGATCCTTCTGGTGATTCTAATGCACTGAAAATTTTGACAACCACGGTTCTACATTTTTGCATATTATCTCTCTTTACTCTGCTGCCTCACTTGTTCTTCTAATTTAAGAAATGATCAAATATAAATGTTAAAAAGAAGCCATTAGTCTCCATTATCAATCTATTTAAATGCATTTTTCAATCACTTAGCTAAAATCTGGACACAGGGTCACCGGGAGAAGATGACTAGGTCTGGGTAGAACAAGTTCTGAGAGAAGGTCAATGGGAAGTCTGAGAGGGTGCTGTGCAGTTTCTGAAACAAAGGGAATCATTAGTGTATATCATGAAATCCAGCAACAAAACGTCCTGAGTTATTAGGAGATCTCAAGCACATAGTGAATCAGTGTTCGGGACACTGTTTCAAATTCGAGTTAAAAAAATAATATCCCTAGGCCCTAATATGAATGAGAAACAATCCAACAAAACACATTTCATTACTGAAAAACCATTTAAGTTAAGAAAGTCAGAATTATACTGCTGGAAAGTTAACGGACGCAAAAGTCACAAATTATGTGGAGTTTGCACATTGTCCCATGTCTGCATGGGTTTTCTCCAGATACTCAGGTTTCTACTCATGTCCCAAAGATGTGCACCTTAGGTTCATTGGTATGTCTAAATGGTCTCCGCCTCAGTGAGTCTGTGTGTGTGTGTGTGTGGGCGTCCTATAATGGAAGTGCATCCTGTGCAGGGTGGATTCCATCTAGCACCTTGAGCTGCCAAGAGATGCTTCAGTGATCTGTGACCCTGAACTGAAGTAAGCGGGTAAACTATTGTCTTACTTAACTACTCTTTCTTAAATTTATGTATAACTCACATTTTCTTTAACGTTTAATACTAGAAGTGTTTTAGATCTTTGTCTAAAAGTTTGGTGATTTTTTTTATGATCAGAAATAAGCCATAGGAATGAATCTAATTTTGTTTATATCAATTAGCCTATAGTAAAATTGGTTTGTTATACATTGCTTCATTTAAAGTTGCAGTTTCCAAGAACCTATTTAACGATATTGAGGATTTACTGTACTTATTAGGTGTATGATCACAGGCAATTATTTCACCACTGAGTGTCTCAGTTTCCTCCTCTGTAAAATAAGAATTACCACCTCCTAGGATTACTATTTTAATTTAAAAAGTTAATATTTATATTCTAACCAATATTTAAAAGATATATTTGTAAAGACTAGCATCTGGAACATGGTATGAATTACAAAAACGTTTATTAATGGACATATGTCCTATTGATATCCTAATTACAGTTTCAAGGAAATATGCATGAAAATATGCCTAGAGTTAAAAATAAAACTATATATAAAATGAAAATATGTATTAGATATAAAAATCTTACATATAGCATTGCTTTTATTAATTGAACCTTCCTGACAATTTTTTTCCGGCCAGTTTCTGTTGAGACAATGCAATTTATTCAAGACATTATCTCTTTTGCAAAGTGTTTCTTATGCACTTATAATGAAAAGGGCAAAGATTGAAAGTGTGCTTATATTAATTACAATTAGTAGAAGATAGGTCCAGGTGATTACTGTTAATGGACATAAAAATGTATGTATTAAGAGCAGACCTTGGATTGCTAGTATATAGCACTACACAGTCCATATATTTAAAAGTTTCTATTAAATAAATTATTCAAATGGCATGTGTTGTTTGTATAAATTATATAGTTATATACTTTGTAATTGCGGTAATTCATTTTCATGATAACCAAAAACCATCAAAGGAAAAAACTTTCACAAAGGAAAGCATATTTTTAGAAGCAGCATCCGTAAAAACTTTTATTTGATGAAAAATTCTTTTCAGCACTATATTAAGTATTGTCCAAGGAAAATACAAGAAATGTCATCATGCTATTTTGAAGAGGCAAATGTACAGACTGCTAATAGGTAGAACACAAACTATGTCCACACAAGAAAATGCTATCGGTTTATCAATATTGAAAAAAATGGTCACTCAACCTTCAATTTAACCTCCATTTCCCAACAGAAAATCCCTATTTTATTTTACAAATTTTCAAATGCCTATTTCACTTCCTTTATGTGGAAATAGCCAAAAATTTTAACCACCTTTTCTGTATGAAAATGAACAACTTAAAATAATGTATCCTGTCAAGTAATTGCTGGTCCAGCTACAGAAGCTAGAGAAAAGTCACACCCTTTTGTCTTTCTCACTGATAGTTTGGGTTACTTCTTGAAAGACTATCATCAATCATGTCTAGAGCAAGGTTCTAGTATTTCTTTTGACATAGTTAAAGCATCATCCTTATAAAATAGCCCTCTCCCTCTAGGGAGTGTATAGCAGTGTAATTGCCAGAAAAATCCAGAATCAAAATTCCACTGTCCCGGTAAAGCAATATTGCCACTTTTAGATGACAAATATGCCTTTCTTCTCACTGTGATCTCTGCTCTTTGTCTCTGCATTTTCCTTCTAGTTTGTTTCTGAAAAAAAAAAAAAAAACCTCAAAATAATTAAAGACATAGTTAAGACAATGCTTCATATGATACACATGTGCAAATTATTTTATTATGAATATGAAATAATTAGTCAATAAAACTTGGTATTGCTAAAACACAGATAAGGTATAAAGACACCCATAGTTCTCCAGCATGAGAGAGTTCACTTTAGGAACAGGTGCAGGCTAAAAGTTATGCTTTCCATCTGAAAGGAAAGATTGTAAACTAGAAGATATCACAGCAGAGAGGACATAACACTGAGAAAACTGAGAAAGAGGAAACATTCAAAGAATGACCAGAAGAATGAGACAATAAACTAAAGAACTGGATCTTAATTTGGAAAAAATTTATTGAAAATTATAAGTTTTTGGCATTAGGCATTGTAAGAAAACATTATTAGAGGAAGTAACAATAATTAATACAGTTGATTAAGACTTTGATATATGAAAATCTGAACTTTGAGCATGTACTGATACAGAGATTAATAATATTATTCAACTGGGAAAATGATCAAGATAATAATCACAATAATAATGATAAAACTTATATAATACATCAAACATTGTGGTAGGCAATTTATAGACAATATTTTATGCAGTCCTCAAATAAATATTTAAGGTATACCGTATTCCCTTTTGCAGAAATCAAGGCTACAATGGGTGGGTGACTTGCCCACCAGTCACTGGTGGTGCTAGTACTAGGAACACATTTGCCTAACAACAAAGCTAGTGTTCTTATATCACTAAACAAACAACAAAGGCAGGGTTTTACTGTAGAATACAATGAGCTACAAAAAAATATGTCATCAAAACTCAGACAATGAGAGAAATGAACACTGAGAGAATGAGAAAAAAGACCACATTTTTAACAGTATCTGCACAGGTATTTTCAGCATTTACATAGTAAGAAGAAATTGGAAGTTAATATGAGTGCCATGTATATACTATTTAAAATTTGTCAAACAAATAATCATGTTTATATAAATGGCATATTGTTTCCATTTTATAAAGTTTATTTACTCATTTTTCATTAATAATTTTGCTAATTTGAAAAGTCTTAAATTAAAGGAATGATTTTATATAGCTACCTGGACTTTAAGAACACCAATTTAATTTTGCTATCAAAATTCTAGTACACAGAGTGAACAGATAAGTACTACTAATTTCGGAATGATGTCTTATCAGGCTTGCAAAAGATTATCATAATTCATTATCATTACTGAATACATATTTTATATTTTCTGAATTGTATTAAACATAACTCATTGAAGATAATCTATATACATCAAAGGCAATCTTCATCAAACATATCAAATGCTGTCTAGAGATAAGCTCACTCACTTCTCTATTTCCCATCTGGGATGGTGCTAGCAACGCAACTGTGTCCTGTGCTTCTTTTTCCCATTTCAACCTTCACAGAAGAAAATAAGCCCTGGGCACTGCTGATAGCAGCAATCACCTTTATGAGGCAGTCAAGTAATAAAACAAGCTTTGTTTAGTTTTGTTTTTTTTTTTTCCATATGCCTTTTGTAATTTCAACCCAGGAGGAAAGTGGCAAGAGAAGTGATAGAAAAATACAACAGAATGATCAGACAAACATTCTCCATTGCCTTATATTCCCTTCAGAGCATCGTGAAATGCAGTGTCAGTTATTCCTACATCAAAACTATATCAATATATTCAACTGGCCTTTAGATGGTTTAGGATGATTATTCATATTGACAATTTTCTCTATTCTGATATTGGTGCTTTCTCCCTAAGTGCCTGCATCTTCATGTTAACAGCAAGGGACTTTTGTATCTCTGACAATCTACAGTGAGCAGAATTAGCCTCCACTCTTGAAAAAAATAAAACAGAATGAGTTTCTATGATCTACATTTTGTATTTCATCTTATACCATGAGTTTTGTCATTGAAAAGAAAGTATAAGATAACTACCTATCGCCACTTGCATGCCAAATCAGATGGAGACTTCTCTCATTTTCCTGTTCGAAATTTTGCAATGATTAACCACCTCTTCCTAATATTGAGAAGCTTTTGTTGGTTACTTATCATATGTCAGGCATTGTGCTTTATATTATTAATCCTTAAAACAATTATAAAGGACAGAAACCATTATTGTTCCAATTTTACAGCTGAGGAAATGAAACTCAGAGAGAGAAAATCACTCTCCATGAAGTCTTGCCCAAGATCACAATGGTAGGAAATTGTAATTAGAGATAAAACTCTTTGTTACTAGGAGTCACATTCTCATTCACTCTGCTCTTCTGCCTCTCGTTTGAAACTTTCCTTCCCATTGATTTCCAGGACATGGTTTGCTCATGGATCTTATCACACCTTTATGAAGCATTCTTTACCACTGTTTCCACTTCCTGTACCTGTCTATTAAAAGCTATGACTGCATTTTTATTACATCTCCTCTCTATTACACATCCAAGAGAATTGAGCTCACATATTTCTATCAATAATCACTTATATTTCAATGACCTCTATATCTAGATATGCACTCACATCAGTCTTCAATTCCAAGATTAAATTCCTATTTTTCTATATCTTTTTGCTATTTCACATAGGCCTCTCAAATTTAACATGTCCAAATATGAGTTCATTTCGTCCTCCAACCATCTCTTGAATTTCCTATGTCATTTATGAGATACCAACATCTGCCATTTTAATGTGGCATAATTGCACCCAGTCTTGAAACCTAAGAATTGTCTTAGACTTTCCCCTGTAGCTCATACACTTGTACTCCATTTTTCCATCTTATTTTTGACCAAACACTCTTTACACTACCTCTCCATGTCTCTTTATCCCATCTCTTTCTGTGAATTAAGATAGTCTTCATGGCAGACCTCATTAATCTCCTCTGGGCAACTAAAATTTTGTCCTATTTTTCCCCTTGTTTCCATTCTCAGTCCTCTTTAATATGGATTAAACTTCTGGAATTACGTATTTCAAACTAAAATCTTATTCACTTAACTACTGCAAAACACTCAATCTCCTTAGCAACTATAAGATAAATCTAAGTTCCTAGGTTCAGAGCATTTCTGGATCTCACCCATTTTATTTATTAAACCTAAGTATTTGCTGCTCCTGCTCTTGAATCCCATACTTAGGTGCACATGGAATTGCTAGAAATTCTCCATGCTTTGAGTGCTGGCATACAATGTTGCAATGCCTATATTCCTTTTTGTCATTTTCTTTACCCAGGTATTCATTCACTACAAGTGACTATAGTTGCACATGGTCATACCATATTGTTATTCCTTCCTTTGTGATCATACACATACTACTGTTAAATCATTTCTCAAAATGAATTATAATGTTTTATTTACATTACTGGCTATAAGCTCCTTCAGATCATAGACTGTAATTCATCTTCATTTAAGCAGTGCCTGCAAATGCCATAATAGGACAAAATAAATATTTATTGGATAAAGTAATGTCTGATAAATAGATGGATGGGAAATGTCATATGTTCTGGACTTTAATATACAGAAAGGAAGAAATTGAATCTAGTTCAGTTCCACTGTCACAAATAACTAAATGTATATTTTGTTTATCACTCTTTAAAATAAAATAATACTTCCTTTAATAACATGCCTTTTTATAAATAAAATGTATATTTTCTTAAAGTCATTGAAGAGAAAAAATATCTGCATATTTCTAGTTACTACAATTAAAAGATTTAAACTATTATTAAATAAAATAATAGCTTAACACAAATTTTAACATATAACAAGCTCTCAAAAAATGTTGTTTAGAGATATCAATTACCTAAAACAAAACATTGAAAATTTAAATTTCTTAAAGTAGTCATTGAATTTAGAAATACTTCTTTTTAAGTAAAATGTGATCAGATGCCTTACTTTAAAGATTCTATGACAAACTTAGATGAGATATAAAAGAAAGCATTTATCTTCAAACAGCCACCCCCTAAATTACTCAAATAAAATGTATCAATGTAGCACATGAAGTAACTTGAATAACCTTATGTGTGATCCTCTAACTATTGAGTCAAACTGAGTATGGAGAATCTTAATCTTTAAAGTGGACATATTTCCACCATCAGATGACACTTTCAAATGTAATTTGATGAATTATATCAAAAGGAAAAAAAAACATGTTTAAGATATTCCATAAAGGCAATCTCTTTCAACTCTTGTTGAAATAAAAATGTGGTAGGCCTTTGTTTGTTATCTAATGAATGCTAAATAAAATACTGTCTAACGTTTCTAAGATGAAGCAAGAACTGTTATTAATGGAGCACAAAAGTATAGTAAATGAATATTCAGTAGTTTTGCGAAAACTGATTGGATTTTCAATTGCATTTAAAATGGCTATTCGAATCAATAGCCTATTATTTCAGTTGACATAGTCTATTTCATAAATATGGAATATAATAATTATAAGTGCTGTTGTCAATAGGCTAGAGGTTAATTGCAAAAACAGCCAGAATGCCAGTGTTGGCTGGGTAATATTCAAAACTGAGTCAAGTGTGATGAAACGTTTGTGTATCTATAAGGAATGTTTCAAAACTAAACTTGCATTCAGTTGAAGGTTACTGTAAAAAGCTTCCACAAATACTATGTACAAATACTAAATCACATCTAGGAAGCTATCAGCAGCTAGTAATTTAAAAGTGTAAAAGCTCAAAATTCAATAAATAATGCCTTTTACTTTAAATATGGCTATGTGAATTTTCAGTATTTCCCAATGTACGCTATTGTTAGGTAACATGGTCTTCTACAGATTCCTTGTTATTCTTAACACCTCATATTATTTATATAAACCTTTATATAAATTGGCTAAGTCTGGGTTTACCTGGGATTTATTTAGAAATACATATTTACAAAAGCTAAAAACAGGAAACTATGAAAATGAAAAAAAGAATGTAATATAATTACATAATTATTTTACTTATTGAATTTTTATTATAATGAGGTTCTTAGCTTTATACTTACTGAAATTTGAAGTACAAAAATACTGCATTTAGATAAAATAATGCAGTAGCACATAAATAAATAAATATATAAATAAATTATTCTTTCTCTTCTTCAATTCTATATGTTCTCAAATGTAACAAATATCAAAGTTTGGTATATAGCATTCCACATGTGACTCTCTATGCATGTAAACTGTTGAAACTAAAGGCATATATTTTCCTACAAACACTATTAAAATGTACACATAAGTCTACTACTACACTTAATACTTATCATATTTTGTTGTTTTTTAAAATAATCTTTTTGCTTTTAATTGGGTATGATTGACATACCAAAAATTGTACATATTTAATGTACATACCTTAATGAACATGAAGTATATACCTGTGAAACCATAAGCAAAGCCATAAACATAACAATCACCTGTAAATGTTTTCTTCCTTCTTTTTGTTGTTGTTGTAAAAACATTTAACATAAGTGCTACCCTATTAACAAATCTTAATGCATACAATACAGTATTTTTAGTTATAGGCACTATGTTGTACTGTAGATTTCTAGGACTTATTCATTTTGTGACTGAAACTGTACCCTTTGATCAACGTCTCCCCAATTCCTCTTCCCCAGAGGTCCTGGTAATGGCTTCCCCTCAGCCATTCTAGTGTTTTCATGAGGTTGACTTTTAGAATACACAATTTTTATGAGTGTACATAACTAGATAAAGCACACGCTGAGCCATAAAACAAGATTTAATATATTTAAAAAATTAAAATCATACAGAATAATTTTTCTGATCTAATAGAATTCAACATTAGGAAATTAAAACATACAATTATGAGTAACTCCCGGGTCAAATTAGATATCACAGTGGAACTTGTTAAATGTTTGAAACTAAATTATAATGAAAATACAAAATATCAAAGTTTCTGAGATCAGATGAAGCAGTGCATTGAGGAATTTAAACCTGCAAATATTGCTATTAAAAAGAAAGGGGACCAGGTATGGTGGTGCACACCTGTTATTCCAGCACTTTGGAAAACTTGAGTCCAGGAGTTCAATAACAGCCTGGGCAACAGAGCAAGACCCCATCTATCTCTCCAAAAATAAAAATAAATTAGTTATGCATGTTGGCCTCTGTCTGTAGTCCCAGTTACTTGGAAAGCTGAGGCAGGAGGATCACTTGAACACAGGAGTTCGAGGTTGCAGTGTACTATGATAATGCCACTGCACTACAGCCTGGGCAACAGAGTGAGACCCTTTCTCTAAAAAGAAAAAAATAGAATAAAGGATATGGGATTATATTTGCATGTAGAGAAAGTAAGGATATAATTTTTAATAAGGTTTCATTTTATTGGGAAAGATAGAGTATACATATAATTAGCTATATATTAGAAGAAATACATCATCTAAGACTAGATATTTAAATGTAACAATAAAAATTTAACACAATATTTCTATTACATTGTGTTACTTACTCTTAAATAGAAAAGCCAGAACCCATAAAGGAAAATACTAATAAACTTGAGTTCATACAAATTTAAAACATCTCAATGACAAACAATACCGTAAACGGCATTAAAAGACAAATTACAAATTATGAGAAAAATTTGCAATTTTTATGTCAGTCAAAATATAAATCTTTAATATACATAGGAAATTTATGAATTAATTTGAGAATATTAATAAAATAATTCAATTCTAAAAAGAAAGAAAATTGGGAGATAGAAAAGTCATTTAGTTTTATTTGGAATCAGGTAAATGCCACTTAAAAAATAATATACCACTTTTTAAATCCATAATATTGTCAACAAATTTAAAAAATTTATAACGTCATGTTAGCAAGGGTATAAGGGGCTTCTTTTTGCATGTTTTTTTTAACTTACTGTCTGTAATTGGAGTGTTAAGATTCTATAGTGACATTTGAAGCATAATAAACTTGAGAGCAAGAGTAAGAAGAACTAGCTTGTGAATACTTAAAAAATAAAAACCACTGATTTGTAAGACTGGACAGTCAAGAATAAAGGCAGGCACAGAAAACATGGAGAAGCAGAAACGCAATCATATCAGGAGTAGGTCAAACTTCACCTCAATAGGAGCTGTTTAAAAATAATAATAAAATCTATGGACCTATCATGCAGGAGAAAATTGCTTCAACTTCCCCAGCAGGGCACTAAAACTACTAGTTGCAGTGCAAAAGAATCTCATGGTTTCCCAGGGCCTGCAATTCACTTCCCCTACAGGGAAATCGCCACTAAGCATTTTCTTCTTATTGGGAAGAGTAAAGTATAGTCGAATCTGTCTGGCTCCGTGGCCAGACAGACTGCATCAAAATCCCTGCTTGCTACCTTAGTTTGAAGCAGTTTCTTCATCTAAAAATATGTGGATATTACCTATGATGTGAGGATTAAATAAAAGAGCAGTGAATGTGAACAGCACAGTGCTTGACATAGTGGAGGTGTGCAGCAAAAGTTAATCCTCCTTCTTTCCTACTTCCTGGGAAAATCAAAGAATCAGGGATGCTGTAGTTGAGTAAGTAAATTAGCCAACCCTTTGACTCCATGTCAACTGAAAGGATCATTCGAGGAATTGTCAGAAAAGAAACAGCTTTTTAAAAATTCACAAATTGAATTTAATCAAGTGAGTTAAAAAATAAAGCCAACAACTGCTTGGTGTTTGCAGCTTTAAATGACTGTTTTCAGGTTTATCTCCTTATTTCATCCTTAGGTACAGTGGCAAAAACATTGTAGTTATGGTTTGAA
Organism: Homo sapiens; assembly: GCF_000001405.40. Lineage (NCBI taxonomy): Eukaryota > Metazoa > Chordata > Mammalia > Primates > Hominidae > Homo > Homo sapiens. Next base: position 183,958,477 of record NC_000002.12, on the reverse strand, counting down.
AAATGTTGTTCAAGTCCCAAGTGTTTATTAGACAAATCAGCTACCATCTCTCACTCACAATCTATTTAATGAGAAAGAAGCATTAAGAACCACTTCACCATGAATAAGAATCAAAATAATAATTGTCTATAAAAATCTTTCTTTTGGCCAAATACAAACATCCTTTTCTTGGTTTGGTTTCCACCAGAAACAAACACTGAGATAGTAAATTTAGAACGGGTAGTTTTTGAGTTATACAAATTTAAAACACTAGGAGGGTAAACAAGTGAAAGAGAGGAAGGAGAAAAGAGTGTGACAGATTAGAGATGGCCACACAGTTTTCAGCCCCTGAGATTGAGAGGTTACCCCTTCAATTAAGCATGACGCCCTGGTAAAAGGAGAAGGGGTCATGATTTCTCTGACAAATAGAATATGGCAGAGGGGCCCCATGCCAATTTCTAGGTCAAAGCCTTAAGAGACTGGCAGCTTCACCTTCTGTCTCTTGAAACACTTGGCATCAGGGCAGTAAACAGCCATGTATGAAGTCCAATTACCTGTTAAGAGAGACCAAGTGGGAAGGTCCTAATAGTTCATGGAGAGGGAGAGAGATCCAGCTGGGCTCAGGTTTCCAGATGTCCTCATAGAGGCACTAGGAATGTGAACAAAGTCAGCAAAATTATTTTGGATCCTCAGTATCATCCCTGCCACCAGCTGATTACTACTGAGTGTCCCCAGTTGACGTGATATGTATCAGAAGAAATGTACAGCTGGGCTTTGCCCAAAGGTGTAAATTATAAAAATTGAAAAATTCAGTAAAATGATTGGTGTTGAAGCCACTAATACTTGGAGTAGTTTGTTAAATGCCAATAAATATTCCAAAAAAAATAGCAGTAAAAAGAGGGTATCATCAAGCCAGCTATCACTGTGAGTGAATGAAACTTAATCCTATAAGAAAAATTTGGGAAATGATGTCAAACTTAAAGTTATGCTACTTGGAAGATGAGAGAGCTGGAATACTTATATGTGAACTTATTGTTTGATGACTGCTGAACAATGGTTGTCAATTCTGTAGCATATCGGACTTGGTGAATCCTAAGAGGTACAGCACAGTATACAGTATCTGCCACCATTCTATACAAATGTATAGGTCTTCCTTTGCCTTTCTTCTGCTAACATATTCAACTTTGATTCTGATTCTAGTGCTTTTATTTCCCCAAAAAGCGTTTTCAAAAATCTGAAAACATTCATGTGTTTTGAAGAAATCAGATAAAAATTTGTTTGAATTTTTATTTATTTATTTATTTTGACCTTTCTAGTCTTATCCTTACAGTTTTTTTAAAAAAATCATCTTGTGTAAACCCTAAAACAAAGTGTTACCATCATTACTGAAATGGAAAAGGCCATAAATGTTTGCATTTGCAAATTTTGGCTCCCTTTCTTACTACTTTGAATTTGGGAACAATAGAAGCCAGTGGATGTATTTATAAATATCTATCAACTGAAAATGTTTTAAACTTTTGATTGTCTGTTTATTTTTGTGTTGCTGCTTTTTGTTTGTCTAGGTTAATGGTTAGGGCCTGGAAACAGACTTGCTGAATTTGAATCCCTGCTCAGCTACTTACTAATTCTGTGCTCTGGGAAAAATACTTAACATTTCTGTGCCTCAGAAATCTTTCATTATCAGTACAAAGAAGGAAGCTAATAATATTTTACTTCTGAAAGGATTGGTGTGAGTATTGAATAAGTCATTAAATATAAATCATTTGGAATAGTGCCTGGCCTACATATGTATACAGATCCTTAATAAATGGTAAAACATTATTATTTTAAAAATTATAAAATATAGAAATGACATGAAGATCTAATTTAGCAAAGGACTATCCAGGGGGCTAAATACATTTAATTCCTAGTTGTGTCTTTACGCCAATATAAAGCTGTTTATGGAATCTTAGCTTACTCAAAGCAGAACATTCTCTAAGCTTTATTATTCTACAACTTGAACAGAACAGTCATGAGCAAGAAGTATTGAACAGAGAAAGCCTTAGGGTAGGCATTTATTGTTCATTTTGATGCTATTCGCAGACTCTTTCTAAGTCAAAAAATGATGTGACCAAATTCCAATCAGTAATCTTACTCATTTTTCATAGCTAAAAACATGCCTTTAGTCCTTCAGATTGAAAATTGGCAAAGATACAAGCATATAAGCAGTTTTACCATTTAATGAGTTTAAGCAAAATCTTTTTATAGCCCAGATTCTCTAATACAATTCAAAGTTGCAATTCAAGTTTGAATAAAAAAGGAAAGAAAACGTCTGAAAGAATCCTAGAGAATGAAAAAAACCTTGGAAATGGCATTCTCATTTGTACTGTTCTGATCCCTTTCCTATGATATTCTGTAATTAATAACTGGTGTTCTCTGAGTTCCTGTTGCTATTTCTGGTTTACTCTCTTCCCTGCTGGTAACTTTCACAATGAAATGGTTTGCATCTAAAGTCAGAGTTAAAAAATAATATGAATTAGATCGCTTAGTCTTAAATGGTTGATTGACTGTTTTCCATAGCATAGAGCATCATGCCTAAAAATCTGATCAGTCTCTACTCTTATCTTGATCTTAACTCTTTACCTGGCTCAAGAATAGTCCGGAATATGGATCAAACAGTCTCTAGTTATTGTGATTCTCATTAAGTCTATTAGAACTGATCATGAGGTAAAATCTTGGTTTTATTCTTTCTGTTCAAAACACCAACCACACCTCCTAATTGTTAGATGCTGTATTTTTCTGACTCTCTCCTTTTCCTGGCTCAAGGCACATAATTGTTGAAGTTGTATGATGTTGTCATAAGGGTTTGTTTTACTATCTTCTCTAGCGAGTGTTTGAGATTTTCTGTAATATGTTAAAAAATATACTAGATTATTACTCATCTTTATATTTTACCGGAAGCTTTATCCAAACCTGTTTCTGCTATTTTTTTTTTTTAGATATCAGAACAAGTTATTAATTGGCAACTTTTGAGCAATACAACACCTAAAAAAGCTACTCGCTCATCCCATTCTCTGGTAAACAAACATGTTGGGGGCAAGGATAACAATTTCTTCTTCAATGTGAACACGTATTAATTAATAATGAATCCCTAAAATGGTTTGTCATAACTAAGTATTCCTCGATGAATTCATTGTGAGGTGTCTTTCTACTACTCTGGGACGTGAGAGCTCACACCAAGTCTTTTGGCATTGAGTTTGCAATGCTTTTTAAAAATGTGTCTAAACTCAGTCAAAACCTAATGTTTTTTCCTGTGTTTTTTGCTTCCCACTCCTTTGCTTCTCCATGCTTTCTTTTAACATGCACTTGGAAAGCTGAAACAGCTTTCAAAATAAGGGAGTCATAGTTACATAAGATTTAGATTCTACAATTAAATCATAAGGTGGAGTCAAAATTATTACCCTTGATAATATCTTAATGTTTAAGTGATATCATCAGTTTAAGTGATAAAAAAAACCTTGCATAGTAATGTATTTAAATAAGCATTAGATTATATTTTAATCACATAAACAAAAAGGAGGAAGTAGAAAAGAAAGAACAGTAGGATAAAAAGTTCAAGATTTGTAAAATTACCTTAACCATATTCTTTCATCTTTCTGGATTTGATTTTACTTGGCCTCACACACATGCACACACAAATAAAAAAGTTCTTCTCTTTCTTTATCCTTCCCTCCCTCCTTCCCTTTCTCTTATTTATTGTTGAATATGAAGAAGGAGCAGAGAGACAGTTCTATTTGCATCAATATAAGTTAATTTATGACACAGATTTACTGTATTACTTTTCTTCTTTCCAGTTGAAAAATAAAATATTTTTAACAAGTTCAGAAACTATGCAGGTGTAGCCTCCCTTCCTCTCCACTTGCAAGGTAAAACACAACAGAGTCATGTAACATCAACTCATCTTTTCTTGACCTGAACCAGGTCTTTGAGACAATAACTCTCAATTTATCAAGGGCAGAAAAGATTCTTAATGTTCTGGAAACTTATATTTAATTAATAATTTATCAAAGTAAGAACCCCTATTATTTACTTTAAAAATGACCATCTGGGCTATTATAAATGACAGAGACTTGGTTAACATATGTAGTAAAGAGAGATACACTGGTTCTCTTGGTTGGGAGGATCTCATGGTAGCTACAAGATCTAAAGAAGTGCTGCAAGTTCCAGAGCCTCAAGACTGGAACCAGGATCTAGTCAGTTACCAAAGGTTTCAGACACACATCTCTTACATGGCCATTTTAGCAGAAATAGAGTTTCTCTTTCCAATGTCTACATAGCAATCCTAGAGAAACAGACTCTGGTCTTGCTTGAATCTGAGGCCTACCTTTAGAGCATTCATTATATTCCAAAGAATGAGATACTACAAGTATCTGAATCTAAAATACACATCTATACATAGAGTCAGAGGGCTGGACCTCTGATTAGAAGAGGGAAAATGGGATTTTAAAAAATGCGCTTAACAGTCAAATGCAATAGCTACCTTGTGATCCTTGGGACAGTCATTGGAATGTGAAATCTGCTTTGTTATGCCAAAATAATTTTTTTTAAAAAGTGTCTATAATGTATATTATAAACACATCCACAAGTTAGTCTCTAAATAGTTGAGATATTTGCATTTTCAGAAAAAAATGCCATATTTTACTTCAGTGCTAATATGATGAGCTGAATATCCTTAAATAGTTATTTAGTACTGCATACATCTGGAATTTTAAACCATGATACTGATAAAGGAAAGGGAAAGCTTTTGGGAGTCTAATGAATTACAAAAATAGGAGAATAAAAAAATTTGTATCAGGGAGTGCAAAATTAAAGATAATGAGAAGATTGCCGAACAAAGATTTAATTTAATCTCATTATGCTTTCTTGAAACTTCCTTGTCAATTAAACAAACCACGTGAAAAAACTGAGCTAAGGAAAAATGGACTAATCAATAAAGAAAGAAACTTAAAAGAGCATAAATCAATAGCCCAGTTCCTTTCCAAAATCAGAAGACACAAAACTTAATCTCATCTCATTTTTGTCAATAGTTGTTTGAGTAATTTGGAAAACTATACAAGATTGTTACCATAGAGATGAATAAATAGGCTGAAATCCTGAATAATCAATAGTACCTTTTATTCTTAAATTTATAAATATGTTTTGGATATCTTCTGCAAGATCCGAGAATGACTAGATATACGTATATATACTTAACTGTTCACAATCTGAAAAATAGCAATCAGTCTTTACATTCTTGAACAAAAGTCATTTAATGAAAATTCATAAAGTATATATGGTTGTTTAAGGCCAAATATGATTGCATATTCAGCTATTCGAATTTAACATGACTTGTTTACACTACTATTTAGTTTACTAAAGGTCTAATCCCCTATACAAATGCCAAAACTTTAACCCTTTCTGTCTAAACAAGATGTACCATGAAAATCCAGATAATTAGTATGTTCATATATATATATACCACGAACTTATCAGCAAGTTGGTTGATATTACCATTGAAAAATAAGATTATGTTTATATAGTCTAAGATATGATAAGAAATTGTTATGCAGTAACTATGTGCCAGTCATTTTCAAAGGAACTTAAGGCATAAATGTTTTATAATAGAGCATTTGTCATAGATATTAACATATTTTGCCAGTAAGAAGTCAAAGGCTTAGAAACAACGTGTAATCAACAGAGCCAGAATTGAATCAAGTTTGTTTGACCTCAAAGCTCATGTATTATATACTGTACTAAATTGTCTTCTAATTATTGATTTATACTGATGGGGAGAATTATTTTCCAAATATTTATTTCATTTCCTCTGAGAGGATTAGACATCTGTATGCATTGCAATGTGACAGAGAACAACTCCTTGCAGACAAAATATACTTATTTCTTAATTATCAGGTTTGTCCATGTGACTTGCCTTGATCCATAGACTGTGAACATGAGTGATGTATGTTACATCTAAGCAGAAGCTTTAAGGAACACTGGAAGTTTCCAACACTTGATATTTTCTCTCTGCCTCGGATACAGCATTTGGTTAAAAACCAAATATGGTTTGCTCCTCTTGCCTGATACAAGTGAAAAAGAAATGTGCAGCAAAGAAACAGACACCAACATTTAATATCAGTGAGAAATAAATGTTTGTTGATATAAATTATTGAGATTTCAGGTTTTATGTTATTTATTGCAGGCAGTACTGTGAATATTTATAAAGAGTATTTATTATCATTCTAACAATTGTGAAGTAAATGTGGTCTTAGTAGAATATTCCACTTCCCATTTTAAAGATAAAACTTCATGTGGTGAAAGCTCTTGGCATTCACTATTCACAATTGGTAGGAAGTTCTGATGCGGTCAGTCCATCTTAGGAGCATGAAGACAAATGACATACTAAGGTTAGAGAGCTGAAAGGTAGGAAGATTCTGGATACCCCATGATACGGTTGTGTCACCATTCCAGGCCTGGATTAAAAATCTGACATCTTCCAATGTGAGAAAAATAAACACTGTACTTGTCTAAGTCACTACAGTTAGAAACTTTAGACCTGCAAATTCAGACCTCTTAGCTCAAAGCAATTTTCTTGTATTGTTTGCTTACTCTTTTCCTCCTGTTCCCTTTTCTCCATCAGAACTTATTAGTCACATTCAGCCTCATGGATCTATTGCGTAAGTGTTACAGCTCTTGTTTACTTTACGTGTATGTTCTTTGAGATATTTATTGCATCTGATCTTCTATATTATTTAATTCAGCATTCAATCTTGATCATACTCTCCTTTAATTCATAAACTGAATTTTCTGAATTTGACTAGTGTGCTGCCATGCTCCCAGAGCACTTTATAATGTTGCAGTTAGAACTTTTGGCCAGGTGCAGTGTCTTACACCCTTAATCCCAACACTTTCAGAGTCTGAGACAGGAGGATTGCTTAAGGCCAAGAGTTCAAGACCAGCCTAGGCAATATGGCAAGACCCCATCTCTACAAAAAACTAAAAGCTAAAAAATAGCCAGGCATGGTGCCAGGCATCTGTCATCCTAGCTACTCAGGAGGCTGAGGCAGAAGGATCACTTGAGCCCAGGAGGTTGAGGCTACAGTGAGCCAAAATCATGCCACTACACTCCAGCCTGGGTAAAAAAGCAAAACCCTGTTTCTAAAATAAATAATAAATAAACATTAAAAATTAAAAATAAATAACTTTCAAGTGCTTGAGTATTTGGGTTTTTTTTTATTCCAAGATTTGGTCACTTCTCCCTACTAATTCTGCATTAATGGGTAATGTGTTTTGATTATTCAATCTGACCCTTTTTTATCTATGTGGGGAGCCTATCAAAAGAGCAGATTTTTATGCATTTATTTACGCATTTTTATACATTCATTTATGCACTTAATTATTGGATATATTGGGACTCATGTCTAAATGTCAGACAAAATCAAAAGGACTGGGCACACTGTGCATCTATGAACTAAGGGCAAAGTGTTAGTTTCTGCTTAAGGCCGTTGCAGTAGATCTTTCCCCTTGTGGGTCTTTGTATACTTTCCTATTTTATATGTAAAGAAGACAAACATGCTTTTTTCCCCTTGGCATTTTGGAGAGACCCAGCTTGCACTTTTAGTATCTTTCTGGCATTCTGGCACTCACAGAAGGCTATGGCATTATGCCCAGATTTCACTAATTCCCCCACAAACAGCTCCTGGCAGGAGGCTTTTTCTTCCATTAAAGCCTCTGGACTTTTTAGCCTTATTGCAGGAAATTTCTTGTCCCCTATATCACTCTTTAAAGGGACCTCCACAAATCTTGAGGCCTAGTCTCTCCTAATAGCCTGCAAGTGTCAGCAGCCACTGGGCTCAGGAGAGGCAAATAACCTAAGTCTGGCTGGGGAGTGGAGGAGAGCCATGTTAAGGCTCCAAATACCCAGAATTTCCTTTATTTGTGTTAAGATGATAAGGTATTTTTTGTGTGTGTTAATTTTATATTATTGCCATGACAAATTACCACAAACTGAGCAGCTCAAAACAACATAAATTTATTATTACAAAGTATCTGTAAGTCAAAACTCTGAGAGGCAGAAATTAAGTTTTTGCAAGGCTGCTTTCCCTGCTGGAGCCTCTAAGGAAATATCCGCTTCTTAGCATATTCAGGGTATTGGCTGAATTTTGTTCCTCGAGGTTGTAGGACTCAGGTTCTCACTTCCTTTCTGTCAGCTGGGAGCAAATTTTTGCTCCCAGGGGTTGTCTTCATTTCTTCGCATGCTTTCCATTTAGCCCTTCCAGGTCGTCCAGGTCAAATCTCTTTTACACTTCTAAACTCCATTGTTTTATTCCACTACACTCCTTCCTTTCCTTTAAGGATTTATGTGATTAGACTGGGCCAACCAGATAATACAATATAATCATCTTATTTTAAGATCTATAACCTTATTTACATTGGAAAATCCATTCTAGTTTATCTAATGTACACATACATTCTAGGGATCAAGGCATGGACATCTTTTGAGAGCCACTCTGCTTAATACAGGATATTTGAATATCGTTGGGATTAACTTATTTTATATAAAGTGGTCAAATATAAAGAAGACAGATGATTATTTATAGTTTCTAAGGCAATAATAATAAATAGTATCCTAAATACAGGTGAGTTAATTGACATAGAAGAGAAAGAGGAGTTCCTATAAAGTTATAGGAAGGAAGAAAGAATGGATGGTAAAAGTGGAGTCAAAAGGATAAAAGAGGTTCAAGATGGTAGGAGGTGAGCAATAGAGCCTTAAGCTTCAGTGAGAATGAATAAAATGAAAATTGGAAGTTTTACTTGATTTAGCAAGTCGATGTCCTTGAATACCTTTTTAAGGGGTGTGCAGACTGGAGAAAAGCAATAGAAAACAAATTGCAAAGGATCAAGAAACTAATGAGAAACTGATCATGAATATATCTGATAGGTTTTAATGTTTTGGATTGAAAGTGCAAGGAAAAAAACATGTAGCTGGAGCTAGAGTGTCATGCAGTTAAAGGACCCAAGTTGAAGGTAGTTAAGCATCCTGAGAGATCTTTTTGTGGTTCACAAGTGTGATGATTAGGTTTTCAGACTCATGTGTGAGACATGCCTTCCTCAAACCTTCTTATGCTATCAGCACATAATCTGGCTGACATTATAAAAAGAGAGAGAATTCTGAGAATATTTTCATGATTGGATATGAGGTGAGAGAGAAAAATACATATCAAAAATTACTGTCAGATTTCTGTTGCTCATTGAGTGGATGGTGCTACCAAGGCTTCACCAGGAAATGGGAAGAGAACACCACAGTTGCAGAAAGAGGATTAATTTGATGTTATGCTTTGTTTCATAGATTACTAGTTACTGTGCCAATATTTATGTTTCCATTCAATTTTACTTGCAGCACCATAATTTTGTGCTGATAAACAACATACTTGGCCAAAAAAACCCTATATTTTTCAGTCTCCTTGGCAGCTAGAGATGGCCAACAGATGTAAGCAGATGTCATTTCGCTGGAATTCCCAATTTTACTCCTTCTTCTTATATGAAATGTGAAGAAAATAGCTGTAGCATCAGTGGCTTTCCTGGATCATGGGGAATCTTGAATATGAATTACTTCAGTTTGGACATGAAAAAAAAAACAAGAAAAAAATGATTAAGATCAAATCTCTTAAAGTTCAGAACCAAGAGTGGGGAGAGAAATGAGAAACGAATTTCTTTCATAAAGCAAAGTAAGTATTTGCTAGATGGGCTAATGAAGAAACTTATCCCACTCTCAGAGTAGATAATTTTATTATTTCTGGTATTGGGTTATGATAATTACACACCAGTAAATCCATGTGTTTCTCATTGTCCTTTTTCAAATATGATTTTTTATGGTTGTTAGCCTAGTCCTACTTCACTCTCACATACTAGTGGCTGTGTCAGGGAAGAAATGTGTCTTTTAGCTTAAAATGTACCAGGTCAGTAATAACCTAATCTACACCCAAAGAATGGGATGATAGACATAGAAATTCTGGTTCATGAGTTAGTTTTAGTGCTCTGATGGAATTAGAGATTTGTCTCCCTAAAAGGGTAGATTACCCAGTATATAGAATGGAGAGTGTGCATGAGCAGGTGTGTGACAAAAGAGCCAAATATGGTAGAATTTTCTTTTAATACCCATTCTTCAATTTTTTTCTCAATAATAGAAGCTTCTCAGATAACTTAATCTAAACTGATAGAAGAGAAAAGACACTTCAAAACAATGAAAATATCTTTATCTCATGGCAGAACTTTTGAAACAAAGTAAATCCAATTTCATAATTTTGTCTTGTTAATGAAGACTATTTTAGAGGCAGCCTAATAATACTGATATTATGCTTGATTCTCTTTTGGCCCTTGCTTTTGCATCAGTTGCTTTCTCTCAAAAGTATAAAAATATTACGTGAAATTTTTGAGTTTTTAAGAGCTTGTGTTTTCACACCAACTTACTTAACAAGTTTAAATAACACCTTTAATTTCTAATTTACTTTCGTTGATAGGAGTTCAGAGACACAGAAACCCCAAACATTTACTTACTATTATGTATGATTATATTTTTCTGTGATTGTCACCAGGATTTTTCATGATAGTTCAATTTTAATGCTACCGCTTTCAAATCCTTAAAAAACTGAATAAGAAAAATGATAATATAATGGTTCTATTATGGTAGAATTGTCAAATTACTATGAGGAACTTATTCAAAAGTAGGTTTTTCTCACCAAAATTAAGACTAACTTTGTTACAAATATTGGATTAATAAGTTTTGAACCACCTAACTTTTTAATGTTTTCAATGTGCTGTTTGTTTCTTATATAATGTAGACAATTCATCACGTAACTTTCACTAATTTTCAAAAAAAAACAAATGACAACCCTTAAAATGTGGGCATATTATTTCTAATTTTGACATGAATACTTAAGTTTTAGAGTATTAAACATATAAGAAGAAATTATGAGAGATTATAAGATATTTACTTACATAAACATTAATGTATAAATTTAGTTCTATTGATGTTATTTCATACAATTAAAAAATAAATTGTAGCAGCTGACCACTAGTCAACTTTAAGTGTTAAAGTTCTTGAAATTGTTTATCTTCTAGAATCCTGGCCAGCAGTTTTTCGTCACATTAGCAGATGAAATATTATAGTGTTTTCATAACAGCCATATTTTTCTTGTACCCTTTTACAATTTTTTTCATATTTTTTTGAAATTTCTACAAAATCTTACACATAACATTGTAATGCCTATTTGGCCAAATACATTTTCCCTTAATCTATTAATTGAAGTTCACAGAAAAGTTGAAGGGGGTTGGTCGTGGTGATGAAACAGGAAGGAATTTGGCAAGGATTTAATATTTTTTCAGATAATGATATATTATTCATCTTGGTGGGGAACAACTTTCCATGAGTTTCTTGACTTTCTACATGTCTTCCAAGTGAGGCACTAACTGCTATATTCCTGAGCAGTTTCTGCACTGGAAAATAGAAATAACATTTCTCTTCAGAGCAAAGTGCAGGAATGCTTATTGCCTAGTAAAAAAGATTCAGGTTCCTAAACTCTAGGTTCCTAATCACATATCCCACTGTGTATATGTGTGTAGATATCTATGTGAGACATCTACATTACCTCCTAAAATAGCAGTAAAATAAATGGAGAAGAGTATACTGATGCTTGTATTATTTTTTGGGCCATGAGTATTAAAATCCTTAACCTCTGACTCAGGAGTCTCATGTTCTTGCCAAAATCCATGAACGCTGTTTGATTAAATCGTATACAAATTCAGAATATAATGCCAGGCAAATGGTATAGGCATGTTTCTATTCAGGATGCTGGTTATGTCCAGGATCAGAGTTTGCATAGCACAGCTTAGATTTTTGGCAAAATATGAATAAAACTAGAATGAAGAGAGATGGGGTGGTGGGTTTAAACACCAATTTCTAATGTGCAAAAGAACACAACATCATATAAAGTTCATGATAAAATATTGACAAATGATTAAAAAAAATTTTAAATGTATTTATTTCATATTATATAGTCAATATATATCAAATGTATTTATATAAATTAATATATATTATTAATCTGTATATTAATTATATTAATAACACCAACATTATATTATATTTTATAATAAAGTATATTATATTAATCATATATTAATTAATTAATAGATTATGTATAAATGCATAATCTGCCCTTTTAGGGAGGCAAATTCCTATTTCCATCAGAGCACTAAATCTAACTCATGAACCAGAATTTTTATGTCTACCATTCCATTCTCTGGGTGTGGACTTGGCTAATTTTGGTCCGGTAAATTTTACCTGAAAGACAAATTTCTTCTCTGACACAGCCTGTCATATATGAGATTAAAGTAGAAATAGGTTAATCACCATAAATATATATATATAAAATACATGTTACATATTTATTTAATAGGTATTGCATACTTATATATAATACATATATTACGTATTTAAATATATTACATATTTAAATACGTAATATATGTATTATATATGACATATTTGTTTAAAATATTAATAATTTTTTAATTGAGCTCTTCTTTTTCCAGTATTTGATTGTAATATGAGTTGGGCAAATTCCAAGTATTTGCCCTCCTGCTTTTATATATATATATAAAATTCCTGTACCTTTAGAGTCCTGATTCTGATTATTAGCATCTGTAGTCAAGAGCCCACCTTAGCTTTCACAGCCCAGCTGTCTATGGCATGGGAAGGCTCTTGAAAAAGGAAGAACCGGCAATGCAGCAGACTTGTGCAGGTGAGTGGAGGGGCAAAGCAAACACTAAGTAACATATGTTAGTTATATGTTCTATATGACATAGGCCTTCTAATGTACAGTCAGTTTCACTGATTTGTAGCAATTTATGTATTTTTTAAAATATATTATTATTACTTTTAATACAGCTAATTTGCAAATCAGTAAGCCAGTCACAGAAAATAAAAGTTTTATTAAAGGTCTCATGTACAGACACCTGTATTTTTATGACAATGGCATCTTCAAGACATCCTTATTATTATGCTCTTATAGTGCTTGTAGATGGTCATTAAATTAGCAAGAATTGCCTACATTATGGCTGCTCTTTGAAAAGAATCCCCTTGAGGAATGCTAGCTTACTACTTGGAAAAGCTATCAGGACGGCTTCATGACTCTTAGATGATGATGTAGGTTCGCTGCTACATCTGATAGACCTGACCTCAAAATTTTAACTATCTTCTAATTTCTGAACAAAATATTAAGATGTTCTGAGTTGCAAATTAGAAGTACCTATATTGTAATATATAATGGCAATTTTATGAGTTACAAAGCTTCCAAAATCTCAGTTTTTATTTAGTTTCTTTATTATAATATTCTAATTAATAAGTAACATTTTAAAAATTATTCTATTTTGTTTCTATAAATATATTTTACCTTTGTCCAATAAAATGACCATTCCTCATTAATTCATGATTCCTTGAACCATTAACTTTGATGCTGTACTTCAGACATGTTTGAGGCATTATTGGCCTGTACCTTATCACATTTCTTTATTTTGTAGATTGTAATTATCTCCAAACTTTTGAACTACTTAAAAAATTCAGGTTTAAAAATATTTTTCTTTTATTTCCTTAATCATTATTTAATTAAACTGATTTTTAAAAATTATGGTAAGGTTTACAGGATAAAAGTTAAATTATTCTAGAAGACTTGCTCTACAATTTAGGCAAGTACTTTATTAATAAAGGTAGGTAATTAGTGATGACAAAAATAAATATCATGCAAAACTAAAAAATTCATTTGTAATGCTAAATGAAACAAGTTGCCAAGGGAGATAAAGCAACCACTTAATAATGTGCAAAATAGAGTCTATCTTTATAAATAATTTTATAATAATGAAAAGTAATATTTTTGCTAAAGTTTGAAGACTACTGGGAAAACATTTTTGTTTGGGCATGATGGCTCATGCTTGTAATCCCAACACTCTGGGATGCTGAGGTGGGGGAATCGCTTGAGGCCAGGAGACTGAGACCAGCCTGGGCAACAGAGCAAGATCCCCAACTCCACACACAGACAAACTAATTTAATTAGCTGAGAGTGGTGGCACACACCTGTAGTCCCAGCTACTTGGGATCTGAGGCAGGAGGATCACTTGAGCCCAGTAGTTTGAGGCTGCAATGAGTTATGATTGAACCACTGCACTCCATTCTGGGCAACAAAGCAAGATCCTATCTCTAAATAAAATGAATAAAACATTTTTTATTTTTTAAATTTGATACATAATTGTCCGTATTTAAGGGATATGTTTGATATTTTTGATACATGCATCAATGTGTAATTATAAAAGCAGATTATTTAGGGTATTCATCTCTTCAAATATTTATCATTTCATTGTGTTGGGAACTTCCAAATCTTTTCTTTTAGCTATTTTTAAATATACAATTAAGTTATTGTTAGCTATAGTTACACTACTGGGCTATCGAACAATATTACTTATTCCTCCCATCTAACTGTATGTTTGTACCCATCAACCAATCCCTCTTTATCCCCTCCTCAACCCTTCCTAGCCTCTGGTAACTATCATTCTACTCTCTACTCCAATAGGTCAAATTTTTTAGCTTCCATATATGAATGGGAACATGAAATATTTGTCTGTCTGTGCGTGGCTTATTTCACTTTACATAATGTTCTATAGTTCCATACATGTTTTTGCAAATGATTTTTTTTTTATGGAAGCAGAGTATTTCCTTGTGTTACATATGTTTTCTTCATTCATTATTCTGTTGATGAAGTTGTAGGTTAATTCCATCCCTTAGCTATTATTGTAAATAGTGCTTCAGTAAATATGGAGATGCAGGTATCCCTGATATACTGATTCCTTTTCTTTTGAATAAATACCCAGTAGGGGAATTAGTGATTGCATGAAATCCAGTTTGCATAAAATTATTTTTAATTTTTTAAGAAACCTTCACACATTATGTTCCATAATGACTGTACTAATTTACATTCCCACCAACAGTGTACTAGGGTTTTCTTTTCTCTGCCTCCTTATTAGCATTTGTTGTCTTTTTCATAATAATTCTAACAGGAGTGAGGTGATATCTCATTCTGGTTTTGATTTGAATTTCCTTAATGATTGGTGATACTGAGCATTTTTTCATGTACCTGTTGGCCATCCGTAAGTCCTCTTTTGAGAAATGTCTATTCAGATCCTTTGCACACTGTTTAATGCATTTTTTTTTTGCTATTGCACTGTCTGAGCTCCTTGTGTATTCTGGATATTAATACAATGTCAGATGAATAGTTTGCAAATATTTTCTGCCAATTTTTGGTTATCTCTCCATTCAGTTGACTGTTTTATTTGCTGTACAGAAGATTTTCATTAATATAGTCTCATCCATTAATTTTTATTGCCTATGTTTTAGCCAAAAAAATCTTTGCCTAGACCAATTTTTTAAAGCTTGTCCTCTATGTTTTCTTATAGTGTTTTTTAAGTTTTTGGTCTTACATTTAACTCTTTAAACGATTTTGAGTTGGATTTTTTAGATGTTGAGATATAGGGGTCTAGGTTCATTCTCCTGCGTATGGATATCCACTTTTCCCAACACCATTTATTGAAGAAACTGTCCTTTCCCCACTGAATGTTCTTGGCTCCTTTGTCAAAACTCAAGTTGGCTGTAAATACATGGATTCATTTCTGGGTTGTCCTGTTCCTTTGGACTGTGTGTGTGCTTTTATGCTGGTACCATGCTGCTTTCATTACTATACTTCCATGGTATTGGTTTTTGTGTCTGTTTTTATGCTAGTACCATGTTGCTTTGGTTACTATAGTTCTGTAGTATATTTTGAAGTCCAATAGTGTGATGCCTCCACTTTTGTTCTTTTTGTTCATTATTACTTCAACTATTCAGAGTCTTCTGTGCTTCCATACAAATTTTAGGATTATTGTTTCTATTTCTACGATAAATGTCACTGGTATTTTAGTGGGGATTGCATTGAATCTGTAAATTATTTTAGGTAGTATGGTCATTTTAACAATATTAATTCTTCCAATACATGAGCATGGGATGTATTTTCCTTTGTGTCCTCTTCAATTTCTTTCATCAGTGCTTTTCAGTTTTTGTTATAGAGGTCTTGCACTTGCCTGGTTGAATGTATCTTGTAGTATTTTATTTTTCTCGTAGCTGTTGTAAATGAGATTTCATTCTTATTTTAAGCTAATTTGTAATTGGTATATAGAAACACTACAGATTTTTTTTGTATATTGATTTTGTATCCTGCAACTTTACTGTTCATCAGTTCTAAAAGGTTTTTGGTGGAGTCTTTAGTTTTTTCTCTATATAAGATCATGTCATCTGTAAAGAAGGATAAGTTGGCTTTGTCTTTTCCAATTTGGGTGTCTTTTATTTTATTCTCTTGCCTGATTGCTCTGGCTAGGCGATTCAGTACTATGTTGAATAGGAGTGGTGAAATTGGGGACCTCTGTTCAAGTCCTTAGAGAAAAAGCTTTCAGCTTTCCTCCATTTCATATGGTAAATGAAAGCTGGGAGTTTATCAAATATGTTCTTTATTATGTTGAGGTTTGTGCCTTCTATGCCTAATTTGTTGAGAGCTTTTATTATAAAGGTGTGTTGAATTGTATCAAATTCTCTTTTCTGTGTCTATTTAAATGATCATATGACATTTGACCTTCATTCTGTTGATATGACATATAACAATTACTGATTTGTGTAGATTGAACAATCCTTGCATCCCTGGGATCAAACCCACTTGATCATGGTGTATTAACTTTTGGATGTGTTGTTGAATTTAGGCTACTATTTTCTTGAGGATTTTTGCATCTGTGTTCCTTAGGGATATCAGTCTGTATTTTTCTTTTTTTGTTGTGTCCTTCTCTGGTTTTGGTAGTAGGCCTCATAGAAGGAGTTAGGAAGAATTCACTCCTGTTTGTGTTTTTGGAATTGTTTAAGAGCAACTGGTGTTCTTCATAAGTTTGATAGAATTCATCGGTAAAGCCATCTGGTCCTGGCCTTTTTATTTCTTGAGAGTTTTTTTTTATTATTGATGCAATCTTATACATCCTGTTAGTCTGTTAAGGTTTTCTATTTCTTTTTAGTTTAATCTTGGTACGCTGTACTTCTTCAGGAATTTATACATTTTCTCTAGGTTTTTCAATTTGCTAGCATATAGTCAATCATAAGAGACTTGAATGATTGTTTGCATTCATGTAGTATAAGTTTTTTTTTTTTTTTTTTTTTTTTTTTTTTGAGATGGAGTCTCCCTTTCTCTCCCAGTCTGGAGTGCAGTGGTGTGATCTTGGCTCACTGCAAGCTCCGCCTCCCGGGTTCACGCCATTCTCCTGCCTCAGACTCCCGAGTAGCTGGGACCACAGGCGCCCACCACCACGCCTGGCTAATTTTTTGTATTTTTTTAGTGGAAATTGGGTTTCACTGTGTTAGCCAGAATGGTCTCGATCTTCTGACCTTGTGATCTGCCTGCCTTGGCCTCCCAAAGTGCTGGGATTACAGGTGTGAGCCACCGTGCCCGGCCCATGTAGTATAAATTTTAATGTCTCCTTTTTCATTTCTTATTTTATTTATTTGGGTCTTCTCTCTTTAATCATTTATGAGTGTATCCAGAAGTTTATCATTTTTTTTATTTTCAAAAACTTTCAGTTTTTTTGATCAAATTTTTTGTCCCTATTTTGTTTAGTTGTGCTCCATTCTTTTTATTTCTTTCCTTCTACTAGTTTTGTGCTAAATTGGTCTTAATTTTCTAGTTTCCTGAGGTCCATCTTTAGGGTGTTTAAAATCTTTCTATGGTTTGTATGTAGTTTTCATTCCTACAGACTTTCCTCTTAGCATTGTCTTTGCTGTATTCCGTAGGTTTTGGTATGTTATATTTCCATTTTCTCTTGTTTTAGGTTTTTTTTTTTAAAATTTTCTCCTTGATGTCTTTGTTGACCCAATGGTCATTCATGAGCATGTTTTTTATTTCCCATGTATTTGTGCATTTTCAAACTTCCTCTTTTCTTTGATTTCTACTTTTAATCCATTGTAGTCTTACAAGATAGTTGATATAATTTTTATTTTTAAAAAAATTGTTGAGACTTAATTTGTAGGCTAATATATGGTCTATCCTGGAGAATGTTCCATGTGCTGATGAGAAAATGTGTATTTCGTAGTTGTTAGTTGAAATGTTCTGTAAATGTCTGTTAGGTCTATTTGGTCTAAGATGCAATTTAAATCCATGTTTCATCCTTCATTTTCTGTCTAATTTGTTCAATGTTGAGAGTGCCATGGTGAATTCACCAACTATTATTGTATTAGAGTCTATTTCTCCCAATACATCTAATAATGTTTGCTTTATATAACAGAGTGTTCCAATGCTGAGTGCATACACACCTAGAATTGTTACATCTTCTTGCTGAATTGATAGTTTCATCATAACATAATGACCTTGTCTATTTTTATAGTTTTTTTTATTTAAAGTCTATTATATCTAAGTATAGCTACTCCTGCTCACTTTTAGGTTCCATTTGCAAGGGATGTTTTTTCATCGCTTCATGTTTATATGTGTCTTTACAGGTAAAGTGAGTTTCTTGCAGGCAGTATTCAAAGTATTTTTCTATTCAGCCAGTCTGTATCTTTTAATTGGGGAATTTAATGTGTTTGCATTCCAGATTATTAATAGGGACCAACATATTCCTGTCATTTTGTTAACTGTTTCCTGGTTGTTTTGTATATCATTTGTTCCTTTCTTCCTCTCTTATTGTTTATCATTGCAGTTTAGTGGTTCACTGTAGCGGTAATGTTTAACTCCATTCTCCTTCCTATTTGTGTATCTGCTCTATGAGTGAATTTTATAATCAAGTGTATTTTCATGATGGTATTAATAGATATCATCTTTTCACTTCCAAATGTAGGACTCTCTGACGCACTTCCTGTAGAGTCAATGTAGTGGTGAGGAATTCTCTCTGTTTTTGCTTAAGAACACTTTAATTCTCCTTTAGTTTTAAGGGTAGCTTTGCTGTGAATAGTATTCTTCGCTGACAGTTTTTTATCCTTTTAATACCTTGAATATATCATCCCATTCTCTCATGCTCTGTATGGTTTCTGCTGAAAATTATGCTGTTAGTCTTATGAGAATTCCTAAGTGTCATGTGTAACGTGACACTTTTGCTGTTTTTAGAATTCTCTCTTTGACTTTGGCTTTTGAAAGTTTGACCATAATGTGCTTTGAAGAAGACACTTTTGCACTGAATCTATTTGATTAATGCTTGAACATCCTGTATTTAGATGGTTATGTCTCTTACAAGAGTGGGGAAGTTTTCTGGTATTTTTTTGTTAGATTTTCTATGACTTCATTCGTATCTTCTGCAACTCTCAAAAGTCAAATATTAATTCCCTGTATACAGTCCTGTATGTCATGTCCTTATTTATTCTCTTTTATTCTTTATTTTTTTTTGTCTGATTGGTTTATTCCAAAAAAACCTGTCTTCAAGTTTAGATATTCTCTCTTCTGCTTGATCTAGTTTACTATTGAAGTTCTCAATTCTATTTTTTATTTCATTCATTGAATTATTCAGGTCCAAGATTTCTGTTT
This sequence comes from Homo sapiens, assembly GCF_000001405.40. NCBI lineage: Eukaryota > Metazoa > Chordata > Mammalia > Primates > Hominidae > Homo > Homo sapiens. The sequence goes on along the minus strand of NC_000002.12, from coordinate 183,938,858 downwards.
AGTTCTTTTTCATGAGAACTATCACTGAACTTCTCATTCAGATCATGAATTGTTTTCCTTATTTTTGTAATATTTATCAGTTTTTACTTGTATCCAACTGACTTTCTTTAATATCATTGTTTTGAACTTCCAGTTATTTTACAGATTTTGTTTCTACTTGGATCTGTTACTGAAAAATTGTTGTGTTCCTGTTTTATTATGTTTCTTTGCTTTTTTACTTTTCCTGTTTCCTTACATTGATATCTGTACATTTCTTCCAATTTTATGGATTGACTTTCATAGGAAATACACTTTTCTATAGCTGTATCTGTATTGTTGGTTGGGCAGGGTGCTTTGGCTTTGATTTTAGGTGGGTGCAGTACAATAGTCTTTGTATGATTTATTTGGCTGTAATCAGTTTAGGGGTATCTGAGTTTCTCAGTAGCATGGGCTGCAGTTTTTAATGGAGGTTGTGGCAAGGCTTTGCTGGGGATGCTAGGTGAACTAGAGAAAGCAGAAGAGAGGATATCTGAACTTAAACACAAGTCTTCTGAAATAACTAAATCAGACCAAAACAAAAACAACAACAACAAAAGATTAAATATGAGGTAAGTCTATCTGACATATAGCACGTCATACTTTGACAAACTATTTGAATTTCAAGAGATTCAGAAGAAGAGATGGGCAAAATCATTGAAAGTCTATTTAACAAAGTAACAGTGGCTATGGCAGGCAGGCATACTGGCCTCAGGCTCTCAGGTGACTTAAGTGGGCTCTGGTCGTGGAAAATCTGGGCAGGCCCATCCTTGGGCCTCTGGACTGCTTTCTCAAGTGTCACTAGTGACAATGATGGACTGTATGGAAGGGCAGGTCCTTGAACTCCTGGGAAGCATGCATAGCAGTGGCTGTGGCAGTAGCATCAGTAGGTCAACCCGCTGGCCCCTGAGTAACATGTGTGGGGTCCCACTGGTGGCAGTGGCAAGTCGGGCAGTCCAATCCCCAGGCTCCCAGGTCATACATGCAGGTGGATAATGGTGGTAGCAGTAGCTGTAGATTGAGAAAACTGTCCTCCAGGTCCCAGGAAGGCATGTGTGGGCACTGGCAGCAGGTAGGGTGGGTTATTCCCAAGCCCCTGGACGGCGCATGTGAATGGCAGTGGAAGGCAGGGAAACTCATCCTGAGGCCCCCAGAGGGTATGCTGCTGATGGTATTGGGTGGGATATGTCAACCCCCAGGCCCCTAAATGATGTGGACATTGGCAAGAGTGGTGGTAGAAAGGGCAGGCCTGTTCTCATTCTCTTGGATAGTGCATCAGGTGCTGGTAGCAGTGGGCAGGGAAGAAGACTGAATCCCAGGCTGCCCTCAGACAACATGTTTGGGCACCAACAGCAGTGGTCAGTGGGACAGGTCTGTCCTCAGGTCCTGGATGGCATGCATGGGTGCCAACAGTTGCAGGCAGGGTGGATCAAGCCTCAGGCCCTTGAACAACCTGAGAGGGTGCCACCGGTGTTGACTGCAGGTAGTGAGGAGCTGTCCTCAGGCTGCCTGATGGTGCACACAGGCACAATGGGCATGGTGGGCCTGTGTTCGGGCTCCCAGTTGCCACACATGGGCAACAGCTACCAAGAAAACTTCTTTTTTTTATGTTCAGCAACAGGCATTACTATTTACTAACAGGATATGTCACAATAAGATAATACAAACAAGAGTTTTATCAATTAAATGAACATTTATTTATTCACTTTCAAAATTAATTTTACTTTTAAATCATGCAACACATTTTTGCTATAAAATGACAATTCAATTTATATATGAGAAATTATATGAATTCAGACACTCAGAAATTATAAATATAAAAATATTTATTTTTCCTTTTGAAAGTGTATATACTTTATGACCACTCCTTATAGTTGTATTTTTCAGTCTTAGTGAGAAGAACATTCTGAGAAAATTAATAATAAACAAGTTGATCAGGGCACTTGATAAAGGAATTGGTAGTAATAAATATGTTCTTATCACTAACAAACATACGATATACACTAACAAGCATGTTAACCTAAATAGGTTATACTAACATACTATTAGAACCTTTAATAATTGTAATACTTTCAAATATCAATTCTCATCTAGCTTTTGCATATATAAAGTAGGTAGAAGAAATATATTTCTGGAGCTCAAGAACACTATGTCAGCCTTAGTAAGAATTCAGAATCTTTAGTGTGCTCTTTATAACTGAAAAAAAAAAAACGTCTGGGTGAAGGAAATGAGCCTGTGTTAATAGTAGCAGGAAAAACACAAGAAAAAGATAATGTAAGAGAGAGATTCCTGGAGACTTGCAACATTTAGAGAATGTATAAGATAAATATATAAACATAAAGGATGCAGAAGACACTGGCTGGAGAATGTGACTGGAATAAACTTGATAAATTCTCACAATATCTTTTAGTTTGCACTGATCTTTTAATAATAACATATTAAGACTTCTATGTCTTACCCACACAAATAACCTAAGTGGCATTTTAGGCACTACTGCAAGTCTAATAGAGAGGATTACTGTATGGAAGCAGAAATAACTTTCAACATCATTCAAAGTGTAACACATGAGCAATGATAGAGCCCACTTTTCTCCTCAATTGCTTCAAATAAAAACAATCTATGTGGTCCTTTCTGGTATGAAAATTATTTTACAAATTTAAGTTGACATCTCTGCATCTATGAAGGTATGCATAGGAAAACAAACTTGAAACACCTTTGGAGAAGTACAGAGGGTTAGAAAATGATTTATTGTTTATATCTAATTTAAGCTTATTTTTTAACTGCATATTTGCTCAGAACTGTTTGGGAAGTTTTATTCTCTTCTATCATGTTTTTAAAAAACTCTGTCCAGATAAATATATAGGGTTTACATTAAAAACATACATAATCTTTTTCATAATCCTTAATGGATTTAGTTGAGTTTGAAGTATTGATATGCAGGAGAATCTATTGAATAGCTTAAGGGAAGGTCATCAGAATTACCTAGTTAGAAATGGAAGGCATTGGAGTAGTTGTACAGTTTGGCCAGACTTTGGGCAGGAAGAGAGGTAGAGAAAGAGAAACAGTATACAGACTGTCGAATAGTAGTAGTTGACTAAGTAACAAATAGCTCTCTGAGAAAATAGAGTTAAATGTCTCCATCTTGCCCTTGCAAAAAGACTTCCACTGTAAAGCACAGAGTTATAATGGGAAAACATACTTCAAATGACTGATTATGTCCATCTTGTGGGAAGATCTGGGGATCTGGTAGGGATGAGATTGTGCCTCAGGCACAGGTAACTTTGAGCCGGCTGTGCTCCAGAGCAGTCTACTCCAAGTGCAGAGTCTACGACTATACATCACTATGATGAGCATCACTCAGGAGACTGCTAGAACCATAGAATTCCAGGCCCCACCTTGACTTCCTGAATCAAGATCCTCAATTTAACAAGATCTCAGGAAGATTTGTATGCACATTATAGTATGAGAAGCACTGCTCTAGAGAGTATCTGCAACTGCTGACTAATTGCTTCTCCTACTGACACTCGTCAATTCAGCATGAGCAATAAATCCTATAGTTACTTACCTCTGTTGTCTCACCTGTTATTTCTCTTGGCATTAATGCCTGTGAGCCAACCAAGACCAGAGAGAGGCATAAGCTCCCTAGGCTGGTGCCCTGAGAATTGGCTGGTTCCCAACAATCTAAGCACTTGATACCTACAGGTGATTCTCCCTGCTCTTTCACCACCTTGAGGGGGTGATGCAATAAGACCTCGACAGAATATACTTCTTGACTTTATTAGGCGATATAAAAATGTCTAACTAAGCATTTCCTAAGGAAATACCACAGGCTTATGCAAATGAAAATGTTTCATTTTTGGTAGAAAATAATGGCTAATGGAGCATTTTCTTTAGAGATCAAGAAAAATGTTATTAATGTATTTATATGAACCACATGAATAAATATGTTAGTATATTAATTATATAGTGCTTCTTGGTTCTAAATAGAAATATTATCCTATTAATGTTTAATGCTCAGTGAATGAAAATAACTCACAACTAAGCTGTTTAATGTCTCATTTTCTGCTTGCAAGTCTTAAGTAAATTTTTACATGTTATAGTAAAAGATCTTGTCAGAACTTCTTATTTCCTGGGGAGCTAGCAAATGATAATAAATGCACTTACAAAAAAGTTTCAAACTCTAGTAATTGTCTTTAATAAATTGTCCCTCTCCTCCCTCTTTGTCTATCCACCATACTCATTAAAGAGAGGCTTCCATATTGAGAGCCCAGAAATCAATCTAAGTACATTCGCCATAATCGATTGCACCCAACAGGATATTCTTCATGTAACAAATACTTACATGGATTGTATCATAATGGCATTGGGGCCCATTATTTAACAGCCTTTCCTCTTTTGAAGAGATATTGGTCTGGAAATTTTCCAGTAGAGAAAGATTTTCAGAATAATGCATTTTCATTGAAATTCTGTGCTTTATGAAAAGTTAGAAATGAAAAAGCATAAATCATTTTCTACTAACCTAAAATGCAGTAAGAATGGAGGTTTTATTAAACATAGAAAGGTACTCTGGAGATAAAAATGTATTATGTCAACTGTAAAATGAGTAGAATTATGAAAATTAAAACAAATAGCTTTTATTCACTTGAGAGGACACCCACTCTTTAAAGTCTAAAAGGTAGGTAGTTATTAGCTAATTCAGAAATCACAATGTTTTAAATACAAATATGAAAAAATGTTACTTTTATTGTAGTTACTAAAAAGCAAGGGTTTGATCTAAAATTATTTTTGAATATGTTTACATAAATTACTAAATATTTCAGAAGTGACTTTCCAGATTAATGTAGTTCTTTGAGGATAATTTAGACCAATACCACAGTTATGAATAATTAATATAAACATTAATTGAAATTTTAAAAATTATATTTATAAGCAACAAAATAGCTGATGATTCATAGAATGTATTTCTCAGTATTATAATAACAAATTACCATTTTTTTACGAATGGAAATGATGGGACTATATAAGAAATTGTATACGCTAAACAGATGTTCTTATACTGATAACTTTCTATTGTTAGAGTTGCTGAATTGCTTCCTACAAACTCGTATAAACATAAATAATTTAAAAAAGAATAGTTTCCAATTATGATAAACAATACTTCTAGACAGCTCTATGTTAATATAGTACAGCCATTGAAACTTATAGTTCTAGATATTAATAACTAATGAAGAAGAGCTAAGAACATCTTGTTTGAAAATTTCCAAGATTAGCTCAGACAAGGCTCCTATGAAATACTGCTGAAATATAAAATTTAAATAGCCCTTTGTAGCATTCTGCAGAACAGACTAGCTACCACAGCAATAACATTGCATGAAAATCAGTGATGCTAGAATATTAATGTTACTGGAAACAATCTAGACAATTCAATGAGGTCATATGCAGACTAGGAGCAAGTGTATCTTTATCTTAAGTCCATCTAAGTTTCTCCTCAGTGTTGTGACTGACTCTGATGGAAGCAAGGGGAACAATGATAAGGTTGCAATCGTCTGAATTAGAAGAAGCAGGCATCTGGTCCTACCTCATTCCTAAGTTTTAGCCTCTACAGTGACTAAAACAATTTTAAATCCAATGTGGCACATTTCTGGACAATCCTCTAAAATTACTGATAAAGCAGGAAAATTTTAAGAAATTAGAGCCCAACATCATGGAACACATTATCAACTTACTGTTTCTGTTCTTACTCACGGGACTGTTTAGATTGAGCTTCCAATTTGCTCTAGATTTTGTTGATCCTATATCCCAGTTTTTAAAATTGGACTTTCATTTTTTTGACTGTTTCTGTAACCTTCAGTCTCTACGTTGAAAATGGCTTAATTCCCAGACTCTAGGATTGGGGTATTTCCCTATAGTTACCCAACTTGTTAACTTCCCAAGGACTGGAGCCTGTGCTTGAATCCCAGTCCAGTGGCAGAGATTTTGCTACTTGATTTTTCCCTTAAACTCCTACATACTTCTGACTCTTGAATTTCTCATTCCTATGGTCTATCTGACTCTTAGACCTGCTAAGATAATCTGTTTGTGAAGTCTACCCCGCCTTAGGTACTTTTATGCCCTTTGAATATCATGCCAGACTAAATTATCTCCTATGAAATTGGTTATTTTCTCCAGTAAATATAATTTAGATGGTGGGTTATCATACTGTCCCTTCCTAGTTATGTCCTCAGAGGCAGGAAGTCCCGGCACAGATTGAATTCCATTCCATAGGCATATAAAGAAAGACAGATGCTTGAGAAATTTTAGAGATCTCCTAGAAGATTAAGAAGATCCTCTCAATCCTCTAACAAACTAAAAATGGCTTATCCTGGACATGAAAATGTGCTAATGAGATCTGTTATTTCAGGGAGCATGATTGACTTCTATACACTGCATCTACCCTACCTCTGTGCCATAGCCCCACTTACTGTAGGATGCTCCCAGTCAGTAACTAAGGTTAGCATGTATATTAAGACAGGACCATTCCTATGAGCAACTTTGCCCTGAGTGTTATTCAACCAACCTGGTAAGACTTTTCTTAAAATGGTACTGCAATCCAAGATTCCTCCTCCTCAATCCTCCTTTCTACCCTATCTCCTCCACAGAGGTTAGTTCTAAATTGCAGTCTTATGCTTTCCCCTTCTCTAATTTCTCTCATTTATCCTTACATAAATTTTCCCCAGAACATCACCTGCACAGTTATTTTTGTCTGGTGTCTGCTGCTCAGAGGACCCAAACTAACTGAAGCATGGCAGTGATAACAATAGCATTTAGCAAACACATTTTATAAAATTTCTTGTTATTAAATTACATATTTCTTATCCACTCTTTATAAGTCTAAACAAAATAAGAAATTTTATATTTAGTATTTTATGTTTGCTGTCATGAAATTTTGTTTTTGGTGACATAGAATAAGTCATTAATTTCTACTAAAGCACTTATCTGATTGGATTCTAATGGGACTACAGATGATCATTGACTTAAACAATGGTTCAGCTTACAATTTTTCAAATTTACAATGGATTTATCAACATGTAGCAACGGTATACATTTAAAACTAGTCAGTATTTAAAATAAATCTGTTAATTTTCATGAAATGATGTTTGGCTTTAAGTCACTTTATGTTTTAAAGCAATGAAATGAAGACTACACTTTAAATCTGGCTAATTCACATAACAATATTCTACTGTATATTCATGGCTATAAATAAATATTCTATAATTAAAGGAATGCTCTCCCCTAGATAAAAATAGCAACATTTTATCATAAATCAGAGATTAATGTCCCAACTAAAGAAAGCATCAGGAAAACATTCAAATAGTTCAATTATGATATGCAATTGTACTTATTAGCATAAAAATTAACACAAGGAAAATATTAAAAATTTCTCTGAGCTATGGAATTAATAAGTATTCTAAATTTACAGTGTTTGAAAATACTTCCCAACAATATATTACATACAAGTTAAGTAGAAGTGATGGGATTTCAATGGGAATTAAACTATGGAAAACAGCTGCAAAATTATCTGTAATTTTTTTCTAAATATTTAGAAAAGAACATAAACAGTAACATAATGATTTGCTCTTTGACACTATCCTTAAATGTCCATCTCATACAATTAAGCAGTAGAAAATACTATATTATTATGTACAGTATCAATGTTGGTGTTATTACTTCTACTTTTTATAGCTGAGGAAACAAGACAGGTATATGTTTGGTGTTTTTTTTAAGCCACAAAATTTAATCTTTACATTCCTAATCAGAGAAGAGAATGTTAAAATTTAATTCAGAAGAACTTTGTAAAAATAAGATATTTTGAAAGCCAACTCAGAAATCAACATAACTTACCATTCTCGCACAGTGTGAATTCAAAGTAGTTTTCTCTTCCTTATAGAGAAAATAGTAAAGAATGTTTTTGGCTTTTCTTCTCTTTTCTTATACATGACTCATATAGAATCTCATCTTTATAGGATGGATGTTTTTCTGAGTAAAATTACTTGCTTTTAACTCTCCCCCTAAACCAGAAAATACTTTGTTTTTGTTATGATCTGACTTTCTTTTTTGTATGTTATTCTATAAGATTCTTTCATGTGTGGTTTATCTCATCTGTGTCTTTGATTTTCTACTATCTACATTTGAGACATAATAAAATGTCTTTAATTCATAATATATTTTTATCAGCATTGTGCATAATAATTAAGACTGTTGAAAGATAGATTTTTTAATTAATGTCTGTCAATGTGATAAATTCCCATAAACAGACTCTGCCTCTAGAAGGGATATTTATGAAGCCTATAATGTTCCCCAAAACATAGAAATCCCCGTTTTTTTAACATATTGTAATCACATTCATCAACAAGGTACAACAGTCTTTGGTTAAAAAATAAATGAGATAAAATAAAGAGAGAAAAAAACTAAAAGCATTGACAATATGTAAAAAAGACTAATGTAAAGAAATTAATCTTTCAAAAACTTGTGCTCACTCAATTACTCTGTTTGAGCATGTTGTAATCAATTCTAAAGGTCTATGCTATAATGAAATGACAATTTGTTTCTAAGTCGTTACTCAGGGGGTTACAAATTAAAAATGCTCTTTATTTTCATTTTAATGAAACATAAAATTATAAGTTCCCTGTCCTCTCAGGTGGTGAACTTAGAACAATAGTTAAATATTATTTTCACACTAGGCCTAAATACTAAATGGGTGGCCTGAGATTTGTGATCCCCAGAGAAGGAAAGCAAGAGAAATAGAGAATCACTTAATATGTGCCACGTGGAATTTGAAGGACACAGGATCTAAAGCCCAACACTTTCCTTTTGAAAAACATACAAAAGTACATGGCTGACTGGATCTGCAAAACTCAGAGAGATGCCTGGGTTGGGGGCAGCCCCCATTCCAATGACTTAGTCAAAGAAGTTTATCCTGTGGGGACAGAGACACCAAGGAGAGCAGCTGAACTTGAAACGTCTTTCAAAGATTGGGGTCAAGGGATCCATGTGTGAAAGCAGAGTGAATCAAATCACAAAGGCTATGGGAGGTATAGCAAAAGAACTTAAGAAAGTCTCTTTAATAATCGTTTAAGGATGGATTAGGGAAACTAAAACTCCTCCACATATGTAAATAAAGTTCAAATTTCATTGTGAGAAATGAGTTTCACCATTAGAGGCAGTTAATACTACAGTTTTCTTCCTCCTTATGGGTTTATAACGTGCTCTTGAGGAGAATTATTGCTCTGGAAGGTAAGAGTGTATATGTTTGTGGGTGTGGTATACACATTTGATATAACAGTCACATGCTGGATACTGGGAAAAATAAAGAGGCATGTGTGCTACTCACAGAGGTGGGAAAATGTTGAAAAATGAATGAGACTAGTAAGTCTCATGTCTACCACTTTTTGTTCCACTGGACTTGGACGGAGAAAGAACACCATAAAACAACCTATTGTATGGGTTTATTATTCTAAAGTAACTAACTTATTTTGAAGACAATTTGCTTAGGATGGGAGTAGATAGTCATTTATTTGATCAACAAGTATTTACTGGGGAACTATTATGTTCAGAGCAAAACTAAAATATAGATGAAGATTACTGTTCTCATACGGTTACATTCTATTCTGAGAGATACAGCTGTTGTCATGCTGTGAAGAAAAAAGACAGGCAAAAGGGATATAAACAATAATATTTTCGCAGTAAAAGCAGATGCTATTTTCAATAGGATGGACAGGGAAAGTTTCCCAGATAAGGTGGCAAGTTAACACTAACAGTATTAGAATATTTAGCAACTTCTGAGGCATACTCACTTTACTACATAGATAGGTGCCTGATTAATTATGAAGACGACTGCTAACAGGCTTTACTGAATTTCAGCCCTGCATAAGAATACTTTAACAAATGTGAGAGTAATCCCTGTAGATGTCTGGGGGCATGAGTCAGACAGGTATAGGAAACAGTAAATGCATAGACCTTAGGGATGTTCCTGGCTTGGTAAATGTGAAGACCAGCAAGAACACAAACTTAGTGGAAACTGAGTGGGAAGGGGTAAAAGTAAAAGGTGAGAAGGTCACAAAGATAGCTGGGGGCCAGATCATATAGGACTAATAGGCCAAGCATGTAAGAGTTTTGGATTTTTTTCTGAAAGTAGTGTCCAAAGGATTACAATTATATTTTTAAGGAATCACCCTAAAATTATGTGGTGAAAATAACTTTATGAAGATAAGAGAAAATAAACAAAAAGAAATATAGAATTATTATAAATTATTGAATTTAGAAATTATAGTAATGCAGAGCAGGATACAAGCAGAGGAGTTGTTGAGACACATTTGGCTTTAATGTATGTTTAAGGCTAGAATATGCCATGGAAAAACATTTGATAAAACTATAGGCTTTTGTTACCCACCCCCCATAAAAAAAACAGGGTTAATTCTTCTGGTGAGTAATAAACAACTGTCCATGAGAATGCAGGTTTTGATCAATAGGAGTTTTATTACTTGGCACAGGTAAGGAGGACACTGGGAGTATTATCTAAAGCGGTATCTCCTGGAGGGAAACAGACAGGAGGGTTTTATGGGCAATGGAGTGGGGAGAGGGTGCATCACTGCATGCAGGGGAGGCATCCTAGTGCTGCAGACTCAGTGAGTCATTATGCCAGCACGCAAGTTGCATGCTATAGTAATGAAGCCATAGCTCTCACGTGGGAGGGGAGACTTTTGTATGCTTATGAGGAAAATTCACTGGGGTCTATCTATTTTGCTGAGGTCTTTCGGAAGCTGGTTCCAACCAACTAGGCAACTACATTTCACACAGAGTTTGGGGAAAAACAGGCTGCAGGCCAGGAGGCTGTGAAACAGGCTGATTGCTAAAGTTTATTAAATTCCTATAATCCCTGGAGACTCTCCTGGTCTGCTTACACTATGATCACTTGGAAGTCAGACCATGTGCTTTGAGTGTATATAGTTCTAAGGGAACAGGGTAGAAAAGGTCAGATTATTAATGTGGGTTGACAAAAATGGAAATAGTAAAAATTCATTATTAGGGCCTATTACTGTTAACTATGACTACAATAATGCTGTTGCCTAACAAGCCATCTGAAAACCCTCAAGAAGTGTTTATTAATCAAACATCTGTAAGTCAGCTGGTGGGCAGGTTGGGGAGTCTTTCAAATATTCATAATCAGCTAGTGTGTCAGGAGGAGGCTTCCTAGGCTGAAATGACCTCTGCTGGGCAGAGTTCCAAGGAGAAAACAGAAAAGTACAAGAACTTTTTAAAAAGTCTTTATTTGTACTATGTTTACTAACTTCTCATTGGCCAAAGCAAGACACATGAACAAGGCTAGAGTCAAAGGGGAGGAGACTGAAACATTAAAAGGCAGCAAGAATACAGAGAGCCACTGATTGGAGGCATTAATAAAAACAACCTTTAAAGTGCCTTCTGAGCTGCAAAAATCATGAATGTTGCTCAAATTGTTTCTCAAAGGCCAATTAAGACTTCAGAGCCAACAATAAAAGGTTTGGGGCTAAGACCTCATCTTCCCAATATGCCTATCATTAGAAATGACTTCAAGATAGCTGTGTCAGGGGTCCCCCAGACCACCCCCAGGCTCAAGGATTGGCTAGAAGAACTCACATGACTCATATGAACTCAAATGACTGTTATACTCATGGTTATAGTTTATCGTAGCAAAATGATACAGATTAAAATGAGCAAAGGGAAAATTGCAGATAAAGTCCAGGGGAAACCAGATCAAGTTTTCAAGTGTCCTCTCCCAGTGGAGTTGCATAAATAAATGTAATTTTCTCAGTAATGATGAGTGATGAGTGGCCGTACAAGCAAAGTGTTGTCAACTGGGGTAGATTATTTGAGCCTTGGTGTCCACAGTTTTTACTGGGGGTCATATAGTCATTGCAGCACTTGTGATTGACTTCATTTACTCAGAGCAAAAACAGGAGCTCATTATATATTATACTGTAGATGTAAACTATCTGATCAAACTGGCACCATATGGCCCAAGGCCACAGGCATACAAAAGCAGGTGTTCATTATAAATAACATTGTTAGCATAAACGATCTGATAAAATTGGAACAGTGTTGCCCCAAATCTCAGGCATATAAAAATACTCCTATCAGGCATAACATTCCAAAGACACAGAACTTATTTCCTAAGAGCTGGACAGTCCACAAAACCTTTCTTGGGAAGGTACACAGTGTGCACAACCAAGGCCTGCTGAGTTAACACTTTCCAGCACAGCAGTCAACAATAAAATAAGGCCAACTGGGATAGGTCAAGCTGAAAAGCCATAAACAAAGCAAGATAATGATCCATAAAAATACCTGTAAGCCCAGAAGACTATTCTTTGAGGGAATTGCTTTAATTAATTAATTAATTAATTAATCAAACAAGCTTTTTTGCTAAAATCCTTTAATTTTCTGATCGCTAAACTAGCCCCTATGGAAGGCCTGCTTTTCAATATCTTTCCCTGATGAATGACTCAAATATATACTATAAGAAAAATAAATGTAATTGTACTTTATGTCATCCATTGTAGTGTTTGACTCTTTGGTATAACAGCTTAATGTTCACTGTAAATAATAATATCTAAAATAAATCTATCAGTTTCATGTCCCATATGAAAACACACACACACACACATATGCATATATATATATATAGTTTACTATATATATATAGTTTACTATATATATGTAGTTTACTATATATATAGTTTACTATATATATAGTTTACTATATATATATATAGTTTACTATATATATATATATAGTTTACTATATATATATATATATATATATATATATATATATAGTTTACTGGAAGATATTAAGGAAACCTAAATAAATCAAGAGATATCTCTTGTTTATGGGTAGAAAGATGAATAGAATAAAGATGTCAATTTCTGCACATTGACGCATAAATACTTCCTAAGAAGAGGCTAACATCAATTGAACAGCTTTAGTAAAATATAATTTACATGTAATAACTGCATACATTTAAAATATCCAACTTGATATTTGACAAATATGTATACACATGAAACTACCACTGCAATATTGATGACACATATTTGCATTACACCCAGAAGTTTTCTTATGTCCGTCCCTAATCCATATCTCTTCAATCCCTCTCCCTCCAAACAAAGACTGGTCTACTTTTTACACTATCAATTGTATGCTTTTTTACAATTTTATATGAGTTTTACAATTTTATAAGTGTCTATACAGTATGATTTCAATCAAACTCTTTTTCTAGTTTCTTTTACTCACAATTACCTCAGGATCCATCCATGTTTTGCATGTGTTAATTGATTATTTTTTTATGATTGCGTAATAGTCCATTTTATGGGTTTACCACAAATTGTTCATCTATTACTTCCTGGTGGACACTTTTTTTTTAATTCCAGGTTTTGGGCTATTACAAATAAAGCTACTGTAACCTTTGGGTGCAGGTCTTTATGTGGACATATACTTTCTATCTCTTAGGTAAATGTCTAGGATTGTTTTGCTAGGCTATATACAGTAGGAATATATATAACATTTTAAGAGAATGCAAAATTTTTAAAATGATTATATAATTTTATATTCCTATCACCAATGCATAATAGTTCCAGTAGCATCTCATCCTAATCAACACTTGCTTTGATAAGACATTTTTAATATAACCATGCTAATGGATATAAAGTTATATCAAATTATAGTTTTAACTTACATTTCTTTAAAGATTAATGATGCTGAGCATCTTTCCACATATGTTTTTTAGTTAAATGTCTGAATCTTTTTTATTTTAATTTTAATTTTAAGTTCTGGGGTACATGTGCCAGATGTGCAGGTTTGTTACATAGGTAAACGTGTGCTATGGTGATTTGCTGCACCTATCAATCCATGACCTATGTATTAAGCCCAGCATACATTAGCTATTTTTTTCTAATGCTCTCCTTCCCACCGACCCACACTCCAACAGGCCCCAGCATGTGTTGTTTCCCTCCCTGTGTCCATGGGCTCTCATTGTTCAGCTTCTACTTATAAATGAGAACATGTGGTATTTGGCTTTCTGTTCCTGTGTTAATTTGCTGAGGGTAATGGCTTTCAGCTTCATCCATGTCCCTGCAAAGGACATGACCTCATTCGTTTTTATGGCTGCATAGTATTCCATGGTGAATATGCACCACATTTTCTTTATCCAGTCTATCATTGATGGGCATTTGGGTTGATTCCATGTATTTGCTATTGTGACTAGTGCTGCAGTGAACATACACATGCATGTATCTTTGTAATAGAATGATTTATATTCATTTGGGTATATACCAAGTAATGGGATTGCTGGGTCAAATGGTATTTCTGGTTCTAGGTCCTACAGGAATCAAAACACCATCTTCCACAATGATTGAACTAATTTACATTCTCAACAATGGATTAAAAGCGTTCCTATTTCTCCACAACTTCACCAGCATCTGTTGTTTCTTGACTTTTAATAATCATAATTCTAACTGGCATGAGATAGTATCTCATTGTGGTTTTGATTTGCATTTCTCTGATGATCAGTGATGTTGAGGTTTTTTTTCATGTTTGTTGCTTGCATGAATGTTTTCTTTTGAGAAGTATCTGTTCATGTCCTTTGCCCACATTTAAATGGGGTTGTCTTTTCCTTGTAAATTTGTTTAAGTTCCTGGTAGATTCTGGGCATTAAACCTTTGTCAGATAGATAGATTGCAAAATTTTTATCCCACTCCGTAGGTTGCCTGTTCATTCTATTGATAGTTTCCTTTGCTATGCAGAAGCTCTTTAGTTTAATTAGATCCATTTTTCAATTACTGCTTGTTGTGATTGGTTTTGGAAATTTTGTCATGAAATCTTTGCCTGTGCCTATGTCCTGAATGGTATTGCCTAGATTTTCTTCTAGAGTTTTTATTGTTTTGGGTTTTACATTTAAGTCTTTAATCCATCTTGGGTTAAATTTTGTATAATGTGTTAGTAAGGGGTCCGGTTTCAATTTTCTGCATATGGCTAGCCAGTTCTCCCAGCACCATTTATTAAATAGGGAATCCTTTCCCCATTGCTTGTTTTTGTCAGGTTTGTTGAAGCTCAGACAGTTGTAGTTGTGTGGACTTATTTCTGGGTTATCTATTTGGTTCCATTGGTCTGTGTGTCTGGTTTTGTATCAGTACTATGCTGTTTTGGTTACTGTAGCCTTGAAGTATAGTTTGAAGTTTGGTTTGTGTCCTTATTCTTGAGTTGTAAGAGTACTTTTATATATTCTAAATAAAAATTATTGGTTATATATTACAAATATTTTGTCTCAGAGTGTGTCTTGCCTTTTATATTCTTAACAGTGTCTTATGAAGAGCAAGTATTTAAAATTTTTGTAAAGTCCAGTTTATTGATTATTTTCTTTTATATTTCTTGTTGTTTGTTTCTTTTTAAAAAATATTTGTCTCCTGGGCATGATGGCTCATGCCTCTAATCCCAGCACTTTGGGAGGCTAAGGCGGATGATCGTTTGAGGTCAGGAGTTTGAGACAAGTCTGGGCGACATGGTGAAATCCCGTCTCTACTAAAAATACAAAAATTAGCTGGGCGGTAGGGGAATGCACCTGTAATCCCAGCTACTCAGGAGGCTGAGGCAGGAGAATCCCTTGAGCCTAGGAGGCAGAGGTTGCAGTGAGCCAAGACTGGGCCACTACACTCCAGTCTGGGTGAAAGAGTGAGACCCTGTCTCAAAAAGAAAAAAAAATTGTCATACCAGAAGTCACCAAGATATTCTTCTGTTTTCTTCTGGAAGTTTATAAATTTTACATTTGGTTCTATACCAATGTCAAGTTAATTTTTTGTCTGTGGTTTAAGAAAAAAGTTAAAGCTTTCTTTGTTTTGTTTTTAATGGCTATCATTGTTTCAGCATCATTTGTTTAGAGATTTCATTTTCTGTATAAAATCACCCTGGAAACCTTTGTTAAAAATTTGTTGGCCATATATCTGTAGGTCTCTTTGTGTACTCTATTCTGTTTCATTAATCTAATCATCTGCTTGCATATCAATTTTAAGTTGTCTTGGCTACTATAGATTTATTCTAAGCCTTGAAGACCAGTAGAGTAAATCTCAAACTTTATTATTATATTTCAAACTTTCTGGCTATTTTAGATACTTTGCATTTCCATGTAAATTTTAGAGTCATCTTGTTAATTTTTATAAGAAAATTCTGCTTGGATTTTTATTGGGATTATGCTGACTCTTAATATGGATTTGGGAAAATATATTTTTAAAATATTGTATTTTCCAATCTATGAGCATGGTGTATATATATATATATGTAGTATTTAACTTCTCTCAACAATTCTGTTGTAGAATTCAGTGTATGAGTGTTGAACATCTTTCATTCAAATTTATCCCTAAATATTTTGTAACTTTATATTAGTGTAATTGGCTTTGTTTTTCATTTAATTTTCCAATTGCTGGTTGGATGTATACAGAAATAAAATCTATTTTTGAATATTATTTCTTTATACTGCAAACTTGTAACTCATATTTATTTCTAACAGATTCTGTAGTTTCCTTAGATTTTCTACATAAATGACCATGCTGTCTGAGAATAAAGACATTTTACTTCCTTCTTTCCTATCTTTATATTAAATAATTTACTTTTATTTCCTGATAGTACTGCAGAAGCTACCAGTAAGATGTGGATAAGATGAGATATTTTTGTCCTATTCCCAATCTTAGAGAGTTGTATTAGTCCATTCTGGTACTAATATAAAGAGCTGCCTGAGACTCTGTAATTTATAAAGGAAAGAGGCTCAGTTGACTCACAGTTCGGTAGGGTTGGGGAGGGCTCAGGAAACTTACAATCATTACAGAAGGTGAAGCAAACACGTCCTTCTTTACATGGTGGAAGGAAGGAGAAGTGCTCAGCAAAGGGGGAAAAGCTCCTTATAAAACGATCAGTTCTTGTGAGAACTCACTCACTATCACAAGAACAGCATGGGGGTCACCGCCCCCATGATTCAATTATTTCCCACCAGGTCCCTCCCATGACACAAGATTATGGGGACTACAATTCAAGATGGGATTTGAGTGGAGACACAAAGCCCAACCATATCAGAGAGAAAGCACTCTCATTATCTAGAATGATACGAGCTATATATAGATTTAAAGTAAAGCCCTTTATCAGATTGCGGTTCCCTTTGTTCTCTAGTTTACTCAGAGTTTTTCTTCATGTATATATGTTGACTTAATATCCAATTTTTGTGTGTGTACTGAGATTATGTGAGTTTTATGTTTTAAGCATGTTAATGTGGTAAATTACATAAATTAATACAACTTTTCGTTGCTAATATAAGGCAGATTTATCATATTTTTTCGTTTTTCTATATTGTTAGATTTAATTTGTTAACATTTTGTCTAAAAATTTTATCTGTGTTTATGAGGAATATTTTTCTGTAATTCTCTATTTAATGTCCTTTTCAGGTTTTGGTAGTAGGGAGATGTTGGCATCATGGAATGAGTTTAAAAGTATTTATTTCTCTTCAATTTCCTAGAAAAGTTATGTAATACACACATTCTTTCTTCCTTAAATATTTTGTAAGACTTACCAGCACAGGAATCTGAGCCTAGAGATGTGTGTGTGTGTGTGTGTGTGTGTGTGTGTGTGTGTGTTTGTGTGTGAAGCTTTTAACTACAAATTTATTTTTCTTAGTAGAGCATGTTAGGTAATCCGTGTTTTTCTTAAGTGAACTTTCATAGGAATTCATCAATTTCATCTAAGTGGTTGAATTTATTTGTTGTTAATAATACTTCCACAGTATCTTTTAAGTGTCTGTAGGAACTGTGATAATGTCCCCTCTCTCATTTCTAATATTGACCATTCGTGTGTTTCCTTTTTACCCTAATCAGTCTTGGCTATTGTTTTATCAGTTAGATTGATCCCTTCAAAGACAAGTTTTTGTTTTCACTAAGTTTCTCTATTTTTTTTTTCTGTTTTTTAAACTCTCCTCTAATCTTTATTATTATGTCTTTTCTGCTTACTTACGTTTAACTCATCTTTTTCTCATTTAAGGCAGAAAACCAAGTTATAGATTTTGGACTTTTCTACTGTCCTAAAATATGTGTTTATTGGGTGTGTTAAAACTTACTGCTAAGCACTGCAATAGCTGCATCTCACATACTTAATGTTGTTTTGAATTTGTATTTACTAAAAGTATTTCCATATTTTTGTTATAATTTCTTATTTGACCCATGAATTATTTAGATGTACATGAGTAAGTTTTAGCTTCTAAATATTTGGAAAAGTATATAATATCAATGTGTTCTCCAAAAGTTTATGTATTGGAAACTTAATTCCTTTGCCCTCGTGAATGAATTAATGTCACAATCACGGTAATAGGTGCCTTTTCACAAGAGTGGATTTGTTATAAAATCAAGTTCTTTCTGCCATTCTTGCTCTTGGCTTTTTATCATTTGATGCCCTCTGCCAATTTATGATGTAGCAAAAAGACCCTCAATAGATGCCAATGCAATGCTCTTGGACTTCGCAGCATCCAGAACTGTGAGCTAAATAATCTTATTTTCTCTATAAATTACCCAGTCTATGTTGCAATCATGCATGCATAAGGATGTTGCAGTCAATAATGGACCACATATTTGATGGTGATCTCATAAGATAATAACGAAACTAAAAATATTCCTGTCATCTAGTGACATCATAGCTGTTGTAACATTGTAGTGCAATGCATTACTCCTGTGTTTGTGGTGATGCTAGTATAAACAAACCTATTATAGTGTCAAGTCTTACAAAAGTATACCACATACAATTATACCCAGTACATAATATTTGGTAAAAGTTGAAAAACAACTATGTTGCTGATTTATCTATTTTCTATACTATATATTTTATCATAATTTTAGAGTGTACTCTTTCTACTTAAAAAACAATTAACTGTAAAGTAGCCTCAGGCAGGTCTTTCAGGAGGTATTCCAAATGAAGGAATTGTTAACATAGAAGATGTCAGCTCCATGCATGATATTGCTCTTGAAGACCTTCCAGTGTTAATAAGATGTGGAAGTGAAAGAGAGGAATGTTGATAATTCTGACCCTGTGTAGGCTTAGATTAATGTGAGTGTTTGTCTCACTTTTTAATGAAAAACTTTAAAATTAAAAAAAATTAAATAGAAAAGTTCACAGAATAAGGATATAAGGAAAGAAAATATCTTTACAGCTGTTCGATGTGTTTGTGTTTTAAGCTAAGTGTTATTACAGAAGAGTCAAAAAGTTTTTTAAATTAATTTTGTAAAGTAAAAATGTTATAGTAAGCAAAGGTTAATTTCCTATTGAAGAAAAAAATGTTAAATAAATTTAGTGTAGCCTAAGTGCACAGTGTTTATAAAGTCTACAGTAGTGTACAGTAATGTCCTAAACTTTCACATTCATCCACTATTCACTCACTGACTCACCCAGAACAACTTCTCATCCTGCAAGCTCCATTGGTGGTATTCTATACAAGTGTATCAGTTTTTATTGTTTATACTGTATTTTTATTGCACGTTTTCTACATTTAGATATACAAATACTTACCATTGTGTTACAATCACCTACAGGAGTCCATACAATAACATGCTGTATAGGCTTATAGCCTAGAAGCAATAGACTGTACTATATAGCCTAGGTGTGTAGTAGGCTATATCATCTAGGTTTGTGTAAGTACATTCTGTCTGTTATTTGCACAATGATGAAATAATCTAAAGACACATTTCACAGAAAAAAAACTCTCTTAAGTGATGTATGACTTTATTCTGGTATAGCAACAGAAGATAAACTAAGATGGACATTTTCAGATTATTATAGATTTCTAAATATATTCCACTACTGTTATCAATGATGATTTGCATGATTTGAATCCTTATCAGATGCATTGAGGCATTTCTTATTATCCACAGTGTGGTCTATCATAAGAAATACTATTTTTATCTTGCTTTTCTAGTTCTTTTAATTGTGATGTTAGGGTGTCAATTTTAGATCTTTCCTGCTTTCTCTTGTAGGCATTTAGTGCTATAAATTTCCCTCTACACACTGCTTTGAATGTGTCCCAGAGATTCTGGTATGCTGTGTCTTTGTTCTCATTGGTTTAAAAGAACATCTTTATTTCTGTTTCATTCTTTACCCAGTAGTTGTTCAGGAGCAGGTTGTTCAGTTTCCATGTAGTTGAGCAGTTTTCAGTGAGTTTCTTAATCCTGAGTTCTAGTTTGATTGCACTGTCGTCTGAGAGACAGTTTGTTATAATTTCTGTTCTTTTACATTTGCTGAGGAGTGCTTTACTTCCAACTATGTGGTCAATTTTGGAGTAGGTGTGGTATGGTGCTGAATAGAATGTATATTCTGTTGATTTGGGGTGGAGAGTTCTGTAGATGTCTATTAGGTCAGCTTGGTGCAGACCTGAGTTCAATTCCTGGGTATCCTTGTTAACGTTCTGTCTCGTTGATCTGTCTAATGTTGACAGTGGGGTGTTAAAGTCTCCCATTATTATTGTGTGGGAGTCTAAGTCTCTTTGTAGGTCACTAAGGACTTGCTTTATGAAACTGGGTGCTCCTGTATTGGGTGCATATATATTTAGGTTAGCTCTTCTTGTTGAATTGATCCCTTTACCATTATGTAATGGCCTTCTTTGTCTCTTTTGATCTTTGTTGGTTTAAAGTCTGTTTTATCAGAGACTAGGATTGCAACCCCTGCCTTTTTTTGTTTTCCATTTGCTTGATAGAGCTTCCTCCATCCTTTTATTTTGAGCCTATGTGTGTCTCTGCACGTGAGATGGGTTTCCTGAATACAGCACACTGATGGGTCTTGACTCTTTATCCAATTTGCCAGTCTGTGTCTTTTAATTGGAGTATTTAGCCCATTTACATTTAAAGTTAATATTGTTATGTGTGAATTTGATCCTGTCATTATGATGTTAGCTGGTTATTTTGCTCGTTAGTTGATGCAGTTTCTTCCTAGCCTTGAAGGTCTTTACAATTTGTCATGTTTTTGCAGTGGCTGGTACCAGTTGTTCCTTTCCATGTTTAGTGCTTCCTTCAGGAGCTCTTTTAGGGCAGGCCTGGTGGTGACAATATCTCTCAGTATTTGCTTGTCTGTAAAGTATTTTATTTCCCCTTCACTTATGAAGCTTAGTTTGGCTGGATATGAAATTCTGGGTGGAAAATTCTTTTCTTTAAGAATGTTGAATATTGGTCCCCACTCTCTTCTGGCTTGTAGAGTTTCTGCGGAGAGATCCGCTGTTAGTCTGATGGGCTTCCCTTTGTGGGTAACCCGACCTTTCTCTCTGGCTGCCCTTAACATTTTTTCCTTCGTTTCAACTTTGGTGAATCTGACAATTATGTGTCTTGGAGTTGCTCTTCTCAAGGAGTATCTTTGTGGTGTTCTCTGTATTTCCTGAATGTGAATTTTGGCCTGCCTTGCTAGTTTGGGGAAATTCTCCTGGATAATATCCTGCAGAGTGTTTTCCAACTTGGTTCCATTCTCCCTGTCACTTTCAGGTACACCAATCAGATGTAGATTTGGTCTTTTCACATAGTCCCATATTTCTTGGAGGCTTTGTTCATTTCTTTTTATTCTTTTTTCTCTAAACTTCTCTTCTCACTTCATTTCATTCATTTCGTCCTCCATCACTGATACCCTTTCCTCCAGTTGATCACATTGGCTACTGAGGCTTGTGCATTCATCACGTAGCTCTCATGCCTTGGTTTTCAGCTCCATCAGGTCCTTTAAGGACTTCTCTGCATTGGTTATTCTAGTTATCCATTTGTCCAATTTTTTTTCAAAGCTTTTAACTTCTTTGCCATTGGTTCAAATTTCCTCCTGTAGCTCGGAGTAGTTTGATCATCTGAAGTGTTCTTCTCTCAACTCATCAAAGTCAGTCTCTGTCTAGCTTTGTTCCGTTGCTGGTAAGGAGCTGCATTCCTTTGGAGGAGGAGAGGCACTCTGATTTTTAGAGTTTCCAGTTTTTCTGCTCTGTTTTTTTCCCATCTTTGTGGTTTTATCTACCTTTGGTCTTTGATGATGGTGACGTACAGATGGGTTTTGGTGTGGATGTCCTTTCTGTTTGTTAGTTTTCCTTCTAACAGACAGGATCCTCAGCTGCAGGTCTGTTGGAGTTTGCTAGAGGTCCACTTCAGACCCTGTTTGCCTGGGTATCAGCAGCAGTGGCTACAGAACAGCGGATTTTGGTGAACCGCAAATGCTGCTGCCTGATCGTTCCTCTGGAAGTTTTGTCTCAGAGGAGTACCCAGCTGTGTAAGGTGTCAGTCCACCCCTACTGGGGAGTGCCTCCCACTTAGGCTACTCGGGGGTCAGGGACCCACTTGAGGAGGCAGTCTGCCCGTTCTCAGATCTCAAGCTGCATGCTGGGAGAACCACTACTCTCTTCAAAGCTGTCAGAGAGGGACGTTTAAGTCTGTAGAGGTTACTGCTGTCTTTTTGTTTGTCTGTGTCCTGCCCCCAGAGGTGGAGCCTACAGAGGCAGGCAGGCCTCCTTGAGCTGTGTTGGGCTCCACCCAGTTCGAGCTTCTGGGAGGCTTTGTGTACCTAATCAAACAACTAACTTGGCAATGGCAGGCGCCCAAACACATTCAAAAGCTAGCAGAAGGCAAGAAATAACTAAAATCAGAGCAGAACTGAAGGAAATAGAGACACAAAAAACCCTTCAAAAAATTAATGAATCCAGGAGCTGGTTTCTTGGAAAGATCAACAAAATTGATAGACCACTAACAAGGCTAATAAAGAAGAAAAGAGAGAAGAATCAAATAGATGCAATAAAAAATCATAAAGGGGATATCACCACCGATCCCACAGAAATACAAACTACCATCAGAGAATACTATGAACACCTCTATGCAAATAAACTAGAAAATCTAGAAGAAATGGATAAATTCCTCAATACATACATCCTCCCAAGACTAAACCAGGAAGAAGTTGAATCTCTGAATAGACCAATAACAGGCTCTGAAATTGAGGCAATAATCAATAGCTTACCAACCAAAAAAAGTCCAGGACCAGATGGATTCATAGCCAAGTTCTACCAGAGGTACAAAGAGGAGCTGGTACCATTCCTTCTGAAACTATTCCAATCAATAGAAAAAGAGGGAATCCTCCCTAACTCATTTTATGAGGCCAGTATCATCATGATACCAAAGCCTGGCAAAGACACAACCAAAAAAGAGAATTTTAGACCAATATCCTTGATGAACATCAATGCAAAAATCCTCAATAAAATACTGGCAAACCAAATCCAGCAGCACATCAAAAAGCCTATCCACTATGATCAAGTGGGCTTCATCCCTGGGATGCAAGGCTGGTTCAACAAATGCAAATCAATAAATGTAATCCAGCATATAAACAGAACCAAAGACAAAGACAACATGATTATCTCAATAGATGCAGAAAAGGCCTTTGACAAAATTCAACAACGCTTCATGCTAAAAACTCTCAATAAATTAGGTATTGATGGGTCATATCTCAAAATAATAAGAGCTATCTATGACAAACCCACAGCCAATATCATACTGAATGGCAAAAACTGGAAGCATTCCCTTTGAAAACAGGCACAAGACAGGGATGCCCCCTCTCACCACTCCTATTCAACATAGTGTTGGAAGTTCTGGCCAGGGCAATCAGGCAGGAGAAGGAAATAAAGGGTATTCAATTAGGAAAAGAGGAAGTCAAATTGTCCCTGTTTGCAGATGACATGATTGTATATCTAGAAAACCCCATCATCTCAGCCCAAAATCTCCTTAAGCTGATAAGCAACTTCAGCAAAGTCTCAGGATACAAAATCAATGTACAAAAATCACAAGCATTCTTATATACCAATAACAGACAAACCGAGAGCCAAATCATGAGTGAACTCCCATTTGCAATTGCTTCAAAGAGAATAAAATACCTAGGAATCCAACTTACAAGGGACGTGAAGGACCTCTTCAAGGAGAACTACAAACCACTGCTCAATGAAATAAAAGAGGATACAAATAAATGGAAGAACATTCCATGCTCATGGGTAGGAAGAATCAACATCATGAAAATGGCCATACTGCCCAAGGTAATTTATAGATTCAATGCCATCCCCATCAACCTACCAATGACTTTCTTCACAGAATTGGAAAAAACTACTTTAAAGTTCATATGGAACCAAAAAAGAGCCTGCATCGCCAAGTCAATCCTAAGCCAAAAGAATGAAGCTGGAGGCATCATGCTACTTGACTTCAAACTATAGTACAAGGCCACAGTAACCAAAACAGCATGGTACTGGTACCAAAACAGAGATATAGACCAATGGAACAGTGCAGAGCCCTCAGAAATAATGCTGCATATCTACAACTATGTGGTCTTTGACAAACCTGAGAAAAACAGCAATGGGGAAAGGATTCCTTATTTAATAAATGGTGCTGGGAAAACTGGCTAGCCATATGTAGAAAGCTGAAACTGGATCCCTTCCTTACACCTTATACAAAAATTAATTCAAGATGGATTAAAGTCTTAGATGTTAGCCCTAAAACCATAAAAACCCTAGAAGAAAACCTAGGCAATACCATTCAGGACATAGGCATGGGCAAGGACTTCATGTGTAAAACACCAAAAGCAATGGCAACAAAAGCCAAAATTGACAAATGGGATCTAATTAAACTAAAGAGCTTCTGCACAGCAAAAGAGACTACCATCAGAGTGAACAGGCAACCTACAGAATGGGAGAAAATTTTTGCAACCTACTCATCTGACAAAGGGCTAATATCCAGAATCTACAATGAACTCAAACAAATTTACAAGAAAGAAACAAACAACCCCATCCAAAAGTGGGCAAAGGATATGAACATACACTTCTCAAAAGAAGACATTTACGCAGCCAAAAAACACATGAAAAAATGCTCACCATCACTGGCCATCAGAGAAATGCAAATCAAAACCACAATGAGATACCATCTCACACCAGTTAGAATGGCAATCATTAAAAAGTCAGGAAACAACAGGTGCTGGAGAGGATGTGGAGAAATAGGAACACTTTTACACTGTTGGTGGGACTGTAAACTAGTTCAACCATTGTGGAAGTCCGTGTGGCAATTCCTCAGGGATCTAGAACTAGAAATACCATTTGACCCAGCCATCCCATTACTGGGTATATACCCAAAGGATTATAAATCATGCTGCTATAAAGACACATGCACATGTATTTTATAGCGGCACTATTCACAATAGCAAAGACTTGGAACCAACATAAATGTCCAACAACGATAGACTGGATTAAGAAAATGTGGCACATATGCACCATGGAATACTATGCAACCATAAAAAATGATGAGTTCACGTCCTTTGTAGGGACATGGATGAAACTGGAAACCATCACTCTCAGCAAACTATCACAAGGACAAAAAACCAAGCACGGCATATTCTCACTCATAGGTGGGAATTGAACAATGAGAACACATGGACACAGGAAGGGGAACGTCACACACCGGAGACTGTTGTGGGGTGAGGGGCGGGGAGAGGGATAGCCTTAGGAGATATACGTAATGCTAAATGACAAGTTAATGGGTGCAGCACACCAGCATGGCACATGTATACATATGTAACAAACCTGCAGGTTGTGCACATGTACCCTAAAACTTAAAGTATAATAATGATAAAATTTAAAAAAATTACTATTAAAAAAAGCAATACTATTTTTCTCATTAAAAATAGTTTGTATTTTTCTGTTGTTGAATGTGTAGGGTCAGTAAGGTGTGACAACTCTCCTATCCCATCATAGGGGTTACGCCCAACAGTCCTATAAAAAAGACTGGTTAACAAAAGGAGACCATAACAGGCTTGTTTAATCAAAGTTTTACATGACACAGAAGACTTCAAAAATGAAAACCTCAAACACTCAGAGAATACTGTCTATTTTTATACTTAAGTGTGATGAAGCATGGACAGCTGCGTCAAAAGGTGATTAGATAAAAGGGAATAACCCAATGGAAATAGATTAAGTGGGGAAACCCAGCAATGGTTTTCTGATCATATTCTTCTTGGCTTCTCTTTTGTAACATTTCTTTCTCCCAAAAATGGGCCAGGATCACTCTGGAATTATGATTATATGGCTTATTATTAGAGTAGGGTAAGTCAGAGAATTTCTTTATTCTAAGTCCTAAGCAGAAAACTGAGAAAAGGTTAGAGTAATGTTTCTACATCCTATGACCCACTTTGGGGGAAGAGGAATCCTATGGCCTGCCTTGGGAAACAAAGAGAAGCAGGAGAAAGAAGGAGAGAAGGAAGTCAGAAAGAAACTTTTCTTCTGAGGTCTCTCCAATGTCCTTTAGGTTGAAGTACTTAGCATCCTGAAATGCCATACTTTGGGGTATCACTTTCTGAGCCCCAAAAGATTTAATGTACCATAAATGTCATTTAGGTCAACATTTAAGGAGGTAAAAAGAAGACATGGAATATATTTAGCTTACAATAATTTATAATATCTCACAGCATCTGGATGAATGGATAGATAGATACATAGGTAGCTACCTAGATAAATGTAGCTATATTATGTATACAACGATGATTTTAAATGAGTAAGATATTCATGCAATAAGATTATAGTAGGGTGCCAAATATGTAATTGTCAGTGTTTATCACAGTAGGAAGGGGCTATCATATAGCTAAATTAATTACATGAATTAATAATATCAGTGTCTAAAGCCAGTTTTTGTGATTCATCTGACATTTACCTTGGTAATTAGCATACTTTACAATCCACAATTGTGAACAAAAAAACTATGAAAAATAATGTAAAAGGTATTATATGCTAATTAATGTTTATATTATATTGAGGCTAAAATTAATCTTCAAAGTTTTGATTATGAAAAAGTATTAAAAAGACGATGCAAAACATTTTTAGTAAGTTTTGAATAGCCCACAATTGGAATGAGGTTCTCAACAGAGTTTCTCTATTACACTGCTAGTCTGAAATGACTATTTAGATAAAGCAAATGACAGTAAGAATGATAATGATAATAATGTGAATCTCTTTTATGCTAATAAAACCCTGAGATAAAACAGGCTATTTAAATTAGATCATACAGTTATTCAATTGAGGAAGATTTTAAAATACCCTTTATAATAGTATTTTTGCAGCCTTAACTCAATTTAAAGTCAGCTTCAAAAATTTGTATTCTGAAAGATATTTTAAGAATTTTTAAATCTAAGATTTTATTCCTCTGACATTTTCCCCTATGTGAAGTGTCAGTATACAAGAAGGCTTTTGTCCTAGCACTCATAAATAGCTAACAAAGCACCTTCAATGAGCCATGTTAAAGTTGTTTTCCCATGAGGCTTGTGCACTAATTTTGCCATTTTGTAGATGAGAAGACTGGGACAAGAAACATTTAGCAACTTGTCTAAACCTACAATATAAGAGGTAGATCCCAGACTGAAACATACACAGTCTGACTCTAAAGCCTTTGCAAGTATCAAAAGGCATCTTTCTGATCCTTTAGTGTTCACTCCCCAGTACCTTTAATATTTGCCTTCAAATTTCTTTACTTCCATTTTTATCCTACAATAATTAAGTAGGCATACTTAAAGAAAAGTTACAATATAAATAATATTTTAAAATATCTACAACTAATACTAAAGGGGTTACTTTATTTTATTTAAAATTTTATTTTTAGATAAGAATTTAAAATATCTGCAACTAATATCAAAGCCAAGGGTCTACTTTCTTTGAAATACAAACAGCTACTATAAATTAATAAATAAAATATCAAAAATTAAGACATAAAAATATTGCCAAAATTTGTAAACAAATGGTACACAAAAAAGTAAAAGAAATAAAGTGGCTCTTAAGCACATAAAAATATATTAAACTTCACTCAATTTATGATAAATACAAATTTTTAATGCAACTAAAGATAAATAGGACTTGTTTCAACAATTAATGTTTTGGTGATCCATGTGGTCAACTAAAATACAGCCAAACGAAATTTCACTGAACTAGATTGAGAAAAAGAATGACTTGGCGTCAAAGAGAAAAAAAAAAAGTGGAGAATTTACTTAGATCTAGAGAACTCTCAGCTCTATACAAAGTATGACTGAATGGAATTGAGCTAATAAACATCATCTATTTTTTTAAATGTAAATAATCAACTTATATATATATATATTTTATAATTTTCTAGTTGTGTAAATTAGGAGAGTAAATGCAATCTCTCTTACTCCATCATAGCCAAGAGTGAACATTTCTAATGCTGTCTATTAAAGGACAGAATTCAGAAATAAATGCAAATAAACTGTCACAAAATTATTGGATTGTTCAGAATTAAATTTAGGTAATTTAATAGGTTGAAATAAAATAATCCCAGATTAAATCACTATCAATGCTATCATAGAGATTAATTTGAAATAAATCATGAGTATAAATGTGAAAAATACAGTTATAGAAATAAATATATGAGAACACCCTTAGAATCTTAGATTACACATAGTTTCTAAGAAAAAAATAAGAGACAAAAACATTAACGTCAAAAACAAAATTGAAAAACTGGACCTTATTTAAATTAATGGTGTCTAACAGACACCCTTAGAAAATTCCACTCTGGGCTATGATGGAGTTATGAGACACTCTCTCATTTTAAACAACTAAAAAATGAGGCGGAATATGGGAAGCGACAGTTTTAAGACATTGGACAACTGGCAGCAAGGTGATCCCTTAGATAAGAGAAACAAATGAAGAGAGATCTACAGTTAACTCATCTTACTGTCTGAAGAGTGTTTCTGGGCACAGCACAGAGGGGAAGATGCAGCCTTTTAAATTATAAAGAAAAAATATGGTTCTAAGAGATCAACCTGGCTAGAATGAGAGAGACAAAATACTCAAGAAGAAAAAGCTACACAAAGAGACACACAGAGAGATTGTTCCAGGATTTGCAGAAGGGTCCCCTCAAGCCTTTGGCTGAGTACTATTTTGTGCATATATGTGAAAAAAATGAACCAAAGCCAGAGAAAGAACAACAATAAAATGTCACAATACAAATACTGGAATGCACACAGATCCCATCAGCTAAAGTAAATGTACATGATCCCATCAGCTAGAGTAAAAAATTCTCCTAATAGATTAGACCTTATTGAATAGAGTCATCAGAACTGTTTTTCCTCATTAGTGTGACCAAACAGTACTAGACTAAAAGCTATTATAGACTCACTCTTAGGAAGGTCGAAAACAAATCCTGAAAAGATTATACTGAAAGCAAGAAACTTGACTGTACCACAGAATAAAGCCCAGCAATATTTATAGAAAAAAATGAAAGCTTATAGCCAACAAAGTAAACTTAATAATTCTGGAATCAAATAACAACTTTATAAGCATTCAAAAAACAAAACAATATATAAACCATAACCAGGAGGAAAATTGGTGAGTAGATTCTGACTCAGAAATGACATAAATCATAGAATTAGTAGGCAAGTAAGTAAAGTCAAGTATTACAGATATAAACTATATGTCAAGAAGATAGAGAAACACATGAATATGATGAGGGGAGAACGAGATTTTAAAATGCTAAAATTAAACTTCTAGAGATGAAAACTATGTGTGAGAAAAATTATACTAGATGGAATTAATAACATATTAGAAACTGAAGTAGAGACGGTTAGGAACCTTGAAGATATCCAGAGTGAAGTGCAGAGACACAATTCAAAAGAAATACAGGTGAGCATCACTTATGCAAAATGCATGGGCCCAGAAGTGGTTTTAGGATTTAAGATTTCTTTCAGATTTGGGAATACTTATATTATACTTATTGGTTGAGCATTCCTAATTTGAAAATCCCAAATCCAAAATAGTTGGATAAGCATTTGTTTTGAGTGTCATTTCAGTGCTCAAAAGTTTCAGGTTTGGAGTGTTTTGGATTTTGTAGCATTTTCGATTTCAGATTTTTAGATTAGGAATACTCAACTTGCATGAACAAAAAGAGACTATCAACTATTTACATGAAATGTTGAGGTAAAAGAGCCTACAAAAGAAATGAATAATGCATCAATGACCTGCAGGATAATATTAAGCAGTATAAATATGTGTCAGTAGTGTATGTGGAGAAGAAAGAGAATAGAGAGCACAAAATAATTAGAAAAAATAATGGCCACAAATTTTTAATGATAGTTATCTTGAAGAAAAAAACTATAAAGCCACAGACTGAGAAAAACAAAAAACTCTAAGGAGAAAAAAAAAAAGCACAGTAAGGTACATAATCAAATTTCTAAAAACTACAATAAAGGCGCGGTGGCTCGCTCCTGTAATCCCAACACTTTGGGAGGCCAAGGCGGGTGGATCACGAGGTCAGGAGATCGAGACCATCCTGGCCAACATGGTGAAACCCCGTCTCTACTAAAAATAAGAAAAATTAGCCGGGCATGATGGTGGACACCTGTAGTCCCAGCTACTCGGGAGGCTGAGGCAGGAGAATGGCATGAACCCGGGAGGAGGAGCTTGCAGTCAGCCAAGATGGTGCCACTGCACTCCAGCCTGGGCGACAGAGCGAGACTCTGTCTCAAAAAAAAAAGAGAAAATCTTAAAAACAAACAAAGGAGGTTGGCAGAACACATTATACATAAAAGAAAATATAAGAATGACAGCAGAGTTCTTATCAGAAGCTATGAGATTTAGAAAATTGAACCATCTTAAAACAGTGTTAAATCATTCATTTCTAACAAGCTTGTATTAAATAATGCTAAAGAAAATTTGAGAGAGAAAAAATGATACTGGATAAAATTTTCTAACAAATGAATACAGGTAATGAGAAATTGTAATTACATAGTAAATATAAAATGGATTTTACTCATTTAAACAAACTTTTAAACTTGTTGCTTAAAAACAAAACAAAGAAGTATAGTTGCTATTTCTTTAGTGAAAGTTAAATGAAATCAAAATATTCATATCATGGAAGTCTGAAAAACATGAAAAAAGAGGACCAAAAAATAGAAGCAGCAAAAGAAAACAAATAGAAAGATGATAGGTTTAAACTCCATCATAAGTGAACTTGATTAAACACAAATCATATAATCACTCTAAAAGACAGAGAGTTTTAAATTGGATAAAAAGCAAGATAATTATATGCTAACTGAACCACAGCAATGCAAATATAAAGAGATTAGGTTAAATGTAAAAAGATGGAAAATATATGTCACACAACATTTTTAAAACCTAGGGTTTCTTTATTAATATCATACAATGTATATTTCAGAGCAAGAAATATTACCAAGAATGAAGAAAGTCATTTTCTCATCATAAAGGGGTCAATATAGCAAGAAGCCAATACTAGAATTTCAAAATACATGAAGCAAAAACTGATGGAACTAGAAGGAGAAATAGATAATTTTTACAACTGCAATTAGAGATTCCAACACTTCCCTCTCAAATATTATGGAACAAACAGAAAATTATTAATAATAGAGAAATGTTGAGCAACACTATGAAAACTTGATCTTATTAGTATAGAACACTCTAACCACTTTGTCCAGCCACATTACTATACTTGATGATTCACCTAAATTGTGTTCACTTTTTTTCCTATTTATCTCTCTTTTTTTTTCCCTACCTTCTCCCTCTCCTGCCTGATGGTATTTCCTCAATGTTCCCAAAGAAGGTATCACCATCTGGAAGAAATTATGATTGCATATAGCTTTAAACACTGATTATATTCTAATCTCTACACCTTTATTAAGGATATCCCAATCCCCAAAAAGGAGAGGGAAATTTTGATTTAAAAAATGTAGATTGTTTTGGCATATATCCTTTTAATTCTCCTGGCATCTACCAAACTGTATATCATTTTGTGAGATCAAGAAATTAAAAAGCAAAACAAAGCTAGCTTAAATGGTTAATTGGTATAAGCCTTATAAGAATTTAAAAGTTAAGTATAGTAAGCTGACATTTGTTGATAGTTTAAGGAGGACCATGGAAAGTTACTTATCTCATTCCAGGTAACAAGAAAAAAAATGTATATGTAAATCCCATCTTGCTAAAAGCCAAAATTAAAAACAAAAAACACAAAGTATAAATTTCTATAATGCACTTGTTCACTAAATTTCAAGATGAAAAAAGATAGGACACTTGGGGTTTTTAAATGATTTCTAAAGTCTTTAAATTTTAGTATAATAATAGAGATGTTGACAAATTATATTAGAAAGACATCTGTAAAATATTTTTGATAAATAAGATAATCACATGGAAAGATGTTCAAAATAATTAGTCATTAGGAAAATGCAAATAAAACTATAATGAGATATTACAAAACCATCAGAATGACTAAAGAAAAATAAAAAATAGTGGTAGCCATAAATGCTGGTGAAAATTTGGAAAAACTGGAAGACACATAAGTTGCTGGTGGGAATGTAAAATGGTACAGACATTCAGGAAAAAATTGTGGCTGTTTCTCACAAAACTACCATTGTGCTTACTGTGTGACTTGGGCATAGTTGTACACTTGAATATTTAGCCCAGAAAAAGAAAATGAAAGTAGGTTCACATCTGAACATGAATAGCTAGCCAAGAACTGGGAAAAATTCTAATGTCCTACAAGAGTAAATGCTGAAACACGCTGTGGTATATACATACCATAGAATATTACTCAGCAATGAAAAAGAACAATCTATTGATATATGCAACCTTGGATAGATCCCAAAGGAATCATGCTGAGAAAAAAAAATCCAGTGCTATATATTGTATTGTTATATAATTGCAAGGAGTTAAATATAAGAGTGGGGAAGGAATTGACTGACTGTAAAATAGTAGCACAAGAGATTATTTTAATAATATGGTGCTATATCTTAACTGTGGTGGTGGTGACATAAATCTGCATGTTATAAAATTGCATAGGACTAAACACACACACAAACACACACAGAGACCGAATTGAGTGCATGTAAAATTTTAAAATCTCAAGTTGGTTGATTATACTGGTATTGATATCCTGGCTATGATATCGTACTACAGTTATACAGTAAGTTACAATGGGAGGGAACTGAATGAAGTGTATACCATATCTCTCCATGATATTTCTTACAAGTGCATGTGGATCTATGATTATCTTAAAATAAAATGTTAAAGAAACAAATCAAAAGATCGATGCCAGGTGTGGTGGCTCACACCTGTAATCCCAGCACTTTGGGAGGCCGAGGTGGGCAGATCACTTGAAGTCAGGAGTTCAAGACCAGCCTAGCCGACATGGTAAAACCCCATCTCTACTAAAAATACAAAATTAGCCAGGTGTGGTGGCACGCATCTGTAGTCCCAGCTACTCAGGAGGCTGGGGCAGGAGAATCACTTAAACCCGGGAGGCGGAGGTTGCAGTGAGCCAAGACTGAGCCACTGCACTCCAGCCTGGGTGAAAGAGCGAGACATCACCTCAAAATAAAAAACAAACAAACAAACAAACAAACAAACAAAAGCAGTCTTCTAAAGTTAATTATGTATAAAGTATACTAATGTGTTTCAAGAAGTATACACTTTTCATGCTAAAGGCAGTATATTCAAATCTAAGCACAAAGATGGATTTTGTTTTCTGGTTTTTAGGTTGAAATCTTTTTATCTATTGGACTTAACTTTAATATACTTTATGAGATAATTGAAGCACTCTAGAGATTTGTCAATTCCCTCATTGTTTTTATCCCCTTTAAATATCATTATTTATCACTGCAACAGTCTGAACTCAGCAACTCTCCTTTTCCTTCCTCAGAAAGGAAAGTACTACTATCGTTTAGCTTCTTTTATAAAGTAATACATACCTCATTCAAAACTCTTGAAGAATACCTTGAATAATTCTGATTTAATAGTTGTTAATGATTCAAATTTAAAAACAGAAATTAAAAATAGCAAGCTTACTGTGTTATCACGTATTTAAACTCTGAAAACTTAGCAAAGCCTTGACTTTTCACCTAGTACTTGATTGACCATCAAATTTTCTTCGGTATTCCTATGTGCTTTGGAATCTCATCCCTGTTCATGGGCTTTTCCTTATTGCAAGTTGATATGGAAAATGACTTATACAACATACAACTTAATCTGTAGAACATATAAGCTAGTCTTTACAACATATTTTGTTAGTATGTGGTTAGTCATCTAGGCCCCTGGTTTCAAGACCTATTATAAGAACTAATAATCATTTATTTCTGATGCTTGCCTGCATTGCAGTTTGCTGATACATCCTAGCCAGAATTCTTCAGAGTTATTGCCATATCAGATGATTAAATCATTCACTCTGAAACAAAAGGATCAGGGTTGACTAACTTCAGTTCAATTGCAAACAACATCTGTTAAACAGCCTCCTGGTCAATAGAATTTTGGCAGTGGTGTAGTTCTGAACACTATAGATTAATATAATGGAGCTTGACTTTATCTGCCTTTGACCAAAATGGTAAACTAAGAAACAACAAAACAGCCTTGACAGCTGACAACTGGTAATTGGCTTGGCAAATAACAGCAGTCCATGATGTTCCCTGCTGAATATAAATGATTTCACAGAATATCAATATCTGATGGCATTATTCCATGACCATAATGGAACAAAACCAAATACAAGGACATAATACAATCATAAAAATTACTAAATTTCTCTTTCTCCTGGCCAAATGACTGACGACTGCCTCTTTACATATGACAATACTATTCTACTTTTTTGTCTTACCTTCTAGATTAGAAATGATTGAGATATACAAATACTTATTTGCCATAATTTTATGACAACTCCCAATCTAGAACAGAACCTCTTTCCTTACCCTTCTCAAAAATAACCCAGGATGCACAAAATACTATCACAAACCTATGCTATCCTTACTTCTGACCTACAATTCCGAGAATACATATCGGCTAAGAAAAAAATAAGCATGGAGTGCTTATAGCTGTTTTACTCATAGTAGCAGGAAACTGGAAACAACCCAAAAGTCCATTAAAAAAGATAAATTATGTTGGAATACCAAGCAATGAGAATAAATTAATTCAATTATACTTAACAATATGAATTGAAATGCATAGACTAAATTGTACATGCTGAGTGACTCCCTTTATATAAAGTTCAAACAGAGGTAAGACAAATTCATGCAGTTAGAAAAATTAGGACATTACACTTAAGAGAGTAGTAACTAGAAGCAAAATTGGGACATTTGGGGACCTGGTAATCCTCTACTTTCTGATTTCAATGTGGATCATATGGGTATATAAAGTTTGTGAAAAGTCATAAAGCTATAGAAATATGATATGTGCACTTTTCTGCTTATATGTTTAAAAATTTGAATTTACACATTTTAATAAATATGTAGAAGGCACAGCAAAATAGAGCCCTCATTCCTGCATAGTCAAGAATCAACCAAAGTACATTAACTATAATTACGGTATCATTCAGAGTCCCGCCGTGAAATAGATGGTACAATCAAAGGGTTAGTTGAAAGAAGTTTAAGGAAGAAGCTATTTAGAGGTCTAGGTAGAGTTAAGTGAAACAACATGCAGTGGTGATTCACCCAGGAGCTGTCATGAATAGGAAGCTCTTACTCCCAACTC
This sequence comes from Homo sapiens, assembly GCF_000001405.40. Lineage (NCBI taxonomy): Eukaryota > Metazoa > Chordata > Mammalia > Primates > Hominidae > Homo > Homo sapiens. The sequence continues at coordinate 183,903,258 of NC_000002.12, read as the reverse complement.
CCAGTCCTCAATGGAAAGGGGGACAGAGGTAACCAGATACAAGCAAAGACTGTACTTGCAGGAGATGTGCATTCCAAAAGGAGTAGCTACTGCCAAAGCCTCAGCCTGGCAAGAAAAGGGAGGGGAAAATAATCACTTTGGTCTGTCTTTCCTCCTACAAATGGCTCTTTTTTTGCCCAATTCAACCAAAACCACTGGGAAAGTGAACTCAATAGGTATAATTCACAGGAGTGTTTACCAGAGCAGATAGTAGAGCAGAAAAGGTTAAAGAAGTATCTTCAATGGTAAATGTAGAAAAAAACTAGCACAGTTATAGAGTCTGTAAATAAATATTTTCCAGGGACTTTTTTCTATGCACTGAGTAATACATGTCCTCTTTGGAAAGAATACATGTACTTTTTATTTTGCCACAAACTTTTTCATTTTTTTTTATCTTACTTTCTTAGAGACTAATTGACATTTGAATCCATCATCATGTTTTTACTCTTTCATTTATTAAAAAATAAATAATATCTCTTTGCTTTTTAGATTTTGATCAAAATAAAATAGAGACCAGAAGGCCGAATATTCCCCCAAAATGGAAGATAACATATTTTTGTGGATCTGAAGAATATAAGAATATCTTTCCATGTTTAATTTGTTATGTAAAAATTGTCCATCTAGATATTTTGCTTTTCAAGTCATAATCTTGCCAAGTTATAAGCAAATATTTAATTCAAACTAATCACTGGTCAGAATAAAGATAAAATAACTACATAATGGAAGATTCACTTTAAACTATTTATTCTTTGACTTTAAATAAACACATCTCATACAAAAGAACTGTTTCTATTTTAGGTTGCCTTTGAAGATGTATTTTACCTGTGATTTCCCTCCTACAAAGAAAAACATTTTGTAATGTTAAGCATAAAAGTAGTACTAATAGTTCTTTCTATCAGCTTAAAACTGTCAACTGAAGAATGACAAGGTTCATAAATTTTAAAAAGAGTGCTTTATTTCTCATAATGGCTTGCAGTCTGCAGGGTGGCCATTCTGACAGGCTGGGAAGCATAGTCTCTGGCCTAGAGGCTATAAACAGGCACTTCAAGGATTGGGAGAACAAGACAGGGATTTATGCTGAATGGGGTGGCCAAATATGCATATTCATAAGCTATAAGAGGAGTAATGCATATTTATGAAAGGACAAGCATGCATATGTACAATTGAGCTTCATGCCTCTCCATGGGTCCCATGGCAGCATTAGCATGATTTGAGGGTAGAGATTTTGGCCCTCTGATGTCAAAAGGTGAAAAACAGGACACAAAAAAAAACCTCACTGTGCATCCTCCATAGACTTGCCAGAACCACTCAGTGGTTGATGGTCTTATAAGAGAGAAGTACTGGTTAGTTGTGTTGAAACTGCAGACAGGGAGGGAAAGCATCAGGGAGTTTGTTGATATTGGTGTGGAGTCTTTCAGAATGGCTCGTTTCTGTTTAATCCATAAGAAGCAATACTTAATGTCAGTTAGTGACGAGGGGGTATAACGAGGTGTGTCCAATCTCTTGTCCCATCATCGCCAGTAACACAGCTTCCAAGATTTCTCGGGGATCCCTAGAACAAAAGTGTGTTCATTCAGTTGGGTGGAGGCTTGGAATTTTAATTTTATTCCTCAGAAGAATAAGATACATATCGTAGATTATTTTGTTTGGTATAATGAGTAAAAAAACCCCACAAATTTTTTATACATTTACCTGAATAATCAAAACTTGATATGTGTATTAGAGTTTATGGAGGTTATAAACTCTAGTTTCATATACATAGCATTTTAAAACTTTTATGTCACCATTTTTATTCCTTTAATGGGCTATGCATTTGAACAGAGTTGTAGAAAATCTAAATGATTATTACTAACTAAAATATGGCTTTTAAAAACTTGCAAAATAAAAACAGATTAAAAATGTGATCACCCCAATCTAAATTGTAATCAAATGTCTGTAAAGAGAATTCAATACATTAAATTGAAACTATCTTTTGAATGTGTAAATCAAAGTTATGCTTATCAGTACTAATTAGATGAAGTCTTTAATTAAATCTAGTTATTCATAATAGAAATTTTAAATATCATCCAAATTACATGTCATAAGTAATTACTGAAAAAATTCTAGTTTTGACAATCTTGAAATAATTCCATGAAAACATAACTTTTTTCAGACTATATATATAGTACTACTTTACATAGTGTTTTGGAGAATGATTTATCACCTTACAAGATAAATTTCCTTCTCTTTTAATCAAAAATAAAAACCAAAAATCCTTTTATTCAACTCACCCACAGGGCAGATTGAAAGCAAAGCCTTAAGGACTGAAAAGTATAGAAGTCAGACATTGATAAGGATGTTGTCTCCTCACTTCATCCCCACTCTTACCTAGTAATGAGAATGGAACACAGGCAATAATTATGAGGCACTGCTATTTCTGTGCAGAAAATTAATTCTACATCTACAATATACAGTGCAGATCCAGATTTGGAGCTATCATATCAAAATGATAGTTTCAGATCATTTTTTTAAAAATTACCCATGGATTCAAACTAATAAAGACATTACATAAATGTTATATAAGTCATCATCTAAGTATTATATGCAAGCTATTTCTTATTTTAAAAAACCTGTATATTTTCCCTAGTGTTTACTGTACATTAACATGCAATTAAATATTTGCTCTTAAATGTTCACAATTTCCCTCAGAAAGATAATCATGCATTGCCATCTCCTCCAGTGGTAATTTGTTTTAATCTCAATATATTGATGATGAAAAATCAACCTCATATTGATGATTTTACTGCTGCTATCGAATAAACAATCATGATTACTGAGCTAATGCAAATAATCATATCATCAAATCAGATTCACAAATTAGAACTCTTACTCAGTATCAGGATTTACTAGTGATTTCAAAGACAAACAAGGAAGAGGCACAGACCAAGCAGGAAGAAACTGGGAAATCTCACATGGCTCCCCAGGTCTTTTCTTCTCACATGGGACTTGTGATTTCTAGTTTACATTCATAGGTGAGCTCATTGAAACTGGGTGAAGGGTGAAATTCGTTGATAATTCCTATGAAAATGGAAAAGGCAATATTCCTCATTCATTCATAATATCCATTTAAATTGTGCTCTCAGAAGAAAGGTAACATTACATAACCATCAGATGATCTCCTTAGTCAAACTTTTCAATTCATAACTTGACCCTTATCTTGAATACCTCCATAGTGGTGCTTCATACTGTCCCAGTTTACATTCTGAGTAGGTGAGTGCTACTATGCCCAGCTAATTTTTTATATTTTTTGCAGAGATGAGGTTTCTCCATGTTGTCCAGGCTGGTCTCAAACTCCTGGGCTCAAGAGATTCACCTGCCTTGTACTCTCAAACTGCTGGTCTCTCAAAGTTACAGGTGTGAACCACCACACCTGCCCCGCTTTTAGAGATTTAAAGTCTCTAATAATTTTGTATTATGGAAAAGCATCTCCAAATAAAATTTAGCTTTAAATATTAACTTAAAGAATTTTTTATTGAAAAGCCTATGAGACAATTTTGCTTCCTTTTACTTTTTTAATGGTAATAGTAACAAAACAGTTTTATTTTATCCTTTGATATCTGTCACAGATAATATCACATATGTTTTTAAAACAAAATAAAGGTCAAACTGATATTACTTAAACCACAGCAATTGTTGGATATATTGTAAAATATAAGCAATAGAGGACTACAAATATTCATGGGAAAACTTGACTATTTCTTTAGATATTGACATATTTAATCAATTATTACACAAATGTTCAAAATTAAGAAAAAATTGTAGTTTTGATTTTTTAAATTGAGAAGTCTAAAAATGATTACGTTGTTTTTTCTAAATATGAACAAATATTCTCTCATTGGTTTTAAATAAAACATGTGTCTTTGTAACAAAAATAATTATCTCAAAGTTCCTACTTAATGGGTGGCCAAAAAATAACATTTCAGGCAGTAGAAACAACCTAAGCAGAAGCCCTAAAGCAACAAAGAACTGGGCTTACTCAAGGAACTGAAAGAATGTAAGTTTGACATCCTCTTGGGGTGAGAACAAAGTGGCAAAATGAAAAATTGAAGACCTCATCAAGAACCAAACAATGAAGGAATTTACAGTGCCTAATAAATAACTTGGATGTGTTTTAATTGTAATGAAAAATCAATGAAGAGTTTTGCGCAGTAAATCTTTATTAAGTTATAATCAGATAAGTAAGTCTGTTAGTGGAGAAATGATTGGAAGGAGATAAGAATTAATGGAAAGAAACTAGACTGGTTCATTAGAGAGCCAGGAAAAGGTGATGATGTTTGAGACAAGCTTTTGACAGCAATACTTGCTACTGAATTTGCTACTGGCATGAATTAAGTGGAAAGAATCAAGTATGACTCAACCACTCTGCTTCTAGCTCAAACAATGGATTGAATGTTTCTGCAAAATACTGAGTTTGGAAAGTCAGGGGAAGAACAAGGGATAAAGGCATTAAAAAGAGGGATAATAAGAGTTCAGTCTTAAAGTCTGAGGCACCAAAGTCTCTAAAATTAGTCTGGAGCTTAGAAAAGAGGTCTGGGGTGTACACATTTTGACATTACCAACATAGAGAGTGATTAAAGCCAGACAGCCAGACACAGAAATTCTCTGTCTCCTTTTATATAGTTTTGCTCTCCATTACTGAGTTTGTCTTGAAATTGCTTTTTTTTTTGGCGGGCAGGGGATGGAGTCTCGCTCTGTCACCAGGTTATAGTGCACTGGCGTGATCTTGGCTGACTGCAACCTCCACCTCCCAGGTTCAAGCAATTCTCCTACCTCAGCCTCCTGAGTAGCTGGGACTACAGGCACGTGCCACCACACCCAGCTAATTTTTGTATTTTTAGTAGAGATGGGGTTTCACTATGTTGGCCAGGATGGTCTCAATCTCTTGACCTCGTGATCCGTTCACCTCGGCCTCCCAAAGTGCTGGGATTACAGGCGTGAGCCACCATGCCCGGCCTGAAATTGTTTTTGTTGATGTTTTCTACTTTACTTGGAATTCACTGAGATTTTTTTCTTCTTTTTTCACCCAATCCCTGCCTTAGCTCTTCCATAGGATAGAATCTGGTATCTTTATTAATTCTGACCTAGGATGATCATAGTCTCCCTTAAAGGGGCACAAGCTTGCCAAATTGTTAGAACAAACTGCCCCACAGTACACAAACTGCATCCTGGGCTCCTGGTTAGAACACCCTGCAGTAAGGAGGTAATGAGCAAAAAGGAAAACCCCCAAATTCATGCAAGCACAGAAACCTGTTAATGTCCTTTGGCTGACCCATGCTTGTTATAATGGTAAAAAACATACTCCTGGCTGGATATTTAAGATGCTAATGAGACATGTGATATATGTACTAACATGCACAACCACAACACACGTGCCACCAAAAGACCATCCATAACATGCTAAATGGCAGCACCATTCCTGCCCCTTCATGAATAATTATGTAAGGCTCCCATAAAGAGAGTTTCACCAGAGCCAGTCAGGGCTGTCTCATTGTCCAACAGCCACTCGGACTTGGCCGAGTATATTTTGCTTTGCAATAAATTTCTTTACCTACTTTCACTTTAGACTCGTTCTGAAATTCTTTTGCGTGGCAAAATAAAAAACCCGAACCTACCCACTGGCAACAAAACCTTCTCTGCCTGAAACCAACACCTAATGCCCAAGTCTCAGATATCTAAACTTTTACATCTGTGTTTCCCAACCTTTCCTTTCCATTATCACTACGTTACTGTTGATGCATTTCTATCTGAGCTTTATACAAAAAAAAGAATAAATATAAAGTCTACTCTTTATTCAATGCAGGGTCAAGAATAACTAAATAAAATTTTCAAGTAAAAATATAAATGCCAGTAACAATTTATAACTATATTTCCTGAGTAGCATTTAATATAATTCACTTACTTAAACAATCACATCATTATATATGCAAATAAGAAATATATATAAATACATTATAACAGTAGCAATCAAAATTTTAAAATAATAATTCAAAATGTTTTCTCAGTAGCAGTAAACGATAAACTAAATTACTTGTTTAAAATTACTGTAGTAAACTTAACTTTTACCTTGTGCTTAACATGAGAAAATAACTTTTAATTAGCAGCTGGACAGTCAGTCATTCAGATATGGCAAACATGCTTTTCTCTTTGACACTTGACTAAATTAATTCTGGGTTGACTAATATAGAATTAAGTAATAAAATATAAGCTATTTTTGTTTAATTCTCAAACCCAAGTTCACAAAAAAGCACTGAGGAAAAAAAAAAAAAACCTGCCAAGGCACAAGGCAGCCAATGGCCACCAATAGGTATGTGAAGGCCATCTCTTCTGAATGACCTCTAGATTAAACAAGTGATCAAGAGAAAGCCCACCAAGTGCAGCCATCTAGTCCTCATAATTTCATACCGCTGATCTTGGAAATATTGCCTGTATCTTTCAAGAACTCAGTGCTACTTTTGTGATACCCAAGAAAATCCCATGACAGAAATTAAACATGAAGAAATAAAATTTTGAGCCTTGGAAAGCCATAGACTGTTGGAATATAAATATATATTTTTGCCCTTTTCCCACACCAAGAACCAACTTTCATTCCTTTAGGGATGATATCATTCTTGTTGAAAATGTATGTCTCACATCATTGTAGGTCCAAGAGTCTGTAACATTGCCCCATTACCAGCTCTATTGCTATAAACTGAATCCCTTTATAGATTTCCAAGATAATGATATACCACACATTTGGCTTCTTCAGAATGTAATCATTATTTTACTATTAAGGAACATATATGATAAATAAATATATAAATGAACAATTGAGTCATAAACTAAATCTTACTTAAAATTAATTCCAGAAACTCTAATATAATTGGAAAAAATAAACCAATATAGTATTTTATTTTAATTCTACATAGACTTTCCATTAGTATTAATGGAAGATGGTCCAAAAACAAAATGGGTATTTGAGAAAAATATTTAATGATTGGCATAGTTTAAAAATGTGTGTTGTATTCATTTCTATTTCAGGATACCTTGACCTCATTCTCCAATATGTCAGCATTTTCTGTACAGTAACAACTGATCCATGGATAACCTAGCCTAGAATTTTCTGAAAACCTACATATTATTTCACAAAACTAGGGTAAACTCAGATCATCCAAAATCTTGGTAGGGAATGAACATCCAAATAAAATACTGTTTAGGTAAAGGTCTTCCATGTACAATATTATAATTTGAAGAAATAAAAAGGCACATAATTAATAGTCATTACCCCTGCCTTCTCTGCTCAATTTTGAAAAAAAAGTAAGTTGCCCAAAATGCCTTTTGAAGTGGAAAAAATATAGGGGACTTGTCTCTGAATAATTTTTTCTTAATTATACAAGTATGAAAATTTGTGTGGTTAAAAATAGCAAGATCTTTTTTCAGGAAATAATATTTTTAAGTAATCTTCAAAAAGCCCAGCTGGAAGTGAAATAGTCTTATTATCAAATTTAGGAAAGTACAGAGCAAGGCACAAGTGGCAATTTGCTGATCACATGGAGAGGGATGGATTTGGCAGTGCTGAAAGAAGTAAACACAGCTCTAGAGCTGTGAGGCTCCCCAGAATTCCATCTACCCTCTCAGTGACCATAATAGGCATATTCTACCTACTAATCATATCTCAAGGAATCTTTGTAATCATTTCTAAAAGACTTTTAGAATAGCTAATGAATAGTTGTCTAGATCTGCCACTGATTGAAATAGTTTGGGACACACTTAAATAAGGGGGAAAAAATCCCATTTAAGTTCAATTTGGCTTACATTCAGAAATACAAGCATTCTAAATCTTTTTTTCCTCCACTTTGAAGCATTAGACCGATGGCCTAATGTTCTGAAAACCTATATTATATCTTGTTAAAAGCAAGAGTTTTTTGTATCTGAACAGCTTGTTACCCTCTTAAATTTCTAATACTTTCTGTCTAGGTGATGGTTCCATCTTCTGCTTTAAACTCCTCAAATGCAAGATCCATTAAGTTTTAACTTACTCTGAATAGCACCAAAAATAAAGCTATTTGCAAATAGGTGCTTAAAAGGCTCTGAGTGACAGAAAGACGATGTTGACATATGGTCCCAGCAAATAACTGAAAGTGTTAAAAAGTAGCAGAAAGTATGAGCCTGGTACAAACGGGATTTTTATCTCTAAATGATAATTGATTTGCTAAAAGACATGTAATTCGTGAAGTTGAAAATACATCAAAATAATTCATTGGTACCTTTTAACACCAAGAACTTTTTTGAAAAACATAGGTCCATTAGGATTCAATTCTTAGAAAAGTTCAGGGTCACATATCTATTTCCCAGAAGTTGGATAGGACTGGGGATACAATTAATGCAGCTACCAGAACATAATTTTGACATTTATTATTTCAGCTGGTTTTAATGTTTTTCATAAATATACTCCCTGATTGTAATATACAGAAAATTAAAATTTTTAATGGGTGGATATTTATAGCTACTTCTTAACAGATGACTGACAATTATCCTTTCTACAGAAAGAAAGCTCGCTAAATTAGAAGCTCAGGAAGCTGGGCAATTATGACCACTTAGTAATCATGTGACTTTGGGCAGGTAATTTTATTTTTGACAAATTTTTAAAAGTTCCTCTTTCATATATTATACAAATATTTCCCTTTGTTTCTTCCCAGTAAATTTCAAATAAATTAAAATGAAATATTTTTAAAATATATATACATCATCTTTACAATATTTTAGTTTGTCTTAATATTCGTTAAGTGACATTGTTCTACATATTTCTAGTTTTGTACTATCTTTTGAATTTTAATGCCAGGGGTATGTTAGCTTTGTGAAATAAGGAACGGATCCTTTTTCTACACTTTGTAATTATTTTTTAAGTAGAATTTTACTGAACTTTAGGGAAGAATTCTCTTCTGAAATATGTTAGACTGACACTTGTAGTAGAGGCTGGTTCTTTGGCAATAGCAATTAACCTATGACTATCATTATGTTGGTGTTTTTCACTATTGTACTTTAATCCATTTTGTTAACTGGTTGTATTAGTGTGTTTTCACACTGCTATAAAGAACTTCCCAGAGACTGGGTAATTTACAAAAGAAAGAGGCTTAATTGACTGATAGTTCTGCACAGCTGGGGAGGCCTCAGGAAACTTACAATCATGGCAGAAGGGGAAGCAGGCACCTTCTTCACAAGATGGCAGGAGAAAGGGTGTGTGTAAAGGGGGAACTGTCAAACTTATGAAACCATCAGATCTCGTGAGAACTCAGTCACTATTATGAGAACAACATGGGAGAAACCACCCCCATGATCCAGTCACCTCCCACCAGGTCTCTCCCTTTGTGTCCGGAATTGTTGGGTTCTTGGTCTCGCTGACTTCAAGAATGAAGCTGTGGACCCTCGTGGTGAGTGTTACAGTGCTTAAAGATGGCGTGTCCAGACTTTGTTCCTTCTGATGTTCAGACGTGTGTGGAGTTTCTTCCTTCTGATGGGTTCATGGTCTTGCTGACTTCAGGAGTGAAGCTGCAGACCTTCACAGTGAATGTTACAGCTCTGAAAGGCAGCGCATCTGGAGTTGTTCGTTCCTCCCATCCAGAGTTGTTTGTCCCTCCAGATGGGTTGATGGTCTTGCTGGCTTCAGGAGTGAAGCTGCAGACCTTCGCGGTGAGTGTTAACAGCTCATAAATGCAGCCCGGACCCAAAGAGTGAGCAGCAGCAAGATTTATTGCACGAAGAGCGAAAGAACAAAGCTTCCACAGCACAGAAGGGGACCCAAGTGAGTTGCTGAGGCTGGCTCGGGCAGCCTGCTTTTATTTCCTTATCTGACCCCACCCACATCCTGCTGATTGGTCCATTTTACAGAATGCTGATTGGCCCATTTTACAGAGAGCTGATTGGTCTGTTTTGACAGGGTGCTGCTTCGTGCATTTACAAACCTTGAGCTAGACACAGAGTACTGATTGGTGCCTTTACAATCCTTTGGCTGGACACAAAAGTTCTCCAAGTCCCCACTAGATTAGCTAAACACAGAGCACAGATTGGTGTGTTTACAAACTTTTAGCTAGACACAGAGTGCTGATTGGTGAATTTAGAATCTTTTAGCTAGACATGGAGTGCTGATTAGTGCATTTACAATCCTCTAGCTAGACATAAAAGTTCTCCAAGTCCCCACCCAACTCAGGAGACCAGCTGGCTTCACCTAATGGATCCTGCACCAGGGCCATGGGCAGAGCTGCCCGCCAGTCCCACGCCGCATGCCTGCACTCCTCAGCCCTTGGGCAGTCGATGGGACTGGGTGCCATGGAGCAGGAGGCAGCACCTGTTCGGGAGGCTCGGGCCGTGCGGGAGCCCACGCCCATGGGTGGGGGGCTCAGGCATGGTGGGCTGCTGGTCCTGAGCCCTGCCCCATGGGGAGGTGGCTGAGGCCCGGCGAGAATTCGAGCATGGCACAGGCGGGCCAGCAGTGCTGGGGGACCCGGCGTACCCTCTGCAGCTGCTGGCCCAGGTGCTAAGACCCTCACTGCCTGGGGCCAGTGGTGCCGGCCGGCCACTCCAAGTGTGGGGCCCGGCAAGCCTGCGCCCACCCGGAACTCACACTGGCCCGTGAGTGCTGCGCACAGCCCCGATTCCCTCCCACGCCTCTCCCTCCACACCTCCCCGCAAGCAGAGGGAGTCGGCTCCAGCCTCGGCCAGCCCAGAGAGTGGCTCCCACAGGGAAGCGGCAGGCTGAAGGGCTCCTCAAGCACAGCCAGAGTGGATGCCAAGGCCGAGGAGGTGCCGAGAGTAAGTGAGGACTGCTAGCCGTTGTCACCTCTCAATCCCCCCTCTAAACAGGACACCCCAACTGCTATTGGGAATTTGGCCAATGACCACTCTAGCTACTTCCTGCTGGATAGGGGTGAAGAAGGGGCCCTGCAGTTGTAGTGTTCTCCAGAGGGGAATGATTTAGGCCAGTGGAAGGGCCAGTGGGTCAGTCCAGGGGTCCTTGGTAGAAGTTGTTAGTTGAGGTCATTTGAGGTTCCATTTGTAAGATCATCTGTAGCTTGATGGCCTCGATTCTAGAGGAAACAAATTCGACAAGGAGATTAAAAATACAGGGTCCAAAGAGGAATAACAGCAAGATGGCTGCCACGGGACCTAGAAAGGGGAAAAGCCATGTTGCCCAACTCCAGAGGTTGGTAAAAGAGTTTGAAAGACATTGTCTGATTTCAGAAGCCTTTTCCTGTAAATACTGGGCAGCATCTCATACTATCCCTGACTGTTTAGTGTAAAAACAACACTCTTCCCCTAAGAAGTTGCAGAGTCCTCTTTTCTCAGCAGTGAGGAGGTCTAGGCCTCAGCGGTTTTGGAGAGTCACTGCTGCCAAAGAGTCTATTTGGGATTGTAAAGCAAGGATAGATTTTGTTATTCCTGCAAACTGTCTGAGAAATCCTTTGAGAGTGTGTGGTAGTAGGATAATGAAGTAGATAAACCAGCTATTCTGGTTCCTGTAGCAGTAGCCATTCCTAACCCTATAAGTAGGGGTATTAGTTGTATGGCTCTGCGCTGATGGACTTGAGCTTTGAGGGGTACTGATAAGGTCTGATTTCCACAAGATTAGAAGTTAGGATAATACATGTTACACTGTTAACTTTTTTAGCAAACTTTACTTTGTTGAAAACCTTGTAAGTTTGGGATTTCAATTATTCTTTGCTATTAATAAGACCTTGTTCAGTCCATATTAACTTAAAATTGGTATAGATGTCTCCTTCCTGATTCAGTAAGAACTTTAAGATTTGGCTGAGTGCAAACAACTCGCACGTTTGAGCAGACCAATTATTAGGCAATTTTCCTAACTGCTTCTACAAGAGTTTCCTTATCACTTACTGAATACCCACTGTGTCTTTTTCCCTTAATCACCCAGGAGGAACCATCTATCATCCTGTCCTGAAGGGAGTTCCTCCTAGATCTGGTCGGAACTTTGTATGGTAATTAATTAAGATTTAGATCCTCTGTTGGGAAACCTGCTGGGTTAAGGATTTTTCATAGGAAGGCTATGGGTTGTCAGTGGCCTCAGTGCTTTTGGGCTACGCCCTTGTTTACACTGGCAACAAGGTGGTATTGGAGTGTTATAGGGTTACAGAGAAGGCCTTCAATTATCAATTATAGGTACTACTTCTATCTCTCTTTCTCTTTGACTTCTTCTTTGTCTCTCTCTTTCTGACTCTCTCTGTCACTTCCTCTCTCTCTCTCTTTCTCTCTCTGACTTTATTTCTCTTTCTCTCTTTCCTTCTTTGACTTTGTCTCCTCTTTCTCTCTGCTGGTCTGTCTCTGCCTCTGCCAGCCGCTTATGCTGCTGTTCTCCTCTCTCCTTCTCCTTTTTGATGGCTTCGGCAGTGTAAGATGGCCACCTCTTTGGATTTTTGCACTGCTTGCAATAAGTCTATAATTTCCTTGTGGTATTTAATGGGGGTTCCCCCAAAGGTTAGGAACTCCCTTTCTTTCCATATTGCAGCATGGGCATGTAGGATTAGACAAGCATACTTTCTATCTGTATACACATTTATTCTTTTCCCTTTCCCAGTTCTAAGGCTCGGGTAAGTGCCACTAGTTCTGCTAACTGGGCACTGGTCCCTGGGGGAAGAGGCTTACTTTCAAGTATGGTTACATCACTAACTATGGCATAACCTGCCCTTCGTATCCCATTCTCTACAAATGAACTTCCATCAGTATATAGGTTAAGGTCAGGATTAGCTAAGGGGACTTCTAAGAGATCATCTTGGGTGGCATAAGTCTGGACTATAATTTGTTGGCAGTCACATTTCATTGGTTCCCCATCCTCTGGGAGAAAAGTGGCAGGGTTGAGGGCCACACACATATGTATTTGAAGCACCAGTCCCTCAAGGAATAGCACCTGGTATCTAAGTAGGCAGTTGTCTGATAGCCATAAACTTCCTTTGGCACCTAGTATGCCATTTACATCATAAGTAGTCCAGACAGTGAGATCCTTTCCTTGTATTATTTTGATAGCCTCTGACACTAAGACAGCCACTGCTGCAACTACCCATAAACAGTGAGGCCACCCTTTTCTATTACATCAATTTGCTTACTTAGGTATGTCACAGGTTGTGGGGTTGTCCCACGAGTCTGAGTAAGGACTCCAAGAGCTATCCCTGCTCTTTCTGTGACATATAAAGAGAAGTTTTCTCCTGTGGGAAGGCTTAAAGTTGGAGCTTGTACTAGGGCCTGCTTTAAGGTTTTGAAGGCTGTTTCTGCCTCTGGTTCCCATTCTACTAGATGAGTATTTGCTCTCTGGGTCTCCTTGATTAGAGTATAGAGGGACTTGGCTATCTTGCTGCATCTGGGGATCCATACTGGGCAAAAGCGGTGATTCCAAGGAACCCCCACAACTGTTTTAATGTCTTGGGGTGAGGATAAGCCAGTATAGGCTGTATTCATTCCTTGCTGAGGTCCCTGGTTCCTCTGTCTAAGATTAGGCCTGGATATTTGACCTGCTGTAGGCAAAGCTGGGCCTTCGACCTAGACACCTTGTACCCTTGATTAGCTAGAAAGTTCAAGAGATCTAGAGTAGCCTGCTGGCATGAGGCTTCCAAACTGGTAGCCTAAAGTAAATCATCCACATACTGAAGGACCGGAATGCCTTGACTTGAGAAGTGGCCTAGATCTTGGGCCAGTGCCTGACAAAACAGTTGAGGGCTATCCCTAACCCTTAGGGCAAGACCGTCCATGTAAGTTGGGATGTGTGGTCTGTGGGATTCTCAAAGGCAAAGAGAAACTGGGAGTCAGAGTGCAGGGGAATATAGAAGAAGGCATCCTTGAGGTCCAGAACAGTGAACCATTCTGTTTCCTCTGGTATTTGAGAGAGCAGGGTATAGGGGTTGGGTACAACTGGATATAGAGGAATTACTGACTCATTGATGAGTCCAAGATCTTGCACTAGTTTCCACTGACCGTTTGGTTTTTATACTCCTAGAATTGGAGTGTTGCAGGGCTGCTGCATTTCCTTAATAAGCCTTGGCTTTTAAATGTTTAACAATATCCTGTAATCCTTTATGAGCTTCAGGCTTTAGGGATATTGCCTTTGGTAAGGAAAAGTGGTGGGATCTTTTAGGCTGATTTGGACTGGGTGGGCAATTTTTGCCCTTCCAAATTGTCCTTCCAATGCCCAGACTTCAGGGTTGGTTCCTTCCTCAGGTAGGGGACAACAAACGGGTAACTTGTTCCCCATATTCATGTAGATAATAGCTCCAGCTTTGGCTAATATATCCCTCCCTAATAAGGGTGTGGGACTTTCAGGCATAACAAGAAAGGCATGTGAAAAGAGCAAAGTCTCCCAATTTCAATAGAGGTGTTGAGAGAAATACCTGGTTACAGGCTGTCCCAGGATTCCTCGGATGGTAACGGACCTTGAGGACAGTCATCCAGGACAGGAGATTACCACTGAGAAGGCTGTGCCAGTGTCCAGGAGGAAGTCAATTTCCTGACCCTCAGTGGTTAAGCATACCTGGGGCTCAGTGAGAGTGATGACATGAGCTGGTGCTTGGCCCAGGCACCCTTTTGTTGGATCCTGTTGTTGGATCCTCTGGTTGGGGGCTTCTGACCCAGAGAACCTTTGTCCTCTGGGGCAGTGCACCTTCCATTGATTGCCTTGGCATAGTGGACATGGACGAGGGGGTGGCTTGTTTCTCCTTGGACAATCTTTTTTAAAGTGTCCTTGTAAACTACACTGATAACAAGCCCTACTGGGTAATTGACCTGCTCCATTTTCTGTCCTCTGTGAACCACCAAGGTTTGTTTGTCTGAGGGCCATGACTAAGGCTGTGGCCTTTCCCTGATCTCGGTTTTCCTTTTTGGCCTGTTCCTCTTGGTCCCTATTATAGAACACCGAGGTTGCCAGGTTTAATAATGCCTCCAAATTTTGTTCAGGGACCAGGGCTTGCTTTTGGTGCTTTTTCCCAATATCTGCAGCAAATTGGGTAATAAACTTATCTTTTATAATCAATTGACCCTCGAGTGATTTGGGTGACAGGGGAGTATATATTCTTAAGGCATCCCATAGCCACTCAAGGAAGGCAGAAGGATTTTATTCCTTTCCCTGAGTTATGGTGGACATCATTGAATAATTCATGGGTTTTTTCCTAATTCTCCTTAGTCCTTCTAGAACACAAGTCAACAGATGTTTATGACTCCAGTCCCCATGGTCTGAGTCAAGGTCCCAGTGGGGATCCATACTGGGGATGGCTTGCTGACCAGTAGGGAATTTATCCCTTTCTTCAGCTGCCATTCTATCATTTACTTGACTAAGATATCAGGTATCTTCAAACTCTCAGGCTGCAGCTACAGCCACATTCTTTTCATTAAAGGCCAGAGTTTGATCTAACAGTAGCATGACATCTCTCCAAGCAAGGTCAAAGGTTTGCCCTAGACCCTGTAGGACATCTATGTACCTATCAGGATCATCTGAAAACTTCCCCAGGTCTGCCTTGATCTGCTTTAAATCAGAGAGGGAGAAAGGGACATGTACCCGGGTTGGGCCAAATTCCCCTCCCCCTATAGCTTGAAGGGGACATAACTGATAGCCTGGGGGTTTTTGTGGTCTTTTGGAAATTTCTTTGCTTATTTCCTTCTTGGTGGGAGAGATTTGAGGAGGATTATCTTTAATAGGAAGGGGAGCTATAGGGAGGCTAGGATATGGGAGTAAGCTGGGGAAGGTCCTCCTGTGGGATGTAAATTGCAAGCTTTGCATAGTTGTGTATTCTTCTTCAATGAAAAGAAAGCTTGGACATACGGTATTTCACTCCATTTGCCTTCCCTCTTACAGAAAAAGTCAAGCAGCAGGATAGTATTATAATTTATACTTCCCTCAAGTGGCCATTTTTCCCCTTCAGAGAGAGAATATTGGGACCAGGCCATAGTGCAGAAAAAAATGAGCTGCCTCTTTTTCAGGGTTTGCGGGTCAAATTGGTCCCAAAGGCTTAGGATGCATTTCAAGGGTGAGCCTGTTGATGCCTGAGTGTTTCCCATCTGAAAGACAAAACCATCCATGGTTTTGGTTTGTTTTGTTTCTCCCCATGCCCAAGAACCCGCAATGGTCCCTGGACCCTGCTGATCAGAATAGTTGTGCTTACCAATGCAGCAGCAGAAACACTAGTTTTCCTCCCAGACCACAAGGAGGACCAAGGAAGGTCAGATTTAGTGGCCCTTACCAACGCATTCTCGAAAACCTGCACCCTTGCCTGTCCTCCTAGACCACAAGGAGGACTGACAAAAATCGGATTTAGTGGCCCTTACCAACACATTCTCAAATATCTGTTAGAATCCTAAGCATTCTTCTGTTAGTATTGGGACCTTACCCCTGTCCTATAAAGATGTTATGCCCCCAAAATGAAGTGGAGGCCCATGCCCTGGGGGAGGGAAGGGATCTCCAGAGTTGGAAGAGTGATGCCTTTTGTCCTCACTTATATGAATAGGAAGGATACAATTTCTGAGGCTCCCCATATCTTAGCTTCAGGAATAGCTTTTGTTAGGCCTGCTTGTCTGAGGAAGGATCCTAAAATTCCAGATAGTCGCCCCTACGACAGGTCTTTGGGTCAAAATTATGTCTTTCTGATTTGTGAGCCCGGTTGCCTAAAGAAGGGAATAGAGTCCTGGAGTTTATACTAGAAATTATTCTTATAGGAGAAACTAGAAAAGAACCAGAGACAGGGAGTGGTTTTTAGAAGTGGGATTGCCTCAGAGAAGAGAAGTGAGAGGAAGTTTGTCTGGCAGTCGTTAGGACCCAGGGGACAAGGGATGGGCAAGTCTCACTTGGGTGACATGCCTTTGAGAGTTCCACTCATGGCCGCAGGGTCAACCAACTTGTTGTCGGGACCCCGGAGCTGAATGCCTTTCCTCTCTGTTAACCTCGGCTCAGCCCAGAAGTACAGGAAAAGTGGAAGCTGGTTCAAGGCAAACCAATGCTCCCAATTATGAAGAGTCGGGGGTTGTTAGAGAGCCCTTTCCCAGAAAGCCTGACACCCATGTCTTTAGTCTGTCAACTGCACTAGTCTCTTTTAACTGGCCAACAGGTGCCCAGTATTTAACCCCTGAATTCTAAGGAAAAATAGGACAGAATAGCAAGCAAAAGGGGTCCGATAGTACTTACTGCTTGGCGATAGGCGATAGTCTTACCGCTTGGTGATAGTCCCTTCATGGCTGCCAAAATGTGTCTGGAATTGGTGGGTTCTTGGTCTTGCTGACTTCAAGAATGAAGCCGCGGACCCTCACAGTGAGTGTTACAGTTCTTAAAGATGGCGTGTCCGGACTTTTTTCCTTCTGATGTTTGGACATGTCCGGAGTTTCTTCCTTCTGATGGGTTCATGGTCTCGCTCACTTCAGGAGTGAAGCTGCAGACCTTCATGGTGAGTGTTACAGCTTTTAAAGGCGGCACGTCTGGAGTTGTTCATTCCTCCCATCCAGAGTTGTTTGTCCCTCCCAGTGTGCTGGTGGTCTTGCTGGCTTCAGGAGTGAAGCTGCAGACCTTCGCTGTGAGTGTTACAGCTCATAAAGGTGGCACAGACCCAGAGAGTGAGCAGCAGCAAGATTTATTGTGAAGAGCGAAAGAACAAAGCTTCCACAGTGTGGAAGGGGACCCAAGCAGGTTGCCGCTGCTGGCTTGGGCAGCCTGCTTTTACCTTGACATGTGGGGATTATAGGAATTACAAATCAAAATGAGATTCGAGTGGGAACACAGAGCTGAAGAATGTCATCAGTATTTTCCTTTATAAGTGTCCAATTTTTCTAGGGGATTATATTGTAAAAATACAATTCTTATATTTTTCTATATCTCATTATTTCCTTTTATTAATCCCTATTTTCATTTTTTCTCAAAAAATTGTTGATTTCCTTTGTTAATTTGTGCATGTAATTGTTTTGTGTATTTGAAAATACATTTTTGGATTTATTTAATTTTACTTTCACCTTCCATCAGATTTATTTTCTGTTTTGTTTTTCTAATTTCTTGGGTGAATATTTAATTAATCTAGTTTTGCTCTTTTGTTCCTGTGTAGATATGCAGAAGTTAAAGGATTTACATTTTTAACTTATTTCTGCATTAAAAAATTCTCATAGTTTTAAGATGTTGTATTTTAAATTATTACTCTTACAGATTTTCAGAATATTATCATCTTATTCATTGCTCTCAGAACCACTTAGGAATTTGTTTTTCAACTTCTGAGTCATGAATTAATTTTATGTCTACTTTTGTTTTTATTTTCATTTGTGTAGCAATGCAAAATTTACTAACAATTTTGTAACCTAATATGATCAATTACCCTGAAAGCTCTAAGGTGGCACAAATAGAAGGATGTTCTTTATCACAGGATATAGGTTTTGTTATGTATTTGTTAGATTAACCTTATTGACAATACCAAGTATTGATGGGGACATGGATCACCTAGAACTCTCAAACACTGCAGGTAGAAGTATATAATAACCACTTACAAAAACTTGCTTTTTTTCAGCAAAAAACTTGCTAAAGTTAAATATGCATTCATTATAAAATTCATCAATCACATTCTTGAGTTTTTACACGAGGTGAAAAATTATGTCCATATAAAATGTCAATTATTTCTAGCGGCTTTGCTCATAATACTTAAAAACTGCAAACAATCCAAATATCCATCACAGAATTATAGAATAATTGTAGTATACCTGCAAATTAGATTCTTATTCAGCAATAAAAAGGAACTATGCAATCAATGATGTATTTAAATTTCAAAAAAATAATGGAGGGGGTGGAGAATCAGAAACAGAAGGCTACATGCTGTATGATTTCATAGAAAGTCTATAATACACAAAACTAATCTATAGTTGTAAAAATAAGGCAGTGATTGCCTCGGGACTGGGGGTGGTGTCTGCTAAGACTCATAGGGAAACTGGCATGAAGGAAATGTTTTATATATTGATTAGAATGGTAATGATACAAGTGTGTACATTTGTCAAAATTGATAAAACTATAAACTGGTGCATTTTGCTACATATTTAATAAGGTTTATATTAAAAATGAAGCTATACATGACCATATTCTTTTTATAAACACTTCATTAGATGACACAGCTTGTCTTTCTGTATTCAGCATTATTCAAGAGAAATGTAAGAGCAATAGGATATTTTTCTCACATAGTAGATGAAATATTTCTGCCTGAATGCTTTTAGAATTCTTTATCCTTTAACTTTAGCCCATTTTCCAGAATATATTATAATCTCAATTTTTTTTCTAATTATTTTACTGATCTATAAATTTTCTATGTGCTGATTTTTCTTCTTTTGTATAAGGTGCCTTCTAAATTTGCTTTTTGAAACTTGTTCCATTTTTTCTATACTATTCTTCACAAATATCAATTGTGTTTATACTGATTATTCATTTTTAAACTTTTCTACCAACTTTTCTGGAAAAATTTTTACCTCGTTTTCTATCAAACTTTATATTTTTCAAATTTCCATCAACTGACAAAATGGGAGAAAAATATTTGAAAACTATGCATTTTATTAGGTCTAATATCCAGAATCTATAAGGAATGTACACAAATCAACAACAAAAAAAAATAGCCCCATTAAAAAGTGGGCAAAGAAAATGAACAGGAACTTCTCAAAATAAGACATACAAGAAGGGAACAAACATATGAAAAAATGCTCATCATCAATAATCATCAGAGAAATGCAAATCAAAACCACAATGAGAAACTTACCATCTCACACCAGTCAGAATGGCTTTTGTTAAAAAGTCATACAAGATGTTAGCAAGGCTGTGCGGAAAAGGGAACATTTACACACTGTTTGTAGAAATGTAAATTTGTCCAGCTACTATTGAAAGTAGTTTGGAGTCTGTGATTCTCTTCACATGGAAGTCCAGAATAGGGAAATCTATAGAGACAGAAAGTGGTGACTTTGGGCAGGGCAGATAGGGGATTGGGGGAGGTGATAGTTAAAAGGTATGGGGTATCTTTTTGAGGTAATGAAATGCCTTAAAGTTGACTATGGTGGTGGTTACACGTATATTTGTGAGTATATTGGAAACCACTGAATTATACACTTTGAATGGATTGTATGGTCTGTAAATTATATCTCAACAAAAGTATTTAAAAGAAAAAAATAAAAAGTAAAAAAAAATGTTGGCGAAGCTGTGCAGAAAAGGGAACATTTACACACTGTTGGTAGGAATCTAAATTTGTCCAGCTACTATTGAAAGCAGTTTGAAGATTTCTCAGAGAACATAGAGCTGAATTACAACTTGACCCAGCAATCCCATTACTGAGTATATACACACAGGAAAATAAATCATTCTACCAAAAGGACAAATGCACCTGAGTATTAATCGCTGAGCTATTCACAATTACAAAGAAATGGAATCAACATAGATGTCCATCAATGGTGAATGGATAAGGAAAATGTAGTACATAAATATATGGACTACTACACAGTCATAACAAGAATGAAATCATGACCTTTGCAGCAACATGGATGCAATGAAGGACATTATCCTAAGCTAACTAACATAGAAACAGAAAACCAAGTACCAAGTTTTCTCATTTATAAGTGGGAACTAAACATTGGGTACACATGGATATAGACACTGGAGACCACTAAAGTGGGGAAAGGGCTGAAAAACTACCTACTGGGTACTGTGTTCACTATATGGATGATGGGTTCAGTCACACCCCAAACCTCAGCATCATGCAACATACCTTTGTAACAAACCTGCACATGTACCCCCCGATTCTAAAATAGAAGTTGAAAGAGAAAAAGAAAATTTTGTCATTGCATTTTTCTTATCAGATATATTGTCTTTTTAAAATTTGGAAAATATAAAAACTGTGAAATGAATAAAATATGTTATACATATACTGTAACCTAGAGATAATTATTGTCAGACTGTGACATATAATCAGATATAAATAAAATTGTATTTTCCTATATCATTATTCTTTGAAGACAAAACAAAAACTCTAAAGGAAATTTTGTCCATTATAGTAACCCTGCTTTTTACGGTCTCTAATTATGTTTCTATTCTTAAATTGTTTATTTTCTTCCAAATTATCTCATTTTTTCTCCCAATTTTGTCATCTCCTCTGTGTTATCTTCTCTTTGATTACCTTTGTATCTCTAAATTGATCTCTTATTTCTGAAAGTTCATATTCCTTTTAATTTCTTTAAGATGGTTTTTAATATATTATTAATATTTTAAATAATATGTGTATTTTTCTGGGGCAATACATTTCCAGATTATGTTTCAGAGATCTATATTTTGCTTATTGTATTCATTTCCTTTAGTGTCTTAAAATTATTCAAAGATAGATTTGAATTGAATACTTTATTTTTACATATAATTAATTTCATCCAGACCTAATATTTCCCAGAAAAAGTAAGGGTGGAGAATTATTGACTTGATGACTGGAAACTGTCTTAAGTGTATCTTTGAAATTTAGAATTTGAATTGTAGGACTCAATATTGTTGGTTTATAACAACTTCTGAGTCTTTTAGTTGCTTAGAGTCAGGAAAAGAACTGGTGTGCTAAGTGAAACATAGAGCCTCAATTTTGGTTTATTATTTTCCCATGATTTGTCACTACATTTTTTTAAGTCCTTGGTCTTCAGAAGAATGCAGTCCTAAGAGATTTTCACCTCAAAATTTAGCTCTTACACACTTGTGGCCAGCATGGAGCCCAGGCACTATAGGTGTTTTGGTTTGATTTAATGGTTTGTTTTTAATGATTTTTAAGAGTTTTCTGCTTAGGTAATTGTGGTTAGGGGCTGTGTGGCTGTTTCACATTTTTGCCTCTTGTGCTCCCTACATCAACTCCAAGCTATTTGTCTTTTTCCTGGTGGTCTGTCTATACCACAGCACTTACACTTCTTTCTTTTTTCTTCTTCTTTTTTGCATGCTCATATGTACTGTTTTTCAGGCCTCTCTCACTGTCTTTTAGAGAAATATATATGGTAGTGGGAAGTGG
Source organism: Homo sapiens (assembly GCF_000001405.40). Lineage (NCBI taxonomy): Eukaryota > Metazoa > Chordata > Mammalia > Primates > Hominidae > Homo > Homo sapiens. The sequence continues at coordinate 183,881,188 of NC_000002.12, read as the reverse complement.
AAGTTTGCCAAATTTCAGTGATTTAGTTTAAATTTCATTCATAAACATTCTTCACAGTCTATGGTATAATGATGTTTCTGTTTCATATTTTTTAGTCTTTTCATTTATTTCAGATGACTTGGAGGAGGGAAATTAAGTAAAATATATGTACTATATCATCTTTATGAAAATTTTGGAATTCTGGTTCTAAGAACTGATTTTTAGACTACTTCAAAATACGTGATAAAAATGATGCTAATTTTAATTTTTTTAGAAATATATGGCCTGTTAATCTATACAGCCAGATTTGACTATATTTTTTCTATGTATTAGCACTATTTTTTAGCATTATAATTCCCATAGATAAATAACTTCTAGGTTACTATAATCAAATATAACAAACTAAAGAAAAAAGAAGCATACTAAAGGCAAGGAAAATGGTGGATCCATGGAGAAAATTTAAAGAGCAGAGTTGTGATTGTTAAGAATAAGCTTAGTGTTTGTTGACATGCTTTTGAACAATGCTTGTTAATAAGTATTAAAAAAGAAAAGATCAAACAGATGGTGGATTGTGTAAAGGGAACAATGGTTACTTAATAGATGATTTTTGTTTTTAATTCTGTTTATGTGGTATCTCACATTTATTGACTTGTGGATGTTAAAACATGCCTGTATGCCTGATATGAAACCCAGTTGATCATGGTGGATTATAGTTTTGATATGCTGTTGGATTCAGTTACCTAGTATTTTGTTAAGGATTTTTGAATCTATATTCATCAGGGATATTAGTCTGTAATTTTCTTTTTTTGTTATGTCCTTTCCTGGTTTTGGTATGAAGGTGGTACTGGCTTCATAGAATGATTTAGGGAGGATTTCCTCTTTATCTTGTAGAATAGTGTCAGTAGTATTGGCATTAATTCTTATTTGCATGTCTGATAAAATGCAGCTGTGAATCCATCTGGTCCTGGACTTGTCTTTCACTGGCAATTATTTTTATTACAATTTTAATCTTGCTGCTTGCTATTGGTCTGTTCAGATTTTCTATTCTTCTTAATTTAATCTAAGAGGTTTGTATATTTCCAGGAGTTTATACATCTCCTCTAGGTTTTCTAGTTTATGTGCATAAAGGTGTTCACAGTAGCTTTGAGTGATCTTTTGTATTTCTGTGTTATTTGTTGTAATATCTCCCATTTCAGTTCTAATTGAGCTTATTTGGATCTTCTCTCTTCTTTTCTTGGTTAAACTCGCTAATCATCTATCAATTTTATTTATATTTTCAAAGAACCAGGTTTTGTTTCATATATCTTTTGTAGTTTTTTTTTTTTCAATTTTATTTAGTTCAGCTCTGATCTTTGATATTTCTTTTCTTCTGCTGGGGTTGGGTTTAGTTTGTTCTTGTTTCTCTATTTTCTTGAGGTGTGACCTTAGATTGTCTCTTTGTGCTCTTTCAGACTTTCTGATGTAGGTATTCAATGCTCTGAACTTTCCCCTTAGCACTACCTTTGCTGTATCCCAGAGGTTTGGATGGGTTGTGTCTCTATTATCGTTCAGCTCAAATAATTTTTTTTTATTTCCAGCTTGATTTCATTGTGGAACCAACAATAATTCAGGAGCATGTTATTTAATTTCCACGGTTTTGAGGGCTCCTTTTATGATCATCTCAATAGTCACAGAAAAAGCATTTGTCAAAATCCAACATCCCTTTATGATTAAAACCCTCAGCAAAATTGACATACAAAGGATATACCTTAATGTAATAAAAGCCATCTATGACAAAACCACAGCCAACATAATACAGAATGGGGAAAGGTTGAAATCGTTTCCCCTGAGAACTGGAACAAGACAAGGTTGCCACTCTCCCCACTTCTACTCAACATAGTACTAGAATTCCTAGCCAGAGCAATCAGACAAGAGAAAAAAAATAAAGAGCACCCAAATTGGTAAAGAGGAAGTCAAACCGTCACTATTTGCTAATAATATGATTGAATACTTAAAAAACCAGTAAAGACTCCCCTAAAACCTCTGATAACTGATAAATGAATTCAGGAAAGTTTCAGGATACAAAATTAACATACACAAATCAGTGGTTCTCCTATACACCAACAGTGACCAAGCTGAGAATCAAATCAAGAACGCAACCCCTTTTACAATAGCTGCAAAAAAAATCATAAAATACTTAGGAATATACATTACCAAGAAGGTGCAAGAGCTCTACAAGGAAAACTACAAAACACTGCTGAAAGAAATCATAGATGACACAAACAAGTGGAAACATATCCCATGCTCATGGATGGATAGAATCAGTATTGTGAAAATGACAATACTGCCAAAAGCAATCTACGAATTCAATGCAATTCCCACCAAAATACCACCATCATTCTTACAGAACTAGAAAAAGCAATCATAAAATTCATATGGAACCAAAAAAGAGCCTGCCTAGCCAAAACAAGACTAAGCAAAAATAACAAATCTGGAGGCATCACATTACCTGACATCAAACTATACTATAAGGCCATAGTCACCAAAACAGCATGATACTGGTATGAAAATGGGCACATAGACCAACAGGACGGAATAGAGAACCCAGAAATAAGCCAAATACTTATAGTCAACTGATCTTTGACAAGGTGAACAAAAATAGAAAGTGGGAAAAGGACATCCTATTCAACAAATAGTGTCAAGATAATTGGCAAGTCACATGTGGAAGTATAAAATTGGATCGTCATCTCTCACCTTATACAAAAATCAACTCAAGATGGATCAAGGATTTAAATCTAAGATCTGAAACCATGAAAATTCTAGAAGAAAACATTGGAAAAACTCTTCTAGACATTGGCTTAGGCAGAGAATTTTGACCAAGAACCCCAAAGCAAATTCAACATTAACAAAGACACATAGATAGGATTTAATTAAACTAAAAAGCTTCTGCACAGCAAAAGAAACAATCAGCAGAGTAAGCAGACAACCCATAGGGTTGGAAAAAGTCTTTGAAATCTATACATCTGACAAAGGACTAATATCCGGAATCTACAAGGAACTCAAACAAATTAGCAAGAAATTACAAACAGTCTCATCAAAAAGTGGGCTAGGGACATGAATAGACAAGTCTCAAAAGAAGATATACAAATGGCCAACAAACATATGAAAAACATTCAGCATCACTAATGATCAGGGAAATGCAAGTCAAAACCAGAATGAGATACCACCTTACTCCTGAAAGAATATCCATAATTACAAAATCAAAAAATAATAGATGTAGGTGTAGATGTGGTGAAAAGGGAACACTTTTACACTGCTGGTGATAATGTAAACTAGTACAACCACTAGGAAAAACAGTGTGGAGATTCCTTAAAGAACTAAAAGTAGAACTACTATTTGATCCAGTAATCCCATTACTGGGTATCTACCCAGAGGATAAGAAGTCATACAAAAAAAGATACTTCCACAGGCATGTTTACAGCAGCACGATTTGCAGTTGCAAAAATATCGAACCAGCCCAAATGCCCATCAATCAATGAATGGATAAAGAAATTGTGATATGCACACACACACACACACACACACACACACACACACACACCATGAAATACTACTCAGCCATAAAAAGGAACTAAATAAAGGCATTCACAGCAACCCAAATGGTATTAGAGACCATTATTCAAATGAAGTAATTCAGGAATGGAAAACCAAACACCATATGTTCTCACTCATAAGTGGAAGCTAAGCTCTGAGGATGCAAAGGCATAAGAATGATGCAATGGACTTTGGGGACTTGCGGGGAAAGGGTAGGAGGGTGGCGAGGGATAAAAGACTACAAATCAGGTAGAGTGTATACTGTTTGGGTGATGGGTACACCAAAATCTCAAAACTCACCACTAAAGAACTTATTCACATAACCAGACACCACCTGTTCCCAAAAACCTATGGAAATATAAAATAAAAATTTTAAAAATTAATTTAATTTTTTAAAAAAGTGAGTTAGTCAATAAAATCAGGGATAAAGCCTGGATTCCAAGATAGATAGGCCTTCAGCTAGATTGACAGGAAGATCACTGATAGTGATGTGCTCTGTTTTAGTAAGGTAAAGTAAAAAGATTATCTCTCAAGTTATCATTTTGTTGTCATTAGGTTATTTCATCCTAATTAATAAATGGATTTTATCTAAAAGCAGAGCTATAAGTTCCATTAAAATTCAAAGCATAATGTCTCCCTTTAAACAGAGATTTAAATTTTTAAGCAAAAATTTAGAAATTTTAAAGTTCTCTAGTAGCAATCAGAAAAGAATCAGACCAATAATTCGAATCAAAGATAAAATTATATACACTGAGTGTTATATGTACATACAATTGCATGAAAACAGGGTGAGTCCTTATAAAACAAACGAATAAAGAGTGTCCTCTGTTTTCAGCTGCAGGCATGAATGCCATAGCCTTGGGTATCACTGACTTATGCTGTATTTGTATTATGCCAAATATTCACACAAAGAAAAGCATTTTGTTCTCATTACATAATTGTGTCATTTCAACCATATTTAATTGATGATTTTCCATAGCCTATTTCCAAAATGCTGCCAATCATCAAACCAAGAACTCAGGTCAGTTATTCTGATAAGCCAGTGGTAAATCATGTTCTCATATTGACTGTCCTCCTCCAGTAGGTAGAATGTCTAATCTGAAATCAAACTTACTGGTTGCACTAGAAGACAACTCATTCCCTAGCTGCTCCTTCTACTTGGTTGTTGCTTACATATGACTCAACAACTCTCAAATGTAGGTGAAGCACCAAAGTTCTGATTTGAACTATTTTTCTAATGTTCTTCTGCTTACTGGATTACATCTCCAAAGTGTAGTCTTCCAGGTATGAATTTTCAAACTTCTTACTCCCTCCAAATAACTGCCTAATTTTAGCAAAATTCTCTGGTCCTTGTCCTCCAGAGTTTGAGGACAGATGTACTGCTTCCTGTTTGTGGCCTACACTTCCAACTGTTTTCATAATCACAGTCCCTCTATTGTGCTGTGAGAACTCATTGTTTAATGTATATGTTCTCTCTTCTATAGCTCTAAACTCAGTCTACTGAACCTAAAAATTTCTTCTTTATAGTTTCAACAAAAATAAAGTTAGCAATTAAAATCACCTGTCTCTTCAACAAGGAGATATTTCATACTTTAAAAACAAACAGATAACAACAATAAAAAAAACTTGCTCCAAGAACATTGTATCTAATAAACAGAGCTAAAGTTTTGGCTGATGTCTCCATAGATTTTTAAGGACTTCACAAATATACTCTCTCGGTACTTACTACTGCAGAATAAATGTAGTTTTCTTGCATTTCACACTTATAATTATTCTCTCCCTCTTGAAAAACAATACTTCTTCATTTCTTAGGCCACTTATCTCTTGAGTTACTTCGGGGCTAGGGTCATGTCATTCATTTTTATATCACTATCCTTCTAAAAGTGCCTTTATCTTCATTATTTTACCATGCAATAGCTATTAATCTCTCTCTTCCTACACACAGTAAGATAAATGAGCATTTTTCTGTTGGAGTTGATGTGGTGAATAACCTGATAGCTCTGATGACACACTAAGAACCAGTACAATTAATTGGATTTGCCTAGAAATACCAGATTTTGCAGATATCCTATCTAATCAACATGAGAAAAGCATTATGGTACATTTAGTGATAAACATCCAGAGGTATATGGTGTAAATGAGGAGGATTTGATGTTTTCATATTTTGTGTATCAAACGTGACAGAATTATTTTCCATTATAAGAACTTGTAATTAAATTTACTAAGTCAGTATGCCTTTCAAATGAGAGGGGAGGCACCATGATGGTGAAAGATTATGATATTTTTTCCTATGATCCCATTCCACTAAGCAAATGTCATGAAATGGACAAGTGAAACACAAGTATTTACTCAATGTCTCCATAAAATTATAATGTGTGATAAACATTGGTGATATAAAAATGAATTACATGACCCTAGCCCTGAAGTAACTCAAGGGAAAAGTGGCCTAAGAAACAAACAAGTATTGTTTTTTAGGAGGGAGAGAATAATTATAAATGTGAAACACAAGAAAACTACATTTATTCTGCATTAGTAAGTACCAAGGGAGTATATTTGTGAAGTCCCTAAAAATCTCTTGAGACATCAGCCAAAACCTTAGTTCTGTTTATTAGATACAATGTTTTTCTTAGAGCAAGTATTTTTATTGTTATCTGTTTGTTTTTAAAGTATGAAATATCTTCTTGTTGAAGAGACAGATGATTTTAATTGCTAACTTTATTTTTGTTGAAACTATAAAGAAGAAATTAGGATGACTTTAGGTTTACAATGGGATACTGATTACATACATTATATTATTTTCTTATGAAACTATGGCAGTGAAACTAAAGAAATAAAACTGATCTAAATCTGCAACAATGGAAAGAGCTGGTGACTGACTATTCCTTGTCTGATAAGATATAGCAGTATATATTTAGAAAAGAGAAAGCAGATGGGGGAGAGGTAATTGGGGCAGAATAGAGAATGCCACAAACTAGAGTACAGGGAGAAGACAACTGAGATATGGATTGAATCAGTCCCAGGAAAGGCTTGCAATTTATAAATGTCATGCAAACCAGAAGGTATATATATGGAATTTAAAAACAATGTTGTTAAATAAATTTCTATATTGAAAAATTACCTCCCTCACTTATACTCCCACCTCTATCCCCATTCATAATGTTGAGTATCATACACCTGAAACCCATGGTAGACCTATCTCTTCTCTAGGGGAACTGAGGGACTACAGAGCAAAGATTCTACTCCAACATTGAGATGTAGCTATTTCAATAGCTGGTTTTTACTCTACAATCTAAAGTGAAGCCTGACATTTTTAAATCTCTTCTTTGTACCCAGAAACACTGAACAACTTGTTAATGACTTAATCTTAAAAGTGAATGGACATCAGACTATCATAAAATTCTCCAAAATGAAAGAGAAAGAAAAAATGAATAGAAATTGAGGTAATATCAGGAGAAAACAGAACTTCATAAACTCTAGTATCCTCAGAGATCATTGAGAAAATCCATAAAGAAAAGGATGCTATAAAAAAGAAAACTTGGTGACTAAAACTGAGCTCTTAATAAAAGTGCATTTTCCAAAATAAAAATTCTACACAAGAGTTGGAAAAGTAAGTCAAAAATATTTTAGAAAGCATATATACATACATACAAACCATCAAAATTAGGGAAACTGATGATAAATGATCAATCTAGGAGATCCAATAACATGATATGTAATATGAGTTCTGAAAAGAGATGAGTACACTGAGTAGAGGAAATTGTCAAACACACACATACATATGTACACACAACATATTTCAAAGCCGAAGCATTTGTCTCCAAAATAAGAGTCCTTATTAAATCTAGCAAACAAATGGAAAAAATATGACCACTTCTAGTCAATCAGTAGGAAAAGTTCAGAACCCAAAGGATTATTAAAAGATCGTAAAACCTTTCAAAAATAATTTTTAAAAAATTAACTACAAAGGAGAATATCCATCCAGGCAGAAACATTGGATACAATATGATGGGGCAATACTTTCAGAGATCTAAGGAAAAAAAATTTAGTTCAGAATCGTACAATCAAAAAATAGGGTAAATGCTGGGTTAGAATAAGTATATTTTCAGACATGAAGGACTCAAGAGATTTACCTTTCAGACATGCTTACTTAGAACATTTCTAAAGGTGTAACCCAGCAAAAATGAGCATGAAAACCAAAAAGAGGGAGATACAGGAGAGAATGGAGTGGAACAAAAAAGACATGATCCAGGCTGATGGCCATGCACCAGGTCTATGGAGCTGGCAGCCCAAATTGGAACAGAAGGATGTGGGGCTCTTAAAGGGAAGACAGAGGAAAAAGGTGACAGAAAAGTGGACTGAATGTAGACTTTGAAAAACTAAGGGAATGAATAAAGTAAATGGCAGGTGAGGGAGAATGGAAATAGCAACTACTAATCCCAGGTAAGTATTTTTTTTAACACAAAGAAAAATCAGTGAGCTGTGCTTTTCTGTGAACATTATTTATACAATCACAATAATGAAGACACGGTTTAAAGATCTGACTAAAGTACTCAACCAATATACAAAACACAAAGGACTTAATTATGATTATCAAGATAAGGTAATGTTGTCAACCTTCACAGTACAGAGATAAGCTCATAAATGACAAAAATTATGTAGAAGGAGGAAGGAAACCTCAGTAGGAAATTTTGGAAATATAATGAAAAGCAAATTCTTATTCCAACTCAGAAATCGCTCCACAAAGATAGTGAAGAAAGAAACCACTTTTATTATTGAATAAACACTGAAGCAGAATGCAATGTGCATCATAGGAAATCTGCTAACAGATATTTGCAGAGACAGAAAAGAGTTTCATCCGTGTGTATAGCCAAGCAGATATACTCCATTACACACAAGCTTTCAAGATAAATAATAACTAGTCCTCAAGTAAGAGGACTTAAGAGTACCATTTGTCACACACAATGCATCCTATCTTATATCTCTATGGCAGGAGGTAATTTTGAAACTGGGAGCAAGAGACCCACGAAAGCTAGGCTCCAGCACTCTCACAGAAGCTGTGAGATAGGGACACTATCTTCCTTTATGATAACATTTCACAAAAGACATCCTTAAGTCATAAGATGAAAAACTACTATCCTCAAAAGGAAGTTTATACATATCCAAGAGAGGAGAAATAATTACAAGTTTTCCAAAGTAAATGCTCTTAGTAAACAGAAGGGCATGAAATATCCTTCCTTGTTTTAAATGGGGAAAATTAAGCCTCTTATTTTTAATATGTGTTTGTGCTTACAGAAGATAATCATGATAGTGGCCTCTTCCTGCAAAATGCACTGTCAGAGATCCTGTCCTGAGATAGTGACACATGAAATAAAAGTGCTTAGATAGTGCTTGGATAGAGAGATTAAATGAGAATCTAAAACTGGTGGAAATATATTGGTAGTGAGAGGGAGGGAAAGTAGGAGAATTACATAATTTAAATTATTATATTTAGCTAAACAACCAAATTAATTAAGAAGAGCACTAGAATCCTAGTATGCAGAAATATTTTGAGAACTATAAGATGAAAACAGCTAGGATAATTAGACATGGTTGGCACAGGAAAGCAAGACTTGGGTGAAGACTATTACTTATACGTGTATTTCTTTAGATATTAGATATGATGTTTTTATATTATAAAAAAGATAATGTATAGTACATTTTGTAGTGACCTAACCAAGATATAATAGGAAAATGTTGAAATGGAGAATTAACAAAAAAATTAAATGATATGTGATTTTAAAAAGCACATTTACAGCAAAGTTTGCTTATCACTAATTTTCAAAAGATAAAAGATGGTATATCTGTATATACATGTATTTATATGCATATGGATGTAAGTACATACATGTGTTTACATCTGAAAGCATCTCAAGTTATGGAACTTTATTTTAAATAAACATTTCAAAAAATGTTTTAAAGTATGCAGATAACATAATGAACACCTCAGTGCATTCTCACACTTGACCAAATCCTCCCATTATACTTCCTTTAGAAGCTATGGTTTGTGTCTTAAAACTAGATCCTCTTGTTTTTAGAGTACCTGAGAGTGGAATTACCTTCTCCCATTGGTCCTTGAGGTACACTGTGCTCCTATGTGGGGTTGCCTATCAAAACTGCATTATTAGTAGTCTGAACATACGGTTTAAGAATTAGACTTGACTCTTTTAACTTTGGGAATTAATAAGATATTTAAAAAATGTCTAACAGTTAACTCCTGAGGTCTACCTAGAAACTTTACCCTCTTTGCTTTAGTAAATGGCTACTTCTTCCTTTTAGTTGCTCTCACTAAAATCATCTTTAAAGTTCCCTTTATGGTAATATAGGATTTTTCTAGCCTGTATCTAAAAATTCTTCCTGCCTCTACTCATTACCCAGCTCTGGAGCTACTTCCACATTTTTAGGTATTTGTTACAACAGCACCCAGAGTTACCAGTACCCAGTTTTTATCTTACTTCATTTGGGCTGTTATAACAAAATACCATAAGCTGGGTAGTTTATGAACCACAAATTTCTCGCTCTTCTGGAGCGCAGAAGTTCACAGTCAAGGCACCAGCACGTACAGTGTCTGCTGAGGGCCTGCTTTCTGGTCATAGATGTGGCATCTTATTGCATCCGCACATGGTAGAAAGGGCAAAGGAACTCCTTGGGGCTTGTTTTATAAGGGCACTAATGTAATTCATGAGCGCTCTGCTTTCATAACCTAATCACCTCCCAAAGACCGCACCTCCTTATCCCACTAGGAATGAGATTTCAACATATACATTTAGGGGTGAACACAAAAATTCATACCATAGCAGACAGTCCAACTTTGAATACAGGACCATAATAGTATGTCTGGCATGTAATGAACACACAGTATATGAGATGGCTGATAAAGTGAATAAAAATTATTTAATGAATTCTCCACTTCACCCATGACAGACTATCTATGATTCTGTGGAGTCATTTATTTTTCTCTAAAGTTAAGTATACTATTTACTATTTCTACCTTATTTTTTAAATTCAAAAGAAGGTTGAAGTTTTTTCTAACAATATTGACTCTACCTTCAGAATGTTTTCTCCATCAAAATCCATTTATTTATTCTTCCAACAATTGTTTTTTAATAATTTTTGACCAGAATGATCTAGGCACTGAATATACAACAGTCAACAAAATAAAGTCCCCACTGTTAGGGAGCTTAAACTATTAGGTTAGTGCAAAAGTAATTCGGGTTTTTGCCATAAATTTCAATTACTTAATACTATACATATTAGTGTATAGGTGGGGTGAGGCACAGAAAATAAATAAATAGTAATATAAATTAATGCATGATCTGAGGAAAGCATAATGCAAGGTGAACAGCTAGAAGGTATGAGTAGGTCCCTACAGCAGGGTAGTAATGGAAGTCCTCTACGTGATATGGAGACATCAGAGACAGTGAGAAAGTAGGTCCTGCAGACGTGTAGTTTCGTTGGATGAAGGCCCAGATCCCAGCTTCTTAGTACTTTACTGCATATGGCTCACAGCAGAGACCTTTTTTAAAGGATTTCCCTTAGACATAGAAAGCCAAGTACCTAGGAGATTATATGTACTAATTCCTTCTTTTCCCTTAGTAACCCAAAGCCAGTGACCAAATGGCATGAGGATACAAAAGCCCAGCCTCTTTTCTCAGATGCCATTCACGCTCCAGTGGTGAGGGGGGCTTCCCTAATGCCTTCTTACTAAGGCATTACTTGCATTTGAATCCTTGGCTCTGGGTCTACTTCTTGGAGAAATGAAGAAATGGAAAAAGGGCATTCCAGGCACAGGAATCAGCAAGTACAAAAGCTATGAAGAAGAAACATAATTGATATTCTCAAGGAAAAGCAAGGGGGCTAGTGTGGCTGAAGTATGAGAGAAGTGAGGTAAGAAATGGCAGCAGAGAGCATCTCTACCTTCCCACACCCACCCTCTACTCTGTGAATTTCAGGGTAGTGGTTGTAACTTGTTCATTCCTTCAGCTCTGGTGCCTACATTTTTAAGATGTTCAATAAATACTTACTAAATTAATTTTTTTCTTATAGAAAATTACCGGGTGAATATTTATCTGAATCTGGTGTCTTATTTCCCATTCAACTACATGAACATTATTTCCCCTGACATTTCAGAAATATCTTTCTCACTTTTTTGATTTATTTTTAAGAAGACTGATAGAACTTCAGCAATATAAATAGAAACATATTTAGTTTTATAATAAACATAATAATGAATTGAACAATTTGATAAGGTGCAAAAGAAAGTGTGAAAAATCACCTAAATGGCTAGGGTATTCATGTTACATAAACTGTCACAGTGTTGAAAATAAATCTTACATTTTCCCAGTTATGAGTTTCTCCTTTTTATACTCAGTTAAAAACTATTGAATTTTATTATATATCTTAACCATCCCAAATTCATGATAGAATAAAGTAAAATATAAATATTTAATTATGTCTATTTTGAGGTTATAAGGATGGATACTAAATGATAAATATTTCAGATGAGCTATGTCTATGTGAAGTCACAGTCTCAAATGTTTGATTTAAAAAATTCCATTGCCCATATACACAACAATAAAAATATTTCCAAGAGCAACAAAACTCTTCTGTGGGTGAACTTGTCTGTACTCGGGTAGGTAGCCTGCCAAGCATAAAATGAATCATTAAATATTAATAGCTATCAATTTCCTGTATAGCTGTCCTGAAAACATTCACCACAGCTAATAAGCTCTTGGCCATTGTCAGTGACTCATACTTAGCTTCTGGTGTTGGACTGGATCCCTCAACTGAGAACCTGGTACTTTTATCTTTAACAAGGCCTTATTCTAGATTTTAACTTGAATGCTTTTAATAGTGCCTGGGCTTCCTGTAAATTATAGGCCTTTTAATAATACCTTTCAATCATCTGTCATGCCCACCTCATACCTACATATCGACAGTCTTTTTCTTAATAAAATGTTGAATTTCATCATTTTGCATCATTATTAATAGCATACTGTATTAGTATTCTGTGGCTGCCATAAAACATTACTACAGATTTGGTGGCTCAAAACAACAGGACTTTATTCTCTTACAGTTCTGGAGGCCAGAAGTTCAAAATCAATTTTACATAGCTGAAATCAAGATCTCAGCAGGACTGTGCCTCCTCTGTAGACTTTAGGGGAGAATCTGTTACTTGCCTCTTCCAGTTTCTGATGTCATTTCTTGGCTTGTGGCCACATCTGTTATCCTCATATCAGCTTCTTCTCTGTGTGTTTGTGTCATGATGTCCTCTGCCTCTCTCTCATAAGGATGCATATGATTGATTGCATTTAGGGTCTACCCAGAAGGATAATTCAGAATAAGCTCCTCTTCTCACGATCCTTAACTCAACCACGTATTTTGCCATGTAAGATGATACTCACTCTTTTGCTATATAAAGAAATATCCACAGGTTCTGGAGATTCATAGATGAACATATCTTTGAGGCAACAATTTGGCCCACTACACACACCCATTAAGAAAACTTTTTTTAGTGGATAAAAACCTTAATAGTGTACTCTTTAAGAATCTTGCTACTAAAGTCTTTAAAAATAAAGTTATCCATTTAAAGCTATGGGTATACAAACATGTTAAAAAAAGAAAAGGTATATAAGCACCTAATTAGAAAAATTGAGTCTTTGACAAGGTAATATTAATCTAAGGAACAGATTTAGTTTTCAGGTTTTTCACCCATACTGCAGTATGGAATATGTCAGATGACATATTCTAATGATTCTTTGATAACTTACCTGACTCTTTCTTCTTGGAATCCCCTAGCTTTCACGGAAAACTCTTAATTTTCAATAATCTCAGTCACTGAGCCCAGTATGGTCTCTGAAGGGTAAGAATGTAAAGGATTCTATGACAGTTCTGCAATTAAATCAGCCAACTTCCACCTGTCCTCAAGCTGTGATTCTAGGGATGTATTCACCTGCCATGCTCAACTAGGCTCACCTCCTTTTAAAACAGAGATCTTCCTGTTTCCACTTATTTTCAAGACTTATCTATGTGCTTCACTCAGAAAAACAGAATTTACCTCCCATTTCAGGGTTGACTACATAATTGGCAACAATTTCAGGATGATGACAGCAAGACATTAAACTAAGCACGGGTTCTTCTAAAGCATAGTACCGTGTGCATCTAGAGTTGGCGTGCCTGCTCCCTGCCTAATTTCTAGAGCTAGAGCGTCTATCCTCAGTGTGGGCTCCTAAGTCCAGCCTTTTTCGATTTGACATGCAGCAATGCTTCCCTCAGGTACAAACCTTGTTATATTTGTCTCAGAAAATATATCTGCTAACCAATGAAAAAATTATTTCAACTACTGTTGGGAAATATATTGAAAAATTAAATGTTCCCACATTTCACTTTGAATGTCAGTTTTAAATAGTTAGAAACCCAACTCAAACTAAGTTTAAAAATAAAGGGAAATTACAGGTTTATATAGTTGAAAAAAATTCAGGGATGGGGTTGGAATCAGATGAGATTGAATAAGTGTTCTGATTTTATTTCTCTGTAGTGTCTTGATTTGCTCTACTTGGCCTATTGCCTCTGTTTTTCAACCAGTGGTAAGAGGGCTTGCAGATCTGAGCCTGATAGCTATATGCAACAATACACAGAGATAGAGAGAACCCATTCGTTCCAGTAATTCTCTCCTAATGGTGAGGGATCGTCATTGGCAGAATCCTCCAGTAAACATTCCCTTGAAGTTTACTGACTCATGCAGAAGCATGTGCCCATTCCTAAACATCTGGTGGCCAGGAAAATTTTATGTTCAGATAGGCATGAGCTTGGCTTCCTGAATTATGGCAAAGAAAATGGGGTTTCCCTTAGTGGAGACTTGGACTGAGCTGATAAGGATAGATTGACTTAAAAAAAAAGTAAAGGCTAGGTAGAAGGTGAGAGTGAGCAAGGAGACAAAAGCTGAGTAATAAATCAACAGTTTTTATTAAAAGACCTTACTTGAATCATGAATGTATGCATGTCTGAGCTTTCCTTTAGCATTGATGTTGAGGTAACTGCTAGGTAAAACTGTGATTGCTAAAAGTTAGAAAAACTTTAATGACTTTATGGCATTGTGTGAACTGCAAACTCTGAATGATACTCTAGTACCGTAGTACTATTCACAATAGCAAAGACATGGAATCAACCTATCTATGACATGGAGTTACTATCTACCTACACCAAAACTTTTCTTTATATTTTTCATATACTTTACCACTCTTCAGGTGGTATTTCCTTTCCTGTCATTAGGTGGTATGAGAAGCAGTAGAGCTTTCTTTGGCAGTCTCAGAGCACATATCTACACATGTGAATAGCATTTTTCTTACTTATGTAAGGAAAGGATAATGCCACCAGGCTGTATGTCACTTAAAAGTTTACAATTTTAAGCTTATAGGTCATGTAAAGCAACATAATGGCAAGGAAAACACCTGAATTGACAAGATTTTCTTTTCAACCTATTTCTTCCATGATTTATTAAAAGATAAATCCAACAATCTAGCAAACATGGCTACATATATTTTGTTTTTTTTTTTTTTTGGCTCGCAACAAAATATTTAACTTAAACTTTCTCTATTGTTTACCCCAAGAAGTTATCTAGGGATATGTCATGGAACAATGGGTTTCTCTTGTACCTATGAGAGACATAGCAGATTTTTTCCCCAAAGCTTTTATCCAAGAGGCTTAAGACAGGAATGGCTAAAATGAGGAAGGAGTAAAACCTATGTTACTGAAGGTGAATATCCCCATACAAGATGTTGCCTTGACACCAGGAATGGAACAGTAGTTACAGGTTGTGGTCTACCAGGTCTCTGCTGAGACATCCCAGTGGAGGTGTGCTTTTGTCCAGTAAACTGATTCTCAGCAAATCTTGCAAAGGATGCGGAGATATTTTATAATTGAGAAAACTGAAAATTTTGAAAAGTGTTAGTCAATGTCATATCAGCTCTGTATTTGGGAATACATTAGGTCCAAAGTGATTCATGATAGCAGGAGAAGAATGTCACATTATTTTACTTTTTCTAAAGATCCTGATTATCACTTACTAATGTTAGTGAAAGTTCACTGTTACTCATTATTGGGGGTATTCGAGAACTTCAGGATCTATATAGTCCTGGGAAAACTGAGTAGGCAGGCTTGGTTTTAGCACATATTGCCTGCTATATAGAAGTAGCCATTAAATAACTCACTGGGTGATGGTCACTTTCCATTGTTCTTCAACTACCAGCTGCTGCTGTTCTCTGGGAAGATTGCTATATGGCTTCTTCCCAAGCCTTCTCCATCCAAGTGAGCACAGAAGTCTTCTTTGTTGTAGGGACTATGCTGTGAATTGCATAGGATATTTAGCCTCCACCCACTAGATGCTAGCAGCACCCACTCCTAAGTTAGGACAATTTAAAAATGTATCCAGACTTTGTCAAATGCCACTGGGGGATAAAATCACCCCAACTGGCAACCACTAGATTAGCGATATCTCTAATATCCCTTCAAATTTAACATTTCATAATTCTGTGATATAGATAATGGACAATGAGAGTACTTTATAAATTATAATGTGAGATACAGTCATATGTCATGTAGTGACAGGAATACGTTCTGAAATAAGCATCTTTAGCTGATTTTGTGGTTGTGTAAACATCAAAAAATGTATTTATACAAACACAAATGATATAGCCTACTACACATTTAGCCTGTATAGTATAGCCTATTGCTCCTAGGCTACAAACCTGTACAGCATGTTACTGTACTGAATACTGTAGGCAATTTTAAAACAGTAGTAAGTATTTATGTATCTAAACATAGAAAAGGTACAATAAAAATATTGGGTCATAATCTTATGAGGCCGCTGACATATATAGGGTCCATCATTGACTTAAATGTTACGTAGGTGTGACTGTACAAAAGTTATGTGTTCATTCATTCAACAGACTTTGTTAAACATTTACAACGGAAAAGACAATACACTACATGGACAAAAGGTGAGCTGAAAATGATGCCCCTCTCTAGGAGGGAAAGTCAGCTACACATATAAATAACATTTTCCATATTTTAAAGAACAATGAAATTTCAGCATTGGAAAGTTAGAGTAACATGCTATAAGTAAATTTGGGAAAGAAAAAAAAAGCAGTTTCTTGGAATGTTTTGAGGCAAAGTGGGCCATTTAAGAAAACTGTGCCACAGATTAGGCTAAGAAAAGCCATTACTCTTACTAATGGGGTTTAAACTTACATTATTAGAGTCATAAAATTTTAGAGGTTGAAGGGACCTTAGAGATCATCTAATACGATCACCCTCATTTTACAGATGAGGAAATTGAATCTTTTCTCATCCCTCGTGCATTGTGGGCAGATGAAGCGGAAATAAGCAAGAAAAATCTAAATCGATGCCAACAGCAGCAGGAGGTTGCTCAGTTTGTACATTGTTTTAAAGGGAATAACACAAACCATGACCTTCTTTTAAATTAGGAAGAATTGCCAATACTACACACAAGAATATTGTATACAGGATAAAACTATGATGAGGAAAAAAATTAAAAACAAAAAAACAAAAAAGATTGTGCTGCATGGGAGGGTGTATGGGATTCCCAGTTGGGAAGTTCAGTGTGTGAGAATTCCCTTAGTTCTGAGTAGGATATTTTTTAAATATCCCACAATAGATATAGACGTACCTAAAAGCAGTGGTTTTCTAATCTCATCCTCACCCTAAATTTAGTGCATAGTTATTTTAAAGACAAATAACAATTTACAAGTAAATTATTACAATATTTTAAAATAGCCTAGTAACTTCCAGAGCAAGTATTCTAATTCAATGTGTATAAGGGCCAAGTAGACAATGTGAATGTGTAAAAGAGGCCAATTATGAAGCAACAATTAATATACTGCTTGCAATGCATAACCTGAGCCATTGGTCTGAGAACAGACACATGTTTCTCAGAATGTTGAGGATGTAAATTAATGAGTCCCTCAGAAATAATATTTCCTGATTTTACAGGTACTGCTTAGAGGGGTTTAAACATCTGAGCATTAAGTGTAAGAATTTGAGGCTGGTGCAGTGTCTCATGCTTGTAATCTTAACACTTTGGGAGGCTAAAGTGGGAAGAACACTTGAGCCCAGGAGTTCAAGACCAGCCTGGGCAACATGACAAGACCCCATCTCTACAAAAAATAAAAATTTACCCAGGCATGGTGGTATGTGCCTGTATACCCAGTTACTTGGCAGTCTGAGGTGGCAGGATGGCTTCAGCCTGGGAAAGAAGTCAAGGCTGCAGTGAGCTGTGATTGTACTGCTGCACTCCAGCTTGGGTAACAGAGAAAGACCCTCTCTCAAAAAGAAAAAAATATATATATTTGGGAGATTGAGAATTGGAATAAGGTGATATCTTTTAATTTATTCTTATAAAAAGACTTAAAAATTTTTTACCTGAGAAATAAATAATATAGAGGGTTGCCTTTATAAGATTTAAATCAGCAAATATTTATATTGGGGTAATATTTTAAAATTATTAAGCAATAGTTTGCATTTAGCATATTTCCCTATGTTCTCTGGGTCTTTGCCATTCAAGGATCTAGAAACTCTCATTAATTGCCTTGAGTAACGCTTGACAGAGAAGAATAAAGGGAATTGATTCTTTGGATTAGAATTTCAAAAGTCTAGTGTAGTGGACTGGTCTACCCCAATTTGGACATACACACCTGAAATTCAGGGGGCTGCCACTAGAGATAGTAGAGAATTGGCTGTTCCCTCTTAAAAAAAAAAAAGAGAGAAAGAAATTCTCAGTCAAGTCCTGTCACATATGCCAACATTTATTGGTAACCTGGCACAAACACACAAGTCATACATTGAACCTTGATGTTTCAGCTTCCTGTCACTCTGTGTATCCCCAAAATACTTCACAAGAGTGATTTACTGAAGCAAATGTGGCCATATTCCACCTTCAGGTGTAGTCAACTGTAAGAAGGGGATCAAGAAACGTCCCAGCTAGAAGCACAATTATGGGACCATTCATCCTAGAGAAGCACTATTGAGGCTTCAGGACAGATGACAGTTTTTATAGTCTTCTTATTCAATGAAAGAATCTTCCATATAATACTGTAGCCGACCCACTAATTTCACCAATAAAAGCTCATTTCTGATTTCCATTATGCTAATTAATAAGTTGTTTCTTTTACTAGTGGGGATCTATTTCTAACCTTCAGTTTAGAAATTACCGTACCTCTATTGTTGATGGGAGATAAAGATCATTGAAGTACTTAAAATATCATCCCTGGGTTTGATGAAAGATTAGTTGATGGCCGAGCGCAGTGGCTCACACCTGTAATCCCAGCACTTTGGGAGGCTGAGGCGGGCAGATCACGAGGTCAAGAGCTCGAGACCATCCTGGCCAACATGGTGAAACCCCATCTCTACTAAAAATACAAAAATTAGCTGGGCATGGTGACATGTGCCTATAGTCCCAGCTACTCGGGAGACTGAGGCAGGAGAATGGCTTGAATCCAGGAGGCAGAGGTTGCAGTCAGCCAAGATAGCGCCACTGCACTCCAGCCTGATGACAGAGCGAGACTCCGTCTCAAAAAAAAAAAAAAAAGATTAGTTGTTTATCCCTAGAGTGCATATTCTAATTACCCCAACTAAATGTTCTTAGCACCTAACTTAAAGCAAATAACACATACCTCAGGACTATATACTCATGCTGAAATTTTTTTTTTAAATGGTAGACATCATATAGTTCAAGATTAAGGGCCTGGAAATAACTCAAACAAAGACAATTGACAAAAATATCATGAGAAAAATAAAGTTCCTTTATTGGAGACTAGAAAAGATTCCTCAGCTAATAGGAAAGGAAAAAAGTTAGGAAGTGCTTGAAAAAGGAATAAGACCAGTTAGACTGGAGATAAGAGACAAAAGACAAGAACTAAAGAGTCTACTCAGAATGTGAGTTAACATCCAGAAACCACCTATTTTAGGAAACTCCTTTTTGCACCCCGACAGGAATAACATTCTCAGCAGAGAAACCAATTTCTTCTCCATTAAAATTAGCTCTATATATTATCAATGCAGAAATTCTATAAGGCATTAAAAAACTGAAATAAAAAAATTCATCTCTTTGAAGATTTCACAGTGCAGTAAGAGGACAGAAGCAGTATTTTAAATATTATAAAATATATTAAGATGTAATAAATAATAGAAAAGCAACATAATAAACTAAAATGCATACGGTGCTTTGGAGAGAGAAAGGGGTACATTTAGCTGGGTCAGAGGGTTCAGGGAAAGCTTTCTGGAGAGGATCAGTCAGAATAGAATCTAGATTGAAGTGTTGATTTAGAAGACTATTGCTTCAGTACAGAAGAGAGATGATCATGGGTAGTAGTGTTAAGACTAGAGAGCCAGAACTAATATTTAGAACATAAAATGAAGTCAGTGAAAAGTTGTAATGAGCAGTTAAGGATCGTGGAGAAATATGGCAAAAACTATTATCCATCTCCTCATTAAATCTATTTTCTCTTCTTCCTGGGCACTCAGCAGCACTATATGGCTTTGGTGGAGCCATCTTACTAAACGGAACATGAGGAGGTGATATATCTTTTCTGGGCCTGGCCTGTAAACTACCCCCATTCCTGATCCTTCATACATTTTTCTCCCTTGGTATTTGAAGATAATGAAACTCTGAGATGGACAGTGACTGATTTTTCTTAATCCCCTCTTGGAATAGATAATTCTGACTATCCAGACCATCATTCAAGACTTTGTATTGAGTAGGAAACCAACTTCTTTCTTTCATGTCTGAGTGATGATACACTTTGGAGTTTGCTGTTATAGTAGGATTATCCTTGGAAACAATAATGAAGGAAAACAACCAGATATTTGAATATGAATGAATAGTGGTGCCAACATAAAATAACACAGATGGAAGAACAGGTTTACAGAAAAAGATGATAGATCAGTTTTCCACATTCTGCAAATGAGGTGTCTGTGGAATGAATCCAAATAGGATATTGAATAGACACTTGGCTATTTGAATATGAAAGTCAAGAGGGAAAAATAAGCTTAGAGATTTAAATGATTTAATGATTTAAATGTTGATGTGCAGCAGCTGAGACTTAATTCTGAAGGTGATGGTAAAACAACGAGGAATTATTAAGCAAGGCAGTGACATAGGATTTTCCTTTTAGGAAAATTACTTTTATAGATAGTGTAGAGTGTGAGATTAGACAGACACTGTGTCATGCTAAAGGAATTAATCTTCACAAGATAATACACTATTTCCAATAGAAATTAAAGACCAAAACTTTTTCAACTTGAGGTATGACCCTTGCCCAAAGATGCTCAAGGTGAACTGAAAGCTACACTAAAATGTAGGAATGAACTTGTTTTGTTCTGATATTGCTCAAAGGTCTGACTACTATTGTTGTGAACAGATATAAATCAATTTCGCTATTCAACAGTTGTCAATTGTTCATTAAGTATTGGGAAGTCTCAGGAGATTATAAGTGTGGCAATTGTAGGGACTATACATATACCATATAAGTTATGATCTGAAGAGGGAGACATTTCTGGGAGTGAAAGGGAGTCCTTTTAATAATCATGCTGGAACAAAAATATAAGCCAGAATTGTCACAGGTAAATACATGATCACCCTAGCCACATGACCCTCCTGTATCCTGTCAGACAGTATGCGTCATTAAAAACAGAATTCAGACTAAGTTCTGCCAAACACATAGTCATAAAACTTATTTTTGTATGATTAGGGAAATCTTCATTCTCTATACTTAGATACTGCAGCAAGGTCTTTGAATAGGTTTACTTCATTTAGTTAAATGAGAAAAAGATTCTCAAGCTCTCTTCAAATAAATAATTTGAGTAGAATTTATTATATCTTCTTGAATAAATAGAAAAGAAAGAAATTACAAAGAACTTCTTTTTGCTTTAAAAAAGAACTTCATGGTTATCTATATGTTTCAGGATATAAATATGTGATTTAAATATTTTAGAACAATAATTTATTAAAGTACCAATCAGACATTTTGAGGTTATTGGTTATATTTTGCAGGACATAGCAACAATGTTGGAATCTTCACATGTTTCCTCACAGACAACTTTTTACAAATAAAATGTCCAAAATGTGTAAATGGTGGTTGGTCTTCACAGACTTCTTTTTTACAAATATTTCCAAAGATGATTTTTAACGATAACCAGAAAAGGGGGTTTATGAATCATGTTTACACAGTCTCCATAGTGAATAGGGGGAGTAAGACTAATATATTCATGACATCATCACTTCACTATTTTATGAAAACTGATTTTGTGGTACCAAAAGGGATCTGCTTATTTTTAGTTATAAAGGAGAAAGAAATATCAACTACTTTTTCGTTATGAGATATTTGCTTTCACCAGCAAATAAGAGGACATAAAATGTTAAGGAAAAGTTACTAGATTCTCAATAGTTAGCAGTGAAACAAAAATGTGAAAAAGCAAGTCCCAGAAACATAAAACTTTCAGTATGAAGTATGCTAGAAGAGACTTTTAGCAAAAGGGATATTATATAATGTTTTGAATCTTACACGTGAAGGTGGAAACAAAGATACTTTGATGTCAGGAAAAGTCAACCATATTGATAGAGAGCATGCTAGAGTTTTCCACGAAATATGTAAAGGCAGTGCCAAAAGGAATTGTAGAATTTGAGGGTAGGTCTCAATGGGGTACAGAGCATGTGTGATACTTATACCTTGTTCATGCAGGAGTGGTAGCCAACCATATAACCTGAGCACCATTTATTTTACCAACAAAATTTTGATTATGATCTCTTGGCATTGATTTTGGTTACAATTTTTTGAAGTGTTTATGTAGTTACGTTTCTTCTACAGTGTGAATTCCTTATTATATATTTCAAATGCTAAGTCATTACCTCCAACTTATATACATAGTCTCATATAAATAACAATGTTAATATGGAAGTATTTTTAATGTACAAATATAAAAACTATGAACCATAAACAACAAAACAGTTGTCTCTGTATTCTAAGGCCTTGTGAGCAAGTTTCCCTTTTCATCCAGTTTCTCTTTATGTTTTAAAGAATGAAGACAAACTACAGTCTCAAATTATTACCTTGTAATGTATAGAAAATACTGAGCTCACTGATTTCTATGGGTGCTTTCTCTCAATATGTACCATGTCTATAAAAGCCAAAGATGACTGCGAGGTTTTCAAAGCATGAAAAGGGTTTCCTTGGGATCTAGGAAGTAGCACTAGAAGCCCTATTCTATTTTTTTATTTTTTTTTTAATTTCCATAGGTTATTGGGGAACAGGTGGTGTTTTGTTACACGAGTAAGTTCTTTAGTGGTGATTTGTGAGATTTTGGTGCACCTGTCACCCAAGCAGTACACACTGCACCCTATTTGTAGTTTTTTACCCCTCACCCCCTTCCAATCCTTTCCCCCTGAGTCCCCAAAGGCCATTGTGTAATTCTTATGCCTTTGCATCCTCATAGCTTAGCTCCACTTAGGGGTGAGAACATACGACGTTTGGTTTTCCATTCCTGAGTTACTTCACTTAGAATAATAGTCTCTAATCTCATCCAGGTCACTGTGAATGGGACTAATTCATTCCTTTTTATGGCTGAGTGGTATTCCATCATATATACCACAGGTTCTGATGCTACTGATATATATATACACATCTGATACATAGATATATACACATCTGATTATATATATATATATATATATATATATACATCTATCTATCTATCTCACAGGTTCTTTGTCCACTCATTGATTGATAGGCATTTGGGTTGGTTCCACGTTTTTGCAATTGCAAATGGTGCTGCTATAAACATACATGTGTAAGTAAGTATCTTTATCGTAGAATGACTTCTTTTCTTCTGGGTAGATACCCAGTGGTGGGATTGTTGGATCATATGGTACTTCTACTTTTAATTCTTTAAGGAATCTCCACTCTGTTTTCCATAGTGGTTGTATTAGTTTACATTCCCACCAGCAGTGTAGAAGTGTTCCCTTTTCACTGCATCCATGCCAACATCTATTATTTTTTAATTTTTTGATTATGGCCATTCTTGCATGAGTTAGGCAGTATCACTTGTAGTTCTGATTTGCATTTCCCTGATCATTAGTGATGTTGAGTATTTTTTCATATGTTCGTTGGCCATTTGTATGTCTTCTTTTGAGAGTTGTCTATTCATGTCCTTAGCCCACTTATAGATGGGATTGTTTTATTCTTGCTGATTTGAGTTTGTTTTAGATCCTGGATACTGTCCTTTGTCAGACGTATAGATAGTGAAGATTTTCTCCTACTCTGTAAGTTGCCTGTTTACTCTGCTGTTACTTTTGCCCCACAAAAGCTCTTTAGTTTAATTAAGTTTTAGCTATTTATGTTTGTTTTTATTGCATTTGCTTTTAGGTTCTTGGCCATTAAATCCTTTCCTAAGACAATGTCTAGAAAGGTTTTTCCAATGTTATCTTACAGAACGTTTAAAGTTTCAGGTCTCTGATTTAAGTCCTTAATCCATCTTGAGTTGATTTTTGTATAAGATAAGAGATGAGGATCCAGTTTTATTCTCCTACATGTGGCTAGCCAATTATCCCAGCATCATTTGTTGAATAGAATGTCCTTTCTGCACTTTTTGTTTTTGTTTGCTTTGTTGAAGATCAGTTGGCTGTGAGTATTTGGGTTTACTTCTGGGTTCTCTATTCTGTTCCATTGGTCTATGTGTCTATTTGTATATCACTACCATGCTGTTTTGGTGACTATGACCTTACAGGGTAGTTTAAAAGCAGATAATGGGATGCCTCCAGATTTATCCTTTTTGCTTAGTCTTGTTTTGGCTATGCAGGCTCATTTTTGCTTCCATATGAATTTTAGAATTGCTTTTTCTAATTCTGTGAAGAATGATGGTGGTATTTTGATGGGGATTGCATTGAATTTGTAGATTGCTTTTGTGAGTATGGTCATTTTCACAATATTGATTCTACCCATCCATCATCATGGGGTAAGTTTCCATCTGTTTGTGTCATCTACGATTTCTTTAAGCAGTGTTCCATAGTTTTTCTGTACAGATCTCTCACCTCCTTGGTTATGTATATTGTTAGGTATTTTATTTTTTGCAGCTATTGTAAAAAGGGAGTTGAGCTGTTAATTTGATTCTCAGCTTGGTTGCTGTTGGTGTATAGCAGAGCTACTGAGTTGTGTACAAATTTGTTTGATGAATTCAGTTATCAGTTCTCATAGCTTTTTGGAGGAGTCTTTAGGGTTTTCTAAGTAAACAATCATATCATCAGCAAACAGCAAAAGTTTGACTTATTTTTGCCGATCTGGATGCCCTTTATTTCTTTCTCTTGTCTGATTACTCTGGCTGACTTCCAGTACTATGTTGAACAGAAGTGGTGAGAGCGGGCATCCTTGTCTTATTCTAGTTCTCAGGGGAAATGCTTTCAACTTTTCCCCATTCAGCATTATATTAGCTGTTGGTTTGTTATAGATGGGGTTTATTACATTCAAGTGTGTCCTTGAATGTTGATTTTGCTGAGAGTTTTAACCATAAAGGAATGCTGGATTTTGTCTAATCCTTTTTCTGCATCTATTCAGATGATCATGTGATTTTCGTTTTTAATTCTGTTTATGTGGTGTATCACATTTATTGATTTGCGTATGTTAAACCATTCCTGCATCCCTGGTATGAACCCAACTTGATCATGGTAGATTATCTTTTTGATACATTGTTAGATTCAGTTAGCTAGTATTTTGTTAAGGATTTCGTCATCTATGTTCATCAGGGACATTGGTCTGTAGTTCTTTGTTGTTGTTGTTGTTATGTCCTTTCCTGGTTTTCGTATTATGGTGATACTGGCTTCATAGGATGATTTAGGGAGGGTTCAGTCTTTATCTTGTGGAATACGGTCAGTAGGTTTGGTACCAATTCTTCTTTGAATGTCTGGTAGAGTTCTGCTATGACTCCATCTGCTCCTGGACTTATTTTAATTGTAATTTTTTTTTGTTTATGTTTCTTTCTCTTTTCTTTTTTTTATTATTATACTTTAAGTTTTAGGGTACATGTGCACATTGCGCAGGTTAGTTACATATGAATACATGTGCCATGCTGGTGCGCTGCACCCACTAACTCATCATCTAGCGTTAGGTATATCTCCCAATGCTATCCCTCCCCGCTCCCCACACCCCACAACAGTCCCCAGAGTGTGATGTTCCCCTTCCTGTGTCCATGTGTTCTCATTGTTCAATTCCTACCTGTGAGTGAGAATATGCGGTGTTTGGTTTTTTGTTCTTGTGATAGTTTACTGAGAATGATGATTTCCAATTTCATCCATGTCCCTACAAAGGACGTGAACTCATCATTTTTTATGGCGGCATAGTATTCCATGGTGTATATGTGCCACATTTTCTTAATCCAGTCTGTCATTGTTGGACATTTGAGTTGGTTCCAAGTCTTTGCTATTGTGAATAATGCCGCAATAAACATACGTGTGCATGTGTCTTTCTAGCAGCATGATTTATAGTCCTTTGGGTATATACCCAGTAATGGGATGGCTGGGTCAAATGGTATTTCTAGTTCTAGATCCCTGAGGAATCGCCACACTGACTTCCACAATGGTTGAACTAGTTTACAGTCCCACCAACAGTGTAAAAGTGTTCCTATTTCTCCACATCCTCTCCAGCACCTGTTGTTTCCTGACTTTTTAATGATCGCCACACTAACTGCTGTGAGATGATATCTCATAGTGGTTTTGATTTGCATTTCTCTGATGGCCAGTGATGGTGAGCATTTTTTCATGTGTTTTTTTGGCTGCGTAAATGTCTTCTTTTGAGAAGTGTCTGTTCATGTCCTTCACCCACCTTTTGATGGGGTTGTTTGTTTTTTTCTTGTAAATTTGTTTGAGCTCATTGTAGATTCTGGATATTAGCCCTTTGTCAGATGAGTAGGTTGCAAAAATTTTCTACCATTTTGTAGGTTGCCTGTTCACTCTGATGGTAGTTTCTTTTGCTGTGCAGAAGCTCTTTAGTTTAATGAGATCCCATTTGTCAATTTTGGCTTTTGTTGCCATTGCTTTTGGTGTTTTAGACATGAAGTCCTTGCCCATGCCTATGTCCTGAATGGTAATGCCTAGGTTTTCTTCTAGGGTTTTTATGGTTTTAGGTCTAACGTTTAAGTCTTTAATCCATCTTGAATTGATTTTTGTATAAGATGTAAGGAAGGGATCCAGTTTCAGCTTTCTACATATGGCTAGCCAGTTTTCCCAGCACCATTTATTAAATAGGGAATCCTTTCCCCATTGGTTGTTTTTCTCAGGTTTGTCAAAGATCAGAGAGTTGTAGATATGTGGCGTTATTTCTGAGGGCTTTGTTCTGTTCCATTGATCTACATCTCTGTTTTGGTATCAGTACCATGCTGTTTTGGTTACTGTAGCCTTGTAGTATAGTTTGAAGTCAGGTAGTGTGATGCCTCCAGCTTTGTTCTTTTGGCTTAGGAGTGACTTGGCAATGCAGGCTCTTTTTTGGTTCCATATAAACTTTAA
This sequence comes from Homo sapiens, assembly GCF_000001405.40. Taxonomy (NCBI): domain Eukaryota; kingdom Metazoa; phylum Chordata; class Mammalia; order Primates; family Hominidae; genus Homo; species Homo sapiens. The sequence continues at coordinate 183,854,037 of NC_000002.12, read as the reverse complement.
AGTAGTTTTTTCCAATTCTGTGAAGAAAGGCGTTAGTAGCTTGATGGGGATGGCATTGAATCTGTAAATTACCTTGGGCAGTATGGCCATTTTCACAATATTGATTCTTCCTACCCATAAGTGTGGAATGTTCTTCCATTTGTTTGTATCCTCTTTTATTTCCTTGAGCAGTGGTTTGTAGTTCTCCTTGAAGAGGTCCTTCACATCCCTTGTAAGTTGGATTCCTAGGTATTTTATTCTCTTTGAAGCAATTGTGAATGGGAGTTCACTCATGATTTGGCTCTCTGTTTGTCTGTTATTGGTGTATAAGAATGCTTGTGATTTTTGTACATTGATTTTGTATCCTGAGACTTTGCTGAAGTTGCTTATCAGCTTAAGGAGATTTTGGGCTGAGACAATGGGGTTTTCTAGATATACAATCATGTCGTCTGCAAACAGAGACAATTTGACTACCTCTTTTCCTAATTGAACACCCTTTATTTCCTTCTCCTTCCTGATTGCCCTGGCCAGAACTTCCAACACTATGTTGAATAGGAGTGGTGAGAGAGGTCATCCCTGTCTTGTGCCAGTTCTCAAAGGGAATGCTTCCAGTTTTTGCCCGTTCAGTATGATATTGGCTGTGGGTTTGTCACAGATAGCTCTTATTATTTTGAAATACGTCCCATCAATACCTAATTTATTGAGAGTTTTTAGCATGAAGCGTTGTTGAATTTTGTCAAAGGCCTTTTGTGCATCTATTGAGATAATCATGTGGTTTTTGTCTTTGGCTCTGTTTATATGCTGGATTACATTTATTGATTTGTGTATATTGAACCAGCCTTGCATCCCAGGGATGAAGCCCACTTGATCATGGTGGATAAGCTTTTTGATGTGCTGCTGGATTCGGTTTGCCAGTATTTTATTGAGGATTTTTGCATCAATGTTCATCAAGGATATTGGTCTAAAATTCTCTTTTTTTGTTGTGTCTCTGCCAGGCTTTGGTATCAGGATGATGCTGGCCTCATAAAATGAGTTAGGGAGGATACCCTCTTTTTCTATTGATTGGAATAGTTTCAGAAGGAATGGTACCAGTTTCTCCTTGTACCTCTGGTAGAATTCGGCTGTGAATCCATCTGGTCCTGGACTCTTTTTGGTTGGTAAACTATTGATTATTGCCACAATTTCAGACCCTGTTATTGATCTATTCAGTGATTCAACCTCTTCCTGGTTTAGTCTTGGGAGAGTGTATGTGTCGAGGAATTTATCCATTTCTTCTGGATTTTCTAGTTTATTTGCGTAGAGGTGTTTGTAGTATTCTCTGATGGTAGTTTGTATTTCTGTGGGATCGGTGGTGATATCCCCTTTATCATTTTTTATTGTGTCTATTTGATTCTTCTCTCTTTTTTTCTTTATTAGTCTTGCTAGTGGTCTATCTATTTTGTTGATCCTTTCAAAAAACCAGCTCCTGGATTCATTAATTTTTTTGAAGGGTTTTTTGTGTCTCTATTTCCTTCAGTTCTGCTCTGATTTTAGTTATTTCTTGCCTTCTGCTAGCTGTTTAATGTGTTTGCTCTTGCTTTTCTTGTTCTTTTAATTGTGATGTTAGGGTGTCAATTTTGGATCTTTCCTGCTTTCTCTTGTGGGCATTTAGTGCTATAAATTTCCCTCTACACACTGCTTTGAATGCGTCCCAGAGATTCTAGTATGTTGTGTCTTTGTTCTCGTTGGTTTCAAAGAACATCTTTATTTCTGCCTTCATTTCGTTATGTACCCAGTAGTCATTCAGGAGCAGGTTGTTCAGTTTCCATGTAGTTGAGCGGTTTTGAGTGAGATTCTTAATCCTGAGTTCTAGTTTGATTGCACTGTGGTCTGAGAAATAGTTTGTTATAATTTCTGTTCTTTTCCATTTGCTGAGGAGAGCTTTACTTCCAAGTATGTGGTCAATTTTGGCATAGGTGTGGTGTGGTGCTGAAAAAAATGTATATTCTGTTGATTTGGGGTGGAGAGTTCTGCAGATGTCTATTAGGTCCGCTTGGTGCAGAGCTGAGTTCAATTCCTGGGTATCCTTGTTGAATTTCTGTCTCATTGATCTGTCTAATGTTGACAGTGGGGTGTTAAAGTCTCCCATTATTAATGTGTGGGAGTCTAAGTCTCTTTGTAGGTCACTCAGGACTTGCTTTATGAATCTGGGTGCTCCTGTATTGGGTGCATATATATTTAGGATAGTTAGCTCTTCTTGTTGAATTGATCCCTTTACCATTATGTAATGGCCTTCTTTGTCGCTTTTGATCTTTGTTGGTTTAAAGTCTGTTTTATCAGAGACTAGGACTGCAACCCCTGCCTTTTTTTGTTTTCCATTTGCTTGGTAGATCTTCCTCCATCCTTTTATTTTGAGCCTATGTATGTCTCTGCACATGAGATGGGTTTCCTGAATACAGCACACTGATGGGTCTTGACTCTTTATCCAATTTGCCAGTCTGTTTCTTTTAATTGGAGCATTTAACCCATTTACATTTAAAGTTCATATTGTTATGTGTGAATTTGATCCTGTCATTATGATGTTAGCTGGTTATTTTGCTCATTAGTTGATGCAGTTTCTTCCTAGTCTAGATGGTCTTTACATTTTGACATGATTTTGCAGCAGCTGGTACCGGTTGTTCCTTTCCATGTTTAGCACTTCCTTCAGGAGCTCTTTTAGGGCAAGCCTGGTGGTGACAAAATCTCTCAGCATTTGCTTGTCTGTAAAGTATTTTATTTCTCCTTCACTTATGAAGCCTAGTTTGGCTGGATATGAAATTCTGGGTTGAAAATTCTTTTCTTTAAGAATGTTGAATATTGGCCCCCACTCTCTTCTGGCTTGTAGAGTTTCTGCTGAGAGATCCGCCGTTAGTCTGATGGGCTTCCCTTTGAGGGTAACCCGACCTTTCTCTCTGGCTGCCCTTAACATTTTTTCCTTCGTTTCAACTTTGGTGAATCTGACAATTATGTGTCTTGGAGTTGCTCTTCTCAAGGAGTATCTTTGTGGTGTTCTCTGTATTTCCTGAATCTGAACGTTGGTCTGCCTTGCTAGACTGGGGAAGTTCTCCTGGATAATATCCTGCAGAGTGTTTTCCAACTTGGTTCCATTCTCCTTGTCACTTTCAGGTACACCAATCAGACGTAGATTTGGTCTTTTCACATAGTCCCATATTTCTTGGAGGCTTTGCTCATTTCTTTTTATTCTTTTGTCTCTAAACTTCCCTTCTCGCTTCATTTCATTCATTTCATCTTCCATTGCTGATACCCTTTCTTCCAGTTGATCGCATCAGCCCCTGAGGCTTCTGCATTCTTCATGTAGTTCTCGAGCCTTGGTTTTCAGCTCCATCAGGTCCTTTAAGTGCTTCTCTGCATTGGTTATTCTAGTTATACATTCTTCTAAATTTTTTTCAAAGTTTTCAACTTCTTTGCCTTTGGTTTGAATGCCCTCCCGTAGCTCTGAGTAATTTGATCGTCTGAAGCTTTCTCCTCTCAGCTCCACAAAGTCATTCTCCATCCAACTTTGTTCCATTGCTGGTGAGGAACTGTGTTCCTTTGGAGGAGGAGAGGTGCTCTGCTTTTTAGAGTTTCCAGTTTTTCTGCTCTGTTTTTTCCCCATCTTTGTGGTTTTATCTACTTTTGGTCTTTGATGATGGTGATGTACAGATGGGTTTTTGGTGTGGATGTCCTTTCTGTTTGTTAGTTTTCCTTCTAACAGACAGGACCCTCAGCTGCAGGTCTGTTGGAGTACCCGGCCGTGTGAGATTTCAGTGTGCCCCTGCTGGGGGTGCCTCCCAGTTAGGCTGCTCAGGGGTCAGGGGTCAGGGACCCACTTGAGGAGGCGGTCTGCCTGTTCTCAGATCTCCAGCTGTGTACTGGGAGAACCACTGCTCTCTTCAAGGCTGTCAGACAGGGACATTTAAGTCTGCAGAGGTTACTGCTGTCTTTTTGTTTGTCTGTGCCCTGCCCCCAGAGGTGGAGCCTACAGATGCAGGCCTCCTTGAGCTGTGGTGGGCTCCACCCAGTTCGAGCTACCCGGCTGCTTTGTTTACCTAAGCAAGCCTGGGCAATGGCGGGCGCCCCTCCCCCAGCCTCACTGCTGCCTTGCAGTTTGATCTCAGACTGCTGTGCTAGCAATCAGCGAGACTCAGTGGGCATAGGATCCTCAGAGCCAGGTGCGGAATATAATCTCGTGGTGCGCCGTTTTTTAAGCCCGTCAGAAAAGCGCAGTATTCTGGTGGGAGTGACTTGATTTTCCAGGTGCCGTCCGTCACCCCTTTCTTTGACTAGGAAAGGGAACTCCCTGACCCTGTGCACTTCCTGAGTGAGGCAATGCTCGCCCTGCTTCGGCTCGCGCACAGTGCACGCACCCACTGACCTGCACCCACTGTCTGGCACTCCCTAGTGAGATGAACCTGGTACCTCAGATGGAAATGCAGAAATCACCTGTCTTCTGCGTCGCTCACGCTGGGAGCTGTAGACCGGAGCTGTTCCTATTCGGCCATCTTGGCTCCTCCCCCCTGTAATTTTTTAATTACCATTTCAATCTTGCTGCTTGTTATTGGTCTGTTCAGGGTATCTAATTCTTCCTGATTTAAGCTAGGAGGGTTCTATCTTTCCAGGAATTTATCCATCTCTTCTAGGTCTTGTGGTTTATGTGCATAAAGGTGTTTATAGTAGCCTTGGATAATCTTTATTTCTATGGTGTCAGTTGTAATATCTCCCATTTCATTTCTTATTGAGCTTATTTGGATTTTCTCTCTTCTTGGTTGATCATGCTAATGATCTATCAATTTTATTGATCTTTTCAAAGAACCAGATTTTGTTTATCTTTTGTATTGTTTTTGTTTGTTTCTTTGTTTCAAGTTCATTTAGTTCTGTTCTGATCTTGGTTATTGTCTTTATTCTGCTGGGTTGGGGTTTGGTTTGTTCTTGTTTCTCTATTTGCTTGAAGTGTGACCTTAGATTGTCTGTTTGTGCTCTTTCTGACTTTTTGATGTAGGTGTTTATGTCTATGAACTTTCCTCTTAGCAGTGCATTTGCTGTATTCCAGAGGTTTTGATAGACTGTGTCACTATTGTCATTCAGTTCAAAAAAATTGTTAATTTCCGTCTTGATTTCATTTTTGACCCAGTGGTCATTCAGGAGCCAGTTGTTTAACTTTCATGTATTTGCATGGTTTTGAAGACTTCTTTTGGAGTTAATTTCCAGTTTTATTCCACTGTGATCTGAGACAGTGCTTGATATAATTTCAATTTTCATAAATTTCTTGATGCTCATTTTGTGGCCTATCATATGATCTATCTTGGAAAAATTTCCATGCACTGTTGAACAGAATGTATATTCTGTAGTTTTTGGATGGAACATTCTGTATATATATGTTATGTCCATTTGTCCCAGGATATAGTTTAAATCCATTGTTTCTTTGTTGATTTTCTATCTTGATGACCTGTCCAGTGCTATAAGTGGAGTATTAAAGTCCCCCATTGTTATTGTGTTCCTGTCTATCTCACTTCTTAGGTCTATTGGTAGCTGTTTTATGAAATTGGGAGCTCCAGTGTTAGGTGCATGTATGTTTAGGATTGTGATATTTTCCTGTTGGACAAGGCTGTTCATCATTATATAATGTCCCCCTTTGTCTTTTTTAACTGCTGTTGCTTTAAAGTTTGTTTTGTCTGATATAAGAATAGCTACTCCCACTCACTTTTGGTGTCTATTTGCATGAAATATCTATTTCCAAGTCTTTACCTTAAGTTTGTGTGAGTCCTTATGTGTTAGGTATATCTCTTGAAAGCAGCAGATAGTGGGTTGGTGAATTCTTATCCATTCTGCAATCCTGTATCTTTTAAGCGGAGCATTTAGGCAGTTTAAATTCAATGTTAGTATTGAGATGTGATGTGCCATTCCATTCATCGTGCTATTTGCTTGTATACCTTGGTTTTTGTCTTGTTTTTTAAGTTGTATTTTTGTTTTATAGACCCTGTTAGATTTATGCTTTAAAGACATTCTGTTTTGATGTTTTTCCTGGATTTGTTTCAAGGTTTAGGGCTCTTTTTAGCAGTTGCTTTTTTTTTTTTTTAATACTGTAAGTTCTGGGATACATGTGCAGAACATGCAGTTTTGTTACATGGGTAAACATGTGCCATGGTGGTTTGCTGCACCCATCAATCCATCACCTGCATTAGGTATTTCTCCTAATGCTATCCCTTCCCCTAGCCCCCCACCCCCTGACAGGCCCTGGTGTGTGATGTTCCCCTCCCTGTGTCCATTTGTTCTCATTGTTAAACTCCCACTATGAGTGAGAATTTGTGGTGTTTGGTTTTCTGTTCCTGTGTTAGTTTGCTGAAAATGGTTTCCAGCTTCATCCATATTCCTGCAAAGGACATGAACTTATCCTTTTCTATGGCTATATAGTATTCCATGGTGTACATGTGCCACATTTTCTTTATCCAGTCTATCATTGAAGGACATTTGGGTTGGTTCCAAATCTTTGCTATTGTGAATAGTGCTGCAATAAACATATGTGTGCATGTGCCTTTATAGCAGCATGATTTATAATCCTTTGGGTATAGACCCAGTAATAAGAATACTGGGTCAAGTGGTATTTCTGGTTCTAGATCCTTGAGGAATCACCACACTGTCTTTCACAATGGTTGAAATAATTTACTCCCACCAACAGTGTAAAAGTGTTCCTATTTCTCCACATCCTCTCCAGCATCTGTTGTTTCCTAACTTTTTAATGACTGCCATGCTAACTGGCGTGAGATGGTATCTCATTGTGGTTTTGATTTGCATTTTTCTAATGACCAGTGATGATGAGCATTTTTTCATATGTTTGTTGGCTGTATAAATGTCTTCTTTTGAGAAGTGTCTGTTCATATCCTTCACCCACTTTTTGATGGGGTTGTTTTTTTTCTTGTAAATTTGTTTGAGTTCTTTGTAGATTCTGGATATTATTCACCCTTTGTCAGATGAATAGATTGCAAAAAATTTCTCCCATCCTGTAAAGTTGCCTGTTCACTCCGATGAGAGTTTATTTTGCTGTGCAGGAGCTCTTTATTTAGATCCCATTTGTCAATCTTGGCTTTTGTTGCCATTGGTTTTGGTGTTTTAGTCATGAAGTCTTTGCCAATGCCTATGTCCTGAGTGGTATTGCCTAGGTTTTCTTCTAGGATGTTAATGCCTTTAGGTCTTATGTTTAATTCTTTAATTCCTCTTGAGTTATTTTTGTAAAAGGTGTAAGGAAGGGATCCAGCTTCAGTTTTCTGCATATGGCTAGTCAGTTTCCCAACACCATTTATTAAATAGGGAATCATTTCCCCATTGCTTGTTTTTGTCAGGTTTGTCAAAGATCTGATGATTGTAGATGTGTGGCTTTATTTCTGAGGCTTCTGTTCTGTTCCATTGGTCTATATATCTGTTTTGGTACCAGTACCATGCTGTTTTGGTTACTGGAGCCTTGTAGTATAGTTTGAAGTCAGGTAGCATAATGCTGCCAGCTTTGTTCTTTTTGCTTAGAATTGTCTTGGCTATAGAAGCTTGTTTTAGATTCAATATGAAATTTAAAGTATTTTTTCTAATTCTGTGAAGAAAGTCATTGGTAGCTTGATGGATATAGCATTGAATCTATAAATTCCTTTGGGCAGTATGGCCATGTTCACAATATTGATTCTTCCTATCCATGAGCATGGAATGTTTTTCCATTTGTTTGTGTCCTCTCTTACTTCCTTGAGCAGTGGTTTGTAGTTCTTCTTGAAGAGGTCCTTCACATCCCTTGTAAGTTGTATTCCTAGGTATTTTATTCTCTTTGTAGCAGTTGTGAATGGGAGTTCACTCATGATTTGACTCTCTGTTAATCTGTTATTGGTGTTTAGGAATGCTTGTGATTTTGCACAGTGACTTTGCATCCTAAGGCTTTGCTGAAGTTGCTTACCAACTTAAACAGATTTGGGGCTGAGATGATGAAGTTTTCTAAATATACAATCATGTCATCTGCAAACAGAGGCATTTTGACTTCCTCTCTTTCCATTTAAATACCCTTTATTTCCTTATCTTGCCTGATTGCCCTGGCCAGAACTTCCAATAATATGTTGAATAGGAGTGGTGAGAGAGGGCATCCTTGTCTTGTGCTGGTTTTCAGAGGGAATGCCTCCAGCTTTTGCCCATTCAGTATGATATTGGCTATGGGTTTGTCACAAATAGTTCTTATTATTTGGAAATACCTTCCATCAATACCTAGTTTATTGAGAGTTTTTAGCATGTAGGGGTGTTGAACTTTATCAAACGTCTTTCTGCATCTATTGAGATAATCATGTAGTTTTTAAATTTGTTCTCTTTGGTGGATAAGCTTTTTGTTGTGCTGCTGGATTCAGTTTGCCAGTGTTTATTGAAGATTTTTGCATCGATGCTCATCAGGGATATTGGCCTGAAATTTTCTTTTTTTGTTGTCTCTGCCAGGTTTTGGTATCAGGATAATGCTGGCTTCATAAAATGAGTTAGGGAGGAGTCTGTCTTTTTCTATTGCTTGGAATATTTTCAGAAGGAATGATATCAGCTCCTCTTTCTACCTCTCATGGAATTCAGCTGTGAATCCGTCTGGTCCTGGGCTTTTTTTAGTTGGTAGGCTATTAATTACTTTCTCGATTTCAGAAATTGTTATTGTTCTATTCAGGGATTCGACTTCTTCTTGGTTTAGTCTTGGAAAGGTGTATGTGTCTAGGAATTTATCAATTTCTTCTAGATTTTCTAGTTTATTTGTGTAGAGGTGTTCGTAGTATTCTCTGATGGTAGTTTGTATTTCCATGTGATCAGTGGTGATATCCCCTTTATCATTTTTTATTGTGTCTATTTGATTCTTCTCTCTTTTCTCCTGTATTAATCAAGCTAGCAATCTATCCATTTTGTTAATCTTTTCAAAAAACCAGCTCCTGGATTCATTGATTTTTTGAAGGGATTTTCGTGTCTCTACCTCTTTCTGTTCTGCTCTGATCTTAGTTATTTCTTGCTTTCTGCTAGCTTTTGAATTTGTTTGCTCTTGCTTTTCTAGTTCTTTTAATTGTGATGCTAGGCTGTTTATTTTAGATCTTTCCTGCTTTCTCCTGTGGGCATTTAGTGCTGTAAATTTCCCTCTAAGCATGACTTTAGCTGTGTCCCAGAGATTCTGGTATGTTGTGTTTTTTTCTCATTGATTTAGAACTTCTTTATTTCTGCCTTCATTTTGTTATTTACCCCATAGTCATTCGGAAGCAGGTTGTTCAGTTTCCATGTAGTTGTGTGGTTTTTCATGAGTTTCTAATCCTGAGTTCTAATTTGATTGCAATGTGGTCTGAGAGACTATTATGATTTCTGTCCTTTTGCATTTGCTGAGGAGTGTTTTACTTCCAGTTATGTGGTCAATTTTAGAATAAGTACAATGTGGTGCTGAGAAGAATTTATACTCTGTTGATCTGGGGTGGAGTCCTGTAGATGTCTATTACGTCTGCTTGGTCCAGAGCTGAGTTCAAGTCATGAATATCCTTGTTAATTTTCTGTCTCGTTTGTCTGTCTAATACTGACAGTGGGGTGTTAAAGTCTCCCACTATTATTGTGTGGGTGTCTAAGTCTCTCTGTAGGTCTCTAAGAACTTGCTTTATGAATCTGAGTGCTCCTGTATTGGGTGCATATAAATTTAGGAGAGTTAGCTCCTCTTCTTGCATTGATCCCTTTACCATTATGTAATTCCCTTCTTTGTCTTTTTTTAATCTTTGTTGGTTTAAAGTCTGTTTTATCAGAGGCTAGGATTGCAGCACATGAGGGTTTTTTGTTTTGTTTTGTTTTTTGTTTTGTTTTGTTTTGTTTTTGCTTTCCATTTGCTTGGTAAATGTTCCTCCAACCCTTCATTTTGAGCCTATGTGTGTCTTTGCACGTGAGATGGGTCTCCTGAATACAGCACACCGATGGGTCTTGACTTCTTACCCAATTTGCCAGTCTGTGTCTTTTAATTGGGGCATTTAGCCCATTTAAATTTAAGGTTAATATTGTTATGTGTGGATTTGATCCTGTCATTATGATGCTAGCTGGTTATTTTGCCTGTTAGTTCATGCAGTTTCTTCATAGTGTTGATGGTCTTTACAATTTGGTATGTTTTTGCAGTGACTGGTACTGGTTTTTCCTTTCCATATTTAGTGCTTCCTTCAGGAGCTCTTTTAAAGCAGGCCTGGTGGTGACAAAATCTTTCAGTATTTGCTTGTCTTTAAAGAATTTTATTTATCCTTCAATTATGAAGCTTAGTTTGGCATGATATGAAATTCTGGGTTGAAAATTCTTTTCTTTAAGAATGCTGGATATTGGGCCCCACTCTCTTCTGCCATGGAGGGTTTCTGCAGAGAGATCTGCTGTTGGTCTGATGGGCTTCCCTTTGTTGGTAACCTGAACTTTCTCTCTGGCTGCCCTTAACATTTTTTCTCTCATTTCATCCTTGGTGAATCTGATGATTATGTGTCTTGAGGTTGCTCTTCTCCAGGAGTATCTTTGTGGTGTTCTCTGTATTTCCAGAATTTGAATGTTGGCCTGCCCTGCTAGTAAATGGGGAAGTTCTGGATAATATCCTGAAGGGTGTTTTACAACTTGGCTCCATTCTCCCTGTCACTTTCAGGTACACCAAACAAATGTAGGTTTTGTCTTTTCACATAGTTTTATATTTTTTGGAGGCTTTGTTCATTCCTTTTTTTTTCTTTTTTCTCTAATCTTGTCTCCACACTTTATTTCATTAAGTTGATCTTCAATTTCTGATATCCTTTCTTCTGCTTGATTGATTCAGCGATTGATACTTTTGTATCCTTCATGAAGTTCTCATGTTGTTTTTTTCAGCTCCATCATGTCATTTATGTTCTTCTCTAACCTGGTTATTCTAATTAGTAATTCCTCTAACCTTTTTTTCAAGTCTTAGCTTCCTTGCATTGGATTAGAACATGCTCCTTTAGCTTGGAGGAGTTTGTTATTACCCACTTTCTGAAGCCTACTTCTGTCAATTTGTCAAACTCATTCTCCATTCAGTTTTGCTCCCTTGCTGGTGAGGAATTGTGATCCTTTGGAGGATAAGTGGCTTTCTGGTTTTTGGAATTTTCAATCTTTTTGTGCTGGTTTTTCCTCATCTTCTTCAATTTATCTACATTTGTTCTCTGATGTTGGTAACCTTCGGATGTGGTTTATGTGTGGATGTCCTTTTTGTTTATGTTTTGCTATTCCTTTCTGTTTATTTTCCCTTTTCACAGTCAGGTCCCTGTGCTGCAGGTCTGCTGGAATTTGCTGGAGGTCCACTCCAGGCCCTGTTTGCCTGTGTATCACCATCGGAGGCTGCAGAACAGCAAAGATTGTTACCCGTTCCTTCCTCTGGAAGCTTCATCCCGGAGGGCACCCACCAGATGCCAGCCAAAGCTCTTATCTATGAGGTGTCTATTGACCCCTACTGGGAGGTGTCTCCCTGTCAGGAGGTACGGGGGTGAGGGACCCACTCAAGGAGGCCGTCTGTCCCTTAGCGGAGCTCGAGCACTGTGCTGGGAGATTCGCTGCTCTTTTCAGAGCTGGCAGGCAGGAACGTTTAAGTCTGCTGATGCTGCGCCCACAGTTGCCCCTTCCCCCAGTTGCTCCATCCCAGGGAGATGGGAGTTTATCTATAAGCCCCTGACTGGGGCTGCTTCCTTTCTTTCAGAGATGCGCTGCCCAGATAGAAGGAATCAAGAGAGGCAGTCTGGATACAGTGGCTGTATAGCTGCAGTGGGATCTACCCATTTTGAACTTTTCTGGCAGCTTTGTTTACACTGTGAGGGGAAATCCACCTACTCAAGCCTCAGTAATGGCCAACACAACGCGCCTCCCTCCACCAAGCTTGAATGTCTCAGGTTGACTTCAGACTGCTGTGCTGGCTGTGAGAGTTTCAAGCCAGTGGATCTTAGCTGAAAGGGCTCCATGGGTGTGGGATCCACTGAGCTAGACCACTCGGCTCCCTGGCTTCCGCCCCCTTCCCAGGAGAGTAAACAGTTCTGTCTCGTTGGTGTTCCAGGTGCCACTGGGATATGAAAAAAATCTCCTGCAGCTATCTTGGTGCCTGCCCAAATGGCCAACCAGTTTTGTGCTTGAAACCCAGGGCCCTGGTAGTGTAGGCACCTGAGGGAATCTCCTGTTTGAGCATTGCAAAGACTATTGGAAAAGCATAGTATCTGGGCCAGAGTGCACCATTCCTCATGGCACAGTCCCTCATGGCTTCCCTTGGCTAGAGGAGGGAGTTCCTCTACCCCCTGCACTTCCCCAGTGAGGTGACGTCCCACCCTGCTTCTGCTTCCCCAGTGAGGTGACGCCTCACCCTACTTCTGCTTGCCCTCAGTGGGCTGTACCCACTGTCTAAGCAGTCCCAATGAGATGAGCCTGGTACCTCTGTTGGAAATGTAGAAAGCACCCGCCTTCTGCATTGATCTTGCTGGAAGCTGCAGACCAGAGCTATTCCTATTTGGCAATCTTGCCCAGGAATTTTTAGCAGTTCTTATAGTGGTGGCTTGGTAGTGACAAATTCTCTCAGCATTTGTTAATCTGAAGAAGACTGTATCTTTCCTTCATATATGAATCTTAGCTTTGCTGGATACAAAATTCACAGCTTGTAATTGTTTTGTTTGTGGAGGGTGGAGATAGGGCCTCAATCCCTTCTAGCTTGTAGGATTTCTGCTGAGAAATATGCTGTTAATCTGGTAAGTTTTCCTTTATAAGTTACCTGGTGCTTTTGTCTTATAGCTCTTAAGATTGTTTCCATCATCTTAACTTTAGATAACCTGTTGACATTGTGCCTAGGCAATGATCTTTTTGTGACGAATTTCCCAGGTTTTTTTTGCGTGTGTGTGTTTCAAGTATTTGGATATCTAGGTCTCTTGCAAGGCCAGGGAAGTTTTCCTTGGTTATTCCTCCAAATATATTTGCCAAATTTTTAGATTTCTCTTCTTCCCTAGGAATGCTGATCATTCTTAGGTTTGGTTGTCTAACATAATCCCAGATTTACTGGAGATTTATTCATATATTTTTATTCTTTTTTCTTTATCTTTGGTGGATTGGGTTAATTTGAAGACCTTGTCTTTGAGCTCTGAATTTCTTTCTTCTACTTGTTCAATTCTATTGTTGTGACATTCCTGAGCATTTGCATTTCTATAAGTGTGTCCATTGTTTCCTGGAGTTTTGATTTTTTTAATTTATGTTATCTATATCCTTGAATATTTGTCCCTTCACTTCTTGTAGCATTTTTTGTATTTCCTTACATGGGCTTTGACTTTCTCTGGTGCCTCCCTGATTAGCTTAATAACTAACCTCCTGAAATTTTTTTCAGGTAAATCAGGGATTTCTTCTTGGTTTCAATCCATTGCCGTTGAGCTAGTGTGATTTTAGTGGAGTGTTAGAGAACCTTGTTCTGTCATATTACCAGAGTTGGTTTTCTGGTTCCTTCTCATTTGGGTTGGCTCTGTCAGAGAGAAGGTCTAGGGCTGAAGGTTGTTGTTCAGATTGTTTTGTCCCATGGGGTGTTCCCTTGATGTAATACTCTCCCCCTCTTCCTATGGATGTAGCTTCTGAGAGCTGAGCTGTTGCGTTTGTTATCTCTCATCTGCATCTAATCACCCAGCAAGTCCACCAGGCTCCAGGCTGGTACTGGGGTTTGTCTGCACAGAGTCCTGTGATATGAACTGTCCATGGGTCTCTCAGCCGTGGATACCAGCACCTGTTCCAGTGGAGATGGGAGGGGGGCAAAAGGGACTCTGTGAGGGTTCTTAGCTTTGGTGGTTTAATGCACTATTTTTGTGCTGGTTGGCCCCCTGCTGGGAGGTGGCGCTTTCCAGAGAGCATCAGTTGTGGTAGCATGGGGAGCAACACGTGGTGGGTGGGGCCCTGGAACTCTCAAAACTATATGCCCTTTGTCTTTAGTTACCAGGGTGGGTAGGGAAGGACCAGTGGGTGGGGGCAGAGCTAGGCATGTCTGAGCTCAGACTCTTTTTGGGCAGGTCTTGCTGCAGCTGCAGCTGCTGTGGAGGATGGGGGTGAGGTTCCCAGGTAAATAGAGTTATGTTCCTAGGAGGATTATGGCTGTCTTTGCTATGTCATGCAAGTTGTCAGGGAAGTGCAGGAAAGCCTGCAGTCACAGGCCTCACCCAGCTCCCACACATCCGAAGGGCTGGTCTCTCTCTCATGATGTCCTCACCAACAGCACTGAGTCTGTTTCCAGGTAGCGAGTGAGCAGGACTGAGAACTTGCCCCAGTCTACCCACCTCTCAGCTGTGAAAGCAAGTATGGCTTTTCTTTCTTCTTCCCCCACCTGTGGACTCTGCACACCAGATTCGTGCCCTCCCCCAAGCTCTGGCCAGGATACTTCTGGATCACTTCAAAGTTCAGCTCAAGGTTTCCTTCTCCCTGTGGCCTTTTCCCAGTATCTCTGGCCACCTTTCTTAAGGACCTCTCTAAGGCCAGGCAGAAATGGGTTGCCAGGGAACCCAGCAAGCTCACAGGGCTTTTTCCACTGCTTCCTCTACCCCTGTATTTTGCTCAGCTCTCTAAATTGACCCAGCTCCAAGTAAGGTCAGAATAGTCTCCCATAATCTAGACCTTCGGTCTCCCCAGTAGGGATGTGTGTCAGGGACAGATGACCTCCCTTTCCCGTTTCCACAGTTTGGGCACTCACAGTATTTGGGGTGTCTCCCAGGCCCTGAAAGAGCAATTTGCTTCCCTCAGAGGGTCTGTAGTTCCTCTCACATTTCCTGATTTATTCCTGCAGTCATTCTGAAGCAAAAATTCACTATGCAAGCCTTCACACACTGCTCTGTCCACCTGAGTTGGAGCTGCAATCTAGTTCTGTCTCCCATCCACCATGATCCCTCTCTAGAAACCCTATTTTAAATGGAAGCTGGAAGGTGGACTGCAGAGCCCTGGTGCCAGGAAGGCCCTGATGTGTGTCTACCACCCTAATGTTTTTGACATCCAGAGCTTGTGATTGAGACTGTTTTCCTTTCTTCCATGCCTCAAACTGAGGAGGCTTCCTTCTACTCCGATAAGAGCCCCAAAATGAAGCTTTTACTTTCTCAGTTAATGAAGACATCTCTGTCATTTCAAAGTGAATTTATTTCACACTTGGTTAATAGGGAATTCATCCCATTTTTAGGTGGCTCCCAATATTGGTCCTTGTTTTCCACCTCTCAACACATCCTACTGTTTCTAGAATTGTTTCCTATTCTCCTACTTTTCATATACTGCTAGCACTCTTTGCTAGGAAATTAACCCCTCTCCGTCTAACCATCTCCTATGCTTCTCGAAATCTAACTCTGGCAGGAGTCACTCACTGAAGCATTCCTTATGTTCCCAGTGAGATTCGACTGCTGTTTCTCTGTGTCACAGGATCCTTGAGGTGTCACTTCACCAGCTGGAAACCTCTGTGGCTGGTGGCGCCTTCTGCCTAAGTATTGCTCATGCCCACTGGGCTTGTTCCACCCACTCGGCCCAGCAGGCTGTGCTCAGGTCTTGTTACCAGCCCAGATCCCACACCTGCCAAGGGCGAGCCAGGCACAGAGTGGTGAGAGGTGTGTAAATGAGTGAGAATGGGGCCCAGCCATTGCGCACAGCCAGACAGGCTAGCTGCTGCAGAGGGCAGGCAGCTCCAGATGCCAACACAGGTGATGGCTCTGTGCAAGGCTGCAGCTGGACCAGATGTGCTACATACAGCTTCTGCTGCAGGCATCCATATCTGGACAAGGGAAATGCAGTAGCATTCGGAAGCTTGGAGATGCCAAGAACCATAGAACTCCACAGAGGGTGTCACAGCCCTGGCTCAGGGATCCCCTAGGTCTGTGCTCCATGAAAGGCTACAACTCGTCTGTCCCCATTGCCTACGATGTGGTGAGCGGGATGTGGTGGGGAGCATGTTTCAGCCCTGTTTCTGTTACAGCTCTTTTAGTCCTGCCATTTGGCAGGTCCTGAGTTTTTGTCCTGTATCCAGGAAGAACAAAGTACACGGACAACTGGAGGGTGAGCAAGGTAGAGAGGAGCTTCATTGAGCAGTTGAACAGTTCCCAGGAGACATACAAAGGACAGCTCCTTTCCACAGGCAGGTCATCCGTACAAGTGTGCAGCTCACAGCCAAGACGAGAGCCAGAGTGGGTAGCTCCTTCCCACAGGCAGGTCGTATCCCCAAGTTGCGGCTGACTCCAGGATTTTTATGGGCTTCAGAGGGGATGAAGTCCATGCTGATCTGTCCATGTGCTCCATGGGTGGGCCTGGAAAAGCACCATAAGTTCTCACTCCAGTTCATAGAACTGGCAGCCAAACCTCTAGGCTTCAGGCCATCCCTGGCTTGAAGGTGGGGCTTTGCCAAGGACCTTCCCTTTTCTGCCCAGGAGCCTGCCTGCCTCTTGCCACCATCAATCATGTTGTCCATGGTACCTAGGCTGTTCATGCTGAGGGGTGCCTGCAGGTCCATATGAAGCCACCCTTGTCTTCCCTCCTGTACTCATTATCACCCAAAATCCAGAGAGGGCCAAGGTGGCAGGGGGCTGGTGTGTCAGTGCCACCTTGAGTACATGCACACCTGGCTGGGTTGTAATCGCACCAGGGGTCAGCTTCAATTTTGCTCCAAAATTTGAGCAGGTGCAGGGAGTGAGAGCAGGCACTTTCAAGCCTGCAGGGGCAAGAGGCCTCCTGGGCCCCCAAGAGCAGAGTGATGCCCAGGTCCACAGCCATGGCTGGGTGGCTGCAGCTGCATCATGAAGTGCAGGACTCCTGCCCACGAACTCAGAAGGGGGCAGGGCTCCCACCTCATGATGCTGGCTGCACCTCCCCCACTGCAGCCAGCATCATGGCAGCAGCTGCTCTAGACAGGCCATCACTGCCATAATATCTGTAACCAATACTTATCCCATCATAGCACTTTCCAAATTCTAGCCTTAGGACAAAAAGAACCGCTGATCTCTATTTCACCCCAGTATTGTAATCGTGGTATTCCATTGTAATGCAATAAATATGATAAGCTGTCATTAAATAAGAGTTTACTATTAAGGTCATGGCTTAGATTTTATTCATAGACTGACTCCTCTTTGCACTTCTAAGTTCTTTGGAATAATCAAAGCTGGTTGACAGAACCATTGATGCTGCTTCACTGCTAAAGACAAATTTATAGGTTATTTAAATGCCCCTCATATACTGCATATTTTCAAAAATCTTAATGATGAATCTTTAAGGACTGTACCGGGCAATGATTTTTTTGGAGATGATCCCAAAAACAGAGGTAACACTACCAAAAATAGACAAATGAGAATACATCAATTTATAAAGCTCCCACACAACAAAGGAACAATCAGCAAAGTAAGGAGACTACACAGAGAATGGGATAAAATATTTGCAAATTGTACATCTGTTAAGGAATATTCAAAATATATAAGGAATTCAAACAACTTAAAAGCAAGACAACAAAATAACTTGCTTTTAAAATAAGAAAAGCACCTGAATAGACATTCTCTAAATAGGATATGCAAATGACCCACAGGTATATTAAAGAATGTTTAACATCACTAAATGCTATGGTTCGAATGTGTTCCCTAAAGTTCGTGTGTTGGAAACTTAATCTCCAATGCAACAGTGTTGAGAGGTGGAACCTTTAAGAAATGATTAGGTCATGAGGGTCCTGTCCTCATTAATGAATTAATGCCATTATTGATGGGGTGAGTTCCTGATAAATACAATGAGTTTGGGTCCCCTTCTCTCACATGTACATGCTTTCACACTATCTTGTTCTTCCACTTTTCACCATGGGATGACGCTCACCAGATGGTGAAAGATGCTTCACATTTGGTGAAGGAAGGCCCTCACCAGTCGGGAAGACTTCAACTTTCTAGCCACCGGAACTGTAAGAAATATGTCTCTATTCTTTATAAATTACCTAGGTTCAGGTATTCCGTTATAGCTGCACAAATGGACTAAGGCACAAATCATCAGAAAAATGCAAAATAAAACCACAGTATCCTCGCATGGCTGTTGGAATGTCTGTTATCAAAAAGAAAAAAGATAAGCTATGACAAGGATGTGGAGAAAAGGGGACTCTTGCACATGCTGAAATGAAAATTAGTATAGCCATTATCAAAAACAGTATGAAGGTTTCTCAAAAAATTAAAAATGGAAGTACCATACGATCCAGCAATCCCACTACTGGGTATATATCCAAAAGAAATGAAATCTATATGTCAGAGAGATGTCTGCACTCCCATGTTCATTGCAGTATTACTCACAGTAGTCAAGATATATAAACCACCTATGTATTTATCATTGGATGAAGGTAATGTGGTACTTACACAAAATGGAACACTACTCAGCCTTAAAAAAGAGGGATATCTTGCTATTTGTGACGACATAGATAAACTTGGAGGGTATCATGTTAAGTGAAATAATCAAGGCACAAAAAGACAAATAATGCCAAAATCTCACAGGTGGAATCTAAAAAGTTGAACTCACAGAAGTAGAGAGTAGAATGCTGGTTACTAGGGACTAGAGGTTGTATAGGGGGTTGAGAAGATGCTGGGCTGGTCAAAGGATACAAAATTTTAGTTACAGAGAAATAAGTTCAAGAGATGTATTTTGCAACATGGTGACTGCAGTTAATGACAATGTATTGTATCCTTGAAAATCTCTGAAAAAATAGATTTTAATAGTTCTTACTACAAAAATAGGAATGTGAGATAATGCATATTTTAATTGACTTAATTGAACCATTTCCCAATGTAGACATACTTCAAAATATTGTGTTCAAAGTAACACTAAGAAAATTATCTTTTGTAATTCCTTCTTCCTTACTTTAAAAAAAATACTTCCAAGACCAGTATAACACTATCAATACTGTTCAATGGTTTAACAAAAGTGGGAAGGAAGAAATTACAAAAGATAATTTTCTTAGTGTTATTAGTAGACAGACAGTTTCAAATAAACCACTTCCCGGATGTTATGTGTATTGTGTTTTGCTGTATATGTAGCATATCAATAGAAAAATGACTCCTAATTTTCCAACATCTATTAATAGTTACTAGATATGTTAAAAAGATTGCCAGTGTATGACACAGTAGATTTAGTAAAAATAAGATCAGTACATTTTATACACTTTGTTTCAAAACTCACAGGAAAACTTGACTTCTGTAAATGACTTGGATATGGATTTGTTCAATTATACTTCATATTACATAATCTGTACTTGGCCACTGGAAAGGTCATAAAGAGAAGAAAGAAAGGAAGAAATAATTCAAGGTCAGAATGGTCATATTTAGAGACTTTCTGATTAGAATTGTTTGTGTAGTTTTATTTAACAGTATTATTTATAATGGACAAGTTCCTATTTGGAGTACATAGTCTTTCTAGATGTTCCTAAGTACCAGCTATATTTAAAAGTAGAGGTACTAAAAAACACTTTGTAAATAGCTTTTAAAACTTATGTAATATTATCTTTGGAAATGGAATTGTTAAACTACTACTTTGAGCATTATATTGTTTGTACTTACTCATTGGGTTGAAGAAGGTGGGAGGAAAGAAGTTTCAAAAGTTTTCTGGTGCGTACTAGAAAATTTCTGATTATCTGATGCCCTACATCCTAATGTGAATTTTAACTTTGCTATACTGTATATATTTTGTTTTCACTAGACAAATTTTAATATGATAATTTTTAAATACTCTTAAAGTTTATGTGAAACATTTCTTTTAGAAATGAAGTGACCAAACCACTTCTTCGGGTAGCACATTATGTTTGTACACTGGTTTCAGGGGAGGAAGGAGAGAATGAAGTGCAAAGGTTCTACTCCAGTTAGTTTACAGTGAGCTGAATAGGTCTATGTACTTGTCATATATGTATATGCAAATATAATGGAAAAATGAGTCTTAATTTTACATCAGGAGTTAAGGAGATTGCCACTGTATGACAAAGTTTATAAACTAGTATATTTTGTGTAAAAATGTATATTCTGAAAATGACTTGTGGATGTAAAATTATTAAAATCATCTCTAAGCATTACAGATGCTTACACTTGTACAGTGGGTTGAGAGGGGTACAAAAAGAAAAGGTTCTAGGCTAGAAGGTTCCTGTTGAAAAGATGCTTTTATATTAGCCTTTGGCCCATGCATGCAATTTATTCGATGCTATTGTGTATATAGTGCACAAACAAGCTTTATTTTAAATATCTAGCCTTTCTAGATGTTTTAAGTACACAACCTGTATTGAAAGCAGAGGCTATAAAAACACTTTTTTGTTAGGAAGTCATATGGATATTTGCCTTTTGGGAATGGGACTGTTCTCTGGGTGGCAGAGGCAGAGTAGGGTTCTATACCCAGGAGCTGTTAAACCAGAGGAGATTGTCTAACTACTGTTCTGTATGTGCATTTTAGTTACTATTGATCTATATTTATAAAACAAATGATTCCTAAGTGCCTAAAAGTAGAGGTGATAAAAATAACCTCTTTATAAATAGACTTGTGTTCATTGATTAAGAAATACTATCTTTGGGAATTGCTTTTTGTCAATCAACCTTTTGGAGCTAGGCACATTTTTGTGCTTAGTCACTGAGATGGTGGAAGAAGAAAAATGGACTCCTTGATAGTATATCCTTTTGTGGAAGATAGCACAGACCAAAGTTCTATACATGGATATTTTGTGAGTGCCTGTGTTTATTAAGAACAATGTGCATTGTTTATTTCTTAACATCTAAGATCTTCCATATATTGAGGTAGCAATATGTGATAAATAGCAGAGTTAACCAATTTGTAGATATATTATAATTAATACTGAATAAGCATTATGGACAGGGAATTTTAAAGCATCTCTAAGCATGCATCAGGGTTGTTCACTGGGTTAGTGGGGAGGGACAAAAGAAAGTGCAGAGTGGGATTATGCAGTTCTATACACATTCATAATTTAATAATATCCATTGATGCATATGTGCTTCACTTGGGGCTATAATATATGAATACGCTATTACATAATTTGATGGGAACATTTTCTTCCTGATATTTTAATAGTATAGATCTGATAATAAATTCTCACAGAAGCATCATACTTGTATTCTCCTGCCACATTTTAAATTGAACATTAAGGAAATGTGTAGTTTTTTTTTGTTTGTTTGTTTTTTGAGACAGTCTGGGTCTGTCACCCAGGCTGGAGTGCAGTGGTGCAATTAAAGCTCATCATGGTTTCAAACTCCTGGGTGCAAGACATCCTCCTGCCTCAGCCTCCCAAGTAGCTAAGACTACAGGCACGCACTGCCATGCCTGGCTAATTAAAAAAAAAAATTGTAGGGACAAGGTCTTGCTCTGTTGCCCAGGCTGGTCTCAAACTCCTGGCCTCAAGTGATCTTGCCACCCATTCTCCCATAGTGCTGGGATTAGAGATGCGAGCACTGTGCCTGGCCAACACAGTATATTCTTGTAACTCTACCAATATTTATCCAAATGCCTTTTGCCAATTTTGTCTTTATGAAATTTTGTCCCCATGAAAGTCAGAATTACACTTTTTCTTGATTGAGTGATTGGCACGTATTCTTGGTTATCATGGCTTTGGGACTTAGAATTAGTAAATATTCACAACATAAAAAAGCAATACATACTTTAGAATTGAAACCACATGAAACTGTATGCTCATTTATCATTATATATCTACAAGGACTCAGAAAGACACATCAAACTGTAAACTCCTTATAATTTTGGAAGATTTTGTGTTTTTGCCTCTTGAACTTCTGTTTTTTCTGTAATGCACATATTAATTTTTGAGGAAAGTTTAAGGTTTCAGGGAAAAATGTTATTTTTTAAGTAACAGAGTAGTTCCTTTCCTTTGTTCTGAATATGGTATATAGCATAAAAATTATATACATGTCATTGTTTTTTATGTGAGTCTTTTAAAGCATAGTTTCAAAATATAACTTACTTCCATCTGCATACCTGCCACTGATGTTTAAAATGTTTAGGTTCTCAAAGCATATTTTTCAAAATTAGTGATGATGTTCTCTGGCTAAATAGAAATATATAGTGAAGTGAGTCATTCCTGTCACATAAATACAAAACCAGGAAGAATAAAGGGCTAACTTGGAAATATAACTGTCATTTGATAAGAAAACAAACATATTTATTAATATATACTTTTAAATAATACTTTATTGTGGTAGACTGATAAAACTATATTCAGTTATCAAAACTAAGAGAAGGAAATTAAAAACACCTGGAACATAACTTTATGGGAAACTCAGCAACTTAAATCTCAAACATAGTAGGAATCCTGCATTTATTCTCATCCACATGGTGTTCACTGCCACAGTAGGATCTAGTAACCCTAAACGGAAACATTTATTTGTGTAAAGGAGTAGGCTTTGGGAGAATAGGAAAGAGTTGGGAGTTGGATGTAGGGACTCTAGATTAAAACTCTCAAGACATTCAATTTTCCCGGAATTCTTGGAGCATTTCATCAATCAATACAGACTTCCAGTCCAAAAAACAAAGCATCCATTATATAATTTCACTTTGTGAAAAGAACCCAAGGTCAAAACAGAACTCATGATTCTACAAAGCATAGAAAATCAGAAACTGCTACTGATACCCTAACTGTCCTATGTTAGCCATATCAAATATATTATAATCCTAGCACTTCTAAGTAATCTCAGTTTTCCCAACAGCAAAATGTGTTATCAAATTTATGTGAAAGGTCTAGGGAAGCTAATAAAAATCAATTTGCCAATGTCGTGCATGACACAATCACATATGATCCATTGCTTAGGGCTTCTGCTTACACACAGCTTTTTGCTTGATAAAACTTAGGAAATTGGCTTATTGGTTTCCATTCTTCCCATAATAAAGAATCTCATTCCTTCTTCTACTTCAAACTTGGGTATTCATTTTTTTTAGAAAGTATCAGATTTGTTCCTAAAATAGTTTAATTTGTTTTGGTAGTCTACCTTCCAACACTTTTAACACCTCACTGGTTAACTATATTAGTTGAACAAAAATTCAACACAAATGTGCATTGGCATTTACCCTCACCTGAAGCTAATTATCTTGGAAATTTAAGTCAGTAATCATACAGCAGAGAAGAAATGGTTTATAGTCTCCACACTTTTTGTGTGAATTATCTAAGCTGTGCTCTTAACACTCAGTTTGTCCCATAGCACATTTGTCAATACTGATAAGAAATATCAGAGTGAATGCTAAGTAACAGACAGCAACTTTAGCAGCTAGGAAAAGAGTTGAATTCTAGGCCCACAAACTTGCAAAGTTCTCCATGGCAAGATCAGCCATCAAAATTCTCAGCATGTCATCGTTTCCTGAGACCTCCCTCCCTAAAAGAAACAGAAGTTGGTAAAGAGTCATTAAAAGTGTTTTAGCTCTTAAACATGCTTTCCCTTACTCTCACTAAATCTATCCTTGAAATAAATCAAACTTCATTTTCTAAAGTGGCATTTCAACCAACAATGCATTCAACTCTACTTTTATTCCTCTTTATTATTTTGAAAGCTATTAAAGCATTAGAAACTATAATTCCTTCACTACTAAAATCTGAATATAAAAGTTTTTCTATAAGCAAGAAAAATGAGGGACATAGGGAAAATAACTTGGAATTTGATCACATTAGTAATACTAAAAAGAAACGTGAATGTAGGTCACAAATTCATTTAAAATACCAGAGATGAAAGCGTGTCCATGTTAGCAGATACATGGCTCTTCCAGTCAGTATTTGCTACTTCAACTCAAACATCAACATTTCTCAGACTAATTAGCTATATAAGTGGTGATTTTTCTTCAATTAGGGAAACTTGGTTATTATAACCCAAATTACTCCAAAGGGGCTTTTTAAAATTTGAGGTATCAAATAAACTTATGTTTTCTACAGATTTAATTTCCTTATTCTCTGCTGATGAGAGACAAGGGAGCAATAAGCCTTCAAATTGTGTATTTGCTGAAATTACTATGAACAATACAAAGCTGATTGGTCCTGATAAGCATTCATTTTATCATGCTTATGCCTTCCATCATGGTTCAGTTTGATAATGAACAAAAGATGTCTTAAATCCAAATACTATAGTTTGATGGTCACGAAACAACACACGCAAAACTTTTTAAATGCTGAGTTTCAAGACAGATGGCCTCTGCTTGTTTATGTAGCCAACTTTTGTTGTTTTTCTTAGACAGCATAAAACTACAGTAAATGAGTATGTAAACTTGAAATCCAGAGCATAGTAATAGAAAAGAGATATTGTTCCAAGGCAGAATCATGTATCTTAAAATGAGCCATCATTTTTAAAATGTGTTCTCCTTACCCTATACAGAAAACCACTGTCATTAATTTTGACCCAACTTTTTTTCTCATTTATATCAATAAATCTCTGACAAGCTCAAAAACTTTTTCTACCCTTATTTTCTGACAAAGACAACCCACTGTGAGAAATAATGGTGTTCATAAATGAGAGGCAAAGAAGCAATAACAGTGTCATTTACAGGTTATTAAACAAGACACCAGCTCAGAGAGAAGATCTCTGTTTAAGGCTCTGGACTTGGTAGGCATATTTCAGATGCATAAATTCAGAGGAATACCTCACCATATCTCCTACCAGGAAATCTGGAGAAAAACATCCATTACAGTAATAATGATCTGTAATGTTCACCAAATACCATGCTACTGTGCAGTAGAATTATCCTCTTGAAAAAGTACTCATGTGTTTTCATTAGAACATTAAATTCACTATGTCATTAAGTGGAACATTCTTTTGACTATAATATCTGATTTTTTTCTGGTGTGTAAAGAAATTTGCACATGTGCATGCTCACACCCACACGCATAATTTCTAAAGAAATAGGAAAGAATAGAAGAAAAGAGAGACATCTCAAAATATGTGCCTACCACTTTTGATTCCACGAAATTCAGAGAAGTGTGTTTTTTAAAAATAATTCAGAAATGTTGTTAAATCTAACAATGATTCCCTTTATCACTTCTTCCATAGCCATCTTGCTTAGAAAATATCTTTTTACCCTGATATCACATTTGTATCTGTATTTCTTGATTTTGCCCCCAAATCCTACTCTTTAATCTTTCCCATTTTACTGATGACTCAATATAGATAAGTTTTTGCCTTTTAAATACTTTCAAATTGTATTATATCACCTATATAGTTTGTGTATGACAACTTTGGCCCAACATAATATTTTGAAGATTGATCCATGTTGTTTAGTATGAGAATTGTGTTCCCTTTTATTTCTAAGTAGTTTTCCACTATATGACACTTCTAGTCTAGGATTATTCAGAATAAATCTGATGTAAATATTCTTCTTAAAAGTCATCTTTGTAAAGATATCTTTTCATTTCTCTTAGATAAATATCTAGGAGTGGAATGGCTGGTGTGCCAGTTATCAGTTTTATTACTGCTCAGCTCCAAATCTGTCCTTCATTTCCAGGTTTGCAGTTATATAGCTGGATGCTGTACTGTTTCCCTTTGCTAGCTGACATGAAGTTAAGTTTGTCAGTACAGGACAGCACCCAGTGACATTGGCACACAGCACGTTCCCATGGGCAGCTTCCCCCAGCAATCTCTTGGATGGCTTTAGAGCAAAATTCCAAGACACAGAACCTCTCTGGTGATGGCTATGCCCGGCACTCCAGAAGGTGTATTTCTAGCAAGTGTCTTTGGCACAGTATCTCAGCAAGCTTTCTCCGCCATTCTGCAATGCATGGTACTACTCTCCAGTGAAGTTTGACTATCAGTCCCGAGTGGGAGAGGATGGGGTTCTTTTGTGGATTTTGCAGTTAGTTGTAATAGCCATTCACTATGTCTATTATTTCTGTATTTTCTAGAATTTTCTTTATCTCTGATATGGTTTGGCTCTGTGTTCTCACCCAAATCTCATGTTGAATTGTAATTCATGTGTCAGGGAAAGGGCATTGAGAGGTGATTGGATCATGGGGGCAGATTTCCCCCTTGCTGTTCTTATGATAGTAAGCTCTCATGAGATCTGATGGTTTAAATGTATATGGCACTCCCTCTTCACTCTCTCTTTCCTGCTCCACCATTTAAGATGTGCGTGCTTCCCCTTTGCCTTCTGTCATGATTACAAGTTTCCTGAGGCCTCCCAGTCATACTTCCCGTTAATCCTGTGGGACTGTGAGTCAATTAAAACTCTTTTCCTCATAATTTACCCACTTTCAGTTAGTTCTTTATAGCAGTGTAAGAATGGACTAAAACAACCTCTTACTAGCCAAAGCCCATCAGTCCAAACTCTAGTTAATTCTTCATGTTAAGTTTTTCCTGTTCAAATTACCATGTATTTTTTGTTTTCTGATTGGATTCTGATATAGGCTTTGTTACAGAGAAAAAATGTATAATTTTTAAATTTATTTTTAATTTTTGGGGTACAAAGAAGGTGTATATATTTGTCCAGTACATGAGATGTTTTGATGCAAGCATGCAATGTGAAATAATCATATTATACAGATTGGGATATCCATCTCCTCAAACATTTACCCTTTGTTACAAACAATCCAATTACACTCTTTTAGTTATTTTAAAGTGTACATTAAATCTTTTTTTTTTTTTTGACGGAGATTCGCTCTGTCGCCAGGCTGGAGTATAGTGGCACGATCTCGGCTCACTGCAACTTCCACCTCCCAGGTCCAAGCGATTCTCCTGCCTCAGCCTCCCAAGTAGCTGGGACTACAGGTGCACACCACCACACCCAGCTAATTTTTGTATTTTTTAGTAAAGACAGGGTTTCACCATGTTGTCCAGGATGGTCTCGATCTCTTGACCTCTTGATACACCTGCCACGCCTCCCAAAGTGCTGTGATTACAGGCGTGAGCCACTGCACCTGGCCAATTAAATCATTATTGACTGTAGTCACCCTGTTATGCTACTAAATTCTAGAGCTTATTCATTTTATTTATTTTTTTACACATTAACCATCCCCATCACACCCCCAGCCATGTACTACCCTTCTCAGCCTCTAGTAACCATCCTTCTATTCTCTTTCCTATGAATTCAGTAGTTTTTATTTTAGATCCAGTGAATAAGTGAAAACTTGCAATTTGTTTCTTTCTGTGTCTGGCTTATTGATTTGGAAGCAACCTAGGTATCCATGTGAGGTAAAAGGCAGAACTCAACATTGGAGGCAGGGCTTGGACACCAGGTTAAATTCAATACTAACAAAAACAGCTCCAGGACAGAAGCGTCTCCCCATAAGACATGCCCACCAGTGTGCTATGTCAGTTTGCCATTGCCAGGGCGACACCTGGCAATGAGCACCTCACTCAATATAATCTCCGATCACATCCAGGTTGTTGCAAATGACAGGATCTCATTCTTTTTTATAGCTGTATTGTAGTCCACTGTATATATGTACAACAATTTCCTAACCCATTCATCTGTTGATGTAATGCAAGACAGGCAAGGCCCAAAATTGAGACTTAGCCCAGGAGGGTTCTTGGCTTCACTCAGGAAATAATTCAAGAGCAAGCTGGTAGTGTTAAGCAGCAACTTTTATTGAAGTGGCAATGTATAGCAGCAGCAGAGACTGCTCCTTGCAGAGCAGAGCTACACCATAGGCATATGCCTAGATAGTAGCTCACAGGCAGTTCTGCACTCATATTTATACTTACTGTAATTACATGCATATTGAGAGGCAGTTTATGCAGAAATTTCTAGAATGAGGGTTGTAACTTCCAGGTTGTTAGGTTGTTGCCATGGAAAATCATGGTAACTGCCAGGTGGTGCCCTGGCAATGGCAAACTGACATGGCACACTGTTGGGAGTGTCTTATGGGGAGATGCTTCTGCCCTGGACGTGTTTTGGCTAGGCTTCAATTTTGCCTGCTGTTCAAGCCCTGCCTCCTACCTCAGATGAACACTTAGGTTACTTCCAAATATTAGATATAGTGAACGGTGCTGCAACAATCATGGGAGTGCAGATATCTCCTCAATATACTAATTTGCTTTAAGTATATTCCCAGCAGTGGGATTGGTGGATCATCTGGGGGCTTTATTTTTAGTTTTTTGAGGAACCTCCAAACTGTTGTCTATAGTGGCTGCACTAATTACATTCCCACCAAAAGTGTATCAGGGTTTCCTATTTTCCACATCCTCACCAGCACTTGTTATTGCTCGACTTTTGTTATTGCCTTTTTAACTGGGGTAGTATTGATTTGCATTTCTCTTATGATCCATGACGTTGAGCATCTTTTCATATGCCTGTTTGCCATTTGTATGTCTTCTTTTGAGCAATGTCTATTCAAATTTTTTGTCCATTTTTCGATGGGATTATTCATTTTTTTTTCTATAGAGTTGTTTGGGATCCTTATATATTCTGGTTATTAATCACTTGTCAGATGAGCAGTTCGTAAATATTTTCTCCCATTTTGTGGGTTGTTTCTTCATTTTGTTAATTGTGTCTCTTGCTGTGCAGAAGCTTTTTAACTTGATGTGATCCCATTTGTCCATTTTTGCTTTGGTTGCCTGTACTTGTGGGGTATTTAGTGATCAAGAAATTTTTGCCCAAATCAATGCCATGGTGGTTTCTCCAATGTTTTCTTGTAGTAGATTAATAGTTTGGAGTTAGATTTAAGTCATTAATGTAATTTTCATTTGATTTTTGTATATGGTGAGAAATATAGGCCTAGTTTCACTCTTCTGCAGATGGATATCCAGTTTTCCCAGCACCATTTATTGAAGAGACTGCCTTTTCCCCAGGGTATGTTGTTGGCACCTTTGTCAAAAATGAGTTGGCACTTATTTTTATGTTGGCACTTATAGCTATAGTTGTGTGGATTTATTTCAGGGTTCTCTATTCTTTTCCATTGGTCTATGTGTCTGTTTTAATGACAATACCATTCTGTTTGGATATTATAGTTCTATAGTATAATCTGAAGTCAGGTAATGTGATTTCTCCAGTTTTGTTATTTTTACTTAGGATAGCTTTGGCTATTCTGGGTCTTTTGTGATTATATATGAATTTTAGATTTTTGTTTTATTTCTGTGAAGAATGTCATTGCTATTTTCATATGGATTGCATTAAATCTGTAGACTGCTTTGAGTAGTATGGACATTTTAACAATATTGATTCTTCTGATTCATGAACATGAATTTTTTTATTTTTTATGTCCTCTTTCATCATTATTTTGTAGTTTCCATTATAGGGATCTTTTACTTCCTTGATTATGTTAATCCCTAAGTATTTAATTTTATTTGTGGCAATTATGTCTATTGATTATTTCTTTTTCAGATTCTTCACTGTTGGCATGTAGAAATTCTATTGATTTTTATATGTTGACTTTGTATCCTGCAACTTTACTGAATTTATCAGTTTTAATAGCTTTTTTGTGCAGTCTTTAGTTTTTTTTTTTTTAAATATAAGATCAGATACTCTGCAAATAAGAATAATTTCACTTCTTCTTTTCCAGTTTGGATGTCTTTTATTTCTGTCTCTTGAATGACTGCTCCAACTAGCACGTCCAGTGCTATGTTGAAAAACGGTGGTGACAGTGGGCATCTTTGTTATGTTTCAGATCTTAAAGGCTTTCATTTTTTCCCCATTAAGTATGATATTAGCTATGGGTCTGTCACATATGGCCTTTATTTATTATGTTGAGGTATGTTCCTTCTATACTCAATTTTTGAGACTTTTTAATCACAAAATGATGTTGAATTTTATCAAATGCTTTTTCACCATCAATTGAAATGATCATATAGCTTTTTTCCTTCATTCTGTTGATATGATGTATCACATTGATTGATTTGCATATGTTGAACCATCTGTGCATCCCATGGGTAAATCCCACTTGGTCACAATGAATGATCTTTCTAATGCATTGTTGACTTCAGTTTGCTTGTATTTTGTTCAGGATTTTTGCATCCATCAGATATTTTCCCCTATAGTTTTCTTTTTCTTGATGTGTCATTGTTTGGTTCTAGTATCAGGGTAATACTGGCCTCATATAATTAGCTTGGAAGTTTTCCTCCTCCTCTGTTTTTTGGAATAATTTGAGTAGAATTGGTATTAGTTTTTCTTTAAATGTCTGGTAGAATTCAGCAGTGAAGCCATCAGGTCCTGGGGCTTTTTTATACTAGCAGACTTTTTATTATAACTTTGATCTAATAATTTCTTATTGGTTTCTTCAGGTTTTGGATTTCTTCTGGGTTCAATCTTGGTAGGTTGTATGTGTCTAGGAATTTGTCTCTTTCTTCTGGATTTTCCAATTTGTTGGCACATAGTTGCTCATAATAGCCAGTAATTATCCTTTGAATTTCTGCTGTACCAGTTTTTATTTCTGATTTGTTTCTATCTTTTCTCTTTTTATTTTTTTTTTCTCAGTCTGGCTAAAGGTTTACCAATTTTCTTTAACTTTTCAAAAAACAACTTTTTGTTTCATTAATCTTTCTTATTGATTTCTTCATTTCAAATTCATTTACTTTGGCTCTGATCTGTATTATTCTCTCTCTTTATTTATTTTTTTTAGATGGAGTCTCACTTTGTCACCCAGGCTGGAGTTCAGTGGCGCACTCTCAGCTCACTGCAAGCTCCGCCTCCTGGGTTCACGCCATTCTCCTGCCTCAGCCTCCCGAGTAGCTGGGACTACAGGTGCCCACCACCACACCCAGCTAATTTTTTTTGTATTTTTAGTAGAGATGGGGTTTCACCGTGTTAGCCAGGATGATCTCGATCTCCTGACCTTGTGACCTGCCTGCCTTGGCCTCCCAAAGTGCTGGGATTACAGGCATGAGCCACCACACCCAGCCTATTATTTCTCTTATACTGATTTGGGGTTTGATTTGCTCTTGTTTTTCTAGTTTTTTTGAGATGCATAGTTAGAGTGTTTATTTGAAGTTTTTCCTTTATTTTTATGTTGGCACTTATAGCTGTTCATTTCTCTCAGCACTGCTTTTGCTGCATCCTGTAGGTTTTGGTATGTTTTGTTTCCACTATCATTTGTTTCAATAAATTTTTCAATTGTCTTTTGAATTTCTTTACTGACCCACTGGTCACCCAGGAGCATATTGCTTAATTTTTGTATATTTGTATAGTTTCCAAAATTCCTCTTGTTATTAATTTCTAGTTTTATTCCATTGTGGCCAAAGAAAATGCCTAATATTATTTCAATTTTTTTTTTAATTTTTAAGACTTCTTTTGTGATCTAACATATGGCCTATCCTTGAGAATCATCCATGTGCTTAGTAAAAGAATGTGTTTTCTGTATCCCTTGAATGAAACGTTCTGTAATATATATTCGATCCATTTGGTCTGTAGTGCAGATTAAGTACAATGTTTCTTTGTTGATTTTTCATCTGGAAGATCTGTCCAATGTTGAAAGTGAAGTTTTGAAGTCTCCAGCTCTTATTGTATCAGGGCCTATCTCTCTCTTTAGCTCTAATAATGTTTGCTTTATATATCTGGGTGCTCCAGTGTTCAGTACATATATATTTAAAATTATTATACCTTCTTGCTTAATTGACCCCTGTATTAAATAGTGACTGTCTTTGTCTCTTCTTAGAGTTTTCAGCTTGAAACCCATTTTGTCTGATATAAGTATAGCAACTCTTGCTTCTTTATGGCTTCCTTTGGCATGGAATATCGTTTTCTGTACCTTTATTTTCAGCCTACATATGTCATTATTGGTGAAGTGTATTTCTTGTAAGCAACAGATCATTGGGCCTTGTTTGTTCATCCATTCAGCCATTCTGTCTTTTGATTGGAGAGGTCAGTCCGTTTACACTCAATGTTATTATTGATATATGAGGATGTAATATTGCCATTTTGTTATTTTTGTAGTTTTGTATTCTTCTCTTCCTTTTGTCTTACCTTCCTGTCTTCCTTTATTGAAGATGATTTCCTCTGATGATATGATTTAGTTTGTTGCTTTTTATTTTTTGTGTATTCATTGCATGTTTTTTCATTTGTGGTTACCAAGAGGCTTACAGATACCATCTTGCAACCCATTATTTTAACCTAATAATAACTTTACACTTTTTTCATAAACAAATAAAAAAGCAAAGAAAAGCACTATGCCTTAACTTCATCGTGCCATTTTAAAAAATTTTTGTTGATTCTATTTACATTGTATTATATTATCTACGTCTTAAAAAGTTGTTGTAGTTTTTTTATCGGTTCATTGTTTAGTTTTTCTACTTAGAATAAGAGTAGTTTACACACCACAGTTACAGTGTTATAATATTCTGCGTTTTTCTGTGTGCTTACCATTACTGGTGAGTTTTGTACCTTTGGATGATTACTTATTGCTCATTAATATCCTTTTCTTTTTAACTGAAGTACTAGCATTTCTTATAGTAAAGGCCTGGTATAGATGAAATCCTTCAGCTTTTGTTGGTCTGGGAAAGCCTTTATCTCTCCTTGAAGTTTGAAGGATGTTTTCACTGGATATAATATTCTAGGATAAAAGTTTTTTGTTTTGTTTTTTTCTTTCAGCACTTTAAATACATAATGCCACTCTCCCCTGGCCTGTAAGGTTTCCACTGAAAAGTCTGCTGCCAGATGTATTAAAGCTTCATTGTGTGTCATTTGTTTCTTTTATCTTGCTGCTTTTCGGGCCCTTTCTTTATCCTTGATCTTTGGGAGTGTGATTATTAAATGCCTTAAGGTAGTAGTCTTTTAGTTCAATCCACTTGGTGGTCTATAACCTTTTTATGCTTGGATATTGATATCTTTCTCTAGGTTTGGAAAGTTCTATGTTATTATCCATTTGAATAAACTTTCTACTCCTATATCTTTCTCTACCTCCTCTTTAAGGTCAATTACTCTTCAGTTTGCCCTTTTGAGCCTATTTTCTAGATCTTGTAAGGATGCTTAATTGTTTTTCATTCTTTTTTCCTTTGTCTCCTCTGCTATGCTCAACCTCAACCCTGCTCTAAAGGGAGGAGAAAACAACATCTAGACATACAAATAAAAGAAGCTCAAGGAATACCTGGGAAATTCATCACAAAAAAGATAATTACCCAAGCATAGTCATCAGGTTATCAAAGGCAAGACGAAGGAAAGGAACCTAAGAGCTGTGAAGCAAAAGCATCAGGTAACCTATAAAGGAAAACTAGTCAGATTAACATCATATGTCTCAGCAGAAACCCTGGTAGCCAGAAGGATCTAGGATCCTGTCTTTAGCTTCCCAAACAAAATAATTGCCACCCAAGAATTCTGTATCCAACAAAACTAAGCTTCAAAAATGAAGAAGAGATATCTTTTTCAGACAAGCTGAGAGGATTTCCAACTACCAAGACATCACTACAAGAAATGCTAAAAGAAGTTCTAAATCTTGAAACAAAACCTCAAAATACACCAAAATAGAACCTCCTTAAAGCATAATTCTCACACCACCTGTAAAATAATAACACAATAAAAAAAGGTATTCAGGGAACAACTAGCATGATGAATAAGATAATGCCTAAATGCCTAAATGCTCAACTTAAAAGATACAGAAGGGAAGAATGGACAAAAACCCAGCCACCACATTTCTGCTGTCTTCAAGAGACTCACCTAACACATAAGGACTCATATAAATTTAAGGTAAAGGGATAAAAAAAGATTCCATGCAAATGGAAACCAAAAGCAATCAGGAATAGCTATTCTTATATCAGACAAAACAGACATTAAAGCAACAACAATTAAAAAAACAAAGAGAGACATTATATAATGATGAAAGGATCAGTCTAACGGAAAAAAATCAAAATCCGAAATATTTATGTGCCTAACATGGGAGCTCCCAAATTTATAAAGCAATTATTACTAGATATAAGAAATGAGATAGACAGCAACACAATAATAGTGGGGAAACTTCAGTAGTCCACTGACAGTACTAGACAGATCATCAAGACAGAAAGTCAACAAAGAAACAACGGACTATACTCTAGAACAAATGAACTCAACAGATATTTACAGAACATTCTACCCCAGAATTGCAGACATTCTTTTCATCAGCCCATGGAAAAGTCTCCAAGAAAGACCGTATGATAGGCCACAAAACAAGTCTCCATAAATTTAAGGAAATCAAAATTATATCAAGTACCCTCTCAGACCACAGTGGAATAAAATTAGAATTTAACTTCAAAAGGAACCCTCAAAACTATACAAGTACATGGAAATTAAATAATCTGCTCCTGAATGAACTTTGGATTAACAATAAGATCAAGATGGAAATTTAAAAATTCTTTGAACTAAAGGATAATAGTGACACAATCTATCAATACTCTGAGACATAGTAAAAGCAGTGCAAAGAAAAAAGATTATAGCATTAAATGCCTACATCAAAAAGTCAAAAATATCACAAGTAGATAATCTAAGATCACATCTCAAGGAACTAGAGAAACAAGGACAAACCAAACCCAAATCCAGCAGAAGAAAAGAACAACAAAGATCAGAGCAGAATTAAATGGAATGGAAACAAAAAAATCCAAACGGTAAGTGAAACAAAAAGCTGATTCTTTGAAAAGGTAAACAAAATTGATAGACCATTAGCAAGATTAACCAAAAAAAGAAGAGAGAAGATCCAAATAAGCTCCGTTAGAAACAAGATGGGAGAAATTACAACTGATACCACAGAAATACAAAAGATCATTCAACGCCACTATAAACACCTTTACTCATACAAACTAGAAAAATCTAGAGGAGACAGATAAATTCCCGAAATAGAAACTCTGGAAAGACCAGTAACAAGTAGCAAGATAGAAAAAGTAATTTAAAAATTGTCAGCAAATAGTTCAGGAACAGAGGATTCACAGCTGAATTTTATCAGGCATTCAAAAAATTGGTACCGATATTACTAAAACTATCCCAAAAGACAGAGAAAGAAGGAATCCTCCCTAAATCACTCTGTGAATCCAGGATTACTCTAATACCCAAACCAGGAAAGGACATAACAACAAAAACAAAACTACAGACCAATATCACTGATGAACATTGATGCAAAAATCCTCAACAAAATACTAGCTAATCAAATCCAACAGCATATCAAGAAGATTATACATCATGATCAAGTGGGTTTCATACCAGGGATGCAGTGATAGTTTTACATATGCAAGTCAACAAATGTGATACATCACATAAACAGAATTAAAAATAAAAATCACATGATCATCTCAATTGATGCAGAAAAAGCATTTTACAAAATCTGGCATCCCTTTATGATTAAAACTTTCAGCAAAATCAGCATAGAAGAAACATACCTTAAGGTAATAAAAGCCATCTATGACAAACCTGTAGCCAATATCATACCGAATGGCAAAAAGTTGAATACTTTCAACTATTCCCCTTGAGAACTGGAACAAGACAAGGATGCTCACTTTACCACTTCTATTCAACATCATACTGGAAGTCCTAGCCAGCACAATCAGACAAGAGAAAGAAATAAAGAGCATCCAAATGAGTAAATGGGAAGTCAAACTGTTGCTGTTCACTGATGATATGACTGTACACCTAGAAAATCCTAAAGACTAACCCAAAAAGCTCCTATATCTAATAAATAAATTCAGTAAAGTTTCAGGATACAAAATTAATGTACACAAATCAGTAGCACTGTTATACACAGATGGCAGTCAAGCTGAGAATCAAATCAAGAACTCAACACCTCCTTTACAATAGCTGCAAAAAATAAAATACTTAACAATATACCTAACCAAGGAGGTGAGAGATCTGTACAGGAAAACTACGGAACACTGCTTAAAGAAATCATACATGACACAAACAAGTGGAAACATATCCCATGCTCATGGATGAGTGGAATCAATACTGTGAAAATGACCATACTGCCAAAAGCAATCTACAAATTTAATGCAATTCCCATAAAAATACCATCATCATTCTTCATGGAACTAGAAAAAAATCTTAAAATTTATATGAAACAAAAAAGAGCCTGCATAGACAAAGCAAGACTAAGCAAAAAGAATAAATTTGGAGGAATCAAATTACTTGATGGCAAAGTATACTACAAGGTTATAATTACCAAAATAGCATGGTTCTAGTATAAAAATAGGCAGGTAGACCAATGAAACAGAAATAGAGAACCCAGAAGTAAAGCCAAATACTTACACCCAACTGATTCTTGACAAGGCAAATAAAAACATAAAGTGGGAAAAGGACACCCTATTCAACAAATGGTGCTGGAATAACTGGCAAGCCACATGTAGAAGAATGAAGCTGGATCCTAATCCCTCAACTTATATAAAAATCAACTCAATATGGATCAAAGACATAAATCTAAGACCTGAAACCATAAAAATTCTAGAAGATAACATCAGAAAAATTATTCTAGACATTGGCTTAGGCAAAGAATTCATGACCAAGAACCCAAAAGCAAATGCAACAAAAACAAAGATTAATAGATTGGACCTAATTAAACTAAAAAGCTTCTGCACAGCAAAAGAAATAATTGGAAGAGTAAATAGACAACCCACAGAGTGGGAGAGAATATTCACAAATTAGCATCTGACAAAGGACTCATCCAGAACCTACAAGGAACTCAAACAAATCAGCAAGAAAAAAATAATAATCCCATCAAAAAGTTGGCAAAGGGCATGAATAGACAATTCTCAAAAGAAGACATACAAATGGCAAACAAACATATGAAAAAATGCTCAAAATCCCTAATTATCAGGGAAATGCAACTCAAAACCACAATGAGATACTACCTTTTTCCTGCAAGAATGACCATAACTAAAAAAATTAAAAATCAGATGTTGGCATGGATGTGGTTAAAAGGTAGCACTTTTACACTGATGACGGGAATGTAAACTAGTACAACCACTATGGAAAATAGTATGGAGATTCTTTAAAGAATTAAAGTAGAACTACTGTTTGATCCAGCAATCCCACTATTGGAAAAGAAGTCATATGAAAAAACACTTGCATACGCATATTTATAGCAGCACAATTTGCAACTGCAAAAATATGGAATCAACTTAAATGCCCATCAAGGGGATGAAGAAAATGTGATGTATATATAGACCATGGAATCCTGCTCAGCCATAAAAAGGAATGAAATATTGGCATTTGCAGCAACCTGGATGGAGTTGGAGACCATAATTCTAAGTGAAGTAACTCAATAATGGAAAACCAAACATTGTATATTCTCATTTATAAGCAGGAGCTACTCTGTGAGGATGCAAAAGCATAAAAATAATATACTGAACTTTGGGGACTCAGGAAGAAGAGTGGGAGGGGGATGAGGAATAGAAGACTACGCATATGGTACTATGTATGCTGCTTAGGTGATGGGTGCACCAAGATCTCAGAAATCAACACGAAAGGACTTATTCATGTAACCAAACACCACCTGTTCCTTCAAAACTGCTGGAATATAAATAAAATAAAATTCAAAAGGTACAAATATTCGATATAAATCACTGAGGAAGCCATCTTGATCAACGGTTTTTTGGTAAAATTTTTTTCCATTGTTATTGCTGATTGTGCTGGATTGTTTCTTGTTAACCTGACACTACTGTTTCTAAGTAAGGCTGGAAAATCCATTTCCCAGACCTCTTCCCTGTGCTGTTCTACATTACATTTGCCAAAGACCGGATTGTAAATGTGATTTGGAAGTGCAAGTGAAGCACTGGCAATTACTCACATAATGATCATGTTTGACAGATCCAATGATGACTGCTCCCTGAGAGGCACAGCTTGACTTATTCTCTTCCCTATACATTTTTCCAGCTGCTTGCCCTACCAAACACCCACTGCTCCGTGTCTACCACCAGATACAAACCCACAGATAGGGCAAATCTCACAGAGGAGCAGCAGTTGGTCCAGAGATATGTTTTTAAAGAGGTAACAGTTGCTACACAGTCAGCAAATTTCAGATCTCTCCAAAAGCTCCCCCTTGGCTTGACCCTCTTCAATGGCCAGTCACATACAATTTTGAAGATTTTTCCTAAACTTGCATGCTTTCACCCATGCTAGTGCCTCAGTGAATTATGATTCGTTGCTGTTCCTCTGATCTCTGAACTCCCTAGACCCTTCCAGAAATTCTCTTTCTGCTTATCCAGGATTACGTAAATTCTAATTACTAAATATTATATTCCCATAAATGTAGTGGATTTATATTCTGACAGATTTCTAACTGATAAAATAACACATAAAAGTATATATTTTTTAAAATTTTGCTTTTTATATGCTAGTTTATTAAACTTTCTTGTTGTTCTACTGAATTCTAATTAGATTTTCTATGGAAACAAATACTTAACTCCTCCATTTCCAGTGGATGTAGTGGTTGTTTCTCATATTAGTTTAACAAAATTAATATTGATTCTTACTGCATTAGTGATTATAGTAGAGATGCCTCTAATGTGTCAACATAAGACAGTTTCCCCACCTTGAGATATTTTTCACCATATTGAAGTTAATCTTTCTCTTCTTGTTTGTGTTGATATTAAAGTGTCTTTGAATTTTGAAGAATTTGATCTCGCCACACTTGATTCCAGGAATATTTACCAACTTGTAATTACCTGTTAATAATATGGTGAATCATATTTGCTAAAATATGCTTTAGAGTTTTTCCCTTATATTTATAAGCAGGATTGCTTTATGTGTCAATCAGTGCCTTTAGTTGCAAACAACAAAGTTTCTTCCACACATTCAGGTCTCACACTGATCTAACTGGATTGGTAGAACTGGTTCCATAGATAAAAATGAGACTAGATTCTGCCCTTGTGGGAAACAAACAGAAAAATAAAAGGAACATAAAGATATTGGCGAGCCATGAATGGCAAATGTCCACTATTGTCTGTAAATTTTAAATATTACTTTGATCTGATTTTGTTATAAGAGATATCACAACTTCTTAATACAAAATTCTCCCAGTACATTATATTTTGTTTCTTAATGGTCTGAAATTAAATAGTTTAGGACTACAGGTCATACATTTTTATTCTCTGTTACCACCACTCAACTATGCCCCTGGAGAGCTAGAGCAGCCATAGACAATACATAAATCAGTAGATGTGATTGTGTTCCAAAAAAATTTTATGTACAAAAACAAGTAGCCAGCCCATGAGCCATAGTTGGCCAGTTCCCACTGTAGAACCATCATATACAGCATGAAACTGTTTCTTAAAAGTTATTTTTTAATTTTTTAAATTTTTTTGAAATGGAGTCTCGCTCTGTCACTCTGGCTAGAGTGCAGTGGTGTGATCTCGGCTCACTGCAACCTCCACCTCCCAGGTTCAAGCGATTCTCCTGCCTCAGCCTCCGAAGTAGCTGGGATTACAGGTGCCCACCACCCCATGCCTGGCTAATTTTTGTATTTTTGATAGAGATGAGGTTTCACCATGTTGGCCAGGCTGATCTTGAACTCCTAACTTCAAGTGATACTCCTGCGTCAGCCTCTCTAAGTGCTGGATTACAGGCGTGAGCCAGCACGCCCAGCCTGTTTTTTAAAAGTTTAAAAGGACTAATCCAATACAGATTATAAAATGGCAAACTTTGCCCTTTTTTGAGTTTTGTCTCTTATTTGATTTCTATTTATATCAGTTTGCTGGATGATTATTCATCCTATTATTTTAGCTTTATTAAGTTACTTTGTTTTTTGTTTTGTTTTGTTTTTGTTGCTGTTGTTTTCGCTGTGGTCCCTTGTAGATAGCATATATTGGATTTAGTTTTTAATCAGTTTTCAAGTTTTTTGATCTTTCAGCTATGCAAAAAGCACTAGAAGCTTGTTATTATACTTCTTTGAAGAATATATATTATAAATGTGAAATGTGAATGACTAATAGGTAGACATCTGGAATGAATATCAATAGACCAAACTATTTACTAACATTATAATGACAGTTATAACCATTGTTTGTAAGCATTCAGCTAGAAACAGATTTAAAAGAAAAAGTAATATAAATAACATGTGAACACATACCAATAATTATCTTCTCCATGAAAAATAAAAACGATAATTTTATTCCTGTTAATGGATATGTCAAACGTAAAGCTACCTAAAATATTTAAAATAATTAGCAAACATATAATAGTAAAAATAGTTTTATTTTTAGCAACAAATGAAAATGATTCCTCTCATGTTTCTTCCATTTAATATTTTGTATTTAAATTGTTTTCTTCATATTTAAAACTTCACAAATAATGTACTTTGGTTTCTGGCTTTATGGGGAATAGCATGCCCTAGGGCATGGATTCAGGTGCCCTAGTAAAAAGATCAAATCTCCAAAACTAATAACTAAATTATAGTTATAAATTTATGATGTACTATTTGTGTCACCGATTACAAAAACTTAATTTTCTGGGCCTCATTTACCTTTTCCTATAAAAATAGGAGAACTTTTTTTTTTCACATCAGGGAGTTTTAAGAAAATAAGAATACATACTTTTAAAATTCATTTCAAAACTATTAACTATCATACACATGTGAGATTTTATTGAACTATGTTCTCAATATTATTGTTGTTGCTCAGGATATTAACCACAGTATTAAAGGTTAAAACTTTTCTCCTTAATATCTTTGAAATTTAACATGATATTAAGATACCTATTTGTAACTAAGGGAACAGAGGCATTAAGAAAATTAGAGTAAACAGAAAAGTTTATGATAATTATCAGTTTGAAAGTTGGATTACCTTAACCACTTTAACAACGTATGTATAATGTTTGTGAAACAGTAACTATGTTACTGTACATTTTTAAATATCCTATATTGATATTTCTATGAAAACTTCTTTAATTATTATTTTAGAAAATCAAATTATTGAATAATAAATGTGAAATTTGTTTTGAAAAAATTATTTTAATGCATTTAAATATTATTTATCTATTCCATTTCAACATGTATATACTTTTTTAATGAATTGAATATAGTGAAGCATGTCCTTTTTTAAATTTTTTTGAGACAGAGTCTCACATGTCCTTATTTTTAAAAGTAAATTAGAAGGAGAAAAAAAAAAAACTCCCTGAGGTTTTGCTTGTCTTTTTTTCTTGCTTTCTCCTTCCCGTGGTTCTACTTCTCTTCCTTCGTAAATGCCCACTGTCTTCATTGGACCTTCTTATGAAGGCTCAAATCTCTCACTGTGACATCCCCATCTAAAATACCACCCTCCTGCCAAAAATATTTGAATTTTCAAAATTATCTTTTCTTTTCCCTGACCTTTGTCATCCATCAAAAAATCTGAGTCCCTTAATAAGACATTAGGATGAAAATAATTCAAATAGTCTACTTCATAATAATAAATAACAGGCTTTTAACCCTTCCTATGTTGTTTGTATTTGGAGAGCAGAACTAACAGAACTCTGATAAATTTTGTGACAAATATTATTTATAGAGTATGTTACTTTGAAGAACTAAATTTAGAACTGAGATGATTTTTGGAGGAACAGAGATCTCCTTTTGAATGTGTTTTATATTACGAGGACTAAGTTCTTCCCTTGGTGATGCTGCCTGCTGCATAAATCATTAAGTTTGGCATTAAATACCCAGTTCTCTTATTACTCCTGGAAATAATCATTTGTGCCCTCAGATAGATTTGGAATGATAATGGCAAATCTTCATGCAGTGGCTAACAATTAGGGAGGAGAATTTTTACTTCAAAGAACAGAGGCAAGCGTAACAGTATTATGTTTGGATTTAGCCCTATACATATCTCCCTGCAGCCCACAAGAACACATTTTCAGTTTAGTCTACATTGTACTGAGGAGTGACTGCAGTCTGGAACATTTAGATCATCTGGGAGCAGTTAGTCAGTCAGGGCAAACAGTACTGCATACCTTAATAGCTCTTAAGGGCTTCTTTCTAATACAGTTGAGTATCCTAACCAATGTTCATTATGATAAGCCTGAGTCATCAAGAAAAGGGTAAATTATGCTCAGCACACTCTGTTTATTGAGGAATAACCTTCTAACATGAAGATAGAAAAATCCTGCTTAGAAAAAAGAGAATCTAGCCACGGGAAGAGCAAAGCAGAGAGTCACTTGCCTTATTTCATTCCTCTCAGCAATCCTTTCCAGCTCTTTCAGGACAGAATTTGATTCAGGGACAAATTCTAGATCAATGTGAGATTCTTCCATATATCCATTAACATTTTCCAAGACAGGACACAAACCAACAGCTTTTTCATCATTCTGGGGTGCAAAATGCTCCCTGAGTCACTTGCTACAGATTATAATATCTCAGAGAACAATTTTTCTTTCAACCTGTTATTAACCCAATTACAGAAAGGAACAAATGTAGGGAACTGTGGTGTCAAGACAAAAAAATGAGAAAGCCCCATAATTTCTGCCCCCTACTCCACATCGTGTTCACTAACTATGGATGTTCCAGAAGAAAGAAAATGATCTAATTGAATAAGAACAATATAACTCAAAATCAATCTAACTGTGTCCACATTATACTTGCCTTTTTTTTTTTTTTTTTTTTTTGGACAGGGTCTCACTCTGTTACCTAGGCTATAGTGAGTGCAGTGGCACAAGGACAGCTCACTGCAGCCTCAACCTCCTGGGCTTGAGCGATCCTCCTGCCTCAGCCCCACAAGCAGCTGGGACTACAGATACACATCACCACTCCTGGCTAATTTTTGTAATTTTTGTAGAGAGAGAGTTCTGCCATGTTGCCCAGGCTGCTCTCAAATTCCTGAGCTCAAGGAATCCACCTCCCAAAGTGCTGGGATTACTGGTGTGAGCCACCATGCCCAGCTTTTACTTGCATTTTAACTATAATAATACACAATATCACAATCAAATCCCCTTGGTATTCTATCTTCATCTACAGCAATTAGACTCCTTTAAAAATGAATTTCAAATAAAGGTACATAAACATAAAGAAGATTTACTAAAAAGTGTGGAGAATACTCATACTTCTGAGGTTTCTTCTGATAATCACTTCTGTTATATTTAAGAATTCTAACTGCATTTTGAATTCATGTTTGTTTTTTAATTCAAATAACAAGATTAATAATAGCAAGATTTTAATAGCAAATTTATTTCTGAAAAAAAATAAGTAAAAGCATTAGAAAAGGTATAGAATGTTGAAAAAGGTTAAGAAAACAAATAAAAAATGTTTTCAAAACCTTTAAAGCATTCCTGCGTTTCTTATAAAAAAAAATTAAACATGAGACACATTTGACATTATAAACTTCAAAAGTCTCATTAAAATTCATGCAAGATTAGAAGCATGCAACAAAGGACAGATCCAATATATGTGTAATGAGCACAATGTAAAAATAATTTAAAATTTTTAATATTTTAAATTTAAAATCAAGCATGGTTAAATTCAAAGTTAGTATTTGCAGTTGAAAGGAGAGTATTATTCAGGCTGGGCTCAGTGACTTATGCCTGTAATCCCAGCACTTTGGGAGGCTGAGGTGGGCTGATCACCTGAGGTTAGGAGTTCGAGACCAGCCTGGCCAATATGGTGAAACCCTGTCTCTACTAAAAATACAAAAATTAGCCAGGTGTGGTGGAGCATGCCTGTAATTCCAGCTACTTGGGAGGCTGAGACGGGAGAATAACTTGAACCCAGGAAGTCAGGAAGTACCAGGTTTGCGTGATGTATCTCTACTAGGTCGGTTAAAGTTAGATGCCCTGCTACCGTTGTTCCTTCAGTCCTGGGATTCCCAAACCAACTCTTTTCCTCCTACTATCTTGCTCTCCTTTGATTGCCTCTTGTATTATTACCAGGGTTTATTTAAAGTTGTGCTTAGTGAGGAGGAACAAAAAAAATAATGGGTCTATGCCACCTTATCTTCAAGAACCACATGTGTTATCTCACATTCATAATTTACCAGTGATTTAATGGTTTTTGTGGACCTCTTATGAAAAATGAAATATTTGTTGTTAAAATTTGAAATATAAAAGGCTGAACACATATAAGGGTAATACTTCAGGAAGCAAGGAGATTTTCTTAGAAGCCAAATAGTATAAGATTTCCTCAAATTCTTTTTAAATTGTATTCCCAGTAGCATGGCAATCAATGAATCAAAATCATCAAGCAGGAATTGTCTAATATTATTATCTTTCAAAAAGATCTCTTGCCATAGGCATTCTAAGAATTACAGCATTCTAGAAAAAGCCCAACATCTGCTGTGGAACTTAAAAGATTACCTAAAATCTATAAGTTAATTGAACTAGTTTCCACTGGAGAATTGGGTGGGCATGGAAGAGACAGAGGAAGTGATATATTCTCCCACATTCAAACATTAGCTCTAGTTTACTACTATATGCTCAGATAGTATCCTCAGCAATTAGAACTGTGACTAGTAAAAAGTAGATGCTCAGTAAATATTTGTTGAATGTTTGAATAAATGAACTAATAGAAGTCCTTTACTCCATTATTAGAACAACAGTAGAAAAAAAGAAAGAGTAGGAAATCTATTTTATAAATGTAGGGCTAGTCACGCATACCTAAAGAGAAAGAGTCAGCTCTTACAGATAATTGAGGAAGGGAAGGAATGCAGAACTATGCCAATTATAACTATCAAACATTTGTAAGATTTTATCAGGCCCCT
The DNA here is from genome assembly GCF_000001405.40 of Homo sapiens. Lineage (NCBI taxonomy): Eukaryota > Metazoa > Chordata > Mammalia > Primates > Hominidae > Homo > Homo sapiens. Next base: position 183,809,566 of record NC_000002.12, on the reverse strand, counting down.
GTAACCCATTTTCAGCCAAATGTGCTTACTAATCCTTCTCAATTCTCTGAAACAAAGTAAATAAACTGAATATATTTCAACGTATTAGAACCAAGAACCACATGCGTTATCTCACATTTACAATTTACCAGTGATTAAATGATTATTGTGGCCCTCTTGCAAAAAATCAAATATTTGTTGTTAAAATGTAAAATCTAAAAGACTGAGAACATATGAGGCTAATACTTCAGGAAGTAAGGAGATGAAAATGCTCAAATTGAAAATGTCCATCAGTGAGGATGTTTCTGTTTTGTCATGTGCAAGAGAAAAATCAACAAGGATAGGCCAACTTGCAGCAACTAAGATGTAACTGCTTACCCTTTCTTCCTTAATATAGTGGTTAAACACGGCCAGGAGCGATGGCTCACACCTGTAATCCCAACACTTTGGGAGGCTAAGTCGGGTGAATCATGAGGTCAGGAGTTCAAGACCATCCTGGCCAAGACGGTGAAACCCCCGTTTCTACTAAAAATACAAAAAATTAGTTGAGCGTGGTGGTGGGTGCCTGTAATCCCAGCTACTCGGGAGGCTGAGGCAGAGAATTGCTTGAACCCAGGAGGCAGAGGTTGCAGTGAGCAGAGCTCGCACCACTGCACTCCAGCCTGGGCGACAGAGCAAGACTCTGTCTCAAAAAAAAAAAAAAGCGGCTAAACACATGGACTTCAAAACAAACTGTTAAGTCTAACTCCCATTTCTACCATTTTCTAGCTCTTCATATTTGGTAAAATTAATCAGGTTCAGCAGGCCTCTATTTCCTGATCTAAATAAGATAATGATAGTACCTAAATTACAGAGTTTTGGAGAGGATCTGATAAGTAAACATTTAGTGCATGTAAAGCACAGTGGCTGGTATATAGTAAATGTGACACAGTTGCTATTCTTTTCACCATATTAAGAAATTAATGTTTATTCAAGAAATATTCAATTTTTTTACTCTGTGCTGTTTTAATTGAAAATACGTTAATAGAAAACTCATTCATAATTGAGGTTATAGCCTGTTTTGTTAACACTGTCTATAAGTTCCTCTTTTGTAAGACATATGTCTTTCTTTCTTAACAATTCCTTAATCATTTTGTTTTCCAAACATCTTAATATATGTGAGTGTTATTTTTTGTTTTATGGCATAAAAAGAAGCTGATTTCAGAATCAGCTTATAAAGAATTTTGGATGTGTATGACATGTGTTAGTGTGAGAAATTGTACAGTCATAAACAAATTGTTTTTTAAAGTGAAAAGCTAAAAAAATTGGAAGTTTATGTGTTACATATTTTTAAAATTACATTCTAAGAAAGTATGAAGAGGAAAAAAGTGTACTAATGGGGAAAGAGACTACTGACTATTCAAATAAAAAGAAAATTGAATCAAATTGAAAGATAAATTATGTAATAAAAACAGTCTATTATATGTCACAGCCATCAAAATGTATGGTACTTTATTTGCGCTTAACCCTGACTTTCATATGCTTAGTCACTGAGGATTTCATTTTATTAGCTTGTTTACGATCCAAAACTCAGAAAACAGGTATTGCAGAAAAATTTTTCCAAAAGCTAAAAGTCACATCAATAATGGAGATTTTAAAATTTTTTCTACTACTGTAGGTTGGATTTTTAGAAAATACGTTTAGGTAGTTTATTAGTTTCAAGCTTAGTGTTCCACATACAATAATTGAAATGAGTGACAGATATAAAATAATCTCATATTTATTTGAAAATTTTCTAGTAGCTTGCACCAAAATTATTTTCTCTTAGAATAATGTATAAAGCTTTAATAGTACTGTTTAACTTCCTCCCATGAGTCATATTATGAAATATTTAACCATATAGAAAGTTGAAAAGAATATAATTAATATTCTTGTGAGTATCCTCCAGATTTAAAATATTTTGCAACTTCCTATATTTTCCAGAGTAACTTTTGTAAAAAAATAAAATGTTTTTAGAAAATGAAGCCTATCTTCTTACTATCTCCCAAATAATTTTCTCACATTCTTATAGAAGATAACTATTCCTAAAATGAAATCTTGTTCTTCCTAAGATATGTTGATTTTATTATTCTGTACATGTACATGTACCCACAAACAGTATGCAGTTTTGCTTTCCAGTTTTTAAACTTTAGAAAATGATAGTGCACACATTCTGCAATTTCCCTTTTTATTCAAAATGTAGATCCTTATTCATATTTGCAACTATAATTAATATATTCTTAACTTTTGTTTAATATATACCATGATGTAATTACCTAGTCACTATTGATGACCATTTAGGTTGTCTCCAACTTTAAATGATGAAAAGCAAACTACAGTGAATCTTATAACAGATGTCTGTTCGTGTGATATGCCAGAGTTTCTCTAGGAGATTTACTTATGTATGAAATCTTTGAGTTAAAGAGTATAATGCCAAATTCCAACTTCATTAGAAATTGCCAAATTCCTCTACAAAGTCACTGTAACATTTATAACACTGAAGTGGTGTCATTGTCTGTGGTAAATAGGATCACTGTCTCACACCAAGGGAATCAAGGATGTGGACACACAAAAAGTGGGTTTAAGAGCAGAGGTTTAATAGACTAAAGAAAGCAAACAGCTCTCTCTCCTGCAGAGAGAGAGAGGGGCGCCCAAATGTCTTCCAATTCACAGCGAAGTGCACGAGGGTCTTATAGACTGGCTTGAGGAGGTGGTATCTGATTTACATAGGGCCCAAAGATTGGTTGGACCAGGTGTGTCATTTACATATTACCAGAGGAAGCTGGCCACCCTACTTGCATAATCTTTATTAAGCAGATGGGTTCTCTATCTGGCAGGTACCATGTTGTCTATTCCTTACTGTATACATGGTTGACAAAGTAAAGGGAAGATGAAACCGCCATGTTGAACATGCCTAGCCCCCAGGTAGCCCTTTCTTATTGGCACAACTGCCACCATTCACCAGTGCAAGCTTCCAGATTGCTTATCTATGTCTGCAGCTCAATTTCACAGGCTGCTCTTTGTTAGAAAAGAAATGATTTTGAGACTACTGTTTAGTAAAAGGAAAACCTTACCACGGACTCTCTTACCCTCACTATCTGCCTAACTAATTTCTTTTTAACTCCTATATCAACACCATGAGAATTCTCATTTCTCCATATCCTTACTTGACAATCAGACACTTTAATTTTTGTCAGCTTTATGAATATAAATTGATAACTAAGTTTTGATTTTATTTTGATTTACTATTCTTTTACTATGACTGAACATTATGACTACGATTATATACATTGCTCATTTTATAAGGACTCTTTGCCTTTTTTTGTGGATTAGTTGAAGGTCATCATATTCTCAGATATCAAATCCAAGAAATTTGCATTTCCTGATGGCTAAAACATACACTACATTTTTTCCCAGTTTGTGTCTTGAAGTTAAAGTTTATGTTATTGCTTTTCAGTAAAAGTTTGTTTGTTTTCCATATTTAAACCTTAAAAATTTTGTCCGTTTTTATAAATATTGTGAGATGGAAATCACTTTCTCTTATCAATTATCTTTTATCAATCAGATGTATAACCAATTGCCTTAGTGATATAGAAATAACACTGAGTGGTTGCAGGAGGATGGAGAAACCCACCAACAGCTAAAACAAGAACAAGGCAAAGAAACTACAAGATAACGGAAAACCCAAAATAGGTAGAGAAAACAGCCAAAACCCTTGTCAGGGTGACATGTCCATGAGTTTTCTGGACAAAGCCAAATGAGAGAGAAAGTAGCTGATAACTGAGGGTTCCTGAAATCCCCTCCTTCTTCAGAATACCTAATGATTATTCTATCGCCTACTTAAAGAAAGAGTATAAAATAGGAATTTTATAGAATTTCCTATAAAATAGGAACACTAGGTGTTCACAGAAGCAGAAGAGTATCAAGCAGTAATTTCACATACCAGTAAGAAAGGAGCTGTTAAATTTAGCTACAAGGACAAGGATGAGCCTCGGCTCATAAGACCCTAACAAACAGGAAAGAGGCTAGGTTGGTTGAAACCAGCTAAATCCAACTTGAAATTGGATTTGGCCTGTGCCCCATCCAGATCTAATTATACACTCATTATTATACTAAATCACACACCCACCAGCGCCATGACACATCCAAGCATGCTCATACTTAGTGTAAAAATGGGTGGCACTCCCATTCTAAGAAATATCTACCTTTTTCCCAGAAAACCTCATGGCTATTCCACCCCCTAATTAGAAGAGCCCGTAACATTAGAAATCCAAACTCCACTCTGTGAGACACTCTCCTGAGGACGCTTGCACTCCCACTGTTCAGTGTGTACTTTTGCTTTGCAATAAAAGCTTCTTGCCTTTCACTTCATTCTGACTTGTCCCTGAATTATTTCTTGCAACAGTGTCAGGAATTTAGAACACTGGCTGGGACTGGGGTCTTAATGGCATCTGGAGACTCACCTAAGCCCTGTGGCAACACTAGAAAATATGTTAGTCAATTATTTCACCATATTTACAATAATACATTTTGGTCTCACTATTCTGTTTCATCAGTACAATTGTCTATTCCCGTATCAATATCACTGTGTCACTGTGTCAAATTCAACATAATCTTTAAATTATTAATATCTAGTAGTGTAAATCCTCCTAATTAATTGCTATTTTCCTATTTTATAGTAATTTCAGAATCAGCTTATGAAGAATTTTTCTAAAACTTCAATGTTAATAGATAAATTTGGGTAAAATTAATATCATTTTATATTGAGCTGTCTCCATTATTTATAACCTTTACAAATTCTAAAAGTCTATAAATTTGGAGTTGGATTTATTTCTATAGTAATTAAGGTGGTATGGTTTTAGAAAAGGGACAGACACATAGATCAATGGAAGAGACACATGTATAGAAATAGACACATATATCCATAGCAAAATTTGAGTATAATCAGCAAGACAGTGGAATAGGACTTTCCAGCAATTATCTTTTTACAGAAACATAAATTTGAACAATTAATCATATATAAAATCACCTCCACAAGAGCTAAGGGATCTAAGTGAGAGATTAGAGCACATAGGTGGAGCAAAGAAATATATTGAAGAGGGTAGGAAACTCAGTTTTATATTATTCCCTGTGCCCCCAAGCCCACACACTGCAGCATAAAAGAGATAATATCTGCATAGGGGATGGAGATGAAAGTGAGCACCTGACTTCACTATGGATTCCATCACTAAGTAGACCCCAGCAAACCTCAGCACCAAGCTAAGCCCCATGGCCACAGGCCCACCCAAGTACCAGGCCAAGCACCATAGACACAGGCTCTGGACCTACCCAGTGCCAGGCTGGACCTTATGGACAAAGGTTCCAGGCCTGACCCTAAAGACCCAATATCCAGGTTGACCCCAGAGCCAGGCTGACCCCTAAAGTGTCAGGTGGCATCTGAGGCCCCAGACTCAGCTCTGAAGATCCAATCGTCAGGCCCAACCCAGAGTCAGGCTGCTCAAAAGGTGTCAGCTGGTCCCCACGGACCAAGGCTCCAGGAAAGCCTTTGTGGACCCTAGTGCTAGGCCTACTCCAGCACCAAGCTTGCCCTCATGACCCCTGATTCCAGGTCATCCCATGCAGACTCAGGGTATAGACCCACTCAAGTACCAAACTGGCCCCTGCAGCCCCAGGCAAAAGGCCAGGCCCTATGGCTCCAGGTTAATCTCAGGCTCCAAAAGCTCTAAGTTCTAGCAGCCACTGGCAGCAGGCCAGCCAACCTAGATACAGGCTCTAGGCCAGCTCTCACAGATCCAGGCTCCAGTTCCAACTCAGTTGATACAGAAGCCAGGCCCACTCATGCAGACCCAGGCACTAGGCAAGCCCCTGTGGACCTAGGTGCCAGGCCTGCCTAACTCCTGACCTAGGCACCAGGCTAACCTACCCAAGGACTCCAGCAGTAAGCTCACCCATGAACCCCACCAGGTAGCTTGCACAAAATCTCTGGATAGGTTGACTGGTGAAGAGCTTTCCTTGCTGAAGGCAGTCTGTAAAGACAGAACAAGGTACCTACTTCAAATGCATATATGCCAGCAAAAAGCTATAGGAATCTCACACACACACACACACATACACACACACACACACACACGAGACCACCAAAGTAACAAAATAAAGCACTCGTAACCAATTGTAAAAAAATAGTGATTTGTCTTAAGGAAAATCAGTGAGCTATAAATAAACAAATAATTAATTAAATAACAAACAGAAACAGGTGATAAAAGGAATTGGAAAATACTATGTGAACAAAATGAAAATTTCAAAAAATAAGTGACAGAAAACACACAAAGAGCCAAACAGAAATTCTGGAGGTGGGAAACACAATTACCAAATCTTTAAAACTAAACAGAAAGTTTTAACAGCAGACTTGGTCAAATAGAAAAAAGAATGAACAAGCTTAAAAAGCAGGTTATTGGAAATAACCTAGTCACAGAAACAAAAAGAAGAAAGAATTCAAAAGAGTTTTAAAAGTCTATAGGGCTTGGTAACACTATTAACTAAACTAATATATGCATTATAAAAATTCCAGAAGAAGCAGAGAAATAAATAAAACTTATTTAAAAAATACTGACAGAAAACTTTCCAAATTTGGACAGGAAAATTAACAACCAAATCATGAAACTCAGAGAACCCAAAATAAATTAAATATAAAGATATCATTACTGAAACAAATTATAATCAAATTCCCAAAAGTCAAAGACAAAGAATTTTTGTATCAGCAAGAAAAGCAACTCATCAAAAACAAAGCAAACTCTATAGGATCAGCAGATTTCTCAGCAGAGACCTTGTAGGCCAAGAGAGAAAGAAATGATATATTCAAAGTACTGAAAAAGAAAAAAAAAAATGTCTGTCAACCAACAATCCTATACCCAGCAAGGCTATCCTTGAAAATGGATGAATAAATAATTTCTCACACAAACAAAAGCTGAGGGAGTTTGTCACCACTAGATCTGCATTATCAGAAATGTTAAAGGTAGTTTCTCAAGCTGAAATAAAAGGACATTAACAACATAAAAGCATATAAAAGTCTAAAACTCACTGGTAATGGTAAACATATAGCCAAATCCAGACTACTGTAATACTATGAGAGTGCTTGTTGCAAAATCACTTCCAGTATAAATGTTATCACATAAAAATATTTAAAATAACAAACTATAATAATTTGTCAATGCATATATAATACATAAAACATGTAAGTTTTGACATCAATAACATAAATTGTCAGAGAAGGAGAAGTTTAAAAAGGAGAATTTTTTTATGCAGTCAGGTAAGTTGCTATCAGATTAAAATAGACTATAATAATTTTAAGATGTTTGAAATAAACCTCGTGGTAACAACGAAGAAAAAAACCTGTTGTAGATACACAAAAGATAACGAGAAAGAAAGCAGGTCTATCACCATTGAAAACAATCATCAAACCATAAATGAAGATAATAAGAAAAGAAAAAAGGAACAAATAAACTATAAGACAGGCAGAAAACAACAAAATTATAAGAATATCAATAGTTAAAGATAAATAGATTAATTCTTCAATCAAAAGATAGAGTTGCTAAGTGGATTAAAAAAATAGTATCACTCAACATTGGAGCACCTAAATATAAAACGCAAATATTTTAAAAAACTAAAAGAAAAAATAGACAGTAATAGAGAAATAGAGTAATAGTAGGGGATTTCAAAACCTAACTTTTAACAATAGATAGATCACCCAGAAGAGAATAAATAAGAAAACAGCAGACTTGAATAACTCTATAGCCCAAATACCTGACAGACATATACAGAACACTCCACTCAACAGGAGCACAATATGCATTACTTTCAAGTGCATTATTTTCAAGTGCACATAGAACAGTCTCTACGATAGATCATATGCTAGGCCAAAATAGAAGTTTAAACAAATTTAAGAATATTGAAATAGTAAGTATCATTTCCAACCGCAATGATAGGAAATTATAAATCAATAACAGGAGGAAAACTGAAATATTCACAAATATCTAGAAATCAAACAACACCTGCTGAAAAACAAGTGCATGAAACAAGAAATCAAAAGAAAAATCAAAACATATCTTGAGACAAATGGGAATGAAAACACAAAACTGAAAAACTGACAGGATGCACCAATCATTCTAACCGGGGTCTTTACAGTGATAAATCTCTCCATAAAAGAAAAACACTTCATATAAGCAACCTAACTGAACATGACAAGAAATTACAAAATTAAAACTAAGCCCAAATTTAGCAGAAGAAAATAATAAAGAACAGAGCTGATGTAAATGAAATAGAGCTAAGAAGAAAAATAGAAAATATTAATATATCTCTCTTACTATCTTCATTTGTGGTTTGATGATTTTTTCCAGTGGTGATAGACCTGCTTTCTTTCTCTTTATTTTTTGTGTATCTACGACAGGTTTTTTTCTTTGTTATTACCATGAGGTTTGCATCAAACATCTTATAATCATTACAGTCTGTTTTAATCAGACAACAACTTATCTTAACAACTTCTCTGACTGCATACAAAAATTCTCCTCTTTAATGTCTCCTCCTCTGACAATTTATGTTATTGATGTCAAAACTTACATCTTTTATGTATTATGTATGCATTAACAAATCATTAGAGTTTCTGTTATTTTAAATATTTTTTATCTTATAACATTTATACTGGAGTTAAGTGATTTTGCAACAAGCACTCTTACAGTATTACAGTAGTCTCGATTTGGCTATATATTTACCATTACCAATGAGTTTTAGACTTTTATACACTTTTATGTTGTTAGTGTCCTTTCATTTTAGTGGAATGATTTATATTCCTTTGGATGTATACCCAGTAATGTGATTGCTGGGTCAAATGGTATTTCTGGTTCTAGATCCTTGAGGAATCACCATACTGTCTTCCACAATGGTTGAACTAATTTACATTACCACCAGCAGTGTAAAAGCATTCCTATTTCTCCACAGCCTATTTGCACAGCTGTGCAATAGATGCACAGCTTCTATCGTTTCCTCTCTTTTTAATAATCGCCATTCTGACTGGCATGAGATGGTATCTCATTGCGATTTTGATTTGCATTTCTCTGATGATTAGTGATCTTGAGCTTTTTTTCATATGTTTCTTGGCCACGTAAATATGGAGAAACATATAACCTACAAATACTGAATCATATAGTTATACAAAATCCCAATAGACTAATAACAACTAAGAAAACTGAATCAATAATTAAAAGTCTCCCAGCAAAGAAAAGCCCAGGACCTGATGGTTTTGTCATTAAATACTACCCAACATTCAAAGAAAAATTAATGGCAATCTTTCTCAAACTCTTCCAAGTAAATAGAAAAGGAGGGAACACTTACAAAATTATTCTATGTGTCCACTATTACCTTGATAACTAAGCCTGAGAAGGGCACTATAAGAAAGAAAGAAAGAATTACGGGCCAATATCCCTGAGGAAAATAGATGCAAATATCCTGAAAAAAATACAAACACAAACCGCATTCAACAAAAGGATCACACAATATGAGCCAGTGGTTTTTATACAGGACAATGCAAGAATGATTCAACATTTGCAAACAAATAAATGTGATAGACCACATTAACAGTATGATGGACAAACTTTGGATATAGTCAACTCAATAGAGGTAGAAAAAGCATTTGACAAACCACATCCTTTCATAATAAAAACTCTCAACAAATTAGGTATGTGCTTCAATATAATAAAGATTACATATGAAAAGCCGATAGCTAACATCATACTTACTGGTGAAAAGAAGAAAATCTTTTCCCTAAGATTAGGAACAAGAATGCCCATCTTTATGATTTGTATTCAACATAGTACCAAAATTATAGAGCAATTAGGTTACAAAACATCACAAATATTAGCCAAATCAGAAAGAGTAAAATTGACTGTTTTCAGCTGACAGTCTTATATATAGAAAGTCTTAAAGAATCTACCAAAGAAAGTAAAGAAGACAAAAATGCTGTAAAGTTGTAAAACAAAATCAACATATCTAAATCACTTACTTTTCATACACTAACAATGAACTACCCCCAAAACAGAAAAATAAACAATTCTACTTATCTGACTATCAAAATAATAAAATAGATAGGAATAAACTTAATGAGGAAGGTAAAAATTCTACATGACCAAAACTATAAGACACTGATAAAAGAAATTGAAGTTACAAATAAATGGAAAGATAATCCTGTGTTCATGAATTGGAATAAATAAAATTACTAAAAATGTCTATAATACTCAACGTGATTTAAAGATCAAATGGAGTCACTATTAAAATTCCAATGACATTTTCACCAAAATATAATAAAATAACATAAAATATATACAGAATCATGCAAGACTGAAAACTCAAAACAACTTAGATAAGAAAGAAAGCTAGGCAAATAATGTATGACTCAGACTCCAAAAGCAAATGCAACAAAAACAGAAATAAATTAATGAGACTTCATTAAACTAAAAAGCTTCTTCACAGTGAAAGAAATAATCATCAGAGTACACAGAAAACTCACAGAGCAGGAGAAAATATATGCAAACTACACATCCAGCAAATGACTAATATCCAGGATCTACAAGGAACTTAAATAAATCAGCAAGAATAAAACAGATAATCCCATCAAAAGTGGGAAAATGACACGAATAGATACTTAAAAATATATACATATACAAATGACCAACGAACATGAAAAAATGTTCCGTATCACTAATCAAGGAAATGCAAATTAAAACCACAATGAGATACCACCTTACCCCAGCCAGAACTATTCACAATAGCAGAAATGGAATCAACATAGATACCTATCAACAGTGAACTGGATAAAGAAAATGTGGTTCATACATATCATTAAATACTACACAGCCATAAAAAAAATGAAATCACACCCTTTGCAGCAACATAGATGCAGCTGGAGGCCATAATTCTGAGTGAATTAATGCAGAAACAGAAAACCAAACGTTGCATGTTCTTACTTATAGTGGGAGCTAAATTTGGGGTATGTACAAACATAAAGATGGGAATAAATGCTAGGGACTCCAAAAGGAGGTGGGGGGGTGGTAAGGACTGAAAAACTTCCTATTAGGTACTATGTTCACTATCTGGGTAATGAGATCAATTGAAGCCCAAACCCCAGCATTATGCAGTATATCCTTGTAAAAATCCTGCATACATACACCCTGAATCTAAAACTAAAATGGAAATTTATAAAAATAATTTGTCAAATTTTCTCAACATTTTCAAAGAATACAATTTTGTTCATTTTTTTATTTTTTTAATATTATCATTTCTTTACTATTTATTTACCTATACTTACCTTACTTTTCTTTTTCTATCCTCTTAAATTGCATGCATATGTTGTTGAGTTTTCATTAATTCTGCCCTTAATAAATAAATTTAAGGCTGTACATTTTTCTTTAATTAATGCTTTAGCTTAGTACTAATAAACTAAGTTTATTCTGTAGAAATTTTATGTAGGATTTTTTTTTGGTTTATTGCTCAATATTTTCATGTCCATATTGATTTTCTCATTGCCTTAGTCCATTTGTGATGTTTTAGTACATTTGAGATATACCAACATATCAGACTGGAGAGCTTGTAAATAACAAAAACGTATATCTTTGTTCTGAGGACAGGGAAATTCAAGTACAGGGTGCTGGCAGATTTAGTGTCTGTCTGGTGAAGAGCAACTTTCTAGTTAATAGACAGCATTTTCTCATTCCATCCTCACATGGTGGAAAAGGCAAGGGATCTCTTTAAGCCTCTTTTATAAGAACACTAATCATTGAGAATAGCCCCACCTTCATGACCTATTCACCTCCCAAAAGGCCTGCCTCATAATATCATCATCTCAAGGGTTAGAATTTTAACATATGAATTTTGGGAGACACAAACATTCAGACCATAGCACATAATATTCCATGAGTTATTTAGGAGTACATTCACAAATTTCTTTGTTTGTTTGTTTGTTTGTTTGTTTTATTTTTTTATTATACTTTAAGTTCTAGGGTACATGTGCACAATGTGCAGGTTTGTTACATATGTATACATCTCCCATGTTGGCATGCTGCACCCATTAACTCGTCATTTCCGTTAGGTATATCTCCTAATGCTTTCCCTCCCCCCTCCCCACTCCCCCCACCGCACAACAGGCCCTGGTATGTGATGTTCTCCTTCCTGTGTCCAAGTGTTCTCATTGTTCAATTCCCACCTATGAGTGAGAACATGAGGTGTTTGGTTTTTTGTTCTTGCAATAGTTTGCTGAGAATGATGGTTTCCAGCTTCATCCATGTCCCTACAAAGGACATGAACTCATCATTTTTATGGCTGCATAGTATTCCATGGTGTATATGTGCCACATTTTCTTAATCCAGTTTATCATTGATGGACATTTGGGTTGGTTCCAAGTCTTTGCTATTGTGAATAGTGCTGCAATAAACATACGTGTGCATGTGCCTTTATAGCAGCATGACTTATAATCCTTTGGGTATAGACCCAGTAATGAGATGGCTGGGTCAAATGGTATTTCTAGTTCTAGATCCTTGAGGAATCGCCACACTGACTTCCACAATGGTTGAACTAGTTTATAGTCCTGCCAACAGTATAAAAGTGTTCCTATTTCTCTTCATCCTCTCCAGCACCTGTTGTTTCCTGACTTTTTAATGATTGCCATTCTAACTGGTGTGAGATGGTATCTCATCGTGGTTTTGATTTGCATTTCTCTGATGACCAGTGATGATGTGTCTTCTGACTGCATAATGTCTTCTTTTGAGAAGTGTCTGTTCATATCCTTCGCCCACATGTTGATGGGGTTGTGTGTTTTTTTCTTGTAAATTTGTTTGAGTTCTTTGTAGATTCTGGATATTAGCCCTTTGTCAGATGAGTAGATTGCAAAATTTTTCTCCCATTCTGTAGGTTGCCTGTTCAATCTGATGGTAGTTTCTTTTGCTGTGAATAAGCTCTTTAGTTTAATTAGATCCCATTTGTCAATTTTGCTTTGCGTTTGGTGTTTTAGACATGAAGTTCTTGCCTATGCCTATGTCCTGAATGGTATTGCCTAGGTTTTCTTCTAGGGTTTTTATGGTTTTAGGTCTAACACTTAAGTCTTTAATCCATCTTGAATTAATTTTTGTATAAGGTGTAAGGAAGGGATCCAGTTTCAGCTTTCTACATATGGCTAGCCAGTTTTCCCAGCACCATTTATTAAATAGGGAACCCTTTTCCCATTTCTTGTTTTTGTCAGGTTTGTCAAAGATCAGAAGGTTGTAGATGTGTGGTATTATTTCTGAGGGCTCTGTTCTGTTCCATTGGTCTGTATCTCTGTTTTGGTACCAGTACTATGCTGTTTTGGTTACTGCAGCCTTGTAGAATAGTTTGAAGTCAGGTAGCGTGATGCCTCCAGCTTTGTTCTTTTGGCTTAGGATTGTCTTGGCAATGCGGGCTCTTTTTTGGTTCCATATGAACTTTAAGGTAGCTTTTTCCAATTCTGTGAAGAAAGTCATTGGTAGCTTGATGGGGATGGCATTGAGTCTATAAATTACCTTGGGCAGTATGGCCATTTTCACGATATTGATTCTTCCTACCCAAGAGCATGGAATGTTCTTCCATTTGTTTGTGTCCTCTTTTATTTTTTTGTGCAGTGGTTTGTAGTTCTCCTTGAAGAGGTCCTTCACATCCCTTGTAAGTTGGATTCCTAGGTATTTTATTCGCTTTGGAGAAATTGTGAATGGGAGTTCACTCATGATTTGGCTCTCTGTTTGTTTGTTATTGGTGTGTAAGAATGCTTGTGATTTTTGCACATTGATTTTGTATCCTGAGACTTTGCTGAAGTTGCTTATCAGCTTAAGGAGATTTTTGGCTGAGACAATGGGGTTTTCTAAATATACAATCATGTCATCTGCAAACCGGGACAATTTGACTTCCCATTTTCCTAATTGAATACCCTTTATTTCTTTCTCCTTCCTGATTGCCCTGGCCAGAACTTCCAACACTATGTTGAATAGGAGTGGTGACAGAGGTCATCCCTGTCTTGTGCCAGTTTTCAAAGGGAATGCTTCCAGTTTTTGCCCATTTAGTATGATATTGGCTGTGGGTTTGTCATAAATAGCTCTTATTATTTTGAGATAGGTCCCATCAATACCTAGTTTATTGAGAGATTTTAGCATGAAGGGTTGTTGAATTTTGTCAAAGGCCTTTTCTGCATCTATTGAGATAATCATGTGGTTTTTGTCATTGGTTCTGTTTATATGCTGGATTACGTTTATTTATTTGTGTATGTTGAACCAGCCTTGCATCCCAGGGATGAAGCCCACTTGATCATGGTGGATAAGCTTTTTGATGTGCTGCTGGATTCGGTTTGCCAGTATTTTATTGAGGATTTTTGCATCGATGTTCATCAGGGATATTGGTCTAAAATTCTCTTTTTTTGTTGTGTCTCTGCCAGGCTTTGGTATCAGGATGATGCTGGCCTCATAAAATGAGTTAGGGAGGATTCCCTCTTTTTCTATTGATTGGAATAGTTTCAGAATGAATGGTACCAGCTCCTCATTGTACCTCTGGTAGAATTCAGCTGTGAATCTCTCTGGTCCTGGACTTTTTTTCGTTGGTAGGCTATTAATTATTGCCTCAATTTCAGAGCCTGTTATTGGTCTATTCAGGGATTCAACTTCTTCCTGGTTTAGTCTTGGGAGGGTTACGTGTCCAGGAATTTATCCATTTCTTCTCGATTTTCTAGTTATTTGCATAGAGGTGTTTATAGTATTCTCTGATGGTAGTTTGTATTTCTGTGGGATCGGTGGTGATATCCCCTTTATCATTTTTTACTGTGTCTATTTGATTCTTCTCTCTTTTCTTCTTTGTTAGTCTTGCTAGCAGTGTATCAATTTTGTGATCTTTTCAAAAAAAATCAGCTCCTGGATTTGTTGATTTTTTGAAGGTTTTTTTGTGACTCTATCTCTTTCATTTCTTCTCTGATCTCAGTTAGTTCTTGCCTTCTGCTAGCTTTTGAATGTGTTTGCTCTTGCTTCTCTAGTTCTTTTAATTGTGATGTTAGGATGTCAATTTTAGATCTTTCCTGCTTTCTCTTGTGGGCATTTAGTGCTATAAATTTCCCTCTACACACTGCTTTGAATGTGTCCCAGAGATTCTGGTATGTTGTGTCTTTGTTCTCGTTGGTTTCAAAGAACATTTTTATTTCTGCCTTCATTTCGTTATGTACCCAGTAGTCATTCAGGAGCAGGTTGTTCAGTTTCCATGTAGTTGAGCAGTTTTGAGTGAGTTTCTTAATCCTGAGTTCTAGTTTGATTGCACTGTGGTCTGAGAGATAGTTTGTTATAATTTCTGTTCTTTTCCATTTGCTGAGGAGTGCTTTACTTCCAACTATGTGGTCAATTTTGGAGTAGGTGTGGTATGGTGCTGAAAAGAATGTATATTCTGTTGATTTGGGGTGGAGAGTTCTGTAGATGTCTATTAGGTCCACTTGGTGCAGACCTGAGTTCAATTCCTGGGTATCCTTGTTAACGTTCTGTCTCGTTGATCTGTCTAATGTTGACAGTGGGGTGTTAAAGTCTGTCATTATTATTGTGTGGGAGTCTAGGTCTCTCTGAAGATCTCTAAGGACCTGCTTTATGAATCTGGGTGCTCCCATATTGGGTGCATATATATGTAAGATAGTTAGCTCTTCTTGTTGAATTGATCCCTTTACCATTAAGTAATGGCTTTCTTTGTCTCTTTTGATCTTTGTTGGTTTAAAGTCTGTTTTATCAGAGACTAGGATTGCCACCCCTGCCTTTTTTTGTTTTCCATTTGCTTGGTAGATCTTCCTCCATCCCTTTATTTTGAGCCTATGTGTGTCTCTGCACGTGAGATGGGTTTCCTGAATACAGCACACTGATGGGTCTTGACTCTTTATCCAGTTTGCCAGTCTGTGTCTTTTAACTGGAGCATTTAGCCCGTTTACATTTAAGGTTACTATTGTTATGCGTGAATTTGATCCTGTCATTATGATGTTAGCTGGTTATTTTGCTCGTTAGTTGATGCAGTTTCTTCCTAGCATCGATCTTTATAATTTGTCATGTTTTTGCAGTGGCTGGTACTGGTTGTTCCTTTCCATGTTTAGTGCTTCCTTCAGGAGCTCTTGTAGGGCAAGCCTGGAGGTGACAAAATCTTTCAGCATTTGCCTGTCTGTAAAGTATTTTATTTCTCCTTCACTTCTGAAGCTGTACTGCCGTGATCTTGGCTCGCTGCAACCTCCCTGCTTCGGGCTCCCGTGATTCTCCTGCCTCAGCCTGCCGAGTGCCTGGGATTCCAGGCAGGCGCTGCCACTCCTGACTGGTTTTTGTATTTTTGGTGGAGATGGGGTTTTGCTGTGTTGACCGGGCTGGTCTCCAGCTCCTGGCCTCAGGTGATCTGCCCACCTCGGCCTCCTGAGGTGCTGGGATTGCAAACGGAGTCTTGCTCACTTAATGCTCAATGTTGCCAAGGCTGGAGTGCAGAGGCGTGATCTTGGCTCGCTACAACCTCCACCTCCCAGCCTCCTGCCTTGGCCTCCCAAAGTGCTAAGATTACAGCCTCTGCCCGCCCGCCACCCCGTCTAGGAAGTGAGCAGCATCTCTGCCTGGTCACCCATCATCTGGGAAGTGAGGAGCGCCTCTGCCCAGCCGCCACCCCATCTAGAAAGTGAGGAGCGTCTCTGCCTGGCCACCCATCATTTGGGATGTGAGGAGCACCTCTGCCTGGCTGCCCCATCTGGGAAGTGAGGAGCGCCTCTGCCTGGCCACCCTGTCTGGGAGAAGTGAGGAGTGCCTCTGCCCAGCTGCCACCCCGTCTGGGAAATGAGGAGCGCCTCTGCCCAGCCACCACCCGGTGTGGGATGTGAGGAGCATCTCTGCCTTGCCGCCCTGTCTAGGAAGTGAGGAGCACCTCTGCCTGGCTGCCCCAAATGGGAAGTGAGGAGCGCCTCTACCTGGCCGCCCCATCTGGGAAGTGAGGGGCACCTCTGCCCACCTGCCCCGAATGGGAAGTGAGGAGCGCCTCTGCCTGGCCGCCCCATCTGGGATGTGAGGAGTGCCTCTGCCCGGCCGCCACCCCGTTTGGGAGGTGAGAAGCACCTCTGCCCAGCTGCCCCATCTGGGAACTGAGGAGCGCCTCTGCCCGGCCACCCCATCTGGGAACTGAGGAGTGCCTCTGCCCGGCAGCCGCCCTGTCTGGGAGGTGAGGAGCGTCTCTGCCCGGCAGCTGCCCCATCTGGGAGGTGAGGAGCACCTCTGCCCGGCCGCCCCATCTGGGAAGTGGGGAGCGCCTCTGCCCAGCTGCCCTGTCTGGGAAGTGAGGAGCGCCTCTGCCCAGCTGCCCCATCTGGGAGGTGAGGAGCGCCTCTGCCTGGCTGCCCATCGTCTGGGAAGTGAGGAGGGCCTCTGCCCGGCCGCCCCATCTGGGAGGTGAGGAGCACCTCTGCCCAGCCGCCCCGTCTGGGAGGTGAGGACCACCTCTGCCCTGCCACCCTGTCTGGGAGGTGAGGAGCACCGCTGCCCGGCCGCCCCATCTGGGAGGTGAGGAGCGCCTCTGCCTGGCTGCCCATCATCTGGGAAATGGGGAGCGCCTCTGCCCAGCTGCCCCATCTGGGAAGTGAGGAGCGTCTCTGCCAGCCTGCCCATCATCTGGGAAGTGAGGAGTGCCTCTGCCCAGCCACCCATCGTCTGGGATGTGAGGAGCGCCTCTGCCCAGCCACCCCGTCTGGGAAGTGAGGAGCGCCTCTGCCCAGCTGCCCCATCTGGGAGGTGTATCCAACAGCTCCAAAGAGACAGCGACCATTGAGAATGGGCCATGATGACGATGGCGGTTTTATTGAAAAGAAAAGGGGGAAATGTGGGGAAAAGAAAGAGAGATCAGATTGTTACCGTGTCTGTGTAGAAAGAAGTAGACATAGGTGACTCCATTTTGTTCTGTACTAAGAAAAATTCTTCTGCCTTGGGATGCTGTTAATCTATAACCTTACCCCCAACCCCGTGCTCTCTGAAACATGTGCTGTGTCAACTCAGGGTTAAATGGATTAAGGGTGGTGCAAGATGTGCTTTGTTAAACAGATGCTTGAAGGCAGCATGCTCCTTAAGAGTCATCACCACTCCCTAATCTCAAGTACCCAGGGACACAAACACTGTGGAAGGCCACAGGGACCTCTGCCTAGGAAAACCAGAGACCTTTGTTCACGTGTTTATCTGCTGACCTTCTCTCCACTATTATCCTATGACCCTGCCACATCCCCCTCCAAGAAACACCCAAGAATGATCAATAAATACTAAAAAAAAAAAAAAAAAAAAAAAAAGAAGACGACAAATAGGCAACAGGTATGTAAAAAAAGCTCAACATCAGTAATCATCAGAAAAATGCAAATCAAAACCATAATGAAATATAATCTCACCCCAATTAAAATACTATTGTCAAAAAGACAAAAAATAGGCCAGGCTTGGTGGCTCACGCTTGTAATCCCAGCACTTTGGGAGGCCAGGGCAGGTGCATCAGTTGAGGTCACAAGTTGGAGACCAGCCTGGCCGACACAGTGAAACCCTATCTCTACTAAAAATACAAAAATTAGCTGAGTATGGTGGCATGCACCTGTAATCCCAGCTACTTGGGAGGCTGAGGCAAGAGAATCTCTTGAACCTGGGAGGCAGAGGTTGCAGTGTGCTGAGATTGATTGTGCCACTGCCCTCCAGACTGGGTGAGAGCAAGAGCCCATCTAAAAAAAAAAAAAAAAAGACAAAAAATAACAAATGCTGGCAAGGTTGCAGAGAAAAGGGAACTCTTATACACTGGTGGTGAGATTGTAAATTAGTACAGCCATTATGGAAAACAGTATGAAGGTTTCTCAAAAAACTAAAAATAGAATTACCTATGATCCAGCAATCCCACTTCTGGGAATTTATCCAAAGGAAAGGAAATCATTACATTAAAAAGACACCTGCACCTCCATGTTAACCACAACACTATTCAATATGGCTAAAATATGGAATCAACTTAAGTGTCTATCAACAAATGAATAAAGAAAATGTGGTGTATATTAAAAAAAAAAAAGAATGTTGAATATTGGGCCCCACTCTCTTCTGGCTTGTAGAGTTTCTGCCGAGAGATCCGCCGTTAGTCTGATGGGTTTCCCTTTGTGGGTAACCCGACCTTTCTCTCTGGCTGCCCTTAACATTTTTTCCTTCATTTCAACTTTGGGGAATCTGACAATTATGTGTCTTGGAGTTGCTCTTCTCGAGGAGTATCTTTGTGGTGTTCTCTGTATTTCCTGAATTTGAATGTTGGCCTGCCTTGCTATGTTGGGGAAGTTCTCCTGGATAATATCCTGCAGAGTGTTTTCCAACTTGGTTCCATTCTCCCTGTCACTTTCAGGTACACCAGTCAGACCTAGATTTGGTCTTTTCACATAGTCCCATATTTCTTGGAGGCTTTGTTCACTTCTTTTTACTCTTTTTTCTCTAAACTTCTCTTCTCACTTCATTTCATTCATTTGATCTTCAATCACTGATATGTCTCCTTCCAGTTGATTGAATCGGCTACTGAAGCTTGTGCATTCGTCACGTAGTTCTCGTGCCATGGTTTTCAGCTCCATCAGGTCATTTAAGGACTTCTCTACACTGGTTATTCTAGTTATCCATTTTTCTAATCTTTTTTCAAGTTTTTTAGCTCCTTTGCTTTGAGTTCAAACTTCCTCCTTTAGCTCAGAGAAGTTTGATTGTCTGAAGCCTTCTTCTCTCAACTCGTCAAAGTCATTCTCCTTCCAACTTTGTTCCATTGCTGGCCAGGAGCTGCATTCCTTCAGAGGGGGAGAGTCGCTCTGATTTTTAGAATTTTCAGCTTTTCTGCTCTGTTTTTTCCCCATCTTTGTGGTTTTATCTACCTTTGGTCTTTGACGATGGTGACGTTCAGATGGGATTTTGGTGTGGATGTCCTTTCTGTTTGTTAGTTTTCCTTCTAACAGTCAGGACCCTCAGCTGCAGTTCTGTTGGAGTTTGCTGGAGGTCCACTCCAGACCCTGTTTGCCTGGGTATCAGCAGCAGAGGCTGCAGAACAGTGAATATTGCTGAACAGCAAATGTTACTGCCTGATCCTTCCTCTGAAAGCTTTGTCTCAGAGGGGTACCTGGCTGTGTGGGGTGTCAGTCTGCCCCTACTGGGGGGTGCCTCCCAGTTAGGCTACTTGGGGGTCAGGGACCCACTTGAGGAGGCAGTCTGTCAGTTCTCAGATCTCAAACTCCGTGCTGGGAGAACCACTACTCTCTTCAAAGCTGTCAGACAGGGACATTTATGTCTGCAGAGGTTTCTGCTGCCTTTTGTTCGGCTATGCCCTGCCCCCAGAGGTGGAGTCTACAGAGGCAGGCAGGCTTCCTTGAGCTGTGGTGGGCTCCACCCAGTTCGAGCTTCCTGGCCACTTTGTTTACCTACTCAAGCCTCAGCAACGGCGGGTACCCCTCCCCCAGCCTAGCTGCTGCCTTCAAGTTTGATCTCAGACTGCTGTGCTAGCAATGAGCGAGGCTCCGTGGGGTGGGACCCTCTGAGCCAGGCACGGGATATAATCTCCTGGTGTGCCATTTGCTAAGACCATTGGAAAAACACAGTATTAGGGTGGGAGTGACCCGATTTTCCAGGTGCCATCTGTCACTGCTTCCCTTGGCTAGGAAAGGGAATTCCCTGACCCCTTGTGCTTCCCAGGTGAGGCAATGCCTCGCCCTGCTTTGGCTCACACTTGGTGGGCTGCACTCACTGTCCTGCACCCGCTGTCTGACAAGCCCCAGTGAGATGAACCCGGTACCTCAGTTGGAAATGCAGAAATCACCAGTCTTCTGTGTCACTCATGCTGGGAGCTGTAGACTGGAGCTGTTCCTATTCGGCCATCTTGGAACCACCTCCCACATTCACAAACTTCTAATCAAATGAATTTTAGCATTTCTGTTGATTTTTAATTATATTAATCATGGTCTCAGAATATATAGGATGGAAATTTCTTGAAATTAGCTGAGACTTTCTTTGAAAAATAGAACACAAAAGTTATTATAAATGATTAATTACTAATTTTTTATTTTATATATTTTAACAGCAACTTGCCCTTTGAGAGCATTCTCTGTATTTCATTCTTCCCTATGTTGGCATGGAGCTTTGACTATAGTAATAATTACAGCCAGTGTTAACAATGAAATCCAAAATACATTTCAACCTCAATAATTCAAAGAAATATGCATAAGATAAAATATTATTATTTTGTGGGGCAGACTGTAGAATGTGTAGAAGAAATTATAAAGGATATTTTCAGAGGGAAGGTAAAGACACTGGGATTAAGAGTTTCAAATTAAAAAGAACTAATGAAGGCTGTTTGAACTATGGATAGGATAAAATAGCACTTTAGGAAGATTTAAAAAAAACTTGCCTGGGATTGAGGAGGTTCAACAGACATGAATTCTTAAATTTCAAAATTAACCAGAAATTCTTTGAGATTTAAACTGGATTTTGTGGCTTATGTAACACTTTGTTCATGAACCCCAGTATCTGATCTGAATTTATTGACAGATGAAAAGATTCAAATTTAAAAATCTGCCTACTCCTTGGGAGCTAAAAACAAACAAAACAGAAAACACTTAACTATATAGATGTCAAGATTCTGAGATAGACTTCAAAAAATAAAATCTACTCACTTAAGACAAGAGAAAAGCGAGTTTGTGGAGCAGCCATAGTGACACTAGCAGCTGTGGTCAGGAAAATAGCCATAATGGCAGAAGACTGGCTGCCCAGGAAGATAAGGTTACCAAGGAAGTCAAGTTCAAAATCCAGGAACAATGTAATGGCAGTGGTGCAGGACGAGAGAGACCAAAGCATTGGTCAGGATCTCTTGTATAATTATTTCCTTTCTTAAAAGTATTTGCTGTAAGTTGACTGCAAAAACCACAGGTACTATAAGTAAGACTGAAATTTTCTGCTTGACCAAATTTCTGAGGCTTTAGACAATGTGACCCTAAGAAGAAATATTTGGCATATTATTTTTATTATAATAATACATTAACTTACACTAGGTAAAAATTTTAAAGGGAAAACCCTATTTTAATAGAATACATATTATCTAATCTTTTATCGAGATGTATGTGACATAGAATATATGGCACATAACAACCTTTATTGCTATAAAAAAGGAAAAGCACTCTTTGAAGCATTCTTTATCTTTGAAGAAAAGGGAAGGGAGAGAAAAAGCAGTATGTAGTTTCAATCTATTTCATTTCCAGATGTTTCTACTCACAAAGATAAAAAAAAATTGTAAAAACTATTATTCTTTGCTTATTCTTACCACTGTCCATTTTTACCCAGAAAAAAACTTTAACTTGATTTATTTTTAAGGATTATTTATAAATAAATACTCTGTGAGACTTCTTTATATATGTTTCACTCACTTAAGATAATTAATATTAAGGCACCATGCCACTGTCTTTTTACATGCAGTAAATCCTTATAAATTTTAGTGACAGGGCTAGAAATTTGACGTTTGCATAGGAAAAAATTAAATGTAAACATATAAAAAGAGGCTTCTCTGAATTTTTTTACCCCTAAGTGCAGAATTCATTAGCCCATTATAACAAATGGGAACTAATACATAATTTAAAAAAAAGAATGAACACTATTCTAGTGGATCTCTGAGAACAGAAAGAATTCTCTTGACAATAGAATAGCAGCTACTTCGAAAGATACATGCACAGTGTATTAAGAGCCTAATGATAAGGAAGAAGAAAATCAAAGATATCTGCATTAGTAAAAGTGAATTATGTATGTGCTATCCTCTCACTGAGCTCACCATGAGTTACAACTCAAACCTACTGAAATTGTAAAAAAGAATGATGACAATTAATTAAAGTTACCATTTTTAACAGTGGTTGATGTGTTATGATGTCGGATGTGTTTTATCTTTTGAAAAGTGTAAAACTTTGTAGCTTCTAGTCCCAAAGCAGCCACTGCAGTGCACAGCAGTGTAACAAAGAGTGGCAACTGAAAATGGAAAATCTTTCATTTTGCCCACATAACCCTATGAGAATTCTCCCTTCATGGTAAATGAATTCTGGGCTGAGGTTGAAATATTTTCTGTCTTAATATTGGGGTTCATATTAGGTTGCTTTTACTTTTATCTCAAAATGAGAAACATACAAATACACAAACTTCCTGGTTAAACACCACGAAAGTATTTTATTTCCAACATTTACCATCCTTCAGGCAACTAGGAGAAGAAAAGAAAATCTCTATAAAGAAGTGAATTCTCATAATCTTGCTCCTCTAAGATACCTCTAAGATACTTGCTCCACATACCACTGGAACGAAAGAGCAATAGGTAGTCAAAACTCAGCATTCTACACTTCTGTTAGGATTGGGTCTTTCCTCTTTACTTTAGGTGAAAAGAGCACCTTTATGAGCAGGTTTTTGAAGATACATCATACCAATAAAGTTAGAAGACATTCTTCTACTGAATTAAAATGTTCCACAAAGAAAGAACCAAGATTTATGAAGCCTTTGGTGTCATCCTAATTCTTAGCAATTACTGCCTGTTGTGTTCACCTGTCTGTGAAAGGGCCGAGAAAGTTAAGCCCAGAAAGTATATTCTTAGGACTTGCTCCCCATATAGGAAATAGGCTATTGTCATCAAATAAGTTGACATTTTCCAGGAAGAGAACAGACTGTGAAGAGGGACTTGGTTCCTGATCTGCTATGTTTTAGCTGTGTGAACATGAGCCACTGTATAACCTTTCTGAATCTCAGTTTGCATATATGAAAAATTAGAACAATATCATCCATCTCACAAGATGATTGAGAAGGATTAAATGAAAGACCTAATAAATAGCAAGAATTCAACACTAGTTACTTTCAATATTAATCATTTAAAAGAAATCATGTAATAAATGTAGTTGCTCGTTTGATCATTGGACAAGTATTTATTGAACATCTATAATTTGTAAATACTTCCATCTCTCCAATAGGTACATTCCTGACTTTCTCAAAGAGTTATTTATCATCATTGTTTCTCTTTTTCCATATATTATTTACACTTTCAACTCATTTCCATGCATCCCCTGCCACTATGCCATCAAAACAAATCACTCTAACAATGAATTCCATGTTGCTAAATCTAATGGAAAATTGTCCTCTTTTAATCTACTCTTCAATTTCTTTCACCAGCCCATCTTCTTCAACTCAACTTTTAAATGTGTGAATTTTTCAAGATTTTATTTTAGTCTCCTCTTCCCATTCTACCCTTTCTTTTTGCTTATTCTAATCTACACATATTTATTCCCAGTCTGGAACTGTTGCTTAAGTAACAACCTATCTATCAAACTTCCACCAACACTTTCCTTGAAAAAAACCTCAAATTCCACATATCTAAAATTGCACTCATCCTCATTTCTTCTAAATTAGTCCACCATCTCTGCAGGCCGATTGCTAGGGAATCATCTTTTGATACATCGTTCTCCTTCATCTTCCATTCCAATTATCCACAAATCATATAAACTTTATTTCCTAAATATTCCTGTAACCCATCAACTTGTCTCTGACTCCACTGTTACGACTCCCATATATTATCATGTCCAGCATGGACTAGGAATCCCCTTTTTACCTTAGCTCTCCATACTCTCTTGCCCCCCTCTAATCCATTCTCTACAGGATAAAGTTTTCTTAAAATGAAAAACTGATCATATTACTCTCTAGATTAAAATGGTTTGCTTTTAGAATAAAGAAAAAGAAAAAACATGTGACATGAGCTAAGAGGACATTATAGATGAATGATTTTTTCCCTATCGGCTTCTTCAGTGTCATCTCAGATTATTATTTTCTTATTCACTTTGCTCCAGCCAAGGGTCCCTCTTTCAATTCCACTAATTAGCTATGCTTCTGTCTACCTCAGACTCTTAAAGAATATAGTGCGTCCTCTGGAATACTCTTTCCTAGCTCAACTCTTTTCCTACTTGAGTTATAATAATTTTCCAGATGTCAGTTCCAATATCAGTTTTTCAGTTAAGCCCAGGTTAGTTTGCCCTGTTATAAGCTCTAAGGTTTCTTATATGTCTCCTCCATTTAACTATATTTTGCCAATAGGTATTTCCTGTATAATTGCTTCATTAATGTAATTTCCTATATATACTTCAGGAGGAAGGGTCTATCTGCCAAACTTATCATAATAAACCCAGAGACACAAAAACAGCATGAGAATGATTAATATTAGGCAATATGTACACATTTTTAAAGTTAGAAATGAATAGACAGATGAGTGAATACTCTCCAGGGAGATAGAAATATATATATACACACACACATACACACACACACATATATACTATATGTGTATATATGTGTGTATATATTCTACATGTATACACATGTATATGTATACATATATACATACTATATGTGTATATATGTATATATACTGTGTGTGTGTATATATATACACACGCACTATATATACTATGTGTATGTGTATATATGTATGTATACACAATACTATATATATAGTATAACTGAATATTTAGCATGTTTTAAATTGCCAAATGAACTATTGAAGGTCAAAAGAAGATTAGGTAAGGAGAGATAAAGTGGTCTTCATCTTTTGGGTCTCATATGTATGAAAAGTTTTATATTTGCCATTAAGTATAGGGTGATCAGTTTTATTAGTCCATTCTCATACTGCTATAAAGATCATACCTGAGACGGGTTAATTTATAAAGAAAAGAGGTTTAATTGACTCACAGTTCTGTATGGCTGGGGAGGCCTTGGGAAACTTAGAGTCATGGTGGAAGGCGAAGAAGAAGTAAGCACCTTCACAAGGTGGCAGGAGAGAAACAGAGATGGGGAAGCACCAGAAACTTTTCAAATAACCAGATCTCATGAAAACCCACTGACTATCATTAGAACAGCAAGGAAGAAATCCACTTCCATGATCCAATTACCTCCCATTAGGTCCATCCCTCAATACATGGGGATTACAATTTGAGATGAGATTTGGGTGGAGACACAGAGCCAAATCATAGCATTCCACCTCTGGCCCACTCCCAAATTTCATGTCATTTCACATTTCTAAACCAATCATATTGTCCCAACAGTTACCAAAATCTTCACTCATTCTAGCATTAACTCAAAAGTCCAAGTCCAGTTTCATCTGAGGCAAGGCAAGCCCCCTCTGCTTATGAACATGTAAAATCAAAAATAAGGTAGTTTTCCAAGATACAATGGGGTACAGGCATTGGTTAAATGTTCCCATTCCTAATGGAAGAAATTGGCCAAAACAAAGGGGCCACAGTCCCCATGCAAATCTAAAACCCAGCAGGACACTCATTAAATCTTAAAGCTCCAAAATCATGTACTTTGACTCCATGTCTAACATCCAGGGTACATTGACTCAAGGGGTGGGCTCCCACACTCTTGAGCAGCTCTACCTTTGTGGCTCTGTAGGGTACAGTCCCCATGGCTGCTTTCATGGACTGGCATTGAGTGCCTGTGGCTTTTCCAGGCTCACAGTGCAAGCTGTCAGTGACCATTCTGGAGTCTGAAGGATGGTGGCCCTCTTCTCACAGCTCCCCTAGGCAGTGCTCCAGTGAGAATTCTGTATGGTGTCTCCAATCTCACATTTCTCTGCTGCACTGCACTAGCAGAGGTTCTCCATGAGGGTTCCACACCTGCAGCAGACTTCTACCTAGACATTCAGGAGTTTCCATACATCTTCTGAAACCTAGGCAGAGTCTCCCAAAGCTCAACTCTTGTCTTCTTCATACCTGCAGGCCCAACACCACATGGAAAGTCGCCAAGGCTTGGGGCTTGTTCCCTCTGAAGCAATGGCCCAAGCTGTACCTTGGTCCCTTTTAGCCACAGCTGGAGCTGGAGCAGCTGGGACTTAGGGCACCACATTCTGAAGCTGCACAGAGCAGCAGGGCCCTGGCCTGGCCCACAAAGCCATTTTTTCCACTAGGCCTCCAGGCCTGGGATCTGTGGGGCTGCCATGAGATCTCTGACATCCACTGGAGACATTTCCCCATTGTCTTGGTTATTAACATTCAGCTCCCCATTATTTATGTAAATTTCTGCTGCCAGCTTGAATTTCTCTTCAGAAAATGGGATGTTCTTTTAGACCAAATGGTCAGGCTGCAAATTTTCCAAACCTTTATGCTCTGCTAGCCTTTTAAACATAAGTTCCAATTTCAAATCATCTCTTTGTGAATGCATAAAACAGAATCCTTTCAGAATAGGCCAGGTCACTTCTTGAATGCTTTGCTGCTTAGAAACTTCTTTCACCAGATACCCTAAATCATCTCTCTCAAGTTCAAAGTTTCACAGATCTCTATGGCAGGGGCAAAATGCTGCCACTGTCTTTGCTAAAGCAAAGCATGAGTGACCCTTACTACACTTCCCAGTAAGTTTTTCATCTCCAAGACCACCTCAGCTTGGACTTCATTGTCCATATCACTATCAGCACTTCGATCAAAACCATTCAACAAGTCTCTAGGAAGTTTCAAACTTTACCACATCTTCCTGTTTTTTGAGCCCTCCAAACTGTTTCAACCTCTGCTGGTTACCCTGTTCCAAAGTAACTTCCACATTCTCAGGTATGTTATAGCAATACCTCACTACCTTGGTACCAATTTCCTGTATTAGGCCATTCTCACACTGCTCTAAAGATACTACCTGAGACTGGGTAACTTATAAAGAAAGGAGGATTAACTGACTCACAGTTCTGCATGGCTGGGGAGGTCTTGGTAAACTTAGAGTCAAGATGGAAGGTGAAGAAGAAGCAAGCACCTTCTTCAAAAGGTGGCAGGGGAGAGAAGGCAGAAGCACCAGACACTGATCAAACAACCAGATCTCATGAGGACTCACTATCATGAGAATAGTAAGGGAAAAATCCGCCCCCAGGATCTAATTACCTCCTACAAGGTCCCTCACTCGACACGTGGGGACTACAATTTGAGATGAGATTTGGATGGGGACACAGAGCCAAGCCATATAATCAATTTATGTCCAGTTTAAAGGGTTAACGTTTTTCTTTCAGACAATGTTCATGTCCAATGTGATTCAGATACAGATTTTTGTGGGTTTTTTGTAGAAGTGTAATCTGCAAGATTACAGGTCCAGTTTCCATGGCAAGTAGTTATAAATAATTTTCAAAAACGTACCTGGAGTAGAATTTTCTCAACAAGCACATCTACTCACTTCAAAAGCCTTTTTGTGCAGTGTCTTCACTTAGCATGCTCTTTACCTCAGGTGTAGATGAAGAAAGCTGCTCTCACAGAACTTTATTCTTATGAACCATGGCAGCAGTGTACTTTTCAAAGGTATTTTTAAGATCAACATTGGCTTATATGAATTGTCCAAGTCCTATCTTTGTCCCTGTTATTTTTAGTTTCCTTGTCTTTTTTCTTTCTTCTTTTCTTTTTTATTTATTTATTTATTTTTTATTATTATTATACTTTAAGTTTTAGGATTCATGTGCACAATGTGCAGGTTTGTCACATATGTATACATGTGCCATGTCTTTTTCTTTCTTTCTTTCTTCTTTTTTTTTTCTTTGATAAAGTTTCATTCTTTTGTCCAGGTTGCAGTCCTCAGCTCACTGCAACCTTCACCTCCCATGTTCAAGTGATTCTCATGCCTCAACCTCCCAAATAGCTGAGATTACAGGCATGCACCACCACACCCAGCTAATTTTTTGTATTTTTAGTAGAAACAGTGTTTCACTATGTTGGCCAGGCTGGTCTGGAACTCCTGGCCTCAAGTGATCCACCTGCCTCAGCCTGCCAAAGTGCTGGGATTACAGGCATGAGCCACCACACCTGGACTTCCTTGTCTGGTTTCTAACACTGGTTTCCAATTCAGGAACTTTTTTTTTTTTTATTAAAATATGTCATTGTAAAGATACAACAAAGAGAGAAAACTATAGGCCAATAGGACTGGTGAACACAGATGCAAAAGTCTTCAACAATGTACTAGCAAATCAAATCTAGCAGCACATCAAGAAGTTAACTTACCACAATCAAGTAGATTTCATTCCTAGGATGCGGGCCTGATTTAACATGCGCTAATCAAGAAATGTGACTCACCACATAAACAGAATTAAAAACAAAAACCAGATAATCATCTTGACAGATGCAGAAAAAGTTTTTGATAAAATCCAACATTTCTTAATGATAAAAACCTCTCAACAAATTAGGCATTAATGAAATATACCTGAAAATGATAAGAGCTATCTACAACAAACCACAGCCAACATCATACTTAATGGGCAAAATATGGAAGCATTCCCCTTGATAACTGGAACAAGATAAGGCAGCCCACTCTCACCACTCCTATTCAACATAGTATTGGAATTTCTAGCCAGAGCAATCAGGCAAGAGAAAGAAATAAAAGGCATCCAGATAGGAAAAGAACAAGTAAAACTATTTATCTTCACTGATACGATTCTATACCTAGAAAACCCTAAAGATTTGAGATAATGTTAAATTTTATTGAGCGCCTTTTCTCCATCTATTGATATGATCATGTGGCTTCTGTTTTTAGTTCTGTTTATGTGATGAGCCATAATTATTGATTTGCATGTATTGAACCAATCTTGTATTCCAGTAATAAACTCTACCTGATTGTAGTAGATTACCTTTTGATGTGCTGCTGGATTTTGCTAGCACTTTGTTGAGGTTTTTTCTCATCTATGTCCACAGGGAATACTGGCCTGAAGTTTTTTTGTTGTTGTTGTGTTCCTGCCAGCTTTGGTATCAGAATGATACTGGCCTCATAGAATGAGTTAGGGAGGAGTCCTTCCTCCTCCACAATAGCAAAGACATGAAATAAACCTGGATGCCCATCAGTAATGGACTGAATAAAGAAAATGCAGTACATATACATCATAGAATACTACACAGCCATAATGAAATCATGTCCTTTGCAGTAAAATGGCTGGAGTTTGGAGGCCGTTATCCTAAGCACATTAATGCAGGAACAGAAAACCAAATATCTCATGTTCTTACTTGCAAGTAGGAGATAAACATTGAGTACACGTGGACACAAAGAAGGGAACAATAGACACTGGGGCCTACTTGAGGGTGGAGGGTTGAAGGAGGGTGAGGGTTGAAAAACTACTTATATTGGGTACTATGCTCGCTATCTGGGTGACAAAACAATCTCTGCACCAAACCCCTGCAACATGCAGTTTACCCAGTTAACAAACCTTCACAAGACCTCCCTGAACCTAAAATAAAAGTTGGAAAGAAAAAACAAAAAAAGAAAACCCTAAAGATTCCACCAAAGGCTCCTAGACCCGATAAATGACTTGAGCAAAGCTTCTGGATACAAAATCAATGTATAAAAATCAGTAGCATTTCTACACATAAATAACATTAAGGCTGACAGCCAAATCTAGAGTGCTGTCCCATTTACAATAGCCACCCAAATAAATAAATAAATAAATAAAGTACCTTGGAATACATGTAAACAAGGAGATGAAAGAACTCTACAAGAAGAGCTACAAAACACTGCTGAAAGAAATCACAGATGACACAAACAAATGGAAAAACATTCCATGTTCATAGATTGGAAGAATCAATATCATTAAAATGTCTATACTGCCCAAAGAAATCTACAGATTCAATACTATTTCTGTCAAATTACCAAAGTCATTTTTATAGAATTAGAAAAAACTATTCTAAAATTTATATGGAACCAAAAAGCACTCAAACAGCACAAGAAATTCTAAGCAGAAAGAACAAAGCTGGAGGCATCACACTACCTGACTTCAAAATATACTAGCAGATTATAGCAACCAAAACAGCATAGGACTGGTACAAAAACAGACATGTAGACTAATGGAATGGGATATGAATCTAGAAATAAAGCCAGACACCTACAATCATCTGAACTCCAACAAAGTCAACCAAAATAAGCAATAAGGAAAGGACTCCCTAATCAATAAATGGTGCTGGGATAACTGGCTAGCCATATACAGAAGGATATAACTGGATGCTACCTTTCACGATATACAAAAATGAATTCAAGATGGGTTAAAGACTTAAATGTAAGACCCCAAACTATGAAAATCCTGAAAAACATAGGAAATATCATTCTGAATATCAGCCTTGGCAAAGAATTTATGACTAAGTCCCCAAAAGCAATTTTGACAAAGCCAGAAATTGACAAATGGGACTAAATTAACCCATTTATACCAGAGGTTGCAAATTTCTGTGTGAAAAATCAGACCTTGGTGATGACCTTGGGCGGTAGGATATAAATCACTCCCACAAGCTTGGCATTCCAATAATGGAACACTAGAAATAAATGTAAAGAGCTTCTGCAAGGCAAAAGAAACTATCAACAGAGTAAAAAGACAATCAACGGAATGAGAGAAAACATTTACAAACTATGCATCTGACAAAGGTTTAATATCCAGAATCTATAAGTAACTTAAACAAATCAACAAGAGAACAAATGACCCCATTAAAAAGTGGGCAAAGAACATGAACACACACCTCTCAAAGAAGATCATACAACTGGCCAACAAATAAATGAAAAATTGCTAATCACTAATCATCAGAAAGATGCAAATCAAAACTACAATGAGACACCATCTCACACCAGTCAGAATGGTTATTTTTAAAAAGACAAAAAGTAACAGATGTTGGCAAGCTTGCAGGGAATAGGCTGTTGGTGGGAATGTAAATTAGTACAGCCACTGTAGAAAGCAGTTTGAAGATTCCTCAAAGAACTTAAAAGAGAACTACCATTTGATCCAGCAATTACACTCCTGGGTATATATCCAATGGAAAATAAATTTTTCTATCAAAAAGACACATAAACCCATATATTCATAATAGTACTATTCACAATAGTGGAGAAGATAAAGAAAATGTAGTACATATACACCATGGAATACTAAACTGCCATAAAAAGAATGAAATCATGTTCTTTACAGCAACATGAATGCAACTGGAGGCCATTACCATAAGCAAACTAAAACAGAAACAGAAAACCAAATATTGTAAATATTGTATGATCTCATTTGTAAGTGGAAGCTAAACATTGAGTATATATGCATGTAAAGATAGGAACCATAGACACTCAGGATTACTAGATGAGGGGAGGATAAGATGGGGGCGAGGGTAGAAAAACTATTCTCACTATCTGAGTGATGGGATCATTCCTACACCAAATCTCAGTGTCACACAGTTTACCCATGAAACAAACCTGCACATGTACCCACTAAACCTAAGTAAAAATAGGAAAAAATAAAAAGAAATAAAAGTATTTATGGAACGAACCTCAAAATAATAAGAGCTATTTATAACAAACCCACAGCCAATATCATACTGAATGGGCAAAAACTGGAAGCATTCCCTTTGAAAACCAGCAAAAGACAAGGATGCCCTCTCTCACCACTCCTATTCAACACAGTATTGGAAGTTCTGGCCAGGGCAATCAGGCAAGAGAAAGAAATAAAGGGTATTCAAATAGGAAGAGAGGAAGTCAAACTGTCTCTGTTTGCAGATGACATGACTGTATATTTAGAAAACCCCATCATCTCAGCCCAAAATCTCCTTAAGCTGATAAGCAACATCAGCAAAGTCTCAGGATACAAATCAATGTGCAAAAATCACAAGCATTCTGATACACCAGTAATAGACAGAGAGCCAAATCATGAGTGAACTCCTATTCACAATTGCTATAAAGAGAATAAAATACCTAGGAATACAACTTAGAAGGGATGTGAAGGACCTCTTCAAGGAGAACTACAAACCACTGCTCAATGAAATAAGAGAGGACAAAAAGAAATGGAAAAACATTCCATGCTCATGGATAGGAAGAATCAATATCATGAAAATGGCCATACTGCCCAAAGTAATTTATAGATTCAATGCTATCCCTATCAAGCTACCATTGACTTTCTTCACATAATTAGGAAAAAACTACTTTGAATTTCATATGAACCAAAAAAAGAGCCCACCACAAAAAGAGCCCACATAGCCAAGACAATCCTAAGCACAACGTAAAAAGCTGGAGGCATCACGCTACCTGACTTCAAACTATACTACAAGGCTCAGTAACCAAAACAACATGGTGCTGGTACCAAAACAGATATATAGACCAATGGAACAGAACAGAGGCCTCAGAAATAACACCACACATCTACAGCAATCTGATCTTTGACCACCTGACAAAAACAAGCAATGGGGAAAGGATTCCCTATTTAATAAATGATGCTGGGAAAATTGGCTAGCCATATGCACAAAACTGAAACTGGACCTCTTCCTTACACCTTATCCAAAAAGTAACTCAAGATGGATTAAAGACTTAAATGTAAGACCTAAAATCATAAAAACCCTAGAAGAAAACCTAGGCAATACCATTCAGGACATAGGCATGGGCAAGGCTTCATGACTAAAACACCACGAGCAATGGCAAAAAAAGCCAAAATTGACAAATGGGATCTAATTAAACTAAAGAGTTTCTGCACAGCAAAAGAAACTATCAGCAGAGTGAACAGGCAACCCAAAGAATGGGAGAAAATTTTTGCAATCTATCCATCTGACAAAGAGCTAATATCCAGAATCTACAAAGAAATTAAACAAGTTTACAAGAAAAAAGCCAACAACCCCGTCAAAAAGTGGGTGAAAGATATGAACAGACATTTCTCAAAAGATGACATTTATGTAGCAAACAAACCTATGAAAAAAAGCTCGTCTTCACTGGTCATTAGAGAAATGCAAATGAAAACCACAATGAGATACCATCTCATGCCATTTAGAATGGTGATAATTAAAAAGTCAGGAAACAGCAGATGCTGGAGAGGATGTGGAGAAATAGGAACACTTTTACACTGTTGGTGGGAGTGTAAATTAGTGCAACCATTGTGGAAGACAGTGTGGCAATTTCTCAAGGATCTAGAACTAGAAATATCATTTGATCCAGCAATCCCATTACTGGGTATATACCCAAAGGTTTATAAATCATTCTACTATAAAGACACATGTCCACATATGTTTATTGCAGCATTATTTAGAATAGCAAAGACTTGGACCCAACCCAAATGCTCATCAATGATAGATGGGATAAAAAAAAAAAGTGGCACATATACACCATGGAATACTATGCAGTCATGAAAAGAATGAGTTCATGTCTTTGCAGGAACATGGATGAAACTGGAAACCATCATTCTCAGCAAACTAACACAAGAACAGAAAACCAAACATCACATGTTCTCACTCATAAGTGGGAGTTGAACAAAGAGAACACATGGACACAGGGAGGGGAATATCACACACTGAGGCCTGCCCTGCTGGGGGTGGGGTTAGCATTAGGAGAAATACCTAATGTAGATCACGAGTTGATGGGTGTGGCAAACTACCATGGCACGTGTATACCTATGTAACAAACCTGCATGTTCTGCACATGTACCCCAGAACTTAAAGTATAATGAAAAAAGGAGGAAAAAATAAATAGAAGTAATTTTCTAATGTTGGACATTTAGGTCTTTCGAATCTACTGTTATTAAAGACAACGTTAAAAATAATAAATGTAAGTAAGTAATGAAAAGACTCATAAATAGGTCTTTGGCATGCACATGAGTTAACTATTGGTTAAATTCTTGGAAGCTGAATTACCAATCAAAACATGTTTGATTTGATAACTATTGCTAAATTGCCTTCCACTGAGGTTATACCAATTTGCACTGTCGCTAGTTATGTATGAGAGTATCTTTTTACTCATATCTTTGCCGACATGGCATGTATTCAGACTTTCTGAGCTTTGCTTTGCTAGCCAAATAGGCTGTGTGTGTGTGTGTGTGTGTGTGTGTGTATGTGTGTGTGTGTGTGTGTGTATACTTTTTCAGTCTGGCAATAGTCTTCTGATTTTGCTTTTAGAGGTGTTTGGTAATTGTCTCCTTACTTTAAGTAAAAAAAAAAGTATTTTTCTTAAAAAGAAGACTTTTTTCTTTACTTTTGTGTAGCCAAACTTGTCAGTCTGACAAATTACATCTTCTGACTTTTATGTTATATAAATAGATTTATTTTTTTTCCTAGGCATATACAAGGGAACTCAAGAACTATTAAATTAGCCAAATAAATCCAAATAGAGTATGTATGGGATGCCATCTCTTACTAATGCCTCTCTTCCTTCTCTGTAGAACTCTTCAATAGCTCTCCATTTCTTCTTGGGCTGTAATAGAAATCCAGATTTATGCCACAGTCCACATGGTTGTTCATGATGCTTTCTCCAGCCTCTTCTGGCACACCTCACAGACATGCCCCAGTTATCATATAACACTTTACTAGTCTACAAAATTTATTTTAGTGTCTGAAATGTCGACATTCTCTCTTGCTCTAGACCTGTACAATGTAAATTTCCTTGTTTGAAATATTCAACTTGCTTTAGTTATTCTCTTTATTCAATAATTCTTGTCGTTTTCTCTGGGAAGTTCAAAAGTTCCTCTCCCAAGTCAAGGTTATGGACCCTTCCTATGTCTTCCCGTGGAATCTAATTCGACTCTGGAAGAAAATGATGAGGGTAGCATATTCCCTGAGAGCAGAGATTATTGGTGATCTTTTTCAATGTTTTTGGTAACTTTTTAATTTTATATTTTATTTCATTTTTGAAAGATAGTTTATATACTGTCACATTCACCTTTTTAAAGTATTTTGATTCAATGGCTTTTAGTACATGCACAGTTATGCAACTGTCACCACAATAAATTTTACAAGATTTTTATAACCCTCACAAAGGAAATTCTGTACCCTTAGCAGGCACCCACTCATTTTCTTTCACTACCTCAGCCCAACACAACTAATCAACTTTCTATCTCTGTAGATTTGCGTATTCTGGACATTTCATGTAAGTGGAATTATATAATATGTGTGATCTTTTGTGACTCACTTCTTTCACTTAGCATAATGTTTCAAGATTCAACCATGTTGTCATTGCTTTTATGGTTGCATAATATTCTATTGCATGGATATATCTCATTTTGTTTACACATCCTTCCGCTATGGAACCTTGAGTTGTTTCTACTCTGGCTATTATGAATAATGCATATGAACATTCAGGTACTAGTTTTTGTAGCGTGGACGTACAAGTTTTACTACTTATAAGTATATAGCTAGAGGTGGAATTGCAGAGTGTATTAGTCCGTTCTCATGCTGCTGATAAAGACATACCCAAGACTGGGCAATTTACAAAAGAAAGAGGTTTATTCGACTTACGATTCCACATGGCTAGGGAGGCCTCACAACCATGGCGGAAGGCAAAGAGGAGCAAATTACATCTTACGTGGGTGGCAGGAGGCAAAGAGAGAGCTTGTGTAGAGAAACTCCCATTTTTAAAACCATCAGATCTCGTGAGACCCATTCACTATCAGGAGAACAGCACGGGTAAGACCTGCCCCCATGATTCAATCATCTCCCACCGGGTCCCTCCCACAACACGTGGGAATTATGGGAGCTACAAAATGAGATCTGCTTGGAGACACAGAGCCAAACCATATCACAGAGTCAGATGTTGACTCTGTGGAATTTTGTTTTCTTTTGTTTTTGAGATGGAGTCTCGCTCTGTCACCCAGGCTGGAGTGCAGGGGTGCCATCTTGGCTCACTGCAAGCTCCGCCTCCTGGGCTCACACCATTCTCCTGCCTCAGCCTCCCGAGTAGCTGCGACTACAAGCGCCCACCACCATGCCTGGCTAATTTTTTTTTTTTTTTTTTTTTTTTTTTTAGTAGGACGGGGTTTCACCATGTTAGCCAGGATGGTCTCGATCTCCTGACCTCGTGATCTGCCCACCTCTGCCTCCCAAAGTGCTGAGATTACAGGCGTGAGCCACCAAGCCCGGCCAAATCTGTGTAATGTTTTAAGAACTCCTGAAGCATTTTGCCACCATACACTGCCACAATTTTCACCATAAGTGTATGAGTCAGTCTACATCCTCATTAAAACTTGTTATTATGTGTCTTTTTTAATTATAGCCATCCTAGTGCGTGTAAAGTTATGTTTTTCTGATTATTTGAACTTATCTGATGGCTAATGATGAGCATTTTACATATGCTCACAAGCTATCTTTATATCTTTTTTGGAGAAATGTTTTTGCTCATTTAAAAAATTGAGCTATCTTTTTATTTTTGAGTTGAGTATTTTGATGAAGTCCAAGTATATAGTATTTTTGGTAGCTTGTGATTTAAATCTCATAACTAAAAATCCAAGGTCATGAAGATTTACACCTATATTTTTTTCTAAGAGTTTTACAGTTGTAACTCATAATTAGATCCCTCGCCAATTTAAAGGTGGTAAATGTAATGGACTGAACGTTTATGTCCTTCAAAAATTCATATGTTGAAATCCTAACCCCTAACGTGAAGGAAGTGGGGCCTTTGGGAGGTAATTATGTCATGAGGGTAGAGCCCTCATGAATGGAATTAGTGCTCTTATAAAAAGAGATCCCAGAGGAATTCCTTCCCTTTTACCTTGTAAAGGCAAGGCAAGATGTTTTCAGTCTACAACCTAGGAGAGGGCTCTCACCAGAACCTAACCTTGCTGGCACTCTGATCTTAGACTTCCCACCCTCCTAAACTATGAGAAATAAATTTCTGTTATTTATAAGCCACCCAGTGCATGGTATTTTGTTATAGCAAGCCAGAAGGGACTAAGACAGTAAACGTCCAACTTTATTCTTTTCCATGTGGCTATCCAGTTTTCCCCACACAATGTGTTGAAAAGACTATTCTTTCTGCATTGATTTGTTTGGGCAGCCACATGGAAAATCAATTGACTGTAAATGTAAAAGTTTATTTCAGGACTCTCAATTCTGTTCCATCTATCTGTTTGCCTGTCTGTGCCAATACCACAGTCTTGATTCCTGTAGCTGTGTAGTAAGTTTTGAAACCTGAAAGTGTACATCCTTCAACTTTGTTTTTCTTTCTCCAGATTGTTTTGATTATTCTGGGTCCCTTGTACTTCCTATGAATTTTAGAATCAGCTTGCCAATTTCTGCAAAAAAACATTTTGGGATTTTGATAGGGATTGCACTGAATAGTTGCCCTTTATCAAGTTGAAGAAGATCTCTTTTATCTCTTTTTAGTCAAAGTTTGTATCATAACATGTTGTTAGATTTTTTCAAATGCTTTTTCTGAGTCTATTGAAATAACCATGTGGATTTTGTCCTTTATTCTATTAATATGATATATTACATTAATTTGTTTTTGGATATTAAATCTACCTGAGTTCCTGGGATAAATCTCACTTAGTCATGATGTATAGTCTTTTTTATATGTTGCTACATTTGATTTGCTAAGTTTTTATGAGGATTTTTACACCTATATTCATAAGGGATATTATCCTGTAATTTTGTGATGTCTTTGGTTTTGGAATCAGGTAATACTGACCCCATAGAAGGCATTTGAAAGTATTCTCTCCTCTTCAATGTTTTGGAAGTTTGTAAGTAATTGGTATTCATTTTTCTTTAAATGTTTGGTAGAATTTACTAATAAAGTCATCTGGAACTGGGCTTTTCTTTTTGAGTAGCTTTTTGATCTCTTAATTCAATCTCTTTACTTATCAGTCTATTCAGATTTTCTATGTGTTCTTGAGTCAATTTTGGTAGTTTCTATCTTTCTAGGAATTTGTTCATTACATCTATCGAATTTATTGGTATATATTTATTCATAAGGAGAAAGTAGTGGTACAAATGTCATAGACTCTTGCTGTTTTCACTGAGTTTTAGTAGATTTTCTTGAATATATGCTTCTTCATTTGTCTCTGCCTTTAGGAAAGCTTGCAGATACTTTACATATTTTAAATATAATTTTCACCTGTTATGCTTGTTTTGCTAAGGAGAGGAGCCTCCTAACGCCACCATTCTGGAAATTCAATTCTCCTTTGTTCGTGATTTTATCTGCCCTTCAGGGCCTGGCACTGAGCTTGCCTAAAGGAGATATCTGACAAATATGTATTGGTTGCCTGGATTCTCAGTAGATGTTAATTTCTAGGAATGTCTTCAAGGAGATAACAAAGATCCCAACTCTGTGATCACCTTGCTATTTGCTTTTTATTGTAAGGTATGCAGGGCTGGTTACCACTGAGTAAACTCAATTAATCCGTACAATATTGCCCACTGGAGAGTAGGCCTAATTCCCTTATCTGGTCTCTTACTCTGATGAACCAGGAGATTATATGAGTGCTGCGATCCCTCCTTTTAAAAAGCAGGCTGAGAAATCTCTTTCCTCTCTTTCTCCTAGGCTCATGTCTTAATCTTGGTCTTTTAAGTCTTATGTCTTAACATTCTTATGAAAGAACAGCAGCAATCAAATGAGTCCAAGGAATCTCTCCGTGGAGATTTCTGTTCACGAACTGCAGTAGAGTCAGATTATGGTACTGACTTCTTAATGAATTTTCCCGTTGGGATTTAAGGTAGCAATCCCATTGTTCTCTTTGTGGACTTAGAGCTTGTGAAAAATAGACCTACAGACTGAAATATCAACTGTATCTTTAACCACAATTGGCCCAGAACCACAGGCTATACATCAGATTAATTAAATCAAAATGTCTGGGGTTGGAACTCAATTATTAGTGGTGTTTAAGTTCTCCAGGTGATTCCAGTGTTCAACCCATATTGAAAAAGCATGTAGTCTATGTACTAACAGTATCAGTATCACCTGAGACTGTGTTAGGCATGCAAGATCTTGGGCCCCATCTCAGAACCACAATGTGCTGTTTAACAATTTTCTCATGTTAAAATTTTAGAAGCAGTGTTTTTAAAGCACTGCTCTTTAAACTTTAGTGAGCATAAAGATCCCTTAGAGGGACTCATTAAACACAGTTTCCTAGGCTCTAATTCCATGGTTAAGTTTATTGAGTCTAACTCACTGTGGGATGAAGCAGGACAATTTGCATTTCTAACAAGTTCACAGGTGATGCTGATGCTGCTGAATGCGGACTACACTTTGAAAATTGGTGCTGTAGACTCAGGTGTGCTTCCCACAGAAGATCAAGAATAAGAAAAGCACTCACACTTTCCATGGCTCAAAAGGCGAGAAGAGAGCCCTGGCTATGTGTGGGAGGCAACTCTTCTCTCACTGTGCAATTTGATAAGACATACTCTTCTTTTGAGGGAGACTGAGCAGAGTGGAAAGGTTTGAAGCTCTCGCCCTGATACTTCTGAAAAGGAAGAAGCATCTCTTCATGTGACAAGGTAAAAACTTTCAAATAGAAACAAAATAGACCCTCCTGTACTCACCCTGTCTCCCAGGGGCGGGGAGCCTTACCTTAGGCCTATCTTATTACACCACATATATGAGAAAAAAAAATCTAGAAGAAAAGGCTCAAGAGTGCCAGTGGAGACACAAATCAGAAGAAATGGATTCAAAAGGGATCTCTCAGTTGTTGAATTTCAAGTGCCTACGCATTCTCTTGCCTCTGGTCTTCTCTTCTATTAAAAACTATAGGTGGGGTATTATGGCCACTTTTGTCCTGTGTATTTCCTAATATCAGAACTTCCTCTCCTCAGAAGTGGTATAAAGTGTGTGTGTGTGTGTGTGTGTGTGTGTGTGTGTGTGAAAATAGAAGCTTTGGCTTCCCATAAATTTTATGGTGTATAGTCAGCATTGATTAATGGAGACTCTAATAAGAAAAAATGTTACTGGTGATATTGAAAATAATGTAGAGGAATTTTAAGTGGTGTAGTCATCCAGTAGATTTTGCCAGTTTAAAGACAGTAGAACAATTAAGACATCTTCTTTCAGTTTGAGTATTTTACACTCCCATCCCCAAATACGATGAGGCTCATTTTGTTTTACCATTAACATTAATGGGATTTAATTTACAGTGGGACAAATAGGCCTCTGACTTTGTAAGCTGAATGTGATTATGAAATCAATGTTTAGAAATCATAAAACACCTATTAATACTTGTCGTAGAGGCATTTGATGAAGTTTAAAATCCCCAAAGAGCTTTGTATATGCTTTATTATTTCAAATCAATGATCCTCAGATCTCATAGGCATAGAAAAATAAAGTGTTGAATATACATTTTTAAAATAAATGTAGAAAGTGATTCCTTTTTCCGTTTATGAGTTCCACATCTTAAACAGATGTTTTCTTCAGTACAAATTCACCTGGTGTTTTCCAACTCAAACTTTATTTCACATTTTACTTGTGGATTATAATTAGAACTTGGCTATTAGTTGACTGAAATAAACATATTAGCTCTGGCACAGAAAATTCGACATACTCTCTAGCAGTTTAACTTAAGGGGGCAGAACCTTGAGATAGCTAATGAGTAAGAGAGACAGCAATTAGGGAAGCTTTGCAAAGCAAGTGGGAGAATTAAAAATGTCAGGTAATAGAGACAAGAGATAGAGAGGGCCAAATGGTAGAGAACATTGTCCCAAATGCTCATTGATAACCAATGTCAGAAAGCACTAGGATGGTAATAAGGGAAATCAGAGATTTTTTAAAATGCAGGTTGAAGACGACTGAAAGGGAATCTGGTGTACACAAGAGCAGGGGGCAGAATGCTGATATATATATATGAGGTTCTTAACAAAAGGCCATGTCTCAATAGAATATGATGTTACAACCTTAAGAAAAAACAAGGCAGAAGGTGGTGATTAAGGTCATTTTCTTGTGATTGGAATATGCAAACATACATATCCTTACAATATGGTGCAAGATTAAAAGCTGTGTTGGCAAACATAACTGTGCCTTTAAATATTTTAAGGGCTGTCAAGGCAGAAGGACTGGATTTATTCAGTGTGGAGCTAGTGCCAAAGGATGTGAGTATGGTAGATTCCTTCAGAAT
The DNA here is from genome assembly GCF_000001405.40 of Homo sapiens. Lineage (NCBI taxonomy): Eukaryota > Metazoa > Chordata > Mammalia > Primates > Hominidae > Homo > Homo sapiens. Next base: position 183,767,704 of record NC_000002.12, on the reverse strand, counting down.
AAAGAAGAAACTCCTAACCTAATGTACTGAGACTAAGGTCTTTGAGGCAGGCGGACTGGGGCGAATTCCAAATTTAGGACTTACCTGCCTTGCCACCATGGTTAATTTAATGTGTTAGATTTGCAGTTTCTGGATTTAGAAAATGGAGTAATAATTACCTTAGAGCTGCTATACATTTTGCATTGCATATGTGACGGATCTGGCGTAGAATTTCTAGAAAATAACAGAATTCTCATGATTACCTCAAATGAAGTACGCTGAAAACAGATTGCATTTGAATGCATTGCTTTTTCCCAATTCTTTTTCGTCTTTTCCCTTCAGGTCTTGTCTTAGATATTAGAACTAGATTGGGTCTCCTGTCCTAGTATAGCCTGAAATTCCCTAATGCAGTACTTTAAACACAAATTGATTACTGACAATCATATGTTGATAGTTTGTAGGCTACACAAAGAGAAAAGGTTTGTCTTAGCAACTATGGTCCTCCTAGGAACCAGTGCAGTGCCTGGCCATCAGTAAGTTCTGAAGATTTAGGACTAATGGATGAATGTTGCAACCCTACTTATCTCCAATCTGGCTCCCTCACCATTTTTCCATTGCCTTGTAAGACTTGACCATTCTCCTAGTCCTCTAATGTTATTACCTATATCTCTATTATAGGAAGACTTCATTTTATTGCATTTCATTCAGTTTATTGCATTTTGCAGATACTGCATTTTTTAAAACAAATCGAAGGTTTGTGTTAACCCTGTATCGAGCAAGTTCATTGCTGCTATTTTTCCAACTGCATATATGCACTTTGTATCTCTGTATCACATTTTGGAAATTCTTGCAATATTTCTATATTTTTCATTATATCTGTTATGATGATCTGAGATTTTTAATGTTACTATTGTAATTTTTCTATGGTGCCACAAACCACACTCATATAGACAATTAATTTAATGGATAAATGTTTTGTGTCTTCTGACTGTTTCACTGGCTGGCCGTTGTTACTCCTTTTCTCTCCACATTCCTCAGCCCTCCCTATTCCCTGAGACACAACAATATAGAAATTAGGACAATTAATTAATAACCTCTTAGTGTTCAAGTAAGAAGTGTCTCGCATTTCTTTAAATCAAAAGCTAGAAATGACTAAGCTTAGTGAGAAAGGCAGGTCAAAAGTTGAGATAGAGAGCAAGGCCTCATGTGCCAAACAGTTAGCAAAGTCAAGAATGATGCAAAGGAAAAGTTCATGAAGGAAGTTAAAAGTGTTATTCCAGTGCAGACAAATATAAGAAAGTAAAACAGCCTATTGTTGACAGGGAAAAACTTTTAGTGATCTGAATAGAAGATGAAACTCACTATCTCAAGCCAAAGCGTTATCCAGAGTAAAGCCCTAACTCTCCTCAATTCTGTGAAGACAGAGAGGTGAAGAAGCTTCAGAAGAAAAATTTGAAGATATCAGAGGTTGGTTCATGAGGTTTAAGGAAGAAACTGCCTCTGTAACATAAAAGGGCAAGGTGAAGCAGCAAGTGCTCATATAGAAGCTGCAGCAAGTTATGCAGAAGATGTAGCCAATTGATGAAGGTGATTACACCAAATGAAAGATGTTCAATGGAAAAGAAACAGCCTCATATTGGAAAAGACTTTCATACCTAGAGAGGAAGTCAGTGCTTGGTTCCAAAGCTTCAAAGGACAGGCTGACTCTCTTGTTAGAGGCTAATGCTGCTGGTGACTTTTAAGTTGATGTCAATGTTCACTTATTCTGAAAATCCTAGGGCTCTTAATGATGATTCTAAATCTACTTTGCCTGTCCTTTAGAAATGGAACAACAAAGCCTGAATGACAGCACATCTTTCTGTAGCATGATTTACTGAATATTTTAAGCCCACTGTTAAGACCTACTGCTCAGAAAAATATTCCATTCAAAATATTACTGCCCACTGGCAATGCAGCTAGTTCCCAGGAGCTCCGATGGAGAAGTACACAAGGGAGATTCATGTTGTTTTCGTGCCTCCTAATACAATCTGTAGTCTATATCCCATGGATCAAGGAGTAATCTTGACTTTCAACTCTTGTTATTTAAGAAATATATTTTGTAAAGCTATAGCTGATATTGACAGCGATTTCTCTGAATCTGGGCAAAGGACATTGAAAACCTTCTGGAATGGATTCATCATCCTAAATGTCATTAAAAACATTTGTGATTGATGGGAGGAGGTTAAAATATCAACATTAACGGGAGCTTAAAAGAAGTCCATTTGAACCTTCATGGATAACTTTCAAGGGTTCAAGACTACAGTGGAGAAAGGAACTGCAGATGTGGCAGGAAGTAACTGCAAATGTGGAAAGAGGACTAGAATTAGAAATGGAGTCTGAAAACGTGACTGAATTGCTGCAATCTCATGCTAAAACTTGAACAGATGAGGAATTGCTTATGAACGAGCAAAGAAAGTGGTTTCTTGACACCGAAACTATTCCTGGTGAAGATGCTGTGAACATAGTTGAAATAATAAAGGATTTAAAATATTGTATAAACTTAGTTAAAGCAGCAGGGTTTGAGAGGATTGATTATAATTTTGAAATAAGTTTTACTGTTGGTAAAATGCTATCAAACAGCAACACATGCTACAGGGAAATCTTTCATGGGAGGAAGAGTCAACTGATGCAGGGTACTTCATTGTTGTCTTGTTTTAGGAAGCTACCACAGCCACGGCCACCCTGATCAGTCAGCAGTCCTCAACACTGAGGTGAGACCCTCCCACCCACAAAATGATTACAACTCACTGACGGCTCAAATGATTGTTAGCATTTTTTTAGCATAAAGTATTTTAAAATTAATGTATTTACATTATCTTTTTAGACATGCTATTATATATTTAATAGACTACAAGATAGTGTAAACATAACTTTTTATGCATTGGGAAAACAAAAAATGTGTGTGACTCACTTTATTGCAGTGGTCTGGAACTGAACCTGCAATATTTCTGATTTATGTATGTACTCCTAACTCCAATTTAGTGTGTTATTAAGTGGTTTTAACACTTATTTATGTATTAATACATATCTTGGATTTATGCTCTTCTGTTATTTCCATGCCATTATTTTAGCCTAGGTTGATCTTTTTTTATATTGGGAAGACTGGAATAGTCATCCAGCTTTTCACTTGCCTCTAACGTCAGTTCATTTATCATGCCTATCTATGATATCTAATTGCTAATAAAATTTTCCTCAAGTGCAAATTTCATCATGGATGTGTCATGGATTTTATAAAGCCACAATAAAAATTTCTGATTCTCTGTAGTCTTCTATAATGAACTAATCTCCTTATTGGATAGTACTACCAAAAGTGGTATATTTCATTAAAGAGGAAAATGTTTTAGGTTTGTAAAGTAGAAATAATGAATTAATTTAATAAACCCAATGAAGTCATTTGAGAAAATAGGAAAAGGAGATCTGAAAATCTTCAGAGGGTGGTTTTCTTACAACTGCAAAGTTAGGGAAGTCAAGTGAGAACAGTGATAGGAATGGACAGGGTTCGGTGAGGGTGATTTTTGTTGATGTCACTCCCAATCATTTGGTTAGGGATCCCTTTTCATGGTAATATTATGAGAAAACTCACATGAGAATTAAGTAAAGAGTAATTGGGGGCACAACAATATGCTGTCTAATTATCACCTCCAAGTGAGTTTTGGGGTAGTGTTGGGGAATTTTTGTATCACAAAGACTGAGATCACAGGGGTGTGAACATTGACTAGACTCAGCCTGTGAACCTGAGAGCTGTGTGGCACTGCAGACAATCTCTCCTGATGTGATCTTAGCATAAATAAACTTGAAAGGAGTACATTTCCTTTGCCTCACATATGCTAAAGGGTGCATTTCTGTATTTTAGGAAACTCTTGTACATAACAAATTACCTCTGACTGTTGTCCTTGTACTTTAAATATTTGCCCATGCCTCTGTCCCTTCACGGATTCTTATCCCCAGACACTTGACTTCCCTTTCCTAGTGTGTAAATCTTATTTCTAATGATTCATTCGGAACTCAGACATCTCTAGGAAATCTTTTTTGATTATCTCCTCCTGGCATTTTGTGCTTTTCCTTGGCTCTGTTTCATTCCATTTTGTCTCTTGTGATCAGCGCTTGTGAATTTGTCTTTTGGATACTTGCTTTATGAACTTAATGCCTTGTAATCTTAATTTGACTTACCCTCCCCAAGGGTAGGGACTTCTAATTATATCATGATATCAAATACAGTATATTTCTTCTGTAAATGCTGGCTTGTTTGGGCTATATTTGTTCAAAAAGCTACTTTCACCTTCACAGAGCATGTGACTTTGGTTAATAGATTATATCTGACATTTGGAAAATACATCCTGGAATAATTGACTGTTTTGCTGGAAGGAATCCTGTATACTTTAAGCCAGGATCTTTCTGTTCCAGGTGAAGAAAGTCAGAACCAGAGAATTGACATAGATGCTCAAGGTCATTTGGAATAAAAACTTGACCAGTGTATCTAGACAACTAGTCTGGGGCTCTTTTTGCTACAAAGTGCTCTTTCACTGATGAGGTTCAGGTGCAGTTACATTGGCTGGCAATTAAGTTTCTTGGGTTGAATCTGAGCATGTTCCATAGCAAATGTTGCATGATAGAAGAGAAGACAGAATGCTATCAATATAGGCTGAAATTAAACTGAAAGAAATAGGGCAAATAGGGCATGGGTATTTAAAAATGCTTAATTTCACAAAACCCAGCACATCAAAGTAATTATGGAGCAATAAAAGGTGAACTGAAGCCTTCGATGGACTCTAGGAAGAGATAAGGCTAGAATTGTTAAAGCAGCCACTGTTCTTTCTACAAAACATTTTCTGATTTTGTTTCCTATTGTCTATTTTTTATTAAATTGGCTGGGTTGCAAACAAAGCCATGGTAATGTGGATGAAATTTATTCATGAGTACATTTTTCCTTACAGGAGGAAAAACATCCATTTCAAATAACACAAATGTTGCCCTAAAAAGTTTTAATTTTATGTTGATGTGTGTGAATTACTTTTATGGCTTTTTGAGAAACTGGGATCTTATGTTGATATTTATTTGTAAATTTACACTTTAATAATCTAGCTTATTTCTCTTTAAAATACTATAAAAATACAAAGTAAAGGAAAAAATTAAGAAATTCTGCTGCCAAAATTGAATATATTTTTTATACCCTGGATATGAGAATTAAAAAAAAAAAAACCTTCAAAGTTAGAAGTGATTCCAAATGGAGGTCAGGTTACAATATGAATATTACATTTTATTTGCAGGCAGTAGGTTTGAGAAATCATGCAAGATTTTTCTTTATCAAGAGTTAACTGTTGTAAAGAAAATAAATCAATGATTTTAAAGAAAATTATAAAACTTTCTAATCTTTTATTTTTAGAGACTAAAACATCAATATGTACTATAAGAAATATAAATTTCAATTTTATAGAACAGCTATTTAATGAATTGAAATGAAGTGAAAGGGAGAAAGAAAAATAATTTCTTGCCATGGGGAAGAGTAGCAAAAAAGCAACAGAAGTAGACAGATACAAAGAACAGACAAACTGAAATAGAGCAACACAGATAGAAATTCAAACAGACAGAAACTGAGATGGATCTTCAGTAATAAAATCCCAACTACATAGTTGTAATTTTTAAAATTTTTTATTTTTGTTGGTTGAAGGATGTGGAAAATGTGGTCATTCATGTTGATGTGACCATTGGGTACAGATTCCAAGATCAGATATGACAACAGCAGAGGCCAGGGCTGGCCTGTGAACTGAGGCCTACCTTTCCTGGGTCAGTGGCAGAACTCAAAGGTGAGAGTAGAAGGCTGAGCTCCAGTCTGACTTTGTGCTTTTGGTCAAGTCACTAGACTCAGTTTTGATGAATTTGAATGTCTTACCTTCGCTTTTAATTATAGCTGTGAAAATATATGTGTATTAACATAGACATAAATGTTTATAACTCTTAAGAAAAGTTAAAGCAGGCTGTAAGTAGTTGATATAGTTTGGATACGTATTCTTGCCTAAATCTCATATTGAATTGTAATCCCCAAGGTTGGAGGTGGGGCCTGGTGGGAGGTGATTGGATCATGGGAGTGGGTTTCTCAGGAAAGGTTTGGCACCATCCCCTAGATGATGATCTCATGATAGTGAGTTCTCACGAGATCTGGTTGTTTAAAAGTTTGGCACTTCCCCTCTTACTGTAGCTCACTCCGTCGACTGCTTGCTCTCTTTCATTCTCGCTTTCTCTCACTCACTTGCTCCTGCTCTGGCCATGTGATATGCCTGCCCCTTTGCCCTCTGCCATGATTGTGAGTTTCCTGATGCTTCCCCAGAAGCTGAGCAGATGCCAGCATCGTGCTTCCTGAACAGCAGGGAACATTTTTAAAGGTTTTTAAATATTTAAAATTTAAAAATTAAAATGCTTTTCTTGATGAATGACCCAGTCTCAGGTATTTCCTTATAGCAATGTGAGAACTGCCTCATAGACTAGAAATACTTTAGCATTTTGTAAATTAAATACTTACTATGGCTTCTTTCTTACCGGATAAATTCTTATTTCCTTTCTTCTTTCTTGAGACAATCAAGAAAAGTTTTCCTTGCATAATCACCTCTTCTAACATATATTAGTGGAAGGGACGTATATAAACATTTATAATGTATATATTTATAAATATGTAGACTTATGTGTATATATAGATATGTGTATTATAAATCTACAGTAATAAGTAAATGTATATTAATGTAAAGCCTCTTTATGAAAGAGCAAGCTTGCCACCAGCTGAGTCCTCTCTGAAGAGACTTTGCTTTTTGTTTTAGAGGACAGGCAGGGTACATCAATGATTCCAGTGAGAAAATGAAACATAATTTTAAGCAGGAAATGATTTAATATAGGAAATTATATGTTAGCAAAAAGTAGACACTAGATTTCCAGAATGACTCCCAGAACAAGATAGAACTAATTCCTTAGGAGAGCTACCATCTCCAAGACCTCCACTAGTACTCTGATTTCAAGGCATACCCTATAGCTGTGATCCAGGGATACGAAGCCAGAAATGACAGTATCCATTGCTGTTGCAATAGCCTCCAGTCTCCTAGGATGGAAAATGGACACTAGAGACCTGGACAGGAAAGTCAGAAATGTCCAGGACTCTGTTTCTTAGCAGAAGAGAGGTGAAGGGGAAGCAGAGGACCCCTGTGTTCCTTTCACCTTCCAAATCTCATACATCCTACTTTACACTAAGAACATAGGTCCAAGATAAGGTGCAAAGTATAGTTTCCGCATGTCCAGCCAGAAGGGGGGAAGAAATGCAAACAGATAATACCAATTCACATTATCTGCCACATAGAGCTTCTATTAAATAGCCAGGTGCAGGAGGGTTGATCAGATCTCACTTTGATCCTACAGCCTCCCCAGAGATACTCTGATGTATGTGCAGAAGCTAGGCTGGAGTTGGTGCGTTTCATTTTTAATGCTCTGAATCAAATGTCTATAATTTTTAAAAAGGAATTAAATAAATTACTATATATAAACCTTGATTTTTAAACACTTCTGTATCTCTTACCAAAAAGTTTCTAATCAAAATACTGACTTTTTAAAGAAAAATGATGGGAGAGTTAGATATCAATTAAATTTATTCCGGTAAGTCTGGGTCATTCTCTTTAGTGAATAAAGTAAATTTAGATTTGACAAGTTTTCTGATAGTGAAAGTAGAATAGAATTCACATGTTAATATAACTTCTCTCCTTTTGCTGCCACCCTAGAGTAAAAGTATCATGTGGAAAGACTCGCATATGGAATACTTTTCAAACTATATAATGCAAATAAAATGTAATATTTAGTCTCTCCAGCCACTTCATAGTTCATCTGAAAATGAACTGTTTGATCTACCAGTGATGCTACTTAATTATTCCTGCCATGGGAAACCCTGCCTAGAATAATTGGTATTAACCTTGCAACAAGGAAGCCCTAATGTGCTCTAGATAAGGACCAATAATATTGAGAGAAGACAACATTGTGGGTGGCATGGAATAAAAACAGCTTTGTTCTGGAGTTCCAGGAGGACCATTAATTAGAGCCACTTGTAAGAAAATTCCTTTTAACTAGTTTTTGATGAGTGATATTGTATTTCTGGTGACACTCTCAAAACATTTTTTCTTAAAGCATGAAAGTGTTATAAGTTTGGGTATATTAAAATGAAAGTTTCTTGGCATTTAGGTGTATTTTAATCTTCACTTTTTGTTTTGCTCCCAGATATAAATCTCTGATAATTAATGATTACCTAATTCATTAAACTGCCTTATGAAATAGAGCATTAAGAGAAGAAAATTCTGTTATAAATCTTTAGGCTATATTTCCAACCTTCCACCAAATACATTCTTTAGTTAATATTTAAAAGCTTATTTCATCATGTCCAATTATGTTTTCTATAAAAACATGCTTTGGCCACTGCTTGGTTATCTCTCTGGATCCATCTACTATAATGGAGATAAATGGGCAATCACTCGAACAGTCAGTGATGCTCTCATTGAAGCATTTGCCCTGTTAGACTAGTTCCAATGTCCCATTGTTGGGTGGAATGAATGTTCTGGTATAGCAGTTATCCAAGTTGTAATTTTGTTTTCTTATAATAATTTGCAGTTGTGTTTGAAATAAGCCATAACGCAGTTTTCTCAATTTGATATGAGCTATTTTTAGCAGTGCCAAAGCTCTGATTGCAAATTTTTTTCATGTTACTACTTAGCATAAGATGGGCATCCAGATTTAATTATATCCATAGATTGCTTCAATGAATATAAATGTGTTACATTATCTTTAAATAAATGAATGTCAATATGTTCCAAGATAACAGAAATAATTGCATATAGATAATAGTCATTTTTGTAAGTCATGGTTTCTACAAGAAAATGCACTTACATTTTTTTATAAAGTGCAATATTATAGTTATTTTAAAAGACAGTTTTTCACATACAGACTGTAATGTCACTTAATATTGCTGGGAGACCCTACAAATAAATAAAATGCAAAATATACCTGAAAGTAACAGGGTTTGTAGTCTTTTGAAACTGAGATGGATGTTAAGAGTATCTTAGAAAGTTAATATGAAGTTGTTATCTGTGACAGACACTTAGAACTTACATACACTCTCCAGCTAAAGAAGATAATAAGAACTAAACCATTCTGCATTTGTTTAGCAAGATGTTCTCAGATTTTGTATGGAGGCTTATTGTAGTCAGCAAATCAACCTAAACAATGCACCAGAAAAAAAAAGTCGCTTTTTGTAAACACAATTAAAACACCATGGAATGGATGGGGAGAATATCAGAACACTCATTTTATGTAATCTGAGTTTTAAATAGGTGGGATGTTATTTGGGCTACCATGTCACACAGCAGGGGGTGCCATTCAAATTATATTTTATACAACTAATGCCCCCTAGAGTTGTGCTGTGCACACCTGTATGGCCATCCATGGTAGCCCTGGATGTCAATATGATCTCAGCAACTTGTGAGGGATATACAAGGGCTGGAAGACACTCTTAGGTAAGATGATTTAGAAAATGTCTCAATGCTTATTGATTTGTAAATAAATGTGTACTTTTTTTGCCAAAATCTTTTGAAATTGAAGCTTCTGAATATAATAGGGTACTAATCTTTAATTATGAGATCTGGATTTTAACCCCCAGTTTAATACTAGCTGAGTATTGCTAGATAGGTTGTTTCATATTCCTGGGCCTCCCGCATCTCCTCTGTTAAATGGATTTGGACTCCTTTTAGGGGTTTGCAAATCTTCTGTTTTTAACACTGGAAACCCTGGCACTCAACAGAACTCAGTTGGAAAACAATTAGATGGCCTGATTAAGTTCCCCTTGAGTAAGTTCTGATACCTAAAAGGACACTTCAACCCTGGTTTTCCCTGAAAAATATGGATAACATTCCATCATTAAATTGCCGAAGTGAATTTTTTCTTCCTAGTGAGATTATATGAAGCACTACAACCTCATACTTATTTTGTGCATATTTTCAGAATGTATAGAAGTCATATTCCATTTTGAAGAACTTCTTATATTACTTCTTCAAGGAGACTCTAGAGTCGTCTGTTTTTCTTTTGTGTGTGTGATCATGTGCCTTTAAACACTTTCAACAGCTTTTGGGGAACAGGTGGTTTTTGGTTACATGGATAAGTTCTTTAGTTGTGACTTCTCAGATTTTTGTGCACCCATCACCCGACCAGTGTACACTGTACACAATATGTAATCTTCTATCCCTCAGCCCCCTCCCACCCTTCCCCCTGAGTCCCCAAAATCCACTATATAATTCTTATGCCTTTGCATTTTTCATAGCTTAGTTCTCACTTATAAGTGAGGACATACGATATTTGATTTTTCATTCCTGAGTTACTTCTCTTAGAATAATGGTCTCCAGCTCCATTTGAGTTGCTCCAAATGCCATTATTTGTTCTGTTTTATGGCTGAGTAGTATTCCACTCAGTATACTGAGCAGTATACCACATTTTCTTTATGGACATTTAAGTTCATTCCATATTTTTGCAATTGTGAATTGTGCTGTTTTAAACATGTGTGTGCATGTGTCTTTTATATATAATGACTTATTTTCCTTTGGGTAGATACCCAGTAGTGGGATTGCTGGATCAACTAGTAGATCTACTTTTAATTCTTTGAGCAATCTCCATAATGTTTTCCGTAGTTGTTGTACTAGTTTACATTCCCATCAGCAATGTAAAAGTGTTCCTTTTGTACCACATCCACACCAACGTCTACTGTTTTTTTACTTTTAATTATGGTCATTCTTGCAAGAGTGAGGTGGTATCTCATTGTGGTTTTAATTTGCATTTCCCTGATGATTAGTGACACTGAGAATTTTTTCATATGTTTGTTGGCTGTTTGTATATTTTCTTTTGAGAATTGTTTATTCATATCATTTGCCCACTTTTTGATGGGATTATTTGTTTTCTTACTGATCTCAGTTCCTTGTAGATTCTGTATATTAGTCCTTTGTTGGATGCATAGTTTTTGAATATTTTATCCCACTGTGGGTTGTCTGTTTACTCTGCTGATTATTTCTTTTGCTGTGCAGAAGCTATTTAGTTTAATTAAGTCCCATTCATTTATTTTTGTTTTTGTTGCATTTGCTTTTGGGTTCCACGTCATGAATTCTTTGCCTATCAATGCCTAGAAGAATTTTCTGATGTTATCTTCCATAATTTTTATGGTCTCAGACCTTAGATTTAAGTATTTGATCCATCTCGAGTTGATTTTTGAAGGTGAGAGATGAGGATCCAGTTTCATTCTTCTACATGTGGCTTGCCAATTGTAATAGCACCATTTTTTGAATAGGGTGTCTTCTCCCCACTTCATGTTTTTGTTTACTTTGTCAAAGATGAGTTGACAAAATAGAGAAAAACATTCTCTCTTTGTTTGGGCTCTCTATTCTGTTCCATTGGTCTGTGTGCCTATTTTCATATCAGTACCATGCTGTTTTGGTAACTATAGCCTTGTAGTATAGTGGGAAGGTGGGTATTGAGATGCCGCAATTTGTTCTTTTTGCTTAGTCTGGCTTTGGCTATGTGCGCTCTTTTTGGGTTCCACGTGAATTTGGGGATTTTTTTGTGCTTCTGTGAAGAATGGTGATGGTATTTTGATGGGAATTGGATTGCTTTTCATAATATGGTCATTTTCGTAAAATTCTACCCACCCAAGACATTGGGATGTGTTTCCACTTGTTTGTGTCATCTGATTTCTTTCAGCAGCATTTTGTAGCTTTCCTTGTAGAGATCTTTCACCCCCTTGGTTAAGTATATTCCTACATACTTTACTTTTTCAGTTGTTGTAAAAGGGATAGAGTTCTTGATTTGATTCTCAACTTGGTCATTGTTGGTATATAGCAGTGCTACTGATTTGTGTACATTAATTTTTTATCCTGAAACTTTACTGAATTCAATTGTCAGATCTAGGAGCTTTTTGGATGATTCTTTAGGGTTTTCTAGGTATATGATCATATCATTGGTGAAAATGAAAGTTTGACTTCCTCTTTACCAGTTTGGATGACCTTTCTTTCTCTTGTCTGATTTCTCTGGCTGGGACTTCCAGTATTATGTTGAAGAGAAGTGGTGAATGTGGGCATCCTTGTCTTGTTCTAGTTCTTAGGGGAATGCTTTCAACTTCCCTGCTTTAGTATGGTGTTGGCTGTGGGTTTTTCATAGATGGCATTTATTACCTTGAGGTATGTCCCTTTTGTGCTGATTTTGCTGAGGGTTTTAATCATAAAGCGATGCTGGATTTTATCAAATGCTTTTTCTGCATTTATTGAAATGATCATGTTATTCTTATTTTTCTGTTTATGTGGCGTCTCACATTTATTGACTTGCTATGTTAAACCATCCCTGCATCCTTGGTATGAAACCCACTTGATCATGATGTATTATCTTTTTGATATACTATTGGATTTGGGTAGCTAGTATTTTGTTAAGGATTTTTGTATCTATGTTAATCTGGGATATTGGTCTGTAGTTTTTTATGTGTGTGTATGTCCTTTCTACAGGCTCATTTTCGATGCAAATTTAGTCTTTTGCTACCTCTGAGTGCTTTGGCAAATTAAGTTTCAGTTGTCTTCATTTGTAAATGAGGATAAAAATGTTATTCATTTCCTAGGAACTTTGGGAGAATGTGATTTTTGCCATTACTTTTATTTCAATTACTTTTGCATCAACCTAATGTTAATATGCAAAATGCTTAGCAAAGTTACTTGGCTCAATGTAAGCACTCAAATTATGCTCTTATACTAATGTAGAAATTATGTAGCAAATATTTTTCATGCATCCTCAGCTAGAGAAAGGATCATGAAACAAAGGAATTTCTTTTGTATTTTTTTTTTTTTTTTTTTTTTTTAAGAAAAACAGCTACTTAAGAAGCCTACACCAAGTTTTCTTTCCTGGGGTGGGGCTTTCTTTGACCAGCACAGGGTAATTGTCAGAATAGCCATGTAGGAAGAAAAAGGATGAAAGTTTGACTTCCTCTTTACCAAAAGGCTTCAGGGATAAAATGAAGGGAGATGAAAACATTTAACCTTGGTCCAACTCTACTGATGACTCCTTTCTCCTTCCATTAGCTAGCTAACTTTTATTGAGTACTTCCCATTCACTAGTAGTCTTCTAAGGGCTTAACCTGGGTTATTTCAGCTAATTCTCATAACAACACTATGAGGTAGCTTGTAGTATTATCCCCACTTTTAGAGATAAGAAAGTTAAGGCACAGAAAGGTTAAGTTGTCTGAAGTTATACATCTAAGAGATAGTTAAGCAAGGATAAAAACTCAGGGGGTGTGACCCCAGAGCCAAAACTATTTAATACCATAGTCCATTGTCTCTGGCATTTGAGATATTTCTTTAACTTCAAAGAAGAATAAAGGAGGTAGAGAGAAAGACTCAAGGTTATTACTGAGTTTAGAAATATGGACAGAAATATTAACACCCTATCATGTATGTTCCAGAAATGGTATTTCTAGGATAATATGGTAAATTAAATTGTTCTTGGCTGACATGGTGGTTCACACCTGTAATTCTAGCACTTTGGGAAGCTGAGGTGGGAGAATTGCTTGAGGTTAGGAGTTCAACACCAGCCTGGGCAACATGACAGACTCCCATCTCTACATAAAATTAAATTAGCTGGGCATGGTGATGCATGCCTATAGTCCTAGCTAGTCAGAAGACTGAGGCAGGAGGATCGCTTGAGCCCCAGGAGTTCAAGGTTACAGTGAGCTATGATTGCACCACTGCACCCTAGCCTGTGTTATAGAGCCTGACTCTAAAAAAAAAAAAAAAAAAAAAAAAAAAAAAATTGTTCCCTATAGTAATATTAAATATCTATTATGATCTCATGCTGAGCAGTTTATATTTTCAGTTTCTTGACTTTGGACTTGACCATATGACTTGCTTTAGCCAACAGGATGTTAGTAGATGTGATGTGACCCAAGACTTGATATGTATTTGTGTGTTGGGCTTGTTCTTTCGAACGCCTATCATAAGAAGAACATGGCTTGGGTAGCCACTGTGGGAGCATACTGGTCACACCTTGATCTAGAGCCAATCACAGTCCATCCCAGCCTGATCCTAGCCTAATTCCAGTTGATGCATATTTGTGAAATTAATTTTCATTATTGTTGTATGCCTTTGAAATTTGGTGTGATTTAAAACAGCACTATTGAGTAATAGTTGGGTTTAGTTCATAGCTATTACTGTGATCTCATTAAGCAACAATGTTCTTCCTCAAAAGTTAACATAAAAATTCATAACGTTATTTTCCCAAAGCTTCATTAATAGAGCATTTATTAAGTTTAAAAACAATTATTTGTGTATGTAATTAATTGGGAAGTAATTTGAGAATTAGTGGGAAATAGAAATAATAAATGGGCAATCTAAGATGCTGGAGAAGGCATAACAAATGTATAAACAATATTAAAAACACAAATGAAAATTAATGAGAACAAACAGTATGGCAGAGATAATAGGCTCAAATTGAATGATCTAAAAATAGAAAATTGGAAATGAAGAGCTTCTTAGTTGGTATTTTATTTCCTTCACAGACCATTTTTCTAACTTTTGCTTCAGGAAAGTCTACTTATTGGGGAATCTGAATTTGTGTGTCCTTTGACTTTTTATAAGCAAGTGTTTATAAAGGTTTGTTTAAGGTTTCCACTGATTTACTTTGAGAGTTCAATTGAGAATTGTCTAATTTTCATAGTATAATTACTTTCATTCATGTAGCAGTTATTTGTGTACCTGTTCAGAAAAAAAGTCACAATTCTCATTGTATAATTACTTTCATTCATGTAGCAGTTATTTGTGTACCTGTTCAGAAAAAAAAAGTCAACTTAAAGTTGACTTTAACATCTCTGCCTCCTTCAGGCTAGCTGTGTGTAGGGCGGGTGACGGAATTTTATAGTATTCTTTATGACTTTTAATGGTGTTCTTTTATACTTAGAGACTGGTAGTGAGAAAGAAAGAAAATAGTGTAACCCAAAGATGTTTGGGTATGTAATGTTTGCCAGTGTGGGGGAGGGCTACGTTTCCCTATATAAAAATGTGAGTGGATCTGATAGGTAAAGTTACCTTTAGCATTTAAAACAGGCAGATGGTAGGGTGGCCAAAAACTTTGAGGCAGAGGATATCTAATAATAAATAGCAGGATTTTTTTCTCAAATATAAATTTCTTCCTTTGTTCCAAACCTTCAATAAAGTCTGCAGCTCATGGAAATACCACTTGTGTGTGTCTGTGTATATGTGTGGTGAGGACAGAAGTGGGAGTAAAGAAAATAGGATAAGATCTGTATCTGTCAGTGGAGAGTAGAAAGAAAACATTTGTGGGTGGTGTTACGAGAGTGAATGTTAAAAGTTCAGTGGAATCACTGCCTGCCTCAATGGTTTTCAGCTTTGCTTGGATTTACCTGGGGAGGTTTTCTTAAAAAAACTGATGCCTTAGTCTCGCTCCCAGATATGCTGATATAACTAGTCTGGGCTGTGGGAATTCTATAACAAACAAACAAACAAAAATCCCCAGGTGATTCCACTTTGCAGCTAACGTTGAGTATCACTGCCTCAACATCTATAGCAAAGTTTTCCACCTTGATGGCACATTAGAATCACCTGGGAGTAATAAATGTGAACAACTGTGCTCTACCCCTAGAGATTCCAACTTAATTGCTCTGGGATGGAGGCAAGACAGTACCTATTGTCTAAGCTTCCCAGATGATTCTCATGTAGAACAGGATCAGATGAAGTCCCGAGAACATTGATAAGGCTCTATCTGCTAATAGAAAGAGTGCCCCAAAGAGTACAGGGTGCTAGAGTGATAGGAGGGAGATAGATAGATATGGAGCCCTTACTGGAAAGATAAAACCTTTACCCTATTCTGGCTAGAGGATTAGAACTCACTTCACACATCCACAAATTCATGAATGCTTACAAAGCGATGAGGAAACAGAAACTGTCCTGATGACTTGTCTGAATTCATGGGTGCTGTGATGTTGGGATTACATGAAAAGAGTTCAGGATTACATTCATTTTCACATGGTCAGAGCAACTGAATATACTAATTCAATAATAAGGGGGAGAGCATTTGTGCATGAGCAGTAAATCTTCTCAAGTGCCTTGACCTACAATTTAACTTAAAATCCCATCTGTAAGTTACATTGTTCCATGCCATAGTGTCAACACAAGAGAGGACCAAAAACAGAAAAACATGTTGTTGAAAATAATTGTGAGTTCATTTTAAGTTTCATTTTTCAAATAAATGATTGTCTTTTTCCCTGAATACATATTTCTTTAAGTTGTAGAAAAAGTCTTTGGTATTTTAAAAAAGATAAAATAGATTACAACCCTCGTTCTTAGCTTAATTCAATAATAGTTGAGTTAAGCTTTTATTGCTTTTTAATATTTTAATAAGACTTTTCATCTCAACTGTGCGGAAATCCATAGCTTAAATAAAGGCATACAATTAGTGAACATAAGAGATAGTCTTTAAATAGAGAAGATTAACATGTTGACGATTGAGTCCCGAATGTTAAACTATTGCAAAATTAGTTCTTCAGAATTCTTACAAGAATATAATTACAAAAATTTTTAAGAGAAATTTTTAAATTGAAACATCTAGCCTCATGTATTTCTAGTGTTACACTGAAATGATTCACTGTAGAAAGTGAAATTAGTGTAGACAAAATAAGGATTAATATATGACAATATTCATTAATGATACTGAAGACTACATGATGAGAAAACATTACTTAATCCATAGGAAGTCACTTAGCATTTTTGATATCTTCACACAGGTATGCTTTCTAATTAGACATTTCAGTAGTTCAGTTGAAAATATGAATGCAAACAAAAGGCTTGTAAAAATTATGCATGGAGTATTTAGAAACCTGAGCAAGAAACTGAAGGTCTTAGGGATGCAGGTGGTGGTTTAATTTCTTCTAATCCAAGGTCATAACTTTGGAAGATAAAGAAGGAACTGAGAAGTGAACAGCTGGCTCTGTATATGATGTCAAAGAACAGAATTTAGTTTTCTGGACCACGATGCATGATTCTAAACTAATGCTCCTGGCAAAAGAAAGTACATCTAATGAAGAGTGGGGAGAACATACTTGGCAGAAGATTTGCTGACCAGAACAAGAAGGCATTGATATATTAGTGGGTAGAGAAAAAGAACCAAACAAGCTGTTAAATTATACCCTATGGAGGGAAACAAGCTGACTTAGGAAGAGTAAAAATAGTGGAGAGGTGACCAGTAAATCAAGAGAGGCTAGCAGGAAAGAAGATAAACAATATTTGTGGCTTCATGGATTTACATACATATTCCCATAGTATGGATAATGGTGACATTTTAAATGAAAAGGTAAGTGATATTTGAATAATTTTATTATGATCTGATGGGGACGAGAATCTTGACTGGGTCATGTGATGGGAAAGTTATTTGACCCTGAAATCCAGTTTGTTTCTGCCATTAGCAAATATGCTGTATAATATAGGGATCATGGGGGTGGGACCTAAGAGGTTGGCCAGTGAATACACTGGTAAGACAGACTGAAGGAAGGATTAGAAGTGATTCTTTACCAAACAATTAAAAGTAGTACAGAAAGAGGCCAAGAGTGGTGGCTCATGCCTGTAATCCCAACACTTTGGAAGGCCAAGGTGGGAGGATTGCTTGAGTCCAAGGGTTCAAGACTTGGCTTGGGCAACATATTGAGACTCCATCTCCATTTTATGTATTTTAAAAATGTACTACAGGAGTGAAAACTGGGATTTTTCAAAGGAAATACACTTTGATTTGTCCCTTTTTTTTTTCTTCCACTTAGACTGGGACTTGTCAACAAATTTCAAGAAACTCAGGGAGTACAGAACATAGTTCAAGAATTTTGGATCCCTGTGATGAATAGTATGTAACAGAGAAAGGGATGATGATCATGACACAATCTAATTGCCATGGGGGTTGTGATGGAAATGAACAGACTTGGAATCAAGTAGAATCTGATGTTTCAGTGTCTACATGATTCTAAACGTTGTGGGCTTGATATTTACGTGAAAATCTTGCTTGGCAAAATTGTAAGTTTATTTTCCCATAGCTGAAATTAATTTCTATTCTGAATCTTCATTTTTGCCTTCCCAAAAACAGAAAAATTAGTCTGGTCTCTTCTGGATAAGAACAGTCATGTTATATTAACGAGTTTTCATCTTTTGGGGTGTAAATGAGGTCAGTCAGTTACTGCTCAGTCATTTCAGGTTTATAAGTCAAGCACATTCAAGATTTCTGCAATGCTCCCCAACCTTGGGGTTGATTTTGCAGGGAACTGGTCCTGCAATGTTAGTGGGGAGGAGGCATCCATTTCCTTCCTTTCCTGCTTCTTTCTGATACGCACAATTGGCCAGTCACGACATTTACTTAATAGTATGTAAGTGTCTTTACATACTATTTGTATATCTATTGTATATCTATGGCCTTGCTTTTTTTCTTTTTTTTTTTTTTTTTTTTTTGGTTTTGCTTTTGCTTTTGTATATCTGCCTTTGCTTTTGTGTATCTATGGCCTTGCTATTGTCCTGTCATTGTTGTCTACTGTAGTTGCAATCCATAATGCCCTCTCTGCCTGCCACCTTTCTCTGTGGGAACATTCTCACCCTGCTTAAAAGTATAGCTCAGGTTAAGCTAGTCCCCTGTACCTTTTCTGGATTTGTGCTATGGGCTTGCATCTCTCAGGACTTTTCTGCTACTAACACCAATTTCAATCATCTCTGTTCTTCTTTGTGTTATTGTAGTCTAGGGAACGTGGATGGGCTTTCTCTTAAAGAACCATGACCCAATCACCTGCCAAAGGTTGCACCTTATAATACCATCACCTTGGGGGTTAGGATTTCATGATAGGAATATTGAGAGGGAGCACAAATAATCAGTCTACAGGACTTGCTTATCAAAAAATTTTCCCTAAATGTCAGTCTTAAAATTAGATTTCTTGTTTAAAACGTTAAAACCAAGAAATGGAGTATTTTTTTTCTCTTTCTAACCTTGATATCCTCCCTTTCTTGAGGCAATGCTGAATGGATACCTTAAAGGTATTAAGATACATGCATGAAAAAAACAGGCAGTGTTTTACATATCATACTATAATAGATGTATTTTAATTCCAGTTATATTTATATTCTGAAAAATTTGTATTAAGGTCATGGGGAAGTCTTCATAAGCATGCCTGCCTATAACTTAAATATTTCCATAAGGGCATATTTATTAGGAAAACCAGCAATCTATTAAATTCTCTGAAAGGTTTTTTCACCAACAGTGGAGTTGCGCTGAAAAAATCAATGTCTCTTGTCCCCATTTCTTCACCTGTAAAACAAATAGTAAATGTTACCTATTGTCTTTCAGGAAGTTTTCCCAATGATTTGGATATTAGCAAAATATCTAACCAAGTATCTGAAAAGTGGCAGGTTCTCAATATTTGTCAACAGCTATTTTTGTACCATGATAGAAATCTTGGGGTCTTGGATAGATGCAGAGTAAAAATTAGAGAAAAATAAAGTTAAATAGTTTGGGGAGTGTTTTATATAGACTATTGAGACAAATAGCCTTTTCCTCACTGATGTCCACTAACCATCTAGAAGAATGACACATGGTAGGTGTTCAATAAATATCTGAATGAATGTAAATATTTCCTTTTTGGTTTTATATTTTTAATTGGTTGCTTTTCCTTGCATGTCTAAGAAGAATGATATGAGAACCTAAGGGAGCATAAAAGAGAAGTTGTAGAAGAAGAACATTTTTAGGAAAGAAGTATCAAGAAAATGTTTAATTGAATGGTGGTTGGCATTTGGAGTTTTATTGTAATATAGTGATCTGTGTTATACTTAAGGAATAGTAACAGGTTAAAGAAGAATAAATTTGGTGAAACTTAATATGGATGTGGAATAGAGTGTTGCTTACATGTAAAATGAATGAGATACTAAGACAGTCTCTAAGCAGCAACATTCTAATTTCAACCCGTGACTTCCCTGCGACCTCGGTGACCTAGAGGTGTTGCTTAAGTAGTAGAGTTTCTGTGGGAAATAGAGGTGAGTATAGCAGCAAAGTCCTTTAGAGTAGAATACCATAGCTAATTATTTCTCTTCTCTGGGAACTTGAGCTGTGTTAAGATGGGCAGGAAGAATAGCAATAGAATTAAGTATCTCCAAGCAAAACCTTTGAAAACAATCGTAATTATCTTTTTTGTTGATTGGGGCATCTCTTTTCAGAATCTGAGGAGAGATGAGAGGAATTAGAGAACTATTTTTTTCTACCATCACGGTGCTTCTGAAGACAAAGTGTAGTAGGTTTTTAGGTGCAAGCAACAGAAACTCAGCAGGACTAAAAAGAATTTGGTAAAGGATGTTGGAGAGCTCATGTAAACTCTGAGGATATGGGAGAAGGAGGTTTGAAACAGGCAGGAACTAACGCAGCAATAGCCAGGACCTTAACCAGAGACCGCCGTAGGAACTATCCAACTCCCAAACAAAGATGCTGCAGCTGGCAGAAGGATTACATATTGGAGGCCTTGGGAATTGAGACACAAAATGAAATCATAAGACAGCTTATGAGATTTTTTTTCCTTAAGGTATTTTAGATCCATAATAACAGTGATAGATTATATTGCAGTAGATTGCCTCCTTTAAAAGTAATTGAATTAAATAGGGGTGGTTTAAAAAATAAAAGCAACTTTGGGAGGCTGAGCTGGGGCAGATCACGAGGTCAGGAGATTGAGACCATCCTGGCTAACACGGTGAAACCCCGTCTCTACTAAAAATACAAAAAAATTAGCCGGGTGTAGTGGCTGGCGTCTGTGGTCCCAGCTACTTGGGAGGCTGAGGCAGGAGAATGGCGTGAACCCAGGAGGCGGAGCTTGCAGTGAGCCGAGATCACGCCACTGCACTCCAGCCTGGGCGACAGAGAGAGACTCTGTCTCAAAAAAATTAAAAAAAAAAAAAAAAAAAAAAAGCAATATGTACCTGTTGTAACTAGTGCAATATAGAAGTATGTAAATGGAAAAAATTCACAGTGAAATTGCAGGTGGGAAACAGAGATAGCCTCTACTAAAAATTTGAACTGTATTTTCCAGACTATATAATAAAACATATGTAGGACTGCAATATACATGCTACTCTGTAACTTGCTTCTTTCACTCAACAATATGTTGTATACTTCGGTTCATGTCAATACATATAGTTCTAGCTTCACCTTTTAAAGGATTCACAGCATTTAATTGTTTAAACACAATTTATTCAATCTATAACTGCTGTTCAATTAGACTTTTACAATTATAATTGTCTTTCACATATATTTTAAGTGCTTGTGTGCATCTCTATAGGCTAAATTCCTAGGAGTATAATTACTGGGTCAAAAGTGGAAGACATATATAAAAACTTGAGAGCTGTCATTACTTGCCCTTATAGAGGGTTGGCTCATTTTAACAATCATACCTACAGAATAAGAGGACCAAATTCCCTGTGACTTGAATATATTTGCTCTTAGGTAAAGATAACTTCCAGAGGAATTTTACTTCTCAGATAAATAAGTAGATTTAATGAGCTATTATGATCCCCTGTCCCAAATATCTGAAAGCAGAGGAACAAAATCTAATAACATGTTCTATATTTTAGGTATTTTCTAAAGCTTTTGTTAATATAATTTATTAACAGAATTAAAGTACGGCATAAAAATATAGGTAAAAGGCCAACATTTCAAAAATACTGGAGACTGAATAATTTCCTAATCATTGTTATTAAATCAGACAAGCGTTTTCTTAAGGATGACTTAGTGTTTAAATTTCAGGATAGATCTTCTTTTTCAGTGAATTTAAAAGAACGTTACAAGAAAATGTTATTTTCTTCTCTAAAAGGACAAAAAACCTTTTAAGAAACATAATAGTGTTCTACACAAGCCTAATTATTTTCTTTGCAAATAACATGTTGGGTTGAAACTTCCCTGTCTAATGAAAAAAGTAAAATGTAGAAAACTAAATGACATAAATTAGTTTTTATAAGAATTTAAAAAATTATGAAGGAGTAGTTGTATATTGTATATAAATAGTCCAGCCATTTCTCTACATGAGGAATTTTTTAATTCCACTGGTCAAACTTATTTATATTGACATCATTTTATATAAATTCAGTAATTCTGTAAAAATAACTTTGGCATAGTGTTGCTGAAATTTTCACTAATGTACTCAATTATACATCCTACACAGAGCTATGCATTTGGAATTTTAAATTTATTTTTTAGCAACAAAAATAAGAATGTATTTAACCACCCCATGCCAAAACAACCCATAAGTGGTTTTCTTGATTTTAGAGTTTCTTTATTACTTTAAAAATAAACATTAGAACGGTAATAGGTTATTGGGCTGGACATCTCAGAAAAACTTGTTATTGCACAGTTTGGTATATCTTTAACATACAATCCATAAAAGGATAAAAATGACACATTTGAAAAGAGAAGCTATTTTTAGTCACTTATCTGTTATAACTGTTGTAAGCTAGAGAGGAAAGCATGTTAAGATTTGTTTTAAATACAGTATATTGAAAATGACAATGGTCATATTGATCTCTTTTCCATCATTTTCCACAAGGCAATATTCACATGGGATTGAATATCATCGTGGAAAGAATATGGAGTTTGGCTCCATATAAACACATCTGGGTTATAACTCTGGCTCTTTTGCTATCCACCAGCTGAGTGACTTTAGTCAGTGAATTTACCTCATTGAACATTAGTTTTCTCATTTCTAGAGTGGGGTTAATAATACCTACTGCAAAGGGTCAACATGTGAAAGATAAAAATGCAAATATGAAGCACTTTAGAACTTTTGAAGACAGTAGATTTTCAATAAATGCTGCTCTCCTCCTCTCCTTACAATCCCTACTCTAGTCTTTATTTTACAAGGTGGTATATCCCAATACTACCTTGAGCCACATTAGTCTTACTATCTCTACACCAAAGCAGGGAATTTCACAGGATAATTACTATGTCCTCTGTAAGCTTTAGGAGAAAAATTCAATAAAGCTTCAGGATTTTTTGTGGGTGTTCTTTTGTTTCTCTACCCATCATGCTTTATTTAAATAAAGAATCATAATATTCTTAGCATAGACATCATACTTCTTGTTATTTAAATAAAGAACCACTTCACTTAAAACTACATATCATTTGTATGTTCTTCCTACACCAAAGTTATTTTAAGAGAAAAGATATTCAATTTTTTTATTCATGAACATTAATAATTATAGTATAACATTAAGGTAGTTTCAACATTTCCCTTGCAACTATTTACAGGCTCTTCATACTCTTGATTTTATGTTGTTTCTATCTTGATTGTTCAATGCTCAATTGCCCTACTTACCTGCTGTATATCAGTTGACTATTGCTTGGAGAAGTCCTAATTGTGCAGAGTGAGTTCCTACAAACTGATCCTTTGTTACAGATTATCACTTCTCTATTGCTATATTGATGGATCTTTATAACACCACTCCACAGAGGCTGTTCAAAATCTTTATTGTTCTTAAGAAATTAGCTTCATCTTTGACCTCTTTGCTCTTGAAAGATTATCTCATTGTGATGACATTCAATCTGCCTCTGTCCTTCCAACCTGTCCTATGCCTTGGTTCATATATTTTGTGCCAACTGAATGCTGTTTTTGAGTAAAGCAAATTTTCTCTTCAATATATATACTCTCTATACTCTCAATAATATCATAAAGTATACTTCTAATAATTTTATTTAAAGTCCTTGCTGGTTCTTGTATTCTATCAACTAAAATTAGAGTTCCTTGGCCTTGTGTTCAAGACCCTGTCCAAATATCTTTCCTCACTTATTTAATGAAATGTAAAGCAGAATTTCATGCAGAAATATTCTGAATTGATGTTAAAACTATTCAAACTTATAATTCTTTGGAGGACCCGAAATAAAATTTTGTATCATTCAAATTCATCCCTACTCAACTCTACCTCTGAAGTTGACAGAGGAAATAATTACCAACAATCTGTCTGAGACTTCTTGTCCATAGCATTCTGACTGTGATAGATTTCAATATTGTTTTATTTTCTTGCTTAGGTACCTTAATATTCTAGTCTTTATTATATTAACTTTTAAATATTCAGTCTTTATTTATTTTAACATTGAGGCCAAAGTTCATTTTTTTAAGGCAAAAAAGACTAAGACTTTTTTTAATCATGAAAGAATTTAAAGAATGTGGTACAAGACCTATAACATGTAGTGAGTTTTTATCATGTGTCAGATATTCTTTTTGTGAAGAATTAATTCTCCCAACAATACAGTGAATCAGTGTTGTTATTCCCCTATTATAAATAGGGAATGGATCCTTTAGAACCTTAAGTCATTTGGCCATCGCCACATAGCCAGTAAATGGCAGAAGTATAATTCAAACTCAGATCCACTTGCCACCAACTAGGAAATTATCTACTCATGCTGCAAAATTACAGAGAATTCTTTTATTTTATTTTATTATACTTTAAGTTTTAGGGTACATGTGCAAAATGTGCAGGTTAGTTACATATGTATACATGTGCCATGCTGGTGTGCTGCACCCATTAACTCATCATTTAGCATTAGGTATATCTCCTAAAGCTATCCCTCCCCCCTCCCCCCTCCTCCCACCCCACAACAGTCCCCAGAGTTTCATGTTCCCCTTCCTGTGTCCATGTGTTCTCATTGTTCAATTCCCACCTATGAGTGAGAATGTGCGGTGTTTGGTTTTTTGTTCTTGCGATAGTTTACTGAGAATGATGATTTCCAATTCCATCCATGTCCCTACAAAGGACATGAACTCATCATTTTTTATGGCTGCATAGTATTCCATGGTGTATGTGTGCCACATTTTCTTAATCCAGTCTATCATTGTTGGACATTTGTGTTGGTTCCATGTCTTTGCTATTGTGAATAGTGCCGCAATAAACATACATGTGCATGTGTCTTTATAGCAGCATGATTTATAGTCCTTTGGGTATACACCCAGTAATGGGATGGCTGGGTCAAATGGTATTTCCAGTTCTAGATCCCTGAGGAATCACCACACTGACTTCCACAATGGTTGAACTAGTTTACAGTCCCACCAACAGTTTAAAAGTGTTCCTATTTCTCCACATCCTCTCCAGCACCTGTTGTTTCCTGACTTTTTAATGATTGCCATTCTAACTGGTGTGAGACGGTATCTCATTGTGGTTTTGATTTGCATTTCTCTGATGGCAAGTGATGGTGAGCATTTTTTCATGTGTTTTTTGGCTGCATAAATGTCTTCTTTTGAGAAGTGTCTGTTCATATCCTTCGCCCACTTGTTGATGGGTTTGTTTTTTTCTTGTAAATTTGTTTGAGCTCATTGTAGATTCTGGATATTAGCCCTTTGTCAGAGGAGTAGGTTGCGAAAATTTTCTCCCATTTTGTAGGTTGCCTCTTCACTCTGATGGTAGTTTCTTTTGCTGTGCAGAAGCTCTTTAGTTTAATGAGATCCCATTTGTCAATTTTGGCTTTTGTTGCCATTGCTTTTGGTGTTTTAGACATGAAGTCCTTGCCCATGCCTATGTCCTGAATGGTAATGCCTAGGTTTTCTTCTAGGGTTTTTATGGTTTTAGGTCTAACGTTTAAGTCTTTAATCCATCATGAATTAATTTTTGTATAAGGTTTAAGGAAGGGATCCAGTTTCAGCTTTCTACATATGGCTAGCCAGTTTTCCCAGCATCATTTATTAAATAGGGAATCCTTTCCCCATTGGTTGTTTTTCTCAGGTTTGTCAAAGATCAGATAGTTGTAGATATGGGGCATTATTTCTGAGGGCTCTGTTCTGTTCCATTGATCTATATCTCTGTTTTGGTACCAGTACCATGCTGTTTTGGTTACTGTACCCTTGTAGTATAGTTTGAAGTCAGGTAGCATGATGCCTCCAGCTTTGTTCTTTTGGCTTAGGATTGACTTGGTGATGCGGGCTCTTTTTTGGTTCCATATGAACTTTAAGGTAGTTTTTTCCAATTGTGTGAAGAAAGTCATTGATAGCTTGATGGGGATGGCATTGAATCTATAAATTACCTTGGGCAGTATGGCCATTTTCATGATATTGATTCTTCCTACCCATGAGCATGGAATGTTCTTCCATTTGTTTGTATCCTCTTTTATTTCCTTGAGCAGTGGTTTATAGTTCTCCTTGAAGAGGTCCTTCACGTCCCTTGTAGGTTGGATTCCTAAGTATTTTATTCTCTTTGAAGCAATTGTGAATGGGAGTTCACTCATGATTTGGCTCTCTGTTTGTCTGTTATTGGTGTATAAGAATGCTTGTGATTTTTGTACATTGATTTTGTATCCTGAGACTTTGCTGAAGTTGCTTATCAGCTTAAGGAGATTTGGGGCTGAGACGATAAAATACTGGCAAACTGAATCCAGCAGCACATCAAAAACCTTATCCACCATGATCAAGTGGGCTTCATCCCTGGGATGCAAGGCGGATTAAATATACAAAAATCAATAAACGTAATCCAGCATATAAACAGAACCAAAGACAAAAACCACACGATTATCTCAACAGATGCAGAAAAGGCCTTTGACAAAATTCAACAACCCTTCATGCTAAAAACTCTCAATAAGGTATTGATGGGACGTATCTCAAAATAATAAGAGCTATCTATGACAAATCCACAGCCAATATCGTACTGAATGGGCAAAAACTGGAAGCATTCCCTTTGAAAACTGGCACAAGACAGGGATGCCCTCTCTCACCACTCCTGTTCAGCATAGTGTTGGAAGTTCTGGCCAGGGCAATTAGGCAGGAGAAGGAAATAAAGGGTATTCAATTAGGAAAAGAGGAAGTCAAATTGTCCCTGTTTGCAGATGACATGATTGTATATCTAGAAATTTACAGAGAATTCTTAAAATACTGACTTTCATTGATAGTTTAGTAGATCACTGGCCTAGGAATGTAGTGAGAATGGAAAATGGTCGCATCATGTGTAAAACTCTTTTGATTTTTTTTTTCCTTCCCCTAATTTTCAAAGGCTGGAAAGTGGCTCCTGGAATGTTTCACAGCCACTCTCTTCCCTCTATTCCTTTTTGGCTAGCTGGGTGGCTGTGCCTGGCTCTCTGCCTAACTACTATCTTGAGGAACTTACACACATTCTGTTCAGTGACATTCCTGAGTCACTGCTACTGTTGCCGCCATTGTACCTCTATTTGGGTAAGAGATAATTTCCAAGCAACAATTTTGAGAAGTAGGTCTAAGCAGGTGATTCATAATGCCTCTACCACACTCCAACTCTCACTTTCCCACACGATAATGTTGATGCAATGCTGGAGCAAGCCACTTTTATACACTGTCAGACTCAGCAGATGGGTTGGCCCAACCCACTCCTGTGTATATTTAACCTTTTCTTCCCCTCCTTCTATGATGAAGACTTCTTCTCAGGGAATTGTGATACTTGAGCCACATTTCCTCTTTAATTCTTCCTGGAAATTGTTGCCCATCCTACTTCTTTTTTATTACTTCTCCAGACTCTCTGCTTCTCTTTGCCTTCCTCCTGACCGTGTTCCCTTCTCCACCAAGTTCAACTTAAGATTTTACTTCTTTAATAGATTACCCTTCAAAGTTTCAAAACTTAATAATGTATCAAATATAAATGTATCTTAGTGATCTTATACTACTATTCCACAGTGATCCTCTGCTCAAATCCTTTGCCTTGAATTTTAGTCCTTTCATGCTGTGTCTCAAATGTGCAATTATTCCAAGGGAAAAAGTGACCGCAGAAGGCCAGCTTGCTTGTTTAACATTCCTTGGGTTACTTTAAAAGTGCAGCTTAATTTGTGACTGTGATTGATAGACTTTGTAAATGCTATTGGAAGCTAAATGATTAAAGTTTAGAGAAACAGCATCTTCCATTTGCACACAAAGTTGTGGTTTATTTCAGAGCAAATAGCTTTTCAAGTGATGACTTGGTTCTTGCTGAAATCCCAGCAGCGGAAGTCTCTGTACTTGGCCAGGTCAATGGATGGAGAAGGAGAGGCACCTGGAATAGTTTATTCATGGTCTTCTGGGAAAGCCTCTGAGAAGAATTGCTGAATAAAAATGAAATTAGGCAGCATTAGAGCCGCGAACACTTTGGCTATCGAGACCAGTCAAGTAAAGCATGGTTTATTACTTCTGGGAGCCAAAGACCCATGAGACAGTGCAATTCCAACCAGGGAAAAGCTTCAGATTGGGGAGCCAGAGGTCATTCTATGTCTCTGATGCATGAGACTAGATCATTCATACATTTGGGCATTCCATAAACATTTGAACTCCCACAGGTCAGATATTTTGCTCTGTCCTAAGAATATAAAGGCCAATACAACATAATTTTTTTCCTAGAGAAAGGAAGCTTAGGGGAATTATTATCTGGGAACCAACACAATGGGTAGAACATGCTTTCTTGAAATCACGCATATTCTTATTTTATTCTCTAAACAACTCTAAGAAGGTGGGTATTTACTAACTTGATTCTATGGATAAAAACCCAGAGACTTAAAGTAGTGAGCTGGGATTTCAGCCAAGATCTCTATAATTCCAACACCAAAATTTGCCCAGAGAGATGTATAAAAAGATATATTTGAAAATTATGTGGTGAATATTCAAAATTCTGAACAAAGTATAGTGGGAACTATTAGGAGACCTGATTTTACAGAATTGGTGTTATTTTAGCTGTGTTTCAAAGGCTGAGAGTAGTTAGAAAAAGAAAAGGGGTAGAGGATATACTGTGAAAAAGTAGGGCTTGGTCTAAACCTCTTTTTAACAGCATCTGAGTAGAGGGGCAACCGTGTGGTAGTATCTAGGAGTGGCCTTGTCTTGGCTGCCTCTACCTCTTATTTAAACTGACTCTATTATGCCTAAAATTTTCTTTGGTCTGTTTATACTTCATATCCTCAGGACTGACCACATAATTTATGGGTCTTCTTGTTCAAAAATTAAGAATTTCAAAACAGCAGAACATCCAACCAAACACGGGGCTCATCTTAGTGCCCATGAAATGGCCCTGATAGTAGAATTAAGAACCTCGTGAAAGATATGAGAAAATATTCTCTTTACCTTTAGTACCCTTTTTATAGGTTATATAAATTACAGGTTTTATGTAAGTTAGCTAATATATGAATACAAATGGCAGAATTTATGCACATGGAGTTCATTTCAAATTCATATATTAACTTGGCATTTAGATATTCCTTTTATTTTCACTGTACTTGTATATATCCCTCAAATACACAGAACAAATCTTTTTATTCATTCATTTAACAAACACTTATTGAGCACCTACTATACATGTCCATGGTGTTATATGCTCTGGAGAACATGTCAGTGAGCAAAACATATGTAAATAGAGGGGAAGAATCTTTCATATAAAATGGAAGACAGAACCCATTTATAAAAGCAACAGAAATAGTAAAACACATAGTTTTTTTAGTTGATTCTTGTCTTTGCGACACAAAAATAAACCATAAAGTGGAAAAATGTACAATGTTTTTAGATATGAAGATTGTCAATATGTCAATTCTCCCTAAATTCATTTATAAATTAATGAGATTTCAGAGAAAAAAATGCCAACTCTTCATTCCTGCCCCTCTTTGCTGAACTGAACTAAATACGACTTTTTTTTTTTTACCTTTTCTTTTTCTTTTTTTTTTTTTTTTAATGAGACAGGGTCTCCTTCTGTCATCCAGGCTGGAGTACAGTGGTATGATCATAGCTTTCTATGGCCTCAAATCCCTGGGCTCAAGCCATCCTCCCACCTCAGTCTCCTGAGTAGTTTGGACTACAGGTGCATGCTACTATGCCTGGCTAATTTTTTTTTTTTTTTTTTTTTTTTTTTTTTTTTTTAGAAATGGGGTCTTGCTTTGTTACCCAGGCTGGTCTCAAACTCCTGGGCTTAAGTGATCCTCCCATCTTGTTCTCCCCGAAATGCTGGGATTATAGGCCTCTAAGCCACTGTGCCTGGCCACATAAGGTAACTTTAAATGCATCTAAACTAGGAGGAACAATCATGAAAACACTGGAATGAAAAAAGTATGTGCGATTAAGTTCTATTGGATATTAAGATGTGCAGTGAAACCTTAGAGTATAATTAAGTTAGCAGATTAATAAATGGAAAAATACACATGAACATTTAGTATCTGATAAAAGTAGTATCTCAACTCTAAAAAGCAAAGATGGAACTTAAATGATGCAGAGATACCTGGATAACCACTTGGAAAATGATGAGATTGGACTGATACCTAACGTCATACATCAAGACTAGTTAAAACCGACCAAAAATCTAAATAACAAAACCAAGCCTGCTGTGGTGGCTCACACCTCTAATCCTAGCACTTTGGGAGGCCAAAGCAGGAGGATTGCCTGAGCCCAGGAGTGTGAAACCAGCTTTGTTCACAAAAGGAGGCTTCATCTGTACAAAAAAATACAAAAAATCAGCTGGGCATGG
Source organism: Homo sapiens (assembly GCF_000001405.40). Taxonomy (NCBI): domain Eukaryota; kingdom Metazoa; phylum Chordata; class Mammalia; order Primates; family Hominidae; genus Homo; species Homo sapiens. The sequence continues at coordinate 183,737,168 of NC_000002.12, read as the reverse complement.
TAGCACACGCCTGTTGTCCTAGCTACTCAGGAGGCTGAGGTGGGAGGATTGCCAAACTCAGGAGGTTGAGGCTACAGTGAGCCATGATCATACCACTGCACTACAGTCTGAGCAACAGAATGAAACAATGTCTCAAAAATAAATAAAACCAAATCTTAAAATGAAGACCTATATCCAAAACCCAGAATACATAAAATATTGATAATTTTATATAGTCGAATTTTACATGGCAAAAATCAAGATAAAGACAAAAATCAATAGAGTGTGAATCTTTTTGCAAGTCATGTTACAAAGGAATAATCATATATATCAATATATAAGCTTCAATTTATAGGATTTTCAAATATATTATGAATATATAATATGTAACATAAATATATATTATATATGTCACACAATATATTCATACATATATTAAACATAAGTATATATATATAGCAAATACATAATCATATTTTGTATAGTATATGTTTGAAATATGTAATATGTAAATTATATATCTACATATACATATTTGTGACTCTTAGAAATTGAGAAGAGAAAGAAAAAACCAACCAAAAAAAGAACAAAAGTCATAAAAGACAAATCACAGAAAGTTTATGAATGGCATTTAAGTATTTGAAAAGATATTCAACTTCTCTCAATAAAATGAATAAAAATTAACTGGTAATAGCCATTTTCTAACCATCAAATTGAGGAAAATACAGAAGTTTGAAAATTCTATTGGAGAGATACTTGTTATTTCTGGAAAGAGTACAAAATGGTACAATACCTATGAAGGAAAATTTGGCACTATCTAAGAACATTACAAATTCTTTAATCCTTAAACCTAACAATCAAATTTCTGTAAATACATTATATAGATATACTTGAATAAGAAATTTCATATGTACTAGGTTATGTGGTATTACTTGACAGCTGAGTGTCCAGCAAAAGAGACCTAATTAAGTAACCTGTGGTATATCCATGCAGTGGAATATAATAGTTTTTGAAAAGAATGATGCACAGCCACGTAAAGAATGAACTGTGTCCTTTGCAGCAACAGGAGTGCAACTGGAGGTGATAATCCTAAGTGAATTAATGCAGGAACAGAAAACCAAATGCCAAGTGTTCTCAGAAGTGGGAGCAAAATGTTGGGTACACACGGACATAAAAATGAGAACAATAGACACTGGAAAGTACAGAATGGGGAAGGAGATGGGGAGCAAAGGTTGAAAAACTATTGGATATTATCCTCAGTACCTGGGTGATGGGATCAATCGTACCCAAACCTCAGCATCACTTAATATACTCAGGTAACAAACCTGCACATGTATACCGTAAATCTAAAATAAAAGTTGAAATTAATAAAAAATAGAATGAAGCTATATTCTGTGTATTATGATAGAGAATATATTGTTATTCTAAGACATACTGAGGAAAACAAGCAACATGCATCATAGTATATGCTGATTTCTTTAGTAAGATAAGGCAATTATTTGCATGCTAAACAAACACTTTCAGGATTTGTTTGTAAAATAAAAGTATTTACCTACAAGGGGTTGAGAGGGCAAATAAAGGAGGAGGCGGTAAGGGAAACAAGACTTTTCTAGGTGTCTCTTTATATTGTAACTCTTGAATCGTGTAAACACACTACCTGTTGAGAAAACACAGCCCAATTTAGTAAGAAATCCCTAATATTGAAAGCAAATGGGAACAAATGAGCAAATAAATCCAGCTAGATATTGCGTTGGTAATATAAATCCACAAAAGATTTATTTCAACTGATTTTAGAATATATATCTTTTGACTGTGTATGCTTAGTGCGGTGCATTCTAAGAATAAAAAGAACTGTAAAGATAAATCGAACTTTTTTTGGTTGTTTAGTCTTTTAAAATTTCTTGTTTTGTGATAATTGTAGATTCACTTGCAGTTTCTAAGAAATACAGATTCTTCCTTTACGTAGTTTCCCTCCACAGTAATATTTTGCCTAACTATAGAACAATGTCACAAGCAGAAAATTGATTTTGATACAATCTATTGACTTTGCTCAAATTTCATCAGTTTTATGTGTGTGTGTGTGTGTGTGTGTATTCTGTGATTTTATCATGTGTACATTCATGTGACCACCACAGTCAAGATACAGAAGAGTTTCATCACGAGATTCAATTATTCTACTTCCTTATAGTCAAAATTATTTGCCTTCCTTGACATCAAATCTGTCCTCCATCTCTGATTTTGTTCTTTTTTTTTTTTTAATACTTTAAGTTTTAGGGTACATGTGCACAACGTGCAGGTTTGTTACATATGTATACATGTGCCATGTTGGTGTGCTGCACCCATTAACTCATCATTTAACATTAGGTATATCTCCTAACGCTATCCCTCCCCCCTCCCCCTACCCCACAATAGGCCCCGGTGATTTTGTTCTTTCAAAAATGTTATGTAAAATTTCGGGCCGGGCGTGGTGGCTCACGCCTGTAATCCCTGCACTTTGGGAGGTCAAGGCGAGTGGATTATCTGAGGTCAGGAGTTTGAGACCAGCCTGGCCAACACAGTGAAACCCCATCTCTACTAAAAAAAAAAAAAAAAAAAAAAATACAAAAATTAGCCAGGTGTGGTGGCACACTCACCTGTAATCCCAGTTACTCAGGAGCCTGAGGCAGGAGAATCGCTTGAACCCAGGAGGCAGAGGTTGCAGTGAGCCAAGACTGTACCACTGCACTCCAGCCTGGGCAACAAGAGTGAAACTCCGTCTCAAAAAATAATAGTTTTATAAAATGAAACTTTTGAAATACTTCAAGACTTGGCATAATTCCCTTGAACTTTATCTAAACTGTTTCATGTTATCAATAGTTCCTTTTTATTGCTGAGTAGTATTTCAAAGTATAGATGTCCCACAGTTTAACTATTCACCTGTTTAAGGACACCTAAATGGTTTCTATTTTTTAGATTCACAAACAAAGCTGATATAAACATTCATGTGCAGGTTTGGGGGTAGACGTACATTTTCATTTCTCTGGAATAAATTTCAGGAATACAACTAGGAATACAACTGGGCAATATGGTAAATATGTTTAGTTTTATAAGAAACTGCCATACTCATTTCCAGACTGGCTATATCATTTTATATTCCTACTAATAATGTATGATTGATCCAGTTTCTCACATTCTTTCTAGCATTAGATATTCATCACTATTTTTATTTAATTTTTAACCATTCTGTTAGGTGTGTAGTGGTAGGTAGCTTGTTGATTTATGTGCACTTCCCTAATGGTTAATGATATTGAACTTTTCATGTGATCATTTGCCATCTATACGTCCTCTTCAGTAAATGTCTGTTTATGTCTTTTGCCCATTTTATAACTCAACTATTTTATTTGCATTTTACCGTTGAGTTTTTTGTTTTGTTTTGTTTTGTTCTTGTTGTTTTTGAGAGAGAGTCTTGCTCTGTCACCCAGGCTGGAGTGCAGTGGCACGATCTCTGCTCACTGCAAGCTCTGCCTCCCGGGTTCAAGCCATTCTCCTGCCTCAGCCTCCTGAGTAGCTGGGACTACAGGCGCCCGCCACCACACCTGGCTAATTTTTTTTTGTATTTTTAGTAGAGACGGGGTTTCACCGTGTTAGCCAGGACGGTCTCCATTTCCTGACCTCGTGATCCGCCCGCCTTGGCCTCCCAAAGTGCTGGGATCACAGGCGTGAGCCACTGTGCCCGGCCTTATGGTTGAGTTTTGAGAGTTCTTTATATATTCTAGCTACAAGTCCTTTGTTGAATATATGGTTTATAAATATTTTCTGTTTGTAACTAATCTTTTTATCCTTTTTACAGGATCTTTGGAAAGCAAAAGTTTTAAATTTTGATGTGATACATTTTTTCTTTTATAAATTGTAATTTATTGTCAAATGTAAGAACTCTTAGCCCTAAGGACTAAATATTTTATTTAATTTTCTAAAGTTTTATAGTTTTATACTTTAAATTTAAACCTGGGATTCACTTTGAGTTTAGTTTTGTATAAGGTGTGAGGTTTATGTCTACTTTCTTTGTGCTTTTTTAAACCTATGAATGTCCAATTGCTCCAATAAGAGACTAGCCTTTCTCTATTGAATTACCTTTGTACCTTTGTCAAAAATCAGTTGGATATATTTGTGTGGCTTTATTTTTGGGTTTTCTATTCTGTTTCATTGATCTGTGTGTCTGTTTCTCTGCCAATATCATGCTGTTTCGATTACTATAGCTATATAGTTAGCCCTAGTTTTGAGTAAAGTGATTCTTCCCACTTTATGCTTATTTTTCAAAATTATTCAAGCTAGTGTAGGTCCTGTGCCTTTCTACAATAAATTTTAGAATGAGTTTGGCTATGTCTACACAAAACTTTATTGGATAGTAGTTTAACTTTTAAAAGGTAATATTGCTATTTTTATATTGATACTCTTTATACTGTTGAATGAAACAAATGTTAATATAACAACAAAAAGAAATACTTTCGTGTAAGTTGGAATATATACAAGAATAAAATAAAAGGAGGGAAACATATTGAAATTGTATTGTATATCAAATATAAAGTCATTAATTTATATATCTCTGTCCACTGAAATTGCTTAGAAGCAATTTCACCCTAGTAACAATGATGATTTGTAGCACTAGGGTTGTGTCCTCTAATACTATTTCCCTCCTTGGAGAAATGGCTGATTTGAAATGTGGGTCAAGGAAAGTACAAGGTGGTCCTAGGGCATGTAATTATACTGTAAATGAAAGAGGATTCAAAGATTGATAGTGTCATGTCAAAGAACACAGGAGCCAGCTCAAAGGAACTCCCAATGGCCAAAATTGTGACAATATGCATAAGAGGATGAATATTACAATTGTTGAAATTATATTCTGCAAAAATCATTGAGACTGAATGATTAGGAAAACCAAAGAAATTCATTTGTCAGCATTCAAAGCTGTTATTTAACTTTTTTACTTTAAAAAATGGAAATCAAAAGAAAATATTTAAGCATGTTTTTTTCTGCCTTTGCTGTGGTACTTGAATTTTAGGTTTAAGAAATAGACTCCCTTTAAAAAATTATTATTTTTCAATCTTTATTAGAATTATTGACTTGAGCGATGATGAACAATGGTGTTAAAACCACTGGTTGAAAGACTGATGGAGAGATGAACATTTGTGTAGTGCCTGTGGCAGGCAGTGTAATGCCTTCCATCCCCTCCAAAAGATGTTCACATCCTAATCTCTGACTCCTGTTGAAATAATGCACTTAAAGCATGAAAGTTGTCTTTCATGGTGAAAGAGACTTTGCAGACTTAAGGGGACTTATAAGAAGAAGGTTAAGTGAGATAGAGTAAAAGGTATGACGACAAGAGCAGAAGTCAGAGTGATGCAGGTTCATGAGCCAAGGAAGGCGGGAAGCTTCTAGAAGCTGCAAATACAAGGGATATATTCTCCCCTAGACCCTTAGCTCTGCTGATTCATTTGGAATTCTGATCTCCAAACTGTATGATAATGGATTATTGTCATTTTATACCACTAAGTTTGTGTTAATTTGTTACAGCAGCAATAGTAATCGAATACAGTGTTAAACCAGCTAGCTCACTTTCTTCAGTTAGACAATGGAGGTATCAGGTGGTCATTACCTTAACTCAGTGTTCAGTTTTAACCACGACTTGAATTTGACCAAGTTCTTAGACTTAAAATTAACAAGAAATATACGGGCTAGAGAAACAGGCTAACAACACTGACAAATTCAGGAGGTGTAAGATAATTGGTCCAATTTCTTCAAGTGGGACAGGAAGAAAAAATAAAGTTGCCATTAACTGCAGTGGGGAAGACAAAGGACAGAGCCAGGTTTTGGAAAGTCAGCAAGGAAGATATTTTAGACATGTTAAGTTTTTGATATATTTAATAAGATATCCAAATGGATATGGCAATAGATAGTTGTATATGTGAATCGGGAATCCAGAGAAAAGGCCTGGGGCCATCTAGGAGTCATCAGTGCATAGATAGTATTTAAAACAATGAAAAAAGATGTGATCAAGAAGAAAAAGTGAAAATTCATAAGAGAAAATGTCTAAAGGCAGATTATTGTGATCTTCCAACATTAACAAATCCTGAAATAAGATGGAAAACAGAAGAGACTGAGAATTTGCCAGTAATGTAGCAGGACATCTAAGATCATGATGTTCAGAAAAACCAAATGTAAGAAATGTTAAATCGGAGAGGGAGTGATAAAATGTCAAATCTGTAACAAAATGGAGCACAGTACATGTATCTTTGCAATGTGCTTTTTACTTATCTTTGTGAGATTCATTCAGAATGATATGTTAATTCTAGTTTATTTTCAGTGTTTTAAAATCCTTTGTGTGAGTGTTCCTCAACTTATGTATCCATTTTCCATTGATGACTATTTCCTATTTTAAGAATGCTCCACGAACATTCTTGTAACATGTCTCATTTTGTGTATGTATGTTTCGTGTATGAAAATTTCCAGACCATACATAGGAGAGGAAGGAATTACAGGGTCATGGAGCACAACATTTAACCTAAATATGTATTGCCAATTGATTTTCACGGTACTAATGTGAATTTACATTCCCACAGCAGTATAAGAGAGTTTTTTGTCCTTCACTAATTTTGTCAGACTTTAAAATTTTTGCCAAGTTGAGAGACCTGCAATGGAATCTGATATTTTCAATTCGTTTTTGTTTTTGTTTGTTGGTGGTGGTGGTGGCGGTTTTTTTACTAGTGAGTTTGGATACTCTTTTCATATTTGGATTTCCTCTGCCAGGTTCTAACTACTGGTCTATTTTGTTCATGTTTCCATTTGGTTGTGTTTTGAAAACTGCCTTGTAGGCTGGGCGTGGTAGCTCACACCTGCAATCCTAGCACTTTGGGAGGCTGAGGCAGGCACATCACGAAGTCAGGAGTTTGAGACCAGCCTGGCCAACATGGTGAAACCCCGTCTCTACTAAAAATACAAAAATTTGCCAGGCATGGTGATGCACACTGTAATCCTACCTACTTAAGAGGCTGAGGCAGGAGAATTGCATGAACCCGGGAGGCACACGTTACAGTGAGCTGAGATCGCGCCACTGCACTCCAGCCTGGGCGACAGAGCAAGACTCTGTCTTGGTGGGGCCGGTGGGGGGGTGCTGCCTTGTAGGAGATAGTTATAAGATACTTATATATTCTTGATATTAATCACTTGTCAAATATATGTATTGCAAATATCTCCTCCTTAGGGTCTCAACTACAGCTACTCATTTTGCTTTTTATAGGGTCATATTATAAACAAAATTTAAAATTTCTGTGTAGTTGAAATATTTATTATTGTCTTCTATTTCTGTTTCTGCACTTAGAAAATGTTACTAGTAATTGTGACTACCTTATGTGATGATTCAATGAAATATTGCATGTGAAGTACTTAGTCATAAATGCTAAGTATTTGGCTCAAGATGAGACCCCAATAACTATTTGGTGTTACTATTGTATACTTTATTATGCAAAGAACTATTGAGTGAAAGAAAAATAATTTTATGTCTGGGACGTGAGAAGGAAATGACTGAATCAATATACAATTCTAAGTCATATCTCAACCTCCAGATATGTGGGACTATTTCTGGACTTTCTGGTGTGCTCCAACATCACCCTGGTTTAATGATTAACTTAATGTAGTCGTATGAAAAATCTTGATATTTGATAGAGGAAATTGCCTCACCTTGATAAATTTTTTTTCAATTATTTTTCCCCTCAACATTGTCTTTGAAATTTGTGTCCTTTTGCCTTTCCATATAAACTTTAAAAATAAAGTGTTCATTTCCTTGGGGGGAACCCCTTAGAGAACAAAATGGTTTACATACTAAAGATGGAAAGCCATGTATTCATTCTAATACGTACATAAATCAATACCCACTACTGCAATTTTAGTTATGGATTAGGCAGAAATGATGAACATTAAGGACGATCATGTTGGAGGGAAGAATTTTAAATTTCTCTGAAGTTATTAAGTTGCCATAATGCAATGAGTTTTTGCTGTTGCTGTTAATCCAGGTATAGTTAGATAAACCTGGAAAGATCAAGCATATAATAGTCACACCATTCAAAAGATCTTGCAAAACTGTTGTTTGATTTTTTATGTCAGGCAAGTGACTTATTTAGGCAAACTGAGTTTAAGATATTTCATAATTGTTAAATCATTAATATTATATAAAATGTGTTACTTTAGTGCAATATAGTCAATTTAGTTTTATGTATAAACAGTACATCTTTTGTGATGCTAACATTAAGGGAAAAAACTCAAGCCTCAATACTGAACTTTGATAACCCTTCAGATTTTGTGGAGGAAATTGTGATTCATTCTTTTCATGCATATCATTTAGAGGGTTAGAACACTACATAGAATTTTGAAATATAATTAATATGAAATATTAGCCTGTCAGCTAATGGTTGATCATTTTTGCTTAATTTGTTTTTGTGACACTTTACAAAGAGTATTAAATATGTTAAAAATACTTTTCAAAATTTTTCTCTTACCATATTATAGAAGACAAGCTGATCTTTAAATGGAAACAGACATTAATTTTTTGTTCAGCATCTGTATTCTGCATCTGTTTTTATTTTGAATGTAAATCCACTATTAGGCTTAGTTTTTTTTAAACAACTTTACTGAGGTACAATTTGCATACAATGAACAACACATATTGAAAGTACACACTTCAATAAATTTTGACACGTGTATACACATGTCACCACTATAACCAAGATACTGTACATTTCCGTCACCTCCAAAAGTTTCTTTGTGCCTTTTTGCAATCCCTTCATCTCTCCGTCTCTGTCCCCAGGTGACTATTGATTTGAGATGCGCCCCAGCATTATGAAGGTTATTTGTGGCAGTCCACTCCAGGGTGGGGCTGATGGTTGGGAATGCTGTAATAAAATGGGCTATCTTGTGACAATAGGAGTGATAGGATCCCAAAATTACGTAGACATAAGGGCAGCACAACTATCTAAAGCATGTTGGGTACAATTATCATAATGAGGTAGCAAAGTCAAAAATTGCAGCCAGAGGAGGCCTGGCCTGAAGAGAACTATGGGGATGAAAAATAAGATTTGGTAAGATGTGCAGCCTATGGGGTAAAATCCATTGTAGACAGATGGTCAAGTAGACATCTCTGAAACTGCACACATAGCCAAGATAGTATCTCATTTGAGAGGCAGAGAAGTACAGGAGACAGAGAAGTGGCAGAGATCAGTGCAAGCTCCTTAAAGACTAAAAGAATGCAGGGGTCATAGTTCCCATCATATATCTTTCAATTCACCAGTCTTGCCCAAGAAAAAATCAAACAGATCCTGTAAATGGCAATGGAGCCCCAAAACTCAACCAAGCAGTTGCTCCAATGGCTACTGTTTTGTCAGATGTGGTTAGATGTCTGCTGGAGGCATGCAGTATGTAGGTGTTGATCTACTAAACGCATTCTTTCTCATGCTTATCTAGGAAAAAGACAGAAGCCATTTTCATTTGTGGGTAATGGACAAAATCTGTTAGGTTATAGTCTGAAGAGATTTGGACTGCATGGATGTTCTGCAGAACATCACTTTAGTATATTGTGTCAACGACATTGGGTTAACTGAATCAGATGAATAAGAAATGGCAAGTATGTTGGAAGGCTTTATAAGCCATATATTTTTCAGAGGGTGGGAGATAAGCCCTGTAGAGTTTCAAGTTCCTGCCACCATCAGTGAAGTTGTTAGGGATCCAGTAGGTGTATCATGCTGGGATTTTTCTTCAAAAGAAAAGGACAAATTATTGCATTTTTAACCTCTTATTTCTAAATCATAAACACAATGCCTGCTAGGAACTTGGGACTATTTCTTTGACTTGTTTATCGCATGACATTGAGAGCTGTCTACTTTGAGTTGTCCTTGAGCAGGAAAGAGCTTGCATCAGCTCTGGTCTGTGATGCTCACAGCCCTGTACCTTGGGCTGTACAACCCAGTGAACACGAGGGTATTACAGCTTTCTGTGGTGGGAAAAGACACCATATAGAGTTTATGCCAAGCTTCAATAGGAGAATCAAAGTATAGATATTTAAGATTTTGAAGAAGGCCATGTCATTTTCAGCAGAGAATTGTACAGCTGGCCATAGGAACTTCCCTTCACCCCCGTATAGATATGGATGTGGGAAGAGTGAGAGGTGCTGGTAGGAGCAAATATGTACATCATTTTCCAACTCTGTTCAGGGAAATGGCATTGGGAGCTGCAAATCAACTGTGGTCAGAGTATTTACATCAGAGAAATAAATTAGAGCATTATTTTATCCAGATGGCCAGTTTTTAAATATTACCCACATATCACTGGACGTAGAAGTTTGAGCCACCTGCCTGTACTTTCTGACCCTTCTCATACCCCATCAGTCCTCTATGTCCCACTTCCTTTATATGACGGATTACTGCTGGGCCTACTGACCCCATGATTTGTGAGTCTAATAGAACCAAGGTCATGGTAGGCCACTCAGGCTACACAGTCTTTGATGCCCTGTGATCAGGTACTTCATCCCTATCAGGCCCTATTCGCTAGTGGTGCATAGAGGACTGGGCATAAATAGAGCCAGAAGGAACTTTACAGAAAAAGAGATACAGCAATGGGACTTCAATTATGAATGTATTTGTTCTATCACATATCATACTACCTAGAAGCTGCTATCCTGACACAATGATGAAACATCTGTTTGAAGTTGCAGCCAAGCAGCCAGATTGAGATGAAACCCTGCACATATAGATGCTGTGAAAGAAAAATTAATCTCAGGACCTCAAACTCACTAAGCCAAAGGGAAAAGTCAGACTGAGAAATGGGTCACACAAACCTGCCTCCCATTTGGTTCCTAAATAAGATAGCTACATAGATTTAAAAAAGAAAAGCTTACAGGCCTTCCTCATAATTTGCCTATGAAAAAATTTCTTCTGGGCCCCAAGATCTTTACCCTAAAACAGTTCTGCTGAGTTTCACCCTGACAATGTAAATTGATAGGTTGTCTTGGCAGGTGTGGGACCAAGGACAGAACCAAAAAGTTATCCTTCTGCTCACTGGAGACAAATGCATATCTCACTATTTTCTCCTCCCTATTTTTTTTTTAATCTTACATAAAAATGAATATTCACTGAGCAGGAGACGAATGCATTAATAACTATTCCTCTACCCCTTCTTACATGTAAAATGTGTATTTAGTGAACATTGATCAAAGACTTAAAATAATGCAATTGCTTGCTGCTTTTACTTTGTTATTATTTACTTATTTATTTGACAGAGTCTCGCTCTGTCGCACAGGCTGGAGCACAGTGGCACGATCTCGGCTCACTGCAACTTCTGCCTCCTGGGTTCAGTTGATTCTCCTGCCTCAGACTCCTGAGTAGCTGGGATTGCTGGTGCCTGCCACCAAGCCCGGCTAATTATTGTGTTTTTAGTAGAGATGGGGTTTCACCATGTTGGCCAGGCTGGTCTCAAACTCTTGACCTCAGGTGTTCTGCCCACCTTGGCCTTCCAAAGTGTTGGGATTAAGGTGTGAGCCACCATGCCTGGCCTGCTTGCTTCTTTTATATACCCTCCCTTTAAAATTTTTTCCTTCTTCCTCTTTTCCCCAATACCTGTTCTTTTCCCTTTAAACATTGAGTTCCCCAGACCCTCTTCAGAGAAAAAAAAAAAAAAAAAAAGCAAGGACCATAGATTTTTTCCTGTGGTTCTGTATTCTTTTTCCTGAGTGTATCTTTAACCTTGGCAAATGAACCTCTTAAAGTGATTAAGACTCACTTTGGTCATTTTCTTTTATTTACAGTGCCATGCTCTAGGATGCAACTGCAGAATGCCGTATATGCCCACTTTTTATGATCATTTTTTAGGGCTGTGTCCAATAGTTACTATACAGGGGTTCTAAAGGAGTGGGGATAAGAGTGGTCCACATCCCATCATTATCTGTGACCCACTGGAAGAATCTGTGCTTCCTATCCATGTGACTTTTGCTTCTGTGGATACAGAGGTTCTGCCTTGTTGAGGAGGAATGCCCCTATCAGGGAACACACTGTAAGGGCTTATCAGTTTTTATGCTCTGACTGTTCTATGGTAAATTTGGGCTTCTTGGGCCAAGAGAACAGGAACAAAGAAATGAATTTTACCATCCTGGTAGGAGTAAATAACCACAATTATCAGGAGGATATAGGGCTTGCCTCCTTCTACTACTATGATATTGGGGATTAAGTTTCAATATTTGAATTTTCATGGGCACACAAACATTTAGACCACAGCAGCAGCTTTGGCCAAACATTTTGTTAGATTAATTCATGTTGTTGAATGCAGCAGTAGTTTTTGATTAATGTGTTATATTTCATTGCATAAATACACTGCAATTTATTCATCCATTCCACTATAGATGGGCATTTGAGTTGTTTCTAATTTTTGGCTATAATGAATAAAGCTATGAACATTCTTGAACATGTCTTTAGGTACACATACTGTTTCTTTCTGTTGGGTACCCAGGAGTAAAACCACCTTTGCGAAAATTATGGCAGTGGGGGAGATCTGATCTAGCTAACCCTTTTCTTGCCTTTACCCTTCAAGCTGCCTTTATTCCTGGGATTAAGTCAAACTAACTTTGGGAGACATTTAGTTTATACTTCAATTAGTCCTTCTCCAAAACTCAGTTACCTTTGCTAAGCTAATGAGAGACCACCAGGCTAGGAGGATAGAGGAGCCTGAATTCTCCTAAGGCAGCAGTCCCCATCCTTTTTGGTACCAGGAACTTGTTTTGTGTGGAAGACAGTTTTTCCACAGATGGGGGGGTTAGGGGGTGTGGGTAGTTTTAGGATGATTGAAGGGTATTACATTTATTGTACACTTTCTATTATTATTACATTGTAATATATAATGAAGTAATTATACAACTCACCATAATGTAGAATCAGTGTGAGCCTTGAGCTTGTTTTCCTGCAACTAAATGATCCCATCCAGGGGTGATAGGAGACAGTAACAGATCATCAGGCATTAGATTCTCGTAAGGAACAGGCAACCTAGATCCTTCACATGTGCAGTTGACAATAGGATTCATGCTTCTATGAGAATCTAATGCTGCTGCTGATCTGACAGGAGGCAGAGCTCAGGCAGTAATGCAATGATGGGGAGCCACTGTAAATACAAATGAAGCTTCACTTGCTTGCCTGTGCTCAACTCCTGCTGTGAGGCCCAGTTTTTAACAGCCTGTGGAATGGTACTAGTCTGTGGCCCAGGGGTTTGGGGACACCTGTGCTTAGGTGTAGACATAAAGGATTGCCAGCCATTATTCCACAGGTCACAAGATATGCAACTTCCTCAATTAATCTTGCAGATAATGTCACTATTGTAACACCAAAGATTGACCTTTTGAGATATCTTTTGAGGTTTTTTGCATGTCTGATGACCAATGGCTTTACCTGTACCCATCCACCACTCCTGTGGACCCAACCAGAAGTGACTCAAGCAACAGGACAGCTTTGATTCTCTATGATTTCTTTTATTTTTTTTGGTAATTTTTTACTTCCATAGGTTATTGGGGAACAGTTGGTGTTTGGTTACATGAGTAAGTTCTTTAGTGGTATTGGTGAGATTTTGGTGCAACCATCACCTAAGCAGTATGATTTCATCTCTGACTCAACCAATCAGCGCTTCCCATACCCTAGCCCTCTGCCCATCAAACTGTCATCGAAAAACCCCTAACCTTCAGGCCTTTGAAACTGATTTGCATAATGACTCCATCTCCCATACAATGTGGCCTGCCTCTGGTCAATTAAACTCTTTACTGCAATGCTATGATCTCTATGAATTAATTTTCTTTGTGTAGCAGGCAGGAAGAAGCTGTCAGGCAATTACAGGAGTGGAAATGCTATTTAGCTTTAGTAGATACGGCAAATAGTTTTCAAAGTAATTTCCAACCCCACCAACAATGTCAAAGACTTACTTGTTCTCCCTAGTCACCTGCATGTAGGAGTGTCAGTCTTTATATCAATACTTAGCACAGCTCAAATGATGCAAACTTGTAAAAGTTTAAATGGATTTAAACTTTACAAGAGTTTAAATCCATTTTCCTTCTATAATTTGTCCTAATGTTTTCATGTAATTTGTATGTTACAAACCCCAAGAGACATTACTTTTTGTTTTAAACAGTAAATATTCATTTTTATTTTACTCACATAGCCATCCTTGGCATTCTTTGCATCCTTTTCTAGTAGTTGCCTATTTCTACCTGTGAGGATTTACCTTTAGCCTAAAGAACTCTTTAGTACGTCTTGCAGAACAAGTCTGCTAGTGAAAAATTCAAATTCACCCAGGTTTTGTTTTCCTAAAATCATCCTTATTTTATCTTCATTTTAGGCATATATGTATGTATTTAATATGGATAGCATTTTAAATATATAATTCACATACTATAAAATTCACTCTTTCCAAATGTACAACTGAGTGGGTTTTAGTATATTCACAAGATTGCACAACCACCACCACTAATTCCAGAGCACTTTCTTCACTCCAAATGAAACCCTATACCCATTAGCAGTAACTGCCCATTCCCCCAACCTTCTGCCCTGGTAACCACTAATCCTCTGTCACTTGAATTTATCAACTCTGGACATTTCACATAAATGGAATCATATATTATGTGGCATTTTGTGTCTGATTTATTTCACTTAGCATAATGTTTTCGTAATAAAGTCTGCATTTCTAACGTGGCCGTTGAGGTCTCTGCTTGGTTAGCTTGGTGGTCAACTAATGATTGAACAGATGATTCCTTAAATACAAGGGTAAATCCAATACTTCTGTCTTTACTGAGAGGCGCTCTGTATGTGTATGAGCACATTTTTAACAGTCAGGTAGTGTTCGACTCTGCCTTAGCCTTTGCTTTGTGATTCCACAGAGCCTCCAGATCTGCCATGAGTGGTGGGAGCATAGGGCTTGCTGAGATGTTTTCTGAGCATGCAAATAGTCCTGAATATGTACACAGCCCTACACATGTGTATGTCCTTCTGGAGTTCCAGGTATATGTCTGGGACTCTAGAAGCCCCCATGCAGACATCTCTTTCCTCAGCTTTTTCTTTTAAGCTTTTTGGTTAGCATATAGTTTGCCCCAACTATACGCAGCACCTTAGGAAATGACTAGACAGTTCAAATAATGACAATTTTTCTGTTAAAGCAAAGTTTTTTCTTTCAATGAAGTCCTATTAATCATTTTTTCTTTCATGGTTCCCAGGAATTTTTTTCTATTCCAACTTATGAAGATACTCAGCTATGTCTTTTTTTTTTTCTATGCAATTAACAGTTTTGACTTTTGTATTTAATTCTATGATCCATTTTGATTTAACATTTTTATATGAAATAAGGCAGTTTTGAGACTAATTTTCTTTTTTATGGAAATCTGGTTGTTCCAGAACCATTTATTTATCCTACTATTCTTCCCCCATGGAAACGCTTTTGCACTTTGTGAAATATCAACTAAACTTTTATGTTAGTGGGTCTAGTTCCTCTTATTTTCTGATATCTATAAGTCTAACCCTTATGTGAATAGAAGACTTTATTGATTACTCTAACCTTAGAAAAAGTCTTGAAATTAGAAAGTATGCCCATTCCTACTTTGTTCTTTTTAAAAAAAAAATAGTTTGGCAGCTCTAAGCCCTTCGTATTTCCATATTTGACACTAATATCAATTTTTTACAAAAATGCTTATTGAAATTTTGATTGAGATGGTATTGAATCTTTACATCAATTTGACCAGAACTTTTATCATAGCAATATTATCTTTTAATCCTTGACCCTCCATTTATTAAGGCCTTTAATGTTTCTCAGCAGTGCTTTATAGATTTCAGTAAAAAGCTCTTGTAGTTTATTAAATTTGTTCTTAAATAATTTTTTGGGTTTTGCAAAAATTTTTTTAAATTTCAATTTACAAATGTTTATTGCTAATATATACAACTATAGTGGATTTTAAAATGTTGAACTTTGTATCTCGCAGACTTTCTAACTTTATTAGTTCCAGTAATTTTCTGCATAGTTTATCATATCTCTGATGAGTTAAGACAATTTTAATTTTCCTTTTCCATTTTTTTTCTTGCCATATTGCACTAACTGTGGCTTTTAGTATAATGCTGAATGGACATGGTGGGAGCAAATTTGAACTTGGGGGGAGCAATCTTGTCTCAGTTTTAAAGGGAAACATTCAATATTTCTCTCTGAAGTGTGATATTAGGCATAATCTTTTTGTGGATGCTTTTTTAAAAAATCAGATTGAGAAAATTCCTTTTATTCTTGGATGTTGAGTGTTTTTATTAGGATAAACATACATACCTACCTACATACACACACATGTATTTCATAACATAGAGCT
The DNA here is from genome assembly GCF_000001405.40 of Homo sapiens. NCBI lineage: Eukaryota > Metazoa > Chordata > Mammalia > Primates > Hominidae > Homo > Homo sapiens. The sequence continues at coordinate 183,720,799 of NC_000002.12, read as the reverse complement.
CTTTTATATTGAAGTATTGATGGTCTTGAAGGATACAACAAACATACCAGTGTGGAAATTTTAAAATATTTTTTCTTGCTTACAAAGTAATGCAAATTCATACTAACTCCAAATGATACAGAAATGAAGCAAAAAGTGAAAGTTTCCCATAATTTGGGTACACTTAGTTATGAAGGAAATGTGTGAGATATCTACTGGACACATAATGACTTTTCATTTTTATTGTGTCATTTAAACATAGTTTTAAAATGATTGTATCAAAACAGCTATGTCAATGTATTTGCATTAGAATATCCTTTTTATTCTTATGAGGTATTCTTTTCTAGTTGATTCACAACATATTTTTGCATGTGAAGCACTCTGAAAAGTCTTGCAGCAGATAAATTTATTTTTGTTTAACTCAATGACTCCCCAAATGAATTGCTGTCCTAAAATTTTTTTCACCTAATTTCTGTAATATCTTATGAAATTAGTATTCTATAAGATAGTCTTTAATGTAGACCAAATGAATTACTGTCCAAGGATTTTTTCATCTAAGTTTTATAATATCTTATAGAATATTATAAATTCTTATAGAATATTACCAAATTTAGATGAAAAAATCTTTGGACAGCAATTCATTTGGTGTATATTAAATGCTGTCTTCTAGACTCTTATAGAATATCTTATAAAATATTACAAAAATTAGATGAAAAAAATCTTTGGACAGCTATTCATTTGGGGAATAGAATTATTTTTCTATAAGACAGTATTTGGGCCAGGCACAGTGGTTCATGCCTGTAATCCCAGCATGTTGGGGGGCCGAGGCAGGTGGATCACTTGAGGTCAGGAGTTCGAGACTAGCCTGGCTAACATGGCAAAACCTCATCTCTACTAAAAATACAAAAATTAGCTAGGCCTGGTGGTACACGGCTGTAATCCCAGTTACTCAAGAGGCTGAGGCAGGAGAATCACTTGAACCCCCGGGAGGCAGAGGTTGCAATGACCTGAGATCATGCCACTGCATTCCAGGCTGGGCAATGGAGCAAGACCCCATCTCAAAACAAAAACAGTCTTTGATATACACCAAGTGAATTGCTGCCCAAAGATTTGTTTACCTAATTTTTGTAATATCTTATGGAAATAATATTCTCTATGACAGTCTTTAATATACCCAAAATGAATTGCTGTCCAAAGATTTTTTCACCTAATTTTTGTAATATGCAATTAATATTCTATAAAACAGTCTTTAATATACATTGATATTTACTTTTGGTTTTCATAGGTATCCTGTTAACATTATTATTAAATGGAACGTGTCTTAGTCCATTTTTTATTGCTGTAACAGAATAATACAGACTGGGTAATTTCATAAATAAGAGATTTGTTCAGTTCATTGTTCTAGAGGCTGGGAAGATCAAGAGTATGGCATTGGCATCTGGTGAAGGCCTTCATGCTAAGATATAATATGGCAAAAGGGCAAGTGTATGAGACTGAGAGAAAGGCATCAGGGGAAGGATTAATTTTTTTGATAATCTACTGTTGAGATAATTAATGTGCGCCTGTGATAATGGCATTAGTCTGTCCATGAGGGCTCCACCCTCATGACCTAATCACCTCTTATTAGCCTTTACCTCACAACACTGTTGCATTGGGAATTAAGTTTCTAACACATGAACTTTTGGAGGACACATTCAAACCACAGAAACTAGTTAAACTAATCTGAGATTTACTGTCTAGGGTAGTCAGCAAGTAAAATAAATTGCAAACAGGATGGCTGACACTCGTACTTACAATTCACTGCTGTGTTAGTTTGCTAGGTCTGCCATAACAAAATACCACAAACAATGGCTTCAACAACAGAAATTTATTGTTTCACAGCTCTGGAAGCTAGAAGTCTAAAATCCAGGTGTTAGCAGTGCTGATTTCTTCTGGGACTGGGGGTAAAATCTGTTCTAGATGTGTCTCCTTGCTTCTGGTAGTTGCTGGCAATCATTGTCACTCCTTGTCTTCTGGAAGCATCACCCCAATCTCTGCTTTCATCTTCACGTGGCATTCTCCCTATGTTCACGTGTTTGTTTCCAAATTGTTCTTTTTTATAAGGACACCAGTTATACTGGATTAGGATTCATCCCTCATGACCACATCTTAGTTTAACTAATTATATCTGCAGTGACCTTATTTCCAAGTAAGTCACATTCTGAGGTACCAGAGATCAGGACCTCAATACGTGAATTTTTTCGGGGACAAAATTCAACTTATAACAATTACTTCTAAGAGAATAAATGACTATTATATAAATTCCTTTAAGTTAGTCTTCCACATGTAGGCTTACAGTCAGGAAAATGACAAATTGACAGAGTAAATAGAAGGTTGGGTAATGTTGAAAGCAGAAGGTCTGCTTACTCAAAGATGAAAAATGAGGCTGTATACTGGAAATGAATGTAGAGGGAAATTATAAAAACCACGAGGAAAAAGTGTATTTTCCAAGGGAAAACACATGTATTGAAAACTTTAGGTAGTTGATTGATCTTCTCACTACATTGTATTTATGTATCAATAAAGGATTTAATAACTTTATACTTTGATATGCTGTTATTATTGGATGTTAGTCTCTATATTACAAAATATAATTTCTTTAAATTTTATCCCAAATTCAGTAGTCATCCTATCTATAAATTATTTAACTGTAGCATTTTAGGATTTGTACAATCTGGAATAACCTCGGAGCATATGGAGCATGTCTATTTAGTAATGTAGAACACCTGGCACAAAAATATGTGTAAAACACTGCTTTAATAACTAGACTACGCAGAGCTTCTAAGTAAAACCTTTGTTACCTGCTAAACAGGAAGCATCTGTTATCTTATGGAAGTAACTCACAATTAGGCAACCTACAAGGCAGTCCCTATGGCAAAAAGGCTGTAGAATTATTTACCGAGCACTTAAGAACAAGGCTTTAATTCATTTTTATTTCCCCAAATTACTGGCATACAGAATTGTGAATGGTGAATGTCCAATAAATGTTTATGAAATATTTTGAGTGAATAAAAATGAATTACAATGTTAGAAAAATATGATGCTTATTTGCAACCACTTTTATTATCAATTCTCTTGTATTTATCAAAGTTGGGCTTTGCTATCAGAATGTTCTGGTATCAAGTTTCAGCTCTGGTACCTATTAGCTGTGATATTTGTAAATTAATAAAACATTTTGAGCCTCACATTTTTATCTGCCAAAAGGGATGGTAATTCCTATATTAGAAAGTATGAGTGAGAAATAAAGCTGCTACTACTTTAGTACTGGCCATTATTACCATATTTCACCTGGATGGAAACTACAGCTTCGTACCTGGTCTACATAAATTAATCATGCTCTCCTCTAATTCATTCTCTACCCTGCGGCCAGTGTAATCTCTCTAAAATGAATATCTGATCATGTACCTCTGTTACTTAAAATCTTCCAGTGTTTCCTTATTTCACTAAGGCTAAAGCCTGAATTTCTTGGAGCTAGATAGGATTCTTCAAATCTGACTCCCTCTGTTTCTGTCTCCACTAATAATTCATACTCTCATTGTATTAAACAATTTGCTTTGAGATGTAAGCTTATGCTTTCTTTCTTTCTACAAGTGTGAGTGTATCATGATGTAGCATCTGCCTATGGTAGTCACATTTTTAGATATCCTCTTCTGTACCCCCTCCCCTACTTTTTCCTTTTCTCCCTAACTCACTTGATTAACTCTGAGTTCTCTTTCAAGTTACCTTCAGAAAAATTTATGAGTTCCTCATAACTGGGCCGTGTGTTCCTCCTATAGGCCCTCTGGCACTGTGGGCTTCATCTGATTCTAGCATTGATTATATAGTTTTCAGGTCTCACCTTTGCTTCTCTAAGCCTCACAAAACTCTACTACACGCTTATATCCCTAGTACAGTCCCTGATACCTGGATTGTGATGAATAGTTATTTATTGGCTAAATAAATGAATGACGATAAGATGGTATTTGTGAAAATCAGGTACAGTTGTTGATGTATAACAGGCATTAAGGATAAATACAGCTCCATTTGAAATTTAGGTTTACAAACAATTAGAAGTAATTTCATAAAAACCACTGTAGAAAGGAGATAAACACTGCTTTATTAAATGCTGATTGTTAGCCTGAGCTTTTTAGAGCATGTGAGGTATAGGAATCTAGTTAATGACAAGAAAAGAATAAATAAAAGTACATTTGAACTTTAGTGATCTCTAAAGTGATTAGCTATAAGCTAAATTTATAAACTGTAGTTTTCTGCACTAATTGAATCTTATGATTGTTTTCAATTATGTAAGACATATTTTACAAAGTTGGATATACGTTCCAATATTAAAATGTAGTTTCAGATGGGTAAAGACAGGATCTTATACTAAGTCTGATAGCAAGAGAGTTGCATTACTTTACCCTGAAGGGCAGCAAACCTTAACAGGGAAAACTGTCACTCCTGAGACAGGCACACAGAAGAGTCCAATTTAATCTTGCTTGACACTTGTTTTGCCTTAGTTAGGTAGTAAAAACTTTTCTTTCTTTTTAAAAAGCTTATTGGATAAGTTTTGTTTCACTAACTAGCACAGAGGAGAAGGAAATCATAATTCAGTGTCTGAATAAATAAAATTCATCTAGGTCCAAGTGACATGCATTTTACCTATTCCTTTAATTGTACAAGATTCCCTTTCAATAGAAAGACTCATGTTTCTGATGTCATACTTCCCTTTTCTCAAATATGGGACTTCTAATACTCGGTGTCTCAGCACATAATAAAAGTTTTCTTTTTTTTCCTTTGGTCTGTGGGGATTGTATAATTCTCAGATGCTTTATTTTCTAAAATGTTACTTTTATCCCTAGAAAATTGTTCTAGCTCTTTAACCAAAGGCATCATGTCTCGAATAGACAATAATAATTCTTAGCTCTCTTTCAGAGAAGTGTTGTTCAGTTTTGGCTACACATTAGAATAAATTGGAGAGCTTTTTTATTTTTAAGGAGACAAATGTTTGGGCCATATACCAAACAAATTAAATTGCAATCCCAGGGAGTGGGACCAAAGAAAGGATATTTCTTTTAATCTCCTTCAAGTGATTATAGAGCACAGCCAAGAATGAACACCAGTGCTTCAGAGCCTATATCTCGTTAAAAATAAAAATCACTTGTCTAAGCTTTTATTCCATCCCACTAATGTCCCAGACAATTCTACTACTGAGCTTTCTCATATTTTTCCCTCTTTTGAAAAAAAAAATCATTTTTCTCCTGATTTTAACAAAAGAGAAGGCAATGTAGAAATGTGCAAGGAAGAAATGAAAGGCATCTATGATCACACTGCCTAGGGAAAGGGGATCATGGGGACCATTGTTAACATTTTCTACATTCACACATACACTATTTAAAATTTCCCAGTAAGCAAGATTACCGTATACTGTTGTATGAGTGCAAGTCTCTGATCGTTGCTATTTTAGGATTAAACCAACCTGGAGGAGATAGCAAGAGTTTATCCAGTTTCAGCTCTTCCTTTATTAAAGTATGTTTTTTTTTAAAAAAAAAAGTTCAGAATATATAACTAATAAACAGGTAAAATAACTCACAGACTCAGAGCAAGTGAATCACAATGAAGCAGATTCCCCATCTTCTCCTCGCTGCGTTTGTATCACAGTGTCTTGAATTACTGCAGTGTAGTTGAACTACTACAGACCTTTTTGTCCTTTGAAACTATTTCCAATTCATACTTTCTCCTTACTATATACCAATATAATTATTTTTAAATATCTATAAAGCCATTTTTGTCTGTCTAAACTTGTGCCATTCATGTTAGCACTGCTCTATTGCTGATTCCTGTTGAAATGAGACTCCTGACATCCTTTCACCTTCAGTCCTGTTTTCAGTCTTCCTGTGTCCACTGACCCATAGTAATCGGAAAGTCACTCACATCTTCTAACCCTAGCAAACTGATAGGACTAACCCTGGGTCCTAAATCAGAGCAGTGACTGCTCATCAGCCATCCTAGAAATATCATGATGAAAACTGTCTCCCATCCTGTTAGCAAGCACATTGTTTAATTAATAAAAAAATTGGGCCATTGTGTCAAGTAAGTGATGGCTTGCAGTGAATGACATAAAGAATTCAGGAGTTCATTTATATCCATCTTAATTATAATTGTATAATAATGTCATATTCTTTTCCTAAAAAATAGATGATTCCCTACTTATTATGGTAAAGTTCTAAAAGCTAAAATTTAAATAAGACTGGCTCCCAATGTTGCAGTGACCCTCAATAATGTTAATTAAGGCTAAATTTTGACTAAATTATTTCCAAACTGGCTTAAAAGTTAATGAGATAATAATCACCCAGGAGAGAACAGCATGATAGCAATAGTATAAAACAGCAGCAGCCTGGCTAGATTGTATATATTCCGCTTATTCCAGATCTCATGAATGCTTAATTGACTTAAAGCATTATGGCTCAAATGGACACAAGGTTACTAAATATGCCTATAATGTGGGTAGAATTGAATTACAGCTGAAGTGTTTTAGTCACAAATATGTAAACATAGTTGAAGTAACATGGAAAATAATGCTAATTTTTCATATTACACAGTTGGACGTGAATATTGATTCAGTTACCCTAACAGAATGTCATGAAACTTGGGAAGTTTATTCAAGCTAAGAGCATAATCGTTGAAAACTACAGTGTTGACAGAGCTTTTATTAAAATACAAATGATTACCATCCCCAAAACACCTGGGGAAGATGGTATCACTTTTTAAAATGATTACTTTCTGATAAGTAACAAAAATTGATAAGAGAAAATCTAGGAAATACACAAGTTAGTAAAAATCTGTTAGACCATAACAAAGCAATGATAATCAACACTTTGGGTTTTTAGTCTTTTTCTCCCTATGCATTAAAATTGATTTTATATCAGATACACTCTTTTAAAATCTTCTTTTCTGACGTACTATGTTAGGAAAAGTGTTCTATGTCACATTTTTAACTGCTCTCATGGTTCTTTAACTGGTCTCATAGGTTTTATTCTGCATACAAAGGCGCAAACCAAAAAAGAGTGAAAACTATCTAACATTATAGATTTTGTATAACATCTTACATACTATAAAACATGAAGTGTGAAAAGAGAATTTGTAGGATATATAACAAGTATAGGGGATCCTGTTCCAAATATATGAAAACCTCTCTTACCAGTAGAAAAACTGTGAGGCTTGCAGAAAAATAACTTACAAAAGGAAGAATACACATAGTTACATATATTAAAAGTTTGACTATATTGGTAATTTAAAAAATAAAAATGTAAATAAAAATAAAATGTATTTTTTTACTTGTTAAATCTGTAAACAAAATTACATTAATGTAATACTGATCAGAAAGTGAGGTGGAATAAGCTTTGTGGAAGGTAAGTTTTCTGTATGTATCAAGAGCTTTTAAAAATGTGTGTACAGTTTGATCCAGAAATTAAACTTCTAGGAATTTGCCTTGATTAAATATAGATGTGTAAAGAGATATAACCTTTTTAAATATGTTTTTATCCTGGTCTAACTAGCAATAGAGTTCAAATGCTGGTACAGTTGAATGACCATATGTAAAACATCTCAACCCTTTAGTTTTTGTTAATATACAAAATTTAACTCCAAATGGATCATAGAATCCAATTTAAGAGCTGAAATTATAAAAACCATAGAAGAAAATATAGGTGATACCAGGTTTAGTAAAAATGTCTTAAACATTAAATACAAAATACAAAAAAAAACTCAAATTGGAGTCTAAAAAAATGTTTGCAATTTGCAAGACACTGTTATGAAAATGAAAAGAGAAGCCACAAATAGGGAGAAACTATTTATAAAACATACACTCAACAAATGACTTGTATCCAGAATATGTAAAGAACTACCACAACTTAATAAGGAGACAAATTACTCAACTAAAAATGGATAAAAGATTTGAACAGGTACTTCAACACACAGGTGACAAATAACATATAAAAAAAGATGTTCAACATTCCAGTACAGATACCATTAAAACCACAGAATGCCTAAAACTAAGGAGGCTTACCATATCCCTGCTGATGAGAATGCAGAATGGTACAAACATTATAAAAAGCAGATTTGCAGTTTATTAAAAGTACACAAAATCATTTTTATGGTAATATTACCAAATATGTATGACCTAAGCATGCAAAAACACTGGACCAAACCAAATCGAAGGACATTCTACAAAACTGTTCATCATTTTTCGAAAGTACCAAAGTCATAAAAGACAAAAGACCTGTTTCAGACGGGAGAAGTGTAAGGAGAAAGGACAACTAAATGCAATATGGGATTCTCAAACTCCTGGGACAGTAGAAGTTATTAATAAACTGGTTAAATTCAAATGAGGTCTGTTATATTGTACCAATGTTAATTTCCTGCTTGTGATAATTGCACTAAGCTTATACAAGATGTTAACATTAGGGAAATCAGATGAAAGATACAAGGAAAATCTAACATTTTTGCAACTTTTCTATAAAAGTTCAAAATAAAAAGTTTTCTTAAAAAAGTTACAATAGAGGCCTGGCCCGGTGGCTCACGCCTGTAATCCCAGCGCTTTGGGAGGATGAGGCAGGTGGATCACAAGTTGAGGAGTTTGAGACCAGCCTGACCAATATGGTGACACCCCGTCTCTACTAAAAATACAAAAATTAGCCGGGTATGGTGGCACATGCCTGTAATCCCAGCTATTCAGGAGGCTGAGGCTGGAGAATCACTTGAACCCAGGAGGCGGAGGTTGCAGTGAGCTGAGATGGCACCACTGCACTCCAGCCTGGGCGACAGAGTAAGACTCGGTCTCACAAAAAAAAAAAAAAAAAAAAAAAAAAAAGTTACAATAGGAAAGTTAAACATGGCCAGGCGCGGTGCCTCACGCCGGTAATCCCAACACTTTGGGAGGCCAAGGCGGGCAGATCGCTTGAGGTAAGGAGTTCTAGACCAGCCTGCCCAGCATGGTGAAACCCCGTCTCTACCACAAATACAAGAATCAGCTGGGCGCGTATAGTCCCAGCTATTCAGGAGGCTGAGGCAGCGGGGCGGAGGTTGCAGTGAGCCAAGATCCTGCCACTGCACTCCACCCTGGGCGAGAGAGCAAGACTCTGTGTCAGAAAACAAACAATCAAAAAAAACTTTATGTTCAAGTCAGTATTTAGTGCAATTTATTTTTTGTTTTATCATAAATTAGTTATGAAAACTAATCGAATAGGAAAGAAGAAAATAAGAAAATAAATCTCAACTTTAGAAGTTTTACATTGACATTTACTCATTTTTGTCTCAAATGGTAATCTTATTCTGTTAAACTTATTGTATTTATATTATCCTCTGATTTAATTTCAATGTAAACCAAACAAAAACATGAGTTAAAAATATTTATATCCTGTTTACAGCCTGTAAATTTAGTAAAACAATTATAAAATGACATTTAAAGTTTATAAACAATATGGGAGTAGAGGAGGCAGAGCAAGATGGTGGAATAGAAAACTCCACTCAGCATCCACCTCCAAGGACACCAAGTTATCAACTACACAGGAAAAAAACCTTCATAAGACCCAAAAATCAGGTGATCACTTTTAGTACCTGGCTTTAACTGTATATCACTGAAGGAGGCACTGCAGAGATTATTAAGGAAAAAAAAAAGTCCTTGAATTGTGGACACCACCCCTCTCCCATCCCAGCAGAGGCAGCACGTTGCAGAGAGCATCTCTGGGTGATGGAGGTGGGAGAACACAGCAATTCTGAGGCATTGAACTCAGTGCTGTCCTGATAGAGCAGAAAGGAACACCAGACCAAACTCAGCTGATGCCCAGCCACAGAGGGAACATTTAAACCAGCCATAGCCAGAAGTGAATCACCAATCTCAGTGGTCTGAACTTGAGTGCCTGCCAACCTCACTACTGAGGGCTACAGCACTCTGTGTCTCCAAGTACATTTGAAAGACACAATAATGACTGCAACTCTTATCTGAGTCCCAGTACTAAACTAGGCCCAGAGAGTGTGGACTTGTCAGTCTGTAACTTACTGAGATACCAACTGGGGCAGTCAAGGGAGTATTGACGTTATCCCTCCCCTAGTCCCAGGTGGCATAGCACTAGGCTCCAAAAGAGACCCCTTCCTTCCTTTGAGGAGAGGAGATAGAATAGTGTAGAAGACATTGTCTTGCATCTAGTGTGCCAGCTTAGACACAACAGGATAGGGCACTGGTCAGAGTCTTGAAGCCCTAGCTCCCAGAAAACATTGCTAGACACAACCTGGGCCAGAAGGGGACCTTCCTCCTTGAAGGATAGGACCTAGTCCTGGCAGCAGTCATCACCTGATAACTTCCTAAGAGCCCTTGAGCCCTGAATAGTTGACAGCAATACTGAGGTATAATATTGAGGGCATTCGGTGAGCTTCTCAGACTTCCAGGCTTCAGATGAGTGAGACTCAGCATATCAGCTGTGGTGGCTATGGGGGAAAACTCCTTCTGCTATAGAAAAGCTCAGGAAAAAGTAATGGAGACTTGTCTTGAACCTTAGGTACCAGCACAGCCATGGGGGTAGAGTACCAAGTGGGCTATTGGGGTCCCCACTTTCAGGACTTTACTCTTGGACAGCATTTCTGGACCTGCCCCAGACAAGACGAGAGTCCACTGCCCTGAAAGTTGAGTCCCAGGCCAGGCACCATTCAAGACAAACTGACTTGAGAGACCTTGGGCCTTAATGGAACATTGGTGGTAGACTGGCAACTGGCAGTACTCCCTATGGCCAGGGGTGGCAGTGGCTATGGGATGAGGCTCCTCTGCCTTTGGAAAGGGAAGGGAAGAGTGGGAAGGACTGCATCTTGTGATCTTGTGATTTAAGTGTCAGCTCAGCCACAGTACAGTAGAACACCAGGTAGACTTCTAAGGTTTTTGACACTAGTCCCTGACTCCTGGATAGCACTTTTGGACCCACTTGGGGCCTGAGGAATTTTGCCACCCTAAAGGGAAAGAAAGACACAGGCCTGGGTGGTTTTGCCACCTGCTGATTGTAGAGCCCCAGAGCCTTAAGTGAACACAGGCAGTAGCCAGGGAGTTGTTACAGCAGACCTTGCATGAGGCCCAGTACTGTGCTGGCTACAGATCTGACCAGGACAGTCATAGTAGTAGTGGCCACAGAGATGCTTGTGTAAGTCCACCCATAGCTTTAAGTGGCTCAGAACAGAGACAGACAGACTGTATATGTTTTGAAGAAAGTAAGGGAAAAGAACAAGTGCCTTTGCCTAGTAATTCAGAGAAGTCTCCTAGATCTTGTCCAAAGCTATCAAGGCATCTATGAGTATGCAAGAACCACAGTGGTACTGGGCTTGGGGTGCCTACTAAAGCAGATACACATTGGATCACAATGCCCAAGTCCTTACAAATATTTGAAAATCCTTTCCAAAAAAAAGACAGCTACAAATAAGCCCAGAGAGTTAAGACTACATGTAAAGTAGCTAACTCTTCAATGCCCAGACATCAAAGAACAACTAGTAGCATCAACATCACCCAAGAAAACATAACCTCATCAAATGAACTAAGTAAGGTAGCAGGGAGCAATCCTGGAGAAGCAGAGACATGATCTTTCAGACAGAGAATTCAAAATAGCTGTGTTGAGGAAATTCAAGATAACCCAGGGAAGGAATTCAGATTTTTAAAAGAAAAATGTATCAAAGAGATTGAAAGAATTACAAAGAATCAGGCAGAAATTCTAGAGCTGAAAAACGCATTTGGCACACTGAAAAATGACTGCATCAGAGTCTTAGCAGAATAAATCAAGCAGAAGAAAGAATGAACTTAAATACAGGCTATTTGAAAACACACAGGAGACAAAAGAAAAAATAAAACAAACAAGCATGCCTACAGGATCTAGAAAATAGCCTCAAAAAGACAAATATAAGGGTTATTGGCCTTAGAGGAGGTAGATGAAGAAGGATAGAAAGTTTATTCAAAGGGATAACAACAGAGAACTTTCCAAACCTAGAGAAAGAGATCAATATTCAAGTACAAAAAGGTTATAGAACACTAAACAGATTTAACTCATAAAAGACTATCTCAAGGCATTTAATAATAAAACTCCCAAAGAAAAGGATAAAGAAAGGATGCTAAAAGCAGCAAAAGAAAAGAAACAACATACAATGAAGCTCAAATATGTCTGGCAGCAGGCTTCGCAGTGGAAACCTTACAGGACAGGAGAGAGTGGCATGACATATTTAAATTGCTGAGGGAAAATAACTTACTCTACAATAGTGTATTTGGTAAAAATACTCTTCATACATAAAGATAGACTTTTCTAGACAAAAACTGAGGGATTTCATCAATACCTGAACTATCTTACAAAAAATGCTAAAGGGAGTACTTCAATCAGAAGGAAAAGGAAATTAATGAGTAATAATCACCTGAGGGTACAAAATTTACTGGTAATAGTAAATATACAGAGAAACACAGCATAATGTAACACTGTAACTGTGCTGTGTAAACTACTCTTATCCTAAGTAGGAAGACTAAACAATGAACCAATAAAAGAAAAAAGGACTTCAACTTTTCAAAACATAGTACAATAACATATAAATGGAAACAACAAAAAGTTAAAAAGTGATGAAGTTGAGTAGAGATTTATTTTTACTTGCTTGGTTGTTTATACAAATAGTGTTATCAGGTTAAAATAATGGGTTATAAGATAATATTTGCAAGCCTCACTGTATTATTAGTCCGTCTTCATGCTGCTGATAAAGACATACCCAAGACTGGGTAATTTATAAAGAAAAAGAGGTTTAATGGACTCACAGTTCCACGTGTTGGGGAAACCTTACAATCATGGCAGAATGTGAAAGGCACTTCTTACGTGGTGGTGGCGAGACAGAATAAGAGAACCAAGCTAAAGGGGTTTCCCCTTATAAAACCATCAGCTCCTGTGAGACTTATTCCCTACCGCAAGAACAGTATGGGGGAAACCGTCCCCATGATTCAATTGTCTCCCACTGGGTCCCTCTCACAACACATGGGAATTATGGGAGCTACAATTTAAGATGAGATTTGGGTGGGGACACAGCCAAGCCGTATCACTTATGGTAACCTCAAACCAAAGAACATGCAATGGATACACAAACAAAAAGAAACAAAATCATATCACCAGGGGAAAATCACCTTTACTAAAGGAAGACAGGAAGGAAAGAAGGAAGAGAAGATGAGGAAACCAGAAAACATTTTTTTTAATTTAAGAAAATTAAAAAATTTAAAAAGCTAAAACATTTTTAAAAATTAAAAGGGATATGGGAGTAATAGGAAAGATTCTAATGATAAATGGAATTTGTCTCAATACTTATACAAATTATTACCCCATGGCACTCTGTGATCCCTACAGTTCCCATAGGGAACCCTGATGACATGTTTGAGTTCAAATTTTATTTTTAAGATCTACTTTTCAGTATCATGGTTTTCATTCAAATTAAGCATTGGACTACAACATTATAAAGTCTAAGATTCTCCCCCAAATTTATTCTACGCTCCTATCAATGTGTGACCTCAAATCACAGCTTGACATTTTTGGTAATTTATCATACTCTTAATTTAAAAACATGTTATTTATATATAAAATATGTGTTACTCATAACTCTGTTACTTATATGTTCACTTGGAACTCTAATAATAAATTTATTTCATTTTGACTTATCTTTATATTTCACAGAATATTTTGTAACTAACCTAGGATACTTGACTTTAAAATTTGATTTTTACAAACTAAAATACCTATTCAGATGAATGTTTTTCTTTAATATCTTGGGAGCTTTATATTTATTCCATTGTTGTGATAATTCCAAGTATTTTCAAACTTCTGTTTTAAATTTCCCACAAAATAATGGTTTATTTTTAAAAACTTAATAATTGTGCTTCATCCTTTGTTTTAAAATATTTAGAGTTGGAGAAATCTAAATAATTTTTATATAATAAAACCATATTTCATTTTTAAAAGTAAAAATTACAATGAGATTGTTTTTAAAGTGTTTAAAATTATAAACAGTATTATAAAATAAATACATTGCTTCCTTAGACGAAATTTTGAAGAGAAAACTCTTACAACATTTTACTTAAAACTCTAGAATATTTTACTTGAAAGAGTCTCGTTATATCATAATAGTTTAAATGAAATGATGCATTGTGCTACAAGGAATCTTAAAAAGGTCATGCATTTTGCTGGGCTTACCATCTAGGTGATGGGTTGATAGGGGCAACAAATCACCATGGCATGTGTTCACCTGTGTAACAAACCTGCACATCTTGCACATGTATCCCAGAACTTCCAATTAAAAAGAAATAAAAATTTAAAAATTAAAAAGTAAAGCATTTGTCCAGAGTTGTCTGAGGAATTTAGAATACTTACAATGAAATTTTCTCGGCCAGGCGCGGTGGCTCATGCTTGTAATCCCAGCACTTTGGGAGGCCGAGGTGGGCGGATCACAAGGTCAGGAGATCGAGACCAAGATCGAGACCATCCTGGCGAACATGGTGAAACCCCATCTCTACTAAAAATACAAAAAATTAACCAGGCATGGAGGCAGGTGCCTGTAGTCCCAGCTACTCGGGAGGCTGAGGCAGGAGAATGGCATGAACCCAGGAGGCAGAGCTTGCAGTGAGCCGAGAAGGCGCCACTGCAGTCCAGCCTGGGCGACAGAGCGACACTCCATCTCAAAAAAAAAAAAAAGAAAGAAAAGAAATTTTCTCTAACACAAATCTATAATATTAAAATCTATAATTGTATCTATGTATTATAAATAGGTTATAAAAATATAAGATCTATATATGCACATATATATAAAAAACATAGAGATACACACATCTATATACATACATCTCCCCAATTCTCCAATTCTCCCACACTCATTCACACACCCACATACCTACACACACACTTATGTATCAAATTGAACTGCGACTGGACAAATGTAAAATGTCTATTTTTCCCTTAAACATACCTATTGGTATTTTTCACTCATAATTTTGTCTGGTTCATATTTTGTGCAAATTTTCTTAGCGTCATAGAGATTGGGATTTGAAAACTTGGTTTCATTGTTAGCTATGCTATCTTGTCCACATTATGTAACCTTTGAGTCTTTAAATTGAAAGTAATATTTTTCTTATTTGAGGATTGTATAAGAGAATATGTGTGAATTGCCTAACAGAGTGCCGATTATATAGCAGACCCTCAATGCATTTCTTCTCTCTGTGCCCCATCACTTCTCTGTGACCCAGATCTAAGATGAACAGTATTTGTATTTGTTTCTTAATTTTTTTAATGTTTATAGATTGAGGGGTTACAAGTGCAGTTTAGTTATGTGGGTATATTGCATAGTGATGAAGCCTGGGCTTTTATTGTTCCCGTCACCTGAATAGTGTACCTTGTACTCAATAGGTAATTTTTATCCCTCACCCTTCTTTTACCCTTCCACCTCTTGAAGTCTCTAATGTCTTTTGTTCCACTCTCTATGTCCATATGACCCACTGTTTAGCTCCCACTTACAAATAAGTGCATGCAGTATTTAACTTTGTGTTTCTTTCTTTCTTTCTTTCTTTCTTTCTTTTGTTGTTATTGTTGGTGGTGGTGGTGGTGGTGGTGTTTTGAGATGGAGTCTTGCTCTGTCGCCCAGGCTGGAGTGCAGTGGCACAATCTCGGCTCACGGCAACCTCCCCTTCCCGGGTTCAAGCGATTCTCCTGTCTCAGCCTTCCGAGTAGCTCGTGCTACAGGCATGTACCACAGCACCCGGCTAATTTTTGTATTTTTAGTAGAGACGGGGTTTCACCATTTTGGCCAGGCTGGCCGCGAACTCCTGACCTCACGCGACCTGCTGCCCGGCCTCCCAAAGTGCTAGGATTACAGGAGTGAGACAACACGCCCGACCTACTTTGTGTTTCTGACTTATTTCACTTATGATAATGGCCTCCAGTCCATCTGCGTTGCTGCAAAAGACATGTTTTCATTCTTTTTTATGGCTAAGTAGTATTTCATGATATATACACACCACATTTTCATTTTGTTTTCAAATGTTACGTTAGATTATGGGGGTACATGTGCAGGTTAGTTACAAAAGTATATTGAATGATGCTAAAGTTTGAGGTGTGATTGAACCCATCACCCAGGAAGCGAGCATAGTACCCAAAAGGTAGTTTTTCAACCCTTGCCCACTCCCTCCCTGTCCCCTCTTGTATTCTCCAATGTCTGTTGTTCTCAATTTTATGTCCATGTATACCCAATGTTTAGCTCCAACTTTATAAGTGAAAGCACACATTATTTAGCTTTCTGTTCCTGCATTAATCTACTTAGGATAATGTCCAGCTGCATCCATGTTCCTGCAAAGGACATTGTTTCATATTCTTTATCCAATCCACTATCAATGGGCACCTGTATACTACATTTTTTAATCCAGTCACCAATCAGTGGACACTTTGGTTGGTTCTACATATTTGCTATTGTAAATAGTGTTGTGATAAACTTGTGATTGCAGGTATCTTTCTGATACAATAATTTTATTTCCTTTGGATAGATACCCAGTAGTAGGGTTTCTGGATCAAATAGTAGTTATATCTTTAGTTCTTTGAGAAATCTTCGTACTGTTTTCTGTGAGGCCATACTAAATTTACAGTCCCACCAAGTGTATTAGTGTTCCCTTTTACCTGAATCCTCATCAACATGTTAATTTTTGACTTTTTAATAGCCATTCTGACTGATATAAGATGGTATCTCTCTGTGGTTTTAATTTGCATTTCTTTGATTACTGATGTTGAACATTTTTTCATGTGTTTCGTTTTCTACTTACATTTCTTGTTTAAAATGTTCATATCCTTTGTTCACTTTTTAATGGTTGTATTTTCTTGTTTACTTCTTTGTTTGTAGATTCCGAATCTATTGGTCCTTTGTCAGATGCATAGTTTGTAAATATTTCCTTCCATTCTGTAGGTTGTCTTTATTTTGTAGATTTTTTTTTCTGTTGTGCAGAAGCTCTTTAGTTCAATTATGTCTCGTTTGTCTATTTCTGGTTTTGTTGCATTTGCTTTTAAAGTCTTAATTATAAATAATTTGCCTAGACCAATGTCCAGAAGAGTTTTTCCTATGTTTTTGTCTAGATTTTGATAGTTTGAGGTCTTTCATTTAAGTCTCAATTTATCTTGAGTTATTTTTTGTATACGGTGATATATGGGTCCCATTTTTTTCTTCTGCGTATAGCCATCCAGTTTTCCAAGCACCATTTTTGAATAAGGTGTCCTGATTTTAGGTATGTGGCTTTATTTCTGGGTCCTCTGTTCTGTTCTATGAGTCCTTGTGTCTATTTTTATACCAGTACCATTCCGTTTGGTTACTATACCCCTGGAGTATAATTTGACATTGGATAATATGATGCATCCCACTTTGGTTTTTTCCCTCAGAATTGCTTTGGCTTTTTAGGGTCTCTTTTGATGCCATATTAATTTTAGAATTTTAAATTCTTTAAAAATTCTGTGAAAAATTACAGTAATTTGATAGAAATTGCATTGAATCTGTAGATTGCTTTGGACAGTATGGTCATTTTAATGTTGGTTCTTCTGATCCATGAACATGAAATCTTTTTATTTGTGTTGTCTATGATTTCTTTCATCAGTTTTGTAGTTGTTCTTATAGAGATCTTTTACTTCCTTGCTTAGATGTATTCCTATGTGTTTTTAAAAATAGCTGTTGTAAATGGGATTGAGTTCTTGATTTGGTTCTCAGCTGCAATGTGATTGGTGTACAGAAATGTTACTGTTCCTTTAATGTTGATTTTGTATCCAAAAACTTTACTGAAGTCATTTATCAAGCCTGGGAGTCTTTCAGAGAAGCCTTTAGGGTTTTCTAGGTATAAAATTATATCATCAATGAACAGAGATAGTTTGACTTCCTCTCTTCCAATTTGGATGCCTTTATTTCTTTCTCTTGCTTAATTGCTTTGGCTAGAACTTCCAGAACTATGTTGAATAGGAGTGGTAAAAGTAGGTCTTGTCTCTTTGTTCTTAGGGAGAATGCTTTCCACTTTTATTCCTTCAGCATGATATTGGCTGTCAGTCTGTCATATATGACTTCTATTATTTTGAGGTATTTTCCTCCAATTTCTAGTTCATTGGGGGTTTTATCATGAAGGGATGCTAGATTTTATTGAATGCCTTTTCTCCATCAATTGAGATGATCATATAGGTTTTGTTTCTCAATTCTGTTTATGTAGTGAATCACATTTATTGATTTGCATGTGTGGAACCATTCTTGCATCCCTGGAATAAAACCTACTTGATCATAGAATATTATCTTTTTGATGAGTTGTTGGATTTGGTTTGCTAGTATTTTGTTGAGAATTTTTGCATTTATGTTCACAGGGATATTGGCCTGTCATTTTCTTTGCTTGTATTTGGATAGGATTTTTCCTGTTACTGACATTGGCTCTGTTTCTCAAAACATTACCTCCCTTCTTTTGGTGGTTGTTTTGGGTAAGTTTTACCCCATAATGCCAAAAATTTTACTTTGCCTATGACTGTTTTTTTATTCTATACAAAACTGTGCAAAGGGAAGGAGAAATTCAAGTGATTTTATTTTATGAAAAGATTTATAAAATCTTTTAGAAAAAGAGCAATTGAAAAAAAGCTTTCTAATGGAGAATCACTTAATGGTGAATGGGGTTTATTAGGAGATCAAAAAAACTAATATTATCATTTTCGTGTGTCAGTGTGACTCTCACAAAAGCTGTAGTTTAAGCACGTAATTTCTACTATATAATCAGTGGTTTAATAGATCCCTTCAGACCTTTTGTGAATCTACAAGCATAGAACAAATGTAATTTATGGAGGGTCTAAAATTAATTCTGAAGCCAAAATAAACTCTGCATAGTAACATCAGCTGTAAACTTCCTCAGATCTGTAAAACCCAAGCTATGATAACTAATAGTAAATGATAATGATGGTGATGTACAGATCATGTACTGTAGGTTAATGAACATGTTTTCTGATAATTGTCTGCTTGTCCCAACCCACAATCCCTCTTCATTAATCTTTTTAACTCAGGAATAAGCTCTTCCATCTCTACATATTAAAGGCGTGTCCCTGTTAATTTACATTATAAAAATATAAGTGCTTCATAAGTTTTTTCACTCTTACTTGCACTGGTGCCTTTATTCTATATAGGCTTGTTTTCCAATAAATTACATTTTCAAATTAAGTTGTATTTTTTCTAGATGTATTATTCACAAATTAATAGCTTTTTGAGTTTTCACAAAAAAATTATCTCTAATTTAATGTTTTGTAACACTGTCTGGGGCCCTCATAGAAACACTTCTAAATCTGTGTGTGTGTATGGGGGGATATGTATCTAAAGAAACATAATTATTCATGTAGTAGAATCATGCTAGTAACAGAGCTGAACTTCTGCTGAATTAGACCACTCCTTCCTTAATATGTGTATAATGCTTACTTTATAGATAAAATTGATCTCTATTTTAGATCTTCAATATAATCACTGATACAAGTAGGTAAATTTCTTTGGAGGGCTAATTAAAAGTTGTTCTAAAGTCACAAGAATTACTATGTATATAACATGAAATACAGAAGAGGAGTTTTGTAAAGTGGATGCTGAGCACTTGCTTGTGATTGACCACTGTATTTCTCCCTCTTGTATAAAAACTTTTCAGGTAAGATTCATATTAGACCTGAACCCCAATAAAATTTCATATTTGGCATAAGTAGATGAAACTGAATTCTATAGTCATCTGTATTTCACATCTCTGTTTCCACATAAACATATTTACATTCATGCTGTAATATTTATATTTGTATATATATTTATACATATTGTATCTTGGATTTTTCATTTTATGTTATGCTGTAGGTTTTATATTATGTATTTTTTAAAAAAAATTAAATCAGTATACTGTTATATATTTTGTAACTGTTGGGTAAGTTGTTCAGAAATTCTTATTTCTAATGATTATTCTTATTACTTTCTGGCATACTAAAATATATTAAGGAAATGATGAATCAATATATGAATATTTTAAAAAAGTCATACATAGATTGAATTCAGGAAAAGTTTATCTAATTTGCATTTTTGATAGCAGTATATATTGGTGTATAACAAAATATTTTCAAAGATTGAATATTGGAAAATTATTTACAAATTTTCTGAGAAAAACTAATTTTAATTGGCAACTTTAAATTATTTCTAAATGTACCTATGTGTTATATATTTTGTCTATAAATCATTTATAGTTCTTCATTTGAAAATATGTCCTATTTCATCTCAGAATTAAAGTATTATTAATCTCCTTTTTATATGAACTTTTTGTTTTATACAGATAGAAATTATTTTTTATATTATCTTCCAATTTTGTTACTATGATTGCATTGGTAGAATTTTTATTTTATGATGTAAATATACAATATATAATTACATAGTGTTGTAACAATCATAAAGTATAATTTCATTGTATAGATATGTATTTATTTAAAAATCCTATATAAGATATTGGATTAAACACTTACAAAAGTTTAAAATAATAAAAACATAATTTTAAACGATAAAAAGATTAATTATTTTAGTGCTGTTTGCCAATATTTGAATACTATTTGAGTCTTAGGATTCAAAAGGTTTTTTAATTACTTTTCAGTAAGATCTACTCTGATCCTTTATTGAATATTAGACTGCCATCCCCATCCCCATCTTGCCTTACTTTGTTCTTTTTTTTTCTTTCATGGCTCTTATATTCTAGCATACAATAATTTACTTTTTACATTTAATATATGTTATTTATATTATATTCCTCATTAGAATGAAAGCTTCAGGACAACTACAATGTATTTATTTTGATATCTGTATTCCTAACACTTGGAGCCAGCATTGAAACATGTAGCTAAAAACTAACAAAAATTAATAAAACTATACTAACTCTTTCATCATCTTAACCACATTCCAAAGGGAGAAATTACCAAAAATATAAGAGTATTTGAATGACTTATGTATTGACTAGGACTACAAAATTCTGATATAAGTATAGCCACTCATGTGAAATATCTTTTTCTGTTTCTTCACTTTCAGCCTATATGTGTTCTTAAAGCTAAAGTGAGTCTCTTATAAGTAACATATGGTTGGATATGGTTTTTCAAAATCAGTTCAGCCACTCTGTCTTTTGATTGTGGAACTTAATCTATTATTTAAAGTAAGTATTACTAGGTAAAGATTTATTATTGCCATTTCGTTCATTGTTTCATGATGGTTTTGTAGTTCTTCTGCTCCTTTCTTCCTCTCCTGCTGTCTTTTGTAATTTTTTGGTTACAATTTATAACTTTTATATAGTGTATCCACTAACAAATTACTGTAGCTATAGCCATTTTAAATTTTTTTGTCTTTTAACTTTTACACTAGAGTTAAAATTGATTACCCACCACCATAACAGTATTAGAGTATTCTGAATTTGGCTATATTCTTACCTTTATAATGAATGCTATGCTTCTATATGTTTTTTATTGTTAGTTAATATCCTTTTGTTTCAAGTTGAAGAATTCCCTTTAGCCTTTCTTTTAAGGCAGGTATTATGGTAATAACTACCACAACTTTTGTTCATCTAAAAAAGTCTTTGACTTTCTCTCATTTCTGAAGAACAGCTTTGCCAGGTATAGTATTTTTGGTTGGTAGTTTTTTTTTTTCTTTTAGCACTTTTAATATAACATCTCATTCTTCCTGGCCCATAAAGTTTCTGCTGAGAAATCTGAACATCTCATGGGGTTCCATTATCTGTAAGGAATCACTTTTCCATTGCTGCTTTCAAAATTCTCTCTTTATCTTTCACTTTTGAAAATTTGATTACAATATGTCTTGATGAAGGTTTCCTTTGATTATTACATGTTTCTGTGAAAATCTATTTGATCTATTTGTAGTTCTTCAGGCTTCGTGGATCTTAATATTCATTTCCCTCTCCATATTTGGAAAGTTTAGTGTCACTATTTCATTAAATAAGCTTTTCTTCCCTTTTTCTTTCTCTGCTCCTTTTGGTATACCCATAATGCCCAGGTTGATCTGCTTGATTACATCTAATAAGTCCCATAGTTTTCTTCACTCTTTTAAAACTTTTTAATTTTGTTTCTGTGACAGGGTAATTTCAAATGACCTGTGTTTGAGCTCATTCATTATTTCTTCTGCTTGATCATGTATTCTGTTGAAACTATGAAAATTTACAATTCCATCATTGTGTTCTTTGGCTCCAGAATTTTCTTTAAAATTATTTTGGCCAGGCATGGTGGCTCACGGCTGTAATCCTAGCACTTTGGGAGGCCATTGTGGGTGGATCACTTGAGGTCAAGAGTTCAAGGCCAGCCTGGCCAACATGGCAAAACCATGTTGTGTCTACTAAAAATGCAAAATCAGCCAGGTGTGGTGGCGGGCTACTATAATCCCAGCTACTCAGGACACTGAGGCAGGAGAATCACTTGAACCTGAGTGGTAAATGTTGCAGTGAGCCGAGATCACACCACTTCACTCTAGCCTGGGCAGAAGAGTGAAACTCCATCTCAAAAAATAATAATAATAATAATAATAATATTTTTTATGGTTTCTATCTCTGTTGAACTCTTCATCTTATGCATATATTGTTTTCCTCATTTAATTTCATTGTTTCTCTATGTTCTCTTATAGATCCCTGAGCTTTGGGATGATTAACTTGAACTCTTTGTTAGGCATTTTAAAAATCTATATTTTTAGAGTCAGTCATTGTGCTTCATTTTATTTTGTGTGTGTGTGTGGTGGTGTTTTTCTGAGTATTCATGATCTTTGTGGTCTTGTATTGCTGTCTGGAGGACTGAACCATATTTCATCTGTCTGACCACCAGTCCCCAATCCTAAGGACCCAACCTAGAAAGTTTTGCTTAATTTTGTCTCAAGCCTAAGTTTTCATGACAGTGGCTAACAAACTCAACTATGGGAATCATCAATTAGATATTCTTGTTCAAAACTCTCTTTTTCTTAGCAGGGAGAGGTAAATATGCTCAACTATTGATAAAGAACTTACTGTCAAGAAAATAAGTTACAGTTAATTTCTTAATCATATTGTGTCACACGAAGTTTTCAATAAATCACTCTGCTCCTAATAATGCACCTATAAATTTGTGTTTAGTTGAGTAGGATGAACAAAAGTACAAAGGAATTCAAACTAGATATCAAGTAAGAACCAGAGTCTTATCCTACAAAAACTATGTGTAAGAATAGACAATGTAGAATAAAGGGAATAATAAGAAATAGGTTTATAATTAGCAATGTTATCAATGTATAAAGAACTAAAAGTTCACTATATTAAAAATAAAAGCATTCTGTTAAATGCAACTGTGATTTAGACATTGCAGTGTTATTTTTGTAGGTTTTCCTAACAAAAATAGTATCTTGAAGAATTTTGCCCTGCCTTTGAGAAATCATTTACCCCTTCATTTAAATATTCATATACCAATAACATACAGACATAGGCAGATATAGAGTTAGGTAATTATAATTACTTTTGTATAAATTCCAGTAACATTAAAGATATTAGGTAGTCCTGTCAGAAACCAGCAAAAGGAGGAATGTATGTTTTATTGTCATTTTGTCTTATGAATGAATTTGATTTTATTATTCGTTCAATACAATGATTTTAAATGCTTACAAAATGTAGAGTACTGTGTTAGACATTGTGGAGAACACAAAAATGAATAATATTCAATACAAATAGTGCAACTAGGGGCTCATTCTAATGTACATTTAAGCAATCTAAAATAGATTGTTAAGTAACATAATAGAGATACTATAATCAATATAAAAAATGTTTTGGTAAAGTGTAAAGAAAGAGGTGTGATTTGACTAAGAACTTACGTAGATAATTTTAAGTAGTGTTGTGTTGTTCAAGTGTGAGAAGAAGGTGGCATGGTAAAATAACGACTGCATTGATATATCTTTAATCAATTAGGACAATCATATCTCTCACTATTTGAGCTGGTATTAAGCAGAAGAGGCCTTGTATTTAGACATATTTAGCATATCTAACAGGTGCTAGTTGGATCCTAGATGTCTTTGGTGGGAATATATTGCCTTTGCAAAGAGGACTTTTTAGGAAGATATTTGTGTCTAAGTATCCAGGGGAAAAGGCAAGGGACTGATGGTAACGAACAATGGGAAGAATAGCAAGGCATCTGTTTTCCCAGCTCTAATTTTTGAGCCCTACCTTTATAGCACAAGCTGACAAGACAGTTTTCCTTAGGAAATTTAGCAGAATTTTGGAGGTCAGCACTGTGGATACTGGGATGACAGTCTAACAGAAAGGGAGAAGTTCTGCACAGAAATTGGAATGGCTTAAGCCTGTGAGGGTTCAAGGACTTCAAAAGTGGTACACAGATGAACAGACACATTAGCAATGGACGTGATATGCAATGGAGCAGGCAGCATCCCAATGGGCTTGGTATTCTTGCTTTCCTGGGAAGGTTGGAATTGAAATTCGGATTGATGGTGTACATCTGTGAAACCTCCTCTGGATGTCCTCAGAATATTACAGAAGAGAATTGGTGGTTTTCTCGATGCCTTGGTCAGGAACAGTCAACCAGCCAGGTAATTGTTCTCATTAATATCTAAAGACCCAGAGAGGCTTGGGAAAACTTAGGGTTGCTGTATTATTCATAAGAAAAGAGCAAAGTGCTTACATCACGTTTACTGAAAATCTATTTATTCAATTTACACCAGTCACAAAGATGTAAATTCCAGGTCCTCTTTTCCTGTTAATTTCAAGGTACATATCCAGCAGAAATGGAGTCTGTTTTTCTGTTCTTAACCCTTTCGGTGCTGAATGGGCTACCTGAATAATGTTGACATCTTTCAGGTGAACATAATATGCATAAAAGACATAGCAGGAATTCTACAGAAATCTAGCTGCTTGAACTTATTTCTGCCTAGATTTAGTGTAGGTGAGCTGATGAGCTGTTAATAAAACTTTGTCTCTTTTACTGCTTTCTTTAGCTATAACCAAGATAGATATATCAGAATCACTCAGGTCTCATTTAAATGGCCATAAAGAAGGAAAGGAATTAAGAAAGTGGCCCAGATCTGGAAAGGTCAGAGATCAACTCTGTAACAGCATTTCTACCTGATTTCTATTTTGAACTTGCATTCACATAGTGGGTTTCTTTGAGTAAAACTGCTGGGTATAACTTCTTTCATACCACCAGCAAATATTCCTGAGTTTAGAGATGAGACAAAGAAAATGATATTACATTCTCTCTTTATTTTGATAAGGTACAACAATGTATCACTGTGTATCCTGCCATTATGTTTTACTTTTCATACTGCCTAAGGTCTGTGTGAACAATAGGAACACCTTTTATCTCAAAGATAAGGAATTTTTTTAGAGAGCCAAGTATCCCCAACTGTGCAGGATTAAAAATGGCACAAAGAGAAAATATGCTTGGTAAATTAAACAACTGGATCCTTCTATGTAGCATTTATAAAATGTCTTCCCTGCATTCGAAAAACATTGACAGGTCATTAATCTCTCACTTGATGATCCATAGGAACTTCTCCTCATAGGAACAAAACCTTAATGATCCATTAAAAGTTCAACATTTAATTAGGAGGTTTCCAGCTGAAAGGCCTTTGGCATCCTCCACCACCAGTTTGAAGTGAAGTGTTGAAAATAAAGAGCAGTGTGCTTGTAAAGCACAGATTCATGGGTAGGATTGCTACACCTAAACTAGAGTACTCACAAGTGCTTTTCTTCACCAATTCTTCCTTTCCCACTCTCAACTTGTATCTGAAATTTAGCCAATAATAGGTGAATGAGACAAGTGCTGTCATATTTATGAGTCAATATGGGAGCTCTGAAGGTGTACTTTCAGATGAAAGCCACTGAGGTGAAGTTATAGCCACTTGAAGCAAGGACGAAGTATATATCTTATAGCAATAATGTCCCAGTTATCCTACACTGATTAAGACCATGGACTTTTGAGTCAGACCTGTAGTAGAATACCAGTTCCCAATTCTACTTGCTGTGCAACAATGGGCAAGATACTTATACTCTAAAATAGATATCATAACAGTACTTACTTTTTAAGGGTGTTCTGCGATAATACATATGAAGTACTTAGCACATTGCCTAAAACAAAGTGAGTACCCAAATACTGGTAGTTCCTCTTACTATTATTGTTAATATAAATGTTATTACAAGAATAATTGTCATTATAGAGTATTAGTAGTAGTAATAATAGTAGTAGCTGAGCTAGCTAAAAGGAAAAGTGGTAGAGGGCATCAAAGGCTCCAGTTTTTCCTGTTTGTATTTTACCTCAACTATGAAATATATGTACCTCTTTCTCATACCCAGCGCTTTCTCAATTTGATTATACTAAAACAGAAAAATAAAAGATTAGATATAATTCATCACTATATCTTAAATAAAACTCATTCAAACTATTGCATTATCACCCTATCAGTAATTATTTAAAAATATCTGTCTGGAATTATCAAATGGAAGACTTTGTCTCCTATTCTAGGAATTTTGGGCAACATTGCAGGCAGAAAAACAAATATTCCCTTACACTTGAATTCACACTACTCCTAGGATTATTCCTAAAGAGCCTGACACAGTGGCTTTGCTATAGTAAACAAAACATATTTGTGTAAATCTGCCACAATTATTTTGGGTTGACAGCAAGAAGGACACTGGTGATGAAGGAGTGTCAGGTACAGGCAGGCAATTTGCTTCATCTTTGTTCATTTCATTGTCGGTTGTTCTTTCTAGCTTTACAGTCTCAGGTCCTCCTGCCCTAAACATTCTGACACAGTGACAGGGAAGAGGACAGCTGCCCAAGGAAGTTCAGGTGGTGAGAGGGTTTGGTAATGCTATGGTTTGAATGTTGTTGTCCCCTCAAAAATGCATGTTGAAATTTAATGCCCAGTGCAACAGTATTGAGAGAGATGGCTTTTGGGAAGAAATTGAGTCATGAAGGCAGAGGTCTTATGGAAATTAGGTGCCATTATATAAAGGCTTGAGGAGAGAGAGCGTTTACCCCTTTTTGACTCTCTGTCTTCTGCCATGTGAGGAGAGAGTATTCCTCCCCTCTGGAAGACCTAGCTTCAGGGCACCATCTTGGAAGCAGAGGCTGGACCTTCATCAGACAACTGAACCTGCCAGTGTCTTGATCTTGGACTTTCCAGGCTCCAGAACTGTGAGAAATATAGTTACTTTCTTTATAAATTACCCTGTCAGGTATCCTGTTATAGCAGCACAAAACAGATGAAGATAGGAAGAGAAAAAATCTATAGAGTGCAGAAAAAGTAACTGTATCCTTGGGGTCTAGGTCAAGATTCATAAACTCAAAAGCCTACAGAGGCTGGGCAGGTAACTTAGATAGAATCAAATATAAGTTCCACGGGTATGCTGGGGACACTGGAGAACTAAAGTGTTCCCACAGAAGGAGACTTGGTAGGAATGTGATTCGTTCCTAGAAATTCTGTTATTCTCAATAAAAGTAAAAATCTGAATATTTTGTGTTTTTTTTTTAAAAAAGCTTCTCTACATTTAAAATGTAGGCAATAAATTAAACTTTTAAAATTACTAAGGGCCCAAAAAAATTGTTGGCAACTGAGTTCCTTAAACTTCTGCTTTATAATTTCTAGGTCTTAAATTTTAGGGCAAGGGTAGCCCAAATGTTTTATATTAAGTGTTAAAGTATACCTTCTCCTGAACTCATGTGATGAAGTTGATTAAAAACAGTATAGAGTATGAAGGAAAACTATAAGCTTGTTGTTAATTATAGACATAAGGTACATAAGGTGACTCAGCAAACTAGAAGAGACCAAAATTTGTTTGGCTGAGTAAAACTGACACTATTTATTGGGACTATTTTCTTATAAGAAAAGATTCCATTCTACCATTATAGAATTCCATTTTTGGTCTTATGCAATGTGAAGCAACAGTTTTTTGTAATGTCTTTTCACCACTGTAATAACGTAGTTTGTACATTGATATAAGTTTAATGTTTGAGGGTACAGCAAGAAGGTAGATGGTGGAATAGAAGGCTCCACTGATCATCCTATCTGGCCTGTGGAACATCAAACTTTAACAAGATTAACAAAATAGCATGTCCATAAGAACCAAAAATCAAGTGAGCAATCAGTACCTGGTTTTAAATTCACATAACTGAAAGAGGCACTGAAAAGGGTAGGTGAGATAATTTTAAATCACTGATGGCATCCCTTTCTCCTCCCTCACCAGTGGCTATGTGGTGTGGAGAGAAAAATCTGTGTACTTGGGGAAGGGAGAGCACAGTGAATGGGGGGCATTGCATTGGACTCAGTGCTGCCCTGTCACAGTAGAAAGCAAAACCATGCTGAACTCAGCCAGTGCTCACTCACGGAGGGAGCATTTGGAACAATGCTAGTCAGAGAAGTGCCCATCCCAGCAGTTGGAACTTGAGTTCTGGCAAGCCTTGCCACCGTGGGCTAAAGTGCTCTGGGGTTCTAAATGAACTTGAGAGGTAGTCTAGGACACAAGGAATGCAATCACTAGGCAAGTCCTGGTGCTTCGCTGGGATTAGAGCCAGTGGAATGGGGCAGACCATGACCCAGTAAGACCCCAGACAGGTCAGGTGGGAGAGTGCTTGTGCTGCCTCTACCCCAACCCATGGCAGTGCAGCTCACAGCAACAAAAGTGACTTCTTTCTGCTTGGGGAAAGGAGAGAGAAGAGAAAAGAGGAGTTTGTCTTGCATCTTGGATACTAGCACAGGCACAATAGGAGAGAGTACTGGGTAGAGTCATGAGACCCCCACTTCAGGCCCTAGTTTCTAGATGACATTTCTAGACACACCCTGGGCCAGAAGGAAGCATGCTGCCTTGAAGGCAAGGACCCAGTCTTGGCAAGATTAATCACCTGCTGACTAAAATGCTCTTGGGCCCTGAAGAACCAGCAGTGATACCTAGATTGTATGTAATGGGCCTTGGGTGAGTCTCTGAGGTATGCTGGCTTTAGATACCAGCTCAGCTGCAGTGAAACAGAGGACCAAGTGGGCTTTTCAGATCCCTGAGTCCAGGCCTAGGTTCTTGTACAGCATATCTGGACCTGCCCTGGGCCAGAGGGGAGCCCACTGTCCTGAAAGGAGAGTCCTAGCCCTGGCAGCATTCACCACAAGCTGACTGAAGATAACTTGGGCCTTAAGTGAACATTGGTGGTGGCCTGGCAGACCTCCCTGTGTGCTGGCAGTGGTGGTGGCCATGGGGATAGGCTCCTCCACCTGTGGAAAGGGGAGAGGGAAATAAGAAAGACTTTGTCTTACGGTTTGAATGCCAGCTTGGCCACAGTACAATAGGATGCCAGGTAGATTTCTAAGGTGTTTGACTCCGATCCCTGGCTCCAATATAGTACCTTGGGACCTGCCCAGGGAATGGAGGAACTTATCATTTTCAAGGCAAGGACACAAACCTGACTAGCTTTGCAACCTGCTGATTGTAGAGCCCTAGGCCCTACATACAGGGTAGCCAGGTAGTGGTTACTGCAGGCCTTGGATGAGACTCAGTGCTGTGCTGGCATCAGGTCTGACCCAGGGCATTTCTAGTGGTGGTAACCACAGGAATGCTTCTGTCACTGTACCCCCAGCCCCAGGCAGCTCAGGATAGAGACAGAAACTCCATTTGTTTGGGAGAAAGTAAGGGAAGAGAACAGGAGTATCGCCTGGTAATTGAGATAATTCTTCCAGATTTTATATGAGATCTCCAAGGTGGTACATCAACAAATCTGTAAGAACCACAGTGATACTGGGATTGGGGCCCTTGAATTCCTGGAAAGCCTTCCCAAGAAGAATGGGCATAAACAAGGCCAGACTATGAAGACCACAATAAATTCCTAACTCTTCAATGCCCGGACAATGACAAACATCTACAAATATCAAGACCAGCAGAAAAGCATGGCCTCACCAAATAAACTATAATAAATAAGGTACCAAGGCCAATCCTGGAGAAATAGAGATATGTAAACTGTCAGACAGAATTCAAAATTGCTGTTTTGAGAAAATTCAAAGAAATTCAAGATAACGTAGACAAGGAATTTAGAATTCTATTGGATAAATTTAACAAATATTTCATGAAAAAGAAGCAGAAGTTGTAGAGTTGAAAAATGAAAGTGATATGCTGGAGAATGCGTGAGTTTCCTAAGAGCAGAATTGATGAATCAGAAAAAAGAATTTGTGAGCTTGAAGACAGCCTATTTGAAAATACACATTTGGAGGAGACAGAAAGGAATAATAAACAATTAAGTGCACCTGCAGGACCTAGAAAATAGCATTGAAAGGTGAAGTCTAAGAGTTACTGGTTTTAAAGAGGAGGTAGAGGAAGATATAGTGGTAGAAAGTTTATTCAAAGGGATAATCACAGAGAACTTCCCAAACCTAGAAAAAGATATCAACTCCAAGTACAAAAAGGTTATAGACCACCAAGTAGATTTAACCCGAAGAAGACTACCTCAAGCCATTTAATAATCAGACTCCCAAATATCAACAATAAAGAAACGGTTCTAAAAGCAGCAAGAGAAAAGAAGAAATAACATACAATGAGGCTTCAATATGTCTGGCAGCAGACTTTTCAGTGGAAACATTACAGGCC
Source organism: Homo sapiens (assembly GCF_000001405.40). NCBI lineage: Eukaryota > Metazoa > Chordata > Mammalia > Primates > Hominidae > Homo > Homo sapiens. The sequence goes on along the minus strand of NC_000002.12, from coordinate 183,690,126 downwards.
AAGAGAGAGTGGCATGACATATTGAAGGTGAGGAAGGAGAAAAACGAAAACAAAACTTTTACCCTTGAGTAGTATATCTGGCCAAAACATCCTTCAAACATGAAGGAAAAATACTTTCCTACACAAACAAAAGCTGAAGAATTTCATTAATACCAGACCTGTCTTACAAGAAAGGTTAAAGGGAGTTCTTCAATCTGAAAGAAAAGAATGTTAATGAGCAATAAGAAGTCATCTGAAGGTACAAAATTCACTGGTAAGAGTAAGCACACAGGAAAACACAGAATATTATAACACTGTAACTGAGGTATCTGAACTACTCTTGCGTGGAAATACTGAATAATTAACCAATAACTACAACAACTTTTCAGGACATAGAGAGTATGATAAAACATAAAGAGAAACAACAAAAAGTTAAAAAGTAGTCTGGGGGATGAAGTTAAGGTGTAAAGTTTTTACACTTGATCTTAGCCAAAGGGCCAAGAAGTGATGGGGTATAGAGTTTTTGTTAGTGCTCTTTTTGCTTGTTTGTTAATTTGTTTATACAATCAGTGTTAAATTTTCATCAGCTTAAAATAATAAGTTATAAAATTTGTAAGCCTCATGGTGACCTCTAATCAAAAACATACAATGGATACACAAAAAATAAAAAGAAATTAAATCACCACCAGAGCATATAATCTTTGCTAAAAGGAAGACAAGAAGAAAGTGAAGACAAGAAAACTGCCAGAAAAAAAAAATGGCAGGAGGAAGTTCTCACTTGCCAATAATAACATGGAATGTAAATGGCCTAAACTCTCCAGTAAAAAGACAAATAAAAATAAAAACAATAAAAAGCAAAAAAGATAAGACAATAAAAATAGTGGCTGAATGGATTAAAATAAGACCAATAATCTGTTGCCTATAAGAAACACACTTCACCTACAAAGATACATACAGTCTGAAAATAAAGGGATGGAAAAAGATATTCCATGCTGACGGACACAAGAGAAGGAGTAGTTATATCAGACAAAACAGATTTCAAGACAAAAACTCTAGGAAGACACAAAGGAGGTCATTATATAATGATAAAGAGGTCAATTCAGCAAGTGAATATGATAGTTGTAAATATATGTGCATCTAACACTTGAGCACCTACATATATAAAGCAAATATTATTACAGGTAAAGAGACAAATCTCAAAACAATAATATCTGGATACTTCAACACATTTTCAGCATTGGACAGACCTTCCAGACAGAAAGTCAACAAAAAATTAGGCTTAATCTGCACTATAAAATCAATATACCTAATAGATATTTACAGAACATTTCATGCAATGGCTGCAGAATACACATTCTTTGCCTCAGCACATGGATTATTCTCAAGGATAGACCATATGTTGGGTCACAAAACAAGTCTTAAAACATTCAAAAACTGAAATAATATCAAGCATCTTCTCTGACCACAAGAAAATAAAGCCTAGAAATCAATATAACAAAAGGAATTTTGTAAACTATACAAATACATGGAAATTAAGCAATATGCTCCTGAATGTCCAGTGAGTCAATTTTTCAAGAAATTTTTCATTTTTTCAATTTTAAGAAAATTGAAAAATTTTTGAAAACAAATGATCCTGGAAACACAACATGCCAAAAGCTATAAGATACATGAGGGCAGAACTTGCCAGGAAATCTATAGTTAAGAGCAACTACATATAAAAAAGAAAAACTTCAAATAAGCAACCTAATGATGCATCTTAAAGAACTAAAAAAGCAAGAGCAAACCAATCTTAAAATTAGTAGAAGAAAAAAATAACAGAGCACAAATAAATGAAATTGAAATGAAAAACAATACAAAATACAAATGAAACAAAAAGTTGGTGTTTTTAAAAGATAAACAAAATTAAGAAACCTTTAGCCAGACTAAGGAAAAAAGAAAACCCAAATAAATCAGAGATGAAAAGGAAGACATCACATCTGATACTACAGAAATTCAAAGAATCATTAGTAGCTACTATGAGCAACTACATGCCAATACATTGAAAAATCTAGAGGAAATGGACAAATTCCAACACATACAACCTACCAAGTTTGAGCCATGAAGAAATTCAAAAGGTGAACCGAACAATAAGTGATGAGATTGAAGCCATAATAAAAAGTCTGTTAATAAAGAAGAGCACAGACCCAAAAGCTTCACTGCTGAATTCTACCAAATATTTTAAGAAGAATTAACACCAGTCCCACTCAAACTATCTTGAAAAAACAGAGCAGGAGGGAATACTTCCAAATGCATTTTACAAGACCAGTATTACCCTGATACAAAAACCAGACAAACACACACCAAAAAGAAAAACAAACAAACAAACAAAAAAACTACAGGCCAATATCCCTGATGAATATTGATGCAAAAATCCTCAACAAAATACCAGCAAACTGAATTCAACAATATGTTAAAAAGATAATTTATCATGACCAAGTGGGATTTATTTCTGGAATGCAAGAATGGTTGAACATATGCAAATCAATCAATGTAATACATTATATCAACAGAATGAAGGACAAAAACCACATGGTCATTTCAACTGATGCTGAAAAAGCATTTGATAAAACTCAACATCCTTTCATGATAAAAACTCTCAAAAAATGGGATATAGAAAGAAGAAATTCAACACAATAAAAGCCATATACCACAGACCCACAGCTACTATTATACTGAACGGGGGAAAAACTGAAAGCCTTTCCTCTAAGATCTGGACATGACAAGTATGTTTACTGTTACTGTTATTCAACATAATACTTGAAATCCTAGCTAGAGCAATCAGTCAAGAGAAAGAAAGAAATAGCATCCAAATTGGAAAAGAGGAAATCAAACTATCCTTGTTAGCAGATGATACAATCTTATATTTGGAAAAACCTAGATTCCACCAAAAAACTGCTAGAATTGATAAACAGATTCAGTAAATTTGCAGAATGCAAAATCAACATACAAAACTCAGTAGCATTTGTATATGCCAACAGCAAACAATCTGAAAAAGAAAGTAATCCTATTTATAATAGCCACACGTAAAATTAAATACCCAGGAATTAACCAAAACAAGAAAGATCTCTACAGTGAAAACCATAAAATACTGATGCAAGAAATTGAGAAGCACACAAAAAAATGGAAATATATTCCATGTTTGTGGATTGGAAGAGTCAATGTTGTTACAATATTCATACTACCCAAAGCAATCTGCAGATTCAATGCAACCCCTATCAAAATACCAATGACGTGCTTCACAGAAATAGAAAAAGCTATCCTAAATTTTATATGGAGCCACAAAAGACCAAGAATAGCCAAAGCAATCCTGAGAAAAAGAACAAAACTGGAGTTATCACATTACCTGACTTCAATTTGTACTGAAGATATATAGTAAATACAGCAATTATGGTACTAGCATAAAGACAGACACATAGACCAGTGGAACAGAATATAGAATCCAGAAATAAATTCATTCATCTACAATGAACTCATCTTCAACAAAGGTGCAAAGAACATTCATTGGGAAAAAAAACAGACTTTAATAAATAGTGCTGGGAAAACTGAATATACATATGCAGAAGAAACTAGACCCCTATCTCTCACCATATAGAAAATCAAATCAAAATGGATTGTAGACTTAAATCTAAGACCTCAAAGAATGAAACTACAAAAAGAAAATATTGGGGAAACTCTCCAGGACATTGGACTTAGCAAAAATTTCTTTAGTAATACCTCCAAAGCACTGGCAACCAAAGCGTAAATGAACAAATGGGATCATGTCAAGTAAGAAACCTTCTAGACATCAAAGGAAACAATCGACAAAGTGAAGAGACAACCCACAGAATGGAAGAACATATTTGCAAACTAGCCACGTGACAAGGGATTAATAACCAGAATACAGAAGGAGTTCAAACGGCTCTGTAGAAAAAATCCAAATGATCTGATTTAAAAATGGGCCAAAGATTTGCATAGACATTTATCAAAATAAGACATATGAATGGTGAACAGGCATGTGAAAAGGTGCCCAACATCATCAGAGAAATGCAAAACAAAACTACAATGATATATCATCTCACTCTAGTTAAAATGGATTTTATCCAAAAGACAGGCATAACGAATGCTAGAGACGATGTGGGGATAAGGGAACCCCCCTCCTTCACCATTGGTGGAAATGTAAAGTAGTACAATGACTATGAAGAAATTTGGAAGTTCCTCAAAAAACTAAAAATAGAGCTACCATATGACCCAGCAGTCCCACTGCTAGGCATATACCCAAAATAAAGGAATTGAGGAAATTGAAGACATCCTTGCACTCCCATGTTTGTTGCAACACCATTCACAACAGCCAAGATTTGGAAGCAACCTAAATGTCCATCAGGAGACAAATGGATAAGGAAAATGTGTTGCATATACACAATGGAGTAGTATTCAACCATTAAAAAGAATGAGATGCTGTCATTTGCAACAACATGGATGGAGCTGGAGGTCATTATGTTCAGTGAAATAAGCAGGGTATAGAAACAAAAACTTTGCATGTTCTCACTTATATGTGGGACCTTGAAATTAAAACAATTGAACTCATGGAGATTAGAAGAATGGGTATCAGAGGCCGGAAAAGGGAATGGGGTTGTAGAGGGTGAAGTGAGGATAGTTAATTGGTCCAAAAAAAGTTAGAAAGAATGGATAAGACCTAGTATTTGATAGTGCAACAGGGTGACTATAGTCAATAATGATTTAGTTATACATTTAAAAATACGTAAAAGTATAGTTGGATTATTTGTAATGCAAAGTATGTTGTGTCATTGAATATTGAAAATATTGAAGGGATGTGTACCCTATTTTCCATGATGTGGTTATTATGCATTGCATACCTGTATCAAAGTATCTCATGTACCTCTAAATATATATACCTACTATATGCCCACAAAAATTAAAAATAAAAAATTTAAAGTTTATAAAATGTAAATATTTCTATAACAATATTTTGTCTGATTTGTTTCTTCAATCAGAGTTCAATGCTGCTTCTGGATAGATCTGATGTTGATTTTCATAATTTAATGTTTTTAAATGGATTGAAATCAGACTATTAAATAGACTGTTATTTATCATAATTGTTTAAAATTACAAAAACTAAGCTTTTAGGTTTCATTTGGATAATACTGATAATTTGGTAAATCATTTTGTTAAATCATATAAATTTTAAAATAAGCATATAAATTTTTAAATGAATTATTTAAATGAATTAAATATTTAAATATTTATAATTGGCATTATCGATGGGATTTTTAATTTGATATTGAATAATCTAATTAATTGAAATGAATTTTTTTTTCAATTTTACTTTAAGATCTTGAGTACATGTGCTGAGCGTGTAGGTTTGTTACATAGGTATACATGTCCCATGGTGGTTTGCTGCACCAATCAACCCAGCATTTAGGTTTTAAGCCCCACATGCATTAGGTATTTGTCATAATGCTCTCCCTCCCCTTTCCCACCACCCCCTGACAGGCTCTGATGTGTGATGTTCCCCTCTCTGTGTCCATGTGTTCTCATTGCTCAACTCCCACTTATGAGGGAGAACATGCAGTGTTTGGTTTTCTGTTGCTGTGTTAGCTTGCTGAGAATGATGGTTTCCAGCTTCATCCATGTCCCTGAAAAGGACATGAACTCTTCCCTTTGTTATGGCTGCATAATATTCCATGATGTATATGTACCACATTTTCTTTATCCAGTATTTCATTGATGGACATTTGGGTTGGTTCCAAGTCTTTGCTATTGTGAATAGTGCTGCAATAAACATATGTGTGCATGTCTCTTCATAGTAGAATGATTTATAATCCTTTGGGTATATACCCAGTAATGGGATTGCTGGATCAAATGGTGTTTCTGGTTCTAGATCCTCGAGGAATTGCCATACTGTCTTCCACAATACTTGAGCTGATTTACATTCTAAGTATTGATATTCTAAATTTTAGGTGAAGAAAGCCCTACTCCTTTAGTTTTAGAAAAGAGGAACAATGTAACAAAATATTTTAGAATGCATTAATGGTTATCTGTTGGCTGCTTTGATAATTAAAATTAGAGATATTTGTGAAAATAAGTTGAAATATGTTTGATCAACTTGTCTGATATGAGCTTTATCAGTTCCAGCAATCCATTGTAAACCTTTAACATAATCAAGAGTTTCATTATATATATATTATTGTATCAAAAAAGTGACACCTGTACTCCTACAGTAAGTCAAATGAGAAATCTTACCTTTATGTAACATATAAATTATTTTGAGCAAAATTATCTTTGATACGGTTTGGTTCTGTGTCCCCACCCAAATCTTATCTCATGGCTCCCATAATTCCCACATGTTGTGTTGTGGGAGGGAACTGGTGGGAGATGATTGAATCATGGGGGTGAGTCTTTCCCATGCTGTTCTCATAGTAGTGAATGGGTCTCCTGAGATCTGATGGTTTTTAAAACAGGAGTTTCTCTGCACAGCTCTCTCTTTGCTTGCTGCCATCCATGTAAGATGTGACTTGCTCCTCCTTGCTTTCCACCATTATCGTGAGGCCTCCCTAGCCATGTGGAACTGTAAGTCCATTAAACCTCTTTTTCTTCCTGGTCTCAGGTATATCTTTATCAGCAGTGTGAAAACGGACTAATACAATCTTAAATTAGGATAATTCTTAGTGGATCTTGAAATAAGTTTAAATCTTTTAGGTGGGGTATTCTAGTGCCACTGTGGCAGGTTAACACAAAGTTAGTGACTTAAAACAATGCAGATTTGTCATCTTACCATGCTGGAGGCCAAAAGTCAATCCAGGTCTCACTGAGCTAAAATTAAGGTATAGAGAGAGCTACTTTCCTTTCCGGAGACTCCAGGGCAGAATCCATTTTCCTGAATTTGGGAGCTTTGTAAAGAATGCCCACATTCTTTGACTGATGGCCCCTTCTATCTTCAAACTCAGCAATGTCTGGTTGAGTCTTTTATCACATCACACATTGACTCTTCTGACTAAACTTTTTCCATTCAAAGACCCTTGTGATTACATTGGGCCCACCTGGATTATCTAAGATAACCTTTTTTATTTTAAGGCAAGTTGATTAGCAACCTTATTTTCATCTGGAACCTTAACTCCTCTTGCTGTGTAACAAAACATATTCACAGATTCTGGGGACTGGGAGTGAACATCCTTGGGGTGGCCATTATTTTTCCTGCCATGGTGAGTTTTAATTGTCACTCAATATAAAATCAGGGATCGTAAACTTGTGGCTCATGGGTTTTATGTTAAAAACAAAATATTGGTAAAATATTCTAAATAGCTAAAATATTCTTGGTCTTGGTTAAAATATTCCAAATAGCTAGATTCTACAGAAAAAGAAAATTGGGCAACTATGACTTCACAACAAGCAGGTAAATTGCATTAGTGATTGTTCAAATTAAATGGGTCATGTGTTCTTTGTTTTATCAGTGTCTTCATTGCCCACAGTTGTATCTCTAAATCTGAGACAGTTTTCTCCCTGTCATTTGGTCCATTTCTTTTTTATATATTACTTAACTGGTCTCTGTCAGCATTTAACATCCTATGTTAAATAAATGAGTAAATGTCCACTACATCCATTTGCAGTAAGTATACACTTTACTTGTAACAATAAAATGAACAAAGCAATACATTATTTTTTCTATTTCTTTGAAGTAGACTCCCATATCCCATTTAACCTAGTGGTAGAAAACAGTGTCATTTGTTATGGTGGCCAAATTCCCAGAGGAGTATTATAATACTTATATATTATATAATATAATATATGTATTATATTATATATTATTATATGTATTATATATTATATGTATATATATGTATATGTATATATATGTATTATATATTATATGTATATATAATATATGTATTATAATAATTATAATACATATATTCCATTAAGTATCCTTATGGAGATTATCTAAGTCCTGTAAATCAATGAAAGGAAGACAAACTTCCTAACCAAAACTTGGGCAACATCTTAAACAGGCACTTAACAAGCTATTCTAATGACCAATGAACCTAACAAAAGATGCTCAATGTTGTTATTCAAGAAGAAAATGAAATTGAGACCATTATGAGATACCACTACATACCAACAAAAGTAGAAAAAATTGAAGACACTGTGACAGTATCATGTTTTAGTGAAGACATGAGACAACTGGAGCTATATTGCTGATAGTAATATAAATTGATACAACAACTTTGGAAACTCCTCGGCTATATTTACTAAAGCTATATTTATATCTGCCTCTAATCCAACAATTTTACTCTTATTTTATACATCACAGAAATGAGGGCATCTGTTCATCAAAAGACAAAATGTTTAAAGTAGCTTTATTTATGCTAGCTCCAAGCTAGGAACAACCATATGTTCATCAACAGGAGAACATATAAATAAATTGTAGAACATTCATACAATGAAATACTTCCTATTTTATAAAAATGAACTGTTGCAAACAATATGGATGATTATCAGAGACGAGCACCTACATTCATATGAAATGAATGTGAAATTCATATGAAATTCCAGAATAGGTAAACTAATTTATAGTGACAGAAGTCTGAACAGTGGGAGAGACACAAGGGAACATTCTGTCATGTTGGAAATTTCTGTTTCAGTTGTGATTATATGAGCATATACACATATAAATATTTATTAAACTTTAAGACTCAGGTGGCCAGGAACGGTGGCTCATGCCTGTAATCCCAGCACTTTGGGAGGTCGAGGCAGGTATATCACCTGAGGTCAGGAGTTCGAAACCAGACTGGCCAACATGGTGAAACCCCATCTCTACTAAAAATACAAAAATTAGCCAGGTGCGGTGGTGGGTGCCTGTAATCCCAGCTACTTGGGAGGCTGAGGCAGGAGAATCACTTAACTCAGGCAGCAGAGGTTGCAGTGAGCCGAGATCACGCCATTGCACTCCAGCACGGGTGACAGAGTAAGACTCTGTCTCAAAAAAAAAAAAAAAAAAAAAACAAGTATGTGTGTTAAACCTTAATTTTAAAAGTTTTAAAGAGTCAAGTTCATCTTCAATTAATTTACTTCCTAACATTTGTGTTATTGTCTTGTCATGTTTAATTTTATACATATTTTTAAATCCTAGGTCATTATTATTTTGTATGTACAGTATTCCTTTAGATTTACCGTCATGTTTAGCCTTCTAAGTATACTTTATTAATTTTAAAGTTTTTAATGTTTTCCCCTTTGGTATTTTTCTCATGCCTAAGGAAATCCCTTTAGTATATTTTAAGTGCAAGTGGTATAGTAATGAATGCTCTTAGTTTTTGTCTAAAAATGCTTATTTTTTATTGCTGATGTAGTATATTTTCTGTGTGCATAGAAGTCTTTCTTGGCATTTTGGTTTTTTCAATACTTTAAAGATGTTATTTCGTTGCCTTCTAGGTTCCATAATTTCTCATAAGAAGTTAGATGTCATTTTCATTGTTGCTGCTTTATCTTATTTCTTGATATTTTGAACACTATGTAGTTGATTTTCAAAATTTTATAATTTACTTAAGTGTGGTTTTCTTTATATGCATCTAGCTTGGGATTGCAGAACTTTTAAATTTGTGCATTGATACTGCTCATCAGTTTTGGAACATTTCCAACTATTATCACTTTAAATATTGCTTTTGTCTTATTCTCTCCTCAATCTGTGACTTCAAATCACATATGCTACATATTTATACATTTTAACTATGTCTGATGTGTATCTTATAATTTTTTCTCCCTTTTATCTCTCTACCTTTTATCTCTCTACCTTTTGCTTTGAGCATTTGGCTAATCTTCTCTTCTGCTGCTATAGCCAATCTTCTCTTTATATCTATCCATTCAGTTACTAATTTCTTTCAGCACTAAGCTGCCCATTTGGCTCTCTAGTAAAATTTGCCACCTCTCTCTCTCTATATATATATATATGTGTGTGTGTGTGTGTGTGTAATTTAATGAATTTATTACATATTACATATGTAATATATGTAATGAATTTATTACATATGTAATATGAAATATATATTACCTATGTTATATATGTTAATGTATGGTATGTTAAATTACAGATATATATGTCATATATGAGATGTATATTTCATATCACATATATGTACACATTACATATTATATATGACATACATAATATATGTAATATGAAATATATTATGTATTATATATTACATATATACCTGTAATTTAACAAATTTACTATAGCTATTTTAAACATTAATTGTTGATAGCTAAAATATATGGATATCCTATAGGTTTCTTCTCTTGTCTGATTTTTTTCTCTTGGTTATTCTTTGTATGGTTTGGCTAATATTTTTGATTGCTGTACACTAAGAACAAAGATCTGTATAGGATGTAGGTGGTATTTTATTCTATCATAAAGAAGACTTTTCTTTGCTGCATTTATAGAGTCAGGGAGGACTACCAATTAGATACTGAGCTAATCTGAGCCTGCCTTGAAGTTTAATAAGGCTCACCTATCTCTAATTTTCACCCATTTTTAGACTATGAGCCTCTAAGGCTTTCACTTGAGAGCTTGCAGGGCTGTTGACCTTTGGTACCAAGAAAATATAACAAATTTTACTATGCTTTTTCAGAGGCTTTTACCTGAGGCCCCTTGTAACTGCAAATTATGACAGTTTGCCCCTTTTTCTAGAGCCTTTAACTATAGCCTTATAGTTACAGGGACTCCTCTCATATGTGAGTCTTTGCCTTTATAGGACTACTAGATGATGGGTGATACAGTTCGGCTTTGTATCCCCACCCAAATCTCATCTTGAATTATGCGGGGGTCTGTCCTGCAGACCCCAACTGCACAACAGATGAGACACGTACTCAGACACGGATATTCAGTGAAAAAGCGGGCCAGGGGGCTGATGGCACTAGGGCCTGAAGAGTTTGCAGCTCCTCTAAGCTGGCAATGCTCACATTTATTTAGTACAGATTTAATTGACAAAGACTTTGAGTCAGCACACCTGTAGGTAATTAACCTGGGCATTCTCCCCTGGAGAGGGCCATCCTGTCCGTGAATGATCAAAGGTTGGTCTTAGGACCACATGAATAAAACAGCTGTTTAGATAAACTACTCTACCTTCTTTTGTATCTGTGCCCTAAGCTCTCTGGCTCCTGAAAGGAAAATCTGGCTGTCTTCAGCCAAACTGCCTGAAGCTATGCAAAGCCCCCTGGTTTTCCAAGAAGGTTTGCTTCTTTCTATTCCTATAATTTATTCTGCCACTCTGACTGATCTCCCACATAATTATAATCCCTAGTTGTTGGGGGAGGAACCTGGTAGGTGATTGGATCATGGGGACAGTTTCTCCCATGATGTTCTTATGACAGTGAGTGAGTTTTCATGAGATCTGATGGTTTTAAAAATGTTTGGCAAGTTTCTTCTTCACTCTCTTCTCTAGCCTTGTGAAAAAGGTGCTTTTCCCTTTCCACCATGATTATAAGTTTCCTGAGGCCTCCCCAGCCACCCAGAATTGAGTCAATTCAACCTCTTTCCTTTATAAATTACCCAGTCTTGGGTATTTCTTTATAGCAGTGTGAAAATGGACTAATACAATGGGAAGTTCTGTTTTTAAGGCCTTTTTTGGCTTAGCCCTTTAGTCTTCAGCATTGTAGTCTCAGGATTTGGAAAACAAGTCTTTTGAGAGGAAACAGTCTTTGTTTCAGGTCCTTCAATCTTGAATTTTGTCACTTCTTCATATCACTGCCAAAACTTTTGCTGGTATTTCTCTTCTCTAGAAGTAGCCCTCTGTTTGTGCCGAGTCCAGATGTGTAGCCTCTAGCCCTCACCCAGAATTCACAAAGGCCCTAAGGGTAAAAGTGGTTGTAGACTCGCAACTTACCTCTGAGAAGTTCAACCCCCTTCATAACTTAATGTCTCTAGTTATTATTTCTTTTGCAGCATTCTGATGCCTTTAAGAATATAACTTTTGTATTCAATATTGGTTTTATAGTTCTTGGTGGGATCTTCGGCTGCTATAATGATTCCACACCACCCCACCTTAGCAACCTCATTATTTGAATAAATGTGTGCATGACAATGTGCTAATTTTACCTTGCCAAGGAATAGAACTTGATTTTTTCCTCAAGGATTTAAAAATTGTTGTAATTACAGGATATATGCAATAAAAGAAAACTAATAAAACAGAACACTGTGAGCTAACTTGCTAATAAATTGTATGAGTGATACAATTAGGAGGCCAAAAGAGATTTCATGTTCTAAGATAAGAAAGGCCATCTTATAAAGTTAACTTTAAGGAAAGGGTATCATGAGTTAAGAAGATCAAAATAATGCTTGAGAATTTTAATCTATATATTAATATATAATCTATATAATTTGGGGCCTAAATAAACCACTCAAGCAAATAAAGATATAAAGCTAATAACAAATAGTTGAGATATCTTCTAATGCTGTGTCTTATGGAATTGGCCTTCTATCATATTTTGATAAAATTAAAAGTAATATTTTTATTGATCCTGTAGTATGTATCTTTCCCAACAATAGCATTATTAAAATCTTAATAATGTAGCCAATAGTAAGAGGAGCAAATCCTACTTCTTCTCTCAAGAATGAAAATCACATAATTTATGACAAAAGTTAAGAAGTCTACCAAATATCTAGGTAAGAAGAGAGACTTGATTTTTGGTCTGCGATATTAAGGCTTAATTTCTGCAAAGAAATTTTTTAAAATGCAACAGAATTATAAATATTGACATGAAGTAAAAAAAAAAAAAAAGGAAAAGAGAAGAAATTGAGGAGGGTGAACTCACTGCTCCCTGTCTGAATTTTCTGTGGTTCAGTTCAGATTGGCTTTTTAATGTCTATGAGTCTTATTTATGTCAATGAGAAATATTAGAAAAATACAATAACATAATCCAAGATACTTTCAAAATACATAAAGGCTATAAGGAAATGAGAAGAAAATGGTAATGAACAACAACAGATGTTTCTTTCTTGGATGAGTAATTAGAGATAGAAATAGCATCTTGCAGAAAGCAAAAAGTTTTTATCACCAACTCTTCAGGAATTCAGTAAGATATTCGCAAAAATGCATACATTTTAAAACTTTAAAAAATGAAGAGGAAATGTGGATCTATAAGCTCCAAGAGTTTATGTGTTGGTCCCAATCTTATATACATTGATGGACCAGGCAAAAGCCACAGAAGTCTCTCCTTAACAACATGTTTCTGTATCTGAAATTATATAATAATAATTTCATTCCTTTGGGTTGAAGTGTGAATGTCTGTATTCCACTGTATACTATTTTTGGGTAATATGTAACTTTTTTAAAAACTAGCTTTTCCATGTTGATGTCTCAGTAGGAAAATGTGAAAGAATAGTTGGTTAAAAGGAAGGGCATGTGGCATAGGATATTTTGCAGTAAAGAGGTAAAATGCAGGTTTGTATTACTTGAATACTTATATCCACTATTCATATACTATTGATAGCTCTTACTAAATCCAATACCAGGCACATCAGATACTTCAGAAAGGTACTATGAGATGGGAGAATGAGGCTAGGATAGGTGAATGGTGAAGTAAAAATGACCAACTTCTCTGGCTGTTTATTTTGGTCTGCTCAGCCTTACTATGTGAAGAAAAAAATTTGATGTAGAATATCATTCCTTTAGTTTATTCTTCTGCATAATCTATTTGCTCTTAACATTACTTTTTGAAAGTTTGACCAGCTGCCTGATTCTTCTGTTGTGCTTTCTCTTTCCTTCCCTGTTCAGAGCTCCATTTCTGGCAACTCCACACCCCTCCTGCCCCCAAACCCCCATAGAAAGAAAGTGGACAGTGTTGTGAATGTTGAAGTGTTTGACACCCTCGGGATTTTAATTTCAAAATTGCATTATGTAGGTCAATCTTATTAACTAAGCCACATGGTTGAAGGCTATAATTATGATTTCTGTCATTAAATTTGAGTCATTTGGAGAAATTGTGTTTAAGTTTATATTTTTCCATTTTTATCCATCAAAGACAATCTTACTACCCTACCAATATTGGATCCTCAGCATTAGACACTATGGTCTCAATGTTGTTTTGCCTGTGTGTTTGTGTGCATATCTGTGTCTGAATTACAATACTTCGCTTGTCTTTCTGGAGTTTTATGGGCCTGGGTTTGTGGGTCTCTGCCTGCTTCTAGTAGTGTTAACAGAACACATGCAGTAGCCAGGATCAGCGTGTTATTAAAGCAGTGATCATCACTTTAGTGCTTTTTCTAATGTAACCAAGGTTAAATCATAGTATTTTGTTATACTTTACATACTTCTTAATTTTTATTTTATTTATTTTATCTTTTAACTGTAAGGTTTTTTATTATTCATTGATATTGGGGAAATGTAAGTACTGAGAAGTATTCACACATTTTTCATGACAGAAGGGAAGAAAATAGTTGTGTTTTGTTAGGCTGTATATTGGTTTTATTAGATAATTTTTTATTAGTTTTTCACCTCTGTGACACTATGCAGTCACAAAAGTATAATCATTAGTGTGCACATATCTTAGATGCTTTTTATATTTTAAGCTCTATTACTACAAAAATGCTAATATTTTAAACACAAAAATACTTAAATTTCTATTTTTGCATTTAATAATGAAACTTCTAAATTGTTTTCCATGCAGATAACTGTATAATGATGTGTTTGTAATCGGTGTCCAAATTATAATGAAAGGCCCAAAATTGTAGTAATATTCTAGACCACGAGAAATACCTGGGTCAAATGCTTTACTTCTATTGCTAGATTTTAGTCCTAGAAAATGAAGGAGTACTTAAACACACCATTTCACAGTGATGCAGCCCCACTGTTTAGCATAGGTGTTTCTCTAACAGTGATCCATTGAGGAGGTATAGGGTTTAATTGTCCAGAAACTTACATTTTACCTCTCTGATCTCGTGGATTCATTTTAGTACTTTAATAAAATTTGTAGCAATGTGGGCTAACTCTTGAGATTGTGAGAATTATATTCTCAAGTGTATATGGCAGTCTATATTTTTTTTCTTGATATTTGCTACACACATTAAAGGAATTTTCATTTATTTTCTCAAATATCTGATGAAATAAAATTCTAACAAATATCCAATTAGATTGTAATGTTCATTTAAGAAAAGATTTCCTCCATCTTTTCTTAAAAGATGGATTTCATCCATCTTCTTCCTCCAAGTGTAATGCATCAGAAAGCATTGCTAAGAAAAGGTCTAACCGTCTAACCCTTTACAATGAATCTGACTCATTTTTCTTTTTTCAAGGGATGAAAAACCTGAAAAATATTGTAGAACCAAGATCTAAGAAAGTTATCTTAATAGTTTTTAAGAATTTTTAGCCAAGTAACATTCAAATATAAAATCTTAAGAAATTAATTGAATTATGTTGCTTAGATTTCTAAAGTTATATTTTGGAACTCTTTGTTTGCTTTATAAATCTGAAAAGTCTAAAAGTCTTATTCAATCTGTGTTGGGTTTTTTCCCTGAAAGCACTGAAGTTAAATGATTTTTTAAAGTTGGTTTCTTTCAACTTTGGTGAGGTAAGGAGCGGGTACATTTGACATATTCCATTTCTAGAAATAGCAGACTAAGTTGTTTTAAATCGAAGCTCCTGTTGAGAACAAGTAGAAAAAATGGACAAAAATTTTTTTAATTGAAATTTTCTTGAGGACATTGAGATGTACTGTACCAGCAAGGATTTGCAGTCTAACATTCAGGAGAAAAAGAAAACCAGCCCAGCAAGATGAGGTTGACATTTTCAGGCAAGGAATGTGATTAGAGTTAGGGGGATGTTTCATAATAAGAATTAATCATCCGGGAATATATAACAGTTCTAAATTTGTACATAACTAGTAACATGGCTTTAGATATAGTAAAGGCAGCATTGACAGAACTAAAAGGAGAAATGCACAAATCTACAATTATCATCTAAGATTTCCATACACCTTAACTTGTAACTAATAGAACAATCAGATACAACTAAGTATTTAGAAGACCTGACCACCAGAGTAACTCCACAGTGCCTCTCTGGAGCTGCCTGTATGATCAAACAGCTCTGTGTGTCTTCTGGAGATGCAGCTGGCAACTTGGCACTGTGTTACCTGCCTGTGCTTTCTTCCTCACCTACCTCATTTCTCTGTCTCATTTACTTTTGCTGCTTTTGTATTGCTTTTACACTACACTGGATTAGCATATTGTTTCCATTTTATAGGGGGCTCATATTGAGAAAGAATGTTATTCTTTAATAAGAATATTTATTTGAAAAATATAGTTACTTCAACACCTTCTTACCAAACAATGTTACCCCAGGATGCTTAAGCTCTCTCTATAGGTGATAAGGAGATTAGAATATTAACAACAACAATAAAAAGCAAGTGTTGATCAGTAGTTAACTATGGCATGAGCATAAAACTTTACCAATATTGTAAAAAGAACAGCATTAAAATATCAGTGTTCCCAACATTACTGCCACAGTACTGTGCAAAAGCAGCATTCTTACTCCATAGAATGAATACAAAAAAGAAGATGTATGTGAAGAGTTTTCTGTGGAGTTAAGAGTATTTGAAAAATAAATAGTATTTAGCAAAAACTATTGTGGGAAAAATTAGGGAATTTCCAGACATGAAATATTGATTAATTTTGAGGTAAAGTACTGTATAATGTGCTATAATTAATGAGAGTTCTAAAAATTTAAGCCAGATGATTTACATAAATAGTAAAATATAATTTAACCCCAAATAAAATTCCATAAAGTATTTTCATGTACATTAATTTGGGAGAGTAGATTTTATAGCAGACAAGTGCCTGAAGAGTTAGCATATGGTCCAAAATGTAGCTCTGGGAAAACACTAAATTCTAATCTGCTCTCTTTTTTAGTTGAATAAATGTCTTCCCTAAACAATTTGGTCTTTTAATTTCTTGATTTATTTATATTCTTATATTTAATGGGTATATACGTTTCAGAAATTCTTTGAAAATATAAATCCAAAATAATGCATATAGCATCTGTATGGGTAATTCTGGAATATTTATTTTACCCCCCTAGCTCAGTCTATTCATTGTTCCAGGGTGGCTTTTCCTGTACCACTGGGAATATTCCTCTTGAAAGCACACTATCACCTCAAATTCGGTATATCTGCAAATATAGAAGTCATAAATCATTTTCTACTCCTAATGAACCTCTATTGCCTGCAATATCATATTCAAACCATTTATCTTTCCAGGTTCATCTCACAGTGATCCCCTTCACTTGCCCTGAACTTAATACAACAGTGGTATTAAATATTATCTAAAAATGATCTGTATTTTCTCACCACTTTGTTTCCTTTCATATGGTTCCTTTCGCCTGATGACACTGCTTCCAAAATATACCTTTGGTATACTGTGAACTTCTGTTTTTATAGCCTCTTCCTAATGGTTTCCAAACCCCTCAAGCCAAAATGTATTTTCCATATTCCTGCATACATTTTGTTATTATTGGTGAACAACTTTTATTCTTGTAGGCTAATTATTCTTTTAGGTCATTTAGAATATTTTATTTATCTTGATCTGTTTCATAATGTGTAGTATAATGCTTATTAGTAAGCTTGTGAAAATGTGGAAGTCTGGGTTTCCTCATAAACTGACAAGTAATATAGTGTCATATATTTTTTAATGTACATACATTGAAAGCTATTTTGAGAAACAGGCAGGTTTTTCTATCTTACTGAGGAAAGGTTTACTTGGGGAGTGGCCAAACAACGGTTATTTAATTCCCATAAAGTATTATCATAATGTCTAATTCTCTGATTGAAATATAAATATCCATTGATGGATGTGTGTTTTTGCCTGACTGACAGCTGTCAACTAAAAAGGGACCATATATCACGGTGAATAGGGATGCTGATCATGCTAAAAACTTAAGGAAAATCATTTCAGTATTTAAAAAAATAGTTATGAAAGTTAAGACTTCAGTTGAAATTCTTGAAGTATACCAGAATCTTCAAAGGTAAAACATCATCTTAAGTCATTTATTTTATGGCGTATCTCTCAGAACTTGACAACTATAATTTATTAATGAACTTAACTGGACTGGCTTCTAAAATCCGTTGACATGAAACTATCACATGCATTGGTAGACTCTGTAGTAGGGTACGGTAAGAACAGTGACTTCATTTTCTGCCACGTTATTTTAATTTACTTGCTGTTTTACCACTTCATATCCTTCACTGCGTAGGTAAACACATAAGATTGGCAACTAACTAAATCATAATGATGGCAATATACCTTAAATTTGTATATTGATTTTTACATTTCAGTCATTATTTTTCTAGACCATTTATGATCACAATAACGGCATGCAAATAGTTAGAATAATATTGTATCCTATGGAATTTGATACATCAGTAAAGTTTCAACACAAGTCAGTTAAGCTACTTTTAAGAGTCTGCTAAGAAATGCTTATCCTACTCATCACACCTACAAACACTAACAGGAGTTTTTATTCTAATTCATATTTATTGAGTCTGGGTCTATATTTCATTGAGTGGTATCTAAATAATTGTTTCTTTTAAAGATGATGATTGAAACTAGAAACTAGAAATTTATTATGGTTGCTGAGGAATAACAGAAAAGGCAAGCTGCAATATTGAAACTGTTACCTTGAATTCATTCTGGTTCTGAGAAAAACGTGGGCATATTATTCAATCATAATTCTCACTTCAAGTTTAAATGCGTTGTCATTCTGGTGGAAGAAAAGAACTTTTGTGTCTTGTTGGCTCTAATATTCACTGCTCAGTGTTAAGTGTTCAAGAGTACTTTCTGAAGAAGCATGTATAAATCCACAGACTTGTCTGAGAAGTAATCACCACTTAATGTGTTGATGACTATATCACCATGTTGGAGTGGACTTATATTATCTCAGCTTGCAGATCTAATACTTCAAAAAATTTTAAAAGACTTGAAGCTATTCTTTCTCTGTCCACTAAAGTGGAAACTGCTGCGTTTGCTACTATGCCAGCAGAAAGTATGGTCATATTTTGCTGAAAACATTCATTTATCAATATCCATTCTGTAGTATGGTGCCTCCTTCCTAGGAAGGAAATCAGAAACCTGCAGAACATGTCGTCTTCGTGCATACCTACCATCTTTGTGGAAGATATGTGGTATCTTAGTCTGTTTGGGCTGGTTTAACAAAGTACCATGGACTAGATGGCTTATAAACAACAAATTTATATATATTTTTTTATTATACTTTAAGTTTTAGGGTACATGTGCACATTGTGCAGGTTAGTTACATATGTATGCATGTGCCATGCTGGTGCACTGCACCCACTAACTCGTCATCTAGCATTAGGTATATCTCCCAATGCTATCCCTCCCCCCTCCCCCCTCCCCCCACCCCACAACAGTCCCCAGAGTGTGAAAGGACATGAACTCCAGTCTATCACTGATAAACAACAAATTTATTTCTCACTGTTCTGAAGGATAGGGAATCAAAAATCAAGGTGCTGGCTGACTTGGTGTCTGGTGAGGGCATGCTTCCTTGTTCATTAATAGGTCTGTCTTTTCACTGCGTCCTTACATGGCAGAGGGAGCAAAGATGCCCTCTGGGGCTTCTTTTATAAGGGCCTAAACTCATTCATAAGTACTCTGCCCTATTACTTCCACAGGCCCCAAATGCAAATACCATCACACTGGGGATTAGGTTTTAACATATTAATTTTGAGAGGAACAAATATCCACTCTATAACATCTGGGAAATAAACTTACCAGAGCAGCAGAGATCCTTGTCTCTGGTTAGGAGACTGTAATAGGACTTCTATACTGCTAAAATCTAGTTTCATATACATTTCACATTACATGAAACCATTTATTAATACAACATTCAAATGTGTTTCCAAATAGATCACTGTCAATTGTCTTAGTTTCTTACAATTCTATCTTAGAATTCTTATAATTCTAAAGCAATGCTATATGCTTTACAAATTTATAATTAAAGTTTTAAAAAAAAAAACTTTCAACAAATACAAGGGCAAAACATGTTTAGAAGATGTTGGTTAAAGATGAAGATTAGCTAAATAGTTAGCAGTATCCCAAGAAAATCAAAGCCTTTTGTATAGTATGGACATATGGTTACTGAACAGGGCTTGGGAGGTATATGTGTCACCTTTTAGTTTTACCCAAAGTCTATTTTATTTCTTGTATTATCTCTCAAATAGCATGATTCATTTCTTTTTAAAGTTAAAAAAATTGTGGGTACATAGTAGGTGTATATATTTATGGGATAGATGAGATATTTTGGGACAGGTTTGCAATGCATAATAATCACAGCACAGAAAATTAGGTATCTATCATTTCAAGCATTAATTCTTTGTTTTACAAACAATCCAATTATATTCTTTAGGTTATTTTAAATTGTACAAATAAATTATTATTGACTATAGTCTCCCTGTTGTGCTATCAAATACCAGGTCTTATTCATTCCTTTTATTTTTTTGGTACGCATTAACCATTCCCATCTCTGCCTTGCCACTCCCCTATTACTCTTCCTAGCCCCTGGGAACAATCCTCTATTCCTTAGTGGCATGATTCATTCTTTACTGTACTGTCTTCTCTTCCCTAACCATTTGTCTGTGACTCTTGTTGAATGACATAATAATGTTTTTCCAAGCTCATACTACCTGGAAGGAATAAAAGGCTATTTTAGTCAGTACATTTCTTGAATACAGTTTTTTACATCTCATGACAGATTTCAATTTCTTACTCATCTGCATTTTTTCCTTTTGCTTCCAAAAATTAACAAAAGCGACAGATTATTCAATATGTTCTGCCATACTCACTTATAGGAACAAATTCACTGCACTGACTTTTTCATGTTTGACTATGGCCACACATAATTACATAGCAGTCCTTAGATTCACAGTCTTTAGATTAAAAAAAAAATGAAAGACACAAGAAGAAACAGGCAAGTTTTGGCTTAACTTAATAACGCTCTCATAACTCTACAATATGTCTGATTTTCTGTCTTATTAGTAAATTTAAAGTTGCATTACTGTGTAAAAGAGTGGACCATTTTTTTTTTTTTTGTAAAACCAGCTGTTCACTCAAGATTATCAATTCCAAGTTGTTTATTGGGTCTCTCAGACCACTCCCACATTTGGCAATTTTCTGGAAGCGATCACAGGACTCCTTATATAGTAGTATTACTGGGTAAGATCTATCACAGTGACACAATACACAACCTATCAGCAGAGGAAAATTACACAATTTTGAGAAGTCCATGTGCTTTCTGTGCCTCCTCTTCCTATCAGAGGTCACATAGAGCACACCATTTAGCCAGCAACAAAAATGTCAGCTATGTGTGTTCAATGTTTCTTCCCAAAAAAGCCCATTTGAGACTTAATATCTAGGTTTTTACTGGGTCAAGCTTTTATCTAGGTTTTATCAGGGTCAAGCCCTAACATGTACCCAAAATGCAGAATCCCAGAAGTAAAGCAGCTGCTTTACTTCGATCATGGTATGTGCAAACAGTCCAGGCACAGCAAATTCATCAGTTAAGGGGATATTAGAAAAGCAAAGTTTCCAGACGTCAGCAAGGGCAACTCTTTCAAGCAGGTCTTTCTAAAGACAGTAGCCTCAGGTCTGCTCTGTTAACTCTTTCTCCACACAGGTGTATGATGCATACTTTGGTCTGCAACTTTTCATGGTATCTGTTTCTTTAAGCATAAGGGAACCTTGCATTTGCTTTTGCTTACAGGGCTGGAGTGCTCTTTCTCCCCCGCTTCCCTACCCTCCCTGCCATACCACCCCGCAACAACTCTCTCCCTCTGTCTCTTTTTCCTGTGTATGTGTTCCTATATTGGTTGCTCCAGGAAAGAAGAAAACTTTGTGTTCCCCAATAAGTTAGGTTTGTTACTGATGCAGTAAGGGAGATGACACACTGTGGTTTAACAACTGGATGGTGATTTTAGAGGAGAATTCAAGGAAGTTGCAGGTCTCTTTTGGGTTATTGAGGGAGGAGTCAATTCAGTGATGTTTTTATGCTGTCATTGATTTTATATTACATTTTACATAAAAACATTTTTATGTAAGATGTCAGAAGAAAGAAGCAAAAATGCAATTATCACTGCCAAAAAACTACAGTCTGCCCTCCATATCTGTGGGTTCTGCATCCAGATTCAACCAGCCACAGATAAAAAATATTGAAAAACAAAAATTAACAATACAATGATAAAAAATAATACAAATTTAAAAATACAAGCTATTAACATAGTGTTTACATTGTATTAGGTATTATAAGTAATGTAAGGATGATTTAAAGTATATGGGAGGATGTGTAGAGGTTATAAGCAAATACTACACCATTTTATATAAGGGACTCGAACATCTACAAATCTTGGTATCTGTGAAAATCCTGCAACCAATCCCCCATGGACAATGAGAGACTACAGTTACTCTTTAGCCAAAGCGGGCAACAAGCTTGGTGTTTTCTTTGCACAGTGCCTGTTTTTATTTCTTCAAGCATAATGTTGAAATGTTCTTGTTTTTATCTTGTTCCATCGTGGGCATGGAGAATCCTCATCAGATGTTGGTATTTTGTAAAATTATTTATCAGAAGAAACTTAAAACAGATTTGTTCTTGTGGGCCCATGACAGCTATCACATACCATTGATATTTAATAATATTTGAGTTACCATTACCACAGGTCTCCACAGTCAAAGACAATTACTGTGTCAACCACTTTGCCTAGCCATCACCCTTCTGGTAGAGTATCTCTTTATCTGGGGTTAAATA
Organism: Homo sapiens; assembly: GCF_000001405.40. Classification (NCBI taxonomy): domain Eukaryota; kingdom Metazoa; phylum Chordata; class Mammalia; order Primates; family Hominidae; genus Homo; species Homo sapiens. The sequence continues at coordinate 183,667,318 of NC_000002.12, read as the reverse complement.
TAAGGAATATCTGAAGTATATCCATATATTTCCTCAAAATGAATGATAAGCAGACGTTAGTGTTACTAAGTTTAAGAGATCTGAGTGCTCATAATTCTATGTACGTCAACATGAATAATAGAGTAATACAGTTTACCAAAAAAGCAGCTTAATTTTTATTAAATATATATAAGGAGTATGGGGCAGTATTCATTACTACTTTACAAGTTCAGTAGTTTTAACTATTTAGGGTTCATGAGTTTAAGTGGGGGGCATGCTCTTCTGTTTGGTTGTGGCTAATCCAACCTATTAAAGCTTGATCCTGTGTTCAGTCTATACTGGCTTGGTGTCCTAGTGCATTCTGTCAGTCCCTATTCGGGCTCTCAGGACCTACCCTCCCTAAATTTCTCTTGTTCTCTCCCTTCCTTCGCCTCCCTTCTTAGCAACTTGGAAACTTTAATTAACATTTTGCCTCTCTGAGCCCCACAAAATGAAACCTTCCTCTGAAAAGTTTTGGGTCATTCTGTTTCAGCAGGCTATTTGCCTTGTTACTATACATAAAGAATCCATTCAAAAAAATGAGCTGTGTTTCTCTTTGTGCATTTAATCATTTATATAAATGTAACTAGACTTTAACATATCAGTGTATACCTTGATTTTTTCATTCACTATTAAGCTTTGGATGTTTACCTAGGTTGATACATTTAGATATAATTATTTTAACTTGTATGCCATAGTAAATGGTATGCTAAATTTTAGATAACTAATCAAAATGTCTTTAATTCTCCTCACTCTAGGGTTACTCTTGACTTTCATATTAAAATCTCACAGTCCTCTCCCAAAGTTCATTTGAGGATTTCAATAATGCTCTCACCCAACCAGTTGTCATCTGTCATGAGAACTCATGGGCCTTCGGTGACTTCTGTACAAAGATATTTGTTGATGTACTCCAAAGAAAGAAAAAGTGATGCTTGAGTGAACCAAATTAGCCCCAATTTTCTTTTTTCAAATCTTGTTTGACAGACTTTCACAAAACTGTTTCCTTTTTTTCCCCTGAGTTCAGCTGGAAAGAGGAGTCTGTCACTAGAATTAAAAATAACCCTGTCCCCAGACTTTCATAATGGTTAAGGAAGTTCAAAAGAATTAAAATGTTTAAAAATACTATTGCTGCTGCAGCAAAAAGTCTTTAAATAGATGTGAATATTTTGAGGATGAGTCACTCCTAATTTGGCCTTCTTCTATTGTGTCTTATATCCATTTAAAACAAGAATCTTGAGATTACTAATGAAGGCATAAAATGTTATACTGTAATCGTAGGTATTAAAATGTATTTTAACATTGGAAGCTGCTGGAAAATACACTTTATTTCTCATGATGTGATACATTAGATGACCCCTTTTTAGTTGTGTCTTTTACTGCCATTCAGCCAAGCTGAGTGACTTGCTTTATTTTCTTTGCTCCTTTTTTGTCTATTCTTTCAGGTATTATGGCATACTTTGTTTGCAAAGGATGTCATAACTTTTGTTCTTTCTAAAGGAAGTATCCTCACTTTGTCACGGGGCTGAAAAAACTTTCACTTTATTTTTTTATATCAATCTGGTCCATAGACAGGTGGTGTGCTGAGCTTTAAACAGCTTGATGAATGATTTGGCTCTGCGTAGCAGTGTCAAATAATGTATCTCAGTTGGCAGTCTCAATGAAACAGAATAAGGCAGTTGGTTTTGTGTTACATATTAGAGTCCTTGTGCCTACTGACTTCCAGCTGTGCATGCTAGGTATAAATCCTGCCCTTCCTGTACTTTGTGCCTGTAATTCACCCAGAGCTGCCCATTCAAGTCTGTTTACCAAACGGTTTCATTCACAATCAGGAGCCACTCCAATCTCTGGGGCACTTGTATCTTTTTTATTTGCTGTTATACTAAGTCATATGATTCTGATCAACCAATTTTCTGAGAATAATAATGAAGCCTAGAGGGAATTGTTGCTTAAAATTCTCTCTTATGAAGAAGAATAGATGATTTAATTTCAAGAAGCTGGCAAATATGCGCTTACATTTCAACTTTGGTTAACAATATTGATATTAACTTTGCACCATATTTTCTCTAGTAGTATTATGCTTTACTTAGAGTTCTAGATAAAATGAGTATTTGCTTTTCTTTTTTTTTTCCTTATGAACAAATAGGATAAATACAAATTAGCAATTATGTCCCTTGAGGGCATTGAGAGCCTCTTCAGGGGACAATATTTGTCAATTTTGCCACAGGGATATATTTAAGGAGAAAAGTTTAGTTTTCATTATGTATGATTACTAGATTTTTAAATAAGGGAGGAGGTATTAAAATGTGGACCAAATGGTGGCAGGGAGAAAAAATAAAGAATCATTTGCAAAAATGTTAATCATGATTTGAGGTATTTTTGTTTGTTTTTAAATTTTATTTATTTTTTTTAGAGACAGGATCTTGCTATGTTGCCTAGGCTGGACTCAAACTCCTGGGCTCAAGTGATTCTCTTGCTTCAGCCTTCTGAGTAGCTGGGACTGCATGCGTGTGCCACTGCACTGGTTTTTAAGTATTATACATTTGGACAGAAGTTGTAGGAGTTTGAGATTTTGAAGTGGAATTATTAGAATTGTTTAGCTGATTAAATGAGGAGGAGGGACTGAATAGAGGGAAAGAAAACAAGCTAACAGTAATTCTAGTGAGATGCATAAATGAAGGAGGCAGATAATAAACTCAGTTTGGGATATGATATGGTTTGGCTGCGTCCCTACCCAAATCTTACCTCGAATTGTAATAATCCCCATGTGTCAAGGTCAGGGCCAGGTTGAGATAGTTGAATCATGGGGGTGGTTTCCCTCATACTGTTCCTGTGGTAGTGAACAAGTCTCATGAGATCTGAAGGTTTTATAAATGGAGTTCCCCTGCACAAGTCCTCCTCCCTGCTGCCATGTAAAACGTGACTTTACTCCTTATTTGCCTTCCACCATGATTGTGAGGCCTCCCAGCCATCTGGAACTGTGAGTCAATTAGACCTCTTTCATTTATAAATTACCCAGTCTCCGGTATGTCTTTATTAGCAGCATGAGAACATATTAATACAGGACACTTAATTTGAGGTAAATATTAGATATTAAGGTACCATAGACAGTTGGACAGTTGGTCTTGGGAGTTCAGGCACAATCTGGATTAGGGAATCATAATAACTGAAGTCATGGGGAGTAAATTTGGTGACTGAGAGAATGAGAAGCAGATACATTCTGAAAATTTCAAATCACAAGGGTCTACAGGTATGTGGTTTGATATGATAATCACAGCCCCCATGTGGCTATTGAGCATTTGAAACAGTATGAATTAAGATGTTCTGTGTGTATACAATATACACTGAGTTATGAAAATTAGTACTGGAAATAGCACAATATCTCAATTTTTATATTGATTACTTATTTGATAATATTTTTGGATTCATTGGAATAAATAAAGCATATTTCATCATTTATTGAATGTGGCTATGGAGGAAATTTAAAAGTATACACATGGCTTGGATTTTATTTCTACTAAATAGTGCTCATCAGAATAAGATCCTAACTTTTTAGCATGATGACTCATCAGATCTAGGTTATTACCTTCCCAAATGCATCTTCTGTTCCTCCCTCTCACATTTCTGCCATCCAGTCATGGCTAATGTGTGCTCCTCCAGTCTCCCTCTCCATCAAGCTGTTTCAGATCATAGCCTTTTGTACATGTTGTTCCCAGTGTTGGGCATGCCTATCTCTTCCTTGGAAATTTTTGTACTTTCAGGTTGGTTTTTCAAAGAAAAGACACTTTGAATAAAGGAGTAAAAAATAGTATTAGAAGTTCTTCTTGAAGTCTGTTTATTTTTTCAAAGGGAGAGAATAAAAAATGAGCCCTTATGTACCCATTATCCCAGCTCACTAATTATCAACTCATGTTCCATCTTGTTTTCTATCTCTATTCACAACATCCTGCTCACATAATTTTGAATAAAATACCAGACATTATTTTAGTATCATTAAATATAAATGATCAAGTATGTATGTTTTTCATAATTATTTTTTAATTAAACTGGAATTCAAATAAGGTAATATATTGCAATTTTGTTGATTTTGTTCTTAGTCTTATGAATTACCTTTTTATCTCTTTTTTGTTAATGCAGTTTATTTCTGGAAGAAATGGAATCATTTGACTTGTAGAGCTCCTATAGTTTGTATTTTATTTTTCACAACCCCATTGTGTTCAATATGTTCATCTGTCCCCACTTTTGCCTATTATATGTTTGTTCTAGAGGTATGATCAGATTCAAATTCTGTTTTTTTAAGAATACTTCTCTAGTGATGTGGTGTTCTTCCATTGGGAGGCATAAAATACCTAGTGATCTCTTAATTTAATTTTGCTATTATTTGTAGTGATGTTAACAGCTACTAATAATCTTTGCCCTCATCTATTAGTTACTTAGTGGTTACAAAATTATGACTTTCTATTACTCATTTTTCATTATTTTCTTTTTAGCTAGAATATTCCTATAAAGAGGAATGTTTCCTCATCAACTAGTTGACAAATTTTAGGATTAGTGGGTACAGAAAAAGCAAGGTAAATTTATAATTCTATTCCTTTATATTTCATATTGAATTTTCATTAAATTGGCATATAATAATTGTACATATTTATGAGGTACATAGTGATGTTTTGATACATATAATTTATAGTGATCAGATCAGTGCAGTCAGCATATCTATCATCTCAAATATTGATCATTTCTTTAGAAAATGCTTTACTAGCATTATTTTCCAAGTAATTTTCTAAGTTCAGTAGCATTCACCAGTATTTACCAAGAAGTATTTGTTGTTATTATAAACTCATGGATAACAACATATACTTGTCCCTTCTTAGCCAGCAGTAGCTTCTTCAAGTTGGCTGAGTCCTTTTTATGACTCTCAAGATAGCTTCATTATGTTTTGTTATAACAAGATGTTCCAGGATCATCTTGTGCATTTCCTTCCCTGGATCTGGAATCAGCCATTTTTTCCCCCAAGTAGTCATGGCTCTTTTGTGGGACACAAAACTGCAATACAATGGCTAGGGATACTCATTGTTACTGGGACAGTTATTGTTTCTGGATCTTTTCAATAGACAAAACTAGGAAATGTCAATTTTATTTTTATAAGGGGTATCTTCTGAGTTCTTAGTGATACTGTTGATTCAGATGCAGTATTACAGAGTTTTAATTTAAAATTATTTTATCATCCATATCTCATTTCTTCCATGCTAAAAATGACAGTTCTCAATAATACCAATATAATTACTCATTTAATTTATTCTTCAATACCTTAAATAATAGTTTTATAATATCAATACTAATACTACCAATGATAATATTATTTATTAGCTGCTATTTATATATGTTTGCTGTTATTTTTCCTAAGGTTATATCACTAGGGGTGTTTAGTGAAATTACTGTGTTGTAATATCACTTAATATTATCTCAGTGTGATTACATCACCAACTGCTTACAGTTAGACTCATTTGCTTTATTTTACCACTGCTTTTTAGTAATTATTTTAAAAAGCAAATTTTGTTTAATTTTCTTTTATGATCACAAGGATTCTTTATAGTGTTCCAAAATAAAATTCTACAAAGCAAGATAAATTCAGAGAAATATTACTCTATGCCCATCCCTTCTACTCTCTTCCTCTAAAAGTCATCACTAAAAAAATTGCCCTATATTTCCGTTGCTGTTTTATATAAATTACCTATTCTATCTATTTATATTTACCAATCATCGACCTATACCCATTCATCCATCTACCCATTTCTTCCTCTTACATCCATCCATCCATCCATCCATCCATCCATCCATCATTTCCTCTTAGATAAATGGTAACACCCTAAATGCACTTTTTTCTAACTCACATTTTTGAACTGAATAATATATCCCCTGATATGGTCTGGCTCTGTGTTCCCGCCCAAATCTCATCTTGAATTGTAATCCGAATTGTAATCCCCAAATGTTGGGGGAGGGACCTCATGGGAGGTGATTAGATCCTGGGGGCAGTTCCCCCATGTTGTTTTCATGATAGTGAGTGAGTTCTCATGAGATCTAATGGTTTTATAAGGTGCTTTTCCCTCCTTTGCTCTGCACTTCTCTCTCCTGCCACCATGTGAAGAAGGTTGTGTTTGCTTCTCCTTCTACCATGATTGTAAGATTCCTGAGGCCTCCCCAGACATGCGGAAGTGTGAGTCAATTAAACTTCTTTCCTTTATAAATTACCCAGTCTCAGGTATGTCCTTCTAGCATTGTGAGAATAGACTAACATATCCCCATAACAGTGTATACAGTTTTCTGTCTTTCGCTTTGTACAACTTCAGAGAGCTCCATTGCTTAAGTGTACCTTGATCTATTCAACAAGTCCCTTCTTGATAGATATTTTAGTATTTTTATTCCTTTCCTATTACAAATATGCTGCAATAAGTAGTGTTGAATACAAATATTTTCATATCTTTGCCTGTGCATCTTTGGTATAAAGTTCCAGAAGAGAAATTATTTGGTCAAAGAGCAAATACATTGTAATTCTTCCAGATAGTTCCAAATTTACCAGATCTCCAGGAGTTGTATGATTTTACCTTCTCATTAAAACATGTGAATGTGCGTGTTTTTCTACAGCCATATAAGCAGAATGTGTTGTCAAATGTGGATTTTTGTAAAACTCATGAAAAACTGTATGAAAAATACAGGTAAAAAACTGTATTTCCATGTAGTCTTAATAAATTGAGGTATAATTATCTTCAGTAAATTGTACAAATTTTCAGTATCTTCTTAAATGAGTTTTGCCAAATGTCTACACGTATGCAATCACACACCTAGCAGCGTATAGAATGTTGGCCTCACCCTACAAAGTTCTCTTGTGCTCTTTCCCAGTCAATGTCCTGCTCCCTGGAGACAACCAATATTCTGATTTCTATCACCACATATTAATTTTGCAAGTTCATAACCTTCATATAAATTGAATTATCATATATAGTCTTTTATGTCTTCTTTTGATAAGAACCATATTTTTGAGATTTTTTCCATGTTGTTGCATGTGCTTGTGTCAGTTTTTTGTTGCTAAGTAATACTCCACTGTGTAAATATATCACAGTTATTTATTATCCTGTTGATAAGGATTTGGGCTGTCTCAAAAGTTTTGCACTTATTAAGAAAGTAGCTGTTGACATACTGGTCGAAGTCTTCTTAGAGGTATATTTCTTTTGGGTAGATACGCAGGACTGGAGTTGATGGATAAGGTATATTAAATGTTTAAATTCACAAGAGAATATCAAACCGCTTTTCAAAGTACTTGTATCAGTTTGCATTTCTAGCAGCAGTATAAGAGAGGACTGGTTGATCCACATCCTCTTTAATATCTGGTTTTAATATTTTTAATTGTAGCCATTCTAGTGGGTATATACTGACATTTTACAGTGACTTGAGTTTGCCTTTCCCTGCTGAATAAATTTTGAGAATCATTGGCTATTTATATATCCTCTTTTGTAAAGTGTTGGTTGAAATATCTTGGAGGAAAATGTTGCTTGTGGATGTCCTTTTTTATAGTAAATATCAATCCTTTGTCACACGCATTTTCTCACTAGTGTGTTTTGACTTTCACAAGTAAACGTTTTTGTCTTTGATGAAAATCTGTTTAATGGTTAATGATTTTTGCCTTCTAAAAAACTTTGCCTGACCAACATGATGAAACCCCACCTCTACTAAAAATACAAAATTAACGGGGCATGGTGGTGCATGCCTTGTAATCTCAGCTACCTGGCAGGCTTAGGCAGGAGAATTGCTTGAAACTGAGAGGTAGAGGTTGCAGTAAACTGAGATTGCACCATTGCACTCCAGCCTGGGCAACAAGAGCGAAACTCCATCTTAAAAAAAACTAAAAACTTTGCTTAACTCTAAATTGCTATTAGTTTTCTATATTCTTTGTTTTATTTTAGGATTTTTATAATTATAGTTTTTATGTTTATTGGAGATCCACTTGACTTAATTTTTGTATATGGGTTGAGGTATTGGTCAAGCTTTTTTTCTCCCCCTCATGTGTGTACTCAGTAATGAACCATTTGATGAAAATATTCTCCAATATCCATTGGATTTCACTGCCAGTTTGTGGAAAATCATGTGGGCTTATTACCAGACTACTCTGTTCAACTGATTAATTTGTCTGCCTTTATTCTATTAGCACCCTGTCTTCATTACTATGGATTTGTAATTAGTCTTACAATCAGATAGTGTAAGTCATCCAATTTTATTCCTTTTGTTTTCACAAGTTTATTTTGGCTATTTTAGTTCTTTTACATTTTCCAAATATGTTTTGGCATTAGCTTTCACTTTATACCAGAAAAGTTTCTGGGGTTTTGATACATATAACATTGAATCTATAGGTAAAATTGGAAGAATTTTTTAACCATATTGTATCTTCCTATCATTGGCATGATAAATCCATCTTTTGGGTCTAGTTTAGTTCTTCTCAGCAATGTTTTATAGTTTTTATTGTAGGTATTTTATGGGTTTTGTTAAGTTTATTTCTTGATATTTTATGCTACTGAAGTTATATCATTTCTTAGAAATTTATTTTTCAATTATATATGGAAATACAGTTGATTTTTTTGTATTGGTAAAATATTCTTAGTTCCTGGTATAGTTACTTACTAGATTTAGTAGACTTTTTATAGATTAATAAGAACTTTGTTAAACACAATCATAATGTCTGCAAATAAAGATATTTTTATTACTTTCAAACCTGTTGTGTTAGTCCATTTTCACACTGCTGATAAAGACATAGCTGAGACTGGAAAGAAAAAGAGGTTTAATTGGACTTACAGTTCCACATGGCTGGGGAGGCCTCAAAATCATGGCAGGAGATGAAAGGTACTTCTTACATGGTGGCAGCAAGAGAAAATGAGGAAGAAGCAAAAGTGGAAACCCCTGATAAACCCATCAGATCTCATGAGACTTATTCACTATCATGAAAATAGCATAGGAAAGACCAGCCCCCATGATTCAATTACCTTCCCCCTGGGTCCTTCCCACAACATGGGGGAATTCTGGGAGATAAAATTAAAGTTGAGATTTGGGTGGGGACACAGACACACCATATCACCTGTATACATGTTATTTATTTTCCTTCACTTGGTGCACTTGCTAAGACCTCTGTTAAAATGTTGAACAGAAGTAGTAATAGCAAACATCTTTGCTTTATTTTTGTTTTTAGGGGAAAGTGCTTCAGCTCAATATATCATCTTAATTATAATGTCAGCAACAGGATATTTTGTAGTTGCTCTTTATAAGTTTGAGGCAATTACTTTATAGTTTCCCTAAGATTTTTTAATTATAAAAGGAAAGATATTAAATTTTTAAAATGCTTTTTCTGCATTTATTGAGATAATATGATTTTTTTCCTGCTGTTATCATGTTGAACTACCTTAATTAATTTCCAAATATTAGCAAAGTTAAATTCCTGGGATAAATCCCACATGACCATGATGTATTACCCTTTCTGTACATTGATTTATTTTGGTAATATTCTGTTAAGGACTGTCTTTTGTTAAAGTATCCTTTTCAAGGATTGGTATTAGAGTTCTTATAGGTGTATTTAGTGACTTAGGAATTGTCTCAATATGCATTCATTTTTATGAATAATGTTGAAAATATTTATTGGAATATGCATTTTTCTATGGTGAATTGTCTTCTAACGTCCTTGGCAAGTAATTTTCTGAATAAAGTTTTTATTTTTTTACATATTATGAAGATAAAGTGACTTAACCAGTAATGTTTTTGGGAATCTTGATAATTCAACTTCTTATAGTTTGAGAAATTAGCATATAAGTTTCTGTTGTAGGTCTCTATGAGCTGATTATGAATCTATTCATGAGAGATCTTTCAAATAGCAGACCTGTTGAGTTTTGGAGATCCAAGACTGGAATGTGATGCTCCTCATATTCCCCACTGGTGATCAACTCTGGGTGATGAATCATCTATTTGCAGATGCGTTCATTTTAATTTAGTTTCTTTATATCTTTCTTAATAGTAGTTTTTCAAATGCACAGATAAATACAATGAAAAAAAATTAAGGTTCCAGACACCACTGTATACAAAATTTAAAAATATCTATTAAAGAGAAAAATGCTATTGATTCAAAGAGTGACCAGTGGCAGAGGAATTTCGCATGAGGAGCTAAGTAAATTTGGTTCCAAGTTGTCAAATGTGCATTCTAGGAAGATCTCATTCGCAAAACATGGAGAAAAGATTGCAGCAGGGTGAGACTGGAAGCAGTTAAGAGAGATCATAGCAATTGCTAGGTGAGAGATGATGAGAAACTGAACTCTTGTGGCAATGGGAACGGAGAGAAAAATAGTGTTGGATGTATGTGGTCAAGTGATTTCAGGAGAAATGGCACTGTGCAATGAAACAGAAGTAAGCTGACAAGTTTTCAAACTGTTGGTATCACTGTCTCCCAGAATCTAGTCTGAGCAACAGTGTTCTTACAAAATGTTCCATAAAAATATAATTTTCTAGAGAAAATAAATTTGAAAATGTTGGATACTTTATACCTCTTTTGGAAATTATAGTAGTCCTTTGGGTCCATTAGCTCTTCCTATTATAGTTTTTTATCCCTTCCGTCAAGTAAAAGTATAATTAAAGAGGGATTTGGGTATTTAGATTCTCTTTAAGGAAAAGGAGTTTACATGCATTTATGTTAGGGGTAAATTACTTGAGTCCCCTTTGTGATTTCAGTTTGCCTGAATTCTTTTTTAAAAAATAATAATTGTCAAAATGGCTTTTGAAGTGTGAAGTTTAAGATTTTCTTAAAATCTTAGTTTAAGTGAAAAAGGTTTTGCTGGGTGCTAAAATGGTTTGGCATGAACTTATTTCCTGGACATATGGATTGTAAAATAAGCTGGGGTGTTGAGAATTAAATGAGATAATTTATGCAAAGTCCCTAGCATTATGGGCACATAGTAGGCATTCCATAAATAGTAGCTATAGAATTTAGATTCTGAAATCATTAACTTAAAGGCTTTAGTTACAAATATGAATATGGATGAAATTGTTCAGGGAGAGTGCATGTGAAAAAGAAAAAGGCAAGGATGTAAATCTGGGAAAATCTGGCATGCTAGAGAGGACAGGAAGTTAGGATCTGATGACAAATAGAAAGTGACGGTCAGAGAGTTAGAAGGAGAGCAAGAATAGGACTACATCCTGGAAAATTTTAAGAAGGAAAGAGGGAAGGAATGGTCAGGTTGGGAAATGCCTCAGAGACCTCAAAAAGTGCCAAGACTGATTGACTCGTGAGCTCGAAGGTTACTGATGAGCATAGCAAGACAAGACCCATCTTGTATTGGTGGAAATAATGGAAGAAAAACTTGGAATATTAGAGTTGGGTTTTCATGGAATTGTTCTTTCAGAGAAATCACATGAAAGGACTATGAGTAGGAGGGACTAAAAGTTCGTTTGTAAGGCTATGTGATATCTGAGAGAAAGAATTCTTGTATACTCCTCAAAACTCTCTGGTAATAGGTAATAGATAATTGGCAACAGGCATTTAACAGCTCAGTTGCCACAATCAAGCTTTAGGAGACCTAAGACTTCTTAATAAAAGGATCTCCTTAGGCAAATCATTGCAAGCTAAAACAACAGCATAAACCTGCTGATTATGAGCTGCTCAAAGACAGAAGCACAATCTTAATCTTCCATGTATCGAGACACTAGCATAAGACCTGTCTCTTAGGTGATAATGTTAAGATTTAAAAAGAAAAAAGTGATTTGGCCTGGTTTAACATTAGAACCAGAATTGTAATTTTGTGGCTTATTTAAAATAAGGTGTCAGAATTAAAGGGGAACAGTTTTAATTAGAAATAGATATCTTAATTCTTAGAATTAGATACAAAATGGTAGGTCTTTCTTGATCAAGGTCATTGTAAACTTTTGCTGTGCTTATGTAGGTTTGAACTTCTTTATTATAAGCCTCAGGTGTTAGTACATTTTATGAGTAGAGGCAATGAAGTAGTCATATGAGCTAAAGCACAGTACCAGACATAAATAAAAATTAAATTTTTAAAATATCTGTGCCTTGTCTAACTCAAAGTTTAACAATCAAGATCAGATCTTTAGGATACCCTTAACTCATAATAATATGATTTTGTTTAACATTTTCGTTTACAGAAATGTAGGTATCCTCCTCAAGAAAAGATTTAATGCCAGATTAGTTCAAATGTATTTTAAATTTAAAAATATTTACAGCTAAATATATGTTAGAAAATAATTTTAAGAAACTGCCATACTATTTTCCAAAATGATTGGTGAATTTATATTCCTACCAGCAGTGCATGAGTTCTAGTTGCTCCACATTCTTGCCAACATTTGATATTGTTAGTTTTTTTTTTTTTAATTTTAGTCATCCTAATAGGGTTTAGTAGCTTTTAGTCATCCTAATAGGGTCTAGTGGTATCTCTCATTGGTGTTTTCATTTGCATTTCTCTAATGATGAATAATATTGAGTATCTTTTCATGTACTTATTTTCCAACCATATCTCTTCTTTGGTGAGTTGTCTGCTCACAACTCTTGTGTATTTTTTTAAAAATTGGAGGTTGGCCAGGCATGGTGGTGCATACCTGTAATCCCAGCACTTTAGGAGGTGGAATGGGCAGATTGCTAGAGCTCAGGAGTTTGAGACCAGCCTGGGCAACATGGCAAAACCCTGTCTCTACAAAAAAATGCAAAACTTAGCCAGGCATGGTGGTGTGCGCCTGTAGTCCCAGCTACTCGGGAGGCTGAGGTGGGGGGAACACTTGAGCTCAGGAGCTCAGGGCTGCAGTGAGTCAAGATCACACCAGTGTACTCCAGCCTGGATGACAGTAAAACTGTGCCTCAAAAAAAAAAAAAGAAAAAACAAAATGGAGGTTTTTAAAAATTCCATTTCGAGTTCTTCATATAGTTCCAATATACATCTGTTTATCAGATATATAGGATTTGAAAATATTTTCTCCAGTCTGTGGTTTCTCTTTTCATTCCCTTTTGAAGAGTAGACTTTTAAATTTTGATGAAGTTATATTTATGAATTTGTAATTTTTATTGTATGGATTATGTTTTTAGTGTCATGTCTAAGTTACATGTACACATACTATACGATCCAGCCATCCCAGTACTAGGTATTTATTCAAAATAAATGAAAGTTTGTCCTTTGAGGGACTTATACATGAATGTTAATGAATGTTAATAGCATTTTATTTGTAATAACCTCAAACAGTACATAACTCATATATCCATCAATCAGTGAATGGATAAACCATGATATAGCCATACAATAGAATACTACTTAGTTATAAAAAAGCAAAGTAACTATTGATAAATGCTACAATATGTATGAACCCAAAATATGCTGAGTGAAAGAAGCCAGACCCTCCAAAAAGTTACATACCATATGTTTCTATTTATATAAAATGATAGAAAATGCAAATTAATCTATAATGGAAGAAGGTAGATCAGTGGCTGCTTGGGGACAAGGAGGTGAGTAAGAAGGGGCATGAGGAACTTTGGGAGGTGCTGAATATGTATTTCGATTGTGGTGATAGCTTCACAGCTATATTTTTTATGTCATAGTTTATCAAATAGTACATTTTAAATATGTGCATTTTATTGTAGGTCATTGTTTACCTTGTTAGAACTATAAATAAATAGCTTGCAAATAAATAGTTCAATTATCCCTTAGAATAATTTAGTAGAATGCAGCACTTTATAAAAGTAATAAACTTACAAGCTATTTATTTAAGCTCTTCCTATTAATCAGAGTGATTCATCATTGATGGTAAAGGAATAAATAATCACCCATAGTGAAAAAATATCTGTGTTCCTAGTAACAAACAGAGAAAGGGTGCAACCATGAATAAGAGAGTAAAGAAAGATGAATTGTAAGTTATGACTTAAAATAAAAAGAAACAACTACATGGTTAATCAAAAAGGTAGTATATATGAATGCTTTGTAGCTAATTTAATATTAAATAGAAATTAGGGGCATAGGTACAGATGATTAGAAAATACAAGAGAAAATGCAGATATTTACTGTATAGAATTAAGTTTTGTAAAGAGTTCACTTAGTACTCACTTAATAAAGGAAGATATAGAGGCAGAGTGAAGTTAAATGAGAAATGGACCATTAACTATAATAAAGTGCTTGTAATGTACAGAGACAGATTAATGATGACAATGGCAATGTCACTGGTGATAAGTGCAAAAGCAATTATACTTTTTATATATTCATTTTTTTCCAAATTAATTCTAACTGCTTTTCTCTAGTCTAAACTCACAGGATTGTCTATCTTTTAAAAATTTTCTTGTGCATGTCCAGAACCACATACTGCAATAATAATAATACTTACAAAAGGATCATTAAAAGCTAGAAAGAATATAGAAAAAACAATTTTTCAGTATTTATTTGTAAAAGTTTTCAAACATTTATTATTTACTACATATTGGGTTAATAACATGTACTCATGAAATGACTCACTTTCAAGGTATTGATTTAGCCATCTCAGCACTGTAGATATATTATGAATTATAAAGTTTTCTGAATTTCCCTGTACTGATTAATATAAATTACAGCATTATTCTTGACTAAATATAAATTGACAAAATACAATAGAATTGATAAAAAGTGAAATATAACAAATGTTAAATTGCAGTGGATTTTTAGATTAACATTTTTATCTTATTACAAAAGTATAAACAATTTAGAAATTTAAAAAAATACAAAAACACATAAATAAAATTTTTTACCTGCACTCCCACCATTTAGAGATAACCACTGTTAATGTGTTCATTAATTTCCTTCTGTTTTTTTTTAACTCATGGTGTATATGGATACTTATATGTAAATTACAAACATGTACTTATATTTGTTAAATTCTATGTATACAGTTTTGTAGTTTTAATGTTATGTCAAGTAATAACTTACTTGGGAGGCAGTTTTGTCAACCGCTACAATATATTCATATTTGTTTACCCATTTAGAGGAATTTACTCCTTTAAAATAATGATATAACTATTTATGTTTGAGGAGTTGATCATAGCATTATATAAAAACAAATACATGAAAAACAAAACAAATAACACTAATAAGTCATTAGCAAATCAATTATTTTATTCATCTAAGATATTACGATGAAGTTGAAACGTTTTCAAACAATAGTATTCTGAGAAACATTAGTATTAAATATTAATATAATTTATTAATATAAATGTTATAACATTGAAACAAATATATACACTACCTCTGTGTGTGTATATGTGTGTTTATGCATAATCTTGTCTGACTTTCAGAATGAAAGTTGCATACAGTGGAGAAACGTAAAAAAATGTGGTTTCCTGAAATCATGTGACTATCATATAAAACCTGCTCTGCATACCCTCAGAAACAGTATATGAGAGAGAGAGAAAGTTCTATCTGGTTATTTATCTCTCTCTGTCATAGCAATTCCTGATGGTTGGAATTGCAGGTGATATTCATTTTTCCTGTCTTTTTTTGTATTTTCTAAATGTTCCAAATTTAATTTTCATAATTATTATAATTATGAAATACATTGTAAGCATTTCCTTGTGTCATGCAAGTCATTGAAAACATGACTTTTTGTAGTTATATTACATCCTAACAATATTGCTATATTTTATTATAGGGATTCTCTAGCATTGCCATTTAAATCGTTTATTTTGTTGTTGTTGCCATATTTCAAATAATGAGATCAAGATCATTAATATGGGTAAAATACTGTCTTTGATCATTTCATTACTCCTAAAACTTTTTTCTTATGGCACTCTGACTCCTAACCCACCAGCTGGGAAATGTTTGTTGCTATAACATAGTTTTAATGAAGAAAATTGTAAAAATATTAAGCTCTATTTAAGGCCTAGACCACAACTCAAGTTAGCTATGCTAAAAATGTAGATTATTGGTTATTTGGATGAGAGGTTGTTGAAGAAAGTGCAAATCTGTGCACCCCACTGACGAAGGGTCAACTCTACCATAGCTGTATGATCCCATTCTTCATTGGCTTAGAAACTAGTTAAGCCTTTGGGGAAGAAAATATGCGGTACAATTTCTGTTTTTTTGGAAGCCTACAGCTAACAGAATTGCTAGCAAGGAAATTTACATTTGTAAAGGTCACACAAATGAACAAACCTTACCGTTATTTCAAATAGCTAAATGATTTTTGTTCTTACAGATTTGAAGAAGTTAGTGCCATTCTATTGTGGTACTCTCAAATGTTTCACAACTATATGATAAAGTTATAAAAGAAAGGTTACCACTAGATTACCATTCATCAAAATAAAGAGCAAATTGTCCTTGAAAATGTACCTTAATTTATTCATAGGATACTTTGGTGTTTAATAATTTCTAATGAGTTTGTTGACCCCAGTGCCCATATTTAGAATATAATGAAAAAATGTGAATTAACAGATTTCAATTATAGAAAAAATATGCAATAATTTCTTCTTTTATGGGCTCTCATTTTCATAATTGTAGCACACATATTTAGAAATGTGCTTAATGCTTGATTCCTATCTCCCTGGAATTAATGGTAAGTAGATTGTGGTAGGGGTTGTAGTTGCTTTTCAACATTCATTCTCCTTACTAAAAACCTCAGCTTCGACTGGTCACTTTGCCACCTGCCTAAAAGGTAATGTTAACTATTTTCCTTCGTAACTACGTGTAGCCATGGGGCTTAGAGTTGGCAAATAAGATGTTAAGTAGAAACGTGTGTGTATTCAAAGAAATTCCTTTAAAAGGCAGGAGACTACCTTCTTGAGTCTTTTTCACTATCCACCTGGTGAACATGAATTAGGTGGCTACAGCTCTAGCTTGAGAATAACTTGAACTTGAGAATAAAACTGTGTGCAGTAGAGCAATTAAATATGAGCCTAGATCCAGGCCATTGCATCACTGCCACACAAGTCTTATTCTGTTTACCTACAGGATTTTTACTAGACACAAAAATAAACTTAGTTGTGTTTAAGCTTCTAATTTTCCAGGTATTTGTTACCAGTACTAAGATAAGTACTCATATTATGAACATGTTTTCAGAGATATACTTGTATCACTAGGTGTCTATAAAATATCTTTATCTGTAGAATATTATACTGTATTCCATTATATATTATAAGCAGAGGAGTAAAAATGTTATGCTCCAACATAAGCCAGAGATCTTGAGATGTTAAAAATATCGCTTTGTGTCTGATGATATATTCTTAGACAATATGTGCTGGGAGAAGCACTGAGTCTGTACTCTTGTCAGTAGCACTCAGATATAGTGCCATGATAAACATACTTAATTTATTTAATAGCCATTAGGTTGTTCCTGTTTATTAAAGACTTGATTTCTCTTCTGGCCCTTGCTAGTCAGATGGGTGCTAAAAAGTAGGAGCAGGTGCCCATAAAGGTATGTCTCTGCTCTCATATGTAGGCTTTACATTATGTTTCCATGTAGCTTCTCTGACCTACCCATTTATGTAACAGACATCTAAACATGACCTAAAATATTACAATTTCAGTTTTTATATTATTAACAAATTATGCACAAAACAGAATACCTCCTTTATTCTGAGGTTCACTCATTCCAAAATAGAAGCTATATATTGGAAATAACTGTATCAAAATATCTACTTTAAATTGGTCTTGAGAAAATATACTTCTTTGGAACCACATAGATAGTGTTCCTATGGTTGTGAGCTTATAAATACAGTGCAACCTGCCCTGCCTCTGTCCTGGATTGTGGTAGCCTATTACATACTTCCTAGAAACAGAACACCTTTTTTCTGTGAGGAACGCATTCCATGTGGAATAAAGTGAGCCCAACCTGAAAATATCTAAACTTGTGCATGGCCTATGTGATTGGTCCGGGATAGAATATGTGACTCAAGCTGGAAAAATAAGAAGTCTCACCAGGACTTTTCTGCTCTTCAGAGATATGCTATTTTCCTTAGGGATGGCAAGGACTAAGGCTACATAAACTTGGAGCATCCAATTTTGCCCACCATAGAAAAGAGCAAGCCTGAACGTAAAGCCACAGCAGCGGCCAAAACATTAAGAGAGAACAAGAAGTTACAACATTTTAGTGCCGGGATCTATATATTCCTCGAAGTTTTAATAATATGAAAAAAGATATTTCTCTCTTATGCAGGCTGGTTTGAGTTGACTGTCTGCAACTAAGAGACCTGATTAATAAAGCTGCTTTTTGTCATAGAGAAATTATTAAAGAACACAAGAAGTGAAGTGAAAGAATGTGGGTGCTCTTTTCTTGGTTGGTAAATCTCTTAGACACATTATAGTTGAATCTTCCAAGACCCAGGTCTCTTTGTCTCTTGGAATCCATTCAACTGTCAAATTAGTTGGCTCTTTATTAGGCACTGTGCAAATAAACAGATGGACAAGAATGTCGTGAGACTGAGAATTTTATAAAAGGTTATGATTCTATCCCACCAAGCAATTTGAAGCTTATCCCATGATAGTTGAATGGATTAGCTGGTTTTCACCACTGCCAATAGATGGTGAGGGCACCCTTGGTGAATATTAGTTTTTATTGGACTAGAATCTCCTCACTCTTTTTTGGTAATACATATTATTTCTTTCTCTCCCCCACTGGCTTAGGCAAGGGTGCCAATTCAGTATTCTATTTCCCTGGCCAGGAATGAAAATATTTTTTAGACTTGGCCCATCCTGGTATCTCATTGCCCTGGCCACAGCAATTGACTCAAGGTTGGATGTATTTAACCTAAACTGGGCCAATCAGAATCTTTTCTTGGTGTTTTCTATATAGATGCAGGATGAGAGACTCTATTTTGGAGTTACTATATGACACCAGTTACTAGATGAGACCAGTATAATTTTGAAGTTCTTTGTAGCCACACTTCCACATCTCACATTTCCTGACCCTCTCCTTCTAACTTACTACCACCAAATAGAGAAAGCCCATCTACAAGAGAATGAGGTCAACAGACATAAAACGAAAGAGCTGAGAGATGGGGGGAAATGCTGACTGTGTCATCTGAGTCAACCAGGTCAGTATACATGTGTGCTTCATAATTATGAGAGCTAATGTGTATATATTTTCTAGAATACTAGACCATAACAAATGTCATAGCATCAGAAGGGGAGTGACTGTGGGTATGTATGTGTATATATATATATATATATATATATATATATATATATATATATACACACATACACATATATATACACGTACTTTATACTTGTGAGTTTAGTGAAAGCTGTGTATCTGTGACAAGTAGGATAGAAAGGGGAGACTAATATTTCTAAACTCTATATTCTAAACTGAGTTATGGGAGCTCTTTCATCTTAATTGCCTAAAAATATTACAGTTTCTGTAAGTTGTTACTGACGTGAACCCCTTGGGGAAAAGTTTGAATATGCTGTAGGTTTCTTGACATGATAATATGAGCTAAACAAGCTAGAACATTTGCAAAGTGCTATAAATTTGCCAATGTTTCTTTTGATGGTTAATTTTAAGGTCAAAGGCCTCAGTATATTTTAATGAACAGTCTAAATGATTTTGGAATAGCAATGAAAATGGTTCGTGAGGAAAATAAAATGCTAATAATGCTGATACCATTTTTAAAATGGCTTATAGTAGAATTTGCATGTTTAAAAAACCTGGATGCAGTTTTAAAAAGTCAAGTGATTAACCAAATCATAAGACAAAGAAAACTTGTAGAATTCTATCATAAAATGTTGTTGGAATTTACAGACACTCTGGACATCACATGATTAATTACCTTGCAACTTTGAAATGCTGAATCTTTGAGTGAAGCACATGAGTTAGAAAACAAAAGCACTTAGAGCCCTATCTTCCCTCTTTTGCTTTTTATTCAGTAACATTTTAGGAAATGAAGAGGGTTCTACTCTTTATCCACTGACTTTCAACTCTGACCTAAAATGTGAAAAATTTCCCTTTCCCTTCTACTGTTGTCTTCTTCCTCTGCCAGGATATATGGGCTTCCTTGAAGGTGATCTTAGAAGCTGTAACTGTAGACTTTATGTAAGTAGCTAATTTATTGCCTCTCAGCTGAAACACATACTTTCTTGCCTATTTTGTGATAATAAAGTTGGACCTTCAGTTTTTAATTCTTGTTTAGCCAGTATGAGTTAGGCTCTGCTGAAAGAAGACACCAGAAGGAGATAGCAAGACTACAAGAGGGTGGAGAGACTTCTCTGGTTTTTGTTTCTACTGAGTGGTAGCAAGCGTCAGCATGCTATGGATTCTGGAGGTGGCAGTGGTTTGCATGATTCTGTGGTGGTGAGTGGTCTTCAGCAAGTCTCTTCTTGATCAGAGCAGTGGGTATGGGTATCATTTCTTCAGTAGCTCATTATTTCCATAGAATTCTGTCTTAACATTAAATGGGGACATTCTCTTCTAAGTTTCTAAGATTTTCTTGGTTTACATTTTCATCAGCCCTAGGAATATTATTAATTTTCTACTGTCGCATAACAAATTACTGAAAATGTAGCATCTTAACATATATTTATCATCTCACAGTGTCCAAGGGGTAGGAGCCTGGGTATGGTTTAGTTGGATTTTCTGCTGTGGGTCTCAGTAGGCCCCAACCAGGTATAAGCTGGGATGTGTTCTCATCTGGAGATTTCACTAAGGAAGAATTGTTTTCCAAGCTCATTCAAGTTTTTGTTAGAATTTGTTTCCTTACGGCTGCATGACTCGGGGCCCCAGTATCCTACTTAAAGCTGGTTGGAGGCCACCCTCAGCTCCTAGAGGCCACTAGCAGTCCTCTGACATGTGGCCCTTCCAATAGGCAGTTCATAAATGGCTATTTGCTGCTTCAAGGCCAGAAGAGAAATCTCTTGCTATAGTCTGTTAAGATGAACTTTTATATAGCACAACCTGATCAAATGTGTTACATCCCATCATGTTTTCCATGTAATATTGGTTAGAGGCAAGTCATTGATTTTGCCCACACTCAAGAATAGGGGATGATAACAAGGGTATGACTCATTAGGGGTCAACTTAGAGTGTGTCTGCCACAGGGTGGTAGCTGCTTCCTGAAGATTCTGCCTCTAAAACACTGTAGTGTTTTTGTTTACCCCTTTTAGCAGTTGGCCAACTTTTATCAAGTTCTTTATATTAAGTTTTACTTGTTGAAATAACTGGCATGATTTCTGTCTCATGATGAGATCCTGAATGATATAAGCTCTATACTTGGCATGTCCCTAGTACCACCTACTATGTCAGTAGTCTCACTCATAGAACTAAGATATTTCTATTAATGAAGTCCCAGAACCCTGGCTTGCCCTCAGGAGAAGAGCCGAATACAATACTGATGGATCAGAACTGCAGAAAACAATCCGGCTGGAATTACATGAATTCTTGACATTTATCTGGTGTGATATAATATTGAGCTAATTTCTGACAACTGAGACACCCTTGTGCCAGCTTCCATTCTCCTCTTTTCCCTGGAGGGCAAGCAGGACCAAGTTAGTTTGGGGTTCCAGAGGTCATATGCCCTTTCAGTGTGAAAAATTAGTTGGCCATTAAACTAAATGTTTCTTGACTTTCAAAATGAGAACATTAAGATGGTCCTTTAACATATTTATTTGCCTTGCTGGGAAGGTAGTCAAGGTCTGCTGGATTTGTGATGTGCTAAATGAATGTTTAGCTGAGGTGCTCAGATGGTTTTATTGGTAAGGTTAGCTACAAAAATGAAGGCGTGAGGTTATTGGAGGACAACATGACATCCATTAAATTAAATGCCTATTAAATTTTCTGAACGGTGGAAAAGAATTTCTTAAAAGCCAAGAGGGAATGAAGCATTCCAAAAAGTGAAACAACCTGACACTTAGTTTAAGCAAGTTTTCCTTCTATTGAAAAGATTCCTTTTGACACTATTTCAGGATGTTTTTTGCAGCAGTTGCAAACAGCTTGTAGATGCTGATGAAAATAAAACAAAGATGAGGGAAAGGGAAATAACTAGGCTATTTCAGATACTAGGAGCTGATATCATCATTTCTTTTCTTTTTAAACTTGCTTTGGTTTTACCAAAGTGGTGTACATCAATCCTGCTTTTCATTTTTCCTTTATGCCTATTATACAGACTTTCAAAAGCAAAGTCTTATGAGGTTAATTAAAGAATAAATCAGTCAAAATGCATCAAAACAGGCCTGAAACACTATTCAGATGTACTTCCTTTTTGAAGAATATCTATGCGCTTAAGATGGTAAAATGATTATAAGCCATATTCAACAACAGAGCCATATTAACTTTTTAGAGAAATTGTTTAATTATCTTGGGCCACGGGCAAAACAATAAGGTGCTAGTATAAGGGCCTGATCTTGAATTATGAACTTTAAATCATGGATAAACAAGTAACTGACTTTTCACTTCATATTGGAGATTCTTTTCTATTGAAAATATTCCAAAGCACCAGTGAGTTCAAGGGAACATCTTATATCAGTATAACTTATGTATATGATTGTTCCTCTGATTTGTTTTCCACTTACGATTATTTATAAATTGCAAATAAATGGTGAATCAACTATTAAAAACTTCTATTTAAAGGAAATATGACTGAGCAGAATCCACATGGCACTATTTGATCCAATCAAAAAAGATGCATACAAGTTCTTTGGGACAGTGAGACTTCTTCCATAGTCTGGACTTCCCATCCAGAGAGGAAATCTATTGACTTAAAAAAAAAAATCAGCCTTTTGTCCAGGACCATTTATGGAGCATAATACTGATAAACCTGCTGGTAATTTAAATAGGAATTTCTAGTGCTGGCAAATTAGCTCAAGGTGAACATTTTAAACCTAGGTCCTTTGCTACATGTATTATAGGATGTGGCAGGTAGGCCAGTATTAAGGTTCATTTCTCAGGCTGGGCTTCTCTATCCCTCATGTATCTCTTGTCCATCTATTGTTTTAAATTGGCCTTATGAGACCACTGAGAAGGAAAAAAATTTATTTTAACATTGGAATTCAGATGTATGAAATGTATTTGTGGGGTTGGTTATAGAGTTGATAGAAGCAAAATTACTGAGACACTAGTGAGAAAAAGTTTTCCTTAGGAAGAGGAGAGAATCTGACCTAGGCTGCTGGGCTCAGCTGCATGGCTCAAGTACATAGCTGTTTGGTAGATAACATGGCAGCTGATATTGAAATCACTACTTACCTAGACATCCTGCTGACAAGTATGTGCTTTTGGAAGGAAAATAATAGCATGCGTGAAATTAAACAGCTATTTCTGTAGCTTCTGCTTCACTTTAGGTCCAAAGTTACCTTGTGGATTATCTCATTTTCCTCCCTCCGCCTCCCTTCTAATTTTGCATACACAGATATAAGAAGATTCTTCAAGTTCTGCAGGCATAAGGAGGACCTGCTGTTTTCTAGATAGTCGAGTTTTAAAGTAGTATTGGTGGCTTAGCTATTGGAAGTAGAGTTGTGGGTTAAAGAGCATTGAAGTGGCAAGGGAGGTGGACTGTAGGCTCAGAACCCACATTAGCAGTAAGTAGGAAGTATTCACTATGACAATTGTATTAGACTTTCCTACATGATATCCACTAATAATTGGAGGAGGGAGATTCCACAAATAAATGGACTTGCTATTTAAGCATGGGAGCTTAGAGCATTAGATTTAGGTTCCTGATAATTTATCTTTCTAATGGTAAAATTAGTTTTTTAGTAGAAAAATGTAAGTATAACTATCAGTGAGACTTCATTTACATCTGAAGCCTAGTGAAATCTGGAAGGTCTTGGGTAAAACTCCCAATAACAAATCAATTTAAAAGTCAAGAAAGGCCTAGCAAAATATTGTGAATGTCTTAATTTCTCAAAAAAACATAGGATCATATGATATGTAAGATCTAATACAAAAATTATAGTAAACATCCAGTGAGAAAAATTAAGAGTATTTAACCAGTGATCCAGAAACAACAGGCTACCACCCCAAAATAAAATGGATGCTATTTCCCAATACACACTAAAAAAAAAAAAAAAAAAAAAAAAAAGATGGAAGATGGAAAGATAAGAATTTTTTTTAAAAAAGAATCTTGCAAAATATAATTCTAGAACTCTGCAAGTATAAGAAGGTAGGCAAAAACCAAATCCAGACTAGAAATCCAGATGCTATAAAATAAAATTAGACAGCTATGATTATCTAAAAAAGTAAAAATCTTTGATTGACAGTTCATACCCTAAGAAATGTTAAGGAATAAGAGACAGCTCTAAAAATAATTGTTTGTAATATTGATAACAGATGAAGGATTTTTATTTATTTACAGAAAGGTCTAACAAATTGACAAGAAAAGAAAAGTAACCAAAAGAAGAAGTGGCAAAGTCTATGAATAAACAGTACAAAGAAATGCAGGTCCAAATGGCCAACAAAACATGAATAGTCTCAAACTCTCTAACAGTAAAACACAGGTTAAAGTGACAATGAGCTATTATATCCTTCAAACTGACCAAAATTACAAATAACTCTCATGGAAGGAATTGGGGGACAGACACCTGGCATCCTCTTACATTGCTGATAAAAATAGAAAGTGTTTCAACATTTTTGGAAGACAGTTTGGCAACATATATTAAAATTTAATAATGCATACATCATTTAAGCCAGCAATTTCACAACTGGAAATCTAGTACATAGAAATAAATATACCAAATTTTAAAAACATATGCAAAAGGATGTTGTTCCAGCTTTGTTCCAGTGACTAAGAATTGGAAGCAAAGTGCGTGACATTAAGAGGAGAATGGTTGAGTAGTGAATAGCCATCCTAGAGAGTATTATGCAACCTTTAGAAAGGTAAATTAGGCTGGCCACAGTGGCTCACGCCTGTTATCCCTGTACTTTGGGAGGCCAAGGTGGGCAGATCACCTGAGGTCGGGAGTTTGAGACCAGCCTGACCAACATGGAGAAACCCCGTCTCTATTAAAAATAAAAAAGTAGCTGGGCGGGGTGGGGGTGGCACATGCTTGTAATCCCAGCTACTCGGGGGGCTGAGGCAGGAGAATCGCTTGAACCCGGGAGGCGGAGTTTGCAGTGAGCCGAGATCATGCCATTGCACTCCAGCCTGGGCAACAAGAGCAAAACTCCACTCAAAAAAAAAAAAGGAAATTAGAATTATACCAGCCATTCCATAATTGGCAGTTTATATAGGATTATAAGAGTACAAAGAAAAATAAGAAGGAATTAGATTTTTAATATGGTTCCCTTTAAGTGAGCCAGCACGTGGGGTAGGATACTCTTGTGGAGGTAGGTAAAGAAGATAGGGAAGGTAGGTATGATAAAAATTGAATGCATGACATGCTTTAAGAATATTCAGTAGGGATATTAATAGTCATGTAAATGCATGTGCATGTGTACACATATAAAGATGCATGACAGAATGACCAAAATGTAAGCAAATGAGGTGTTGCTCAGATTGGTGGGAGACCAAATGACTTGATTTCTTTATATGTGTATGTACTTTTGAATCATTTTCAGTGAGCATTATTACTGATATAAAAACTATTTTCAGTATGTGAAAAGGAAAAGATCTGTTTGGATTTTTGAGCTATATGTATCATATTCTTAAATATGATAGAATTGGTCAGAGAAAGTGAACACAAAATACTCATGTCAGAAGTGGCTTTTTATATTCTACTTTGTATTTTTACTACTTATACTGTATTTTTCAATGATGGTGATTTGATCTGTACACTGCAGGGGGTTTCATGCTCATTGGAGAAATAAAATAATAGTTTAAAGTAGAATTACAAGGAAACTGCTTATTTTAAGTAGATGTTGTATTTACTATTTGTGAAAAATTGAAACTTTGTCTACATGATCCTATGAAAATCAGAAATTATGGGCTTTTAATTATTTCCCTAAAATTAGTCATAAAAACATAAATGACAATTTTATTTATTAGGAAGTCTTATAAAATAAAAATTCTGGGCTTTCTACTGCCTTTGTGAATAAAAATATGAAAGGAAAAATGGAAAAGCATTTACATGCTAGTGACCACAGAAGTTCAGTACTCAAAAAGCTGGTGTCCAAAAGGTCTTTTAGGATTAAACCATGCTTACTGCGGCCTTTGACTTTAGGTAGACTCTGTTTAAACCTGGGTTCCACCAATTTACTGTGTGATTTATGTAAATTACTTGATCTCTTTATTTCTCAGTTTCCTCATCTGTGAAATGTGAGGATTAAAAGAGATCATTTGCTTGAAGTCCTTTGGACATTGCTTGTTTTTTTTTGTAGGCACATAATATATGCTGGCTGTTGTTATTACTATAATTACTATCATCATCATTTACATTATTTACAAGATCCTCACCTATGTTTACTGATATTTAAGCTGAAGAAACCGGGCTTGAAAATGTAGTTTAAGGGCTAATCTTGTAAGCTACATTTATTATGATGTTATGAAATATATTTTATTAAACTGAGTTTGCTTACTTATACTGTAAAATGAACTCATTGTATTTATATTGATTTAACCCATCATCACATATAGTGTAGATAATTTAGCTGATTAGAAAAATTCAAATCCACTGGGTTTAGTTTTCTTCTTGCAGAAAGGCAAACTGCAAAATAAAGCATTCCTCAAAATGATTCAAGTCTTAACATGACAGGAAGCTTGGGTTTCCCACACTAAATATTGAAGGAGTACGGGGCTATAGATGGAGTCAGAGAAATTCAATTGTTTGGCTGAATTACTGTCATAAAAATGATATTGAATAATGTGATAAATTTTGAGGTTATAAATGTGCTTGTGATTTTAATTATAATATTAATATTGGCATCAGTAATAAAGGGAGGCTCGGGAATTAGATCATGTGGAATCAAATCCTGGTTTCTTTTGGCTGCCAACTAGTGACATTAGGCAAATTATTAACTTCTCTAATTCTTTATTTCCTAATTTGTTAAATGAGAATAATACCTTCATCATATTTTGTAAGATTTAAATAAGATAAACTATATAAATACTTTAAAGAGTAGCTGTAATATGGTCATTCAAATGTCTTTGATTATCTCTATTAATATTTGTTATTGCTGTTGTTTTTCTTCTAATCTATATTCTTTCAGATGAGTGTGTCTAACTGCTTCCTATATATATCAACTTCCATGCCCCATAGGTACTTCAAATTTATTATGTCTAAAAGTGGACATATTTCCTTCTCTCCTAATCTTTTTCTAATGTATTCCCTATCTCCACAAATGATCCACTCCCACTGTTGCTCAAACCAGAAACCTGGAAGTTATCTTATATTTTGTTTTTCAATCACCAGGCAGTTGTCAAACAAGACTCTATTGCCTTAAATTTTTTTTTTAATTTTTTTTTTTTTTTTTTGAGACAGCGTCTCTCTCTGCTGCCCAGGCTAGAGTGCAGTGGTGCAATCTCAGCTCACTGCAACCTCAACCTCCCAGGTTCAAGAGATTCTCGTGCCTCAGCCTCCTGAGTAGCTGGGATTACAGGCATGTGCCACCACACCTGGCTAATTTTTGTATTTTCAGTAGAGACAGGGTTTCGTCCTGTTGGCCAGGCTGGTCTCGAACTCCTGACCTCAGATGATCTACCAGTCTCGGCCTCCCAAAGAGCTGGGATTACAGGCATGAGCCACTGCACCCAGCTTATTGCTTTAAATTCTTTAAAAAATATATTTTGCCTGCTCTTTCCCAAAGCCATTTCTTTGGTCCCCTCTGCAGTTCTAATGTTCAGGCCTGACTCTAGCTTGAACCCCTGTGAATCCTTCACAATACCTCCAATGTATTGTCACATTAAATAACAAAATCTGGAATGTCTAGATGCTGAGTTCAGGATTAGACTAAAACTTTGGATTAACACCTAGTCTTATAGCATGTCTCTTCTCCTGTGGGTGCAGCCCACAGGGAGGCCTGGAAGATCTTCAGACATGCAGGGTTATTCCTTGTTCTTCTCTGCCCAACCAACATCTACTTTCTGTCAAATCTCAGTTCAAGTAGTGATCCCTCTAAGATGCCTTTCAAAATATCCTGCATAATTTTCAATTCCCTTTCTCTGTGTGTTCATAGTGCCTTGTGAAAACCTTTATTGAAGAACTTGGGGTGCAGATTGTAATAGCCTGTTTGAGCATGGGAACAGTAACTTTTATGGATTATGTCTGAGCATAGTGCCTGAAACATGCTAAGTGCTAAAAAGTATTGTCTAGTCTGAAGAGAAATCAGAAAGGTGACCTTGGGATTTTTCTCTGGAAGGGATAGAGAATCAGTATCTTGTGTCCTATTTCCAATTTCCTACCTTACAGGGGCTAGCCGTGGACTATTGATGGGAAAGGAAAGAACAGACACTTTGACCTTAATTGAATCTTAAGCATACTTAAGAATTTGGGAACTTATGAAGCTTGAAGAAAAACTAATTTCAAAAAACTTTTTGTTTTCATAAATGTGGATATGCTAGATAGATGTGTTTTTCTTTATATAAAATCCATTAATGCATTTTTGTTTATGAATTATAATCTTTATAAAGGGGAGACTGTTCCATTAACACAGCTCAGAAATGATATTTACAGTATTTCCATAAAAAGACCTCTTTAGACCAGGCTTTAGTAATTTGAGCATTATAAGAAAGGAGGAGGTGGGGTCTTCTTTGGGAATATCACTTCACAACGGAAGCTAACAGTCTCTTTCTCTGAAGGTGATTTTCTCTACCCACTTTCTCATGCCACTAAATTTAAGATCTACCTGGGATTAGATTAAAACTGGGTTTCCCTTCAAGCACAGAGAACAAAATATATTGGTAAATCCTGTCTTTCATTCCACAAAAGCAGAATTATATTCACTAATTTGCTGTGTATTCTGTATACGTAGGTCTTATTTGTTGCGTGCAAAACCTATCCGTGATAATCTTCATGGCAATGCTATATTGGAAGATGTTTTTTATCACTTCAATGCCTAGTCAAAATATAACAATAAAACTGTATTCAGAATTTAAAAGAGGCTCTTTTTAAGCAGACAGTATGAGTGTTTGGAGTTATTTGGCAGGAAAATCAAAAGAAAACTAAAGATTGCTAAAAATTAAAGTTAGCTGGAGCTTGAAAAGTACACTACAATTTATAGGTAAAATTCTGCAGTAAGAGAAAATGTTAAAAAAAGAAAAAAAGAAAGAAAGAAAGAAAAAAAAAGCCAAGTATCTGCAGAGTGATTCTTAGCAGGAGTGGCTCTAAAGGACAAACCCAAGGACATCTACCACTTTAAGCTCTTGTTTCACAAGGAACAAAGTAATTGCTTTGCCGCTGCAATTAATCAACTCAAATATTTTATAGAGACTAATTATTGGCTATGAAAATATATACTGTAATTTATTATTTAAAGATACTTTTTTCTTCCTGAACAAATACTTACTTTTAAAATAAATTCATTTTTGTTTTGATATATTTTATCAGCCAATAATTTAGTAACCTAATAGTAACTTTTCTTCACCTTTTCAAAGCAGATATTATTTATTTCTTCCTGCTTAAGGTTTTGTGTATTAGAGAACGATGCTGATACTAACTTCTGATTTTTTCTTCTAGATGGAGGTAGCTCCACTCCATTCCTGGCCTCTCCACACCTACTCCTTTAATTTCTTCTATCCTGAGATGAGAGAGTGAGTTACCTGCTCAGTAAATTTAGAAAGAGTAAACTGGGCATGCATAGCCCACCTCCCCCTCTTCTTTGTTTTACCAGCAAGGTCCCTGACCTTGCTGATTTTATTCTTTTCCAAGGATGGGCACTGTTAGCATGACAGATGAGGGAGAAAGTGCACATCTTCCCATATATGGGGCTAACAGACCTAAACTCATATCCTATGATGATAATAAAAAGGGTATCTTGGCCTCAGTCTGCACTTTTTTTTCTTCTTCTTCTTCAGTTTTTTCAGAACCTACATGGGAAGAGGGGCGCTCTTTATTAGGTCTTCTCATGGAATGTTAACAGTTGGTGCACGGACCAGGCATATAGAGAATGAAAAGTGGAATTTCTTCAGCAAAATATACATTTGGAGACTCTTGGCTTAAGATCTAAGGTTTTGAGCTTTAGTTTAGGGACAAGGCATTTTGACATCGGTAGTTTATAGAATTTTCTATTAGGTCCTTGGAGGGAAACTGTCCATTGACTTTCATCTGCTGTGACCTGGACGAAAGTTTTAATTTAGCTGCATGACAGCTTGCCCTGCATGGGTAACTGCAACTTCCAGTAGCTTGATCTGTGGCTGAGGGTCTGTATTTTACATTGTTCAGCAGATTCTATATAGGCAATGAGGAAGATGAGTGAATGGCCTCATCAGAGAAAAATGGGAGGCTGTGAAAGTAACTCAGGGAAACACCAAGGCCTTAGTAAGAAATAGGAACACTTTTACACTGTTGGTGGGATTGTAAACTAGTTCAACCATTGTGAAAGTCGATGTGGCGATTCCTCAGGGATCTAGAACCAGAAATACCATTTGACCCAGCCATCCCATTACTGGGTATATACCCAAAGGATTATAAATCATGCTGCTATAAAGACACATGCACACGTATGTTTATTGCGGCACTATTCACAATAGCAAAGACTTGGAACCAACCCAGATGTCCAATAATGGTAGACTGGATTAAGAAAATGTGGCACATATACACCATGGAATACTATACAGCCATAAAAAATGATGAGTTCATGTCCTTTGTAGGGACATGGATGAAGCTGGAAACCATCATTCTCAGCAAACTATTGCAAGGACAAAAAACCAAACACCACATGTTCTCACTCATAGGTGGGAATTGAACAATGAGAACACATGGACACAGGAAGGGGAACATCACACACCAGGGACTGTTGTGGGGTGGGGGGTGGGGGGAGGGAGGAGGGATAGCATTAGGAGATATACCTAATGCTAAATGACGAGTTAATGGGAGCAGCACACCAATATGGCACATGTATGTATATGTAACAAACCTGCACGTTGTGCACATGTACCCTAAAACTTATAGTATTAAAAAAAAAAAAAAAAGCTACAGCAAGGATTAAATTACAGGCAACACATAACCTCAGGGGAGGCACTGCTTTGACTGCACTGCTGCAGCTTTTCCAGGGCAATGATTCAATTATAAGAAAAGGTTCAACCCTAAAACTTAAAGTATAATAAAAAAATACAAATAAAAAATTAAAAAAATTTTAAAAAAGAAAAGAAAAAGTGATTTTATAGGTCTTTAAGGCATTTGTGAACTGAAAAATATTTCTGTGTTGTGTGTGTGTTTTTTTTTTAACAGCAAAGCAACTGAGTTGAGTCTGGTAGGAGATATTAGAAAGATTATTGGTTAAATTATTAGTATCAGGCCTACAAGTAGCACTTGTTTCACTGTACTAAATTCTGTTCTGCATTCAGAGCCAAACGGGTATCTGTCCACTTGCTAAATTGAAGCTAAACTTGCATCCATGTGGCTTTTACCTGAGGGCTATTTCCTGGCCATATGGCCTCAAGTTAGCATTCGATTAATTATATGCGTGGGAAAAGTTTTCCCCAAGAGGTATAATTCGTACACCTAAGCCATTCTGTAGCAAGTGGTGGTAAAAATAGCTACCGTGGCTCAGGACTGAAAAATCAGTTGATGAGAGAGTATGAATGCTACGTCACTGTGTAGAGATACATTTACTTCCATAGTCAAAGGTAGGAAACACAGGGCTCAAAGAAATATACACTAAGAGGTTAGGCAGAAATTGTAAATGCATACTGCCAAAACTATCTTCTTCCCATGGAATTTAATCCAAGTGAGTTTATAAGACTTAGATTATGGACTTTAAAACAAAGAAGATTTTCCTCTCCACAGACAACACTGAGTTTTTTCATGGTTTTTGGAAACGTTAAGAATTCATGAAACTGAGTGTGCCTTGTCTTTCCTGATCTTGGGAGGAAAACAGTCTTTCGCCACTAAAAATTATATGATCTGTAGATTTGCAATTTATAGGGGATTGAGGAAGTTCCTTCTTTCCAAGTTTGCAAAAAAAAAAAAAATTATTGCGAATGGATGTTGAATTTTGTCACACTTTTCACACATTTTTGTTCATGTGTTTTCTTTAGTTTGTCAATATGGTGATTGACACTGATGTTTGAATGTTGAAAAGTCTTGCGTTTTCCTTTTAATACTTTGATTTCAATTTACTATTATTTTGATGAGGAATATTTTGTGTGTTCCTGTTAATGGGTATGTTGGTGTATCATTTTCCTTCTTTTTGTCTGTCTGCTTTTGATATTAGAATAAAATGAGTGGGGAACTAGTCACTCTGCTTCAGTTTTTTTAAAGTGCTTGTAGAATTAATACTATTTCCTTCATAAATGTTTGATAGACTTAATAATCAAAGGCATTTTTCCCTGGACTATTCTTTGTAGGAAGGTTTTGCAAATTTATTTCATAAGAATATGACTATTCAAGTTTTCTGTTTCCTCATAAATGTGCTTTTGTAGTTTTTGTCTTTCATGAAATTTATTTCATCTAGTTTGTCAAACTTATTGGCAAAAGTTGTTTATTCTTATTTTCTTTTTATATTTGTAGAGTTTCTAGTCCTATTTTCTACTTTATTAAGGTGGAAGCTTAGATGATTGATTTGAAATGTCTCTATATCTTGTTTTCTATCTTTCCAATATCAGTATTTAATGTTACAAATTTCCCACTAACAACTTCTTTAACTGCATCCTAAAACTGTTGATATATTTTCTTATAATTCAGGTCAAAGCTTTTAAATTTCCCTTGAAATTTCCTATTTTATTCATGGGCTATTTATAATTGAATTAATTTTAAAATATTTGGGCATTTTCCAGGCATTTTTCTGCTATGATTTTTTGTTTAAATTTATTATGATCAGAGAACATATTTTGTATAGTTTAAATTCTTTTAAATAAAAAGTTAGAATATGGTCTAACCTGATGAAAGTACATTATGTATTCTGTTAGACTGAGTTTTCTGTAAATGTTAATTAGATCAAGTTGGTTGCTTGTGTTGTTTGAATCTTCTTTAATCTTACTGATTTTCTGTCTGCTTATTCTATCAATTACTGAGAGAGGAGTATTAATGTTTCCAAATATAATTGTGAATTTGTCCATTTCTCCTTTTGATTCTATACATTTCTGCTGAATGGATTTTGAAGTTCTATTGTTAGATGCATATACCATTAAGATGGTTATGTCTTCTTGGATAAATGGTCCCTTCACTGTTTGTAATGTCCGTTTAAATTCCTCATTCTATTGCTTGTTCAGAAGTCTACTTTTGCTGATATTAATACAGCTGCCTCAGCTTTCTTGATCTGTGTTTTCATGTTTTCTATATATTTGCTTAAGTATTTTCAAGTTTTTCATTCTTTTAGCCTATCTATATGTTTAAAAGTGGATTTATTTTCCTTTTGTTTTTGGTTTCCAGCAGTTCGAAAATGATATACCTAAGTGTGTGCCTTTTGATATATATCCTGTTCCTTGTTTTCTGAACTTCTTTGGTGTCTGATATTAATTTTGAAAATTCTTACCCATTATTTGTTCAACTATTTCTTTTGCCTCTTTCTTACTGTTTCTGGCGTTCTAATTATACACATATTGTACCATTTGATTTTGACCCCCAGCTCTCAGATGCTCTGTTCTTTTGTTTTGTTTGCTTGTTTTCCTCTTTTCTTCTGTTTTTCTGTTCTTTTTGTCTTGACTTAGATAATTTCATTTGAACTCTCTTCATGTTTATTAGTTCTTTCTTTGACTGTGTTGAGTCCACTGATAAGCCCATCACAGGCATTCTTTTTCTCTCTATTGTGCTTTTCATTTCAGACATTTCCATTTGATTTGTTCTTATCATTTCCATCTCTGCTAAAATTATCCTCTGATCTTACATGTTTTCCACCCTTTCCACTAAAATTTTTAATCAAATAATAAAAATAGTCTTAATTTTCCTTTCTAATAGTTCCTAAAAGTACATTATACCTGAGTCTGGTTCTGTTGATTGCTTGTCTGTTGAAAGTATATTGATTTTTCTTTTTTATGTCTTTTATTTTTGGCATATCTTTATTTCTGTAGAAAGCTGGACATTTTTTACAGAACTCAAATAGAGCC
Organism: Homo sapiens; assembly: GCF_000001405.40. NCBI lineage: Eukaryota > Metazoa > Chordata > Mammalia > Primates > Hominidae > Homo > Homo sapiens. The sequence continues at coordinate 183,633,201 of NC_000002.12, read as the reverse complement.
TTAGTTGTAAATACTTTTCATTCCTGGAAATGGGCACATCTTTCTGCTTGCTTTTTCTATGAGGTTTGAGTCAATCCAGTCAGAAATTGAACAGGGTTTCAGTTTAATTGCTGCTATGGTTATCTTCAGATCACTAGCGTCTTCAAGTTCCTTTAATGATCCTGCCCCTCCCTCAGGGCACTGTCTTTTTGTTTTTCCTGTTCATGTCCCCCAACTATAGTTGCTAAGATATTTTCCCCATTCCCCCAAGCTGTTTAGTGGAAGAATATAAGTGGAGTTTTGTCCCTCTCCCACATTGGTTGCTGTTTATTCCCCCAAGGCTTCTACACCACACACATGAGCTCTTTTAGAACTCTTACTAATCTTTTTTTGTGAGCCCCTGGTTAGTTACAGGAAGAAGAACCTACGAGTGGGTGTGTATTCTGGTGCCTGAAGCCCTCATGATTTCTGTATTCTATTATACTCAACTTTAAGCAATTCATTAAGATTTTTAGTTGAATTTTCTTACTGACATCTAGAGGCATCTGTTCAAGTAAAATATTGCTTCCATATCATTTCTTCTTGGGGGCACCTGTCTTTCCTTAGATTTTTGGCTCGTTAGTTGCCTAACCAGAAATTTGTTAGTTGCTAGCTCTCTAATAGGAGCAAGAATATTGTGAATTTTAGATTGCCTGACAGATTTTTTGTATTAGTTGGTGATGTTATCATTGTAAATGTGGCAGTAATACTCCTTCCAGGTTTCCACATCCTGAATAGAATCCAGAAGTCCTATCTTTTTTTGTTTCTTGCTATAAAATCTTGAAATACCATTACCAAATGAGATTGTTTATTCATTAGCTCATCCATCCATCCATCCTTTCATCCATTCATATATTATATTTCCAGAATGTGTATTGTGTGTAAGGATGCCAAGGTCAACTAAACAAATATACTCTTCCTTGAATATTTTGAACCAGCTACTCTTTAATCTAGGTTGACTCCATATTAGTTCTGATGAGAAAGAACATTACTGTCTTAAGAAATATTTCTCAAGTTTTAATAGTTGCTAGACTCCTTTTAGAAGAAAATTTTTATGTACCTTCCAGTATAGTTGTTTGAAAAATACTTTAGAAATGGTTTTATTAAACTATATCTTGAATTGCAAATTAGATGTAAAGTTTAGCCACTATTGCTAGTAAAATAACTTTAAAAGATTATTATTAGATTAAAACCATAAAACAAAGTTCTCATGGACCTCACTGACCTTTAATAATATGCCTATATCACCAGTTTAAGTAACAGTAGACTAGGTTAATTTCTAGAACTTCTTGCTAGCTTTGTAATTATCTGATTATATAGCTAAAGAATGAATTTGTGAGTAGTGAAAGACGAATGTAATATTTTGAACTTCAAAGCTCTTTCTAATAATACAAATATTTTTCTTTTGTCAGGGAATGGCATTTTTAGTCTGACTTGGTTAATGTTTAAATGAGAATTTATTAGGACTCTGTAGTGCCTATCAACTGTTAGCACCAGGTCTAAAAACAAAGTCTGACAAGTAAGAAAATGATAGTGCTATTGTTATTAGCTGTGTTAGCAAAACAGCAGTGCCATCAGTGGTACTGGGAGATTGTGGTCAAGTAAGTAGTATCAACAGGACTGTCAAAGCACTTTCACACAGCAGTGGTCTCAGAAGTGTTATACATAACATATTTGAGTAACAGTGTTTTTAGGAATGCTGTTAATCATGCTTTTGAATGACAGTAGTCTCTATAGTATTATAAATAGCAAGAGTGAATGATAAGACCATTAAGGATAGGCTTAACAGAAATAGATGAGCTTGAAATAGTTTGGAATTCAGGTTCAGCTTGATCATTCAGAAGTTTGTTTACACAAATTATTGAGTAGAAGTCTTGAGAGAACTGACTCAAATTTTTTCAAATTCACCTTTAAAATGCAACGAACATGTTAACCATTGTGAAATATCAAATAGCTCATAGTCATCCTTGTTACATAATATTCTCAGAGACACTTAAGCATGCTGTAAAAACATTGCATAAAATCTACCTCCTTTGCAACTAGGGAGTGAAGATTATTCTCATACCAGCATTATTGATGTGTTATTTTAGGACTAAATATAGAAGGTATGAATGTCCTTAGGAAATATCATGAAGCAATGTTAAATTTGTTGAAAAGTTTTATACAAATAGGAAAAATATTTGCTGGTAAGAAAAGATGCTCCTTTTAGCCGTGTCTTCAAAGAATCCATTGCTATGAGATCTGTTTCTGTCTCATAACGCTTTCAAGTAATCAGGAAGACTAGTGGAGGGATAGGACAGGACTAAAGGACCCCTAAGAGACAAAAATACATCAAATAAAAGCAAAATGGGAATGGAGATTAGAATTAGGATTGCCGAAACTCTTATAGAAAACATTAAACTTTAGGAATTGGGTAGAACATTAGTCAAAAGTAAAAGAACATTAGTTATGGTGGAGTAATACACAGAATCTAAGAGCGTGTGTCTATATTGTGTGTATGATTGCAAGTTAAATTGATTCTGGAAAAATGTTCAGTGAATATAAATAAGTGCTAGCAAATGATAAAACTAGATTATTTCCTTGTCCAAATATAATACTATTTAAATTAATTTATGTGATTTGTTTATCCAAGTGCTCAATGACAATATTTGGAATGAAGGGGAAAAAGGGAAACAATGCTTTTTTCTAGTCACAGTGACTAAGGAAGGGTTGCTATTTGTATTAAGTGCTTTGTGGGCCAGGGATGCTAAATTTCTTTCCATGTAAAGAACATATATGGACATAACAAAGAACTGTCTTGCTTCAAATGAGAGACACTGGGATGAGATTAATCAGTATACCCATTTAAAGTAATAGTGAACTATCACATATTTTCAACAGTAAGTGCATAATTTTGCTTAGTTCTTATAGCTTGCATCTCAGGCACATGGTCATCTACAGATAAAGGATGCCAATCTCTTTGCAACATGACATAATGGAAAGAAAAGCAGATTTTTTTATTTCTAGTAAGTTTAAGTTTGGACCTAAGGATAGTATAATCCACCATGCTCTAGAACACTTTCCATTCTATATTGTACCATTGGATGAGTATAAAACTTTGAGCTTACACTTGGAAATAACAGAAGTACACATAACTTGCAAGCATGATGAATGTTTAAAAATAAACTTTTCAACAACAAGAATTTGGTTCCAATATATAGGTGTTGAATAAATTTTAAGTTAGCTGGGGATAGTAAGAGGATAAGTGCACAATAAGAAAAAGAAATAACTGGAGATGAGTAAGCGAAACTAGCACTTTGTAGATATCAGACACAAGATTTGTCAAAAAGCCTTGAGAAAGAAAAAAAGAATATGAGGGAAATTAAACTGTTGTCTTAGAACCACATTGATATTTCATCTGAAAGTAGGGACTGGGATTGGATACATACTATATTGATGGAACAAGAATCTGCAGAGGAGAATTGTAATCTCTTTTATAAAACCAGGAAGGTTTGAACGTTTAGGTAGAGCACAAATACCTGTTAAGTATCCTTATTGTCTATAGCAAAGTGGCTCAATTGTATAAGCTGATGAGCTGCTGATTCTTGGGGCAAAAGAGTATACTGATTCTGATAAGAAATTATGTTAAAAATCAGTATATATTAGACCTTATTGCTCATTTAATATGCTTGACAAGACCCTTATATGGTCAGTAGTTAGAAAGTTGCTTTGTTCAGTTTTTTTCAATGAAGATAGAAATGTTTATGAGAGTCTGTAGGGTGGCTCCACTCCTCAGTATCACTAACCTGACTTCTCTTAAGAGCTTATGTTCATTAATTTTTCTAGTATGAGGTTTTTATACAACCTCAATTGAGTATTTTAATGTTTTTTACATTCACTAATTATTCATATGCGTGATAGGTATTTTAATAAACATTCCAACTTTTTACAAATGCTTTATCTGAATGGTATATATCTCTATTTCTTGTGGAATGCTGTTTTGGGTGAGGGCTTTAAAAATTGTATAAAATATTTGTACTATTAATAATTATAAATAAGAATTTATACTATTAATAGCTATCATTTATTTGGGGTCTGCTATGTGCAGGCACTTTGCATACATTCTTTTTAATACTCCTAATAACATTTCAAGATAGTGTTATTATTCTTAGTTTAGAGGTAATTCCTAGTTTATACAGGAAATGTTGGAAGGGCTGGGCCTCAAAGGCCCAAAGCCTTATTACGTATTTTTTTTACTGTATTATTATGCATGTATCAAAAACAGTTGGGTTTGAACAGAGAAGCAAAGCCATTATGAATGACATAGAATGAAGAACATTGTATAGAAGTTTGACCTTACACAATTGCAGGAGCTGGTTCAGCACTCCATTTGAGGCTCTCACTTCTCTATCTGGTGATGTATATGAAATCAGCAGTAAGGCAGGTGGGAATGGAAGATGGATGTGAAATGTTGCTGAGCCAGGGATGAAATGGAACCCATGAGGATGAACTGGAAAAGACTATGACAAACTGCAACTTCCTCCTGTCTTCACTGACTCCAATTTCAGTAATGCTAGTGACTTGCAGAAAACATTGGCATAGTTGGTTCTGATGCTGAATAAGCATCTAAACTAGGATTGCAAGAAACTGGAGGAAGAAGTCAGAAGGGAGCTAGAGGAGCTGCTAGCCCAAGCCAAGAAGATAAGCAAGTAGATCAGTGATGATTGTGTGATTTGCAACAGCATGAGATTCTGAACTGGACCTCTGAAGGAAAACATGGCTACTATGCTTCACTTCTGCCTTCCAAGCTTCATGCAAATTACCCTGTGATCACTCCTGATGCAGAACCACGGGGATGAGAAATCTGAGAAAAATTCCAGCTTCACTTAACTGACAGTGCAAAGCCACTACACTTACTTATAGGCATGGCTGATTTTCTAGCAAGTAAGTTATACAGAAGGATATTAAATGAAACCTTGCATTTCCACACATTTATTTTTCTCTTCTTATCAAATATATTTATAGTTGTTATGTCTCAATCTACTGGGAAAATAGATGTATACAGTAATATTTTTCAGACGAAAAAGAGACAGATGCAAATTTTTACTATTCATAATATCATTTATTTATTTTACATCAAGAAAGCCAAAAATGGATGAAATCTATTGACTAAAGTTTTGAAGCATTGAAAATGTTATCTGAAATATTTTGTAACTCAAACTAGGGGTGTCTACAGTTCTAATGAGTTCTGCATGAATAGAGAAGATGATAATGAATATCATTAGAGAAGAGGGGATGGAGCAGTTGTTTTTGTTCTACTCTGTTGTTGCAATCTTCAAATACAAGCAGGAAATTTCTCTAGGAGTCACAGTGTTCCAATAAAAACATTTTAGATATGACATTTTGGTACAAAGAAATGAATATATTCATAAGGAAGAAATCTAATGTGTCTATTAATAAACAGGTGCATTGTTTTGTGATATAGATTAGGGGGCTAAGACTAAGAGTAGAACTATGAATGCCAAAATACATATAGAAATGAGAAAAAATCAGCTAAGAGTTGATAGATATTCACAACTTCTCAGAGATGATAACTTCAGCATTCTAAGAGACCTTTGCTGCTCTATTCTCCTTCTTCCTGCCCTCTCCCTCCTATATCAACATGTGCACACACACACACACACACACACACACAATTTATATGTAGTAATATGATTTGTAACCTGCTTTTCATATGTAACAGTATCATTAAGATATCACTGCTGGGCACGGTGGCAGATCACCTGAGATCAGGAGTTTGAGACTAGCCTGGTCAACATGGTGAAACCCCGTCTCTACTAAAAATACAAAACTTAGCCAGGTGTGGTGGCACACACCTGTAATCCCAGCCACTCAGGAGGCTGAGGCAGGAGAATTGCTTGAACCTGGGAGGTGGAGGTGGCAGTGAGCTGAGATCGTGCCACTGCACTCCAGCCTGGGCGACAGAACGAGACTCCATCTCAAGGGCGAAAAAACAAAGGGGATCACTGACATTTATCAGTGGCATAATATATACCTATATACATAATCTTAAGTGTTTAAATATTCTTCTACGGATTTTGTAGTTTCTAATCATACTTCTGTCCTTAGACATTTAGGCTGTTTCAATTTTTTCATTGTATAAATATCCCTATTGCATTATTTACTTCAGTTTAATTACTGGAAGATAAATTGTTGAGTTAACGACTGAATATTTTTAAACTTTTGGTAAGAAATAACAAAAAGCTTATATCAATTGACATGCCTATCAACATTATAGTAGCATATCTGTTTACACCAACAGTAGGATTTATTACCTTACTTGCTAAATTTGTATGGAAAAGCACTTAATATTTTCTTAATTTTTTTAACTAAGTAATGATTTATTGCAGTGGGTGAAGCTAGTTATATATTTCTTCTTGTGTACTTGCCAATTTATGTACTCTGCCACATGTCTATTGAAACAATCATGTCTTGTGATTTCCAGGAGTGTTTCCTATATCAACAATAATGCATTATTTCATACATATATTTTTAAAATAATTTATAACATCCTGATTCTAACAAGCTGTATTTGGTCTCTATAAAGATGCTTGTAGGAATATTACTTGTTTTGAAACTTGTGGATCCTCCTAGAGTAACATACATTTTTGTGCCATATTTTAGTGATTCAGATGAAGTCAACTAATTACACTATCATAGATTCTAGTGCTCTTATGTCCATCGTTTGGACAATTAACCCATTGAAAGTATCATTTAGTAGAACTTACCTCCTACTTCAATCTAGAATTGATGCACAATGTCAATAAAAGACTCTAATACCCTGAATTCATGTTTTCTTCATTTAAAAATGTCTTATTTTGCAAAAACATGATTTATAGAAGAATTGCAAAGATAATACAGATATTTTCTGTATACCTATCACCCAGCTTCCTCTAATTTTAATATTTTATATAACGACAATTCTGTTATCAAAACGCTAAGATAGTAACATTGGCACAGTGCTATTAACTACAGACTATTCAATTTCCCTAGTTTTCCACTAATGTCCTTTTTCTGTTCTAGGATTCAAACCAGAATACCACATTACACTTAGTTGTCATATCTCTTTTGTGTCCTCTAATCTGTGACAATTACTTAGCATTCTCTTTTCTTTCAGTGCTTTAACACTGTTAAAAAGTAGTGGTCAAGTACTTTTGCATTGCCCCTCAATAAAGGTTTGGCTTATGTTTTCTCATTATTCATCTTAGGTTATGAATTTTGGGGAAGAATACCACAGAGGTGATGTATTCTAATTACATAGTATTGGGCTATGTGGTATTGATATGATTTATTATTGGTGATGTTAACATTTATCACTTAGCGCTATGGGTTATTATGTCCCCACTGAAATTCCTATGTTGAGGTCATAACCTCAACAGTACCTCAGAATGTAATCTTACTAGAAAAGAGTTCTTTGCAGATGTAATTAGTTGTAAGATGAGGTCTTAACCCTATTGGAATAGGGTGGGTCCCTAAGCCACTGTACTAGTCCATTCTCACATTGCTATAAAGAAATACCTGAGACTGGATAATTTATAAAGAAAAGAGGTGTAATTGGCTCATGATTCCACAAGCTGTACAGGAGGCATGACAGCATCTGCTCAACTTCTGGGAAGGCCTCAGGAAACTTACAATCATGGCAGAAGATGAAGGGGAAGCAGGCATGTCTTACATGGCTAGGAGCTACACACTTTTAAACAACCAGATATCATGAGAAGTCACTCACTGTCACAAGAACAGCAAGGGGGAAGTCTACCCCTGTGATCCAATCACCTCCCACCAGTCCCCTCCTCTATCACTGGGGATTACAATTCAACATGAGATTTGAGCAATGTATTAGTCTGTTCTCACACTGCTAATAAAGACATAGCTGAGACCGAGTATAAAGGAAAGAGGTTTAATTGACTCACAGTTCCGCAGGGCTGGGGAGGCCTCAGGAGAGTTACAATCATGGCAAAGGGGGAAGCAAACATGTCCTTCTTCACATGGTGGCAACAAGGAGAAGTGCAGAGCAAAGAGGGGGAAAAAAACCCCTTATAAAACCATTATATCTCGTGAGAACTCACTCTATAATCAGAACAGCATGGAGGTAACCACCCCCATGATTCAATTACCTCCCTCTGGGTCCCTCCCATGACAGGCGGGGATTATGAGAACTAGAGTTCAAGATGAGATTCGGGTGAGGACACAACGAAACCATATCAGGAGGGGACACGGAACCAAACCATATCACCCACTATGACTGCTGTCTTCATAAAAAGAGGTAATTTGGACATAGACACTAACATGAGAATGCCATGTGAAGATGAAGGCAGAGATTGGGGTGATGCTTCTGTAAGCCAAAGAATGCCAAAAGTTGCCAACAAACAACTAGAAGCTCAGAGAGAGCCACAGAAGGGATCTTTCTTCACAGCCCTCAGAGGGAACCAACTCTGTCAATAACCTGATTTTCAATTTCAAGCTTCCAGAACTATAAGACCAAATACATTTCTGTTGTTTGAGCCACTCCATTTGTAGAACTTGGTTATGGCAGTCCTAGCAAACTAACACTTGGTTAATCTTTCTCTACTGTGAGGTTACTATTTTCTCCCTTTCCATAGAAGTGACTCACTAGTTGAGCTAATTCTCAAAGGAAGAAAAATTGATTCACCTCCTGTGGGGAGAAGTATCAAAGTATTTGTGGACATATGTTAAAGCAGTCACAGTAATTAATACATTTTTGGGCTAGATACTTTGGGGCTATATAAATGTTCTGTTTCTTTTTAAGCTTTCATTCAATACTTTTAGCATTCCTTAGTGGATTTTGCCTGCAGTGATTATTATTGTAGTATTCTAGTGGTAATTATCTATTTTTTCTCATGGAGTCTACATTCATTACTTAGAGGTTTTATTTGATGGAGAGTTGTCCCTTCTCCCTCACTTACTCATTTATTTGTCATTTATTTATATAAGAATAAAATCAGATATTTTTCCCTTTGGATTATAATTTACTTTTGTCATTATTTATTTTCTTGCTCAAATTGTTGCAGCTTTTGCCATTAGTCATTCTTTCAGGTTGTTTCTGTATCCTTTGGAAATTGCTCTGTCAAAAAAATTCTTTCAACACATTCTTATTTTCAGATATCACAGAATGCTTTAGATTCATCTTATATTTTCTCTAACTCAGACCTGGAACCAACTATTTCTCCAGATAATCCTTGTGTTAGATAATGGTAGTTAGAGATCATGATCTGGATGCTACTTGGGTTTATTGCTACTATTATTTCACTTCTTCTAAGTCTCCTCGGCAAAGAGAGGCAGGATATGTATATATGTATGTGTGTTAACCCAAGTATATACACAAAGTATTTATATGTATTTCTTTATCTGTGTTTGTGCATGTGTATGTATATAATGTCAGATAAAATATTCATATTTATGTATCATAGTTTAGGGATCTGAACCAAAGGCTTATTAGGTAACTTCTCTAACATCATGAATTTACTTTATTTACTCATCTTAGTTCATCTTAAGTACATGTCTTCTGGTTCCTCGTCTCAAGTTTCTTAATAGTAGAAATGATATTTTATTCATTTCTATACTCCTAATAGTCCTAGTGTGGTACCCTGTAGAGGTCAGAGGCAATAAGTATCTGATAATTTGAAATATCCAGAGAGGTAGATTAATAAGTGAGAATAACCTTTCTCTCTTGAGGTTTCAATGTTTTCCTATATCAGCAAATTTCACCTTCAACTAAGATAAACTATTAAATGTCACCATGACTCAATTAACATATAAATCCTAAAATGTTAGTATGAAGGACATGGCAGTTAAAAAAAAAACTATGGAGTCACTAAATTATAAGATTATAAGAAACCTTGGAGATATGGTCAATTTCTCATTCCAGAAATGAAGAAATGAGCTTCAGAGGTGCTGAATAAATTATCCAGAGTCACACTTGGCTCCAAGGCAATGGATTTTGGGGACCACAAATGCCTCTCTCTGAGCATTTGTTGGAAGCTCTGACTGTGGCCCCTACTCTTGATTTTCCAGTCTTCGCATAAGACTACAGTTGTATGTGTGACAGCACTAACTTAAACATCTCAAGCACTGCTGATTTTCTTACTTTGAATGCTGTTTTTAAGCCCTTGCCTTGTTAGTGTAAGTGTTCTAAATACAAGAGCTTTTCTTCCTAGAGCATAACACTTTCCAAATAAACTGTATTTACAGTCAAGAAGGTACCAGGTATCCATCTACTTGACAGTATTTTATCCATCCCCACAAAAGATATGTTTAATGGTTAACCCCACTCACTGTAACCACATCCCACTTTCTATTGTCATGTTTTCTTGGTGCTGTTTTGTTTTCTCTCACTCTATTTCTAATACTCCCTCTTACCTTTAGATTTCTGCTTATAGAATTGCTGCTTCTGCCTACTCCCAACTATTCTCCCTAACTGCTACTTCCACTATTAAAGACATTAGTCAGATTCCAACAGGTAACTGTTAATAGATGCTATAGAATAACTATTCTATAGTTATAGAATAATGTAGGAGAAAACCAAGAGAATTCAGAAACAAGACAGAGTTTGGTAAGACCAGGATTCAAAGCCTGAGGAGGTCACAAAAATGTATGTCTTTGGGGATTCATAGAAATCTTAGGGAGGTCCTTGGTCTTCCAGGAGGTTTTGGAAGAAACATTGCCAATTTTATTTGAATCTGAAAGCTTAGAAAAACCTTATACAGGGGGATTCCCAGGCAAGATGGCTGAATGGGAACAGCTCCAGTCTGTAGTTCCCAAGGAGACCAACGCAAAAGATGAGTGATTCCTGCATTTCCAACTGAGCTACCTGGCTCATCTCACTGGGACTGGTTAGACAGTGGGTGCGGCCGATGGAGGATGAGCCAAAGCAGGGTGGGGTGTCACGTCAGCTGGCAAGCACAAGGGATCAGGGAACTCCCTCCCCTAGCCAAGGGAAGCCATGAGGGACTGTGACATGAGGGACAGAGCTATCTGGCCCAGATACTACACTTTTCCCACTGTTTTTGCAACCCGCATACCAGGAGATTCCCTTGGATGCCTACACCACCAGGGCCCTGGGTTTCAAGCAGAAAGCTGGGTGGCCATTTGTGCAGACACCAAGCTACCTTCAGGAATTTTTTGTACCCCAGTGGTCCCTGGAATGCCAGCAAGACAGAACAGTTCACTCCTCTGGAAAGGGCACTGAAGCTAGGGAGCCAAGTGATCTTAGTCAGCAGATCCCACCCCCATGGAGCTCAACAAGCTAAGATCCACTGGCTTGAAATTCTTGCTGCCAGCATAGCAGTCTGAAGTCGACCTGGGACACTTGAGTTTGGTGGGGGGAGGGGCATCCATCATTACTGAGACTTGAGTAGGTGGTTTTCCCCTCACAGTGCAAACAAAGCCACAGGGAAGTTTGGACTGGGCAAAGCCCACCACAGTGCCGCAAAACCCCTGTAGCCAGACTGCCTCTCTAGATTCCTCCTCTTTGGGCAGGGCATCTCTGAAAGAAAGGCAGCAGCCCCAGTCAGTCGCTTATAGATAAAACTCCCATCTCCCTGGGACAGAGCACCTCAGGGAAGGGACTGATGTGGGCACAGCTTCAGCAGACTTAAACGTTCCTGCCTGCCAGCTCTGAAGAGAGAAGCAGGCCTCCCAGCACACCGCTCGAACTCTGATAAAGGACACACTGCCTCCTCAAGTGGGTCCCTGATCCCCATGGCTCCTGATGGGGAGACACCTCCCAGCAGGGGTCAACAGACACCTCATAAAGGAGAGCTCCAGCTGGCATCTGGCAGGTACCCCTTTGGGACAAATCTTCCAGAGGAAGGAGCAGGCAGCAATATTTGTTGTTCTGCGGCCTCCACTGGTGATACCAAGGCAAACAACGTCTGGAGTGGACCTGCAGCAAATGCCAGCAGACCTGCAGAAGAGAGGCCTGACTGTTAGAAGGAAAACTAACAAACAGGAAGCAATAGCATCAACATCAACAAAAAAGATGACTACTCAAAAACCCCATCTGAAAGTCACCAACATCAAAGACCAAAGGTAGACAGTTCCATTAAAGTGAGGAAAAACGAGCACAAAAAGGCTGAAAATTCCAAAAACCAGAAAGCCTCTTATCCTCCAAATGATCAGAACTCCTCATCAGCAAGGGAAGAAAACTGGACAGAGAATGTGTTTGATTAACTGACAGAAGTAGGCTTCAGAAGGTGGGTAATAAAAAACTCCTCTGAGCTAAAGGAGTATGTTCCAACCCAATGAAAAGAAGCTAAGAACCTTGGTAAAAGGTTACAGGAACTGCTGACTAGAATAACCCGTTTAGAGAAGAACATAAATAACCTGATGGAGATGAAAAACACACAAGAACTTCGTGACACATACACAAGTATCAACAGCTGAATTGATCAAGCAGAAGAAAGGATATCAGAGATTGAAGATCAACCTAATGAAATAAAGTGTGAAGACAAGATTAGAGAAAAAAGAATGAAAAGGAACCAACAAAGCCTCCAAGAAATATGGGACTATGTGAAGAGACCAAACCTACGTTTGATTGGTGTACTGACAGTGACAGGGAGAATGGAACCAAGTTGGCAAACACACTTCAGGGTATTATCCAGGAGAACTTCCCCAACCTAGCAAGACAGGACAACATTCAAATTCAGGAAATACGGAGAACATCTTATGATACTCCTTGAGAAGAGCAACCCCAAGGCACGTAATTTTCAGATCCATCAAGGTTGAAATGAAAAAAAAAAAAAAGTTAAGGGCAGCCAGAGAGAAAGGTTGGGCTTCCCACAAAGGGAAGCCCATCAGACTAACAGTGGATCTCTCTGCAGAAACCCTACAAGCCAGAAGAGAGTGGGGGACAACATTCAACATTCTTAAGGAAAAGAATTTTCAACCCAGAATTTCATATCCAGCCAAACTAAGCCTCAGACATGAAGGAGAAATAAAATCCTTTACAGACAAGCAGATGCTGAGAGATTCTGTCACCACCAGGCCTGCTTTACAAGAGCTTCTGAAGGAAGCACTAAATATGGAAAGGAAAAACCAGTACCAGTCACTGCAAAAACATACAAAAATGTAAAGACCGTCGACACTAGAAGAAACTGCATCAACTAATGGGCAAAATAACCAGCTAGCATCAAAATGACAGAACCAGATTCACACATAACAACGTTAACCTTAAATATAAATGGGCTAAATGCCCCAATTAAAGACACACATGGGCAAATTGGATACAGAGTCAATCAAGACCCATCAGTGTGCTGTATTCAGGAGACTCATTACACATGCAAAGACACACATAGGCTCAAGGGCTGGAGGAAGATTTGCCAAGACAATGGAAAGCTAAAAAGGCAAGGGTTGCAATCCTAGTTTCTGATAAAACAGACTTTAAACCAACAAAGATCAAAAAAGACAAAGAAGGCCCTTACATAATGGCATATAAGGGATCAATACAACAAGAAGAGCTAACTGTCCTAAGTATATATGCACACAATACAGGAGCACTCAGATTTATAAAGCAAGTTCTTAGAGACCTACACAGAGACTTAGACTCCCATACAATAATAGTGGAAGGCTTTATCACCCCACTGTCAATATTAGATCAAGGAGACAAAAAATTACAAGGTTATTCAGGACTTAGCACTGGACCAAGCAGACCTAATAGACATCTACAGAACTCGCCACAAAAAATCAACAGAATACATTTTTCTCAACAACAGATAGCACTTATTCACATAATTGGAAGTAAAACACTCCCCAGCAAATGCAAAAGAACAAAAATCATAACAAACAGTTTCTCAGACCACAGTACAATCAAATTAGGACTCAGGATTAAGAAACTCACTCAAAATCGCCAACTACATGGAAACTGAACAACCTGCTCCTGAATGACTACTAGGTAAATAACTAAATTAAGGCAGAAATAAGTAAATTCTTTAAAACCAATGAGAACAAAGGGACAACATACCAGAATCTCTGGGACACAGCTAAAGCAGTGTTTAGAGGAAAATTTATAGCACTAAATGTCCATAGGAGAAAGCAGGAAATATCTACAATTGACACCCTAACGTCACAATTAAAAGAACTAGAGAAGCAAAAGGAAAAAATTCAAAAGCTAGTAGAGACAAGAAATAACAAAGATCAGAGCAGAGATCAAGGAGATAGAGACATGAAAAACTGAAAAACCCTTCAAAAAATCAATGAACCCAAGAGCTGGTTTTTTGAAAAGATTAACAAAATAGACCACTATCCAGACTTATAAGGAAGAGAGAAGAATCAAATAGACACAATAAAAAATGATAAAGCAGATATCACCAATGATCCCACAGAAATAAAAACTACCATCAGAGAATACTATGAATACCTCTATGGAAATAAACTAGAAAATCTAGAACAAATGGATAAATTCCTGGACACATATGCCCTCCCAAGACTAAACCAGGAAGAAGTCGAATCCCTTAATAGACCAATAACGAGTTCTGAAATTGAGGCAGTAATTAATAGCCTACCAACCACAAAAAGCCCAGGACCAGACGGATTCACAGCAGAATTCTATGAGAGGTAGAAACAGGAGCTGGTACCATTCCTTCTGAAACTATTCCAAACAATGGAAAAAGGACTCCTCTTTAACTCTTTTTATGAGGCTAGCATCATGCTGATACCAAAACCAGGCAGAGACATGACAAAAAAACAGAAAATTTCAGGCCAATATCCCTGATGAATATCATGCGAAAATCCTCAATAAAACACTGGCAAACTAAATCCAGCAGCATATTAAAAAGCATATCCACTACAATCAAGTCAGCTTCATCCCTGGGATGCAAGGCTGGTTCAACATACACAAATGAATAAACGTAATCTATCACATAAACAGAACCAACAAAAACCACATGATTATCTCAATAGATGCAGAAAAGGCCTTCAATAAATTCAATACCCCTTCATGCTAAAAACGCTCAATAAACTAGGTATAGATGAAATGTATCTCAAAATAATAGCTATTTATGACAAACCCACAGCCAATATCATACTGAATGGGCAAAAGCTGGAAGCATTTCCTTTGAAAACTGGCACAAAACAAGGATGCCCTCTCTCACCACTCCTATTCAACATAGTATTGGAAATTCTGACCAGGGCAATCAGGCAAGACAAAGCAATAAAGGGTATTCAAATAGGAAGAGAGAAAGTCAAATTGTCTCTGTTTGCAGATGACATGATTGTATATTTAGAAAACCACATCGTCTCAGCCCCAAATCTCCTTAAGCTGATAAGCAACTTCAGCAAAGTCTCAGGATACAAAATCATTGTGCAAAAATCACAAGCATTCCTATGCAGCAATAACAGACAGAGACCCAAATAGTGAGTGAACTCCCATTCACAATTGCTACTAAGAGAATAAAATACCTAGGAATACAACTTACAAGGGATGTAAAGGACCTCTTCA
This sequence comes from Homo sapiens, assembly GCF_000001405.40. Taxonomy (NCBI): domain Eukaryota; kingdom Metazoa; phylum Chordata; class Mammalia; order Primates; family Hominidae; genus Homo; species Homo sapiens. Next base: position 183,617,690 of record NC_000002.12, on the reverse strand, counting down.
AGGAGAACTGCAAACCACTGCTCAAGGAAATAAGAGGACACAAACAGATGGAAAAACATTCCATGCACAAGGATAGGAAGAATCAATATTGTGAAAATGGCCATACTGCCCAAAGTAATTTACAGATTCAATGCTATTCCCATCAAGCTACCATTGACTTTCTTCACCAAATTAGAAAAATCTACTTTAAATTTCATGTGAAAGCAAAAAAGAGCCTGCAGAGCCAAGACAATCATAAGCAAAAAGAACAAAGCTGGAGGCACTAAGCTACCTGACTTCAAACTATATTACAAAGCTACAGTAACCAAAACACCTTGGTCTGATACCAAAACAGATATATAGACCAACAGAACAGAACAGAGGCCTCAGAAATAACACCACACATCTACAAGGATCTGATCTTTGACAAACCTGACAAAAACAAGAAACGGGGAAAGGATTCCCTATTTAATAAATGGTGTTGCAAAAACTGGCTAGCCATATGCAGAAAACTGAAACTGGACCCCTTCCTTACACCTTACACAAAAATTAACTCAAGATGGATTACAGATTTAAACATAAGATCTAAAACCATAAAAACCCTGGAAGAAAACCTAGGCAATACCATTCAGGACATAGGCATGGCAAATTCTTCATGACTAAAACACCAAAAGCAATGGCAACAAAAGCCAAAACTGACAAATGGGGTCTAGCTAAACTAAAAAGCTTCTGCACAGCAAAAGAAACTATCATCAGAGTGAACAGGCAACCTTCAGAATAGGAGAAAATTTTTGCAGTCTACCCATCTGACAAAGGGCTAATATCCAGAATCTACAAGAAACTTAAACAAATTTACAAGAAAACAACCCCATCAAAAAGTGGGTAAAGGATATGAACAGACATTTTTCAAAAGAAGACATTTCTGTGGCCAAACAAACATGAAAAAAGCCCATCACTGGTTATTAGAGAAATGCAAATCAAAACCACAATGAAATACCATCTCATACCAGTTAGAATAGTGATCACTAAAAAGTTGGGAAACAGATGCTGGAGAGGATGTGGAGAAATAGGAACGCTTTTACACGTTGGTTGGAATGTAAATTAGTTCAACCATTGTGGAGGACCGTGTGGTGATGCCTCAAGGATCTAGAACTAGAAATACCATTTGATCCAGCAATCCCATTACTGAGTATATACCCAAAGGATTATAAATCATTCTTTTATAAAGACACATGCACATGTATGTTTATTGCAGTACTATTCACAATATCAACGACTTGGAGCCAACCCAAATGCCCATCAATGAAAGACTGGATGAAGAAAATATGGCACATATACACCATGGAATACTATGCAGCCATAAAAAAGGATGAGTTCATGTCCTTTGCAGGGAAATGGATGAAGCTGGAAATCATCATTCTCAGCAAACTAACACAGGAACAAAAAACCAAACACCATCTGTTCTCACTCATAAGTGGGAGTTGAACAATGAGAACATTTGGGCACAGGGAGGGGAAATCACACACTGGGGCCTGTCCGGGGTTGTGGGGCAAGGGGATGGATGGTGTTAGGAGAAATACCTAATGTAGATGACGGGTTGATGGGTGCAGCAAACCATCATGGCACATGTATACCTTTTTAACAAACCTGCATGTTCTGCACATGTATCCCAGAACTTAAGTATAATAAAAAATAATATAGGAGCAAACCACAAACATTTTTTCTTCCTATCCTGAAATATAAGCTAACAATTGTGATTATGGCAGAGAAGTTATTTTTCTTATTTATACGTGCAATTTTGTAACATGGTGTTTAAACTACACATTTGTGGGTTAAAAATATATAGTATGATCTGTGCCTCTAAGGAAAAGATTGTTCTCTTGTGGAAACCTCATTAGCTCATGATTATGTTATCCTATTGAGAGTCTAGTTTTTATAGTACTCCAGGTATAAATATTAAATGGAAATATTTATACTAAATTGTATCAAAGAAATGTAATTTAACTAGACCTTTTTCATCAACATGAGTTGTGCTTTAGAACTCATGTTTCTAATTTTAGATTCTCCATCTAGGATTATGAAATAATATAGATGAGAAATTTCTGAGATGGGTTATCCTAAACATCAGTTCATTTTTTTCTGAAACTTATTGACATGATCTTTTATTCTACGTGCTAGAAAATCTCTAAGCATTTGAATGGCATATGAAAATATATAATGTTTAAATATTCAAAGGCAAATATAGCTCACTTAAAAGAAATACTGTATGAATAATTAAAATAAATGCAGGACCTGGCCACGACATTGCAAATTACTGCCTTAAAGTCTTTATGGACAGGCAGTTCTTTAAAAATAGAAAGCTGTTTTAATCAAAGCCAAATGTTTCTATTTTTAAATTCTTGGCACACTTCTTCAGTACAAGATGATCTTCAAAAAGAAAAAGGCAGATGTAGCTGCCAGCCTGCAGTGCTTGAGCCCCAGGGAGGCAGCACGGTTTCATATAGGCAGGCATGCTTATTGCTTATGTTTTCTTTGGACAATCGGTATGAAAGAACCAGACTGTGGAAAAAGCTTGGCCTTTGGGTTGTGAGTTGTTTGAGTTGTGGATATCTAGTTGGTGTTCTGTAGCACAGAGTAAAGATAAATCGCACAAGGCATTTGTGGGTATTACAAATAAAAAGGTTCACTACCTTACAGAACTCAGATTGATTCACCTTTAAGTCTTACAACGTCTGATAAAAACAGAGTAGGAAATAAAGCTTAGCAACCTTAGAAGGGTGGTGTTGATCAGTGTGACAGTGCTTTAAGAATTGTTGAGGCATTCTAGGTAAACCACTGCTTATAAATGTTACAGATCACAGTAAGCCAATTTAATTTTCTTTGTTGTTCAGATTCCTGGTGAGGATATTTAATGATGTGGATAGATTTCTGACTGAGCTAATACTATCACAATAATTCCCTTGACTTGTAATATTTGTAAGCACCTTATAAAGAGAAAATAATAGGCTTTCTCTAGGATTTTCTGTTATAAACAGCTATTTTTCAGTCTTTAAAATTGAGAACTTCATAAGATAATACAAATAATACTTTGTGTAGTAATCTCTGTGAGGAATCAACACAGTCAAGGATTTTCTTCATCAACTGTTATGCAAAAAATCGTGAGTTTTTTTCTTCTTCAATAAACTCAACATAGACTCTTTTTCAGTTAGGTTAATGACAATGCCACTTGAGTAAATAAAGAATTCAATTTAAACTGACTTCACAATCTGTTATTTATGTTTTATATTTTAAAGCTTGTTTTAAGATTTTTCTTCTTGGATTCACAATTCACCAAATGAAAGAGAGCATGAGTGAGCTTCCTGTTGCAGAATAAAGAAACTACTCTAGCTAGTTTAAGCAAAAAGTATTTAAGGAATTAAGTGCTGACAAAAATCATTGGAAGGGCTGGAGAGCAGGCTTTAGATTGACTCTTCAAGAAGGATTCTAGTATCAATAACTCAGCTAACTTAAGGAAACCTCAGCTTCCCCAACCAGGAAGCTCCTGTCATAGCCCCTGAACCCAGGCTCTCAATGTCCTAGCTGGAATCTGGGAATCAAAAAGCCACAGACAGAATAAATCTTGAGCAAACTAGCTTCCTGAACGTAGCAGAAGACATAATCTGAATGTTGTCTAGGCTTTGAAAGCCTGTGAATGTATTTTACATTAAAATCAATAATCCAAATATCCATGTTTCACCACTATTCATAGGATTTCCAGTGTTCTTCATCTTTCCCTGACTTGTATTTATGGTAATATTCCAAATATCTCACAAAGAATTGAGAGTAACTCCCCTCCCATAGCACCCATGCTTTTTTGCCCCATGTCATGCAAAGCAGGCACTGTCCCTGATCTTTTGCTATTCTACAGTCTCTGACATGCATAGCTGTTCTGATAGTGGGTACCACTACTCTACCATGCCCAGCAGCACAGCTGCCATACTCTCCTGCTCTAAACTGAACCTTAGTCTCTTTCTTAGCTTTACCAGGCATAACAGTTCTTTGCCTTGTCCTTATCTTGAGTCATGAGGATCTAGCTAAATGTGTACATCCAGAAATGTGTTGGATATACATAGTACTACTTCATAAAAACTAAGTTTATTTTTTTGAAATTTAGTTAGCCATTTTGTAACACAGCCATCACTAAAAATTAAGTTATATAACCTGAAAAACTGTCAACCTGATGTTATAGAACAGAACTAGGAAAAGATACAGTGTAGTACCTCATTATATAGTATATCTGCTATAAAGATACAGTAGATGTGCATAGCACTAAAAGCATAGATAATACTAAATTGCAAAAATAAAAATATAAATTTAATTTGGAGTACTTATTGCTTTTGTGTCTGTTTCCAATAAGCTGACATGAGTGAGGTGATTGTGTGTTTCTGTGCCCTAACCAATGACCTTGCCCTCGTCTTCAAAGTCAGTCATCTCCATATCCACATGAAGAAGAATGAAGACAGACCCCTCTCTCTCACCATATACAAAACCCAAAATGGATTAAAGACTTAGATGGAAGACCTGAAACTACAAAATTACTAGAAAAATAGAAAGAGGAAAAGCTCTATGACATTGGTCTAGGTAATAATTTTTTAGACATGACCCAAAAAACAGGTAACAAAAGCAAAAATAGACAAATGGAATTGTATGAAATGAAAAAGGCTCTGCACAGCAGAGGTAAAAATAAACAGAGTGAAGAGAAAACCAACAGAGTGAAGGGACAACCTACAGAATGGGAGAAAAAATATTTTTAAACTATACATCTGTTAAGTGGTAAATATTCAAAATATATAAGGAACTCAGACAACTCAATTGCAAGAAAAATAACCCAATTAAAAATGGACAAAGGGCTTGAATAGCTATTTCTCAAAAGATAATGTACAAATGGGCAACAGGTGTATGGAAAAAATGTTCAACATTGCTAATCGTTGGAGAAATGCAAATCAAAATCAATGAGGTATCACTTCACTCCTGTTGGAATGGCTATTAACAAAAAGGCAAAAGATAACAAGTGTTGGTGAGGATGTGGAGGAAAGAGAACCCTTGCACAATGTTGGAAGAAATGTAAATTAGTACACCTATCTTAAAAAACACTATGGACATTCCTCAAAAAATTAAAAATAGTACTACTGGCAATCCCATTACTTGGGCATATATTCAGAGGAAATGGAATCAGTATGTTAGAGATAACTGTACACTCATGTTTATTGCAGCACTATTTACAACAGCTAGGTTATGGACTCAACTGTATATCAATGAATGAATGAATAAGGAAAATGTATATATACACAATGAAATACTCTTCAGTCATTAAAAAAAAAAAGAAATCCTGTCATTTACAACAGCATGGTTGAACCTGAAAGACATTACATTAAGTGAAAAAAGCCAGGCACAGAAGGACAAATACTGCATGAGCTCACTCATATGTAGAATCTAAAAAAGTTAATCTCATAGAAATAGAGAGTAAAATGGTGGTTACCAGAAGTTGGGGAGGGTGGGTGAGTGGCCTTGGGGAGATGTTGATCAAAGAATATAAAATTTCAGTTAGATAGGAGGAATAAGTTCAAGAAATCTATTGTATAACATGTTGACTATTGTTAACAATAATATATTCTTGAAAAATGCTGAGTGTAAAGTGTTCGTATCACAAAAATGTTAAGTGCGTGAAATGAGTTGGTCATTCCATCATGTGTATATGTTTCAAAATGATATGTTGTACAGGATAAATAAATAAAATTTTATCTGTCTGTTTACAAAAAGTAAAATTAAAACAAAGTCCAGTATCTCTTCCAGGCTTCCAAGCAGACAGTCTTCTCTCATTAAGGCTGGTCTCTGGCACAGTGTGAGCACACAGCACAATTTATTTGACTTCTCCATTTCAGTCTATTTCTTATCCTCTTCTTTTCCCCTTTGGCCCAAATAACACCATTTTCTCGCTCATTACTTTCTACCAACTTACCAAATTTACCAAAACAATTACTCACCTATCGGTTCTTAGCCACTTGCCTTTTAAGGAGAGAGTTTGTGGAAAGTAATTTTGAAATAGCTTTTTCCTAAATAACCATATACAAGACTGGCCTTATAGACAGGAGTTTGTGAATAACATTTGTCTTATGTGTATATGTGTTTTGAGGATTTGATTCTTTGATTATTGACTTTGTTACTTTTCTTGCACCATGATACGGAGGTGAGGTCATTTGCTCATTTCTCCCCAGTGAAGAATGGAAACTCTAATTTCAAGGCCATTACCCCCTAGATGCACTTTCTCACCCTTATTCCACCCATGTAAATGACCCCAGGACACTGAAGCAGGTTTCTCCCTTTCCCTAGGGCTCTCCCTTCCCTGGATGGTGATCAGCTCAGTCTCATTCCTGAGCACCAAAGTTTCTGAGTTATGTATACATGGCAGTAAATGAGCCTCTTGGAGCAAGATAATGCATGATAATGAAAGGGTCTCCACATTCTTGTCTTTTCAGGGCAGCCTACTTTTTAATATTCAAATAAAGTGACTATAAGCTCCCTCTTGTGTGGACCAGGGAAGTGCAGGGTTGTTCCTGGTGTTTCAGAAGATTCTCACAGGAATTTTCTCAGGGAATGTTTTACATCTTGCTCTGAATCACTGCTCCTGGCTTCAACTCATTAAGCACTTGACTTCTTGTTCCTTCTCTGAAGTTAGAAATTCTCCTCCTACCCCCTTTCACTCCATGGGTGGACAAAGACCCTTTCTCTGTAATTCCCTACGGCACCAACAGGGTAGTGACAAATCTGCTGCAGTTTGGAGAGCAGTCACAGCACAGAAAAGGACAGTTTAACCCTAGGTTTTATATACCTCTAAAGCCATTCTTTCAGCATTCCCCCGTTGGGAATTATTGACCACCTCTCTCCTTTGGCTTCTATCTGTTCTTTTATTCCATCTTCTCTTTCTCTGCTCAAATTGAGGACCCCAGTCTCTAGTCTCTTCTACTTGCCTTCCCTTGAAAGGGAAACTAACATCTGAGAAACTGAACAAATCAAGCCATTCATTAAAGACACTCTTTTATAATATTATTCAGAGGAATTTGGCAGTGTTATGTTTTAACCTACCTTTTTAAAAACTAAGCATATGGATATATGCGCTACTGTGTGAACCAGTGTGCCTATTTGTTTCTTATATTACCAGAGATACTTTGTTTTTCTAATCAAAATAGCAATCCTCTCTCTGCCACTCCTAACCCCAAAGGTGGCAATGACTACAGTTAAAAAAACAACAACAACAACAATTTTTCTTTGTGATTAGGTGATTCCAGGGCTGGTTCTGATTTGTTTTATAGCCAGCAAAAAACTTCTGCCTATAAATGAGAAATATTTTAAGCATTCAGACATAACCTTGCTTTTTTTGTTGTTCACTCTGCATTTGTAAAAATCTGAATGTATCTTTGTTAGTGGAGGCTTTTGCTATCTTAGTGAACAATGCCGTACAGTAGGAGACACTGAGAAATTCTGAAATAGCTCAGGACTATTAACTGCCAAACTATTTAGGAACACTTGGGTAGTTTGATGGCAAATTTTTCCATCACTATTAAATTACTTCTGTGCCTCGGAGGGTCACGAGATGCTGTAAATGTCAAATGTTTTTGTCATTCTACTGGATTTCTGTGAGGGACACATGCACCTCAACCATGGCTGGAAAGACTGAACATAAGGAAATACAATTCTAAAAAGTTAGGCGGGGCAAAAGGGTCACCTTTAGAGAAAGATTACATAATTACATTATAATAGGCCTTCAGGAAGTACAATCTCTTCTTAATTTTCTTTCACTCTGCCACAGATTTCTTCCTGAGTACTGTCTTAAGAAAGTCCTGCACGCAGGAACAGAAATATAATAAGTATCATTTCAACCATATTTTTCATATTCTTTGGCACACTTATGTATTTGTATGAAGTCATGGTCCTTTAGATTTCCTAACCAGTATCCAGGAATATTAAATAAACCTAATTTGAGGTTAATGAATTTATTTCATGAGATAGTTTTTTTTATTTAATGAACAATTATTCAGTGATTTCTCTACTTGCACATTATAAGTGAAAGATTACCTTACAAAAGTTTAAAAATTCAAGCGAATTTTTCACATAAAAACAATGTGATGAAAATATGTCCACAAAAGACAATTTGATGATGTTGCTGGCATGCTGTATACTTACAATAATAAATAAGATAATGCTGCTCTAGTACTTTTAATTAAATATAAAGATGATAAAACAGAATCAACTAATGATATATTGGTCTTGAATACTGGTATATGAAATTTGCTTTAAGGAAAACAAGATGGTTGTTAGACTCTGAAGGTATCTGGGTACTTTTAAGCACATGCGGGGGCTGATGAAATAAACATCTAATTTTGATCAAATGCTCCCTCATCTTGGGATAGGTGTGTATACCAAGTACTACTCTTGGTTTTCTTGGTTGTAATTTCTTTTTTTTTTAATGAGGTAGCTAGCATTCCCCATGGTAAAATTAGCTAAATGTTTCCGACGCAGCTAAGAAAGAACTGGGATGAATAGAAAAGCAGGGAAAGATATATGGATAGTCCATATAAATGAGAAAGTTGATTTACACAACTGAATTAATTGAATTTTAACAAATAGGAGACAAAAATACCTGTGTACTGACTTTGAGAGCCCCAGAGAGGAGGTGATTGTGTCCTGGTGGTTTGGATTTTGGTCAGTAGGTGACACCATCAATCCAGCGCCCTTTGGTAGCTTCCTGGCAGAGAAAGGAATGTGCATAAGGTCAAACAGATACTTCTGCTAAGAACAAGCTAGATAACTTTTACTCCACCATATCCTTAATTCCCCAATATACTTCCTTACAAAACAATCAGACTATCAGTTTTGCCTCCAGAGGACTTTTAAAATCTGTTCCTTCCTTTAACCAGCCTTCCTAACATCTGTGCCATATTTCAGATTTTTATTAAGCTCTACTATTTTAATATCTTCCCAATTAGTTGTCAGGACTCCAGTTTCTTTCCACTCTAATATATTCTTTATATGACTGAATTGATAGTTCTCTTGACAGTAATCAGCATAGTTGACTACTTCACATTTTAGATTTCGTTAATTCCACGTATGTTCCACAGGCCATATAAGGCCTAATTATGGGAGATGGTCTAGTTAAGATGTTTAGCAAATAGTCTCTAATTTACCCAGCATACATGAGTTGACAGAATAATAGACTATTTTTGCCTGTTTGCTGCTGCCTAGATAAAATTGGTTTCTGGTAATCATCATTCTAGTGGACTTGGCTTTATTAGTAATTATAGTGGAAGCTAAATGTAATTAATATATATTGACCTTCAAGAATCATTTAAATTATATTTTGAAATGTGGGCATTATAAATTACTAATTAAAGAAAAATTAGGGCCGCGATCTCGCACAGGGTCGGTGTGCGCGCAGGCTGCGGCGCTGCGACTCGTGCGGGTAGGCCTCTGCGCTCGGTTTGAGGGCTTGGCGCGGCGTTTCCTGTTCCTTCCTCTGCACGGCTGCAGCTCGGGCCTTCGGCCTGACCCAGCCCCCATGGCTTCAGAAGAGCTACAGAAAGATCTAGAAGAGGTAAAGGTGTTGCTGGAAAAGGCTACTAGGAAGAGTACGTGATGCCCTTACAGCTGAAAAATCCAAGATTGAGACCGAAATCAAGAACAAGTTGCAACAGAAATCGCAGAAGAAAGCAGAACTTCTTGATAATGAAAAACCAGCTGCTGTGGTTGCTCCCATTACAACGGGCTATACGGTGAAAATCAGTAATTATGGATGGGATCAGTCAGATAAGTTTGTGAAAATCTACATTACCTTAACTGGAGTTCATCAAGTTCCCACTGAGAATGTGCAGGTGCATTTCACAGAGAGGTCATTTGATCTTTTGGTAAAGAATTTAAATGGGAAGAGTTACTCCATGATTGTGAACAATCTCTTGAAACCCATCTCTGTGGAAGGCAGTTCAAAAAAAGTCAAGACTGATACAGTTCTTATATTGTGTAGAAAGAAAGTGGAAAACACAAGGTGGGATTACCTGACCCAGGTTGAAAAAGAGTGCAAAGAAAAAGAGAAGCCCTCCTATGACACTGAAACAGATCCTAGTGAGGGATTGATGAATGTTCTAAAGAAAATTTATGAAGATGGAGATGATGATATGAAGCAAACCATTAATAAAGCCTGGGTGAAATCAAGAGAGAAGCAAGCCAAAGGAGACACGGAATTTTGAGACTTTAAAGTCCTTTTGGGAACTGTGATGTGATGTGGAAATACTGATGTTTCCAGTAAGGGAATATTGGTGAGCTGCATATATAAATTTGACAGATAGCTATTTACATAGCCTTCTAAGTAAAGGCAGTGAATTCTCCATTTCCTACTGGAGGATTTATTTAAATAAAATATGCTTATTAAACACTCCTGCAAAAAAAAAATTAGTTGAGAGTATAATATTATATATTTAGAGAGCTACTGATTTAGTGTTCCTTACTAAAAATGGATTCTCCTGACACACTATTAATAAAAATGTATGGGGGCAGGCTGATATGGATTTCTATTATATGAATCAACACTAGATAACAACAAAGTTGGATGCTTCTTTCTTAAGTTATTTTCTGTTATCCAGAGGAAAACAGTGACATCTTTAGTATGGTATTTTAAATCCTTTGTATTCCGACCGCTATTGGCATTTCTATTGTTTCTGCTATACTCTATGCTAGAGCCACAGCCATGATAGGCTGTTTATTTAGCAGACAAAATCCAATTCTTCAAGAGCCACCTGAACTTTGTTCCTTGTGAGGTATTTTTTTCCATAGTTCTGTTTACCATCCATTACTCGGTGCTCCTGAAGCAGTGCACTCATTTCTCCTTTCTAGCACTTACCACCATTAGCTGATTGAATTCCTCCCAACAGCCACACTCTGTGCTACCTGTGAGTAGGAGTAATACTATGTTCTGTGCAATCCAGTCCCCCAAGAAGAGCACTTGGCCCACTGGAAGCAATGAAACACGTTTAATTGATTGGTGCAGGAGACACATTATATGTTAGAGGCTTTTCACTCCTTTCTGTATACCAGAATTGCCAGCAGAGATTTGTGAACCTATGGGTACCTGGACTCCATACCAGACCCACTAAATCAGTACTGTTCAGGGATGACTCAAGGTTTGTGCATTTGGAGCAGAAGTTGCCCAGTTTTTTTTAAAAAACTGAATTTGTAAAAGAATAGATCAATGTAGACTAGAACCACTAGAGAAAGTTTGTAAAGAAGGGGCCATGCACCAAACTTTGAAGTTCTAGGAGAAGATATAACAGGTCAAGAAAAAAAAAAAAAAAAAAAAAAAGAAGCAAAAGTACAAAGATGGAAATAAAGGAAACAATAAAGAGAGCAGTTTTTTGAATAGAAGGTTTATATGATGAGTAATGCTTGATAATTATGGCTAAGCACTATAGGACCAGAGCACGGGGAACTTTGAAAATCTACACAGACTCAGTGCAGTCCACAGAGGCTGATAATCTTAGAAATGGGTGCATCAGTGAATTTTGTAGTCATGCAGCATATGTCTAGGAAAAGGGTAGCTTGATTATTAAAAAGAGGAAGGCCTTATTCATAAATATTTTTTGAAGCCTGCCTTCTGAAATTTGCCAATTTTTTAAAGAATCATAGAATTTTGGAGATAAAAATACTATTTATCTTTTATCCCTAGGTAGAATTCCACAGAAAGCTTATTTCTCATTTAAAAAAAAGAAAAAGAAATGCTTCAATGGTTAAATAATTTGAGATATTGGATCAAGTGGTCCATTTCCTTTCTAAAATCGACGAGTGAATAGGTTATTTTTTAAAACACTGTATGACTTCCCAAAGCCTAAGGTATAGTAATTTATATTAGAAATCTCCAAGAGGGAAGTATAGTGAGCAAGTTTTCCCAAACCCTTTGTTAGAAATAGCTTATTAACATGTAACTGGACACTTAATCCTTTACAGACAAGTTCGGGAAGCATATTATGGCATAGGAGTTTAAGGAAATGACCTTTGGAATTAAGCAACTTGAGTAAAAAACCTGACTTCATGCTGTGAACTGATTTAAGTCGGCTTCATCATTCCCAATTATGAGATTTTTTTAGGTGAGAGCTATAGGTTTTACCTCAACTCATGTGCCCTTTCTCCAACTTGTAAGAGGTGGGAAATTATAATGAGAGCAAGCTTCAGACTAGATCCTTCCACGGAAACAAACAATTTATTAGCACACAGTCAAACAACAGTCATAAAATCTATTACTCTGCTCTTTTGTGAGCGTTTGATATAAAGACCTCCATCCTTTAGACACCTGAACCAGACCTTGCATGAATAGGCTTATTCAAAGCAGATGTTTCAGTCTTCTAGGCAGGCAGAATACAGCTAAATGAATCAGAATCAGACAACAGAATCCTCTCTTAACGGATAAACATAGTTCCAATTGTGTCCTAAGCCCAGAGCACCTGTGCTGATTTGCATTTTCTGTGGAAGCAGGTATCAAGATAGGATTAGGAGTGCAAAAGGTTTATTGAAGAATAACACACATGAAAGGAAACAGAGTGATTTCATAGTGTGGGAGCCTTCAGAGTGAGGGGCAGACCTGACACAGCAGGAGACTGTCAGCCAATCATGCACCTTGATATCCAGGTGGATCGCAGCACCACTCTGAAGTGTGCTGACTTCTGGGATCATAGATTCCTAAATCCTCTTCATGCAAGGGCAAAAGTACTTGTAAATATTTCTAGCCAGTCCACTTATCTGTGTTAACATTAATTTTACCAGTAAAAACCTCTTCTACCATCACTTAGCTAATTAGCAAAGTTTCTACTGCTGATCAGAGATGGAAATAGTCCAAGCTGTAGAAGTGAGCTCTAAGTGTCGAATCCTGATTGGAGTCCATCAACTGCTAAGCAACCACCTGTGTATGAATTCTTAATTAAGGCTCCTGACAAACAGTTGATCTTTGAACAACACGAGTCTGAACTGTATGGGTCCACCTATATGCAGACATTTTTCAATAAACATATTGGATTTATTTTTTGGAGATTTGCAACAATATGAAAAAACTTGCAGACAAATCATGTAGCCTAAAGATACTGAAAAAATTAGGTAAGTCATGAATGCATAAAATATGTAAATACTAGCCTAGTTGATCATTTATCACAGAATATATACAAATGCATAAAAAATGTTTATGAAAACTTATGCACACACACAGACCATACATGGTGACATTGGCAGTCAAGAGAAATACAAACAAAGTAAATGTTTGTTTACAAAGTAGGTGTAATATTAAATTATAACTGCATACAATTAACTATAGTACATACTGTACTATTGTAATAATTTCATAGCCACCCCCGTCGCTATTGCAGTGAGCCCAAGTGTTGCCAGAACCTCTTTAAATAAACACCGTGTGACTCTCATCGTCTCTATCTGAGTGGTTTTATTCTCCAGTAAGTTGCACATGGCAGAAAAAAAAAATGGTATCTTGCAGTTCTCACACATTTTTCATGTTTAATGCAATTAAACATGAAAAATCGAGACTCATAAGAAGTGCCACTGGTGATCCTGCAAGTACTCCCAAGAAGCAGAGAAAAGTCATGGCATTACCCAAAAAAGTTGAATTGCTTTATATGTACCATAGGGTCTGCAGCCACAGTTGCTCTCTGTTTCAGACAATTCATATTGTAAAATAGACGGCATAAACTTATGGTATCCAGGTACAGACTGCAAATAAATTTTCCTTATGATTTTCTTAACATTTTCTTTTCCCTAGTTTACTTTATTATAGTACAGTATGTAATACATATAACATATAAAATACGTGTTAATTGATTATGTTATTGGTAAGGCTCCCAGTCAACAATAGGCTATTAGTAATTCTGTTTTTGGGTAGTCAAAAGCTAGATGTGGATTTTCACATGCTCAAGGGTTGGTGTCCCTGACTCCTGTGTTGTTCAAAGATGAACTGTATTAACTAATTCAAAGGTATAGATTAAAATGCTGTTAATATTCACAATGCAGTCTATGGCAAAATGGTTTTAATGTAAATTAGAAAATGTAATATTACTTCACTTACTGTGTGCTTGGGTTATACACTTAACCTCTTTAAGCATCAACTTTCTTGTTTGAAAAATAAGAATAATAATAGTTTTTACCCTGTTAGCTTGTGGGATGAGTGCCTAACAAAAGAGCTTGATGGATCACAACCCTTATAAAAGTCACTTGTTATTATATTTTGAAGGTGTGGAACATGTAACTGGGGATAAAATAAATCATCAAAGTTATCTGGCTTGTTGGTAAAAGAGCAGACAAGAGTCCAAGCTATGGATTCTTAATCTAATAATCCTGCCAGTACATTGTCACCATTTTTTTAAATAAAGGACTTTATTTTTAATCATATGAGACAACTACATTGGTGGTCTGAACAAAGTTTATTAATAATTTCTTCTCTTGAAATGTATGTATTACTGGGGTGATTAGGTTTCTTAATCATGCCTACCATAAAGTCAACCAATTAATTTCCATCTGGATAAGATCTGTATTATGGTGAGAGTGAAAATTTTGATTGGGCATTAGAAAAAGTATATTTTTGGACTATTAGGTTCTAACTCAAAGATTTTGAAAGCCCAGTGGCAACAAATGCCTGGAGGATAAGAGGCAAGATACATGGAGGTGGAAAATGAGTCAAAAATGGAAGGAAAAGATAATAAAGCATGGCTTGCAAATTTGGCTCAGAATATCATGCTGCTCTATATGTTACTGATAATCACCTGCATTAGTCAGAGTTCTTTAGAGAAACAATCAATATAGGATATATAGATATATAAAATAAGATTTATTATGGAAATTGGCTCACATAATTACGGATCTGAGAAGTTCCACAATATGCCTCCTACAAACCAGAAAATCAGGAAAGCCTGTAATATACATCAACCTAAGCCCAAAGGCATGAGAACTAAGGAAGCCTATGGAATAACTCTCACCCCAAGTCTGAAGGCCTGAGAAAGGATTTGGTGGGAGTTGGGAGTAGAGGGATTCGGGGGGGCTGCTGGTGTAAGTCCCAGAGTCTTCAAAGGCCTGAGAACCAGGAGTTTTGATGTCCAAGGGCAGGAAATTATGGATGTCCCAGCTCAAGAAGAGAAAATTTGTCCTCCTCCTGTGCTTTCGCTTCATTCAGTTCAGCCCTCTGTAGACTGCATGACACTGGCCCGTGTTGGTGGGAGTGGATTTATTTACTCAGTCTACTGATTCAAATACTAATATTTTCTGGAAATACCCTCATAGACACACCCAGAAATGAAGTTGTATCAAATATCCAAGCGCCCCTTAACTCAGTCAAATTGACACATTAACTTATCTTTCAGCTAACTTCTCTAAAACTACACTTTTTATAGTTTCTCTGAAATATGTACTATTATAAGAAGGTCTATTTAGTTTGGCCCTTTTGAGGATGAATTACTCTTTTGAATCTAGATTGATACATTTTTCAAACTTATAAACTCAGTGATTCATTTATTAATAAATATTAAAATGCATTGAATTAATGCACTTTTTTGGGATGGCGATGGGTTATTGATTTCTGCAAATACTATGTATATCATCTTACCTAGGATCAATATATTTCATTACCATACTGGAATATCTTGTGTCTGAAGTTGCACTCTGAAAGTGATTTTATTCTAGAGCTGACAAAGTCTGTTCATGGCTGTCTAATTTTAGGAAAACTTTATCTGCATTTTTGTAGTCTTTTCATACTTAATAAAAGCTATACTGATGTTGTGACTTATCTGTCTTCATGGACTTATTCTCTAGTCTTACAATCAACTGTTTGTATGTTGTATGAATTGTTCAAATATCTCAACTGTAGTGACCTCAATATCCCTGTATCTAACCCTACATGGAGGATTATCATCATCATTATGATTATTTGATTACTTGTTCCACATCTTCTTTAAATAGTTTCTGATTGTGTCATATCTCTTTAATTTTAGATTTCCATTATTATAATTATATTTTGACAACCTTTGTTATATCCATTCTAAAATATTTCATTTCACTGATTGTATAAGTTTTATTTCAATTATACCTGATTGATCTTTAATCATAAGAATAATATTTAATGTCAGTATTGCTACTTTTTCAAGTAGAGAATTATTATTTTGATATTTGATCATTTGAGTGCAAATTTTTCTGTTGGAAAACATTGCTTCCATTCACTTAGAAGTGAAAAAAATATGATAAGGAGTTGAGCGGGCGTGGTGGCTCATGCCTGTAATCGCAAGCACTCTGGGGGGGCCAAAGTGGGCTGTTCACTTGAGGCCTGGAGTTTGAGACCAGCCTGGCCAATATGGTGAGACCCCATGTCTACTAAAAATACAAAAATTAGCATGGCGTGATGGTGTGCGCCTGTATTCCCAGCTACTTGGGAGGCTGAGCTGGGAGGAAGTCTTGAGCCCAGGGGGCAGAGGTTGCAGTAAGCTGAGATAGTGCCATTGCTCTTTAGCCTGGCTGACACAGCGGGACTCTGCCTCAAAAAATAAATAAATAAATAAAGGAGTTGATGGTACTGCTGTGTATATATATTATATATAGAATATATATTTACAGATATACACATAGTATATATGTATGGCATACATGTTAATAGTTGTGCATCTTTCACTTAAAATTTTTAATTCATTTCCAAATATCCTGCTACTAAAGTAAATAGCTATTAAATGGACACAAATATTTTGATTAATTTTAATGGAAAAATTATGCATTTCATCCCAATCCAAGATAGAAATAAAATGTTTTTATGAGAAAAATAAGTATCAGTTTGGAAGTAAATAGTTCATTCAGAAAATTTAATGTAATGAAAGTTTATAGCATTCCCGTTATCTCTTATTTTTCAATAGTTTCGTTAGCACATTTTTAACATTTTAGGGGTCATAGTTCTCTTGTACTCAAATGACACAAACGAAGACACAGCATAGTAAAATCAAAGCAAAATAAGGATCTAACAGGAGACTACATTGAAAAACATGAAAATAATGTATAATGAATGTATAATACAATTGCAAAGTCATAGAAGACTTGCCAAACATTCTCAAAACATTTGTTTTAATCCAAATATGAGGCACAATTCAAAAATGTTTTATTTGATATTACTTAACCAGGCACCTATGGTGAGAATATTAGCATTTTTCTTTACCTGTAACTATAAGTTGAAATATTACTACTTAAAGAGTATTTATTTAATGTGTTTTTTTAGTAAGAGTATTATACTCCCCCCAGACAGAAATTATTATGAAAACAGTCTGTAAATATGTAAGGTAATTCTGTATATTTAGTATAGTTTAGTTTGTGCTCCAACATGAAACATTTTTATTCCTTTAAACCTGCCATTCACTTAAAACAAGCACTCTGTGCTTTACAAAATTTAGATATGTGCAGAGGGTAAATTATGAGTTTATAAAAAGTAAAGTCACATAATTTTAACAAAAATTCAGGGCATTCAGCAGAGTGAAACCACTTCATTCTCTGTTTTTAATAATTGTGGAATCTTCCTACCTGATGCTGATTACTCTCATTTGTAGGATTGAGAGTAAATTTCAATCTACAATACCTCATTGCCATCTAGCACCCATGAAATAACATTCAAGGAAATAAACCAGAACAGAAGAAGACTTTATAAGTTATTTACCACCTCAGTTTCAGCTCCAAAGTAGCTAAAATATTTAACAGTCCTTATCTGTTACACAAAATTCTTGTTATAATCGATAACTTCTGGTCTAACAGATATCTTCCTTACTGTTGTCGAACTTCCTTACTGTTGTGGAACTTTCCATACTTCCTTTTTTCTCCATCAAGACACACTTAGGGATTTTTCTAGGGCGAAGCTTGGGGTTGAGGAGCTTTCTAAAAATTAAATTTTTATTCTTATTTATGCTGGAGATGTTGGGTTTTGTTGATGAGTATGAAAGTTGTTTTGCTGCCCAACTATGGCCTGACCATCAGCAAAATCAGCATCACTTGTGAGCTGGTAAAAAATATAGAATCCTAGGCCTCATTCCAGACCTACTGAAACAGAACCACGTTTGTTGGAACAGAAAATTCATATTTGAAATGAATCAATTGGAGTAGTTGAATCCAAAAAGAAAGGTATAAGAGTTTAAGGGATAGTTGTGTGACCAAGGTGAGACAACCTGATGTTAAATTATGTGATTTAGTGAAAAAGGAAAGCTATATGCAACAAAATAAAACATAGCACACTCCTCTGTGCCGTATTATACCCTAATCACAAGTATGAACTGAGGAAAAAAGAATAAAGCAATATGCTGAAGAAATAGCATAATTTCTTTTTTGAATTGCATATTAGCCAAAAGGAGATGCCGGTAATATATATCCTTCTTATTCCTGTGGCATTTATTTTAGGGATCCACACAAAGAGGATAACACATGCATCAAATCCAATGAATTTATAATTTATTACTCAAGTAAAATAGGATTTTTTCCAGCTTTTCTTATCTTCAAACCACTTTTAGTTTCTTTGATTGCATCAAGAAATAGCTACAAATTAAGTGCCAGTGAGTAAATACCTGATTATAATAGATTATTGCTTCTGATAATTTCCAAATAAGAAAGGCTTATTATACTCTTTTGACCAGGAGTGTGTGTCCAATCTCCAGTAAGCTTGGAGGAGGCAGGAGGGAGGAGCAAGATACAATTCATGATAACTTAGCTGGGCACACAGCCAATATTCAAAACCAAGAATCCAAAATCCACAAGTTGAAGGTCTTTCTATAACATTCCAACCAATATATGTGCTGCTTTTACTTTTAGAAATTTCAGATATTTATGTAGCTGTAATACGTAGTTTTATTTACCTCCTGTTTATAATTGCATGGTGATGTATGCATATAAACCTTTACTGTAATTATTTCATATTCAATTACAATTACAAAATATTTGATTTATCCTAGTGATAATTCAGTTTCACAATTAAATGAGTTGCAATTGATTTTGCTTACATCTAGAATCAACTTTAGTGACAGGAATTTCTTGTTTTGGCAATATTTTAAAAAGTGTCTAAATTGACCTTTCATTGTTGACTTTGGAATATTTATTGTATTTTTTCCTCATTTTTAGCAATATATTTTAAAATTTATTTTTCCTACTCACTTAAAAGCTATAAGCCTGCATTAAAACTATAAGTCTGTATTATTCAGGTAAAAGAAAAGCATATTCATTATTGATTTACTACTATATCTCTCAATTCTTCAAATTAGTACAGCAAATACTGCAACAAAGGCAAACAAAAGTGAATTTGAAACATATTTGCAAAGCTACAGACAAAGTGTAACATGCTTAGTTTGACTCTTGGTCCTATGTTTTAAGATTATTATATAGTCTGAATTTTGATCAGCTATCCACCTACCTATGCAGAAATTTATTTTGCTGTGGCACCACTAGTTAATAAATACAAATTTGATAGTCTCACTGCTACAATGTAGGAGAATAAAACAAAGAGGAGATTTGAGTGAGTAAAGTTACCCCATTGTGGCAAGGTCTGCTAGCTGAGCCCAAATCTTTCACCTTTCTTGTGGGTGTGGTCCTATGACTAAATTCTTAACTATGGTATGTGAGTGGAGTGATGTGTATAACTCCTGGTTTAACTGATTAAGTTGCCTACCCTGAATTTTCTCTCTTTCGTTTCTTGGTGGTTGAAAACAGCAACAACTGAAAAATCTTGGAAGTGACATGTTAAGAATAGAACTATCCTAACTATCTGGTTAGTCTGGGTTCTGGGATGACTTTTTTTGAACTGGGACCAACTATCTGCCCTGAACTATTATGGGAAAAAGAAAAATGAATTCCTATGTTTTCTAACCAGTGTAGTTTTCTTGATGACAGTAGCATAGCCTTCGATCTAACTAATGCAACTACTCACACATTTTTCTGGTAATCATAGTTAGGATGGCCATATAATTGTCCAAACTGAGAACTTCTGGGGATAAAAGGGTTTTCAATTAATAATGAGTCTAGGAAAGCTGGTGTAAGTTGGCAGTGTTAGAATGAGGAGGTGGATGGACTGGAGCAGAGCAGCTCTGGTTGTAAAGCCATTTTTCTTTCCCTACAATGGCAATCTCATTATGTCATTCATCTAAGCATGTTATAAGGCTGGCTCACAGACTGAGATCTTTCACCATTTGGATTTATAATAGGTACTATTATTTTGTGAGCACAACATTTCAGATAATGGACACTTTTGGTCCCCCTAAAACCTTTAGTAAAATAAATGAGAAAAATTGGGTTGTCCCAGGGCTATCCTCTTACTGAATACCCACATTTCTTTGACCCTACTCCCAGTGGCCGTGGGGTTTTTGTACAGTCTTAAGACAGAGTTACTCCAGGTTCTTGTTCCCAGGAGCCTTGACTTCTCTAATTAACCTCTGAGTTTGGATTCCTCACTTATAAAATAAGACTAAGAATACTTGTTTTCCATTGCAATTGTGAAGGTTAAAAAAGAGAAACCACATAAGTTTAACATGGTGCCTGGCCAGTGAAAACCAGTCAAAGTCAGTGGTAATAACCAAATAAAAGGGAGTCCCAAAGTACCTAAAACTAGACACCCCCAGAGCAGAACTCATCATCATTTAAAAATATGTACATCTTTGTTGTATCATCTTTTTTTGCTAATAATTCCATGAGACATTCTTGTGTCCACACTTGAGTATTGGCTTCATGTTTACCTCCATCTTCTCTTTCATCCCCAATTCCAGTTGGTCACATCATCCTGTTATGCCCATCTCTTGGATCCTGCCCTCCTCTTCCTTTCCACTGCTACTATAGTTCACCTTCAGGTCCTCTCAGGACCAAGCAATGACAATAGTCTTTTAACCATTCTTTTGCATCGCAAATTTTTTTTTCTATAGCCAACGCCCCACATAGCTACAAAATTTTTTATATGAAAATAACATTTATTGCTTTTTTTGATGGAAAAAATCCATGAACAAGGTATCAAATTTGGGAGGTTGGGGGAGTAGAGTACAAAGAAGAATTTAAAATTTCTTGTTAATACCTACAGATATTTTTTCTTCTACTCATATATTTAGTCTTATAAGAATATTTTTTCATAAGTAGAATCATACTATATATATTTTGCCAACTTGGATTCAAGTCCTGGATTAAAAGGATTATAGATTGTATCAATTACTAGAATTTCTAGTGTCATTTCTAATGTGATTGATAAAATTGAGAACTCTTGACTTCCTGCCTCTTTTTAAAAAGCTTATTTTAGTAGGATACCTGTCAAAATAAGAAATATTTTAGAGCTTTTTCTTTTTTCCTTCCCTTCAACCTATCATTTCTAGGAATAGAGAGTTTCTATGTACAGGCCTCCATGATATACCAGATTCCTTATTTTCACCTGAATTTAGCAACTAGGCCATACTTGATATCCTTGGTTATTTCTCTTAGGGATTCATTATATAGCAGTGTACATTTGGGAAAATCAGAAGATTCTCATAGCAATAGTGCTACCACCTGGCTTACCCATTACAGCTTTATGCTTTTTCACCTGATTTAAGAGATGAGGGAATTTCCAGATCTTTCAGGGTATAAATTATCTTATCTTCTTAATTAGAAAATATATGCAATTATCCTTGGGGCATTTCTGCCCTAATGCATCACTCATTTGTTCTTTAAAACACTCATATTCCCTTTCCATGGGTTCCCATAGCCCAAAGTATGAGTAAACAATTGCTGATAAACAGTGACCACTTTGTGTTTACATATATGTTCCAAGACTTCAATTAATATTTTTAAGCCCCCAAACTAAAGTATTAATAATAGAGAAATGAGCATTTATTGGGATAATTATATGATGAAATGGGTTGCATAGCAGCCTCCCCAAAAGATAGGTATGCCTCCTAATTCCCAGCACTTGTGAATATTACTTTATTTAGAAAGAGGGACATTGCAGATATTTTGTTACGGATCTTCAGATGATGAGATAATCCTGGATTATCCTGGTAGACCCTAGACCCAATGACAAGTATCCTTATGAGAAAAAGACAGGGGAGATTTAACACAGAAAGATGAGAAGAAACACACAGAGGAGAAGGTGATGTGAAGACAGAGGCAGAGATTGGAGTGAAGTGGTTACAGGCCAAGGACACTAGTGGTGACATTCACCAGAAGCTCCCTGCAGACACCTTGATTTCAGATGTCTAGTCTTTAAAACTATTATAGAATAAATTTCTGTTGTTTTCAGCTACCCAGTTTGTGGCAATTTGTTTCAGTAGTCACAGAAAACCAATACACATGAAAAATCCTTTTAAAGGTCGTTTTTCCCAAGTCAGATAAAGAGCTTTGGTTTTTTTGTTTGTTTGTTTTTTAAGACAAGTCCTTACTCTGTCACCTAGATTGGGTGCAGTGGTGCGGTATCAAGGCTCACTGCACACTGCAACACTGAACTCCTAGAGTCAAGCAATCTTCCCATCTCAGCCTCTCAATTAGCTGTGACTACAGGCACACACCACCAAGCCTGGCTAATATTTTAATTTCTGTAGAGACAGCGTCTTGCTGTATTATCAGGGCTGGTCTCAAACTCCTGGGCTTAAGTGATTCTGCTACCTCAAGCCTCCCAAAGAGCTGGGATTACAGATATGAGCCACCATGCCCAGCCAAAACCCTCTCATAAGCCAAAAATATTCTTACCAATATTTGTAACAGATAGCAAAATGTGTTTTTTAAAAAATGAGGGAATTCTACTTTTGATAAAGATGGAATAACAGGAATGGGACTTACTCTTGTATTAGTTTTCTATACCTGCATAAAAATTGCCATAAATTAGTGGCTGAAAACAACACAAATTTATTATCTCACAGTTATATAAGTCAAATATGAACACAGCATGACTGCATTCTCTAGTGTCTCACTGGGCTGAAATGAAAGTATTTCTCGGTCTGCAGTTCTCCTTGGGGGATAAGGGCCCGCTTCTCCAAGCTCACGTACTCTTAGCAGAATTCATTATGTTGCCGCTGTAAGACTGAGGTTTCTATTTTATTGATAGCTGTGGGATGGGAACTACTCTCAGCCCATCAAGCCCACCAACATTCCTTGCCATGTGACCTCCTCCACCTCTAAAGTAAGCAATAGTATACTGAACTTCTCTGAATTCCTCTTCTGCAATCAGTGAAGAAAAACTTTGCTTTCAAAAGATTTATGTGATTAGGTCAGTTCCATCCAGACAATCTTCCTATTAAGGTCAATTGATTTGGGGCTTTTATTATATCTGCAAAATCCCATTACAGTAGTGCTTAGATTAGTGGTTAATTGCATAAGTGGGAAAAGACATGTGTGCCCCAGATGTGGGAATCCCACAGAGGCCACCATCTTAGAATTTTGCCTATCACAACACTCCTCTCTGAAACAACTAAAACACTAGGTAAGATATATGAAACAGTGGTTCTTATGTCGCTGGTCATCAGGCAATGGTGGACAATGGCTACTAAGAGATGGAAACAGATGAATCCTACAATTACTGCAGTTTACTGCCTGGAGATAGTTTCTAGGCTAGAGTACAAGGAGAAGAAACCAGTAACAGTTCAGCAGTCCCTCCAATAGAACTGAGAGCCTGTGAGACCAAAGGCAGAGTTCTGGAGAAGAGAGAGTGACACATTGAACTCCAGAGATCTGCAAAGGGTCCCTTTCATGTCTTCAACATAGCACTAATCAGCATATGCAAGTATAGGACTTAGGCTCAGTCAGGAGAATATCACTCAAAATGATTGAATGTATTGAAGGGATCATCTCCAGGATGTATACAAACTGGGAAGCAGTTCCTGTTTCTACCAGATACATTAGGATATGTCATAATTCATGGGCTATTGGGTAGACTATCTGAAGTATGTTGCTTTAGTTGTGGGTTAGTATTACCTAGACTAAATTGAATGCTAGCGTTTATATAACAAATCTTAAAAGCATAAAAGGGTCAGACTGTTCCAAGTAAATTAACTGCAGCCCAGGACAAAACTTGAATATTTATAAAAGTACAAAAATATCTAGCACTCAACAAGGTAAAAATTCATATGTCCGGTACCCAAGAAAAATTTTCAGACATGGAAGGTATCAGAAAAATGTGACATATAATTATGACAAAGTCAGTCAATAGAAACATGACTCAGAAATGGTACAGATAATAGAATTATAGATGAAGATGTGAAAAAAATTGTAGCTATATTCCATATGTTCAAGAATGTAGAGAAAAGGTTATTGTGGAGAGACATGTAAAATATAAAGAAGGCCAAAATTGAATTCCCAGAGATTAAAAAAAAATCTAAGATGAAAAATACGTTGAATAGGACTAATAGCAGATTCAACTGCAGAAGAAAAAGATTAATGAACTTGTAGACATGGCAATAGAAACTATCAATGAAAACCAGCAAAAAGACTGAAAAAAAATGAATAATGTATCAACAAGCATGGGACAAATGAGATATATATATATATATATATATATATAATTTTTTTTTTTTTTTTTTGAGACAGAGTCTTGCTCTGTCACCCAGGCTGGAATGCAGTGGCGCAATCTCAGTTCACTTCAACCTCCGCCTGCCAGGTTCAAGCAATTCTCCTGCGTCGGCCTTTCAAGTAGCTGAAATTACAGGCATGTGCCACTATGCATGGCTAATTTTTTGTATTTTTAGTACAGACAGGGTTTCACCGTGTTAGCCAGGATTAGCCAGGATGGTCTCGATCTCCTGACCTCGTGATCCACCCACCTCGGCCTCCCAAAGGGACAAAATTTAATGGCATTTCTATATAGTAATGGTCAGGATTTTTACTCCTTAGTTCAGCTAAAATCGGGTTTCTTGTCTAACGACCAGGAAAAATTAGGCACACAGACACAATCAAAGGTGAGGAAAGTGGAATTTATTAAAAGAAAGTTCTCAGCAAAAGAAGAGGGGGTCAAGCTGTGTGTTCCTAGCTCACAGATTGAACACCAGGGACCATATAGGCTGAAGAGGCCAGTGTATCCCTCCTACCCCGCCCCACCCCCATGAGGCAAGAATTCCTGGTGGCTCTATCCCATTCTCCCAGTGCACAGGCAATCCCTTAGTCTGAGCCACTCCACATTGATTTATTTCCCTTACCGTGCATGTGTTAAGGGACAGAATTTTTTACCTTGGGCATGTTTAAGCAAGCCCTCTGTGCACAATGAGCAGGGCGGTATTTGGCTGTCTTTTGACTCTATCAGTAACAATGAAGAAATAGAACTTGAAATTAAAAGATTTTTTTGTGTGTGTGTGTGCGTTAAATTTCTTTTTTTATTACTATTATAATACTTTAAGTTTTAGGGTACATGTGCACAATGTGCAGGTTAGTTACATATGTATACATGTGACATGCTGGTATGCTGTACCCACTAACTCATCATCTAGCAATAGGTATATCTCCCAATGCTATCCCTCCCCCCACCCCACAACAGTCCCCAGAGTGTGATGTTCCCCTTCCTGTGTCCATGTGTTCTCATTGTTCAATTCCGACCTGTGAGTGAGAATATGCAGTGTTTGGTTTTTTGTTCTTGCGATAGTTTACTAAGAATGATGATTTCCAATTTCATCCATGTCCCTACAAAGGACATGAACTCATCATTTTTTATGGTTGCATAGTATTCCATAGTGTATATGTGCCACATTTTCTTAATCCAGTCTATCATTGTTGGACATTTGGGCTGGTTCCAAGTCTTTGCTATTGTGAATAGTGCTGCAATAAACATACGTGTGCATGTGTCTTTATAGCAGCATGATTTATAGTCCTTTGGGTATATACCCAGTAATGGGATGGCTGGGTCAAATGGTATTTCTAGTTCTAGATCCCTGAGGAATTGCCACACTGACTTCCACAATGGTTGAACTAGTTTACAGTCCCACCAACAGTGTAAAAGTGTTCCTATTTCTCCACATACTCTCCAGCACCTGTTGTTTCCTGACTATTTAATGATTGCCACTCTAACTGGTGTGAGACGGTATCTCATTGTGGTTTTGATTTGCATTTCTCT
This sequence comes from Homo sapiens, assembly GCF_000001405.40. NCBI lineage: Eukaryota > Metazoa > Chordata > Mammalia > Primates > Hominidae > Homo > Homo sapiens. The sequence continues at coordinate 183,591,598 of NC_000002.12, read as the reverse complement.
GATGGCAAGTGATGGTGAGCATTTTTTCATGTGTTTTTTGGCTGCATAAATGTCTTCTCTTGAGAAGTGTCTGTTCATGTCCTTCGCCCACTTTTTAATTGGGGTTGTTTGTTTTTTTCTTGTAAATTTGTTTGAGTTCATTGTAGATTCTGGATATTATCCCTTTGTCAGAGGAGTAGGTTGCGAAAATTTTCTCCCATTTTGTGGGTCGCCTGTTCACTCTGATGGTAGTTTCTTTTGCTGTGCAGAAGCTCTTTAGTTTAATTAGATCCCATTTGTCAATTTTGGCTTTTGTTGCCATTGCTTTTGGTGTTTTACACATGAAGTCCTTGCCCATGCCTATGTCCTGAATGGTAATGCCTAGGTTTTCTTCTAGGGTTTTTATGGTTTCAGGTCTAACGTGTAAGTCTTTAATCCATCTTGAATTGATTTTTGTATAAGGTGTAAGGAAGGGATCCAGTTTCAGCTTTCTACATATGGGTAGCCAGTTTTCCCACCACCATTTATTAAACAGGGAATCCTTTCCCCATTGCTTGTTTCTCTCAGGTTTGTCAAAGATCAGATAGTTGTAGATATGCGGCATTATTTCTGAGGGCTCTGTTCTGTTCCATTGATCTATATCTCTGTTTTGGTACCAGTACCATGCTGTTTTGGTTACTGTAACCTTGTAGTATAGTTTAAAGTCAGGTAGCGTGATGCCTCCAGCTTTGTTCTTTTGGCTAGGACTGACTTGGCAATGCAGGCTCTTTTTTGGTTCCATATGAACTTTAAAGTAGTTTTTTCCAATTCTGTGAAGAAAGTCATTGGTAGCTTGATGGGGATGGCATTGAATCTATAAATTACCTTGGGCAGTATGGCCATTTTCATGATATTGATTCTTCCTACCCATGAGCATGGAATGTTCTTCCATTTGTTTGTATCCTCTTTTATTTCATTGAGCAGTGGTTTGTAGTTCTCCTTGAAGAGGTCCTTCATGTCCCTTGTAAGTTGGATTCCTAGGTATTTTATTCTCTTTGAAGCAATTGTGAATGGGAGTTCACTCATGATTTGGCTCTCTGTTTGTCTGTTATTGGTGTATAAGAATGCTTGTGATTTTTGCACATTGATTTTGTATCCTGAGACTTTGCTGAAGTTGCTTATCAGCTTAAGGAGATTTTGGGCTGAGACAATGGGGTTTTCTAGATATACAGTCATGTCGTCCGCAAACAGGGACAATTTGACTTCCTCTTTTCCTAATTGAATACCCTTTATTTCCTTCTCCTGCCTAATTGCCCTGGCCAGAACTTCCAACACTATGTTGAATAGGAGTGGTGAGAGAGGGCATCCCTGTCTTGTGCCAGTTTTCAAAGGGAATGCTTCCAGTTTTTGCCCATTCAGTATGATATTGGCTGCGGGTTTGTCATAGATAGCTCTTATTATTTTGAGATACGTCCCATCAATACCTAATTTATTGAGAGTTTTTATCATGAAGAGTTGTTGAATTTTGTCAAAGGCCTTTTCTGCATCTATTGAGATAATCATGTGGTTTTTGTCTTTGGTTCTGTTTATATGCTGGGTTACATTTACTGATTTGCGTATATTGAACCAGCCTTGCATCCCAGGGATGAAGCCCACTTGATCATGGTGGATAAGGTTTTTGATGTGCTGCTGGATTCGGTTTGCCAGTATTTTATTGAGGATTTTTGCATCAATGTTCATCAAGGATATTGGTCTAAAATTCTCTTTTTTGGTTGTGTCTCTGCCAGGTTTTGGTATCAGGATGATGCCGGCCTCATAAAATGAGTTAGGGAGGATTCTCTCTTTTTCTATTGATTAGAAAAGTTTCAGAAGGAATGGTACCAGTTCCTCCTTGTACCTCTGGTAGAATTCGGCTGTGAATCCATCTGGTTCTGGACACTTTTTGGTTGGTAAGCTATTGATTATTGCCACAATTTCAGCTCCTGTTATTGGTCTATTCAGAGATGCAAGTACTTCCTGGTTTAGTCTTGGGAGAGTGTATGTGTCGAGGAATTTATCCATTTCTTCTAGATTTTCTAGTTTATTTGCATAGAGGTGTTGGTAGTATTCTCTGATGGTAGTTTGTATTTCTGTGGGATCGGTGGTGATATCCCCTTTATCATTTTTATTGCGTCTATTTGATTCTTCTCTCTTTTTTTCTTTATTAGTCTTGCTAGCAGTCTATCAATTTTGTTGATCCTTTCAAAAAACCAGCTCCTGGATTCATTAATTTTTTGAAGGGTTTTTTGTGTCTCTATTTCCTTCAGTTCTGCTCTGATTTTAGTTATTTCTTGCCTTCTGCTAGCTTTTGAATGTGTTTGCTCTTGCTTCTCTAGTTCTTTTAATTGTGATGTTAGGGTGTCAACTTTGGATCTTTCCTGCTTTCTCTTGTGTGCATTTAGTGCTATAAATTTCCCTCTACACACTGCTTTGAATGTGTCCCAGAGATTCTGGTATGTTGTGTCTTTGTTCTCATTGGTTTCAAAGAACATCTTTATTTCTGCCTTCATTTCGTTATGTACCCAGTAGTCATTCAGGAGCAGGTTGTTCAGTTTCCATGTAGTTGAGTGGTTTTGAGTGAGATTCTTAATCCTGAGTTGTAGTTTGATTTTGCTGTGGTCTGAGAGATAGTTTGTTATAATTTCTGTTCTTTTACATTTGCTGAGGAGAGCTTTACTTCCAAGTATGTGGTCAATTTTGGAATAGGTGTGGTGCTGAAAAAAATGTATATTCTGTTGATTTGGGGTGGAGAGTTCTGTAGATGTCTATTAGGTCCGCTTGGTACAGAGCTGAGTTCAATTCCTGGGTATCCTTGTTGACTTTCTGTCTCGTTGATCTGTCTAATGTTGACAGTGGGGTGTTAAAGTCTCCCATTATTAATGTGTGGGAGTCTAAGTCTCTTTGTAGGTCACTCAGGACTTGCTTTATGAATCTGGATGCTCCTGTATTGGGTGCATATATATTTAGGATAGTTAGCTCTTCTTGTTGAATTGATCCCTTTACCATTATGTAATAGCCTTCTTTGTCTCTTTTCATCTTTGTTGGTTTAAAGTCTGTTTTATCAGAGACTAGGATTGCAACCCCTGCCTTTTTTTGTTTTCCATTTGCTTGGTAGATCTTCCTCCATCCTTTTATTTTGAGCCTATGTGTGTCTCTGCACGTGAGATGAGTTTCCTGAATACAACACACTGATGGGTCTTCACTTTTTATCCAATTTGCCAGTCTGTGTCTTTTAATTGGAGCATTTAGTCCATTTACATTTAAAGTTAATATTGTTATGTGTGAATTTGATCCTGTCATTATGATGTTAGCTGGTTATTTTGCTCGTTAGTTGATGCAGTTTCTTCCTAGTCTCGATGGTCTTTACATTTTGGCATGATTTTGCAGTGGCTGGTACCGGTTGTTCCTTTCCATGTTTAGGGCTTCCTTCAGGAGCTCTTTTAGGGCAGGCCTAGTGGTGACAAAATCTCTCAGCATTTGCTTGTGTGTAAAGTATTTTATTTCTCCTTCACTTATGAAGCTTAGTTTGGCTGGATATGAAATTCTGGGTTGAAAATTCTTTTCTTTAAGAATGTTGAATATTGGCCCCCACTCTCTTCTGGCTTGTAGAGTTTCTGCTGAGAGATCCGCTGTTAGTCTGATGGGCTTCCCTTTGTAGGTAACCCGACCTTTCTCTCTGGCTGCCCTTAACATTTTTTCCTTCATTTCAACTTTGGTGAATCTGACAATTATGTGTCTCAGAGTTGCTCTTCTCGAGGAGTATCTTTGTGGCGTTCTCTGTATTTCCTGAACCTGAACGTTGGCCTGCCTTGCTAGATTGGGGAAGTTCTCCTGGATAATATCCTGCAGAGTTTTCCAACTTGGTTCCATTCTCCCCGTCACTTTCAGGTACACCAATCAGACATAGATTTGGTTTTTCACATAGTCCCATATTTCTTGCAGGCTTTGTTCATTTCTTTTTATTCTTTTTTCTCTAAACTTCCCTTCTCGCTTCATTTCATTCACTTCATCTTCCATCGCTGATACTCTTTCTTCCAGTTGATCGCATTGGCTCCTGAGGCTTCTGCATTCTTCACGTAGTTCTCGAGCCTTGGCTTTCAGCTCCGTCAACTCCTTTAAGCACTTCTCTGTATTGGTTATTCTAGTTATACATTCGTCTAAATTTTTTTCAAAGTTTTTAACTTCTTTGTCTTTGGTTTGTATTTCCTCCTGTAGCTCGTAGTTTGATCGACTGAAGCCTTCTTCTCTCAACTCATCAAAGTCATTCTCCGTCCACCTTTGTTCCATTGCTGGTGAGGAACTGCGATTCTTTGGAGGAGGACAGGTGCTCTGCTTTTTAGAGTTTCCAGTTTTTCTGCTCTGTTTTTTCCCCATCTTTGTGGTTTTATCTACTTTTGGTCTTTGATGATGGTGATGTACAGATGGGTTTTTGGTGTGGATGTCCTTTCTGTTTGTTAGTCTTCCTTCTAACAGACAGGACCCTCAGCTGCAGGTCTGTTGGAGTTTGCTAGAGGTCCACTCCAGACCCTGTTTGCCTGGGTATCAGCAGTGGTGTCTGCAGAACCGTGGTTTTTCGTGAACCGCGAATGCTGCTGTCTGATCGTTCCTCTGGAAGTTTTGTCTCAGAGGAGTACCGGGCCATGTGAGGTGTCAGTCTGCCCCTGCTGGGGGGTGCCTCCCAGTTAGGCTGCTCAGGGGTCAGGGGTCAGGGACCCACTTGAGGAGGCAGTCTGCCCATTCTCAGATCTCCAGCTGCGTACTGGGAGAACCACTGCTCTCTTCAAAGCTGTCAGACAGGGACATTTAAGTCTGCAGAGGTTACTGCTGTCTTTTTGTTTGTCTGTGCCCTACCCCAGAGGTGGAGCCTACAGAGGCAGGCAGGCCTCCTTGAGCTGTGGTGGGCTCCACCCAGTTCGAGCTTCCTGGCTGCTTTGTTTACCTAAGCAAGCCTGGGCAATGGCGGGCACCCCTCCCCCAGCCTCACTGCCACCTTGCAGTTTGATCTCAGACTGCTGTGCTAGCAATCAGTGAGACTCTGTGGGTGTGGGACTCTCCGATCCAGGTGCAGGATATAATCTCCTGGTGCGCCATTTTTTAAGCCCGTCAGAAAAGCACAGTATTCGGGTGGGAGTCACCTGATTTTCCAGGTGCCATCTGTCACCCCTTTCTTTGACTAGGAAAGGGAACTCCCTGACCCCTTGCACTTCCCGAGTGAGGCAATGCCTCACCCTGCTTTGGCTCGCACAAGGTGCGCTGCACCCACTGATCTGCACCCACTGTCTGGCACTCCCTAGTGAGATGAACCCGGTACCTCAGATGGAAATGCAGAAATCACCCGTCTTCTGCGTCGCTCACGCTGGGAGCTGTAGACCGGAGCTCTTCCTATTCGGCCATCTTGCCTCCTCCAAAATTTTAAAATATTATCTTAGAATGGCATAAACACAAAATACCTGTGTACTGAAAAGCTTAAAGCACTGCTGAGATAAATTAAAGTAGATCTAAATAATGGATCTAAATACTTAAATTCAAACACCTAATATTAAAATGTCGATTCACCCCAAATTGGCATGTATTTGTTCAATGTAATCTCAGTGGAAATCCTATCATATTTTTCGGTAGAAATTGGCAAAGTGCCTATAAAATTCATGTAGAAATTCAAAGTGTCTAGGGTAGCAAAACATTAAAAAAAATAAATTTGAAGGGTTTTTGCTACTCAATTTTAAGACTTAATAAAAAGCCATCCTAATCAATATAGTCTGGTATTTACCTAAGAATAGACAAGTAGCTCAGTCTAACAGAACCGAGAGCACAGAATTAGAACCATACATTAAAATTTGACTAAGGAGCAAAGCAATTTAGGAAATAAATGATTGCCTTTTCAACAATTTGTATGTCAGAACAACTGGATATTTACATGCAAAAACATCAATTCATGCTTCTCACTATATAAAAAAATTAACTCAAATGATTTATACAACTAAACATAAATCCCAAAACTATAAATATTTTATGGGAAAACCTAAGATAAAATCTTTATAATCTTGAGTTAAGCAAATATTTCTTAGCTATAACAACAAAATCATGACCCATTAAAGAGTAAATAGGTAAATGGAGCTTCATCAAAAGTTAAAACTTTAGGGAACTGGTACCATTCCTTCTGAAACTATTCCAAACAATAGAAAAAAGGGCTCCTCCCTAACTCCTTTGATGAGGCCAGCATCATCCTGATACCAAAACCTGGTAAAGACACAACAAAAAAAGAAAAGTTCAGGCCAGTATCCCTGATGAACATCAATGCAAAAATCCTCAATGAAATACTGGCAAACCGAATCCAGCAGCACATCAAAAAGCTTATCCACCATGTTCAAGTCGGCTTCATCCCTGGGATGCAAGGCTGGTTCAACATATGCAAATCAATAAACATAATCCATTGCATAAAGAGAACCAATGACAAAAACCACATGATTATCTCAATAGATGCAGAAAAGGCCTTCAATAAAATTCACCCCTTCATGCTAAAGACTTTCAATAAACTAGGTATTCATGGAACATATCCCAAAATAATAAGAGCTATTTATGACAAACCCATAGCCAATATCATACTGAAAGGGCAAAAGCTGGAATCATTCCCTTTGAGAACTGGCACAAGACAAGGATACCCTCTCTCACCCCTCCTATTCAACACAGTATTGGAAGTTCTGGCCAGGGAAATCAATCAAGAGAAAGAAATAAAGCATATTCAAATAGAGAGGAAGGCAAATTGTCTCTGTTTTCAGATGACATGATTGTATACTTAGAAAACCCCATCATCTCAGCCCAAAAACTCCTTAAGCTGATAAACAAAGTCTCAGGATCCAAAATCAATGTGCAAAAATCACAAGCATTCCTATACAGCAATAATAGACAAACAGCCAAATCATGAGTGAACTCCCATTCACAATTGCTACAAAGAAAATAAAACACCTAGAAATAAAACTTACAAAGGATGTGAAGGACCTCTTCAAGGAAAACTACAAACCACTGCTCAAGGAAATAAGAAAGGATACAAATAAAAATAACAAATCCATGCTCATGGATAGGAAGAATCAATATTGTGCAAATGGCCATACTGCCCAAAGTAATTTATAGATTCAATGCTATTCCCATCAAGCTACCATGGACTTTCTTCACATAATTAGAAAAAACTACTTTAAACTTCATATGGAACAAAAAAAGAGCCCGCATAGCCAAGACAATCCTAAGCAAAAAGAACAAAGCTGGAGGCATCATGCTACGTGACCTCAAACTATACTACAGGGCTATAGTAACCAAACAGCTATTTGTCCTAACGTTTGGTACTGGTACCAAAACAGATATATAGACAAATAGGACAGAACAGAGGCCTCAGAAGTACATCTACAACCATCTCATCTTTGACAAACCTGACAAAAACAAGCAGATGGATTAAAGACTTAAATGTAAGACCTAAACCATGAAAACCCTAGAAGAAAACCTAGGCAATACCATTCAGGACATAGGCATGGGCATAGACTTCATGAGTAAAACACCTAAAGCAATGGCAACAAAAGCCAAAATTGACAAATGGGATCTAATTCAACTAAAGAGCTTCTGCACAGCAAAAGAAACTATCATCAGAGTGAACAGGCAACCTACAGAATGGGAGAAAATTTTTGCAATCTATCCATCTGACAAAGGGCTAATATCCATAATCTACAAGGAACTTAAACAAGTTTACAAGAAAAAAACAACTCCATCAAAAAGTGGGCGAAGGATATAATCAAACAATTCTCAAAAGAAGACATTTTTGCAGCTAACAAACATGAAAACTCATCATCACTGGTCATCAGAGAAATTCAAATCAAAACCACAATGTGATACCATCTCATGCCAGTTAGAGCGGCGATCATTAAGAAGTTAGGAAGCAACAGTTGTTGGAGGGGATGTGGAGAAATAGGAAAGCTTTTACATTGTTTGTGGGAGTGTAAACTAGTGCAACCATCGTGGAACACAGTGTGGTGATTCCTCAAGGATCTAGAACCAGAAATACCATTTGACCCAGCAATCCAATTACTGGGTATATACCCAAAGGATTATAAATCATTCTACTATAAAGACACATGCACAGGTACGTTTATGGCAGAACTATTCACAATAGCAAAGACTTGGAACTAGCCCAAATTCCTATCAATGGTAGACTGGATAAAGAAAATGTGGCACATATACACCATGGAATACTATGCAGCCATAAAAGAAGAATGAGTTCATGTCCTTTGCAGGGACATGGATGAAGCTGGAAACCATCATTCTCGACTAACTAACTGAGGAACAGAAAACCAACAACTGCATGTTCTCAGTCATAAGTGGGAGTTGAACAATGAGAACACATGGACACAGGGAGGGGAGCATCACACACCAGGGCCTGTCGGGGGTTGAGGGGCAAGTGGAGCGAGAACATTAGGACAAATAACTAATGCATTTGGGGCTTAAAACCTAGATGACGGGTTGATGGGTGCAGCAAACCACCATGGCACATGTATACCTGTGTAATAAACCTGCACGTTCTGCACATGTATCCTGAAATTAAAATATTTAAAAAGAAAATGTAAATTTAAAAAAAACTTCTCTTCTTTAAAAGCCACTTACAAGAGAATGAAAAGACAACCCATAGACTGCACATCACATATTGGATGCTAGATTTGTATCCAGAATATGTAAACAATGCTTAAAACTCAATAAGAAAAAAGTGACTCAATAAAAAGAATGGGCAAAATATTTGACACTTTACTAGGTATGTATGAATGGTGTGGTAGACAGAACAATGGCTTCCCAAAAATATACACATCCTACTCCCCAGAAAATATTAATATGCTACCTTACATGGCAAAGTGGAATTAAGATAGCAAATGTAATTAAGGTTGTTAGCAGAAGTTAAAAATGGAGAGATTAGCATGAGTTACCCAAGTGAGCCCCATATAATAATCACAGGGTTCTTTGTTTTTTGTTTTTTTTTTTTTTTTTTTTTTTGAGACGGAGTCTCACGTTGTTACCCACACTGGAGTGCAATGGCGTGATCTCAGCTCATTGCAACCTCTGTCTCCCAGGTTCACATGATTCTCCTGTCTCAGACTCCCAAGTAGGTAGGACTACAGGCACACACCACCACGCCTGGCTAATTTTTTGTATTTTTAGTAGAGACGGGGTTTCACCATATTGTTCAGGCTGGTCTCAAACCCCTGATCTCAGGTGATCTACCTGCCTCGGCCTCCGAAAGTGCTGGGATTGCAAGCATGAGCCACCCTGCCCGGCCCTCACAGCGTTCTCAAATATGTAAATGGGAGGCAAAAGAATCAATGTTAGAGAGATACAACATGAGAATGGCTTGTGTGGAAATTATTGACTTTGAAACTGGAGAAAGGGGCCATAAGCCGAGGAATACGGGCAGTCTATAAAGGCTGAAGAGGCAAAACAGAGTGATACGGTTTGGCTCTGTGTCCCCACCCAAATCTCATGCTGAATTATAATCCCCAGTGTTAGGGCCTGGTGGTAAGTGATTTGATCATGGAGGTGGACTTCCCACTTCCTGTTGTTGTGATAGTGAGTTCTCACAAGATCTGCTTGTTTAAAAGCCCCCTTTGCTCTGTCTGTTCTTTCTGATCCAGCCATTTAGGATGTGCCTGCTTTCCCATCACCTTCCACCATGATTGTAAGTTTCCTGAGGCCTCCCCAGCCATGCTTCCTGTACAGCCTGTTAACTGTGAGCTAGTTAAGCCTCTTTCATTTATAAATTACCCAATCTGAGGTCTGTCTTTTTTTTTTTTTTTTTTTTTTTTTTTTTTTTTTTTTTTTGGATAGAGTTTTGCTCTTGTCACCCAGGCTGGAGTACAGTGGTGTGATCTTAGCTTACTGTAACCTCCACCTCCCGGGTTCAAGAAATTCTCCTGCCTCAGCCTCCCTAGTAGCTGGGATTACAGGCATCCACCACCATGCCTGACTAATTTTTTTGTTTTGTTTTTGTTTTTTGTTTTTAGTAGACACAGGTTTTCACCATGTTGGCCAGGCTGCTCTCGAACTCCTGACCTCAGGTGATCTGCCTGCCTCAGCCTCCCAAAGTGCTGGGATTGCAGGCATGAGCCACCATGCCCAGCCCAATCTGAGGTATTTCTTTACAGCAATGCGAGAATGGACTAATACACAGAGTGACTCCTAGGGCCTCCAGAAAGAAATGCATCCCTGCAGAGCTCTTTCTCTTTCTAGAGAAATTTCTCTCATCATTCTCTCCTGTTCAGTATTCAAGTCTCCCCTTGTGTACTGTCAAAGAGGCTAATGGAAAGTGTTTCAAGCCAATAGCTTCATGGTAGTTTGGTATAGCAGCAATAGGATGCTAATACAGATGGCAAACAAGTGCATGGATAGTTGTTCAACATCATTGGTCATTAGGCAAACACAAACTAAAGCTACAGTGAAATACCATTAAACTAAATTTTAGAATGGTTAAAATTAAAAATACTGATCATTCCAAGTTTGTGTGATGATATAGAGGAACTGAAACTCAACACTTCTGGTGGAAGTACACAATTTTGCAACCATTTTGGAAAACTGGTAGTTTCTTGACAATATGATAATGCATCTACTATATGACCTATCTATCTAACTTGTACGTATTTACCTAAGTCAGACAGAATCCTGTCTATACAAGGATCCGTACACAAATTTTTATACTACCTTTATTCATATTAGTCCCAAACAAGAAACATTCCAATTGTCCATTGGTGAATGTACAAACACCATGTGGTGTGTTTATAACAATGAACTATTTAGCAATAAAAATAAATGAAATATTAATATGTGGTACACATAGATAAGCCACAGAAACATTATGGTAAATGAAAGAAGCCAGACTAAAATTAGTAGACTCTGTATTATTTCAATTATATGAAATTCTAGAAAACAAATGAATCAACAGTGACAGAAAAACAATCAGTAGTTGCCTGAAGACAAGAGTGGAGATTGACAAGACAAAGGAGGATTACAAAGAGGCTCAAGGATCTCTTAGGGTATCATGGACACATTTGTGAGAAAACTTGATTGTGGTAATGGTTCTATGTTATATACATGTCAACACCTATCCCATCACACACATTCATTCACATTCATTATGTGTAGCTTGTTTGACTTCAAAAAGCTTTAAAAAAATATAAAAGTGAGAATTTTTCCATTACTTTTTTGAGACTCTAAGGATCGAAGCTAAAAAGGTTAACTTATCCCACATTTCAAAGACAGGTATTAGACCATGTATAGTCAACTGCTTTGTGTCCTAAACTTGACTGGCCACTTTGCATTAGTAATTTTGACAATACAAAAGGGGAGGCTAGAAGGGCTAGAATACTAAGCAGGAGAGACTGATGAACAAAATTTCTCTAGAAAGAGAGAGAGCTCTGCTGCTACTTTGTTTCCCCATCCTATATGGTAGGAGGATGCTTTAAGTTTATCTTAAACCAGTGAGCAGCAAGTAAGAGACCTTTAGAAAAAAGCACCTTGAATATCTGCCGTATGATCTCTGGAAGCTGGGGAAGGCGGAGACTAGGACATGATCTGTGAATTAAAGAAGGCCAAAGCTGAAAGACTGGCCATTTGCCTGACAACAGAGCACGGAAAGAAGGCCATGATGTAGGAACTACATTCCAGAAATGCCAGGAAATGAGCCTATTTCTCTTATCTAGACATAAGGCACAGAGACAGGAGCTGACTGTGAGTTGTCCTGAAAGGGCTACTGATTACATGGATCACCTGCCGGATGCTGTGATACCAAAAGAGATAATCTGCTGTGGGGTGAATTTCCACAAGTCTAGAAATGAAGCAAGCTTTTTCACAGACAGCCGGAGGAGGCAACTTCATTCCAGCTAACTGAAATCAAAGAATCTTTAAATGGGGGATCACTCCCCATTGTTAAATGGAACCCACAAAAGCATTCTGAAGAGGAAAAGACAACATTGGGCACCTTCCTGATAAAGGCACCAACATCAGATTAACAACAGTGCCAGTCAACTATACATTTCTGCCTCGTCCTCTTTTTCTTTGCCTATATAACGTTGAAGAAAGAGTGGCAGAGGGGCAAGTGGGGAAGGAGGAGTAGAAAGTATGGTGGAAAAATGATGATGAAGCCAACTTTGTGCTGTGTCCAAGAATGCTAGCTGTTTCCCCAAATTGATTCTCTCCTTAAGAGATGATAAATTACATAATTTTCAGTGGACAAACGGCTATCCCCCCACTATTTCTTGGGCTCCCTGTACTTCTGAGAGGCCATGTGATCCAATTTTGGCTTGATGTAAGCAGTAATGTCATCTGTGACTTCCAAAATGTGTGTTTAAACAAAAGGGACAGAGCATTCTTCATCTCTTTCCTGCTGCTAGGGAGAATATGGATGTGATGCCCTGAGTGCTTTCAGTCATACTGAAGTGGAAGTGGATGTCATGTGACAAGAATAATGGACAAGCTAGTATAAGGAGCCTGAGTCCCTGATGACAGTGTGGTACCAGCCTCCCAGACCTGGACTTTACATAAAGAAGAAAGAAACTTCTATCTCTTTTAAGGCACTGGAAGTTTGACTATGCACATCTTAATCTAATATTGATATATGTGCCTTCATCAAGAGAATTTTCACAATTTGAGACAGTACTGAGCTGGAGAAGGAGAGAAGTTCTGATTTGGGTAATAGTGAAACTGTATTTTCTGTGTAAATGGACTTAACACCTCTAAAATGAGACTTGAGCCACTAATGGACTTAATATCTCAATGAGACTCTAGCTCACTAATATCTAAGACTGACTGGAAGAATAGCCTTGTGATCTATCTCTGAGGGGTGCAGATGGGAGATTCATTGATAGACAAAAGCAGTAAAGTAAAAACAAAGTTATATGTATGTTCCCTTTCTTCTGGGTCTAACTCATTCAATGAATTGGTTACACATTTTTTTCCTAATTGACTGATCAACACTTTATTATGTGTATGAACTCAGTTTAATATACTCATGATACATACTACCTCAAATTGCTCAGAGGAATCTTTAACCATTGTTAAAATATTGCTTATTAATATAACAAAGATATTAATGTTGGAGTCTTAGTAATTAAATATAATTGTAATAACTAATACAGAGCTATAATTATTTTCAACTTTGTCACAAAGAATCTTTATACAATATTTGTTCTTCCTCTATTTAGGGTGCTATAATTGATTCTAATGAGATCTTACATTGTATTGGATATACTTATAGTTCACCTTTCCATTGAACCTAAATTAGATTTTTTTTAACATAACCTTATTTGAACACATATTGGAAGACAAATGTGTTCCCCCCCAATACCTCCTTCTGTGTTTGGCATCTTGCACAATTATGAGACAGATATCCCTTGAGAGACGCTATGGTTTTCAATTGCCCTTGAAAGAGAACATTTCTTCTCATAAGCAATTGTAGAAAGAAGGCTTTCATTACACCTCCGTTTCAGCTGTTTTGAAGGATGATTACCTCTTTCTTCTGGTGCTTAGATATTAACCTTGGTTGCCCTTGAAAGAACTTGTTCCTTCTGCCAATGGTTTTACCATCCTGATTTGCTTTTCAAAGGGAATGTTATGCATCCTATATTGACTATATTTTGTCAGGCCATTCCAAATATACTTTCCAAATTTGGCAGCCATTTTTTTGTATGTGTTTTAGTAATAACTGGACCAAAACATGATTTTTTAAAATTAATTTCTCTGTCATTTTCCTTTGTCCTCTTTTTTTCTTGCAATTATAAATGGTGCTGCCATGAGCTTTCTTTACTCACAAAAGAATTATGCATAAAAAGTTTCCAGCTATTTACTTGAAGTAAATATTGAAAAATAGAATAACAAGCATATTGCCACTAACATTTATTGATTCTTACTATCAATAAGGCTGTAGGCTAAGTCTTAATTAAAACACATTTTCTGTTTTAATCTTCACAATGAGGTAGTGCTGTTAATGTTTTGAACACATGAAAGAACTGAGGCACAGAGATATTAAATATATTGTCCATCGTCATGCAGAAAGTGATATAGTCAGAATTTGAACATAGACTTTCTTCTTTTAGTGCCCTGGAGACAAACCACTGTGAGGAGTTATTATTCTAAAATGTAAGTCTAACCATGTTACTCACCACTGATGTTTTACAGGTAAATGATGCCAGTAAAAACCTGACTTAAATAAATGTTCTCAATGTGACTATAACCTATATTTTCAATCCTCACCCAGTCTGTTTCTGTCACACACAAATCATCATCTTACACCAGAAGTGTGGAACCACTTTTCTGTCCAGGTTATATTCTCTTATGACTATACTTTGGTGTGTGGGGATCCATTCATGCTTAATCCCTTTGTGTATGTTAATCACCTGCAACCATTTCACTCATTCTTCAATATGTCATTTATGAAGACTTTCTCAATCTTCACACTGGAAAGAATTAATTATATCCTCTAGAGTGGGGCGAGACTGCTACTACAGAACAATGTTTTGAAAAAATTGTCATAAAGGAAAAAAGAATGTTAGGATGGTATCTGGAGTAAAAGTAGGGATAAGGAAAATATATTTTTTAAGATGGGGGATATTTCAACATATTTAAATGTTTATGGGACAGTTCCTGTAAAGAGAGAGGCTAAAATGGGAATTATTCTTAGTGAGTGGCATGTAAAAAGATGTGAGGAGATGGGATCCAGAGTAACGAGAAGAATTTGCCTTAGAGAGTTTCCCTGGGAAGAAAGATGCTATTTTAAGATCAGGAAAAGAAGAACATCCAGGTAGGTATGTCTTTTTGGAACCTGAGAGTCAAAAGAGTACCTAATTTTCTGTGAAGGAAGAATTGATGCCACTGAAAGTTGGTGAAGTCTTGTGGAGTCAGAGGGAGAAAAAAGAGAATGAATAAGTTGCTCAAATCATAATTCCAATTGTGCAGTTTAAAAGTCTTCGTGTTTGCAAAGGAGCATATCACATGTAAAATATAGAGAAGTGGAAACAGAGCTAAACATTTAAAGGGGCTGCAGGGATAATGTTCCATCATCACTTGATTAGTAACATCTCCACAACACAAATAATGAAATGAATTGAATGTGTAGAACAAAGGGGAATAAGGATGCAGGCCAGCTTTCCCCTATGGAGTTTTGTCTAGCTATGTCTGGTTATGTTGTTTGTCTCACAGAATATATATTTTTTCTCTTTAACATGCAGATCTTAATAAGATCAGTCACCTGGAGCTTTCACAACAATAGAAGGTCTAAGTGCTGAAACAATAGGAAGTCTAAGATATTTATAATTTTTGCTTTATCAAATGTGGTATCAGCTTTTCTCTAAAAATGAACTCTAACAAGAGATAATCAAATGACAGGGACTGTTTCTTTAGTCCTTGCAATCGCATTTTAGTTCTCTGCATATGATCAACAAATTCTGGTTGAAATGCTTTTCATGAAATCTGTGGTTCTTATCATTTTCTAACTTCCTCTTCTCTCTGTGTAGAGACATTAACACCTAAATTTCAGTGACTCTTATGAGCAATACTTTGATTTTCATTTTGTTCTGCTAGGACCACTAGGATGGCAGTTCAAAGCATTGTTTTCCCCATGCTAGAGGGTCTGTTCTCTTACTTAGGTAATTTAGGGAATTGTTTAGTTGTTTAAGTTCATTCAAACAATGGCCAGTTCTGATATCAAAGCATTTCTTTTTGTTACTCTTTGCTTGAAATAAGAAATTCAAAGCTCTGAAAATGTTACATACAGAGCAACACTTTCCCAGGGAGAGATTAACATAGCAATAGATTCCTCAGAACTGTAATCTACTACTTTTCAAATGAATGTCAACTTATGCTGGCCAGTGCCTTCAAATGCTCTAATCACTTCATCTGTTCTGTTCTCTGCTTTCAAAAACTAAAATACAATTCTTAATGTTTGTTTCATTGTCATACTGTCACCAAGGATACCTGACACAAAGATTTGCAGCACTGTAGGATTACAACAAAAGGTTATAGATCTTCATTACTGACTTCAGTACAGACAATCATTACAGAACGCTAGAGCACCGAATATTTTGGTGCCTAAGATTCTTTAAAGTGGTTATCTTAGATGATGTTTACCTTCTCTGTATAGTATATATAATAAACTGTGAAGATTTCCACAAGTCATTACAAATCAACCCTTAAATTGTCAGTTTCTGTGGTATTATATCTAGCCAGTGGATTTTCACTGGTTCATATCAGTACTTGGAACATATAAGAATGTTATTTTTAAAACATAATATTTCTTTTTTGAACTTTTAAGTTCAGCGGTACAAGTGCAGGTTTGTTACACAGGTAAACTTGTGTCATGGGGGTTTGTTGTAGAGATGATTTCATCACCCAGGTAATAAGCCTAGTACCCATTAGTTATTTTTCCTGATCCTCTCCCTTCTTCCACCTGCCAATCTCCAAAAGGCCCCAGTGTGTATTGTTCCCCTCCATGTGTCCATGTGTTCTCATCATTTAGCTTCTACTTATAAGTGAGAACATGCGGTATTTGATCTTCTGTTCCTGTGTTAGTTTGCTAAGGATAATGGCCTCTAGTTCCATTCATGTCCCCGCAAAGGGCATGATCTCATTCTTTTTTATTACTGCATAGTATTCCATTGTGTATATGTACCACATTTTCTTTATCCAGTCTATCATTCATGGGCATTTAAGTTGCTTCCACGTCTTTGCTATTGTAAATAGTGCTGCAATTAACATACATGTGCATGTGTTTGTATAACAGAATGATTTATATTCCTTTGGGTATATACCCAGTAATGAGATTACTGTGTTGAATGGTATTTCTGTCTTTAGGTCTTTGAGGAAATACTGTCTTCCACAATGGTTGAACTAATTTACACTCCTACTAACAGTGTATAAGCATTCATTTTTCTCTAAGCATAATATTTCTATTTACCTTCTTAATTATTTTTTCCCTACTTCAATTTTCTAGCTATAATTGAATGCAAAGAATTCAAAATTCCAACATCTATTCATATACCATATGTTAGTTTGACCAGTAAAAAGATAAACCAAGACCCTGATTTAAGAAATGAATGAATTATTCATTAACCTGAACAGGAAATTGGACTTTTTGATCTTCAGCATGTGTCTGATTATGGCATAGAGAGGTATCCAGGATGATCAAACTCTGCAATTACACAGAATTTCATTGAAACCACATAAAAAGTTCAGAAAGGCCATATGATGAAAATGTGAATTTAATTTAAAGCCAGAGAGTTTGATATTACTTACTCTTCATTTTTACATCTTACTGGTTTTTCTATTATAAACAATAATTTATGCAGTCCTCTGTTGTTATTTTTAATTGTTGTAGCTGATGTTTCTTTTATTCATGGCCAATAATTAATAGTATAATATTTAGTAAGTATAATTTATAGACTTGCTTCCAGGTCATCTTGAACATTTTGAAGAAAAAAAACTACCAATGTATTCCCAAACTAAAAATTATGTAAAATTTAATTCCATATCTAATAGTTAAGGATTTTTTTAGATTAATTCTATAAACCATATAACATTTCATTGTTTTTATATGGCCTGTTGATTTTTATATTATCTGAATTAGTATGTCACATTTTAAAAAAATACTTGCATAGAATAACTCATTTATTCATCTAATGCAAATTGAGTACATATTAAACAATTTTGTGCAAAAAGGTACCTTACTTGCAAGAAGCTCACAGTCCAATAAGGGAGAGAGACAGAAAATCTGATAAATTGCAATGTACAAAAGTATTGTACATTTTAAAATAACTAAAAGAGTGGAATTGAAGTGTTCCTAAAACAAAGGAATGATAAAAACTTGAGGTGATGGATATCCCAGTTATCCTGATTTGATCATCACGCATTTTATGCCCATATTAAAACATCTCATGTACCCCATAAATGTATACAAATGCTATGTATCCATAATATTTAAATTTTTTAAAAAAGAGAAAAATAAGTGATAGGTCAAAAATATGATAAAAATGAAGCAAGAACACAGAATGAAGCAATGAATTCTACCCCAGAAGACTGGGAAGATAGTGTTGGAGAGGTGAACGTTGAAGAAATGGAAAGCTTTCATTTCTTCACAACCAAAGCTTCCATTTCTTCACACAGCAATCCCATTACTGGGTATATACCCAAAGTAATATAACTCATTCTATTATAAATACACATGCATGTGTGTTTGCATTGCAGCACTATTCACAATAGCAAAGACATGGAATCAACCTAAATACCTATCAGTGGTAGACTGGATGAGAAAATGTGGTTTTACAGTGAGCCAAGATCATGCCACTGCACTCCAGCCTAGTGACAGAGTGAGACTCCATCTCAAAAAGTGATTAAAAAAAAAAGATAGTGTAATAGTCTGTTTTCCCACTGTTGATAAAGACATACCCAAGACTTGGCAATTTGCAAAAGAAAGAGAGGTTTAATGGACTACAGTTCTACAGGGCTGGGGAGGCCTCACAATCATGGCAGAAGGCAAGGAGGAGCAAGTCACATCTTCCATGGATGGCCACAAGCAAAGAGAGAGAGCTTCAGCAGGGAACATCCACCTTATAAAACCATCAAATCTCATGAGACTTATTCACTATCATTAGAACAGCATGGGAAAGGCCTGCCCCCATGATTCAATTACCTCCCACTGACTCCCTCCCACAACACATGGAAATTCAACATGAGATTTGGGTGGGGACACAGTCAAACCACATCATTCTGTCCCTGGCCCCTCCCAAATCGCATGTCTTCACATTTCAAGACCAACCATGCCTTCCCAACAGTCCCTCAAAGTTTTAACTCATTTCAGCATTAACTCTAAAGTCCCTAGTCCAACATCTCATCTGAGACAAGGCAAGTCCCTTCCAGTTATGAGCCTGTAAAATCAAAAGCAAGTTAGTTACTTCCTGGATACAATAAGGGTACAGGCATTGGATAAATGCTATTCCAAATGGGAGAAATTGCCCAAAACAAGGGGACTATAGGCCCCATGCAGGTCTGAAATCCAGCAGGGCAGTCAAATCTTTAAGTTCCAAAATGAGTCTCCCTAGGCTCTGTCTCTCACATCCAGGCCACGTGGATGCAAGAGAGGGGTTCCATGGTCTTGGGCAGCTCTACCCTTGTGGCCTTGCAGAGTACAGCCTCCCTCCTGGTTGCTTTCATGGGTTGGCATTGAGTGTCTGCAGCTTTTCTAAGGGCATGGTGCAAGCTATCCAGAAGACGGTGGTCCTCTTCTCACAGTTCTACTAGGTGGTGCCCCAGTAGGGACTCTGTGCAGGGGCTCCAGTCCCACATTTCCCATCCACACTGCCCTAGCAGTGGTTCTCCATGAGGGCCCCAACCCTGCATCAAACTTCTGCCTGGGCATCCAGGGGGTTCCATACATCCTCTGAAATCTAGGCAGAGGTTTCCAAACCCCA
The DNA here is from genome assembly GCF_000001405.40 of Homo sapiens. Classification (NCBI taxonomy): domain Eukaryota; kingdom Metazoa; phylum Chordata; class Mammalia; order Primates; family Hominidae; genus Homo; species Homo sapiens. The sequence goes on along the minus strand of NC_000002.12, from coordinate 183,572,126 downwards.
ATTCTTGATTTCTGTGCACTCACAGGCTCAACACCACATGGAAGCTTTCAAAGCTTGAGGTTGCACCCAATGAAGCCACGGCCTGAGCTCCACATTGACCTGTTTCAGCCATGGCTGGAGGGGCCGGGATGCAAGGCACCGAGTCCCTAGGCTGCACACAGCACAGAGACCCTGGGCCAGCCCACAAAACCACTTTTTCTTCCTAGGCTTCAGGGCCTGTGATGGAGAGGCTGCTGTGAAGACCTCTGAAATACCCTGGAGAAATTTTCCCCATTGTCTTGGGGATTAACATTCAGCTCCCTGTTACTTATGCAAATTTCTGCAGCTAGCTTGAATTTCTCCTCAGAAAATGGGATTTTCTTTTCTATCACACTGTCAGGCTGCAAATTTTTTGAACTTTTAGGCTCTGTTTCCCCTTTAAAACTGAATGCCTTTAACAGCACCTAAGTTGCCTCTTGAATGCTTTGCTGCTTAGAAATTTCTTCCACCAGATACCCTAAATCATCTCTCTCAAGTTCAAATTTCCACAAATCTCTAGAGCAGGGACAAAATGCTGCCAGTCTCTTTGCTTAAACACAACAAGAGTCAACTTTGCTCCAGTTCCCAACAAGTTCCTCATTTCCATCTGAGACTACCTCAACCTGGACTTTATTGTCTATATCGCTATCAGCATTTTGGGCAAAGCCATTCAATAAGTCTCTAGGAAGTTTCAAACTTTCCCACATTTTCCTGTCTTCTTCCGAGCCCTCCAAACTTTTCCAACCTTTGCCTGTTACCCAGTTCCAACATCACTTCTACATTTTCAGGTATCTTTTCAGCAGTGCCCCACTCTACTGGTACCAATTTACTGTATTAGCCTGTTTTCATGTGGCTGATAAAGACATATCCAAGACTGGGCAATTTACAAAAGAAAGAGGGATTTAATGCACTTACAGTTCCATGTGGCTAGTGAGGCATCACAATCATGGCAGAAGGAAAGGAGGAGCAAATCATGTCTTACATGGAAGGCAGCAGGCAGAAAGAGAGAGCTTGTACAGGGAAATTCCCCCTTATAAAACTATCAGATCTCATGAGACTTATTCACTATCACAAGAAAAGCACAGGAGATACCTGCCCCATGATTCAATTACCTCCCACCAGGTCCCTCCAACAACACATGGGAATTCAAGATGAGATTTGGGTGGGGACACAGCCAAACGATATCAGATACTGTAAAACTTAAGATAATCCTAGAAAGACAGTTGTATGTGCAAACATATAAAGGTAGATAAAATTTTCTACCTGGTCAGGAAGGTAACTTTAACCCTGGTGTCAGAGGATATTATCAGCTCACAGGCTATTGCAGGAATGAAGAGTTTATTCCATGTCCAGTAGGTGACAAAAATACCTACAAAAACTGCAACCACTAGCCTTATGCTGATTGTTTTTTTTGGTTGAAATTTCTTCCACTTTGTAATCAAATTTTTATTTTCCTGTCTACATAGGACTGTGTTTGAGGCCTGACAAAGGTAAGCATGCTAATATATACATCTTAGAGAAATTACATTTCACTATGATAAGCTCAAATGATTTATTTTTCAAAAATATTACCAAAAGTCATCTGGATGGGGTATGGTAAATGAGACTAGCTTCTGAAGTCTCTTCAGTGTTTTTAGCCCAAGGTACACTCAGGATGATTACGATATTCTACCTGGGCAGGTGAAGATCTTGCTAGATTGTAGGAAACCCCTAATGGTAGCTTAACAAACCTCTTATACCCCTAACTATGGCATCCTAAAATTCCAAAGTATGTGTCCTATATACTGGCAAAACTGCCTTTCATAAGCCATATATCTATATCTAACAACCGTGCTCTTGGTATCATGTTTTACTTTGTTACCAGGAAATCAAACATGTTCTTTTATTTTTGTTTGGTGATAAGAAGACCAACAGTAGTTCATGTATACATTTTACCAGGCTAGAAATTCCTGTAGAAGGACTATACCTTTCCACATAGTTCAGGTAGAAAAGTCCTGGAGACATCTCTAGTTAGGTTGGCTGGGGTCAATGTAATTAATAGCCCTTGCTGGCTCTCACTCTTCTGGTCCAGGTGAGAAGAGTAAGGTGAGCCCTGTGTAAATCTCATCACATGGAATGGAATTCCTATAGAAAGAGGAATTTGAATAATAGGAAAAAAAAAAGTGTGTGTGTGTATTTAAACTGGTGGTGGCAGGCTGGAACCAAGAAATGGCAAATACCCACAATAGTCATCAATACTGTTGGCTTTTGTTAATATTATTTTATTGTTTCATTGTTGATGTATTTTATTTTCACTATTGTAAATGCACCTAAGTTGGTTCTCAGAGCAAAAAAAAAATATTTAGTGCAATAAAGATACTTCTGTCTTCCCATTGTATATTTTTCCCATTATAAAAATAGAATAATACCTGCCTGTTCTACTAAGATTTTTTTTAAATATAGCACTAATTGTGTGTAGCAAAATAAATTTGTTCCTTTAATCTGGCAGACATTAAGCCACTCCACAACTCTGAGTAAGATTCACTAATTACCTAATGCATTTAAAATTGTCTCTGAGTTATAAAGACCTTTGCTTTTTTTTCTTTACCTGTCCACTGATGTCTGCTAATATTAATTAGATTGTAACCACTAAATTAATATAAAGAAAAATAAAGTGCATAAATAAGAGATAGAAATGACGTTGCCTTTCTACATATTTTATGTTTTTTCACCTCAGGCAATGATCTAAAATATTCTTCACAGGAAAGTGGCTGTATAGTGATAGAAGCTTTTACTCAAATATTGTAAAGGTTTAATGATTTCAGTAAATCATCATTAATCTTGCTAATGAAATTTCTGCACTTTAAGTGGTAATTGACAATTTTTTTAGCTCCATAATATTTTCATAATTTACCTGTTTTTAACCTGCCCTTCATATTTTTATGCTGCAATGGAATATCTTATTTATATAAACCACTTTCTGTTTTTAAAGAGCGTATTAAGGTCATCTGTACTCTCTGGGTGGAATACATGTATCTGCTATGTTCAGTTTAAATCTTAGCCTTTAACATTTTAATAATGCTAGTTATTACAGTTTTTCCATTCTAATCAGGAAATATTTGTCAGGGAAAATTTTGAATCTGATTTCTATATGTGAATTCATAGCCAATGAATGATTGATTAATTACATTGTTACTATGTTTACTTAATTGATTTTTCTCTTAGTTTATGGTGTTTCTCATTAGAGTTTTAAGTGGAAACAATCGTGTCAATGGATTTTAAGAAAAAAATTTAAGCCATCAAACTAATCTTATTCCTTTCATCATATAGTTATAGGAAATTCTTTAAGGAATAGTTATGGTTATCTTTTCTTTTTGTCAATGTACTTAGCACATACTATAAATGTTGCAAAAATTATAATCAAAATTTGTCTTTTTTGTTTTATTGTTAAATATTATGAGTATTGTTTGTAATTAATGCATTAGATAGTTAGAGATTTCTTTTCCTTCAACATGGCCCATAAAAAAATTACCAAATATTTCAACAGAAGCATTTCTAAAATAGCTTGATGGCAGTTAACTACTCGTTTATTAAAAATACAATTGGATACTAAAAGTTGAACTGCACAGATTTTCATAACACTGCTTAGGCCTACTTGTTATTAAGTTTTTTCTGCTTCACCAGAACATAATCATTCTGCAAATTTAGTCAAGTCTGGCAGGCTTTTCATCTTAAGTAAAAAGGTAGAAAAGATAAAAGAAAAATAAAAGGCATCTCGTCTTAATAACCAGCTTCCCTTAAGAGAAAATGTTCCTTTTGGGGGCCTCAGTTGCAACATGGCATGAAGAGCTCTCAAATCTCTTATGCCTAGAACTTAACAGAGGGATGTTGCCACCATTTAGAACAGCATAAACAAGGTTTAGGATTTTTTCTGGTTGGTGTCTAACAAAATGAACACTATGGGCATTGACAAATGCTATGACCTAGGAAGGCTGATATCCCCTTTCAGCTGGCCTGGAGATGGTTTGCAAGTGAAGACGTAAACTATATGATTCTTTTGGTAGAAAGGAATCGTTGGTTACTCATGTATTCATTAAAGTAGACAGAGAACTAAGTGGTTCCTGGGGTTGCTGCATAAGTAAAGGGATTTAGAAAACAGTTCATTGGACTCCTCTGTGCATGAAGGCAGAATAAAGCATCACACATGCACACAAAACCAAGAAACAATAACAAAAATCCGAAAAGTTTGACTTCTTATGATTAGATAAATAATTAGGTGTAAAGTCTAGCCTCCTTACCTGCCTGCAAGGTTTAAATATCTTGCATCTCACAATCATTCATTCACATTTCAAGATATTTGCATAAGATTGGTTAATCAGTTCCACTTGGTCTGCTATAGAGGCTAGTTCTTATTGTATTTGCTCCATGTGATGTTAATTAGTAGATTGGTAAGCTCTATCTTTTATTTTAAAAAAGATAGTTATGATTTTTAATTTGCTAATCTTTTTCTTCCATGCAGTAGATTTTCTTTTGTCCCAAACAAAAATAATATGTATTAATGCATCTAATTTTATGATTTTTTATTTCTACTGTCTACCAAGGAGTTTATCATTTTTAGGCACAAAAGTCATAGTTACTGAATATTATCATTAATATTCCCATAATATTGTCAAATACTCTGAAGAATCCCAAATGAAGTCACTTGAGACCTTAAAGGGTTTCTCAAGAGTCTGATGTTTTTAGCTAATCAAATATGGTAAATTAATCTTATTGCATCACTTTTTGAACAGTCCCAAAATTTCTGATATTCAGCCAGTTGGCCAGTTAATTTGTTACTCCAAGTTCACAATCTCTTAGCTGGGTGGTCTACTGGAAAATACTTGCTTTATTAGGGCATTTGTTTTAATAGAGACCATTAACTTGAATGTATCAGTACAAAATCAGATTGAAAAGTGCTAATATGGCATTTTAAAATATCTATTTCACAACTACTAGTTGAAGCCATGATCAGATCTCATGTTGCCTTTTGCCATTGTCCCTCACCTGGCCTCCCATCTTACACATTTTTTCCTGTCTAATCCATTTGTGAAATAAATACGGCGCTCTTTAAAAACAGAAAACAGATCATGGCACATCACAATTTGAAAGTCCTTTAAGGGCTTCCTATAATGTTTATAATACAAGTCAAACTCCTTACTTCAGTTCTGCATGGTCTGACTGGCCACCAAGCAACTCTCAAGTGCTGTCTTCTGGTGCTAACTCTCACACACATGAGACTACAGCCTCACCAGACTTTTTTCAGTCCCTCTAGCCTGCTGGTTCTCTCCTATCCTGGGATCTGAACACTTAACATTCTCTGTCATTGTGATTTTCGTTAGCGTTCACAGGATTGGGCTATTCTCATCCTTATATTTTGGTTTAATTGTTACCTTCTATGAGGTACCTTGGGTTTGATTGGTGCCTGACCATCCAATCAATAATAGGTTACTTGTTTCCTTCAGTTATCTTCCATCATGATACTCTGAGATTTTCCATCATAGCACCTGTCATAAATTATAATTAGGATTATAGTTTTTAATATGTTTCATGCCTGTTTCCCTCACTTTCAGCAGCTTAGGGTCAGGGACTATGCCCGTTTTTTGTTGTTTCTGTTGTTCATTATGGTGTTACTAAAACATGAACCACAGATATGATTTGAGTACATATTTTATTATACAATAATAAGTTTTGCGGCCGGGTGCAGTGGCTCACGCCTGTAATCCCAGCACTTTGGGAGGCCAAGGCGGGCGGATCACGAGGTCAGGAGATCGAGACCATCCTGGCTAACACGGTGAAACCCCGTCTCTACTAAAAATACAAAAAATTAACCGGGCGTGTTGGCGGGCGTCTGTAGTCCCAGCTACTCGGGAGGCTGAGGCAGGAGAATGGCGTGAGCCCAGGAGGCGGAACTTGCAGTGAGCCGAGATCGCGCCACTGCACTCCAGTGCACACGCATTGCGATGTTTATTGACTTAAGTAATCAATTTTTTTTTTGCCTTATTGGTGCTCTGAGAAGAACATAGTTGCTATGGGTAAATATAAAAGAAGACTAGCTTGACATTTCTCATTTACATATTTGCTTTAGTGATCAGAAATACCTCTGTAAAATCATTGGAAAAGCAGGCACTATTACCTAGAAATATGTAAATTTATTAATACTATGGTGAATTTATAAATATATGAAATCCATTCTCTTATATAGGATGTTAAGTCACAAAACAGACACAAATTGGAGTGTCATGATCAACAAAAATACTTGTATTTACTCTCAATATTTTTATAGACTTTTTTGTATTTATAGGCATGTATGTATATGTATTGATATATATGCCTTGTGTCATTTCCTCAGCCCCATTTTCTGGTTAGGAAAACATGATACCTTGTTATTTAAAGTTTCTATGTGTGAAGAATAATAGATGGCTTAGAAAACTTTAAAAATGTATTGTGATTTACCTCATATGTATAGAAAATATACATATTTAAAATTAAAATAGTAAAATGAAAAAATATGTATCCACTACTCAGTTTAAGAAATCAGATATTAGCAGTACTATATATATAGATCAATGGTTATCTAATATTTTAGTATCAGAACACTTTATACTCCAAAATTCATGGACAAGCACAAGGAGCTTTTGTTTAGGTAGGTTGTATCTATTGATGTTTACAATGTAAGGCATTATAACTGGGGAATTTTTAAAATATTTAATAATTTAGAAATAATAAACTTATACCTTACAGTATATGAAATATCTTTTCCAAAACAATAAAAATGTTTTAGTGTGTAAGGTGACATGGCTTTGTATTTTTACAATCCTCTTTAATATCTGGTAAATATCTGGCAGATTTTTTTATATTGCTTTATTCAACCTGTTGTAATATGTTATTAATACTTTGGTTGAAATATATGAAGAAATCCATACTTACACAGACATAACTGGAAAAGAGTGGAATATTTTGAAATAATCATGGATATTTTCAATACTATATCAAAATTCTACTTACTAGTGGTAGCTTCTTAAAGGTTTGGTTGCAATGTGGGACTTGAAACTTTTCACACACCCTTATGTTAAAACTCATCTGTTTTGTACTTTGAATGAATCTCTTACCCATGTATAATTTGTAAACTTTATGAATTAGTCATTTGGGAAGTATGGGTTCACTGAGTTAAGTAATGAGACCACAAAAGTGAAATGTACCAATAACATCTTATTACTAAGATACTTTGGATTTAACAGACTTCCTGAAAGTGTATCAGGGACTCTAAGTGGGTCCACAGACAACACTTTGAGAACTGCTGTTTTAGATGCCTTCTGTGTGCCTCACATCAATCATTTGTTCCTTCCTCTTGCCCAGAGGTAATCATTATGATTTTGTATTAATAACTTTTTAAATCTTTTTGTGATTTTGTCACTGTTATCCTAAAACCTCCCATATTGTTTAGTTTTTCTCATTTCTGAAACACATATACCCATAAGTAGTCTTCTGTAGCTACTTTCATGTAATATTAAAATATTGATGATCTTAAATTTCTTCAGTAGTACCAATTATACCCTATTATGAATTATTTTAGTTTTAGAATAAATCTTAATATCTGGTTCTAACTGAATTTTTTCCAAAAAGATGGTCTTTCTTATGTCAATCTTGAAATGGATAAGGCTTCCTTTATGGGATGCCATATGCAGTAAATTTTTTAAAGTGTTTGGTCATTGAAAAAAAATGTATATTCTTAAATTTTGGTATATTCTAAATATATGTCCATTCAATCAAACTTTGTGTTTTATTCTATTCAAACCTCCTTTATTTTTCAGATTTCTGTCTGCTTGGTGTATTAATTATTCACAGAAATTTGCTAGATTTTCCAACTATGATGATGGATTTGTCAATTTCTTGTTTTTGGTCATCTTCGCTTTATATACTTTGTATACTTATATTAAAGCATACAAATTTTGAATTATAACAATCTAATGATGTCTTTACCTTTTGTATTTTGTTGGTCTTTAGTCTATCTTGTCAATTATCAACATTGTTATTCTAATTCACTTTTTATTAGAATTTTTTTGGTGTATGTATGTTTTCTTTCGGTGACTTTAGTGCTCTTAATATACTTCTGTTTTAGGAGTTTCTGTTATAATTAACATACCTTGCATGTTTTTTCCCTTTGTCTCCCTAAGCAATAAAAATCTTTATTTTGTGGACCTTTTAGTCTTTTTGCATTCATTTAGATTATTTATATTTAAATTTATATTCAGGGCCTTATTATGGGCTTTCTATTTGTCCTTTTCATAAAAGGAGGGAGCACTCCCCCTCCTTTTATGGTATAATTTGGACTGAGGATTCCTGCTTTTTCTTTTCTCACTCTACCTCTCTATGAGTTAGAAATTTTTGTGTCTTTGTCTATAGTTCAGATGTGACTAGCTATGTTAATATGCATACTTAAAAATCAAAAGTTAATCAATAGCTTTACTTTCTTAAATAAGAAAAGCAACATAACAATGTCAATCTATTTTAATCTCACAATTTATATATTATTTTTTATAGCCAACACTTATTCAAATGTACCTATACATTTGCCACTTTCACTGCTTACCATTAATTCTATCTTCAAACCTCCATCTGGCATCATTATCCTCTGCCTGAAATATATTATCTTAGAATTTTAATTCTACTAGTAATGGCATTAAAATTTTTATTTATTTTTTGGTCATAAATATTTAAATTTTGTCTTTCTTCCTGAAAGTTACTTTGTTAGGTGTGAAATTTTAGCATGGTAGAATAATACTTTTCAGCCCACTTATATTATTCCACTGCCTTCCGCTTTTTATTTTATATTGTGAACTCCTAGGTCTGTCTAATTTCCACTCACTTGACTTGTCTCTGGCACCTTTTAATAATGTTTCTTGTTTTTCATTTTCATAGTTTCACTGTGATCTTTATGGGTGTAGATTTGTTTTTACTTACCCTGTTGGGAATTCATTAGGCCTCCTAGATCCAAAGAGTGTTATCTTTCAATAATTCTGGATAATTCTACATTTTATTCCTGCTATACTGCTTCTTTCCCTTTTCTCTATCATATGTTTATTTCCTCTTAATCTCCCTTTCACACCTTCCTGTCTTCATATGCTGCATTTTCTATAATTTATCTTCCAAATCACTATCTGCTTTTTGTCTCTCCATTGACAGTTTAATTTTGAATATTTTATTTCTTAATATTCATAACTTGTATTTTGTTATTTTATGAATCTGGTTGGACATTTTTAATATTTTTATGACTTAAGGGTCTATTTTTAAAAATAAGAGTTATTTTATGCCCTCTGATAATTCTAACATATAAAATCTTTACAACTCAGAATCTTTTTTTTTTGGTTGTTTCTGCCAGCTTTCACTTGTAGTATCTTGTTTCTGTGTGTTTTATTTCTGACTCTGAACTTTCTACCTATGAGCATCATTTAAATTAAATTGCATTTTGCTAAACGAGATTTTTGTTTGTGTTGGTGCTCACTGGGGGTGCTACCAACTCATAGCCACTTTAAGTTCTCCCTTTGAATGTTGCTGTTTTTTTCTTTCCCCAGCCCAAACAAGTGCTGTCTATTCAGATTAAAAATTTGTATGTGGAACAGTTTGCAGTTATAAATTCTTAGGAAAAGACTTTTACCCACTCAGTACAAAGTCAGGACTGGAACATTTCCTCATTGTCTAAATTTTGTGAGTGGGTTTTATATTTTAGTTGTCATTCACTCTTGCTCTATATGTAGCCTTTTAGGTTTCAAGCTTTATGTTGAAGGTCTCCTCAAAGAGGTCCTATCTGGGCAGGCCATAGGTTTAACATATACCCTGAGTCTCTGGATCTTGGCAGAAAACATGTAGGACAATATTAGCATTGACATTTGATGGGTTTTCAGAGTACCTTTATGAATTTTGGTTTTGGACTCATTAGTTTCCCTATTTTCATGCAAAATAAGCAATACATTTAAAATGTATTTTATCCAGCATTTTTGTTTTTATTTGGAGAATCTTTCAAGCTAAGTGATTTACTATACTGCTAGAAAAAAAAAAAAGCAATTTTGGAAAAATGTTATGTTACATTTTTTGAAACAAAAATTGTTTTCCAAAAATGTAGTCTGTCTTGAAAGAAAGAGGAATAAAAGAACATGAACTTTGAGAGAAGTGAGGTTAATTAGTGTTTGAGTATTATTAATCATGCATTTGTATAAGGAATCTTAATTTTGTGTTTGGGAATTTAAAAGGAGGAAGCAATTAGAAAAAGCATTTATGATAGAGTTAAGCTCTTGCAGTGGGAAAACTGTGTCAGTACAATATAATACAATTTTTTAAAAAATTAAGATAAGAGCTAGGCCTTCATTTGAATGTGTTCCCCCAAATCTCATGTGTTGGGAACTTAATTGCCATTGTAACAGTATTAAGAGGTAGGGCCTTTTAGACGTGATTAGGCCATGAGGGCTTCACCCTCAGAAAGGCATTAATGCCATTATCATCGGAGTGGGTTAGTTATCATGGGAGTGGATTCCTGATAAAAAGAATGAGTTCAGCCTGATTTCCTCTCCATTTGTGTACTCACTTCTGTCTTCTGCTATAGGATGACCCCCATCAGATGCCAGCACCCTGCTCTTGGACTTCTCCACCTCCAAAAATATGAGCCAAAAAACTTCAGTTCTTCATAAACTACCCAATATGTGGTATTCTGTTACAGCAGAAGAAAATGGAGTAAAATAGGCTATAGTTCTTCACACTAGCACTAGCTAGAATAAAATAGAAGTGAATTGTATTCCCATTTTGGTAGCTTTTTTATTGTGTCAACCTGGCTAGGCTGCAGTCTCTCCAATTATTCAATCAAACACTAATCTAGTTGTTGCTATGAAGAGATTTTGCAGATGTAATTAAAGCCCCTAATCAGGTATCATTCAGTAAAGAAGGGTGGACCTGACTGAATCAGTTGGAAGCCCATAAAAGCAGTGCTGAGGGGAGAGAGAGAGAGAGAAAACAAGAGATGAAATTCTGCCTAGGGATGACAGCATCAGCCTGTGCCTACTGTCAGTGGGTTCAAGCCTACTGTGATCTTTTCTTTCTGACTGCCTATCCTATAAACTTCAGGCTTACCTAGCCAGCCCCACAAGGTATAAGCCAATGCCTTGTAATAAATAGCACACTCTCTCCACCTGCCAACCAATATATATTAAACTGCTGGTTTGGCTTCTCTGATTAAACACTGACTCATATACCCACCTAGAGTAATTCCAAATCATTTATTAACCATGTTTCTAATAATTTTGTTTTAAAGAAATATTCTCCAACTTCTAATGATCTGGCAACTTACGTTTGCCAAGAACTAGAGAGTTATAAATATAAGTAGCTGATAATATTAGCAGACTATTTGTGATAAGATTAGTCTTCATGTCTCCACACAAATCTCATCTTGAATTTTAATCCCCATAATCTCCATAATCCCTATGTGTCAAGGGAGAGACCAGGTAGAGGCAATTGAATTACGGGGGCAGTTTCCCCCATGTGTTCTAATGGTAGTGAATGAGTTCTCATGAGATCTGATGGTTTTATAAGGGGCTCTTCCCCTTCACTCGGCATTACTCCTTCCTGCCGCCTTGTGAAGAAGGTGCCTTGTGTCCCTTTCACCTTCTGCCATTATTGTGAGTTTCCTGGGGCCTCCCCAGCCATGCTAAACTGTGAGTCAATTAAGCCTCTTTCCTTTATAAATTATCCAGTCTCAACGGTTCTTTATAGTAGTATGAAAACAGACTAATACAATTTGAGAAAGGACCTTGCCTCCCCTTGAAAAGAAAAAGAAAATAGAAAAAATATTTAGAAACTGATAGATTCCTAGAACAGAAGAATATTCACTTGTGCTTTTATTTCCTGTCAGTGTTTGTCATAATAGGGATAACTAAAATTTACTGAATTCTTTCCAGAAGCACTATCATCACCAAGTGCCAGAACACTACACTTTCCTTGTTCTCCTACCTCGTGGGAGGCTCTTTCAAAATCTCCTTTTCTGCTCTGTTCTCTCTTCTTGGATCTTTTAATATTGAAGCAGTGAAAAATTTAATAGTTTGTCCTCTTTTTACTTTTTATCCACTACTGTAGTGATCTCATCCAGGTTCATGATTTAGTGTCTCTATACTGATGACTCCAAATTTAAATCTCATCAAGGAGTCTTTGAGACTCATGTTTACAACTGCCTAATCAGCATCTCCTCTTGGCTATCTAATGGGCACCACAACAGATTCCAATATACACTCCCCATCTCCATTGTCCACACCCCAAAACCTGCTTATTTTGAAGTCTTTATTACCTCAGTTATTGATAACATTTTCCTTCCAGGTAGCCAAGTCAGAAAGCTTTGGTCAACCTGACTCTCCTCTCTCACTCACATCCCACCTCCATGCAACACCCCAGACAATTCTCTTGTCTCTATCTTTAGAATAATCTGGACTCTGAAGCAGTGCTCACCACCCTTGCTGCTTCCATTCAGATCCAAACTGACAATTATCTTTCTCCTGGGTTATGTCAATAGTCTCTCATCTGGCCTCCCTGCTTCTACCTTTGCTTCCTCATATTAGTCTACTGTCTATCCTGTGGCCAGAGTAATCCTTTTAAATGGTCAGATCATGCCAGGTGAAGTGGCTCCTGCCTGCAATCCCAGGTACTTGGGAGACTGAGGCAGGAGGATCGCTTGAATCCAGGAGTTCAAGGCTGCAGTGAACTATGAATACACTCCAGTTTGGGTGACAGCAAGACATCTTTCCTTCACTTCTCCAAAAAGTCAGATCATGTCATCTTATATTCAGAAACTTGGACTGGCTTCTCATCTCACTCAGAGTAAGAGCCAAATCCTTCCAGTGGCATCCAAGGCTCTTATAGGATATGCCCCCCTCTGCACTCCATTTTCCTTGGAGAAAGAACTTTAGAAGACTTTTCTTTTTCCTAACTTACATTATTTCTTTTAAGGGAAAATTTAAAATTAAGAATAAATATTTGTTTGGTTACTGATAAATAACATTTTAGGTACATTAATAAATTGACGTTGAATTGTCATTACATGATTTTTAGACACTGGCTTAAAATTCTGCACCTAGAATTCACAGAATGTTTCACTGGTATAAAGACAAGCAACATGAAGACTTAAAAAAAGATGCTCTTCAGTTTAATGACCTGGCTGCCTCTAATAAATTCACTGAAATGAGTTGGCTAGTTAGCAATACTTGAGAAAATAGAGACAACAAGTATAGAGAAAACTGTTTCCTGAAATAGCTATAATAAAAAGAAGAGAGTAAAAGTGAAAACTGGATGAGATGTGAGAATCAAGGAAATGCTTTCATTTTTTAAGATGTAAAGAAAATTAACCATGTTTAAATATCATTAGGAACAATACAAATGAGATATGAGTTGAATGTACATAAGAAAGAAGGGTTATTTGATGCTGTAAAACTCTTAGTTTGTCAGGATGATGTAGGACTCTGAGCAATAGTGGAATAATTGTCCTTTATTTGTGTGTGTTGGGGTAGGACGCTCTCCATAAAGGAAAAAGAGAGGCTAGAGAGGATGCACGCGGATGTTAGGTGGAGTTGGAGGTTTAAGGGCACCTGGGACTTAATGTCTCAATGCCCATAATGACAAGCATAGATTTTGAATATAATGTTCTAGTTTTGTGTGGGTTCATCAGCACATATTGTCACTGAGTCTCTATATCAGAATTTATCTATTTAAAAGAAATATTTCAAGTAATTAATTCAAATATATTGGTATTTTTCTAGGTACTGGTTACATAATTTTAATCTCAAAGGGGAGTAGGTAGTTCAAGGTTAGAAAGCCATCACTGAGAAAGAGATTATGTCTTCTTTTCTCTGATATCTCCTCCTATAGCCTATTTTTACATTCAACATGGCATAAAAACTATAAATATTGAGTAATTGGGTCATGAGACTAAAGTGTGCCCTCATTTTCTTCACTCCCTTTTATTTCCCTTCCTAGCTTTTGTATTGAGTTCTAAAGACTGTGAACTCTGCTGGGTTTAAGATGATACATAATTGATTATTATTGCTTGGGAGATAGTTACTAGAAAAGGGAGGGGTGGAATTTATGAGTGGCTGATAATGTTCTATTTCTAGACTTGAGTGCTAATTACACAGGTGTGTTTACTTTGTGGAAATTTATTGAATGGCATGCCATGATATTTTGTGTATTTTTATATTATACGCACATAGAAATATAGACATATAATAATGAATAGTCTATAATATACATCCTATATGTAAATATACAGTGAAAATATAAATATCTTTATAATCAGTGTCATACTAGAAGTATGTATAGGATGGCATCAGATTACTCTATTGAAACTGCTATTTTAAATGTCTCCAATCATTTAATCATCAACTACAATGGCTGATTTTGAGTAAATATTGTCCATAAGCTTTCTGACCACCAAATGCTATATTTCTTTGGATCCTAGACTATAGTCTTCTGTGTCTATATATAGCCCAATATATCCTTTCTTTTGCTTCTATCCTGGAAGAACTCATCCTTTCCTGAAGGTTTAACTGTCATTGCTGCTTGGATGACTCCTAGCATTGTCTTTGTCATCTTGCTGTCTTTACTATGCCTCAGATCAAAATTCAAAGCTGCCAACCGACCATATCTACAAGTAATGAAAATGCATCTCATTCTTTCTCCTTATACATTTGGGTAAAATCCCTATCAACTGATCAGTTTTTGGTATCATGTGAAGCTTGTGCCTTTCTTTTGTAAAAGTGATATATTTTAGTAAGCACTTAGGAAATGTTAGTTTTTCATGAAAATTTTGCCATCAGCAAACTTTGTTCCATTGCTTAATAGCCAATTTCAGAGGACCAAATGTCTTAATAGACAATTTCAGGGACCAAATGATAGTGGTAGGAAGTGATTGTAAGTATATGTCATTATCAAGTTTTTATACTTTCAAAGTATAAAAATGTTAGAATTTTTGGACTTCTATTAAAGAGGCCCATCACATTTGTTTTACACATAAAGAACTATAGGTATTTGAGTATAGTTTTTCCTTTTCTCTTTATTACTTTTAATATCATCCTGTTCAGGGATTTCCTATTTTTCATGCCCTGAGTATCATCTTCACTTCTCAGAAATTTATAAGCTGATAAATAAATGTTAAAATTATCTCTCATACTTACCTTAGCTTTGAAAGAGAGAAAGTCAGCATTTGCTGAAAATCTGAGATGACTTCTGATGATTTTATGAAAAATATGAGTCTGTGGCATCCTCTTGCCTATTACAGTTCCATTTGCATTTGAAACAAAATGAAAATATACTTCATAAAGAGAACACAAAGACAAGAAAACACTTTATTTTTGTTCTAGGGGATGTTAAAGAGAACAACATTGTAGGTATTTTCAAGGTCTCTATGATCATTTAAAAATAATACAAAACATAAATACAGAAAACAGTTATGTCTTGTTAAGATTACAGGAAAAAATATTAAGGTTTACCTTGTGTTTGGTTATCATAATATGGTTACCATCACTACCCAGGCTTTGGTATTAAATACTATATACATACCATGTATATAGTACATGTACCATGTATATAGTACATGGGTAGTTTTATATTACATACTACCCAGAAATATAAATTAAGCAATTTCTTTTTGGAAAAATATTTACACAAACTAGATCAACGTTATTATTGATACACAGTATTTGAATGAGACATCTAATATTATACTTAAGGTACCATATTATATGCTATAGATTAAATACACCTTGAGGAAGAAATAAAGCTTTAGAAAGAAAGGAAAAGAATAACAGTAGTAATGGCTTGAAGAAAAGATTCATAGCTTTTATAGACAGCAGTTTAGGTTAAACCTGAAAGTAGCTAAATATATTCTCAATATGAGGCTGGGACTTGGGACTAGAAGTGGTAGACAATGTCAGGTGTAGGTATGAGAAATCTAATATGCTGACTGAAGAATAGTTCCTGAAGAGTGTGGTCTCACTGTAGGTATTAGTTTAGTATTGGGGAGATATAGAAATGCTAAGAGATAGCTGGGCAGGTAGGCAGATGAGAAAAGCGCATTACAGGAGTATTCAGTATTGAGTGACATAGACATATGGGTGTCGCTTGTCTATAGATTGTTCTTTCCAATATCGAACTTAAATTCAAGAATCATACTTAGGAAAGTTTGCACAATAGCAAGGCAGAGTCCTGGTATGGAAAGACACAGAATAATGAAAAGGTATTTGCTAAGATAGGGCCTCCTTGGCAATTAGCTAGGAACTGAATTATTGAAGCTAGAGTGTATTCCTATAATGTGAGGTCAAAATAAAACTGAAAACATCAGTTGATTTTATAATGAATTGTCTACTAAACTAAATTTTATCTTGTAATGACATATACTAAATCTAAAGCCTGTGGCAGGGGTGAGTATGGATCAAGTATCTCTAGCTGTAGACAGAAGAAAGGTACAATAGATGCCTGAAAAGGTTCTTACATACCTTTTTACTAGACCTTTTATAGTTAAACATTACATGACAAGAACCGGAAGAGAAAACCAAACCAACATAAGAGAATAAACCCAACCTCATTATCTACAAACTTTGAAAGAGATATAAAAACATTACAGATTTTAATTTGCCCCTGATTAAGCTAAACATTTTAATACAACTATTCATTTCCTTTAAAAATGATCAGCTGTTTGCTAGGTAATTTTTGATGTATTAGACAAAATTCCCATTTGCAGTATAGTTGTAGGAACGAAAATGATACAGGGAATAATAATGAAATAAAATCAATTACATAGTAATTCTTGTGTCATTTATCTGTGTATAGGCCACTAGTTCCTGGTTTTACTATTTAAATGATTATGTCTATTAGGCAGTATGTATACCCAGTCATACACATACATATATATTCATGGAGACATAGCTTCTTATAAACAAGTTTTTTTCTTAAGAGTTGGAGCTCAATTTATTCCACTTGGGTAGCATTTAAGAATTCTAAGAAATCAGTTCATTAGTTTGATGCTATTTAATTTCTTTCTTTTAAAATGATAAATATAAAATAAGCCTAGGAAACAAGCACAGAAAATGATCTCAAATGTGACAAAAGCAATAGATTTTAAAGGTCAAAAGACTTCAAAAGTGTAATTCTCAAGAGACAATGACAAGGACAAGTGGATAATAAAAATCATAAGGTTATCCCTTGTCAATTCAGCACCCTAAAATGACATAGAAAGCCTCATTCCAAGAGCATAAAAGGCAGTGTTTGGAAAGAAGAAAAAATGCATTATATCAGAAGCCTTGCCTTTCCTTAATCAGTGATAAGTATATGATGTTTACATACAATATCAATATATTGTATTTGTATTCTGGTACAAATGCATTGTATTGATGATATTACAGAAAACATTAGAAATAGAAAACCTTAAAAAAGTTTTCTGTAATATCATCTCCTGAGTAAGCCTCTAGAGCATAAATGAAGAGAAGCAACTGTATTAGTGCTATCACCCTGAAAGGTGAATGGGCTGCCATTTCCAATATTGTTGCCACTAAGTTATGTAGCTGAGTGCCAAGATCCATGGGCACCGTCATTCAGTGATAGGATTATATACTGCCATAAAAAGACTCATAATGATGGCACAAGGTAATCTATTCAAGATTAGGTTTCTGTCAAGACCATAATTCTTATTAAATTGGCCTGAGAAATTATAGTCCACCAAGTTCTGGATAAAGTAATAATTATGGTCAGTAGATTATATAGAAAAGTTACAGCATTATTGCTGAATATACACACAAAAAAAGAACTTGTTTAATTAGGTAACAGTAGAAGAAGTCATGCTTGGAATTTTAATGAGAACTGTTATTAGAAACTTTTGGCCTTTGGCCAAACCAGGTAAAATCAAACCTGAAGAATAACTTTTAGAGATGAATGAAGAAGAATTTAGTCACAAGGTAAAAGAAATTGAAAGTGGAAACATGGCTCTTGTATTTCCAAATTAGGTAGGCTGTGTTATCGATTCATTTTCCCTTCTCCGTTTATTTTGGATTAATGGCATCCATGGCCTCTCCATCAATTCAATAAGTTCAAAAAAAGCTAGGAGTTATTTCTGGAGCCAGATTTCTTGATTATTTCCCTAGATGGTATAGCAGTGTAAATAGTGAAGTTACACTGTACGATAATCAATACTAACCCCCCTATATCAATGTCTTAATCTATCCATTTTTTTTCTCAAGTCTGTGGTGGGTTTAAGTGACCCTCCAAGCAAGCTGTTCTCCGTACTCAGTGATCTATGCTACTTCACTTTTTTGGCTCTGCCATCTTATACAAAGCCAAGTGATTACTACCACTTGAAAGTGACACATGCCTTATCTGCTTATATTTCTTGATGAGTCCCCGTGTTCATATCGAGTATATTAGAAGAGAGGAAAAACAGCATTTTTGTGTACTTTGAGGTAGAGAGGAAAACTGAGTATTAGGGAATAGCTTTAATGTTCACTATAGGCATTTATTAGATAGTGTTAGCAATTCCCTTATTAAGGAGATGGCTGTTGTTCACACTGGTCATTTAATTTACCTTCCTTAAAAAGAACTCAATTCTAAGATTTTCCATTCATTCCCACTAATTTCTATTTAAGAGAGATGGAAACTCTGACTTCCCATAGACTATATAATACAAACAACTTATTTTCAAAATCTAGAATTAGAAAAAGTTCAAAGTAAAATTACAGAAAGTAACCAAAAATATTGCTTGCTATTTTGGAAATAATAGAAAGGAAATACAGGATTATTATGATTTAAAGAACCGATTAATACATACACCATTGTTCTTTAAATACTATATTAATATTATATACAAGACTGTGCCAAAGTAACAAAGAAGCCAACAACTCTCAGCAGCTTAACAGAACAAAATTTTATCTCTAAGATATATAGCTGGGAAAAACCTAAATATATATCGTTTAGGAGAAAAAAAGTAATGAGAGATTTGTAAAACATAAGATTATCAGGCTTAATTCTTCCCTTTCCCACTGTATTTACTTATCATAAAGAGCTTTTGTTTTCCTTGGCAAAAATAATTTGCAAATCCAACTTCTTGATATGAAAGCTTAGGCATACTCGATTTATTTTATAATTATTTATTTGCCTAGTCAACAAATTTTAAGACCTTGAAAATGTTTTCTATTCATGTTTTCTTTTTTAATAAGCTGTCTTTAAACACTAATCATTGCAGCACGAATAGAAGTAGTTATTGTCTAGGAAAATGGATATGATACAGATATTGACTTTTGTTGCAGTGAACATAGAGATTTAGCGACCTGGAGATAAGGTCAATATTTCCCTTGAGAGACAGTATCTCTAGATGTTCAACAAAATATAAAGTAAATATCTGTATTAACACCTATGTTTTGAATGCCTATCCAAAAATCTGTAAACATTTCTGTATAGTTGAATTTCATGATCTTTGAAAAGTGTGTAATTCTAAATAGACCTTGAAACAAAGTTTGAAGCTAAGAACAAAATAAATACCAGCGAATACTTTAAAATATATTGGCCTATATTTTGTAACAGTCTCTTTTGCAAAAAAAAAAAAAAAAAAAAAAAGGTAGTATTTCCTTTGAAATGTGTAAACTTTAAAAAGTATGTGATTAATGTATAATTTATTTTATAATTAACAAATAACTGATTGGTTTAATTAACTAAACAAGTAACTGATTGGTTTAGTTAACACCATCGCACTAAAGTACATTTTAACACCTACAATGTATACATAACAGACCTAGAACTCCAAGTGTATAAGCACAATGTTGCTTCTCCTTGACTCTGATTGCCATTTTCTTTTCCCTTTAGACTTCTAGGCATTTCTTTGCAAATGTTTCATCACCATTTTAAATACAGTCCTTGTAATCTTACTATGTTGCTTTTTCTTAGGCACAAAGGTTTTATCAGTAAAGCACATTAATTGGTTAGAATGCCTCATCCATTAAGAGATACCTGTTATATATAGACTACATAGTATTGATTTCAGAGACAAACTTTCTAGAAAGGACTTGCAATTATCAAAACAAAACTAAGTAACTTCCATCAAATGTCCCTCCCTGTCAATTTTCTGTCACTGGTTTATCTACCTTCCAAATCACCTGGGCTACTCATTGTAAAGTTCATTGACTTTTCTCTGTCCTAATCCTCTATTTTTAATTCACAACGAATGTGTGAGCCCATGGAATTAACTTTATCCTCCTCTTCTGTCATTGAAATAGCCAATAGCCTATTTTATTTTATTTTTTATAGCTTATGTTATTTTATTGTAAATTCTTGGTAAACGACTTGAAAGTGTCTTTTTTTTTTTTTCCTTTAAAAATCCACTTGTAACTTCTGCTAATGGAGTGTATATTCAGGGCAAATTGCATCTATGTTCCTGGGTCGCAATCCTCAAGCTTGGAGGGTTGCAAATAAACTCCCTGCATATATAAACTTTGCCTCAGCTTCTTCATTTTGGTTGGCATATCTGGCATCAGTCAGCCGGATTCAAAGTGACTTGACCTGACACCTGGTGTTTCCCTCTGAAAGGGCACTTTGTACCAGCACAAACTCTGTCTTCAGAAGACCCACTGGGTGTTTCAGGTGAGTTGTCCTGAATTCAGACCACTCACTCTTTGGTTAAAGGTCTAGACTTTATATGTGGCACATATACATATATATATTCGCATCACTGTTCATCAGGGATATTGGCCTGAAATTTTCTTTTTTTATTGTGTCTCTCCCAGGTTTTGGTATCAGAATGATGCTGACCTCATAAAATAAGTTAGGGAGGAAATCCTTATACATATATATATATATATAATAGTATATATATTATATATAATATGGTATATATAATATATATTATATATTATATGTGTGTGTGTATATATGTCTGAGTGTGTGTGTGTGTGTGTGTGTATAATTTAAGTTTTGGGGTATATATGCAGAACATGCAGGTTTGTTACAGAGGTATACACATGCCATGGTGGTTTGCTGCACCCATCAACCCATCATCTACATTAGGTATTTCTCCTAATGCTATCCCTCCCCTATCCCCTCACCCTCTGACAGGTCCTGGTGTGTGATGCTCCTGTCCCTGTGTCCATGTGTTCTCTTTGTACAACTCCCACTTATGAGTGAGAATATGCATGTTTGGTTTTCTGTTCTTGTGTTAGTTTGCTGAAAATGATGGTTTCCAGCTTCATCCATGTCGCTGTAAAGGAAATGAACTCATCCTTTTTTATAGCTTCATAGTATTCCATGGTATATATGTGCCGCATTTTCTTTATCCAGTCTATCATTGAAGGACATTTGGGTTGGTTCCAAGTCTTTGCTATTGTGAACAGTGCTGCAATAAACATACGTGTGCATGTGTCTTTATAGTAGAATGATTTATAATCCTTTCGGTATATACCCAGTAATGGGATTGCTGGGTCAAATGGTATTTCTGGTTCTAGATCCTTGAGGAATTGCCACAAAGTGTTCCACAATGGTTGAACTAATTTACACTCCCACCAGCAGTGTAAAAGCATTCCTATTACCCCACATCCTCTCCAGCATCTGTTGTTTCCTGACTTTTTAATGATCACCAATCTAACTGGCATGAGATGGTATCACATTGTGGTTTTGATTTGCATTTCTCTAATGACCAGTTATGATGAGCTTTTTAAAATATGTTTGTTGGCTGCATAAACATCTTCTTTTGAGAAATGACTGTTCATATCCTATGCCTACTTTTTGATGGGATGGTTTGTTTTTTTTCTGGTAAATTTGTTTAAGTTCTTGTAGATTCTGGATATTAGCCCTTTGTCAGATGGATAGATTGCAAAAATTTTCTCCCATTCTGTAGGTTGTCTGTTCACTCTGATGATAGTTTGTTGTGCTGTGCAGAACCTCTTTAGATTAATTAGATCCCATTTGTCAATTCTGTGTTTTGTTGCCATTGCTTTTGGTGTTTTAGTGATGAAGTCCTTGCCCATGCCTATGTCCTGAATTGTATTGCCTAGGTTTTCTTCTAGGGTTTTTATGGTTTTAGATCTTATGTTTAAGTCTTTAATCCATCTTGAGTTAATTTTTATATAAAGTGTAAAGAAGGGGTCCAGTTTCAGTTTTCTGCAAAGGGCTAGCCAGTTCTCCCAACACCATTTATTAAATAGGGAATCCTTTCCCCATTTCTTGTTTTTGTCAGGTTTGTCAAAGATCAGATGGTTGTAGATGTATGGTGTTATTTCTGAGGCCTCTGTTCTGTTCCATTGGTCTATATATCTATTTTGGTACCATACCAGTACCATGCTGTTTTGGTTACTGTAGCCTTGTAGTATAATTTGAAGTCAAGTAGTGTGATGCCTCCAGCTTTGTTCCTTTTGCTTAGGATTGTCTTTGCTGTACATGCTCTTTTTTGGTTCGATATGAAATTTAAAGTAGTTTTTTCTAACTCCGTGAAGAAAGTGAATGGTAGCTTGATGGGGATAGCATTGAATCTATAAATTCCTTTGGGCATTATGGCCATTTTCATGATATTCTTCTTATCCATGAACATGGAATGTTTTTCCACTTGTTTGTGTCCTCTTATTTCCTTGAGCAGTGGTTTGTAGTTCTCCTTGAAAAGGTCCTTCACATCCAGTGTAAGTTGGATTCCTAGGAATTTTATTTTCTTTGTAGCAATTGTGAATGGGAGTTCACTCATGATTTGGCTCTCTGTTGGTCTATTATTGGTGTATAAGAATGCTTGTGATTTTTCCACATTGATTTTGTATCCTAAGACTTTGCTGAAGTTGCCTATCTGCTTAAGGAGATTTGGGGCTGATATGCTGGGGTTTTCTAAATATAAAATCATGTCATCTGAAAACAGAGACAATTTGACTACCTCTCTTCTTATTTGAATACCCTTATTTCTTTCTCTTTCCTGATTGCCCTGGCCAGAACTTCCAATACTGTGTTGAACAGGAGTGGTGAGAGAGGGCATCTATGTATTGTACTGATTTTCAAAGGGAATCCTTCTAGTTTTTGCCCATTCCATATGATGGTGGCTATAGGTTTGTCATATATAGCTATTATTTTGAGATACATTTCATCTATACCTAGTTTATTGAGAGTTTTTAGCATGAAGGTTGTTGAATTTTGTCAAAGGCCTTTTCTGCATCTATTGAGATAATCATGTGGTTTTCGTCATTGGTTCTGTTTATGTGATGGACTACGTTTATTGATTTGTGTATGTTAAAACAGCCTCACATCCCAGGGATGAAGCAGACTTGATCGTGGCGGATAAGCTTTTTAATGTGCTGCTGGATTCAGTTTGCCAGTATTTTATTGAGGATTTTTGCATCAATGTTCATCAGGGATATTGGCCTGAAATTTCCTTTTTTTGTTATGTCTCTGCCAGGTTTTGGTATCAGGATGATGCTGGCCTCATAAAATGAGTTAGGGAGGAGTTCCTCTTTTTCTATTGCTTGGAATAGTTTCAGAAGGAAGGGTAGCAGCTCCTCTTTGTACCTCTGGTAGAATTCAGCTGTAAATCTGTCTGGTCCTGGACTTTTTTAAGTTGGTAGGCTATTAATTACTACCTCAATTTCAGATCTTGTTATTGGTCTATTCAGGGATTTGACTTCTTCCTGGTTTAGTCTTGGGAGGTTGTATGTGTCCAGGAAGTTATCCATTTCTCTAGATTTTCTAGTTTATTTGCGTAGAGGTGTTTATAGTATTCTCTGATGGTAGTTTGTATTTCTGTGGGATCAGTGGTGATATCCCCTTTATCTTTTTTTTTGTTTTGTCTCTTTTTGTTTTTATCTTTTTTTATTTTGTCTCTTTTGTTAGTCTTCCTAGTTGTCTATTTTGTTGATCTTTTCAAAAACCAGGTCCTGGTTTCATTGATTTTTTTGAAAGTTTTTTTTGTGTCTCTATCTCCTTCAGTTCTGCTCTCATCTTAGTTATTTTTTGTCTTCTGCTAGCCTTTGAATCTGTTTGCTCTTGCCTCTCTAGTTCTTTTAATTGTGATATTAGGGTGTCGATTTTAGATCTTTCCTACTTTCTCTTGTGGGCTGTTAGTGCTATAAATTTCCCTCTACACACTGCTTTAAGGATGTCCCGGAGATTCTGGTATGTTGTGTCTTTGTTCCCATGGGTTTCAAAGAACTTCTTTATTTCTACCTTAATTTCATTATTTATCCAGTAGTCATTGAGGAGCAGGTTGTTCAGTTTTGATGTAGTTTTGTGGGTTTAAGTGAGTTGCTTAATACTGAGTTCTAATTTGTTTGCACTGTGGTCTGAGAGACTGTTTGCTATAATTTCTGTTCTTTTGTATTTGCTGAGGAATGTTTTACTTCCAATTATGTGGTCAATTTTAGTGTAAGTGCCATGTGGTCCTGAGAAAAATGTATATTCTGTTGATTTGGGGTGAAGAATTCTGTCACTGTGTATTAGATCTGCTTGGTCCAGAGCTGAATTCAAGTCCTGAATATTCTTGTTAATTTTCTCTCTCCTTGATCTAATATTGACAGTGGGGTGTTAAAGTCTGCCACCTTATTGTGTGGGAGTCTCTATGTAGATCTCTAAGAACTTGCTTTATAACTCTGGGTGCTCCTGTATTGGCTGCATATATATTTGTGATAGTTAGCTCTTCTTGTTTCATTGATGCCTTTACCATTATTTAATGCCCTTCTTTGTCTCTTTTGATCTTTGTTGGTTTTAAAATCTGTTTTATCAGAGACTAGGTTTGCAACCCCTGCTATTTTTTTTGCTTTCCATTTGCTTGGTAAATATTCCTCCATCCCTTTATTTTGAGCCTATGTGTGTCTCTGCATGTGAGATGGGTCTCCTGAATACAGCACACTGATGGTGAGAGGTGACAGCGTGCTGGCAGTCCTCCCAGCCCTCGCTCGCTCTCAGCACCTCCTCTGCCTGGGCTCCCACTTGGGCAGCACTCGAGGAGCCCTTCAGCTCGCCGCTGCACTGTGGGAGCCCCTTTCTGGGCTGGCCAAGGCCAGAGCCGGCTCCCTCAGCTTGCAGGGATGTGTGGAGGGAGAGGTGCAGGTGGGAACCAGGGCTGCGCCCTGGGCTTGCAGGCCAGCACGAGTTCCGGGTGGGCGTGGCCTTGGCAGGCCCTGCACTCAGAGCAGCCAGCTGGCCCCGCCACCCCGGGCACTGAGGGGCTTAGCACCTGGGCCAGCAGCTGCTGTGCTCAATTTCTCCCCAGGCCTTAGCTGCCTTCCTGTGGTGCAGGGCTCGGGACCTGCAGCCTCCCATGCCTGAGCCTCCCCCCAAACCCCCACCTCCCCCCTGGGCTCCTGTGCTGCCGGAGCCTCCTCAATGAGCACCGCCCCCTGCTCCACGGCGCCCAGTCCCATCGACCACCCAAGGGCTGAGGAGTGTGGGTGCATGGCGCGGTACTGGCAGGCAGCTCCACCTGCTGCCCCAGTGCAGGATCCACTGGGTGAAGCCAGCTGGGCTCCTAAGTTTGGTGGGGACATGGAGAACCTTTATGTCTAGCTAAGGGATTGTAAATACACCAATCGGCACTCTGTATCTAGCTCAAGGTTTGTAAACACACCAATCAGCACCCTGTGTCTAGCTCAAGGTTTGTGAATGCACCACTCGACACTCTGTATCTAGCTACTCTGTTGGGGACTTGGAGAACCTTTGTGTGGACACTCTGTATCTAGCTAATCTAGTGGGGATGGGGAGAACCTTTGTGTCTAGCTCAGGGATTGTAAACACACCAATCAGCACCCTGTCAAAACAGACCACTCGGCTCTATGTAAAATGGACCAATCAGCAGGATGTGGGTGGGGCCAAATAAGAGAATAAAAGCAGGCTGCCTGAGCCAGCAGTGGCAACCCACTCGGGTCCCCTTCCACACTGTGGAAGCTTTGTTCTTTCACTCTTTGCGATAAATCTTGCTGCTGCTCACTCTTTGGGTCCACCCTGCCTTCATGAGCTGTAACACACACCTTGAAGGTCTGCAGCTTCACTCCTGAAGCCAGCGAGACCACAAACCCACCGGGAGGAACGAACAACTCCAGATACGCTGCCTTAAGAGCTGTAACACTCACCGCCAAGGTCCGCAGCTTCACTCCTGAGCCAGCGAGACCACGAACCCCACCAGTAGGAAGAAACTCCAAACACACCCGAACATCAGAAGGAACAAACTCCAGACACGACGCCTTTAAGAACTGTAACACTCACCACGAGGGTCTGCGGCTTCATTCTTGAAGTCAGTGAGACCAAGAACCCACCAATTCCGGACACAATGGGTCTTGACTCTTTATCCAATTTGCCAGTCTGTGTATTTTAATTGGGGCATTCAGCCCATTTACATTTAAGGTTAATATTGTTAATGTGTGAATTTGATCCTGTCATTATGTTGCTAGCTGGTTATTTTGCCCATTAATTGATGTAGTTTCTTCATAGTGTCAATTGTCTTTACAATTTGGTATATTTTTGCAGTGGCTGGTACCAGTTGTTCCTTTCCATGTTTAGTGCTTCCTTCAGGAGCTCTTGTAAGGCAGGCCTGGTGGTGATAAAATCTCTCAGCATTTGCTTGTCTGTAAAGGATTTTATTTCTCCTTTGCTTATGAAGCTTAGTTTGGCTGGATATGAAATTCTGGGTTGAAAATTCTTTTCTCTAAGAATGTTGAATATTGGCCCCCATTTTCTTCCGACTTGTAGGGTAGTCTGATGGGCTTCTCTTTGTGGGTAAACCCGACCTTTCTCTCTGACTGCCCTTAACATTTTTTCCTTTATTTCAACCTTGGTGAGTCTGATGATTATGTGTCTTGGGGTTGCTCTTCTTGAGGAGTATCTTTGTAGTGTTCTCTGTATTTCTTGAATTTGAACATTGGCCTGTCTTGCTAGGTTGGGGATGTTTTCCTGGATAATATCCTGAAAAGTGTTTTCCACCTTGGTTCCATTTTCCCCGTCACTTTCAGGTACACCATTCAAACATAGGTTTGGTCTCTTCACATAGTCCCATATTTCTCTGAGGCTTTGTTCATCCCTTTTCATTCGTTTTTTCTCTGATCTGGTCTTCAGGTTTTATTTCATTAAGTTGATATTCAGTCTCTGATATCCTTTCTTCTACTTGATCAATTCGGCTATTGATACTTGTGTATGTTTCATGATGTTCTCGTGCTGTGTTTTTCAGCTCCATCAGGTTATTTATGTTCTTCTCTCAACTGGTGATCCTAGTCAGCAATTCATCTAACATTTTTTCAAGGCTCTTAGCTTCCTTGCATTGGGTTAGAAGACACTCCTTTAGCTCAGAGGAGTTCATTATTACCCACTTTCTGAAGTCTACCTCTGTCAATTTGTCAAATTCATTTTTTGTCCAGTTTTGTTCCCTTGCTGGTGAGGAGTTGTGATCTTTTGGAGGAGAAGAGGCATTCTGGTTTTTGGATATTTCAGCCTTTTTGCGCTGGTTTCTCCCCATCTTCGTGGATTCATCTACCTTTGGTCTTTGATGTTGGTGGCCTTTGGATGGGGTTTCTGTGTGGACATCCTTTTTGTTGATGTTGATGCTCTTCCTTTATGTTCATTAGTTTTTCTTCTAACAGGCCCCTCTGCTGCAGGTCTGTTGGAGTTTGCTGGAGGTCCACTCCAGACCCTGTTTGCCTAGGTATCACCAGTGGAGGCTGCAGAACAGCAAAGATTGCTGCCTGTTCCTTCCCCTGGAAGCTTCGTCCCAGAGTGGCACCCGCCAGATCCCAGCCAGAGCTCTCCTGTGTGATATGTCTGTCAAGCTCTGCTGAGAGGTGTCTCCCCATCAGGAGGCACAGGGGTCCAGGACCCACTTGAGGAGGCAGTCTATCCCTTAGCAGAGCTCAAGCACTGTGCTGGGAGAACTGCTGCTCTCTTCAGAGGTGGCAGGCAGGAACATTTAAGTCTGCTGAAGCTGTGCCCACAGCCACCCCTTCCCCCAAGGTGCTCCGTCCCCGGGAGATGGGGGTTTTATCTATAAGCCCCTAACTGGGGCTGTTGCTTTCCCCCTCCCTCTCCACCACCCCCCCACCCCCCACCACCCCCCTGGAGATCTCCTGCCCAGAGAGGAGGAATTTAGAGAGGCAGTCTGGCTGGCTACAGTGGCTTTGCCGAGCTGCAAAGGGCTCCGCCCAGTTGGAACTTCCCTGCTGCTTTGTTTACACTGTGAGGGGAAAACCACCTACTCAAGCCTCAGTAATTGTGGACATCCCTTCCCCGACTAAGCTTGAGCATCCCAGATCGACTTCAGACTGCCGTGGTGGCAGCAAGAATTTCAAGCCAGTGGATCTTAGCTTCCTGGGCTCTGTGGGGGTGGGATCTGCTGACCTAGACCCCTTGGCTCCCTGGCTTCAGCCCCCCTTCCAGGGGAGTGAATGGTTCTGTCGTCTCAGTGGTGTTCCAGGTGCCACTGGGGTATAAATAAAAATCCTCCTGCAGCTAGCTCGGTGTCTGCCCAAATGGAGCCCAGTTTTGTGCTTGAAATCCAGGGCCCTGGTGGTGTATGCACTCAAGGGAATCTCCTGGTCTGTGGGTTGCGAAGACCATGGGAAAAGCATAATATCCGGACTGGAGTGCACCATTTCTCACTGCCCAGTCCCTTACAGCTTCCCTCGGCTAGGGGAGGGAGTACACCAACCCCTTGTGTTTCCTGGGTGAGGCAGTGCCCCACCCTGCTTCACCTCACCTTCCATGGGCTGCACCCACTGTCTAACCAGTCCCAATGAGACGAGCTGGGTATCTCAGTTGGAAATGCAGAAATCACCCACCTCCTGCATTGATCTCGCTAGGAGCTGCAGACCAGAGCTGTTCCTACTCAGCCATTTTGGTAAGTCTCCTCAAAAATTGCTTTTAAAAGTGTTGGTGCATCCATACAATGGAATATTGTGCAGCCCATACGATAATGAGGAGCATGGTTTTTACTGACACAGAATGGCATACAAGCTATATTGGTATGTGACAAAAGCAAAAGAATACAGAACGATATAATAGGATATTACAGTCTGGATAGAATGTAGTGTTTGCCTATATATCTTTGGAAGGATTCACAAGAAATTGCTAGCATGGGCTGCCTGAAGGGAGTGGTACTCAGCCACTGGTGGACAGGAATGGGAAAGAGACTTGTCACTTACTGCCTTCTTGTAGCTTTTGAACTATGGGTCTCGAAAGTAAAGAAACTTAAAATTCCACAAAAGTTAACCATTGAAAGATTTTCCTAAATGGCTTCAGTTGAGGCTATAAAACAGCAGTAAAACTGAACTTTGTATTGCTGGTACGTGTAAAATACTCTACATGTTAGATAACAAAGAGCAGTTCCATAGCATTCAAATGCTGACACTAATGTCAGTTTGTACTAGTCAGGGTTCTCCAGAGAAACAGAACCAACAGGAGATACATATATTAATATGCATATATGGAGGCTAAGTCCCACGATCAACCATCTACAAGCTAGAGACTCAGGAATGCCAGCTGTATAATTCAGTACTACTCGGCAGACTCGAGATCCAGAGAAGCCAATGGTTTAAATCCCTAATCCAAGGCCAAGAGATGAGATGAGATGTCCCAGCTCTAGCAGTAAACGAGGCAACAAGGAGTGAATTCCTACTTTCTCCACTTTGCTCTATTCAGCTCCTCACCAGATTGGATAACGCCCAATCACATTGGGGAGGGCAATCTACTTTACTGAGCCCACCAATTCAAATACTAATCTTACACAGATACACTTTTATAGGCACATCTAGAAATAATGTTTAATCGATAGCCCGTGGCTCACGCAAATTGACACATAAAATTAACTATTATGCAGTTCAAACAATACTCATGCGATTCAAACACTTCCAAGAATCTGTGTGTGACGCAACTATTTCATTCATCTAAAATTTTATAACTGCTTCTAGAACTTAGCATAGTTGATTATAAAACCATAAACTGTTAATCATACAGAAAGATGGAGCGTATAAAGGATATTTAGTGTTTTCTATCTGCTCAACTCCTTTCAACACAATTGTAATCATCTGGGAATTTTTGACCTCTTCAGTCCCACCTTCGTAAGTTTAAAGCCAGAACACTTAATTCCCTGCCTTGCTCGTGAATGAGTCACAGGCATGTGACCAGCACCCATGCTCCAGCATGAGTTACACGGCTCTGCATATGCATCCAGTGTGCTGGTGAGTGGGCAGCAGAGGCATTGGACTTTGGAGGACAGCAGTGATTGCGAAGTGAGATCTCAACACAAGGACCTCGAGGTCTGAGTGGAACACAGCTGTAGCATCCAGTGCCTGGTAGACATGGCAGCCACTGGGTCATTTTCTCTTCAGGCTGGTATGCTGTATGATTTGGAGTCTTTTTCCTAAAGGCATAGCTTTGACGCTTTGAAGTTATCCTCTAGCCTTATTAGTGCCTCTGTGAGTCTCCCAATATTCGTTTTTAAAAATTATTCTGCTTAATCAGAGTTATTTCTACTTCTTGCATTTAAACATGCTGACAGATATAGGAAGCTTATAGTTTAATAAAAACCAAAAAATATGTATGCCAGATATTCCACTAAGCAGACTCCAAAGCAATTAAGTTGCAACATTTCTTATGTAATAAATATTCTTAGGGAGTTTTTTTTTCCCCTAAGTCCTGGAAAAGGAGAAAGAAGAAACTTGTATAATAAATTACTATGGGAAGCTGTTTTCCCAATCTAATAAATGTCATTATTGACAGCTGTAACTTTGCACTAAATTGAGGAAAAGAATATAGAGGTGGTAGTAACAATAAACACTACACTCTTTACATATACTATCATATTTAAATCATACAACATCACAAGCCAGGACTCATTTTACATATGGTGAAACATAGGTTAATTATCTTGTTGAACATCATAACTACTTTTGAACCTAGGCAACCTAGTCGTCTTCTTGATCACTGTATTGTATTACCTCTCTGAATTTAAAATAAACCCTAAAACACAGGATAAATTATTTAAAGTTGTTTACTTGTGTACTGGCAATAACTGTTCATGAACAAATATTGTATTGTTTTGACTTAAAGGATTATCTACAAAAGATCAATTATATACATAGGTACTGTAAAAGACAAAGCTGGGCACGGTGACGCACGCCTGCAGCCCCAGCTACTTGGGAGGCTGAGGTGGGAGGATCGCTCGAGCCCAGGAGTTCGAGTTCAGCATGGGCAGTGTAGTGCTGTCTCTAAAGAAAGAAGGTGCCTTTTTCCAAAACATTGAAGAAGCTTAAAAAAAAGAAAGAAAGAAAATAAAAGAAAAAGAATCAAGTGCCTTGAATTCATCTTAAGCTTCTTAATACTATCTTTATTATCCTTTCAATATACCCCAAAATTTACAGAAGGCAAGTTATATTAACCCTACTTTGTCAAAATACTCTGTATTCCCTGTAAAGCATTTATTCTCCACCTTCTCATTTATCCATTACATGTAAATGGTTCTTTTCGGCCATTTGAACCAGTTCTGCTTTTTTCACTTATAAATCCTTTTTTCCTAAAATATGGAAGTTTTCAAGTTGTGGAAGAACTCTAACTAAAGATGCATTCAAGGACAAAAATGTAGTCAAATCATAAAGCAGAAAGAATTCATCAAAAGTTTGCTACTCACTCTCATGTGTTTGCCAGTGGAGTACCATGTATTCTTTAAAAGACATTTACTAGGAACCTATAGAAGGTACTTTCCAAGGAGGTATGAAAAACACATGAGAATAATTAATGCATGGTCTATGTCTTTGTGAAACTTACAATTTAATAGAAAAGATAGAACATGATCAAAAATAACTACAGTTCAAGTGGAAAGTAAAAGACATGAAAAGGAATGTATGAATAGAAAAGTTTCTTTTACTACAAGAAAGAAACACAGAAAGTGTTCCAGAAAGTACAAATCAGACATCTGTGAAATTGTACAGATAGAGCATTCCAGGTGGAAGGAGCAACACAAGGAAAAGCTCAGAGGAATGAAAGCCTTGGTGAATGAGCATAACACAGAAAAGTATGGGTTTACTGTCTGGTAGCATCATGAAACGTAGAAAAGAGGGTTAGACTGGAAATATAGTGTGATTTGTGAAAACATTCAATGCCTGGCTCAGGAGGCAGAATTTAACTTGAAGGCCATGATCATTTTCACTAGCTGCAGATGCACTGAGCTCTGAGTGTGTTTTGACCATCTATAGCAAGTACTCAATCAGTGATGCCAACCACATTATTATTTATTATGACATATTTTTTACATTAGTAGAATTAGTGAAGTGGGCAACGAAAATGGTTCATCAGTAAATGGATATGCTTAGATTTCCGACCTTATGTCTTACATTTATTTTGCATGACATTTAGAGTTTTGTGGATTATGTGACATGCATAATGTTTCCCAAAATACTCACTTGATAGGTAACAAAGTTAAATGAGTCTTTGTGTTCAAAATAAAGAACTGAATTTCTTAAATGCATGCATACATACATTTTTTTTCATTTTTGTTCCCAGCATGAAGCTGTTAGAATAGAGTTGTTTTATACATCATTAAATAATAATATTTATCCTGCAGAGTTAAACCATATTAATTGCATTTCTCATTTTTTCTTTTGAAAGCAAAATGAAACAATGCGCAAAATTATAATCATTTTGAAGCTGTAGAATATTATATCCAAAGTTCAATTTGTCTGCTCAAGTCATGTTAACCTTCTATTTTCACTGCTTAAATAATAAAGTTTTAGACACGTGTAAGTTTTATTCAATTTTTCATACTTAGTTTGCTTTGAGGGATCCCTGGTTCCTTATAATTTGGATGAAGGTGTTTTTAATTACCATTTAAAGTGTGTGAAAAATATATTTTGAAATGTCTTTTTTCTTTTTCTAACGTATATCTCCTAAGCTGATGCCTGTCCTTGAGAGAATTGCTTTCCAGGTAAGAAATTACACCCAGGAAAATACATTATATATGTTTTTATCTTTTAAAATTTTCTTTTGGGTAAACACTAAGCTTAAGAATCTGTCACAATTTATATACAGGGTTTTCTTAAGTTATTCAGTGTAATTGAAGGGTTGCCTATAGAAAGGATTAAAAATCCTTTACCTCTTGTTTTGGATGAATGGCTCTGACCTAAAAGTTGGGTTCAAGTTAAAGTTTACACCCGCCCATCGAAGGGGTGAGAGTGCCTTTGTGATTAGCAGGGCTGAGCTCCAGGCCTTCGTAACACAAACATGATTGTCTCCATCATTCTGTTCCAACTGTTAGTGGAACTATGCTGACATCCCACAAATTATTGAGCCTAGAGGCTGAGAGTTGACCATGTTTGTAGCAGCGTTGGTTGTGATCCCTTAAATTTAGAGACACTTTGGCCTGAGAGTTGGCAGAATTGGGCTTTGTCTCAATTTAGCCACCAAGTATGTAAAACATCTTCACTGCTCCTCATCTGTGAAATAGTGTTGACACTGAAGATTACTAGCTCTGGCCATGATATGATAATAGAAAAAAAGCATTTATATGGTATATTTCTGTACACACTCCTTCAAATAAAGCTCACTATGAATCTGTGGGTAGGTATAGTATAAATGTGAAAGGCAAGAGGCTCTCAGCAAATGCAATTCATTTCAAAAAATGGCTCCAAAGAAGGTAAACAATGTTTCCCGAGCAGCCTGACGTGGCCTTACTAAAATTACCATGACCCAGGGTCTGGATCCCAGTTTTACAGGCTCCAAAACTCTTATTTACTAACAGCAGTGATCATTACTATCATTACTGTTCAAATTAAAAAATATTTGGCTGAAAAAGTTACAATTTAGTCTATGACCTGAATAGAAATGGGTAAAAAGGAAAGAGACTGGTACTGATAATAATGAGCAGAGCAATGCAAATTTGGCAGGACAAATCAAATTTGGTTGTAAAATGAAAACACTTTACAAGCCTAGTAAAGACGTTTCAGTTGTTTGTGTATGCAATGTCACTCTCATTAGTAAAGGTTATCTTGCAGCTTCAGTCTGTAGTTTCTTATTAACAAAATGGAAAGTGAATATACAGACTAAATTAAACATTTCACCTCTTCAGGGCCGGGCCATATCTGACAACTGTGTTTATCCGTGCATTCACTCAATTCAACAGTCATTTATTAAGTCTTTGCTGTATAGAAGCAGCTGCATTTTGGATAGCATAGAAAAAATACTTTCAGATGCAGATTTTTATTGAATCATAAAAATGTAGATTACAAAAATATATACAATAGCACTGATATCTTTGGCTGACACAAAATGTTCTCCATTCAAAACTGATATGTACACTGTATTTTACACTCTCTCTAGATGATGCACTTTTTCAATATCTGTTTTGCAGTCAGGGTTGGAGCTCCCTGCCCCAGAGGTCTGCTGGAGCTGTACCTATGTCTCCAATCCAGAAAGAGTCTCCTCACCTGTTACCAAAAACTTACAGTTCCAGCTGCTGCTGGAAGGATTTTTGTTCTGAGTACTCTATTCAGGTTCTGAATCAAAGGTCATATCACAAAATAGTCAATGGTAACCATTATTGTAAGATAATATGGAATGAGTGAGTAATTTTACATAATTTATAAAATTGTCAAATAGTTAGTTATATATTTCTTTTTAGCTCTACTTATTTGTCTTCTATCAACTGTTCAAAAACCAATTTACATGCCACTTCTTCCACAAAGACTTCTTTGTTTTCCTCGGCTTAAATTAAGTTCATCTCTTTTCAATAGTCTTCATTCTGAGGAGGGTGAGGTTAAAAGCTTTCCTCTTATAAAAGGTAGAATGAAATGATATAGTTTCAGTTATAGTGTTAGTTATAGTGTTCTTAGTTTATTTTTAAAGTTAAAATACATCTATACAACCTTAAAAGAAATCTTCGGAGGAATTGAAAATAAAATAAGAGCGTAATAGTCCGTGCTTATACAGTTTTTAAAAAAGAAATGGTCAAAATTCATAAGAGATAGTATACAACAAAATTACAGAAATAAAGCTAAGTATACCTACTATAACAGTAAATATAAATGGCTTAAACTCCACCATGTATTTTTAAAAATTAATCCTCAGATTCGTTTACAAAAACAAATGCCAAGTATATAACTTAACCAAAAAAAAAAAAAAATACCTAAAAAACATATACAGAGTGGTAAGGAAGGGGTTAACAGCAGATTCCTCACTCAGTCTCTCCCTCCTCAGGAACACCAAGGTAATGTTGACTTCAGCCAGAACTCTTTATTGTATGATAGAATGTATTGGCTCGAAGAAAACGAGGTTCTTCTTGTGGCTTCTATGAACTATACTTATTTCTTAAAGAATATTCTTCTCACAGTATATACCTGGTGTAACTAGATTGTTGATTGTTTTCTTCTTTGCTTGTTTGTTTTAAATAAGCCCATATTTTTGGATTGATGGCCCCAAGCTCTGCTGAAGAATGGAAGTTAGTCATAAAGTATTCTTAGTTACTGTGGCTAACAAATCGCCAAATTCAGCAACGTCCCTGTGCTAATGCATCTGGCACAGAATGAGCCTTCGAAATCCAGACCCAAGCAATCACCAGTCTTTGTCTAGGAAGGTGCCTCTGATAGATTCAGGAACTCCTAGATAGCAGCTTAGTGTTGGGTGTGGCTCCTTTCTTGAATCCTTTGCACAGTCCTTAGTACAGCTTTATGCTGTGTAAGATGAGATTTTAATAAACAACTGATCCCTTTGTGGTAGTGCAAAGGATAGTGTAAGGCAATGCCATGATTTATTATAAGATGAATAGGGAAACAAAGTCTGGAAAGGTAGACCTTGAGGAAAAGGACACTAAATGGGATCTCAAATAAAGTAACAAGAAAAGAAATGTACAAACCAATATCCTTCATATAAATTTAAAATATTTTTAAACAAACAGTAGTAAACAATTCCAACATATAGAAAGGATAACCAAGTGGGATTTGTACCAGGAATGCAGGATTAGCTTAATATCTAAAAACTTAATTAATATACTATATCAATAGAAAAAAAGAACAATTTATTTAAAAAATAAAATATCTGAAGAAACTAGAATTAGAAGAGAACGTCCTAAATTTCATAAAGACATCTAAGAAAAAACTACAGCTAACATCATACTTAGTAATGAAAGATGAAATACTTTCCTTCTTAAGATTAGGGAGAAGACCAAGTGTTGATTTTCACCACTTCTAGTTAACAAACATTATACTGTATGTTCTAGTCAGTGCAGTAAGAAAAGAAAACGAAATAAAAAGTATCAGATTGCAAGGAAAGAAGTGAAACTGTTTATTCACAAATGACCCGATTGTCCATGTAGAATTTCCTAAGGAATTTGCAGAAGAGGAAAAGAAAACAATACTAGGAAAAATAAGTTTAGTAGGTCATAAAAAACAAGATTTAAAAATTAAGTTTAGTTCTATAAACTAGCAACAAACAATATCAAAAGGAAATTGAGACAAATCCATTTATAATGCTATAAAATATTAAAATATTTAGGAATGAACTTAACAGAAGTACAAGAACGTGCACACAGAAAATATTGCTGAGAGAAATTAAAGAACTAAGTAAATGGGGAGATCCATCACTTGTTTAGATTGATAATAATGTAATTTGCCACCCAAATTAATCTATCAATTTAGTACACTTCTTGTTAAAATCCCAGTAGCCATTTTTGTAGAACTTGACAATCTGAACTTAAAACTTGTATAAAAATGTAAAGGACTTAGAATAGCTAAAACAATTTTTTAAAAAAGAAAACAATGGGACTTACATTGCCTGATTTACACACTTATTACAAAGTTACAGTAATCTACAGTGTGATATTGGCATAAATATATAGATCCATGGAACATAATAAATCCCAAAAGTAAACCCTTAAATATATGATCAGTTAATTTTATCAAAGGTCCAGACAATTCAATGGAGAAACAATAGTGTTTTTATCAAACGTATGATGGGCAACGTCTACCTATATGCCAAATATAGATATAATTTTTGTGTATGCTATGAGGTAAACTAATTTATGCATATAGGTATAACTACCTCACATATTTTATATATAATTATCTCACATCATACACAGAAATTAATTCAAAATGAATCACAGACTTAAATAAAAATCTAATACTTTTAGAAGAAAGCATAAGAAAATTTTTGTGATATTGGGTTAAGCATAAGATTTTTGTTACATGTGGCACTAAAAATAGGATCTATAAAAACTGATAAGCTGAACATTTTAATAATTAAAACTGTCGCTCTTCAAAAGAAAAGCAAAGAAGAAAATGAAAAGACAAGCCACAATCTAGGAGAAATTACTTGCAAATCATATATCATCATCTATCTGATAAAGGACTTCTATATAGAAAATATAAAGAACCCTTACAAGTCAATAAGAAAACACCCAGTTAAAAAACAGGCAAAAGGTCTACATAAACATTTCACCAAATAAGATATACAAGTATTTAATAAACACATGAAAGGATATTAAACATCATTAGTCATAGGGAAATGCAAATTAAAACCATAATGAGACACCACTGCTCTCTCACCAGAATGTCTATAATGCAAAAGACTGATGATACTAAAGATATGAAAACACCAAACCCTCATACATTTCTAGTGAGAATTTAAAATAATACAATGACTTTGAAAACCAATTTTGCAGTTTCTTAAAAAGTTAAACAGATCCTTACCATGCAATCCAGAAATTTCACTCCTGGTTATCTATACAATAGAAATAAAACTTAGGTCCACCAAAAAAATGTATACAAATGTTTACAGCAGCTTTATTCATAAAATCTCAGACTGGAAATAATGCAAATATGCATTATCTGGTGAGTGGATAAACAAAATGTGGCATATCCACACAACAAACTATTATTTAACAGTATATAAAGAAGCAAACTCTTGATACACATGCTACAATATGTATCAAACTCAAAACCATTATGCTAAGTGAGAGCAACCAGACACAAAAAACTACATATTGTATGATTTAATTTCTAGGAGATTTCCATACACAGGGCAAATCTATATAGACAGAAATCAGATTAGTAGTTACCTGCAGCTGCAAATGGAAACAGAGAATGACTGCAGACTGACAGAGAACTTTTTTAGGTTGATAGAAATGCTCTGGAACATTGTGGTGATGGTTGCACAACAATATAAATTTATAAAAAGAATTGTATGCTTACAAATAAATTTTATAATATATAAATTATACCTCAAAAATATGCTAGAATTATTAAAACAGTAACGCCTACCTGTTTTGAAGCTGTCTTGAAGATTATATGCAGGACCAAATTAGGACATTTGAGGCCCCTATCTACTAAAAATATAATCCTGCCTTCACGTAAAATAAGCAAAAAGAACAGTATTAACCATAAATAAATATAAAGAGGTTAAAGAAAACTTCTGTTCTTTCCCTGTGGGGAAAGTGCTCCAATACCTTCTTTAAAATATAAAAAATAACTTTTTGAGTGTCCTGACTTCACTAATACTCTAAAGTCCTTCTTAATTTTACCTCTGAGTAATTCAGCATTCCATTTAACAAGATGACTCTCATGCTATGTCCTACTTATTGTTCACTGATGATATTAAACCATAAAAAGATTATGGCAATAACACTTTGTAGACTTTTTTTAAAAAAATACTTCTCTATTCTTCTGATATAGTTTGGATATTTTTCCTCTCCAAATCTCATGTTGAAATTTGATCTCCAGTGTTGATGGTGGAGCCTGGTAGGAGGTGTTTGGGTGATGAGGGCAGATACCCCATGAACAACTTGGTGCCCTGCTTGCATCAATGAGTGAGTTCTTGCTCTAATATTACCCTTGAGAGCTGGTTGTTTAAAAGAGCATAGCACCCTCCCCATGTGCCATGTTTCTTGTACCACGTGCAGAACCATGAGCCAATTTTCTCTATAAAGCCAAAATGTTTATGAGTCAAAATTTCTTTATAAATTACCCAGGCTCAGGTATTCGTTTATAGCAATGCAAAATGGACCAAGACACCTTCTAAGGTCATCTGAAAGAGGCAAAAACCCATAGCAATTCAAAAAAAAAATCAGCTTATCTCTTATTTTGTACAAAACATAATGGCTTGAAATAATTATTTCAAAGAATGCTTTAACTCCTGAATTTATACTAATGCTTGATATTTGTATGACACTTTCTGGTTTCAAAGTGTCTTCACATAAAATATTTGATGGTACAGAAGAAATCGAAGGTATTTTATTTCCAATTTCCCTGAGAAAACTGAAGCTTAGGGATTTTTAAATGACTCCTCCAACTCATGGCGATACTAGGAAAGGCAGCCAGGACATGAACTTGAGGCTTTCTATTCCCAGATGTCTGCTTTCCCCCACTGGGGTGCTATGTTATGCTAAATGAAGTCTTGTAACTTCCTACACTATGCTCTTTGATGTGACTCACTGGAAAGACTGGTTTTGCCAGGAGTTTAAACTAGTGCGTGAAATTCTTGCTTAAAAAAAAATTCTAAATATAAAAGATGAGAATGAATAAAGACTAAATAATAACCCAGTAATTTTCACACTGCTTACATACTCACATATTCATACATCAAATAAGCATAAAGTGATTTAAGATGAATGAATTTATGTAAAAAAGGAACAATAAAATATTACCTCAATACTACTAGATAGCAAATCAGTAAGTACCTGAGTCCTCAAAGGGAGTTTACATTCTAGGAGAATCTAGCAAGTTGCTTTTTAATCTCAATAATTAAATTTCACAAAAGCTTATATTTATAAATATATAATTATACATTGAAGCATATTTCATTTAGTTGATACCTATCCATACTATACACTTACATGCTTATATGTGTATTTATGCCAACTGAGGAAAAATATCTTTTAATTTTTGAAGGAATGTCATAAAGATGCATAGACATAGTTATAAATTAGATATAGATGGATTATTTTTTAAATTTTGCAAACAAAATTCCAGTTAAATTGTGAATAGCTGGTCACTCATGTAACTAATTCTGGAGGAAATAATATTGAGCTAAGTTGACAGTCTGTTTTTCTCATAATATTATTTTTCATCAAGACTAGGCAGGCAAACTTTCAACTACAAGGTGGTTTCTTATTCCTCAGACCCTTTTACAGAGCTGTTTTTCTGCATTTCGAACTATTTTATTTTTCTTTCATGTTTCCACCCTCTTCACTTCCAAAAGTGTGCTGCTCAGCTGAAATATTCAGAAAGGAATCAGATGTATGAACTCCTCCCAAGGTGTTCTATCCTACTGAAGATTGAAAGTCTAGCTCTTTGAAGCTCTCTTAATGACTTATGAGTATCAAGAAAGGCCAATGGAAAGAGTTTTAGATAGCGACGCAAAGATATACATAACATTCCCCGACTGATGACCAGTGTTCACTGGTATTCTTATTGTTTAAATGAATAGATATTAACTCCAGTTAAAATCAATGGCATAGGCTAGAGGCCACTATGTTGATTGAATTAAAATACATCCCTATTCTTTGAAATTTAAGTCAACAAAGGTTTCGTGTTGTCTCTCTTATACTTAGTGCGTTGCCAAAGAGTTCCAACAAGAAAGAAATGAGCCAGGACCTTAAATATTAATATTTGTGAGGTAAAATGGTTGATCCTGTTAATAATATAAGCCCATGGAAAACTTCTGAGATCCTTATGTATTGGATGAATATATGCAGAATTAATTAGCTGTAATCAGAGATGGACAATCTCACTTTAGCACAGCATTACCATTATCTGAACAGAGATAAGATGGAATAACTGAAACAGTGACATTATTTTCACATCATTTCAGCCAAATTATTCTAAATCCAAAAGCTTTGACTATGTAGCTTCCTGCTGAAAAGCTGAATTGTAATCAGCCTAAGATACATTATGTTGCAAAGCTGCACCACCAGTGCATAACAGAACCTTATTTTCCATTAATTCATAACTTTCTGAAAGTGTAGTAAACACTCCATATGCTTAGTAGCCCCCAAAAAAGAATGTTCTCACATTTTAAGATTGCCTATTAGGGACTTATTTTTAAAAAATATACACCCAAAGAAAACAGTGACTCTCAAAGCCATTTTTGAAAACTAACTTAACCTATGTGTTAAAACAAGTTTAGTCACCTGTCAAGAAATATCAGTTCAATTGTGCATTTTAGCAAAAACCCAACAACATATGCTGTGTTTATAGTGACTTTTGAACTCATTTAATGTGTTAATTATTCCACAAGACTGAATTCAGAGACAGGATACATGGGAAAGAAAGAAATAGAATTAGAGTATGTGAGAGAATCTCATCTAGTATAACAGGATGTGAAAATGAAAAAAATTCTACTGGAAATGAACCCTGTTCTATGAATACTCCTAATACATGACTCACACACCTTCATTTTGGTCTCACGTTTTTGGTAAACGATGTTGCTTGCTTGTTTTATTTACTCTGGACATCAGAATCTTCACTTCATGAAAGTCAGACAGTGTATAACTTTGAATATTAGTCATTAGGAAACTCAAAGGGGCCCTTTAACTCAGATATTTATTTTTAAAAAAGAAATAGAAATTGTAAATGTCTGAACTCACATGAGGTGATGAGAACAGTAAGCAGCCTTCTATATTGTGCATTGTTTAGTCGTCAATTTAGGATGTATAAATACATTGTGCATAATATACAGGGGAATTCTGATACCAGTTTCAAATTCTCCTACACAGGAAATTCTGAAACTCTTAAATAAGTGTGGTTAATTTCATGCGCGTCCATGTGAAGAGACCACCAAACAGGCTTTGTGTGAGCAATAAAGCTTTTAATCACCTGGGTGCAGGTGGGCTGAGTCCGAAAAGAGAGTCAGCGAAGGGAGATAAGGGTGGGGCCGTTTTATAGGATTTGGGTAGGTAAAGGAAAATTACAGTCAAAGGGGGTTTGTTCTCTGGCGGGCAGGAGTGGGGGTCGCAAGGTGCTCAGTGGGGGTGCTTTTTGAGCCCGGATGAGCCAGGAAAGGGACTTTCACAAGGTAATGTCATCAGTTAAGGCAAGGACCGGCCATTTACACTTCTTTTGTGGTGGAATGTCATCAGTTAAGGTGGGGCAGGGCATATTCACTTCTTTTGTGATTCTTCAGTTACTTCAGGCCATCTGGGCGTATATGTGCAGGTCACAGGGGATGCGATGGCTTGGCTTGGGCTCAGAGGCCTGACAGTTAAGATAACTGTTCCTCTTTTGGATTGCTTTGGATTTCTCCTCTGAAGTGTTCCATGTTCTTTTTTGTGACTTAAGAGTGGAGATGTTTATTTCCTTGAAAATAATTACTGTTACTATTTGCAAACTTTCACAGACTTATTCAGTAATTACTCCAAGTCAATTTAAGTACCTAATATTTTTCAACAGATTCTCATGAAACTGTTTTTCATATTTCCTGCATACTATGTGCCCTGTCTTCCATATTCCCTGCCAATTATGTTTTGCTTGGAGGTCCCTTCAACTGACTGAGGTCCCTTCAACATAAACATGGAAGACAGCATGATATTTTATTCATAAGCACTTTTACATAGATTGTAACCCACCAGCACCATGGACCACTCAAGGAGCATACCAGAAGCAAAGGAGCTTGCAAAGGGGGAGGTAAGTGTTGGGCAGTGAGCAGGGCAGTTAGGGAAATAAGGAATTGACTGACAAAATACCAATCAGCAACTGGCTGTCATACAAAGGGATTTTTATCAATGAGACTCTGAACCAATTGATTCTGTATGATTTCCTGCACATACACACAAGGGAAATAATAATCGGTTTGGGAAATGTATTAGTCAGTTCTTGCATTGCTATAAAGAAATACCTGAGATTGGGTAATTTATAAGACAGGAGGCTTAATTGGTTCATGGTTCTGCAGGGTGTACAGGTAGCATGACAGCATCTGCTTGTAGGAAAGCCTCAGGGAGCTTTTACTCATGGCAGAAGGCAGAGTGGAAACAAGCATCTTACATGGCAGAAGCTGGAGCAAGAGGCAGGGGAGGAGCCACACACTTTTAAACAACCAGATATCATGAGAACTCACTATGGCAAGGACAGTACCAACAGAGATGGTGCTAAACCATTCATGAGAAAGTGCCCCCATGATCCAGTTACCTCCTACTAGGCCCCACCTCCAAAACTGGGAATTACAATTTGACATGAGATTTCAGCAGGGCCACAGATTCAATCCACATGAGGAAATACAAAAATGATACAAATTTTCTTATCTCATTATTTATTTAAATATTCGATAAACTATATGTACAAGGACTATATTAGTCCATTCTCATGTGCCCAAGACTGGGTAATTTATAAAGGAAAGATGTTTAATTGACTCACAGTTCCACATGGCTGGGGAGGCCTCAGGAAACTTACAATAATGATGGAAGGGGAAGCAAACACATCTTTCCTCACATGGTGGCAGGAGAGAGAAGTGCCGAGCAAAGGGGGAAAGCCTCTTATAAAACCATGAGATATCATGAGAACTCACTATCACAAGAACAGCAGAGGGGAACTGCCTCCATGATTCAATTACCTCTCACCAGGTCCTTCCTATGACATAAGGGTATTATGGGAACTATGAGATGAGATTTGGGTGGGGACACAGCCAAACCACAACAAGGACTAAACATTTTCTCGACCTTTAAAAGATCAAAAGATAATCAGTAATATTTGTATCCGATTCTATTGTCTGTTGCAATTCTGATTTCTCAAGCACTGAATATTATTTGGCTAACAGTTATTTTTAATATGTATATATAAATATACATTTGCATACATTCATACATACTATTAAATTACTAGATTATTGGCTACATGTGGTTATAAGACTAGGTCAGTAGTTATATTCCTCAACAGGGGGAAGTTCCAGCTTATCTTCTTAGTTAGCTCCAAGTAGAAATCATTAAAACAACTTTGTCTCCCTCAGGAATCTTCACCCTCTGCCTCAGTCAGTGCACTTCAGTTTTTACAGCATCATTTGTTTCTCCAGCATCTCAATTTTCCTCTCCATGGACCCATGAGATTTAATCACATGTGTAGCAAAAGCCTTATGTTCTATTTCCTTTTTTTCAAGGGCTACAATTTTGCATCTGTGCTGCCTGCCTGAACCACTGAAGATTTAATTTACTTGTCTAACTCATCAAAATTTCAGACATGCTTCATCCCTTCCTTCTTGATGATCTTCTCATTTCCTTCTCTCCTTCCAAACAAACAAAGCTGACCATGGACCTGGGCTTCCAGTCATACAACAATTACAGTCCATTGTATCCTGGGCAATTTCTCTTCATTTCTTCTTGTTTGGAGAATGTTCTTTCTCCACATACTTCCAACTGTTTTACCCCAGTACATTTATAGCTTGAGTTATTAAGGCAGATTGCAAAAAAAACAAAAAGTCACGAAGTCAACAACCTGCATTAGTAACAACTCTCTAGTAGGACAGTAGTAGGTCCCAGATCTTACTTTAATTCACATCAAATTTCAAAACATGATTATCTGCCCCCTATAAGAAAGAGTGTTATGTTTCCATTGAATCCAAGCAGAGAATCACTTAATTAGGGTTAGTAATATGCTCATGTTCATGCTAGAGGAGGAGTTAGGCCCAGGGTTTTCAGAGGCATATTACTATTCTCTCTTTTCATCATAAGCTTCCTAGGAAAATGCCATCAAAAAAATTTCTTACCTAACCAAAAGAAAAGTGAATGAGATAGATAAAATTCCATTTGGCCAAAACTGAACCAAATAGGCTATTTTATCCAGTGTATCATACCCACAATTCATTATGCCCTGAAATGGTCCTTCCTTAC
Source organism: Homo sapiens (assembly GCF_000001405.40). NCBI lineage: Eukaryota > Metazoa > Chordata > Mammalia > Primates > Hominidae > Homo > Homo sapiens. The sequence continues at coordinate 183,527,290 of NC_000002.12, read as the reverse complement.
AGCTAGACTTAAGTTGTTAATGGAATCTCGGATCACTTCTATGGTGCATTTCCCTCAGACATTTGAGAAAGTTAGGGTTACTGCTTTAATTCATTCCTAGCCTGCCCATACACTGCCTTTAACAAGTCTTTGTGGATGAGAGCTAAACGAGCCAAGAAAAATGGTAACTTTCCCAAGCCATGTCAATGTCACCATCCTTCTTTTTCAGAGGGCTCACTGTATCACTTCGTAAAATAGCCAATAATGCATGGATATGTATATCGTTTCTCTTATGGTTGCCTGAGGCCCCAGATACATTAAATTATGTTTGACAGAAAGTTAAGCTTCAAGATAGCTCTACTGGATGTCTCCATATGCATAGAAATATGCATACGGCTGAATAATCCAAGAATAAACCAGAGAAATTTGTTTCTATATTTTTTTTACATTTCTTGACATTTACTTATTGCTTTTTTTATTATTTCAATAGCTTTAGGAGTACCAGTGGTTTTTGGTTACATGAATGAATTATATAGTGGTAAAGTCTGAGATTTTAGTGTACCTACCACCTGAGTAGTGCCCATTGTACCCAATACATAGTTTTTTATTCCCCTGCCATCCTTATCTCCTCTAAGTCTCCAGTGTCTATTATAGCACTCTGTATTCCTTTGCATACCCATAGCTTGGCTCCCACTTCTAAGCAAAAAACATGTAGTATTTATTTGGTTTTCCATTCCTGAGTTACTACATTTAGAAAAATGGCCTCCAGCTCCATCCAAGTTGCTTTTCCCATGGCTGAGTGGTATTCCATTATATACATACTGTAATATATACACACACAACATTTTCTTTTCTCATCAGTTAATGGGAACTTAGGTTGGTTCCATATCTTTGCAATTGTGAAGTGTGCTGAGATAAAAATTTGTGTACAGGTATATTTTTGATGTAGCAGCTTTGAATTTTTTTCATGCAGTAATTAACTGAACTATCAATGACTCTTCTTTGGGAAAAAAAAAGGCAGTGATATTGTATCTTAAGAATTTTCAAAAGGTTGTTACTTTACACCGAAGTTATTCTCCTTCATGTAACATACAAGTTCACTCAGAGACTTTGAAATGAAAGGTTCTTTTGCCTGCTCCACAAAAAGCTCATTGATCGATTATCTTTTAGTTTTATGTGTGGCCAACCCTTTCCCAAACAACTAGAATGGCGCAGCAAGTTGTTAGATCTTATGAAAGGAATATTGAAGCCTAATTTGTAAATTGTATATATTTTTTATTGGGAGCTTCAGTGAAAGAAAAGAATCACTGTGTAGTAGTTTCTTCATTCTTTAAAACAAAAAATTTTCTCAAAGACTTAAATCCTTGTTAAATTTCTGCCATAAATGTGTTTTAGTAAAAGCTGAATATAAATAGGGACTATGGACTTCCTTTAGCTCAAGCATTTTTCAATGACCAAAGTCAAGTCATTATGAAGCAGAACAAGTCAGCCTTCTGTGGTTCAGAATACCTGCAAAAACAAATGCTTCATAGAGCTGATGGCCAAAATCTCACCAGAAAATATCAAAATATACATATTTCAAGAATTATTATAAATTGGAATTACTAATTTCCAGCAAATTTGTATGAAAATTCATACTATGAGTTTATGAGGCTATGCCAAAATAAAATACATTTGTATACTTGGACATCATTAAGGACAATCAGGTCATGCAGTTTCAATCCACTTCATAATAATTTTTCAAATACATCTTGACTTTTTGCTGCTAATTTATCCTTCCCATTGTATCTTTCTTATTTAAAAAAAAAAGTTTTTTTAGTTTTGCTTATTATACAAAAGATAAACACTGTTGTGTTAGTTATCTGTTGCTGCATAACATGTTAATGCAAAACTTAGCAACTTGAAATGATGCATATTTAATATCTCACAGTTTTTGTAGGTCAAGAATTCAGGCACAGTTCATCTAGGTGGGTCCTCTGCCTCAGAGTCTTCATGAGACTGTTATTACGGTGTCAGCCCAGGCTGCAGTCATCTTAACATTCAACTGAAGTAGCATCCACTTCCAATTTCACTCCATGGTTGCTAGCATGATACAGTTTCTCACAAGCTACTGGACTGAGAACCTCACTTTGTTGCTGGCTGTTTGCAAGAGGCTTTCCTGGTAGGTCTTTCCATCAAAGCAAGCACAGGAGATGACCCAGGGAGAGAGAATATCAGCAAGGCAGAAGTCACAGTCTTTATAACCTAGTCACGGAAATAACACCCCATCACTTTTGTGAGAAGCAAGTCACAAAGTTCAGCTACACTCAAGAAGAGAATATTACAAAGGCTTTAAACACCAGGAAGTGGGGACCACTAAAATATATATCAGAAGCTGCCTGCCACAACTACATATACAACAACTACATATACACTTTGCACCTGTTTTTTCCACATAAGAATAAATCACATAAATTAACTGCTCTCAGTTTCTAGAGACTACATAGTGTTTTCATGACTGCATAGTGTTCCATTGCATGCTGTGTAACCAGTTTTTTATAGTTGAGCATTTATTTCCCACATTTTACTTTTACAGTGACATAATCAATAGCCCTCTATATTTGTTATTTTATATTTGTATACAAGTACCTCAAAAGTAAGTCCCTAAAAATGGTCTTTATGTAAGTAAACATTTAATTTTATTAGATGTTGTCAAATTCCCTTTCATAAGAATTATAACATTTTGCCTTCACAATAACAGTATGTGTAAATTTCTGTTTCCCCACAGACTCATCAACAAAGTATATGGTCAACGTTTTATGTGTTCCCCAATTTGAAAGGTAAAAATGTACTTTCAATCTTTTCACATATTTAAATGTCATTAGATATCTTTCTCTGTGAACTGTTCATATCTTTTACCCATTTTTTTTCTATCAAGTTTTGGCCTTATTTCCCCTCACTTTTTATTAGTCCCTTCATATATTAGGTAAATTGGCCTATTGTCTGTTACAGAAGTTGTAAATATTTCCCCCTAGTTGGTAATTTGTCTTTTGACTTGCTGATAATTTTTTCCTGTGCAAATGTTTTATATAGTCATTTATTAATCTTTCCTTTTATTACTTGTGAATTTTGAGTCATAAATAGAAAGGCTTTCCTACACCAAAGCTGTAGAGGAATTCAGTGATGTTATCTTTTGGTACTTGAATGTTTTGATTTTTTTGACTTAAGTCTCTGATCCATTTGTGGTTTATTCTACTGTTTTATATAAAGCATAGATACAATTTTATCTTTTTTGAAATGGCCAGTTTTCTTAACATCATTTATTTTTAAAGCTCATCTCTTCCACAGAGAACGTAGATATCATCTTTATTAGATACTAAATTTCAACATGCATTTGGGTCTATTCCTGGAACTTCCATTCTGTTCCATTAGACTATCCCTTTTATTGCTGTTCTTTTTTAGGATTTTCTGAGTACCTTTTTCATGATTTGTATACATAAATTTTAGAAGCAACTTGTCTAACTCCAGAAAGAAAAAAAAAAAAACAGTTGCCATTGTTATCAGGATCACGGATTCTCTCTAACATGGAGAGAACTGACATCTCTATCATGTGGAGTTGTCTTATCTAAGAAGAAAGATTATCATTTCCCATAATCAGGTGTTCAAAGGTTTTTTCATATAGTTTTTCACAGTTTTTAAGATTATTCCTATTTTATCTTTTATGCTGCCTTGGCACATAAGTTTCTCTTTCATCCAATTGGCTAACCAAAATACATACCACATTGATTTTTGTATCTTAATTTTATATCTTATTAGAATACATCAATATATCCAAAACCACATAGGGATAATAACATGCCTATCCATAATCTAGCAAATGGTAATTTGAAAGATTTCAAAGTCATCCAAAATGTATACATTAAATGCTAAATGTTCTAATACTTTCTAAAGACCTGCTTAAAGAATGCATTACTACCAGCTTTCGAGATTAAGAGGGTTTAGTGAACAGAGTGCATTTTGAAATGTTTCAATTAATTAAATCATAAATAGGAAAAATGCTGGTTTATTATGCATCTTAAAGCAGTTTTTACTAAAAATAACTTAATATTTTAAATAACTAACATTTGAAAAACAAAATGACAAAATGAATTTTATGTGCTTCAGACAGTGCAATGCCAAGTTAACTGCTATCTCATATCATATTGAAAGAAATAAAGTTTACTCATAGTGAGTGAACAAACATGAATAATATCAATAGGCACTAGGTCATTTATCCATTAGAGTAATGAATGCCACCTCATACTCATTTGGTCAGGAAGAAAAATCTAAGCAGTTTCTGCCTACAAACGTCAACATTTCTTGCTGATAGATGAAATCAAATCATGAAAGCCAGCAATTTTTATTGATGGTTTTCCCTTAAACTACTAAATCTGCTTCCTGACAAGCAATAAAATAATAACAAATAATATCAGAATCAAATTCTGCAATCACCAAACAGGAACACTCTGAAATATAAATGAAGATGAAGACCCACGTATGCCATGCACTTGAAACCTTACATAGTTAAAATGAGATCACTTCAAACAGTTATTTTTAGCCCAAACACATAAGCCAAAGAACACTAAAAACAAATCAATTAAGTTGTCAGAAAATCTCTTCAACTCTGTCCCTATAATGTGAAAACTATGCTATGCAAAATTGCTGAGGTTAAAATTGCAACACCATTTTAGAAAGAATGTAATTTTTTAATGCACATTAAAAGGAAAAAAGTTTTAGTTGAAGTAAATGTCCTTGAGTTCTTTATATAAACAAGATTTGAATGTGGTAATAAGAAAGAAAGAACCCACTGGATTTGCAATGGCGAGAATTATAGCTCGTTTTCTTAACATAAAAAAGTCAAATTGTAAAGATGCTTTCCCCTTCACCTAATTCCACATTTACCTTCCACTTTTATATTTAACAATCAATGCCAAGGTATTTCATCCCACTTCCCTGCAAAGCACTTCAATCTCAGCATACTTATTTATTTATTTTCCCCTTAGTAATAACCTAATAGGAGTGAATAATTTTGCCTCATTTTTCTTTACTTGAGCATAAAGAATAACAATGAATAATGTGGAATTTAGCCACAGTTTTATTGAACTCGATCAAGGTCATTTTTAAATAGGGCTAAGTAGCTTAACACAACTCAAAAAGGAATTCTTACAATTCCTGATGTTTTACAGATGTAGTCCATCCAAGTATAGTTTTTAGAACAGGCCAGCACCAGAAAACAGTAGTTATGTTAAAGTTTAAAAAGACTGTAAAACCAGGGGAAAAAAACTGAACTTCAAAAACTATTAAGAACATATGATTTTTAAGTGATAAGGAGAAACTGACAGCACTAGTTGAAGATAAAGCTTTCCATCTGTTCTCTTTTGCAGCCGAACCAACCTATCTCCATTATGGGAGACCCATCATTCCAAAATTTTTAAAAGGCATTTTTTCCCCATAATCAGAACCTGTACAACAGTCAAAAACGTAACTGACAAAACAGGCCTCTTGTCATTTATTGCTTTTTCCTCTTGAATGCATTTCACAGCTTGAACATATCTTTGTTTTACCAATTCTAGCCCACAAAAAGCTCACTTGCCAACCCACATAGAAAATAACTCAAATTGCTTCTTTACAACTCAAGATTATAGAGTGGTGGCAACCCTTTCATCCATAGTATCTTAGCAATGCCAATTTGTTTCTGACTTTTACATTTTAAAACATCCAAATCAGATGGTTTGGTAACTTTCAATAAAAATTCCTAGTAAGCATTAAAAAATAAGAATCAAAAAGTGGTTCTTTATCATCAAGGTCATGCAGAAAGATGTAGGAGTAACCAACTGCTCAATGAGTAAGTGCATTTACATTAAAGGTTAATATATTCAGTCTTGCAGTTCAAGAAGAAGCCATCTGGTTTCAAATACAGAGTTGAAATGAGTCTATAAAAAGGTAAAAATTCTTGCAAACAGCTCAGAAATACACATCCAGCAATTTCAAATATATCACTGTTTCTTTTTTGGGAAAAAAAAAAAGCCTTTATAATTTATATCCAAACCTACCAAGTGAACACTTGCCCTCTACACATCTATCATTAACACACAGTGAATAAGGTGTTGCTGTCTCTAGATTTCATCTTACCAAGTCATTGTCTTTTTAAAGTGTCAAGACAGCAGTCAGTTATACCTGTACTTAACCTAAGGAAAAGAAAAATCACACTTCTGGTCTTTATTCCTCCTCTCCACCCCCAAACATCTCTCTCCCAGGTCATCTTGTGGACATGGGGGTCATGCAGTCCTGTGACAAGAGAGAAACAATAGCCTCACCTCCCTGACACCCCAAGAAGCTTTGCCATTTTCTAACCCACCAGTGGTCGCTATCTTATAGTAAATTTGTATGAGTCTTTCCCAAATGGAATAAAGCACTGTCTTAAGCTTGTGGAAAAATCAAACAACTTAAAGCAAGATCTGAAATTAAAGGTTAAAACAAAATCCTTTGGTACTCAAAAGTCCATTGCATAAGTTATTTATTGCAATATCGCAAACCACCCCAAAAGTTAGTTAGTGGCTTAAAACAACAGTTATTTATTATTTTTTTTTCACAAATCTATAGCTCAAATTGGTTCTTCTACTCAATGTGATTTTGGGTCACTCATGTAGCTGCATTTATTTGGTATCTGAGCTGAAGTGGAAGAGTCAAGATCTCATCATATGGCCGGAATCTTGGCACTGATTGTCAGCTGGCCCCCTCAGTTTTTCTCCATGTGGCCTCTCTCTCTATATATAGGGACTTATCTTCTAAGGCTTCTCCACGGTTTCTTCTCACCGTCAGGACAACCTGGACTTCCCTCATCATGGCAAATGGGTTCTTAGGGAGCAAAATCAAAAGCTGCCACTCCTCCTAAAACCAGGCCCAGAACTGGCTCAGGATTACTTTTTTGTCTGTTGTCTTCTATTATTCAAAGCAAGTCACAAAGTCAGCCCAGGTTAAAGGGAGAGGGATGTGCAGGGGATCGATTTTTTCCTCTTGATGGGAGGAATGCAATGCACATACAGGAAATGGGGAAATTGTTGGACAGCCATCTTTGGAGATCATCTACCACATTCTAAGCACCATCAAATAAAAATTTATTTAAAGAAAGAGAAAAGCTTTCCTTATATAATAGGATGACAGATGTTTATTTGTTAACTCTGTCACCATAAGAAACAGATGTTAAATGATAGAAGAAATGGCAAGAAAAGTCTACTTCTACTTAATGCTGTGATATTCAGAAATTGCGACAGAATACAACATGCTTCCTTTATTCTTAATATTACTCAGTATCATAATTACTAAAAATTACTGAAAACACTACTCACTGCAATACTAGTGAGAGTTACATTGCTACTCCAGACCTTTCCCAGCTTGGCTTGCTTTCAATAGCAATCAGCCTTATCTTATTACAGTAAACACAGAGGCCCAGAAATTAGAACAGGTGCTATGTGAAGGAGTCAGAAAACCTCCCCAAGACCCACAGATCAGATAGGAGTATCTATTACTGCATGGTAGCTGTGCTGATAGTTAATATTTACACTATTTTCCCCCAGAAATTATTTAAGTCTTGTCATAGTATAGGTGTATTTGGAAAGAAAATGATGTTGTGATACATAAACTCCTAGTTTTGAGCAGCAGGTCAAATGTACAATCAAAGCATAAAGTTACCATTTCCTCAATAACCTCCTCTTTGTTGGCCAGGAAATTGAAAGAAAAGTAGATCAAAACAAAGGTTCCCAGAAGGGAGAAGAATAAGAAGAGTTGAATGAGGCCCCTTCTATATACTAAAATCCTAACTAGTCCAGTAGCCTTTCTCCTTAAAGGAAACAACAGTAATCAGACTGTGGTGAGACAATCTCTCCAATACTGAACTAGCCCTTAACACCAAGCAGTGAAGAAGCTGTCAGGTCACTGCTTCTCCACTATTCATTCACTCATTCTTTCATTCATTCATTACTCAAATATTTATTAGGGCCTACATTGTGCCAGAACCTTCTAGCATCTTTGGATACATCAATGAGCAAAATGAGTACAGGCCCCTGCAAACATGAAGTTTACAATTCAACAGAGAAAGACAATTAAAAAATAAACATGATAATACAAGTAAAATGTATTGTGTAAGAAGATGATAATTGATAAATACTTTTAAAAAATGAGTGAGATAAGGGGTATGTGGAGAGTTGCGCTGTTAGGCATGGTGCCATTTTAAATAGGGTGCTCAGGAAACAGGCCTCATTGGAAGCATGTCATTTGGGAAACGATATTAAGGTGTTGAGATAATTAGCAAGGAGGATACATAGGGGAAGAGTATTGTAGGCAGAGGAAAGGGCAGGAACATTTCTGTGTATTGGGAAAAAGCAAAGGCCAGTAAAGGTGGAAGCAAGGAAAAGAGTAGCTAGAGATAAAATCAGAGAAGTAACAGAGGTGAGATCATGCAGGGTCTTAAAGCCACTGATTTACCTTGACTTTCTCTCAATAGAAAGGGGAATTACTTCAGGGTCTTAAGCAAGGAGCAGCAAGATCTGACTTTTTAACAAGATCCCTCTGGCTGCTCTGCTGGGTTTAGACCATTGAAGGGGGCAGGATGTGGGGGACAATGGTAGGAGGAGACAAGCAAGTTAGGATGCTATTATGGTTATCGAGACAAAAGTTGATGATGTTTCGAGTCAGAGTGGTAGAATGAAAGCGGTAAAACGTGAACGAAATTTCTATATTTTTTGAAATTACAGCCAACAGCATTTCATAATGGATTGGATGTGAGATTTAAATAAAAGAAAGGAGTAAAGGATTAAAGCACTATTTCTGGTTTACTAACTGGAATGATGGAAGTGCCATTAAATGAGATAGAGAATACTGAGAATAAAATAGGTTTGGAAAGTGAAGGTTTCAGACAGGTCTGACATGAGATATCTGTTAGACATTCAAATAGAGAAGTCAGGTCAACAGCAGATACTGACACCTGTAGGTCAGGCTAGAGCTCTGAACAAGAGATATAAACTTGGGATCTGTTTGCATGTACTTAGTATATAAGGTATGAGACTGGATGCAATCACCAAGGGAGTGAATGTGCTGATATACTCCAACAATCAGAGTACAGGCAGAAAAGGCAGCATCAGTTAACAAGATTGAGAAAAACAAGCCAGTAGAGTAGGATTAAACCCACAGGATTCTGAGGTCCTAGAAACCATGTGAAGAAAAAGTATCAAGGAAGAGGGTGTGAGCAACTGCATCATATGCTCTGAGAGATCAAGTACAATGAAGACTGAGAATTGACCATTGAAAAACAGAACCAAAAAATGCATTATTTCACAAGCACAGTGCCAAAATGCCCTGTGAGACAATATCTAATCATTCTTTAATAACCATATAAATTTTTTAGTTCCATCTTGTTCCATTTAAGGTTAAGGGCAAAACTATTAAATAAACTGATTTTCTGTCAGACAAGAGTGAAAATGCTATTTTTTGGTTCCCAAAATCAACATGGCATGACCATAATGCCTTACGCTTAGTTACCTCAATAACAACATTTCCTACAGGGCAGAATGCAGCCTGATAAAATCAGACCTAAGGTGCCAGTGCCCATCTGTTTGTTTGAAGTCTTCCATTCCCTAAGTCTTCCTTATCTACCAAAAATGGACTGAGTAAAAGGAGAGAGAGGGAGAAAGCAAAAAGCTAACCATAATTTGTAAAAGCAACATCCTAAGAATTTAAAAAAATCCACTGAGAAAAAATTTAAAACATCGTCTTTATTTCTTACCTTTAAGTGTCTTTTTCTTCTAAATTTTATAACATAGTGTTACAAGTCAATGTGAAGAATTGCCTAATGAATAATATACTTTCAACAAAGAATTTAACCCACTCTCTCACATCCATGTGTTACATATGGGAAGTAAATAACACAGTGTTACAAATGTTACTCTTATATTAACAAGGCTATAAAGATGGACACTTAAAACGCTCTAGTAACTTATTTTTTCCAGCATAGGAAAAAAAGAGAAAAAGAAGTAATGCAAAATGATAAACTCTCTAGTATTTTACGACATTTCCCTTGATGCCATTGTTTTTTAAAAAGCCATCTTACTATTATCTTTTCATTCATCTTTCAGCTACAAGAATAAAAACGTGTTCATTACTCTACGCATTAGAAATGTTTCTAAAGAAACTCGGTACACAAATAGAACTGTATTTTTCCTGTGACTGAGATTATGATTTCATAGTTCTCCTCACACTGAAGCAAGATGTCTTTTGAAATTATCTCTCAAAATAAAATCTCAGTAATGAGATATGCATTGAAGGTTAGTATACGTCAGACAGTGCTGCAAGCTGAGTTATACTATGGCTCCTACTTACACGGAGGTATGATCTCTGGAAGGTGATAAAAAATATACAGACCTAAAAGGTAGCAATAAAGAGCTGGGTAAGATTATTGCCAAGTAAGTGATACAGAAAATAAGTGTTATGAAGCCTGAAGGCTACAAAAGATTGCTCCCAGGAGATGTGGTATAGACAGCTTTCAAAAGGCAGTGGGTCTCCCCCAGGGCTTAAGGAAAGGAGTAGGAATTGAAAGTAGAAGTCAAGGACAGGACATAGCATAGAAAAAGGCACACAGGTAGAGTTGTTCTGGGTTAGTGATGGATAAGACTAGCTGAAGTAGAAAATACAAACTGAAACAGAATGCCTGAAAAGAGTGAATTTAATAGCTATATACCAAGAAATATGCCAGTGCCACCTCTGCTCTCCCTTGCTCTCTCCCCACCTCTACACCAACCCCTCCCCAGCCTTGAATTAACCATGACCTTTGAAGCCAAAGACACTTGAATGCCAACTGTACATTTCCATGCCTGTATGAACTGTATGAGAAAGTTATTTAGCTATATGGACCTCAGTTTCCTTACCTATAAATGGTGATAATTATATGCACTAAAAAGACAATTTTTCCAATAGTAATAAGAGTGTCTAGTATTGTGATAGGCACCATGCTCAGATTATTTGCATTGCCTGATTTAATCCTTACAATTATCCTTGGAAGGCATGTATTCCTTTTGTGCAGATGAGAAAATGAATAAGCAGGTCAAATTACTTGCCCCAAATCAGACAGACAAAAATTGGCAAAGCCAAGAAAGATCAGAGATTTTGCTGACCCCAAAGTCCCCATATTTAGCCACCTTAATACCCTAGAAATAATAAATGTAAAACATTAGTACAATGCTTGCAGATGAACTTATTATTCTTCTCCAAAATTCCATAAAGTAGTACTTGTTTGTTACTACTGTTGTTCTTATTACCATAGATGAGAAAAATCAAAATCCAGGGATTTTATGTAATTTCCCTCATGTGACTTGGCTGATAACTAACAAGACAAAAATAGATTGAAATCTGATTAACAAGTTTCTTAAATTTCAATAGAGCATCACTGCAGTTTTTTGAATGTAGGAATAGAATCATCAAGACATTCCTTTGTAAGAGTTAACCTGTTTCATGAAGCTTTTACTCAATATTCCCCTAACAGAACCAAAACTTTCTGTATGGGGCTTTCTCTGTAGCCCATAAATACCTGTAACACTGTATTGCATATATGAGACATATTTCTTCTAGTCTAGACTATGATGAGTTCCTTAGAGGAAAGCTCATTTCCTACCTATCTTTGCATTTCCAAAGCTTAGCACATGTGCATCAAATTTAGTGCATACTCAAAAGCATTTGATGCATAAATGGATGATGAATAACACAGATCTAATAGAATCAAATGGAAGTACTGTGGAAGTCCACATGCCAGCTTCAGGGTCTCATGAACCCCACTGAAGTTTATATAACATGTGGACTGTACGTGCTTAAGTGCATTTTCAAGGAAGAAGTTTCATAGTTCTCATCAGATTCTCAGAAAGGTACCAGACCCCATAAATATTAAGAGCCATCAGACTCAAGGTAGGGAAACTAGTTAAAAGTAATTGAATTTGTACAAAAGAAATGTATAAAGGACTAAACTAGTGCTATGGCAATAAAGAATAATACAAAACCAAATGATATTTCATAAATAAGCCCACAGAATTTGACATAAAAACCTAGTAGCCATTAGGTTTATTGTTATACTGAATATAATAATCATCCAAGCAGCATCTATCACATACTTTTCTCTCATTGTTTTTATGCCACTCACTAGTCTAATTGAAACAAGTTACTCAAATGAAGGAGTCCTTGTAGTATAATTACATTACTCTGGTCTTGTAAACCAAAAATGGAGGACCCTTCTCCCCAGGATAATTTCAGGAAAGAAGCATCTCACTTCATGGCCAGCACCCAAGCTGAAAGTCTACTTAAACCATTCTCTGAATTCTCTATGTGGAGTGCAATAATCTTATTTTAACTGCTACATCAGTATTGAAAAGAATCACAAAATTAATGCTATAACTGTGTACATTGTGCATTCCTCTTGTCCACATGAACTACTGTACTAACACCATATATGCTTAATCATACATTGCACATCTATGTATTATTATACATTAGATTTCTGCCCCCATAAATATCCAGTGGGAACTACTGTGAAGTGTCATTTTCTATGGTTCATTCCAGTAAGATGTGGTAGAGATATGACTGTTCCAACTACCTGGGTTCTTTCATGACATAACTAGTGTCTAGAAATGTTAAATGCATGTACAGTTGACCCTTAAATAATGCAGAGGTTAGGGGTGCTGAACCCCTGCACAGTCAAAAATCCACATATAACTTGATTCCCCTGAAACTTAACTATTAGTAGCCTGCTATTGATTGGAAGCATTACAGATAAACAGTTGATTAACACATATTTTGTATTTTACATGTATTATATGGTATATTCTTACAATAAAGTAAGCTACAAAAAATAAGATGTTATTAAGAAAATTAGAAAGAAGAGAAAATATATTTACAATTCGTTAAGTGGAAGTAGATCATTATAAAGCTCTTCATCCTCATTGTCTTCACATTGAGTAGGCTGAGGAGGAAGAGGAGGGATTGTTCTTACTGTCTCAGTAAGAGCAGAGGCAGAAGAGGTGGAGGAAGTGGAATGAGAGGCAGAAGAGGCAGGTACACTCACTATAATGTTCATTTTTAAAAATCTACATATAAACCTACCCACACAGTTCAAACTCCTCGTGTTGTCAAAGGGTCAACTGTATTTCATTCTCCAAGCCTATGATGAAAGTGCCCAGCCTTTTTTGCAAGTTGTATTGAACAAATGTTTATTGAATTCTGATATACGTGAAGAACTAGATACTAGAGATACAGATTTAAGGAGTGGGAATTTTCTCCCTTTCTGCTGGAAAGATGGAGGAATTTTAACTTAGTAAGAAGAAAGCCAGAATTTTAAAAATATATTTACTAAATCACTAATGTGATGGATATTGAATTACATACAGTGATCTCTAGTAAGACTGAGTCTCTAGATATTGTGAGATTGAGATAAATCATACTGTGTTCTTATTGTTATTTTCCTCCCCTCTTCCAATATTTTTATAGAATTATTTTAAATTATAAATAAATAATATTCCATGAAAACTCAAAAAGGGCTTAAAAAAGGAAGGTGTTAGGAAAAAATAAAGGCCAGCTGACCTCAGTGCTGGTTAAAGATTTACAGTGATAACTGTATATAAATGTCAAGCAATAGAGTTTCTATCAGTAAATAGGTGCAGTATTTTTTGCTGTTTTTTCTCCAGGTAATTGTCAATGCAACTGGACATCTGCTGCCTTAATTTAGTTCTGGTTTTACATTAACTATACTTAAGCATTCTGAAAGTGATCAAGCATGTTAAATGAATGCAAAAGAAATTATTTAAACACAAACAGGGACATTTACAAAAATATTTAACACCTCTGTGGACTAAAAAAACAATGAAAATGGAACATAACATGTACAGCTAAAACTACAGGCTTACTCTACCGTTAGTCCAGAAGCAGGCCCTAGTAGCTTGGAGTTTTGATCTTGTACTACAATAGGGACTAAATATTCTACTGGTGAGATGGTGTAACAAAGTCAGACTCATTGCTTAAAATTGGGGCTGCAGTGTTGCAACCCCCACAACTTGTTCTTGAAGAGGGTCAAGCTTTATAAGAAGCTCCAGACCCAGGTGAGAGGTGAAGCCAGCTGGGCTTCTGGGTCAGGTGGGGACTTGGAGAACTTTTCTGTCTAGCTAGAAGATTGTAAATGCACCAGTCAGTGCTCTGTCTAACTAAAGGATTGTAAATGCACCAATGAGCATTCTGTAAAAATGCACCAATCAGCACTCTGTGGCTAAAGGATTGTAAATGCACCAATCACCACTCTGTAAAAATGCACCAATCAGCACTCTGTGTCTAGCTAAAGGATTGTAAACACACCAATCAGCACTCTGTAAAATGGACCAATGAGCTCTCTGTAAAATGGACCAATCAGCAGGTTGTGGGTGAGACCAAATAAGGGAATAAAAGCTGGCCCCCCATGCCAGCAGCGGCAACCTGCTCAGGTCCCCTTCCATGCTGTGGAAGCTTTGTTCTTTTGCTCTTCACAATAAATCTTGCTGCTGCTCACTCTTTGGGTCCGCACCAACTTTAAGAGTGGTAACACTTGCCACGAAGGACCGCGGCTTCGTTCTTGAAGTCAGCGAGACCATGAACCCATCAGAAGGAAGAAACTCCAGACACATCTGAACATCTGACAGAACAAACTCTGGACACACCATCTTTAAGAGCTGTAACACTCACTGCAAGCGTCTGTGGCTTCATTCTTGAAGTCAGCGAGACCAAGAACTCACCAGAAGGAATAAATTCTGGACACATTTTGGTGACCCAGATGGGACTATCACCAAGCGGTGAGTACCATCGGACCCCTTTTGCTTGCTATTCTCTCCTATTTTTCCTTAGAATTCAGGGGCTAAATACCAGGCACCTGTCGGCCAGTTAAAAGCAACTAGCATGGCCAACGGACTGAAGTCATGGGTGTCAGGCTTTCTGAGAAAGGGCTCTCTAACGACCTCCAACTCTTTGGAGCTGGGAGCATTGGTTTGCCTGGAACCAGCTTCTGCTTTTCTGTACTTATGGGCTGAGCCGAGGGTTGACAGAGAGGAAAGCCATTGAGCTCCGGGGTCCCAACAACAAGTTGACTGACCCTGCGGCCATGAGTGGAACTCACAAAGTCACATCACCCAAGCGAGACTTGCCCATCTATCCTGACTCTTGCCTCCTGGGTCCTAATGCCTGTCAGACAAACTTCCTCTCACCTCTCTTCTCAGAGGTCAGTCCTGCTTCTAAAAACCACTCCCTGTCTCTGGTGTTTTCTAGTTTCTCCTATAAGAATGATTTCTAGTATAAACTTCAGGACTCTGTAAACTTCTTTAGGCACCCACGCTCACCAATCAGAAAGACATAATTTTTGCCCAAAGCCCTGTCATGGGGGGTACTATCTGGAATTTTAGGATCCCTCCTCAGACTA
Source organism: Homo sapiens (assembly GCF_000001405.40). Lineage (NCBI taxonomy): Eukaryota > Metazoa > Chordata > Mammalia > Primates > Hominidae > Homo > Homo sapiens. Next base: position 183,511,824 of record NC_000002.12, on the reverse strand, counting down.
GCAGGCCTAACAAAAGCTATTCCTGCAGCTAGGATATGGCGAGCCTCAGAAATGATATCCTTCCTATTCAAGTGAGGACAAAAGGTGTCACTCTTCCAACCCTGGAGATCCCTTCCCTCCCTCAGGGTATGCCCCTCCACTTCATTTTTGGGGCATAACATCTTTATAGGATGGGTAAAGTCCTAATACTAACAGGAGAATGCTTAGGACTCTAACAGGTTTTCAAGAATGCATTGGTAAGGGCCACTAAATCTGATTTTTCTCGGTCCTCTTTGTGGTCTAGGAGGACAGGCAAGGGTGCAGGTTTTTGAGAATGTGTCCGTAAGGGCCACTAAATCTGACATTCCTCGGTCCGCCTTGTGGTCTAGGAGGAAAACTAGTGTTTCTGCTGCTGTGTTGGTGAGTGCAACTACTTCAATCAGCAGGGTCCAGGGACCATTGAGGGTTCTTGAGTGAGAGGTATTTCTGCTGCTGCATCAGTGAGCACAACCATTCCTATCAGCAGGGTCCAGGGACTGTTGCAGGTCCTTGGGCAGGGGGGAAACAAACCAAAACCACAGGCAGTTTTGTCTTTCAGATGGGAAACACACAGGCATCAACAGGCTTACCCTTGAAATGCATCCTAAGCCATTGGGACTAATTTGACCCACAAACCCTGAAAAAGAGGTGGCTCAATTTTTTCTGCACTATGGCTCGGCCCCAATATTCTCTCTCTGATGGGGAAAAATGGACACATGAGGGAAGTATAAATTACAATACTATCTTGCAGCTTGACCTTTTCTGTAAGAGGGAAGGCAAATGGAGTGAAATACCTTATGTCCAAGCTTTCTTTTCATTGAAGGAGAATACACAACTATGCAAAGCTTGCAATTTACATCTCACAGGAGGACCTCTCAGCTTACCCCCATATCCTAGCCTCCCTGTAGCTCTGCTTTGTATTAATGATAAGCCTCCTTTAATCTCCCCCACCCAGAAGGAAATAAGCAAAGAAATCTCCAAAGGACCACAAAAACCCCCAGGCTATCGGTTATGTCCCCTTCAAGCTGTAGGGGGAGGGGAATTTGGCCCAACCCGGGTACATGTCCCTTTCTCCCTCTCTGTTTTAAAGCAGATCAAGGCAGACCTGGGGAAGTTTTCAGATGATCCTGATAGGTACATAGATGTCCTACAGGATCTAGGGCAAACCTTCGATCTCACTTGGAGAGATGTCATGCTATTGTTAGATCAAACCCTGGCCTTTAATGAAAAGAATGTGGCTTAAGCTGCAGCCCAAGAGTTTGGAGATACCTGGTATCTTAGTCAAATAAATGATAGGGACAAATTCCCTACTGGTCAGCAAGCCATCCCCAGTGTGGATCCCCACTGGGACCTCAACTCTGATCATGGGGACTGGAGTCATAAACATCTGTTGACCTGTGTTCTAGAAGGACTAGGAGAATTAGGAAAAAGCCCATGAATTATTCAATGATGTCTAACATAACTCAGGCAAAGGAAGAAAATCCTTCTGCCTTCCTCGAGAGGCTATGGGAGGCCTTAAGAAAATATACTCCCCTGTCACCCGACTCACTGGAGGATCAATTGATCCTAAAAGATAAGTTTATTACCAAATCAGCCACAGATAACAGGAGAAAGCTCCAAAAATGAGCCCTGGGCCCTGAACAAAATCTGGAGGCATTATTAAATCTGGCAACCTCAGTGTTCTATAATAGGGACCAAGAGGAACAGTCTGAAAAGGAAAAGTGAGATAAGAGAAAGGCCGCAGCTTTAGTCATGGCCCTCAAACAAACCTTGGTGGTTCAGAGAGGACAGAAAATGGAGCAGGCCAATCACCCGGTAGGGCTCCTTATCAGTGTGGTTTGCAAGGACACTTTAAAAAAGATTGTCCAGTGAGAAACAAGCTACCCCCTCGCCTATGTCCACTATGCTGAGGCAATCACTGGAAGGCACACTGCCCCAGAGGACAAAGGTTTTCTGGGCCAGAAGCCCCCAACCAGATGATCCAACAATAGGACTGAGGGTGCCTGGGGCAAGCGCCAGCTCGTGTCATCATCACCCTCACTGAGCCCCTGCTATGTTTAACCACTGAGGGCCAGAGAATTGACTTCCTCCAGGACACTAGCATGGCTTTCTCTGTGTTAATCTCCTGTCCCGGACAGCTGTCCTCAAGGTCCATTACCATCCGAGGAATCATGGGACAGCCTGTAACCAGGTATTTCTCCCACCTCCTCAGTTGTAATTGGGAGACTTTGCTACAGATAGTAAGTATGCTTATCTAATCCAAAATGCCCATAATGCAATATGCAAAGAAAGGGAGTTCCTAACCTCTGGGGGAACCCCCATTAAATATCACAAGGATACCATGGAGTTATTGCATGCAGTGCAAAAACCCACGGAGGTGGCAGTCTTACACTGCCAAAGCCATCAATAGGGGAAGGATGGGGAGAACAGCAGCATAAGTGGCTGGCAGAGGCAGGGAAAGACCAGCAGAAAGGAAAGAGAGAGAGAAAGTCAGAGAGACAGGAAGAGACAGAGACAAAGAGGGAATCAGAGAGGAAAGAGAGAGAGAGACAAGGAGAGAGAGGAAGAGACAGACAAAGAAGGAAAGAGAGGAAGAGACAAACAGGGAGTCAGAGAGAAAGAGAGTGACAAAGAAGAAGTCAGAGAGAGAGATGGAAGTAGGAAAGAAAAAAAAGTGTACCCTATTCCTTTAAAAGCCAGGGTAAATTTAAAACCTATAATCGATAATTGAAGGTCTTCTCCGTGACCCTATAACACTGCAATACCACCTTGTTGTCAGTGTAAACAAGGGCATAGCCCGAAAGCACTGAGGCCACTGACAACCCATAGCCTTCCTATCAAAAATCCTTAACCCAGCAGGTTTCCTAACAGGCGATCTAAATCTTAATTAATTACCATACAAAGGTCCGACCAGATCTAGGAGGAACTCCCTTCAGGACAGGATGATAGATGGTTCCTCCGGGGCGATTAAGGGAAAAAGACACAATGGGTATTCAGTAAATGATAAGGAAACTCTTGTAGAAGCAGAGTTAGGAAAAATTGCCTAATAATTGGTCTGCTCAAACGTGCAAGTTGTTTGCACTCCGCAAAATTTTAAAGTACTTACAGAATCAGCAAGGAGCCATCTATACCAATTCTAAGTTAATATGGACTGAACGAGGTTTTATTAATAGCAAAGAAAAATTAAAATCTCAAACTTAACAAGGTTTTGAACCAAAGTAAAGTTTGCTAAAAATTAACAGTGTAACATGCATTATCCTACTACCACACACTCTCAAAGGATTTCTCAGAGAGTTTGCAAGAAATAACAAAATCTATCCAGTAAAGATAGTAACTACAATCCCAAATAGACTCTTTGGCAGCAGTGACTCTCCAAAACCACCAAGGCCTAGACCTCCTCACTGCTGAGAAAGGAGGACTTTGCACCTTCTTAGGGGAAGAGTGTTGCTTTTACACTAACCAGTCAGGGATAGTACGACTGCCACCTGGCGTTTACAGGAAAAGGCTTCTGAAATCAGACAATGCCTTTCAAACTCTTATACCAACCTCTGGAGTTGGGCAACATGGCTTCTCCCCTTTCTAGGTCCTGTGACAGCCATCTTGCTATTACTCACCTTCGGGCCCTGTATTTTTAACCACCTTGTCAAATTTGTTTCCTCTAGGATCAAGGCCATCAAGCTACAGATGGTCTTAAAAATGGAACCCCAAATGAGCTCAACTAACAACTTCTACCAAGGACCCCTGGACTGACCCGCTGGCCCTTTCACTGGGCTAAAGAGTTCTCCTCTGGAGGATGCTACAACTGCAGGGCCCCTTCTTCACCCCTATCCAGCAGGAAGTAGCCAGAGCAGTCATCGCCCAATCCCCAACAGCAGTTGGGGTATCCTGTTGAGAGGGGGGATTGAGAGGTGAAGCCAGCTGGGCTTCTGGTTTCGGTGGGGACTTGGAGAACTTTTCTGTCTAGCTAGAGGATTGTAAATGCACCAATCAGTGCTCTGTGTCTAGCTAAAGGATTGTAAACGCACCAATCAGCACTCTGTAAAATGGACCAATCAGCAGGATGTGGGCAGGGCCAAATAAGGGAATAAAAGCTGGCCCCCTGAGCCAGCAGTGGCAACCTGCTCAGGTCCCCTTCCACACTGTGGAAGCTTTGTTCTTTTGCTCTTCACAGTAAATCTTGCTGCTAGTCACTCTTTGGGTCTGCACCACCTTTAAGAGCTGTAGCACTTGCTGCGAAGGTCCGTGGCTTCATTCTTGAAGTCAGCAAGACCATGAACCCACTGGAAGGAAGAAACTCCAGACACATCTGAACATCTGAAGGAACAAACTCTGGACACACCACCTTTAAGAGCTGTAACACTCACTGCAAGGGTCCGCGGCTTCATTCTTGAAGTCAACGAGACCAAGAACCCACTGGGAGGAATAAATTCTGGACACATAAGGAGGCAGGAGGAGAATGGCACAACCTCATCAAAGTCAAGCCAAGCCTCTCTGTAACGCCAGTGGCTAGATTTGCACTATTGCTCCTGGACAGTAGCCCTCAATACCATTATAAGACTTGGATCTGGTCTGGGACACCACAGGGCTGGTAGAAAACAACTGAAATAAAATAGACCATGAAGAATAATCCTGAAGTAGAGGGACAGGAAGAAATAACACAAAACTCTTCCACACACATACACACAAAAATGATCTTACCAAACCAAATGCCAAAAATGCAGGAAGACATCTAAAATGGCAAAAAAATTCAAAAATCAGGCCATAAATTCACCCAAAAAATTTAATTTTATGAGATAATATGGCAAAAATTTGCAAGTAAGTACATTTAGGTTTTCCAAGAGAGATGAAATAATAATTTGCATAAAAATGAAGAGGAAATTATAAAACAGGCAAAAGGAACTACAGCAGACATATATATTAAAAATCTTATAAAATGAAAACTAGAGTTGTCAATTTTTAAGTTCAATATATTGGATAATTTAGAGTGAAGCCATTGAAAAGAGACATTATGTTTTAGAAGAAAATACTGAGCAAATTGCCCAGAATGCTGCACAAAGGGACAATGGCATTTTTTACAAGAAAGAATCATCAAGAAATACATAAGATAAATTGAGAATCTCCAACTTACACACAGTAGGAGTTCCGGAAGATAAGGTAGAATATGGGAACAGAAATATTTGAAGATGCAATAAGTAATAAATTTTCAAATGCAAAGAAGTACATGCATCCTCAGATTAAAAAAAAAAAAGTACTCCTGGTACCATCCACAATAAATGAATTCACATCCTGTTGCATCACAGAGAAACTGAAGTAACATCAAGAGTAAAAACATATCCAGGTAATATATTAGATATTTTTACATGTATTGTTATTTATATTTTTCAATCTCTCACATAATATTTATCTATTTCTCTCCATTCTTTTGTCCTTCTCTGATTTAATCTCTATACAGTAACACTTAAAGATGAATATTATTGCTTTACTATAATTTGGACAAATATTATTTCACTAATGTGTGTATGTTTATAAGGACAGAGACCAAGTACTCTTCATAGTTGCAACTCTATTGCCTAGAAATGTCTGCTACATAGTTCCAGGGCTCAGAAGTTCTAGGGCTCTTAAGAAATGAAAGAGGAAATGCTCTATGAAGTCAAGCGACTTCCCCAAGTTTGACTGCTAATAAATGATAGAATGGAACAACTGATGCTGTTGACTCATTTAGGGTGAACCACAGAGTCAAATCTTTAGGTACTCTTTTTACATAGGCTACTGCTCAACCACTTCCTTCTTATCTAGTTCTTTGCCAATGGTTTCTTTTAGATAGATTTTATATTTAACCTTACTATTTTTCTTAACTCAGCCTGCTTTTTTGGCTACTGATTTTATCACTCAAAATATTTTTATCAATCACAGACTTTACATAATCCTCAAATTTGCTGCATATACTTTTATATCTACTGGGATAAATACATATCTACAATAATGGGAGAACAGAGTCAGAAATAGGCAAGCCAAGAACAAATGGTGGCTTGAGGAGGTAAGTGCAACTCAAAAAATATTTTTGAAGGTATACGTGCAAGGAAACATACTAGGTACTGTCCTCAAAGATGTTTTATAGCATGGAATTTCTAGTTCCAAAATGGCAATATAGAATCAAGCTGGCTTTACTCCCCCAACAGAAAGCCAAAAAGCAAACATATGTTGCCAAGATTATCACCAACAATATCCCAGAACTCAAAAACAAAGATGAGACACATTCCAGGACCATAGAGAAGTGAAAAAATTCCAAGCAGACAGTAAGATAATTGGACTTCCATATCAACAGTGTCCCTCCCCACAATCTGCCCAGCACCAGGCTCACAGAAAATCAACCCTCTAACTCATAGGTTCTGCACTGAAAAAAGTGAGATTGAGGTGAACAACCAACTTTCCCACCATCTTGGATTCCCTGGCAGGATACCTGCCCCTGCCTTAACCTACAAGAAGCATCAAGAATGCCTGAGAAGATAAACATCCCTGAAGACAACCAGAGACAAAGGAGGAAGGTAGAACTACCATGCTTGGCCCTAAGAACTCTGCTCTGTAGCTCAAAGATGCCAAATCAGAGCAGTTGTTCAGCAGCATCATGCTGTTGGAGGTTTGTTCCACAAGTCCCCTTATCACACTACTGGAATATCCCCTTTGGACCCCCCTTATTTGGGATGGGTAGCACACTGACTGTTTATTAGAACTGAGACAGACTTAAGCTTAAGGCACCATCAAGTGCCAAAAAGGGGACAGTAATCTAGGGGAAAAACATTTTGAAAGACAGACCAACAGGAAAATCAAAAAGAATCTCTAAGCAAACATATCCAATAAAAACTAAAACAAGCCACACCGAGAAGACAGGAATAAATCCCTCAATGTGCCGGGCATGGTGGCTCATGCCTGTAATCCCAGCACTTTGGGAGACTAAGGTGGGCAGATCACTTGAGGTCAGGAGTTCAAGACCAGCCTGGCCAACATGGTGAAACTCCGTCTCTACTAAAAATAAAAAAATTAGCTGGGCATGGTGGTGTGTGCCTGTAATCCCAGCTACTCGCGAGGCTGAGGCAGCAGAATCACTTGAACTCCCAAAGCGGAGGTGGCAGTGAGTCAAAATCTTGCCACCGCACTCCAGCCTGGGTGACAGAGAGAGACTCTGTCTCAAAAAAAATAAAAATAAAAAATAAAAAATTCCCTCAATCCAAATATATACATGTATATCCACAAGAAACAATAGCAAACAGGTAACCATGATCTTAAATAGACAAAGCGAGGAATGACTGACTGACCCTAACAAGATAGTGATATGTGAACTCTCTGACCAATAATTCAAAATAGCAGTTTAAAGGAAACTCAGTGATCTTCAAGATAAAACACAAATTTATTGGATAAATTTAACAAAAAGGTTGACATAATTTTTAAAAATCAAACAAGAATCTTAAAACTGAGAAATACATTTGCTAAGCTGAAAAAATTAATTAGAGGCTCTCAACAGCAGAATGGATCAAGTAGAGGAAAGAATTCATGAGCTCAAAGAAAGGTAATTTGAAAATAATCAGAAAATAGAAAAAAGAAGAAAGTGAAGATTACCTACAATATATAAAATATTACCTCAAATGACCAAATCTAAGAATTATTGGTAATTAAGAGGGAGTTGAGGAAGAACAAGGGATAGACAATTTATTCAAAGATATAATAGAAAACTTTCTAAAATTTGAGAAAGATGTAAATATCAAGGTACAGAAAGAACAACCAAATAGATTTGACCCAAATAAGACTACCTCAAGGTATATAATCAAACTCCCAAAAATCAAAGTAAAAGCAGCAAGAGAAAAGAAGAAAATAACATAAAAAAGAGCTTCAATTTGTCCGGCAACAGAGTTCTCCATAGAAACCATACAGGTGAGAAGAGAGTAGAATGATATTTTCAAAGTGCTGAAAGAAAAAACTGCCATCTGAGAATATTGTATTTAGCAAGCTTTTCTTCAAATACGAAGGAGAGATAAAGACTTTTCCCCAAAAAAAGATGAGAGAATTCATTACCAACAGACCTGTCTTACAAAAACAGTGCTAAAAGGAGTTCTTCAATCTGAAAGAAAAAACATTAACATGCAAAAAGAAAGCCTTTGAAGATAAAAATTAGGTATACAGACAAACCCAGAATATTGTAATTGTGTGCAATCTACTCAGAACTCTAGTATAAAGCCTAAAAGACAAATCTATCAAAAACAATAATACCAATAGCAACTAGTTAAGATATAGGCAATATAAAAATATGTAAATTGAAACAACATAAAGTCAAAATGTAAAGGGGATGGAGTTAAAGTATAGAGTTTTTAAAAATTTTCTGTTTCTATTTTTTTCTTTGTGATCTTAGTTGTCATATATTAAAAATAATTTGTTATGTCTATAAGATGCTTTTGTAAGCCTCTTGGTGAGCACAATCCAAAAAACTATAATAGATTCACTAAAAATAAAAAGCAACCAGAGACAATCATTTAACCACACAGGAAGACAGTAAGAAACAAAGAAAGGAAGAGAAAAGTGACAAAGCAACCAGAAAACGGCAATAGTAAGTCCTTATTTATCAATAACATGCAATGTAAATGGACTCAATTTTCCAATTAAAAAAATAAACTGAATGGATAAAGGAATGAGACACAACTATATACTGCCTACTAGAAATCTGCTTCACCCACAAAGACACACATACACTGAAAGTGAAGGAGTGGAAAAAATATTCCATGTAACTGGAAACCAAAAAAGGGCAAGAGCAGCAACACTTTGAAAAATAAAACTATAAGTCAAAGCATACGAATCTATGCACCCAACACCAGATCTCCAAACTATATAAAGTAAACATCAACAGATCTAATGGAAGAGATAGACTTCAGTACAATAATAGTAGGAGACTTCAACACCTCACTATCAGTAGTGAACAGGTCATCCAGACAGAAAATCAACAAAGAAATATTCAAGTTAAACTGCACTCTAGACCAAAGAAGCCTCACAAACATTTATAGAACATTTCATCCAACTGCTGCAGAATACACATTATTTTCACCAGTAGATGGAATGTTCTCCAGAGTAGATCACATCTCAGACCACAAAACAAGTCTCAACAAATTCAAAAAGGTAGAAATATCAAGTATCTTTTCTGCTCACAAGGGAATAAACTAAAAACATGCAAACAGATGGAAATTAAACAACATGCTTCTGAACAACCAGTGGGCCAATGAAGAAATTAAGAATAATACTAAATAATTTCTTGAAATAAATGTAAATGAAAATACATCATTCAAAAATCTATGGGATACTGCAGAAGCAGTACTAAGAGGGAAGCTTATTGCAATAAATGCCTGTATCAGAAGAGTGGAAAGACTTCAAATAAGTAACTTAATCATACACCTCAAGAAACTAGAAAAGAACAAATTACACCCAAAATTAGGTGAAGAAAATAAATAATAAAAACAAGAGCAGAAATAAATGAAATTGACACTAAAAAAACAAAGACTAATGAAACAAAAGTTAGACTTTTGAAAAGATAAATAAAATTGACAAATCTTTAGCTAAGAATAAAAAAAAGAGAATACTCAAATAAATAAAATCAGAAACAACAAAAAAGAGACATAACAACTGTGACCACAGAAATATAAAGAATCATTAGAGACAGAGACTATTTTGAATAACTGTACAGCAACAAATTGGAAAACCTAGAATCAATATGTACATTCCTGGACACATACAACCTACCAAGATTAAACCACAAAGAAATAGCTTCAACAAGCCAATAATAAGTAATGACAATGAACTCATAATGAAAAGCCTCTCATCAAAGTAAAGCACAGAACCTGATAGCTTCACTGCCGAATTCTACAAAACATTCAAAGAAGAATCAACACCACCAATTCTACTCAAACTCTTCAAAAAAATTTAGAAGATATAAATACTCCAAATTCAATTGATGAGGACAGCATCACACTAATACCAAGCTAGACAAAGACACATCAAAAAAAATAAAAACTACAGAACAATATGTCTAAGGAACATAAATGTAAAAATTCTCAACAAAACGCTAGTAGACAATTCAACAACACATTGAAAAGATCATTCACCATGATCAAGTGGGATTCATCCCAGGGGTACAAGGATAGTTCAATGTACTCAGATCAATGAATACAATACATCATATTAACAAAAATGAAAACAAAATACTATATAGTTATTTCAATAGATGCAGAAAAAGCACTTAATAATATTCAAAATTCCTTCATAACCAAAACCTTCAGTAAACTGGGTATAGAAGGAACATACTTCAACATAATAAAGGTCATATACAACAAACCCAAAGCTAACATCATACCAAATAGGGAAATATTAAAATGGTTTCTTCTAAGATCTAAAACAAGACAAGGATGTCCACTATTACCACTTTTATTCTATACAATACTGGAAGTCCTGGATAGAGAAATTAGGCAAGAGAAAGAGATAAAGAGCATCCAATTTGAGAAGGAAGAAGTCAAATTAGCCTTCTTTGCAGATGGCATAATCTTATACTCAGAAAATTCTAAACACTCAACCAAAAAGAACTGTTAGAACGATAAACAAATTCAGTAAAGTTGCAGGATATAAAATCAACATACAAAAATCAGTAGCATTTATCTATGCCAACAGCAACAATCTGAAAAAGAAATCAAGAAAGCAATCCCATTTATAATCACTATGAAGAATATAAAATACCTAGGAATATATTTAACCAAATAAGTGAAAGGTATATACAAGGAAAACTATAAAACACTGAACAAATAAGAACACAAAAAAATGGGAAGATATTCTATGTCCATGTATTGGAAGAACTGATATTATTAAAGTGACGATTGTACACAAAGGAACTTACAGATTCAATGTAATCCCTGTCAAAATACCAATGACACTCTTCACATAAATAGAAAAAAAAAGGCCTTAAAATATATATGGAACAACAAAAGACCCAGAATAGCCAAAGCAATCTGGAACAAAAAGAACAAATCTGGAGGCATGACACCACTGGACTTCAAATATACTACAAAGCTATAGTAACTAAAATAGCATGGCACAGACATAAAGACCGACTCATAGACCAATGGAACAGAATAGAGAACCCAGATATGATTCCATGCATTTACAGACAACCCATTTTTTGACAAAGGTGCCAAGAATATACAACGGGGAAATGACAGTCTCTTCAATAAATGGTGCTGGGAAACTGAATAACTACATGCAGAAGAAGGAAACTAGACCCCTATCTCTTGTCATATTCAAAAATAAAATCAATGTGGATTAAAGACCTAGATCTAAGACTATGAAGCTATAAAAAAAAATTTTAGGGAAATGCTTCAGAACATTTGGGCAAATATTTTTTGTGTAAAACATCAAAAGCATGGGCAATAGGCAATCAAATCAAAAATAGAATAAGGAATTACATCAAGTTACAAAGCCTTTGTCCATAAGAATCACTTGAACCCGAGAGGGGGAGGTTGCAGTAAGCCAAGATCCTGCCACTGCACTCCAGCCTGGGCAACAGAATGAGACTCTGTCTCAAATAAATAAATAAATAAGCTTTTGTGCAGCGAAGGAAACAATCAAAAAAATGAAGAAACAACCCACATAATGAAGGAAAATATTTCCAACCTATCTAACAAGAGATAAATAATCAGAACATATAAGGAGTTCAAGCAACTCAATAGCAAATAATAATAATACAATTTATAAATGGGCAAAAGATATGAATAGACATTTCTCAAAAAAGACAAACAAATGGACAACAGGTACATGAAAAAATGCTCCACATCCCTATTATCAGAAAAATGCAAATTAAAACCATGAGATATCATCTTACACCAGTTTAAATGGCTTTTATCAAAAAGATAGGGAATAACATACCGGTAAGGATATGGAGGAAGGGGAACCCTCATAAACTGTCAGTAGGAATGTAAATTAGTATAGCCACTATGGACAACTACATGGAGGCTCCTCAAGAAACTAAAACAATAGAGCTACCTATATGATCCAGTAATTTCATTACTGGGTATATATCCAAAAGAAACAAAATCAATATATGGAAGAGATATCTGCACTCCCATGTTTTACTGTAGCACTATTCACCATAGCCAAAATGTGGAATCAACCTAAGTGCCTAATACATAAATTGTATTCTATTGACACAATAGATTATACATCAATGAAAATGTACAAGATATACTTACATATATCTACATGCAACAATACCACTGATAAATTTCACAAATGTAATATTGTGCGAAAGAACACACACTGTTCATATAAACTCAACAACAGGTGTAATTAATCTATAGTGTTAGAAGTCAGGATAATGACCTTCCTTGGGGCAGGGGGAAACAACTGGGAGACAGGATAGAGTGCCTCTCAGGTGGTGCTCTGGGATATGCTGGCTACACGGTCTTCTTTGTGCAAAAATTCACTGAACCACACTCTTAGGATTTCTGAATTTTTCTTAATCTTTATGGGCACCATAAAGGGATAAATGGATAAGAAAAATATGACATATATACACAATGGATTATTTAGTCATAAAAAAATAAATCCTGTTACTTGCAGCTGCATGGATGGAACTGGAAGTCACTATGCTAAATGAAACGAGCCAAGCACAGAAAGACAAATATTGCATGTTTTCACTCATATATGGGAGCTAAAAAAAAAGTGAATCTCATGAAGACAGGTAGTAGATTTGTGGTTACCAGAGGCTAGGAGGGATAGGAGGCAGGGGGAATGAAGAGAGGTTGATCAATGGGTACAAATATAAACTTTGATAGAAAAAAAACTAGTGTTTGATAGATCAGTAGGGTGACTATAGTTTATAATAATCTATTGTATATTTCAAAATATATAGAAGAGAATAACTTGATTATTTCTAGTGTAAAGAAAAACAACCATTTAAGGTGATGGATATCCCAATTATACTGATTTGATCTTTACAAATTATAGGAATATGCTAAATTATCACATATACCCCCAAAACATGTACATCTATTTTGTATCAATCAAAAATAAAGTTAAGAAAGATATGCAGTATATTAGAAAACTATATTACATTTATATATGATAGAGGAATATGATGGGAAAAGAGACAACATGCTATAGCGTTCTAAAAAAGGAAAGATAACTCTTTGGGTAGGATAGGGAAATTTCATGGAACAGGTGACTACTGGGAGTGCCTTGAAAGAGTAGCTGCATTTTGACAGAAGGATGTAGGAGTAAATAGAACTGCAGTCCAAGAAACAACCAGGAGCAAAAGAATGGAAGCAGAATACTATGGGCATATTTAAAATGCAGCAATCTCTTAACTTGGTCTTTGGAATAGGATGTGTGTTGAAAGTCATAAAAAAGAAGACTGAAAGCCTGGCTTGAGGATATATCAATCATGTAAGACCTCGAATGTTATGCTGGAGGCTGTGTATATAATTCAATAGACAATGAACAGATATTAAAGATTTTTTAAGAGAAACTCTATATCAAGGATATGCTTTTTGAAGTTTACTTTAACAGCCAAAACATAATGAGTTTGAAATTTATACCCAGAGTGTACAGTTTGGCAGAATATCTATGGGGAAATGTTCAATGTAAAATGAACATTGGCACTCAGGAGCAGAGCTGAGGCTGGAGAGGATGATTAACATCTTGGGAAGAACAGGGACAAAGATGAATGTAAAACACATTAGGCTGCTGCACAAGGATTCAGCCAATGACCGTGGGCTGGTCAGCAATGATGAGTGCTTCATTAAGTCAAGAAGAAATATGATGGAGAAAAAGACTCTGGATTTGGCCTTTAGAAGGTGGTCTTTAATGATAAATAGCAGCAGTGGGAGGGTAAGAGCAGAAGCCTGGATGATAGAGGTAATAAATTGACCAGTTTCTTAGTCCATTTAGACTCCTAAAACAAAATACCAAAAACTGGGTAGCTTATAAACAACAGACATGTATTCCTCACAGTTCTGGAGGCTGGGAAGTCCATGTTCAAGGTGCTGGAGCATTTGGTGTCTGGTGAGGGACTGCTTTCTGGTTCATAGATAGTACCCTCTAGCTGTGAGCTCACATGGTAGAAGGGGTCAGCTAGCTCTCTGGGGCCTCTTTTATAAGGGCCCTAATCCCAATATGAGAACGCCACCTTTATGACCTAATCATCTCCCAAAGGCTCCACCTCCTAATACCATAAGCTTGGGGTTTAGGATTTCAACATATAAATTTTGGAGTAACATAAGTATTCAGTTAATTGTAACCAATAAGATAGCAGAGAGAGCAAATGTCCTATGGAATCATTTGGCAGAAAAAGGTGAACAGCAGTAGACTTGACTGGGAGTTACTTAGGATATAGGGTAGTCCTAAGCATTTTTTTGACATCGTGGGAAGAATCAGGGTTCTTTTGTTTGTGCTAATGTCACAAAGTCTCAAAAGTATTCATCCCTCTGTTTGCAATGCCTATTTGCTTCTTATTCTTCCACACTAGACTGTAAGCTCAAGGGCAGATGTTATGGCTCCTTCACCATAGTTTTCTCAGCACCTAATCCAGTGCCTAACACAGAAAAGACACTCAATGCAAGTATTTTAAAATTCAAGAAAAAGCTTAAAGATGGTATGAAAATGAAATCGGTGCTCTAAAGTTTGGAAGGATGTATGGAGGATTAGCATTAGAAACAGGATTATGGATTAACCTTGGATTATGATAGTGGTTTATTATCTAATTATCTCCAGTGGTTTGTTTGAAGAATTAAAAGTCATATTTAGAAAAATTGTTGAAATGGAAAATAAACACTTATTATATTCAGGCAGTATACTATATTTCTTCCAAAGAAGAATCTGAGTGCTTTGAGAGTTGTGTCATTGAACCAGAAATTCTTAGTGTTCTATTTTCAGCTTTGAAGATCCATTCAGAAAAATTTGTGAGGTCTTAAATAATGTATTTTAATATAAATAAATAAGCTTGAGAGTTAATGTAAAAAAAAATAAAAAATGAATCAGGACTCAAAAAGAAAAAGCTGGGAAAATCTGAGAAATTACCAGGAAAGGAAAAAAATGCCAAGTGGCCACAAGCTATAAATAAAACTCAAGTGAAGATTCACCATCTCCATTCCACTTCCACTACCCCTGAGCTTTTTTGTTGCCAAGCATTTCTGACCATGTGAGCATACTGAAGCCAGGGTATGGGTGTGCATTATCTCAAGTCCACATGTGTTCCCAGGTTGTTTTATGGTACCGGTGAGAAGCCACATTTTTAGAAGTTGAGGAAAAGAGGAATAAAACATCATCATGCCGGGAGTTGAGTTGGACCCCAGTGTGTAGCTGCACTATGAGAACCTGTATCTTGGAGAGTCCAGAGGTAGTCTATTTTGACATTTGGCCAAATGTCAAACAAGAAATTGTTGAAGATGACAATGATTTCTTCCCCCACTCAGCTGGCTGAATAGACTTCAGTCAAATAACTTTTATGTAAGGTACCTCTAGTTTTAGTTTCTATGATTTCAAATGTGAATAGGGTTGGGGGAGGTGTTGGCAATGAATGAAGAAAGCTATAAGGAAGTAATGGTGTTTCTCCTGCTTTCCCAATTAAGACAGACTCTGTAACAAGACAGCAAAATACTGTATGCTCATTAGGTATGCTGTCACCTTCTGAACTTGCTCAGCTGCAGCGACTGCACCTCAGGCAGGAAGTGATTTGCCTGTGCAGATGCATACATCGTGAGCTAACCATAGTGACAAGATCAGAATTTAGAGCACCCAAATTTTCAGTCTGAGTCTTAAGCCATTAGACCATTATTATTTTACTCTTCAATTTATCAAGAGATACTTTGATTGTACTTCTATTGCATTTCTTTTTAATGTTTCTCTTTTTTACCCAAGCAGTCTGTCTTCTAAAGCCTCACTGGCCCTCACAATTATCCTGGCTTCTCAGTATGATACCATCCTATCCACAGCCCTCCAAGTGGGCCAGGTAAGTCATATCTCCATAGGACTTTTCAGGGCCTGAAGAAGGAGGTGCTTTATCATGCAAAGGCAAACCATTACATGGGTTTCCTACATCCCTGGAGCACCAATCACGTTAGAGTTCTGGTCCCAAAAGAACAGATATGTTTTTCCAGTGCTAGCATCAAAATTACTCTTCTGGTACCCTCTAATGCTGCTGAAGAAATAAAGCTCTGCAGCAAGAGAGAAAGCTGAAATAACACACCAATTCAGCCACAGAAAGTTTCAGCAGTTAAGTATAAAATTTGCTTTTTTTATTTCTTTCCATTTTGTGAAATATTCTGCAAATACTAATAATTGGCCCCCGTTATCTCTCTGAAAATAGAATATTTTTTAAAGTGAGAAAAATACTAAAACAGAGAGATTACTTTGATGTGATTTCTTCAAGCCAGATCATTTGCACATCAACATAACAAACTGCTTTTGCACATCAGAACACAGAATCATAAATCAAATGGCCAGACAAAACACTGAGAAGTCATCCAGCCCCACCCACTCCCCTCAGGCAACAGGTCTCTCAAATCACCTCAGATAGAAGTTTTTAAATGACCTTTAAAGAGAGAGCATCTTTCTAATATTTAACAATCCTGATATTTAAGTAAATAAAAAATAAAATCTCCTTTATATCTAATCTGAATCGCTTAAGGTACAATGGTACAATAACATTCAGGTTTTGTTTTATTTCATATCATGTCACTAATTTTTGAAATGATATATCTGATGGCGATGGTGGTGAAAGTAAAACTGCATATGTATATAGACAAACAGCATTAACTAAGCTTCCCACACAAACTGCTGTTACATAAAACCTGTAGGAAGTAATTCTAAAAGAAACTTTGTATCATAGAAATATTTACATTTAGTGGTAGAAGTGAAATCTGAATTTTTTTTTTTAAGACGGAGTCTTGCTCTGTCACCCAGGCTAGAGTGCAGCGGCTCAATCTCAGCTCACTGCAACCTCCGCCTCCCGAGTTCAAGTGATTCTCCTGCCTCAACCTCCCGAGTAGCTGGGATTACAGGTGCCTGCCACTGTGCCTGGCTAATTTTTGTATTTTTAGTAGAGACAGGGTTTCACCATCTTGACCAGGCTGGTCTCGAACTCCTGACCTGTTGATCCACCCGCCTCGGCCTCCCAAAGTGCTGGGATTAGAGGTGTGAGCCACTGTGCCCGGCCCTGAGTTATTGAAGTAAAGGATAGAAATGAGCAACGACCAAAGAATACTTTTTTTCTCCATCATATAAGATGTGGATAAATTTCTCTTTTACAGAGATTATATAAGTGAATTATAGTCAATTTCTAAAAGTACTGTGTTTTCACAAAGATGTGTTCTACAGAGACTAAAATTTTAGTAGGCAATATTATTTAAACACTTTTTCTTAGCCTTAAATCTCTTTGTTTTGCTTGATATTTACAGCTTAAATCCCCCAGATTTGCACATTCCAGAGTCAGTACTATTTTTCTAAAACCACTGATAGGTCTCTTGTTACAACAATGGAAATGATGTATCCTTTTTCAAAATTCCTTGTCTATGCTTCTGCCATCATTTCCAAGGTTACTCCCATCAGAGGATGCAGAGAAGTGACAAAGCTGGTGATAGACAGAGATCATGGCTTTCCAAGAAAGGTTCATGCAAGACTTCAGAGAACCTCAAAATTCCTACAGGTTGTTTTCATTTACCATTAAAAATTGAAGAATCAGAGCAATTCCTAGGGTCACAGGACAAATGGATTGTTCAAAGGTCTCTCGATTCTGTGATGATCTAAAATCTTATGTGAAATCTTTGCCTGGTCCCCAAAAGGACCGTGGGTAAAATTCAAGGGATCAGTAAATGCAGATTGGAAAAATTTATATTTTTATTTTTACTGACCTCTAACTGAAACAGCATTTCCTGAAATCATGAGCGTAGACAACAAACCATAATGAAATTAAAACCTCTATGACTTTTTCATCATTAGCAATCATAGATATTTCTATATTACATTATATTGTTGTAGATATCCCAAAACATATGTTTCATTTATGTACATCTCTATTTTAAATTAAGGTAGTTATTAGAACACAGCCAGACAGTACTTAATATATCAACAAATAAGTACTATGCCACAACTTTAAAAACTTTTGGTGGCTGTATTTCAATATAGCTGGCTTATTTTATAATTGTATGTGTTTTATGTATTTAAAATCTAATCTGAAAAACTGACTTCTAGCATGACAGTATGAGGAGCTTCATTTCACCAATAAAATTGATTAAAATTATTATGAAAAACAACCATTCAGAGACTCTGGAAATGGTCCAATGGGCAAACAGAAAATGAAGAAACATCAAGAAAATCTGCCAAAATTCTGTAAGAAAGGCAAGAGCCTGCGGTATTTGAACTAAGACTTCTCCCTCCCTTCCCTCTCCCAGATCAGCAACTCCACACTGCTGCAGCAAAGAACATAGGGATGCCTTTCTGCCCAACCAGAAAGCTTCCTTCCCAGGAAGAGCAGGACTTCAGCGTTTCTCAGCTTACTTCCGAAGGTTTATTGCTGAGGTCAAATTCCAGTTGAGTGTTGATGGGAGATGAGGGCTCCCTTTTTCCCCAATGGTGGAATAAATGCTCTACTTCTGGCACGGTGCAGTGAAAATATTGAGACCCCAGTAGCCTTTTCTCCAACTCGAGATGGTGGTTCTATGCCAGGAGAAGCAAGCCCAGAAGACCTTAGCCTGCTGACTCCCCTCCACTGAGCACTCAGATCCTAGACAGGGGATGTCACTCAGAAAGAAGTTTACATTGCCCAACCTTGAGCTCCAGAGGTCCTGTTAGACACGTTACCTGTGGGGAGAAGCAGGCCATTAAAAAAGAAAAAACAAAACAAAACGAAAAAAACAGCTCCTAATTTCTTCCCAAAGAAATCAACTGCATTTGAGACAGAGTATGGAAAAGTTGTAACCTAAGAGGACCCTCAGGAACAGTAAAGGTTGTGATGAGATTATGCAAAACAACGAACAGACAGTAAAAAGAATGAAGAAAAATGAACAGAGCCTCAGAGGAATGTAGGCGCCAATAGCGGACCAACGCCCACATAAATGAATCTGGTACTTTTGGGAGTACCAGAAAGAGAGAAGAAAGAGAATAAGAAACAATACTCAAAGAAATAATGGCTGACCACTTCTGAAAATTTATTGGAAAATAGCCATCTACATATCCAGGAAGCTCAGCAAACTCTAAGCAAGTGAAATATGAAGACATTCACAAACAAACACATCATAGTAAAGATGCTGAAAGTCAAGGAGAAAACCTTGAAATAAGCAAGAGAAAAAATTATTTTTGGAAGGTGTTAATGTACCTGACTGCCATGGGAGCCAATGCTCAGAATAAGTTCAGAAACCTCAGGTATAGTCATCTAGAATAAAATAGTTGCCCACAGGAGATAATTGGGGGGAAGGGGTAGTAATCTCAGTTCTCAACAAGAGTTCATCAAAGTGATACAGAGGTAAAATGGAATCAACCCAAAATCCCATCAATATTAGACTGGATAAAGAAAATGTGGCACATGTACAGCATGGAATACTATGTGGCCATAAAAAAAATTTCATGTCCTTTGCAGGGACATAGATGAAGCGGAAACCATCATTTTCAGCAAACAAACACAGGAACAGAAAACCAAACACTGCATGTTCTCACTTATAACTGGGAGTTGAACAATGAGAACATATGGGCACAGGAAGGGGGACCACACATCAGGGCCTGTTGGTGGGTGGAGGGCAAGGGGAGGTATAGAATTAGGAGAAATACCTATTGTAGATGATGGCTTGATGGGTGCAGCAAACCACCATGGCACATGTTTACCTGTGTAACAAACCTGCACGTTCTGCACGTGTATCCCAGAACTTAAAGTATAATTTAAAAAATGAAAAAAAAGCCTGTGATCAAAAAAAGAAAAACGAAGAGGGTGCTAAGTTAAACAAAATTAAAAAGGTTTTGTTACTGCAAGACTTGTCATACGTTTTGTAATGCTAACTGTGAGTCCCTAGATGTAGGTAAAAATTACAGCATTTCCCAAACTATTTTGACCATGAAAGCCTTTTATGGAATATATCTAAAGGTTCAAAGTTTGAAGAGCACTTTGGGAAACACTGGCATGAAGTTAATAAAAGTGAGGGATATTGATCACTGCTGGAGTCAATTGACATTTTTCTTTCCTGTATGTCCATATCAGGCAATACTTTCTCTTGAAGGTATACATGACAGATAACTATCCATATTTTCAAAGACATCCTAGGTGAAAGGCTGTCTGAGGTTTCTGGTAATGCTGCTTGCCAAGGCCACAAATTTAAGCCACCCTGAGGGTGACTGTGCCCTAGACTGTCTTTTCTGATTTTTGGATCACATTCTGCTAAAAATCTTTAGACTCTACATTAATGAATACAGAAAAGAACAACCCCTGCTAACGGGCTTCTTTGCATGGAAAATTCCTTCCCATTCCTGTTTCTAGTCTTAGGTTCTGGTTTATAATAACAGCCTATCAAAATGTTGCATGCAGCTTCAAAAAAAGTAGTCATCATCTGAGAGCTATACTTAACATCAAATGCCAAGGAAGATTTGTCAGCAGCTGAAGCCTGGAGCACAGCCAGTTCACAGCACTGAGGCTCCGCTCACTGCAACTCACCATTAGAGGGTGTATATTAGAGGATGGACCCCAGCCAGATATAAAGAAGCTGTGGCTCAGCAACTTGAGTCAGGTGACAGCAAACAAGGAAGACTGAAGGAACAGTGTAAAGGGAGGCAACTTCAAGAAACATAATATTACTGTTTCCTGTCAGAAAAATGGCAATACCAGCAGCTAGGCCAACCTTAGTGTGCCATTCAGAGGTGAAGTGGCTATTATTCTTTATGAAAACGCTTACAGCCTCTAACAGAAAGCAGTGATTCATAAAAAGAACTGAACGCTTCCTAAGATGCAAACAGGCAGAGAAATAGATGAAGACTCACTATGGAAATGACCTAAGTCTAACCAAGGGTATCATCAAACACAAATACTCTATATAGAAAACATCGTTCCAGTGTACTTTATATGGCTGTTGAACTTTGCTCCTCCATTCTTTCAAACAGCTATGCAAGCTTGTAAGTCTCTAAATTAAGGTCCATCCTGGCTGAAATACTTAGAGTGGTTTCTGTTTTCTTGACCAAAATAATCATATTGTATTTTTCCTATTCAGAGGGCCTTGAACAATAAACTGAATGAGTGTGGGGGCAGACCCTGTACTTTCCTAGAATGTTGTGCGCAAGATGGTGAGCATTGAATACTGGCATGTTAATAGAGTAGTGAAAGAATAGAGTAGAAGCCTATCTATGTTCTCTGGCGACCTTCCTATAAGCAGGCCACTTTCTGAATAAAAGAGGAGCAAGTGACAGAAAAATCTAATGCATGCATAAGACAGAACCATAAGACAAATAACTACCAACAACAGCAAAAACAAACCAATTTCAAGGAGCCAGAGCAATTTTGCATAAAGGATGGAGCTGCAAGCAGGAGGATAAGCATCATAGATAGAAAAATATTTTGAGCTAACCAAGACATTTGAAGGATCCCAAGATCCATAGCTAAAAAAGAATCAATGGGCAATCAGGGCCCAAGAATTGTACTAAAAATCTATAAAAATGGAAAGAGCTCACCTATCAAACTGACATTTAAAAAAAATAAAATATCATATCCCATCTTGGCAAATTCAAAAGTGCAGCCATTTTTACACAGTGTTTGTGGGAGTATAAATTGCTACACTGACTTAGGAGATGAATTTGGTAATATGTTTTCAAAATGTTCATATTCTTTGCCCATGCATTTCTACTTCTAAAATGTTTTTCTACCCAAATCCCAATTTTGTTCCCAGAAAAAGTGTATATGAGTGCCTTAAGGATGATCAGAGGAACTGACTACAAAATATCAAGTGGTTCTATCTAGGTATTAAGATAGCATTGCAAATACTTATTCTCTGTTTCTTCTCTTCTCCATTTTCTTTGGATTCTTCCCTGAAAAAAACAGATACTAATTCTGTAATACATAAAGTAAAATATACTTAAATAACAATTAAAAGAGCAATAGAGTAGAAATGCACACAAGTGTCAAGGAGACTTGATCACAGTTTCATGTCTTTTCTAGATTATTCTATAGTTCCAGGAAGGCAAGAGATAATTTTAGAAGGATTGCTTCAGATCCTACAGTTAGGAACCTATAAAGGGAGACTCCTAACAGAAGTGGAGAATGCAGAGACTGAGTAGCAACAATTCCTCCTGAAAGAAAAAAAAAAATCCAAAGACAACAACCCTCAGTCTAACACAAATAGAGTGAGCCTCCATCTCACTAAGAAATATAGGGAAACTCAGATACAAGTGAAGGATACCAGCGTGATATAGACCAGGAATCAAAAAAGAGAGTATTACTTTCCTGCTCTTCCACACCTCTTCCAAAGCACTCCACATCTAATACATTACACCTTTCAAGCAAGGCTAGGAAAGTTTTTTTTACAGGATCAAGAACAAAATTATGCTGATTTTTGTTAATCCAATGATATTTGTTCTTCTAATAGTCTGTAATGCCAAGGGAAATGGAGGCCACATCTTAGTTGTTATTGTATTTTCAGTGCTTCGTGCAGCACTTGGCTCAAGGAAAGTTTGATGAGCGAATGAATGAACAGCAATTTGAATGCTTTTAGTAAGCCCTAAAATCAACCCATTTTAATCAAAAGACAGCCAGTAATTTAAAGTAATTAACCAAATTCCTTTGAAAAAATATACAAATATACAAAATAAATTTATTAGAATTTTTACAATTTCATTCTTACTGATATTCAAGTTAAATTCAGATTCTACCCCAATTCATCAGGTTCCTAATGCAACTATCATAAACATGCCAGTTACTATACCTCTCTAGGTATTTGTGGGCCTTATGTTTTATGATTGAGTCACTTAGAAGAAATAGTTAGTTGACCTACAGTGAATTTAACAAGAGCATGATACACATCAGCAATATCACACAAGAATGAAATTGGTGCTGACTGGGTGACAGCCTTTACTGTGGGGCAGTGAGGGGCTTGAGGGCCTGTATTGTGAATGAGAATGACAGCACTTCAGAAAGACCTGATGTAAATTCTTTGACAGGTCATATAGTCACATTCAAAAGTACTCTTGCTGCTGTCACACATCATCACTTTTTTAAAATGTCAAACCTGTATTACACTGCATAAAAAAGACTAAGAAAATTTTACTCATGGTTACATGTGAAATAACAAATTAAAAATGATCTGAATTCCAAATCCAGACCATAATTTAAATAAATAGTGACCTCTATTATTCTCATGCTTGGGCTTTAAAAAATGATTGGACCCTTTTTTTTTTTTAGCAAATATATTATTTTAAATTTAAACATTTCGATTATTTAGCAATTACACACTTTAGGGGTGTGTTCCATTGTTCTCGAAAGGTGCTAGTGGTCAAATTCATTCTGGATTGAGTGAGCTTAGTCATTGCCTTTCTAGGTTCTTACCTTCATTTTCTATAAAACTAGGCCATTCCCTTGTTCATTCTCAGTCTAGAATGAGCTAATTGCTCTTACTGTTATCAGACTTTCCTGAAATCTACTGGGTACCTATCTAGACCTCCGTTCAGTGCCTGCTACTAGACTTTTTTTTTAACACTGTGTCTGCCTGCCTACTTGTTGGGACGCTCACCTGTCACCTGCTTAATAACAGAAAAAGCTATCAGTTCTTGAACATAACCATTGGCAGTCACCGCACTGGAAAGTTTACATATGTTATTTCTAATCCTCACCACCACCCAGCGAGGTAGGCATCACCATTTTACTGGTAAAGACTCTGAGTTTGAGAGAGCTGAGCAATGTATCCTGGAAGATGATGTATAAAAAAAGCACATGGCCTTGGAAATGAACAAATCTGAGGGGTCCTACTGTTAACTAGGTATACGATCTTGAGCACATTAATTCAACCTCTCTAAGCCTCAGTTTTCTCATAAGTAAAACAAGAACAATTAATACCGTGTAACAGGGAGTTTGGGGGGAACATGTACCCATGTGGAACTGAACCTGCTATTGTCAAACCATATAACAATTTTTCTTTGCTGCTTAAGGGAAAAGAAAATATTAGTAAACATGATTGCTATTTTAAAAATGCATTGACGAAAAACACTGTATTCTTTTGTGTAACATTCCTCTGCTTCTCTCAGAGAGGATAAATAACATTCTTTAAATCCCACACTCTATTTTAGGCATACTTTAATCGTATGACATATGCAATGTCTTAAATGTTTGTCCCCTTCAAAACTTATGTTGAAATTTAACCCCCAATGTAGCAGTATTGAGAGACAAGGCCTTTAAGAAGCTATTGGGTCATGAGGGCTCTGCCCTCATGAATGGATTAATTCATTCATGAATTATTGGAATAATGGGTTATCATGGGAGTGAACTGGTGACTTTATAAGAGGAAGAGAGACCTCAGCAAGCACCATCAGGCCCCTCACCATGAGATGCTCTGCACAGCTTTGAGACCACCAGCAAGAAGGCCCTCACCAGATTCATCCCCTCAACTTTAGCCTTCCCAGCCTCCAGAATAGTAAAAAAAAAAAATTATGTCTCCTTATAAATGACCCAGTTTCAAGTATTCTGTTACAAGGCATGGAAAATAGACTAAGCATACCAGTTGCCTCAATCTATCTAAGCTAAAGCTTGCTCTTTTTATTTAAGGCATTGCATTTTGCCCTTATTTGAAAACAATGGGCAAATAGGATTAAGACCTAGAGGGTCTCAGAAGATTTCTTCATCAGCCACACCCTCTGCCTTCTCTGGACCCTGGAAAGGTTGTAAAAAGTTGCTGGAAAAGGATGCTCCAGAAATTCTCCACAATAGTCCAGCAATAAATTTTTATATTGCCCCTCTAATTTTCCATTGCAAACATTTGCATTTAATGCAAGCTCCACACAAGCTCCTCAGACTCTTGAAATCTTCCACTTTCTGGCAGAGAGCTGAAAGCAAGCTTTGAGCATTGCATTTAAAATAGAGACCAAAAGGTCACATGAAACTTTTTGACTAGTTTTTGTCTGTTGGCATCCTGGTATTTACTTCTCTTTGCAATTAAAAGAATTAGAGTCTGGCCTAAAGAGGAGAGTCACCTGAAAATTTCAGGAGATCCTAAAGCAGAATGGCAAACCAAAATAATAAAAGCCTGCTCTTTGAGATGGAAAATATCAAATCAGAAATATGATTCTACTTTTTGGAAATAAGTCAGCTTTAATAAAAGTAAATTCTGAGGAAGCCACATGAACTTTTTATTTAGCCAGAGGCCCTGTAGTATACTGTCTCTACCCTAGAAATTAACAATATCATTTTGGATTACCAAGTTCATTGTTAAACTGAATTATGATCACTGAACTAGTTTTAATACTCCTCTCTTTTCTTCCTCATCAGCATTGAAGTTTCTTAGTATCCAAGACCCAAGAAGATAAGAGCACTGTCAGAGTTTTACAGAGCTATCTTTATATTACTCTATATATTTTAAAAATACATACCAAAATATATTAAAGTGTGTATATATATAACACACTCTCACATATGTGATGGGGTTTGTGTATGTGTTATTTGTGTATGTGTGTGTGTACACTTATACATACATACAACTATGTTGTGGAGATTTTTGACCTTTGTAAAATATGGAGTTATAAGACATGACTGGTGTTGGAAATATTGATAGATTTAAACTGTACCTACTGCAAATCATTTAAAATATATATGAATGTGCCCTTTTTGTATGTTTTTCTTTCTACTTTTCACATCTCTCTATGTCTTCTTTTCTCTAAAAGCATAAAAGTTAGTGTCATTTCTGCTGTTTGACAAGGAATACACTTTGAGCTTCTCTCCACTGCAATGACTTCTAAGAAATCTGTATTATTAAAAGTGCTCCTAATAATTTCTGCTCCTAAAAAAACCATTTTATCTTTGACAATAATGTTTACCTCACTGAGTTGTAAAAATTACATGACATGTGTGCAAAATACTTAGCATTCAATAAATAATTACCATGATTTGCCTAATACTCCATCACCTACCCAATAAGTAAGTAATGAAATACAAACCCAGGCTCTGTCATTTCAACTGTCACTTGGGAAAATCAGTTTACTTTCTGGTGCTCAAGTCTCCTTGCCTATAAAAGGTGATACAAAATAGTATCTATCACAACAGGTTGTTAAATTAAACATGTTAAGGTACCTATAACATTCAGAACAATGTCTGGTATATACTAGAGCTCACGTGTTAGATACCATTGTCATTATTATTATCTTCCCAGCTAGGACTTTAAAACATATGCCCATTGTATTAGTCAGGGTTCTCTAAAGGCACAGAACTAATAGGATAGATGTATATATAAAGGGAAGTTTATTAAGGAGTATTGACTCACACAATCACAAGATGAAGTCCCACAATAGGCCATCTACAAGCTGAGGAGCAGGGAAGCCAGTCCAAGTTCCAAATCTCAAAAGTAGGGAAGCCAACAGTGCAGCCTTCAGTCTGTGGCCCAAGAGCCCCTGGCAAACCACTGGTGTAAGTGCAAGCGTCCAAAAGCTGAAGAACTTGGAGTCTTATGTTTGATAGAAGGAACCATCCAGCACAGGAGAAAGATGAAGGTCAGAAGACTCAGCAAGTCAAGTCCTTCCACATTCTTCTCCCTGCTTTATTCTAGCTATGCTGGCATCTGATTAGATGGTGCCCACACAGACTGAGGGTGGGTCTGCCTCTCCCAGTCCACTGACTCAAATATTAATCTCCTTTGGCAACACCCTCACAGACACACACAGAAACAATACTTTGCATCCTTTAATCCAATCAAGTTGACACCCAATATTAATGATCACACCCATAAAACCTGAAAACTTTCCAATATCTACCAGCCAGAATCTTGCCTGATTGCCTGATATTTAGAGTATCAAAAAGTGCCTTCTCAATGTTTGCAAACTATGCACCTAACAAAGGACTGGTATCCAGAATCTACAAGAAACTCAAACAAATCAGCAAGAAGAAAACAAAGAAATAACCCCATCAAAAAAATGAGCAAAGGGCATGAATAGACATTTCTCAAAAGAAGACATACAAATGGCCAACAAAGATGAAAAAATATTTAACATCAGTAATCACCGGGGAAATACAAATTTAAACCACAATAAGATACCACCTTACTCCTGCAAAAATAGCCATAATTAAAAAGTCAAAAAAGCAATAGATGTTGCTGTGGATGTGGTTAAAAGGGAACACTTTTACACTGCTGGTAGGAAGGTACAACCTCTATGCCAAACAGTATGGAGATTCCTTAAGAACTAAAAGTAGATCTACCATTCAATCCAGCAATCCCACTACTGGGTATCTACCCAGAGGAAAGGAAATCATTCTATGAAAAAGACATATGTACACACATTTTTATAGCAGCACAATTTGCAATTGCAAAGATATGGAACCGACCTAAGTGCCCATTGATCAAAGAATGGACAAAGAAAATGTGGTATATATATATACCATGGAGTATTACTCAGGCATTAAAAGGAACAAAATGTCTTTTGCAGCAACTTGGATGCAGCTGGAGGCCACTATTCTAAGTGAAATAACTCCAGAATGGGAAACCAAATACTGTATGGTCTCACTAACAAGTAGCAGCTAAGCTATGAAGATAGAAAGACATACAGAGTAATATAATGGACTTTAGGGACTCAGTGGGAAGGTAAACAGGGGGTGAGAGATAGAAGACTACATACTGGGTACAGTGTACACTGTTTGGGTGATGGGTGCAATAATACCTCAGAATTCACCACTATAGAATTCAACCATGTAACCAAAAACGACTTGTACTTCAAAAGCTATTGAATGAATGAATAAAACAGAAAGTATCCTCTAATTATAGAACACCAAGTGAATTTAACCCAAAGAAGACTACCTCAAGCCATTTAGTAATCAAACTCCCAAAGTTCAAGGATAAAGAAAGGATCCTGAAAGCCAGCAAGAGAAAAGAAACAAATACCATACAATGGGACCCCAATACATCTGGCAGCAGACCTCTCCATGGAAACCTTACAGACCAGAAGAGAGTGGCATGAGATATTTAAAGTGCTGAAAGAAGAAAAAATTTACCCTAGAATTGTATATCCAGCAAAAAGATCCTTCAAACACAAAGGAGAAATAAAGACTTTCCCAGACAAACAAAAGCTGGAGGATTTAATCAATACCAGACCTGTCTTACAAGAAATATTAAGAGTAGTTCTTCAATCTGAAAGAAAAGGACATTAATGAGCAATAATAAATGTCATCTGAAGGTACAAAACTCACTGGTAATAGTAAGAATACAGAAAAACACAGAATATTATAACACTGTAATTGTGATGTGTAAACTCATATCATTAGAAAAAGGAAAAGATGAACTCATCAAAAATAATAATTACAACAACTTTTGTGGATATAGACAGAACAATAAAATATAATTAGAGACAACAAACCTTAAAAGGTGGGACAAGAAAGTTAAAGTGTACAGTTTTTTATAGTTTCCTTTTTGCTTAATTCATTTATGCAATCATCAGTTTAAAATAATGGGTTATAATATTTGCAAGCCCCATAGTAACTTCATATCTAAAAACATACAACAGATTGACAAAAAATTAAAACACACTATGAGAGAAAATCACCTTCACTAAAAGTAAGACAGGAAGGAAGGAAAGAAGAAAGAGAAGACAACAAAACAACTAGAAAACAAATAACAAAATGCCAGGAGTAAGTCCTTACTTATCAATAAAATCATTGAATGGAAAAGGACTAAAGTCTCCAATAAAAAGACATACAGTAGCTAATGAATTTTTTTTTAAAAATAGAAAAAACAAGAACCAATCATCTGTTGCCTACAAGAAACATACTTCACCTAGAAAGACATAGACTGAAAATAAAGGGATGGAAAAAGATATCCTATGCCAATGGAAGCCAAAAAAGGGCACAAGCAGCTATACTTGGACAAAATAGGTTTCAAGACAAAAACTACAACAAGAGACAAAGATAGTCATTATATAGTGATGAAGGGGTCAATTCAAGAAGATATAACAATTGTAAATATATACACCCAACACTGGGGCACCTAGACATACAAAGCAAATATTACCAGAGCTGAAGAGAGAAACAGGCCCCAGTACAATAGCTAGAGGATTCAAAATGCCACTTTCAGCATTGGACAGATCTTCCAGATAGAAAATATACAAACATCAGACTTAATCCACACTATACATCAAACTGGCCTAATAGATATTAACAGAACATTTCATCCAATGGCTGCAGAATACATATTCTCTACGTATATTCTCTATGTATATTTACATATACATACTTGCATATACGTATTGAGATATTTAGGGAAACAAGTCTAAACACAAAATTCAGTTATGTTTTTTTTTTGGCGGGGGGGGGGGTGATTTCTCTGTTTTTGTTTTTATTTTCTTTTAAGTTCCTGGATACATGTGCAGGATGTGCAGGTTTGTCACATAGGTAAATGTGTACCATGGTGTTTTGCTGTACCTATCAACTCATCACTTAGGTATTAAGCCCCATATGCATTAGCTATTTATCCTGATGCTCTCACTTTCCTTGGCCTACCCCCCACCCCACTGCCGCCAACAGGACCCAGTGTGTGTTTTTCCTTTCCCTGCGTCCTGTGTTCTCATTGTTCAGCTCCCACTTATAAGTGAGAACATGCAGTGTTTGGCATTCTGTTTCTGTGTAAGTTTGCTGAGGAAAATGGCTTCCAGCTCCATCCATGTCCCTGCAAAGGACATGCTCTCATTCCTTTTAATGGCTGCATAGTATTCCATGGTGTACATGTACCACATTTTCTTTATCCATCTATCATTGATGGGCATTTGAGTTGATTTCATTTTTTTGCTATTGTGAATACTGCTGCAATGAACATACTTATGCATGTATCTTTATAATGGAATGATGTATATTCCTTTGGTTATGTACCCAGTAATGGGATGGCTGGGTCAAATGCTATTTTTGGTTCTGGCCTTTGAGGAATTACCACACTGTCATCCACAATAGTTGAACTAATTTACATTCCCACCAACAGCGTAAAAGCATTCCTACTTCTCCATAGCCTCATCAACATCTGTTGTTTCTTGACTTTTTAATAACTGCCATTCGGATTGGCATAAGATGATATCTCACTGTGATTTTTATTTGCATGTCTCTAATGATCAGTGATGTTGAGCTTTTTTTCATGTTTTTTGGCCACATAAATGTCTTCTTTTGAGAAGCAACTGTTCATGCCCTTTACCCACTTTTTAATGGGGTTATTTGTTTTATTCTTGTAAATTTAAGTTCCTTGTAGATTCTGGATATTAGACCATTGTCAGATGGATTGATTGTAAAAATTTTCTCCCATTTTGTATGTTGTCTCTTCAGTCTTATGATAGTTTCTTTTGCTGTGCAGAAGGTCTTTAGTTTAATTAGATCCCATTTGTCAATTTTTGCTTTTGTTGAAATCGCTTTTTGATGTTTTTGTCATAAAATCTTTCTGTTGACTGGTATTGCCTAGATTTTCTTCTAGGGTTTTGGGTTTTACATTTATGTCTTTAATCCATCTTGAGTTAATTTCTGTATAAGGTGTAGGAAAGGGGTCCAGTTTCAATTTTCCACATATGGCTAGCCAGTTTTCCCAGTACCATTTATTAAATAGGGAATCCTTTCCCCATTGCTTTTGTCAGGTTTGTCAAAAATCAGATAGTTGTAGATGTGCGGTATTATTTCCGAGATCTCTGTTCTGATCCATTGGTCTATGTGCCTGTCCTTGTACCAGTACCATGCTGTTTTGGTTACTATAGCCTTGTAGTATAGTTTGAAGTTGGTAGTATAGTATAGTTACTATAGCCTTGTAGTATAGTTTGAAGTCAGGTAGCATGATACCCACAGTATTTTCTTTTCATTTAGGATTGTCTTGGCTATACAGGCTCTTTTTTGTGTCATATGGATTTTAAAGTAGTTTTTCTAATTCTTTTTTTTGTACTAAAAATTTATGTCCTACTTTATTTTACTTATAAAATAAGCACTTTTTATCATTTTTGTAATGTACTTTCCATGGTTCCATAATATTCCAATATACAAATCCATTTAGCACATGCATAATTGCCATGTTTTGAATCCATTTATGGTTGAAGTTTTATTTAAACATTCTAAATACAAATGTTTAGTTGGCTTTCAATAGCAGAGGTCAAGAGAAAAAAAAAACAAAAGACACCAGGTGTGGTGGCTCATACCTACAATCCCACACTTTGGAGGCCAAGGTGAGAGGATCACTTAATCACTTAAAGCCAAGAGTTCAAGACCAGCCTGGGCAACATTAACAAGACCCTGTGTCTACAAAAAATAAACCAGACGTGGTGGCCCATGCCTGTAGTCCTTGCTATACAAGAGATTGAGGCAGGAGGATCACTTGAGCCCAGGGAATTGAGGCTGAAATGAGCCATGATTTCACCTCTACACTCCAGCCTGCGCTACAGAACAAGACCCTGTCAAAAAAAAAAAAAATCATTATTTAAATAAGTAAAAATGTTTTTCTTTTTTCTAGTTTTGCATATCATGCTGTAATAAATCTTTTTTGTGTGTGTATGCTTACTTTGGATTTTTATTTATTTATTCATTTTTTCCTTGTTATTTATTTATCTATTTATTTATTTAGTATTTATTGATCATTCTTGGGTGTTTCTCGGGGAGGGGGATTTGGCAGGGTCCTAGGACAATAGTGGAGGGAAGGTCAGCAGATAAACATGTGAACAAGGGTCTCTGGTTTTCCTAGGCAGAGGACCCTGCGGCCTTCCCCTGTGTTTGTGTCCCTGGGTACTTGAGATTAGGGGGTGGTGATGACTCTTAACGAGCATGCTGCCTTCAAGCATCTGTTTAACAAAGAACATCTTGCACCGCCCTTAATCCATTTAACCCTGAGTGGACACAGCACATGTTTCAGAGAGCATGGGGTTGGGGGTAAGGTTATAGATTAACAGCATCCCAAGGCAGAAGAATTTTTCTTAGTACAGAACAAAATGGAGTCTCCTATGTCTACTTCTTTCCACACAGACACCGTAACAATCCGATTTCTCTTTCTTTTCCCCACACTTCCCCCCTTTTCTATTCGACAAAACTGCCATCGTCATCATGGTACATTCTCAATGAGCTGTTGGGTACACCTCCCAGACGGGGTGGCGGCCGGGCAGAGGGGCTCCTCACTTCCCAGATGGGGCGGCCAGGCAGAGGCGCCCCCCACCTCCCGGACAGGGCGGCTGCCGGGCGGGGGCTGCCCCCTACCTCCCTCCTGGGCGGGGCGGCTGGCCGGGCGGGGGCTGCCCCCCATCTCCTGGACGGGGCGGCTGCCAGGCAGAGACACTCCTCACTTTCCAGATGGGGCGACTGCCTGGCAGAGGGGCTCCTCACTTCTCAGACGGGGCGGCTGGGCAGAGACACTCCTCACCTCCCAGATGGGGTGGCGGTCAGGCAGAGACACTCCTCAGTTCCCAGACGGGGTCGCAGCCAGGCAGAGGCACTCCTCACATCCCAGACGGGGCGGCGGGGCAGAGGCGTTCCCCACATCTCAGAGGACGGTCGGCCGGGCAGAGATGCTCCTCACTTCCCAGACGGGATGGCGGCTGGGAAGAGGCGCTCCTCACTTCCCAGACTGGGCAGCCGGGCAGAGGGGCTCCTCACTTCCCAGACGGGGTGGCGGCCGGGCAGAGGCTGCAATCTCGGCACTTTGGGAGGCCAAGGCAGGTGGCTGGGAGGTGGAGGTTGTAGCGAGCTGAGATCACACCACTGCACTCCAGCCTGGGCAACATTGAGCACTGAGTGAGCAAGACTCCGTCTACAATCCCAGCACCTCGGGAGGCCAAGGCGGGCAGATCACTTGCGGTCAGGAGCTGGAGACCAGTCCGGCCAACACGGCGAAACCCCGTCTCCACCAAAAAATACAAAAACCAGTCAGGCATGGCGGCGCGGGCCTGCAATCCCAGGCACTGGGCAGGCTGAGGCAGGAGAATCAGGCAGGGAGGTTGCAGTGAGCCGAGATGGCGGCAGCACAGTCCAGCCTCCACTCGGCATCAGAGGGAGACTGTGGAGAGAGAGGGAGAGGGAGAGGGAGAGGGAGACCATGGAGAGGGAGAGGGAGACCATGGAGAGGGAGAGGGAGGGGGAGGGGGAGGGAGGGGAGTTTTTTCTAATTCTGTGATGAATATCAATGGTACTTTAATGAGAATAGCACTGAATCTATAAATTACTTGGGCAACATGGTCATTTTTATGATAGTGATCCTTCCTATCCATGAGCACTTATGTTTCTTCTATGCATAGCCTGAAAGTAATTTTATACAATATTTCTTTTTTGCGTCAAACAAAGTTGTGACTGCATATTGACTGCACCCTAACATGTGGGGTCAGGTGTGGAATTTTCCACTTGTGGCATGATGTAGGTGTTCAAAATCTTTCAGATTTTGGAGCATTATGAATTTTGGAATTTTGGATTAGAGATGCTCAACTTGTATTTGTTTTTTATCTGAAATTCAAATTTAATTATGTGTCCTGTATTTTTTATCTCCTAAACCTGAAAACCCTATCCTAGTCTATATCTAGTTCTAATATGCCAAACATATAGTGGGATACACTTTTTATTTCAGCATCTCATTATTATGCATTGCTTTGGCCTTATTTAATTTTGCAGGGAGGAGAAGGTGGGCATTGGGAGGATGAGTAATTCTATAGCATAGAATTACCTGTTGCATTCTCAACCTTTTAGTAATTAATTGCTTTGTAGAACTGAGATTTTTTGTTGCATTCTCCTCCTATAGTCCAAACGGTCCCAACATATACATACAAACATATCTCAATGTATAAATCTCTCACAACAGAAAATACTACCAAATTTCATAATTTTAATGTCACTATTTTCTGTTTTATATATTCTTCACATCAAGGGCTCAGTATGATTTCAAAAAGTGTCTAAGATATTAATAGAGCCAAATTATAATACTATTAATAATAATCTCCTGAAGATTGAGAAAATGTCTTGAAAAACAGAAGTCATGAATAACTGTGTGTTCTGGGAACTAGCAGTAAGCAGGCCTTAAATATGGGTTGAAACTCAAGTGCCTACAGGGCTAGTCATGTAACTTTAAATGAGTTAAGTCAGCTGTGGAGGAGAATTCGCATATACATTATTTGAGTGGAAGGGAATGTGGAGAACTCAAAAGCACTCACCTCAGCTGAAAGGCACAATAGGCCCTGTATTGCCACATCTTTTGCTTTTTTTTCAAGAAAAGCAAAACTCCTGATTTTTATGTGAAATCCTCTCGTTGTGTTTTAATTTCAAAACATTGTGCAGGCCTAACACAATATACTCATGAGGTGACACCTTACAGTAGCCTTTCAAGCCTTGCACCCAGCTTCCAAAATTCAAGTTCTTTCAACCTCAATTTGACTCTGATGAATGCTTTAGGCAACTAAATAATTGAATTTTTAATTACTGCTTAATATTATAACTTATTTTGACTCTCTAAAAACCATTTCCCATTCAGAATCCTACAGTTCAACATTCTGGTCAAAGACAATTCTGATTTTTGAATATCAGTTCCTAGAAGCCATGGGTTTGTCATTTTTTTCCTACCAATTTACAGACAGCTAAGGAAAATGGTCATTATGCAAATTCTGAGTCACATAAAAGTGTACAGTTTTAAACAAAGATGGTTTCAAAAAAGCTTTCTTTTTTATTAAATTAATTGAATATTATACCCATTGCTCCTAAAAAAAACATAATTTGTACCCTATAAATGTAGGGCCCAAGAGTGCCATTCTATATAAACTATTGAATGCTTTTTGGTTTAAAAATATCTTTACTGTAATCATTTTTCTTTATATTTCCTGCAAAGTCATCTGAAATGCATTCTCAGGGATGGGTAAATCATCCTTAGCATGGCTGATACTTGGTCATGTGATTTAGACTTCTTGGGTAAGAAATCATTTTAAGTGCTGAGAACTGGTGAATATAACATAGAAGTCCAACATGGGAATTCTGGCTGCTGCTTTGATTACTTGAGTCTCTGATTAATTGCTCTGATAAATAGATAGATATGCAATTACTTTGAGCTAAGGCAACAGAAAAATCATTTCTACTACCACCTGTTCAGGAACAATGAGTTATACCCTTGGAAGCCTGCTGTTACTCATGACCAATGTCCCCAAGTTTTGAAATTTTCTCTTTTTTGTTAAGAAATGAAATATTGGTGAAGATGAGTTTTTATTCTTTTTATCAATTTTACGTAAAAAAAGAAACTGAATGGAAGTTCTAAAGGCACTTTAAACTAATTTTGGGATGAGTTATTTGTATTCCAATATCTTTGTAACAGGGTGAAATTATTACAGGCTTTGAAATAAGTCAGATGTGGTTTCAAATCTGTCTCTTAGTAGACCTTGAGCAATGTTCATCAAGAACTCTAGATCTCAATTTTTTCATTACTAAATACAAGTAAGAATATCTACTTGGTAGTATTCTTACAAGGATTAAATGAGATAAAGCACAATGCCTACTTAAGGGCATTATTTATACCCTTCTTTACATATTTACCAGATGCCTCTCTTCATGAAATAAATGCACCTAGAAAATGGGATCCTCCTAAGTAAAAAAGAAAAAGAAAGAAAGAAACTCACAAGCTTGAATGGAGTTTGTAAACTTAATAAAAATGCTCATATAGTTGTCCCTCACTATTCCCAGAGTATTGATTCTAGGATCAACCCTCAGATACCAAAACCAATGAGTATTTGCATATAACCTAAAGCACATTCTCTCATATGCTTTAAATTATCTCTAGATTACTTATGATACCTAATACAATGTAAATGCTATGTAAAGAGATTTTATTTATATTTTTTATTATATTACTTTTATTGTTTTTTAAAAAATATTTTCAATCTGCATTTGGTAAAATCTGTGGGTGCAGAATCATGGAGGGCTGACTATATATAATTGCAACCTGATTCATTCTGCACGTTTAGTACTATCTTTCCTATGCCCAGAAGTTTTGATGTATTACAAATATTCGCCGTCCAAGGCTTAAGGAATACCAACACTGACAAAAGGCTATGGACTGTCAGGAGACAGGAAAAAACCAGCAAGTCCACATTCTAGAGACTTTAGAGAGGACAACACCTCCCCCGCAAATAATTCCAAGTATCTTGAGCTATATGGGCTTTTACCTTTCTAGGAAGCAAGGTGCAAGCCTGGAACCTCGAGGTCAGGATGGGGACAAAGTAGAGCCTTTGTCCCTCCACTAACCAAAAACAAGTTCAACTGGTGTTATTTTCCTCACACAGGGGAAACTAACCATTCGATACACATGCAATTCATTTCAATTCCAAAATAGCTAGAGTGCCTATTAAGTGCAAAGAGACCGCATGTTTCTCACATAAGGACATTTTAAAAGAGCTGGGCAATGTTTAAATTTTGACAGTGCTACAATTCTTTGGGGACCAGCTGTCCAAGGGAAAGCAGAAAGAGCATGACATTCCCTGAATGGATAATGGCCGCCTGTCAGATCCTTGTTCACAGCACACACTGACGGCATGCACAGTTCACAAGCCCAGAGCACCATCACAAGATGGAATGCATTGATATCTTGCTCAGGGAGGAAGGTCTAAATGACAAGTATTTCATTTCTTTCTGGTCAATTTTTTGACTACAAGGAACGTAAGTTACCTCAGGTAACAAAAGAATTGGGGATGGGGGAGGGGAGTTGTAAAGCTAAATAAACTGAAACTGGAATTGGACCTTCATCAAACAAGGAAACTCAGGAAACTGCCCTCTCAGCCATACCCAGAGGTCACACGGTTTCTCATTCCAACTTTGGGAAAATGTGATACATTATAACTTGTTTTCCATAAATCCTCATGACCCCAACCCTAGTATGCCGTTCTCTTTTTTGCATCCTTTTTGTTTTATCCTCCATTTTGAATTGTTAGAATTACTCATATTTCCTAATACAAAGCACCAAGGAGAGAATCTGACAATTCAAACTTATACCTCCATGAGTCTGAATGGTTGATCTGTGTCACGGTGACCGCTCTTGGCCAGTTGGCTCAAAGAGAGTGGCCAGTGGGGGTAGGAGCAGCAATCTGCACCAGACCACGGCTAATGGCTGTGCAGGCAAGCTTGCTGACTACTATATCTATATACCCCTGAATGGTTAAATGTGAAAGAAAGAGCAGCATCTCCTGGGTCACCAAGTATAATTGATAGCATGAACAACAGTTGTAAAAAGGTTCATAGACAGGTTTGATTGGTAACATTTAGAACCTTCTTCCCTAAGTTCCACAAGGAACTTCACAGTATCATTTAAATGCAATGTCCAAAGTTTCCGAAGAAAACACATCAAATTACTTAGAGCAAAACTAAATAAGATTAATACCCAGTAAAGGTCCATCGGACTTAACTGAAAAATTGGACATGTTTTCCTTTTGAATTGGATATTAATTTGGTGAATGTATGAATCAGAATATTAAATAAAATGCATTTTAAAAGCTCTTATTAAGGTTTCTTTCTCATTATTCAAATGAGGTCAGAAATTTTCCAAGCAAGTAAAAAAATAAAATATACAATGTTAGCATAGTGCCAGCCATGTAACAACTTGTTGACCTCACATCCCAAAAAGACAATGATACTATCTATTTTGATGCTCTTTAAATGATCAATGAAAGGTGAATCTTAATAAAAATAAAAGCACCAATTACCTTCTACTTTAAGGATGATAAATAGGTAAATGAGATAGCTGGATTTTCAAGGAGATCAAGGTGAATGGAATCTGACACTTTCCTACTTTTACTGGCCACAGAAAGATTAACTTTGATGCCAAAGGTTGAAACAGATTTTTCTAGGAAAAAAAGGGGGGTCACAGATGAAATTCTGGAAAGTCAGAATAACAAATAAAGGCCTTATGTTGACTAAAGAACAGCTCTACTGGGTAGCTCTAAAATGGGAAAATATAGAGGCAGAGTTGTAATCACAGATTCCTTAAAGGTCAGGGGAAAGCAGGCAATGAACAAGAACTGCGATTGAATAGCTTAAAGTTACAAGAATGTTACAAACATAAGATTTAAGGATGGAAAGAATGGCTTACCTGCTTTTTAATTTTATGATTTCTAAACCATCATTTAAGAATTTTTGTGTTTTTTAACCTTATGGTACTAGGTTTACTTCATTTCCTACTCCCTTTTGGTCCTCCTGTCAATATTTAGCATCCCTCTCCTGATTTCACATTAGAATATTGTATCACTTTTTCAGGATTAGTGCTAAATTACTGCATCTTTATTGTAACCAAACACATACACTAATTATCTTAGTTTCATTCCAAACTCTAATTCTCATAGCTGGTAGGCTGCCAAACGAATTCATTTTCATTCTTTTCCTTTTGATTTGAGAAAAAAATTTATTGTTCTTATTTGTATCTAAGTGCATTAAATTCCCTTTATCTTTGTGTGTACTATCAGGGTAACCACAGTAGGTTTCTCAATGTAGCCCTAGTGATAGACAGGGCTTTAAACTGGCCAATTGTGTCTAACAATCTTAATTCTTTCCCATAATGAATATATTATCTAATATATATCTATATCTATATATATATCTATATCTATATCTATATATATAATATATATCTCCCTTGCAAAATCATTTGCTGTTACAAGTAGCTTTTTCTTCCTGAAATGCTATCTTTCTTTTCCATCATTGCTTAGAAGACTGAGCCACTAATCTTCAAGATCCTGGGCTTTATTTTTTTCTCTGCCTTGGAAAAAAATATATATCAATAAAACACAAATGAGAAAAGAAAGATCAAAAAATGAACACTGCATTATTTATGCTGGTAGTAAATAACCAAGGCAGGATGAGAAGAGAGCTGTCAACAACAGCTGCATGACCAATACAACAGAAACCACAGATTTTCACTGGCTTTCTTTTTAGTATCTACAATTCCCTCTCTGGCTAGATAGTATTTATTTGACAAGATTCATTTATTTATCAGATAATATTTATTATAAACCAGTATTGTATACATTGCCATTTTCAGAGAAATGAGGATAAAATAGGTAAATTACACAAGTACAGATCACAAAAGATGCAGGTTAGGGAGAAAGGGTAGAGCAAGATAGACAACTAGAAGCCTCTATCCGTCATCCTCCCTGCAGGAAAACCAAATTTTAAAACTATCCACGAAATTAAAAAGAAAAAAAAAAAACCTTCATAAGAACGAAATATCAGCTGAGCAATCACAGTACCTGATTTTAAACATATATCACTGAAAGAGTCACTGACAAGGGTAGGAAAAACAGTCTTGAATAGTCAATGGCACCCCTCCCATATCCACCAGCAATGGTGGCGTGGCAGAGAGAGAGAATCTTTAGGCTTGGGGGAGGGAGAGTGCAGTGACTATGGGCCTTTGCATTGGAACCAAGTGCTGCCCTGTCACAGGTGGAAAGCAGCACAGGGCAGAGCTCACCCGGCACCCACAGAAGGACCATATAGGCCAGCACCAGCCAAAGAGGAATTGTCCATTCCAGTGGTTAGAACCTGAGTTCTGGCAAGCCTTGCCCACCACAGGCTAAAAGTGCCCTGAGGACCTAAATAAACTTGCAAAGCAGTCAGGCCACAAGGTCTAGAGCTCCTAGACAAGTCCTGGTGCTGTGCTGGGCCTGGAACAATTGAAGTTGGGGTCTATGTGACCCAGGAAGACACCAGGTGGGGCAGCCAAGGGAGTGCTTGCACCACCCCTCCCCCAACCCCAGGCAGTACAGCTCATGCTCTAGGAGAAACTCTTTTCTATTGCTGGAGGAAACAATAAAGAGGTTTTTCTCATGCAATTCGGACACCAGTTCAGTCACAATAGGACAGGGCACCAGGTAGAGTTTTGAGGCCCCCATCCCAGGCCCTAGCTCCCAGATGACATTTCTAGACATACCTTAGGCCAGAAGGAAACCCACTGCCTTAAAGGGAAAAACCAAGTCCTGGGAGAATTCATTATTTGCTGACTAAAGAGCCACTGGGCCCTGAATAAGCAGCAACAGCAACCAGGTATAGTACACGCTGTGGGCCTTCAGTGAGACTCTGAGATGTGCTGGCTTCAGGTGTCACCCAGCATGTTGGCAGTTGTGGTAGCTATGAGGAGAGACTCTGAGTGCTTGAGAAAAGCAGAGGGAAGACTTAATAGGACTTTGTCTTGCAGCTTAGGTATCAGCTCAGCCACAGTGGGGTAGAACACTAAGCAGGCTTCCAGAGTTCCTGATTCCAGGCCTTGGCTCCTGGATGGAATTTCTAGACTTGCCCTGAGCCACAGGGAAGCACACACTGCCCTGAAGGGAGAGTCCCAGGCCTGGAATCATTCACCACAAGCATATTGAAGAGCTCTTGGGCCTTGAGTGGACACCAGTGGTAGCCATGCAGAACTCACTGCAGACCTGGGGCAGTGGTGGCCATAGGAAGAGATACCTCTGCTTATGAGAAGAGGAGGGAAGAGTGGGAAGGACTTTGTCTTGTGGCTGGGGTGCCGCTCAGCTGCAGTAGAATAGAGTACAAGGTAGATTCCTAAGGTCTCCAACTCCAGGCCCTGGCTCCCAGATGGCATCTCTGGACACACCGCAGGGTCAGGGGGATCTCTCTGCCCTGAAAGGAAGGTCACAAGCCTGGCTGGCTTTACTACCTGCTGATTGTAGAGCCCTAGAGCTTTGAACAAACAAAGGCAATAGCCAGGCAGTGTTTACTGCAGGCCTTGGATGAGACCCAGTGCTGTGCTGACTTCAGGTCTGACCCAAAACAATCACAGTGATGGTGGCCACAGGGTTGATTGTGGCACCCCTCAACTCTATTTGTTTGGAAGAAAGGAAGGAAAACAATGGGTCTCTGCCTGGTAATTCAGAAAATTTTTCCAGATTTTACCCAAGATAACCAAGGTGATACCTCTACAAGTTTGAAAGAGCCACAGCATTACTGAGTTTGGAGTGTCCCCTAATGCAGACGTGGCTGCAGTCACCAAAAAGTACTCTGTGCTTGTTTGTTTATGCAATTAGTGTTAAGTTGTCATCAGTTTAAAATAATGGGTTATAACTTATTAGTTGCAAGCCTCATGATAACCTGAACAAAAAACGTACAACAGAAACACACACACACACAAAAACACAAGAAATCAAAACATACCGCAAGAGAAAAATCATCTTCACTAAAAGGAAGACAAGAAGGAAAGAAGGAAGGAAGAGAGGATTACAAAGCAACTAGAAGACAAATTACAAAATGCCAAGAGTAAGTTCTTACTTATTAATAACAACATTGATTGTAAATGGACTAGTCTCCAATCAAAAGACAGAGTGGCTGAATAGATAAAAAAACAAGACCCAGTGATCTGTTGCCTACAAGAAACATACTTCACCTATAAAGACACAAACAGACTGAAAATAAAGGCCTGGGAAAAGATGTTCCATGGCAATGGAAACCAAAAAAGAGCAGGAGTAGCTGCTATACCTAGTTTTTTTGAGCGTATGTATCATTAAAGGATGTTGAATTTTATCAAATGTCTTTTCAGCATCAACTGAAATGATCATATGGTTTTGTACTTCGTTTAGTTGATATGATGTATCACATTGATTGATTTGCATATGCTGAACCATCTTTTGCATACCTGGGATAAATCCTGCTTGGTCGTGATGAATGGCAAACAGGCATATGAAAAGGTGCTCAATATTGTTATTGATCATCAGAGAAATGCAAATAAAAACCACAATGAGATATCATCTCACCCCATTTAAAATGGCTTATATCCAAAAGACAGGCAATAACAAACGCTGGTGAGGATTTGGAGAAAAGGGACCCCACAATGCTGATGGGAATTAAAATTAGTACAACCACTTAGAACAGTCTGGAGGTTCCTCAAAAAACTACAAAATGAAGCTGCCATACAATCCAGCCATCCCACTGCTAGATGTATACCCAAAAGAATATCAAAGACATATCAGCACTCTCATGTTCATTGCAGCACTATTCACAGTAGCCAAGATTTGGAAGCAACCTAAGTATCCAACAACAGATGAATCAATAAACAAAATGTGGTACACATACACAATGGAGTACTATTCAGCCATAAAAAAGAATAAAATCCTGTCTTCATTTGCAACAACATGTATGAGAGGTCATTATGCTGAATGAACATATATGAGGAGGTCATTATGCTGAATGAAATAAGCCAGGCACAGAAAGACAACATTGCACATTCTCACTGATCTATGGAAGCCGAAAATTAAAACAATTGAAATCATGAAGATAAAGAGTAGAAGGATGATTATCAGAGGCTGGAAAGGGTAGTAGGGATGTGGGGGTTGGGGGAGACTGGAGATAGTTAATGGGTGCAAAATATAGTTAGATAAAATGAATAAGATCTAATATTTGATAGCACAACAGAGTGACCATAGTC
This sequence comes from Homo sapiens, assembly GCF_000001405.40. Classification (NCBI taxonomy): domain Eukaryota; kingdom Metazoa; phylum Chordata; class Mammalia; order Primates; family Hominidae; genus Homo; species Homo sapiens. The sequence continues at coordinate 183,469,201 of NC_000002.12, read as the reverse complement.
AATAATTTATTATACATTTAAAATAATAAAAAGAGTATAATAGAATGTTTGTAACACAAAGAAAAGATAAATGCTTGAGGTGGATACCTGTTTACCCTCATGGGATTACTACACATTGAATGCCTGTATCAAAATATCTCATGTATCCCATAAATATATACACCTATTTTGTACCCACAAAAATTTAAGCACAAATTTAAAAAAGAAAAAAAGACGCAGGATAAAGTGGAGGATGTTCCAAGGAGCAAGATTTGCACAAAAGTGTGGCATGGTGGGAGTGGAATGCAGTCTTGCAGGAACTGAAGGATGTTTGATGTAGCTACAGGAATCAAGACTGCATGTGAAGTTTGAAGAGGAGGCTGTGGCAGAAAGATGGCAAGCTAAGGTATTTGCACTTTATTCTGTAGTGGAAGGGTTGGCAAACTTTCTATAAAAAGCCAGGTAGTATGTACTTTAGGAATTTCTGACCAGCTATTGTCTCTGTTGCATATCTTCCTTTGTTTTGTGTTTTTTTTTACAATCCTTTCAAAGTATGAAAACTTTTCTTATCTTGCAGGCAATACAAAGATAGGCCAGGAGCTAGATTTGGCCTGCAGGTCTTAGTTTGCCAGCCCCTGCTGTAGTCAACTGTTTATCTTGTCATATTGCCACAAACTCAAGGAACTAGAGAGAAAGAGAAACCAGAAGAGCCACCTCAAAGGAGATAGCAGGGCAGTGAAGAAAATGTTTGAGGGTCTTGAAAACAAACCATCTGGTTACCCAGAATAGAACATAAGGATATTACTGTCCACATGGCTCATTTTAGTTTTTGAACACTGAGGTAACAGAGAATAAAATATAAAGGAAAAATTGGGAAAATAATACATACACAGGCACAGGTTTGTGTTTCTTACTATGATAACAAGTATTTTGATCTTTAGAATTAGTTGTTCTCTAGCTATCAAAGAAAAGCTTTGCTTTCAGAACCAGGTCACTATGCAGTGAGTACAATGTTCTTTTACATTATAATTTATGGCCTCCTTTGAAAAAGCTTCTGAGTAAAAATCTTACTCGAGCAATGTTTTATTCTTCCTGCTTACTATATCCATCTCACAAAATGAAAAGTCTGACACAGTAATGAGGACATTAACTATTGTGATTTTTTAAGTATGTTCAGCTAGGCTAAATTAGCTCATAACAAATGCCAGCAGCCAATGGGTTCTCACATCCCTGTAAAGAGCAAGCACCATACTTGTCTGGAAGATTCTCCAGAGAAGATAGGGAAAATAGGACTTTCTGCATTGTTAAAAGACAAAATTACAAGAAACTTAGTTTCAACATCTAATTGGCTTCATTTAGCAATTCTAGAAGCTGGCAACACCCCACTGTATGAAATAGAATGAGTGTTTCACTGGACATGACAAAGTGATTGGTTTTTGTAAGATGGGAACAAGGAAACAGCAATTTTAAAAATCACATTGGATAATATCAGGTTACTAAATGTCAGTTTTCTTCCAAGAGTTAAAGCAGAAGGAACTCAGGTAGACTAGATTCCTTCTGACTGGTTGCTGGGAATCTCCTGTTTTCAGGAAAAACTGGTCTCTTTGGGGATTTACCTGAGTCATCTAGCATGAGTGACTACATTTTTGTTTTGTCTGGTCTGCTAAGGCATAGGGCAGGAGTCTAGTCCAAAATAATGACCTCCCATAAACTTTGTTTAACAGCACTTATAACTCAGTTTTTGTCTCATGTCATTGTATATCAATAGCCAGAGATATGGCCATTAGATTAACTCAGCATTTATGCTGTGGTACCAACACCTTCCCTATCATGAGCCTAGCCAGGTGAAAAAGCCAAAGTCTTCCTGTATCTGAAACGCATCCTGTCGCTGCTCCTCTGTCTAAAAATCAAAGTCCACATTTATACTCAATTCAGGCACCAGAAAGTCTAGTCTCCATTATTCCATTTCTACCTAAAGTGTCAATTAGTTCCACCAGTCCATTTCCCTGTTCAGCACAAGACATAGGTCTGATTTTTCCTAAACTCATCTTTCTGTGTGCATTTAACTGGATACCCAATGACAGTTTTTGGTGTTATCATAAATTTATTCAACTTTTTGACACTTGCAGCTTAAAAACAATGTCAAAATCTTATATCTGATCTTTTACCAATTCCTATTTCCTTTACTAACCTTACTAAATACAGCTGAAAAACACAATGGGGATCTTAAATACAAAAATATCTCTCTTAATAACTCAAAGTGATGCTATTTCCCTGCCCTTTGCAGTATTTGTTTGCATGCTTATGTATTTTTACATATAAATCTCAGTTTAATTAAAATCTGAAACCTAGAATATAACCATCACATATTTCTCTTATCTTCAGGAACAAATAAGAGTTAATTGGGTTATATTCTTAACAACAAAAAAAACTTAGTGAAAAATAAAAAAGAATAAAAAGAAAAAAATTCAAAAACTTAGCAATGAGTACAAATTAAGGAAACCAATGATTAAAAATATGAAAAAACAAATTTATAAGGTACCTACGGTACCAAGCACCAAACTACACATGTAGAGAAAAAGATGAATGAGTGACTTGTGCTCTTTTATCACAGCCAGTGAAAGAGAAGATTCTTAAGAATATAGTGAAATGGAATATATGAGATAATGGTATAGATAAATTATTGGAATAACCTAAAAGAAAGAAAAAAATAAAGCCTTCACAAAGGTGACATTTGAACTAGCTCATATGAAAGAGTTTTACAGACTATGATTTACTACACAAATAAAATTTGTCATTTCTATATTTATAATGACAAACATACATTCTTAGGCCAGTGAGGTAAGCAGCATATGCTCCCTGAATTGTCCCCTCTGCAGTCTGCCCCTATTGGAAACTGCCTTTGTAGAGACCCCAGAGTAAACAGGATCTGAGGCAGCAAAGCTCAGCTGTGCCTGGCCAATGAGTAGTGAACAAGTTCATGTAGATTTTCATTTTTACTTGATTTTACACATTCAAAATTTTGGCAAAATTATTCAACATTTTTATTTAATTGACAAAAGACAGCAGTTATTTTGCCTGCACCCTTGTTTACTGCATAAGGATCAGTAATGATACTAAGCAGGGTCTGTGTGCTAGGTACTGTTATCTCATAAGAATTATCCCAGAAAAAAATCATTCGATATTAAAAACAGGTTTTATTCACTGGTGAGCAAGTCAACATAGTGTTTACTCAATCTAGGTATAATTCTCGATGTTGACCCTTTAAGCTGATGGAAAAACAACATTAATTTATGCTCACTCACCTAGGATGGAGCCTATATTTAGTCCAGACCACACACTAACATTTATTGAGCCAACCATGAGGTGCTGATTTTCAGCCTGGTTGGTTAGTAAGCATATTGCACCAGTTGTTCAATATTTTCAATATCACACTTTTAGCCATGTAACCAGCCAAGGCAAGTCCTTCTCTTAACAATCAATGTCATATAAAAAAGTCTGATACTTCTTCCTATCAAATTTGATGTGGGGTACCTTATTCCCTAATAATAAACATTCAATGCTAAAGATCTCTCATTTCTTCTGAAAGCAGAGAAATATTTTTGTTTTATTATGCTAGTTTTTAGTCAGTCTGTCAGTGAATAATTATTAACTCTCTCAAAGTGAAAATATATTTCAAAAGGTGTGAGCACCCCCTTGGAAACATCTAAGGTATGAAATTGACAATAATAAGCAATCAGCTTCTAATTAAACATCAGTGGTCAGGGTGCCAGTAAATCTTGTTAAATAAATAAACTAATTTCTCATTAGATGTCATTCAGGATAGGAATCATGTTGTTTTTATGTCCAAAAGAAAGTTAAATTAAAATTTTAAATAATTTCAATTTATTTTTTATACCACTATATAATATCTTACCAGTTGCTTAAAATCTCCTCCTATATACTCTTGTATAACACTCTGTCACCTTCCCAGCCCAGCTCACAATGATTTTCAAGGTTATCATGCAACTTCCACTCTTTCATTTGGCTCAGCACTCACACTTATAATTAAACCTTACTTGGCCACTGTACATATTTTCCCAATTTCTCCTTCTATCAGGTAAATATAGTCTCAACTCTCAGGATTCTGTCAAATAAATTATATCTGTGTCTATTCCATCTGGATCATCCCATCTCAAATTTCCAGAACGTATCCTCATCCGGTTGTTTATCTTTTTCCAATCTATATCTTAGTTATCTCTTTAAAAATACTAAGAACAGATATAAGAAATTTTAATTATTCCAAGTTTCACAAAGTTTGAGACTTTTATTACTGTTTTCAATAAATACAACTTGTTATTCTATGCATCATAGAAAACTTTTTCTTAGTGTTCATGAAAATGATAGAATAGCTCTAATCTCTGCCTGTCTGCCATTTAAATGAAGAACTAAGTTATGTGGATCATAACTGCCATAACCTACAATGCTGAGACTCCATCAATTTGGCATTTTGAGTTATACTTAAAGCAGTCAGAAAAATGGTAATGACTCACTTCTTTTTTCTGTGGTTGTCAGACATTTCTGCATATATATTTATATTGCACTAACTTTCTTGTTGGACACTGTCATTTGCAAACACCACCAACATTAGTAATTGACAGTGAAATAAAAGTAAAAAGTTTTCATCACAAATTGTACTTCCTTTTCTCCTACAGGAAAAAAAAAATCTATCAAAGTAACAGCAAAATTTAATAATTACTGTGTTGGTATCAAAAAAGTGTTTAAGTCTCTACATGCAAACTAATACGCTATCAACTGCAGTCCATCTTCAGCCCTTACCAGATTTTTAAAATAACATGTGTAAATGTCAACATTTGAAAATTACTGTGGTTGTACTGAACTGCTATTTTATTCTGGCTGGCATAGAGACTAAAAAATTCAGAAAAGACTAATTATTTTCCAATAACAAACTTCTAACAGCATTAAAGTATCTGAGGTATCTGACTTAAATCCTGTTTTGAGAAAAGTTCCATTAGGAACTCAGAGAAAATGCTAAGCATGAGCTCAAAGACCTTGTTAATGACCCTCTAATGGAATTTTTACATGTTGTTGTCACACTCCATATTGAAAGATTTTGACAGCTTAATAATGTCCTTGATGAATCAGAATCAATTTATGCTTAAGACCTATGACTCTCTTATGTAACTAATGAAGTAATTATTGCTCCTTCCTTTGCAAGAGAAAGTCTTTACGTGGTACTCTATGATCATACAAAATGTCACTCTGTGACCCATGATAGCATCCTGAAAAGTCTCCCTCCTAAAATACCATTTGTTGAGCTTTCAAGAAATAAGATCAAGACATTTACAAAGATATTTGTTGCCAAAGCAAAGATAACAATTGCTAGTATATGCTAAAATGTGCTATTTTAGAAGTGCTTTCACCATGCACAAGACTGAAACATTATATCATTGATATAAAACTATTTTTATGGAACTTCAAAGACATTGATCTCATATCTTAACATCTGAAAGTGAACTTAGCAAGTAACTTCAACTCTCCGGAACCTTTCCCAAAGTCATATGCAGCCAAAATATTCAACAAGAAATGATATCAGAATTCAGCATTCAGGTTTCTTTATAAAAATATTCCTTCCAATACTACTAGACTAGATTTGATCTTCAACCACTTATCTACTACACTGAAATAATAATATAAACGACCTCACATTTAGATTTATCTTCAGCAATTAAAAAAACTATACTGAAACTATTTGGCTACAAATTTTAGTCCGACCAAACAGCTGAGACCAGTTTTTGCTATCATGCAACCAATCAGAAATTAACAGAGTGAAGTCATTCTAATCTTGCCCTTTGTAGAAATGGACCCTAACCAAACTGTTGATTAATGTTATGGTTGAAACTATTCTAAACCAACAAACACAATCTGTTAATGTAAATGAACTTTTCTGACTGTTCTCCTAAGAATCAGCTAATTTAGAGAAAGACCAGTGTCATGTTCTACACTGTTCATCTGTCCTTTAGTGAGCCATTTGTTACAGGAGATCTGTCAAACCTAAAGCCAGATCCATCTGGAATTTTGAGTCTGGAATTTGGAAAAAAAACTCCAAATACTATAATCATTATAATAATTAATCACACAAATAGTACTCTGGAATCTACAAAAAGAATGAGTTACAGAAAAACTGAAGAAAAATAAAAAGACCAACCCCAGAGTTCTACTCAATGTCACTATGCCTGGACTCAAAAATAACTGCAGGAGAGCTCATGACCAAGCAACTGACAGCCACATTTGGGGGTGGGAGCAGGCAGTTGGGTTAAGGAAGGCTCTCACATACTTTTACACATACAGCTGGAAGGGGAAATGAAGGAAATGAAGGAAAAAAGAAGGCTCATTTATTTAGCAGATACTATATGTCAGGTCTATACTAAGACAATCTTAATCTGTAAATAGTTATCTTAATCAATGTTTACAATAACCTTGTGAGAAAAGTAGGACTAGCTTTAGTGTTGATGAGATGAGATGAGATGAGATGAGATGAGATGAAAAAACAAAATCACTTACCCAGAGGAGTAACTATGAGGGACAAAACTGAAGCAGAAACCCAGCTTGATTAATTCCAGAGCCCTCTGTCTTTTCACCAGTCTATGCTGGGGGAATTTTTCCTGTACAGGGAGAGTGTAATTTAATGTCATAAGTGTATCTCTAACACCCACTCAAAGGTTGCCATAAGTTCTTTATCTATTTGGTGGTCCCCCTGAGTCTTGAAATTCTAGAAAAACAAATTAATTTTTCTTTTGGTTACTTAATAATCTCTGATATCATTTTTAAACACTTAAATATAGACTTTTTTTCCAGTAGCCCCCAAGAATCACAATTTTACACCCAATTGTCACTGAGAAGTGATGGTGCTTTAAAATCAAGGCTTTCTCTCTTATCACAACTAACTTAAATAATACTATACACATAAGAATATTTGTTATTAAAGTAAAAAAGGAAAAAATAAAAAGCTCCATTTTGCAACAGCTTCTCTGTAATAGAAGACCTGTGAATGTGCCACTAGTTAGAAATAATCACAGTATAAACATTTATGCAGCCAACAAACATATGAAAAAAAAAAGCTAATCATCACTCATCATTAGAAAAATGCAAATCAAAACCACAATGAGATACCATCTCATGCCAGTTAGAATGATGATCATTAAAAAGTCAGGAAACAACAGATGCTGGAGAGGATGTGGAGAAATAGGAACACTTTTACACTGTTGGTGGGAATGTAAATTACTTCAACCATTGTGAAAGAGTCCTCAAGGATCTAGAACCAGAATTACCATTTGACCCAGCAATTTCATTACTGGGTACATACCCAAAGGATTATAAATTATTCTCCTATAAAGACACATGCACGCGTATCAACACTGTTCACAATAGCAAAGACTTGGAACCAAACCCAATACCCATCAATGATAGATTGGATAAAGAAAACATGGCACATATATGCCATGGAATACTACGCAGCCATAAAAAGGATGAGTTCATGTCCTTTGCAGGGACATGGATGAAGCTGAAAACTATCATTCTCAGCAATTAACACAGCAACAGAAAACCAAACACTACATGTTCTTACTCATAAGTGGGAGTTGAACAAAGAGAACACAGGGACACAGGGAGGGGAATATCACACACTGGGACCTTTCAGCGGGTGAGGGGCTAGGGGAGGGATAGCATTAGGAGAAATACCTAATTTAGATGACACATTGATGGGTGCAGCAAACCACCATGTTACGTGTATTCCTATGTAACAAACCTGCACGTTCTGCACATGTATCCCAGAACTTAAAGTATAATAATAATAATAAAAATACAATCCTAGGGTGACAAAGAGAAAACTATACACTGTAACCTGTAATTTTACAATGCAGCCAAAATGAAACTTTCCTTTTCAGGAAAAATTTTTGGGCCATAAGAAGTGATCCACTGTATGAAGTTTCAATTATGCAAGATGAGTAAGTTCCAGAGATCTGTACAGCAATAGTACTTCTAGTTAACAATACTGTGTTATAAACATTTGCTAAGAAGATAGAACTTAAGTGTTCTTATTATAAAAAATTAATGAATGAATGAGTGAGTGAATGGATAAATAGAGCAGGAGGAAACTTTTGGAGGTGATGGATAGGTTTACAGCATTGACGGTGGTGGTTTCACAGGTATACGCTTATCTCTAAACTCACTGAGTTGTATACATTGAATATGTCTGGCTTTTTGTATGTCAATCATACCTCAATAAAGTGGTTTAAAAAAAATTAAGCATCTGGTGGCTGTTACTAAAAAAAAAATAATAATCCCAGTAGTTTGAAGATTAAGTTAATGTTAATCTTATTTAGAAGATTAACTTATATTATTTAAAATGTTATGAGACTAAATATCCATTCAAAAGCACCCCATCCAAACATACTAGAATACTATATCCATTCATTTTAAAGAGCAGAGCACCATTTTAAATTTCTTATACACTTAGTTAAATATGTAAATAATAATAATTCCTTGTACTTGCTTTTAAATGTTATGTATATACACTAAAATTTCTCAATTTTATTGAATGAGTCATATTGCAATAGATATGACATACAGATAGCTATAACGTTTATGTTCCTCCAAATAAGTTTATATTTGCTAAACTTCTTCCCTTAGCCCAGCCAAGAAAAGGAAGTAATTACATGTGATACGGTTTTGTGTCCGTAGCTCAAACTATTAAGAACTGAAACTCCTTTTCAGTGCCAAATCCAGAATCCTAAACCACAGATCTTGCCAGCATATGTTTCTTTTAAAATAAGACTGGACAGATCAACAACCTTGAATTTCTCACTTTCCCCTTGACATTTCATCCCAATCACATCTCAGTATCCAATTAAATGCTTTCACTTACCATTGGAAGGACTGATTATTGCCAGCCTTTACAACAGTGCTTATAGCCATCTGACAGGCCAGCATCAGTTAATCCTAAGAAGGTCCACTTTAATTTGTCACTGTCCTAAAGGTTTGATATTCCCTGGATATAAATTCAAGGCAGGAATGCTTAAAACAGTCAGAAGGCTTAGCTTAAAGCTGAATGCAGCTGGTATATGGATGTATCAATATGCATAATCACTTCAAATCTGCTCTGTCAGTAGACAGGTAAGCTCTTGCTTCTCTGTGCCAGATACTTGGACAGGCACCAGAACAGCCTTCTTACTCTAAAGCTCCATGGCTTCTTTAAACATCACTGAGCCTTCCTCTCTTCTCAGAGGCTACCATGACACCTACGCTCAGAAAGCCATTCCAGGAATAAGTCTCCCTTGGTTAAGACCTTCAGCTAGATGTTTTTAAGCATTGGGAAAAGAATGTGCTGAAACCGTATTGCATCAAACAGTATGAAATTCGAGTACTTAGGGCCAAGGCAGAAGCAATTCTCCTTTATATTCATGAAGAGATTTTGTTTTATAGCATTTTGCAGATATGATAACATCTGTCTGCATAACCTTCCCACAAGGGATGGCAGTGGGAGGACGATTATACAGATTTTTTACATTGGTAATGGCAAACAAAGCCACCAGAGAAGAGAGCAGGGTTATATTTCTAGTCCCTGGAGAGCTGGTGAAATAACTCAGGTCTTTTGAGTCTTAGGAAAATCTGCTTTCTGGTAGCTAGTGAGCTGGTTTCGCTACTCATTAAAGAGCTTGTTTTAAGGGAATACACTTTTAAAAGCCCATTAAATGCTTTTATATCAATTTGAAGGATTAGAATCAGAAACGAAGGCAGGCTATTAGAAAGTACATGCTGTGTCTATAGCATGGGGAAAGAGATTGTGGTTACCCTGTCAGATCTAAAATTTGCTTAACTTTTAAATTCTCTAGTACTAGAGCTCTCTGCACACTTTGGAATCGACAAATTGAGTCAATTTATTGTAGCTGTGATTTCAAATTGGAGTCACGATATTTAAGTCTCCCGTGGACAGGGATACAACAATACCCAATCATTCAGTTTCTTAGCGCTATTCTAGGCCTTATACGATATTCAAAATACAATAAGTCATCCACCAAGTTTTTGATACTTAGAACAACATGCTATTCTAACACAAACACATGTGCCAAAGCTAAAACAGAAACACATTATTTCCACCCATCCTATTGTGGTTTCTCAGCTTTTTATGCAACTTAGCATATAACCTCATATCAAAATTATTTTCCATAATTTATTCATGCTCCTCAGAGAATAGTCAGAGGAAACCACAGGTAGAGACACAGACTGTATCTCTAATTAAAGATACTTTCCTGACAAAGGACAAGCCCTAGCCAAAATTAAAAGGCTTAAGTAGAATTTACTTTTTACTTTCTCTTCCCAATTAACAACCTTCCTTACCTAAATTGTATGACTTTTTCTAAATGCTTCAAAGCCATATGTAAATAAAGAAAAAGAGGTGATGAGCATTTATAGAATGTAAAAGAATCTCAATTCGTGCATTATTCCTCCCACCCAGCTTTTCCTAACACCTACCCCCCGCCCTGCACAGGGCTGAGCCAAGACTAGGCTGCCCCAGCAAGAGTCCATGCCGCATCTACCCACACACATCTCCCCATTTCCATCCCATCAGCCACTACATCCTGTAGTGCATGCCTGTAAAATATTTCTCAATTTTATCTCTTTTTTGCTGGTTTTACTTCATGTCTTTAGCTAATGCTATTTTCATTTCTGGCCTGGAAAACTGCAACATTTTTCTAACAGAAGCCCCTGACTCCAGTCTCATCCTTCAAATCAATGAATTTTCTAAAATAAATTTGTTGGCCAGGCATGAAGGCTCACAGCTGTAATTCCAGCACTTTGGGAGGCCAAGATGGAAGGATCACTTGAGGCCAAGAATTTGAGATAATCTGGCCTTGCAACATAGCAAAACCCTCATATAAAAATGTTAAAAATAGCTAGGCATGGTGGCATGCATCGGTAGCTCCAACTACTTGGGAGGCTGAAGCAGAAGGATCCCTTGAGCCTAAGAGTTTGAGGTTGCAGTCAGCTGTGATCACACCACTGTACTGCAGCCTGAGCAACAGAGGAGACCCTGACTTTAAAAAAAAGGTTATCTTGTTGGCTTTGCCTAAAATCCTTCAGTACTTCCCATAACCTTCTAGAAGATAATGCTGAAACTTCTTACAGTAGAATCACAAGGCTTTCACTAACTGACCTGCGGGCCACCCAAGCCTTGTCTCTCCATGCCTTCAGTGCCTAAGTCACTCAATTACTTCCCCTCTTTTCTGTCACTCATGCACGCCTCTGTCAATACTCCCTCCCAGTTAATTGTTATCCTCATAGACAGTTCACTTTTAAAACTCTGGCGAAGACTTTTCTATCACAGGTGCAATCTTCATTTACTTTCCCATTATATTAAAATTATTTATAAGTTCCATTCATACAACAAATATTTGTTGAGTTTCTTCTCTGTTCCAGACACCCAGATGTGCCTGAGCTCTGAGCAATAGAATATGAGCAAAACAAACAGACTCTGATCCCATGGGGTTTACAGTTTAGTAGGGCGGACAGACCTTAATCAAAGAATCACAAAAGCGTATAATTACAAACCGGTGTTATAAAAGAACACTAACTAGAACTACAGAAACCTGAGCAGGAGGGCCTGATCTAGTCTTTAAGGTGAGGGAAGTCCTCTCTGAGGAAATTGCATTTGAATAACTGCAAAAAGGAAAAAGAGAAGGAGATAAGAAGAAAAGAAATGAGGAAGAAAGAGAGAAATCCAATTAAATTCAAGGGCATCCCAAACAGAGAAAAGAACCTGGCTAAAGACCCTGAATCAGAAGAAAGTTAGGGTTAAGCATGTCAGTCCTAACCTATGTACTGGTGCTTAGAATGTTTCTTTGCTGAAAAATGTTTCTTTGCTGAAAAATGTTTCTTTGCTGTTTTCCACAAGTACACTCAGTAAAGTGAAAATGTATATATTCTAGTTTAATATGGGGTTCCTGGAGTAAACTAAGTCATACAATAAGGCTTATGGGCTCACTATGACATAACCAATATATTTAGAGGCAAGTCCTGTATACCAGACAATTCATGATTTATCAAAACCTTGATGGAAGTGAAATCAGCAACTTTCTCTTGACCAGGAGCTTCCTGCTCCAGCAAGAAATTATTTTCCAATTACTCTTAAGCAAACTCTCTGAATTTTAAGAAATATTCAAATTTTTTTTCTTGAATAATACAAATCATGCAACCTTCAACTTTGTTGCATGGATCTGTTCTTATCCAGATATATAGCACAGAATCCAGATCTAGGAGGCTGTTTAAGAATGGATGTGGCCCAGACAGACATCACTAATTGATGACAACCTTCTTTCCCAAAGAGCATAAACAGCTTTAAAATCTCTCTCATGGAGCACTCCAATCAAGTACTCTTGATCAACCCAAACTTGTTTTAATTCAAATGTGTTTTGGCATTCCCAATCTACTTCTTCTACCTTGAAGTTGAACTATACAATTATTAATGGAATTTTTATTATAGTGACTTTTTAAATAAAGATATATTTGTATTTTCCCTAACAAACCCTGATTCCTCATCCATATTAATAATTAATTAGAAGTAAACAGTGTCTAGTTTCCATTTGGACCACCCTGAAGAATAAACGTGTTCCGAGAGTTCCAGAAGCTAGAAAGTAAGCATTAAACTACACCAATGTCTGTTGATGAGAAAGAGTGTAGATGCAACTCTTTGCTCACAAAGTACAGCAAGAAGGCCTTTTACTCTCTTATCTCTTCTTCTAATGAGCCAGCCCTAAATATAGTACATTTCACAGTACACTGCAAAGGGATTTCTGGCTCCCCGTCAGAACAAGACAAGATAGGACCAGACTCCTGAAGAAGTCTTATGCAACCTGTTAGTATACCAGAGAATGGCCTACCTAACTATACTAGGAAGAGAACATGAGTTTAAAAGCTATCGGGGAAGTCTTCAGCCACAACTTGATCAGGAAGGCAGTACTAGAATGTTTGAACCAGCAAGACAGAGCGTTGTCCCCTCCAAAACAACCCTAAAAACAAAATCAGTACTGAATTGCCAGCATGACGATAATACTATTTTGTTTTATCTTAGCTTTGCCTTGAAAGGACTTTAGAAATGCAACATTTTTCATCTTCCTCTCACTAGCTATGTCTTCCTCTAAATAATTCTCTACGCCATAATCAAAATGATTTTTTAAGATCATGAAATGTTTCATGCTCATCTCCATTTACAATTCTTTACCTGCTCCCTTTGCTGTCAATATTGCTAAGGCTCATCACACTACACATGATCTGAGTCCTGCTCACCTCCTCACCTCTTGCTCCTACATCTCTCACTACTCTCTGCTCTCACCATACTGGACCACCTTGAATTCTTCTCCTACTTCTGGATGTTGTCCATGCCATTTCCTCCATCAGGGAGATGGTGCCACCATCCCTAATTCACCTGGCCATCTCTCCAGCTCCTCTGATAAGATCAGGCGACATATCACCTCTCCTAGGAAGTCTTCTTGGACCACCCTAAATTTAGATTCTGTATCATTGCTACATGCTCCCATAGCATCCAGCCCTTTCTTCATCATAGCACCTACACTGCCTTATATCTGGGGTCATTTTTAGACTGTGTTCTTTGCTACATTAGAAATCCATGAGGGTAGGGATATTATCTGTCTTGTCCATCAAGGAATACCCAGCTCCTAGGACAAGGCCATGCCCATAAAATATGACATGAAAATCACCACATTCTCCAAAATTGAGATACCAACCATTCTTCAGTGAACAAATGAATCTGATTCTCTATCTCACATAACTTTAGGAAATACAGTATCTATTTGGGTTTTCTCCCTAAGTGTTTTTATGGGTCTCTGAAGAAACAGCCCATAAGCCTGCTCCAGTTGCTTCTACTCCCCACAGGCTGTCTTCCTCCCACGATCACCATTACTCATCCTTCATCCTTGGTTGCTTCATATCTGCTCTGGAAGCTGCTGTTCTCCTGTACCACTTGGCTCTCTCCTGGTGTATTTTCATAGCAAAATACCACCAATGTGATGGCTTAAAACAATACCCATTGATTATATCAGTTTCTGTGGGTCAGGATTCCAGATACAGATTAGTTGAGTGCTTTGCTCAGAGTGACTCCGGGCTGCTATCACAGTGTCAGCCAGGGTTAAAAATCTCAGTTGAGTCTTAGCATCTACCTGCAAGCTCCCTGGATCTTGGCTTTATGACTGAGAGCTATGTTTTCTTGCTTGCTGTTGGCCAGAGACTTCTCTCAGTTGGGAGTTGTTTTCAGGCCCTTGCTATTTAGCCTTCTCCTCTCACAGCATGGCAGCTTACTCCTTTATGGCCAGGAGGAGAATACCTGCTGCTGCTTCTTGTCTTTATCCTTTAAAGGCTCCCCCAAGATAGGTCAGGACAGCCCATAAAACCTCCCTTTTGGTTAACTTCAACTCAGTGAATTAGGGTACTATATTGTATCTCCAGAATCCTTTTTGCCTTATGAAATAACATAATCACAAGAGAGATATCCCATCATATTCACGAAGTTCACCCACATTCAAGGGAAGACTACATAAGACATAAATGCCAGGAAGCAGGAATCTTGAGAGACATCTTATAATTCTTCCAAACACACCTGGAAAGAGAAAATTCCTTCAGTTCTACAAAATACAGATATGAGCTGGCTGTGGTATTTAAAATAAAACATTAGGGGGGTGGAGTCAAGATGGCTGAATAGGAACAGCTCCAGTCTACAGCTCCCAGCGTGAGTGACATAGAAGACGGGTGATTTCTGCATTTCCATCTGAGGTACCGGGTTCATCTCACTAGGGAGTGCCAGACAGTGGGTGCAGGACAGTGGGTGCAGTGCACCTTGTGCGAGCCGAAGCAGGGTGAGGCATTGCCTCACTTGGGAAGCGCAAGGGGTCAGGGAGTTCCCTTTCCTAGTCAAAGAAAGGGGTGACAGACGGCACCTGGAAAATCGGGTCACTCCTACCCTAATACTGCGCTTTTCCAAAGGGGTTAAAAAACGGCACACCAGGAGATTACATCCCACACCTGGCTCAGAGGGTCCTATGCCCACGGAGTCTCGCTGATTGCTAGCACAGCAGTCTGAGATCAAACTGCAAGGCGGCAGCGAGGCTGGGGGAAGGGCACCTGCCATTGCCCAGGCTTGCTTAGGTAAACAAAGCAGCTGGGAAGCTCGAACTGGGTGGAGCCCACCACAGCTCAAGGAGGCCTGCCTGCCTCTGTAGGCTCCACCTCAGGGGGCAGGGCACAGACAAACAAAAAGACAGCAGTAACCTCTGCAGACTTAAATGTCCCTGTCTGACAGCTTTGAAGAGAGTAGTGGTTCTCCCAGCACACAGCTGGAGATCTGAGAACGGGCAGACTGTCTCCTCAAGTGGGTCCCTGACCCCCGAGCAGCCTAACTGGGAGGCACCCCCTAGTAGGGGCAAACTGACACCTCACACGGCCGGGTACTCCTCTGAGACAAAACTTCCAGAGGACCAATCAGGTAGTAGCATTTGCGGTTCACAAAAATCCACTGTTCTACAGCCACCACTGTTCTGCAGCCACCGCTGATGATACCCAGGCAAACAGGGTTCTGGACTGGACCTCTAGCAAACTCCAACAGACCTGCAGCTGAGGGTCCTGTCTCTTAGAAGGAAAACTAACAAACAGAAAGGACATCCACACCAAAAACCCATCTGTACATCACCATCATCAAAGACCAAAAGTAGATAAAACCACAAAGATGGGGAAAAAACAGAGCAGAAAAACTGGAAACTCTAAAAAGCAGAGCGCCTCTCCTCCTCCAAAGGAACACAGTTCCTCACCAGCAATGGAACAAAGCTGGACGGAGAATGACTTTGACGAGTTGAGAGAAGAAGGCTTCAGTCGATCAAACTACTCCGAGCTACAGGAGGAAATTCAAACCAATGGCAAAGAAGTTAAAAACTTTGAAAAAAAATTAGGCAAATGTATAACTAGAATAACCAATGCAGAGAAGTGCTTAAAGGAGCTGATGGAGCTAAAAGCCAAGGCTCGAGAACTACGTGAAGAATGCAAAAGCCTCAGGAGCTGATGCAATCAACTGGAAGAAAGGGTATCAGTGATGGAAGATGATATGAATGAAATGAAGCAAGAAGGGAAGTTTAGAGAAAAAAGAATGAAAAGAAACGAACAAAGTCTCCAAGAAATATGGGACTATGTGAAAAGACCAAATCTACGTCTGATTGGTGTACCTGAAAGTGATGGGGAGAATGGAACCAAGTTGGAAAACACTCTACAGGATATTATCCAGGAGAACTTCCCCAATCTAGCAAGGCAGGCCAACATTCAGATTCAGGAAATACAGAGAACGCCACAGAGATACTCCTCGAGAAGAGCAATTCCAAGACACATAATTGTCAGATTCACCAAAGTTGAAATGAAGGAAAAAATGTTAAGGGCAGCCAGAGAGAAAGGTCGGGTTACCCACAAAGGGAAGCCCATCAGACTAACAGCGGATCTCTCGGCAGAAACCCTACAAGCCAGAAGAGAGTGGGGGCCAATATTCAACATTCTTAAAGAAAAGAATTTTCAACCCAGAATTTCATATCCAGCCAAACTAAGCTTCATAAGTGAAGGAGAAATAAAATACATTACAGATAAGCAAATGCTGAGGGATTTTGTCACCACCAGGCCTGCCCTAAAAGAGCTCCTGAAGGAAGCACTAAACATGGAAAGGAACAACCGGTATCAGCCACTGTAAAAACACACCAAATTGTAAAGACCATCAACGCTAGGAAGAAACGACATCAACTAATGAGCAAAATAACCAGCTAACATCATAATGACAGATCAAATTCACACATAACAATATTAACCTTAAATGTAAATGGGCTAAATGCTCCAATTAAAAGACACAGACTGGCAAATTGGATAAAGAGTCAAGACCCATCAGTGTGCTGTATTCAGGGAACCCATCTCATGTGCAGAGACACACATAGGCTCAAAATAAAAGGATGGAGGAAGCTCTATCAAGCAAATGGAAAACAAAAAAAGGCAGGGGTTGCAATTCTAGTCTCTGATAAAACAGATTTTAAACCAACAAAGATCAAAAGAGACAAAGAAGGCCATTACATAATGGTAAAGGGATCAATTCAACAAGAAGAGCTAACTATCCTAAATATATATGCACCCAATACAGGAGCACCCAGATTCATAAAGCAAGTCCTGAGTGACCTACAAAGAGACTTAGACTCCCACACAATAATAATGGGAGACTTTAACACCCCACTGTCAACATTAGACAGATCAACAAGACAGAAAGTTCACAAGGATACCCAGGAATTGAACTCAGCTCTGCACCAAGCGGACCTAGTAGACATCTACAGAACTCTCCACCCCAAATCAACAGAATATACATTTTTTTCAGCACCACACCACACCTATTCCAAAATTGACCACATACTTGGAAGTAAAGCACTACTCAGCAAATGTAAAAGAACAGAAATTATAACAAACTGTCTCTCAGACCACAGTGCAATCAAACTAGAACTCAGGATTAAGAAACTCACTCAAAACTGCTCAACTACATGGAAACTGAACAACCTGCTCCTGAATGACTACTGGGTACATAACGAAATGAAGGCAGAAATAAAGATGTTCTTTGAAACCAACAAGAACAAAGACACAACATACCAGAATCTCTGGGAAACATTCAAAGCAGTGTGTAGAGGGAAATTTATAGCACTAAATGCACAAAAGAGAAAGCAGGAAAGATCCAAAGTTGACACCCTAACATCACAATTAAAAGAACTAGAAAAGCAAGAGCAAACACATTCCAAAGCTAGCAGAAGGCAAGAAATAACCAAAATCAGAGCAGAACTGAAGGAAATAGAGACACAAAAAACCCTTCAAAAAATTAATGAATCCAGGAGCTGGTTTTTTGAAAAGATCAACAAAATTGATAGACCGCTAGCAAGACTAACAAAGAAGAAAAGAGAGAAGAATCAAATAGACGCAATAAAAAATGATAAATGGGATATCACCACCGATCCCACAGAAATACAAACTACCATCAGAGAATACTACAAACACCTTTACGCAAATAAACTAGAAAATCTAGAAGAAATGGATAAATTCCTTGACACATGCACCCTCCCAAGACTAAACTAGGAAGAAGTTGAATCTCTGAATAGACCAATAACAGGATCTGAAATTGTGGCAATAATCAATAGCTTACCAACCATAAAGAGTCCAGGACCAGACGGATTCACAGCCGAATTCTACCAGAGGTACAAGGAGGAGCTGCCACCATTCCTTCTGAAACTATTCCAATCAATGGAAAAAGAGGGAATCCTCGCTAACTCATTTTATGAGGCCAGCATCATCCTGATACCAAAGCCTGGCAGAGACACAACCAAAAAAGACAATATTAGACCAATATCCCTGATGAACATCGATGCAAAAATCCTCAATAAAATACAGGCAAACCGAATCCAGCAGCACATCAAAAACCTTATCCACCATGATCAAGTGGGCTTCATCCCTGGGATGCAAGGCTGGTTCAATATACGCAAATCAATAAATGTAATGCAGCATATAAACAGAACCAAAGACAAAAACCACATGATTATCTCAATAGATGCAGAAAAGGCCTTTGACAAAATTCAACAATCCTTCAGGCTAAAAACTCTCAGTAAATTAGGTATTGATGGGATGTATCTCAAAATAATAAGAGCTATGTATGACAGACCCACAGCCAATATCATACTAAATGGGCAAAAACTGGAAGCATTCCCTTTGAAAACTGGCACAAGACAGGGATGCCCTCTCTCACCACTCCTATTCAACATAGTGTTGGAAGTTCTGGCCAGGGCAACTAGGCAGGAGAAGGAAATAAAGGGTATTCAATTAGGAAAAGAGGAAGTCAAATTGTCCCTGTTTGCAGACGACATGATTGTATTTCTAGAAAACCCCATTGTCTCAGCCCAAAATCTCCTTAAGCTGATAAGCAACTTCAGCAAAGTCTCAGGATACAAAATCAATGTACAAAAATCACAAGCATTCTTATACACCAATAACAGACAAACAGAGAGCCGAATCATGCATGAACTCCCATTCACAATTGCTTCAAAGAGAATAAAATACCTAGGAATCCAACTTACAAGGGATGTGAAGGACCTCTTCAAGGAGAACTACAAAACACTGTTCAATGAAATAAAAGAGGATACAAACAAATGGAAGAACATTCCATGCTCATGGGTAGGAAGAATCAATATCATGAAAATGGCCATACTGCCCAAGGTAATTTACAGATTCAATGCCATCCCAATCAAGCTACCAATGACTTTCTTCACAGAATTGGAAAAAACTACTTTAAAGTTCATATGGAACCAAAACAGAGCCTGCATCGCCAAGTCAATCCTAAGCCAAAAGAACAAAGCTGGAGGCATCACACTACCTGACTCAAACTACACTACAAGGCTACAGTAACCAAAACAGCATGGAACTGGTACCAAAACAGCGATATAGATCAATGGAACAGAACAGAGCCCTCAGAAATAATGCCGCATATCTGCAACTATCTGATCTTTGACAAACCTGACAAAAACAAGCAATGGGGAAAGGATTCCCTATTTAATAAATGGTTCTGGGAAAACTGGCTAGCCATATGTAGAAAGCTGAAACTGGATCCCTTCCTTTCACCTTACACAAAAATTAATTCAAGATGGATTAAGACTTAAATGTTAGACCTAAAACCATAAAAACCCTAGAAGAAAACCTAGGCAATACCATTCAGGACATAGGCATGGGCAAGGACTTCATGTCTAAAACACCAAAAGCAATGGCAACAAAAGCCAAAATTGACAAATGGGATCTCATTAAACTAAAGAGCTCCTGCACAGCAAAAGAAACTACCATCAGAGTGAACAGGCAACCTACACAATGGGAGAAAATTTTCACAACCTACTCATCTGACAAAGGGCTAATATCCAGAATCTACAATGAACTCAAACAAATTTACAAGAAAAAAACAAACAACCCCATCAAAAAGTGAGCAAAGGATATGAACAGACACTTCTCAAAAGAAGACATTTATGCAGCCAAAAAACACATGAAAAAAATGCTCATCATCACTGGCCATCAGAGAAATGCAAATCAAAACCACAATGAGATACCATCTCACACCAGTTAGAATGGCAATCATTAAAAAGTCAGGAAACAACAGGTGCTGGAGAGGATGTGGAGAAATAGGAACACTTTACACTGTTGGTGGGACTGTAAACTAGTTCAACCATTGTGGAAGTCAGTGTGGCGATTCCTCAGGGATCTAGAACTAGAAATACCATTCGACCCAGCCATCCCATTACTGGGTATATATCCAAAGGACTATAAATCATGCTGCTATAAAGACACGTGCACACGTATGTTTATTGAGGCACTATTCACAATAGCAAAGACTTGGAACCAACCCAAATGTCCAACAATGATAGACTGGATTAAGAAAATGTGGCACATATACACCATGGAATACTATGCAGCCATAAAAAATGATGAGTTCATGTCCTTTGTAGGGACATGGATGAAACTGGAAATCATCATTCTCAGCAAACTATCGCAAGGACAAAAAACCAAACACCACATGTTCTCACTCATAGGTGGGAACTGAACAACGAGAACACATGGGCACAGGAAGGGGAACATCACACTCCGGGGACTGTTGTGGTGTGGGGAGAGCGGGGAGGGATAGCATTAGGAGATATACCTAATGCTAAATGATGAGTTAATGGGTGCAGTACACCAACATGGCACATGTATACATATGTAACAAACCTGCACATTGTGCACATGTACCCTAAAACTTAAAGTATAATATTAATAATAATAAATTAACAAAATTTTGAGTATAGCCAAAGGAATGGCAACTTAGAAAACTTAAAACTGAATTTGACCATCAAGACCCATAGAATTCAAAGATCATGGCCTTCTACAAAAGACCAGCTTTCAGTGAGGCCAGAATACTTGCCCACTAGGAAGGGCTTTTGAGCATCTCTCCCATCCAGATTCCAGCAATTTTTGCCTTAGCCAAACTGAGGCCAGGGGAGAGCAATAAAAACTAAGTTTTCTACTTACCCCTATTTTCTTCCCACACCTAGTGCTTATAATAATCTTCTGAGAGTACACTCACTTTTTGAAAAAAGAAAAACTTTCACATTATCATAAAAAGCAGTTTACCTATTCATTGTCTTAAACATTTTCATTCCAGAACAGAATCTGTTTCCAAGTGTGGAATTCTAGCTTCACTTTTTAGAACAACAGGAAAAATAAACTGCTGACAGTTTATTATTGAGAACTATTATTGACAGTTAATATTGAGAGCAGTCTTGTCTAAAGCACCTCATCATACCAGACTTCCAGGTCTGGGTAAGCATCCCCTTCCCAGGTACTCCCACAGCATTCTAGATTCCTCCTCAGAATACTTTTCCCAAGAAATGCTAGAATACCTGCTGATTATCTACATCCTTCCTGTAACTTCATAAGGACAAGAACCATATCTGCTTTGCTCTTTAAGTAGTATTTTACCATAGAACCATAGGGCAGTTCCAGCCTAAATACACATTAGAATCTCCTGGGAAATTTTGTTCATTCATTTGTTTGTTTCCATATTTGTTTGCTTTTAGTACAAATGTGCGAGCCTCATCTCAATTGGATTAGAATCTCTGAGAGTGGATCTTGGAAAACAATTTTTGTTAAACTATTTTGTTTCACATGCTCAAAAGACTGCACGTCAGCAGAAGTGACTCCACTTCAGGCTGCAGGTCAACAGGTTGGTTTTAGTGGTCCTGATCCATATCTCCTCTTGGAGCCTAGGCTGGTAAAGTGGTTATCTAGAGAACCTCAAAGCAGAGATTAAAAAAACTTCTAGAATTTTCTCTTTGAGACAAAATCGAGTAACAGGGATTATATTTACCCTTCTGCCTGAAACAACCCCAAAAATGGACAAAACATAGGAAACAATGGTTTTCAAGAACACCGGACATCAGGAAATGAAGGATGGTGATCCCTGATAGAAGACAACACAAACAAGCTGAGCTCTACAATTGCCTCATTTAGGTGCTGCAGTGTAAGAAGGGGAAACCCAGGCAAGAACCCATTTGACTCCCTGACTTGAGGAAATGGAGCACCATCTACAATGAAGCTACTAGAATAAACAGATAAGTCTAGCAAAGTTGCATGACATAAGATGCAAAAATCAGTTGTTTATCTATATAGTAGCAACAAACAACCAAAAATGGAAACAGAATGTCATACCAACTATAATTGCCTAAAAAAGGAAATACAAATAAATCTGACAAAAGATGTGCAACACCAGTATACTAAAAACTAATAAAAAGGACCAAAAAATTGAAAAATATACCAATATCAGAAGAGCCAATATTTTTAAGATGGTAATTTTCTCCATTTTCTCCACACTGATTCATGGGTTCAAGGTATTTACAAATAAAATCACAGCAGGCTTTTAAATTAAATTTTTAAACTGACTCTAAAATTCATATGGAAAAGCAAAGGACCTAAAACAGTTAAAACTACTTGGCAAAGAGAACGATAATTTGGAGAATTTATAATACCTAATTTTAAAACTTATTTTAAAACCACAATAATCATGACAGTGTGGTTTTAGCACAAATAACAGAAAAACAGATCAATGGAACAGTCCATAAATAGAGCCTCATATACATGAGCAACTGATTATCAACAAAGATGTAAAGTAATTCAGTGGAAAAAGGGTAATATTTTCAACAAATGACACAAGAAATATTGGATATTCAGATAAAGACATTGAACTTTGACTTATACTTTGTACCATTTACAAAAATTATATCAAGTTCATCGCAAACCTAAATGTAAAACCAAAAACAATAAAACATATAGAAGGAAACATAGAAGAAAGCATTTTTTTTTTTTTTTTTTTTTTTTTTTTTTTTGAGACAGAGTCTCATTCTGTCACCAGGCTGGAGTGCAGTGATGCGATCTTGGCTCACTGCAACATTCACCTCCTGGGTTTAAGCAATTCCCCTGCCTCAGCCTCCTGAGTATCTGGGACTACAGGTGTGCAGCACCATGCCCAGCTAATTTTTTGTGTTTTAGTAGAGACAGGGTTTCACCATGTTGGCCAGGATGGTCACGATCTCCTGACCTCATAATCCACCCACCTCGCCCTCCCAAAAAGTTTCTTAATTACAACAAGAAAAGTACAATTCATAAAAGAACAAATTGATAAATGGACTTCATCATTTTTGTTCTTTGAAATAACATTGTTTAAAAATGAAAAGGGAAGCTATATACTGGGAGAAGATAATTTCAAATCATACAGCTAATAAAGCACTTGATCCAGAGTATATCAAGAACTTCCAAAACTCAATTAGAAGAAAACAAAAAAAATCAATACATCATAGGTAAAAGATTTAATAGACATTTTACCAACGGAAAAATACACATGACAAATAAACCCATGAAAAGATGTCCAACGTCATTTGTCATTTGAGAAATAAAAATTAAAACTCGTTGAGATACCACTAAATCCTAATGGAATGGTTAAAATTTAAAAATACTGACAATACCAAGTGTTGACAAGAATGTGGAGGAAATGGATCTTCCATACAATAATGGTGGAAGTGTATAATGTTGCAACTACTTTGGAAAACAGTTTGTCAGTTTCTTTAAAAATTAAACACACATCTACCATAAGATTCAGTTATTCCTCTCCTAGGAATTCATCCAAAAGAAAACATCTGTTCATACAAAGGCTGTTACATACGTGTTCATCTCAGCTTTCTTTGTAAGAACTAAAAACTGAGAACAGCCCAAATGTCCATCAATAAGTTAATGGATAAACAAGCTGTTCTATATCCATACAGAATAGAATGCAAAGGAATAAACTTTTGATATACACTACAATATGGATGGACTCCAAAATAATTATGCTGAACAAAAGAAACAAGAAAAAAGAGAATGCCTACTATATAATTCCATTTATATAAAATTCAAAAAATGTGAACTAATCTATAGTGAAAGAAAGCAGATCAGTTTTTGCCTAGGTACGGAGGAAATCAGTCAAGAATAAGAGGAGAAAGATTTTTAGGGAGACACTAAGAAACTTTTGAGGCTGTTGAGTATGTTCATTATCTTGATTGTGAAAATGATATCAAGTTAAATGTTTTAAATATGTACAATTTATTGATTGTCAGTTTTATCTCAAAATAGGTATTTTGTTGGAAAGAAGGAAGGAGAAACAAAAGAAAATAGAGAAAATCCACAGCTGCCCTCTCAATATAAAAACTAATTAATTAATAACTGCTAACATAGAAATCTATATTCAGTAAAAAATGGTTATCAGAAATTTAGAAGAAATAAAAATATTGTCAGAAAAAAGCTAAGACTTTATCACCAACAGAGCAGGACAAATAGGAACTCAATATCAAAAGGAAAATTCACTTAAAAAGAACCTCAGAGACATACAAAGAAATAAAGATCAATAAAAACTACAAATAGATAGGTAAACCCAAATGAATATTAAATGTAAAACAAAATAAGGTCTCACTGAATTTAAAATGTATATAGAAGAAAGACAAAAATGACAAGTGAGTCAGCAAAAACTAAATTGAATAACAGTTATTTGCATTGTCTAGGAATAATTAAAAAAAAATACTGATTGGTATTTTACTTTGGAAAATCAGTAATACATATTCAATAGTGGTTGCCTTTGTGGGCAGAGAGGAAACACAATAGAACTTCTGAAGTAGTGGCAATATTCATCTCTTGACCTGGATGATAGTTATGGATATTTGCTTTGAAATAAATCATTGAGCTTTGTAATGAACCATATTTGCTTTGTAATGAATTAGATTTGTTTTAGGTATTTTTTGCATATGCATTTTATATTTTATATTTTATACTTAAATGTTTTAAAATGCTGAGGAAAAAAAAAAAATTCCAAAGAGTAAGTCCAACTCCCAAACATTTTTCAAGCCTCTACTCATATTCCGTTGCCCAAAGTATATCATATGGTATTGCCCAAAGTCCAGAGTTGGAAAGTACACTTCACTATTCACTAGGCCAGGGATTGGCAAACTTCTTCTGTAAAAAGCCAAATACAAACTGCTTTAAGTTTTGCAGGCCACATACAGTTCTTCTGCATATTTTGTCTCTTTTTAAACCCTTTAAACATGTAAAAACCATTATTAGCTGAAGACTTTACAAAATAAAAAACTGCAGTTAGAGCTGACCCAGTTAGATTTGGCCATAGATTGCCAACCACTGCATTAGGCCAGGATAATATGACTATAGAAAGTTTTAGAAAGTGGGACCAATAATTTAATCTGCTGCACTTTACCTCCTTGTTTACAGCTATTCATATCTACTGCTATGGTCTGATTTTGCCTTCAAAATTCTTGTGTTGGAAACTTAAATCCCAATGCAACAATGTTGGGAGGTGAAGCCTGAAGGGAGATGTTTAAGTCATGAGGTCTCTGCCCTTCTGAATGAATTAATGCCCTTATAAGAAGGGTTTGGGCATTGGGCTTGCTCTCTTTTGCTCTTCTGCCATGTGAGGACACAAGGTTCATCTTCGTTGCCCTTCTACCTTCTGCTATGTGAGGACTAGCAAGAAGGTCCTTAGCAGACACCAGATGCCAGCAGCTTGATCATGGACTTTCTAGCCAACAAAACTATGAGAAATAAATTTCTGCTCTTTATAAATTATGTAGTCTGTGGTATTCTGTCCATCTGCAGCACAAATAGGCCCTACTATGAGCAAAATACATTCATCCTAAGACACTCAAAAATTCACCCCAACACAACATCAAACTAAAGTCCTGATCTACATCAGGTCCGAATGTGGCCACTCTTGATCTGTAGATCTAGGAAGTAAAAAGACAAGTTCTACCATGGTGTCAAAAGGGACAAGGTCACTGCAGTAAACACTGCCACACGAAAAGGGGAAGAATGGCAGGCATATTTTAATCACTGGTCTCTGGACATTTTGAAATTATATTGGGCAGTTATTGTCAGGTCTTCTTCTGTAAAGGAAAGAAATTTCCTCTGATAAGACTCTGGTTCTACTCCATGTAAATGGGTCAGTGCCTTTCCGGGAAAGGTGGATTTTTTTTTTTTCTCTCATGGTAGCCATCAGAATCTCCCACAAGGCAAACTTAGTCATGCAAGCACATTTATTTTCTGCTACTATGCCATTTGTCAAAGCAAGTCTCATGGCCAAGTCAAAAGTCAAAAAGAAGAGTACATTACTGTACATCCACCTTGAAGGCTTAACAAGCATATGGTTCCATAATACTACAACAAAAGAGTGAAGCCTCAGGGTCAATAACTTAATCTTCCGAAAGAACCCTGTTTTATAATATAACGCCATAAAAGTTTGACCTGTCATTATTCCACATTAAGGCTGTCATTTGGGAATAAATTAGATCCCAAATCAGGGTCAACTGAATATAAACATAAATATTTTCATTTATAACAATGAATATTAAACTTTAACAAATATTTGAAGTCAATAAATAATATTTTTAAAGTAATTGCTAATAAATTTTATTCAGAAAGAATGTCTAATAGTTAAAAAGGAGCACTTAATGTCAAGAAATAATATACCTATACTGAAACCAATTTATGTGAAAATGGATTTTAGTTGATTCAATGCTCATTATGAGCTGACATTGTAATGAGCCTTCCAAAAACCTAATGGAGTTAGGCCACATTTTAAAAGTAGACTACCCAACTCAGGGGATACCATCACTATTCTTTTGACTGTTCAGACTGCATTTTATAAAATATGTTCCATTCTGAGAGCCACATTTTAAGAAAAACATTGATGAAATGAAATGCGTCTATAGTAAGGTGCCCAAGAAAATGAAGGGTCTTGGAATAATGCCATATAATAAACATTTAAAGAAATTTGGAAAGTTCACTTAGAAAAGAAAAAGGAAAAATATCTTGAAACGTTTCCAGGCTGTCATTTGGAAGAGGAAATAGACTTATTCATTGTTGCTATAGATCAAGGGTTGGCCAACTTTTTCTGTAATAGACCAGCTAGAAAGTAAATATTTAGACCTTGCAGACTGTGTAGTCTTTGTGCAACCATGCACTTTACCATTGTAACAGTAACGCGGTCACAGACAAACTAATGTGCATGAATGTATTCAATAAAACCTTATTTTTAGACATTGAAATTTGAATGTTACAACTATAGTTTTTCCATTTTTTCAACAGTTTAAAATTTTTAAAAATATTTTTAGTTCACAGACTATACAAAAAGGCCAACTTTGGCCCACTTGCAAAGTATGCGAACCTCTGCTATAGATGACAGCATAAGTCATTGGGTCCCAGTTACAAGAAAGCAAGTATCAGCAAAAAAAAAAAAAAATCATAATTAAAAAAACATAAATTGAGTTGCTGGGCAGATGCTATTGACTCCCTGCCCCGACATCTTTTTGGCTTGCCATTGAGTTCAAAGGACAGTTCCTCTGCAAACTGATAACTGTCCATGTTAAATACCCTCTACTGGGCTACTCTGCCTGAGAACTTTCTCCAGAATCACAGGAGTTAGCAAAGCCCATCTGCAGGGGAGCCTGGGAATGCTGAGGATCAAATTCTACCTGATCAGTGTCAGTCAATGAGGGCAAGGAGAGGAGGAATAAATATCTCGGCTTTCCCACCTTGGTGGAAAAATTCTAAGGTGGGTTCCGCACTGTTTATCAGGGAATCCCTGTTGTAACTAAGCCCCAGTTGCCTACAGTGATAACACTCTCTAATAAAAACTATACTGGCTCTCCCCCCTTTTATGCCTCACTTTGTTCACTCTCTCACTTGGACTTCTAAGGACCACTATTCCTTAAGGCCTTATCTCAGATTCTGCTTTCTGCAAACTCAAATTTAAACAGATGTGTCAGTTTGTGGTAATAAACTACCTTTAAGGACAAGATGATCACTTGCTATCAAAATCATGGAAGGGCTTTTCAAGTTAGACCAGTGGTTCTCAATTGATTTTGCCCCATGTGACATTTGGTCTGAAAATATTTTTATTGTCACAACTGCCCCTACCTCTACCTGACACCCAGTGAGTAGAGGAAAGAGATACTGCTGAACACAAGACATGGAACAGTTCCACAAGACATGGAACAGTCCCACATGACAAAGAGTTATCCAGTCCAATGTCTTAAGTTAATGCTGAGTTTGAAAAACCCTTGAGTTAGGCCGGAGATTCATCCAAATGGCCTCTAAAGTCCTGTAACTACTCTAAATGTCTATGATTTTTAAGAAATCACACTTAGGTTCTTAGCCCAAATGAGTTTCAAGAGATTCATAATACCTTGGAAATTAGGTGCAGAATTTTTTGCCTGTGTCTATTTTTGCATTTTTGGGGAGAGAGTGTCCACAGCATTCATAAATTTCTCTAAGGGGTCTGTAACCCATAAAGGTTAAGAACCAAACTCTGTAATAAATAATTCTTAATAATTTTACCTTAGGTCTAAATCTTTAGTCACCTTTTTTTTTCTCTTCCATAGTAATAAGGAATGCAAGAATTGACTTTTCAGATTTGATAGCCCTTCTTCCTAAGGCTGTGTAATTCTGATAGGTGCAAGAAGCAGACAAAGAAACTGAATTTAGTTAATTATGCCACATTAGGAGGACACGAACTTCCTGGAAATCAATCTGGCACTCTTCTCAAGTACTAAGAAAACTATTTTTTTAAATCCTTGATTAATATAGCTCAGCAAACATTACTACATACTGAGGAAGGAACCGAACAAATGAAAATTGCATAGAAAGAAGTCTTTTATATCCTCTCATTCCAAATATTTTTGGACACAAAGCCACTGCCAACAAGGTGCCTAAGATAAAGAATTGGTATAGACCTTCCCTTCTGTAGATTTCTTAAAATGGGGCCATATAAATCAAACAGGATTACTTCATCTGCGGCTAAGAATTCTATAGAGACATATTTAAC
Organism: Homo sapiens; assembly: GCF_000001405.40. NCBI lineage: Eukaryota > Metazoa > Chordata > Mammalia > Primates > Hominidae > Homo > Homo sapiens. The sequence goes on along the minus strand of NC_000002.12, from coordinate 183,440,175 downwards.
CTATAAGAGATGGCAGAACCTGGCCAAGTTCTGCCTTTTAGGTAATAAATTCTACTACTGTTCTAACTCTGCTTTCAGAGTTTTCTCTAGTTTTATTTTAGGGCAAGATATGTGGATTTGTCTGCAATATTAGAGTTTTGTTTTGCAAGGATCCAAAGTTTGCTGCCTTAGATTAATTATGACTGTTCTTGCATTCTCGCATTGTGTATATACAAAAGAAAGAGCAAAGTAAGAACAACTAAACTTGTATAATATAAATTCAATGGAAAATGTAAATCAGACATAAAAATACTCAGAAATAACATGATATGTAATTTTCTAATGATAGATATCATTTATGAAAACTTGCTATATGCCAGGTATGATAGACTCAGAGAGAGAGAATAGGATATAGATCAATATGTAGGTAAATTTAAAACTTACAATAATTACCTGAGCCAGGAACCCAGGTCTCTCTGGCTTCAAAACTCATTCTTAGCCCCACAATACAATACCACTGTATATTATATGAGTCCAGTTACAAAAAGTTAGGGAGATTTAAATCTCTGCACTTGGAATATATGAGCTACCAAAGAAAATTTAGGAAAGTAGCTAGAGGTAATAACCTGACTGAAAAAGTTTTAACCTTCAGAGAAATTTAGAGCATCACAGGCCTATGTGCTTTGCAAATGAGCTGAGGGTGTGAGGTGTTCATCACCAAAAGAGGCCAGGGCTTTGTAGGAGGCATAAATAAGTATTCAGACTTTGAAAGAGACACTAGAAGTTGGCTTCTATCAAAAGTAGGAGTCTGAGTCTGTTAGAAGTCTCAGAGCAAGAAGTCATCTACCACTCAACGACTAAGAAAGCTGAGCTGAGAATCAGGCCTAGAAGAAGTAGAAATCCTAACTTACCCCTGGTTTTGACAATTCACTATAAAATCAATTTAGATGAACAGAATAATTCAGAAAGATAAGGGTGAAGGGTAAGGTTAAGACTTCTGAGACTTGGAAACACACAGAGTGAAGACAGTAACTGACTGTCAGCCTGTACTCCACAGGGGATATTTCCTGTGAAGAAGTGGAGGAGCAGCAGATAGGAAAATGCTTCTGTATATGTATTGGACATTTTCAGCTTTAAACCACAGAATCTGAATTCAGCCTATTCAAGGGTAAAAAAATACTAGCCATATAACTGAACACTTCAGGAATAAATCTAGATTCAATTATTGCTAGATCAAGAGGATCAGAGATGGCCAGAGAACTTTCACCCCATCTCAATTCTACTTTTCTAGACTGTCTCTATAATGGAAAGGTGGCCACCAGAAGCTGCAGCTTTCAAGGTCCTAAAAAATTATAATCTTAAAGAAAAAGAAAGCTTATTTTCCTGATTGCTCTGACAAAAGTCAGCATCTGTCTGACCTGGCTTGGATCATGTGACGATCCCTGAACCAATCACTGTCACCTGATAGAGTAGGCTGGCCCTGCCTCTGTCACACATCCTCCCTGGCCATGCTTTGGGAAGAATGGGGGTCAAAATGAAGCTCATCCAACCACAGGGACAGAGCATAGGTGGGAGGGGTAATCTCCTATAAGAAGGGATACTCGGCAGAAAAAAATAAAAATAGAAATATTACATCAAAGGCTGCAACAGGGCTTGCTTTGCAAGTATGGATTAAAACTCACTGCAGCCTAGAGCTAGAGATATACCCGTGGGTGGCAGGGGGTAGAAAGTCACACTTCAAGCATTTAAGCATTATTGAATATCTACTACCATATTTCATTGGCTCTAAGATGTACATTTTTCACATTTTAACAACTGAGATATCAGAATGTTTCTCACAATGAATGACATTCTACAATTGCTGTCAGCCAGGGGGCAACTGTGATATAGTTTTTATAATCTGCCAAGAACTTGATCCTAGTTCTTCATATTTTTATCCTTTTAATTAAGTTATGTGCATTGTTAATATTCGTAGAGTTTGTTTTTAAAAAATACCATCCAAAAGATTAAACTATGATGCATCATTGAAAAAAATGTTATTATATACACAGAAAAGGAATTTGTATGATGGAGCATACATTTAATATTAATGAAGCACATATGCATGGTTTGGAGAATAATGGCTGTTTTATATTTTCTTGCAAAGTAACACAAAGTGCTTTCTGATAACTTAGAAAGGAAGGATGACACCCACAAGTAAATGAAGCCATATTACATTTTTTACTGATATACGTAAAAAGTATTGCCTTTCACAAGCCAAGAAATGCCCCTAAAGAAAGTAACATTAAATGATAAATATTTCTGTCTAAATAGTCCAAAATAACTCTTTAATATCAAATTCCAATACATTTATTAAAGTAGTGATATATTTATTAAAATATTTTTACATTTATTACATTTTTAAAGTAATAATAAATCATTCATATAAGTGGTAACATTTGTTAGTAGTACATAAAATAATGTTTTATCTTAAAATCAATAACAAGATTTGACTAAAGACAATATATGACAGCCACTGTGGTAGATAGCAAAAGTGCAAAGGGAAATAATTCACAGTTCCTATATTTGAGGTACGCAGTGTCCAATGGGGTATAATAGAAGAAGGTTACAAGGACAACCTTCACCAGGCCAGAGACTTTACCTTGAGTACTGCACATCCCTCTGTATTCTGGCCCAATCTCCATTTCTAAAGCATTATAGGGAAAACATTTATGAGAACATTTGCAGGTTATAAATTAATAGATTTATTAATTATAAAGTATTTAGCTGCCTTGAAAATTCCAATATTCCAGATGCTGAAGCCGAAACCCCTAGAACTGTCCTTGACTCCAGTCTGTCTCTTACAGCAGAGAAGGATGTCACCTCACATCCAATCCAGCAGAAAATCTTGTTGATCTTTAGCTTCAAAACATCCACAGAATCTGAGTGCTTACTACCACCTAATCCAAGCTGCACCACCTCTTGCCTGGAGCACTGCAGGAGACTCCCGGCAGGTCTTCCTGCTCTGTTCTGACTCACACATGTCCCACCCATGGTGATCCTTTTAAGCCAGGGGTGTCCAGTCTTTTGGCATCCCTGAGCCACACTGGAAGAAAAAGAATTGTCTTGGGCCACACATAAAATACACTAACACTAATGATAGCTGATGAGCTAGAAAAAATAAAATCACAAAAATATCTCATCATGTTTTCAGAAAGTTCACAAATTTGTGTTAGGCTGCATTCAAAGCTGTTGCAGGCTGGACAAGCTTGTTTCAAGCCTAATGTAGATCTTGACACTCTCGTGCCACAAGTCCTGAAATGGCCTTCTGTTTTACAGAGAATAACAAAGTCCCTGCAAAGTCCTCCAAGACTCTCTGATCTCTAGTACGACTACTGTCCCTTTCAGTGACTTCACCCCAATCTCCTGGCCTCTGTACTATTCTGTACTACACACTAGGCATGTTCTTGCTTTAAGCCTTTGCTCTCGCTTTTCCCTCTTGTTCCCCCTGTGCTTCCCTGAGATAACTCCTGGCCAATCCTCTCGCCTCAGAGTTCATCTCACCTTGTCACTGAGGCCTCTCTTAATCACTCCACTCACTACTGCAATTGTTCCCTTTCCTCTCCACTCCCTGTCCTCCTTGCCCTGATCTAACTTTTCTTTTAAGCTCCATGAGGGCTATCTTTTCTGTTCACTCCTGCATTCCAGCACCTAGAACAGTGATGGGCATATAAATGAAAGCTCCATAAACGTTTACTGAGTGAAAAAATGGATGATTTTACTAATCAAATCTGCATATGAATATAAATTTATGTCTGTAAAACCACTTAGAATGGGCAGAGAGGACAAAAGCTAAAAACACTCTGAATTTGAAGAGTAAATTATATTCTGAGAGTACCCAGAGGAAAATTGTCTATAGAACCTGTAGTACTAAAAGTCCAGAAAAGACAAATGAGAAGGAAGACAGGAAAAACAGGATCTCTACCTCAGGCAAAGGGCAGGTCTGCTGGGAGGGATGGTTCAGGCTTCTTGCATTAATGCCTCCATGCTACACCCAATTGAATGCATAAAAGCTTCAAACAAACTCCTCTGAAAATGGGCATCCCCAGGGACGTCTTTCATTCCCCCACCCTCATCTTCTCCATGGACTATAAAGAATGTCCCTGCAGAATGCTTATCTTCTAATATTGAACCCAGAGTGTGTACCCAATATGGACACCTCTCACTCTTGTCAAAATAAAGCCTATACTTTTCTTGTGGACACAAAGCCAGCACAAGCAAGCCAGCAGCAACCAAATCATATACACATATACTTCTCCTTTCTCCCCTACTGACTCCCTTATGTTCTATATGCCACCAAAGGTGTGAAAGGAGAAGAGATAGTAATAAAGCTACTCAGGGACTCATTAAACTAATTTTTACTTTTTTTTAAATTTCTTCCTTTTTTTGAGACAGAGTCTCCCTCTGTCACCCAGGCTGGAATGCAGTGGTGCAATCTTGGCTCACTGCAACCTCCACCTCCCGGGTTCACGCCATTCTCCTGCCTCAGCCTCCCGAGTAGCTGGGACTACAGGCGCCTGCCACCATGCCCAGCTAACTTTTTATATTTTTAGTAGAGACGGGGTTTCACCGTGTTAGCCAGGATGGTCTCGATCTCTTGACCTCATGATCCGCCCGCCTCGGCCTCCCAAAGTGCTGGGATTACAGGCATGAGCCACTGCGCCCAGCCTAATTTTTACTTTCAATTCTATCCTTCCCTGTCTTAAAAGTGAAACTCCTCTACAGAAATAAAAGTTTTAAAACAATATTCAAAATCCAATAAAAGCAAATGTCATGTGAAGCTGAGTACGTGAACGTTCAAACCGCTTCACCCCCAGAATCTCAAATTCTCTTTCTGACCCAGTCACTTAATCCCCCATTTTTCTTTCTTCTTGCTTAAATTGGGCAGGCCCACTAGAAGACAGCACATCACAACCTACCACTTAAAATCTTACCCCATTCATCTACCTGCAGAAATCCCACCCATCCTTCAATTCCTGCCTCCAATTCTCAATCCCTTGGGAAGACTGCAGAACTTGCGTTGTTCACTTTCTTCTTTCCTTTTCAAGTGCATTGTGTACACTTGACATAATTCCCATAACAAACTTGAGTCCCTTCCTTATTCCTACATCCCTTAACTATGCTGTGCATAATAGCCCTGAACTGGAGTGCTGTAGAGGCCACAACCATAAAGAAAGCGCACTTGGAAATGCATGAGAAAAACAATTCCAAGAAGACAAAAAGGATCTGAAGATTTTATAATGCCTTCATTTACATTGCACTGATATTCTTTCCTATTTAGAACTGAATAGATTTTTCATTAAAAATGAATTTGCATTATTATTATTTTGCTCTATCAAATTAGCTCTTAGAGGCAAATGGTCACATTTTTAAACCCAGAAGTATTCAATGTATTTTTTTTTCCAGAAACTTAGAAATGTGAGTACACTCTGCCTCTGTGCCAATTGCCTTAGAAGAGGCATAGGAGAAGGAATGTAGGAGGATAGTTGCCTACACCCAAGGCTCAGCACTACCAGGAATGAGCACACCTCAATACAAGGGAGAGGAGACACTTCAGGAGTAAAAGAGCTAAGTTAGTAGGTAACCCTATAACTTATTGTCCAAACCAGGTCACTTTTGAGAATAAAAGGGACACTATTAACAATTATATCAAGCAACAGTTACCAAGCAACAGTAATAGTTATTAACTGCAACTGTCACAGGCAAACTGAGACCTATGGCAATCTGACAAAAAGCCAATGAACCTGAGGCCTCAGGGTACAGCAGGAGAAAGACCATTATAGTTCTAAAGCAGTTCTAGGTAGCTTAGAATAAATTCCATGATATAGCTTCTTACTGAAAGAGCCATGTAGCATTCTACAATCTCTAGAAAGCTAAGCAGAATAAATAAAAAAGAAAAGTAAATCTTGAAAATGTTTCTCTCTGCCATCTCGGCAGAGGTAACAACTGAGGAGGGAAGGAGTACCACCCCATTATCTACCACAACCAAATAAAGGAAAGAATCGTAGAGATACAAAATGATTTCCACATAACCCAAATTGATGCTGGGAAGGGCCTTAGAGACAATCTAATCCAGCTTCCAAACATATATATGAAGTAATAGCTGAGTAAAATTAAATCAAACATTTATGTTCTTAGAAGAGGGTAATTTGTGGTTTAATTCATTCATTCTTTCATTTGATAAAAATTTATTGAGTACTCCCAATGTATCAGACAGTAGGATAAGCACTGGGGAGTAAAAAGATAAATAATACAATCCTGCCTTTGAGGATCTGTATATTTATAGTTTAAATGTACTAATAATATATTTCAAAACTGAATGTTGAGTATACCATGGGACTATTGTGTTGATACCACTTGAGAATTCTAGCCAAATGGCAAAAGGAAATGGATTCCTAATAGAGAGAATGTTGGTAAACACTGCCACTAAATGATAACATTGCTGAGAATTCTTGCAGTCGAAAAAATGTTCATGGCTGGGCACGGTGGCTCACACCTGTAATCCCAGCACTTTGAGAGGCCAAGGCAGGTGGATCACCTGAGATCGGGACCAACATGGAGAAACCCTGTCTCTACTAAAAAAAATACATAAAATTAGCCGGGCATGGTGGCACATGCCTGTAATCCCAGCTACTGGGGAGGCTGAGGCAGGAGAATTGCTTGAACCTGGGAGACTGAGGTTGCAGTGAGCCCAGACTGCGCCATTGCACTCCCGCCTGGGCAACAAGAGTGAAACTCTGTCTCAAAAAATAAATAAATAAATAAAAGAAAGAAAAAATGTTCATTAATCAACCTCTTTTCTCTTTGTCTTCTTTTTCTATTCCTTCTCACCTCACATTTATTATGCATCAGCATATTCAAAACAATGAGCTACAATTTTCTTGCATATATATACTATAAATATTGAAGTTCAAAATATACATTTCCAGATTTCCTAGAATCCTGAAGAATACAAATCTAACTTAATTACACTCAGATCTTTCTCTTCTAAAAGAAAAATGATCTTCTGCAGAACAAATGAGCCTCTAAAATCACATTAATGAGTCTTTACCATTTATTCATAGAAAATCATCATGTAGAAAGATGATCATTATATCAAATTAGTCTAATGAGAAGATCTTTCTAATTCATTCATCCTTTATAGAATTTACTATAACAATAATAAGAAAAGAGGATTTGAGGCCTGAGAGAAACCACTATCCAGAAGAATGATTTCCATATAACCCAAACAAAACATTGCTTAAGCCCACAAATATGGGTGACAGTCTTTCGTAGAAGATCTTTACAACTATCGAATAAAATGATTTGCCATATCAATAAAGCACCAGAATGCAACATCATGAAAAGTTTTCTTGCTAAAGGCCATGCTGTGACAATTTCCTAAGTTTTTCCTAAGCTTACTTCTCAATATTGCCAAATTCACATTTTAAGCAACAGTTTCATTAGTCTTTCATATTCACAAAAAATATGATTTCTTCTTCAGTACTCAAAGAAATGGCTTTTTATATATATGTTAGCAGCTCAAAATATAAGAAGTGTCATGAAAGACTGAAAAAAATAAACTTCCTCAATATTATACTTTAGTATTCAATTACAATAATAAACTGGTACAAAATTTTACAGCCTTAAATATTTCCAACCTACATTGATCTTGATGATTTGCATTATGTGAATGCTAAATTAAATAAGGATGATGAGGCATGTGAAAATATATTCAGAAACCCTCACACCATTCCTAGTTAGTATGGTTTCTTTATAGTAAAAAAGGGATTTAAATATAGCCCAATGCTGAAAATACCTGGATTTCCTCCAGTACATAGGAATAACAATGCTTAAAAAAGAAAAAAGCAAGGAAAAAAAGATTATTAAATAAAATATAACTACCAAGTCTACATAGTATGATTAAGCACAGATGGAAATGCCAATAATTCTTGTTACCAGGTTCCATACAAATCTGGGGCTTCACAGATTGCCAATGATGAGAAAAAAATCTAAATCATAAAACAAAGTAATTTTTTTATTATACTTTAAGTTCTGGGATACAAGTGCAGAATGTGCAGGTTTGTTACATAGGTATACATGTGCCATGGTGGTTTGCTGCAGCCATCAACCCGTCATCTACATTAAGTATTTCTCCTAATGCTATCCCTCCCCTAGGCCCCTATCCCCCCAACAGGCCCCAGTGTGTGATGTTCCCCTCCGTGTCCATGTGTTCTCATTGCTCAACTCCCATTTATGAGTGAGAAAATGCGGTGTTTGGTTTTCTGTTCCTGTGTTAGTTTGCTAAGAATGATGATTTCTAGCTTCATCCATGTCCCTGCAAAGGACATGAACTCACCCTTTTTTATGGCTGCATAGTATTCCATGGCATATATGTGCCACATTTTCTTTATCCAGTCTATCGTGATGGGCATTTGGGTTGGTTCCAAGTCTTTGCTATTGTGAATAGTGCTGCAATAAACATACGTGTGCATGTAATTTTTTTATTTCACTTTACAATTGTATACTTTAAAAGTGACTGGGCTGGACTGAGACTCTAAAATTTGTTTAGCCAGATTTCGCACTAACCTTCATGCAAAACCATAAAACTCTGTCACAGAATCAGGTTTGCTGCATGTGTTGTTCATTCGGTTATAAATAAGTGGTACAGCCTATGTTTACAAACATGGACTCTTACGTCACTCAGATGTGGGCAAGATCCTGACTTTGTGATTTTGTCCAAGTTAGTCCAAGTTTCTAAACCCCAGTTTCCGTACTTCATAGTAATTGTTGAAGAATAGAATGAAACACATTATGTTAGCTGTTTTTAATTACTTATTAACAGCACTTTTATCCACCATCACTGTGGTAGCAGAATAATGACCTCCCAAAATGTCCACTTCCTAATCCTAGAACCCATAAATGTGCTACCTTACATGGCAAATAGAAATTACGTTTGCAAATGGAATGATGGTTTCCAATCAACTGACCTTAAAATGAGGAGTTTATCCTGGATTATCTGTCGAACTCTATGTAATAACAAGGGTCCTTCCAGTAGAAGAGGGAGGTCAGTAGTCAGAAGTTGTGACTATGGAAGAATAGTTATAGAAATTTAATGCTGCAGGCTTTGAAAATGAAGGAAGGAGCCATGAGCTAAGGCATGTAGGCAGCAGCTAGAAGCTAGAAAAGGCAAGGAAACATAGAGGCCCCAGAAAGGAACACAGCCCTATCACATCTTGACTTTAGCCTAGTGAGACCAGAGTCACCTTCTAACCCACAGAACTGTAAGATATAAATTTGGGTTGTAAGCCACTACATACGTAGCATTAGAACGCATACTATTACCCATACGGCAAGAGCTGTGCTGGGTGCTAGAGACGGTAATATGAGTAAGGAACTCTTAAGGATACATTTCCCTCTCCAGAAATCCCATTTTATGACCCTGGAATAACTTATTATACTACACAATATTATGAGTATTGCCTTAAAAAGTTCTATTCCTGGCCAGGCATGGTGGCTCATGCCTATAATCCCAGCATTTTGGGAGGCTGAGGTGGACCGATCACTTGAGGTCAGGAGTTCAAGACCAGCCTGGCAAACATGGCAAAACCCCATCTCTACTAAAAATACAAGTTAGCCAGGCATGGTGGCAGGTGCCTGTAATCCCAGCTCCTCAGGAGGCTGAGGCAGGAGAATTGCTTGAAGCCTGGAGGAGGAGGTTGCAGTGAGCCAAGATCGCACCATTGCACTCTAGCCTGGGCGACAAGAGCGAGACTTCGTCTCAAAAAAAAGAAAAAAAAAAGTTCTATTCCTGTAGTCTAAACTAAGATAATTTATTTTAAAAAAGAAAAAACAATTATGTGGCATTTTACAGACCCATATCTTGTTCACCTCTACAGGATAAGCAGCTTCAAACAGAAACTTTGGCTCATATGAGGTCTTTCACAGAGATGGCGAGTTGCCTGCCAAAATCCTGTCTCTCTTTTTACCTTACTCCTATACTATTGGGGTAGAAATGTTTACAGCTAAAAATCTAAATTTCAATGCTTCCCTTACAATGAGATATAAGCTAAAGTCTTAAGGTTGAGTTATTAGGAAAGTTCTCTTAAGCAGATTACTTAAATGGCAAACACCCTTACTCCCTTTGTCCTTCTTTCTGCCTGGAACAAAATGGAAATTTTGTGACCATGAGAAGAGAAACCAATTAAGATAGAAAACAATGCTAAAAATCAAGAGGGAACCCAAGGATAAAAACCACGCACTAAGGAAGTGGGTGAAGAGAGATTGAAGGAGCCTGAGATGATGTGATATTGTATGGACATTGGACTGCCTATTTCTGGAATCCTTTTACGTGAGGAAAAGACAAATTCTAAATTTGTTAGGCCAACCAGAAGCAATTCCTAACACCTGACCCAATGCTCCTTTCCCTAACTTTTGAGTGAAGTTTCTTTTAAAATCAATTGGAATTTAACACTTAAAAGAGACCACTAAATGGTGCTGGAATAACCGGACATCTGCATACAAAACAAAACAAAAAAATACATCTAAACATAAACCTTACATTCTTCACAAAAATTAACTCAAAGTGAATGACAGACCTAAATGTAAAACATAAAATGGTAAAACTCTTAAAAAATAAGAGAAGATCTGTACGACCTAAGGTTTGGCGATCACTTTTTAGATACAACACCAAAGGCATGATCTATGAAAGGAGAATTGATAAACTGAACATCATTAAAATTCACAAATTCTACTCTGCAAAAGACACTGTCAGGAGAATAGCAAGAGAAGCCACAGATTGGGGCAAATATTTGCAAAAGACATGCCTAATAAAAGATTGTTATACAAAGCAAACAAATAACTCCTAAAACTCAACAATAAGGAAAGAAGAAACTGATTAAAAAATGGGCCAAAGACCCTAACAGACACCTCACCAAGAAGGGTGATGCAAGTTAGCATATAAAAGATGCTTTACATCATATGTCATCAGGAAAATGCAAACTACAACAATGAGATAGCACTACACATCTATTAGAATGGCTAACATCCAGAACACTAACACCACCAAATGCTGACAAGAATGTGGAGCAACAGGAACTCCTACTCACTGCTGGTGGGAATGCAAAATAGAACATCCACTTTGTAAAACAGTCTAGCAAGTTCTTTCAAAACTAACATATTCTTACCATATGATCCAGCAATCACACTCCTTGGTATTTACCCTAAGGAGCTGAAAACTTATGTCCACACAAAAAACCAGCACAGATGTTTATAGCAGTTTCATTCATAATTGCCAAAACTGGGAAGCAACCAAGGTGTCCTTAAGTAGATAAATTGATAAATAAACTGTGATACATCGATACAATGGAATATTATTTAGTGCTAAAAAAATAAGCTACCACGCTATGAAAGACATGAAGGAAACTTAAATGCATACTACTAAGTGAAAGAAGCCAGTCTGAAAAGTCTCTATACTCTATGATTCCAAAGATAGGACATCCTGGAAAAGGCAAAACTATGAAGGCAGTGAAAAGATCAGTGGTTGCCACGCAGCAGGGTAGGGATGGAGAGGGATGAATAGGTAGAGCATGGAGGAGTTTTAGGGTGGTGAAGCTACTCTGTATGATGCTATAATGATAAACAAAACACATGTGTTTTGAGATCCCCTTGCTAAACTGAGATTATAGTACCAGAGCAGCAAGCATTACTGCCCTAACAGGAAATGAGGGGAAACTGGATATGGGAAGTATCCTGTGTGCGTTTTTCAGGATGCTTCTTTTACCTGGAAAAGGGCCTAATCTCTAATTGTTCAATCTGCAACCAGGGGATCCTTCATATGGGAAACTTGTTTATACTGGCAGATGCCCTTGTGGCTTTCGTCTGACCCATGTCCAGTTTGCATCTGCCTGACCATCACTCTGGCTGTGAGAGACCAATCTCGCATTCTCCCCAGAGTCCCAGAGAAAATCCATCCTTGGGTAGCCCTTGTTCCTCAGATGGAAGGTGCAAATACAGTATACCACCACAGTAGGAAATCAGTTGAAAGATTTTTACTTACAGATCCTGGGCAAGGAAGCTACAATGAGCTGGGAGAGCAGTCTTCCATCCGTGGGTCATGTGAGGCAAGAATGAAGAGTTAGAGAGACAGAGCACAAGTGCACATGGCAATTAGCAGTATATATGAAGGAATAGGGTGTAGAACACCTCAAATTTGTGGACAAGTGCCCTGGATGGTCTCTTTAAAGGTAGCAGAGGAAAAGCAGGAGCCCAGTCTGCTAGGTGGGAAAGATGTCTTGAAGTTCTTATCTTTGGCCAGGACTCGACTAATTTTTATGTGGTTTAGCACTAAAAATTCTGTTGAGGATGACTGAGTTCTGCTTCTGATACAAGAAAGTTAAACCTGTATTCAAACTGGATGCTGAGGCAGCATAAAATTGCAAGAATTCACACTACAACATGTCATTATAGATTTTTCCAAACTCATAAAATGTATAACAGCAAGAAAGAACCCTAATTTAAAGGATGGACTTTAAGTGATTACTGCATGCCAGTGTAGGTTCATCAATCGTAACAATCATTAACATCCTCTGGTGGGAAATGTTGAAAATGATGGCAGCGTCTATGCATGCATGGTCGGGGGTATAACATAGAAAATCTCTGTACCTTCTGCTAGAGTTTGCTATGTACCTAATACTACTCTAAAAAAGAAAGCTTATTAATTTTTTTAAAAAGACCACTAGCTCCTTCCTCCGAAGCTCTGGAAACTAAAAATATGAACTGTCCTCCTCTTAACATAGACTTCTGAGTCTCCAGAACTCTTACTTTCAATAAATAATCAGCATTCTCATAAATATCTACTCACAAATGTGACCATTTTTAAGTGTCCTTTGTGCATTCCTGTGTCTAAACAGAGCAGCAACAATGAAGAATATATGCTATTCCCTTGGATGGAACTATAATGAACAACTAAATAGGTTTTCTAGCATTGCTGCTGCTTACGAGGAAGTTTAAGAAATGTTAAATCTTTCCGGTTTGTTTAAAAACTCTAGACCCTAGCATAGTATGCAGAAGCCAGTGTTCTAGGAATCCAGATTTCCACCCATAAAAGTGTTCTAGTGTAAAGGCCTGACTACTTTCTGTAACAGCAATTCGACACTTGCTGTAAAGAAAAAATCATTATAATCAGTTCCCAGTAAGACACCAAAGAACAGCCAGAGGCAAGAAAAATGCATGGACCTCAAAAATAGGTTTAAGGAAGCTGAATCATAAAGTAGAATTCTGCATAACTTTTTCTCCTAGATTTTTCCCTTGTTAATACAAAAGATCTATGATGAAAAGAATCAGTCTCTCATCCAATTTCTCCCCTTCAACAGATACACTCCCCAGGGATGATATCTCTTAACTGTTTCAGTTTCTACAGGGTTTTGATATCTCCATAAGTATAAATAATAAGTTTGTTTTATTGTCCTAACTTATTAACTTTAGATAGTATCTACTGACTGTCATCAATATAAAATGTGAGACATTTATTTACCTTTCTTCCTCCTCCTCTCCTTCTCTTCTCAGTGTTGGATATTTATATTGTTATTTTTAGATTTGTATTGGTTAGCTGTTAACTATAAATAACATACTAAACACATATTTTCATTACACTGACTTTCCACAAGAGCTCTTGAACACACATTGTAACATAAGCATATTAACACGCAAACTTATTTTCTTTGCTTCTCATTAAATTGATTCTAAAAGATGAAAATCAATAAACTCAACCATAATGACTATGTAAATTTGCTCTAATGTTATGCTAGAAATATCATAGACTCTCCACAGGTCCCATTACCTGACTCTGAATAACATATGCATTTTGCCTAAAAGAATCAATTCAATAAACATTTATTTTGTACCTACCACACACCAGTTAGATCTATATAATGGATAAAAATGTAAAAGAGGAATAAATGTGTTCTTGTACAAAGACAACTATGATGCAGGCAGAAAGTTATGAGGAGATCTGGAAAATAGTAAGTTGTAAATGCTGACTCACCTACCTTTTAAAAAAGTAATTTATTGCAGCACTATTCACAATAGCAAAGACTTGGAACCAACCCATATGTCCATCAATGATAGACTGGATTAAGAAAATGTGGCACATATACACCATGGAATACTATGCAGCCATAAAAAAGGATGAGTTCATGTCCTTTGTAGCAACATGGATGAAGCTGGAAACCATCATTCTGAGCAAACTATCGCAAGGACAAAAAACCAAACACCGCATGTTCTCACTCATAGGTGGGAATTGAACAATGAGAACACTTGGACACAGGGTGGGGAACATCACACACCAGGACCTGTTGTTGGGTGGGGGGATGGGGGAGGGATAGCATTAAAAGAAATACCTAATGTAAATGACAAGTTAACGGATGCAGCAAACCAATACAGCACATGTATACATATGTAACAAACCTGCACATTGTGCACATGTACCCTAGAACTTAAAGTATAATTTTTTTAAAAAGTAATTGGTATATTAATTATTAGGATGCATTTAATCATGAAGCAAACATTTAAGCACTATTATGTACCAGACACTACATAGGACATTGTAGAAAAAATGGTGAGCCAAAATGAACATGGTGCTCTGAACCTATAAGGAAAAATATATTATAAGATCATAATAGAAGTAGACATGATTTAGTCTTGAGAGAATTAAGACAGACTTGATAGTAAGAAAATTGTGGTAAGATTTAAAGGAAATGAAAACTAAACTATGTAGAGACAGGCAGAATGGCATAGAAGGTAGCATCCTGGACAGTAAACAACATGCCTAAGCCCCTGAGATTGCCCACCAGGCAAACAGGGAGAAAATCAGGTGACTGGAACCCAGAACACAAGGGAAAATGCAAATTGCTTGATGCCTTATGGGTGGAACATAAGTACATATGTATGCAATTATAATAGATATTGTATATATATTTATCTGTGTATGTACTTATAATTTTATATGCATGTAATATAACTTTTAAATGATACATTATCAAAGTAATTTTGATAAATATTCCTATATATTATACATTTTAAAAATGCAATTTTAATTTTTCCAATTCTATGGATTGCTAAAATAATAAATCCTTTCTCTACCAGAATAATTCTCTACCAGTATAAGCAAACTATAAGAATTTATATACCCCATGCATAAGGTTTAAGTTGCTCCTTCAAAAAGTTTTCAGCCACATGTCTACTGTAACTGGAAAGACAAAGGTGACTTTTGTAATGACCACATTGGTGAAATTACTCTCTGCTTTGCATTTCTTGCTGTTCTTTCTTAACCTCTCCCCTTTGTTTTTCAAAACACAGAATGCTCTTATGAACTTTATTGTTCTGTAAGGCCCATTTCCTAGAACAGTATCTTTTCAATGATACTTTTGACTTATCAACAAAATCAATTAAGTGGGTCAATTTTTAAAATTCAAAAGGATAGAAAAAACAGAGTGCATTTTACATAGCAATGGAAAGCGTTGTTTGTGAAACTTTTGTTTTAGCTACACACACACAGACACACACACACACACACACACAAAATGGGTCAATAGAGAAAATGCATGTCTTATCCTCAGTCGAAAATATATGAGAGATGCTATTCTAGAATCTTCCAGGCTGTAGAAGTATTATTTGCACCCATGGGAATATTTTTTTCCAATGTATGATTGAACATTTTTAGCATAGAAACATTTTCTTCATCATCATCAAGCACAACAACAATTAAAATTTAGTAAATAACTATGCAACTTGTAGAATTCAGACAGAATTGAGCCTTGTTAAGACAGAATTCTATAAAGGGTGCAACTTTCTTGATTGTACATACTCCAAACCTCTGATTTTGCCTAGAACAGATAGGTAGAGTTCACTAGATTAGGCACCTACCTTTAATAATTCTTAACATAGTTAGTCAACTTACCTATAGAACTACAAAAGTTAAATCTCATTCAATGATATGGCCTTTAACATTCATATTAATATACAATAAAATATAAAGAATATACGACAGTTCTCATGTTAGATTCCAATTATAACCTGC
The DNA here is from genome assembly GCF_000001405.40 of Homo sapiens. Lineage (NCBI taxonomy): Eukaryota > Metazoa > Chordata > Mammalia > Primates > Hominidae > Homo > Homo sapiens. Next base: position 183,424,100 of record NC_000002.12, on the reverse strand, counting down.
TAAGAAACTGTCAATAACTTCTAATGTATGTATAAAGGAAATTTCTGATTAATTTTCAGTATTCTTATCCACGTCCTACTTTGAAGAAGTTTCTCAAGTGATAAGACTTTAATCAATTGGTGAGCACTATTCTCTGACTTACTGCATTACCAGAGAAGGACCTTTCATGGACTAATGAGAATGTGCCATAAACCAAGTAATACAATTAAGTCTGTGCATCTGAAGTTTAAAAAAAAAAAAAGTCGGGGGAGCATAAACATTGCTTCCTACCTCAAGAGACTTAACAATTATTAAAAATTAATAAAGAAGGAGAATTTTTGAGTAGTACAGAAATTTCATTATAAGGAAACCATACTAGGTAAGAGGAATAAGAAGGAGACTATTCAAGATTTCCATAGTAGTAAAATTATATGAGCAAACATTTAATTTTACCTACTTCTAGAATTGTTTTTTATTGAACGTCTGTACTTACAGGGCTTTAAAATTAGTACTGTTTTAGTAACAATAAGTTATTTAAATATTTCAGAATCGAAATCAGAAGACTTTAAGAGGAAAAATTACCAACTAAGAAGCAGGGTGAGCAGGTTTTGAAAACTCATAGTCATGCCTTTAGGAAGAAACAGGGTAATTTAACTGGAAAGCAAGCTGGTTGAAGGGAGATCAATATGTAATTTTAGCTAGATCGCTTCCCTATTGTCCTTTGGGTGAATGCCAAAGAAGCTCTCTGCCAGGCTTGGGACAATGGGTCAAACCAGAAACATTGCTTTGTACCTGAAAGAGAAAATGAAGCTGGTACAGACGGTATGCTGAGACAGTCTGAGATTCCATTACAGTGTCAGTCATGAATAAGGTGAGATGCAATTTCTGTGGCTATGAGATAGTTTCACCATCACCAAATCTCCCTGGACAACATCATTGATGCATTTATGATGAAACTTCTCATTTTCTATTATGTTTTCACTCTTGGACCTTAAAGTAAATTAATCTTTTATCAGTTCCACACTTCATTGAGTGTCATGATTTGGAAGAGATAATAAAATACTGGCTGGTGCTGCCCCCAGAAAGGACCCTGAACCTGCCTTTATTTCAGCAAACTGTACTTAAGGGAATTGATTTAACTGCCAAGTCCACTATAAAGAAAAGAATCGTCTGGAAACAAAGCAGAGCCAGAAAATTAGGAATTGTTGTCTAAATGTAGACACCATCCTCAAAGACTGTGAGGTGGAAAAATAAAGTGATGTCATCAAATTCAGAAAAGTAGGAATTAAAAATTATCATCAATGCATTCTTAAATTTTATTATTTTAAAACATTTTTTCGTTGTTGATTTTGCCTTCCATTTCTAGGCACGAAACTTCACACTACGTAAAGTTCGATAGATTCTCTGGAGAGAAAAATAGCATTTTAAAATAAGTCTCCTCAAGTTCGCAGTTTATATTACTGGCAAGTGTGTGTGTGTGTGTCTGTGTGTGTGTACAAGGATTAGGTGCATCATTATCTAAAAATCATTTTTCTTTTTTTACTTTAAGTTCTGGGGTACATGTCCTGAAACTGCAGGTTTGTTACATAGGTGTACATGTGCCATGGTGGTTTGCTGCACCTATCAACCCATCATCTAGGTTTTAAACCCCGCATGCATTAGCTATTTCCTAATGCTCTCCCTTCCCTTGCCTTGCACCCCCTGACAGGCCCCGGTGTGTGATGTTCCCCTTTCTATGTCCATGTGTTCTCATTGTTTAACTCCCACCTATGAGTGAGAACATGCAGTGTTTGGTTTTCTGTTCCTGTGTTAGTTTGCTGAAGATGTTGGTTTCTAGCTTCATCCACATCCCTGAAAACACATGAACTCATTCTTTTTTATGGCTGCATAGTATTCCATGGTGTATATGTGCCACATTTTCTTTATCCGATCTATCATTGACGGGCATCTGGGTTGGTTCCAAGTCTTTGCTATGGTAAATAGTGCTGCAATAAATATAAGTGTGCATGTGTCCTTATAGTAGAATGATTTATATTCCTTTGGGTATATCCCCAGTAATTGGAGTGCTGGGTCAAGTGGTAATTCTGCTTCTAGATCCTTGAGGAATTGCCACACTGTGTTCCACAATGGTTGAACTAATTTACAATCCCACCAACAGAGTAAAAGTGTTCCTATTTCTCCACATCCTCTCCAGCATCTGTTGTTTCCTGACTTTATAATGATCGCCATTCTAACTGGCATGAGATGGTATCTCATTGTGGTTTTGATTTGCATTTCTCTGATGACCAGCGATGATGAGCTTTTTTTCATATGTTGGTTGGCTGCATAAATGTATTCCTTTGAGAAGTGTCTGTTCATACCCTTTGCCAACTTGTTGATGGGGTTGTTTGTTTCTTGTAAATTTGTTTAAGTTTCTGAAGATTCTGAATATTAGCCCTTTGTCCGATGGATAGATTGCAAAAATTTTCTCCCATTCTGTAGGTTGCCTGTTCACTGTGATGGCAGTTTCTTTGGCTGTGCAGAAGCTCTTTAGTTTAATTAGATCCCATTTGTCAATTTTGGCTTTTGTTGCAATTGCTTTTGGTGTTTCAGTTATGAAGTCTTTGCCCATGCCTATGTGCTGAATGGAATTGCCTAGGTTTTCTTCTAGGGTTTTAATGGTTTTAGGTTTTCTGTTTAAGTCTTTAATCCATCTTGAGTTAGTTTCTGTATAAGGTGTAAAGAAGGGGTCTAGTTTCGGTTTTCTCCATATGGCTAACCAGTTTTCCCAACACCATTTATTAAAGAGGGAGTCCTTTCTCCATTGCTTTTGTCAGGTTTGTCAAAGATCAGATGGTTGTAGACGTGCGGTGTTATTTCTGAGGCCTCTGTTCTGTTCCATTGGTTGATATATATGTGGTGGTACCAGTACTATGCTGTTTTAGTTACTGTGGCCTTGAGTATAGTTTGAAGTCAAGTAGCATGATGCCTCCAGCTTTGTTCTTTTTGCTTAGGATTGTCCTGGCTATATGTGCTCTTTTTTGGTTCCATATGAAATTTAAAGTAGTTTTTTCTAATTCTGTGAAGAAACCCAGTGATAGCTTGATGGGAATAGCATTGAATCTATAAATTCCTTTGGACAGTATGGCCATTTTCATGATATTGATTCTTCCTATCCATGAGCATGGAATGTTTTTCCATTTGTGTCCTCTCTTATTTCCTTGAGCAGTGGTTTGTAGTTCTCCTTGAAGAGGTCCTTCACATCCCTTGTAAGTTGTATTCCTAGGTATTTTATCTTTGTAGCAATTGTGAGTGGAAGTTCACTCATGATTTGGCTCTCTGCTTCTCTACTACTGGTGTATTAGGAATGCTTGTGATTTTTGCACATTGATTTTGTATCCTGAGATTTGCTGAAGTTGCTTATCAGGTTACAGAGTTTTGGGGCTCAGATAATGGGGTTTTCTAAATATACAATCATGTCATCTGCAAACAGAGGCAATTTGACTTCCTCTCTTCCTATTTGAATACCCTTTATTTCTTTTTCTTGCCTGATTGCCCTGGCCAGAACTTCCAATACTATGTTAAATAGGAGTGGTGAGAGAGGGCATCCTTGTCTTATGCCAGTTCTCCAAGGGACTGCTTCCAGCTTTTGCCGACTCAGTATGATTATTAGATATGGGTTTGTCATAAATAGCTCATATTATTTGAGATTTGTTCCATTAATAACTAGTTTATTGAGAGTTTTTAGCATGAAGCGGTGTTGAATTTTACCAATGGCCTTTTCTGCATCTATTGAGATAATCATGTGGTTTTTGTCATTGGTTCTGTTTATGTGATGGATTACATTTATTGATTTCTGTATGTTGACCCAGCCTTGCATCCCAGAGATGAAACCAACTTGATCATGGTGGATAAGCTTTTTGATGTGCTTCTGGATTCAGTTTGCTAGTATTTTATTGAAGATTTTTGCATGATGTTCATCAGGGATATTGGCCTGAAATTTTCTTTTGTTGTGTCTCTGCCAGATTTTGGAATCAGGAGGATTCTGGCCTCATAAAATGAGTTAGGGAGGATTCCCTCTTTTTCTATTGTTTAGAATAGTTTCAGAAGGAATGGTATCAACTCCTCTTTGTACCTCTGGTAGAATTTGGCTGTGAATCCATCTAGTCCTGGGTTTTTTTTGGTTGGTAGGCTATTAATTACTGCCTCGATTTCAGAACTTGTTATTGGTCTATTCAGGGATTCAACTTCTTCCTGGTTTAGTCTTGGGAGGGTATATGTGTCCAGGAATGTATTCATTTCTTCTAGATTTTCTAGTTTGCCTGCACAGAGGTGTTTATAGTATTTTCTGATGGTAGTTTGTATTTCTGTGAGATCAGTGGTGATATCCCCTTTATAATTTTTTATTGTGTCTATTTGATTCTTCTATTCTCTTCTTATTAGTCTGGCTAGTGATCTATCTATTTTGTTAATCTTTTCAAAAACCCAGCTCCTGGATTCATTGATTTTTTTTGAAGGGTTTTTGTGTCTCTATCTCCTTCAGTTCTGTTCTTATCTTAGTTATTTCTTCTCTTCTGCTAGCTTTTGAATTTCTTTGCTCTTCTTTCTCTTGTTCTTTTAATTGTGATGTTAGGGTGTCGATTTTAGATCATTTCTGCTTTCTGATGTGGGCATTTATTGCTATAAATTTCCCTCTCAACAGTGCTTTAGCTGTGTCCCAGAGATTCTGGTACATTGTCTCTTTGTTCTCATTGGTTTCAAAGAACTTCTTGATTTCTGCCTTCATTTCGTTATTTACCCAGTAGTCATTCAGGAGCAGGTTGTTCAGTTTCCATGCAGTTGTGTAGTTTTGAGTGAGTTTCTTAATCCTGAGTTCTAATTTGATTGCACTGTGGTCTGAGAGACTGTTTGTTATGATTTCCATTCTTTTGCATTTGCTGAAGAGTGTTTTACTTCCAATTATGTGGTCGATTTTAGAATAAGTGCTATGTGGTGCTGAAAGAAATGTATATTCTGTTGATTCAGGGTGAGAGTCCTGTAGATATTTATTAGGTGCACTTGGTCCAGAGCTGAGTTTAAGTCCTGAATATCCTTGTTAATTTTCTGTCTCGTTGATCTGTCTAATATTGAAAGTGAGGTGTTATAGTCCCCCACTATTAACATGTGGATGTCTAAGTCTCTTTGTAGGTCTCTAAGAACTCGCTTTATGAATCTGGGTGCTCCTGTATTGGGTGCATACATATTTAGAATAGTTAGCTCTTCTTGTTGCATTGATCCCTTTACACTGATGGGTCTTGACTCTAACCAATTTGTCAGTCCGTGTCTTTTAATTGGGGCATTTAGCCAATTTACATTTAAGGTTAATGCTGTTATGTGTGAATTTGATTTTGTCATCATGATGCTATTATTTTGTTGGTTATTTTGCCCATTAGTTAATGCAGTTTCTTCATAGTGTCATTGGTCTTTGTATTTTGGTGTGTTTTTGCAGTTGCTGGTACCGGTTTTTCCTTTCCATATTTAGTGCTTCCTTCAGGAGCTCTTGTAAGGCAGGCCTGGTGGTGACAAAATCCCTCAGCATTTGCTTGTCTGTAAAGGATTTTATTTCTCCTTCACTTATGAAGCTTAGTTTGGCTGGATATGAAATTCTGGTTTGAGAATTCTTTTCTTTAAGAATGTTGAACATTGGCCCCCCACTCCTTTCTGGCTTGTAGGGTTTTGCAGAGAGATCCACTGTTATTCTGATGGGCTTCCCTTTGTAAGTTACCTGACTTTTCTCTCTGGCTGCCCTTAACATTTTTTCCTCCATTTCAACCTTTGAGAATCTGATGATTATGTATCTTGGGGTTGCTCTTCTCGAGGAGTATCTAGTGGTGTTCTCTGTATTTCCTAAATTTGAATGTTGGCCTGTCTTGCTAGGTTGGGGAAGTTTTCCTGGATAATATCCTGAAGTGTGTTTTTTAACTCGGTTCCATTCTCCCTGTCACTTTCAGGTACACCAATCAATTATAGGTTTGGTCTTTTCACACAGTCCCATATTTCTTGGCTTTGTTTGTTCCTTTTTATTCTTTTTTCTCTAATCTTGTCTTCACGCCTTATTTCATTAAGTTGATCTTCAATCACTGATATCCTTTCTTCCGCTTGATCAATTCGGCTATTTACACTTGTGTTTGCTTCACGAAGTTCTCATGCTATGTTTTTCAACTCCATCTAGGTCATTTATGTTCTTCTCTAAACTGGTTATTCTAGTTTGCAGTTCCTGTAACCTTTTATCAAGGTTCTTAGCTTCCTTGCATTGAGTTAGAAAATGCTTCTTTAGCTCAGAGGAGTTTGTTATTACCCACCTTCTGAAGCCCACATTTGTCAATTCATCAAACTCATTCTCCGTCCAGTTTTGTGCTCTTCCTGGAGAGGAGTTATGATCATTTGGAGGAGAAGAGGCATTCTGGTTTTTGGAATTTTAGCATTTTTGCACTTTTTTTTACTCATGTTTGTGGATTTATCTACCTTTGATCTTTGAGACTGATGACCTTTGGATGGGGTTTCTTTGGCGGGGGGGGGGGTCATTTTTGTGGATACTGATGTTATTACTGTTTGTAGTTTTTCTTCTAACAGTCAGGCCCCTCTTCTGCCAGTCTCCTGCAGTTTGCTGGAGGTCCACTCCAGATGCTATTTGCCTGGGTATCACCAGCAGAGGCTGCAGAACAGCAAAGATTGCTGCCTGCTCCTTCCTGTGGAAGCTTTGTCCCAGAGGGGCAAGGGCCTGATTCCACATGGAGCTCTTCTGTATGAGGTGTCTGTCAACCCCTGTTGGGAGGTCTCTCCCAGTCAGGAGGCACAGGAGTCAGGGACCCACTTGAGGAGGCAGTCTGTCCCTTAGGAGAGCACAAGCGCTGTGCTGGGAGAATCCTCCTTGTCAGGATCTGCTGCTTTCTTCAGAGCTGGCAGCAGGAACGTTTAAATCTGGTGAAGCTGCACCCACAGCCACCCCTTCCCCCAGGTGCTCTGTCACAGGAAGATGTGAGTTTTATCTATAAGCCCCCAACTGAAACTGCTGACTTTCTTTCAGAGATGCCCTGCCCAGTGAAGAGGAATCTAGAGAGGCAGTCTGACCACAGCTGCTTTGCTGCACTGTGTTGAGTTCCACCCAGTCTGAACTTCCAGGCCTTTGTCATGCTGTCGGGGAAAACTGCCTATTCAAGCCTCAGTAATGGCAGACACCCCTCCCCCAACTAAGCTCAATCATCCCAGGTCGACTTCAGACTGCTGTGCTGGAGGTGAGAATTTCAAGCCAGTGGATCTCAGTTTGCTAGGCTCTGTGGGAGTGAGACCCGCTGAGTGAGACCACTTAGCTCCCTGGCTTCAGCCCCCTTTCCAGGGGAGTGAACGGTTCTGTCCCACTGGGGTTCCAGGTGCCAATGGGGTACAAAAATAAAACTCCTGCAGCTAGCTTGGTGTCTGCCCAAACAATTGCCCAGTTTTGCACTTGAAACCCAGGGTCCTGGTGGTGTAGGCACACAAGGAATCTCCTGGTCTGTGGATTGCAAAAACCGTGGAAAAAGCATAGTATCTGGGCTGGATAGCACAGTCCCTCATGGCTTCCCTTGGCTGGGAAAGGGAGGCCCCCTGCTCCTTGCACTTCCCAGGTGAGGTGATGCCCCACCCTGCTTCTGCTCGCCCTCCTTGGGCTGCACCCACTGCCTAACCAGTCCCAATGAGATGAACAGGGTACCTCAGTTAGAAATGCAGAAATCACCTGCCTTCTGCATTGCACCTTTGACTTTGGGGCATACCTTTAAATCGAAAACTTTTAGCCCTAGCATTTTAGTGATTATCCTATTGTTCAAATTTCTTTCCACCCGCCAACTCCCAAAAAATATTTCTTCTATATTGAGAAAGTTTTCCAAATATATAGATTTTTTAATTGATAGTCAAGGATTTTACCTCTATTTAGACATATTTTAGAAGAAAGAATACTATGAAAGAGAATTAGAAAACTAGGGAAAGACTTGGGCAAATCTGCCCATCTTAAACTGGAAACATTCAACCCCATCAACCTATCCATATGTAAAATTTTTATGCAGTCAATTACCTTCAGAAATACATGTATTATGGGATCATCTTTCAATTTATTTTTATTTAACATTTAAATCTGCCAAACATCATGACTGTGTCTGAATGCAAATTCAAAATAGCCTTTTGTAACCAAAAAAAAAAAAAAATCAAGGATATTAAATTACTAAGTAATAAAAAGGGTTACTTCCCCTTGGGTAAGTTGTATTGAGGACATTGTTGGTTGCATCCATTTTCCCTTTCCTAATTTAGTATCTGTTCAGGTATACACTCCTAGACTACATAGCTGGTGAACTTCAAGGGAAACTGATCATACTAATCATTTCAAAGATGGCTGTGACTTGCCCAAGGTAATCCAGTTTCTTGCTACAACTGCTTCAGGAAACCAGGCCTTAGCCAATCTGCCCACAGTATTCCTTTGATTGCAGGTTATTAATTAAATGATTAGGCCAGTGAGATGTGAAGGTTAAATTCACTGGACAACATAGAAGTAAAGTTTCCCTGTCAAGAGAAAGTCAAAAGAGATAGGCTCTGTATGTAGTTGTTTACAGATGTGAGGTTCAGTACTACTGCAACCATCTTGTGAAAAGATGGAGATGAAATCAACACAAAAAGAATGAAATTACCAAGAATATTTGAGCCAATCAGACCAAGTTCTAGTTAAACCAAGCCTTACTACCACCACACTTATGAATATTTTCAGGTCTTTGTGGGCCTTTTTGAGTTGGGTTTTATACTACTTAAAATATTCTAACTAATACAATAAATAGAATTATCTTCCATAATTAAGACAATTATAAAACAGCATGTTTCACTTTTTGCTTTTATACTAGGAAATTAGAGTCATACATAAAATTCAACCACAAAAATTACATATGCCTCCATGGCCTGCATTTTTAGTCTCATTTTAACAAGGTCCAGTTTTGTCACCTGTTTCTCTTGGTTCTTGTCATGATTATTTGTATTCACATGTATCAACTTTAAAAAAACATTTATTGCAAACCACCACAGATTACTTACAGAATAAGTCGAGGCATAAATAAACTAACAAAGTATAAAAATGAATTAACAAAAAATAAGTGGAACTTTCTCAGATGGTCCATGGTACAAACACAAGCAAGAAAAACTGAAGAAATGATTAAACATATTTTACAAACCAGAAATTTTTTATTACAGAAAGCATTGTTCTGTTCATTTTCCAGATAAATGGAATTCATTGTTATATCTTTATATAATCAACCAGAAGAAACAAGAATTGTTTTTATATAATTTTTAATGATTTAAATAGAATTCAAATTGCAAAATAACAGAATTGATAGCTTAAGAATTATTGCAAAGTGCTTCATGTCATGCAGCTCATTTTATTTTTTCTGACTCAGGCCATTTCACTTCACTAATCTAATTAATTTGTACTAAAATATGTCACTCCTATTGCATTAAATTTTACATTAAAATCGTTTGCCTGCCAAAGGAAATTTTTCTCTAGAATTGGGTTTATGGAATGAATGCATATTGCCTATTACACATTTTCACCATTTTGATGGACATTTGATTTCTTTCCATAAGTATCTATAGCATGGAGATCATAGTGTATTTCACACCTAAAAATACACATCAAATATTTAATGAGAGTACTACAAACAAAAATTTAATATATATGTATATATACTTTTTAAAATATATATATATATACTTTTATATATACTTTTATACTTTTATATGTAAGCCTGATGGAAAAGGAATCAACCCTGCTTGGTTTTACCTCTCCTTCTTTATGCTGTAAATCCAAATTGTATTTCCTTGGGAGCTAAACCATAAAAAGCAAGACATACTGTCAACCAAACAGGCAGGAAATGCTTGCTAATCTTTGTTAGTAAGGGCTAGTAATTATAATTTCTTTTAAAAAAAAAGTGGAAAAAATCTTTTGATGCTTTTTTGTCATATTAATGGTCTACAAATCACAGAATGATTGAATTGATTTTGGCAATGACAGGAAAGTGTGTTGAAGAATGAAAGAAAAGAAGCCCTCCCTGCCCTACTCAGAGCACGAACTTCCACTATCACAGCTTCCTTCTTCAATGCATATTATTTTCATCACTAAGACTCTTGGGATGATCACTTAAATTTTCAGTTCTGTTAGCACCATGAAAAGAAGTTTTGGTAAGGGAAGAAAACAGTAGTGAGGAACTGGACAGCAAAATGGAAACACCATAAGCTTTGCCTATTTCCTACTTTAGCCCAGGCCAGCTGAGAAGTGTATACACACATGTCAGTGCAGACTTCTTCAGCCAGTCTATCTAAGTCATCTGCATGTGCTGAAGGCTTAACAACTAGACAGACCTCAGAGTTTCTGGGCAATCTTACTCACCTTACTGTCACTGCTCTATTTGTAGGGCTCACTGTAAATCATATAATTGTTATGTGGTTGTATGAAATCATTTATAAAGCTGAATCCATGAAAATTTTCTTTTGTAAAATTTTTGAAATATATGACAATTATAAATACAAAATTAAATATAAGCACTATTAAAATCTGCAACCCTTACCAAAATATATCTAGAAATATATTTTCATTTAGTGACAGCCATATATTTGCATATTACATGACAGCACATGAACTGGACCATACACTGGGTAGAACTACAAGAGAAACTTAGATTTGTTGCCACTTATCAATCAATCAAACACTTACTTATTTAAGCACCTATGCAGTTCTGGGCACTTCTGGCCCTATGTATTCCCACCCCCACTTCCTATTACCAGGATGCTCTTTGGTAGCTTCATACATGTGAGGAAGCTTTACACAGGCATTGGTGAGTAAGGCTGTTGCTGTGAGGTACTAAGCTAATGGAAGTCTGAGTGTGAGCAAATCACACACACACACCCCCATGTAATGTCTTCTGAGCAGGCAGAAAAGCAAAGCTCTCTTTAAACAGATTATTTTTTAAACTTTAATGACTTTAACAAAGCAACTAATCCAAGACTCTAGAGGCAGGGCAGAGTTCAGAATCTGAGACTTTCTTAGACCCTAAGCCTCAAAGCAGGTGCCTTTATGGAAATAAAAAGAATGCAAGAGAAGCTCTTTCTCATATGCCCTTATGCCTCAAGCAGAATTCCCTCACTCTCATTTCTTGAAGGACCACAGACCTCTCTGGCGTCAGAAGAAGTTATTCTGAATTAGTTTGTGGTTTGTAGATTGCAGATAATTTTTTAATTATTATAGTATTTACATATGGCAGTCATTCAACAATTTTTGGTGTTAAATTCATTGCAATAGTTACACATTATTCAATAAAATAAATAAGATTTCAAATAGATAATACCTTTAAAACTCCAGCAGAGCAGATACTACACTTTAGTGACTGGCTTTAAATTAATATATATGGATATTCATCAGAACTATTAATTTCAATCATTCTCTTCAGTGTGTTTATTTTTCGGAGAGATGCGTGATGATAAAAGGGATGTTACACAGAAACTATAAGACCTAAGAGTTAATGTGTTCTTCATTCTTGTCTTGCAATTCCTTCCAATCTGGCTGTAAATCCCTAGCAATGACTTTAAAAGCTTTTGAGGAAAATACAAGACTATTGACAACTTTCTGAAATGCTGCCCTCAGAGTCCATGTCATTGATTGCTTATTCCCCAGTCTTATGCAACTATAATCACAGAGTGCCACAGAAGACAGGACTGACTTTCAAGTCAGACAGCCCCGAATTAGTATTCCAGCATGGTTGTCTTAATGTGCTACGTATCCACTCTAAGCCTCAGCCACCTCATCTATGAAAGGGAGATAATAAAAGTACCCACTCCACAGGACGGCTGGAACTTTCATGGAATCGTGCATGTATAGCAGCAGTATCTATAGCAGTGAGTACTGAGTAGATGTTACTTCTGTCTTCCATTCCCTTTCTGCAATGCCTACACTGTTGTTTTCCAGTGCAAGCTACATATTAGGAGATATAACCTCTCATGTAGGTGGGATTTGTAAACATTGTCATATGTTAGTATCAAATGTGCCTAGGTAAATCCTGGGCCCCTGCATGCCCACCATGTAGTAGCTGCCACCTAATTCCAGTTGGGCTTTCTATTTCTGTTTTTACTGAACACGCTTTCTCAGATGAAAATGGAGATTTGTTTATTTCCTAGGGCCGATACTGATCCTACCTCTTGTCAATTATTTCTCCAAGGTGGCAGGAAAATTTTACCCTCCTCTCCACATCCTTAAATGATAGCCACCATCCTCCAAATGAACAAATTCCCAAAACTTTGGCTCTGAGTAATGTTGTGGTGAAGTACCTCCTATCTTGATTACTAATTTGGTTCCATGGTTACCAGGGAAGATGCTATTTCTCCAGAAATAGCATAATCTTAGCAACAACTTTTGGAAAAGATATTATTGAAACCTTAATTATTTTCTTATGAAAGTGCATTACTGAAATTTATGGAAGGTCAACATATGCCCAACTTAAATTTATTATGTTCCAAAAAGCCACTTGTAAACCAGTTATTTGGAACTTAAAATATATTTTCCCATAAAATGTTTTACACTGTATTTAATGTTCCTATCTATCACACATAATCTTCTGTAATCCATATTGCACCTGAGGTATGGTCCCAGATGCACTAATTTATACAATGAGCCTCTATTTATGTAACTCAAATTTTCACAAACCTCATCAGCTGGCAAGTCTAAATTAATTCACTTGTTCAATACAAATGCATTGCATACTACTAAATGCCAGGCACTATTCTGGGAACTTCAGATGCAATGATAAGACAAAGTTCTTGGCCTATGTTTATGGACTAGTGGGGAAGAGATCATAACCAAAAAGCATTTTATAACCTCAGGCATGAAAAACTGCGATGAAAGATCAAAAGCAGGAAAAAGGGGAGGAGAAAAATGGGGCACACTTTTAGAGAGGGTTTTTCTGAGGAGGTGACATTTGAGCAGAGATTTAAATAAAGTGGGGGTGTTAGCAAGGTGAATGCCTAGTGGAGAAGCATCCCAGTCAGAGAGAACAGCCACGCAAAGGCCCTTAAGTGGACTGGCTAGGTTGTCTCTAGGAAACGCAAGAAGGCTGGGCAGTTAGAGAGCCAAAAGGAAGAGGCTGAGTGCAGGAAATGAGGTCCAGGAAGGGCCTGAACACTGAGGCACTGCAAGCCCTGGAGATTACTTTGGATTTTATTTTGAACATGTTGAGAAGTCATTGGAGAGTTGAGAGTGAAAGAAGGACATTTTTAAAGGACATTTAAAGGACATTTCTAAAAGATTATTCTAGATACCACAGGAAAATAAACTGCAAGGGCACAAGGGAGAAAGCATGGAGATCAGATAGGAGAATATTTCTGTATTCCACATAGAGATGATGAAGACTTGGACTAGAGTGGAAATGATGAATGTTGTGAGAAGTGATCAGATGAATGAAGGAGTCTGTATCAAAAGCAATAAGGCAAATTCATCAAATTAGGCTAATTATTCCTTTGGTACACATTTCTCAGTCACCCCTCAGTCCTCAGAAGAAGAGACCCCTAGCAGGTTTGATCCCCAAGTATGCTAGACATTCTTATCTGAGACAAAAACCAGCCAAAATTATAAGCCATTTCTACAGGAAAACCAAACTTGGTTCCAAAAGGGCATGCCAGGAACACATGTCAGCCTCTCAGAGGTAAAAATTACCAAAAGGTTCTGCTACCAAGGAATGTGCATTTAGAGCAATGGTCTCCAACTCATTTCCCCAGATTTGTGCCCTGGGAGATTACTGGTCAAAGTCTCCTTTATGAGCCTAAAGCCCACTGATATTACCATACATTTAATAATTTTTTTTCCAGAAAAAAATATAGAAATATTAGACAACCTCTATTAATTATTATAATCAAGTAAGTCTCACCAAAAGATCAAAGAAAAATTACACCAGATGGAATTAAACAGGCAAGGAAGACATTATTCAAGACTATTGCAATAGGGGAGAGAGATTGAACCCAGCTCTGCTCAAACAAAGCTGGAGAGTTTTTAAGTACTGAGATGAGCTAGAGGAAAAGTACTACAGAACATTAACAGGGAGGTTGGCCAATGTGATTAGACCATCTATATTTGCTAATGGGCACTTATTCAATTTATGTTCCTACCTTCCCTGAAAGACTGTGAGATAGGGGTTCTAGCTTTCCTAGTGATTACATTTCAAAGGAATGGCTCCCAGATTCTTAAGAAAGACATTCCTGGGTTGTAGAAGATTTACATCTCAAAAGGACAGAGAAAGAATCTACAATTACAAGTTTTCTAAAGTAAATTATCTAAAAGAAAAAAAAAAAAGGAGGTTGGGGGGATTATAGCTGGGAAGAAAACTGTCTAAAAGTTTAGTCAAGTTGAGGAAAGCATTAAGGCTGTTTTGGATAGGAAAAAAAAAATCAATATTCAATAATTACAAAGTTTGTGTGATAAATCTTTGCCCAAAACCAGCTGGCTATTCATTGCTATTAATCCTCCTTAAATGAAATGATAAGGTTCTAATTTGATGTTAGCACATAAAACTTATCTGATCCAGAAAAGGTTATCAAATATCTGAACATTGCTGGAGCCAACACCACTCAGTCGTGGGTAAATAGAGCTGTATCCACCTCCCAAAAAGTTAGGAGGTCCAGAATGGCTCAGAGGTACAAAATTTTAAAAGATATCACAAGTAAAGATTAACAAGTCTCTTGGTCTTTGGGATACTAAAATCTCTGCCTTATTGTTCTTTTGTTTAAGTATTGAAAAATCAAAGGTTTAGTCTAGAGAAAGGAGTCAGCCCTGATTCTAACAAGAGCCTTAAAAAGTCATTTCTTAGAATTTTGAACTTGAGAACAACATTGCCTCCTGAGAAAATAGGCGTTTACAATTCAGGCCCCCCAACTGTTCATGCGAGGATGCTGTCATATAAATCAAATATTTATAAATCAAGAACTGCCTACAGAGGTCAAGATTAAGAGAACAGTTCTTAATTCTTTGTTGGTTTTTAAAGGATATCGACATTTGTATAACATTTTGAATTAACATAATTATAGAAATGGAGAATAGATTAGTGGCTCCCAGGAGTTAGGGATGGATGGAGAGGGCAAGTGAGATTATAAGGGGCAACATAAGGGATTCCTATGGTGATGGCGCAATTAAGTAGCTTAATTGTGCTGGTAGTCACACCATAATTGCAGCTTGTATCACACAAAGCTACAGATTTGATGAATTGCATAGCTTATTGAGCACCCCTCCCCTACCCCAACCTCCCTTTTCTTAGAGAATTTACTTCAGAAAACTTGTAATTGTAAATTCTTTCTTTCCCTGTCCTTTTAGGATGTAAATCTCCAACAACCCAGGAATGTCTTTTTCAAGGATCTTGGGAGCCATCCCTTTGAAATGTAATCACTAGGAAAGCTAGACCTCCTATCTCACAGTCTCTAAGGGAAGGTAGGAATATAACATCAATAAGCTCAGTGAACACAAACACACACACATATGTATGTACAACCAGTAGAATTTGAATAACCTCCGTGTTTTGTATCTATGTTACTTCCCTGGATTTGACATTGTATTAAAGTTACACAAGATGTCAACATTGGAGAAAATGGGTGAAAGGCACACAGGACCTCACTATACATTTGTTTGCACTTTTCTGAGAATTTATTATTATTGCACAGTAAAAAGTTAAAAACATATATGGATAAATTGCAATGACTCCAGAGGGTGACCAAAATGGTAAGGAACAGGAGATATTTCATCTTAAAACAGAAAGCAGGAAGAGGGGGCACTAAAGACCTTATAATTGTTGAAAGAACTGCATCTGAGATTAAATTTATTCTGGAAGGCAGGTAGAGGTTTAAGAGAGGCAGATTTCAGCTCAATGCAAGGGAAGGTTTTCTAACACTTGGGGCTTTCTGAAATGAAAATGAAGCCTCAATACATAGTAAACGTAATTTCACTGAAAATGTTCAATCAAACTTGAATGACTAATTTTCAAAAACATTGCTAGAGTAATTTCAGAATAGGATAGGAAGATGGATTTTCTAAAGTGTCTTGCCAGAAAAAAAAATCCCCGCAGTTATTATATCTTCTTCTCTGGCTGTATTACTATATACAGACTCAACCCACCTTATACTTACCAACCCAGACTCCAGTTGTAAAAAAAATCAGAATAACTATAATGCACCAAATGCCGCTTTGCTGCATTATCCAGAGAATTTTCAAAGGGTGACACACTTATGTTGCAGTGAGTGGAAAACATTTAGCAAAGTGTTTTCTAAAATAGAGCTGTTCACTCAAAACAGGAAGCACGATGGAATTCAGAAAAAGAAATAATATTGTTGTGCCACAATGTACAATTGCTAACATGTAAAAATTTGAACCAGATTTTCAAAATCTAAATATATACAGAAAAAAATTACCCAAGGTGTTGGAAAACCATTTTCCAGCTCAAAATATATCATGCCCAAGTTTGTTTTAAATTTGTTTATTTAAAATTACAGACACAATGTGTTAAATGTAGAGTAGAACCAAAAAATGTTTAAGATAGAATGGACCATCGGATCCATCTAGTTGAACTGAAGGGCAAGTTACCTAATTCCAGACAGAATTTCCAGGCCAGTGCTTTTTCTACTACACCTTGCTCAATCTAAATTAAATACCTCTTACAACAGTTATGCTGCAAAAAGCATAGAGAAAGACAAACCACGCTTCTGTCAATAGACAGAACAGCTAGAAATATGAATGAACTCAGACAAAAGAAAAAAAAAAACACTCTAATGGAATGATCAGCCATCCCTGAATGTTGTTTTCAAAGTTACAATGATTGAAAAATGTTCATGTTTTTAGTTCATCTGGGTTTTGGTTTTTGTTTTTAAAGAACACAAAGATCAGAAGGAGGAAATGTTTCTACTTTAGGCTCTAGCATGAGGGTCACCCTTGCTATAAAGCTCAAATAAAACTATCTGAGGGACAAAAAGAACCACCTAATCCAGATGACTATGCTGTGGTGGGGAATGGGCAAAAAAGGCAAGCAGTCATAAAATTAGTGCTGAGAAAAGGGACAAAAATAGAGGAGCTGCAAGTTCCATGAGTTCTGAGTAGTGGGCTCCTAATCTGAGGGTGTACTATCAATAGATTTAGTTTTATAGCATCAATAAACTATTACTGCAAGTGAAATTAATAGATTTAAGTATTGATTTCTTTCAGTCTTCTCTAGAAATATACAGCTTTCTTGAAACAGTATTTATATAAATTATATTCTAATGGCTGTTTAGTTTACCCATATATTCATCTAATGCCTACACTAGGGCCACTTTAATGCATCTATCCATTAATTCATTTATTCAACATATATTTACACCATACTTGTTACATGGCCAGTACTCTCCTAGACACTAGAAATACAAATATCAAAAAGAAAATGCCTTAACCTCCCAACCCAATGTAGGATCTTTCTTACAATGTCCCTGAAAGATAGTCTCTGTTTGACTAGATGCAGTGACAGGAAACTGAGTAATTACCTAGGCATCCAATTTTATTTTTGGACTGATGTAATTGTTCAAAAAATTCATTTAAGGTAGTATGAATTATTTTAAAATATTCAAGCAAAAATAATGTCATATCTCAGAAATCAGGAAAATCAAATAAAAACAAATTCACCGAAATTGGCAGGGAAGTCACCATCAGTCATTCCATGGGAAAACACACACCCATACACACACACACCCCAAACACCTGTACATAAATGATACATAATTTGCATACATACACACACATACACACACGAACACACACACAAAGACACAATTTATTTTGAAATGAAAATCAGACATAATCCCTCAGTCATGCTACCGTTTCTCCTCCACTATCTGCCCATTGCAATGGCTCTATATGGGTTCAGGTATTTATTATTCCACTGAGAGTTGGCAGCTCAATTGACCATGGTAGATTATCCCTGAGACCCCAATACTTGACACAAAGTCATTCCCTGCCTCTCACCAGCCACAGATTCAAAGTTCTGACATCCTAAAACTGATAGAGGCTCCAGAAACCAAGTTTACCAGAAAATATACTACCCTGTCTTTTCCAGCGTGTCTGCAGGTCAACCTTTCAAGTCTAAGCACACAGTCTATATCCCTTCTCTTCTTGGACAATTGACTCCATTTGCTTCCCAGAGCTTTGACTTGTTAATTTTTCCTTCAGAGGAAGAAAAACTTAACATAGCAACACCTGAGCACTGAACAACTACTGAGTATAAAAGAAGATTCACTCAAATTTGAGGTTAAAAGACCCTCAGGAAATGACAACCAGAAAACGAAAGAAAGTTATGTGATTTTGCTCAAGATAAATGTAAAATTATTAAAAATGCTAATACATATGCTGAGAAAATAGATATCAGGAAAAAAAGTATAAGTCAATACAGAAGATTAAAATAACAAAAAAGATGTATGTTTAAAGGATAAAAAGGGAAGATGGCCAACTAGACACAGCCAGGAGGAATATCTCCTGCCAAGGGACCAGAACATCTGGAAGACTGGCACACTCATGCAGATATTCAGAGGGAAGGCATTGAACGTGGACAAAGCAAAGACATGGATGCTGGGCTGAAGGCGGAGAAAGCTGGGAATCTTCCACAGGGCTACCATGTACCAGGACTTAACCTCCCAACCCAATGTAGGATCTTTCTTACAATGTCCTAGCCTAGGAACAAGTGTTCCTAGCCCCCAACAACTCCTGCAGAAAGGGTGAATTTTACAGGCAAGGAGCAACCCACTCACTTGCCGTGGGCCTCTGTAATTCCAGCAGAAGGAGATCCCTCAACCACTATGGACACTTGAGATGGCAGGGAGAGCTGCTTAGAGATGTGGTAGGGGCAGAACTCCAGCCAGTGTGGAGCCGAGAAGGTTTGGTGCAGAAGCATCTTTAGTAGAGCAGTCAGAGACACCCATGCCCCTAGGACGACTTGGTCCCATAGGAAGCTTTAGCCCTAGGGGAACTCTCAGATCTGAATTCTGTAGGGCAGTCATGCCCATGAGATTGGGCAGGTCTGACCTGATGACCCCTCAGTCTGCTGGCCTTTCCCGGGGCCCCAGCCTGGCTACACCTGCTTGCAGTGCATCCCTCAGGTACCTCCTAAGGGCCCTTATCATAGTTCCTGAACTGGTGGACAGCACCTAACCTGCAGAGTGCTCCAGCAGAGCAGACCTGCAGACTAACACCAGAATGCCTACACCCTCCTCCAACTGCAACCTCCCCCTTGCTGCTTTGCTTGCATGCACTCACCCACAGCCACCACCTACATTTCTGTACCAGAGCACGTGTAAACAGGTGAAACTTCCCCTCCCTTCCCTGCCAGCATGCACACTTCTGCACCCACCAGTGCCCAACCCTGTGCTAACATGGCCAGCAGTGGAAACACAAACACGGTTGCCAGTGGGGCCCCAATCTCCCAGCCATGCTTCCACTGCCTCTGCTGCAAATGCCATAGCACCCTGCCGCGGTCAGCAAGTGTGCACCTTGCCACATGGCTGCTGCTGCTGCTGCTACTGCTGCCGCTGCTACTGCTGCTGCCGCCGCTGCTGCTGCCACTGCTGCTGCTGCTGCTGCTGGCACATGAGAAGGAGGACAGATCCTTCAAAGAGACTTAAAATCCCCAACAAGCATAGTGGGAGACTTCAACACTCCACTGACAGTATTAGATGGATGATCCAGACAAAATTAACAAAGATGCTCAAGACCTGAACCCAACACTGGGTCAAATGGACCTGATAGACATCTATAAACTCTCCACCCAAAAACAACAGAATATACATTATTCTCATCATCACATGGCAGACTCTAAAATCAACCACACAATCTGACATAAAATAATCCTCAGCAAATGTGAAAGAATCAAAATTATACTGACCGCTCTCTCAAACCATAGCTCTAATAAAGTACAATTCAAGCCTAAGAAAAGCATAAAAACCTTATAATTACATGGAAATTAAACAACCTGCTCCTGAATGACTTTCTGGTAAATAATGAAATAAAGGCAGAAATCAAGAAATTCTTTGAAAGGAATGAGAACAAAGATAAAACATATCAGAATCCCTGGGACACAGCTAAGGCTGTGTTAAAAGGGAAATGTATAGCACTAAACACCCACATCAAAAAGTAACAAAGATCTCAATTTGACAACATAAAATCACAACTGAGAGAACTAGAGAACCAAGAGAAAATGAACCCTAATGCTGGCAGAAGGCAAGAAATAACCAAAATCAGAACTGCACTGAAGGAGACTGGACAAACACAAAATAAATTCAAAAGATCAACAAATTCAGGACCTGCCTTTTTGAAAAAAAAATAAGATTGATAGACCACTATCTAGACTAATAAAAAAGAAAAAAGAAAAGATCCAAATAAAGACAATTAGAAATGACAAAGGGGATATTACCAAAATAATGCCACATATCTACAACCATCTGATCTTTAACAAACCTGACAAAAACAAGCAATGGGGAAAGGATTCCCTATTTAATAAATGGTGCTGGGAAAACTGGCTAGCCATATGTAGAAAGCTGAAACTGGATCCCTTCCTTTCACCTTATACAAAAATTAATTCTAGATGGATTAAAGATTTAAACATTAGACCTAAAACCATAAAAACCCTAGAAGAAAACATAGGCAATACCATTCAGGACATAGGCATCGGCAAGAACTTCATGTCTAAAACACCAAAAGCAATGGCAACAAAAGCCAAAATTGACAAATGGGATCTCATTAAACTAAAGAGCTTCTGCACAGCAAAAGAAACTACCATCAGAGTGAACAGGCAACCTACAAAACGGGAGAAAATTTTCGCAACCTACTCATCTGACAAAGGGCTAATATCCAGAATCTACAATGAACTCAAACACATTTACAAGAAAAAAACAAACAACCCCATCAAAAAGTGAGCGAAGGATATGAACAGACACTTCTCAAAAGAAGACATTTATGCAGCCAAAAAACACATGAAAAAAATGCTCATCACCACTGGCCATCAGAGAAATGGAAATCAAAACCACAATGAGATACCATCTCACACCAGTTGGAATGGTGATCATTAAAAAGTCAGGAAACAACAGGTGCTGGAGAGGATGTGGAGAAATAGGAACACTTTTACACTGTTGGTGGGACTGTAAACTAGTTCAACCATTGTGGAAGTCAGTGTGGCCATTCCTCAGGGATCTAGAACTAGAAATACCATTTGACCCAGCCATCCCATTACTGGGTATATACCCAAAGGATTATAAATCATGCTGCTATAAAGACACATGCACATGTATGTTTATTGCGGCATTATTCACAATAGCAAAGACTTGGAACCAACCCAAATGTCCAACAACGATAGACTGGATTAAGAAAATGTGGCACATATACACCATGGAATACTATACAGCCATAAAAAATGATGAGTTCATGTCCTTTGTAGGGACATGGATGAAAATGGAAACCATCATTCTCAGCAAACTATCACAAGGACAAAAAACCAAACACTGCGTGTTCTCACTCATAGGTGGGAATTGAACAATGAGAACACATGGGCACAGGAAGGGGAACATCACACTCCGGGGACTGTTGTGGGGTGGGGGGAGGGGGGAGGGATAGCATTAGGAGATATACCTAATGCTAAATGATGAGTTAATGGGTGCAGCACACCAGCATGGCACATGTATACATATGTAACAAACCTGCACGTTGTGCACATGTACCCTAAAACTTAAAGTATAATAATAATAAAATTAAAAAAAAAGAAACACAAAAAACCATCAGAGACTACTATGAATACCTCTATGCACACATTAGAAAATCTAGAAGAAATGGACAAATTCCTAGACACATACACCTTCCCACACCTGAATCAGGAAGAAACTGAATACCTGTACAGACCAATAATGAGCTCTGAACTTGAATAAGTAATAAGTAGCCAACCAACAAAAAAGCACAGGACCAGATGGATTCACAGCTGAATTGTACTAGATGTACAAAGAAGAGATGGCATCATTCTTACTGAAACTATTCCAAAAAGTTGAGGAGAAAGGATACCTCCCCAACTCATTTTACAAGGCTAGCATTATCCTGATACCAAAACCTGGCAGAAATACAACAAAAAAGAAAACTTCAGGCCAATATCCTTGACGAACATCAATGCAAAAATTTTCAACAAAATACTGACATTCTGAATCCAATAACACATCAAAAGTTGACCCATCAAGATCAAGTAGGATTTATCCCTGGGATGCAAGATTGGTTCAACATATGCAAATCAATAAACATGATTCATCACATAAATAGAACCAAAGACAAAAACCACCTGATCATCTCAATAGATGCAGAAAAGGCTTTTGATAAAATTCAACACCCTTCATCTTAAAAACTCTCGATAAGCTAGGTATTGCAGGGACATACCTCAAAAGAGTAAGAGCCATCTAAGACAAACCCACAGCCAGCGTCATATTGAATGGGCAAAAGCTGGAAGCATTCCCCTTGAAAGCTGGCACAATACAAGGATGCCCTTTCTCATCACTCCTATTCAAGATAGTCTTGGAAGTCCTGGCCAGAACAATCAGGAAAGAGAAAGAAATAAAAAGCATCCAAATAGGAAGAGAAGAAGTCAAACAATCCCTGTTTGCAGATCACATTATTTTATATCTAGAAAACCCCATAGTCTCAGCCCAAAAGCTTTGTGAACTGATAAACAACTTCAGCAAAGTCAAAGATACAAAACTTACTAGCATTCCTATATACCAACAGCAGTCAAGCCAAGAGCCAAATCAGGAATGTAATCCCATTCACAATAGCTACGAAAAGACTAAAATATTTAGTAATACAGTTAATCAGGGAGGTGGAAGATCTCTAAAACAGGAATTACAAAACACTGCTCAAAGAAATCAGAGATGACACAAACAAATGGGAAAACATTCTGTGTTCATGGATAGGAAGAATCAATATCATTAAAATGGCCATACTGCCCTAAGCAAATTACAGATATGCTATTCCTATCAAACTACCAATGACATTCTTCACAGAATTATAAAAAACTACTTTAAAATTCATATGGAACAAAAAAAAAAAAAAAGAACCCAGCCTGGATAGCCACAGCAATCCTAAGCAAAAAGAACAAAGCTGGAGACATCATGTTAACCCAACTTCAAAGTCTATTACACGGCTACAGTAACCAAACAGCATGATACTGATATAAAAACAGACACATAGACAAATAGAACAGAATAAAGAGCCCTGAAATAAGACCACAACACCTACAACCATCGCAACCAACTAAAAAGCTTTGACAAAGCTGACAAAAACAAGCAATGAAGAAAAGACTTCCTATTCAATAAACGGTGCTGAGATAACTGGCTAGCCATATGCAGAAGACTGAAACTGGACCCCTTCTTTACACCATATACAAAAATGAACTCAAAATGGACTAATGACTTCAATGTTAGAACCCAAAACTATAAAAATCCTGTAAGATAACCTAGACAATACCATTCTGAACATAGGAACTGGCAAATATTTCTTGACAAAGACACCAAAAGCAATTGCAACAAAAGCAAAAATTGAAAAAAAATGAGATCTAATTAAACTAAAATCTTCTGCACAGCAAAAAAAAAATTTAAAAATTAAACAAAAACTATAAACAGAATAAACTGCCTACAGAATTGGAGAATTTTTTTTCAAACTATGCATCTGACAAAAGTCTAATATCCAGCATTTATAAGGAACTTAAACAAGTTTACATGCAAAAAAAAAAAAAGAAAAATCAAAAAGTGGACAAAGGACATGAAGGGACGCTGTTCAAAAGAAGACATACCTGTGGCCAACAAGCATATGAAAAAGGCTCAATATCAGCAGGGCGTGGTGGCTCACACCCGTAATCCCAGCACTTTGGGAGGCCGAGGCGGGCAGATCACAAGGTCAGGAGGTAGAGACCATCTTGGCTAACACAGTGAAACCCCATCTCTACTAAAAATAGAAAAATTAGCGGGGTGTGGTGGCGGGTGCCTGTAGCCCCAGCTACTCGGGAGGCTGAGGCAGGAGTATGGCCGGAACCTGGGAGGTGGAGCTTGCAGTGAGCCGAGATCCCGCCACTGCACTCCAGCATGGGCGACAGAGCCAGACTCCGTCTCAAAAAAAAAAAGAAAGAAAAAGGCTCAATATCACTGATAGCTAGAGAAATGCAAATCAAAACTACAATGAGATGCCATCTCCCACCAGTCAGAATGGCTATTACTAAAAAATCAAAAAATAACAGATTCTGGCAAGGTTGCATAGAAAAAGGAACACATACACTATTGGTGGGAGTGTAAATTAGTTCAGCCATTTTGGAAGGCAGTGTGGTGATTCCTCAAAGAGCTAAAAGCAGAACTATCATTTCACCCAGCAATCCCATTACTGAGTATATACCCAAAGGAATATAAATCATTCTACCATAAAGACACACACACACACATATGTTCATTGAAGCACTATTCACAACAGTGAAGAAATGGAATCAACCTAAATGCCCATTATGGTAGACTAAAGAAAATGTAGTACAGATACACCATGGAATACTATGTAGCTATTAAAAAGGATGAGATCTTGTCCTTTGCAGGAACATGGATGGAGCTGGAGGTCATTACCTTAGCAAACTAACACAGTAACAGAAAACCAAATACTGCATGTTCTCACTGGTAAGTGGGAGCTAAATGATGAGAACGCATGGACACAAAGAAGGGAACAATAGAAACTAAGGCCTTCCTATGGGTGAAGGGTGGAAGGAAGTAGAGGAGCAGAAAAAATAACTATTGGGTACTAGGCTTAATACCAGGGTGACAAAATAATCTGTACAACAAACCCCGTGACACAAGTTTACCTATATGACAAAGGTGCACATGTACTTATGAACCTAAAATAAAACTTTAAAAAAAAAGAAAAACTTGGATATCAAAGAAAGCTCTGGCTATTTCTTTGAAAGAAAGAAGGGGACAATGTTTTCATTTGTTCAAGGATAAACACAGAATTCATAAAACAAGACATGGTTAATATTTCCATCTGTGGTTCTGCATAATAAATTTGTAACAAGTCATCAGATACATTTGTCATGAGATGAAATCTCTCATTCTGTAAGTTCTTCCAAGCAGTCCTAATCAAACCTCTTGTCAAGTCTAGCATCAAAGGAAAGAAGTCATGCTATTTTAAGGCAGCTCTCAGGTCTACCAAAGTCTAAATACGCTCAATGCCTTCCAAAGTACCCAGCAGCATTTCACCATGTTGAACACTGAAAACCTCTAAGGTTACTAATAAATTCTTTTTAATAAATAGAAGAATGATACGCCAGAATAGTGGCTGATATTAATGCATTTGATTTTGTACCTCAGGAATCAAATTCAATGATAGGTGATTTTAGCTTGGGCTAAAATTAATCCAGAACTTCTGCACTTCTTGATAACTCTTTTTCTCTCTCCATTCTCTGGTCAGCTGATAAAACTGTCTCATAAGCAAGTTCATTCCAGATGTGGTGATTAATCCATCAGGCTATCATAGCTTTGAGTCTAATTATTAAGATGATTCAACTAACTCTCTGCTTTCTATTACTCTTTGTGTATTAATAACTCACTATGACTTGTATAAAGAAATAGAAAAACGGTGAAGGAACCTATACAAGTTTATTCAATGGTGAAACAAAGGAGAGGTGATCAATTTAATCAGGGAAAGTTGATGAGAAGTGTGTCAATAAAAGTTGTAAGGAAGAGGGAAAATGGGAAATGCAACTTTGTTAGTTGCACCAGGATGGAAAAGAGAAGATCAGGCCTGCCCCAGACTGAAGCCAATCAGGTTCCAACAGAGCAGAACTATAAAGAGCTGGAGCTTCACGAAATCACTCGTTCAAGTCAACATTTCCATAGTTGGATGAATTAGGGGATTTTGCCTTTCTTCTCTGGCCAACCCCTTACTTTTCTTCAAATAATGTAAATCCCTGCCTTAATTTCCAGTATTTGTATTCCCCAAGGCTTAGGTCCTTACCTTCCCTTTCAAGCATCCAAGGAGACATTTTTCTGTTTCTAGACCCAAACCTTATAACAGGGCCCCCTATCTACCTCAAAGTCAGCCTGCCTAGACTTCCACTGAATGTCTGAATTCTTTTTGCTACCAAAATGCTGAGATGTTTTCGTATCTGGGATTCCTTAATTTGGAGATTTTTGGTAACTTCTATGAGAACTCTTCCAACTAATGGGTTTATCTGGTTTTTCCAATCTTTCTCAGTCTAGCCATCATAGCCAAAGTTATAATTATAATTCAAGTTGTGAAATATCTGCTTTGCTTGTAAAGAGCAAAATTGACTTGCATGTGATTTTTTCACTTAACTCAAAAAATAATACTGTAGTATTTGGAGTATAATATATTTAAAGTGATTTACAGTAAAACAAAGTGACAACAGAACATAGCAATCCATATAATGAACCAAACAATAACATAATAGCATAGATTTATGACTTAGTTAAATGTTCAAACTTTGAGCTGAAGTAGCTGCTCATAAATGCTGTCTATTGAATTAATCTCTGAACAACCTATTGACTCACATGTCACCAATAAATATTACTATAATATTAAAAATAATGATACTAATACTGTTTGAAAGGTCAATTTAAAAAGTTAAACAAGAAGAGTTCCAGTTCTGGGTAGGATGGAGTAGTTTGTGGCAAACTAAAGTTGCCAAAAAGAAAAAAAACTAGAAAAGACAGGAAAAAAATGTTTGTAATCATCAGAGGTCTGAGAAAGCAATTTGTACCATGGAAGTTAAAGTTCCAAAGAAGACAGAACCTCAGAAAGGTAAGCTAATGATCTGAAGCCACTTTCTTCCTGTGAGTATCTGGTCACTCTAGGCTCAGGCAAGAGGGTGAGAATCTGGCAGGGAATGACACAATGTTAGGGTGACAAAATCAGAGTCTTGAGAGGTCTGAAAACATGCTGGCATCTTCAAGACATTTTCCAAATTCTGAAGGCACACATGGCTGGAAGTAGAAATCTCTGAACAGAAAAAGGGTTTTCAGTCTTAAAGATTTGAACACTATGGATTAATGTTAAGAAGCCACCACCAGGGAAGGGTTCCCAGTGAGTACAGCAGGATCCTAGTACAAAGCTCCATAGAACTATACCCTAGGATAAAGAAAGGAAAAAAAAAACACTAGTTGCAACTTTAAAAATAATTTTTAAATGCAATTCACTCTTAGCACTGCTCAGTACCTGTTTTAGTCCGTTTTCACGCTGCTGATAAAGACATACCCAAGACTGGTACAAAAGAAAGAGTGTTATTGAACTTAACAGTTCCACATGGCTGGGGAGGCCTCACAATCAAAGGGAAGGTGAAAGGCACATCTCACATGGTGGGAGACAAGGGAAGAGAGCTTGTGCAGGGAAACTCCCCTTTTAAAAATCATCAGATCTCTTGACGCTTACACACTATCATGAGAACAGCATGGGAAAGACCTACCCCCATGATTCAGTTACCTCCCACCAAGTGCCTCACACAACACATGAGAATTCAAGATGAGAATTGGGTGGGGACACAGAGCCAAACCACATCATTCTGCCCCTGGCCCTTCCCAAATCTCATGTCTTCACATTTCAAACCCAATCATGCCTTCCCAACAGTCCCCGAGAGTCTTAACTCATTTCAGCATTAACTCAAAGTCCACAGTCTATAGTCCAAAGTTTCATCTGAGACAAGGCAAGTCCCTTCCACTTAAGAGCCTACAAAATGAAAAGCAAGTTAGTTACTTCCTAAATACAATGGTGGTTCAGGCATTGGGTAAATACAGCCATTCCAAATGGGAGAAATTGGCCAAAACAAAGGGGCTACAGGCCCCATGAAAGTTTGAAATCTAGCAGGGCAGTTAAATCTTAAAGCTCCAAAATGATTTCCTTTGATTCCATGTCTCACATCCAGGTCATGCTTATGTAAGAAATGGGTTCCCATGGTCTGGGGCAGCATTGCCCCTGTGGCTTTTCAGGGTATAGACCCCCTCCTGGCTGACTTCATGGGCTGTCATTGAGTATCTGCAGCTCTTCCAGGCATATGGTGCAAGCTGTTGGTAGATCTACCATTCTGGGATCTGGAGAACAGTGCCCCTCTTCTCACAGCTCCACTAGGCAGTGCCCCAGTACAGGCTCTGTGTGGGGTCTCTGACCCCATATTTTCCTTCCACACTGCCCTAGCAGAGGTTCTCCATGACAGCCCCATCCCTGCCACAAACCTCTGCCTGGACATCCAGGTGTTTCCATATATCTTCTGAAATCTAGGCAGAGGCTCCCAAACCTCGATTCTTGACTTCTCTCCACCTGCAGGCTAAACACCACGTGGAAACTGCCAAGGTTTGGGACTTGTACCCAATGAAGCCACTGCCTGAGCTGTACCTTAGCCCCTTTTAGTCACAGCTGGAGCAGCTAGGGCACAGGGCACCAAGTCCCCAGACTGCACACAGCACAGGGATCCTGGGCCTGGCCCACAGAACCATTTTTTCCTCCTAGGCCTCTGGGCCAATGATGGGAGGGGCTGCTGTGAAGACCTCTGACATGCCCTGGAGACATTTTCCCCATTGTCTTGGGGAATTAACATTCAGTTCCTCATTACTTATGCAAATTTCTGGAGCTGGTTGAATTTTTCCTCAGAAAATGGGATTTTCTTTTCTAGCACATTGTCAGGCTGCAAATTTTTGAAACTTTTATGCTCTGCTTCCCTTATAAAACTGAATGCCTTTAACAGCACACAAGTCACCTTTTGAGTGTTTTGTTGCTTAGAAATTTCTTCTGCCAGATACCCTAAATCATCTCTCTCAAGTTTAAAGTTCCACAGATCTCTAGGGCAGGACAAAATGCCTCCAGTCTCTTTGCTAAAACATAACAAGAGTCACACCTTTGCTCCAGGTCCCAACAAGTTTCTCATCTCCATCTGAGAACATCTCAACCTGGACCTTATTGTTCATATCACTATCAGCCTTTTTTTCAAAGCCATTCAACAAATCTCTAGGAAGTTCCAAACTTTCCCACATGTTTCTGTCTTCTTCTGAGCCCCCCCCCAACTATTCCAATCTCTGCCTGTTACCCAGTTCCAAAGTTGCTTTCACATTTTTAGGTATCTTTTCAACAATGCCCCACTCTACTGATACAAATTTACTGTATTATTCCATTTTCATGCTGCTGATAAAGACATACCTGAGACTGGGCAATTTACAAAAGAGAGAGGTTTATTGAAATCTAGAACAATACTTCTTCTTTTGTAAATTGAGAGTTCAATAAACCATTTCTTTGTAAATTGTCCAGTCTCAAGTATGTCTTTGGAACTTATATACTTCTTCTTTTGTAAATTATTTTGTAAATTGCCCTGTCTTGGGTATGCCTTTGGAACTTACATTTCCAGATGGCTGGGGAGGCCTCACAATCATGGTGGAAGGTGAAAGGCACATCTCACATGGCTGAAGATAAGAGAAGAGAGCTTGTGCAGGGAAACTCCCGTTTTTAAAACCATCAGATCTCATAAGACTTATTCACTATCATGAGAACAGCAAGAGGAAGACCTGCCCCCATGATTCAATTACCTCCTACCAGGTCCCTTCCGTAACACATGGGAATTCAAGATGAGATTTGCATGGGGACACAACCAAGCCATATCAGTCCCCAATTAGATCAATGTGTTCAGCCTCCACTCTGTCTGCCCAACAGAAAAAAAACATGAGCACTCTCTAGTGAATGATATATTCAGCTGGATAAGCCATAATTTTTGTAACCAATGTCTGACATTAAATAAAAATTATTAGGCATGTCAAAAATAATACCATAAGAATGAAAACCAAGAGGAAAATGATCAAAAAAGTGGATTCACAAGTGATACAAATATTACTTTAGCAGACAAGGGCTTTAAAAGAAATATGAATAATAGGTTCAAAGAATGAGAGGAAATGATAGATAAACCTTAATAAATTGGGCATTTTATCACAAATTGGAATCTATAAAATAATCGCATGGAAATTCTGGCATTAGAAATATATCTGGACTGGGCAAGGTGACTCACACGTGTAATCCCAGCTCTTTGCGAGGCCAAGGCAGAGGGGTCACTTGAGGTCAGGTGTTCAAGACCAGCCTGGCCAACATGGTGAAATCCATCTCTACTAAAGATACAAAAATTAGCTGGGTGTGATTGTGTACACCTGTAATCCCAACTACTCACGTGGCTGAGACAGGTGGAGGCTGCAGTGAGCCAAGATCACACCACTGCACTCCAGCCTGGGCAACAGAGTGAGACTCTGTCTCAAAAAAATTTATATATATATATCTGTTATTAGAATGCAATAGATAGGTTAATAATAGGTTGGAAATAGCAGAAAACATAATTGTTCATCTGGAAGACAGACCAATTTCTGAACAGAAATACAAAGAAAAAAAGAATGAAAAATCCAGGAAAGATCATTAGAGACATGTGCGATGTAAGGGAAAGATCTCATGCAATGTACCAGTAGAGCACAGAAGAAGAGGATAGAAACCATGAGGAGAAAAAATATTTGAAAAGACAATGACCAGAAACTTTCTACTGATGAAAGACATAGCAATCCAGATTTAAGAAATCTACAAGTAGTATACCCACAAGTAGGATAAATACAAAACTATACTTAGGCATATAATAATAAATCAGCTGAAAACCAAAGTTTGTAATGTGTCAGCCTGCTTTTAAGATTTTCATGTATGATTTAACATGTAACAATTTTTAAGCCAATAATTTTCCACAAAACAGCTCTAGAAAAGTTACAACGCATTTCAGAAATATATGTTTTCCGTACAGCAACTTTTCCTCTGAAAACCACATAGTATTAGTTTCCTAGGAATGCTGTAGCAAACCACAAGCAAGGTGGCTTAAAACTACAGATATGTATTGTCTCACAGTTATGGAGACCAGAAGTCCTAAATCAAGACACCAGCAAGGCCACTCTCCCCCTGAAATCTATAGAGGAGAATCCTTCTTTGCTTCTTCTAGCTTCTGGTGTTTGCCTGCAGTTCTTGGCATTCCTTGGCTTACAGATGCATCATTCTAGTTTCTGCCACTATCTTCAGGTGGCCATCTCCCTCTCTTTCTCTCTGTCTCTCTCTCTCTTTCTCCTTCTTGTCCTCCCACTCTTATCTTCCTCCTCCTCTCCTCTTTCTCCTCGTCCTCTCCTCCTCCTCTTCTCCTCCTCCTCCTTTTTCTTCTCCTTCTTTTCTTCATCTTCCTCTTCTTCCTCCTCCTCCTCTTATTCAGACACTAGTATTATTGGACTAGGGCCCACCCTACTCCAGTATAACCTTATCTTAATTTAACTGACTACATCTACAAAGACTCTATTTCCAAATAAGGTCATATTCTGAAGTTCCAGGAGTAGAATCTCAACATATCTTCTTGGAAGACACAATTTAACCTCATAAAGCCTACTAAATAATTATATTATGATAAGTGATAGGTCAACAAGATCAACAACTTATTAAATACCACAGTTTCTAGTTACAAAATAGTAAATGTTACAAATATAAATTGCACACTAGGTTTAGATGATTTACATTGTTTCCCATGTGTACTTCAGCTAAAAAGGAGAAGTAGCATTTTCTTTTTTTTTTTCTTTCTTTTTTTTTTTTTTGAGGCAGAGTCTCACTCAGTCGCCCAGGCTGGAGTGCAGTGGCTCAATCTCCGCTCACTGCAAGCTCCACCTCCCGGGTTCATACCATTCTCCTGCCTCAGCCTCCCGAGTAGCTGGGACTACAGGTGTCCGCCACCACGCCCAGCTAATTTTTTTGTACTTTTTTAGTAGAAATAGGGTTTCACCGTGTTAGCCAGGATGGTCACAATCTCCTGACCTCGTGATCCGCCCGCCTCGGCAGAAGTAGCATTTTCAACAATTCTTTTTTTCCCAACTTTTATTTTAGGTTCAAGGTGTACATGTGCAGGTTTGTAAAATGGGTAACTTGCATGCACAGCAGTTTGGTGTACAGATAATTTTGTCATCCAGATAATGACAACATAATAACCAATAGGAAGTTCTCTGAAAGTAGAATTTCCCACCATTTTTTCAATCTGTTGCATGTTTGTGCCATGTTTGTGTGTTTGAAGCTCTCTCATATTTAGTCTTAATTTCCCCTTAAAGGTGTTCTTGTGGCTATAAATTTCTGTTAGGTGTAGTTTGAGTATTAGCCAAACAACAGCCCCCAAAAAGTTGAAAAATTGGTGACCATAATGGTGCAGGAAGAATGACTCTGCTGCACACCTCCTTTACCAACTGCTACCTATTAAGTCTTCTGTGTTCTTCTTTTGATGAGCAAAATCAACCATCATTTATTTCATTTATAGCACTTATTTACTTTCAATATTTGGGTTATTACATTATAAATCTGTTTTCTTTGTTCAGTCCAATTCATTTGGGTATCTTTGGTTGAGGTGGATCATATAACATTTCTTATTAAAATTAATAGAATTTTTCATTTAATGTCTCTTCACCTAAGGTCAGGATTTTCAAGAAAAATTAAAATCATTAAGTGAAAGGTGTAAATTCAAAGGAATAACAATAAGGCTGAAAGAAACTTCTAAATAGAAATGAGAAGCCAAAAACAATAAAAAAGACTTCCTTAAAGTGCTAAAAGAAAATAACTGTCAACCTCTAACATAAAAAATATCATTCAAAAATAAAGGTGAAACAAAAGCATTATTCAAATACATAAAAACTGAGAAAATGTATATCCATCAAAGCTTCATATTTTAAAAAAATTCCAGAAGAATATCTTAGGAAGAAGGAAAATATCACCAAAATGCTAGGAGAAATGAAAAGCAGTGTGTAACTCAATGGCTACATATTTGTGTAAGTATAAATGAATATTAATTTGATAATAGTAAAGTCTTCTTGGATTTAAAGTAGATATATAATTAAAATACACAGCAGTGTACCATAAAAAGAAGTGAGGGGGTAAATGTAACATGGTTAAGATTCCAGTATTATCAGGGAAGTGGTAGAATTAATAATTGCTAACAGACCATAATAAGTAGAGGATGCATGTTATAATCTATCTTATCAGAACCACTAAAAAGATAGTGAAAGAAGGCAGGATTGCAGCAATATGGACAACTAGATGCAGCCAGGTGGAACAGCTGCTACCAAGTGACTGGGACAACCAACACACTTCTAACAGATCTTCAGAGGGAAGGCACTGAGAGTGGATGGAGGGAAAACACAGGGCTAAACTGAAGCCGGAAGTTGCTGGGAACCCTATGTAGGGATACCATGCACCGGGACTCATTTTGGGCCCCCAGTGACTCTGGGAGAAGAGATGAGTTAAACTAGTGAGGAGCAACCTGCTCTTTCACCATGGGCCTCTGGAATTCCAGCAGGAGGAGATGCCTCAACCACCACCGACACTTGAGTTGGCAAGGAGAGCTGCTTAGAGAAGTGGTAGGGGCAGCACACCAGCTGATATGGAGCCCAGATGGTTTGGTGCAGGAGTGTCTGTAGCAGGGCATAGCCAGGGATGCTCATCCCCCTAGGCTGGACTTACTCCCATAGAAGACTGTAGCCCTGGAGGAACCGTCAGACCTGAACTCTGCAGGGCAGTCTTACCTATGAGATATGGCCAGTCTGACCTGAGGACCCCTCAGCCTGTTGGCCTCTCCTAGGGTACTAGCCTAGCAGCCCTGCATGCAATGCAGCCGCCAGGTACCTCCTAGGGGCCCTCATCATAGCTCCTGCACTTGCAGACCAGTGGAGAGCTCCAGCAGGGTGGCCCCCACGGGCATGCACCAGCCCACTGAATCCCTCCCACCACTTCAGCTTCCCCTGGCCCGTGGCCACCCCCCATATTACTTTGTTGTCACATGTGTGCATGGGCAGTTTTTACCTTCCCTGACCTACCAGCACAACTGTAAGCATACACCATGTCCTGCCACTGCTGCTGGCAGGAGTGCACTTCACATCTCCTACCCCACCATACTGCCATTGCAATCAGAGCCTTGGCTGACACAGAGCCTGCCAGACCCAATCCACCAGCACCCTGCTCCTGTACAAACACTGCAGCTGGAGTGAAATTAGGCATGGAGAACAGTAGACCATCTCCCACCCTGAGTGGTTAGCCCTGAGTGAACATACACAAAGGGTGCACCAGACCTGCACCTACCAGCACCCTGCCCCATGCTAAAACCACAACCAGTGCAACCATGCACGCAGTCACCAGCAGCCCCCTCAAAACACACACACACACCGGCCCCTGCAAGCTGTGCTGCCTCTGCAGCTGCTGTGAATGCCCACATGGAGGCAGGCACCCCAGTAACAGTAACCACTGGCACCCTGCCAGAGCCAATGAGCATGCACCCCACCATATTGCTGCTGCTAGCACATGCAAAGCAAAATGGATTTCACTGCCACCACCCTGCAAAACACTGGTTGGACCACCCATTGGACAGACTAGTGGTCTGGGAGCATCTCAACACCCCCCAGTACAATCTTCCTAACCTCAAGGACCCATAGAACAAAGGTGGAGTCTGATACAGGTCTCCCAAAGTTAGGGCATGCAGTCCAGAAGTCTGGAACTGAGCCTTGGCCCCTAAAACCTTCCAGAAATGAAGCAAGTAAACTGACCCTACCTTATACCACAATCCAACCTTCAAAGGCATCCAATAGGACCAAAGAAAATACCCATCCAAAGAACAATAACTTCAAAGATTTAACAAACATCAGCCCACAAAGATGAGAAAGAACCAGTGTGAAAACTCTGACAACTCAAAAAGCCAGAGTGCCTTCATTCCTCCAAACAACCACACAACCTCTCTAGCTAGGGTTCTGAATGAGGCTGAGATGGCTGAAATGACAGAAAGATAATTCAGAATATGGAACGGAATGAAGATCATTGAGAGGCAGGAGTACGTTGAAACCCAATCCCTGGAAGCTAAGAATCACAGAAAAATGATACAGGAGCTGACAGGACAAATAGCCAGTATAGAAAAGAGCATAACTGACCTGGTAGAGCTGAGAAACAAATGACAAGAATTTCATAAAGCAATTGCAAGTATTAATTGCAGAATAGACCAAACTGAAGAATCTCAGAGCTTGAAGACTGCCTTTCTGAAATATGATAGACAAAAATACAGGGAAAAAATGAATTAAAATTAACAAACAAAACCTCTGAGAAATATAGAATTATATAGAGACCAAATCTATGACTCACTGGTGTCCCTGAAAGAGAAGACGAGAATGGAACCAACTTGGAAAACATATTTCAGGATATCATCCATGAGAACTTCCCCTATCTAGCTAGAGAGGCCAACATTCCAACTCAGGAAATGTAGAGAATTCCAGTTAGATACTTCACAAGATCATTCCCAAGACACATAATCATCAGATTCTCCAAGGTCAAAATGAAAGAAAAAAATGTTAAAGACACTAGAGAGAAAGGTCAGTTCACCTACAAAGGGAAGCCCATCAGACTAAAAGCAGATCTCTCAGCAAAAACCCTACAAGCTAGAAGAGATTGGGGGCCAATATTCAACATTCTGAAAGAAAAGACATTCCAACACAGAATTTTATATCCAGCCAAACTAAGCTTCATAAGTGAAGGAAAAATAAGATCCTTCTCAGAAAAGCAAATGCTGAGGGAATTTGTCACCACCAGTTCTACCTTAAAAGAACTCCTAAAGGAAGCACTAAATATATGAAGGAAAGACCATTGCCAGCCACCAAAAAAACACACTTGAGTACACAGATAAGTTACACTATAAAGCAACCACACAAACAAGTCTGCATCATAACCAGCTAATATCATGATGACAGGATCAAATCTACACATATCAATACTAACCTTGGATGTAAATCGGCCTAAAGCCCCAATTAAAAGGCACATAGTGGTGAGCTGGATAAAGCAACAAGACTCTACTGTATGCTGTCTTAAAGAGATCCATCTCATATGCAATGACATCCATAGGCTCAAAATAAAAGGATGGAGAAAAATCTACCAAGCAAATGGAAAACAGAAAAATGCAGGGGTTGCAATCCTAATTTCAGACAAAACAGACTTTAAACCAACAAATAACAAAAAAAAGACAAAGAAGGGCATTACATAGTGGTAAAGGGTTCAATTCAACAAGAAGATCTAACTATCTAAAATATATAGGCACCCAACACAGGAGTTATAGGACTACAATCACCAAAACCGCATGGTACTGGTATAAATCAATCAATCAATCAATCAACAAATCACCAGATACATTGACCAATGGAACAGAATAGAGAACCCAGAAACAAGACAACACGTATACAACCATCTAATCTTCAACTAAGCCAACAAAAGCAAGCAATGGAGAAAGGACTACCTATTCAATAAATGGTGCTGGGATAACTGGCTAGCCATGTGCAGAAGATTGAAACTAGATCCCTTCCTCACACCACATACAAAAATCAACTCAAGATGAACAACTTCAATGTAGCACCCAAAACTATAAACACCCTGGAAGACAACATAGGCAGTAACATTCTAGATATTGGAACTGGCAAAGATTTCATGATGAAGACACCAAAAGCAAGTGCAACAAAAGCAAAAATTGACAAATGGAATCTCATTGAACTAACAAGTTCCTTCAGAGCAAAAGAAATGATGAACAGAGTAAAAAGAGAGTCTACAGAATGGGAGAAAATTTTTGCTAATCTATGCATCTGACAAATGTCTAATATCGAGCATTTATAAGGAACTTAAACAAATTTACATGCACAAAAGCCATAGAAAAGTGGACAAAAGACACGAACAGTTTTCAAATGAAGACGTACTTGTGGCTAACAAGCATGTGAAAAAATGCTCAACATCACTGATCATTAGAGAAATGCAAATCAAAACTACAATGATATACCATCTACAATGATATACCATTTAGAATGGCTATTACTAAAATGTCAAAAAATAATAGATGCTGGTGAGGTTGCATAGAAAAGGGAACGCTTATACACTATTGATGGGAGTGTAAATTAGTTCAGCCATTGTGGAAGGCAGTGTGGGGATTCCTCAAAGAGCTAAAAACAGTACTATTCAGCCCAGCAATCCCATTACTGGGTGTATACCCAGAGGAATGTAAATCATTCTACCATAAAGACACATGCACCTGTATGTTCATTGCAGCATAGCAAAGACATGGAATCAACCAAAATGCCCATCAATGGTGGGCTAACTAAAGAAAATGTGGTACATATACACAGTGAAATACTATGCAGCCATAAAAAAGAATGAGATCGTGTCCTTTGCAGGAATATGGATGGAGCTGGAGGCCATCATCCCTAGCAAAGTAACTCAGGAACAGAAAACCAAATATCATGTATTCTCTCTTATAAGTGGGAGCTAAATGATGAGAACACATGGACTAATAGAAGGAAACAACAGACACTGGGGTCTTCCTGATGGTGAAGGGTGGGAGAAGGGAGAGGATTAGGAGAAATAATTAATGAGTACTAGGCTTAGTATCATGGTGATGAAATAATCTGCAAAAAACCCCCATGACGTGGGTTTATCTATATAACAAACCTGTACATGTATCCCTGAACTTAAAATAAAAGTTAAAAAAATTAAAAATTAAAAACAAATGCAAAACTAACCAGTTACAAAATGAAACAAAAGAAAATTTATATATATATATGTATATATGTGTGGATATATATGTGGATATATATGGATATATATACAGGATCTGTGTATATATATACATATGCACACACAAATATATACAGGTCCTGTACATAATAAGTATTCAATTAATTATAATTGTTGTGTGGCTGGAGTACAATGGCGTGATCTCGACTCAATATGAATTCCCTCTGCTTGTTCTGTATTACTCATCTATTTTCTTTTCTTTCTTTTTTTTCTTTTTTAGACAAAGTCTCACTCTGTCACCCAGGCTGGAGTGCAGTGGCATGATCTCCGCTCACTGTAACCTCTGCCTCCCAAGTTCAAGTGATTCTCCTGCTTCACCCTCCCAAGTAGCTGGGATTACAGGCATGCACCACCATGCCCAGTTAATTTTGTATCTTTGTAGAGACAGGGTTTCTCCATGTTGGTCAGGCTGGTCTCAAACTCCCAACCTCAGTACTGCTTCATTACCACTCCCAATCACAAATTCTACTGATGGTTAATTTGTAGGCTGAGATCACAAATCATCATGAAACACAGGTGGTATTCTAGAGTTTCCTTGTGATACAACTCTGTTGAGTAGGCTTCAATTCTGTTGTACTTGCAACATTTGAAAACTAAATGGTAAGATGACTTGCAAGTAGCTGTTGAATAATGAATGATGTGGTATAGCCACAAGGATACAGTAATTAATATTTAAGAGTGACAGGCTCACCTCCCTGGGAATGGAGCAGAAAGTCCAGCACAATGAGTGGCTATATAAAAAGATTACTCGTGCAGCAAAATCCAGAAGCTAAACTCTAGTAAAAATCCATAAACAGGCCGGGCGCGGTGGCTCACGCCTGTAATCCCAGCACTTTGGGAGGCCGAGGCGGGCGGATCACGAGGTCAGGAGATCGAGACCATCCCGGCTAAAACGGTGAAACCCCGTCTCTACTAAAAATACAAAAAATTAGCTGGGCGTAGTGGCGGGCGCCTGTAGTCCCAGCTACTTGGGAGGCTGAGGCAGGAGAATGGCGTGAACCCGGGAGGCGGAGCTTGCAGTGAGCCGAGATCCCGCCACTGCACTCCAGCCTGGGCGACAGAGCGAGACTCCGTCTCAAAAAAAAAAAAAAAAAAAAAAAAAAAAAAAAAAAAAAAAAAAAAAAAAAAATCCATAAACAACTGATTCGTCAAATAATTAATTTCCTTCCTTTATTTAGTGTACAAAGTATTTTTGGGTCTACAGTGTTTTGAAAAGGGATACGTTCACTCCGCTGTTTTTGTATGAGACCCACTTCTACACATTTTCTTGCTACTTGTAAGTAGTAAGTACAACCCCTCCCAAATGTTGGGGTAGCATCACTAATCTGATTAGTAGAGAGGGTTCAGATGACTGAGGGGTCACTAATCTGATGAGTCAGGGCCCAGAACATGCACTGGGTCATGGTTTGCTAGAGGTTGAGGTTATTGGGCCTTCAAGTCAGCACTCTGAAGGATGGCTGTCTCTTCTATTTTCTGTCCCAAACTTTTTCACACCTCCTCTACATCCCCAACTGTGTCATCAGTTAGGGAAGAGTCATCACTGAATACCAAGACATTTTTTTCCTCAAAGGCTTGCTTTAGTGTCCCAAATTTAGACTTACAGATGGAATGCCTCTAGCTATGTGCTCCAACTCGGTTTATCAGAGGGCCCTGCAATTAGAGATTGGAAATTCCTAATATGGATAATAATAAACTTATACTTTATTGCCAGGTTTTTTCCTTATGCATAGTTCCCACTTTTTAAAAACTGTTAAGGAGGGATAGATGATCAATAATAGAGCAAATTTTGGACACTATAGAGTCTCTAACCATAACCTCACCTTAATTGTACCAAAACACAACTTCCATCATAATACACTTTTCAGCTACAGTCATGTCATCATTCTAGCCATAACTGAAAATTATTATAAATACCATAATATTT
Source organism: Homo sapiens (assembly GCF_000001405.40). Classification (NCBI taxonomy): domain Eukaryota; kingdom Metazoa; phylum Chordata; class Mammalia; order Primates; family Hominidae; genus Homo; species Homo sapiens. Next base: position 183,384,453 of record NC_000002.12, on the reverse strand, counting down.
TAATATGCAAAATCTATCTAAATATATTAATAGTAGTTTTAATTTTATATGTACAAATATGACACGTGCACAAGTATTTTATATCCTACAAACATATGAATATGACACTAAGAATACTTGGAAGTCTAGGCTCTCTATAAGTTTGCATTATTAATCAAAGTTTAAAGTGAGTTCTGTAATATTATATAGAATTATAGAGTTGTAGGTTCATTAATTGGGTCTCTTTTGGTTGTAAGTGATGGAACGCCAACACAAGCTGGCTTAAGTTTAAAAAAAATTATTGACACAGAGATGAAAAGTACAAGGGTAGAACTGGCTCAAAGGCTTGGCAATCCAATTACTCAAAGAATGTCATTATGATCTGTCTTCATCTCTCAATTCCTCTTTTTTCTGGGTTGCCTTCTTCATCAGACAAGCTTTCCACATAATATGGCCACAGCAAATTCTACTTAGAAACCACAGTACACTGAGATGGTCCCTTTCCTGACAGTTACAGCAGAAGCCCATGGCTGCTTCTCATAGGCCCAGTTTAAATCATATACCTAACTCTGAAACAATCCCTGTGACTAAATATTTGGATCTTGGTCTTGTACCCAACTGTAAACCACATGGACTAAGGGTTTGAGAGAAATGGATTTCCTTTGAAAAGTCAGGGTACAATTAACAAGAAAAGAAATGGGGATGGGCAAGATAAAAATAAACAAAATGTCTATTATAAGTACTTTCTATAAAAATTTCCCTATAAGGGAGAAATCTTGTTTAATCAAATCTCTGGACCTGATAATGAAACACCTGTATAAATACCATATTTCAACATTTTTCTCTGAATGTAAGAAATCCAATTTCACAACATTTGAAATTACCCAGAGTGTAATTATAAGCCAGCGTGCTCATCCATGCAGTGATTCTTTCCCCTCCTCCCCAACTTCTTACTACCATTTAAACTGTCTCTTTTGATGGCTCCAACTTGATGGAGATATGTATTTATCATAAATTCAAGTTTGAGACAGGCACAAAGGGAGAAACATAGTCTGTATATTCTATATAATTTATTCATGATTATAGACATTAGAAGTTTAAAATTAGAAATTACCTAATGTACCACTACTTTCTATGTTGTAGAAAGATTTTTAAATGCTGCCTTGAAATAGATCATTACTTAGAAAAATATTCATACATTGAAACTCTTCATAGCTTCCTCAGTTTGGCTATATAAATGATATAGATTGTAGGACTTTCATGCTACTTATTTCATGCTACTTATTAACTTACTGATTTGTTGTGGGTATAATCCACTGGACTGAACAAAGATTATATATGGTATATCAGAGCTTCACCTTGGGTATTGCATGAAATCGAGAACAAAACCCTTATGAATCATATACTCTGCCTTCATTATAAAGAATAAAAGGACATGTAAAAGACCTATACCAAGTTAATAAATGTGAAGCACTCCTCTTTCTCTCCCTTTTGTCCATGACAGACATCACCAATTGATCATTGCACTTCTCACATCCTTATCAAAATAGCACTCCAAGAAGCCACTACAAAACAAGGAAGCACTGAAAAATAAAACTATTTACCAATTTTGTTCTTAAGAATGTTGATTTAATCAACCAACAAGAATTGAAAAATTACCTTTGCCAATAGTCTTATATGAATTTTTCTTCCAGTCCTGGATTCTTTGAGTTTGACTTTCTTGGAATTATACCTACATATATTTTTAGGTATAAGCAATGTTAATAACTACTTAAGAAACCAGAGTTATTGAAACATTCCATGAATCCCTGCTCAATCCTATCCAGAGAGCAATTTGAAGTAGCCAGGAACAGCATTCGGTAGCATTCTGGCTTCTTACCTCTGGCCACGGTCATTAGAATACCTCAAGCTTCTCTGTATCAGAGTGGGTTCCTGGGAGTCTGCAAGAAACGCAGAGAGCTCGGGAATTGTCCCTGGCCTCGCAGAAGCTCAGACACAGGCTCCAAAGATTTTCCTATTCTCCAGAATTTCCTCAGGTCAAAAGCCTTCTTCTAGTCAGTTTCCCAGATTAAAAAGTCTTCAAATAATCATTTATTTAACTAACTCAGTTTAATGTTTTTGAAATAAATGAAAAGACCTGCTTCTTTGAGATTTCAATCCATTCGTTTTTGTTTTAAGGGTCCCATTGGTTGCCTTGATAAGGGAACATGGCAATGAATAAATTAATAAAGAATTAGAGCAATGTGATTATTCTGATACAATTGTGCTTACCCATGGGATGACCATGTGGCTCTGGGATCATGTACTGTGCATCTGGGCATAAGTCTGCCTGGGGAGTTAGCTTGAATCACACCCTCCCTCATTTTGTGGAAGCAAATTCACAGAAACAAGCTCTTCAGTCCCAAGGGGAAGGAAAGCATTCCAGCAATGACATGAGCATTGGTTTCAGCATTGTTTCTAGGAGAACAAATTCTATGAAATGAATTGTTATTAAACTTATGAAATGCAATAAGAAATATATCTCATCAAGCAATGTGACATCTCTCATTTTATGGAGTAGTTATTTTAGGCCAAGCAGTTTATAACAACATAGATCATATGTTGTAAACTTCTGTTATAAAAATTATGTGCGTGTTTCCATAGGGAAGAATCCACCAAATGATGGAATTGATCAAGTTTTATGGGAAAGCAGTTACAATTATAGATATGTCCCATGGCATGCACTATACCTACTCCCAGGGATAGACCTGCCTAGCAGTTCATTTTTCTATTGCAGCACTTTTCTTGTTCCAGATCTTCTTTTCACAGCCAGACAGAATACTATGCCCATTCCCTTAAAATCATATGAATCCTGGACAAGCCTGGAGATTTTATGACTCAAGATCCTTCAGCATGGTCCCCTTAGATACTTTCTGTCAAAGCACGTATAGCATCTAATAGCTTGAGGTTGTCAAATTAATTGAAACTGGAAAGGTGAAAAGGGTAGTCTTTAGAGAAGCTTCTGAATTGCCAATCTACCAGCAGATACTTTCAGCCTGAAAAATTCTTAGTTCCGTAGGTTTGGGGGTGTGTATATATAAATAGCTATATTTCATCTAGGGAATTCCCTGTCAGAAGAAAATATTTCAATTTAGTCTTCTGATTTGACATTAAACTGAGAAATGTTTCTCAGCTAAGTTAATTTTTATTATGCCTGAAAAGGTATTAGTACATTGTCTTAGTGCACAAAAACTTAGGAACTTGCCCACAATATAACCACTTACTAAGAGTCTCTGCTTTGTTTAAAAATAATTTCTAGGCCAGGCACAGTGGCTCATGCCTATAATCCCAAAATTTTGGGAGACTAAAGTGGGAGGATTGCTTGAAGCCAGGAGGAGTTCAGGACCTGCCTAGGGAATGTATCAAGACCCTGTCTCTACAAAAAATACAAAAATTAGCCAGGTGTGGTAGTGTGCACCTGCAGTCCCAGCTACTTGGGAGGCTGAGGCAGGAGAATTGTTTGAGCACCACTGCTCTCTAGCCTAGGCCACAGGGAAAACCCTGTCTCAAATAATTAACTAACTAAATAAATAAAATTTCTATAAAATAAATTTGATATCTTTTGCAAATTTCAGTGAACCAATCAAATTTCATACTTAAGATATCATTCGATTATTTTAGATTAGCTCATAGAGTCTCCTATATAATATATGCAACATTGCCAATTAACTCTCCAGGTCTTACCTTCAGCTTGTTGTATATGGAATGTACAATGCTAGCTGCTGTGAAAAATATAAGCAATGTATAAGATGTCCTCAAGCAGATAAGAGATAAACTCCAAAATTACAACATAGGGTCAAAACTGATAAGAACCACAAGAGAGAAACAAAGGAATTTCCATGGAGGTTTAAAGGAGAGAGAAAATATTTTTGTTTGAAGGAATCAGAAAATAGCAGAACTGGCCTTGAAAGATGAGTAGATTTTAAGCCATGAAAATTTTAATAACAGAGAAGATAACTCCAGGGGAAGAAAACAATGAGTGCTAGAGAAATAGTAAGATGTTGGAGAACTAGTGAGAAGCCTAGTTTGTCTGCAAAACAGAGTGCAAGAGGAAAGTTAATGAACACAGCTGGTTGGGCCAGAACATGGAACAGTAAATTAAGGGATTTTCAAATTATTTGGTAACAATGGGGAACTATTGAAGGTAATGCACAAAAAGATAATAAGTGTTATACTTTTAAAATTAATCAAATAAAATCAAAGACACTGGATGCTGAGACACAAGCTAGGAGAACACTGCAATAGTCAGATGAAAGGAAATACAGGTCTAGATTAATAATAAGAGGACTGGTATGAGACTGTAGGTTTCCCCAAAAAAAGCCAAGCTCCATGGTGACATGAACCATATTGTTCCTGTGTGTGGCAAATGATACATAAATACACAAGCAATAAATACTTGTTGAGTGAATGCAGTGGAATTGAGATACACTACAGTGATATACTGGCAGACTTATGAAATTGATTAGCAATTGAATGAAAATGGAGGTGATTAAGGTTTTGAGGTATTAAGAGTAATTTCATAATAAAAAATTCAGGAGAAAGTTTGGGGATGATACATTGAGTTATTCATTCATTCAATAAATATATTTGAGCACCTACTATGTGCAAGTTTATACAGAATTTTGAAGACACTGAGGAGGTGTTAAGACAGATATTCAAATGAAGATGAACAACAGGCTGTTTAAAATGCGCTTCTATATTCAGTAGAAAAATTTTAGGTGACAAAGCATTTTAATAACCTATCAATTATCCAGGACTTTAGTATGCCTGGATTTACTCATATATCACATGAAATTCTTTGCAAAATCCAAATCGCTATGTCTGCTTTGTAAAGTAATTTAAAGCTTCCACTTTAAAGAAAAGTTGTTTGAAAAACACATTTGTTCTTTTTCCAAGGTGAAAATTATGATGTGATAAAAGCTAAAAATAATAGATATTACTCATAAGAAACTCAAAGCTTAATGGTTTAATCAAATATAACTCTATCTTAACACCCACATTCTAAACATCACCAAAATTTATTTTCACTAACTATAATTGATATTGATGATAGAAGTTGATGGAAATAAATATCACAATTCTCAAAAATTGTAATTGTTCTAAGTAAATGAGATTTTCAAAATTTTCCTAGTTTTCAATATGTCTCTTCAAAACATGAAAGCTTTATGAAAATTTCTGCATGTATCCCATTTTTCTTGTAAAATATTTGCCATTAATTACTTTCTAATCAAATTTAAGGAAAAGTCAAATGATTGGTATATAGTTATCCACCAAAATAAGGCAGCTGGAGACTAGAGTAATTTTTCTGAAGGTTCCATTTGTAAAGTCAAGTCACAACACCTAATGTTAGGTACACCTCCCTTCATTTTTAGGGGGTGGAACAAAGTTTAAGGGGCAAATAAATAACCTAAATATATATAATCTACAGATGCCACATATGCTTCTGTGGTTCTACTGTCTCAGCCACCTCTTTGGCATTTGTATGTATTCAAGAACAGTATGGGGTGTGTGGGGGTGTGTGTGTGTGTGTGTGTGTGTGTGTGTAATTTGTCTTTCTTTCTAAATAGTTAGAATCTTACAGCAAGGAACACATTCTTTGTATCCATCCTAATTCCCATCACAACTCATAGACATCTATACCTAGTGGTTACTAAATTAGTTATTGTGTATGACTAACTTCTAATGATTCTATTTATCTTTTTTATTAGAGGTATGGGAAGAACCCTCCTTCGTTTTAATCTATAACGTAAAACAGTCCATTTAACCTAAAGAGGCTTAAGAGAGCTTCTAAATGTGGGTTTGTTGGGCAATAACAGCATTTATGCCTTCTAAGGTATTTGTTTCTCTGCTGGTTCATTTCTCAAGATAAATAGCTGTTTCCATATTTTATTGGAAATAGAACATGCATAATTGGACCCAATGAGCAACATCTATCCTTAAAATGTTCCCAATCTATATGGCATATGCAGAGTATAATGAGAAAAGCTAGAATTCTCTTGTTGTACTAGGGCATAGGAAAGTAAAATAATCATGTTTCACATCTCATGGAGAACTTTGAGAGAAAATGTTTTATTCTCATATGATTTAAATAAATCACAAAAAGTTTAACATACATGAATCAAGATGAGAATAATTTCTTAGTTATATCTAGTGAAGATAACACCAAAAAGAATACATTTTGAGACACCAACTATGAAAGGAAATAAAATGAAAATGTTACAAAAACAGTCCACAAGGGTGTAAACAGTTCAGCAGGCTATCCCGATAAGAATGGTAAAATTCTTAACTGAGTGAAGAGGTGAAATATTTCTTTAGCAAATGGGTAGCATTCTGGGAAAGTACTTGAGTTATGCCTTAGGTAAAAGTGAGCCACTATGCTTGGAAGACCTAAAAAACAGTGTCTAGGGGACTTCCATTATAAAATCAACACTAGCATGGGGATCTGCACCCTAGTTTTGAGCTCCATCACAGTGATAATAAACAACCCCATAAGACTGTCTCTTCACCCCTGCAACTTTTTCAAAGGTATTGTGGGTATTTAAGCTGACTGTGTAGAAAAGAATGCTTAATAAGTTTGGAGCAGTTGGCCATTTTAAAGATATTCACAGATTACAATAGAATTTTTTATTTTGCTGCAACAATTGACACAAGAACAGCTTCATGGGGTGACTCTGTATTCTTACAAGCTTTTTATGGGAAAATGATACAACAAAATGTTTTCACCTCATTTATTCTCCCTTTCTGGCTAATGTGATGTTGCATTAAATCATTCCTGGGGCCTGGAGTCTGGCTGTGGTAGACTTTAATTTTCTAGCTGTAAATTTGAAAGAAAAAGTCGAAACATAATTTTTTAAAAACACAAATACAGCATTCAGTTTAGTAAACATGCCCTGGACCATTTCCCCTTATAATTTATCACTCTTTGAACTAATATTTATTGAGTCCCAACTCTATGCCAAGTACTGTTTTAGTTACTGGGAATATAAGAATGAGCAAAACAAAACACTATCTGCCTAATTGAATGTACATTCTACTTGAATACAAGAGATAAACTAGTAAACAAATACATTAAACAAATTTCAATTTGTGCTTTGTGCTATGAAGAAACTAAAGAGGGTACAGTGAGAGAGTGACAGGTGGAGTGGGGTGCGACTTTAGATTATGCAGTTATTTCTAAGCACGATGGGAAGCTCCCAGATGTTTTTCAGCAGAAAAGTGACATCCGATTTGGCCGGGCGTGGTGGCTCACGCCTGTAATCCCAGTACTTTGGGAGGCTGAGCTGGGTGGATCACCTGAGGTCAGGAGTTTGAGACCAGCATGGCCAACATGGTGAAACCCCGTCTCTACTAAAAATACAAAAATTAGCCGGGCATGGTGGCAGGCACCTGGAATCCTAGCTATTCAGGAGGCTGAGACACGAGAATCACTTGAACCCAGGAGGCAGATGTTGCAGTGAGCCAAGATGGCACCACTGCACTCCAGCCTGGATGACAGAGTGAGACTTTGTCTCAAAAAAAAAAAAAGAAAAGAAAAGAAAAGAAAGGAAAAAAGAAAAGTAACATCCAATTCATATTTTTAAAAGATCTCTTGGATTTTGTGTGGTTAATAGATTGTTATAGTATAAAAACAGAAGTAAGGTGGCCAGCTACAAAGTTATTGTAGCAGCCCAGGAGAGCAATGATGGCACCCGGGTCTAGTGGAGAATTGGGATGATGAGCATCAAAAATACATTTGAAGTATATTTTGGTGTAGGGCACACAGGAATTACCAATGGATTGTGTACATGGAAGTGAAGTAAAAAGAAGAGTCGAGAAAATGTCTTAATTTATTGATGGAATATGGAGCTGTTTAGTGATGGTGAAAACAATGGAGAAAAGTAGACTTGGAGGAAAAAAAACACAATTCTCTTATGGTCCTTGTATTGGTATAGGATACATTAAGCTATGGTAATAATAATCACGAAATTTCAGTGACTTAACCTAACCAAGATTTAATTCCTGCTCATCCTGCCTATTCAGCACAGATCAACAGAGAATGGCGCTCCACACAGTCCCTCAGAGGCCCAGGATGATAGAGTCTCCATCATGTCGTACACATATCAGCTGAGTCACAAAGCTTCCTTGGTTTACAGAGGAAGAGAGAGACTGGAGGATCATGCATGGGCTTTTTATTTGTAGCTGTTTAATTGTATATATTTAAGATATAGCATAGGCTTTCTACTACAAAACACTTGGATTTGCATTTCATTGGCCAGAACTACTCACATGTCCTCATCTAACTTCAAGAGGGCTTGGAAATGCAGAGGAACAAATGGAATATTTATTTTGATTTCTGTCTTTGCTATGGACTTACGTGTTCTAAGATGCCAATTAGTCATTCTTAGTTATTGTTTTCCTTTTGATACCACGTAAGTTATTGAGATTTTAGCCAGTCACCAAAAGTGATTTCTTATCAAGCCAATCACCAAGAATGAATGAATTAAAGCAATCATGCATTATCTCATATATTTCACTGGATATAAAGTTTCCAGAACAGTAAGTAACTTTATCCATCAAGGCCTCAACTAAAAGAGATAGCACACTCAACTTAGAATAATTCAAGGACGACTTATTTACAGAGGGCCCTTCTCTCACTCTCTCTCTTTTTTGGGGGGGAGGGGGTGGTAGAGGGTGGACGGAGTTTCGCTCTTGTTGCCCAGGCTGGAGTGCAATGGCGCGATCTCGGCTCACTGCAACCTCCACCCTCCAGGTTCAAGTCTCAGCCTCCTGAGTAGCTGGGATTACAGGTGTGCACCACCACACCCAGCCAATTTTGTATTTTTAGTAGAGACAGGGTTTCACCATGTTGGCCAGGCTGGTCTCAAACTCCTGACCTCAGGTGATCCACCAGCCTCTGCCTCCCAATGTGCTGGGATTACAGGCATGAGCCACCGCGCCCGGCCGGGCCTTTTTTTTTTTTTTCTTTTTTCTCCAATAGAGATATGGACGAGTGTCAGAGAGCCACAAGGAATATAGTACAGGAACCTGGGTTAGTAAACCAGGATTTTTACAACTCCAAGGCCCAAAGAGATAAGAGGAAGAAGCATTTATTGGAACCCCAAAGGTGGGAGTGATATAGAGGAAGAAACCTTGAGAGGAGCAATATCTTCAATCAAAGGAAACCTCACACAAAGGAACAAGTAAAATAAATAACCTGACCTAGCTCACTGCTTCCCATCTCCTGACAGGGCTCCTAGGAGCCAAACCCAATGGGAAGCTGGCAGAGAGTGGAGCCCATAGGCTATGCAGGTCACCTCCAAGGGTGGAAAACAGAGTAAAGGTTTGTGGAGAATAGAACGACTTCTATGTATTTGGGGTACATAGATGATATCAGACACACAGAAATTTCTACCTGAGATTTTCATATGACTCAGTGTATATAGTAGAAAAATCACTCTATTTTGAATCCTGGAATCCTTCATGTGATTTCTGTCTTTTCCAAGTGACTGTCTAAAAGTTATATACTCTATCCTAAAGATATTTAAAAAGAAAATCCTCAAAGAAAACTTTGAGGTTTTAAAGTCCTATTGCATAAAAAGTTGTTGAAGAATAAGTGTTACAGTAACATTTTATAACTTTTTATATTTAATATTAGTGGGTACATAGTAAGTGTATATATTCGTGGGATACATAGTATGTTTTGATACAGGCATGCAATGTGAAATAATCACATCATGGAGAGTAAGATATCTATCCCCTCAAGCATTTATCCTTTGCATTACAAACAATCCAATTATACTCTTTTAGTTATTTTAAAATGTACAACTAAGTTATTATTGACTATAGTCACCCTGTTGTGCAATCGAATTGTATGTCTTATTGATTCTTTCTAACTAATTTTTGTACCCATTAACCATCCCCACCCCCACCCCCCCCCACACACCCCAGGCCCCCACTACCATTCCCAGCCTCTGGTAACCATCCTTCTATTCTCTATGTCCATGAGTTCTATTGTTTTGATTTTTAGATACCATAAATGAGAACATGCAATGTTTGTCTTTCTGTGCCTGGCTTATTTGACTTAGCATAATGATCTCCAGTCCCATCCATGTTGTTGCAAATGACAGGATCTCATTCTTTTTGATAGCTGAGTAGTACTCCATTATGTACGGGTACCACATTTTTATTATCCATTTATCTGTTGATGGACACTTACGTTGCTTCCAAATCTTAGCTATTGTGGACAGTGCTGTGACAAACATGGCAGTGCAGATATCTCTTCAATATACTGATTTGCTTTTGGAGGGGTATAAACCTAGCAGTGGGATTACTGAATCATATGGTAGCTCTATCTGTAGCTTTTTGAGGAACGTTCAGACTGTTCTAAGTGGTTGTACTAATTTACATTCCCACCAACGCTGTATGAATGTTCCCTTTTCTCCACATTTTCGCCAGCATTTGTTATTGCCTGTCTGTTGGATATAAGCCATTTTGACTGGGGTGAGAAGATTCTGATTTGCATTTCTCTGATGATCAATGATTTTCAGCACCTTTGTATATGAATATATCTACCAATATATTCCATATATCCCGTGTGTATGCATTTACATGCATATATGATTAAAAGAAGTACTAACAAAATATTTGATAGCTACAAGTAAAATGAATAAAATGTGCATGCATATTCTAGTGTTCCCGAATATATCATATAGTCAACTATCAGACAAAGTTCATTGGAACAAAGGCTGTAATGGAGACAGGGAAGCCAAGTATCTGCTCACTGAAGAAATACAAGGAAGAATTAAACTAAGCCAAGGAAAATAAAAATTAGAAAGCCTGAGGTGATAAATTGTGCAGGAACATTCAAAACACATATCATTTCAAGTCAGTGACTTATTTAGATATGATATTGAATATTGAAGGATATGTAAGATATAGGAATCCACGATGATACACAATGTTGCACTAGTCAGTGATCAAGTCATTTTCACACATTATGAGTGTGAAATACCTATGGCGCATCCAACTGGAAATGCCAAAGTGGCAATTGTTTTAGTTCAGTCTAGGCAGTTAAAATATTAGTTCTAAATATTATTATGTGATCAACCCCTTATCCATTCAAACCACTCTGATGTTTTTCTTAGAGTTAAATACGTTAAGCAAGATACCTACTGTTATACCAAATGATGCTTATTATAGCATAAATACTACATGTCTTGGCAGAAATGGGTTCTAGCTTAGGTGGATTCAGATACTATTTTTCCTTTCTTGTCTTTGGCTACTTCAAACTAGAAATTCAAAGAAGACAGAGAATTTAAAGATGGTACTTGGATGTTGGGTAGACATACAGTCTATAGGCATTCACCCTAACGTCTCCCCCAGTTTCTTTGTCTGTGTCAAAGTCATAGGTGTGCAATATTGAAAGTCTGTCACCAAAATACCTCTGGCCATTTATTCAGTCCAAGTAGGTGATGCCATCACTCTTTGGATGGACAATCAAGGAGAAAGTGGTGAAGTGAGCTGGGCTAGACTTCAGGCAGCAAAAAGGGATGGGATGGGTGGGAGCAATGTGGCATTATCTGTCATCAAAACAGTTATATCAATTGAAAGGGGTTAGAGTTACCAATAACAGATCTTTGGGGGAAATAATAGATCTGTTGTCTTCAATTGTTTGCAGAGTTGTTTTCTAATATCTCGTTGGACTACAAATTTGAACTATTGCTCTGAGTATAAATTTAGTTGTATGTGGCATTCAGAATGACAGATGCCAAGTTTGTGAAGCGTGTGTGCACACGTACATACACAAACTGGCATTTGAAACAGGGTTTGAAAACCACAGCAGTTGAACATGGAAGCTCTGGAGTTTAGCTGAGAGACTGAAAATAGGGGTTTAAAAATCATACAGTAAGTAACAAATAAAATCATGGGCATGTCACCTAGGGAGTATGCACAGAGCAAATGGCTAAGACGGAACTGTAGAGAACATTGAATTTAGCATGTATTATAAACAGGAACCCCCATTACACTAAGCCAGACAGTATTCATACCTGATGGCTATATCTTTAAGTACTTTTGACACCTAAAAATAGTAATAAGGTTAACTGAAAACAAAATATGACATTTATCAATATTGTATATGATGCACTGACAACTCAGTCTGTCTTTTCTCCCTTCCTATGATCCTGGCCTTCCTTGAGATGGCTGGAGACAAGAGGATGGAGGGAAAGATTCTTTGACATGTTATTTTTTGCCACTGCTGCTGCCTCATAGGTCTTGCATTTCAATCAGCCATATCTCAGCCACTTTGCTCTTTTCAGTAGATCCCACAACACAGACCTCTCTACTTGAAAGCGTGGGAGAAAGAGAGGAAAAAACTTACTTTCTTTTTTTCTCTGGCTCCATCTTCCTTCTCTCCTCTTTGTTTTGCCAACCAGAAAGTCATTCATAGTGTCTTTTATCTATTTTCTTTTTCCTAAACCAGTTCCCTGACCAGTTTCTTCTCAGTGAGTCTTCCAATCACACCTCATTCTATGAAATATTTGTACACTGTAATTCCAGGTGCTGGGAAAAGAAAATTCCATTTTCTCTTTTATTTATGGTCAAAAGTAAAGTTGGACCATTTTTTAAAAAAAAATATCTGTATTGCTCTGCATCATTTCCTGCCACTGTAGACAGAGTTGGTGCAGGGCTCAGAGGCAGGATGCCAAGCTTGATAGTGCAGGAGAGGGAAGAAGTGTGAGGAAAACCCCTAAGTTGCAGAGAAGTAGGAAACCACAATTTGAGACTAACAGATGAATTTTGAATATGCTCTAAACATGAATCTCAACCATCAAGCTTGAAAAATACTGTATGTTGAAGTTAAAATTTCTGGTCTAAAAATTATTAATGACATAATTACCAGTTTCTCCACAATTTCTTAAGTATAAAAGGCACTTATCAGCTGACTGCTATTTTGAATATATACAACTGAGACCTGATTTCTTCTTTTGACCATCTATTTCATCACTTTTAGCTCTGGTTAACTGATCTCAACTGATCTTTTTTCCCAAAGGCAGAGGCGAGGAAAGTATCAGGAGTCTGTGCCTCTGTGCAGTCATCTATTATCAGCTAAAGATTTGGCAGATAAGAAAAGGGAAATCAAGCTGCAGGGTCTTTATCTGACCTTCATCGTTTCTATCTATTTTAGGTTAGAAAAAGTTTTAGAAGTTAGGGCTATTTTATGCAGCATTTCATAAATTCTGGGAGGGTTATACAAAACCACAAAGGCAGATTTCTGAAACAACAGGGTTCATGTAGTATCCTGTGACCACTCTCTCCTCTTCCCTAATTATTCAAAGTGTTCACAGTGTTAAATCTGAATGTCAATAACCCATTAAAAATAACCTGTAGTTCTAATGATAGCATAAATTTTATAAAATCGTAAATCAGATTGGAGAGTTCTCACGGGTAACTTATCTGATATAAGTAACATTGGATAAGAAGACATACTATACAAAATAAACAAACGGAATAATCTTGTACATGTACTCTAGTGTAATCTCTGCTAATAAGAATAATTCATTAGAAGTTCTCATTTGACTAGAACATACCCACTTTTGATTATCTTTATGGTGTTTGCTATGGACTTAACTGTATCACCCCCAAATGTATATGTTAAAGCACTAAACTCCACTGTGATGAAGTGTTTGGTATGATGATCACAGTGTGATGATGTGTTTGGAGATGGGGCTTTAGTGAGTTAATTAGAGTTAGATGAAGACAAGTGAGTAGAGCCCTCATGACAGAATTAGTGGCTTTCTAAGAAGAGGAAGACAGAGAGATCTCTCTGCCATATGAGGACATAGGGAGAAGCAAGTTATCTGTAAGCCAAGAAAAGAGCCCTCAAGAAAGACCTAATCAGATGGCATCTTGATCTTGGACTTCCCAGGCTCCAAATCTGTCAGAAATAAATGTCCGTTGTTTAAGTCACCCAGTCTACAGTATTTAGATATAGCAGCCTGAGAAGACTAATACAGTGCCCAAGTATAAAAATAACTTACTTAACAAAACAGTAACCCAATTACCAAAGGTTATTAAAACTCTTCCCCAAAGTTACACTAATTGTACCTAGATGGAAACAATGTCATATGAAGTCACAATATATATTATCTCTTTTCTTCAATCCCATTTAATTCATAAACGTGCTCTCTTAGCTCTGCTATCATCAAATAATTGTATAACAAAGCCAACCACTTCTATTTCATCAAACCTACCAGCATCTTTCACCCAGATAGCACAGTAGTCTCCAAACACATCACCCAGCTTCCCCTCTGGGCCTCCCACAAGCTGCTTTCCCCATAGCAACCAGAGTGACCTCTGTAAAATACAGTATACTACTCTGCTTTTAAAATCCCCAATGGCTTTTCACTGCACTTAAAATAAAATCCAAACCTCTCACCCACTTTAGAAAGCCATGTGTAACTTGGCCCTTGCTTACCTCTCCAATCTGGTCTCATATCACTCTCCCCTTTGGCTTCCCTGTTGCTGCAACTTGCCCATCAAGTTCATACCTGCATTAATACTATGGTGCTAGTGCTCTTTTCTTGAGATTCTCTTGACTTTGATCTTCATCTGGCTGGCATCTGCTTGTCATTCAGATCTCAGTCTAAACATCAGCTTTCCAGAGAGGTTTTCCTGACCACACAGCCTACAATAAGCATTTCTATCATTCTCTATCACATCACTCTGCTTTAATTATCTGCCAAGTATTTATCACTGGCTGATACTATTTTTGTTCACCTGCTTCTTTGTTTATTGAATGTAAGCTCCATGAGAGCCAGAACTTGTTTGTCTTGTTTATAGCTACACCCCCGGCTCCTGGAAGAGAGTTTGGCACAAGTTACTGAAACACAGTTTTTAAATACATGAGTAAATAAATTATCCCATTTTAGAGTACTAAAGGTGTCTACCATAGAAAATCTATTCCATTGGACAGATCATCTAGACAGAAAATCAACAAAGAAACATTGAATTTCAACTACATACTAGACCAAATAGGCCAAATATTTACAGAACATTTTATCCAACAACTGCAGAATATACATTCTTCTCATCAGTACATGGAACATTTAGGACAGACCACATGTTAGGTCAGAAAACAAGTCTTAACTATTTTTTAAAAATCAAATTCATATCAAGTATCTTCTCAGATTACAGTGGAATAAAATTAGAAATCAATACCAAGAGAAACTTTGAAAACTATACAAATACATGAAAATCAAACAACATGTTCCTGCATGGCCATTGGGCTGATAAATTAATACGGAAATTTTAAAAAATGCATTACACATATGAATGTTATGAATGAATAAATTGCTGTTATGAATGTTTGCTGTTATGAATGTTATGAATCTTTTGTTGCAAGATATAGCAAAAGGAGTATTAAGAAGGACATTTATAGCAATAAATGACTATGTCAAAAAAAATCAGAAAATTTTAAATAAACAAACTAATGGTACAAATCAAGGAACTAGAAAAGCAAGAATAATCCATCACATGAACAGAGTCCATGACAAAAACCACATGATTATCACAATAGATGCAGAAAAGGCCTTTGACAAAATTCAACTAGGCTTTGATGGAACTAGTTATTGATAGAACATACCTCAAAATAATAAGAGCTATTTATGACAAACCCACAGCCAATATCATACTGAATGGGCAAAAGCTGGAAGCATTCACTTTGAAAACCAGCACAAGACAAGGATGCCCTCTCTCACCACTCCTATTCAACATAGTACTGGAAGTTCTAGCCAGGGCAATCAGGCAAGAGAAAGAAATAAAGGGTATTCAATTAGGAAGAGAGGAAGCCAAATTGTCTCTGTTTGCAGATGACATGATTGTATATTTAGAAAACCCCATCGTCTTAACCCAAAATCTCCTTAAGCTAATAAGCAACTTCAGCAAAGTCTCAGGATACAAAATCAATGTGCAAAAATCACACATTCCTATACACCAATAACAGACAAACAGAGAGCCAAATCATGAGTGAACTCCCATTCACAATTGCTACAAAGAGAGAGTTGAGAATAAAATACCTGGGAATACAAATTACAAGGGATGTGAAGAACCTCTTCAAGGAGAACTACAAACCACTGCTCATGGAATTAAGAGAGGACACAAACAAATGGAAAAACATCTCATGCTCATAGTTAGGAAGAGTCAATATTGTGAAAATGGCCATACTGCCCAAAGTAATTTATAGATTCAATGCTATCTCCATCAAGCTACCACTGACTTCCTTCACAGAATTAGAAAACACTACTTGAAACTTCATATGGATTCAAAAAAGAGCCCACATAGCCAAGACAATCCTAAGAAAAAAGAATGAAGCTAGAGGCATCAGGCTACCTGACTTCAAACTCTACTACAAGGCTACAGTAACCAAAACAGCATGGTACTGGTACCAAAACAGATATATAGACCAATGGAACAGAACAGAGACCTCAGAAATAATGCCATACATCTACAACCATCTGATCTTTGACAAACCTGACAAAAACAAGCAATGGGGAAAGGATTCCCTATTTAATAAATGGTGTTGGGAAAGCTGGCTAGCCATATGCAGAAAATTGAAACTGGACCCCTTCCTTACCCCTTCTACAAAAATTAACTCAAGATGGTTTCAAGACTTAAATGACAGGCCTAAAACTATAAAAGCTCTAGAGGAAAACATAGGCAATACCATTCAGGACATAGGCATAGGCAACGACTTTGTGACTAAAACACCAAAAGCAATGGCAACAAAAGCCAAAATTGACAAATGGGATCTGCACAGCAAAACAAACTATCATCAGAGTGAACAGGCAACCAACAGAATGGGAGAAAATTTTTGCAATCTATCTGACAAAGGGCTAATATCCAGAATCTACAAAGAACTTAAGAAAATTCACAAGAAAAAAATAAATAATCCCATCTAAAAGTGGCCATATGAACAGACACTTCTCAAAAGAAGACATTTGTGCAGCCAACAACCATATGAATAAAAGCTCATCATCACTGGTCATTAGAGAAATGCAAATCAAAACCACAATGAGATTCCATCTCACACCAGTTAGAATGTAAATCATTAAAAAGTTGGGAAACAACAGATGCTGGAGAGGATGTGAAGAAATAGGAACACTTTTACACTGTTGGTGAGAGTGCAAATTAGTTCAACTGTTGTAGAAGACAGTGTGATAACTCCTCAGGGATCTAGAACCAGAAATACCATTTGACCCAGCAATCTCATTACTGAGTATATACCCAAAGGAATATAAATTATTCTACTATAAAGACACATGAACATATATGTTTATTGAAGCACTGTTCACCATAGAAAAGACTTGTACCCAACCCAAATGCCCATCAATGATAGATTGGATAAAGAAAATGTGGCACATACACACCATGGAATACTATGCAGCCATAAAAAAGGATGAGTTCATGTCTTTGCAGGAACATGGATGAAACTAGAAACCACTATTCTCAGCAAACTAACACAGGAACAGAAAACCAAACACTGCATGTTCTCACTCATAAGTGGGAGTTGAACAATGAGAACACATGGACACAGGGAGAGAAACATCACACACTGGGGCCTGTTGGAGGGTGGGGGCCTAGGGGAGGATGAATTAGGAGAAATACGTAATGTAGATGATGGGTTGATGGGTTCAGCAAACCACCATGGCACGTGTATACCTATGCAACAAACCTGCGCATTCTGCACATGTATCCCAGAAGTTAGAGTATAATTTTTAAAAGAATAAAAAAAAAGAGAAAGAATAAAAGGCACCCAAATTGGAAATGAATAAGTCAAATTGTCCCTCTTTTCTGATAATATGATCTTATATCTAGAGAAAAACCTAAAGACTCCACCAAAATACTCCAAAATACTCCAAGATCCAATACATAAATTCAGTAAGTTGCAGGGTAAAAAATTAATAGAGTTTCTATGCACCAAAAATGAGCTAGCTGAAAAAGAAATTAAGAAGGCAATCCCATTTACAATAGCTACCAAAAAATAAAATACCTAAAAATAAATTTAACTAAAGAGGTAAAAGATATCCACAAGGAGAACTACAAAATACTGATGAAAGAAATTGTAGCTGTTACAAACATAAAGACATCCACACTCATGGATCAGAAGGGTTATTAACAATTAAAATGACCCTACTACCCAGACCAATCTACAGATTTAATGCGAAACTTATCAAAATACCAATGTCATTTTTCACAGAATTAGAAAAAAAATCCTAAAATTTGTATGGAACCAAAAAACAGCCAGAACAGCCAGAGCAATCCTGATCAATAAGAGGAAAACTGAAGTTATCACACTATCTGACTTCAAAATATATCACAAAGCTCTAGTAACCAAAACAACTTGGTATTGGTATAAAAATTGACACATGGACCAGTGAAACAGAATAGAGAGTCCGAAATTAGTCCATGTATTTACAACCAACTGGTTTTTGACAACAGTGCCGAGAATATATATTCAGGAAAGGACACCCTCTTCAATAAATGGTGCTAGAAAAAATTGGATATCTGTATGCAAAAGAAGGAAACTGGACCCCTATCTCTCACCATCTACAAAAATCAACTCAAGATGGATTAAAGACTTAAACATAATACACAGAACTATAAAACTAGTAGAAAAAAAACATAGAGGAAATACTTCAAGACCTCAGTCTAGGCAAAGATTTTGTGGCTAAGACCTCAAAAGTACAGATAACTATTTTTATAAATAGACAAATGGGACTATATTAAACTAAAAAGCTTCTATACCACAAAAAATTGTTCATCAACAGAATAAAGAGACAACCTGTTGAATGGGAGAAAATATTTGCAAACTATTCACCTAATAAGGGACTAATATCCAAAATATAGAAGGAACTCAACTCAACAAAAAACAAATAATCCCATTTAAAAGTGGACTAAAGACATAAATAGGCATTTCCCATAAGAAGACAAATGGCCAACAGATATGTGGAAAAAATGCTCAGCATCACAGATCATCAGAGAAATGCAAATCAAAATCACAATGAAATATCATCTTACTCTAGTTAGACTAGCTATTAATAAAAAGACAAAAAATAATTGATACTGGCAAGAATGCAGAGAAAGGGGAACTCTTAGATGCTATTGGTGAACATGTAAATTGGTACAACCACTATGGACAACAGTAGGGAGATTCCTCAAAAAATTAAAAATGTAACTACCATACAATCTAACAATCCCACTATTCACTACTTATCCAAAGGAAAAGAAATCTGTACATCAAAGTGATACTTGCACCCATGTGTTTATCGCAGCGCTATTCACAATAGCGAAGACATGGAAACAACCTAAGTGCCCATTGATGGACAAATGAACAAAGTAAATATGGTATATATACACAATGGAATAGTATTTGGCAATAAATAAGAATGAAATCTTGTCATTTGCAGCAACATGAATGGAACTGGAGGTCATTATGTTAAGTGAAATGAGCCAGGTACAGAAAGACAGATGCCACATGTTTTCACTCATATGTGGGAACTTTAAAAACTAATTTCATCGTCGGGCACGATGGCTCATGCCTGTAATCCCAGCACTTTGGGAGGCTGAGATGGGCAGATCACGAGGTCAGGAGATCGAGACCATCCTGGCTAACACGGTGAAACCCCGTTTCTACTAAAAATACAAAAAAAAAATTAGCCGGACGCAGTGGTGGGCGCCTGTAGTCCCAGCTACTCTGGAGGCTGAGGCAGGAGAATGGCGTGAACCCGGGAGGCAGAGCTTGCAGTGAGCCGAGATTGCGCCACTGCACTCCAGCCTGGGCGACAGAGCGAGACTCCGTCTCAAAAAAAAAAAATACAAAAAATTAACCAGGTGTGGTGGCGGGCGCCTGTAGTCCCAGCTACTCGGGAGGGTGAGGCAGGAGAATGGTGTGAACCCAGGAGGTGGAGCTTGCAGTGAGCCGAGATGGCGCCACTGCTCACCAGCCTGGGCGATAAAGCAAGACTCTGTCTCAAAAAAAAAAAAAAAAAAAAAAACAACTAATTTCAAATGACAGATACCAGTATTCTGGAAGAGTGTCTGGGGTGAAAGAATAAAGAGAGGTTGGTTATGGATACAAACATACATTTAGATAGAACAAATAAGCCCCAATATTCCATAGCAGAGTAGGGTGACTATAGTTAGCAACAATGTATTGTATATTTCCCAGTAGCTAGAAGAGAGGACTTGAAATGTTACCAACACATGGAAATGATAAATGCTCATGGTGATGGACACCCCAAACACCCTGACCTGATAATTACACACTCTATGACATAACATAACAAACACTCCCATGTACCCCCATAATATGTAAAATACTTTGCATCAATAAGAAAATTTAAAAAAACATTTAAGTACTCCTTTATTCTACCATAGTACCAGACATTTCTATTAGAATCATTTACTGAATAGAAGAAACTTATGAAAACCTATTAAAATGTAAACATTTTACATTCCCTAAATATCTACTAATATAATTACTCACTAAAACTTTAATATACTTAGTTCATTAGTCCTAGATAAAAGGTTGCTTCAGGCTGGGCGTGGTGGCTCACACCTGTAATTCCAGCACTTTGAGAGGCCGAGTTGGGTGGATCATTTGAGGTCAGGAGTTCGAGACCAGCCTGGCCAACATGAAACCCCATCTCTACTAAAAACACACACACAAAAATTAGCTGGGCAGTAACGGCACACGCCTGGAATTCCAGCTACTCAGGAGCCTGAGGCAGGAGAATTGCTTGAACCCAGGAGGCGGAGGTTGCCGTGAGCCAAGATCACGTCACTGCATTCCAGTCTGGGTGGCAGAGTGAGACCCTGTCTCAAAAAAGATTGTTTCAGCAGAATGAGATGCAGAAGGACGAAAAAGATTTGAAATTTGGTAGTTACCCTCCAGAAAGAGAAAGCAGCATAATGGGATAGGCCTGAGTAGCTGGAGTGCACCGTGTAAGGAGATGAGTAGATAAGCTCCCCTGAGCAACAATTTTGTATAGGGTCAGCTCTAAGGAAAGGATAGTATTTGGTATGAAGGTAATCCAGGAACTCATAATTTTTAATTGCCTCTTTCCTCTTGTGTGAAAGCACTCCCCTAGTTAACTTCTCAGTAATCATCTACCATCTCCTTGAATTAGTCAGGTTGAATTGTCTCTTCTAGTCCAACAAAAGGAAGATATTAGGATGCTTTGCCACACAACTAGTCACTGAGATTAACCCACAGCTCTTCTAACTGCCAATCCATTCTTCCTCAAAGCCCATATTGGACCATTAGATCAGAAAATTCTCACTAAAATTCTATGAGCTGGTAAGATTACCATAGTCCATGAGTAATGTGAGAGGCACAAAGGGAGGGTATTTAGAGGAGAGCAAATTCTAGGAATGAAACTACTTTAGAAATATTAATAACCCCCACAACTATCCTCCTTCCCTTATCCATCCACCTCCAGACCATTGCTTACATATTTACATCATTTAATTTTACTTTGCTTGGCAATTCATTCATTAAGCATTCAGTGAATATTTACAGAGCATATGTGAAATGACAAGCATTGATCTAAGTGCCTGGGACATTGTAGAGAATAAAATAAAATCCTTTTATTTCTTTTACCTTATTATACAGACATTGAAAGGTTTGAAAAATCCCTTATGGCAAAATACATTTTTTAAGTTCATATCTATAGCCCTTCTCCTTGGACATCTCCTCCCCCCCCTCCATTGCTGAATGCATATTTGTTGAAGTTAATGGAATTGAATGGAATAGGATGGACTGGAATGGAACGTGAGATGTGTCCTGACTCCACATCCTGCACCCACGTTATGTTTGCTTAATGCTGCTTGGGACATAAAGAGGATCCTGGAAGAATGGCAAATGTAACAAATAGCTGAAAACTTAAGTCAGTATTTCTCAAAGTATGGTTTTTGGATCACAATAATCAGGATTATCTAGAGGATTTGTTAAAATTTGAAAACCCTAACCCAGATCTACTAAGTCAAAATCTCCTGGGGAAGTCTGCTAGCATCAGGACATTCCTAGCACACTCACATTTGAAACCACTGCTTAAAGCCTCCAATTAGAACCAGAGACAATCGAACAATGTACTCCATGTGTTCTGAGAGTGTTAAATCCAATTACATTTAAAAATGACTTATTATTGTATCACTTCAGTTGACTCAAGTTCAATTTTTAGTACTTGATAGACAAATGGTAAAAATAATAAGTAAATACATAATGCAGCCACTTTAGATAAGGCCCTGAGGTTCAAATCAACATCTGAACATTATCAAGCATCTGATTGAGCTATTCACTTTTATGGAACTTCTGCAAACAGAAGACAGCACTTCTCTAAAACTTTCTAGTGATGACTGACTGTGGTTCTTTCATTTTACCTAGACAGATAACTAACTAATAATGCAGTTTTTTGTTCTAAATATCCCTTGACAATTATTCCAATTTTCTGTTTGCCTTTAACATTGAAGATTTGGATGCCGAGTACCAAGTACGTATATTGTATCCTTTTTAATAATATAATTCCAATTACTACAAATGTAATTGTGAAGTCAGAGCTATATAGTATTTTGATAGCAGCACTTGTTTTTCTAACTGAAGGTAACTTGAATTATCTGGTGATTCTACATCAGTTTTCTTGCACTGATTTTTTTTAGTGTAATGCACCACTCTTTCAAACTATTTGCAATCTCATTAAGGCATTTATCTAATGAAATACTTTAAATTACTTCCCCAGATAATGTCAGATCATAATGACATCAAAATGGTGCTATCATGTAGTCCCACTGGATTTTTTATTGAAATCTTTCCATTGAATATATTGAAAAATAAAAGGAAAGACTGCTTCTAAGGATTGAAATATAATTCTCTTGAGAATCTATTAAGAACAAGTTCTTCCTGTTCCTTTAATATTCTTAAAAGGTTTTGTGTTGTGTTAGTGTTTATTATAGTTGTTTATATAAGGCTGGGTATTTCCAAACTCTCCAAATTTATTTCTCCCTACTCTGAGGAAGAAACCACCACTCATAGGCACTGAAAATACTTCTTTGGGCATACAAATACTAGTTTTTTGTTTTTACTATGAGTAACATAGGTTCAAATTAACCAATATTCTTTCACAGATTATCTGCTTTATATGCCATTTTATTTTTATCACTTCTTTTAATGCCAATGGTATATAAGCCTTTCCTCACTCCAAAATAAAATCATTTACACTTAATTTATTGATTCTAATGTAACTTGGTAAGGAGAGGTCAAGATTTATACCAATCTGAAGGATGGATTTTTTTAACTCTAAAGTTCACAGGGGTTGGGGCTAATTCTAAAGTAATATCATCAGCCAGAGTTTTAGGAAGAAATAGTGATATTGATTTTGTAACTTCTATACCCACAGTTCATATCCAGCTCCTCTTCAGGCCCAGAATCTTACTCCATGACTGACTCTCCACCTTCTTCCCAAAGAGGGTTCCTGCTTAAGCCAATAACTTCTAGGACACATACTGGAAAACAGCAAAAGGAAGGATAAAATGGCTACAAGAGAAATCTAAAGCAGGCCAAGGAGTGGTAAAAGAATTAAACCTTACTAGGATTTAACCAGTTTGACCAGGAGAAGATGGAAAGGAAGTAGTCCCTCTCTCCTGCTCCCACACAGATGGACATGTATCAATAGGGTACTGATGTAAGATGTGTGATGAGACTCTAAAACTAGAAGAGCTGGTAGTAGTACATGCATCCCATACATTTTGGGTCAGGTGAGTTGAGTGGGTGCTTTTGGGGTATTTGGGTTGGAGGGATGGGGAGACTTGGCAGATTTAGCAAATAAAAATAGAGAATTCCCAGCTAAATTTGAATTTCAGATTTGAAAAATGAAAGGGTGTTTTATACGTATGTCTCATGCAAGATTTCAGACACACTCATACTAAAATTGTCTTCATTGTTCATGCAAAGTTCAAATTTCAGCAGGCATCCTGTATTATATCTATAGCGAGAGTCTCCTGCAGGCTTGGGATATCTTAAGCTTCACAATGGCCTCCAGGAGGGCAAACAAGAGAATGAAGGCTTTGAGAACCTTGGAATTATAGAAGGAACAGAGAAAGGCCAAAAAAAGATAGAGGAGTTGATGGCTCTAGGCCCAAAAGAAAATACAAGAAAATACCCTCTAAGAAGTATAGCCCATCTCATCAAAATAGGAAGGAGATTAAACTCGTCATCTATTCACTCAGCAAGTAGATCAATTTGGTTTGGGAGAAAATTATTGACCCAGAGGAGTTGAAATACTTTTTAGAAATTGAGAGTATAATCTTGATCTGCTCACTGCAGAGGGCAGCGTTGCCCCAAGATTTGCAATTTCTCTGATACCATCAATATGAAACAGACTTTATAATAATAAAACCATTATAAGGAAAAAATGTAAGTTTCATTGCTTCTCTGAAGCATGCCAGACATGCTAGCTGAATAGTCAGGTAAGATATCTCATGAACAAGTTTCATGTAAGATTTCTCTCTTAAATAGCTTTTCTTTTCTTGTTCTTTCTCTCAGATTCCAGGAGAAATCTGCTGCATAGAAATGTATTATTTTACCTTTCTTTAAATCCTAAATGTTTATTTGACGTTATGGTATCCATGTGCTAACAGTTTGAATTTAATTTAAATTATCTTCCATCTATAAAATCAAGCTTTTTTGTTTAATGATTTGGCCTCAGGTAGTTTGAGTTACATTATCCCAAGATTCAAAATTTAAATGTCCGTGTGGTTAGGCACATGACATTATGACATTCGGATCTTGTTTGTAATTTCCTTTGCATAGACATACCTCATTTTGGTCTCCTTTTCATGATCTAAATCGAATTTCCTTAAGTAGCTATTATCCAAAGTCAGACTATGAACTACCAAGTCTAGGCTACATTCTGTTTCCAGGAGTGTTGCAGACCATTCTTAAAAGTAAGTCATCCCTCAAATCAATAAAAGTTTTTACATGGCTCTTTGCAGTGATTTAGACTATTCTTCTGTTGTTAAACATCCCATTGTAATACACAGATGGTTACAATAGAGCATGTTAACCACTATGATGAGGGAGTTCAGAGTGTGCAGGGAGCACATAGCTATATCCCAAATACAAAGTGGAAGCTGCACAAGACCTTCCAGAGAAGATGACCTGCAGTTTGAGGCTCATATAGAAGTTGCCACAGGAATAAAGGAGTGATGGACTATCCAAGAAGATGTATTCTTTTGTTCCTTAAAAAAACTACTGGATATGCTGTTTGAACAGCTTAAGAGAGTTTCAGGGATAATTCTTGGTGTGCCAGATATTTGCCCTACGTGATAATTTAGTAATCTAATTCCCACACTAAATTCAATTCTAATATATATTGAAACATATATTAAGTGTCTAAAGACATTTAAATTCAAAACTAGGGTGTTAAGACTTTAGCAGTATCTTTTCTAAGTTCACTTCAAACCATCATGTTAGTTTTAAAAATCATAGATTCATGGAAATGCAGTTTCAGAAGGGAAATAAAAGATCATCTAATCCAATTCCCTTATTTTATATACGTAATTCTAATAAATCCAGAGTCCCAAGTAAATCAGTCTTAGAACAGTGGCTTATTTTAAAAGCTCAGTTAACAATCAAAAGTGAATTTTTAAAATTCCACTTTTACATATATTTCTCATAAACCATTGTAACTTGGTCACTGAATAAGCTGGACTTATTCAAGGACAAAAGAAACTATATTCTTCTTGCTTCTCCCCATTAAACTGGCTTCATGGACTCATTCTTTCTCCCTTCTGTATAGAATCCCAGGCAAGTCCCATGGCTTTTCTAGACACTCTTACATATTAAATAAAAAGAAACTTTCTTCTGGCATTTGTTTAAAATGAGGCCCAGCATAAAAGTCAAATAAGTCTATCCAGGCCAGTGTAAAAAATCAAGACTCAATTTAGAACTTCTCTCCTCCATCAAATCACCTCTGTCCCAAGTTTGGAAGCCTGAAAGGAAGAGAAAGGAAGCCAGGTGGGAGGGCGGCCCTGCTTCCTCTCCTATATGCGCTCTTTCCAGGGTCAGAGAATGGAAAGAAAGAGGTAACGGGACTGAAGATGTCCCAGATTACTGCCCTATCAGATTCTGGGATTGGTGCCCTGTGAATGTGGCTTCCAAAGCTAATCCTTTTTTCTCGTGCAGGAAAAATGGCACATGTGGTGCTATCCATTCGCTTCCCAGTAGCCCCTAGGTTTCAAGTGACTACCATCTCTGGTCACATTGTACAGTGGTCTTCTTGGACAGGATAACTTTCAAGTAGTCTCTGACTATCATCAATCCAGGGGCTCCACATTTGTCCCCAAGAAACCTTGCGTATGTCACACCATACACACACAAGCCAGCAAGTGCAGCTTGCTTCCGTTGCAGTTCTCATTCCTGTGTGGATCAGAAGGGGACAGGGCCAGCTTCAGCTTCTGGCCCAGAGCTCCTTCAGGCATGATGAGTCAAATACCAGCCTTGGAGACCCTCACATCTAAAGGACACAGATAAACTTTGCACCTGGTTTAAAGTGAAAGGAAAATGTCCTCCTACACATTACATCCGTTGGGGGTGTGATTGACAAAGAAGAATAATTCAACATACTGATAACTTTCTCCAATAAATCCTTTCTCAGCCTCGCCAGCTTCACCCTTATATGGATGTGATCTAGGTAATAAATTTTTTTAGAAAATCCATTTTGGACACCCCCTTTGCAAGTGCCACCTAGGATGCCAAGCACCTCACTTTAGAATGTAAGAGTCTGAAACAGTATTCTCAGCCTTTGACCTCTCCCGAAACTCCAAGGCAAGAAGACATGGCATTAACATTTTGCTCTAACTTGAACATATGGCCCCAGCCTCATTTATGGAAGTACTTGCTTTTCTGTCTCCTTCCTGACCCCCACAGCTACCCCAGTACCTATCACCTTTCCTCCAAAATATCCCTGATATAATTTTTTTTTTTTTTTTTTTTTTTTTTTTTTTGAGACAGAGTCTCGCTCTGTTGCCCAAGCTGGAGTGCAGTGGCAGGATCTCGGCTCACTGCATGCTCCGCCTTCTGGGTTCAGGCCATTCTCCTGCCTCAGCCTCCTGAGTAGCTGGGACTACAGGCACCCACCACCACGCCCGGCTAATTTTTTGTATTTTTTAGTAGAGACAGGGTTTCACTATGTTAGCCAGGATGGTGTCGATCTCGTGACCTCGTGATCTGCCCGCCTCAGCCTCCCAAAGTGCTGGGATTGCAGGCATGAGCCACTGCACCTGGCCGATATAATTTTTTACCCACCAGAGGGAGACCTGACTTTCCTTTCTCTTCCTTCACTTTGCCTTGAGCCTTTTTCCAAATGGAAAAACAAAACACACACACATACACACACACACAAGCCTTTTGTGAAGGAGTAGTAGAACAACAGCCTGAGGGAATCTATGAACTGTCCCAAGTTAATGAATTATCCCTTCACACATATGAGAAATTATATCTAAAGAAGTAAAATGATTTGTTCATGGTCACATAACTAATTAGAAGCAGAGGTGCATCAATGTCACTTTCCTGGGACCAAGAACTCTTCTAACCAATACAATAAATTCTATTATACCTTGTCAAGGATTTAGCAGACAATTCAAATAATTCAAGAAGTTTTAAGCATATTAATCTATTGCTGTTTGGAAGCCATATTTTAAAATGGCAGCTCTCTGGTTCCTTGAATGAGTAAGATATTTATAGTGAGTTATACTATCAATTCTGATGAGACAAAGTCCCAGCCTCCCAATGATCCAGGTTGCTTGGACATGTCAATTATCTTTGTGGAAAGGTAGCAAAAAGAATGAGAAGCATCATTTTCTGATTAGGATAAATCTTTTGAAGACTTTAAATCCGTGTATCTTTTGCTGGAAGCCTATCCACCACTGTAACTGAATCCCCTAGTCAGAGGAAGAGAATTTCTATAAAGTTTATTTCCTTTCTGGATTAAAAAAAAAAAATTACTGCCTACTAAGTGTCTAGCCCTGTGTTAGCCAGGGTGGGAGATATAAAGCTGAATAAAAAATATATTCTGCCTCCTGAAAACTGACATTTTTATTTAAAAATCAATATATTACAAGCGTAAACGTAAAAGATAAAATGACATGGGTTCAGAAGAGGGTTCTCAATAAATATTTTTTGAATGAGTGAATGACCACTCTCTAGAGGAGGTGGTATTTGAAATGACATTTGAAAATGTGTAGAATGTGAACATGCAGCAACTAAAAAAGGACCTTAAATCAGAGGGACTAGCATAAGTACAGATAGATGGGAAAGCTCAGGGAATAAGAATTATAGCTACAATTTGTGCCTGGCACTTCATTTAGCACTTTACGAATATCATCTAATTCCACCCTTACAGTAATGATGCTATTATCCTGATTTTACAGATGATGATAATAAGAGCTAACATTTATTCAATGACTGTTGTTTGCCAGACATTGTTCTTAAAACTTGTATATGTATATAGTCGCATTTAATCTTAAACCTATGATCTGAATAATATGATTGTCTCCATTTTACAGTAAAGAAAATAAGAATCATAGAGATAAAATATCTTGCCCAAGGTCACAAAGAAAGTAATGATAAAGTCTAGTTTCTACATCAGTCAGTTCACTTCTAGAACCTTTGCCCTAAATTTCTGTTATATCCCTCTACTAAATAACAAGTTCAATTTTGCCTGAATAAAGGGTACAGAAACAAAATAGTTGAAAATAAAGTAGGAAAAATAAAAGGGCAGTCGAATCCCAGACTAACATGTTTCATTTGGTCCACATCTGCTTTAAATATCAGAAAATTTTACATTAAACATTTGGATTTTAGTTTTTTCTTGAAAATTTATCAGCACTCATAAGGCCATTATACACCGCAATGCTTAGCTAGAGCTAAGCAGAGCCTGCCTGCCTTAGACAGCTTGTCACAGTCTGTATATTCTTTGTATTCTTTATCCCTTTTATTGTTTTTGATTTTTTGTAATTATGAACTATTACAAACATACAAAGAAGGTACATAAAATAACAAAATACACGCAATCAATCACCCAATTTAACATGTTTTGCCATATCTGCTTCATGTCAGTTATTTCTTCTTAAAGAAATGAAATGTATGGAATTTTTTAGTAGTGCTAGTGAAAATAACTGCTAGAAGTACTTTGGAAATCAATTTGGCCACACCTAATGTGATGGTTAATACTGAGTGTCAACTTGATTAGATTGAAGAATACAAAGTATTCATCCTAGGTGCGTCTGTGCGGGTGTTGCCAAAAGAGATTAACATTTGAGTCAGTGGGCTGGGGAAGGCAGATCCACCCTTAATCTGGTGGGCGTAATGTAGTCAGCTACCAGCACATATAAAGCAGGCCGAAAAACATGAAAAGGCGAGCTGGCCTAACCTCGAGCCTACATCTTTCTCCCGTGCTGGATGCTTCTTGCCATGGAACATCGGACTCCAAGTTCTTCAGTTTTGGGACTCTGACTGGCTCTCCTTGCTCCTCAGCTTGCAGACAGCCTATTGTGGGACCTTGTGATCATGTAAATTAAAACTTACTAGCCTGTAATCTCAGCACTTTGGGAGGCCGAGGCAGGAGGATCACGAGGTCAGGAGATCGAGACCATCCTGGCTAACATGGTGAAACCCCGTCTCTACTAAAAAAAAATACAAAACATTAGCTGGGCGTGGTAGTGAGTGCCTGTAGTCCCAGCTACTCAGGAGGCTGAGGCAGGAGAATGGCGGAGAACCCGGGAGGCGGAGCTTGCAGTGAGCCAAGATCACGCCACTGCACTCCAGCCTGGGTGACAGAGCGAAACTTCGTCTCAAAAAAGAAAAAAAAAAAAACTTAATAAACTCCCCTTTATATATATATTATTTTTAATATATTTTCATATATATTTTTTTATATCTATACTTAACTCCCATATATATGTATATATATGTGTATATATGTATATATGTGTATATATATGTGTGTATATATGTATATGTGTATACATATGTATATATATGTGTATATATGTATATATGTGTATATATGTATGTATATATATGTGTATATATATACGTATATATATATACGTATATATATATCTCCTATTAGTTCTTCCCTCTAAAGAACCCTAATACACCTAATAAAGTTAAAGATCTTCAAACATGGCCACATCTCGAGATATCTATTCTATAAAGACTCTCATATATGCATGAGACACATGGCTTCCTATTCATTTCCCTACTTCATTCATTCATATCATCTGCCTGGCCTGTAGGTATTTGCAACATCTAGGTATATAGTATGGGAGGAAGAACAGGTTATATTTTATTAAATTTGCTAGAAAACTATCCTCTCTTAAAATAGACATTCCAGGACTTGCGTACAGGGAAATGACTTGGAACTATTCCCTACATGTCTAGCATGAAAAAGTCCCAACATCAGTGGTTCCTGGACCAAAAGTTCTATGTGTTTTTGACAGGTTTCAGGAGGTATGTTCAAAGCATTTTATTTAAAAAGGATTCTATATTCAAATAAAGAGAGAAAAAAAATCTACTGAGTTAGTAGAAAATCCATGGATATTCCCCTGCCTCCCCAGCCCCCCGTGCCCAGAACTTAGCAGAGGCTTTATATGAAAATGTACATTGTTATCATGCATCCTTTCTCCTTGCAACACACTCTGGAAAACAGCTTACTAGACTTTTATTTTACCTTTTAAGACCTGATCAAAAGGTAAGCCAACCTATCTTTGTAGACTAACAACATGTTTTGTGACCTATCTACATGGTTTTTATAGAATAAATATAATCTCTTCCATATTAGTTTTCTATTGCTTCCAAAACAAATTATCACAAACTTAGGGTCTTAAAGCAACACCCATTTATTATCTCACCATTTCTGTGGATTAGGTGCTGGGGTACAATATGGAGTAAATGGGTCTCTACTTAGAACCTCACAAACCCAAATTCAAGGCATCAGCAGACCTGAGATCTTTTCTGGAGTCTCTGGGAATGAATCTGTTTACAAGCCCGTTCTGGTTATTGGCAGAATTTTGTTCCATGCAAGCCCCATTTTCTCTCTGGCTGTCAGTAGGGGGTCACTCTCAGCTTCTAGAGGCCTCTCGCATTCTCTGGTGTATAAAAGAATACCACAAACCGAGTGGCTTGAACAACAACAATTTATTTTCTCACAATTCTAGAGGTCATAGGTTCCAGAGTAAGGTGCCATCAGGGCTGGTTTATGGTTGGACCTCAACTCTTGGCTTGTAGACAGCCACTTTCTGTGTCTTCACATGGCCTCTTCTCTGTGCCTGCCCAGAGAGAGAAAGATCTCCAGCGTCTCTTCCTTTTCATAAAAGGACATAAGGATTGGATTAGGATCCCATTGTTATAATCTCAATTAACTTTAGTTACCTCCTTAAAGGCCTTATCTTCAAATAGAGGAACATTGGAGGTTAGAATTACATCGTATGAATTTGCAAGGCACACAGTTCAGTCCATAACACTTGGCTCATGGCTCCCTTCAAAGCCAGTAAGGGTGGAGCAAGTCCTTCCTAGCTGCAAATCTCTCTGACCTCACCTACCAAATCTTTCCTGCTTTCTCTTCCACTGCATCTCTCTGATTTTTTTTTTCAAGACTACTTTTTTAGAACAGTTTTAGGCTCAAAATTGCAAGGAAGATAGAGATTTTCCATATTCTCCCTGCCCCACACATACATAGCCTCTCCAACTATCAGCATCCCCCACCAGAGTGGTGCATTTGTTACAACTGATTAACCTGCATTGATACATCATTATTACCCAAAGTCCATAGTTTATATTAGGGCTCTCCCTTGGTATTATACATTTTATGGGTTTGGACAAACGTATAATGATGTGTATCCACCATTATAGATGCCCTACTGGCCTGCAGTGGGCCTGGAAGTTCCCTCAGTTTTAACTCCATTCAAGATGAGGACAATAAAAATAAGTTTATTTAAACAGCTAGGGTAAACTGAAAAAAAGAGTAAACAATTTAGGGGAACACTAGGACAAAAATTGACAGAAACATTTCTGGACCATAAAGACAGGCTAAAGATCACTGAGTAGCTAGAGGTGGGAAAAGTGAAAAAAAAAATAATAAAGAGTATAAAAATTGCACATGTATACTATTTTGTAGTGAATTTTTAAAGAATTCAGAATAGAGTTGGCTGTCTGTTACCCATCTATATGTCTTCTAGTTTCTGGACATCCTACAGTAAATTCTTAAGATGCAATGCAATACTATTTCCCTCTGCTTGTTCTGTATTACCGATCTATTTTCTTTTTTTTTTTTTTTTTTTTTTTTTTTTGAGATGGAGTTTTTGCTCTGTTGCCCAGGCTGGAGTGCGGTGGCATGATCTCCGCTCACTGCAACATCCACCTCCCGGGTTCAAGCGATTCTCCTGCCTCAGCCTTCAGAGTAGCTGGGATTACAGGTGTGTGCCACCACGCCCAGCTAATTTTTGTATTTTTAGTATTTCACCATGTTGGCCAGGCTGGTCTTGAACTCTTGAATTCAGGTGATCCACCAGCCTCAGCCTCCCAAAGTGCTAGGATTATAGGCGTGAGACACTGTGCCCGGCCGACTAATCTATTTTCCTAATTTCCCACTAGTGTGTGGTTTTAGGACCAGCAGCAATAGCATCACCTGGAAACTTGTTAGAAACGTACATTTTCAGCCCCTTCCCCATTGCTCCTTTCCCAATATCTATCTCTATCCTGCTCTCCTGTGCCTTTCCACTCACCTTGCCAGCAAATCCCCAACCACAGATCCATCCAACCTGCACCTTCTCTGCTTCCTGTCACAGCATTGTTCATAATGAATTAGGAGTATCGGTCAGCCTTGTTTTTCTAAGTTGTAAGCCCCTTAAGACAGATATTGTGTTTTCTGCCTGACCCACAAGAGTTGTTTTTTGTTTTGTTTTCTTTTTTGAGACAAGGTCTTGCTCTGTTGCTCAGGCTGGAGTGCAGTGGAGTAATCATAGTTCACTGTAGCCTCGAACTCCTGGGCTCAAGCAATGCTCCCACCTCAGCTTCCCAAAGTGCTGGGATTACAACTGTGAGCCAGTGCACCTGGCCGAGAGTTGTTTTTTGAATGAAAAAAAAAAAAAGATTTGAAAGCACAGATTAGAACACACTACTGTGTTACGATGTACCAAGAGCAAAGATAACAAACACTTTCCAGAATAAGAGAAACAGAACAGAAAATTTTACGTAATAAAGAACACAGATATGGATTCAGGAATTTCTCAAATAAGACTTCATTGTGAACCATGCAAATAGCTACACATTTGCATCTGCTGAGAAGCACACACAGCCAACAAATGTACTGACATAAACTGAACTGCTGAGCTAGGAAGGTGTGGACCACTGTGAATTCTGTGAAAAAAGTTTACACTCCACTGCTGTGAAATGTCAAGGATAATTGAACAACTTACTGTGATTTCTCTTAGTCTTAAATTTAGAAAACAAAAAAAAAGTTAACGTTAATTTTAAAATCCAAAAAGAAAGACGTGTACACAAAATTAAGAGGAAGACGGGCAAAATAAATTATTCCTTCAAAGGATGGAATTATAAAAATGAGACTTACTAAAACGTCATGACTGAAATTATTTAATAGAAAACAGCTCTGCCACAGCCTGGGGGAGGGGATTTTTTAATGTTCTCTCTTCAAATATAAGATGATCTTAGCACCTGGAAACCACCTCTAGATTTCACTGTTAAAAATTAAAAAGTCATACTAATTCAGGCATGTAAGAAGGTGGCAGGGGAGAAGCTTAATTCATTACCTACTTTAGACTGCACTCATCCTACTTCTGACTTCTGGGGAGAAATAAGGCAAAATTTCCTACATGAAAAGAGGACCATTTTCTGGATACTCATGTGCCTTGTACATAATATATGACAATGGGATGTAGGCTGATGTGAACTTATAAAAGCATCATTGATGAAAAAGTAATTGGTAGCAAATCTCTACCAGGGATAGTATATTTACCATCTAGAAAGTGCTCATGAACACTTAGTAATTAAACAAAAGGTACTATACTTGTAATTCCAGAGTTTCTGTCATTCATTCAATCTATTTTATTTGTTTATGCAACAAGCTTTACTGTGCACCTACTATATACCAGTGTCTGAGCAGCCTCTGCACTTGAAAAGCATCCAGTTAAGCAGTTGAAATGGGCGAGTGACAAACAGCTAAGAATTCGAAGTGACCAGTACCTTCACATAGGCATGGACCAAATATTACGAGGCATGAGACTATTAAGCATTCAGTATAACTTGCAGATGTAAAGAGCATTTCCACGCCCCCAGGATTTCCACTCAGAGTAGAGACTACACTGAAAACAATCCAGAGCTGAGAACAAAAACAAAGCACATAATTTCCCTCCCAAATTCAAAGAAAAGCAGGAGAAATACCTCTACCATAAAGTTTTTGGAGTAGTAACATTCCAAAAGAATGTTATAGCAAAACACTACTCCTTCTCCCTTAAAGAGTTTGTGAGTTGCCAGTGATCATTTGCCTATTTCTACCTCTGTTCCCTTGGGGGTAGGCTTGTCTTGTCCCCCACTCCTAAGCTGCAGAGCCACCAGCCTGCAGATAAACTTCATTCTGTCAGAATATGGGTGAAAGTCCAGCTGTAAAGCTGAGAGACTGTGTGCCTAGGGCAGTCTAAAAGGGTAGTCTACAATCCCATTGCTTAGCTTACATGTATGCCTAAGTTCCCTTAAGTCAAAAAACACTGAAGGCAAGTAGGGCTTCTTAAGGTATCTGTTAGTAATTCATAACAACTCCCCACTGAAGCAGGGAGACTCCATTTGCAAGACTTCCCACCAAAGGATAAAAAGTGGCTCCAGCTGGAAAGAATC
Organism: Homo sapiens; assembly: GCF_000001405.40. NCBI lineage: Eukaryota > Metazoa > Chordata > Mammalia > Primates > Hominidae > Homo > Homo sapiens. The sequence continues at coordinate 183,349,490 of NC_000002.12, read as the reverse complement.
ACTGGAGAACTATTTAAGGGAAAGCCAGTGCAGATTCCACAGAAGAACCAACAAATACGATGCATGAGAAAGCCAGCATTTCCATGCCAGGGTCACAAAGGGAGCCAATGGACAGCTGGTGTTAGGCAGAGAAACAATAATGACCAGCAGAGGAGGGGATCACAATTGCCATCACCAAATCGTAGTCATTCATGAGCACAGACATTACCGCATACACACACCTGCAGCTTCTGCAGCTGTGTGGGCACAGAGAGCCTGGAGGGAAGCGGGGCACAAGCCCGACACCAGCCTTTCTTTTGTCAGGACTCTGCAGCTGCGTGGGAGCTCTGCCCGAATCCTTGGAAGGGGTTTTTGAAATGGACACTCACATGTAATATTTCAAGTTGACTGAAATTAAACTGCTTTGAACTGAAAATGACTGAAAGGTGGGTTGGGGGTCTAAGGTAGAAATCAAATGTGGAAGACTGTTGAAACTCTTAGATCATATATATTGCAATAATCATAAGTTTTATAAGCTTAAATTTGTATATCACATTTGAATTTAAGAAAATTTAATGCACTTTTGTTTCATTTTATTATTTTAATAAGTCTATGGTATTTTAAAAAGCAATTGAACCCATCCTATTTGACTGATATGAAGTTTGCCAAGGTCACCCAGATAATATATTGAAGAAGTGAAACTAGAACCCAGTTTCACTTTAAATAGACTACATTTTAAATGGGTATACTGGCTTTAAATGGGTAATGCTGATTGCATGGTCTGGAATTTTTAAAAACTCTTGCCAGCAGAATTTGTAATGCTTACTACCCTTGTCTTTAAGTAATGGGCTCTACCTGTAAGGCCTGCCATCTACTGGTGCCATATATGTTTATTAACAATGTATTATCCTGGTGCACTAGTGCAAAACTGTGTTTGTACGTTAGGAAATGGTACAGGCCTTCTGATTAGCTGTAATGGAAACCGTGACCACAGGCACAAAATCATTAAATCTACAGCACCTCTGCAAATTTGCATGATTTTAAAATTTCAGACATTAGCTAAAAAAAAAACAATAATTTTCTAATTTTGAATTTACCCCCCTCTGAAAAGGGAAGTAGCTGAAATTACTTCTAAGAATGTCCTTCAAAAACCCTGAAGCTTACCAAGTAAATTTCAAGGACACTGCTAAATACTCATTCCACTAATTTGTACTTTACCTTCATATTTTCAAAGATTATCTCAATTTGGCCTGCCTTAGCTTTTTACTTATTGTCCAATGAATGAATTAATGGAAAGTGAATCATTCTAAATGCTCTATAAGAGGAATGAATGAATGAATGAATGAATGAATGAATGTTACAAGGCTTTCTACGTGTGAAAAGCTCTGCAATCATTTATTAATCTGGAAAGACTGAATTTGTGACCTTGTTATCTTTGATGACCGATCAAAAAAAAAAAATGCCTTAAAGTCGTTGTTATAATCATAGACAGCTGCTATAAGGCAAGATCTTGCCAGATGATAGATCACAGAGGATAAGAATACTACACACTAGTTGGTCTCTGAAGCCTGAAATAGAAGTTTCACTTGGGGAAATAGGACTATAGGCCTAAAAGATATAGCCTTCACTGATCATCTATGAAATGGATGAAGTTATAAGCTCTACTTGAAAATCAACTCCACCAGTATATGGAATTTGGAGAAAAGCAATCTGCTCCATTCGAGTTGTTAGCAGAAAAGCAGTATTAGAAAATAAGAGGTCTACTAGTAAACAGGTTTTCTCCTAAGGTCTTGGTGCTTAAAACAAATTGACAAAGTTGGAGATCATCATATTTTAACAAAATATAAAGGGATCATATCCATACAGAAATAATCTGTTAAACATTACTTCTGAGCAGAGGTTGTTTACCTTATTTATCTGTTCTGCGAACCAGAATTTGGACTGTAATAGTCATACTGGACTGACTCATTCCAGCTTTCTAGCTAGTAACTCAGAACTTCAGGAACATCAAAAAAGAATTGGGTGAGAGTGGCTAAACCTTATTATGGAATATAATATATATTTGAATTTCATTCTATAATACATATATATCTAAATTTCATCAACTTTAAGCAAAATTATATTCCACCTACTACTGCTACTATTAAGTAAGGCTCTGATATTAATTTATATTTGCTGATATTAATTTACAGCTGATCACCAACAGCTTTTTTCCAGTGATTGTTTTAGGTATGAGTACAGTATGTGATACCTTCTTAGCCAAAGAGATGTGAGAAGTCTTCTGAGTGTTTCTGGGAATATTTTTGTCATTCTTACTGATTATATGAATCTGGGTGAAATATATCTCCTGCCCCATTAATATTGTAACTTGTCATACGACTTGCTTTGGCCAAAGGAATGTTAGCAGATGTGAGAGGAAAAGAGATCTTAAATGTGTTTTTATGGTTTGGTTTGGCATCTTGAACTCCCATGAAAGACATGCCCCAGGTAGCCATGGGCAGTAGAATGTGACATGTTGAGCACACTTGAACCTGACCTGAAGCCTGGAGCCAAGCTGAACCACCCTGCAGCCTGATATGGAACTGCCCCACCTTCCCCACAAACCTGAGATAAAAATTAAAAATTATTGTTGTTGTTAAGCCATTGAAATTTGAAGCTGTTTTCTGCACAGCATTGTTGTGGCCATAGCTGATTAAAACAATTAGTAACTAAGTGGCTATTTCAAACTGGGTTTTCAGGGAGGGCTTCTTGGAGGAGATGACATTTGAACTACATTTAAATAAGACAGAATCAGTGCTGTGGAGAGATCAGGGAGATGATCACTGCAGGTGGGGTGCTGTTTAGCTAGTGCAAGGGCACTAGGAAAAGTCAAGGATTCACATGTGAAAAAGAAACAGAAAAGCCGCGTAACTAAAGATTAGTGGCAAAGGGTAAAGTGGTGTGTGTTGAGGTCAATGAGATGAGCAATTTCCCAACTATGTAAGCTAGGGTAGGAAATTCAGGTTTTATTCTAGCAGCAATGAAAAGCTCCTGGAGGATTTGAAAAGAGAAGAGATGTGATCATATTTACATTTTTAAAAAATATTGCCCTGGCTATTGTGAGAAGTGGATGATTAAGGGTCAAGGGTGGAAGGAGTAAATCAGTTAGTAAGGTATTGCAATAGTCTAGGCAGTAGATGGTGGTTGTTCGAGAATCTGTGGATTCTCCTGACCTCATCCCCTACACCCGTTCTTTGAATTTTGACTTAAGCAACTAGGTGTTTGGTGGTGCCATTTACTGACAAAGGGAGAAAATGAGTAGATGGATTGAAGAGTGAATGGAATCAAGAGGGTTTAGTCTTCCCCTATACAATTGGATATATTCCTAAAAATCCAGGCAGAGGTGTAAAGCAAGCAATTTAATCTATGAATATATATATATATAATATATATATATATATATTATATAGATACATAGATATAGCTGAAGATCCAGAAAAGGGTAAGCATTGAAAAATCTACTATAATTTTGGTAGTCATGAGGGCTCCCAATTGGCCAGATATCAGTTGTAGTATAGATATGGGATAACAAAGAGAGATGTTGGGTGTTCTATGCTAAAAATTACTGAAATATTTTCTTTTAGATGAGTGCTATGACATTTGTTTTCTATCTCATTTTTGATTTATTGTCCAAAAGGCCAGTATAAAGCATGATATCAGGTCATGATTTGAGTTGTAATAAAAAGAAATAATATTACTTAGCAAGTAATAAGAGCACTCAAGACTCATTTTATACAATCACAAACAAAGAACTTTGTCTATAACAAATGAAATCACTGGCAATAATTCCCTTCTTAGAGACAAAGTGCAAGGAGTATGTCACATGAATAACAATTATATATTTGTACAATATTTTGTATGTCCTGAATTTAGAAAGTTCAACTTTTAAAGAGAAAAATATAATCCAGAAATCTTTTTTATTATTGTTTGCATGAACCAAAAGGCTATTTGCCAGATATGTTTAGTGTTTTACTCTGACATGTTCAAGAGGCTACAGAGTAGATATTAAACGTGAGAACAACTGGTAAATGACAACTTGAAAACAAGAAAACAGAAGATAAAGGACACAGGAGAGTGATTTAGGGAATAAGTAAGGATAGAAAGAATAAATAACAACAAAATCAGACCCTAGGCAAAACGTAAAAGAACAGGCAAGATACTCAATTACAGTGCATAGGGGGGTCCGTGGAAGAGGAAGAAAAGGGAGGTATACATGCATTTGTCAAGATTTTATGTAGTATCCCAACATTTTATCACAATTCTCCCTCCCACCACCTCTTTCCTTTTCCCTCTCTCACACACACACAAACACACACACACACTCAAACACACACACATTCACACACACCCCAAATATAATCTCTATTTTTTAAGTCAGTGTTGCCAGTTAAATTCTAAGATTCAAATTGTTAAGCTATTGTGTGTCTGTTTTTAGCAATTTCTCACAGTAGTTAAGCTTGGGAGAGCACTCTTTGAGATCATTTTTTTAAAAACTTAGAAGTAGGCTTTACTTCAGGTACCTTTCTGTTGTCTGAAACCTGAAAAATTCAACAGCACCACAAAAGTTTAGGTAACTTGTGCCCATGTTTAAAAGACTGAGAAGGATTGATGACTCTCTGCTGAAGTTTCTCATTATTAGAGATCTTCTGATATAACCTAAGCTTGCAAATGCATCAGATGCATACCTCTAAGTCAATCCCTGATTTTATGTGGGAAAGAATAGGGTTTAGGTCACTGTCTACTGAAATATGCCCACAGATTTTTTTCCATGTGCACATATCGTATTAACCAGAAGTGATTATAACTTAGAAGGCTGATTTTTTTAAAAAAAAAAATGTTTGTCCTTGTCTTAAGACCTTCCAGTTCTAATGACTGATTTGTAGATAGAAGTGGTTCTGCTCTGGATGATTACATTGTTCACAGGGAGAAAGGACAGTCATCTGAGAAGCTCATTCTTTGCCGATTGTTTTTCAAAGTGCTTTCCATGTAAATTATGAATATATGGGGATAAGATAAAGTGAAGCTGGAGAAGCTATTGTGCCTAGTAAAACGTCTAGTCCAGAGTGCAGATATTTTTCATTAATGTGGTTTGTTACTTAGAACAGAATGAGGATTTAATTTTTAAATACTATCTTGCCAGTCTAATAATATCTTTCTTTGAATTTTTTTCTCTGAACTAAATATTTCATTTTGGTTGTTGTATTCTGATTAGCATACTTGATATGTCAGAGACCCAGTGTATTCTTCCTTTAGCTATTTGATATTTAATATTTTTATTATCATTTGCTACATGTTCTATAACAAATAATTGTATTATTTCTTCAGTAGCAAAATTAGATAGTTAATTGTTTCACTGACCTTTATTAACTGCTCATTTTATTCCTTAATTAGATTATTCACAGATTACCTTAAATATATTGATTGAATATTTTAAATGGTTTTAAGAAAGATTTAAACTGCTCAAATAAAGATGAATTTCTAAGATCACAGAAGCTCATGAAACATATGGTTATCTGTGGTAAACATTTGTTATACGTGAAAAGCTGTTAAAGTAATATATTGGCTCAACCATTGTTTCCTTGCATGTTCACTGTTTCCAATTGTTCATATTATCTAATAAAAAAAGTGGGGGCAAATTATCCCATAATTCTAATCTGGAGAGAAAGAGACTCAATCTCTAATTCAGTAGTATCAATTTTCTATTGGAAATAAGGAGAATTACCTAGCATAACTTGCACATCTAGTAAAATGAAGCCATTTCATCATTGATTTTCCAGCTCTAGGTGTAAGTAGTTTATATGTTTTACTTTCATTTTGGCTATATATGATAGTTGCTGGTTTCTCTGCTGTTTTTATAATGTTAGCTAATTTTGTAATTTCAATTTTTCTAAATAGATATCTTTCTTCAATGTTTAGGAGCTTATTTGCTTTTACCAAGAAACTTCTGTTAATAGAAAAATAGGAAAAAAATAGAAAAAAACTGCTCAGAAAATTTGATAAAACATTTTATTCTAAAACATGAAAAATGTTCATCCTAGAGTCACTGTGCAAATTAATGAGATTGTTTTGATTTTGCTCTTTGCATTACTCTTTCTTTTAATAAGAATTAGTGATGATTTTACCAGTATTCAAAAATAATATTTTATTTAAGTCCTGTCCTGGTGATAGCAAAATACTGACATTAAAATCAAGTGAAATTTCAGGTATTTTTAAAGAAGCACTCCAATTTGCCAATGTCTCAGGCGCCATAAAAAGGGGTGAAATTCAAGTAAACAACAGATTCAACTAAGGAAAGTTAAAAAGTGTGGTGTTTATACTCTCACTGTCTTTCTGGTCTAGGATATTCTCCTCTCTTCTCTCCGCATCTAGTGGGTTGAATTGTGTTCCCCAAAAATGATATGTTCAAGTTCTTATGTCCGGTACTTAAATGTGAATGAGGCCTCATTTGGAAATAAAGTCTTACAGATGTACTCAAGTTAAGATAGGAGCATACTGGATTAGGGTGGGCCATAGTCCACCATGAGTGGTTTGCTTATAAGAAGAGGACACAGACACAGGGAAGGCAGCCATGTGAACATGGAGGCAGAGATTAGAGTGACATGGCTATAAACCAAGAAATGCTAGGATTGCTAGGAGCCAGAGAAGCCAGGAAAGGGGCATGAAACCAATTCTCCTTTGGAGACCCCATGAAGGAACCAATTCTGGTGACATCTTGATTTCAGACTTTTGGTCTCCTGAAGTATAAGAGAAAAAAAATTGTTGTTCTAACTCACTGAGTTTGTGATATTTTGTAATCATAGTCCTGGGAAACAAATACACAACGTATCTGTAGTCCAGTGAAGACACAATTCAAGTTCCTCCAAGGCACATTCCTGACTAGTCCAGTGCACAGCACCTTTCTTTGAATTACCAAGGTATTACAAGATACAGTTTAAGAATATGTAACATTTCTCCCAATAATTTGTACACCACTTGTAGCTCAGAGACAGCTTTTTCTTTCAAATCACACATCCCCTTCTCTTGAACAGTTTCATCCTTGCCTCCTCTGAATACCTAGGAGTGGATTGTGGACAGCATGTACAAAATATGAATTAGCAAATACCATTCTTATTGACTGATTGAGATGCATACCAGCAGAGAGGTGGTTAGGATAAATATGAATAAACTAATAAAATAAATCTGCTTTTCCCCAGCTGAATAAATAAGCAGAAATTATAGTTATTTACTTGCTTGACTAACAATAATCCATTATTCATTAAAGATCACTTTAACCTACATAGGTATACACTGAAGTTGGAATTTTATACTGGTTTCACCTGGAGATTAACACATTCTTGATGTTATGCATTCAAAATTACGCAGACTACAGACAAAACAATTTATGAAATTCTTAAACTTTTATCAAGATAAAACAATAAAGAATAAAATTAGTGAACACTATTTCACAATTTATATTCTAAGTGAATTAGTCTTCTCAACAACCCAGTGCAAGAGGCCTTATTACTGTACTCATTTTTAAGTGAAGAAACTGAGACACCAAGTAGTTAACGATCTTGCCTAATATTGCAAAGGTACCGTATAGCAAAATCAGTTGTAAAGGATATATCTGTACTCAAAATTTGACTGAGAGTTTCATTTTTCTTCCTCAATCTAGTTAAGTAGTACATGTGTAGAAGCGGGAGTTTAGGCAAAAGGAATTCAGTGGAAAAATTAAAGATTGCTCATTATCCCATTTAACAAGTAAACAACACAATGAATGGAAAGGAAGATACCAAATATAATCAGACACATAAATGAGAGGAATGAATTTTTATGTTAATTATTGTGCATATAATGAATGCAATAGTATGCGCTAATATTTATTGGTGTCACACAGAAAACCACTTTCTCATAAAGTTGATGACTTAGTTCAGACATTTTAGAATAATTAGAATTAAAGGAGAAATTTTTAGCTTGTTTAGAAAGCCAGACTTCATAAAAATTCTAATTGAATTAGAGTTAACTAATGCATTTAGTCATTATAAGTGAAATGTCTTTTCTATAAAGCAAACCCAAAACAAATAGACTGTTCATTTTTGTTATTATCTTTAGTTTAAATTAATAACAAGAGAGAATATGCATACAGTGTTAAGTTTGCAAAGACCATCATATGCAGTATCTTATTTAATTACCAAAGGATTGAGGGTTCAGGAAGCTGGTATGATCACCATCCTACACGTGTAGAAACTGAAACTCAGAGGTTAGTGTCCTATTTAAGGTTTAGAGTCTATTATGTTACTAAATCTTATGATCCTTTTTTCCATTAACTAAACTCAGATTTTTAATTACTTCAAACTTGGTGCTTTCTTCCTTCACACCTTACTATTAAACCAAATCAGTGAGATGTTATATGATATGCAGAAAAGTACATTACATTCACCCGGTAGAGCCCAATCACATCTCTTTTTAAAAACAAAGAAAAATCACTTGGGAAGGCAACACTTGAATGGTATGATCCTGAAATCAGCAAGGAACTCTATGTTAGCTGTTTAAATGGTCTCATTAAATAATAAACACTTAACCTTAATTTATATCTTTAATCACACTAAAGGTCATCATAAACTTGCACATGAAATTATTAAATCAACATGAAGAATGAAATCCAATTAGGTCTTCATGTGTCATGTCTAATAAAACCGTTTACGTTAGCGAAACCTTTCAGAAGTGTCTGCTTTTTAAAGATGCTCTAGCTCTATACTGAGAAGTATATTTTCTAGGTGGCCTTTTTCAGCTATAGTACATTTAAGCTTGGAGTCATGTATTCCAACTCCCTACCATCTGTTTCTCCCAACCACCTCACCCCAATTTATTACTATAAAATGGAGAAGAAGGTTCAGGAGGGAAAATGTTAGCATATGCTATTCAGAAATAACCAAAAGAAAGCACTGAATATTTTTCAATATTTTACTTATAAATGTATAATATTTTACTTGAACCTAAGCTAGTAAAATTGTTTAAAAATTCCACCGTCCATATATCAAAGCAAATTCTCAATATGTCAAAGATTTAAATGTAAAAATTGAGGTGATGTAAGTACTAGAAGAAAAAGTAGGTAACTATTTTCTAAATATTAATGTAGTGAAGGAATGTCTAAGCACAGTACATATGAAAGAAGCTAGTAAAAAAAATTTATAAGATTAGTAAATGTGATCCTTGTTCATTGTTGTAGTTTCATTATTAAGCAGAGTCCTGACACTTCTTAGTAAAGTACTCAACCCATAAGTAGTCATTGTTACAAATGTTTTAATTTTTTAAAAAATTATGTCTGACACCCAAAAGATTAGGGTCCTTAATTTATAAAACGTTCTTATCAATCAATAAGAATTGGTTGCTTTTCAGGTTCATATACTTCTGCAATATTCATTTAAGGTCTAAAATGAATACTTCTGTGATGAAAATTTTTCTCTGCTAACACTTTAAATTTTTCAGAACACTCTTTTGTACATCATCATAGTCCTAGAATTGTATATATTAGGCTCTTAATATTTTAGAATATGTAATTAATATTTGAGAATATGTTTTCAGTATAAATATTTATAACATCTGATATAAAAAATACTATAGGTCTGTGTATTGTTTTTAAATTTGTTCTTTAAATTTAAAATTAAGAAGAATAAACTTTTCAATATTTTTATAGTCCACAATGCAAATAGCTTCCCTGTTGAATTTGCCTGTCCTAACTAGTTTCTCAGAGAGTCTCACATAGCTTGTCCTCTTGATCTTATTTTCAAACTTTATTATTTTGCCCTGGCACAGAAACTAGAGACTTTGGTCTCTTTTATTCTGTTTCCACTACCATGAGAGATTCTCTTTTGAAGGTTTTTTGCTGTAATTCTTATTACACATCATTCGTTAATTGCCCATGAAGATTTCCCATGATTTAAAGGTAGCAATGTAATAGAATTATCAAAGATGTCATTATTGTGAAATATGTGCTCTCAATCTTTGTCATTTGGCTTCCAGTTTCTGGCTGATGTCTCTCATTATTTGCCAGTTATTCAAAATTAACACAAGGAACTTTTGTGATTACTCTCTGAAATCAGGAAGAAGAAACAATGTTCCTGCTTAAGAAATATATACCATTTATCTATATTAAATCTAAAAACCTAAGTATCCTCCTGTTTACAGTTCATGTTACATAATTCTAAGAATAACTTAGTCACCTACTAGGTCATGACATCAAAAAGTTGTATAATACAATCATTTATCAAGTCCAAGCATAATATTTTTAAAGATCTCCCTTTTTCTTTGTAAATTATAAAGCAAATAGATCCCCAGTTCCACTGCCAAGTCCTTTTCTATGATATTGAAATCCATGAAAAATGAAGAGGATAAATCTCATAGGAACTTGTCCTTTGCACTTTTTCCACAGGAATCATACCTTTGAGTGTAGTGAGATTTCTACAATTTGAAAATTTTATCTACAAAAACATGGTGACTTTTATCTGAAATTTGCACACAAATATTCTTTATAAAGTTTTAGATATGTCTGATAACATTCTATGAATGCCTCCTTTTGAATTAAGGAAAAAATATGTTTAATCATTAGGGCACTTTCACTGGGAATTTCAGGGTACATTCCCTATTTTAGGGCTTAAGACTCTAAGATTTCCCTGAACTGTGCTTATTTATGCCAGTAGTACTAAAACTCAAAGTAGAATGGCCTTTAAAAATAAAATGTAAAGGAATTTCTACCAAGCATATACAAAGAGTAGAGAAAACCACATAATCAAAAAAGTCCTTAAAAGCAAGTAGAAAGGTGGTAGCAGTAAAATACATTATAGTTTCAAGGTTGCATCAAGAAGGGCCTGTGCTTTTCCGTAAGTATCCACCCTATTCACCCAGCAAAATGACATTTGAAATTCTAAAAAGCAAATTCATTCCTTTGGTGTAACTTGATAAAATATCAATATCCCTGAGAACATTGCAATATTTTATCTGTCATTTTATTTTTAGTTTGCATGAGTTTCAGAATCATTTCCAGCCTGAACAATTTCAAACCATTAATAACTTACACTCAAAACAAGCACACATAAGCTAAGTCCATTTATATGTCAGGAACTTGTAGTAAATTGCAAGTCTTGAAAATTATAATGTAGACTACAATAGTTATTAAAGGATAAGTAATAAAACATGCTAATTTGAATATGTATTATTAAAATTTAACAGTAACTGCACCAATGGTTTAAAGACTTAAATAAACAAGAGATTTTTTTTTTCAGAGTGAAGAATTTTATCACTGATATTAGAATTGCTGGTTCATGGTAACAATTAGAAGCACACCAACTTTTAGCTGATTTTGTTATTTTTAAATTCTCTAGAGATGATGTACCCCCACTACTGCCTGCATCCAGGGTGATCTACTCCCACAGTCTTATCCTTAAAGTTAAAATTACTGAGTTTTTCCATTTATACATGTTGTAGAAAGTATAATATGTAACTTCAGTAAAGAAAATAAATGTCCTTCCATTTTTGCCATTGACTTAAAAGATTGTCTAGAGTAAGCCTAGGGCAGTTGTGCTAACATAGTTGGTAAAGAAAATTGTATATAAACCAGAATTTGTTCAGCAGAAATCCTACAGACCAGGAGAATGGGAAGATATATTCAAAGTGCTGAAGGAAAAAAAATGCCAACCAAGAATACTTCACCCAATAAAACTGTCCTTCAGAAATGAGGGAGAAATAAAAACTTTTCCAAACAAACAAGGTAGTTCATCACCACTAGGCCTGCTTTATAGTAATTGCTTGAAAAAAGAGTTCTTTAAGCTGAAAAAAAAGCTCTTACTAATGACAAAAACATAAGAAAGTAAAAACTCAGTGGTATAAGTAATACATACTCATTCTCAGAATTTTTCAATACTATAAAGTTGGTCCACAAAGCAATTTTATCCCTATTAGGAGAGCTAAAAGACACAACTATTAAAACAACTGTAGTTACAATAAGTTGTTAAGAGATATAAATTACAGAAACAACTGTACATTTTGACATCAGAATCATAAAAGGGCAAGGGAGTGAAAATGTAGTTTTTGTATGCAATTAAAGGCAAGTTGTTATCATCTTGAAGTAACCTAGAGGGATAAGATATTTTTTGTGAGCCTCATGATAACCACAAAGCAAAATCTTACAGTAGTTGCACAAAATATAAAAAAGAAAGAATAAAAACATACAACCACAGAAATCCATCAATCCACAAAAGAAGACAGCAAGAGAGGAAGATAAAAAACAAATGAACTACAAAATCATCAGAAAACAAATTACACTACAACAGTAGAAAGTTCCTATCAATAATGACCTCTAATGTAAATGAAATTCTCCAATAAAAAGACATAGAGTGGCTGAATGGATTTAAAAACAGACATACAAGATTCAACTATATGCTGTCCATAAGAGATTTGCTTTACTAGTGAAGATACACATAGACTGAAATATGTGTATTTCATGCAAATTGAAAGAGAGCAGGGGTAAGTATACTTATATAAGTCCAAACAGATATGTCAAAAACTATAAAAAGAAACAAACAAGGTCATTATATAATGATAAAAGGATCAATCCCCAAGAAGGCATAACCATTGTAAATATATATGCACTCAACATTGGAGCACTTAAACACATAAAGCAAGTATTAAATGATCTGAAGAAAAAGATTATCTGCAATACAATAACAGCAGAGATCCTCTCCTCGACTTTTAACAATGGATAGGTCATCTAGACAGAATATTAGTAAAAAAAATTAAACTTGAATTATACTTTTGGACAATGGACCTAACAGACATATACAGAAAATTCTACCAAACAGCAGCAGAAGACACATTCTTCTCAAGGACACATGAAACATTCTCCAGGATAGATCATATGTTTGGTCACAAAACAAGCCTTAACAAATTTAAGAGGATTGAAATCATTTCAAATATCTTTTCAGATCACAATGGCATGAAGCCAGAAATCAGTAACAAGATAAATCTAGGAATATACACAAATAGTGGATATCTAAAAAACAATCGCCTAAACAACACATAAAAAAATAAAAAAAAATTAAAAAACACCTTGAGACAAATGAAAATGGAAACAAAATATACCAATACTCCTGAGGTGCAGAAAAGCAGTCCTAAGAGGGACATTAATGGCAATAAATGTCTATATCAAAAAAGAAGAAAGGTCACAAATAATCTGACTTTACACCTTAAGGAACTATAAAAAGAATACATTAAGCCCGAAGTTAGCAGAAGGAAGGAAAGAACAAAGTTCAGATAAGAAATAAATGATATAGATACTAGAAAGTAAGAGAAAAAAAATCAATGAAACTAAATTTTTGGAAAGACAAAATCAATAAATCCTTAGCTAGACTAACTAGGAAAAAGGAAGAAACTACTCAAATAAGATCAGAAATGAAAACAGAGACATTACAACTGATATCATGGAAACACAAAGGATTATAAGAAACCATTATGAACAATTTTACATCAGCTAACTGGGAAATCTATAAAAAAATAAATTCTGAGATGCATACAACAAACAGAGACTGAATCATGAAGAAATAGGAAAATCTAAGCAGTCCAGTAATGAGTAAGGAGATTAAATCAGTAATAAAACATCTCTCATCAAAGAAAAGCCCGCAACCAGAACGCTTCATTGCTGAATTCTAAAAGACATTTAAAGAACTAACACCAATTCTTTTCAAACTCTTCCAAAAATTTAAAGAGGAACAAAGACTTTCTAAGTCATTTCATGAGACTAGCATTATCCTGATACCAAAGCAATACAAGTACACTAAAAGAAAAGAAAATTATAGGTCAATATCCCTGATGAACCAAGATGCAAAAAGCCTAACCAAAATATTAGCAAACCAAATTCAAGAACACATTAAAAGAATAATTCACCATGATCAAGTGGGATTTATCCCTGGAATGTTAGGATGTTTCAACATATGCAAATCAATAAATGTGACATACCACATTACAAAATAAAGAAGAAAAATTATATGATCATCTCTATAGATGCAGAAAAAGCATTTGACAAAATTCAACACCCATTCATGATTTTTTAAAAAACTCTCAACATATTAAGTATACAGAGAATGTACCTCAACACATTAAAGACCATATATGCCAAAATTGTAGCTAACATTATTCTCAACAGCAAAAAGTTGAAAGCTTTTCCTCTAAGATCCGGGACAAAACAAGGATGCCCAATTTCCACCACTTCCTTTCAACATAATATTGGAAGTGCTGGCCAGAGTAACTAGGCAAAAGAAAGAAATTTCTTTCCTACAAAGAGAGGAGGAAGTGAAATTGTCTGTATTTGCTGATGACATTATCTACACATAAAAAATCCAGAAGACTCCGCCAAAAAAACTATTTGAACTGATTTTAAAAATCAGCAAATTTGCAAGGTACAAAATCAACATATAAAAATCAGTAGCATTTCTATATACTAATAATGAACTATTCAGAAAGGAACTTAAGAAAACAATTCCATTTACAACAGCAACCCTAAAAAATTAGGTATAAACTTTACCAAGGATATAAAAGTCTTTTCTACTCAAAACAAGAAAACACTGATAAAAGAAATTGAAGAAAACACAATAAAATGTTAAGATATCCTGGCCGGGCGCGGTGACTCACGCCTGTAATCCCAGCACTCTGGGAGGCTGAGGCAGTCTGATCACGAGGTCAGGAGATCGAGACCATCCTGGCTAACACGGTGAAACTCCGTATCTACTAAAAATACAAAAAGTTAGCCAGGCGTGGTGGCGGGCGCCTGTAGTCCCAGCTACTCGGGAGTCTTAGGCAGGAGAATGGCGTGAACCCAGGAGGCGGAGCTTGCAGTGAGCCGAGATCCTGCCACTGCACTCCAGCCTGGGCAACAGAGTAAGACTCTGTCTCCAAAAAAAAAAAAAAAAGATATCCTGTGTCCATGGATTGGAAGAATTAATGTTGTGAATATATCCATACTACCCAAAGTAACCTACAGACTCAATGTAACTACTATCAAATTTCAATGTCATTTTTCACAGAAACAGAAAAAAATAATCATTAATTTGTATGGAACCACAAAAGACCCCAAATAACCAAAACAGTCTTGAGCAAAAAGAACAAAGCTGGAGGCATCACACTTTATGATTTGAAACATTATAAAGTAACAGTAATCAAAACAGCATGGTACTGGCATAAAAACAGAAACACTGACCACTGAAATTAGACAGAAACTTCAGAAATAAACTCACCCATTTATAGTCCATTGATTTTTGAAAAAGGTGCAAAATACACACAATTAGGAGAGGACAGTGTCATCAATAAATAGGGTCTGGAAACTGGTTCTACAAAGGCAGAAGAATAAAATTAGACTCTTAAACCATATACAAAAATAAACTCAAAATAGATAAAAGACTTAAGATCTGAAACTATGAAACTACAAGAAGAAAACAGGTCAGAACAATGATTTATTTGGATATGACCCCAACGGCACAGGCAATAAAATCAAAAATAGACAAATGAGATGGCATTAAACTAAAAGCTACTGCACAGCAAAGGAAAAAAAGGGAAGAGACAACTTACAGAATGCAAGAATATTGAAAAGTATATATCTGATAAGGGATTAATGTCCAAAATATAAAAGGGACTCAACTCAATAGCAAGGAAACAAATAGCTCAATTAAAAGATGGGCAAAGGACCTGAACAAATATTTCTTAAAAGAAGATATATATGAATGACAAATAAGTACATGATAAATATCCATTACTAATCATTAGGGAAATACAAATTAAAACAATGAGATATCATCTCCCATCTGCTAGAATGGCTTTTATCAAAAAGATGAATGGTAACAAGTATGGGAGAGGAGGCAGAAAAAATAGAACTCTTATACAGGCATATCTTGGAGATATTGCAGTTTTGATTCCAGACCATGGTAATAAAGCACGTATTGCAACAATAGAGGCACAAGAGTGTTTTGGTTTCTGAGTGCATATAAAGTCATGTTTACAGTATACTGTAGTTTATTAAGTATGCCATAGCATTATGGCTAAAAAGACAATGTACATATCTCAGTTAAAAGTACTTCATTGGCTGGGTGTGGTGGCTCATGCCTGTAATCCCAGCACTTTGGGAGGCTGAGGCAGGTGGATCACAAGGTCAGGAGTTCAAAACCAGCCTGACCAACATGGTAAAACACCATCTCTACTAAAAATACAAAAATTAGCGGGGTGTGGTGGTGTATGCCTGTAATCCCAGCTACTCAGGAGGTTGAGACAGGAGAATCGCTTGAACCTGGGAGGCGGAGGTCGCAGTGAGCCAAGATCATGCCACTGCACTTTAGCCTGGACAACAGAGTGAGACTCCATCTCAAAAAAAAAAAAAAGTACTTTATTATAAAAAATGCTAACAATCATCTGAGCCTTCAGAGAGTCATAATTTTTTTTGCCGGTGGAGGATCTTGCTTCAATGTTGATGGCTGCGAAATAATCAGGATGGTGGTTACTGAAGGTCAGGGTGGCTGTAACAAATTAGTAAAATAACACAACAACAAATTTTGCTACAACCATTGATCCTTCCTTTCACAAAGAATTTTTTTATTATTATAATTTAAGTTCTGGGATACACGTACAGAACGTGCTGGTTACATAGGTATACATGAGCCATGGTGGTTGGCTGCGTCCATCAACCCATCACCTGCATTAGGTATTTCTCCTAATGCTATCCCTCCCCTAACCCCCCCCACACCCCGACAGGACCCAGAGTGTGATGTTCCCCTCCCTGTGTCCATGTGTTCTCATTGTTCAACTCCCACTTATGAGTGAGACCATGTGGTGTTTGGTTTTCTGTTCTCGTGTTAGTTTGCTGAAAATGATGGTTTCCAGTTTCATCCATGTCCCGGCAAAGAACATGAACTCATCCTTTTTTATGGCTGCATAGTGTATGCATGGTGCAAATGTGCCACAGTTTCTTTATCCAGTCTATCATTGATGGGCATTTGGGTTGGTTCCAAGTCTTTGCTATTGTGAACAGTGCCGCAGCAAACATACATGTGTATGTGTCTTTATAGTAGAATGACTTATAATCCTTTGGGTATATACCCAATAATGGGATTGCTGGGTCAAATGGTATTTCTGATTCTAGATACTTGAGGAATCGCCACACTGTTTTCCACGACGGGTGAACTAATTTACACTGTCACCAACAGTGTAAAAGCATTCCTATTTCTCCACATCCTCTCCAGCATCTGTTGTTTCCTGACTTTTTAATGATTGCCATTCTAACTGGCCTGAGATGGTATCTCATTGTGGTTTTGATTTGCATTTCTCTAATGACCAGTGATGATGAGCTTTTTTTTCACATATTTGTTGGCTGCATAAATGTCTTCTTTTGAGAAGTGACTGTTCATATCCTTCACCCATTTGTTGATGGAGTTGTTTATTTTTCTTGTAAATTTGCTTAAGTTCTTTGTAGATTCTGGTTATTAGCCCTTTGTCAGATGGATAGATTGCCAAAATTTTCTTACATTCAGTAAGTTGCCTGTTCACTCATGATAGTTTCTTTTGCTGTGCAGAACTCGTTAGTTTAATTAGATCCCATTTGTCAATTTTGGCTTTTGTTGCCATTGCTTTTGGTGTTTTAGTCATTAAGTCTTTGCCCATGCCTAGGTCCTGAATGGTATTGTCTAGGGTTTCTTCTAGGGTTTTTATGGTTCTAGGTTTACATTTAAGTCTCTAATCCACTTTGAGTTAATTTTTGTAGAAGGTGTAAGGAAGGGGTCCAGTTTCAATTTTCTACATATGGATAGCCAGTTTTTCCCAACACCATTTATTAAATAGGGAATCCCTTCCCCATTGCTTGTTTTTGTCAGGTTTGTCAAAGATCAGATGGTTGTAGATGTGTGGCATTATTTCTGAGGCCTCTGTTCTGTTACATTGGCCTATATATCTGTTTTGGTACCAGTACCATGCAGTTTTAGTTACTGCAGCCTTGCAGTAGAGTTTGAAGTCAGGTAGCATGATGCCTCTAGCTTTGTTCTTTTTGCTTAGGATTGTCTTGGCTATACGCGCTCTTTTTGGTTCCATATGAAATTTAAAGTAGTTTTTTCTAATTCTGTGAAGAAAGTCAATGGTAGCTTGATGGGGAGAGCATTGAATCTATAAATTACTTTGGGCAGTATGGCCGTTTTCACGTTATTGATTCTTCCTATCCATGAGCATGGAATGTTTTTCCATTTATTTGTGTCCTCTCTTATTTCCTTGAGCAGTGGTTTGTAGTTATCCTTGAGGAGGTCCTTCACATCCCTTGTACGTTGTATTCCTAGGTATTTCATTTTCTTTGTAACAATTGTCAATGTGAATTCACTCATGATTTGGCTCTCTGTGTGTCTATTATTGGCATATAGGAATGCTTGTGATTTTTGCACACTGACTTTGTATCTTTAGACTGCTGAAGTTGCTTATCAGCTTAAGGAGTTTTTGAACTGAGATGATGGGGTTTTCCAAATATACAATTATATCATCTGCACACAGAGACAATTTGACTTCCTCTCTTCCTATCATGTGATTCTATTTGATAACTTTTGATTCATAGACCTTCCTTCAAATATGAAGTCTATCCTCTCAAAACTTGATGCTGTCTTATCAACTAAGTTTATACAATATTTTCAAGTTTTTGTCACCATTTCAATAATGTTCACAGCATCTTCAGCAGGAGTAGTTTCCATCTCAAAAATCACTCTCTTTGCATAATCATAAGAAGCAACACTTTATCCATTCAAGTTTTATCATGAGACTGTAGCAATTCAATCACCTCTTCAGGCTCCATCTCTATTTCTACTTATCTTGCTATTTCCAACACATATGCAGTTACTTCTTCCACTAAAGTCTTCATCTTCTCAAAATTATCCACGAGGGCAGGAATCAACTTCTTCCAAACTCATGGTAATGCTAATATCTTCCTTCTCCTGTAAATCTCAAATATTCTTAGTGACATCTAGAATAATGAATTCTTTCCAGTAGGCTTTGAATTTACTTTGCCCAGATCCATCAGAGAAATCACTATCTATGGTAACTGTAGTCTTACAAAATGTATTTATTAAATAATAATACCTGAAAGTCAAAATAACTCTTTGATCCATGGGCTGCAGAATAGATGTTGTGTTAGCAGACGTGAAAACAACATTAATCTCCTTGTATATCTCTATTGGAGCCCTTAGGTGACCAGGTGCATTGTCAGTGAGCAATAATGTTTTCAAAGAAATCTATTTTTCTGAGCAACAGGTCTCAACAGTGGGCTTAAAATATTCAGTACACCATGCTACAAATAAACGTACTATCATCCGCGTTTTGTTGTTCCATCTATAGAACACAGGCGGAGTAAATTTAGCATAATTACAGAACTCTTAAGATTTTCAGAATGATAAGAGAGCATTGGCTTTTACTTAAAATCACCAGCTACATTAGCCCCTAACAAGAGAGTCAGCCTGTTCTTTAAAGGTTTGGAGCCAACCACTGAATTTTTTTTCTCTAGCTGTGAAAGTCTTAGATGATAACCTTCTTCCAATATAAGGCTGTTTCATCTACATTAAAAATCTGTTCTTTAGTGTAGTCACTTTCATCACTTATCTTAGCTACATCTTCTGGACAGCTTGCTGCAGCTTCTCCATCAGCACTTGATGCTTCACCTTACACTTACATGTTATGGATAAGTGTCTTTCCCAAAACTTCATGAACCAGCATCTGCTACCTTTAAACTTTTCCTCTGCAGCTTCCTCACTTCTCTCAGCCTTCTTAGTATTGAACAGAGTTAGGGCCTTTCTTTGGATTAGGCTTTGGCTTGAGGGAATGTTGTGACTGCTTTGATCTTCTATTAAGATCACTCAAACTTTATCCCTATCAGTAATGAAGCTGTTTTGCTTTCTTATCATCTGTGTATTCACTGGAGTAACATTTTTAATTTCCTTCAAGAACTTTTCCTTTTATTCACAACTTTGCTGATGATTTGGCACAAGAGGTCTACCTTTCAGCATATAGCAGTTTTCAACATGCCTTCCTCACTAAGCTTAATCATTTGTAGCTTTTGAGACATGTAACGCTTTATTTTACTTGAACACTTACAGTCCTTGCAGGTTATTAATTAGTCTAATTTTCTGCTGTGTGTCTCAAGGAATAGGAATGCCTGAGGAGAGGGAAACAGGTGGGGGAGTGACCCATTGGTGGAGCAGTCAGAACATACACAACATTTATTGATTAAATTCACCATCTTATATGAGTGCAATTCGTGGTGCACCAAAACAATTACAATAGTAATATCAAAAATAACTCATCAGCCGGGCTCAGTGGCTCACGCCTGTAATCCCAGCACTTTGGGAGGCCGAGGTGGGCGGATCACAAGGTCACGGGTTCAAGACCAGCCTGGCCAACATGGCAAAACCCAGTGTCTACTAAATACAAAAATTAGCTGGGCATGGTGGCAGGTGCCTGTAATTCCAGCTACTCGGGAGGCTGAGGCAGGAGAATAGATTGAACCCAGGAGGCGGAGTTTGTGGTGAGCCGAGATCATGCCACTGCACTCCGGACTGGGTGACAAAGTGAGACTCCATCTCAAAAAAAAAAAAAAAAAAAAACTCATCACAGATCACCATAACAGATATAAAAATAATTTTAAATTTATAGATAGTTCAAGAATGACCAAAATGTAACACAGAGATACAAAGTGAGCACATGCTGTTGGAAAAATGTCACCGATAGACTTGCTCAATGCAGTCTTTGCACAAACTTCCAATTTGTAAAAAAAACATGTATCTGTGAAGCACAATAAAGCAAAGCACGATAAGATAAAATGAATTAAGCTTGTATATTATTGGGGGGAATGTAAATTAGTAGAGTCATTATGGAAAACCTTATGGAGGTTCCTCAAAAAACTAAAAAGAGAACTACCATGTGATCCAGTAATCCCATTTCTGCATCTATATCTAAAGAAAGTGAAATCAATATGTTGAAGAGATCTTTGCACATCCGTGTTCATTGTAGCTATTCACAATAGCCAAGATATGGATTAAACCCAAGTGTTCATCAATGGATAAATGGATAAAGAAACTATGGTCTATATATACAATGGAATACTAGTCAGCCTTAAAAGGCAAGGAAATCCTGTTATTTGGGACAACATGGATAAATCTGAAGGACACTAAGCTAAGTGAAATAAAACAGGAACAGAGAGAGAAATACCTCATGATCTCACTAATCTGTGGAATCTAACAAAGTTGAACTCAGAGAAGTAGAAAGTAAAATGATGGTTATCAGAGGCTGAAGGTGGTGGCGGGTAAGAGGATAGGAATGGCGAGTTGCTGATCAAAGGGTACAAAGATTCACATAGGAGGAATAGGTTTTGAGGTCTTTTGCACAGCAGGGTGACTATAGTCAATAATATTGTATTAAGTATTTCAAAATAGTTAAGAGAGTAAATTCCAAATGTCTCACCATAAAAAATAGGTAAACAATGTGAAGAATATGTTAATTAGCTTGATTTAATCATTCCACATTGTATACATCTATTAAAACATCACACTGTGCCTCATAAATGTATACAACGATTAACCAAAAATAACATTTTTGGATATATTCTTGCAAGTATTTCAGAAATTATATTAGACATTTCTTGATCTGACCAAAGAGGAAACATCTTGCTAAATGAAACACATGTAAATTTAACCTTACAACTAATTTGATGGCGGTACCATCTAATGTTGTTACAACAGTTTAATTTAGGCAGGAGGCAAAATGTACTACAAGACTTAAACAAAACAGAAGATCCTCAAAAACAGTTGATGTTTACACACATGTTTTATAGTATACTATTATAAAAATAATTTTATCTCTCCACAGTATTTTGCATGAATTTTGGCTTGCTATTACTAATAATTTTAGCAAAAATTGGTTATAAAAGCCAAACAAATCTAAATTTGGCTTTTAATAAGATTTTCAATTTGTTTTTAATTTTTAGCATAAGTAATTTTTCCAGATTGAAACAAATTGCATGTGAATATGTAACAGAAGTGACAATTCAGTAAAATACTTTAAAAATTATAAGGGAAACATTTGCATGACTAGAAAATATTTGCATATAATGAATCCCAGTACTAATTTCTACAGAAACTGTGCTCTGGTCCTTATCAATCAAAACACAACCTCATTCTTTATAATATCCCAGCATTGAAAAATATAAAAAGATGATCTTTAAAATGTTGCATGGCTCTAGGTACTGACGTAAGAGATAGTAAAATTGCAATATAAGTGACAGTGCCTTATAAAATGTTAGAATTTTTTCTAATATTTTCCAAAATAAAGATCATTTATCATATTTGAACCTATCACAATGCTTGAGCATGTTATATATAAAACATGGTTCACTCCTGAATGCTTTAAGAATTCCAATAAAAATTTCAACGGCAACTGCGTAAGCAGGTGTGATCCAGTTTAGGTGAATTAAGTAGAACCAGAAAGAAAAAGCCTACGATCAGAAAAAGAAAACACAGATAAAAATAATTCTAAAGTTTCTGTGAATTGGGATCGTAGGAGACAAGGCTAACATCCGAAGGGGCTCGGGGCAAACAGCCCTCTTGTTGAGAAAGTCTGTTCTCATGCTTAGGGATGTTTCTGCTTCCCTGTACTGACCAGGCTCCCGCATGCATATACTGAGTGCCTGTTATGCCTCATAGAGAATCCTAACACTGGGCATACAGGCTGATTTCAAGGAACTCACACAAAAGTGGCAGAGACAGTTATGAGGAGCCCAGAACTACAAAGAGTACAGACAGGGTTATAATGGAGGTAAGTAGAGGAAATGTGATTGCAAAGGGGGCTCTCCCGAGACAATATTAGTGGATCTAAGGTTTACCTGAAGATTCTTGATCTCAACCTTAACAAGCAAGAGTAAGCCAAGTGAAAGAGAAGGATAAAGATGTTCGGGGGATATGCAATGGCACCATGGCAAAAAAAAAAAAAAAAAAAAAAAAAGAAAGATCATAATATGGGTCTTTTGATACGGCTGGCAGTCCAGTGTATACGGGGAAATAAAAAGGGATGAGTCCTAGGTATTTTATTCTCTTTGTACCAATTGTGAATGGGAGTTTGCTCATGATCTGGCTCTCTGTCTATTATTGGTGTATAAGAATGCTTGTGATTTTTGCACATTGATTTTGTATCCTGAGACTTTGCCAAAGTTGCTTATCAGCTTAATGAGATTTGGGGCTGAGCCAATGGGTTTTCTAAATGTACAATCATGTCATCTGCAAACAAAGACAATTTGACTTCCTCTCGTCCTATTTGAATACCGTTTATTTCTTTCTCTTGTCTGATTGCCCTGGCCAGAACTTCCAATACTATGTTGAATAGGAGTGTTGAGAGAGGCCTTCCTTTTCTTGTGCCGGTTTTCAAAGGGAATGCTTCCAGGTTTTGCCTATTCAGTGTGATATTGGCTGTGGGTGTGTCATAAATAGCTCTTATTATTTTGAGATATGTTCCACCAATACTTAGTTTATTGAGAGTTTTTAGCATAAAGGGGTGTTGAATTTTATTGAAGGCCTTTTCTGCATCTATTGAGATGCAGATGAGATCATGTAGTTTTTGTCATTGGTTCTGTTTATAAGCTGGATTACGTTTATTGATTTGCATGGGTTGAACCAGCCTTGCATCCCAGGGAGGAAGCGGACTTGATCGAGGTGGATAAACTTTTTGATGTGCTGCTGGATTCAGTTTGCCAGTATTTTATTAAGGATTTTCACATCAATGTTCATCTAAACACTGCTTTAGCTGTGTCCCAGATATTCTGGTACATTGTGTCTTTGTTCTCATTGGTTTCAAAGAACTTATTTATTTCTGCTTTAATTTTGTTATTTACCTGGCAGTCATTCAGGAGCAGGTTGTTCAGTTTCCATGTAGTTGTGTGGTTTTGAGTGAGATTCTTAATCCTGAGTTCTAATTTCATTGCACTGTGGTCTGAAAGACTGTTATGATTTCCATTCTTTTGCATTTGCTGAGGAGTGTTTTACTTCCAACTATGTGGTCAATTTTAGAATAAGTGTGATGTGGTTCTGAGAAGAATGTATATTCTGTTGATTTGGGGTGGAGAGTTCTGTAGATGTCTACTAGGTCTGCTTGGTCCAGAGCTGAGTTCAAGTCCTGAATATCCCTGTTAATTTTCTGTCTCATTGGTCTAATATTGACACGGGGGTGTTAAAGTCTCCCACTATTATTGTGTGGGAGTCTAAGTCTCTTTGTAGGTCTCTAAGAACTTGCTTTATGAATCTGAGTGCTACTGTATTGGGTGCATATATATGTAGGATAGAGAGCTCTTCTTGTTGCATTGATCCCTTTACTATTATTTAATGCCCTTCTTTGTCTTTTTAGATCTTTGTTGGTTCAAATTCTGTTTTATCAGAGACTAGGATTGCAACCCCTGCTTTTTTTTTTTCTTTCCATTTGCTTGGTAAATATTCCTCCACCCCTTTATTTTGAGCCTATGCATGTCTCTGCACGTGAGATGGGTCTCCTGAATACAGCACACTGATGGGTCTTGATTCTTTATCCAATTTGCCAGTCTGTGTCTTTTATTTGGGGCATTTAGCCTGTTTACACTTAAGGTTAATATTGTTATGTGTGAATTTGATCCTGTCATTATGATGCTAGCTGGTTATTTCGCCTGTTAGTTGATGTAGTTTCTTCATAGTGTTGATGGTCTTTACAATTTGGTATGTTTTTGCATTGGCTGGTACCAGCTTTTACTTTCCATATTTAGTGCTTTCTTCAGGAACTCTTGTAAGGCAGGCCTGGTGGTGACAAAATATCTCAGCATTTGCTCATCTGTAAAATATTTTATTTCTCCTTTGCTTATGAAGCTTAGTTTGGCTGGATATGAAATTCTGGGTTAAAAACTCTTTTCTTTAAAAATGTTGAATATTGGCCCCCACTCTCTTCTGACTTGTAGGGTGTTTTGCAGAGATATCCGCTATTAGTCTGATGGGCTTCCCTTTGTGACCCAACCTTTCTCTCTGGCTGCCCTTAATATTTTTTCCTTCATTTCAACCTTGATGAATCTGACGATTATGTGTCTTGGGGTTGCTCTTCTCAACCACTGCTATTCAACATAGTATTGGAAGTTCTGGTCAGGGCAATTGGCAAGAGAAAGATATAAAGTCTGTTCAGATGGGAAGAGAGGAAGTCAAATTGTCTCTGCAGATGACACGATTGTATATTTAGAAAACCCTATCATCTCAGCCCAAAATCTCCTTAAGCTGATAAGCAATTTCAGCAAAGTCTCAGGATACAAAATCAATGTGCAAAAATCACAAGCATTCCTATACACCAATAATAGACATACAGAGAGCCAAATCCTGAGTCAATTCCATTCACAATTGCCACAAAGAGAATAAAATATCTAGGAATACAACTTACAAGGAATATGAAGGACTTCTTTAAGGAGAACTACAAACCACTGCTCAAGGAAATAAGAGAGGACACAAACAAATGGGAAAATATTCCATGCTCATAGATAGGAAGAATCAATATCATGAAAATGACCATACTGCCTGAAGTATTTTATAAATTCAATGCTATCCCCATCAAGCTACCATTGACTTTCTTCACAGAATTAGAGAAAACTACGTTAAATTTCATATGGAACCAAAAAACCAAAAAAGAGCACGTATAGCCAAGACAATCCTAAGCAAAAAGAACAAAACTAGAGACATCCTGCTACCTGACTTCAAACTACACTACAAGGCTACAGTATTAAAGCAGCATGGTACCAGTACCAAAACAGATATATAGACCAATGGAAAGAGCAGAGTCCTCAGGAATAATGCCACACATCTACAACCAACTGATCTTTGACAACCCTGACAAAAAGAGCAATGGGAAAAAGCTTCCCTATTTAATAAGTGGTGTTGGGAAAACTGGCTAGCCATATGCAGAAAACTGAAACTGGACCCCTTCCTTACACCTTCTACAAAAATTAACTCAAGATGAATTAGAGACTTAAACATAAACCTAAAGCCATAAAAATCCTAGAAGAAACCCTAGGCAATACCATTCAGGACCTAGGCATGGGCAAAGACTTAATGACTAAAACACCAAAAGCAATGGCAACAAAAGCCAAAATTGACAAATGGGATCTAATTAAACTAACGAGTTCTGCACAGCAAAAGAAACTATCATGAGCGAACAGGCAACTTACTGAACGTAAGAAAATTTTGGCAATCTATCCATCTGACAAAGGGCTAATAACCAGAATCTACAAAGAATTTAAGCAAATTTACAAGAAAAATAAACAACTCCATCAAAAAATGGGTGAAGGATATGAACAGTCACTTCTCAAAAGAAGACATTTATGCAGCCAACAAACATATGAAAAAAAAGCTCATCATCACTGGTAATTAGAGAAATGCAAACCAAAACCACAATGAGATACCATCTCAGGCCAGTTAGAATGGCAATCATTAAAAAGTCAGGAAACAACAGATGCTGGAGAGGATGTGGAGAAATAGGAATGCTTTTACACTGTTGGTGACAGGGTAAATTAGTTCACCCGTCGTGGAAAACAGTGTGGCGATTCCTCAAGTATCTAGAATCAGAAATACCATTTGACCCAGCAATCCCATTATTGGGTATATACCCAAAGGATTATAAGTCATTCTACTATAAAGACACATATACATGTATGTTTGCTGCGGCACTGTTCACAATAGCAAAGACTTGGAGCCAACCCAAATGCCCATCAATGATAGACTGGATAAAGAAACTGTGGCACATTTGCACCATGCATACACTATGCAGCCATAAAAAAGGATGAGTTCATGTTCTTTGCCGGAACATGGATGAAACTGGAAACCATCATTTTCAGCAAACTAACACGAGAACAGAAAACCAAACACCACATGGTCTCACTCATAAGTGGGAGTTGAACAATGAGAACACATGGACACAGGGAGGGGAACATCACACACTGGGGCCTGTTGGGGTGTGGGAGGCTAGTGGAGAGATAGCATTAGGAGAAATGCCCAATGTAGGTGGTGGGTTGATGGGTGCAGCAAACCACCATGGCACATGTGTACCTATGTAACAAACCTGCACATTCTGCCCATATACCCCAGAACTTAAAGTAAAAAAAAAAAAAAAAAAAAAAGTGGCACATATACATCATGGAATACTATGCAGCCATAAAAAAGGATCAGTTCATGTCCTTTGCAGGGACATAGATGAAGCTGGAAACTATCATTCTCAGCAAACTAACACAGGAACAGAAAACCAAACACTGTATGTTCACTCATAATTGGGAGTTGATCAATGAGAACACATGGACACAGGGAGGAGAACATCACACCTTGGGGCCTGTCGGGGTGTGGGGGGTAGGGGAGGAATAGCATTAGAAGAAATACCTAATGTAGATGACAGGTTGATGGGTGCAGCCAACCACCATGGCATGTGTATACTTATGTAACAAATCTGCATGTTCTGCACATGTGTCCCAGAACTTAAAATATATAAAAAAAAAAAAGAGGCCAAAAGTGAAAGAAAAGCTTCAATCAACTAGATGCTAAGTGCTTGCCTAAATTAAGGCAGTTGCAATGGGGAAAAAAGAGGAGATGCAATAATGAAGAAATTTTTTTAAAAAGCAATTGACTTTGATAGTTGGTGGCATGTGTGAGCTAAGGAAGGTAAGTCTAGGATGATTCCTTATTTCTGAATTGAGGGAGGAGTAAATAGCAGTTCCACCTATCAAGATAGGGAATAAAGAGAAAAAGTTGGAATTTAATTCACATCAACTTTATTTTAATGGGATCTCATATTTAATTTTGTTCTGAGTTTTCCCACTGAATTTCCAACAACTCTATTATCACTGACTTCATTGGATAAAGTGTCTGTCAAATCTGTATGCTGAGACTCCACAGTAAGCATCCTGAAATATGGAGGGTAAAACATTTGTGGGTTTGTGGAATCACGTTGCTATCAACAATAGGATTGTCCTCGATAGAAAGAAATACAAAAAGCTGCTCTTGCTTTCTCTTTCACCATAACATATATTTTTGGGCTCAAAATATAATCATGTCATCTGAAAGGATTCTGGGTAGAAAACTCTTCAATCAAAATTACTTATTTCTCTAGCTCTGTCACAAGTTTGCAGTGGTTTTGTCACAATGCTGAATTTTCCAAGCAACAAAACCAAAAGGTTACTTACTAAACATTAAGATGCCAACTGTTTTTCTTCCTTTGTTGATTTCCCTCTTGAAACTGTAAACAGACACCCTATTCCCTGAAAACTTGTTATCAGTCAGCTCCTTTCATACCATACTTCATACCATATGCTCCTCTAGTAAGTTGATTCAATCATTCTAAAGGGCAACATCTATTTCTTTCCCTTCTGCTCAAAATCTTTGCAAACTATAAATTTATATAATTCAAGAGCTAGGAAAAACTGCAAGGCAAAAATCCTCTACACATGAAACAGGATCATGGCAAATAAATGAGTGTATCTGTAATTGTGCATTAAAAAGTTTATCTGTAACTGTGCATTAAAATAACCAAACACAGGCATATTTAAAAGGAAATAAAAGAGGCAAGACAAATAATGGCTAGTGATAGATAAGAGTAAACCCTAAGAAATCCTGACAATTATTTCATGTGGAAGTCAATTAAGATTTCTCAAAATGAAGTAAAGATGAATGTGTCTTAAACGTGATAGTGAGTAAAAGAATAATGCATAAAAATATTCCATGTAGCCTGGTTCCATTTACATAAATTTCCAAAACTGTATTGTCTAGGAATGCACACATAGGTGGCTAAACAAGAAAGATAATCAAGGGCATTTTAACCACAGAATTAATTTTGTGATATCTACTCTCTGAGATGAAAGAATATCTGGGAGAAAGGAACTTCTGAAAGCTGTTGATGTTCTCGTTTTTAATCTGGGATGCTTTAAAGAGATATTTGCTTTGTAACAATTCATTATACTATACCTTGATTTTTTTGCACTTATCTGTGTCTTATATTTCATAATAGATATTTTCTTAATTAAACAAATAAAAGAACATAGCACAGATAAGTACACTCAAAAAACGTTTCTTCCTATAGGTCATCATCAAGCTGTGAAAAAGTTCTTACCCGAAAAGTTTATTGGAGCAATTTCAATAGACTCATTCAGAAAAAAAAAAAATAGATAAAGCCATGGAGGACAATATATAACAAAAGAAAATGAGCCAAAGAATTTTTCATTTTTCTGAAAAACATTACTTGCATGAACATTTTTCAAAAAATAGGAAGCAAGAGCCTGAAACTTTATAAGTTTCTCTAATTCTCAACAATGCATATGTCAAACTCTGTTTAATTCTATCACCCCCAGATTGCTGAATTTCAATATTCTGACCAGAACCTCTTGGCCAGATTCTGGTCTGAATTTCAATATTCTGACCAGAACCTATTTTGACCAGAAACAAAATATTTGTTTAACTTAATGATAAAGGGTACACATATACATAAAGGGTATACATAATGATAAAGGGTATACACTTTACATATTTCCTATAAAACAATGTTATTACAGGTTGAAGCCAAGATATGCAATATGTCTTTGTCATCCTGAGTTTCATATTATTCTATTTATAATATAACCAAAAAACCTCAAATTATTTCCATGGAAAATTGTATTAATCATACCATAAAAATATAAACTGTAATAAGAAATTACATTAAAATAATCTTTGAAACATCAAGACCGAAAATGATTATTCCCAGTAAAAAACAGAAGCAAACATCAAAGGATGGTTTGGGCACTTTAGCTTGCCCCTCTACCACACCCCACAATTTCTCTCAGTACTCATCTGTCTCTCCTAAGTAAAAAAGTCAAAATTGAATGAATGAATGAATGAAGGTACAGTTGGTACACAGCTTAAGGCAAGAGATGCAGTACTCTTGTGTACACTGTTTATGTCCTGCTATATCTGAAATTATTTGGTAAGTACACACCAATCGATCTTTATTAAACATGCTATATTTTAAAAATTAATCTCCTCCTCCATATAGTTCAGGCACAAGGTCTAATTTTGAGTCTATTTTAAACTACCCTCTAAAATTATGATAGGTATGATCTGACAGTTACGGTTTATAGAGATCTTCACAAATAAATTCACTAAAACTTCAGTCCTGTGGCTTGGTAATCACCAGATCATAGACAATTCATTAAAGAGTTCACAGATTTAATTAATGAAAATGAACTTGGAAAAGCTTCTTTGGTATTCAAACATATACATCAGTTGCCTACCACGTTTGGTTACAATTTGCCTCCACCCTGCAATAAGGCCCAATATGCAGTGAAAGAAAACACACTTAAGAGCAACCATTTTTCTTCATAGGATTAGTCCATTTTCTATGAACTAGAATATTTCTTTGGTCCAGACGTACCAGATCCGGAGAACACTGAATAATTTCAGGTGACATGAATATCAAAGGCCAAAGGAAAACAGATTCTTAGGGTTAAAAGACACTTTAAAATCATCAAGTCAAATTATCAATTCAACATTGTACCATATTTGAGTCATTCAGCCTTTATGGAACTTAACATTTTTGGAGTTGATTAGTATGTATAGTTATATATGCAGTATGATTCCATTTACATAAATTTCAAAAACTGAGACACTTGTTTGCAAATGATCACTTTAGCATGTGAAGAAGAGATGGCTAGTCAGAGCCATTCCTTCATTAGCCCTTGTTTTGTTGGTAGGCAGGCTACTACCCCTTAAAGCAGCACCAGGGACTGGTTTCATGGAAGACAATTTTTCCACAGATGGGAGACAGATAGTTTCCGGATGAAACTGTCCCACCTCAGATCATCAGGCATTAGTTAGTCTCATAAGGAGTGCACAACCTAGATCCCTTACATGTGCAGTTCACCATAGGGTTCTCATTTCTATGAGAATCTAATGCCCCTGCTGATCTAACAGGAGGCGGAGCTCAGGTGGTAATGCTGGCTGGCCCCTGCTCACTTCCTGCAGTGCTGCCCAGTTCCTAACAGCCCGCACACTGGTATCTGGCCATGGCCCACAGGTTGGGGAGCCCTGCCTTCAAGGCAGGAAGTTGGCCCCTCACTTCCTATCCTATTTTATGGGCTTTCTTCCACTACCTGTATTGAACCACATGGTTCATTGTCTATTTGCCTGTGACAGAGTGAAAACTGAGGTCAAACCTGTAGTACAAAACCTATCACCAATTCAGTGGGTAGAAAGTAAAAAAACTTCCTGACCCATGCTCTGTTCCCCATCTAGCTTCTTTGAGATATTTGAAGAGTCATAAAAGCAACACTTGTTCGTATCTGTATAGCAAACCTTATGTGTGTAACTAAATCTCAAAACGAAGGTGAGAGGTACCTCAAACTCCTAACAGACATGCTGTGATAGACATGACTGAGGTCTTAATAGTAGAACATAATGCCCCTACCCTCAAATAATTTACAGACTAAATGAGGCACAAAGAATTGCAGCTGATAAGAAAAAACTGTGTACTGGATACAGCAGTTGGCTCTACCTGTAGGAGACACAAAGTTTTGATAAGAGAAAACATTTAATTCAAATCCTGAAAGATCTGTAGATATTACAGGTGAATGAGAAGAGAAAGGGCAACCCCAGTCAAAGAGACATGTGCAAAGGCGAGAGGCATGAATCAGCAGGTAAAAGTTAGAATGTTTCCTTTTATCTTCACTTGCTACTCTCCACTGCACATTGATGGTGAGCAGTAACTCCATATAAAAGATCCTGGGACAAACTGATAGAACTGTTTACAGAACAGACTATAAAGTTAAGCACATTTTCAGTGGAAAAAAATAACTAAAAAGTATAGGGGATGGGGGTAGTAAGTGGTAGTAAGTGATCATTTTTCCATTCATATCAGGTGGACAATAGATAGGGCTCCTAAGCAATATTAACTACTTTTGGGTAATTGAAAGTCTTCTGGCCTATTTCTGGAACTTTTCACATATTTGAACTATTGTCTTCCCATTGCCCTTTTCCCTCATGTTTCCCACCTCTCAGTGCATCCTTCAGTCACAGTTGAACACCTCCTCCAGGAAGTCTTCCCTAATCCCAGGTGTATGTTATATGACACTGCCCATTGCTTTCATAGTCCCTTGTACTTCCCCAAGACAGAATCTCTGCTTTGGAATTCTGTTATTCATCTCCTCAATCAAGCAATAAGGTTCACAGGGGAGTTGACCTTATCCTTTCTAGTGTGTATCCAGAGACAAAAACATCGCTTGGCTCGCAGTAGGAGCCCAATAAATATTTATGGACTTAATATTAAGCAATAAGTTAGATAGATAATGTTCCAAGAAAACAAATATTTTAGGTAGAATATTTAATGACAAATTATACAAGTGTTTTTCAATGGGTAGGGAAATATAAAATTCCCCATTAAATTTTTACTAGAATTGTGATATAAATGGAATAAACTGAAACAGAGCTAGAAAATGTATCTTGACAGACAAAACAATTTATTAATAGTAATGCTTAGTAACTTTGCATGTAGATATAAAGGGCTGATATTTAGCTGAAGCATACCTGTAAGATGTTTCAAATGTTTATACCTGGAATTTCCTCTGATTGGTCAGTGCTGGTCAGGTGCCTGTATTACATCAATTGTCTAATATTTTCAATATGACCCCTATATAGACATAAATGAAAAAACACAGATAAGTATCTTCTGAAAAAATTAGTAATGGTCATGCTATAAAGTGATTTGAATCCCATTATTGATTTTTATATCAGTGCTTTTCAAACTACCTGCTTGTGACCCAAGGGAGTTACAGAGACATCACTGAAGCATGGGAAAGTTGAGGCTCTCATCTCAAACCCACAACCCCCTGTCAGAGCAGCTGGGTCACTAGCTGATCTCATCCTCCTGACTCAGTCACCTCTCTCTCAGAGAGCCGAATACAAAGCTGTTTCTTTGCTATTCCTTTCCTTATTAGATTAGGAGGCACTCTGGGCCATGTGTATGTGTGTGTGTGTGTGTGTGTGTGTGTGTGTGTGTGTGTGTGTGTGTGTGTGTGTGTGTATGTTTGTATGTGTGTATAATAAGAGTTGCTTGATTCCACAAGGATGATTACAAGCTGGTAGAACTTTTTTAAACATTCATTTAAATAGATTTATAAATGCAAATAACTATTAACTAACTATAAATTTGCTGCCTTTATACTGCTAATAAAGACTGTCTATACTCATTCATTATTGGAAATGGTGAAGATGTATTTTCTTATTTTGTATCAATCTGCTTTTTTATCCTACAGGGATCATACAAAATTAATAAATTCAGTGTTATCTAAATTTTAAAGCATTAATCTATTACTTTTCCATACTGAAGATCACTATCTCAGAGAAACAAAACTATAAGTAGTAAATACAAGCAAAAATTGTATTTATATATTTCATATCAGATCAAAGAAGTGTTCTCATTTGGGATCCTATAAAACCGAGAGCCCCCAAGAGTTTTTTTATTACAGTGGGACAGAAAGCACCCTAGGGAAAAACCACCTTCAGATCAGCTACTAAGTCAGGCTTAAGTTTTTCCTACTCTCATTTCATCGAGCTATCTGAATTTTTATATTCATTGAAGTAGACCTTTGACTGTCTGCCAAGTATGCTTTTCCTTTAGGGAATCACTTTCTCCATAGTAATCCTTTCATTCATATGATTCATGTGAAGCTGACTCAGCTTCAGGAAGGAACACTTGCCTCAAGCCAGAACAATCAAAAATGCCTCTGGAACTTTTCCTAAAGCTATCTATAAAGGCACTCTAGGATCCTATAAGATCTTTAAATTAAGGATCGTGTACCCTGAAGCTGCAGGGGCGTTTCCCACTATACAAAGTGTGTGCCTGAGAATGAAGCCAACACAGAGAAATGTGGATCTGAGAGATGGTACACAATGTGTTCAACAGTAAGTCAGTAAGAACTAGCATGGACTAGAGAAAGATTAATTAGTTAGTTAGAGACAGAGTCTCGCTCTGTCGCCCAGGCTGGAGTGCAGTGGCATGATCTTGGCTCACTGCAACTTCTGCCTCCCAGGTTCAAGTGATTCTCCTGTCTCAGCCTCCCAAGTAGCTGGGATTACAGGCGCCTGCAACCATGCCCCGCTAATTTTTGTATTTTTAGTAGAGATGAGGTTTCACCATGTTTGCCAGGATGGTCTCAAACTCCTGACCTCCGATGATCCACCCACCTCAGCCTCCCAAAGTACTGAGATTACAGGTGTGAGCCACCCACGCCCGGCTGAAAGATACTTTTTATAAAATGTCTTGGAAGCATCACTTTTGTGGGTTTTTTTTTAATCTATAAAAGGAAGTTTTCTTCTCTTATTAGAATATAATTTTATATGTTTCAAAATGGGAAGGTATCATATTAGCCATCCATAGTGACCATGTAAATATATAAAGAGAAGAGGGAAAATAAATGCCCTCTTAAAGGAAAAGGGCATTTCTGATTTGAACAGCACTGTCATTGAGCAGCCTGCCACAGACATACATGATTAAATCATTCCTTAAGAGCCATTAGTATGGCAAAAACAATTGGTACCAAGGTTAATTTCTTTAGTAACCTTTAAATTTATTCTAGACATAAGTCACCAAGTATATATCAGTAATTATTTGATTTGTAGATGTTTCTGACAAAGCAGAATAAAGAACCATCTTTCAAGATACATGATAAATGAAACAACAGACCCAAAGAGTGACTGGAATATTCCTTCTTAGCCTAAAGTAGGAAAATTTAAAAGTTATTGATTCTCATGGTCAAGAGATTATCGCCATAATTTCCAAAAAACTAAGTTCATGGATCGTGATATCAGTCTCATTTTGATGCAAAGAAGTGAGAAAATACATAAAGCAAACAAATGTGCCAGTGTCGCAAAGTAAACTAATGAACAGAGACATTTAAACAACTTCACAGGTTTTCATTATGGAAAACCAAAATAATTAGCAGTTTCCACTGAAAATGCCTCCTACTTCTTTTACAAATCATTAAACAGAAGCACTTTTGTCATGAAATTACTGTGCAATTCTATTTTTCTTTCATAATGTTCTTTTTCTTTTGCTGTTTCAAAATAATGGCTTAAGTAGCCATTAATGCTTTAAATCTTGTGTCACTTTCACAATTTAAATTCAGAAGATACGCACTCATGTCTGTAGAGGAAACTGTGAAATTAAGGCGGAGCAAAGGCAGAATGTTGAGGAAAAGGGTGGAATGATTAGAAAACTCGCTCTCCAGGATGGAAACCCCACCTTACATGATGTGGTAATTACACATTGCGTGTCTGTATCAAAACATCTCCTGTACCCAATAAATATATACAACTACTATATACCAAAGAAATTAAAATAAGAAATGTTTTAAAAAAGAAAAGAAAACTCATCTTCCAAAGAAACTAGGTTGCATTTTTAACCTAGCTCCTTTTAGGCCTGTACTGCCTTGAGATAAATAAATGATTTTGGAGGCAAAAACTCTTGATTTGAAGTCGCTGTATGTTGTTAGACATTCCTGCAATAGTAAATTTTATCTATCAACTTGACTGGATCGCAGGATGCGTAGATAATTGAGTTAAACATTTTTCCTGAGCATGTCTGTGAGGATGTTTCCAGAAGAGATCAACATTTGATCAGTACTGAGTAAAGCAGATGGCCCTCCCCAAGTGGGCAAGTATTGTCCTATTTGTTGAGGGCCTGAATAGACAAAAAGGTGGAAGGAGAAACTCGCCCTCTCTCTGCCTGACGCTTTAGCTGGGACATTGATTTTCTGCCCTTGTTGTTCCTGGTTCTTAGGTCTTCTGTCTCAGACTGGAATCTGCAGCACTGGCTCTCTGGCTCTTAGGCCTTCAAACTGCACCACCAGTTTTCCAAGTTTTCCACCTTATGGGGTATCTCAGCCTCTATAATTGTGTAAGCCAATACCTTATAATAAGTCTTTCTATATACAGTATATTATCTATAGGTAGGTATAACTATATCTGTCTTCTACTAGTTTTGTTTGTTCTTCTTCTGGTTTTGTTTCTCTGGAGAACCCTGATTAATACAATTCCTGATAGTCAGTATCTATGTTTTTGTTTCTCTTAAGAGGAGATGTGTGCTTAGGTCTGAACAAGCTATTTTTTTTTAGTAACCTAAAAAAAGAACAACTTATTAAAAGTTACATTATAACTCTAAATGTTAATATCACCAAGCCATAGCTTCTTAGCAATTACAAACTGAAGAGATGTATACCTCTTATAATTTCAGAGATTAAACCAAATGATTCATCTGTTTTAAGGGAATCAAAGCAGATACATGATTGTCTGATAGAACTCAAAGTTGACATTACTTTGAGAAATTTCACCTCTTGCAAGCAGTGCCACTAAATGAACGGCATACCATATTCAATTTTGATTGATACGGTAATTGTTAAAGGCTATATTTCAAAGGAGTGCACATGTCACCAGTGTCAGAGCTATGGTTCCCTAGAAATATCTACTGAACAACAACAACAAAGGTATTGCCATTGAGAAAAAAAGCAGAAGTAAAAGCAGTCTTGATTTCCTGGAATCAAAACCCCCTCCCTCACTGTGCCATTACTGCCACTGTCATAATTCCGATCCCCATCCCCATAACTGACCGATCTCAAGTACTTCCAATTGCCTTTCCTGGTTTCTTACACTCAGTCTTGTTTCCCACCGCAGCCACTTTCAATTCTTTCTGCATACAACCACTAGATTCACTGTGGAAAACAGATTGCCTTACTATTATCTGAATCCCTTTGTCAAATATAATATAATATATATAGAATGGGCAATGGTGTAGGACTTTAGCAATTGTATATAGCTCTAAGGCATGTGGTCTTGCATTCAAAGTCTCCCTCTGACTCCATCTTATTATTCTAGCTCTATTTTCTATTCATACTTATTCATCTCTTTACTCCTTACATTTTGCATGTTTGCAGAAGTGCCATAAGATCATTTGCTTCAAATCCTTTTGGAAATGTTATTGGGTAATTTATTAAATAATTATTCATTCTTTTAGGTCCAGCTCCAATGTTACCAACTCTGTGAACCTTTTCTGCTCTCCTCCAGGGAGTCACTCATACCCCTTTATGCCACTGAATTATTTCATACACGCCTCTGTTAAAGCACTTGCCCCATATTCTTGAGAATATTGGTTCCACTTAACTGTGACAGGAACTCGTCACAGGAACTCCGTCATCACTGTGTTTATCTCCAACATCTTACACTTTGATTAGTGGGCACACAATAAATATTTTTGAATAAATGTGTGGTTCCTGTTCTTAGGTAACTAATTATCTACCTCAAAGTGTCATTAGGATCAAATGAAGAGTGAGCAAGTCAAAGGTGCAAGGAGTCCAGTGTTTATTGAGCCTTCACTACCTGCAGGTGCTGTTCTAGTTGCTGGAGAGGGATGAACAACAGGTTTCTTCAGGCCTCTTGGAGTTTATAGGCCATCAGGGAAGAAAGACAAAAATATATATACACAAATACCATATTACTTCAGTTGGCATGGCTAGGACAAGAACCAGGTCTAACTCTGAAGTTTGTACCTTAACAATTGCATAGCAATTTTTATAAGCAAAATCATTCACAATTTGTGGGAAATAATCCCTGATTCTAAATGCCAAAAATAAAGCTGTACTTAAAGGAATATATAATTAATAAATTCATGCCCAACACACTTCCAAAAGCAAATTGAAAGATGCCTTCAATTATAAGAGACAATAAATATTCCATGATATTTCATGGAATTATCCATGTTTCAATAAATTCTCCATGATAAAAAGAAATTACTACATAAAATGATTTTTTCAATTATAACATCACAAATTTTTAAGTGTTAAAAATGTTGAAACAGAGCATGTCTTAAGATTGAAGAAATACAGAAATGACTTAAATAATTATGTGTTAAAGTCTGCAAGAAAGAAGTACAGAGTGCTATGGAGGCATAGAATAAACGACCCTCAATCACTTGTGGGGAAGGGTCAGGAAAGTCATTCCCACTGAGTGCTACATTTAGGCTGGAATCTAAGAGACTGTAAGGGAAGAAAGTATTGGCAATTTTGCCAATGTGGGAAGATGCATCGTTAGTAGAATCAATGACAACTCCATAATGGGCATTAGCAGCAGCTGCACTAGAGCTTATGTGTGGAAGAGCAAACCAAAGTGGAAAACATGAACCTACTTGTATCTGAGTATACAGAACCCTAAGGGATCCCTCAGTGCTATTTAAGGAGGTTTGGATATGTGACCCCAAGCTCTGGAAATGCCAGTTAATTTGGCCATTAATCTGAGATCATCTGTGTTCAAGGGCTGGTAAATCTGGGACCCAGGGTTACATCAAGGTATATTTACCAACACCATTATATTCTAAGACTTAAAGGAGGTTATCCCAGGCTCTTCGCAAAGAATCTCAATTTTCACAATGAGATTTTGATGCTAAGAGTGGGGAGATTGGCCTAATGTCTAACTGATGGATATTTTAATTTTGAAAATTCATTAGTAGTTAGACATGTCCATTTTAAAGTGCATTAATTTTAGGGACACCAGGCATCAGCCTAAATTGCTTTAGTTATGCTCAACTTTACTCTTTCAAACCCTTTTATACAAACCTGTGCCTATTCTCCTTCAAACATATAATAGTTTCCCCCAAACCACAGGGATTTGGGTCCAGAAGAATTCCTGTAACATAATTTATAATCAATAAACTAAAGCCATAGAAGAAGAACACAGCTGGGGAAACAATGTCATAGCTAAATCTGTAAGAAACCTAACACATACTTTCACATTTGTAAAACAATATACTAAGTGAAGATATTAGCCATGCAATATATACACCTAAATTAACGATAATGTGAATTATACCTTTGCATGCTAGAAGTTTTCAGGAGCTCCCTCTCTTGCCACCTCTTTTCTTCAGTATTAACGACATGCTTACAAGTAACTTTTGTTTTGTTACAGAAAACAAATATTTCAAAGCAACTCTTTTTCAATTTATCTGTGTCTACATCTCAAAGACCATCACCTTTTCAATTTTATGACTCAGAATTGGCCCTGTGGCCGCACCTGCTGCCTCCCGGTCTCTCCAGTTTCCAGGCCCAGTCCTTAGCTCACTGAGGCCTCAATCAGTTACCCCTTTTCTTCCTCCTAAGGAGTACTGGGGAGCTTTCCAATCTTTCAGTATCTTTCCCAGTTGTTATAAAAATTCGTACTTCTCCGCCATCAGCTTTACTTCCTTTTAAATATTCCTAACTTCCAGTTGCCTTTTCTCAACTCAGAATTATTGCTCACAATTCAAATGCAAATAAATTCAAAATCTTTTGATTGACAAAAGGAGCTACAAGGTAACCACATCTCACTTTAAATTTTTACTGGAATCTCATGTTTAGGAAGGGATTATTGTATTTCATTCAATCTTGCTACATGTTTGCTGTGCAGGCACTAAATATATGTATAGTTAAATATTCCTGTCCAAATTTAGATCTTACTGAACATCTTCACTTTTGACTGTCTCCAGTTTCATTTAGAAAAAGACATAGATGTGGCATGATCTAGAACAGAAAGTTAAGAAATCCTGGGAGAAAAAATACATGGTAGTATAAAATAAAAAGTTGCCATTAGATGTAGGGGCCCAGGTTTCATATCTGTAGTAAATCTCTATCTACTGTACAAACTATATTCTTAAAAAATTAGAGCAGTTAACAACATGCATTAAACTCCACTATCCAAAATAAGAACAATGTAAAAATAGTTTTAATATGAAACAGTAATTGAACAAAATAGTTGATAAATGTATCTGGGTTTAAATTTCTTTAGATTTTATCTTTAAAAATCCTACCCCATTAAAAAGTGGTCAAAGGACATGAACAGACACTTCTCAAAAGAAGACATACATGCAGCCAACAAACATGAAAAAAAGCTCAACATCACTGATCATTAGAGAAATGCAAACCAAAACTACAGTGAGATACCATCTCACGCCAGTCAGAATGGCAATTATTAAAAAGTCAAGAAACAACAGATCCTGGCAAGGTTGCAGAGAAAAGGAATGCTTTTATGCTGTTGGTGGGAATGTAAATTAGTTCAACCATTGTGGAAGACAGTGTGGTGATTCCTCAAAGATTTAGAACCAGAAATATCATTTGACCCAGCAATCTCATTACTGGGTATATACCCAAACAAATATAAATTATTCTATTATAAAGATATATGCACACATATGTTCATTGCAGCACTATTCACAATAGCAAAGACATGAAATCAACCCAGATGCCCATGAATGATAGACTGAATAAAGCAAATGTACATATGCACCATGGAATACCAGGCAATCATGAAAAGGAAAGAGATCAGGTCCTTTACAGGGATCTGGTTGGAGCTAGAAGCCATTATCCTCAGCAAACTAACACAGGAACAGAAAACCAAACACTGCATGTTCTCACTTACAAGTGGGAGAGGAACAATGAGAACACATGGACACAGGGAGGGGAACAACACACATTGGGGCCTATAGAGAGGGTGGGAAAGGGGGAACATCAGGAAAAATAGCTAATTCATGCCAGGCTTAATACCTAGGTGATGGATTGATAGGTGCAGCAAACCACCATGGCACACATTTACCTATGTAACAAACCCACACATACTGCACATGTACCCCAGAACTTTAAATAAAAATAAAAATAAAAATCTTGATATCAACCTTCACAAGCATTTCATAAAGTTTAGGAAGTTATTTACATATGGAAAAAAATCAACATCATTTCTGTTGACTTATATTATGATGTCTAAAATCAAGTATAAAATATTAAATCTACCATTTGACAGTACATATGAAGACATGTAAAAAGCAGTAGGAAGCTCTCAGGAAAACTACATTTTAGAAGTTAATTCCATGTTCCAGTAACAGATATAAAAAATGAAAATGATGTTAACTTTGAATGTCAAGAGTTCACAGTAAACCTACTAAACTGCTTATTAAAATCTTCACACATCTAAAGCAGTAATATAATTCACACCTCTCTCTATTCTCACCAATTAAAACAAAAAACACTATGCTTAAAGACTTCTCTTTCTTTTTTTCCAAATTGTTTCAGGAAATGATGATCCTGTGTTTCAAATTATCTTAATTAGAACTACTAAGTCAGTCTTCTCTGAAAATAAATCTCTTTTGTCTACTTATCAAAATCTATTTCCTTTTTCTTTGGGGGTATACTTTTCAGAGAAAGTAAAGAACATTAATCCAATTCCTTTACACTCTAAGAATTCTGCTTAACAAAATATCGGTGAAAATTTAACACCATAAAAAAATGAAGATTATACAAATCAAAGGGAACTTGATATTTTCACAAATTGTAAGTGATTTTTAATATATCTATTTAAGGTTATTTGGCCAAGTTATGTGTATTTACTAGGATTTGTTTCTTTATATATTAGGAAATATGGAAAACCATGCTCTGACCAACCTCTAGGAATGTCTCCTACCCTCATTCCTACAGGACTGGGGAACAAAATGTAATAGATCTCCTGCGCCCATGTTACAAGGAGTATCACATTTCTCCTTAAAGATCTTTCAACAACAACAACCGAATTTATTGTAGTTGTTAAAATTAGCCACCTCCTAATTTTTGAAACTGAATTCTCTTCTCACACTTTTCTGATTTTCCTGCTTCCAGGCCAGCCAGATCCTTCAGGCCTACATTGCCTGTACTGACTCCCACCCCCTGTTCTTTCCCCCTAGAGGTAGGTGTTTCCCAAAGCTCACCCACTATATTCCATTCTCAGAGTCTAGTCCCATTGTCACATCTCAACTACCACTTTTTATGCAGATAATTCTCAAATCTGTGTCTTTAGCTCATGATCTCTTTACTGAAGATGTCTTCCTGGCTACCTTCCATGGGTTTCCACTGAGATCTTGCCCACACACTTGAAGCCCAACACAATTATCACCCTCTGACTTTTCCTTTTCTGCTCATGGTAGTTCATTTCTCATTGTTTTGTCCATCAAGTCTCAAACTTGTGTCTCCCTTGCCTGCAGCTTCTTTCTCACCTCCTTAATCCAACCTGTCATTAATTTCTATTCATCCTTCAAGAGTTCCCCCATCTATACCTCTCTTTTAATTTCTATACCTACCATATCCGTTTGGGCTGTAATCATAATACCTAAACTGCTTCAATAACCTCCTACTTGACCATCTCATTTTAGTTTCTCACACATTACAATCAGTCCTGCTCTCCACTATAACATGAATCTCCCTAAAATGTTTTACTCTTTAGTTGTATTTCCAAGTCTTACTTCCCAGTACTATTCAACAGGAGGAAGCACCTGCCTTATTCATATCTACCTAATCCCCGATCTCCTAATCTGTCCCATCTGGTTTCCTTGGAAAGCTCTTTCCATACCCTTTACCTAAATATGAATTACCTTTCAAGGGCCAGCTCAGATTTTACCTCCTCCATGGTCTTTTCTCAAAATACTGTGACTTTTCATTCTTGGAACATATTGAACTAACAGTCTGCCCACTCCTATAGCAGCTCAGTATTGTAAAGCAGAAAAGCACTCAACCAGGCACCATACCCCACCCCACCCCCAGGTCTAAGCACAACTCTGCTATTAAGATGCCTTGGGATGCCCATTACAAGTCATTTTACCTCTCCACCTTTGGATTCTCACTGAAAAAAAGAAAAAAGTGGGAAGGACTAAAAGAGATCTCAGCTTTAAGGATGCAGTGACCCAACTGCCTTATGATACTGGAATGTTATTGTAAATTGAACATTTTCAATAAATCTTGTCTGCAGAAGTGGACCGTAAAGTTCCTTAGAGAGCAGCAATGTTTGCTACTTGTTGATGCATGGTGCCTAATACCATACTTTGCATTTTCTAGGCCCCTAAGAAATATTTTGCACATTGCTGGGTAAGAAACTTGTTGAAGGTAGCATGCTTCCTGAATTAAAAGAACCCAAATTAGAACCCATTGATGTTCATTTTTGGGTTTGATTGTTTAAGTGTACACCAAGCCACCAAGGAACAATTTTCCTCAAATTCTTTCAGAAGAGTAATTATAAATAACTAAATCAAGATTCACCTTTGATGGGGACAACAATGAGAAATGTACTACCATCAACAGAAAAGGAAAAGTCAGAAGGGAAAGTCAGTTTTAAGGGGAAGGTGATAATTGTTTTGGGCTTCAAGTAAGCAGATGACATCTAACCGGAAACTTTTGGAAAGTAGCCAGAAAGGCATCTTAAGTTCACTGAAGAGATCACAAGCTAAGGATCACAAGGACTCTACTGTGGGAAAACTGAATTTTAACCTGATTTTCTGACATTGGATAGCCATATA
This sequence comes from Homo sapiens, assembly GCF_000001405.40. Classification (NCBI taxonomy): domain Eukaryota; kingdom Metazoa; phylum Chordata; class Mammalia; order Primates; family Hominidae; genus Homo; species Homo sapiens. The sequence goes on along the minus strand of NC_000002.12, from coordinate 183,306,053 downwards.
AATTAACTTCCAATGTGGTCTTGTCTGAGAAATCATGACTGAAAACTCCTGCAATGCTTATTAAGACACGGCGTAAATGGTAAAATACTGTGGAATGTAAAGTTATTGTTATTGTTTCATAAATCCAAATGGTACCCTGCACTTAATTACAGGTCTACAAATGCTAACTTCATCTACCTAGCCCTCCTGCTATGAAAAGTTGTTTGATTGTACTTGTTCATTATCGGTGAAATCATTTAAAGACACATATTTCTAAACACAAGAACTCTGCTCCAAGAGAGAAACAAGTGCAGTCTTCCGCATGGAGAAGCTTTTCTATCAGAATAGGATGAAAAGATCACACCTTAAGCCAGGCAAATCTGAATTTCCACGCTCTTCTGAGATATAGATGCTGATGTTTTGGGGCATTTTAATTTTTGCCAAGACAACCAAGTCATTGAATTTTGGAAAGACAACTGTATAACATGGTTTTAAAAATCAATTTGTTCTAAGAGACTATTTCTTTCTTTCCCGTCAAAGGAATTACATGCATGGGTTATTTCATGACATATAAGAAAACATCCCTCATTTTTATGATGTATATGGCACCACTTGTGACTTTGGTGCTCATGTCTTAAAGACTATAACTTGCTCATAAAAATAAATCAGATGTTTCTGCAGAGTTTCTGCATGTAATGCTGCTGCCGTCTGCTTACCCCCAGTACCTAATGAGGCATGAGACAGGCTCTGAGCACAATCAAGTTGTTTACTTTCCTCTGGCCAATAAAGAACTACAAAAAGGTATTAGAGTTTATATTCAGCTATATCATAGACAAAATGGACACGGCGGGGTGGGCAGAGGAAAGAAAGTTCTTCAACATTAAAATGCTTCCAAGTTTTTTCTATGTAACGAGACAAAAAAAAAGTAAGTGAGGATGAACAAGAATGAATTCAAGCAATGGTGCTATCAATAGCATCAAGATGAAGAACATAATATGTATCAGAAGCAGCTAAAGATGCTATCCTCATGTCTCTGGGATCCTCTTAGTCATCCAAAAACAGCCTTTTCTCTTAACATGAAAGGAAGAACAGTCCTAGAAAAGAAAAGAATTGCCTCTTAATAGACGGCACAAAAAAAAGATAGGAATCCTGTTATGCATACAACCCTAGCTTTGGAAATGTCTTCTTTAAAATTAAAACACTTAAAGCTTGGTTTTGCAAGAAAAATGTCAACTCTGGCAGCAATAACATTTTCATTGTGTCATAATTTAAAATATTCTGGTAATTTTGGGGAGTATTTAAGGGGAAAGTAAGACTACTCTGGCAAAACTTTTACATGTTTATATTGAAAAACATCATTTATTAGCAACCTTGGTGATAATGCAAACCTCTCCCCCTTCCAGGTCTTCAGCAGCAGCAAGGGCAGAAGACCAAATGAGGAAGGGGCTGCCACAATGGTGGATAGTCTACTGCTCACAAAAGCACCTGCTGAGCTTCTCCCAATTCTGGATTCCTGCCATGCAGCAAAGGTGAAGAGTCAGGCAAGCAAGGCCACAGGGCTTCATAAACATTTGATTTACTCATAGTAGTTGCAGCCCTGCTGGTTAGTGAAACAAGCTTATACAGTGTACAAATTTCTCTTAAACATACAGAATCAGTATATCCCTTTATTTACCTTTCAATTTATTTTTGATGCAGCCCCCAATGCAACCCCAGTCACTTCCCTAAGACAGTTCAGAAAACCTCACATAGTTCCACTCTTGAAATACTTTTATTCCTCTGGTGAGGTTTTGCTTACTGAACTACTCATGTTTTAACTGATAGACACTGCCAGTTTTCCAAACTGGTTGTACCAACTCCCACAGGCTACATATGTCAGCTGCAGTTGCTCAACATTCTTGTTAACAGTCTTGTATTTTCAGTCTTTATAATTTTAGCCACTCTGATGTCTGTGTAGGGGTAACTTGTTGTGCTATGTCATCTCCCTAGTAACTGATGATGTTGAACACCTTTCTACATGCTATGGCTTTTGGATAGCCACTTTTGTGAAATGCTCAAACATTTTGCCCACGTTTTTATGGAGCTATTTTTTCCTTACAGATTTGTAGGAGTTATTTACATATTCTAGATACAAGTCTCATGTTTAATATATGCACTCCAGAGATCTCCTCTCAGTCTAAGACTTGCCTTAGAGAAAATACATCTTTTCCTCACCCATTACAAGGTTTGTGGCTGAAAACCCTATAATAATAAACAGATTAACAGTAGAAAAGCATACAAATTTATTTAATGTAAGTTTAATGTGACACAGGGGCCTTCAAAAATGAAGTTCCAAAGAAGCAGAAAACTGCATATATTTTATGCTAAGTCTGATGAAAAAGTGAATAGTTGTGGAGAAACATGATTGGACAAAAAGAGGTATAATCTCACAGTAATTAACTGGGGAGAACATAGTAAGGCTGGTTTGCTTAGATTATTTTCCATGTCTCTGTAGTCCTTAAAGCTAAGAATATTCTTTTCCTCTGAGTGTAAGGAAGACTCCCCATTGAATGAGGATTTTACAATCTATTTTTAGGGTAAGGTCAGTTAAATTTTACAGTCCCCTTCAGGGCAAAAGGGGCAAGAGGAATTCCTCCTAGTTCATATGGACTGCTTCTGCTGTTTCCTCAAATCCCAAAGTGTCTTATTTTGGGGTAGCATGTCCTGAACCCCATCAACTTCAATTAATAGATGTTCTTATCATAGGGAAGTCAAATTTATCAACTATTTCTTTTAGGAATTATGCTTTCTTGTGTCTTGTTTAAGAACTGTCTGCTTACCTCAAGGTCATGAATATATTCTCCTATATTTTCTTCCAGAAGCATTACTTTTCTCTCCTTTTAGATTTAGTTCTATCATTCAGCTAGCCATAATTTGTGTATGGTATCAGTTAGAGAAACAAAGTTTGATTTTTCTTTCCCATATAGATATCGAATTGATTCAACATTATTTAGTGAAAATGCTTTCTTTTACCCTAAGTTAGTTGATAGTGTGTATGTGTGTCTGTTTCTGGACTCTTTTGTTCCATTGATAAAGAAAAGAGTCCAAAGTTGGTAAAGAACTAGGAGTAGATTCTGTTTGACATACCTATTCAGGATAAATCTATCATATAGCCCCACAATTCCATTCTTTTGTCATGAACATACCCAAGAGAAATGAGTATTTATATCCACCAAAAAGATATGTACAAAAATGTTCATTAAATCTTTACTCACAATAGTAAAAAAATACAATCCAAATATTCATCAATGGAATGGGTAAATTATAGTATATTCATATAATGAAAAGCAATTTTAAAAGCTGCATAGCAGATGCACATTATTGCATATCAATAAAAAAGAATAAGTGAACAAACTCTATAGGAAAAAAATCTAATAATCTAATTAAAAAACAGTTGAAAGTCCACATGTCCTCACTCATAAGTGAGAGTTGAACAGTGAGAACACATGGACACAGGAAGGGGAACATCACACACCAGGGCCTGTTGGGAGGTGGGGGGAAAGGAGAGGGGGGGCATTAGGATAAATACTTAATGCATGCGGGGCTTAAAACCTAGATGATGGGTTGATAGGTGCAGCAAACCACCATGGCACATGTATATACCTATGTAACAAACCTGCACATTCTGCACATGTATCTCAGCACTTATAGTAAAATTTTAAAAAAAGAAATGTGTGATTTTTAAATAGAAAATATGGAAAGCTACCCAATATTTTAAAAGTTAACTTAATATTCAAAAAGCTGCTAAAAAATAGGTGAAAGATTTGGGTACGCGTTTCTCAAAAGAAGACATACAAATGGCAAACAAGTATGTGAAAAGATGCTCATCATCATTAATAATCAGAGAAACACAAATTAAAACACAGTGAAATGGCATCTCACCCCAGTTAAAATGGCTTTTATCCAAAAGATAGGCAATAACAAATGCTAGTGAGGATGTGAAGAAAAGGGAACCCTCATACATTGTTGGTGAGAATGTAAATTAGTACAGCCACTATGGAGAACAGTTTGGAGGTTCCTCAAAAAACTAAAAATAGAGTTACCATATGATCTAGCAATTAAATTTCACTGCTGGGTATATACCCAAAAGAAAGGAAATCAGTATATGAACAGATATCTGCACTCCCAAGTTTATTGCAGCACTATTCACAATAGCTAAGATTTGGAAGCAACCTAAGTGTCCATCAACAGGGAAATGGATAAAGAAAATGTCATGCATATACACAATGGAGCACTATTCAGCCATAAAAAAAGAATGAGCTTCTGTCATTTGCAACAAAATGAACACAACTGAATAAAGTTAATAATGTTAAATGAAACAAATCAAGAACAGAAAGGCAAACCTCACATGTTCTCACTTATTTGTGGGAGCTAAAAATTAAAACAATTGAACTCATGGAGATAGAGGGTAGAATGATGGTAAACAGAGGCTGGGAAAGGTAGTGGAGAGGCATGGAGAAGTGGGGATGGTTAATGGAAACAAAAATATAGTTAGTATGAATAAAATCTAGTATTTGATAGCACAACAGGGCGACTACAGTTGACAATAATTTATTGCACATTTTAAAATAACAAAAAGTATAGGTGGAATATTTTTAACACATAGAAAGGATAAATGATTAAGGTGATGGATATCTCATGTACCCAGATATGATTATTACACATTCTATACCTGTATTAAAATACCTCATATATCCCATAAATATATGTACCCACTATGTACCTACAAAAATTAAAAATAAAAAAATTTTTAAAGATTTGCTGGCAAGATGGCTGAATAGGAACAGCTCCGGTCTGCAGCTCCCAGCGAGATCAACGCAGAAGATGGGTGATTTCTGCATTTCCAACTGAGGTACCCATTTCGTCTTATTGGGACTGGTTGGACAGTGGGTTCAGCCCATGGAGGGCGAGCTTAAGCAGGGTGGGGCATTGCCTCACCCGAGAAGCACAAGGGATCAGGGGATTGCCCTTCCCCAGGCAAGGGAAGCCGTGACAGACTGTACCGGGAAGAATGGTGCACTCCAGCCCAGATACTGTGCTTTTCCCACGGTCTTCTCAACCAGCGAACCAGGAGATTCCCTCTGGTGCCTACTCCACCAGAGCCCTGGGTTTCAAGCAAAAAACTGGGCAGCCATTTGGGCAGACACCGAGCTAGCTGTAGGAGTTTTTATGTTTGTTTGTTTCATACCCCAGTGGCACCTGGAACACCAGCAAAACAGAACCATTCACTCCCCTGGAAAAAGGGCTGAAGCCAGGGAGCCAAGTGGCCTGGCTTGGCAGGTCCCATCCTCCTGGAGCCCAGCAAGCTTAGATCCACTGGCATGAAACTCTTGCTGCTAGCACAGCAGGCTAAGTTCTACCTGGGATGCTGGAGCTTGGTGAGGGGAGGGGCACCCACCATTGCTGAGGCTTGAGTAGGCGGTTTTACCCTCACAGTGTAAACAAAGCCACCAGGAAGTTCAAACTGGGCAGAGCCCACCGCAGCAGAGCAAGGCCACTGCAGCCAGACTGACTCTCTAGATTCCTCCTCTTTGGGCAGGGCATCTCTGAAAAAAAGGCAGCAGCCCCAGACAGGGACTTACAGATATCACCCCCATCTCTCTGGGACAGAGCACCTGGGGTAAGGGGCAGCTGTGGGCACAGCTTCAGCAGACTTAAGCGTCCTTACCTGACAGCTCTGAAGAGAGCAGCAGATCTCCCAGCACATTGTTTGAGCTCTGATAAGGGGCAGACTGCCTCCTCAAGTGCCTCCCTGACCCCCGGGTATCCTGACTGCAAGACTCCTCCCAGTAGGCCAACAGACACCTCATACATGACAGCTCTGGCTGGCATCTGGCAGGAGCCCCTCTGGGACAAAGCTTCCAGAGGAAGGAACAGGCAGCAATCTTTGCTGTTCTGCAGCGTCTGCTGGAGATACCCAGGAAAACAGGGTCTGGAGTGGACCTCCAGCAAACTCCAGCAGACCTGCAGCACAGGGACCTGACTGTTAGAAGAAAAACTAACAAACAGAAAAGAATAGTATCAACATCACCAAAAATGGACGTCCACTCAGAGACCCCATCCAAAGGTCACCAATGTGAAAGACCAAAGACAGATAAATCCACGAAGATGGGGAGAAACCAGTGCAAAAAGGCTGAAAATTCCAAAAACCGGGACACGTCTTCTCCTCCAAAGGATCTAACTCCTTGCTAGCAAGGGAACAACACGGGATAGAGAATGAATTTGACAAATCGACAGAAGTAGACTTCAGAAGTTGGGTAATAATGAACTCCTCTGAGCTAAAGGAGCATGTTCTAGCCCAATGCAACGAAGCTAAGAACCTTGAAAAAACGGTTAGAGGAATTTCTAACTAGAATAACCAGTTTAGAGAAGAACATAAATGACCTGATGGAGCTGAAAAACACAGCATGAGAACTTCATGAAGCATACACAAGTATCAATAGCCCAATCAATTAAGCAGAAGAAAGGATATCAGAGATTGAAGATCAACTCAATGAAATAAAGTGAGGAGAAAAATGAGTGAAAAGAAACACACAAAGCCTCCAAGAAATATGGAAATATGTGAAAAAGACCAACTCTATACTTGACTTGGGTACCTGAAAGTGATGGGGAGAATGGAACCAAGTTGGAAAATGCTCTTCAGGATATTCACCAGGAGAATTTCCCCCACCTAGCAAGGCAAGCCAACATTCAAATTCAGGAAATACGGAGAACACCACAAAGATACTTTGCAAGAATAGCAACCCCAAGACACATAATCGTCAGATTCACTAAGGTTGAAATGAAGGAAAAAATGTTAAGGGCAGCCAGAGAGAAAGGCCAGGTTTACTCACAAAGGGAAGCCCATCAGACTAACAACACATCTCTCTGCAAAAACTCTTAAACCCAGAAGATAGTAGGGGCCAATATTCATCATTCTTAAAGAATTTTCAACCCAGAGTTTTATATCCAGCCAAACTAAGCTTCATAAGCGAAGGAGAAATAAAATCCTATACCGAGAAGAAAATGCTGAGAGATTTTTTTCACCACCAGGCCTGCCTTACAAGAGCTCCTGAAGGAAGTATCAAATATGGAAAGCAAAAACTGGTACCAGCCAATGCAAAAACCTACCAAATTGTAAAGACCATAAGGGCTATGAAGAAACTGCATCAACTAATGAGCAAAATAAACAGATAGCATTATGACAGGATCAAATGCACACATAACAATATTAACCTTAAATGTAAACAGGCTAAATGCCCCAATTAAAAGACACAGACTGGCAAATTGGATAAAGAATCAAGACCCATAAGCGTGCTGTATTCAGGAGACCCTTCTCATATGCAAAGACACATGTAGGCTCAAAATAAAGGGATGGAGGAATATTTACCAAGCAAATGGAAAGCAAACAAGCAAGGTTGCAATCCTAGTCTCTGATAAAATAGAATTTAAACCAACAAAGATCAAAAGAGACAAAGAAGGGCATTACATAACGGTAAAGGGATCAATACAACAAGAAGAGCTAACTATCCTAAATAAATATGGACCCAATACAAGAGCACTCAGATTCATAAAGCAAGTTCTTAGAGACCTGCAAAGAGACTTAGATTCCCACACAATAATAGTGGGAGACTTTAACACCCCACAGTCAATATTAGACAGATCAATGAGACAGAAAATTAACAAGGATATTCAGGACTCGAACTCAGCTCTGGACTAAGCAGACCTAATACACATCTACAGAACTCTCCACCCCAAATCAACAGAATATACATTCTTCCCAGAACCATATTGCACTAATTCTAAAGCTGACCACATAATTGGAAGTAAAACACTCCTGAACAAATGCAAAATAATGGAAATCATAACAAGCAGTCTTTCAGACCACAGTGCAATCAAATTAGAAGTCAGTATTAAGAAACTCACTCAAAACCACACAACTACATGGAAACTGAACAACCTGCTCCTGAATGACTACTGGGTAAATAAATCCGTGAGTAGACCAATAACAAGTTCTGAAACTGAGGCAGTATTTAATAGCCTACCAACCAAAAAAAGCCCAGCACCAGACAGATTCATAGCCAAATTCTACCAGAGGTACAAAGAGGAGCTGGTACCATTCCTTCTGAAACTATTCCAAACCATAGAAAAGGAGGGACTCTTCCCTAACTCATTTTATGAGGCCAGCATCATCCTGATACCAAAACCTAGCAGAGACACAACAAAAAAAGAAAATTTCAGGCTAATATCCCTGATGAACATCAATGGGAAAATCCTCAATAAAATACTGGCAAACCAAATCCAAAAGCACATCAAAAAGCTTATCCACTATGATCAAGTCGGCTTCATCCCTGGGATTCAACGCTTGTTCAATATATGCAAATCAATAAACATAATCCATCACATGAACAGAGCCAATGACAAAAACCACATGATTATCACAATAGATGCAGAAAAGGCCTTCGACAAAATTCAACTAGGCATTGATGGAACTAGGTATTGATGGAACATACCTCAAAATAATGAGAGCTATTTATGACAAACCCACAGCCAATATCATACCGACTGGGCAAAAACTGGAAGCATTCCCTTTCAAAACCGGCACAAGACAAGGATGCCCTCTCTCACCACTCCTATTCAACATAGTATTGGAAGTTCTGGCCAGGGAAATCAGGCAAGAGAAAGAAATAAAGGGTATTCAATTAGGAAAAGAGGAAGTCAAATTGTCTCTGTTTGCAGATGACATGACTGTATATTTAGAAAACCCCATCGTCTTAGCCCAAAATCTCCTTAAGCTGATAAGCAACTTCAGCAAAGTCTCAAGATACAAAATCAATGTGCAAAAATCACAAGTGTTCCTATACACCAATGACAGACAGAGAGCCAAATCGTGAGTGAACTCCCATTCACAATTGCTACAAAGAGAATAAAATGCCTAGGAATACAACTTACAAGGGATGTGAAGGACCCTCTACAAGCAGAACTACCAATCACTGCTCAAGGAAATAAGAGAGGACACAAACAAATGGAAAAACATTTCATGCTCATGGATAGGAAGAATCAATATCGTGAAAATGGCCATACTGCCCAAAGGAATTTATAGATTCAATGCTATCCCCAATCAAGCTACCACTGACCTTCTTCACAGAATTAGAAAAAACTACTTTAAATTTCATATGGAACCAAAAGGGAGCCCATATAGCCAAGACAATCCTAAGCAAAAAGAACAAAGCTGGAGGCATCATGCTACCTGACTTCAAACTATACTACAAGGCTCAAGTAGCCAAAACAGCATGGTACTGGTACCAAAACAGAAATATAGACCAATGGAACAGAAGAGAGGCCTCAGAAATAACACTACACATCTACAACCATCTGATCTTTGACAAACCTGACAAAAACAAGCAATAGGGAAAGGATTCCCTATTTAATAAACGGTGTTGGGAAAACTGGCTAGCCATATGCAGAAAGCTGAAACTGGATCCCTTCCTTAAACCTTATACAAAAATTAACTCAAGATGGATTAAAGACTTAAATGTAAGACCCAAAACCATAAAAACCGCAGAAGAAAACCTATGCAGTACCATCTAAAACATAGGCATGGGCAAAGACTTCATGCCTAAAACACCAAAGGCAATGGCAACAAAAACCAAAATTGACAAATGGAATCTAATTAAACTAAAGAGCTTCTGCACAGCAAAAGAAACTATCTTAAGAGTGAACAGGCAACCTACAGAGTGGGAGAAAATTTTTGCAGTCTATCCATCTGACAAAGGGCCAATATCCAGAATCTACAAAGAACTTAAATTTACAAGAAAAAAAACAAACAACCCCATCAAAAAGTGGGCGAATGATACGAACAGACACTTCTCCCAAGAAGACAATTATGTGGCCAACAAACATATGAAAAAAAGCTCATCATCACTGGTCATTAGAGAAATGCAAATCAAAACCACAATGAGATACCATCTCGTGCCAGTTAGAATGGCAATCATTAAAAAGTCAGGAAATAGATGCTGGAGAGGATGTGGAGAAATAGGAACACTCTTACACTGTTGGTGGCAGTGTAAATTACTTCAACCATTGTGGAAGAAGACAGTGTGGCAATTCCTCAAGGATCTAGAACCAGAAATACCATTTGACCCAGCAATCCCTTTACTGGGTATATACCTGTAGGGACCAGCCCTACAGGGTCTGTGGGTTTTTCTCCTCCTGTGCAGAGACAAGAGATCATAGAAATAAAGACACAAGACAAAGAGAAAAAAAGACAGCTGGGCCCTGGGGGACCACTACCACCAAGACGCGGAGACGAGTAGTGGCCCCGAATGCCAGGCTGAGCTGTTATTTATTGGATAGAAGGCAAAGGGGCAGGGTAAGGAGTGTGAGCCATCTCCAATGATAGGTAAGGTGACGCGAGTCACGTGTCCACTGGACAGGGGGCCCTTCCCTGTTTGGCAGTGGAGGCGGAGAGAGAGAGAGGAGACAGCTTACGCCATTACTTCTGCATTTCAAAGACTTTTAGTACTTTCACTAATTCTGCTACTGCCGTCTAAAAGGCGGAGCCAGGTGTACAGGGTGGAACATGAAAGCAGACCAGGAGCGTGACCACTGAAACACAGCATCACAGTCAGGGCCTGACTGATATCAGGCCCTCCACAAGAGGTGGTGGAGCAGAGTCTTCTCTAACTCCCGGGGGGAAAGGGAAGCTCCCTTTCCTGGTCTGCTAAGTAATGGGTGTCTTCTCTAGGCACTGACGCTACTGCTAGACCAAGGTCCGCTAGGTAAGGGGCGTCTTCCAAGACGCTGGCGTTACCGCTAGACCAAGGAGCCCTCTAGTGGCCCTGTCCAGGCATAACAGAAGGCTCACACTTGCCTTCTGGTCACTTTTCACTGTGTCCCTTCAGCTCCTATCTCTGTTTGGCCTCGTTTTTCCTAGGTTATAATTGTAGAGCAACAATTATTATAATACTGGAATAAAGAGTAGTGCTACAAACTAATGATTAATGATATTCATATGTAAACATATCTATAATCTATTTCTAGTACAACTATTCTTATTCTACATATTTTCTTCATTATACTGGAACGGCTCGTGCCCTCGGTCTCTTGCCTCGGCACCTGGGTGACTTTCCGCCCACAATACCCAAAGGATTATAAATCATTCTATTATAAAGACACATGCACACGTATGTTTATTGCGGCACTGTTCACAATAGCAAAGTCTTGGAACCAACCCAAATGCCCATCAATGATAGACTGGATAAAGAAGATGTGGCACATATACACCATGGGACACTATATAGCCATAAAAAAGGATGAGTTCGTGTCCTTTGCAGGGACATGGATGAAGCTGGAAACCACCATTTTTAGCAAACTAACACAAAAACAGAAAACCAGACACCGCATGTTCTCACTCATAAGTGGGAGTTGAACAATGAGAACACATGGACACAGAGATGGGGGGCATCACACACTGGGGCCTGTCAGGGGGTGGTGGGCTGGGGGAGGGATAGCATTAGGAGAAATACCTAATGTAGATGACAGATTGATGGCTGCAGCAAACTACCGTGGCACATGTATACCTATGTAACCAACCTGCATGTCCTGCACATGTACCCTAGAACTTAAAGTATAATAAAATAATAAATTTTAAAAAACAGAAATATTGCTATGTACAACACTGAATCCTTACAGACATAATGATGAATAAAATAAGCCAGACACAAGAGTACATATACGATTTCTTTATATGAAGCTTAAAAACAGACAAAATTAATCTGTGGAAGAAAGTCAGAATAGTAATTACCTCTGGGGAAAGACAGAAGGATATTGACTGGAAAAAAAACAGGAGGGAGCTTTCTAAGGTTCTGGAAATATTCCATATCTTGACTTGGGTGGTGGTTACATGGCACTATAGATGTTGAAAAATTCATCAAGATGTACACATATGATGTGTGCATTTTACTATACACTACTATATAAGTCTCTATCACTACCCGAATTAGTTACCACAAATTCAGCAGCCTAAAACAACACAAACTTACTATCTCACAGTTCTGTAGATAACAAGTCCAGGTTCGCTCAGCTGGTTTCTCTGATTTGGGTTTTACAGGGCAATAATCAAAATGCTGGTAAGCTAGGTTCCAACTGAGAATCTCTGGGAAGAAGCCGCTTCCAAGCTCATTCAGGTTTTTTGTTTGCTTGTTTTGCAGGATCCAGTTCCTTGATTTTGTAGGACTGAGGCCCCCATTTCCTTGCAGGCTGTTTCCAGGAGCCACCCCGTAGCTCATGGGGTCTCTTTCTAGTCCTTGTACATAGCTCCTGCATTTCAAAGCCAGTTACGGTACATTAAATCCTTCTTAGATCCTTGTTCCCCTTCTTTACCATCCCCTCTTTCTTCCTCTTCTACCACGTCTCTGACTCCTGTGCCTTCTTCTTTTGCTTTTAAGGGCTCATGTGATTACACTGGGTTTACCCAGATAATCCAGTATAATCTCCTTAAGGTTCATACCCTTATTTACATCTGCAAAGTCCTTTATGACATGTAACATAATATGTTCATAGGATGTGGGGGTTAGAGTATAGACATATTTGGGGGGCCATTATCTGAAAAACTACAGTTGTCTTCAATAACTTTTTAATATAGTCACATGAAAAGACAGATCTCTTTACCAAAGAAACGAGGAATGAGCCTGTGCAGTTCATTTTTAGCCTAAATTTCTCTCCCATTTGATCTTATTCCAATTATGTCCTTGACTCACTTCGTATTTAGGGTCTCAAGAAAGTAGAATATTCATAGTGTACTCCTCCGTATCCAACTGTATTATAGATATAGATACATAGATATATTACTGATAAATATATGTGCTATGAAACCCACTGAGTTATTACATTTCAATAATAGCATGGCATAAAAAATATTTCTAAGATATAATACAACATTTTTATACATACCAGTCATACCAACCAACACATTTTATATGGTAAGCTATTGAAGTAATTCATTACATTTTCCTTTGGTCAGTTCTGTCAGTTAGCATAACTTCTTTAAAGATTAAAAACAATATTTCACTATTACTTAGGGCACTATGTCAAACAGATTACATAACTGTGTTCTCAAAGAGCAAGCATGTTTAAGAAGTTATTTGGAATATTGACTTATTCCTTCCAATTTTCTTCAGAACTCATCTTTGCAACTATTATTTTTACTTGAAGATTCATGGAGAAAAATTACTCAAACTACTTGATAATTTACGCAGTTTTACTGTCAAAATCTGATGTACTTTCAACTTCCAAAGCACGTATATTCTTTGCTGTTTTCCACATAATACAGCATCAGATAAAGGCATCAGTAATTTTGACTTGATTGCACTGTAATTATTCAAATATCTTTAATTTTATGCTCTGGTCTAATTTCCATATTTGTTATCATTTAAAATTATTATTATAGATAATATACCTAAAGTACTTCCATTAATTGGAAAATGCAATTCTTGAACAATAATAGTCATCACAAAAACAACTCAACATAAAGGCCACAATGGCAATGTAGCTGTATTTACTATCAGCATCGATCATGACCAGCACCATAATCTCAGCACTTAGTGAGTGGTCCCCTCTAAACTTGGCATAATCATTCCTCAGTGGATCTGACCACATCTGACCAATGGCCATTTCAGTTCACCAAGTCATCCTTCCTTACACCTTGCAAATAAGGCAAAATCTCAGGTTGAGATCAATGCCTTAAGAGTACTCACTTCTTCTGAAGCAGGGATTTGCTTTTTGCAGCTGCTCAGCAGGGCTCTGCACCTCTTATCAATCAAGAAGGAGCTGCAACATTTCCTCCCTGCTGCAGGAAACAGTGTCTCTAGCTGAGACTTATCAGCAGGGATTCTAGCAGTTCCACCAGATAAGAAAAGAATTCAGGGTCAAAGAGAAAAGAAAAAGGTATAAAGGAAGCCAAGAGAGGAGACAAAATACAAACAAAGAATTACAGACCCTGTTTATCATAGACCCCTTTGCAGCACAACACAGGAGGTTTCAGCAGGAAACTATTGGGGGTTGAAGAATCTTTGAATATTACACATTTAAAAAAAACTTCAAAAACTATTGCCCCTCATAAGAAAAGAAGCTTTAAGCAGGATGTAGAATAAAAATACTTTAAGTGCTAAATATTTTATTAACTTTGATTTTCACCAAAATGTCCTATATTCCTCTGAACACCAAAACAGCCAAAACCTGAACCAACAATGCGTTGTTTTAAGGTATTATAAAGTCCATCAAATTAAAGATTATCAAATTGCTTTTGTTTAATTCTAACTTACATTTTAGGGTAATTGAACAATAGCATTAAGTCATTAGCAAGCTATTGAGAGCCTGGAGAATACATACATACCTGGGAGACATTGTGAGCTCGGTTCCAGATGACCACAAAAAAATGAGTCACATTTTTTTTTGTTTCCCAGCTCATATAAAATTTATGTTTATACTATACTGTAGTCTATTAAGTGTGTAGTAGCATTATGTCTAAAAAGACAATGCATATGCTTTATTTAAAAATACTTTATTTCTAAAACATGCTAACAATTATCTGAGCCTTAAGAGAGTCTTAATCTTTCTGCTAGTGGAGGATCTTGCTTCAATGTTGATGGTTCCTGACTGATCAGGGTAGGATAGTGGTTGCTGAAGGTTGGGGTGGCTACAACAATTTATTAAAATGATAAAAAAAAATGAAGTGTACTGCAATGATTGACTCTTTCACAAAAGATTTCTCTGTAGCATGTGATACTGTTTGATAGCATTTGACTCACAGAAGAACTTTCAAAATTGGAGTTGATCCTCTCAAACCCTGCTGCTGTTTTATCAACTAAGTTACTTGCTAATTTTTTTTTTCACTTCAGCAATGTTCACAGCATCATTACCAGGAGTAGGTTCCATCTCACGAAACTACTTTATTTGCTCTTTCATAAGAAGCAACACCTTATCTATTCAAGTTGCTCATAAGATTGCAGCAATTCAGTCACATGTTTAGGCTCTATTTACAACTCTAATTCTCTTGCTATTTTCACCACATCTACAGTTACTTCCTCCACTGAGGTCTTCAACCCATCAAAGTAATCTGTGAGGTTGGAGTTAACTTCTTACAAAGTTCTGTTAATGTTGACATACTGACCTACTCCCGTGTTCTTAATCACATATGTTCTTAATGGCATCTAAAATGGTGAATCCTTTCCAGAAGTTTTTTGATTTACCTTGCCCAGATTCAGAGAAATCACTATGTATGGCAGCTATAGCCTTACACTATGTATGGCAGCTATAGCCTTACAAAATATATTTCTTAAATAAGACTAGAAAGTCAAAATTACTCCTTGATCCATGGGATGCTAAACAGATGTTGTGTTCGCATGAGATTGGTTTGGCTCTGTGACTCCACCCAAATCTCATCTTGAATTATAATCCCCAGGTATTGAAGGAGGTACCTGATGGGAGGTGATTGGATCATGGGGGCAGTTTTCTCCATGCTGTTCTTGTGATAGTGAGGGAGTTCTCACGAGATCTGATGGGTTTATAAGTGTTTGCAGTTCCTCCTTCACACACTCTGTCACCTGCTGCTATGTAAGATGTCCCTCTTCCCCTTCTGCCATGATTCTAAGATTCCTGAGCCCTCCCCAGCCATGCAAAACTGTTCATCAATTAAACCTCCTTTCTTTATAAATTTCCCCATTTCAGGTAGTGTCTTTATAGCAGTGTGAGAACGAGCTAATACAGCAGGCATGAAAACAACATTAATCTCCTTCAGAACTTCTGCATGACCAGATGCGTTGTCAAGGAGCAATGATCTTTTGAAAGAAAACTCCTTTTCTGAGCAGATCTCAACAACGGGTTTTTAATATTCAGCAAACCATACTGTGAGCAGATATACTGTCACCCAAGCTTTGTTGATTCATTTATAGAGCACAGACAGAGTACATTTAGCATCATTATTAAGGGCTCTAGGCATCATTATTAAGAGCTCTAGGATTTTCAGAATGGTAAATGAGGATGGGCTTCAACTTAAAGTCGTCAGTTATATTAGTGTCTAACAAGGGACTCAGCCCATCCTTTGAAGCTTTGCAGCCACGTATTGACTTTTCCTCTCAGCTATGAGCCCAGGGTGGCATCTTCTTCCAATAGAAGGCTATTTTGTCTGTATTGAAAATCTGTTATTTAGTGTAGCCACTTTCATCAATTATTTTAGCTAGATTGTCTGGATAACTTATTGCAGCTTCTCCATCAGCACTTGATGATTCACCTTACATTTTTATGTATGGAGACAGCTTCTTTCCTTAAACCTCATGAACCAACCTCTGCTAGCTTCCAACTTTTCTTCTGCAGCATCCTCACCTCTCTCAGCCTTCATGGAATTGAAGAAAGTTGGAAGTTTCCTCTGGATTAGGCTTTGGTTTAGGGGAATGTTGTGGCTGGTTTGATCTTCTGTTCAGACCACTAAAACTTTCTCCCTGTCATCGATAAGATTGCTTATGGCTTTTTATCATTTTATTTGAGTAACACTTTTAACTTCCTTCAAGAACTCTTTGTATTCACAACTTGGTTAACTGTCTGTCTCAAGACACCTAGCTTTTGGCCTATCTCAGCTTTCCACTTGCCTTCCTCATTAAATTTAATTATTTGTAGCTTTTGATTTAAGGTGAGAGATTTGCAACTCTTCTTTCACTTAAACACTTGGAGTCATGGTAGGGTTATGAATTAGCCTAATTTTATACTATGTGTCTCAAGGAATAGGGAGGCCTGAGGGGAAAGAAAGGGAAATAGCCAATGGGTGGAGCAGTCAGAACACACACAACATTTATCAATTAAGTTCACCATCTTTTATAGGCACAATTCATGGTGCCCCTAAACAATGACAATAGTATCATCAAAGATCACTCATCACAGATCACCATAATCAGTATGATAATAATGAAAATATTTGAAATATTATGAGGCATACCAAAACGTGACACAGAGACACAAAGTGAGCACATGCTGTTAGAAAAATATCACCAATAGACTTGCTTGATGTAGGGTTGCCACAAACCTTCAGTTTGTAAAAAATGCAATATTTTCAAAGTGCAATAAAACAAGATAAGCCTGTATTGTGACAGTGCCCAAAGCCTAAGAAAATAGAGATATAAGAGTGCCTGTCTTTGAAAGTGAAGAAAAATGCCAACATTGGGGCAAAAATGCATGCTACCTTTCCTCACCCATTACAGCCAACATTTGTATAGCAATAGACAAAACAAATTTATTTAATCAAAGTTTTACATGATGTGGGAGACTTCAGAAATAAAGTTTTTATTTTTATGTGTAGATTTGATGAAGAATGGACAGCCATGTAGGAATGTAATTCAACAGAGGGTATGGTCTATAAGGTCTGGTCAGCTGAGATTCCTCTTGATCTCTCCGTGTAACATTCCTTCCTCCAGGATGTGGGGTAGGACACTCAAACAAGTCAAAAAACCTAGAGAGGTCACTCCCTTCTCCTTTCTCCCTAGGTCCTTGAAGAGAGTCTAGTTTCTCCTTTCTCCCTAGGAGAGAGAGAGTCTCCTTTCTCCCTAGGAAAGAGAATCTAGTTTCTATGACTCCTTCTGGGGAAAAAGTTCTGGTTTCTATAACTCACTTCAAAGGGAGAAAGAGCAGTGGAAGACAGGAGGGCAGAAAGTCAGAAAGACCTTGCTTCTGAAACTGTTCCCATCTCCTTCAGTTCAAAGTACTCAGCTTGCCGATGCACTGTGGGGATCATGTTCTGAGCCCCCAATATCGACAAAAAGGATTATATATTCCTACGAGAGATTTAAAATTGTCAGTCTGCCAGTTTACTAAACTTAAATTTTTACTATCTCAATCTTCTAAGAAAAAGGCAGATATTTTTTTCTGCAAAAAAATAATAAACATCATATATTACGTAAAAGGGAGAAAAAGTAAACTAGACGAAAACCTATCTAGAAGCCCAAGTTGTACATGAAATAAAAATTCAAGAAATGTTGCCAAAGCTCTGATCCTCAGCTCTGCCAGTGATTAAAATAAAGGTAACACAGGCCAGCGTGGTGGCTCATGCCTGTAATCCCAGCACTTTGGGAGGCCTAGGCAGGTAGATCATGAGGTCAGGAGATCGAGACCATCCTGGCTAACACGGTGAAACCCTGTCTCTACTAAAAATACAAAAAAATTAGCTGGGCATGGTGGCGGGTGCCTGTAGTCCCAGTTACTCGAGAGACTGAGGCAGGAGAATGGCGTGACCCCGGGAGGCGGAGCTTGCAGTGAGCCAAGATGGCACCACTGCACTCCAGCCTGGGCGACAGAGCAAGACTCTGTCTCAAAAAAAAAAATTAAATAAAATAAAAAATAAAGATAACACTACTCTTACCTCAGGATAAATGATGATAGTTTGGTATAATCTTTGAGCTCTGTAGGAGAAAGCAAATTTATATGCTTCTAGGAAGAATAAAATACCATTATTTAAATGAAGGGTATATGTCCTTCATTTAAATGTATTCCTACATTCCTACATTAAATGTATTCCTCTCACAAGTGAATTACAGTGGAAGAATTAAAAAATAATTTAACTACTAACCATGATCTTAACTCTAGTTATTTTGGTCAAACATAATATGCAATTCTACCTGTGAGTAGAATCTAAGTCAGTACTGCAATCTGTACACAGTGGTCATAACATAGTTTTCTACAAGCCACAATAACCAGCAGGTATTAAAACAGAGTTGACACAGTGACTTCACAATCCATGTATCAGAGTGGGAAAAAAAGTTCTATAGCTATAAGACGATCTACAAAGATGTCAAAAAATCTCAGAGAAACTAACCACCCCATCAGCGACGTAGAATTTACTGTTAGGAACACCTGCTCCCTTGTACCAGTCACTAGGAAAAAAAAAAAAAAAAAAAAAGCTAGTAAAAGACAGAGTGGCACAAAGGTATAAGAAGATAAAAAGAACAAAATGCCCCCAAGTTTGTAATGAGAGGAGTTTTCTTCACTTGCTTAATAACAAAGAATACCTTGCCAAATTTCCAGGGTTCATTTTATATTTAATTTCACACACAGGAAACCTTAATTTTGCATAAATTCCATAATTTATAGCTTAGGGCTAAAAAAAAAAAAAAAAAAAAAAAAAAAAAAGGACCCCCTGCCGAACATCAGCCCAGAAAAGTCAGATTTGTCTGAGTGTCAGCATGAACAATGCATCTGAAGGTTAATATTTAATCTCCTCGTCTCTGATCCCTAAAATCATGTGGATAAGGTGAAGTTATTTTGAAATTGCTGAAAGCAAGGTTTCATTCACCATGAAACAGAAGTTATGTTGGGAAAGGCGAAGAAATGAGAAAGCCATGAAGAATCTATAGAGGCTGAATAAATTTGTTGTACTGGCAACATATTAAAGAGGCCAACTAATTCGAAAGCATAAAGAATCTACTTTAATCTTGGCTTTTCACAGGAATAAACCCTTCAGATATTTCGCTTCCTAGGTATTTATGCTGAGCTAACTCAGAAACAACCAAAAGAACAGGAAGGCCACGTAAAAGATAAAAAGAAAAAACGTCAGGCATAAAGGGGAGATGCGGGCTAATTTCAGTCTAAAATGTTTGATTCACTATAAGAAAATGTCTGAATATGTTTTGCTTTCCTTTTAAATATTTATATATAATTATATATTATATATATTTATATATAATTATATATTATATTTATATATAATTATATATTATATATATATATAATTATATATTATATATATATAATTATATATTATATATTATATAATTATATATTATATACTATATAATTATATATTATATATATTTATATATATATTATATATATTTATATATTATATATTGTATTATATATAAATATATATAATATATAATATATAAATATATATAAAGAATTCATGTATATATGAATTCATTTCTTCACAGCACCTATTCCTGAGTCTAGATTGTTAACTTTCCCAGGGTTCCCTATCAAGAGAACTTTCCTTCCTTCTTTTCTTGTAGGTTTCAAATGCCTGATTGTCCATTCTTTCATTTGGTCATGAAAGTAAATATTTAAATCCATCCACAAAAATTCCATGTATTGGAATCAATGATCCCATTAATTGCAAGTTATTCCCCCGTTTTGGCAAAAAAAAAAAAAAAGTGCAATATAAACTGGAGGATTAAAGTACCACATCCACCCAATTTTATAATTCAAAATCATGAGTCAAGCATGAAAAAGTATTCATTTTGGCTTTGGAGAATAACGTAGTTTTGTAAAACCATAATGAAATGAATTCCCAAGACATGAAAAGGAGACGGGTCAAAATAGGCAATCGATAATTCTTTGAGGGTAGATTCCATTTTCAATGTACTACTTAACATCTACCGTAAAAGATGTTGGGCTAAATACATTTTTAAACCTTTTTAAAAAAATTTCTTCAGAGTTTTTAGACGCGAGGATTGAGCTGAAAAATATATATAGCCAATTGCCATTCTAATATTGGTGCTTTGTTGTTTCTTGTCCTTTTGAAATCCCATAATATTGTACTATCTCAGTGAATTTACAAGTGTCACCTTAGATTTACATTTTTCAGAATATTTTCTGCCTCTCCTTCTGAGTTATGAAATCCTTGCTGTTGGCCCTTTAATTTTAAGGTTAATTAGAGATCACATCTTTCTGAGGGTCTGGCAAAATGCACAAGTGTAACCAGGGAAACTAGCCCACAAAGTGCTACATGTACTACACGGCTTCTTGAGGCTACGGGAAAAGAGAATTCAACCAAACACTCAGATTTCACAGCTATAAGCTCAGTTGAGTTCAGTTTGATCTACAAAGAAACTAGATGAAAAAAAAAACACAGAAAGGAAAATCGTTATAAATTAAAGCTATGATTAGAATAGTTTAATTGCACAGTTAAATTTCCAAATATTAGTCAGAGCCTTGCAGTAATGGTTGTGTAATTCCTGCACTTCCTGGGTTATGAGCAGATGTGTGTGTATCTCTGTAGATGGAGACCGTGTCAAACCAATTTTTGCATCTCCAAAGCCTTCCCAAAGCCAAGGACACAGTAAGTGTTCAAAAAATATTTGCTTGAACAAGTACAAGAGTCATAAGACTCATCTCTAATAGAATGTACAGGAAATAAGTCACAGATACAAGGTGGTAACCATTGACTGTGGAGGCAGATTACTCAGCCCACATAATCCCTCAGGGGCCATTTCTGAGGAATGTCTACCAGTGCCCCATTCCCTTCTTTTGAGTAATATCATCTTCCACAACATGCAATCTAAATGGGAACTACTTAGACTGGGTAGTTTGTAAACAAGTTTTTTGCTCACAGTTCTGGAGGCTGAGAAGTCCAAGATCAAGGCACCAGCAGATTGTCTGGTGATGGCTCTGTTTCATAGATGGTGACTTGTTTCTTTGTCCTCACCTGGCAGATGGGCAAGAAAGCTCTCTGGGGCCTCTTTTATAAGGCCATTAGTCCCATTCAGGAGGTGCAGAGCCTTTATGACCTAATGACCTCCAGAAAGCCCCATTTCTAAGACCATCATGTTACTGATTAGGCTTCAAGATAGGAATTTTGCAGGAGGCACAAACTTTCATACCATAGCAGGAACTAACCTCGTCTTCATGATTAATGGCTAAGTTTGTGAAAGAAACCAGAATCCAGCCGAAGGACTTTTCAAATTGGAAATAAAAGGATGTGCTTTACCTGGCTTTCACCTCTTTGCAGTGGAAAAGAATGAAATCAACAAGTATAGAGAAACAAAGACAAATGTTGAAAGAGAAATTTGGGGCTGGGTACAGTGGCTCACGCCTGTAATCCCAGCACTTTAGGAGGCCAAGGTGGGTGGATCACCTGAGGTCAGGAGTTCAAGCCCAGCCTGGCCAACATGGTGAAACGCTGTCTCTACTAAAATTACAAAAATTAGCCAGGCGTAGTGGCGAGTGCCTGTAATCCCAGCTACTCAGGAGGCTGAGACAGGAGAATTGCTTGAACCCAGGGGGCAGAGGTTGCAGTGAGCAGAGATGGTGCCATTACACTCCAGCCTGGGCGACAAGAGCAAAAACTCCATTGAAAGAAAGAAAGAAAGAGAAAGAAAGAGAAAGAAAGAAAGAAAGAAAGAAAGAAAGAAAGAAAGAAAGAAAGAAAGAAAGAAAGAAAGAAAGAAAGAAAGAAAGAAAGAAAGTTGGTGTGGCATAGCTTCTGGTCTGGGCATCTAGTTACACTCCTGCCCTTCCCAGTTTTATGAGTGCATAAATTCACCTCTTGGCCTAGTTAATTCAAATTGAATTGAACTAAAAGAACCTGACTTATAAAATGAGTGACCCCTTCTGCAGCAAAAATACATCACCTGAGTCTCTCCCCAAGGAGAAGCGCTCAGGCTGGAAGTGGGGATATAATGACAGAGGGCATTGCATTTGGAAAGATCACCTGTTGTTGCTTGATTGGAATTTGTTCTCTTTTTGATAATAAATGCCTCCGTGGAGGCCAGAGATTGTGAATATGCTTATACACCCCACACTTCCAGAAAAACCTATGAATAATTTCCTCATTAGAAATAACAGCTTCTAACACACAAGGCATCTGAGTCAGCTGGGAAAGTTATCCTGTCACCCTTTGTCACTATTGCGAAAAATAAAAGGCCATGGGGCAGGCTAGAATTTCTGTAGAAATTTGACCCAATTATGTCTTGAACCTTAAGTTATTCTCTCAGACTAAGGTGGTTACTCATCTCATCATCAGAGCCTACTCTATGAGTTATTGGTTTTATCTTACCACTCAGTAAGCAATTCACCAAATACCATGGTCCACTGTGCCTCCATGCCAGGGTCTGTCCCGCAGACCCCAGCTGCACAACGGATGAATAACATACTCAGACACCAATACTCAGCGAAAGAGCAGGCCAGGGGACCAGGCTGCTGACCAAAAGAGTTGTAGCAGCAACAGCCCTGACTAGCTGGCCCTACCAGCATTTATTCAGCATACATTAAATCACAAAGGCTTTCAGTCAACAACACTAGAGGGTAATTAACCTGGTCACCTTCCCCTTGAGAGAGCCATCTTGCCCACAAATGATCAAAGATTAGTTTTAGGACCACATGAGTAAACAAGCTATTTAGATAAACTCCCTTACATTCCTTTGTTCCTACTCTAAGTTATTTATTCAAGGTAAAGATTAGGCTGCCTTCAGCCAGATCTATTACTGGAGCTTATGAAACCCCCTGGCCTTCCAAGAAGGTTTATTCCTATTTCTTATAGTTATCTTTGACTTGGAACCAACCCAAATGTCCAACAATGATAGACTGAATTAAGAAAATGTGGCACATATACACCATGGAATACTAAGCAGCCATAAAAAATGATGAGTTCATGTCCTTTGCAGGGACATGGATGAAGCTGGAAACCATCATTCTCAGCAAACTATCGCAAGGACAAAAAACCAAACACCACGTTCTCACTCATAGGTGGGAATTGAACAATGAGAACACTTGGACACAGGAAGGGGAACATCACACACCAGGGCCTGTTGTGGAATGGGGGGAGTGGGGAGAGATAGCATTAGGAGATATACCTAATGTAAATGACAAGTTAATGGGTGCAGCACACCAACATGGCACATGTATACATATGTAAAAACCTGCACGTTGTGCACATGTACCCTAAAACTTAAAGTATAATTAAAAATGTATATATAAAATAAATTAAATTAAAAAAATTAAAAAAAAAAACTTTTCTCACAAGCCTGACTGAACTCTCACACCTCCACAGCATGATTCTTCCCTAACTGTCTCCAGCTTGGTATGTTAACCCTCTGTAAAGGTCAGCACCTCCATTTTGCCTTGCCCCTTCTCAGTTGACTATCCTATATTCTGGCTAACTTTGATGATGTCAATTTTATAACATCAAAGCAATAAATGATTAACTTTTCAAGTTTAGACCAAAAAGAAGTGGCATTTTTTTCCTTATCCAGAGGCTATCTGGAAAATAACAACATAATAATAACTGCTATTTACTAAAGGCTAAACACTTGATACACACCCTGCAGTAGTTCTCTCTTGTCCTCACAACAGCTCTGGAAGACAGAGATTTTAAGACCGACAGATGAGGAAATGAGGAGCCAGGAGGTAAATTAATTCAACTGCTATTTTATCCAAGTATATGTCAGGTTCCTGGCACTATTCTTGGCACCCAGCACATATAATTACCTCCTATGCCTGTGACTCACCAATAAACAAGGTATAATGATTTCATCTTATAAATAAAGAAACCAGACTGGGCTCAGTGGCACACACTGTAATCCCAACACCTTGGGAAGTAGAGGTGAGAGGATGGCTTGAGGCCAGGAGTTCAAGACAAGCCTGGGCAACATAGCAAGACCCCATCTCTACAAAAAAATTAAAATAATAAAAATTAGCTGGGCATGGCACCTGTAGTCCCAGCTCCTCAGTAGACTGAGGAGAGAGGATCCCTTGAGCCCAGGAGTTCAAGTTTACAGTGAGCTATGATCACGCCATTGCACTCTAGTCTCTAGTGTGGGCAACAGAGCAAGGCCCTATCTCTAAAAAAGAAAAAGAAAAGAATAAAAAAGATGGGGGTGTCTTAGAGCAGTCAAATGCTTTATCCGAGGCCATACAGCTATTAAATAGTGGGGCGAGGATAGAGGTGTGTGTCTCTCTCATTTCATAGCCCCTGATCTTTTCCCACTACACTATGCTGCACTTCATGAACTGTTTTTGGTTCAACTGCTGAAAGTTCCCTTCATAAACACGGAATGATTGAGGTTTACCCTTCACAAGCTCTCTTTTTATCTTTCTTATGGGTCTATTTTCAGGGCAGGAATAAGTTTTTATTTCGAAAATTAAGTCTCATGTTTGCTTTAGGCCCTTTTATTCTAAAAGGAAGCTTCGGTAAAGGTACAGATGGAAGAGGCATACTAACATTCATTAATTTCAGAGCTATGACTCCTTAGTTATCTGGTTTGTATTACCGTAGTAGTCCCTCCTTACCCACAAGGGTTATGTTCCAAGACCCCCAGCAAATGCCTGCAGGTAGCACCAAACCCTATATATAATTTTTTTGTGTATATATACACATACTTGAAGTTTAATTTATAAATCAGACACTGTAAGAGATTAACAACACTAATATTCAAATAAAACAATTATAACAATATAGTATAATAAAGGTTATGTGAATGTGATCTCTCTTTCTCTTTCTCCCAAAATATCTTATTGTAGTATACCGTAACTGAAACTGTGGGAAGCAAAACCGTGGATAAGAGGGGACTACTGCATAATAAGATGCATGCTTTCTACATTTAAAAATGCCTAAAACTGCCATGCGTTTCATAATCTAATTTCAAGAAAATGTACCTATTATCACCCAGATGAATAAATTAAAATAGTCCCAAGTGTTCTAAGACATCCATATAATCTGCTTTCTGATTATCATCCTCAGTTGAGGTTTTTTTAAGTTCATAACACCAGAACAGGTTTAATTTTAACTTAAATTTGAATTCTTAACGGTTACAACACTATCTTCAAAGAATGCACATGATGCTGCAATAAAAATAAAAGTTATTTTTTAAGTGTAGAAGATAGTCACACACTAGGACTGCAATTAAAGGGAGTAGACATTTCTAAATCTTCTGAAATATTTATGTCATAGAATATTCAAATGCAGGAGAAGTCTGCATACATCACCAGGATACAAAGTCTCAAAACTGATTCAGATTAGTTACATTCTGAATGTGAAAAAGGCTTAGTTCCATACTTTAATAATATTGGAAAAAAAGAGGTATTGGTGCTATTGACCATTAATTTAAAAATCAGATGCGATAGGAAGAGGGAGACCAAAATAACCATTGCCACATAATCTTTCTGCAGAAATGAGGACTACAGTATACATCCAAAATTTCTATTTATTTTAATGTTTATAGCTATAATTTTTTTAATTTTCTTCTATTCACTTTTTTCTGCTCTTTTATGTGAAGCATATTGTTGGTTTTTACTTTACAATTTAGTCCATATGTTATAGAAAATCAACACAGGGCCAGGTGCCCTGGCTCATGCCTGTAATCCCAGCACTCTGGGAGGCCGAGGCACATAGATCATTGAGGTCAGGATTCAAGACTAGCCTGGCCAACATGGTAAAACCCTGTCCCAACTAAAAATACAAAAATCATCAGGGGTGATGGCATGCACCTGAAATCCCAGCTACTCGAGAGGCTGAGACAGGAGAATTGCTTCATCCTGTAAGGTAGAGGTTGCAGTGAGCCAAGGTCATGCCACTATGCTCCAGCCTGGGTTATAGAGCAAGACTCCCCCTCGAAAAATAAAAATAAAAATAGAAAATCAACACAGGATCACGATGAAGGTAGGGGAGAAATGGTCACAAGCTAAAGATGCTGGACATGGAACTGGACGTGAAAACCAATGAATTTTATACTGTCTTCCTTTTGGAGAAAGGGTGTATCAGATTTGTTTGGGAGTTTGTTGCACTAACTCAGATTAGAACACTTAGTTTTTGCTATTGTTGATATTGGTTACAAGTCTTAAAAAAAGAGAGAGAGAAAGAGGGACAATAGACATAGGACAGTCAAGGGAAAATTTTGGTGGACATTTTTCATGCTTTGGGCTCACTAGTACTTTTTAAAGTGCTTCTATCTGAAGAATTTGACACATTTTGAGTCTATGCCAGGAACTTATTTTCCCAGTTTCTCCTGCAGTCAGGGTACAAGGATGATTTGGCTATGATATCAGAATCACCCTTGCGAATATGCTATTCAAATGCAATGTGAAAAGGTAGACATCTCACAGGACATGTTCTATCTGCTAAGGTGAGAGCAGACACATCGAGCTGTCAGAAGTACTGACAGAAGTTCACTGGTACACTTTGCAGTACCTGTGCCTGATGGGAGCTGTGGGGTTGCTAAAAGAGCAGCCCAGTAGTAAACTTTTTTTTTTTTCTGCTTAAATCAGCTATATGTTGTCACATGGGATCTCAAGAACGCACAGAAAGTTTATCAGCTTATGAATTGCTTTTTATAGAAATGCAGCTTTTTACCCCTACCAACCCCTCTTTTTCATACTTCTGCACCCCACCCACATACCCTTCCCAGGCTCTGGTGTCTATCATTCTATTCTCTACCTCTATGAGATCAGGAATGTTTTAGCTCCTACATGTGAGTGAAAACATGTGGCTTCTGTCTTTCTGTGCCTGACTTACTTCACTTAACATAATGTCCCTTAGACTCATCCACATTGCTGCAAAGGATCAGATCTGATTCTTTCTTATGGCTGAATAGCATTCCATTGTGTGTATATACCACATTTTCTTTATCCATTTATCTGTTGATGGACATTTAAGTTGATTCCATATCTTGCTTATTGTAAATAGTGCTACAATAAACACAGGGTACAGGTATCCCTTTGAAATACTGATTTCCTTTCCTTTGTATATATACTCAGAAGTGGGATTGCTGGATCTTATGGTAGTTCTTTTTTTTCTCTACATCCTCATAAGCATTTGCTATTTTTTATAACAGCCATTCTAACAAGGGTGGGATGATATCTCATTGTGGTTTTGATTTGATTGCAACTTTCTAACTCATTTAAAAAGAGAAACACTAAATGAAAATGTTAGCAGTGTTTTTATTTGTGTAGTGGATTTGTAGTAATTCTTTCCCCTAGTTTCTTCTCAATATTCTTTAAACTATTTTGCATTTCCTTGGTTTTAAACATGTATTTATTTTATAAGCTTAAAGATACATATTTTTCAATGTTAAAATGAAAAAACACAAAACCTTAAGAAGGGAAAAGCAGAATGTAATCAGCCTGGAATGACAGATCATTCTGGAGATTAACAGTAAAAAGGTATCATGCAATTTCCCAGCATTTGGATCAGTGAATGAACAGAAAATGGATAAGTGAATGAATGGATGGATGGAGGGATAGATGGGTGGATGGATGAATGGATAATATTGATGTGAATGCATGCATATGATGGACAGATATTCCAATAATGGACATTTTTGAATATGTAATTATCAGAGTGAGACACATATTCTAGTAGAGAAATTCCCTTTCCATTCCTCCCCCTCTCTCATTCCTCTCCAAGTAAGGTCACTGGACTTCCCATCGTTTACAGCCTGTAGAACAACCATTTCCATCTCTCTCAGGATTTTTTCTGCACCTGTATATTGAAACCACACACACACACACACACACACACACACACACACTCACACACACATGGCCATGACCCAAGTATTATCTCCCCAACATGCATGTTCTGGACACTAGTCTCCAAGATGGAAATTCCCTTTAACAGTGATCAAGATTTCAGTTAACTTGCAAAGGTCTGAACCTGATACTGTCCCATTGCCTTCCTATTATCCTCCACTGTTACTGACCCAGCACTGACATAAGAATTTTTCCCACTCTTCTTTCTGTGCCCACACCAACCATATACATTGTTACAAGAGAATATAGTAAGAATATTATTATACTGACATTTTAAAATATTCTGCAAATTTTATCTTTAAAAGATTTTATTTCATAAAAGTATCAAATCATACAAGTAATGAATACTATAGTTCATGATCCCTAACACACAGGGCAAAAATATAATTGAAAAAATATAGAATAAACTGCTGCAGTTCTAGAGCACTGTTCTTATTTTTTTGCTAAGACAGGCAGGTTCATAAGAGGATTCATAAGCCAAGAAATTGCGGGTGGGGTGGGTTCAATAAAAATTCATTTAAAATCAAATTTGCAAGTGAAAAACCTTTGACTTTCTGTGGATTAACATTGGTATAATATCAAGCAAGAGAGTTTACTGGGCCATAATTTTAAGACTCTTCAATGCCTTTGGCAGATATCAAATAATAGCCTATTTAAAGGCAATCCTACTTACTTGAATCAAGGGATGGACTTGAAAATAACATAACTACAACCTCTGGAAAAAGACTTTTAAAATGCTATCCTTTACTAGGACATAGAAATCAGAAAAGAAATACAAAGTAAATTGTATAAATTATGACCTGAACCAACATTAAACTCTTATAAACAAAAAAGTTAGAAAGAAAAGAAAGGGGGTGGTAAGGGAGGGAGGGAGGAAAGAAGGAAAGGAAGAATGAAAGAAGGGAGGGAGAGAGAGGAAGGAACCCTGAAGAGAAATGACCTAAACAATTCCTTAAATATAATTTTAAAAAATTACTCACTAAACAAGTATTTATTAAGATACATCAGAATATATAGAACTGTATAAAATATTAATATTAAATATTAAATTTCAGATTAAATAGTGCATATTAAATAAAAGATACAGGCTCTGTCTTTAAGTATTTTATAATCCAACAGAAGGGATATACAGTCAAGTACACAGTTCAGTATAAATGTATGTGAGAGGTGTGTGGGTGGGCGGGTGGGGAAATGAACAGGTCTACCCATGAAAAGAGAAGGACTAGAGAAGATGAGGTTCTTAGAGTCCTCGTGAGTTGCCCACGCTGAATTTCGTCCCTCAGTCACGTGCCCTTCTGTGACTACAACTATGCCATGAACCACTGCTCACTCTCCTGCTGCCTGGATTTCCTGAACACACATCCTTGACAGCTGCTACCCTATCTACAGGGACCCTACCCCTGGCTGAATTGGGGACAGACCAAAATTCCATTTGAGCACCTCTATTTGTTCTCTACACACAAATTCACTACATACAAATGAATGAATGATCTCAAATTTCCTGAAGTTGGTTAATTAAAGACAATTCAAGGTAATATTGAAACCATGTATAGTGAATGCTAAACATGACTTCTCCCGTAGTACCAGGAAAAAGTAAGCAAATGTTGTATATTCATGATGTCCCTAGTTCTCCATCTTGATGCCTTGTTGTACAGTCTGTGCTACTGTCAAGAATTTATCCTTCCTTCAACTCTCTCTAGTGTTCAAGAAACTTCTAACTAACACTCACCAGAGGTGATACCATTCTATCATCCATGCTTTTCCCTCAAGAAGTTCATTTTTGCCAGTGAGTTCAGTTTAAAAAAAAAAAAGCCCTGAGCCTCTAACAGGATACTTTGTGGTGATCTTTGACAACCCAAATCCCCCAGAACAATCCAGGATCAGTATGGGCTCTCCGGGTTTAGTTTTATATGCAGTTCCCTCCCAGTGAATGTTTCAAATACACATGCATGCATACACACACACACACACACACACACACACACACACACCCCACATAGAAACACATCTTTCAAAGGAAAATATTAATTTTTAAAGACAGTATGGCCTAATCCTATAACAAGGAGCAAAAGGAGTTTTCTTCATTTGAAAGCTCCTTCTCACCATGGGGTTATTGATTTGCATTATTATACAGAATTGTATTTATCCCTTTCGCTCTCCTCTACCCCTCTTCAGCATATGTCCCCTTGGCCTGCCAAGGGCCTCGCTGAAAGTGATAGTCTCTAAATATCTGTCTGTTCTTAACCAAGAGATTAAAATACTACCTTGATATTACTACTTGTAAAAGCTCTTATAAGAATCCCTTATATTCTCCAGGATGAGGCTATCTCATGGGGAAAAACCTTGTTTCTTCAGTTTTACACATATGCATGTATGCCTGTTAATGAACATGGATGGACACACACACACACCCACACAGATGCACATATTAACACATCACTATGAAACTGACTTTGAAAAAATAAAATGGGTCAAAGATTTTGTCAGAGGTTTGAAGAGTATGTTGAATTATTTGGAGCACAGATTTTTCATGGGAGTCCATCAATCTTGGTTTGAAATTTGAAGATGGAGAATGTCACATTTTGTACAAGAAGAGGAAATGTTTCACTATGATTGCTACGGTAAAAGTGTGAAAATTGTAAAAAGTTAACCTTGTCAGGTATATAGAATGACAATATAGAAGCTTATTTCTATATTTTATAAATATGTTAGCAAATGGTAAAAAAAAAATAACTTTGAAGAAAGCAGTGTTACCTTTGATCTATAAAAACAGGAGAAAAAATAATAAATTACAAATGTATTGCTCTAGTTCAGAACCATCATTCTATAAACTTTTTAATCCACAGATGTCTATATTTCTATTGCAATTTTAATTACAAAAGTCTAAACCTTTTTAATTGTATTAAAGTTATAATTAAAAGTTGATTATTTAATTATAATAAAATGGATAAACCTCTAGTTAGACTAATCAAGAAAAAAGAAAAGACACAAATTTTCAATATCAGAAATGAAAAAGGGAATATTACTGGAGATTCTACAAACGTTAAAATAATAAAGTAATATTATAAACAACTTACACTAATGAATTCAACAACTTAGCTTCAATAACAACAAAATCACTGAAAGATACAAACTACCAGAGCCACTAGAGAAGAGATGTATAACCTGAATAGCCTTATATCAGTTAAAGTAATTGAATTTGTAGTTAAAACCCTTTCCTCAAATAGAACTCCTTTCTACAAAACAATTAAGGGATAAGTAATACTAATTCCACACTAACTCATTTAAAAATAAAAAAGAGAATACTTCCTAATTCATTTTGAGAAGAAACCAATAGCTTGTTAGCAAAACTAGACCAAGATGTCAGTTCTCTCCAAATTGACTACAGATCCAGTGCAATAACAATCAGAATCTTAGCACATTGAACAAAAAAAAACTATAGACCAATATCTCTCATGAAAATAGACACAAAATCCTTAATAAAATATTAACAAAATGGATACAACAATATATAAATAGAATAATATGCTATGACCAAGTGATGTTTATCCCAGATATGGTTTAACTTTTTTAATCAATAAATGTAATTCATCATAATTAGTGAGTAAAGAAGAAAAACCATAAAATCATCTTGATAGATGCAGAAAATGCATTTAACAAAATTCAATATCCACTGATAAAAAAAAACTCTCAGCAAATTAGGAAAAGAAGGGAATTTTGTCAACCTGATAGAGTGTATTTAAAAAAAAACTGATTGACATTATTCTTAATAGTAGAAAGCTGTATACTTTCCTCTTGAGACTGGAAATAAGAATGTCCACTGTCACCATTTATATTCAGCACTGTACTAAAGGAACTAGCCTAGGCAATAAGAGAACTAAAAGAAATAAAAGACATACAGATTGAAAAGGAAGAACTACACCAGCTTTATTTGCAGATGGCATGATTATCTATGTAGGAAGAAATCTACAAAAAAAACTCATAACTAATAAGATGTGTATTACAAGATCAATACACAAATATCAATTACACTCTAGCAGGAAACAACTGGAAATCCATCAATTGATGAATGAACAAATAATGTATTATATCCATATAATAGAATATTTTCAACAATAAAAAGGAAAGGGGCTGGGCATGGTGGCTCACGCCTGTAATCTCAACATTTTGGGAGACCAAGGTGAGTCAATAGCTTGAGTCTGGGAGTTCAAGACCAGCCTGTGCAATATGGTGAAACCCTGTCTCTACAAAAAATACAAAAATTAGTGGGGTGTGATACCTGTAGTCCCAGCTTCTTGGGATGCTGACGTAGGAGGATGGCTTGAGCCCAGGAGGCAGAGGCTATAGTGAGCCAAGATTGTGCCACTGCACTCCAGCTTAGGCAACAGAGTAAGACTCTGTCTCAAAAAAAAAAAAGAAAGAAAGAAAGAAAGAAAGAAAGAAAGAAAGAAAGAAAGAAAGAAAGAAAGAAAGAAAGAACGGCTAATGCAGTACAACAATGTGGATGAAACTCAAAGGATTATACTAAGTGAATAAAGCCAGTCAAAAAAGACTACATACTGTATGACTTCATTTCTATGAAATCCTAGAAAAAAACAAAGCTTTAGTAATAGAAAGCAGATCAGTGGTTGTCAGGAACTAGGAAGTAAATAAAAGAGATTGACTGCAAAGAGGCACTAGAGAACTTTTGGGGATGCTGAAATAGTCTACATCATGACTGTAGTGATTGAAACTTAAGTATATAAGTTCATAAAAATTCATCAAACTACACTTAAAATGCTTACTTTTACTTTTTGTAATTACACATTAATAAAGCAGATAAAATTATATTTAATGTCAGTCATTTTTATTAATATTTTCCTTATATTGGTATTTATCTTTCATTTCTAAAATAGAAAGCTATTTTTTTATTTTCTGTCACCATCCCATTCTTCTGAAAATATCATTCCAAAACTTTCTTCTAGAAACTGTCCTTTACCTTCAACAGGGACTCACATTCTATCTTGTGGTTTCTATAAGAACTACTATGCCAGCATTAATTGACCCAGGAGTTGGCAGCTGACCCAACTGGGTCAATGAGTTACTTTCCAAGAGATTCACCTTGACTCTTTATAGTACCTGAAGCTTTAATATGTTAAGTTTGGAAGCCATCAGTAGCCCTACCAGAGAGAACAGTGAAAGGAATCCAGTTTGCTGAGAGAAAAATACTGATGCAGGTAAACTGAGTGGTACAGAGAAAAGTGATGAAAAGTTCTAACATTTTAAAACATATTTTCTCAAAAATTTGTTGTATAATAGTCCTTCTCTGATCACTCATTCCTCTGACTGTATCTTAGAATCTCCTCCCGACAAGAAGTATCTATTTACTTTATACCGATTGGGGTTTTTGCAACATGCAACCAAGAGAGTACTAACTCATACATCATTCAAGTTAGTATGTTTGTATTATGATCCTGCTTAAATACCATGCACATGAAATAAAACCTTCATTAACTGCCAATGAAGGTTTTATTTCACTGGCTATTCCACGTGCATATGAGTATAGACATATAAAAATAAAATGGTAGGCTTTTGATAAGTATTTTTAAATACCAATTTCTACCAACTAATCTTTGAAATGTGTCACAGTTGACATGAACAGAATAGGATATATTATGTATTAAAATATCTTTACAAAATGGATTTGCTGCTCCTGGTCCACTTCTGCTCATGGTTTTGTCTCAATACTCAAATCAAAAGCAAGTTTTAACAAGGACAAATTAAAGTGTACTTTCCTGTCAGGAATCAAGACAAAGAAAATTATGAAAAGCACAGATTCAGGACTGGTATGAAATATAGACATAGATATAGATATTTATTTAATGTCTGTTAGCTTTACATCATCTTTAACAAATATTGAAATATTTAACTTTTTAAAAAACAAAGAGAATCTGAAGTTAGGTTGCCTGGATGTAATTTCTAGTTATCCCACTTCCTACCTGAGTGTCCTTGAGCAATTGCATAATCTCTTTGTTCCTCAGATTCCTCATCTACAAAGTGGGAATAATAATAGTACCTGGTATGTCAAAGACATATTTGTACTCCCATGTTCACTGCAGCATTATTCATAATAGCCAAGACATTGGAATTACATTAGTCTGCTTTCATATTGCTATAAAGAGCTACCTGAGACTGAGTAATTTATGAGGGAAAGGAGTTTAATTGACTCACAGTTCAGCATACTTGGAGAGACCTCAGGAAACTTACAATCATGGCAGAAGGCAAAGAGGAAGCAAGGCACCTTCTTCACAAGGCAGCAGGAAGGATGAGTGCTGAGCAAAGGGGAGAAGAGCCCTTTATGAAACCAACAGATCTCATGAGAACCCTCTATCACAAGAATAGCATGGGGGAAACCACCCCTATGATTCAATTACCTCCAGCTGGTTTCTCTCTTGACACATGGGGATTATAGGGATTATAATTCAAGAGACTTGGGTGGAGACACAAAGCCTAACCATATCAGGAATCAAACCTAAGCGTCCATCAATGAATGAATGGATAAAGAAAATGTCATATATATGCATACACAATGGAATACTATTCAGCCTTAAAAAAGAAGGAAATCCTGCCTGTAATCCCAGCACTTTGGGAGGCTAAGGCAGGCGGATAATGAGGTCAAGAGATGGAGACCATCCTGGCCAATATGGTGAAACCCCATCTCTACGAAAAATACAAAAATTAGCCAGGCGTGGTGGCATGCACCTGTAGTGCCAGCTACTCGGGAGGCTGAGGAAGGAAAATCGCTTGAACCCTGGAGGCAGAGGTTGCAGTGAGCCGAGATCACGCCACTGCACTCCTCCCTGGAGACAGAGAAAGACTCCAT
The DNA here is from genome assembly GCF_000001405.40 of Homo sapiens. Classification (NCBI taxonomy): domain Eukaryota; kingdom Metazoa; phylum Chordata; class Mammalia; order Primates; family Hominidae; genus Homo; species Homo sapiens. The sequence continues at coordinate 183,270,910 of NC_000002.12, read as the reverse complement.
CTCAAAAAAAAGAAAAAAGAAGGAAATCCTGTCATTTGTAATAACATGGATGAACCAGAGGACATTAAGTTAAGTGAAATGAGCCAAGCACAGAAAGACAAGTACCATATGATGTCAATTATATGTGGAATCTAAAAAGTAAAACTCACAGAAGCATAGAGTAGAAAGATGGTTACCAGAGGCTAGGGAGTGGGAACATGTTGATCAAAGGATAGAAAGTTTCAATTAAACAAGAGAAGTTAGTTCAAGAGATCTATTTTACAACATGGTGACTATATTTAATAACAATGTATTGTACTCTTGAAAATTGCTAAAAGGGTAGATTTAAAGTGTTCTCACCACAAAGAAAAGTACGTGAGGTAATGTATATGTTAATTACCTCAATTTAGCCATTCCACAACGTATAAATATTTTAAAACAACATATTATACAAAATAAATATACAAAATGTTTATTAGTCAAAACTATATATTTATATTTGAAAAACTATATATGATACTGCTTGGAAAAAACTTGAGAACATTGCCTGGCATGCCATAGTGTTATATAAGAACACTTTTTTTGTAGCAAGATCCTATGTAACTGAGTAATCAATTCATTTATTGCTATAATTTTTTTGTTTTGTAACGAAGTTTTTAATGATTTAAACGCTTCTTAGAGTCATGCCCTTAAACATAGCTTATGTGATTAGTTCCGTTGTTTTTTTGTTTTTTTTTTTTTTGAACAGGCAAAAGCTGGAAGCATTCCCAGAACTGGAACAAGACAAGGATGCCTACTCTCACCATTCCTATTCAACATAGTACAGGAAGTCCTAGCAAGAGCAATCTGTCAAGAGAAAGAAATAAAAGGCATAGAACTAGGAGAGGAAGTCAAATCATCTCTATTCACGGAGGATATGATCCTGTACCTAGAAAACCCTAAAGACTCTGCCAAAAGTCTCCTAGAACTGATAAAATGGCTTCAGTAAAGTTTCAGGACATAAGATCAATATGCAAATCGCTAGCATTTCTGTACACCAATAATATTCAAGCTGAGGGCCAAATCAAGAATACAACCCCATTTACAATAGCCATAAAAAAAAATATCTAGGAATACATCTAACCAAGAAGGTGACATATCTTTATGAGGAGAACTAAAAAACGGTGCTGAAAGAAATCATAGATGACATAAATGGGAAAACATTCCATGCTGATGGATTGGAAGAATTAATATCATTATAATGTCCATACTACCCAAAGCAATCTAGAGATTAAACATTACTCCTATCAAGCTACCAACATTATTTCCCACAGAATTAGAAAAACCATTCTAAAATTAATATTGAACCAAAAAGAGGCTTGAATCTGAAGCAAATAAAAAAACAACAAAGCCAGGCCAGGCGTGATGGCTCTCTCCTGTAATCCCAACACTGTGTGAGGCCAAAGTGGTTGGATCACTTGAGGCCAGGAGTTCTAGACAAGCATGGCCAACATGGGAAAACCCTGTCTCTACTAAAAAATACAAAAACTTAGCTGGGCATGGTGGTGCACACCTGTAGTCCCAACTACTGGGAGGCTGAGGCACAAGAATTGATTCAACCAGGGAGGCAAATGTTGCACTGAGCCAAGATGGCACCACTGTACTCCAGCCTGGGTAATAGAGTGAGACTCTGTATCCAAAAAAAAAAAAAAAAAAAAAAAGAACAAATCCAGAGTAATCACATTACCCAACTTCAAACTATACTACAAAGCTACAGTAACCAAAACGGCATGATACTAGTATAAAAACAGACACGTAGAACAATGGAACAGCAGGGAAAACCCAGGAATAAAGCTGCACACCTACAACCAACTAATCTTTGACGAAGTCAACAAAATAAGCAGCAGGGAAAGGACTCCCTATTCAAAATGGTGCTAGGATAACTGGCTAACCATATATAGAGATTGAAGCTAGACCTCTACCTATAATCATATATAAAAATTAACTCAAGATGGATTAAAGACTTAAATGTAAAACTTCAAATTATAAAAATCCTAAAAGAAATTGTAGAAAATACCCTTCTGGACACTGGCATTGGTAAAAATTTATGACTAAGTCCTCAAAAGTAATTGCAAGAAAACAAAAATTGAAAGATGGGACCTAATTAAAGAGCTGCTACACAGCAAAAGAAACTATCAACAGAGTAAAGAGAGCCTACAGAATAGGAGAAAATATTCTCAAACTATGCATCCAACAAAGGTCTCATATCTAGAATCTCTAAGGAACTTAAATCAACAAGCAAAAAACAACCCTATTAAAAAGAGGGCAAAGAACATGAACAGATACTTCTCAAAAGAAGACATATGAGAAGCCAACAAACATATGCAAAAGTGTTCAACCTCACTAATCAGAGAGACGCAAATCAAAACCACAATGAGATACCATTTCACACCAGTCAAAATGGCTGCTATTAAAAAGTCAAAAAATAACAAATGTTGGTGAGGTTGCAAAGAAATGAGAATAGTTATATGCTGTTGGTAGGAATGTAAATTAGTCCAGCCACTGTGGAAAGCAGTTTGGAGGTTTCTCAAATAGCTAAAAATAGAACTACCATTTGATGAAGCAATCCCATTACAGGGTATATGGTTTAGCTCTGTGTCCCTACCTAAATCTCACCTTGAATTGTAATCCCTATAATCCCCACATGTCAAGAGCCAGACCAGGTGCAGGTAATTAGATCATGGGGACGGTTTCCCCTGTACTGTTCTTGTGATAGTGAGTGAGTCTCACGAGATGTGATGGTTTTATAAGTGTCTGGCATTTCCCCTGCTTGCACTCATTCTCTCTCCTGCCACCCTGTGAAGAGGTGCCTTCTGCCATGATTGTAAGTTTCCTGAGGCCTCCCCAGCCATACGGAACTGTGAGTCGATTAACTCTTTTCTTTATAAATTACCCAGTCTTGGGTATTTCTTCATAGCAGCATGAGAATGGACTAACACACTAGGTATCTACCCAAAGGAAAATAAATCGTTCTACCAAAAAGATACATGCACTTATATGTTCATCGCAGCATTATTCACAATAACAAAGACAAGGAATCAGCCTAGTGCCTATCAATGGTAGACTGGACAAAGAAAATGTGGCACATGCACACTATGGAATAGTGCCATGGGGCAGGCTGGTCTAGACAGCAGGGGGATGTTTTCAGGATTAAAGGTTCCCCCAACCTAGTCCTGAACACATCAGGTGCTGGAGCACCTGTGTTCCCATGAGGGCAGCGTGGGCCATGCATGACTTCAGAAGACCCTCAAGGCTTGACTAAGTACACCAGTTTCATTCTGAACATGCTGCTCTAAAACACATCCCTGTTGAACCACAGCAGGATCAGATATGTGAGCTTCTGGCCTACTGATGCTCAAGAGCCAGGGCATGCAGGGAAGACTCCAGAACTCCTAACTCTTGCTAACCTTACATCTGGGATTCTTACGCCCTCAGCTAAAGAACTCAATGAATTTCAACTTTGAAGAGGTTCTTCTAACACTTGGCCATTTCAACCAGGTTTTGCTAAAGTCCTCTGAAATTGGGGAACTGAAAGCCAATTACTTGGATCACAAGTTGCCTGTGAAATCTGCAAGGACCTGCTGTCGGGGCTCATTAAACCCCAAAGTATGGCACCTTGGCATGCGGACTATTCTGACCCAGAGGAGACTGGAAGGCCTCAGAAGCCAGGTCTTTGTCCTTCCCTCCTGGTTCCTGCCCCCTTTTCTCCCCGAAAGTGAGTCACAGAAACCAGAATTCTTTTTCCCCAAGGCAGGTCATAGAAACCAGAACTCCTCTCTCCCAAAGCCAGCCATAAAACCTAGCAAGGTCACTCTCTCCCTTCTCCCTGGAAGACCCTCATTCCCGAGGGGTCCCGCCCCATACCCAGGGGAAGGGGAATTGTACAGAGTGGCCTTGCTGGGTTTCCCCCACTCCATCCATCACTGTTAGGCCAGATCCTTTGTGTCCAATCACATTTCTGCATGGCTGTTCATTCATCGAACCTAAATATAAAAATACAGGTTTTCCCTGGGTTTAAAAAAAAAAGAAAGAAAAGAAAAGAAAACATGGTATGTACATACTATGGAATACTACACAATAATAAAAAAGAATGAAATCAATCATGTCCTTTGTGGTAGTGGATGCAGCTGGAGGCCATTATCCTAAGCAAATTAATGCAGAAACAGAAAACCAAATACCGCATGTTCTCACTTACAAGAGGGAGCTAAGTATTGGGTACACATGGACATAAAGATGGAAACAATAGATACTGGAGACTACTAGAGCAAGGAGGGAAGTGGGGTAAGGGATGAGAAACTACCTACTGGATACTATGCTCACTATCTGGATAACGGGTTCAGTGGTTCCCCAAGTCTCAGCGCCATGCAATATACCCTTATAACAATCTTGTACATGTATTCCCTAAATCAAAAACAAAAGTTGGAAGTTTTTTTAAAATGAATACAGTTTTTACTGTATTGTTAGCTGAACACTTTAATAATTTTCATGTGTCTGTTTTAAATGTATCTAGTGTTTGGTGTTTTGGGAATTTTTTCTTTTTTTTAGAGAGTACAAGTGCAGGTTTCACATTCATTGTGTCGTGGTGAAGTCTGGGCTTTTAGCATACCCATCTTCTGAATAGCGAACGTTGTACCCAACAGGTAATTTTTTTGAGCCTGACCCTCCTCTTACCCTCCCACCTTCTGTAATCGCCAGTGTCTATTATTTCACTCTGTAGGACCACATGTACCCATTGTTTAGCTCCCACTTATAAGTGGAAACATGAAGTATTTGACTTTCTGTTTCTGAGATATTTCAGTTAGGATAATGGCCTCCAGTTCCATTAACTAAAATATTTGTATATATGTTCATATGTTTGACCTTGCTAACTCCTTGGGGGAAATTTTGACTGTTTTATAATATATTAGAAGTTTTTTAACATCTGAATTTTTTTTTACAGTATGAGTACCAATAAGCCTTTATTTATTCATTGTATTTTCCCAGGGAAAGGAGAAGGAAATGGAAGCGTCAGCATGTGTTAAAAAAATGACTAGAAAATGGGAAAGGAAATACCCAGTACAGCAAAATCAACCATCAAATAAACACACCCCAGTGATGGGGTCACCAAAGCCCAAAGGGGCTCAGTCTCCTGCAGTTCAGGAATGAGGGAAAGGGATCAGGAAAAGAACAGACAGCTACAGGCTTTCCTACCCTCCCTCCCCATAAATTCAAGATTTTACACAAAGCTTTGGTTTCTAGCAGTAAATATAGAGTTATATTCATTTGTCTCCTATTAAACAATCTTGTGGCCACTTTGACATAAGTTTCTGTATAAAAGTTCCTGAGTGACTTGTATATACATTCATATTCTCTTTCTTGGCCTGCTGACCTCAATTTCTACATGGAAGGCCCCCAGTTGCATCTCTCTACTTTAGGAGTAAAAATTAAGTAGGTTTGAGCCATCCAAAATACAGCAGTGTCTTTTTTTTTTTTTTTTTTTGAGACGGAGTCCCGCTCTGTTGCCAAGCTGGAGTGCGGTGGCGCGAACTCAGCCCACTGCAACCTCCATGCGCCTACCCTCCACCGCCTGGCCCAAGCGATTCCCCTGCCCCAGCCTCCCTCCCGAGCAGCTGAGACCACAGGCATGCGCCACCACACCTGGCTAATCTTCTGTATTTTAGCAGAGATGGGGTTTCACCATGCTGGCCAGGATGGTCCCGAACTCCCGAACACATGATCCGCCCACCTCAGCCTGTGAAAGTGCTGGGACCACAGGTGTGAGCCACCATGCCCGGGCTACAGCAGTGTCTTAAGTGTTTGGCATGAATACATCAAGAAATGGTCAGCCCGGCACGGTGGCTCACACCTGCAATCCCAGCACCCTGGGAGGCTGAGGCGGGCAGATCACTTGAGGTCAGGAGCTTAAGACCAGCCTGGACAACAGGACGAAACCCCATCTCCACTAAAAATACAAAAATTAGCTGGGTGTGGCGGGCGCGTGTAATCCCAGCCACTCAGGAGGCTGAGGCAGGAGAACCACCTGAACCCAAGAGGCGGAGGCTGCAGTGAGCCAAGAGCATGCCACTGCACTCCAGCCTGGGCAACAGAGCAAGATGAAGGGAAGGGAAGGGGAAGGGGAAAGGGAAGGGAAAGGATGGGTAATGGTCTTGACTCAGGAAGTTGGGAACAAGGGATGGAGGGTTTTCTTAGCTTCTTCAGGATTTTTGCATACATCGTTTAAGAGTTGTGGAGACTTTCCAAGCATTAAATGTGTATGTGTGTGGGTGTGTAAGTTTTCTTTTGGGGGATGAACAGAAAAGAGGGCAGGATAGAAGACAAGTTTTTAGGACAGAAGATCTGGTCTAATAGGTAATAGGGGAAGGGGAATACAAAACAAAGGACAGTTCAAGATCCCCACTTTAAGAAGAGGGCCCCCCAAACTAATGTTTCAGATCTTTTTGCCTGGTATAGAACCTTCTGTCAAAGATGCTTTAGCTATTTTTCTTTCAATACAAAAAGAAGTTTGTAAACAAAACCCCCAAAGAACACGGAGAAAGACTAATACATTATATTTATACAAACTAGGCCACCTAGCAATCACCAATTTAGTGAAATCCTATAAAGCCCAGACAAATACAATAACTGGGGGGGGGGGGGCAGCATTTAGGGGAGACAAGAACCCAGGATCAGACACACACCACCCAATGCGTTCTATTGCATTTGTCCTGTTTCAACACAGTGAGGTAGGTTTGCGGTGATCTCACAGCATATAAACGAAATCCCCTTTTTCTCCTTTAGCTACCGTGACAATATTAATCACTACTGCAGCAGGGCGGGACGCAGGTCCCAGGCACCACAAAGCCCTTGCTTATGTGTCTACCTGGAACCCATGAATTTTGAAAGGTTAAGGATACCTTACTTCATATATCCATCCCTCGACAGCACAGGATTAAGTATAAGGGTACTGGTCTTAAAACTTATCCTTACCAACTCCAGTTTTATGAGCACACATACCCTGTCGTGCATGGAAGGCCTAGCCTAATCTGGTGAAGAATGGAACTGGGGTGTAAAGCATGTCCTGTGCCCTAGGATTAGTCACCCCTCACCTAATCGTGGCTTCCTCTCTGGGCCTTTCACCTGGCCCAGTCTCTCCTAGCCTCTCTGTACCACCATTTACTGTTTAGACTAATTCCCAATCTTCCAGTAGGAGGCAATCAAGTCATGGGGCAACCCAGTTAAAACCTAGTCTCCCATAAAACATTTTCAAGGCAGAGGGGGTTTCAAGAGGACACTATGGCAGAAAAGCCAGCTCTCATTGGTAGAAATGAGGTAGTTCAATAGGCTGTGCACTCCAAATAATAAATCTCCACAGTGGCAAAAACAACAAAAAGTATAGTTTTAGTCTCTGGTGTGTGATGTTCCCCTTCCCGTGTCCAGGTGTTCTCATTGTTCAATTCCCACCTATGAGTGAGAATATGTGGTGTTTGGTTTTCTGTCCTTGTGATAGTTTGCTGAGAATGATGGTTTCCAGCTTCATCCATGTCCCTACAAAGGACATGAACTCATCATTTTTTATGGCTGCATAGTATACCATGGAGTATATATGCCACATTTTCTTAATCCAGTCTATCATTGATGGGCATTTGGGTTGATTCCAAGTCTTTGCTATTGTAAATACTGCCACAATAAACATACGTGTACATGTGTCTTTATAGTAGCATGATTTATAATCCTTTGGATATATACCCAGTAATGGGATGGCTGGGTCAAATGGTATTTCTAGTTCTAGATCCTTGAGGAATTGCCACACTATCTTCCACAATGGTTGAACTAGTCTACAGTCCCACCAACAGTGTAAAAGTGTTCCTATTTCTCCACATCCTCTCCAGCACCTGTTGTTTCCTGACTTTTTAATGGCCATTCTAACTGGTGTGAGATGGTATCTCATTGTGGTTTTGATTTGCATTTCTCTGATGGCCAGTGATGATGAGCATTTTTTCATGTGTCTGTTGGCTTCATAAATGTCTTCTTTTGAGACGTGTCTGTTCATATCCTTCGCCCACTTGTTGATGAGGTTGTTTGATTTTTTCTTGTAAATGTGTTTAAGTTCTTTGTAGATTCTGGATATTAGCCATTTGTCAGATGGGTAGACTGCAAAAATTTTCTCCCATTCTGTAGGTTGCCTGTTCACTCTGATGGTAGTTTCTTTTGCTGTGCAGAAGCTCTTTAGTTTAATTAGATCCCATTTGTCAATTTTGGCTTTTGCTGCCATTGCTTTTGGTGTTTTAGACATGAAGTCCTTGCCCATGCCTATGTCCTGAATGGTATTGCCTAGGTTTTCTTCTAGGGTTTTTATGGTTGTAGGTCTAATATTTAAGTCTTTAATCCTGAATTAATTTTTGTATAAGGTATAAGGAAGGGATCCAGTTTCAGCTTTCTACATATGGCTAGCCAGTTTTCCCAGCACCATTTATTAAATAGGGAATCCTTTCCCCATTTCTTGTTTTTGTCAGGTTTGTCCAAGATCAGATGGTTGTAGATGTGTGGTATTATTTCTGAGGGCTCTGTTCTGTTCCATTGGTCTATATCTCTGTTTTGGTACCAGAACCATGCTGTTTTGGTTACTGTAGCCTTGTAGTATAGTTGGGTCAGGAGAGGGGCAAGGGATAGCATTAGGAGATATACCTAATGTAAATGACAAGTTAACAGGTGCAGCACACCAACATGGCACATGTATACATATGTAACAAACCTGCATGTTGTGCATATGTACCCTAGAACTTAAAGTATAATAATAAGTATTCCTGCTGTGCAGAACTCAAGCTGCTGCCGACTTATCCCTGAGATTGCTCATGCACCTGAGAATACAGTGCAGGAAATGATGGCCTCAGACTAAAATATACAAAAATACAAAACCAGAATATTTATATTAAGGAAAAAAAAGTTAAACTGCACAAGATACATCATTTGCACACAGCTAGTTCAGTTGGCATCCTGGAGAAAGTGGGACTCAAGGTGCAGTATCAAAGGGAGCAAATAAATAAAATCACATTGGCCTAGAATGGGGCAGGGGTAAGCATAGGAGCAGCAGGTCTGCAGCTGTTCCCCCAAACATCCTTTTTGCCATCATCAGTACCCATTGCTTGGGACAGTTGCCAGCACCCTATCCCAAAAGTGGGTATATGGATACAAGATGTGAAAAAAACACTGCCTTACTCCTGATAGATTTCCTTCCACAGGATGCAGTGGCTTGGCTCCATGAATCTGGTCTTATACTTAATCATTTCACTCTGGCATGGGAATTATTACATATCCTTCTTTAAAGGAAAACAACTTCCCTATCCAGGCCACTTTCAAAAGCTGGAAATTCTGGGGATGGAGCCTCAGATAAAGCATGCAGATTGTAGGGTGATTCCCACCTCCTGGTTGCCCCCAGAACCCTCACTTGTATTTGGACAGAGCACGGTTGGAGTTCCTTTGACTCACCCTTTCCCCCAACAGAGAGAAGAAAGGGTGATGGTGTGAACCCCAGCCTGAGAAACATGGCAGTGCCAACTAGCCCCAATGTACCCTATTCCCACTTTCTCCACTCTGCCTGCTCCTCAAAACTTCCTGATAGCAAAAGAATAGCCTCCACCCATTGTGGCTCAATTCTGTGCCTCCGGGAGCAGGGCAGGGCTGTGGATTTCTTCTTCCTCCCGAAAGTAGGTTGGCTTTCCCTGTGCACTAGGGCCCTGCTGGGCCTTCAGTGGACATGAAGCTACCATATGACTGATGCTCTGGCAGAAGTGGCACTTCTTGGCCTGGGGTGGCATCTTGCATTCCTTGGCATGATGGTCTAGACCTCCACAGTTGTAGCACCTGTCTTTTGATCTGCGCTTCTTGCATGTTCTTCCCCTTTGGCTACCTCTCACTCCCAATACGGAACGCCCCACCAGGTCCGGTGACACGGATGGATTCCAGACCCTTGGCTGACTTCTTAAAGGTGAACTCCACTGCCTCACCCTCCTTCAAGCTCCGGAAGCCTTCCATGGGCAGCTTACTCTGGTGCACAAAGACGTCCACTGGTGGGTCGAGCGCGACCACGGCGCGGGCAGTCACGGACAGTAAGCCGAATCCCATGCGCAAGTTGAACCACTTACAGATGCCCTCACCGTGCAGCAGCTGAGCCTCGTCCGCCGCCCGGGCCGCATCCTCCGGCGCCTCCTCGGGTGCCTCTTCTGCCGCCTTGGCGCAGCCACTTGCAAACTGCTGGGTGGACACGGAGCCTATGGTCGTCGGCTGAGCCCGTGGCCCCGGGCCCCTGGTCAGGCAGCTGCTGGCCCCGGAGAACTCCGAAGACCAACATCTGAATTTACTAGAATCCTGATTGTTAAGTATATACTGTCAGGAACAAATTTTTTATTACAGAGTTCATAGAACAATGCTGAATTTACCAAACTTAGTATTTTGCTGCAACTAGAAGCTCCAAGGGTTAAGAGGAGGCACGGTTGATCTAGCTAATCTCAGATTTAAAAGGTAAGAATGTCCTATTTAGGAGACCCTTCCTTATACACCTATCACTCATTAATTTTCCCAAATAATTTTTGATTAAATAGACATTTTCTTACTTTTATACACAATTCCCATAAAGTATACACAAAAGTCAAAAAATAAATTTTCTTGTCACAAATGGTTAGGTATAGTATTAATCATATCTCATGTTACACAAAATCTGTGAATTTTGCTTGTTCCCTTTACAACTGAACCTACAGACAACTGATTAAGTCCTGTGGGCATCAAGTTGTGGTTAGTTTCTATTCTTCATTTCTAATCTTTTTACACCTTTGAGTCAATTGTGTTATATTTATAAGACATGAGCTTTCATCACTTCTATCAGTACCTTTAATTTTCCTCACTTTCATTCTCCTTCTTGTACTTGTCCATTCTTGTCCAGAAGGTTCAAAGCGGTTGTTTATAGCCATGGCTTCTTTGGGGCCACCAGCTTTAAAGATCACACAAGCTTGGATCTGTCAGGGCCCACCATCCCAACAGATAGAGAATGACTAAAAGTGAAGATAATGTGGGGAAGGTCAATGGAGAGAGTCAAACAATTATGAGAAAAAGACTTCATCCTAGTGTGATCATTTGAACCCCGGAATTCAGACAATTCTATGACCTACTCCTGGAATATTTGGATATATAGTACATAAAAAAATCCCTTTTTTGCTTAACTCTTAACCTTTTATTTTAAAATACAACAGATACAGAGAGTCACACAAAATACCACTCTTGAAATCACCAGCGAAGTCAAGAAATAAAAATTTGCCAATTGTCTCAGAAGCCCCTTGTATTAGTCTGTTTTCACTCTAATAAAAACACACCCGAGACTGGCCAATTTGTAAAGAAAAATAGGTTTAATGGACTCACTGTTCCACATGGCTGGAGAGGCCTCACAATCATGGTGGAAGGAGAAAAGTTTGTCTTACATGGTAGCAGACGAGAGACAATGAGAGCCAAGTGAAAGCAGAAAACTCTTATAAAACCATCAGATCTCAAGAGACTTATTCACTACCAGGAGAACAGTATGGGGGAAACTACCCCCATGATTCAATTATCACCCACTGGGTCCTTCCCACATGTGGGAATTATGGGAGCTACAATTCAAGATGAGATTTGGGTGGGGACACAGCAAAACTGCATCACCCCTCTATGTGCCCTTCCTCTATCTCAAAAAAGTAATCACTATCTTGACTTTTATAGCAATAATTTCCTCATTTCTTTATAGTTTTGCCACCCAAATGTGCATCCCAAGCCACTATAGTTTATTGTTGTCCATTAAATTTTATTATCATTTAAATCCCTTTCATCTATGTGTTCTCCCCACCCTCTTTCTTTACATTTGATCTGTATTCGACCTGTCTGCTTTCCCAGTGAAGTTTGCCAATTACATATTCATGACACAGTTCAGCATGTTCCTCTGTACTCTGTCTTCTGTCTTCTGTTTCCAATTTCCAGCAAATTGGCAGCTAGAGTGAAAGGCTTGATCAGACTCAGGTTCAATGCCTTTAGCAAGACCACAGGTGGTATGGATCTTTAGTGAAATATAATGTCTAGTGGCCTCTTTCAATTGTGATACAAGCAGCTATTGTGGTTCAGTCTCATGTTGTAAGCAGACAATTTCTCCAAAGAAACCCTGGTTTCAAGACGACATATTTGACATTAGGAATACACATTACTACTGAGCTGGTCATTGTTTCTAGAATTCATCTCAGTCTTTCTCTCCATATTCATGAGTTCATGCTGACACTTCGAATTCAAATTCAAAGCTACAGAGTTTTTATTGTTGTTGTTTTAACTCAATCTTTTCTCAAACTTCTCTTTTCTAGTCTCAGTTATCTCTATTTTGCTTGACTTGCTCTGACTCTATTCCAAGCTGTTTCATCTTAGAGTGGGGCACTGTCCTGGAAAAGAATCCTTGCAAGTCTGTTTCAGTGGTGAATCTAGAAGCTAAACGATTCCAGATCCTTCAGCACACACTGTCATTCCCTTGCACTCACCCAATACCAGATTGAACAAAACCCTCTCAGTATTCATTGCTGTTCTCAAATTGGTCTGCTCACTTTATGGTGAACTTCTGTGACTATTTGGTTCTCCTCTTCTCCACTGATTCCTCTGCTCTGTCTCACTGTACAGGTCTTGGGTCAAGTGGTTTGTCTTCATATACTGTCTTTGGTTTGTGGGGATAGCCTGTCTCCCGGTTTTGTGGTAAATATTGTCAATAGGTTTTTAGTGTTGCTATCTAGCTGTCTACTTTTATGTAGGCATTTGGAGACACAACAACGCCTTCACTGCTGCCATATTCCCGGGATCACCCAAACTATTTTAAGTAGATTTTTGCCATTGTAAGTCAAGAGCGTATTGACTAACACAGCCCCCAGTTCTTTTTTTGTTTGTTTGTTTGTTTTGTTTGTTTGTTTTGTTTTGAGACGGAGTCTCGCTCTGTCGCCCAGGCTGGAGTGCAGTGGCGCGATCTCGGCTCACTGCAGGCTCTGCCTCCCGGGTTCACGCCATTCTCCTGCCTCAGCCTCCGGAGTAGCTGGGACTACAGGCGCCCGCCACCACGGCCGGCTAATTTTTTTTTTTGTATTCTTAGTAGAGACAGGGTTTCACCATGTTAGCCAGGATGGTCTCGATCTCCTGACCTCGTGATCCGCCCTCCTCGGCCTCCCAAAGTGCTGGGATTACAGGGGTGAGCCACCGCGCCCGGCCTCACAGCCCCCAGTCATTTATCTCATTAAAAGCTACCTTACATACACTAACATCAAACCATTAAATTAAAAGAAAATAGCATAATGATAATTTTAAATGCTTATAGTAAATATAGACTCTAAATGAATGGCTAAAAGTGAACAATATACTTTGAAATAAACCTTTTTGTTAGCTATTTTTTTATGGTCTTTAGTCCTTTAGTGGGTGCGCCTAACATTTTAAAGAAAAATGTCCAGCAGGAGATTTGCAAGTTTTCTTTAGCATAGGGCCCATGCCCTAGTTCTGTTAATCAATAGATTTGAGAACACAAACTCAAATCATGTTAAATTATTTCCCTAACACAACTGTTTACAGCAGTTATCTCATCTATTGATTAAAGAAATAAACTGAAAACTTACTCTACTGTGATCCGTAGCGTCAATGCTGCAGGTGAAACAACTTTATAAGGAAGTATTCAGGAAGAGAACCTCCTCAGACATGGTTCAAAATCGCTGGCTTTATATTAAGTTATGGTAAGTTTTTAGTACAAAATATGAACTAATTTTGAAAATTATCAGTGTTATTAATGAGGAAATGAGTAACCCACTGGTTCTATTTTATTAAATAGTAATTTAAAGTAACTTGAAATAAATCCAATGATCCTAAAGTCAAGTGCTACTGCCTAGGCTTATCTTTTTTCATTGGGCCAAAAATGGCCACCACTGCTGTTTACAAACAAAAACAGCTTATATTGTGAAAGCTTATAAGCCTCTATCATCTTAAAATCAATAACATTTAAATAATATTGTTGGGTGAAATTGAGAGAAAAGCCCTGCAGTTAACTCACCATCTCTGCTTTAATTTGTGAAGGAAGTTTCATGCTTGTAGGAATTCAATTGCAACAATCATGAGATTATTACTCTCCATTAATATATTTTTCAGAGCTTCTCATAGGCTTTAGTTAAAAGGAGCTACACAGATGTAGGAAATGACAAGATACTGCTTGGTCTCCATCACAACAGAATACTCCAAAGACCTCTCAAACGACACATGTCCCATTACATTATCCCTCGCACCCTTCCACGTTTATTTGTGGTGTTGAGACACTATATAGCTTCTTGTTGACTTTGCCCTTTTTGCTCAGGGCAAACCTCACCTTTTTTAAGATCTCTGCAGCAACTGCTGCAATAAACTGCTGCCTGCTGGGCCATCAAATCGAGATGCCTTGTGAAAAAGAAATGTTTTTTTCTTTTTCAGCTCTTCATTCACATTCCATTATGTGCCATACACAAGACAATTTTTATTTTTAGGCTCGCCCATTATATTAAAAGTAAAGGGCTAATGGTGGAGAGAAAGAACTGAAACAATAGGAACTTTGTAATAGTGGCTTTTTCTAATTGTTGGTTATAAGAAAATGAAATATAAAAATCGTAACTCTTTTTAAGAAAAGTGCAGAAGGAAACGGGGCTTAATAGCAACAAAATGATGTTTTAAACACTTGACTTATTTTCTGCCATTTTAATGTACTGAATTATGTCAAAGACCTTGTAGAAAACTTTAAAAAATCATTTTCTGATGTTACTAAATGAAAACTAATTTCTGCCTATGCATTTGGAACTGTGCCTCGCACAGAGTAAGCAGTCAGTAAATATTAGCTATTATTATTTATATTATTATGACAAACTTAGTTGTATTTTTTTGTTTTTGTGCCTCTAATCTCAGAAGCAGCAGCAGTCCAATCAATTTTGTATTCCGTGTCATCTCACCAACTCAGGCCCTTGCATTCTCCCCCTCTTTTCTCTGCTGGCTATCTCCTCTCTGCTGTAATCCTAATTAGTTCTAATTTCAAGCCCTACTCTTTATCTCCATTCTATCTACCACCCAACTTCTCATCTTCTTTTCAAGACCAAGCTGGCTCTAATTTCTCACCACCTATACACTCCATAGACCACCAAAATAAACAGTTGGTCATAGAAAGAGGAGCTAGCAGTGCCTGAGATGCAATTGTGAAGTTGGATCACTTTCCAGCCAGATGGCAACTAGGACACCCTCTCTAGTGTGAAATGAGTATTGAAGGCCTCTGGCACGCTGCAGCACAGCAATTACCAAGAATTTCACCTGTGGTGACTTGGAATGGATGACAGGTTGAAGGGATGCAATGGCTTCTGTGATATCTTTGGCATTGTGAAGTATGATAGAAATAGTAATTATAAGGGCTGGGGGATCTGTTTGGTTGTTGCTAAGTGTTACTGATGCACCGAAGAGAGAAAATAACAAGCTCCATTCAGCCAATTAGCCACGTAAGGCAAAATGTGAAAGTTAGAAGGCTCCCAGGGCAGTGTTTACAGACACCTTCCTCTCTTATGACCAAAAAACAGACCATGCTAGAGACAAGACCTTCATCCTAATTGTTAGAGAAGTAAGAGTTGAGATAATCCTGAATTCAGAGCCCCAACAAGTCTCCTACATTATCAGGGAAGGAGTGGGACCCCAAGGCTAGGGGTAGAGATATCCAGGTGGATACACTCAAGAACATTGAACTCTCAGACTCTCCAGAACACTCTGGGCTTGCAGAGGCAGCCCCCTCCCTCTTGTTAGACGACGGTAGACCTTACTGCATTGCGTAGACTACGCAGAGACCTCAACTTAGGCAGATGCTACATAAGACAATATCAGCTCTCCTCAAGAACCGTCCATTTTTTTCCTTCTGACCAAGATGAATAGCTAGAGTCACAGATCACTATGGCTCTGGCTAAAGGAATAAAAGGGATTATTCACTGAAAGTGCTGAAGGACGTGGTTAATATGTAGCAGGAGAATCCAGAAAAGCCATTTGTAAGTGCAGCTTCTGGAGGACCCAACATGAGGCAAATATAGACATTTTGCGGATCCCCCAAATCAAATGTGGGCATAATAACTAAGCATATGAGAAGAATCATTGAACTTGGAAATGGAATGATTCAAATCTAACCTTGACTTCCAGTGTCGGTTTTGTTACGTTTTTTTCTTTTGAGACAGACTCTCTGTCACCCAGGCTGGAGTGCAGTGACACGATCTCAGCTCACTGCAACCTCCGCCTCCCGGGTTCAAGCTATTCACGTACCTCAGCCACCGGAGTAGCTGGGATTACAGGCATGTGCCATCACACCTGGCTAATTTTTTGTACTTTTAGTACAGACAAGGTTTTGCCATGTTGGCGAGGTTAGTCTCGAACTCCTGGCCTCATGTGATCTGCCCACCTTGACCTCCCAAAGTTCTGGGATTACAGGCATGAGCCACCACGCCTGGCCCCTACTGCCTTTTTTGTTTTGTTAACAAGAAACAATTTGGCAAGTAGTACATACTTAATAAATGTTTGTTGAAAGAAATAAAGAATAAACATACATCATTTTAAATCATAAAATATTCCCCAAATCAGTCATTAAGGCAATACCTGTTTTTTATAAATTCATATTTTCATGTTCAATTATATGCAGACTAAATATCCTAATTAATGAAAACTAAGAAGGACAGATGCGTCAGGCTCTTCTGACTGCAAGTTTGGTAGGCAGAAAATCACTCGGGCTACCTCAAGAAAGATGGATTTGTTCTCAGGAAACACATGGAAGCAGAGGAAATCGGAATCGCACGGAAACCCTGCTCAGCGTTCAACTGAGCCTCACAGAGGGGGAAATGCAGCGGTAAAATGAAATGCTCTGATACATTTCCAGGCCTGAATTATCTTGCTGCCCCCTCAGCAGCAAGAGGCGGGAGAACATATGCCATGATGACTCAGTCCTCTTTGCCCCTGCTTCTGCTACTCTCCCAACTGACCAACTTCCTCTACATGTATAGCATCTGCTTATTCGTAACTTTGTCTCCTACCTCAGGTCCGTCTCGCCGTGTCTCTTTTTACTTCTGCTCCCACAGCCAAATGTCAGCTTTCCATATATATATCTCTCTCACATCCAAATCCTCAATAAAGTAGAATGTTGTTGGTCAGAAAAACTCTCTCTTTGAGCAGCCTTTTGTACTCGGCACCTTAATGCTGATTGGATAGTTCTGTGACAGATGACCCTTGTCTGATTAGACACGGGAAAGAAGACAGCTGCTTGATTGGTGGTTGATAACTGATGAGTGCATGGATGCCCCTGGATGCAAAAGGGCCTAAGAAAAGCAGCACCTGGCTGGGAAGCTGACCCCCAGCAATAACCCCAGGCCAGGAAATGAGAAAATGAGTTTTCAGTGTATAGTTGATCGTCTCTGCCCGTTTGTTTTAGCTTGTTTGTGTTGCTGTCTGTTCATTAATTTGTTCATTTGTTTTTAAGTGTAGAAGATGAGAGCAGGGGAGCTCCCAGAACAGAGTTTAAGTAAATTAAAGGAAGTTTCTATCTGGAACTAATAAGGATTATGGAGATGAAGATGAATTGTCAGGGCAAAGCAAAATAATTAGGAAAAGACTAGACTAAAACTGGCAGGAGTTTTTGCATCAAACTCTGGTTTTGTCTTCAACTAGTTATATGTTTTGGGGGCATTCTGGGGGGTAGGTACCTATCACAATAATTGCTAAAGTAGTTTAGCAAACAACCCAGGTGCTCACTCACCTCCCGTCCCCCCTCACTCCCACTGCCACTGTAACATGGTTGCCATACCAGAATTCTTCCAGAAGATAGGGAGGCTGTTATTGGAAAAGTGCTTCAGAAGTGATTTAGATAAACCCACTACCACTCCACCACCCTGGTTTACAGTCATTGGACTAGCTGACATCTCAGATAATGCTTTGATTCTTTTATAACTTACGAGTTTCAGAAGTAATAAAAAATTAAAAACTCTTTGGAAGATAATCATGAGACTGTACAGGCCGGGGATGGTGACTCATGCCTGGAATCCTAGCACTCTGGGAGGCCGAGGCAGGTGGATCACCTGAGGTCAGGGGTTCGAGACCAGCCTGGCCAACATGGCAAAACCTGTCTCTACTAAAAATACAAAAATTAGCCAGGCATGGTGGTGGGTGCCTATAATCCCAGCTACTTGGGAGACTGAGGCAAGAGAATCACTTGAACCCAGGGGACAGAGGTGGCAGTGAGCTGAGATTGCACCACTACACTCCAGCCTGGGCAAAAGAGCAAAACTCTTTTTTTTAAAATCTGTAATATAAATTATAAACATAATTTTATAATAGTAAGAAGTTTAGAAACCATCTGAATGTCTATCATAACAGTATAGCTGGATCTCTATGATACATTAAATGAGGGAAAAAATGAACACTATAATACTGATGCAAATATTTATTAAATAAGCAAAACAACAATTTAGAGTTCCAACATTTTCTATATATACATATCTAAATATATTAACAAAGCCTGGAAGGATCTTTGGGGAGTGGAAAGGAGGAAACAAAGATGGGGAAGTGGCCCAAAGGAACTCTATTCTCTCTAGATCAGAGCTTTATGTTTTTAAAAAGGAGAATGTACTCATGCAGTGTATGTATAATTTAGTTAATTTGTAAAGGAAACAGATCAAAATAAGTTATTTGGAGGCTCCTGCCTGACTGGCACACCTGAGCTTCTTAGAGGATATGTCACACCCACAGCCCCTGCTGAAAATTTTCATTCACTATTCCACCCATATTTAGTGAGCACCTGCCATGTACTAGGCTTTGTTCAATCTAGGCAGTGGTGGTGCTGCTGCGAGCAACTGCTCGGTGTTCTTCCCCATATACTTGCTTCTTCTGCTAACTCATCATTCTGCCTCTCCTACTCCATAACTTTGAGTTGCGTGTGGCTTTGGTTTGCTATAGAACCAGCTCCCCACTCTAACACTTTGAAGACAGTGTCATATAGTGGCTAGGCACAGGCTCTGGAGTCAGACTGACTGGGTTCCAGTACCAGCTCTACTACATCTTTTGTCAACTTGTATAAGCTATTTTACTTTTTAGTCATGCCTCCATTCTTTATTTGTAAAATGGAATCACACTGATCCATATCATACAGTTGTGACGATTAATGCATTAAAACATGAAAAAAGCCTAGGACAAGAGCTGACACACAGTAAGCTCTTGACAAATATTAAATGTTATTACCAGTATTTTAAGAGCCAGTCACAAATAACCAATGTCTCAGGTCAATTTTTTAAGAGAAAATCCAATCAGCTCAGTTCATTTGAGGGCTTTACTTCTCCTTCTCATGTTGTTCACATATGGCCACAAGATTATCCCTGACCATAACCTCAAGACCTTATATGATCCAGCTTTGGCTGGTGTGATGGTTAATACTGAGTGCCAACTTGTTTGGACTGAAGGATGCGAAGTATTGATCCTGGGTGTGTCTGTGAGGGTGTTGCCAAAGGAGATTCACATTTGAGTCAGTGGGCAGGGAAAGGCAGACCCACCCTCAGTCTGGGTGGACACCATCTAATCAGCTGCCAGCACAGCCAGAATATAAAGCAGAAAAACGTGAAAAGGCTAGACTGGCTTAGCCTCCCAGCCTACATCTTTCTCCCATAGTGGATGCTTCCTGCCCTTGAACCTTGGACTCCAAGTTCTTCAGCTTTGGGATTCAGACTGGCTTCCTTGCTCCTCAGCCTGCATAAGGCCTATATTGTGGGACCTTGTGATCATGTGAATTAATACTACTTAATAAACTCATAAATATATATAATATCATATATATATATATATATATATCCATCCTATTAGTTCTGTACCTCTAGAGAATCCTGACTAATACAGCTGGCCCCGCCTGACCTCCTCAAGTTCACCTGGGACCATTTGTTAAAAGTAACTTACAAAATAAAAAGAGAAAGAAAATAGAATTCTGACATTCATTATAAAACCTGACTATTGTTCTTGTATTTTCTATTCATGAATTTCTCTCTTTTTTAAATAATCACTTTTTTCTTGAACCATTTGAGTGGGTTCCTGTTCCTTGCAACCAAAGAGCCTAGAATAGAACAATTCCTTCAAGTAAATGGGTCACACACAAAATATCCTCATACTCATTGCTTATGCGCAAGTGTTGTACAAGTGACTTATTATATAGGAATGATGTTCGAGAGAAGTAAAAGCAGAAAGCCAAGTCTTTTTTGTGGTTCAAGAAGAGAAAAGATGCTCTGGGTGGTAACAGCAGAGTGTCATTCAGATGCAAAATCTAACCAACCCTTTGTGTGAGAATCTGTTTTATTACCTTAAGTTCTATTCTGTATTCATTAAATTGAACCCTGAAGGGACTTCGATTTTGCAATATGTCATTAGTTACAATGCTAACCTGAAAGTCAAAACTATATTTTGTTTTAGAGTATTCTATAATTCTAATTTCTCAGAAATTTAAACTGCATTTCTTTGCAGTCTGATAAAGTGAAATTTTTATCTGTTTACTAGGATGATAGGAATGATGTGGGCATCCCCTACCTGTTCAAACCCGCACATAACCTGCTCCATGGCAACTTTGCCCATACTGAAGAAATAAAAACACTTCTCCCTGGAGTCAGCAATTGGCAGCTGCTTTGCCTCAAGGACAAGGTCTATGTCTTTTTTAACTCAATCAGCTCAGCACCACGCCAGTGCCCTGCACAGACAGATGCTCCATAAATGCTTTTGAATCGACTAAGATGGCCAGAAAATGTAGTGTCTTCTCTCCTTTCTTCACCTGCTGCCTAAAGTGAGCTGAGAATTGGTAGGAACATGTTGGGAGAGAGAATGATAAAGGCAGAACTTAGATGCTGAGCCTAGCATTTAGAATAATAATGAAATTTTCTGAGAAGATTCTTCCTAAAATCCACATGTATTCAGATAATCCCACCAGGAAATATTACAGGTGATAAATTCAGCACAATTGCATTTTCCCCAGGTTCCCAGGAACATTTTATCCATCTCAGTGTGGTAGCCAGAAATCAAAAGAAGAGAGTGCAGAATTAACACCTGCACATTTTTAAGGATTTAATGAAATATTTATAGACTATTTCAGCCTTCTAATAAAAGTTATTACCCTTTGGTTGGTAAGTGTGACCTCCAGGGGACAATAACATTCTATTACATCTTAAAATTCTATAAAGTTATTAGTTATCTCCTATGGAAAACAATCCTTTATTGACAAGAGATAGGATGGATAGTCTAATAACTGAAATGATTCCATAAATAAATTTCAACTTGAAAGCTCTGTTGGATACACTTACCAAATCAGAACTTTAACATTTGTTATTACAGGACTCTCAAAATTATAGCTAAGTATTGCTGAATTACATGGGCACATCAGAACCAGCTTTACTCTTGTCTTGCAGGACATGTGATTATGAATTGTGTAAGAAAACTGATCAAAAAGAAATTATATATTTCCTGTCATGACTAATAGTCTCCTCTCATGTCTTCCTTTTAGGTCTATAAAGCTAATAAAATATAAGTCTGAATCATTAACAAAACTCTAAAAAATGAACACTGCTTTTCTAAAAGGAGATAAATTATGTTAAATAGGTTGTTTCCGAATAGATAAAAAGTTTTGAAACATACACTTAAATTTGTACATATGAATGAGATTGAAACATATTATGTGTGTGTATGTATATAGAATAGTCTAATGCTTTTTCATTTGAGATGGAGTATAAATAAAGTAAATTGCACCATCTGCTGGCTATATTTGGAAACAGACTCTAATTCTAAGCTCCAAGGAAAGGAGGTAAGAATTGAGAGTTACCTCCAAATATCAGGAAAAAGGCTACATCCAGCAAACAATGAAAAACATCAGTGCACTTCCATTCAAAGCCTTGAGGGTTCACTAGAAAGCCACTCAATATTGTAGAATCAGTTGCCATCTCAGTCCTACCAAGTGTTTCTGCCCTGGTGCTGGCATTATCAAAACAGTGAAATTCATGTCAGTATTTCTCATCATACACTGCAGACCCAACAATAAATACTAAACTTTAATGTTGGGAAATCCAAAGCCCATTCACACAAACAGAATTGCCAGGCTCACAGCATTTGGAGCTCATATTTTGGTAAAAGAAGTTCGCAACTCATCAAATTTATAAATCTTTTAGCCAGCCAAATTCTGAGTAATGTAGTACATTTGAATACACTTTAATAAAAAGAAGAGAGTCTCCAAATTTGGAACTGGAGGCCTGTTGAGTCCTACCTATGAGCTGAGATTTATAGTTATATTTCCTAAGTTTTAATCCAGCACTCTTAAAAAAGATACATCCATACCACAGCTTTCAGCGACTTCACTAAGTTTATCATTCCAAAGGTAAAATATTGTCCTATATTCTCCTTGCTCACTAGTCCTCTTACTCAGCCTGGTATTATTTTCTCTTTCACTGTTAAATTAGGTGAGTGAGGAGCTTTCCTATCTCAAGATGTCTGAACACTACCCCGTATTAATATTCACTCCCTACTAATTTTTCTAACTTGTTCAATCACTGTTGCATTTGAAATATTTTATCCTTGTTCCATCTACTACACTAAATCACATCTTGAAAAATTCAATTACAAGTTCAGGTGAATGATTTGAACTTGGGTTTTGTTGTTTATGATGCCACTGGAACGCATCAACTGTGCTGCATTCAATACAGGGAGCACATTACTCTTTACACAGTAATAGCTTCTTGTGAGGCTCTGGCTTACTGTAGACCTGGAGCTTATCTGTAAAATCTTTTTCTTTCCTAGTGTATTTTTCATGTTGTGAACCTGAATCATTTTTCTATTCTATTATGAAGTACTAAAGTAACTTGTATCTTGTTGTAAAGAGGAAAATCAACTTATCTTTTGAAGGAGTCCAAGTTTTATATTGAATGTAAACTATTAAATGCAGTTTTCCAACTGGATGTGACAATGTAGGACAAATGTTCTTGTCAATGATTATTTTCAAGGTGATTTAATCTTTCTCAAAAAGCAAGTTATATTTAGCCATTACTTTGGGGGAAAGGTAATTTTTTCAGTTAACATTTCCTCAACCCTGACATTTTCTTGCTTTTATGTATTTATTATTTGAAATCTCTCCATTATTTCAACAGTTCTTTGAATACACAATTCAACCCAACAATTTAATAAATGTTACTAAAGTCTTCTTGGCAGGAGCTTGTAATCTAATAGGGAAAAAATACAAAAACAGCTATTACAGCACAATGTGGTAAGAACAATAGTGGAGATATACTGTGTGCAAAGGCCCTTGTCGCATCCTTTACAGACTGAGAAAGACATCAGGCAAGAAGTGACTTGAGCTGAGCTGGCCCCTGAAGGATGGACAAGAATTTACCACCTGGCAAGGGACAGATGGGGAAGAGATTTCAGGCAAAGAAAAAGCATGTGAAAAACTCAAGATGTGAAAGAATGTGTAAAGTTTCCTTTTTTCCATTCCCAGTTCCTGCGACATTTTAGATGAAAGGTTCCACATGGAGAACTGATTTTCTAATAATGTCAAATATAAACTAAGGAAAGTTTAAATTTTTATAAATGAAATACCTTTTAGTAAACATGTCTTCAAATATAAAATCTTTATTACCAAAAAATATATATTCAACTGTATTTTATAAATGTTTTCAGATTTCTATACATGGTCAGTGGCAGGGAAGGAGGGGTTCCTGAAGGAATAATTAGGTGCCATGGAGTCAAGTTTAGTGTGATTACAAAATAACCTGAGAAAGATCAGTATAGGTATATCCTTGTAGAGTTCGCTGGCAAGAAAAAAAAAAACTAGCTTTGCTTTGTACTCAGAATAATCCACAGTCAGGTTGGATAGCAGGGCTATGACCTTGTCAATGACTTTATTTTCTAAAATAAGATAGGTAATTAGTTGTTCCTTTTGCTTTTATTAGGATAGACACAATTGGGAATTTCTGCATTTATTTTCATAGGAAGTTTCACCTGATTCTTAGCTTGTGGCACCCTGTGCTATTGAAACTGAGATTTAATGATGAGGAAATGAATAGAAACATGGGCTAAATACTCCTGGAAATAAATGCATGCACTTTAGTGCCACTGAGCAATTGGAAGTTTTGACAACTTAGGGCTTCAGGGTCACACGTTTACACTGCAGGAGATCTGCATTTTATTTCCACCAATTTTCCCTATGAGTGTGGGGTCAGAGGACAGAAGTATATGTGTTTCAAACATATGGGTATTTTTTAATTAGGAAAATTTCAAATGTATACAGAAAAATTAAGATTATTATCAACATAATCAAGTTTGTTTCATCTATAACTTCCCTCCTCTTGCCCAGATCGTTTTTGAACCAGTCCCAAACGTCAGATTATTTTCTCTGTAAACATATTAGTATGTATCCCTAAAATATAACTCTTTGAAAACAAGACCACAATACCCTCAAGAGATATTTTTACAGTATTAGAGATTAAACTTTATATAACTTCTATATCCAATTTATGTTATGTAATTACTAAATAACCTCTAGAAACATATATTTTGTCTTTTTCATGAATGAAAAGAAACTTACTAGCTAAACAGATCTTCAATAACAAAGCATTTTTAGACTACATATAGAGTATATATTTATAGGAAGAGAAAGCGTAGTATAACATATATATGCGTGTATACATATTCATTATACATATATATACACATATGTGTGTACATACATGTATATTTATTTACTCTTTATGTAAAATATATCCTAAATGACAAATAGTAACTCTTTAAGAATTTTTCTCAGTGGGACTTAGAATAAATTGGCAGAGTTTATGGGTCACTCATAGAGCAGAAACCAGAACCGTGCTCCCAGAGTGCCAGGAGAATTAGCAGAACCTTAGACGAAAGTGAACCTTCTGAGAAGGTTCTGAGAAGATGTAACACAAGAGGCCAAGAGTTTCAGCCCTAGCAAAAATTCCCACTCTGAGCTTAGTACAAAATGTATAGAGCTACTCTCTTTAAGGAATCAAATGGGATTGGACTGAAGAGCAAAGGATTGCCCCCCAAAAGCTATGAATGCATTAATTCAAGTACTGTGGACAAAATTTATACCTGCTTCAGGTATTCCCATATTTATTTGACTAAAGCTGGAATGGTCATCTACAACAGAAGGAAGCTTCCCTACTGTCTGAAGTCAGTCTACTGTAGAAGTAGAAGTAGAAGTCTGTCTACTGTACCCTGCAAGCTTACACAGTCTATTAAAAAGGGTTGAGAAACACTGGCCTGACATATAAATTCTCCCCTCCCAAAAGAGTTATGAATATGTGTGGATGATAAATTTACATATCATACCCAGTTATAATAAATTGAATTGTACTTTGACCATTTAATTCAATATTAAGTTGGCTAATTTTGAGAAGTGGAGTATTCTCACCTTATAAATTAATATTTAGAACAGATGAAACTGATTGAGCGTTAAAGTAATAGTCCTCTCAGCCCTGCTTTGAGGACACCAGGAAGCTATATAGAAAGTTTATCAATCTGTGAATTGCTTTTTATATAAATTCAGCTTTGTAACTATAGATTATTCAGTAAATCTATAGATGAAACCATAATAATGATTAAATTGTCCTATAGATTCAAAATCTGTGCATATGGGAAAAGAAAGTAGGTGACACCATTTAAAATATCCACTTATGAAAAGTAGTTTTTGAAATAACTGTTACAGAAAAGTAGGAGTCATATATTGCAGAAGTTAGTTAAATGAATCTTGATGGGATGGGAGTCAGTCACTAAATAGGATAAGGATAGCAAGAGGAGAGGGAAGAGAGCTCTGTGTGCTATTAATCTCCCTAACCAGATGTCTTCATCTCATTGGAAAACAGGTACCATGGTGTTTTATGTCAAAAAAAAAAAAAAGTGTGGTTCTTTCTCCATCTTTCTTTATTATGAGCTAAAAAGGGAAAAATTAAAATACCAAAAATGAAATTTTGGAAATCTAACCAAAAAGTCATTGTAGTGTGGTGGAATACATTTTAGATAAAGAATCAAGAGACCTGAGCTCAGCCCTGACACAGATCCTTCCCTTAAAACAGTCAATTTTCCCTGGTGAAAGAATTTCACTCAGCTGTCGGTAACTATGTGGGAACCTAGCTCTCTGGCCTGGCCTGCTTGCTCCACTGAGCCTCCTGCTGGGCCTTTCCATCTGCTTTCTCTATCAGCAGGGCTATACCAAATTAGCGAATTTTATATGTATCTGAATCTCCTCCTTGCAAAGAACCAGGTGAGCCATTAAGGGTGCCATCTGTTTGGGTCTTCTTGTACTCATTCATCAATATTTACTCAATTGAGCATCTACTGTGTGCCAGGAACTCTGTTAGGTGCTGGGAATACAGAAGTAAACAAGACAGACACAGTCTCTGCTTTAATGTGGTTTACAGTTTAACAAGGGAGGCTATTATAATTGTGATATCTGCTACAAAGAAAACTACAAAAATATAACAGAAGTGCCAACTGTAATTATAAGAGCTACAAAGGAAAACAATATGAAGACCAGTGCTTTTGAAACTAAAGTTGCAAATCATTAGTGAGTCATGAAATCAATTATGTTAGCCAAGACCACCAAGCTTTTATTTAATGGAATGAATTGAGATAGAAATAAATAAAAAAAGGAAATATGAGAGTGTATCACATGTAATAAGGGAAAGTACTGTTTCAAGAATTTATACATAGATGAATGCTGGAATGGGATTTAAAAACGTATTTATTCCTCTGGGTTGTGGTGGAAAAAGTTTTAAGGCCATGGATTTAGACACAGCATAGGGACTGTAATAGACACAAGTATGAATGTCTACTCAAACCACAACTACTTCAATAGAGACTACCTCATTCAAGTCTGCATGACCATACTTGTTAATCCTTGAACACATCAGAGTAGTCAGGGAGGGGCTCCTGAGCTAAGCTCAGCTGCATATTGCTAACAATTAATAAGATTTATCTGTAAGGATTTTAGAATTGAGGCACTGGAAGTCTGAGTCCATCTGACACAAGGATTTAAGCTAAAAGATCATGTATCGTCAATGTTGAGATGGCCGTATAGCCTTCTGTGCAAGAGGAATATACTCAGGAAACTAACTGTGAGAAAGAAGAATGGAGAAAACACTGAAAAAGAAGGAGCAAGGAAACTCAGTTCTTGACTTCAGTTATAAAAGCCCAAATCTTCATTTGCTCTTCTCAGATTCATAAGATCTTAGCATTTTTCAGTAAATACCATCCCCCCTTCAGTTGAGCTATTTGAATAGGTTAATTTTTGTACAACTAAGAATCTCCTCTAGGAAAAAACAATTGGCAAAAAGTTTATGTTACCTTCTTTTTAATGTCGGTAACAATGTGTCCAGAAAAAACAAAGCAAGCCGAATAACATTTGTTTAAAGACATCAAGGAAAGAATATTAGTCCTTTAGCCAAGAATGCTCTGCAAATAAGTCCTCAGTCATTTACAGTCTAATGTCTAGATTGAGAATTTTTCAGCCTAAAGACTGCACCTTTCCAAAAGAAGTGATTTTCTACATTGGCTTCACAGTATTCTCAGCGGTACAGTCATCCATTTTTAGATAGAGCAGAGAATCTGGCTCTCTTCCAGGTCACTCTCATGTTAATGACACATCAACAATATCTGAACGAACTAAACTGAGAGATTCAGTGTTCACTTACAACAGAGTCTGTCTGTTGCCTTTATTTTGAATGGCATAATAACTCAAATATGGAGATGCCACTGATAGATGACACCCTTGTGTTCATTCACATTGAGCTTTGTTTGCTACTTGAACTTGATTACAACAGACATCCATTGAGGAATATAAAAACATCCGTGCTCCCTTTAGTCATTCAGGCACATTATGAGTTTCAATGAAACACAGAGGAATCCAAGAATCTGCATCGCCCAGACAGTGCCCTTGAAATGAAGCCTTACCTTTCATTAGAACAAAATGTTATCCACATTAAGAGGAAACCTGGAAATGCGTATGCAGCAGTTGAGGTTTTAATTAGACTTGTCCTATTTTTCCTGTGCCTATAAAATGTAAATCAAAGACATCAAAATTATTAAGTAAAATACAGAGAATGTTGTTTCTTAAGGGTAAAGGATGAGATGGAGTGGGGTATAAATTAGTCCCAAATTTAAAAAGACAAATTTTTCAAGCTGACTTCAGAAAATAATTTCTTTTCAACCTAAAAGAAGCGAAGGAATGTAAGGACACAAAATAAAGAATAGAAAGCCTGAAATCCCAGCACTTTGGGAAGCCAAAGTGGGCCAATCTCTTGAGCCCGAGCCCAGGAGTTCAAGACCAGCCTGGGCAACACGGTGAAAACCTGTCTCTGCCAAAAAAAAAAAAATATATATATATATATATATATATACAAAAATTAACTAGCATGGTGGCATGCACCTGCAGTCCCAGTTACTGGGGAACTTGAGGTGGGAGGATTGCTTGAATCCAGGAGGGATTGGCTGCAGTAAGCCGAGATCATGCCACTGCACTCCAGCATGGGTGGCAGAGCAAGACACTTTCTCAAAAAAAAATAAATAAATAATAGAAAAGTGTAGGAAAGAAAAAGAAATATCAATCTAGAAAAACATATATGTCCAGATGGACCAGCAACTAGTTGCATTAGAGAGACAGCCACAGGCTGTGTAGACCCTGATGCTAATATGCTAATATGACCAAGACTGAATGTCTCCTTCAGGTTAGTCCACATTCTCAGACAAAATCTCAACCCATACTAGCCATCCTCCAACCACATGTAAGGATGTAAAAATAAATGAAAACCTCAATGCTGTTATCAAAAAATAATTAAGATATTGCCCCAAAGCAATATCTTAGTGTATAATAAAAGCCAATTATGGTTAGAGCAAAATAAAGCTTTATAATCTTATTTGTCACTTATTAAGCATCAAGAAGAACCTGAGAAATATCCATAATTGCGTA
The DNA here is from genome assembly GCF_000001405.40 of Homo sapiens. Classification (NCBI taxonomy): domain Eukaryota; kingdom Metazoa; phylum Chordata; class Mammalia; order Primates; family Hominidae; genus Homo; species Homo sapiens. The sequence goes on along the minus strand of NC_000002.12, from coordinate 183,241,869 downwards.
TTATTTTGATGCCCCTTGTTTTTTTCTAATTGATGTATTCTGAAGAAGCAATGGGGAAACCAAGTGCCTAATTACCCTGGTGCAGGACTAATAGTTCAACTAGGCAATGTGGTTCTGCGGAGCCTCAGTTTAAACGGAGGAAAGATCTTTTTAGCCCGGAGTCTCTTTCAGCCCATTTCCTTTTTCTCTTATTCTCAGGATTTATTCTAAGCCTGGTCTGAATGTTATACTATACTCAGAAAAGAATTAAAGGTCTTTGGATTCCTAGTTGATTATAATGAACTCAGTATCCAGTATCAATCATGTTTGATCAATGCTACTACTCAGACCTACTAAAGGCCATTTAACTAAGTCAGGGAAGGGTCTGTGAAACTCAGGCTTGGGCTTTCTTTTCTAGCAGTAGACCTCTTAAGTCGGGTCCGGAAGTGAAACGAAAGCTGAGAAATATCCAATGTCAATCAGATATCATTTTAATATTTATAAGGAGATTAAAAAGAAAATGGAGATTCTAAGCTTTCATCAGGTTCAAACACCTTAAAATTTACTTGGAAAAACATTTTATACCTTAGAATTTCATTAAGTTCAAAAGTCTTTAGAGTTGAAATGATATATACAAGTAATCATCCTGATTAGAGTTTGTAGATTTCTCTAACACACCAAAGAATTAAGCAATGTATAAAACTCAAACAACTCAAATCCAGGGTGGTGGGCTCTGTGATCACCTGTTGGAATTATTGATACAGAAACTACAAATGTGGTTCACTGTGCCCCTCAGCGTCTCCAACAAGAATCTGGACAGTGAGCAGACACAAGTATCTAGTCATAAATAAATTCAATGCTATGAACTAAATGTTCGTGTCTCCCAAGATTATATGTTGAAATCCTAACTTCCGATGTGATGATATTATAAGGTAAGGCTTCAGGGAGGTGATTAGGTCATGAGACCAGAGCCATACAATTAGTGCCTTATAAAACAGATCCCAGAGAGCACCCTCATCCTTTTCTTCATGTGAGAACATGAACCAGAATGTGGCCCCTGACCAAACACCTAAATCTGACAGCAACTTGATTTTGACCTTTGCAGACTTCCAGAACTGTGAGAAATAAAATTCTGTTGTTTAAGCCACCTAGTCTATGATAGTTTGTTACTGCAGCCCCAAATTGACTGAGACACTCAGTTAACTGGGGTGATAACCACCTGACTTAAGGAGTTCACATTTTTCAGCTCCAAGAAGATTTAAAAGTATAGAAAGGTATTTAAGAAAATCAAAACCATAATAATAATATTTTTATGTTAGAAAGTAGTCTAAACATATTTGCCATTTTCTGTGCTTGTTTAAAAATGGCCTATTAGAGTGACAGCCTCATGATTCTAATTTAAAATGTATAACTGAATGATTGACTTAGATTAATAATTTTCAGTCAATGCTTTATACGAAGCATTGAACATATATGTTTACCATATTTTTAAGTTTAATTAGAGAGTTTTTAAAAAACAGTGCTTTGGAAGACTTTATTAAGTCAAAGAATTATTTTTAAAGGAAATAAAGTATATCAAATATATAAAAACACTTGGAAATAAATATGTTTAAATTGAACTAAATATTATTCAAAGGGTCTTTAAATATATGTAACCTTTTCTAGACTTATAAACAAAATAATAAGATATGGAAGCTAAACTTAAGAGGCTAAGAACCAGGTATTACTAATTTTTTAAACTAAAAGTAAACTCTGAATAGTCTTCTCTGAACACAAAAAGTCACACTGAATAACACAAAAAATCACATATCCACATTTTATTCAGGGCTGTAAGTATAGACATTGGGAGGTGCTTATAACCCCGACAACTATTTATATCAGAGTTTAAGAGTGAGCCTCTCATACCAAAGAATGGACAGGGTGATTATGCATGCTTATTTAATATCTCACGTGTAAAACCAATGCTTTCTCTTTATGGGAGTTCAGTCTAATATTCACAAACTGAGGGAAATGAAGCAAACTGAAGTTGCATAGAACATAGTGACTTCTGAGAACGCTAAGTAGCTTAGTGAGGCTGACCATAAAGTACAGTGCAGCACAACTTTAAATCTCATAACATATTTGAACACAGAGATCAGAAATCGAGGAACACAGTTTGTTTTTTGTTTTGGGAGAGGTTTTCTTAGAGCTAGAAGCAACTCTAGAGAGATTACCTGTTTCGTTTTACCAATAGCAGAACTGCCTATGTCCAGTCTAACAGTCAATTAAATGCAAAGCCCAAATAAGCTATAGCTCTGTTATATGTTGTTAAAAAATTTTTCAGTGACTGGAATAACTTTCCCATAGAACACTTGACAATTCTTGATTGGAAGGCAAATACAATTACAGTATCATGATTAACAAATAAAAACAAAGGAACAGCAAAAGGTGCTTGAAAAGATGTTGAGAATAACTAGTTGAGTCCTCCAAGTAGAATGAAAAAGAGCCCTCAGATCTGCCGAACATTAGTGAAAGCAGCTGGAAATTTAAAGAATATTTTCTTTCTCTTTTTCTTTTTCTTTTTTCTTTTTTTTTTTTTTTTTTTTTTTTTTGAGACGGAGTCTCGCTCTGTCGCCCAGGCTGGAGTGCAGTGGTGCGATCTCGGTTCACTGCAGGCTCCGCCTCCCGGGTTCACGCCCTTCTCCTGCCTCAGCCTCCCGAGTAGCTGGGACCACAGGCGCCCGCCACCGAGCCCAGCTAAGAATATTTTCAAACTGGAATAATCTACATAAAGAAACTAAGTACTTGCCACTTGGTAGAAATGTAAATTAATAGAGTCATTATGGAAAACAGTATAGAGATTCCTCAAAAAATTAAAAACAGAACTACCATATGATCCGGCATGCTCACTATTGGGTATACATCCTAAGGAGATAAAAATCAGTATGTCAAAGAGATGTTTGCACTCCCATGTTCATTGCAGCATTATTCACAATAGCCAAGATATCTAATCAAACTAACTGTCCATCAGTGAATCAATGGATAAAAGAAACACAATGGAATACTATTCAGCCTTTAAAAGGAAGGAAACCCTGCCATTTAAGACAATATGGATGGACCTAGAGGACATTATATTGAGTGAAATAAACCAGTCAAAAGACAACTAATGCATTATCTTATTTAAATGTGGAATCTGAAAAAGCCTAAGTCATAGAAGCAGAGAATAGTCTAACAGCTAATTAAATGCAAAGCCTAAATAAGAAGCTATAGCGCTGTTATATGTTGTTTAAAAAATTTTTAACAAAAAAACAGGGAATGGGAATGGGGAGTGCGGATTGAAGAGATTTTGGTCAAAGGTTTAAAAATTTCAGTTAGACAGGAGGAATAAATTCAGGAGATATATTGTACAACATGGTAACAATAGTTAATAACAACGTATGGTATACTTGAAAATGTCAAGAGAATAGATTTTAAATGTTCCCACCACAAAACAAGGTTACGTATGTGAAGTAATTAGCTGTTAATTAGCTTCTTTTATCCATTCCACAATGTACACATATATTAAAACATTCTGAGCTGTGCGTGGTGGCTCATGCCTATAATCCCAGCACGTTGGGAGGCCGAGGCAGGTGGATCACTTGCGCTAGGAGTTCAAGACCAGTCTGTGCAACATGGAGAAACCCTGTCTCTACATAAAAAATTAAAAATTAGCCAGGCATGGTGGTGCATGCCTGTAGCCCTAGCTACTTGGGAGGCTGAGATGGAAGGATCACTTGAGCCCAGAAGGTCAAGGCTGCATTGAACAGTATTTGCCTCACTGTATTCCAGCGCTGGGTAACAAAGCAAGATCTTGTCTCAAAAAAAACCACAAAACATTATGTTGTACACCATAAATATATATATATATAATTTCATCAACTAACAATTTAAAAATAAAAATTAATTTTTAAAAAGAAATTAAGTACTTGCTTCTACATGAAAGGAAGTAAGAAAAAAGGTAGAAAAGGTACTGACACCCCTTGCCCATTCCAGGAAATCTGACAAAGTTGTGTTTTCAAACCTTTGTCATTCAGGTTCAACTTCTACAGTGTTTGATGTATCCTAATAACATTTGTCTCATTATTTACTTAATCTTTTTCTTTACATTGAATTTGGCCTTTTTCTATACAGTAATATTCTTGGGATCAAAACTCTGATGTGTTAGTTATATTATTTTTACTAATACACATTAAAATAAATACATTTCTATTAATTTGTCCTATTTTATCCATGCCTCAGCTGAAATCACCATACATGCGTCTAGTGATAATTATACATTACCACACACAGGAAAACACTAGCAAGTAGAAAAATGGTGCCTTTGATCAGGAATTTCCAAATACACAGAAGTTTTCTCTAGCTCCCAGCAAGAAAAATTTTCTGCATTTGGCCTTCCTCTAAAAGAATTATTCATCCTAAAAGTGTAGTTCAACAAGCATGAGCATTTACTCCATGTCAAGTCCAATACTGTGCCCTGGTGGTACCAAAGACTCATCCTTGCCCTCCAGGAACCTAGAATTTAATGCCAAGGGAACAAATGCCACCCCTACCACTGAAAAAATTACTTATCATATCCTAACAAATATTCCTATCATGACCCAACCTTAGCAACTACTTCCTCTTGTGACCATTTAAAGTACCATTTGAACAAAACTAATTCCTGACAAAACAGACTGGGGAGCATAGAATCAAATGTTCCCCAAAAGGAGCCAGGTCAGATCAATCCTGTTTTTTTATTTTTTGGGTTTCTTATTTTTATTAAATAAAATAGAGACAAGGTCTCACTATATTGCCCAGGCTGGTCTCAAACTCCTGGGCTTAAGCAATCCGCCTGCCTCAGCCTCCCAAAGTGCTGGAATTACAGGTGTGAGTCACTGCACCCAGCCTGGATCAATCCTGTTTGACACATTAAATTCTAAAACAGACCATAAAATAATATGTACAATAGGAGCATCATAGTATGAATGTGTGTATATTTATGTGTAAAATGAAAGTTAGAAGGAAGTACACCAAAATCAAAATATTAACAGTAATTATCTCTGCATGTTGGAATTGCAATGGTTTTATTTTCTTATAATTGTTGTATTGTGCAAATTTTCTTCGATGGGCTTATAATTTTTTGGATATCAGAAATAAAATCTCTCTGTAACTTAATATTTGACTCCCACTTACTTAAGACTTTTTAATCACAGAGATGTGTTTCTTATAAAGGCTACTTTGGAAAAGAAAAATTAGAAAAGCTTTTAAAAAGTTTAATCACTTGTTCTTTGTAAAGGCTTCATCATATATCTTCATATCTTTGCAGTTCCCTCTGATCCAAATGCATTTCCCCTAATTTCCACATGTGAAATTCATACCTATGAATTTCCATGAAATTCAAAGTTAGAAGCAATTTCTTCTTCTGAAATGCTGTAGCACCTTATGTATAACATACATATGACAATCACTTTCTAACATTTTGAACATGAAACGCAGAATCACAGAATTTTAGAACTCAAAGAGATCACCAAGATTAACTCATTCAACCTACTTTGCAAGTGGAGAAATTGAGGATCAATTAAATTATATGATATACTCCAATTTTCACAGTGAGTTAAATGTAGCATCAGGACCAGACTCTTGGTTCCATCCAGGAACCTAGGACCCTATTCTTTCTGTTTACACTGAGTTGTACCTTTTTGGAGCCACTGGTAAACTTTTTTTTTTTGTAAGTTGAATGGAAACTTTGTCAACTAAGAGTCTTACATTTCTTGTCCCCCGGTGAGTTTACCAAATATTTGATGATTATGTCTGGCACAAAATGAGGCAGCTGTGAATTCACTGGGGTTTCCCTTTGTCTTTCTTCTTGCTCTTGTGTGCCCACTGTTGTGTCTCATGAAAAGGAGAAAAATAGTCCTTAAAGTTGATGACATAAATTTGAGTATCAAACATAGGTGAGCACTCCATTTTGAGCAATAAGATAGTTTTTAAATCTGATATTGTCAGCATTGACTTTTTCTGTAGTTTCCTAGTAAGATACGTAAATCTCTTCTCCACCCATCCATTCCCAATTATTTCATTTAAATGTTAATATACTGGAAATACTTCACTTTATTGGCTGCCAAACAATGCTGATTTTGAAATCTAGCAAGCAATTCACTCAAGCATTTTGTAGGAAGTTATCTTACAAATCATTAGGGATCCTCTTAAAGGGATTCCTTCACTTTCATTCAACCCATAATTCCTTACATCATATTTTTACCTCTCTAAAACACCTTCCACACATAAAATCCAGATTTTTTAGCAGTATTTAGATGAACATTTCAAGTTAGCTAATGGTGGTGCAAATTTTCAAACAATAGTTCTGTTTCTTTATAATTGTGCAATCATTTAAAGATTGTATTACATTTCCTTTCGTACAGTATGGGAAATGAGAAAATAAAAACACACACACAACTCTAGTATTATTAATGCAATTGAGGGGGAAAAACGGCAATCTCTAGGTATACTGAAAATAACATATTTTAGCCTCAGTCAGACACTCTTTAGACTTACAGGAGACCTCCTGTGTTTATAATTGTGAAGGAAAAGAAGGAAATCAAAGAATATGTTCAAAAGATTGCAGATATGTTATCAAATATTTTCTGAAAGGCAATATTTTATAACATTGTTTCAACTATCTGGAAAAAGAAACCTCTTTAGAATATGTAAATCTTTCTCAGATACCACTCAGGTTCCAGTAAATCGTTTATTAATTCTCTTTGCCTTTTTGTTCTTGGATAAAGGAACTTCCTTCTGCACCAGCTCTGTAGGCTTTCTTCTCTTTCTAAAATATTGGTTCTTTCCCCGTTTTATTCAGAAGCCAAATGATTAGCTTCAGGCTCATGACTGATTTCCCATTGTTCCATTCACTTTAACCTCTCTCATTGCACCAACAATCTGGACCCCAGAGGGATTTTGTCACAGTTCTCCAATTCTCTTTCTCCCTTGGCAGCAATTTTTTATTTGATTTTCCTTTTTCTTTACTTTCATGAAAAGCAAAATTCTCACTTTAACCCTTTCTTTTAAATTATCCTTTGGTTATAAGAGGCAGAAAGGGCCTTAATTTCTTGAAACTCATGCAACGTTGACAGTGAACACTGGTGCTCATTTCTTTTTGTTATGACCCAGAGAAGTGAAAATGATATTCTTAAAAATGGTGTCACCCTTCAATCTATATTTGAATCTATTCATCATAATGACACACTTTAGTCTGATTCCATCATAGAATAATCTATCTTTTAAATCACCTACAAAGTAAGAACAATCAACAATTAAAGGAAGGCAAAACTGATACCTTCATCTCAAAGAAATATTAATAGTATGGCTTTCAACTAACAAAGTACATTCAATGATAAGACAAACATAGCCATTGAAGTCATTCTGAATAGAGAAATGTATTGTTATTGTTAGTGGTAGCAACAATAAAAATAACAACAGCTACTACTTGTTGAGACCTTTCCATCATCCATACAGTATACACTGGAGATATTTAATCTTCAAGACACTCTAGAGGCGTATAGTTCTTATCCTCCTTTTATATATATACACCTCAGGAAACAGCCTCAGAGAGGTTGCTTAATGCTCAGTATCACGTAGCAGAGCCCAAATTCAAACTCATGTATAACTGGAAGGCCAGGATACAAGACACAAGTCAGACAAATGAATTTTGCATGGGATTCCATATGATCTGGAATCTGTAAGTTTTCACCAAAGATAAGAAACAAAATCAAATATCTTACTTCACTGAAATCACATCAGTACTTCTGGTGCAGTTTCTGAGCCTGTGTTTTGTAAGACAAGACAAGTGGAAATATTTACCAATAACACTCATTTTTGTGAATTGTGAATACAATTATACACAAAAACTGGTTCAGTTAAGGACAAAACTCCAAGGTATTATAAGAAACATCTGATCAATAGTTATCAACACTATTAAGAACTTTATTAGGTTTAAAGTTTACTTACAAACTTTATTTATTTATAACTTTATTTATTAATTATTTATTACTTTTGCCATTAGAAGTAATGGCAAAACCCGCAATTACCTTTGCACCAGTCTAACATTTTTATATTTGAAAATGTTTATATATATATTTGTTTATTCCATAATTCAATCCATATAAACAATTTTTGTTTTATTTAACTCATTCACGTGTATTATCACACTATTTGAAAATTTTTTTAATATTTATATATAAGAAAGGTATCAAGGGTGGACTAAACTTAAAGTAGAAATTTGAAAGCTATTAGTTGTCTGAAGTTCTAATTCTGATTTTCTTTACTTAAATTGGCAGTAAGATGAAATGGATATGAGAGTATTGTTTTGGAAGCAATCCCAATGACTACAGGATAGTTTTTAATCCATAATTAATTCTTTTATTTTACATCACAGAACACAAAGGGTGGGTGGGCATTCACATTATTGCAAACCAACTCTGAAATATAAAATATTATTCTTAATTTTCACCATGATTTTTAAGTTCCTTCTGCACTGTTTACAATTATTAAATAAGAGACTCCTTCTCTGGAGTAAGAGACACATCCCTACAAATTGAGAATATATACCATGGAATACTATGCAGCCATAAAAAAGAATGAGTTCATGTCCTTTGCAGGGACATGAATGAAGCTGGAAACCATCATTCTCAGCAAACTAACACAGGAGCAGAAAACCAAACACTGCATGTTCTCACTCGTAAGTGGGAGTTGAACGATGAGAACATATGGGCGCAGGGAGGGGAAGAAACATCACACACTGGGGCCTGTTGAGGGTTGGGGGGCAATGGGAGGGATCGCATTGGGAGAAATACCTAATGTAGATGATGGGTTGATGGGTGCAGCAAACCACCATGGCACATGTATACCTATGTAACAAACCTGTATGTTCTGCACATGTATGCCAGAACATAAGTAAAAATAAATTAATTAACCTCTTCATTTAAAAAAAGCATAATTTAAAAACTTTTTTCTTCTTTCCCCTGAGGATCTCCAAGTCAACATAGTAGTGCCACTACTCCCTCCATGTCCTTTCTTACTTATATGCCTGTAACATCAGTCCTTTTTTAATAATATGAAAACAAATTTGTGTCTTAAATCTCTTGATTTGGAGAATGATTAAAAACAGCTAAATGTTGAGAAACAGAGGGCTTAGATGGCAGACAGAGCCTCTTTTACTTGCCAAAACATGATTTCCTGTTGCACAAGCAAATGAGGAGGCTTTAAAAGGTTTAACTGATGTCCTGGGCACCTCTGAGCTTAACATGACATTTTGATAAGAAAAGTTTGTAAATAAATGAGATACATAAGGACTATGTTTCCCTGGAAATTCTCAGGGTTTTAAAATCTAACAGATAATGTGTTTTGAGCTTTCATCTAATTCTCCATTCTTGTGAAATGCAGTGACCCTGAACATTGAAGATCTCTCCCTCACCTAGGATTACGAATCTGTCTGGAAACACTAGCCACATATTGCAGCAGATCAGTAACTGGGACACATAAACAGATCTGATGCACCAGACCCACACTGTACATTCAGACTTGTAATCCAAGCCCATGAGACACATGAGAAAGCAAAAGGAGTAAAGTATCAAAAGAGGCCAATGAAACAAAGATGGCACAAGAGCATTGTAAGAACTTTATTGCACTAACAATGAGTTGACAATTCTCCATCTTGAAAAATCCCTGCACATTAATACTATAAGAATCAATCTCATTAGCCTACGAAACAACATTAAAAGAGAGAATTTTTTTCCTATATTCATTGGCCACAAATAACACATTTAATCAGCTGAAAGGGATGTATCTCTATAGAGAAAAAAAATCCTTCAAGCATATCATTCTATTAAACAGTGTCATGCAGAAACTAATCTCAAGATTTTAATAATTTTTTAATGTAAGAGAATCCTTATGAGAGGAATTTTACAAACCAGTGACCTAAAAATAAGCTGGTGGCATAGGGAGCTATATACAAAAGCACTTCAGGAAGGGGGGGCGGGTAAGTGGGCATTGCAGTCACCGTAATAGTAAACTATGCTAAGCGCATAGTTGCCAGAGACCTAAAAATGCTATAGGACTTAGCACTGGACAAAAACAAATGAATATTTTCAGAGCATCTACTATGTTCTAGGTGCTATAGTTGCATTACATATTTGGTCTCTTTTTATCTTAAAAAGCTGTGATATAAGGAGTAGCAGCGGCATCTCTAATGTATAAATGAAAGGCCCAGGATTCAGAAAAGACAAGGCAAGTCACATCTAAGTGTCAAGATTGTTCAAAAGATTCAGAAACAACATATACAATGTTTCTTTATAAATATAAACCACATATAGAAATGCAGATATATAGTACTTTAAGATTTTATAGTTAACTTCTGGTTCAATAATGCCATACAAAGCATACATATTCCTCTTCTCCCTTCCAAAATCCCTTTGAAATAACAGTGAAGGGAGACAAAAAAGAATAAATTCATGGCACTGTGAAATCAAGAGAGGATGCCTTCTACAGATATGACATTCAGATATTTTCACAAACTTCTGGTAGATAAAGAATTATATTTATACAGTCAGCCTTACAAAACTAAAACAGTTCAGCTTACATATATGAGAAGGCTGTAATAGAGAATGCCATTCATTCTGTTGGAACAGATGCACATTCAGGAGGGCTGTAGCGTTCATCTCCAGCTGGAGCCCCAAGAACTTTCAATGAAAAAAACAGTGAAATATTTATTTGGTAAGGACTATTAGTGTGAGTGTTTGGCTGAAGACTTAGAGAAAGCCTGCAAGAACTCCAAAATACTTCAATGAACCTGAAAAGTAAAACAAGAATGACTTCCTCCAAGAAGTAAAATTCCCTAGAGGTCACTGTTATAGGTGGCTTTTGTCCTCCCTCAAATTCGTATGTTAAGTTTCTAACTCCCCAAACCTCATAATGTTCCTATAGTGTTTGCAGATGAGGTCTCTAAAGTGGTAAGTTAAAATGAAGCCATTTGTGTGGGACCTAATCCGATATAGTTGGCCTCTTTACAAGAAGAGCTTAGGAGGCAGATAGGCACACAGGGAAAAACATGTGAAGACAAAGGAAAAAGATGGCCATCTATAAGCCAAGGACAGGGGCCTCAGAAGAAAGCAACCCTGACAAAAACTTGGTCATGGACTTCCTGCCTCTAGAGTTATGAGAAAATTATTTTTTGTTGTTTAAGCCACCCAGTCTGTGACATTTTGCAATGACAGCCCTGGCAAACTAATACAATCTCATATCACCCACAGTAAAACCTTACTTGAAAAATAGTGGGAGTTCCAGGATAGCCTACCAATCTCCACTGATGGACCCTAAAGGGAAGTCTATAGTCAATCATGCCATTCAAGACAGACCTTCTGCAAAGATCCTATACCAGCTATTTCCCTGAATCTTTAAAAATTCTCATTTTAAAGATATGATAGTTCAACAAAAACTCAACAGACATCTAAGGAAAACAGGATGAAATAGAAAAATGTGACCCTGGATGGATTAAAAATAATACATCGCAGAGATGCAATCTCAAAAGTAAAAATTCTAATTAGTATTTTTGGAGTGCTTCAAGCTATTATGAAATGAAAAGCCAGCCTCAGAACAGAGAGCTATTTCATTTGGAATTTAGAAAATCCTTTCTGAGGCTGAGCATCGTGGCTCACTCCCGCAACCCCAGCACTTTGGGAGTCCAAGGCGGGCAGATTGCTTGAGGTCTGGAGTTCGAGACCAGCTTGGGCAACATGATGAAACCCCACCTCTACAAAAAATACAAAAATTAGCCTGAAGTGGTGCTGCATACCTGTAGTCCCAGCTACTCAGGAGGCTGAGGTGAAAGAATCGCTTGAGACAGGGAGACAGAGGTTACAGTGAGCCAAGATTGTGCCACTGCACTCCAGTCTAGGTGACAGAGCAAGACTGTCTTATAAAAAAAAAAAAAATCCTTTCTCAAGACAACAGCCTGCTTTTAAAATCTGCAAAATCTTAATTTTGAACATGGGCAGTTAAATATTGTCTTTGTTCTTTTTGCATTTTTTTCTTATTCTTCCCAAACCAAACCCAGACCAATGGATGCTCAGGGACAACTGAGGTCATCATGTATTTTAAAAAAAAAAAGAAGAAGAAGAAAGAAAGAAAGAAAAAAGAAAACCACTCTTCCTAAATAACTGATTTACTTATAAATGTTTTTTAAACGCTTTAGTCATATTTCACAGTAGTGATTCATTCATTGTGGTCTTCGCATGCCAACTAGGGCTTCCCTGCATCTAAAGATGTACATAAATACCACTGAAACTTTTGTGAATGATTTGTGGAATTTCCAGTGCCTTCCCTATGAGTGTAATAAAGTCTCAAGACTTTTCTGGGTTTTCTCTGATTAACTTCCTACTTCTTCTGAAATTTTGTTCTCTTCTCTGCTTTCTGTGATTCCTATAAGTCTTGTTCACTGGTGTCAACCCAAACATGGAACATGGCCCCATCTCCTGGATTTCTTCCTCATTCTCTCAACAAATTTACATGTCAGCTGTCAGTGACTGACTTCAATAGAGATTCAGAGGTAAGAGCAAGGGAGACAGCATATCAACACTATAGAAAGTTTACAATTGAGTATTAGACATTTGTTTTCTTTAAAAAAAACATTGACTTTTTACAACTCAGATTCAATTTTCCACTCTTTTGCTCAACCATTTTACTCTCTCTCTCTGTTCAAGCTGCAGCACAACTTTAAAAATGTTGCTTCCATTTTATTACAAAGTCCGCACTTACCTCCAATTTCATCAACTGATAGACTTTTAAAATGTGATATATTCATACAACAGACTATTATTAGGCAATAAAAAGGAATGAAGGGCCGGGCACAGTGGCTCACACCTGTAATCCCAACACTTTAGAAGGCCGAGGTGGGCCAGATCACCTGAGATCAGAAGTTCAAGACCAGCCTGGCCAATGTGGCAAAACCCCATCTCTATTAAAAAAAGAAAAAAAATTAGCTGGGCATGGTGCCAGGCGCCTGTCATCCCAGCTACTCTATTCAGGAGGCTGAGGCAGGAGAATCACTTGAACCTGGGAGGCGGAGGTCGCAGTGAGCCAAGATCGTGCCACTGCACTCCAGCCTGGACAAAAACAGTGAGACTCCGTCAAAAAAAAAAAAAAAAAAAGGAATGAAGTACTGACATATACTACAACATGTATGAACCTTGAAAACATTATGTCAAGTAAAAGAAGCCAGTCCCAGAAGACCACATATTCTATGATACCATTTATGTGGAAAGTCAAAAATAGGGAAATCTATAGAGACAGAAAATAGATTAACGGTTGCCTAGGAGTGGGAAAATTGAAGGGAAATGGGAAGTGACTGCTCTATGGACATTGAATTTTGCTTATAAATGATAAAACATTCTAAAATTGATTGTGCTAATGGCTGCAGGACTCTATGAGAATATTAAAAGTGATTGAATTGTACATTTTGAGTGGGTAAAATTTATGGCTTGTAAATTTATCTGAATAAAGCTATTATAAAACGAACAAACAAAATGTACTCGAACCTAGCAGTCCCTGCTGACAATTGCAATCAATATTTTGTGGCCAGAGGGGGTGCAGCAGGTGAGCAACAACCTTTAAAAAAGAGTGTCTTAAAAGGGTTTTTTCCTGTCCAGGAGTATGATATGCAATGATGGCTTCCACATTGATTGATATCTGTGATTTAGTAACATCACCAACCTTCTTTTGGCATACTGATTGTAGTTCATTGCCACCTGTTCTCCACTTATCTCTTGCTGTGATTCCTATTGTTCTGTTCATTCTATTACTAAATAAATCTGTTTCATTTTGTAAGGCTGTGTTTTGGCTCGTACTACACAACAATAAGCCCTTGGAAACTTGGCTCTTCACACTTACTTCTGATATCATTTTAATGGATTTTGGCACACACAGGAAAACTACAGGTAGTCCATTTTCTAAAGGATTATTTTTTCAGAATTGATGAGAAGATATTAAAATCTTAGATAAGGTTTTTTCTTAAATTAAAGTTTCTTTTTGAGCTCTTCAAAACTGTAAGATGATGAGTAAAAAAAAAAAAATTAGTAAAGCCAAAGTATCTCCTCCCATGAGCAGTTATTTCAAGTGAACTAATATTTGAACTGGTCATTTTCTTAGTCATAAAAAGTATGAACAAATATATTTTCAAATTTATGTCCATCAATGTAGGCTTATTTTTGGCTTATATGGGTCCAGGAGGACAAGGAGTAGACCCAGGTCTTTGTCCTAGATCAGGGTTGCCAGAAAAATTAAAATCTGAGTCCATGTGAAGGTGCTCTCAGGACATAGAGGACAATACTAGGTTGCAGAAGGGAAAAGAACTGCATATGAAGCAAGGAATCTGCAAAGGACACACAAAGCAGATGATTGGGTCCCTGCGGCAGAGCCTTGAGAGATTCCCTAAGGTAATTAGATACATGAAGTGAAATGTAGTGGGACAGAGCTTTCCAGGAGCTGCTGCAGCCAGCCTATAAATAGAAAAGTGTTGTGAAGGATACTGGCATTCTGATTCTTTAAGCTTCATTTTTTCTTGAGTACTTAAAATGTAGTAGATTCTATGCCCATGCATATTTCCCAAAATTGTAAGTGAGAATTGGAAATGCAACTCCCAAATCTTCAAATCTGAAAAATTATTCAATCTCAAAACTCATATTCATACTATATATAATAACTTATACCTCTTCCCTCCTGTGACTTTCACATATCAGCTGGAGTTGGGGGAGAGGAGACTAAAGCACCCTCCAGGCACAATTTACCACAAGTTCCCAAATAAACCTTTCACCAACTCACTATGACAAAGCATAGATGAGAGAAATAACAGCATGCCAGGTTCAACCGAGTCCATAGGTGAGTGTAGCTGCTCAGTAAGTGTTTGTTGATTAAAATTAAGGATGACTAAATCCATGCCCAAACTGAGTCCTTACAAAATGCCACCATAAAATATAAATTTTAGAAGAGTTAGTAAAAGACTTCTGAATACTAACTGCAATGGAGATACTACACAAAACCAGTCATATTAATTCCTACAACCCTTCAGAACAAAGAGTCCAACTGAAAGTAAGATACGCTGTAATTATGTTGATCCTGGCTTTTGCAAATTCCCAAAGCACAGATTACTATCCACTAGGGCCATTTAAACCATTTACTCATTCAGTTACTCTGAGGCTTCCAGAATGAATAGGCAACCAGTCATGGTAATTCCATGAACACTTTATGATAGTCCAAAAAAATAAAAATAAAAATAAAAATGTGGGACTCTTTTTGAAGATGTCAAAGAACATAGAAATCTCATTATGTTAGTAATTGTGCATGACATCTCTGGAAGAATTTATTTAGAAAAGAGAGTTTCAGTGTTCTCTCAGTAAATTAAGAAAAAAAGATTTATCAAATTAATATGAAATGCAAATTTCCTGAATAAAGTCTTAATTCTATTGACAGTATTAACCATTTATGCACAATTAATTATTCTCACACAAAGTTCATTTGTGACATTGTTCCATATTTGTAAAATATAAGGAATTTTGGCTGATAAGTTTTCATGGGGATGTCTTCAATAAACCTGCTACTTTTCTAATAGGTACTGATATGGTTTGGCTCTGTGTTCCCACCCAAGTCTCATCTTAAATTGTAATCATGTGTCAAGGGAAGGACCTGTAATCCCAACATATCAAGGGAAGGAGGTGTTTTGATCATGGAGGCGGTTTCTTCCATACTGTTCTCTTGATAGTAAGTGAGTTCTCACAAGACCTGATGGTTTTATAAGTGTTTGGTAGTTCCTCTCTTGTCCATTCTCTCTTCTGCTGCTCTGTGAAGAGGTGCCTGCTTCTTCTTCACCTTGCATCATGATTGTAAGTTTCCTGAGGCCTCTTAAGCCATGCAGAACTGTGAGTCAATTAAACCTCTTTTGTTTACAAATCACCCAGTCTTGGGTAGTATCTTTATAATGATTTGAGAATGAACTAATACAGGTACTTATTGATTATAGGCATTGAACTATCACATATTCCAATAAATAATCATGCATTCTACAAGCTTAGTGAGTATAGGGCAAGATAATGAGAAACAAGATGGGAAAGCTTTTAAGCAGAGAAGGAAATAAAAATGTGTAACTGTGAGGTGAGTATTTCAAAATCAGGCCAATATTTAAGATTAATTCCAACACAAATACAGTAAAATAATTTTTTAATCACAAAAAAGATCAAGTTCAATGTTTGTAATTAATAAAGACAACTACAACTATTGAAGGTGCCAATTTTTTAACTATAGCTAACATAATTGACCTATAAGAGTTATTTGAACAGTTTCTGACACTTTTTTAAAAATCTAATTTTATTAGCTGCTGCTGCCAAGGAAGGCACCAAGTTAAAATGAAAATGTCATACAAAGTGCCCTTCAGCATAAAATCACCAAAATGTTCCATGCTATTAACAAAAAGCACCTTGATTATTCACAGAGAACTTCATTTCAGTGCCTTTGACTGAAAAGGGGTTAACTTAGTGAACAGTGTCCTCCATTTATTGCATACTTTCTCTAAAGCCCTGGACATTTCCAGCTGACAAATACAGACACAGTTTTCATTTTCAGAAACAACATTAGTTTGCTGCACCATTGGGTGAAATCCAAGCATTTAGTCAGGCTTGTTTCCCTTGCTGCCTGGCTTAGCACATGTAATGAGAATTATGTCTTTCACTTCCATGCCAACTTGAATACATTAGAAGAAAGAATAACAGAGTCAGCACTATATCCAGATAGACATGCCCACAGAAAATAATCTAATGTGTCCTTACCCAGGTGGCATTCAACTTCTAAACACTGTAACTAATGGACCACAAAAAGCTAATGACAAACTACAGTTTTACATTAGCCTCAGAAAATTTCATAATTTAAACTATTAAACCCATTTGTCCTCTTTTTTTAACCCATTTGTTCTTTTAAGCAGAATAACCTTAAGATTGCCCAATAATATACTCAACTATTTTTTGCCATTTTGAAAATAAGTTATAAAAGTAACATAGAAAGAAGATTAGACTTTATTTGAAATGTTAAAAGGGTAAAATATCACAACAAACAGAATATAATTTTCTAAAGAACAGTTAGGATCATGAAAAGTAAATCTGGATACCCATAATTTTTCACTTAGTTTTATATATAAATTTTGGACTTCTTTTCAGTAAAGTGCTAGGATGTAGACTATATTATTTTGCATATGTTTTCTAATTTTAGTTTTATAGTCCTAAATGAAGTAGATACTTCATTATCTTAAAATAAGGATTTTAAAAACTGAGCCTTAGAGAAATTAAGTAACTTACATGGATGGTCTAGAATCCAAATTTTCTGCTGAGTTATTTAATCACTAGGCTGTATGACCTCCCTAGGAAGTTTTGTCCTTTACAAACAATGACCACATGCTTCTATCATTTTCATTCTATTATATTAATTTTATTTTATATTATTCTATTTCATTTGTTATAATTTTTCATTGTATTTGATTCCTAGTGCTTATACTCTCCAAAGATAAGATTTTTCTTATAGGAGTTAATATTGATAAACCCAAATTTACACCGTTTCTTGCATTTTGTTTTTCTGAGACAGAGTCTTGCTCTGTTGCCCAGTCTGGAGTGCAGTGGCATGATCTTGGCGCACTGCAACCTTCCCCTCCTGAGTTCAAGCGATTCCCCCACCTCAGCCTCCGAGTAGCTGGGATTACAGGCACGTGCCACCAAGCCCGGCTAATTTTTGCATTTTTTTTTAGTAGAGACGGGCCTTCGCCATGTTGGCCAGGCTGGTCTAGAACTCCTGACCTCACGTGATCCACTTGCCTCAGCCTCGTTGGCCAGGCTGGTCTAGAACTCCTGACCTCACGTGATCCATTTGCCTCAGCCTCCCAAAGTGCTGGGATTACAGGTGTGAGCCACCACACCTGGCCTCTTGCATTCTTGAGCTAACACAACTCTTGCTGTTAGATTAATATTCATTTATTAATTCAGCAATTTTTTTTTTTTTTGGCTACTGTGATAGATACTAGCTATCCCAATGGCCACTCACATGCCCCTTCCCCTTGGCTCACCTCTGCTTTAGAATTTAGATATTTTCAATATTCACTTTCCAGAATTCCTTTCCAGTAGGGGTGGCTATATGACACGGTTCTATTCAATGAGAGGTAAGTACCAGTCAGCTGAGGAGTTTAGAGAAACATCTCTGCTGCCTCATAGAAGTGATAAATATTGCTAGTACCACCCCTTACCTTCTCTTTCTGCTTCACTTGTAAACATAATGCCTGAAACTGAGGCAGCCATCTTATATCCATGAGTCAAAAACATAAGGACAAAGAACAACACACCAAAGCTGGCAGTGCGGATATAGAGAAAAAGTCTTGAGACTTTTCCTTAACCATGTGACAACTGACAACTGAGATTCTTCTAAAGTATCAGTGAAGATTATCTAGTTAAAGGCTCTCTTGGTTGTATTTTCTGTATCCCAGAATCAAAAACCAATTCTTTTTTTTTTTTAAATTATTATTACACTTTAAGTTTTAGGGTACATGTGCACAATGTGCAGTTTAGTTACATATGTATACATGTGCCATGCTGGTGTGCTGCACCCCTTAACTCGTCAATTCTAACTCACCCCGGTGCTGACCATATTCCAGAGGATACAGCAGACGTTCTCATGAAGCTCACATTCTGGAAAAGGCATTCGACAATAAACAAGTAAAGAACGTTAAGCACCATGGAGAACAATAAGTATTCAGGATAAGGAAGTAAAGAGTGACAAGAAGAGACTAAGTGAAGTTTCTCTAAGGAGGTGGCATTGAGCTGAATAAATACGGGACCAAAAAAACATGCTTTGGAGAAAATTATTGCAAGCTGAGGAAACAACATCTACAAAGGCTATGAGACAAAGAAATGCCTTACATATTTGAGGACACACAAATGGTCAGTATGTCTAAAGCCCAGTGAATTAGAAAGAACAAAACGTTGCCACAAAAGTAAGCAATTCAGTTAATATCCATGTAAATTTATTTGAAAGCCTTTTGTTTATCTGGAAGCATTAAACTTCTTAAATCGCCATTCACTTGACTTTTGGCAATTTGCTTCCCTGCACTAAAAGATTTTGTAGAACATTATTTTATCTCAAATATCATTTATCCATGACAACCTTGCAACAGTTTCAAACACACAAACATTCACCTGTTTTTAAGGACAATAATGATACCAAAAACTTTCTTCAAAGTTTGACTTTAGAGATGCAGGAGATGAATAATGATGCTGGCTGGTACCATAAAATCAGCTCTCTGAACAGAGGTCTGTCATTTTTCTCACACTTATTTCTCTAAGATACCATCGATACTAACCTACAGCACTTCTTCTTGGTTTTTCTTTTTAACTGAGTTAGCACCAAAGAAGAGAAAAAATTAAACAATTTCCTCACAGCATGTTCAGAAATTTTGACATCCACATTTAATGATGAACTATGGGATTCCTTCAAGCCACCATCTGTGAGCAGAGCTGCTTTAGGAGCAGCAGTGCAAAGATGTTGGATATTTCACTCCGTGAAGAGACAGCTGGTAGGATTAAAAAAAAGAGAGAGAGAGATGAACTAATCTAATCAATTAATCTGGTTTCCATATTCCTTTGTATTTGCATTATGGAAATAAGCTAAGGATGATTGCCTTTCACCTTGCCTCTAAGAGGGAAAAAATGATAGATTTGCAAAAGAATGTAACAGTCCTACAAATGGAATCGGAGGGAAACAATGTATCAAGTGGCGAGATGGGATTCTCTTTTAAGTATTCTCTTTTCATGCAGTTTGAAATTTTAATATTAATGTGCAGGTGATCAAATAAGTCTTCAGTAAAAGCATCATAAGGCTAAATGTTGAATCAGAGGATAAACGAAGACACATCCATAGAAATAAAAAATATCATATTATGTTTTCCCTTACATTGGATTGAAATATTTATGAAAGTTTCATTCCATCGTAGGAGAAAGTTTTTCTTTACAGAGGAATTTCAACTAATAAATGTTAAAGGAATTGTAATATTAGAATATGACCATTTTGCAACCCAAATGAAAGCATTGATTCAAGCAATAACCATCAATATATAAAACCATTAGGTAACAGGTCGATGGCAAACTTTTCAGTGGGAGGCATCAGGCTGTCACCACCAGAAATCACTGATCAATTTGTGTTACAACTAGTGGGGCCACCTGGCATAGTACCTCCCAATGTGATGAATAGAAAGCATGTATACCCACCTAAGCAATATTCTGACCAAGAAGTTGAATCTGAATCTAATCAAACTCCCAGAACTTTCATTTACAGGAAATAGGTGGAAAGGAGGAACAATTATAACATCGAAAGAAAGCAGATGGGGCACAGTGGCTCAACCCTGTAATTCCAGCACTTTGGGAGGCCGAGGAAGATGGATTACCTGAGGTCAGGAGTTCGAGACCAGCCTGACCAACATGGTGTAAACCCCGTCTCTACTAAAAATACAAAAAATTAGCCAGGCATGGTGGCACGCACCTGTAAACCCAGTTACTTGGGAGGCTGAGGCAAGAGAATCGCTTGAACCCGGAAGGCGGAGGTTACGGTGAGCGGAGATCTTGCCATTGCACTCCAGCCTGGGTGACAGAGCAAGACTCTGTCAAAAAAAAAAAAAAAAAAAAAAAAAAAAAGCGCCAAATCCAGAGCATGAGCATTTTATAGAACATCTATAGCAAGTCAATAGCCTGGAGAAAAAGCTAACAAGAAGAGTGCTTTACGTGAAAAGAGACTTCCGAGGTATGACCCCTCCAAACATGTCAACTTCTTTGAATCCTTATTCTGAAAAATCATTTCTAAGAGACTTTTTAAAATTAGGGAAGGGTAATTCTGAGCTGTGTATAAGGTGATAGCAAATAATTATTTTTAATGTTCATTGTGCTAGTAGCACTGTGGGAAAATAGTTTTGGGTTTTTTTTCCCCTTTAGAAAGGCATACTGAAGTTACAGGGAAGAATTGATATTAGGTTTGGAATTTGCCTTAAACTAAATCAGCAAAGAAGTAGGGGGTAGATGCAGCAAACACAGCAAAATCCTCATAATCGAGTGATGGGTATAGCTTATTGAATTATTTGTCCTATTTTTTCCTATTTGAAAGTTTTCATAATGATTTTTAATGCTTATTAATCAGAGCTTCATTAGGTACTTTGTATGAAAATGTCTTTCTAGGACAAATGATATTAGCAAAAGGCAATTAAAAAGAAAATATATGGCTGTTGAAAATGCAGTAATAAATACAAGCTGTCCTGTATCCATGGCGCACCACAGGTAAAAAGCCATTTGCATTTATATATGACATCTTTTCATTAACTATGTATGAAATGCATCTATTATCAATCCTGCTTAATAAAAGAAATAAAACATTAAAAAAATTAAAGAAGGGCTCAGAACTGATCCTCAGTTCATATCATTTTTAAGAAAAAAAGTCATATCATCGCATTAACATGCAAATAAGTTTTACCCATTTAGAATTTCTTACAGAGCCATATAGCCAACTATCTACAGACTTCCACAAATTTAAACATCAGTCCTTTTTTTATAGCTCTGGAATTTTGTCCGTTTAAAAGGGATCGTTGTAAATCATTGCAGTCTTTTTAGAGAGAAATCTGGCAGTGTATGGCAAAATATTAAAATATTCAAATGTTTACATTTTGAAATCCTATTCCTGGCTCTACATCCCAAGAGGAAATTGTTCAAAAGAATTTTAAAAATAGCTGCGTCATAGCCAAGTATTTATGATAGCAAAACTTGGAAATAATGTCTAACCATTAGAAATACTTAAGTGAACCAACTCATTGAAATACTATGGAAAATATGAAGATTATATAGATATATACAGTAGTGTATATTCATACTATTAAGTTGATGGAAAGTATAACTGTAAATTCACTATGTTTAAAGTGATGTTGTTCTAACACCATTTTAGCTGTGACTGAATATGCGAAGGTCGTGCTATGCAACACTGTAGCTTAGTTTCCTTCAGAGGTTTATCATCAAATTTTATCAAAAGCAATAGATAAATATTAGCTCTTATTCTGATTACTATCATTATTTATCTTATTAGAAGGGCTCAAAAAGAAATGTAAAGAATAGTATGTTTGAGACAAAGGAAAAATAGGTATCACTTTTGTAAAGATTTTTTTTAAAATCCTATATTGTTTAAAATTTAAACTCAAAGGTTAAAGCTGAATCATACACTTCTCAAATTTAGGATGACTTCCTTCTCTAGATGTATTTGATTTACCTAGGCAGTGTCTGTGTCTGACACTTCTGCCAATCAAAATCTGGTAATTAAATTTAACAGTACAGTTAATGTGATAAATTATAGTCAAAGATTTTCTGTTAACCCATTCCTATATTTCTGGGGGAAATAATTGTCTATGATTTATTTATATATTGCTTTATTTTTGCCAATATTAAATTTATATATTTGTCTTCGTGTTCATGAAGTGTGTTATCCTGCAACATTTCTTTCTCATATATTTCTTTTCAATTTTTTTAATGTTTATTTTTTGTAGAGATGAAGTCTCACTTTTTTGCCCAAGCTGGCCTCAAATCCTCTTGCCTTGGCCTCCCAGAGTTCTAGGATGACAGGTCTGAGCCACTGTACCCAGGTCTTTTCATTGTTTTTAATCAAGGTATATTAGCATCATAAAGTGACCTAGAGAGCATTAAATTTTGAAAAGTTTAGAAAAGTTTCCATAAAGATCATTTGTACTTTTTTCTTTTTTTCCAGTTTTATGATTATTAGTTTTTTGAAGGATTGTTATAACTCATCTGTAAAACCATCTGGGCCTGGATGAGTGTATGTGTGTGTGTATATCATAGTGTGTGTGTGTATATAGTATGGTGTGTGTATTTCATAGTATGTATGTCTGTGTTGTGTAGACTTTTAACTACTGATTCAGTTTCTTTTTACATATTTGTACTTATATATTTATACTATAGTTAGATTTTCTATATCTTCATAAACCAATTTGCTAGAAAAGTGTCCATGTTTTCTAACTAGTTTACCAGCATATATTTGTTTATGCTATTCTCTTATGATGTTTAAATCTCTGTCGTATCTGTAGTTCTACCCACTTTTGTTCCTAATATTAATTATACATGGCTTATCGTTATCATTCTTGTCAAAGACTGTCTATTTAATTCATCTTTTAATATAATCAGCTTTTGGCTTTTTGAAGTTCTCTATAATTTGTTTTCTAATTCACCAATTCTGCTCTTTTCTTTACCGTTTCCTTCTTTCACTCCTTTATGTTTGCTCCATTGTTCTAACTTAAGTTGAATACTTGGCTTATTAATTAGTCTTTTTTTTCTATGATAAGCAGTTAAGATATAAGATTGAAAATAGCTTCAAGGCAAAACTTGTTACTGATTAAATATGTGTTCAATTATAGAAAACAAAGATTTATGGTTAATAATTTAAAATGGAGAAATAATAGAAGAATATCAACCATCTAAATTATTTCATAAATATTAGTGAATTGGTGTGATAAATAATGTTAAGTTAGCAAAGTCAGGTGATGTTGCTAACTTGTTCCTCTTGTTAAATAAAGCTCATGAGAAGTGGCAGATAGAAAAGGAGAGTCGAAAATTTGACAGCTATATTGCAAAAGAACTCAACTTAGATAAAAGTCAGGTAAGAAACAATAACAAAATTGCCAAGACTTCTAATTTACAGTGATGGCTTCTCAAACTGCAGGATATTCCACACAGGGCTTCGTTAGTACTCATTAAGTGTCTCAAGCACACCTCTCCCTTGCTTAAATGACTTTCATTAGTACCTGAAAACCCTACCATTAAGTAAAGAGATTTTAAATGAAAAAAAAAAGTTTTCATTAAATTTAATGGAAAAATTATGATATGTTTCATCTCAACACAAGATACCCAAACAATTTTCACAGCTAGAAAAATATATCAATTGAATAAAAATCTGTTTTTATTAGTAATAAACAGCAATTTGGGAGTAAACAAATACAGCTTATATATAAATGGCAATGTTGTACTTCCTTTATTTTCCTTATTTCTGAAACATTTTTTTCACTAATATTTCAAACTTGGGGGGCTCATGATTATTTTGCACTTAAAGTAAAATTATCCCAGAAAAACACCTTTGGGTAAAATACAGATTAAGTATATAGAGGCATAACAGACAGAAGACTCCCAGAAGATACTGCATCTTCATCTCTTGCTTAGAGATGAAGAGAATAGCAGGCAGAAGTACTTTAGGGTATGTACAGAGAGCAAAATGCTTTGGATTCATCCATACATGGAAGGCAATTCAAATGCGATGCATATATTTGGATCTGACTAAAAATTGTTATGTCAAGTAAATTGTCAAATGTGTCATTGCCTGAAATCACAATGTTGAAATGCCCATTTTTATATTATGTTTTTTGGTGGAAAGGTTGTTAGACAATTTTTCAAGTCATTGTCCAAAATATTAGCATTTTGCCAGAGTCATTCTAGCAAAAAGTTGTTCACTGAAGAGTCATTATAGAGGGTAAGTCTGAAGAAAGTTACAAATGGGAAACAGATTATTTACTCAATAAGAATGTATTCAATGCTTACTTGAAACAAGTTGGACTGCTCGTGTAATCTAACCCTTAGGATTATTTAACTACCTAGTTTATCTTTTATTGCGATTTTGCTAAAGGAAATGCCATAGGCTTAACTGCTTTAACCTGAACTATGGCTTTTCTTTGGGAGATTTCTGCAAAACAAAAGGTATATCATTTTGCTACAATTTAGCCTCACTTTTTAGAACAGAGTAACAGCAACTAACACTATTAACCATACAATATCGAGATAAATCTCATATATTGAAAAATTATTGCTACAAACCAAGAGAGTCTCTCTAAAATAAAATTATATTCATTCAGGAATAGGACATTGCTAAGGGAATATGAATGTCATAGTAAACTATGTGTATACTGACAGAGATAAAATAATTTTTTAAAGGAAAAATGAGGGGATTACACAATTGTTTTGAGATAATTTTCTTTGGCTACGAGGATCAATAACAAGGGTGACAGTAGCCCAGGCAGTTGAACCAGCAGTTGCTGGGCAGATGTCCTTACAGAAGTATTTTTTCTTGCAAGAACTCAGTCACTGTTATGGAGACAGCACCAAGCCATGAAGGGTCTGCTCCCAGGACCCAAACACCTCCCACCAGACCCCACCTCCCGCACTGGGGATTACAATTCAACATAAGATTTGGATGGGGACAAAGAACCAAACTATATCACATTCTAAAATAACGGTTCTGGCAGCTGTATAATGAGAGCAAAATAGAGAGAACGAGCATGGATGCAGAAAGAGCCTTCAGAAGATTAGAAAGTGGCCCTGCGAGTGCTAATAAATGGCTGCAAAGAGTAGTTCCTACAGCAATCTATAATAATAGCTGTTGTGTAGGAACCATTTTTTGAAACCCGGAAGTCAATCACTAGGTTAAGAGAGCAGATGCTGAAATTTCTTCACAAATCAACTCAAGTCCTCAGACTGATGCCTGAAATTCACTAAACTAAGAGACTATGATATATGGTCATTCAGGCATAAATGGAGATAACCCAGGCAAAAACAAGAAAGAACAATCCAAGGAAATGATGAAATTATAGCACTTGGTGACAGGACTACAGGACATGAGAAGGAATTATGAACTATAACTCTGAAATGGTCACAGGACTCAGAACAGAGGCCACATAGCTACTAAGCAGCACGTGTCCATTTGGAGGTCTAGATTGTACTTGTTTGAGTTTCCTTATCTGTAAAATGGTCAAAAACAAAAGTTTCCACCTCATGATATTGTGAAGATTAAGTGAGCTAAGAAATATAAGCACTTAGAATAGTGCCTCAAAAATAGTAGGTGGCTCAGAACATATACAAACTTTGTTTAAATAAATTTAAGTGAAATGTCAGGTACTTCCCACATTTTGTTTTGTCTTCCAATTATAGCAATTCCATATGGCAAGCTAGAAAAACTGAAGTTAATATTTACAATGTCTTTTCAATATAAATACTGTTGACAGATGATTTAGCTGCCCCATTTTCTTAACTTTTATTTTTCATCAGTTATTTTATATACACTCAGTTACCTCCTTTAGAAATCTTATCTATTTTGTGGCTCCCTATTGAGTTTAATAAGATATTTACTCTTAATAATGTAATAACTCTAGGTAAAACAGTATGAATAGTTGAAATTTATTTTCTAAGTTAATACTATATTTAAATCTCTAAATAGAGCTCCTTTGCAAGACTAAGGTCAAGTTACAAAATAATCACCTTTGAGATGATGAGTAAAGATATGTAGACCTGAGAGAAAAGGAAACAGCATTCTTACACTCAAAACATTTGGGAAAAATGATAAAAAGAAGCATTTTTATTTGAAGTATGATTCATACTACTCTTCCAGCGATTGCAAATACAATAGAAGTATTTCATTACATTTCAATACCAAAATTATAAATCAAATAGCTATTTGGAGCCATAAGTATTTACCATATATAATCAATTTTTCAGTCACAAGTGCTGGTAGACATCAATGTTAACATTTTTATTCTCTTCCTTTTAAAAATGGCTACATGATGAATATAGTTATCACAAAGAGATTAAGGGATTGAAAACCTTTGAATTGTTACTAAATCCTGAATCCTGTTCTGAACTTGAATTTGCTTTTATGGAAATTTAAAGCACTAGCAGTTTGAGCCCAGTCTCCTTTTTATATAAATGCCATTTATTTCTTGAAACTTGCTTTTAATAATTGCCTAAGTCATTTAAATGCAAGCCGACTTCTTAGCAGGTGCTGAAACTGTGTACCAGGACTGAGGGTAAAATTAAATGACTCATTTCCATTATGATCAAAGCTGAAAACCTTTTCTTGTTATTATGTTGTGAATTCCACCAAATAACTACATAGTCATTTATTGAATTTTTCTTCTTTCAGACATTCACATTCCAAGCTATTGTATAGTAAGTGAACTGGTAACTTTTTTCAATATACTTCAAAATTTTACTGTAAAATGCCCTGCAGCGAAGACAATACTAGCTATTACCTAGCAGTGGGGTGAGCTAGTTTACCCTTTCTAGAGTTTGACATTTAAACAAAGTCCAGAAACATAAATTAAGAACATCTTAAATGATACTATAGATTAATATTCAGCAAAGAACACATTTGCCATTAACTAATTTTGTAAAAAAGTCTGCTTGCAAGAAAAAAATTAACCATCTTTCCTAAACAAGGTATTCTCTTGTGAGTAACCTTCAAATATAATTCCCAAGGTCACAAAGCATCTTTGCTCTTTTTTTGCAAATATAACAGTTTCTATTCCTCTACTTACATCATTCTAATGAAAGAAAAACAGAAACTCTACAACCACAAAAGTAAAACCATGCAATTGCTAAATGGCAAGTGTCAAAGGTCAAGAACAAAATATCTGTAATAAACTCTAAGAATTCTGGTAATTGTTTGCAAAAATATCTACGAAAGATTGATGTGACTATATGATAGTGGTTTGTTAAAGTGAATTTTCTAATCTCCTTTAAAATCTTTCTCAAGATCAGCCTGGTTTTAGATGAAGAAGTATTTTAAGTTATCAAAAACCAGTAAAAACATATTCTTCATATGCTTGGCAAATTGCATTTCTGGTTTCTGGTCCTGAAAAAGAAGACAGCAAGACATCAATCAATTGATATGACAACCCACAGACTCTGTTAAGAGATGAATTAGGGCAGTGTTACGTGCAATACTGACTATTAAAAACAATACAAGCATCCTGGCTGACACAGTGAAAACCCATCTCTACTAAAAATACAAAAAATTAGCCAGGCGTGGTGGCGGGCGCCTGTAGTCCCAGCTACTCGGGAGGCTGAGGCAGGAGAATGGCATGAACCTGGGAGGTGGAGCTTGAAGTGAGCCGAGATTACGCCACTGCACTCCAGCCTGAGAGACAGAGCGAGACTCCGTCTCAAAAAACAAAACAAAACAAAACAAACAAACAAAAAACGACATGAGATCATAGTATAATTTTTGCAGGTAGCTTTCACTTTCTTCTTTTACTTTCTATATTCAATCTGTTGCCATGGGCTATCATTCTTCCATCCTCTCCCTTCCTTCTCTTATTCTTTCTTCTTCTTTCCCAGGTTTTCATTATGTTATGCCTGAGTAATTACGGTATTCTCTTAGCTCAGTGGATCTCAGCTATCATTCTGAGTATCTGTGCAGCTATATCACAGAGTTACAGGTAGAGGAGAAAGTGAGAAAACAGAGGCAATGTGGTAGGTCTCTAAGAACATCAAGTTTATTCATCTTAGTGTTGTGTCCTTTACTCTGGGAGTATGTCCTTCCTGCTGATTTGATGTTAAAATTTCATTCCTGTATGAAACAGTGAAGATAGTATGTGGTAATTTACTGTTTATATTTTGTTGTTGGGGTTTTTAAAATATTCTTTCCTTCAAGATAAATAATTGATAACCATATGTTAGTCCTTAAGAATTTTCTAGGAGCTTTATTGGCTTATGAAATTCAAAATTCTACAAAACAGTATAGCTGATCTCCCTGAGTCTAGTTGCTTCCAAATTCACCATTTGTTAAGGTTGTAGGATGCTCTGCCTAAAACCCAGGATTAGGCCAATCTATTAACATTCAAGAAATTTTAATACCTCTTTGTTGCATTCAACATGTATTTCAACACCCACTGCAGCCACTACAATCTAGCTTTA
Source organism: Homo sapiens (assembly GCF_000001405.40). Lineage (NCBI taxonomy): Eukaryota > Metazoa > Chordata > Mammalia > Primates > Hominidae > Homo > Homo sapiens. The sequence continues at coordinate 183,213,046 of NC_000002.12, read as the reverse complement.
TTGTACATAGGTGTTCACCTGCTCTGGTCAGGCAAGTGTCCTCACTGTCTCCCATACATATTATCCTTCTTTCAGCTCCAGGCTTTTGATCACATTCTTAACCCTTCGGAGAAAGAAAAGATCACTCTTTCTCAAATTTAAATACACTATTCCAAAATAAGTGGTTGTTCATCCTGTTTGCTTGTTCTAGATCTCTACGAGAATCAAATTTCCTGAATTCATTTTCTTGGTAAGTAAGCCAGTTAATCTTCTTCTTATTACTGTCTTCACTATTTCCAGTAGCCTGTGCACCTTCTCAAGGAGACCACCTTTGAGAAGAATTTGTACTAATATAAATTGAACTACGAAAGGTAAAGCCTGGTTTTTTTAAATCTGAGTAGTCATGTTTCCATTACTTTCATTTCAAAAGCTAGCTAGAAAACTAAGATTTTTGCTTATCGCATACATTATCCCATACATATCAGTCTTACAAATACAGCAGTGTTTTGCAGGTTCATAGGTATTAATAAATGAGCCAGAGATGCCCAAAAAATTTTGTTATGAATATGTTGAATATGTTAGGACTAACTGAAGCTTAAATCAACAGACTGTGGCTATATTTAAGGTAACAATCATATTCAATTATTTCTCTCACTATTTTAACTCAAACTCCTTTAACTTCTTCCCATTGCAAAAGAGTATTAAACACTCATCTCTGTATTAAAGACAACACAACTGTGGTATGAAATAGTATCTATTAAAGTATATGGTGGTTCCTTATTGCCAACCTAAACTCATTTAATGCAAAAACTTATTAAATATACAACATTTTGATAAGCATCAAAATTGCTTAAAATTGTTGGAAATGTATAATCCTATAATGTTTGAAGAAAAATGTCAATTAGAACAATAAACCTACTTTGAAGAATCACTATATCGTGTTGTCACTTTTGTACACATACTACATCCAAGTGGCTGGGGCATAGTAGAAACTGCTCTACGTTTAGAGTCAGAAAACACACACACACACACACACACACACACACACACACACACACACACACACACCCTGTGGCAGGATGAATGTGGCAATTTGTCTCTTTTGAGTTTCAGTTTCTTAAATCTGTAAATAGGGGGAAATCAAATACCCTTCAAAAGTTGTTTGATCCTGTCTACAGATATCGTGATGAAAAAAAAAAGACAAAACTTGTTTGAGAATTAAGTGAGGAAATGCCTATGAAAAAAATTTGCAATATTGTTGTGTCACTACAGGGAAGTCTCAATTAAACAATGCTTCATTAAATTTGTGCTCAAATACTGTGACTATAAGCCAAAAAAACAAAAGAGGCAAGCTGCCTGCAGTCAGTATCTCTACTGAAAAAAAAAGTGAACGTGAAAGAAGACACCTTTTACATCTTTAAAACTTGCAACCAATGGTAATATTTCAAGTGACACAAAAATATTTTTATTGTGCAAGTTTCTATTTACTGCTAATTTTAAAATATTATTTCTTATTCCACCCAGTTTAACTGACAGGTTCAACTTTCTCTTTGGCTAATACAAAATTAACGGCTCAACAAATAATCATGCACTGTATTATCACATAAAATTAAAGAGATTTATGCAGAAAATAAAAAATCTAAATTATATGTGATTTTTATAAAAAGTCTCTTTGCATGAGCCATTTCAGTAGATTAAAGAGGTCAAAAGTCAATTTGCAGTAGGCTGAAGAGTGGATAAAGAGGTGAGGAAGTGCAAATGGCAATTATATGCTTTTCTTTTAAGATGTTCCCCAATGAGATACCATCTCATGCCAGTTAGAATGGCGATCATTAAAAAGTCAGGGGCCGGGCGCGGTGGCTCACGCCTGTAATCCCAGCACTTTGGGAGGCCGAGGCGGGCGGATCACGAGGTCAGGAGATCGAGACCATCCCGGCTAAAACGGTGAAACCCCGTCTCTACTAAAAATACAAAAAAATTAGCCGGGCGTAGTGGCGGGCGCCTGTAGTCCCAGCTACTTGGGAGGCTGAGGCAGGAGAATGGCGTGAACCCGGGAGGCGGAGCTTGCAGTGAGCCGAGATCCCGCCACTGTACTCCAGCCTGGGCGACAGAGCGAGACTCCGTCTCAAAAAAAAAAAAAAAAAAAAAAAAAGTCAGGAAACAATAGGTGCTGGAGAGGATGTGGAGAAATAGGAACACTTTTACACTGTTGGTGGGACTGTAAACTAGTTCAACCATTGTGGAAGTCAGTGTGGCAATTCCTCAAGGATCTAGAACTAGAAATACCATTTGACCCAGCCATCCCATTACTGCGCATATACCCAAAGGATTATAAATCATGCTGCCATAAAGGCACATGCGTATGTCTATTGCTGCACTATTCACAATAGCAAAGACTTGGAACCAACCCAAATGTCCATCAATGATAGACTGGATTAAGAAAATGTGGCACATATACACCATGGAATACTATGCAGCCATAAAAAAGGATGAGTTCACGTCCTTTGTAGGGACATGGATGAAGCTGGAAACCATCATTCTCAGCAAACTATCGCAAGGACAAAAAACCAAGCACCGCATGTTCTCACTCATAGGTGGGAATTGAACAATGAGAACACATGGACACAGGAAGGGGAACATCAAACACTGGGGCCTGTTGTGCGGTGGAGGGAGGGATAGCATTAGGAGATATACCTAATGTAAATGACGAGTTAATGGGTGCAGCACACCAACATGGCACATGTATACATATGTAACAAACCTGCAAGTTGTGCACATGTACCCTAGAACTTAAAGTATAATTGAAAAAAAAGGATGGAGGAAGCTGTGATGGAATCTACAGGGAGGCAAGGAGATAAGAGGGAGGGAAAGGAAGGAAGGAGTAAAGAGGTTCTTCAGTTCAAAGTGAGCAGGGAAAAGGGAGCAGAGAAATTTGTGGGATCAGAGTTCAGATTTCTGTCAGACAATGACAACAATAAGAGCCTCACTGTTGCTACAGCCCACACTTATGACTTTTTTTTCTTTAATTGCTTGCCATTTGAAAGAAACTGTCTATTTTTTCACATTGCATAATTTACCAAAATCACAAATGACCCACAAAATGCCAAATTAAAGGAACACTTTCCAATCTATATTTTGCAATGAGGCATTTGACATCTTCATCTTCTTGAATCTTCTTTCTCCATTCTTTTTAAATCTTCTTGAAAGTCTCCTTTTCCTCAGAGAGCAGCAGCCTCAGCTCCCAGTTCCTGGTTCCTAATTCCTGATGCATGCCTGCTCTCAGATTTCATGCCCTGCCTTTTATACCCTGCTCCTTTGACCAAAAAAAAAAAAAAAAATAGTACCTTTCCAGTGCAGAAACCTGGCAGACAGCACCTTAACCAAGCGATCAGAGTTAATGTCACCTGTATGAGGACACATCCACATGATGAAATACTCAGGACACAGCATCACTCCATGGGGGTCCTGCCAAGAATGCAGAACCTCCAACTAATCCTGAGAAACCATCAGGGAAACCCAAAAGGAGAGATGTGCCACAAAGCCACTGGCCTGAGTTCTTCCAAAGCATCACAGTAATGACAGACAGAAAAAGACTGGGGACCATCCCAGACTGGGGAAGACAAACAAGACATGACACCTAAATGTGAGTAAGATCTAGACAAGGAAAAAACACGAGTGGAGCAACTGGTGAGATTTTAGTGCAGTCTATTAATAGGACAGGATCATTGTTAATTTCCAGGTTTTAATCATCGGCCCGTGGTTTTGTGGAAGCTGGGTGAGGGGTATATATTGGAAACTACTGTGCTGTTTTTGCAACTTTTCAAAAATCTAAAATTACTTCTAAATAAAACAAGAGTCCCCTTCTTGTTTCAAAAAAAAATAAAATAAAATAAAAAATAAAGTCTTCTTTTCCTAAGACTCTCCTTGAATCCTTAGGATAGACTTGGTTATGGTGTGGTAACAAATAGGTCAGTGGCCTAACCCAACAAAAGTGTATGTCTCACCCACACTACAAGACCAAGACAGGTCTTGAGGAGTTTCACTATTGATAATCACTAAGGAAAACAGGTTGACAGAGGCTCCATGTCAACATGTTACAGAATGGGGTCCCGATCCAGACCTCAAGAGAGGGTTCTTAAATCTCGTGCAAGAAAGAATTCAGAGCAAGTCCATAAAGTGAAAGCAAGCTTATTAAGAAAGTAAAGGAATAAAGAATAGCTACTCCATAAAACAACCCTGAGGGCTACTGGTTACCCGTTTTTATAGTTATTTCTTGATGATATGCCAAATAAGGGGTGGATTATTCATGCCTCTTCTTTTTAGACCATATGGGGTAACTTCCTGACATTGCCATGGCATTTGAACTGTCATGGCGCTGATGGGAAGTAGCAGTGAGGATGACCAGAGGTCACTCTCATCACCATCTTGGTTTTGGTGGGTTTTGGCTGGCTTCTTTACTGCAAACTGTTTTATCAGCAAGGTCTTTATGATCAGTATCTTGTGCCGACCTCCTATCTCATCCTGTGACTTAGAATGCCCTAACCATCTGGGAATGCAGCCCAGTAGGTCTCAGCCTCATTTTATCCAGTCCCCATTCAAGATGGAGTTGCTCTGGTTCCAATGCCTCTGACAAATGCATTTCAAATCATCAAGCCAAGGAGAAGGGAACCGGCTGACTGGTGTATTGCCTGTGCCGAGAAGTTACACACATCATTTCTGGTAACATTCCATTGGCCAAAGCTAGCAATGTGGTTATAACTTCACGGTGACCAGAGAAATGCAATCCTATCCCATGCCCAAAAGGAAAAGAACAAAAATACTTTTAACTGCCTCTGTAACTACATCCTCTCCTTCTCACTGCAAATATTTCTCAAAATTTGATTCTGGACCTCCTATTTCCATTGTGTATATTCTTCCTGAGTGACTTCATTCACTTCCTATATGACAATGACAACCAAATATACGTCTTGCCCAAACCTCTCCCATAAACTCTATAGACAAATATATCTCTACTTAGGTATCCCCAAAGCATCTTTAACTTACCACCCTTTCCCATTTCCTGTAATGAACTGTTTGCTTTTTCTTCCTATTAAACTATAACTTTCTTTAGATCATAACTGTGTTTTATTTATGTTTGTATCCTCAGTACCAAGCAAAATGCCTGTAATCTAAAAAGCATTCAAGAAAAAATATTTATTGAGTGAATGAATGAATGATGGCCATATTTATGGTGTTTGCATATATTCTTCAAAAGCCTCAGATGGATCATACAAGCCTTAGGATTCAGTGCCTTAAACTGAATGAGTGCCTGCTATTGAGGGATGTGCTTTGAAAGTGAGGTGCTGGGAATGAGGAAATCAGTCAACAAACATATATTGAGCACCTACTATCTGCCATGCACGATTTTAGGCAAGTTTTTGTTTATATCAATAAACAAAGTAACAAAAATTCCTGCGATTTGGGAGAAGAAAACAGTAAAAAATAAGCATTATATAATATAAACATTAAAAAGGAAATTATATGTTAGTGTGAATTAAAGCATGACAAATGGCATGAGGGGTCCCAAAGCAAGAGATAGCAGTGCGATTTTAAATATAATAGAGTGATCAGAGTATATACATCATTGGAACAGTAACATTTAAGCTGATTTGAAAGAAATGAGGAAGTTAGCTGTGTGGCTATCTGGGATTTTGGTTGGCAGGAACCACAAGTACAACAGTTCTAAAGTGGGAGCATTCCTGGGATGTTTGAGGAAGATCAAAGAGAAGAGGGTGGCTGAAGCTGAGTGAGAGAGAAAGGAGGAGCTGAGGTCAGTGAGGGAACAGTGAGAGAAGGGGCCAGATCTTGAAGGCCATTAAAGACTTTGGATTTTGCTCTGAGGGAAATGGACAGCCATAGGACAGTTGTGAGAAGTCCATGATCTGACTTTTTCTCTTTGATGAAAAAAACTGGACAAAATGATCTGACATATTTTTAAAACATGGTTTGGTTGCTGTTATGAGAATAGATTAAAACAGGTTGTATTAATTACCTATTCCCACATAACCAAAATTTTCAAAAATATAGCAGCTTAAAACAATATATATTTGTTGTTAATTCCTGTAGGTCAGGAATTTGGAAGCAGCTAAACTGGGTCATCGTGGCTCAGTCTCTCAGAAGGTTCACATGTCAACTGCGGCTACAGTCTCCTCCAGGCTGAAATGAGGCCACAGGACTCATTTCTGAAATGGCTGACCCATGTAGCTGTGGGCAAGAGGCTTCAGTTCTTTGCTGTATGTTCTCTCCATTGAATTGCTTGAGTGTCCTCAAAGCATGGCAGCTAGTTTCCCACAGAGCAAGAGATCCAAAAGAAAGAAGTCACACTATCTTTGCAACCTGGTCCTCAGAAGACATAACACTCTCATTTTGCCTTATTCTGTTTGTCGGAAGCAAGTCTTTCTATTCCCCCCAACCCCAGCTTTTTCCCCAATTTTCTTCTTTCCTGAGCTTCATTTCTGAGAGAAGTGCTTAAAAAGTGATAGTCAATTTTGTCTTTTTTTTTTAAGAGTTGGTGTCTCGCTAGATTGTCTAGGCTGGAGTGCAGTGACTATTCACAGGCATGATCATAGTGCACTACAGCCTTGAACTCCTGGGCTGAAGGGATCCTCTTGCCTCAGCCTCCTGAGTAGCTGAAACTACAGGCATGCATAACCAAATGATTGCTATTTCTACTCAATCTATTTTTATCACAATTTTGACTTGTATTCACCCTCAATTATTTAAAGAATTAAAAAGTAAATGTAATTGTCTTCAAAGTGTTCAAATGTGGATATATTTGCACCAAAAATATAAATTAAGTGCTAAAAAACTGAAAAATTAAATTATTCCTCATTGTATTAGGCTTCTCTAGAGGGACAGGACTAATAGGATAAGTGTATACATGAAGGAGAGTTTATGAAAGAGTATTGACTCACACGATCAGAAGGTAAAGTCCCACTACAGACCATCTGCAAGCTGAGGAGCAAGGAAGGCAGTCCCAAAATCCCAAAAGTAGGGAAACAGACAGTGCAACTTTCTGTCTGTGGCCGAAGGCCTCAGAGTCCCAGGCAGATCACTAGTGTAAGTCCAAGAGTCCAAAACCTGAAGAACTTGGAGCCTGACATTTGAGGGCAGGAAGCATCCAGCATGGGAGAAAGATGAAGGCCAAAAGACTCAGCAAGTCTAGTCCTTCCAACTTCTTCTGCCTGCTTTATTATAGCCCGCTGGCAGCTGATTAGATGGTGCCCACTCAGATTGAGGGTGGGTCTGCCTCTCCCAGTCCACTGACTCAAATGTTAATCTCCTTTGGCAACACCCTCACAGACACACCCAGGAACAATACTTTGCATCCTTCAATCCAACCAAGTTGACACTCAATATTAACCATTTGGCTCATATTTTCAAATAGTTTATTTCTCTCTTAAAATATTCAAAACTATTTCTTAAAATTAAAAGGTACACATATTAACAGAATCGATTTTTAAATCACAGTTATTTAAAATTAATTTTTTGCCTAACTTTTTGAAAATTTAATTAATATTATTAAATACTTAGAAAAATAGCAGTGCCTGTAATCCCAGAACTACTTGGAAGACTGAGGCAAGAGGATTGCTTTAGCCCAAGAGTTCAAGTCCAGCCTGGGCAACATAAAGTGACCCCCATTTCTTTAAAAAAAAAAAAAAAAAAGAGTTTTTAATAAAATAAATACTTTAGAAAATAAAAGCATCTATAATTCTAATATTCAATGCTAATGTGCTAGCTGCCAATGTGTTATGCTTAAAACATATTACATTTAAGATTGTTTAATTTTTAATAAAAATTTAAGAATACATACATGCAGATAAATGTAATACCTACATTCATACATACCTAAATAGACACACATTGAAAAATAAATTGCTCACCATTGCAAAATATTTCTCACCAACCATGTGCAACCATTGAGAATACCTTACTAACACATAAGTACTTCCAAAATCTCATGCTGGACACCAAGTGAAACAAGAAAATGACACTAGGCACTGTGGGGATCAGCATTCATGCCTTCCGATTGGAAGAATTTGGAAAGTCAATCTGCCTTTCTCCCACTTAAGTGTTTGCTCTGCTCACATTCTCCCCATGCTTTGAAGCAGTGTCCTTCTCCGATGTGAACACCACCACCACACACAAATTTCACAGCATAAGGATGCAGCTGCATTTTGTTTCAAGGACTTAGGTCAAGAGATGTAGGGAAGTCTTCCCTGGGGTTTGAAAAATGAGTTGTGAGAGTGAATGTATTGCAACTGCATTTTACTGTAGGCACTTTATCTCTCTCCTCCCCCATGAAAGAAGAGTAATAAAAAGGATCAGAAAGGCCCTGCTTCATTGCAGCCATAACCCTGTACCCACAACAGGCTGCTGAATGAAAACTAGGCACTCTCATCTGTGCCCAATCAGCAGTGAGTAACAGGAACTTTGGGACCCAGGACCTTCTGGAACAGCTGAAGACTGTCACCTTCAGGTAGAGGGCTGAAAGCAGTATGATTAATAGTATTACACTATTATGGGGAGTATTGTATTTGAAAGAGAATAAAGGGCATGCAAAAGCCTTTGAATAATCTGTCTCCCTTAGTGTCCTAAAATTTCCGTCTCATTGTAATTAAAAGAATCAAAGGAAGGTCTAGCATTAGAAAGAAAATCACCTCTAGTTTTGGCATACTATTTTCTATTTTAAGGTCTTTTTTGTTTTATTTTTAAGCCCTCTGTCCTACTTCCTTCGATCTTAATTTCCCTTAGTCTCTAGAGATGGGTTAATTTATGTAATTACAGCATATCTTCCATTACTTGTCATTCATAGGGGAAAAATCCATAGTTTTGTGTATATCCTGATTTGTGGATATAATCATGAAGAATTTTTATGGCAGTTCAGATCTAAAATTTAGCACTTTCAGGGAAAAACAATCTCTTCCAAGAAGGTGGTATACTTCATACTTAGTCCTCCATTGGGCACATGATGAAACTGATCCCAGATGCAGTTTTTGTTTCACTAAACACAAACTGAAAATGAACATGCTCTTTCATTTGGGAACAAAATTCAATTATAAAGAAACAGAAAATGCAATCTGAGATCAATAGCATATTACAGTGCCAGCATGTGGGATAATTTCAACTGAGTTTAATCTACTGAAATATGTGGCTATATACTGTTTATTTGCTTGTGCATTCCTACATAAGAAGTGACATTTAGTTTAGTTTTATTGGCATACAAAGGGCATATGTAAAATTGAGTAGTATTCAAAAGCATGATATAAAATTCAAAATCAACAAGCTAACAACCCGAGGCAAAAAAAGAAGTGTCTCAATGTGATATATAGATCCTCCTTAAAAATATAATTGGAATTTTAATATTCAATATTCTGATTTTAATGAACGTTTTATTTTTTAAAAGTTGATTGGCAAGAGTACAAAAATGCAGTAGGTCTCTGAGCTGGAAATTAAATTTAAAGATACATGTTTCAATGTTATACATTTGTTTTAAAGGTAGGAAACTTGTATAGATTATGTAATCCACTTCTACACTTTCATGGATGAGCAAACAGAGGTCCAGAGAGATTGAGTGACTTGCTTAAGGTCAATCAGTCAGTTCCTTGGAATAAGAAGTGTGTTCTTATAGCTGGTCAGTTGGGATAGGAAGCTCGCCGATTCGGAATGTCTCTAAGAGCACAGGCTGTGTAACTAGAATCTCAGTTTCTCCACTTACTAGCTAAGTGATCTTTTAAGGTTACCGAATCTCTTTGTCCTCAATGCCCATACTTGTAAAATAGGGATAATTATATTGCCTACCTTTTAGAGCTTCCGTGATGACTAAACAAGTTAATAGATGTAAAGCATTATGAACAGTGCCTGGCACAGCAATGTAAATGGCACCCCCAGAGTAGTGCAGTGTACAGCCTATGCAGCCCTTTACATCTATATATACAGCCAATGTACCAAAAGTATTGTGAATTGGATCCTGAAAGAACAAAAGGACATTAGCGGGAAAACAGTGACATCCAAATAAAGTCTAGGGCTTAATTAATAACAATGCACCAATGTTGTTTTTTGTTTTGAGACAGGGTCTCATTCTGTTGCCCCAGCTGGAGTACGCAAACACAATTCACTGCAGCCTCAACCTCTGGGGCTCAAGTGATCCTCCCACCTCAGCCTCCTGAGTAGCTGGGACTACAGGCACATGCCACCATGACCAGCTAATGTTTGTATTTTTTGTAGATACATGGTCTCCCTATTTTGCCCAGGCTGGTCTTGAACCCCTGGACTCAAGCGATCCTCCTACCTCGTCCTCCCAAAGTGCTGGGATTACAGGTGTGAGCCACCATGGCTAGCTTATTTTCTTAGTTTTCAAAAATGTACTATGATGATATACAACGTTAACTTTAGGGGAGACTGGGCAAGGGACATAAGAGGAATCATTCTACAACATATACATATAAGTAAACATCACATTGCACCATATAAATATATTGTTGTTATGTGTCAATTAAATCAAGAAAAAAAGAGAAAAAATGAGGAAAACGAAAACTTTATACTGTCTTTGAAACATTTCTGTAAATCTCAGATTATTCAAAAAAAAAAGTTTATTTTTAAAAATCTAATACAGATTCTAGTCAGCAAGGCATAGTGGTGCATGTCTACAGTCCCAGCTACTTGGGAGGCTGAGATGGGAAGATTGCTTGAACCCAGGAGTCAAATACCAGCCTGGATAATATAGACTCCATCTCTAAAAAAATTTATTTATTAATTGAAAAGCTAATATAGATTGTTTATGATAGTGTTACTTTGACTTTTACTTTTAGATATCTGGATTCAATCTGAATTTAACTCAGTAGGAAATTTTAATGATCTCATGTTATTTATTTTTCACTTAGGATCACAGGTGAGTCGAGACTGGACTCTTAAAGCAATGTAACAGTCAAGTAGATAATATGGTGTTCAGTAAAAGTTGATAAAGACTTTATCAGTTTTTTAAAATATTAATATCCAAATACTTGGTTTGCACAATAAAACATATATTGGTTAAGCACTAAATCCAATGGTCTCCTTTAAACGGTTACAAGACGCATGAAAAAAACCTGTGTCCATTTTCTTATCTGCGTATTCGTTTACATATTTTACCTAAAAGTATTTTGTTTGCTGTAAATAATTCAAACAACAGAGAGACCTAATGTTTCACTATTTAATAAATATCCTCTTCATGCAGCTTCATTTTCTTGTAAACTAACATAACGCCAGTTTTACAGCCTTCTCAGGAAATTTCTCCCTCCATGTCAATATTCACTTTGATCAGGTGCTAGTTTCCTATCAAATACATTCTTTTGGTGTTTATAAAATAAATTTAGTCTGTTCTTAGGACTCCATCGTTTTGATTTTATAAACAATGATAGAGGAAGTGAAATCTAGGTTTCTGATATCACCAATGTCCCTAGCTATTCAAATTTCTCTTACAAAAGATAAGATTTGAACAACAAAAAAATAAGAAAGCTATCTGGACCCCTAAATTCTTCAGTGTTCTAAAATTCGTTGAAATTTCTTCTAGATTTCTTCTATGTAATTTTCTTCTACGATAATAAACATTGGTGCAGTGTTTCCCAAAGGAGGCGAGATGGACCACCTGTTCAAGATCACCAGAGGAGCATACTGAAACTGCAGATTACCAACTTAGGCCCCAAATCTATTGGTTCAGAATACCTTATGTTACAGCCAGGAAATGTGCATTTTTAACAAGTTTTCTTCAACTCCCAACCTACTCCAAGTGATTCTTACCCACCCTAAATTTTGAGAACCCCTGTGGTTTGGTAAGTCTTAGTTGCAATCGTCAGTGCCTCCCATGCCTTGGTATAGATACAGTAGGATATCGCTAATAACATCGAACAAAGGACTTCTTTGAAATCCTTCACTAGCACTTGGAATGGGACAATAAACTTAAATTTATAGCAAATATAAATTTAATTAGGAGGAAAAGACATCTTGGGTGTTTTTATTTTTTAAATTTTATTGCATAGATTTTAGGGCTACAACATGTTTATGTATATGTGTGTGTATATATATATATATATATAATGAACACGCACATAGTAAATGGATTATTACAGTTTAGCAAATTATAATCTCAGTTACCTTTCTTTTCTCTTTTTTTTTTTTTGATGGTAAGAGTATCTAAAATTTATTCTTTTGGCAAATTACCAGTATATAATACAATATTATTAACTATAGTCCTCACGTTGTACATTTATTATTATTATTATTATTGAGACAGAGTCTCACTCTGTTGCCCAGGCTGGAGTCCAGCGGGGCAATCCTGGCTCACCGCAACCTCCGCCTTCCGGGTTCAAGCAATTCTCCTCTCTCAGCCCCCCAAGTAGGTGGGATTACAGGTGCCCACCACCACACCCAGCTAATTTTTGTATTTTTAGTAGAGACGGGGTTTCACCATGTTGTCCAGGCTGGTCATGAACTACTGATCTCAAGTGATTCGCCCACCTCAGCCTCCCAAAGTGCTGGGATTACAGGCATGAGCCACTGCACCTGGCCCTCATATTGTACATTAGACTCTAGATTTACTCGTTGGGCATAATTGTGACTTTGTATCCTTTGGCCTACACTTTCCTACCTCCCATCTCCCAGCTCCTGATACCACTGTCCTACTGTTTCTACATATTTCATTTTTTAAAAAAATTCCACATATAAATGAGATCATGCAGTATTTTTGTATTGTTTATTTCACCTCACATAACATCCTCTACATTCACCTATGTTGTCACAAATGGCAGCATCTCCTTTTTTAAGGCTGAATAATATTTCATTATATACCACAATTTCTTTATTCATCCATCAAAGGACACTTTAATTGTTTCCATATCTTGGCAATTGTGAATAATGCTGCAGTTAACATGAGACAGCAGCTAGCTACAGGAGCGGAGATTTTATTTCCTTGGGGGTATATTTCCAGAAGTGGGATTGCTGGATCATATTGTAGTTCTAGATTTAATTTCTGGAATTATAACAGTTCTATCATATTTTGGAGATATGGTAATTCTATATTTAGTTTTGGACTATGTAGGAAACCTCCATACCGTTTTCCACAGTGGCTGCACCAATCTACGTTCCCACCAACAGTGTACAAAGGTTCTCTTTTTTCCACTCCTTCCCCAACATTTGCTACCTCTTGTCTTTTTCATAATAACCATCCTAACAGATGTGAAGTAATATCTCATTGCAGTTCTGATTTGCATTTTCTTGATGATTAGTAATGTTGAGAACCTTTTCAGATACCTGTTGCTGTTTTTATGTCTCCTTTGGAAAAATTTATTAAGGTTCTTTGCCCATTTTTTAATCAGGTTATTCATTTTTTTTGCTATTGAGTTGTGTGAGTTCCTTATATATTTTGGATATTAGCCCCTTATTAGATGTATGGTTTGCAAATATTTTCACCCAATCTGTAGGCTACCTTTTCATTTTGATGATTGTTTCCTTTGCTGTGCAGAAGCTTTTTAGTTTGATGTAGTCCCTCTTGTTTATTTTTGCTTCTATTGCATGTGCTTTTGGAGCTATAAGCAAAAAATCATTGCCAAGGCCAAAGTCAAGGAGCTCTGCACCTATGTTTTCTTGTCGGGGTTTTGTAGTTTCAGGTCTTATGTGCAGGTCTTTAAGCCATTTTGAGGTTTTTGTTTTTGTTTTTTTGCATTCCTTAATATAAGGGTCTGATTTTATTATTTTGCCTGTGGATATTTTCTCCCAGCACCATTTACTGAAGAGACTAACCTTTCCCCATGCCATCTCATTGGTGCCATTGTCAAAAATTAGTTGACTGTATGCGTTTGGGTTTACTTCTGGACTCTCTATTCTCCATTGGTCTGTGTGTCTGTTTTTATGCCACTACCATACTGTTTTAATTACCATAGCTTTGTAGTCAATATTGAGAGCAGGTAATATAATGCCTCCCTCTTTTGTGGTTCCATATGAATTTTAGAATTTTTTTTTCTATTTCTATGAAAACTGTCATTGGATTTTGATAGGAATTGCATTATATCTACATATCACTTTGGGTAAATATGAACATTTTAACAACATTAATTCTTCCAATCCATGAACATGGAATATCTTTCCATTTATTTATGTTTCTTCCATTGTTATCAATGTTTTGTAGTTTTCTGTGTACAGATCTTTCACTTCTTTGTTTAAATTTATTTCTAAGTTTTTTATGCTATTGTAAATAAGATGGTTTTATCTCTTTTTCTGAGTTTATTATTAGTATTTAGAAATATCTCCTATGCCCTTGTCTAGACAGAGTATGGTTTCATAAGTTGGAGCATAGGAATTCTTTGAAAACATTCATTTTCTCCAATAACAGCAGAATACACTTATAAAATTTGCATTAAATAGAGATTTAATTAACCTAGGAAGAATAAAGATAGCATAGATTTTTGCATGAGTTCTTTCATTTTTCACTTTATATCCATATGGACCAACAGTATTCTTAGGTCCCCTGGAAATTTGTCTCTATAAATTGTCCAAAACACAAACTATGTTTCTTCACACTATCCCAAATTAGGGTGCCTTTTCACTCGTAGCCCTGTTCTTGTGTAGCTGTGAAATGAATGTTCTGTCTTTGGGAAATTACAGTCAATCTCTACTTCTTGGTAATTCACACAACATTAAAATAGAGCCTTATTATTAAAAAAAATCAATAACTTGTTCAGGATATCAGAAAGTCATAAAAGCTATGGAGAAAAACAAAGCAGGAAAAAAGGATAAGAAATGCCATATTAGGGGTGGAGATTGTAATTTTAAATAGGGTAGTCAAGGAAGGTCCTACTGAAAATGTGTCATTTGAGAAATAAAAACAAATACTGTGAGAGCTTGAATCATGCAGAAATTAGGGATGAGCTTTCCAGAAAGAAAGAGGAGCAAAGGCAAAAGCCCTGAGATCAGAATGTACCCAGTGTGTTTGAGAGACAGAAAACTGGTGCAGCTATGCAGAGTAAGAATGAGAAGTAGTAAAAGATGAGATAAAGAGGTGGGGGAGAGGGGCCATGAAGACTGTAAGAACTTATAGATCAGGATACAAACTTTAGTTTTTACTCTGAGGGACGTAGGTAGCCATTTGAGGGTTTTAAGCCGAGGAGAGACGTGACATAACTTACATTCAAAGCATCACTCTGGTTGAGCTAAGAATAGACTCTAGGGAGACAAAGATGAGAGACTAAAAACCGACAGTGGTAGTGGAGGTAGTGAGACAGAGCTGGATTCTAGGATTTGCTGATGGCTTTCATATAGATTGTCAGAGAAAAGGAGGAATCAATGATGACTCCAAGGCTCTTTGGCCTGAGCAACCATAGGATGTAGCTATCATCAGCTGAGAAGGGGAAGGTTCTGTTTGTACATGTTACATTTGAGATACGTATTACATATCCAAGTGGAGTTGTTGAGTAGGCAATTCACTATAGGAGGTAAAAGTTCAGAAGACCCATTTTCAGGCTGGATATAAAAATTTGGGAGATGTCCACATAGAAATAATAAAATAATATTAAAAACCATGAAACTGAATGAGAACACAAAAGGAGTAAGTGTAGACAAAATAGAGAAAACATTCCAGGACTGAACTCTTAGAGCTTCCAATATTGAGAAGTTGGAAAGATGAGGAGGTGCCAATAACAGAGACTGGGAAGTGGAAGCCAGTCAAGGAAGAGAAAAAAGAAAAGTGATTGCCTGTGTTAAGTGCTGATGAGTCAAGACAGAGGAAGATGAAGAATTATCCATTTTATTTAGCAATATGGAAGTCATTAGTTACCTTCATAAGAGTAGTTTCAGTGGAATGATTGGGGTGAAAGCCTATTGTAGTAAGTTTTAAAAGAACTTGAAGAATGATATTGGAGGTATTTGAGAAGTTTTGCTATAAAGAAAACACAGATATGGGAATGAAGAAGAATGAGATTGTATTGAGAGAACTTGTTTTCGATGGTCAGAGATAAGCCATGTTTGTTTTATGATGGAATAATTGGTAACAAGAAAAAAATTGATTACTCAAAAGAGAGGTGAGAATAGTTGTAATAGGTAAGAGGAGATAGGATCTAAGGTCCTAGTAGAAGAGTTGCCTTTGGATGAATCAGACAGCTCCTCTAATGTCTCAGATGTGAAGACAGAGTATATGGTCACAGAAATTTATAAGTAAATAGATGTAGCGATGAAAACTTGTGGAAATTCCCTTCAGATTACTTCAATTTTCTTAGAGAAAAAGGAAGCCAGCTCAGCTGAGAGTGAGGACTTGGGGAGTGGGGATAAGCACA
Source organism: Homo sapiens (assembly GCF_000001405.40). Classification (NCBI taxonomy): domain Eukaryota; kingdom Metazoa; phylum Chordata; class Mammalia; order Primates; family Hominidae; genus Homo; species Homo sapiens. The sequence goes on along the minus strand of NC_000002.12, from coordinate 183,196,727 downwards.
GCAGATTCACTAGCAAATTCTCAAATTTATACTATTAATGAAATGTGCAAAAAAAAAATTCTATTTTATTTTCTATAACTCCATTTAATATCCTTCTCAATATTCTACCCTATTTGGAAGGAAGTGAGAGGACAAGGACTTATCTCAAAATGGCCAATTGATAGCTCCAGTTTAAACAACCTCTGTAATGTAAAATATTTAGTCAACTCAAAGTTTAGCTCAATTTCAGAGTTGTACTTTTCATCCTCCTCTTCCCAAGCTGACATCTGGGTATAGGGGAAAGCTTACAGAATTCAAGGGATTTTCCCTTCCATGTAGCCTGCCATCCTTGTGCTGGTCTCTACTGTGAGGTGGCTGGTGCAATCCTTAGATATGCCATTGTTTTACAAAGGAATATAAGGTCTGTTATCTTTGCTCAGTAATGGCCTGCTGACACTTCACCTCCACCCCATCCAACTGTCACTGATTCAACCCCTAGTTAAATCTTACTTCCTGTGCAGCTATCTTCATGGAGTTTAGAGGTGACTCCCATTGAATGTCTGGCCTCACCAACTACTGCAGCAAACCACTTTGGGCAAATTCCCAGCAACACCCCCTCCAAACACAGCTGGACTCTCAGAGCCAGGTACGTTGCCTCAGATTCATCTTTGTAGCCACCTTCATCTACCATTGCCATGTATTACTTCACATGTTGACACAGAGCCACCCTAAGTGACAACTTCATATGAACATTCCAAAAGAAAAGTTCAACAAAAGCTACTCTATTTTTGGCTTTCTTGCAAACTTGTTAGCCTGGAGAAGGGAAGTCAGAAACCTATGTCTGATTAATTCTTTTTCACATATTCTGAGACCAGAAGGAACAGGCTTTTTAACTTTCCTTCTGTCAAGGTCTTCCAGAGTATCAAATCTTCCTTCTTTTGGGTGCTAAGCCTAACTGCTCAGCCTAAATGATAGAATGATATCTTTGCTATAATATAAAAGCAAATATGTGAGTCCTCTTGGCAGGATTCTAAACACAGCCTTGGATCAACTTGGAACTAGGGATTACTAAAAATGAAATGTATTAGTTTAATAGTCCTAAGGTATTATCCTTTCCACACCAACAACTAGACACATAATCAGTGCTTTCTAGTTTCTCTGTGTAATTTGGAGAATTGAAAATACCTAACTTTCCACCATAGCGTGACATTAAAAGGGTGATTTTTTTCAAACCAGTATTTCATTCTATGATAGTTTTAGTTATACATGTTTTGTTGTTATCATTGTGTTTTCACTTTAATTCTGCACTGAGGTGATTTCCCAAGGGGTACAATTTTAAAAAATCAAACCAATCAATAAACACGCTTTTACTACCATCTAAACTCTAAACCCAAAATATTATACCAACTGATTATCTTGGGGTTATTTATGCAATCCCTTTTAAAGGTCACTTCTCTAAATTGAAGGCTTTCTATCACACTGGCATTGCCTGTGTTTTGCTCATCATTGTTTAACCTGTAATAAACTGTTTTCCTCTTGGGAGAGGAAAAGCTCATTAATTCACATTAATACACACAGATTTGACAGCCAGTGCTGTTAGGCCTTCAATGCTTATTAATACTTATATACCACAACCTTACTGAGAACTTGTCTTCTTATCTAATAATGCATTGAAAGCATTATATGAAAGCATAGCTTCACCAAACATGCTTGAGAGTTAACATTATATGTAATGGATCAAAAATGTTTACTTTATTGATTGTTCCTCTTCAAGGTTTAGTAATTTCTTAATTACATAGAGTTGATTATGATAGAGGAAGTCAATTCACTTGAGCTAAATGTTTTTTTGTGACATGAGAACATAGATGTTTTTGGCCTAAACTACAAATATATTGAAGGTTAGATAAAATTGTAAGGTAGTAATATTCATGTTTTACAATGGACAAACAAGTATTAAATTCTATAGCAGGAGAAACTTAATGATATTTAGTCGATAACATCCCAAAATTGTATATTTCATTGTAGTTTTATGTTACATTAGTAGAACTTTTCTGCTAATAAAATTATTTTGTGTTTTTATTTCATGCTGAACACAAAAAGTTTGGAAAACATTTTCTAATCACCAATTGAAGATAAACACATGATAATTAAAATTTTATTAAGTTTCCATCTTCTTCAAAATGCTCTAAAAAAACATTAAAATAACTGGTAGTCTTTGTCCTCAGATGCTAACAATTTCTTGTTTTCTGGAACCAGTGATTCCTACTCAATGAAAGTACATCTTTCACTGTTCTGGATTCTACTTAATCTGAGCAGATATTCGGTGAATACATACTAAATACAACCACTACCACACTGGGTGATGAAAGGGATAGGCTTTTTAAAATTTCCTTTCAGTTCTCTAAGAAGCTTATGGCTCAACTACAGAGAAGCTGACACACATTTAACAGTTAAATAATAATCTAATGAATTTCCATTTGAATGTCCTAGCTGTCCTAATAGAACTCATAAAATGGTTTTAAAAATATTTAAGCTGTATTTAAAAGTGACCTGTGGGAAAGCCCTAGCATACAAACACAGAAAACCAGGTAGGTTTTAGTTAAGCAGCTGCCTACAGAGCCAACTTGAAAGCTACCACTGGGAGGAGCACGTCAAACCTAGACCTAGATTTGAATCAAACTCTACTCCTTACTACCTGTACGGCTTAGGGCAAGCTGCTTAACTGCACTAAGTCTCAATGTCCTTGGTTGTAAAATGGGAACAATTATACCTAGGTTGCTTAATGGATAGTAAAAATTTTCCATGAAGTGTCTGACATAAATGGTAGGTGCTCACTAATACATAGCTTAAAAGAGTCCATAAAGAAGAAGGGCTTGAAGGATGGATGCAAAAAAAAAAAATAAGGCATTCTGAATAAAGGGGTTATAAACAAATTCTCAGAAGCAATTTGATCGTGGCATATCTAGAGTGACTGTTAGAGTGAGCAAAAGATTATATTAGAACTAGTGAAAAATAAACTGGAATATACAAGGTAGGGCCATATGTTAAAGGGTTTTGAATTTTAGGTTGAATTTTATCCTTTCCAGTAGTTCTCAAATGTTAGTGTGCATCGGAATCACTTATGCTGCCTTCTAAAAATGCTGATTCCCAGAATCCATGCCCAGAGATTTGATTTAGGTGATGTGGGATGGCCACCTCTGGCAAATATCACAAGTGATCCTGATGCTGCAATTCATGCATGACGTACTACACTTTACCAAGTGAAATACTAAACTAGGTTTATTCTTCATTGAATAACATATAGGAAAAAAAAAGTTATAATTTAAGATCTGTCTTCCAGCTATGTCTAGAATGAATTAAGCATATAGAAAATAAGTTAAACAGCATTATATTAATCTATTCATAAAATTATCAGGAACTGCAAGACAGTCAAAATCATAGTGGAACATGAATGGCAGATATGAAACATATTTCTAGACTAGAACTAGAAGGACTCTGATTAATTAAGAAAATGAAGGCAATACAAAATCCTAAAAACAACCCCAAAATTTCAAACCTAGAAGACTGGGTAAACAGAATGAAAGAAATTGGTAAGAGACACTGATTTGCAAAGAAAAGATGATTGAGTTCCATTCCCAGTATGTGTAGCTTAGGATGGCAGCAGGACTGCCCAACGGACATAAATGTTCATTAGGAGTACTAGAATTCTGAGTCTTGAGGGAGAATATGAGACTAATAATAAAAGATTTAAACATCAACACAAAAAGAAATGTTTAAAGCCCTTAGAATGAATCGTTTCTTCAAGGAGGAAAATAAAAATGAGAAAAGCAGAGGGTCAAAGGAAAAGAAAAATTGTTAAGGAGACCAACAAGCAATTTAAAGAATGTGAACAAAACATGTTCAAATTGACTAATTTTGTATTTATTCTCTCTAAAAACTTTTTAAAAAATAAATTTAGAAAAAAATTGTGATTTTTTTTAAAGAATCCACGTATATTTTATTCAGCACAAATGCAGGTGATACTTCCCCACAAAACTTATAAATTAACAACTGGGACTCTAAACTCATAATTTTCTGAATCATCCACAACTAGCTACTGTATGGAATCCATTCTACAACAGCAGAGGAGAACTTTAATTTGAAGCAGCAAGTTTCCATGCATTACTACAAATGTCCTCTTTTCATTCTCTGATACATACAGTCAAACTGCCTATGAAGCAAATTTCAATTCACCTTATGCTTTAATTGCTAAGAAACGCACTTGGGAAACCAACATTATTCTTAAGACTATAAATGATCCTATCTCTTTATTATATTTTCTCCCATGAAATTTTAAACTCTTAATGTAGTTATATTTAACATGAGTATAAATTGAGTTTTGAAATTACTGTCTTTCAGATTCATCCAGCAGTTTAGAATGTTCATACTTGTTTTATGTCTTGAGGAAAACAAAAACCTAATCTCTAATCTAGAATATTCTGGCAATCTGTATTAAAAGTTAAATTTATAATTTTATAACAAAGTAATATGGTAAAATATGGAATGTCCAAATATAGCAAAGTAATATGGTAAAATATGTAATGTCCAAACATTACATTTTTTTAAAATTCCCCAATGTATGTAAATACAAAGTTTATTCCCAATATACATTTTATAGAGGTGTGTTTTCATTTTTTGAAGCAGAGTTCAATGGGCATTTAAAGCCGGCAGTATCGCATCTTCAAATCTCTCTCTGAATCTGATCTGACTCCCCTGCCTCCCCCTTTCCCATATTAAGACCCTTGTGATCACACTGGGACAACCCAGATAATCCAGAATAATCTCTCCACCTCAAGATCCTTAATTTGATCACACCTGCAAAGTCCCTTGTGCCAAGATAACATATACATATTCTTAGGTTCCATTGTTCTGTCTACCACACTGACTAGTTGTCTACAAACCTTTTCACAGACATTTCCAGGAGATGCATTTTTTATCAGAAGTTTTAGAATCTGATTGCATATGGAGGGTGCAATATCTAGAGACCTAAAGATAGCTAGCGTTACAAGTCAAAAAAAAAAAAAAAAAAACTTTTGTTAAAACAGCCAACAGGAGCCTATTACTTGTGGACCTCATATGTTCAATTGATAGATGTGTTATTCTTTCCATTAACACTGTAACAGTTAAACCTCAAGGAAATGTAGGAGAGCAATATTTCAACAGAGGTGAAAATGGTGGGAAACTTTTTTAGTTGTCAAAATAATTGGGAGGAATACTAGTGGCATTTAAAGGGTGGGGGCCAGACATGCCAGATATACTGCAATATGATCACTAGGACTATACACTTAAAAATGAAATGGCAATTTGCCTGATTTCTGCAAGTGAAAACTTATTTATAATTACTTGGGCCTGGAACCTAACTCCACTTCACATGTAAATACAAAGTATGTCTGGCATTCTTTATGCAGTAACCATATATGTGGTACCATGTAATCAAGGGAAAAATGTATTTGTTCTACCCAGAACTTAGCAAAGAGTTTCTCAATATTTTGGAAAAAATGTCACCATCAATTATGCTCCTTCAATGTATAATACAATACAATGTGCATTATTAACTATTGCATTCAACATGCTTTCTATGTATAGACACACATCATTTGGCCAGGCACGGTGGCTCACGCCTGTAATCCCAGCACTTTGGGAGGCCAAGGTTGGGCAGATCACCTGAGGTAGGGAGTTTGACACCAGCCTGACCAACGTGGAGAAACCCTCTCTCTACTAAAAATACAAAATTAGCTAGGCGTGGTGGCACATGCCTGTAATCCCAGCTACTTGGGAGGCTGAGGCAGGAGAATTGCTTGAAACCAGGAGGTGGAGGTTGTGGTGAGCCGAGATCATGCCATTGCACTCCAGCCTGGGCAACGAGAGAGAAACTCCATCTCAAAAAAAAAAAAAAAAAAAAAAAAAAGATACACATCATTATGTCTTCAAGTGTAATTGTAATTGTGCTCATGGATTTACAAACTGGAATGTATTTATTGTTTTATTTTTATTCCTTTTTTATTTTACAACTAGGGCATTACATTTATTTTCCTAAATTTTTGCATGTAGGTAGGTTAAATTATCTAAGAATTCCGTGTTAAGATTATAAAGGAGAAATAATAACATATTTGTTATACAAAGGGAGGCTTGGGACTGTGCTGGATTTTCAGGGCTATAGCTAGCCTTGATCCTCTCTGTGGTATTGATTTTACGTGGTCTTTGAAAATTACAGATGCTACTTACTGCAGTCACCAAATAAATATGAAGATTGCATTTGCCACTTTTATACTTCAAACAATTTAGTTGGCTGCTTAGAGCTTTAGACTGTTAGACCATGTCTAACAGTCCACAACTTGTCCCTCTACTAGGCCCCAGGGACTTTCCTCCAACACTACTCAGTCTATAATTAAAGGATATGAGAACATTAAGTGATATTATTTTATTACACTAGTAATATAGGGTAATAACAAAATAGGTCCCAATTTTAAAAAAACAGAAACAGAAGTATTATGATGCCAGTTATCTAGAAAACTAAAAGAATTATTTGGTTTGTGTAAAAAGTGTATTTAATCTCAATAAGATATACGCTATGGCCATACAAAGGGGGTTAGATGTGGAATGTTATGCAGTAGGTGACGGTAAAAGAAACAATGATTTACTCTCTTTTTTAAAAAAGTGAATTAATATTTTATATTCTTATCTCCAAATGTGAGGAAATAATTTTCAACCTCTCAGAGAATTTCTGAATTATGTATTCAGTGTTTAGAGGGAAAGATGTTTCCTTTAAAAGGAAATATACTGGATAACCCTAGGTAAGAGAAGATACACACATAATCTAAATGTATGTGGGCTTTTATATAGCCTATTTCTCCTTATCAAACTTATCAAAAAATGGTAATTCAGAAGCCTTGAAAAACAGATATTTACTGTAGTTTTCCTGACAAGTACAACACAGACTAAGTTGGTTTTTTGTTTGTTTGTTTGTTTGTTTGTTTGTTTGAGACGGAGTCTAGCTTTGTCGCCCAGGCTGGAGGGCAGTGGCATGATCTTGGCTCTTCTAACTTCCGCCTCCCAGGTTCAAGCGATTCTCCTGCCTCAGATTCCCAGGTAGCTGGGATTACAGGCACCCGCCACCGCACCTGACTAATTTTTGTATTTTTTAGTAGAGACAGGGTTTCACTATGTTGGTCAAGCTGGTCTCAAACTCCTGACCTCAAGTGATCAGCCCCCCAAAGTTCTGGGATTACAGGCATGAGCCACCGCACCCAGCCAAAGTTGTATATAGCACACATCATATAGAAAGTTGCCTAAAATGCCTCTTGACATTTCTCTCTCCTCCCAAAATGTCACACTTATAGCATTGTTTTCTTCATTAGTCTCTGTATCTTTTCAAATTATTACCCTTCTTACCAGGCTCTTAGGATAAGGTTTTTGCACCTGAGGATGATTGCTTTTCTTAAGAGACCAGCTTACCAAGAATTCTGCCAAATAAAATGCATCTCAAATTTCAAAATTAAGCTTTATTTATCACACACCCCAATTGGTCTGAAAGTCTTTTGCTTCTACTCCTTAACTGTGTCTCATGAACCATCCTACTCAGATGCTCTGGGCCCTTCTGTACCTAATCAGTTTATAATACAACTTGTATCATCTCAAATCAGGAGCCAGACCAGAAGTTCCTAAATCTGAGATTTTCTATGGTGTCTGAGTCATTAGAGTTATTACCAGAGTCTATTTGCATAGGCTATTCTGTGCGTGTTTTCTTCATCTTCAAGCAGTTTTTTTTTGTTTTTCCTATGAACCCTAGACCTAATTTACCACTTCTAAAATCCTTCCAAGATGGACTTTTAACTTCTTCAGGAGCTAGCTACATTGAAACAAGTTAGGAAGCTTTCATTTTAACATTCCCTTTTCATAAGACATTATCTTTTTATTCCTTCACTTTAGACTATTTCAATACTCACTTTTTCTTTGTGTTTTGTTATTGTTGTTGTTGTTGACAGGATCTCACTGTGTCACTCAGGCTGGAGTGCAGTGGTGTGACTATGGCTCACTGCAGCCTTGAACTCCTGGGTTCAAGCCATCCTCTGCCTCAGCCTTCCCAGTAGCTGTGACTACAGGCACATGCCACCATGCCTAATTTATTTTATTTTATTTTTTTGTAGAGACAGGGTCTTGTTATATTAAGTAGGCTTTCTTCATCCTGGCCTCAAGTGATCCTCCTACCTTTCTTTAAAAAAAAAACAAACAAAAAAAACAAATCTATTAAAAACAACTACAGCTACTAATTTGTCAAGGGACACAAACCATAAAATATACAAAACATGTCAACAAAACAAACTGAGAGGGGGGAGTAAAAGAGTTGAGTTTGTGCAAGTGATCAAAGTTAAGTTATTATCAGCTTAAAACAGCCTGTTATTAGTATAAAATGTTTTATGCAAGCCTAATGATAACTACAAAGCAAAAACCTATAGTAGATATACACAGGATAAAAATAAAGAATTCAAAGCACACCATTACCAGTGTAAGGTATCCTAGTTACCATGGGCAAAATCTGTACAGGTCTGCAGCAACCTCAATTCCTGCCTCCTCAGGAAAGAATTCGACTGAGGGGCATAAGACAGAAAAAGAGACTGAGGGCCGGACACGGTGGCTCACGCCTGTAATACCAGGACTTTGGGAGTCTGGGGTGGGTTGATCACGAAGTCAGGAGTTCGAGACCAGCCTGGCCAACATGGTGAAACCCCATCTCTACTAAAAAAAAAAAAAGAAATACAAAGCTGGGCATGGTGCATGCCTGTAATCCCAGCTACTCAGAAAGCTGAAGCAGGAAAATCACTTGCACCCAGGAGGTAGAGGTTGCAGTGAGCTGAGATAATGCCACTGCACTCCAGCCTGGGCAACAGAGCAAGACTCCATCTCAAAAAAAAAAGAAAAAGAGACTGAGGCAAGTTTCAGAACAGGAGTGGAAGTTTATTTAAAAAGCTTTAGAGCAGGAAAGAAAGGAAAGTACACTCGGAAGAGACCCAAGCAGGCACCGAGAAGGTCAAATGCAGCATTTAACCTTGATCCTAGGAGTTTACAGGCTGGCCCACCTCCGGCGTCTTGCAACCTTTTTCCTTGATTCTTCCCTTAGGATGGGCTGCCTGCATGCACAGTGCCCTCCTTATGCTTGGGAAGTGTGCATGTACAGTGTGTTCAGGAAGTTGTACACATGCTCATCTGAGGCTTTCTTCCCTTTTCCAGTGGAGTGACCCTGGAAGGTCATACTCAGCCATTTTGTCACTGAATGCATGTGCCCAGGCTCACTAGCCCAATACCTGAGATTTTATTGGAAGCCCTTTTTGCTTCTCCCTGGTGTCTGCATTCAATTAACACTTTAATGTTAACAGCTTGTGGACCATTAGGAGATTGTCTGTTCCTGGTGCCAGCTGCCAAATTATCATTGTGATAACTGTCAGTCGAACCATCACCTGACATTCCTAGTGGGTGGGGGAGAGCCCTCTTCTGCCCCACTAATGCCTGTCTAACTTGTAATAATACCACTATGGAAAATTATCAAACCACAAAGGATGACAGCAACAGAGGAAGAGAGAAACAAAGGGTCTACAAATTAACTAGAAAACAATTAACAAAATGGCAATAGTAAGACCTCACCTATGAATAATTACTTTGAATGTAAATGGATTAAATTTTCCAATCAAAAGACACAGAGTGGCTGAACGAATAAAAAAACAAGACTTATCTATATGTTGCCTACAAGTGACTCACTTCACCTTTAAGGACTCACAAAGACTGAAAGTAAAGGGATGGAAAAAAGATATTTCACACAAATAAAAACCAAAAGAGAATATGGACAAAATAGACTTTAAATCAAAACTGTAAAACAGACAAAAAAGATCATTATAGGGTCAATTCATCAAGCAGATATAACAATTATAAATATACATGCATCCAACATTACAGCACCTAAATATATAAAGCAAATATTACAATATCTGCAGAAAGAGGCAGACAAGAAAATATTGGACTTGAATTACAATTTATACCAAATGGACCTAACAGACATTTACAAAACGTTTTATCCAACAATTGCAGAATATTCTTCTCATCACCACATAGAACATTCTCCAGGATAGATTATTAGTTAGGTCACAGAACAAGTCTTAACAAATGTATAAAGACTGAAATCATATCAAATATCTTTTCTAGCCACAATGGCATGAAACTAGATAATAATAACAGGAGGAATCTTGGAAAATTCACAAGTATGTGAAAATTAAACAGCATGCTCCTTAACTACCAATGAGTCAAAGAAGAAATTAAAAAGGAAATTTAAAAATATCTTGAGACAAACAAAAATGGAAATACAACATACCAAAGCTTACAAAATGCAGCAAAAGCAGTCCTGAAAGTTTATAGCAATAAAAACCTACGCCAAAATAGGAGAAATATCTCAAACAACCTAATGGGAGAGGCTTCAAGATGTCTGATCAGAGGCATCTACTCGACTCCTCCGCTAAGAAGAACAAAACTAGTCAGTAGTCACACATCAAATAGATCATCCAGGAAAGAACACTGGAATTCAACAGAGAAGTGACAGGAAACACCTAAAGCAAGGAAAAAGAGGGAAGCGCGACAGCCTCCTTGGTGGAGACTGAGATTGGCTATGAGCCAGGAGAGACTCCCCAAGCTTGGAAAAAGATAAGTGAGGGAGCCCCAGCAACCCACATTCCCAAAAGGATTCCTATAATCCTAGCCTCAGGAGAGCCCCTCAACATTCACTAGCCCTGAGGCTAACAAAAGAAGCTCCCTAGAAACTGCACAAAGGCACAGCTCCAGAGAGCACACACTGGATCCCACAAAACCCTGAATCCTAAGCAGTGGCAGCACAGCACCACTTTAAGAGCCTACTCCACACTGGACTGCATACTACCCTACAGCTGGGGTGAGGAGAGAGTCACCAGCAGCAAACCTACCCCACTGCAGAGGGTTTGTCAAGCATTCTCACACACCCTCAAGGACAAATTCCACTGTCTGCAACTGCCACAGCTGCACCAGCAAAGCCCATGCCTCCTAGCTGCCTGCCTAAGACTGCTACCTGCCTAAGTCCTCCCCAGTAGCAGGGGCACAGCACAGCCACTGTGACTTCCAATTGAGCATTCTGCTGGGGGGTCTAGGGTCCATTCCACCACTGCATACCACCGCTAGCATCTATATGCACTACTTGACGATCTAAGAGCACAGCCCAGCCTGGATCCAACCCCCGACTCCAGTACCTGAGCACACTGTCCAAAGCCCTGGGGAATGCCCAGCCAAGTCCACTACCAGTGGCACACCTGAGCACCCCTCATGGGATCTGAGGTCAGGTCCACTCAACCTGCCACTACCACCAAACACACACACCACCCAGATTCATAAAGAAAACATTATGAGATCTAAAGTGATAAACTCCAATATAATAATAGTGGGGACTATCAGCATTAGACAGACAATTTAGATAGAAACTAAGCAAATTAACATTGGATTTAAAGTGGACTTTAGACAAAATGAACCTAATAGACATTTACAGAACATTTTTTTCCAACAACTGCAAAATAAATATTCTTCTAATCAGAACATGAAACATTCTCCAGAACAGACCATATGTTAGGCCACAAAACAAGCCTCAACAAATTTTAGAAAGTCAAAATCATATTAGGTATCTTCTCAGACTACAGTGGAATAAAACTTGGAATCAATACCAAGAGGGACTTTGAAAGCTATCCAAATTCATGGAAATTAAACAACATGGTCCTGAGAAATGATGGGGTCAATGATGAAATTAAGATAAATATTTTAAAATTTCTTGAAACAGAAATTTTTTGAAAAAGAGAATATAGCATATCAAAACTTGTATTTTACAGAAAAACAGTGCCAAGAGGGAAGTTTATAGTAATAAATGCCTACACCAAAAAAATAGAAAGATTTTAAATAAATAACAATGCACTGCAAGGAACCAGAAAAGCAGAAACGAGCCAATCCCAAAGTCAGCAGCAAAAGAGAAACAAAAAATATCAGATCTGAACTAAACAAAATGAAGACTAAAAAAGCAATACAAAGCATCAATGAAATGAAAAGTTTGTTTTTGGAAAAGTTAAGTAAAATTGATAAATCACTAGTTAGACTAACCAAAAAAAGAACACAGTAGATCCACATAAACAAAATCAGAAATGAAAAAGGAGTCATTACAACTGATACTACAGAAATATGGAACATCATCCTAGACTATTAAGAATAACTATATGCTAACAAATTGAAAAATCTAAAGAAAATGGATAATTTCTGGAAGCATACAACCTACCAAGCATTAATTAGGAAGAAATAAAAAACCTGAACAGACAATAATGAGTAGCAAGATTGAATCAGTAATAAAAGGTCTCTCAACAAAGAAAAGCCCAGGACCAGGTGGATTCACTACTGAATTAAAGAAAAATTAATACCAATCCTCTTCAAACTATTTCAAAAAATTGAAGATGAGGAAATCTCCCTAACTCATTCCATGAGACCAGCATTACCTGATACCAAATCAAAGACACAGCAAAGAAAACTATACACTAATATCCCTGATGAACAGACACAAAAATCCTCAACAGTACATCAAAAAGATCATTCAGTATGATCAACTGGAAATTCTATCAGGGATGCAAGGATGGTTCAACATATGCAAATAAATGTGATACATCAAATCAACAGAATGAAGCACAAAAACCACATGATCATTTCAATAGATGCAAAAAAAAAGCATTTGACAAAGTTCAACATCCATTAATATTGAAAACTCTCACAAAAAACAAAAGGTATGGAAGGAATATACCTCAACACAATAAAGGCCATGTATGACAAGCCCACAGCTAACATCATACTCAATGGTGAAAAGTTGAAAGCTTTTCCTCCAAGATCAGAAACAAAACAAAGAAGCCTATTCTCACCATTTCTATTCAACAAAGTACTGGAAGTCCTAGCCAGAGCAATTAGGCAAGAAAAAGAAATAAAAGGCATCCATATACGAAAGGAGTGATATCATCTCCATTGATGACATGATTTAATATTAAGAAAGCACTATAGATTTCACCAATAAACTGCTAGAACTGATAAGTTCAGTAAAGTTTGCACATTACAAATTCAACATACAAACATCAGTAGCATTTCTATACACTAACAGTGAACTATCTTAAAAAGGAAATCAAGATAACAATCCCATTTATAAGAGCATCAAAAAAAGAACTTAGGAATAAATTAAGAGTCAGTTGATTTTTCACAAAAGGACCAAGAACACATAATGGAAAAGGACGGTCTCTTCAACAAATAGTGTTGGGAAAACTGCATAATCACAAGCAGAAGAATGAAATTGGAACCTTAACTCATACCATATATAAAAATCAACTAAAAACATATAAGATTTCAACTTTAAACCTACTAGAAGAAACACAGGGTCTCAACACATGAAAATCAATTAGTATGATTTACCACATTACCAGAATAAAATATTTTTACCATATGATCATCTCAAAAGACGCAGAAAAAGCATTTAACTAAGTTCAACACGGTTTCAGAGACACACTCTCAACAAACTAGAAATAAAAGAAAAATACCTAAACACAATAAAGGCTGTGTATGAAAAGCCCACAGCTAACATCATACACAACTGTGAAAAAAATAAAAGCTTTTCCTCTAAAATCAGGAACAAAACAAGAATGCCCACTCTCACCACTTCTATTTAACATAATACTGAAAGTCCTAGACAGTGCAATTCAAAAACAAAACAAAATATAAAAGGCATCTGAATTGGAAAGAAGTAAAAATATCCCTGTTTGCTAACAACATGATCTTATATAGAAAACCCCAGGCTGGGCACAGTGGTTCACATCTGTAATCTCAGCACTTGGGAGGCCAAGACGGGAGGATCACTTGAGTTTAAGAGTTCAAAATCAGCCTTGTCAACATAGTGAGACCTTGCCTCTACAAAAGAAAAATTTTTAAATTAGCCAGGTATGGTGGCACATACCTGTGGTCCCAGGTGCTTGAAACGCTGAGGCAGGAGGATCACTTGAGCTCAAGAGTTCAAGGTTTCAGTGAGCTATGATCGCACCACTGCACTCCAACTCAGGTGAGAGAACAAGATCCTATCTCTAAAATAAAAAAGAAAACCACAAATACTTAAAAATATATACTATAAATAACAAATGAATTCAGTTAAGTTGCAGGATACAAAACCAACATACAAAAATAAGTTGCCTTTCTATACACTAACAACAAACTACCTGAAAAGGAAATTATGAAAGCAATCTCATTTACAAAAGTACTGAAAAGAATAAAATACTTTGAAATAAGAATAAACCTAGGGAAAAAAGAGGTGAAAGATTTATATACTAAAAACTACAAAACATTGCTGAAAGAAATTAAACAAAAGACAACAAATGTAAATACATCCTGTGTTGCTGAATTGGAAAACTTACTATTGTTCAAATGTCTATACTACTCAAAGCAATTTTCAGATTCAATGCAATCCCTTCAAAATTTCAAAGACATGTTTTACAGAAATAGAAAAAAGGTTATATACTTCATATAGAACAAAAGATTATGAACCAAATCAATCCTGACAAAGAACAAAGCTAGAGGCACTGCATTTCCTGATTTCAAAATATTTTATGAAGCTACAGTAATCAAAAAACAGTATGGTACATGGTACTGGCATAAGGACAGCCATATAGACCAATGGAAAAATAGAGAACTCCAAAGTAAACCTACACATATATGATCACTGACCTTTGGCAAGGATGCAAAGAATACATGTTGGAACAATGATAGTCTTTTTCAACAAATGTGGTGAGGAAAACTGAATATTCACATGTACAAGAATAAAATTGAGCCCTTATCTTACCCTGTATACAAAATCAACTCAAAATGGATTAAAGACTTAAACCTAAGACCTGAAACTATAAAACTCCTAGAAGAAAACATGGGATCAGGACTCCTTGACTTTGGTCTTGGTGGTGATTTTATGGATGTGAACCCAAAAGCAAAATAAATAAGTAGGACTATATCAAACTAAAAATCTTCTGCACAGCAAAAGAAACACTGACAGAGTGAAAACGCAACCTACACAATGGGAGAAAATATTCATGAAAACAACATATCTGATAAGTGCTAATCCCCAGAATGTACAAGGAATTAATAGAGCTCAAAGCAAAAAAACTAATATAAGCCAACAACAACAACAAAAAAATGGGCTAAGGGCTTGACTAGACATTTCTCCTGAGAAGACTTCAGCTTTTCCAGTTTAGAAAGGATAGCGGAAGTAGCGTATCTATTGTAGCTAACATTTGAGCACAAAGACCAGAGGAATGGGAGATTTTCCTTAAGAATGCTTATATATTATATTTCCATCACTGAAGAGCGATTTTTGAAGCTAGTGGTCTTCTAGTATACAGTAAGGTCAACTTATTTTGAAACACAAAAGCACAATAGAGAATTAGCTTCCATCAATATACGTACTATACTGAATACAGCTGGCTTGAGGAAACTTCTTTTTAAGAACATTCTATGAGTGACTGCTAAATCCTATTTCTGATCTTTCTACATGTTGGCCCAAAAGTTTTCCTTTGTCATATTCTCCTATAGCTATAATTTAACCATCACTGATTGGAGCAGTTCTACTGTTCCAAGCTGAAATTCATTGCCTCAGATGGAGGTAGGTCTTACTGAGACACTATTTCATACAAATTTAGAAGACAGTTATGTACTGATGATCAATTAATAAATCTCATGTGCTGTTACTGCTTGAGGCAGCCAAATTGGAATGCTGTAAAAAAATACCCATATTTTTTAAAATACTGAAACATGGGCTTAGAGACAATTATCTTTTTATTCTTCACTAAATTTTCAGCAACGTTAGTTTTAACAAGGACTTGGTTTGTGGGAAGAAAGAGGAAAAAAGAGAAAAATGTAAATGGAGGGTTAGGATTTGCTTCAGAGAAAATTTAGGCTTGGCTTTGCTACAAATAATGTATCATTTTTCCATAAACGAATTAAATAACTTTAAATTTATTTAATTGGTCCAGATCACATTAATCTTGATTTCCTGGGAAAAATACATACATATTAATGCTGAAATATAGTATAAAAGTCTTCTTGAACTGTCAAAATTCAGTGTCTGATATTAAGGATATAAATTACTCAGCTCTACTGCCATGAGGTCAGGAGATCAAGACCATCCTGGCTAACACGGTGAAACCCCGCATCTACTAAAAATACAAAAAAAAATTAGCCAGGTGTGGTGGCAGGCACCTGTAGTCCCAGCTACTCGGGAGGCTGAGGCAGGAGAATGGTGTGAACCCAGGAGGCAGAGCTTGCAGTGAGCCAAGATTGCACCACTGCACTCCAGCCTGGGCGACAGAGCGAGGCTCTGTCTCAAAAAAAAAAAAAAAACTTTGAAAAAGAAAAATATTTTTAGAAAAATG
The DNA here is from genome assembly GCF_000001405.40 of Homo sapiens. Classification (NCBI taxonomy): domain Eukaryota; kingdom Metazoa; phylum Chordata; class Mammalia; order Primates; family Hominidae; genus Homo; species Homo sapiens. The sequence continues at coordinate 183,180,225 of NC_000002.12, read as the reverse complement.
TTTTAAGAAAAATGTTTTGAAAAAGTATTTATGCCTGTTCATTACACTCAAAAAACATTTCTGATCCTTTCTGATAAAAGTAAATATGTATAATAGGGCTGAAACCAAGCCTTAAGAAAGGTGGAAAGGAAAACAAAAAGTAAAGGAAAAGCTGTCAATCTTCCTAAAATCTTAAATACAGCAACTGATTTTTATATCAGATTTTCCAGCTTCTGTATTTAAATTTAACTCTAGTTGTTCCTGGGCAAGATGACTGAATAGCAACAGCTCCCATCTGCAGCTCCCTGCGAGAACAACACAGAAGGCGGGTGATTTCTGCATTTCCAACTGAGGTACCCGGTTCATCTCACTGGGACTGGTTAGACAGTGGGTGTAGCCCATGGAGGGCAAGCAGAAACAGGGTGGGGCGTCACCTCACCCGGGAAGTGCAAGGGTCCAGGGACCTCCCTCACCTAGTCAAGGGACTGTGCTATCCAACCCAGATACTACAGTTTTCCCACAGTTTTTACAAACTGCAGACCAGGAGATTCCCTCATATGTCTATACCACCAGGGCCCTGGGTTTCAAGCACAAAACTGGGTGCCTGTTTGGGCAGACACTGAGCTAGCTGCAGGGGTTTATTTTTCGTACCCCAGGAGCGCCTGAAACCCCAGCGAGACAGAATCGTTCACACCCCCGGAAAGGGGGCTGAAGCCAAGGAGCCAAGTGGTCTCACTCAGCAGGTCCCACTCCCACTCTTAGCTTGCTGGGTTCCAGCAAGCTAAGAACCACTGGCTTGAAATTGTGGCTGCCAGCTCAGCAGTCTGAAACTGACCTGAGATGCTTGAGCTTGGTGGGGGTTGGGAAGTCTGCCATTACTGAGGCTTGAGTAGGCGGTTTTCCCCACACAGTGTTAAGGAAGCAACCGGGAAGTTCAGACTGTGTGGAATTCACCCCAGCACAGAAAAGCGACTGTGGCCAGACTTCCTCTTTAGATTCCTCCTCACTGGGCAGGGCATCTCTGAAAGAAAGCCAGCAGCCCCAGTCAGGGACTTATAGGTAAAACTCCCATTTCCCTGGGACAGAGCACCTGGGAGAAGAGGCAGCTGTGGGCACAGCTTCAGCAGACTTAAACGTTCCTGCCTGCTGGCTCTGAAGAGAGCAGTGGATCTCCCAGCACAGCACTCCAGTTCTGCTAAGGAACAGACTGCCTCCTCAAGTGGGTCCCTGACCCCCATGCCTCCTGACTGAGAGACATCTCCCAGCAGGGGTTAACAGACAACTCATACAGGAGAGGTCTGGCTGGCATCAGGGGGATGACCACTAGGATGAAGCTTACAGAGGAAGAAGCAGGCAGCAATCTTTGATGTTCTGAGGCCTCTGCTGTTGATACCCAGGCAAACAGGGTCTGGAGTGGACCTCCAGCAAACTCCAGCAGACCTGCAGAAGAGGGGACCAACTGTTAAAAGGAAAACCAACAAACAGAAAGCAAGGACATCAACATCAACAAAAAGGACACCCACACAAAAACCGCATCCAAAGGTCATCAACATCAAAGACTAAAGGTAGATAAATCCGAGAAGATGAGGAAAAACCAGGGCAAAATGCTGAAAATTCCAAAAATCAGAATGTCTCTTTTCCAAATGATCACAACTCCTCTCCAGCAAGGGCACAAAACGGGACAGAGAATGAGTTTGACGAATTGACAGAAGTAGGCTTCAGAAGGTAGGCAATAACAAACTCCTCTGAGCTAAAGGAGCATGTTCTAACCCAGGCAAGGAAGCTGAGAACCTTGATAAAAGGTTACAGGAACTTCTAACTAGAATAACCAGTTTAGAGAGAACATAAATGACCTGATGGAGCTGAAAACCACAGCAGAACTTCATGAAACATACACAAGTATCAATAGCTGAATCAATCAAGCGCAAGAAAGGATATCAGAAATTGAAGATCAACTAAATAAAGTGTGAAGACAAGACTAGAGAAAAAAGAATGAAAAGGAATGAACAAAGACTCCAAGAAATAGGGGACTATGAGAAAAGACCAAACCTACGATTGATTGGTGTACCTGAAAGTGACAGGGATAATGGAACCAAGTTAAAAAAACACACTTCAAGATATTATCCAGGAAAACTTCCCCAACCTAGCAAGACAGGCCAACATTCAAATTCAGGAAATACAAAGAACACCACTAAGATACTCCTCGAGAAGAGCAACCCCAAGACACATAATTGTCAGATTCTCCAAGGTTGAAACGAAGGAGAAAATGTTAAGGGTAGCCAGAGAGAAAGGTCGGGTTACCTACAAAGGGAAGCCCATCAGACTAACAGTGGATCTGTCTGCAGAAACCCTACAAGCCAGAAGAAAGTGGAGGCCAATATTCAACATTCTTAAAGAATTCTCAAGCCAGAATTTCATATCCAGCCAAACTAAGCTTCATAAGCAAAGGAGAAATAAAATCCTTTACAGACAAGCAAATGCTGAGAGATTTTGTCACCACCAGGCCTGCCTTACAAGAGCTCCTGAAGGAAGCACTAAATCTGGAAAGGAAAAACCAGCGCAATCAAATTAGAACTCAGGATTAAGAAACTCACTCAAAACAGCACAACTACGTGGAAACTGAACAACCTGCTCCTTAATAACTACTGGGTAAATAAGAAAATTAAGGCAGAAATAAATTCTTTGAAACCAATGCGAACAAAGACATAATGTACCAGAATCTCTAACACAGCTAAAGCAGTCTTTAGAGGAAAATTTATAGCACTAAATGCCCACATCGGAAAGCAGAAAAGATCTAAAATTGACACCCTAACATCACAATTAAAAGAACTACAAAAGCAAAGGCAAACAAATTAAAAAGCTAGCAGAAGACAAGAAATAACTAAGATCAAAGCAGAACTGAAGGAGATAGAGACATGAAAAACCCTTCAAAAATTCCATGAATCCAGGAGCTGGTTTTTTGAAAAGATTAGCAAAGTAGACACACAGATAGCCAGGCTAGCAAAGAAGAAAAGGGAGAAGAATCAAATAGACACAGTAAAAAATGATAAAGGAATATCACCACTGATCCCACATAAATACAAACTACCATCACCTCTATGCAAATAAACTAGAAAATCTAGAAGAAATGCATAAAATCCTGGACACATACACTCTCCCAAGACTAAATGAGGAAGAAGTCGAATCCCTGAATAGACCAATAACAAGTTCTGAAATTGAGGCAGTAATTTATAGCCTACCAACCAAAAAAAGCCCAGGACCAGACGGATTCACAGCTAAATTCTACCAGAGGGACAAAAAGGAGCTCATCCCATTCCTTCTGAAACTATTCCAAACAATAGAAAAACAAGGACTCCTCCCTAACTCATTTTATGAGACCAGCATCATCCTGATACCAAAACCTGGCAGAGACACAACAAAAAAAGAAAATTTCAGGCCAATATCCCTGATGAACATCAATGTGAGAATCCTCAATAAAATATGGCAAACTGAATCCAGCAGCACATCAAAAAGCTTATCCACCATGATCAAGTCAGCTTCATCCCTGGGATGCAAGGCTGGTTCAACATATGAAAATCAATAAACATAATCCATCACATAAACAGAACCAATGACAAAAACCGTGACTATCTCAATAAATGCAGAAAGGGCCTTCGATAAAATTCAACACCACTTCATGCTAAAAACACTCAATTAACTAGGTATTTATGGAACATATCTCAAAATAATAAGAGCTATTTATGGCAAACCCATAGCCAGTATCATACTTAACAGGCAAAAGCTGGAAGCATTCCCTTTGGAAATTGGCATGAGACAAGGATGCCCTCTCTCACCACTCGTATTCAACATAGTATTGGAAGTTCTGGCCAGGGCAATCAGGCAAGATAAATAAATAAAGTGTATTCAAATAGGAAGAGAGGAAGTCAAATTGTCTCAGTTTGCAGATGACATGATTGTATATTTAGAAAACCCCATCATCTCAGCCAAAAAACTCCTTGAGCTGATAAGCAACTTCAACAAAGTCTCAGGATACAAAATCAATGTGCAAAAATCACAAGCATTCCTATATAGCAATAATAGACAAACAGCCAAATCATGAGTGAACTCCCATTAACAACTGCTACAAAGAAAATGAAATATCTAGGAAAACAATTTAGAAGGGATGTGAAGGACCTCTTCAAGGAGAACTACAAACCACTGCTCAAGGAAATAAGAGAGGACACAAACAAATGGAAAAGCATTCCATGCTCACGGATAGGAAAAATTAATATCATGAAAATGGCCATACTGCCCAAAGTAATTTACAGATTCAATGCTATTCCCATCAAGCTACCATTGACTTTCTTCACAGAATTGGAAAAAACTAATTTAAATTTCATATGGAAACAAAAAAAGAGCCCGTATAGCCAAGACAATCCTAAGCAAAAAATAACAAAGCTGGAGGCATCACACTACCTGACTGCAAACTATACTACAAGGCTACAGTAAACAAAACAGCATGGTACTGGTACCAAAACAGATACATAGACCAATGGAACAGAACAGAGGCCTCAGAAATAATGACACACACCTACAACCATCTGATCTTTGACAAACCTGACAAAAACAAGCAATACGGAAAGGATTCCCTATTTAATAAACGGTGATGGGAAAACTGGCTAGCCATATGCAAAAAACTGAAACTGGATCCCCTTCCTTACACCTTATACAAAAATTAACTCAAGATGGATTAAAGATGTAAGCGTAAAACCTAAAACCATAAAAAGCCTAGAAGAAAACCTAGGCAACACCATTCAGGACATAAGCATGGGCAAAGACTTCATGACTAAAACACCAAAACCAATGGCAATGAAAGCCAAAATTGACAAATGGGATCTAATTAACCTAAAGAGCTTCTGGATAGCAAAAGAAACTAACATCAGAGTGAACAGGCAACCTACAGAATGGGAGAAAATTTTTGCAATCTATCCATCTGACAAAGGTCTAATATCCAGAATCTACAAGGAACTTAAACAAATTACAAGAAAAAAACAAACCCCATCAAAAAGTGGGCAAAGGATATGAACAGACACTTCTCAAAAGAAGACATTTATGTGGCCAAAAAACATGAAAGAAAAGCTCATCATCACTGGTCATTACAGAAATGCAAATCAAAACCACAATGAGATACCATCTCATGCCAGTTAGAATGGCAATCATGAAAATGTCAGGAAACAACCGATGCTGGAGAGGATGTGGAGATATAGGAACACTTTTACACCATTGGTGGGAGTGTAAATTAGTTCAACTATTGTGGAAGATAGTGTGGCAATTCCTCAAGGATCTAGAACCAGAAATACCATTTGACCCAGCAATTCCATTAATGGGTATATACCCAAAGTATTATAAATCATTCTACTATAAATACACATGCACACTTAAGTTTATTGCAGCACTATTTACAATAGCAAAGACTTGGAACCAATCCAAATGTCCATCAATGATAGACTGGGTAAAGAAAAAGTGGCATATATATATATATATATATATATATATATAATGGAATACTATGAAGTTATAAAAAAGAATGAGTTCATGTCCTTTGCAGGGACATGGATGACGCTGGAAACCATCATTCTCAGCAAACTAACACAAGAACAGAAAAACAAACACCGCATGTTCTCACTCATAAGTGGGAGTTGAACAATGAGAACACATGGACACAGGGAGGGGAACATCACATACTGGGGCCTGTCGGGGGTTGGGAGACAAGGGGAGGGAGAGCATGAGGACAAATACCTAATGCATGCAGGACTTAAAACCTAGATGACAGGTTGATGGGTGCAGCAAACCACCATGGCACATATATACCTATGTAACAAACATGCAAGTACTGCACATGTATCCCAGAACTTAAAGTATAAAAAAGCAAAAAAAAAAAAAAAAAAAAAAAAAGGAAAAAACATTTTTACTCTAAAACTTTTTCATGTTGAACACTTCTGACAAGTTGCCACAAGATGGAGGTACATCTGAAGTTTGAGTTAGATAAGTTTTTAAAGTTTTGAGTACATGAAAGCTGTTTTCAATAATAGACAATTGCCCGGGCCCAGTGGCTCACGCCTGTAATCCCAGCACTTTGGGAGGCCGAGGCAGGTGGATCACCTGAGGTCAGGAGTTCAAGACCAGCCTGGCCAACATGGTAAAACCCCATCTCTACTAAAAACACAAAAAATTAGCATGGCGTGGTGGCGGGTGCCTGTAATCCCAGCTACCCAGGAGGCTGAGGCAGGACAATTGCTTGAGCCTGGGAGGCAGAGGTTGCAGTGAACCGAGATTGCGCCATTGCACTCCAGCCTGGGCAACAAGAGCAAAACACCATCTCAAAAAAATAAAATAAATAAAATAAAATAGACAATCTATTTAAATGCCACTTGAAATTGTGCTTTAAAACCTGCTGCAAGACTTTACTACATATAAAAAAAAAAACCAACCAGGAAGACATAGATGATTTAAATTTATAAAATATCTTCTGCTGATGAGCCAAGAAATAACCTGATAACTTAAGACATGACCCAAAGGCTCCAGAGAAACCTTTTTCACCAACGCTCCTGAGACCAGCCTGGCCAACATGGTGAAACCCCGTCTCTACTAAAAATACAAAAATTAGCCAGGTGTAGTGGCGTGTCCCTGTAATCCCAGCTACCTAGGAGGCTGAGGTAGGACAATCACTGGAACCCAGGAGGCAGAGGCTGCAGTGAGACGAGATCGTGCCACTGCACTCCAGCCTGGGTGACAGAGCAAGACTCCGTCTCAATAAAAAAGAAAGAAAAAAGTTTGGAGTCCCTTCCCTGTGTCTTTGCCTCTACCCCAGCACACATTGCCCTGATGTTTCTCCCAGTTGGCAAAACTTGGAGATCTTGGAGCTAAAGGATGCATATGTGTCCTCTGGGTCAGAGATGCTTTTTTGTCCCAAGAATGTCCCTATGCCTCAGCCTAGACAATAAGTGCTAGCACAAACAAAATACATGAAGAATTCAGCACTTTGATACTATTTAAATATTCATAGTTAACAAATGTGTCCAAATGTGTCCAGTGATTTACATTGAGATCATCCTTTGCATGTTGTAAAGTTTTAAGTATACTTTTTTATATGACCAAAAAGAAATATTTTATTTGGCTTCATGTTTTTAAAATAGTCTTTTCAAATATTCTTTAATTAGTAGTTAATTAAGGAGCTGTGATTAGAACCCAGGAGATTCATGTAAAATATTTCTCAAGTTCACCTAAGTGGTTTAAAAATCAAATAACCTTGGGGGTTGGGTCAAGATGGAAGACTAGAAGCAGCTCACGCGTGCCATTCTCATGGAGAGGAAACAAAACGGCTAGTGAACACTGACCCTGCAGGCCAACCATCTGAGAAAACACATCAGGATGCATCAAGGAAGCAGGGGAACAGAGAGAGCAGAGAGGAGCGAAGCTGGGCACCAGCCTGTCTGAGCTCAGGGCGGAGGCAGGAGAATCTCTCCAACACAGAAAAGGATCAAAAAGTGAGAGCCCCCTGGAGGACGCACACTCTCCACAGGGACCTGTGCAAGACTGAGAACAGGAGAATCCTCCTGGCTCCCCTGCACCTCCCCCACTGTGCTTTGAGGACTGAGGTTGAGAGACACCAGGACATTTTATAGGGGCAACACTCAAGTCCAAGGGGACCTCGACAAGCCTTGAGCCCCAGAGCAGACCAGCACTGGTGCCACAGACCCAATAGAGGCTATAGTCATGGTGCCTGGGAGCAGTAAGATTACTCCACACCCCCTCGCTGGACAAGGCTTGGTGCCAGCCTCCAGCCCTGCGGAACCACTTCTGCCTGGACTCAGCCAGTGGCTGCAGCCTCTTGTCCTGGAAACACCCAGACAGGAGGGTGGGTGACCCCACCCACCCCTACTACTAGTAGCCTGGTGGGCAGTACTTGCCAGAGCTTTCAGCTCAGGGGTCCCACTTCTGTGTGAACTCAGCCAGAGTTTGCAGCCCCCTATTGCCCAGGAAGCACCTGGATAACAGGGTGAGTGGCCCCAGCCAACCCCACCACTAGAAGCCAGGTAGGCAATACCTGCTATAGATTCTAGCCCAGTGGTCCCTCTTCTGTGTAGACTTAGCTGGTGGGCACAGCCTCCTGTTGTCCCAGGAAACACCTGGATAACAGGGTGGATGACCCCACTCACCCCTACGGCTGGCAGCCAGGCAAGCAATGCCTGCTAGAGCTTCCAGCCCAGCTGTCCCACTTCTGTCTGATTGTAGCACCCTGTTGTCCTGGAAAATACCCAGAAAGCAGGGTGGGTGACTCCAGGAGAACCACACCTGCTAGAGCTTCCAGTCCAGAGGTCCTGCCTCTGCCTGAATTTGCTGAGGGGCACAGCCTCCTGTTGCCCCGAAAATGCCTGGATGGCAGGGCAGGCAACTCCAACCCACTCTCATAAGAAAGGCCATATCCACTAAAGCTTCTAGTCCAGGGGTCCTGCTTATGCCTGGGCAGGCACAACCCTATGTCCCCCCAGGAAGCACTCAGAGAGCAGATTAGGGCTGACCCAGCAAGTATATGGCCTGTCTACACCTGTGACACCTGCCTGAGGGAGCTCCATGGACAAGAACACCGAACAAAAGAAAAGCAGGGGCCAGGCACGGTGGCTCACACCTGTAATCCCAGCACTTTGGGAGGCCAAGGCATGCGTATTACTTGAGGTCACAGGTTCGAGACCAGCCTGGCCAACATGATGAAACCCTGTCTCTGCTAAAAATACAAAAATTAGCCAGGCATGGTGGCAGGCACCTGTAGTCCCAGGTACTCAGGAGGCCAAGGCAGGAGAATCACTGGAATCCGGGAGACAGAGGTTGCAGTGAGTCAAGATCATACCACTGCACTCCAGCCTGGGCAACAGAGTAAGACTATGCCTCAAACAGAAAGAAAGAAAGGAAGAAAGGAAGAAAGGGAAGAAAGGGAAGAAAAGGAAGAAGGGGAAGGAAGGAAGGAAGGAAGGAAGGAAAAAAGAAGGCACAGAGACAGTAATTGAGGGGGGATCCTCCAAGACCCAGGAGCAGACTAGAATTAAGGCCAGTTGACTGAACTCACTTTATACCACAGTGAAACCACAAAGAAGGTTAAAGGGGGGGAAAAAACATCCAAAAGACAGCAACTTCAAAGACTGAAGGAACATCAGCCCACACAGATGAGCAAAAACCAACACAATAACTCTGGTAACTCAAAAATCCAGAATGTCTTCTCATCTCCAGCCACACTAGTTCCCCAGCAATGGTTCTTAACCAAGCTTAAATGGCTTAATGTCAGAAATAGAATTCAGAACATGAATAGAACGAAGATCATCAACTTTCAGGAGAAAGCCAAAACCCAATCCAAGGACTCTAAGGACTACAATAAAATGATAAAGCAGATAAAAGACAAAATGATCCTTTTAAGAAAGAACTACTGAATTGACAGAGCTCAAAAACTCACTTCAAGAATTTCATAATACAACCACAAGTATTAACAGCAGAATTCACCAAGATGAGGAAACAATCTCAGAACCTGAAGACTGCTTCTCCAAAATAACTCTGTCAGACAAAAATACAAATGGTAGGGCGCAGTGGCTCACGCCTGTAATCCCAGCACTTTGGGAGGCCAAGGAGGGTAGATCACGAGGTCAGGAGATCGAGACTATCCTGGCTAACACTGTGAAACCCCGTCTCTACTAAAAATACAAAAAGAAATTAGCCGGGCGTGGTGGCGGGCGCCTGTAGTCCCAGTTACTCGGGAGGCTGAGGCAGGAGAATGGCGTGAACCCAGGAGGCGGAGCTTGCAGTTAGCCAAGATCGCACCACTGCACTTCAGCCTGGGTGACAGAGCGAGACTCTGTCTCAAAAACAAACAAACAAAAAAACAGTAAACAGAAAAAAGCAGGGGTTGCTATTCCAATTTCAGACAAAACAGACTTTCGACCAACAATGATCAGAAAAGATAAAGAAGGGCATTACACAATGGTAAAGTGTTCCACAAGAAGACCAAACTATCCTTATATTAATATATGCACCCAACACAGGAGCATCCAAATTCATAAAGCAAGTTCTTAGAGACCGACACAAGAGACCTAGATAACCACACAATAATAGTGGGAGACTTCAACACCCCACTGACAATATTAGACAGATCACTGAGGCAGAAAACTAACAAAGATATTCCGGACATGAACTCAACATTTGACCAAGGGGCCTAACAGAACTCTCCACCCCAAAACAACAGAATATATATTCTCATCTGCACATGGCACACACTCTAAAATCAACCACATAATCAGCCATAAGACAATCCTCACCAAATTCAAAAAAATTTAAATCATACCAAACACACTCTCGGACCACAGCACAATAAAAATGGAAATCAAAACTAAGAAAATCACTCAGAATCATGTAATTAAATGGAAATTAAACAACTGCTCCTGAATAACATTTGTATAAACAGGAAATTAAGATAGAAATAAAGAAATTAATTGAATAAAACAACATATCAGAATCTCTAGCACACAGCTAAAGAAGTGTTAAGAGGGAAAAGTTGGCTAGGCCCAGTGGCTCACACCTGTAAACCTAGTACTGTGGGAGACTGAGGCGGGCAGATCACTTGAGGTCAGGAGTTTGAGACCAGCCTGGCCACACGGTGAAACCCTGTCTCTACTAAAAATACAAAAATTAGCTGGGCTACTGTAGTCCCAGCTACTCGGGAAGCTGAGGAAGAAGAATCACTTGAATACTTGAATGAACAGATTTAGGAGCTTTCTTGAATGAACCCAGGAGGCGGAGGTTGCAGTGAGCCGAGATTGCGACACTGCACTCCAGCCTAGGCAACAGAGTGAGACTGTCTGAAAAGACAGGACAGGACAGGACAAGACAAGACAAGATAAGGAAACTAAACTTCAGGTCAATATCCTTGATGAGCATAGATGCAAAAATCCTCAACAAAATACTAGCAAACTAAAACCAGCAGCATAGTAAAAAGGTAATCTATAAAATCAAGCAGAGTTTATCCCTGGGATACAAGGTTGCTTCAACATATACAAATCAGTAAATATGATTCACCACATAAACCAGAAGTAAGTATAAAAACCATCTCAATAGATGCAGAAAAGGCTTTCAATAAAATTCAACATCCCTTCACGTCAAAAACTCTCAACAAACTAGTCATTGAAGGAAAGCACCTCAAAATAATAAGAGCCATCTATGACAAACCTACAGCCAACATCATACTGAACGGGCAAAAGCTGGAAGCATTTCCCTTGAGAACCGTATCAAGACAACGATGCCCACTCTCACCACTCCTATTCAATGCAGTAGTAGAATTCCTGGCTAGAGCACTCAGTCAAGGGAAAGAAATGAAAGGCATCCAAATAGAGAGAAAGTCAGTCTATCTCTGTTTGCAGACAATATGATTCTATACCTAAAAAACTCCATAAGCTCTGCCCAAAAGCTCCTAAATCTGATATACAACTTCAGCAAAGTTTCAGGACATAAAATCAGTGTACAAAAATCAGTAGCATTTCTAAACACCAAGAACGTCCAAGCCAAAAGCCTAATAAAGAATGCAATACCATTCACAATAGCCACAAAAGTTATAAAATACCTAGAAATACAGCTAACAAGGGAGGTGAAAGATCTCTACAACAAGAATCATAAAACACTGCTGAAAGAAATCAGAGATAATACAACCAATGGAAAAATAATCCATGCTCATGGACAGGAATAATCAATATTGTTAAAATGGTCATAATGTCCAAAGTAATTTATAGATTCAATGCTATTCCCATTAAGTTACCATTGACATTCTTCACAGAATTAGAAAAAAACTATTTTAAAATTCACGGAACCAAAAAAGAGCCCAAATAGCCAAGGCAATCCTAAGCAAAATGAACAAAGCTGGAGGCATCACATTACCCAACTTCAAACTATACTACAGGGCTACTGTAACCAAAACAGCATGGTACGGGTACAAAAACAGACACAGAGACAAATAAAGAAATCAGGCAGGAGGTTCACCTGAGGTCAGGAGTTCCGAGACCAGCCTGACCAACATGGTGAAACCTCATCTCTACTAAAAATACAAAATTAGCCAGGCGTGGTGGCACATGCCTGTAATCCCAGCTACTCAGGAGGCTGAGGCAGGAGAATCACTTGAACCCAGGAGGTGGAGGTTGCAGTGACCAAAGATCATGCCATTGCACGCCAGCCTGGGCAACAAGAGTGAAACTCCATCTCAAAAAACAAAACAAAACAAACAAACGAAAAAGCTCAGAAATAAAACTGCACACCTACAACCATCTGATCTTCAACAGAGTTGACAGAAATAAGCAATGGGGAAAGGACTCCCTATTCAATAAATGGTGCTGGGGTAACTGGCTAGACATATGCAGACTATTTAAACTGGACTCCTTCCTTATACCATATACAAAAATCACCTTGAGATGGATTAAGGAGTTAAATGCAAAACCTAAAACTATAAAACCCCTGAAAGAAAACCTAGGCAATACCATTCTGGATACTGGCCCTGGCAAAGATTTCATGACGAAGGCGCCAAAAGCAATTGCAACAAAAACAAAACTTGACAAATGGGACCTAATTAAACTAAAGAGCTCCTGCACAGCAAAACAAAACAAAACAACCTATAAACAGATGGTATTAGTCAGGGTTATCTTAGAGGGACAGAACTAATAGGAGATATATATATATCCTATATATATATCCTATATAACCACACAATAATAGTGGGAGACTTCAACACCCCACTGACAATATTAGACATATAAATATATAAATATAAATATATATACATATATATAAATAAAGGGGAGTATATTAAGTATTAACTTACAAGATCACAACGTCCCAAAATAGGCTGTCTGCAAGCTGAGGAGCAAGGAGAGACAGTCGGAGTCCCAAAACTGAAAAACTTGGAGTCTGATGTTCGAGGGCAGGAAGCATCCAACACAAGAGAAAGATGAAAGATGTAGGCTGCGAGGCTAGGCCTGTCTCCCTCCTTTTCTGCCTGCTTTGTATTTGCTGGCAGCTGATTAGATTGTGCCCACCAGATTAAGGGTGGATCTACCTTCCCCAGTCAACCGACTCAAATGTTAATCTCTTTTGGCAACACCCTCACAGACACACCCAGGATGAATACTTTGTATCCCTCAATCCAATCAAGTTGACACTATTAACCATTACACAGATTAAATAGATAACCTACAGAACTAAAGAAAATATTTGCAAACTGTACATCCCACAAAGGTCTAATATCCAGAATCTATAAGGAACTTAAATTAACAAGCAAAAACAACCCCATTAAAAAGTGGGCAAAGGATATGAACGGACACCTTTCAAAAGAAGACATATATACAGCTGACAAGCATATGAAAAAATGTTCAACATCACTAATCACAAAAATTCAAATCAAAACCACAGTGAGATATCATCTCACACCAGTTTGAATGGCTATTAAAAAGTCAACAAAAATGTTGGCAAGGTTGCAGAGAAGAGGGAACACTTACACACTGATGGTAGGAAGGTAAATTGGTTCAGCCATTGTGGAAAGCAATGTGGCAATTCCTCAGAGAACTTAAAACAGAATTACCATTCAACCCAGAAACCTCACTGTTGGGTATATACCCAGAGGAATATAAATCATCCTACCATAAAAATACATGCATACATATATTCATCACAGCACTATTCACAACAGCAAAGACATGGAATCAACGTAAATACCCAACAACAGTAATAGACTGGATAAAGAAAATATGGTACATATATTCCATGGAATACTACGCAGCCATAAAAAAGAAGAAAATGATGTCCCTTGCAGCAACATGTATGGAGAGGCAGGCCATTATACTAAGCAATCTAACACACGAACAGAAAACCAAATACTGCATGTTCTCATTCCATGTGTACTCAATGTGGAAGCTAAACATTGACTACATATGGACACAAAGAAGGGAACAACAGAAGTTGGGAGGGTGGGAGAAGGGAGAGGACTGAAAAACTACCTATCATGTACCATGTTTATTACCCGAGTGACAAAACAATCTGTACACTAAATCCCTGTAACACACAATTAACATATGTAACAACACTGCATATGTACTCCTGGACCTAAAATAGAAACTAAAAACACCTAAATCTCAAAATGTTACAGTTCCACAGAACTGCATTCTAAAAAAAAAAAAAAAAAGTTTTTATCCTATTGCTGTTACTACTTATCTATGTGATCTTAGACAAGGTATTAATGTATTCTGTGTTCTTACCCTCTGTTCTAGTTGCTGTGTACAACAAATCAAAAAATGGATAATCAAATATGGTAATATACATACAAGAGAATATTATTCAGCCTTAAAAAGGAAATTCTGACATACGCTGTAACATATATGAATCTTGAAGATATCATGCTAAATGAAATAAGTCACAAAAATACAAATACTGGAAGATTCCACTTATATGAGGAAGCATAGTCAAAATTTTGGAGCCAGAAAGAATAGTGGTTGCTAGGGCCTGGGAGAAGGGGAGGGGTATTACTTAATGGATAAAGTTTCATTTGTGCAAGATTGAAAGAATTATGGCAATGGATAGTGATGATGGTTGCATATTATGAATGTATGTAATATCACTGAACATCTCTTAAAAATTGTTTTAAGATGAGATGGGTACGGTGGCCCTCACTGGTAATCACTGCACTTTGGGAGGCCGAGGTAGGCAGATCACTTGAGCCCAGGAGTTCAAGACCAGGCTGGGCAACGTGGCAAACTCTACTAAAAAATACAAATTAGACAGGCATGGTGGTATATGCCTGTTGTCCCAGCTACTCGGGAGGCTGAAGTAGGAGGATCACTTTAGCCCAGGAGGTTGAGGCTGCAGTGAGCTGTGATAGCACCACTGCACTCCAGCCCAGGTGAGAGACGCTGTCGCCAAAAAAAAAAAAAGGGGGGGGGGGATGTTAAAATGGTAATTTTAATGTAATATGTATTGTACCACAACAAAAATTATTTTTTTAAAGAAGTAACTGGCCGGGTGCGACGGCTCATGCCTATAATCCCAGCACTTTGGGAGGCTGAGGCGGGTGGATCATCTGAGGTCAGGAGTTCGAGACCAGCCTGGCCAACATGGGAAACCCTGTCTCTACTAAAAATACAAAAAATTAGCCGTGCATGGTGGTGGGCGCCTGTAATCCCAGCTACTCAGAGAATCACTTGAACCTGGGAGGCAGAGGTTGCAGTGAGCCAAGATCCCGCCATTGCACTCCAGCCCACGCAACAAGAGCGAAACTCAGTCTCAAAAATAAATAAATAAATAAACAAACTGGAAGTACTCAGGATGCCCTAAGTCACATGCATTCCAGAAGGTTAAAGATAAACCACAAAAATTCAAAGGACAACCACACTGGTGAAGTTATGAGGGATCCATTGGTCTGGAGCATGCTAGGACTGCCCGTCACTAAAGGATAATTTATTTCACCTTGATCCTCCTACCATTAAAAAGAGATACAGCACTTTATAAGCTTCTGGATTTTAGAAACACAAATTGTAGATAGGAAAACTCCTTTGACCCATTTCTTATGTGGCTTAGATTTTAGTGGGGCCCAGAGTGAGGGAGTTCTGGAGCAAGTTCCAGCTTATAGTACAAATAACTCGACATTTAGGCCATATGACCTGGCAAATCCCATGATGCCAGAGACATTCCTGGTAGACAAGGATGCTACAGAGTCTCTGGCAAGCCCTGATTGCATAAGTCGTAACACAGACCTTTAGGTTTCTGGAGCTCAGTCAGTCTTTCCGCAGCAGATAACTAGTCACTATTTAGAGAGTAGCTCCTCACATCAGAGCACATCAACTATGTGACCAGAGCTATCCATCATGAGCTGGGTATTGTCAGATCCACCAAACCCAAAGAATAGACCAGCATAGTAATAACTCATGTTACATTCAGGATGGTGCCCAAGCCGTTCCTAGGGCTCCCACTTCCATGAAAAGGTGGCCCATGTAACTTACCTCCAAGACACCAGCACCTTTCCCTCAGCTCATGGCTTCGTTGGGGTTCACCACTACTATCAGGTGACAGAGGAGGAAAAAACCCCAGGCTTGGTTCACAGATAAATCAGCTTGGTATTTTACTGTAAACCAAAGACTGACTCCTGTCATATTAGCCTGAGTAGACTTGAAAGACAGTGATAAGGGAAAAGCTACCTAGTGGCCTGAGCTTCAATTCAAGCAATAAACCTGGTCAGCACTTTGCTCATGATGTAACATAAAATTAAATGCTCACCAGCCTTTATGTCATCTTTCTAGGCATTTAGCTTGCTGGAGGTGCATTTTCTAGTCCATTCCTCAGGACACACTCAAGGGAAACACGTTTCCTGAATTCTTGCACACTGATAGTGTCTGAGGAGTTATTTTTATACTTAATCAGTTTTGGTAGATACAAAATCTTTTACTCACATTTTCTTTCTACAGATATCTTAAAGAGGCTATTCTTTTTCCTCCTGACATAGTGCTGCTGTTTTAACTCTTGCTCTTGTAAGTCATTTGCTGTTTTTGTCTAGTCAAACCCAAAGTTTGTATATTGCCATTGGTTGTCCCAGTATAATAATCTCAGGTAGGCAGGTTACTCTTCCAATGTGTAGTTCCAAATTTTTTTCATCAAAGTAGTCATTTGATTTTGTTCTGTATGTTGCATTTTTTCTGTCTCTAGAGTTTGTCATACCCCTACTAATCCTTTTTATCTCTTTTCTTTCTGATTTCTAAAAGTCCTCCATTTTTATCTTTCATTTCTTTTAGGGCATATCTGTTGTTCATCAGCTGTTGTTTATTCTAGTCTTAATTTATGAGTGATTTTCCTCTATTACTAACATTTTCCCAAGTTCTTCAATTTTATTTTTGTTGTTCTTTCATATCTTGTATCATTTTCTAAATGTCTTAAAACTCAATTTTAAGTACTACTCTATAGCTTCTATCCATTTATGGGCATGCCTTTCTGGTGTGCTTTCAATGTCTACAGGGATGTTATTTTCTTCCTTATACTCTTTTTTTTTTTTAAACAAACTTGCATGATTATAGTTTCACGTTATTTTTTTTGAAGTCAGCTTCTCTGAGCTTTTAAAAGGAGGCTTAGTTCAGGGTAACTTTCCTAACATCACAGATATTCCATTTTTGTTGTTTTTATATAGTGTTCAAAAATAGGACAGCTCGCTTTCTGAAATTTTCCTGGATCTTTTAAAATAAATGACAGATACAAAGATGGGTAAGATATGATACCAAGAGAAATAACAAAATATAGCAAACAAATATTTTTTGCCCAAAAGCAAACTTCACAGTCCATAAAGGCCTATGCAAATAAATAAAACACCCCCTCCAATAAACAACCCTTTTAATAAAATGTGTATTAATTCAAATACAAATGCACGACTTTTAAAATGGAATTTAGTAGCCAGTTCTATATTGAATAATTGAGTTCTGCACATTATGAAATAGGATATAAAATATAATCCTAAACTGGAAGAAAAAGACTTCAATGTAAAAGTTTTCAGATGAAAATATACTTTATAAATGAATCTTCATTCATGCCAGTACATTCCTTAGTATTACTTAGTAATACTTCCCAGCTCTTTAGGAGGCCGTGGTAGGTGAATCACTTGAGTTCAAGAGTTCAATATCAACCTGGCCAACATGGTGAAATCCCGTCTCTACTAAAAATACAAAAATTAGCCAGGCATGGTGGCACACGCCTGTAGTCCCAGCTAATTGGGAAGCTGAGGCACAAGAATCACTTGAGCCCAGGAAGTAGAGGCTGCAGGGAGCCAAGATCGCACCACTGCACTCCAGTATGGGTGACACAGCAAGACTCTGTCTCAAAAAAAAAAAAAAAAGGTATTAATTATGTTCAATGGGATACTGACATTGTAATTCCATGTAGAAATATTCTTTTTTGATATATCCTCACGTATTTAGAGTAAAATGACATCTTATCTGGGATGTGCTTTAAACAAAATAAAAGGGAAAGAAAAGAAACAAGTATGGCAAAATTTAATGGTAATTAAAGCTGGTATATAGTGGTTCATACATATTTTCTCTTTCAATGAATACTTAAAGCTTTTTATAATAAATCACCCTTTCAAAAAATGTTCAATACATATTGATATCATTTGGATATCTGTCCCCTTCAAATCTCATGTTGAAATATGGTCCCCGATGTTGGAAGTGGGGACTAGTGGGAGATGTTTAGATCATGGGGGCAGATCCCTCATGAATGGCTTGGTGTCCTCCCTGCAGTAATGAGTTCATGTGAGATCTGGTTATTAAAAAGAGTCTAGAACTTCCTTCTTCCTGCTCTCTTCCTCTCTTTCACCATGTGATATGCTCACTCTTCTTTACTTTCCTCCACAAGTAAAGCATCATGCTTCTTGTACAGCTACAAGCCAATTAAACCCTGAGCCAAATAAACCTCTTATTTTTAATAAATTATCCTGCCTCAGGTACTCCTTTATAGCAATGCAAACAGACTAATACACATATCATTGACAATGTTTATTATCAAGAAACTTTAGGTTTTTTAAAAGAATGCTCGTTTTAGAATACACCAAGAGGACACTCTGTGACAGGACATATACAAACAAGGATAATTAAAATATTAAATACTATCTAAATTAAAAGACCATAATTCAAATTGCTAATTATAATATTTGTGTCGGTAGAAATAACTATAGTTCCCCTTCATGAAATTCACCCCCACGTTCTCATGAAGACTATGACGTCTCACCACAATTTCAGTTATTTAATTTACAATAATCAATGCTGAGTTTTCTGTGCTGAAGCATGCACTGTTACAGAAAGCACAAAATCCTATTTACAGGGATTTTTAGTTTTCTTTAAAATGTATCTCAAGCATCTTTTAAAGTGCGAGCTACAAATAGGTTGTATCCTTAATGAAAAAGGCTTCTTTCTAAAAGAAGTATGAGATAGCTATCCAATACTGCAGGAACAGTTATATAACTAACCGAAGGAACCAGCAGCACTCTGCTAACTCTGTTTTAGTGTAGCAACCTCCTTCTTGGTGTTCTACTACCAGCCAAACATGTACTCCATTGCTTTGGATACAAGACTTTCATCTTTTTTTGGCGTTTGTCTGTCAGAAATAACCTATTAAAAAACACACACAAAAAAAACGGTTAGGTTATTGTTACTTCAGTGTCATAGGCAATTCTAGAATTGCTCATTTAAAAGAGAAACACCAAAATGCATTTATAGCACTAAATTGTAAATTTTTGTATTTTTAGTAGAGACGGGGTTTCACCGTGTTAGCCAGGATGGTCTCGATCTCCTGACCTCGTGATCCGCCCGCCTCGGCCTGCCAAAGTGCTGGGATTACAGGCATGAGCCCCTGCGCCCGGCCTGAATTGTATATTTTTAAAATTAAAATATGGACTTAGAATATCCTTATGCTTTTAAGAATGCCAAAATTTTATTCCTTTGGCAAAGCAAATAACATCTGTTTCTTAAATTAGAAAATTGAATAGCTGGGCGCAGTGGCTCAGGTCTGTAATCCCAGCACTTTGGGAGGCCAAGGTGGGCAGATTACTTGAGGTCAAAAGTTTGAGACCACCCTGGCCAACATGGTCCCATCTCTACTAAAAATACAAAAAATTAGCTGGGCGTGGTGGCACGTGCCTGTAATCTACTCAGGAGGCTGAGGCAGGAGAATCACCTGAACCCAGGAGGCAGAGGTTGCAGTGAGCTGGGATAGCACCACTGTACTCCAGCCTAGGTAACAGAGAGACATTCCGTCTCAAAACAAAAGAAAGAAAAATTGAATAACAAAAGCTGCACTGAATGGGAAATTTAAAATAACAGTAATAGAACCTAAAGAAAAAAACAGTTCTAGAATAATCTCCAAATTTCAGAGGAAGTCAAAAAACTGAACTACCACTATCTGCCCTACTAAAGCACAAGTGTTTCATGTACTGTGTGTTTCAGGACCTGTTTCTGCAGCTGGTTAAGTTCGAACACTTGGCTAGTCAGTAGGAGACAATAATATACTGAATGAGATCATAATACTTCTACCATTCTTCAAAGAACATAATTAACTTCTTTAAGCTTTTTTGAAGTGAGAAATTTTTTTCTGTCTGGAGGTTGGTCAATGTCTTCATTTAAATAACCAAAGCTACTCCAACCTAAGGTTCTGCACTTTGGATACCATCAATTTAGTCATCAATTTAATAAAGTTTTAATGCGCCCTCATGTCAAAGATGCACACAGGATACATTTCGTATGTATGCAAATATAACTTAGAAAAAGCTAAAACAACTTTCAAAAAATTTAAAGGAATGGCAAATAATTTTTTTTTTTTAATTCATGATAACTTTCCAATTGGCCAAGATGTTAACTTTAAAGCAGAAAACTTTTAAAGCGTAAAGGTTTCATCAAGGTAATAGCCTCCACAGGAAACATTTAATGGCATACAAATCAATACAATGAAAAAGTTAAGCATGCTATGCACTCAGCCATTAAAGTACATCTTTTTTTATCCAATCCTTAAAATACCTGATAATCACTAGTAGAGGCTTTGTATGCTGTAGCAAGAGGTCTCATGGTAGAAATCCTAGGAGTACTTCCAGGTTGTGTTGGTGTACCTAGAGTTTTGATTGGTGGTGTAAAGGCTAAAGATGGAGATGATAAAGCACATCTGTCACTGCTTTCCATAACACTCTGGAGAAACAAAGAAATAACTCCTTTGTTTATAAACATAATACATATCATCCAGTATTACATCCTACTTAGAAAATTTAATTAAAAGATAAAGATGAAATACTTTATTTGCTCTAATTAAACTTGCAAATAATTTTAGGCTTGAGAAAATATTTGCTTCTTAGGTAGCATTTGAGATTGAATGCTCAGACAGAAATCTCACTTCAGTGACCTCAAACAATCTCAATACAACTATAGACCACAAAAATAAGAATTTCCTAAAACACTATGAAAAATCAGCAAGGACAAAAAAATTCTTAGGGAAACCTGGATTGGAAAGAATCAAACTCCAGTGCTATTTAGCACTTAGTTACCCCAAATATTCTTCTGGCCTCTGCAAACATTTGTTACAGCACAGTATTATAACTATATAACTACACTGATATAACAGATTTTAAGAATAGGAACCACATCTTGCTTTGTTCATTAATGTGTGTATACTAGCACCAAGCACAATGCCTGGAATGTAGTACAAGTTCACATATACTTAAAGAATGTTCACAATGATTTAACAAGCCACAAAGAACAGTTTAAATTGTACTCTGTACTATTTAATGAGTATATATAGAATAATTTTAAAATAGTTTTAAACAGAAATATTTTGAAACGAAAACCTTTGACATTTAAAAGTTAACTATCAGTTAATGTTAATATGAACTAATTCATTCTGAAATAGTACCATTCCATTTAAGTACTTTAAAGAATCTGGTATCGCTTTGCACAAGAAAGAGAATGGATTAGTAGTCAAGAGACCTAAAATCTAGGCCTCACCTTTAACAACTCTGGACAAGTTACTTAAGCCCTCTCAGTTTCTTTATCTGAAAAATGAAGAGGTGAGGACAGATTACCTCTAAATTCTAAACTCTATGATTAAATACCTTCGGCTTACCACAAAGAGTACTATAAACATCATCACATTTTACAAACTAAGAAAAACAGACACAGTGAAACCAAGTGACACAACGACCAATTTCAATCCTTGGTCTTGTGCTCTTCATATAGATTAAGCTACTTTGCCTACATCACCAATAACTTACTTTGTCAATACATGGTTTTACACCAATCATGATGGATTCTCCAAAAATCCTCCCATCTTTGCTTAAGGCTTTCCGAGCCTGCAGTTTAGATTGATAACGAATATGCATCCAATTTCCTGTATTAGACATCTGCAAAGAATAAAACTGTCTCTTAAAATAGAAAATATATAAAATCTACATCTAATGAATTCTACTAGAAAATAGGAACATGGTAAGATAAATTTACTTCCATTCCGTATTTGATGCCTTGTAAAAAGCTGTAAAGTTCAACAAAAATCGTATTTAGAACAGCTTCAACAATCTCTCAATTCTCTACAATCAACATGTACATATTCTCTGAAAGTAAGATACTTCTCAAAATATGTTTATTGTAAAGAGATCAAAGCAACACTTGCCATAAAGTTATTTAAAACTACTCAATTTGATTTTGTATAGGAGTTAAGTCAATCTCTAGCAACAAAAAAGGATTTGTTACTTATAACTTGTAGCACAAGGTAAGATAATTTTTTAAATTTTAGAGCTATAAAGCTCTAAAAACTCTAAAAGCTCAGGAACTGCCTCCTACTTCTTTTATCCCCAATAAAAGCAGCTCAAATTGGAAAACAGTAATATAATACTTGGCATAATCTATCTTTTTTAAGACTGTAAACTGTTTAAGAAAGGAGGTGAGAGGAGGTGGATTTTCAAACTCTCAATTCTCCATATCTTCTCACTATATCTCTTTTTATCAAAAATTAGGCAACTTCCAGCCTTCCAGACTTCAAAGGATGTATTATATCAAAACTCAAAAAAAAATTTAAGTTTAAAAAAAACCCACAAAATTCAGAAGCAGTTTCTCTCAATTCACAACTTATCCCTCTTTAGTCAAAACTCTGAACTGAAAAAAATTAAGCCTTACCACATGTTTTAAGATATTCCCATACTGTGCAAATTGTAGTAATATGTAGGAAGCAGATGCTTGAGGAAACCTGAAAAAAAGAGTTGTCCAAAGAAAACGTCAGCTTCTACTATCAATGTGAATGCAAATTACTACAAGATAATGTTTCAAGATAAATGGCCCCCAACTGTCTAGAACGTTAACAGGAGAGTGCTGATCATCCTGTTTTCCCCGATATGGGCTAATTCTGTCAGTGACTAGTCACTCAAAAGCAAATACCTTAAAGTTAGTCTTATCCTGCCATTCTTCTCCATCCTCAGATTCTACCTCTGAAATCTCTAAAAATGCTACTCTCGTTGCCATTATCCAGGTCTTAGAAAAAAAACTATAAAGTTGCAGTTCTATATATAATTTATTTCAATATGTGTATGTTAATATGTAATATATTTAGGTATACTACGGTTATGAAAAGATAAAGAATTTTAAATTATAAACGAATCATTATACATTGAGCATCACTTAAAAATTCTGAAATTTAGTATCATAACAAAGAGAAAATTCAGCATCAAAATATTTATGGTATAGAATCACTTAAAAGGACAGTTACCAAAATTTGATTAGCCATATCTCTGCATGAGAAAATTCTAAGTAATTTTTACTTTCTTCTTTATAAAGTTCTGTATGGTTTGGATATTTTACAATGACATATTATTCTTTTATAGTCTTAACAATAAAGCTGTTTTCAATTTGAAAACAATAACCACTACCAATCGCATAGAAATGGCTATCTAACTTCAGTTATCTGAAGACTGAATTAGAACCCTAAAGAAAAAAAAAAATTCGAGTCTCAAAAATAAATCAGAAACCAAACACATTAAAAATCTATGTGAGGCTGGGCACGATGGCTCACACCTGTAATACCAACCAGCACTTTGGGAGGCCGAGGTGGGTGGATCACTTGAGGTCAGGAGTTCGAGACCAGCCTGGCCAACCTGGTGAAACCCCGCCTCTACTAAAAATACAAAAAATCAGCTGGGCATGGTGGCGGGCACCTGTAATCCCAGCTACTCAGGCGGCTGAGGCAGAAGTATCGCTTGAACCTGGGAAGGAAAGGTTGCAATGCGCCAAGATCGTGCCACTGCACTCCAGCCGGGTGACAGAGTAAGACCTCATCTCAAAATAAATTAATTAATTAAATAAAATCTATATGAGTAAAATATTCACTGCAATCAGAACTGAAAATTCATTTGTATAAAATCTGGACATGAAATTTCTAACCACAAAGAAAAACAACAAATAGGTTGGGTGCCTACAGGGCAGAGATCAAACAAAAATGAAAAGAAGAAAGAATGGCTGCAAGTGAGGGAAGTACTTAAGAAATAAAACATAATTCTAAAACTCTTGGACCACTTTGAGTAGAAACTTACATTCTAGTACTCTATAGCAGAATCACCCAAAACAATGAATATTTCATAACCCTAAGTCAGTAGGAAAAAGTTAAACTACCAAAGAAAGAACATATATAATGCATCCTTTAGAGGTACTTCCCCATAAATGATCAAAATAAAATACTTTATCCCTTAAAGGAGAATGCTTCAGTTCTTGAAATTAAAGTCATAGAGGGTTATTAAAACACGAAAGTAAAAAAATAAACAGCTGGGAGAGTTAATGTCTGAAATACGAAAAAATACTAGGAGTGCTTCAAGTAATTTATCTAATTACTGGAAATCTTAAAAGTTAAACCACTACTACTGAGCCTGAAAAACAGATTTAAGAGTGGGTACCTATTTTCAAAAACATGCAGCCAAGCTGGCTCATGCCTGTTATCCCAACTACTCATGAGGCTGAGGTAGAAGGATTGCTTGAGGCCAGGAATTGGAGGCTGCAGTGAGCTATGATCATGCCACTGCACTCCAGCCTAGATAACAGAGAGATTGTCTCAAAAAAAAAAAAAAGCCATTTTATGAGAGACTATAAAAATGTAAATGTAAAAGAAGAAGAAGAAAAAAAACACACCAGCCCAATTGCTATGGATATAGGACTGAGTATGGACTTTCTAGAGAACAACGGAATGCAATGACCCGCTTTTTACCCAAATAGAAATCAATAACACATAAAATCTCTCTGGAAACATACACAAAAAACAGATGGCAATCACTGCCTTAAAGAGGAGGAAAACTAGCTTGGGACAAAAGCAAAAGGGAAAACTTCATTGTACATTCTTACATACCTTTTGAATTTTTAATTTTAAATAAATTGAATACATAAAATCCACTAAACATTTACTATGCACCTTTCTTCCTTCAAGGAGCTCATGTGTTATTTTTATGTTTTTTAATCCCAAAAAATATATAATAGATACATTCCAGTATCAGCATGTGATACAGTTCAGCTGTGTCTCCAACCAAATCTCAACTTGAATGGTATCTCCCAGAATTCCCATGTGTTGTGAGAGGGACCTGAGAGAGGTAATTGAATCATGGTGGCTGGTCTTTCCTATGCTATTCTCATGATAGTGAGTAAGTCTCACAAGATCTGACGCGTTTATCAGGGGCTTCCGCTTTTGCTTCCTCATTTTCTCTTGATGTCACTATGTAAGTACCTTTTGCCTCCCGCCATGATTCTGAGGCCTCCCCAGCCATGTGGAACTGTAAGTCCAATTAAACCTCTTTT
The DNA here is from genome assembly GCF_000001405.40 of Homo sapiens. NCBI lineage: Eukaryota > Metazoa > Chordata > Mammalia > Primates > Hominidae > Homo > Homo sapiens. The sequence goes on along the minus strand of NC_000002.12, from coordinate 183,154,861 downwards.
TCTTCCCTGTCTCAGGTATGTCTTTATCAGCAGCATGAAAATGGACTAATACAGTAATTGGTATCAGTAGAGTGGGGCATTGCTGAAAAGATACCCAAAAATGTGGAAGTGACATTGGAACTGGCTAATAGGCAGAGGTTGGAACAGTTTGGAAAGCTCAGAAGAAAATGTGGGAAGTTTGGAACCTCCCAGAGACTTGTTGAATGGCTTTGACAAAAATGCTGATAGTGATATGAACAATAAGTTCCAAGCTGAGGTGGTCTCAGATGGAGATGAGGAACTTGTTGGCGACTGGAGCAAAGGTGACTCTTGTTATGTTTTAGCAAAGAGACTGGTGGCATTTTGCCCCACCCTAGAGATTTGTGGAACTTTGAACTTGAAAGAGATGATTTAAGGTATCTGGTGGAAGAAATTTCTAAGCAGCAAAGCATTCAAAAGGTGACTTGAGTGCTATTAAAAGCCTTCCATTTTAAAGGGGAAACACAGCATAAAAGTTCAGAAAATTTGCAGCCTGACAACGCAGTAGAAAAGGAAAACTCATTTTCTGAGGAGAAATTCAAGCTAGCTGCAGAAATTTGCATAGCTAGAAAGGAGCCTAATGTTAATGCCCAAGAGCATGGGGAAAATGTCTCTAGGGCATGTCAGAGCCCTTCAAGACAGCCAATCCCATCATAGGCCTGGAGGCCCAGGAGGAAAAAGCGGTTTTGTGGTCCAGGCCCAGGGTCCCTGTGCTGTGTGCAGCCTAGGGACTTGGTGCCCTGTATCCCAGCCCCTGCAGCCGTGGCTGAAAGGGGACAATGTAGAGCCTGGGCTGTGGCTTCAGAGAGTGGAAGCCCCAAGCCTTGGCAGCTTCCACATGGTATTGAGCCTGTGGGTGCACAGAAGTCAAGAATTGAGGTTTGGGAACCTTCACCTAGATTTCAGAAGATGTATGGAAATACCTGGATGCCCAGGCAAAATTGTGCTGCAGGGGTGGGGCCCTCATGGAGAACCTCCGCTAGGGCAGTGCGGAAGGGAACTGTGGGGTCAAAGCTCCCACACAGGGTCCCTACTAGGGCACTGCCTAGTGGGGCTGTGAGAAGAGGGCCACCATCCTCCAGTCCCCAGAATGGTAGATCCACTGACAGCTTGCACTCTGTGCCTGGAAAACCCATACACGCAATGCCAGCACGGGAAAACAGCCAGGAGGGAGGCTGTACCCTGCAAAGCCACAGGGGTGGAGCTGCCCAAGACCATGGGAACCCACCTCTTGCATCAGCGTGACCTGGATGTGAGACCAGGAAGTCAAAGGAGATCATTTTGGAGCTTTAAAATTTGACTGCCCCTCTGGATTTTGAACTTGCATGGGGCCTATAACCCCTCTGTTTTGGCCAATTTCTCCCATTTGGAATGGCTGTATTTACCCAATTCCTATAACCCCACTGTATCCAGGAAATAACTATCTTGCTTTTGATTTTACAGGCTCATAGGTGGAAGGGACTTGCCTTAACTCAGATGAGACTTGGGACTGTGGACTTTTGGGTTAATGCTGAAATAAGACTTTCAGGGGTGTGTTGGGAAACCATGATTGGTTTTGAAACGTGAGGACATGAGATTTAGAGGGGCCAAGGATGAAATGAAATGGTTTGGCTGTGTCTCCACCCACATCTCAACTCAAATTATATCTCCCGGAATTCCCATGTGTTGTGGGAGGAACCCAGGGAGAGGTAATTGATTCATGGGGGCCAGTCTTTCCTGTGCTATTCTCATGATAATGAATAAGTCTCACGAGATCTGATGGGTTTATCAGGGGCTTCCGCTTTTGCTTCTTCCTCATTTTCTCTTGACACCGTCATGTAAGAAGTGCCTTTCACCTCCCACCATGATTCTGAGGCCTGTCCAGCCATGGAACCCTAAGTCCAATTAAACCTCTTTTTCTTTCCAGTCTCGGATATGTCTTTATCAGTATGAATAGGGACTAATACAGTATGGCAAATCATACTTTCAGAAACAAACTTTATATTTTTGTAGAGTGTAAATATCAGCTTGAATATCAAAAGACCCAAGTTTTTGCTGGAGCTTTGCTAATAATAACTAGATGTGAACGGCTGAATAAATCACTTAATCTGCCTACACCTCAGTTTCCTCACCTGTAAAATAAAACATTATACAATATGATCTCTAAGGAGTTTTACTGTGATAGATATATATACATACAAAATGGAATACTCAGCAGTAAAAAGGAATTAATTAATGGCATTTGCAGCAACCTGAATGGGACTGCAAATTATTCTAAGTAAAGTAACTCACTTATTCTAAGTGAAGTAACTTAGGAATGGAAAACCAAACATCATATGTTCTCACTCATAAGTGGGAGCTAAGCTATGATGATGCAAAAGCATAAGAATGATGCAATGGACTTTGGGGACTCGGGGGAAAGGGTGGGAAAGGGGTGACGGATAAAGACTACAAATTGGGTTCAGTGCCTACTGCTCAGGAGATGGGTGCCCCAAAGTCTCACGAATCATGTAAAGAACTTACTCATGTAACCAAATACCACCTGTTCCCCAAAAACCTATGGAAATAAAAAAGCATTTTTTTTAAAAAAAGGCATTTTAAAGTTTTTTTTGGACCTAAAAATCTATTCAAAAATGTAACAAGGACTGTCATACTGTTTCTATTAATATTCAATACTTTGTGGACCAGAAAGTATCAACCCTGTGACATTGTGTGTGTGTGTGTGTGTGTGTGTGTGTGTGTGTGTGTGTGTGTTTGTAAATGTTCATTCTGTTAATTCAAAACTGGTGAATTCCACTAGATGTAGAGAACCAGTCACTAGAAAAAGGGGAAGGAGTTCCCTAAGTCTAAAGGGACAACTGTGTTCCATCTAGTAAATATGCTTGAGAGAAAATAATTTGGGAAGAAATAAACAGACAAATGATTTAAAAAACTACAAACAAATATCAAACTCTAGTTAATGACATGCATGCTCAAGTGTCAGGGTAATATGTATTGATGTCTACAACTTATTATGAAATGTACCAACAAAAAGAATGAATTGATAGATGGATAAATGACAAAGCAAATGTAGCAAACTGTTAACCATAGAACCTAGGTGGTAGTAATATGGGTGTTTGCTATGCACTTCTTTCCATTTTACTGTATGTTTGATTATATTCATTATAAAATGTTAGGGTGGGGTTTTTAAAAGGCAAATGGTCTGCAAACCTTACCCAAATACAGTCACCCAAGAGTCATCGAGGTGATCTTCTGAAGTCAAAGAATCTCCTTGAGTATAAAAAGGATCCAACTGGGCAGGAGATAATGTCGTCTTTCGTGGCTGACCGATACTTGCTGGACTAAACATACTTTGCCCTATATTAGTATATTTAGCAAGTTAGTTGCCAGTGTAAACACCTCGATTGATTCTAAATCAAAAATCTTAGTTTTAAATGATAAAGTCTAATAAAGTTGGCAATTACATAAACAGTTCAAAACATACAACTGTGGTCAAATAGCAATTTCATGCTACCATACAATTAGAGGAAGTAATAATTGGGCATAGTTTATAATTCTGCAAATGTTTTATTATGTATGATAAATTATCTAAATGTTTTATTAAGCATGTCTGGTTAAGCTGACACCAGAAGGATATCCCAGGCAACCTCAAAGACTTCTGTTGGTTTCATCTTCCAAACCTACCACTTTCATCACAGCACCTCTGCCTTAAGAACATGTAAAAATGTATTACCCACAGAACAAAATCCGAATGCCTTGGCCTCAGCTATACAGTTGCAACCTTACTTTTCCAGTATGCACTAAACAATATCTACCTTACCCCTTAAAATGTGAATGCAATTTTCTTTTATTCAGGTCATTTCTTTCTAAAATGTCTTATCCTTTTATTTCTTATTCTTCAGTAACAGCCACCAATTGAGTACTTCTGTGTGTCCAACATGCCATGCTAAACACTTTATAAAGTTCATTTTATATCAGAAGCAATGTCCAATTAAGGCTATACATTTGAGAGAAGCAAAGACTATTTCCCTTTCATCTTCACAGTAGCAATAATGATTTACTCATTCAAAACATATTTTATCAGCACTTAAATATGCACCAAGCATCAACCTAGGTATTGAAGGTATAGCAGTAAACACATTAGACAAATAAAAACAAAAAATCCATCCCTATTGGAGCCTACATTCTAGCGAAAGAGAGACAAATAAGTAAATACTTAATGTGCTACAAAACTAAAAATCCTACAGAGAAAAAAAAATAAAGCAGAGAAGGGAGACAGGGCCAATTTGTGTGGGTGGGTTAAATGAAAAAGGATTTCACTGAGGTGCATTAAAGCAAAAACCTGAAGGACAAGGGAAGCAAAACAATATTTGAAGAAGTGAACATTTTGTGGAGAAAATAATAAAACAAAGGCCATGAGGAAAGACATGATTGGTCTTAGATGAACGCAAGAAGGCCACTGTTTGCACAGTGAGGGGGATGTGAGATGAGAACAAGGAGATGCGAGCAGAGAGGCAGCAATATGCCGGATCATGAAGAAAAACCTTATAAAGCCACTGTAAAAGCTAAAGCTCTAAGCGAGGTAGAAAACCAACAGAAAAATCTGAGCAAGCGTGACATAACAGGACTAAAACTTTGATAGTAAAAGGTAGCATTTTAAGGGCCAGGCCAGTGGCTCACACCTGTCATCCCAACACTTTGGGAGGCCAAGGCGAGCGGATCATGACGTCAGGAGTTTGTGACTGGCTTGGCCAACATGGTGAAACCCCATCTCTACTAAAAACACAAAAATTAGCCAGGTGTGGTGGTGCATGCCTGTAATCCCAGCTCCTCTCAAGGCTGAGGCAGGAGAATCGCTTGAACCCGGGAGGCGGAGGTTGCAGTGAGCTGAGATAGCACCACTGCATTACACCCTGGGTGACAGAGAGACTCTGTCTCAAAAAAATAAAAAAATTAAAAAAAAGGTAGCATTTTATTAAGTGATTATTACACTTTACGAGTGTAATTTTATTTAATTCTAACAATCCTACAAAAGGTCCAATTAGTCCATTTAACAAATTAGGAAACAGGATAATATTAAATAACATCCAGAAGGTTAGTTGGAATTCCAATCCAGGCAATCGGAATCCAAAGCATGAGCTCTGAGGCAGTAATCTAGTTAACATGTTTATTTCCTGTGGCAGTACTACAAGTGTGGTCTGGAGATTCTTGGCTCCCCCAGGACTCTCTCATGAGATCAGCCAACTCAAAATTATTTTCACAAAAACATGAAGTTTCATTTGCCTTTTTCTCAGTCTCTTATTAGTGTACAGTGGAGTTTTCCAGAGGCAACTTCATGTGATTCAACAGACTCAGGTTGAAAAGAGAAGCAGATTCATGAGAATTCACAGGTATTTTATTAAGCCAGACACTAAAAAGATTTTTAAAACAAAAACAATGTCACTCTTCCTGCAAATCTTTTTTTCTTTAGAAAATAGTTACTGTTCACTTCAAAAAAGATTATGTTTATATGAAATAGCTTTATTTTTAAATGAGTTAATACTTAAATTTTAAATTTTGTTTTAATTTTGAATGCAGTAAATATTGATAGCTATAATCTATATAAACAAAAGCTCTTTAATTTTTAAGAGTATAAACAAGGTAAAAACTACAAAACTAAGACATTTGAGAACCACTGTTCTACAGGTCAATGCGCATGAGTCATGCTCCATTTTTATTGATTTTCTAGAGGCTACTTAACATATTCTAACTATTGTATGTATCTCCTGACTTGCCATTTATCCTTAATTCCCAAATGAGTTGAAAACCATCCTAACTCATTCCAAAGTGTTTATAGTCACATGGATTTCTCCAAGTATGTTCTTAAGAAACAAAAAAGATTATCTATAGAAGGTGGGGGGAAAAGCTACTGTGATAAAAAGCTTGGCTTTGCACTGTGGCTCGTGACTGTAATCCCAGCGCTTTGGGAGGCCAAGTTAGGAGTTCAGGACCAGCCTGGGCAACATGGCAAAACCTTATCTCTACTAAAAATACAAAAAATTAGCTGGGCGTAGTGGTGTGTGCCTGTGGTCCCAGCTATTTGAGAGGCTGAGATGGAAGGATCACTGGAGCCTGGGAGGTGGAGGTTACAGTGAGCCAAGATCATGCCACTGCACTCCAACCTAAATGACAGAGTTTAAGACTCCATCTCGAAATATATCTATAGATATATTTGATAAAAATAACCTGTTAAAGAAGTGGGCAAAGAACATGAATAGACATTTTTCAAAAGACATACAAATGGCTAAGAGGTATATGAAAAAATGCTCAACATCACAAATCATCAGAGAAATGCAATTCAAAACTACATCATCACCTTACCCTAGTCAGAATGGCTATTGTTAAACAAAAAAACAAACAGATGCTGGCGAGGATGCAGAGAAAAGAGAACTCATACACTGTTGGTGAGAACGTAAATTAGTACAACCTCTATAGAAAGCCATATGGAGATTTCTCAAAGAACTAAAAATAGAACTACCATTCAATCCAACAATTTCTCTTACTGGGTATCTAACCAAACGAAAAGAAATAATATAACAAAAAGATAGCTGGACTCATAAGTTTATCACAGCACTATTCACAATAGCAAAGATATGGAATCAACTAAGGGTTCAACAATGGGTGAATGAATAAAGAAAATGTGGTGTATATATACAACGGAATATTATTCAGCCATTTAAAGGAAAGGAATCAATTTTGCAGCAACATGGATGGAACTGGAAGTCAGTATCTTCAGTGAAACAACCCAGGCACAGAAAGACAAACATCACATATGCTCACTCATAAGCGAGTGCTTAAAAAAGTATTCACAAAAATCAGTAGCATTTCTATACACCAATAACATTCAAGCTGAGAACCAAATCAAAAATGTAATCCCATTTACAATAGCCACATATCAAAAAAAAAAAAATTAAAATACCTAGGAATACATCTAACCCAGGAGGTGAAAAATCTCTACAAGGAGAACTACAAAGCACTGATGAAAGAAATCGCAGATGACACAAATGGAAAAACATTCCACGCTCATAGATTAGAAGAATCAGCATCATTAAAATGACCATATTGCCCAAAGGAATTCAACACAATTCCTATCAAATAACCAACATCATTTTTCACAGAATTATAAAAAACTATTCTAAAATTCACAGGGAAGCAAGAAGAGCCCAAATAGCCAAAGCAATCCTAAGCAAAAAGAACAAAGCCAGCAGCATCATATTACCTGACTTCAAACTATGGGACTACAGTAACCAAAACAGTATGGTACTGGTACAAAAATAGGTACACAGACCAATGAAACAGAATGGAGAACCCAGAAACAAAGTCACACACCTACAAACAATGGATCTTTGACAAAGTTGGCAAAAATAAAAAATGGATAAAGGATGCCTTACTCAATAGATGGTGCAAGGAAAACTAGCTAACCATATGCAGCCTGCCTCTCACCATATAAAAAAAATTAACCAAGATGAATTGAAGACTTAAATGTAAGACCTCAAACTACAAAAATTCTAAAAGAAAACCTTGAAAAACCTCTTCTGGACATTGGCCTAGGCAAAGACTTTACAACTCATATCGCAAAAGCAAATACAACAAAAACAAAGATTGACAAGTTGGACCTAATTAAACTAATGACTTCCTGCACACAAAAGAAACTATCAAAAGAATAAATCGACAACCTACAGAATAGGAGAAAACATGTGCAAAGTATGCATCCAACAAAGGCATCTGTAAAGAACTTAACAAGAAAAAAAACATTAAAAAGTGGGCAAAGGACATGAACAGGCACTTCTCAAAAGAAGACATGCAGGTGACCAACAAACATGAAAAAATGTTCAATGTCACTAATCAACAGAGAGACTGCAATTCAAAACCACAATGTGATTCCATTTCACACCAATCAAAATGGCTACTATTAAAAAGTCAAAAAATAGGCCAAGCGCAGTGGCTCACATCTGAATCCTAGCACTTTGGGAGGCCAAGGCGTTTGGATCACCTGAGGTCACGAGTTCGAGACAAGCCTGGACAACATGGCGAAACCCCATCTCTACTAAAAATACAAAAACTAGCCGGGCATGGTGGCGGGTGCCTGTAGTCCCAGCTACTCGGGAAGCTGAGACAAGAGAATCGCTCAAACCCGGGGAGTAGAGGTTGCAGTGAGCCAACATCGTGCCACTTCACTCCAGCCTGGGTGACAGTGAGACTCCAACTTAAAAAAAAAAAGGTCAAAAAATAAGAATGTAAGAATGTTGATAAGGCTGCAGAGGGAACCCTTATATGCTGTTGGTGGGAGTGTAAATTAGTTCAGCCTCAACAGAAAGCGGTTTGGAGATTTGTAGAACTCAAAATAGCAGTACTATTTGAACATCTTGTTGTCTAGTAAGGTCTAGAATAGTGTTCTGGATAAAATATATTCTTCAATAAGCTTAATAGATGTGAGGTGATCTGAAAAATATTTTTCCTAAAGGAAAGTGTACATTAATAGGTTAAATTAGATTAGTTCTAGTTTCTAAATTTGAATTCAAAGGAGTCTAGGAACTCAAATTGTTTAGCAACCCTAAAGAAGTAAGATTTTTGAAATACTTTTTTTTTTGAGACAGAGTCTCACTCTATTGCCCAGGCTGGAGTGCAGTGGCACGATCTCAGCCCACTGCAACCTCCGCCTCCTGGGTTCAAGCGTTTCTCCTGTCTCAGCTTCTGGAGTAGTTGGGATTACAGGTGTGTGCCACCACACCCAGTTAATTTTTGTATTTTTAATAGAGACGAGGTTTCACCAGGTTGGCCAGGCTGGTCTCGAACTCCTGACCTCAGGTGATCCACCTGCCTTGGCCTCCCAAAGTGCTGCAATTCCAAGCGTGAGCTACCATGCACAGCAGATTTTTGAAATTCTTAAGTGATTATATTTTTTCTTTTCAGTTAGAATGATATTATTGCATTGTAGTTTTTACTTGATAACTCTTTTGATCCTGTCCAGGCTGTAGTTTTGTTTTGATATCATTTGGAGGCAAGACATGGACATCATTCCTAGAAGTCTGTTAGACTTGACTTTATAAATTAATATTTGTGCTGTAATTGAAGTTATGTATTACTAACAACAGTTAACTTTTTAAAGTTCTTGTCTATTGTCCCATTTTATTGTTGGAGTAACACCTAAGTCTTGTGTTAAGGTTCATTATAGATGTAATAACTAAGTAATATTTATTAAACTTTTAAAAATTCTCTTTCAGGTAATCTTCAACTATACTGGATAGCTTTTTATTTGTACAAATGTATGGGGTACATGTGGAGGAATACTAAAGTACATCATCCTATAATACATTTAACAATTTACTTCCCTCATCACCACAGAAGCATTTAATAGGTATAGGCTGAGTATCCCAAATCTGTAAATACAAAATCCAAAATGTTCCAAAACGTGTAACTTTTGGAGCACCAGCATAACACTCAAAGGAAATTTCAGATTTTCAATGCTCAACTGATAAGTATAATGCAAATATTCCAAAATCTGAAACTCTTCTGGTCCTAAGCAGTTCTGCTAAGGGATATTCAACCTGTTCAATACATTTCTAAAATAAGTCTGATTTAGAATGAAACATCCCACTTTGACAAGTGCTGTTATATTTTTAAGAATCTACTTATCAACTAAGTTACCAACTATTGCTTTAGTAAGTGGAAGCATATATTTATACAAAAGATACTCTTAACTAATTTTAGTTACTACAAAGACATTCCATTAACAAACTGAAGACAGTAAAAGGCATTTAATCTGAAGCCAATCCAAATTTTCTACAGTCTACAAGTATTACCATTAAGAAGATAAAATTTAGTTATGCTACATCATGTAATAATCTTCAAGCAAGAAATTAAATGAAGGTTCGAATTGTGACAACCGTTACAACCTTTAAAAATAAAACAAATCAAAAATAAGTCTCAAACGAATAAGCAATCTAATTTTTGCCCTGTCAACTACTCTGAAAAATATAATTACTTATACATAATCTAAAACTATTTACATAACTTTAGCATAATTGCCCCCCACCTAGTTAATGTTTAATTGCTCCACTAATTTTACTTCCTTTCAATCAGACTTCTGATGCCCACATGCCATGCTTTGTAAGATGAAAATAAAGTGTGCCTATCAAACCACATCAAATCGGACTGCAATGTGTCTCCCTGAGTAAATCACTATTCAAACATTCTTCCTAAGACTGGATTAAAGCAGAGGGCAAAAGACCTTATTACCCTTTATGAAAATGTCTTCAATTAAAAGAAAGATTCAATTATTTCAAAATAGACCACTAACCTAAATGAAAACAAAAGAGATTAAAAGACTAGTAAATTTTAAATAGATACGAGCCAAATGAAACTTGGAAAAAAGAGGTTCCTGGCGGTGTTAACTTCTTATCATGAAACAAAGTAGCACAATATGTAATAAGGGATTTGGTCTCTGCTCAACAAGAGGAGGAAGACTGGAGACTGAACTCAACCACCTGATTGGTAATTCAATCATGCCTATGTAATGAAACTCCAATAAAAACTGTGGACATAGATGCTCCAGTGAGCTTCCCTAGTTGGTAGTACTCCATGTATATTGCCATACATTGACGCTGGGAGGATAACACATCTCCCTGAAGACAATGGAAAGGAAGCTTCACATTTGGAACCCTTTCCAACGTCACCCTATGTGTCTTCCTTTGGCTGGCTCTAATTTGTTTCTTTTTGCTGTAATAAAACTGTAACCATGAGCACAGCACTTTCAGTGAGGTTGTGAGTCTTTCTAGTAAACTACCAAACATTACAAGCAGCCTTGGTAACCTCTTAATTTATAGACAGCTGGTCTAAAGTGATCATCCCAAACTTAACAGCTAGTATCTGAAGTAAGGATAATCTTATAAGGACTATTTAATCAGACTTTGCAGTATGGCACACACATTATACCGAAAAAGCATATTGAATGGTACAATGTCCAATCAAGCATGGTGAACTGAACCCTGTATTCACTTATAATCCCTTGCAAACCCCTACTGACAGACACTCTAAAAAAGTGTCAGGTTTTGGGGACCAATGATACTGTGAGAAACTCCTGACTGAACTTAAGGAAAACTAGTGTAAAGTATATAATAAGGGCTTACAGACCAGGCCTCTCCTTATCCCAGGCAGCTAGATAACTCTCACTTTCCCAATCCACCCTCAAAAGACCAAAGATTTTGTCTCTGGAGAAAAGGAACCTAAACAGCTCAAAACTCAATGAGTCTGACAGCAGAAGACAACTGTAAGGAGATTAAGTGAAAATCTGCACATTGAAAAGGAGATTTGCCCCTGCCCATATTCAGAACACCAGCTTAGGCATAAGGCTGAGTATTAAAAGATTCTTCTTTGGGAACACTTAAAAGTGAAGCCCAGTAAGATATAAAACAGCTCCTCTCCATCAATTCTACCCTGCTGCCAATACCGAATCCTATGCACACACTTATTCCAAATAGCTTTTAGTGCCTCATTTGATAAATATTTGCTCACCAGCAATGATAGAGGGGTAAAAAAAAAAATACCAAGAACTAGAAGAGACGAGACAATAAGAGCAAGAATAAAAAAGACTGCTATTAACCTCACTGCTAGGACATTTTACCTATGAAAGAACAGAATGCTGTATTTCTTTTCTTTTTTTTTTTTTTTGAGATGGAGTCTCGCTCTGTCACCCAGGCTGGAGTGCAGTGGCTCGATCTCAGCTCACTGCAAGCTCCGCCTCCCGGGTTCAGGCCATTCTCCTGCCTCAGCCTCCCGAGTAGCTGGGACTACAGGCGCCTGCAACCACGCCCAGCTAATTTTTTGTATTTTTAGTAGAGACGGTGTTTCACCTTGTTAGCTAGGACGGTCTCGATCTCCTGATCTCGTGACCCACCCACCTCGGCCTCCCAAAGTGCTGGGATTACAGGCGTGAGCCACCGTGCCCAGCTGAGAGAAGAGAATGCTATATTTCTAAGTACATTCAAAGGACAACAACAAAAAGGTTCCTGGAATTAAAATGACAGAGAAAATAAAAAACTGAGATGGTGGGGCATGGTGGCTCACACCTGTAGTCCCAGCACTTTGGGAGGCTGATGCAGGTGGATCACTTGAGGTCAGGAGTTCAAGACCAGCCTGGCCAACATGGTGAAACCCTGTCTCTACTAAAAATACAAAAAGTAGCCCAGCATGTGGTGCACATCTGTAGTCCCAGCTACTTGGGAGGCTGAGGCAGAAGAATCACTTGAACCTGGGGAGGCAGGTTGCAGTGAGCCGAGATTGTGCCACTACACTCCAGCCTGGGCAACAAAGCAAAACTCCATCTCAAAACAAAAACAAAAGTGCCCACCACCCCCCACCAAAAAAAAAAAGAAAACACACAAAATTTGAGAAAATCTCTCAGAAAGTAGCATACAGATATAAATGATAACATAAAAGGGAAACAATAATTAGAAATCTCTGCAGTAATGCAACACACAAACAAGCAATTCCAAAAAACGGAAAAGAGAAAGCAGAGAGAAAGCAATTATCAAACAAATAATACAGGGAAGTTTCCCAGAACTGAAGAATAAATATAAGCATCTTGATGCAAAGGATCCATCAATTCCCCAGCAAAACAAATGAAAAAGTTCCACACCAAGACACATTTGCAAAATTGAGAATACCAACCATAGAAATATCATAAATTCTGGAAAACAGGTCACGTAAAAATACTCAGGAATCATCATCACAAATGGCTTCCACAGAACACTGGAAGGCAGAAGACAATGGAATGATGCCTCCAAAATTCCAACCTACCCACCTACACTATCAATCAAGTGTGAAGACTAAAAAAAGCATTTCTGACATGAGGTTTTAAATTTTTACTTCTTAAGCAAGCTTTTTTAGAAAGCTACTTAAATATGTTCTTCACCAAAATCAGGACATAAAGAGGGAGGCATGCTTTCTAGGAAAAAGAACTCAACACTACAAACATGCAAGTCCTAGGATGATTGTCATACACCATGCCAAAACAAGAAATCAAGACAGAGGCTAAGAGAGAGAAATTCTCAATTTAAAACAAAGAAAAATGTGCTTGAAAAGTGAGTATACTAAAATAGGTATGTACCATAGCAGCAGAATGTTTGCTTAAAATAAAGGGAACAAACGGCACATAGAAAATTAGACTTAATAGAAAAAAAACAATTATTAACTATTGGAGAATCAAGAGTTTTACAGAAAGAATAATCATATTAATTGGTTCAGCACTGAGCAGTATTTACATAGTCACAGTACAAACACTGACAAAGGAATAAAGTTAGATGTAACTATATTCAGATAATATGAGGGGAAAATACAATATCTTCAATTACTTTAAGAGAAATATAGCAAAATTAAAAACTGAAAATTAAGAATTAGCAATATGATGACGTGGCTGGCTAAATGACAGCCCTCCAAGATAACAACATTCTAATCCCTGAAATCTGCAAATGCTATCTATGTGGCAAAAGGGATCTTGCAGATGTGATTACAGATCCTCAGATGGGGAGATTATCCAGGTGGGCCCTATATGTAACCACAAGTATCCTTACAAGAGGGAAGTAGGAGATTTTACTTCAGGGAAGGCTATGTGATTATGGAAGCAGGGAATGGAATGATATGCTTTGAAGATGGAGGAAAAAGGCATAAAGGAGAATCCAGCTAGATGCTGAGGAAAAAAAAAAAAACAAGGAAGCTGATTGTCCATAGAATCTCCAGAGGTAATCCTATCAACCCCTTGACTTTAGCCCAGTGAAACTGACTTTGGGATAAATGAGAATAAATGTAAAGTGTTTTAAGCCAATACATTTGTGGTAATTTGTTACAATGGCAAGAGTAAACTAATATAGCATCTAATTTGGACATAGTAAATTCCAAAAAGAATAGCTCTAAGATCTGGACTGGCTAGTTCATAATAAGGTTAAAGATCATTGCATTTTGTTGTATTAAAGTTCTATTTAATTTTCCTTTTTTTTTTTTTTTTTGAATGGAGTTTTGCTCTCGTTGCCCAGGCTGGAGTGCAGTGGTGCGATCTCGGCTCACTGCCACTTCCACCTCCCCAGTTCAACTGATTCTCCTGCCTCAGCCTCCTGAGTAGCTGGGATTACAGGTGTCCACCACCATGCTTGGCTAATTTCTTGTAGTTTTTGTAGAGATGGGGTTTCACCATGTTGGCCAGGATGATCTTGAACTCCTGACCTCAGGTGATCTACCCGCCTTGGCCTCCCAAATTGCTGGGATTACAGTAAGTTCTATTTAATTTTCTAAAACCATCTGAATTTATTATTTTGACTAAAACATAAACATTGCCACCACCATAACTAGAGACCACTCAATGGTAGCATAGTTAATCTGACATGAGAGTAAATAAAATTTTGGTGACTAATTAAAAATAAGATTATCCTAGATTATCCAAATAGGCCCAATATAACCAATAAGGTCCTTAAAAGGGGAAGAGGAAAGGAAAATAATAATGTAGAAACACTCACTGGACACTGGGGGTTCTGAAGATGGTAGGGGGACATAAACCAAAGAATGTGGACAGCCTCTACAACTTAGAAAAGAAAAAAAAAATTCTCCTCTAGGGCCTCCAGAAAGGAATGCAGTCCTGCTAACATCTTGATTTTAGTCCACTGAGGCCTACTTCAGACTTCTGACCTCCATAACTGTAACACAATAAATTTGTGTTGTTTTAAGATATTAATTTGTGATAATATGGTTCAGCAGCAATAAGAAGCTACATAGTCTAGAATAAGGATAGTTTTTATTCAGTATTATTAAAGAAAAATCATGCCTTGCCAAGTTGGATGCAAATACACCAATCCTCTTATTTGGTAGTGGATACTGGTGTTGGAATGTCATTGTCTCAAAACAATATTTACATATATTAGTTACCTGTGGCTGCTGTAACAAATTACCACAAACTGGATGGCTTAAAACAGAAATTTATTCTCTCACAAATTATGGAGGCCCAAAGTCCAAAATTATGTTGTTGGCAAGGTGGCATGCCTGCTGCAGACTCTAAGGAAGGATCCACTGCTTGCCGCTTGCCTCCTCCACCTTTTGGTGACTTATGGCATGCTTTGGAAACAACACTCTAATCTCTGCCCCCTTCTGAACATCACCTTCTCTCTCCTCTATATGTTTCTCTTCCTCTTCAGTTTCAAATTTCTTTCTGCCTCTTACCTACAAGGACCCTTGTGACTGGATTTAGGCACCATCCAGGCAATCCAGGATTCTGTCCCCTTCCCTCCTTAACTCTTTAAACTCTCCTTCAGAGTCTCCCCTCTGAAAATCCTTAACTCAATCATATGTAAGTTAACAGTCACAGGTTCCAGTGATTAGGATGTGGACATATTGTATGGAGGCCACCATTCAACTCTCTACAGCTTATATCCATCAATATATTCAGTCAACAAACATTTACAAAGGGCTGGGTATGGCATGGTGGCACATGCCTATAATTCCAGCACTATGGGAGGTCGAGGTGGGAGGACTGCTTGAGCCTGGGAGTTTAAGGCTGCAGGGAGCTATGACTGCACCACTGCACTCCAGCCTGGGTGACAGCGAGATCTTTTCTCAAAAAAAAAAAAAAGAAAGAAAGAAATGCAAAACCATAATGTTAAGTAAAGTTTTACACTTTAGCGGCTCTCTTAGTCTACTGAAAAGCATACATTTTAATTTTCTTATTGTTGTCAAGTGGAAAAGCACAGGATTAATGTTAGGTCCTTTGTACCCAGCTCTGAGATGGGTAAACACTGAAGACACAGGAAAAATCTCTGTCTTGAAGGAGTTCATAATCAGGTAATAAAGACAGATGAGAGCCAAACAGAGAGCTTTAAAAGGAACACATGTAAGGAGTACCTAACCCAAACCAGAAAAAGAAGAGTCCCTTTTGGCCCCCACTTCCAGGAACACTATCAAAACTCTGAGGTCCTTGCATCAACAAAAGCAGCCATAAAGTGCTACTATCACTTAATATCACGCTTAACCTGTTAACAATATGCTAACACAAATGATTCTAGTTAATTAACGAGTGACCTACCATTTTGGAAGAGAGCTAATATATAAGTGAAAGAACTTCTCAAGAAAAAAAGTAATAAAAAATATAAAGGAAGAAGAAAAGCAGAAGAAAACTTAAATTGCAGCAGAAAAAAATATTCAGGGATGAGGATGGGGAAAGTAGAAAAAACACATTCAATGTTCTTTACCAGGGGCAGTAATATACCATGACTAAGAGTTTCTTATATTCTTTAATCCAGATTTCCTATTTTGACTTATGACCAATGTTTTCCTGCACCAGAAATAATATTCTAAAAAAGATCTTAACATCAGTTACAGAATGTTTACAAAATAAAATAAACCCACCAACCTCTTTATTGGATGCAAAAAACAACCTAAGCATAAAGTGGCAGTCATGCCATTATATCCCATGACATCTCTTTATAAAACTTGCCAATCTCAGAAAGCTAAGATTTACTAATCATCCAAAAAAACTTCACTTAACACTAAATACAGGAGCTAAAAAAAAAAAAAAATATATATATATATATATATATATAGCTCTAAATGAAAAATCTAGGTTTTCCCCTCAATTTTCCTGTCAATTCTCTTTTTCTATTTCTTGCCTATCATTGGCCATGCATGATAGGTCTCCACACCTTGTCATCTTTTCAAAAATATTCTTTGTCACTTATACCCCATTAAGACTTTCTATGTGTAAATTCCTTAAAGTCAAAGTAGAAGCAGCAGTGGCTCCCAGTGGCCAATTCATGATAGGTATTTTTCCTATCACAGCTCTTGTATTTTCATATATAGTTTCTACAATTACAAAACCTCACAGAAGTTACTATATTAGAAAAAAATAAGTTAACAAAAAGATATTTATTAACATTAATCATGCGCTTTTCTACTTGACAACGGTAGGAAAATTAAAATGTATGCTTTTCAGTCAACTAAGAGAGCCACTAAAATGTAAAACATTACTTAACATTATGTGTTTTTGCCTTTTTTTTTTTCTTTGAGGTCTCCCTGTCACCCAGGCTCGCGTGCAGTGGTGCAATCATAGCTGCCTACAGCCTTAAACTCCCCGGCTCAAGCGGTCTTCCCACCTTGACCTCCCATAGCGCTGGAATTATAGGCATGTGCCACCATGCCACACTCAGCCCTGTTTTTGGATTTTCAATGTCCCTGGGATCACTTACTGACTCAATTATTTCTTTGAAACAAGGTCTCACTCTGTCACCCAGGTTGGAATGCAGTGGTGTGATCACTGTTCACTACAGCCTTGACTTCCCAGGCTCAAGTGATCCTCCTAACCCCAGCATCCGAGGTGGCTGGGACTACAGGTGTGTGCCACCATGCCAGGCTAATTTAAAAAATTTTTTTTTGTACAGACAGGCATCTCACTATGTTGCCCAGGCTGGTCTCAAAACTCCTGGACTCAAGTGATCCACCTGCCTCGGGATTACAGGCATGAGCCAGTGGCACCTGGCATGACTCAAATAACTGAATAATCACTATTTCTGCGTGTAACAAAGCATCATCATCCACCTATTTGTTACAGTTTGATCAGCTTAAGGCTGTTCAGCACTAATTTTCCTAGACATTCAACCTCAGTTACATGGCTGAAAAGACTAGGGTGACATTCTAGATGTTTGATCATGACATACACAGTAGACAGACTTCTAAAAAGGCCTCCAAGATTTCTTTTTTTTGGAGACAAAGTCTCGCTCTATCACCCAGGCTGGAGTGCAGTGGCTCGATCTCAGCTCACTCCAACCTCTGCCTCCCAGGTTCAAGTGATCCTCCCACCTCAGCCTCCCAAGTAGCTGGGATTACAAGCGTGCACCACCATGCCTGGCTAATTTTTATATTTTTACTAGAGACAGGGTTTCCCCATATTGGCCAGCCTGGTCTCAAACTCCTGGCCTCAAGTGAGCTGCACTCCTCAGCCTCCTAAAGTGCTGGGATTACTGGCATGAACCACTGCGCCCAGCCTAAAGAGGCCTCCAAGATTTCTGTCCCCTGGTTTGACTGATTGGTAATCCAATCAACCAATCCAGGTACTGCCGTGAAGGAACTTGGCAGATGAACTTAGGGTTACTACTCAGCTGACTTTAGAATAAGGAACTATCTCAGATTATCCTCATGGGCCTGATAAAATCGAATGAGCTCTAACCACCAGCAGAAGGCAGAAAAGTAAAGTTAGAGATATATGAAGCATAACAAAGGACTTGATCTGCCATTGCTATATCTGAAGATGGAAGATGGAGAGCCATGAGCCAAGGAGTGAGGGCAGCCTCTAGAAGTTAACATCTTAAGGTAACAGCCAGCAAGGAGAGGGACCTCATTCATTCCTATAACCACACAGAACTAAATTCTGCCAACAACTTGAAGGAGCTTGGAAGCAGATTCATACCCAAAGCCTCCAGACAGAAACACAGCCCTGTTGACATCTGAGCTCTAACCAACAGCCCAGATATCTGACCTCTAGAAACCAGAAGATAATACGTGTATTGTTTTAAACCACTAAGTTTGTCGTAATTTGTTATGGCAACTACAGAAAACTAGTACAGATTTTGGAACAAGTCAGGTGCTGCTGTTAACACCCAAGTAAAAATGTGGAAATGGCTTTAGAAATCAGGCAGTGGGTAGAGGCTGGAAGAATTCTGAGCATCGTGATAGAAAATGACTAAGTTTCCTTGAAGAACATTTTACTAGAAATGTAGACTTTAAAGACACGGCCAATGAGTGCTCACAGACTGCCTCAAGAAATTCAGACTTGGAGGATTCAAAGGATCCAATTTGTATTGGGTGTTCCTTTTGTTATCCATTCTGACAATACCTGCCTTAACCAGAGTGTTTAATACATTTTACATCATTGTTAATTTGGTTAGTTTTTTTGCGTGCTTTTTTTTTTAAATTTTTATTTACTTTTTTCTTGAGATAGGGTCTTGTTCTGTCACCCAAGCTGGAGTGCAGTGACAAAATCAGCTCCCTTGCAACCTCGAATTCCTGGGCTCAAGCAATCCTCCTGCCTCAGCCTTCCGAGTAGCTGGAACTACAGGCACATGCCTGATTTGCTTAGTTTAAAATCTACTGTCTTGCTATTGTTTCTTATGTTCCATCTTTCCCTGTTATTGTATTATTTCCCTTCTTGCCTGCCTACTTTTTCTATCACTATCATCTCTCACCTAGATTGCTACAAGTAGCCTCCTAACTTGTCTCCTTGCTTCTAAGCTAACTTTTACTCCCAAACTAGTTGAACCCAGCAACAGTCTCATCCTTATTGTCTTCCACCTTTTCTGGGTAAAGACCAATTGTGACAATAACCTACAGGGCCATGTAATACATCTGCCCCCATTACCTCTCCTCTCTGACCTCATTTTCCACTATTCTCCCCCTCACTTACTCCATTTCAGTCACCATCCCCTTATTCTTCCTTGAACACCCCAGACACACTGTTCCCTCCGTCTAGAATACTATTCCCTACCTCCCTCACTTACAGACTTTTGAGTAAAGTTTACTTGCCCCCTAACTATCAGTGGTAGGTGGAATAAGCTGGGTAGGTCCCCAAATGATGTCCATGACCTAATCCCTGGAACCTGTGAATGTTACATTACATGGCAAAGGGAATTAAGGTTGCAGGTGGAATTAACCCTGCTAATCAACTGACCTTAAAATACAAAGATTATCCTAGATTATCTAGAAGGGCCCAATGTATTCACAAGGGTCTTTAAAAGAGAGAGGGAGATATGACTACAGAAGAATGGTCAAAGAGTTACAAAGTTGCTGACTGTGAAGATGGAGGAAGGGAACCATAAGCCAAGAAACATTAAGTAGCCTCTAGAAATGGAAAAGGCAAGAAAATAGATTATTGCCAGCTGGGCGCGGTGGCTCAAGCCTTTAATCCCAGCACTTTGGGAGGCCGAGGTGGGTAGATCACAAGGTCAGGAGTTCGAGACCAGCCTGGCCAAGACGGTGACACCCCATCTCTACCAAAAATACAAAAAAAAAAAAAAATTAGCCAGGCGCAGTGGCGAGCACCTGTAATCCCAGCTACCCGGGAGGCTGAGGCAGGAGAATCACTTGAACCCAGGAGGTGGAGGTTGCAGTGAGCCGAGATGGTGCCACTGCACTCTAACCTGGGCGACAGACCAAGACTCCATCTCAAAAAAAAAAAGAAAAATAGATTTTTGTCTAGAACCTCCATAAATGAACACAGCCCTACCAATGTCTAGATTTTAGCCCACCAAGACCCATTTCAAACTTCCGACCTCCAGAAATGAAAGATAATGAATGTGTATTGTTTAAGCCACTTTTATGTTTGTGGTAGTTTGTTATGGCAGCAACAGAAAACTAATACATTACCCTATTTAAAACTCTAAGTCTCTACCCCCTCCCCCCCTTTGCTGCTTAATTTTTTCCTCCACAAAATGTAATACCTTCTAACAAATGTTATAATTTACTTGTTTTGTTTATAAATGTAAATTCTGCAAATAAATGTAAGTTCCATAAAGGCAGGGAATATCTATTTTGTTTACTATTTCCCAGAGTACACAGTTAGGTGCTCAAATATTTGCTGAATAAACATTTGATGGGATTATACACATATGACGACATATGAAGAACTGTGCTAAGCATAATGATGATTATTAAAAAGCCATTAATCTTAAAGAAAAACTAGGTATATAATCAGTGGTTGCTTCTATTCAACGGCATTTAGATTTATAACTATGCATTAACATCTCTCAAAACACCTTTATTATTCAGTGTCTTAACTATTCCTTTTCATCCCAATTCCAATGGCTTTTTTATTGACAAGTTTTAATAACTAAGGAGATACTTCAAACATCTATTAAGTATACAATTTCTTAAAAAGACATTCTGAATATTCACCCCACCATACCTTTAGGGTGATTTGATTCAGAAAATAATCAATATACAAAGTATTTCCTTCCTGAAAGAAGTTATAGATTTTGGAAAATCTCCAAGTTTGAAATATAAAATAAAAAATTTTGGCAGTTACCAACAAACATTTTATATTAAATTCATTCGAAGAATAGAGAAGTATTTGGTGTCAGAGTTGTTTACTCCGTGATCACACCACTGCACTCCAGCGTGGGTAGCAGAGCCAGACCCTGTCTTTTAAAAAAAAAAAAAAAAAGAAAGAATCACTTACCTGTTCCAGGAGTAGATGTAACTCCAACAAGAGGACTCTGCATTACTGAAATGTTTGGCTACACAAACAGAAGAAAGTGTTATGGTAAAAATGCAAAACATAAATACAGTAAGTGTTAAAAGGCTTCATTCAATGGATAACTGAATTTTTATCATGTGCTAGAGATGCCTCTAATTAGCTCAAAGTACAAAGGCACTCTTTTTTCCCCATAAGTTAAACAGTATTAACCTAAAATTTACTAGATCCCTTAGTATTTGTTTAAAATAAGAAAAGTCATATTATGTTAAAAAAAAAAAAAAAGACTATCTTCTGTAAAAGGTGACATGTTAACTATTTGTTTTTAGTTTCTAATGTACAATATTTGAAATAACAGAGATAATGGTAATTTTTAAAATGACCAGGTTCATACAGAAAAACAGAAGGGTGACAAAATTTGATTTTCAACAGATACTTAGAAACCATGAAACACTATAGATTCAAATCAGTCTAAACAATAAAAGACAGCATATCCCTACCACTACCAGTAGAAAGTTCCAAAACTGGTAAATTATCCATTTTAGTTCCTTTAAATATAAGAAAATTAAGGATTAAAATAGTTTAAAATCCTTCTAAAACAAAGACAATATCCAATCAATAAATGAGAACAGAATCTCTCTAGAACTCAATAAAGATTTTTTAAAACAGATTCTAATTAAACTAAGGAAATCTCAAATAGCTTCATTTAGCAACCAGAACTAAATGCTGAGAGAATGTTGGGAGAGATATAAAATTTATTCCTCAATTATTAATGCCAATTCTTTCATGATTAGAAAGCAAACTGAGCAAATTCCAGGGGGCATAACTAATTTGGGCTCTAATCTAGCAATAATATTCTTACCAACTTTCAAATCAAAAACATTCTCTATAAATTATGACCCACGAGTCTTTCAAACATTTTGAATACAGCAATATCTGTAAGCCTTTGTCTGTATCATCAGAGAAGTAATAAAACCTTGCACAAATTTAGAAGCCAGTGGTTCTTGCAACAAACAATTTTTTAATTTTTTAGTTTTTATTATTTTATTTTTGAGACAGGGTCTCACTCTGTCACCCAGGCTGAGTGCAGTAACACGATCACAGCCCACTGTAGCCTGAGCTTCCCAGGCTCAAGCAATCGTCCCACCTCAGCCTTCTGAGTACCTGGGACTATAGGTACACACCACCACATCTAGCCTTTTTTTTTTTGTATTTTCAGTAGAGACAAGAGTTTCGCCATGTAGCCCAAGCTGATCTCAAACTCATGGGTTCAAGCAATCTGCCCAAAGCCCAGCACAGTGGGTCACACCTGTAATCCCAGCACTTTTGAAGGCCAAGGAAGGTGGATTACTTGAGCTCAGGAGTTCAAGACCACCCTGGGCAACAGGACAAATCCCATCTCTACAAAAAATACAAAAGTTAGCCAGGCATGGTGGTCCACATCTGTAGTCCCTGCTACTAGGGAGAAGAGGTGGGAGGATCACTTGAGCCCAGGATGTCGAGGCTACAGTGGGGCATGACCATTTCACTGCACTCTAGTCTGGGTGATAGAGCAAGACCCTGTCTCAAAAAATAATAATAATAAATAAAAATACATAAAAATCAAGCAATCCGCCCACCTCGGCCTCCCAAAGTGCTGGGATTACAGGCATGCACCAACACGCCCAGCCTTCATACCAAACTAATCATAAGCTTTACTTATCAACCTTTAGAAAACCATCCCAGACCAGGATATCTATCCATTAGGAACAATAAATTCCATACGTGTAATTTTACCATTTCTAGTAGGCACATTTTAAAAGTACAAACAGGTGAAATTTAGTAATATTTAGCCAAACACATCCAAAACATTATCATTTCAATATGTAATCAACATAAAAAAATAAGATACCTTACATTCTTTCTAAGTCTTCAAACTCTGGTGTGTATTTTATACTTAAAGTGTATCTCAATAAAGACTAGCTATATCTTTAGTATCAATAGCCACACTTAGCTAGTGGCTCCTGTTGGACAGGAAGGCAGGTCTAGAAGTGTTGGGAAGAAACAGTAATCTGTTTACCACAGTGAATGAATTTTGCTTTACTTGACAAGTAAGCCTAGTATGCCAGACATATCAAGCCTATAAATAGCACGAATCCACTGAAAAATGCTTTCTAATATTCTTGAACTCTCAACTTCACTAAATACAATTTAGGGAAAGGCATAAAACATATATCTAAAGCAAACAGCAGACATATCTTTATATAAAGAACTTACCAACTTAACTGATAAACTTTGTTTATATGTCCTACTAAGCACAATAATAATAGGAAACAACACTTGTGTCTATGAAGCTACTAAATTTTCTACTTAAAAGAAAAGTCGGCCAGGCACAGTGGCTCACATTTATAATCTAGCGCTTTGAGAGGTCAAGGTGCAAGGATCACCTGAATCCGGCAAGACCTCATCTCTACAAAAAAAAATACAATTAGCCAGGCATAGCAGCACGTGCCTATATCCCAATAGGACAGTTGAGGCAGGAGGATTGGTTGAACCCAGGAGTTCAAGGCTGCAGAGTTATGACTGTGCCGCTGCACTCTAGCCTGGGCAACTGATCAGGACCCTGTTGGGGACCCTAAAAAAAGAAGAAAATAAAGACAAGTCCATACTACTTCTCAGCTGACGAGTGCCCTAGATCTAGATGAAACTCTAAATTTTCATTTGTTCTTTCACATAATTTTTAAATATTAAATATTAAACTTCTTAAACAATCAGAATGATTTAAACCATAGTCACATTCTACATGTATATTAAGTAGGTTGGAGCTATGGGCAGGTGGATAAGGCATACCTATAAACACCTGAGAATTACCTATGAGAGAAAATCTAGAGTTCTACACTGTTAAGTACAGTTCATCATCAACACAATTTAAGTAGATTCTATGATGTGTTTAATGTTTATTCTGTGCAACACAGTTACATTAAAACAGACTTCAGGGAAACATTTCAAAGTATTGACTCTCACTGAACAGACACATAAAACCATGATGTTGTTCATTGGGGATCAAAAGGGTATTTATATTACCTGTCTTCTTGAAGTTAAAGGTGTTGATCCAAGTCCTGGGCTAGAAATGTCATCATATATACTTCTAACTGGTGGAGCGCCACTTTTATCTTTATGAGCTGGTACAACTGGTTGTGGTGGTGACCCACCTACAGTGTACAAAAAAAAAAAAAAAAAAAGGGATTCTTCTTTTTGGTAAGATTTTTTAAATTTATATTTTTGAAATACTGACTTAAAATCTTGTCTGTTAGTTCTTTTCAAACTTTAATATGCTGAACAGTCACCTGGGGACCTTGTTAAAATTCAGACTCTGATTCAGAAGGTGTAGGGTGAAGCCTGAGATTATACAGTTCTAATAAGCTCCCAGGTAATGCCAATGCTGCTGATCCATAGACTGCACTCTGAATAAAAGGATTCAGAGTAAGTAGTTAATGAAAATCTTAGTTTTCAGAAAACACATGTAACTTTTGCTCACTCTACAAAACGCTTAACATTTAAATACAAAACTTGATCCCATTTCTCACTTGAAAGTAGGTACTAAACAGCTCCAGTCTGTAGATTCCTGAATAAATACAATTCCCTATGTAGAGTTTGACTATCTAGATTAAGTAGATCCCATTCATGTTTCTCACAGTAGAAATATATTTAAGTACATAATAAAGATGTAGTAAAAGGACCAAGTTCTGTGACATAAAGATGTCTTTATCGATCAGAGAACATGCAATGTCAAATAGTGATGCAGCCCAGGCCATCGGTAAGACTAATGTCTGAGCCTGGACTGTACAGCTTAAGCTATTTAGAGCACAGTCTATGGAATAAGACTAACCTGAGGTTTATAGCGCTCGCTCACTTACTAGCAAGTGAGCTTCAGCAAATTACTTATTGCATTTAGCCTCAGTTTTCTCTTTTTAAAGATGGGGATACTATTACCTACCCTTTAAGATTGACAAAATAATGATTAGCATACTGCCAGGCTCATAAGCAATCAATATACGTTGGCTACCATAATAAAATAACACATTTGAAATTTAATGTTTAATGTTAAATGAATTACTTCAAATATAATTTATAATTCTCCCTGATAAATCCTAAATAATAAACCATTTTAAAGCAAAAATACTTTAAAGGGCAATTAAGGTAAAAAGAGTTTTCACTTGAACTACTACTAAAGGATATTAGCTCACAATTAGAATTCAACACTTCTGTATCTAATTCTCACTACTCAGTTAAAACTTCGAAGTCATTTTTTAAAGTATTTCTTTGCTAAAGGAGTTCTGTAATAAACACAGGCTGCATTTACAATACTTTGCCCTGACAATCACAAATTCTGTGTATAAAACCTCCCCCCCAAGTTTCCTTAAACACGCTATATGTGAGAATCTCAATTCACTAAGACTAAAGGCAGAATTCGTATCTACATCTTCAAGTTACACTTCTTTTGACCGATTATTTCCTATTCTTGTATCTTAAGATGAATTACTTTAAATGAATTCAGTTGAAGCTAAATGATGGTATTTCATCAACTCTGTGAGGCACTCTTCCCCCACCACACTCTGACATCTCCGACACAGAAATTTTACAAAAAATGGCATCTTAGCATTGTGTCATATTTAGGGTTATCTTTCCTAGTGGTACTTAAAAGCCAATTCAAAGGCATCTTAGAATGAAAAAAACATAGAATACATTTTAGTGGCTCTAGAAATTATAGCTTATACTTCTTACACCTCTATTCCAAGAGCCTTAAAAGCTTTGCTTTATAATAGACACATTGCTTAATTTTTTTTAATTAATGTATTGATGAGGGTGAATGCTGCACCACTACACTTTTAAAAATTCTAGCACAAGCTTGTCCCACCCATGGCTTGAACACCGCATGAAGCCCAGGATGGCTTTGAATGTTGCCCAACACAAATTGGTAAACTTTCTTAAAACATTTTAAGATTTTTTTTGCATTTTTTTTTTTTTTTAGCTCATCAGCTATTATTAGAGTTACTGTATTTTATGTGTGGCCCAAGTCAATTCTTCTTCCAATGTGGTTCAGGGAAGCCAAAAAATTGGACATCCCTGTATCTAGCATGTCTATAAAATTATTTTAAGCAATTCACCTACCTGCAAGTAAAGGTGATCTCATTTCCATTACTCCTACTGAAGGGCCACTAATTGATCGAGGTTGTGGAGTCACCGGAGCTGGCAAATCCCCCATTAAAAATCCAGGTAAGAACTGGGCATTAACTCCTGGCTTTGGAGATGTGGGTGAACCCAGCATCATTGGTTCAGATCCTACATGAATCAAAAAATAAATTAAGGACTTTTCTGTTACAGTTTCTGTTACATGTTGATGACAAAAACATGCAAGAATCTAACATAATTTTGCAAATTTAATCAAAACTTTTAGATATAATAGAACCATAGTTGAATTTATTATTTTAAAAGCCAACAAAAAATATTTCTAGAAAAATGTAAAGTTATCTTGTATTCACTTTTTTTTTTTTTCTGAGTCCGAGTCTCACTCTGTCACCAGGCTGGAGTGCAGTGGCGCAATCTCAGCTCACTGCAACCTTCACCTCCTAGGCTCAAGCGATCCTCCCTCCTCAGCCTCTCAGTAGCTAAGTCTACAGGCCTGCACCACCACGCCCAGCTAATTTTTGTATTTTTTTGCAGAAATGGGGTTTCACCATGCTGCCCAGACTGCTCTGGAGCTCCTGAGCTCAGGTGATCCACCAGCCTTGGCCTCCCAAAGTGCTGAGATTAAAGGTGTGAAGCCAGTACACCTGGCAGCACAATATTTATCTGTGACAGCTATTTTTGTTTACATTATTTCAGGGGTTTAAAAATCACACTAATAACTTCTTTCCATTTCCGAATCAGTTTGGACTATGTAACAACCAAAAACAAGGACAGGCTGCACTACTTATACATACAAAGCTTAGCATATCAAACACAATGGGTTAAGCTTGCTAAATTGTTTCTTTTTCTTCCCCATAAAAAGTTCATCATTATTGTGATAAAACCGTAACCATGCATATATTAGAGCACTTACAAAATAACAGTGATAACTAGCACCCTAACTCAGAAACATGTTGAAAAGAGTCGAAAACTTATTTTTGTATCTTTTTTCTTAATCATTAGTTTAAGTCAAGAATAATCACAGCTGGGCATGGTGACTCACGCCTGCAATCCTAGCACTTTGGGAGGCCAAGGCAGGAGGATCACTTGAGCTCAGGAGTTCAAGACCAGCCTGGGCAACACACTGAGATCTCATCTTTTTTATTTAAAAAAAAAAAAAAATTAAAGAATCATCATTAAATATCCCCCTAATATAAAGCCAACTTAGAGAACTGAAACCTCACAATTGATACAAAATAAATCCTCACAATCTATAGAGTAGATATTATTTCCCTTATGAAGATGAGTGAGCTATATAATTCTAATTTCAGAGCAAAATAGCAGAATAAGGAAAACAATGGGCTATGGAGTCAAAGATGTGGGTTCAAGTTCTCTCAGTAAAAGGGAATAAGCATAGCTAGCATCCACTAACAGAGCTTTTGTTAGAATTATAGCAAGTATAGCTTGACCTGGTACCTGATACACAGGTGCTCAATAAATACGAATTATTATTTTCTACAAATATTTTATAATAGCAAAAACTGAGTAAAGTATAAATGTAGAATTTGCAATCTCTGCTTATGAAAATAATTTTCAACTAGGTGACAAGCCTGAGTGTGACTCATTGCACTCAGAAGGGTCAAATGTTTGCTATGTTATTTGTATGGTTTTTTATTAACTATTACTTAACTTCTAGATGGCCTTAACAATCTGTTTCTTAATATCCGAAAGCTGCCAACTATTTAGTCTTCCTCTTATTTCCCATTATATTAGGCCTAGATATTAACAATACAAGTGTATAAAAGACAAAAAAAAAAACAAATTCAATAAATGGATAAAGCAAATGCTAAAACAAGGTGTGAAAAACTCTAATTACATTGTAATTATTTTATAAAGTGCTAGTTACTATGTTACATGGCACTGTAGAAATATTTCGTAAGAAGATCCACTAAAATCAAACCAAAAGTCTAAACAAAAGCATATTCTTAACAGATATTCAGAATACCATATTAAACGCAAAGTTTTTGGTAACATTCACTACATTCACTCCCCCTCCCTAAAAGAAAAAAAAATTATAGCAAAATAAAGTAAGAATTGGCTTAAGAAAAGTTCTGATGTATCTGGATACATACAGACACAGTAGAAGGCGCAAGCCTCTAATCCCAGGATTTTGGGAGGCCGAGGCAGGTGGATCGCTCGAGCTCAGTTCGAGACCAGTCTGGACAAAATGGCGAAACCTTGTCTCTACCAAAAATACAATAAGTAGCTGGGAGTGGCGGCACACTGTGGTCCCAGCCCCTGGGAGGCTGAGGTGGGAGGATTGCTTGAGCCCGGAGGGGGAGGTTGCAGTGAGCTGAGACTGCACGACTGCACTCCAGCCCAGGTGACACGGCTGTGTCAAAAAAGAGGAAGGGAGGGAGGGAGAGAGGGAAGAAGGAAGGAAAAGAAAAAAGAAAGCACCAGACAGGAAGGAGGGCACAATGGGCTCTTAATCAGGACTGTCACCAACCACCCCTCAGGCTAAATTTCACTTAAAGCAAACTTAAGGAAAAGATGCTGCATGTCCTCAATTCCATTTCATATTCTGTGCTCCCAAAAGATACGTACTCAGCTAGCAGTTTGTTGAAGTCAACCCTTAGTTTTACTACACCAGTGGGCACCTGGAATATCTGCAAAATGTGGACTTAAACATTAATACTGGCTAATGTCAGATTTCTGGCAAGGCAATATACAGGGATTGGTTTACTCACATTTGTAACCCCAATAAATATGCACTCCAAAATGTTTTTGTTGAATAGAAAAATTTGGAACTGGAAATGAAGAGTTTTTGATCTCTAAAATACATTAAAAATAAATACCAAGACGACATCTATATATAAATTTTAATGCAGAGTATCTGCATTATTGACATTATGCATTTAGTTTTTTTATGACAGACTAAAGTAGTTCAAGTTACTCTATTCTCAAAAAGAACTTATTTTACACCAAACATGGCAAGCATTACATACCCTTCAAATCTAAAGACTCTTTCCACACCATATATATTACATTTGCTCTCTTTTCCAAGCTCAGAAAGTTATAACCTAACTTTTCAGGTAAGTCTCTATGACAGTAAGACGGTTTATTTTCCGTTCTAAAATTTTCGACGATTCTCACAAGTCGCAAAACTCAGCAGGAAAAAAAGAAATCCGCGTGCTGTTAAAGTGGTAGATTTTTTTCAAAGACGACATATTTCAACGAGGCTCCGCAATGAATAATGGGAATGAATCTTTAAAAAAATTCAGATCGTGACTTACTAGAGAAAAATACCTCCTACAATACTTAAGAGTCACTTTCCCCAAATAAAGGCGGGAAATATCGTGCGAACTCCTAGCTTGCTGTTAAGGTCAATATCTCAATGATTACCAACCACACGGTTGATTAAATGTTGCACGATTCAAGCTTCCATTAATAACAAGATTCCTTTGGCAAAGCCCGGGAGAGAGGAGTCAAAACAGGAACTGGAAGCACCGGTGATCAAGAAGCAGTGGACTGCACCCACACACTTCAGGGCACCGCCCACCCACGTGTACCGCGGTCAGTTCCTCCCAGGGATGCTTCTGGGGACCAGCAACCAGCTGGGAATCCAGCAACCAGCATCGCGTCTCGGGTATCAGAAGGAGGTTAAGGTATGGGCCAGTCTAACGTGGCTGGCGTGTGGGGGCACAAACACAGCTCAGTCACCGCCAGACGGCCTTTTCTTCACCCTCCCAGGGCCCTCAGCTTCCCGGCGCCACCTTTGTAGCAGTATGGAGGCGACGCGTCGAGTAGGGGACCGACTATGAACTTGGGGGCACCCAAGGATTCCCTCTCCGCGACTGAAACCAGCAGACGAGAGCCTGACGACTGCCTTTCAGTCTTGCCCGCCTCCAGGCCCAGAGCATGGATGGCAGTGCCAGCAAGGAAAAGCAATATTTCACTCACCTAACGCGGGCCCCTGAGGTTCCACTGCAAAGGCTGCCATTGCGTCGGCAACTACACTTAAAACCAGTACCTTCCCAATTAATTTTCAAAAATGGCGGAAACGCTCCCCACGGGTAACGGCGTGCTACCTTATGGGGTTGCGTAACTTCCGGACCTGCGCTATGCTTAAGTTGTAGGCGCCGGAGCCATTTTGGAATAGGGCAAAGTCTTTGCGCTGAGAATTTCCGAGGAAAGGGTTTTTGCACCGGGAAGGTGGCGAACCAGCGTATGGTTCTGTGAATGCTTTTCATCCGGGAATGCTTCCTGATTTGTGGGTACTTAAGTTACATAGAAGCACAGATTATTTTACTCACGGTTTCATAATTAGCGTGAGTTGACCCAGTGCTCTATCATCGGTCAGCTTTTCTGAGTAGCACCTGGAAAAGTCAGCTTGATGAAAACAGTTGGTGCCTCTTTGCAATGTCGATTTCTGGACTTAGTACATGACGCTTTTTCCTCAAAGCATGTTTTCTACTATCCGTATGCCATTTCTTTTAAATTTTGTGTTATGTAGACAATTTTACATTAAAGCGTAACTCATACGCCGTTTTGTTGCATATTAAAACATACAAAAATATAGCTAACGAACGCATAAAGTACACATGTAAATAATGGAAGATAATTATACGCACCCACGAACCCTCCACACCGCGGAATCTTGCGTGCTTCTGCATGTGCCATCCCTGCCGTCCACGTCCCCTCACTTTGCTGCTTTTCTTTAGGGCATAGTCATACGTAAATCACATACACATATTCTGCATATGTGTGTGTAAAAATATATTGTTTAGTTTTGCTCAAATACTAACTTTATAAAATAATGTGCTACATATGTATAACTGGGGACGTTCTCTGCTCCATACCATGAGGATTATTTCCAAAATATCCACCCATGCTCAGCTATTTCTTCTAGGACTTCCTAAAATCTCAAATGGAGGAAGAATTTTGTCTTTGGAATGAGGCAGTAACAATTCCAGAATTAAATGGTAGGTTCACAGAAATCAAATTTTAAAACCACTCACAGATCGAATTGACTTTTTGAAAATGGGTGTGTGAATTGAATTGTGTCCCTCAAAAATTTATGTTCAAGTCCTAACCCTCATACTTATGAATATGACCTTATTTGGAAATCGGGTCTTTGCAGATGTAATAAAGTTCAGATAAAGTCACATTGGAGTACCACAAGCTCGGTTAACTAAACCAGCACAAATGTATCTCTTACAGTTCTGGAGGCCAAAAATCCAAAATGAGTATTGTAGGGCTAAAATCAAAGTACCAGAAGGACTATTTTCTTCTGGAGGCTCCAGGGGAGAATCTATTACCTTGCTTTTTCAAGCTTCTAGAAGCCACTTATATTTCTTAGCTTGTGCCACCTTCCTGCTTTTTCAAAGCCAACGATGTAGCATCTTTGGTCTGTCTGACACTGCTTTGTTCAGCTTCTGCCATCACATAGCCTTGTGATGACATTTAGGACCCACCCAGGTAATCCAGGATAATCTTACTATTTCAATATTCAGTAGAGGTGATTAAGTTAATAATCACATCTTCAAAATACCTTTTGCCATATAAGGTAACATTCACAGATTCTAAAGCTTAGTGTATGGATATCTTTGGGGAGTAGTCAGCCCACAACACAGGGCAATCCACTTTTTAGAATTAAGCTACCAAGAAAGGTATATCAATGTATAAATTTCTACACACATTGAGGCTAGATGTGGTGGCTCACACCTGCAATCCCAGCACCTTGGGAGGCTGAGGGGTTGATCACTTGAGTCCAGGAGTTTGAGATAGTGAGACCCCACTTCTCTACAAAATAAAAAAGAAATTTCTATACAAATTATGATCTAGCCAAACAAAAGAACACTATACAACAACTAAAATGAATTAGATGGATTTGATATGAGTGTAAATATTAACCTAGAAAGACCTCTGTGATAGATATAATGAAAAAAAGTAATTTGAAAACATGCATGCATATACGGCACCATTTTTATTTAATAACGGGTTTATTTAGGAACAGATGCAGAGAAAGAGAAAAGAGTGATACTTCTTTAAATAAAAGAAGATGTTGAAAAAGATTTGCACCAGCCGGGCATGGTGGCTCATGCCTGTAATCCCAGCACTTTGGGAGGCCAAGGCGGGCGGATCACGAGGTCAGGAGTTCCAGACCAGCCTGGCCAACATGGTGAAACCCCATCTCTACTAAAAAATACAAAAATTATCCGGGCATGGTGGCACATGCCTGTAATCCCAGCTACTTGGGAGGCTGAGGCAGGAGAATCGCTTGAACCCAGGAGGTGGAGGTTGCAGTGAGCCAAGACCATGCCACTGCACTCCAGCCTGGCGACAGAGCGAGACTCTGTGTCCAAAAAAAAAAAAGAAAAGAAAAAGAAAAAGATTTGCACCAAACTATTAACAGTAAAGTAGAAAAGGGTTTGTAAATTGGAGGATTTAAGAATGGCCTTTACACATGTATACATATGTAACAAACCTGCACGTTGTGCACATGTACCCTAGAACTTAAAGTATAATAATAATAATAATAAAAAGAATGGCCTTTAACTTATTTTATACAATTTTGTGGTTGATGACAGGTGTTATTGCTATTTTATTTATTTATTTATTTATTTTGAGATGTAGTCTCGCTCTGTCACCAGGCTGGAGTGCAGTGACACGATCTCAGCTCTGGCACTCCACTGCAACCTCCACTGATTCCCCTGCCTCAGTCTCCCGAGTAGCTGGGAGTACAGGCGCATGCCACCACACCCAACTCATTTTTTTTTTTGAATTTTAGTACAGACAGGGTTTTACCATGTTGGCCAGGATGGTCTCGATCTCCTGACCTCATGATCCACCTGCCTCAGCCTCCCAAAGAGCTGGGATTACAGGTGTGAGCCACCGCGCCCAGCCCTATTTTCTTTACTTTTTAAATTAAAAACTTTTTTCCATTAAGACATTTATTTTCTTTTCTTTACCTGCATTTCAATCTTTTACCCTTTCAACAGGCTCTTTCCTTACCAAGCTATAAAGAAGCCCAGAATTGAAACCCTCCCTAGGCCTTGCTCCTCCACCTACCTACCATGTGCTAATTTCTCTCTCATTTCATTTTTTCAAAATCTCAAAAGAAGTGTCTATAGATTTTAGTAAATTATCTGTTTCCCTATCTTTACTATTTTGATTTTTAATTAATTGCAGATTGGCTCCTGTGTAATGCTCTTCCGAAATAAAACTACTGACCCCAACTATTTTTTTTTTCTAATTGCCAAATTAGACCTGCCTCCTTGACATCTGCAGTATCCAACAGCTTTGACAATCTTTTCCTAAGTACAAGTGTTTTCTTTATTTTTGGTGATGCTACACTTCCTATTTCTCATAACTTCCTACTCCTTTTCTGGTTTTTCAATAATTGATCCCATTTTTTTTCTAACCTGGGAATATTATTGATGTTCAAGCCTTTGCTCTCTCCTTTCTTTTTCAACTCTTAGTGGTCTCCCTTGGAATCCTTATCATTGTCACCCTGTGCAAATAATTTTTAATAATCTATACCCAACATCTCTAAAGCCAAATGCCACTTTTCCAGATGCTTGCTGCACAACCTACCCGTACATCAAACCTCAAAAGCAAGCTCATCTTTTGTCTTTTTCTTTCCATCTCTTAGAAACTCAAAATTGAATTCATAGTGCATTAGCAGAATTTAGAGTCAGACGAACCTCAATTCAGAGCCCAACTCTCTCACTAAAACCTATATAACTTGGATTTGTATTTGATTTCTAGATTATATTGTTTGTAAAATAGAAACAATACCTACTTTGAAAAATGGTTATTCTTAGTACAGTGTCTGCTCCACTTTGTTTTTTCTGACATTCACCTTCTCTACCATCAAACATTGAGATATTCTTTCTGCCTCTTCAATTCCTATACAATTGCAGTCAACTCCTTACATCTCCCTGCCTTCAGTTTCTCCCACCAAGCCTAACACACCAGTAGCCAAAACTTTCTTTTTTTTTTTTTTTTTTGAGACGGAGTCTCACTCTGTCATCCAGGCTGGAGTACAGTGGAGCGATCTCAGGTTACTGCAACATCTGCCTCCCGTGTTCAAGAAATTCTCCTGCCTCAGGCTCCCGAGTAGCTGGGATTACAGGTGTACACCGCCACACCCGGCTACTTTTTGTATTTTTAGTAGAGACAGGGTTTTGCCATGTTGGCCAGGCTGGTCTCGAACTCCTGACCTCAAGTGATCTGTCAGATTTGGCCTCCCAAAGTGTTGGGATTACAGGCATGAGCCACCGTGCCTGGCCCAAAGCTTTCTTCTTCATACACATTACCCAGCTGTCTGAAAACACTCACTGAGTTCCTATTTTCTACAGAAGCCTCCTTTTCTTCAGCCTCCACAAGACTCAGGTGTGCAGCACATGTCATTTAGTAACATCCTTCATTATACTATATACATTGTCACCTGGACAGCAAAGAAGGAAAAAATCAGAATCTCTCATGGTGGGAGGGTAGAAGCATCTCTTTAAGAGACTTCCATAGGAACCCCTAAAGGCAATACACATTGTTACCCTACTTTCACCCTGGGGTAACTGAGATCCTTGGCTTCAAAAATAAAATCCCAGGGTGGGGTGGCATGTACCTTTTAGTCCCAGCTACTCAGGAGGCTGAGGCGGGAGGATCACTTGACCCCAGGAGTTCCATGCTGCAGTGAGCCATGATCCTGTTACTGAACTCCAGCCTAGGCCACAGAGCTGGACCCTGTTCCCTGCCCACCCCCCTCCAAAAAGAAAAATTTCCTTCACCTCCTCATCCTAACCTTTTGCTCCAATCAATTCTCTCATTATTCCCTGTTGAAAACCCTCATTCTCTTGTGAACAGCTCTTCACATTGTATTTCTTGCTCACATCAACCCTCTGCCTAGCATCCCTTAGCTTTCCACCCCAATTTGCAAAGTCTTGTGTTTCTTTCAAGTAGCAGCTCAAGCCTCTTTCTGTCATGTAAACCTGCCCCAGCCATGCCAACTCTGATTCGTCTTATCTCTTCACCTCACTTTGCTGTAAGATACTTGTTTTGTAAGTTTTCTTTTCAGCCCCACTAGATGGATTTTCTTGAGGCCAGGGACCATAACTTTTCCTATTTTGTATTTCCATTATTTTTCAATTAAATGTATGTTGAAAAATAAATGGTTACAGTAGGTAGCTATTCAGGCATAAACAGAGCAAGAGAAGGTGCCCCCTACCCCAACCAGGAATGTCAGGCGGTTGTTAAACTCTCTCTCTAAAATAATTGATTGCAGCCAGTGCCAGGAAAAGGCAGTTTCCCAGTAGATAGAAACACCTAAAACTGGTGATCGGCAGCTTCCCGATAAGATCCAAGGAGTTGGGAAAGTGGGCTCAAGCATGCATATTAAGAGGCAAAATGGAGGAGTTTAACTGGTATCTGACCTCCTAAGGACATTCAGCTGGTAAGGGAAGAACACTTCCAGTGAGCATGCGTACAACTCCAGTAAACACATTGCGCATGCTTACCTCCAAAGTGCTAACAGGCCTCTCACTCCAAGGGAGGAATCAAGGGAAAAGGGATGCAAGATGCCAGAAGTATGCCAACATGTAAAACCCTACGTCCAAGGTCAAATGGGGCACTTGTCCTCCAAGATGCCCGCTTGGCCCTCTTCCAAGTGTACTTTACTTTCTTTTCATTCCTCCTCTCAAGTTTTTCAACAAACCTTCACTCCTGCTCTAAAACTTGTCTTGGTCTCTTCTGCCTTATGCCCCTTAGTCAGATTCTCTCCTGAGGACACAAGAATTGTTGTTGCAGACCCGTATGGATTTGCCGCTGACAACATATTTTGGTGCTGTGTAATTTGGATTCCCACCACTGACAACAAAATGATTAAACATTAATTACAAGCTGTAAATAAACATTAAACAAAGGATAATTATCTGACATAACTTATTTAATGCAATTTTGCATGTTTGCCAATTTTAAAAATCATAACTGCACATTAGTTATATTAAGTGCTTATTATAAAATGAAGACCTGTTTATAGTTCTAATTACCCTTTTTTGTGTAAAATGAGATCTTCAAAATGTGGATTATCTTGAATGAGAAACATTTGTACTTTTTTTATTTCTTGTTAAACTGCAATTTTAGAAATACTGCATGTTCACTATATTCCTCTGTAGATGAATATTATCTTGATTACAATACTTTTTTCTCTACCTTCTATTCTGAACGCACTAAATAAACTGTCAAATGGAACCTGTTTCCTATTTCTGTTCTGAATTCCTTCCTCCCAGGACATCAGATTTCATCATAGTGCTATTTTTGTAGACCATTGATTATCAAACTTAGGTGGGGAGCCCTTTCTTCAACAAAGGATGGTGCAGATGCTTAATAAATACAACTGCCCAGTTGGGAGGGGAGGAACAGAAAGAGTACAAGGGTTCTTGCCCCCTAAACTGCCAAGTATCGCAACTCCAGGTGACTCTTGAAATACTTGGTTTGGAGTACCTAGGGCTACAGAGAGCTCAACCTGAAAATTAGCTCTGAGCTATATTTCAACTTTCTTCTAAACTCAAATTTTGAAAAAGTCAGAAATATGTAAAATCTCACATTTTAAAAATTTTTCAATAAGTTTAATATATCCACACCAAACTGCTTGTATATCTATCATATATACTGAATATTCATCAACCTATTTATAAGTGTCCAACAATATGCAGTGTTTGTATATAAATACAAAATCAACTTGTTACTCTTAAAAGCCCACTCTCAGTCTATTCTATAAAACAAAAACAAATAATTTTTTAAAATTGAAGTGAAGAAAAAAGATTTCCACCTTTAGTAAGACTTTAGAAAAAAGATGGAGTTTGTCATCTTCAGAAAGAGAGCAAGGGGAGAGAGCATCTTATCACTCATGCTCTCACCGTCTCAGCCTTCAGCACCTGGTGTAGCATGGGCTACCCCTCACTTAATGATGTCACATAAAGCACACAGAGGAACCATGACTTCCTGGATACCAAGGACAAGTGATCTCCAAAGACCCTTTGTGATGTTTACAATGTAGAGATCTGGCTGGGCATGGTGACTCACGCCTGTGATCCCAGCACTTTGGGAGGCTGAAGCAGGAGGATTGCTTGAGCTCAGGAGTTTAACATCAGCCTGGGCCACACAGTGAGACCTCGTCTTTAAAAAAATCAGACATCATCTTTAAAAAAATACAAATTTGGCTGGGCACAGTGGCTCATGCCTGTAATCCCAGAAATTTGGGAGGCCGAAGCGGGTGGATCACCGGAGGTCAGGAGTTCGAGACCAGCCTGGCCAACATGTTGAAACCCCGTCTCTACTAAAAAAGTACAAAAATTAGCTGGGTGTGGTGGCAGGCACCTGTAATGCCAGCTACTCGGGAGGCTGAGGCAAGAGAATCGCTTGAACCCAGCAGGTGGAGGTTGCAGTGAGTCAAGATCATGCAATTGCACTCCAGCCTGGGCAACAGGAGTGAAACTCTGTCTCAAAAAAAAAAAATACAAATTTACTCTTGTTATTTGCATTATCTGACCTCTATAAACAATCATGACCAAAGCCATGTCTTTATACATTTAAAAATAAAATATTACATGTGAAAATGCATGAAGTTTTTCTGATCATTTTACTATAGTAAACAACTGGCAGAAAGGAAGTAGCTAAACTTCAAAAGAAACATCAGTTTACTTCATTCACCTGTTGTCGTTAAATCAATTAAATGATTCCTTTCACCTGCAGGAAGTGAAAAAACTAACTTTAAAACTTACATAACTTTCAGGTGTAATTTTATTTCCTGCTCTTCTATTTGAACTATCAGGTAGTTTGATCAGATGTTTAAAAGAGGAAGTTCATAGCAGGCAAAATTGACAACTTTGAATAAAAAATGCTATGGATTTTAGGAAGAGCTATATCAAGGATTTGCCTTGAAATAATTTGCTAGGGTAGGGAGGGCAGAAAGAGAGGAGGGATGATGTCTAGGGGTATACATTAAACCAGAAAAGCCATGAGTCAATAAATGTTGATGGTAACAAATTATGCTATTCTTTGTTTTTCTTTTTCTTTTTTCAGAGTGCTAGAACTCAATGCTATTGTCTATAATTTTGTGTATGTTTGTTATTTTCCCTAATTAAATTCTTTTTTAAAAAAAACATCAATAAGCCTAAATTCTAGAGTGTTCAAAAGTCATACATTCTGTCTCAGCTTATGTGAAAAATGAGAGAAAAAAAATCAATGAAAAACGCTGGGCATGGTGGCCTCAGCCTATAATCCTAGCCACTCAGAAGGGTGAGGCAAGAGGATCACTTGAGGCCAGGAGTTTGAGACCAGCCTGGGCAACTTCTGGGGACCCAAGAAATAAAAATAAAAAATTTTGCCAGGCATAGTGATGCACGCATGTAGTCCCAGCTACTTGGGAGGCTAAGGTAGGAGGATAACTTGAGCCCAGGAAGTTTGAGGCTGCAGTGAGCTATGATCACACTACTGCACTCCAATCTGGGTGATAGAATGAGACCCTGTCTCTTCAAAAAACAAAAAACGAAAAAAGGAAAACATGAATCTTTCCTTGCTTGATAATGCCTTTGTTTAGAGAATCAGCGTGTTGTTGACTACAGGTGCAAATCTTGACTTCAAATACTTAATAGACATGTGACATTAACATCTCTAAGACTCTGTTTTAAAAATCTGAATAGTGTGAATAATTTTACCTACCTCATGTAATACATTGACTTATTTACCCAGCAATAGATATATATTAAATATAATATATTCAACAATTGAATTTTAGCCTAATGGTCTTATCTGTCATTCAGCATACGATGTAGCCTTTGATAAACTAATTTGGCTTCTTCCCCCATTAATCTGCCAAACAAGTCTTTCCAAAGTCACCAAAGACCTCTGATATGTTTTGGATCTGTGTCCCCACCCAAATCTTATATTGAAATATAATCCACAGTGTTGGAGGTGGGGTCTGGTGGGAGGTGATTGGATCATGGGGGTGGATTTCTCATGAATGGTTTAGCACCATCCCTCCTGGTACTGTCTTTGAGATAGTGAGTTCTCATGAGATATGGTTGTTTAAAAGTGTGTAGCATGTCCCACCTCACTCTCTTGTTCCTGCTTTCACCATGTGAAGCACCTGCTCCTGTTCTCCCCTCCACCATGAGTAAAAAGCTTCCTGGGGCCTTCCCAGAAGCAAATACCACTATACTTTCTATACAGCCTGCAGAACTATGAGCTAATTAAACCTCTTTTCTTATAAATTACCCAGTCTTGGGTATTTGTTTATAGCAATGCAAGAACAGACTAATACAACCACCATGAGGCTAAATCCAATACATTTTAGGTTCTAACCTTTTGTAACTTCTCAGTGTGAGTTCTTGAACACTCTCTTTGTAGCCTTCAGTTTCTCTGGCAATATACTCTCTTGAGTTCCCTCCTGCCTCTCTCACCATATGACCATGTCTTTTCTTGACTCATCCTCCTCTACCTAGCCACTAAAAATTGTTCCCATAGCCAGGTGCCAGTGACTCACACCTATAATTCTAACATTTTGGGAGGCTGAGGCAGGAAGATCGCTTGAGCCCAGGAGTTCGAGACCAGCCTGGGCAACATAGCAAGACCCTGTCTCTATAAAAATAGTAATAATAATAATAAAATTGTCCCCCAAGGCTTTATCTTATGATCTGGCCTTGCCCTACACTCTTTCCTCATATGTTGTCATCCATGCACATTGCCTACAATGACTCTCAATTCATATCGCCAGCCCAGATCATTCTGTGTGGTACAAATTTATGTATCCAATTACCTACTTGACATATCTATTTGACTTGGATATCTCAAAGGTACTTCAAAATCAAATTTAAAAAGCCAAACTCATGGTCTTTTGTATAAAACTTGAATATTTATCTCAGGGAATGGCACCACCAGCCATCTAGTTATTAAAGCATGAAACCATGGATGGTGTTGAAAACCTCTCTTTCCAACACAAATTCAATGCCAAGTCCTGTGAATTCTACCTCCTAAATACCATTTAAATGCATCCATTTTTTTTTCAATTTTTACTGCTTCAGCAAAATCTCAGTTTCATCACCTGAGACCTGGACCTAGCTTCCTTAATGATCTTGCTTTCCCTCCCTAATCCACTCTCCACAGTGCAGTCAGACTGATCTTTTTAAAGTAATATTCTGCATAAGTTTCTCTCCTGCTTAAAACTTTTCCATTTTGCTGGGTGCAATGAGTCACACCTGTAATCCTAACAGTTTGGGAGGCTGAAGTGGGATTGCTACAGGTAGTCCCACCTGCTTGGGTGGCTAAGACAGGAGGATTGCTTGAGCCCGGGAAGTTGAGGCTGCAGTGAGCCCTGATCATGCCACTGCACTCCAGCCTGGGTGACAGAGCGAGATCCTATCTCAAAACTTTTCAGTTTCTTTCACTGTTTAAAAGGCCAAAATCCTAGAGCTTCCTACAAGCCCCTGCTTGATGTAGCCTAACAGTCCAGCCTCATCTGACACCACCTTATCACTTCTGGTTCACTGCTCCAGCCATTCAGCCCTCTTTCCATCACTCCAATGTGTCATGCTCCTTCCCAACCCTGGGTCTTTACCTATTCTCCTCCCTCAGTTTTGGAAGACCTGCAACAACCCACTCTCCCTCACTTAGTCAACGCCTACTTATCTTTTCTAACCGATGGTAAATGTCACTCAAAAGTCA
Source organism: Homo sapiens (assembly GCF_000001405.40). Lineage (NCBI taxonomy): Eukaryota > Metazoa > Chordata > Mammalia > Primates > Hominidae > Homo > Homo sapiens. The sequence goes on along the minus strand of NC_000002.12, from coordinate 183,113,733 downwards.
GGAAAGCCTTCCCTCATAACTAGATGAGGTTACTGTTTGAGTTATATATTTCTGTACTTTAAAAAATAATCCATATCTTCCCTCCCAACTAGATTATAAGCTCCATGAAGTCAAGGACTTGTGTTTTTTTCATTAAGCCTTTTAAAAACTTTATTTTTGAGATATTTATAGATTCACCAGCAGTTGTAAAAAACAATGCAGAGAAATCTCATGGCCCCTTACCCAGTTTCTCCCAATGATTACATCTTGCAAAACTAAAGTACAATGTCATAACCAGGATATTGAACAGTGATACATCAAGTTAAAGGACATTATTATTACCATGTTGCCCTTTTATAACCCCACCAACTTCCCTCTCCTGCCACCATTTCCTTAATTCCTGAAAATCACTATTCTGTTCTCCATTTCTATAATTTTGTCATGTCAAGAATGTTATAGTAGTGGAATCATACAGTATGTAACATTTTGGGGATTGACTTTTTTACTCAGCATAATTCTTTGTAGATTCATTCGGCTTGACGCACACACATCATTAGTTTGTTCCTCTTTATTACTGAATGGTATTCCATGGCATGGATGCATCACACTTTAGACAGCCATTCACCCATTGAAGAACATCTGGGTTGTTTCCAGTTCTGCCTATTACAAATAAACTGTCTATAAACATTCATGTACACGTTTTTGTATTAATATATATAATCATTTATCTGGGGAAAATGCCCAGGGGTATAGTTGCTGGGTCACACAGTAGTTGTGTATTTAGCTTTTTTAAAAACTGCCAAAATCTTTTCCAGAGTAGCCGTACCATTTTACACTTCCACCAATAACATATAAGTGATTCCATTTCTCTATATCCTTGCCAACATTTGGTGTGTCATTATCTCTTAGCCATTCTGGTGGGTATGTAGTGATATCTCATTGTGGTTTTAACTTGCACTTCCCCAGTAGCTATGATGTCGAACATTTTATTATGTGCTTATTTGTCATCTGTATATCCTCTTCAGTAAAGTGTCTCTTCATACATTTTGTCCATTTCCTAATTGGGTTGATTTTTTTTCTGACTGTTGAATTTTGAGAATTTTTTAAATATATTCTAGATGCTAATCTTTTGTCAAATACACGGTTTGCAAATATGTTCTTCCATTTTTCATCTTCTTAACAAGGTCCTTCAAATAGCAAAGTTTTTAATTTTGATGAGGTCCAATTTATAAATTTCCAATTTATAAATTTTTGCTTTTGTGGGTCACAAGTTTGGTGTCAAGTCTAAGGACATTTTGACTAGCCCTGGAACCCAGTGATTTTCCTTCTTTTTTTTTTTTTTTTTTTTTTTGAGATGGAGTCTCACCCTGTTGCCCAGGCTGGAGTACAGTGGTGCAATCTTGGCTCACTGCAACCTCCATCTCCCGGGTTCACACCATTCTCCTGTCTCAGCCTCCCGAGTAGCTGGGACTACCAGCACCTGCCACCACGCCAGCTAATTTTTTTGTATTTTTTTTTAGTAGAGACAGGGTTTCACTGTGTTAGCCAGGATGGTCTCTATCTCCTGACCTTGTGATTGATCTCCTTGGCCTCCCAAAGTGCTGGGATTACAGGCATGAGCCACCGCACCTGGCCAATTTTCTTTGATTTTCTCCTAAAAGTGTTTTAGTTTTCCTTTTAAGTCTATACTCCATTTTTGGTTAATTTTTGTTGAAGGTATGGGATTACATAGAATTTCTTTCTTTTTTTTTTTTTTTGGCCTATGGAAATACAGATGTCCAATTGCTCCAGCATCATTTGTTAAAAAGGCTACCTTTCCTTCATTGAATTGCTTTTGCACCTTTGTCAAAGATCACTTGAACATATTTATATGGGTCTACTTCTGGATTTTTTTGTTCTGTTCCATTGATTTAAGTGTCTGTCTCTTTGCCAATACTACACAGTCCTGTTTACTGTAGCTATATAACCAGTCTTGAAACCAGATTACTTTATTCTTCTTTTTCAAAATTGTTGTAGCTATTTTTGTTTCTTGCCTTTCCGTATACATTTTAGAATAATCTTGTCTGTATCTGTAAAAAGTCTTGCTGAGGTTTTCATAGGAATTTGATTAAAGCTGTGTATCAATTTGAGGTAAATTGATACCTTTACTACACTTAATTTTTCAATACATTAACAATTTTCTACATTTATTTAGATCTCTCTTTATTTCTTCATTAGCATTCTATAGCTTTTGGCATATAAGTTCTGTACATGTTATATTAAATTTACACCTAAATATTTCTTCACTTTTTTTTTTTAATTTTTTTTTGAGATGGAGTCTCACTCTGGCTAGAGTACAATGGCACAATCTTGGCTCACTGCAACCTCTGCTTCCCGGGTTCAAGCGATTCTCCTGCCTCAGCCACCAGAGTAGCCGGGATTATAGGTGCCCACCACCATTCCCAGCTAATTTTTATATTTTTAGTAGACATGGGTTTTCACCATATTGTCCAGGCTGGTCTCGAACTCCTGACTTCAGGTAATCTGCCTGCCTTGGCCTCCCAAAGTGCTGAGATTGCAGGCCTGAGCCAACGCGCTCGGCCTCTTCACTTTTGTTTTTTTGAGTGAGTGTAAATCATATTGTATTTTTAATCTTAGTGGTTGTGTTTGCTGCTAGCATGTGGAAGTACAATTGCATTCAGTTTTTTTGTAAATTCTTTGGAATTTTTTATGTAAACAACTATGCAGTCTGCAAAAGGAACTCTTTTATTTCTTCCTATCTGATCTGTTGCCTTTTATTTCCTTGTTTTGATTTATTACACTGGCTAGGAGTTGCAGCAATATGTTGAAGAAGAGCAGTGAGAACACACATCCTTGCTTTGTTCCTGATCTTAGGAGAAAAGCATTTAGTCTTTCACCATTAAATATAATATTATCTATAAGGTTTATTTTATTTTGTTTTTTATTTTTATTTATTTTTTTTTTTGACATGGAGTCTCACTCTGTTGCCCAGGCTGGAGTGCAGTGGCACAGTCTCGGCTCACTGCAACCTCCATTTCCCGGATTCAAGCAATTCTCATGCCTTAGCCTCCCGAGTAGCTGGGATTACAGATGCCTGCCACCACACCTGGCTAATTTTTTGTATTTTCAGTAGAGACGGGGTTTCACCATGTTGCCCAGGCTGGTCTCAAACTCCTGACCTCGTGATCCACCCGCCTTGGCCTCCCAAAGTGCTGGTATTACAGGCGTGAGCCACCGTGCCCGGCTATTTTTATTTTTTGAGATGGAGTCTTGCTCTGTTACCCAGGTTGGAGTGCAGTGGTAGGATCTTGGCTCCCTGCAACCTCCAACTTCTGGGTTCAAGAGATTCTCCTGCCTCAGCCTCCCAAGTAGCTGGGACTACATGTGCGTGCCACCATGCCTGGCTAATTTTTGTATTTTTCGTAGAGACGGGGTTTCACCATATTGGCCAGGCTGGTCTCGAACTCCTGACCTCAGGTGATCCACCTGTCTCTGCCTCCCAAAGTGCTGGGATTACAGGCGTGAGCCACTGTCTGCAGCTATAGAGGTTTTTTGTAAATGCTTTTTATCAAGTTGAGAAAGTTTCCTCTCTATTCTTATTTTTCTGAGAGTGATGAATTGGTGTTGAAGCTTGTCAAATGTTTTTTTCGGTATTAATTTACATGATTATGTGATTTTTCTTCTTTTCCCTATTAATATGGTTAATTATACTGATTTATTTTCAATAGTTGAGACAACCTTGCATCTCTGACATAATCCACTTGGTCATGCTACGTCATTCTTTTTATAAATAGCTGAGTTTTTTAAAAAGCTGTCTCCTACAGGAAGGAAGAGCTAAATTCTTTTTTCTAATATTTTGTTAAGGACTTTTGTATCTGTATTGAAGAGTGATCTTGGCTGTATTCTTTCTTTGCCTGTTTTGGGTATCAGGCTAATACTAACTTCATAAAACGAAATGGAAATCGTTTCCTCCTCTTCTGTTTTCTGGAAGGGATTGAGTAGATTTGGTGTTGCTCTAGGTACTACACTATATATACATAACTGATCACACTCTACTACTGTTATTTTAACTATTTCAAATAAAATATGGAAACTTTTATGCCCTTTTATCCTTCCCCATTTGCAATATAATTGTTTTAGATATTTCCTCTACATACAGATAAAAACACATCAGACTGTTACCATTATGGTTTAAACCCTCAAACTTAATGTAGTAACTCAAGGTGACATGGAAAGCTTATTCTATTCAGTCATATTTTGTTTGCAAAGTTATTTCTTGTTCCAAGAATTTTTTTCCTATATCATTTTGTCTCTGTTTAGAGAACTTCTTTTAAGCTATTATTTTAGAACAGGTCTGCCGGCCACAGCTTTTCTTCATTTTCCTTCATATAATAATGTCTTGAGGACAGGCACAATAGCTCACAACTATAATCCCACCACTTTGGGAGGCTGAGGCAGGCTGATCACTTGAGTCCAGGAGTTCGAGACCGGACTGGGTAACATGGTGAAACCCTGTCTCAACAACAACAACAAAATACAAAAAATTAGCTGGATATGGTGGCACATACCTGTTGTCCCAGATACTTGGAGGCTGAGGCAGGAGGATTGCTTGAACCTGGGAGGCAGAGGTTGCAGTGAACTGAGATCATGCCACTGCACTCCAGCCTGGGCAACAGACATCCTATCTAGAAGAAAAAAAAAAAAACAAAAAACCAAAAAGCAAGAATGTCTTGATTGATTTTCCCTTAATTCCTAAAGACTATTTTTTCTGGTTGTAGGATAAACATTTGAAAAATATGATGCCACTTCCCTTTGGCCTCCATGTCTTCTGATAAGAAATCCACTGTCATTCAAATTGTTTTATACAGACAGGGCCAGGCGCAGGGCTCACGCCCGTAATCCCAACACTTTGGGAGGCCGAGGAGGGTGGATCACCTGAGGTCAGGAGTTCAAGACCAGCCTGGCCAACATGGTGAAACCCCATCTCTACTAAAAATACAAAAAGTTAGCTGGGTGTGGTGGCAGGCGCCTGTAATCCCAGCTACTCAGGAGCCTAAGACAGGAGAGTCACCTGAACCTGAGAAGCAGAGGTTGCAGTGAGCTGAGATCGTGTCATTGCACTCCAGCCTGGGCAAAAAGAGTGAAACTCCATCTCAAAAAAAAAGAAAAAAAAAAAAAAGAGTCTGCAGTATCAAAGAGCCACATACTTCAGCTTGCGGTGGCGGACAAGGTATAGCTGTTCTTATTTGCTGAAAGAGAAAAGACCACAGAATTGAATACCAGTGATTTCCCGTTTTCTTAACTCTACTGAAAAGGTAATTTACTTTTTTTTAAGGAAAGCTTTTATGACTCTTCATTTTTCTATAATTAATGAGAATTGTAGTATATATTATTACTTATTGAAAGAGAGTCTTTGTTATTATAAGAATATGGTTTATGTTGTGAGAAAACATCATTCCTGAGCTACCCATGATATAGAAATCTACTTCAACTTTTAAAAAAACTGAGTGCCTACTATTAAGCCACATTATCTCATTTAATCTTTAAAAGTACTCTATGAAATATCTTTTTTTTTTTTTTTTTTTTTTTTTGAGACGGAGTCTCGCTCTGTCGCCCAGGCTGGAGTGCAGTGGCTCGATCTCGGTTCACTGCAAGCTCCGCCTCCTGGGTTCACGCCATTCTCTCGCCTCAGCCTCCCGAGTAGCTGGGACTACAGGCGCCCGCCACCTCGCCCGGCTAATTTTTTGTATTTTTAGTAGAGACGGGGTGTCACCGTGTTAGCCAGGATGGTCTTGATCTCCTGACCTCATGATCCGCCCGCCTCGGCCTCCCAAAGTGCTGGGATTACAGGCATGAGCCACCGCACCCGGCCTGAAATATCTTAAAAAGTTAATTTGCCCAAGTAAGCAGTGAAGTCAAAATTTAAATTGACAATCTGACTTTGGAGCTTAGACTCTTATTTCAGAAAATATTCCATTTCTTTTTATAAAAGCTGTATATAAACAAATCTCTTGTGGTGAGACATTAACTGTTTTGATTTACTCCTTACAGTCATAAAACTGCATTAGCAATAATTACAACTACAGTTGACCCTTGAACAACATGGGATTAAACTGTGTGGGTCCACTTACATGCAGATTTTCTTCCACTTCTGCCACCCTGAGGCAGCAAGTCAGCTCCTCTGCTCCCTCCTTCTCCTCAGCCTACTCTCCACAAAGATGATAAAGAAGACCTTTATATGATCCACTTCCACTTAATTAATAGTAAGTATATTTTCTCTTCCTTATGATTTTCTTCATCATTTTTGTTTTGTTCTTGGGTTTTTGTTTGTTTTGAGGCAGGGTCTCACCCTGTCACCCAGGTTGGAGTGCAGTGGCATGATCATAGCTCACTGTACCCTCAACTTCCTGGGCTGTAGTGATCCTCCTACCTTATCCTCCCAAGTATCTGGGACCACAGGCATTTGCCACCATGCCTGGCTAATTTTTTGTATTTTTAGTAGATATGAGGCTTCATCATTTTGCCCAGGCTGGTCTCAAACTCCTGAGCTCAAGTGATCTGCCCACCTCAGGCTCCCAAACTGCTAGGATTACAAGCATGGGCCACCATGCCCAACCTATGATTTTCTTAATAACATTTTTTCTCTATCTTACTTTATTGTAAGATTATGGAATACATATAACATACACAATATATGTGTTATTTTTGTATGTGCCTGGTGGTATATACCTACAGTCCCAGATTCTTGGAAGGCTGAGACAGGAGGATTGCTTGAGCTCTGGAGTTTGAGTCTAGCCTGAGCAACATAGCAAGACCCCATGCCCTGGAAGAAAAAAGTTATACATGGATTTCCTACTGTGGAAGGAAGGGTTGGCTCCTCCAACACCCACCTTGTTCAAGGGACAACTCTTATTAAGTAAATTCACACATTTGATAGAAGAACTGAATTGTGGAAAGAGGAGAATGAGACTTTAGAGAATGCAAGCAATTAAACAGACTTCCTATCCTACTAGAATGATATTCAAGTAGAATGATACTCAAGTGGAAAGAGTGAAGGCAAGTTGCATTATTGGTGTTCTTTACTTTTAACTTTGAAGGATTTATCACTGTATAGATAACAAGCATCAACAAAATCAGATTTGTATGCAGTATTCTTACATTAAATACCATTTGTATTGATAGTTAGATTCTCAATAAATATTTCTACAGTATTAATTGCTATAGGAAGATGGTGAAATAGAACTCTCTAGCAATCATCCCCACTACAGAAACACCAAATTGAACAACTATCTACACAAGAAAACACTTTATAAAAAACAAAAGTCAGGTGTGCTATCAAAGTACCTAGTTTTAACATCATATCAGGGAAAGAGGCACTGGAAAGGGTAGGAAAGACAGTCTTGAATTGCTGATACCACTTCTCCCCCATCCCTTGGCAGTGGCCGTGTCACCTCAAGAGAGAATGTGTGTGCTTGGGGAAGAGAGAGCACAATGACTGTGGAACTTTGCATTGGAACTCAGTGCTGCTCTGTTACAGCAGAAAGCAACATAGGGCAGGATTCAGTTAGTGCCCACCAAGAGACACTTCCCATCTGGCTAGGGCTGGTCTAGCCAGATGGGAAGTGTCCAACCCACTGGTCAGAACCTGAGTTTCAGCTAGCCCCACCACCATGGGCTAAAGTGCTATGGGGTCCTAAATAAACTTGGAAGACCATCCAGGGCGTAAGGACTATGATTCCAGGGCAAGTCCTGGTGCTGTCCTGGGCTCGAAACCAGTAGAATTAGGGTGGTGCTACATAGTGAGACACCAGCTGGGGCTGTCAAGAGAATACTTGCATCACCTATCCTTTAACCCTAAGCAGTGCAGCTCATAGCTTCAAGAGATTCCTTCCTTCTACTTGAGGAGAGGAGAGGGGAGAGTAAACAGGACATTGTCTTGCAACTTAGATGCCAGCTCAGCCACAGTAAAATAGGGCACCAAGCAGAGTCCTGATGCTCCCATTTCAGGACCTAGCTCCTAGACATTTCCAGACACACTCTGGGTCAGAAGGAAACCAACTTCCTTGAAAGGAAGAACCCAGTCGTGGAAGGATTTATCACCTGCTGACTAACAAGCCCTTGGGCCTTGAATAAACATCAGTGGTACCAAGGCAGTAATCACCATGGGACTTGGGTGGAAACCCAGGGCCATGCTGGCTTCAGGAATGACACAGCACATTCCCAGCTGTGGTGGCCATGGAGAGAGACTCCTTCTGCTTAAGGAAAGAAGAGGAAAGCATAAAGGGGACTGTGTCTTGCAGCTTGGGTACCAGCATGGCCACAGTTGGGTAGAGCGCAAAGTGAACTCCTAACATTCCTGATTCCAGGCCTTGGCTCCTGGATAGCATTTCTGGGCCCACCCTGGGCAATAGGAGAGCCCACTGCCCTAAAGGGAGAGAGTCAGGCCTGGCAGCATTCACCACAAGCTGACTGAAGAGCCCCTGGGCTTTGAGTGAACTGCCTGGTAGTAGCCAGGCAGTACTCACTGTGGGCCTGGAGCAGTGGTGGTCATGAGGAGCGACTACTTCTGCATGAGCAAAGGAGAGGTAATAGTAGGAAGGTGATGATATGGTTTGACTTTGTGTCCCCAACCAAATCTCATCTTGAATTGTAATCCCATAATCCCCATGTGTCGCATGAGGGACCCAGTGGGAGGTAATTGAATCACAGGGGCGGTTTTCCCCCATACTGTTCTCATAATAGTGAGTGAGTTCTCATGAGATCCGATGGTTTTATAAGGGGCTTCCGCTTCGCTTGGTATTCATTCATTTCTCTCCTACCACCATGTGAAGAGGTGTTTTCCGCCATGGTTTTAAGTTTCCTGAGGCCTCGCATGCAGAACTGTGAGTCAATTAAACTTCTTTTCTTTAAATATTACCCAGTCTTGGGCAGTTCTTTATGGCAATGTGAGAACAGACTAATACAGAAGAACTGTGTCCCATGGTTTGGCTGCCAGCTCAGCCACAGTAGAAACACCCTCCACCTATAAAGACTCTCATAGACTGAAAGTAAAGGAATGGAAAGATATTCCATGCAAATCAAAACCAAAAAAGAGCATGAGTAGTGGCTATATTTATATCCGACAAAATAGATTCCAAGATAAAATATATAAAAAGAGACAAAGTTACCACATAATGATAAAGGAGTCAATTCAACAAGAGGATATTACAATCATAAGTGTATATGTACCCAACACTGGAGCACCCAGATACATGAAACAATTATTATTAGAGCTAAAGAGGGAGATACATCCCAATACAATAATAGCTGGAGATAAGAGGGAGATACATCCCAATACAATAATAGCTGGAGACTTGAACACTCACTTTCAGCTTTGGACAGATAATCCAGACAGAAAATCAACAAAGAAACATTGGATTTAATCTGCACTGTAGACCAAATGGACCTAATAGGTATATACAGGACATTTTAGCCAACAGTTGCAGAATCACATTCTTGTCCTCAGTACATGGATCATTCTCAAGGACAGACCATATGTTAGGCCACAAAACAAGTCTTAAAAAATTCAAAAAAGCATTGAAATCATATCAAGTATTTTTCTGACCAGGAATGGTATAAAACTGGAAGTCAATGGCAAGAGGAACTTTGGAAACTACACAAACACCTGGAAGTTAAATAATATGCTCCTGAATAACCAGTGGGCCAATGAAGAAATTAAGAAGATAATTTAAAAATTTCTGGAAATAAAAGAAAATGGAAACACAACTTACCAAAACCTATGGGATACAGTGAAAGCAGTACTAAGAGGAAAGTTTATAGCAATAAGCACCTACAACAAAAAAGTAGAAAAACTTCAAATAAAAAACCTAACCATGCATCTGTAACAACTAGAAAAGCAAGAGCAAACCAAACACAAAATTAGTAGAAAAAAAAAATAGTAAATATTCAAGCAGAAATAAATGAAATTGAAATGGAACAAATACAAAAGATCAATAAAATAAAAAGTTGTTCTTTGAAAAGATAAACAAAATTGACAAACTTTTAGTCAGACTAACACTCTGAGTCAGAGTTCCCTTCTGACCCAGAGTGTGTCTAGAATAACAGAGAGACTAAATAAACAAAATCACAGATGGAGGAGACATTACAAGTGATACCCCAGATATTCAAAGGATCATTAGAGACTACTATAAGCAACTGTATGCCAATAATTGCAAAACATAGAAAAAATGAAAAAATTCCTAGAAACATACAACCTACTTCGAATGAACCATAAAAAAATCCAAAACCTGAATAGACCAATAACAAGGAATGAGATCAAAGCCATAATAAGAAGTCTACCAGCAAAGAAAAGTCCAGGACCTAGTGGCTTCACTCCTGAATTTTATGAAACATTTAAAAAAGGACTAAAATCAATCCCACTCAAACTATTTTGAAAAATAGAGGAGGAAGCAAGATTTCCAAATGTATTCTATGAGGTTAGTATTACCCTGATACCAAAATCACACAAAGACACATTAGAAAAAAGCTGGAAGCATTCCCTTTGAAAACTGGCACAAGACAAGGATGCATTCTCACCACTCCTATTCAACATAGTATTGGAAGTTATGGCCAGGGCAATCAGGCAAGAGAAAGAAATGAAGCGTATTCAAATAGGAAGAGAGGTAGCCAAATTGTCTCTGTTTGAAGATGACATGAGTGTATAGTTAGAAAACCCCAACATCTCAGCCCAAAATCTCCTTAAGCTGATAAGCAACTTCAGTAAAGTCTCAGGATACAAAATCAATGTGCAAAAATCACAAGCATTCCTATACTCCAATAAAAGACAAACAAAGAAAATAAAATAAAATAAAATGGAAATACCTAGGAATACAACTTACAAGGGATGTGAAGGACTTCTTCAAGGAGAACTACAAACCACTGCTCAAGGAAATAAGAGAGGACACAAACAAATGGAAAAATATTCCATGCTCATGGATAAGAAGAATCAATATCGTGAAAATGGCCATACTGCTCAAAGTAATTTATAGATTCAATGCTATTCCCAACAAACTACCATTGACTTTCTTCACAGAATTAGAAAAAAACTACTTTAAATTTCATATGGAACCAAAAAAAGCCCATATAGCCAAGATAATCCTAAGCAAAAAGAACAAAGCTGGAGGCATCATGCTACCTGACTTCAAACTATACTACAAGGCTACAGTAACCAAAACAGCATGGTCCTGGTACCAAAACAGATATATACACCAATGGAACAGAACAGAGGCCTCAGAAATAATGCCACACATCTACAACCATCTGATCTTCGACAAAGCTGACAAAAACAAGCAACGGGGAAAGGATTCCCTATTTAATAAATGGTGCTGGGAAAACTAGCTAGCCATATGCAGAAAACTGAAACTGGTTCGCTTCCTTACACCTTATACAAAAATTAACTCAAAATGGATTAAAGACTTAAGTGTAAGACCTAAAACCATAAAACCCCTAGAAGAAAACCTAGGCAATACCATTCAGGACATAAGCATGGGCAAAGACTTCATTACTAAACACCAAAAGCAATTGCAACAAAAGCCAAAATTGACAAATGGGATCTAATTAAACTAAAGAGCTTCTGCACAGCAAAAGAAACTACCATGAGAGTGAATGGGCAACCTACAGAATGGGAGAAAATTTTTGCAATCTAGCCATCTGACAAAGGCCTAATAACCAGAATCTACAAGGAACTTAAACAAATATACAAAACAAAAAAAAACCTTCATCAAAAAGTGGGTGAAGGGATATGAACAGACACCTCTCAAAAGAAGACATTTATGCGGCCAACAAACATGAAAAAAAAGCTTGTCATCACTGGTCTTTAGAGAAATGCAAATCAAAACCACGATGAGATACCATCTCACACCAGTTAGAATGGCAATCATTAAAAAGTCAGGAAACAACAGATGCTGCAGAGGATGTGGAGAAATAGGAACACATTTACACTGTTGGTGGGAGTATAAATTAGTTCCACCATTGTGGAAGACAGTGGGGCGATTCCTCAAGGATCTAGAACCAGAAATACCATTTGACCCAGCAGTCACATTACTGGGTATATACCCAAAGGATTATAAATCATTCTACTATAAAGACACATACACATGTATGTTTATTGCAGCACTATTTACAATAGCAGACTTGGAACCAACCCAAATGCCCATCAATGATAGACTGGATAAAGAAAATGTGGCATATATATACCATGGAATACTAGCAGCCATAAAAAAGAATGAGTTCATGTCCTTTGCAGGGACATGGATGAAGCTAGAAACCATCATTCTCAGCAAACTAACACAGAGACAGAAAACCAAACACCAAATGTTCTCACTCATAAGTAGGAGCTGAACACATGGACACAGGGAGGGGATTATCACACACTGGAGCCTGTCGAGGGGTGGGGGGTAAGGGGAGGGATAGCATTAGGAGAAATACCTAACGCATGCGGGGCTTAAAACCTAGATGACAGGTTGAAGGGTGCAGCAAACCACCATGGCACATGTGTACCTATGTAACAAACCCCCAAGTTCTGCACATGTATCCCAGAACTAAAAGTATAATAATAATCAAAAGGACACATTAAAAAAGAAAACTATTGGCCTACATCCCTGATGAACATTGATAAATACCCAAAAGAAAGGAAATTCATATATCAAAGAGATATCTGCACTCCCATGTTTATTGCGGCACTATTCACAATAGCCAAGATTTAGAAGCAACCTAAGTGTCCATCAACAGATGAATGGATAAATAACATGTAGTACATATATATAATGGAGTACTATTCAACCATAAAAAAGAATAAGATCCCGTCCTTTGGAAAAACATGGATAGAACTGGAGGACATTATGTTAAGTCAAATAAGACTGGCACAGATAGACAAACTTCAAATGTTCTCACTCCTTTGTGGGAGCCAAAAATTAAAACAGTTCAACACATGGAGATAGACAGTAGAATGATGGTTACCAGAAGCTGGAAAGAACAGTGGGGGCATGAGGGGAAGAAGTGTGATGGCTAATGGGTATTAAAATATAGCTAGATAGAATAAGATCTAGTATTTGATAGCACAACAGGGTGACTACAGTCAACAATAATTTATTGTACATTTTAAAATAACTATTACAAAGATATAACAGCCTGTTTGCATGAGCGTGGGAGGTGGGTGCCACACTATGTACAAATAATCTCAATGCAGTCATAGTTAGAATGTAGGGTAATTTAATCTGACAGTAACTCAGCATCTTCTCTTACCTTAAATAAGGTATTCTATTGAATTTTCATTGACAATCTGTCCACAGTGATGCCAATTATATGCTCTTACTTTAGCTTTTCTCTTTTGTGTTTTGAGACAGAGTCTCGCTCTGTCACCCAGGCTGGAGTGCAGTGGCGCAATCTCAGTTCACTGCAACCTCTGCCTCCCAGGTTCAAGCGATTCTCCTGCCTCAGCCTCCCAAGCAGCTGGGACTACAGGCGTGTGCCACCACGCCCAGCTAATTTTTTTTGTATTTTTAGTAGAGACAGGGTTTCACCGTATTGGCCAGGCTGCTCTTGAAGTCCTGACCTCGTGATCCTCTTGCCTCGGCCTCCCAAAATGCTGAGATTACAGGCCACCGCACCCAGCCGGCTTTTCATTTCTTGAAGAGACGGGAACAACAAATCTTCATAGATCTAAACTAACTTACATTTTAAAATATAAAATTGTGTGTCTTCCCAACATTTTTTTTTTTTTTTTGAGTCAGAGTCTCACTCTGTCAACTAGAAGTGCAGTGGTGCTATCTCGGCTCACTGCCACCTCCACCTCCCAGGGTCAAGCAATTCTCCTACCTCAGCCTCCTAAGAAGCTGGGATTACAGGCACCCACCACCATGCCCGGGTAATTTTTGTATTTTTAGTGATGGGGTTTTGCCATGTTGGCCAGGCTGGTCTTGAACTCCTGGCCTCAAGTGATCCATCTCCTTGGCCTCCCAAAATGTTGGGATTACAGGCATGAGCCACTGCGCCTGGCCACCAACAGATTTTTTAATTCAGAATTTGACAGCAAATAAGTGTTACATCTTTTAAAACAAATAGCTTCAAAGAAATATATTAATGGGAAAATATTAAACATATCATTTTTATTAAAGTATATCAACACCTAGAAACAATAAAGGGTACATGATGAATATGTATAAAAACAAGTAACTCAAAGCTTTACTTGAAATAGAAAAGTCTAACTATAAGTTATTTTTTGTGTGCATCAATTGAAACAAACCATAAGTTTGTTGATTATAATGTCATTTTATGCATTGCAAGAATATACAACTTCAAAGTCTTCTGGTTTAAATTCCTAAATAACTACAGGGTAACTAAATATGTTCAGGATCCTTCAGGCAGAAAAATCAACTATTTAGAGTCACCTGGAACAAATAAATAAGTAATCATGCCACATTTCTGTTGTTTTTAAATTTATCATGGTTTTGCTTATAAAGGTATTGACTCATTAGGTTAACTCTGTAAGATTATAAGATGATATTCTGATTTATACTTGCTACATTTATGACTACTTGGAGAAACAACACTTGAAGGGGACCTTCTATATACATTTGAACAATCTGAGTTACAAATAATCATGCTGACAAATTCAGGTTTCCCCACTACCACTGAAATTATCAGAGTCTAAGCTGAAAAAAAAAAATCCAAGTATTGTATTCATACATTTTAATCAAGGTTCAATAGGGAAGAAGGGAAGAAAAAGTAAAATTGCAAACAAAATGTTAAATACTGTACTCCACTTCCTCTGAAATATTTGTCTTTTGAATTAGTATACTGGTCTAAATTTTGCCTCCAAAAATCTAAGAAGAATATTGTTTGGGTTTTTCAAAAATCTACATACTTCTTGAGTGTTCTATTCAAATTTTATGTAATCAGAAACCTATTTTAAGGCATAAAATTAGAAAAAAATTTAAAAATTATTAACTTCAATTAACCTCAAATAAATAGAATTGTATTGTATGCTCCACTGCCTTTGTTCTACTCAGCTTTTTCAGTTTGCGGTTTAAAGCCTCCATATTTCTTTTCAATGTTTAAAAAGACATGCTGTTTTCATTTTCCCTTTCCTTTAAAAAATGGCAGAATAATCTATTGAAAAACAAAGAGGCAAAAACTCCTTGAACTATTTTTCCTCTCCTTTAAAACAGACCTATATTTGGTGTATGTATCTTTTAAGTTTGCAGTATGTGAGAAAGAGGACCGTAATCATAAAGTTCTTTTTTTAAAATAACTAGGAATGACAGAGTGATTTATCCCCATGGGAAGTGCAATAAACATATTGTATAGTATATATGACCTTATGCTTTACTTGGTGCCCCTAAAAGACTGAATTATATTCATTGATCTATTTTAATACAGCAAACTACAATTTAACGTTAAAACAAATTTGATGCTCAAAGCACTTCTGTAGAAGATACAAAAGATAAATGTTTGAATCTTACCCAGATCACTATAGGCAACAACTAAGCATATAAACTACAGACATAAATAATACACAATCCAGGCCAGGTGTAGTGGCTAACACCGTAATCCCAGCACTTTGGGAGACCAAGGCGTGTGGATCACTTGCGGTCAGGAGTTCGAGACCAGCCTGACCAACATGGTTGAACCCTGTCTCTACCAAAAAAAAATACAAAATTTGCTGGGCATGGTGGCACATGCCTATAATCCCAGCTACTTGGGAGGCTGATACAGGAGAATCGCTTGAAGCTGGGAGGCAGAGGTTGCAGTGAGCCAAGATCACGCCACTGCACTCCAGCCTGGGCAATAAGAGCAAAACTCTGTCTCAAATAATAATAATATCATTAAGAGCAAAACTCCATCTCAAAAATAATAATAATACATGAGCCATTATGAACAAATTCTATCAAGGCTTCATGTGACATTTAATGGCTGAAAACTAAACAGGATTTAGCAAAATAAAATGTATTTAAATACATCCTTTCTTATGAAAGGAGAAGGCTTATCCAGTGATACTGACCATAGAGAGAACCTATACATCAGTCTCATATTTAAGAGGGTTCTGCCTGCCTTGGTTGGCTTCAAAGAGCTCACTGTACGTTGATTATATTTAGACTGCTTCTTAGCAGAAGCAAAGAGTTTATAACAGTTCATAACATCACAAGTGATGGCATCTTGTCACGGTGTAAGCAATCTCAAAACATAACTTGCATTTATCACTTCTACTTTTTGCTCATGACAGCATATGAAAGCCTGCCTTCTCAAATGCACAGATGTGTTCAATATGCACTTTCCATCTATGCTTGCTCTTTATAATGTATATTTAAGAAGAGCTCAAGACTTTTAAAAATAAAACCTACATGGCAATGATATCTTCTAAGTCATGAAAAACTATGTGGAAACTATCAGGCCAGGCGTGGTGGCTGATGCCTGTAATCCTAGCACTTGGGAGGCTAAGGCGGGAGGATCACTTAAGCCTAGGAGTTTGAGATCAGCCTGGGCAACATGGCAAGACTCCTGTCTCTACAAAAATAAAAATAAAATTAGCCAGATGTGGTGGCGCACAGCTGTAGTCTCAGCTACTCAGGAGACTGAGGTGGGAGGACTGCTTGAGCCCAGGAGGTAGAGGCTGCAGTGCGTTGTGTTCATGCCACTCCACTCTAGCCTAGGTGACAGAGCAAGACCCTGTCTCGAAAAAAAAAAAAAAGAAAAGAAAAAAGAAACTGTCTTAATTAATTAATTTTAAGTATACCATATTCTGAAGAAAAAATCAAAATCTTTAAGCAAATTTATAATGTACAGAGCTCAGTTCTTCAAATACGGAGACATTAAAGAAAAAAGAACCTATTCAAAGGCCAAAGATAAAACTGTAAATGATTGTGGGTCTCCTAAAAGTATATTTAAAGTTTCTTACAAAACCATAACCCTTCTCCCCTAAAAAATATGTTCTCTGGTAGAATACTGAAGTAGAAAACAGACCACTAAACAATGATCTTGCAGTATCAAACATTTTCTCAAAAAATTATGACATAGGATCAAAAAAACAGAATGCTAGGCACCCAAGATAAAAAGCACAAAATGTAAGAGAATAGATCACCTGTTCAAAGAACCAAAGCTCACAATAACGTATGACAGAACACCTATACATTAAAAAAAAAAAGAAAGAAATGCCGATAACAGAATTGAAAAAAACAAAATGAGGTCGGATGCAGTGGCTCACGCCTGTAATCCCAGTATTTAGAGAGGCCAAGGTGGGTGGATCACCTGAGGTCAGGAGTTCGAGACTGCCTGGCCTATGTGGTGAGACTCCATCTCTACTAAAAACACAAAAATTAGCTGGGCATGGTGGCAGGCACCTATAATCCCAGCTATATGGGAGGCTGGGGCAGGAGAATCGCTTGAACCCGGGAGGCAGAGGTTGCAGTGAGCTGAGATTGCGCCATTGCACTCCAGCCTGGGTGACAAGAGCCAAACTCCATCTAAAAAAAGAAAAAAAAAGAAGAAGACAAAATGAAAAGTGTATATTTTTCATAAGAGAACATAAGAATTTTGTGAATATTGTAGCCACTGTGTAAATATTGTATAAACCTTCAGATACTGGTTATCTCTTTTGGGAGATTTAAGGTATTCATTTTTAATCTTAAAAAGATTCTTTAAAAAGAAATATACTTCCCTTTGAAATAGTAAGTTAAGTAGCATTTCAAGTTTTTCTTTCATAAAAACAGTTGCTGGAACAGAAAAATAGGCTTCATTAAATGATTCTCTCCATGCTCTAAATACACATTTTAAATTTAAACCTTTTTCTTCTACAGAAAGCAATGATTACTAACACTTTGTTATTTTCCCTTAGCAATTTAAAAAAGCATTTAATCACACATTATAATAACAAAGAGAAAGTAATGACATTTGAAATTTACTTATACAGTAGGTCAGGACAATCAAATTGACCTCCATTTATGCATAAAAAAGGCAAGAGAAAAAAGGGAGTTTTGCTAGTCTACTCTCCAAAAAAGGGAAAAGATGGCTATAGAAGTCAATTCAGAAACTACAGTTGTCCATTGTCTGCTACAATGCAACTCATGAACTGTTCTCCTGTATTCTGTCACACTTATTGCTTTCTTTGCCCTCTTGATATGTACGAAGCTGCTCCATGAAGCCAGAATTTGGACATATGGAAGGTCTTGCATTTTTCACCAAAGAAAAAGCACTGGTAAATGAGGTTTGTTCAGAATTCATCAGGAAACCTATTACAATTGCAGCAGCCCTGGAAACGCCTGCATTACAATGAACAAGAACCACTCCATCCTACAAAAAAAAAAACAAACAAAAATCTTCATTATTCATTTGAGAAAGGTTATTATATCAATTGCACATTCTTATACTACTTGAAAGTATAAAGTAAATATTCAGTTTTATTGATTTATTTGATTCAATTTATTTGATTATTGAAATAAAATTCATTACCAGCAACAAATGGAAACTCAATCAATCAATCAATCAACCTGTACCTCCCTTACCTACTAACCCATGATTGAAATGCTTTAATGATGTTTGGAATTCTGAAACAGTATCTTTCATTAAACTAAAGTAATCCAGTAAAGAACACATTAAAACCTAACAACTTAGTAGCCAAATGTATCAGTAAAGTACACATAAAAACCTAATAACTTAGTAGTCAAATGTATCAGTAAAGTACACATGAAAACCTAACAACTTTGTAGCCAAATGTATCAGTAAAGTACACATAAAACCTAACAACTTAGTAGATAAGTGTATATAAATAAGAAAAAAACCACAGGAAATATATGTGGAAACATAAAATAAAATCATAACTATAAGCTAAACAGAAAGCCAGAAATACTCCAGAGTATACTTAGTGTTCTCATAAATAAGCTAGTGTCAATGGCTTGCAAATCTGTTTAAATAATCAGCAAGGAAAAAATTTTCTACCCTTGCACATATTTTATCCTGGCAGAAAGTTACTTAAAAATATTTAAACTTACGATGTAGTAAAATGTGACACAAATAGCTCATAACAATGTGAAGTGGAAAAGGTAATCACATACCAGCATGAGGTCAATAAATGAAAAACATTTCAGGTAACTTGCAAATGATACTTTCCAAGTGAAAAGAGACACAGTGCAAGACCAATGCTGATGGGGGCAATATTGTATTAATAATGAATGTGATAGATCTGATGGGACAGCATTGATACAGCTTGGCCTATCTGAAGCTTTTAAAAAGTTAATGATCTAAATGAAATGTGGTGAACTGTGAGCACACCCTCCAGAATTAGACATTTTAGTTACTTCATTTCTTGATTCTTTATTTGGTACAACACAAAAAAAGACGAGAGCAGGAGGGAAAAAATATACTACTGAAAACCCTCTACCCAAAGCACATATTAACAATACTATTGTTATGACTCATTGGATTATTTTACTTCTGCAAGGCAGTTTTCCGATTCAGACATCTGTTGCAAAACTCCTTTCCTTGATCTGCTGTAACAAATTTGCAAGTGCATCTCTTTTCAAGAAAGCCAAATGATTAATAACAAAATTAGTTAACATTTTGAAAATCCTCATATAAAAAAGGAAAATATCAATTGTTTTCTTTTTTCACATCTTACATTACTATGGGATATTACTCTTTTCTATAGATATTTATGACTCATTTTCAAACTTCAACAGTTTCTATATAAGAAAAGCAAAACACAAATATTCACTATACACCTTGGGAACTTTTCTCATTTTGTAGCAATAGCCCATTTTTACAAAACTTAAGATGTTTAAAAATTATATTAAAGTAACTGATGAAAATTATTAATGAACTTCATTTAGCATAAAACAAATTAATTAGATACTCCAAAGAAACTTGCAATCATAACCTTAATAAGCAAGAGATACCCTTCAATGTCACTTTTAATATTTCCTGCTTATATACTAGTCGGCTTTACTTTATGATGCATACATAGGCTTTTGAACATGAAACTAGCTTTATTTTCAGTCTTACACATTGTGCATCCAATTTTAGCTAATGTTTTCAAATGATATTATTTTCTTCTTTCTACTTTATATAATAGCTGTTTTTCTACAGCTTTTCAATTTACCTACTTTCTACTTTTGATTATTCCTTAGGTATCATATTGTCCTTGAAAGTATTTCCAGAGAAATTATTGGCTTTATATCCCTTTTCCAGAGCTCAAAATAGTAACAAACAATTTATAAACCACTTTTTTTTTCCTTTGCACTTGCTGTTGTCCTATGCCTAGAAGACCTTTGCTCTTCTTGGTACAGCTAATTCTGACTTCTGTTCTAAGACTGCCTCTTTCCAAGTGAAATGAGGGTATGAGGAATGTCTTAACCATCTTTGTATGCCTAGTATTTAGTGCAATTCTTGGCATATAGTAGTTATTCCATAACTTTTTGCTAAGTGAATACATTTGTTCTGCATTTCTGAAAGGAAAGTGTTCTTTCAAAAATTCAAAATCACCATTTTGCTATGGGCAAGTAGTAACCTATAGGCAGATAGTAATTATGCTATGTTATTTCCATTTCATAGAGTTGTCTTTGTTCTTGTGCTATTATAGTTTTCAACTAGATTTCAAGCTCCTTGAGGGCAGCAATGTGTATCCCTCACATCTTCTCAGAATAAGTAATTAATAGTTGTTAACAGTAACTGAGCCAGGCCCAGGTGTTTTTCCTTATATTTAACTTCCATTAAAACTTCGGCATGGCCAGGCACAGTGGCTCACACCTGTAATCCCAGCACTTTGGGAGGCTGAGGCGGGTGGATCACAAGGTCAGGAGTCCGAGACCAGCCTGGCCAACATGGTGAAACCCCATCTCTACTAAAAATACAAAAATTAGCTGGGCGTGGTGCTGGGCACCTGTAATCCCAGCTACTTAGGAGGCTGAGGCAGGAGAATCACTTGAACTCAGGAGGCGGAAGTTGCAGTGAGCTGAGATCATGCCACTGCACTCCAGCCTGGTTGACAGAGTAAGATTCTGTCTCAAAAAAAAAAAAAAAAAAAAAACTTGGGCAGAAGCACTATTCATAATAGCAAAGACATGGAATCAACTCAAATGCCAATCAATGATAGTCTGTATAATGAAAATGTGGTACATATACCCCATGGAATACTATGCAGCCATAAAAAGAATGAGATCATGTCCTTTGCAGGGACACAGATGGAGCTGGAAGCCATTATCCTTAGGAAACTGACGCAGGAACAGAAAACCAAACACTGCATGTCTCACTTATAGGTGGAAGCTGAACAACGTGAACACATAGACACATGGAGCGGAACAACACAAACTGGGGGCCTGTCGGGGTTAGGTGGGGTAGGAGGAGGGAGAGCATCAGGAAAAATAACTAATGCATGCTGGGCTTAATACCTAGGTCATGGGTTGATAAGTGCAGCAAATCCCCATGGCACACGTTTACCAATGTAACAAACCTGCACATCCTGTACATGTGCCCCAGAACTTAAAAAAACCTTGGGTATAATGTGATAGTCTGCAAGTGCTTGACAGCCACCTATGATGAAATAAGAATTTTGCAGTGGAATGAAAATCAATTGTCACTAAAAATATACTCCTTAGTTCAGCGTTTGGGTGGGGTGGGGGAGTAGCCAAAATCTCTCAAAGAACTAAGCAATGTCTTGGTTTATATTCAGGCACAACCTTCTTATCCTGCAGAGGTCTGGTAGCAAACTGGACAACACTTTGAGGAGCACAGGTCAGAACAGTCCACTCATGACTATCCACAGTAGTAGAGGGGAATGTAAATATGACAAATACAAAAAAGTGATGGGTAGACTGCTTTGAAACAAAATGGAAGAAGTAAAGCAAGAGAATAGGGTCTGGTGGCAGGGAACCTAAGGCTGTTTTACTCCGATTTCCCAGAACTAAATTCAAAGGAAAACCCTAACTTTCCACACCTAAGTAACAAAAGCACCGGGGGCTACTGCCTTTGCAAACCCCTCACCTTTTCTGCATGCAGATGGGAAATTTGCTGTCCACAACCAATCAGACTAATTGCAGGCCAAGTCTTCGTTTGCATAGAAGTATAACTTTGTAACTTCACCCTAGCCTCTCACTGGTTGCTTTTTGCAACCAATCAGATGTTTGCACAGGAGCGTGACCTTTGTAACTTCACTTCAGCCTCTGGTTGGCTGCTTTCTCCAACCAATCAGACTGACTGCAGGATACCACTTCATTTACATAAGGTGAGCATGAAGTGGCCATTGGGAAACTTCTAGTGGGTATTTGGACCCAAGAAGATTCTGTATCCTGTCCCTTGGGCCGCTGCTTGGACCTGCTCCGACACTGTGGAGTGTGCTTTCACTTTCAATAAATCCCTGCTTTTGCTCTTTTGTTGCTTCATTCTTTCTTTGCTTTGATGGGCGTTTTGTCCAATTATTTGTTCAAAATGCCAAGAACCTGGACAACTTGCAGTCATGACCCTCTACTTGTAACAGAAGCATCTAAAAACTTCGTGAATTTAGGTACTTATTTAGACCCATAATGTCTCTCTAATGAACTTTTACTTCTATTGAACAAAAAACTACAAACAGCTTACATGTCTCATAGCAGGAAATAAGATAAATTATAGAATCACCAACTACCAGAATACTGTGCAAAAATTTTAAATGATTTGAATCATCAAGTATAAAAAGCAGGCTATACAGAGGGGACTAGGGCCAGAGACAGGACCAGGAAGGAACTGAGGACCAAGAAGTGCAAATATCAGTACCCAGGACCAAAGTGGCCGCCCAGAGTTCCCGATCTCACATGTGATAGCACCCCGTCAGCCCTCCCCTCCTGAGCAGGGATCCAAGAATGTGCCAAGAGGCCTGCTGGCCTCAGCCGGGTGGGCCTGTACATAGGGTCCATGTGCAATAGGGAGGGAAGTCTTCTATTTTTTGCTGCCCCCTCCCAGCCCGCTGTCTGGGACAGGGGGAGAAGGTATTTTCAAGATAAAGCACAGGTACCACAAATAAAGTCATGAAGTTGCCCTCCCAAAAAAAAGGCAGGCTATAAAAGAATATAAACTGTATGATACTATTTTTATAAAAATACATATATAGGTCTAGAAAAATATATCAAAATGCTAACAATGCTTATATCTAAGTGTGGAAGTGTCTTAATTTTCATCTGCATTTTCCATTTTTTCTACAAAGAACATGGACTACTTACGTCATGTTTTTAAAATCACATCTTATAAACAATGAACATGAAATATCAAATACACATTGTTATACTTTGTACCTTTTGTACATAAAAAGAGGGGACAAATAAATTTAGTTCCTAAAAGGACTCTTTGGGCTATAGAAGTTACCATTACTGTTCTTCTCAGGTGTATTTCTGTCCCTTTAGGCATAAAGGAAGGACAGAGAAGCCAAATAGAGTTTTGCAAGTACAGAGGGAAATGAGTAAAGACTTAGGAAATGGAATCCATTCCATTTGGCAACGGTATGCAAAAAGATGAAAACAACAAACTATAGCCTAGAAAGGTAGTTTTGAAACATGTAATTCACTGAGTAATTAGATTTAACAATACTTGAATATAAAATAGACAAAGGCATGAAGAGATCTTTTCTTAAAAAAAATGAAAAAAATTCAAGAATTTTTATTGCTAAAACTAAATATATATTAGCCTTCCAGGCATGGTGGCTCATGCCTATAATCCCAGCACTTTGGGAGGCTGAGGCAGGTGGATCACTTGACGTCAGGCATTTGAGACCATCCTGGCCAACATGGCAAAACCCCGTCTCTATTAAAAATACAAAAATTAGCCAGGCATGGTGGTGCGCACCTGTAATCCCAGCTACTAGGAAGGCTGAAGCAGGAGAATCACTTGAGTGCAGGAGGTGGAGTTGCAGTGAGCTGAGATTGTGTCATGGCACTGAGTTTTCAGGGCAGGGAAATATTGGCTGAGGTTAGGATTCCAGTATAAAACACAAGGCTTGAGAGGGTAGAACATATTTCTGAAATCTAATTCATCTTATCAGAAACATTTTCTGCAGCTCCTCAGATTCCTGTGGTGCCGCCATCTCACAGACCCTCTCAGCATGCTCCACCTCGGCTACCACCTCCATGGCTGACTGCTCTCCCCTGCTTTCACTTTTGCCTGTCAAAGAAGGAGCTCTTCTTCCATGGTGTCCACAGTATAGACAGGCGTACTCTGAGTTCTGGATTTTCTAATTCTCAACTTGGTTGAAAAGTTGTATTACTGGGTGTTAGATTTGGCTTCGAGGTGGCTGCTGAAAGAGTGGAATGTTATAACCTAGAATTGTGGGGTTGGTTATATCCCCACTGGCAAACTTTGACCAATGGGAAACAGGAGCTGACAGGAAGCCAGGCAGATAAATCCTCCCTTCCAGGCTGGGTTGAGGTGCAGTTTCTTTGTACTGCCTGTCCAGAGGTATTTTGGGTGGTAGAGTAGCTGTACCTGCTGAATAGCCAACAGTCAGCTCACTGTGAAATGAGCCCAGCAGGGTAAACGCATCACTTTGTATTGCTTCTCGTCCCACCTTGAATCACTTTCCTTTCTTGCCACTCTCACTGCCTAGAGATTGTACCTCTCAAATTAAGCATAAGCTCTAAATCCTCATCTCAGGCTTTATTTTTAGGAAACCCAAGCTAAAATCCACTCTAATTTACTGGCCCAAATTAAGGCAAACTTTATTTTTTAAATTTATTTAAAATTCCAAGCTTATTAGAATATTCAATCTCTTGCTTTTCTTTCTAGATATGATTAACCTCTCTAATTTTTACTTGCAACATTTACATCTCTTCTAATGTTAATATGAATATGGATGATATCTATACTTTGCCATCTCTGGCATATTCTACATCTCCTTAGAGAAGGAGCCAATACAGAAACATCCTTTTTATTTTTAAAACTATTAACTCACACACTGGAATGTTACAATCCAGAGCCTGTAAATTTTTTAACAAGAAAACAGAATGGCCAATATTAGGCTTTGAATTAAAAAACCTCTCCCTTGGCCAGGTGCAGTGGCTCATGCCTGTAATCCTAGCACTTTGGGAGGCTGAGGCAGGTGGTCTGCCTGAGCTCAGGAGTTCAAGACCAGCCTGGGCAACACGGTGAAACCCTGTCTCTACTAAAATACAAAAAATTACCCGGGTGTGGCAGTGTGCTCCTATAGTCCCAACTACCTGGGAGGCTGAGGCAGGAGAATCACTTGAACCCGAGAGGCGGAGGTTGCAGTGAGCCGGAGGTTACAGTGCACCGAGATCACACTACTGCACTCCAGCCTGGCGACAGAGTGAGACTGCATCTCAAAAAAAAAAAAAACAAAAAAAAAAAACACAAAAAACAAAAAACAAAAAAAACCTCTTCCTTTGCTTCCATCCAAATACAGTCGTGCATCATTTAACAATGGTGATGCATTCTGAGAAATGTGTTGTTAGGCAGTTTCTTCGTGGTGTAAACATCACAGAGTGCACTCACACAAACCTAGAATGGTATGGCCTATTGCTCCAAGACTACAAACCTGTTCAGATGTTACTGTACTGACTTGTAGGCAACAGTAACACAATGGTATGTATTTGTGTATCTAAACATACATAAACATAGAAAAGGTATGGTAAAAATACATTATTATAATCTTATGGAACCACCATCATATATGCAGTCCAAACATCATTATGCAGTGCATGACTGTATCTGCTATTAAGTAAAGTTGATGAACAGTAGAATTGAATAGTTTTATATTTTCTGGGTAGTCTAGTAGGAAGGCACGTAGAACAGTGCTGGGCACCTAAGGCATTCAATAAATATTACTAAATGAAAGGAAAGAAGGGAGAGAGGAAGAGAAAATGGGAAGGAGAAAAGATAAAGGGAGAGAAGGTAGGCCAGAGTTCAATTAAACCTGATTGTAATCCTGTCATTGTTAGGTGTTCCAGAAGAGTTATTTCTCTCTGTAAATGCTTCTACTTTCCCATCTACGTATCTTACATAAAGTCTGTAAGAATTATTTGCTGACTAAAAATGATGACATTTCAAGGAATAATTGTTGATAACAGCCAACCTAGAAACTTTGCCTGTCAGAATGTTGACTTCAATAACAAGCCTGAAGTACTATATGACATTGGCTATTGGTCTTCTAACTTCAGAAAACCAACAGACAGTTTCTGATCAGCATTTTCATACAATCTAAGTAAAGCAATACACATTTAGTCCTTAGAGTGCCTTAAAATTTTACTGCTAAAAATGCATAGTTTCACAATAACTATCTCATTCATTAAAATCAAATGCATATTAATCATCATAAATACACTAACAAGTCTAGAGCAGTCTCTGTTTTATAGTCTGAATTAATGTTGAAACTAAACATCTCATTGAAAAAAGAGCAATTAACCAAATAATTGTAGGAAATAATGAAATATTGTTAGAAGGGAAATTTCATAATTGTTTTTTAGAGATTCATTATAAAAATAATAAAGATTGGGTAATGGATCCACACTTTCAAATTTCTGCTTCTGCAGAACTATGGATCAAAACAAAACTCACTTTTCTTTTTGCTTCTTCAATAAATTCAAAACATTCTGGAAAATAAGACAGGATGTTGGTTTCAGGCAGATCCAATATAGAAATGCTCTTATATGTAAAGTCACTGAGGAAAGCATTTTCAACTCCATATGCAACATTAAGAATATGAGTCACCTTAAAGAGAAAGAAAAAAGATGATTGTTTTAAATCCCATGAATTAGGTTACCTAAAAAGAGACTGGGGTGTTGATATCTATAACAAGAAAGGTAAAAAATTTAAATGCGACTCACTTGAATGATAATACTGCTTCAATCCCACACCAGAAGTGCTCCTTCTACTATATGTTTTCTCTCTCTCTCTCTCTCTTTTAACTTATTATTATCATCATGCAGAGACAGGGTCTCTTTCTGTCACCCAGGCTGGAGTGCAATGATGCAATCATAGGCCACTGCAATCTTGAACTCCTAGGCTCAGGTGATCCTCCTGCCTCAGCCTCCCAAGTAGCTGGGACTACAGGCGTGTACCACCACACCCAGCTAATTTTTTTTTTTTTTTTTTTTTTCAGAGAAGAGGGGGGCGGGTCTCACTTTTTTTGCCCAGGCTGGTCTCGAACTCCTGGCCTCAAGTGATGCTCCCACTTCCGCCTCCCACAGTGCTGGCATTACAGGTATAAGCCACCACACCTGGCCTATATATTTTCATAGCCCTGGACTTGCCCTATTATAGCTCATGCCATTTAGAGATTGTTTTTCTCTTTCACTGCACTAGAAACTCCATGAGGGTAGGGACCATGTTTAACTTAGTGTTATAAGCGAATGAGCAGTGAGTTTAGCAGAAAATGCTTAAAATCTTTGTTGAATTAATCTGTGAATATCCATATAAAAACTTAAATAGGAGAAGTGTATCAGTGGTATACAACTTCCCTTTCAAGAATTATTTCCCTATTTTCCTTCATATTCTTTACTTTATAAAATGGTTCTCCAGGATGACTGCACATTAGAGTCACCTGATGAACTCTTAAAAACTATCAATAACACAGGGTCTCATACCCAGAGATTCTGATGAACCAATCTGGCTGAAAAGTAAGGGGAGGTGTGGTTGTAAAATATTTTCTTTCAGATGGTACACTTGAGCAACCTCCTCCTCTTGCATCTATGTATTTGAGCCCCTTTTCCTAGAGTCCACCAACCATGTGGAAGAAAGCCAGGCAGACAGTCCATTAAGATAATCCAAAGGCTGAGAATCACTTGAACCCAGGAGGTAAAGGTTGCAGTGAGCCACGATCATGCCACTGCACTCCAGCCTGAGCAAATGAGCGAGACTCTGCCTCAAAAAAAAAAAAAAAAAAAAAAAAAAAAAAAAAAAACCTAACAACCTTGTCCACATCTGTACTTCCCCTCTGCCTTCTGATTACAATGAAGGATGTGCTCGTGCATCTTCGATAAGGCTCATTCCAGAACCTGTGCTTGGAGTCACAGTGCTTCCTACTTTCTTGGCATCTCCCTATAGTCATAATTCTTGCTTTTCTGTATCTTCAATTCCTTCTTCTACCATCAGCCTTAAAACATGCTCAAAGCTCTCCCCTCCCCCTCCTCACCTATGGCTCCTCTCTCTCTTTTTTTTTTTCCCTTTGCCATCACTTCCTCACTTCTCAATCTTTTGCAATATGGCTTTGGCCTCCAATTCAAATGAAACTGTTTCCACCAAACGCACTAACAACCTCTCTGTCACCAAGTCCCATGGATATAATTTAGTCCTAATCGTACTTAAACTTTTACAGCATCTGACATTGCTGACTCTCTCCTCCTTAAAACACTATTCTCTTTAGTTTCCATGACACCATCTTTTTGTTTTACCTTCTTTGGGCCTCTTTTAGATCCTCCTTTCCCACTGCGGACTCTTCTTTGTTTGATCATTCCATATAGGGTGATATTCCTCAATTTATCAGTTCTGTGATAAGATTCTGTCATAGGCCCTCTTCTCTCTTACTTTACACTTTTCCCCAGGCAGCTTCATCTATTCTAATGGTTTCAGTAACTACTTAAAAGCTGAAGATTCCTAAATCTATATATTCACCTCTATTCTGAACTTCAGACCCTACATATCCACCCACCTAGATGATCCACATCACCCAAAACCTAACATGTTCAGAACTGAGCACACTGTTTCTCCTTCAAAGCCTGTTCCTTCTACGTTGCTTTCAATCTCATGGAACGATAACTTTACTTAGTTACCAAAGAAAGCTAGACATCAGCCTTGACTCCTCCTTCTCCCTTAGCCCCACTCCCTATCCTGCCTCATAAGTAATCAAATTTTAAGAATTCTACCCTCTAAAAAACCCCTCACATCTATCTAATTCTATCTCCACTAAATCTTAATCTCAGCCATTATCATCTTTTCCTTAGATTACTGCAATAGCTTTATAACCAGTTTCCCCCATCTCTAACTTGAGCAACCCTCCAATCGATTTTCCACACTGCTTCTAATGAGAAATCTTTCTGAACTGCAAATTTGACCTTGTTACATCTCTGGGTAACTTCTCAGTGGCTTTCCATAGTCTTTTGGATCAAGTCCACACAACTAACTTTGGCTTACATGGCCTTTTGTGATCTGGCTCATGCTTACCTCTCTCTCTGGCCTTGTCTCTTGGTGCCCTTCTTTCTCACACTCTCTATTCCAGGGTCACTGAACTTTTCTGTCCCTGAAAGCATCCACCTTTCTCTTGCTTCTGGGCCTTCACACATATCATTTATTCTGTATGAACACTTTACTTTCTTTTTTTTTTTTGAGATAGAGTCTTGCTTTGTCGCCCAGTCTGGAGTACAGTAGCAAAATCATAGCACACTGTAACCTCGAACTCCTGGGGTCAACCAATCCTCCTGCCTTGGCCTCCCAAAGCCTTGGGATTACAGGCTGTCTACTCCTTTCCTAGCCTCTTCAGAGAAATACTTCAATATCACTTCCTCCAGGAAGTCTCCCCTGACTCACTTATCCCCCCAAAAACAAACCAAACCAAACATGGGTTAAGAGCATCATCTCCTATGCACTTCTACAGCACCCTGCACTTCCCCATCAAAGCACACAAACGCTGTTCGGTAGCTGCTTGTCTCTCTTCTCTGTCTGCCCCTTAGGTCATACGCTTCAAGTGAACAAGAATCTCTTGCACTCCTTCACCTACAGCAATTCCATGACCTGAAACAGTACTCAAAAAAATGGTAGAGGGCTAAAAATCCTTTTGAGTAAATATGTAATAAATCACATCAGTTGTATGGAGTAGAGTGGCTGGAAATGGCATTACAGAAGACGTGGTATGTGAGTTGGGACTTAAGGTATGGACAGGTCTTGGACAAGCAGAGATGAGGGAAAGTCTATCCCACACAGAGGAACTACATAAACACAGGCAAGAAAGACATGCCTCCAAGGTCAGGTTCATGAGGGTACATGAAGGAGATCAAGAAGAATGTAAAACTGGAAAGACAGATTACAGATCCACATATTTGAATTATGTGCCAATTATTTTTCAACTCTATTGAAATGATAGCCAAAATGTTACCAAATAAACTCCATAATATACCAAAGATGGACCAATACAGTTTTTCCTAAATAAAACAATTAAAATATTCTGTGTATATGGTGCCAGACTTAAAGCATTTTTTTACCTTATTCTTTTTCAGTGTATCCAAATCATGAGCAGCATCTTGTGACCCTAGAAGAAATAAATGATACCACCTTGAACACAAATATAATCATCTTGAACTTTTATATAAATTTCTACAGCAATTCTGTTATTAAAAAAAAAAGACCAACAACTTGGAAGGACCTTAGTCCAACTTTCTGAAGGGCAATTTGATAACAGTCATCCTACATAAACTCCTGGACTCTGAAATCCTACTTCTAAAAATTTGTCCTAAAAGTTATAGATGTTGCAAAGATTAGCTGTAAGGATGTTCACCATAGTATTGTTTGTAATATAAACAAAACAAAAACAAAAGAACACTAAAAGCCCAATAATAGCTGTTGCATTAAATAAAAAATGGTATAATTGTGTAGTGAAATACATACAGCCATTACCACCATTAGAAATAAGAAATGTAAGCCTGAACAACATTGTGAGACCCTGTCTATAGAAAAAAAATTTTTTTTAATTAGCCAGGCATGGTAGTGCATGCTTGTATTCCCAGGTATTCAGAAGGCTAAGGCAGGAGGATCCCTTGAACCTAGGAATTCGGGGTTACAGTAAGCTATGGTTATGCCACTGCACTCCAGCCTCGGTGACACAGCCAGAAGAAAGAAAACAAAAGAAAAGAAAAGATAAGAAAAGAAAAGACAAGACAAGACAAGAGAAGAGAGAGGGAGGGAGGGAGGGAGGGAGGGAGGAAGGAAGGAACGAACGAACGAACGAACAAAAGGGAAGGGAAAGAGAGGGAGAGAGAGAGAAAGAGAGAAAGAAGAAATGTGGTAAAATATGTATAGCATGGAAACATGTTCTTGGCCAGGA
Source organism: Homo sapiens (assembly GCF_000001405.40). Taxonomy (NCBI): domain Eukaryota; kingdom Metazoa; phylum Chordata; class Mammalia; order Primates; family Hominidae; genus Homo; species Homo sapiens. The sequence continues at coordinate 183,082,715 of NC_000002.12, read as the reverse complement.
GTGGTGGCTCCTGTCTGTAATCCCAGCACTTTGGGAGGCTGAGGTGGGTGGATCACTTGAGGTCAGGAGTTTGAGACAAGCCTGGCCAACATGGCACAACCCCATCTCTACTAAAAATACAAAAATTAGCTGGGCATGGTGGTGCATGCCTGTAATCCCAGCTACTCAGGAGGCTGAGGCACGAGACTTGCTTAAACCTGGGAGGCAGAGGTTGCAGTGAGCCAAGATCGTGCCACTGCACTCCAGCCTAGGTGACAGAGTGAGACTCCGTCTCAAAAAAAAAAAAAAAAAAAAAAGAAAAATGTTCTCAATGTATCTGGTTATAAAAGCAGGTTACAAAATACCATCATCCATTTTTATAACAACAAAAAATATGTATATGCTTAAAAAATGGAAAGGAGGTATACATAGAACAAAATGTTAACAATGGGGTTGCAGGTGATTTTTTTTTCTTCTTTATGCTCATTCTGACTTTTTACAATAAACATCTCTTTATTTTGTAACTTAAAAAAGGATATTACAAAAACCACACACCCACAAGATGACTTTGTGCCAGCTGGTTTGGGAACACCCAGTAGCTTAGAGCAAATGCTGTTGGTCTGCAGGATCCCACCCACACTCCATGTATCACTAGGGCTGTGCCCTTCTACAATCTCTTTCTGTCACAGCCGGCTTCCCAGATCTCCCACACTTGGAAACTGGCTCTAGTTAATAAGCAAGTTCATATGGAGAATAACTAGTCAAAATAAAGTGAGTTTCACAGTTTAAAGATTTCAAGTATTTTACTTTCCTGAATTAGGTTCTATTTCATAAACTTTTTTTTTTTTTAAGTTACCCATCTGGGAATTCAGCCAACTTTTATTATGTGATTTTAGGTGGCTGAAAGGCCAGCAAGTATGCTGTTTGGCCAATATCCTCTTGATAATACCAAGCTTACAGGTTCGCTACTGAGCTCACATTCAGCTTTATTATACTTAAAAGTTAGCCTATCAAAATATTAACATTTGTTAAAGCTGAATGGTATATACATAATTGTCTATTAGTTTCTGTAATTTTCTATAAATTTGAAATACTTCATAATTTTTTTTAAAATTCTGTTTTCTAATGTAGAAAGCCCTAACCAACTCCAGAGGAAAAAATAGGTTCAAATAATTGAAATTTGGTGGTTTAGTCAGGCGTGGTGGCTCATGCCTGTAATCCCAGAAATTTGGGAGGCCAAGGCGGGCAGACTGCTCAAGCCCAGGAGTTCAAGACCAGCTTGGGCAACATGGTAAAACCGCATCTCTACAAAAAGTACAAAAAAATTAGCCAGGCATGGTGGTGTGCACCTGTATTCCCAGCTATTCAGAGGCTGAGGTGGGACGATCGCTGGAGCCTGGAAGGCAGAGGTTGCAGTGAGCCAAGATCGTGCCACTGCACTCCACCCTGGATTTATTTTGAGACCCTATCTCAAAATAAATAAATAAATAATAAATAATTATCTGTCTATATATAATGTTCAAAGCCTAGGACAAAAATGCTGTCTAAAATCTTTTCTCCATTTTTAAATGGTTCGAGGGCCTATGTAATATTTTTTAAATGCAGTCACTTTTTAGAGTTTACGAACTAAAAAAGATTACATTTTTACAACTCTTCATTTTCTTTATTCATCACCCAAACCAAAAGTTGTTTGGCATGCGATGCTGGGAGGAAGCTGTGTCGCTTTGAGGAGGTGAAAGAAGCTCTTAGAACCAACCTGCAAACAACCCCAGTCTCCCAGACGTAAACTAAGTCTGGTCAGAAACAACTCTTTCAACATTCATGTAGAAGAACTGCGGGTGGAACCACCCATGGATCCTTTAGGAATGAGGCACTTGTAATTAGGCAGAAAAAGGTGAGCTTTCAGAAGGGAGGAGGTTGCTCCTGATGAAAGTATCCCATTCCAGAGAAGACCTTATTAGGGCTAGTTTCAGAAGTTCCTCCCAGGACTCTCCCACTATCCTGGGGAGGTTTCCAACCCCAATCTCAGAACACTACCTTGATCAGTTCACTTTGGGTAAGTCCACAAATAATAGTAATAAGCAAAGTTCATGAAGACCCTAAATTGGTGAATGATATATGAAAATTCTACCATAATTATTCCAAGCCATGATTACTACAGTGGAAGCCAAAATAACTGAAAAATGTGCCAGGACGTATTTTCTTTCCTAGATATGGTGAGCAGGGCCTAGGTGAACTTTTCAGATTACCTAAATAACTCACTTTTTCACTGTAAATGTGACAAGAATATGGTACAGTTTTTCACGGGACTGTAGAAACTAGTTAGAGACATTTATTTGGTGAATTTAAAGACAGCCTATGTAACAATTCATATAATATTTAATAACTTATATGTACACTGCAATTGATTTGCATCAAAAACCTTTTACAACAACCTCAGGAGGATCCTATGACATAAGCAGATACTGTTACTTCATCTTTACAAATGGCTTTTTGGAGGACCAGAAAGGATAAATGGCTTGCACCAGCTAATCTAGTAAATTAGAGGCGGAGCAGGATTGAAAACTTGGTCTATGTGAGGCAGCCTAGTATAACAATGGACAGCAGGAGTCCATCAGACTTGGGCTTGATGCATACGTCTGTTATTTACCAGGTGTGTTACCTTGTGTAAATTACTTCACCAATTTTAAATCCTGGTTTCTATTTGTAAAACAAAGCTGATAATCCCTACTTCACAGGATTCCTCAAAGGAGTAAGACACTAGGTGAACAGCACCTGGGCTATTTCTCAGTCTTCTCTCTATTCAAGAATGCCTTAGCTGCATAGTGATAAGTCATTTAGTCTTTCCAAGTCTTAATTTCTCTATTCATAAATAGAAATAATTCAGACGTACTTGAAAACATTCTTGACTATTTTTTTAAGAACACCATACCATATTCTTGCCAAATTAACAAGTTTGCACTTTTATAACCTTGCTTCATTTGCTATTTGTGAACTATGCTTGTATAGGGGCTCAGTATTTCCATAATACGAAATAAATCATAAGATCTTAAGATCTCCTTCTCTTAAACACTCCAAAAACAGACACCATGAACAGACGTGGCCACAGGAGGCATGTATTCCGCACGGTCTGTAAGAGCTGCGCAGGCCAGCAAGCACAGGACTATTTCGAGTATTAACTTTTCTATAACTTTAACCATTGTCACTTGTAGTTCTGCCTGATACAAACATTCTTTTTTCATTCCTTTTTTTTCAAGCTGTATTTTTTATAAGCCAAGAAAACACAACATCAATGTGTTATTCTCCAGAGAAGTTAGAGAAACGGGAAGAAAGCTTTTCTAAAATTCAAATATGCAGTGCCAAGTGCTACGAGAATAGCATCTATGCTTCTTATGGGTACACTGTGAGGCAGAAACGGCTCTAGCTGGCTAATGGAAGTTCCATATCCAAAAAAGGAAACAGTTCAGCTTTTCGGCAGGATAGCTGATAATACAGACTATTACGCATAAAGGGGGAAAATGAGAACGTAATCTGGCTAAAAGGACTCAATGATCTAGTGGCAAGTCGATATACTCACCTAGGAGCAACCATGGCTTAATAACGCCAACTTGCAGGTCCGAGCTAAGGTCCTGCACATAACCACAACCACCCCCACTGCTCGGCTCTACTTCTTCCACAACATGAATTCTGGCATCTTTCCATGTTTCTATAATTTTCTTTCCAGTTAGCGTTGTCACCCTGGTGCATTGCTTCCTGAGATTATTCCGGGAGAATGCTTTAATTTCCTGGTTAAGGGAGTACATTACATGAGCAGTGGCTGGGAACAAATACAAACAAATCCAGCAGGCATAGAAAACGGCTGAACTGCTAGTCCCTTATTGCCCAGGTAACAAAGCCAGCCTCAGAGGTGCTCGCCCATCCAGGTAACCGCAGCAGCCACAGACCAAGAGACTGAGTCGTCCAGCTCCGTTTATCCCAGCGATGCAATGTAAGGCGAAATTTGATTGGTCATTGAGACACAAGTGCCGATTGGATGCTGTTTCTTCTTCCTGTCAGCCAGAAACCTGCATTTTCCCGAAAGGCTCGAGGGATCCACTGGGGAAGATTTCTTATTGTTGCTGTTTAAATTTAGCTTTCTAATACACGCAGAATGGTAAAATATAAGACTTCGTTGGAGAGAGGAATGATATGTCCTGGTTCTTTAAAGGCAGTGATTTTCTGATATATTCTGTTAGTGTCACTTACGGCAGTGACCATGGACGATCCGGGCTGACCTGTGTATCGCTCCCGCTTGAAAGAGACCGGCGGAGTCACCTTGCAAATCACCCTATGTCCCAAAGCCTTTCCTGCCTGTCTGCTTTTAGGCTAGTCCAGGAGGGCTAGAGCAGACGTTAAAAGTTATTTCTCGCTTCCTGTATCCTTCACACCTTCTGCTTTTGCTGTTAATGCAAGAGGAACGTTTACTAGATAAAGTTGTTGTGCGTATTTGTGAGGCAACAATTTAAATAAACTGGGAAAAAAGATATATTTTTTAAAATTTATGCTCATATATGTAGATTGACAAGAGCTTAAAATTTATTTATTTTCTGACTTTCAGCCTACATTTTCATTTCATACAGTAAATATACATCCTAAATAAGAATTGCAGCAAGTCCATCCATACGAAGAATTAAGAAAATCAATTGTGTAAGCATCCAAATTTGTAAAACAGATAAATAAATTATAGAACGATGATTCTGATTACCAAAAAAAAGTTTTGCAAAAGAAATCACAAGATTCCTTTAAAGAGAAATTTTTCAAACCCCTATTAAAGTAAATGTAATTTTAAATGAATTTCAACACAATGTATAAACACATATATAAAATGAAGAAGTTGCACTTATGAAAACTTTTCTTCCAATACCACATATTAAAATTTGTGTTGTTGTTGAAACTTTCTGACATAAAAAAATTCAACTGTTATGGATTGACTATTTCTGTCCCTTCAAAATGCATATGTTAAAGCTTTAAACCTCAAGGTGATGGTATTTAAATGGGACTTTTGGGATGTAATTTAGGATTAGACTAAGACCCTAGGGTAGGGTCCTCATGATGGGTTTAGTGGCTTCAGGAGAACTGAAAGAAATCTGCCTGCTCCCCTATATGGACCAAGGAAAGACAGTATGAGGACATAAGGAGAAGCTGGCTGTCTGCAAGCCAGGAAGAGAGCTTTCAGCAGGAACTGAATAGGCCAGCACCTTGATCTTGGACTTCTCAGCCTCCAGAACTGTAAGAAAATATATTTCGGTTGTTTAAGCAACAAAGTTTATGGCATTTTGTTAGAGCAGCCTGAGCAAACTGAGATATAAACCAAACTTCTCCCTCTTGAAAAAGGAATAGGCCCAGTACAGTGGCGCATGCCTGTAATTCCAGCACTTTGGGAGGCCAAAATGGGTGGATTGCTTGAGCCCAGGAGTTCGAGACCAGCCTGGGCAACATGATGAAACCCCAACTCCACTAAAAAATACAAAAAATTAGCCAGGTTTGGTGGCACGTGCCTGTAGTCTCAGCTACCTGGGAGGCTGAGGTGGGAGGATCACCTGAGCTAAGGAGGTTGAGGCTGCAGTGAGCCATGATCATGCCACTGTACTCCAGCCTGGGCAACAGAGTAAGACCTTGTCTCAAAAAAAAAAAAAAAAAAAAAAAAGAAAAGAAAAGAAAAAGAAAGAGAGAGAAAAATATATATATATATAAGCTCAGGCTATCTACAGGATGTCCTAAAATGAAAAACTGAAGAGATTATTTGCATCATTTAAACAACAATCACAGGCTCATCAAAAAACAACTCTAACCATAAATCAATCCATATATTTATCATAATAATGATCAAAAAAATAAGTACTATTAAGCATTCACTGCATGCTAGGCACTGCGCTTATAAACAATTTTAGATTCTTAGTATTATCCCTTAGCTGCTTAACAATGCTTTACACACATTATCATATTTGACCTCACCCCTATTTGTGATTAGAATCACAAATAAAACCTATGTTTGTTTCAGTCCAGTGCCTTATCTTTTATTTACTGTAGAATACGGCCCTGCTTCCAAAATAATTACAGTTAACGAATATTTACTGAGCATCAGCTATGTGCCTGGCACTGTTATAGTCATTGGAAATACAGCAGTGAATAAAAACAAAGTCCCTTCTTTCATGGATCTTATATCCAAGTGGAGAGAGCAAGAAACAAATATACATATAACCATGTTCGGTCATAATTTAAATGCTAAAAAAAGAAAAATCAAGCAAAATAAGGGAACAGAGTGAGAGGGCAGCGTGTTATTTGTTTTAGGGTGGTAAGAGAAAGCACTTCTGATACAGTGAAAATTGAACAGAGACTTGAATAAAGTGCAGAAGCCAGCCCTGTAGATATATGGGGGAATAGCTTAATAGCCAAGTGTCTAAATCTTCTGACAGATTTGGACTGTCTATGCCAAGTGCTGAAACAGGAGTGCACTAGTAGGAGATGGAGAGGTTCAAGAAACACCTGGGTAGCTAACTTGGCTTTAAGGGAGTGAATTAGGGGAAAGAGTTGGAGGAGATGTGGACAGAGAGAAATGATAATAACTTTGGCTTGTATTCTGAGTGATAGGAAGCCACAGGAGGGAACTAGGGAAAGGAGTCATATGATGGATCCTGTGTTGTGCTACCCAGATCCTTCTTCAATGAATACCTATTGTCTCCACTACCGGGTGTACTATTGGCTGACTGGTAACAATCCCTTCAGGGACTGCTGCAGCTGCAGAGGGCTGCTTTGCCGAGGTTGTGTCCCTTATGGAATAGACCACATCCATGGCTGATTGATGAGGGAGCATAAAGATCTGTATGTTAGCCCAATTTGAAACAACTCTGAGGAATCATTCTAGCTCTAAAAAGCTAACACGTGGTTGGCTAAGCCTGTCATTGGATCTGTATAACCACTTGACTTCTCTATCTGCCCAATTCTGCTTTCTTCTTCCCTTCCACAAGTGTTGATCCCAAGGGCACTCTTCGAAAAGTCTTGCATGCTAAACTCCACCTCAGTCAGCTTCCAGGAAACTTAATCTATGACAAGTGACATGACATTGCTTATGCCATAGAAGGGTCTTCCTGGCTGCTACAAGGAAAGGGAGCAGGATGGAAGCTCCCTTTCCTGCTTGTTGTTAGGAGACTACTACAGAGGTCCAGATGGAAGATGACAGTTGCTTGCGCTAGAACGGCAGCAGAGGGAAGGTAAAAAGTAGTTAGATTCTAGGGATACGTGAGAATCATGCCAAGAGAATCTGTTAGTAGATTGATGTGGGGTGATTCAGATAATTCCAAAGTTCTTAGCCTAAGCAACTGAAGAATAGATTTGCCAGTTACCAAGAAACAGGTGATGTGAATATGAGAAGAAGTTTGTGACTTGTTAAGTTTAATACTCCTATTAGTCAGCCAAATGGAGATGTCAATTAGTCAGCCAAATGGAGATATCAAGTGGGCAGCTATACATATGAATCTGGACTTCATAAGAGAGGTATCTGCTGGAAATGCAACTTCTGGAATAATCAGCTTAAAGATGCTATATAAAGCCATGGAGCTGAATGAGATGGCCTGGTAGTGAGGGTTGATAGAGAAGCCCCATGTATACCAAAGTGACTAAGAAGGAGAGGTCAGGGAGTTGAACGAAAATGAATGAGAGAGAGAGTTCTGAGAGTACAAGTAAAGAAAATGTATTAAAGTACACAATGTGATCAGCTGTGTCATATGCTGTTGATAGTGTTGAGTAAGATAAAGACTGTGCACTATAATGGATTTAAAGACTCCTTCAACAAGAACAGATCTATGTCCCAGGAATATACAAACAGTATCTGATTCAATCCACATGATAACCTAATAAAATAGGCATCCATTCTCTTTTTATAAAGAAGGACATTTAACTTGGAACCTAAGGACATAGCCTTTGGTCACACAGTCCAGATCTGTTAGGTAACAGATCTGAGTAACAAGGTTGAACACAGTTCTATCTTACTCATGAGCCCATATTCTTTACACTACATCATTCTGTAGAGGATGGGTAGAGTTGTTGGTTATACATTGATAGCTGCAGTCCCTGCTGGTAATACTAGAATATTAATGTCTGCAGTAACATTGATTGCTAATATCCTGACACCTAGATGCTATCCAACTCATATCAACATTTTGCAGAAGAACCAAGGTGCAGAAAAGTAAACTGATTTGCCCAAGTTCATATCCCTTGTAATCCCAGGTCCCTTGACTCAATATACAATGCTCGTTCCACTGCAATGTACGGCTTTCCAAAAAGTCCCTTAAGGGCAAAAATCCTTTACACAAAGCTAGCTTAGAGTGCTGGCAGGAGAGAAATGAGAGGCAAAATGTTATTAGACCCAGGCCAGAGGGAGAAGACAGCATTCCACCCCTGGGGAAGGCATTTCCCAGGCTGAGACATGAATGGTAATAGATTGTCCTGCAAGAAAGGGCACATCCTTACAAGGGCTTGGGGACTTGGATCTGAGGAAAAGGGGAAAGTGTGAAGTGAATACACCCTAGAATATGTTCCTGTGTTCTCCATATAATTCTTCTCTCCTAACAGATTTAGAGTGTCTATGTGAAGTGCTATGCTAGGCATTTTCTGAGCATTACCTCTAATCCTCATAAAAATCTCACTTTTAGATAAAGTGGCTAAATCGAAATGAAGTAGTAAGCAGTGGATCTTTTGTATTTAGTCTCAGGTCTGTTGAATTCTTTAATTTTTTAAGATTTTTTTGAGACTGAGTCTTGCTCTGTCGCCCAGGCTGTAGTGCAGTGGCTTGATCTCAGCTCACTGCAACTTCCACCTCCTGACTTCAAGCTATTCTCCTGCCTCAGCTTCCTGAGTAGGTGGAATTACAGGCAAGCGACACCATGCCTGGCTAATTTTTGTATTTTTTTTTTTTTTTTTTTAGTAGAGATGGGGTTTCTCCATGTTGGCCAGGCTGGTCTCGAACTCCTGACCTCAGGTGATTCGCCCGCCTTGGCCTCCCAAAGTGCTGTGATTACAGGCGTGAGACACCGTGCCCAGCCACTGGTCTGTTGAATTCTAAGATCCACTTTTATCCCACTACATTACATGCTCTGACATGTTACATAATAAAATCTGCCATGGGAATATGTAATCCTCATTAATTAAGATGTGACTTATATGGGTAAAAATCATTCATAAATAATCAAAGATCCTCCTCTTTGCATTACAATTTCTAGCCTGAGTTAATAATCTCAATTCTGCACTTCACTAAGAACATGCAGACACAGCCTGAAATGAATATAGAGAAAAACAAAATTCGGCCAAGCACAGTGGCTCACACCTGTAATCCCAGCACTTTGGGAGGCCGAGGTGGGCAGATCACTTGAGCTCAGGAGTTGGAGACCAGCCTGGGCAACATGGTGAAACCCAGTCTCCGCAAAAAAATACAAAAGAAGTAGTTGGGCATGGTGGCACGCACCTGTAGTACTAGCAATTTAGGGGGCTATGGTAGGAGGATTGCTGGAGCCCAGGAAGTCAAGGCTGCAGTGAGCCAAAATCGTACCACTGTTCTACAGCCTGGGTGACAAAGAGAGAGACCTTGTCTCAAAACAAAACAGAACAACCCATGAAATTCCTTTCATGATTATGGCAACTGCTTCCTGTGTGATCCTTTAGAAGACTTTTTAAAAATTTCAATTAAAACAAGTTTGAATGTAAATTTTCTTCATGAATACAATTCCTCATTTATAAATTTGTTACTGGAGTATTTTGATTACACAACATTTTTTGCTTATATATGTGTGGTTTTGTATAAATATAAATATATATATTTGAGATGGAGTCTTGCTCTGTCGCCCTGGCTGGAATGTAGTGGCGTGATCTTGGCTCACTGAAACCTCAACCTCCCAGGTTCAAGCGATTCTCCCACCTCAGCCTCCCAAGTAGCTGGTATTACAGGTGCCCACCACCATGCCTGGCTATTTTTTTTGTATTTTTAGTAGAGATGGGGTTTCACCATGTTGGTCAGGCTGGTCTCCAACTCTTGGCCTCAGGTGATCCACCTGCCTCAGCCTCCCAAAGTGCTGGGATTACAGGCGTGAGCCACCGAGTCTGGCCTTAGTTATTTGTATTATATTGATAATATAAGAAGTCGACCAAGAAGCAGCTTCTCCACTCCTTCTGGAAACTCCACCTGGTTCAACCTGCCTGCCTCCACTCCTGCCTCCACCATGTCCATCAGGACGACCCAGAAGTCCTACAGGGTGTCCACTTCTGGCCCCCGGGCCTTCAGCAGCCATTTCTACACAAGTGGGCCTGGTGCCTCCATCAGCTCCTCGAGCTTCTCCCAAGTGGGCAGCAGCAGCTTCCGGGGTGGCCTGGGAGGAGGCTACGGTGGGGCCAGTGGCATGGGAGGCATCACCACCGTCACTGTCAACCAGAGCCTGCTGAGCCCCCTTAACCTGGAGGTGGACCCACACATCCAGGCAGTGCACACTCAGAAGAAGGAGCAGATCAAGACCCTCAACACTAAGTTTGCCACCTTCATATACAAGGTACAGTTCCTGGAGCAGCAAAACAAGATGCTGGAGACCAAGTGGAGCCTCCTGCAGCAGCAGAAGACGGCTCGGAGCAACATGGACACATATTCCAGAGTTACATCAACAACCTTAGGCAGCAGCTGGAGACTCTGGGCCAGGAAAAGCTGAAGCTGGAGGCGGAGCTTGGCAACATGCAGGGGCTGGTGGAGGACTTCAAGAACAAGTATGAGGATGAGATCAATAAGCGTACAGAGATGGAGAATGAATTTGTCCTCATCAAGAAGGATGTGGATGAAGCTTACCTGAACAAGGTAGAGCTGGAGTCTCGCCTGGAAGGGCTGACTGACGAAATCAACTTCCTCAGGCAGCTGTATGAAGAGGATATCCCGGAGCTGCAGTCCCAGATCTCAGACACGTCTGTGGTGCTGCCCATGGACAACAGCCACTCCCTGGACATGGACAGCATCATCAATGAGGTCAAGCGCAGTACGAGATCACCAACCGCAGCCAGGTTGAGGCCCAGAGCATGTATCAGATCAAGTATGAGTAGCTGCAGACGCTGGCTGGGAAGCACGGAGATGACCTGCAGCATACAAAGACTGAGATCTCCGCGATGAATCGGAACATCAGCTGGCTCCAGGCAGAGATTGAGGGTCTCAAAGGCCAGAGGGCTTCCCTGGAGGCCGCCATCGCAGATGCGGAGCAGCGCGGGGAGTTGGCCGTTAAGGATGCCAGCGCCAAGCTGTCTGAGCTGGAGGCCGCCCTGCAGCAAACCAAGCAGGACGTGGTGCTGCAGCTGCATTAGTACCAGGAGCTGATGAACGACAAGCTGGCCCTGGACATTGAGATCGCCACCTACAGGCAGCTGCTGGAGGGCGAGGAGAGCTGGCTGGAGTCTGGGATGCAGAGCATGAGTATCCATACAAAGACCATCAGCAGCTATGCAGGTGGTCTGAGCTCGGCCTATGGGGGCCTCACAAGCCCCGGCCTCAGCTGTGGACTGGGCTCCAGCTTTGGCTCTGGCGCGGGCTCCAGTTCCTTCAGCTGCATCAGCTACACCAGGGCCGTGGTTGTGAAGAAGATTGAGACCCGTGATGGGACGCTGGTGTCAGAGTTCTCTGACGTCCTGCCCAAGTGAACAGCCACAGCAGCCCCTCCCAGCCTGCCCCTCCTGTGGCTGCACCAGAGCCCGTGAGGGGGGCGGCTGTGCAGAGTAGCACAGAGAACGGGAGACCCACCTGAGCCTCAGCCCTAGCCCTCAGCCCGTCCGCAGGGGAGTTTACTACCTGGGGAGCCCCCTTGCCCATCCATGCCTCCAGCTACAGAACAATTCAAATTGCTTTTATTTTTTTCCAAAATAAAACCTCAGCTAGCTCTGCCAAATACATATATATGTATATAGTCATACAAACAGAGATATAGAAACTTTCTTTTTTTTTTTTTTTTTTGAGACTGAGTCTCGCTGTGTCGCTCAGGCTGGAATGCAGTGGTGTGATCTCTGCTCACTGCAGCCTCTGCCTCCTGGGTTCAAGCGATTCTCCTGCCTCAGTCTCCTGAGTAGATGGGACTACAGGCACACACCACCATGCCTGGCTAATTTTTTGGATTTTTAGTAGAGACAGGGTTTCACCACGCTGACCAGGCTGGTCTTGAACTCCTTACCTTGTGATCCACCTGCCTCAGCCTCCCAAAGTGCTGGGATTACAGGCATGAGCTACCGCGCCCAGTCGAGATATACAAACTCTCTGCATTTCCTTTCAAATATCAATTCCTTGCATGTCTGTGCTAATATTTAAGAATCTCACATTTCCCAAAACAAGTGAGATATTTTCAAGCTCAGTGAAATAGAGCATGGGATGCACTCTATTTCTACTTTTTAAAAATTCCATATATCACAATAAATAGAATTCTAAATTTTTAAATCCAGAAATTTAGAATTTCTAAACCCAGAAATTTATAGTTCTATTCATTGTGATACATGGTATTTTTAAAAAGTAGTCTCCACATACTGTCACAGGATCCTTAGAGTGTCGCTCTTCCAGCTGTAAACCTCTGTGGTCGGTGATGCCTTTGCCCAGGATTTTCTCTGGCCTGCCGGACTCATTCTGCCCACTTGACCTGGCAGGCTGTGCTCAGCTCGTGCTACCAGACTGGATCCCATGCCTCGGAAGAGACTGGAGCCAGGCACAGAGCAGTGAGGGGTGCGTCAGTGAGCAAGTAGGGGGTCAGGCCACTGTGCACAGCCAGGCACATCGGCTGCTGCAGTGGGGTAGTCAGCTCCAGATGCCAGCACAGACTCTGGCTTCATGCAAGCCTGTGGCTGGATCAGATGCATCACAAGCGGTTTCCACTGTGGGCACCTGAGGACGAGGGGAATACGGTGGTGCCCAGAAGCTTGAAGATGCCAAAAATTACAGAGCCCCAAAGAGGGTGTCACAGCCCTGGCTTGGGGAGACCCTAGGTCTGAACACCCCAAATGGCGGCAAATCTTCTCCCCTTCTTGTCACCCACAACTTGGCAAGCAGGCAGTGGCGGGGGCGCGTAGTGTTTCAGCCCTGTTTGTGTTATAGCTCTTTCAGTCCCACCATTTGGTGGGTCCTGAGTTCTTGTCCTGTGTCCAGGAAGAATGAGGTACATGGACAATTGAAGGGTGAGCAAGGCAAAGAGGTGCTTTATTGAGCAACATTAAGCTCTCAGGAGACCTGAAGTGGGTAACTCCTTTCTGCAGGCAGGTTGTCCCATTGAATCTGCAGCCCTTAGCAGAGATGAGACCCAGAGTGGGTAGCTCCTACTCGCAGACAGGTCATCCTGTCTCTGAGAGTCTGGCTGAGTCCTGGGGTTTTTATGAGCTTCAGAAGGGAGGAAGTGCATGCTGATTGGTCCATGGGCAGCCATGGGTGGGACCAGAAAATGCACCATAAGTTCTCACTCCAGGCTGCAGACTCTACCTGGAACTGACAGCCCAGCCCTCATGCTTCAAGGGGCCCCTGGCTTGACGGTGGAGCTTCACCAGGGACCTGCCCCTTTCCACCCAGGAACCTGTCTGCCTTCTGCCATCAACATGCTATCCACAGTGCCCAGGCTGTTAGTGCCCAATGGTGCCTGCAGGCCCACGCCAAGCTTCCCTCAGCACCCCCAACCTCCTTCCCATGATTGTCAGTACCCAAAGTCCCAAGAGGGCTAAGGTGGCAGGGGGCTGGCATGTCAGCACTGGCCTGAGCACGTGCACACCTGGCTGGGTTGTGACAGCACCCAGGCTTGCACTAGAGTGGGCACCAGGAGCAGACAGAGGCCAGACAGTAGGAGGCCAGACAGCAGGCACTTCTGAGCTTGTAAGAACCCTTTCTGGGTTCAGAGCCACAGCTGTGCAGCTGCAGCTGTGCCTGGGAGTGCGGTGCTCCTGCCTTGCCAACTTAGTAGAGGGCAGGGCTCACACCTGTTCCTGGCTCATGCTGTCCTGCAGAACACACAACCCCGGCCACCACCCCCTATCCCTCCTGCAGCCAGCATCTTTACAGCTGCTGCTCCACATGGGCCATTGCTGCCATCAATATTTATCTAATTATTTTTCTACTTCACTTCAAAAAACAAATCATGTTAAAATTGAATTTTCAAATTAGGTATATGCTAGACATGCAGGTTATCTTTATTGCAGCCACTTATGCTTTAAAACCATAGAATCAACCAACAAACATTTCTGGAGCATCTGCAATGAGCTAAATACTCCATCAAAGACTATCAAGGTGCAAAAAAAAAAGGCATTTCATTGAATTTAAAATGCCATTGATTATGAGACACTACTATTTGATGTACCATGAAAAAAAAAATAAATAAACATTACGAATTGAACTGTATTAAAATGTTTAAGACATTATTGATTAAAAGATACACCCTCATTTTCAGGAAGTAATAATGTAAGAAATGTGCATTTTAGAATTGATACAATTCAACAATTAAAAATAGATTCTGACATTCAAGTGTTTACAATTCCATTTGGAAGAGGAAAAAAATCAACCCAGAAAAAAAAAAGTCACAGGTATTAGCAAAGTATAGAAGTTAAAAATAACACATACTTGTGGGGAAACATCTGAGCTTTAAGAAGGGTGCATGTTGGAAATAAAATTTACACAGCATGGTCGATCTAGATTATGTAAGCTTCAAAAACCAGATGGAGATTTTTGGGCTTATAGTGTTTTATAAACATTAAGAATAACATGATAAAAAATATTATACAAGCTGAAGAAAATAAGTTAGAGGACCAATCAGGAAAGTAAGATAGTAATGCAGGTACAAGGGATTTGACAACTTGAATCATGTTGAAGCCCATAAGAATGATGACCTATAAAGTACTTTTAAAAAACACAATTTTTGGCCAGGCACAGTGGCTCAAGCCTGTAATCCCAGCACTTTGGGAGGCCGAGGCGGGTGGATCACGAGGTCAGGAGATCAAGACCATCCTGGCTAACATGGTGAAACCCTGTCTCTACTAAAAATATAAAAAATTAGCCAGGCATGGTGGTGCGTGCCTGTAGTCCCAGCTACCTGGGTGGCTGAGGCAGGAGAATAGCGTGAACCCAGGAGGCAGAGCTTGCAGTGAGCCGAGATTGTGCCCCTGCACTCCAGCCTGGGCGACCGAGCAAGATTCCGTCTCAAAAAACAAACAAAAAAAAATACAATTTTAAAAATTTTTTGTAAAGACAAGATCTTACAGTGTTTCCCCTTGCTAGTCTCTAACTCCTAGCCTCAAGTGATCCTCCTGCCTCAGCCTCCCAAAATGCTGGGATTACAGGCCTGAGTCACCAGGCCCAAACAAAAGCCAATTTTTAATAAAATAAATGAGAACTTATTTTAAAAAATTTATTTGGGGATTAAAGAAAAAGGCTCATCAAAAATGACTTGACAATTTCTAGCTAGGGAAATCTGGACACTAGTGTTATAAGGACTATGAGCTGTGTTTCTCTAGGGTGCTGAGGAGCCCAACTTATCTATTTAGTGCTTGCCACATTGTAAGCCTTCAATAAATATTTCATGGATGGATGAATAAGTGAGTGATAAAGCCAGGATATCTGAGTTGAGTTGAGGTCATTCACATAAAGATGATGGTTGAATGAGAAGATATGAACTTCTCAAAGGAGCCAGTTTCCAGAAAGCCCAGGAAAGGACGATGGTTTAGGGAACAAAATTTGGAGTCTTGAAAACAAATGAAACATGAAAAAAAAACAGATAAAGAGAAGTTATAGAAACCAGTGAAAGCCTGGACCATGTATTCAAAGGTAAATAGAATTTCAAAAAAAAGAAAAAGTTATTCCATGTTGTAGAAAGTTACAGAGAAGTCAGAATACAGAGAATGAAGACAAGTTAAATTGACATGATACAATGAGATCAGCTGATCATTTTTCATAGAACAGCTTCAATAGGGTGGTAGAAGAGCTGCCAAATTAAAGAGCTTGAAAAGATACGATGGCATATAACTAGAGGCAGCTGGAGGTTGTGTCTGGAAACTGCTAGAGTGTCCATGACAGAAAATTCATTTCCAGAGTGTCATTTTCAGATAATGTTGACCTCCCTACCTTCTTCTAGAAATCTATCCTCCTTCTTTAAAATGCTATTTTTAATAATACTTATTTATATAAAACATATATGACTTTTTAATTTAAAATAATGAAAAGCTGGGAAGAAATATGATCAAATTACTTTAAAGAATCAGGAATAATATGGATAATGTGAACGAAGTTAATAAAATCCTAGGATATTAAAAATAATAGGGAACATGTTTTGAAGTTTAAAAGAAGTACTTTTATGTCAACTAAAAGGATATGGTGGGTAATGAAGTTATTGAATGCATTGTCTTATGTACTGGTAGAGACAGCAACAGAATAGTATCCAACAAGCTGAGAAGATGTTTGGATTATACATCAACTAAGGAAAGCATCCCTATTTCTGGATTTGTAATTGATGAATTAGAAAGCTATAGCACTGTCCCTCAAAATTTATTGTAGTGTCAGTATTATTTAGAATAATCAACTGGTCCAATACAATATGACATGTCTCTTTTTTAATCTTGAATCCTTTCTTTTTCAATTGAGTCAGGAGTCCCCTGTAACTTTTTTCTTGGAAATGTTCCTAAAAACCTGTATATTTTCCTGGAGCTATTTATGTAGATATTTTATAAGGATGAATAGTTAAATGCTAGAAGCACTAGAGCTATACATAAAGGTGAAACGCTAACTCTTTTCAAACAATGGTTATTTAAAGACATATTAATTAACCTGGATGAGGCTATGTAGAGTGAAAAGATGTTTTTTCTGATTTCTGAGGGGTCTCTCATTCTACATTAAAAATCTTTTACTTCCTGAGACAGATTTAAAAGATTAAGATTTTAAAACTTTATATGTATTTTTAAAGGCGTGGATCTAATTATTAATACATTGATAAATAATATTTCATTTGAGAATAAGCCATATTAGATGGACAAATTTGGGGGAAAAACTTCACAAGTTATTCAGTACTGAAATTCTAGAAGGCAGTGTGATAAGAGTACTAAAATGAAAGCAAATCAAGGTTATATAATCAGCTTTTTTGCTGACCTACGTTTTGTATTTTGTTGATTTTATCTCTAAAACTACATGATGCCTAAGTTTGAAAATGGCAGCAAATACTGAGAAATCATATGTGACTTTTTTTTTTTTTGAGGCAGAGTCTCACTCTGTCACCCAGGCTGGAGTGCAGTTGTGCATCTCTGCTCACTGCAACCTCCGCCTCCCGAGTTCAAGCGATTCTCCCGTCTCAGTCTCCTGAGCTCCTGAGTAGCTGGGATTACAGGCGCGTGACACCACCCCGGGCTAATTTTTGTATTTTTAGTAGAGACAGGGCAGGGTTTCATCATGTTGGCCATTATGGTCTCGAACTCCCAGCCTCAAGTGATCTGCCCACCTCGGCCTCCCAGAGCTCTGGGATTACAGGTGTGAGCCAACCCACTTCGCCCATACATGGCTATTTTTAATGAAAAGATTGTGAAAGATGATTAGTTTTTTTATAGTTGTACTTTTTGTGTACTCTTTAGCTATTATAGGTTGTTTGTTTACTAATCAGATGTGTTAAAATCACTGTCTTAAAAAAGCAGAAAACATGTATTTTGTTTATTTTATGTATATTTCTTGTGATTCTATAAAACAAGTCAAAGTACATGGCTTACTTTAAAGATGTGTTTAAATACATATGCAGTAATTAGTCTTGAAAAAATTAACTCTGGTGCATGAGAAAAGATTTCTTTTCACACAAGAAAAGAAATAGATGAATGATGGCATGTAGCTTCAAAGCTAAATGTGGCTAAATCATTGGTGTATTTAATCACTTGCATGATGGAGAAAGCATTATTATTATTACTATTATTATTATAGTTATTATTGTTTACACTACTGAATTCAGTACCCTGCGTTGCACCCTATACACAATGAAGCCTTTGAAGTTTCCAAGGAAAATAGAAAAAACTCCAAATTGTGGAGGAAAAAAGATTTCTTATTGACTAGTTCAATTATTCAAAAGAATTGTTATTATGATGTTTTGCATTTGATTTAAAACGATGGGGGAAGGAGGGTTGTAAACCAAACAGAATAAGCCATATGTTGATAAGTATTGAAGCTGGGTGACGGATACCTGGGAGAGGGCTTAATTTTACTATCCTTTCATTTTTTGTTTGAAAATTTGAAAACATCCATTATAAAATGTAAAGAAAAAGGTAAAAATATTAAAGCAAATTAACTTTATCAGAATATATGCCTTTGTGATCTCGGCAAGTGATCACTGAAATGTTAAAACCTTTATTTTCTTTGCAGACTCCCTCAGCATCCAGCGGGTGCTTTTTCGGTCTGCCAGTGAGCATTCCATGGTGCTGTGACCATTTTGACCTCTCTAGGGTGATGCAGCTGCCTGGGGACACAGAGGGTAAAAAATTCCTGAAGAAAAAGAAAAGTCCAAGTGGAAAAAGGAAACAAGGCCAGGCGCAGTGGTTCATGCCTGTAATCCCAGCACTTTGGGAGGCCGAGGCGGGTGGATCATGAGGTCAGGTGATTGAGACCATCCTGGTGGCTAACAGGGTGAAACCCCGTAAAAATACAAAAAATTAGCGGGGCATGGTGGGGAGCACCTGTAGTCCCAGCTACTTGGGAGGCTGAGGCAGGAGAATCATTTGAACCCGGGAAGCGGGGAGGTTGCAGTGAGCCAAGATCGCGCCACTGCACTCCAGCCTGGGAGACAGAGTGAGACTCTGCCTCAAAAAAAAAAAAAAAAAAAAAAAAAAAAAGGGAAACAAAAGAAAGAAGGAAGGAAGGAGGGAAGGAAGGGGAAGGGAAGGAAGGAAGGAAGGAAGGAAGGAAGAAAAAGAAAGAAAGAAAGAAAGAAAGAAAGAAAGAAAGAAAGAAAGAGGGAAAGAAAGAAAGAAAAAAAGAGAAAGTACTTAATTAGCCAGAGAGGGAGAGAGAAACTAGGTAAATACCTATGCCCAATATTGAGTGCTTTGGGAAAAATAACTCAAGAACTTTTTGTAATATTTTCTGAGTTTGTTTTTTACTTTTTTTGTATTTCTACTTTAAGAAGCAGTGATGTCTAAGAAACATGCTCTCATTTATTTTACTTGTTAAGTATGTTGTTACTCTTTAAACTTGATTCAGACTACTTTATGGTGTTTTTAAAAAGTGGTTTTTATATCATCATACAATATTACATTTTAAAATGTCTAAGATGTGCAGGCCCTTCCACCACCAAATGTCAGCACTACATGGAATTTTATTATTATTTTACAAAAAGAGGAACAACATAACTTTATTGTGCATGTGTTCACGAGCTCTTGTGCATCTGTGTGTAATAATATAGCTATTTATGTCTTAGCATGGATGACTCTAACTTGCAAGCTGTAGAGTCACACAACGTGTGCTCATCTCCATGGTAACCATTTCTAAGATAAATGCACTTCTGAACAATGGTCCCAAAATAGCCTATTACCCATTTTTGTAGATTTCCACTGTGGCAGCAAAAAACAATTTTGTAAAACCTTGATCCATTCTTTAACCAACAAAAATAGAGACAACAAACACATATCCAGATCTGCAGAGAAAATATTGTTAAGTGTAATGACATTTTCTACAACAAACTCAGGATTTCGTGGATCTGATTTTTATTTTATGAATTATCTATACTTAATGTCTCTCCTGCAACTTTTTGACTTCCTACATTTAGCTATTTATCTGTTCTGAGATTTCTTTTCTTTTTTTTCTTTTTTTCTGAGACAGGGTCTCACTGTCACCCAGGCTGGAGTGCAGTGGCAAGATCATAGCTCATAGCAACCTTGAATTCCCAGGCTCAAGGGATTCTCCTGCCTCAGCCTCCTAAATAACTGGGACTATAGGTGCACACGACTGTGCCTGGCAAATTTCTTTTTTTTTTTTAATTTTTAGAGATGGGGGTGTTACTATGTTGCCCAGTCTGGTCTCCAACTCCTGGGCTTATGATCCTTTTATCTTGGCCTCCCAAAGCATTGAGATTATAGGTGTGAGCCACCTTGTCAGGCCTGAGATTTCTTATCTGTAAAATGAAGGGGAAGAAATTATCTCCAAGGACTTTTTTAGGTCTAAACTTATGATTTTATGATTTCTCCACTCAAACCATTATGAGAAGGGAAGCAGGGGAAATAAAAACAACTGAAACTTAAGTTAGGCAATCTTTGCCCCTTGTTAGGTTAAATAAAAGAGACTTTTAAAACTATTTACCGGGCCGGGCATGGTGGCTCACGCCTGTAATCCCAGCACTTTGGGAGGCCGAGGTCGGTGGATCGACTGAGGCCAGGAGTTCGAGACCAGCCTGGCCAACATGGTGAAAATCCCCCGTCTCTACTAAAAATACAGAATTAGTTGTGTGTGGTGGCACATGCCTGTAATCCTAGCTACTCAGGAGGCTGAGGCAGGAGAATCGCTTAAACCCGGGAGGCAGACGTGGCAGTGAACCGAGATCGCTCCATTGCACTCCAGCCCGGGTGAAAAGAGTGGGACTTCATCTCAAAAAAAAAAAAAAAAAAAAAAAAAAAAAAAAAAAAAAAAAAAACAAATAAAACTATTTACCATCACAACTGGATTGCATTCCCATAAATTCCAAATAATTTAGTCTTTTTTTCCTATTAAAGTTGACAGCATTTTCTTAAAGTTTAGAATATCTTAATTTTCCCAGTGAGAATAGATTGAAAAGTGTTCTCACAATGGGGAAAACCACTTTCTGTAATTTTAAAGATGCTCATCCTTCACATACCCCTCCACATTGGCTCTGCTGGGGTTTTGATGTCAGACTCCTCTAAGAAAGCAGGAAAGCCTTTGTGAACCTCAAATGAACAGGGGCAGAATAGATGTCAATGAAGAGAATGGTAAAAAGCAGAGCTGATTCTACCCAGCCCTCTTCAGCTCCTGGGAAATGGAAAGCTGACTACTTGGGTTTGGTAGCTCTACCACTCCCCCTAACACTGCAACTCCCAGTGCCATTAAATTATCTATGTTCCAAGATTTAGAGGGATAGGGAGAAGATAGGCCCTTTTTTTAAAAAATTTTATTTTATTATTATTATTATTATTATTATTATTAATTATTTTGAGACGGAGTCTTGCTCTGTCTCCAGGCTGGAGTGCAGTGGCGCTATCTCAGCTCACTGCAATCTCTGCCTCCCAGGTTCAAGTGATTCCCCTGCCTCAGCCTCCTGAGTAGCTGGGACTACAGGTGTGCACCACCACACCCGGCTAATGTGTTGTATTATTAGTAAAGACAGGGTTTCACCATGTTGGCCAGGATGGTCTTGATCTCCTGACCTCATAATCTGCCCACCTCAGCCTCCCAAAGCACTGGGATTACAGGCGTGAGCCACCACGCCCAGCCCCTTTATTTTTATAAGGGTAAACCTTTTTTCAGAGCAGGCTTTGGCAGAATTGTGACACCATCTTTTTCCTTTGAAAGCAATCCTTATTGACCGCCCAACTCTGAGCACATTTCTTTGAAATGGTTTCCTGCCTTTGGAGTGCCACATCTTCTCTCACAGCATTCCTGAATGCTGATAAGTTCTCTCCTTCTGCTCTCTTCAGGGAAGGAGAATGTTATGCCTGTCCGTGTAAGAGACCACCTGAGCAGGCTTAGTGTGAGCAACAAGGCTGTTTATTCACTTGGGTGTAAGTGGGCTGAGTTTGAGAAAGGAATCAGCGAAGGGTGGTGGGATTATCGTTGATTCTTATAGGTTTGGGATAGGCGGTGGAGTCAGGAGCAATTATTTGCGGGCGGGGGATGGATGTTACAAAGTACATTCTCAAGGGCGGTGAGTGTGTATTGTCACAAGCGTGGGGAAGAATGTTACAAAGTACATTCACAAGGTTGGGGAATATCACAAAGTACATTATCACAAGGGCGGGGGAATGTCACGATGGCTCGACCATGGTGCGACCAGCTCAGAGGACCTTACAGAGAACTTCCTCCTTCTCTTATCAGGGCATAGGGAACTTCTTACAGCACATTCTGGCCAGACCAAGACTATCGCTGTTATTCTTTTCCCAACCCCAGACCCCACCAGACCCACCCCTAAACAGACTAACTCCTCTTACACCTTCCTCCTCAATACAAGGCTGCCTACTGACCTAATCCGTGCTAACAAAGGGAAAGGGGGGTCTGGAGCATTTGCATCTACCTTTTGGACGTAAGTATATTTAAAAAGCCACCCTCTGCAGTCAGTGCCACTACATTTTTTGGCTAAAGCAAAGAATGTTGGGGACTTTAAAACAGTAGAGCAGCACCATAGAATGCCTATGAATGGGATGGTTTAGGCAATGGGCTCTTCAGTGCATGGTTTCCATCAAAGTGCCACAGAAGATGTAAAACAGCTCAAGTGCAACTTTATTTTGGTTCCCATAAATTAGTCTGGATTTTGTACCTCAAATGTCCAACCCAATCAGTCATTGTCCACAGGCCAAGTGGGACTTGAGATCACTATGCCTGTCTTGTCCTGATCCCTTGTCAGACCAAGAACGGATATACCTCTCAGAAGGCCCATTTGTCTGAATTACATAATCTTTTTGGTTATGACCCTAGAACACTTTAAAGAGGCAGATATACATTACTAAGACCTGCCTACCTACATTTTCTTTCATTGGCATATAATTCCTACGAAATTTCTTGGTGTAGGTTTACTATATAACTCCTGTAACTCTTTCCTACTATGAGAATTTAGATTGTGTCTGATCTATGTTATTATTAAAAGCATTTCTGTAATCCCTGGGTGAGTATTACTGTTGACAAGACAGGTAGCACAAGTCCTGGTAGCTTCATGCCTGCCAGTTCTTAAAGAAGAGCAAATTACTTAGAAGAAAAACAAAGTGATTCATTCAGTAAGTGGTTGATTTTTCTCTCTTTCCACATGGTGACTCAGCAAAATGAAAGCATTGGGTACATTCTTACTTCTCGAAGAAACCAGGATTTAGGAAGCACTACTCATATAATTATGATATCACATGCTGTTAGCTTAAGTTCAGTTTGATAGACATGTTTTACCCCTTGGTTTGGCTATTGCCAAGAGTGTCACTTTGATATTTGTTCTTACCATCTCTTCTTTTTAAAATGTTGATAAAAATTACCATTAAGAAATGTGAAAATGTCTAGCTTTCAACACCTGTAGTCCCAACTATTTGGGAGACTGAGGAGGGAGGACTGCTTCTGGCTAGGAATTCAAGGCTACAGTGAGCCTGTGAATAGCTGGTGTATTCCAGACTGGGCAACATAGCAAGGCCCTGTCTTTAAAAAAAAAAAAAAAAAAAAAAATTGGCCGGGCGTGGTGGCTCACGCCTGTAATCTCAGCACTTTGGGAGACCGAGGCAGGCAGATCACAAGGTCAGGAGTTCGAGACCAGCCTGACCAACATGGTGAAACCACATCTTTACTAAAAATACAAAAATTAGCTGGGCATGGTGGCGTGCACCTGTAATCCCAGCTGCTCAGGAGGCTGAGGCAGGGAAATCGCTTTAACCCGGGAGGCGGAGGTTGCAGTGAGCCGAGATCTCACCACTGCACTCTAGCCACTGCACTCCAACCAGGGCGACAGAGCAAGACTTCGTATCAAAAAACAAAAAAAAAATTGTGCTGGGAGTGGTGCTGTGCGTTTGTAGTCCCAGCTACTCTGGAAGCTGAGGCACTAGCATCTCTTGAACCTGGCAAGTGGAGGTTGCAGTGAGCTGAGATCACACCACTGCACCCCAATTTGGAGGACAGAGCGAGATTCTGTCTCAAAACAAAAAAAAAAGAAAACAAAAAGAGTTTCTATTATATTATTTTTTATTCTAATGTATTATTTTAGCATAAATAAGAGTTCTGGTTTAGATTACGGACAAAACCTTTACATTCAGGTTTGGAAAAATGTCATTAAGTGTCAAAGCTGGGTGATCATTACATGGGAAGTTAATATACTCCTCTATTTACTCTTTTCATGTTTGAAATTCTCTGTAATAAAAATGTTTTTTTTGTTTGTTTGTGTTTTTGACTGCAAGTTCTGCCTCCCGGGTTCACGCCATTCTCCTGCCTCAGCCTCCCGAGTAGCTGGGACTACAGGCACCTGCCACCACGCCCGGCTAATTTTTTGTATTTTTAGTAGAGACGAGATTTCACATAAAACGTTTTTTAAAAGCCCAGATGCAATGGCTCATGCCTGCAATCTCAGCACTTTGGGAGGCCGAGGTGGGCAGCTCACCTGAGGTCAGGAGTTTGAGACCAGCCTGGCCATCTCAAACCCGCCCCTATTAAAAATACAAAAATTAGCCAGGCAGGGTGGTGCAGGTGCCTGTAGTCCCAGCTAGTTGGGAAGCTGCAGCAGGAGAATTGTTCGAAACCAGGAGGTGGAGGTTGCAGTGAGCACAGATCGTGCCACTGCACTCCAGCCTGGGAGACAGAGGCAGCCTCCGTCTCAAAACAAAACAAAACAAATCAAAATTAAAAAAAAAAAAAACCCTTCCCACTAAAGGTAGGAATACCTCTTGAAATGAAAAGGACATAAGAGAAAAAGAAACAATTTCACATGAATTAAGCTAATCTGTCTCCCATGAAGAGAAGGAAAAAAATTCCTTATTTCTAGTACAGTGTTTGATTATATTTTCACATGACCTCATTCCACAAAAAATCTGAGGCAGTTTAACTAACTCTGATAATTGTAGTCAAGTCCATTGCTTTGTGTCAAGCTGATATTTAACATTAAATAATGATGGTGGTGGTGGTGGTGGTGATATTTACCTTATATTAACTTTTTTCTCACAAAAACAAAAGCAGTATGAAACAGATGCCAGTTGTACATCCGTGGAATGGGAGTTTGCCAGCTAGCACTGAAATCAAGAGAAGAGGTATTTTGCCAACGAGAGAATATTGTCAACACTCAAAGACATTAATGTCTAGGTATTTGAACGCTGAACCAATACCAAATATTTTTAGAACCTGTTGCTTCTTTCATTTTTGTGACCCTTTCACATATCTTATGCTTCTTCTTCATGTTAAGTTTTACTTCTTAGGAACAGGGTATGGTATGAATAGGGTGTAGCAGCAACAGATTTCCAAATGTGCTATTTTACACAGAGCAGTCTTGAAAGCTGAAAAGCTGGCTGGGCCTACATTAGCAGCCAGTTTCTGAGACTAAATTTACAATATTTCTGCAATCATTCTGAGGCAGACTAACTATGGCTTATGTAATGTGCAGAAGCCACAGGATTTCTTTAAAACACTGTACATTTCATTAAGGAAACATCCAACCCTTTATTACTTATAACAATAAGAAAAAGGGATATGTAGACAAATGATAACTTGCAGACCATTAAAAGACTTTTTGGTAATCAGCAGTTTCCATTTCTTCTTTTATACAAAACTGTTTAGTTAAGGTGTTCAAATGAAAGCAAAACAAAACAATTTGAGTCTCATGTTTTCAGTTCTCCTTCCCACCCTCTGTTGGAGGTGCCAAAGGTCTTGGCAGCCAGAGGGAGGCAGATAAAGAGAGAACTTGAGTAAATGATCTACAGTGGAATATTTAGTCCTGATAAAATGTTGATAACAGAGGCTACCCTATTACTGTCATGGAAAGATTGCCATAGGGTAATGCATTGAACTCATTAGGAAAGAGGCTCTTTTACAGATCCAGATGACATTCTAAAAAGCTTTAGGTTTTTTTGTTTGTTTGTTTTGAGATGGAGTCTCACTCTGTCTCCCTGGGTGGAGTGCAGTGGCGTGATCTCTGCTCCCTGCAACCTCCACCTCCCAGGTTCAAGCAATCCTCATGTCTCAGCCTCCTGAGTAGCTGGATTACTGGTGCCCGCTACCATGCCCAGCTAATTTTTGTATTTTTAGTAGAGACATGGTTTTACCATGTTGGCCAGGCTGGTCTCAAACTCCTGACCTCGGGTGATCCACCCGCCTCAGCCTCCCAAAGTGCTGGCATTACAGGCATGAGCCACCGCCCCCGGCATAGAAAGTTTTCTTTTTAACATTTATGCCAGGTTAAACCCGGATGCTTAGCACATGATTACCAGGGTATACAATCGCTCCTGTTATGCCATTTTTGATAGACTCATTACAATGCATAGTGGTTTCAAATCTAGGGTCTCTGGAGCTTTATATGGTCTTAACGAAACCATAAACTATTTAAAATTGTACTACAATATTTGTATATATTTTATGGATAGGATGACCAGCTTCAGCAGGGGGATCCATTACTCAAAGCTAATTAGAGGCCAGGTGCAGTGGCTCACGCCTGTAATCCCAGCACTTTGGGAGGCCGAGGCAGGTGGATCACGAGGTCAAGAGATCTCGAGACCATCCTGGCCAACATGGTGAAACCCTGTCTCTACTAAAAATACAAAAAATTAGCTGCGAGTGGTGGCACATGCCTATAGTCCCAGCTACTTGGGAGGCTGAGGCAGGGGAATTGTTTGAACCCGGGAGATGGAGATTGCAGTGAGCTGAGATCGCGCCACTGCCCTCCAGCTTGGTGACAGAGCAAGACTCTGTCAAAAAAAAAAAAAAAAAAAAAAAAAAGCTAATTAGAAACCTTGTAACCAAAAATTAATTTGGCCAACACCAGCATAAAGAAAAAATGATTTCAGCTTTGTTTTTATTTCTTCTTTGACTCCATGGGGAAAATGAATAAAGATGAGTGGCTCACTTCATTCCTTTATTCTGATTCAATTCACAGGCTTTAAGTCTTTCACTGTCTTTTAAAACAGGAGGGTGCTCTAAGCTAATTCTGTTATTTCCAGAATTGCACATCCAAAGTTCTCTTCTGATGTTTGGAAGTCCCATAGTCTGTAATGTAGTAGCAGGTGCATTTTTAGCCAATGTATTATATAACAGAACTACTAGCACTTTTGGCTAATATATTAGATAACATATTTTTATTTAAATCAACTTACAAATGTTTTCTGCTCAAGTAAAACAATTCTATAATTAAAATGTGACATAAGAAAGTATACATACATATGTAATGCTAAAGTTTGCTTTAATGTGTTCCTAATATTTTACATGTAGAATCAACTATATAAATAAATTGGACACTAATTAGGAAATGTGGGTTTCCTCTCTTCACAAACTAAAAGTAAATTGTTCATCCTTTCATTTCAAATATAGCACAAATGAAGACCATTGGGAATATAAGAAATGTAAAAAGTAGTTGTAGAAAATGTGAATAAACTCTGATTCTAAAGGTTTGTGCAAAGAGTAATGAGTTGAAGCAATTAAAAATAATCTATGAAATGGTAAAACTTTAATGTGCAAACAATCCAGGTGGGGCAGTGTATGTTCACAGTTTTAAAGAAAAACATGATTTTATAGTAGCAGCTTAGTTTGTATGACTGTACTTAAGTAACACTGGCTTTTTTTTTTTTTTTTTTTCAGACAGGGTCTCACTTTGTCACCTAGGGTGAAGTGCAGTGGTGCGATCTCAGCTCACTGCAGTCCCTACCTCCCAGGCTGAAGCTATTCTCCCACCTCAGCCTCCCAGGTAGCTGGGACCATGGGCACATGCCACCACGCCCAGCTAATTTTTTCTTTTGTATTTTTAATAGAGACAATCTTTCACCATGTTGCCCAGGATGGTCTCAAACTCCTGAGCTCAGGCAATCTGCCCAACTCGACCTCCCAAAGTGCTGGCATTACAGGTGTGAGCCACTGTACCTGGTCAGAATTTAAATTTTTTAAATTATTGTTATTATTCTTTTGTAGAGAGGGGATCTTGTTATGTTGCCCAAGCTGGTCTCGAACCCCTGGCCTCATGTGATCCTTCTGCCTCTGCCTCACAAAGAGTTGGGATTGCAGGTGTGAGCCACTGCACTTGGCCTGGATTTTAATTTAAGTGGGACTACAAAGTTGAATTTAAACATCAGTGAACAACTGACTTATTGTAAACATTTAGATTTCAGCAATGTCTTACTGGGGAAAATAATCTTATAATGAGTTTATAATACTTTAACATAGTATATATTTTTATAATAAGAAAAAAAATGTCCTTAACATTTGCACATAATCAAGGCTTAGAAGTATAACGATTATGGTGTGTACTTAATGTGAAATGGTGAAAACGTCATTTTTGGAAGTTATTACTTTGAAATAGGAGTTTGTCAAGCACAGCAATTTAATACAATTAGGTAGATTTTTAATTCTGTTTTGGTTGAATGCTAAAACACAATGTGTTGGCTATTTAAAGTAGACCATTATTCTCTAGTCACTACTCTCATTTCTTTGCCACTCTCTCCCTCCATTACACTCATGTAAAAAAAGAAAAATCCATAACCCTCTATCTTCTCTGGGCCTGAAGCCATGTACTAACATAGAAAATCACAAAACTGGGCAGAGTGGAGTGATAATAATAATAACAATAACTTTAAGAGTAGTAATAAAAGGCAACATTTATAGCTAGTATAACCACATATGAGACAATGCTAAAAATAATCTCATATATTCCTCATGACAATCTAGTGAGGTAGGTACAATTATCCCCATTTATGGTGAAAATCTGAGGATTAGAGAGCTTTATTCATATGTCCAAGGTCACACTACTGTAAGTAGCAAAGCCAGGTTTTCAACTCTGTTAATCTGACCCCAGACTCTAGGCTTTTTTACTGCTAACCATTTAAGTGCATGACACCAAGCACAAATGAATATTTAACATTTTCTGATGTATGACCTCCCTCTTAGGATTGTGAAATATTTCTATTTCATTGGAGAAATAGAAGATATAAGAAAATGGGAAATTCTCATCTTCTCAAAACCAATTCTACTGACCTACATCAGTGCACTCCAGTGGAGCTCTTCCCCTTACCAGCTGTGACCTTAGACACTCATCTGTTTAATAGGAATGATTATGGGTACCTACTTTGTTGGGAACAGGCCCCCCAAAATCTGGCCATAAACTGGCCCCAAAACTGGCCGTAAACAAAATCTTTTCAGCACTGTGACATATTCATGATGGCCATGACGCCCATGCTGGAAGGTTGTGGGTTTACCGGAATGAGGGCAAGAAACACCTGGCATACCCAGGGCAGAAAACCATTTAAAGGCATTCTTAAACCACAAACAATAGCATGAGCAATCTATGCCTTAAGGACATTCTCCTGCTGCAGATAACTAGCTAAACCCATCCTTTTATTTTGACCCATCCCTTTGTTTCCTGTAAGGAATACTTTTAGTTAATCTATAATCTATAAAAACAATGCTTATCACTGACTTGCTGTCAATAAATACATGGGTAAATCTCTGTTCGAAGCTCTCAGCTCTGAAGGCTGTGAGATCCCTGATTTCCCACTCCACACCTCTATATTTCTGTGCGTGTGTCTTTAATTCCTCTAGCACCACTGGGTTAGTGTCTCCCTGACCAAGCTGGTCTCGGCAAGCAGCGCCCATACGTGGGGGCTCGAATCCAGGTCGAAGGATCACCAGAGCGACAGTTGGAGAACGTGGAACTAAGCTGGAGGACACCCGAGTACTCTTAAAGCAGTCCCCATGGTCAGTAAGAAGGGGAGCTCGGAGGCATCAAGGTAACAATGGGACAAGGGTGGACTCTGGTTCATTCCACCTTGGAACCTTTTCACACTGATGATGAGGAGGAAGGGGAGTATAACGAAGTAACAGAAGAGGTTACAGAGCAGGTTTGTTTGCCAGCTAAAGCTAAAGCGGCAAAGGAGGGAGAGGTTCATCCTTACCCTTCTGCACTCCATCCTTATTTTGAAGAAAAAGAGTGGCCTGACCCTCCAGATGCTTCTTTTCCAGAGGACACTGGGTGAAAAGTAGTTGCCCCAATGACTGAGCAGCGCCTCCAGCGACCGCTCTCAGTTCTATTCAGGTGGGAATCCAGCAAGCTAGAAGAGAGGGTGATATAGAGGCTTGGCAGTTCCCTGTTAGAATACACCCCCCAGATCAACAGGGGAATATTATAGCTACGTTTGAGCCTTTTCCTTTTAAATTCGGGAAATGCCATGAGGGGCCCGTCCCAGGCCCCATTCCAAACCAGGGCATTTCCGGCTCAGGCCATTCCCTCACCCCTGTACAATGTCTGTCCCCCGCCACAGCCAGTAGTGCCACAGTAGATTTATGCTGCACAAAACCTGTGAGCCTTCTGCCTGGGGAACCCCCACAAAAGGTCCCAACAGGAGTCTGTGGACCCTTGCCAGCGGGGATGATAGGATTACTTCTAGGAACGTCTAGTTTAAATTTAAAAGGGGTACAAATACAAACAGGAGTCAATGATTCAGATTACAATGGGGAAATTCAAATTGTTATATCTACTTCTGTTCCCTGGAAAGCAGAGCCAGGAGAACGTATAGCACAGCTCCTGATTGTGCCATATGTGGAAATAGGGAAAAATGAAATTAAACTAACAGGAGGGTTTGGAAGCACAAATAAACAAGGCAAAGCAGCTTATTGGGTAAATCAAATTACTGATGAACGTCCTACCTGTGAAATAACTATTCAGGGAAAGAAATTTAAAGTTTTGGTAGATACAGGAGCAGACATTTCAGTCATTTCTCTACAGCACTGGTCATCCACGTGGCCCATTCAACCTGCTCAATTTAACATAGTTGGAGTTGGTAAAGCCCCTGAAGTATATCAAAGTAGTTATATTTTGCAATGTGAAGGACCTGATGGACGACCTGGGACTATTCAACCAATTATAACTTCTGTACCTATAAATTTATGGGGGAGAGATTTATTACAAGAATGGGGAGCACAAGTTCTAATTCCAGAGCAATTATCCGATGGAGAGATTCCGGGAGAAATCCGAGGACCCCCCAGTTGCAGCCATGTAAAGGCTGACACTAAGGAGGACCCCAACTGTCATGAGCAACACCCGTCGAACACAGCCACCCACCTGGGGACAGATGAAGAAACTGTCACAGATGGCAGAAGAAAACCTGAGGAAAGCAGGACAACCAGTCACAATGAGTAATTTAATGGTAGCTATGATAGCGGTGATCACCATTGCTGTGTTTATTCCTTCGACAAGGGCTGACACAGAGAAAAATTATACTTATTGGGCATATTTATCAATCTTGGCTGGCAATAATGCCTGGATGTAATCACTCTATGACACAGTTACACATGCTTTCTGGTCTCAGTATGTACCATAATAAATCTGCTCCTATAATTGAGGGATACCGTCCTCAAAAACCTATTTGTAAACAGGATTGGACCCAGTCAGAAAAAATGAATGTACTTGTTTAGGAAGACTGCATTGCAGAACAGGCAGAGGTGCTGCGCAATGATTCCTATGGAATCATTATTGATTGGTCCCCTAAGGGGATGTTTAGCTTGAATCGCACCTCTCAGTCTGTGTGCCACGGTCACACTATGTTCAGCTGGTCTGAACAAAACGGTCAGATGGCAGAAATGATAAGAAGTACGCAAGAGTTCCTATATCTGGAATCATGGCGGTATAGTGGTACCTTAACCTCAAATGATATGGCCCATTATAGGAGCTACACATAAGGATTTGTGGAAATTATTAATAGCTGTTAATAGGATTAAAATTTGGGAAAGAATAAAAAAGCATCTAGAAGGACACTCTACAAACTTGTCTTTGGATATTGCAAAATTAAAAGAAAAAATATTTAAAGCATCCCAGGCACACCTGACCTTAATGCCAGGAACTAGAGTGCTTGAAGGAGTTGCAGACAGATTAGAAGCTAGTAACCCATTAAAATGGATAAAAACTCTTAGAAGCTCTGTGATTTCAATGATTGTGCTTTTAATCTGTGTTATTTGTCTTTGTATAGCCTGCAGATGCAGATCCTGATTCCCGCAAGAAGTAGCTAACTGTGACAAAGCTGCTTTTGCTTTTATCGCTTTGCAAATCAAAGAAGGAGGACATGTTGGGAGCAGGCCCCCCAAAATCTGGCCATAAACTGGCCCCAAAACTGGCCATAAACAAAATCTCTGCAGCACTGTGACATTTTCAAGGTAGCCATGATGGCCACGCTGGAAGGTTGTGGGTTTACCAGAATGAGGGCAAGGAACACTGGCCCACCCAGGGTGGAAAACTGCTTAAAGGCGTTCTTAAAGCACAAACAATAGCATGAATGATCTGTGCCTTCAGGACATGCTCCTGCTGGAGATAACTAGCCAAACTCATCCTTTTATTTTGACCCATCCCTTTGTTTCCCATAAGGAATACTTTTAGTTAATCTATAATCTATAAAAACAATGCTTATCACTGACTTCCTATCAATAAATATGTGGGTAAATCTCTGTTCAAGGCTCTCAGCTCTGAAGGCTGTGAGTCCCCTGATTTCCCACTCCACACCTCTATATTTCTGTGTGTCTTTAATTCCTCTAGCGTCACTGGGTTAGAGTCTCCCCGACCGAGCTGGTCTCAGCACTACTTTAAGAGTTTGCTATGAAGATGAAACATATTAATACATGTTAAGACACTTGGACAGGACATGACACATTGAAAGTGATCAATAGATGTTAGCTAATATCATATCTTGTCTCCTCCCTGCACTTCCCCCCGAAACCAATCAAAAATCAGTCTGGACATATATCATCTGCTTCCCATCCATCTCTCTTGTTCTATCAGGGCCTCGGCTCCTTTGCTTATTCCTTCTTTCTCTATTGAATCATAAACCTCTCCCTCTCTACTGGATAATCTGGCAACTTTCATTGAAAATAAACAAAAACCTTCCCTTAACCCTCTAGTTACTGCCCATCTCTTGTTCCCTTCACAATCAAAAGTCTCAAAAGGCTTATCTACATATGTTATTTTCACATCCCTTTCTCCCATTCTATACTTAATTAATCTCTTCCATTCTGCTGAAACTATTCTTCTCAAAGTACCAAAAACTTACAGGTTGCCAAATTCAATGAGTACTTTTCTGTTTAGTTTACTTCTTATTCCATTTCTCAGCAGTAGTCAACTGGGTTGACCACATCGTCTTGAAATACTTTCTTCCCCTGGCTCCCGAGATGCCATTTACTTATGATTTGCTTCTACCTCCTTTCACACATGTCCGTGTGAAGAGATCACCAAACAGGCTTTGTGTGAGCAATAAAGCATTTTAATCACCTGGGTGCAGGTGGGCTGAGTCCGAAAAGAGAGTCAGTGAAAGGAGATGGGGTGGAGCTGTTTTACAGGATTTGGGTAGGTAGTGGAAAATTACAGTCAAAGGGGGTTGTTCTCTGGCTGGCAGGGGTGGGCGTCACAAGGTGCTCAGTGGGGGAGCTTTTGAGCCAGGATGAGCCAGGAGAAGGAATTTCACAAGGTAATGTCATCAGTTAAGGCAGGAACCAGCCATTTTCACTTCTTTTGTGATTCTTCACTTGCTTCAGGCCATCTGGATGAATATGTGCAGGCTTGGGCTCAGAGGCCTGACATTCCTGTCTTCTTATATTAATAAGAAAAATAAAACAAAATAGTGTTGAAATGTTGGGGCGGTGAAAATTTTTGGAGGTGGTATGGAGAGATAATGGGCGATGTTTCTCAGGGCTGCTTTGAGCAGGATTATGGGTGGCGTGGGAACCTAGAGTGGGAGAGATTAAGCTGAAGGAAGATTTTGTGGTAAAGGGTGATATTGTGGGGTTGTTAGAAGAAACATTTGTCGTATAGAATGATTGGTGATGGCCTGGATACAGTTTTGCATGAATTGAGAAACTAAACAGAAGATACAAGGTCTAAATAAAAGAAGGAGAAAAATAGGTATTAAAGGACTAAGAATTGGGAGGACCCAGGACATCCAATTAGAGAGTGCCTAAGGGGGTTCAGCGAAATTACTTGCTTGGTTGGTGAGTTTTTGGGAAAAGACCATTAGTCCGTTTTACCTTTCCTGAAGATTGAGGATGGTAAGGGGTATGAAGGTTCCACTGAATACCAAGAGCCTTATAAACTGCTTGGGTGATTTGACTAGTAAAGGCCAGTCTGTTATTGGACTGTATAGAGGTTGGAAGGCCAAACTGAAGAATTATGTCTGACAGAAGGGAAGAAATGACCACAGTGGCCTTCTCAGACCCTGTGGGAAAGGCCTCTCCCATCCAGTGAAAGTGGCTACCCAGACCAAGAGGTATGTTAGTTTCCTGATTCGGGGCATGTGAGTAAAGTCAATTTGCTAGTCCTGGGCAGGGGCAAATCCCCGAGCTTGATGGGTAGGAACGGGAGGAGGCCTGAACAATCCCTGAGGGGTAGTAGAATAACAGATGGAACACTCAGAAGTGATTTCCTTGAGGATAGATTTCCATGATGGAAAGGAAATGAGAGGTTCTAAGAGATGGGCTAGCGGCTTGTAACTTACATGGAAGAGGTTATGATATGACGACAGAATATAATGGGCCTGTGAGGCTGGAAGGAGATATTTTCCTTGGTCCAAGAACTATTTGCCTTGTGTGGGAAGAGACTGATAGGTGGAAGTTTCAGTGGGGGAGTAGGTGGGAGTGACCGATAAGAAGAAGAAAAACTGGCCATGAGGGACAGAAGTTGGAATGCTAGCTGCTTCTTTACCTCCCTTATCAGCATAAGCGTTGCCCAGAGCAATGGGACCTGATGCCTTTTGATGGCCCTTGCAGTGAATGACTCCAGCTTCCTTTGGATGTAAAGCAGCCTTGATGAGAGTTTTTATTAAAGAGGAATTAATGATGGAGGACCCTTGTGTAGAGAGGAAACCCCTTTTTTGCCCATATAATGGCATGGTGGTGCAGGATATGGAAAGCATATTTAGAGTCAGTATAAATATTGACACGTAGTCCTTTTGCAAGACTGAGAGCTTGAGTTAAGGCAATGAGTTTGACTTGCTGAGAGGTAGTGGAGGGAGGCAGAAAGTATATGCATCAGGTGTGAGGAAGAAAATGATTTTGGAAGTTATGAAAACTGTAGAGAGTGAGTTGGATACAGTTTGTGATTTTGAGGGCCTCTAAAAGTATTAAGGCAGCAGCAGCCACCGCACGCAGACACGAGGGCTAGGATAAAAAGGCTACAGCACACAGTCCCAGCTCTTGTGTAAGAATTCTGACCACATGGCCCTGCACTTTGGCTGTGTGTGATGAAAAAGGGTTGGGAGGAGACAGGGAAAGCTAGTGTGGGAGCAGCTTCTAGGGCTGTTTTTAAGGAATGGAAAGAGGAGTGGCAAAAGGATTTAGGATCTATGGGGTCAGCTAGGTTTGCTTTTGTGCGTTTACATAATGATTTAGTCAGGGTGGTAAAACTAGATATCCAAAGGCGGAGTATCTAACCATGCCTAGGAAGGAAAGGAGTTGTTGCTTTGTAGAAGGAGTTGGGGTTTGGGAGATTAGCCAGACACGATCCGTAAGGAGAGCATGTGTATTTTCATGAAGAATTATGTTGAGATAGGTAAAGGATGAGGAAGAAATTTGGGCTTGACTGATGTAATGGGGGCTGTCTGTGAAGCCTTGTGGCAGTACAGCCCAGGTAATTTGCTGAGCCTGATGGGTGTCAGGGTCAGTCCAAGTGAAAGCGAAGAGAGGCTGGGATGAACGGTGCAAAGGAATAGTAAAGAAAGCATGTTTGACATCCAGAACAGAATAACGGGTTGTGGAGGGAGATATTAAGGATAGGAGAGTATATGGGTTTGGCACCACGGGGTGGATAGGCAAAACAATTTGGTTGATAAGGCGCAGATACTGAACTAACCTGTAAGACTTGTCCGATTTTTGGACAGGTAAAATGGGGGAATTGTAAGGAGAGTTTATAGGCTTTAAAAGACCATGCTGTAACAGGCGAGTGATAACGGGCTTTTAATCCTTTTAAAGCATGCTGTGGAATGGAATATTGGCATTGAGTGGGGGTAAGGGTGATTAGGTTTTAATGGGATGGTAAGGGGTGCATGATCGGTCACCAAGGAGGGAGTAGAGGTGTCCTATACTTGTGGATTAAGGTAGGGAGATGCAAGGGGAGGATGTGAAGGATGCTTTGAACTGGGGAAAAGGGTGGCAATGAGATGTAGCTGTAGCCTAGGAATAGTCAGGGAAGCAGATAATTTAGTTAAAATGTCTCAGCCTAATAAGGGAACTAGGCAGGTGGGGATAACTAAAAAGGAGTGCATAAAAGAATATTGTCCAAGTTGGCACCAGAGTTGGGGAGTTTTAAAAGGTTTAGAAGCCTGGCCATCAATACCCACAACAGTTATGGAGGCAAGGGAAACAGGCCCTTGAAAAGAAGGTAATGTGGAGTGGCTAGCCTCTGTATTGATTAAGAAGGGGACGGACTTAACCTCCACTGTAAGAGTTACCCAAAGTGTCTATGATGGTCCAGGAAGCTTCTGAGGCAATTGGGCAGCATCAGTCTTCAGACGCTAAGCTGATAAGATCTGGGAAGGAGTCACTCAGAGAGCCTTGGGCCAGAGTTCCAGGGGGTCTGGGAGTGGCTGCCAGGTAAGCTGAACAGTCCAATTTCCAGTGGAGTCCTGCACAGATGGGACGAGGCTTAGGAGGAATCCCAGGCTGTGGGCATTCCTTGGCCCAGTGGCCAGATTTCTGGCACTTGAAGCAAGATCCTGATGGAGAAGGTCCTGTAGGAATGCTTGACTTCTGCAAGTTAGGCATTTTGAAGTTCTTGTGTGCTGGAGATGTGGCTGGGGTTTCTCTCACAGTGGACATAAGGAATGGCAACTCAGAAATACATTGCTACTTGGCTGTTTCTACTCTATTATTGTACACCTTGAAGGCTAGGTTAATTAAGTCGTGTTGTGGCGTTTGAGGGCCGGAATCTAATTTTTGGAACTTTTTTTTTTTTTAATGTCAGGAGCTGACTGGGTGATAAAATGCATATTGAGAATAAGATAGCCTTCTGGGTCTAGGGCTGTAAAGCATCTCAGGGTTGCTGCCAAATGGGCCATGAACTGGGCTGGGTTTTTCATATTTGATGAAAAAGAGCCTAAACGCTAACTGATTTGGGAGAGCATTAACCTTGACTACGCCTTTAGCTCCAGCCACCTCTTTAAGAAGAAATCATTGGGCAGGTGGGGGAGGGCTAGTCGCGGAATGAAACTGTAAGCCGGACTGGGTGTGAGGAAGGGAAGTGAAAAAAGGATTATAGGGTGGGAGAGCAGAGGCTGAGGAAGAATTGGGACCTGGCCCAGCCTGGCAAGGAGCAGCCTGGGGAGGAGGGGAGAGGTCAGATGGGTCCATAAAAAAGGAAGATTGAAAAGACTCAGCAACACTTGGGGTTGGGACTGAGGGGACAGGTGGGAGGGAAAGAAGGAAGATTTGGGATGAGTTGCATTGGGAACAGAGACTAGGGAGGGACTGATGTGTAAAAGAATGCCTGGACATCAGGCATCTCAGACCATTTGCCCATTTTACGACAAGAATTATCTAGATCTTGTAGGATGGAAAAATCAAAAGTACTGTTTTCTGGCTATTTGGAACCATTGTCAAGTTTGTATTGGGGTTAAGTGGCATTGCAGAAGAAAATAAGGTGTTTAGGTTTTAGGTCAGGGGTGAGTTGAAGAGGTTTTAAGTTCTTGAGAACACAGGCTAAGGGAGAAGAAGGAGGAATGGAGGGTGGAAGATTGCCTGTAGTGAAGGAGGCAAGTCCAGAGAAAAGAGAGGGTAAAGACACAGAGAGAAGGGGTGGGGAGTGCTTGCCACCCAGGAAAGTGGAGAAGGGGTGGGGGGTGCTTGCCCCCCAGGAAAGTGGAGAGAAAAGAGAGGGTAGAGGCACGGAGAGAAGGGGTGGGGGGTGCTTGCCCCCCAAAAAGTGGTGCTTGCCACTAAGGGCGAAGGATCATGGTGGGCATCCTCATGGTGATCAGACACCTCTGAAACGTGGGTGAATAATCAAGCAGGCGTCCCCACAGTGATTAAACACCAAGGGAAGACTGTCTTCCCGAGTCTATGACCGGCACCGGAGTTTTGGGTTGACAGATAAAACGTGTCTTCTCCGTCTCTGCCAGAAAAGGAAAGGAACTGAAATTAAGAGAAGGGAGAGATTGAAGGATGGTGCCAAGATAGAAAGGAGAAAGAGGTTGAGGGATAGTGAGAGAGGTTGGAGAAGAGAGTAAAGAGTGGTGGCTTACCTGATTTAAAATTGGTGAGATGTTCCTTGGGCTGGTTGGTCTGAGGACCAGAGGTCATAGGTGGATCTTTCTCACGGAGCAAAGAGCAGGAGGACAGGGGATTGATCTCCCAAGGGAAGTCCCCTGATCCGAGTCATAGCACCAAATTTCATGCACATCCATGTGAAGAGACCACCAAACAGGCTTTGTGTGAGCCATAAAGCTTTTTAATCACCTAGGTGCAGGCGGGCTGAATCCGAAAAGAGAGTCAGTGAAGGGAAATAGGGGTGGGGCCGTTTTATAGGATTTGGGTAGGTAGCAGAAAATTACAGTCAAAGGGGATTTTCTCTGGATGGCAGGGGTGGGCGTCACAAGGTGCTCAGTGGGTGAGCTTTTGAGCCAGGATGAGCCAGGAGAAGGAATTTCACAAGGTAATGTCATCAGTTAAGGCAGGAATCTGCCATTTTCTTTTTTTTTTTTTTTTTTTTTGAGATGGAGTTTCGCTCTTGTTGCCCAGGCTGGAGTGCAATGGCACGATCTGGGCTCACTGCAACCTCCACCTCCTGGGTTCTAGCGATTCTCCTGCCTCAGCCTCCCGAGTAGCTGGTATTACAGGCATGCACCACCACGCCCAGCTAATTTTTGTATTTTTAGTAGAGACAGGGTTTCACCATGCTGGTCAGGCTGGTCTCAAACTCCCAACCTTAGATGATCCACCCGCCTCGGCCTCCCAAAGCGCTGGGATTACAGGTGTGAGCCACCACGCCCGGCCGAATCTGCCATTTTCACTTCTTTTGTGATTCTTCACTTGCTTCAGGCCATCTGGATGAATACGTGCAGGCTTGGGCTCACAGGCCTAACACCTCATAAGTCTTCCTTTTTCCTTTCCTTTCCTTTCTTTCTTTCTTTTTCTTTCTTTCTTTCTTTCTCTTTCTTTCTTTTCTTTCGTTTTTTTCTTTCTTTTCTTTCTCTTTCTTTCTTTTTCTTTCTTTCTTTGTTTCTTTCTTTCTATTACACACTATTTTCCTTTTTAAAAAAATACTCTCCAAAAAGTATCTCAATTTATTCCCATGGCTACAAATAATACCCAAATTCTGATAACTTCAAATTTGTATGCTAGGCCTCCCCTTGGAGGTCCAGTTCAATAGATTCAATATATTTTCAAATTTTTGAAAGAATATTCACCTCTGGAGTGAATATTCATCTCTGGAGTTTTTACATTTGATGTAAATGTAAAAATGTAAAAATGTAAATAGATTATTTTTGTTCAGCTGAAAGTTGGTATCATCAAAATGCTAACCCTGTATTCTAACTCATTTTGTTCTACCATTGATATTGCCTATTTTCCATGTAGCATTTTAACGTTAAAAAATTATAAACCTAAAATGATCAACCAATATTTGTATTCACTGATATATATTCCATCATATACTATTCATGCATAAGTCTAGCCTAATAAATATCTAAAACAAAAAAACAAAAAGCAAAAACAACAAAAAAGGAAAGCTAAATCTATAGTTTTATAGAGCAGGTGCAAATAAACATGTGTGAGTTATATTACCAAAGATTAGGCATACTATAAGATGAATCTAATTGGATGTGAGTGGTCAAGATCAAGGCTGTAATTAATTCTTTATTTTATTTCATTTTTTTAACTTTTCAGATCAGCTGTATTTCTGGCATCTCTTCTACTGATTACTGGAGATACCTCATGTGTCTTTATTCTGGTCTCAGTTACTCTTCTGCTCTACTGAGTTGCAATCTCTGGCTAAGTCTTAACTCCTTCCTTCATTTACTATGGATACTGTTGCCCTGTCTTTTCCTCACTGTTGCCCTGTCTTTTCCTCATTCTCTTTCTTAATAATTTTTTGGGGAATAAATGTTATACCTTGTGGTCTTTGCCAAGCAGAAGAACAGGACATGAATTACTGTTAAACCACAGGGAAATCTATTGTCCTTTTCCACTGTTGTTCACCCAGGGTTGGTTTCTCTGCATTATGGTCTCACCAAATGCAATTTTTTAGAATGGCACTTCCTTGAAAAGCTCTATTAATTTGTTATTCACTTATGTCTGACTCTTCCCACAGCTTGGGCCCTTTTTCTTTCTGCATTCAATTTTGTCAGAAGGTGGTGGCTTCCCAAAGGAAGGGTTGAAGGACAGACAAAATTA
Source organism: Homo sapiens (assembly GCF_000001405.40). Taxonomy (NCBI): domain Eukaryota; kingdom Metazoa; phylum Chordata; class Mammalia; order Primates; family Hominidae; genus Homo; species Homo sapiens. The sequence continues at coordinate 183,042,478 of NC_000002.12, read as the reverse complement.
CTATGTCTACTTCTCAATTCCCAGGCTATTTCAAAGAGAAATTTGTTCATACATTTCTAGTCATACTTAGTAATACCTGGTTAGAAGTTTAATGGGAGGAAAAACATTATATTTGTCTTTAAGATCAAGTGGAACACTGAAGTTTGATGGGAGGAAAAACATTATATTTGTCTTTAAGATCAAGTGGAACACTGCCTTTGATGGCAGACCTCCTAATCAAAGGGCTTTATCCTAAGAACCTATAGAGATACCCTTAATCAATTTTTCTCACTTCTTGCCTTATATAGAGAAGCAACACTGGGTTGGGTAAACTAAGTGATTTTAAAAAAAGAACGCATAAACATTCTTTATGATTAGCAAAAGATATTACAGAAATAATTCTCATGCTAGTTTCTGGAGAAAGCAAAGCTAAAGAAAGCCATCTAAAAAAGCTGATGTATCGGTCAGGAAAAAATATGGCAGACTCTTAACTGTGAATTGAAGAAAGTGAAGGAACTGTTTATAAAGGTTTGAGCAGGGTTATAGGACTCTAGAGGAAACTATAGAATCATGTTCACTGGATGCATGAAAAATGTAGTGCCATCCAACTGTCTTGTCACAGTAGTGCACCAACTTTGGAGTCAGACCGATAAGGGATCCAATATCAGCTTTACCATTTTCTATGGGTGTGATCTTTGGCAATTAAAAAAAAAAACTGTCTGCATTTCAGTTTTCTCATCTGTAAAATTAAAGATGATAATATCTCTAAAGGTTTTTGAAAGAAGTAAATGAGAAAATGTAGCTCAAATTGTAACAACATCTGACACAGTGCAAAAACCATAACTATTAAATCTAGTTATCCTCCCTTATTTTATTCCTATTAGAGATATTATAAAGTTGGCCACAGAAACTTATTATTGAGGATCACGTTTGAGGATTATTGAGAATCACGTTTGGCTGTAAGTAAATAAAAAAAAAAACAAATAAAAAAGCTAGAAGTTTATTTCTCTTTCGTACAAAACCAGGTCTAGACAGGCCAAGTTTGACATGGCTGTTGTGTTCTAAAAAGCCCACATACACCTTCCATTTTTATGTTTTGTCATCCTTACTGAGTGGCTGTTGTCTTCCTGGTTCAAGATAGTGGTCATTGCATCCTTGTTGGGTGTGGCAGAATGAAGGAAGTGAGGAAGAACTGGCAAATGGAGAGCAGCAGCAGTCCCTTTAGGAAGGTTCTTGACAGCTTATATCTTACTGGTCAGAACATAAGCTGCAAGGGAGGCTGGATGATGGATGTACTTTTCCTTTTTTTTTTTTTTTTTTTTTTTTGAGACAGAGTCTCACTCTGTCACCCAGGCTGGAGTGCAGTGGTGCAATCACGGGGCTCACTGCAACCTCCTCCTCCCGGGTTCAAGTGATTGTCCTGCTTCAGCCTCCCAAGTAGCTGGGATTACAGGCACGCATCACCATGCCCGGCTAATTTCTGTATTTTTAGTAGAGATGGGTTTCACCATGTTGACCAGGCTGGTCTCAAACTCCTGACCTCAAGTGAGCCATCCACCTTGGCTTCCCAAAGTGCTGGGATTACAGGAGTGAGCCAGCGTGCCTGGCCTCAATTTCTCTCTTTCTTTCTTTCATCTCTCCTTCCTTCCTTTCCTTCCTCTCTCCCTCCCTTCCTTCTTTCTTTCCTTTCTCCCCTCCCTTCCCCTCCTCCCTCTCCTCCTCCTTCCCTCCCTCCCTCCTTTGCTTGCTTGCTTCCTTCCTTCCTTCCTTCCTCTCTCTCTCTTTCTTTCTTTCTTTTTAAGACAGGGTCTTGCTCTGTCACTCAGACTGGAGTACAGGGGTGTGATCACAGCTCACTGCAGCCTCTGCCTTCCGGGCTCAAGTGATCCTCCCACCTCAACCTCCAGAGTAGTTGGGACCACAGGCACGCCACCACCCCCAGCTAATTTTTAAATTTTTGTAGATATGGGGGTCTCCCTATGTTGCCAAGGCTTGTCTTGAACTTCAGGACTCAAACAATCCTCTTGCCTTGGCCTCCCAAAGTGTGGGGGTTACAGGTGTGATGGAGCTTGAGCCTAGCAGTTGAAGACCAGCCTGGACAACATAGGGAGACCCTGTCTCTACAAAAAAGTTAAAAAGTTTAAGAAAAATTCCCGTACACTTGTTCTTTTTAATGCAAAATGTAGAGAAAGACAAAAATTGTAATTCATCTACATCTAATCTCTTTTACGCAAATATATACATTTCATTACAGTCTAGGGCCAGTATGTCTATGAATTAGTGACAATAAATATTGAATAATGAGACTACTATCTACAGCGTTCTCCTATTGGGTACTTCCTGAGTTATAAGCAGCTACTAGTATTCAAGTTTATATGGCAACATGATAGTTTTTCTTGGGGAGTAAGAGTTGTGTTCAAATTTATAATACAGTGCCATTTTCTTGTTCTCCCTATACAGCAGTTTTTAAAAACTAGAAAATGAGACAATCTTTTATTGGTAGCACTCTGTAATTCTGCGTCTAGACTTAGTTATTTGTAGTCTCCCTAAAGGAGCACATATTTCCCCAATGTTCAACATTTTTAAATTTTCTTATCTGGCTACCCCAAACCCCTCCTCGCAGCCTCCCCTTCTCAGGTCTGCCCTTACTATTCCAGGCCCCACAACCTTGCCTCCTCTAAATTAAAATGTTAACTATCAGGCTGAGAAGTAACCAGATAAATTAAATTCCTTGACCAGTTAATGACTAGTAATAGCTCGACAGATGATCTCTCTGAAGTGTTTGTATTCTTAAGACTCTCTAGGTACAAAGCATTCATTCAAGGTACTGCAGCTTTGTATATAGAATTTCAGGCACACTGGCAGGTATGATTATGACTTCTTTTGGTGGGAACAGGACTCTTTTAAATGCCCCTTAGATTAAATCCATTCAGTCCACTCCTTCTTTCTTGTTGGAATATTAAAATGAAGATTTCTTTACGAATAGTAGATATAGTAGCTTTAAAAAATATTTTAAAGCTATTCATTACAATTTCCTTTTCTTAAAGAGTTTTGATAAATCCAGTGATGGCTTATTACTCTTAGAATGTCTTATTGAATGTGGCGGGACATTTTGTTACTGACTTAAAATTAATGAATATAATATAAAAAATTAACATATCGAGAAAAGGCAAAGCCAAAAATATTAGAGGCCTGAGTCCTCTTGGCTGAAGTTTCTCACCTCAATTACGTAAGTCCTCAGTTAGTTCACTTTTGGAATCATGTCTAATACATTTGACAAGGGAGTAGCCTTGGAGTGTCGCTAAGAAGAAATTGATCAGGAAAAATGAGATGGCAAAGAAGAATGTTTCCAAGAAGAAGTGGGATTTAGGGTGGAGGCTGTAAAAAAATGGGAGCGGTTCCTTTAGGCATTGAACAAACATTTATTTTTTGCCTTCCACATGCCAGGACCTACTGCGTCTCCTCCGGATGGGTGCTCCTCGCCGACAAAGTCTAGATTGTGATTATCTCAAGGACTTGAGTTACCCTCACTTCCGACCTCCTCTCTCACAAACTGGTTCCAGGCGGGGAGACTGAGGATGGGCTGGGGAGGCTGGCAGAGGCGATCCCCACCTCGCGGAGCACAACATCTGCTGTGTTCTGCGGCGAGCGCCTGTCAAGCAGTGGGAGGAAAAAGCGCTTGGAGCCACCAGCCCACTCTTAAGCGAAACTCGCCTGGAAAACACCCCGCCTCCCAGCAGAGTTTCTGCCGGTTTCTTTAGAAGGGTGGTGCGGAAAAGCAACTTTTGGGAACTTGAAGGAGTGGGGTGTGGGGCGAAGTGGAAAGAGCACACAACGCGACCCCACTCAGTCCCCGCTTGGGACTCCCATCCCGGCATCAGGCGTAGTGGGCGGTCCGGGCCAGGGCCAGGGCCAGAGCGGCGGCGGCGAGGCCATGCCGAGGGCCCGTCGGCCGCAGTTCCCCGTCCGGCCTCGCGGGGGCGCCGGCGCTGCCGATCAGGTGACCGAGGGCCCGTCCGGGGCTGCGGGAAGCGGCCTCGTTCTCAGCCGCCGGAGACGCCGCCGCCGCCGCCGCCGCCGCCACACCTAGTGGAGCAGCCGGGGAAGGCGGCTCGTTGGGGGCTGGGGCGGAGAGCGCCGGGGGTGGGGGCGGAAGGGCGGCGGGCGGAAGGCAGGAGGCTGCCGGGGCGCGGGCTGCTGCGGGAGAAGGGGCTCCGAGGAGTCCGCCGCGGCTCGCTCTGTCGCCGGCGCGGGATTGGGGCGCGAGGGCCATGGGCGCGCTCTCCTAAGGCGGAGGTCGCGGGCGGGAGGGGAGGAGGCCCGAGAGAGGCTGCTGCGAAGGCCGCGGGCCCGTGACTGGGCGCGAGGCGGCCGGCGGCGGCGGCGGCACCAGCACCACCATGTCGCGCTCAGTGCTGCAGCCCAGTCAGCAGAAGCTGGCGGAGAAGCTCACCATCCTCAACGACCGGGGCGTCGGCATGCTCACCCGCCTCTACAACATCAAGAAGGTGCGCACGGGCCGGGGAGGCCGCGGCGGAGGCGGGCGGGCCCGGGAGGGATGAAGGGCAAGGGAGGCCGTGGGGTGGGGGCGGCAGGAGGCGCCGGGTGTAGAAATCTCGGCGTCGCCGCCCGAGGCCCGGCCCGGGGTCGCCTGGATGCGCCGCGGCCTAATGCGGAGTCCCGGGCGCCTCTCCCTGTGGTTCGCCGGCCGGCCGAAGGCAGAGAAGCCATTTCCCGGCTCCCGGCGGCGGGATCGGGCGCTGGGCCTCGCACGGGGTGGGGGCGCCGCTGGGAGCCGGGAGCTGTCCCCTCCTCGGCGCCCCCGCCCCCATGATGGGGCCCATAGGAAAGGGAGGGTGGTGGGTGGGCGAAATTCTAGGTGGGTAGGAAAACTTGAGTGTTCCATATTCTTACGGAGATGGCAGCAGTGAACAGGGATTACACCCCACATCCCCATTTTTTGGTGTGGGAATGTGGGTAGAGAAGGGCTGATTGGATGAATCCCGTATCCCCTCCACTTTGCCACTTTATTTTAGATTGCTAAATAAAAAGCCATTGAGAGTGTGTTGACGATTTGGGATTATTTCATTTTGAAGGTGGAGAGGAGGGGGAAGTGAGGGTGGAACCAATTTTCTGAAATACTTCTAGGCTGTGAGTCACTAGAACTGGAATAACAACCTTCTACTCTTTCCCCTGTACTCCTCCTCATGTTAGATTTTCCAATACCATTTCTTAAAGTTCGGTGTCTGTACAAAATAAAAACCGTAAAAATGTTGCAATTGCTGCTGATTTATAGCATAGTCTGATAATTTGAGCAACTATAGCTAATAGGCCCATTTAAAGGCTTTTACATGTCCTCAGTACAGTAAGGAGTGGAAGACCACTGGAAGTTTAGAAAAGTCCATGTAAAGATAGAACAAATAATTACATTCATTATCGTAGGACAAAACAACAAAATCTCTCCCCTTAAGGCAAGGTTGGTAAGTTTTAAACAATTTGATAAAGAGAAAAAGAGATATTTGGAAAATTTAGATCCATCGAGTTTCCAATGTGTCTTTGATGTCATACCTTCATAACTATTTGTTGGCTTTTTAATATATCGTGAATGTTACCGTTTAGTTTAATCATAGCAATAGATTGTAGGTTGAGAGGGCTTCTGAAGAAAGGTTTTTTTTTTTTTCTTTGGAAATTCATTTCCAAGCGTTTGAGTGTAAAATTGATTTATTTTTTACAATTTGATGTAGACACTAATTCTAAAGAGTGTCCTGGTTTAATGATGATAAATTTTGGATAAGGACAAAGTCTGGTTGCTCACCTAATTGCAAGGCTTTATTACTCTAAACCCAGTGCTATCTGGAGAGTAACTGCAACATGCTTACTCAGTTTGTTACCTTTTATGTGGCAGGAGCTCAGTGTCATGACAAAGAAGCCCCTCTGCATTTACCAAGGAGCCTAGGTTATAAATTTATATAGGTTAGGAATAATTCAGTTTTAAATAGTATTACTTAGAGGTTGCATTGACCTGAACTGTTCGGGGAGATTGTGCTGCTTAAAAAACTTGGAAATTGATTCCTATATGAATTTTGTCCAAAAATGAACAAGTCAAATATTATAAAAGTTACTAGACCTGTGGTATTGTGGTTTAAAGGAAATGGTTATGATGGTTTCTAAAAGAGGAAGTGAGAGTAACATCAAAAGTGATTTGGGTATTTGGGCAAAATACCTTTTCTAAGCATTTATTAAACATTTTTGTAGGATAAATGCAATCAAACTTTAATATCCCACCTTCATAAATAAGATTAAATGAAATTCTGGGCATTTGAACTCTAATAATTCCAGTTCATTGCCTTTTCTCAAAAGCACTGTTTTTTTCACTTCCTGTTTTGGGAAGCTTCAGCCTCTTGTATTATTGAACTTGTGAAAGTTAAAATGCATTGAATGTGATCATTATTATATCCATGTCAAATATTTTGATTTATTGAAACGTCATATTTTAGCACTTGCCTTATATTTTTAGTTTCTTAAGAAATACATTGCTTACCTTGCTTGAGTGTGAATTTTCTCTGGGCAGGGACAGTGTAATTTTTGAAATACTAGAGTATTTAGGGCCTTATCTGATACTCGAGGCCTTCAGTTAGGCCAGGTTGAAATGAATGAATTACTTCCCTCCTCTCTCTCAAAACCTGTGTGCTCTAGTTTTAATAATAATACCCTTGGGTTTGCTCCCTTTGTGTAATTTTGCATGTAAATGAATCAGATAAGATTTTGGATCTTTCAGCCTATAGAATTGTCTGTGAGTCTGGCATATCTTCCCAGCTGGCTAGGAATTGAAACATTTGTTCAAATATCTTGCCAAAGAAGTGAGTAAGATCTGTTCACCATGTGTTTATTAGGTTCATGCTGTCTGCATTCTTACTGCATTATAAACCACATACTCTTTTCAATCTCAACCTCTTCTAGTCTTAAAAAAAAAACCTTCCACCTCATAATACATGTTTGCCAATCAATTATCACATTTTCATTAATGCATGTGCATTAGATTGTCTACCAGATCTAATTACTCTGTTTCAATTGGAAGTATACAGTGGAAATGATATTTTAGTGAACATATACAATGAAAAATAGTTAAGTAAAATAACTTATTATTGTCAGTAATATGCTTTGGCGCTTATTAGGGAAGTTGGAGCATGATTACTGAAGAATGTTTTTTTTTTTTAATTTCATCAGTCAAAAATTTTGAGATCTTAATATTTACAATTTATGGGAATTTTAGGGAACTTGTAGTTTGACGGAGGATGTAGGAACACATAAAAGCGGATTTTAGGGAAAAGACTTGAAGGTTGTTGGTAGCTTTACATTTAAATTTATTTGTTGCTTAATTCCTTTTTTTTTGTTTTTAAATATATGGTTTCCCTTTTGCAGACCTAATAATGTGACTCACTCATGTAGAGATTTGTAACATTTTTAAAGGTTCCAGCATGGCAACTTGTGTGGTGGTGGGATTAAGAGCACTGGGCCAGAAGTTAAGAGACTTGCATTCCAATCTTCATTCTGTCACTGAGAGTTCTCTAACATTGGTTAGTAATTTGACTTTCTTGAGCTTCACTTTTCCTCATCTGTAAAATGGGGAAAATTAACTGTAAAAGGAACACTAAAGTCTATTCCAGCTCTATCTTTATGATTTTATGGTGAAGTAGTAGAGTAGAAATTATGTTTCATTTTAAACAATAACTGAACTCAGTTTAGTTTTCTGTAATGTAGGGAGCATAATGCCTGCCCTACATACTTCACAGAATTGCTTCTGAAGGTAGAGGATGGTAATATGTGAAAATAGTATTTAGGAATCTGAGCATCTCTTTTGGGCAACATTGTTTTTCTGAAATTGTATAACTGTTCAACAAAACTGCCAAATACCCAAAGAAAACATTTTGCTCAGTTAAATTTTTGTGTGTGTGGTTTACTCTCTTCTTTTTTTCCTTCTCCTTTCTTTTCCTCCACCATTACCAACATGAGATTAATCTCTGTATTAAAAAGATCTTAGTTAATACTTGCGTCTTTTCCTCCTGTTAAATTTCTGCCTGTACTGTAAAGGTCAGAGAATGAGAAAAAAAAAAAAACCCATACAACTATTACAAACTTTTTAAAGTGGAGTATTGTGGTGGTTTAAATGCAGTTTTACTTCTTTAAAAACATTAGAGGAATATTTTTCTTTTTTTCCCTATCCTTTTCTCATTATTTTGGATAAATTTATTTTCTAAGGAAAAGTTTAACAGGACTAGCATTGTAAAATTGAAAGTCTTTAGCCAGTATCTGCTTATTTAGTGGGGGAAGAAAAGATGTTTGTGAAGGGAGCAGTGCAGGGTAAAGGGAGGGGAACTGGTTTTAGTCTTCCCTTTCAGTATTGTATTTGTTTCCACTTAGGGTGTTATTTTCTCTTTTGGTCAATCAGATGCAGAAGCGTGTTCCAGAGATGCTTAGGAAAATAATTATTTTTAATTTTTAAGTAGCAATGATAAATAATCCATCTTTTGTTTCCTTTATGGAATTGTTAAGTAACTTTAAAATTTTTTAATGATTACCAGAGGAATATATGTTTATTGTCAAAAACTCAAACATAACATAAATGAGTGACTTCAAAAATTCACTGTCTGCCCATCTTTATAACTTTATAAGCTACTGAATTGTTAGTTTGTAAGTAGGGTTGTATATGTGCCAGTTTGAAATGATTCTCTTGTTTTAAGTAGAAGAACCCATACTGGAAAATGCTTTGTTATTGCATAGTTGACTATTTTAGATAGTAATAAAATTGCATCTTTAAAACTGTTTTATAAGCCATCATATGAGCTATTCTTTCAGTTACTCTCAAATATTGAGGTTTTCCCTTTTAATTTATTCATTTACTCTTCGTTTATTGAATGTGTTCCCTGGCATGAGGGAAATAGAGGTAAATTAAGATGAAGTCTCTAGTGCCAAGAAATTAGTGTCTTAGTGGGGAGAGAGATGTATAGATATTTAACTAAAATGCAGTGTGTAAGTAGGATTGTCGGAGTCTTGAGAAGGGAATTAAGGATTATAATCTGGGAGAGATGGTAAAGAGGAGAGTCACATTTGTACTTGGTTTTGAAGTATGAATAGAAACTTCAGGCAGCCAGTGACAGAAACTAACTAGTTACTATTTCAGATTGCAGAGTTTTTATTCAGTAGGATATACAGAGGGTCCCCAACTTGTGATGGTTTGACTTAACAATTTGTTGACTTCTTGTTGGCACAAAAGCTATGGCATGCAGTAGGAAGTGGTATGATACTTTCTTGTGATCTGATACTCTGCAGTGTACTGTATTACCAGATAATTTACTCAACTGTAGTCTAATGTAAGTGTTTAAGGTAGGCTAGGCTAAACTATGATGTTAGGTAGGTTAGGTGTGTTAAATGCATTTCTTCTCTTTTTTTGGAGACAGGGTCTAGCTCTGTCATACAAGCTGGAGTACAATGGCACGATCTCAGCTCACTGCAGCCTCTGCCTCCTGGCTCAGGCGATCCTCCCACCTCAGCCTTCTGAGTAGCTGGGACTATAGGCACATGCCACCATGCCAGGCTAATTTTTGTATTTTTTTTGATAGAGTTGGGGTTTCACCGTGTTGCCCAGGCTGGTCTCTGTCTCCTGGGGTCGAGCAATCCACTCGCTTCAGCCTGCCAAAGTACTGGGATTACAGGTGTAAGCTACCGCACCTGGCTGATTTATGATATTTTCAATTAAAGATAGGTTTATTGGAATGTAACCCTATTGTTAAGTTGAGGAGCATCTGTATAAAGATAACAAAATACAGTCATTCTGCATAATGATATTTCACATAACACTGAAATGATGGACTGCCTATACACAGTAGTCCCATAAGATAACACTGTATTCTTACTGTTTTTTTTTATGTTTAGATACATTTAGATACAAAAATACATACCATTATGTTGCAATTGCCTGCAGTATTCTCATTGTACGGGTTTGTAGCATGAAAGCAGTAGGCTATATCCCATGTACCCTGGGTGTATAGTAGGCTATACCATCTAGGTTTATGTAAGTACGCTCTGATGTTCACACAATGATGAAATCATCTGATGACATTAAGCAATGCATGACTGTGTTAGAGTATAAAATAGTAATGCTCTTCTTGCAGGCATATAACCTCTAAACTTCACTTATTTTCTAAACATTTTCCGTACTTGCAGAATATTCTGTGAGTTGAGAGAGCTAGATTCTAGATAATGCTCTGATACTTTTTTTTTAGTTTGAACAAGTTATTTAACATTTCTGGGCTGTAGGTTACTTACAAAGTGAGGAGATCAGTGGTTCCTAGCCAGGGATACATAATAGAATCCTCTTGGAAGGTTTTTCCAAATTCCATACATCTGGATCCTGACCCAAACTTAACTTGAACAGAAAAAAATCCCTGAAATTGTTCCAATGTTAACTACTGAAATAACTGAAATGTAAATTCTTAAATACCTGTAATTTCTTTTCCTGCTAATTATTAACTGTGGTGATTTAATTTAGTTGTCTGGGTTATAACTAAATTTCTGGAAGGCTGCACATTGGCTGTCTACTAGCAAAACCAGCTCCATGGTACTTATTTGCTCTCAGCTTCTGTTATGCTTCAAGCTGTATTTTTTGGCTTTCTAAGCCTTGCTAGTCTTATTGATTCTAACTCTTGTAATCTTAAATAGATATTCCAGTTATCTCACGTTTTTGGAATACGCTTTTATTAACCTCATAGGTTAAGAGGAGAATTAAATGAGTGAATCCATAGGAAGTATTGGTACAGTGCCTTGTAGCAAGCGTAAGAGCTGAGGAAATGGTGGCTGTTGTTACTAGTTCTATTTCTGGGGCTTGGAACATAGTGGACACTTAATAAATGTTCATTCCCCCCCACCCCCAGATTAAATTAAGCTCAAGACTACCTTTTAGGAAACATTCCTCACTATTCTATTTTACTGCCTGATACAGTTTGACATCTACTTACTGCTAAGACAGAATAATTATTTGTATTTCAGAAGTATGTGTTCCACAGTAGTCCTTTAAATAACAATTTCTTTTTAACCGCAAAGGTATGACAATATATATACTTTAAAAAACTGCAAAAACACCTTTGCTTCATAAACTGAGATGATCCTGTATATTGGAAGCTGAAAACTGTTTAAAGGCAACAGTGACATATATATCTTCTTGTAAATGGAATGGTAATTAATAACTCATTTGAATCACTAAATTTTTTTCTTTTTTTTGAATCACTAATTTTGAAGTGTATAATGGGTTGAAGTTTTTCAAGTTCATGACTTTCTCAGAACTTGTGTCTAAAGGACAATAACTGTGATTTCTATATTTTTAGATCTCAATTATTGGCTCCAATTAAGAGGTAGTTATTGATAAAATTACATTAATTTGAAAGCATTTCCAATAATTTCAGTATACTTTGTTATCAAGCCTCTTAATCCAAGTTACTAGCAGTAGATTGCTCTCTTTTCTTTTTACCTACCTAAGAGGGAAAGTGCTAACTTAAAGCAGATCGGTTGGCCAAAATATACATCATAACACAGGAGGAAAAAAATAATCGGAAAGCTAACTACTGATGAATTTGAGTCTTATTTTGCTCTTGATATAAAGTTTTCCAGTACTTATGGACAATTTTCATACTGTAATATTTTCATTATTTAAAAAATTGGAACATAAAATAATCATAGGTATATATTACTTTTACATTCCATAATTTCAGGTAACGTCTATTCTTCCTCTAGGTATTAATTTCAATTTGTTGAAAACTCAGGGAAGAATCTTTGTCCCTTTATTCCTTCAATTTTGCAAAACGTGTGGTGTTTCTTGGTTATTAAGTCAAATTCCTCTTTCGAGTCTAAATTGGCCACATTTTGTATTTTTCTCCTCATCCTTGACATTATTCAGATGGGGCTGGTTTCTGTGCCCTCACGAATAGCATTCTCACTCTGACTCCTGAGATCTTGTTCATATTTTTTCAGTTAATTCATTGTACTAGAAAATCATTTTGTTCTTCCCTATTTTGGCATTTTTCCAATTATTGTACTAGAAAATAATTGTTCTTCCATATTTTAGCAAAGGAATGTGTTTTATTCCTGAGTTAGAATAGAAATTAAAAAATAAAACTGAAGCTAGGCACAGTAGTAGTGCGTGCTTGTAATCCCAGGTACTTAGGAGGCTGAGGCAGAAGGATCTCTTGAGACCAGGAGTTCAAGTCCAGCCTGGGCAATATAGCAAGATGCTGTCTCAAAAAAATAAAATGGATTGAACTGATCAGATTTTTACCGTGATAGCAACTGCTTCCTGAGGTTTTAAGCAGCGGAGGTTTTGAATAAGTGGAGCATGTTTTTAAACATTATTTTTGGGAGGGGACATATATTTTTAGATAGTGTTTTGGAATCAGGTATGAATTTCTCTGTAGGTCCTGTCAGTAGTTGTGAAATCTTGATCAAGTTACTTAATTTTTCAGAAGCTCCTTTCCTTTCTGTTGAGTGATAATTTAGATAATTTCTAAAGCATAGGTGTTTTGCACACAATAATTGCACAGTAAATGTTCTTTTTACTTCCAACATCTTTTGTATCTTGATTATTTTGTTGTTTTTTTTCCTTCTCTCTCTTTTTTTTTTTTTTTTTTTCGAGTCAGGGTCTCACTCTTGCCTAGGCTGGAGTTTGCAGTGGTTGTGAACAGGGCTCACTGTAGACTCAACCTCCCTGGCTCAAGCAGTCCTTCCATCTTAGCCTCCCAGGTAGCTGGGACCACAGATATTTACCACCACGTTTGGCTAATTTTTAAACATTTTGTAGAGACAGGGTCTCCCTCTTGCCCAAGGTGGTCTCAAACTTGTGGGCTCCAGCAATTCTCCTGCCTTGGCCTCCGCAAGTGCTGGGATTGCAGGTGTGAGCTACTGAGCAGTCTTTTTTTTTTGGTGTCTTGATTGTTGCTTAATCTCTTGTGAATAGATAGAGGAATTTTAAAAATCTGTATTTTTTTTTTTTGGCATCATGGTAAGTTCTTGGAAAAATAGTAACATTAACCATGTAAAGTTAAGCTGTGGTATGTAATCCTATGCTGTAATAGCTTGAGGAAAGGCCTCAGTATGGGGGTTTGTGGTAGAGTGGCAGAAAGATGTGTTTTAAAGTCATACTTTAAAATGGCATAGGGTCTAGGCTTGATGTTTCTAATCAAAGATGTTTCTTTTGTGGCCCGGATAATATATTGTGTAGTTTTCTGAAACATCCTTGTCCTTCATTTTTACTGATAACATCAGATTTGTGTTTTAAAAGGAACTTAGAGATATTGAATTGACTACTGACCTATAGTTTTTTTTTTGTTTCTTTTGAGACAGAGTTTCACTCTTGTTGCCCAGGCTGGAGTGCAGTGGCGCGATCTTGGCTCACTGCAACCTGCGCCTTCCGGGTTCAAGCGATTCTCCTGCCTCAGCCTCCCGAGTAGCTGGGATTACAGGCGCCAGACCATACCTGGCTATTTTTTTTTTTTTGTATTTTTAGTAGAAACGGGGTTTCACCGTGTTGGCTAGGCTGGTCTTGAACTCCTGACCTCGCGATCTGCCCACCTCGGCCTCCCAAAGTGCTGGGATTACAGGCGTGAGCCACTGAGCCCAGCCTAGAATTGTTTTTATGGAAAATCTTGTTTCCATAATTGAGAACTCACTATGTGTATCCATGTATATAAAGAAGTTTTATTTAAAAAAATATTTGGAACTTATTTATTAACTACATATGTGCCAGGCACCTAAATAAACAGTTTATGTGTATCTTATCTTTTAAATATTTTAACAGTGTACCCTATGCAGTAGGTAGTAATAATATCCTCAATTTATGGGTTAGGTAACTGAGGCTGAGAGGTTAGGCAACTTGCCTAAGGTCATATAGGCTATTATGCACTTGACCCAAGAGACAAGGGTTTTAATTACTATGTTTAAGTGTATCCTTTAACATCACTGTAATTTTATCTGTCACATAAAATAATCCTGACTTTTAAAATATTATAATTAGAATATTCATGGAGAATAAAGTTCCAATTCTGAGAACTGGAAATTTAAGTATATAAATATTTAAATTTATTTTAGATCTTCTGAAATTTGAAATTATAGTATTTTATGTTTTATGAAAATATGCTGACTCAAGATAAAGTAAAACAGGGTACTTGGGGGAGTTTTTGTTTTTTCAATTCTGTACTTTATGCATAGTTTTCTTTCTGTGTAGTGAAATACCTCTTTTAGTCAATTCTCTGAAAAAGTTTTTTTTTTGGTAGGGCTATAAAATTCAGGGATTTAGACATCATTTTACACTGTATTCACCTTTCCTTTTTTTCTATTTTTGGGAGTATGGGGGATAGAAGTGCTCAAATGTTTAATTGAATTGGTAATTTGTTAAATCTTTTGATTACGTCTTTCTGGTAAGCCTTTCTGAAATATATTAGTCTAAAATGTTTTGATAACTAAGTTTAATTGTGTATTTAGTTTTTAAAAATTTGATACTTCAAAAGGTGATAACTTTGAGTTAAGGATTAATTTTGTGTAATATTGTAGATGTAATAGAAAGATATATGATTTCAAGTATACCAATAGCAGGCTGTTTTCTGAAAATGCAAGTTGTGATTTTCTTATCCTCAAAATGAAAGTTTTTTGAGTTTGGGTGGGGAATAAGATGAATTTTTATAAACTATAACTTCTGGTTATTTGGAATTTTCTATACTGTTTTAGTATGGTAGGAAACCTTAAAGTTTTTTTAAAAATTTTTTTGTAGAGATAGGATCTTGCTATGTTGCCCAGGCCGGTCTCTAGTTTCTGTCCTCAAGTGATCCTCCCACCTGAGCCTCCCAAAGTGCCAGGATTACAGTTGTGAGCCACCATGCCCAATCAGCCTTCTTACCTGAATTATTTGTTATGGTTCTTTGCCAGGATATATTTTACCTAGCTGATAACTTTTAGTCATGTCAGTTTATTTTTTTCATAGACTTCTTCTTTTTTGCCTAAGTATTCCCCATACAAGTGTCTCTCTTGTTATTAAGCAAATAAATCAAGTAAGTGGATTTTAGAAAAAAGATAAGATGGGGCCTAGTACTTCTGTATGTATTAACCTCTTATTTTTAATTGGCATTTTTTGGGAGCTCTTGGTATGCCAAATACTCTCGTAAAGTCTACAGGTAACACTTTCATGTAGTGAACATAAAAACTTTTTAGCATAGGTTGTAATTATTATCTGTTTAACAGTTGAAGAAACTGAGGCACAGATAGAATGACTTGCTCATGGGTACACAGCTAAGTGATGGTGCCAAGATTTTAAACATGGACAGCCTGTCTTGAAACTCAGGTTCTTAACAATTAGGTTAAACTCTGTACAGTTACAGCAAATGTAGACTTTAGGCTGTATTTAGGCTGTATTTAGATGTTTAGGCTTAAAGTGAATAAAGGAAATATTTGATTGAGAGAGGGGATTGTATTTAATAGTTGCATAAGGAAGTTAACACTAACTTGCTAGTTGTATATATATATTATGATAAAGACTGTTACTATGATTACTATTCATATTAGACTTGGATAATTATTATCATCATTATAGCTATTATTAAAAAGCAGCTAGCATTTTTAGAGCACTTATGTGCTTATCATTTTGCTAAATGCTTTACATGGTTTCTTTATCTCTCTTCTAATCCTTATAATAACCCTGTGAGGTAAGTACTAATTTCCCCATTTTACAGACGAAGAAACATAGGTTAGGAGATATTTTGTAATATATTCCAGGTCCCATGGCTAGTAAGTCATGAAAATTGAAACTCAGCCAGTTTTATTCCAGAATATTTGTTTTTAACCTTTGAGACATACTGCCTCCCAATTAAGTATGTTAGATAAGGTCCACTGAGCAGTGTGGAAAAGGTAAATCAATTCCAGGGAAAGCAGATTATATAGTCCTTTATTTTTTTCTGAATTTTTTTTTTTTTTTTTTAGTTTTTAGTTTTAAGAGACAGAGCTTCACTCTGTGGCTCAGGCTGCGGTACAGTGGTGTGATTACAGCTCTGTAGCCTTGAATTCCTGATCTCAAGTGATCTTCTCCCTCAGCTTCCCAAGTAGCTAGGAGTACAGTTGTGCACCACCACACCCTTATAATTTTTTTTTCTCTTAAAGCCCTGAGCTTACTTCTCTACAAGCTAATTTAAAACATTTTTTTGTAGAGACAGGGTCATGCTATGTTGTCCAGGCTGGTCTCCAACTTCTGGCTCAAGCCCCTTAGCCCCCATTTCTGGAATTACAGGCGTGAGCCACTGGACTTGGACAAAATGAAATTCTGTTCTTTCTGTTTTCAGTGTAAGAAGGAAGAGCTGCTCATTTATATATGTGTATGTGTGTATACACACATACGCACACACATACTTGTTTGGTTATCAACCAACGAAGTTGTTTATATGTTTACATTCTTAAACAGTAAAATTTGTGGTTGTGGGAAATGGATATGGTGATCTGTCATTTTCATTATATGTGATAGTCCCTAATAGAGGAATGGATAGCTAAATTTTTCAATAGTTAGAATATGAAAGACAACACATATGAAAAAACTGAACATAATTTGGAATCACTTTAGGATTTTGCACTACCTCAAGCATGTTTATGACACTTGATTTTTATTATGTGATTATGTAAGGCAATGCTAATCTATAGCTATTTGTGTTTGGGCAAATTTTTAGTATGTGATTATTATTCTTAGCTATTATATTTGGGGAGAAGAATATAAATTGGAAGATTTTAAGAATATTTTAAAGAAATGATAGTCTACTCAAAGAAAGTTGGATATATTTTAATATTTATGATGTTGAAATGGAATTTACATAGTAGTAATGTCAGTCTGGCTAAAGATTATGAAGTTCTAAATTTCTTAAGATTTTGTTTTATTTAATTATATTTGAGAATTAAGAGATTTCTTACTGCATTCCTATTTCCATTTGGAAAATATAGGAATGTTAACATTGATTTTTATACTTTGGCATGGTAGGAAGTTAGGTGATGTTTGAAAAATAGTTACAATTTGAGCTGAAATACAAAAGTCATCCAATAACAATTTATTTTTATTCTCGGCTACCGTTTCTTTTTAAGGTATGTAAAATTTCACTGATGGTTTTGCTCCTGTTTTTATAGCTGCATGTAGTCTTTATTTTCCTTCTTTCTAGTATTATTTTAAGTTGGTTTAGAAAGAGCACCAAGAAACTGACCTGATTGTACACGTACACAGTAGTGTTTATATGAACAGTATAAACTCTATAAATTTATTTTATACTAAAACTCGCTACTTAGAATACCTTTAAAATTGTAGCACCATATAATTCTAATCTTGTTCTGTTATTCATAGTCTGCAGTGCATAAGTTTTCTTCTGAAACGTATATCATAGTTTGACAATCATTGTTTACACGTAATTTTCTCTCTTTTTATTACAATGCTTCCCCAGCAAGGACAAGTTTGGAAGGTTTGCAAAGCTTTTCACCTTCCCTCTGCCCGCTTGCCCGCTTTCAGATCAGTTTCATGTTTCATAACTTCTCTTTCTGCAATCCACAACATAGCCATAGTAAACAATGGAAAACTATAAAATTGCAGTAGTGTATTTCCTCACACATGGCAGACAGATGTAACTTTCCAAAGGACACATCCTTTTCAAAATGCAATAAAAAGAAGTTAAATAGAAATGTTATAATTTTAGTAATTCCCTAAGGAATAACATCTCGCTAGCAAGCAGTTAATTTAATGTCACGTAATAAAACAGGAACAGTATTCAAGATTATATTCTGTATTGTAATAGTTCAGGTAGAAAGTTCTTTCTAATAATAATACCTTACATTTGTATAGTGCCTTACAGTTTACTGCAGAGAATGCTGTACTGCTGATACGGTCAAAACGTAAACATATCCATTTGTTCTGTGCTTATGATATATAGAACAGATGTAGATTCATTGTTTGAAGTGCTGCTGGTATGATGGAAAACAGTGTTGTAACTCAGATGTTCAGAGAATAAGACAACACACCTTAGCACTATAAAGACAATTTTAGCAGCTTCCAGTTCTTTTGAACTAGGGCTCTTGTATTAAAATGTTTAAAGTGAATGAGGAAAACATTTTGGAAAAGACATTTAAACATAAGCTTTTATTTTATAACACTTAGAAAGAAACATGTCTAGTACTCTACTGAATATTTAATTTTGTAATATTTTATTAGCTTCAGATGAATACAATCCTACCTCAAACCAAGAATTTTTTTTCTTTTTCTTTTTTTTAGGTTTGAGCTTTTTCCTTCACTGCTGTTCTGCGCTAACTGCTTCGAAACTTTCCATGCATTTTTTTCAGTAGAAGAACATCTCTGTACTGTCTCCCATTGCATATTTCAGCTGTGACAATCCCTGCACTTTGCCTATTCATTTTATCACCTGCTCACCAAAAACAATAAATATCTCTTTAATTTCTAATTGCAGATTTGCTATTTTTGATTTTAGAAGAAGGGTGCATTTCACTTTTTTTTATTACTGTTGTTTTATAGGCATGTGGAGACCCCAAGGCAAAACCATCCTATCTTATCGACAAAAACCTGGAATCTGCTGTGAAATTCATAGTCAGAAAATTCCCTGCTGTAGAAACCCGCAACAACAATGTAAGTTATCTAAATTTTTCTATTGCTTAATTTTAAGCATCTTTTAGAGAAACAGTGGTCAACACAGTGCTTATAGTAGCTCTTATTTACCTAATTTTTAACATTTTGATATACAGATTATATACCTTAAGGGTTTTTTTGAGACAATATTCTTATGTCCGAGACCGGAAAAAAATAACTCTTAACGACATTGCCACTTTATTACAGCAAAGATCTTAGATTACTATATATTTATTCCCTTTCAAATTGCAACAAGAGTAAGGTAATAGATATGTATATATTCCAAATTCTTGTGTGGATACTTGGGATATTTTTGTTTCTTATAGTCATAAACTTCCTGTTGAAGTTAGTAAATGTCTGCATAGAGCTTCTGTTGTTTTAAGTAGTTAGCTGTATTTAGTTTTAAAATGTGTTTGTTTTTCTAGTATTTTCATAATTGACAATGATTTCTAAAGATTAAATAGTACAAGTAAATGATTGTGTTAGGGTCTTTATTATCTCCATATTACTTTTCATATGGGAAAGTTTTTTCTTAGTATACTGAAGAATGGTCATGTTCAGAATCTTCCTGATATGTTTACATATCTTTATAGTAATTTCTATGAATAACTACTTTTGGGAAATTAGAGTTATTTTTTGCCTCAGTGTGGCATTTTTATATAAATTTTGACTCAGAATCTTTCTGCCTGTCTTCTCTTTTTATTTTTTTCTCTGATATTTTCTTGTTACTATCTTTGCTGCCTCTTTTGCTTTACATACAAATTTAGTTTAGAAATTTCCTCTCACATATGATCTTCATAATTTTGAGAAGCTCTGTTGAAAAGATATATCGTCAGCTGGTCCAAAAATAGTGAGTTATCTCAATTGATTGTTCTGCGTCAGTTACAGATCCAGCTCCTTGTTCTACTCTTTGCCCCCTTCTCACTACTGCACTTGACTGGTTTAAAAATAAAAAGATACATTGTCACCTTTTTGTTTTCTCAAATCATGTATGTTCATTGAAGATTTGTATTTAGCCTGTTGATACTTTTGCTTAAAAACGCTTCCATGTAGAAAGAAAATGCTAGTAAGAACTAATACAAATAAGTCAGATAAAGTGCTTTTTAAGGCATTTTTTTAAACAAAATCAAGTCTGTTTTTGGGGAGTACAGGTTAGTAGAGGTTTCATAAAAGATTGTTTTTGTAGAGACGAGATCTCACTATGTTGTCCAGGCTGGTCTTGAACTCCTGGGCTCAAGGGATCCTTCTGCTTCGACCTCTTAAAGTGCTGGAATTACAGACATGAGCTGCTGTGCGCAGCCAGAAATATTGTTTTATAATATATCAATATATTAAAGCATTATAATTAGTTCCTGATTGCAAAATAGGTGATTCAAAACTTGCACTTCTTAACACTTTTGTTTGTGTGGAGAACTCTTTTTTAGTTACTGACATTAATTGGCTACCTCATCTGAGAGATTATATACTCACTCTAAAAGAGAGATTTTGTTATGAAAATCTGTCTTAAATTAATTTTATATACACTTCTTTTTCTTACAGCTCATAAAATTTCTGACATGAGCTCTTCAGAGAATCTTTGAAGCTTAGTTTACACATGTGTTTGTGTGTAAACTTATATGTGAGAATATGCATCGTTCCTTAATATTAGGTCTTTCCTTAGAATTAGAAGTATCTGGTGAAACAACAGTAAAATTGTCTGTTGTCAGCAGACCAATTAAGCATCTGCTGTTCTTGATATGCCGGGCAAACTGTTTATTATCATCCTGTTGTTTTTTGTTTTTTGATAGTTTTACTTCTCTTTCTAACTTTTGAAGCACAAAATCGATATTTTTAATAATAGTTTTATTGAGGTATAATTCACATACCATATAATTCACCCATTCAAAGTGTACAGTTTCAGTGTTTTTTAAGTACATTCACAGAGTTGTGCATCCAGTACCACAGTTAATTTTAGAACATTTTCATCACCACCCAAAGAAACTTTGTGCCCATTAGCAGTCACCCCTGATTTCCTGCCAACACCCCTGCCCTAAGGCAACCACTGATGTACTTTTTCTGTCTCTGTGCCTATTCTGAAGATTTCATCAGGAATAATGTAATATGTGGTCTTCTGTGACTGGTTTCTGTCATTTAACGTAATATTTTCAAGGTTTATCCAAGTTGTAGCATGTATCAGTATTTTGTTTTTGTTTTAAGAGACAGGGTTTCACTCTGTCACCCAGGGTAGAATGCAGTGGCGCCATCATAGCTCACTGTAACACCGAACTCCTAGACCAAAATGATGTTCTCATCTTAGCCTCCTAAGTAGCTAGGGCCACAGGTGCGCACCACCATGCTCAGCTATTTTTAAAAATTTTTTTTAATTTTTTATCCAGATGTGGTCTGGCTATGTTGCCCAGGTAGGTCTCAAACTCCTGGGCTTGAGCAGTCCTCCCACTTTGACCTCCCAAAGTGCTGAGATTACAGCTGTAAGCTGCTGTGCCCAATCTTCATTTCTTTTTATTGCCAAATAATACTCCGTTGTGTGGATATACCACATTTTATTCATTCATGAGTTGATGGATGTTTGGATTGTTTCTACTTTTTTGCCTATTATGAATAATGTTGCTATAAACATTTATGTGAAAGTTTTTGTATGGATATGTTTTCATTTCTCTTGGCTTTATAAACCTGTGAAAGAATTGCTGGGTGGCGTGGTAATTCTGTGCTTAACCTATAAAATTGATTGTACAATGTTGTTGAATGTTATGACTTACTTGTAGTATTTACTTTGTTTTGTTTGCAAAGCCTGAGTTTTTTCATATTGCCTTTACAACTATTCTTTGTAATGCTACTCTGTTGTTTTTTTTACCTGCTGAAGTACTATGTATTGGGCATATATAAAGTCTTGTGATCTCAGTTTTGATCTGGGTCTGCTAAAATTTTGGTGAGAAGTTCCTAGCTAGCTTGGATCAGGACATGAGAAGTGAGGTTTCAGTTCTATTATTATTTTTTAACTTATTGAATTAGTTGATGGAGCTTAAAGACTGGAAAAGATAGTAGCGTCTGGGATTGATAGGAGGTTGCAGATTTCTGGCTACTAAGTGCACTGTAGAAGTGGTATTGATATCAGTCTTTTCTTTCTTTTTTTCTTATTCTTGTGCTTTGGATTATTATGTAAATATGTGAAACAGAACATGCTTACTTTTTCTTAGGGACCTAGGTTATTACTATTTCTACTCTGATTCATGTCTTACAAGTAACACATGTCCCCCAATTTCAGAAAAGGTACTCATAAAAACAGATTTCTGGTGAAAATGCAATAAATTTTTTTTTCTTTTTTTTCTTTTTTTTTTTTTTTTGGGACACGGTCCTGCTTTATTGCCCAGGCTGGAGTGCAGTGGAGCAATCTCAGCCCACTACAACCTCCACCTCCTGGTCTCAATCAATCCTTCTGCCTCAGCCTCCCAAGTAGTTGGAACTACAGGGGCACAACCACCACACCTGGCTAACTTTTTGTATATTTTGTAGACATGGGGTCTTGCTATGTTGACCAGGCTGGTCTCAAACTTCTGGGCTCAAGTGATCCTCCCAGATTGGCCTCCCAAAGTGCTGGGATTACAGGCTTGAGTCACCATGCCCAGCCTCAAAATATTTATTTTTTGAAGTTTCTAAAATGGATTCTTGCAAAATTCTGCCCTTATCTTGCAGCTAAAAAATTGTTGATTTTTTATTTTGTTTTGTTTGTTTTTTGTTTTTTGTTTTTTTTAATAACTGCCCTCACCTCCATACTTTTTAATCCCTTTAGAATCCTTGAGCACATAGTTATTTGATATGCAACAAAGGAAGGCACTGCTGACAGGTAGCAGGACTGGTACACAACATGACTTCTACAGTGATGATGTTGGACTCTGTTGAGTCATTTTTACTTTCTTGTTTGTGACCAGTTGTAACAAGTTTTATATTTCCGATTCTGGGTTTAGGGAAAATCTAGGACCAAGGAATGAGGTTTTTTCCTTGGGTCATGATGTTGAACTAAATGCCTCATGCTTCAGAGCAAGCTGATTAAATGAAATTCAAAATGAATAAAAGCCATACCAGTTTTATAATTATAGCAGCCACTTGTTATCTAATGTGTGCCAGGTTATGTGTATTAATAGAGTTCCTCATTTAATTTCAGATTAAGCCAAGTATTTTTGAGCTGAAAGATTATCTAATTTATCTGTAATATAAATGCTTTCATTATTTTGAAAGTGTAACTCTCAAATGAAATTTGTTTCTCGTAGGTTTCTTAAGGGTACCTGGAGGGGAATCTGTTATTTTCCTGGATGAAGAAAATAGTAGAAACTCCTTTCTTATTTTATTAACACATACAAATTATTTGGCTCAGGAAACCTAAAAGGCAATGTAAGCAAATGTTCAGGTGTATGTTAAAACTTTTCTAATTTTTTTTCCAATATTTTTTAAACTTTTTTTTTCTCTTTCCTATATTGCATTACACCTAAAAGGTAGTTTGTGTTTTTTAAAACAGTAAAAATATTATCTGGCACAATAGTGTTATTATGGAATTAGCCTATTGCACATTTTAATGTAAAATTTTGGATTTGATATCCAAATTAATGAGGAAATGATAAAAATTACTATCCTATGTATGCTGAATTAGATCTTGAAGTCTTTAAGAATAGGGACATTGCTGGCGAGTAGAGTGCCACAGGAGTGATATAGGGATTCTAGACTAGGACACAGGCTGTTGTTGAAATAATTTGAAAATTATGTTTTCCTAAGTTATAGGAATCTTTTATGTTATAGATATTATTTATCCCCTCTCCCAAGGAACATAGAATTATAAGATGTTATGTAAAACATAATTTTTTATTGAAGTAGCTTATAAAGTCACTCTAGGAAAGACAAAGCAACTCTAAGTGTAATAATCAGCAGTAAAGTTAGTTCAGAGGCGAAGCAATAGAGCCTTTTAAAAATGTTTTATCCCTAGTGCCTGACACATAAGAGGCACTAAATAAATGTCCCATTAATGAATGGAACTATTTGATACACTCTAACATAACCAGCTTTCACTTGTATTCAAACATTGCTTTAGATTTATGTCAGGACCTGAACTTATCCACACTTTTTAAAAGTTATGGAGTTAATGTTAGCTAAAAAAAGATTGTACTTTTTAGTAGAACTATTCAGATATATCTTATTAATGGTATTATTGAAAGTCACCCAGAAATAGAGCAAGAGTCTCAACTCCTAAAAACATAAATGTGTTTTAGGGGTGGGGTGGTGGAATTGGTGATAGGTGTAGGGAGGCCCTTGACACATGCATGCACTGTGGTTTGGTAAGGACTTAGAAGGAAACAGTAGGCATATTTAACTCCTTCTTAACTTGTCTTTAAGAGGGCATTCCTTGTTTTGTCATGACTCCTATTAAGATAGTAACATACTGGTTAAGAGGATGGACTCTGGATTCAGTAAACCAGAATTTGAGTTCTGGTCTTTCCACTTATTAGCTGGATAATTTTGGGCAAATTATTTAACATCTTAAGGTATCATTGTTCTTTTTTGTTTTGTTTTTTTGAGACGGAGTCTTGCTCTGTTGCCCAGGCTGGAGTGCAATGGCATAATCTTGGCTCACTGCAACCTCTGCCTCCCGAATTCAAGCGATTCTCCTGCCTCAGCTTCCCGAGTAGCTGGGATTACAGGTGCCTGCCACCACGCCCGCCTAATTTTCTATTTTTAGTAGAGACGGGTTTCACCATGCTGGCCAGGCTGGTCTCAAACTCCTGACCTCAGGCAATCCGTCCGCCCCAGCCTCCCAAAGTGCTGGATTACAGGCATGAGCCACCGCACCCGGCCAGGTATCTTTATTCTTATTTCTAAAATGGTGATAATACCAATCTCAAGGAGTAGTTCATTGTTTCCTAAAGCACTTAGTACAGTGTGTGACAAATTGCTCTTGAAGAATGGAAGCTGTTAACTTAACATTTACCTCTTTGACTTTTTGGACTACTTTGCTGGCTTTTCTTCTGGGTACCCTTTAAATGTGGGTTTTCCTAAATGACTTCTCCCCCCATAGTGTATATGTGTGAAAACACTTACTGCTGTGGCTTCAACTAAGTACATATACGATCTCCTATATTCTGTGCTCTAGATCAGGGTCCCCAACCCCCAGGCCACAGACAGGTACCAGTCCGTGGCCTGTTAGGAACCCGGCTGCCCAGCAGGAGATGAGTGGTAGTACCCTAAGCTTCATCTGTATTTACAGCCACTCCCCATCACTCACATTACTGCCTGAGCTCTTTCTCCTGTCATATTAGCAGTGGCATTAGATTCTCATAGGAGTGAAAACCCTATTGTGAACTGTGCACACGAGGGATCTAGGTTGCGAGCTCTTGAGGAGAATCTAATGCCTGATGATCTGTCACCGTCTCCCATCACCCCCAGATGGGACCATGAAATTGCAGGAAAGCAAGCTCAGGGCTTCCACTGCTTCTACATTATGATAAGTTGTGTAATTATTTCATTACATATTATAATGTAATAATAGAAATAAAGTGCTCAATAAATGTAATGTGCTTTAGTCACCCCAAACCACCCTCCACCCCTCCGCCCCAGTACATGGAAAAATTGTCTTCCATGAAACTGGTCCCTGGTGCTAAAAAGGTTGGGGACTGCTGCTCTAGAGCTGAATTCTAGCTACCCCTTTGGACAGCTCCACAAGCTAAACAGAAAACTTTTTATCCAATATGGAACATGTGATTATCCTACCTTTTTTTCTCTTTTGTGTTTCCCCCCTTGAGCTGTCACCATCCACTTAGTTATTTAAACTACAACCTTCAGAATCCCTTTTGACTTGTAAAAAATATCAAACTGGTCATTTACGACTTGTCCGGGTTCCCCACTATAATGTCATTTGAATTTATCCCCTTCAGGTCTACATTTCCTGCCGGGACAAATGCCATGTTAATCCAAACATTGATTTGTATGCCATCCAATCTCTCCTACTTTCGCCCTCCCTTCCTCCCTCCCTCCAACCTCCACCAGGGGAAGCAGAACAAAACAAAAAACAATCACTTTCTCTGTGGTACCCCACATCTGCATCTTCCTGGACCACGCACTCATCTTTGAATCCCTCTTGACTGGCATGTAGTAGGCCAACAAATAAGAGTTTGGTTTAGAAGGAATCACCTTACTGTAAAATAATGTAACTGGGAGTTGTAACAGCATGCTGGGAGTTGTAACAGCATCATGAATAAATATATATGCCCTAATGGAAACTCAAAGGAATATTTGGTCCCGACCAATTAAACATTGCCAGGATTTAAGGAATTTTGATACAATGAGAATTAACTGAAATGTCAATGTTCTTTTAAAAAGATATCATCAGTATTGAGTTGTTAATGACTCTTAGACATGTAAAAGTCTTTAATTCTATCTTGAACAAACAATAAATAAAAGAACTCCTCAGGAGATGCAAGTAAGCCTTGCTTTGATATATTTGGAAAGTAATTGAAATAGGTCAAATAGTGGCAGGGAATTGCATCAGCACTGGTGACCTACCTAAAGTGATTTAAATTTTTTGTTTTTTATTTTTGCCCAAAGAACATGAATACATGATAATGAATAGTCCAGAAGAATTTAGGATGAAAAGTGAATATCTCCTAGTTTACTTTTTCCCACCCTAGTCATATTCCTCAGAGGGAACTTCTATTTTTAGAATTTCTACAGGTTACTGCTAGAACTATAACAAATATGCTTATTCCCTTATAACTTCAGTTACCAACTTTAGACAGTGTCTCTCCTATGCAACAAAAGATGAGGATTTAGCTTGCTCAATTTACTTCCCCTTACTTCCCCTCTCAAGCCTTTTTCCCAGTGTTTTTTGTTAGTATTTTTGGATCATTGATTACTTCCTTTTTTAACTTTAATATAGTTTTTTTTTTTTATATCCTCACCCTTGGTTATTTATCCATTTGTCCTTTTCTTCTCATGTTGTCAAAATTGTTAATGCTTTTTTTTTTGGTTCTGTAATTATACAGTGTTCTGATACTATATTTATTATATGTTGGTTGAAAAAAATTAAATATTAATAAAGGCCTAAGTGCTTGGTTTGGATTTCTTTATTCCATTGTCACACTTTGGGCTGTAAGATGAATAATATATTTAGCCTTAAAGAGAAAAGGAATCTCTCTTCCTAAATTCTGTCATTTACTTAAAATTATTTTACAGTTTCATAGTTATACCATGACTTTCTGAAATTATAGTTATAAGCCTTTTTACTTTCTTTAAATTTATTTGGCCTTATAATCATGTCACCTTTTTATAATTTTTTTTTTTTCCTGGAGCCTACTTTCCTCTAACCTTCTGTCTTCTAACATCAATCTAGATAATTTGTAAAAGCCTGCTGTGTAGCTTTCATTATGGGTTATAGCTTTGTCTTCAGTGTGATGATTTTACCTGCGCTTTTCCACTGAATTTTCATGAGTTTGAGAATCCCCTAAAGTTGCATATAGAATTTGTGTGTGAATGAATTATTAAGCTTTTTTTCATATTCTCAAGGGTGGTTCTTATGATCCCAAAACACATCTATTTTAAAACATCTCCTTTCTTATCCTTTTTATATAATTACCTGTGGTTTCAGAATATTATTTTGTGCATCTTATGTGCTATATATTTTTGTCATACTAAACTATATTCATAACCTCTTCAACTCAAAGAGACTTTCTGCTTTCCTGGAAATGAGGCTGCCAATGAGCATTACACTGGGGTTCCATAGCATAGCCTTCAAGTATATACATTTCTGGCATCTGTAGTCATTTTTCCATACTCTTCAAATTTCCTGAAGTTATGTCTTGCCTGTAAGTGATAGTTTTTCAGCTTTCAAACAGTTGTTGGTCCATTTGGCTGCAGTGGTGATTTTGATGCCCTTCATAGTAGCAGAGGACATTATCACTACCTAATCACCTATTGACCTTTAACTTTGGTTTCCTTGGTCATTTCTTTGGGGCCTTTAGCCACTTTTAACCTTGTACCTTTTAAGTACCTTTAGCATGTTATCTTCTCATTGTTTCTTCATGGCAGGTTCAGTACTACCTTTTGTCAGATCTAAAGTTAATTGCCAAGATTGAAAATAACACAGTAAAAGCTACAATGGAATAAATAACACATGTTGCAGAGTACTTACTTTCTTTTATTCTTCGTAGTACTCATCTTGGCCAAGAATATTTTAAATAGGTACATTAATGGTCCCTGGCCAAGAGTATGCAGGCTAGTATACTATGTTAGTTCCCATTGTCTAGTGTAGGATAGAATGTAGAACCTAAGGAAAATATATTTGCTTGCTTTATTTTTTTAAAGGAGTGTTGTATTTGGGGAAAGTATGTTTATACTTTCATTGAACAAATGGCCATGTTTCTTTTGCCTCGACTTTTTTTTACTATCTGGAATAGTCTCTCTTTCCCATGTTCTTTCACTAGGCTAGCTTGTCTTTCAGGTCTGTGCTTAAATGCCACCATTCAGAGAAGCTTTCCCTGACCTTTCCAAATTAGTTTAAGTTCTGCATATGTATGTTTCCATCACATTCTCCACTGATTATTCATTTATTTATTTAAATCCTTTATTGAGCGCCTTCTATGAGCCAAGTTCTGTTCTGGAAGAGAGGATTCCAGCAGTGAACAAACAGAAGTCTCTGTTCTTACAGAGCTTATATTATGTTGAACAGAAATAAATAATGAACAAATAAGAATATAATACCAGGTAAAGAGTTCTAGGAAGAACAAAGCAGGGTAAAAGCATAAGACTAATGCCTGGCAGATGTAATTTACTTAGGGTGACCAGGAAAGGCCTTACTGAGAAGAAAGCATTAGGGCAGAGATTTGAAGATATGAGGGAGTGAGTTTAGCTAGGGGAGGAGCATTCTGTGCTGAAGGAACCGCAGCTCCAAAGGCTCAGGTGGGTGCATGCCTGGCATGTTCAGGAACAAGGAGGGCATTATGAGCAGAGTAGATGATTGAAGGGGACGGTGGTAGGACATGAAGTGCCAGTGGTTGTAATGAATAGGCAGATCATATAGGGCTTTCTGGACCATAGTGAGGACCTTAGCTAATTACCCTGAGTGTGTTGAGATGCCATAGGAGGGGAGTAGTAGGGGAATGAAGTGATATGACTGTGATCACTATGGCTACTCGGTAGAGAATAGTCTGCAGGAGAGCAAAGGTGAAAATAGGGAGAATAGTTAGGAAATTTGCCATCATTGAGATGAGAGCTGATGGTGGCTTGGACTAGGGTGGTTGAGGTGAGAAATGTTCAGATTCTGGATATATTTTTGAAGACAGAACCTATAGTATTTGCTGATGAATTGGGTGTTGGGTGTATGGACAGTGAGAAATAAGACTTTAAGGTTTTTGGCCTGAACTCATGTCAAGATATAATGGGGTGAGAGAACAGGAGAAATAGGTTTGGGGTAGTGCAGTGGGAGTAGTACAGTGAATGCAGTGGGGGAAGTACTCAGTAGCTCAATATTAGACGTGTTAAGTTTGAGAGGCTTACTGGAAATCTGAGTGGAGATATCAAATAGCCAATTGTTTATATGAATGTAGATCTCAGGTTAGGTTTAAGCTGACTGTCAAGTTGAAGAAGATTATTGAGGGATTTGAGAGAGAGAGAAAGGAATGGAATAATCATCTAGGACAGTAGGAAAATGAATTGACAGAAAAGTTTGAGTAGTATTGCTACTCAGTTGTGGTCAATGATCATGAAATCAGGTTGAGATCAGAGTCAGCAAAGTATATGCTTTTCTGCTACTGTAGGTTTTATCAGACAGTTATGAAAGAGGGAGGGAAGGGCAAGGCAGTAATTATAATGATGGGCCATTTAAAGTTAAGATGGATAAGAAAGTAGGGGGCCTGGGCACAGTGGCTCATGCCTGTAATAGCACTTTGGGAGACTGAGGTGAGTGGATCACTTGAGGTCAGGAGTTCGAGACCAGCCTGACCAACATGGTGAAACCCTGTCTCTACTAAAGAATACAAAAAAAAAAAAAAAATAGCCAGGTGTGGTGGCGTGCGCATGTTTTCCCAGCTACTTGGGGAGGCTGAGGCACAAGAATCACTTGAACCTGGGAGGCGGAGGCTGCAGTAAGCCGAGATCATGCCACTACACTCTGGGACAGAGTGAGACTCTGTCTAAAAAAAAAAAAAAAAAGGCGTAAGGGGATGAGTGACAGTAAAAAGATGGTAGAGTGAATGGATAGGAGGTCCCTCTGTGTTGAAAGAATTTGTGGAGGCAGAGTATTACAGATTTTAAGTGGGAATTATTCTCCCAGTGATGCCACCTCACTTTGTCTCCAAATCTCCCAAGAACAACAGATGTCCAAAAAGGCCAGACAGAAGCCAGGATAATTTAAACATCAGCTTTATTCCTGTTTACAGGCTTGAGAAAACTTAACATCAGCTGTCATGCCCTCTGTCAGTATGTATTCATGTACCAAAAATCATTCATGGGTACCTACTCAGAGCAGCCTCTCCTTTGACTTCCCTGTTTTGCTCAGCATTTTCACCACTCTTAGAAGTTCTGACCTTTCTTATTGTGGTCTTTATCACACTAATGTGTAGATTTTGTTTTTATTGTTACCCTTTTCATGTTATTGCCAGTTGGTGAAAACCTTTGTCTTGAAGGGAATATGGGAATTGATCATAGTAGTTTTTCACCATCTTTAAACCTTGCACCTAGAAGTTAATCAGCTTCAAAAACTGGATATTTACCTTAAAAAGAACAAAAAAGCCAACCAAACCAAAAAGAAAAAACAATTGGGAGTTCCCTGTACACGTATATACACATCCCTCACTAGACAATGAGCTTGTTTAGGGCAGGGTCAGTACATTATTCATAGTTTTTCTCAGCTTCTCCCACAATGCCTGGTAATATAATAGGTTAAGATATTTGTTGTCTGAATAATATGTTATTACAGTAACTCTTCACTTATCTGTACTTTTCATGTCACTTGCCTCTTTGAATCATATCTCAGAGTTAGGAAGAAAGCAATTCCACTTCTGGGACTTATCCGAAGAGAAATGAAAATATGTCTACCCAAAGACATGTTCATAGCAGAATTTGTTATTCATGATAGCCCCGAATTGGAAACAATTCAAATGCCTATTAACTGACGAATGAATAAACAAAATGTAGTGTGTACATTTAACAGAATACTACTCACCAATTAAAAGGAACAAACTACGATAAACGCTATAACATGAATAAGTGAAGCTAGATGTAAAAAGCTGCATATTGTCTGATTCTCTTTTATAGGAAATGTCTAGAAAAGGCAAGCTTATTGATAAAGAGAGCAAATCAGTAGTTGCCTAGGGCTTGGGAGTAACAGCAGGATTAACTGTAAATGGGCACAAGGGTTTGGGGTGATGGAAATGTTCTAAAGCTGGATAGAGTGAATAGTTTCACAACTCTAATTTACTAAAATTATTTTTCACTTATGGGTAAATTTCATGGTAAGTAAACTGTACCTTAATAAAGCTGTAAAAAACCAAATGATTTTGAACAACTAGAAATGTATTCTAGAATAAATGAAGTTTATTCAGAGAAAAGCATTTTGGTTCTCCTATGACCAAACTTGTTGAGTCCGGTTAGGCAAAATTGTAACAAGTATATTTTCTAACACACTGTACGTTAAAAGGAACTCTCATCAGGAGCAAATGATAATTGATAGAGAAATAAAAACTCTTAAGTATAGCAGGCAAGGACCATTTAATGTCAGATTATCTTGTACAAGTCAGTAGCATCTGAGGCCATCTTGACATAAATAAATCTGTATAATTATCAATTACAATGATGACATCTAATCAGTAAGAAAAGCTTGATTTATGCCTGGTCTACTGGTTTTGAAAGTAAGTTAATCACATATTAGAAAGGTTTTAAAAAATTATTAAAATTGAATGTAAAGGAACTAACCTATTTATATTTCTATTTGTAATGGAAAATAGTGCCATTAAGTGAGGTAAATTGTGTTATCATTAATGCAATGTGATACCCTTTATACAAAAATGTTACACTTGACCAACCCCACTATACCACGGTATATAATTAGTGATTTTTGTAGTACTGATGATAAAATTAATTTCAAAGTTTGCTTTAATTTGACCATCTATAGCCAGAATCTTAAATTTCCAAAAGTTTTAGCTGAGGCACATTAATGTGCTCAGGTGGTGAAATAGAAATTATTTTAATCTATATTGCTGAACTTGATATTAATTGTGTCAGTTACCTATTGCTGCATAACAGGTCACCTCTAAATTTCATGGCTTAAAACGACAGCAGCTTGTTTCTTATGATTCTGTGGGTTGACTGGGTAGTTTCTCTGCTGGTCTCACTGGTTTTAGGTTACCGCAGTGCATTCCACTGGTGCATTCTGGGGGATGGGCCCAGCTGGAACAGCAGGGATGCTGAAGTGCCCTTTCTCTATGTGATACGATATCTCAGGCTTCCTCACATACAGCACGTCAGGGCAGTGTTCCAAAAGAGCAAAATCAGAAGTTACAAGACCTTGCCCTGGACTTAGAAGTGACTCGTTGTTTCTGCTGCTTTCTGTTGGTCAAAGCAAGTCACAAGGCCAGCCAAGATGGGAAGGGTGGGGAAAATAGACAACAGTGCTTAATGGAGGCAGTAGAGTTCTATTGCAAGGAGGCATGGACACAAATTTTAAGTTTTTTTCTTTGCCTTTCAGTTCTTTAATAGAAAACTCTTTGTGCATTCCAGAATTAATTTAAACAGAAGACTAGCAGTGTGAACTTAGAGAAACATAACCTTAATTATAAAGTGAAACAGTTGAATTAGATTTTTTAGAAGTTTAAGTCTGTGTAATTGATTATAATATAATTAAATACAAATGTTTTCTTTAGCTTGTCCCTACGCTACTTTTATGTCATTGTATAGCAACTTGAATGTTGAAGTGTATTGAAGAAGTGTTTCAAGTTTTGGAATCTCATAGACCCGGATTGGCATCTTACCCTTTTCTGGTCTGTTTCTGTATCTGGAAAATGAGGACTAAAATGTATTTTGATTGAGAAGATGAAAACCATCTGGAGATGGATGGTGCTGATGGTTGCACAGCAGTGCAAATGTGCTTAAAGTCACTGAACGGCACACTTTGAAAAGGTTAACATGGCAAATTTTATGCGTATTTTACCACAATAAAAAAAGTAATGTACCTTGAAAAAGTATTAAGAGGATTCAATTTAGTATACATCTTAAACACTCAGTAATTCAGTAATGCATATTTTACTAGGCTAGTGTTAGGATAACCAACCTTGCTTGCTTGCCTGCTTGCTTGCTTGCTTCCTTCCTTCCTTCCTTCCTTCCTTCCTTCCTTCCTTCCTTCCTTCCTTCCTTCCCTTCCCTCTTTCCTGTCTCCCCCTCCCCCTCCCTCTTTCCTCCTCCCCTCCCTTCCCCTCCCCTTGTTGCCCAGGCTGGAGTACAATGGCACAATCTTGGCTCACTGCAGCCTCCACCTCCCAGGTTCAAGTGATTCTCTTACCTCAG
Source organism: Homo sapiens (assembly GCF_000001405.40). NCBI lineage: Eukaryota > Metazoa > Chordata > Mammalia > Primates > Hominidae > Homo > Homo sapiens. The sequence goes on along the minus strand of NC_000002.12, from coordinate 183,009,273 downwards.
CCTCCAGAGTAGCTGGGACCACAGGTGGCTAACCTGCCATGCCGGCTAATTTTTGTATTTTTAGTAGAGATGGAGTTTCACCATGTTGTCCAGGCTGGTCTTGAACTCCTGACCTCAGGTGATCCGCCCACCTCGGCCTCCCAAAGTGCTGGGATTGCAGGCGTGATCCTCCGCACCTGGCCTGGATACATTTTCCTAAAATATATTTACTACAGTTTCCTCAGAAAAATGCATTTTTGAAATATTTACTGCCAGTATAATCACTTTGTATATGAAAAAAGAAATACACTACAAAAGATTTTAAGTAGGAGTCTAAGGTTCTTTTAAAACATGACTATTCTTTGTGTTAATTAGAATTTTTAGGTAATCTTAAGAGATTTGCTTATATTTGATATGCATATGTCAGTCTCTATGGTTGCCACTCATTTCTTTTATGCTTTCCTTTGCTGGAAGGACATAATGTGAAGTATTTTACCCAACTTTGGGGATTTTATTCAAGGGATTAAATCAATTTAGAAACTCATTTGAGACATGAATTTATACCTACTGTCAAATTCATTTATGGCTAGCAATGAAATTTTAAAATTGGTAGTATCTACTCTCCCTCACTGAAGAGAAGTGAGGTGAGGGAGTAAGCTGTGCTCAGAAATGTTGAAGAGCACCCCAGACATGAGAAAGAACAAATGCAAAGGCTCTGCGATGGGAACATACTTGGTGAATGCAAACACAGCAGGAAGACCAATATGATAACTATACTGAGTGAGGGTGGAGGAGCATGAAAGAAGATGAGGTCTTAGAGATAGACAAGGGCTTTGATTTAGACTTTATTCTGAGGCACTGGTAATTATTTTTTTATTCTAATTGTGAGGTGAAACTGTTGGAATTAAAAAATGATTTTTGTATTGAAATAATGTTAGAGTTATAAAAACTTTGCAAAAATAGTATAGAGAATTCACCTGTATTCTTCACGTGCTGTTAAACATCTTGCATAACATCAGTGGAATCAGTTTTTTTAGGGTAGTGTGTTGCTTTAAAATGTTCACTGTGGCTGGGCGTGGTGGCTCATGCCTGTTATCCCAGCACTTTGGGAGGCCGAGGCGGGCGGATCACCTGAGAGGTTGGGAGTTCGAGGCCAGCCTGACCAACATGGAGAAACCCCATCTCTACTAAAAATATAAAATTAACTGGGTGTGCTGGCGCATGCGTATAATCCCAGCTACTCGGGAGGCTGAGGCAGGAGAATTGCTTGAACCTGGTAACAGGAGGTTGCAGTGAGCCGAGATTGTGCCATTGCACTCCAGCCTGGGCAACAAGAGCCAAACTCCGTCTCAAAAAAAAAGAAAACAAAAACAAAAAACATTCACTGTGCTGCTGCTATGTGGAGAAGATTGAAGAGGCAAGAGGAGAAATACAGAGACCAGTTAGGGTGCTACCGTAGGAGTCCACATGAGAGTTGATGACTAGGGTGGTAGCTGGGACAGTTTAGGCAGAGATTTACCCAAATAGCATCTCAGTGCACTCTTACTTTGAGCAGCCTGGCCTAGAATATCATACTAAGAATTTGAACAAAGCATTCCTTGAAACCAAACTTCTGAATTTGGTTTTTTTTTAAGAGGAACAAATGCTAGCAAAACTTAGATTAAGAAAAATAATTTATGAATAAGCAGTTTCAATAACAATAGAAGGTAATAATTGAAATGAGTGAATAAAAACTACCCACGTTCCTTTGTATTCAGTGGTTTAGCTCGTAGGCACTGATTCCTTATGGTAATTTGCCATTGCTTTTTCTTTGGAAGAATGAAATACTTTAGGATTTAGAATACATAATAAATTTCAATTTTCTCGATACTTATATTTGTGTGGAAAATGCTTCTTAATTGAACAAAGATTAATTACCAGGATTTTTCAGTATGAAGATAGGTTCTTTGCCATAAGCATGCCTGATATTTATCCTGTTTATTTCCAGTTTTTACATATTTTACTTGAATATTTAGAATAATGACCCATAGCTAGAAAGTTTAAGGAAAGCATTATACAAATTCTTTGCTAAAATATTTGCATGTATCACATGAATATGCTTTTATAAGTATTAGCGTATTGAGGCCGGGTACAGTGGCTCATGCTTATAATCCCAGCACTTTGGGAGGCCGAGGCGGGAGGATCACCTAAGATTAGGAATTTGAGACCAGCCTGACCGACACGGTGAAACCCCGCCTCTACTAAAAATACAAAGAAATTAGCTGGATGTATGGTGCCTGCCTGTAGTCCCAGCTACTTGGGAGGGTGAGGCAGAAGAATTGCTTGAACTCGGAAGGCAGAGATTGCAGTGAGCCGACATCACACCACTACACTCCAGCCTGGGCAATAGAACAAGACTCCATCCCAAAAATAAATAAATAAAATATTAGTGTAGTGAATAGAATCAATTTTTTCTCACAGTAGTACTTTTCTAATGTTCTGTTGTATAACATCAAACAATGTGTTACCTATGTTCTTAGGCCATTTTCTGCTTTTTATTTCCTATAAAACAATGTGATTGAATTAAGAAAACTTGGTTCTAGATATTAATAATTTTTGGTAGTATCTACTCTCCCTCACTTTAGGAACTAAAATGTAGCATTTTTTGTAGTTGAAGCAAGAGAGTTGTAGACACTTTTGTTCTTCATTGTTGTAGTTGACCTCTTTCACCCAGGCTTTATGGAATTTATTTTCACTAAAATGGGGAACGTGATTGCATAGAGATATTGAGAGGATTGTGTGAGAGACCTGTAAAATGTTTGGAACAATCGATGCCTGACACATAATGTATGCTCAGTAAATATCAGCTCTTATTAGAAATACTATGGGTAATAATGGGGAATATTAAAGTTTTATTATATTTATTTTGAAGAAGTGATCTGCAAGCTTCCTTTGTTATTCACTTAATATTTAATGTACAGCTTCTGGCTGTGAGGCATTGCTACATATTCTTATGTACATTATCTTGGTTAATTGTCCATGTCAGCTTCCATTTCGATGAGGAGGGTATTAGGCTAGAGATGTTAAGTCATTTAACCATGGTTGCATAATAAGGTATGCTTTCTAGCATCACCTACCAAAACATATCATCTGACACTGGTAGTCTTTGAAGTTTGTCATTATAATCCCTTATCTGATAGATGTTTGCATTGGATACTTCCTTTGTCCAGAACTGTATGATATGGACTGGGGAAATTAAAACTTGAGTTTGGTACACTGTCTAATTGTGCTGGAGATAGCTATAATAGAAGATAGAAAGTGATAGCTGCTGTTAGACATTATACATGTTTAGAGGAGGGAGATGTTAGCATTTCAGGGAAGGAGTGCAATCAGGTGCGGTTTTCTGAAAATGGGATTAGCATTTAAACTAAGTGCTTTAGGAATAGTGGGGTTGGGACATGTTTAAATGGTGGGATTCTGACATTCCAGTAGAGGAACAGTAAGAAAGCAGGAGGTGTGTATAGAAAATAGTGAATAGATTGTTTTGGCTACCGTATGTAGTGTGTGAATACATGTAGGGGAAATGTAGATTGGAAAAGTAAGTTAGGGCCAGATTGTGGAGGGCCTTGAAAGCTAGACTGTTTTGAATTTAGGCATCTAGTAGTTGTTTGATAAATGTTTGTAGCTAAGTAGAGTCTAGTTATATATGGCTTTGGGGGAAATAAAGTTGAATGAGAAATGTAGCCTATGAGATTGTATTAAAAAGGGAGATGATGGGCATGTAGAATGGTAGAAAGAACACTTTCAGAAGTAAAGAGATGAGATTTCCAATCTTGGCTCTGTCATTAAGTAGTTGTAACTTTAAGAAGGTTCTTTTAAGGTCTGTAGGTCTTAGGTTCTTAATATGGAAAATGAGGTTTGTATTTAAGACCATTTAAGGCTCATAGTAAGATGGTGACCGTATTATTTATTGTTCAGACTAGGACACTGAAGTTGGAAGGAAAGGGGACACAATTAGTAAAATTATACTAGGGCAACTAAAATAAATTGGGATTATTAAGCCCAATATAAACCAAATTATACCCTTCATATCTTACTATTATGAATGTACTTTCACCTGTTGTATTTTGAAACTCAAGTTTAAAGTACTGAAAAGCAGGAAAAAGGACTAAGACATCAATTCTAAATGTTTAATGTTGTCGAATAAGGTAATAAGTATTCACTTTATGTTTTTGGAGTAGTAATGATTAAAATGTGCATATAAACATGGAATCGTTCTGAAACAGATAATGTTGTGCAAAATAGAGTCAGCTACTCTCAGATGAAGCTAAAAATAGTCACTACAAGTATATATCTTAATTTGTCTGGTATTTAGGGGTAGTAATGAAATATTTCATTTGTGAATATTTTCTTTTTTCTTTTTTTTTTTTTGAGATGGAGTCTCATCTCTGTCACCCAGGCTGGAGTGCAGTGGCTCGATCTAAGCTTACTGCAGCCTCCTCCTCCCTAGTTCAAGCGATTCTCCTGTCTCAGCCTCCTGAGTAGCTGGGATTACAGGCATGCGCCACCATGCCCAGCTAATTTTTGTATTTTTAGTAGAGACAGGGTTTCACCATGTTGGTCAGGCTGGTCTCGAACTGCTGACCTCAGGTGATCCACCCATCTTGGCCTTCCAAAGTGCTGGGATTACAGGCTTGAGTGTGAATATTTTCTAGATAGAATTACTTCTTTAAATGTCTTCAGGGAGTGCAATATTTAGGGTGGTTTACCCTATAATAGTAGGGTCTTCCAGACTGCTGTGCTTGCTGTTTTTTTTTTTTTTTTTTTGCTTGCTGTTTTAAATAGGTTTTTCGTAGTTAAAAATATATATATATTCCTCTGATGTTAGGCTCACTGCTGTAAATTTTCTGACTTACCATAGTGGTTCAGTACAATTATGTATGGATGCATCTTCCCCCTAACGTTCCTGAGTGTAATTCAGAACTATATGGAGGCCTCAGCATTGTATGGGCTTTGATAGCAAATCTGCTATTTTGAGCCACTTATATTTTCCAGTTTTCTCATGTTCTGAATAAACTTCTCACACATTTAATGTGTGTTTACAACACCTGGGTATCTTGTTAAAGGGCAGATTCAGATTCAGTAGATCTGAGGTAGGCCTGAGATTCTGCTTTTCTAACAAGCTCCTGAATGATGTGGGAGTGGCTATTCAGTAAACTATACTCAAGAGTGTCAAGGTTCTAGATCATTTATTGGAATTCTGAGAATCTTATAGGGCATTAAAAATAGCTAGATTCTTTTAGAAATTATATCAATAGTTGATTTTAAAAGAAAAATTGGGACTTTTGTAAATTTAATTATACAGTTGATTAAAATACTATTTGTCTTTCAACATTTCCCTCTTTCATGTCTTAACTCTAGTTTTGCTTCTTTCTCATTTCTTTTTTGTTGTTGTGGTTTTTGCTTTTGTTTAATATATTATTGTGTTTTCTGGATCTGGTCAGGGAACCGTTACCGTATTTTATGTTTGTATCTACATTTTATTTTGCATGCGTAACGTGGCTTTACCTGGATGTTCTTTTTGGTAAGTTCCAAATTTATATAGCATATTGTTTTTTTGTAGTGTGAGTTGTAATGTTTTTCACCTTCTTTTCTCCCACTTCTAGTAATGTGATCATGCTCATGACTTGTTTTTAATTTTTTAAGAGTTCATTTGATACTTTTTTTCCTAACACTTTCAGATTTTCCTTAATAGTAGCGCAATTTGGTACTAATATGCTTTGATTTGTTTTATAGCCTCACACTGTCAGTTGCTGATCACTATTAGCAGTTGCTGTCTCGAGTACTTTGGTTTTTTAAAAAGCCGTAATCATCTAGAAATATTCTAAAAGCTTGTGCTTCCATATAGCAGTCATAAAAGAAGATAGTTTGTAGTAAAATTAAATACTTTTGTTCTCTATGAGCAATGCATTCTAATTTTGTTTTTACAGCAACAGCTTGCACAACTACAGAAAGAAAAATCAGAGATTCTGAAAAATCTGGCATTATATTACTTCACATTTGTAGATGTTATGGAATTTAAGGTATGTATTTTAATATATAATATTTAACACTTCAGAAGTAGATTTAAATGTTTATTAATTGTGTGAATTGCTGTGTCAGTTGTAAATAATAAAATTGAAATTCTTCCAGAACTGAAGTTTAACACATACCTTATTTGTTTGTGTTTTCTGAATTTAAACAGATTTATACAGATAAAAGATTAAAATAAGTATTTCTTTTCAGGACCATGTTTGTGAATTGCTGAATACTATTGACGTTTGCCAAGTCTTCTTTGATATTGTAAGTATCATTTTCAGAAAAATGTCCAATTATTCTGTTTCCAGAAGAGCTCAGGGGACCACTTGCTTTTCTTTAGCTAGATTATGTAACTAGCATATAAAGTTTTAGCATTATTAATTTGGCTTGTTTTATAGCTTTTTTAAAAAGTAAAGTGTGTATTCTTTTTATTTGTTTTGATTGTCACTGAGTATAAGTCTTGTACATATTGGGAAATACACGTTAACTTTAGTATTTTATTTAATAGGCCCAATTTTGAAAAGTTAAGTGGATAATATTTTCTCTGTAAAAGGCATACTTGATGGACTCTTTCTTAGTATGATAATTTTTAGATACAAGAAGTCAAAGTGAAAATTGTCTCCATTTACTTAATGGTGAACTTTAAAAAATAATTTTTTTCCTCTTTCGTGAGATTGGCACCAGTGTTCCTTATTATTCTGGCTTTTATTCTTTTGAACTGTTACCAGTTTGAATATAGTGATCACAAGCTCTTTTTCTTTCATCCATAAAATTGTGTCAGACACAAAACTGTTATCTGTAACTGTCAAATTTTAGATGTGCTTTTAGTGAAAGGAATTAGCATTTTAGAACAGGGATAAAATAAATACAGAAAATTATTAGCTCTCAATAGCTTCTATGAAGATTTTGTGTGTGTTTAAAATTTTAAGAAATAGGAAGTAGTTGAACTTGATTTTTTTTTCTCCTAGACTGTAAACTTTGATTTAACAAAGAACTACTTAGATTTAATTATAACCTATACAACACTAATGATACTGCTGTCTCGAATTGAAGAAAGGAAGGCAATCATTGGATTATACAACTATGCCCATGAAATGACTCATGGAGCAAGGTAGATTTGCATTATAAAAGTCTTTCTAAAATGCTCAGTTTGATGGATTACAACTCATTGAAATTTGATATGTCTGTTTTAAGTGACAGAGAATACCCACGCCTTGGCCAGATGATTGTGGATTATGAAAACCCTTTAAAGAAGATGATGGAAGAATTTGTACCCCATAGCAAGGTAAGAGGCAGTTGTTAGGCATATGAGAGAATGGGCATATAACATAGCATGAGGATGGATGGTTGGATAAAGGGATAATCTTGTTTTTGAAAAATACTATAATGGGATATAAGTAATAGTTATGTGTGCTTTTATCTAATTATAGACAGGGAACTAATTAATGAGATTCAGAATAGTGTATAGAGACTCAAGAATATATTGATTGATTTCATTATAGTTTTTTAGATTTTAATATAGCACTAAACAATAGGATTTACCATATGGTATTTGAGAGGGTCTGTTCTCACACTAATGGGTTTTAATAGCAATTCTGCAAATTATAGTATAATATTTGTCGAGTTACTTAACTAACCTCACGATACCTCAGTTTTCTTATCAGTAAAAATGGAATAATAATAGCACTTATTTCATATGGTTCTTATGAGAATTAAATGAATTACTTCATTAAAAAGTACAGTGTTTGATAAATTTTAACTTTATTATAGTCTCAAAAAATGACGGGTTTTATGAAAATAATTTGAAATGACTATCTTTTAAGAGATATTAAAAATAGTTCTTAATGAAATAAGTTTGGTTGTAAGTAGTCTTGTCATTATGGATTCTCTGCAGAAGGGCTGATTCACAGAATGGTAGTTTCTGAACACTTCAAGGAAATTCATAGGTATCTTATCCAGTCTCATTATTTATAGCTAAGGATTAAGGGCTGGAGCAGTATCATGACAAGGTAAGTCATTTGGTAACAATAGTGGCAAAACTAGAACTGAAGCCCAGGATACTAGAATCTTGGTCTACATTGTTCTCTTTGAATCATAAAAGTTAAACTATTTACCTTGTGTAAGTCTGTGCTTTTTTCTTTCTTTGAGACAGCGTCTCGCTCTGTCGCCCCAGCCGGAATGCAGTGGTGCAATCTCAGCTCACTGGAGCTTCCGCCTCCCGGGCTCGTGATTCTCCTGCCCCTGCCTCGAGAGTAGCTGGGATTACAGGCATGCACTACCACGCCTGGCTAATTTTTTTGTATTTTTAGTAGTGACAGGGTTTCACCATATTTCCCAGGCTGGTCTCTAACTCCTGAGCTCAGGCAATCCACCCACCTCAGCTTCCCGAAGTGCTAGGATTACAGGCATGAGCCACTGTGCCTGGCCACTGTGCTTTTTTCTTGGCATACAGTTAACACCAATAATTTTCTTTGAATTTTTTTACTCCCATGAAAATTCTGAAGAATTCTTTCCAGATTTGCATAGCTACATTATACACAAATTTATATAGGTTTTCTGTCTTGGAATTGGTTGAATCATTAGTTTGCAAGAAGCTAGTAGATGGCATCAGTTTTGAAATTTAAAAAAATCAGCATTTTAGATGGAAGTATCAGAATTCCTCAAAATACTGCACATATCATGGTCATCTCCTATCTCTAATATCAGTAGTGGTTTTTCCCCACCCGGAACTGTCTTTTCTATTCCTCTCCTCTTTTCTCTCTGGATCCATTTAGGATTTTTCCCTAATCATGTATGGTCTTGTTTTTATTTAGCTATTTTATATTTGGTTCTTTCTCCACTTAGGTGTTGAAAATTTCCTTGACAGGCTCTTGAAAATTCCAAGCTAGGCTCTCGGCTTTTTAAGTTCTATATAGGCATTAGCACATTAACAAATTCAGTATATAGTAGGTTATTGATAATTACATAGGATAATTCATTTGAATTTAGACCACTTATTTTCCAATCTTGATTTTTTTCTAATATTCCGTGATACCTTAGAATTTTGATAAAACACTATTTTTTATTTGCCAGGGTTTGTTTTCCTGTTTCTTGTTTAGATTCATGGGGTACACTTTCAGGTTTGTTAAATGAGTATATTGTGTGATGCTGGGTTTGGGCTTCTAATGATCCTGTTGCCAAAGTAGTGAACATGGTACCCAATAGGTAGTTTTTCAGTTCTTATCCCTCTCCTTCCCACTTCTGGAGTCCCCAGTGTCTGTTGTTTCTTTGTGTCCATGTGTACCCAATGCTTAGCTTCCCCTTATAAGTGAGTACAATCAGTATTTGGTTTTCCGTTTGTGCATTAAATCTCTTTTGATAATGGCCTCCAGTTCCATCCATGTTGCTGCAGAAAGACATGATTTTGTTCCTTTTTATGGCTGCATAGTGTTCCGTGGTGCATATATACCACACTCTCTTTATCCAGTCCAGTGTTGATGGGCACCTGGGTTGATTCCATGTCTTTGCTATTGTGAATAGAGCTGCAGTGAACATACGAGTGCAAGTGTGTTTTTGGTAGAACAGTTTATTTTCCTTTGAGCATCTACCCAGTAATGAAATTGCTGGGTTGAATGGTAATTCTATTTTTGGTTCTTTCAGAAGTCATCAAACTGCTTTCCACAGGGTTTGAATTAATTTGCATTACCACCAACAGTGTATAAGCATTTCCTTTTCTCCAGTAGCCTTGCCAACATCTGTTATTTTTTTGACTTTTTAATATTTGCCATTCTGACTGGTGTAAGATGGTATCCCATTTTACCAGTGGTTTTGATTTGCATCTCTCTGATGATTAGTGATGTTGAGCATTTTTTCATATGTTTGTTGGGTGGTTATATGTATTCTTTTGAGAAGTGTTTATTGACGTCCTTTGCCCACATTTTAGTGGGGTGGTTTGATTTTTTCTTGTTGATTTAAGTTCCGTATAGATTCTGGATATTAGTCCTATGTTGGGTACATAGTTTGCAATTATTTTCTCCCATTCTGTAAGTTGTCTCTTTATTTTGCCTTTGCTATTCAGGCTGTTTTTTGGTTCCATATATATTTTAGAATAGATTTTTCTAATTATATGAAAAATGACAGTAATTTGATTGGAATAGTGTTGAATCTTTAAACTGCTTTGGGCATTATTGTCATTTTAATGATATTGATTCCTCCATCCCATGAGCGTAGAATGCTTTTCCATTTATTTGTGTTATCTGTGATTTCTTTCAGCACCGTTTTCTAGTTCTTCTCTTAGAGAGGTTTCACCTCCTTGGTTAGGTGTATAGGTGTATTCCTAGTTATTTTATTTTTTTGTGGCTATTAGTAAGTGGGATTGCTTGCCCTTCCTTCCTTCCCCCCTTTTTTTTTTTTTTTTTTTTTTTGTTGGAGTCTTACTCTGTCACCCAGGCTGGAGTGCAGTGGTGCCATCTTGGCTCTTGGCTCACTGCAACCCCCACCTCCTGGGTTCAAGCAATTCTCCTGCCTTTGCCCCCTCAGTAGCTGGGATTACAGGTGCCTGTCACCACGCCCAGCTAATTTTTGTATTTTTAGTAGAGATGGGGTTTCATCATGTTGACCAGGCTTGTCTCAAATTCCAGACCTCAGGTAATCAGCCCGCCTTGGCCTCCCAAAGTGCTGAGATTATAGGTATGAGCCACCGTGCCCGGCCAGGATTTTATTCTTGAGTCCTCAGCTTGAATGTTATTAGTGTATAGAAATACTGCTAATTTTTGTATGTTGATTTTTGTATCCTGAGACTTTGCCAAAGTCATTTAGTTTTCTAGGTATAGAATTATATTGTCAATGAAAAGAGATACTTTGACTTCCTTTTTTTCAATTTGGATGCCTTTTATTTCTTTCTCTTGCTTGATTGCTCTGGCTAGGACTTTCAGTACTATGTTGAATAGAAGTGGTAGGAGTACAGACATGGTAGGAGTACAGACACCCTTGTCTTGTTCCAGTTCTTACGGGAAAGCTTCTAGCTTTTGCCCATTCCGTATATTGGCTATGGGTTTGTCATAGATGGCACTGCTTATTTTGAGGTGTGTTCCTTTGATGCCTAGTTAGTTGAACATTTTATCGTGAAGGGATATTGGATTTTATCGAATGCTTTTTCTGCATCTATTGAGATGATCATATGGTGTTTTAAAAATTTTTGTTTATGTGGTTAATCACATTTATTGATTTGCTTATGTGGAACCAACCTTGCATCCCAGGAATAAAGCCCACTTGATCATGGTGAATTAACTTTTTGATGTCCTGCTGGATGTGGTTTGTGAGTATTTTGTTGAGGATTTTTGTGTCTATGTTCATCAGGGATATTGGCCTGTAGTTTTCTTTTTTTGTTGTTGTATTTTTGCGAGATTTTGGTACCAGGATGATATTGGACTCATAGAATGATGAGGAGCCCCTCCCCCTCAACTTTTTGAAATAGTTTCAATAGGATTGTATGTCTGGTAGAGTTCAGCTGTGAATCTATGTGGCCTCTGGCTTTTTCTGGTTGGTAGGTATTTTATTACTGATTCAATTTGATTACTCATTGGTCTGTTCAGGATTTCTGTTTATTCCTGGTTTCATAAAGCAAATCTCAATAAATTAAAATCATGCCAAGCATCTTCTCAGACCATACTGGAGTAAAAATAGAAGTCAATACCAAGAGGAATTCTCAAATCCACACAAATACTTGGAAACTAAACAATTTTATCCTGAATGACTTGGGTAGATAATGAAATTAAGGCAGAAATAAAAAAATTCTTTGAAACAAATGAAAATAGCGACACAACATACTGAAACCTCTGGAATGTGGCAAAAGCAGTGTTAAGAGGAAAGTTTATGGCACTAAAACGATGATAAAAATAGCTCAAATTAATAACCTAACCTTGCACTTACAAGAACTAGAAAAAGAAGAATGAACTAAACCTAAAGCCTGCAATGAAAATAAATAACCAAAATCACAGCAGAGCTAAATGAAATTGAGACCCAAAAACCATACAAAGGATCAGTGAAACAAAAAGTTAGTTTTTTGAAAGGATTGCCAATAAGGTTGACAGACTCTTAGCTAGATTAACAAGGAAAAAAGAGAGAGAGAAGATGCAAATAACCACAATTAAATGAGAAAGGTAATATCACAACCAATCCCACAGAAATACAAAATATTATCAGAGACTACTAGGAACATCTCTGTACACACAAACTAGAAAATCTAGAGGAAGTGGTAAATTCCCATAACATAACAACCTCCCAAATTTCCCAGGATTTAAAAAATTACATTATTTAATTTTTAAAACATTCTTAGTTGGCTACGTCAGAATCACTTTGTGTAGCTTAATAAAATGGTAGATTGTGGGGTTCTGTTTCCAGAGGTTCAGTTTCACTAAATTTCAGTTACAGCCCTGTATTCTGTATTCAGAACAGACTTCTCTGGCATTCTGTGTGCAGTCAGATTAAAGAATCACTCTTACAGCCAGGCGTGGTGGCTCACGCCTGTAATCCCAACACTTTGGGAGGCCGATGCAGGCGGATCAGGAGGTCAGGAGATCGAGACCATCCTGGCTAACACGGTGAAACCCCGTCTCTACTAAAAATACAAAAATTAGCTGAGCGTGGTGGCGGGCGCCTGTAGTTCCAGCTACTCCGGAGGCTGAGGCAGGAGAATGGCGTGAACCTGGGAGGCGGAGCTTGCAGTGAGCTGAGATCGCACCACTGCACTCCAGCTTGGGCAAAAGAGCGAGACTCCGTCTCAAAAAAAAAAAGAATCACTCTTTACAGAATTTTTAGGAAGCAGGGATTAATAGCAAAAGACATTTATGAAAGCAAGAAAGAAACAGTTGAGATGAAACGTTAAATACCTTGATAATAAAGCTGTAATCAACAAACCCGTTGATAAAGAGAAGTTAAGTAATTTATTAAGATGAGGTACAGTGTATTATTTTTATAAGACATTCTTTAGAGAAATATAAAGCATGTTGAGTTTTATTAACACTTAGTCATATAACCCTGAAGTCTTTTTCTTTTGGAACTATCAGAAACTATCAGAATGGAAACTTGCATTGGCAAAAAGGTGACAGTGGGCTGTCTATCCCTTTTGGAATAAAGTTCCCAAGATTGCCACGTATTTTAACCTTTAAGAAAATAACATGAGTTTCTGACCTAAGCTTTTGCTCAAAAACGCAGAATCTGTGTAGCTTTTATAACGTTAGCAAAAAAATTCTAGAGGAGAGGAGCCACAACCCAACTCAGATATTATAAGGAGCATGGGTATAATTAGGCTGTGTTGTTTTATGATGGTATAGTTAGAAACACACAGCAATTATAGCTGCAATGTAAACAGAAAAGGAAAGAAAATTATTCTTCAGCTTTTTTTTCGTATTTTAATTAGTCTCTTTCAGATGCACTAATTTCTCTTCAAATGGTATATCCTCGAAGGAATCTTTCAGCTGACCAGTGGAGAAATGCCCAGTTATTGAGCCTCATCAGTGCACCTAGTACAATGCTTAATCCAGCACAGTCCGACACTGTATGGTTCTATTTTTCTCTTTTGAATGAAAATAAAGTGACTTTTAAAAAAATAATAGTTCAGTAATGCTGTTGCTGTTTGTTTCTAATTAGCATTAGCTTATTAGTTGAAGTTCATTATAAAATGTTCACTACTTAAGTCATATTGTTCAGATTTTTTAGCTTTAGAGTCTTAATGAAAACTGGTGATAAATTAATATGGTGAATAGTATGAGTACTTTTTTCTTTAAAGTTTAAAAGTTTGTTTTGCTTTATCATGGTAGAAAAATTTGAAGTATAAAGCAAAAACAAAAATCACCCCAAATCTCACCAAGTAGAACCAAGTAGACAAAATCATTGTTATATTCCATTATATTTTTTTCAGTCTATTCTCTGTATTTATGAACATAGGTGTCACACATATGGAGAATACACACACATAGCTACTGATTTTGGTGAGACAGTGAGTATTCAGACACATAAATGTCTTTTAACTTGACTAAAATTTTATCTTTTGGAATATTGTAAACTTTGAAATAGGCTTGAGAAATTGATAAGTTGTCATTTACCAGATTAAAGATAATTAGCAACAATATTTTTTTAAAGAGAGGTTTGAGGGTATGCAGATGTGAAAGGGGCACACCTCTCGTTGTTTATTGACTGCAAGTTTCAGTATAGGTAATAAAACTTTTATCCAGCTCTTCAAATTTGTTGTGGTAGTATTTGGGCGAAGAATTGGGTAGTAAGTTATCAGGAGAAAGGGAGGAGAGTGGCTCAATATGGAATATTTTTTAGAATTTCTTTTAACTGCAAATGTATATATTCTCTTTTTAAGATGCCTTGTGAATACCTCTCTTTGGATGCAATGGAAAAGTGGATTATCTGTAAGTAAAATGGGTTAGTGTTATGATTACTCCCCAGGCTTTATGTTTTAGAGAAAAATAGCAGGTGACATGGTTACTACCTCTGTGCTTAGCATTGTGCTAACCCATCTATGTCCATTACCTCTTTCAGTCCTCATATTGATCCTATCAGAGTAGATAGCCTGTTTGTGGGTTTTTTTTCTTTTTTTTCTTTTTTTTTTGAGATGAGGTCTTGCTCTGTCATCCAGGGTGGAGTGCAGTGGCACAATCTCGGCTCACTGCAACCTCCGCCTCCTGGGTTCAAGCAGTTCTCGTGTCTCAGCCTCCCGAGTAGCCGGGACAACAGGCACACGCTACCATGCCTGGCTAATTTTTGTATTTTTAGTACAGGCGGGGGTTTCTCCATATTGGTCAGGCTGGTCTCGAACTCCTGACCTCAAGTGATCTGCCCGCCTCGGCCTCCCACAGTGCTGGGATTATCGGTGTGAGCCACTGCACCCGGCCAGGTAGTCTATTTTAAAGCTGGGGAATCTAAAGCTTAGGCCACACAGCTAGTGAGTGACAAAGACAAGATAAGAACCCAGCCTAACTCCAAGGCTCATGGGCTACGTTATATTGCCTTTCAACATAACCTTCAAAACTAAATTTTGGTTTTGCTTTTAATGATTATTTAAATGTCACATCCGTTCACTTAAAGTTTTTGGTTTTAATTCACTTCAGTTTAATAAATTACTCGTATGTTTGGCAGTTTTTTAGATGCACAGGAGATAAAAGTACTAGTTTCTGCTTCTAAGAAGCTTACAAACTATGAGAGAAATAGACACAAGGTTTTTGTTTGTTTGTTTGTTTTCCTTCGTTTTATTGTGAACATCAAGAAAGTTGAAATAATTGTAGAGTGAACACCCATAAATCTACCACCAAGTTTCTATGACTTCTAATAGCTTGTTGTATTTGCTTTTAAGCTGTTTGTTTATCAGCTTCAAAAGAGATTTTATTTAAACTTTTAGGTTCATGCATACATGTGCAGGTTTGTTATATAGGTAAATTGCATGTCATGGGGGTTTGGTGTACAGATTATTTTGTCACCCAGGTAATAAGCATAGTACCTGATAGGTCGTTTTTTTTATCCCAACCTTCAAGTAGGCCCTGGTGTCTATTGTTCCTTTCTTTGTGCCCATGTATACTCAGTGTTTAGCTCCCCTTATAAGTAAGAACATGTAGTATTTGGTTTTCTGTTCCTGCCTTAGCTTCCTAAGGATAATGACCTCCATCTCCATCCGTGTTACTGCAAAGGATATGAATTCATTTATTATGGCTGTGTACTATTCCATGGAGACACACAGGTTTAATACAGAATGAGAATTTCTGTAATATAGATAAATTCCTCCTACTCACCCCTAGGCTCACTGCCACAGGGGAATAATTTTGAAGTGTTTGTGTTTTTTCATTCTTACAGGTTTTGTTCTTGATTTATTAACCTTTAGAGAATAGAGTTGGCCCTTTATATCCTGGGGTTCTGCATCCAGAGATTCAGTCAACAGCCAATTAAAATACGGGAAAAAATTTCACAAAGGTCCAAAAAGCAAAACTTACTGCATAATGAGTATTACATTGAGTCCACGCAAATGAAGTGATGTGTAGGTATTGTATTAGGTATTACAAGTAATCTGGAGGTGATTTAAATTATGCAGGAGGAAGTGTGTAGGTTATATGTAAATACTACACCATTTTATATAAGGAACTTCAGCATCCACAGATTTTGGTATCTGTTGATGGTCCTGGAACCAATCCCCTACATTGAGAGATGACTGTATTTGTTGACTTTTTATTACAGTGTTTCTCAAACTATGGTGAAGGACTAGTTTTTCTTCTTTAATATTTTTTGGATTGATCCTTTAATAAAATAAAGAAAATGAATTACTAGAATTACCAGAAAAACAAAATAATAAAGACATAAAATACAAGCTCATAGTTTTTATTACTAGATTCAGTCTAACAGATTATTAAGTTTCTACTCCAAAATCACTGTGAAATATTTATGAAAATTTCTAAATACCCTGTTCCAATACTTAGTCTCATTATGGACTGATACTTTGAGTAGTGTGTTTTTAGTATGAAAGAGGGGAAATTTAACAATACTATCTGGCCGTAGCTATTTTTATTAATTATATTATTTTTTACATTGACCAGGTTTGTGATATTTATATTTTCTTCTATAAAGATAAGTGAAATTATCATGCTTTGTCTCATAGTTTATTTAGAAAAACAGCTTTCAGAGTTTTGATCTTGCTCGGTTGTGTGGTAATTATTAGTTGTTTTGTGCTTATGGATGTACAGATGAATAATTGAGTTAATTAGTAGAGTTAGCTGTCATTAGTGACTTCTGGATTTTGCTTCCCACTGGTCTTTATTTTAAACGGGAATGCTGATGGCATGAGTTTGTGTAATGAGCCGGTAAGTCGATCAGGAAGCAGGCTCCCCTAATGGGGAATATATGGGCATGGAGAAGGCAGATTTGGGATAACCACAGTTGCCAAAATAAGGAATGAATTTTGCTTCTTTCATGTATTTGAACCCTGAGTAGAGCTAATCTGGAGGTTAGGAGTTGCCTCAAATTCTGCACTTCTCTTTTTGGAACTACTACCCAGACTAGGATTTTTCTTCAATAGGTAGTCTACTTTCTTTGGACCTTTGTTCTGGATTAGTTCAAAGTGTGGTTCCTAGACCAGCAACATCAGCAACACCTAGGAACTTCTTAGATGTGCAGAATCTTGGTCCCTACCCAAGACCTACTAAACAGAAACTCTGCAGATGGATCTTAACAATCTGTTTAATGTACTTTCTCAGTGATTCTGGTGCAAGCTAAAGTTTAAGAATCACTGCTCTAGATTATAGCCCGATGCTAAGAGTTGTGCAGGACCTAGAATATTGAGGACCCAGCACTTGAAGTACAGATGTAAAATTAATTATCCTGATACGTATTTTAGGGTTCATTTTTGGGTCTGTTGATTGGACTTGGGAGACTCCTTAGGAAAGATTTTTTTTCCTATCTCCAGAGTTTTGGATTACTAATTTCTGCCTTGTTTTTTATATTGATAGTCCAATTTTATCTGTTTTCTGCCTTCAAAGATTTTCTTCAACTTTCTTGTCAAGACTTGGTCTTCTGTTTTAAGAGCTACTTTTAAATTTTTTTTTTTTTGTCCTTTCATCCTAATTTTGGTAAAGGAGATTGATGTGTAGTTTAATTAATAAGTCATCCCCCTAATCTTGGGCAATCTATTTTATTTTATTTTATTCTTTTGAGACTTGAGTCTTTTCTGTCACCCAGGCTGGAGTGCAGTGGCATGATCTCAGCTCACTGCACCCTCCACCTCCCAAGTTCAAGCGTTTCTCCTGCCTCACCCTCCCATATAGTTGGGATTATAGGTGCCCACCACCATGCTTGGCTAATTTTTGTATTTTTAGTAGAGATGGGGTTTTCACCATGTTGGCCAAACTGGTCTCAAACTCCTGACCTCAAGTGATCCATCTGTCTTGGCCTCCCATAGTGTTGGGATTACAGGTGTGAGCCATCATGCCCAGCCTGGGCAATCTATTTTAAATTCATTTGCCTTTTTTGGTCCAATTTAAACAAATAAATATACTTTAACTCATAACACGTATGTTAAAAACAAACACTTTTAACTTGTAAGTGATAAAAATTTTCAGAGAAACTTTGTATTAGTAGTAGCAAGTATTTTGTAAGTGTTAACGTACAAAGGTGTAAGACACTAAGTGAAATCTGATTTCACTTGATATTAGGGTGGAAAGTCAAGTACATAAGAGGATAATGTTTTATAAACAAAATTTCTCTTGAGGGCTCTTTAATCTTTCATACATGTATTCTGTTTCTTTGATTGTGTGCCAGATTGAATAATTGGCTTGTTTTAGGGGCCCTGTTGTATGAAAAATATTTTTGTATAGTTCAAGTCAAAGAAGTTAAATATGTGTGTATGATTCTACAAAATATGCCTACTTAGAGAGTTAGCTTGCTTCTCTAGTGACCCAAGAAGGAAGCTTGAGCTAAGAATCAAAAGATAAATGGCAAGTTTTATGTTAAAGTGTCAAGATAGTTGCACAGCTATAATAGGAGTTTAAACATGGGAGTGATTATTGAGAATCATAGGGAAGTCTCAAAGAAAATGGGATTGGTTTCTAACTGGCCCACTACAGAACCTTGTATATATAGTAGACACTGAGTAGATGTTCAGTGAATGAAAGATGAGGTCTTACGTCCTAGTATGGAAGACTAGAGAGGATATCAGTCAGCATGTATAAAATTATACATTTATATAGGATTTCCAGATTAGATAACAAAAGGTAAAAAAGATATTTAGAATTCATATAATAAAGAGCAACTTAATATATTGAAAGTATTGGACTTTAAGGATGAATAATTGGGGCTAAGTCCTAGCTTTATTACTTTAATAGTATTTTAGTAAAGTCATTGACCCTTCACTTCTTCAACTATAAGAAGCATATGGACCAGGTGCAGTTGCTCATACCTGTAATCCCAGTTCTTGGGGAGAATGAGGTGGAAGGATGGCCTGAGACCAGAAGATTGAGACCAGCCTGGTCAACATGACAAGACCCCATCTCTACCAAAAAGAGAAAAAAAAAGAAAGAATACCACCTGTCTTGTCTACTACACAGGATAATCATTTGAAATAATATATATGAGAAGACTTAATGAACTATAAATTGCTATTAAAAATGTGAGGATGCTATTAAAATGTGAGATGCTATGATTTATTCTCATGATTAGGAAAGTAGATTCTCTTTATGTATGTATGCATATTATATATATATAAATTATATATATATATTTTTTGAGACAGAGTCTTGCTCTGTCACCCAGGCCGGAGTGCAGTGGCATGATCTCGGCTCACTGCAACTTCGGCCTCCCGGGTTCAAGCGACTTTCCTGCCTCAGCCTCCTGAATAGCTGGGCGCACCAACACTCCTGTCTAATTTTTGTATTTTTAGTAGAGACGGGATTTCACCATGTTGGTCAGGCTGGTCTCGAACTCCTAACCTCATGATCCGCCTGCCTTGGCCTCCCAAAATGCTGGGATTACAGGCATGAGCACCTGGCCATTAAAAAAAAATTTTTTTTGAGACAGGGTCTGTCACCCAGGCTGGAGTGCAGTGGCGCAACCTCGACTCACTGCAACCTCTGCCTCCTGGGCTCAAGCAATCCTCCCACTTCAACCTCCCGCAGTGCTGGGATTAAAGGCATAAGCCACAGCACCGGGCCCCAAGATAAGCTTTATTTTTAAGTTATTATAACAACTGTAATGATTACTGCATTATGTTAATTAGAAATTTCTGATCTTTGGTTGAAAATATTTTATAAATGTTATTTTTATTAAAATGACTTGGTTCATAACCCAGAAGTGACATTTTTCCCGTTTTGTCAGTTCAGGTTCAAATAACTGGTTTTGCAGAATACAGAAAATTATAATTGGAAAAGAAACGTATTACCATGGTTTATACATATGTATTGTTACTGTCACTCAGAAGCCTCAATTTAGTGATCGTGGTTACGTTTCTGTATTTTTCAAAAGCTACACTGTCACCAAACTTTGGAATACTTGTACATTTACATTTGTATTTGCTTTCTTTTTATTTAAAGTTGGCTTTATTTTGTGCCATGGGATCCTAAATACTGACGCTACAGCACTGAACCTTTGGAAACTAGCTCTTCAAAGTAGCTCTTGCCTCTCTCTCTTTCGGGATGAAGTTTTCCACATTCACAAAGCTGCAGAAGACTTATTTGTAAACATACGAGGGTATGGCATTTTCATTTATTTTGTCTTTTTTGGAGAAGGGTGGTGAGTGAGTTATCTTTACTGAAGTTTTGGGGATAAAGGAGTAGTCACACTGTGCAGGAAGATACAGCCTATACCATCTGACTTGGATCCCAGGAAGTTGTTTTTAACAGTCATCCTGATAGTTAATAATCATGTTTTTTACAGGTAACTTCACATATTAAAAAAAAACTGAGGTTACCTGACCTTTCAAAACATGTAATATAGGAGAAGGAAGATATGTCTTCTTTTGCAAGTCATATATGATTTTAGATGCAAAAGTACCATATACATTTTAGAGGTTTAAAATTTTTATAAGTGTTATTTTAGAATAGGGTGTACTTGTAAAAGTATATGAAGCAATAAAAAATAGTTAATTGGATTAATTATAACCATTACAGAATTCATATCACTGCATGTAGGAAATCATGTTGTTTTTATTTAAATAATAGTATTCCACATTATTTATTTTCATTTATTTCCAGTTCAGCAAATAATTATCTGAAATGTGTTTCTTTGAAATTTTTAATAACTTTATTTCTCTCCACTTGAGATTCTGTAGCCAATATATAAAAGCCAAATTGAACTCAGACTTGGTGGCAATTATGAAATCTTTTAAAAATATCTAGGATCTGCTATACTTATGTTGAATATATAAGTTGGGCTTCCTAGCTTCAGATAACAGTGAAATTTGCTTATATTTATTTCACATCCAGTTGAATAATGACTTAATGACATTGAAATGAAATAAAACTTCTAGATATTTTAATGTATGTGTATATGTCTGACGCTAAATGTAAGCCAATATATCCCACATTTTAGTGTACATAAGAATTACCCCGAAATGCAAATTGAAATCCAGGTTCCTGAGCATCACCTCTAACCTCCTCTATCTGTGTCTTGGAGAGGTTAAAGGAATCTGCCCTTTTCTTCCCGAGTACTTTTTTGAGAGAAAATACAAACAGAAAAATACATACATCTTAGCTGTATAACTCAGTGACTTTGCATATGAAAACTCCGGCATCATCACCACTTAAATCAAGATGTAAGAACATTTCCATCATCTCTGGAGAATTCTTTTGTGCTTCTTTCTGGTCGGTACTGCCATGCCTAGTCCCCACTCCCCCCCCACTCCTTTCTCAAGTGACTACTATTCTGATTTCTGTCACCATACTGATATTCTTATGGCAGTGATCTGTCAGTCATATGATAAATAGTGCCCTATGTACTTTTCAGCTCTTATTTTAGATGGTGGAATACCCTGAAATATTATGTGCAAGATGGGCTTTGTCATTTTCTAATTGATTTAGATTGAAAATCATGAAACTTTTATTAATATCATGTACTAGCATACTGACAAACTCATTGTAGAATCATATGTAAATATATGTAAACATTTAAAACCAGTTAGCCTCTGTATATTGAGTGAACTTATGTATGGTGCAAGTAAATTTAATGGCATAGTGAAACCAGTTGTCTTTGTTATGCTTTATTAATAATAAATTTATCATTTGAGAATCTCTGTATTTAAAATTATGAGTTTGCATTTTTAATTTAATTGTGAATGATCATCCAGTTTAAAATATGAATTATCATCAAACCATAAGTATAAAAGTGTATTAATTATAGAGGGTGATGATTACAGAATTATTATATTTTGGAAATTTGCTCAAAGAATACATAAATCTTAGACCACTTAAACATAGAAGTTGGAGTCCATTTTAGTGTAAGAGATTTTTATTTATTTACTTTTTTTTTTATTTGTTTTTGAGACAAGAGTTTCGCTCTGTCACCCAGGCTGAAGTGCAGTGGTGTGATCTCAGCTCACTGCAACCTCTGCCTCACGGCATCAAGTGATTCTCCTGCCTCAGCCTCCCAAGTAGTTAGGATTACAGGTGCCCGCCACCATGCCCGACTAATTTTTGTATTTTTAGTAGAGATGGGGTTTCACCATGTTGGCCAGGCTGGTCTTGAACTCCTGCCCTCAAGTGATCCACCCACCTTGGCCTCCCAAAGTGCTGGGATTACAGGTGTGAGCCACCGTACCTGGCCATAGTGTAAGAGATTTTTAGAGAGGTTGTCAGGAAGATATTTTTTCTTTAACATTTTAGGAATTTTGAGTTTTTATATCTATTATTCATGAAATTATTTATTAGCATTTGTTTTCATGGTAGCATCTTTAAGCTGATGTTAATTAAATGTTTTTTTATTTGAAAAATAAGTTTTTTTAAAAAAATACATAGCTTAAAATCATATATAGTTCTCTTAAAATAATTTGAAGTCGGCAAATGCTTTTCTGCCTCAGTTTTCTCCTTCACAAAACCTTTTTATCCAAACAGTCATTACTTTTGATCACTAATATATATCCTTTCAGAATTTTTTCATGCTTAAAGATAGACTTGATTAAAAAGTCAGAAATGATAGCTTTGTCAGTACTTTAGACTTTTGGAAATCACTTCTGATGTTAATTACATCAGAAGTATAATTTCAGTGTCTCCATTGGGGCTTAAGGAAGTAATAACATTTAATAAAATGAAAATCTACATTGTGAAGTTTAATTTTATTGTTGGATTTAATATAATGTTACTTTTTTTTTTAGGAAGGCTTGACTGGACATCTAAGTGCTAGGAAAAAGTGTGGGTAGATTCTTCCATGCACTTCCAGTTTGATGGCCAGTTTCTGAATTGATAATGTCATTTTTAATTGACTTCTAGTATTAGACTTACTCATTTTGACAGTTATTGATCAAATTAAACTAACGTTCTAATTTGTTTTTGCACCTAGCTATAATAAACGTATTAATGACATAAGAGAATGCAAGGAGGCAGCCGTGTCACATGCGTGAGTAGTTTTATTTTATCCGTGGTAGCTTTAATCAAGAAAAATTCTTAAAGCATCATTTTGTTGAAGTGAGTACAGATTAATAGTATGCAAGATATGGTAGTAGAAGAGGGGGACTTTCAGTCAATGAGAATTATTAAGTATATTGCCTCAATATGTAGAACCTTGGAATTAGTGAAGTCAGATTTTAAATGTTTTTGAAGTGTTGATAAAATGCTATAAGGAAGTATCACACAAAGGACTCTTACTTTGGGTATAATCTCACTGCCACTATGCTCTGCATACCAATATGATTTTTGTACTACTACATGAAAATTAATATATCCATATAACTCTTACAGATAATATTTACTTTTTTTTTTTTTTTTTTGAGACAGTCTCACTCTGTCACCCAGGCTGGAGTGCAGTGATACCATCTCGGCTCACTGCAGTCTCCACCTCCCGGGTTCAAGCAATTCTCCTGCCTCAGCCTCCTGCGTCACTGGGATTACAGGCACCCGCCGTACATTCCCAGCTAATTTTTGTATTTTTAGTAGAGACAGGTTTTCACCATGTTGGCTAGACTGGTCTTGAACTCCTGACCTCAGTGATCAGCCTGCCTTGGCCTCCCAAAGTGCTGGCATTACAGGCATGAGCCACCGTGCCCGGCAAATATTTACTTTTAAGAGTACACCTCTTTCCCAATTTTAATTTCTTATATTAGTAAATATATAGATATCCTAAGTGAGAAATTAGTGTATTTTAAATCTTTGAACAACTTTCCAGTTTTCTCATAAAATAATTCTAAATAATTTGATATTTCACTTTGTTACATATATGATATACTTAATATAGAATATTTTCTCCAGTTAACTTAGGTACTATATACAGATAATATTATTTGATCTATCAGTATTTCTATATAAGGCAGAGAGAAGACAAGCAACACTCCATAGCGAAAACTATAAAACCACAGGAAGTTTTAAAATTTCAGTTTAGGCTATAAGATATTGGGAATTTAAACCATCTTTACTCATCGTATCTGTGCTATATCATTCCTCATGCATATTTTATTTACTTGAATGAAGTACATGTGCTTAATTTTTCAAAAATGATTTCTAGTGCAGATAACGTACTTTGGAGTTTGTTAGAATTCCTCTCTAGACTTGCAGAAATGCACATAATTATTATTTCTTCGTGGGATAGACGCTACTATAGGCAGACATATAGGCATAGCTATCTTTTATAAAGATCTTTTACAATTAAGGTATTTTTATTTTCCTCCTTCTGTTTATTAAATAAAATATAAGTAGTAAGCAGTGGTAACTTCTAGGACTCATTACCATGTGCCAGGCCCAAGTACTTTATAGACATTTTCTCCCAATAACCATCACAGACTCCTCACAGTAATCCTGTGAAGTAAAATAATCAAAATAACATTTGTTCATTTTCTTCTTGGAAATGACACGATGACTTTATTATTGTCAGTAAAAAGAGCTTGTCATTGAAATTAAAGTAACAGAAGCACTATATATCAGGCATCATGAAAGATTGTGCATCTTTTGAGACAGATGTCATCATACTTATTCTACAGATGAAAAACTGAAACTTAGAGTTGGAACCTAAGGTCATGTAGGGAGAGGATGGATTTTAATTTGAGTCCTCTGAAACTGATCTACTGTGTCACAGCGAAATTACTAGTGGTGTGTATTCTTTATACTTGGGTTTTTGGCATAGGCAACACACACACACACACACACACACACACCCCAATCTAAATTCTAAAACTTTCTTGGAGCAGTGTATATTTTGTGTAGTATGAGGAGTTGCTTGGAACATTTTATGATTTTTTTTCCTTCTGTTAATATGTGAGAATGTTTTCTAATCTTAATTTTAAAATAAGTAGTATATGAATATTTATGATTATCCCTTCCTTTCCCCATCTTTCTATTTTTGAACAAGAGTGCCAAGTAGCTCTCATCCCAATACCTTTATTGACTATAGCTCTTGTGTATTCAGTTTTGTATATTTAATAGGAATATAACTTAATAAGAATATAGATAACCAGATACTTAAGTTCTATTTATTAATTTCTTTATGGAAGTGACAAAAATGTATACAGTTAGTCAGTTTTTGCCTTCAAGGATTTTTTTTTTTTTTTGAGGTGGAGTCTTGCTCTGTCACCCAGGCTGGAGTGCAGTGGCATGATCTCAGCTCACTGCAACCTCTGCCTCCTGGGCTCAAGTGATTTTCCTGCCTCAGCCTCCCAAGTAGCTGGGATTACAGGCACCCACCACACCTGGCTAATGTTTTGTATTTTTAGTAGAGACGGAGTTTTGTCATGTTGCCCAGGCTGGTCTCGAACTCCTGAGCTCACGCAGTCTGCCCAAGTTGGTCTCCCAAAGTGCTGGGATTACAGGCATGGGCCACTGTGCCTGGTCACCATCAAGAACTTCATAGTCTATAAAGTGCTTAAAGCTACATGGTACTAAAATTGGATAAATTATTCATAAATAAATAGCTAGATGTTGGGAAATGCTTCTTGAAGGACTGGTCTTGAAGGTTGGGTAGGATTTTGATAGATGGAGAATAACAAAAGAAACATAGTTTAAAAAGCAACATAAGAAAGGCAGGATAAATGTAAGATTAGAAACTCACTTAACGATAGACACATAGAAGATGATTTTTATAGGAACTTTGGCTTCCTAAAAAAAGACTTTGGAAGTTGCACCTATAATGCTAGTTACTTTAATTGCCAATAATAATTTTAGTAGAAGCAGATAAACTATTATGGTGTCTTTCCCCATAGTGGTTCAATGCACAGAGAAAGACGCAAGTTTTTAAGATCTGCACTGAAGGAATTGGCTACTGTCCTCTCTGATCAACCTGGATTGCTAGGTCCCAAGGTAATTCATTTAATTATTATTTCAATAATTGTGCCATATTAAAATTTTAAAAAACGTTTCTAAGTGAAATTTTACTGAAATTTGAGTCAGGGACTACATAAAAGGATTTTTATATTTAGTGGAGAATGAATTTGCTGACTTGACATTCATACATCGTACCTCCCTGCATTCTTCTCCCTTATATGCATGCTCTCTCTCATACATACTTACAGGTTCTCTTGTGTCCTCTTCTGTTAGTCTCTTCACTCTTTTGAATTGATATTATCACTTCTTGCCAATGACTTTTCACATAGAAAGAGATTACCAGTTTTGTTTTTAATCTTTGAATAAGAATAAACACTTACTTTTTTTTAAACAGGCACTTTTTGTTTTTATGGCATTATCCTTTGCCCGTGATGAAATCATCTGGCTACTTCGTCATGCAGATAACATGCCAAAGAAGAGTGCAGACGACTTTATAGATAAGTAAGTTAGCAACATTTAAAA
Organism: Homo sapiens; assembly: GCF_000001405.40. Lineage (NCBI taxonomy): Eukaryota > Metazoa > Chordata > Mammalia > Primates > Hominidae > Homo > Homo sapiens. Next base: position 182,982,799 of record NC_000002.12, on the reverse strand, counting down.
AAATATTTTCTGTATATAGATGCTTCTTGATTTACAATGGGGTTATGTCCTGATAGACCTATTGTAAGTTGAAAATATTGTTAAGTTGAAATTCATTTAGTACACCTATTATTACTGAACATTAGAGCTTAGCCTAGCCTACCTTCAATGTGCTCAGAACTCTTTTATTAGCCTACAGTTGGGCAAAATTATCTGGCAACATAGTACACTGAAGAGTATAGGTTGTTTATCTTTCTGATCACATAGTTGACTGGGAACTACGGCAGCATCATGAGAGAGTATCATACTGCCTATTGCTAGCCTGGAAAAAAAGTCAAAATTCAAAGTACAATTTGTACTAAATGTGTATCTCTTCTGCACCATTGTAAATTAGAAAGATAGTACATCCAAATCACTGTAAGTTGTGCACCATCTATATTCTGATTTGTGGGCTGGGGAATCTGGAGACTTATATTTGAAGCAAAATTATTTTGAAGAGCTTGGAATATTTGTAATATATCATTAGATGATATTAATTAGACTGCAAAGTCAAATTTAGTTTTAAATTAGGGCTTTTATTTTCTCGTAGTATGCTTTGTGGTGATAAAGTTTTTGTTTTCTTGCTATGCTCAGTAATATTTCTTATGGAATTCATTTTTTAAAACTATTTACTACACAAAACATTTAAATAAAAATCCTGTTTTTAGAGTTGCAACTCAGTGTGTCATTAAAATGTGTCTTATTTTAGTTCAGTCTCTCAATAAGAGTTAGAAAAATGGAGCAGAGAAATAAGAGCATACAGAAAAATTTTATTTCTTGCTAATCTTCTTTTATTTGAGATTTTTTGATGATGTATTTATAACATGTCCTGTTTATTTTTTTAATTTAAATTTTTTTTTTTTTTTTTTTTTTGAGACGGAGTTTTACTCTGTCACCCAGGCTGGAGTGCAGTGATGCCATCTTGCCTTACTGCAACCTCAACCTCCTGGGTTCAAGTGATTCTCCTGTCTCAGCCTCCCAAGTAGCTGGGATTACAGACACCCACCACCATGCCCAGCTAACTTTTGTATTTTTAGTAGAGATGGGATTTTACCATGTTGGCCAGGCTGGTTTTGAACCCCTGACCTCATGTGATCAGCCCGCTTTGGCCTCCCAAAGTGCTGTAATTACAGTCGTGAGCCACTGTGCCCGGCCCTGCTTATTTTCAGTTTGGATTTTCTGCTGTCGATTTTTAGCTTTAACTTTTTTTCTTTCTTCTTTTTTTCTTGCTTTCCATGATTTCTTTATTCATGAAATGATTTAAAAAGGAAGTAATTGACATTAAGTATTAAACAATGCCCTTTATAAGAAAAATACTTTTAGAAATAAGATTAAGGGCATCGAATATATTCTTTAATAATGATGAATTTATTATTTGAATATTTTTCTTGAAATTTTAAAAAAGGCACATTGCTGAATTAATATTTTACATGGAAGAACTTAGAGCACATGTGAGGAAATACGGACCTGTAATGCAGAGGTATTACGTGCAGTACCTTTCTGGCTTTGATGCTGTTGTCCTCAATGAACTCGTGCAGGTAAAAACTATCTCATACTATTTCCCTTTTGTTCCTTCCTTCCCACCTTTGATAGTATTTTATTTGTTTGTTCAACAAGCATTTATGAAATATCATGTGCCAAGTGATAAATCATGTTTATATTTTGGAGATCATTACCTAGAAGGGAAGAAACAGTTAGTTGTAGTCCAATGTGATAGGTGTTATGCATTAAGTATATATAAAGCTCAGAATGAACACAAGGAAAGACACAATTATTTATCCTGAAGATGGAGGTGTACGCTAACCAAATTACAGAGGGCCTTGGGAAAGAGGAGGTTAATCATAAATCAGGTGTACTACTTAAAAAGATCACCCTGGTTCAGTGTGGATGGTAGATTGCTGGGAACCAAATGAGGAGGCAGAGAGACCAGAAGAAAAATGACTGCAGTAGGCTAGATGAGAGGTGATGAGAGTCTGAACATGGGCAGTAGCTATGGAGATTCAGAAGAGATGATAGAGACAATATAATTGGTAATTAAGTATTAGAGGGAAAGTAGAATAAAAATCTTTTTGAAGAAGATTGTTAGAGGATGGCCAGTAAATAAAGATTTCATATAGACATTCCCATTTAAATGTCCAATTTTTTTTCCTTAATTGGTTTTTAGCCTTTTTTTGCTTTCCATAATTTATTTATTCAATATTTTTCATCTTTATTTAAATTTAAAAAACTTTTTATTCCAAATAAACTGACTCTAAGGAAATAATATTTTATTTTGCTTCACTTTATAGAATTACATGTTTCAAATGACTGTAAGCTAATACATAGTATAAAGAAAACAGTTAAGAATCCTCTTTATATAAAGACTTCTCTAAAGCTGCTAGTTTTCCAGAGAAATAACCATACTTTGAAGATCTCATTTTTTTCAAATCAACCTAAAAATATAATAAGGAAAAAAATTGTTCATGTAATTTTTTTTACCTTGAGTTACATGCTGTTACAAGCTAGTATTCTAAACTCTATAGTTTATTTCTTCTTTTATCCACTAGATGGAGCTCAGATACTTCTTTTCTATGGTCATTTAAAAAGGGAACAGAAAACCTGGGGTATTATTGCCTTACTATAATTTTATTTGAATAGTTATTACTTAACAGATAAGCCAGAAGCTTTTGTTACTGTTTATTATTTATTCATACTAGCATACAGTTTAAAAAGTAAACCAGAATTCCTGAATTACTTAATCTATTTTTATATAAAGTGGAGTTTACTAATACTGAGAAGATTAATTCTTAGCATTTCTTCTGGAATTATAGTAATAGTATAGTATCAGCAGCAATCATACTGATATTAGTAATTGCCAGATTTATTGATAGTGTATCTTACCAAATCTGTAGAAAACCTCTGTGAGAGTGGATATAGTTATCATTATTTGTTGAAGAAGAAATGCCTTATGTAATTTGCTCCTTATCACCAATACAGCTCATAAGTAATAAAGCCAGTAGTCAAACTCAAGTTTTGACTCCAAAGCCTGAGCATTTTACCACCCTCTTCTGTTGCAAAGTATATTCACAATGTTTTTCACCATTTGCTAGCATATAAATTTAGAACTAAGGTTGTAAACCTGTTAGCATAGTTGATTGCAATAGGTGTTAATATTTTATTGTGGTAAAATATATGTAACAAAATTTACCATTTTCATGATTTTTAAGTGTACAGTTCACTCGCATCATAAAGTTTTAAAAATGTGTTTTATTTATACTGTTTGTAAGCTAAGCATCCACTTTTTAAAAGGAATTTATTTTTTAGCATCCACTTTAAATACAGTTTATCAAATATTCATTTTTTAAGCTAGATTGAAAAGGATTTTTAGGTCTTAATTTTGTTGAGGCCTAACATACAGACAACAAAAATCATTCATTTTTAGTGCATGTTGTAAATTTTGGTAGCTGTATGCATTTGTGCAACTATTACCATCACCATATTCAAGACAGAACTTTTCCAACACCTTTAAAAGTTTACTTATACACCCTTATGGTACACCTTCATCATTCTTGCATAAGCCCCTGACAGCAACTGGTGTTTGTCATTATACTTTCGCCTTAAAAATACTTTTTCATATAAATTTTCCTATATAGTGTATGAAAAAATTACTTTTTAACACAAAATCATTTATTTTTTATTTCTTTCACTTAATGTAATGGTTTTGAGATTCGTGTTATGGTGTGTGTTAAAATTTCATTTCTTTTTTATTACTGAAAAATATTCCATAGTATGGGTATACCAGTTTGTTTATCCGTCCACTAATTGATAGACCTGAGTTGTTTCCCAACTATAGATGTTTTTAACGTTACTTTTTGTTTGTTTTTCAGAATCTTTCTGTTTGCCCTGAAGATGAATCAATCATCATGTCCTCTTTTGTTAACACTATGACTTCCCTAAGTGTAAAACAAGGTAATAAGCCTTTTAAATAAAAGCATATTTTCTTCTAATTAGATTTTCAAACTTGATTATTAAGGAGATAATTTACCAATTAATTTGGCTAATGATCTATTATCTTTTATCTTAATTTTGTTCTCTGAAGCAAAGATTTCCAAAATGGGTTTGTGATGCTATTTACAAAAATAATAATTACAGTTTTATATTTCTAATTATTAAGCAGGAAAAAAAGCATTTTGTAACAAAAACAATAAAACATTTGCATTTTGTAGCAAATCATATATTTGGTCCAAGCATACCAATAACAATATTTAATGCCATTTATAAAATGTTTAGTCTGTGCCAGGCACTTTACATATATATTATCCCATTTACTCCACATTCTTTTTTCAACACTGTTATTACTTTTGACAGATTTGGAAACTCTGGGTTTGAGGGTTAACCTCGCAGTTACTGAACATAATTTGCCAAGCTCTAATAGCTGTTAAGCAAAAGTAGGAATTTGAGCTCAAATCTGTCAATCTCAAAAATTGATGTCATATAATCACCTTGCCATTATTTGACACTCCATTCTAGTGGATCGATAGTGTGTTTTAGTTTTATAGTCTTTTAATAAAGGATATCAGAAACCTTGAAAACTTCTGAGTAATAAATGTATAAACATTTTTCTTAGTTCAATCTTTATTGCTACCACATCTAAGTAATGAAACTAAAGTAATTTTTTCTGGTGATATTTGGTTTATATAGAGTTATTTTGTGGAACTTCAGCATGCTGTCCAAAGTTTCTATTCGTAGGATCTCTCAAATTCTATTCAAACTCCTGTAAATTGACATGTAAGCACACTAAGAATCAGAGAGCTTAGGAGAAAAGCCTTTACTTCCCTTAGCACAACTGTCTCCTTTATCATCATCTTTACAGGATTTGAGAATTGTTTCACTGTCTTCACTCTTTAATTTTAAAATGTTTTTATTTTTTAATTGTAAAATACACATAAAATTGACCATCTTAACCATTTTTGAGTGTATAGTTCAGTAGTGTTAAGTATATTCATATTGTTGTACAACCAATCTCCAAAACATTTTCATCTTGCAAAACAAATTCTTTTAATGATTATTGAACAACAGTGTGCCATTTCCCTTTCCTGCTAGCCCCTGGCAACCTCCATTCAACTTTCTGTTTCTGTGAGCATGACTGCTCTAGATACCTCATATAAGTGGAATCACAGAGTATTTGTCTTGCTGTGACTGGCTAATTTCACTAGGCTTAATGTCCTCAAGTTCAGCCATAGTAGCATGTGTCAGAATTTCCTTTCTTTTTTAGCAGAATAATAGTGCATGATATTTATTTATTTTATTTTTGAGACCCAGTCCCGCTCTGTTGCCCAGGCTGGAGTGCTGTGGTACAATCTCGGCTTACTGTAACCTCTGCCTCCCAGGTTCAAGCAATTGTCCCACCTTAGTCTCCCGAGTAGCTGGGACTACAGGCACGCACCACCACACCCAGCTAATTTTTGTATTTTTAGTAGAGATGGGGTTTCACTACGTTGGCCAGGCTAGTCTCAAACTCCTGACCCTTAGGTGACCCACCTGCCTCGGCCTCCCAAAGTGCTGGGATTATAGGCATGAGACACTGCTCCCGGCCTCCATTGTATTTAGATACTACATTTTGTTTATTCATTCATCTATCAATGGAAATTTAAGTTGCTTCTACCTTTGACTGTTTGAATAATTCTTCTGTGAACATGGGTGTACATATATCTCTTTAAGACCTTGGCTTTAATTGTTTTAGGTATACTCAGAAGTAGAATTGTCTTAGCTCTTAAAATTTAAAATGTGCTTATAGATTGTGAAAACATTAATTTGCTTTGTAATCTTTTTTTTTTTTCTATTACTACAGTTGAAGATGGGGAAGTATTTGATTTCAGAGGAATGAGATTAGATTGGTTTAGGTTACAGGTAAGAATAACCTTTTATTGTCATTCTGTTTTGTTATTTTAGTTAACATGAAAAATTTTATAACAACTATAAAATATTCATTGTTATATACCTATTGAAAATATTTCTTTTGTATAATTAACCATAAAAGAAACATTTTGTACTAATTATTAAAGTTGGATAAATATATTAATAACTTAAGCCAATATGAGTTTTTGAATAGATTATTATAATTTTAAAATATCTAAAAATTTAAATCCCAATCTCTCTCTTGATTATCCTGATTCAAATATTTAATTCTAAAGTGAAAGCACAAAATCTTTTCTGAGAAAATATTTAAAATCTACTGTGGGCATCAGCAAACTTTTTCTAATAAAGAAACAGCTGCTAAAAAATTTTAGGCTTGCAGCCATATAGTCTCCGTCATCATGATTGCACTCTGCCATTGCAGTGTGAGAGCACCTATAGACAATACATAACTTAATGGGCATGGCTGTATTCCAGTAAAACTATTTATAAAAACAAGCAGGTAGCCCACAGGCCATAGTTTACCACCACGATCTGTACAAAAAACTTCCATTTTCTGAAAAACAAATAAATATTATTAGACTTAGAGTGTTCATTTAATATATGTCTCATATAAATAGTTCCTAAAGGCATTAAGAATGCAAGCCTAACACCTTGGTGTATACTGTAACCTTAATGATAAAAATTAGTTGCCCTGTAAATATTTTAAGTAATTATGGGAAAATGGCCCAGTGTTCTCAATAATGTGCATGTTTTAAAAATCCATATATTTTTAAATGATAATATAGTCATTTGACTCATTGTGAAGTCAAAACATTCAGTTTGCCCCTTTCCCAGTTTCATTCTCCAGAAATACTCACTTTTAATAACTGGCCTATATTTTTTTAGATGTTCAAACAAGTAAATTAGATAGTACTATGTACTGTTTTGCTATTTATTTTTGTCTTTTTAAAAAAATATTTACTTATTTATTTATGTTTTAGAGGCAGGGTCTTGCCCTGTCACCCAGGCTAGAGTGCAGTGGTATGGTTATAGCTCACTGTAACCTCAGGCTCGTATGTTCAGGCAGTGCTCCCACATCAGCCTCCTGAATAGCTGGGACTATAAGTGCAAGCCACCACACCCAGCTAATTAAAAAAAAATTTTAGAGACTGAATCTTGCTATGTTGTCCAGGCTGATCTCAGACTCCTGGCCTCGGTGATCTTCTCACCTCAGCCTCCCAAAGTGCTGGGATTACAGGCATGAGCCACAGTGCCTGGCCTGTTTTGCTGTTAAAAATAAATAAATAAAATTTCTATTTGTTTAATTAAAAAGAGAAAATATAAGAAGTATTTTTTTGTGGAAGCCATTTTTAGATGGATACAGTCTCAGGAATGACTCTCAGGATGACCATACTTTTCTGGCGGTCTGCTTAGTACTCTGAGGTGCTTTTGCTTTTCTTAGGTTCTTTCCTTCCAACCTCAAAATGCATAAGCACTTTTCTCTTTTTTGTTCTATATTCTCTAGGGAGCTTATTTTTAGAAATGAAGACTTTTATAAATAAAAGCATTAAATACCTTACCAGTTAGTGGGAGATCAGGGAAGTACACTTGAAATACCAACATCCCAAAATGTTAAATGTGTATATATTATAGGTTATTTTCTTATTACAAATAAAGTTTTAAAATTGACACCTCTTTGTTTTTAAAAAGGCAATGAAACAATACAAAAGTAGAACTTGTAAAAAAAAGAAGTGGAATTTCCTCTGCCAAAGGATATACATGTTTAAAACTTTGAAAGTCATTGTCATAAAGCTTGAACTGCTTCAATCTCCTGTTCTGGGTTTATAGGAGTGCCTAAACCAATACTTGGGCTCAGAGAATTTTAGAGATTTAGATGCATTTCAGATGCACCCTTACATTTGAGTTATTCATGTGAGAATTTTAGCCTTTTTCAGTCACTGCAAAATAAAAAGCATTGAGTGAACATGAAGAATGTAGACCTGATTATTCCTATGTGTAGATTTTTAAAGTTTTTTAAGATTTTTATAAGAGCATTATTAGCTAGCTATCTGATTTTTTTTTCATGTAATCTATACCTACTTGTGTTAGTTTCCTAGGGCTGCCATAACAAAGTACCAACTAGATGGCTTAAACAATAGAAATGTATTATTTCATAGTTCTGAAGGCTGGCAGTCTGAAAGCAAGGTGTTGGCAGGGTTGGTTTGTTTCAAGGACTGCAAGGGAGAACCTCTTCCATCTCTCTCTCCTAGCTTCTGGTGATTTGCTGGTAATCTTTGTTGTTCCTTGCTTGTAGTTGCATTACTCTAAAGGCATTCTCCCTGTGTTTCTTCACTTCATTTTTCCTCTTTGCATATTTCATGTTCAAATTTTCCCTTTTTATAGGGCTACCAGTTATATTTGATTAGGTCCCATTCAAATGACCTCATTTTTATGTGCTTAGCTCTGGAAAGACCCTAATTCCAAATAAGGTCACATTCTGAGGTACTGGGGGTTAGGATTTAGGCACATCTTTTCTTCGGGGATACAATTCAATGCATAACATTGCTGTTAACCACGTTTAGAACATGCAGTCACTCAGACCCTTTCTACTGCATACAGACCCTTTTTTTTTTTTTTTTTTTTTTAGTGACAACAGGACAATGCATACAAAGGAAGGAAAGAATGGGACATAACACTAAGCCAGAGAAGTGTTCACTAGAAGTAGAGAACAAAAGTGCAAGGTAGCAGGCAGGGTCCAGAATCTAGAAGGTTTACATAGGTATTGAAAAGCAGCTCAAAGGTGAAAGTTCCAAGCCTACAGATTAGACTGTAGGATACAGAAGATAAAATACTGAGCAGTATTATATAATCTGTAGAAAAATAGCACATTCATCTTTTGAGGATTTTATAATCTAGCTATGGAGACAAAGCATAAAAAATGTAAAAAATAGCAGCTGAAAATCTGAAAGATTAAGAGATGTCATAGACAGAATATGTTTATCAGTTAATTTCAGTCTTAGAAGGGATAAAGCATTTTTCAAGTTAAAATTGCTTTGAATAGGAAAAAGGAAAGGACAAACAATGAGTAAAGAGCAAGTAAAGAGACTTTTGAGTATAAAGGATTACTGTAAGAAGGGGAAAATATTCACAAGAACTATGAATGATCTGCCTTTGATCACTGACCTTTGGTTTCAGGTAGAAGTGCAAGAATTGTTAGGTAAAAGCACATGGCCAGAGAGTGGTGAAGAGTTCTATAGATAGCCAGTAGTGGTTGAGTAGAGCAGACCAGAAGAGTAAGCCTTTGGGAGAATTTTAGTAGTGTACTTTGTGCCTTCACTGGTGTCCTATTTAGTTTGGTTCTAAGGTCATTGCTTTTTTATAGGTCACTTTCATCTTTCTCTGTCCTTTTCCTACTCTTAAGAATTCTCTTTGTATTTTTGTCATTCTTTTCTACTTCCTAAGTGATCTCATTCTGTTGTGTATTCCATCAGTCCCTTAAGCATTTTTAGTTGCTCTTTCAAATATCTTCTCTCGTCTGTCTTCTAATTTATTCAAATTGTTTATATTCTTTTACTTAAACCTATTCTTTTTTAGTAACATGTTTCTCCCCCCATTGTTGTCAAGCAGTTAAATCATTATCTTGTTTTGTTACCATCCATTTCTTCTGAATTTGTTTTCACAATGTTATTTAAATTCTGATTTAATTTTTTTAATTTTAAATTTTTATGAATACATAATAGTTGTACATATTTATGGGGGTACATGTGATATTTTGATACAAGCATACAGTGTATAATGAACAAATCTGGGTAGTGGGAATATTTCATCACCTCAAACACATATCATCATATTGGAAACATTCCAAATCTACTCTTCTGGTTATTTTGAAAGATGCAGAAAATTATTAACTATAGTTGCCCCATTGTGCTATACTAGTTCTTATTCCTCCTAACTGTACTTTTGTACCCATTAACCAATCCTTCTTTATTCCCACTTCCTACCTTCCCTACTCAGCTTCTTATAACCATCATACTATTCTCTGCGTCCATGAGATCAATTTATTTAGCATCCACTTAGGAGTAAGAACATGTGACATTTGTTTTTCTGTGCCTGGCTTATTTCACTTAACATAATTTCTTCCAGTTCCGTCTATGTTGTTGCAACAGACAGGATTTCATTTTTTATGGCATAATAATATTCCATTGTGTATATATTTACCATTTATCTATTGATAGACACTTGGGTTGGGTTCCATATCTTGACGATTGTGAATATTGCTGCAATAAACATGGGAGTGCAAATACTTCTTCAGTATGTTGATTTCCTCTCTTTTGGATATATACCCAGCAGTGTGATTGCTGGATCTATTTTCAAATTTTTGAGGAACCTCAGACACTACTGTTTTCAATAGCGGCTCTACTAATTCACATTCCCACCTGCAGTATATGAGAGTTCCCCTGTCTCCACATCCTCGTTAGCATTTATTTTCTGTTTTTTGATAATAGCCATTTTAACTGGGGTGAGATGATGTCTCATTGTGGTTTTAATTTGCATTTCTCTGATGGGGAGCAGTTTAAAAATATATCTGTTGGCCACCTGTATGTCTTCTTTTGAGAAATGTCTGTTTAGCTCTTTTGCCCATTTTTAAAATCAGTTTTGTTTTTTTTTTTTTTTTTTTTTGCTATTAAGCTGTTTGAGTTCCTTATATATTCTGATTGTTAATGCCTTGTCTGTTGAATAGTTCGTAGATATTTTCTCTCATTCTATAGGTTGTCTCTTCACTGTGCTGATTGTTTCCTTCTTTGTTGTGCAGGAGCTTTTTAGCTTAATGTGATCCTATTTATCCATTTTTTTGCTTTTGTTCACTGTGGCTTTTGAGGTCTAACTCAAGAAATCTTTGACCAGACCAATATTCTGGCATGTTTCACCAGTGTTTTCTTCTAGTAGTGTCATAGTTTCAGGTCTTACATTTAAGTCTTTAATTCATTTTGATTTGATTTTTTTTGTATGATGAGAGATAGAGGTCTAGTTTCATTCCTTTACATGTGGATATCCAGTTTTCTCAGCACAATTTATTGAAGAGACTGTCCTTTCCCCAATGTATATTCTTGGCACTTTTGTTGGAAATGAGCTAATAGTAAATGTGTGGATTTATTTCTGGGTTCTGTGTTCCGTTTCATTGATATTTGTATCTGCTTTTATGCCAACACCATACTGTTTTGATTACTATAGCTTTGTAGTAGATTTTGCGATCAGTAATGTGATTCCTCCTGCTTTGTACTTTTTGGATTGTACTTTTCAGGATTGATTTGGCTCTTCTAGTTTTTTTTTTGTTGTTGTTTGTTCCATATGAATTTTAGGATTTATTTTTTCTGTTTCTGTAAAGAATGTCATTGGTATTTAGATAGATAGTTTATTGAATCTGTAGATCACTTTGGGTGGTATGTTTAGCAATATCAATTCTTCCAATTCATGAACATGAGATATCTTTTTTTTTTTTTTTTTTTTTTTGAGACGGAGTCTCGCTCTGTCGCCCAGGCTGGAGTGCAGTGGTGGGATCTCGGCTCACTGCAAGCTCCGCCTCCCGGGTTCACGCCATTCTCCTGCCTCAGCCTCCCAAGTAGCTGGGACTACAGGCGCCCGCCACTACGCCCGGCTAATTTTTTGTATTTTTAGTAGAGACGGGGTTTCACCGTTTTAGCCGGGATGGTCTCGATCTCCTGACCTCGTGATCCGCCCGCCTCGGCCTCCCAAAGTGCTGGGATTACAGGCGTGAGCCACCGCGCCCGGCCGATATCTTTTTATCTCTTTGTGTCTTCTTCAGTTTCCTTCATCAATGTTTATAGCTTTCATTGTAGAGATCTTTCACTTTTTGTTTAAGTTTGTTCATAGGCTTTTTTTTTGGTAGTTATTGTAAATGAGATTTCTTGATTTCTTTTTCAGTGTGTTTGCTGTTGACACATGGAAATGCCTCTGATTTTTGTATGTTGAGTTTATGTCATGAAACTGAATTGGTTGATCAGTTTTAATAGTCTTTAGGTTTTTGTAAATATAATATCATATTTTCTTCAGATAAGGACAATTTGATGACTTCTTTTCAAGTTTGCATGCCTTTTATTTATGTCTTTTGTCTAATTGCTTTGGCCAGGACTTCCAGTCCTGTGTTGAATAAAAGTGTTGAAAGCAGGCATCCTTGTATTGTTCCAAATCTCAGGAAATGCTTTCAGTTTTCCCCAATTCAGTGTATTGCTAGCTGCGGGTTCATCATCTATGGCCTTTATTGTTTTCTTCCATACCTAGTTTGTTAAGAGGTATGTTTTTTTCCATACCTAGTTTTTTAAGAGCTATGTTTTCTTCCCTACCTAGTTTGTTAAGAGTTTTTATTATGAAGAGATGTTGAATTTTATTGAATGCATTTTCAGCATCTATTAAAATTATACAGTTTTGTCCTTATGTGCATATGTTGAACCATCTTGTATTTATCTAACTGGATCATGATCTGTTCAGTGTGTTGTTGAATTCTGTGTGCTAGTATTTTGTTCAGCATTTTTGCATCTATGTTCGTAAGTGATGATGGCCTGTAGTTTCTTTTCGTGTAGTTTTGTGTCTTTGTCTGGTTTTGGTATCAGGGTAATGCTGGCCTCATAGAATGAGTATTTGAAAGTATTCCTTCCTCCTCAATTATTTGGAACAGTTTGAGTAGAATTGGTATTAGTTCTTTAAATATTTGCTGGAATTCAGCAGTGAAACCATCAGGTCCCAGGCTTTTCTCTCATGGGAGACTTTTTATTACTGCTTCTATCTCATTACTTATTACTGGTCCTTTCAGGTTTTCTGTTTCTTCTTGGTAGGATGTATGTGTCTAGGAATGTATCCATTTCATGTCGGTTTTCCAGTTCTTTGACATATAGTTGCTCATAATCTCTAATCCTTGGAAGTTTTTGGTATCAGTTGTAATGTCTCCTTTTCTATTTCTGATTTTTTTGGGGTCTTCTTTCTTTTTTTCTTAATTTAGCTAAAGATTTGTCAATTTTATTTTTCCAAAGAACTAACTTTTTATTTTGTTGATCTTTTGTATTCTTTTTAGTCTGAATTTTCTTTATTTCTGCTCCGATCTTTATTACTTATCTCCTTCTGCTAACTTTGGATTTGGTTTATTCTTGCTTTTCTAGTTCTTTAAGGTACATTATTAGGTTATTTGGTCTTTCTACTTTATTAATATAGGTGTTTATTGCTATAAACTTTCCTCTTACTACTGCTTTTGCTGTATCCCATAGGTTTTGGTATATCGTGTTTCTGTTTTTATTTCTTTCAATAAATGTTTTATTTCCTTAATTTCTACATTGTTCAGGAGCATATTGTTTAATTTCCATATGTTAGTTTCCGAAGTTAAAGGTACATTATTAGGTTATTTGGTCTTTCTACTTTATTAATATGAGTGTTTATTGCTATAAACTTTCCTCTTAACTACTGTTTTTGCTGTATTTCATAGGTTTTGGTATATCGTGTTTCTATTTTTAATGTGTTTCAATAAATTTTTTATTTCCTTAATTTCTACATTGTTCAGGAGCATATTGTTTAATTTCCATGTGTTAGTTTCTGAAGTTCCTCTTGTTGATTTCTAGTTTTATTGCACTGTGGTCAGAGAAGATACTTGATATGATTTCAATTTTTTGAATTTGTTGAACTTTGTTTTGTGGCCTAACATATGGTCTCTCCTGGAGACTATCCCATGTTCTGATGAGAAGAATAAATTCTGCTTTTTAAAAATGTGGGACAGTTAATGGAACTCTTTATTGAATTCATGGCCACAGCTATAGCTAATTCCTGTTTATACTCTAAAGCTGATAAATGGTAAGTAAAACTCCTTAGGCTTAGTTTGTGATAAATGTCAAGTATATTTTGTCATCAGAATATTGACATCATTCTACCTCATTCCTTCTTCTTTTCTGGTAGACAAAAACAACAAAATACAAAAGTCTCCTTTGTGGTGTCACTGTCTCATTGAATAGTAACATCATCCACCTATTGGTCCCTTGCCATGGTAGGGTTTGAGGTTTAATTTTTATCCTACTTACAAGGTGATAATTTACTCTCTTACTATTTCATGGATGCTGGCAAGAAGATATGGAGCTCCTGGGTCAGTGACAAAAGACAAAAGACTTCATTCACTGCACAGAAAGCAGCATAGGCATCAGCATATATGCATTATTTCTGCTATTTCCCTAAGCTCTGCAGGTGTGGTACAGAGGAGCCAAAATGAATTCTGTGCATGCAGTCTGTTTGTGTTGCAGATAAGGAACACTAAATTTGAGGAACCCTCTATTTTATCATCAGCTGTAAGCATACTTGCTCTTTGTTCCAAGGGAGACATTACCTCATCCCTCAAATTTGATAGCTGCAAATATAACCCTAAGAAATGGCCTAGAGAATGAGTGGCTCAGGCTTTGCCTTCTTGACATACCCAGCAAGGTGTGTGGGAGCATGAGACCCATGCAGGAGTATCTCCCAACAGCCAAAATCCTGACCATCATCTATAATTCTGTTTCCCACTATATCTAATTATTTCCCAGAGTAAACTCTTTTAAACTACCATTACTCAAAACCAGACCATTGTAATGCCGTCTTATTGCCACTACTGCCTTCTAATAGATTTCTGCTTCCTTTCCCTTCCCAGTCATGCTTCCCTATTTTCCTCACTATACAGAGTAATCTTTCTAAAACAAAAACTGGCCACCACATAGAACCCTTAGTGCTTCACTAAAAAGTTTAAATTCTTTAACGTGGTATACAGGCTGTTCACCATCTGGTTGAATCTCATGTTTTACTATTTCCCTTCTCTTCTTTGCACTCAAACTCTAGCCGTAACAAACAGTACTTATTCTGTAGGCATCCCTTCTATTCTTATTCTCTGCCCTTCTGAAATGTGCCCTATCCATGGACATGATCTGCTTTTTGTGATTTGGTATCCCAGTTGTAGAATTTTTTTCCCCACAACCTATCTTAATGATTTTCGTTTAGTTCTATCACTTTTTTGGCCAAACTACACCAATTTTTACTATCTTCAGTACTTTTCTAGAATTTGTCAAATTAATACAGTGTATTATATGATCCAGTTTTTAGTGAATCAGTATACTCTAAAACCTCATTGAATCAACATGTGCAGTACTTAGTTTTATCTGATTGCTTCCTGTGTGTGTTTTGTCTCTTAAATTAGGTCGAAGATTTCTTTTGGTATGGTTAATATGACAATTAATTGTTTTACACTTTTGATATTTTAACTTCAGTTCCTTTGAGGTTCAGTGTGAATGACTCATATATTAGACACTGTTTTATGGACATTAGTATTTCAGTTTACTAAATAAATTCTTGATAGGAATTTCAAGGTAGGGTCACTACAGACAACTAACACAGTAGATGTTACTGTCAGTGTCACAGTAGATAGTTTAAGTATCTTTCAGTGATGCTTTTCCCCCTGTAAAATGACAAGTCCGAAGTCATTTATGTTTACCTGAACTACTTTTTTTTTTTTGTACTTTATAGGCATATACTAGTGTCTCAAAGGCTTCACTTGGCCTTGCAGATCACAGAGAACTTGGAAAGATGATGAATACAATAATTTTTCATACAAAAATGGTAGATTCCTTGGTGGAAATGTTGGTGGAAACATCAGATCTCTCCATATTTTGGTATGTTGTAATTTTCTCTAAATCTGGATTTGAAAGTTTTAGTATGCGATATATGTTTCTTGATTATTTTTGTGTTAGCATAGTCCTTAAGACAGTTCAGTAATAGATCCTTAAGAATAAAGGGAATAGTGGACTTTTATTAAAATGTGCCAACAAAAAGAAGTTTAACCAAGTTGGGATTTTATGTCTGTTTTTAATTCTCTAAAAGAGCAACTTACTGATGTGACTTTTATTTCTTACATTTTTTTGAGGAGTTGAAAACAGTCACTCCAAATTACCTTAAGGCCCTTCTTTGCATGATTAGACTAAAGGGAAAGAAATGTTGTAGATCAAGGTCAAATAGAGCAAGTGTTGGAAATTAAATGCCTGGTAACTTCACTTCTATGATGTAAAATTAAACATTAATATGAAGATGATGTGGTGACTACCTCCTGCATTGTGCTTCATTCTCTTTTTCTGTTAGAGTCTTTTTGTTATACTTAGTTTATTTTTCTTCCCTCTCTTCCTCCCAGAAAATGTGGTCCTTAATGGCTATAATTTGTTTTGTTAGTGTCTGTCATAGTAGTTATTTAATAAATCTTTGAATGAATAAGTCAACTTAGTTGTGATCAGATTGATAAACAGTGTGGTGGCCAGGCGCGGTGGCTCACGCCTATAATCCCAACACTTGGGAGGCCGAGGTGGGTGAATCACCTGAGGTCAGGAGTTTGAGACCAGCCTGGTCAACATAGTGAAACCCCATCTCTACTGAAAATAGAAAAATTAGTCGGACGTGGTGGTGTGTGCCTGTAGTCCCAGCTACTTGGGAGGCTTGAAGCAGGAGAATCGCCTGAACCTGGGAGGCGGAGGTTGCAGTGAGCCAAGATCACGCCACTGCACTCCAGTCTCGGTGACAGAGTGAGACTGTCTCATAAATAAATAAATACATAACAGTGGGGTTAGGATTCAAAATCAAGAATTCTCGCCTCAAGCTATATAATATCAACTCTATTTTCTGCTTCTTGGCCCTTTATTTTCCTTTAGGGAAGAGGACTGGAATAACCTAGTATGTCTCTTGATTTCTAAAATGCTGAAATGATCTCAGTGGATAGTGATAGTAGTTTCTATGTATGGGATAGAGATCATCATGAAAAGCTTCTCACTGCATTTATTTTGGAAAATAGTATAATCTGTGTTGATTTTGGCAGTTTGTTAGGAAAGCTTGAATTAGCAGTATTGCAGAAGAAATTCAAATCACCAGGTAGAGAAACCATGCCTCTTAAAGGAAATAATGAAACACATTAGGAAGTATACTTTTTAGATTTAGGCACATCACAGGTCAAATTTGCAAGAATTTTTAAGATTATGTGGAGCCCAGGACTACTGTCTGTCTGGCACAAAGTCTACCTTAGGTAGAACATGAAACATTATATGTTTAGATATTTTCAGCTATGCAAAGGATCCTATTCCAAAAGAAGAATACAACAATTAGAAAGTCATATCCCCTTTCTTGGAACTAAAAGCACTTTGAATAATGTTTGAAATTTGTAATTTTCAGTCATACCTGAATTTTATTTATATTTTTTCATAGTTGCATTCTATTTTTGCCTGTCACATCCAAAATAAAGAAATGTTTACTACTTCTGTTTGTCTTATTACTCTAAGATATGTAGTGTTTTATTGACTCACATTCTTTTACATTTAGATTTAACATCTTTAAATGTGGATGCAAATTAAAACTGCTGGCAGGCTGGGTGCCATGGCTCACACCCGCAATTTCAGCACCATGGGAGGCCGAGATGGAGGATTGCTTGAGCCCAAGAGGTTAAGGATGCAGTGAACTGTGATTGTGCCACTGCATTCCAGCCTGGGCAACAAAGTGTCCCCCGTCTAAAAAAAGTTAAAAAAAAAAATAAAATTGATGGCGTGTGATTATTTAATTGGCAATGTTTTTTTTTTCTTAGTGGTTCATAAAATATTTCTCTCTTTTTTTAATTTATTTTTTAAAAATAGAGACAGGGTTTCACCACATTGCCCAGGCTGGTCTCAAACTCCTGGGCTCCAGTGATCCACCTGCCTTGGCCTCCCAAAGTGCTGAGATTATAGGTGTGAGCCACCACACCCAGCCATAATAATGGTATTTTTTCCTATTTATAGTGACTTAGCTTTGATGAAATTTGATTATGTAAGAGGCCATAGATTATGGTTTATTATTTTTTAAAATGTTGTTATTGTTATATAAATAATATTTTTATTACTCTGGGATAATTATTGGTGTGTAAAAGATACTTTGGGGGAAAAATATTCTCTTCTTAAATCAGTGCTACCAGTTATCATTCATTCACTTGAATCAAATTAACTGTAAGGTACTATATCAGAAAACTTACTTTAAATGTAAAAATTGTGATTCTGATTTTTGTTTATATAGTTTTTATAGTCGTGCTTTTGAGAAGATGTTTCAACAGTGTTTGGAGTTACCCTCTCAATCAAGATACTCAATTGCATTTCCACTACTTTGCACTCATTTTATGAGTTGCACGCATGAACTATGTCCAGAAGAGGTAATTATAGTGTACTACTGTGAGTTATATGGTATGCAAAGTAAACTAGATCAAACCTGTAGCCAACCAAATATTTACAGTCATAATTAGCTAACTTAGCTTCCCATCGAATACATCTCTATGCAGAATCAGAAAAGTGCTTGAACAGATACATAGGTTTAATATATATATAGATAAATAAACATAAGTATAATAAGAACATACCATAAAGTCACTTGGAATTACCTTTTTTAAGATAAATGGTGGGTCAGGTATTAATATCTGTGGAAAAGATTTATATAGTAATTGATTTTGTATACTTAATTTTCCTCTTAAACTGTCATGGAAAGGACTCGAAAATTAAATTTATGGATTACTGAATAAGCATAAACAAGTCAAAGAGAGATTCACTAACTTATTATTACTAAATTGTTAATAAATATATTAAGCAAAATCCAGATTTTGTGATACTTGTGGGATACATACATGCATGTGCATACACACACACAGTTGCAGAGTAATTGAACTGCTTGGTAGTTTTGTTGATGCCAAGTATCTGTGAAAAATGTACTCAGTGTTTCTTCTAATCTTTAAAGAAGAAATATTTTCTATGTGATAAAAATATAAAGATTAAATAATGTATTTCTTTATTATAATTTAACTTAGTGTTTAGTCCCTTTACTTAAAATTGCAGAACTTGTAGAAAAGAAACTTAGAGATAGCAGGAACATGGTCAGTTTCTTTAAGCATTAGACAACATCTGTTGCAGATTGTATGCCAGTATTCCAGGGGAAGCCAACTTTGAGACAGAAGTTAGCTTACAGGAAGTTTATTAGGGAATACTTTCAGAATTTCTACCTATGAGGATATTAATACCACGAATTTTAATAGATTTATGAATTTTTTAGATTTAATAGATTTTTTTCTCCCAAACTTGACACCTGAGATGTATTATTAACTGTTTGCTCACCATCAAATTTCTTTTCATTAAATTACCCATAAAATCCTTCTAATTTTATTTATATGTCATGTCTTGAATCCATCCTCTACTTTCCATTGCTATTGTCATTATTACAGTTCAGATTTACGATACTCTTCATATGTACTCTAAATGGAGTTCATCTTTGCCTGGATTACCTAAGTGGTCTCTTTGCTTCTGCCATTGTTCTCCTAAACTTTATTCTTGGCACCGTAGCCAAAGGCAGAGGTCAGATAATAGAGAGATTTGTATGACATGTTAAACCTTAGTTTTTCTCCATCTCAGCATTTCTGAGCTGTTGAAACGGAGTAGTGAAATCAGATTTGTATTTTAAGTAAGTTAGTATCTGTAAAGAACAAATTTGAGCAGTCTTAATTCAGTATTCTTTTTTCAGGAAGAATTAATAGCAGAAGATTTATGTCTTTCAGAAGTCAGAATTTGATTAAACAAAACACTGTTTATTAATTGAAATCTTTCCTAAGGTGAACCAATATTTAATTATATCAGGTTGTAAATCTTTTTTTTGATTTGACTTTCTATTAAAGTTTTACAGGGCATTTTAAATAAAATACGTTAGATATAATAGATCTAGGAAAAGTTATTTTCTATGCTCAAGTATTTTTATATTTTATGTATTTTACACTTATTTCATCATATAAATACTGTATGTAAGCTCTACATATATGATTATGGAAGGTCAGGGCAGGAAAACTGTTAAAAATTTTATTTCTTTGTAAAGTATTAGAAATGTGTAGTGCAAAAATTTACAGTGTTTTATACTCAACATTCCAGTTACCATAGATAAGAAAAAAACAATCAAACGATTGCAGCCCACTAAAACTAAAAAGAGAATCCTGTAGAGATGGATGCATGATCAGCGTTTTTTTTTTTTTTCTTCCTGGGAGCAATAGGGTTTGATTTTAGAGATTTGAATGCCTTGGACTTTCTATTACCAAATTGATTTCTCACCATTTTATTTAAACATTTGAGCTCTTCTTTCCTGTTTATACAAAGTTATGCCACAATTTATACATTTATAGAGACACAGATTTTAAATGAAATAAGATTGGAAACAGTACTCTAAATCTGTTTGCTTTCACATTATATGTTTAATATTTTAACATTTAAGAACTGGATATAGGACTTTGTGGAATTTGAAAATTAAATACATAGTTTTTCATGTTAAGCAAAATACTGATTTTTCAAGACTCCTCCCAGTTATACATTGCTTTCACAATCACCAAATACTTTGTCATTTATGTTCAAATACAGTATGGTGAGTTAGTTGTTACAAGAGGCAAAAGCAATTTTTAACATCTCCCACCCTCACTATTGCGGAATGTACCTTTAGCCTAATTTTCCATGTCTATTTAGAAGTCTTTTTAATTCAACGTACTTTCTTTATAACTTGTATTATTATTATTATTCTGCCTTCACAGCGACATCATATTGGAGATCGCAGTCTTTCCTTATGTAATATGTTCCTAGATGAAATGGCCAAACAAGCTCGAAATCTCATCACTGATATTTGCACAGAACAGTGTACCCTTAGTGACCAGGTAATGATTTAAGTGTTTCCAACAGATAGGAAATTTTGTGTGAAGGCAAGAAAATGTGCTTTTAGCCAGTTGTTGTTTTACTTTCCATTCTTTAGTTCCCACACTATTAGTAAACCTCAAACCTCTGCTGTGAAACTCCATTAACAGGTATAATTTCTTAGATGTAAACTTTCTGGCAAGACTGTACGTACTGTTTGTGTTCTTTAATCAGGAGTCACGTGTAGTTTTTACATGTGTGTAGTGTTAGCACCTGATTCTGCTATTTCTTGAAAGTTGCAAAAGAACTGGAATTAAGCATATTTGGTGATTTTCAATCCACTGTACTTATAATTCAGATTGAAGCTCAGATTGCCCCGTCATTGGCTAGTGGGAGTCCTTTTTTTTTTCTTTCCAACTTTAAGCATCTATTTATTTATTTATTTATTTTTTATTATACTTTAAGTTTTAGGGTACATGTGCACAACGTGCAGGTTAGTTACATAGGTATACATACGCCATGTTGGTGTGCTGCACCCATTAACTCGTCATTTAACATTAGGTATATCTCCTAATGCTATCCCTCCCCAATTTCCCCACCCCACAACAGGCCCCAGTGTGTGATGTTCCCCTTCCTGTGTCCATGTGTTCTCATTGTTCAATTCCCACCTATGAGTGAGAACATGTGGTGGTTGGTTTTTTGTCCTTGCGATAGTTTGCTGAGAATGATGGTTTCCAGCTTCACCCATGTCCCTACAAAGGACATGAACTCATTTTTTATGGCCGCATAGTATTCCATGGTGTATATGTGCCACATTTTCTTAATCCAGTCTATCATTGTTGGACCTTTGGGTTGGTTCCAAGTCTTTGCTATTGTGAATAGTGCTGCAATAGACATACGTGTGCATGTGTCTTTATAGCAGCATGTTTTATAATCCTTTGGGTATATACCCAGTAATGGGATGGCTGGGTCAAATGGTATTTCTAGTTCTAGATCCTTGAGGAATCGCCACACTGACTTCCACAATGGTTGAACTAGTTTACAGTCCCACCAACAGTGTAAAAGTGTTCCTATTTCTCCACATCTTCTCCAGCACCTGTTGCTTTCTGACTTTTTAATGATCGCCATTCTAACTGGTGTAAGATGGTATCTCATTGTTGTTTTTGATTTGCATTTCTCTGATGGCCAGTGATGATGAGCATTTTTTCATGTGTCTTTTGGCTGCATAAATGTCTTCTTCTGAGAAGTGTCTGTTTATATCCTTCAGCCACTTTTTGATGGGGTTGTTTGTTTTTCTTGTATATTTGTTTGAGTTCATTGTAGATTCTGGATATTAGCCCTTTGTCAGATGAGTAGATTGTAAAAATTTTCTCCCATTCTTTAGGTTGCCTGTTCACTCTGATGGTAGTTTCTTTTGCTGTGCAGAAGCTCTTTAGTTTAATTAGATCCCATTTGTCAATTTTGGCTTTTGTTGCTATTGCTTTTGGTGTTTTAGACATGAAGTCTTTGCCCATGCTTATGTCCTGAATGGTATTGCCTAGGTTTTCTTCTAGAGTTTTTATGGTTTTAGGTCTAACATGTAAGTCTTTAATCCATCTTGAATTAACTTTTGTATAAGGTGTAAGGAAGGGATCCAGTTTCAGCTTTCTACATATGGCTAGCCAGTTTTCCCAGCACCATTTATTAAATAGGGAATCATTTCCCCATTGCTTGTTTTTCTCAGGTTTGTCAAAGATCAGATGGTTGTAGATATGCGGCATTATTTCTGAGGGCTTTGTTCTGTTCCATTGGTCTATATCTCTGTTTTGGTACCAGTACCATGCTGTTTTGGTTACTGTAGCCTTGTAATATAGTTTGAAGTCAGGTAGCGTGATGCCTCCGGCTTTGTTCTTTTGGCTTAGGATT
Source organism: Homo sapiens (assembly GCF_000001405.40). Taxonomy (NCBI): domain Eukaryota; kingdom Metazoa; phylum Chordata; class Mammalia; order Primates; family Hominidae; genus Homo; species Homo sapiens. The sequence continues at coordinate 182,960,276 of NC_000002.12, read as the reverse complement.
GACTTGGCAATGCGGGCTCTTTTTTGGTTCCATATGAACTTTAAAGTAGTTTTTTCCAATTCTGTGAAGAAAGTCATTGGTAGCTTGATGGGGATGGCATTGAATCTATAAATTACCTTGGGCAGTGTAGCCATTTTCACGATATTGATTCTTCCTACCCATGAGCATGGAATGTTCTTCCATTTGTTTGTATCCTCTTTTATTTCATTGAGCAGTGATTTGTAGTTCTCCTTGAAGAGGTCCTTCACGTCCCTTGTAAGTTGGATTCCTAGGCATTTTATTCTCTTTGAAGCAATTGTGAATGGGAGTTCACTCATGATTTGGCTCTCTGTCTGTTATTGGTGTATAAGAATGCTTGTGATTTTTGCACATTGATTTTGTATCCTGAGACTTTGCTGAAGTTGCCTATCAGCTTGAGATTTTGGGCTGAGACAATGGGGTTTTCTAGATATACAATCATGTCCCCTGCAAACAGTGACAATTTGACTTTCTCTTTTCCTAATTGAATGCGCTTTATTTCCTTCTCCTGCCTGATTGCCCTGGCCAGAACTTCCAACACTGTGTTGAATAGGAGTGGTGAGAGAGGGCATCCCTGTCTTGTGCTGGTTTTCAAAGGGAGTGCTTCCAGTTTTTGCCCATTCAGTATAATATTGGCTGTGGGTTTGTCATAGATGGCTGTTATTATTTTGAGATACATCCTATCAATACCTAATTTATTGAGAGTTTTTAGCATAAAGGGCTGTTGAATTTTGTCAAAGGCCTTTTGTGCATCTGTTGAGATAATCATGTGGTTTTTGTCGTTGGTTCTGTTTATATGCTGGATTACATTTATTGATTTGCATATGTTGAACCAGCCTTGCATCCCAGGGATGAAGCCCGGCTTGTGGGAGTCCTTATAGTCATTTGAGAGCTTTCTTGTTATCTGGTGTGACAAGATGTACCAGCCTTTCTAGTAGCTCTGTCTCTTGTGAAGAGTGTTATAGAGATTCAACACTCTGGTCTCTTTAATATTGTTGAAGTTGCAAATGTCCGTAGAAATTTTCATTTTAGGAAGGAACTCCTTTGTCACAATAGAAATGCAATGTAATTTCTTATGCATTTTTTTCCCCAAATACCAATCCCATGGCTTTAGTTACTATCTAGGTATAATGACTAAATAACTTTCCTTGGCCCAGCTCTGTCCAATGGAGATACTATGTAAACCACATATGTAATTTAAAATTTTGTAGTAGCCATACACAAAACTTAGAAAGAAACAGGTAAAGCTAATTTTAAAAACAATGATTCAACCCTATATACCCCAAAATGTTATTATGTCAGCATGTAATCATATGAATGAAATATTGTATAGTTTTTATTATACTAAATCTTTGAAATCTGGTGTTTATCTTATAACACAGCTGAATTTGGACTGGGCACATTTCACATGTGGCTACTGTAATGTACAGTGAAGCTCTCCTTCTACCTAAAATGTTATTTCTTATTTCTCATTTGCCTGCTTTGTTACCTGTCAAGTGAAATCAATTATTTCTGATTTGTACCTGTGTGGTTTTTTTGTTTTAATTATTGGTCTTAACAATGTGTTAGGTAGAAACCTCTGTGTCATACTTGATTCCTGCTTCTCTCACACATCTAAGTTACTGAATCCTTTCAATTTTATCTCAGAAGTCTGTCTCAGATCTGCCCATTAAAATTTTTTTATTACACTTGCCTATTTCATATCCCTTTTTCATGCCTTGTCTGAACTATTTCTAGCAGCTCTGTTACAATTTTCCTTTTTCAGTGTTTTCTTCTGCCAATATCAGAGTTATCCTTAGAAAATTACCTCTTCATGGCCAGGCATGGTGGCTCACGCTTGTAATCCCAGCACTTTGGGAGGCCGAGGCAGGTGGATCTCCTGAGGTCAGGAGTTCGAGACCAGCCTGGCCAACATGGCGAAACCCCATCTCTACTAAAAATATACAAATAAAATTAGCTGGGTGTGGTGGCAGTCGACTGTAGTCCCAGCAGCTCAGGAGGCTGAGGCAGGAGAACCCAGGAGGCAGAGGTTGCAGTGAGCTGAGATTGTGCCATTGCATTCCAGCCTGGGCAACAAGAGTGAAACTCCTTCTCAAAAGAAAAGAAAAGAAAAGAAAATGTCTCCTCATGCTGTGGCTATTTTAAAAAATTGTCGCTGTCTTTTTGCCTGCAGTTTACAATCCAACCTCTAGCTTGGCATTCAAGGCCCTTCCTAATAGTTGAAACCTCTGTACTTTACCTTACACGTTATGCTCCACCACATAGTAGTTCTAACTACAGCTCTGAACCATCATATCTTTACACAGTTTTTTTCCAAAGGCCATTTAATCCTTCCAGTGAAATATTCTTTTTCATTCCTTGCTTGCCTGGTATGTTTTTACTTGTCTTTTTAATAGTAATTTAAATAAGCGTCTATGAATTTACTCTATGACGTGTTTCTTCACACAAGATTTACCCAAGATCTACCCGTTTCTGTTTTCACCAAGCTATGTGCATTACCCAAGCTAGCTAAGTAAGCTCTGTATCTCACTTATATTTCTGTCTTTTAATATTGTTGTGATATTTGCAACACAGCCTGGATTCAGCTACTGTTTGCTTGAATAGTTAGTATGCTTTCAGAGTAATTGGTGTAATGTAAGATTTCATTCTTTTCTAAATTTAGTTGCTACCCAAGCATTGTGCCAAAACTATCAGTCAAGCAGTGAATAAGAAATCAAAAAAGCAGACTGGTAAGAAAGGGGAACCTGAAAGGGAGAAACCAGGTGTTGAGAGCATGAGGAAAAACAGGCTGGTTGTGACCAAGTAAGTATCCACTTATATTATACCTTTTTGCTCCAGGTAAAATATTTATTTCATTTTTTTCTATTGACATTAGTACTGAGGAAATGCTAATAATTGTATATTCTTCATTTTCCAGCCATTTTAAAAAATATTTCTGAGCTTAATTAACCTGTTAGTTGCTTATTTCATCTCAAAATACAGATTTTGGCCTTTAGAAGAAAATATATGTAATAGTTGATATTTGTCTTTTTATACTAAGTACTGAAGGCCAATTATATGTTTAAAAAATTTTGTGTGTTACATTATAAGCAATCTGTAATTTTTAATTTATTTAAAGTTAGATAGTGGAGACTTTATTTTGGCATGTTTTTGATATATTAGAACATACCCAATGTCATTATTATAAAACAGAAATAACAGACCAGGTAGCATTCAGGGATCTTTGCTTGCTTCATTGTTTGGAGGGGAGGTGTAGGTGGGTAATAATTCGGTAAATATTTTTTGTTTAAAGTATAGTTCCTACTTTCTTGCTAAATTGAGCAAGCCATTGCCCTTTTATAGACAACTTTCCTTCTCTCATAACAGAAAGTACTTCAGGAATTGGGCGTGATTATCTTTATGAGTGCAGAATAAGCTCTACCTTTGTATATTAAGTCAGTATATTCATTACTACCTAAAGGTAGAAACAAATGACGCCATCTTTAGAATATTGCTCTTATGTGTTAGTTATAACCTTAAAGATTTTGAACTTTCTCAGTTTAGGAGAATAAAAAGTCGAATTCTCTAAGCATTATCTCCAAATAAGGTTGATATATTTATAAAATTAATTTTGTATTGCCTGTGATGACATGTGAACATTTTAACTGTTTATTAATTTTTTTCAGCCTTGATAAATTGCACACTGCACTTTCTGAGTTATGCTTCTCTATAAATTATGTACCAAACATGGTGGTATGGGAACATACCTTTACCCCACGAGAATATTTGACTTCTCATCTGGAAATACGCTTTACCAAGTAAGAAAGAATATTGACTGTTTTTGTTTGTTGACTCAGTAATGAGTTTGTTATTTAATTATACAGTGTTTTATAAGGAAAAGCATTAGTAGAACTGGATTAGTGTTAAGAATAATGAACCGGGCCGGGCGTGGTGGCTCACGCCTATAATCCCAGCACTTTGGGAGGCCGAGGTGGGCAGATCACGAGGTCAGGAGATCGAGACCATCCTGGCTAACACAGTGAAACCCCGTCTCTACTAAAAATACAAAAAATTAGCTGGGCGTGGTGGTGGGCACCTGTAGTCCCAGCTACTCGGGAGGCTGAGGCAAGATAATGGCGTGAACCCGGGAGACACACTTGCAGTGAGCCAAGATCATGCCACTGCACTCCAGCCTGGGTGACAGAACAAGACTCTGTCTCAAGAATAATGAACTGGGAAATGCAAAGAATAGTGAACTGAAAATTACTGAAGATACCCAGATTCTTTTCTCATACCTATTAGTATTAACTAGTAACACCAGGCAAACCAGTTAATATCTCTGAGTCATAGCTTCCTTATATACAAAGTGAGAATATTGGAGCAAATCAATGTATTTCATCTTGCAGGTGGCAACCCAGTAGGTTCATGAAATCAGTTTATTAGGTTGTAGTCAAAGTTTAGAGAAAAGTGGGAGGGAAAGAAAGGACAAGAGGAAGAAAAAATAGGAAAAAAAACCCAGTACACTGTGTGCATTAAATATATATATTGCTTCGTGAAATGTTTCAGTTACATGTATGCATGTGTATTGACTTGCAGTGTTAAGATGCGTGTCATGCAGTAGGTCACAGTAAAATGTTTGAAGACCTGAGGACTAGATGAACCCTTACATGTTTTCTGAATTCACATGTTGCTGTTAAATAAGCCAATAGAATTCTAGATTCTTGAATTCTCAATTCTAATTAGAATTTCCTGTTATATATGAATATATATTTTATGTATGTATATGAAATAGTGCATTGATAAGTCAGAAACCTTTCAACTTTATATATATTGTTTTAACCTTTTTCTGAAGTTACATCCTTATTTATTAATATTTATTCATGAAAATTTTTATTTATTTGACAATTTTTTTCTTCAAAGCCTTGAAGCAATTTATAAAACAAAATTTTGCCAAAAGGTTTTCAAAGTTTCTGTAGTCATTAACAGGTGGTGTTTGTATTTGCACTATATGCTTAACAATGTGTTAAGTACTCTAGGTAATAATGAGATAAAGATAGAACTGTAGCTGGTGAGATGACTAAAAGAATTAGAGAACAGAATATGACAGTATATAAAGTGGCACTAAGTTGAGTGTTAAATTATCAGTTGACTTGAGAAGAGTCTGGTGATGAACTGTCTTTTGTTCTCCTTAGTAAGTCAGGCATCCTGACAGTAAAACCCAGAATGCCCTAGAACTTAGACCAAAGGGGCATTGTGCCTTGTGGTGTTTATTATTCTCAAGTGGGTTAGAGGTGGGACATTGGTGGGTGGAAGGGAGAGTTCAGTGTACAGCTCCCTTGTTTTCCTTGTAAACAGTCTGCTTTGTTAATCCACAGAGAAGCAGTTTTTTTTTTAACCAAACATCTACTTAGTGATTAGGATCAAGGCAAGGGGAACAGCTTGTTTACCTTGGAAAGATTTTTTATTTTATTTAATTTATTTATTTATTTATTTTGAGACGGAGTTTTGTTCTTTCGTCCAGGCTGGAGTGCAGTGGCACAATCTCAGCTCACTGCAACCTCCATCTCCCAAGTTCAAGCAATTCTCCTGCCTCAGCCTCCCGAGTAGCTGGGACTACAGGCGTGTGCCACTGTGCCTGGTTAATTTTTGTATTTTTAGTAGAGACGGGGTTTCGCCATATTGGCCAGCCAGATAGCTTGTGAATATTAGTGGGTTGGTTTTTGTCAATCAACTGAGCACAGTCTTAGGACTTAGGGATTATACACTAGGATAGCAGTTTTCATCTTGCGTTGGCTCTTCTTGGCCTGTTTCTAGTGATGGGATTTGTCGGTTGTCTTTTAAGGATTCATCCTTACAAATACAAGTCTAAGATCTTTACAGATCTAATGCTCAGGGAGTTTTAAAGAAAGTGAAATAGGGGTGGTCAGTGTAGGATAAGATCATTTAGGGAAGTATTTTCAAAATTTGTGTTTCCTTTTTAGTCGTATACAGTTTCTTGAGATATAAACAGAACTGTTTTATATGCTATGAGTGATTAAAGAAAATAAAGTTGTTTGTTGCCTTATTTTGTTTGACTGTCATACAGTTTGTTTAGAGGCAGCACTAAGTCAGGCAGATCTGCGGTCAAATCCTAGTCATAACCACTTCCCAACAAAACCTTATCAATTTATGTGAGTCCTGAGCTTTATTTTTTTCCTCTGGGAGATATAGTGATAAGTACATTGTAGGTGTTTATTAAATGTGAGGATTGTAGGTAATTTATATAAAGCCTCAAAAACTACTGGCACCTAACAGTGTCAAATAAATTCAAGCTGTAGACTAAATAGTTCACTGTCCTTGCTACAAACAACTTACCATGTTAAAGCAATTTGTAAAACCCTCTTTATACTTAAATCACTTTTGTTACTGGTATACTTAGAATGTTTTTAATCATTTTATTCACATTTCGTTGTAGTTTTTAAGTTTTCTTTTTTCTTTTTTTTTTAAGACAGTCTCACTCTGTTGCCCAGGCTGGAGTGCAGTGGTGCAATCTCAGCTCACTGCAACCTCTGCCTGCTGGGTTCAAGCGATTCTCCTGTCTCAACCTCCCAAGTAGCCAGGATTACAGGCATGTGCCAGGCCCAGCTAATTTTTGTATTTTTAGTGGAGACAAGGATTCACCATGTTGGCCAGGATGGTCTCGAACTCCTGACTTCAAGTCATCTGCCCGCCTCGTCCTCCCAAAATGCTGGGATTACAATAGGCGTGAACCACCATGCCCGGCCTTCATTCTTTTTTTACGCTGTTTCCTGGGAAGATAATGACAGTAATTTTACAGCTTTGTAATAAATTATTTTTAAAGTTAATTTTATTGCTTGTTTAATATTAGATAACAGTAGGTTGAGTGGTTTATTTTACATGAATGGAAAAGTCAGAGGCTTTTCTTATTCTTCTATCCCTTCTTCCCAGGTCAATTGTTGGGATGACTATGTATAATCAAGCCACACAGGAAATTGCAAAACCTTCAGAACTTCTAACAAGTGTAAGAGCATACATGACCGTACTCCAGTCAATAGAAAACTATGTGCAGATTGATATTACAAGAGTATTTAATAATGTGCTTCTTCAACAAACACAACATTTAGACAGTCATGGAGAGCCAACCATTACAAGTCTATACACAAATTGGTAAGGAATGCATTTAGAAATTTGTAGTAGCGGAAAATTTGTAATGAAGTACTTAGGAAAATTAATTTTTTTGTGAATAAGTACTTATTCATATTATCAGTCAACTTAAAATTATATGCAGGAATGTATATCATGATACATTCTGAATTAAGCAGTTTCTTCCGGTTATAAGTTTACGTTTCTCCTTAGGTATTTGGAAACTTTGTTACGACAAGTCAGCAATGGCCATATAGCATATTTTCCTGCAATGAAAGCGTTTGTGAACTTACCTACAGAAAATGAATTAACATTCAATGCAGAGGAATATTCTGACATATCAGGTGAATAGTACTATACCACAGTTTAGAGAATGAAGAACACTTAATTCTTTTGCTAGTGTCTTGATTCTTTAGACTTTTGATTCTGTTGTGACTATTTCATTCAATTATATGCGTAACTGCATATTGTATCTTAGAATTACTTTTGCATTTTGTATTCTCTCTTTCACTCTAGAGACTTTTATCAGGATTTTACATTAGTTTTTATAATGAGATGTTGTATTGTGTTAATGTTCATTTTCTTAAAGTATTTGCTCTGTCGGAAGTATAAAATTAAGTATGTTTTCTTTCAGAAATGAGGTCATTATCAGAACTACTAGGCCCATATGGTATGAAGTTTCTAAGTGAAAGCCTTATGTGGCATATTTCATCACAAGTTGCTGAACTTAAGGTAATATAGTCTTTATTAATTTTAGCTTTTAAACATTAATTCCTGAAAAACATTTCAGGGATATGAGCAACAAGCCTACAATGTTAATTATTTTAATCCAACATGAAAGTACTAATATGAAAATGAAAATTAAATAGCTAGCAAGGCCTTTTTATGGCATCTTAGTTTAGTTTTCTCTATTTTGTAGGTGAGAAAATGGAAAGCGAAAATAGGTGAATTGACTTGGTAAAGGGGACAGAACCTCAGAGTCTTTGGCTTGTGGTCAGGCCTTCATAGTATTGAATCATGATGTTTTCTTTGAAATACCAGCTTCAAAATTCCAGCCAAAGTTAACAATTTGTTCACACTTGCGGTTTGAATGTATTTGCTTTCCATAGATTATAATACAAAAATTACTGGGCTTATTGCTTTTTCTTAGGTAATCTTTTAAATTATCTTATGCCCTCTAAGTTGAATGAAAAATGCCTTCAGAATGCTTAATGTTTCAGTAAAGATGTAAAGGAACTGAAGCAACAACATTTTAAATACCTTTTTATTAGCCTTTTAGAAATATCCTACAGCTACGGTGATTTATATTAAACGAATCTGTATATATAATAACTATGTAGTTTTTGAAAGAATTTGAACTTGGGCCACCAAAACTTTTGAACTTACAAGCAGAATAGAGAAATCATGTTTTAAAATAAACATTTTCTTCGTAAAAGCTTTTTGGTGGTTACTTGAGTCTTGATATTTTAGTTTTTGTTTGTTTGTTTTTTTTTTTTTTTTGAGATGGAGTCTCACTGTGTTGCCCAGGCTGCAGTACAGTGGCACAATCTCAACTCACTGCAACTTCCACCTCCGAAGTAGCTGGGACTACAGGCACGCACCACCAAGCCTGGCTTATTTTTGTATTTTTAGTAGAGACGGTGTTTCACCGTGTTGGCCAGGCTGGTCTCGAACTCCTGACCTCAAGAGATCCACCCACCTCGGCCTCCCAAAGTGCTGGGATTACAGGCATGAGCCACCGTGCCTGGCCAATTTTTAGTTTCTTAAGAAAATGATAGACGGTAGTGGTAAGTAGCTTACAGTTCAGATGTAGCACATAGAGTTCTAAATGTGGTTAATCTGATTTACTGAAAATTGAGCAAATATATAGAACAAGTTAATTTCCACAAACTTAATAGTATTTTGCTGAGTGAATAAATAGCAAGAGTCAGTGTGACTAAAAGCTTAGTATAATCAAAGATTTAAGGAGAGGCAATATTACCCATTGGTTAAGAACTCAAGCTTTCAGCCAGGCGTGGTGGCTCATGCCTGTAATCCAGCACTTTGGGAGGCCGAGGTGGGGGATTGCCTGAAGTTAGGAGTTCAAGACCAGCCTGGCCAACATGGTGAAATCCCCCCTCTACTGAAAATACAAAAATTAGCTGGGTGTGGTGGTGGGCACTTGTAATCCCAGCTACTAGGGAGGCTGAGGCAGGAGAATCACTTGAACCCGGGAGGCGGAGGTTGCAGTAAGCTGAGATCACACCACTGCACTCAAGCCTGCATGACAGAGTGAGACTCTGTCTCAAAAAAAAGAAAAAACTCAAGCTTTCAAGTTAGACTTTCCTGAATTTCAGACCTGTCACTTACAAGCTTTGATTTCGGACAAATGTTTAAGCTTGTACTTTGAGAGAATTTTATGAGATCATGCATGTCAAGCTTTTAGGTACTCAGCATAATGTCTGTTATTTTAGTATTCATTGTATCATTATCCTCTCATTGTTATTTTTAAAGTTTTCTGCAATTATTGTATAAAAGTCAACTTTTAGATGGCTTAAAATATAAAGTTTATAAACTTTATATGGTTGTAAATATACAAACATTGAAATGCTGGTCTTGGTTCTTTACAAGCAGTATCATTCTTATTTATTAGACTAATTCTGCTGTAAATACATAATTTTTTTCTATCCTACTGTTCTCAAATAAGAAATTTCTCATCTCCAATTTTTTTTCTTGTGTTCCTTCAGTATGAGATAATAGAAGAATTATGGCTCTGAAATTTTACTTTAGCCAGCTATTTTTTATTTCAGACTGAATAAACTAGGCACTTCTAGAATTATCTGTATTATTTTTTGCTTTTTTGTTATTTAATTTGATGGATACAGTATCATGGTATGGTAATAAAAATTAGCCTATTTTGAGTCTCTCTGAATTCATTTATATGAACAGTTCCTTAATACTGCAAGGATCTGGCCTTCTGCTTTTCCTTCCTCCTTCACTTTTCTAGCATGGCTGGCCTGATTGCTGTTGTGTCATTTCAAACTACCCTTCACTAAGACATGGTCATAACTTGCCTGTTCGTGACATTCATGTATTTTTCATATGTCACCGTATCAGAATGTCCTTCCTGACCAAGCTTTCTAAAATAGCAAACATCACTTTTTATTCTCTTCATTCAGCTGTATGTGTATCTTAATTGTGACCTCTCATGCAGTGTATTTGTTCATGTCACTCTCACTAGAGTATAAATGCAGTTCTAAACTCTGTTAAAACCTTGCTGCAGACCTAACACATATTAGGCACTTAGTAAATATTTGTTGGATGCAAAAATAAAAATAGCTAGCTTTGTTTGTTTATTTGTTGGAGACAGAGTCTTGCTGTGTCACCCAGGCTGGAGTGCAGTGGTGTGATCATGACTCACTGCCAGCTTGGCCCCCCTGGGCTCAGGCGATTCTGTCACCTCAGCCTCCTGAGTAGCTGGGACTACAGGCATGTGCCAGCAAGTACGGCTAATTTTTTGTAGAGACAGGGTTTCGCCATATTGCCCAAGCTGGTCTCTAACTCCTGGGCTCAAATGGTCCACCCACCTCAGCCTCTTAAAGTGCTGGGATTACAGGCACGAGCCACTGTGCCTGGCCCCAGCTTTCTTAACTCTGTTTTATTCAAGGACTTTTCTAAGATCTTCACTTATCTTATTAACTCCTTTACATCTTTAAAAGAGGTGTTTTCCTTATTTTACAAATTAGGAAAGTGAGGCCAAGAAGGATTAAATAACTTACGCACGCTCACATTTTAGTCAGTGGTGAAACTGAAATTTGAACTCAGTCTGTCTAGCACCACAGATTATGCTAGTACCATGCTACACTGCCTGTAGAGCTGAGAGGGATCTCAGTAGTCATCTAACCTACTCCTATCTGATGAAGGAGCACATGTTGCATTTTTCTAGATGTATTAGCTAGTCTTTTTGAAAATGAGGCCATCTTATCAATTACTGTACATCTCTAGTTTATGTTGATTTAGTATCTAAGTAGTAATTTTTTATTGGTCCTTATTCTTACATCAAGAGGCAGGGATTGCCTTTGACGAGATCACTCTTCACGTATTTAAAAACTGCTTCCCTTCATGTATCATCTTTCTCTTCCTCGTGTGGAATATATTCATATTCAGTCTCTTTGCCATCTTTCTCACTCCTTCCTCTGTACAAACTCTGTTTTTTTTGTTGTCACTCTTAGAGAATAGTGCCCTGAACCAAGAATGAGTTTCAGATAAGGTGTGATGAGTGAGAGTACATTTATCTATTCTGGATACTGTACTTACTGACACAGTTTAAGATAGCATGAACACATTTGGTAGCTATGCCATACTGTTTTCACAATCAACTTGCAATCAGATGAATTGTCTCTTTTTTTCACTTATGCTAACCTTAAACCATGGCTTTCCACATCTTATATTTTGTGAAATTTTTAGACCTGAGTGTATGCTTTGTAGTTTTTCTTAGTAGAGTTTATCTTGTTAGGTATTGTCCATTATTCTAGGGTCTTTTTTTGAGTACAGATTTTATCCTAGTCTTTTAACAATTATTTTATAAACTTAACTATTTTAGCCTTGTCTGTAAGTATGAATGTTATCAAATATATTCTCATTCTTGAGAAGAAATGGAAGGTGCTTATGTTTTAACATTTCTCTCTTATATTTTGGAGTGGCTGTATTCTCGCTCAGATATTAAAATTTAAAGTTAGGGGAATGCGGAACGACTGTAAACAATGTTGACTTTTTAAATATCCTTAACCAAGATGGTTAAGGATGTTAAAACATTTTTTCTTGAAAACTTTTGATGTTAGCTTTCTAGTAATCTCCTATGTGATTCTTTTCTTACTTGACTTTTCATTTTACCTTCATAATAACTTCCATATTTTATTAATGATTTAATATTGTAGTAATATTTTTTGGTATTTGTTTTTACTTTTTTGCTTCTCAAATACTAAATCCTGACTTATTTAAGGATTATGTTTTTCAGAAGGCTTCCTATGAAATATTTATATTTTTAATATTGTGCCTTCATCATTTAGTTCTTCAAAACAAGGTTAATTGTAAGGATTCCATTTTCTGGAATTGTATAATGTTTTATAGTGATTTTGTTTGAGTTCTCTCCTAATAATCCAGATTGTTTAGTATTCAACTACTTGTGTATTATTAAGAACTTGAGAAGGTGTTTATTTGTGACTTTGTTTTCTCAGCCTCTGTGTACTGAGGCATACTTCATACGTATTCTTATATTTTATTACATAAGAAATCCTACAGATCATAATGATGTTTCATATAGATAAATTCAGTGTGTTGTATACTAGTCTGTCTCATTGAAATAAATCTCTAAAAGTTATTCTGTCAGTGATGATTCTAATTTTTTTAGCGTCCTATAAAATTTCCTTAGAATAACCTAATTTTTGAAATTATAGGAACAAAAGAACTTACAGATTTTTGCTTCCAGTATTGGTAGGTAATTCAGACCTCCTTATTTCCAAAGAACAACTTAAAAAGCTGGAGATATATATATATCTCTATAAAATAATCTTCTTTAAAGAAGAACTAAAAAGATAGTGAAGTATTTCTAGGCTGACGCCAAGGAGAACCTGGGAAATCAGAGACATAAGCCCAGCTTTGGAAGCCACTTTTCACCCAGGCATGTGTACTGAAGCAGAAGTAACATTTGTAAAACTAAGCTGAATTCTGGTGGCCTTGTGGAACAAGGGTGTCAGTAGTCAAAAACCTAGAGTAAAGCCTTCTCAAAGTAGGGCATGGGAAGGAAGTCTGCATAATTTCTCCCCAGCCCTCTTTACATAGACACTGTCTAACTTCGGGGTAGGGGTGAACTGGAAATGAGTCACCCCTCCCCAGGATTTGCAGCCCTGTTTATGTTATATGCTTTATCTAAGGCATCTCAATCCTTGGACCTGGATTAATGTGGTCCTAGGTTGGTAGTGCCCCAATGTACTTAGCAGAAGCTAACACAGATCTTCTCTGGAGAAAGATATCCTCATCCTAGGCTTCAGATGATTCCTGCAAATAATTCATCAAGCACATGACCTTCAGCTGGAGAGTGGAAGTCTTTTGGAGATTAGTGCAGGGTGGAGGTAGGAGGTTTTATATATCTGGCAGGCTGCCATGATTAAATTATTGTCTTGTTTTCAGCCTCAAGCCTTCCTTTCTGTGCCATTGCCTTCAATTTCTGATCCCTTCCTCCTTTCCTCCCTCTTGAGGTGTGATTTAACTTGCTTCTGCATTTTATCTCCATTATAAGAACTTGCTAATCAAATTTCTCACCTCTCCTTATTCTTTGCTCTAGTTTCCATCTTCCAGGAATTTGTTGACTTTTCTCCTTTGATCTTGTTTTTTCTGCTGTTTCCTTTTTTTTTTTTTTGGTAGGTTTATGCCTTTATTTTTTTACCTCTGACTTGAGTGGATTTCTGAAAGGAGCAGTTTTAGACATTTAAAATTCTCTACATTTAATCAGCACTTCTACATAGTTTACATACTTGTTTGAGCATTTTTTTTTTCTTTCCAACTTCTATTTTACGTTCAGGGGTGCATGTGCAGGTTTGTTATATGGGCGAATGACATGTCATGGGTTTGGCACACAGATTATTTTGTCACCTAGGTAGTAAGCATAAGTACCCAATAGGTAGTGTTTTGACCCTTAACCTCCTCCCACCCTCTACCTTCAAGTAGGCCCTGGTGTGTGTCGCTCCTTTTTTTTTTGTAAACAGAGTCTCGCTCTGTCGCCCAGGCTAGGAGTGCAGTGGCGTGATCTCGGCTCACTGCAAGCTCTGCCTCCCAGGTTCACGCCATTCTCCTGGCTCAGCCTCCTGAGTAGTTGGGACTACAGGCGCCGACCGCCACGCCTGGCTAATTTTTTGTATTTTTTAGTAGAGACGGGGTTTCACCGTGTTAGCCAGGATGGTCTCGATCTCCTGACCTCGTGATCCACCCACCTCAGCCTCCCAAAATGCTGAGATTACAGGCGTGAGCCACTGCACTATCTATGTGTACTTGATGTTTAGCTCCCATTTTTAAGTGAAAATGTGAGGTGTTTGGTTTTCTCTTTCTGTGTTAATTCCCTTAGGATAATGGTCTCCAGCTCTATCCATGTTGCTGCAAAGGACATGATCTCATTCTTATTTATGACTGTGTAGTAGTTCATGATATATATGTACCACATTTTCTTTATTGAGTCTATTGTCGATGGGCATTTAGGTTGATTCCATGTCTTTTTGTTGTTGTTGTGAATAGTGCTTCAGTGAACATACACATGCATGGGTCTTTATGTTAGAATGATTTATATTCCTTTGGGTATATACCCAGTAATGAGATTGCTGGGTTGAGTAGTAATTCTGTTTTAAGTTCTTTGAGAAATCTGCAAACTGCTTTTCACAGTGGCTGGACTAATTTACATTCCCATCAGCAGTGCATAAAGCATTTCTTTTTCTCTGCAACCTCACCAGCATGTTTGAGCATTTTGATAGGAAACATTTCTAAAAGTGGATCAAAGAATATGAACATTAATTTTTTTTGATATTACCAAATATCCCTCTGAAAATATTGTAGTTCACACTCTCCTCAGCAGAACATTGTGATATCTCTAATAGCATCTTAGTCTTTTTGGAGTTAGTATATACAGTGTTTTGTGTTTTGGGGGGAATTGTAATATTTTAAAGATCATTCTGTAATTTCTTTGCTGGTTTTTTTTTCTTTCTTTCTTTTTTAAGAGACAGGGTCTCCCTGTCACCTGGTCTGGAGTGCAGTTGCACGTTCATAGCTCACTGCAGCCTCCAACTCCTGGGCCCACCCTCCTGAGTAGCTGAGAAATATAGGCGTGTACCACTGTGCCTACTTTTTTTTTAAGCTTTTTTTTTGTTTTTTATTTTTTGAGACAGTCTCGCTCTTGTCACCCAGGCTGGAGTGCAATGGCACAATCTCAGCTCACTACAACCTCTGCCTCCCGGGTTCAGGCGATTCTCCTGCCTCAGCCTCCCGAGTAGCTGGGATTACAGGTGCCTGCCACCACGCCTTGCTAATTTTTGTATTTTTAGTAGAGGTGGTGTTTCACCATGTTGGACAGGCTAGTTTCAAACTCCTGACCTCAGGTGATCCGCCCACCTCGGCCTCCCAAAGTGCTGAGATTACAGGTGTGAGCCACCACGCCCAGCCTTTTAAAGTTTTTTGTAGAGACGAAATATTGCTGTGTTGCCCAGGCTGGTCTCAAACTCTTGGCTTCAGGTGATCCATCCACCTTGGCCTCCCAAAGTGCTAGGATCACAGGTGTGAGTCACCATGCCTGGCCACTTCTTTGCTTTTATTTCCATTTTTAAAATATTTAATCTAAACTGATATAAACTAAGTATCATTTGATTCAATCTTTTTCTTTTTATCTTAAAGGTGATCTTAATTATTTTAGTTCCTGTTTTAGCCGAGGACCTTTTTGTTTTATAGGGTAATTTGTGTGCTAATTAAAGAAGTAGAGCTTTTTTATATTTGATGGTTGTGAATAAATTGTGTGTCAGACATAATCAACACTATGTACGTGTACTTATGGTGAAACATGTTTATTCCTTTCAGGAGAAGAAAGCAACCGTCTTTTTTTCTACGAAAATTCTTGGGTGTTTTATTTGGGGTTGTGCGCGTTGAGTCCATTTCTCCTTCCAGTCTGCCAAAAGAATTGTTTTGGCATTTTACAGATCAGTTCTTCTAGTTCTTCATGGGATCCTAAAGGACATTTTTTCAAATGAAGTAGGAAATTTAAATATGAATTTTGCCAAGAATTTAACACTTTCTTTTTAACACAATACCAACTAAATTATATCAAACTTTTTTTTAAAAAAAATCTTGATTTATTTCACTTGCTTTGTCTAAACTTATTCTAAACCATTTCATTGGTAATTCCTATTATTACTGCCAGCTTTCAGTTTATTCATCAGTGAGATTAATCAATAACTTTATAGAGAGCAAAAATAGTAAGCCAGCAAATAATTTAGGGTAATGGTTCACAAATTTTACTTCTCAGACCAGCAGAAGAAGCATTACTTTGGAGCTGGTTAAAAATGCAGGTTTTTGTTCTCTGTCTCAGACCTGCTAAATCAGAAATTCTGGGGCTGGGACCCAGCAATGTGTGTTTGTAAGGAGTTCTCTAGAGAATTTTTATGCGCACAAAAGATGGGGAACCATTTCTTTAGGGATTAAGAACATGGATTTTAAAGTGAGACATACCCGAATTCAAATTCCAAATTAACTGTTGAATATCACTGTAACTTTGGGCAAGTTATCCAACTTCTCTGACCTTAGTTTCCTCAGCTGTAAACTTGGAATATTACCTACCTTAATTGGATTATAGTAAATATGATTATAAGTTACCTTGTATAAGAGCTTAACAAATGGTTATAATTGCTCTTATTATTAAACATATATCAGTATTTCTGAAATGGTATGTATCTTATAGTGTTAGTAGTTGGGTTTTTTTTTTCCTTTTAGTGACACATAGAATAAGGTGCATTTTAAATTCGATGGTGTTGATTCACTGATATGTGATACGATGTTTAAAGTGCATGGTCACTATCAGGCTTGGGCATAGAGTTTGAGTGTGTATTGAATCCAGTTTTAGATTTGGAGAGTTTTGTTTTGGCCCAGAGAGAGCAGGCAGCCTAATCAGAGACCATAGAAGTTAAATTCAGCAAATAAATGTGACTAGAGCTTAACTTCTGATTAGCAGCATAATAAGAAACAATCTGAAGTAATAACATCAAGCAACCTAAACAAAACTTATACTAATGTTTTCAAAAAAAGTATTTTTATGGATTTTCTGTGTAGTTTTTTTCCCTTAAATCAGATGTTATCAACCTTTCGTTTGTAAAAAACACCATGGCACTTTATATGCTTGCTGCACCTTCCCAACCAGGTCTGCTGAATTGAAATAACCAAGAATGAAGCAATGGATATGTGTATTTGGAAAGAGCACCACAGGTGATTGTGATGTGTACAAGGGCTGAGAACCATTATAGAGAACAAAAGTAAAGAAAATTCTGATTTACAAGAACTTTGTAGAGATATAGAGATCAGAAATTAAATTATAAACTTCACTTACATTGTGAAAGAACTGGGAAGTGTGATAGTGGTGAACTTAGTGGTGAAAGCAGACCGCACAGGTAACTGCAACAAAGAGCAGAATGTCTCTCTCACTTCTCTCTTTGTTGTTTTAGAAACTCGGTTTATTGTTGTCTAGGCTTATCTCTGACAGAATGAAATTAATTACATTTGTGTTATAATTTTTAAATTACTTTGTAATGTTTCTTTTGAGGAGAACATTCTTCAATGAGTTATACTTTTCTTGAATAGTTATCCTTCACACCCTTCCCTTATTTATATCTCTTCCTTCTTTTCTCTTCCCTTTTCTCAGTGGTCTGTGAAAGAGGAGTAGATAGTTTATACTTCCATTTTATAATTTTTGTTGGGAAACATTACTATTATATAATCCCCATCAAGTGGTACCATACCATAACAAGTCATTCTCCCTCTACTTGTATGTATCCAGTAATACTCATTGTCTACAGGCATACTCTAGCCTGCCTTTGGCCAGGTTTAACTTTAGCTAGTTTTTTTGTTTCAGTTGGAATTTGTTGCTATGTCCATTTTAGTGTCTACTTTTTATTATTGATGCCGTTCAGCGTCTAAGTAAGCATAAGATGATTCTTTATCCTACTACTTACCTTTGTTGCTTTTCCTGAACTCCTTCCTTCTTGAATTTGTAAACTGAAGGGAAACACTAAGCTTATATAAATAATTTTCAGATGCTTTTATTGAAACAACAAAAAAATATATGTAGCATAGAGCGTCTGGATTTCATGAATTGTGTTTCCTACTTGCCAGATTGTAATTTCCAAGCATGCTCTTATCTCATTAACACAAAGAGGTCTGTGCCTGACCTAGGATCTTTCTTTTTTTTTTAGAAACTTGTGGTGGAGAATGTTGATGTGTTAACACAAATGAGGACCAGCTTTGACAAACCAGACCAGATGGCTGCACTGTTTAAAAGATTATCATGTGGGTAACTCATGATACTTTTTATAAACATAAGAAGATCTTGATACTCAGTATTTAGCTTTGGCTCAAAATTTGTAACATAAATACAAGTAGTAAATTATGAAAAGTACTCTTTAGCTTATGAAGAGAACTAGAACATTTTTGCAGTCAAAGGATCATATAAGTGTGTGTGTGGCTTATCTGTTTCACAATTTTTCTTAACCATACTCTTAGTCTACTATGTGTCGCTAGTTCATGAATATTACCAGTATCAATTTGGTTTTGAACCCATTAAATTTAATACAGTAAATCTACATTAATTTAGACTAAAAGGATTAGCTTCTGAGCCTGTTAACTTTCTAAAAATCAACTTTATACGTATAAGTT
The DNA here is from genome assembly GCF_000001405.40 of Homo sapiens. Taxonomy (NCBI): domain Eukaryota; kingdom Metazoa; phylum Chordata; class Mammalia; order Primates; family Hominidae; genus Homo; species Homo sapiens. The sequence goes on along the minus strand of NC_000002.12, from coordinate 182,941,703 downwards.
ACATACAATAAAATGTACCATTTAAGCAAACGGTATTTTGGATTTTGACAGATGGATGCATTCATATAACCATTGCCACAGTCTAGATATAGAACAGTTCCATCAGTTTGAAAAATTGTTTGCTATCTCTTTGTAGTTGGTCTCCTACCCCAGTCTCTGGCCCCAGGCCAAACAACCACTGATCTTATTTCTGTCACTATAGATTAAATTTGTGTCTGGCCTCTTTCACTTAGCATAATGTTTTTGAGATTTATTCATCCATGTTGTTAAGTGATCAGTAATTTGTTTCTTTTTGTTATTAGCTAAGATTGATGAAAACCTGAACCTACAACTTAAAAAAAAATTGTAATGTCTTCTTGACATTGATTCTTTGTGGGAGGTATATTGTGAAATCACAGTGAATCTTAAGTATTAAAGTGTGTTCAAGCAGATAACTGTTTTAGATATACTTGATCTAATGTTATTTTCTTTTGCTTTTTTTACTTGAACTGTTAAAGTTACAATGAAAAATTATTTTAAAGTCATACTTCTTGGTTAATTTAAAAGCCTTCTCAACACTAAAAAAAAAAAATGAAATCCCAAATAAAATATTCTTTGTATTTGAGAAAGCCAGAGAACAAGTTTATGTTCCTAAACAAAAAATAATCCAGAAGAAAACTAAAGCCATACATGTATTTAACATACTTCATATTTGACATTTTTCTCTTAAATGCTTTAGAGAATCACTTTATTAGGCTATTTTATCCTGTAAAACTTATTTAATTCTTATTGAATAAAAATTAAAGATTACCTTATAGGACAGATCTGTGGTTGCCAGGACTATAAAGGGAAAGCAATGAGGGAGATTTTTAGGGTGATGAAACTGTTCACCATAGTGGTGATACAAATCTATCATATGTGTCATACGACACATATCACTGTGTGTTACATAGTGGTAACACAGATCTGTACATGATAACATTTGGGGCTGGGTGTGGTGGCCCAGGCCTGTAATCCCAGCACATTGGGAGCCAAGGCAGGCAGATCACTTGAGATCAGGAATTCCAGACCAGCCTGGCCAACATATTGAAACCCTGTCTCTACTAAAAATACAAAAATTAGCCAGGCATGGTGGCACATGCTTATAATCCCAGCTACTCAGGAGGCTGAGGTAGGAGAATTGCTTGAACCCGGGAGATGGAGGTTGCAGTCGGCTGAGATAGCACCATTGCACTACAGCCTGGGCGACAAGAGCAAAACTCTATTTCAAAGAAAAAAAAAATGGAGCTGTATACCAAAAGGAAAAGAAAAGGTCATTTTTATTATATGATACTTTAAAAAACAAAAAAATAGACGTGGTAGCATTATAGGGAGGAGTATGAATAAGTAGGAAATTAGTTTTTAAAACTCTCCTGATCTTTCTTTTGTTATTGTACATTGGTTTACTAGCTACTTATATTTTCTACTCCTTTATTCTTATTAGTTTTGTTTTTTTCATGTTTTCTCCCATTTTTTAATACTCATTTGACAACCCCATTGGCCTTAACCCTATTTACTTTCCTACTAACAGTCTTTTGACTGTTCCATCTAATTAGAAGCAAATAATCCGCTGCAGTGTTCAGTACTTTATTTAACTCTCATTTGTGGAATTGAAACAATGGAATTTGTTAAAATTCCAAACAGAATTTGCAAGTTTTCAAAATAAAATTCATAGTCGTTTGTCAAGATTCTGCTTACTTGAATTTTGTGTATAATAATTAATGGTGACTCATTACCTCTAACTCATTGGCCATTTTGGAATTGGCCAAAACCAAAATCTAAATTGTTGAATGTTAATGACCCATATAAATCAAATTTGTCTTTAAATAGAATTTATTAAATCTTTTCTATAATTTGGAAAAAGAAACGATTCACTTGAGAGTGACTCATTTAGGAGAGTAGAGAGAACTATTTTTTCAGCAATTGAACTGTTTTCCAAAACTTTCTCTTTTTTTTAATTCTTTTGTGCTTCCTTCTCCCCATGTCCATATCCAGAAGTCAATGTGTTTTTGAAGGAGTTTTTCACAGTCAACAAGCACATTCTTTTTAAAAGATAAAGCATTATGATTAATTAAAAGTAGGTCTGAATTGGGAGGCAATCTGGAATTTATTAGTTTATTTTTATTTTATTTTATCTATTTTTATTTTTAAATTTTTTGAGACGGAGCCTTGCTCTGGTGCCCAGGCTGAAGTGTAATGACACAGTCTCAGCTCACTGCAACCTCCACCTCCTGGTTCAACCAATTCTCCTGCATCAGCCTCCCAAGTAACTAGGACTACAGGCATGCACTACCACACTCGGCTAATTTTTGTATTTTTAGTAAGATGGGGTTTCACAGTGTTGTCCAGGCTGGTCTCGAACTCCTGACCTCAAGTGATCCATCCTCCTCGACCTCCTAGAGTGTTGGGATTACAAGCGTGAGCCACCGTGCCTGGCCTTATTATCAGTTTTAAGACTTCTATGTGACTTGGGCAAATCTCCTTATGTCTGTTTAATATTTTTTTATTCTCTGACATTCTGTTTCTTGGGACTAGGTTCATCGCTTTACTGACTCCCTAATTCCAGACTAAAAATATTTCTAGTTTTCCTACAGCAATTTTTTCTTTCGAAAACTCATTCTATTCACATACCTTTCTGCCATCATCTACAAACCTATAAGTTGCCTCTGAAGATCTTTACTTTAGCAGTACTTTGGATGTTATTATTTCCTGAAATTGTTCCACCAGTAAAAATCTTGAACTTTGAAATTCAACTCTCAGATCACAGCCATGTCTTCTAGCTCTCCCATTCCTTTACACCTATTGAACTCCTTGTTCTGGCTCATTGAAACTTTTATGCCTCTCAGCTTTCCTGATCACCTATTCCTGGCTTTACATATTTTATCCATTCTGGACTATGAAATTTGGTTAGTGCATTCTCCCTTATGCTGTCATACCCTTGAGTTTTTGCTACATTCATTCCCACAAAGCAGTTTTCCTGATCCCTAGAAAGTCTCCTGCACCCTGAAAGCCAAGTACTGCTTGTGAAATAACACTTTTTAAGTCTGTCGTTAAACTGGCCTCTTTTTCATCTTACCACCTGTCTTACTTTGAAACTTTTTGACTAGTTTGTATGCACTGTTTGATTGTCCCACCTGTCCACTCTTGGTGTGCTGTAATATGTCCACTTTCCTGAAACCTTTCTGAAAGTTTGTTGGTGACTACTCATTTGCAAGATTTGGTGCTTTTTCCTCAACTCTCATTCTGTTTATTTCTCTGTCGTGTTTATCTCTTTTATTCTCCTTTTTATTAAAGCTTTATTTTCTTTATTTGCCAATACTTTTATCTCTACTCTTCGTCGTTTTTGCAGGTTCATCTTTTATGTAGTGTCAGCTTGTGATATCTTACTCTTCCATTTTTACTCTGCAATACTATTGGAAAAATTTTATCCCAAATTTTCTCTTCCCTTATCCAATATTTATCTTCAGCCTTAACTCTCTTCTATTGATCTCCAGATGTTTAATACCAAGTACTAGTTTGACCGGGGCTTCTCAAAGTATAACCCAGGGACATGTAACAGCACCACCTGGGAATTTGTTAAGCATGTAAATTATTGGGCCCCACCTCAGACCTGCTGACTCAGATCTCTGGGGCTGAGGCCCAGCAGTCTGTGTTTTAACAAGTCCTCGGGGTCATTTGGAATCATACAAAAGTTTAGAAACATTGTGTTAAATATTTTCAGCTATATGACCCACAGGTTTTTCACAACGTCCCTGGAATGGGAAGTATCTCTTCCATGGCAGGTATAAGTAGGTGGGGAGAAAAAACCTGATGTTTTCTTTATTGACTATTTTGTTACCTCTCTCACCATCTATCCATTGACTCACACTGGAAAACTTGGGCATCCTCTCTGATTCTTTCACTCCTCATATTCCATGTGCAGTAGCTATGTCTTATAGATGAGAGTTTACAAATTGGTGTGTCACATTTGGTCCAAAGGTATACATTGTTTGGCCCTATGCTACATTAATTTTTTTTTTAATTTGGGTCATTATTTTTTAAATGGGAAGAGTCATTTTTAAATAGAATTCTTTTCGTATAACTCTTTATATTTTGAAAACCCTGAACAACACCCTCATTGCTTGAAGGATACAGTATAAACTCCTTAGCATGACCTTCAAAAGCTATTATTTGGATTAATGAAATAATTGACTGGCATTACCTCCCTCTCTGTCCCCCACTACCTATTTGTTTGCCTGGTCCAAGACCCACATAGCCTCTGTTCTAGAGTTAGTTCCTTGGGAAGTTAGTGGATGTTATGTGGGGTGAAGGGAAGTGCCAGTGGTCAAATGGTTTGGCAAATAATCCATTACACAATACATTAAGCAGTGTTTCTTACTGTGAAGTATCTTAGAACTTTTAATGTGTCATTATTGTACACATTCAAGATGAGGTTGTAGGGTATAGTCTTTGAGAACTTGATTAATTTCTGGGTAACATACTTTGGAAAATATATGGCTATATCACACTGAATCTTGTCTGTTGTTATTTCTAGTGTGAATCTTTTTTTTTTTTTTTTTTTTTTTTTTTTTGTGAGACAGTCTTGCTCTGTTGCCTAGGCTCGAGTGCAGTGGCGAGATCTTGGCTCACTGCAGCCTCCGCCTCCTGGGTTCAAGACATTCTCCTGCCTCAGTCTCCCGAGTAGCTGGGACTACAAGCACGTGCCACCAGGCTTGGCTAATTTTTGTATGTTTAGTAGAGTTGGGGTTTCACCATGTTGCCCAGGCTGGTCTTGAACTCCTGACCTCAAGTGATCCACCCGCCTCAGCCACCCAACCTAGTCTCATCTTGAATTACCATTTAATTGAATATCTACTGGTCATCTGGGTATCAGACACTGTGCTGAGTGCTACAGGTAGATGAGAAGATTAAGAGTAGTTCCTGCTCACATGGAATTTTTAATAAATTTGCGCCTTATATCATTTTGTTAACATGACTTTTAATTCATATTTGGCTTATATTAGGCCTATTTGTATGGTTTAGTGAAAGATGCTATGGTCAAAGTTTAAACAAGCTACACAGAAGGTAGAAAGTTAAAATAAAACACTTCTCTCTATTCCTACTCCTCAACTAGTAACTTTAACAGTTACTGTAGTATATACATCTCTTTCCAGAAATTTGTTATGTATATACAAATATAGGTCTGTATATATATCTTTTTTAGTTTACATAAATGGAATTATATTTCTTAGTTTTCATGACAGCCCATTTAGACTGTCTGCTATTCGAGGTCTAGGTCATTATTCTGTTTATATTTCTTCTTTTACTACACAGTGTAAGGCTTTGTATATGGCGTGCAATAAATGTTTGTTTTGGCTTTATAAAATGTGAAGGTATTGAACCATCATATTGACCCTTCCAATCCTACTTTGTTAACAGAGTTTTATTTTTTTTTAGAGATGGGGTCTTGCTCCTTTACCCAGGCTGATGTGCAGTGGCATGATCACTGCAACCTCTGATTCCTGAACTCAAAGGATCCTCCCATCTTAGCCTCCCAAGTACTAGGACCACAGGCTCATGCCCCCACACCCGATTGATTTTTTTTTATTTTTTGTAGAGACAGGGTCTTGCTATGTTGCCCAGGGTGCTTGTGAACTCCTGGGCTCAAGCAATCTTCCCGGTTCAGCCTCCTAGAATGCTAGGATTACAGATGTGAACCACCATGCTCAGCCTTGAAAATCTATTAATAATTTTTAGAATAATGCTCTCTAACCAATATGTAAGTGATCAAATCTGTTCAGCTTCAGCAAACTGGTCCTGCCAAAACTGCATGTGTTCTCAACAGGCATTTTTTGTTTCTTAACTCAAGACCTTAACAATTTAAGAATTTAGCACTGCTGAGTTCCTGGGCCGCTTGAGGATTTAACTCCTGTTCACTCTGATCAGCTTCTTTCTCATCTAGTCTCGCTTCCCTTCTTTCTGCCCCTACCTTTTCTGAAATAGGGTTTCAGAAGGTAGTAATATAATTTATATAAAGTTATATTATAAATATAATTTATAGTTAGCTACTTGTGAACCATCTAACTCATATGAAAGAGCACAATATACTCCATTTGATGGAAACTATAGTTACTTAAAAGTTTAACCAGTTTAAATATCAGCTATCAACATCTTTCTCTCTTTAATCATTATTGTAATCAAATTACTGTTAATTGTGCCTTTTATCATGGGAATTTTATTACTTTAATAAATTTAGATTTTTTTCCAAGTTTAAGAAAGAATCCAGTTCACACTTTTTTATTCTCTTCTCCTTCTGTTTCTTTGAATTTAGCTGTTGACAGTGTCTTGAAGAGGATGACAATAATTGGTGTAATTTTATCCTTCCGATCATTGGCACAAGAAGCACTTAGAGATGTAAGAAACCATTACAAGTATATACTCGGTATCCAAACAATCCCTTTTAATTTCTCAGAAATTTAAAGTTAAGTTTCAGATTCATGCTTAGCAATGATATAATTAAAATTCCAGTTTTAGTAGTTACAGAAAATAACATACATAAAATTAGTTATTTAAGCTCATTTTTTGTTTTGGTACTGCTGCTTGCAGAGTATAACTTGCGTGGTTATTGCACTACTTTTTCAGTGATCTTCATTATCAGTAGAGTATTTTCAATTTTGACTATACTGGCTTTAATATTGAATTATTTTGAATCCATTTAATTTTCATATGTCTTGAAATTTTTGAAAAATCACTGAAAGTAGATAAAGTAAAATAATTTTTATGAAAACTAAAATTAATCAATTGGTAATATTTTGTAAATTTAGGGGTTGCCATTTAAAAATAATTCTGTATTCTTATTTGTTATCCTGCCTAGGTCTTATCCTACCACATTCCTTTTCTTGTAAGTTCAATTGAAGATTTTAAGGATCACATTCCAAGGGAAACTGATATGAAGGTAATAATATAATTTATAGTTGGGGTTTACAGTCTCTAAAGCGAAATATTTAAATTACATATGCAAGAAAATGTAATAAATCCTAAACTACTGTAAGGTTTCTAGTTTAGAGTGGTTAGTTAGCATGCTTGCCTTTGTAATTGAATCTTTGAGAGCTCAGCACCAAAATACTACCTAGGCATTTTGAAAGTCAGTCTTCTTTGATCACCTATAGCAATGCAAAATTGACTAAAAATAGATTTTTTTTTTCCTTAAATGGATAGCTGTTTATACATGGTGATAAAGAAAATTAAGAAAGATGAGGTGGCCAGGCACGGTGGCTCACGCCTGTAATCCCAGCACTTTGGGAGGCCGAGGCTGGCAGATCACGAGGTCAGGAGATCAAGACCATCCTGGCTAACTCGGTGAAACCCCATCTCTACTAAAAATACAAAAAAAAAAAAAAAATTAGCCAGGCGTGGTGGCGGGTGCCTGTAGTCCCAGCTACTCGGGAGGCTGAGACAGGAGAATGGTGTGAACCTGGGAGGCGGAGCGTGTAGCGAGCTGAGACCTTGCCACTACACTCTAGCCTGGGCAACAGAATGAGACTCCGTCTCAAAAAAAAAAGAAAGATGAAGCAATGAAATAATAGTCGTTTTAAATACAATGAAATTCAATAAGTTTAAGATAGATGTTAAGTCATTTCTTATAAAAGGATGTAATTGTAGGCTGTAATTTTAAAAAGATTTTTAGTATTCTATTATATGTAATATATATATAAAACAGCAGGTTGGCAGACTTCTGTGAGCTTACAGTTTTTGTTTTGAAAATCTATTGAGCCATGAAATCCAACTATTGATCTAATCCTAGTAATGATTGACCAGTGGTTATACATCTAGTAAGTGATATATCGGGGTTTACATTTGTGTTTTCTAAGCTGACACATTTCTTAGAGAGATTGTTTCTGTTTCACATATCTTGAAAAACACCGACTGAAAAAAATAGTGTCTAAACTCCTTTGTATGACACCAAGACTCTTCTGAAATTGGTGCCACTCAGGCTGGGCATGGTGGCTCAAGACTCTAATCCCAGCACTTTGGGAGGCCGAGGTGGGCAGATCACCTGAGCAAGGTGGGTGGATCACTTGAGGTCAGGAGTTCGAGACCAGCCCGACCAACATGAAGAAACCCCATCTCTACTAAAAATACAAAATTAGCCAGGCGTGACAGTGCATGCCTATAATCCCAGCTACTCGGGAGGGTGAGGCAGGAGAATCTCTTGAACCCAGGAGGTGCAGGTTGTGGTGAGCTGAGATTGCGCCACTGCACTCCAGCCTGGGCAACAGGAGCAAAACTCCCGTCTCCAAAAAAAAAAAAAAAAAAATGTGGTGCCACTCAAACTTTTTGAGGCTTATCTTCTGCCACTTCTTTCTTCCTTCTCTCACTCTCTTTCTTACTCTGTCCCTCTTTTTATATGGTATTCTGTGAGCTAACTAGATCTTTCTGTTGCATTCTCACATCTATCTGTTTTACCTTCTAATTTATTCTACTTGAAAATACCAACCTTTTCTCTTTCTGCCTTTTGAAATCCTGCCTGTATTTTAAGGCTTGATTCAATTGCCATTTTCTAAGAACCATTCCTAGATTCTCCAATGATAAAGAACTTCTTCTTTCTTAGTGTTATCAGAGAACTTGTTTATCTCCTGTGGAGTTGAATATAATCTGCCTTGTATTATAATTCTATTTTTCTACTTATATTTATACCAAATGGTATATATCTTGAAGACCCAGACTTTGTTTTTTTGGTGTTGTTGCTGTTGTTTCTCTTACAGTGTTTTGTGCAGAATAAACATTTGAGATCAGTGATTGTCTTGTGATTCTATGATTGAAAACTATGTACAAATAGCTCAAAATGATTTCCTAAGTGGAAACACTGCAGAAAAAATAAAGTTAAGGAGACAAAAACTAATCAGTTCTTGAGAAGACACTGATGTGCAGAATTATAAGAATTCTAATTAATATTCTGAGCAACCATTCACTTTTCACCTGACATAATCATGTTTAGTTTCCAGCAAACTTTCAATAGAACTTAACTTTTAAAAAAAAAAACAACAAAAAACAAAAACATGTTTTTAAACAGCTTTATTGAGTTATAACGCACCTATCAGAAAATTTACTCATTTAAAATGCACAATTCAGTGGTTTTTAGTGTAGTGACAGAGTTGTTCAACCATCACTAAAGTCAGTTTTAGAACATTTTCATCATCCCCAAAAAGAAGCCTTGTACCCATTAGCAGTCACTCCCCATTCCACTTCTCCCCCATCCCCAGCCCTAGGCAACGACTAATCTACTTTCTGTTTAAATTAGCCTACTTTGGACACTTACATAAATCATCATGTGTAGTCTTCTGATACTGGCTTCTTTCACTTGGCATATTTTCAGGATTCATACATATTACAGCATATATCAGTACTTTTTTTAATGATTGTTGAATAATGTTTCATTGTATGGGTATACAACATTTTGTTTATTCACATCAATTGATGGACATCTGGGTTGTTTTCACTTCTTAGCTATTAGAAACACTGCTACTGTGAACATCCGTGTACAAGTTTTTAATGTGTGAACGTGTATTATTTCTCTTGAATATATACCAGGAGAGAATTGCAGGGTCATATGAAAACTGTATGTTTAGCCTTTTGAGGAACTGCTAAACTGTTTTCAAATTGGGTGTGTCATTTTGCATTCCTACCAGCATTGTATGAGGGTTTCATTTTTTCTGCATCTTCACTAATACTTGTAATTGTCTGTGTTCTTAATCATAGCCATCTAGTGAGTGTGAAGTGGCATCTCATTGTTTATATTTGCATTTTCCTGATGGCAAATTATGTTGAACATGTTTTCATATGTTTACTGGTTATTTCTATATCTTCTTTGGAGAAATAACCATTCAAAGCCTTTGACATTTTAAATTGGGTTGTCTTTTTCTATTTGTGAGTTCTTCATATGTTTTGGATACAAGTCCATTAACAGATTCATGATTTGCAAATCTTTTCTCTAATTCTATAGGTTGATGATGTCTTTTAGTTTCAATGAAGTCCATTTTATCTGTTTTTGGGGGTTTGTTTGTGCTTTTGGTGTCAGTCTAAGAAACCATTGCCTAATGCAGTGTCATGATGATTTGTGCCTATATTTTTTTCTAAGCGTTTTACAGTTTTAGCTCTTACATTTAGGTTTATGATTTATTTTGAGTTAATTTTTGTGTGTGAAGTGAGTAATAGATTACAAACATTTTAATCTAGAACTTAATCCCTGCCATGTTCCCAGTTTTTCTAAGCTATACTATTTTACTTCGTATTTTATACTAAGGTTTTTTGTCGCAATATCAGAGGTAACCAGTTATATAGATAGCTTTCTTCTGAGGTTATTGAGCAGTCAGAATGCCTTGAATATTTGAAATCTATATGTGATACAGAAAAATTACTTTCGTTATTAGAAATTCCCTTATCAGATTTTTAAATGAATACTCCTTAAAAAAACTATTATAAGTAATTTGCTATATTTATAGATACGATATGATTAGACATTGAACCACTATAATTTTTCATTAAACCACTATGGAGATAAACACAGGTCTAGTAATATTGATTCACTTTGTTCATTTATTCATCTTTTCTGACTTGATATTTTATATTCATGCTTCCAAGCAAAGTGATAACTTTAGAATTATCCTGTTGGAATGTGCCACAGAAAGTATACAAGTTTTGTTTGGCCTAGCAGTAGGAAGTTAGAACCAGCAGCACCTCACAGTATTCAACCTACATTGAATCAGTTGTTCAGTATACTTAGTTTTGCTGTAGTTTCTGCTTCAGCCAAGTTTCCGAAATTCTCTGGTGTTCTTCTAGGCAGACTCTAATAAACAGTGAGCTTTCTCAGAAATTTGTTAGACTATTTATTGCTCTGTAATTCTTTTGTTTTTATCAGGTTGCAATGAATGTGTATGAGTTATCATCAGCTGCCGGATTACCTTGTGAGATTGATCCTGCATTGGTCGTAGCTCTTTCTTCACAAAAATCGGGTAAAATGCATTAGTAAATATTTAATACTCTTAGTTAAAGTTACCAGGGCAGCATAGGTATAGGTATGATATTTAACCATATATTCAAATGCCTGCTTTGTGTTCAGCTTTTTAAATTTGTTATTATTATTGCTGGTACTTGGACTATATCAGTGCATAAAACACAAACATCACCCTTCTGGAACTTAAGATTGGTTGAGATTACTGAGCCATTTAGTGTATATAGATGCAGCAGTGAAGAGGATCCAGGTCTGAGCCTTGAGCCATTCTAAGATTTAAGAGCTCAGGGAGAAAAGGAAAAACCACGAAAAAAGAAATTTAGAGAAATTGAGAAGAAAGGACCAATGAAGTAGAAGAAAAACCAGGAAAGGGTAGCTTCCAGGAAGATAGAAAGGAAATGATCAGCTATGTAGAGTTAATTGGTGGTACTAACAAGATCAGTGTCAGTGAGGTTTTATGGGCAAAAGGCTGAGTAGTGAGTAAGGGAGATTAAGGGAGAACAGGAGGAAAGGATTTGGAGATAACTAGAAGACAACTCAAAGAGTTCTATTGTAAAGGGAAGCAAAGAAATAAAATCTCACCAGCTGGAGGCAAGAGCAAAGTCAAGAGAAGGATTTTTTTAAGATGGAGGAGATTACAGCATTTGTATGCTAATGGGAGATGGTCCAGTAGATAGCAAAAAATTGAGATCTAGGAAAGGGTATTCTGTTTTTATTGTACTAGAGTTATTCACCATCAAGAGTTTTATATAAAACATTTAGAAATTTTTAAGACCAGCCCTTAGAAATGCAGTACTCAGAATCCTGTAGATATTTCTTGATTTGTCTACAAAGTAAATATAGCATTTCATCTCTTTCTACTACTAAAATGCCCCTTCTGCCTCCTTGAGGCAGCAGCATGGTGTTTGAGTTCATCAGTTTTTTTTTTTTTTTCATTTAACAATGCAATTTTGTTTCCTCATTCATACAGTATGTTACATTTAGTCACATGGATAATTATAATTATTACTTGATTTGCTACAGCTGTATTTTTTGTAGTCGACCAAATCTTTAAAACATATTTCAGCTCTTTTCTTACATTCAATTCTTAATTATATCTAATGGTGATTAGTAGCCTAAATAACCCACAATTTGAGTGCATATCACAATAAATGTTTTAGAAAGGGTTATGTCTTGAAAGCTTTAGAGCAATGCTGGGTATTTTTATTCATGACTAGTTTCTTCTGTCTTCTTCTGTCTTCTTTTATTCATGACTAGTTTCTTCTGTCTTCTAAAATAGAGAGGTTGAAAACCCATTCCACTTTCCACATTTATGTCTTTTAAATAGTAAATTTCAAATTATATTCATATCTCTTTCAAAAAGTAATTAAGATTTTTTTGGTGATTTTGCAGAATAATTTATAAGTTTTCTAAATTGTAAATAGAACTGTCTCATAAAGTAATAATTCCTCATTAGTTTTCAATTAGGAAATTGTAGGATTGCAGTTATCCTAACTGTATTTTTTGTTCTATAATCTTACAATTAAAAAAAATAAAATCTTACCTTACTGTTTTATCAGACGTCCTTGAAATATGCCTAAGTAGTTGATAATAGTCCATTGTAATATAAACTGTTTCTACTTTATATTTTTATAACAAAATTGTGACCAATTCTATAGAATGCTAGTAAAATAGTTTACTATTTCAAAAAAAAAAGTAAACCATTTTTAAAATAAAAATCTGTTTAGTTTAGATTATCAAATCTTAACTAATCTTGAAGAAATACCTTGATTTTATTCTTAATTTTTGTCTCTTAGAAAACATTAGTCCAGAAGAAGAGTATAAAATTGCCTGCCTTCTCATGGTGTTTGTGGCAGTTTCTTTGCCAACACTGGCCAGTAATGTGATGTCTCAGTACAGCCCTGCTATAGAAGGTAATAGTGGTTTAAAATTGTTTTGGCGATGAATAAATCATGGGTTTTGGTATTTTATAATAAAATATGAGTTAAGTTCTGCCACTAACTGGCAGTGGAACATGGGGTAGTCTGTTTCCCTTTTCCTAAACTGCAGTTTCCTGATATATGAAATGTGTGTAAGTAAGCTCATGTGTGCCTGAATGTGTGTAGAGGTCGGTGAGGGATTATCCAACTCATAGGATTATTTTAAGGATTGAATGGTAAAATGTTGTAAAGCAGCTAAGCACTTCCTTTTTATTTCCGAGCTACTATAAAACTGATGTGTGATTTCTTTTAGATGTTTTCAGAAGTGTTTGCCTGTTTAACATATACACGATCGTTTGTTACTCTCCTGTTAAACTAGTTTTAAAAACATCAGTGTTCATGAAAGTCAAAGGAGAGCAAGTCCGGTCATGTCCCAACTCTACTCTTAATTATGCCCCTATTTATGCAGATTGTGAAGTCATTAAAGATTTGCCTTCTATGTATTATTTGCTATTTTGGGGTCTACACAACCCTATTTGCATTTTCTCAGGGCATTGCAACAACATACATTGCTTGGCCAAAGCCATCAACCAGATTGCTGCAGCTTTGTTTACAATTCACAAAGGAAGCATTGAAGACCGTCTTAAAGAATTTCTGGCGGTATGTATAATCAAATAACAAAACTCATCACATTTTATAAAGAAAACTAAAATTCACAACCACAAAATGTAAGAATAAATTCTCTTTATTTTTACATTTTATTTAGTGTCCTCTAATGGCATTTTGTTTTCAAATTATTTTCTCAGGTATATGAATTTCAGTCTCCTTTTATTTTTATTTGTTTATTTTCTTTTTTGGAGGGAGAAACAGGTGAAGGTGGGGCATTAAAATCGAGGAGCCGTCCGTTATTTCCCTTAGACTCGGAAGTCTCTTTCCCAACTCTAGAGCTCTGCAATATGACCTTTTTTCCCCAAGCTGATGTTTGGACTGCCCTAGAAATTTTCCTAGGCTTGAAAGAGAAAAAAAGCAAAGGAAAATTGAGGCCAAGAGAGAAGCTATTCCCTCTAAAAAGACATATTTTACTTTTTTCCATTTCTTTGGAGAAAGACAATTAATGGTGAAAAATTCATCATTAAAAATACTACTCACTACCAAGAGAGAGGAGTGCTAAATGTAGCCTCATGAAACATGGTTTTTAGTTTCTCTATCAATGTAGTTCTTTCTTTTCTTTATTAATATAACCTTTTCCATATTTTATTTAAACGAAAGATATACCATGGCATACTGAACTCTAGAACATTTACTTCTTTTTCAGTTATAAATCCTGTCAGCTTTTTTAAAAAATAATTTTTAAATTACAAATGCAAATATAGTACTAACTTGAGGAGAAAATAACTTCTATTTCAAGGAAAACACTATTAAAAATTTTAAGTGTTTCTTTCCATTTGCAAATAATTCCTTCACTCAGGGTTTAATGTCTTAATCTTACAGTGTTTCTGTGAAGTCAAATCCAGTGTGAAACTGTCTTCTTCCTTGGGAACTAAGAAATATAGTCAGTATAGATAATGGGATGGGATAAGAGAAAATAATTTGAATCATTTTAAAAAGCAGACTTGTTCTGAAAAAATCAGTTTTAAAGACCAATAAGAATATTTGATTACATTTATTATGTTAGTGTCTCTTTGTGCCTTAATTACTCTCTAAATTACTGCTTGAATGTAGGCTATCTAAGCTCATCTTATTTAATTGCTCATTATTTTATATTTAGCACTGAATGATTGAAATGTGTTGGAAGTTGAAACATACCTAAAATAAGTAACCGATGAACCTTTTATTAACAAACTCACTTTATGTGTATGTATACTTTTAAGCTTGCATCCTCCAGTCTACTGAAAATTGGCCAGGAGACAGATAAAACTACAACAAGAAATAGAGAATCTGTTTATTTACTGCTAGATATGGTAAGTCTCATTTTAATTTTTACTAACAATAAAAAAGTTCCAGTCGTTCCTGAGAATCTTTTCTTGGCATCTTAGTCATTGAATACTTTTTTTGATCCCTTTTGTTCACTTCACGTAAGCCACACCTTTCTAAAATTTGCAGAGAAGACTGACATCACTCATATTTTATCATTTCGGTAATATCAGAAGATAACAATCAAAGGTTAGCATTAACTGTGGGTATTCTTTTATGAACAGTTTTTCAACCTGTTGGAAAACACTCAGGCCTTGTATTTTTCTAGTGTATTGGTGTCACCTCTCTTCCAGTTTTCTGAGTTTTCTACATTCTAACTCTATTCTGCCCATTTCTCGTAATTTTCTGTAATTCTCTGTGCCTAGTCACTTCCCTCTCTGCAGTATCTGTGAACCAGCTCTTGCTTGTTTCTACCACGTGGCTCTTTCCCCACTTAGAGTTATTTTCCTTACCTGCAGAAATTGGATTTATCCTAATGACTTAGCACATCCCACAGCTCAAATCTTTTTCCAGATAGTCTTTCTTGATTACTTTGGCCTACATTAATCTTTCTTCTGTTTTGAATTCTTACAGAATTTACAGCTTTCCATTTCATTATAGTCGGTCTTATGTTTGGTTTTGCTTCCTAGCTTAGTCTTTGATTGCCAGGTAGAGTTGATAGTACAAAAAAAAAATATTTTTGTATTGTCTTTTATTTCTAGTATATCAGTGAGGAAAATGAAAGTGCTCAATATATTCCTGTTGATTAAATAAATTTAATTGAAAAGTAGCTCTTTTTAAACAGTTTGATATACATTCACTGTGGCACATTTACATTTTAGATTAAGTAAAAGGAAAATAATATGTGTCTATTGCTAATAAGAACAATATAGAAGTTATGCCTTACTGGTTGTCAATAAATGTTCCCATTATAAATAACTTATGATTTTTGTTTATAAACAAGTTATAAATAACTTGTTTTGATGGATTTTTTGAATTTTACAGATTGTACAAGAATCTCCATTCCTTACAATGGATCTTTTGGAATCTTGTTTTCCTTATGTCTTGCTGAGAAATGCATACCATGCTGTCTACAAACAAAGTGTTACATCTTCTGCATAAAATTACCTACTTAATCAAGATAAGCACGCATTTTTGTTGCCTTGGTTTTACCTGTAGACTGTGGAACTATTTTACCTTAAGACCTGAAAAAGTTTTGTGGATTATAAATTTCTTTCATACGGTTGTATTTTCTGATCATTGGTTTCTTAATATGGTTGTACTACAGTATACTTGGTTGATTTAGGTTGCACATTCACTGAATTCACTGAGATTATTCCTATAATTTTAAAGTATCATTTATTTGAAAAACATACATTATCAACATGTTTTTGATATTTGATAATGAAAAAAATCTTTGCTTGTTTATTTCTGAAAAAGAACTGTATTTAGTGATTATTTTAGATAGTGATATTATAGTATTCATCTGTGTGTAAATTATTTCATATAGGGAAGAGTTCTGATCTGTACCTATGGTTCTTATTGAAAACAACATTGGATGTGCATTTCTGTGATGTTATGAATACATTTCTACTTTATTTTGAAACATTTGCCAAACTAAATACTGTAACACTGTATAACATTTAAAAATGTTAAAGAACTGCTTAGTATTAGAAGCAGATCATTTCCCAAAATTCTAAGAGCAGCAGCATATGTTGTTGCTTGTATAAAGCCTAGCGATAATTTTTAGACTAACTTCCATGGTGCCCTGTTGGCATTAGCACTACCATTGTACCCTGCTGTATAATAAACAATCTTAGACATTTATCAACTGTTGATACAAATGTTAGTCCCTAACCACTTTTTATATATGTTTTAAATTTTTGAAATTCAAGTGTACCTGCCATAACATAAAATAAACACTAGACTGTATCACACTTCGATTGATTTCTTTAAGATCCTTGGATATTCGTTCAATAATAATAAAGTTTTTGTTTAAACTTAGTTTGAAATATAAAAAATAATGGTTTAGGAATGTCTAAGTACAGCATTCGATACCAGGTCAGCTATTATATGATTTGTTTAAATGTTTTAAAAAACATTTTATTGAAAAAAATACCAAAATTAGAAAATAAAATTACACAATACTTCTTAAAAATTAAGAACTTAAAGAAAACTTGTATGCTGTCAACTTGCTCATTTTATCTGTAACCAAATAGAGTTATTTAAAAGAATAGGGAAAAAAAATTGAGTGATCATGGGACTAGTGAGAATGTTGAGAACTGCTGCATTAGTCAGTAATGAATGGGAAAGACATAAAAGGGCCTATTGCTTAATAGTTGGCATGGAGGGCAAAGCAGCTCATTTAGTTTGAAAACTAACCCAATGTTTTGCTCTTTGATTGGCATTGTTGAGGCTGTTTCTCAGCAGCTTTGTATATGAATATCATAAAGAGCTTCTGTTCACAGCTTCTTATGTATACACTGGTAACTTGTGTTAAGATAAAAGAAGGCTGCTGTGAACTCAGTTATAATGTTTTTCTTTCTTCAAACATAGAGAGTAGAATGAAATTGAAGTACTATGAGATTATGCTATTATTTTGTGTATGATTTGTCCAGCCTATATTTAAAGTAGGGAGTAGTTGTCACTATCTGTCGAAAAATTGTACTTGTTCCATAAAGATTTTTTAAAAAGGGAAATTTTAAAATGGCATAGTTCAGACCTGAAATAGTCTGATTTACACAGTGAGCAGTCAAAACTAAGATTTAATGCCGTTTGTTTTGAAATATTAGGATCTTAGAGAGGTAATAACTTTGTTGGCAGTGATCTCTGGAGAGGTAAAGTAGGAATTTGGATATGTACACTTTGGAATCATATGTGAAAGGGCATAAGGATGAAAATAAGGCATTCTCTACCACTGCTAGGCTGAGAAAAAAATCGCTCCTCATAGTCACCTGAAGTTTTTGTCCAAATTTTTTCTCATACAGCAAAGGCGGGGGAGGAGGCGTGGCAAAGGTAACTTGGAGGAAAAAGTTAAAAGTAAATTGACAACTACTATTTTTAATATCTTGTTTGTTTTATTTTCTTCTAAACTTACACAACAACATACTATTTTTGTTGTTTTCTCTACATTAATGTGATCATACCATACATACTGGCCTGTAATCTGCTTATTTCACTCAGTAGTAGAAAAAATGTCTTTAATATTCTTTTTAATACCTTTATAGATACCATAACTAATTTAACAATTTCATGGCCAGGCGTAGTGGCACACGCCTATTTCAGCACTTTGGGAGGCCAAGGCGGATGGATCACTTGAGGTCAGGAGTTCAACACCAGCCTGGCCAACATGGCAAAACCCTGACACTACTAAAAATACAAAAATTACCCAGGTATGATGGTGCACACCTATCATCCTGGCTACATGGGAGGCTGAGGTGGAAGAATTGTTTGAACCCGGAAGGAGGAGGTTGCTGTGAGCTGAGATCACACCACTGCACTCCAGCCTGGATGACAGAATGAGACTGTCTCAAAAAAAAAAAGAAAATACTCATTTGGATAGATTGGATAGATTTTTAGACAATTTCTTTTCATTATTATAAATGTATATCTATATCTTGGTAAAGTTGACCTGTTATTTTTTTAGAATAATTTTTCAGAAGTAAAATTGCTTCCTTTCTGCTGCTTTTTCATTCACTTATTTAAGCAAGTATTTTTAGATGCCTGCATGTAATGGTGAGCAAAAAGGTGACCCTTTTATAGTTGAGCTTGGATTTTAGTGATGGTATACAATAAACAAACCAGCTTCTTGAGACGGAGTTTCACTCTTGTTGCCCAGGAAATGGGCAATGGCCTGATCTCGGCTCACTGTAACCTCCGCCTCCCGGGTTCAAGCAATTCTCCCATCTCAGCCTCCTGAGTAGCTGAGATTACAGGCGCCCGCCACTACGCCCAGTTAATTTTTGGTATTTTTAGTAGAGATGGGGTTTTACCATGTTGGCCAGGCTGGTCTCGAACTCCTGACCTCAGGTGATCCACCCACCTCAGCCTCCCAAAGTGCTGGGATTACAGGCATGAGCCACCACGCCCAGCCATGAGCAAACTTCTGATGGTGACTGGAAAGTATACAGGATAATGTGGGGAGGCAGTGGTGAAACTACTTTAGAAGAAAGTGTTAGAAGAAAGTGTCATCTGTGTAAGAGAAAACATTTGAGCTGGTACGTGAAGGATTAGAAGGAACCACAAGTGGGCTGAGGGGAGGAATAATAAAGGCAAAGACCCAGAAGGCAAGCACAAACTTGGCATGTTTGAGAAGTTAGAAGTGTGTCATCTGTGTCTCTGTCATGAGGAGTGCTCAAGTTCCCTCTAGGAGCCTTATGGGCTATCTAGCTCTTTTTCTCTTCTGATCATGTGCTTGCTTGCTTTCTTCTTTGCTTATATAGCAGAGTTCACAAATTAAATCTAATGTAGGCTGGTTAATAAAGGAAATGAACATGAATTCACTGATAGGCTCTTGCATTAATGTGAAAATGTAAAGTCTGTTGTACACCATCAGGCCTTCTAAATGAAGCCCAAATTCTGTAAGGTAGTGAATTGTAACCTACTGATTAGTACATGATCCATGCCCATTCTGTTATAAGGACTTGCCTTTCTGAGACTTCACCTGTATTATTCCTAAGACTTTTGTGAATAATCCTTAAAGTAGTGACTCCTTACATCTTTCTTTCATTTCTTCTTTGTAGTCACTTGAAATGACAGCATGAACCATCATTTCATTTGAAGGCCTGAGCCTGAATTTTCAAATAGACAAAATGCTCTCTTTCTCCGAAGATTTGCCATGACCTCTGCCTTTGGGAAAAAATATTTGAGATTTTAAAATTTTTATTCTGTAGTACAAAAATTATGTTTTTCGTTAATTGGTCCTGTGGAATTGGAAGGAAATTTAATATTTATTGACTCTACTTTGGTATTATTTTCAGAGTGAGAAGTAACTTTAAGTGTATTAAAATTTCATTCATTTTTGCATGAACCAAACTTTCCCTACACATCGCTGTCCTTGACTGTCCAGAGTAAACATGTCTAACTCTGGAATGTTTCATTTCCAATAAAAGTATTCAGCCTGTCATTTTGGGCCTAAGTAAAATGGGATAAATTAGCAATCTGAAGTTAGGATCCTAGCCACAGAGGGCCATGTCTCATTTCTGGTTTAAGTGCACCCCTCATCCCCAGCCCTTACCTTCTTCTTTCTCTTAAGGATTGAGACAATCCTCTTGGTGCTCTTGGTGCAGGTGCATCTTGGTCACCTCTTACATGAGGGCCACAAACTTGGTAAATGGGTGGCCTGGAGATGGGGTTGTACTAGGTATGTGACCTTGGTGATTGCCTTGTCTCAGTTGTAGTATATGGCTGAGTCACATTCATAGTACACTACATACACATACTGACCAAATGCCAATGGCTAAGGCTTGAAATTATTTCACCAAGACCTAAACTGAAGATTACCATCATAAAATAAGCTTCTAGAATCCATGAATAAGTAGGAAATCATATTTAAAATTTACTGTAATTTTATTAAAGCTCATTTTTTAAATTTAATGCAGTGCAGAGTCATTAATTTCTCAGCAGTATCAGGTGCTAAATTGCTCACTCATTAAACTACTAATTTAAGATAGTTATTTTAAATTATAGAACAGGAAGCAACTTACGAGGTTGCAACCAAATTATATTTATTTTTTCTCCATTAGTAACTGACTAAAAGTGTTTTCTTCAACTCTGGGATTTGAAGATTTTGTGGTCAGTGGTGATATAATTTCACTGAAGCGTGCTCACAGACTAAAACTGTGCACTACTCAGTGATGCGTCCTGAATGTTTTCAGAGACAAACCTAAGATAATGTTGCCCTTGTTTACTTTCATTATTTCTGATTTTTTTTTTATGCATGTGTTTGCTGCATCACACAATTACTTAAGAAGTTGTCCCTAACCTTTGTGCTGTGGTCTGAATGTTTGTGTCCCCCTGGCCACAAAATTCATATGTTGAAATCTGATCATCAGTGTGACAGGATGTGGGGCCTTTGGGAGGTGATTAGGTCATGAGAGTGGAGCCTTCATGAATGGGATTAATGCCCTCGTAAAAGGGGCCCCAGACAGCCGACTTGCCCCAACCACCACGTGAGGACAAAGCAAGAAGCCACTGTTCATGAACCAGAAAGCAGACCCTCCACAAACACCAAATATGCCAGCACACTGATTGGCTTCCCAGCCTCCAGAACTATAAGCAAGAAGTTTTTTTATAGTAACAAATTTATTGTTCACAGTTCTTGCTTATAAACTTTATAAACCAGACTAAGGCATTTCGTTATAGCAGCCCACACGGACTCATATTTTGGTTCTAGAAATGTGACACTGGAATGATGTGGCTCTCAAGATGACAGTGTTGCTTCTGAATGTCTATGTTCATGTCATCTTTAATTGCATGAACACCAGTTTTAGCATCTTCCCTTGAGTAGAAAGAGATTCTCTACAGCAAGTATTACGTAAGAAGTACTGGTGGCCAGGCACAGTGGTTCACGCCTGTAATCCCAACACTTTGAGAGGCGGAGCCAGAGGTATCATTTGAGCCTAGAAGTTCGAGAGCAGCCTGGGCAATATGTCTAAACCCCATCTCTACAAAAAAAATACAAAAATGAAAAAGCCGGGTGTGATTGTGTACACCTGTAGTCCCAGCAACTTGAGAAGCTGAGGTGGCAGGATTGCTTGAGCCCAAGGGGAGGGTTGGCGGCAGTGGGTGGTTCGAGGCTGCAGTGAGCCATGATTATACCAGTGCGCTCCAGCCTAGGTGACAGAGCAAGAGCCGGTCTCGATAATAATTAAGGCCAGACGCGGTGGCTCACTCCTGTGATCCCAGCACTTTGGGAGGCCAAGGTGGATGGATCACCTGAGGTCAAGAGATTGAGACCAACCTGGCCAACATGGTGAAACCCTGTCTCTACTAAAAATACAAAAATTAGCTGGGCTTTGTGGCTCGCGCCTGTAATCCCAGCTACTCAGGAGGCTGAGGCGGGAGAATCGCTTGAACCCAGGAGGCGGAGATTGCAGTGAGCCGAGATCATGCCACTGCACTCCAGCCTGGGCAACAGAACAAGACTCTGTCTCAAAAAAAAAAAAAATTATAATACATTAAAAAAAAAAAGCACTTGCATTCTGAAGGCATATTCACCCTTGAACTGATAGCATTCAATGTATAAAACACATGAGTTTCACTCCAAGTTACATATAGAATGTTTATCTTTATTTGAGAGGAAATATCCAGTTAATAATCAGAATGTCATACTAATTAGGTATGACCATAACTTACGTTAGTCACATGGTCATTGATTGCATGCAGATTCTGGCTGCCAGAAAGCACATTGAAGTAGGTAGTCATTTAACCATTTAACTGTTAGATCTTGCAAAGGTTGAAGCTGAAGCTGAGGAGCAGGTAGTACACAACTTTACAGGTTAATGCTGAATGTCAGTTCATTCTGAATTCTTACCTTCAGCCAAAAGGTACAAGGGTCTTTGCAGTCTGAAGCAAGGCCCAGATGGCAGAACTTGTGATGGCTAGGAGGGGAAAATTTGACCTTAACTGGTAGTTGTGGTTTTATCAAGCCAAAAATGCTGACTAGAATAATAATGAGAGCTAATGTTTATTGAAAGCCCATTGTGTACCAGATACTCTGTTTTCTCTAATTCAAACCTCTAAATATTGCTCTTTTAGTCTTCACAGTAATCCTATATCATGATGACCCCCATTTATTGATATGGAAACTGAAGCTCAGGAAAGACAAAGCAATTTTTACAAACTCACACTACAAGGAAGTAGCAGAGGCCAACATTTAAATCTGGCCCCAGAGTTGTGTTCTTCTCATTAAACTGTGTCTCAGATCTCTCAAATGTGAGTGTGGACTTTTCTAACCAATAGCATTTTTTAATTAATGTTTTAAAAATTTGAATAGCTTTTAGGGTACAGTGGGTTTTTGTTTACATGGATGAATCATACATTGGTGAAGTCTGAGGTTTTAGTGTACCTGTCACCCAGGTAGTATGCATTGTACCCAATGTGTAGTTTTTTATCCCTAGACCCGTTCCCATCCTCCCACTTCTGAGTCTCCAAAGTCCATGATATCACTCTGTATGCCTTTGCATACACATAGCTTAGCTCCCACTTACAAGTGAGAACATACGGTATTTGGTTTTCTGTTCCTGAGTTACTTTGCTTAGAATAATGGCCTCTGGCTCCATCATAGTTGCTGCAAAAAGACATTGTTTCTTTTTTTATGGCTGAACAGTATTCCGTGGTGTGTATATATACCACACTTTCTTTGTCCACTCATTGGTCAGTGGGCACTTAGGTTGGTTCCATATCTTTGCAGTTATGAATTGTGCTGCAATAAATATACACATGCAGATTTTTTTTGATATATTGACTTCCTTTGGGTAGATACCCAGTAGTAGGATTGCTGGATCAAATTCTATCCAGTAGCATTTGAAACTGCTTTACATTAACAATGAGGGACAAAAAAAATAACAATGAGGGCTTACATTATGCTACTCTTGATACTAGACATTTTCATATCCATTACTTCATTTAAACTCCACAACCAAATTACTCAATAGGGATTGTTTTCTTTATTTTTGTAAATGAATGTGGAAACCAGCTCATAAAACTTTAAATTCCTTGCCCCAGTGTCATAAAATTACTGAGTTTGAGTGGCAGTGCTGAGATTAAAACCTAAGGCTCTAGGATTTCCAGCCCATATTTTTTCTACTGTATCATGTTCTTTCCCAAAGCACTAAAAAACATTTCCTGGGTAAATGACTGTGGGCTTGGGGACACTATGCCCACTTTCTGGCCTTCATGGGTCTAAGTTGCTTCTTTGCTTCTTCACTTTTTCTCTCTGATCCTGCTCAGATTAATCTCTAGTAAATCAGATTTCTTTCCTAGGCTGTCTTATCCCACATATATAGTAGATAATATGTCACATATTTGTGAATGTTAAAAATATTTGTTTTAGTTTTAAATCTCAAGCTCACACAGTACTTACTCTCTATGTTAACAAAAATGGTTTTTACTATTTTCTGAAGGTAACGCAGCTGTTGAAGTGAGATCCTACACTGGAACATACAACACTTGGTCTAATATTAAAGTTCGTGCCAAGAGCTCTCTAAATGTGATTGATGGATTAATTCTGCCTTTATGAAAGATGAACTTATTTTCAAGATAATAGCTAATTCTTGAATGGGCAACCTATTATGTATCAATGATTGTAATGATGGAGCATTTTAGTCATTTGTAGCTGGAAGAGCCTTAGAGATTATCTGGTTCAACCTATTCAAGAGTTAGGTAATTTAACCAAATTAACATATGTGGCGATGTGCTCATATAGTGTTCCTTCCACTGTGCTGTGTTGCCGCATATATGCTGATCTTATGTTTATGCAGTAATAGTCTTCATAATGATAAACAGCTACTGGTTCCTGGTAGGATTTTGGACGTGGATATGACTTGAAGTATGATGCCACAGCCTCAAACAAATCTGGGGTTTGAATCCCAGCTCTGTCACTTATGGACAAATTACTTAACTTCTCCAAGTTTGTTTCCCTAAGTGTAGAATGTGGATAATATCTACTTTAAAGGGCTATTGTAAGCATTAAAATAAGATCATGCGTATAAATTGATGAGATGGTGGGGAAGAAGAGGCTACCACAAAGTAGGCATTCAGTGTAAATGGTGGTAGTTTCTCCAGTATTATTAGGCTATTTGGTTTCACTTATAAAATTGCCTTCAAAGAGTTTTTTCATGGCTTTTATGAGTATTATAATATCAGAACTTCCACTCATGCAAATGTAACATTTGTGTGTTAGTCTATTCTATAGCTCTGATCGGAGTCTTTATCTTAAATGGGAAAGATTATTTTCCCTGTCATGTAACTTTAACAGAAAACGATGCTAAAATTAATTTTAAGACTGCTCTATACTATATGTATGTTATACTATATTTTTATATACTATACACAAAAATGTATAAGATGTAAAGCTTGTATTTTCAAATGTTATTGCAGTATCCAGAACAATTGCGACAATTGCTCTTGGAAGCTTCTGTGCTTTTCCACATGCTGTTCCCTGTCTCTGGAATGGAATGTTCTCTTATTCTGGCTGGCAAACTCCTGAACATAATGTAAACAGTAAGCTCAAACATCACTTGCCCTTTCCTTACCATGCCATCCTGTTTCTTCTAAACCTTATAAATGCCTTTATTATAGTACATATTGAATCATAATGTAATTATTATTTATCTCTGACTCCTTTGATTCTGGGACTGCCTTGAGGTCACGGTCTAGGTTTATTTCATCTTTCTGTCTGTTTAGTCAAATTTCCTACCCTGTGTAACTCTCAGAATCTTACTTTAAGTTAGGAAAGGCCAGTGGCTGGACAGATGCTACAGACCTCCATTGGTACAGATGCCCTTAGCTTCATGTTGGGAACAAGTGGTTCTGTTTCTTTTTGTTCCTGTGGAGAAGCATCAGAGATACAGGCAGCTGGGGATTTCTACACCTGTAATAGCAGCAGCTCAGTGATGACACAGAGACATGTTTTTTTTTTTTTTTTTTTTTTGACAGAAGGCGAAGGGGAAGCAAGGTACTTCTTACATGGCAGAGGGAAAAGGAGAGTTGGAGTGGGGGAGGGGGAGAGGGAGGAGCAGGAGCAGGGAGACGGGGAGGGAGAGGAAACTGCCCCGAAGACATGGTTTCTAAGATTTCTCCCAATGAGACAAATCACTTGTCTGGGATGTCAGGGGGAGAAGATGCAGAATCTGAGCCCCTTGTATAAATAGACAAAAGGTGAAAGCATTGGCAATAGATCAAAAAGGCATTCCACGTAGCAAAAAAATTATTTTTAAATCTGAAAATTTAAGTGAAATGCCAAGAGCAAAGAAGAGAGGCCATCAGAAAAATTTCAAAGTGACTACTCAGGTCATTGTCCTGAAATAAATGATCATTTTATTCTGGTGACTCACCCCTAGCTAGAGTCAGTACTTCATAGAAAAGACAGGAGCTGTGAGACACTTAACTGTAATCTTACCCCTTTACAGAAATGCCTCCTATAGTCAAGCTGGTCTGATGATCTCATGTCATCATGCACAAGGATTAGCAAGCCTTGAAATTTTATCCTGTCAGTGTAACTCCTCATCTAGTCTCAAGATTGCACTGGCAGTTCTTTCGCAGCTGATCGTACAGGGAGGACCAATAAGGCTCATAGAACACCCTTGGAGAATGAATGCCTCTGCTGCTGGAGGTCACAGCACCCAGAAAGTGACTAGAGGGAGCAGCTGATACCTGCTCTAGTGAGTTGTGCTATTCCTGTCACATCCTTGCAGAGGTCCAAGGGTTGCTGGCAAGTGAAGGAATATCATGCCTGTAGTTTGAAGGATAGATCACTCAACTCTCAACTATTCTCTCTTCAGCTGTGAACCATACAACGTTTTTGAAAAGCAAAGTCTGAACATTTGCATTCTATACAGAATATTACAGTTGGAAAATAGGTGTGGTGTCTAGAGAAATGCTTCTAAATGCTGCAAGCCACCCTATGTGAAGCCTAGTCTAGAAATCTGCTTTGCTTCATTTATTAACTTCATTGTATCTTTGGAAGTAGAAGTTCTTAAAAGTGTGTACAGAAGATGAGTCCTCAGCATGAGTTTCACTGCCTGTCTGTGTGAGAGGAAGTGACCTTGAGAGCAGCTGTAGCCCTAGGGGGACACCCAGGTAGAGGTGCTCACAACATGCTCTGACACCCGGTATGGCTGCATTCCCAGCTTAAATGATCACATCTGCTCTTGGTTTTTTCACTGTTTACAAAATCTGATTTCTTTAAAGGGAAGGGATGGAAAAGGTAGTCAATGCTCCTCTGAGCACCCAAAGCATCCCTCCACAAGAACAAAGAGGAAAAATCATTACTTGCTCCCAACATTACACAAAGCGCATCTCTACCAATGGAACTCTGCAGTGTCGGTCTAGCCATCAGCCTTTCCCACCTCACAGCATATTTTCTGTGGGGGTAATTTATTAGAGGGGAATTTGTTCCTTTTTACTCTTTTTACTCTTCAAATTAGTAATAGAACCCCTCATGTCATTCTAAGTGACTTAAGTTTTAAAGGGAACCAGAAAAGGAGAGAATATGCTATTGTGGCACTTCTAAAATGCAGAGTGTCCTCAAAGATGGTTATAGTGGGTAATGGGTTTCATATAAATTGCATACTAGAGTATCTCCATTTCCTCTTTTAATTTTTTAATTGGTTTTTTAAAGCTTGATATGCTGAGTTAGTTTTCATTTAAAAACAATGCTTGAGTAGGAAAGTTAAAGAAATAGAAATTGCCTGTTTTAATCTATTCATCCTGGCAGCAGGTATGTATTGTATCTGTCCAGAGTCCAAAACGTCAGCTCCCTCCACTTGCCTTCCCCATTTCACATAAACTATAAAAGTTAGAAATAATATATTATGTCATATCCTAACATCAGTTCAATGAATATAGTTTTTAAAATACCTACTATGTGCTAGATACTGAGGACAGAATGATAAAATACAAAACAAAGCTAACTAAAAACACAGTTTAACTAGTCTTGTCTACGATTACCTGCCCTAACTATAACTTCATTTAAGGGGAGATACTGCTAAAGGGAGTTCCTTCTGTGACTGCACACTCTGATACCAATATGTGACTTCTCCCTGGCTACAACTGATTAAATGAGGGAAGAAAACTGATCCAAGGGGAGTTAGTCCAATAGCTTGTAAATGGTGGGTTCTTATCAGAGTTTTCTCACTAAGTTAGAACCAAGAGGCTGAGGGTTGTGGGGGCTACTTAAGCAGAAAGTTTCATGGAGTATGGACTGTGCACCATTGTGAAGTTTCCTGTATTTCCACAGGCTGTGGGGGCAGAGAGCATCAGAGTGCTGATCAGGAAAAAAGAATGAGGCAGATGCAGACAGAGAAGCAAAGAAGCATGAGAGGATGAGAATTAGGAAGTAGACTCTTTTTTCATTTTAATTAATTTGACTAGATTATATTTCTTGCAATCAAAAGGGCCCTGTGCAGAGAAGGTCCTTATCTTCGTTCATTTTTTGTTGCTATAGCTGAATACCCGAGACTGGGTAATTTATAAAGTAAAGAAATTTATTGCTTACCATTTTAGATGCTGGGAAGTACAAGGTCAAGGGTTCTCATCTAGTGAGGGCCTTCTTGCTAGTGGGGTCTCTGTAGAGTCCTGAGGTAACACAGAGCATCACATGGTGTGGGGGTGGGATTCACCAGAGAGAGCCAAACTGACTTTTATAACAGACTCACTTTTGTGGTAACTAACCCACTCCCTTGATAGCCCATCAATCCATTAATCTAGAAATAAATTCATTCACTCATGAGGGCAGAGCTCTTGTGAACCAATCACCTCCCAGAAGTCCCACCTCTCAACACTGCTGCACTGGGGACCAAATTTCCAACACATGAACTTTTCGGGGACACATTCAAGCCACAACAGTCCTCAATAAATATTTGTTGAATCAATAAATACACAGGACATAGTGTCCTAAATGCTTGGCATGTACATGAACCAGATTTGGTCCTTGATGTCACAGAGCTTATAATATAGTGGAGGAGACAGACTTTACATGTTTGATCTTGACTGTAAAACTAGGGTCACTACTCATCATCTGATGAAGGAGGCAGACAGTAAAACAAATAACAACTATTCAACATGGTAACGTCAAAACTGAACAGAGGCTCAAGTGAAAGTTTCAATGATAGTAACCATGGCCAATGGATAGGTGAATGCATTGGAAAATTAGTATGATGCCATTAGCAAAAACATAAATTGCACTTAACTAAAGTTCATCTGGCTGAATTCTTTCCTTCCTTCCTTCCTTCCTTCCTTCCTTCCTTCCTTTCTTCCTCTATCTTTCTTTGGTTTTGAGATCTGTCTATAGTATTGTGCTAGTGCACATATTTTAATTTGGTGCAAGGCATGCTTAACAGAGTAAGTGAAAAGCTATAAAGGTTAGAGCGTGTATTAGTTTCAATGACGAAGGAGTAATAAATCATTTTGTCAGGTTGCACTCTAACATTCAAATTCCATTTTTATTATGGCTAACTAGCCAAGCATTTATAATTCTGAACTCCACAGAATGGGGAAAAAGTGTATTAACTTATAATAGATCATTGAGCTTGTTAAATGTACCTTTCCTAATTCGTACTTTTTCCCTTTTGCTGAGAAAAATGCCTTTCTGAATATATAATTTTTACAGGTCATTGGAAAGGAGTACTGCACAACAGGATTATTATAATGTGCTAAAAGATGGCACTTGTATCTCATTGCCACATAGAGAGCTCATGTGAAAACTCTTTGATCTTTGCTGGCTTTTTAGCTGAAAAGATTTGGAAATCTTTTTGGCACTGGCAAAAACAGAACTGTGGTAACTGTTTATAGTTGGTTGATTTTTAGCAATGGGTAAGAATGTCTTTGTTGAATCCAGTTTATTAATACGTAATGGGCAACATGTTGCCTTAAAGGCAAAAGCATATTTTTCTCATATCAAAAAGCTCCCTAAATTTTTGCCAATATCCAAAGATATTTTAAGATGGTCTTCATTTTCTTTTTCAGTCTGTCCTATGCTGAGAAAAAAAAATTACAACCTCTGAACTTCAGCAGTTTTTTAGGTAAAAGGAATTTTTCATGATGTGATTGATATAACTACTCAGCTGGACATAAGCTTTCAAGGGCTAAGTCCATTTGCCGATTTGTTTGCATTTCCTACTCCAACTAAAATAATTCAAAGACATGAAGTGTCTATTGTGGAAAATGCATGAATAATGCAAAAGTCATTCTCAAGTGACCTATCAGAAAGGCCTACCAGAAATGCAGTTACTGCTTTCTAATAAAATCATGAAAAACTTTTTTAAAAAGTATAACCATCTTGAATTTGTTGAGGCA
Source organism: Homo sapiens (assembly GCF_000001405.40). NCBI lineage: Eukaryota > Metazoa > Chordata > Mammalia > Primates > Hominidae > Homo > Homo sapiens. The sequence goes on along the minus strand of NC_000002.12, from coordinate 182,911,805 downwards.
ATTATAAGAGAGTATATAAGGGCAAGTTTCTCCAAAAGCGGTTCTGTTTGTTTTGTTTTTTTTTAATAATTCCCATCAACAGCAATCTGTTTTCTCATTGTAGTAGTATAGGTGTTAACATAAAAGCTCAAACAGCTTGGGAGAAAAAAAAGGATATAGCAAACCTAACTGATAACTTTGCTAGTTTCAAATCATTATGATGGCCATTCATAGATGACTGAAATATTTAACATTTGAAGTAACAGAATTTTGACTTATGTTTTCATGGTTTAAGAGTTTATATTTCAAATTTTTTCACATAGTCTGTTTATAACAGTATATAAAACATGTATTAACTATATAAGTTAATAAAGTCATGAACTGATGGCCATTTTTTGGTCTTATTCATATAGTATAGGCTGTTTTGTGAATTAATCCCCTTCCCATGTGTTTGAATTCCCCACTATGTAAGGCTTAGTGGTGTTAGCATGATCCAAGGGTGGGATTTTCAGCCCTCTGACATCAAAAGGTGAAGCAGAGGACACAAAAACCCTCACTGCATCTTCCCTAGACTGGCCAGAACCACTCCATGGTCAGTGGACTCCCTTAATAGGAAGGAATGCTGGTCAGTTGTCAAAGAGCAAAAAGGGAGGGGTAGTCATGAGGTTGGTTGTAATCAGAGGTGCAACAGGTCTTTCCAAAGGGCTGGTTTCTGTTTAACTCTTAGGAAAGAACACCTAATGGTAGTTAGTGAGGAGGGGGTATAATGAGATGTGCCCAACCTCCCATCCCATCATGGCCGGGAACTCAGTTTTTAAGGTTTCCCTGAAGTCCTCTTGGCCAGGAGAGGGTCTGTTTAGTCAAATGTGGGGGGGGAGCTTAGGATTTTATTTTTATTTCCAAGTTATAATGTTGGACCATCAGAGCATGAATACAGGTTGAGTCTTTAATCTGTAAATACTTAGCAATCACCTTCTTCTCAGTAACTTTCTCTGAAGGTTGCTGATAAGCCAGTGTTCTTGATGTTTGCCCACTTACCCCTCAAGATGAGGAGTGAAGAAATTAGATTGCATTGCCAGGAATTTCCTAGAAGAAAAGGTTTTGAGGATGCATGACCTATGAGGGTGCTGAGGACCCCTTTCCACCAAACATGGACTAACTTCTGGGTTGCTCTTTCACATCTATTGTCTTGTTCGACGTACACAGAAGTGCAGAGCACAGCCGCAGCCCTCACAGCATCATCTATCTAGGTTCTGAATCCTGAATGGTCTGAGGCTCTCCTAGAGCTGAGATTCTCCTTTGCAGTTCCAGTGGAGAAAAGCACTTTCTTTGCCGAGGCAGTGTAACTTCCTTGTTCCCAAGGCTCCAACTGTTGTGGGCACATATGAGTATACATTAACATCCATGCCCAATTTATAATCACTGTTTTCCCCACATGTGTACTCAGACCTCCAAGCTTCTGAAAAATATTTCCTCTCATCTCTCAAAGAATTTTAGTACATTTGCCTGGATGCAGAAACACAAATCATGCTGGCTTTCCTACTCAATCAAAAACTGTAGCTTGAGTGGGGTGGCAAGGGTTGTCCCACAGCAGGTTTACTTGGACTCCAAAATGATGTAGAGTTTAGTGAGGCAGCTCCTTGAGTTTGAACTTAGAGCCCTTTTGGCTACCAGGGCACCTGCAGTCCTCCAAGATAGTAGAGTCTGAACCAGTTAAAGAGCCAGCTACCACAGCTTTGCAGAAACCACTGTTTCTCCTTAACTCTAGGGCTCAGCGGTTGAACTCCTTAGAATAAAACTTTCTGTCTGCGACCCTATCATTTTCTTTTGTATTTTGGCCTTCACTGAATTCCCACCCCATCCATTCCAACAGACTTGGTTATACGTGTCTGAACACCAAATGTGACAGAATTTGTGGCCTTGGATCAGGAGGCTATTTGGCCCTTATCTAAATCGGTGGCTGAGAATGGATTCCAGGGAAGTGTTTTTCTTAGGAGTACCCAAGAAGCTCAGCTCAGGTTGGGCTCCCTGTTCTATTCTGAGAACTACAAATCAAATTCAAAATGGAGCACAGAAAATTCTCATTTCTAGTTGACTTATTTGTATTTTGGTGTCCTGTGCCCTAAATATCTTCTCAAGGAAACCTTGGCTTTAAAAGTGATTGTTTACTTAAACAAATAAAACAACAACATACAAGAAAAGGCAGTAAATCCGAGCGTCCATCAACAAATGAATCAAAAAACAAATGAGATATATATGTACGGTGGCATATTATTCAGCCTTAAAAAGGAAAGAAATTTTGACACATGAGACAATATGAATGAACCTTGAAGACATTAATTATGCTGAGTGAAATAAGCCAGCCACAAAAGAACAGATATTGTATAATTCCTCTTATATTAGGTACCTAAAATAGTCAAATTGATAGAAAGTAGAATGTTGGTTGGCAGGGGCTGGCAAGGAGAGGGAAATGAAGAGAAGGTGTATGAAGGGAACAGAGTTTCAGTTGGGGAAGACGAAAAAGTTCTGACAGTGGATGATGGTGGTTGTTGCACAGCAACATGAATGTACTTAATGCCACAGAACTGTATGCTTAAAAATGGTTGAAACGGTAAATTTGATATAATGTGTATTGAACCTATTTCCAGATCAAAACAGAGAGATCTACATTCCTTTTGGTGGTGTCAAAATAAACCATTATCTTGAAATAGCCTAAATGTGTTATGTGTCCTATTGAACAGTCCGATTGCATTCTTCAAAAAAATACAGTAGTGAACATCTGAATATATATATTTGAGCACTTGGATAAATATATATGCTTTAAAAAGTCCCAGAAATGTGGTACATTATCATATAACAGTTGTACCAGTTGACACTCCCATCTGCGATATATGATCCCTGTGTCCTCATGGTCCAGCAATGGATATTATCCAATTTTTTAACCTCTGTCGATTGGATAGATGAAAAATATTGTCTGAGTGAGGTTGAACATCTTTTTTGTATGTTTATTGACTTGTAAGAGGTCACTTATTAACAAAATGTACACATATTAATGAAATTGTTTTTGTCTATCACATATTTGGCAAATGTTTTCTAAACTTATCATTTGTCTTTATTTTTTTTTTAGCCATACAGAACTTTTAAATAGTTAGGCTGACGAACTATATCCAGTTTTTCAAGATTAAAAAAATTCCCCATTTTGGCCGGGTGCAGTGGCTCACGCCTGTAATCCCAGCATTTTGGGAGGCTAAGGCAGGCGGATTGCGAGGTCAGGAGATTGAGACCATGCTGGCTAACACGGTGAAACCCTGTCTCTGCTAAAAATACAAAAAATTAGCTGGGCGTAGTGGCGGGCACCTGCAGTCCCAGCTACTCAGGAGGCTGAGGCAGGAGAATGGCATGAAACTGGGAGGTGGAGCTTGCAGCGAGCCAAGATCACACCACTGTACTCCAGCCTGGGCAACAGAGCGAGACTCTGTCTCAAAAAAAAAAAAAATTCCCCATGTGGGTTTTATTCTTTTTTTTTTTTTTTTTTTTTTCTGAGAAAGGGTCTCTCTGTCCCCAGGCTGGAGTGCATGTCATGGTCTTGGCTCACTGCAGCCTCGACTTCTTGGGCTCAATGATCCTCCCCACTCAGCCCCTCAAGTAGGTGTTACTATAGGCGTGCGCCACCACCAACTAATTTTTATTTTTTTATTTTTTATTTGTAGAGATGGGGTCTCACCATGTTGCCTCATCCTGCCTTGTGCTCCTGGGTGCAAGTGATCTGCCCACCTGGGCCTCCCAAAGTGCTGGGATTGCAGACATGAGCCACTGCAGCCAGCCTAGGTCTAATATTTATATACATGTGTGCTTTTTCCTGGGGAAATAGTTTCTATTGTTTATCGGATTGTCAAATGGAAGGGAAAAAATTAAGAATAATTGCATTGCATGACATGTAAAATATTTGTTGAATGAATGCTTGCAGGAGACTGTATTTCCTCTTCAAAGATTTCTTTCAATCTCTATATACCATCTCTTCTTGAAAGATTTTTCCATTAGTAACTTCCAGTTAACAGTCTGTTGTTTTATTGTCAGATGTGTAAATATTTTAAAAATTGTTTCTTAGCACTTCCTGTTCCCTTTTTTTTGGAATCTTTCAAGTTTGAGAGGCAAAAGTACTCCTCAAGGCTGGAGAAGCTACTTGGTTGGGTTGTGGCCTACTGTGGTGCCATTGATTTCCCCAAACATTAAGTCCTTGCTGAGCCTCAGCCAAAATCAACAGCCGTCATGTCTTCAATTACCTTGGAGCCCAGGCTGCCACGGGGAAACAGGGGTCACATTCAGCCTTACTTGGCTCCTTAAGCAGCGACACTATCTGTGACTAAGCAAGTGACTGGTGCGATGGGGGAGGAGGGATGTAATGGTGGAGCTGTGAAAACTTGCAAATGTGATCACCAAACTTTTAATCAATCTAGAAGGAAGCTTTTTTTTTTCTCCCTAAGTATTTGAAGTGCCCACTGGTGTCTTTGGGGTTGGGGAATTAACATAACTTCCTTCTCTCACAGTCCTGTCTTCCAGTCTCCCAGTGGGGTTTCTCTTTGAAATAAGAGTTGTGTGTGTGGAAAGGATTCAGAAACAAGGCTTGGAAGCCAAGAAGAAAGGCAACCGGCCTTCCTCTCCAACGAGTAACCAAATACAGCTGTAACTTTAGACGGGGGTGCTTGGGAAAAGGATTTTTATTATTTTTTTTATTATTTTTTTAAAAGTAAGTGTACATTGCTGAGAAAAGAATCTAAAATGTAGCTTAGGAAATCTAGCTTTGATGCTATAGTTCAATATATTATGCAAAATTTAATAAGATAGCTGATTTTTTTTTCCTTAGGAAAAGAAAGCTCACAATTAACAACTGAAAAAAAAAAAAAAAAACCTAAAGGATAAAATACCAACTTAGAAATACAAACCAGAGATTCCCAACCATCCAGAAGGTACAATATAGCTACAAGCAAAAAGAAAAGGAAAAAAAGAAAAAAGCAAATTTTCAGGTCCAAGCATATTTTTGAAAACCTGTTTCCATTTCCTTCTATATTAACTAAAGTCAGTTTGAGCAACTATTAAAGGAAGTTAAAATTCTCTTGTGTTTTGTCTACCTGTGGGAACTATAACCAGACCTCAGTGGAAACAGGAAATGTACAATAAGTCCCCCTTTTATGACTGTAAGTGAATATATTTTATGGTGTTTGCAATAGCCTCTTGTAGGAGAAACAAGTAAATTAAATTTTTACATATTTCTAAATAGCCTCTGCTGAATAATAACCTGTTTTGTATATTTAGCACCTTTTCATAAAAACAGCTTGTGTCTGCACTGTAGGTAGCAGTTAATCAACTGTGATATTGAAATGAAGAGAAAAGACGCATTTGACACTGAGCATGTGAAAGGTTATATGCAATGGGGTTTCCCACTGAGCAAATTAGACAACAAAGATTTATCGTATTTTATTAGTTTGAAGAGAAAAAAATAGATGGCTCAAAAACTAGATCTTTCAGGAATATGTTTCATTAGCTTAACTTTTTTTTTTTTTAAGTAGTCTCTAATTTCTGAGGCTGGAGATTAGGGAGAGATACCCAGTGCTCTGAATGATGTGTTTCTTTCAGCTGATTTAAGAGAAATTTGAAGGCCGGGCGCGGTGGCTCACGCCTGTAATCCCAGCACTTTGGGAGGCCAAGGGGGGCAGATCACGAGGTCAGGAGATCGAGACCATCCTGGCTAACACGGTGAAACCCTGTCTCTACTAAAAATACAAAAAATTAGCCGGGCATGGTGGCGGGCACCTGTAGTCCCAGCTACTCGGGAGGCTGAGGCAGGAGAATGGTGTGAACCCGGGAGGCAGAGCTTGCAGTGAGCTGAGATTGCGCCACTGCACTCCAGCCTGGGCAACAGAGCGAGACTCCATCTCAAAAAAAAAAAAAAAAGAAAAGAAATTTGATAGTTATTCTTTAATTATTGTTACCAGAAAGCTAACTGTTAAATCAGAAAGCAAAGAAGAAACAATCTATTTTCCCATGCCACAAACCAGATTCAAGAAAATTTAAAAATATGAAAGAATCTTCCCCTGTGAGAACTCTGCACTGAACCTTTTAGCATATATATGTGTCTATTCCATGTGCTCTTTTCTAAAGAGACTCTACTGTAGCTTAAATAAGAATGGAAAGATACCAGTAATTGTTCATTTCTATATTTTTTGTGCACAACATCTAGGCCTTCTGTCATGTCTTAGGTTGAATACCAATCTTCTAAAGCCAAAAAAGAAAATTTCCACATTCATTTCTTTAAAGCATTTTGCTTAAGAGCCAGCATTCTACAGAGAGGATATTATACCAGAAATATTTGACTCCTAGGTGATATTCCCTGGTGGAGGTGACCACATTTCCTTCTTTGTTATTAAACTGGGGAGGGAGTCCCAGATGGATAAAACAAGAAGGAGCTGGATGCCAGAATAAATTTTCCTGTTCCTCGTGCTACCCCGCTATTAGTACTTTGGCTAATAAATTGGATCCCATTTTGTTTGCTAAATAAAGGTTCAGTGTGGACTTACTTTCCTCTTTACTTTGAAAATCTGAATATAGTTCCCAAATGAATTTAAAGTACATTCAAGCAACCATTAAATGACTTATCATGTTTCAGGTGATGGATGACCTAGTGACCTAGAATTTGTGTGAAAATTCAGCTACACCTCAAGAAGCCCTAGATCAAAGCTGCTGTAATTTTGAGACTGTGGCCTGGGATGGTGGATGTGATGCACTTCCCTTATCACCTGGCGATATGACTCAGGAGAGACAGCTCCTGCCTGCAATAAAGCCCAAAGGGCAAAAATTGACATCTGTAGAATTTAACCTTGAAAAGTATGAGTACATAAAAATATGCATAATGATTTGCTTGTTTCTTTTAAAGTAAGTATGGTACAGTCTAGTAATTAGTTTATAGATGTTATTTTTTCCTAGTGCCATTCACTTAAATGATTTTTTATATTATAAAATAGTTCTTCAAAATATTTATTGAAGAAAACTTACATGTTTATTGAAGAAAATCCATGTTTATTCAGAAAAAAATAGATAAGCAAAAAAAGTAAAAATCACCCCAAATCTCATACCTTTGAAAGTCTTTATTAACATTTTAGCATCACATTTATATCTATATGTAAAACTATGCAATATGGAATACTATGCATTAAACCATTGAAATCTATATCTGTATCTATATATGGATATACATGCATACATATATATGTTCTAGAGCCATATGTATTTCTATGACTATATTTGCATCTGTATCTACAACTACATCTACATCTATCTTTATATACACATCTAGCTCTCTAATTTTCTCTCTCTCAGTATTTATTTTTTATTTATTTTTTTATTATTATTTTTTGAGACGGAGTCTCACTCTGTTGCCCAGGCTGGAATGCAGTGGCGCAATCTCAGCTCACTGCAACCTCCACTTCCCAGGTTCAGGCAATTCTGTCTCCGCCTCCCGAGTAGCTGGAATTACAGGCACTGCCACCACAACCACGCCCATCTAATTTTTGTATTTTTAGTAGAGATGGGGTTTCACGATGTTGCCCAGGCTGGTCTCGAACTCCTGACCTCAAGTGATCCACCCACTTTGGCCTCCCAAAGTGCTGGGATTACAGACGTGAGCCACCGCGCCCGACCTCTCTCTCGATGTTTATATCTATATATACATTTACATGCCATCATGCCATACCCACCGTTTGATAACTTTTAAAAACTTGACATATCATGAATATTTTTCCATGCCATTTTCTTCTTCTATTGTACAGTCTACTAAATCATTTTTAATGGTTTAATGTATAGTATTCCACATAGCATAATTTTACCAATACCCTATTATTTATTAGAATAAATTTGGAGAAGGTGAATTATGAGTCAAAATTATAAGGATTCTGCCGCTCAGTGACACTTTGTCTTCCAGACAGTCTGTTCCTGTTTCTACTTCAACCCGTAGGATTTGACAGGGCCTGCTTTCTTGCCTCACACCAAACATTACTTAAGTTTTTCCAGGCAGCTTTTTAAATCTGAACAGCTCAAAGTGCCACACAGACATCCACTTAACAATGTTTTCTATATTAGGCAGGAGAGTGAAAAGGGTTGTTATGCTTGGTGTATTGTAAAATACTAAGTATTTGGCTGAAGTAAGAAACTAAGATTGGGTTGAGCAAAGACCAAGAATTGATTCCTGGTCAGCTGACTTTCCAGTTATTTTTATTTTAGCTATATTGCCAAAATTTCATTTGACTATATAATAAGATAACTGTCATTTTGGTTAACGGTAGCCTGGTTAATTTTGTCACGCTGTTCAGAAATTTCTTCGGTTCAGGGTTTCTAACAAATTCTAATCTACTAGAGTTCAGTGCTGCCCGGGCACCAGGAGAAAATAAGTTTTAAAAGAGACCTGTAAAAAGAAACTGAAATAAATTCCTTGATATCAAAATCTCCTTTGAAATGGAATTGGTGAGTAAAACATAAATTAATTTGTAAAATATAGATGAAATTTTCTGATAATACTCATTGACTTCAAGGAATTTTACTGGTTGCAAAAGCATTCTGGTAACCACAAAACATTGGAAAAAATAGCCTAAAGTTTCTGCCAAGTCTACAATATTCCAGAATTTACTCATCCCCAATTTTTGCTATATTATCATATAATAATGTGGCATAATAAAATTACATATTTGATATTTGACCCCAGTTCCTGACACAGAGCTCCTAAGTCACTTGGAAGTTCCTGGGTGATGGGGAACATCCTTTGTTCTAATGAGGCGAGACTTGGTGGGCTTCTCCTGCATGTTCACCAGAAACACCAAGCCAAGACTAGAAGCTACAAACTTTCAGCCCCGAGCCTCTGGGGAAGGAAGGAGGGCTCCAGATTGAGTTAATAATCAACCATGCCTACATAAGGAAGCCTTCATAAAAGTCCCTAGGCCGGGCGCGGTGGCTCACGCCTATAATCCCGGCACTTTGGGAGGCCAAGGCAGGCGGATCACTTGAGGTCAGGAGTTCGAGACCAGCCTGGCCAACATGGTGAAACCCTATCTCTACTAAAAATACCAAAAATTAGCTGGAAGTAGTGGTGGGCGCCTGTAATCCCAGCTACTCAGGAAGCTGACTCAGGAGAATCGCTTGAACCCGGGAGGCAGAGGTTGCTGTGCGCCGCTGTACTCCAGTCCTGGTGACAGAGTGAGACTCCATCTCAAAAAAAAAAAAAAAAAAGTCCCCAAAGTATGGGGTTTGGAGAGTTTTCAACTCCACAGCCGTGAGCCAGGAGGGCAGTGCACCCCAACTCCACAGGACAGAAGCTTTTAAAGTATCAGGTTTGGAGAGTTTCCAGCTCACATCCATGAGCCAGGAGTGTGGTGCACCCCAACTTCATGGGACAGAAGTTCCTGAGCTTGCATCCCTTCCAAATCTCTTCCTATGTATAATACTTCTCCACCTGGCTGCCCATCTGTATTCTTTATCATATCCTTTACTATGAAATAAGGCAGTAAATGTGTTCCCCTGAGTTCTGTGAGCATACCAGCCTACTGAATAGATTCAGTTCCCAAGAAGAAAAGTCTCAAAAAAAAAAAAAAAAGAAAAAAACAGGGCAGGCAATCTTTGTAAGATAGTATGGAAGGTTTAATTCACTCCAACATAGAAGGGGCAGAAGATGTGATAATGGTCAGATGGAGAGACCGCTGTCTGCCCCAGCTGAGCCCACTGGCAGAGGGCCATTCTGGGAATGCCTCACGAAGGCTCAGTTCTCAGCAACCTGAATGCTGGAGACCTGCTGTTGGAGCAGGTAGTCTGGAAGGCAAGCCAGTGTGTACGCCTGTGTCTGCCTGTGCGAGTGTGTGTGAGTGTGTGTCTATCTGCATACGACGTGCACCTACACAGCAGCAGGAGGCCCTAGGTGTGCTGCAGAGGCAGGGCCTGTGGGGATTGGAGAGGAGGTGATGCTTTCCTTTTTTGTGTCTAGCTGAGCCTTTCCTTTTAGCTATGGATGCACTTGGCATTTTAAATAATCTTGTAGGTATCTTACTCACCTCAGGCCCAAAATAGTTTAGAACATTTTATATGAAAGACAACATTTAGGCTGGGCGTGGTGGCTCACAACTGTAATCCCAGCATTTTGGGAGGCCAAGGTGGGTGAATCGCCTGAAGTCAGGAGTTTGAGACCAGCCTGTCTTGACTAAAACCCCGTCTCTACTAAAAATAAAAAAATTAGCCGGGTATGATGTGGGAGACTAAGGCAGGAGAATGACTTGAATCCAGGAGGCAGAGGTTGCAGTGAGCTGAGATCACACCACTGCACTCCAGCCTGGGTGACAGAGTGAGATGCCGTCTCAAAAAAAAAAAAAAAAAAAAAAAAAAGAAGAAGAAGAAGAGGAAAGATGACATTTATATACTCCTTAGCACTCAAAAACCAACCTTCACCATCTGCAAAACCCATGGCTTCGACAACTACTGTCCTATTCTGACACCTATTCTGATTTTCTTGATGTTGTCTGACTACTAAAATATCCTTGTATTTTACCTTCCTTGAAAGGGAAAACAAAATGACAGGTATTTCTAAATCTAATAATCTGTAACCTGTCAGTATTTGTTGAAGACCAGCATTTCTACCATGTAGTAAGGACAGCTCCATCCCTGCCGCCTAAATCCTATGTTGGCAGAGCTCATCAGCTCAGTTATTTATACTAGAGCTAAGAAAGACTGATTCATTTAGAACTTGTTAGAAAAAAAGTAGATTGAGGGGACAAATTATTAGGTGGTGTTAGTAAGACAGAAGTAGAGTAATAAACAGTACTGAGGAGGAAAGTCAAGGAGAGAAGGTAGAAGGAAGGGAAGAAAGGAAGGAAGAAGAAAAGATAGGGAAAAGGGAAGAAGGGAGAGAGGTGTGCTGTGTGAGAGACTCTAGGCCCTATTAAGGGTTTATTCAATATTCACTGTAGAAGGAGTAAGACCTGGAAATAGGAGATGCATCACATATCCAGTAACTTTCCTTTTTTTGAGACAGTCTCACTCTGTCGCCTGGGCTGGAGTGCAGTGGCGTGATCTCAGCTCACTGCAACCTCCACCTCCTGGGTTCAAGCAATTCCCCTGCCTCAGCCTCCCGAGTAGCTGGGACTACAGGCACCCGCCACCACACCTGGCTAATTTTTTATATTTTAGTAGAGATGGGGTTTCTCCATGTTGGCCAAGATGGTCTCGATCTCCTGACCTCGTGATCTGCCCGCCTTGGCCTCCCAAAGTGCTGGGATTACAGGCGTGAGCCACCACGCCCAGCCATATACAGTAACTTTCTAGTTATGGCATTGATTCATTGCATTCCAAGTGCCACAGCATGATTCTCATGTGTGTTCTGTTCATTGCTATAAACTCAAGGCCTAGAACAGAGTAAATACTTCGTAAATATTTGTTGAACAAACAAATGTATTACTTTCTCAAAGACAGGTCACCTTATCTCTGTTTTCCATGTTTTAAAACAGATGCGTAACTCTCTTCGTCTGTCATGGTAACATGTGACTGAAGGCCCACAGCAAGGGTAGAGCTGACCTGGCTTTTCAGGAATCTTGTACGGGGGAGGGTAGCTGAAGGCACCTGGAGCATGGCTCACAGCTCTGCCTACCCTTTGCAATTCAGGAGAAGCAAAGAGTGGACAGTCTTGGAGTGAGAATTTTCAATGTAGCTGTGCCAATTCCTCCACACACTCTTTGTAGAAACCAGGATGATGATGGTCTCCTTAGTTATGAAGCATACTATTGGTCAGGCTGTCTCATCCAAAGGCAGAAATGGCCTCATTGAGAGTCACCAGAACTATTACTGTCTGGAAAAGATCTGTAGCTAGTTCCCTAGATTTCCAGTGGAAGATGGGCAACTACTAATTACCCATTTCCTTTGATGAGAAAATATAAGTTATGAGCTCATATAAGAATGGGGCAGATGAGGGAAATATTGTGTTGTGTCTGGCTGGAGCAGAGGCCCTATACATTGGATGCCATGAAACCTGGCATGCTTGGACAGGCAGTGTACACCCATGTGACAAAGAGATGCGGTACTTTTTTTTAGGGTGGGAAGAGATCCTTGCCAGGACAAATAATAATAATAATAGCTAACACTTACCGGGCTTTACTATGTGCCAGGCACTGTTCTAGGCGTTTACATGTATTAACACATTTAATCTTCACAACAACCTCGTGGGGTCTAGTAGCTTTATCACTGTCATTTTATAGGGAAGAAAACTGAGACTGAGAAAGGGTAAGACACTTGCTCAGGTCACACACGGAGCTGGTAGCCTTCTCTAACGATGGGGAAGGGAAATGGAACCAATTTAGTGAGTCCCAGCCTCAGACAAAAAAAAAAGAAAGAAAAACGGAGGTCTAAAGTCCTAGCAGGCATCTGCTTCTTCCAAAAGGAGTCAGAAGCTCACCCCTGGGAGTGTGACTTTGAGCAGTTTGCCAACTCTGTTACCTCCCATGTTGTCTATCCTCATCATTCTTCTCAACTTCCCTGTAAAAATTCTCTTTACCACATTTTAAGTGAAAAAAGCTTGGGTGCTTATTTCTGGGGATAGTGAAGAGAATAGAACTTGGGACCAAGAAATAGGTCAGGGATGATGGTTGTGTCCCTAGGGTCCCACAGAGCACAGGTTTGGGTGCACGTGGAAGTCTTGCAGATAAGCAGATAATTCTGGGAAATGCAGACTATTTAAATTGTGGAACAGACCCTAGTCATTACTGAAGGAGGGTGTGGAACATTCTTTTCTGAAGATGTTCAGATTTTGGAAGCTCCTAGGCTACGTTTCCTAGATGTGTGCTTTTATGTTATCACTAAGAAGAAGGTGTGATTTCCTCTCTTGTGGCCACAGCACCTCCAGGTCTCTGCCCACCCCTGCCACCACTCCCAACCTGGGTAGTTTGGCCTAACAGAAGCAGCTGCTTCCCCTAGACTTGCTTCTGAAGTGTTGCTAAGACTGGGTTTAATGAAAGATAATTTAATTTTTTCTATGATTTTTATGGATAAGCATTAGTTGTGCAAAGCTGTTGTCCTGAAAACTGACAGAAAATAATTACAAAGATCAAAACCCTACATTTTCTCCTGAAAATTATGGGTGAATTAGAGTGCGATAATTATCAAATAAGTCTGGTATATGTAATTAACTTGATGTAACTGTATGTCTTGGTCTACCCAGGGCTATAAAAACATAATGATCTTTCATTATATTTTTACTAGTCTTATGATGGTTTGAACACAGTGTTGCTTCAAGGCAAGATAAAATAATATGTAAGATTATAACCAGTTTGATATTCTATTTCCATTTATAGTTAATTATATAATTATAATAACATAATTATGTAATATTGTAATGTTAATTATATATTGCTGTGAAGTCAGTTGGACCTGAGTTCTACAAGCCAGTATTTATGAGCCACTTTCACCACGGCTCACTTTTCTAGGGATCCAATAAGTTCACTTGACAAAAATGTAACAATCAAATGTGTATGACAACCTATATAAAAGAGAAGTATAAAAATATATATCACAAAATTTGTCCTTCAGAAATTTTACTATAATAAGACAATAAAAGCAATAATAAAAATCTCATTTTAATGGACAAGCTTGAAAAGTTGAAGGAGTAAACATAAATGAAATTAATGGAAATTTTTTAGACTATTATGTGATAAAATGCTAAGTAAGTCAAACAGACAATAAGTTCAATAAAGAAATTCAGGAACTGAGTTGACTTATCCCTGAAATTTTATTATTAAAATTACTTGTTTGACATTGTTAAGGCTAGAACTTACCTAAGGTTTATACCATTTTCATCTTACCATTTATCTTATTTTACCCTCAGAACAGCCTTTTGATATAGAATGAGAAAGGACTATTATGTCTGTTTTACAGATGAGAACACCGAGGGTCAGAGAAGTTCAATGATTTACCCAAGGTCAAGATGGTATATATTTGGTGGAGTTTTGAGTAACTTCTAATGTTGCTGTTCCTTTATGTTACAGTGAGTGAAGACTGTATTATGACTTAATTAAGACTGTATTATGACCTAATTAATGAATGATTCAGCCATTCATTAATTAATTCTTGCAACATATATTTTTTGAATGCCTATAAGGTGCCTGGCTCTTTCATAGGCACGAGAACAAAATGGATATATCACTGTCTTCATTTGAATTTACATTCTAGGGGAAGAAAGTAGACAATAAAATACATACACGAATTATGTAGAAGGTGATGAGAGTTATGGGGAAAAATAAATTAGTGGAAGAGGAGGGATAAAGAGGGCCAAGGGATTGGGTGTTTACCTTTTCAAATAGGGTAGTCAGGGTAGGTTCCATTGAGAAGTTAACATTTAAGTGAAAACATTAAAGAGGTATAGGGGTGAGTCACATGGACATCTGGAGAAAGAGTACTGCAGACCAAGGGATCAGCAAGGGAAAAATCAATGACTCAGGAGCATTCTCATTCCCAATGTGTTCAAAACACAGCCAGAAACATATGTGCTAAGGTGGAATGAATGAGGGGACGGGTAGTGGGGGTGAAGTCAGAGAACAGAGGGAAGAGGTAGATCATGTAGAGTCTTGTGGGCCACTGTAGACTTTGATGTTTGCTTTAAGTGAAAGTAAAGGACATTGAAGGAGTCACATTGATCTAATTTATGTTTTTAAAGTATCATTTTGACTTCTGTGTTGAGATTAGTCTGTAAGGAGCTGAAAATGGAAGCAGGGAGACTAGTTAGAAGGCTACTGCAATAATCTAGACTTGAGCCACTGGGCTAACATGGAGTAATGAGAGATGGAGAGATGGCCAGATGGCCAGAATTTTCCATATTTTGAAGGTGGAGTTAAAAGGAAGAATGACTCCAAGGATTTCAGCCTGAACAACTGTAAGGAAGGAACTACCATAACTGAGATTGGAAAGATTGTTAGTGGGCCAGTTTTTAAATTTTTCATTATTTTGTTTTGGGGTGGAAGTGGTGGTGAAAGATCAGGAGCACAGTTTAGGGCATGTTAAATTTAAGATGTTTATTAGATATCCCAGTGGAAATGTGGAGTAGCGTTCAGGGGCAAGATCTGGCCTAGAGACATAAATCTGGACATTAACAGTTTTTAGATAGAATATAAAGCTGTGAGATTGGATGAAGTCACCAAGGGAGTGAGTATAGAGAAAAGAAGCGTATCAAAGACTGAACTCAGGCTTTCCAACATTAAGAAATTATGGAGATGAGGATTCTGAGGGTCATCTTCTAGGGTATCCAAATGGTCTGCCATCACCACCACCACCATCATCATCACCTCCATGACCACATGACGGTTATGTGATGTTGGTTATGTAAACTGGATTTGTTGTAATTGTGTTTTACAGAGAAAATTTACACTTGACCTCCTTCATATCTATGAGAGTGGTGAATTTTCTGGGTGGAGAAATTACTTAGCTGACTCTTCTGCATAACAAGGAGGCTACCTCTTGTTCTACAACTATCACATAATGTTTCAGAAAGTCTTTGCTCTGAATTAACATGCCTTAAATAAAAAAGATACAGAAGGCAGTTCCAGAGGAAAAGAATATATTCTCATTTTGATTACAAATACGAATAAGCTACTATGAGAACAAAACACTGCAAAGAATAGTGGGATATAAATAGTTAGGGTACGGCCCTCAACCTTGAAGCACCAGAAATTAATATATGCATACACATTAAGGGTTAATATGATTAAGTAACATAGCTGTGATAAGTGCAGTTACTGCAGGCTGCCAGGGTTGAGGAAGAGTTCACGAAGATCATGCTTATATATCAGCTTGGCCAGAGCAGAGAGCATGTGTTGTTAAAAGAAAATCTTTAGACAAATTAAATTTAACAGAGTTTTTTTGACCAATGATTCATGAATTGGACAGCATTCAGAACCAGGACTGAACCATGAAGCCCTTCAACATTAAGAAATCCTGGGCCGGGCGCGGTGGCTCACACCTGTAATCCCAGCACTTTGGGAGGCCGAGGCAGGCGGATCACCTGAGATGGGGAGTTCCAGACCAGCCTGACCAACATGGAGAAACCCCGTCTCTACTAAAAATACAAAATTAGCTGGGCGTGGTGATGCATGCCTGTAATCCCAGCTACTTGGGAAGCTGAGGCAGGAGAATTGCTTGAACCCGGGAGATGGAGGTTACGGTGAGCTGAGATCATTCCATTGCATTCCAGCCAGGGCAACAAGAGCAAAACTTCGTCCCCCCGCAAAAAAAAGAAAAAAATTAGAAATCATGGAGATGAGGATTTCCAGGAGATTCAGAGAGCTCTATCCAGCAATGTGGAACAACGTGGCAGGCAATATTTATAGACAGAAAAAGGAAATAATGTACAGAAACAGCTTGATTGGTTACAGCTTGGCATTTGCCTTATTTGGGCATGGACTGATTAGTTGGCAGCCTGTAATTGGCTGAAGTTTGGCTACTATAATTTGCTGAGATTCAGCTACTTGCTACTCAAGTGTTAGCCTGCATTTTGTTTATGTGCTATTAGGCCGCAGTTTGCTACAGAGAAACAAAGTAAGGAGGCAGAAACAAAGTAAGGAGGCAGAAACAAAGTAAGGAGGTGGCCTTGGCCAAATTTAGTTTAATTTAGCAGTATTGAGAAACAGCTGTGTGTTGGCTTGGAGCAAAGAATAGAATGGGTTCTATGGAAGGGGCATACAGTCCAAGAGCAGAAGGACCCTTGGTGTGGTGGTGGTGGTTGGGGAGCATGGATTAAACAGGGAGAGAATGTTAGGGGTCTGAGGATCCTCAGCCAACTCTCTACAGGGCTTTGATTAAAACTTCAAAAAATAAGTCTCAGCCCCAGCCCACTTCTTATGCCTCTTTGAAGAAGCATGAGTTAGGGGAAGGCTGGACACCAAGACTCTGGGTACCTCCTAATGCTGGAGATTGGGTCTAAGCAGCCCCTCTGACCTTCTGGGTCCTCTCTGAAGCGCTATGAAGGGCACAGACGGTGACTTCCAAGGGCTGCTTTATTTCTTCCCTTTACCTTGGATTTGACCTCACTAGGAAAATGTGCTGTGAAATTTAAAAAAGCATTATTTTTTATCTCAGAATATTCTGAAAGAACAAAAGTTGCTAAACTAAAAAAAAAAAAAGGCACATGTTCTATTTTTTCATTCACTCAC
Organism: Homo sapiens; assembly: GCF_000001405.40. Taxonomy (NCBI): domain Eukaryota; kingdom Metazoa; phylum Chordata; class Mammalia; order Primates; family Hominidae; genus Homo; species Homo sapiens. The sequence goes on along the minus strand of NC_000002.12, from coordinate 182,894,610 downwards.
TAATTCTCATTCACTCATTCTTACAATCTACACTTATTGAACATCCATGGTATTTAAGGTACCATACCGAAGAAACAAGATAGATGGAGTTCAGTCTCTCCTTCCTCTGAAGGTCCCTGACTTGGTGCTCACATCATGTTATGTTATGGTTGGAACACTTCCTGGTATTACAGGATTCCTTCAGTGCCACTTCACCAGCCAGAAATCTCTGCAGCTGCTGTGGCGTCTGCTCAGGGCCTCACTCGGCGCCTGGGGCTCACTCTACCCACTCGGCCCGCAGGCTGGGCTCAGCTTGTGCCCCTGCCCAGATCCCGCATCCAAACAGGGACTCTGCCCTCAGCCCTCAGCTGGACTAGGTGTGCCATGGGTGGCTTTCACATTGGGTGCAAAAGTCTAGATGCGGGGAATGCGGTGGCAACTGAAAACTCAGGGATGCCAGCAACCACAGAGCCCCAGTGGGTGTCACACCTCTCACTCAGGGAGTCCTGAGGTCTGAGCCCCCAAGAAATGTGGATTTTGTAGTTTGGCAAGCCAGCCAGGAGGGAATGGCACCCAACTGCTTCGCTTCTTTATGCCACAGCTAGGCAAACGGGGGTGTGATACAGCTCTCTCTGATGCCCACAGCTTGGCGGATGGGGGTGTGTTACAGCTCGTTTGTTCCTGCCACCCGCTGCTTGGTGAACGGGGATGCATGCTGCCCAGTGGTTTTTCCACTTCCTAGCTTGGGGAACAGGAATGCATGTTACAGCTCTTTTTGCACCTGCCATTCCGCGGTTCCGAGTTCTTGTCCCACAAACAAGAGGAATGAGGTATGTGGACACCGGGGAGTGAGCAAAGCAGAGAAGAATTTTATTGAGCAGCAGAAAAGCTCTTGACATGAGAGGGCACCTGAAGTGGGTAGCCCTCTGTGTGAGAGGAAACCCGAAATCAGGTAGCCATCTGTGAGGCTGAGTCTACGGTTTTTATGGGTTCAGAATGGGGGAGTGCATGCTGATTGGTCCATGGTCAGGCCTGGAAAAAGCACCATTCCATTGGCTACAAGGCATGGAGGAAATTCTCACTCTGGTGGTGTATTCCACCCGAAACTGGCAGCTCGGTTTTCTGGCTTCAGGCTCTCTTTAACGTGAATGTTGGGTTTCACTGGGAACCTGTCCTTGACTACATAGGAATGTGTCTGTCTCCTGTCTCCTTCCTATCACTTGTAGGAAAATAAAACTCATTAGGGTATGTGTCCCATCACATTCATTTTTCGTAACCTCAAAGAGTGGTTTCAGTTTTATACAGCTACTCTCTGCTCCTGTGTGCCTCAAAGGAGAAAGTAATGACCAAACACTTCGTTAAATAAGCCAAATAGTTATTTATTTATTTATTTATTTATTTATTTATTTATTTATTTATTTTGAGACAGAGTCTTACTAAGTCACCCAGGCTGGAGTGCAGTGGCACGATCTCAGCTCACTGCAACCTCCGCCCCCTGGGTTCAAGCGATTCTCCTGCCTGAGCCTCCCGAGTAGCTGGGATTACAGGCATCTGCCTCTGTGCCAGCCTAATTTTTGTATTTTTAGTAGAGACGGGGTTTCACCATCTTGGCCAGGCTGGTCTTGAACTCCTGACCTCATGTTCCACCCACCTTGGCCTCCCAAAGTGCTGGGATTACAGGCATGAGCCACTGCACCTGGCCCAAATTGTTCTTTTTATTGCAGTCAGTTACAGGGCTGAAATTGTCCATGTGCTTATCCTAAGGATAAAGATCTACAGAAAATCCTAGTGTTAAAGTTATTTAGTTATAATTTTATTCCAATAACAAGTGATGTGTTCCATTGAGCAGGAAAGGAGCATAAGGCATTTGGTGGAATAGGTCGTTTTAAGACTCTTCTAGTCAAAGCATCTGATTTCATTATTAGCAGTGTTAGATTTTCTTCCAAAAGCCTTTTTTCTGGAAAGATTAAGTTGAACATCAGAACATATCTGAAGTGTCATAATTGCTCTCACATAAAAAAGATAAATCCTATGACTGTTTTCATAAATTTTAACATTCACTTCATGTCGTTGCCACTCAACAAAACTAAAAGGAAATGAATGAGCTCCAGAACTTCTGGTATAATTAATCTAAGTTTTTGTTTGTTTGCTTTCTGAATCTTTAGGGAGATAACCCCTGCATTATCCCTTTAGGACTAGGCAAATTCAGCAATACTGACTTTGGCAAAAAGCTTATTTTTTCAGAGGTTGTAAATTCTAGAACATTTTCAAAACATTACACTAAAGAACCTCTAATTGGTAGCAATCAGGTTTTACTTAAGTTTAGCTATTTGATATTTTATGTCTACGTGGAAAAAAACTGCATAATATGCATCCACCAAAGAGCATTCATTCCATACACAAAAATATGGCAAGTTAAACAAAACGGCAGTCTAGGAGAATTTTCAAGTCAACGTAATATTTAATGGGTTTTGGGGAAATAATGTGAATAATTTGTTACAGAATCTTAAATTTAGATTGGTAAATTAATCATACTGCAATGGGAAGTCTAAGTCTAAAGCTTTTCTAATTAATTTACTTTAAATCAATCAAATAGGTATAAAATTTGTTGCTGGATATTCACGAGTTTGAAGAGTTTTATAAATTAAACATTAAAGATCTTTTTCTCTAGAATAGAACGTCTGTCTAAAGAGTTGTTTTTGCTCATTTAATTCAATTTTAAAGCTCCAGTCTTCTCTTCCTATCAAGCTGTGCTTCATAAATAGAGGCTACAGGCAGATATTAGCTATGGTTTATTGCATCATTCACAAGTATAGACTGTCTTGTCTTTCCTAGAGGCCATAGTAATGAGACATGGAATCTAATCCTAACCTTAGGATGATTAATTTGTCAAATCAGGACGATCTAATCAGAGTTAGAAAGAAGGAAGAAGGTAGTGATGATAAATAGCTGATGAAACTGGCTGGGAAGGCTCTTTCCTTCTCCCTGTTTCTGCTGCAAACTAATTCCCAATCCCGGACAGTTTCTCTATGTCTCCATGACCTGCCTTTTTTCTCCTTCCTCTTTCTACCCTAAATTATCACCAATGAAAAAATTAATATATACTTCTGATCAAATAGTGATTTAAGCTACAAAAATTTCATTGAGAGTTGGTTTACCATTGAAAATAGATATTTAAAATCCTAACACCCTGTGCAAACAACCAGGTAGGTCAAAATTCAGTTATACTCAGCTTAGCTTTTTGTTAACTTGTCAAATTTCTTTATTAGTTTATAGATTCAATCATAGAAATGTCTTTTAAGAACTTAAAATGTAGCTATAGTATTGATCTAAAAATAAGTAGAGACCATAAAAAGAACTGAGTATATAGATCTGTGTATATATATATGTATGCATAGTGAGATATAAAGAAGAAGGAGGAGAGAGAGAGAGAGAAACCTTGGGTTTGGTGAGCAAATGGGGTTCGAAGGTCACAAGGGTGGAGGGCTTTTGCAACCTCTGGAACATTTGCAACTGTAAATCATTTCCAGACTATGCCCACTCTCAAGAAAAAAGATTCATTTTGAAGTTTTTACTTTCAGTTTTTCTCTGCTCCTCGGGTATGTTCTCCTTTATTAGTTTAAGTTATGTGCGCTATTGTTTTTGTAGTGGCTACCTGAGACACATTTTGAAGGACATATTTCACCTCACACAGTCTAATGTCAATAATTAGACAAGCAAATAATCCTTTCAAACAATGAAGGATTTTAGAATGCCTTAATGCTAATCACCACTCCCTTTGGGATTACATGTTATTGTTACCTAGTAAATACATATTTATGTGTGGACACACTCTTAAAAAAAAAAAAAAGAAATTGGGAGAAATCAGTTAGAGATTACCCAGTTATAAATCTTCATAAACATTGTATAATACTAATTAATAATGGAAGTATATAGACATTTTTATCCCAAAACATAACGATTTTGTAACCATTCCATATCACCAGGGAACATATTTATGACTTAAGTCTTGGTTCACAGGCTCATGTGAACACGCTTGGAATTCATTACTTTTATCAGTGGGGAGTTGCAAATAAAACAAGCAGGAGAGTCTTGGTGACAGTATTACAAACCTGGAAGGACACATGTTGAATTACAAGCAGATTCACTGAAACGCTCAGCCGTTTTCACGGACCTTGCCTCAGAATCTTCAAATATTTTATGGCGTTAACCACAGTACGTATCAGGTTCCCAACAATACTCACATTATAAAAATGTGTAATACACCTTTGGCCTTATAAAAAACATACAGTATGTCAAAAGCAACTTCAGTCCTGGGTTTTCTGAGGGATGCAGGGAATGGGGGTTATTCAGTGCACCATCTGTTTTATCTTATATGTATGTAGTACTTAATCTCCAGGGCATTTTTGTCTGTAGAAAAGCAAAGAACAGGTAATAAGAGAGGAAAATTGGTTGGGGAGGGGTCATGATATACATGAGAGAAAAAAAATTGTGAGAGTTTATGCCTTGGTAAACAGTATTTTATATTCTATTATTCTGTGACTTATTTGTTCTTTGTGATACTATTTATAAAAATAACCACTAGGGATCCAGCAATTCCACTTCTGGCCATATATCCAAAGGAACTGAAATCAGTATGTCATAGACATGTCTGAACTACCATGTTCATTGCAGCATTATTCAGAACAGCCGAGATATGGTAACAACCGAAGTGCTCATCAACAGATGAATGGATTAAAAATGTGATATATATATATATATATATATACACACATACATACATACAGGATGAAATACTATTCAGCCTTTAAAAAAACTGGAAATTCTGTCATTGGCAACAACATGGATGGGCCTACAGGACATTATGTTAGGTGAAATAAGACAGGTACAGAGAGACGAATGCCACATGATCTCACTTATATGTGGAACCTAAGAACATCGATCTCATCATGGTAGAGAGCACAATGGTGGTTACCAGAGACTGGGGAGGTGGGTGTACATGGGAAAAGGGAGCACTTGGCCTAAGGGTACAAAGTTTGTGAGACAAGAGAAATAGGTTTTCGTGATCTATTACACAGCATGTGGCTATTATTAATAATAATGCATTGTATATTTTAAAATTGCTAAAAGAATGCATTTGAAATGTTCTCACCACAAAGAAATGATAAGTATTTGAGGTAATGGATATATTAATTAGCCTGATTTGATCATTCCACAATGTATATCCATATCAAAACATCACATTTTACCCTAAATATATACAATTATTATTTGTCAGTTAAAAATAAAATTCAGAAAAAGTAACCAATATTATTGTAAAGAATAGTACTTTAGGATCACAGCATCTCTTTGGAATTGTATTCTTTTTGGTGCTGTCTCCTTAAGATGGCTTGCACAGAGCCTCATTACCTGCACAGAGGTCTCATTATCATCCACACTATAGAGGAACTAGACTCTAGGAGTATGCAGCGGTCCCTGAGGGCAACGGGATGAAATTAGACTCCTGGTAAATCTTGAAGGGGCCCGGTAAATAAACACCTCTTTTACCAATCCAAATTAAAAACTAATTGAAATAAAAGTCACAGCAGATTAACTGATTGATATTATTACTAATATAAAGTTGGTTGGAGAATGTGGCTTTAGATATGTGACTAACGGGTCTTGCTAATTTTAGATCCCAGGATTAATAAGAATTAAGCACCCAGTCATGGGTGTGCTGGACCACTGCAGGGCTCCTCTGCAGGCTGAGCCATCCCTAGAAGTGACCACACAGGGCACCTGAAAAGTGTTTAAGAGTTCCAAAGGAGAGAGGAAAACCCAGATGTCCTCCTTCGCTCAGATTTACAGGTCTGAAAAAACCTCCATTCAGGTTCCTCCCATGTTGTTTTTAGTCCTGGGGAGAAGAGTGGGTGTTTCCTCCTCTCTGTGGAAATACATTCTTGTTTCCCCATTAACATTAAGCTCATCCCTAGCATCCTTCAATCTTGTTTTGCTACACTTCTTTTCATTTCCTTTGTTCTTTCCACATCTGTCTTTCTCTGTCTTGGGGGTTCATACTGTATTGATCATGGGAAGCCATCAAACATTTTTCTCTGCCCTTTTTCTTAATAATTTATTTCAATCGTATATAGTAACCATAGTGATATAATAGTAATATTGGTTATATCCACTTACCAGAGCAAAGAAAATATGTAATTTATATATTTTTAGATCTATATGTGAAATGAAACAAATCGTCATTCTCTATATTCAGGAAAGAAAAAGTAAATTTGCATTTAGGTTGAAACATGGAATGTGTGAATACCTAAGGAACATTACATTTATTAAAAAGATAGAATAAATTCATTTATAAACAGAACCTAGAGCTAGTCATAGCTAGATAGAAGCAATTGATTGGCAGTCTATTTGCATGATTTTTTCTTTTCTACATGTGACCAAACCCTTTTCTATGTAAAGTCGTTTCTTGACTGCTTTTAGTTCCTTTGTCATAGTCTTACTGTGAATTAAGTGTTATAATTTTCCAGCCTTCTGTTTGGTTCTTCTTAAATACTTTAGGGAAAATTTTAGCCTGTTGTTGGCTTTACCCCATTCTTCAGAGAAAAACAGGCTCGAAAACAAAATGCACAGCAGGTGTAAAACACTGTAGAGTTCCCCACTGAAACTTCCGCCAGAAATGATATTTTTAACACTAGGCAGCACCAATTGTTGATGTGGCACCAAATGACAGAGAGTTCCTTGAAGCCTATGCAAACCTGGCATAGTGTTTTACAGTTACTTGCAGTTAAAAATTGTTTATACCTAGAAAAGGAAAATGCAATTTTCTGCAAAATGCTTGTTCATGGATAATGTGAGATGAGAAACAAAAATAAAATGAAAATATGGACCTACAACTTGGTGAAATGAAACATCAAATGTGTCACCTGCAGGACAAATAATTATTTCAAATATACACATTTAGGCTCTTACAAAATGAAAAATGACTAAATAAATATATGCCAACATTGACATACGTTGGTGAAATGTAAGCAGTTTTTCAAAAGCAGTTTATAGGCACTATCAAAAATGCCCAATTAATTGTATTCCACCTGCCAGTTCTTTTAAAGCCCTGTCTCCCAACCTCCCTCCTTGCACATTAGGTTTATGGCCTTTCTGAAGAAAACTGATGTATATGGCCTGGCTCGCAGGGTGGTGTCATCTAAACCCTTTGAAGAGAAAAGTGTTCTCTCATTCTACGTAACTTAATTTTTAAAAAATCAAGTTCAGGAATTTACCAACCGCTACACTAGAACATTCTTCAAATCTGGTGTAAATCTTCTCCACTGTAACATAAACAATGTCGTAACTTAGTTTTCCCTCAGTGAAGATATAGGACCGACTTGTTTATAGTTCTTTCCATCTTGTAAAGTAAACTTATTAGAGTTTAAGTTTTATGATGGCCCAGACCCTGCTTTGTTTATTGCGTTATCTCAGCACCCTAAAATTGTCTGGTAATTAGAAGGTGAGCAATAAATGTTCAATGAATGAATTGGATGAATTAACTTTTTCAGAATAACAATATTATTTTAAACCTTCCTCAGATATTATATTCCACTTCCTTCCCCAAAGAGGCTTCATAGTTTCTTCTGTATCCTGTCCAGTTTGGTCCTACTAGACACAGTATTCTAGACCTTAATAGCTGTATTTTCATTGTGTTAATCACCGTGATTATCATCATCAGAAACATTAAAATAAAACAGTATAAATGGACTCCAGTGGACGTTCCACTCCAATGCCCTCTTGGGAGATCTTTGAATGTTTTTATTCAAAGCAGATTATATTTTACTTACAAATTAAATTTGTTCTAGTTTCAAAACTGGAAAAAAGGAAATCTAAAAAAAGAGATGCTATTTCATACTCTTGCAAAATATTTAAAGAATTCAAATTGTTTTTGTTTGGCAATTACTAGTGATAAGTCAACATTGGAACTTCTATCAAGAGAGATGAAGAATTTATAGAAATTGTGTACTGCAGGCTGGGCGCGGTGGCTCATGCCTGTAATCCCAGCACTTTGGGAGGCGGAGGGGGTGGATCACTTGAGGTCAGGCGTTTGAGATCAGCTGGCCAACATGGTGAAACTCCGTCTCTCCTAAAAATACAAAATCAGCTGGGCGTGGTGGCGTGCACCTGTAATCACAGTTACTCAGGAGGCTAGGGCAGGAGAATCGCTTGAACCTAGGAGGCGGAGGTTGCAGTGAGCCGAGATTGTGCCACTGCACTCCAGCCTGGGTGAAAAAGTGAGACTCCATCTCAAAAAAAGAAAGAAAGAAAAAAAGATATTGTGTATGGCCTTCAAAGTGCAAAAGAAATGCAAATCAAAAGCACAATGAAATCCCACTTCACACCCACTAGCATGGCTATAATAAAAAAGACTATATAAATGTTGTATCTTTAAGTGTTGACAAAGATGTGGAGAAGTTGGAACTTTTGTATGTTGCTAGTAGGACTACAAAATGGCACAGTCACTTTGAAGGAATCTGTATGGCCTTAACTTATCTTCATGTGGGTGTTATTTTCAAAGCTTTGCCAGGTTCTATCTTTATCAGTCCAAGAGAAAGGATGGCTGATGTTCTGTGCCCATCTCTCTTTCCACCTCAGAGAATAATTGAGTGACGTCACTCCAGGTAACATTCTTTCCTGATTCTTTCTCTCTCTGGGAATCTCTCCTATTATGCTGTCTTTTACATGACATGTTACTGTAGGGGAAGGGGGAGGTTTCTCAGAAGACCTATGTGCAAAGTCCTATCAAATTCTAAGACTCATCAAGTCAATTAAATAATTGAGACTCTCACTTGTCCTTACTGTTTTTATTCTGTCAAACTCAACATTGTAATAATCAGACTGACAGCCAAGATTGAGGATCAAAACAAATATTTATTATAAATTATAGTCATGGATTTAATTTTCTAGAGAGGCTTGGAAACTATCTCTTATGAAGGAAATAAGTAAAAGCAGATTTTTATTTAAAGATGGAAGATATAATCCTCCCCTAGATGTATTCCATAACATCATAATGTTGCAGTAATTAAACAGTTTGACCAGATATTTTTCCTTTAGGCTCAAGAAATTATTTATTGTTACATTCAGTTAATAATATTGCATTGATCTCATATCAGTCGTACGTTCAAGGTAGAATTTGGAAATCGCAATCTTCCTGTCTTTCTTTTCCTTTCCTGAGAGATTGCTCAAGGGTGACAGGCTTTGCAAGACACATTTCCTAAGATCAAACCAATCTTGATGTTAAGGTCTTTATGAATTATCATCAGATTGAATTAAGATATCTAGGGAATTAATGGAATGGAATTGAAAGTCCAAAAATATGTTCAACTGATTTTTTTTTTTTTTTTTTGAGACAGGGTCCCTCTCTGTCCCCAGGCTGGAGTGCAGTGGCATGATATCGGCTCATTGCAACCTCCACCTCCCGGGCTCAAGCAATCCTCCAACCTCAGCCCCCTAAGTAGCTGGGACTACAGGCATGCATCACCATGCCTAGCTAATTTCTATGTATTTTTTGTAGAGACAGAGTTTCACCATGTTGCCTAGGCTGGTCTTGAACTCCTGGACTCAATCGATCAGCCTGCTTCAGCCTACCAAAATGCATGGATTACAGGTGTGATCCACCATTCCTGGCCTGTAAACTGATTTTTGACAATGGTGCCAAGACAATGAAATAAGGGAAACAATATTTGAACAAGTAAGTGCTGAGACAACAAGATAGTAGCATGTAAAAGAATGAAGTGGAATCACTTCCGTACATCATGCATAAAAACTCACCCAGAACGGATTATAGACCTAAAGATAAGAGCTGAAACTATTAAGAATTCTTAGAAGAAAACAAAGGAGCCAATCTTTGTGACCTTGGCTTCTTAGATATGACACTAAAAGCACAAGAGACAAAAGAAAAAAGATAAATTGAACTTCATCCATATTAAAAACTTTTGTGCTTCAAAAGATACCATTAATAAAATGAAAAGACAATCCATAAAATGATAAAATATATTTTCTAATCATATATCTAATAAGGGACTTGTATGTGGAATATATAAAGAACTCTTAAAACTCAAAAACAAGACAAGTAACTCAATTAAAAAGTGGCAAAGGTATTAGCAATAACACAGACCAAAAAGAAAAAAAAGTGGCAAAGGATTTGAATAGCAATTTCCCCAAGGAAGTTGTACAAATAGCCAATGAGCATTTGAAAAGATATTCAACGTCATCAGTCATTAAGAAACTGCAAATCAAAAGCACAATGAAATGCCACTTTACACCCACTAGGATGGCTATAATAAAAAAAAAGATTATATAAATGTTGTATCTATAAGTGTTGACAAGGATGTGGAGAAATTGGAACTTTTATATTTTGCTAGTAGGACTACAAAATGGCACAATCACCTTGAAAACAGTTTGAGAGTTCCTAAAAATGTTAAAATAGAGTCACCATGTGATCCAGCAATTTCAATTTCACTTCTAGGTATATACCCAAGAGAAATGAAAGTATATTTAATGCAAAAACTTGTACACAAGTGTTCATGCCAGCATTATTCATAATAGCCATAAAGGTAGAAACAATCCAAATGTCTATCAATTGATAAATGGATAAGCAAAATGAGATATATCCATTCAGTAGAATTTATTTAGCAATAGAAAGAAATTAAGTACCGATATACGCTACAACATAGATGAACCTAAAAGCACTATGTAAAGTGAAAGAAGCTATTTACAAAGACAACAAATTCTATGAGTCTCTTTATATAAATAGGCATATATGTATGTCCAGAATAGGCAAGTCCATAGAGATAGATAAATGGCTGTCTAGGGCTGGAGTTACGGGGGAGAAATGGGAGTGATTGCCAACGGGTATGAGGTTTCATTTTGGGGATGATAAAAATGTTCTGAAATTGTTTGTGGTGATGATTACACAACTATGTGAATAAACAAAGAGCCACTGAATCATATACTTTAAAAGGGTAAACTTTATGGAAATCAAATTGTGTCTCAATGCAGCTGTTATAAAAAAAGATATCTGAGGGACTGGCAGCAATTTAGTAGGTGAGGTATTTATATTAAAACATGCCAGACTTTTTCTAGTGGGCACTGGGTTAAGACTGAAGGAGTAAATTTCCATGCAGAGGAAATGCAGTGTTGTGACGGGGAGTACAGAATTTGCAGCCAGATTGTCTGGATTTTAATCCTGACATGACCTCTTATTAAGTCATGGGATCTTGGGAAAATTATTCTGCGGCCTAATGTCCTCATTCACGAAATGGGAATAATAATAATGGTACTATGTTTTAGAGTTGTGGTGATTAAATATAAGCTTTAACAGGGCCTGGTACATAATAAATCACAGTAATGCTATTAGGTTGGTGCAAAAGTAATTGCGTTTTTTTTTTCTCATTACTTTTACCACAATTACTTTTGCACCAACCTAAATATATAAGTATTTGCTGTTATTATACAGGCTACAAAATTCAAAGCATAACCCTCTGGAGCTGACTTAATTTCGACTCTTTCTGTTTCCAAATGAGTGAGTAATCACATGAAAAAAAGGAGCCAAAATTTTAATAAGGAAAAATGGATTTCTAAGGCGTAGATTTCAGAGAGATAAAATACAGAGGAAGAATAAAATATTTGTATTTGCCTTCTCTTACAGCTACACTTTAAGAATTATTATCTTGTATCTATGAAATATGATTAAATATACCCAAGAAAAAGGCAAGATGTCTGCATTCACCTTTCGAGACTTATAATTAGGAAATTCTCTAGCTACTAAATTAACTATTGAGTTACTAAGGATGTTAGCATTGAGTGGATCCCATTTTTCTGGCCTGAGTTACATTATAATAATTCAGTTCCTTGTGATGGAAGAATGGACAGAAAGATTGAAAGAGTATTAGCCAGAGGTAAAGTTATTACCCAGTGATGGGAAGAGTGAGATAGATAGCTGAGAGCCACCTTGAGGATAAGGGCCTCAATTAGAAAATATCTTGGAGGAAAAATTGCACAGGATGGTTAATGTTGTTGGGTTAGCAAGAGGAGCAGCAGGTCAGGATTCCCAGGTGGGGCCAATCTGTTGATTAGTGATATAGTGGTACTAAAGCTGTTCCCAGGGAAGGTTCTCTGAGCACTAGGAGGATCCATCTTAAGATGTAGGTCCTTTACATTGGCTAATTTATTTTGAAATGTCTTACTTTACCCCTAAAAATCTTTCAATAGGCACTTCTGACATTCTGATTAGCATTTATTCTTCAAGACTGAAGACAAAAGTTTAGATTTAAAAAAATGCATTGGATTTAATACTTTATGTGGTTGCCAAGTTTGCAGGTTAGTTTTATCATTATTTATATATCAATGAAAGAGACTGATTTGCCTTCCAGATTAAACGTAAGATGTATGACTCACATTTTTTTTTTTTGTCTCTCATAGGCACTGACTTTTTGTTATTATATTATGGTAGCTTTCATTTCCTTTACTCTTTTTTTTTTATTATACTTTAAGTTTTAGGGTACATGTGCACATTGTGCAGGTTAGTTACATATGTATACATGTGCCATGCTGGTGCGCTGCACCCACTAACTCGTCATTTAGCATTAGGTATATCTCCCAATGCTATCCCTCCCCCCTCCCCCAACCCCACAACAGTCCCCAGAGTATGATATTCCCCTTCCTGTGTCCATGTGATCTCATTGTTCAATTCCCACCTATGAGGGAGAATATGCGGTGTTTGGTTTTTTGTTCTTGCGATAGTTTACTGAGAATGATGATTTCCAATTTCATCCATGTCCCTACAAAGGACATGAACTCATCATTTTTTATGGCTGCATAGTATTCCATGGTGTATATGTGCCATATTTTCTTAATCCAGGTATGACTCACATTTAACAAATCATAGATGAATGAGGGTTAACCTGGTTATTGCTTTTTTTTTTTTTTTTTGAGATGGAGGCTTGGTCTGTTGCCCAGGCTGGAGTGCAGTGGTGCCGTCTCAGCTCACTGCAACCTCTGCCTCCTGGGTTCAAGTGATTCTCCTGCCTCAGTCTCCCAAGAAGCTGGGATTACAGGTGCATGCCACTACGCCCCGCTAAATTTTGTATTTTTATGCGGATGGGGCTTCACCACGTTAGCCAGGCTGGTCTTGAACTCCTGACCTCAAGTAATCTGCCTGCCTAATGCCAAAGTGCTGGGATTACAGGCGTAAGCCACCATGCCCAGCCCTTTTGATTGTTCTGTTGGATTTATTGTCTTGTGAGGGATCATTTTAAGGCTAGTTTCTAATTAGGCCTCGGTCACAATGAGTTGTTTAGGTGTCTACATTATAACTGCAGCATAAAACTCATGTTGGAATGACCTGTATGCTACTTGGTTGCTCCTTTGTTACCATAAGGAGAAATAAGCAATAAAATAAGGCTTTAAAAGATACGATAATACAAAAGATGTGGCAAAACATGTAGGTCTATTCTAGAGTAAGATGATAGAAAGGGTGTTTTAGAAATTATCTGTAATTATATCTTGTCAAAGGGAGATTAGACAGAAATTCAGAATCATCGGGGTTTCAACTGACATGGGGAGAGCCTACAGTGTGGGTTCTTGGATGTGCCCCACACTTCCCCTTCCAGACCCTGAAAACCTTTTGGACTGCTTGAAAAGTCTATAATAATAGACTTAAAATAATCTTAAAAGATTATTTTAAGGTATTACATAAACTGAATACCATTATGTTAATTATCAGATATATTTCTATAGGCATTTTCTGTTTCCAGGTGTATAAGAAAAACACACACTACCAATAGAGAAGGAGAATTGTGTAAATAGATCAAACTAGCAAACACACTTAACTACTGTATTAGTTCATTTTCACATTGCTATGAAGAAATTCCCAAAGCTGGGTAATTTTTGTTTTTATTTTCTTTTTCTTTTTTTTGTTTTATATGGACTTCATTATTTTTTAGTAAAGAATTAAATAAAATGTAAGTTTTTTTATTATACTTTAAGTTCTGGGATACATGTGCAGAACGTGCAGGTTTGTTACATACATATACATGTGTCATGGTGGTTTGCTGCACCCATCAACCCGTCATCTACATTAGGTATTTCTCCTAATGCTATCCTTCCCCTAGCCCTCCACCCCGCTCAAAAGTCCCCAGGGTGTGATGTTCCCCTCCCTGTGTCCATGTGTTCTCATTGTTCAACTCCCACTTATGAGTGAGAACATGTGGTGTTTGGTTTTCTGTTCCTGTGTTAGTTTGCTGAGAATAATGGTTTCCAGCTTCATCTATGTTCCTGCAAAGGATATGAAGTCATCCTTTTTTATGGCTGCATAGTATTCCATGGTGTGTATGTGCCACATTTTCTTTATCCAGTCTATCATTGATTGGCATTTGGGTTGGTTCCAAGTCTTTGTTATTGTGAATAGTGTTGCAATAAGCATGCATGTGCTTGTGTCTTCATAGTAGAATGATTTATAATCCTTTGGGTATATACCCAATAATGGGACTGCTGGGTCATATGGTATTTCTGGTTCTAGATCCTTGAGGAATTGCCACACTGTCTTCAACAATGGTTGAACTAATTTACACTCCCACCAACAGTGTAAAAGCATTCCTATTTCTCCACATCCTCTCCAGCATCTGTTGTTTCCTGACTTTTTAATAATCGCCATTCTAACTGGCGTGAGATACTACCTCATTGTGATTTTGAGTTGCATTTCTATAATGACTAGTGATGATGAGCTTTTCTTCATATGTTTGCTGGCCACATAAATGTCTTCTTTTGAGAAGTGTCTGTTCATATCCTTCGCCCACTTTTTGATGGAGTTTTTTTTTCTTGTAAATTTGTTTAAGTTCCTTGTAGATTCTGGATATTAGCTCTTTGTCAGATGGATAGATTGGAAAAATTTTCTCCCATTCTGTAGGTTGCTTGTTCGCTCTGATAGTTTCTTTTGCTCTGCAGAAGTTCTTTAGTTTAATCAGATCCCATTTGTCAATTTTGGCTTCTGTTGCCATTGCTTTTCGTGTTTTAGTCATGAAGTCTTTGCCCATGCCTATGTCCTGAATGGTAATGCCTAGGTTTTCTTCTAGGGTTTTTATGGTTTTAGGTCTTAGGTTTAAGTCTTTAATCCATCTTGAGTTAATTTTTGTGTAAGGTGTAAGGAAGGGGTCCAGTTCCAGTTTTCTGCATGTAGCTAGCCAGTTTTCCCAACATCATTTATTAAATAGGGAATCCTTTCCCCATTGCTTGTTTTTGTCAGGTTTGTCAAAGATCAGACGGTTGTAGATGTGTGGCGTTATTTCTGAGGCCTCTTTTCTGTTCCATTGGTCTATATATCTGTTTTGGTACCAGTACCATGCTGTTTTGGTTACTGGAGCCTTATAGTGTAGTTTGAAGTCAGGTAGCATGATGCCTCCAGCTTTGTTCTTTTTGCTTAGGGTTATCTTGGCTATATGGGCTCTTTTTTGGTTCCATATGAAATTTAAAGTAGTTTTTCTAATTCTGTGAAGAAAGTCAGTGGTAGCTTGATGGGGATAGCACTGAATCTATAAATTCGTTTGGGCAGTATGGCCATTTTCATGATATTGATTCTTCCTATCCATGAGCATGGAATGTTTTTCCATTTGTTTGTGTCCTCTCTTACTTCCTTGAGCAGTGGTTTGTAGTTCTCCTTGAAGAGGTCCTTCACATCCCTTGTAAGTTGTATTCCTAGGTATTTTATTCTCTTTGTAGCAATTGTGAACGGGAGTTCACTCATGATTTGGCTCTCTGTTTGTCTATTATTGGTGTATAGGAATGTTTGTTATTTTGGCACATTGATTTTGTATCCTGAGATTTTGCTGAAGTTGCTTATAGCTTAAGGAGTTTTTGGGCTGAGACGATGGCGTTTTCTAAATATACAATCATGTCATCTGCAAACAGAGACAATTTCACTACCTCTCTTCCTATTTGAATACTCTTTATTTCTTTCTCTTGCCTGATTGCCTTGGCCACAACTTCCAATACTATGTTGAATAGGAGTGGTGAGAGAGGGCATCCTTGTCTTGTGCCAGTTTTCAAAGGGAATGCTTCCAGCTTTTGCTCATTCAGTATGATATCATAAATAGCTCTTATTATTTTGAGATACGTTCCATCAATACCTAGTTTATTGAGAGTGTTTAGCATGAAGGGGTGTTGAATTTTATCGAAGGCCTTTTCTGCATCTATTGAGATAATCATCTTTTTTTTGTCATTGGTTCTGTTTATGTGATGGATTACATTTATTGATTTGTGTATGTTGAACCAGCCTTGCATCCCAGGGATGAATCTGACTTGATCGTGGTGGATAAGCTTTTTGATGTGCTGCTGGATTCTGTTTGCCAGTATTTTATTGAGGATTTTTGCATCGATGTTCATCAGGCATATTGGCCTTAAATTTTCTTTTTTTGGTTGTGTCCCTGCCAGGTTTTGGTATCAGGATGATGCTGGCCTCATAAAATGAGCTAGGGAGGAGTCCCTCTTTTTCTGTTGTTTGGAATAGTTTCAGAAGGAATGGTACCAGCTCCTCTTTGTACCGCTGATAGAATTCGGCTGGGAATCCGTCTGGTCCTGGGCTTTTTTTGGTTGGTAGGCTATTAATTACTGCCTCAATTTCAGAACTTGTTATTGGTCTTTTCAGGGATTCTAATTCTTCCTGGTTTAGTCTTGGGAGGGTGTATGTATCCAGAAATTTATCCATTTCTTCTAGATTTTCTAGTTTATTTGCATAGAGGTGTATATAGTATTCTCTGATGGTAGTTTGCATTTCTGTTCGATCAGTGGTGATATCCCTTTTATCATTTTTTATTGTGTCTATTCGATTCTTCTCTCTTTTCTTCTTTATTAGTCTGGCTAGTGGTCTATCTGTTTTGTTAATCTTTTCAAAAAACCAGCTCCTGAATTGACTAATTTTTTGAAGGTTTTTTTTGTGTCTCTCTCTCCTTCAGTTTTTCTCTGATCTTAGTTATTTCTTGTCTTCTACTAGCTTTCGAATTTGTTTGCTCTTGCTTCTCTAGTTCTTTCCATTGTGATGTTACGATGTCGATTTTAGATCTTTCCCACTTTCTCCTGTGGGCATTTAGTGCTATATATTTCCCTCTAAACACTGCTTTAGCCGTGTCCCAGAAATTCAGGTACCTTGTGTCTTTGCTCTCATTGGTTTCAAAGAACTTCTTTATTTCTGCCTTCATTTCGTTATTTACCCAGTAGTCATTCGGGAGCAGGTTGTTCAGTTTCCATGTAGTTGTGTGGTTTTGAGTGAGTTTCTTAATCCTGAGTTCTAATTTGGTTGCACTGTGCTCTGAGAGACTGTTTGTTATGATTTCTGTTCTTTTGCATTTGCTGAGGAGTGGTTTGCTTCCAATTATGTTGTCAATTTTAGAATAAGTGTAGTGTGGTTCTGAGAAGAATGTATATTCTGTTGATTTGGGGTGGAGAGTTCTGTAGATGTCTATTAGGTCCATTTGGTCCAGAGCTGAGTTCAAGTCCTGAATAGCCCTGTTAATTTTCTGTCTCATTTATCTGTCTAATATTGACAGTGGGGTGTTAAAGTCTCCCACTATTATTGTGTGGGAGTCCAAGTCTCTTTGTAGGTCTGCAAGAACTTGCTTTATGAATCTGGGTGCACCTGTATTGGGTGCATATATATTTAGGATAGTTAGCTCTTCTGGTTGCACTGATTCCTTTACCATTATGCAATGCCCTTATTTGTCTTTTCTGATCTTGGTTTAAAGTCTGTTTTATCAGAGACTAGGATTGCAACCTCAGCTTTTTTCTTTTCTTTTTTTTTTGGCTTTCCATTTGCTTGGTAAATATTCCTCTATCCCTTTATTTTGAGCCTATGTGTGTCTTTGCATGTGAGATGGGTCTTCTGAATACAGTACACCGATAGGTCTTGATACTTTATCCAATTTGCCAGTCTGTGTCTTTTAATTGGGGGATTTAGCCAATTTACATTTAAAGTTTATATTGTTATGTTTGAATTTGATCCTGTCCTTATGATACTAGCTGGTTATTTTGCTCATTAGTTGATCCAGCTTCTTCATAGTGTTGATGATCTTTACAATTTGTTATGTTTTTGCAGTGACTGGTACTAGTTTTTCCTTTCCATGTTTAATGCTTCCTTCAGGAGCTCTTGTAAGGCAGGCTGGGTGGTGACAAAGTCTCTGAGCATTTGCTTGTCTGTAAAGGATTTTATTTCTCCTTCACTTATGAAGCTTAGTTTGGCTGGATATGAAATTCTAGGTTGAAAATTCTTTCCTTTAAGAATGTTGGCTATTGGCCCCCACTCTCTTCTGGCTTGTAGGGTTTCTGCAGAGAGATCCACTGTTAGTCAGATAGGCTTCCCTTTGTGTTTAACCCGACCTTTCTCTCTGGCTGCCCTTAATATTTTTTCGTTCATTTCCATCTTGGTGAATCTGACAATTATGGGTCTTGGAGTTGCTCTTTGCAAGGAGTTTCTTTGTGGTATTCTCTATATTTCCTGAATTTGAATGTTGGCCTGTCTTGCTAGGTTGGGGAAGTTCTCCTGGAAAATATCCTGAAGAGTGATTTCCAACTTGGTTGCATCCTCCCCGTCACTTTCAGGTACACCAATCAAACGTAGGTTTGGTCTTTTCACATAGTCCCATATTTCTTGAAGGTTTTGTTTGCTCCTTTTCATTCTTTTTTCTCTAGTCTCGTCTTCATGCTTTACTTAATTAATTTGATCTTCAATCTCTGATATCCTTTCTTCTGCTTGATCGATTTGGCTATTGATACTTGTGTACGCTTCATGAAGTTCTCCTGCTGTGTTTTTCAGCTCCATCAGGTCATTTATTTTCTTCTCTAAACTGGTTATTCTAGTTAGCAATTCCTCTAACCTTTTTTCGAGGTTTTTAGCTTCCTTGCATTGGGTTAGAACATGCTCCTTTAGCTTGGAGGAGTTTTTTTTTTTTTTATACTTTAAGTTTTAGGGTACATGTGCACAACGTGCAGGTTTGTTACATATGTATACATGTGCCATGTTGGTGTGCTGCACCCATTAACTCGTCATTTAGCATTGGGTATGTCTCCTAATGCTATCCCTCCCCCCTCCCCCCACCCCACAACAGTCCCCGGTGTGTGATGTTCCCCTTCCTGTGTCCATGTGTTCTCTTGTTCAATTCCCACCTATGAGTGAGAACATGCAGTGTTTAGTTTTTTTTCCTTGCCATAGTTTGCTGAGAATGATGGTTTCCAGCTTCATCCATGTCCCTACAAAGGACATGAGCTCATCATTTTTTATGGCTGCATAGTATTCCATGGTGTATATGTGCCACATTTTCTTAATCCAGTCTATCATTGTTGGACATTTGGGTTGGTTCCAAGTCTTTGCTATTGTGAATAGTGCCACAATAAACATATGTGTGCATGTGTCTTTATAGCAGCATGATTTATAATCCTTTGGGTATATACCCAGTAATGGGATGGCTGGGTCAAATGGTATTTCTAGTTCTAGATCCCTGAGGAATCACCACACCGACTTCCACAATGGTTGAACTAGTCTACAGTCCCACCAACAGTGTAAAAGTGTTCCTATATCTCCACATCCTCTCTAGCACCTGTTGTTTCCTGACTTTTTAATGATTGCCATTCTAACTGGTGTGAGATGGTATCTCATTGTGGTTTTGATTTGCATTTCTCTGATGGCCAGTGATCATGAGCATTTTTTCATGTGTTTTTTGGCTGCATAAATGTCTTCTTTTGAGAAGTGTCTGTTCATATACTTCACCCACTTTTTGATGGGGTTGTTTGTTTTTTTCTTGTAAATTTGTTTGAGTTCATTGTAGATTCTGGATATTAGCCCTTTGTCAGATAAGTAGGTTGCGAAAATTTTCTCCCATTTTGTAGGTTGCCTGTTCACTCTGATGGTAGTTTCTTTTGCTGTGCAGAAGCTCTTCAGTTTAATTAGATCCCATTTGTCAATTTTGGCTTTTATTGCCATTGCTTTTGGTGTTTTAGACATGAAGTCCTTGCCCATGCCTATGTCCTGAATGGTATTGCCTAGGTTTTCTTCTAGGATTTTTATGGTTTTAGGTTTAATGTTTAAGTCTTTAATCCATCTTGAATTAATTTTTGTATAAGGTGTAAGGAAGGGATCCAGTTTCAGCTTTCTACATATGGCTAGCCAGTTTTCCCAGCACCATTTATTAAATAGGGAATCCTTTCCCCATTGCTTGTTTTTGTCAAGTTTGTCAAAGATCAGATAGTTGTAGATATGCGGCATTATTTCTGAGGGCTCCGTTCTGTTCCATTGGTGTATATCTCTGTTTTGGTACCAGTACCATGCTGTTTTGGTTACTGTAGTCTTGTAGTATAGTTTGAAGTCCGGTAGCATGATGCCTTGGAGGAGTTTTTTTATTACCCACCTTCTGAAGCCTACTTCTGTTAATTCATCAAACTCAGTCTGCGTCCCGTTTTTTTCTTCCCTTGCTAGCGAGGAGTTGTGATCCTTTGGAGAAGAAGAGGCATTCTGGTGTTTGGAATTTTCAGCCTTTTTGCGCTGTTTTTTTCTCATCTTTACAGATTTATCTACCTTTGGTCTTTGATGCTGGTGACCTTCAGATGGGGTTTTTGTGTGGACATCCTTTTTGTTGATGTTGATGCTATTCCTTTCTGTTCATAAAAATATGGAAGGCTTCTCAAATTTGCATGTCATCCTTGCCCAGGGGCCATGCTAATCTTCTCTGTATTGTTCCAATTTTAGTATATGTGCTGGTGAAGTGAGCACAAAGCTGGGTAATTTTTTTTTTTTTTTTGAGATGGAGTTTCACTCTTGTTGCCCAGGCTGGAGTGCAATGGCACAATCTCGGCTCACCGCAACCTCTGCCTCCCGGGTTCAAGTGATTCTCTTGCCTCAGCCCTACTGAGTAGCTGGGATTACAGGCATGCACCACCATGCCCTGCTAACTTTTGTATTTTTAGTAGAGACAGATTTTTTCCATGTTGGTTAGGCTGGTCTTGAACTCCCAACCTCAGGTGATCTGCCCACCTCAGCCTCCCAAAGTGCTGGGATTACAGGCATGAGCCACCACGCCTGGCCAGACTAAGTTTTACATAGCACATATCACGTAGAAAGTTGCCTAAAATGCCTCTTGACATTTCTCCCTCGTCCCAAAATGTCACACTTATGGCATTGTTAGGTTTACTTCATGAGTCTTTTAAGGACCTTGTTGGTTATGTTGGGCCTATTTGGATAATCTAGGATAATCCTATTTTTAATTAGTCACCAAAATTTTATTTAATCTCACGTCAGATTAGCTATGGTACCATTGAGTGGTCTCTAGTTATGGTGGGGACAATATTTATGTTTCAGTCAAAATAATAAATGCAGATAGTTTTAGAAAATTAAATAGAATTTACTGTAATCCCAGCACTTGACTCAGTTCTGCATTGCTGGGGAGGCCTCAGAAAACTTACAATCTTGGCGGAAAGCAAAGGAGAAGCAGGCACCTTCTTCACAGGGCGGCAGGATGGAATGAGCGCAAGCAGGGGAAATGCCATCAGATCTCACGAGACTCACTCACTATCATGAGAACAGCATGGGGGAAACTGCCCCCATGATCCAATTACCTCCACCTGGTCCTGCCCTTGACACATAGGGGTTATGGGGATTACAATTCATGGTGAGATTTGCTGGGGACAGAGGGGACACAGTCAAACCATATGAGTTGCCGTGTCACACCAGGCCCCTATTGACTTCAGTAAGGGTGATACCATGTTCAAGAAGCTGAAGAAGGGACCCAGAGCCAGCAAATGAGACATGGAGTTTACTGAGGGAACTTACATACAGGGTAGTCCAGTGGCAGTAGGTTGGACAGCAGAACCACTACCATTTGTAGAAATCACGCTGTTTATACAGAATTTTCACTTGGCACCCTCTCCTTAGGAACCCCTACCTAACAAACTTCATTTAACCCAAAACAAACAGCCTCAATCCCCTGTATGGCCTGCATTCCATGGGATGGGCTGGGGGTTCATATGTTCCTCATAAATAATGAATTAATCTCTGGATTGGTCACTTTTGAATTCCTTACCTCGCAGCTCTGAACACACATTGTTTTTAGACCATAGGGTCATTCTCAGGGTATGCTTAAGTTGAGTTATTGCTGCTGGTAGGTACATCTGCCATACGTGCCATTAACTTCATGATTTTGGGTAAGTGATTTTATCTCAAGTCTTCTTTTCAAATTAAGGTATGGAGGGGAGGGCTAGAAGGTTGCAGAGGTGAAAGAGGTGGGTGGATTAGATTGTTGAGGTTCATTCCACCACTAAGATATTAAGATTCCCTCTGGAACTTCTTTGAAGCTGGATCTATCGTTCTTCTTCTACAACAGAGGTAGAGTGACGCTGTGACCCTTAGGACAGTACATAAAGGTCAGAGGGCCAGCTGATTGTAAGGCTGAGTCTCATTGGGGCTATTATTATGATCTTTGAGTGGTAGAGTTATCTAGACAAACTTTAGAGAGTCATTTAGCTATTAGGTTGCTTTATTACAATTTTGTTTCCAATTTTCCTATGAGAAAAGATAAAAGGAGATAAAATCATGAAATCTTTATAGCATGAAAAGCATTTACTTGGGGTAAATCAGAGCTTAATATCTAGTTCAAAAGAGTGATTTTAAGTGTTGTTCTTCGACAGCAGTATTAGGATCACCTGATAACTTATTTGAAATGCAAATTCTCAGACCTACCTTATCAGAAATTCTGGATGAAGCCCAGCAACCTGTGTTTTCAGGAGCCTTCCAGGGGATTCCGCTGCATGATTCAGTTTGAGAATCATTGCCCTAATGTTGCTGCATTGAACAGTTGGGAAGCTTTTATTGGTTTGCGTGGAGATGGGAAAGGGTAAGATCTTCTTCCTAAGGCAGAACTCAAGGAATTACTAGGTCTGCAGAATACCTCAGGGAGAGGCTATGAGCAAGGAGGTCTCCCCATCTGAAATCCAAAGCTTCTCATTGGGCTTGACATCTTGACATCTTTTTATTCTTTTTTTCTTTTTGAGACGGGTGTCCCTCTGTCACCCAGGCTGGAGTGCAGTGGCTCGATCTCTGCTCACTACAACCTCCGCCTCTCAGGTTCAAGCAATTCTCTTGCCTCAGCCTCCTAAGTAGCTGGGATTACAGGCATGCGCCACCACGCCTGGCTAATTTTTTTTTTTTTTTTTTTTTTTTTTTTTTTTTTTTTAGTAGAGACGGGGTTTCAGCGTGTTGGTCAGGCTGGTCTCAAACTCCTGACCTCGTGATCCACCCGCCTTGCCCTCCCAAAGTGATGTGATTACAGGCGTGAGCCAGCACACCCGGCCGACATCTTTCCATTCTTAAGAAGATAGAGCCAATATCTGACAGTTGGTGTGGTCAGGGTGCAGGCTGAGACCCAAGCTCACAGAGATCCCTGATATTTCCCTTTCCCTGGCTCTTTTCTGCCTATGAAACAGATGATTGGAATTGTTAAAAGAGCATGGATTCGAATCCCACTCTGCCAGGCCCTTATTTATCTGTGAGAACTTTGGGAAACTTCATCTTATGGAGCCTTATTTTCTTCATCTTTGGAACTAATACCTTGAGCAGTTTATGTGCTTAAAAAGTGGTTTACATACCTCACATAAAGTACTCGCAAGTACTCAATAAACACTAATTCCTTGCTCCTTGATACCCTGATAGTACAGAATGGGCCTGGCCACAGCCATTCTGACTCACTGGTGTTCAACTGTACCAGTTTTTAACTATTTTACATATCAGCTCTGCTTGTGAAAATGTAAGAATATTTTCTTATTTTTTGCAAACACATTTTCTTATAGGAAAGATGTGGGCAGACTTATTAACACAAACCTAGGATAGGTTTACAGTTTATTTAAACAGATGAAAAAATAATGTGAATATTCAAATTACTGACAAAATAAGACATTGCAAAATTGGGGCAGGGAGGGGGAAATTGGCCAAATTTGAATTTTGGTAATATGGCTATATCAAAGTAATATACTCTAGCATGATCTTTTTCTTGACATTGCCACAGGAACACCTACCTGTCAGGAAGTTAAACCAAATGTCAATGATCATGGTATCATTACTCATCCTAAGAAGCTTGACTGGCCATCACTGGGTCTGGGTGCACTTCCTAAGCAGTGGTTGAGCCTGGAATTAACCCATAGTCCCAACTAGGTGCTAGGGGGCGCTATGCTGCAGCTCTCAGACAGCCAGGTGTCCTCTGGCTATCATAACCAATGCATATCATAACCTGGATATGCATTGTGTGGAGCCCTTTGAAGTCCTTGAATCTGGTGTCCATAGATTTTTTGTTTCCAGCAGAGTATTAGTATATTAATAATTTGGTGGGGGCTCACACCTGTAAGTGGGCAGATCATTTGAGACAAGGTGGGCAGATCATTTGAGCCCAGGAGTTTGAGACCAGCCTGGGAAATATGGCAAAACTTGGCTGGGCTCAGTGGCTCACACCTGTAATTCCAGCACTTTGAGAGGCCAAGGTGGTTGGATCACCTGAGTGAGGTCAGGGGTTCGAGACCAGCCTGGCCAACATAGTGAGCCCTGTCTCTACTAAAAATACAAAAATTAGCTGGGCAGGGTGGTGCGTGCCTATAGTCTCAGCTACTCGGGAGGCTGAGGCAGCAGAATCACTTGAACCTGGGAGGTGGAGGTTGCAGTGAGCTGAGATCACATCGCTGCACTCCAGGCTGGAGACAGAGCAAGATTCCGTCTCAGCAAAACAAAAACAATAGATGTTGGTGTGGATGTGGTGAAAGGGAATGCTTATACACTGCTGGTGGAAATGTAAATTAGTACAACCTTTATGAAAAACAGTGTGAAGATTTCTCAAAGAACGAAACTGGACCTACAGTTTGATACAGCAATCCCATTACTGGGTATCTACCCAAGTGAAAAGACATCAATTTGTCAGAAGGACAACTGCATGCATATGTTTATTGCAACACAATTCACAATTGCAAAGATATAGAACCAAACTAAGTGCCCATCAACCAAAAATATGGAACTAAACTAAGTGTCCATGTCCATCAAATGATGAGTGGATAAAGAAAATGTGGTATATATACACCACGGAATACTACCCAGCCAGAAGAAAGAATGAAATAATGTATTTTGCAGCAGTTTGGGTGGAGCTGGAGGCCATTATACTAGGTGATTTAACTCAGGAATGGAAAATGAAATACTGTATGTTCTCACTTATAAATGAGAGCAAAGCTATGGGTACAAGAAGGCATATCTTTGAGAGGTATAACAGACTTTGGAGACTCACAAGTGGGGAGCTTGTGAGTCTACTAGGGAGGCTGAGGCAGGAGAATCTCTTGAACCCGGGAGGTGGAGGTTGCAGTGAGCCAAGATAGTGCCACTGCACTCCAGCCTGGGCAACAAGAGCAAAACTCCATCTCAAAATAAATAAATAAATAAATAAAGGAATAATTTGTAAAAACAAACACTGTTCAAGGGTAACTAACCAGAAAAATGAACACAACTAGACAAGGTACTCAAAAGGGCTTCCTCAAGACAGTGACATTTATTTTGGGCTTTTATAAAAACAAATTTGGATTAAAGTTGTAAGGGGACCTATTAGACAAAGAAGATAGCTGACTTTTGTGCAGGGGAAGGAAAACAGACTTTGTTTCAAATAGTTGTAGAACCTTTAAAACTATTGGCACATTTCTTCTCACACTGTAAGACTTAAGATGAACAGAAAAATGTATTTAGCAAACAATCTACTACATCTACTCCTGATGTTTTTTCTTCTAATTATTGAAAATCTCAGCTATATTTTTCTTATACAAAATAGTCCCAAAATGTTCTAATGTTGACTGTCTTTTAAAGTTGTTTTTCCTCTAAATTTTACTTGATAAATCATTTTAAATTCGTTTGTACAATTTTTGAATTTGTTCTCTTACATGACACTAGATAATTGTAGACCAGGCAAAGTTTGTATACTAACTGACTCCCTGTCTACCATCTGGTGTTCCCCGCCCCCGCCACCATAAGTGGAACAAACTTCCTTCCAAAAAAATTTACAGCAGTCACAAACTGCTGTTTATGATCATTTTAGATATAAAATTCCATAACTCAAGTTAGCATTGACATTTTATAAGTGCTGTCAAGTCACTCTAGGGAATGAAAATGAGCATCTCACTATGTGCTCTGAAGTGGGGACATATTTCTCTGCTTGTTATGGACGGTGAGAGATGGCTAAATTGAAGCAGAGAAATATTTCAGTGATGCAGAGCAAAGGTGACTTCCTGTTTTGTTTCAGGTTTTGTTTCCTTCTCCTCTCAATGAAGGCTGTGTTTTCTGACATTCGGCAATCCTTTTGCTCAGTGATTTCCCATTGAGAGGGCATAGTGTGAAGGCCTCTGCAGGTCATTCCATTTACAATATAAGCTGAAAGGGTAGAGTGGGGCGGGGGTGGGGGGAAGAGGGAGCTCATTAGTGGAAGAAGCAGACCAGGAGGGGATCTGTTTTCCATTTTCTCCTCCAGATTGAACTCATCTGGATGGAAAGGTTTTGATTGTTGTTATAATCATCATTATTACCTGCGTGATGTCGTTTTCCTACACTTTTTTTTTAAGTGTCGGGCAGAATTGTTGCTGAGAATAACAAATAATATCTGCCATGTTATCCGTGAGCAAAATCAGAAAAAAAAAGTCCAAGTGTATTAGAGCTGTTAGTTTCCACGTTAACCCTTAAGGAGCAAAGCTCAAGAGTTCTAATTCCACTAGGTGGGGGGGGCGGGAATAGAAGGAAAAAACCCCTTTTCCTTGCTTCTGGTGGCCTATTTGTAGTCATGAACAGCATTTCTTTGTTTCTCTCTCTCTTTTTTTTTTTTTTTAAAGGCAATCCTCCCCCCACCTCCTCCCCCGCAGTTATTGAAAATGGAGACCTCTGTAGTCACTAGCTCTGGGTTGATATGGCTCCACCGTTGCTCGCAGGGGTCTGTGTTTTCCGCTACTTGGACAAAGTGACATTGCTTAAGCCTTTCCCCCCACCAGGTCTGACTTTCTGCAGAGCCAGTGATTGCAGAGGAAAAGCTGTAGTTTGCTTAAAGGAAATACCTCCAGGAAGGAGGGTCTCGGGTGGGTTCCCAAGTGGGGAACTAGGGGGACTTTTCCGTAGGGAATTGGGGTGGGCTCTTCAGTGAGGGGCTAGGGGCTCGTTTCTGGGGCCAAAGACGGGTTCCCTAGTGTGAGGGCGCGCTCGACTCGGCGCTGTCTTGGGGTCTCGCACTCGCACGGCTTCGCACCCCACCGCCTGCGACTCCCAGGCCTTCTCTTCCCCGGGCGCCCACTCCATTCTCGGGAAGAGCAGCCGGCACTGGAGGGCAGAGACTGCCCCAGGGGCGGAGCTCCCTCTCAGGCGGGAGGTAGGAAAGTGCAGAGCCGCCCGGGCAGAGGCACAGACGTCCCTGCGGGGCTCCTCCTGAGCGTCCCTCCTGCCAGCCAGGGTCGCAGCCGCAGCGGCGGCCGCAGCTCTTAGCCCACACAGGACTTGTAAACTCTTACTGCACCCTTCTCTCCCATTAGGAGCTTTTCCTCCCTCCTTCCCCCCAACCCCTCTGTCCTCCTCACTTTGGGGAATTTAATGCTTTCTTTAGCATCTTTTTGTGTGCGTGATCTAGGGGAGGAGACACCCCAGAGCTCCAACTAGCTCTCAGCTGAATTCTACTTTTGTTTTTATGTCTTCCTCGCCTCCTCTCGTGTCCCTCTTATCTGACTGATCTGCGAAGTCTGATGCTTCTGCCAGAGGGAGAGGAATAAATAGATGTTGCTGCTTCCGAAGGCTTAGACGTTGGGAAAGAGCAGCCTGGGCGGCAGGGGCGGTGGCTGGAGCTCGGTAAAGCTCGTGGGACCCCATTGGGGGAATTTGATCCAAGGAAGCGGTGATTGCCGGGGGAGGAGAAGCTCCCAGATCCTTGTGTCCACTTGCAGCGGGGGAGGCGGAGACGGCGGAGCGGGCCTTTTGGCGTCCACTGCGCGGCTGCACCCTGCCCCATCCTGCCGGGATCATGGTCTGCGGCAGCCCGGGAGGGATGCTGCTGCTGCGGGCCGGGCTGCTTGCCCTGGCTGCTCTCTGCCTGCTCCGGGTGCCCGGGGCTCGGGCTGCAGCCTGTGAGCCCGTCCGCATCCCCCTGTGCAAGTCCCTGCCCTGGAACATGACTAAGATGCCCAACCACCTGCACCACAGCACTCAGGCCAACGCCATCCTGGCCATCGAGCAGTTCGAAGGTCTGCTGGGCACCCACTGCAGCCCCGATCTGCTCTTCTTCCTCTGTGCCATGTACGCGCCCATCTGCACCATTGACTTCCAGCACGAGCCCATCAAGCCCTGTAAGTCTGTGTGCGAGCGGGCCCGGCAGGGCTGTGAGCCCATACTCATCAAGTACCGCCACTCGTGGCCGGAGAACCTGGCCTGCGAGGAGCTGCCAGTGTACGACAGGGGCGTGTGCATCTCTCCCGAGGCCATCGTTACTGCGGACGGAGCTGGTGAGTTTTGACACGGCCCACCCTTCCCTTACCCTACAGCCTCCTCAATTCTTGGAGTCCTTGTTACTAGCCTTTACTCTCTAATTTTTTTCTCTTCGGATCACTTAATCTCTCCCATAACTGCTCCTCTATCAAAGACCCTTCTTCTTCTTTCTTCTTTTTTCAAAAACAAAAACAAAAAAACCCTCACCTTATCACCTTCCAAACTGATGCACTCTGGCACTGTGTTCCAATAGGCGATCTTTCTAAAACAATCCATGCATTCCAAACCCATCACACTTCTACTCCACAGGAATCCTTCACTTCAACTCCTTACATGTGCAAGTAGCCACATTTTGTAAAGTGATGCTCTTTTTCTTTTAAAATGTGTTTATAATCATTGGGTTTTCTTTGCTGATTCTCAGGCAATCTCAGTCATCAGGTTTCTGTATCTTTAGTGTCTTAGATGCTTGTTAAGATTGTGTGGAGGAAACAGAAAACTGAAGCCCCATTTTCTTCTAATTAAAAATGCCAAGATAATTTCAATAACCTTACTCTAACCGACAGATGTTAGGGGTATGTGTTTGCTCAAGATCCAGTTTGAGCAATTACCTTCACCTTAAATTTCCCCCTCCTTTCAATGAGATAAATTGTTCTTCCATTCCAGAATGAAACAATTGTGAAACATTGCTATGCACTGTTAATTAGCTTCTGTGGCTTGCCATAGAGCTGGCAGACTGAAATTACTGAGCTCTTTTCACATGCCCACATGCCTTCAAGTCATTTTATAAGTGGCATACAGATGAAAGGAGTTATATTTAAGGCGTGTTATCATACACTCACGTAATGTTATTTTAAATCTCACCCCTTATTCCACTCTCATGTTTTGAAAAAAAAATTGTCTTTAATACCTTATTTCATGCTCCTTTTCCGTGTGTGCACCAACCACAGTCATTTCAGTCTTTCCCTACCATAAAACTTTATTGCAGCTCTAAATTTAATGGAGTCAATCACAAGTTGTTTTCTCACTAGTGTTTAGTCTAATTATGACATTTGTAACTTTAAGACCCCAACTAAACCTACTTCATTATGGTCCATTTAATTCTAACTCAGTATTACTTCTACCAACTAACCCAACCTCAAATTTTACCCTTCATATATTTTATAAAGAAGGCAATTTTTTTTCATGAGTGGTCCTCTTTCATACCACATCCCCCACCCCCCAACAACTCTGTTCTTAGATGTGTTGACTTGGTTGCCTCCATCTGTTTATTTCTTGGGCATCAACTTTCCTTCCTCTTTCAACTTGCGCAGTCTAGGCGCATGTCCCCAGTCCATTTCCAGGTAGTAATTCTTAGTTATCGGGAAATTGATTTGGAAAAATTACCTTCTGTGCACGTTGACTCATTTAACAAAGTGAGAGAAGGAGAAGTAATTGTAAAAATAGCTGAAGGAAAAAAAATAAACAGAAGAATTTCAAGAACTTTTTAATGGTGACCTCACTTAGTTTATCACTTTTTGAATATACCTATTGTCTTCTTGATTTTAATCAAGAACCAAAAGCTAGTTGTGCAAAATCATCACAGAAATGTATTTGCTATTAATCTTTGCTAAAAGAGCATGCTTGAGGCTTCGTACTCACTAAAGTCACAGACTGCAGAGTCTGGAAGTGCTCAGTGCAGTTGCCGCTCTGGTTTGCCAGGCACTTAGAATCAGTTAAATGCAGGTGCTCCTCTCAGGCCAAGGGCTAGGAATGAGGTGGCAGTGGTTCAGGCTGAAATGCATTCCTCCCCGTAAAGCACAAAACTTGCTCTTAAACCTCCCTTAGAGGTGGACCTAGAGTGAGTGAGGTTTGGCAAGGTTAATGGCTCTCAAAAAGCCATAGTCAATATGGATAGGAAGCAGTTTCATTAAGTGTCCCTGAGTTACCAATCACTGTGGAACAAACATGGAAACAGTTGCCTCATTGAAGCACTCAAATAGGACATGCATGGAAACAATTTGTCAGTTCATGGGACCTGATTTCTAAGCTTCTTTAAAATGCCAGAGTATTTGCTTTACTGGCAGCATCCTTGCTAGAAAAATAGGTGGTAGTTGGAATCATAGTTAGTGATGGCATCCCTGCTCCCTTCCATAAGCTTCAGTGTGAACCAGAGGCTATGATGGCAAGGGGAGCTCAAAGGTGGGGGGAGGTGGAAATTGGGAATGAAGTGTGTAGATTGTAGCCTGAAGGGTCTCCTGGCTTCCAGGGCCAGCTTGTTGAAAATTACATTCCCTATGCTGGGTCAAACTGTCAGACACCTGGAATTACTTAGGAACTACCACATGTGGCCAGTGTAATTTACCATGCAATATCCAATATACTCTTTGGTTCAGTGGGAAGTGATAGTTCACAAAGCAAGGTTTTTTTCTTATTCAACTGGGTATAAACAGAATCCCTGTGTCTTTTGACTAGTATCTGTCCAACTAGATATAAAAATGAGGTCTCCCTGAATAAAATAGGACAATCTTTCACATTCTTCTGATGCCAAGAGGATTTTCAAATCCTACCCATTCATGGGGATCTGTTCTCTCATAGTATATCATGACTCCACAAACAAGCTTAGGACCTTTTACAAAGCAGTCTTACTGAAATGGAGTAATGCTTGAAACTACTTTTTGCTTTCAAAATACTAAGGGTAATCATATTTTTGAAAAGAACGGGTTCCATCCTGACCATTATTATTCATCTTACACATTTTATATTTGCATAACTTTGTGTGACTACATGTACAACTGATTATCTGAAAACTCAGCTCAATTGAGTCATTCAGCAAGTTAGTGATGACATTCAGTCAAATCTTTAATATTGTGTGGTGAGTAAAGAGGATAGGCTTGGAGTGGGGCAGACCAGGTGTGAATGACTCTGCCCCGACATCAACTATTGTTATAGGAAAATTATATGACCTCTGTAATTCAAAGTTTTCTTATCTGTAAAATTAGGACAAAACTATCTACATCCCAAGGGCATGGTAAAGATGAAATTAAAGCTGGTGCAGTGGCTCACTCCTGTAATCTCAGCACTTTGGAAGGCCGAGGCGGGTGGATCACTTGAGGTCAGGAGTTGGAGACCAGCTTGGCCAACATGGTGAAACCCTGTCTCTACTAAAAATACAAAAATTAGCCTGGGATGGTGGTGCGTGCCTGTCGTCCCAGCTACTCCAGGAAACTGAGGCAAGGGACTCACTTGAACTCCGGAGGTGGAGGTTGCAGTGACCTGAGATGGCGCCACTGCACTCCAGACTGAGCGACAGAGCCAGACTGTGTTTCAAAAAAAAAAAAAGAAAAGAAAAGAAAAGAAATTAAACAGCATATAAAGCATTGCTTTAGTACTTAGTAAGCACTGAAAAAAGTGCTGCTGCTGTTTTACTATTATCACTGTTAAAACAAATTGACTAACATTTTCTATTTTGTTTTTGAAATGGTTATGTTGGTAAATGCAGATGCAGCCTAGAACTTTTATTAGTTCATCTCTGGGGAAAAACAAAACAAAAAAGCTTTACACTGGGACCTAACTGGAAAAACAAATCTTATTTCTTCTAAATATATAAAGTTAGTATTTCCTTTTACACAAATTGACCTAGACCTCAGGCTCAAGAGCAGATCCCCTTGGGAGCGACAGAAAAAAGAATGAGTCTGGTGGAGGAGTTAATTACAAATAATTCATCTCAGAAACCCAGGAATCAAGCAGTTAAGAAAATTTATGGTATGATATTTCACAGCTATTTCCACAACACCTACAGTTTGCCGTGCCAAGGGCTTTATAATCATTCCTCAGTCAGTGCTGGCTTCTGGGGCAGTGTTAACTTTTCTCCCCAGCTCTTGCTCAACACGTTTCTGCAGGCCTTCTCTCTCTTGGCATGAGCCGTGCCAACTTTCATATGCAGGAGCTGCCATTTAATCGTTTCTCCACTCTCAGAGAAACAGGCAGTCTTTTCTTTAGCCCTGTTCTACAAATATTTGAGGGGCCAAGTACCAAGAAGGAAGAATTATTTAGTGTGATATGAGGAGGAAAATGGAAAGGAGAAATGGAAATTTTAGATTAGAATTAAAGGGAAAACATGCTTCTGAGGATCCTTCATTGTGTAAAATACTGAAAGGCACTCTGGATGGGTTAGGGAAGAGTATCTCAGTGTTATGTTAGTAGTATTTAACTTTATTTAGAGCAACCCCCATTATCAGGAGTAATGTAATCTTATGTAGTCTCCAAATCTTAATAATTTACTTTTTATCTCATTCCCACTAAACCTTCAAATAGTTGTTGCTACAAATTGCAAAACTGACTAGGTTATATTTAGCTCTTCTAGTTCTACTTGGTGTCTAGAATGAGGAGACCAACAGCCAACAAATAGAGATAGTTTTGAATAATTAAGAATTGGCTACATCTCCTCAATTTAGAGAAAACCACAGTTTTAGAGTTACAGGCCCTTAGTTGGAATTCTAGATTTGCCATTAATTTTGTACACTGAACTAGTCGCTTGACATTGACATTCATTAGGGATTGTGAAGAACAAAAGAAATAGTAATATGAAGTTACTGATAAACGGTAAAGCACAATATAAATGTTTAACAACAACGTCATTGGGGAGAGGACGTGTCATCCTCAGGACAGGAACCATTAGCAACACAATAAAAGCAACCAACACTTATGTTCTAGGTGCTGTCCTGAGTGCATTTTGCACATTCATTATTATTCCCATTTTGGAGAAAAGGAAGCCAAGGCATATAGAGAAGCTAAGTTACTGTCCAAGTTAGCAGAGCTAGTAAGAAAAAGAGAATTCGAAGCAGAGCCTGTTCTACACTACACTTTGTCCCTTAAGAAATGTAATTCCTAACTTTCTAGAGAATCTGTTATTCTTTGCCTAGCAGATTGCAGTTAAAGGAACAAAGGTTTTCTCATTGTATTTTGAAGTACACTTATCTATGGCTTAAGAGAATAAAAGGTGGCTTCTAGACAATGGATTCAAAGAGATAAGAGATTCTGACTTCACTGCAATTTTGAGATAGTAGAGATTATACATTCCAGATTCTCATGTCCCTAGTCTCTCGGTCTCAGCATGCCCCAGCGTGAACTCATCATTTCCCCATAGTCATGCACTTGTTTCTTTCTAGTATTTTCTATATTGTTGAAAGGTACCACCATACCTTAGTAGTCCAGGCCTGGGAGGCAGTCTTTTTTTTTTTTTTTTTTTGAGACAGTCTCGCTCTGTCACTCAGACTGGAGTGCAGTGGCGTGATCTCTGCTCACTGCAACCTCTGCCTCCAAGGTTCAAGCAATTCTCCTGTCTCAGCCTCCTGAGTAGCTGGGACTACAGGTGCATGCCACCACGCCCAGCTAATTTTTGTATTTCTGTTAGAGATGGGTTTTCGCCATGTTGGCCAGGCTGGTCTCGAACTCCTGACCTCAGATGATCTGCCTGCCTTGGCCTCGCAGTGCTGAGATTACAGGTGTGAGTCACCATACCTGGCTGTGGGAAGCAGTCTTGATTCTACCTTTTTCCTCATTCCCCTCACTCAATAGGTATCACATGCTGTTTGGTCTACTCTGACTCAAATTCCCTTCTCTCCCTCTCTAATGCTACTTTCTTAGTTTGGACCTTACCATTTCTCACCAGGATTATGGCCATAGGATGATAATGGTCTCTCTTATCTCCAGTATTTCCCCTCCATATTCCAATAGACATTTTTTCTGAAATGCAAATCTTTTGCTTAAAATCCTTACTAATAATATATATTTTCATTTAGGGTAATTTGTTGTTAGAATTCCTAAGTTTAACTTTCTGACAATAATTTTTTGATCAATTATTAGAAAATTTTTGTTTTCTGTCTTACAGTTCTAACAATTGACTTCTAAGCATTTGTAAAAGCGTAGAAACATTTTCCTTTGAATAAGAATGGAAGAAGTAAAACACTCTCCTTGGCTTAGCTATTTTGAAGTGATTCCCTTTCACCAAGCAAAGTTTTATTTTTCACTCTTATTTCTACCTTTGAACAATAAACATTTCAAATATGGGCCAATATAATTTCTTCCTTTATGAAGACATTATTTTTGTATGTAGTTTATCACATGATTATTCAGAAATAGAAAAACCACTGGCACGTTACTGTAATACTTGGGTACATTTATCATGAATAAATGTTTGAATATAATGAAAGTATTAGTAATTAATAGTTTATGCCCAAGTTGAGCCAAATGTTTTAGAATTAGTGTTTGTTACTTGCTTATCTGTTTGTTTGCTGACTGCTGTCTTTTCTTGGATATTGCTTTTTAAATACTTGCTGATGATTACTAAACCTGGGAAAGTAATTCATTAATTGTAATTGTGGGTGTTATAGTCCTAAAATAGTATTAACCCCTTGTTTAATTTATTCCTGATAGGACCTATAAACAAAAAGGACAAAGGAAGAATACTATTTTCTCCTAGAATAAATAGAGGCATTAAATTAGTTTAGCATAAAGTGTTACTACAAATGTAAAACTCTTATATAAAGTACTAAATTGGAGTGTCAATAAGGATATATTGCTAGGTACAGCATCTCTCAGCACGGTGTTCCGCTGGTGCACTGTTATTCATTAGAGGCTGCTTTCTTAATTAGAACACAGAAAACCTTTATCATTACTATTTTCTGGGATTATGGCATCCTAAAAAGAATCAATAGCAATTTCTAATTATTGTCACATCTATTAATTGCACTGGCTTGAATAGTCCCTGAATAGTAGGTTTCTTTTCTGTTGAAGAATTATTTAGCCTGCAGTTAAAGGACATGAGAATGATTTCTGAGTGTTCGTTTAGGAACTAAGGATTTAAATATATACCAGTTCAGTGTGATATGTCCATTTATTGAAGATGCGTTTGGTTTTTTTTTTGTCATCAAGTCATAAGTGTTGGATGAGTGCCTAATATTTGCATAGGCTTTATCATGATAGGATGCTTATCATTTACAAATTTTGTGAAATTCAAATAAATTATTAAATTCTAAAATTTTATGCACAGTTGAGTATTCAGAAGAGTATTTCCTTATAACCACATGAAAAAATAAGTCTCATCCATACTCAACCCATGAATGATAAGAATGCCGACCTCATGACGTTAATAAAAATCTACTTCCTTCAGACAATTGGATTCTTACCCAAATCAAACTTGTGACTGAGTTAGATTTTTATCTTTAGGAATTCTTGAAATAGATATGTTATAGTTCTTTTTTCTGTCACCTCCTTTCAGATTTTCCTATGGATTCTAGTAACGGAAACTGTAGAGGGGCAAGCAGTGGTGAGTATATCATTATCTTCCTGGTTTTCATTTGTGGTCAGATTAGTCATTGATGTAATTTAGATACTTAAGTCATTCATGGGGAAGCTTGTGCCCTACATTTTACAAGTAAACTTTTTAAAATTCCCTCATTTATATTAATTTTATTTTTAAAATTAGCACGTAGTAAAATTGGACTTTTATTTGGACATATAGTTTGGTACAGATGAATTTTAATATTATGTAGAGATTTATGTAACCACCACCACATCAGGATACAGAACAATTCCATCACCTCCCAAAACTCCTTCAAGCTGTATCCCTTTATAATTACAAGTTTTCCCTATCTTCATCCACTGGCAATCACTCATCTTTTCTTTATCACTATAGTTTTCTCTATTTGAGGTTCGATTGTCCATATAGACAGACTGACAGTACGCCTTTGAGACTTAACCAATTGCTGCATATATCAATGGTGCATTCCTTTTTATTACAGAATATTTTATTACTTGGATGTATGACCATTTGTTCACCCATTCACTCCTTCAAGGAAGTTTGGGTTGTCTCCAGTTTGGAGCAATCGCGAATAGAGCTACTATAAACATTCCAGTACAGGTTTTTGTGGGAATGTAAGTTTTTATTTCTCTAGGCTAAATAAGTAGGAATAGGATCACTGGGTTATATGGTAAGTATATGTTTAGCTTTGTAAAAAAGTGCCAAACTGTTTCCAAGATGGCTGTTCAATTTTGTGCTAGTAATGTATAAGAGTTCCAGTTGTTCTATATCTTTGCGAGCCCTTGGTATTATCAATATATTTTATTGTTAGCCATTTTAATAGGTATGTGATAATAGCTCATCATGGTTTTAAATTGCATTTCCCTAATGGCTAATGATGCTGAATACATTTTCATGTGTTTATTTGCTATCCACATATATGCTTTTTGGTAAAATGTTCAATAATTTTGCCCATTTTAAGTTGGGTTGTTTTCTTAATGAGTTCTGAGGGTTCTTTACATATTCTGGATACAAAAAACATCTTTTGGTTTTATTCATTTTCTCTATTGTTTCACTGTTTTCAATTTTATTGATTATTTCCTTCTGCTTGCTTGCTTTAGAGGTTTATTTTGCTTTTTCTTTTGTTTCTTAGAGTAGAAGCTTATATTGTGTTTTGAGACTTTTTTTTTTTTTTTGAGATGGAGTCTTGCTCTGTTGCCCAGGCTGGAGTGCCGTGATGCAATCTCAGCTCACCACAACCTCCACTTCCTGGGTTCAAGCAATTCTGCCTCAGCCTCCCAACTAGCTAGGATTACAGGTGTGCACCACCACACCCAGCTAATTTTTGTATTATTAGTAGAGACAAGATTTCACCATGTTGGCCAGCTGGTCTCTAACACTTGATCTCAGGTGATCCACCCACCTTGGCCTTACAGAGTGCTGGGATTACACACGTGAGCCACCATGTCCGGCCAAGACCTTTCTTCTAATATAATGTAATGCTATAAATACCCATCTAAGAATGACTTTAGTTGCATCTCACAAATTTTGATAGTTTCATTTTTCTTCAGTTCAAAATATTTTATATTTTTCCTTGATATTTCCTTTGACTTGTGCATCATTTGGGATTATGCTGTTTAATTTGCTGCTTTTTGAGGATTTTCCTATTATCTTTGCTATTTTTCAAATTCTACTGTTGAAGAATATACTTTGTGTGATTTCAGTTCTTTTAGATTTATTAAGGTTTATTCTCTGATCCAGGATATAATCTGTCTTGGTGAATGTTCCATGTACACTTAGAAAAAAGAGTATTTTGCTGTTGGGTGGAATGTCCTTTAAATGTCAATTCAATTTAGTTGATTAATACTGTTATTTAGTTCTTTTATATTCTTGCTGATTTTCTGTCTACTAGATCTATTGATTACCGAGAGAAGGGTGATTAGGTCTCCAAATATTGTGGATTTTTCTATTTCTTTTTTCAGTCTGTCAGTTTTGCTTCATGTATTTTGAAGCTCTGTTTGGTACATACTTGTTTAATATTTTTTATGTCTTATTGGTGAATTGATGTTTTCATTATGTAGTGTCCTTTTATCCTTGGTAATTTTCTCTGCTCTAAATTATATTTTTTCTGATATTGCTATAGGTAATTCAGCTGTCATTTGATTAGTGTTTGCAGGGCAAAACTTTTTCTATCCTACTTTTAACATACTTAAGTCATTGTGTTTTAAATACATTTCTTGTAGACATCATATAGTTGGGTCTTTTTAAAAAAATCCATACTGTTGATCTTTGTCTTTTGATTGGTATGTTTTGACCATTTGCAGCTAATGTAGTTATTCATATTTGTATTTAGATCTACTGTTTTATTTTCTGTTTGTGCCCTCTCCTTTTTATTCACATTCTCTTCTTTCTTTTGGATTGTATCTCTCTCTCTCTCTCTCACACACACACACGTATGTGAGATATATATATATCCTCATGAGATAATTTTATATTTTTTCTTTTAACAATTACATATCTTTTAAACAACTTGAGGAGAATAGTAGCCTACTGTATTTTTACAGATGTTTTAATTTCTATTATTCTTCCTTCTTTTCCAACATTCCATACTTCCTTCTGGTATTCTTTCTCTTCTGTTCTTCAGACAGAAGTTCTGTCTGAAGAACTTTCTTAAGTATTTTTTGTACTTGTTTTAAAGCAGTTCTGCTGGCAAAAACTTCTTTTTTCCTTTACCTGAAAATATTCTCATTTCACCTTCATTCCTAAAGGATATTTTCACTGCATACAGAATTCTAGGTTTGCAGTACATTTAGCACATAAAAAATATTCCACTTCCTTCTGGCTTCAATGTTTCTCATGGGAAATTGGCAGTCTTGCAAATAATTGTTTCCCTGTAAGTAATACATCAGTTTTCTTTGGTTGCATTTGATTTTTTTTTCCTGTGTCTTTAGTTTTTAGTGCTTTAATTATTACATGTCTGGGCATTGATTCCTTTGAGTTTACCCTGTTTAGGGTTATCTGAGCTTCTTGAATCTATAAATTTATAATGTTAGCCAAATTTGAGAAGTGCTTAGGAATTATTTCTTCAAATACTTGCTTTTTACACAATAGTCTCTTCTATGATGATATGAATGTTAGATCTTCTGATATTGTTCCACAGGCCCCAGAGAGGCTCTGTTAATTTTTTCTCCTAATCTTTTTTCTCTCTTGTTTAGATTAGGTAATTTCTATTGGCCTAGCGACAAGTTCATTGACTCTTTCGTTGGTCTTGTTCAATCTCCTACTCTCTGAAACACATCCAGATAGTTTTTATTTGTTAGTATATTTTTCAAAGTTAAAAGTTCCATTTGATTCTTCATTATATTTTGTATTTCTTTGGTAAGACTTTCTATCTTTCCATTTATTTCAAGGGTATTCACCCTTAATTTGTGAGGCATTTTAATCATAGCTACCGTAAAGTCATCTGTGTCACCTAATTGTCTTGTCCCACTCAAGTCAACATTTTTTTCTCTACATCTTCATGTGTAGAGTAATTTTGGGTTGAATCCTGGACATTTTGAATATCATGCAATAAAGCTTTGGGTCTTGTTTACTTAAAGTTATATGGAAAATGCTGATTTTCTTTTTTTAATTTTAGCAACAGTTAACCTAGTTAGGATTAGGCTGCAAATTCTGACTGGTCTTCTGTGGGTTGTGATTTTAATGTCAGTTCCATTTCCAAAGCCTTCGAAGTACCTTCCATATCTATCCCACATGTATACCACTCAGTGGCCAGTATGAGGTCAGAGCAATACTTTATCCTACAGTGCAGTTTTTGAAATCTGTGATACACTGTTTTATGTCAGAGTCACACATGCCCAGGGGTGACTTCAGTAGTTCATAAACAACTTTACAAAATCCTTTCCCAGGCTCCTTTATCTCTCTGATCTCCCTTGCACTTTTCAGTTCCTTGGAATTCCCCCGTTTTGGTCCTTTGGCTAGAAAGCTTTATCCTACTCTGTGATTTGCTTCTTGTGACTGCTCCTTCCTATGGGGCCAAGTGGTGGGAGGACAGAGAAAGAGAGAGAGAGACAAAGTAATGGGGATTTGCCCCAGTCTTTTGGAACTACAAGTCCTCCAATCAGAGGGTAAGATTCTCTCCTTCATCAAAGTTTTGGGCTCCTGAGGGTCTCCCTTGTTGCAGCCGTTGCTGTTACCACAGTCCCAGGATGCCTGGAGGAATGGAATGCAAGAGGCTGATATGTTAGAGATCCTTTCCACTTCTTGAGTTAGAACTGGAGTGTACTCTGTCTGCAAAATGCTTGCCTCTACGATACAGGCTGTGTTGACACCAGACTGGTGGATACCAGAGGGAAAAAATGATGAGCCCACTATAGTTTTATGGTATTATTTTCTCCCCCCAGTCTTCCTGTTATGCTTGTATTACGTTTTAGAGTTCTTATGTTGCTGCTTCATGCACTCTGTTCAGGTTTCAGATCTGCTTTCAGTGGGAGAAACAAGATGGAATCTACTTATTCCATCTTACCATAAAATAAACCATTAAAGTATAACATGCATGCAGAAAAGTGCACAAATCATAAATGTGCATTTTCACAAAGTAACCACTCTCTGCAACCAAGATATGTAACATTACCAGCACTCCAGAAGCCTCCAAGTCACTACCCCCACCCTTCTCTTCAAAGGTAACTACTCCCAGGAATTCTAGTACCATAAATTCATTTTGCCTGATCTTGAACTTTATATAAATGGAATTCTACAGTATGTATTTTTGTATATGCATGTGACTTCCTATGCTTTTCATTAGGCTGTGTATAGCAGTAGTTTTTCACTTTAATTGCTATATTGTATTCTATCATTGAATGTGGTACACTTTATTCATTCTAATGTTCATGGATATTTGGGTTGTTTTCAGTTTTTGTTACAATGACTAATGCTGCATTTATTTCTACAATATGATAGCTGCGATGAGTACCATATATTCCATTTCACTTTCCTCTAGTATTTTGCACTGATTTTGGTGAGTATGTCCTGCCTTATAAGGTGTCTTATCTGTGGAAATGAAACATTTATTTTATTAAGTTGTAAATAAGTTTGAAATATCAACTTTCATTACATTGGGACAGTTTTCTCTGTTGACTTCCACTGAATCTTATCATGGTGATATGTTTGATCTGAGGGAATGTCTACCAAAGGTGTCCCAACAAATATTTATCCCATTAAATACATAAGTAAATTAAAATTATTTTAGAATTGTTTTGTTACTTTATATAATTGATAATGTTTTTCAATATCATGAAATCAGTTGGAAATCATTGCTGTCCAGTAATGTTGCTATTTGAAGGGTCACTCCTTCTATTATGTTTTCTCAACCCGAACTGAAAAGCTCATTTGTATAAAACTGCAATTGGTGGGTCAAAATTTCTGGCCAAGGACATGTATATGTTACCAATTTGTTCCAAAGTTATGGTTAGAGTAATATAGCACTTCAATGTATGAAAGAAAGAAAACACATCAACAACACTATCAACAATATACAAAAAACAGTTCAACATGTAAAACTACCTAGAACGAATGTGGTGTTCTCAGAGTCAGTGTTTACTGTTCGTCTTTTAAAAATGTTTTCCAGTTCTCTGGCATAATGAGAGTGATGAAAACAAATAGGCAAAACCAAAGCTCATTCTGTTTGTGAAAAAAACACTAACATGTTCACATGTTCTGAAAAGGAAATATAATTTGTTCACACTCAAAAATTTATGCTTTGGAGAAATGTAACAGCTGAGGTTGATCATGATAAAACAGGAAATGAGGAAGGCATGAAAACACTGTAACCCACATAAGGACCTCTTTCCAAAGTGTCAAGCTGTTTCTGTCTGGAATTTGGAAAAGAAATTCTTTCACTCTAGTTAATATATTCTTTGCCTCAAAGCTTAACTATTTTTTCTTTTTCTTTTTTTGAGATAATGACTCTGAACAGCATCCAACTGTACGTTTTACTGTTGCAAATTCACTATTGTAATAAGGAATAGATGCTCTTTATTTCCATAGCGTGTAATATGGAGGAAAACAATTTTTGTTCTATTTCACCTAGTCACTTGATCTATCAAATCAGCACACAGAAAATTAAAGCAGATATTCAAGTGGTCCAATGCAAAGGGTTTTTTTTAATTAAAATAATTCCAAAAAGTAATTCTTCCAATTTTCTGCTTTGTGAGGGTGACCAATTTATGAACTTTCACATTTGAAAAACACAAATGTCTCCAGAGCGGAGATAGAGTTGGTAAATTCTGACACTAAATATATAAATGTGACCAAATTATTTCTTGGGGCCTGTTTCCTAATATAAAATCAGATTGTATTGATCTGAGTTCCCTTCTGATTTATCTTAAATTAGGGAACATTAGTGTAAGTCAGATGCTCTCCCAGAGTTTTCACTAACCTGCTCTTGGCGCTGTTCCAAAGGTGCTCCAGAGAAGCTCCTCTGGGTAGCTGCCTGGTGGCCACTGAGCAACTGGAGATTCCTGATGACTGCAGCTGCCAGGCCTGCCCAGCCACTCCCACTTTTGCTGACATGATTTATGCTTAGCTTGGGTAGTATAGACCCATTCCCTCTCTTTCTTTCTATTACACTTCTTTCCTCCCTGCTGGCTTACTACCAATTTTGGGAAGAAGTTCAGTTTTTTTCTTTGGTACAAATGTTTACTGACTGTAGAGCCAACTTCCACACCTTATTGGAAAAAAAAGGATAGACAAATAGTATTTTTGTGATTTTACAGTAGCTTAAAACTATAGGATTTTTTTTCCCCATTACTTTGCAACAACTGATACTTTTGACCAGTTCTCTTTCCTAAGCATTTCTCTCCTTGAGCTATTACCCAAATTGTCCTAGTTCTTCTCTGCTTGTCCCTCAGCTATAGACAGTCACTGAGGCTCTGTGCTTGGCTTCTGTTCCTCTCTCCTCATAGGGATTCCTCCTGTTGGAGTTCATCAAGCTACATAGGCTGAATTATCATTTTTATGACTCTAGTTGTGATTACTCTCTAGGACCACATTTCCCTCCTGTAACACTTCTACCTGGGTACTCTTTGAGTACTTCAAAAATAATGTATTTAATTACTGAAGTTGTTTTTTTTTTGTTTTTTGTTTTGTTTTGTTTTTTTGAGATGGAGTCTCACTCTGTTGCTCAGGCTGGAGTGCAATAGCACGATCTCAGCTCACTGCAACCTCCATGTCCTGGGTTCAAGCAATTCTCCTGTCTTAGCCTCCTGAGTAGCTGTGATTACAGGCACCCGCCACCACGCCTGGCTAATTTTTGTATTTTTAATAGAGAAGGGGTTTCACCATGTTGGCCAGGCTGGTCTCTAACTCCTGATCTCAGGTGATCCAACCACCTCAGCCTCCCAGAGTGCTGGGATTACAGGCGTGAGCCACCGTGCCCAGCCCTGAAGTAATTGTTTAATTAAAACTTTCTCTTTTGTAACTTTCTCATTTAAGTATGTGACACCATTGCTTTTCTAAGTCCCTAGTACTGAAACTTTATTTGGTTTTAGTCCACCGATCTCACCATTCATTAGAAATGTAATGATTTGTCCTGCCAAAAAGCTTCTGCACATCAAAGGAAACAATCAACAAAGTGAAAAGACAATCCATAGAATGAGGGAAAATATTTGCAAAGTATCTGGCAAGAGCTTAATAACCAGAATATATAAGCAACTCTGACAATTCAATAGCAAAAACAAAACAAAAAACAACAAATAATCTAAAAATGGGCAAAAGATCTGAGCAGACATTTCTCAAAAGAAGACTTACAAATGGCCAACAGGTATATGAAAAAATTTTCAACATCACTAATCAGATAAATGCAAATCAAAACCACAGTGAGATATCTCACCCCAGTTTGAATGGCTTTTATCAAAAAGATGGAACAATAGACGGTAGCGAGGATGTGGAAAAAGGGGAACTCTAGTATACTGTTGGTGGGAATGTAAATTAGTATAGCCACTAAGGAAAACAATAGGGAGTTCTTCAAAAAACTAAAAATAGAACTACCATATGATCCAGCAATTTTATTACTGGGTATATATCCAAAAGAAAGGGAATTAATACATTGAAGAATATCTGTATTCCAATGTTTACTGCAGTGCTATTCACAATAGCCAAAATGTAGAATCAACCTAAGTGCTGATTAGTGGATGAATGGATAAAGAGAATGTAGTATATATGCACAATGACATATTGTTCAGCTATTAAAAAAAGTGAAATCCTGTCATTTGAAGGAAAATGGAACTGGAGGTCATTATGTTAAATGAAATAAGCCAAGCCCAGAAAGACCAATATCACACGTTCTCCTTCATATATGGGAGCTAAAAACAGAAAAAAGTGAATCTCATGGAGCTGGAGAGTAGATTTGTGGTTATCAGAGGCTGGGAATGGTAGCGTGGAGGAGGGAATGAAGAGAGGATGATTAATGAGGACAAATATACAGTTAGTTAGGAGGAAGACCTAGTGTTTGATAGATCAGTATGGAGACTATAGTTAACAATAATCTACTTGTACATTTCAATATGTACAATAATTCACATGTTCACAGCATAAAGAGGAATGTTTAATGTGGTGGATATTACCCTATAACTTGATATTTACACATTATATGAATGTATGAAAATATCAATGTACTCTGAAAATATGTCCATCTATTATGTATTAATAAAAAATATAAGGGACACTTACTCGTATCAGGCACAATATGTGCCAATGACATGGAATGAAAGAGCAAATAGGTGACTGGCACTCCCTTTCCTTTCACCTCTTTTCAATACTTGGCATTGAGTGGACACATGGTGTTCTAGAGGCTGTGAAGCCCCCTTTTCTTTTTGTTAATTGACTTCCTTAGAGTCTATCTCAAAACA
The DNA here is from genome assembly GCF_000001405.40 of Homo sapiens. NCBI lineage: Eukaryota > Metazoa > Chordata > Mammalia > Primates > Hominidae > Homo > Homo sapiens. The sequence goes on along the minus strand of NC_000002.12, from coordinate 182,849,906 downwards.
ACACTTCAGAAGTCATGAGGGAAAACAAGCATAATTGTATTGACTCTTTCTATATTTTGGATATTCTGAATAACTCTTGGATGCAGAAAACTTGTGAAAGGCAGTTTATTTGAAATTTTCCAAAGACAAAAAGGAATAAACTGAATTTCCTTTTCTTATTAATATAGCGTTAGTTCTGTCAGTCTTAAGCAATTTCTTTTACAAAGTGCAAATTACTGTGAATTGAGTCCTTTATTACAATATTTGAGGTTTGTTTTTACAGCTAAGTTGAGCAAATGTTACTTTTACTTTGTAAAGCCTTGTTATATCGCCTAGGTTCACCAGTCAACTTCATCACATTTTCCATATACTGGTGTAATCCAAAATAAAATTTAATATGATATTCTTTGCCCTGTGTATAGGTGTAGGAAATAAATATTGTTTTACATAGGTAATGAATGGTTACTAAGTCAAGACACACTTCCTTTTATAAAAAAATGAAAGAAATGTCTTATTTTTTGTTAATAGGACTTTATTAAGGTATAATTTATTTACAGTAAAATACTACAAATCTTAAGTGTATGCTGCATTTAAATTTTGACAAATGTATATATTTATGTAACCATCATCCAGATCAAGATAAAGAACATTTATTTATTTATTTATTTATTTATTTATTTATTTATTTATTTATTTATTTTGAGACGGAGTCTTGCTCTGTCGCCCAGGCTGGAGTGCAGTGGCGCGATCTCAGCTCACTGCAAGCTCCACCCCCCGGGTTCACACCATTCTCCTGCCTCAGCCTCCCGAGTAGCTGGGACTACAGGCACTTGCCACCACGCCCGGCTAATTTGTTGTATTTTTAGTAGAGACGGGGTTTCACCGTGTTAGCCAGGATGGTCTCGATCTCCTGACCTCGTGATCCACCCGCCTCGGCCTCCCAAAGTGCTGGGATTACAGACGTGAGCCACCGCACCCCGGCCTAAAGAACATTTCTTTAAATTGTCTGGTGTCTTATCACCCATTCTGCCCTGAGGCAAGCACAGTTCTGATTTTCATTGCCATAGATGGGTGTCGTTATTCAGCTTCACGTAAATGGAAGCATACTGTACACACTTGGGACTGGCTGCTTTGGCATACCATGGCATTTTTGAGACTTTGAGTTCTGTGCATCATTTTATTTTATTTCTAATTGTGTAAAAGTACACCCTTGTATGAGCATAATACCAATATGACTTCTATATGGTTCCTAGTTTAATATAGTTGATTTCTGAATCTGCAGGAGTTGTGCTGTTGTTGTTGTTGTTGTTCGTTTTCTTCCCTTTCATCATTGACACCAGGACTCTAGGGTTCGGGTGTTTTGTTTGTTTGTTAATGCCCTAGGAACAATAAGACCCTGTCGGTTTTCCATTAAGTGTCCATTTGATGACTTGCAATTTTGGGAAGAGGGAATGTGTTCCATGGGGTGGAATCTAGGGATGTTTTACTATCGCCTTGTTTCTAGAAGGATAGTGGAATTGACCTCCTGAATGGCCAAGTGGTATATTGCCCATCTTCTGTTTTAAGGGCTATCTGAACAAGTTCCACCATGGCATCCATTCCTGCTGCTGTTTTGATAGCTGTGATGATAAGGTAGATGATCCATCTAGTGCACTGATTTCTTCACTTTACTAACCTGCTTGTCTATTCTACCCCAGCCACTCACTTCCATGAGCAGTTCTGGGCCTTTCAGTGGTGCTAGCAGTGGTGCCAGCATTGTAATATTAATTCTAAGAATCCCATTCTTTGCCTGCTGCCTCTTTTCATTCCAGATGATTTGTTGCAGTATCATCACTGCTGTTTTTTTTTTTTTTTTTTACCATGTTGAGATTACCTATCCATCAGCTACTGCTTACTATCTGCTAAGCCTCTGGCCTTCTTGTCTATGTGAGATATCATGGTCTACTGCAATACTGATACCCTTGAAGATACCCTCAATTTCTTTGCTTTCTCTTCCTCTTCCATACTCATCTGGCAAATCCCAACTCCAGTTATTTGAGAAAATTACTCAACTGAGGTGACTGGTTTCACTTTAAATTCAAGATAGAAAATTCAAATAGACAATCAAGATTGCCAAGCATTCTTACCCACTATAAGGTTTGCCTTTCTATTTGATGAAATAACTGCTTTATACTTTCTTTGCTTACATGCCCACATCCTGCTTTTCGTAGCCCCTCATTCCCCATAGCTGATGACTTCACTTCATTCTTCAATGAGAAGGTAAAAGCCATTGGAAAGAACACCCTCATTATTCCACCAACCAATTTACAAACTTGTCAATATCAGTACCTTTCTCTCCTTTTCCTTCTTGTGTAGTGGATAAAGTCTTCTAGCTTTCAAAGTCCTATTCTCTCTTTTGCTCAGGGTCCAGTCATCACGTTGCCAGTTGAATTTAGTGGACCCTTTTCTCTCTGAACTCATTTTAGCTCTGAGGGTCATTTGACACAGAGGACTACCCTGCTTTTATTTTGGAAGACGCTTTTTCAATTCCACACTCTCCTGTATTTCCTTCCACATCACTGGATGCTGCTTCTCAGTCTCCTTTATGGACTTCATATTCTCTGTCTTATATATAAAGATGTAGTTCCTGCCTAGAGAACTACAACTCACCCAAAGCTTTAAATATCATTTTCTCACAGTATATTGGAGGCCAGACTAGTTTAGGTCATTAAGTTATATGTTCTTATTACACATATACATTGTGTTTTAATTTCATGTCATGTATCACATGTGACAAATTATTTTGTGTGTACTTTCTTTGTTCAATGTCTTTATCCTCTTCTGGATTGTCTGTAGTGCCCATCATGTGTCCTACATGCCTATCACAGAGCCTGGAATGTAGCAGATGCCCAATATTTGCAGAATGAATGAATTCATATGTAAGTGACTGAAAGAGTTCAACAAATGTTAGTTCTCTTTCCCTTTCTCATCTCATATTTACAGAAGAATGGATACACCAGAGTTATGGAGTCAGAAGATACTACTATCAGTTCTACAGAAGAAAGACAAATTCATGGTGTGATGGATGTTACCAGATGTTAAAAATTATGGAACTGTTAAAAATTTTGGAACTGCTCATAGATACCTCGTACAGGCAGTTGGAAATATAGATCTAGAGCTCAGTAAAAAAGTCATAGTTAAGGACCTGGATCTTCAAATTATAAAATTTTATTTTTTATATCTTTTAAAATGTGTTGTGCTTTGCTCCTATGTGTTTTAAAATGGAGGAAAAGAGGACAATTGGGATTCAGGGGTCAAATGCCAGGATATGAGACTTACAGTGCATCTGGTAAAAATTAAAATGATTTAAACTCTGATCTGATTAGAAAAGGTCAGTCTTGAAAAAGTTATAAAGGAGATTGTAACACAAATACAATTGTATTTTCTTCTCTCCTTCCCCATAGTTTTTGACAATAAATCCTAAGCACAGATCTGAGGCTTTTTTTCCTAGAAAAAACAGAAAAATATCCACTCAAACATAGTAGTCCTCCAAAGTCATGGTACATGAAAGGTTATGAGAGTTTGGGGATCTGATGAAGTTAATTATAGTCTTACACCTCTGGATAAGACCCAAAAGCATTCAATTTCAAACAAAGGTCAGGGATAGTTAGAAAGTTTTATCACACTTAAGCTTGAACTCAAACAATGTTGCATTAAATAGTGACAGTCCAGTGAGTGTCATATTTCATAGCTGTATCAGGGACTTAGACTTCTTTAGATCTTCTAAGATCATATCAAAAATACTAGTATCCTTTTGTTTTTAAAAAATAAATGAGCATATTTGTATGAGCAAAACTGAATAAAGAAGGCTAAGATTCTTGTCTCCTCTGAACTATTTTGATCTTTATAAGAAGCTACTCTGAGGCAGCAAGGCTGTTCACTGCTCGGGCACTGCGTGTATCATGGGGCATTTCCCCTGAGCTGCAGACTAACTTCTGCGAAGTACTGGGCATGTTAACTTTGCAAACTCAGATTTCTTTCTACTAGGGTGATAAACTCATGTTTCTATGAAATAAACAGTCTCCAGGTTCATTAGCAGATATGTAGGAGATCATTAGTATTAGGAGAGTCACTAGAAAAATCAAGCAAGAGGAGTGGAAGGAATGTGAGGAAGAACTAAGCTGAAAATAGTTTTCTGTCCTTTCCATGGCTGCTGGTAAATGTAGCACTGCACTCTGTCCCACAATTGAAGGTATTGTATTAATTTCAGGCTTTGAGGTAAATGAATTGCTAATGTTAAAACTGCCCATGTTTGAAGATCTCTTTGTCACTACTTAGCCTATTTTGTCAAAACCAACTCCTTTAACTTTTAAAGTATTTTTTTTTCCTTACATAAAGCACCAAGGCAGATGCTAATTCATTTATAAGCTTTTCTTCTCAACAGTGAAATACAGAAAAATCAATATCTAATGGTTTTTGTGCAAAGCTCAGTAAATAATAGATTTCATTTTCCATTCTAAAAAACTTGTGCCATTAGGAGGTTGGGAGAGGAAGATTACTAGCAATTAAACAAGAAATGATGGTAATGCTACAGGCCCCCCAAAAAGAGTATCAAGAAATCAACTATAGGTAATAAAAATAAACTGTTACATCTGATTTAGGGTAGCAGGCACAAAAAAGGTGACAGCTAATGCATGCAACATACCTCTCTCTGATTCTTCACAATTTCACAGTTCTTGGGCTTGTGGGGATGTGTACGTTGATGTGTGTAAACATAATTCAGATGAGGATTATGTTTCAGATCTATTGATCTAAGATACCCTTTTCATGAATAACCTAAGATATGAATTTTTGGGTTGAGTAAGCATAAATGAGAGGAGGTTCTTTCATATTTGAGCTTTGTGGATATAAACTCAGCTTCTCCTTATTACTGTTATTTTATCGAGCTACTTGAACTATACAGATAATTTGCTTATGGCAAGAGCTAGGGATTGGGACATATTGTCCCATATAAATATTTAAAATATATATTTAGTATGGCATTGTCACCTTGGAGACCAGCAGAAATAAGAAGTATATTGCAGATGAGCAAAATTTAGTCCCGAGAATATTTGCTTAGCTCATTAGCTGTTAGGTAATAGTCTAGCTATGTATATGTAGTTGTATGCATAGCTTTGTAAATGCCTACTTGAAATATTACTAAATCATTTTGTAATATAATTTAAAAAAATCCCTGCCTGGAAAGTTTTATGGAATCCATTTGTTTATGCTCCAAGCAAAGATATGTAAGTAACAACATCAAATTAGACTCAATTCAGTGACAGTTGCTATAGTTTTTGCCAAAATTTTTTATTTGAGCACATGCAAATTTCTGAAGAATTACAAATGTGTAATTTATTTACATGACTTATTTTTGATAGATATTTATTTTTAAGTAGAAAAATCACAAGTCTATATATGGATGAGGATAATTTATAAACCTAATACCATAAAATTTACGTCTTCAGAAATATTCTCATCTCAAGAATATCTCTTTAAAAATACATGTAACATTTTAATACAGAATAAAATACAGAACGCCAAAAGCTAGGTAACTTTTTGTTCTCTTTTAAATGATAATACAATCATTTTGCTAATAAAGTTATTTTTGGAATAGTTTTTGTCAAAATAGCAACAAGCACTAATGTTACTCATTGTTTATTGGCTGAGATCTTCACAGAAATTGTGTGCTAAAAATTATCAGGAGAACAAGGGAAGGAGCTGTGTGTGGTATTGAGGAATTCTCATTTCTGTCATGGGCAAGAGCAACAGTTGCTGCTGCTACCTATCCCCAGTAGAGATACTTATTTCTCTGGCAGGAAGGGTGATACTCTTTTCGGGACTGCTATGTTAAAGTGTATTATTGACAAGTTCAACTGGAAATAAAATTTATTTTCATTAGAAAATACAAGTGGTCAACAAAAGCTTCTGCCTTTTATTGTTCCCCATGTTAACATAAAACAACTTTTTTTTTTTTTTGAGACGGGGTCTTACTCTATCACCCAGTCTGGAGTGCAGTGGCTTGAGCTTGGCTCACTGCAGCTTTGACTTCCAGGGCTCAAGTGATCCTCCCAACTCAGTCTCCTGAATAGCTGAAACTACAGGCACACGCCACCACACCAGCTGATTTTTGCATTTTTTGTAGAGACGGGGTTTTGCCACATTGCCCAGACTGGTCTTGAACTCCTGGGCTAAAGCAATTTTTTTTCCCCCACCATGTTGGCCTCCCAAAGTGAGTGCTGGGATTACAGGCGTGAGCGCTTGTGCCCAGCCATAAAATGCCTTTTAAGTGAAACTTTTTTTGTTGATGTCCTTTCTCTAATTTATGTGTTCTTATTTCCTTTCTGTGTCAAAAGAGAAGCACATACCATTTAATTTTTACTAAAGCTTTCTCAGGGGCATTATTTAAAGAAATCTTTACATATAATTAAATATTTTAAGATAATTGTGTATTATTTTCTACTTTTATATTGACATTAATTCCTGACAATTTGCCATGCTTATGATGTATATTTCTTAGCTAAGTAATATTAGCTTTGTAGCTCTTCTATAAAAGGTATAATAATCTACTCTTCAAGGTGTCAAATGAATCTACCCTATAGATGAAACATTTTGAGATAATTAGAATTGTTATTATTATGATGGCCAAAACCACAACTCCTTTTGTACCAACCTAATATATACATAAAATATGCATTCTGGTCACTACTCACCAAATATTGTTAAAAAATGAAATTTCTCTTTTCAAAATACCTGCATAATTTCCTCCAACAAGCACAAAAATACCATTGAGTTGAATGGTAGCTATTTTACCTATAGAAGGGGCTCACTGCCCCTCTTAAGAACTTCACCAAGTTCACTGGGTTGTAATAACACTTGCTTATCTCTTTGAGTTGCTTTCAGATCTAGGAGCTAATAGTAGGAGGAGTACTGTGTCATCTGTTAAAAGTAAAAAAACATTAGGTGATAGTCCACAGGGCAAACCAGCTACCTGAGCATAGGCAGAAAATTGCCTCCCAGTTGGTATTCATAATATTAATACTTCCATAAGCATAAAGCATACCTCTTTCAGGATTAAGGGGTCATGCTCTTCTCATGCATGGGGGTGAACAGCATTTCCTCAGGATTTGGGTGGTTTGTTGAGAATGGAAACTCGTTCTCATGAGCATACTGACATTGAATAAGAGGACATGTAGATAGAATAAACATGAATGTAGTTCCAGGAGAAAAAATTCAGACACACAGAATTGACAAGAGCCTTCTCACCACCAAATTGAGATCTAGTCTGAGCAAAAAATGTGAGTCTGAGCAAAACAAAAGAAAGCTAATATTGGAAATGTGCTTATAACTAAAATGTGTTTTTCAGAACGCTGTAAATGTAAGCCTATTAGAGCTACACAGAAGACCTATTTCCGGAACAATTACAACTATGGTAAGGAAAATTTCATGGTTGATGTATAAACTGCTGTGTTAAGAGAGGTGTGTGGATGCACCTATGAGGATGTGCACATGTAAACGAGTGGAGCCATTTAAGAATAAGGCTTAAAAACAGAAGGACTATTTTTAGGAGCATAGTCCCTCTGCCCCGACCAATTAAAATGTCTCACACGGGCAAAATGCTTAACACTTGGTTGATGTTGAAGCACATCAAGCAGTATTGTCATCCTAGAGCCATGCACTTAAGTACACAGAGATAAGTATCAAGATACATGGGACTCTTCCCTGCCTGGAGGCTGAAGGAGGATTTGAGCTCAAGTTGGGTTGCATAGGCCATCAGTTGTGCTTCACTGAGTGAACAGCAGAGCACTTTGATGCATAAGGAACTGTTAAAAGACTCAAACTTGACTTCTTCAGTCAGTCTATCCCATGAAAAACACTGACAGATTTGGAAAGTAACACTTGTAGAAGTTGCTGGTATTCAGCGAAGGAAATGTGTTGTTATCTAGCTTGACTTAAAATCCGACATTCTAATAAACTAAATATTAATTGAAGAGCCACCAATCCAAATGTAGCTGACAAACTTAACTGAAGGATTAAAAAGCCTGCCATTTTTGCATCAGGGACTGTGCTAAGTGATTTCCATACATTATCTTTAATTTTCTCAGCTGCCCCATGAGATATATTACCATCTTGATTTTATCAATGATTATCGAACCTAAGTAGTCCCTTCTTTGATTGTTCACAATGTACTTTGGATGCTGGTGTATATTTTAGAGTCATAAATTCATTTATACAGTCATTATATTTAGAAAGGGCAATTAACAGAGCTTTCCCGTTGACACATAAGGGACTGATATTTACTGTATTCCATATGCATTTTGATTTTTTCTAATATCTATGGTATTAATAAAAGGTATGTTACTATCTCTGCATAAGACTATTGATGTTGAGTCAATGAGTAAACATGGAGATTAAACAGACTTTTACAGTGAACCTTATTAAAATAAGAGTTTTATTATTACATTTATGTACACTATTTTAAAGTATATAGGATATATACAGCAGATTTATTTCTTCTATACTTTTGGGAATTGAAAGGAGAGAAATGAATAAGACTGTAAAAGTTAGCTTCAATATCTTTCAAAATGCAGTGTATTAAAAAATATAAAGTTGAAAATTTTGGGTTTAGTTAAATCTCTTTAAAACAAATCCACCTTGTTTCCCAAATTTTTCTTCAATGGAATTAATTTCTATGTTTTGCCTGCTACTCCTCTTAAGAGGATTGTAGCTTTTCTTAGTCAATGATGGATGCTCTTTCTAAGTTTGTAAGCTTATGTTTATGTAAGAAGTCAAATGCCTGGCTGCTTATCTAAGAACCCGCTTCTTTACAGATTGATGTGAAGAAGCCTAGGGAAAAGGGAGCCCTTAATTTCTAGGAGATTAGCTTGTTAAGATTGAAAAATGCTTTCTGAACTTTTATATACTGTAACACTAAGAATAAAAACATATCAATTTTATATCAGGGAAATGTAATTATTTATATTTAATTTATGTATCCTATTATCAAGTTTTATTTTATCTAGCTTCTGTAGTGCTTCAATGGTTGTTGCTGTTATTTTTGTTAAAAATTGAATGACAAGTCATGGAAAGTGAAGGTCTTAGAGAAAGTAGCTGAATGAATATCATAATAAAATGGGATATGGATTATAATTAATGGAAAGGAGCAGATAATTTCTTTTTTGTAGCCAAGTAATAGCTAAGTTGATCATAGTTTCAGGATTGCCATTTGTCTGGGATTTCTTACAGTTTCTTTGGGGAAGGGAGGCACTCAAATGGTTAAATAGAAGGAAGAACTCTGAAAAGGAAGTATATTTTACTTCCAAAATATTTTTATCTTCTATATCTGCATGTCAAGGTGGGAGCAGTTGGAAATTCAGACAAAACCTCTACTTCATTTAGATTAATTCTGGGAAAAACTCCTTAAGTGTTAACCAAATTACTTGAGTGAAAAAGTAGGTCTTGTAGAAAGATATTTATTTTGGAGTGGGTACATGTGCTAAACATTTCTAATGAAAATAGTAGACACTGGGTAAATAAATCATTAGTTTGAGAACATTTGCACAGTTCACTAATCTCTAATAGTTGATGGATGCTATGAAGCACGTTCACTTAAGCCAGGACACACAAAAATGCCTGCTAGCTGGGGTTGTGAATTTCTCATCTGATTCTGCCAAATGGCATTTCAAAAAGGGCAATCTTATCTTTTGTTAAATACAGAATAGGGAGAACATGAATAGAAAGAGGCTCCACTTGCCAGTCAAACCAAGCGAGGACAGTTGGGTAGTTACAGTTTGTTTGCTACACGTTCTCATACTTGAGGCAACTAATTCTCGGAAGACTGAAATGTGAAGCTTTTAGAATTCCTTAGTAACTAATTTCTGTCATGTGTGTTGTACTGGTAGAATAAGTTTTTGTGACGAAATTGGAACATTAATGGGGGGAATGGTTGATTAGCTGGTTTTATATTTTTCAAGGATTACTTTCTTCTAATCCTTTATAGTCCAAAATCTCTAAAATATGTGGGAAAGTACTCAGATTAAAGTGGTTTGCAATTATGTGCCTAAGAAGTTTTTGAAATGTTGACTCATTTGGATAAACGGTGTTTTCCTCTATATAATGTCCATGGATAGTGAACTGGAGCAATGAGGGTACTGGGAGAAATGCCACTGGCTTTTTACTGATATTTTTACTTCTTTCTTGGTGTTTTAAAACTTCTCTTTTTAAAAGCTCATTTACTAGAAGCAGGAATCTGAACAACTTGACTCTTTTAAAGGGGAGAGATACAGAAAAGAAGCAGATCTGTACTTTCTAGATTCTGAGTCACATACTTTAACTTTGCAACTGAAGGCAATTTGTTGTTACATTGATAAGTAAAGCAAGTCTTGTGAGATAAATTGGGTGCCAATATATCCATTGAGAGAGGTAGAATAATGCCATTGACACGTGAGAATATATTCCATAGCACGTGAGGGAAAGGAATGTTGGAGTGTCTGACTTCAAAGCAGATGGAGGAAATAAGATCTAGTGGTGACCATTTTTATTCAAGAAGTAAATATAGCCCACTTAGAGGAGAATATAAAAGATAATCTGTACTGAACACAAAGGAAAAAAGGACCTAATATCCGAACAAAGAAGAAAATGTAGCCCACCTAAAGGAGAATATAAAAGATAATCTGTACTGACCACAAAGAAAGAAAGGAGCTAATATCTGAACAGTGAGCCAAGATGAGGAAGGTGAAAAGATTGCAGAACCAGTTTGGGAACACTACTGAGCAGGACAATTTTATAACATTACAGAGGCCCACTACTTGAGAAAACCTGTTAATGGACCTGATAAAACAGTGTCGACAAGGAATAAAGCATATTTAAGTATTAGGTCTTTTCATATAGTAAAATTAACATAGTTTAAATTCCTCTTGGCAGCAATTGGAACTGCACATGCATATATACACATCCAAAATGGAATTTTAGAGAAAAATTGTATCAGATTGTTGACTCAATCTTTGATTCTCTAAATGGATTTCTCAAAAGCACATGCACACACATGCATAAATACATGCAAATATATACACAGCCACAAATTGGAAAGAGAGCAGGGCTGAGCATTAGGTCAGGTGTGTTGTTTTATGTCACACACTACAGTCTAAGGCAAAAATATCTGGCTGACTTTTCTGTTCCATTCGTTGAATATCAAGTGGATAAGAATTAACTAAAGAGAAGCCTACTTTGGCTTTTTTTGAATGGGGTAGCTATTATGTGTCATATTATTATCAGCTTTTCTTGTCTTTTATCCCAGTCATTCGGGCTAAAGTTAAAGAGATAAAGACTAAGTGCCATGATGTGACTGCAGTAGTGGAGGTGAAGGAGATTCTAAAGTCCTCTCTGGTAAACATTCCACGGGACACTGTCAACCTCTATACCAGCTCTGGCTGCCTCTGCCCTCCACTTAATGTTAATGAGGAATATATCATCATGGGCTATGAAGATGAGGAACGTTCCAGGTAATTCACTCTTTAAGGATACAGAATAACTACTTTGCTTATCCTACTCTCATTAAATTTGTCTCTAGAGATGCTACCCTCGCATTTTTACATTGGGATCTGTCTACCTTCTTGGGGATTACAGATAAGTTTTAGTTGGGTTTCTTGATTTCATATATGGAATGGGTGTATGCGTGTAGTTTATAGGTTTACATTTTTCTTGGGAGAGGGGCCATAACTTCATTTGTTTCTTAAAGGGGTCTGTGACTTACAAATGGTTAATAATTACTGTTCTAAATCTTAGCTGTCCTATTCAAGAATAAACATATAAGTCTTTCTTGTTCAAGTACTGTTTCCTTGTACTTTTCAGTAACAGGTTTTAATTTTTCAAAAATGTTTGCTTCTTTCAAAAATACAGATTACTCTTGGTGGAAGGCTCTATAGCTGAGAAGTGGAAGGATCGACTCGGTAAAAAAGTTAAGGTAAGCCTGTATTTTATGTTTGAAGTAATACACAGAAAACAAAACAAAAGTAGAAAACCAGCCATCTGTCATTGAAATGAAATAGCTGCCTTCAACCATATGAGAAATATTAAAATTTAGTATGCATATATTTATATACTCCAAGAGCTGAATTTGTCTTTAATGTCTATTTTATTTAAGGAATGAGTTCCCTGTATGTGTATCAAAGATCTAACTACAGTTGCCCTAATGTCTCTTCACAAGGAGTCTAGCTGTAGTCCAGTCCTGGTAGGGTGGTTTCATGTTGTCAGGCTCCTTCTAGCTTATCACTCTACCATTTTTAAAGGCATCGCTTTCATACTCATGTTCACCTGGAGGTCACAAGATGGCTGCTCTGCCTCTAGTATCACATGTACATTTCAGGCAGGAAAAAGAGGAGGTAAAAGGGATTTCCAAGAGCCTCATCAAGCAGTTTTTACTTAGCTGCAAAACAGGCTAGAAAATGTAGTCTTTTTAAACCTGGGGATATTGCTTCTTTGAACAAACTGCAGTTTGTGAGAAGGGGAGAATAAATGATGGGAAGGAAAATAAACAATGATGTCCGATGAATAAACAGCAATTCCTATGTACAAAGTGTAGCTACATTCATCTGTATAGAAGAGATCTGAATAAATTAGGTCCTTAGAGCAGTAATGTAGCCTTATTTTTAAGCCAAATAACTCTTAGATTGTGGAATTGATACATTTTTTAAAATCACATAGTACAGTACTGTATTATAGAAGGTTTTGTTTCTTCTTACTGCACTAAGCAAATCTGTTTTAAAGAAAAGAATGGGGTGGGGGAATGCATGGGGGGACAAAAAAATCTCAAAGGATGTGTGGGTGGGTGGGGGGAGTGGGAACTGTACCAAACATAATACATCCTCTTCCTTCTGCAAGTTTGAAGGCTTGGGAAACATTTACATGGTAAGTTAAACACCCCTGGGCGGTTTATCTTATACATCTGGCACTTGACACGGCAGACACGTTTGGGTTTAAGTGACCTACAAAAATGTAGAGGGCATTATTTTGTAAGGAGAAACTACCCTCCAGTAAGTTCTTCTCCCCTTTAGTAGATTTGTCAAAAGGGAGATGCATTTCAAGTTCAGACTTGCGGGCATTCTCTCTGCATCTCTCTTCAATTAGTTTGGTGTTTATTAAAGAAAAAAGTGGCTCTTGTTCAGTATGTTGGAATCTCTTACTGTCTTTAATTTGGTTTTCTGCTTGCTAATGCAGAACTGGAATTTGTCCTAAATTCCTGTACCAGTTGGAAAAGCTTTCAATATCCCTGCTGCGAAGCATGTAACAAGGCTTACTGCTCCTCTTTTGGTACCAAAACAATATCATTGTGTTGTTGACAGGACACATGGCTTGTTTGTCCTGTTTCCCATTGCTTTCTGCAATATTTCCCATTGTTTTCCGCAGGGGACTTGCAGAGTTATTATTGTAAAGTCATTTATATTCTCAGTCTGGATTTAAATATTCTAAAGGAAAGAAACCAATAATTTGAACAATTTTAAATTCATATGCAGATATTGAGGGCTAAAGAGTTTGGGTAGAAAATCTCCTTTGGCCAGAATTATTGAGATTCCTATTTTAGTTTTCCAGTCAATTTGAAGATGTGTAAAAAGAGTTTTATGGAGGATGTTATTTTTTCAATCAGATTTGCTCTTAGCTGAGTTTTGCTCTCAGTGGATGAATCAATAATTTTATAAGAAACATTATTATGTTTTTTTCATGCAAATGGTTGTTTACCTAAGTCTCTTATAGCAGACGATTCAAGATGTTTGGACTTCCTTGGGAAGTTGAGAATCAGACTGTTTTTAAAATATGAAGACAAGATTGTGGAGTAAAGAATACTGAAATGAAGAATTACCTTCAGTAACAGAAAAACAATAACACATTTACTATGTGCTAAGCACTTTATATTTTTATTAATCTTCAGATGTATCTACTTATAAGTAGATTCTATTATCAGTTCCAACATATACATGATGAAAATGAGGTCTAGTAAGTTCAAGAAACTTCACACAGTAAGTGGTGGAGTTAGAATTTGAACTTGGGCCATCTGACCCAAGGATCTGATGGTGCTTGCTCTTTAAAGTGTGGTCCCTGGATCAGCAACATAGGTATCACCTGGGAGCTTGTTAGTAATGAAAATCTTCGGCCCTGTCTCAGACCTGCTAAATGAGAATTTGCAATTTTAACAAATTCCCCATATGATATCCGTGTTTGAAGTTTGGGAAGTACAGCTGTAGTTCGTATTCCCTACCTATCCTCATGTAATATAACTTCCATTTAACTTAAATTACATGAAAATATTATTGACATTGTTAATATGAAATATTACTAAACTTGATTGTGTTTATTAAAAACATTGCTAATACCTGCTTTGTAACACTTAGAACGAGGGCAGGACCTTGTCTGTTTTATTCATTGTACTTAGTGGATATTACTTAGAAAAATATTTTTGAGACCCCCCCATCCCTCAAAAAAATTTCCATTTTTTTTTCACTGCTCAAATCACATAGACTTTAAAAGGCTATGTTCTTATGTGTATTAAGAGAGGATGTTGAAAAATAGCCTTCCCTTCAAATTCTGTGTGTAAATCTTCCATTTGTTGAGTATCTGTGAAGCACTAGCCTCCTGTATGTTACCTCAGGAAATACCCAGAGATATAGGGAGATATTTCTGTCATCATTTATAGACATGGACATTTTAAGTTTAAGGTTTGATAAGAAAGCATTACTAAATACATTATAGATGTTGCGCTTGTTAAAGTCAGAGAATAATGTTCATATTGCATCAGTTTTCTTGTTACCCTGGGAAATAGATTGATACTTTTGGAAAAGTAGCAAAATGCTTCAGAGATCTGAACTTGCAGTCTGACCCAGTTGTTAGAATCATGGAAATAATGACCCTGGTGATATGTGCTTGTGACTATTTTCTATTTTAAATTTCACAGCGCTGGGATATGAAGCTTCGTCATCTTGGACTCAGTAAAAGTGATTCTAGCAATAGTGATTCCACTCAGAGTCAGAAGTCTGGCAGGAACTCGAACCCCCGGCAAGCACGCAACTAAATCCCGAAATACAAAAAGTAACACAGTGGACTTCCTATTAAGACTTACTTGCATTGCTGGACTAGCAAAGGAAAATTGCACTATTGCACATCATATTCTATTGTTTACTATAAAAATCATGTGATAACTGATTATTACTTCTGTTTCTCTTTTGGTTTCTGCTTCTCTCTTCTCTCAACCCCTTTGTAATGGTTTGGGGGCAGACTCTTAAGTATATTGTGAGTTTTCTATTTCACTAATCATGAGAAAAACTGTTCTTTTGCAATAATAATAAATTAAACATGCTGTTACCAGAGCCTCTTTGCTGGAGTCTCCAGATGTTAATTTACTTTCTGCACCCCAATTGGGAATGCAATATTGGATGAAAAGAGAGGTTTCTGGTATTCACAGAAAGCTAGATATGCCTTAAAACATACTCTGCCGATCTAATTACAGCCTTATTTTTGTATGCCTTTTGGGCATTCTCCTCATGCTTAGAAAGTTCCAAATGTTTATAAAGGTAAAATGGCAGTTTGAAGTCAAATGTCACATAGGCAAAGCAATCAAGCACCAGGAAGTGTTTATGAGGAAACAACACCCAAGATGAATTATTTTTGAGACTGTCAGGAAGTAAAATAAATAGGAGCTTAAGAAAGAACATTTTGCCTGATTGAGAAGCACAACTGAAACCAGTAGCCGCTGGGGTGTTAATGGTAGCATTCTTCTTTTGGCAATACATTTGATTTGTTCATGAATATATTAATCAGCATTAGAGAAATGAATTATAACTAGACATCTGCTGTTATCACCATAGTTTTGTTTAATTTGCTTCCTTTTAAATAAACCCATTGGTGAAAGTCTTTTTTTTTCTCTTCTTTTAAAATAAATCAGAATTGCCGTATTGACCAGGAAAAGATTATGTATGCACGTGCACCAGGGTTAGTTTTTAAAAGTACATGGCTCCATAAAAATGCTGTAGATTACAGAGTGATAAAATATGCAGGTTTTTTTGTTTTTGTTTTTTCTGTTGTGTGTGTGTCTGTATTTGTGTACATGTGTGTCCTTGCACTCACACCCAAGGTGGATTAAAATACAGGCCTGCAAACTGGCCTGCACTTTATCATTTGGATTTGTGCTGCTTAATGCTCAGCGAAAAATGTCTAGTAAAATGAATTATGGTTGTCAGGAGAGAGGTTATTTCGACTTTTGAACCAATTGCACATTTCTCATTACCCAAGCTGTGGTGAGATCCCAGGGGCTGTGGTGAACAAATGATGCTTTTATAGATGGTCCCTAGCTTACAATGATTCAATTTACAATGCTTCAATTTAACAATTTGTTGACTTACAATGGGTTTATCAGGATGTAACCCAATGCATTTCAACTTACGATATTTTCAGTTTCGAATGGGTTTATCCAGATGTAACCCCATCGTAAATGGCGGAGCATCTGTACTTCCTTCCTCTGGCAGAGTTCCTTAGAGCCTGTGCCAATTACTTGAAAGTTTCATTCTCTGCCATTTACATGTGTGCTATTAGTAGAACCAAATTTCTAAGCTGTGGCGTGCTGAAAATAAAATGCTTATGAAGCAAAAATCGTGCTATGTTTCCTTCTACAAGGATAATCAAGCAAGGATGAAATTCATTCCTGAACAAAAGTTTCCTAAAATGGTAAATAATCATCTATCTAAATGTTCTATTTTAAAAGTGTGAGCTGGGTGTGGTGAGTGCACCTGTAATCCCCACTACTTGGGAGGCTGAGGAAGGAAGACGGCTAGAGCCCATGAGGTTGAAGCTGCAGTAAGCTATGATTGCGGCCACTGTACTCCAGCGTAGGCGATAGAGCATGACCCTGTCTCTGTAACAACAACAAAAGTGTGAAAGTTCATTCTACAAATTGGAGTCACTCATATCATACCCAACTAAAATGGAGTCGGGAGGCCATGGGGAAAGGCACCCAGGTCCCTGTTCCAGGAACCATTTTTGCAGTTCAACAGAAAAATCACGAAGACCTAACTCTAACCTTAAGATAAAGTTACCTAGCTGCTGCCACTCACCAATCAGAACTTGCTAGATCCTACAAGACGCGCCTGGCTCCAGTGAACTTTCATTCAAAACCATTTAGATCACCTTCCTCTCTTCCCCAATAAAACCCCAGCCTTTCTCTTTGTTCTTTGAACACAACTAGAGGCTACACTGGTTTGTGTGCCCAGAATTACAATTCCAATTCTTATATTCCCAAATAAACCCTTTACTTGGAGATTTATCTCCCTATATTTAAAGGTGACAGAGTAAGGGAACATTCCTGCCTTCTGATTGACTCTCCAAAGCCAACAATTTCCCCAGCCCCAGAAGAAAACATTCCCACCTTTGCCTATAGGACTGCATAGTCTTTTGAGCTTCCAAAAGACCACTTCCAAAGGGCTTGCCATCTGCCCATTGTTGCTATATTCTCAGATGGCAAGGACATCTCTTTTGAGGTGCTGATGTCCTACCCTTAAAAGGTGAGTTGGGTGTCACTGGGGAGTAATGAAGCGCCACCGTGGATGGACTGCCCCTGAGAATCTCTCTTCCTGGTATGTAAGCCTCAACTTGAGCCTGAGGACAGAGGGGTGGAAAGTAGTGCTGGTGCCTCAGCCTGTTTTCCTCAGGCTTTCTCACGTTAACTCTGTAAAGAAGGACAAGAATTGACTACAGGAGAGGTTTAAAGGAACCGTTATCTCAAATCCACAAACCTCAACTCTCTCAATGCACAGTAAGCAATGTTAAGTAAGGAACTCTTTTGATGTATAAAAGCTGCAGATGTTTCCAGCTTCTGCAGTTTTTTTTGGGGGGTGGGGGTTGGGTAAAGGGGGTATGATCAGTTTCTGTGTAGGAATTTGACACACTTTATGCTTAATATAAACAAAACACGGCCAGATTCTTAGATTCAGCAGTTTTTTTTTTTTTTAAACCACCTTCCATTCGGTGCCATTTTACAACCTACTGTTTTACCACTACCATCTATAGTGGCAATGTTTGATTTTGCTCACCTATATGAGGCTTCTGTCAGCTGTTTAAACATTTCTAATGGTATAAAGCCCATGAATAAAGTACATTTGGTTTTTCAGTTTGATAGCTACAATATCTTCATTAATAAACTGTGCAGACCTCTTTTGGGAGGATGGCGTGATTTATCATGATGGTCACGTTTCTCAGGAGACTGCAAAACCATTTCTACTCTAGTTGCCATAGTACAAAGACACCTCGTTAATGCCTCT
Source organism: Homo sapiens (assembly GCF_000001405.40). Classification (NCBI taxonomy): domain Eukaryota; kingdom Metazoa; phylum Chordata; class Mammalia; order Primates; family Hominidae; genus Homo; species Homo sapiens. Next base: position 182,831,610 of record NC_000002.12, on the reverse strand, counting down.
CTATAGGGTTTTCTTGCAGATAGTAACTTTTAAAGCCACTAAAAATTTAATATACATGCATCCTTGTCAGTAACCTTGAGATTGATAAAATTTATATTTCTTTAAAAAATTTTATTCAACTTTAGGATTTTAATTTTCTTAGCCAAATTAAAGTCAGATGCATGCTGAATAAAGTAGCAAATACTTAAATAGCAGCAAACATGGATTCTCTTTTCATGGATATGTATTTTACTGTGTCACATACAATGTAATCTGATTCAGTGCCATATGTTGCACCCAGCATTCAGGGATGGGGTGAGACAAACTGTCTTTCCACATGTGTTACACATTAAGAAGGCAAAAACAAAAGTTATAATCACTGTGAGCAAATAGCACTACCTATTGCCTTCTGCAAGAAATTATTTGCTGTTACATTTCAACAAGTAAAATGACTAAAGGTATTTCAAGATTGACATTTAGCACTGAGTTTTAACATATTTTAATACACAAAAATTCAAGAAGATGGTAAAAATAAAGCAGAGACTTCTAATATGGTGTTACTGAAATCCAGCCTATAAAATTTAAAAGTATGGTACCCAGATGTATTAATATTAACAAAAACAGTATAGTCATACCTTTCATAATTATCTGTTTGGGGTAATAACATCTAACAGTGGCTGGAACTCTATATGAAACACTTGTGCATATGTTACCTCACTTATTCCTTGAAAGTTGTTGAAGTAGATGTTTTATTCCCATATAACAGATTTTTTTTTTTTAAATGAGTATTTAGAACTTCAGAGTTGTGTAAGTAGCAGAGCTGGGCCTTAGATCCTCATAATCTTATTTCCCAAATTATATGTTTTCCACCACTGCAATTTCTGATAAAAAGGTAAATGCATCCTAGCACTGTAAAAAAAGAAAAAGCATAGTGTCAGGCATATAGTGGTAGCTATTGCTATTATTGGATTATAATAAATAATAATATAAATATAACAATAGCTATTATTTCTTAAACTGAGGTCTACCAACTATGTTAGAAAGCCTATATAATATAGGCCCAACTCTAATCCAAGATACAGTCACTTCACATCTTCAGGTGTCCTCCCTTATGAAATCAGAATTTCAGTAGAATTATTTCCATACAGACAGGCAGGTGAATTAAGTAATTTTGGGGGCATTAGTTGTTTAAAAATGTGTGACTCTCAGAAAAGCATTTTTCAAGGTTTCTGTTTTCCCTTGAATTTGTAGAAAAGTAAACAGTTAATTGTATTCAACAACACCTGGAAGAAAGTTGAAATTAAAAGTTGATAATTATTACAAATAAAACGAGAACGACTACTTCCACTGGGAACTCCCATTTCTCCTTTTTAGATTATGCCCCCTATGTTTCCCACCACCAGAGTCCTCCATAATCTAGAAAAACTATTCCACCTGACCTAATTCCCCCTGCTTTTCATTCATTAAGTATTTTCACTATGACAGGGATTCAACATGTTAATACAACTAAATATGTTTTTCTTCCGATGAAATGCAAACGTTTGTCATGTTTCTACTTAGGTGGTTGTTGAGAACTTGAGGAGTTGTCCCATGAAGAAGGAAAGGTTGTGCTCAAGGAAATTTGTCCAAAAAAAAAAAAAAGGATTTGTGGGCTGTTGAGGAAACTGACACAGAAATGAAAGAAAATGCGGGAAAGAATTTTCTACTCACCACAGGGATGTGGAGGGGAATGACCCCACTCATTACACAGTGGTACTGTGGCCACTCTTGCAAACAGCCACCACCTCCCTCCCCACACACTTAGCATCACGATGTGAGGTTGATGTTATGATTGCAGGGTTGGACTTAGGATAGTCTGGGGCCTCAGCAAGGGTGGGTCGGGTGATGTCTGAAACATAGGATAGCTCTGAGATGTTAAGAAGTCAATGAAACAGGGAACAAAGGATTTCTTGTTTATACTGGGTGGTAAATCCAATAAATAAAGCAGATGCAGTTCACTCTAATGTCTTTATTTCTACATTATTTTGGTGATTCTGAGGGAATCATGGCTTCCCAGAGATGGTATTCCTGTCCTAGCACTGAAAAGAAGAATTTGAGTTGAACTGTGGGACAACTTGGCAAAAGGAGAGATCAATATGAACAAAATTCCTATTGGAAAACTTTCTCTACGACCTAAAACTCAAGTAATATATCAAAGCTTTAAAAGATGCATGATACTCCAGGTGAAGTCTTCTGCCAAAAAAAAAAAAAAAACATGTTTAAATTTGGCCTTTTCTTTCCTTCTCATTAATTACTGGAATTGCCATGAGTCCCTTGCTCTGTGAAGGTTTCTCTTTCTTTGAAAATTCAAGATATGGTGTCTTGTAAGTGATCTAACCAGCCAGCTCTTTCTAATAAAACATGGCCTAAGATAAGAAAAACAAACAAAACAAACAAACCAAAAACAGAAAAAAAAAAACCCGTGATGCTCAGAAAATATTATACCCACAAATACTGAATTGTCCTGTCTGCTCACATTCATCTCTTTCCCTCCTGGCCATTCTTGCCTATTCTGCTTTTCCTCATATTGCTTGGCTAATTAAATCAAACACATAGCTACAGGAATATTTTCAGAATTGCTAGAAGATCAGGCATGATGCAAATATCTGATATTCTTTAAATCCATTGATCAATATCCATGATGCTCATTTCGATTCCTTTCAGGTCATCAGCTCAGGCAGTCTTGTCCTGAGGTTTTCTTGCCTACACGATGCCTGGAACCACAGCTGCCCACACTCCTTCTTCCTTAGGGACAACATTTGGAGACATTCAATCATTCAAAATGGCTCCCTCACCATACCTTGAGTAGAGCTTTGGAGTTAGGGCACTTGGATTCAAATGCTCACTTCGCAACTCATTGGCTGTTTAGCCTTATTTCCAAGCTTCAAGATTAGGAGAGATGAGCTGGATGGATTCTGTTGGGCAGTGCCTGGAGCATGATAGGTGTTTAATAGGAATCAGAATCATTCCACCTTTTACTCCCAGCTCCTCTCTATGAAGTACACACTTCTCTAACAGGGTTCTAGTGAGTGCTCACTAAGCCCAGAAGAAAAGTGGCTTTCGAGAGATCACACTTCCTGCCTGTTCTCTGTTCTCCATCTTTAAGATGCTGGACTCAAAAAATTCTCAATTTTTCTTCAAATTGAAGATTAAAGTTCTTTTCCTTTCCCTCCAGTGAGGCAGGTGTGCTTAAAATGCAGCATGATCAAGAGACTGGACAAAAGATTCTGGAAAAACCATATAAGTACTCAAATCTACAAATATATCACAATACAAATTTATGTTTCATTCCAAACACTTTTATTTATTTTGGCAACCAAAGAACCAAAAGACTTCTGCAGCCATGCTTTTTTTTTAATAATTATTATTTTTTAAGGCTAGTCAAGCAATGGGGGTGAAGAAGGAAGAAAAAAAGTCTGTAACTGGTAGTGATCAATGAGTTGTAAATACCAAGGCACTGGGACCAGCCTCCAACCATTTTTAAATATAGGGAATGGTAAACCTATAGGAATTTTAATGTCTTCATGCTGGTTATTTCTATGGAGATGTTAACTTCCAGATTAATTCATTTATTCCTTGAACTTTCAAGTGGAATCACGTTTTTATACTTTACTATTATCCTTTGTAAGTAATAGGTTACTTTATATAAAAGAGCAAAGTAAAGAAAACAATTTTCTCTGAATGTTATTTATAAAAGTTTGGCTCCCCAAAAAGGTTATTATTCATAGTTTAGGTCAGCAAGGAGAGACCCCTTGAAAAGATATGTGTTCTCAATAAGAGCTGAATTTTTGTCAGAGGATCTTCTTGGTGTTTTTCATTTCCCAGGGAGTTCCAGAAGTACTAAAATTATATCGAGACAAAGTGTTTATGTTTCAAAAGTGCAGGCTCTGCATTCCAGGCTACACACTGAGGGTTCTCAAAACAGAGGCAGCTTTTACTGAAACTGGGAAGTAAGGACAACTCATAAAGGCCTTGGACTAGTCCCTTTTAGAAAAACAGACGATAACCAAAAACCCAGCTGCAAAAGGAAGAAACTAATCCAGGGTTGACAAACTTTTCTGTAAAGGGTCCCATAGTAAATATTTAAGATTTTGCAGGCCATGCAGTTTCTGTTGCAGCTACTCAGCTCTGCCACTGAGGCTCAAAAACAGACATAGACCATATTATATATGTGAACAGGCATGGCTGTGTTCCAATAAAACTTTATTCATAAAAGCAGGCAGTGGGCTGAATTTGGCTGTTGGCTTGTGGTTTGCCTACTCTTGTGTGTGCCTAATAAAATGTTTCCTAACTAGCTTGAATTATTTTATCATTCTTGGAACTTAATGAAATTGGTGGTTTGGTAGCATTAGAAACTTAACTACTAACAAAGGTTACCTGCAATCTTACTATTAAAGATTCAGTCTTTTGGGTCAATCATTGTTGTCTTCATGAATCCACTTAAAATGCAAGGGCATATGAAATATATCAGTCCCTATTCCTTAGTAACAATTAGCTTATTAAGTAACTGGGGCTGAAAGGGGCTCTAGAAGCTGCCCGAGAGAACAGAGTGCCTAGAGCAGGGAAATGGGGACTGAAAGGGGAGAAAGACGCACACGAGAGAGATTTTAGCCTTCCCCTGACCCTCCCAACTGAAACAATTATTCACAGGACCCAATGGGCTCCCAGTAATATTATTTTGTTTCTGCAAAGGCTCATTCTTTAGGAATAAAGTCCTGCGTGAATGAGCGCCCATGTCCAGACAGAGAGTACCCACTTGGCTCTTGCACACCCATTCAACAAACACCCATTTTGCTGCGAGGCTCAGTGCTAGGAATTGAAAGTGAGAAGTAAAATAAGATAATCCAGCAGAGAAAAATCTGCATGTAATACAAGGTGGTGGAGTCTACAAAAGAAAGAAGAACAAAGGGCCATTCTTTTAAAAAAAATTCCTTAAACTGCTGGTCTCATTTCTCTCTTGCCCACCCTCCCATTCATTCTAGTATGATGTATTGAAATGTAGTCCTAGTGCTAATGATCACATTTTTAAGGCTGGCATGCCAGAGACAGTGAAAAATTATAAATATGGTTTGTAGTTGTCATTTTTTGAAAACCTGTTTACCCTTCACTGTTTTCTTAAAAATTTTCATTTTAGTTGCTAAAACTAAAAGATCTTAGGAAGTGTTGCTGTAGCACTAAAACCCTCTTGTATGTTTAACCTATTCACCATAAGCTTGATTTACAACTGCTCTCTTTGCTTGATGAATCCCACATGCCTCATAATTTAAACATCTTAATGTGCCTCTCACTGAAGTGGCTTTTTATTTGAATGCAAATTGATTCTGAAACTGCTTCCAATCAGAAGTTTGTGTTTAATATACTGCAGCTTAGAGTTAAATATCACCATACTAAGGTCAATATGCAAGGAATAGGATTGAGAGTCAGTTGCTACCATAATTAACCTAGCTCAGGTTCATTTAACCATAAAATATACACTCTGACTGACTGTTTAACCTGTCCCAAATAAATGAACGGTATAGATCCTGAGCCATTCACTCAACAAATGAAATGCAGTTTTCATATAAATACAAAAGAAACTTGAGTTCATTTCTAAATTTGTGTAGCTTTTTTTTTTTTTTTTTGAGGATTTTAAGGGATTTTCAGTGGAAGGCAAACAGGATTTTTGTAGCATTCTCCACCTGATACCCGACTAAGTCTTATCTAGTCCAAGTAAAAACAAATACAAACCATGTAAGATAGTGGCTTATTCATTCCACCCCGCCTCCTTTTTTTTTTTTTTTTTTTTTTTTGAGGCAGAGTCTTGCTCTGTTGACCAGGCTGGAGTGCAGGAGCCTGGTCTCAGCTCACTGTAACCTCTACCTCCCAGGTTCAAGTGATTCTCCTGCCTCAGCCTCCTGAGTAGCTGGGACCACAGGTGTGCACCACCATGCCTGGCTAGTTTTTGTATTTTCAGTAGAGATGGGGTTTTGCTATGTTGGCCAGACTGATATTGAACTCCTGGCCTCAAGTGGTCCACCCACCTTGGCCTCCCAACCATCCCATTTTTTAAAAGTGCACTGGAAGACATTTAATAGTCTCCATTTGTAGATAGTTCTAGAATTTAATAATTTCTGCTATTGGCAATTTACAGTGCAGATTTTAGCACAAGATGTCAAATTATGTGAAACATTTTGCTACAATTATAGATGTTATAATTTTCCCCAAGTATTTGTTCAGCCCTTTAACTTAAAAAGCCAAGTTTGAAAGTACTTCAAATTTAGATTGAATATCATCCTAGCAAGTCTTAGTAAAATCTCATGCTGGTTTTCTCCTATGGGTTCGGGAAGAAAGGAATTAGCTTCAAATAACACCTCTACCTGTCTGTGTGCAGGTGTTAGCTCTCCTTGGGAGGGGTTAGACAAACTACAGGCCCCTTGCCTGATCCCCTTTTGAGAGCCACAGCCCAGAAAGTGGGGAAACATCTTGCAGTGATGAGAACAGGCTGACTAAAAAAAATCAGATAAGAGGGAACAGGTGCACCAATGTATCCGGAGAGGGTAGGCCTGAGCCCAGGAAGCGTCTTGAGCTCCAGGATGGCTGCTGGCACCCTAGCCCCAGTCAAGCGTCACCACGGCCAGAAGCCAGTTTGAAGCAGAGCTCTTCCTCTAAACACCGAGCATGGTGATTTTGACCAGGTAACTAGGCTGAACCCTCATGAACAGCTGCTTATTTGTCTCTGAAATTAGGCTGTGGCTTTAAAAATTCCTGAGGCTTGGAGTAGATAGGGTATAACAATAGTTTCCCCTGCCCCAGAAATTGTGTCACGCTGTCAGCTTCTTAAGATAGCAAGGGAAGGAAAAAAAGCTGCTTTAATGACATGGCAACTTTAAAATGTTAAATAGTTATTTGCTTTTATCTAGCACAATTAATCTCAAAGGACATGTTGTTATTCATTCAATGACAAGTCTTAACCGAGTGCTACTGTGTCAAATGCCAGCTATGGTAATGGGTGGACTCGCAGTATCTACCCTGCTGCAATGTACACAAAGGCAGAGCCAAACAGCACACAGGTGACAAATGTAAGAGGCAGATGGCACACAGGTGACAAACTGTGAGAAGTGCTAAGAAATAAATATTAGGTTGGTGCAAAAGCAATTGCGATTTTTGCCATTACTTTTAATAAGATGCAATAAAGAATATCAGAGATAGAGGTGGCAGGAGGAGAAAACCTGCTTAATAAGGGTAGTCACAGAGTTAGAATCATTGTAAAGTTCATGAGGCAAAGCTTAAGGGTCCTTCACTTGTACTGGCCTCTTCTAAGGCCCTGAGTATTTCCATGATCATGTGTTTTTGCAAAGTGTGCACATTTAAGGCTTTAATACGTTATTTTTCTATAAAAACGTTTCTACCAAGTTGTATAAGCTTCAGGGTTCACAAAATCTGGATTCACACTTAGTAGCTAGGGAAGACTTCTAGGAGGAGGAGAGATTTCAGTTGATTTTCACAGGATAAGAAGGAGCTTGCCATGCTGGATGTGGGGACAGCAGTTCAGGTGGGTTGAAGGACCGTTTGAAAATTCTGAAGCTGGAAATTGCCTTGCCAATCAGAGGACGTGAGCATGGAGTAGTTGGGGAATGGAGAGAAAGGTAGTAGGTAAAGTTGGAGAAATTAGCGGGAATAAAAGTGAAGGGCCATGTAGCCATATTAGGGAGTTGGGTTGTAGCAAAGTGGTATGTAAAACCACTGGAGTGTTCTAAGCAAGAGAATGACATGCTCAGATATATGTTATTAAAAGATTACTCAGACTCCAAAGGAAGAACTGATCTGGGGTTAAGGCATGATTAGAGAAAGGAGGCTCTTGTAGTAAAGGTGAGAGAAGATGGTGGTTTGGATCAGGCTGGTGGCAGTGCATTACAGAGCAAAGTGGACAGATTTAAGATACCGATTAGACTTTGAAATCATTGGACTAGCTGATGAGTTGGATGTAGGGAGCTGGGAAAATATTCAAAGATGACTTGAGCAACTTTTCAGACTTGAGCCACTGGGTTGATGGTGGTGCAACTATCATCCAGGGGGAGGAAAGCCTAGAAAAAGGGAAAAATGGGGTCAGGAGTGGATAAGGAATTCTAATTTGGTTGTGATAAGTTTGAGATACTTATTAGTTACTCAGCAGGAGAATGTTGAGTAGATAGGAGTCTGTGACTTAGGGGAGAGCTATATGTAAACATTTGAGAGTCACCCACATGTATTTGGTAAATATAACATATTTTAAAACTATATAAAGTTCCTATTTCTGTTCCTATTACTGGTCTCTCATTCCGTAAGTTAAATGAGACAGGACAAAGCCTTTAAATTGGATTAAGTAGAAATGCTAAATTGAAAAGTTATTTTCATGTGGAACTACAGGATCTTAGTAAAAATATGTTGAAGGCTGGGTAGAAGTGTCTCCAGGGGGTTGCAATCATCATAAAAAGTTCTATTAGGAATATTTAGGAGGGCATTTAATAATATAATGGATATGGCTTTATATAGGTGTAAATATGTCAGTGTTGACCTCTGTTTGAAGTTGATATAAAAGCAAGATTATGGATTTAGCCATGATTCTGCATCACTTAATCCCGCTCCAGTGTGCAGGAATGAGTTAGGTATGTGAAATATGTATACCACCTTAATAAATCAGACTTTAACTTTGTTATCTGAGTTTGCTTACATTTCTCAGTGGCCTGGGAGAAATAATTAAATGACCGCCACTGAATCATTCTAATTGATGAATACACCAGACTTTAAAAGCATATGTGAAATATTGTGTTGCCTGTGGATTAAGACCTTGACTTTAGGAGGTTTCAGTTAGGAGATGTTTTCCCAGAGTTAAAAATATATTTTTGCAAATAAGCAAGTAAGAGAAGTCTTGGCTAATCTGGTGTTTTAATTTCTCACAAGTATACCAAATTTCCAAGTGTCAGCTATAATTAACTATGATCTGGGGATATGGGATCCTGACAAATCCATATGTGTGTACGGTGTAAGCATTAGAGACCACTTTGAAAAGCTGTGGAATAGAGATAACATCCCATAAGAAAGAAGTCATTTGTTATGCTGATATTCCAAAAAATTCTTACTTTTCCCAGGGAATATACAGATTAGTATACATAATGAGTAGATAAAAACACAGTAAAAGTTGTATTAAACAAAGTTTTCATAAGGCTTTTAGAGAATATATGGTATTTAAATAATTTGGAATTAAGAAGGAGATCATGAGGCTATAAAGCTTCTTAGGAGATGCCATCTGTCACTTTGCAACGTGAAGAAGGCCAGTCATCTCAACATTCAAGTCTATGTGAAGTTTTCCATGAGTGGATTTTGTATAAATGAGTTTCCATCTTATTTCAGAACTCATTTCTTCCAATTCTCTATTTTCTTTATGAGAGCCGCTCATCTAAAAGTTTGGGGATCTCATCTTTGTGTTGGACTTCTATCCTGTACCCCCTCATACACAAAATTCCTGAAATGTTTATTTTGAAGGCTGGTAGCATTTGACTAGAAGTCTAATCCAGAAAAAAAGAAAAAAAGGTAGGATGAGGAATTTACAGAAAATAATAAAAATATAAGCCCACAGGCAAGCCAACTTAAGAAATTTAGGGGTGAAAATAACAATTTTGGGGTTGCTTAGCACTAGAATGTTAAACCCTAAAGAAGTACAAATTAATGGTAAGATAAAAACATTTTAAAGAAAGGTTGGAAAAGGGGCAAGAATGATGATGAAACTGCCTTTGCAAAAATTATAACTGAGAAAATTATGACAGTGAAAGAGATCTGACCTAACCAGCTCCATTTTTCTTCTAACCTCCAAGCTGTCCTTGTTCATTCCAGGGCCTAGGCTGAACTAACTTTAGGAGGAATTCAGTTTATAATTTAACTTTGAAACAAAGATTATAATAGCCGTTTCCCAAAACAACCCCCCTTTCTGCCTGGGGACTAGATTGCCTTTGCAGGACTAACAAATTAGCCACAAGATTAGAAATTATGGTTTAGGAGTCATGCAGCTAGAGGCTGCAAGATTCTAAACTTCCCCAAATTGCTCCTGAGGATAATATCACTATTGTAAATATTAAAATCAGTGCTTGAGATATTTTGGAGACCCTGTACTCGATGGATCAGCTGACACCACTTAGATGGATAAACTGGCTCATCTGGTCTTATGGTCCCCACCCAGGAATTGACTCATCACAAGAGGACAGCTTCAACTCCCTATGATTTCATCTCTGACTTGACCAATCAGCACTCCTCACTTTCCATCTCCCATACAGCCAGCTCTGCATGAATTAAACTCTTTCTCTATTGCAATTCCCCTGTTTTTTTTTTGTTTTTTGATTTTGTTTGTTTGCTTTTAAGATGGAGTCTCACTCTGTCGCCAGACTGGAGTGCAGTGGCACGATTTCAGCTCACTGCAATCTCTGCCTCCCAGGTTCAAGTGATTCTCCTGCCTCAGCCTCCTGAGTAGCTGGGATTATAGGTGCCCGCCACCACACCCAGCTAATTTTTATATTTTTAGTAGAGACGGGGTTTCACCATGTTGACCAGTATGGTCTTGATCTCTTGACCTTGTGATCTGCCTGCCTCAGCCTCCCAAAGTGCTGGGATTACAGGTGTGAGTCACCGCACTTGGCTGCAATTCCCCTGTTTTAATAAATTGGCTCTGTCTAGGCAGCGGGCAAAATGGACTTGTTAGGTGGTTACAATGAAAGGATGAAAATAAAATGATTCAGGAAACCTTGCCAGTAGTGCTACAATAGAAAAATAAGGCAACTTTCCAATTCTGCTTGTTTGTAGAATTTTAGGTATGAAAATTGAATAGGTCAGGTAGATAGCCACCTCATGCTATTTCTTTGTGAGGTTACATCCTTTATCATCTCTGCCTCCAACTCAGACTTTCTGTAGCCATCAGTCAAAGATGATGTCCAAAGTCTAACCTAAGTTATTAAAAAGGAAGCATTAGGCCTGGTATGGTGGCTCATGCCTGTAATCTCAGCATTTTTGGAGGTGGAGATGGGAGGATCACTTGAGGCCAGGGGTTCAAGACCAGCCTGGGCAACATAGTGTGATCCCATTTCTACAAAAAAAACAAAACAAAACAAAACAGGCATGATGGTGCATAACTGTAGTCCCAGCTACTCAGGAGGCTGAGGTGCAAGGATGGCTTGAACCCGGGAGGTCAGGGCTACAGTGAACTACTGATTGCATCATTCCACTCCAGCCTAGGTGACAGAGACCCTGTCTCAAAAAATATATATATATTAAATGTTAGCACCTGAGAAGTCAACAGTGTTGAACAGGGAATCAGGAGTGACTTCCCTCCCCACTTCTGGCTGGGACACATAAGGGTCCGGTTGTCACGCACACTGTTGTGGCCAATCTCATGGCTGAACTCTTGGAGAACCAGCAGTCACCTCAGAGCTCTAACATGCACCCCCAGGAACCAGTGGCACGTGGCTCCAGAGCGCAGCTGCACCAGCAGAACATGGAGCACCTGCTTGAGAGCTGCCCCAGAATCACCTACAGAGCCAGATCCGACCCTAAGGAGCTTCTCCCATCTGGCCCTTGAGTCCCTTCAGCTTACCTACATGTCTCTGCACCATGCGTTGTCTCTCACCAATTACATTTGAACTACCAGGAGAGACTAAATCATTCAGTATGCTTGTGGTTCTCCAAATTATCTTTGTTGACTGCATTATCCATAAAATACCCTTATATGAGCCTTATTCTCTTTGGCTTTCTTTGGTTAAGAAATACACTTTTAGGCCGAGCGCAGTGGGTTCACACTTGTAATCCCAGCATTTTGGGAGGCCAAGGCAGGCGGATGGCTTGAGGCCAGGAGTTTGAGACCAGCCTGGCCAACATGATGAGACCCTGTCTCTACCAAAAAATACAAAAAAAAAATTAGCTGGGCCTGGTAGCACACACCTGTAGTCCCAGCTACTGGGAAGGCTGGGGTAGGAGAATTACTTGACCCGGGAGGTGGAGGTTGCAGTGAGCCGAGACTGTGCCACTGCAACCAGCCTGGGTGACAAGAGTGATACTCCATGTCAAAAAAAAAAAAAAAGTCACTTTTCACTAAAATAAAACTTCTCATGAATATGAGGTATTTATCTCATTGTTGCCAAGTGTGGCTTTTATTAAAGCTTGAAGAGTGAGAAAATGAATAGCTTTTCATCAGCCACTAATGGAACAAAAATGGCTTACATGTGTGACTTTCCACAAGATTAATTTAAATTGGGGAGAACTGGCTAGCTTTCTCCTGTCGTGCTCTTTAGTAAATGCATAAGATAAATGCAGCACAGCGAATTTTGCCCCTCTGTTAGTAAAATTAGTTTCTGTGCAGTCTGGTTGACCCTGCCTGCTACAGCGCACAGCTGCTTTGGCATGCTAATTGAATTGTCAACAATAAACACTGGGAAGGAGGCACTTGAAGCTACCATTTTGGGCCACAAAACCTCTGCTTAAAGGCTGCCTGCTGTTTCTCCCAACTATGCATGAAAAGCAATTAAGAAAAGTCTTGTATAACTGTAGTCTGCTAAATCAAGGATAAGCTGTATATTGGAACTAACAAAAGACACACAAAACGCTTGCAAATCTTCTCAGGACCAAACTGTGTGCACTTGTGCTTGTAAGAATGTGTGGCCCAATTAATGGAAAAACACTTAACTAAAAGTTAAATTGCCCTGTTACCTTTTGCCCTATTAACTGGTGTCTAGCCTTAAGCATGAGAACCCTAGCTGAATGCTTATTTTACCAAGGCAGAAACACAATGAACCAGATATGAACCAGTCTAATAACTTTACCAGTCCTGGGCCAACTATTAATGCTAAGAATTTATACTGAATGAATAGATACCTCTTTGTTATTTCTAATTGTCATGGTGAAAAGGTTACTAAATTCCCACACGTGATGGGACAAAAGACACTTTGCCTACACAACAGCTCCATTTGACACCGTGGAAGGAAAGGACTGGAAGCATTTAGGCTGAGTTAAAAAAATAAAATACAGGCTGCATTTGTTGACAATTAGATGTGCCGTGTTAACATAAACTTAAGTTACTTGCTTTTAAAATTGTGTAGAGTTATTCTCTTGTTACTAATATCTTACAATTTTGACATGTACTTTCCCCCTAAAAAAATTTATAAACTGTTCTAGGCTCCAAATGACATCTTGGTTCTAAATGTTATTGAAATAATTTGTGGGATAATATACCTATGGGACATCTTATACCCCTAAAGCTGATCGCTGGTGGCATAGTGTGTGCAACAGTAATGTTCGTGTTAACCCAGGAAAGGCCATAGAAAATGGTCCATAGAAACTGGAGGTGTATTTAAAGTTGCTGGTCAATGTTTTCTTAAAAGTAAGATTTTGAAAATACTGAAAGTAAAAGCTTGAATATTGCTAAAAATAGAATACTTTAAAAAATTGTTCCCCATGAAGAGACCTTTTAAGTCTACATCTTAAAATTGAAAATAAGTTATAGTCATTCTTATGTTGTTATTAATATATATACAAACTTTAAAATGTTGATCAAAGTTTTAAAATTAACATTATACTATAGAAGACCAGAGCTTATAGGAGGTGTACATTATATACACACAGCTATTTATTAGAAGTGAAAATATTTTCTTCCAGGTGATTCCAATTGATCCTTAATTATATTTTTAAGATTGGGGTATGACATATTGTAGTTATTTAATTTTTTAAGGATTATTTTTGTTATTTCAAGTGTCGACCTTAAAGTGCTTTTACTGTAGACAGCAGCATTCTTTGTTCTGTCAAGTAAAATGCAGCTGTAATAAGATTGGATTCTTTGCTTCTGTGTTTCTATTTTTAGTTAGTCAAGGACAATCCTAGAAAATGCTTCTTTGGCCATTTTTCCCCCTTTTTCTAACAGTACTCAATGAAAACTAAACATCTTTAGGAAAATTAAAGTCTAAATCACACATATTGATTCAAATTTTGTGAACGGATTTTACATCTCTTTCAAATGTCAAAACTGTTGCAACTACATAGTGACATTCCTGCGGAATGGATAAACAAGATATTGATAAAGCTGCATATCACATGATCACATACTCATAGAGCACTTCTGTGTTTAATTAATTGGTTCAGGGAAAATGTGATTGTCAGTAAGAGGTTGTAAACCTAAGTGGCAGGAAAAGTTTTTATTTCTCTTTTGTTCTTCTCATTTTTATTTCATCCTTGCTTATAAAAATCCTGTGGCAAGAATGACTGGTATTCAGAACATGTTCTCTAAAGTTACTGTCACTGCTTATCGATTTGAAACAGCTGTGAAATTGAAGGGATCAAGTGAGTTTCAAAACATTGCTGGGTAGAAATGTCTATGTTAGATCCTACATGTTTAGGAGGTTATTATTATTTTTTTTTCATTCTTGGAACAAAGCTTGCTGGGCTCCTGGGTTTTCCTTGGGCCTCAGTGAAAGCTATGTAACTCCTGTGAGTACTCCTGAAAATATTCAGACACAAAATGAAAGGTTAGCAAAGAAGAGAAAATCAGTCAGCATAAGACATGGCCCTTAAATGTTTGCAGTCAATTAAAGCCCTGTTCAAGGTTAGGCTGGAATTCCTCCAGCTGTGGTGTTCCATGTAAAATAAAATACTGCCAGCTGTGGTCAATTATTTGATTTCCTTGTGAAACTTGAGAAACTTGTAATCACTGTTAATATGGTAAAAAATTGATCAAGTGTGACATGCTATGTAATTTACTGATTGCAATAGCCTTTTAGGTACTAACTCTGAGAGTGGTATCTGCTGATTAGTTTCTAGACCTCAAGGGCTAAAGTAAGGTTAACTTTTATACTTAAATTTAGCTTCATATCACACGACAGGATTGGTTAAGTGATTTAGCCACTTGATAGAATAGTATCAACTAGTAAATATTTTTGTGAAGACTGTTTAAAGATGTAAAAAATGCCTACAATAGAATATAAATGAATAAAGGAGGACTCAAGGTTGTGTACATAATGATCACAATTGCATAAAAAATCTGAGGTTAAAAATATTAAAATATGAAAATATCTTTTTTTGCAACCAACTGTTTCAAAAGTACATTTGGTAGTCTGCATATGATTTGAGGATGCAGAGGGAGAAAATGTATTAGAAGAATAAAAAATGCCAGGTGCAGTGGCTCATACCTCTCTAATCCCAGCACTTTGGGAGGCCAAGGTGGGCAGATTGCTTGAGCCCAGAAGTTTGAGAACAGCCTGGGCAATATGGTGAAACCCCGTCTCTGCAAAAAAAAAAAAATTAGCCAGGTGTAGTGGCACACACCTGTAGTCACAGCTAGCTGGGGAGGCTGAGGTAGGAGGATTGATTGAGCCCAGGAGGAGAAGGCTGCCCTGAGCTGTGCACTCCCGCCTGGGTGACGGAGTGAGTCTCTGCCTCAAAAATGAAAAAGAAAAAGAATAAAAAATTGTTAAGAACCGAAAAAAAAAAAAACCCAAAAACCCAACCGAACAAACAACAAACAGCAAAAAATAGAGGGATCTGAGAGCCCAGCATCCAATTTCACAACTTGTGCCAATAAATTAATTCCCATACTACATATGTGAATGTCCCATAAACATTCCTGGGGACCTAAATATGCTTGTTATCTTTGGAAGGGGTAAAAAAGACGAGGCCATATAATCACATTAGGGTGGGAGAGCAACCTCAGGTGCTAGTCATAAATCCAGCATCAAATATGTCAGATCTCAGCTTTCTCATCTTTAAGGGGGAGTAATGACATTACCTGCCTAACAGGACCACTACAGTCAAGTGAGAGCACTGAACACACCGCCCGGCCACTGGTAACAGTTCCATCAGAGTTCTGTTGGTATGAGTTTTACTATGCCTATACTTTGTATCTCTTAAGCTATCAACTACAATCCATAGGTTTTATTTTTATAATATATAATCAACATTTCTAAGATCTTTTTGTGGGCACACAATATTTCTGATTGTCTATGATCAAAATTCCAGTGCATTCTCTTTAGCTGCCCATCAGGGTCTAGTAATTCTGCCCTTTCTTAACTGGCTGGTTTACATATAACTTTTAAGATGGACTCAAGCATCGTCTCCTCTGGGTTCTGCTTTTTGCAGTTAAATTCCACTAAAATTGACATCATCATTTCCTTGCGAATCTTCATGTACTGTTTCTTTTTTTATGTAATTTTTAAGCATAAGAAGTCTAGTTTTAATTTTGACTTAATATATCTGACTAATCCACAGACTAATCAGAAAATGGTAAAAGGCTGAGGCTAAAGTTCGTGTTTCACATTCTGGGAGTGTTATTATCATCTGTCTTCAAGACAGAATCTTTAAAAGCCCATTAGATTTTAAATCTCAAATTTTACTACCTCGTGGCTCCTCCTAGTTATAATTTCACTAGTGATACTGGCTCAGAAAAGGAGTAAGTGGGCACTAAATCTTTGAGTTTCCTGTGTACATTTGGTCCCTTTGAGAAAACCAAACAAAATATATTGCTTAATAGAGACCCCTTTTAAAAGTCAGTTAAGTAGCCTAAGCTCTCAGTTTGTCTATCGAAAGAATGTGCTTCCAACCCCAGGTTGTTTGCTCCAGTCCAAAGAGTCAGTCCAGGTGGCTCTGGACTCACCACATGAGTAGGGTCCAAGGTGCACCTCCACAGGCTGGAATCGCCTCAGTGGACCCCTGCATGCCCACATCAGAGAGAGAGTGTCCCAGCAGATACCTGGAAAGCTGAAGTGCTCGCTTAGAGTTTGCAGGTCCTTTGGTTGTGCCTCAGAAGGTGGTCTAAGTGCTAAACATCCTGCGTGGTTCTTACCAAGCCTAAAGAATTCCCCTGCCCTAACTGTGGTGGTTCCTGCATGTGTGAGGGCTGAAAGTATCTACCTTGGTACCGTCTTAGCCTAGAAGCCTTCTCACAAAGGTTGCATCTTGGGGCCAGGACAGGGATTGGGATCTACCCACCACCATGGGCCAGACACCCTCTCTCCGTTTGGTGAGCCTCTGAGGTGCACCACGTTCCTCGCCCGGCTTTTCTACCACCACCGTGTGTGGTTCAATGTCAGGAGCTTTGCCCTTTCCTGCTGCTGGTCCTTCAGTCCAGTCCTCTTGGGTCCTCTGATAGGTGTCAATCACTTGAAAGCTCAGAAGGGGTTGGGATGTCCTCATGAAAATTTATCTCCCCAGCTGCCTTCAGACTCTGCACATCAGTAGGTTGTGAGAGAAAGGTCCAGGTTCCGCCTCCTTGAGCACTCCACCACTTCATGTCTAATAACACAACTTAATGACACCTACACATTAGGAAATACAGTAATATGTGTCTGACTTGGACAAGTCCTCAGATTGTCTCTTGTATTTCCTTCAACTTTTATTTTGTCTGAATTTTGCAGGTAACTTCAGACAAGATTCAAGATATTGTGGAATTCTTGGTAGGTAGTTTTTTACAGTGAGTAGCCATTCCTAGCACAGTTTAGAATGTCATGAGCAAAAGAACAGATGCACTGTTACTTGAAGGAGAACCACAGTGCCTGTCTTACGTCTTTCCTTTATGCTCACTTACCATACTGCAAGCACAGAATAGATATTCACATTTTATTGTTGCTGGGCATAGGGACAAGCTGGCACTCAAGTTTCTTATAAATACCACATGCTTTTGTAATTTTTGCTGAACTGGAGCTTGGTGATTTTTCCTGTGGTAACCAGATAACACTGGATTTTTGGCTAATTTAATTGTTAGGAGAAAATCAAGGTAGTTCATGCAAACAAGATGGAAATATTGAAACTTGAATATATTGGTCAACCTTAATTTTCTTAAAAGAGGAACGTTGTACTACTTACAACTACATGCCATATGATGAATTAAATGGAAAGAAAAATCCCTAAGTCAAATCAGCTGGTGATAAATGGAGGCAGATTAAGCAAAAAAAGAGAGGTTTGTGTGATTATGCATGTTATTTAAACATAAACTTCACTAGTGAACCCCCAAAGCAGTGTCTCATTCCCATTAGGAAAATTGTAATTGGTGCATTTTCCATTGTCCATTTTGGTTCTTATGGAAAGAACATGGAAATGTGGCCTGATGAGGTGCTGGTGATGCTTAAATTCACACCGGGTCTCTAACTTTTCTCCCCACAGGATTCAGTCTACAGAGTCTCTAACACTTGCTGCTATTAATAAAAGCTGAATAAAATGATGCCTTTGTCTGAAGACATTAGCAGAATTGTAGTCGTGTTCCAAAGGACAGGGGGCAGAGGGGAAGGTGTGAGAAGGCCAGTTGCCCAGGGCACCAACCTAAAGCGTTGCTAAATTTGTGAAGGGGGGAAGGCACCCAGCCAGCCATCAACGAACCACAGGTACCCGGTCGCCAATCTCAGTGTCCACGATGCTTGGAATAGTTCTGTTTACTTTAAGCAGTTCTACCACGTGTGTGGCTCCAAAATTCTAAAGACCATTTATATATTTTAATGAACCAAATTTTAAAAAATTGGACATGCAGTCTTGCTTTATACTCATGGTAATGATTATTTTAGAATTAAGGTTATAAATATATCTAAATATTCCAAACCAGGAAAACCAGGAAACGTGCACCATCTTCTACCCCTCTCCCTAACCCTCCACAATAGAAAAAATGTTGGTTTTACTTAGTTCTTATTTAAGGATAGTGCAGTGTTTCAAACCCTAGTGGAACAGCAAAATCACCTTGGAAGCCTGGGCCCCACCCTAGTCCGACTGAAATGGAATCCCTGGGGTTAGGGCTCAAGAATCTGTAAGGCTAAATGCTCCTCCGGTGATTCTAATATACAGTGAGGGCTGAATGAGAACCATGTGGCAATGGTTACTATAATACTTGCATCAGGATCACCTGAAGGGCTTGTGAAACCAGCGAGCTGGGCTCCACTCCTAGAGTTTCTGATTCGGGAGGTCTGGGGCGGGGCCCTGGAATTTCCACTGCTAAGTACTAGTGCTTGTGGATGCTGCTCTGGGACCACACTTCGAGGACCACTGCTATAAAACGAATCCTGAGTCATTGACACCTCCTAAGGTATTTTCACTCCTAGAAAACTTACAGAAGTGTTATTGTTGTTTATGGTTGAGATCTGGAGAAGGGGCATAGAGTCAGTGCCATGGGAGCAGGAAGTGGAGGAAAGGGACTTTAAGAAAAAAGTTAACATGAGAATGTTATAAAGACTGAAGAGAGGAGGTTTTGAATTTTAAAAGTACAGGCTGGGCAGAAAAGTTGAAGGAGAGAAAACTAGGGGGCACTTGAAGAATGTAAGAGAATTTAAAGGAAATTTTAAAGAAGTATTGTTGGGGGGGTCTCTGTGTCTCCCTCAGTGTGTTAAAGAAATATAATTAAAAGATGGTTTGGGCCCAGTGTAGTACCTCATGCCTGTAATCTCAGCACTTTTGGAAACTGAGGTGGGAGGATTGCTTAATAGCCTAGGTAACACAGTGAGACCCAATCTCTACAAAAAAATTAAATAATTAGTCTGGTGTAGTGGTTCCTGCCTGTAGTCCCAGCTACTCGGGAGGCTAGGTGAGAGGATTGCTTGAGCCTGAGGTTTGAGGCTGCAGTGAGATATTATCGCACCACTGCACTCCAGCCTAGGTGACAGAGTGAGACCTGGTCTCTAAATGAATGAATGAACGAATGTAGTTTTTGGTCGTGTCACTCATGGTCAGTGCCACACCTTTCTGGAATGAACCACAGGTATCATGCTTTGTAAGCATTCCTCACTTTTTTTTCCCTTCATTTTTCTCCTCCCTAGAAAAACCACAACAACCTAACTCGGAAAACTCACTAAGAAACAAGAGTTAGAGAAAAACGGGGTTTTGGCTGGGTGCGGTGGCTCATGCCTGTAATCCTGGAACTTTGGGAGGCCGAAGCAGGCAGATCACCTGAGGTCAGGAGTTTGAGACCAGCCTGGCCAATGTGGTGAAATCCTATCCCTACTAAAAATACAAAAAATTAGCTAGGCATGGTGGTGGGTGCCTGTAATCCTAGCTATGTGGGAGGCTGAGGCAGGAGAATCGCTTGAACCTGGGAGGCAGAAGTTGCAGTGAGCTGAGGTCGCGCCATTGCACTTCAGCCTGGGCAACAAGAGCAAAACTCCATCTCAAAAAAAAATGGGGTTTCAAAGATTCAAAAGACTGAATTATTGGGGTAGAGGTAAAAAGGGATTTGCCTGAGTCTAGGAGAGACTGAGTTCAGGGCTATGTTGAGGGTGGAGTGAAACATGAAATATTTATCCAATGGCTCCCATCTCTCACTGGTCCAAAGGAATCCTGGGGTGTGGAAGCCCCCTGCACTTCAGTTGTGTTGCAAGGCAGGGAGGGAGGATAGGAGTGAAGAGATGTCCAGCAGGTGAAGAAGATTGGCAGGTGCCTCAGGCGGAGGCACAGCAGGCTGCCCCTGCATGGAGTTGTCAGCAACCACACAGTGCTGGGACAGGACATGGTGGGCACTGAGGAGCTCTAAGGTGGTGCAGAGAGGAGTGTGATTCGGTCAAGGAGGAGGGGGCATGGATGCTGGTGGAGTGGCCAACAGTGTTTACTACAGAACTTTCAATTGCTCGTGACAGGAATCTACCCTTAAAAAAAAAAAAAAAACCCAAACAGCCACAAAATCCTATCTAAGCCACTTGTTTCAAAGTTGTCTCTAGTTATACCTTTTACTAGTTCTGCAAATTAACCAACTAGACCAAAGCAAGCTTCCCCTTTAGTTATAGTGCCCATCCTTACTGTAAGAGACTTTAATGAGAAAAACAAAGACTCCAAAGCAAAATGGAAACGTGGGTTCTGGTTATCAGTGGCCACGATAGCTGTCTTCTGAATTAGGGAAAGTGGGTACAATTGAGACAGAGAAGAAGCTAGATTCAAACTTATTTTAGAAGAATCAAATGGGACTCCCTAATTTTTTTGGTCATCAGCCACTTTGAAAGGTCACCTCATGGATAGTTTGTCTAGCTTTATCCATGACTAGTGGTGGATGGCTCAGCCATCCCTATTTCCTGAGCTACAAATGTCGTCTTAGAAAATAATTATCTCTAAGGTCAGATCTGACAAACATCCTAAGAAACAGAGGTGAAGAATCTGATGTTAGGTCCTAGTTAGGAACCTAGTTTTTGAAGCATAGTACTACCTATCTTCAACAAATATTCAAATTAGGTAAAACTCAAATTTGTTTCCTTGGGTTTGGGGCTGAGGCCAAAATAAGGTCTTAAAAAGGCACAAAGAAATCAGTAGAGCCTTGTCCTCAAGGTCTCAAGGTAGGAGCATACGGGACAAATGTTACGACAGTTCAATTTTAGTAAATAAGAAATTTGGCAACAGCAGTGCAGCACTGCAATAGAGTTTAATGGCTATTCCGTTGTTATTTTTTTTCCTTTTTGGAGGTGGAGAGAGATTTACATCCCTCAGAGGACATGGATTAAAATGTATTAAACTTAGCCTGGAATCTTTTTTATAACAAACAACAGATCTTATTTCTGTTTCTCCTTTCACCCTCTATTGGTTTTGATATTGACAAACCAGAACAACCTTTTTTTAAAAAATATGAGATTCAGCCATTTATGCTATGTGAAAATTAAGTATATTTTTCTTTATCCTTTGTCTTATTTCTACCTCACCTTCAGAAGTAATGTTTTATGGCAAAAGTGGAAAGTTGTTCTGAAAACTCTGATGGAACAATTACAAATTCTAACCAAGGAATGGTTATAATAACTGGGTTTTTAAGGATGCAGTCAAGAATATAAAATTGGATATAAACAGCCATTTTATATAATTTCATTATTAAACCAATTAATAAGCAAATGATAGTATCAGAAATAATTTAAATCACCCTTGTAGATCATTTGTGGCTTATCAATGACATTCAGTCTTACTGAAACTTAATTTTCATTGAACTACCAATATGAAATTCATCCTTCTACTAGTTCCTGATTCCATCTCTTACCTTCTCACAGAAGTTTCTCATTCTATTTGTCTTTCTCTTTTCTGTGTCTTAAAACCCTCCCCATTGGATTACCTCTGCCTGTACATACACATGTGCTCAAGATGTTCCCACCCTGAAAACAATTAGGTCCTCCTGTATGTTTGATACAATTAGATACTGCTGTATCATTGTTTCCCTTTCTTTTCTTTCTTCCCTTTCTTTCTTCATCTTTCTCCTTTTTTTTTTTCTTTCTCGTCTCCCCTTTTCTTTTTCCGTCTACCTCCCCACCCTATCCCATTCATTCATTCACTGGTCAAATATGTTGGGGAGAGGAGTGCCCACCATCTGTCCAGCACTTTACTGAGCTCAGGGAAACATAAAATACTGAAAAGATTGAGCTATGTCCTTGTGGGGATTTTAATCTGGTGAAGAAGACAGGCATTTGATAAATACGCCATGGACTGTCATTCCTTCTTCTCTTACCTCCACTTTGTTGCAATTGGCCTTGAAGCTCTAGCCCAGGCCATCACTGACATCTCAGTTCCAAAAGCAATGAACCCTTTTCATTTTTTTCCACATTTTAAAATTCCTATTGGAGTTTATCACTTCATTCTTCTGGAAGCTTCTTTCTCCTTGCTTTCTGTCTTCATTCTTCTTCACTGGTTTTCTTATTCCATTTTATCTCCTGGCTCTTGTGGTTTCTTTTCCTATACCCGTCAATTAAATGGGAAACAGTTCGGCTGGGTGTGGTGGCTCGTGCCTGTAATCCCAGCACTCTGGGAGTGTTAGGTGGGCAGATCACAAGGTCAGAGGTTAAAGACCAGCCTGAAAAACATGGTGAAACCCCGTCTCTACTAAAAATACAAAAATTAGCCGGGTGTGGTTGTGTGGGCCTGTCATTTCAGCTACTCAGGAGGCTGAGGCAGGAGAATTGCTTGAACCCGGGAGGCAGAGGTTGCAGTGAGCCAAGATTACGCTATTGCACTCCAGCCTGGGTAACAGAGTGAGACTCTGTCTCAAAAACAATAAAATAAATGGGCAACATTTCATAGTGTTCTGTTCTCAGCTCTTTTATAATTTTTCACCTCTCATTTCCTGACGCAAATCTAGCTATTTTCATGTATTCAGCTACTACCCGTGCACTGATAACTGCATAGCCAACCATTTGTCTTTCCTGGGGATCAGTTCCAAATATTCAGCTGCCTGGTGGGCATTCTATCTCCAACTCAAACAGGTCCTGAATTGAACGCATTTTCTCCAACACTGGTTCTTCTTTGTGTGTTTCCTGTCTTATTTTTGAGAACCACTGTGCACTTAATCACCTAAATTAGGCTGTTGTAAATAAGAGCAGCAAGATTTTCAAGAACTGGCTTATATAGGTAAGATTTGAATTGAAATTTAAATGACAAGAAAGAACCAATCACATATGTGACAGAGTATTTTTGGCAGACAGAACAGAAAGTACAAAGGCCCAGAAGGTGAAGAGTGATTTTGAGTAGTCAACAGAAGAGAAAGACCAGTGTAGCTGGCGGTAGCAGGCGGAGGGGAGGAATCCCAGATGAGCCTGAGGAATCTGCAGGGGTTACACCATCAAGACTGCTGGCAATTATGGGGAAGGCTTCATGTTATTCTAAGTACAATGGGATGCTACTGAGGGACTGTTCAGCTGGAGAGTGACGTTGAATTTATACTTTATAACACTCACTTTTGCTTTATGAATAACTAACTGTGGAAGAGGAAGAGTGCAAATATGGTGTCCAGATAGGAGGCTGTGCAGTAATACAGGCAAGAGAGGGTGAGGGCTACAAACAGGGTAGTGCCTGGGGAGTTTGAGGGAGGAGAAAAAATCAGGATATATTTTGGAGGTGGCATCTACAGGACTTGCTGATGAGCTAGTTATGGGGGGTGAGGCAAATAAAGGTATCTGAGATCACTTTTAGGATTTTGACAAGAGCAACTGTGAGGACATATTACTGAGATACTGAAGACTGAGTGAACGTAGAAACAAGTGAATGTAGATAGAGAAGAGCAGACAAAAAGAGAGCTGACAACGGAGTCCTGGATTACTCTATTGTTTAGAGGTCAAACAGGAGAGATGCAAGCAGACTAGTCAGGCATGCACAGTGAGGGAAAACCAGGAGAGTATGTCCTTGAAGCTGGGAGAGCAGCTTCCTTTACTAGAGAATGATCAATCTGGTGAGGTGTCAAGTAAGTGGCAGGCAGAACAAAGACCCTAGAATGGAGGTTATTGATGACCTGGAGGAGAGCAGCTTTAGAATGGACGTGGTCCAGATTTTGAGGGTGAGCACTTCAACTTGGCCCTGACATACTTTGCTGCTTGTGTTATTGCTACAATACTTTATTATAGCTAATAGTGGTCACTACTATTGAGGGCTTATGTGAGAGAATAGTATGTACAAAGGCATAGAGACATTTAAAAATGGAATGACCATTCAGAAACTGGCATTAGTTGAATATGGCCAAAATGTGTAGTATGAGAGGGAGAATGAGGGGGGAAGAAAATAGGAAAGAGTGGAGGTGAAATTGCATGGGGAGACAGGGCAGATCGAAAAACATCTTGTATACTAAACTATAAAGATTTTGTATTTTGTGCTGTAGACAAAGGGGAACCATTGAGAGCTTAAATACATATCATATTATTCCAGAAGCATAGTTTTGGCAGCATTAAGGAGGACAAATTGGCTAAGAATAAAGCTTTAGGAGAAAGATGAAAGAGCCTGAATAAAGACAGTATCAGTGTGTCTAGAAGGGATAAGGATTTGTGAGAGATTAAAGACTGAACTGAGAGATGAACTGAATGTGAAGGAAAAAAGAATTATTTGAGTATCCTTGAGTTAATCAGACTATCTCTCCTTGCTTCAGCTCTTACTTTATAAAGGACTCCCTAAATGTATTAATCTACTATCCTACTTTATTAAGAACTATGCAGTATAGATATTTTAATTTCACATTATTTAGATTTTTTCAGTATCCCCATATTAATCTGATAATATATAATCATTTTGGAAAATTATGCAAGATTAATCTAAATTTGTATACATCCCAGGATTAATACTATAAGTTAACTGTTTAATACACACCAACACAAATACTGCATTAGTATCAGCATAGTTTATAATTTAGTTTTCTAAAATAAAGGTGAAGAGCAAGAACTTTCCAGTTAACTGGGAGCTTAGAGTGGGTTTGGGGCTTAATCAAGGTTTTATTATATCTTAAATAAATTGGAATATTTCTTCTGAAATATATATTGCAGCTAAAGATTCAAGGAAGAATTTGTTAGTCATATTAGAAAAACCTCTTTAAACTTCTTCTACTAGCAACCTCGATTTTAGTTTGGAATTATTCACATGTGAACACAAGTTTTCTGAATGACTTAATTTTTAAATCTCTAGTACTTTTGAGTGTAAGACATATAAACACATGTTCAAATATGGTGGTCCCACAGTGTGGTTTTTCTATGACCAAATAGGACTAATCAAATGCAATTACTTAAAATTGTGCAGTTTTGATTACAATCATCGTTGTAAATGAAAATTGAGGGGTTGGATTGAGAACTGTAATTTCACTGTTTAGAAAATAATGCTTTGGATCTGTAATACTTCACTCATCAATAAATGGATGAATGTTACGTGACATTGTTGAAACGTTCTGGAAATGACAGTCTAAAAGGAAATTTATTTTCCAACTTCTTTTCTTGGGGGCTCTGGACTGAAACAGTCTTGTTGTATGTTTCATTAAATGTGTTCCCCGTTGTGTATAGATCCAGCCATTCAAGTGCTGATAACCTAAAAATTGAGCTAGGGTGCTTTGAGAGAAGGGCCGCCAAGATTGCTAATGGGAAACTTTCTTTCTACATTTTTAAGTGCTTTGCCCACATTTCAGAGATAATTCTCCTGGATAAATCATATTGCTGGAACTCTTGTATTTTGCTACCTGTGAAAAATAAAATTGCCATTATAAGTCAGGATCTCGGCCATGTTAAAATGGACATTTGCTAAGTAAACATTAAACAACTAACAAGTTCCATTAAGGGCAGTTTTTATATAGCAAGACAAAAACAGAAATATAAAAGTGAATAGCACAGTAGCTGATTAGCTAACAACTATTTAAGGATGTGGGCAGTTAAAGAGTACTTTCTATGTAATAATATTAATAATATTGAATGACGCCTCATGCTGACTGGAAATCTTGCCCTCAAATTTAGAAAAAATTTTTCAAAACCCTTGACATACTTTCAATTATAGTTAGTCCCCTATATTCATGGGTTTTACATCCCCAGATTCAATCAACAATGGATCAAAAGTATTCAGAAAAAACCAATAACAATACAACAATAAAAAATGACACATGGTATAACAACTATTTACACACATTTTTGTCATATTAGGTATTATAAGTAATTTAGAGGTGATTTTAAATATATAGGAGGATGTGAGTAGGTTATTTCAAATACTGTGTCAATTTATATAAGGGACTTGAGCATCTGTGGATTTTAGTACCTGTAAGGGGTCCTAGAACCATTTTTTCATTAATAATGAAGGAGGCCTATACTATCATATTTGAGATGGGACATTACCTAATTACTATTCTAGCTTTGTCTTTAACAAAGCTAAGTCACAACCAATATTAAAGCATGCAGTAGTTACTTAATGTTTGAATTAATGTGTGAATGACAAATGTCACTTAAAAATGCCAGTTTTTTAAAAGAACAAAATCATAACTTTTACAGCAACATGGATGCAGCTGGAGGCTATTATCCTAAGTGAACTAATGCAGGAAGAGAAAACCAAATACCACATGTTCTCACTTATGAGTGGGAGCTAAACATTTGGTACTCATGCACATAAAGATGGCAACAATAGAAACTGGGGACTACTAGAGGAGGGAGGAAGTGGAGAAAGGGTTGGAAAACTGTTGGGTACTATGCTTAGTACCTGGGCGACAGAATCATTCGTACCCCAAACCTCAGCATCACATAATACACCCAGGTAACAAATCTACACATGTCCCCACAAATTTAAATAAAAGCTTAAAAGTAAATAAATAAATAAAAATACCCATCTTTGAGTGCTAATCCTCAGTGGAAAACATGGTATTGTGTTTATGTTACTAAAAATCAATCTTTACATGAAATACATGACAAAATACAGTTGGGCTTTGTTTGTGGCTTCATATTTATAAGTTTGCCTACTCACTAAAATGTGTTTCTAACCCCAAAATCAATACTCATGGTGCTTTCATGGTCACTTATAGATATGTGCAGGGTGGGAAACATTTGAGTGACCCGAAGTACACATTCCTAGCTGAGGTTGAGCAAAGTGGAACTCTGCTTTCTCGGTTCAGCCCTCAGATTGTAAACGAGTGTCCTTCTCATGGGCTATTTAGTGCTGTGTTTATCACATTTTTGTGATTTTCGTTGTTGGTAATTGTATTGTTTACAGTGGCCCCCAAGCAAGTGCTAAAGTGCTGTCTAGGGTTTCTATACGCAAGGCTGTGATAGCTCTACACAGAAAATACGCGAGTTAAATATGCTTCATTCAGGCATGAGTTATGGTGCTGTTGGCCATTACTTCAATGTTAGTAAGTCAACAACACATGTTGAATCAGGTGTCTAAACAGAAACACACATAAAACAAGGTTATGTATTGACCAGCTGACAAAAATGTGACCAGAGGCTTGCAGGAACTTACCCTCTTATTTCCCCTAGGAGGAGTGGTTTAGTATCTACTTGAATTGTGTTTGTGATGACTCTATAGAACATAACTTCCAAGAATAATGACAATCAACTGTACTTACTGATGAAGTGATGTGATGGAGTTTGCTTAAAAATAATCCGTGGAGGTCGGGTGTGGTGGCTCATACCTATAATCCCAGCACTTTGGGAGGCTGAGGTGGGTGGATCACGAGGTCAGGAGTTTGAGACCAGCCTGGCCAACATGGTGAAACCGTGTCTCTACTGAAAATACAAAAACTAGCTGGGCATGGTGGTGCGTGCCTAATATCCCAGCTACTCAGGAGGCTGAGGCAGGAGAATCACTTGAACCTGGGAGGCGGAGGCTGCAGTGAGCTGAGATCACACCATTGCACTCCAGCCTGGGTGACAGAGCAAGACTCCATTTCAAAAAAATAAAAAATAAAAATAATAAAAATAAAAAATCCATGGAGGCATAGAGAATTTGGATCCCGCACAGATGAAACAAATGGGCAATGATTTGAAAGTTGCTCAGGTTACATGATGGGTACTTGAGGTTCACTCAAGTATTTTCTCTCTTTCTGTATATGTTTGGCATTTTCTATGGTAGAGCATTTTTTTAAATACCATTATGAGTATTTAAGAACTTGAGTTCCAAAAATTTTCATGAACTTTTGCTGCTCCCAATGAATCTTAGTACTTGACTAGAAATTTTCCCATTTTTTCTCTTCCTTTATCTTGTTTTCTCCTGCTTTACCTGTTATAGCTAAAAGAAAATGAAAGGAAGTTGGAACAAAATCTGAGGGCTATAAGAAGTTAATTGAACTGTGTAAACCTAGAAAAAGTACTTTATGTCTTGTAAGATTCTGCCACCTCTCCAGTACCATCAAAATGCTAAATAAGTGAGCTGTTGCCAGAGAGTTAATCTACAAAACTCTCTTTCCTCCCTCAAGGATTCAGTGACATCCTGTGTTTGTTTGCTCTTCTGAGAATACATTCTATATGGGAATCCTCCTTGTAGGGTTAAGCCTTACACTCCAAGTCTAGCTTTAATGGTAGAACATTTTCTTTTTAGTTTCATATTGACCTTGACCTTTCAGTATGGAGAAGGATCTCAGGCCTGCCCTGGCTAGATGAGACACATTTAAACTGACAGATGAGGTTGGCTTACAGAGAGGGAGGAATAGGTCACCAGCTCTGTTTGTTTGTTTGTTTTTAATAAAAGAGCAGTCAAACTGAAAAAGACAGGAGAAAAATACAGGGAAAACAACATAATTGTACCTTGTACTTTCCTAATGTTTTCTGCCTGTAGAGCTCAAAATATTCTCCTAATATGATCTCAAACATCAGCAGCTCCAAGGTACAGACAGGACAAGCATTATTACTCTCATCTGAAAGATGAGGTCAAGCATGGCAGGGAGTTGACAGAGCCAAGATGAGGACTCAGAACTTGACTCCTGTTCAGCAACCAGCAAAACTAACTCTAGGACCCCTACTCTTCCATTGCTGGCTGCTTTTCCTTCCTTCCTTACCTTAGTATAACCCGTTTCCTCACCACAGCCCTCTTGTGATAGCTCTTCTCTCATCAGTGAGATCTTTCCTGACCTTCCTATCTAAGCAGTATCCCTCCATCTCCATCCCACCTCTGCCATCACTCTTTTCCCTTCCCAGCTTTGTAATTTTTTTGCCCTTATCATCTGTCATGTTATTTCTGATATCTCTTCATTAGGATGACCCATGACTGAACACTGTATTGTTAATTCCAATCCCTATTGAGCTCATAGTGGGTGCTGAGTAAACATTTGTTGACTAAATTTCCTCGTTTATTAAGACTTACTTTTAGTTAAGCATCCAATATCTCAAGGCTGAGAAGGCTCAATACCAGACATTCTCTTTGGGCTACTTTCCTTAGAATAGGAGAAACCTTGCTGTGATTTAAATCAAAGGAGTGAAGCTCTAATTCATAGCAACTCATATGTGGAGAAAGTATTTTTGCACAGCAAGGGATTCCTTTGATGATCTCTGACCTAACACCAAGGTCAGCCCTTCCAATAGCTATCACCAGAGACAGGAAGTGAGAGAAGAAAAGTAGAGAGAAATAGACACTGTATAATGCACATCATCAATGCTGCTTGAATTGTAGAGAAGTAAAACACAAAGTTTTATTTTAATTAAAGTATACTTAATATCAGAGGAAAACTTTTCAATGCTTTTTAAACAGTATCCTTTACTATTTTATATCTTTCCTTGTGTCTTGCAGCTGACTTTTATTTTATCTGAATAAATGCTTTCCAGACACACAAAAAAAGGAGGCGTTGCCTTTGCCAAGTAATCGGATGCTTCCTTAGAGGCTCAGACCCTCAGCTAATCAAAGATGAAGCAGAGAAATGCCTTTCCTCCAGGTTTATCTTGTCAATTGATAAAGAGTTTCAGGTAGTTTTACGGTGGCAATCTTTGAACAGCTATTTGGTATAATGAGCTTTTCTCACAGAACCCATCATCGGAACAAATTATAATTGGGAGCAAATCAGCACATGATCAGACTTCTAGTATCTTCTACAGATGCAAGTACCAGATTAAGGTCTAGCAAGATGATGGTCCATATTGTAGCTATTGTGTACGTTTTTTTTTTTTTTTTAATAGAAGTTAATATCTTCATTTGGTTACTCCTGATTTATTCTTGATTGCCACGCACATTTTGGTGTTTTTGCACTCCTTGCTTTTGTTTTTTCCCAGTCTTGTTCCAGGAACCATTTAAGGTGGCTTAATATATATACATAACAAGAAAAAAGATTACATTAAAAATTGGTGGGAGAGGAGAACGACATCAAGGAAAAGTGAGAGTAGGAAAGGTGAGATGAGGACAATAGTGCCTAAACATAGACAGTTTGCTATATGATCGGCACTGTTCTAAGCACCTTGTGTATATGAATTCATTCAATCCTGACAACAGCTTCATGGGAACAATATTACAGGCTGAGCATCCCTAATCTGGAAATCTCTGAGAAGCTTCAAAATAACCTTTTGAGCATGGACATGACACCATAAGTGAAAAATTCTACACATAAGTACTTAACACAAAATTTGTTTCATGCACAAGATTATTTAAAATATTGTATAAAATTTCCTTCAGTCTCCATGTATAAGGTGTATATGAAACACAAATGACTTTCATGTTTAGACTTGGATCCCATCCCCAAGACATATCATTATATACATATATACAACTATTTCATAATCATAAAAACGCTAAAATCTGAAACAATTCTGGTCCCAAGCATTTTGGATAAGGGATACTCAACCTGTATTATCATCTCCATTTTACAGATGAGGTAACTGAAGCACAGATACATGATTAAAACTATACAAATATTAAGTGGTAGAGCTCTGAGGTTCAAACCCGGCCAAGCCCTCTGCTCTATCATATGTTACTGACTCAACAATGAAGCTGGGAATAAGGTTGATATACAAAACAGAAATTGTAAGGTCCTATGGTTCTGCTAGAGACAAACCACAAATTTGCCTCTAAGATTTCTGGCCAAATAAAATTGAGAAGGAAAAATGATCAGTTAAATGATTCACAGTGTTCAGAAGATAAAAACAAGCTGGTTGCTCAAGAGCAGCAAAATTATTTCTGGTTGGGAGACCAGAAAGAAATTTCTCTTGTAAATCTCATAAAGAAGTCACTATGTGATGAAGTGGACACTATTCTCCAATAAGTCCAACAGATTTTCATAGGGCTGCTTCTTACAACATCCCTCACTGTGTCATAGTGTATGACAAACACCAAAGCCAAATTCAGTAAAAGGCAATCCAGGAGGGGTGGGGATTTCAGAAGATGTGGTCAGGTTTGTGGATCTCTGCTGGTCTGGCTTAATTTAGGAAAACATTTTAGGCTATTTAGAGGGAAGAATGAACTGTAGATCCTACAGGCTACCATCTGTAATTATTATTCCTCTCAATTGGGCTTTTGTAGAACTTTGAGTGGTAGTGAATTTGTTGTTTCCTGGCCAGCACCTGGAGTGCAGCTCTTCTGTGGTGCTGTTTAAATGTGGAGCTTTAGCTTTAGTAGTCAACTGATGGGGGAAGGATGATATTCTTGTAAAAGCTGAGGAACTGCAAGGATGCTGTTTGAATAGAGGGCCACCCAGTCTCTACAAGGCCACATTCAGTGAAACCAAACCTGAGCCATTGACTGCCCTCAAAATACATGGAGCCAAAATGACTCTGTGGCTTTTTGTGATCAAAAAGTTCCCCATAGAGCACTCCATCCTGAATTCTAAAGCAGGTGCAACCTTGATGATTTTTAAAAAGTCTCAATAAAAAAAAAAGTCTCAATAAAGGACTCCTAGAATTTTTAAACTTAAAAATAAAACCAAACTAATAAACATATCAACATTATTTTAAAAATAAAGTAGCATAAAAATGCTAAATGAAAAAGCAATAATCCTTTGCACCGACCTTCTTCTCTCTTGTTTCACTCAGATGCCACCACTTAAACACTTTTTATTTTTTACATTTTATCCAGTCACCAGTTTTTAATATTTTGCCATACTTATACTACCATTTTCTCATTTTATATACATATATATGATTAATTTTTGAATGTTTTGAATTAGTATTGAATTACAGTATAGAATTGAATTGCATACATCATGGCCCTTTACCGTTAAATACTTCAGTAATGTATTTCCTAAGCACAAGTTGAATATTCTTTTATATAATCTAAGTACAACTGTTAAATCCAGGAAACTAAACAGTTCAATATTGTATCTAATCTGTAGTTTGTATTCCAATTTTCTCAACTGACTCAATCGTGTCTGCTAGAGGATTTATTATCCTTTATTGCTAAATCCAGTTCAGGATTAAGTATTGTATTAACAGTCAGCCCCCTGTATCCAGTTTCCAAATTCAAGGATTCAACCAATACAGATCCAGAATATTCAGAAAAGAAATAATTGTGTCCATACTGAATATGTGCATTTTTTTCCTTGTCATCATTCCCTAAAAAATACAGTACAATGACTATTTACATAGCATTTACATTATATTAGGTGGTATCAGTACTCTAGAGATGATTTAAAGTATACTGGAAGATATGCAGAGATTTATATACACATGCAATGCCATTTTATATCAGGGGCTTGAACATCTGCAAATTTTGGTATCTGTTGGGGGCGGGAGGTGGGTCCTGGAGCTGCATTTGTTACTCATCATAATCTCCTTTATTCTGGAGTAATTTTTTAGACTTTTTCTGTCTTTCACAATATTAACACACTAAAACACTCTCACTTTTAAAAAAAGCTTTATTGAGATAAAATTATGACATGATAAATTGTACAGTAGATAATTACACAGTGTGATACATTTTAAATGTGTATACATCTGTGAAACAATCAGCATCATCAAGATAAGAAACATATTCTTCACCACCAAATGTTTCTTCGTGTTCTTTTGTAACTTCTTCCAGCCACTCACTCTTTTCTCATTTCCCACGCAACCACTAATGTGCCTTCCATCACTGTTTTTAGAATTTTATATAAATGAAATGACAAGGTATGTAGCTTTTTTCTTTCAGCATAACTACTTTGAGTCATCTATGTTGTTGCATGTATCAGTGTTTCATTTTTAAATTTTATCTATTTTATGTTATTTTATTTATCAGAGATGGGGTCTCTCTTGGTTGCCCAGGCTGGAGCGTAGTGGTGCGATCACAACTCACTGCAGCCTCAAACTCCTAGGCTCAAGTGATTCTTTCACCTCAGCTTCCAAAGTAGCTAGGACTACAGGTGCACACCATCACACCTGGCTAATTAAAACTTTTTGTTGTTTTTAGAGATGGGGTCTTGCTATGTTGCCCAGGCTTGTCTCAAACTCCTGGACTCAAGTGATCCTCCCACCTTAGTCTCTCAAAGTGCTAGGATTATATGTATGAGCCACTGTGCTCAGCCTCATTCATTTTTATTGAGAAGTATTATTTTGTGTGGATTATTTATCCATTCACCTGTTGATGGACATTTGGGTTGTTTCCATGGCTGTTACATATGAAACCATGAATAGTTACAAGCAAGTCTTTGTATAGACTTATGTACCTTCTAGGTAAATACCTATAAGGAAATGCCTGTATTATATGATAGGTGTATGTTTAACTTACACTGTTAAACTTCTAAAGTGGTTGTACAATTGTGTATTCCAATAGCGTTATATGAGAGTTCCAGATCTTCCGTTTTCTTTTTTCTTTTTTTTTTTTGAGAAGGAGTTTCACTCTTGTCACCCAGGCTGGAGTGCAGTGGCACGATCTTGGCTCACTGCAACCTCCACCTCCCAGGTTCAAGTGATTCTCTTGCCTCAGCCTCCCGAGTAGCTGAGATTACAGGAGCCTGCCACCACGCCCAGGTAATTTTTGTATTTTTAGTAGAGACAGCGTTTTGCCATGTTGGCCAGGCTGGTCTTGAACTCCTGACTTCAGGTGATCCACTCGCCTTGGCCTCCCAAAGTGCTGGGATTACAGGCATGAGCCACCATACCTGGCCAGATCTTCCATTTTCTAGCCAATATTTACAATGGCCTATCTTTAATTATAATGATTCTAGCAATTGTGTAGTAGTATCTTATTATGGTTGTAACTTGCATTTCCCTAATGACTAATTATCTTGAGCGTACTTTATGTGTTTATTGTCTGTACTTTCTTTGGTGGTGTCTTTTCAAAGATGTTTTTGATATTGATATTTTAAAATGTTTCTCAATTTAGGGTTCTCTGATGTTCCCTCTTTATTAGATTCAGGTTATACACACCCAGCTGGAATACCATAAAAGTAATATTTCCTTCTCAGGACATTATATCTGGAGATACACTTTATCCCTTTGCTCCCCATTGGTAATACGATCACCTGGTTGAGGTGTAATCATCCTTCTACTCTATAGTTACTCTTTTCCCCCTTGTAACTAATAAAGTCTGTGGAGAGACACTTTGAGACCACAGAAATGCTTCCGCTCCTTATTGAATTTCCCCAATTTAGCATCCTTTTTTTTTGGATTACTTTTTTTCTGAACCAATTTTTGCTAGTATCATCACAAAATGTTGATTTTTTAAAAAAAATAACTCCAGCACTCCTTCATTTATCAGTTTACATGGTGCTATAAGGAAGAGCCTTTGTTGGCTTCTCTGTCTTTCCTTCCCTCCCCTTTTATGCCCCCCTCCCTTTCTCATTCTATCATCAGTATGGCCTCAGGGACTCCTATTTTATTCAATGGGTTATAATTTATTACTGACCTTGTATTGATGTCTGAGATTTGGACAGAGGATGTCCCTTCAAGCTGCCTTGTGTGTCCTTATGACATAGGTATTTTAGTTTTTGAGTGGATCCTTACTTTCTGTCATAAAAAGATGTTGTAGCCCCACCTGTA
This sequence comes from Homo sapiens, assembly GCF_000001405.40. Taxonomy (NCBI): domain Eukaryota; kingdom Metazoa; phylum Chordata; class Mammalia; order Primates; family Hominidae; genus Homo; species Homo sapiens. The sequence continues at coordinate 182,796,535 of NC_000002.12, read as the reverse complement.
CCTTTTCTATGGCAGTCCTGAAATCAGTAATTTTTCCAACCAAGGAATGAAATTTAGAAGCTAAGATCTGGACATTACATGCTGAGGTTTTCTGCTGAGGTGTAATTGCTTTTAGACCTTTTAAGCAGATAGAGCTACAAAACGTATCTATCCAGTGGTGAGCTGGAAAAGTTTAACAACTAGGTCTGGGGGAAGGGGCCAGAAGACCTAATTTCTAGTATTTGCCAATTTCCATGGTGTAAGTACTGGCTGGTTTCAAGCTACTAATGTGAGGTCACTAAATGCAGATTTGGGAAAAGATGCATAATTGTGTCTAATGAGCCAATAGGACTAAGCTCCAGCATACCACCATGTCTACCCATCCATCCATGCACACACCTACCTTCCCTGTTGGCTTACGCCTCCAATTTCAATCCAACTCCACTTTCTTGACTTTATTCTTTCTGCATTTGAACTTCTTTTCCCCCATAATGAGAATCCCAGCTCTCAACAACATCAACATATTAACTCATTTGCTCAGTTCCATGGTATACAGGGAATTTAGGAACTGCTACACCCATATCATAATTAAAAAAAAAAACTACGAAAAAGAGTTCAAGATTTATTTGCATTTTCCCTAGACTGCACACATACAGTCAAATTAATTTTTCATAGTTCCATGGATGAGTTTCCCTTTTCCCTTCAGTTATGTTTCATTTGAAATAAAATTGAGTTCATTTCTATTTGTTTGCATTCAGTTTCAGAGCTTTTTTCGCATTTTTGTTGACTTTATTTTTTGAGTATGTAGAACATTAATGTGATTCCGATAGTACAAAAAGGTGTATTTGGATGAGTGTTGCTCTCTCCTTTATTCTTTTACCCCATCCTACCATACCCTTGTAGTCTCCAATTTTGTTAATTTCTCATTTATCCTTCATGTGTTTCTTTTTACAAAAAGAGGTGCCATACTAGATATTCTTTTGAAGTTTGTATTGTTAATAACACATCCTAGAAATCACTCCATATCAGTTTATATAGCTCTCTCTTAAAAAATGAAAAAATTCACACCTAGTATTCTATTGAGTATATATACTATAATTTATAAAACTCATCTCCTATTTATAAACATTTAGGTTGTTTATAGTATTTTTAAATTACAAATAATGCCACAATGAAGAGTTTCGTATATATGTATTTTCAAATTGTTGAGGTATATCTTCCGTGTAGGTTCTTAAAAATAGGATTGCTAGGCAAGGGATAAATGCAGAAGTAGTTTTGTTGTTTCCTGAGACAGGCATTTTTACTAATTTTTCATTTTTTAGTATTTAACATGTTTATAGTACTTTAAGAATATATTAATTTAGATATTGGCATTTGATTTATTATTATGATAGGCGAGGATTTAGCACACTACACTTTTTCTCTTCTTCCTTACCTCTTCCTTCCCAATATAGTTTTATCACTGCTCTCCAAGTGTTGGGGGGAAAGAATTTTAGCTCCCCAATTCCCCCTACCCTCCTCCCCAATAAATGCAAATAATATCCTTGCAATGCCAACACAGCTTTAAAAAAATTCCCCTCACCTTGACTTTGACCGGATGGCCCTTCCATACTCTAGAGCTGCTGCTGCCAGTTTAACATCTATACTGGTTAATTTCATACATTCAAACACCTTACTTCATTTTCTTATCCATCTGCTGTAGCAATGTCACAAACTGGAAACCCCAGGCTGGATATGGTATTGTTTGACCCTCATATATTTAAATGTTTTAAGTAGTTGTGAACATTTGAAATATTTTACATAAAAACCCGGATTGGGGTAAATTCTGGGTAAACTGGAACATCTGGGTCTCTTTCTTCATGACAATACTCTTTTGGAGCAGAGAAACTACTGCCTTTTTAAAATAGTGCATGCACTAACTACCGTCATGTACTTTACCTACAAAACACCCTTAACTATGTGAGTTTGCAATGCCTGACTACAGCCTCACTTCACTCTGGAAGATAAGGACATTCGTACTTCTACCCGTCCTTAACCTGGGTCAGTGTATATAATTATTTTTATGTTGTTAAGCTGAAAATTGGTGACACAATTTGCATTTTTGTGACAAGTTTATTTCACTTCTACATGTTATAAAAAAACATAGCTCACTGCAAAGACAAACAGTAGAATCAAATCTAGAATGACATTTCTTACTCTGTAAGTTTAATGTGGTCATCATGCAAAGGAGAGAATCTGAATGGATTATTTCTATCCTTCATCTATTGTTTCCTATGTACTCAAATTTTTCTGAGGTCCGCAAATACGCATCTGACTTATTGCCTCATTCTTTCTCCTCAGAGACTTCTTTCCCAAGCTCTCTGCTCTCTCGCCCCATCTGCCCCAGGTGATGTTTAGGCCTCCTACTTAGCTGCTGTCCTGTGGATTTGTTCACTGCTCTCTTGGGTTGGAGTCACTGTTTCTTGGATCCCCATGCATTGTTGTTTATGCCTTCATTTGGAGGAGGTGTTTCATCACCTAACCACCTAAAAATATATTTATCATCTGCCTGCTACTTGTTAGTCTGGGTAGGTATGAATAGAATCCTAGGTTAAAAATATTTTCCTCTCAGAATTTGGAAGGCTTTGCTCCAAAGTCTTCTAGAATACTTCAAGCTCCAATTACTTTCTAATTGTTATTTTTTTGTAGGTAGTGTGTGTGTGTGTGTGTGTGTGTGTGTGTGTGTGTGTGTGTGTGATGTGTTTCCTCTCTGGAAAATTTTAGGATTGCTAAATTAAATAAGCAAGAGGACCTTGGCCTGAGGCTGTCTCCAGACTTTGAGTTCCCATGTAATAAATTGCAACCTAATTTAGTACTTAAATAAACTGAAACCTAATTTAGGATTATATAGATATATTTTTGTAACAGATAGGTCACAGCCAATTGCATGCTGCCAACTTGCCTTATTTGGAGCAGACCATGTCCAAATAAGGCAAATGCCTATCTGTAACCAATCAAGCTATTTCTGTACTTAATTTTTGTTTTCTGTCTATGAATGTTCACTGCATACCTCGCAAAGCAGAGCTCTCTGAATGTCTTCTGGTTCTCAGTGCTGCCTGATGGATGAATTGTTCTTCACTCAAATAAAATGTTAAATATATTTTGCTGAAAGTTTCTCTTTTACCAGGATCTTCTTTTTGGTTCTGGAATTTCACAATTTCACTGTGAGTAGAAGTTGAAGTCCTTACAAAAGTTAGAAAGCTAAAGTCCTTACAAGTGACCTGCAAAGCCCTCTATGATCTGGCTCCCCACTTTCTCTCTCCCTCTAACTTCATCTTCTCTCCTGCTAGCTCACTCCATTCCAGCCACATGAGCCTCCCTGCTGTTCCTTGAACCTGCCAAGCATGCCTTGGAGCCTGTCCTCTGGCCTTTCTCTCTGTTCATATGCTCTACCCTCAGCCCATTTAGTGGCTACATTTTTTCCACCTCCTTCAATGGCATCTTCTCCAAGAGACCTGCCCTGTCCACCCTATTTAATACCGAAACTCTCCTGCTGCTGCCCCCACACTCCTAATCCCTCATACCCTGGTCTACCTTTTTCTTTATTTCACAGCACATCTTCTAACATACTTCTAACATACTTAACATTTGCTTATATTAATTGTTTATTGTCTATCTCCCCACTGCGAGAATAGAATCTTCATGAGGTCAATACATTTAATACACTATCTTAAATGCATAGAACAAAGCCTAGCACATTGTAAGTACTCAAATAAATGTTTGCTGAGTGACATGGGGCTCATGTTGAGCTCATGTAACTTCCTCATAAATGATTTCTATTCAGGAAGGCCAAAGGAAAGATGACAAGGAGGATTACGATGTTCCATTAGCGGAAGAATTGAGTCTAACTTCACACACTTCTCTTGCAGATAAACTGGTTTGAGGTTATAGGCCTCTAATTTATCAAGAAAGAAACTGGCATGCATTTAGATGGACTGCTTAAGCCAATAGGTCTGTAATCTGTGGGGAGCAAAGAGGTGTTCTTTCAAACAATGAGAGGTTAAACAATACATTTATCAGATGGGACTTTTGTGAACATTGAGGGACAAAACAGGAAGCTGAAAAGGAAACCAATCAATTCTACCAGGGTTTATAACAGCTGTAATGAAAAGCCTTGGGGAAGGAAAGAAATTGGAATATATCCTCTTCATTATTTTTTGTACCTCAAAATGTTATCCTGTTCCACAACCCTCAAAACCCCTCACAAAGATAACCAACTACTGTAATCCTCATTTAATAAACATAGACTTCAGATAGTGCATTTAATTCTAATGAAACTTGTGCAAGATTATAGCATGGAGATAAAAAAATAATTGTTCACTGATGGTATGCAAGCATTTGTGAGGATTACTTATAAATTGACTTGAGCATCTCTTTTTTCTTTAATTTACTCTTTGAACATGTATTGAGTGTCAAGATGATGGCATGAAAAGTGAACAAGATTGTGTCCTGGCTTTGAAAGTTCATGCACTCTAGGACAGGGAAACATACTAATCAACAGGACTGAACTTATAAGGTGTTTCAGGATCCAATTCTCTGATTCTCTAGATTATTGCATTGTTTAGAGTTAAATTTAAAATGTGTATCTTCAATATGTTGTAAAATGCAAAACATAACTTTTAAACGCTTTAAACATCCATTGTTGAAATGTAAGATGCAATTTAGATTTTTTAGTATCTATTTCCATATTGCAATTAATTAAACGATAACTGCAAATCTTATCATGTATTAGAAACATGTGACTGAAATGACTAAACTCCTGTTTTTGAGGTGTCTTATCCACATTAGAGTGTTATAAAATGTTGTATACAGTTTGTATGCCCAAATACTGGATTTATTAAACAGAAAATAAATGAGAGGTAGAATAAAGTAGTCATTGTTGGAGCCAGGTTTCACTTGTCAAGAAAGAGTTCACAGAGGCCAGTTTGAAGAATATCTTGAAACTCATTAAACTGAAAAAGTTTTGACCAATATTTTGCTAACAACTATATAATCATTATGGACAGAGCTACTTTCCCCAGCATAGTTTCAGAAACACACGTTGACTTCTAGCTGGGCTGAAGTTTTAAAGTTTAAGATGTTTATATACTTTTAAAATTTCATTTTAGAGTAACCCATTTTATACTAATTTGGCCAGAATAGTATTCAAAAATATTGTGTATAAATGGCCACCTGAATACATATCTCTCTTAATTTTTAACTTTTGAGGCTGGGTGAGTTTCTATGTTAAGGTTTATTCACACCAAGGCATACTAGTTTTTGTTGCCAACTAGTTATGATTCAGGAGGACTGAAAACTAAGCTCTAGAGTTACTTTAATTGGAGAATTACTGCTTGGATTTAAATTTTATGGCTTGATCTCATAATGAATGAATTGCCCTACTTCTGAGGGAACACATTTCATGCAGGGTCGATCTCTGTGGGGGTATTTATCCACTAAATTTATGTAGTGAATATTTTATCCCAAATGAAGAAATTAAAAAAATATTTACTTGAAAATAAGTCATAACATTTAAATATCAAAATAGTGAACAAAGAGAGAAGGAGCATAGACAGTTGAACAGGAGGGTAAAAGAGAATATGGTTACTTGGAAGAAATAAGAGAATAAAGCAAAGGAAAAGTCAGAAAATAAGTCAGCTTAGTAGGCAATGTAACTGATAAGTAAGGTTATTTGATTTTAGTGTTAGAAGGCATAATTATTACTATTGTAATTTTTTTTTTTTTTTTTGAGATAGAGTTTCACTCTTGTTGCCCAGGCTGGAGTACAGTGACGTGACCTCAGCTCACTGTAACCTCTGCCTCCCGGGTTCAAGCGATTTTCCTGTCTCAGACTCCCAAGTAGCTGGGATTACAGGCGTGCACCACCACGCCTGGCCATTTTTTTTTGTATTTTTAGTAGAGACGGCGTTTCACCATGTTGGCCAGGCTGGTCTTGAACTCTTAACCTCAAGGGATCCACCCGCCTCGGCCTCCCAAAGCGCTGGGATTTCAGGTGTGAGCCACTGTGCCTGGCCCTTACTATTGAATTTTAGAAAAGGGAAAAGGTGCTTCATTAGATATTCGCTTTTACATCTGACATTTTATATAGCAGGTTTAAACACATTTAAGTATTGTTCAGTTCTGTAAGACCAAGGTATTAGATTTGCAGTTTTCTCAAGTTTCACATGCAGAAAGTCATGTAAACTAAACGAATAAGCTAGAAGCATTTAGCACCCAAAGTACTTCAGCAAATCTTGAAGTTTATAAGTATAAAATAAATTTCTTCTGCTCTTGAAGACCTAACAATCTAGTTTGGAAGATAACATATGGAATAATCAGAGAATAATATAGGACTAAATAAAGCTTTTTCTTATAAACAAATACTTAGTTTTGTGGTAGACAATGAGGAACTTTTAGAAATTCAGAAATCAATGTGAAGTAAAGAAGTCAGCAAAGGCTTTACAGTGGAAGTTGGATTTGGGATTTAAGTTAGATTTTGGGTTTACAGGATGAGGTGAAGGATGAAAAGGGCATCCAAATGGGAAAGTAATACAAAGCATGGTATGAGAATGTAAAATAACCAACTTCCCACAAAGTACTTTGATATGGAAAAAGTAATAATTTAAAGACTCTAAAAGTACAAATCAAAACTCCAATGGGATATGAACGCACACTCATTGGGATACCTACTATTTAAAAAAAATGAGTGTTGGTGAGGATGTGGAAAAATCAGAACTCTTGTGCACTATTGGTGGGAATGTAAAATGGTGCAGCTGCTATGAAAAACAGTATGGAGGTCCCCCCATATTAAAAATAGAATTACTATGATATAGACTTACACTTCTAGGTATATAGCTGAAAGAACTGAAAGCAGGGTTTCTGATATTTGTACACCCATGTTTATAGCAGCATTATTTGCAATGGCCAAAGGGTGAAGGCAGCCTATCAACGGACGAATAACAAAATGTAGAATGTATATATAATTGAATATTATTCAGCCTTAAAAAGGAAGAAAATTGGCTGGGTGCGGTGGCTCACGCCTGTAATCCCAGCACTTTGGGAGACCAAGGCAGGCGGATCACCTGAGGTCAAGAGTTCGAGACCAGCCTGGCCAACACACTAAAACCTTGTCTCCGTTAAACATACAAAAATTAGCCAGCGTGGTGGCACATGCCTGCAGTCCCAGCTACTTGGGAGGGTGAGGCAGGAGAATCGCTTGAACCTGGGAGGTGGAGGTTGCAGTGAGCTGAGATCACACCACTGCACTCCAGCCAGGGGGACAGAGTAAGACTCCGTCTCAAAACAAGAAAATTATGACACATGCTACAACATGGGTGAGTCTCGAGGACTTACGCTAAGTAAAATAAGGAATCACAAAAAGATAAATGGTGTATGATTTCACTTACATTAAATATCTATGGTAGTCATATTGATAGAAAGTAGGGTGGTGGTTGTCAGGGTCTAGCAGCATTGGTAAATAAAAAGGTTTTGCTTTATGGATATAAAATTTCAGTTTTGCAAGATAAAGTCACGGAGATGGGTTGAACAATGTGAAATTACTTAACACTACTGAACTGTATGCTACTTTAAAATGATTAATAAATTTTGTTACATGTACTTTATCACAATTTAAAAAACTCTAAAAGGAATCAAGAGTTTTAAAGAAGACACAAAATGACCTTTAACGTGAAATCTCTCTTCCCCAAAAAATCCGTAGACATACTAAGTGATCATAAAGTCATAGAGCTTGAAGTCCATTTTAGAAAACTTCTGAATAGTCTACCTTTCCGTTTTCCCAAGTAGGAACTTCCCTGGATTTCCTCTGAGATAAATAGACGTTACTTGTGCTGTGGGATAAGCTCACTTCCTTTTGTTCTCTGGGACAAAAGAACACAAATATGACCATCACTTACAGACGGACGTATTGCTACAACCAATTGCTAACATTTTTCCTTTTGAGATAAGTACTTAAACTGTCCATCCTTATTTCCAAGATATTTTTCAAATTTTAATACTTTTTATACATTTTGTTTTTACTCCCATTTTCTCCTATTTTTTGGTGGTTTTATAACTTATTTGATGATTTACAGTTCTCATCCACCTTGTCTGTTGATTTCTGCAAGTGGTAACAGGTACATAGGTAACCAAAGTATAAGAGCTCGTTTGGTGAATTTTCATCCTCGCTATGTTTTCTGGACTACTGCTTATGGATAAGACATGGGACATCCTTTATTCGCCTGGCCCCGACAGCTTTGTAGAGGCTGGTATCAACGCGCATTTCCTTTGTGGCACACTTCCGGATCTCTTTGAGTGCTCTGAGGGGTATGCTTCTTGAATCCCACTCCATGGATGGGCTTGTGGACGCTGATGGCATATTCTCGGGTCACCACCTCATTGATGGCAGAACAGCCCTTCTTGCCACCCTTCTCTGTAGGAACCACTCTGCGAGGCTCAAATTGGAAAGGACTCTCATTTATCTTAAATAGTGGCTCTTCAAGTATTTGTTAAACATCTTTCTGAGAGTACAGTAAAATAATATGCCTTAATTTTTCTATGTGAGCATTACTTCAATTTAGAGACACCTAATTCCTAAAATCATTCTTTACCTTTTGTTTTTTGAGACGGGGTCTTCCTCTGCCTCCCAGTCTGGAGTGCAGTGGTGTGATCACGGCTCACTGCAGCCTGGACCTCCTGGGCTCAAGCAGTCCTCCCACCTCAGCCTCCCAAGTAGCTGGGACTACAGGCATACCCTACCACGCCTGGCTAATTTTTGAATTTTCTTGTAGAGAGGAGGTTTCACCAGGTTGTCCAGGCTGGTCTTGAAATCCTGGTCTGCAGGAATCCTTCTGCCTGGGCCTTCCAAAGTGCTGGAGTTACAGGTGTGAGCCACCGCACCTGGCCTCATTCTTTGCCTCTAAGTCTCACTTTCATTCCCATGCCTATTTTGACTAAATTAAATGTCTTCGATTTGTTCAGTTGGTTAGAGGTTAAGACTGCTAACCAAGCATGTGAACTTTCAGTGGTAATCCTGCAAAGACTTAAAGTCTGTGGCTTTGGTAGGCAGTTTTGTCATAATGAATGAACGGTTTGGTAGTACATTACGGGTTTGTATAAACTTCTTGAATAGCAGAGCTTATAAACTATTCAGAATCAAAACACCAGGTAAACAGTGGGAAGAGACAGTAGGCCCACCCTATTTTCTTCCATAATTCCAGAACCTTAAAGCAGCAGAAGCCACAATGACTAGCGGGTGATGTGCACCTTGCTGGAGTCTGAATCAGTATGGGGAGACTGTCAAGCCAGTATAGTTTCCAAAAGAAGTTTAACGCCTATGACTGTGGACCAGCTCCTCTGGCATTCACCTGACCAGTGGAACTGCAAAACTGATTTTTTTCAATATATTGTCTGTCCAGGCTGCTATAACAAAATGAACTGGCTGGCTTAAAAAAACACATTTATTTCTCATAGTTCTGGAGGCTGGGAAGTCCACTATCAAAGTGCTGGCAGATTGAGTGCCTGGTGAGGGCCTTGTTTGTTGGTTTACAGATGGCTCGCTCTCACCGTGTTCTCCCATGGCAGAAGGGACGAGCAAGATACTGGGGTCTCTTTTATAAGTGTACCAATCTCAAAAAGGAGGTCTCTGCCCTCATGACTTAAACCCTTCCCAAAGGCCTCACATTCCTAATACCATTACCTTGGGGGTTAGGATTTCAACATAATTTTAGGGAGAGCAGGAGGGGATATAAACATTCGGACCATAGTAATAATCTCTAAAAATAGTTTTTCATAGATCGGTGTGAAATCTGATGTGTGCTGAGAAATCTGTTGAGAGGGAGGGAGAGAACTTGGCTTTGGCAAGAATGGGGTTTGAAGGACACAAGGGTGGAAGGCTATTCAAAGCTGCGTAGCTGGCAAAAGCTAGGTGCTGCTGGTTGGTCACCTAGGTCTATTCCTTTGGGAACAGGAGGTCACACCTTAGGAAGATGGTGTACCCTGTGCCTTCAGGCAGGTTCAGTTGATCTTCCTTGAAGAAAATGGTGAGACCTCATCAGTCTAGTTTGACTAGACAATCTCTAGTCAATTATTTCCATTTCAGAATTCAGTATTATGACCTCAGTGAAGGGAACAGGATTACAATTTTCCAGTATATTGAGAGCTTGAGGCTCAAAATGGTGAAATGATGCTCAGGCTCCACGCTGAAAGGAAGTAATGAAAAGAAAATGAATTCTACCCATTCTCTTCGAAAGTGGTCCTACTTAGTGCCAACCAATTCCATTTTTATCCTGTAACTTTTCTACCTCTAACAGGTAAACTGATTTCCTGGCAGTTGATTATACACTTGTCATTTGGGGTTCTGTATAAATTTCAATGTTATCTTAGTTGTAAAAACAATATTTTGCGTTTCTGAAATTAAAACTGTTATTAAAACTGTATCATGGAACATTTTCCAGCAAAACAAATATATAATCAACCCATATCTATCCCTTATCAGCTTCAATACTTATGATACAGCCATCCATTTAACAACTACCCAAAGTCCCTGGATTATTATCTCCCCACTTTTTTTTGGTTTCTCTCAGATCCTGGTTACTGGATTATTTTAAAGCAAATGCCAAACATTTTCATTATTAAAAAAAGTCATTAGAATATGCAACAACATCCCCTGCAAACAATTCTTAGTTAATATCAAATTCAAATATTCTGATTTCCCCAACTGTTTCATATATATATGAAATATATCCTACTGTCTCTATAGATCTATGTATATATAAATGTATACAATAGTCTGTTCAAATCAAGATGCAAATATAGCCCACATACTGCATTTGGCTCATGACTGAAAAGCCTCTTTTTCTTTTTCCTTTTAAGCTATACGATACCTTTCTCTGTCTTTTTCATTAAAGAAATCATACCATTTGTCCTACAAAATTTCCCACATTCCCGATTCTTGCCTGCACATTGATTTGTTTTTCTAAACACATTACCTCATCTTATTTATATGACTACCTACTGAAATATTTTTTCCACTTAACAAACGAGTTAATTAGGATAATTAGGATACAGATATGAAGTAAGCAATTTTTCCAAACTCATAGTAAGTACTTGACTACAGGGCGAGAATTCAGTACACCCATTTCTGTGACCAAGAGCTCTTTCTTTTTACCTGAAGACTATGTGTCTTATTTCACAAAGGAGTACTAAAAGCCCCAGAAAACCCTGAGATTTTTGAATTAAAAAAAAAAATTAAGCTATTAGTCCAATTTTATGTTTTATTTATTAGAAGTGATCCATTTATACTGTTACACAGGCACCATTCTTCATGAATGGGAATCTGCTGAGCTCCAATACATGTATGTATCTTTACATGTCTATAGCAGTGTGTGTGCCTGTATGATTTTCTAAATTTATTGTCATACCATTCATACACTTTGAGTATCTGTCCTATTTATTACACTAGATTACAAACTTTTGGATGCGAAATACTTTTAACTTTTCTGCAATTTCTCATAGTCAAACATAACTGACTGATAATTCAGGATATTTTTAGTGAAAACACAAAGGCCAGCTAGACTGTGTGATTCTTATCAAGTACTGAGGTAGAAATGGCATTTTATCAGAAAAATGTGTCTGCTTATTTTTCACTGCCATCTACTGGTACCTGATGTTATTTCTGCTTAAAATCCTTCAGGGAAGCCTATCAGAGGGATTTACACAGAGCAACAAGAAATTATGAAGCCCTAAAAATCCTTTGAGAAAGTTCCTTTCAAAAGAATAGGTGCTACTTTAGCAGGTAGAGCTACCTTAAATTTTACAATAAAAGTTACTAACATCTAAAAGGGTTACTATAATATCAACTACAATGCCTCTAAGCTATAAGGGCTGCAAATTAAACTTATCATTATTTATAATTTTTAAGGCATAAAACAATGAATTTATAATTTCTAGTCAGAAATTCTTATCACAGTAGAGCTCTGGCAAATTAGTTTTAAACACAGTCAACAGTATAATACTTCTGGCTGTTTGTCAATTGAAATACACACTGTGCTTCTACGGGTCAACAATGTGCTAGGTTCTGCCAACACTGCAGGGAATAAGACACATGTGGCTGCTGTCTTCAGAGATGACAATATGGCTGTGTGTGTTTGTGTGGGGAGGTTTCTTAAGTTTATATAAAATACCAACAAAATGATTTTTTTTGTTGTTTTGTTTTTTTTTAGACAGGGTCTTACTCCGTCACCCAGGCTGGAGGGCAGTGGTGTGATCTCTGCTCACTGCAACCTTTGCCTCCGGGTTCATGCAATTCTCCTGTCTCAGCCTCCAGGGTAGATGATTACAGGCACACACCTCCATGCCCAGCTAGTTTTTGTATTTTTAGTAGAGATGGGGTTTCACTATGTTGGCTAGGCTGGTCTTGAACTCCTGGCCTTAAGTGATCCTTCCACTTGGCCTCCCAAAGTGCTGGGATTATGGGCGTGAGCTACTGCACCCAGCCAACAAAATGAATTTTAAAGTTTATTTAATTTCGGTAGTGAAATAGGTTTTCTTTTTGCATCTTGAATTTATTACAAATTAACTTGATAGGATTAATTTATATTAGTTAATTAATACAAATTAACTTTCCAAAGTCTTAACATGAAGATTGAGATTATAGGCCTTTTGATAGATCATGTTATTCATTCTTGAGTTCTTTGGTGATTATTGACAGATGAATTGCTAACATACTAAAAATAACAATATAGTTGATCTTCAAGTAATATACCCAAGTTTTTATAGTAAAACATGAGATACTGCTGTTCCAAGTCTGAAAAATATATATAAACATGTTTAAAATCATTAAACATTTTTTCACTCCTGTCACAAAATAGAAAGTATATTTAAAATATAAAACAAGAAAGCTGGGTTACAGACTGGTAAAGATAAATCTAAGATTTCTCAAAAATAGAGGAAAAATGGAACAGACTTTACCTCATCTTCATAATTTTCATGATAAGAAAGGGAAGATGTTTTGTAAATAAATGATTTTTCCTAAATACATTAAAGCCAACAAATTGTTTCATTTTATTACTTTCAGTTGGCAGTGGCTGCTGAAATATTTTTTTTGTGTGTGTATATGTATTTTTTGCCTTAACGCCATATACTTTATCTAATGACTTGAGAAAGATATTTCAATGCATAGGTGGGACTTTTTGCTAGTTAACTGGCTTCAGAACCATGTTTTAGTTAGCTAATGTTTTACCGCTTGGTAATATAAATAGCCACTTAGAATTCAAGTTTTCTAAGTTTCCAATTTCATATTTTCCAAAAATCAACACTTATTCTTTTAAAGACATTTTACTTCCTCCAAACATTTGAAATAGCAGTTATGACAAAAACATGATTATCTCAATAGATGCAGAAAAGGCCTTCGATAAAATTAACACCCTTTCATGCTAAAAACACTCAAAAAACTAGATATGATGGAACATATCTCAAAATAATAAGAGCTATTTATGACAAAACCACAGCCAATATCATACTGAATGGGCAAAAGCTGCAAGCATTCCCTTTGAAAACCGGCACAAGACAAGGATGCCCTCTCTCACCACTCCTATGTACTGGAAGTTCTGGCCAGGACAATCAGGCAAGAGAAAGAAAGCGTATTCAAACAGGAAGAGAGGAAGTCAAATTATCTCTGTTTGCAGATGACATAATTGTATATTTAGAAAACCCCATCATCTCAGCCCAAAAACTCCTTAAGCTGATAAGCAACTTCAGCAAAGTCTCAGGATACAAAATTAATGTGCAAAAATCACAAGCATTCCTATACACCAATAATTGACAAACAGAGAGCCAAATCGTGAGTGAACTCCCATTCACAATTGCTACAAAGAGAATTAAATACCTAGGAATACAACTTACAAGGGACGTGAAGGACCTCTTCAAGAACTACAAACCACTGCTCAAGGAAATGAGAGAGGACAGAAACAAATGGAAAAAGCATTCCATGCTCATGGATAGGAAGAATTAATATTGTGAAATAGTCATACTGCCCAAAGTAATTTATAGATTCAATGCTATTCCCATCAAGCTACCATTGACTTTCTTCACAGAATTGGAAAAAACTACTTTAAATTTCATATGGAACCAAAAAAAAAAGAGCCCATATAGCCAAGGCAATCCTAAGCAAAAAGAACGAACTATACTACAAGGCTCAGTAACCAAAACAGCATGGTACTGGTACCAAAACAGAGCTATAGACCAATGGAACAGAACACAGCCCTCAGAAATAACGCCACACTTCTACAACCATCTGATCTTTGACAAACCTGACAAAAACAAGCAATGGGGAAAGGATTCCCTATTTAATAAATGATGTTGGGAAAACAGGCTAGCCACATGTAGAAAACTGAAACTGGGACCCCTTCCTTACACCTTATATAAAAATTAAGTTGATAGATTAAAGACTTAAATGTAAGGTCTGAAACCATAAAAAACCTAGAAGAAAACCTAGGCAACACCATTCAGGACATAGGCATGGGCAAAGACTTCATGACTAGAACACCAAAAGCAATGGCAATAAAAGCCAAAACAGATAAATGGGATCTAATTAAAGAGCTTCTGCATGGCAAAAGAAACTATGATCAGAGTGAACAGGCAACCTACAGAATGGGAGAAACTTTTTGCAATCTATCCATCTGACAAAGGGCTAATATCCAGAATCTACAAGGAACTTAAATTTACAAGAAAAAAATCCCATTAAAAGTGGGCAAAGGATATGAACAGACACTTCTCAAAAGAAGACATTTAGGTGGCCAACAAAGATATGAAAAAAAGCTCATCATCAGTGGTCATTAGAGAAATGCAAATCAAAAACACAATGAGATACCATGTCACATCAGTTAGAATGGCGATCATTAAAAAGTGAGGAAACAACAGATGCTGGAGAGGATGTGGAGAAATAGGAATGCTTTTACACTGTTAGTGGGAGTGTAAATTTGTTCAACCATTGTGGAAGACAGTGTGGCGATTCCTCAAGGATCTAGAAATAGAAATACCATTTGACCCAGCAATCCCGTTACTGGGTATATACCTAAAGGATTATAAATAATTTTACTATAAAGACACATGCACACGTATGTTTATTGGAGCACTATTCACAATAGGAAACACTTGGAACCAACCAAAATGCCCATCAATGTTAGACTGGATAAAGAAACGGGCACAAACACACCATGGAATACTATGCAGCCATAAAAAAGGATGCGTTCATGTCCTTTGCAGGGACAGGGATGAAGCCGGAAACCATTATTCTCAGCAAACTAACAGGAACAGAAAACCAAACACCACATGTTGTCACTCGTAAGTGGGAGTTGAACAATGAGAACATATGGACACAGGGAGGGGAACATCAACAATGGGGCCTGTCGGCGGGGTAGGGGGCAAGGGGAAGGACAACATTAGAAGAAATAGCTAATGTAGATGACAGGTTGATGGGTGCAGCAAACCACCATGGCACATGTATACCTATGTAACAAACCTGCATGTTCTGCACATGTATTGCAGAACTTGAAGTATTAAAAAAAAAAAACAGCAGTTGCTTAATGAAGATTGTCTATCAGTTATTAACACAGACCTTTTTGGGGATGATTGCTAACTTTCAGGACCAAAGGCCACTAGGTGATGCACTCAAATGACTACTTAATGCAATCAAGTGGTTGAAAGATGCATTTCTGGAGTCCATACTGATGTAGACCAGTTTGGCGTTGAGACTTTGGCTGTATTTTTGGCTAGTTTCCATTCACAAAATATACCTAGCTGTTTACAAGGGGACTCAGTGACAGTACAAGAATCTAAGTGTAAATTCAGTGTTAAACAGAAAAATGACTCAAGCCAGTGAAACACATTTTTGTGTATGATTAGTAATTTATACTCAGCTTGGTCATTGGCCTAAATTTTGTAATTCTTACTGAAAAGAAACTGTATTAGTCTGTTTTGCATTGCAATGAAGGAATACCTGGGACTGGTTACCTTATAAAGAAAACGTTTATTTGACTTGCAGTTCTGCAGGCTGTAAAAACATGGCACCAGCATCTGCTCAGCTTCTGGTGAGGTCTCAGGGAGCTTTTACTCATGGCAGAAGGCACGGGGGGAGAAGGCATGTCACACAGAGAAGGAGCGAGAAAGAGAGGAGGTGGTGGTGCCAAGTTCCTTTTAACAACCAGCTCTTGCAGGAATAAACACAGCAGGAACTCATTACCACTGGGGAAGGCACAAAGCCATTTATGAGGGATCAGCCCCCATCACCCAAACACCTCCCACCAGGCCCCATATCCAACACTGGGGATCATATTTCAACATGAGATTTGGAGGGGACAAATACTCAAACCATATTACAAACTTCTTCACTAGAAGAATTTGGGTATATGTAAGTAAGTTTTCAGTATATGTGTAAAGTAGAATATTATCAGAAAGGTTATTTACTTTTCATCTTCATTATCAATTTTCTATAGGTATCATAAAAATTTAAAATGCATTTTGTTAATTTAATCTTTTATTATTTCTTAACAGTCACAATGGAATAAATGTGCCTACTTTAAGACATCTATCTGGTTTTGTTGGCAGATTTAAGGACTAACACTAGACTAAATATTACACAAATATTCTATTCAAATGACTTAAAAGTGCTACCCTTTTACTAAAAATTTTATCGTACTAAACATCTTTGAAATGTGTGTCCCATAGGAAATGTGTTTTTTTGATAACCGTACTTCTAAAAAAATTCCCACTTTGAGCACTGTCAGAAAACAGAGCAAATTTAAAGAAAATTTTGAGAATATAAAATTACATAAACATTTCATTTTACTTTTCCTTTATCTTAATCATATACCTTTAAATAAAAAAGCTATGAAAGACCTAAATAAAATTTGAGAAATCAGAATAGACAAACATCATTAATGCCCAAAACATAATTTATTTATTAGAGATGGGGTCTTGCTATGTTGCCCAGGCTGGATTCAAAATCCTGAGCCCAAGCAATCCCTCCTGCCTCAGCCTCTCAAGTAGATGGGACAATAGGCGCACACCACCATACCTGACTGTAAGCCACATACTTTAAATGGACCTAATTTCCAAGCCTGGCTGCCTGATAGAATGTGCTTTGGTCAGCTAGAATTGATACCATGTTAGAGGGTCAGCTGCACACAAAAATGGTGTTGCTGAGAGAAATGGCACATTATACCTGGTACTCCTTAGAGGTGCTCTATCTACTGTATCAATATAGCCATTAAAAGCTCAATCTGCCAGCTGTTTTTGAAAGACCCAATAATACTGTTATGACTATATAAGATAACCTTGATGTATGTCACTTTATGATACGTGTTTCTTAACATGACTCCCAGGGGGCCCTGGCTTAGAGCTGATTCCAAAGGCACACAGCTTAGGTCAAATTATAGGACACATAATATTTACTATTTTATTTACTGCCTAAAATGTTTCTCAACAACTAACAAGTACAGGAAACATTTATAGGTAGTAATGTAAGTACCTTATGAGCTCAATGACAAAACAGTGAATTACAGACAGTTGGAAGATGGGGACCATGTCTTAGATTCCTTTTGAACACTCCTCAGTGTCCAGTGTGGTGATATGCACATAACCAGTATATTTTAGTAAGTATTTACCCAAGTAAGACTTCTTTAGGCATTCCATTTTGGGATTCTTGTAGAAAGAAGCCAATTTTGTAGAACTCCTAGGCTTTAAACATTCGAGAATGAAAGGCTCTTGCCATTACTGATCATAATTCAAAAAGCTGGTGTTAAGTGTGACAAGTGGTGACTGTTCCATATATGCCAACAGGCATACAGCAGAATCCAGACAGAGTATATAGTAGCGAAAAAGATGGGAGAATATGAAGAACAAAGTCTATTTTAACATTAATTATGGCTATAATAACCCTTATGAGGAAATACTGGTGAGCAGGATAAAGTGATATTGAAAAGAAAAAAAGGAAAACTCCTCAAAACACAATAAAGCATATTCTAACAGGTTTTTGAAAAAGTTGCAAGCCTTTTAATTCATTGACCTCTTTTGACTGATTGGAATTTTTACCATTCTGTACACTCTGAATTATAACTAAACAACTACATGTTACTGACAAATTTGTGATTCTTTGAGTCTAAACAACACAGAAACTAGAAGATCCCTTTCCTAGATTTATATACTTGATTTTCTTATAAAAATAACTTCAGTTATTATGTCAATATTTATCTGAAAAAGGCAGCCCTCTGACAGTAAACTAGTAACTGGAATAACTACAGTATCATTATAAGCTACAGTAAAACAACCTGTAAAGTAATTTTTCCTATTTGAATAATAAATAGACTGGACAGGAGTGAAAAACCAAAACTACGAAAGAAAAACCCAATGTAAATAAAGGATACAGGTCAAAACAAAGTTCAGAAGGCAAATATGTAAATATTAGATGCCTCAAAAATCAACTATCAGTGGGAAAATTTCTATGAAAGCAATTTCAGAAAATACATGAACACATATATCTTTAAAATATAGAACTCTAAATACTTGATAACATATTTAGGATACTCTACAATGCCCAGTTAATTGCTATAATTTTTTTCCCTCAGGTTTTCCTGGATGATACGGCAAACTACAGAATTTGTGCACTTACTGTTGCTCAAATTTGTGTACTTACTGTGTGCACATATACTGCTGCACTGTTTCTCGGCTGTGAAAAATTAAAAGCATTTTTTCAACCTTTGAGAAGGAAAGAAAACAATGAAGAATCTCCTCATAATAATACAGCATAACAGGGTTTGTTTACTGTGCCACATCATGGGTGTTTTTAAAACGAAATATAAATATATGGTTAGGGATAGCATTTTTAGGAGAACAAGTGACCAAAAACTAAGTTACCTCTTTTCAGGTCAGCCAAAAAACGTGAAGGGAAAGTGGACTTTATACAACTTAGACATTTATGTAGATAGCACAGCAGACTCATGTTCAAGCCAGCCACCTGAAACATTATAAGTCCGTCGAGGGGGACAGCAATCTATGGTCCATGGACTGAATCCAGCCTACTTTTGTATGGCTCTGAGCTAAGAATCGTTTTAATATTTTTTAAAGGTTGTTAAAAGCAAATAACAAAGAATACATGATGACTCTATTCTTGTTCTCATGTGTGAACCATATATTATAGCCTGCAAAGTCTAAAATATTTATAAACCGGCCCTTTACAGAAAAAGTTTGCAGACCCTTCTTTTACACCAGTGCTGTAGATAATTCTGGCAGTACAACTGCAAGTCTAAGATAATGTTCATTCATTCCCATCATAAATGTAACATTCTAAATAGGTGTCTTCTGATGTCATCTGTCAGAATTTCTTTTAAACTTTTTCTTCATCTTCAACATTATCAAAGTTCATCCTATAATAATAATGTAAAGGCGATAGAGAAAGGAGAAAGTATGAGTTGGTAATGTTAAAAATAAGGTGAAATACCACAAACCAACATTTTACTTTTTCAGAAATACTCAATATTCTTATTTAATGGATCATGACATGAAATATACTTTGCCAAAATATAACAATAAAAAAGAAAAGAATATCCTAGTTCTTACCTGCTCACAGCAGATATTACTAACTATATAGGTTTACATAATTTCAAGCATATTGGGTATTCTCTTTAACTTAATTTCAGGTATGATATTTTAGATTATGACAATTTTTAAATTTCAAATATTTAATGAGATAAAAGTTACACCTTTCAAAATAAAATATCTTGAGAAAACTAATATAGCGAAACACTAGAAAAACATGTTTGTTCAGTGGAACCAAGAAAATACAGACTCATAACTCTTTCCTACCTTTCAGATTCGTAAAAAATATTCTTGAGGTAGGTTGTAAGGCTTTGTCTATTGGGGTCTGCAGTTTGAACTGGATTACAGTAGAACCTATTGTCTAATATGGTGCTATAAAGCCAGTCTTCTCTAGCCCTTTCCAGAGGCTGAGCTATTTTGTCCTCCTTTCGCCTCATAGGGAAAGAATCCGAGATACCTCATGTGATTGTATTAAATTCCATTTTAAAAGCACTACAACATTCATAGACTCTTTGTTCTGTTTTTAAGTATGATCTACAGTAACACCGATTTGAAAAAGGTAAAACTGAACTGCCTTCTGAAGAGTAACAGGAAAAAGGTTGTGCTGCTTCTTGACAGATTAAAGATTCAAAGAGGGGCCAACACAAATATGGGTTTCAATACATTCTGATTACACCAAGAACAAAAGAAAATTTGCTATTCAAAACGTGTTATGAGGCTCCAGTATATTTATTCCTAACAATTCAATGCTTTATTTACATTTGAACAAAATTTAAATAATTTATGGCCACAGTCACTATTTTTTTTTTAATGGCTTTGTTGAGATATATTTCACATACCATAAAATTCCCACATTTAAAGGAGTTTAGTGGTTTTTGGTATATTCAGAGTTGTCCAACTGTCATTACAATCTAATTTTAAAACATTTTTCCATATTCCCAAAATAAACTCCTTACTACCCATTAGCAGTTACCCCATTTTTGCTCTTTTCTATCCCACTCCACTTCGGCCCCAGGCAACCATTAACCTACGTTCTGTCCCTATGGATTATTCTAGATATTTAACATCAATAGTATTATATAATATTTGGCCTTTGTGACTGGCTTCATTCACTAAACATTTTCCAGAGTTCAAACATGTTGTAGCATAGGTCAGTACTTCATTCCTTTTATGGCTGAAAATATTCTATTCAATGGATACACCACATTTCATTTATCTGTCAGTTGACAGACATTTCTTTTTTTTGCTATTATGAATGATACAGCTATAAATATTTGTATACATGTTTTTGCATGGACCACAGTCACTATTTTTTGTTAAGTGGTTTTACTTGTCCAAATTTTTAAAAGCATTTCAGTGTCTAGGCTACATTTTGATTGTCCTATTTCCCAAAGTAGAATTTTCAGCTATCTTACTATTTTTTGATGCCTCATTTTGTTGTCTCTGGATGCATGTAATGTATAGGAAAAATAGATTTTGCTAACTTTTGCCAACTTTTGCCAAAGTCAACTCTAGGCTTAGTCCATACCTTATTCCTCTTGCCTTGATTTCGGAGAGTTTCCAATTTTTCACTTATTAAGGCAGCGATTGCTTTTGCATCTCTGGTATTTATCTGCTCTTCTTGAAAATTTCTCTAAAATTAAAAACACTTGTTATCTTTTAAGTATTTAATAAAAACATAACATTTCCACCTAAGAAACTTGATTAAATATGCTTTCAAGTTCTTTTGTTCCAAAACTTGAAGTGTTTGAAATTCAAATTTATTCTCTTCAAGGAAATAATGCTGCAAAAGCAGTTAACCCATAATGTACCTAAAATAAATACTAATAATAGTGTCACGGAAACATGAAACAATTGTTAAAAAAAAAAAAAAAAAAGCATCACTGACTCCAAAAGCCTCAAAACATCGAAACTGTGCAAGAACAGATGTTCCTGGATAAAGTTTGAGAGGGCATTCCAAGATGGCTGAGTAGGAATAGCTCCAGTCTGCAGCTCCTAGTGTGATCAACACAGAAGACAGGTGATTTCTGCACTTCCAACTGAGGTATCTGGTTCTTCTCATTGGGACTGGTTGGACAGTGGGTGCAGCCCACAGAGGGCGAGAAGACGCCAGGGCGGGGATTGGGGGGGGTGTTGTCTCACCCGGGAAGTGCAAAGGGTTAGGGGACTTCCCTTTCCTAGCCAAGGGAAACCGTGACAGACTACCTGAAAAAACGGGACACTCTCGCCCAAATACTGCACTTTTCCCAAGGTCTTAGCAATCTGCAGACAAGGAGATTCTCTCCTGGGCCTGGCTCAGAGGGTCCCACACCCATGGAGCCTTGCTCACTGCTAGTGCAGCAGTCTAAGATTGAACTGTGAGGTGGTAGCCTGGCTGGGGGAGGGGTGTCTGCCATTGTGGAGGCTTGAGAAGGTAAACAAAGTGGAAAGGGATGCTCAAACTGGGTGGAGCCCACCACAGCTCAACAAGGCCTTCAGCCTCTAGAATCCACCTCTGTTGGCAGGGCATAGCTGAACAAAAGGCAGCAGACAACTTCTGCAGACTTAAACGTTCCTGTCTGACAGCTCTGAAGACAGTGGTGGTTCTCCCAGAACGGCATTTGAGCTCTGAGAAGGGACAGACTGCCTCTTCAAGTGAGTCCCTGATCCCCATGTAGCCCGACTGGGAGACACCTTCCAGTAGGGGCCGACAGACACCTCATATAGGCGGCTGCCCTTCTGGGACAAAGCTTCCAGAGGAAGCATCAGGCAGCAATATTTGCTGTTCTGCAATATTTGCTGTTCTGCAGCCTCTGCTGGTGATACCCAGGCAAACAGGGTCTGGAGTGGACCTCCAGCAAACTCCAACAGACCTGCAGCTGAGGGACCTGTCAGAAGGAAAACTAACAAACAGAAAGGAATAGCATCAGCATCAACAAAAAGGTCATCTACACCAAAACCCCATCTGTAGGTCACCAACATCAAAGACCAAAGATAGATAAAACCACAAAGATGGGGAGAAACCAGAGCAGAAAAGCTAAAAATTCTAAAAATCAGAGCGCCTCTTCTCCTCCAAAGGATTGCAGCTCCTCGCCAGCAATGGAACAAAGCTGGACGGAGAATGACTTTGATGAGTTGACAGAAGTAGACTTCAGAAGGTCGGTAATAACAAACTTCTCTGAGCTAAAGAAGGATGTTTGAACCCATTGCAAGGAAGCTAAAAACCTTGAAAAAAGATTAGACGAATGGCTAACTAGAATAAACAGTGTAGAGAAGACCTTAAAGGACCTGATGGAGTTGAAAACCATGGCACAAGAACTTGGTGACACATGCACAAGCTTCAATAGCCAATTTGATCAAGTGGAAGAAAGGGTATCAGTGATTGAAGATCAAATTAATGAAATAAAGCGAGAAGACAAAGTTAGAGAAAAAAAGAGTAAAAAGAAATGAACAAAACCTCCAAGAAATATGGGACTCTGTGGAAAGACCAAATCTGTTTGATTGGTGTACTTGAAAGTGATGGGGAGAATGGAACCAAGTTGGAAAACACTCTTCAGGATATTATCCAGAACTTCCTCAACCTATCAAGGCAGGCCAACATTCAAATTCAGGAAATACAGAGAACACCACAAAGATACTCCTCAAGACAAGCAACCCCAAGACACATAATTGTCAGATCCACCAAGGTTGATATGAAGGAAAAAATGTTAAGGGCAGGCAGAGAGAAAGGTCGAGTTACCCTCAAAGGGAAGCCCATCAGACTAACAGCAGATCTCTCGGCAGAAACCCTACAAGCCAGGAGATAGTGGGGGCCAATATTCAACATTCTTAAAAGAATTTTCAACCCAGAATTTCATATCCAGCCAAACTAAGCTTCATAAGTGAAGGAGAAATAAAATCCTTTACAGACAAGCAAATGCTGATTTTGTCACCACCAGGCCTTCCTTACAAGAGCTCCTGAAGGAAGCACTAAACTTGGGAAGAAACAACTGGAACCAGCCATTGCAAAAACATGCCAAATGGTAAAGACCATTGATGCTATGAAGAAACTACATCAATTAACAGGCAAAATAACCAGCTAACATCATAATGACAGGATCAAATTCACACATAACAATATTAACCTTAAATGTAAATGGGCTAAATGCCCCAATTAAAAGACACAGGCTGGCAAATTTGATAAAGAGTCAAGACCCATCAGTGTGCTGTATTCAGGAGACCCATCTCATGTGCAAAGATGCACACAGGCTCAAAATAAAGGGATGGAGGAAGATCTACCAAGCAAATGGAAACCAAAAAACAAAACAAAACAAAACAAAACAAAACACCATGGGTTGCAATCCTAGTCTCTGATAAAACAGATTTTAAACCAACAAAGATCAAAGAGACAAAGAAGGCTATTACATAATGGTAAAGAGATCAATTCCACAAGAAGAGCTAACGATCCTAAATATATATGGACCCAATACAGGAGCACCCAGATTCATAAAGTAAGTCCTTAGAAACCTACAAAGACACTTAGACTCCCACACAATAATAATGGGAGACTTTAACACCACACTGTTAATATTAGATCAATGAGACACAAGGTTAAGAAGGATATCCAGGACTTGCACTCAGCTCTGCAAAAAGCAGACCTAATAGACAACCACAGAACTCTCCACCCCAAATCAACAGAATATACATTCTTCTCAGAACTACACTGCACTTATTCTAAAATTGACAACATAATTGGAAGCAAAACACTCCTCAGCAAATGTAAAACAACAGAAATCACAACAAATTGTCTCTCAGACCACAGTGCAATCAAATTAGAACTCAGGATTAAGAAACTCACTCAAAACCACACAACTAGTGGAAACTGAACAACCTACTCCTGAATGACTACTGGGTAAATAACGAAATGAAGGCAGAAATAAAGATGTTCTTTGAAACCAATGGCAACAAAGACACAACATACCAGAATCTCTGGGACACAGCTAAAGCAGTGTTTAGAGGGAAATTTATAGCACTAAATGCCCACAGGAGAAATGAGGAAAGATCTAAAATTGACACCCTAACATCACAATTAAAAGAACTGGAGAAGCAAGAGCAAACAAATTCAAAAGCTAGCAGAAGACAAGAAATAACTAAGATCAGAGCAGAACTGAAAGAGAGACATAAAAAACCCTTCAAAAAATCAATGAATCTAGGAGCTGGTTTTTTGAAAAGATCAACAAAATTGATAGGCTGCTAACAAGACTAATAGGAAAAGAGAGAAGAATCAAATGGACGCAATAAAAAATGATAAAGGGGATATCACCACCAATCCCACAGAAATACAAACTACCATCAGAGAATACTATAAACACCTCTACACAAATAAACTAGAAAAGCTAGAAGAAATGGATAAATTCCTGGACACAAACACCCTCCCAAGACTAAACCAGGAAGAAGATGAATTTCTGAATAGACCAATAGCAGGCTCTGAAATTGAGGCAATAATTAATAGCCTATCAACCAAAAAAAGTCCAGGACCAGAAGGATTCACAGCTGAATTCTACCAGAGCTACAAAGAGGAGCTGGTACCATTCCTGCTGAAACTATTCCAATCAATAGAAACAGAGGGAATCCTCCCTAACTCATTTTATGAGGCCAACATCATCCTGATACCAAAGCCTGGCAGAGACACAACAAAAAAAGGGAATTTTAGACCAATATCCCTGATGAACATCGATGTGAAAATCCTAAATATTGATGTGAAAATCCTCAATAAAATACTGGCAAACTGAATCCAGCAGCACATCAAAAAGCTTATCCACCAAGATCAAGTCAGCTTCATCCCTGGGATGCAAGGCTGGTTCAACATATGCAAATCAATAAATGTAATCCTTCACATAAACAGAACCAAAGACAAAAACTACATGATTATCTCAATAGATGCAGAAAAGGCCTTTGACAAAATTCAACAGCCCTTCATGCTAAAAACTCAATAAACTAGGTACTGATGGAATGTATCTCAAAATAATAAGAGCTATTCATGACAAACCCACAGCCAATATTATACTGAATGGGCAAAGACTGGAAGCATTCCCTTTGAAAACCAGCACAATACAAGGACGCCCTCTCTCACCACTCCTATTCAACATAGTATTGGAAGTTCTGGCCAGGGCAATTAGGCAAGAAAAAGAAATAAAGGGTATTCAATTAGGAAATGAGGAAGTCAAATTGTCCCTGTATGCAGATGACATGATTGTTTATTTAGAAAACCCCATCATCTCAGCCCAAAATCTCCTTAAGCTGATAAGGAACTTCAGCAAAGTCTCAGGATACAAAATCAATGTGCAAAAATCACAAGCACTCCTATACACCATCAACAGAGAGCCAAATCATGAGTGAACTCCCATTTACAATTGCTACAAAGAGAATAAAATACCTAGGAATCCAACTTACAAGGGATGTGAAGGACCTCTTCAAGGAGAACTACAAACCACTACTCAAGGAAATAAAAGAGGACACAAACAAATGGAAGAATATTCCATGCTAATGGATAGGAAGAATCAATAATGTGAAAATGGCCATACTGCCCAAAGTAATTTATAGATTCAATTCCATCCCCATCAAGCTACCAATGACTTTCCTTACAGAATTGAAAAAAACTACTTTAAATTTCATATGGAACCAAAAAAGAGCCCGTATTGCCAAGACAATCCTAAGCAAAAAGAACAAAGGTGGAGGCATCACAGTACCTTTCTTCAAACTATACTACAAGGCTACAGTAACCAAAACAGCATGGTACTGGTACCAAAACAGATATATAGACCAATGGAACAGAACAGAGCCCTCAGAAATAACACCACACATCTACAACCATCTGATCTTTGACAAACCTGACAAAAACAAGCAATGGGGATACCCTATTTAATAAATGGTGCTGAGAAAACTGGCTAGCCATATGTAGAAAGGTGAAACTGGATCCCTTCCTTACACCTTATACAAAAATTAATTCAAGATGGATTAAAGACCTAAACGTAAGATCTAAAACCATAAAAACCCTAGAAGAAAACCTAGGCAATACCATTCAGGACATAGGCATGGGCAAGGACTTCATGACGAAAACACCAAAAGCAATGGCAACAAAAGCCAAAATAGACAAATGGGATCTAATTAAACTAAAGAGCTTCTGCACAGCAAAAGAAACTATCATCAGAGTGAAAGGCAACCTACAGAATGGGAGAAAATGTTGGCAATCTACCCATCTGACAAAGGGCTAATATCCAGAATCTACAAAGAACTCAAACAAATTTACAATAAAAAAAAACCCATCAAAAAGTGGGCAAAGGATATGAACAGACACTTCTCAAAAGAAGACATCTATGCAGCCAACAGATGCATGAAAAAATGCTCATCATCACTGGTCATCAAAGAAATGCAAATCAAAACCACAATGAGATACCATCTCACACCAGTTAGAATGGCGATCATTAAAAAGTCAGGAAACAACAGATGCTGGAGAGGATGTGGAGAAACAGGAACACTTTTACACTGTTGGTGGGAGTGTTAATTAGTTCAACCATTGTGTAAGACAGTGTGGCGATTCCTCAAGGATCTAGAATTAGAATTACCATTTTACCCAGCAATCCCACTACTGGGTATAGACCCAGAGGATTATAAATCATGCTACTATAAAGACACATGCACACATATGTTTACTGCAGCACTATTCACAATAGCAAAGACCTGGAACCACCGCAAAAGTACATCAATGATAGACTGGATTAAGAAAATGTGGCACATATACACCATGGAATACTATGCAGCCATAAAAAAGGATGCGTTCATGTCCTTTGCAGGGACATGAATGTAGCTGGAAACCATCATTCTCAGCAAACTATCACAAGGACAGAAAACCAAACATCTCATGTTCTCACTCACAGGTGGGAATTGAACAATGAGATCACTTGGACACAGTGGGGGGAACATCACATACTGGGGCCTGTTGGGGAGTTCAGGGCTGGGGGAGGGATAGCATTAGGAGAAATACCTAATGTAAATGATGAGTTGATGGGTGCAGCAAACCAACACGACACATGTATACCTATGTATCAAACCTGCACATTGTGCGCATGTACACTAGAACTTAGAGTATAATTAAAACAAACAAACAAAAAGATGTTCCCAGAGGACCGAACTCATTCCACTCTAATACAATCATTAGCACTGCCCAACCATGACCAACAACAGTAATGGAAAGCAACATGTATCTCCTAGTTTTCATCTGCGCACAGCAGGAAGGTGGCTGAAAAGCAGGGGAAGGAACAGGTCAGCATATCCTGACCTGCTTATTTGGATCTGGGGCCACCTGTTGTCTTAATCTTGGTGTGAACTCTAATCCCCAACTATGTGCTAGAATTTTGTTTTGTGTGTAACTGCCCACCTGGTTTGTGTTTCTCCTTACTCCAACCATTATTCTGCTTTGGCCTTCCTGTCTGGCCTCAATGGCTGAATGCTACCCTTGTCTTTCAATTTGGACAGGGATGTTTGGTTCCTAACTTTGTCCCCTGGACTCCTCTGGACACATGGCAACATCTTTTCAAACAGCTCTGTCTATGGTATGGTTAACTCTTGTAACTGCTCATTAAATTGATACTTCTCTGATATTATCTGAAGAAGATCCCTATTTATGTCACCCATCTCTCAGCTATTCTGAAAACTGAGAAATAGAGCTGTTGATTCAAAGAAATGAAGACTCAGGCTCTGATATAAGCTGCCTCTCACCTCCATCAAGTTCTGCTTGCTCTAGATTGTTCTTAAGACAGATTCTTGACAAATCAAAAACCTTCACTGAAAAATCTAGATGTGTGGCAATTCTAGATTTCTGAAATTCATCATCCAATTTCTTAATTTAGCCCTATTCATCACAAAATGTAACCACCAATAAATAACATCAGATCTTAACCTAATTCTCCTTCAAAATGTGGGGGGCACACGGCAACATATTCATACGTATGTACATGGCATTTGAGGTTGGGGCATGGAAAAATACCGAGGCACTGTGTGTATGTTATTTGTGCATGAGAATGTAACTCCTTGACCCTAAAAACAGGATACGGAGTGTAGTGTGTAGTATGATAAGGAATGCTGAAAACAGCCTCCTGAAACGCAGTTTGAGCATTTTTACAAGGCCACAGGTGTCTCATGACCAGACCTCAAAAAAGCCATCTAGTGGATATCTGTGGTTTAACAAGCTCTTTCAATAAATACTTGGTGGACGGATGATGCTGGGGTGGACTCTCTTAGAAGAGCTGCCCCCCACCCCCTCACCGGCCCTGCTCAGCTGTAATTGTCTGAGAACTCATTCTTGGCATTCACTGCAAGCTATAAGCTCTGCAAGTGGTGCCCTCGACGTGATCACCTTGAAGTTATGTGTGAAGGAGGAGAGCTCATCAATTTTCGAGGAATCCCAGTAAGGGACAGTCCTGACTCCCATCAGGAGGATGGGACCCATGCATAAAATACCAGGGGTTGGGTTATCATGGGTCAGGAAATGACCAAAGAACAGAAAGTATTTTTTAAAACAGTGCAACAGCTACTTAAGGCTATCCAGTGCACTGTAGATCCTGGAGCTCTACACAAGCTTATGCTTTTAATTTGGCAGAAATGCCCTTGGTTTCCTGATCACGGAACCTTAGATTTAGGGTTATGGAAGCAGGTAGGTCACTGCCTGAAAAGAGGAAATGAGCAAGGTCATTTTATTAACGCTACTATTTTGGCCACCTGGGCACCGGTACGCTCTGCGTGGTATCCTCTTTACCCACCAGATCGCCCATTATCTCCACCTGAAAGGAATTTGGAAGATTTAAAGGGAGAGATTCCACTCTACGCTTCATTCCCTTCTATGGGGAATAAGGAAGAGATTTTTTCTAGTGAGGAAAAACAGGAACCAGAACAGCACGGGGGTGCTCCTCTCTCTACTTGATTCCCTTCTGTAGGGCATAAGGAGTATATTTTTTCTAGTGAGGATAAGGACAGACTGGAGCCTTTTCCTCCCCCTACAGAAAAGCCATTGCCTTTCTTTCCTCCAACCTTAAAGGGACCTGCATCTGTTGGCCCCGTTCAGGCAACAGCACCTCCCATCCCCCTTAAGTAGATTAGAGGCCGCCCAAGTGACAGTTCTTAGATTATACCCCCGGTCAGCGAACATTTGTATGATTAGGTGGCTGCGTCTCCTCAACAAACTTCCCTGCTGGAGGGGTGCCTACAGGAGGGAAGGAAAGTGGCTGATTATGACAGTCTTCCTAATATGCAAGTTCTCATTTCCTATTTCCAGCATCAGCCTTTCTGGCCGTGTCTTTTTTCTGCTTCCCTGGAGTATAAGGAAAAGTTAGTTGCATCTTAGCAACTCTCCTGCCCCAGGCCTCTGTGGGTAGCAAGAAAGCCAGAGCTATCTGAGATAAAACCTAGAAGGCAGCATGCAACCAACTTTTCCTCACCAAGACATAAATATAGTTAGTGATTCTGCTTACATGGTGTATAGTATTACTCATTTAAATCTTGCACATGTGAAGGGCATTACTAATGAACCCCTACTAGCTTTGTTTCTTCCAGCACAAGAGCTCCTCGGTCCCATCATCACCCTCTTTACATCATACATATTCGCTCTCATTCTAAGCTACCTGGTCCCTTATCAGAAAAGAATGCTCAAGGTGATGCTCTAGTATGACCATAGATGTGGTCTGCAGATTCTCCTGCTTTTTTGCGAGTCCAGCTGATCATGATTTTTTTCATCAGAACGCCTGGATTCTTAAACAACAGTTTCATTTGACACTTGCTCAAGCTCGCATGATTATTAAAACTTGTCCTGATTGCCAACAGCATTCTCTTTCCCCTTTTTCCTTAAGGCTTGGTGCCAACCTACAAGGTCTGGTGCCTAATGCTATTTGGCAAACTGATGTTACTCAGTATCCACCCTTTAAACGTTTTAAATTTCTCCACGTTACCGTGTACACTTACACAGGCCTAATACATGCTACCCCCAGACCAGAAAAAAAACTAAAGATGCAATTGGTCATTTATTTGAATCCATTATAACTTTAAACCTTCCACAAACTATAAAACCTGATAATAGACCTTGCTAGCTTAGTGCTCGATTTGCATATGCATTGCAACTTTAGCACATACAACACAAAACTAGTATTCCTTATACCTCAACTAGTCAAGCCATTGTTAAACAAGCTTATCAAACTCTTAATATATATCTTAAACAAAAAACGGGGAATATGGGGCTCTCTTTTCGAGAACAGGACCTGTTGTTAGAGAATCGACCACAACAATGAAGGTGATGACTTGGAAGGCACCTAACACTACCTGGGGACAGCTAAAGAAATTGAATCAACAGGCATCTATTTGGCTTGCAGCTGTGGAAGCCCTCGCAACCGCATGGAATCGGTTTCTTAAGTATCTGGTGGTAACTGGGGAAACTTCTGAGAAAGTAAGACAAACATGGATGTTGGGGTGGCTGGCAATTCTTGTCCTTTGCCAAGTGGGATCAGCTCAAGAACATGTTTATTGGAGTCATGTTTTAAATCCCCGTTTTTAATGTTATTACATGGTGGGATGCTGACCTGCCTTTGTCATCCAATGATACTTTTGGGACAGGAGGTTGATAGATGCCCCTGTCTTACCCCTTAACTGAAAATTTGGGATGGATTAAACTTAATTACTACTTGATTTTATTGTCTAGTAATCCCCCTTTTTTTCCCCATAATAGCACATGATAAGTGTGTTACTCTCATTCTTCAGGAGTATCTTTATTACCAGCCCCAAAGGGATACTAAGTTTGCAAACTTGACCTTTATGTCTGCTGTTAGCACTAATCTTACTGAGGTCTCTAATGAAGCTACACAAGTGCCTGATCTTCCTATATGCTGTCTGAGTACGGACTGGCGATATAAGTGTGAGGCCATCCAGTGGTCGCCATGCAAACAGCCTGCGCTGCATCAAGAGCCTCTGTTTGATAATGACACCTTACTTGATTAGGGTCCCCATGGTAATCTTATGTCTGCAGATCAGACTATTGGATTTAGGAGTCCCTCCAATAGTTCTATCATCTGGTCAGAGTATGGGCTTTTAGGACCAATATTACAAGTAAAAGGGAAACAAGCTTTAAGCCATGCTCATACCCAGATTTGGAGATTAGGACTTCCTTTTTTTGAATGGGTTCTTTCCCATGGTGAGTATATTACTAGCGGTGGCAACTATACCCTCTCTCTGCATAATAATGTTACCGACATAGTCTTGATTTGTACTATGCACCCTTATATACTTTTGTTTCGGCAAGGTGTTCCTAACATAGAGCAGAATCAATCCTTTTATAGTATTAAAGTCTCTTCCAGTAGTTGGTATGCTACATGCTTCTCTCATCAAAACGTTACATAATTAAATATAACCTGTGTCATGATCTTAAAATGGCATGCAGAATGGTGGCTGCCTGTAAATTTAACTTGGAGCTAGGAAGAGGATTCCACCCTGCACCTATTTAGAAAAGCATTGTCTCATACTTGAAAAATAAGATTTCTGGCCACTTCAGTTGCCTTTTTACTCTCAGCTATTATTATATTAGCAACTGCCGCTACTGCAACTGCTTCTCTGACAGAATCTATTCACACAGCCTCAGTGATAAGCCACATGGTATATAATGTAACCCATGAATTTCAGGAATAGGTAAATATTGATAAAACTATTTTGTCTCACTTAGAGACCCTTGAAGCCACTTTTGAATGGCTAGGGGATCAGCAGCAGGCATTCATTACCCGTCAAAATTTACATTGTGATTGGCAATATAATTCTGTGTCACACCTCTGCCATATAATAGCTCCCAATATGCTTGGGAGAGAGTGAAAGCACATCTGCAAGGGGCTTATCACGACTATTTGTCTTCTCAAATTTCCACTCTTGAGTGTAAATTGAACAACTTGAAGAATAGTCACAGCAACTACAAACAAGTACCCTTCAGCAATTACAAGAAAGTTTTCATTGGTTAAACCCCAACACTTGGTTGTCTGGGTTAAACATATGCATTTAGGTGATGGCCGTTGTACTTATTCTTTTTTTTATCTGTTTGCTAGGCATTTGCAGACGGCTCTGTGCTGCCACCCAACGTATCTATGACCAAGGAAGAACAATAGAAGTTTACCTTGCATTGGATGACCAGCATGTGCTAAGAATTAAAGAAGAGGGAGACATCGGGGGAGCATGGCAATATATTCAACCTTATGTACGTGGCATTTGAGGTCGGGGCATGGAAAAATACTGAGGCACTGTGTGTATGTTATTTGTGCATGAGAATGAAATTCCTTGATCCCGAAAACAGGACAGGAGTGGAGTGTGTGGTGTGATAAGGAACGCTAAAAACAGCCTCCTGAGAATGCAGTTTGAGTGCTTTTACAAGGCCACAGGTGTCTCACGACTGGACCTCAAGCCATCTAGTGGATGTTTGTGGTTTAACAAGCCCTTTCAATAAATACTGTGCGGATGAATGCTGGGGTGGACTCTCTTAGAAGAGCTATCTTGCCCCCGTTCAGCTGGAATTGTCTGAGAACTCATTCTTGGCATTCACTGCAAGCTATAAGCTCTGGACAAAAAGTATAAAAATATTTGAAATTATCTATTTTTAATGTTTTACCAGAAAACATGAGTACATGGCAAATACTTTATCATTGTTCTTTCCTCCCCACAAAGGAAGCTCATTACTTTGAAACTTATTCAGTAAAAAGTATACTGAATAGAAATATACTAAGGAAATATTATTCCAAGCAGCAGTGTGTATTATAGAGTATTCTTAGTGACCTCAACAGTCACCATAACCTTTCACAGAAAAGTAGAAAATTACCTTGAATTCCAGCACTCAAAGATTATCACGAATAATACTTTTTTTGTCTCTTTCT
Organism: Homo sapiens; assembly: GCF_000001405.40. Taxonomy (NCBI): domain Eukaryota; kingdom Metazoa; phylum Chordata; class Mammalia; order Primates; family Hominidae; genus Homo; species Homo sapiens. Next base: position 182,763,044 of record NC_000002.12, on the reverse strand, counting down.
AGTAGTTTTCCTATTCATTAGTATAAAAATGTTAAGGCAATTGAGTCTGTATCAACCACAAGACAAAAAACCTTTTAAGATCGCTTGGTATACATGTAAATTTTAAAAACTTGTATCAGTAATATGTAATAATATAAAAAAATGACAAGGATGAGAAAACAGAAAAAAAACATTACTCAGACTGAAACACATCTTTTGAGCTTGGCCTACTAAGGGAAGGAACAGAGGAAAGTCTGGACATACCTTTGCTCTTTCGTAGAAATAAAATTTAACAGTTGGATAGGCCCTGATCCCAGCTTTCTGGCATGTCTGAGCATAAGCCTGACAGTCTACTTTTCCAGCTTTCACTTTTCCTTTAATCATCTGAAAAAGAAAAATACAGTTTGCCATTTTCTGTTTGGCATAAACTATTTTGGCAACAACAAAGCAATAGGATATAAAACATTTTGAATCTAAGAATTTATTTAAAAAACTTTAATTCTTCCTACTCAAACAAGATTATTTCCACATTATCCCTTTAAGCCCCTATTCACCTAGCACCACCTCTCCAACAGCAAATAAACCCTCCTTTGCCTCATCAAGAAAACTGAGCAGCTTTATCCTGCAATGTCTCAACTTCTTCCTGCCACCCACTACTGGCACATCATACCATAAACATGTTTCTGTTTCTATCTTTTTCTCCTTTCACTGGGGGTGTGCTGTGGTAGGACTCTTTGGGCACTCTTTGTCTCGTGAAGGCTGACTTACTCCACCTGTATTCTCCAGTCCCTCCCTGTCAGAACACATATTCTCCAGTGAAGATGTATATAATCATGAAAGGATTCCTTCCTGGATTATGGTTCCTCTGTCATAGTGCTTCTCACGCTCTCTCTCTTTTTTTTTTTTCCTGAGCAGCAGTCTACTGTTTCACTGCTTCCCATTGTCTGCTTATTTGGCAACATTTTAGTCGTCTTCTGTGCTTACTGCTCCCTCTGCTGAAACTGCTGTAAGTTCACCAGTGACCGCTTGACCAAACTGGGCACTTTTTGGTCTTCTTATTGCGCAACTGATGTTTACTGCTGACCACTCCTTTCTTTCTTTTTTAGCATTTATCACTACTCTCTCTTGGCTTTCTTACCCCTCTGACTGTTCTTCCTTTTTCCAGCATGAGGATCTCCTTTACCTGCCCCTCAAGTTATAATATCCAATCAGAGTTCCATCTTTGATCAACAATCTTTTCACTGTGAACAGGTGCCCAAGGTGGTTTTACATATCTATATGCTGATGTACCCCAATCATTCTCTTCGATTTCATATCTAACCACGCATTGGCCTGCTTTGGGTGAATGCCGCATAAGCATCCAAACACAGCATGTCCCCTGAACCCACTTTTCCTCGTTCTATTCATTCAGTTCAAGCCAGAAATTAGGCTCATCCAGACTCCTCTCTATCCTTCATCTATCACATTCAATCCTATTTATTCTTATCTGTCTTTTGTATTTGTCCCCTTCTTTCTATCACCAATGCCCTAATCCTGATTAAAGTTATCACCTCTCACTTCAGGACACTTAAAATATCTTTGCTGCCTCTAGTTTCGTCCCCAAGGCAGGGGTTTACTAAAATGCAGACTAACTTGTGTTAGGGCACAAGCATGTAGGCAGACACACACACTTGCATACCGAAAGTAAGAAAAATGTAGAAATGTTAATTTCGTAAGTGTCTATGTCATTTACAAAATGTTTGTATATTTGCTTACTTGTATTTCCAATTACTTATGAGATGGCACCATACTGTTTCTGGTGCTCTAAACATCCTTCTCTGGCATCACTGACACCCTTCTACCCCTGTTCCAGCTTCATTCTAATTTTACTGTAGCAATTATCTTGTATTACTTATATTTATTTCCATTTTCTCTTTCCACTAGATTAAAATCTCCTTAAAGACATGGAATTTCTTTCTTTTCATCTTCCTTTTCTTTCATGTGGAGTTACGTGGCCCTACTACTTAGCATAATGGCTTTTCATTTGGTACTTAAAATTTGTTGAATAAATGGTCTTTTTCATGTTTAATAATTTTCTACTAGATACAATATAGAGTTGCATTACAAAGTTTATAACTAAAGTTTTTAGTACATGAGAAATGGAGTAAAGCAGAATTATTACAGAAGGAAGCATAAGAAGATTAGAATGGAAAGAATAAACCTCTTATCTGATGCACCAGCTAATAACAAAAATAATCTTTTATAGCTAGTAAGACCTTTAAAATCCCTCTGCTAAAAAATTCCCATGGCCTGGGATGCTAAGCTTTAGTGTGAACTGGTGGAACTGGAGCTGACTTTCTCATTCCAGTTGAGTGTTTTATACCAACACTAGTGGCAAGAGTTCCTCGAGTTATGGAGGCAAGAAAGCTATCAATCTGGATTAGGTCACTAATAAGACTGTTACGACAGAAAGAAACACCAAAAGCTCAGACTGCATTGAGGGTATGTATTCAGTTTAATTTTATATAAGCATTTACTGAGTTAGGCCCTGAGGATATAAAAATAAATAAAACATGGACTTTGCCCTCAGGAAGAGACAGCCATTTACAAAGGAAGATGGACAATGCTATACCGAAAAATAAAACCAACCAACCGAACAAAACCCAAAATTGCTACAACTAATTATTTCCATTGGTATCCAGCTCCTTTTATTTCTGGTCAAATTAAATATCTTTCAAGTAATAATAAATAAAGAATTAATATGCACTGTATCAGTACACTTGATAACATATCCAGGTGACACTGATTAACTGAGAAGGGCAGAGAATAGAGCAGTGCCATCGGAGCTGAGTTTTGCAGTAAGAGGAGAAAAAATACAGATGACCAAGGTAAGGACAGAGCATTTTAGAGAGAGGGAGCGGCATGTAAATAAGGACACATGTTCAGAGAACCTGGAGTACTCTGTTACACTGGAATCTAAGGTGTGAGGTGGACAATAGAGATAGAGCTCATATCAGACACCTGAAGTCAATGTATGCATATTAAGAAACTTAGTAAGTCAGAGAGGGAAATATTTTAGAAGATCACCAGGGCAGCACTGACAAAGGTAGACAGTATAATACCATAGATGACTCTTGAACAACAAAGGCTTGAACTGTGTTGAACTGCTTGAACTGGGAATTTTTTTTTTTAAGCAATTGCAGATGGAAAACAGAATAGTCATAGGATGTGAAACCCTGCATACAGAGGGCCCACTGTGAGGCCTGAGCTGCACAGATTTTGGTATGGAATGGGGGTTCCTGGAACCAATCCCCTGAGTATATCAAGGGAAGACTGCACTTAAAAGGCAAATATGGTTAAGTCTAGACAAGAGATGATAAAGGGTTGAAGAAACAGGTTAGCAGTAGAGATGAATAAGAAATGACATTTGAAAGACATTTAGGGGATAAAACTGACACAATCTAGTAACTGCCTGGAGGGCAACAGAGTACTGGGGTGGGGAGGAGAAAGTAGACAAGAGGGAGAAGAAAGAGACGTTTCTGGCTTTTATGGCTAGTAGATGATGATGTCTACCAAGATAGAGAAGATGTTAGCTAAAAGCTTTAACAAAGAAAGAGGAAATCTACTACAACCATTACAGTCATAGAAATATAATAGCTATTTTTAAATTCAGAGGAAACATTTAAGAAAAAAACCTAAAAATTACATACTTACAATGTTTTATCTAATTACTAAAACATGAATGTGGCTACAACTTATTTAAGACAGGTATGACTTACCCTAGCCAAGAGCTCAAATTCTGGAGCAAAATTCTGGCAAGGTCCACACCAAGGAGCATAGAAATCAATCACCCAATGATTTTTCCCTTGTAGAACTTTTTCACTGAAAGTCTGAGGTGTTAGATCTGTGGATACTTGAGGTAAAAATCTGTGGCAAATGATCAAAATCATTTTTCATTATATAAAACCAAAGCAAACATATGAAATGCAATAATATTGTAATACTTTCTAAGTTAAAAATGATGTCAAGGAAGGGCAATGTAATAAAGTACAGTACTATCTTGGTTAATATAATACTTTACTAAGTAATTTAAAATGCTAGAACCTTAACCCACAGTAAATTTAACTATTGATATAAAAGGGGGGTAAATGGCTTTGAATCTATTTTATACAATGATATATATTTTAATTACTCACCCTAGACCCCAGATTCTCAGGGAATAAGCATCCCTATTCCAACCATTGTAACTGCTGAGAGAAGAAAAAATGTTAGTTGTAAATAGGATTCTCTATTATTGGATGTATTCAGAAAACAATCTTATTGTAGCAATTTAAAAAATAAGTTATATTGATTGATTTCATCTGGTATCTCTCTTCTCAAATATACCTAGCTACAAATTCTGGTTATAAGGCCTCACAAATGTATTTTTCTCTAGTCTTGGTATCTTTGTGCCCCAGACAGCCCAGAATGTCTAGCTGTCTACTGGACATCTCCTGTAGACCTATGGGAATTGCGAAACTCAGAATGTCCAAGGGTTTTAGTTTCTGAATCTTTATTCAAGTTATTACTGTCTGTCAAATTCCTACCCATTTTTAAAGACACATGTCAAAAACTACCTACAAAATGCAGCCTTTCATAATTTCCTCATAGTTGTGACCCTTTCCTCTCTTGAAATCCATGGTTCATTTTTACTTGTTTAATAACATTCATCATATGTACCTTACATTTGAGTTTTCTACCTGAAATACCACGTGGTGTTGTGGAAACAGCATGGGTGCTGAGACAGACTTGGGTTCAAACCTCAACTTCAACTTAGCAGCTGTGTGACTTGGGGAAGTTATCTAAGCCTTAGATAACTCCTAGACCTTGGATTCTAAGGTCTGAGAATCACAGTTTACTTCTCTGTAATAGTAGGAAGGGTAGTAATTCCTAGTTCACAGAGCATATGTGAGGATTATTGGAAATAAGGTGAGTAAAGTATCTAATATAGTACCTGAAACCAAATAAGGTGTTTAAGGACTTAATAAATGTTAGCTCTTCCTTTCCTTATCTTTTTGTCTAGACTATAAGCTTTATGCACAGTGAGACTGTTCAATACTCCCTTTTCATCTTCTGAAATGTTCATTAACAAACTATCTTTACGTAGTGGGCTCCCAATAAATATTTGTTGGGTTAACTTTTATTTTGTTCAGGTAACTTAACTGTTAAGTGTATAATTAAATAATTATAATAAATGTCTTCAAATATGAGAGAATACTTACTGATAATGATAAGCTTTATTTGATTTTGGGGGAAAAAATCTTATCTCAGGGTATCTTTGAACGTTTTCCTGGGCACAAAAAGAATGATACTGTTGGCAATCTATACTGCCCACGTTGATCAGTCCAGTTAATGTCTGTAAAAGAAAAAACAGATTACCTCCATAACTTTTTACATATGTTTGCAATAAAGAAATAAGCATTGTATTATTATGGTGAAACAGTTATTATATTATTTATCAGTGACTTTTACCCAATAAAAATGGATAAGGGTTTAACATATAATAGACCATTTATACTAATGAATTTGTAATCTAATTTTGTAATTAAGTACTTACTAAAATTATTGCAGATTAAACAATTTATTTCATTTAACTGTTACATGAGAAAAAACTATATACTTCTAAAATTCAAAGTGCTAGAAACTAATGAAAGTCTTTGCAATATTTCAAAGTATTCTTTCCAATGAAAACAAGCTTTGTAGGTGTCTAATGTGTTATACTGACTCACACCTGAACTTAAAAATTTTATTGAAAAGAGCACAAAAATATGTAATCCTAAATGTTAAGATACTAGAAATCACTTTAACTCAGATTTAGTGTTTTATCTTGTAAACAAATGTGAAGTAGTAATTGCATTTTCCATTCTGGTATTTAAGTGATTTGTTTCCAATCTTCTACAACTTAAAACATGGTGCCTATTTTCAGGAAATTTTCTAAATACACATGCTGAAAGCTTTTTTTTCTTACTTTTAAGTCCTACAGTATGTCAGGAAATGATATTTTTAAACTCTAAAAATAAAGCAGGAAAAAAATTAGAAAAAATTGAAACAAATATGAGGTAAATTTTTGGGTTGTTGTTGGCAACAGTTTAGTCAAAAGTACTGGATATACTGGGCACGGAGGCTCATGTTTGTAATCCCAGCACTTTGAAAGGCAGAAGTGGGCAGATTACTTGAGGCCAGGGGTTCAAGACCAGCCTGGCCAACATGGCAAAACCCTGTTTCTACTAAAAATACAAAAATTAGCTAGGCGTGGTGGCACATGCCTGTAATCCCAGCTACTAGGGTGGTTGAGGTTGCGGTGAGCCGAGATTGCGCCACTGCACTCCAGAGCGAGACTCTGCCCCCTGCTACCCGACCAAAAAAAAAAAGTGTACCAGATGCTATACACACAAAAATGGTAGGCTATACCATTCACACACCAGACAGAAACAGAGCTGGAATCAAAGTGGTATGATCAGTACTGTTATTAAGTAATAATTTAGTTGTGGGTTCATTCACATCCGTTTCAAAATAATTCTGTTAAATAAACATTCTTAGTAAATGTTAAGATTTAAAATAAACTATTTTTACTATACCCGGGCCATTCTTTTCCATTCTGGCATTAAGACTTGGCAAGGATGACACCACGGAGAATAGAAATCAACCATCCAGACTTCGTTGTGTTTTCTTTGTGTAACTAGTTCGTTGAAGGTGGTGGGTGTAAGGGAGACCACTGAAGGATTCATAAGATCCTGAAGAGAATATAGCTTCCATTATAACATATATATAAAGCATAGCTGTTCATATATTCCTGGCAAATTGTTGGTACAGGTTGAGTATCTCTTATCCAAAATACTTGGAAGTATTGAGAATTTTGAATTTTGGAATATTTGCATATATCTTGGGAATGAAACCCAAGTCTAAACATGAAATTCAGACTTTGGAGCATTTCAGATTTAAGATTTTTGGATTAGGGGTGCTCAATCTGTGTATGTCCTTTAGAAAGTTCCCATTTTTGAGAAACCAAAAGATGCTTAAGGATAGCTAAAAGAAATCCAATGTGAATTATCTTAAAATATGAAAATAAACCTAACTTAGATTTTTAAGTTTGGATTTTGCTCATTAGTTTTGTAAAAAATCAAGGTCTATTTATCCTTTATCTCTATGTATCACTAAAATCATAACAGGCAAAGAGGCAACTTTAAGTTTCTGCATGGATAATAAAAGAGTTTCAAGGGCTGCCTGGATGTCTACAGAGGCCATAAAGTTCTGTTCTAGAACCAAGAATGACTGGTTTGGAAATGATTCTTTAATTACTAGTGGAAAGCCTACTATCTCATTTTTCTGACATTCTGACTGGAGATACTACACCTTTCTACAGATTCTTTGTTCCAAATGATATTTTAACAAAGCTTCAGCCTACAACAGTCAGGTAATACTGATGAAGAGGCTAGCTTCACTGGGAAAACAAGACAAAACATTACGTCAGAGGAGGAGGAACAGGTGAGTAGGACAGGGTTGGAGGGTCATCAAATGGATAATAATAAACTAGAAATTTTCTTTTTTTTTTTCTAGGAGTCCCCTGTAAGTATTTCTATCAAGAGTGTTACTGAGAAAAAAAAAAAAAAAGATGCTGTAGATGCCAGACACTTGTTTTCAGAGAAAACAGTGCAAAGGGGTGACAAGGTGAAAATACATTGCATATGTTCAATAAATAATTGTGTCCATTGTTTATAAGGCACTGTACATACCAGGTAACAAATAAAACACAGATTTACTTTGAGTTTACAGACAAGTATATAAGAAGAGTAAAACATTAGAAAAATTCTTTAAAAATCATTTTGTAAGAAAATAGTTTGGGCATGAAAAGAGTAAATCCTATTAAACAATATGAAACATTCATACAGGGTTTACATAGAAACAGACAAATTTCTAGTCACATAGTCTATAATCTGAAATACCTCTATGAACTCCAAGATTTGTTCAGCAGAGTGATGTCCTTCATACTCATGAATGTTGGACTGGTTGAATACCACTGTTGTTGGATAAGCCTGAATGTTATACTGATAGGAAGGAGAATATGAATTAAAGATTTTATAGATTTCACCTATTTGTTACAAATTTATAACAAGTTTGCCTTTAAGTAACAAGAACAAGATTTTAAAAACCCATTTCTAAATTTCTGGTGACAAAAATTTTAGTCTCACCAAATTTAGCAAAGGACTTATGGTGATGAATACTGCTAAATACTGATGAATACCTGATCCTTATTTATAGCTGCTCCATTCGCCATGAGAACCATAGGCATTGAAACATTGAGAAATCGGCATGGGTAATTATACGAATGGTCCCTTTTTACTCTCCTGAACCAAGGTAAGAAGAGGCTATAAACAACAGGCTATATCTCTAGCTTGAGTCTTTTTTTTAAACCATAATAAATACTTTTTCTAGAAATAGATGATGATCAGGAAATAAAACAGCAAGAATAAAGACACAAATAATTAGGGGGTACATGATTATATTTTAGGTTAAAGAATTATGAATCATGCCCTATGAATGTAATCCCTTTTTATTCTTCTTCAAGATAGCCTTTATAGTAGGAAATGCTTAATTTCCTTCTCAGAATTAAAATGGGCACCAGCCCAGGAAGCCTCTCTCTAAAGCTTTTATTTTTATTTTTCAAAAAGTTATAAAGAGATCCTTGTCTGTGGATTTGCTGTAGCTGAACTTTGCACTCTTAAAGTTTTAAGTACTCATTAGCAAACTGGAATCTTTGACCAGGATTCAAAAATAATTTTTGAAAAAACAATGGAAACATTTATATTAGTCTTGAAAAATGTGTGCAAATTCAAATAATTCACTGATTAACAAAGCAATTATAGCTAAAATTTAACTATGTGTTGAGCATTATTTTAGCATTTAACATGTAGTTTCTCATTTATTCTTCACAACAATTATACTTAGTTGCTAAAATGATAAAACCCACTGTATAAATTAGGAAACTAAGTTACTGAGAGGCTAAGTAACTTGGTCAAAGTCAACCAATTGGTGAGTGGCAACTAATTGGTGAGTAGTGAATCTTGGCCTCTATTCCAGGTAAATCGATATCATAGTTTTAAATCCTTACACTGAACTCACATATGTTTAATGAGCTAAGATGAAAAGTAGAAAAACTAAAGAAATTGGCTGGGCGCAGTGGCTCATGCCTGTAATCCCAGAACTTTGGGAGGCCGAGGTGGGAGGATCACGAGGTCAGGAGATCAAGACCATCCTGGCTAACACTGTAAAACCCCATCTCTACTAAAAATACAAAAAGTTAGCCGGACGTGGTGGCGGGTGCCTGTAATCCCACCTACTCGGCAGGCTAAGGGAGGAGAATGGCATGAACCCGGGGGGTGGAGCTTGCAGTGAGCTGAGATTGCACCACTGCACTCCAGCCTGGACAACAGAGCAAGACTCTGTCTCAAAAAAAAAAAAAAAAAAAAACTAAACTAAAGAAATTAAAATTAAGATAATTATTGTTTATCACATCAATTTTGTATCTTTGGTTGGCATTTCTTTCAAAGTTACAGAGAAAACATTCAAAACCAAAGGCCTTGTTTATTTCCTTTTATAAAAATGTATTTTAATGAAATTTCTACAGGCATGTGCCATTGCTGCTGGCTTAAACTTCTGTGATGTTCTAAAAATGTATGGCTTTCTTTTGTTTTCCTTCCTCTTCCCATTTCTTTTTTCCCTTTATCTTTTCTCCATCTATGTTCTTTAAAAACATTTTATTTTTTATGAGTTATTTAGAACATTCACAAAAGTAGAGAGCAACAAACTCTCGCGTATTCATATAGCTACAATAATCACTGACTCATGGCTACTTTTACTTCACTTATACTCCCTTTCTAGTCTACTCCCAAGATCATTTTAAAGCAAATTTCAGATGATCTATAATTTCATCCACAAATATTTCAGTATATTTAAAATATAAGGACTCCCCTCCATATAACCAAAGTATCATTTTTGTTGTCAAAAACTAACAATAATTACCTGAAATCATCAGATATCTTGTCAGTGTTCACATTTCCCCAATTATCTCTTTCTTTGCACTTGGTTTGTTTAAACTGCATCCAAACAAAGTCTAAATGTTGTATTTGACTGATAGTCTTTTAAGTCTTTTTAATCTCTCCTCCACTATATACAATGTATATACTGGGTATTTGTCCTGTAAAGTTCTCCCATACTGGGAAGTGCAGATTTCATATCCATGGTGTCACTTAACATGCTCCCCTGTCATTCAATTTCCTAAAGACTAATAGATCTGGAGATAGATCTACTATAGGATTGATTTTTTTTTTTTTTTTGCCCAAAGTATTTTATACGTGATATTACGTACTTTCATTCTACGGTATATAATTTTTAGTTCTTCCTGCAACTGAGGAGTGAATATTTACCTGAGAAAATAATTTCATTTAAACAAAGATTTCAAAAGGCTTGTTCATTGTTTTAACTTCTTTCCAGCAAATATACTTAGAAGTATGAAGAAAGCCAAAGGAAAAAAATTATAAAATGTCAAAAATATTAAAGAAATATAACAATCTTCAATAATTGGAAAATCATATAAGCATTTTATGAAGTTAATGAAAATAGTTGCCTGAGTTTGATAAATAAGACCTTATTTACATTCAATGCATTGATTAGCTATGCATGGTTTAATCCAATCATATTTGATACCACTTTCTAAAAATATTATTTTGTTTAAATAATTTGTTACTACTCTAAATAGAAGATGTATTATTTCTAAGTTATTTTAATGTTTTAATAATAAACAGCCAAAAGGTCTTCATTTTATAAAATTAATTAGAATAATTTTTGATACTTTGCCTTACCATGTTACAGAGTCCCTCATGAACTGTACAATCTAGTGTACCAAACTTAAGCTGACCATAAAGAAGATTTGATGCTCTTCGTAACTCTGGTAGTAAAGCTCGACATGGTGGACACCACTAGGAAAGAAAAAATATTCATAAGCACCGAGCCAAATGACACAAAAAACCCCCCCATCATTTCTGCAACAAGTAATATGCTAAGTAAGACAAACTGTACTTAGCGGCAAACCTTCCCTGGAGGAGTAATTACATTAGCACTCATTTAAAAGCAATATGCATTAGTGGCCATAATGGAATGACACAGTTTTTGTACTAATGATTCAAAGTTATCTAGAAAATGTCTTTTTGCCATAACAGGAGAAGATCTGACAATGTTAGAATCTGACAGATAAAAATAACTTACGGGGGCAAAGAAATCAACAAGCCATGGTTCTTTGTCATTGGCAGGAAAATTTTGAGGTCCAAGCGTGGTAACATGAGAATTCACACTTTCTTTGGCAAAGGCAAGTATATCATATAGAATCTTCTTTCCTTTCAAAGTGAATGAGAGAAATTCAAATCCAAATTCTGCTTTTTGTATGCACAGAGACATTTCAAAGTTTTAATACTCAGAATACTAAAGAAGATAAATTATGAACAAATTGATTTTGGTGAGGTTTTAGTGTGCTGTATACTATACAGGGCTTAGCTCTGATAGGAGCACCCTTTTCTTGCACACTCTTCTGTTTCCTGGACTAGTTAAAAATGTCAAAATTGGCCAGGTGCAGTGGCTCACGCCTGTAATCCTAGCACTTTGAGAGGCCGAGGTGGGCAGATCACGAGGTCAAGAGATCGAGACCATCCTGGCCAACATGGTGAAACCCCCGTCTCTACTAAAAATACAAAAAATTAGCTGGGCATGGTGGCCACGTGTGTAGTCCCAGCTACTCAGGAGGCTGAGGCAGGAGAACTGCTTGAACCTGGGAGGTGGAGGTTGCAGTGAGCAGTGATCTCGACACTGCACTCCAGCCTGGTGAGAGTGAGACTCCATTTCAAAAAAAAAAAAAAAAAAAAAAAAAGTCAAAATCTCTTTGAAATGTTCCCTCATCTTCAGAGGTAGAATAATGACTTTTTTATAGGGTTCTTTAAATTAATTATGCTTACTTCAGTGATTACTATGGCCTAACTCCTAAATCATTTTCTACAACCTAGACTTCTCTTATGAATTCAAAACCCATATTACCAACTGCCCAGTGAAAAACTGTACTTGGATATCACGTAAACACGTCAAACACAATACAGTCCTGCATAATGACATTTCAGGCAATGGTGGACCACATATATGATGGGGTCCCATAAGATTATAATGGAGCTGAAAAATTCCTATGGCTCAGTGATGGTGTGGCTGTTGTAACTCTGTAGTGCAACACATTACCCCTTTTCTATGTTTAGATACATTTAGATACACAAACTCTTACCGCTGTGTTACAGTTGCTTATGGTATTCAGTACATTGTAACACATTGTACAGATGTAGCCTAAGAGCAATAGGCTATACTGTATAGCCTAGATGTGTAGTGGACTATACCATCTAGTTTTTTTTAAGTACACTCTCTGATGTTTGTACAAGGATGAAATCTCCTAATGACACATTTCTCAGAAGACGTCTCTGTCGTTGACACATGGCAATATATTCAAATTGAGGCTGTGTTATTTTCCTCCAAACCTGCTCCTTTTCTCACCAACCTTATCTTGGCAATAACATAATTATCCACTAGGTGCCTAAATATAATTCCCCAGAGTGAGCCTTGACTTCTTTCTCTGCCCTGTATCATAATAATTCTATCCATTCCATCTCTTACCATTTCCAACCCATTGCTACTGCCTGAACTCAGTCTGGCCTTCTGCAATAACCTAGCTAGTGTTTCTTCACCCAGTCTTCCTTAACTAATCCATTTTCTACATTGCTACCACAGTCCACTTACATTGAACGGTACAATCACTCAACTGCAATTTCGTCAAGTCAGAAACATAGGTATTATTCTTGACTCTCTCTCTCTCTCTTGACCTCCCACACATCTCATCAGTCACCAAGTAATACTGACTTTGCATTCTTGGTCTTTTACAAATCTACTTCTCTTCATCTCTGTTACTATCACAGAAGCTAGCTACCATATTGAGAGCAGCCCTACAAAGGCCCACATGATGAGGAACTGAGGCCTCTGCCAACAGCCAGTGAGGAACTTAGGCCTCCTGACAATCACAAAAGTAAGCTTGGAACCAGACCCTGTAGCCAGTCTAGACTTCAGATGACCACAGCCCTTGCATATTTTGAATGCAACCTCATGAGAAAATCCGTGTCTGGAACTACCCAGCTAAATTTTTCTCAGATTCCTGACCACGAAAAACTGTGAATTAATACATGTTTGTTTTAAACCACTGAGTTTTGGGGTAATTTACTACTAAGCAATAGACAATAAATACTCTCCACTGCAAACACTTTTAAAAACTTGTCCATAAAATCAAATTCACACATAACAATATTAACTTTAAATGTAAATGGACTAAATGCTCCAATTAAAAGACACAGACTGGCAAATTGGATAAAGAGTCAAGACCCATCAGTCTGCTGTATTCAGGAAACCCATCTCATGTGCAGAGACACACATAGGCTCAAAATAAAAGGATGGAGGAAGATCTACCAAGCAAATGGAAAACAAAAAAAGGCAGGGGTTGCAATCCTAGTCTCTGATAAAACAGACTTTAAACCAACAAAGATCAAAAGAGACAAAGAAGGCCATTACCTAATGGTAAAGGGATCAATTCAACAAGAAGAGCTAACTATCCTAAATATATATGCACCCAATACAGGAGCACCCAGATTCATAAAGCAAGTCCTGAGTGACCTACAAAGAGACTTAGACTCCCACACATTAATAATGGGAGACTTTAACACCCCACTGTCAACATTAGACAGATCAACGAGACAGAAAGTCAACAAGGATACCCAGGAATTAAACTCAGCTCTGCACCAAGCAGACCTAATAGACATCTACAGAACTCTCCACCCCAAATCAACAGAATATACATTTTTTTCAGCACTGCACCACACCTATTCCAAAATTGGCCACACCCTTGGAAGTAAAGCTCTCCTCAGCAAATGTAAAAGAATAGAAATTATAACAAACTATCTCTCAGACCACAGTGCAATCAAACTAGAACTCAGGATTAAGAATCTCACTCAAAACCGCTCAACTACATGGAAACTGAACAACCTGCTCCTGAATGACTACTGGGTACATAACAAAATGAAGGCAGAAATAAAGATGTTCTTTGAAACCAACGAGAACAAAGACACAACATACCACAATCTCTGGGACGCATTCAAAGCAGTGCGTAGAGGGAAATTTATAGCACTAAATGCCCACAAGAGAAAGCAGGAAAGATCCAAAATTGACACCCTAACATCACAATTAACAGAACTAGAAAAGCAAGAGCAAACACATTCAAAAGCTAGCAGAAAGAGGAGCTGGTTTTTTGAAAGGATCAACAAAACTGATAGACCGCTAGCAAGACTAATAAGGAAAAAAAGAGAGAAGAATCAAATAGATGCAATAAAAAATGATAAAGGGGATATCACCACCAATCCCACAGAAATACAAACTACCATCAGAGAATACTACAAACACCTCTACGCAAATAAACTAGAAAATCTAGAAGAAATGGATAAGTTCCTCGACTCATACACTATCCCAAGACTAAACCAGGAAGAAGTTGAATCTCTGAATAGACCAATAACAGGAGCTGAAATTGTGGCAATAATCAATAGCTTACCAAACAAAAAGAGTCCAGGACCAGATGGATTCACAGCCGAATTCTACCACAGGTACAAGGAGGAAGTGGTACCATTCCTTCTGAAACTATTCCAATCAATAGAAAAAGAGGGAATCCTCCCTAACTCATTTTATGAGGCCAGCATCATCCTGATACCAAAGCTGGGCAGAGACACAACCAAAAAAGAGAATTTTAGACCAATATCCTTGATGAACATTGATGCAAAAATCCTCAATAAAATACTGGCAAACTGAATCCAGCAGCACATCAAAAAGCTTATCCACCATGATCAAGTGGGCTTCATCCCTGGGATGCAAGGCTGGTTCAATATACGCAAATCAATAAATGTAATCCAGCATATAAACAGAACCAAAGACAAAAACCACATGATTATCTCAATAGATGCAGAAAAGGCCTTTGACAAAATTCAACAACCCTTCATGCTAAAAACTCTCCATAAATTAGGTATTGATGGGACATATCTCAAAATAATAAGAGCTATCTATGACAAACCCACAGCCAATATCATACTGAATGGGCAAAAACTGGAAGCATTCCCTTTGAAAACTGGCACAAGACAGGGATGCCCTCTCTCACCACTCCTATTCAACATAGTGTTGGAAGTTCTGGCCAGGGCAATTAGGCAGGAGAAGGAAATAAAGGGTATTCAATTAGGAAAAGAGGAAGTCAAATTGTCCCTGTTTGCAGACGACATGATTGTATATCTAGAAAACCACATTGTCTCAGCCCAAAATCTCCTTAAGCTGATAAACAACTTCAGCAAAGTCTCAGGATACAAAATCAATGTGCAAAAATCACAAGCATTCTTATACACCAACAACAGACAAACAGAGCCAAATCATGAGTGAACTCCCATTCACAATTGCTACAAAGAGAATAAAATACCTAGGAATCCAACTTACAAGGGATGTGAAGGACCTCTTCAAGGAGAACTACAAACCACTGCTCAAGGAAATAAAAGAGGATACAAACAAATGGAAGAACATTCCATGCTCATGGGTAGGAAGACTCAATATTGTGACAATGGCCATACTGCCCAAGGTAATTTACAGATTCAATGCCATCCCCATCAAGCTACCAATGCCTTTCTTCACAGAATTGGAAAAAACTACTTTAAAGTTCATATGGAACCAAAAAAGAGCCCGCATTGCCAAGTCAATCCTAAGCCAAAAGAACAAAGCTGGAGGCATCACACTACCTGACTTCAAACTATACTACAAGGCTACAGTAACCAAAACAGCATGGTACTGGTACCAAAACAGAGATATAGATCAATGGAACAGAACACAGCCCTCAGAAATAACGCCGCATATATACAACTATCTGATCTTTGACAAACCTGAGAAAAACAAGCAATGGGGAAAGGATTCCCTATTTAATAAATGGTGCTGGGAAAACTGGCTAGCCATATGTAGAAAGCTGAAACTGGATCCCTTCCTTACACCTTATACAAAAATTAATTCAAGATGGATTAAAGACTTAAACATTAGACCTAAAACCATAAAAACCCTAGAAGAAAACCTAGGCATTACCATTCAGGACACAGGCATGGGAAAGGACTTCATGTCTAAAACAACAAAAGCAATGGCAACAAAAGCCAAAATTGACAAATGGGATCTAATTAAACTAAAGAGCTTCTGCACAGCAAAAGAAAGTACCATCAGAGTGAACAGGCAACCTAAAGAATGGCAGAAAATTTTCGCAACCTACTCATCTGAGAAAGGGCTAATATGCAGAATCTACAATGAACTCACACAAATTTACAAGAAAAAAACAACCCCATCAAAAAGTGGGCGAAGGACATGAACAGACACTTCTCAAAAGAAGACATTTATGCAGCCAAAAAACAAATGAAAAAATGCTCACCATCACTGGCCATCAGAGAAATGCAAATCAAAATGACAATGAGATACCATCTCACACCAGTTTGAATGGCAATCATTAAAAAGTCAGAAAACAACAGGTGCTGGAGAGGATGTGGAGAAATAGGAACACTTTTACACTGTTGGTGGGACTGTAAACTAGTTCAACCATTGTAGAAGTCAGTCTAGATCCTCAGGGATCTAGAACTGGAAATACCATTTGACCCAGCCATCCCATTACTGGGTATATACCCAAAGGATTATAAATCATGCTGCTACAAAGACACATGCACACGTATGTTTATTGCGGCATTATTCACAATAGCAAAGACTTGGAACCAACCCAAATGTCCAACAATGATAGACTGGATTAAGAAAATGGGCACATATACACCATGGAATACTATGCAGCCATAAAAAAGGATGAGTTCATGTCCTTTGTAGGGACATGGATGAAACTGGAAATCATCATTCTCAGTAAACTATCGCAAAGACAAAAAACCAAACACTGCATGTTCTCACTCATAGGTGGGAATTGAACAATGAGAACACATGGACACAGGAAGGGAATATCACACTCTGGGTACTGTTGTGGGGTGGGGGGAGTGGGGAGACATAGCATGGGGAGATATACCTAATGCTCGATGACGAGTTAGTGGGTGCAGCGCACCAGCATGGCACATGTATACATATGTAATTAACCTGCACATTGTGCACATGTACCCTAAAACTTGAAGTATAATAATAATAAATTAAAAAAAAATTCAAATAAAAAAAAAACTTGTCCATAAAAAAAAAAAATAAAAATTTGTTAGTTTACTTGTCTGTTTTCCCTAATAGTCCACAATGTTCTTTGTATTAGAGATTACTAAGTATAGTTCACATTTTTTCCTATTCCTCAGTACTGTACCTGGTACATGCAGATGCTCAATAACTATTTTAATCCAAAGAAACAATGTAAGTTCTATTACAAAGTTAGTAAGAGCACATAAAAGGAAGTGCTTGGAGATTCATAATATATTTTCCAGGGAAGAAGCTGCTTTAAGTTTTGAAAGGCAATTTGGAGTTTGCTAAATATTCTGTGGAACAGGAAGGAGTGATTATAATGCAGGAGGAAAAATCGTGTGAAGGCACAGAGGAGTGAAAGAACATGGCATTCACAAACATCCAAAGGTAGCTGGAGCTAAGACTATCTGGAGGGGCAGCAGTGGGAATTAAGACTGGAAAAACTGGCAGAGCCAGACTGTGAACATACCCTATCCACTTAACAAACATTTCCTGAGTTCTTACTATGTGCCAGACACCATTCTAGGTGCTGGAGATAGAGCAGTGAGCAAAACAGATGAGATTATTGCTTCTATGCTAAGGAATCTGACGCTTATGCTATAAGAAATAAGGTAAGTCAAGGCAGAAAAGTGACACAAGAATGGGTAATAACTGCAAACACAACAAGGAATTGATTTTAAGGAAGAAAGGCTAGGAGATAAGCAATCCTCCCAGAGGATAATACTATCATAGATGAAGGCGATGATGGGCCTGAAACAAAGCAGTAAGCACAGAGAAGAGAAGAGGGGGGGTCTGAGAACTATTTCAGAGATAAAAAAGAGTATTATTCCATTATTAAAACTTAGTCATTTCTAGCACTTTTAGTGCATGGTATAGTTTAACGGCTATTAGCCTAGGTTTTGGAGTCAGACAAATTTGGATTCAAAATCTACCATGGCTAGTTTCTAGTATGTCTGTCATAGGGCAAGTTACTTAACCTTTCTGAGTCTCCATTTTCTCCTTCACTGGGCTGTTGTAAAGATAAAAATGAATCACGTATGCAAGGCTTCTGGCAGAATGTCTGACTTGGAGACAGCAGTGAATAAACAGTAGTTACTGTGAGGGTTATCTTACCCCAAAGTTCCTCCAGCCTAGAGGTCTCACTTCTTTTCCCCTATAGTTGCTTGGGGAAATTGAGCACTTTATGCTCAATTCAAATACCACTTCTTGACCTCTACTATGCAGAAATCTATTTGATCTTGTTGTCATTAATATACAATGACCATTAAAGTATTTTTTGTTTTCTTATGGATCTCCCTCCTCTGTTCCCCGCTACACTATTTTAAACTTCTTGAAGGAGTTCATGTCTTACAAATTTATATCCTCAACATTGAAAGCAGTGCTAGGTGCTAATGGGCATTTCATCGGTATCTGTTGTTCACTTAACTGCATGGTAGTTGGTAGTCTGTGTGTTTCTTTTGCTATATTTGACCTCTTTCAGGACAAGGACTCTGCTGTAGTCCAAACTCTTGGAATTGAGACTGCACTCACATGAATGCAGAGCTAAAGTCCCAAATAAGCTGAAATAAAATTATAAATGCAAGAAAGATAACAAGGCAGTTAATGAAGAAGTCTGGAAGTCTAGTGGGAGAAACATCCAAAAGAATGTTTGGAAATTGCCTATAATGGCTGAGATGATACACATGGCAAGCTGGAATATAAACTGCAGGTGTTGCTTACTTTTGCAAACAAGCAGGACTTAAATTTCTCACTAGCTTGACTTATCACCAGAAATCCTGATCAAAATACTGAATAGAGAAAAGGCATTCATGTTAAAAAGAAGGGTAAAGAGAATAAAGTGACTACATATAATTCAAAATATCTGTCCTCATATTTACTGAGAAAAGTTATTTACAATAAGCATGTCCGTAAAAAATAAGTTTAAAAAGCACAATTAGAAAACTTCTATTTGAAAATGAAGCTAAGTTTTTTTTTATCATTTTTTTCCATTCTTACCATGATGAATTTCATATTCTTTGGTTCCTTGTCCTTTAAATACTGCTAGAGACGGCTGAAAAACATACAGATTACTACAGATGTCTGGTGCAGAGGAACAGTCAAACCTGCCAACCTAAAGGAGAAAAAGGTCAAATTTGATAAAAACACTGTCTTACCCATTTGATTTGTAAATATTCATGATAATCCAAAAATGGCACTGCCCTAATGACACAGTTTTTAAACAGAAGCTAATAGGCTACGAAAATAAGAGACAGAAATAATTCATTTACATTTAATATTAAGACTCAATTTAGTTAAAAAAATGCTTCCTAGAGAGTTAAAAAAAACCTGAGGAATTCCCAAGAAAATATGAAGTTATTCCAGAAACCTACTTTTTGAAGATGTAGAGAATGTTTATATAATCTTGAGATAGAGGAGAGATCACTTTCAGAAGCAGAAATAATGAAGAAAAAAGTGATGTTTTCAAAGAGTGTGAAAAAGAAGAGCGTAAGCACAACAGCCAAATATAAACCAGGAACAAATCTGTGGCATTTAAGAGAGAAGATCCATTAAGAAACAAGAAGGGCCAGGCGCATTGGCTCATGCCTATAATCCCAGCACTTGGGGAGGCTGAGGTAGCTGAATTGCCTGAGGTCAGGAGTTTGAGATCAGCCTGACCAATAGGGTGAAACCACGTCTCTACTAAAAATACAAAAATTAGCCAGGCATGGTGGCTTGCACCTGTAGTCCCAGCTACTTGGGAGGCTGAGGCAGCAGAACTGCTTGAATCCAGGAGGCGGAGGTTGCAGTGAGCCGAGATCGCACCACTGCACTCCAGCCTGGCTGACAGAGTGACACTACACTGCATTAAAAAAAAAGAAAAAAAAACAAAGAAAAAGCTGGACAAACATCCCATCAGAAAAAAGAAAATGGGCCACAGATATAAAGAGAAAATTAACTAGAGAACAATTATGATTTGTTAATAATCATGAAAAAGTATTTTTCCCCGACCAGTTGAAAGCAATTAAATGAAAGTGAATATTGTTAACATATCACTTGTGGCCTATCGGAATTGTGAAGATTATAAAGAACGATAGTACCATGGTGGGCACAGCGTGGAGAAATGGCCACTCACGTGCTGTCAGTG
Source organism: Homo sapiens (assembly GCF_000001405.40). Taxonomy (NCBI): domain Eukaryota; kingdom Metazoa; phylum Chordata; class Mammalia; order Primates; family Hominidae; genus Homo; species Homo sapiens. The sequence continues at coordinate 182,742,583 of NC_000002.12, read as the reverse complement.
AGATTATAAACTGATAAAACTTTCTGGAGGACTCTAGTAATGAGAATAAAAACCATTTAAGAAAACATAACCTTGAGTTGAAAATTTCCCATGTGGCCAGGTGTGGTGGCTCACGCCTGTAATCCCAGCACTTTGGGAGGCTGAGGTGGGTGGATCACCTGAGGTCAGGAGTTCGAGGCCAGCTTGGCCAATATGGAGAAATCCAGTCTCTGTTAAAAGTACAAAAATTAGCCGGACTTGGTGGCATGCGCCTGTAGTCCCAGCTACTCTGGAGGGAATCACTGGAACCCAGAATCACTTGAACCCATGAGGCTGAGGTTGCAGTGAGTCAAGAGCACGCCACTGAACTCCAGCCTGGGTGACAGAATGACTCTGTCTCAAAAGAAAAGAGAAGAAAATTTCCCATATTAAAGACAAGTTCTGCATCGTTTGATATAAAAAATAAAGGAAACAACATAAAATCAGTAAGAGAGGATTTCCTAAACAATTATGGCATAACCATATAGTAAGCCACTATGTAGCCTTTAGGGAATAAGGAGGATATACATGTGTACATGGATATAGAGATTTTATATCCATATAAATATATATGCATTTTTACAGGTCTGTGAAAAAGTTTATGATATTGTTGTATGACAGAAGTTAAAAAAAAAAGCATACAGTGAATCCATTTTGATTAAAACACAGACATATAAATTTACACGTGTATGTCTATTACAATGGCCATTACAATATGTATGCATGTGCACACATATACATATGCCTACATATGCATATGGGCACTCACAAAATGTTTAAATGGTTATATAGAGTAAATACATAGCAGGGTTATGAACAATGTTAAGAGTATGGGTGATTTTTTTAGATAATTGCTTTATTTTTGTACTTATTTATTGTCCTGATTTTTAAACAACGACCAAGAATTACTTATATAAAGAAATAAGAATTTAAAAAATGGAAAGATAACCTCCTACAGTATGCATTCCAGAAAAATTGTATGATACAGGTTTATCAAATGCCAAAATAAGTGAAAATTAACCACTTTCAGATTACATATAAACTTTTAATAAAAAAGAGGAAAAGCAAGCACAAACCAAGACTAAAAGCACTTATAGGCTTCTTATAATTTCAAATAAGAGTTTTTATGTTATTTAAAATTTAATTATATGCATTAAATTAACAACAAAGTACACCAGCAGAAGGCTAGGCAGAATACATTTTTCTTACTTGAATATGATCATTTTTAAGTAGAGTTTTTAGTTTTTTCAGCTCAGGATCATTTGAATTTTCATTTTTTCCAAAATGAAAAAATAACAGCCACCGATGATGAGCCAAACGATCCTTAAAAGTGATAAAGAAAACAAAATGTCAGAGATGGGAAATTCTAAGGGTTCTAATCTTCATTTCTATGACTTGAAGTTAGTTTTAGCTCCCCTACCCATTATTTCAAAATACTGTCTAAAATTCGGACCCACTCATTCTCTTATTTTGTAGTTTACTTAGAATAATGCTATGTAAAATCAACAAATATTACAGGAGGGTTAGTCACTAAATTATAAAATCTTAAAGTAGATGACTGCCAAAAACAAATACATGATTTTAACAGCATATAGCTAAAAAGTTGGGTGGCAAAGTTGTCAGCTTTTTCAGGCTTAGCACATAAGATCTCGTAGTGATACAGACTTCAAAAGATCTGTGGTTAGGAAGTATTTGGTTTTGTGCAAAAGTAACTGTGGTTTTTGCCACTACTTTCAAATGGCAAAAACTGCAATTACTTTTGCACCAACCTAATAGGAAAAAAAACTGATTCTACCACAAGCAATATTTCTCAGCATTCTATCCATAAACTGAATACTTCTTCTTAGTAATCAATATAATCCGTTCTGTAAGCAAGAACAAAAAGTTATGAATCAGACCCAAAGTTGCTCTGATTAAAATTCTGCCTTTTCTGATGTTCCTTTTGAAGCCCACCTTCAGGACTGAGTAGGTTTTCCAGAACTACAGATCCATCCTGAATTAGCAACACCAGATATCCAATTAGAATTTAACCTACAATTGACTAATATATAATCCTTTGAAACTGCTACTTTCAATTCTCTCTAGAGATGAATAAAACAAATGCTAATTTTAAAATGTTAAGACCTGAAATGTTACGAACATTCATTGCTACTTATCATTATTAATAAAAACATTACCTCTAGTGTGTTTGCCGAAAGTAGTTCAAAATCTGGAAGATTATGTATTACTTCCAAATATATTTCTTTAGCATCCAATGAGTTGAGAAACTAGAAAAAGAAAATCACATTGTAATCTTTTTGAATAAATATTCATTATATTTGATATCTTTTGTTTTTTCAATTTCCAATGTAGTATTTTTAGGAAAATGATTATAGAAGGTAAATAGTTTTTCAAACAATTCCAAATGTCTTTTTTCAAAAAAAGTGTATTTTGGCAATTATCAAAAATATTATATAACTAAGCTGTTTCTTAAATAGTGATATACAATAAATTCCATTATAAGATGTTGCATTAACTGGAATTTTTAATTAACTATGATGTGTATTCTATAAAAATGCTCAGAAAAATCCTGAGTGACCTCCCAATCATCAAGAAAAACCACATTATCTTTAGCTTAATTTTAATGCTAATCATGTTTTACAGAATGCCAATGTTTTACACATTCACTTAAGAATTTTTATAACACTAGAAGGAAGAATAATAGACTATCAAAGACACTTCATTCCCCAACCAATAATTAAGATTAATTAAGAGGAACTTAGAAGTGGAAAATTGGAATGGACTTTTGCTCATTATAGAGGTTTTCATCTAAAAACCAAACCACTTAGGAGTTTTTAGAGTAAAATACAATGATACAGATCTTATCTTAAACTTGTTTTCGGCCCGAGTCTCTTATTTAAAACACAAACGAGTATAAAAGGCCCTTCTAACAAATCTTCTTTATTTGTCAATATTTTATCCTCAGCATATTTTGTCATATAACTCTCTCTCTCTGCTGGTCTGATTCTCTCAATGAAGCAGCTGTTATTATAAAGAATGCAGCAATGGTTACATCAAGAAAATGTATATGAAAGTTGACAAAACAGAGTTTAATATATGTCTTTAATTATGAACCATCTATGTTTAACAGTTTAAGTATTACTTGAAAGATCTAAAATTCACTAAAAACTTGTACGAACAATCATGGAATCCACAGTTTAATCATGCTAGACATGAGAACAAACATATGGCTAAAAATAATAGGTACAACATAAGAATAAAAATTCAGGTTTTTTCCCTAAGATTCTTTTCTTAAAACTGAATATATATATATGAGATATATATATATATAAATATATATGAGATATTATATATATAAATATATATAAATATATATGATATATACTATATATATATATATATCATAAACATTCTTAGAGGTCTATATGAAATAGTTCCTGCTATCAAAGAGCTTAAAATGCCATAACAAATCTTTCACGCCTCAGTTCTACATCTTATTCACTTTAGTCCTATTCACTATGAAGACTTTTACTAAAATGCCTATTACACAGCCTATATAAACTTGCAGTGCTTAATCTACTAGAATCTCATTATAAACCTGTTTCTGTTAGAGGAGAATTTGTTAGTTACACCTATAAAGGACTGCTGTCTTATCTAGCCTCTGAATTCCACCTACCAGATATATTTAGCTGGCATACTGTTTTATATTTTTTAAAACCTGAATGCGGCCAGGTGCGGTGGCTCACGCCTGTAATCCCAACACTTTGGGAGGCCGAGGCCGGCAGATCACAAGGTCAGGAGATCGAGACCATCCTGGCTAACACGGTGAAACCCCGTCTCTACCAAAAATACAAAAAATTAGCTGGGTGTGGCGGCGTGCACCTGTAGTCCCAGCTACTCGGGAGGCTGAGGCAGGAGAATGGTGTGAACCCGGGAGGTGGAGCTTGCAGTGAGTGGAGATCGCACCACTGCACTCCAGCCTGGGCGACAGAACAAGACTCCGTCTCAAAAAAAAAAACCAAAAAAAACCTGACTGCTTTTGGGGAGGGACAAGTAATGTTTAATTCACCACTCCCTGTTATTACATTTCCAGAGTCACTCATTTCTGTTTCCTGTCTCAGACAGCCTTTGACCTTGTAATTTTCTATCATGAAGCCCAGAGATTATAATACTCAAGGCAAGAGGCTCTATTGTTGGACAGGGTGTAGGCAATCCTTGTTGACGGATGGCACAGAATAAACTAGTACAACTTTTCCGGAGGGCAATCTGGCAATACCAATTGAGTTTAAAATGGCCACAATGCTCCCATTCTAAACAGATAACTGAAAAAGTGCACAAGGATAAAGATACAAGATTGCTCATTACAACACTGCTTATCATCTTGAGAAAGTAGAAACACACACCAAGAAAGAACTGATTAAACTAAGTATGTCACATCTAGTCAGTGACTTACCATCCAGGGATCATTAATTACTTCAAGGATAATGTATACATATTCATTTATAAAATGATAAAGTATGCATATAAAATGTACATTTTTTAAATAAGAAAGCATCTTCCTGATACACTGAGTGAAAAAACTAGATTACAAAATAGAATCTACTATGCAATCCCATTTATGAAAAATTACGTATCTGTATCCATCCATCCATTTGATGTGTATAAACACATTTTAAAGATAAAGCCATAGATTTTCTTGATGAATTGGTTATAAGGTATGAGAAAAAGAGAAATCAAGAATAACTCCAGGGCATTTGGCTTGAATAATAAAGGACAGAGTTTTCATCAAATAATATGGGAAAAAACTGGATGAAGCAGATTTATGGAGGGATATTGGGAATATGGTTATAGGCATTTAAATTTGAGACACTGACTAATATCCTAAGGAAGATATTGAATGAGCAGTGATATGTAAGTATGTACACACACACATATACATACACAAGCACACACACACATCCACACATATACGTATAGGTGCATGTGTATAATACATCTGGAGTGGAGAACAGAGGTTTGAGTCACAGGTATAAACTAGAGAATTGCTGGCACAAAGTCGTAATTGCATATATATTTCAGTAGAGATCTGGATGGGTATTTACCAAGATTTGATGGTGGCTGTCTATTAGTGATTTGGTTTTAGGGAATTTTGCATCTTCTTTTACAGCTCTGTGCCATATATGAATTTCTGAAATGAGTATATGTTATCTTTATCAACATCTAAAAAAGCAGAATTAAAGTACAGAGGGAAAACTAAGGGAGATTTGTCTTATCACAGTCCTTACTTTCTTTTGGGATTCCGTAGTGACCCATCCAATATCCCACTATTTATCTTAGCTCCTTGACAACTAGATTGAGCTTCAGTTTCCTCACTCAAACTTAAGGAGGTATACCACATTACAAGATGTCAAAACTGAGTTTACACCAGAATCCCACGGGGTGCTTTAGAAAAATACTTAGGCCCCAGCCAAAACTACCACTGATCTATATTTTTAACATTAGAAAATAAACAATTAGGTTAGGTGCGGTGACTCACGCCTGTAATCCCAGCTCTCTGGGAGGCCGAGATGGGCGGATCATCTGAGGTCAGGAGTTCAAGACCAGCCTGGCCAACATGGCGAAACCCCGTCTCTACTAAAAGTACAAAAATTAGCCAGGCATGATGGCAGGCGCCTGTAATCCCAGGTACTCAGGAGGCTGAGGCAGAAGAATCACTTGAACCCAGGAGGCAGAGGTTGCACCGAGCCGAGATCACGCCACTGCACTACAGCCTGGGCGACAAGAGTGAGATTCCATCTCAAAAAAAACAAAATAAACAATTAAATAGAAAACAATGAAAACTCATGCTATAAATGCTCTTTCGTATAACCCAGGAATGTACTCCATACTTTTGGGGTTTAAAAATATAATGGTTTTAAATGTAAGGTAATTTTAAATGTAAAGATGTAATGACTTTAAATGAAATGTAATCGTCAGTTTAAAAATAATCCTTAAATTTTATAATTTGAAGCATGTATTAAAAAGAATCTCAGAAATTAAGTATGTGTTCTAAATAAGGGTTCCACAATCAGACAATATAAATTGTTCATTTCTTTGCTCACTGCTTACAAAAATAATGTATTATTTTTGAGGGTGTTTGCACATTATATGTAAATAAATTAGTTTAAAGTGATTCATACCAAAATACTGTTTTTCTCTTTGTTATTTAAAGTGGCTCCAGGAGGAAAATAAGCAGTAGTACTTGTTGTAATATCTAAGCTTTTACAAAGGTTATCCTGGGTGGCACAGTCCATCCATCCTACATTAACAAGACCATCCTAAAATGGAAAGAAACAACAAACCATGTTGTAAATGGGAGGCAAAAAGTTAAAGGGATTTAGAGCTTTACTTAGCTAAAAACACAATTTTTCTACCAAAAAATTAAAACTTCATGCCTTAGTTCTACAGCAAAGTTAAAAAGTAGATTTCTAATATTATAAATTACTTAATAAATTTAGAAATATTAAGTGCAAAAAATTGTACTTAGTAACTTGAGAAATGGTTTTTCCCTAATAGTAGAAATCTACTTTTTATAATTCTTTCTACGAATCCACAAAAAACGACATTTACAATTTTTATAGAAAGTGAGCTGTCCAATAGTCTTTCAGGTTAAAGAAAATAAACCAAACTACTGTTTAAGATTTTTCATTGTGGCTATCCTTTTAGTAATTATACAGTTTATGAGACATTCTCTGTATGTGTCTACAATGTGCATTTAAATTAGTATCTTCCCAGTTTTCATCTACAGTGGCTAAGCTAATCCTTTAGTGAGCTCCAAAAATCCTGTACGAAAAGTACATTTCTCATAACCTTAAGTTACTGAAAAAAATTTCTGCACTGGGCAAGTTAGTAAACAAATAGAGTTCTAACATACATTCAACTGGGATCTCGGAAAGATAAGGGAGAATGAGATAGAAACAAAAAGTGAAATACCAGCTGACAGGTTTCCACAACTGATGAAAGATATTAACCTACAGTGATCAAGAAGTCCAGTTAATCTCAATCAGAATAAATAAGAAACTCAAGACCTATGTATATCATAATGAAACTTCAGAAAATCACAAACAATTAAAAGCTAAGAAAGAATAGATCTTGATCTAGGTGGTGTTACATGGGAGCATATATATGTAAAAATTAAGTTGTACATTTAAGATGTATTCACTTTACTGCATTTAAGACAGAACTTAGAAAAAAACATATTTGATTAGAATACATAACAGCAAAGTTTCAGAGGTAGTAAAATAATTTCTGTTTAGTACTCTTGCGTTAGGTAGCAAATGAGTAAGTCAGGATACATGTACAAAATTTCTAGGGTACCCATTAAATGAACAATAAAAGGACAGGTAACCAAAGAGCTAGTAGAGATGGGAAATGAAATTTTAAAAATCACTTGCTTAATCCAAAAGAAGCAAAAAGGAAAGAAAAAAGGACTATAAAACAGGTAGGACAAATATAAAACTAACAAGATGGTAAGCATAGGGCCAAATATATCAAGAATAACATTAAATGTAAATGGACTAAGATAAAAAATAGCAACTAGATAAATACAAAACCTAATTACATGCTGATTGCAGGCAATAAATATAAGGATACAGTAAGGGTGACAGTAAAAAATGGAAAAATGCCAACATTAAACAAAAGAAAGCTGGTGTAGCTATATTAGTTATCAGTCAAGGTAGACTTGGAGGCAAAAGGCACGAAAGGAGATAAAGAGGGTTATTTCATCAGGTTAGAGATTCAAATCACCAAGAAAACATACAATTCTAAATTAATATCCATCTAATAACAAAGCATCAAAATAGATAATAAAAATTGACAGAAACAAAGGAAATAGAAATATCCACAAAGTAGTGGAGGATATTAAGACACTCTCTCAGTTATTGATAGAATAGGCAGACAATAAAATTATTAAGATCTAGAGGATCTGATTAACATAGCTAACAAATTGGACCCAACTGATTTTATAGAAATGTGTACCTGTGAATTACAGGATTCATTTTCAAATGCATATGAAACATTTATAAAAATTTACCATATGTTGGGCCATGAAACAAGGCTTAACAACTTAAAAAAACTGATTCCATGTTCATTATCCACAGTAGAATCAAGCTAGCCAAAAATAACAAAATTACTTTTAAAAATAACCTTTATGATTAGGAACAAAAAATATAGAATCTGTGATTCAAAGAGAAATAAAAATCAAGATTAAAAAATATTTTAAACTGATAATCAAAATACTATATATATATATCAAAATAGAAGATGTATCTAAAGCTGTAGTCACTAATTTATAATCTAAATTCATATATTAGAAAGGAAAGCCTAAGATCAATGAACTAATCATTCAAGAACAGCAAATTAAATCATAAAAAAGTAGAGGGAAGGAAATATAGTGCTTAAGTCAATGAAATCAAGAAACTGGCAGTAAAAAAAAAAAAATCAATAAAGCTGAAACTTGAGACTTTGAAAAGACTTATAAAGGTTAAGAAACCTCTCCTTGGACAGAATAAGAATAAAAACAGACATGAGACACACACACAAAATATGATCAGAAAGTAAGAAAGAACATCACTATAGATACTACAGATATAAAAAAATAGGATATTATGTACAATTTTATAGCAATACATTTACACATTTGCTTCAAAGAACGAAGTCTTAGAAAAACAGAATTTACCAAATAGAGGAAGTAGAAAATCTATCTATCTATCTATCTATCTATCTATCTATCTATCTATCTATCTGAGAGAGATTGGAGAAAAGTCTATAAATATGGATTCAAAGACAACTTCAGGCCCAGATGGTTTTCTGATAAATTCTACCAAAAAAAAAAAAAAATTGAGAAAGAAATAACAACAGTTGTACAGAAACTGTTTCCAAAGAAGAGAAAAAGAGATAATACTTTCCAACACATTTAAAGGCCAGCCTAACTTTGATGCTAAAAGTGCACAGACTTTACTGGAAAGGAAAAATATAGGCCAATCACTCTGATCACCAAATATTAAAAAAAAAATAAAGATACTAATGCTCAGTCCTCACCCTCGAATATTTTGATTTAATTGGTCTGGGGGACATGGTTTTGTTTTTTTATTATTTTTAAAAGCTCCTCAGGTGATTTTAATGTGTAGTGCTGAAAAACTAAAGGCCTAGGCATAGGGTGAAATAAGAAAGGGAATGAAACAAAAGCATACTAAGTTAGTGATTTTAATATCAAATAAAACAGAATTTGTGTAAACAAATCCATAATGCACAAAGAGAAATAAATAGCCGCCAAAGGATATAATGATCATACTGCTGCCAACAATATAATGTCAAAATATGTAAAGGAAGAACTGACAGAAATATAAGAAATAGATAAATCAATGATGGATGGTAGAGATTTTAATACATCCCTCTTAGAAATTATAGATCATGTAGTCCAAAAACAAATAACATGATTAATAAATCTGATCTAATAAATGTAATACTACACCTAACATATATTACACCTAACATAACATTATTATATTCAAGCTCACAAAGAATTTCCAAAATTTTCAAAACTGACAATTTGTGTGGCTTTGTCAAGCCACAAAGCCACAAAGGGTATTTCAATGGTGTTAAAAAATCAACATCACTCAGGCTACTTCCCAGCCATAACATGAGAGCTATATACATTTAAAAATGACTAAAAAAGAAAACAACAAAAGATAAAGTTGGGAAATGACAAAAACACTAACATGTAACTTCAGTTGAAGAGGAACTTATAAATTACAGAATACTTACAAAGTAAATGACACTTAGAATTGATACCACGTTAAAATTTATTGAACGTAACTAATTATTCAGGAAAAAACACATAGCTATGAATACAGTCATCAGAAAATAAGATTACAAATAGGTGAGTTAAATGTTCAAGAAATAAGGGAAGAAAATGTTTCAAATCAATTTCTAAATGTGTTTCTTTACATGGTGATATAGTTTTACAAAATGATTGATGCTTACCAACATGCCACTAAGCCTGAGTCGTGTCTGTGAAGTCAAACAATCTGGGGACAAAAAAACCTTATGAGGCAGTTTTACCTTTATTAAGCCTGATGAAAATACTTGCATTTGCCTTTCCCCCAAATTACCATGTTCATTCGAAGGCAATTAATTGAGCTGGACTCTATTGATAGATATGGAAATCCTTCTACACACACACACATACAAACACACACACAAAAACACACACACACTCCCTCGCTCCCTCTTTCTTTCATTCTCTCCCTTTAATTTCTAGGATGTCTAGCTACAGAGAAAAAGTAATTTTCTCTCTTTAGGTTAATACTCTCAATCTCTCCTCCTATCAACAATCCATTTTATCCAAGAGATCTCAAAATTGGGGGGAAATAAAATGTAATAGATATTTGATAGAAGTATATAAAGGATCCTCAAAATACAATAAAATCTTTAAATAGTGCCTTCACTATTTTTATGAAAGTTCTGCAAATATGAACACTAGAATACAATGAGAGAAGATTTAGAAGAAAGAGAGCTATAGCATCACAGAGCCTACAAAGACAGGGAGAAGCAATTTACTTGAGGTGAGAAGTAAAAGAATCTCAGAGAATGTAAGAACTTTTGTTCATGTGTGGATGAACAGAAATTTGGGCAATAGGCCAAAATGAGACAAAATCCCTTGGTGATTAGTTAAGTTTAAGGCTGACGTTTTGCTGCAAGGCAGTGTCTTTCTAGCATAGGCCTTACAGGATGGGGTAATGGGTTGATTTTAGTTACAAGGCAGTACCTTTTCAATATAGCAGCATGAAGGCTGAGAGATGAAATGTGGGGAGAAGACTCATGTTGGGATTAAATACATGCAAATACATTGAGTTATAATATTTTGTTGTCTTAGAACAATTTTTAACCAACCACATTGCTTGAACACAGTTTACAGTTTACGGCTTGCTATGCAGAGTACTGAATTTTCAACTTAATTTATTCAAGGAAAGGTTCCTAGAAGAAGCTGTCATCTTCAAGTATATAATTGTATGAGGCAAATCTATGTATGTTTGAGAGATATATATAAGCATGAAGCAAAGTCCATATTTCCAAAAAATTATTATTTTGGGAGGGGTTAGAGCTGTAAACAACTAGTTATTTTTGCAAATTGTCAAATAACATCTGTGGCTATCTGAAGGTACAATTTATCATGAGTCTAAGCTGAAAAACTGGTCCACTGAACATAAAAACATAGAGGATACATTAAAAAATGAATAATAACCTCATGTGTAAAATAATGAAAAAGGCGAATATTCATTAAGTAAAAAAATTGTAATCCTGGGCATAAATTGTAGTTTCTAGTACTTAATAATCAATTACAGTAGCATACTTAAAACTGTCACCAAAAATTTAAATGTCATGTTCTCATTCCAACAAAATTAAAAAATAGTATTACCTCCTCCTTTTGAACAAAAAGTGATCAGCCAGCCAATACCAGCAGCAAAAGCAGTTTGTATGGAGTTGACAAAATTTCCTTAAAAATAAAAGAAAAAAAGCAAATTCTGATCACCTATTACTCCTTTACTAATGGAAACAGTCTTCTAAGTAATTTTTCCTTTCTAATCTCACCCTCTTCTAATCCACTCTGAGTTTTACCAGTTATCTTTCCAAAGATACTCTTGAGTATGACAAATTCCTTCAATGGCTCTCCAATTTTTTCATCATATAAAACCTAAATTCATTATTTCATTAAGAAAAAAACTCAAATTGGCAAGTTAGGCCCCTGTGACTTGAGCTTTGCCTACCTATTTAGCCAGCTATATTATATTTCCCCACACCACTTGACCCAATTATTGATCTTTTTGTCAGATTCATGAAGTATTGCCAGTTCCCCAAATACACAGTGATCTCCTAAGGCTTCCTATTCATTTTCATGACAGATTGGATATGACTTCTTTCAAGAAGTATTTTCTAACTCTTTCTCTTTTCCCCAACTGGGTTGTTTTACACATCTTATGCTCCCTTAAGCTCTATAATAATAGTACCTATATTGCATTTTAATTGTTTACTAATGTTTTCCTCACTAATGAAGTCACTGATGGCAGGGACTATATATTTTATTACTGCAGCCCCACTATTTAATAGTTTCTGACACGTAACTTTACTCAATGAATAAAATGAACATCTTGAGCCACAAATACTATTATTAGCTTAATCTGCCTAAAGGCAGTTAATGAGTTAAAAGCCTAAGATTAGAAGCATTTTTAAACTTTAAAATTAAACAGAATAGGTTTGAATTTACTGATTGATAAGCATATTTAAAAAAGCAATAAAACACTTGTATTACAAAACATTTTTTGCACTTTGAGAGATGCCTTTTTTACCGTAGCCCTATCTCATATCCATTTCCCATATCTCGATAGTTCAAGTTTCTGTAAAAATTTAACTAGTTTGTTAAATTCAGCAGAGTTCAGAGTAAATGACACAATTCCCTTCTAAGAAACATGGAAAAGACACTTTAAAATTTCAATACCATGACCAAAATGTTAATATTGCCATTAAAAACAAAATACTGATTTCAAAATACCCTGAAAATCAAGCAAATTAAGAAAATAAAATTACCTGTCCAAAGTTCTGTCACTGTACTTCTAACATGCTGCATTGCAAAACTCACTAAACTCTCCTTTGATCTGTCTCCATGATATTTCACTGGGGCCTATTGGTTTTTGTAAGAAGAGAAACATCTTTTACTTTTTCTTTTTAAAACTCAATAAAAATAATACCAAAGAGTTTGATTTTTACATTATCTTGAATAATGCAGCAAAGCTCTATTTCTCAATAGCAGAATGTATTTCCAAATGATATCCTGATAATCTTGACAGTACAGATTCTATGGAACACATTTTAATAATACCATTTATAATCGTTCAGGTTCCTCACTGGAAACTAAGAAAAAAGATATCAGAGCTTTACATTCAATGAGACAACACTTGTAAAATACTTTGTAAACTACCAAATACAATATACATATTGTATAAATTATGTTCCTTAAGACAGAAACTGAAATTGGCAAACATTTAATTTTAAAATATAGCAAAGTCAATGGTGTTTTTTTTGCCAGGCACTGTGGCTCACGCCTGTAATCCCAGCACTGTGGGAGGCTGAGGTGGGCAGATCACCTAAGGTCAGGAGTTCAAGACCAGCCTGGCCAACATGGCGAAACCCCGTCTCTACTAAAAATACAAAAATTAGCCAGACATGGGAGCGGGTGCCTGTAGTCCCAGCTACTCGGGAGGCTGAGGCAGGAGAACTGCTTGAGCCCAGGAGGCAGAGGTTGCAGTGAGCCGAGACTGCACCCTTGCACTCCAGCCTGGGCAACAGAGTGAGACTCCATCTCAAAAAAAAAAATTCATAATCCAAAATGTTTATTATTACAGAAGACTAGTGAGATGGCACCTTGTAAAACAAGACTTAAAATGTTCTGCAAATTCTACATACTGTTATTTTCTCTACTATTTAACTTGTCATAATGTTTCACAAATTTAAAAAATGCTAACTTTATCCCTTACCATTCCAGACCGAAAAATGAAGAGGCTGGGATAGCTGTTGACTCCTTTCATTCGGCAAAGCATTCTATCATCACCACAGTTAACAGCTCCAATTCGAAGTAACCCATCCACTTCTTTAGCAAAGTCTCTCCACTATGACAGAAAAAGAAAACATATTTCTCTGATAAGACCACTTTTCTTCCCTTGAACACACTCCAAGCTATATATTTTTAAACCAGACATTTAAAGTATTTGATAATTATTTTTGATTACTATTCATAGAAAAAAAAATTCTAACATATAAATTGCAGATCAATTAGAAATAAAACTAGTAATGAGGATGTGAAAAATACATACTGTGGGAGCTAAATCATGGCAGTGTGAACAGCCTGGGGAGTAAAAATTTACAAACCACAGTTCTCCAGAATTAACAGCAGCATCTAAAAATACATAAAATGCAAACAACTTAGAATTATTTATTAAAGGTTCATGCATATTTTAGTTAAAAACTTTTTGTGGAGATCAGAATTTTAAAAAGTCATGCAATTTTCATATTGTCTTTCTCATTTTCTGTGTGATGTTTTTCTATATCTTCTACATAAATGACATTTTTAAAAAATTAAAAATTTTTTTTCCACAAGAAACATTTCAAATGTCAAACCAACAATAGCTTTTTAAAAAAACTCTCCTACGCCCATACTTGAAAAAGAAGCAGCCTCAAACTGCAAGATAAATATGGCCATAAAGTTGTAAAAAGTGACGGCACAAGAAATAGCAGCCAAACCTCACGTAAGAGTTTGTGTGCATGAGAGAAATAAAGAAGACAAATAGTAAGAGTGACTGAGATTTAAGCTCTTCTATTACATGCAGCACAGGTTAAGTAGGTTTAGTCAATTCTGACAGCTACTGTAAACTCTGAAAGAATAAAATAAGAGACCTACATAATACAGTAAGGATTGCGGGGATTAAATTTAATCTAAGCCCTAAACAAGACATTACCTTGGAAAATCATTTTGTTTGAAAAGGTTGAGGTTTTTAACAATTCAAAACATTAATACATATTTGCTAAAATTACAGATTTGAACAACATATAATATCTAGCCAATAGTACATTTTATATTTTATCTGTAAAATGACCTGATGCAAATTACAAATTTTACTCACTTAAAAAATTTAACATTGTAAAAATGTGCTTTCACATTCAAGATAAAAAGGCGAGGTTAATCTGCTTTTGGTTAAAGGATTTCCATATAATTCCATGTTAAAATTTATTATTTTAAAATAAAAATTTCAGAAATTACAGTAAGACATTAAATCACACATGGTATTCTAAATACGTGCAACTAATTCAGGCTAATTAGAAACAGGTGCAGGACTCAGTGTTCACCTACATTTCAAGTATAAGACAGACCTGTGGGAAAACAGTTAATCTACACATTACAGGCAAAGTGTGTAATTCAGGACTATGGGCTGTTCTTTGGCAATGTTTTCAAAGTCTGGCAAATGACCATTCTATAGAGGTGGTCGAAAAAATTGCCATATTGGTTTAGACCACAAACCAGTACAAATTTAGGTAAAAATATTAACAGAATTAATGCAAACTTTAATGAAAGAAGGGATTATCTTATCAGCTATAAACAAGTAATGAGGTAGTTATTTTTATATAAAAATAGAAAGCAATAATTACACAAGGTATTACTGTTCATAAGTCTTAAATAAAAATATGCTGTAAAACAAATTTGAATGGTATTTGACACAAAACCTTTCTTGTAGTAAAAATGTCTCCTACCCTGGTAACAGGCATACCTCAGATATTGTGGGTTTGTTTCCAAATCACAACATAGCAAGTATCACTATAAAGGAGTCACACAAATTTTCTGGTTTTCCAGTGCATATAAAAGTTATATTTACACTATATACAGTGTATTATGTAATAGCATTATGTCTAAAAAAAAAAAACAAACAAAACAATGTACATACCTTAATTAGAAAATAGGCTGGGCGCAGTGGCTCATGCTTGTCATCTAGCCTTTTGGGAGGCTGAGACAGGAGGATCACTTGAGCCCAGGAGTTTGAGACCAGCCTGGGAAACACAGCAAGACCCTGTCTCTATAAAAATAGCTGGACATGGTGGCACATGCCCGCAGTCTCAGCTAGTCGGGAGACTGAGGCAGCAGGATTGCTTGAGCCCAGGAGTTCAAGGCTGTGATGAGCTATGATCCTGCTGCTGCACTCTCCAGGTGGGGTGACAAACCAACCAAGGAACAAAAAATAACTTTATTGGTAAAAAATGCTAACAGTCATTTCAGCCTTTCAGCAAGTCATGCATGTCGTGATGTTGATGGGTGCTGACTGATCAGGGTGGTGGTTGTGTAAGGTTGGGGTGGCTGTGGCAATTTCTTAAAATGAGATGACAATGAAGTTTGCCACACTGATTGATGTCTCCTTTCCTGAAAGATTTTCTCTGAAGCGTGAAATGCTGTTTGATGGCATCTGACCCACAGTAGAACTTCTTTCAAAATTGGAGTCAAAACTGGCCTCAAACCCTGCTGCTGTTTTATCAACCAAGTTTATGTAATATTCTAAATCCTTTGTTGTCATATCAACATTGTTTACAGGATCTTCACCAGGAGTAGGTTCCATCTCAGGAAATCACTTTCTCTGCTCATCCATAAGGAACAACTCCTCACCGCCCCATGGTGAGATTATTATAATGAGATAATTATATTATAATGAGATCATTATAATGAGATTGCAGCAATTCAGTCACATAATCAGGCTCCACTTCTAATTCCAGTTCTCTTGCTATTTCTATCACATCTACAGTTACATCCTCCATTGAAGCCTTGAACACCTCAAAGTCATCCATGAAGGTTGGAATGAACTTCTTCCCAACTCCTGTAACACTGATATTTTGACCTCCTTCCATGAATCACAGATGTTCTTAATGACACTAGAATGGTGACTCCTTTCCAGAAGGTTTCCAATTTACTTTGCCTGGATCCATCAGAGGAATCACTACCTATGGCAGGTAGAGCCTTATGAAATGTATTTCTTAGATAATATGACTTGAAGTTGAAATTACTCCTTGATTTACGGGCTGCAGAATGGATATGGTGTTAGCAGGCATGAAAAAAAAGTCCCAGATAGCATCTTCTTCCAATGGAAGGCTGTCTCATTAACATTGAGAATTTGTTGTTTAGTATAGCCACCTTCATCAATGATCTTAGCTAGATCTTCTGGAAAACTTGCTGCAGCTTCTATGTCGGGACTTGCTGCTTCATCTTGTATTTTGATGTTATGGAGATGGCTGTTTTCTTTAAACCTCATGAACCAACCTTTTCTAGCTTCAAACTTTTTTCTGCAGCTTCTTCATCTCTCTAAGCCTCCATAAAATTGAAAAGAATTAGGGTCTTTCTCTGGTTAGGCTTTCGCTAAGGGGATGTTGTAGATAATTTGATCTACCCAGACCACTAAGACATTCTCTATGTTAGCAGTATGGCTGTTTTGTGTTATCATTAGTGTGTTCACTGGAGTAGCACGTTTACTTTCCATGAAGAACTTTTCCTTTGCATTTATAATTTAACTAGCAAAAGAGGTCTACCTTTTAGCCTGTCTTGGGTTTTGATATGCCTCCCTCACTAAGCTTAATCATTTCTAGCTTCTGATTTAAAATGAGAGATGTGCATCTCTTCCACTTCAACACTTAAGAGGTCACTGTAGTTATTAATTGGCTTAATTTCAGTAATGTTGTATCTCAGGGAGTAGGGAGGCCCAAGAAGTGGGAGAGAAAAGGGAGAAGGAAGAGGGAGCAGTCAGAATAGACACAAAAATTAAGTATGCCATCCTATGGGCACACTCCAAAATGATTACAATAGTAACATCAAAGATCACTGACTGTAGATCACTGTAACAGACAGAATAATAATGAAAAAGTTTGGATACCAAAATGTGAGAAAGAGACATGAAATGAGCACATGCTATTGGAAACACGTTCAGCTGATAGACTCGCTTGATGTAGGGTTGCTAAAAACCTTCAATTTGTTAAGGAAAAAAAAGTGCATTATCTATGAAGTGCAATAAATCAAAGTGTAATAAAATGAGGTACACCTGTACTTTGTCTTCATCGAGCACTTCTCATATTTGCCAAGTTCCCACTGATTGCTGAGTAATAAGAATAAAGTTAAAATATTTTAAATACTGTATCATCACAGCTCAATGGGATGTTGTGCCTAACAGTGACCCAGAATAGAATTATTACATTTCAAAATGCAACTTTCCACTTCTAAACTATACAACTACAGCTACTGTCTGTTAATATACATACAACTCCAGTTAACAGCTTCTATTAGCAAAGTAAAATGTAATTACTTTGCCTGTAAGGTACAGATTAACTTTTTCCCCACAGGTCTATCTTATACTTGAAATGTAGGTGAACACTGAGTCCTGTACCTGTTTCTAATTAGCCTGAATTAGTTGCACGTATTTAGAATACCATGCATGTTTTAATGTCTTACTGTAATTTCTGAAATTTTTATTTTAAAATATTAACTAATTTTAACATGGAATCATATGGAAATCCTTTAACCAAAAGCAGATTACCCTCGCCTTTTTATCTTGAATGTGAAAGCACATTTTTACAATGTTAAATTTTTTAAGTGAGTAAAATTTGTAATTTGCATCAGGTCATTTTACAGATAAAATATAAACTGCACTATTGGCTAGATATCACATGTTCAAATCTATAATTTTAGCAAGTATGTATTAATGTTTTGAATTGTTAAAAAAAAGTCAATCTTTTCAAATAAAGTGATTTTCCAAGGTAATGTCTTATTTAGGGCTTATATTAAATTTAATCCCCGCAATCCTTACTGTATTATGTAGGTCTCTTATTTTATTCTTTCAGAGTTTACAGTAGCTGTCAGAATTGATTAAACCTACTTAACCTATGCTGCATATAATAGAAGAGCTTAGAAGGCATTTGCTTGTTGACTTTCTAGAGAGCCAGAAATGATAACATCTGCTTAGCAGAAAAATGCCTGGGAAAGCTTCACTAGAGGGTCCTTCTCTATCACAACAATGCTCCTGCTCATTCCTCTCATCAAGCAAGGTTAATTATTTATGAATTATCTCTGAAGTTTTGTGGCTGCAATTTATCTTGAACTACCATTTGGGGTTCTATATGAACTATTAACAGTTCTTAAGCTTTTCTGCATAGTGACACATCTGAAAAAGTGTGAACCCATATACAATATAACTATCAGTGAAGTCTCATTCTAGGTAGACTCATGGATTAGTAAGCTTGCAAGTTTTGTTCAGTTCCTCTATCTGTAATTCCGATGTTTTCTGAACCATTGGTACACAAAACACTTACTGATATATTAGGAGATGAGAGACAATAAAAACCACACAGGAACAGCTATAGGTTTATATAACTCACACGAGAGTTATGATTCTACCAGCTTGTGACATGAGCATTAATTCTATTAACAATCCAAATGAATCAAATTGTCTTATTTGCAGAACACAGGAAAGATGTATTTTCTATTCACTTAGAACATGTTCAAGTGTTCACCTAGAAGGCTTTTAACAAAGTAACACATTGAACAGCTATTTTGTATGTGAAGCTCACCAGCATGATGTAGAAAATAAGATTAAAATGCCACCCTTGGCCAGATGTGGTGGCTCATGCCTGTAATCCTGGCACTTTGGGAGGCCAACGTGGGTGGATCGCCTGAGGTCAGGAGTTCGAGATCAGCCTGGCCAACATGGTGAAATCCTGTCTCTACTAAAAATACAAATACAAAAATTAACTGGGTGTGGTAGCGGGCACCTGTAATCCCAGCTATTCAGAAGGCTGAGGCAGGAGAATCGCTTGAACCCAGGGGGCAGAGGTTGCAGTGAGCCAAGATCGTGCCACTGCACACTGGTCTGGGTGACAAAGCAAGACTCCGTCTCAAAAAAAAAAAAAAAAAAAAGCCACCCTTGCTTAGAAGGAACAAACTGTATAAAATCAAGTAGCTGTAATAAATTTTTAACGATAATATATGAAAAACATATAGATTTATATGTATTTTTTGCGACTGGTACGCTATTTTAGTTTTCTTTTTTTTTGTGGTGCCATCATGGCTCACTGCAATATCAGCCTCCCAGATTCACGCGATTCTTGTGCGTCAGCCTCCCAAGTAGCTGGGATTACAGGTGCGTGCCACCAGGCACACCTAATTTTTGTATTTTTAGTAGAGAGGGTTTTCCCCATGTTGGCCAGGCTGGTTTCTAACTCCTGATCTCAAGCGATCTGCCTGCCTTGGCCTCCCAAAGTGCTGGGATTATACAGGTGTGAGCCACCGCGCCTGGCTGTATTTTAGTTTTCTAAATTAAATACAATTGTGATAGAGCAATATAAAATTGAAATTTGATTTGAAGTTTAATTTATTGCTCTGAAATAGAAAAAATAAACCTATTATTACTGTACAAAGGATGAAAGTATAAGAATCTATTCTGGTATACAATTTTCTAAAATGCAATGGAAAATGCAGAACTGTATTTTTATGGCCATTTTCACACAAAGTTGCCAATCAAATTAAATCTACTTCCAAAATAACTATACCTTTATCCAAAACTCTAAAATCAAAAAGCTCTGAGAAGTTTTGCTGTAAGTTTGCAGCAAGCTCACTTGGCATCCAAACCTGATCTGAACTGATTTTTAAATTTCTTTTATTTAGTATATATACTTACACATTTTGCTACATAAATATTAATGTTTTTATTATGGTACACTTCCCCACATTCTGCTAGAAATATTTAAGATACAGTATATTACATTATTACTGTTCGAAACTCCAAAAGATTTCTAAATTTCAAACATATATATCCCCTAGAGTTTTAGATGAGATCGAACTTGTATTAGTTTTATAAAACCTTAAGCCCACAAACTTACCAAATTCTCTTCTTTCCAATGTTATGATTTCAGGATCATCATCATAAATACCTAATTTTAAAAGTATATAAAAATTATAAAATCAAAACTTCACCATATAAATTGCAACATAAAAATAGATTACTCGTTTTAATCATCAAAAAAATCAAACTACTATATTATATCTCAAACTTAGAGAATATGCAACATCCTAAGTGAAAAAAAAGTAAATAATACTATCAGTACATTTAGGGTGATCTAAAGATATTAGAATTCTGATATGGACTCTCATAGATGTGTATGCGGTAGTTCGTAATATTCACATAATTTTACCTCCATATAAAATTTATATTATGGTTTTAAAAATAATTACAGATTCAGGAAGGTGCAAAAATATAGACTCTTGTATACTTTTTACTCACCTTCCTCTAATGGTGACATGTTATGTAGCTATATAGCACAATATCGAAAACCAGGAAATTGAGAGTGGTACACTGTTAACTAGACTACAGACCTCATTTGATTTTCAGATTATATGGTTTTTAACACATGGTATCATGTTAGAATATCTTCTGCTAAAAAGCTTAGAGTATTTGCAGAGGCAGACACAAATATTTAGTAAATATACATTTTTTAGGCTTTGTGGGATGTATGGCTTCTATCACAACTTCTCAACTCTGCTCTTGAAGTGTGAAAGAAGTCACATATATTATGTAAACAAATTAAAGTAATTCCATTCCAATAAAACTTATTTATAAAAGCAAATGGCAAGCCAGATTTGGCCTATGAAATGCAGTCTGCTAACTCTTGATATAGACTATCAAGGTGTAGAGAATATACTTGAAAATACTATTTTGAAAAAAAATCATATTTACTAAAAGCAAATCCTCCAGATATAAATTTAAAATACTTCATTTAGTCTAATACAGAAGCATATTCAGTTCTTAGCCTGCATTTGAGGTTAATTAATGACTAGGAGAAACACTGGGTCTCTGAACACACCTTCCTCCCTTGATACCTGTGTGTTTACAATCTCTCTTCCTTAGTTCCTTTACTTTGTTTCCTCCTTCCACCTTATTTTTTCCTCCATGTTTAAGAAAAAAAACACCTTTCGTCCTTCTCATATGGAACCTTTATTGATAATGTTTCAAGGTATTGACCTTAATGTCAACCGAAGGCCAAAACACCTTAAAAATCAGTAAGGGTTCCATATGAGAAGGACGGCATTTCTATTGAAGAGATCATTACTAAACTTGAAGTTTCGCCTTTCTTGGACAATATGATGCTCTAAAATATATTGAAAGAAATTAATATTATTCAATACTAAAAAATACTGAAAGAAATATTTAGCTACCCCTAATGCAAACATATAGTCATACATCACTTACTAATGGGACACATTCTGAGAAATGTGTTGTTAGGGAATTTTGTTGTTGCAAAAACATCACAGAGTGTACTTACACAAACCTAGATAGTATAGCTTACTACACACCTAGTCTACAAATCTGTACAGCATGTTACTGCTGAATACCATAGGCAACTGTAACACAATGCTAAGTATCTTTGTATTTAAATATAGAAAAGGTACAGTAAAAATATGGTATTATAATTTCATGGGACCAATGTCCTACATACAATCCATTGTTAAGTGAAATGTCATTATGCAGTCCATGAATGCATATTTTTTATTAAATAGCAATCCTTATTTTAAAAGTATTTAACAAGATTTAACCAATACAACTTCATATCTGTACAGATCATCTCTGTATACCAACTGACATTCCTTTTAAATTTCACTCCCACAGCAAATTAAAAGGAGCTAATCAAAGTGACGCATCTTAAATATATAAGCTAAGTGGTGAAACAGAATTCACTTTTCTTTTACTCAGATAAAACACATTTCATAAGTAATATCGTATCACCTTACCAAAATCATAACGATAATAGTTCCAGCTTTCATACTGGCCACCTTGATTATCCTCAAGTCCCTTTTCTCCATATTTGTCATACTTTTTCCGTAGATCTTCATCTTTGAGTACTTCATATGCTCTATTTATTTTTAAAAAATCGCCATGTGCATTTGGGTTATTCTGTTAAAAAATATTAGATATAATACAATTATTTCAGATACACAATCCAAGTTTCTTCAAAACATATATGTAGGTTTAATTAATCTAGTAACTTCTGGGAGACCATATACCAACATAAGGAGGGGTAATACAACATGACATGAGTTACCATGGGTTGAAATGAAGTATTTTTTAAGAAACTATAATCTTCAAAAAAAAAAAAAAAAAAGTAAGAAAAGTAATGAAATAATTGACTCTTCAAAAGGTTGACAGACGTTATCAGACCATGAGTTATTCTTCCTAAAAAATGCAGCTGAAAATAATAAGCCTGTTGAAACTCTTAATTTCATAAATATTTTTTACTCCTATAACAATTATAAATCAATACATTTGTAGGTTATTTTTCTATTTGAGGTAAAATCAACTTAATTAAAAAAGGATGTGCCCCAATCTATCAGCTAATTACATAAAAGCCAGTATCAGAAAACACCCCAAAATCGATCCCAGTACTTTGGGAGACTGAGGAGGGTGGATCATTTGAGGTCAGGAGATCGAGACCAGCCTGGCCAACATGGTGAAGCCCCGTTTCTACTAAAAACACAAAAACTAGCTGGGCAGTAGTGACGCACGCCTGTAATCCCAGCTACTCAGGAGGGTGAGGCAGGGGAATTGCTTAAGCCTGTGATGCAGAAGTTGCAGGAAGCCGCTGGCGTCACTGCACTCCAGTCTGGGCAAGAGAGTGAGACCCTATCTCAAAAAAAAAAAAAAAAAAAAAAAGAAAACAATCCAAAATTGGATCGGAAATGTTTCTTCCTTGTTACTGTGCTTCATAAAATTTGTTTCTGAAGGATGCTTTCATTTAAATAATACTCGGATGGTAGAAGGTCTACTGTCTTTTATATGGAAACTTAAAAATCATTATTTGAAATTTTAAAGAAAAATTAAAAAAAAATAAAAACCTTAAATAGAATGTGGATCTTAGGAAAAGATAATCAACTAAACAATATTTAAAGAAATATTGTTTCTCTTGCTCAGCTTTATGCAATGAAAATAATCCTATTTTAAAACTTCTACCTAGAAAAGAGAAAATTATAACTATGTCTTCTTGTTAATGATGAACGCTAAATCTCACTAAGAAATAATCAAATAAATTACAAAAACACCATAAAAATTAAAATGAGTTTAGTTTTGAAAGATTTACATTAATGTGTACATAAATATTTATGACTGGCATTATATTCAGCTGCTGTGAAGTATTAATTTATAAAACTTTCTAACTCTGGTTTGTGGACTTGTGCATACACAGAAGAAAACAGTCAAAGTTAAAACATGCTATTATTAGCTATTACTTCTATTTTTAGCAAGTCATACCCTCTGAGTTTTAAAAAAATATTTTTGTTCCTGTTCTAAAACACTTGATCTTAACCTACTTTAATAAGAAAACTACTTCAACTACTTCACGGATATTATCGTTTGTTTTGGGGTTAATGTCTTTAATAGAATTGTTGGAAAATCGTCTACAAATTAAGAGGGAACTGAATTTTTGGTACTGACATTCCTTCACGGGATCCTAAATAATCCAGAACATTTTGGTGCTTTTGTTTCTAGCATACAAGTTGAATTATAATTTTGACATATGATTATTCTTAAGCATTTGATCATTTAAAGCAATTTAAATAAATATCAAAATGTACCAAAAATATAATCAAATATTTTTAAAAACAAACGTTTACCTACCGGGTTTTTATCAGGATGTAACTTCAATGCCAATTTCTTGAAAGCTTGTCTTATTTCTCTACTGCTTGCAGTTTTGGACACTCCAAGTAAACTGTAAAAATCCTGATCTGTGCCCACTAAAATGGCCATATACACTATCAGAAAACAGAGAATGATCCTTTTCAAGTCTCTGATATAGTCATCTTTATTTAACCAGACTCCCATTCTCTTTCTTATGCAAGTTCTGATTTAAGTGAACATTAAGATTCACTGCTGGTTCCAGTTGATGTAATATGCAAATTTGAGAACTTCTGTCTACATTACTTCAAGGGTGAATCAAGCATCACAAATCTGTCCCCAAAAATATTAATCTAAGAAAGAAAAGCAGGCAGTTAAAATACATTTTGAACTAAACAATAATAGCACAATTTATTTATCACAGAACATGGTCAGCAATACAATCTCCATTAAATGGCAAATCAGTGTGAATGCCCCAGGTTCTATTTTTCACTCTTTCTACATCCATGTAGCTAGATTTGTGAAATCACTGAAGATAGCAGAAAAAAGGTCATGAGTGGTAGTAAGTAGCTTGCACACACACCCTCAGCAATTTATACACTGAGAAAAGACCTCTGACGAGCATCAGAACACAAAGGTGGCAATGAGCTACAGGTGCTTCCTCTTTCTACCCAGTTATAGCGTTGCCTGTAATACCTCTTCCTTTTAGCTACTTCTTTACCTCCTAAAGCTGTCTAATTTTCATTTTCAGCAGAATTCACTTGTAGGAAATGTCCTTGGGAGGGACTAGAAGGAAACATAGGGTTTTTTACTTCTCATATAACCCTACCAGAAATGACAGTGAAATATATTGTTATAATAGACAATCTACACAGCAGTCGATCTTCTTCCCGGAGTTTCCTCAGAAGGTGCTTATACTGAATTTAAGTAGAGGCCATTTTTTAAAAATAGTAGAAAAACAATTGTAAGTTACCAGTGTAATTTTATTGCAAAGTTCATGTTTGGTGTAAGTAGAAACAAAACACAAAAAGAGAAGGGAATCGGTTATTTAGACATACTCTCTGCAGGGCAAAAACAATCATTACTTCATCATATCACATTTCAACCACTATATTTTAGTTCCAAAGAGATCGTAATGCTTTGAAAAATCTAACGCTCCTCGCACCTCATTTCTGTTTTTCATTTAATCCTAAATGTATATTTAAAAATTTTTCTCTTTACCTGTGAATGGTCTTCAGCTCATTTCTAATACTTCCTTTTCATTCCACAAAAATATACCTTTGAAAAATATAATGATGTAGAGATTAACAAGTATCCAAACAAGAAAACAACCATCAGAAAAAGAGAGGGCATAGTCTCAATCAACACTTTGGGATAAGATGTTTCTCGCCCAGGGGTTGTTCTCAGCGTGGGTGTGGCCGAACTGCCCGTGGCCCGAGCTACCGGGCAGGTGGAAGCGCCAGGTAAATGCAAGGCGCAAGCTTTCGCATTGCCATCACTGCAGAGTGGGAGAGGGGAGAGGGGTAAAGATGAAGACACGGGGGAACAGGGCTGTTAAGTGTTGCTGGTGTCTGAAGTCTCAGGTCGGACTTAGGGAGAAAGTGTAAGTAACTGAGAGGGAATCGCTGGGCAGAGGAAGGGTGGTGTGAATAACAGGGAGGAGGAAGGTGGGGAGCGAGAACACAATATCCAGGTCTTAAGAGCGCACAGGAAGGGAGGTTCAGGCGCTCAGCCATTCCGCCCCTCCCTGACCGGAGGGCCCAGGCCACCACCGGCTCCAGCAAAGCCCTAGCCCCGGGCCCATGCCCACCTTGCCATCGCGGGGTCGCTTCCTGTAGCTACTCCCCCATCCTCAAACCCTGGCGGCGGACCCCGCCTGGCCGAGCCCAAGCACCGCGTGCAGGAGAGAAGCACACGCACTCTCCGACGGCCCAGCCGCGGCGCACGGGATTGGTGAGGTGCAGCCACACCGGCGACTACCAGCGCGCGGCCGGTACCGGTAGGTTCCTCACGCGCCGGTCTCCACGGCGAGCCGGGGCGGGGCCTGGCGCGGAGCATTGTGGGAAAGGCGTGGAGGACGCTGCCTGGGGAGACCCGCTGCGGGCCCAGCGGGCGCTGCGGCGGTGGGGTGGAGAGGGCGGTGTAGGTTTAGGTTGACGTGGCGGTGTGCGCGGGATCCGGCTCCGGCTCCGGCTCCAACCCGGAGCTGAGGGAACTGCCCTGGCCAAGCAGCCCGCGCCCCCTCA
Source organism: Homo sapiens (assembly GCF_000001405.40). NCBI lineage: Eukaryota > Metazoa > Chordata > Mammalia > Primates > Hominidae > Homo > Homo sapiens. The sequence goes on along the minus strand of NC_000002.12, from coordinate 182,716,047 downwards.
CCAATGCGGCCGGCGCCTGCCGCGGGCGGGGAGGGTGGATGGCGAAGCCCGCCTCTTCCTGCTTCCGTTGCCAGGGTGACGGGGAAACCCAGAGGGTGGGTTTTGGGGTTGAGTTCCCTGAGAGTCTTTTAAAGGGAAGACGGAGCTTTGGAGGATTTGTCTGGGTGATGGGTGGGTGAGACCGAAAGGCGAAATTTGGCGGAGAAAGGAGAAGTTGCCTGAAGCGACACTGATTGCAGTATCAGGCTAGCGGACTGAAGAGGCAGTAGGAAACTTGAAGGAAATTAAAACATTTACAATTTTGTGTAAGCGTGTGTATCAACAAGCATTTGAGACTTCTACAATATTTTCTGGATTCTGAGTCATACAAGCTAGAAACTGGGGAGTTATCGTTGTTCTCTCTTACCTTGATCTCCTACTGCTATGGTACAGGAACTGCATTTTGTCCCACAGCAATATAACAATTGAAGTGGTTATATTTACTACATTTTCTATATTTAAAAGAGAAAACCGAGCCTAGAGGATACCTGCTTATAACATCAACCCTAACATGAAATAAGTTGTGATTGGTAACAGTTTCGGGGAGTAAATCAAGTGTCAGCTTCTAAAAACTTGGAAAACTACACAGGATCTATGGCTAAGCTAATACTTGGTAGGAAAGAAGAGGAAGTAGAATGAACAAAGGCAAACATTAGAAGCAGCCTGATGTAATAGTAGTTAATATGTCTCAGGAACTGGTCTAAGCACACATGTAGTAACTCATTTAGTCCTCCAAATAATCTTACAAGATAGTGGCTCCTATATCTATTTCCCATTTGAGGAAACTGAGGCAAATATTTGAGAGCTAGGATTCACATCTAAGCAACCTGGCTTCAGAGACTATGATGTTAAGCATTATGACACAGTGTGTAACCATTTTGTTACACACTGTAACAAAATCTTAAAGTAAATTGAAAAACAAACAGAAAACTGGAAGATGAAGCAGGGACCAGATCACAGACAGGTTTTTATACCAAGATGAAGACATAGATTTCTATCTCTTAGGTGATGAGGAAGCTTTTAAAAAAGAGACTGAGATTGTATTTTAGATCATCCTGGCAGCTATTGGAGAGAGGATGCAAAGCATACAAAACTGGAGAAAGAACAGGAGAATGTTAGACAAATAGGGTAAATGCTTTAAGAGGTGGTGGGCCGGGTGTGGTGGCTCACGCTTGTAATCGCAGAACTTTGAGGGGCTGAGGCGGGTGGATCACTTGAGGTCAAGAGGTCGAGACCAGCCTGGCCAACGTGGTGAAATCCCATCTCTACTAAAAATACAAAAATAAGCCGGGCATGGTGGCACACCCCTATAATCCCAGCTACTCGGGAGTCAAGAGAATCGCTTGAACCCGGGAGACAGAGGTTGCAGTGAGCCAAGATCACACCACTGCACACCAGCCTGGGTACAGAGCAAGACTCTGTCTTGGGGGAAAAAAAAAAGTAAGAGATGGTGATTGGTTGGATATGGGAGATAAAGGAAAGATTTAAGTTTAACTTCTGACTTCTTATGGCTGAATACTACCCACTGAATGAAGATCTGTTTAGGGAAAAGATAAAGGGTTCTGACTTGGACATATCTAGTTCAAGGTTCCTAGATCATATCTTAGTGAATATACCCTGCATAAAACTCATGGGTAATGTCTAGATTGGAGAAAAAATAGGAGAAAAATCATCAGATCACCCAAAGAAAGTGTGCAGAATAAGTAAAGTTGTGGACCAAGGATTAAAACCTTGGGGAATTCTAACATCAAGAATGAAAGCACACACGGAAAAAGAATCTAAGCTTCATGAAGGTGGATTTTTGTTCATTTTATTTACTGTTATGGCTCCAGCTGTTCTTACTATATGGTAGGTACTACATAAATATTTTTTGAATGAATAAACATTAATTTGAGAAATAGGCTGAAGAAGAAGAACCCATACAGGATGTAAAAAAGAGATGATCAGAGATGGGCAAAAGGAACTAAACATCAAGGAAGTTAGAGTGAGTCAGATAAGATACTGACTGCAACTTGTTAATTAGGTCTGGCAATTAGGAGGTTATAGGGACCTTAGTAAGCACAATTTTGGTGGATGGTAAGGCTGGAAGTTAGATTGTAGTAGACTAAAGATTGGCTAGGAGCTGAGGAAATGGAAATAGCAAGTACATATACTCTGTTCAGAGTTTGGGTGAAAAGAGGAAGGAAACTCATGTAACTAGAAGAGGATGTGGATTCCAAAGAGGAAATGCTTTAGGCTTGGAAAGGCTTGAGCAAGTTCATAAGCTGAGTAGAAGCCAAAAAAGAAAGAGGCCACAGATATGAGAGGGATGGAGTCAAGAGCACAGATGGATTGATAATCTTACACAGTTCATTTATTTATTTATTTAGTATTTTTTGAGATGGAGTTTTGTTCTTATTGTCCAGGCTGGAGTGCAATGGTGCGATCTTGGCTCATTGCAATCTCTGCTTCCCAGGTTCAAGCAATTCTCCTGTCTCAGCCTCCCAAGTAGTGGGGATTACAGGCACATGCCACCACACCTAAATAATTTTTGTATTTTTAGTAGAGACGAGGTTTCATCATATTGGTCAGGCTGGTCTCGAACTCCTGACCTCAGGTGATCTGCCCACCTCAGCCTCCCAAAGTGCACATTTAATTTATTAATTAAAGTAGTCTACTGTTCTCTGGGCTAGGTCATTAGGGTTACTGTGGTGAGCAAGGACATAGCTCTGCCCTCAGTAAGTAGGATAATAGAGGACACATCAATTATTCAAACAAATCTGTAATTATGAAGGAAGAATACATAGTGTTGTGATGTTGTGAGCTACTCTAGGGGCAAAGATTTGCCAAAGGTTTCACCAAAAATAAAAATAAAAAGGAAGAAATTTAACATATATGGGCAAAAAATTAGGCAATATTATAGTCAGATTGAACAGCAAGTGCATAGTTCTTGTACTTCAAAAGAGCATGGGTGTTAAAGGAACAAAAAGATCACCAGAATGTAGCAAGCCAAAAGGAGAGAGTCAACAAAATGGGAATGTAAAAGCAGACAGGGACAAGATGTAGTTTATTTTAAGGAGTTTGGGCCTTTTCCTATGAGCAATGGGAAGCCACAGAAGTGTTTAAACAACGGAATGTCATTACAGTATTGAATTATTTAATTTAAAAAAACTGAGCCAGGCGCGGTGGCTCATACCTGTAATCCCAGCACTTTGGGAGGCTGAGGCAGGCGGATCACGAGGTCAGGAGATTGAGACCATCCTGGCTAACACAGTGAAACCCCATCTCTACAAAAAATACAAAAAATTAGCCAGGCGTGGTGGTGGGCTCCTGTAGTCCCAGTTACTCAGGAGGCTGAGACAGGAGAATGGCATGAACCTGAGAGGCGGAGCTTGCAGTGAGCAGAGATCAGGCCACTGCACTCCAGCTTAGGCAACAGAGCAAGACTCCGTCTCAAAAAAAAAGAAAAAAATGGAAAAGAATTTCAAAGTTACAAGAATGTTAAATGTATAGAACAAGTAATTTTGTTTCCTCAACCATTTGTGAGTAAGTTGTTAACTTCTTGTCCCGTTGTCTCCCAAAACTGGTTTATGTTTTTTAACAAACAAGGACATTCTCCTTCATAACCAAAACACAATCATCAAAATCCAGAAATTAACACTGATATCTTATTACCATCTAATCCTCAGACCCCATTTAGGTCTTGCCAATTGTCCCAATAACATATTTGCGGTACAAAGATCTACCTGGCAACTACTTGTTTCAATTTAGTGTCCTGATATTTCAGGCTCCCTCAGTTGGAAACAGTTCTTCAGTTTTTCCTTGACTTTTAAGACTTTGACACTTGTGAAGAATATAGGCCAATTATTTTGTAGATGTCTTTCTGTGTCAGTTTGTCTGATGTTTCCTCACGATTAGATTTAGGTTATGTATTTGGGAAGAATCTAACAGAACTGACCCTATGGTCTATCCATTGCAGGCTGCAAATTTTGATTCGTCTCATTGTTGGTAGTTTTAACTTAGATGGCTTCATTATAGAGATGTCTGAGAGGCTTTTCTATGGCAATGTTACATTTCTCCTTTTGTAATAAGTCCTTTATTGGAGGTGCTTTGAGACTCTATGAACATATTCTATTCCTCATCAAACTTCCAATTTATTCATTGATTTATATTATTATGCATTCATGGATTTTTTATTCTATGGGTTAAAATCCATTATTACCATTTATTTAGATGTTTAAGTAGTTCTAGATTGGACCAGTGGGAATTCTTTCAAGCTGGCTTATGTGTCGTTTTGACAATCCCACCATTCTTTGGGTATGCTTATTTTAGTGCACAATAAGATGTTCGAGGCTCATCCAGGACTTTTCCTGGCTCAGCCATTATACTAGCCATTTCTCTAAGAAGCCTTGGTTCTTTGGAAGAATGGTATTTACATGGCAAGATCTAGGTCCTAGGCATTCATCATAATCTGGGGCTGCTGTTGCTTCCAGGTCTTCTCGGTGGACAAAGGTAGAGAATATATGTATATGTATATACATATACACACATACTCACACATATACACCTCCACATTTACATATGTATAAAACTGTGAGTTTACACCAATATTTCCAATTGCAATGTAATATCACAGGTGTCAGATTTATTTTAGTTTTTTCTTTCCATAAATGTAGCTCTTCTGTCTGACAGTAAGGAAACTGGTTCTCGTTATCACTGAATGAGTATGTATACATAACCAATCTTCTATTGCTGATGCTCCCCATCATCCCCTGTGTGATTGCCCCGCTACCTTATACTGGATTGCTCACCTGAGCAGATGCTCTGTTTACTCCACTCAGGTTCCAACCTATTCCAGGCTGTTCTCTGGCAGGGACACACATCTCATTCTCAAAGGGTTCCAATACACAGTGACTCACCCTCACTGCCTTATATGAACACTCTCCTCACACTGGTTGGGTTCTGACACTGCTCAGCCTCTCTTCTCATGGCTTTGGTATTAATTATTCAAGATGGGAAAGGGCATGATTATTTTGTAATAATTGTTTTAGCTAAAGTTTGAGGAATATGTTGGAGGAGAGCAACAAAAGATAGAGGAAAACTGGCTAGGATACTACTGAAATAGCCCAGGTGAGAGATGGCAATGGCTTGGACTAGGGTAGAGTTAGCATAGATGTGGAGAAATAAACAGATTCGAGAAAAATGTGGAACTCATGTTCATTGCAGCAATATTCACAAGAGCCAAGGTATGAAGACAACTTAAGTATCCATTGACAGATGAATAGATAAAGAAAATGTGGTATATATACCATGGAATATTATTCAGCCATAAAAAAGAAGGAAACCCTGCCATTTGTGACAACATAGATAAATGTGGAAGACATTACATACACTAAGTGAAATAATCCAAATACAGAAAGGCAAACATTGTATAATCTTACTTATCTGTAGAATCTAAAGAGTAAAACTCACAGAAGCAGAGAGGAGAACAGTGCTTGCCAGGGGATGTGGTGGAGGGGAAAAGGAGAGATGGTAGTCAAAAAGAACAAACTTTAAGTTGTAAGATGAATATGTTCTGGGGATCTAATATACAGCCTAGTGACTATAGTTAATAATATATTGTCTCCTATAATTTGGTAAGAGAGCAGATTTTAAGTGTCCTCACCATGCACACATGCACACACACATAACTGAGTGGTGATAGATGTGTTAATTCATTCAACTGTGGTAATCAGTATAGAATATATATCCAATCATGTTGTATATGTTGAATATACACAGTTTTTATTTGTCAATTAAATATTTTAAAATTTAAAAAATGTAGAAGGTAATATGGGCCAGGTGCAGTGGCTCACGCCTGTAATCCCAGCACTTTGGGAGGCCAAGGTGGGCGGATCATAAGGTCAGGAGATCGAGACCATCCTGGCCAACATGGTGAAACCGTATCTCTGCTAAAAATACAAAACTTAACTGGGCGTGGTGGTGTGTGCCTGTAATCCCAGCTACTCGGGAGTCTGAGGCAGGAGAATCACTTGAACCAGGGAGTCGGAGGTTGTGGTGAGCCAAGATCATGCCACTGCACTCCAGCCTGGCAACAGAGCAAGACTCTGTCTCAAAAACAAAAACAAACAAACAAACAAAAGAGAAGGCAGTAGGTACGATTTGGTGATAAATTGGTCATGATGGGGAAGAGAAAGATGTTTGAAGACACATCTCTACTTCAGATAATTGACATCAAGGATGTCCACTTGCTTGGGAAACCAAGGCCTTGCCAGTCTCAGTGTAATAAATCAAAACTCAATACAACAGCACCATGATATATGTATGAGATATGTTATTACAAAGAAAGCATTTCATTTCATTTTTTCAGTTTCATTTGGAGAAATGCTACTCATCTTTCAAGATCTAGTTCATGCTTCTTCTGAAAATCATTTTGTAAGCTCCAGCTAAGCATATTTGATCACTCCATCCTTTACTATTGCATTTATCACAATATATTATAATTACGTTTCATTGGTTGGTCTACTATACTGAATTCGTTGAGATCAGGAATCTGGTTTTGTTTATCTTTCCTTCAATGCCTAGCTAGAACAGTGCTTGGCATGTATTCAATACATGCATTAGGATGAAATGAAGAATAAATGTTTATTATGTACAAAAAAGTAAGAGTGGACCTTTGTTCCTAAAGTTATTATGTCTGGCCCGGTGGGAGTAGGTGAAGAACAAACAATTGATATGTAAAAATATTTGTCAAATGAGTTATATGAGCAATATGGTCCCAAAAGACTTAATTTGGGGCTGAAGTGCTTAGAGGAGAATTAAAGGAAAGTATGGGTTTTTCTAAATTTTTTTTTTTTTTAAGAAAAAGAATTCCTCAAAAGATTTGGAATTTTAGAACCAGGTACAATCTTTGAGATCATGAAGTCTATTCCTTCAATTCATAGAGGAGGAAACTGAGGCTCAGGAAGACTGATGAGTGACTTGCCTAAAGATACTCAAATGTAAATAGATGACATAGGAACATAATCTGTGGTTCCTGTTTTTTTTGACCAGTATGAAATAATGATCATCAAAATAACCAAAACTTACATCTGCTTTATAATTCTCAGATACTATTTTAAGCACTTTAGTTATAATAATACATTTAATTGTCACAACAGCCCTATGAGGTAAATGCTGTTATTAAGTCAATTTTACTGATGAAGAAGCTGACACAAAGAGAGGTTTAGCCACTTGCCAATGTCACACTGTTAGTAAGCGGTAGAATTTGGATTCCAACATAGGTAGTAATATGGTTTGGCTCTGTGTCCCCACTCAAATCTCATCTCGAACTGTAGTCCCCATGTGTTGAGGGAGGGACCTGATGGGGGTGATTGGATCATGGGGGTGGTTTCCCCCATGCTGTTCTGTGATAGTGAGTTCTCAGAGATCTGATGGGCTTCTGAAGAAGGTGCTTGCTTTTCCTTCACATTCCAGCCATGCAGAACTGTGAGTCAATTAAACCTCCTTCCTTTATAAATTACCCCGTCTCAGGGAAGTTCTTTAGAGCAGTGCAAAAACTAATACAGGCAGTGTAGATCTGGAGCCCACAAAGAATACCAAAATTAGTTAACTGAAATATTTGTGACAGCACTTACTTAAGTTAGCAGAGGCATTATTTTCATATAATTTTTTCATAATAACATAATAACTTATTGTTATGGTTTGGCTGTGTCCCTACCCAAATCTCATCTTGAATCGTAGCTCCCAAAATTCCCACGTGTTGTGGGAGGGACCCGGTGGGAGATAATTGAATCATGGGGGCAGGTTGCAAAGCTAGTAGGGGCAGAACTGGAATTTGAATCTGGGGAGCCTAGTCCTAAACTGTGTATTTTTAATTAACATGTAATAATTGTACATATTTATGGGGTACAGAGTGATATTTTGGTACATATATATAATATGTAATGATCAAATCAGGGTAAATAGCATATCCATCACCTTAAACATTTATTATTTCTTTGTGTTGGGAACATTCAAAATCTTCTCTTCCAGTTATTTGAAAATATGCAATAAATTATTGCTAACTATAGTCACTCTACAGTGCCATAGGACATTAGAAGTTAGTCATCCTACCTAGCTGTAACTTTGCGTATCTTACCCAACCTCTCCTTATTCTCTCCTCCCTGCTACCCTTTCCAGCCTCTAGTAACCACAATTTAATTGCGACTTCTACCTAGACTGTACTTTTGATATGGGGGTAATGCTGGACTCATAAAATAAGTCAGGAAGTGTACTCTTCTCCTGTACTTGCAGAGAGAGATTTATTTTATTTTTCCCTTAAGTATTTGATAGAATCCATGGTGAATCCACCTGGAGTTTTCTTCCTGGGAAGGTTTTTATATGACTTAAAAATTATGTATGTAATTTCTTTGCTAGATATAGGACCATTCAGATTTTCTATTTCTTTTTGAGTGTTAGTAATTTGTGTCTTTTAAGAAATTTGTCTATTTCATCTAAGTTGTCGTATTTATTACTATAAAATTGTTCTCACAGTTCCTTTATTATCTTTTAGCATCTGGGGAATCTGTAGTAATATTCCTGTTTCATTCTTGACATTGGTTGTTTCTGCTCTTTCTCATTTTTCTTAATCAAACTATTGACTGATCCATTTTATAGATCTTTTCAAATAATCTGCTTTTGATTTAATTGATTTTTATTTTTCTCTTTTCTAGTTTGATTGTTTTCTTATCTTTATTTCCTTTTTCCTGCTTATGTTGGGTTTAATCTTCTTTTAAATTTTTTGCCTTTTAAGCTGGAAATTTAAGTTACTGATTTTGGATATTTCTTCTTTTCTGGTATAAACATTTAAAGTTCTAAATTTCTAAGTACTGTCTTAGTGGCATCCCATAATTCCTGATGCTTGTGTTTTTATTCTGATTCAGTTCACAATATTTTCTAATTTCCCTTGTAATTCTTCTTTGGCCATGGGTTATTTAAATATAATAGGGGGAATAAACTAGTATCTCCCTCAAAGAATCCTGTGGGGCACAATGAACAGTGGATTATTGTAGAAGTGAAGTGCTTTCAGAACAGTGCCTGACCATTACTGCTATGCATCAGCCATTGTTTTCACTGCCAGTTTTACTTTTGGGTTTCTTCATTCTACTTTAAAGAGAAAACAGAATTTTCTGTTACCTCTGCTGCTATAAACCCTGGAACATATTTAAGTTACTGCTTACTCTTTCATACTCCGTTGTTACTACCAGTGTGAAATCAGAATGCCCAGGCTTTCGCACATTTCTAGCATGTAATTGGTCTCTTTGACTAACCAGACACTGTGGAACCATGATTTGTTTTTTGCAACTTCTGCTTGCTTTGGAAGCCATGTGCCTTTTCAGATTTGGTAGCCAGAATATGAAAACAAAGAAAGAACATGGGTTGGGTGTTAACAACAAAACAATACAAAACAACTTGTTTCTGTGATTGTCTTTTTAAATCAGAAAAGTTTACTTTGGTCACCTTGAAATATATTACTCATTTCAACCAGTTTCAAGTTATATGATTCACTCCTTCTTGGTTAGCATGTTTTAGACCTAAAGGAATTTATTTACTAAATGCTCTTTCCAGGGGCATTTTCCTCCTCAACATTGTAAAACATCAAACAGAACTGAATGTGTCTTTGCCCAAATTAACATAATCAAAAGTAAGATGAAATAAAAATTTCAAATTTCAACTTCAGGCTAATATGCTGAGAATCCTACTCAATGTTGAATGGAGATGCTAAATAATTAGGACAAGCATTCTCTGTCCCTAAAGGAGGGAATAGAATTTCAGAGAAGGGAGTAGCCGCTAAGAGGCTCTTTGAGGCTTAAAGACACTGAACCACTGTTTCCCTGTGTCTAGATCTAGGTACAAATGCCTGACCTGCTGATGGCTTTTGGATTTGTTATACCTGATAGTCAACATCTCACATTTGACTATAGGCTTCTATTCTATTCTCCATTTAAAGGTTTTAATTTCTCTAATAGTCAGATTTAGGTTTAACAATTCCGTTGCATAACTGACCACAAAATCTTGTATGTCTCCTGTCACTAGCAGTAAATCATTTAAGGCAGTTATTCCATTTGTAAGAAATTATCATTGCATAATAATGAAATCAGTAATATTCTGCAACTAAATATAACTGTTTAACTCTACTGTCATGAACTTTTTTGTTTTTAAAGACTTAGCCCTCAGCTGGGTGCAGTGGCTCATGCCTGTAGTCCCAACACTTTGGGAGGCCAAGGCAGGTGGATCATTTGAGGTCAGGAGTTCAAGACCAGCCTTGTCAACCTGGCAAAACCTGGTCTCTATGAAAAATACAAAAATTAGCTGGGCTTGGTGGCGCATGCCTGTAACCCCAGCTAGTTGGGAAGCTGAGGCAGAAGAATCGCTTGAACCTAGGAGGCGTCAGTTGCAGTGAGCTGGGAAGATCACACAACTGCACTCCACTCCAGCCTTGGTGACAGAGCGAGATTCCGTCCCCCAAAACAAAAAAAAAAAAGACTTAGCCCTCATGAAGATTAATTTATAGCCCAAAGACCTAATCTACTCTTTGTAAAAATGTTTTCATCAATGGCTTTGGTTTTCTTAATTAGCATATTAATTAGTTAAATAAGCTAAAGGGTAGACTGCCACCAAGTCGATGGCAGCAAACATATTGTCACTATGCTTGTCTCCTTATGTGCCCTCAATAATTGTTTTTGTTCACTTTGTAAAAATGCCACTGAGCCAGCAGAAGATGTCACCCACTATTAATTAGGCTACGTGAGCTGCCATATTTATACTGGGAAAGAAAAGGGAGAAAAACTCCACATCATATAGAATTTTTGTTTAAAAAATTATCATACATGAGATTTGGCCCTTCAGGACACCTGGAGGTTTTCACATGGTACATTTTTAAAGTTAAACCTTTTGTTTGATTTTGTTTCTACTTTATCAATTTGACAGTTGCAGAAGTAAGAGAACTATAGGTTGTGGTTTGCCACATTCTCCAGGATCTATCTAAGAATCAAAAAAAATACTGTTTTTAAATACTTTAGTCAATCACTAGGACAAACGTGTATATATCTAATCCAGGAGTCCATAGAGTACGATCTAGGGACTGTTGGGGACCCCCGAATTCTTTCCAGGGCTTTGTGAGGTTAAAACTACTTTCATGATAATTCTTTTATCCACTTTCATTCTTAAATATACAATGAAGTTTTCCACAGACTATGTGATGTTGTGTGATACCACAGTAGATTGAATGTAGACACCACAGATATGAAAATCTAGTTGACCTTTATAAAGCCAAACATTAAGAGATTTGCAGAAAGGTAAAATGCTGCCATCTTACTCATTAATTTTGGGGAAAATTTTTCACAAATATACATGTTAATATGTAATGGATTATTTTTAAATAAAGTAATAAACATTTTAAATTTATGTTTTAATTTCTAATATGGTAAATATTTGTAGACACAGCACATATAAACAAAGATTACAAAGAAAATTCTTACTTTGACCTTCCTCTCCCAAGAATCGTATATTTAGATTTTTGCCTAACTTCCTAATACATTTTAACAACCTTAACTCTATTTTTAGTTCATGGATCTTATTATGCCTTTTCCCCCTAGCCACAGATTCACTGCCAGATCAATTACCTTGAATTCTGAATTTCACAGAGCCCTGAATAGCTGCAGCAACTTCGTGACTTGAGAGGCAAAACTACTGGAGAGGTATGAGTGAGGAGCTATGAGTAGGAACAGGGAGCTTTAAAAAACTTGAGTTTTTTTTTTTTGTTTTTTTTTTTTTTCCAGACGGAGTGTCTCTCTCTTGCTGAGACTGGAGTGCAGTGGCGTGATCTCGGCTGTCTGCAACCTCTGCCCCCCGGATTCGAGCAATTCTCCTGCCTCAGCCTCCTGAGTAGCTGGGACTACAGGTGCCTGCCACCACGCCCAGATAATTTTTTTTTTTTTTGTAATTTTTAGTAGAGACAGGGTTTCACCATGTTGGCCAGGCTTGTCTCGAACTCCTAACCTAAGGTAATCCTCCCGCCTCAGCCTCCCAAAGTGCTGGGATTACAGGTGTGAGCCATCACGCCCGGCCAGAACTGAGTTTTTATAAATATTTATCCTATAATTTCACATTCCTGTAACCATGGCCACAAGAATTGACCAGAGCTGGAACCTTATTTATGGATGGCCTGGAATATGCCTTACTTTCTATTAGGTACTTTATGTATTTTATTTTTAATCCTTGTGGCTTCTCTGAAATTGAAGAAGAAGAATCCATTTCATGGATGAGGAGACCTAGGTTCAGAAAAGTGAAATGATTTGTTCAGGATGACACAGCTAATTGGCAGAGTTGGGATTCCCAGCCTGGACTGATTAGATCCCAGGCTATGTGAGGAGAAGGTGCCTTTCAATTCCATTTATGACATTTTTTCTTCTTTAGATTTTTGCCTTGGGAGGGTCAGGACTATAAAACATGTTTAACATTCTCCATTTTTGTAGAGTGGAGGCATAAATTTTACCCAACCCGGGAGCTGGGTCCTGCTTAGCTCTTTTAGGATTCTTCTCCCTTTCCCTTATGCCATTCAGCAACCTGATCAGAATTGGAATTTCTAACCATTGCCTACACTCATAACTGTATACTCTACATTAGAATCAGAACTCTTTTAGCATGGAGAGTCACTGACCTGTCAACAGCTGCGAAAATTAATGAGTAAAGATAGGCCTGTTTCTTCTGGAATGTAAATTGAAATTAATCTAACAGGAACTTCAAAATAAATTGCCACTAGAGATTGAAGAGTTATTAGAAATAAAGATCAAATCACAAGTAGGATTTTTATGTAACATTAAATATATAACTTGACTACTTACCCATACCCGCTCCTGAAAGAAATTTTATCATGCTTTCATTAAGTTATCTAGACCAATTTCGTTGGTTGCGTTCCATTTTAACAATCAGCTTAAGTACATGAACAGGTTCATATCATTAACTTTCATCTGTATGTGCCATTATAACTTGAAGTCTTTAAAAGTAATGGTTATTCTTTCAGAAAGTACTTTGTGTGATTTTCCTATCTGAAAGATCACAAGAAAGACAGTGATAATTTGCACAAATCCAAACTGATATATTTTAACTGTCACCTATTTATTCATTTCACTTCTAACAAAAAAGACTTGAATTTAACCCAATCATACCAATGTGAGAGGAGGAGCAACACTAGCCACTTTTCTAATAAAGAGTTTAGATTGACTCAGAGCAAAAATTATGAAGATGATATGTGGTAAATTTATCAGAGTTCTAAATAATTAGAAAATAGCTTTTAAAAGTATTGCTCTGATTCAATATTCTTTATGTTTTCTATGCAAAATACCTTTTTTATAACTTTTATAATTATGAAAAATAAGACAATGTGTCTTTCTCCAACCCCTTATATTAATTCATTGTGCATATTTTATGAAGTGCATCACATACCAGCTTCTGTGTGCATTTCTCCTCTCCCTCACTAGAATGCCCACTCCTAAGGGTAGAGAATCTATTCATCTTTGGGTCCTTCACCAAAAGCAGCACGCTGCTTTGCATATTTTGTAGCCAATAAATAGCCATATGAATAGGCCAGGTGAGGTGGCTCACACCTGTAATCCCAGCACTTTGGGAGGCCGAGGTGGGTGGATCACTTTAGGTCAGGAGTTCGAGACCAGCTGGCAACATGGTGAAACCCTGTCTCTACCAAAAATATAAAAAATTAGCCAGGTGTGGTGGTACATGCCTGCAATCCCAGCTACTTGGGAGGCTGAGGCAAGAGAATTGCTTGAACCCAGGAGGCGGAGGTTGCAGTGAGTCAAGAGCCTGCCGCTGCACTTCAGCCTGGGCGACAGAGTGAGACTCCACTCAAAAATCAATCAATCAATAAATAAGTAATATGCATAAATTATTACTGTTTATGCATGCTAAAGTTTTTCTCACAATTTTAATCTTAATTCTGCAAATTAAATTCTGTAAATTGGTTTCTTTAAGAGAAACCTAGAATCTAGAGCCCCAAATTTAGCTGAGTCTTCCTTAAATTTTGTTTATTTATTTGTATTCTTTAAATGAGTGTTAACATTAAAGGCAGGCATTATCTAAACAATGATTAAAATTGATCTTGTTAGCATTGTCTCAGTCAGTTAGTTTTGCTGGAATAAAAGCTCTGTGCTTTTATAGTAGATCCTAGAGACTACAGCTCCTCTCTCATGTCTTTGAAGGCTACCTAGAATCACAAGAGGGTGATAGTGAATCGGTGGTTTGGGACAAATCTGGTACTTTAGTCATTTGGACACAGGTTTAAAAGTTAAGCAAGCCAGCCCGGACACAGTGGCCCACACCTGTAACTTTGGGAGGCCGAGGCGGGTGGATCACTTGAGGCTGGGAGTTCAAGACCAGCCTGACCAACATGGCGAAACCCCGTCTCTACTATAAAATACAAAAATTAGACTGGTGTGGTGGTGCGCGTCTGTAATCCCAGCTACTTGGGAGGCTAAGGCAGGAGAATCACTTGAACCCGGGAGGTGCAAGTTGCATTGAGCTGAGATGGCACCACTGCACTCCAGCCTGGGCAACACAGCAAAACTTCAAAAAAAAAAAAAAGTTAAGCAAACCTTAACGTTTAGGATAAAAGAAAATATTACTAAAACAGAAGGTCAGCCGGGCGCGGTGGCTCACACCTGTAATCCCAGCACTTTGGGAGGCCAAGGCGGGCGGATCACGAGGTCAGGAGATCGAGACCATCCTGGCTAACACGGTGAAACCCCGTCTTTACTAAAAATACAAAAAAATTAGCCGGGCGTGGTGGCAGGCGACTGTAGTCTCAGCTACTTGGGAGGCTGAGGCAGGAGAATGGCGTGAACCTGGGAGGCATAGCTTGCAGTGAGCTGAGATCGCGCCACTGCACTCCAGCCTGGGCAACAGAGCAAGACTCCATCTCAAAACAACAACAACAAAAACAAAAAACAGAAAGTCAGGAAGTAAACAGAATATTCATGTTCATTCAGGAAAGATTTTTTTTAAATGAAAACTAATTAGGACATGCATTTAATGAATTACTTTTTTTGCGTGTGTGTGTGATATAATCTCCCTCTGTCACTCAGGCTGGAGTGCAGTGGTGTGGTCTCAGCTCCTTGCAACCTCTGCCTTCCAGATTCAAGCAATTTTCTCTCCTCAGCCTCCCAAGTAGTTGGGATTACAGGTGCCTGCCAATACGCCCAGCTAATTTCTTTTTCTTTTTCTTTTCTTTCTGTTTTTTTTTTTTTTTTTTTGAGATGGAGTCTTGCTCTGTCGCCCAGGCTGGAGTGCAGAGGCACAATCTCAGCTCACTGCAACCTCTGCCTCCCGCATTAAAGCGATTCTCCTGCCTCAGCCTCCCAAGTAGCTGGGATTACAGGTGCCTGCCACCACACCTGGCTAATTTTTGTATTTTTAGTAGAGATGGGGTTTCACCGTGTTGGCCAGGATGGTCTCGATCTCCTGACCTTGTGAGCCACCCGCCTCAGCCTCCCAAAGTGCTGGGATTACATGCGTGAACCACTGCGCCCCACCATCACCCAGCTAATTTCTTTTGTATTTTTAGTAGAGATGGGTTTTGCCATATTGGCCAGGCTAGTCTCGAACTCACTCCTGACCTCAGGTGATCCACCCACCTCAGCCTCCCAAAGTGTTGGGTTTATAGGCGTGAGCCACCGCGCCCGGCCTACATATTTTTTTAAATGGGAAATTTTAGAACAAATTTGCTGTGTGTTGTATTTTGGAAACAGTTAAGCCACTAGAGTAAGATGTTCTTACAATTCAGCCAACATGAGAGTAAATCACTGGTTTTTATTCTTGGGAAATGTGACCTACTATGAAAGCACTTGTATTAATGTCAAGAAAAGTGGTACAATGACAGAGGCAATGAGAAAGTGGTTTTCCTCATTAGAATCATTTTCATAGAGAAAGAAAAGCTGGAGAATAAGGTCTTGTCCATTTTTTTCCAAGAGAAGAGAAACAGGTTAGATGACAGTAGCACCAGTAGCCAGCTGAGCCTCATGGTCAAGAGCAGTGATTACAGGAAAAAGAGGCAGGCCTGGTTGGAATCCTAGCTATGCCAATTTAACTCTGGACAAATTGGTTGACCTCTTGTCTTCTTCTTTGTAAAACAGTCATAGTAATTCTGTTTATCTCCCAAAATTGTTTTGAGAATTATTTTAAGAAAACATGTTTTTAAAAAGCCTGGTACACAGTAAGCATTCAACAAATGGTAACATCAAAGAAAAACAAATAAACAAACTTGTTCTTTATACAGAAATATTTTTACAGCTCAGAATGGCATCTTATCATGCTATTTTAGCATGGTGGAAATATTTCTTAAGAACCTGTAACTGTCATCTAAAATTCTACATACTCTAACTAGCCTCCTATAGTCTATTTTTTTTGAAGAGGTATTAACTCAAATCCAATAACAAATATCTTACAGAAGAAAAAATACATCTTCATTCTTATAAAATAAACCATTACTGTTTATGCATGCTAAAGTTTATTGTAAAATATGTTATTGGTATCAAAATCACCAGTGCTTTATTCTTCAGTGAGCTGATAAAATCAATTTTCCGAAACCAAAAAGTAAGAAAAATTTGGTTCTGAAATTTGGTGTATTTACCAAAATGTGACACTTAGTGAACCTCAAACAATCAGCTGGTTGTATCCATTTCTTTACTGGGAAAAGCAATAGAATGACTTGCTTTCTGAAGGTATGAATAGTCAGTTTATTAGTGCGGTGCTTTGCCTAGAAGCATTAGTTACTTTGATGAAAACAATTCCTACCCTGGTTTCCTTCATGGAGTGAGAATATTACCACCTATCCCTTTTTACCTTGGGTTATGATAAAAAGAGATCTGAGTTCAACAGGGATCAATACAGCATTTATTTTTACTGATAAAGGGCTACCTCAGGGATAGACGTGAAGTCTTTAATGCTTAAGAATAACAGTGTTACTGCCTGATCCTCATGTTAGTTGACAAATATTGCCAAGTGTCTGTAGCCATTCCTTGGGAGCTAGAGGTCTCAGGGCCAAATGCACTGTGTTCTTATGTTCTCCCACACGAGTGCATTTAGAGATGAAATCAGCTTGAAAAGAACATTAAGAACAGCCTTCAAGGGGGGAATGAAGTCATAGCCAGGCAGTTTTATCCCTTTGCCTTGGTGATAGACTATGTTTTGTGCTCACTACATGCAAATGTCTCTGGGCTTTAAAAAGAAATATTTTTTCCATAAGAATAGGCAATAAAAAAGAAGAGTAGAAAAAGGAAAAAAGAGTGTTTTTATTTGCCACGCTAATATAATTACTATGAGCACTTTTATGTCATCATTCAGTTTTTACAAATCTGTAAAATAATGAAAAATTATTTTTTATTCTGCTCATTCTATTCAAAATCATAACAAATATTTTCCATGTTATAACATAATCTTTATAAGCATGTTTAATAATGCTATAGTATATAATATTTTACTGATGGAGTTAGCATAATTTATTTAACCACTCTTTAGTTATTTTTAGTTTTTAAAGTTGTTTCCATGTTTTCCTTTGCTCATACAAATAGTGCTGATGTAAATATCATTCTGCTGATATAATATCAGCCTTTGCTATTTCAGATTTCTTACCTTAAGATACACTCCCAAGAGCTGAATTTCAGGGTCCAAGAGCCTAAGATAGATTCCTGCAGGATTTTTTTTAGTAGATGATAAAGAACCACTTTCTCCTAATAAAATCCTAATCAGCTCTTTAAAATCTGGTGTTGAAGCCTGGACTGAGGAGCCATATTTTAGGAATGGCAACAGGGCATGTCAGAACTGTGGAGCTGGTATTCTGTTACTTATATTTGTTATCTTAGCAGCAGCACAGCTAGGAGAAAATGCTAACCTTCAATGCTGCTCTTCTGATGCCTGAGAGGAGTTTAACAGAAAATTGAACATATTTTCAACTTGATGAATTTCTCAAGAAGAGAGAGAGGAACTAACATTTATTGAGTGCCTATTTGGCTCCAGGTGCAGTGATTGTTATTTCAAATTTATTATTATTGGAATGACATAGTGGGATTTGTTGCCTGAATTGTAGCACTCATCTATTTTCCCCAACAGGGTTTTCTCATCAACAGAGTATAGCTGCAGAGAATGGAGTCATACAGCGCCCAGTGTCTTAGCCATACTGCTAAAACTGGGTTGAGCTATGTGAAATGCGTCCTAATTCCCTCCAAGCCTAGACTTTGGAATCCAAGTGTCACTGATCTGCCTATAGCAGAGAAGCTGGGGTTGACAAAGTAGGCCTCTCTTGGTCTGCTTCTCACATAAAAATTAAAAACACAGGTACTCACTGTGTAAGCAGGCAGGCCTGAGAGAATGAAAGAGAGACTATCACCTGTCCACCTGGCAGCGTGGTGTTTTGCCTTCTGGTCAACATAGTTCTATGGAGAGGGGCCTCTCTGTAAATCCAATCAGGTCAGGCACTTCTCCTCCCCTGGGGAAGGACTGGGACAGGGAAGCAGTGTCCTCATGGAAACTGAGGAAGAGATCTAGGATTCAGATCCCTCACTCCTCCAAATTATCACAAATAGTCTTTGAAATAATACTGTGAGAATTAGAATCATATTTGTAGGTAAAGAAGCTGAGATTTAGATATGTTAAGCAATTTCGTAAGGTCACACAGTTAAGTGGCAAGTGGCTGAGTCGACATGCAAACTTTGGTGTGTGAGACCCCAAGGTCCATGTTCCTTCCATTGTGCCGTTGAGTGCTCCTGCCTTCATGAGCCCCACCTCCCCCAAGTACATTTGTATTTTAGTACAGGCTTTCTGCAGACATAATCACTTAAAAGATGGTAATGACTCTCATGGTGGGAATTTCAGCCATCTTGGTATATCAGAGGGGGTGAGATTTGGTGCAATTTGGCCTTTTGACATTTCTCAAATGATAAGCTTATATGTAACATTTAGAATTGATATAGTGATCAGCTCAAGCTCAAGATAGAAAAAACTGAGAGATAAAAATCAATGCTTAGAATCTAAGACAAATTTTGTCCTGAGAAATACTTATGAGTCTTTTTATTGTTATATAGTTATATGATTTCAACTTAAAACATTAGACTTTATGACCTAATGATCTATAACAAATTATATTGCTTCATGCTTCATACATTTCATAGGAAATTTTTGAAAATAGACTTTATTTTAAAGCAGTCTTAGGTTTATAGCAAACTGGAGTGGAAGGTACAGAGGTTTCACATATTCCCCCTGTCCCCACACATGCACATCCTCCCCCATTGTCAACATCCCCTCCCAGAGTGGTAGATTTGTTACAATTAATGAACCTGCATTGACATATCATTACTACCCAAAGCCCATTAGGGTACACTGTTGGTGTTGTACATTCTATAGATTTGAACAAATGTATAATGACATATGTCCACCATTATAGTGTCATACAGAGTAGTCTCACTGTCCTAAACATCCTCCGCACTCTGCCTACTCATTCCTCCCTACTAATCTCTCCTTCCTCCTAATTCCTGGGAACCACTGTCCTTTCTACTATCTCCATAGTTTTGCCTTTTCAGAACGTCATGTAGTTGGAATCATACAGTATGTTATCTTTACGGAATGCCTTCTCTCCCTTAGTAATGTACATTTAAGTTTCTTCAATGTCTTTTCATGGCTTGATAATTCATTTCCTTTAAGCAGTAAATAATATCCCGTTGTCTGGATGTACTATAGTTTATTTCCTCATTCATCTACTAAAGGACATTTTGGTTGCATCCACATTTTGGCAATTATGAATAAAGTTGCTGTAAATATCCGTGTGTAGGTTTTTGTGCGGACATAAGTTTTCAACTCCTTTGAGTAAATACCAAGGAGTGCAATTGCTGGATCTTATGACAAGAGTATGTCTAGTTTTGTAAGAAACTGCCAAACTGTCTTCCAAAGTGGCTGTGTCATTTTGCCTTCTCACCAGCAATGAATGAGAGTTCCTGTTGTTCCACATACTTGCTAGCATTTGGTGTTGTCAGTGTTCTGGATTTTGGCCATTCTGATAGGTATGTAGTAGTATCTTGCTTTAATTTGGATTTCCTTATTGACATATGACATGGAACAGCTTTTCATATGCTTACTTGCCATCTGTGTATTTTCTTTGCTGAGGTGTCTGTTAAGGTCTTTGGCCAATTTCTTAATTGTATATTTTGGTAACAGTCCGCTATGAGATATATTGTTTGCAAGTATTTCCTCCCAGTTGTGGCTTATCTTTTCTTTTTTTTTCTTTTTCTTTTTCTTTTTCTTTTTTTTTTTTTTTTTTTGAGAGAGGGCCTTGTTCTGTCGCCCAGGCTGGAGTGCAGTGGCGCGATCTCGGCTCACTGCAAGCTCCGCCTCCCGGGTTCACGCCATTCTCCTGCCTCAGCCTCCCAAGTAGCTGGGACTACAGGCGCCAGCCACCGCGCCCAGCTAATTTTTTTGTAGTTTTAGTAGAGACGGAGTTTCACCGTGTTAGCCAGGATGGCTTATCTTTTCATTCTCTTTTGCAGAGCAGAAATTTTAAATTTTAATGAGTTTTAAACTCTCAGACATGTCCACACTGAACCTCCTGCAATTTGCAATTATAGTTTAAGTTTTCCTACTTCCATGCTGGTTCCCATGAAAGTTTCTGCTTGATGTTTTCTGGTTTGGTACATTGTGACTCAATTTTGGGGGCAGTGGTTTGCCCTCTGACCTCTCTTCTCTTATGAATTTAAGAAGTGTTGTTGATTTTTCAGTTTTCTCAGCCTTTTACTTGTTGTTAGGATGCAGTGGTGACTTCCAAGCCCCTTACATGTCAGGCTAGCCATGCTTGGCTTTTAAATAATGCGAGGAATAAAAATTTAAAATATGCCTTTCAAAGAAAACAATAGGAATACTCATTAATTATAGTTTCTAAATTCTTTAATTTTGTAATCTAAATGCTTTTCTGAATTAAAAAAATTTTACAATGGTAACCATTTTTTAGATTATAAAATAATATGTTACTTCCCAAAAAATGGGATAGTATATTAAGTAGAAATAGCATCAATAATCCCATCATCATAAACAATCACTTTTATAATTTCTTCTCTATTTCTTGTCTTTTTAAAAAAAAAACAAACAAACAACTGTTGCCCCCCCCCCACCTTTTTTTTTCCTCTATGTAATATCAACAGTCTTTCAATTCTTCCACTGGAGCTCTGGGTTCCATAATCCATTTTCTCAGGAGTCTGCTTCCATCAGTTGCTCTTCTTCTCTTGAATTTTTCTTCTTTCTGGGTTTTTAGCATATGAACATGCTGTATTAGTCAAGGATATGTGCCTTTTTCTGTAAACATTTGTTCTAACACAGATGTGTTCTTTCCAACTCTAAGTAAAGACCCTTCCCCCTGTCAGAAGAGATCTCTTCATGGATCTCTTGTATTCCTACATGTCTTCTGGGTGTTTCAAACCTGACTGCCCTTTTACATGGATCATTTCTCAGATGAGAGTAGGCTTCGTTACCGCTTCTGTAGATGGAGTGGATTCCCGATGCTCAGTGTTTCTCAAGTGCAGCGCAAACTCACTGCATGCACAGAATCCATCTGAGCCCATTGCATCATCAAGACTCTGCAGTACTGGCAAAACAGACATATGTATCAATATATCTCAATAGAACTAAGAGCCCAGAAACAAACCCATACATTTGTGGTCAATTGATTTTCAACAAAGAAGCCAAAACAATTTAGTGGGAAAGAAGTGTTTTCAACAAATGGTGCTAGGACACCTGGATATCCACATGGTAAAGAATGAATTTGGGTCTCTATTCACACCACATACAAAAATTAAGTCAGAATGAATCAACGACATAAATATATCTATCTAAGAAGAAAATATAGGTGCAAATCTTCATGATTTTGGATTAGGCAATGGTCTCTTAGATATTTAGATATAATACCAAAGATAGAAACAACCAAAGAAGAAATAAATAAAACAGGCTTCATCAGAATTAAACAGCTTTGTTTTTATAAAAACACTGTCAAGAGGCCAGGTGCAGTGGCTCATGCCTGTAATCCCAGAACTTTGGGAGCCTAAGGCGGGCGGATCACTTGAGGTCAGGAGTTTGAGACCAGCCTGGCCAACATGGCAAAATGCTGTCTCTACTAAAAATACAAAAATTAGTTGGGTGTGGTGGTGGGTGCCTGTAATCCCAGCTGCTCCGGAGGCTGAGACAGGAGAATCATTTGAATCTGGGAGGTGGAGGCTGCAGTGAGCCGAGTTTGCGCCATTGCACTCCAACCTGGGCAACAGTGTGGAGTGTTTCCATCTCAAAAAGAAAAAAAAAAAAAAAAAAGAACACTATCAAGAAAGTGACCAGACAACACACCGAAAAGAAAAAAATACTTGAAAAACATATGTCTGATAAGGGTCTAGTGTCCAGAATATATTTAAAAACCCTTATAATTCAACATCAACCAAGTAACCCAATTGTTAAAAATGGCCAAAGACATTTATGCAAAGAAGTTATGCAAATGACCTGCAAGCACATAAAAGGCTGCTGCACATTATTAGCTGCTAGGAAAATACAAATAATACAGTATTGTGGTTATGTTGAAAGAGATTCCTTATTAAATAAGGAATACAAATATTTATGATAAAATGATATGATATTTGTGATTGGCTTCAAAATAATATGGGATGGGGAGAATTGGGTAGAAGTTAAATGAATATAAGTGACCAAAATTGATACTTGTTGAAGTTGGGTAATATAGATAAATGGGAGTTCACTATACTCTTTACTGATTTTATATATATTTGAAATTTGAAACAAAGATTCATAGGATTCTAGGGAATTATTTTAATTGTTGAGTTCCTAGTTGCTTATCTATTTTTATTTTTTTGGAGACAGGGTCTCTCTCTGTCACCCAGGCTGGAGTGCAGTTGCATGATCATAGCTCACTGCAACCTCAAACTCGTGGGCTCAAGCCATCATGCCACCTAAGCCTCCCAAGTAGCTAGGACTATAGGTGCCAAATAATTGGGACAATAAAAATGGAAACTAGATTTATTTTTAAAGTCAATAAATTATGTAACCACTGATTAAGTAAAACATAATCACAGATACCTAGTGAAACATATAAATTATCTGAAATGACCCAAGAGGAGGCAGATATGTTTACACTGACTACTGTGTAAGAACTAGGAAAGGTTCTTAAAGATAACCATAAAAAGTTTTCAAGTCCAGATTGTTTTATATCTGAATTCAACCTAACTTTCTTTTATATATATTACATATATATATTTTATATATATATATATTTTTATTATACTTTAAGTTCTAGGGTATATGTGCACAACATCCAGGTTTGTTACATATGTATACATGTGCCATGTTGGTGTGCTGCACCCATTAACTCATAATTTACATTAGGTATATCTCCTAATGCTATCCCTACCCACTCCCCCCACCCCACAACAGGCCCCAGTGTGTGATGTTCCCTTTCCTGTGTCCAAGTGTTCTCATTTTTCAGTTCCCACCTATGAGTGACAACATGGGGTGTTTGGTTTTTTATCCTTGCAATAGTTTGCTGAGAATGATGGTTTCCAGCTTCATCCATGTCCCTACAAAGGACATGAACTCATCATTTTTATGGCTGCATAGTATTCCGTGGTGTATATGTGCCACATTTTCTTAATCTAGTCTATCATTGTTGGACATTTGAGTTGGTTCCAAGTCTTTGCTATTGTGAGTAGTGCCGCAATAAACGTGTGTGTGTGTCTTTATAGCAGCATGATTTATATTCCTTTGGGTACATACCTAGTAATGGGATTGCTGGGTCACATTGTATGTCTAGTTCTAGATCCCCGAGGAATCGCCACACTGTCTTCCACAATGGTTGAACTAGTTTACAGTCCTACCAACAGTGTAAAAGTGTTCCTATATCTCCACATCCTCTCCAGCACCTGTTGTTTCCTGACTTTTTAATGATCGCCATTCTAACTGGTGTGAGATGATATCTCATTGTGGTTTTGATTTGCATTTATCTGATTGCCAGTGATGATGAGCATTTTTTCGTGTCTGTTGGTTACATAAATGTCTTCTTTTGAGAAGTGTCTGTTCATATCCTTCGCCCACTTTTTGATGGGGTTTTTTTTTTCTTGTAATTTGTTTGAGTTCTTTGTAGATTCTGGATATTAGCCCTTTGTCACATGAGTAGTTTGTAAAAATTTTCTCCCATTCTGTAGGTTGCCTGTCTACTCTGATGGTAGTTTCTTTTGCTGTGCAGAAGCTCTTTAGTTTAATTAGATCCCATTTGTCAATTATGGCTTTTGTTGCCATTGCTTTTGGTGTTTTAGACATGAAGTCCTTGCCCATGCCTATGTCCTGAATGGTATTGCCTAGGTTTTCTTCTAGGGTTTTTATGGTTTTAGGTCTAACATGTAAGTCTTTAATCCATCTTTAATTAATTTTTGTATAAGGTGCAAGGAAGGGATCCAGTTTCAGCTTTCTACATATGGCTAGCCAGTTTTCCCAGCACCATTTGTTAACTAGAGAATACTTTCCCTATTTCTTGTTTTTGTCAGGTTTGTCAAAGATCAGACGGTTGTAGATGTGTGGTATTATTTCTGAGGGCTTTGTTCTGTTCCATTGGTCTATATCTCTGTTTTGGTACCAGTACCGTGCTGTTTTGGTTACTGTAGCCTTGTAGTATAGTTTGAAGTCAGGTAGTGTGATGCGTCCAGCTTTGTTCTTTTGGCTTAGGATTGACTTGGTGATGTGGGCTCTTTTTTGGTCCCATATGAACTTTAAAGTAGTTTTTTCCAATTCTGTGAAGAAAGTCATTGGTAGCTTGATGGGGATGGCATTGAATCTATAAATTACCTTGGGCTGTATGGCCATTTTCACAATATTGAGTCTTCCTACCCATGAGCATGGAATGTTCTTCCATTTGTTTGTGTCCTCTTTTATTTCGTTGAGCAGTGGTTTGTAGATCTCCTTGAAGAGGTCCTTCACATCCCTTGTAAGTTGGATTCCTAGGTATTTTATTCTCTTTGAAGCAATTGTGAATGGGAGTTCACTCATGATTTGGCTCTCTGTTTGTCTGTTATTGGTGTATAAGAATGCTTGTGATTTTTGTACATTGATTTTGTATCTGAGACTTTGCTGAAGTTGCTTATCAGCTTAAAGAGATTTTGGGCTGAGATGATGGGTTTTTCTAGATATACAATCATGTCATCTGCAGACAGGGACAATTTGACTTCCTCTTTTCCTAATTGAATACCCTTTATTTCTTTCTCTTGCCCGATTGCCCTGGCCAGAACTTCCAACACTATGTTGAATAGGAGTGGTGAGAGAGGGCATCCCTGTCTTGTGCCAGTTTTCAAAGGGAATGCTTCCAGTCTTTGCCCATTCAGTATGATATTGGCTGTGGGTTTGTCATACATAGCTCTTATTATTTTGAGATACATCCCATCAATACCTAATTTATTGAGAGTTTTTAGCATGAAGCGCTGTTGACTTTTGTCAAAGGCCTTTTCTGCATCTATTGAGATAATCATGTGGTTTTTGTCTCTGGTTCTATTTACATGCTGGATTACGTTTATTGATTTGCGTATGTTGAACCAGCCTTGCATCCCAGGGATGAAGCCCACTTGATCATCGTGGATAAGCTTTTTGATGTCGTGCTGGATTCCATTTGCCAGTATTTTATTGAGGATTTTGCATCGATGTTCATCAAGGATATTGGTCTAAAATTTTATTTTTTTGTTGTGTCTCTGCCAGGCTTTGGTATCAGGATGATGCTGGCCTCATAAAATGAGTTAGGGAGGATTCCCTCTTTTTCTATTGATTGGAATAGTTTCAGAAGGAAGGGTACCAGCTCCTCCTTATACCTCTGGTAGAATTCGGCTGTGAATCCAT
Organism: Homo sapiens; assembly: GCF_000001405.40. NCBI lineage: Eukaryota > Metazoa > Chordata > Mammalia > Primates > Hominidae > Homo > Homo sapiens. The sequence continues at coordinate 182,690,070 of NC_000002.12, read as the reverse complement.
CTGGTCCTGGACTTTTTTTGGTTGGTAAGCTGTTAATTATTGCCTCAATTTCAGAGCCTGTTATTGGTCTATTACGAGATTCTACTTCTTCCTGATTTAGTCTTGGGAGGGTGTATGTGTCAAGGAATTTATCCATTTCTTCTAAATTTTCTAGTTTATTTGCATAGAGGTGTTTATAGTATTCTCTGATGGTAGTTTGTATTTCTGTGGGATCGATGGTGATATCCCCTTTATCATTTTTTTATTGCATCTATTTGATTTTTTGCTCTTTTCTTCTTTATTAGTCTTGCTAGCGGTCTATCAATTTTGTTGATCTTTTCAAAAAACCAGCTACTGGATTCATTGATTTTTTGAAGGGTTTTTTGTGTCTCTATCTCCTTCAGTTCTGCTCTGATCTTAGTTATTTCTTGCCTTCTGCTAACTTTTGAATGTGTTTGCTCTTGCTTCTCTAGTTCTTTTAATTGTGATGTTAGGGTGTCAATTTTGGATCTTTCCTGCTTTCTCTTGTGGGCATTTAGCGCTATAAATTTCCCTCTACACACTGCTTTAAATGTGTCCCAGAGAGTCTGGTATGTTGTGTCTTTGTTCTCGTTGGTTTCAAAGAACATTTTTATTTCTGCCTTCATTTTGTTATGTACCCAGTAGTCATTCAGGAACAGGGTGTTCAGTTTCCATGTAGTTGAGCGGTTTTGAGTGAGTTTCTTAATCCTGAGTTCTAGTTTGATTGCACTGTGGTCTGAGAGACAGTTTGTTATAATTTCTGTTCTTTTACGTTTGCTGAGGAGTGCTTTACTTCCAACTATGTGGTCAATTTTGGAATAAGTGCGGTGTGGTCCTGAGAAGAATGTATATTCTGTTGATTTGGGTTTGACAGTTTTGTAGATGTCTATTAAGTCTGCTTGGTGCAGACCTGAGTTCAATTCCTGGATATCCTTGTTAACTTTCTGTCTCGCTGATCTCTCTAATGTTGACAGTGTGGTGTTAAAGTCTCCCATTATTCTTGTGTGGGAGTCTACGTCTCTTTGTAGTTCTCTAAGGACTTGCTTTATGAATCTGGGTGCTCCTGTATTGGGTGCATATATATTTAGGGTAGTTAGCTCTTCTTGTTGAATTGATCCCTTTATCATTATGTAATGGCCTTCTTTGTCCTTTTGATCTTTGTTGGTTTAAAGTCTGTTTTGTTAGAGACTAGGATTGCAACCCCTGCCTTTTTTTGTTTTCCATTTGCTTGGTAGATCTTCCTCCATCCCTTTATTTTGAATCCATGTGTGTCTCTGCATGTGAGATGGGTTTCCTGAATACAGCAGACTGATGGGTCTTGACTCTTTATCCAATTTGCCAGTCTGTGTCTTTTCATTGGAGCATTTAGCTCATTTACATTTAAGGTTAGTATTGTTATGTGTGAATTTGATCCTGTCATTATGATGTTAGCTGGTTATTCTGCTCGTTAGTTGATGCAGTTTCTTCCTAGCCTTGATGGTCTTTACAATTTGGCATGTTTTTGCAGTGGCTGATACCGGTTGTTCCTTTCCATGTTTAGTGCTTCCTTCAGGAGCTCTTGTAGGGTAGGCCTAGTGGTGACAAAATCTCTCGGCATTTGCTTGTGTGTAAAGTATTTTATTTCTCCTTCACTTATGAAGCTTAGTTTGGCTGGATATGAACTTCTGGGTTGAAAATTGTTTTCTTTAAGAATGTTGTATATTGGCCCCCACTCTTTTCTGGCTTGTAGAGTTTCTGCCGAGAGATCAGCTGTTAGTCTGATGGGCTTCCCTTTGTGGGTAACCGGATCTTTCTCTCTGGCTCCCCTTAATGTTTTTTCCTTCATTTCAACTTTGGTGAATCTGACAATTTTGTGTCTTGGAGTTGCTCTTCTCAAGGAGTATCTTTGTTGCATTCTCTGTATTTCCTGAATTTGAATGTTGGCCTGCCTTGCTAGGTTGGGGAAGTTCTCCTGGATAATATCCTGCAGAATGTTTTCCAACTTGGTTCCATTCTCCCTGTCACTTTCAGGTACACCAGTCAGACCTAGATTTGGTCTTTTCACATAGTCCCATATTTCTTGGAGGCTTTGTTCATTTCTTTTTATTCCTTTTTCTCTAAACTTCTCTTCTCACTTCATTTCATTCATTTGATCTTCAATCAGTGATACCCTTTTTTCCAGTTGATCGAATCGGCTACGAAGCTTTTGCATTCATCGCATAGTTCTTGTGCCATGGTTTTCAGCTCCATCAGGTCCTTTAAGGACTTCTCTGCATTGGTTGTTCTAGTTAGCCATTCGTCTAATCTTTTTTCAAGGTTTTTAACTTGTTTGCGATGGGTTCGAACTTCCTTCAGCTTGGAGAAGTTTAATTGTCTGAAACCTTCTTCTCTCAACTCATCAAAGTCATTCTCCGTCCAGCTTTGTTTCGTTGCTGGTGAGGAGCTGCGTTCCTTTGGAGGAGGAGAGGTGCTCGATTTTTAGAATTTTCAGTTTTTCTGTTCTGTTTTTTCCCCATCTTTGTGGTTTTATCTACCTTTGGTCTTTGATATTGGTGACGTACAGATGGGGTTTTGGTGTGGATGTCCTTTCTGTTTGTTAGTTTTCCTTTTAACAGTCAGGACCCTCAGCTGCAGGTCTGTTGGAGTTTGCTGGAGGTCCACTCCAGACGCTGTTTGCCTGGGTATCAGCAGCAGAGGCTGCAGAACAGGGAATATTGCTGAACAGCGAATGTTGCTGTCTGATTGTTCCTCTGGAAGTTTCATCTCAGAGGGAAACCCAGCCCTGTGTGGTGTCAGTCTGCCCCTACTGGGGGGTGCCTCCCAGAAAGGCTACTTGGGGGTCAGGGACCCACTTGAGGAGGCAGTCTGTCCGTTCTCAGATCTCAAACTCCGTGCTGGGAGAACCACTACTCTCTTCAAAGCTGTCAGACAGGGACATTTAAGTCTGCAGAGGTTTCTGCTGCCTTTTGTTCAGCTATGCCCTGCCCTCAGAGATGGAGCCTACAGAGGCAGGCAGGCCTCCTTGAGCTGCGGTGGGCTCCACCTAGTTCAAGCTTCCCAGCGGGCTGCTTTGTTTACCTACTCAAGCCTCAGCAATGGCGGGCGCCCCTCCCCCAGCTTGGCTGCCGCCTTGAAGTTTGATCTCAGACTGCTTTGCTAGCACTGAGCGAGGCTCCATGGGCATGGGACCCTCCAAGCCATGCGCGGGATATAATCTCCTGGTGTGCCGTTTGCTAAGACCATTGGAAAAGCGCAGTATTAGGGTGGGAGTGACCCAATTTTCCAGGTGCTATCTGTCACAGCTTTGCATGGCTATGAAAGGGAATTCCCTGAGCCCTTGCGTTTCCCGGGTAAGGTGATGCCTTGCCCTGCTTTGGCTCATGCTCGGTGCACTGCACCCACTGTCCTGCATGCACTGTCCGACAAGCCCCAGTGAGATGAACCCGGTACCTCAGTTGGAAATGCAGAAATCACCTGTCTCTGCATTGCTCACACTGGGAGCTGTAGACTGGAGCTGTTCCTATTCGGCCATCTTGGAACCGCCTGTCAACCTAACTTTCAAATAACTTATAATTCCTCTATTACTTGCTATTTCAGACCAAAAATGGATGCAAAATGGCCACAATTAATTTTTTAAAGGCAACCTTAATTCTGAATACTAGTAAGAATAGTTCAAACAAAAATATACATGAATAGATATACATATCTAAATAAAATATTAGCAAATTAAATTTAACAATGTATTACAAGAGAAATAAACCATAAACAAGTACTTTTTTGCATTTCAAGGTTGAAAGATAGTTTAACCCTAGGAAATCTATTCATATAAGTCATTACCATAGCAGATTAAAGAAGAAAAATCATATAATTATATTAATAGATTTTTTTCATTTTTGTTATTGTTGTATATATTTGGAAGGTGTATTTTACTTCAGTTCTCTTCCTACTTTGCAGATGACTTCTGGAGTGATCAGAAAATTTTCCAGTCCATAAACTTGCCTATTGGAGGGGAAGGAAAAGAAGGGTATATAAAATATTTTTCAATTTTTCTGGAAGAGCAGGCTGTTAAGCCTGTTCAACTTGGTTCAAATCAAGCTCGTTATGTGGTACAGAATCATTATATGATATATGATGATTAAGATTGCTCTAATGACTAGTAGAATAGATTTTGTGTCTTATTAAAATGCATATTATCTTGGCAGGGATAATATATTCAGCTTCACTTGCCAATTAGCAGAGGAGACTTTTGTTAGGGAAGTGGAAAGAAAATATTGGACACATAAGATGGGGAGGAAGGTGCGTGATCAAAAAGCAAAAGCACTTTGATCAGTTTTGCTGATGTAACACTTTGGTTTAGGGTGAGCCTTGAATGTCTGTGCTCTAATCACAGAGGCCAGCAAGAAAGGGAAGGGCACACTCAGACAGAGTGCAGACAGGAGAGGAGATTTAGCACTCAGGCAGTCCCTCCCATGGTCCTAACTTTTGACAGGCGTTTTAATAATAGCAAGCACTGATTGTTCACAATTTGTAGATGAGTAGACTGAATTTTAGAGAGGTTAAATAACTTGCACAAAGTGACTCATCTATCAAAATGCCATGCCAAATTTTAATTCCAAGTTTGTATGACTCCAAAGTCAATGTTGTTTCCATTGAAATAATTAAAGAATAGTCAACTATGCCACTTTTTCAATAATGAGAATGAGTATTACATAAACATATTATACATAGCATACAAATACATCATTAGCTGATTTACTAAAAACTTCAGTGAGCTTCGAAAGCAGAGAATGTCCTTTTGTTAACTACAAAGACTAACAATAAGCAGTGGGGATTATTTTATTTCTTTAGTATATATAAGTTTAATTGGGCATTAAAAGCAGGCAAGCCATCTGTTTCTCTTTTGATAGTCAAGGTTTTACAAAGTTACTTTGTGGAGATATGTCTATCTGTTCTCTCTCTCTCTCTGTGTGTGTGTGTATATATATATGTATATGTTATATATTTATATATACTCTGAATATATATATATATTCAGAATAACCACAGTGCTGCTATTATTAAAATGCTTGTCAAAAGCTTGCATCATGCAAGGCACTTCTTAAATGCTAAATCTCCTCTTCTTTCTGCTGTCTCTCTGAATCTACCCCTCCCTTTCTCATTGGGAATGTATGAATGTGTCATTTATATACGTATATATGAATGACACCAATATAACCTAATACATCATTTAAGAAATTAATAATTTTAACATTTATATGGTTAATTAGAAATGATATGTTATATGGTCAATTAAAAATTATATGTTTTGAGATCAGGAATTCGAGACCAGCCTGGCCAACATGGCAAAATCCTGTCTCTACTAAAAATACAAAAAATAGCTGGGTGTGGTGGCGCATGCCTGTAATCCCAGCTGCTCGGGAGGCTGAGGCAAGAGAATCACTTGAATCCAGGACACGGAGGTTGCAGTGAGCTGAGATTGTGCCACTGCACTCCAGCCTGGGTGACATAGCAAGACTCCATCTCAAAAAAAAAAATTATATGTTTTGCATCTTTAAAAGCTTGTAGAATTTTCTTCTTCAGGAAAGTCTGTTCTTGACGTGATTACTTACATAAGGCTTGCAGTTTGGATTTGTAGTCTCTACTTCAAAGCAGAGTAATAAACTAGTGAGTTCTTTCTTGGTGAGAATTGTTTAGTTTAAATATTTATGTAGCTTATTTTTTCTCAGCTATTTAATTAGCAGCCTGTATTGGCTAGAAAATACAATAAAATGTATACTATATATAATACACAATGTACATATATTACATACGGTATTGTCAAGTAAATTTTCTTAGTATTTTTGGCAGTTTATTTTTGGAATGAAGCTTTAGAAATAGTTTTGGTGTATCATTTTTATATAATTTTTTTTAGGTATTACAAAATGATCCTCTGTTGAACCATTTTGCATTTCTTTTTTTTTTTTTTTTTGAGATGGAGTTTTGCTCTTGTTGCCCAGGCTGGAGTGCAATGGCGTGATCTCAGCTCACTGCAACCTCTGCCTCCCAGGTTCAAGCGATTCCCCTGCCTCAGCCTCTAAGGTATCTGGGATTACAGGCATGCGCCACCACACCCAGCTAATTTTTTTTGTATTTTTAGTAGAAATGGGGTTTCTCCATGTTGGTCTGGCTGGTCTCGATCTCCTGACCTCAGGTGATCCTCCTGCCTTGGCCTCCCAAAGGGTTGGAATTACAGACGTGAGCCCCCGCTCCCAGCCCCATTTTGCATTTCTATCAGCAGTTTGTTTCCTCAAAGCCTTACCAATAGATGCTGTTATCATATTTCTTGATTTTCAGGTCTTTACCTAAAAAGTAGTTAAGCCCTTTGCTAGTGAAAAGCTGCAAGCTTTTTTTCCTACTTGTTATTTTTCTTCATTGACTTTGTTTTGTTTTATTTTTATCGGTCATGATTTAAACAGTTTTTGATATAGTCAAATTTGTAAATCTTTTATTGTTTCTGTAGTTTGTATTTGGGGTTAGAAAACTTTCTCCACTTGCAGGATGTATAGAAATTCTAGTCTTGTACTTGTCTTTTTCCCATACTTGTATAGTTTCATTTTTTACCTTTGGATCTTTGATCCATTTGGAGTTTATTTTTTGGACTCAATTTTATCTTTTTCCACATTTAGAAAGTGTAGTCAGTTCCGCTATTATACTTGTTTTGAAAACACAAGTTGTTGGCCGGGCATGATGGCTCACTCCTGTAATCCCAGCACTTTGGGAGGCCGAGGTGGGTGGATCATGAGGTCAGGAGTTCAAGACCAGCCTGGCCAAGATGGTGAAACCCTGTCTCTACTAAAAGTACAAAAATTACAGCACGCCTGTAATCCCAGCTACTCAGGAGGTGAGGCAGGAGAATCGCTTGAACCTGGGGGGCGGAGGTTGCAGTGAGCCGAGATCGCACCACTGCACTCCAGCCTGGGCAACAGAGTGAGACTCCATCTCAAAAAAAAAAAAAAAGAAAAGAAAAAGAAAACACAAGTTGTTCCAATGCAATTCATATATTCCAATGCAATTCATATATGTTTGATCATAACACTAAATTTGCATTTTCTTATGCACAATTTTATGTTAGAAACATAAAACTCACACAAAAAACTTAACTGGGCTACCCTATGGAGGAGTACAACATGCACAGACACACCCCTACACACACACAGTCCTCAGACATCTACCTCAGTTCACTGCAATCTTATCTGATAAGGTTGTGTTTTGCTATTATTTTACACATTTGTAAACTTTTCTGTGTTAAACAACAACAACAACATTCATTTAACTTCCCACACATGCCTAAGCAGGCTGGTTCAAAAATGCTAAGCAGTGCATGAAAAAGAAAAACTAAATATTGGGTAAAGTCTTGACATAGTAAAAGTTTTGAGGGAAATGAGAAAATATGTGATATTGAAACCAGCCCAATTATTCCATAGAGCTGATATTTAGGGCTTCTTTGATTAAACATAGAAACTAAGCCTCCCAGTCTTAGAACTTGAGAAAGTTATAATTGTCTTATCTGAGCTCCTTTCTCAGGAAATGAACTCTCAGGAGTCCCAGATAGTATCAAGGAACTGAAACTTACTAGATCATTGCATCTGGAAAATAAGACACCAGACCCTTTATCCATCATGACTGCCTAACCTACTACCTGCTTCCTGTTGAGCAACATTTCTTCCTTACCCCTGCCTAATTACTGTTTCCCCACACATGTTTACATTTCTTCCCTGCTATATAAACCCCTACTTTTAGTTGGTCAGGAAGATAGATTTGAAACTGATCACCCATCTCCTCAGACACAGCTCCCGATTAAAGTCTTCTCAGGCAATGCTCATCTCAGTGATTGGCCTTCTGTGTGGCAAGCAACTGGACCTAGACCAAATGCCTGGTATTCCGTAACAATCTCTCTCAGGTAAAAGGCATATGGAAGTTCACATTGTAGACAGTCAGAAACTCCACAAAATAAAAGAAACATCGTGGCTGGAACAAGTTCAAGTGCTGTGAAGTCAATAAGAAAAGGAGGTCTCAAGAAATAGAAGAAATGGAAAAATTGTGGAATATAGATTGAAGACCAAACTGTGTTGAGAACAGCCTTTCTTATAATCAAAGAGAAAGAGTAGGCCGGGCATGGTGGCTCACGCCTGTAATCCCAGCACTTTGGGAGGCCGAGGTGAGCGGATCACGAGGTCAGGAGATGGAGACCATCCTGGCTAACACGGTGAAACCCCATCTCTACTAAAAATACAAAAAAATTAGCTGGGCGAGGTGGCGGGCGCCTGTAGTCCCAGCTACTCGGGAGGCTGAGGCAGGAGAATAGTGGGAACCCGGAAGGTGGAGCTTGCAGTGAGCCCAGATCGTGCCACTGCTCAGTGACAGAGCGAGACTCCATCTCAAAACAAAAAAACAAAGAGAAAGAGTAATCTATATACAAAGCAAAGACCTTAAGTAGATATTGACAAATCCTGAATAACTGTTTTTTTTTTTTTTTTAATTTAGAGGTGCTCGTTTGGCAATTTTAAACATCACTGTAGTGTTCAAAGTCTTCAGCTGTCAGGTTTTTTTTGTGCACAAAAAAGCCACGAAAGAATTTCCAGATAGGTATGGTGGCTCATGCCTGTAATCCCAGCACTTTGGGAGACTGAGGCAGGAGGATGGCTTGAGCCCAGGAGTTTGAGGGTGCAATGAACTCTGATTGCAGCACTGCACTCCAGCCTGGGCAACAGAGCAAGACTCTCTCTCTCTAAAATAAATAATTAAATAATTATAAAAGAATTTCCAGCAGTGAAACACATGTGAATTGAAGAGCTAGGCTATATATTGTATCAAACTTCAGTTTTGAGGAAACAGCTGTTATTGAAAATGTATCTCTTGAAGGATCTACATCTCAAAGGCACAAAAAAAAAAAAACAAAAAAAACAGGCCCCAGTGAAGTAGGAGGTAGGACTTGACTCCAGACCAGATTGAAGACTGGCTGAAGAAAGGAAGAGGCACCAAAAGTACCTCTCCTTAAGATACACCCTTCAGCCCCATGACAGTTTATCATTGCCATAGCAACACCTGAAAGTTACTGCCCTTTTCCACGGCAGCAACCTGGAAGTTACCACCCCTTTTCTAGAAATTTCTGAATAATCTCATTAATTTACATGTAATTGAAAGTAGGTATAAATAAGAGTGCAGAAGTATCCCTGAGCTGTTACTGTCTATACACTGCCTATGGGGTAGCCCTGCCCTGCAGGAGCAGTCATGGAGCTGTAATGCTGCTGCCTCAATAAAGCTGTTTTCTTCTACCACTGGTTCACACTTGAATTCTTTCCTGGGTGAAGCCAAGAAACTTCCTGGGCTAAACCCCAACTTTAAGACTTGCCTTCCCTGCATCAAAAGAATTTAAAGCTGTGAAACGTCACAAACTGTGAGAATCCTCCTTGTACCATTTCCTAGTAACTCACAAGCTGCAATCTTTCCTACATACACTTTCACAAGCAAATTTCAGGTCTTTTTTAAGATTAAGTGCCATTTAAAAAATAGTATCTATGTATTTCTTAACTATTTAACATGTATAAAACTATGCTATGCTTTTTATTAAATTCCCATCTTAAAAAAAAGTGTCCCAGCCTGGGCAACTTGGTGAAACTCTGTAATTTTGTACAAAATTTAATTTTTGTAAATTCTGTACAAAAAAAACAAAAATTAGCCAGGCGTGGTGATGCATCCCTGTAGTCCCAGCTACTTGGGAAGCTGAGGTGGGAGGATTGCTTGAGCCCAGGTTGAGGCTGCAGTGAGCTGTAAGCATGCCACTGCACTCTAGCCTAGGTGACAGAGCAAGACCCTGTCTCAAAAAAAAAAAAAAAAGTCGCTGATAAAGTTTTTGAATGTTGACCCCTATATGCCCTGTGGTTTTTATTGTGTGAGTTTACATAATGGCGTAATTTGTAAGAATGGTTATTTGCCACTTTAGCAGAACTGACTGACCATATTTTATCTTGATTCAAAATGCTGCTTTATGTTTTATTATGTTTCTATGTGTACTTTTTCTATTTCTGGGCATTCAATTTTGTTTCACGGTCTGACTACTCATATGCCAATGCCATATTATTTTAATTTTTGAGGCTTGATAATGTTGTAATATCTGGTAGAGGTAGTCCTTCTTCCTCCCATCTTCCCCCTACCCACCATTTCTATATTTCAGGGGTTTCCTGTTCTATTTTGACTTCCCTATCTTTCCATATGCACTTTAGAATCAATTTTATTAGCTCTAGGAAAAAAGTTGTTGATTATTTAAATAAAATCACATTAGATCTGTGAATTAACACAGAAAGAACTGACATCTTTGTGATACTGAGTCTGCTTCTTCATGAAATGGCTCTAGAAATGTGTTCACGTCTATATTTGTGTTTTTTTCAGAAGGGTTTTAATGATCTTTTTCTCACGGAGGATTTTACATTTCCTTTTTTAAAAAGTTTTATCTTATTTGTAATTGACACGTAATAATTGTACATATTTGTGGGTACAGTGTGATGTTTCAATACATGTATACAATGCGTAATGATCAAATTAGGGTAATTAGAGCCCGGTGCGGTGGCTCACGCCTGTAATCTCAGCACTTTGGGAGGCTGAGGCGCGTGGATCACCTGAGGTTAGGATTTCAAGACCAGCCTGGCTAACACGGTGAAACCCCGTCTCTACTAAAAATACAAAAAAAAAAAAAAAAAAAAAATTAGCTGAGCATGGTGGCGGGCGCCTGTAGTCCCACCTACTTGGGAGGCTAAGGCTGGAGAATGACGTTAACCCGGGAGGCGGAGCTTGCAGTGAGCCGAGATTGCACCACTGCACTCCAGCCTGGGCGACTGAGTAAGACTCCGTGTCAAAAAAAAAATAATAATAATAATAATAATAATTTCCAGGCATGGTGGCATGTGCCTGTAGTCCCAGCTACTCAGGAGGCTGAGGCATGAGAATCACTTGAACCCAGGAGGTGGAGGTTGCAGTGAGCCAAGATCACACCACTGCACTCCAGTCTAGGTGACAGAGTGAGACTCTGACTCAAAAAAAAAAAAAAAAAGAGAAACCAAAGTGAGGATAATTAGCATATCCATCATCTCAGAAATGTGACAACATATAAAATTCTCCCTTTAGCTATTATGAAATACACAATATACTGTTAACTATAATTACCATACTGTGCAATGAAACATTAGAAAGTAATCATCTTATTTAACTATGACTTTCTACTTGTTGACCAACCCTCTCCATTCCCTCTCCCCCTCCTCTTCGCAGCCTCTGGTAACCACTACTCTAATCTCTACTTGTATGAGATCAACTTTTTATTAAGTATATTTTTAGCATTTTATATTTTTGCTGTTATAGTAAACAACATCCTAGTTTCCATTATGTCATTTAACTGGTTGTTGTTTTGATAAATTCTATGGATTTCTGTATATTAATTTTATATTCTGCTACCTAAATAATATACCTGAAATCTTATTGTTTGTAGTTGTTTTTCCCATTAATTTTTTTGGCACATGCAGGTATATACCATATAATATGATTTTTATGTTATTAAGCAATGGAAAGCAATTAGGACATTTTTCAATTCACAGGCCCTAAATAGTTTCTCTTTCTTTCTTTCTTTTCTTTCTTTTCTGAGACAGAGCCTTGCTCTTGTCCCCCAGGCTGGAGTGCAATGGCATGATATCGGCTCACTGCAACCTCCACCTCCCAGGTTCAAACGATTCTGCTGCCTCAGCCTCCCGAGTAGCTGGGATTACAGGCGCCCACCACCATGCCTGGCTAATTTTTGTATTTTTAGTAGAGACAGGGTTTTGCCATGTTGGCCAGACTGGTCTCAAACCCCTGACCTCATGATCCGCCTGCCTTGGCCTCCCAAAGTGCTGGGATTACAGGCGTGAGCCACTGCGCCCAGCCATATTTTCTCTTTCTTAATGGCGTTACAACTAATACATCCTATACAATCTGAAATAGTACTTGTGATAGTAGTTTTCCTTCTCTCATTCTTGCCTTTAAAAGGGGTGCTTCTGGTATTTCCTTATTATATGCTCCTGGCTTTTGTGCTGCGATATATTAAGAAAGTTTCTATCTATTCCTATTTTATTGAGTATTTTATTAGGAAGGAGTATAGAATTCCTGGGTTGAACTGAGATTATTTGATAAAATGGGCAGTCAGACATGTACAGAAAAATTGATTTTTGTATATGTTGTAAGGAAGGGGTCCAGTTTCAATCTTCTGCATATGGCTAGCCAGTTATCCCAGCACCATTTATTGAATATGGAGTCCTTTTCCCATTGCTTGTTTTCGTCAGCTTTGTCAAAGATCAGATGGTTGTAGGTGTGTGGCCGTATTTATGGGCTCTCTATTCTGTTCCATTGGTCTATGTGTCTGTGTTTGTACCAGTACCATGCTGTCTGTAGCCCTGTAGCATCGTTTGAAGTCAGGTAGCCTGATGCCTTCAGCATTGTCTTGGGTATTCCGGTTCTTTTTTGGTTCCATATGAATTTTAAGATAGTTTTTGTCTAGCTCTGTGAGGAATGTCATCAGTACTTTGATAGGAATAACATCGAATCATTTGGGCAGAATGGCCATTTTAATGATATTAATTCTTCTTATACATGAACATGGAATGTTTTTCCATTTGTTTGTGTTATCTCTGATTTGTTTGAGCAGTGGTTTGTAATTCTGATTGTGGAACTCTGTCACCTCCCTGGTTAGCTGTATTCCTGGGTATTTTATTCTTTTTATGGCAATTGTGAATGGGAATTGATTTGACTCTCAGCTTGGTTGTTGTTGGTGTATAGGAATGTTAGTGATCTTTGTACATTGATTTTGTATCCTGAAGCTTTGCTGACATTGTTTATCAGCTGCAGGAGCTTTTGGCCAAGACTATGGGGTTTTCTTGATATCAAATCATATTGTCTGCAATCAGGGATAGTTTGACGTCCTGTCTTCCTATTTGGGTACCCTTTATTTCTTTCTCTTGCCTGATTGCGCTGGCCAAGACTTCCAATACTATGTTGAATAGGAGTGGTGAGAGAGCATCCTTGTCTTGTGCCAGTTTTCAAGGGGAATGTTTCCAGCTTTTGCCCATTCAGTATGATGTTGGCTGTGGGTCTGTCATAGATGGCTCTTATTATTCTGAGTTATGTTCCTTCTATACCTAGTTTATTGAAAGTTTTTAACATGAATGGATGTTGAATTCTATTGAAAGCCTTTTCTGCATCTATTGAGATAATCATTTGGTTTTTGTCTTTAGGTCTCTTTATGTGATGAATTACATTTATTGATTTGCATATGTTGAACCAACCTTGCATCTTGGGGAGGAAGCCTACTTGCTCATGGTGGATTAACTTTTTGATGTGCTGCTGGATTCGGCTGGAAAGTATTTTATTGATGATTTTTATATCAATGTTCATTAATGATATTGGCCTGAAATTTTATTTTCTGTTGTGTCTTTGTCAGATTTTGGTATCAGGATGATGCTGGCCTCCCAGTGAGTTGGGGAGGAGTCCCTCCTCTTCAATTTTTGGGATAATTTTAGTAGGTATGGTACCAGCTCTTTTTTGTACATCTGGTAGAATTCGGCTGTGAATCCATCTGGTACTGGCCTTTTTTTTTTTGGTTGGTAGGCTATTTATTACTGATTCAATTTCAGAGCTCATTATTGATCTGTTCAGGGAATCAGTTTCTCCCTGGTTCAGTCTTTGGAGGGTGTATGTGTCCAGAAATCTATCCATCTCACCTAGGTTTTCTAATTTTTGTGTGTAGAGGTGTTTGTAGTAGTTTTTGGTGTTTATTTTTATTTCTGTGAGGTCAGTGGTAATGTCCCGTTTGTCATTTCTAATTGTGTTTATTTGGATCTTCTCTCTTTTCTTCTTTACTAGTTACTTTTTTCAAAAAGCCAACTCCTGGATTCATTTATCTTTTGAATGGTTTTTTTTGGTCTGAATTAAAGACTTAAATGTAAAACCAAAAAGTATAAAAACCTTGGAAGACAACCTAGGCACTACCATCCTGAACATAGTAATGGGCACAGATTTCATGAGAAAGATGCCAAAAGCAATTGCAACAAAAGCAAAAATTGACAAATGAGATCTAATTAAACTAAATAACTTCTGTACAGCAAAAGAAATTATCAACAGAGTAAATGGACAGCCTACAGAATGGGAGAACATTTTTGCAAACTATGCATCTGACAAAGGTCTAATATCCAGCATCTATAAGGAACTTAAACAAATTACAAGAGAAAAACAACCCCATTAACAAGTGGGCAAAAAACATGAACAGACACTTCTCAGAAGAAGACATGCATGTGATCAACAAGTATATGAAAAAAAGCTCAACATTAGTTATCATTAGGGAAATGCAAATCAAAACTACAATGAGATACCATGTAATACCAGTCAGAATGGCTGTTACTAAAAAGTCAAAAAATAACAGATGCTGGAGAAGTTGCAGAGAAATGGGAAAACTTATACACTGTTGGTGGGAGTGTAAATTAGTTCAACCATTATTGAAAGCAGCATGGCAATTCCTCAAAGACCTAAAAACAGAACTACCATTTGACCCAGCAATCTCATTATTGGGTATACACCCAAAAGAATATAAATCATTCTACCATAAGACACATTCATGTGAATATTCATTGTAGCACTATTCACAATAGGAAAGACATGGAATCAACCTAAATGCCCATCTATGACAGATTGGATAAAGAAAATGTGGTAAATATACACCATAGAATACTATGCAGCCATAAAAAACAATGAGATCATGTCTTTTGCAGGAACATGGATGGAGCTGGAGGCCATTATTATTAGCAAACTAATGTAGGAACAGAAAACCAAATGCTTCATGTTCTCACTTATAAGTGGGAGCTAAATAAGGAGAACTCATGAACACAAAGAAAGGAACAACAAACATTGGGTCCTACTTGAGGGTAGAGGGTGAGAGGAGGGAGAGGAGCAGAAAAAATAACTATTGGGTACTAGGCTTGGTAGCTGGGTGACAAAATAATCTGTACAACAAACACCCATGACACAAGTTTACCTATGTAGCAAACCTGCACATGTACCTCTGAGCCTAAAATAAAAGTTAAATAAATAAATAAAAACATCAAAATTTTTTTGAAAAGAAAATCAAATGGCCCATTAAATCATGGGGTTGCAGCCTAGGGAACTGATTAACATTGCTTGAATACATGTTGTCTGCTGGGATTATTATGCACATTAATAAAATAATTGAAACAAAAAACAAAACAAAAAAGATGTACAGAAGAAAGGTAAGTAGAAAGTATTCCTCTTGAACTTCTTATAAACAGTTGTGAAAATGGAACTTCTTCAGGCACATGACTTTGAATCTACCATTGAATTTGTCTTCTGCCTCACTATGATCAGAGGTGGCAATTCTGAATAGATTAAGAAGGAGTCTGTTTGTGGGACAGGAGTGGGTGGGGTGGTGGGGTATATATATATATATATGTATCTGTGAATGGGATTAATAAATGTGATTCAATATATAATTTTATTTTGTCCTAGGCCCTGCATTCTAAGATTTCATATTGGTAGGGATGATACTGGCTTTTTATTTGCCAGTTCTACATAAACAGCTATCAGATTATTATAAATTTAAGGTAAGAACACAGATTAAATAAATAGCCATTTAATGAGATAATTGGGGAAAAGTTTACTGGAGGCTGGGACCCTGTTTCATTGTGTTTGTCTATGGTACCTAACAGAAGGCACTATGGGCATTTTAATAAATATCAGTGTATAGAAAGGACTGAATCATGAGGCAAGTTTGAAAGCAATGCAACTGCAGTTGGGTCACATAGTGGTTTAGTGTATAGTGTAGCACAGTGTTTTAGTACATAGATTTTTGGTGCCAGATTTAAGTTCAGTTCCTGGCTATACCACTTACTAACAGTGATCATGGTCAAATTCTATACATTTTCTATTCCTTAGCTTTATCATCCATAAAAGCAGGGCTGTTAATTTCTACCTCATATTTTACCATTAGGCTTAAATCAATTCATATATATATATATATATATATATATATATATATGAAGTTATATTACCTATGACATAATAAGTACTCTATAAGAATCACTATTTTTATTGGATGGTAAGTTCTCCCTAGTTTTATGGCTGGATGTTCCTGTTTATGACCACTTTTTAGGGTGATCAGCCTAGAAAATACAGAGGAGCTGATTTGTATAAGCAAGAAATTAGGGTGTTTTTCTTATACTTAAGGTTTCCTATTATAGTATTCTTGGCTTTTATTATATCAGAGCATATATCTTAGAAATTTGGGTTGAATAAGCAACATATTTAAGGCAATTCTATTTAAAGAATTCTGAGATAGTCATGTTTATACATGACTATTTTAATTTATACAAAATTAAAACGAAATCTTAAATGGAATTAGATTACAATATACTAAAAAATTACTTATTTAAAATGTTTAATATTATATTGAAATGCTGCCCCAATATACTACATATTTTAAGTGACGCATTTTCTGAAAAATAATTCTCTCATGATTTTTTATTGTTTAACTTTTCTTAGCATGCTATTGTCTACATCTAGATGTATTGAACTAAAAGGAAGACACCAGTAAAAAGAAGTGGAGTCATATTTCTTACCTCTTTGTGCTTCGTAAGAGGTGCAGAAACACAAGAGATCCATGGAACATTGTCTTTCAACACTTATACCTTTTGATAATAACACATTTATTTTGATTAATTTTAATAACTCACATGTTCAGATGAAGACAATATCAAAACTTGAAATTTTAAGCTCAGCCTAACATATTGATTACAAAGTCATCAATCTGAAACAATCAGAATTATAGAAGTCACCATAGTGGCTTAGGCAATGATATGTTTAAAATGGCATGTGGCTAATGATATAATGGCATATCTTCATTAATATTTGGTAGCAACTGGATTGCCACAAAAACATGTGAGGACCCTTTTTCTGTTGTATTGTCATTCTTTTACACCGGAAAAATTACTCTGCTGTTTTCTAAGAGTCAATCCTGGAGTGACGTGAGTAGCAGAATGCCAAGTCTATGAGTCACGTGATAACTACTGGACATGCACATGAGAATATGACGAGGATGGTGCCTTAGAATGGGGATTCTCAATCTGAGGTAGGAAGACATGATGAGCCACAAAATTCTTATTACACATTAAAATGAAGATTAAGAATTACTGATAGAATTCAGATTTGAAGGGGCATATGGTGTAAGTTTAGCCCAACCAAAGTGGAAATGTTAACAGAAGGACGTGGCAGGCATCCTACAGAGGCAGCTTATCATGAATGCTGCTCAGCTTACTTTCTCAGAGAATCCAGAAGTCACTACAATAGTTGTTACTAACGGCTGGTCAATGTGCTCCAGGAAAGGCTGCCCACATTTGTCTTTTTGATGGCTTCCAGCCAATCAGCTTACCAAAGAAAAGTTAAACAAAACACACTGCTCTCAGATAGTCTATGTGTGTTTTTTCTACCCTGTCTCTTTCTTTTATAAATTCTCTTTTTGTTATATTTGTTGACAACTGTTTAATGACTGACTCTCTTTTATGTCAGTAACCTTTTGTGTGAATACTAACTAAAGGTTTCTGAGTTATTTGTCAACAGTCCAAATTCATGATATCTCACACTTTTGTAATATTGGGCTGGTGAAAAGTAATTGGGGTTTTTGCATTAAAAGTAATGGTAAAGTAACACTATTTTAAGGTGCATACATGCTGTTTTGTCAAGTAAAATATGCTTATATAAAAACATTAACAAATTGATAGTAATATTTTAATGTGTATTTTCTCAACCAATAGGTAACAATGGGAACAATTACCATATAACTATTCAAGTGTTTAACTAGCCAGTATTTTAAAAAATACCTACTACATCCTCAGCATAGTCACTGAAGAAAACTAGGGATCCAAGAAAATCATACCATTTAAAAATAATTGGTAAGTATGCTATTTAGCATGAAAAATTAGTTTGGACACATTAAATGTTCTAGCAATTTAGAGGAGAGGTTTAGCGGGCAGAATTCGAGGAGGAGCTGGAGTAAGGGGAGTATTGCGGGGTGTATGGTCACTAAGAAAGGAGAGGGCATTTTAGAAAGTCACGGCCGGGCACGGTGGCTCAAGCCTGTAATCCCAGCACTTTGGGAGGCCGAGGTGGGCAGATCATGAGGTCAGGAGGTCGAGACCATCCTGGCTAACATGGTGAAACTCTGTCTCTACTAAAAATACAAAAAATTAGCCGGGCGTGGTGGCAGGTGCCTGTAGTACCAGCTACTTGGGAGGCTGAGGTAGGAAAGTGGTGTGAACCTGGGAGGTGTAGCTTGCAGTGAGCTGAGATCGCTCCACTGCACTGCAGCCTGGGCGACAGAGCGAGACTTGTCTCAAAAAAAAAAAAAAAAAGAAAAAGAAAGTCACAACCACCCCACCAGAGCAAAGCTGCAAATGATGCTAGTAAGGAAGGGTCAAGAAATGTACCTATCAGGAAAAATGGGGTTTGTGTAATTTGAGTGCTGGCCACTCAAAAGCGTGATCCAGGCCGGGTGTGGTGGCTCACGCCTGTAATCTCAGCACTTTGGGAGGTTGAGACCGGTGGATCACGAGGTCAGGAAATTGAGACCATCCTAGCTAATGCGGCGAAACCCCGTCTCTACTAAAAATACAAAAAAAAAAAAAAAAAAAAAAATTAGCCAGTCGTGGTGGCAGGCGCCTGTAGTCTGAGCTACTCGGGAGGCTGAGGCAGGAGAATGGCGTGAACCCTGGAGGTGGAGCTTGCAGTGAGCTGAGATCGCGCCACTGCACTCCAGCCTGGGCGACAGAGCGAGAACACCGTCTCAAAAGAAAAAAAAGTGTGATCCATAGACTTGCAGCATAACCATCACCTGGGAGTTTATGAGAAATAGTATGGCTGGGCGCAGTGGCTGGATGCCTGTAATACCAGCACTTTGGGAGGCCAAGGTGGGCGGATCACTTGGGGTCAGGAGTTTGAGACCAACCTGGCCAACATCGTGAAACCCCATCTCTACTAAAAATACAAAAATTAGCTAGGCTTGGTGGTGTACGCCTGTAAAACCAGTTACTCGGGAGGCTGAGGCAGGAGAATCACTTGAACCCAGGAGGCAAAGGTTGCAGTGAGCCGAGATCACACCACTGCACTCCAGCCAGGACGACAGAGCAAGATTCCATCCACCACCCGCCTCCCCTCTAAAAGAAATAGTGACTCTCAGGTTCTACCATAGTCCTACTGAATTAAAACTTCCACATCAACAAGATTTCTCAGGTGATTCTTATGTGCCTTAAAGCTTGAGAAACATTGGTAGGTGATTGGTTTCCCAAATACTGGTCACCACACCAGGACCATTTGGCTAAATAAGAATGTCTGGAGAGCTTGTTAAAAAGAGGCTTCGGCACCCATCACTAGAGATTTTAATTCAATTGGTCTGAAATCCAGGAATATTAACAAGATCCCCCAGGTGATTGTGATGCATCATTGCCCTAGGCCTAGGACAATCTAGCCCAACTTTGACTTGATCTAGTTCTAGATAAATGATTCTCAACCTTGACTGCACATGAGAATAGCTTGGAGAGCTTTTAAAAGCTATTGATAGCTGGGTCTCACTCTGAGATATTCTGATTTACTTGCCCTGTTGTAGAGCTCAGGACTCTATATTAATTTTTCAAGCTTCCTAGGAGTCTTTAGTGTGCAATTAAGGATTGAGAAATACTAGTCCTTGTAAAACAGTTAAATGGTTTAGGTGGGAACAACTGAAGACCTTGGAATTTTTTCTCTAAACAGGTGTAGGGTAAACCCCCTGAGTACCTTTTGATTCAAGAAGCCAAAAAGAGACCCAGAGCCAGCAAACGAGACATGGGGTTGTACTGGGCACTTATATACAGGGAAGAGAGAATCCAGTGGTGGTGGGCTGGACAAGATATCTGCATGGCCCTGTGGCAGTGAGCTGGCCAGGAAAACCAAAACTGCTTGCAAACAGCATGTGGTTTATATAGCATTTTTACTTAACACCATCATCCCTTAATGACCTGCACCTGGCAACCTTCATGTGCTCCAAATGGGCCCGTGTGTGGCCCATGTTCCCATGGGATGCTCCGAGGGCTCAGATGTTCCTAATAGACAAGGAATGAATCTCTGGGTTGGCCACTCCCGGATTCCTTAGCTCAGAACGCACACGCAGGTGCGTCTGCCATATGGGAGCATTTTCAGGGTATGCTTATGTCATTGCTATCAGGGTGTTTACCATACACATGGCGTAAAAGGTGGATTCAAAGGAGAGAGTTAAGAAGTGTGGGAACCACCTATGATAAGGCAGTCAAGAGCTGTGCGAATAGAATGTAAAATACAAGGGATTATAAACAGAATTAATGACGAAAATATGAGTGATGGGGAGTTCATTAAAAATCTTTAATCAGGAAGATGGGAAAGAAATAACATGCTTAATAGGGAAAAATAGCGAAGGTTGCTGTTTTAAAGAAGGGTGAGATCTTAACAAAAGGTAAAGTCAGAGAAGAGACTGAAAATAGAAAACAAAACAAACTTCCAACTTTTAATACATGGAAACTATAGCAAAATTCAACAAATTTTCCTTGACTGGTGGGAATATTTGTTAAAAGATGGGTTAAAAACCCACATCTGGGAACAGTCTTTGACTTTGTCAAAACAATAATTCCCATCACTTTAATTAAGCAACACCTGACCCTACTGGGCTATTGTATTAAAAGTCACACCTAACAAACAAAATGGGCCAAAACAAGTAGTATTCCTTTGTTTTGAGGAATGATCTTTGGAGTCCTGTAAATAGTGTGTCTGGGGTGAGTGAAGGGTCAGTACACTTAATCTTGCCTTATTAAAGGTTATTTGGTCTTTTCAGTCTAGAATAGCTTCTTTGGGGGAAACAGTTAATTCAAAGTTCAACCTTCCTGAAAGGCTGTTTCTCTCCTCTATCAAAGGCCTCTTGAAAGGAAAATGGATATGCTGTGGTCAAGAATAGGCCAAGATAAACATCCAGTACAGCATGATGAGTGGGATTGGAGCACAGGTGCACAGTCCCATGCATTATGTAACCTGTTTGTTAAGCTCATACTTGGCTCTGAGCCACTGTTGTCTGTAAGGAGTGTAACTGCCCTGCTGCCACCGGCTCGCACGAGGCAGGAGAGAGAGAGAGAGTAAAGCTGCTGACTCTGTAAGAGAGAGCCAGAGCTAACCACCTTGCAGGCAGACAGTGGGGAGCCAGGAAATGGTGAGTGCTCCAGGGAGTGCAGCTGTATGCGTTGGGGCAGCAGGAGCCGAAGAGCTGGCTGCTGAGAAGGGCTGTGGCAGGAGCAGGCAGCCGAGACAAAGGCTTGTGCCCAGAGAGAGAATAAAGCCATATTTCACCTGACTGCAGCCCCCTGAGTGTTCTTTCAACTACCTACCAGTCATCCACCAACTCCCCCTTGAACCTCAGTTTGGGCTCAAACCTGACATCTCTCTTCCATTTCCTCCATTTCTAGAGACTGTCTAGGGGTATGCATGTGTGTGTGGCTTACAGTTACTCTTGGTGGCCTCTATTGGTTTTTTTTGCCTTTTTTTCGGTCTCATGCTAGTCTCCACTGAAGTGAAGTTGATTGGTCTGGTCTAATCTTGCAGAGGTATGCTTATAACACTCATCTGTAAGTGCCCTCTGCCTAAGTCCATGGTTCCTACCATTTGTCACTGTTGTGATGTGCCTGCCCCATATCTCCTGTCTTGACTGCAGATCTCTAGTTGTCCAGCATCCTTCTCAGAACCCCTACAAATCCTACGTCTCTGAGCCCTTGGGAATCATAAGTCAGCTGTGGAGAATTGGTGCTACCTCAGGCTACTCTTAAATACTCACTGCTCTCTGATCATGGACTAATACCTCTCAGCCATGCTATACTGAGAAGGACAGAGCAGCCTCCCAGATAATTTTGGATTCCTTCTCCACCCATTTAGGAATCTCTTTTCCCTTTGACTGAAGTCCATGGGTTGGGAAGGGTGTTGCATCTTCATCAGCACCATCCCACTTCCCTCCTTCAATCCTTTCCCTTAGCAGACTCTAATATCTCTGGTGGGACTTCCTTGATATTATATCTCAAGTATTCTTTACACTATGGCTTCTAATAAAGCCCTATTTTCAGATCCCAAGGGTTTACTTTTCATTTGAAAGAAAGAGATTTTGGAACTTATAAAATCTCTCATTTTGGGTTGCAGTTTTGGAAGTTGAACATTGACATTGTTCTGTCTTTTCCAGATATAGCAATTCTAATCCCTCTGTGACAGAATCTCTTCTGTTTGGACTGTTGACTCACAAAGCCTAAAATATTTACAATCTGGTCCTTTACAGAAAATGTTTGTTGACTTCACATGTGCAGAAAGGAATCTAAAAGTTTAGGACTCCAAAGACTTCGAACAGGAATGATTTGTTATATGGGTGCTGTGTCCCTCTACCCTCAACTGTATTGTCTGAGGAGACTCAGAGGATACTCCCTTGAAAGCAGTGAGAAACACATTAGTGAGGGGAACACCCACACTCTGAAGAGCACTGTAGTGGCTCTCATATGTAAGCCACATATGATGGTGGGAAATACCACCATTGTGATGGGTTCCCTGATTCCAATAGGGATGATGGGACCCTGAAAGAGCAGAGGCCAATGGACAATACTTAACTGCCAAAGATAAAGCAGCCATATTTGTTATAAAGGCTGGCAGATTCTGATTACTGTAAAGGTAATCAGACTATTTAGACCTGCAGGAATTTTTGGTAGTGACTAATTGACCATGTGGTTACCAGAAATGAAAATGATGAGCAGCCTACTAAAAAGCTGCTTAATTTATAAAACAGAAACTGCAGGTCTGGTGGCTAAAAACCTGACTTGAGCCACCTAGTGGAGAGTGATGGATTTCTACCTACTTTTTAGAGCTAAACCAGTTCACAGGTTAGAACCCCCTGATTCAAGGGGAGGCCAGGTTCTTTTGAAGAAGGATGCTACAGCAGAACCAAATATAGAATGTAAA
Source organism: Homo sapiens (assembly GCF_000001405.40). Taxonomy (NCBI): domain Eukaryota; kingdom Metazoa; phylum Chordata; class Mammalia; order Primates; family Hominidae; genus Homo; species Homo sapiens. The sequence goes on along the minus strand of NC_000002.12, from coordinate 182,666,991 downwards.
ATTTCCCCTGATTCTTTCCCAAAGGGTGACTTACTAGCAGGACTGTGCACTGGGAAAAAGGAAGTACCTAGACCGTGACTGTGTACTGGGAAAAAGGAAATACCCAGACTATTCAGATATTCCTAGACACTTAATATGAACTGATGCTATTCCTGGGCACTCCAAACCTGCTATACTGTACCAGTCAAATGGGAGCTTATGGTGGCCAGGTGATAGACAAAGGCTTAGATAGAGGTAGAAGTTAGCTGGTAATTTCTTCCCTGGTTCCTGAATGTAGAGTTGCAATAGACATACTTGGCAATTGGCAAAATCTCTGTTTCTTGCTACCTTGTCAAGCTTTACCCTTTTGAGTATGTTATTGTCTATAATTTTTTTTTTTTTTTGAGACAGAGTTTTACTGTTGTTTCCTAGGCTGGAGTGCAATGGCATGATCTCAGCTCACTGCAACCTCTGCCTCCCGGGTTCAAGCGATTCTCCTGCATCAGCCTCCTGAGTAGCTGGGATTACAGGCATGCGCCACCACACCCGGCTAATTTTGTATTGATGGGGTTTCACCATGTTGGTCAGGCTGGTCTCGAACTCCTGATCTCAGGTAATCCACCCACCTTGGCCTCCCAAAGTGCTGGGATTACAGACGTGAGCCACCACACCCAGCCCCTTGTCTATGATTTTTTAAAACATGTAGTAATCTTTAATTCGTTAAGCCAAATTTATGTGTGTTTATTAATTTAAGCATGTACATTTTTTGAGGGGTGATTTTTTAAAATTTAATTTTAATTTTAAGTTCTGGGTTACATGTGCAGGATGTGCAGGTTTGTTACTTAGGTAAGCATGTGACATGGTGGTTTGCTGCACCTATCAACCCATCACCTAGGAATTAAGCCTTGCATGCATTAGCTATTTATCCTGATGCTCTCCCTCCCTGCTGACAGGCCTCAGTGTATGTTGTTCACCTCCCTGTGTCCATGCGTTCTTATTGTTCAGCTCCTATTTATAAGTGAGAACATGGGGTGTTTCCTTTTCTGTTCCTGTGTTGGTTTGCTGAGAATGATGACTTCCAGCTCTATCCATGTTCCTGCAAAAGACATGATTTCATTCCTTTTTATGGCTGCATAGTATTCTATGGTGTATATGTACCACACTTTCTTTATCCAGTCTATCATTAATGGGCGTTTGGGTTGATTCCATGTCTTTGCTATTGTAAATAGTGCTGCAATAAACATATGTGTGCATGTATCTTTATAATGGAGTGATTTATATTCCTTTGGATATATGCCCAGTAATGGAATTGCTGGGTCAAATGATATTTCTGGTTCTAGATCTTTGAGGAATCGTCACGCTGTCTTACACAATAGTTGAACTAATTTACATTCCCACCAACAGTGTAAAAGCATTCCTATTTCTCCACAGCCTCACAAGCATCTGTTGTTTCCTGACTTTTTAATAATTGCCATTCTGACTGCTGTGAGATGGTATCTCATTGTGGTTTTGATTTGCATTTCTCTAATGATCAGTGATGTCAAATTTTTTTTCATATGGTTGTTGGCCACATAAATGTCTTCTGAGAAGGGTCTGTTCATGTCCTTTGTCCACTTTTTGATGGGGTTATTTCTTTTTTTCCTGTAAATTTGTTTAAATTCCTTGTAGCTTCTGAATATTAGGACTTTGTCAGATTCCAAAAATTTTCTTCCATTCTGTAGGTTGCCTGTTCACTATGATGATAGTTTCTTTTGCTCTGCAGAAGCTCTTTAGTTTAATTAGGACCCATTGTCAATTTTTGTTTTTGTAAGCATGTACATTTTTTATGACAAGAAAACTTCTGAAGTCTTTTTTACTGAAAAGTTAAAAGTGAAACAAAAAATCTAGTTTATTGTAGTATTTTATCAATTGTCTATATGTTTATAATTTTTCATAGCAAAACCGTTTGGAGAAAACAAAGTTTGATTTGATTAAAAATTTTCAAGAACATTGTTTATAAACTTTAAAAGAAGATGTCCTAACAACTACCCTTGACAACAACTATTGTGTATTTTGAATTTACTTTTTTTGAGAAAAATAATTGTGCCACATGCCATTATTGTAATATGTATTGTTTTAAGCCCGAGAATGAAAAAGAGATACTATTATTTGACTTACGTATCTCTTTAGAATAATTTCAAAACAGAAATCACTTTGGCTAGCACTTTCTTGGTATCATGAAGCCTTTGATATTTTTGATCCAGAAGTTCCATGGATCCAAGTGCATTCATTAATTAGAACTCATTTTAGGGTAGGGATATTTCTTTCTGCCAGACACCTGGTTATTTAGATGGGCAATGGTGTCTTTCTCTTAAATGTTAAACTCAATCACATTCCCTCCTTCCTTCCTCTTCAAACCAAAGGAACCACTATTCTGTATTTGGTACTTAGCATTTTAAGCCAAATGCGTTGTCATTATTTTAATCACATTTGTATTCATCCCATAACAAGATAGTGGAGTTTCAAAACTTCAAATAAATATTAGTACTTTAGTTATCCTTCTGCCACTGTGAGGCTTTCCTATTTTAGTACATGTGGTTCTGTGTTACTCTTTTTATAGCCATGTGGTTTTCCAAAGTATAAATATACCACAAATTACATACCTATTCTGTCATTGATGGGCATTTATATTGTATCCAAATGTTTTGCAAGTAATGTTTGTATAATAATCCATGGTCATATTTGCAAAAATTTCTTTGGCAGCAGAACTGCAAGTTATTGGATCTGTGCATCTTTGACTTTATCAGATGTTCTCAAATTGTTCTCCAAAGTGATTTGCACCAAACTATACACTGGTTTACTATTAATTGATTTTTAAATTTTTATTTATTGGATGGATGTGTAAAAATTCTCACTGTAGCTTTCATTAGTGTTTCCTTCATTACTAGTAAAGTCAACTACTTTTTCCAATTTTTGCCCATTATTCTTTTGGACTGTTTTTCTTACCAAAGTTTTTTAAAAAATACATTTGGGATATTAATCATTTGCTATATAAAAGGGTTTCAGATAAGTTTTCTTAGTCTATGTCTGATCTTTTCACTTTAGAAAATGGGGACTCTTAATGTTCAAAAATTTTAAATTTTTATAAGTTACTTTCTTATGGTTTATTTTAGGAGATCTTGCAGACCGTTTTTCTTTTTTTTTTTAACTTTTAAGTTCAGGGGTACATGTGAAGGTTTGTTATACAGGTAAACTTGTGTCATGCGGGTTTGTTGTACAGATTATTTTGTCACTCACGTACTAAGCCTGGTACTCATTAGTTATTTTTCCTGATTCTCTCCCTCCTCCCACTTTCCTCTCTCCAGTAGGCCCCAGTGTCTGTTGTTCCCTTCTATGTGTCCGTGTGTTCTCAACATTTAGCTCCCACTTATAAGTGAGAACATGAGGTATTTGGTTTTCTGTTCCTGCATTAGTATGCTAAGGATAATGGCCTCCAGCTCCATGCATGTTCCTGCAAAGGACATGATCTAATTCATTTTTATGACTGCATAGTATTCTGTAGTATATATGTACCACATTTTCTTATCCAGTTTACCATAGATAGGCATTAAGGTTGTTTCCATGTCTTTGCTATTATTAATAGTGCTGCAATGAACAATTGCATGAATGTGTCTTTATGATAGAACTATTTATATTCCTTTGGGTATATACCCAGTAATGGAATTGCTGGCTTGAATGGTTTTTCTGTCTTTGAGGAATTGCCACACTGCTATCAACAATGATTGAACTAAATTACACTCCCACCAACAATGTATAAGTGTTCCTTTTTCTCTGCAACCTTGCCAGTGTCTATTATTTTTTGGCTTTTTAGTAATAGCCATTCTAACTGGTGTTAGATGGTATTTCATTGTGATTTTGATTTGCATTTCTCTATTGATCGGTAATGTTGACCTTTTTTTCATATGGTCATTGGCTGCATAAATGTCTTCATTTGAGAAGTGTTTGTTTATGTCTTTTGTCCACTTTTTAATGGGGTGGTGTGTTTTTCTCTTGTCAATTTGTTTCAGTTCCTTATAGTTGCTGGATATTAGACCTCTGTCAGATGCATAGTTTGCAAAATTTTTCTCCCATTCTCTAGGTTGTCCGTTTACTTTGATGATAATTTATTTTGCTGTGCAGAAACTCTTAATTTTAATTAGATCCTATTTGTCAATTTTTGCTTTTGTTGCAGTTGCTTTGGTATCTTCATCATGAAATCTTTGACTGTTTCTATGTCCAGAATGGTATTGCCTAGGTTGTCTTCCAGGGCTTTTAGAGTTTTACATTTAGGCCTTTAATCCATCTTGAGTTGATTTTTGTATATGATGTAAGGAAGGGTCCAGTTTCAATCTCCTGCATATAGCTGGCCAGTTATTCCAGCACCAATTATCGAATAGGGAGTCCTTTCCCCACTGCTTGTTTTTGTCAACTTTGTCAAAGATCAGACAGTTGTAGGTGTGCAGGCTTATTTCTGCGCTCTCTATTCTGTTTCATTGGTCTATGTGTCTGTTTTTGTACCAGTACTGTGCTGTTTTGGTTACTGTAGCCCTGTAGAATAGTTTGAAGCAGGGTAGTGTGATGCCTCCAGCTTTGTTCCTTTTGCTTAGGATTGTCGTGGCTATTCGGGAAAAAGTTTTTTTTTGTTTTTTTTTTCTTTTTTTTTTCAATTTTTAAGCTCTCCTATATAAAAATTTCCTTTTAATATGTAGGTTTTTTAGTTATCTTGAGATAACTGGAAAACCAGTTATTAACAAACTTTTTTTTGGATATTTCAACTTCTCTTTATGGTGCAATATCAAGTTTCTCAATACATACCTGTTTTTGGTTCTTTCTTCTGTTCTATTTATCTACTTCTGAGGTCATAGTATACCATTTAAACTGTATTATAAGTCTTCATGTTAGGTAGGGTAAGCCCCCTCTCCCCTATCATATTTTTTGTAGTTTTTTTCAAAATGGTTTTGGCTATTAGTGGCCCTTTGATTTTTTTCATATAAATTTTAGAATCAGCTGGTCGAATTAGTAAAATTTTCTTTGGATTTTTAGTTGAAACTGTATCAGTTTTAAAGATTAATTTGGGCAGAATGTGTGTCTTTATGTGAATTGGTCTCCTTTAATGTAATTCCGTAAAGTCTTACAATGTCTCACATATCCTTTGCTACATTTATTTCTAGGTACCTGACATTTTCGTTGCTATTATTACAAAGGATATTTCTTAAAATTATATTATACAGCTATTTATTGCTAGTTTAGGAATATATTTGGTACATTACATCCAACCATTACATCCAATTAACTGTAATAATTTGTCTATAGTTTCTTGTAGGATTATTTTGTAGGTGGTCACATTGTCTGATAATAATGTCAATTTTTATTTCCCTCGTTTCCAGCCGTTCCATATTTTTATTTTTTCTTGTTTAGCTTCATGGTTAGGACAACCTCTAGAACCACATCAAATAGTGTAGTGATGGGGGTTACTCTGTTTCTGCTTTTAATGGCAATGTTTCTAACAGTTCACCATTAACTGTAGTCTTTGCTTGTAATCAGTGGTTGAGAATTTGTCTTTGATTCTAGCACCTAACCTGGTATCTGATATATAGAAGGTGCCCACTGAATAATTATTGATTTAAATTCTATTATTCTTTCTAGTATATGGGCATATATTAGGTAAGAGCATTTCTGTCAGGCATAAAAATCTCAGAAAATTATACACCTAAATGCACAGTGATTAAAGTTTGCAATCTGGTGTAGCATCTTAAATTATCCAGAGGATATGTCAACTTGAATATTTAAGAATCTTTTTAATCTCTGTGATAAACAGGAAGAAGTTACTCTGCAACTGAGGAGAATTGATTTATGACAAAACTGTCGTTTTTAAACATCTGTTAATGTCAACTCACTAGGCGTAAACATTCAAATGTCAAACATGTCATTCAGAAGCTATGTTTTTGTGTATGCCTTCTTCAAAAACAAAAACCAATACTAGGCATTTGGAGAGGGAAGTCAGATTCCACAGTTCTGCTACTGTCTTAGTTTTCTATTGCTATGTAACAAATTATCACAAAGTGAGAAGCTTATAACACTGCTAATTTATTATCCCAGGGTTTCCAGGGCGAGGAGTCTGGGTACGGGTTAGCTGAACTCTCTGTTTGAGTCTTAAGGGCCGCAATCCCAGTGCCAGCTTCGCTGTGGTTCTTATCTGGGTTTAGGGACCTTTTACAAGTTCGTTCAGGTTGTTGGCAGATTTTAATTTCTTGCAGCTCCAGGACCGATGTCCATGTTTTCTTTCTAGCTGTTGTCTGGGCACCTCTCTAAGCAATTGAAGGCCACCCCTCTCTGTAGACAGCTTGCAACATGGCTACAGTATTTGCTTTCCTTCTCTTAAGCCAACCAGAGAAAATTCTTGCTTTGAAGGGATCACCTGATTAGGTCAGAACAACTAAGGTAACCTACCTTTTGATTTACTCAGTTAACAGATTTGGGACCTTGATTATAGCTGCAAAATCTCTTTTGTCATGCAATGTAACAATCACTGGAGTGAAATCTTATATTCATAGGTTCTCCCCACACACAAGGGAATAGGGTTATACAGGATGAGGGGCAATGGGATCATTTTAGGATTCCAATTATCACAGATCCTGCATATATGCAGAGTGTCACTCTCCTCTTTCTTCCACTCTCTCAGAGAAGCATTTTCTTTCTTGTTTCATGGCATCATCTTAAGGTGTCAATGAATCTTTCTCTTTTCTAAATATTTGCATATACCTTAAGCTGCCAAATGCCTTACATTGATAGTATGGTTTCAGCCTCATTTCTTAGATAAGGCTGGGGACCATCTTTTTCATGTGCCCTTCAGTAGCTGGATAATTTATGAATTTTAATCCAAGAGCTTCTGAGTTTCACTGGTTTACAGCTGATGTTTCAGTTATATTCAAAGCCACATGTATACACACACATCCAGCCATGCCCATGATATATTTGGTAACTTATTGTAAAGTTTTACTAATGTCTTGCTGTTAGTCAGCAATAATTTCTGGTATAATTTTATTCTTTTGCAGTTTGAATATGTTAGAGTGTTTACAAAATTATGACAGCATTAGAGAATCCTAAAGTGACAGAAAAAACATTTTCATAGTATTTTGTTTTACCTTTGAGATGTGGTTTTTATTATTAATACTTACATTTCTGTTTATTAGTAATACCTACATTTATAGTTTACAAGGCATCATGCTACATAAGTATCTCATAATGCTTAGCAGCGATGTTGTAAGTGAGGAAAGGAATACCAAGGTTGGTGATTCCTCAAATTATGCAGGTAGAATTGGGTAGAACTGGGAATCCAACCAAGGAATTTTGAGTTCAAGCTCTTTCATATAACCTTTTCACTACCATATGAGTAGAAAGAGTTTATAAATATATCTCATGTTTTCATAAAATAATAGAGACATAACTTTATAGAATTGGAGGGATATCATCTTATTTTGTGCAACTCTGAACTCATTTCAAAGAATGACTATTTCATTTACCTCAAGATTTATGTACAACTCTTTATGAATTGGTTTTATTTCTATTATGCCCTATCATTTATGTTTGGCATATGATTCTTGTCTGCTTCATGTTTTCCTTGTATTTTTATGAGGCTGTAAATCTTATTTATAAAGGGAACAAATGTAAAATAGTCCAGTTAACAGATTTATTCAAGGATTTCTCAGCCTTTCACACTTAGACTATTCCTTAACAACATTTCATTGTCTAGAGACAAATTTCCTAAGAAAGAATGAAAAAATATTCAGAATAGAAATATTCATGAGGTTTGGAGATTGATGAAGACATTCTGCTTGGCAAGAGGCTTTTGTTAAGTAGATGGAACTTACAAATAGAGAGATGGATGGTATAAGTGGGTCGATATCAGGTAACTTTTAAAATTTAATTATTTTAAATAGGTAATATAGGCAGATTATAAATTCAAATAGGTAAAAAGAGTGTAGTAAGAAATGAGTTTTTCTTTCAATTCCGTGTTCCAGTCCCTGTCAATAGTATGATGGCTTGCAGTGAGAATTTGCAGAAATTTCACCCTTTTTCAAAATGGGAAAAAAGATTTGCCAGTGTTTGAAAGTAATGGAATTTAAGAAGGAGTGGGAAATGGCAGTAAAGTGCACTTGTATGCATACAAAGAGAAACTTCTGGACATCTCATATCCAAAAGAATTTTGCCCTTGAACTGATAAAATGTTGAATGACTGAGAGAACTTATACTATTTGTGTACATGATTGCTATATTCAGCACAAAATGACAAACATTTCTCACTTATTGAGCTGCTTCTACCATGTTCTTGTTACGCTTATTAATAGAGTACCACTCCTTCAATCATCTTTACTTGGGTTAGTCTCTCAGTTACACTGTGGAATCCACCTATGCTATGTCATTATAGAATCACGATGCTGTGGGTAGAACTGCATCACTTAAAAAGATACGTTGAAGTGCAAACCTCTGGAACTTGTGAATGTGACCTTAGTTTTGAAACAGCATCTTCGCACATATAATCAAATTAAGATGAGGTTAAGATTGGAGTAGGCTCTAAATATAATGACCAGTGTCCTTCTAATAAGGCCATATGAGGGCAAAGGTGCACACAGAAAAATACCATATGATGGCTGGGACAGAGATTGGAGTGTTACAATTGCAAGGCAAGGAACATCAGGGACTGCCAGTGATCACCAGAATCTAGGAGAAAATCATGGAAGAGATTCATATGTAGAGCCTTCAAAGGAAACCAGCCTTGCTGATTCTTTGACTTTGGACGTCTAGCCTCTAGAAATGGGAGAATATTTTTCTGATATTTTAAGCCATGTAGTTTGTGGTACTTTGTTATGGCAGCCCTAGGAAACTAACACAGGAGGAAAGGCAGGAAGAAAAGTTTTTTTGTTTTTTTTTTTTTTTTTTTTTTTTTACTGAGAAGCTGTTTATGTGCTAGGTACTATGCGATACACACATTATGTCATTACTGTTCTTCTCACAACTGCCTTGCAGGGTAGATATTATTCCCATTTTATAGCTACAAAACCTCAGGCTGAGTAGTCTTAAATAAGTTTTCCAAAGTTACACAGTAAATGGTCTCTATCTGATACAGAAGCCATTATAACACATTATTGCTGATGATCTCTCATCTACAAAGGGACAGCTAAACTTAGAGATGTTTTTAGCCACCTGGGGCTTCCCACATGGTTGATTTTAGGAGAATTGGAAGCAAAAAATATACCTCCTACTAATGTCTAAAATTTCACTATTTTTCATTATTAATATTTATTTTTACAATGTAAATATTCCTAGAAGAAATAGCATATGCCCATGGAAACATAAATTTATCAGGTGTTTTTGTTATTTTTCTCTGATGTCACAGAAGCTCTACAGCTTAAGACCGTTGGATACATGATGAAAAGATGGGCATGGATTAGTGAAAGGTATAGAAAGAGAAGGTAGAGTAGCAATATAAAATAAATCCTGCCCACTTAGGATTTTGCTAAGGTCTGGCAAGTATTTTTTATATATTTGTTTATCCTTAATCACTTTTGTTGTTAGGGCTGACATCATCTTCACTGGAGATTTATATTTGTAATAGTGTTAAATATAAGGACTAAGTTGGAATATTTGGTAGAGGTAGGACAATAAAATGTATGTCTGACACATTACTTGGCTCAAGCAACTATTTGATATTCTAAATGCGGTTGAAAAAATTTAACGTAATATAGTTGTGTTGTTTGTTTTGGGTTTTTTTTGAGACGGAGTCTCGATCTGTCACCAGGCTGGAGTGCAGTGGCGCGACCTTGGCTCACTGCAACCTCCACCTCCCGGGTTCAAGCGATTCTCCTGCCTCAGCCTCGCAAGTAGCTGGGACTATAGGCATGCACCACCAAGCCAAGCTAATTTTTGCATTTTTAGTAGAGAGGGGGTTTCACCATGTTGGCTAGGATGGTCTTGATTTCTTGACCTTGTGATCTGCCCACCTTGGCCTCCCAAAGTGCTGGGATTACAGGCATGAGCCACCGCACCTGGCCAGTTGTGTTTTATTCTGCATATAATACATTTTTACTGTAAGGAATTTAGAAAACATAGATAAGAGAAAAGAAGAAAATGACTAATCACACCATCCTAAGTCTGGCCAAGCTCTATTTCAGTATGTGTTTTCAGGATCTATTGTATGAATACTTAAAAATTAAATGAGATAATACCAGCATGTAGTTTTGAACTATTGGAAAGTTTTCAAATAAAATAAAAATAAATGAAGGAATACAAATATGGTATGCCTAATACAGTTTAATGATTATTTGAATTTCTGCAAATAGGCTTTTCTTGTTTTAGGTACAGCTACTCATTGAAGACTAAGTAAAAGGACATTTTAAAGATTCGTTTCCATTTTCTGCAGAACTTAAAATCTCATCCCAGGGCTCAGAGTAGAGTCTGTCTTACTTTATTGGTCATCAGTCCATATTCCTGATACCTCATCCAGTATAGCTAAGTGATGAAAGTGATGATTTTCTTTTGCTCTTCCCATCTTTCCATTTTTATAGTTTCAAAGTGAAATTATCATAGAATGTGCATTATAGCTAAATCACAAGTTGGCTGCTTGACAAAAGTAAGATAGAGTCAAACCACTCAGATTTTTAGAGGTTTTGATTGTAATGAATGTTATTTTCATTACTATCAAATATAGATCTATACTTCATTTCTAAATCTGTACTTCATGTGTCTCAGAGGTCTTTTGGAAGAAAACTGATGTGTTGGTGCTCAGTGGAATGATGAGAACTCCTGGGGTAATGTGGTATCATGATGGCTAAGAATCTTACCTGTAGTGGATTGCACTTGCAACAGGTAGAAGGTAAAATACTGGCAGCTACAGTAATAGAATGATGTGGGGGAAATAATGACTGTATAATTGTCTGGCCTTTGCTAACTGCTTTAAAAGGCTTGATGAAGGACAACCACAGGGTCAGGTCAGCCAACCATCAATCAGGACACTGTGAAACCCAGCAGGCCTTCAAGGCAGTTTTTGAAGTGATCTTTATCTCCTGCAGCCAGAGAATAGATTGGGACTGGAATTTAATTGTGACAGTGGTCAAGTTGCAAAGGAGATGGAGTGAGAAGCCTTGGCAGGTTTCCTAAATTAGATTCAGGGCTCAGATCACGGAAACTTGAGAACTGGAATGAAGACATTTGGTGGATGTGCCAGAGAATTTTGAACCCTTTATTCTCCTGTGCTGTCAGAGGTGACCCCCACCTACTGGCTAGAGGAGAGTATCCTCTCCTTGCCGGGGAAAAAGAAAACTCTCCTGAAAGACCTCAACACAGGCAAATGCCTTGCAAAATAATGCATGTTTTCCTTCCTTCTCTCATTGTCTAGAGGCTAGAAATAAGGGTCAAATCTGAGCATTCCTTGAGGAGAAAAGTCTGGGAGGAATAGTTTACTCTTTAAAGGATGGCAGGATCTGGATAGGCTGTACCAACAGGAACTAGGTATGCAGGTGTGGAAATAGATCTTGTGGCCATTAGCCAGGGGCTTGGTGCAGAATATAAGGCTGGTAAGTGGAGAGTTTATTGACTTGGGTTCACCTTCCCATGACTCAAGATTTAACATCCTAGTGAAAACACCTGGAGTCCATCATAATGCCCTGCTAGGATGGCTCTTTGAAGCTAGTTAGAGAAGCCAGAACCTTTAGACAGAGTATTGAGGAATGGAGTTAGAAGCTCAGGGAAGTGGGCATGTTAGAATGGATTTATTATGGGAGACTAGAAAACTCTCATTCCTGCCTCTGTTCCCGGGGAGAGCCCTGATGACACTTCATTCACTAAAGCAATAAGGAATGCACCTTGAGGCAGACATTGGCATCTTCGAGAAGCTCTGTAGTTACTATCCTCTTTACGCTATGGTTGAGAGTTGGGGATTGGCATCTGTGGTTGCCTAGACAAAATAGGAATGATAGGATTCCAGAATTTCTGAGGCCAAATGGTGGTACCTTAGACAGGACAAATGAGCAAAAAGGCCAGATGAATAACCAGGAGGCCTTGACCCACTGGGACCTGTGGCAAGTGTTCATACATCATGGTGTTCCCAATAGAAGAGACATGGAAAGCCCATTAGAGGTACAGCTTGTTAACATCAAGAAATGGAAAAAAAAGAGTTGTGAACAGAAGACTGATGTCAGATGGGATGGTGGACAATGAATAGATTCCAGACTGAGCTAGAGAGATCTGAGCTAGTTCACAGAGCCAGAGCCCATTCATTGAAGGGAAGGCTAGGTTCACTTGAGGAGGGACCCTGAGAGGTTACTTCATGTGTATGCCATAAATATGTCTCCATTCCTGCCCCAAAAGGACTTAAAGCATATATCAGATTACATGTTGAAAAAAGGCCTTTCAAAGGGCTTTGGATAAATTATCTGAGCTGGCACTTAAAATAGGGGACATTTTAAACAGGAATATTACTATGATCCCTAGTTAAAGTGACACCTTGGAAGAGCAGATGCTAAATGGAGTCCTGACCTAAATATATCTTACAGTGAGTCCAGCTCCCAACACCAAGAAACAGAATCCCAAGTGAAACTGCAACCTGGGAGAAATTGCAGAGGTTAGTGCTACTCCCAAAGACTTAAAGAATGCAGGGTTGCTTCCAACACATTATTTTTCAATTAACCTGTTTGACCCAAGCAACAACAACATGAATTTTGGTAGACGGTGGTGGACTACCACAAACTTAACCAAGTGGTGGGTGCAACTGCAGTGGTGTCAGGTATTTTATTTCCATTAGAATCAACTAATATAGCCTCTGGTACTTGGTATTGATCTAACAAATGCAGTTTTCAATCTCTATCAATCAAGAGTTTCATAATTAATTCACTTTTATGTTAGATGGACAGTAGTATACAGTCACTATTTTCCACAGGTATTATTAACACTCTTATAGTCTATAAAAATATAGTCTGTGGGGACTCTGATTATTTTAATATTTCACAGATCATTTCATTTGTCCACTACATTGATGCCATTGTGCCAACTGGTCCATGTGTAGTGACGATGATGGATCTGATGTGCAGGAAGAAGAGAGTACCCTAGTTGCCCCAGTAAGGCACGTTTGTGTCAGAAGCTGGGAGAAGGACCCTATAAAGTTTCAGAGTTTCAGAGTAGCAATGATGGCAGAGGTTAAGACTCGTATCTGAGCCAGATCAGCCAGGATGAGTGGGCTACTAGTGCTGCTGAATGCTGGGCCTATCAGAAGCAGAGATCAATTATATGTTCCCATCCCTCAAGGAGATTAAGTAATCACTTGATGGCAAGTTGATTACATCAATCCCCTTCCATCCTGAAGATGAAACTGATTCTTCAATTGCTATCTTTTCTAGATATGGGTTTCCTTCCTTGATAACGGGGTTTCTGCAACACCTCATTCAAGCACTTACAGAATGTATGATTTACAAAAGCAATATTGTAAACATCCTGTCAGATCAAGAGCCTAATTTCATAGAGAAAGAGGTGAGTAAGCAAGTGTATGGCCAAATAGTTTTCTGGTCCTGCCACACACCACATCCCCTCGAAAAAAACCAAATGATTAAAATTATGGAGTGATTTAGTCAATGTCCTTCAGAATTGCCTTAAATCATTAGCGATACATAGCGAGGTGTCTCTCATGGCTAAAATATGCAGATCCAGGAAGCAAGACATGGAAACAGAATTGGTTCCCCTCCCTATCATCCTGAGGTCCACCTCAGGATGGAATTCATGTTTTCCTTTTTTAAATAAATTAGCTCTGCTATATTAGGGGAATATTTGCACTCAGCAATATGGTAAGTGCCCACTAAACCTGCAATTGTGACTACTTCAAAAGGGTCGAAAGTGATTCCTATGTTATGGGCTCCTCATGCCAGCAGAATGGCAGCCAAAAAAGAAGTATATTCCTGGGGGAAATGAGCCCCATGATCCTGAAGAGCTAGAGTTGCTACTACACAGTAGAACTCATGAGGTGCACTTGTGTGTCCATGTCTGGTGACAATGATGAACCAGAAATTGCAGTGACCATAACATGGTAAGAACAAAACAACTAAGAACTCAGAATCAGCTGAAGGTTTGGGTGACTCCATTAGACAAGCAACCTATATCAGCAAAAGAGGGACTGAGCAACCTGATGGACAAAAGGGAGAGAGAAATTACAAAGTGTAATAGAGAAGTGAAATATGAATATGAATTATGATTTGGGTACCAGTTGCAGCATTTGTAGTTTCTACCTGTAACTGTTGTATATGAAGCTTTTTGAAGAGGCCACCACCTTGAACACTCAGTGATGAATTGCATTTAATATAGGGTACAAGTGGGTCTCAATGGTACCAGGGGTGGACTGCGTCAAGAGGATGTGCCCCACCTCACATCCTGTGAGCTATACCTTTTTATCCGGCTGTGGCTGGGGAGGATAGTTCCATGCATGTTTTGACTCATTTTGCAGTGACGACATCTTGCCTCAGATCTCTATTGTATGTCTTTGATCTCAGGCCTAGGGTTCCTCTGACGCTGAGGATGAAGGAGGTGTAAAATAGGCAGTTGAAATAGGGATCCAGATCGTAGGAGGTCGATCTAGAGAGGTAAGTGTGTTTCTAGACTGCAGAAGGAATCTAAAGACCTGGGAGGGAAAAATTTCTCTAGGGAGAATTTCAGCAGTGAAATTAGACAGGTCATAGGGAAGAGTCCCAAAGAATATTTAAAACACTTATAGTCAAGGGACAGGTAATATATATGTGAGGAGAAAACATTGGCAAAGAAGCTTGAAGAGCAGTCTGCAATAATACTGGGAGAATGCTTCATGTTTTTATTCAAGGATGACCTAACTTGGCTGAACTCTCCATTTTATGTGAAAAACAGAAAACATACCTTATATGCATTGCTATTTATGATCTATACAGCCCTCCTATAAATTTTTACAATTGATACATTAAAAATACATAATAAGCTCAGCTGTCAATATTATCCCATTTTAGAGCTAAGTATGTTGGATCCCTGACTTCCTTGATAAATAGTGGAGTGCTAGATGTAAAAGCAAAGCCTATCTTTTGTTAAACTGCAGATTCCAAGTTTGCAGCTTTAGGCTTCACATATTCCTATTAGGCCTGCCATCACAGCCTTGTGATGATCTGTATGTCTTAAGTGGGGCGAAGACATTTCTAGCTATGCCTTTATTTTAATCAGTGTATGTTAATGCACCTATGTGTAAAAGCGTTTATTAGTTACCCAAATGCGTTGTATAAATTTTAGGTAGAAGCCTCAAATGTTAGATTAACAAATATTGTTTCCCTTTTGGTAACTTATGGACTGAAATGAATGTATAAGTTTTTAAAAAGTGCACACAAAAGATGAAATAGTCATACTGATATTAGAATTCCTTTGAATAAATTTGTATGTGTAGGACATAGAAAGTAGAATACAAATTAACACATTTTCAATACAAATCTTTAATATTTTTGTCTGTTCTAACTATGTAGATAGGTAATGTTCAAAGAGATTTCTCTTGGGAGGAAAAAGATCATACTAAATTTTGTAAAGAGATACATTTTTGTAGCAGCAATAGTCAAATTTTTCACATTTCTCAATTTCAATGACTGCAGCCAGAAATGATCAAATTATCTACCCCCCTAATTTGGCATTAAAAATACAAGGCCAGGTGTGGTGGCTCATACCTGTAATCCTAGCACTTTGGGAGGCCAAGGCGGGTGGACCACTTGAGGTCAGGAGTTCAAGACCAGGCTGGCCAACATGGTGAACCCCTATCTCTACTAAAAATACAAAAATTGGCTGGGTGTGATGGCAGGTGCCTGTAATCCCAGCTACTCAGGAGTCTGAGGCAGGGGAATTGCCTGAACCTGGGAGGCAGAGGTTGCAGTGAGTAAAGATCATGCCATTGCACTCCAGTCTGGGCAACAAGAGCGAAACTCCATCTGGAAAAAAACAAAACAAAACAAAACAAAAACCCAAAAAACAAAACACAAATAAGACTCTAGAGGGCACTCTACTCCTATTGTTTTTCAAGAAGCCTTTTTAAATGTAACATGAAGGCAGATATTTAAAAGTCATTGTGAATACTTCCAAGAAGGTTAGAATTCTTACGCAAGATCTTGAATATCAGTTGTCAGCATGGAGCAGTGGGATTTTCCTGTTCTCTTTCAAGTGTTTTCAGTTGGGATGGTTTAAGTTCTTTAATGCCGAGGATACAATTAATTTCTCAAGAGAGTATACTTACGTTAAAAAAGTTAGAGTTACAATATGTATAGGTATAATTGTTATCCCTACATTACTTTATGACATTTTACTTAATTACCTTGTATAACTGTTATTACTACTACTGTCATTTTTATCATTATTGTAGACATGAAATCAGAATTTTGAGATGCTTTCTGGGGAATAAGGTTATCAAAGTGTTTTGATTCAAGTAGCCTGGTTCTTCCCTATTTCCATGCACATGAAATGTATATAGGAGGGCCTCATTCCTAGGTTATAGTAGGTGCTAACTGAATGTTCCTTAAGTCTGAATCTGAAGTTAAAAAAATAACTTTTAATGTTATTGAATACATCACACTACATATTTGTATCTGTGCTCTCTGCTCTGGGCCATTCATGTTAAAACCTGGTCTCCTGGGATTTTATTTAGCCCAGAGACCAGTTTTGCTTGTTAGTAGGTTTTTAAAAATCTGAGTTAGACTGCATTTCAGTGATTGCATTCTAAATACTAAACAATACTTGCGTTTTCCCATAGTCTGAGACCCTGTGCCCTTATACATTTCCTCATCTACCTGGCACCTAAAGCCATGTGTGTTTTAAACCTATGGATAGATCTAGGATCTTTTTGCTGGCAGCAGATGTCTCTCTCTCTCTTTTTTGGAGAGAGAGTCTCGCTCTATCACCTAGGCTGGAGTACGATCACACCTAGATATGATCACAGCTCACTGCAGCCTCAAACTCCTGGGCTCAAGTGATCCTCTTATCTCAACCTTCCGAGTAGCTGAGACTACAAGCATGAGCTACCATGTCTGGCTAATTTAAAAAAAAATTTTTTTGTAGGCCGGGCACAGTGGCTCACACCTGTAATCCCAGCACTTTGGGAGGCTGAGGTGGATGGATCACAAGGTCAGGAGTTTAAGACCAGCCTGGCCAAGATGGTGAAACCCTGTTTCTACTAAAAATACAAAAATTAGCCGGACGTGGTGGCAGGCGCCTGTAATCCCAGCTACTTGGGAGGCTGAGGCAAATAATTGCCTAAACCTGGGAGGCAGAGGTTGCAGTGAACTGAGATTGCGCCCCTGCAATCAAGCCTGGGTGAAAAAGCGAGACTCCATCTCAATTTTTTTTTTTTTTTTTTTGTATAGAGTGGGGTCTTGGTATATTGCCCAGGCTGGTCTCGAACTGCTGGGCTCAAGAGACCCTCCCACCTTGGCCTCCCAAAGTGCTGGAATTACAATTGTCAGCCACTGCTCCCGGCCAGTAGATGTCTCTCTTGAACATCATTTCATGATTGAACAAGGTTTACCTGCCCCCTGAAAAAACCTCTTTAGCTTCCTGCGTCTCTCTATGTTCTACGGCTGGGACTTTATTCCTATTTGTAGGCTCAACTTTCCTACCTCTGACCAAGGGGAACTGAAGTGTTAGGAATAGCTCATGTTGCTTTTCCTATTCTGATTTTGGTTTCTGTGCTAATAACTTATGTTGCACAAAGCTGCTACCACATACCCTGTCGCCAGGCAGTGGGTACCAAGATTGTTTTTAATATGTCTGAATCTTATCTTGGTAATCTCTCAGCTATCCAGTTTCTTCTCAACTAACTCACATCTCATTTTCTTCTTTCTATGCCTGAAGATGATAGTTTCAGATGTATTCTAGGCCACCAGAGGGGCCTGCTACCTGCTGCCACTTACACACACCTCACAATTTTTCCATTCTACATTCCCATTGCTGTGTTTCCCCACCCACTTGTAGGGACACCTCTTGTTTGACTGTCCTGATATGAGCACTTGCTCTGGTACCCTTTACCTAGTAGCAATAATTGCTCATATTTAGGTGGCACTTTCAAACACCAGCTCTGATAATAACATCTATAAACTGGATATCATCACTTCTTTTGTATAGATGATAAAAATGTGACTGGAAGTGTTGGCATTTGCACCCATGTCTTCATATTACAGGTATTAGGATGCTTTGTTGGTGTTTATTTAAATTAATTGCAACTGGCTTTAACTGCCTTGTCTTGAATTTTTTTTTTTTTTTTTTTAAAGAGACAGGGTCTTGCTCTGCCACCCAGGCTGAGTGCAGTAACATGATTATGACTCACTGCAGCCTCAATCTCCTGGGATCAAGTGATCCTCCTCCCTCAGCCTCCCAGGCAGCTAGGACTCCAGGCATGCACCAGTGCACCACTACATCCAGGTAATTTTTTTAATTTTTTTTTTTTTTTTTTTTTTTGTGGGGACAGGGTCTTGCTTGCTCTGTTGTCCAGGCTGGTCTCAAACTCCTGGCCACAAGGGATCCTCCAGCCTCAGCTTCCTAAGTGCTGGGATTACAGGTGTGAGCCACTGTGCCCAGCCTGGACTTATTACTGCATCTACTTAAGCTCTTGCCACAAACTGTGAGGCCTTAATGTTTTTGTTCTGCTCGTCTGAATCAGAGCTCCTATTCTGACTCCAACAACTGGACCGTCTTATTAAGAATGAGGCTTACTACTCGCAAGGCTCAGAATGTCCCAACAAGCCCATAGAAACATCTTTTTAGCTACAGTGCTAGCTCAAACTTACCTGATGAGGAACACGTGAGGCACTTGTTATATGCACAGATTGCCAGGTTACCAGGTTTCTTCTCCAATATACTATGGTTTTTCCAATATACCATGGTTTAGTAGGTCCGGGCTGAGGCCTGAGAGTTTTTTAAACAAGTGTTCTAGTCAGTTCTTATCTTCAAGCAAATTTGAAAATCAGCTTTCTAGAGGAAAGTCTCTCAGAAGGATGTGAGGTTAACCTGCCGATACTCACCTCACTTCCTTTCCTGTGCCTTTTTTTTTCCTCAGTAAATTTGGGCATCTTTCTCTCCCTTTTTTGTCCTCCTCTGCCTAGCTCTTCCTGTCAATGACAGAATTTCATTTAATTGTTTATCAGCTCACTGTGTAATTTGGGTTTCGAAAGCCAATTTTTCTACAGAGGCTTCTTATGCTAAATTGAACTGGAGTAAATGATTCTGAAATTGTAGCCACCAAGATGATTTAGTCTTTACTGTAGCATCGTATCTTTAAAAGCCATACACTAATGAAAGGTTTTGGAACCAGATGGTGTTCAACTTAAGTCTTATCTGCTCAGAAAAAGGTGATATGTCTTTTCCTAAGTGACTCCATTTTATCCCTGCAGAAGCTGCTGATTATCTCGATAGTCTGTCTCAATAACTATCTCAATAACTCTTAATAGACTACCTCAATAACCCTTAAATTGAATTCCATGAGGCTCTTGGCACATTATAAAAACAAAGCACATAAAGATACCATAGGAAAAATGACAAATTATATGATTGTTATTGTATTAAGTTGTTCTGGGAAGGTGTACGATCCAATCTAATCTAACTATGCTTTATTGGAAAGAGACCAGAAATAAATTCTGATCTTGAAAACTGCTGATCCATCCATTCAGTAATCTATCTTGTCAAGATCCCTCATCTGTGCAAGCATCACCCTAATAGAGCATATGGAAAGGTACAGGGACACAGGTGAGTGCACGCAGTGATGTCCCCTGAGAGAAGAGACTTCCTGGGGTGAAGTCATTTTGGAGGTTTTGTTGTGCTGAGGGGCTGGTCCTCAGCTGGACAGCCTTAAAAATCCTAATTCGGTCAGTTCCACAGGTGGGTTCAACATTGTTAAAAACAAAGAAACAAACTCCCAACAAATTCTTAAAACTAATGCAAAAAGTCATCGTGCCAATCTCTTACTTTACCATTATCTGTGTGATAAGAACTGGAATCCAATTATCAGCATGGCCACATCTGCTTTGTCTCCACGCAGGCCTAGATGGAAACCAGTTTATTACCAGAGAGCCTGATGGCTAAATTTACTGCTTTTTCTTGACACCATCTGTGTAGGCACTGCCAATGTTTTCAAAAGAGTCTCCTATGATTTTTTAGCTGATCTTTCATTCTGCTTAATACATAATTTCTTCAGCAATATTACTACCTTTAATTGGGTTATACTTATGTTTCACTGACTTGGGAATTATTCTTTTTGGGTGACTTTGCTTAATTCTTTTTTTTTTTTTCCTAGATGGAGTCTAGCTCTGTCACCTAGGCTGGAGTGCAGTGGCGCGATCTCGGCTCACTGCAACCTCCGCCTCCCGGGTTCAAGCGATTCTCCTGCCTCAGCCTCCGAATAGCTGGGATTACAGGCGCCTGCCACCATGCCCAGATAATTTTTGTATTTTTAGAGACATGATTTCACTGTGTTGGCCAGGCTGGTCTCGAACTCCTGACCTTGTGATCTGCCCGCCGTGGCCTCCCAAAGTACTGGGATTACAGGTGTGAGCCACCGCGTATGGCTTTTTTTTTTTTTTTTTGAACCTTCACCTCCTGGGTTCAAACGATTCTCCTGCCACAGCCTCCCGAGTAGCTGGGACTACAGGTACGCACCACTATGCCCATTTTTTTTTTTAATGTATTTTTAGTAAAGACAGGGTTTCACCACGTTGGCCAGTCTGGTCTCAAACTCCTGGCCTCAGGTGATCTACCTGCCTCGGCCTCTGAAAGTGCTGGGATTACAGGCATGCCCTGCCCATTTTCCTTAATTCTTAATGTAATTAGCCATGACCAATCCAACCTATATTCTTATCCATCTAACTCTGTAAAAGAGTGGCTGAAGGTTGTTTTCTTTCTTTTTCTTTTTTTTACTATACCCTTTTAAAAATTTATCTTTTATATCCCCATGTAGCCTATTGGAAGTTATTTTCAACCAAAATATGACATTTCCTTCCCCAAATGGGGAGGATACGAATCACTCATTCAGCATATTTAGAAAAAGAGAAAATATATTTTAGGCAAATTCTTTACTTTGGATGACATTTAACATGAATAATAATTTACCTTGTTGAGGAGGGAGGTAATATTTAAAACATGGATTTTTCTTAACTATGGAACAAGAAGCTGGCATAACCTTCACCGTTTTACCTTTTCAAATTAACAGTTATGTTGTACCTGGATTTAGTATATTTTGTTCTGTAGTGGCCATATATTAATTTTTTTTCTTTTCATTAGAAATTGTAGACTTAATCTGCAAAAATTTTTGTTTTTCGTTTACTTTAGAAATCTTGAACTTTTGTTTTTTTGAGCATAATGATTTTGATAAACATTTCATTATTATCTGAATATCTGACAAGCTCTCCATTAACATTCCAAATAGTACAATAGCTGACTTCAATTTGACAAAAAAAGATAAGTGTTCTCTGGCCTCCAGTGTTATTGATGTGTTTTGAATAAGAAATGCCAACCACGCTTGAATGGCTTAGTAAAGATGAAGAAAATGTGAAAAAAGATAGATTGCCAGTGATGATTTTATAATAAGTGACAATTTTATTAGAAAGAATGCCCTCACAGAAATATTTCATCAGGTAAAACGGAATATTTATATTAAAACAAATATCCATAACAGAAAGTAGCCACAAAAATACAGAAGAGGCGGTGGCTCACGCCTGTAATCCCAGCACTTTGGGAGGCCGAGGCGGGCAGATCACGAGGTCAGGAGATAGAGATCATCCTGGCTAACATGGTGAAACCCCATCTCTACTAAAAAATACAAAAAATTAGCTGGGTGTGGTGGCGGGCACCTGTAGTCCCAGCTACTCGGGAGGCTGAGGCAGGAGAATGGCGTAAACCCAGGAGGCTGAGCTTGCGGTGAGTGGAGATTGTGCCACTGCACTCCAGCCTGGGCAACAGAGCGAGACTCAGTCTCAAAAAAAAAAAAAAAAAATACAGAAGACATGGGCATGCTTGAGGAAGCAGAAATAATTAATTTCATTTTAAATTACTATACTTTTCAAAATTGAAATAATTTAATGCTATTATCTATTTTTCAAATATATGTGTTTATATTATGGTTTTTTTTCCAGACTCTACTTATGTTCCAACATCTTGGTGGGTTTCACTGATCCTGTTTAGGTCTTAAATAGAACTGGGAAAGAAGAAGGAACCATGTGCTAGTCATTCTGCCTCTTATGCTACCTCCCTTGTCACAGTTTTTCATCACCACAGTCCTCTGAACAGGTTGTATCCTTCCCACTCATAGATGTGAAAATCAGGCTCAGCGAGATGACGTCCTTGCCAAAGGTCACAGTATTAGTAACTTTGGCAAAATTGGTGTCAGAAGCTCAATCTTCTAGTTTAGTAACTCATTCCACACCATGGATTGTACTTCTTAAACTATATAACAACATGCACTTGGAGAGTTATAATTCTTACCTTCTAATGTAGAATTTTTGCTAGGATCCTTTTACTGTATTAGAAGAGCATTACAGTTTATTTCAAACCTGATGAATGTTTGAACTTAACTATTTTTGATCCATTAACTCTAGAAACCACCATCCCAAACTCCATGGTTTGGATCTAATAACAACTTTGGGTTTCATACATGGCTTTACATACACAGACACACACAGACACACACACACACACACACACACACACACACACACAGAGTCTTAAGACTCTGACCTGGAGACATCGGAAGTAAAAGCCCAGATTTAAGTCATTTTTGGTGGTTGGTAAATCCTCAGGTGTAGAAGCTCATTACAAGGCTCTGTGTGTGTGTGTGTGTGTGTGTGTGTGTGTAATCATTGATTAGAGAGAAGGTATCTCTGACTTAACAAATTAAATATGACAATTAGGCTATGAAGAGCATCAACTCACTTGAGGCAAACTGTAGTGTTCTGGGAATTAAAAAAAGGGAAAACTTACAAGAGATTAATCATCAGCATTTATGTATCATCCATCATAAGCTAAACAAAGAATTTTGGTTGTATAAATCAATGGGACTTGGCTGAATTCCTGGCCTAATTAATAAGCCATCCACATAAGCAGCTTAAATATATTGCAAATAAATTACAATATATTATTTTCTCATATTTTTCTAGATGTGCCAAAGCAAATGTCCTTCATATCAATTCTTTCATTTAAAGATCTGACACTGAGTTTCTCTCTCTTTTTGTTATTGTAGTGTCCCCCTGAACAGTAGCCATTGTTTCTGGACCTCCATTTTTAAACCTTTTCTTTCTCTTCCTGAAGATAAAGAGCAATGCTAATAGTTCTGGTGAGAGAGCTTTCTCTTTCATGACTCCTCTTGTCTACTTCTACATGCCTTCACTTCCTTCTTAGAACTATAACTCAAAAAATGCCTCACTCGAAAAATAATACCATTTGTTGTAGAGCAAACATATTGGGAAGAAAGTTATGCAATGTATAACGGTTGGGCAGGAAGCTGAGATGAGAATGCAAGATGAGAAAAGACAAGGTAAGACTGAGGGCAGTACCCAAGACCAGGCATAAGATGAGCCAGACCCAGAGAGAACCTGGAAGCTGGATATAGGGAGAAAAACATGAGACCTAGGCGGCAGACCTGGCTCCCTGCTTACCTGTGCCGTACCAGGCAATTAATTAACCTCTCAGCACTAATTTTTAATCTGTATAAAATGAGAACTATACTCTGCCTCAAAGGAGGTTTACAAGTATTTGAATGTGCTTGGTAACTTGTGACTGGCTAATACGGAGCTGGAGGAGCAGAAGCAAGCAGCCAGGAATTGAGCAGGACTCAGGATCCTGACGACCAGGACCCAGCAGTAGTTGTCTTTGGGCCTGAAGCAAAGGTTAAGGCTGCCTCACCTGGAGGGCTGCACTAGACAGGGAATATTCTTTAAGAGGAGGATGTGGCTGAGATAAATGATGGGCATCAGGTCTCCTTGTAACCTCTGATTTTCCATGCTTGGGCACATGCCTGTCCCTGACACTCAGTTTAAGGGTGTCAACTTGTGTTTGTTCCTGCCTCCAGAAGGAAGGCATTTCTGGAGCCAATTAAAGGGAGTAAATGGTTGTCACTGGGAAATCTAAAGTGTCACTGGAAGACGCAATTTTCAGGATTTAAGCCAGACAATGTTCCCTAAAATAACTTAGGGTTCTAAAATGAGATGATGGAAGGCTTCAAAGACAACTTTACAGAACTTCTAAAGTTAATTCTACTAGGTTAGATATCTTAGCATCAGAGGTAAGTGAAAAAGAAAATGTATAGATAAACTTCAGCATCTCTTCCCCAATTCCTTTTAAGAGATGGGAGCCATCTCTTCCCCAATTTCATAACAACCGGTGTGGCCTGGCTGCATATTTATGTTTCCTAATCCTCCATAGCACACCCTCCAGGCCTGACCAATCAGAGCGCTGCATCCCGCTGACCTCAGTGATTGCTATGGGGATGAGCATGTAACTCACAGTGGGCAAATTCAGAGTCCTCAGGTTTATGACATCTCTAATCCACATGGTCTTAGGGATACCTGCAGCCATTTCAAATCCTGTCTGATCTGAGGCAAAGCAGTGGAAAGCAGAGCCAAAGTCAAGGAGGAAAGAGAACAGAGTTCTGATGATGTTGTTTAAATTCCTGGATTTAACAGGAGATTTATCTTTTATGATCTTCTCACTTACATTTTTCTGTCACTTGATGCTGAAAATGTTCTGGCTTATACAGTTTCCAAAGCGTTGAGCCCCAAATATTTCTTATTATATTACATAAATTATAATTTAGTGAAGCAAAAGTAAAAGAAATATTTTAGACTACAAATAATTTGCAGGATTCCATATCATGTGTAGCCCCTGCTGAAGTGTTTGCTTTAGAAATAATAGTTAAGTTTGTCCTATGAAACCTTTCCGTGAAAACTTTTCTCATAGGTCTTTGTCTTTATGATTAAATGCAATTGGTTAGGAAAGAAAGTTTCTAGTGACTTTAAATAATAGGCCTCAGATGATCTTAGGAGGTACGTCATAGTAAATTAGAAAAGTGTGCAGATAGCTTTTCTTGGATGCACCTTTCGACAATTGAAGATTGCTTAAATGTCAACTGTGAAGACATGTATTGTTTCATGTACCTGGGAGAGCAGCTATACTGACATGCTCAAATTTCCAAATGATTATCCTGCCTAAGAATAGTAACAATAAATATGTTACAAAAACAATAAATAAATTGCTTGTAACCTCAGAAAAACTTTGTAGAGGTCTTTAGTCATTATTCGGGTTGTAAAATTAACTTATTATGTGAAGATGTGAAAGAAGACTAACGTTCTCAGAACATGAAACCATAGTAACTTGTTAATTATAAATTCATTGTCTTCTTTTTCATCATAATGATTCATTTTATAAATGAGATGAATAAAAGTCCAAAAAACTCATTTGGATTAGTGGTTTGCTCTTAGTTAAAAAATTTCAATTTATAACTGCTTTCTTGGGAAAAATGTTGAAATACCCAAAGTTTTGGACAAATATCTAATGATCACTCTTTGTATTAGTTATGAAATATGGGGAATAGCTTAACTATGACAACAGGTAAAAAATTGGCCTAGTTTTTAATGATTGAAAATATTTTTTACATTATTTTATTTGATTTTCTGGTTAGGTAATCCTAAACTAAAATAGAATGGTGAAAAATCTGTCTCATCCTTTTCCCCCATATGCCTAGTACTTTCCCTACATTCTTCTTCCCACTTCTCCTCTTACATAGGCAACCATCTTTTTAGTTTTTTAATGTAAACTCTATCCTTTCAGAGTTTCTTTATGCATCTATAAAAATGTGTACCTAGAATCTTAATGTTCTTTCATTTTTCACATGTTTGAAAACTTACTACATGGTTTGTTCTCTTGCTTTGTATTCCTTGTATATCTTCTTCTTCTTCTTTTTTTTTTTGAGATGGAGTCTCACTCTGTTGCCCAGGCTGGAGTGCAGTAGTGTGATCTCGGCTCACTGCAACCTCCACCTACCAGGTTCAAGCAATTCTCCTGCCTCAGCCTCCCAGGTGGCTGGGATTACAGCTGTGTGCCACCATGTCTGGCTAATTTTGGTAGTTTTAGTAGAAACGAGGTTTTACTATGTTGACCAGTCTGGTCTTGAACTCCTGACCTCAAGTGATCTGCCTGCCTTGGCCTCCCAAAGTGCTGGGATTACAGGCATGAGCCACTGCACCCGGCCTGCATATTTTCTGATAATTCAGAATTCTTTTTTTCCTTCTAGTGGTTGCTTTCATGAATATAATTGTGTATTATACCCTTTGTCTTACAGTATCGATCCTACTAAGAGAAATGATAAAATTAGCATTTTATCTTCTTCCATGCACCCTCCTTCTTCCACCATTTGATATTAGAAAATAAAATCATTTTAGTATTTACTCTTATATTCTTAAATATACGTATGTTTCTATTAATTGATTTGTCAGCTTCAAATATTTTTATTCCCAGCTGACAGGTAGGACAATCAGAATATTTATTTACTTTCTACCTCTTTCCTTAATGCCCTTCCTGTTTTGATGGGTTGTATCATTTCAATAACTTCAGAGCATGTAATATTTACATTCTGATTGTTCACTGTTATCCCCACTTTTATTCAGTGTCAGTTCTAAGAGAAATATATTTCAGTCCTCATTTATGGTCTCTTTGCTGCAGTTTTCCTGACTTCGCTTGCGTAAAGTTTGTATTTTAATATTTTCCTCAAGAAGGCTTGTGGAACCAACATTCCTGAGTTCTTGTATACACAACCTTCACACTTGAATAACAGCTTGGCAAGATATAAAATTCTTAGCCCATGCTTTGGTTTTTGTGAACCCTGTAGGTATTGCTTTACTGTCCTCTAGTATTATAAGACATTGAGGAGTTATATGAATACAGCCTGAATTATTTTCCCCAAGAAATTATTTAAAGTTCTTGCTAGACTTCACCATTTTTTTTAACATCCTTTAAACAGGAATAGACCATATTGTTGAGCATTCTAATTTATTTTTTTCTGAATAATGTGTCCTTTTATTATAATATATAGATTATCTATGCATATATATAATAAATATATATTTATATAAATTATATGTTTCAGAGCTGTTTTATGATTGATATCTTTATATATTTGTTCTATTCCATTGTATTTGTTTTATTCTCTCAGGATTCCAGTTACATGTATGATGGATCTCTTTTGCTTATCTTCTGTATCTAATATTTTCTCATTCTTTTAAATTTTGTTTTCATTTCATGTTGCTTACTCTTCTTTTTGGCCTAAATATGTCAATATCTCTTACTGTATTTTTCACAGGATTTCTCTCTTTTTCGATTTTATTTTCATTTAGATGATAGTTTTTAATTATTTTTTATTTTCCTAAGAGAATTTTACTCTGTCATGCAGGCCGGAGTGCAGTGGCATGATCTTGGCTCACTGCAACCTCTGCCTCTTGGGTTCAAGTGATTCTCCTGCCTCGACCTCCTGAGCAGCTGTGATTACAGGTGTGTGCCACCCTGCCCAGCTAATTTTTGTATTTTTGTAAGAGACGGGTTTTCGCCACATTGGCCAGGCTGGTCTCGAACTCCTGGCTTCAAGAGATCTGCCTCACTTGGCCTCCCAAAGTGTGGGGATTACAGGCAAATTTATTTTAATCCTCACTTTCTTTCCTGAGTTCTCTCAGGTCATGTTTCATCTTCTTCTGTTTTCTTACTCTCTGCTTAGGTTTTCTTACCATTTCTCTTTTGCCTTCTTGTATTTTCGCCTTCTGATTTATATTCAGAGAGCAATTGCTTTATTAAGTTCTGAAATTCATGGAAAAATGTTTAATCCAAGTTTTTATCTACTTATGATGTATGTTCCTCTTTTGGTAAGTTTTCCTGCTCTTTCTGTTTCTCATACTGAAATTTTGTATCAGCACTGTCAGATCTTTCAAAATGTCATGAGTTAGATTTCCTTGACCCTGCTGTTGAAAGGAGGTGTCTTCAGAGTCTGGGCTGACATTTTCTGAGTTCTCACCACTGAAATTCTGAGTATCTTTGCTACACTTTCCTCACCACATGGCTTCTGTTTATTCAGTCTCTATCTGGTTCCCTCCTGATCTGGAATCTCTTGTGTGGAAAGGTGATAGTTTTATCATCTCAGTGCGAGCCCCTAGCCTACCAGAAGCGCTAGGCTGGCTTGTCATTTACTTTTCTTTTTACTGCTTCTGTTGTAATCTTCCTGTGCAACTTTGTCACTTTGTCATGATTTTAGTTGCTTTTGCTAAAATTTTTATGCAGATTATATCTAATGTTTTTCGCTGAAAATAATGGGCTTTTTCCCATTTACCCTGATACCTTTGTGTGACATTCAGGAGGAGAAGAGAAAGCCATCTTTTTGTATGCCTAAATTGTTTTTTTCATTTTTTTTGAGATGGAGTCCCACTCTGTCGCCCAGGCTGGAGTGCAGGGGCGCAATCTCAGCTCACTGCAACCTCTGCCTCCTGGGTTCAAGTGATTCTCCTGCCTCTGTCTCCTGAGTAGCTGGGATTACAGGCACCCGCCATCACACCTGGCTAATTTTTGTTATTTTTAGTAGAGATGTTCACCATGTTGGCCAGGCTGGTCTCGAACTTCTGACCTCAGGTGATCCACCTGCCTTGGCCTCCCAAAGTGCTGGGATTACAGGTGTGAGCCACTGCACCCGACTGTATGCCTGATTTTTATTTTAATTATTTAGTTTGAACTAATTTTAGACTTATAGAATAAATGCATGAGCAATCCCTCATCCTTTTTCCTCTATTTAACATCTTACACTCCCAAAGGATAATTATCAAGAACAGGAAATTAATATTTGTACAATATTATTAATTAAGAGATTCCATTAGAATTTCATGAATTTCCTTGATAATGTTTCTTTTCTCCTTCAGAATTTATCCAGGATTTCACATTGCATTTAGTTTTTATTTCTCCATTGTTTCTTCCCGTCTGTGATAGTTCCGTGGTCTTTTCCTTTTTTGTATGACTTTGACTTTTTGTTTTTTTGAGACAGAGTCTCGCTCTGTTGCCCAGGCTGGAGTGCAGTGGCATGATCTTGACTCACTGCAACCTCTGCTTCCTGGGGTTCAAGTGATTCTCCTGCCTCAGCCTCCTGAGTAGCTAAGATTACAGGCACGTACCACCATGCCTGGCTAATTTTTGTATTTTTAGTAGAGATGGGGTTTCATCACGTTGGGAGCCTGGTCTTGAACTCTTGGTCTCAAGTGATCCGCCCACCTCAGCCTCCCAAAGTGCAGGAATTACGGGTGTGAGCCACAGTGCCCGGCCTGACTTTGACATTTTGGAAGAGTACTGATTCTTTGGTAAGAAAATTCAGGCTCCTATGCTGAGATTCTAACCTTCATCATTGGTATTTTCTTATATTAGCCACACTGATATGAGCTCTTTTCTTTAATTGGTCTTTCATATTTCCATTTTATTAGCTTCATTTTTTGACAACTTGAGGAATATTTAAAAATTCAGATTCTTATGCTTAGATTCTAATCTTCACCATATTTGGCATCTGTATGGATTAGCCACTAATCAACTTGGTTCTTCACAGTTCAGTTCATCAACTTTTTCTGGATTGCTGTGGGATTTTCAGTCTGCCAAAGGGTAGAACTAGGAGATTATATTAGCTAATCAATGGAGTAGTATATCTTTGGTGAAATTTATTTTGCTATGTCTCAAATGCTGGATGCAGTTATAGGATGTCTAGGAAGAATAATGACCTCTTTTAAATTCTCATGCCCTATCACCAGACCTATGAAGATGTTACATGATAAAAGGAATTTTGCAGATGTGATTAATGTTACAGACATTAAAATAGGAAGATTATCCTGGGTTGTCCTGCTGGACCTAGCTTAATTACATGAGCCTTTAAAAGTAAATAATTGTTTTTTCAGGCGGAGTTAGAGAGATGTGGCAGAAAGACAAGTCAGAGATATTTTATTGCCAGAGGTATTCAACCCGCCATTGCTGGAGGGAGCTCATGAAAAGCATGAGAAGAATGTGCACAGCCTCTAGGAGCAAAGACCAGCCCCCTGCTGACAGCCAGCAAGGAAATAGGGACCTTAATGCTACAAACACAAGAAACTGAACTTAGCCAGCAACCTGACTGAGCTGGGAGGCATATTCTTCCCTAGAGTGTCCAGTAAGGAGCGCAGCCTCATCGGGCATCCTGTGAGACTCTAAGCAGGGTCTGACCGACTCCTCAACTATAGAACTGTGAGATAATCAATTTGTATTGTTTTACACCTCTAAGAAGCAATTATAAACTATTATAATACATGGGAGAAAGTTCGCTTTGCTGATTAGGGAATACATGTACTGATGAAAGCAAAATACGTTTGTTTGAAATAAAAATCGTGCTAAATGGGTTTTTTTCTCATTGTGAAAATTACATGATGAAGGGAAACTGGGTGACTTAATCACCTTTTGGGTGATTTAAATCATATTTTATCACTTGAAAGCAGCGTTTCTGAACTTCCCGTACAAACCTAACTAAGGTAAATCAGGATTATGCTGTTTTCCTTCTAGAAATTATCCAAAAGTTAAAGACAGAGTTAAAAAAGAAAAAAAACCCCAGTGAATTCCATTTTTGTTGGAACTAGGAGACAGCTATTAATCAGCAGGCTAAAAATTACTTTAAGCCTAAAAAATACAGGTGAGGCCGGGCTCAATGTATCACGCCTGTAATCCCAGCACTTTGGGAGGCTGAGGCGGGTAGATCACGAGGTCAGGAGATCGAGACCATCCTGTCTAACACGGTGAAACACCTTCTCTACTAAAAATACAAAAAAAAATTAGCCGGGCACGGTGGCGGGCACCTGTAGTCCCAGCTACTCGGGAGCCTGAAGCAGGAGAATGGCGTGAACCCGGGAGGTGGAGCTTGCAGTGAGCCGAGATAGTGCCACTGCAGTCCGGCCTGGGCAAAAGAGCAAGACTCTGTCTCAAAAAAAAAAAAAAAAAAAAAAAAAATACCGGTGAGATCGAGCAGAAGCTTTATTGACGGAAGTAAAGAAAAATAAGGACTCAGAGCAGTGGGAGAATTCAGTGGCAGCAGACCTCAGAAAACATTAATCAAAATTTACCTCCTTATACCTTAAATATGTACAATTTTTATTTGTTAATTATACCTCAATAAAGCTGGAAAAAGAAAACCAAAAAAACTCACCTCCCATATGAAGGACACTCTTTGAAGTTAAAAAGAAGTTCCACATATGTGGAGAGAGAGAGAGAGAGAGAGAGAGATAGATACTCTTAAAACAAAGTGATCCATAAATGATTAAAATGAAAAGTTGGCCAACCGAAGATGTGGGAACAGCTGGTGATAAGCTAGACTGGTGACAGAAACTCTCCTAAACCTGTTCAAGTCCATAAGATGTACTGGTTAAATAAATTATGGTTTTTCATACAATGAAATATTTTTCATTTGATAAAAACAAACAAGGAAGTATTCTATGTACTAATTTTGAAAGATTTCTAAGGTATATTAAACAAAAAAGGTCCAGGAAACTATAATATACTACTATTAGCATAAATTGGAAACATCAATATATAGTATTAATTATATATATAAACAATTGTTACTGGGAAGGCGATAGTTGGGAATGGGCAGATGGGAATTATCTTGGAAGGAGTCTTCACTGTATCTTTTTGAACTTTGTAATTTTTGAGTCATGTGAATTATCTATTATTACATTAAATCAATGGTATTAAAAGCAACATCAAAAAATTCTAAAGAAAAAATACCGAAACTTAGTATTGATCAAAATTTTAAAAATCAGCTTTTTTTTTTTTTCCATTTACAATGTGGCTATGTACCCAATTCCCCTTTTCCCGCAGAGTATGAGAACACATTTTTTATAATGAGCGGTATCCAATTGATTTATTGTCCTATAATTCTAAAATTCAGATTATGCTTTTGAGATCCATAAGCTGCATGACATTACTTATAATAATTGCAACTGCAGTTTATTTCACAGTGAGTGACATTTTATACTACCTTTTATTTTGCACCTGTTTTCAATATTTCTGGAACAGGTTCCAATCATTAGGATGAATGTAGTAATTAAGCTTTGACTAAAGATGAATCATCATCCATATATGCTGTGTGAATTTTGATCATTTTAATATTTTGCCAGTGCAAATTGCTGTTAAAACAATTCATTTGCATTTCATCAAGTCCTCTTGTAGACCTTTATTTTCAGTCTTCACATTAGAAACTTGTTTTTTTCTCTGAGTACCGCATAATGCTCCCCATGTGAAAGAAAGATTTTGCATTTCAAGGCGAGGGTAACATTATTTAGTGAATAATAGTGACACCTGCAATCCTTAGCATCTCAGAAAATGCTAATAGGATCAATTTCATGCTCCAAAAATGATGGTTGCAAACCTCTTTCGGCAAAGCAGGACTCCCCTGCTGTTGCTTGGTTTATTTCAACTGTCTGTGTGCTCTTTAGTCTGCCTTGTTCCTGGAGTTTTCATTTTCTCTACTTTTAATCTTAGTATTATAAACATTTGGAGATAGAAAGCTGCTTTCTCTTCACATTAAACAATAAAAATTGGAAACACTAGACTGCATTACGTGTGGTTCACACTAGACATAGTTCAAAACTCATCAGCTGAGTCCCCATACTTGGAGATGTTTTGGCTCTACGTGAAAAAAACTAGAAAATAAATGTACATTTGTACATTTTAAATTCAGATGGAATGTTTAAAGGATGTATAATACTTTTTATTTTTGATTAGTTGATGATATAACCAGTGCTGATGTGTCAGATAAAAGGATTGCTACTGAAATTGAGGGGTTATCTTTTTTTTTTTCTTGTTTTTTGAGACAGAGTCTTGCTCTGTCATCCAGGCTTAGAGTACAATGGTGTGATTTTGGTTCGCTGCAACCTCTCCCTCTTAGGTTCAAAGGATCCTCCCGCCTCAGCTTCTTCAGTAGCTGGGACTACAGGCGCACACCACCACTCCTGGCTAATTTTTGTTTTTTTGTTTTTGGTAGAGCAGGGTTTCGCCATGTTGGCCAGGCTGGTCTTGAACTCCTGGGCTTATGGGATCTGCCTGCCTTGGCCTCCCAAAGTGCTGGGATTACTGTCATGAGCCACTGCATCCAGCCTGGTTATCCTTTTAATCACTCAGTTTGGACTTACGTGTTGTGAGATAGGTGGAAGTCTGTTTTTGGAAGAATGTAATGTTCTCTTAGGATGCAGGCCAAATGATTAGAAATATTTAAGAGAATATCTGAAATAGGGGCAAGATGAAATGAAGAGTGGGAACAAAATGAGAACGCCGTGGGTCCAGAAGTCACATGATTCCTATTTCTGCTAGAAGAAATCCATGACTCAGGTCACAGATTAACAACGCTCCTCCTTCCCCATGGTTTCCTTTAATAAGAGGTAAGCCTTCCATGCCAATATTAAGAATATTCCAAGTGCAGATAATTGGACATAACACCAGCCATTTCTGTTTTGGTGTGAGTGAGTTTTCAGGCTAAGTGTAAGTGACTGAGACTAGTGGGGAGTCCGAGGAGAATAATGTAGGTAGGAAACAGGAAGAAAAGCACAAATACCAGCCTGGAGCAGAATGCAACAGGGTGGACCTTTTTAATTTTGCATGGCTTGAGGAAAATCTATTTGACTACACAGATAAAGTTGTTTTTGATTTTCAGATTGTCCATGCAATCGTTGTCATATTGTTGACCTGAGCAACTGAAAATCTTATTCATGTTGTGCTATTTACCCATTTTATGCTGACCTGCTGTGACACTGACATCTCCATCCTAAATGTATCTGAGTAAATCCATTCATCATGCCATTTTATCTTACTTTGTTTTGGTTGGAGCAAATGGAGCCAACATGAAATTCGTCTTTATTTGTCATATAGCATAATTTGAAGGGAAGTCTCAAGACCTAAATGGATACAGCATAATCTGAATGCTACCGGATTAGGTGCTTTGAGTTTACCATGAAGTCCTAAAATCATTTTCCTTTTTCTTAGGCTTTTGGGAAATAATTGTGCTTTTTATTGAGTAAATTAAGAAACAGAGAAACAAAGCAGCATTGCCACCTTATAGTGGTCACAATTTGAGATTGTTTTATAATATCCTGAACTTGAAACTTTTATTTAAAATTGTGGGGGGCTAAGTAAACTTGTGTATTTATAAGAATAATAATCTTTTCAAAATGTAATTTGAACTTTTATAAACAATTCTATGGTGTAGTCTATTTGCTTTCATTTATAGAGATGCTTAAAAATTATCTCCTATCTTTGTAAAAACCAGGACATTTTCATAAGTCTAGAACCCAGTGGGGCATGGTAACAGTGGAGGAAAGAAGGTATGATTTTTAAGGTAGAAAGAGAGTATTTCTTCTTGCAGTATCTAATAGTGCTATCTTCTTGCTAAGGGAGAGAGAAGGCAACTGGAGGAGTAGGAGACATACTTACAAAGAAAAAAAAAATGAGAAGTAGTATTATGCTGATCTTTGAATTCATTATCAAATGTTTAAAAAGGAAGATTCACATTTGCAGTTATTCTTTCATTTACTCAGGTGGATGCTAAATCTTACATAGAACGATTGTAAAACATCATCAGTTTTATTTATTTGATTGCTAAGATAAAAGTGGTTAAAATACACTCATTAAAATATACTCGTAACTTAAAATTTTATTTTTAATGGTGGTACAGTTAATGAAAGCATACTGTATTTTTGTTTGACTTTAAATCTGATGAAATGTATGTTTGGAAAAAATCTCTCTCTCTGTCTCTTGGTGTGTGTGTTTATGTATCCTAAAGGTTTTCTTCCTTTTCCACCCATCTCCAGACTAACTGTCTCTCACCCTTTATATACTTCAGTCTGGAAGAGAATAAAACCCTTTGAAAGTTGTTTAAAATCGGTATGAAAAAGGGAAAAAGAAAGTAGTCACTATAATTTAGTATCAGTGTATCTGATTCAGCTATATCTCATTCCACTAATTTGATTAATAATGCTTTTTTATTTATGAGAATTTCTAAAACAAATGGTAATTATTGCTGTTTCAGCTGGACTCTGAGTTCCACTTACGTGTTTGAGAATAGCAAGATGTAAATTTTGACAATTTCCTAGCATCATACTTGAAAGAGATGCAGAGGAATACTTCCATGTGAAAACCATGTCAGAGAGGAAGAAAAGTAAATTGTGACAAAAGCATTTATTTGTCTAATATACAGTTAATTTTTAACTACGTTAATGCCTGTTAAATAGAAATTACAAACTATATAGTATCCTATCATATGAAAGTGCTTTGCAACTGTAGGAAGCTGTAATGGTTAATTTTATGTGTTAATTTGACTGGTTCATTGTGCCCAGATAGATGGTGAAACATTGTTTCTGGGGGGTATGCCTGTGAAGGCGTTTTCCTGAAGAGATTAGCATTTGAATTGGTGAACTGAGTAAAGCAGATGGCTTTCCCTAATGTGGCATTGTACAATCCATTGAGAGCCTGATTACCTAATGCGAGATGATGAGTTAGTGGGTGCAGTGCACCAGTATGGCACATGTATACATATGTAACTAACCTGCACATTGTGCACATGTACCCTAAAACTTAAAGTATAATAATAATAAATGAATAAATTAATTAATTAAAAAAAAAAGAAGGCAAAGGCAGATTGGAGTCACCCTTCCTTTGCCTGAATGCTTGAACTAGGATATTGATCTTCTGCCCTTAGTACACCTGGTTCTAAGGGCTTCAGATTTGGACTAGAATGTACACCATTGACTTTCTGGCTGTCAAGTTTTTAAATTATACCACTGACTTTCTTGGGTCTCCAGCTTGCAGACAGCAGATTGTAGGACTTCTCAGCTTCCACAATTGTGTGAGCCAATACCTTATAATAAATATTTCTTTCTATATCTGTATGTGTGTGTGTGTATACATATATATATACACACAACGTATATGTACATTAGATTAGTTCTGTTTTCTGGAGAACCATAATTAATACAGAACTCAAATTCTCATTAAGTTAATAAATATTAAATTGAAGTAAGAAAATGGAAGGGAAAGAAGGAAAAAAGAAATTTTGGTGTGTTTATGATGTCTGTGTTCTAGTGAGCACCTGGATCTTGCCAAGGTCCTGAAGGGAGAGCTGATGCTGGATTCATCCCTGTGTGGAAAACTATAGATTTGTATTGAAGAACATGAGATATAAATAAAAAGCTAGAATACATTTTTGGATTAAAAGATTAATAACATTATGAATCTTCTAAATGTTTACATAAAAATGAAATTCATTTTAAATTAGAACCATCAAACTGATGAAATGTTTAAAAATTTTCATGAAGGAATAAATGGCTGAAATCAGGTAAGTTTTTTTTTTTTTAAAAAAGAGGATTAAAGAAAGGGAGCTTGCCTTACCATGTGAGAACATGCTGTAATTTATTGTATTTGAATCAATATGGCATTGGCATCAGAATAGATCAGTGGAAAAGAATCCAGAATCTGAAAATAGATCCTGGTATGGATGAGAATTTAACATACAGCCAAGGTGGTATTTTAACTCATTGGGAAAATCACGGTTTCCTGCAACATATGGTGTTAGCCCAATTGGCTAATCCATCAGGAAGTAAATAAAATTGTATCACTGACTTACACAATATAGATAAATTTGGGATGAATTAAATATTAAAGTTAGCAACATAACAAGAAACACCTACAGGAAAATCTACAAGATTATAAGTATAAACTAGGGGGAAAAAGAGGACCATTTAAAAAAGTGAATAGAAAAAACAATAGATTTGGAAAAAAAATGTTTGAATGCAGAACACAGAAGATTAATACTATAATAGACAAAGAGTTCTTACAAATGATGAGGAGATCATCCAATAGAAAAATGGGCAAAAGAGAAAAATAGGCAAATCATAGAAGAGTTAATCCCAAAAAGATCAAACTTCTTATAGGCAGGCAAGTACAAATTAAACTAACATTTATATACCTCACACACTGGCCAAACCTAAAAAGAAGGAAAGCACCACTTTCTGCCAAAGAATGGATAGGCAATGGTAGTTTCAGATATTTCTAACAAAAATGTAGTAACTTACATTTTAGCATCCTTTTTGGAATGTAATCTTGTAACATCTATTAGCAGAAATAAATGCATAGGATGCTTTGATCTAGCACTGTCACCCTTAGGAATCTAACTAGTAAAAATAATAGCACCAATGAACATGTATACATAATGTTGATTATAAGAACTGGAAACAAAGTGAATGCCCATAATAGCACATTAATACCATGGGCTATTTTGTAGCCATCAAAAAGACTGTGTGTTAGAAAGATAGTAGGAAACCTGGAGGGATTTCCATGAGGTATGGTTGAGTGAGAAAAGCAGGATGCTGATAAACTGTGTAATAGCCCAGTTTTGAAACATAAGTAAGATCCTCCCACTATAAGTGTATGTGTATTTTGTAAATACTTGTAATTTTATAATCAAAGGAACTTCATCACCTGTTATCTGAGTGGTGGTGGTGGTAGTAATGTGGATAGAGGGGAGGAAGAGAAAAGAGAAGGGGAATGTTCTTGTTTTCTCCTGTTGTGTAACAAATTAACACAAATTCGGAAGTTTAAAATGACATACACTTATTTTCTGTTGCCATGGGTTGAGTCTGGGCACAGCTTAGCTGAATCCTCTGCTCAGGATCTTCTAAAGCTACAATCAAGGTGTTGGCAGGACTGAATTCCCTTCTGGAGCTCAGGATCCTTTTCCAAGCTTGCATTATTGTTGGTAGAATTAATTTCCTCGGGACTGCCTGCCTGATGGCCCTGGCTTCTTACCGGCTGTTGGCTGGAGGCCACCCTTATGTCTCAGAGACCACCTGCAATTCCTTGTCACATGGCCCTCTCCATAGGCAGTTCTGGCATGTCTGTTTGCTTCTTCAGTGCCAGCAGGAGATCTCCTGCTGCTAAATCAGCTAAGATGGAGTCTTACGAAATGAAATACAATCACAAGACTGACATCCCATACCATCACTTTTGCCATATTCTGTTGGCTAGAAGAAAGTTGCATGTCCCACTTATCCAAGGACTGGAGATGATTACGAGAACATGGATCACTGGGGGGGTCAAGAGTAGGGTGTGTCTGTTACAGATGGCCAAGCAAACAATGAAAACAATATTTTAAAAAGACCAAAGCCAAATCAAAAACAGAAATGATTAACATGATCTTATTACATAAAATTACATCTATGTGTTGAATAATTAAAAAAAAACAGACATTAAGAAAAGAAAATTACTTCTACACCTCAGACCATTAGTAATACGTATTTCTACAAGCTTTTCTGAGAGTACTAATACTATACATTGATGCAATATCATGTACTTCCTTGAGTTCTTCATAATGAATGTCCTCTTGGGTTTGGTTGTTTTTCTTCAGTCTTTGTTCTATATTTCATCCATTCTAACATGGTGTTAATTGTCAGAGGATTATTATTTTATGTATTAAAATTAAAGGAAAAGAACTCTAGTTAAACTAGGCTTGCTTAGCAAATTAATTATGAGGTATATGCCAAATTAAAAAATGTTAAAATGTGAAAATATATTTGTCTTATATTTGATGAAACTACTTGAATGTATTTTTTCCTCCAGAAAGCTCTCTAGTTTTCCTGCTGGAAGTTTTTAGATCCCAGTGGGATACCTCCCTTTTCTCAGACATTGCTTACTTCACATCCTTCTATTTCTCTAAAATGAAAATTAGCGATAACAATAATCGGATTCTGGCCAAGTAAGGATAAGCAAAGTCCTCTGAAGTCAGTTAGTTGCTTCTAGGTCACTAGGGTTCCATTTTCAGGTAAAAAAATGCAAACTGTGTGTGTGTGTGTGTGTGTGCACACATACACTTTTTTCATAGAAGCACTGTTAGAGGTGAAAATAGCATTATAAATAATTTGAATTAATTTTTTCTTTCTTTTCTTTTTTCTTTCTTTCTTTTTTTTTTTTGAGATGGAGTCTCACTCTGTTGCCCAGGCTGGAGTGCAGTGGCATGATCTCAGCTCACTGTAACCTCCACCTCCCGGGTTCAAGTGATTCTCCTGCCTCAGCCTTCTGAGTAGCTGGGACTACAGGATTGCACCACCACGCCTGGCTAAATTTTTGTATTTTTAGTAGAGATGGGGTCTCACAAGTTTGGCCAGCCTGGTCTCGAACTCCTGACTTCAGATGATCCGCCCGCCTTAGCCTCCCAAAGTGCTGGGATTACAGGCATGAGCCACTGCACCCAGCAATTTGAATTAATTTTTAACTTTCAGCTGCAGATGTCTGGAAATTTTTTTTTAGGTAAGCACAGCAAATAGACATAATTAAAATATCATGTGTGAGCAATGTTTTTCCTTAGACAAAATGAATGCTAATCAAACTTGAAAAGCTATTTTAAATAAGCTATTTGTTGGAGCAATCTTGAATGCACTGAAAGTGACTCAATGATTTACTTGAAAGAGATTTTATATATATATATTTAAATATAATATATATTTATATTAAATATAATATACATTATATATTATATAATAAATATTAAATATATATATTATATTTTATATATTATATATAAATTTATATATATAATATATATATTTTATTTATATATAATATATATTTATATTTTATATATTATTTATATATAAATAATATATTATTTATATTTTATATATAAATAATATATTATTTATATTTTATATATAAATAATATAATATTTATATTTTATATATAAATATTATTTATATTTTATATATAAATAATATTTATATTTTATATATACATAATATATTATTTATATTTTATATATACATAATATATCATTTATATTATATATAAATAATATATTATATTTTATATATAAATAATATATATATTTATATTTTATATATAAATATAAATATATATATAAAGACATTTGTCCTTTGGTTTTTTTTTTTCTCAAAGGCAATTGCATATTAGGAAACATTTTTTTCTTATTGGATCTACAGTCTAAAGGTATATATATATGTATATATATATGTGTATATATATATGTATATATATATGTATATATATATGTATATATATGTATATATATATGTATATATATATGTATATATATATGTATATATATGTATATATATGTATATATATGTATATATATGTATATATATATATGTATATATATGTATATATATATATATATATAAAGCCATTTGTTCTTTGATCTTTTTTTTTTTCTCGAAGGCAATTACATATTAGGAAACATTTTTTTCTTATTGGATCTACAAGTTGTTGCTAAAAGTTTAGGTTGTTGCTAAAAGTTTATGTATTTATATAATGTTCTCCAGAATGAAGGGAGTCATCATGGTTTTTTTTTATACCAGTGTAAGGATTAATATCACAAACTCTAAAATTAGTTTAATATGTTCAACATGTGTTTGAAATAATCAGAATTTTCAAAAGCAATGGCCTTTAAAGCAGCATTTTAAACAGATAACATTTTAAAATATATCCTTGGGCTTTTTTAAAAAAAATTCAGGTGTCCTTTGCTTCCCTGAAATACTTTGTGGATTTTAAAGTTTCTCACTAACCTTTCTCTGAAATTGAATTCAGATTCAATTGAGTGTTATTCTGGTTTTCACCAGTAAAAAGCTTTAACTAGAACTCTCAAGATCTATTCACATTTGCTGTTTCAAAGTGAGCTGAAGATATAGCTATCTGGTGTTTAAGTTTGCTTTTTGTTTTGGAAATTCATGGGAGCAAATCAGACAAGTGTCAAGCTACAGTCTCATTTTCAGTCACTTCCTGCACTTCCAACATGTGGAAGCCCTGCAGATTTCAAAGGCAGCAGGGAGCAGCAGGTGAGCAGGATCAGCTTACCTGTTCCTGCTTTGTCAGCGTTACCATTCTGAGGTGTTTTTTTCCTCTGTCTCTGCCTTTGTCTTTGATCATAGGCATTGTTTGAATTTTATCCCTGTAAATCTTTCTAATTCCCTGTCTTCTCTTTTGTTTTTCTCACATACAGGCAACAGTAGATGCCAGTGTTATGGCATATGTTGCTGTACATGAGGAGGGATGTCTTTATTAGAAGACATCAAGGTTTGAGCTTCTTTTCCTTTGAGCTAGAAGTATGTGATCATTTGGCCTTTTAGCCCTGCACCCCTCAAAAGTACATATTGGCTTTAGGCTATCATATGATACTGACAACTTAAAAGCAATGTAAACTGAACTCAAATTTTCACATTTTTCTGTTACTAAGTCTATTCCCACATGAAACCTGAAAGGAAATTTAGACTCTGTCAGGACCAGTGAGATGGTCTTGTATCCATCCATTCAGCCAAGAGTTATTTTCCTAACCTAGCATAAATTGGTACTACCTCTATCCTGTTCCCTAAAGCAGAGAGATTTCTTCAAGGCATGGTCTCTGCATGTAGGCAAGTGCCCTGAACTTAATATCAATTGTTAAGAGTCCAGAAGAGACAACAAATATTTGGAAGAAATAGTCAGAAAAAGTTAAACTAACTACCTATTTCTCCAATCTCTGTACCCGTGTCAAGTCCAAGCACCAGAACATCTTGTACTCCTGGGAGGACCATCTCACCTCACTGTCATTATATGGTGTTTTATAAGATTTTGTCTTTGCTCAGGTTGCTATAACAAAATACCATAGAATGGATGTTAAACAACAATTAATTTCTCACAGTTCTGGATGCTGGAAAGTCCAGGCTACTGGCATGGTCAGGATCTAGTGAGGGATCACTTTCTAGCTTGCACACAGCCACCTTCTTGCAGTATCTTCACATGGCAGAGAGAAGCAGCTCTGGTGTCTCTCCTTCTAATCTCATCGCTAATCCCATCATAAGTGTTCTACCATTCTCACGATCTCATCTAAATCTATCTAATCACCTCCCAAAGGCTCCACTTTTTAATACCATTACACTGGGGATTAGAGCTTCAACATATGAAATTTTGGGGGCACAAGCAGGGGGTTGCAAGGGTAATATTAAGGTGGAATTGTAGGGGGCAGCTGAAGTATGGAAAGAGGTTTGGGGTTAGCTAGGTTTGCTGGGCTCCCTGTGGACTGGCTAATTTGAATTGTTTCTCAATCTCTGGGGCATGGAACTGTTCTTGGTTGTCTGGTATCTGGCCCCAGGGCAATTAGGACACGTGCATAGTGGCCCAGGTTCTGAGAGCCCAATAAGAAATGTGGTTGAGGTATAGACTTAATAATCAGCTGCTCAAGAAGGGGACTGACAGGCCTCTAGCCAGGGCCTCAAAACTGGCTCAAGACAGAAATTTACAAAAAATTATATTGCTCATGGTTGCCAGGAACAGATTTCATATGACCCAGCTTTCATTAGGGGTTGGTATAAGGGCTGGCCATAAAAGAAAGGTTTCTGCGTCTTTTAAAAAGTGCTATTGGAAATAGTGTTCATTGGTCCCCATGATATCAGTGTAAAGACTTACCATATACATTCCTCTTAGGATCTAGTACTATTGACAAATGTTTCTGAATCCACTGGTATGTGAGCATCTGATTATTGGCTAACAAATGCGGTGGCTTCTGTTTCTCCTTTTGAGTACAGACCTTTTCAATAAGCAGCTGCAGCCAGGAGTAGAGGTGCCCACCTGTGCCTTGAGCATAGTAGCTAGCAGGAGGCTTATTACGTATTTTAAATCAGGAGACACAAAGTTAAATTTTTGTGGCTGATATTGAGCAGGCATTTATCTTTTTTGGATTTCAGTGTAAAATGGGAATAAAACCAAAACCTGTCTTCTTCTTTTTTTTTTTTTTTTTTGAGACGGAGTCTCGCTCTGTCCCCCAGGCTGGAGTGCAGTGGCGTGATCTCAGCTCGCTGCAAGCTCTGCCTCCCGGGTTCACGCCATTCTCCTGCCTCAGCCTCCCGAGTAGCTGGGACTACAGGCGCCCGCCACTACGCCCGGCTAATTTTTTGTATTTTTAGTAGAGATGGGGTTTCACGGTGTTAGCCAGGATGGTCTCGGTCTCCTGACCTCGTGATCCGCCCGTCTCGGCCTCCCAAAGTGCTGGGGTTACAGGCGTGAGCCACCGCGCCTGGCCTGTCTTCTTATCTAAAGGGTTTGTATAATGTTCAAGCAAGCTGATGGTTGAGAAAACTTATGTCACGGTGTTTCATTAAATAATAACGTAATCCAAATAACCTAGGCTGTAGCCTATGGGCAGAAATGAAGTCAATGATATTAACATCCAAATGAAGACAGTTTTTTGTAGTTACAGCCTGCTTATGCAAGACCTGCCCTCCACTCCTAAGGCTCTCTCTTTATATCTACATGTCTTCGGAAGATGTCTTGTAGGTAGTCAGGGGTCTCTGTGCCCCCTCACTAGTGTCCCTTCACTAATGGCTCTTCTGCTATTATCTCCTATGAGGACACTCTCTTCTGTGCATTAGAAGTCAGTTTGCTGGTAAGAACCCTGCGTCCCAGGCCATGACCCTAGTCTGTGAAAGAGCAGGTAAAATATCAACTGCTTTAATGTTTTTTTTCTGTCTTTTGGGCCCTGTGACAAGACTTCTTGAGACTCCTTGTGCCTGAAATGGAACACAGGCTATCCTAGAGAAGTGTACTATGTCTTTCTGCTTTTAAACTTCTCTCTACATGCAATGTCTATACCAGTCTGTTGGCTGGGCAGAAAGGATGGTAATTGTGCTGTCACCTCCATCCTCATTTCTTTCCTCTCATTAGATTCCCAGCTTAGTGTATGCATATGCCTACCTATTCATATCTTTTCCTCCTTCTTCTTGCCAGGCCCCAAAGCATTTACAGATGTCAACTTATGCACATAGATAGTGGCAGAGTTTTAATTCAACCACTTGTGCAAACTGCAGTTCAGTGTGGACCAAGTAAAACACTGCATTTCAATAATAATAATGTTGTTGAGTGCCATTTATTGTTAATTAAGCCATATCCTCTTTTGGGTGGTGTTGTTCTAACTATGCTCCCTACCCACAGACTCTGCTATTAGAAAAATACTTCCATCCACTGAAGATTGTTTTTTGAGACTCCATCTCTGAATATGTCCTTGAATCTGTGTCTTTCTTGCTGTTGACTCTGTGCTTATTGTTCCAGTTTTCTTCTCATTTTGGACCTATACTTATGTTGTGTTTCACCAGGCTCTCAGAGTCCCTAATTTCTGGGGCAGTCTTGGCTACTATCAAATCTAGCTCAGCCTTCTGAGATCTCAGCCCAGGTCAGTACCTTTGCTTCCTACTGACCTGGGAGTGGATAATCGGCAGCTTGGATGTAGGATGGTATGAACCAATTTGTAAAATTAATATACATTCATTCCTATCATTTCTGTGTAGACCCCATATAAAGGGCATTTATTTTTCTTTATGGCAAAAAAATTTGGAAGACTGCT
This sequence comes from Homo sapiens, assembly GCF_000001405.40. Classification (NCBI taxonomy): domain Eukaryota; kingdom Metazoa; phylum Chordata; class Mammalia; order Primates; family Hominidae; genus Homo; species Homo sapiens. The sequence continues at coordinate 182,622,526 of NC_000002.12, read as the reverse complement.
TGGAAGTGTGCTTCCAACACTTACAAAAGACTACTTGGCTTGCTAAGAACTTACTTCAGGATAGTTTATCTTACTCATTTTGGAAACTATCACTGCACAGTTTTCCTTCTCGTGTTTATTTTCTGACCTAATGAGACAGAGCAGTGGTGCTCAGCACTGGCTGCACATTTTAAATTACCTTGAGTAGTTTTTAAAAATATACCCCACTCAATTCTGATAAATTAAATCAGTATTTCTATAGATGGTTCCAGGACATGGACATTAAAAACAATCTTGTCACGTGTGTTTAATATGCAGCTAGGGTTTAGAACCACTTGGATTAGAGGACTATATCAAAACAATCACTTGCTACCTAGTTTTAAATAGTGGTTCTATGTCATACTAAATAGTCTCATTTCTTTCCAGTCATTCTTTTTATGAATAAAAGTATTTAGAGCATACTTAACCCTCAATTCCTCTCTAAGATGGCATATTTTGCACATCTGGAAATGAGATAACCAGTCTATAATGTTCTGTAGTTTACAAATGAAGCCATTAATTAGATTTTCAAATCTCATTCTCCAAAGTCATGAAAATGTGTAATTCTCTCTTGAGGCTATTTCCATTATTAAGTAAATGCATTATAAATTAGCAAACCAAAGGAATATGCATGAACTGTAATTCACATCCTGTAAATTTCATACTAAATCAGAAAGCTCATTTTTCTTCAGGATGTAATGCTGTATTCTTCTTGTCTACCGTCATTCACTTAATTATATAGGAGTTAAATACTTTGAAACCCTCAGGAATTGTATAAATGTTAGAAAAAACAATAAACATTTTGCTATATTCACAAAAATCAAGTTCTAAAAATTTCTTTTGGAAACCAAAAACTATGACAACACATTCAAAGGGAGAGAAAAACAAGGAATTATTTGTATAATGATAACCAAAAAAAAAAATTTTTTTTTAAGTTATTGTAAATGGTTGAAAAACAATTGATGTTATAGAACACAACAGACCTCAGTTTTAAGGATATTAACGGGTATTATTCCTCCTGAGGAGAGTGTGATAGGTTGGAGAGTAAAAAGGATGGAATCTCCTTTTTACTGAGGCTTTTGTGTTTCCAAAAGGCTCAGCCCCTGGGAGGAGATTATATTAGGTGCTCTTTGAAGCAAAAACATTTGATAGAGAAAGTAATTCTTCCACTCTCAAAGCAAGGTTAAGGGAGTGGGGAGTGTCAACTGCAGATAGCAAAAGATTCTCCTAGTTATGAAGGTTTCTGAGTCACAGAGAGAAGGATGGATAGCCCTGCTTCTAAGATATTACCTGGAGATGTGGAAAGATATGAGAAGTTTGTAGAACCCAAGATAGAAAGGGATCTGCTCCCAATTCTCAGACTTAGAGTCTTGGGATGTGGCGGAGTGTCAGAGAGGAGATGGCTGCTTTATGCATCTCGGCAGAAGGGGCACAGAGAACCTTCCAGAGATAATTTCTGTGTCACTAGGAGTATATCCAGGGAGTAGATGAACTGCTGAACCTTAAAGGGCCATGTAGGCAGGAATGCGAATTGTCTCAGCAATGTCTTGTGTGGGCTGATAATTGGATGGGCTGGTGGACAGCATACTGGATATCTGAAGAATCATATGCATTGAGGACAAAATGTGTTCTCCTTAATCCTCTGGCAGTATATAGACACCCAGAATTTAGAGCCCCAGAAAAACTGGAGTTGCGAACTCAAATGAGCTAAGATTAAAGTTTGCCATCCTGGTGAAATGGTGCTTAAAATAGAAACTGAATTTGAGGAAAGAAAGAAAATTATATTTGTGTATATGTAACTTTGTGGAATTAAATCCATAGCATTACATAAGACAACTGAAAAGGAACATGAAAAACATAAATCTTATTATTCTTGTTCTTCTAATGGCATAAGAGGCTTGGATTCATAGCATTCTAGCCTCTGTTTCCTGTTTTAAGAGAATTATAAAATGTATTTTCTCTTTTTCAAATCCTTGTTCTTACTCTTTATTCTAGTTCAGCATGACCCAGTTTGGATGGGGGATAACAATAGAAGATAAATTTTGTTCTTAGAGGAAGGTGCCAACTTATATTTTTGTCAGGATAATTCCACACATATATCTGGACAAATTTATAGATGCTATAATCAAACTTGAAAAAGTACATGGAATAATAGATTTCAATCAGATGTCTGAAAGCAATAAACAAAGATTGAATAACTATTTGTGAAATCATTTTAAGCTTTACAAATCAAATAACTGAAATTCATATTAATATAGAAATGTGTTAATAGTTGTGTTCCCAGAGGCTCAAATTGACTCAATTAATTGTTATTTATTAAATAAAGAAATAAATACATTTTAAAGTTAATAACTTCTTTATTTTATGAGATTCTATACTTGGCTTAATTTCCACCAAAAATCCCAGTAGACTATGTGTCATGGTTTGAATGTTCATCCCCTCCAAAACTCATGTTGAAATGTAACTGCCATTGTAACAATATTGGGATGTGAGGCCTTTAAGAGGTGATTAGGCCACAAAGATTCTACCCTTATGGATGGGTTTGATGCCTTAAAAAAAAACTTCTGGAAGTGAGTTCTCTCTTGCTCCCCAGTGTGTTCTCTTGCGCTTCTGCCTTCTGCCATGTGATGATGCAGCACAAGGGCCCTTGCAAGGTGCTGGTACCATGCCCTAGGACTTTCCAGTCTCCAGAACTGTGAGCAATACATGCCTTTTCTTTGTAAATTACCTAGTCTGTGGTCTGTTATAGCAACACAAAACAGACTGACACCATGAAAACTCAGTGGCATGAAACTCCTGAACTTGCATGTCTAATAACACTTATGTGTCAAAAGGAAATTTTGATAAAAGAAAAAAATCTTGTCCTATTTAATAGGTAATTCAAAGTGATATAAAATCTGCTAGTGTCTTAGAATCTTAGTGTTTCACAATGAGTATTTCCCCATGTCAAAAACCTCTCTGAATAAGAAATATTTCCATGTAGGCACTCACTCCGTGAGTGGCTCTGACAAATTCTGCTGTATTTTGCTCTGCTGCCATGGTTTGCTCATGTTACTCTCCTCTCTGGTCATTTTGAGGCATGACTGGCTGCACAGCCCTCTGCTTGTATGGGTCACACAATGTCTTCTCAGAGCTTTTGCTCTTTCCTCATCTTCTGAGGGATCTATAGCGTTTTTCTGGGTGTTCTCAGGTTTTTAAATTTTACACATCAGTAATATTTCTCCTCAATTTGGGGGAATTATTATAGTGTTGTAAATTTTCTATTTGACCAAGTAAGCATATTAATAAAGCTAACAAATTATAATACTCACTCCATTCTTATCACATTGAATACATGGATATTTTAATAAGATGTAAATAGAGAAATTATAATTGCAAGAATTAAGAATGTAGAATTAATTGAGCCTTAGGGTGAACTTGTTATAGTATCTTCCAACCCTGCCCCCGCTCACCCGCCTATTTTTGTTTTTTTTTTTTTGCAGAGGAGTCAATGACAACTTAATCACTAACTGGCGCTGGACGAAGGACTGAAATTTGGGAGTCACTGCCATAGATTATGTCGTTTATTCTGGCCAGCTTTAATGCTGTCTATAATCCTAACATGGTGTCAGAACAGAGACTTTCTTTGAGGTTGTCTTCTCTTTGTAGGACATTCATTTATTTAACAAACACAAGCCAGGCTTGTGCTCTGTGCCAGGAACATAAAGATAAAAGTCTCTGCCTCATGAAACTCACAATCTGTAAACAGATAATTTTTCAGTTGAATCTTGTTGTCACTGACTCATGTTCCCGGAAATAACCATGTATATCAAAGACACAAAAGAGAGAAATGCAATGCATGCCATCTTTTAAAGCAGTAAACCTATTGCCAGTATGCAGAGAAAACTGTCAATTCTATTTTTATTAAATTCTCATGTACATCTATTCTTTTGTTTTTTTGCAAGCAGAATCAAAGCTCAACAATGATTCTTAGTGTAGATTCTTCAGCCTTATTGTTCTTTGAATGCCACTGTGTTGCTCACCTTCCTTGTCAAACTCTTTTACTTCCTCCACCTCCACTTTGAACCAAAAGATACTATAACGAGTTCATCCTAAGGGTAAATTAATTCTACATTCTTAATTCTTGCTATTATAATTTCTCTATTCATATCTTATTAAAATATCCACTTATTCAATGTGATAAGAATGGAGTATTATAATAGGTTAGCTTTGTTAACTTGCTTACTTGGCCAAATCGAAAATTTATGACACTATAATAATTCTCCCAAATTGAGGGGAAATATTACTGATGTGTGAAATTTGCAGTCTTTTCTCCTTCTTTCTGTCTGTCTAATTCTTTCTCTTGATGGCATTTATTTTCAGTTTTCCTGTAATTTCTCACAAATAATAAAACTCAAATGTAACAACACAATGTCCGTGACATTAGAACATTAAGCAGGCAGCACAGCAGTAAATGAGAAAGAAAACAGGATGAATGAAATACTGGAGTTTCTTTGCTGCTAAAATTGAACTTGGTCAAAGTTCTATCAAGGATGTATGAGATTGAAAGAAAACAAAAATAGCAAGCTTTAGGTATGAGGGTTACACTATGATAAGGTTATGTTAGAAATGGGTGTAAGGTCTTAAGAGAACATAAAGGGCTAACATGTAATCCAGATGGGGTGTGGAGGTTTCTGGGGGCAAGTGACACCTGAGAAAAGTACATTGAATGAGAAGGAGTGACTTGATGATGAAGATGAGTAAAGACATTCCAAGAACAGGAAGAAGCCAATGCAAAGGCATGGAGATATGAGAGGATGCTGCTATGACTCAAATGGAGAATTATCCAGAATGGCAGTTGTTGTGTTCTTCAGAGAGGAGGCCATCTGCACTGGGTGAACTGAATAGGCCACATGCAAAGTTCAGGGGATCCCTAAGATCACCCTAATTTCTGACATAAACTGCAAATTCTGGGATCCCCAAGACCACTCTTAGGTTCAATAATTCACTAGAAGTGTTCATAGAACTCAGCAAAGCTGTTGTTCTCATGGTTACAGTTTATTACAACAAAGGATATAGATTCAAATCAGCCAAAGGAAGAGGTCCATAGAGCAGGGGCCAGGAGAAATCCAGGCATGAGCTTCCAGTTATCCTTCCCTGGTAGAGCCTCGCAAACAGTGCTAATATTTCCCTGAAATGATGTGTGACAACATGTGTGGGGTGTTGACACAGGGAAGCTTACTCAATCCTTGGTGTCCAGTTTTATTGAAGTGTGGCCATATAGACATGATTGACCACTCATATGGCTGATTTTAGACTCCAGCCCCTTCAGAGGTCAAGTTGATATCATGTATATCAAGGCCCCAACCATAAATCACGTTGTTAGTGTAGGATATTTGGCATGGTCCAAGATTCCAAGGTACACAAAAACAATGTGATTAGGCAGGACCTTCCAAGGACATAGAGGTTACCTCCCAGGAATGGAAGGCAAAGGTCAAACCTCTGTTTGGGCAAGATTAATTCTTTGTCACACACCACAAAACTTTTAAATTCCAGTCATATTTCCTTTGGAGGAAGTCTGGCATAAGGCATCACTCCCTGGACCTGAGGTCAGCTGTTGAATCAAAGACTTCCACTGAGGTTTAATGGATCTCAACCTGGCTGCACATTAGGCTTACACAGGGATAATTAATGTTGCTGATGTTTTAGCCCATACCCGCTGTCCCCAGAGATTCTGATTTAATTAGTCTGGGGCAGGTCCAGGATTGGTATGTTTTAAAAGATCTGCAGATAATTCTAATTCATGGTCAAGATTGAGAACCACTTCATGAAGTAGCTGGGAAAACTGCCTAGCAAAGATGCTCTCTGGAGTGTGATGTCCTCTCCTGGGGAGTCTGACTAAGACAAATAATTGGCTCCAGCAGTGGGTGTAGATAAAGATGTAGTCTCAGGAGAAGAAGCATAAACAGAGAAGCTGAATCAAGAAAATGATTTTCTATTGGAGTTGCTGAGGTATGCAGACAGGCATGTCATGAGACTTTACTCAACTATTGCTAGGTTGATTTTCTGGACATATTATATCCTTACAGTGGGTATCTTCCATCTGAAGTAACCTGTCCTTGTGGTGTGCCACATGAATGAGTTTACCTATTACTCTGGCCTTTGCCTCTCACCTTCTGAGGCAGATTACATAATTCTTTGAGCCCTAGCTACCTCACTGGTAAAATGGGGATAATAGGAGATACCTCATAACTTGTTGTAAGACTATATAAACTTTAGTGTTGAACTTTTGCCATAGGCTCCAAAAGTGCCAGCAGTGTGATCCTCAGCATCTCACTGAGGTAGGTGATTGAAGCCTTATTCTAGCCACTGTGCCAAATTGCTGACCTTAACCCATAAATGAACTTAATTCTTACAACATTCCTATGAAGTAAATGCCATTATAATTTTTATTTCATTGCTGAGAAGCTAAGACTTAAAAAATGTTAAATAATTTATTCATTATTGTTCATAAGTGCTATGGTTTGAATGTGACCTCCAAAGTTAATGTGTTGGAAACTTAACCCCCAAGGCAACAGTGTTGAGAATTGAGACCTTTAAGAGGTGATTGGGTCTTGAGGGCTCCACCCTAATGAATGGATTAATGCCATTGTCATGGGCATGGGTTGATTAACGTGGGAGTGGGTTTCTGATAAAAGGATGAGTTTGAGTCCCTCTTCCTTCTCCCTCTCCTTCTGTTCTTTCTTCCCTTCTCATGTGTGCACATGCATGCTCTCTTGCCCTTCTACCTTCCACCATGGTATGATGCAGCACCAAGCACCTTATCAGGTGTGGGACCCTTGATATTGAGCTTCCCAACCTCCAGAACTTAAGAAATAAGTTCCTGACCTTTATAAATTACCCAGTCTTAGGTATTCTGTTACAGCAACAAAAAATAGACAATAGCAATGTGTTATTTTATTAGTAATGCTACTAATAACACATGTCGAGATAATTATATTTAATCTTAATAGGGAAATTGCTAATTTAGCATCTAATGACATATGGTCTTATATTGTTTCTGGGTTTTTCCTAAGTGTTGCAGTTTTATCTTCCCAATAATATTTTAATTGTATTGTTCTAATAAGATATAAATAACTACCACTTTTTTTTTGTATCTCTTACTGCTTTTGGGGCAAGACTGATCTTGTCATTTTAGCTGGGTTTTACAGCTGAAAACCCAGCTTTGCAAAGATATGCCATCATATACCAGGAGGAGTCAAATGATTCAAAATTACTCATTGGAGTCTGAACAGAACTGCAGCCTACTTTTATTCAGGAGGCTTTCACTGGACCTTACTCCCATGGAAGTAGAAATGAAATGAAATTTATGTAACAATGTCACACATTCTCAAATCATCTGTCATAGCTACATAGTCTTAGGAAATGGTGAAAATGGCATGCATTTGGATTCAATTATAAATGAATTTTCAGGAAAATAGAATATTCTAATTTATGAAATATTCTGACTAACGGAGTGTATAGGAATTATTTATTCTAAAAGTATCATCAATATTAAAACTATACAGGACATATTTTACTTTATGTTTGATAATTCATAAATCATTTTTGTTTCATGCTAAGGTTTGGGATAAGAATTGTGAGCATCTCCTCAGGTATAATAACAATAGATAGGCTGGGCACAATGGCTTACGCCTGTAATCCCAGCACTTTGGGAGGCCAAGGCAGGTGGATGACCTGATGTTAGGAGTTCAAGACCAGCCTGGCCAACATGGTGAAATCCTGTCTCTACTAAAAATACAAAATTGGCTGGGTGTGGTGGCACATGCCTGTAGTCTCAGCTACTCGGGAGGCTGAGACAGGAGAATTGCTTGAACCCAGGAGGTGGAGGCTGCAGTGAGCTGAGATTGCACCACTGCACTCCAGCCTGGGTAAGACAGAGTGAGACTCTGTCTCAAAAAAAAAAAAAAAAAAAAGATATGCTAGTTACTTTAAATATTATGTAATAAAGTGATAACTTACATAAATATAGCAAAGAAAAATGTTTTCATATAATAATATTCAAAACTGAAAAGCTAAGTCACTTGAAAAAATAAAGAATTAAAATTTATAGAGTTTATATGGACTTTATATTAGACAGTTTTACATTCATTATAAACTCTGACTCTTACAATAGCTCTATGAGCTAGCTATTATGTTCATTTTACAGATAAAGAAAATGCCTCTCAGAGGGATACTCCTAGGTTCCCAAACTTTTTCACTGCACAATGTTCTTAGCGTCTCAGTAATTTTTCACACCACTCTGCCTAAAGGTATTCCTAAAAGTTTCCTTGACTAAGTTATTAGTTCTAAAACCTTAATAAGTATGTAGGTTCTATCAACTTGGTAGCCATTGGAAAATAAAATATACATAAATTGAAGCTAAGTTTATTTTTACTTCATTCTTAACCACAATTACTAACAGGATGTACTTGCCTTTTGGGCACTGCACAGCTTTGCAAACTTTACATCAGATAGGATACCTCCACCCCAATTTTGTGTTTTACATTGAATTTGAGGTGGTACTTGCTTATCATACTAATTTCTGAAAACCCAGCTTTGCAAAAATATGTCATCATTGAAAGGAGTGTGGCATGATCTAATATTGACCCTGTTTGCACTGTATTGAAAAGATGTTGAGTATCACTGTGTTGCTCTTGAAAACCTAAAATACCCCATGGCAATCCTTGGAATACCTTGGCAAACAGTTCGGGAAACTCATGGTTAAAAATTTCTCAAAATGAACAGCTAATAAGTGTTGAAGTTAGGATTTGAAACCATAGTGTATTTATGCATTCAAAATATCTTAATAACTGAAGATAGTTGATCTTTTATTGACTTAAGACTTTACCACCGTACCATTCAATGGAACCCTGTATAAAAACAAAGTATATGAAAACATTATTTAATGATTTTTTTTTTTTTTTTGAGATGGAGTCTCACTCTGTCGCCCAGGCTGGAGTACAGTGGAGCAATCTTGGCCAACTGCAAGCTCTGCCTCCTAGGTTCACGCAATTCTCCTGCCTCAGCCTCCGAAGTAGCTGGGACTACAGGTGCCCATCACCATGCCCGGCTAATTTTTTTGTATTTTTAGTAGAGATGGGGTTTCACCGTGTTAGCCAAGATGTTCTTGATCTCCTGACCTCGTGATCCACTCGCCTCGGCCTCCCAAAGTTCTGGGGATTACAGGCGTGAGCCACCGTGCCCGGCCCCCTATTTAATGATGTTATTTGAAGTTATGTATAGAATAAATAAATGAATCCTTGACAATTGTTCTTCAATAATATAATTTTAAAAACTCATGAAAACAATTTGACAAATATAAAAAATAGTGTCATGCATGGTATTTTTCTCTGATAACAGAGATAAAAATGCTTCAATCTTTTATATTACATTTAAATCAGGACTATCCAATTTGCTACGAATTTTAAATGTTGAATTCTCATGTAAAATTTGTATAACTACAAAGTTGTGCATTTAAAAACATTTCTTGCCCTGCAGATTCAGTGTGAGTAAAAGAACTCATATTCAAAAGACTCATGAAAAGATAAAAAAACTGCAAAAACGAATAAGATTGGTGGCTTATGGAGGAGGCCGATCTCGCAAATGGTTATTCCCATCTCCCCCAAATAGAGGTCCATGATTTATCTCAGAGGAAAAGTTTATAAAATAATCTCGTTTCTGTTCAATTTAATTTCGATCTAAATATTCATATTGGTCCTGCTTTGTTTTTGTATAAGTCAGTTGACAGTTTGCAAATAGGAACAGAAAATATCATGCGCCTACTTTTTTGCTTTTCCCCATCTTTATAGAGGCCCCAATGAAAAAGAAAAATAGTGTATAGTGAAAGCCATTTTCGTTCTTGCCTTGCAAGATAATTAATTTACATATAGATTGGAGTGAAATACATGTGGCCTTTATGATACAAGGTGTTTTTTGTTGTCATTTTTTTTCCTGTTTTCATACTTCAATATCATTTAATTGCAGAAACAGAAGATTTCAGTGTCATAGCCTAGGGTGCTCAAACCCAAATAAATTTCTACTGATGCATTTGTGTAATGAGAACTTACATACTGGAAGAATAAACATGCTGGATATATGAGAATTAGGTATTAGAGAATGTTCATTTTTGACTCCAATCTGTTTCTGAACAATAGTCTATGAAAAGTTATTTCAATCCATGAAATTCCTTCACTCAGACCTTTTTTTGTCTTGAATACCTGTGAAATTGATATCTTTGTCTAAGCAACCTGATTAGCCTTTAATACATGATTCACAACGACTGAATTGTTAAATATTATGTTCACTAAGAATATAAAATTCCTATAAATGAAATTATTTTGATAGATTAATTTGTAGATTTTTCTGAATATTAAAATATTGTGTATATTTGTTTTGGACGAAATTAGTACTGGGCTGGAGTCCTTTGTGCTGCAAAGTATATTTGAGTTGACACTTTGTCATCTGATTAGGGCACCTGGAAAAAATGGAGCTGTTGTTTTGACAGAGTTCAGTGTTGAGGTTGAGATTTTGTCAGCAGGGCATGGAAGGTGTTGAAGCAGCTGGCCTGGCTGTTCTTGTTTTGGGAAAAGTAGTTATTTGACCAAACATCTTCATTTACTTATATTCAACTTTGTTATTTAAAGCCGGTCATCAGTTTCAAATATTATTGTTCTTTATTTGCTTATTTTTGTGCTTTGCAATTCTTTTGCTTTCAAATAGACATGATTTTTTTTTTCTTTTTTCTTCATTCTTTCTTTAATATATATTTCCTGGCAATATAAATTGTTAAATGTTTAAATAATTACTAAAGAATGCTGTAAAAGCACCGTCTTTGGAATCTTTACCAGTAAGACAGTTTTTCTGGGATTATTTTAGGTCGTAAGTTAAGGCAGAAGGTTAAAATTGCATACTTTCCTAAGAGTCTATGAATCCCAGGGTTCTGAAATCTGCTACTTCAAGCAAAATGGAAGATGAGTTGAAGTTTAAATTTACAGACTGTCTATACTGGTTAAGAAGATTAGTTTGGTGAAAAGTGTAGCAAAGAGGAAATACTGTGCCTTGGGATTATTTTGTTTATATTCATGCTACCTTTTTGGCATATATATTTGAGATACATTTTGGGAAGGGGTGGTTTGTTCTCTTTGAAATCACTTTTTTCTATTGCTATTTTGAAGTCCATTTTTCCTTGTTTTTCCTGCGCTCCTCAAGTGGTAAACAGCTTGGAGTTCTGTGTGGCTCAGGTGCTGAATGTTGCTGTGTTATCCAGCACCTCCAAATGGCAGTGCATGGAATTGGAAGTGGGCTGAATCACTCACTTACGTATTGTAGGTTTAGGGACTGGGAGGACCAGAGGTTCAGGGAGATAGAGAAGAAACTGGGCCCTGTAAGGCAATAGCTCTGATTACCTGAGCTTCTGCTTTTCATCTAAAGAATTTACCTGGATATCCTTTCAAAGAACTTTAAATTTTCAGACGACAAATGAGGAGTCAAAAAAGCAGAACCTCTGGACATATTCTGCACTTGGCTTGCACTTTGTGTTTTTTACATTTTGTATATAAAATACTTTGTAACCACTGTTATATAATTTACTTTATTCTCTTAAAGTTTACAGCAATAATAGCTTATATTGTTAATAATTCAAGTTTATATTTGCCTTTAATTTTCTTGTTTTTAGGATACTTAATTTTACTTTTATTTTTCAGTTTTATTTTCTTCTCTCTTTTTCAAAGTTTTATAAATTTGTTATAATTTAGTTTTATCCAATCCTATTCAATTTTGAGCTATTGCTTTTGTCTGACATACTTTTTATTCTCTTTTTTGTTTTTATTTAACCCTAGCTTTTATTTTCTGATTTAAATAAAAGATTTTCAACTGTTTTAATTTACTATTTTAAAGCAGTTTTAAAAATAATTTTACAATGTAATCCTTTAAAATATTGCCATTCTTTTTTTTTAATCTGACTTTAACCCACAGAAGATTTTTGAGAAAGGTTTCAGCTTGGTCAGTTTCAGCTTGGTCAGTTGCTTCAGGGATTGCCTCAACCGCAGAGAGCACCACCTCCATGATTACAGCTGTAGGAGCTGAGGGAGGACTTTCCCTTTGCCCTCTGATAGTTCACTGAAAAAATCAGCCCACAAAAGGCAGATTAACTGGAGAAAAGGCATACGAATTGACTTAATGTGTACAAAAGAGACTTCAGAAGGAAGACCCAAAGATATAGGGGAAATTGTCAATGTTTATGCTTAGGTTTGACAAAGCATAAAGAGCTGTATAGAAATAGGATTGGACAAAAAGGGTATGGTCTAATGCTAATAGGCTGAGTGGGGAAACCCAGCAAGGCCTATTTGTCCAGACTCGTTGGCTCCTCTGAGCATGCATTTCTTTCTTTTTTTTTTTTTTTGAGATAGAGTCTCACTCTGTCTCCCAAGCTGGTGTGCAGTGGCATAATCTTGGCTCACTGCAACCTCCGCCTCCTGGGTTCAAGCGATTCTCCTACCTCAGCCTCCCAAGTAGCTGGGAATACAGGCCTGTGCCACTAGACCCAGCTAATTTTTGTATTTTCAGTAGAAATGGGGTTTTGCCATGTTGGCCACGCTGGTCTCGAACTCCTGACCACAGATGATCCACCTGCCTCGGCCTCCCAAGTGCTGGGATTACAGGCATGAACCACTGTGCCCCATCCGTTTCTTTTTCCTAGGAATGGGGTGGGACCCACTCTGGAATGGGAATCTGATTGTGTCTGGAATTGGTGGGTTCTTGGTCTCACTGACTTCAAGAATGAAGCCGCGAACCCTCGCGGTGAGTGTTACAGTTCTTAAAGGCAGTGTGTCCAGAGTTTGTTCCTTCTGGTGGGTTGGTGGTCTCACTGGCTCAGGAGTGAAGCTGCAGACCTTCATGGTGAGTGTTACAGCTCTTAAGACGGCACGTCTGGAGTTTTTCATTCCTCCTGGTGGGTTCGTGGTCTTGCTGGCTTCAGGAGTGAGGCTGCAGACCTTCACGGTAAGCGTTACAACTCATAAAGGAAGTGTGGACCCAACGAGTGAGCAACAGCAAGATTTATTGCAAAGAGCAAAAGAACAAAGCTTCCACAATGCAGAAAAGGACTCTAGAGGGTTACCAGGCTGGCTGGGGCAGCCTGCTTTTATTCTCTTATCTGGTGCCACGCACATCCTGCTGATTGGTCCATTTTACAGAGAGCCGATTGGTCTGTTTTGCAGAGAGCTGATTGGTCCGTTTTGACAGGGTGCTGATTGGTGCCTTTACAATCCCTGGGCTAGACACAAAAGTTCTCCACCTCCCCACTAGATTAGCTAGATACAGAGTGTCGATTGGTGTATTTACAAACCCTGAACTAGACACAGAGTGCTGATTGGTGCATTTACAAACCTTGAGCTAGATAGAGTGCTGATTGGTGTATTTACAATCCCTTAGCTAGACATAAAGGTTCTCCAAGTCCCCACCAAATTAACTAGAGACAGAGTGCCAGTTGGTGCATTCACAAACCCTGAGCTAGACACATGGTGCTGATTGGTGTGTTTACAAACCTTGAGCTAGATACAGAGTGCTGATTGGGGTATTTACAATCCCTTAGCTAGACATAAAGATTCAACAAGTCCCCACCAGACTCAGGAGCCCAGCTGGCTTCACCCAGTGGATCCCGCACCAGAGCGCAGGGGGAGCTGCCTGCCAGTCCCGCGCCCTGCGGCCGCACTCCTCAGCCCTTGGGCGGTTGATGGGACTGGGCGCCGTGGAGCAGGGGGCGGCGCTGGTCGGGGAGGCTCCGGAGGCGCAGGAGTCCACGGCGGAAGCTCAGGCATGGCCCGCTGCAGGTCCCGAGCCCTGCCCTGTGGGGAGGCAGCTAAGGCCCGGCGAGAAATCGAGCACAGCAGCTGCTGGCCCAGGTGCTAAGCCCCTCACTGCCAGGTGCGGCGCGGCTCCGAGTGCCGGGCCGCCGAGCCCACGCCCACCCGGAACTCGCGCTGGCCCGCAAGCGCCTGGCGCAGCCCAGGTTCCCACCTGCGCCTCTCCCTCCACATCTCCTCGCAAGCTGAGGGAGCCGGCTTGGGCCTTGGCCAGCCCAGAAAAGGGCTCCCACGGTGCAGCTGCGGGCTGAAGCCAGAGTGGGCGCCAAGGCCGAGGAGGCGCCGAGAGCGAGCCCGGGTGTCACCTCTCATGATGACCTACAGTCAAACAAGGTAGGTCAGATAATTTCTTTATGGTAAGTTTTTCCGCAGAAAAGTGGCAGAAAAGTTACAGTAATATTTTTAGATTTTCAGGGAAAAGGGGTCCTGGTTTCTATAACCCCGCAACCCCCACCCCTCTTGGAGAAGAGGAATTCTAGTTTCTAGGCTAGCCTCAGGGGAGAATGGAACTGAGAGACAGAAGGGCAGGAGAAGGTCGGAGGAAACTCTTGCTTCTGAGGCTGTTTTTGAAGGCTTCTTTTAGGGGTATTGTTTTCTTAGTCCCAATACCCTCTTCCCAGGACTCAGCCCATGCTGAGTGACTGATACAGGTGGAGGTATAAAGGCCTGGTCATTTTTGCCAAATGTACGATAACTCTGAAGGGTCTTGTTAGTCCCCATGGAGTCTGCAGAAGCTGTATTTTGGCCTGAAGTCCCAATGTGCCTTCTCCCTTTATTCACTCCCACTTAGTTCCTCCCCCTTCCACAGGTGCCGTTCCCAAGGTCACTTCCTAAGTAACATCATGTGCTGTAAAGTGCTTGTTAGAATCTGCTTCTATGAGAACTCATCCTGTAATATGAACCTTTTATTTTATTTTAAAAACATCAGCTTTATTTACATAAAGGTAAATTTACACGCAGTTGACCCCTGAACAACATGGGTTTGAACTTCATGGGTCTTGTACATAGACTTTTTTCAACCAAACGTGGATGGAAAATACAGTATTCATTGATGTGAAACTCCAGTATAGGGAGGGTTGACTATTCACATGTATGTGGGTTCTGCAGTTCTGACCTTGGGCCTTGAGTTTGCATGAATTTTGGTATACGCGGGGGTTCTGGAACCAATCCCCCACTATGCTGAGAGACAACTGTATAGTGAAATGCACTCATTTTAAGTGTACTTAAAGTGCTATTCCTCAAACAATCCAGGCATACTTTGGCTTTCCTGCCTTTGAAACCGGCCCAATTGTCCTATAGAACTGATATTTATGGTTTATTTTGAATAAACATAGAAATTGGCCCTCCCAATCTTAAAACTTGAGAAAGTTACAATTATCTTATGTGAGTTGCTTTCTCAGAAAACCAACCATCAGGCCTCCCAGATAGTATCAAGGAACTGAAACTTACCAGATCACCACATCTGGACGATGAGACACTAGACCCAACACCCATCATAATTGCCTAACTAACCACCTGCTTCTGGTTGACCAATTCCTCTTCCTTACTCATCCCTAAATCCTGTCTTTTTTTTTCCCCCCACGTTACATTTCTTCTCTGCCATTTAAACCCTTAATTCTAGACCATCAGGGAGATGGATTTGAGACTGGTCTCCCATCTCCTCAGCGGCAGCACCTTCTTCTCTGGCAATACTTATTGTCTCAGTGACTGGCTTTGTGCACAGTGAGCAGCAGGACCTGGACTGAACCCCTGGCATTTTGGTGACACCTTTGTACTTGCTCTTCCCTTTTCCTGAAGAGCTTCCCCTCTGCTGTCAGTATGTGGCCTTCCATTCCTTCAGTGCCATTTTCTCATGAATACTTTCCTTTTCCACTCTATTTGGAAATGCAAGACACCTTCACTCTGAAAAGTTAGATATACAATTTTTGTTTTATTAATTTCATGGTATTTATGACCTGCTGGTATGTTATATGATAAGCTTATTCGTTTATTTCCTGTCTTCTTTTTCTATATTATAACATCCACAGGGCATGGATTTTTGTCTGTTTTGTTCACTGCTGTATCCTCAGTAGCTATAAATACTTGTTAAATAGTTGAATGAATGAAAAAAACTGGGTTTGAATTTTCATTATATAAATACCTTGAGGAGGCTGGGCACGGTGGCTCACACCTGTAATCCCAGCACTTTGGGAGGCCAGGGCGGGTGGATTACAAGGTCAGGAGTTCGAGAACAGCCTGGCCAACATGGTGAAACCCCGTCTCTACTAAAGATACAAAAAATTAGCCAGGTGTGGTGGCATGTGCCTGTAATCCTGGCTACTCAGGAGGTTGAGGCAGGAGAGTTGCTTGAACCTGGGAGGTGGAGGTCGCAGTGAGCTGAGATTGCGCCATTGCATTCCAGCCTGGGCGATAGGGTGAAGGGCGAGACTCCATCTCAAAAACAAACAAATAAATAACTACATACGTACATACATACATACCTTGGGGAGTAATTTATTCTTTCTGTGACAGTGCTATAGAGATATTTCATACCTATCTTCCACAGTCATTGTAATAAAGTCATATGTCATTAAGTGACAGTATGATATCCTATTGAACAGTAATGGCATGATATCCTATTGACAAAGTCACAGGAGATAAGTCTGAAAATCAGATAGGCCTTGGAAGCATTAAAAAAATATGAGACCTGGAAGATGTGACATCCTTGAGATGTTTTGGTGTGTGTATGTGCAGGTGTGTTTAATTGGAATTTTGATTCTAAGATGTAATTCCCATCACAAGTACAGTTCACATTAACATTTAGTTCGAAGCTACTCCTTCCTCTCTTTTTACTTCACCCTTGGTGAGCAGCTCTGGATTTGTGGAATACTCAGAGACACAATTTGACTATGATGCTTGGGTGAAATTTAGGAGGGGATAACAGAGGTTTGAAAGTTCTCCCTTTACTCTGGATCAATGGATTGATGACTTTTTGTACTTTATGTAGCTGGTGTGGTTATGTAGCCATCAGGATAGTGGAAACAAGCAAACTTAAATGTCTTAATGACTTAAAAAACAGGTTTATTTCTTACCCGTATTTCACGAGGCCATCCATTGGAGATGTGCTCCACATTGTCCTTACTCAAGGACTGAGGGAGAATCCATTCCTGTGTTTCCACAGTTATGAAGGAATTTAGAAAAGGATATGGAAACTCATGCTTTAGCTTTTAAAACCTCTGGCTGGAGTGACACCTCTGCCTGGAATGACACCTCTGCCTGGAATGACTTCTGTTTACATCTCATATGCCACTACTGATCACAGGGTCACAACTAGCTGTGAGGGAACAGCTAGTGTAGGAAGAGGAAAGCACCAGAAATATTTGATTAGCAGCCCTGATGGGTAGTACCACAGATAGGTTGGGCTTGAGGTCACCTTCTGCATTGGCGGGGCCTCTTGTCATCGGTAGGTCTAATTGGACCAGGGCAGGGCCCAGGGCAGAGACGGGCTTGAAATGAATTGTTAAGGTCAAATGCTCTCAGTTTTAGGTGAGTGGTTTTAAAATCTTAGGAAAAATATCCACCAAGGAACATGATTAAAAAAAAAAAAATCCACTCCCCTCAGGCCCCCACCCAGAGACTGATGAAGTGATTCTGAAGCTGGCCACTAAGTCACACTTTAAGAAACGTTAGAAAGAAAATATCTTTCTTTCTTTGGTTCACTTTTCTATTTTCTTCATTAGAGTGGAAAAAACTCTTTGAGAGTACCTGACGTATAATACTAAACACTTGGTAAATCTTTTATGAGTTAAAAAAAGAGTAACAATCATGAAACACTTAAAAAACCAATATAACCTGGCTTTCAAAACTGTCTTGGGTTAAATTTCTTAGAATGCTGTGAATTCTTACCAGGAATGGCTATTTTATATATATGGCATGCATTTTCCTCATCAATTAGCAACAAATGCAGAAATTAAAATTAATCAGTAGTAGCATGCTTAGGGATAATAATAAAATACGTATAGACTATCTTTTAAAAACTTTGATTTCTGAAAACCTGTAACTTCTTTCATTGGTTGTCTTTTTCGATAAACTTTCCACTGTATTCTCCATATCCTTGGACTGAGCAAATGATTACTTTTGTCATTTTAAGTAGTTCTTCATGGGAAGTACTTTTTTCCATTTCTCTGAATATGACTGTTTTCTGTGATTATAATGATTGACAGCATGTTTAAAATTAAGATCATTCGGTTAGTATTCTAAGCAATGTTCAAGAAATAGCAAATTTCCTCTTGAAATGTTTTGTGTAATGTATCAAATTTATATTGCTAGTTTAGGAATGGCTTAAAGTGCTGATAACTCTCAAATAATTAGACAGGTTATCTAAGCACTGCTCTATGTAAATGGAATATCTATTTTAGTGCACAGACACTACAAATTAACCAGAATTATTCCAAATGAAAAATTAAAATAAAATTTTATTTACATTTCATTATAATTTCTTTCAGATATAATTAAAATTCTTATTCTTTTGTATTCCAGTAAGATCTTCTTAATTTGTAAATACTTCCTGTATAGTTCTGGGCATGTATACTTTAGGAAAAGTGTATGAATTTTTTTTTTAAAACTAAATTTCTAGGAATAGTATATAATTTATTTTATAAAATATCACTTTTATGAAAGGGTTTACTTTTAACCCAATGAAGTATTAGTAGGTTGAGATATTTCAGAGTGAAAGAGGAATCTAAACATCACTCTATGAAATTTTAGGAGTTTAAATTGCTGCAATTTTAAAATTATTTATTAATATTCTGGCTCTTTCTTGGTATAAAGTTTACATTTTTTGATAATGTTTCTTGTTGACCTGAGTTCTTTTTTTAAAAAAGGAATTTAACTTAATACCACATCTTGTTGAGCAAACTAAAATTTCAGTGTAAACATCCAAATAATTAACTTTCTATTTTGCTGCTCTCACAGTCTGCATTTTACTTGAGCTTCTTACCTGCATTCTGCAACTACTAATAAACTTCAACTCACTTTGGGAGGCCGAGGTGGGCGGATCACCTGAGGTCAGGAGTTCAAGACCAGCCTGGCCAACATGGCAAAACCCTGTCTCTACTAAAAAATACCAAAATTAGCTGGGGTGTGGTGGCAGGTGCCTGTAATCCAAGCTACTCAAGAGGCTGAGGCAGGGAGAATTGCTTGAACCTGGGAGGTGGTGGTTACAGTGAACTGAGACGGCGCCACTGCATTCCAGCCTGGGCAAAAGAATGAGACTTCATCTCCAAAAACAAAAACAAAAACAAAAAACAAAAAACTTCAACTCACCTCTTCTGTGCTAACCTCCAGTAGTAATCAATGTGGTCTCAGTTATACCATTTTTAGGGAGTGAATATCAGCAAAACTGATGATATTTTCCTAAACAATTATTTACAGACAGGAAAGGTGAGAGAATTTCTAGAAACAATAAAAGAACACACCTAAGTTACAGCCAGGACTTTTGTCATTCTATGAACTGGGTTCATCTTTAATTCTGGCCAAGTTGCCTTTCAAATTAATGTCAAAGATGACCACATAGAGAGAGTGTATATCAGCTTCCCCCACCAAACTGGTATGTATGTATGTATGTATGTATGTATGTATGTATGTATGTATGTGTGTGTGTGTGATGTATTTTAGGGCAACCCGAGTGTCAGCTTCTTAGATGTTCCCTAGATCAACTGAGTTGATATTGTATTCTTACATTTAATGTAATTGGCTACAACCTCTAACCCAGTGTCTCTTCTGGTATCTTCAGTTTCATGAAAGCCACTTATTCTTGGCCTGAGTTTCTAATGTTGTTTTATTCTCTTTGTCTATTGTACAATTTATCTTCTCCTCTATTAATTCCTTTCTCATGCCTGTTCTTCCACTATTCTATTTTTAAATTACTGCCATTGCCCAATTTTATTCTGCTTCCAAATCACCACCAATCATGGGCTGATTGTCTAGAAAATTTTTATTGGATATGTGGGACCAAAAACGTAAGATTGTATCATAGTACAGTGTACAGTTTAAAATTGGATAATAGATATTTGCATCTGTTAGCTTTTGCTTCATGAGAAACCACCCAAGAAATTTAAGCTAAC
Source organism: Homo sapiens (assembly GCF_000001405.40). Classification (NCBI taxonomy): domain Eukaryota; kingdom Metazoa; phylum Chordata; class Mammalia; order Primates; family Hominidae; genus Homo; species Homo sapiens. Next base: position 182,602,521 of record NC_000002.12, on the reverse strand, counting down.
GATCATTTTATTATTGTTCCTGAATCTGTGGGTTGACCAAGTAGTTCCATGTCCATCTGAGGGCTGATTATTCTAGAATGGCTTTACTTTTAATTTGACCAGTTGGTGTTGGATGTTGACTGGGGTGATAGGGATGACTGATGGCAGTGGCCGCTCCAGACAGCACAACCGCTGTCATCATGCTGGCTGCAGCAGAGAGACATGGCTGGGGCTTCATGCTCCATGGAGCCAGTGAGAGCCCTGCCCCTTCTGAGTTGGGGCAGAAGCTCCCCAGGTGTTGCTGCAGCTGCCCAAGCCGTGGCTGCAGACTCACGCATCCTGCACTCTTGGGGGCCCGGGAAGGCCCCCCTGCCTTCATAGGCTCAGAAATGCCTGCTCCCTCTGCCTGGATTCTCCCTGCTATCAGTGCCTGCTCTCATCTTGGAGCAAAGTTGGGGCTGAACCTGGGCACCATGAATGGCAGCAGGAGGCAGGCAGATTCCTGGGTGGAAGGGGGAAGGTCCCCAGTGAGACCCTACCTTTAGGACAGGGAGGGCCTGAAGGCTGGGGGCTGGGCTGCCAGTCCCACGGAATGGAGTGGGAACTTGTGGTGCTTTCTCTGGGCCCACCCATGGCTGCCCATGGACCAATTGGTGTGACTTCATCCCCTCTGGGGCCCATAAAAGTCCTGGGCTCAGCTAGAGATGAGCAGATGATGGAATGACCAGCAGCAGAGAGAAGCTTCCCACTCCAGGGTCTCTACTCTGCTAAGAGCTGCAGAGAGGATGGCATGGGCTGCCAGCAGAGAGGAGCCACCCAACCCAGAGCCTCCTCCTCTCTGCTGAAGGCTGAACACTCGTTGGAACATCCTAGCTGCAGAAAGGAGCTACCCACAGCAGGTCTCTGAGCTCTTCTACTGCTCAATAAAGCTTCTCTTCATCTTGCTCACCCTCCATTTGTCTGTGTGCCTCATTCTTCCTGGTCACAGGACAAGAACTTGGGGCCCACCAAATGGCAAGTCTAGAAGATCTGTAACAGACACAGGACAGAAACATACCCCTTGCTCACCACATTGCTGATGAAGAGAAGAGCTGAGGCCCTTTGGGGAGCCTAGACATTCAGGGCCATGACTCCCTCTTTGAGGCCCTATGGTTTTTGGAATCTCTGAGCTTCTGCGTGCTGCTGAATTCCTTGGTGCCAGTTGGGAAAGCTGCTTGCAGTGTAGCTGGTCCAGCTGCAGCCTTGCAGAGAGCTGGCACCTGTGTCAGCACCTGGAGCTGCCTGCCACACTGCAGCAGCCAGTGTGACTATGTGCAGTGGCCGGACCCTACACTCACTTGCTCACACACCCCTTGCAGCTCCATGCCTGGCTCACCCTTGGCAGATGTGGCATCCATGCTGGTAGTGTGATCCAAGTGCAGCCTGCCAGGCCGAGTGGGTGGAACAAGCTGGGCCTGAGCAAAAGGTGGGCAAACACACCACCAGCCAGAGGTTTCCGGCCAGAAAAGTGACACCCCAAAGATCCTGTAACAACTGGACCATATTCTTTTATTATTTAGCAGACTAGCCTTGGCTTTTAACATGATAGCAGCCACAAAGTTCTGAAAAGTAGCAGGAGACATGTTCTTAATACATGAGCACTTAAAAAATCTCTGCCTGTGTCAGATTTGCCATTGATCAAGGAAAGACTGAAGGCCCAGCCCAGAATCAGTGTTGGGTAGGGGATAATCAAGGAAAAGGATATAGGAAGAAGAATTATTGAGCCAACTTGCAAACAGTCTACCACACGTTGTTTAAAAACATTGTATATATTTTTACAAAGTGGTCATCTTTTCTTTTAGGGGACATGTATTTCAATGCATGGCTGGGCTAACTTTTCTTCTGAACTTTTTTCTTTTCATCCTGACTCAGTAACTCAGTCATGCCCAACCTCTGATTTTGTTTCTTCATTTTATGAGTACTTTTCTTTTAAAACTCTTCTTTGTCATCTAAATCCATCCCCCAAAGACCTGATTTTTGTAAACAAACCTGAAGATATGTTTCTGAGTAAAACAGCTCTCTCCATGAAGGAAATCCAGTGGACAACTCAATATTTTTTTTCAGCTACACAAGTGTGAAAATTAAAATGTGAATTTCCACAAAACAGTAAGAGTACTTTTATGTATTCAGTGCATAAACAAGGCTTGGGATTTCTAAACAACTTACAATAATGTTGAGTACTCTCTATGGCTCCTCTGTTGTTGAAAATTGTGTAGCAAGCAACCTGAAAAAAACCTTTCAGAAAATGAATATTCTGCAACAGATGGTACAGAAAGAGAAATGCGTTGATGATGACAAAAAAAGCAGGAGCATTTTGAAATAGCATTACTTATTTTTTTAATAATCAGCTCTTATAAAACTACCCAATTTTATTTTCAAAACCTAAGAGAACTTTGCTGTAGAGTGTTCAAATCTAATTAACAATGATGGAAACTCTAAAACCTGAAAATTTTTACTTAAGGATTTATTTTTCTCCTGGGAGTAGAGTAGGATTGTGCTCCTAGACCAGGCTTCAAGGGACTTTCCTGTCATGTTGAAGTAGCAACCTGAAGATCTGGAGGTGGAATATGGGATTTTACTTTTATGATTGCAATGGAGGGAGTAGAGTCTAGAGATCTGGTACATGTAATTATTTAGCAATCTAATCAGATATTACATTTGGGTCAATAACTGGCATAATTAAACCTCTCTGATGCCTATAGCACAGGGATATGTGCTTGGGTTGGCTTGTCTGATAAAAGATGGGCCATCCAGTTAAAATTAAGTTTCAGATAGGCAACAAATAATTTTTTTTAATAGTAAAAGGATGTCCTATTCATCTGAAATTCAAATCTAGTGGGGGCATTCTGTATTTTTGTTATTTCTGAAAATTTTATCAGTTTAAAGAATATAAAGCTTAAAAGCCAGAACATACATAAGAAATAATAACACAGAGAAGCACATTGTGGTGGATTTAAAACATATCCACAAGTTCTCTGGCACTCCATTGAGAGGTGGGATGTATGTCCTTTCTTTTAAATCTGATCGGATTTAATGATTCACTTGTAACCAGTAGATGGAGAGGAAATGCCTGCATAGCTATGGAGGCTGGGTCATAAAAGGCATTGTAGCTTCTGTCTTGCTTTTGCAGATGAGCGTCCAGGAAAGAAAAAGACTACCCTAAGGCCACCATGGTATAAGGGAGCCCAGGCCACATGGAGAGCTCAAGCAGCTGCTTTAGTTGACAGCCCCAGCTCAAGTCCCACTGAGGCAGAGCCAGGATCCACCACCAGTCATGGGAGCAGGCACCCATAGCAGGGAAAAGCCAGGCAGTGGGAGCAGTCACTTCTGAGCCTGTGAGGGTAGGGGGGGCCTTCCTGGGCTCCCAAGAGTGCAGGATGCATGAGTCTGCAGCCATGGTTTGGGTAGTTGCAGCGACACCTGCGGAGCTCCTGCCCCAACTCAGAAGGGGCAGAGCTCTCACTGGCTCCATGGAGCATGAAGCCCCAGCCGTGTTTCTCTGCTGCAGCCAGCGTGATGGCAGCGGTTGTGCTGTCTGGAGAACTCCAGCCTCCATCCCATGAGTAATTCCCTGCAGAAGTCCAGGCACTGTGGAGCACAGATAAGCTGTGTGCTATCTTAATTCTTGACCTACAGAATCCAGGAGCATAGTAAAGTGGTTTTAAGCCACAAAGTTTTGTGGTTATTTGTTACGCAGTAATAGTAACTGTAATACACATGCTCAGTATAAAGTGAATGGTTAAAATAATCAGTGGTGCAGGAGCTTAGTGGAAGAAGGAGTCATCAGAGGCTTTGGTAGGGTGAGGATTCCCCTACTCTGCCCTGCCCCCACACTCGAAAGGCAGAGCTTGATAGGGAGTATAGAACATGGGAAATGAGAAAGGGAGAGCGTGAAAGCAGAATTAATGGCAAAGATCCTTGTTTTTGTTTTTTTTTTTTTTGAGACAGAGTTGCGCTCCATCACGCAGGCTGGAGTGCGTTGCAGCTCACTGCAACCTCCGCCTCCCAGATTCAAGTGATTCTCATGCCTCAGCCTCCCAAGTATCTGGGATTACAGGTGCCCGCCACCATGCCTAGCTAATTTTTGGATTTTTAGTAGAGACAGGGTTTCCCCATGTTGGCCAGGCTGGTCTTGAACTCCTGGCCTTAGGTGATCCCTCCGCCTCGGCCTCCCAATATGCTGGAATTACAGGCGTGATCCACTGTGCCCGGTTGAGAACCTTGTTCTTTTTCCTTTACAATTTTCTTCTTAGGATAATTGCAATTTAAAGTAAATCAGCTTGCAGAAGCACTGGAAAAAAGATTAAGGGTTGAACAGAAGAAGGAATAAATTAAACTCCCATTTTAATTTCTGGGCTATGTTTCTGAGCATTTGAAGATGAAGCTGTTATGGCTGTGCATAGGACTTAATGGTCTTTAGGGAGCCTGATAAACTGAGAAACAGATTGCAGTAATTTTGCATTGGTGACCCAGTAGGCTGACTTAGTCGCTTAAATTTCACATTTCTTTAACATGCTGAAACAAGGAAATTTTAAAGTGTTCTAAAAGAACAGAAAAGTTTCATGGGAGAACAGCAATTTGGTGAAAAGAGGATTTTCTTAACGCCTCAGTGCCTTTTGAGAAGTCTCCAAACTGCTGAATGACCAAAGATAAATGCAAAAGAAACTATGTTATCTCTATTTGTGGAAGGATTGTTTCTGAGCTTCACCATCCGCAGTTGTTGTAGGGAAGATATTGAAGGTTGCGTCATTTTCCCTGGGGACTTGACAATGCCTGAAAAGTTTATAATTCAAAGTATGTCTTATATTACTCAAAATAAAGTTAGCATCTAGAGATTTCTATTTACATGTGAAAAAGTACACTTCTTAATTTAGAAGTGGGCTTTGGGCAAAATTACGAGGTGGGTATTGTGGAAACGGTCTCTCTACCCCTGTATTCTTTACTTTCTTTACTCCCTTTCCCCCACACCTCTCAGGACCCTCCCAGGACCCCTCAGCTCTCATGCCCTGTCCTGGCCCACCAGTTCCTCTCTTCCTCTGCAATAGCCTGCAAGCGCTGGCTTCTCTGTTTCCTCCAGCCTTGCCTTTGAACCTATTGATGGCTCCTTCACATGCACCATTCAGATATATTTCCCCTTAGTGAGGCATAGCAACCACATAGTCTGTATCTTCCAGAATAAGTCATATACCTATCCTGGTACATTCCATTGTCTCCATGAATTAAAATTCCTCAGCAATTCTAAGATTTTGATGTCAAATTCATTTCTCATAATTGCTCTTAAGTCTGAAACTCCAAATCATTTTTAGATAATGTGTTTAGATTTAAAAAAAAAATTTTTTTTTTTTAATTTTTGAGATGGGGTCTCACTCTGTTGCCCAGGCTGGAATGCAGTGGCATGATCATGGCTCACCTCAGCCTCAACCTCCAGGCTCAGGTGATCTTCCCACCTCAGCCTCTTGAGCAGCTGGGACTGCAGGCATTCAACACTGTGCCCACCTAATTTTTGTATTTTTAATAGAGACGGGGTTTGCCATGTTGCCCAGGCTGGACTCAAATTCCTGGGCTCTACAGATTCACCTGCCTCAGCCTCCCAAAGTGCTAGGATTACAGGTATGAGCCATTGCGCCTGGCAGTGTGTTTAGATTCTTTATATGAAAGTTCTATTCTTCACACCTCATTGCTTCTATTTTTTAAAAATCAGCTTTCTGGTTACTCTACAGCTTTCATTGTAGCTGTTGATTCTTGCCTTACTCTCTTTGTCCTTGCCCAAATTCTTGCATTTTTCCCATCCATCCATCCATCCATCCATCCATCCATCCATCCAGTTTATTATTCATGCAGACAGTTCATATTATACAGTAGCCTCATAGTTACTGATGGCCCTCAACTTTGATAGCCTTATTTGTTTTTCAATGGAGTTACCTGCACATAGTGAATATTATGTTAAAGATATAAAAGTATTTAAAGTATAAACCAATTATTGAAGAGTATCGCCACTTTGGTAACAGGATCAGTAGCTCAAATTTCACTGGCTTTCCTTCTCCCCTTGCGATGTGGCTGGCACTTTTAAGACTCTGCAAATTCTCACCTAAGTCTTCAGCCTCCCTGGGGGAAGGTATGTCTCATGTGTGCCTCAGAAGAGTCTGTGGGTGCATGCCCTGAACACTGTCTTGATCACTCTGTGCTCTTCGGACTCCCCTTTGCCTGAAGGGCTGCTTGTCAGTGCTCTGCCTGCAGCTGCTTGCTGCAAAACACCCATGCTCACTCCATGTGTTCACTCTCTTTGAACTTTCATAGCTGCCTGGTCCAGCGTACCAAAGAATGTACCTTACTTGATTAGACTTTGTTTTAGAGACTTAAGTAACACTCCTTATGCCTGTTCTGTCTCAAATACTCCCTTATGAAACAAAGGTTGGTTGTTGTTGTTGCTGTTTTAGCTTTTGACTTTATTTGCTTGTACTATAAATTTATAGTGGTGTTTCTCACCTTGAATCACCTACTTTAAGTTACTCCTTTAAAAGTGCTGCTGCCTCAACCCCAAAGATTTTGGTTTAATCTGTCTGGATGGGCCCTAGCATCAGTTGATTCTACTGTGCTATGAGGGTTGAGAACTTCTATTTTATAAGCATTGACAGGAGGCCAATGTTATAGTCATCTCCTCACCCTCCTAATCTTTATTCCGGATGTCAAAATAGTAGTCCTCCTCCTTCAGATGAAAGCAGACAAATCACCCTCACCCACCAGCAAGTCATATCAAGAGATCCACCTGATGGCGAGAGAAAGCTGAATTTTAGTTTGGTGCTTGAAGTGAGTCCATAGCAATTTGTATAAGGAAAGAATTTCAAACACAGACTTCAGAGGGAGAAAGAGACAGCCTTATGGGTGCTATAGAGTTCCCCATTCTAAGCTATAAGAATAATCTTTGGCCAAGTTGAAAACGATTGAGTAGGATCAGAAAATAAGCATATATTATCTCATTTTCAGCCTTGACCTATTTATTTTCCTGTTTACTATATAAAAACACAGTTAATGTGACGTGTAATGTTAATTCTGGATTTTAATAAATTTCTCAGTTTGCTAGGGTTAAAATTTATTTTGGGCACAGGAGAATCTTTGAAAGAGTCAATCAGTTGTGCAGTTTCTTTTGGACAATCAGCAGAGGAGGATTTAGTGATGATAATGAAGTTGGAGCTTTAGGTCCTCTGGGAGGAACTCTAGAAATGTGTTCATATAGTCCTATTGTTTTTTGTAAAATTTGCATAAGAAATATGTTTTTTTCTTAAAAAGCATTTTCTTCCTCAATTGCAGAAGCTTCAGGCCTTGCTTAAATTGATTATGTCTAATCCCTGAGAACACTGTGAAATAGGATACTCTCTTCCTCAAAGTGAAACGGCTCTTAGTTCAATTGTCTTTATCGTCCATTTCTTTTCTAGAAGAAAAAAAGTAACAAAAAGGCTTACCACAGGGCTTATTTTATATGAATGTGTACCACTAACTATGCACAGTTGTTAAATTATTGCAAAAATCTAAATAATTGATAAATAGCCATTGCCTCAATTACCTGAGTGCCCCGTACTGCCATTCCATTGAATCCCTGCAATTCACCCAGGCCTCCCATTATCCAGAAACTAATAAGGAGCATGAAGGAGCAGTTCAGGACCTGGTCCAGTGTTATGACCACCAGCATCCATTCTGAATGGTAGATCTCTGTGCTAAATGAGTTATTAAATAAGTTGGACTCCGTGCCTGCTTAAAAACAACTTTTAAAAAATCCTGCTGTTACATATTATAGGTCAGAAGACTAAGTGTCGAGTTAAATACCTTTATACAAGAAGTGGTCCTATAAAAATGCCAGTATCTTTTATAAATTATTTTTGGAAATTCATTTTGTGTTCATTTAATATCTGACTTGTATATGACAAAGAAAAGTTATGTCATGTTGAAACTAGATCTTAGATTAGTCAAAAAGAATTTGAGGAATGCCTTAATAGGGCTTTAGTTTGCAACTTAGAGGTTTCTTAAAATATATTGAAATAAGGAAGCCAGCTGCTAACACAAAGGAGTACTACTCAGTAGTCACTGTGTAGGAGTTGCTGTGAGGACTAGAAAGGAGACAGCACAGATCTTCAACAATTGCTTAAATCTTTACCAAGAAATACGCTGTGCAAAGTGCCATACTTAGACTCTATCTAGAGATGTCCACATTTTAGATTAGAGAGTTGTAAGCTTATGGTATTATCTTCACATTTGGCAATCTAGAAATAAATAAATCATTTGGGTTATATTTAATGCACATGAGTGTTAAAAGTAAATGAAAAATTTAGGACTAGGTTGTTTAAAATATATTTAGATCATAAACCATGATATAGGCTTTGAAAAGAATTAATCTCACCTTATTATTTCAGCAGGTCTTTTTATTTATAAAGTAAAAAGAATCTATGGTTATATTAGATTTCTAGACTTAAGGGCCCTTTTATAAGTTTAATTACTAATAAACAGATATAAGTAACAAAGGGAACAGATAAAAATTACTTCTGGATAGAAGAAGTGACGCCCATGCATTTTCAAGACAGTTTTATTTGAAGTTTCACAAATGGCCTGGAATCACACAAGGGAATACTCAAATATGCAGATGCTATTAGTTTTTCTGCATAAAGACTTGTCTGCCTATTTATTCAACACTCAAAAGACCTTTATTGGGTGTTCATACTGTGTTACACTACAGAGACAAAAGAATGCAGATGACACAGTCCCTGTCCTGTAAGACATGGTCCCAGTGGTAGAGACAAACAGGTAAACAGAAGACTTTATTTCATGTAACATGTAAGGGGTCTGCAAAAGTAAATTAGTCACTCTACATAATTATATATCTTTTTAGTATAAGATGCTGCTTGGCAGAAACTCCAAAGGAGTTTTTTCAAATCCAACACAAATTCCCTCCCACGGGTCTGACTCATCAGGAGGGATTATTCTGTCCTTATGTTAAGTGGAACCACATTATCCTATCTACTAGTCTAGATTTCCTGAGTACTTAATTCGAACAGTAGTGGATTGATGGGGCTTCTATATGATCTCTGCCAATCTCTTCCCAATTTTCTGGTTCAACTGCAGTGCTCTTCTGTTAGTATTCTTGACAATATCTGTTCTCTGATTCTTTAGTAATGAAAGGAAACTATAACTGGATTCAAGTGCAGACTTGCCCAGTTTAATCCCTAGGTTTGATCCCAAATTCCACCAGCAGGTGATAGGGAAGTCAAAAAGAGCTAACCTATTTGTGATTGTTTGGGGATGACACTGCAAGTACAGTAATGATTTTAACACTTCTGGGTAGATAACACCTTCTATGTTTTTAACAACACTTGTGCCCAGTCTTTTTCCCTGGAAGACTCTCAGGGGCATAGAACTCTCACTGTCTCCTAAGCAATCAGTGTACATTAATGGTGTTGTGTGTAGATACGTTTAATTATTGGGTAGAATTTATTCCTGTTTCTTCTGAGAGGGTCAACTGAACCTCCTTCTAGGTGGGCACCATCCTTGGCATTCACAGTTATCTTTAGGGGTAAGGCCTCTGGGTCACCTCGTCGTTTTATGCTTTCGGTTCCTAACTGGGTGGATTAGCAGATTCAAGTACACTGTCCAGAGAGGCACAACAGTGTGTGTGAAAGAGATGTCTGTTTTGACAAATGTATCAACTACCCTTTTTCCTTTTTTGACTTGTTTTCTGATTCATTCTTTCTTTTTCTTTCTGTGTCAGGCATAAAACCTCTGCCACCCTGACCAGGAGTATAATTTATCCAAAACACCTCCATGTGGCTGTGATTATTTCATTGGATTCACTTGATTTGCCCTGTCCTTATTTTTTTTCCTGTATTTTGTATGCAGAAAACATCTCCAGAATATCCAGTCCTGGATGGGGAGTAGCTGTCTTTTGTCAGCATAATCATACTTTTACTCAGTTCAAAATTGAAATAATCTAAAACCACCTCTTAATTTTCAGTCATGGAAGCTGGTGTTGGGAAGATACGTAACCAAGTTCAAGTGTAAATGCACCCCATGTGGATATAGGAATCTAGCACCATTTAAATCTTAATACTCAAATATTTATATACTTGCAAAACTTTTGCCCATAATTCATTCTTTGAACTGAACACCTGCTATAATGAATATGCTTGTGCATGAGCAAAATCATTTTTGTTGGATGAAACTCGGAGAGAAACTGTAGAGCATGCTACATCTCAGTTGTTCTGGCAGTAGGATTACAGCATGTATGCTTGTGTTTAAGTTATTGGCATTATTGCTATCAGCTTTATCACTTTTTTCCTGAGAGTTTAGCCTTAAGCTTTCCAGTGGTTGCTTCTCTGAGGTGCTTGGGGGCAATACCAAGCTGGCATCGAAATTAGAGAAAAAGTGTTTATTTGATTTGAAGTCAGAGGATGGTTAGTTAACATTTGAAATACTCTAATCAGGCATACACCCACCACAAGCAGTTAGTTAGCATTTGAAAGAATCTAATCAGGAGTGCACTCTTCAGAGGCACCTGCTACTAGCACTCTCATATCTTGCTTTCTGATGAGCACTGGTAGGTGTCCTAATTATGTTGTAAGCAATGTTAGAAATGATTCTTCACTGGTGGAATGAGAATGCTCAAGATGTATGAATTGGTTAGAAATGTTGCATAGGCACAACTGACTTAATTTAAAAAGAGACTAAATTTCCAGTGAACCAGGTGGCTTGACTAGTGGTTCTTGACTAGGGTGATTTTGCCTCTCAACCTCCTGTCCCAAAATATTTAGCAATGTCTGGAGACATTTTTGGATGTCACAGCTTGGGGGAGAGGCTGCTACTGACATCTAGTGGGTAGATACCCAGGGCGTTGTGGAAAACCCTACAATGTATAAAATCTCATCACTCACCCGCAATGAAGAATTACACAACCCAGAATATTGGTAGTGCCAAGGTTGAGAAATCGTAGCCTAGACCCATCAGGGTGGTATCCCAGGTCTAGAATGCTATTTGGTCCCATGTGTAGCCATTAACTGAGGATTCTGCCACCCGGTTCTGACTAGAAATTTAGCTGACTCTTGCTGCCAGAATACTGCTGCAATTCTCTCAAATGAATCTTTGATGGAACATGATAGTTGGAGTTCCCAAGAGGTCAGATAACTGGGACTTAACTGTTTTTGTGCCTGCTTGCTAATATATGTTTGAGTGTGTCACAGAATTTGATCTGAGACTTACACTTATTGTAATAGAACACCTGGTAGACTAAGAAATTTTGAGAATGAAGACCTATGGCCCTTATCTACCCCTCATTATTAGGGAGTATTTATATTTATCAAAGTATCCTAATGATTGTGCATGACTAATTTTGTTTAGGTTAGTTCTAAAAAGAATAGGTCCAGTTTCAACCTTTTAACACATTGATGATCCACCCAGTATCTTAAGGAACTACTGGCATTCTTAAATATTTGTTTTGTATATTCAATAGGTTATATTGAGCATCTTCTATGTATGAGGCATTGTTATAGTTCCTGTGGACACAATGGTGAGCAAAAATAGACACAGGGCTTGCTTACTGTGGGTGGTATTAGAAATATGTCTTAGATCCAATTGTGAGAACACAACTGAGTTGTTTCGCTAGTAGGCAAGTCATTTCCAGTGCAAATTAGTGGGTGCAAATAAATGGGACTATGGGAGTCACATGCTTTTCTCAATTTTACGTAACAGATATATTTTCCTCTCAGAACCAGGTTTTCCCTATATTTAATGGAAATCTTTGCATATAAAATATCTGGGGTAGTCGTTCATCAGTTAGAACATCTATAAGTACAAATTCTGCAATCATTGCTTTTATTTTATGAAAAAAATGGTGAATGTTTGGTAAAGTCTCTTGGTTATTTAAATTATAGAACTGATCCCTCTCAACTGAGTTGCATGCAGAATTAAGTTCCCCCTCCACTTGCTTCAATTTCATTCCCACAAAGCACCATTATAGTGTTTTTAATACTATATCATGTGCACACACATTTTTTTTTTGAGACAGGGTCTGGCTATGTTGCCCAGGCTGGAGTGCAGTGGCATAGTCATAGCTCACTGCAGCCCTGAACTCCTGGGTGGAAGAGATCCTTCCACCTCAGTCTACTGAGTAGCTGGGACTATGGGCGGGCACCACCATGCCTGGCTAACTTTTAAATTTTTTGCAGAGATGGGGGTCTCACTTTGTTCTTCAGGCTAGTCTTGAACTCCTGGGCTCAAGCAGTCCCCTCTGCCTCAGCCTCTTAAATTGCTGAGATTATAGGCATGAGCCACCATGCCTAACTACGTTTATACACATTTCAGTCTCCTCTGCCAGGTTGTGAGCTATATCAAGGTGGGTATGCTACGTCTCCACTACTTACTAAAGAATCTAGCACACAGAGGGAGTTATGTATGATGGAAGAACATCCAGAAAGGACACCTATAACTTGTCTTTATGGTTTGTACATATTGCTTAATGTTGACAAGAAATGGACGAGTTTTAGTTGTAGAAATTTCAAATGGAGAGCACCAAAAGCTAATAGCGTGGTTAGGATGTCCACTGGAGGAAGCCTGGCTGATTATTATACTAGTAAGTATATGTTATCCTAAATCTGGTGTAGTAACTCTAGGTGGGTATGTTAACCACTGGTATGATGGACTTCCATTGACCAGGCTTGTGGGACTGATGTATGGAATAGAAATGTTAATATATCAATATTTATGAGCATTCTTAAATGAGAGTATTCTCGATTTGTAGGCACATCCATCTGAAATCAGAATCAGAGCAGTGAGATTTAGATAGATACAAATTTCTTTAGCCTGATGTACTCGTTTCCCTGACAGGAAGAGCATTTTTCGTGGGATTGCATTACTCTAAGTATAGTTGGCTAAAATGCTTTCTTTCCTGGATGAGGCTTGGATGGGCACTTCTAGTTTTCTTTTTCTCCTTGAATTTTTGTTTTAGATGATTTTGTGACAGAATACCCCTGCTTTTTCATATCTTCCACCAAGTCATAATGGACATCTTTCTTTAAGGGTATTATTATATTCATTCAGATTGGATTTGATCTTTTGGGCTAGGGAATCTCTACACTTGCACACTATTCATTGATTCTGAATCTCAGTGGAGATTGTCACACTGTAGCTTCTATGAATTACATCAATCATACCTCTTTTTCCTTCCTTCCTTCCTTCCTTCCTTCCTTCCTTCCTTCCTCCCTCCCTCCCTTCCTTCTTTTCTTTTTTTCCCCTTTTTTTCTTTTCTTTCTCTTTCTTTCCCTCTTTCCTTTCCTTCTTCCCTTCTTCCTCTGCTATCTTTCCTTCTGTTTTCTCTTTCAGGCCCAGTCTTGCTAAGTTAAAAAAAACAATATAATTGTGTCAAAAGATCATTAAAATTATTATTATTATTATTATTATTATTATTATTATTATTATTATTATTTTGAGACAGAGTTTCACTCTGTCGCCCAGGCTGGAGTGCAATGGTGCCATCTCGGCTCAGTGCAACCTCTGCCTCCCAGGTTCATGTGATTCTCCCACCTCAGCCTCCCAAGTAGCTGGGATTACAGGCATCCGCCATCATGCCTGGCTAATTTTTGTATTTTTGTAAAGATGGGGTTTCACCATGTTGGCCAAGCTGGCCTTGAACTCCTGACCTTGGGTGATCCGCCTGCCTCGGCCTCCCAAAGTGCTGGGATTACAGGCGTGAGCCATAGCGCCCGGCTAAAAATTATTATTTAAAATTATTACCTAATGATTACCTTTTGTTGAATATCTTTAAAAATTTAAATACTGTGAGGAAAAAAGAATTCAGTTCTAACCTTCTTTAATAGGTTTTATAATCTTAATTAGACATTCAGATATGACCACTTAGAAAGGATGAGATACTTTTTAAATATGAGGTGACAGATAATATGAAAAAGGGTCATATGGTTGTTCATTTTTAAGACCTGCAGTGATATTTGAGTGTATTTTTGCTGAGAAAATTTAGACAGAAGTAATAAGAGTTTCAGGGGAAGGTTAATTTCTCCAGCACTTTAGAGTCTTTCTAAATATTCAGAATTTAAAATGTAGCAGAATTTATGGAAATTTAAAACTACAGGAACTTTTTGTTCACCTGTGAGAGAAAGATCAATGGACAAGAATCACTTTGAAATGTGCTAAAAATCAAAAGTAAAGATCCCTGGGCCACTTACTCCAGATGAAAAGATGAATCTTTACAAAACTGGAGAGAGAAGCTCAACTCTGGTTTTATTTTACCCAGCGCTCTCTTTTTCCCTGTTTTATGCTGTAGTGAACAGATGATGAGAAGGAAATGAATTCAAACTTACTTACTTGCAAATAGACATATTCCACAAAGCTTTGGTTTGAGTAAGGTTACTTAATTGCAAAGCAATGCTACCAATTTTTCATCCTTCACATTCCAAACTTCACATTCCAAACTTCACATATCAAAACCACATTCTGTTAAAACACAGTCACTGCTTGGTTAAAAACATTCTCCCAATATGTTGAGCATTTATTTGATTTTCTTCCTTGTGACTCAGATGTTATTCAAAGTCACATCAAGTTGTTTTCTCTCTCATGCTAAATGTCTTCTTTAGTTGTGTGGTATATTAAACAAACATTGGCTGCATATTTAGTGTTTTTAATTCACACAAAGACTAAATCCATTGCTTATGTAATGAACGTATTAGACATTTAATTTTTTAAAAATTGAGTTATTGTGGCTCAGAAATTCCCCAGTGAACTCTAGACAAATATAACTAGATATAACATCAAGACTAAGAAAGGGGAAGTCAGTAGAACTTGTCTAAACCCGATCAGCCATCGATTTGATTTTTTCTTAGTTTCATCTGTAAATGGCAATTAACTTTCTTTATATTCTGAAAGAACTAATTCTTAGTTAGTGCACAGAAAAGTTGGTACCCCACTTAGTTATAACCACGTGGAATAACTTCAGAATTTAGTTATTTGTGCAATAGTGAAAAATGGCAAATCATTTTAGTTTAAATTGTAGAGATAATTTCTCATTCTTTTATGGTTAGACCTGGAAGATTGATGGTCTCTGTATTGGACCTGTTAAAAGAGTGGATAAAGCTTGAAAAGAGTGCTGTGTTGGAGAAGTTCTAGGCTGTCATGGAAGTACCCAAGGACTGACATATGTTAGAAGGACATTTATTTCAAGTTATAAGAGTCAGGGCAGGGGACCCCAACTAGCATTGTCCTGAGGAGCAAGGTCATAGCTCATCATTATCCTCAGAATAAAGTCAAACTCCTTAATATGAAACACAAAACCTTGTGTGACCTGGTTCCTGCTTACTGTTCTCTGTGCCCCAATAATGCTGACCTGCAGGCATTTGCCTACTTGGTCTCTTTGTCTGGAGCACTCTGTGCCTTTTAAATTTTTCACTGAGCTAATTACCACTCATCTTTCTTGTATGTGCTTAAGTGCCTTTTCCTTTGTGAAAAGCTTTACACCCCCCACCCCTGCCAAACTGGGTTACGTGCCCTTTCATTATGCTTTAGTAGTGCTTTGTTTTTATCTCTTCATATACTAAATTATAATTAACAGATTACTTGTCCACACTTATAACCAGACTTTAGGATAGGGCAACCACTGTATCTTTCTTACTATTGTAGTCCAGTATTTGACACATAATATGCATCTGATAAACATTTATCGAATGGATGAATGCATGAATAAATGTCAGTGTAAAATAGTGATTTTCATCTAGGGGCCATTGATCTTGCCTACTAGGGTATATTCAGCAATGTCTGAAGACGTTTTTGATTGACAAGATTTGAGAGGGGTGGTGTTGGCAGTATCTAGTCAGTAGAGGCCACTGTAGGATGTAAACATCCTATAATGCATAACAAAGACTTGTCTGGTCCAAAGTGTCAATAATGCTGAGATTGAGAAACCTAGCTACAAATAATACCATGTGCAGTGTAACATGTAACAGGCAATGCAAAGTTGTCCTCAGAGGAAAGTAGTAGAAAAAATAGACAGTCAAAGTAAATAATTGGGAGGTTTGGAAGCAGTTTTAAGACAAGGAACAAGAAGCATGATTCAGAAGCAAAGTCATGGAGAGCAAGAGGCACCAATCTTCCCTTGATAGTGGTGGTCTGCATAGTGGGCTGAGTAGAGTAGTGCACAAGGTTCAGGCTGGGATGTGTTCTCTAAAATATTTATTGTCCTTTTCTTATCCCTTCTAGTTAATTGCTGTTTTACATTGCCTTGACTTCTCCTTAATGTCCATAAGATATTTTTGTCACTCAATTTTGAAGTTTAAAAAAATAATATTCTATTTGAATATTATAGATTATTTACTCGGGATGAATACTGAAAATGAATACCTCATAATTTGTAGGAGAAAGATGGGGGAGATAGAACCGAAAGTGCTTCTAATATGGGAAATGCGAAAACATTCAGTATTTTGACCTGTCTTAGAAATAGGTATACATTATTCTATATCATCTGTGTAATATCTTTTTGATTACAGTTTACACATGGTCAAGCATGGTAATACCATTTTTTTCTACATGTATATATGAAATGCATCTAAATTTAAGTCAAATCACCTTTCAAAATCATGTTATTGTAACAAATGGGACCAATTAGTAAACAAGAATATGTTTAAAATATTACATAAGGACAGATGATATTTAACTGGCTTTGTGATTTATGATCTATTATTCTGATTACTAATCAGACTTACTGTATCTATGGGAACAAAGAGGAAAATTATTTTTGCCACCAACGAATATACAAAGATGAGAAATATTTTGCTTCTCTGAATAATCAGCACAGATATTGCCCTTCTTGTTTTCCTTGTGTTATTATCTGTTCTTGCCAGGAGAAAAGCAAAGTCATGTGGGTGGGGAATAGAAAGTGTAAGATTAAGAAAGTGGACTGAAAACCCACTTTCTTAAAGGTGGTTATAGACTATCAATTTTTTTAAGAGTTCTGAATTGCTTTTTGAATGAGGAAATAAAAGTGCTCAAACCTAGGTAGTTCTTAAGACAAATCTATTATTTGACTCATGAATACGATCACTTTCTGTGGTTCATATACAAATTTTTATATGTGAATTTTAATGGAGAAATCTCTGATTGAGGACATTGAAGAATAAAAATTTCCCAAATAGGAGTGAGACTCCCAAAATACACTTCATAAAAATAACACGCCATTAGTTTTTGAATGAGATACTTTATGGGACATGTTGCTATCACGAATCTAATTTTCATCAGGATCTCTAGTGTGATGAAATTTCCTGGAAGATGTCAATTCTTTCCAGGTGATTGTTGCCAAATATTAAAGACTAAATGGGATATACATGAGAGTTAGAGCTGAAATGCAATTCCTGCCAATTTATATCCAGTTCTTATTCTCCTACTGAAGTTAAAACATTACTGTGCTCCTCTATTTAGGTGTTAAAAGCTTTTGCTTTATAACGTTTTTCAAAAAATCAAGAAGTTGAAGAACCCTCTTACTTTTTTTACGTCCAGGTTTATTGTTTGATTTTGTTTTGTGTATTTTTGTTTTTGTAGAACCAGCTCAAAAACAAAGCTTTTCTCATATCACCTTTCACAGTGGATTGAGTCTGTTCTGTTTGTGGAGTTAATTATTGGGGTGGGTTTTCCTCCTGTGCTCAAGATAGCTTGAGGCACTTGCTCTTGGGTGAGGACAGAGGAGAGCCAATGCCCTGGTGTAGCCAGGCTTTCTGCTGAGAGGTGAGCCTCAACCACAAGTGCTGACAGTTGCTGGCAAGAGACTCCCATCACCCTAGGAGGGCAGAGTTCACTTTGGAGAAGTCTCTGACTCTTCTCTGGCACATACTGTCAATTCCCTTTTAGATGGTGAGCATTGCACAGCTGTCTCAGACACTAGTGGCCTGAGCAGGTGACGACAGCCACCGTCTGTCTCACTTACACACATCATCTCACATATGACTTACAGCATGACGTCCAAGTGATTATTATTATCTTCTTTTTAAAGACAGGGAATCTGAATCTTTAAGTTAAGTAGTTTGCCTGTAAAGTCACAGAGATAGTCAGCGGTAGAGCTAGAATTCAAACTGAAGTCTCTCTAAGTCCAACACTGCTGTGCTTTCTCTCTGCAACTCCTTGTGGCTCCTTGCAAGATCTCTAGAGCTGCCTTTTTAACTAACAGAGATAGTCAGCAGTAGAACTAGAATTCAAATTGAAGTCTCTCTAAGTCCAACACTGCTGTGTTCTCTCTCTGCAACTCCTTGTGGCTCCTTGCAAGATCTCTAGAGCTGCCTTTTTAACTAACAGAGATAGTCAGCAGTAGAACTAGAATTCAGATTGAAGTCTCTCTAAGTCCAACACTGCTGTGTTCTCTCTCTGCAACTCCTTGTGGCTCCTTGCAAGATCTCTAGAGCTGCCTTTTTAACTAATAAGAGAATGTAGCATTGGCCAGCTTTCTAAATGAGATCACGTAATATCTCTGATTTCTTATCAGGAAATCAGAGGTTGAAGGATTTAATAATATTATTGAATCTCTTGATAGGAATTGTGACCCAATTCTTGTTAATTTTGAGTTCCAAGTTTTAAATCATCCCAATTTCAACTTCTGTGCAAAAATTTAATCACCACAATATGCTTACCTCAGGTGGGTCTTCTGTGGAACACTAAATAGGTGATTTTTAAATTCATGCGAAACATTGTATAATGAAGGCAAAGACCTGTCACTGGGAATACAGTATAGCAGAAATATGTGACTGTTTTTTTGATGTGAATAATGCAGAAAAATTGCACTGGAAAAAGTTAAACAGGCAAGGAAGACTTTATTCAAGGCTATTTCAGTAGAGGAGAGAGATTGAACCCAACTTCCCCAAAACAAAGGGCTGGAGAGTTTTTAAGAGCCGGGGTGAGGAGAATCATAGATTGCCTGTGTTTGCTAATTGGACTTACCCAAAGGAAAAGTAAACTTTCCATATCTTCATGACAGGAGGCAGGTTTACAACTTAGAGCAAGGCATCCATGGATGATGATGATTGCATTTTGGACGGATGGCTTCCAGCTCCTTGAGAAAGGCATTTTGCTCTTACGTCTGCAGTTGAAGAAAGAAAAGCCAGATGTTTCAGATAAATAGTGAAACAGATTTCTACTATATCTTTATAATAATTTTAAGTGGTCAGTTTGCATATATTATTCTGATAATTTCCTCAATTATTGAATTTTCTTTGATTATAGATATTTTGCTGTTCTCTTTCAATTCTTATTAAATGCGTAATAGCTGAATCATATAGTGTCAGCTATTGAAAAAAGAACAGCCTCTCTTATTAAAAACAAAACCCAGAAGCTCCATGGATTTTACCACTGGAAGGAGATGATTTTTGAAGAGGAGAGCAGGTGAACAAGCAGCTGTTTCTTTGTTCTCCTGGATTTATCTTTGTCTTGGGGTTTTTCTGTTCTAATCACTCCCACCATCATCAAACCATTCTCTGGGGCTATGCTGTAGTTATTTTAAAGGTCTGGTTCAAGCGCAAAAAGGAACCCCATTTTCAGTTCTTTTTATTACAATTAATATAGCATGAAATATTCAAATATCAGCCAAACACAGAACCACAAATATAAGGATACAAGCACAGAAAAATGTGGGAAACAAAAATGATCTGACTTAACACAGGTTATATCTCTGATCCTATGGTCACTAGTGTTTTTCCAAGTCCCATAGGCTCTGTCCGCTAGCTTAGTAGTAAGTTTCTTATAACTGGGTCTATCCCTTTGATCTCAACTCAAGCTTTCTCCTATGTGTTCTGTAATATAGACCTTAGCCCCACTAGGGCACTCTCTTCCTTGCAGACATCTGAGATTTTGCATTTGTGCATCATTGTACGAGCTGTTCCCCTTGGCCCGAGTGGCACTCTCCCATCTCTTTTGTCCATATATCCTTACTCATTCTTGAGATCTCACATATTGATCAAGTCTTAGTGTTTCAGACTTCCACAAAATTAATTCCTGTTTCTGTAGTGCCTTTGATATTATTTAAAAATTTCAGTTATACTGTTTTATTTTTTAATCTGGTATCTATCCCCTTTGTTAGGCCTGGGTTCCTTGGAAGCAGAGACTACATCTTAATGACCATCTGCGTGTAGCATAGCAACAAGCACATACCAGGCATTCAAAAGCTTTTTGCTAAATTACATTGATCAATTTTTATGCCCTTTTGGAGAAGATGTCCACATTTTCATGCCAACTGACATAACTTTGAAGATTCTTGCCCAGTTCATTGCTTTATATTTCCAACTCCTTGGAAGTATCCATCTAACCAGACATTTTGATCCTTGCCACCTTTGCATTTAAAGCCAGGAAGGCCTATAAAATGAAATTCTGAGGTGCAAGTGGATGGTTAGGGTGGAGGGGGCTGTCAGGTAATTTACTTTATTTTTAATATTAAGCTAAACATTTTAAAATTCTACTACATGAAATTGCATGCTTTGGTATGTGATTCAGTATTTCCTTATTGTCATTTTTAGTTTTACCTGGAGCAGTTGGAGAGCTTGCTTTAGTATTGTATTTTAAAAACGCATAGGATTTCTATTTTTCTCAGTATCTCAAACCAGATAACAAAACCATTCTGCCTCCCCCAGGTGATACAGAAGGGGGGTTAATATGGAAGCTGCCCTCGAGTGGATTGAGATCAGCTCACGTTCTGGTTGAGTCTCTAGTGAGCTCTCCAGTTGCTAGCCCTGTTATTTCACTGCCCTAGGCTTCTGTTTCTTCAGCTGTTTCTGTCCAGATAAAATAGTCTAAGGTTTTCCAAGTACAGGTTTTTCTTCTTGGGTGTCCTATACTAACTTGGTTCTGATTTCTCAATCTGGTATTTTCTTTGATTTCTTTGTAACAGGGAAGACTGACAGTTAACCAATGTGAGATACAGAGAATTATAACATAGAAATAATAGATTGATTTGATTTCTGACATGGGTGCAGGTCTCCCAATTATTCCTTTAGGTAAAAATGAGAAGTATGCTGGAGGGCTCACACACAGGGGCATTTGTGTGCAAAGGCCCTTCATTGGAGAATATGGGTGCTATCTTTTGAATGCACAGAGCCTTTTTGCATGCTGAGAGAGTCTGCAGCTATTTTCTTTGGCAAGAGAGAGTCTCCATGAGGCCGTTTGAGGTTTGTACCCAATTCTGTTCTTGTCTGAGTCTACACTTGAAGAATTAAACCTGTGAGACTACTCCAACATCCTTAGTTTTTCTTTACCAGGTCTTTGGGGAAGATAGGATGGTCTTCACTGACTTTGTGCAACAATTATGAAAATAGGTATCTTCCAGGGACTAAAATTTGCTTTGGTATAATTAAAACTAGCTAGCAGGTACAACTTTAAATCACTTGTTTTATTGTCATCAGACTCAATTTATGAAGAAAATGATGACTGCCTATGTGGTCAACAGCTATGGTTATCTTATTAGATGTTATCTGATATTGTCAGCAATACTGAAAGCTGTAGGATGGTAAGGTATTTCAGACTGGGAGAGTAAGAGTGACAAGATACAGAAAAGAGGCATATATATTTTGCAGCTGGGAGATCATTTTTTTGCAAGGCATGTAATTTATGTGGAATAATGGGGAAAAAGGGACAAAAATTACTTATCTTCCCAAAAGATAAGTAATGAAGTTATATGACTAAGGCCATTGTTGAGCGGTGTCAAGCAGAGGATGTTTACAAATGCTGTTAAAAGGAAGTGCACCTTTATTAAATATCCCTTGGCTCTTAGTAATACATTTAAATTAAAAACCTACGTTATTCCTGGTACTTACAGTGGCACTAAGTACATTGAAAATGGATTGACTGAAAGCCAGTCTTCCATTTAAGTTATAGTAAAATCTTTCTCAACCTTGCTATGGACTGAACTGTTTCCCCTGGCTCTCCACCCCCAAATTCAGTGCTGAAGTTCTAACCTGCAGCACTTCAGATTGTGACTATATTTGGAAGTCAAGTCTTTAAAGAGATAAAATGAAGTGAGCAGGTGGGCACTAATCTAATATGACTAGTATCTCTATAAGAAGAGAAAATTTGGACACAGACGGGCACAGCAGGCAGACCGTGTAAAGACTCAGGGAGAAGACAGCTACCCATAAGCGAATGAGAGAAGCCTCAGATGAATCCAATCTGGATCTCAAATTTCTAGCCTTCAGAACTGTGAGGAAATAAATTTCTGTTATTTAAACTTCCTACCTGGTCTGTGGTACTTTGTTATGGTACTCCCAGCAAACTATTAATTAATATAAGGTCACATTCTGAGGTACTGAGGGTTAGGACGTCAATATACCATTTTGGCCAACACAATCCAACCATAAGAAGTTCTCTGTGATACAGTGAATTCCTTGTTAAGCAAGGCAAATTTAGGAAATTCAAATGATTAATTTGTGTGTTTATTTTAGTTATCAAAGGAGTAGTTATAGTTTGTTTTGAAGATGTTGTTAGCCTGAATGAAATGGAAACAGGGTCTGTGTATTTATCTGCATTTAATGAAGTCACATTGCTCATGATCAGCTATAGTGAAATATGTGCTGATAGCATTTTTGGGGACAAGAAGAGTTAGCTAGACATTCTTTCACTGTTTGTTGTTCTCATGGAATTAATGCCCTCCATTTGTGTTTCTTCTAGTCCTATAATGATCATTCTTTTGTCCAAATTATACAAGTGTATACCACTTTATTATAATAATTTATATGAAAGTAATTTAGATTTAAAATGCTCATTTCTCCTTTTTTTTTTGGGCATACCATGTACTTGCTTCTAGGTATGATGGAAAACAGGAAAACAGTTATCCCCGTCTTTCAAACTTGTTCTCCTTTCAGACTTATGCCAACAATGACAGTCAAAGTGGCTCTATATACTCATAGCCCTTGGCTGATCTTCAAGCTGCTGCAGACCATGCCACTTGGGGAGAACTGAAAATGATTCTGATCCCTTGCAGAAGAAATCTTCATTAGCTGTGTTTCTTGCTAATTTTTAGATATTTGTCTCGCTGCTTTGCTATGAGCTACTTAAGGGCAGGGACTGAACTCTATAGCAGAGTGCCTAACTCCTAACATTTATTGTCCATGTATTATATGCCTGCCACCTTGCTAAGGGAGTGACCTCCCACTTTATAGATGAGCAAAGGGAGGCCAACAGAGAGAATAAATAAGGAGTCAGATGCTACGTAGCAAGCAAGTGAGTAGCAGACAGAATTTGAACCAGGCAGTCTGACTCCAGAGCTGGGGTCAGCCCCATTCAGCAGCAGAGATGGTCAACTAATAAGTATTTCTTAAATCCATTGTAGCATGTTTATTTTGAGATACATTAAGCTCACTGTTTTCCTGTTATAATCAAGTTAGAATTAAGTGGCTCTGAGCTTTCAAAACTGTTTTCAGGTTATTTATTCACTTCACTCAAGGTGAAAACATTTGTTTTTCCCTTTTGTGTGAATAGATAACTAAGTGTCTTTTAGGAAAAAGAAAGAGAAGCAACTCCATTGCCTAAAACTTGACTTTACAAATTGTATTTGTTGAGCAGAACTTCAGAATTTTGTCTTTACTAGATTAAAAAATTATATAATAGTACTTTGTTATTGCAACAAGGTCACCATGTGAGATCTAAGAAGAGGCTGATAATACTCCCTTCAACCTTCCTTCAGGCCTAAAGTAACCCATGTTAGCACCTCACTGTCTACCATTCCTTGCCCTTTCCTGAGCTCACAATAGGGCAAAACTATGTACACTGCTACAACTTACTGTTTGCATGGAGTGGAAATACCATTCTTTCAGGTTCATGTAAAAAAGCTAGCTTATTTTTTAAATAGCAGTATACTTTTCTATTGTATAAATGTACTTATTCAACCATTCCCTTACTGATGAACTTTGGTTTGTTTCCAGGGCCCCTGTCCTCTTTGCTGTTAAATGATAAGCTTATGAAAAAATGAATCTGTTGGTCAAAGTACATGAATATTTTAAAATAGATGTTGCCAGGTCACATTATTCAAAACTTTACTAATTTAAACCTTAATAATATAGACTTTCTTTTTGAAATCATAAAATATTGCCTTTTTAATGTTAGAAGCTTTAGGTCTCTATTTTGTTTCCTATGTTTGGAATAAAATTTGTAAGAAACTCAGATGATAAGCTTAATAGATACATAAGGTATAAAAGAGGACCCTTAAATTTGCTTTGTAAGAAACTCAGATGATAAGCTTAATAGATACATAAGGTATAAAAGAGGACCCTTAAATTTGCTTCCTGCCAAAGAGTAGAAGGGAGTTTAGAAGGAAAGAGATCCATGTTATGCTTTATTATAGAGGTTCCATGATTTAGGCTGGCTCATGACTTCGGGCTTCTTCTAGACCAAAGCTCATGGTTCAGAAAATGGAAAAAGAAAAGCCTTCTTTCTGGTCCTTGTGCAAAGACACTTTTTAATTTTTAAATTTTAACTAATTCTTCCTTGCTCTTTCCCCTCCCTCCCTCCGTCCCTTCCTTCCTTCCTTCCTTCCTTCCTTCCTTCCTTCCTTCCTTCCTTCCTTCCTTCCTTCCGTTTTCTTTCTTTCGACAAAGTCTTGCTCTGTCGCCCAGACTGGAGTGCAGTGGTGAGATCTAGGCTCACTGCAACCTCTGCCTCCCAGGTTCAAGCGATTCTCCTACCTCAGCCTCCTGAGTAGCTGGGATTACAGGCACGGGCCACCACACCTAGCTAATTTTTGTATTTTTAGTAGAGACGGGGTTTTGCTATGTTGGCCAGGCTGCTCTTACCTATTGAGAAGGTTCTACCAACTCTCTTTGGCAATTCTGTAAGTGCAATTTTATGAATGCAATTCTATGAGTGCAATTTTAGAGGTGATCTCACACATCGGACCTGCTGCCACATTCAGCATTCCCTGATTATCATGTTTGACCCCTTCACCTCTTGCTTTAGTTATTCTAAACAGTGACATTCTGTCAGAAGTCTTGTGTGACTATTTATCTTTCTCTGTTTCTAAGCAGTTCACATGTCAAAGAATACAATATCTAAGACATCTGGCTGTCCGAGCTTTGCCATCTGGGGGAAAGAGTTTCTCTTAATCAATTTAATCAGACTCTATATTTGTAGAACTGACAAATCTGCAAATTCAGGATGGGACAGAAAGTTTATTCTAATTAATTATTCTTAATTTGGTAACAATATGAATATTTAAATTAGTACTGCAGCATGGCTTATAGAGATGTCAGATGGAACTGAATTTGAAACTCGGCTTCACCTCATAATGGTAGTGTAGACTTGGCCAAGTTAATTATATTCTAAGCTTCAGATTCTTTCTGTATAAAATTGGGCTAAAATATACATCTCTCAAAGTAATATGAAAAGTAAATCAAGTAGCAAAAGAAAAAATGATCAATTAAACTACATTGAAATTAAAAACTTCTGTGCATCAAATAATACAATCAATAGAGAAAGCAACTCATGGAATTGGAAAAAATATTTGCAAATCGTATATCTGATATGGTTAATATTCAGAATATATAAATAACCTTTATAATGCAAGGACAAAGAGCAAACAACCAAATAAAAATGGGCAAAAACTTGAAGAGACATTTTTCTACTTAAGATATATATGAAAAGATGCTTATAATCACCAATCATTACAGAAATGTCGATTGAAGTCATAAAAACCACTGATACCATCTTCTATCTACTGGTGATATCAGTGGTTTTAATGGCTTTAATTGGGATGGCTACTATAAAAAACACAAAACAAAATAACAGATTTTGGCAAGATTTAGAGAAATTGGAACCCCTGTGTACTGTTGGTCGGGATATAAAATGGTGTAGCCACTGTGGAAAACAGTATGGTGGTTCCTCAAAAAATTAAAATTAGAAGTACCATATAATCCAGCAATTTCACTTCTGTTTATATACACAAAAGAGTTGAAAGCAAGATCTTGAAGAAATATTTGTACACTGATGTTCATAGCCACAATATTCACAATAGCCAGAAAAGTGGAAGCCACACAAGTGTTCGTTGGTAGATGAATGGATAAGAAAAATGTGGCCTATACATACAAAGGAATATTATTCAGTCTTAAAAAGAAATGAATACTAACATATTCTACAACAAGGATGAATCTTGAGAACATTTTGCTAAGTGAAACAAGCAGTCATAAAAAGACAAATATGGTGCCATTCTACTTGTAAGAGGTACCTACAGTAGTCAAATTCATAGAGACGTAAAGTAGAAGGGTGGTTACTAGGTGCTTAGGGAAAAGAGGAATGGAGACTTTTGGATTCATGGGTGCAGAGTTTCAGTTTTGCAAGATGAAAAGAGTTCTGTAGACGAATGGTGGTAATGATTATATGACAATTTGAATTTATTAAGGCCACTGAACTGTACACTCAAAAGTAGTTAAGATAAAAAAGTTTGTTATATGCATTTTATCACAATTTTTAAAAAGCAAATCAGATAATGTATATACAGCACCTAGTGTGTTCTTAATATAGTACTAATTAATTAATTAGTATTAGTATTAATAATATATATTATAATATATTAATACTATATATAGTATAATAATATGATACTATATATAGTATTAACTTTATATATATATAAAGTATTAACTTATATGATCACAAGGTCCCACAATAGGCTCTCTGCAAGATGAGGAGCAAAGACTAAGTAATTAATAATTAATAATACTAATTATTAATAATTATAATATATAATATATTATTAATACTATATGTAGTATTAAGTTTTTATATATATCTATATATATATAGATACATAATGGAATAATTGTGTCTCCTGGTGGCAGCGTTCCTCCCCTGGAACTAAGACCTCTAGGCTGGCAGACCCTGGTATTGTTTCTCCCATAGCCAGGATTCATGGGTCCAGGAATCAAAGGGCAGAAGTGGAAGTGGCACCACTCACCATCACCCCCTAGCAAAATTTTTGCTTCCTGTTCCTGTGGCATTATGTTCTGCTGGCCTAGAGGTCTTAGTTCCAGAGGAAGGAACATTGCCACCAGG
Source organism: Homo sapiens (assembly GCF_000001405.40). Classification (NCBI taxonomy): domain Eukaryota; kingdom Metazoa; phylum Chordata; class Mammalia; order Primates; family Hominidae; genus Homo; species Homo sapiens. The sequence continues at coordinate 182,575,461 of NC_000002.12, read as the reverse complement.
AGTCACAACAATTATTCCATTAAACTAGAAGTTAAGATTGCCACCTGGACACTTTGGGCTCCTCCTATCTTTAAGTCAACAGGCTAAGAAGGGAGTTATAGTGTTGGCTGGGGTGATTGACCCAGACTATCAGTATGAAATCAGTGTACTCCTCCACAATGGAGGTAAGGAAGAGAATTCGTGGAATACAGGAGATCAATTAGGGTGTCTTTTAGTATTATCATACTCTGTGATTAAGGTCAATGGGAAACGACAACAGCCCAATCCAGGCAGGACCACAAGTGTCTCAGACCCCTCAGGAATGAAGGTTTGGATCATTCCACCAGGAAAAAAACCATGACCTGCTGAGGTGCTTGCTTAAAGCAAAGGGAATACAGAATGGGTCGTAGAAGAAGGTAGTCATCAGTACCAGCTACAACCATGTGACCAGCTGCAGAAACGGAGACTGTAGGCTGGGCACAGTGGTGGCTCAGGCCAGGCACGGTGGCTCATGCTTGTAATTCCAGCACCTTGGGAGGCTGAGGTGGGCAGATCATGAGGTCAGGAGTTCAAGACCAGCCTGGCCAACATAGTGAAACCCCGTCTCTACTAAAAAATACAAAAATTAGCTGGGCATGGTGGTGTGTACCTGTAGTCCCAGCTACTTGGGAGGCTGAGGCAGGAGAATCACTTGAAACTGGAGGCAGAGCTTACAGTGAGCCGAGGTTGTGCCAATGCACTCCAGCCTAGGCAACAGAGTGAGACTCTGTCTCAAAAAACAAAACAAACAAACAAAAAAAACGTAGACTGTGATTGTCATGAGTATTTCCTCCTTTTGTTAAAAACATGTTTGTGCATGTATACGCTTGTACTAAGAAAATATTTTTTTCTTTATCATTTGACATAAGATTTATCAACTTCATATCAGCATTTAAGTATTGTTAACTTTATGTAATAGTATTTGGGTTGGGGATTGGTGCGTTTCTGGTTGTACAAAGGGTAGTTGTATTATGTGAGGTGTAATTATGACATTATTGTCTTTATTTGAAGATTATGTATGATCTCAGGAGATGTGTATGGGTTCAAGTTGACAAGGGTTGGACTTGTGGTTGTTAATACTGAGTGTCAACTTGATTGGATTGAAGGATGTAAAGCATCGACCCTGAGTGTGTCTGTGAGGGTGTTGCCAAAGGAGATTGACATTTGAGTCAGTGGGCTGGAGAAGGCAAACCCACCCTTAATCTGGATGGGCACCTTTTAATCAGCTGCCAGCGGATATAAAGCAGGCAGAAAAACATGAAAAGGAGAGACTGGCCTAGCCTCCCAGCCTACATCTTTCTCCCGTGCTGGATGCTTCCTGCCCTCACACATCAGACTCCACGTTCTTCACCTTTGGGACTTGGATTGGCTTTCTTTGCTCCTCAGCTTGCAGACAGCCTATCGTGGGGCCTTGTAAGTTAACACTTAATAAACTCCGTATATATATATGTTTGTGTGTGTGTGTGTGTGTATAAAAAAATATATAAATATATATAATATATAAATATACATATGTATATATTAATATATATAATATATAAATATACATATGTATATATATTAATATATATACATATGTATATATAAATATATAAATATATATATCCTATTCTGTCCCTTTAGAGAACCCCGATTGATATTACTAGAATTTTATATATTATATGAAAGTATATTTTTGCTGAATCGTTTAAAATAAATTGCAGAGATCATCACCCTTTACCTAAATATTCTAGCCTGCATTTCCTAAGAACAAAATTATACATAGTTACAATTCCATTATAACTAAGAAATTACTAACGATTTGCTAATGTCGTATATTCCTCACTAATATATGAATATCATCATCTGTCCCCTAAATGTCTTTAATAGACAAATTTTTCAAACCAGGATCTATTAAGATTCCTGCATTGCATTTTGTTGTTGCGTCCCTTTAGATTCTGTCCTAGTTTAGTGATAGCCCCTCGTTTGTTTTTCCCTGTGAAATTAGCTTTTTGAAGAGACTAGTATAGCTGTCTTGAGAAATGTCCCACATTCTGTATTTTTTTTAAAAAATGATTTCCTTATGGCATCGTTCAGCTTGTTTCTCTCTGTCCTCTATTTCTGTCAATCTGGAAGTTAGTCCCAAAGCCTCAGTGAGATTCAGATGAAACATTTTTGACAGGATCAGTGATGTCTTTATATTTTACACCCAACAGTTACATGAAAGCAGGTTTTCCTCCCACAGTTTGCTAAGCTTGATCAGTGGGTTAAGAGAGGGTCATTACAATGTAGTCATAAACTACATTGTAAACGGTATCAGGTATTTGCCAAGCAGTCTATAGAATAACGTGCGAGGCAGAGCCCATTTCTCACCAGCCTTACCCCAAATGGCTTTAGCATTCTTTGGTCTAATTAAATCATTATTTCATTGGGGATTTAAAAACAGAGATGAATTAGAATTCCTCTAAAAAGGAAAGTTAGATGTTGAATTCTTTCATTTTAGTTATCACTTTCTAGAGTAAAGATTGGGCACTGTTGTCTCCTCTAGTGGTGGCAAATAAGATTTATCTTTCACTTTTTTTTTTTTTTTTTTTTTGAGACAGAGTCTCGCTCTGTCGCCCAGACTGGAGTGCAGTGGCGCAATCTTGGCTCACTGCAAGCTCCGCCTCCCGGGTTCACACCATTCTCCTGCCTCACCTCCCGAGTAGCTGGGACTACAGGCGCCCACCACCATGTCCGGCTAATTTTTTGTATTTTTAGTAGAGACGGGGTTTCATGGTGTTAGCCAGGATGGTCTCGATCTCCTGACCTCGTGATCCGCCCGCCTCAGCTGGAATTACTCGCGTGAGCCACCGCGCCTGGCCTATCTTTCACTTTTAAAACACTGTAGGCCTTATAAATGTTTAGCAAGAGGTTTTACAATGAAGTAGAAAATTTCCTAGCAAGTCCAGGGCTGATAGGAATTGGATAGTAATTATTGTCATACTTTTCTAAACTGGTTTATAGTGATTGTGATTTAAGGTAACAAACTTGGAACCATGAGAAGAAAGAGCCAGTTTGTTTAAAGGAATAGTGGATGATTTTCTTCTCTTTCCTTCCTCCTGTACCTGTTTTCCTGCAGAGTTATATCAGAAGAGTGTTCTCCTAGATTGCCAGAAGAGGAGAGATTATTGTATGAATTTTCTCCTCATTCTTCTTTAGTGAAAGCTCTTCCTTCCCTTGTCTTCTACCTCACCAGTTCATGCAAAATGGGCTTCGTATAAGCACATAAAACACACTCCTAAGAAGACATTCTCCCGACTTCCATTCTTTCAATAACAAACAAATATTGAACATTTGCTCAATGTCAGGCACAGTGTCAGTTCCTGGATCTGTAGAGACATAAAACCACCCAAAAAAAGTCTCTGCCTCTCAGGAATTATAGTTCAGTTAGAAAACATCTTTCTAAGGGGAGTTAGCTGACACTTCAGTTCTAAGAGAAATAAGCTATGGGCTGTCATGAGGTCATCACAAAGATGACTTTGCCACATGGTTAGCTTTTCTTAGGAAGTGAACATAGAGTAAGGTCAATTTTTAAAAGGACCTTTTCTGGATAATGAGACATGGTTGAGTGACTGCTGTGTTGTAGATTTAGAATTCTGCTGGCATAATGGATCATGATACTGTTCTTGAAAAGTTGCTACTACACCGGAGACCTGAAAGTTATTTGAGCTTTTTTTGCTACTCTCGGAAATCAGATTTACTGGCATTTAAAACATTTTCTATGATTGACATTATTATTATTATTATTATTTTTAAATATAAACTTATTGTTTAATTTAGTAGTTAGCATCCTATTTTGCTCTCACATAACAGGAAAGTGCCATTGAATGTTATCTTTAATCCAGCAATAAGCAGTTCTTGTATTTTACCAATTTTTAATTTTAACAATGATGTAGAGAGAGACATCAGCTTCCTTATAATTCATGACATTTGCCTTCACAGATCCATACTCACTTTAGACAAAGAATTAGAAAATAAGAGGCTTAACAAACCTCCAAAGTCTCAAAGTTTGTGGTAATCATTTTATGCTATTTTCTTGAAATTCTCTTTGTCCAGTCCTATCATCTCTTCTATGATTTGATTGGTAGAATAATAATGAGGGTATTTACATTATTCTTTTTTCATTCTCTTCCTCTTGGTGATATTTCAATGACCCCTATTTTAAAAGAAAGCATATGAAAAACATGATCTTAAAGGTTTGAATTGCAAACTAAAAATTTCAGTTTCATCCATGAAAATAGCTCTTACCATTCTTCTCATAATCAGGAAGCATTCAAGGATAAATTGTTGGCACCCATTAAAATAAAAGCTACAGTCAGCTTTCTAATCTTCATATGAGTATTTAAACATTAGCATCTACTTAAAATGAATTAGCCACTTATTTTATAGCAGTTGCTGTTGCCAGCTGTTGCTCTAAGAACCTTACGAATGATTTTGTTATAATATCCATATCAACTCAATGAGCTAGGTACAATTATTAGTCTCATTTTACAGATGAGGAAATTAAAGCAAAGAGATGTCAAATGACTTACCCAGTGCTCCACAGGCAACAAGTGCCTTTATCTCTATCCCGTGCCATTTTCTCATACAGCTTTTCATGTCTAATATATGGATACACAAATCCTTAAGCTCTCCACTATCTGGCCCAACTCAGAAGCAAGATGAAGAAAGCATTAGGTATTAATGACTGAAGGACATATATTGCTCCAATTATTTTAGGTTTCCTTTTTACCCTATTTTAAACAATAAGAAAATGATCATATTGAACACTGACCGTTTCTAAAATAGACTTCATTACTGTGTCTGATGCCAGGCCTTTCTTTTATTGGTGTATGCTCTAAGAAACAACTTCATAGATTTGTCGCTGTATTTGACATGACAATGCTACTGAGGGCTTTGTCTACTGTATTACTTTGTCTCACATTGTAAAGACCTGAGTGAAGAACATATTTTAAAATTTAGTGATAAGAAAGGGATTTGCTCTCACTGATAATCTCCCTGCCTTTTTCAACAGTCATTTACAACTGTCTCTATTTCTCTTTCACTTTGGTTACCAGGAATAACATATTTAGTTTAGTCAAATATGTGTCTTAGAGTCAAATATGAAGCTCAGTATTAAAAATGTTTTAAAGTAGGTTCTTACAGTCTGCATTTTTCTATTTTATTTTTCTATTTTATACTCTCTACTTCCCTTCTCTTTATGTCTTGGCTTCCTATTTCAGGTTGTATTTTCCCTGCTCCAGATTTTTACTAACATTTTATCTCCCCTTTGAATGTTTTACGTAAACCACCTCAAATCTCTTGTAGAATAAGATAGAGACAATTTTGTGTCCCCAAACCCCAGGGAAGCAAGGAAGCAAAAGGCATGGTCTCTGATTTTATGAAGCTCAGACATGATTGGGAACACAGCACAGGATGCAGAAGCAAATTCACCTTGGGAATATCACAAGTGGTATAGATTGAAAAAATGCTGTAGGAGTTTTGCATGAGGTCTGGGACAGTTGGAAAACACTTAAGAAGAACTAGAAACTACACTGGCCATTGAAGAAAGGCTAGAACTTCAGTAAGAGTAGTATCGAAAGAAGGTTTTTAAGAAAGGAAAATGTATTGAACCAAGATGTTAATGGGAATCTAGCTTATTCAAATAAAAATGGCAGAAGATTGTTAATTGTTAGCTCCAACATCCATTCTCATCTCTCCCTCAATTGCTGAACTTCAGTTTTATTTCAGAGCAGCCATGTAACCAGATAAAAGACTATGTTTTCCATTTCTACTTTGAAACCAGGTTAATCAAAGTAATCTGCTTTTGCCAGTGAAATATAAGCACAAAGTGTTGTGTCATTCTGTGGGACTTTGAGAAAGTCTCGTTAAAGAGAGGAAGTTTGCTCTTCTTTTCTCCTTCTACCATCCTACTGCTTGACGCCCAAGGAGCTCAATGAGCGTCTTAGACCCTGAGGATAAAGAGGACACTCAGAATGATGGAGCAGAATGCTGGGAGCAGGTTGACCATAGCTGAATATAGTGCCTCCCTTATAAAACCATTTAGCTAGAGTAGAGAATTTATACAGAGCATAATGAAAAATTGTAGGTCAGAGCTAATGTTCAGCAAACAATTATGAGCTTTATTTTATTACAACAGGAAATACATATATATATATATATATATATTTGAGACAGGTTATCACTCTGTCACTCAGGCTGAAGTGCAGTGGCACAATCTCGGCTCACTGCAGCCTTGACCTCTTGGGCCAAGTGATCCTCCCACGTCAGCCCCGCCAAGTAGCTGGGACTACAGGCATGTGCCACTACACACAGTTAACTTCAAAATTTTTTTTAGAGATATGGTTTTGTCATGTTGCCCAGGCTGGTTTTGAACTCCTGAGCTCAAGTGATCTACCCGTCTTGAACTCCCAAAGGGCTGAAATTAGATTTTATTTCAAGCAAGAATGTAAAAAATATCAAGATGAATATTATTATTATTATTTTTTTCAATTTGCAACTTGGCAAGATGAGATTGGTGATTAATCTCTTAAAACATTACAGGTGTGAGCCACCGTGCCTGGCCTATAGGAAATAAATATATATGATCACATATGTGATTTTTCAAGAAAAAGTTTCTAAGCCATTTTATTCAGCTAATTAAACTTGTATGAATTTTTTGAGTGCAATTACATGTTGTATACCAACTAAGCATATTTGTATTGATGATAAATACAGAAATATGTACCTACTCTGTGTTATTTATTTATTTATTTTTTGAGACGGCGTCTCACTGTGTCACCCAGGCTGGAGGGCAGTGGTGTGATCTCGGCTCACTGCAAGCTCCCCTCCCGGGTTCATGCCATTCTCCTGCCTCAGCCTTCCGAGTAGCTGGGACTACAGGCGCCCGCCACTGCGCCTGGCTAACTTTCTGTATTTTTAGTAGAGATGGGGTTTCACCGCTGTCTCGATCTCCTGTCCTAGTGATCTGCCCGCCTTGGCCTCCCAAAGTGCTGGGATTACAGGCGTGAGCCACCGCGCCCAGTCTTTGTGTTTACTATTACTATAAAAACATTTTATAAAAGGATAGAAGATAAATTTAAAATAATTTTGGTGTTCAAAGTTTTAATAACAGCTAAGGAAATCAGAAATATGAGTTCAATGAAAAATGTTTTTTTCTTAAGTTTATAAATGTAAACTTTAGTTTAATAACTCGTTATTAAAGAACAGATTAAAAACCAAAAATTTTAACAATACTGTTACATTTTAAATTTAAATTTAACTAAAGGAAACTCTACAAAAAAGGCTATACAAAAAGTTATTTAGAAAACTTAAACATTGCCGGGCGCGGGCGCAGTGACTTGCACCTGTAATCCTAGCACTTTGGGAGGCCGAGGCAGGTGAATCATGAGGTCAAGAGGTCAAGAGTTCAAGACCAGCCTGGCCAACATAGTGAAACACTGTCTCTACTAAAAATACAAAAATTAGCCGGGCGTGGTGGCGGGCGCCTCTAATCCCAGCTACTCAGGAGGCTGAGGCAGGAGAATTGCTTGAACCCGGGAGGCAGAGGTTGCAGTGAGTCAAAATCATGCCACTGCACACCAGTCCTGGCAACAGTGCAAGACTCCATCTCAAAAAAAAAAAAGAAAAAAGAAAAAAAGAAAAAAAAAGTAAACATTAAAATGATTTATACGTTATATAAAAGATATTAAAAACTCATTATCAGGGAAATTAGATTTTATTTCAACCAAGAATATAAAAAAATCAAAATGAATATTATTTTTTCAATTTGCAATATTGCAAGCTGAAATTTATGATTAGTTGTTAAAACATTATTTTTGTTGAGCAATTAGAAATCACTGTATTTGCTTTAGAAAACCTAGTAAAGAGATTTTGTTTGTTGTAAATGGAAGGAAGACGAGAAGACATATTTTTGAAGTTTCCCAATTTGGTGGTATTTCATGTCTAAATGAGTAAAGATTTTCCTTTTCATAACTATTTGACTCTTTGTTTTAAAGCCAGGTATATCATTCCAGGTTTCTTCTGCAGGTGCCAGAAAAGTAAATGAATAGTACTTCTGCTATAAAATCTTCTTCCCTTTCTGAAGAATTACCTTAGAGCAGTAGGTCACCAGCTGGGAGAGATATCAAACACAAATATGCCAGGAAAACGAAGTTTCACAGTCATCCAATTGGAAGCAAACGTTTTGTGGGAATCAGGTAGTTTTCTTGCTGATTTCCTAATTCTTGGTAATGTTCTCTCATGGTAATGTTATAGCAAATTGTTACGAGATGGCATTACAGAGTGATTTAGAATATCATACAGCTAAATTTGGTTATGGCAGCAAAAATGTTCTGCATTTAAAAAATGTTATAACTAATTACTAATAAATAAAGTAACTAATCAAGCTAGACTTATCCAGGGCTTTTAACACTTCAAATTGTTCATTCTAAATTATAATTATATAAGAAACAAAATATGTAAGGTTATCATGAATTATCTCTATGTTGCAAAGCAAGAGTAAACAGTAAACTAAATCTAGGTATTCACAGGAATAAGTTTAAAAATTTGGATTGCTTGAAGATGTTATGCAAAGCTAAGTTTATAAAAAATATTTCCATAGCAGTGTTGCTATTTACAGAAGATGAAAAATCAACTCACAACTGGTAGATGGTCTTAGAATGTTAAGAAAGGAAGGAAAGAAAACTTGGCAAATTCACTCTCACTAGGATCAGCTTCCTAGCTTTATAGAAGTTTGGACTCAAATATAAACTTGAGAACTTTAAGGACGTATTATCAGATAAATAACTAACACTGAAGCCTTTTCCAGTTACATGCATGAAACTACATCTTGAGAAACTAGAAAGAAATATTTAAAATCTAATATAATTTACTTATTTCCTGTTTCATAGGATGTATAATAAATATATATTATATAATTTATATTATGCATAGCATATGGTATTAAATCATATATATTTGGAATGTAAAATTGCTGAAATCTTTCCCTCCATTATTTCCTGTCTTCTTTCTTTTCTTTTTAATGTTCATTGTTAATTATTTCGAAATATTGATGACTAAGAAGTTTACCAGTTTTATATGAAATATAACTTAAAAATTACAGTATTAGAAGGTGTAGGGTCAAAAGTATGGCAGGTAGATAGATATGGGAAATGAATTGATTTAAAACAGGAGAAGTTTAGCCTAAGGTTCTGACCAAGGTTTGTTATGGTTCAATGGAGGGAGAACATAGTTGTGACACATGAAGGAAGGCTTGTAGATGAGAGAGAATTAATGGCCTATGTGAAAACAAGTAAGTGAATTAGAATAAGAATGTCAAGCAGAAGGTCTGGAAGCTACCTTGAACCACCCTTGAAATCTCTTGCATTTCATTCAAATCACTGAGCTCTGAGACTCCCTGAACTCACAATTCCATAAATTTTGTATTCTGTGTCTACATGTCTGATCCAAGTCACTCCCTGTCTCTTTCTTCTTTTTCTTAGTAATATTAGCAAATGAAAGCTTATCAGGGTAGTGATGGTGATGGGTCAGTCTGTGATAATTTCTACGAAGAGTGGATTAAGGAGCTGAGTTGTTTAACCTGGGAAAAAAACTAAGGGCAAAGTAAGTTTGCTGTGTTCAATTCCTGGAAGAACTTTTACTGGAAATTCAAGTGGATTGTTTCATGTTTCAGAAAGAATAACTAGAAAAAATCTTGACTCTAATAAATAGCATGTGAGTCATTAGATTCTTTTTTTTTCTTCCAAAAAAGAACAGTCTCCCTTATAAATTGTGTTTCTCATCACCAGTGGTTCAACCAGATGTATCGAAGGCAGATTGTAATGGATGGCTGCAAAGTAGGACTCTTTGATTCTGTGCTTTTCGTGTACACATCACCAGTCAAGAACGGGCAGACTGCCTCCTCAAGTGGGTCCCTGATCCCTGACCCCCGAGCAGCCTAACTGGGAGGCACCCCCCAGTAGGGGCAGACTGACACCTCACATGGCCGGGTACTCCTCTGAGACAAAACTTCCAGAGGAACAATCAGACAGCAGCATTTGCGGTTCACAAAAATCCGCTGTTCTGCAGCCACCGCTGCTGGTACCCAGGCAAACAGGGTCTGGAGTGGACCTCTAGCAAACTCCAACAGACCTGCAGCTGAGGGTCCTGTCTGTTAGAAGGAAAACTAACAAACAGAAAGGACATCCACACCAAAAACCCATCTGTACGTCACCATCATCAAAGACCAAAAGTAGATAAAACCACAAAGATGGGGAAAGAACAGAGCAGAAAAACTGGAAACTCTAAAAAGCAGAGCGCCTCTCCTCCTCCAAAGGAATGCAGTTCCTCACCAGCAACGGAACAAAGCTGGATGGAGAATGACTTTGACGAGTTGAGAGAAGAAGGCTTCAGACGAACAAACTACTCCGAGCTACAGGAGGAAATTTGAACCAAAGGCAAAGAAGTTGAAAACTTTGAAAAAAATTTAGACGAATGTATAACTAGAATAACCAATACAGAGAAGTGCTTAAAGGAGCTGATGGAGCTGAAAGCCAAGGCTCGAGAACTACGTGAAGAATGCAGAAGCCTCAGGAGCCGATGCGATCAACTGGAAGAAAGGGTATCAGTGATGGAATATGAAATGAGTGAAATGAAGCGAGAAGGGAAGTTTAGAGAAAAAAGAATAAAAAGAAACGAACAAAGCCTCCAAGAAATGTGGGACTATGTGAAAAGACCAAATCTACGTCTGATTGGTGTACCTGAAAGTGACGGGGAGAATGGAACCAAGTTGGAAAACACTCTGCAGTATATTATCCAGGAGAACTTCCCCAATCTAGCAAGGCAGGCCAACATTCAGATTCAGGAAATACAGAGAACGCCACAAAGATACTCCTCAAGAAGAGCAACTCCAAGACATAATTGTCAGAGTCACCAAAGTTGAAATGAAGGAAAAAATGTTAAGGGCAGCCAGAGAGAAAGGTCGGGTTACCCACAAAGGGAAGCCCATCAGACTAACAGCAGATCTCTCGGCAGAAACTCTACAAGCCAGAAGAGAGTGGGGGCCAATATTCAACATTCTTAAAGAAAAGAATTTTCAACCCAGAAGTTCATATCCAGCCAAACTAAGCTTCATAAGTGAAGGAGAAATAAAATACTTTACAGACAAGCAAATGCTGAGAGATTTTGTCACCACCAGACCTGCCCTAAAAGAGCTCCTGAAGGAAGCACTAAACATGGAAAGGAACAACCAGTACCAGCCACTGCAAAATCATGCCAAATTGTAAAGACCATCGAGGCTAGGAAGAAACTGCATCAACTAACGAGCAAAATAACCAGCTAACATCAAAATGACAGGATCAAATTCACATATAACAATATTAACTTTAAATGTAAATGGACTAAATGCTCCAATGAAAAGACACAGACTGGCAAATTGGATAAAGAGTCAAGACCCATCAGTGTGCTGTATTCAGGAAACCCATCTCACGTGCAGAGACACACACAGGCTCAAAATAAAAGGAGGGAGGAAGATCTACCAAGCAAATGGAAAACAAAAAAAGGCAGGGGTTGCAATCCTAGTCTCTGATAAAACACTTTAAACCAACAAAGATCAAAAGAGACAAAGAAGGGCATTACCTAATGGTAAAGGGATCAATTCAACAAGAAGAGCTAACTATCCTAAATATATATGCACCCAATACAGGAGCATCCACTTTCATAAAGCAAGTCCTGAGTGACCTACAAAGAGACTTAGACTCCCACACAATAATAATGGGAGACTTTAACACCCCACTGTCAACATTAGACAGATCAACGAGACAGAAAGTTAACAAGGATACCCAGGAATTGAACTCAGCTCTGCACCAAGCAGACCTAATAGACATCTACAGAACTCTCCACCCCAAATCAACAGAATATACATTTTTTTCAGCACTGCACCACACCTATTCCAAAATTGACCACATAGTTGGAAGGAAAGCTCTCCTCAGCAAATGGAAAAGAACAGAAATGATAACAAACTATCTCTCAGACCACAGTGCAATCAAACTAGAACTCAGGATTAAGAAACTCACTCAAAACCACTTAACTACATGGAAACTGAACAACCTGCTCCTGAATGACTACTGGGTACATAATGAAATGAAGGCAGAAATAAAGATGTTCCTTGAAACCAACGAGAACAAAGGTACAACATACCAGACTCTCTGGGACACATTTAAAGCAGTGTGTAGAGGGAAATTTATAGCACTAAATGCCCACAAGAGAAAGCAGGAAAGATCCAAAATTGACACCCTAATATCACAATTAAAAGAACTAGAGAAGCAAGAGCAAACACATTCAAAAGTTAGCAGAAGGCAAGAGATAACTAAAATCAGAGCAGAACTGAAGGAAATAGAGACACAAAAAACCCTTCAAAAAATTAATGAATCCAGGAGGTGGTTTTTCGAAAGGATCAACAAAATTGATGGAGCACTAGCAAGACTAATAAAGAAGAAAAGAGCAAAGAATCAAATAGACACAATAAAAAATGATAAAGGGGATATCACCACTGATCCCACAGAAATACAAACTACCATCAGAGAATACTACAAACACCTCTACGCAAATAAACTAGAAAATCTAGAAGAAATGGATAAATTCCTTGACATATACACACTCCCAAGACTAAACCAGGAAGAAGTTGAATCTCTGAATAGACCAATAACAGGCTCTGAAATTGTGGCAATAATCAATAGCTTACCAACCAAAAAGAGTCCAGGACCAGATGGATTCACAGCCGAATTCTACCAGAGGTACAAGGAGGAAGTGGTACCATTCCTTCTGAAACTATTCCAATCAATAGAAAAAGAGGGAATCCTCGCTAACTCATTTTATAAGGCCAGCATCATCCTGATACCAAAGCCGGGCAGAGACACAACCAAAAAAGAGAATTTTAGACCAATATCCTTGATGAACATTGATGCAAAAATCCTCAATAAAATACTGGCAAACCGAATCCAGCAACACATCAAAAAGCTTATCCACCATGATCAAGTGGGCTTCATCCCTGGGATGCAAGGCAGGTTCAATATACGCAAATCAATAAATGTAATCCAGCATATAAACAGAACCAAAGACAAAAACCACATGATTATCTCAATAGATGCAGAAAAGGCCTTTGACAAAATTCAACAACCCTTCATGCTAAAAACTCTCAATAAATTAGGTATTGATGAGACGTATCTCAACATAATAAGAGCTATCTGACAAACCCACAGCCAATATCACACTGAATGGGCAAAAACTGGAAGCATTCCCTTTGAAAACTGGCACAAGACAGGGATGCCCTCTCTTACCACTCCTATTCAACACAGTGTTGGAAGTTCTGGCCAGGGCAATCAGGCAGGAGAAGGAAATAAAGGGTATTCAATTAGGAAAAGAGGAAGTCAAATTGTCCCTGTTTGCAGACGACATGATTGTATATCTAGAAAACACCATTGTCTCAGCCCAAAATCTCCTTAAGCTGATAAGCAACTTCAGCAAAGTCTCAGGATACAAAATCAATGTACAAAAATCACAAGCATTCTTATACACGAATAACAGACAAACAGAGAGCCAAATCATGAGTGAACTCCCATTCACAATTGCTTCAAAGAGAATAAAATACCTAGGAAACCAACTTACAAGGGATGTGAAGGACCTCTTCAAGGAGAACTACAAACCACTGCTCAAGGAAATAAAAGAGGATACAAACAAATGGAAGAACATTCCATGCTCATGGGTAGGAAGAATCAATATCGTGAAAATGGCCATACTGCCCAAGGTAATTTATAGATTCAATAGCATTCCCATCAAGCTACCAATGCCTTTCTTCACAGAATTGGAAAAAACTACTTTAAAGTTCATATGGAACCAAAAAAGAGCCCGCATTGCCAAGTCAATCCTAAGCCAAAAGAACAAAGCTGGAGGCATCATGCTGCCTGACTTCAAACTATACTACCAGACTACAGTAACCAAAACAGCATGGTACTGGTACCAAAACAGAGATATAGATCAATGGAACAGAACAGAGCCCTCAGAAATAACACCTCATATCTACAACTATCTGATCTTTGACAAACCTGAGAAAAACAAGCAATGGGGAAAGGATTCCCTATTTAATAAATGGTGCTGGGAAGACTGGCTACCCATATGTGGAAAGCTGAAACTGGATCCCTTCCTTACACCTTATACAAAAATTAATTCAAGATGGATAAAGACTTAAACATTAGACCTAAAACCATAAAAACCCTAGAAGAAAACCTAGGCATTACCATTCAGGACATAGGCTTGGGCAAGGACTTCATGTCTAAAACACCAAAAGCAATGGCAACAAAAGCCAAAATTGACAAATGGGATCTAATTAAACTAAAGAGCTTCTGCACAGCAAAAGAAACTACCATCAGAGTGAACAGGCAACCTACAAAATGGGAGAAAATTTTCGCAACCAACTCATCTGACCAAGGGCTAATATCCAGAATCTACAATGAACTCAAACAAATTTACAAGAAAAAACAACCCCATCAAAAAGTGGGTGAAGGACATGAACAGACACTTCTCAGAAGACATTTATGCAGCCAAAAAACACATGAAAAAATGCTCACCATCACTGGCCATCAGAGAAATGCAAATCAAAACCACAATGAGATACCATCTCACACTAGTTAGAATGGCAATCATTAAAAAGTCAGGAAACAACAGATGCTGGAGAGGATGTGGAGAAATAGGAACACTTTTACACTGTTGGTGGGACTGTAAACTAGTTCAACCATCGTGAAAGTCAGTGTGGTGATTCCTCAGGGATCTAGAACTAGAAATACCATTTGACCCAGCCATCCCATTACTGGGTATATACCCAAAGGACTATAAATCATGCTGCTATAAAGACACATGCACACGTATGTTTATTGCGGCACTATTCACAATAGCAAAGACTTGGAACCAACCCAAATGTCCAACAATGATAGACTGGATTAAGAAAATGTGGCACATATACACCATGGAATACTATGCAGCCATAAAAAATGATGAGTTCATGTCCTTTGTAGGGACATGGATGAAACTGGAAATCATCATTCTCAGTAAACTATCGCAAGGACAAAAAACCAAACACCGCATATTCTCACTCATAGGTGGGAATTGAACAATGAGAACACACGGACACAGGAAGGGGAACATCACACTCTGGTGACTGTTGTGGGGTGGGGGGAGGGGAGAGGGATAGCATTAGGAAATACACATAATGCTAAATGACGAGTTAATGGGTGCAGTACACCAGCATGGCACATGTATAGATATGTAACTAACCTGCACATTGTGCACATGTACCCTAAAACTTAAAGTATAAAAAAAAAAAAAAGAATCCCTATCTCTTCCTCATCCATCCCTCTGCCACCAAGAAAATGTGTTTAATGCTTCTCTTCCCCCACAAACTACCTTCCAGTCACTGGCTGCTCCCTACCCATACTGAGGGTAACCCTTATCCTGTCTCTTACAAATATGGGTTAGCTTTGCCTGTTTTTTAAAAATTTAAATGGATTCATTCAAAGCATTCTTTTGTAACTGGCTTTTGCTCGATGATACTTGTGCGAGTCATCCTGTTTTGTTTAGTTGTAAATGATTAATTCTGATGGCTGTACATATAGTGCTTCATTGTGTGAATATGATACACTTTATTGCACCGTTGATGAGCATTTGGGGTAGTTTTCAGTTTGATGCTATTTGAATAATGGTATAACAAGCATTCTATTAAGTATCTTGTTATTGAACATATGTACACATTTCTACTGGAAATATATGTAGGAGAGAATTGCTGGGCCATGGGGTATACCTATGTTCAGCTTTAGTAGGTACCGTAAAGTAGTTTTCAAAGTGATTTTATCCATTTACGTTTATACAAGCAATGTCAGAGAATTCTGGTTGCTCTATACCCTTGTCAACATTTACTGTTGTCACTATTTGTAATTTTAGCTGTGCTGATGGATGTTTTGTGGTCAGAGTGATGGTTTAAAATCATGATTATATCTTTTCTGTTTTAAAAACACTCTCCCATGGCTTTATTAACCTAGGATAAAATCCAAGCTTCTTACCATAGTTTACAGACCTCTGTATAATCTAGCCACTGCTTATTCCTGATTTCACTTTATATCAGTCTCCCTTGTTCTCTGGATTCCAGATCTGCAGCCTTTACTTCTTTTCAAAGTTAACTTTGGAGATTTTGCATTAGGTTTTTGTCTTACCTTTTCACTTATTCAGCCTTTAATTTTAATGTTATAATGGTTTTTTAAAAAACTGATCACTGGGCAAATATAAGGAGTCAAGATAAATTAAGGTGATATGATTTGAAAAGCTCTCTTTGGTTGAGGTATTCTCAAAGTTTGAGAACAGTAAGTCCTTTAAAATCACTATTTTGTTTTCCCTTTGGATTTAGGCTTAGGCTTTGATATTAGCGATGATCAAAGAATATGTTTCCTGGCAAGGAGGAGAAAAAACGTTCCTCAACAGCCTTTTGGAGTCACTGAGATTGAATAAATGTTGACATTGATTCAAGCCCACATTCTGATCTGCAGACATTTCTTTCCCAAACAGAGCTAGGAGGAAGAGTACATTTTCTTTTATGGAAGACTGCATGATTTGAGTACTGACAGTTTAAATACTGTACACTATGATTTATTGAGAAATGGAAAGCACATTTATTATTTTTGCAAATCCTTTGTCTTTGGCATGGCTTTTATAAATCACTCTTGTCATGCACTATGAAAGAACTGTTAGCTGTTTCACTTTTACAGTTTCCATTGTCAGATGTTTTAAAATTGCAGTTGACTATATATTTGTTGAAAGGAAAAAACTGACATGATCTTGTACCTTTCACTTCTTGTAGCAGTCCTGGTTTTACATAGATTAAAGGCCATTATGGCTGTAGCATATTATGCTAGAAGTAAAATAATGATTGTAAAAGCTTTAATTTTGTTTTATTTTATATTATTACAGACTGTCAAAGGGCTAAATAGAGATATGGAGTAGCCATTAATATGTATATTAAATGAGAATATTACATAAATTTGGGAAGATCAACTTATTTTTTATGACAATGTTAATCTTAAATCTTAAACGCCATAATATATATTAGATTATATCATAATTAAAATATTTGTAGACTCTTTTGGTGTACTTGCCTTATTAAAAAAAAAAGAGTTGTCAAACTGTTGTAATGTTTCTTTGAGAATCCTGCACATCCAGTGAGAATGAAATAACAGAAGGATGCCAAACTTATCTTCTCAAAATTTACAGGAAAGAAAATCCTACAAAATGATATACATCAATGATAAATTATTTTCAACTCAAACTGTTATAAGAATATGAAGAGCTATGTTAGGAGAAGAATGGATTACCCCAAACATATTTTGTACTTACTAATTAAACTTTGAAATAACAGATTTTATAACAATTTATAAAGAAAAGTTCCTAAAGTTTTGTGGCTATGGCAGTTAAAATTTCAATAGAAAACTTATGATTGCTATAGCTGCCAGCTACTTTCAGTAGTTGATGATGAAAGATTTGTAAGATTTGCTCAAGCTATGGATGTTTTATAAAATTATCTCTAGGAAATATGCTACTAAAAGTTGTTTTCTGAATAATATTCTTCTGTGCATGGAGACATTTAGAGACTTTTTTATTTTATTTATTTATTTTTATTTTATTATTATTTTTTTGAGATAGGGTCTTGCTCTGTTGCCTAGGCTAGAGTGCAGTGGCACGATTTTGGCTCACTGAAATCTTTGCCTCCCGGGTTCAAGCCATCTTCCCACCTCAGCCTCCCAAGTAGCTGGGACTACCAGTGCATGACACCATACCTGGCTTAGTTTTGTATTTTTTGTATAGATGGGGTCTCATCATGTTCCCCAGGCTGGTCTTGAACTCCTAGGCTCAAGCGATCTGCCCACCTTGGCCTCCCAAAGTGCTAAGATTACAGGTGTGAGCCACTGTGCCAGCCTAGAGACATTTTTAAATGGGCCAGAATCTATAAACAGTGATTGCCGAAATAATCTAGAGATGACAGTGCAGAGAAATTATGTTCAGACAATAATATAAAAATTTAGAAAAGGAAGCACTAGAATTTTTAATGATCTGAAATAAATATTTTTCATAAAATTTAATGTATTCTTTTTTTGTTTGTTTTTGATACACAGTCACTCTGTCACCCAGGCTGGAGTGCAGTGGTGCAATCTCCACTCACTGCAACCTCCACCACTTGGGATCAAGTGATTCTCCCGGCTAATTTTTGTATTTTTAGTAGAGACAGGGTTTTGCCATGTTGGCCAGGCTGGTCTTGAACTCCTGACCTCAGGTGATCCACCCGCCTCGGCCTCCCAAAGTGCTGGGATTACAGGCATGAGCCACCGTGCCCAGCCTTGTTTATTCTAATTCCAGGTGTTCTCTCCAGGATGATAATACTTGGCTTTGGGTAAATATCAATTCTACCATTCAGCTTTCAGTGAAAATGTGTATTCACTGCATCACCAATATTTATTTATTCGTTAACAATATACATGTACTATGGTCCTAGTGTTTAAGTACCAGGCTTACTATATGAAGTACCTAATATATTATAAAATAAACGGAGAAATAGAAATTGAAAAGGCTGAGATGAAGATGGCATGAAAATATTTTAAAATGTCATATTTCTAGTTATGGCTTCTGAAGCACATTAGACAATATTTTAAGAAATAAAATTAGGGCAGTGCATTCATCATAAATGAAAGTTCATGTAAATTTATTTTATAGTCTCCATAATTTCAAAAAGTTTAAAGGGCTCATTGGACTCATTGCTTTCAATTCCCAATATGGCCATTGAGGAACATTTCCTAACAGGAGGGTTAGCTTCCTTGTTTTCTGATTGTTTGCTGGTGCTTGCATCATTATTACACTGTCTTTAATGTTTAATTTATTTATAGGAGTATTTTTAAGACACTTGTGCATTTTCTGAGAATAAGTTTAGTTAACATTATATAGAATAATTTGTAAACCAATTTAACTGCTTACAAGTAAGCTGAAAAGTCACGATATCCTGGCTGCCTGTGGCTCTCTCTTCCTCTCTCACCACCCCAACAGCCAAATTATCTTTCAGATCTCAGCCTCATTGCCATATTTTCTTTGGTGGATCTTTGGTGGGAAATTTTAGGTGGTTTAAATAGTTATTTCCAAAGGTTTTTCTTGCTCCATGTTTGTAGCTACCATCTCAAATAATTTCAATATGGTCAGTTCTGATTTTCTTTTGTCAGATCTTATGTACATCACTCCCTTCATTTTTATTGTTGATTGTCTTCCAATGAGTTTTTTTGTTTCCCTCTTCAATTCACCAATGCACACAGTTCTAATTATCCATCCAAGAGTAGATTATGATTATCTTAAGTCAAAAGAATGCCACTCTTTTTTTTTTTTTTTTTTTTTTTTTTTTTGAGATGGAGTTTCCCTCTGTCTCCAGGCTGGAGTGCAGTGGCGACATCTCGGCTTACTGCAACCTCTGCCTCCCGGGTCCAAGCGATTCTCCTGCCTCAGCCTCCTGAGTAGCCGGGATTGCAGGTGCCTGCCACCATATCTGGCTAATTTTTGTATTTTTAGTAGAGACAGGGGTTTCATCATGTCGGCCAGGCTGGTCTCCAACTCCTGACCTCAGGTGATTCGCCTGCCTCAGCCTCCCAAAGTGCTGGTATTATAGGCGTGACCCACCACGCCCAGCCAACAATGACATTCTTAAAGAATATTATCTTAAAAAATTCCTGATAACTAATAATGACATTTCAAACATTTTCTGAGAATATGTTCTGGGCAAAATTTTCTCAGTGTAAAATTATGCATTCTTAGTACATATTCTTAAATGTGAAGAAAGGGTTATGTGATTTTTAAGATTGTTGACGTTTTTCACTGCACTATAACATAAAAGACATTTTAAAAAAGAATTGGTTAATTTATGTGAAAAAAGAGGTTCATTTACATATATCAGGATTTACTAGTTATGGCAGGTGGCATCCACACCGATTAGAAGTTATTTTATTGTAGCTCCTGAAATCTTGATTCTGTTATCTTACTTCTATTATCAAACGCTCGGAGTATCTTGACAAAAACATTCACCGACAATGTGTTTGAATGATGTAATTAACTCAGGTAGCATGGAAAGCTGTTGTGAATTTAAGAAAAGCTTCATAAAATCCTTTTTTGGTTAAGATTCTGTTTATTGTCTAGAGTGCCTCTGTCAACAGAAAGCTCTGAAGTCAGGGAATGTTTACTGTGAGTGCTACTGTAATTAAATTTGCCATTTGAGTCATTGCCCAGGAGTGATGTCAGGTAACAGATTACGTTTGTTCACATCTCTTTAGTTTATATGAGTATTATGAGACAGATATTACTGACAGGGCTTTATAGATTCAATATTTCAACTATTTCTCTGTTTACACTTTTGAAATGATGTCTTGAAATCCTGAGAAGATATCGATGAGATTGTGCAAATCCTTTTCAAAGAGTTTCCTCCAAATTTTATGGTGAATTACAGCTAAGGAAATACTGACTTCGTTTTGCTAAATTATATTATGAAACCATATTTTTCTATGAACTGGCAGAATGAAGACTTTTCTAAGGTAGCTGTCCAGCATTAGAAGATGAATGCCTTGGAAACTAATAATAATAATGACATGACTAAAAATAATGATAACATTATAAAACATGTTTGAAGGCTGTGCATGCATTATTTCCTTCGTATAACTCTATGAGTTAAATAATATTACATTCATTTTACAGATTATGAAGCTTTGAGAAAAAAGTTAACTAACTCGCCAAAGTTCACACAAGTAGAAGCAATGAAATAGGAACTCAAATCTAGGTCTGCTTAGTTTCAGAACCCACACCTTCACCACCTCACTAGATACTTCATTCCTGGAGATGATCAAGCCTGGTCCAGAAGATGGCTTGGCAAGGAGAGCTTAGAAAGGCTTCCAACATCAGATGGATGGTGAACCAAGTGAAGTAAAACTTTCAAGCCCTGAGAATCTGTGATTCTATGTTTATATCAGTAAGAAATGTATTTTTGTGTACCTTTAGACTTCAGAAGGGGAATCGTGACTGGAGTTTCATCAAAGATGGATTTAAAATTAGTTTTAATTTAAAGCACTAAAATGGAATATGAAATAGTTTAGAAAATTTGGTTTCCAAACAAATGATCTCTTTGAATTGTAGGTTAAATTTAGTCAAAGGAAAATGGTGTGACTCCTTTGAGAGATGCCTTCCTTCAGGCCCTCGTGTCTCATCTAAGTATTATAGTCCTTTCTCTACTGGTCTACCTGCCTGGAGTTTTGTGCCTTGTAATCAACTCTCCACTATAAAGTTGAGTTATCTACTGAAATACAAACCTGATCCCGTAACCCCCCTGCCTAAAACAGTCTGTGATGATTTCCATTGTCAGTTTTTTACTTCATTGCTCAAGGCTTTGGCCTTGACTGTCTAAAGTCTCCTGATACTTTTCGGCATGCACCCACCATTCCAGACATACGGGGATTCTTTATAGCCCCTAAATCTGTTATAGAGATATACATAACTCTGTCATGCAGATTGCTCTGCACTTCTGTGTGTGCATTTGTACCTCTGACTGAATGCTTGTCTTCTCATTTTCCATCTAGAAAATGCCTACTCATACTTTCAGTTCCAGTTTAAATGAAACCTCCTGTGAGAAGTCTCTCAACTCCTCCCAGGCAAGTTAATCATTCTTTTCACAATTCCTCCAGTGCATTTGGTACATATTTTCGTTTTAACACCTTGAACTGTAATCATATCTCCACATGCTCCCAACTATGAGTTAGCTCCTCAAGGAGAATGACAACATTTTATTTAAAAAAATCTTTGTATGCCAGGCATGGTGGTTCATGCCTGTAATCCCAGCACTTTGGGAGACCGAGGCAGGTGGATCACCTGAGGTCAGGAGCTCGAGACCAGCCCAGCCAACATGGTGAAACCCTGTCTCTACTAAAAATACAAATATCAGCCGTTGTAGTGGTATGCACCTGTAATCCCAGCTACTCAGGAGGCTGAGGCAGGAGAATCACTTGAACCTGGGAGGCAGAGGTTGTGTTACTGGGGGGTCCTTGCTCACAGAGCACCCAAGATGGTGGCGAGCCACTTCCAAGATGGTGGTGGGCCGCTTCCAAGATGGTGGCAAGCCTCGTGTTCTCTGACCTGGGGTTCTTGGCCTCACGGATTCCAAGGAATGGAATCTTGGGCCATGCGGTGAGTGTTATAGCTCTATTAGAAGCCGTGGGTCACGGAAGAGAACCGTGGAGTCCAGTGACCAGTGTTTAGCTCGATTAGGATGAACCCAGGCACTTAGCCGTGCAGGAACAATGGCAAGCCTTTAGCCCAGATCAGGAGTGGCAATGGGCCCCTCGCTGGATCAGGAGCACAGCGGACACCCTGCTGGATCTGGAGGGATGGGAGTCAGCAGCGGGTCTGCGAGGGCGGCAAACAGCTGTGGTGGATGGCGAGCGAAAGCTCAGCTCGAGCCGTAACAAACATGGACCAGAAGAGTGCAGTTGCAAGATTTAATAGAGTGAAATAGAGTGAAAACAGAGCTCCCATACAAAGGGAGGGGGTCCAAAGGGGGTAGCCATTGCTGGCTCGAATGCCTGGGTTTATATCCCGATCCTTGTCCCTCCCACTGTGCTCTCAGGCAATAGATGATTGGCTATTTCTTTACCTCCTGTTTTTGCCTAATTAGAATTTTAGTGAGCGCTCTGATTGGTTGGGCGTGAGCTAAGTTGCAAGCCCCGTGTTTAAAGGTGGATGCGGTCACCTTCCCAGCTAGGCTTAGGGATTCTTAGTTGGCCTAGGAAATCCAGCTAGTCCTGTCTCTCAGTTGCAGTGAGCCGAGATCACGCCACCACCCTCCAGCCTGGGTGACAGAGCGACACTCTGTTTCAAAAAAAAAAAAAAAAAAAAAAACTTTGTGTAGCTTTTGTTTTACAAACAATTGCCTACTGCAGTTCCCAGTACAATAGCTGCTCACAATTCCCTGTTGGATGACTAGCTGAATGCTGTGTCAAGGAAGAGCATGTGAAGGAAGAGCTGAAAATTTGGGGAGTTGCTTATGCTAACATGCTTTCTTTAGAATCTATTTTTCTCCCTGTTTTTGAGAGCCCTGGAAAGATATGTTATAGGTTTGGAAAGGCATTATATGTGAAAAACTGAAGTGATACTCAGGCCCAATATGACTTATTGGAGAGGTAATGGGAATATTTGGGTTCATTATGTGATAAAAATGAAATAGTAAAACAAATAGCATATCTTTTAAAATATTTTTTAAAGGTTTCAAAGAGTTGTATGTGATGGCTGGCTGGTAGTGATCATTGGAAGTCAAAAAGTGGCCACATTCTAGATCAAGACCACACACCCCTGTGACTTTATCTGTTCATCCAGAGTAATCTCTAGCTTCTCTGAGTATAGAAATAGACACTGTGTTTGGCATAAACTCCCCCTTCTTGAAAGAGGTCCAGATTGAAGTCAAGAACTGAGTTTAAGAAAACCTAATCCTAAGCCTTCTATCTACCTTGATTTTTTAGCAGGGGTCAAGAGTGAGTTGCCAATCCTCACTCCTTAATGTCCTGGACACTTGTAGGCTTGCCACCATTTCAGCCTGACTCCACCAGGACAAATCTCAGTATGCCACTTATCTCTGTTCATACCGGTCACCACAGAAAGTGCCAGATTTCCTAAAATCCTGATATCATTGACATTCTTTCTATAAGAATGCTTTCTAGGGGGAACTGGTCTCTCACAAGAGGGCATTCCTTCTCTGCAGCCCTCTGAAGTGGTGGCTGCTTTTAATTCCACAACTCTTTCATAGCTGGACCTGAAGTTGGGAGTAGGCATTGTCTTCTCTCCTCATTGCTGCTTTCAGATCATTCTTTTTCTTTCCTGTAAAATTCCAAATTCCACGACACCCACTGCTTTTCTCTATTACTGTTATCAGCTTACTCATGGGACAACCCCAAGCCCCCACTTCGCTCCGATTTTAGCTTCTGGATCACCATCACTCTCTCCAACATTATCCCATTATTGGCAAAGATGATTCCTCCAATAATTGGCCTCTCATTCCTTTGATTGACTCTTCAACAGTGATCCATCTTCTACCCTGCCACAGCCACCTATAGCTATTGTCAAAAGATACCTCTCCCTTTTACCTTGCTCTGAGCTTTCTTTGCACCCCCCAATTGTAGCTATTATTTTATAATAGATTATGCAATTTATAATTTATTATGCCTCTTTCTAGTCATTTGTTTCCGCCAGACAGAATGTAAGTTCCTAAAGGTCAGGGATTTTTTTTTTTTTTGTATTTGCTGATTGTAGGAAACATTGGCCAGTTATTCTCCAAATCTGTTTCTTTTTTTCCTGGGTACACTGGTAGACTATATTTCCAGGCTCCCTTCCTGTTTGGTATATCCTTGTGCTTTGTTTCTGGTTAAAGGAATGTGAACAGAACTTACATACAATTTTGAGCCCCTCTTGCCTCTATGCTCCTTTTTCCTCCATTTGCCATATGGACACAGAAGATCCAACAGGAGACTCTCATGCTCTCTACAGGATAGCGGAACCACAAGATGGAAACAATTCTGGATTCCAGAGTCAACTCCTGATAGCTGCCCACCAAACACACTCATTGATCTTTTACCTGGCACAGAGGTATAGAATCCTATTGTTAAGGCATGAAAACTATTGGATTGTCTGTTATAACAGTGAGGGCATCCTGAATAATACAATAATGTGTCTAATGCACCTAGAAGTGTGACTGGAGCGTCGTAATTGTTCATTAACATATTATTCCTTTTTTTCTTCAGTAGAACGGAATTAAAGGTCTTAAAATCACCAGTACTTGCTTTACCAGTATTTCAGAACTTAGTAGTAGACTAAGGCTAACAAAGAGTCTGGCTTGGCTGGAATTGCCCTGAATTCTGATGATCTGTGCCAGAGAAGTATAATAGTTGCCCAGAGCATGATTTCCCTGGAGAATGGGGTTTTATTACAGCTGTAATAACCAAATAGAAAGGCTAGCGAAGTGCCCTGTGAATTAATCTATTCCAGACTAAGTTTGAAACTAATTAATTATTTATTTCATGGTATTTAACACCTTTGTTTAGAGTTCAAGGAATTTTTGGTGGACTGGGAAAAGACAAATTCAACTAGTTACGTGTCATTCTCACATTTACTTTCTTTATTTATAGGAAGAATTCTCTAGTAGGCTAAACAGAGGTAGAACCTGGATTCTAATGCCGGTCTTGATTATTTTGGATATCTGGGGTCAGAAATTTGCTACTTCTTTACTAGGAATCTCCAAGAGAAAATGTTCCTCTTTTTCTTCATTGATGGCTAGAAAAATCTAATAACTTTGAATGACTATGAAGGTGAAAATAAAAATGTCGTAGGGAAAAGCTAAGTAAGACATAAAGATAATAGCTAAATTGAGAATAATCAGATTTTCTTCCTGATTTCATTTGTATATCAATTTACCTTAACCAAATGTTACTATTTATAAAACGGAATTAAACAATACAGATAGTAAAAACTATTTAATAACCCTGTCTATAAGTAATATAAACATATACACACACAAATATGTCAAAAAACACTATCTCATTGAAAGAACCCTAATAACTTGGTGAAGGAATGAAAAAAATATGTACTTAGAATAATAACGTTGCTTCTGTCTTCTGTATTCCATGTCTATTTAAATTGGAAGAGAGTTCCCCAGTTTTGCCTTTACTTATAGTGAATGATTTGTAACAAAATATAATCTAGACAGAAAAAGGCATTTGTTTCCTATTTAAGTACACAATTTGTTCAAATTTGGAGGTATTTTCCAGAGATCTGCAAGTCATATTTCCTAATTCACTCTTTCCTTCTTCAGTATGCTATACATTGTATGCATAATACAATACTATATTGCTGATAATATTACCATTAACTCCTGATTTATGTGTAACTCATGACTTTTTAATTTCCTATGTTCTTTTAGAATTATTGGTTTTGTGCCTTTTTGCATAATCAATACTTGTAATTTGAAAGAGACAAAATCTAAATTAATAGAAATGTAATTCTGGTTTGCAAGTTAAAGTAGACTTTAACTTTATCTTCTATGAAACATACAATAGAAATCGATTGTGCTTGTTATTTTTTTTCAAGATTTTTTGGCTATTCAAATATATCTCAAATATTTTTTGAAATATTTTCTCCATAAAAGTGATTTTTTTCCAAGGGAAATGGAAACACTGATGATTGAGGGATTCAAAACTTCTATAATCCAAAGTGAATTATACTTGAGAACTTCAAGGTAGTTTATAAATATTAATTTCTTTTATGATGTAGACATACTAATATACATTTACCTTCACTGCATACTCTAAGCTTTATTAGTTGGACTTAACGTCTTAAACACATCTCTGCTTCCTGTTAGTCTTACAAATTGTGATTATCAAAAATACTTAATTGATTATCCACATGGAACATTCTTTAGGACTGGTCTGCACACACTTAGAGGACATGCAGTGGTTAGTTTTTGCATTGTGGAATTGCTGTTTGACCTTAGCATGACCTATCTGAGGGAATGCAGAACCATGAGTGGAATCTGGTTCCAAGTGGGGAAAATATACTAGTGTTGCATGAACTAGGGAATTACCAAAGGGACCTAACCTACCCCAGATAAGGGTTTAGGCAATGGGAGAAAAAAATTTCACCCACAAAGAATGGTAGAAATCCATAATTTTGGGAAGTGCTCTAGCCTCCTTATTTAAAAAAGAAAAAAATTCTTAAAAATCTGTGGAAAAGCAGCATCTGTCTCCTTGGTCTGTGTGTGTTTTTGAATAAACTCCCAAATGTTTCTTTGACCTCGGCACAGTTTATTGAGAGCAGTTGTCAGGCACAGATTGGGATCCACATTCCCCTAATCTGCCTTCCAAATTCCTTCTTGCATTTTGCTTGGTCGTATCCTGTGCGTTTCGACTTGGCATTTCAGCATTTGTCACTGATCCTATTTTAAAAATCAAGCTTGCCGTTGTTTTGGCTCAGGTACTTTAAAAACAAAAATTGAAAGTCAGGGAACTATTCAGGAGGTCTTGGGAAAAAAGGCAAAACCAGCTGTTTCCTGTTAGTAACAGCTGAATCTGGAGCACAGGTTTCTTTAGGCGCTGATCTGCTGTCCACTATTTCACCTCTGGTGTCTGAGCAAATATTATGTTCACTGACTTAAGATGAGAATAAAAGCAAATCTTTTTCCATCTTCCAGTTCCTTGGGAAAAAGCACAAACTTGGGAAAGGAGATGTTTATTTTAAACTTGTGATAGGAATTAAATGGTACCGAATTCCAGTCCCAGGAAAAATTGTGATTTTATTTTAGGGTAAGCAATTCCCATATCTACACATCTCTCTCAGACCCTACTTCTCGGTTTCTCGATATTGTTGCAATAAAAATGGCTATTTAACTTTTTTCTTCAAAACTTACTTGTCCTAGGTACTAACCTCTCAGAGAACTGGGAAATAATTACTTTATCAGTTAATTCACATGATGCCATTAAGAGTAATAATTGATAAATATATTAGTATTTATTCTAGTCATAGAAATTTCCGGCTCTTTCACAGGACATTTCTGAGAGATTTTTGGTCAGAATGGGCCTTCTGGTAACTGCCAAATTACATTACAAAGGCATCAGCCTAGTCTGCCTGAGTGTAAATTAATGTAGATTTATTTTTTTAAAGGATATTTGCCTATGTACACTTCCTATGCAATATGAAGAATGTGTCAAGTGTCTGCATATCTTATGTGTTTTAATTAGTATTTACTGAGTACTGTTGGTTAACCTGGCCTGATTAATAAAAACAACTTACACGAAGTAAATTCTGATGTCGTTGATTAATTAGTTCCCGTCTGGAGTCTTTTCATCAAGAAAATATCTTATGCTCATCATCAAAGGCAGGAAGGCATAAGATGGAGGGTTAAAACACATCAACTTTGGTTGGTTTCCTAAGAATTCTCTTTGGTTCTCTTTTTTGTGGGGGTAGATTTATTTTAGGAGATGACAGTTCTGCTAGACACATATGGACAGCAAAAGGGTGCTAGATCAGAAAGGGTAGGCTGATCGTTTAGAACAGGAACCCAACAACGAGATGGAAACCCAGCACCCAGGATGTGCAAATGCCTCTTTTTGTATTTTGCAAATGCAGTTATTAACTAGGGCTGTTAATGAAGGCTCTTTTTTGTTAAATCCTATTTTTAGATGTATTTACCCCTAATAATCACTAATATACTTTCAATTTTATTTTTAAAAAATTGTAAAGTGAGTTCATCTACTGAAGGAGCACTAACTTCAGTTAGCTGCGAGTGCCTCTTAATCATTTTTTTGATTCCATAAAAAATAATGTGAAAGTAACTGTTTTGATGAAATAGCAACTTGGAGGTAAAAACAGGAAATGATTGAACTTTTTAATAACTTCTATTGTCCTTTAAGCGGTAGTTCTTTCAAGTTAACCATATCTTCTGCTCTGTAGTAGTAAGTTTCCTTAAGATTATTTCAGTTCAATTCTACAACACCCTGTCATTTAGAGTTAATAAAATGTTTCATTTAGGTGAATCCTTTCTTGTTCTCCAGACTTGTTCCTCTGGTATTGGTTTGGCAAGGAAGAAGAGGGAATGAAAGGATCTGCCCTTTGAGGAACCAACAACAGGGCAACAACACACAGCAAGTTGGCTGGAATCTCTGGTTGATTGTAACTCTTGTTCTTGGATGAGAACCACTCCTCACGGGTGGTGATGAAGTTGCTGTTCTTTTGTGAGTGATCGATGCTTCGTTATCCACGTGGCTTTCAAATGCTATCACCCTTCCCCAGTTGTTGCTTCCTCACAGGGCCTTATAGGGGCCTTTTGATGCACAGCCCTCTGATAGGGGGTATCCATCTTAGTCTCAGCTTTATCTTTACCTTCTTTCCTCCCACAGCAGATGGACCACCAAGAATGCCTTGCTCTTGGGGTACATCCATCCAGTGAGTGGTCTCTTGGAATGGATATAAGCAAAATGGCTTTAACTTTGCTACCTTCTCCTTTGTCTAGGTGTGTATCAGACACCCTGGTGCATCCTAGCAACAGCACAATGGGAATGCAGGCTGGACTCTTGGCACTTCATCCTCCTGATCTGCCCCTTCTCTCCTGCTTCTTCTTGGTATTTTGCTTATCAGGAACTCTGCCACTTTCAGGCAAGAGATGATTACCAACACTTGCTTCAGTAACAAGGGGAGACACTTTTGGTTGAAAGACCAGAGCTGGAGAACCAATTCAAATAACTTTCCTCAGCCACAGAGGGGATGAAGGGAGCAATGGGTTATTCTCCACTAACTCTATAGTACTTGAAAAGGTCACTTTCGTCTTGCTTCTCTATATAGTAAAAGTCCTCTTAAAACTCTGTATGATAAAAGTCACTAAACAGGTTTGGCCTCTGTCACTTACTAATTACATTATGTAATTATACTAACAACTGGCATAAATAGATTTTGGAATAAATATAACTGACTGCTGGTAAGAACATAAATTACGGTGTAGAAACAGAAGTATAAACTCCTGGAAAAAAGATCACAGATTTGGCCTTTCACTGTGCTGCAGAAGTCAGTCAGTATGTTTTACAGAGGAACAGAGAGTTTTAATATGACAGGTCTGTTCATAAGGTGAGTTAGAGAGCTTTCACTTTAAACTTTGAGCTCTGAGCCATAAAGCAATGTTATGAACCCTAGGCTGAATGACCTGACCGGAACTTTCTAGCTACTTAGTCACAGTTAAGACTTGAAATCAGGCTTTCTCATCTCATGTCTTTTCCACTATAGTATTTGTATCCATCAGAGTTATTAAAAAAATAGAAACCACTCTGGATATTTCAAATGGAAGGAATTTATTAGAGAGAATTTGTTACACTGGAAATGTAAGAAAGAAGACATTGAGCAGGGAAGAGGGCAACAACTCAGAGGACAGCAAGTGCAGGGAGCTGCTACTATTCCTAGTGCTTGAGTGTGTCACTGGAGCCCATGGGGTGGGGTCTAGGACCAGGGAAGGGGCTGCTTTGGGAGAAGCTGGGACCACAGGGGATGGGATTGTCCAGTGGGATCCGGAGCCATGAAGAAGGTGCAGCCATTATCAGAGAAGCCAGCCACAGCAGAGACAGGGAGTAGTATCCGGTTTCTTCCTTCATCCTGTCTGCTATTCTTACACTTGTGTCTGTCTTTCCTTTTTGAATTTTCCTAGTGAATACAATGGCTATGAACTAAGAAAACACATGGCACATCTAATAACTAAGCTCTAAAGGGGCATATTTAAAGGATAAAAAGAAGCACACTTCCAGTAAGACCGGTATTTATTTAATTATTATAAAAATAATAATTACACAAATAGTAAATGATAAAATGAGACGTGATTATTGTACTGTTTATTCCTTTTCATCCTCATCACAACTTTTACAGTAATTTTACCTCTTTGTTTCTTTCCACCACATGAGAAGGAGATAAATAAAGAAGGAGATGAACCAGAAAGATGAGACAGGAAAAAAGGGGAAGGCAAGTGGAAGCATCAGAGAAGCCAATGTGGAGAGAATCAAGAAAAACAGACAAATCGAGGCAGAAAAGCAAGGCCAGTAACTGTAATGATAAAGTTTTGAAATGATGCTATGCATACTACATTTTAATGGGCAGCTTCCTCATTCAAATGAGAGGAAGGAGGAGGGATTGGGAAGGTGAGTGGAAAAGAATATTTCAAACAAATTCTATCTCCACGACATCACTTTCCTTTAGGCTGACCTTGATTTCTTGTCACCAGAGCAGGTGCCACATGTTTAGCTCTCTAAGCTGATGGTATGTCGCAAATCCCATGTTTTTATGAATATTTTAGACAACTTTTTCCTTGTGACTTAAACTCATCTAGACTCAAAAGTCTAAGTTTGGACAGCAGAAGGAAGCAAAAGCAGCAAAAGAAAGCATGCTGTAGAAAAGATACTAAAACTTGACCATAAACAGAGGAGGGAA
Organism: Homo sapiens; assembly: GCF_000001405.40. NCBI lineage: Eukaryota > Metazoa > Chordata > Mammalia > Primates > Hominidae > Homo > Homo sapiens. The sequence continues at coordinate 182,544,336 of NC_000002.12, read as the reverse complement.
ACCAGACAGCTGTATTTTACTTCAATTACTTTTGTTTACCACTATCTGTCAGGGCTAGTCCTGCTGCTACTCTGAGCAAGTTGCCCTGCTTTAATTTCAGTAGTATCTGTTTATCACCCAGTCTTGGTTGCCAGTTATGGTCAGGTCATTAATTGCTTGGTCACCTCTTAACCTCATTTGGGAAAGTTTATGTGTTGATAGTCCTGCAACTTGAACCAGGTCACTTATTTTTAAGAAGGTTAGGATTCTTTTTATTTTCTCCCGCTTATTACTGAGAGAAGTTAGTTGAAAAATACAGAGACCACTACTTAAGTAATTTTTCACCAAAGACATTCAATATCATGACAGAATTCAGGATGTGGAGGGAGACTGGCAGGTGGGGAAGGAGAGACAGAGAGGAAGAGTTGGCAGGACCCATGTGTATCATCTTCTCATTTTAGAAGCCCATATGGTGCTTCATAATGCTCTGCTCAATTGCCATATAGTTTTAGTCTACATCCTATTAAAAAGAAACCCTATTAAGAAGAGCATTTCAGTTAAATTATAAATCTCACATTATAATTCACAAAAATTTTTCACGAGTATCTGGAGTGTAATATAGACTGACCTTGAAAGATAAATTGAGACATCTTTTTTTTTAATGAAAAAATTTCTAAAAGAACTGTTTCCAATGTTTAATTTGTCAAGGACATAAAGATTACATGTCTTTGATTAAAATAAGGTTAAAGTTTGATTTTAATGTTCAAAATAAAATAACCCAAAATGTAAAAAACAAAATCCACCAAAACACTGTTACCCATAATGTAGGCATCCCCTGTTCCTTTTATAGTTTGATGTACAAAGCTGAGTCCTAATTTTAAACCCTGGGTTGGACTACCCAAACAAATCTCAGTCCCTGTCCTTAAGAATCTTGTAATCTGGTTTATCTAATGAAATATAGTTACAATAGCAAGTTGTAGTGGCTTATAACAATGGTCAGTGGTACATTAGGGTTTTGTCTTACAATGAGTAGAATAGTCGGCTACTTAGAATTAATCATACAAATCTGTATGTTTTATTTCATTTCCAGGGCATTTTTGGGAAAACATTAATAAATACACTTAAGAGAAAATGGACTTTATTTTCCACAATCTTATTTATATTTCTATATCTGAGCTATGTACACTATCAATATTTCATATATAGTGCAGGTATAAAGCATGATTTGAGTGGTCTCCTCTGATGGCTACCCTTTCCAGTGCCCACTGCTTCCTGGATTTGTAACTTCAGGGAAATAGAGCAGCTGCCTTGAGCTGACTCACTCAGAGTACACTCACAAAAACACAGCCTCTTAAAAAAGCCAAAGGAAAAACGAGATGTGGAAGCAAGGTACATCAATGATAATGCTTATAAATGTACATACACTCTAATTTCCTTTATCATTGCATTGTGAGTTCTGGCTTTTGGACATGAAGACATATGCTTATTTTCATTAACGTGATTTCCCCCTAAGAGATAAAGATATGATTTTGGCAGAGAAATCAAAACAAATGTGAATACTGAGAAACATCCAAGTTATTATCTTGACAATTGGCTTTAATACGCCAGTTGGACATCTTAACCAAAAATTTATCATTCGTTGACGTAAACCCGTAGTGTAGAAATTCTAATGATATGCCATGGAACCAAGAGATTTCTATTCCCTAAATAGGCATTACTATTTTATTGCCTAATAAAATAATAGAACATGCTATGAAGGATTAAATGAGATTTATAAAAAATTTAAAAACTGGAAATACAAATAAAATAATTCAAGACATTCAACACTTGGAATATATTAGATACTATATGTAATTTAATATATTCATTAAATTTACACAAATGTTTAATTCATACAGAATGCAAGATATTTTCATACATCTTCAGTGATGTTTTTACCTAAATTTATTTGGAACATCTACTGGTTAGCAGTTCAGAAAATCTGGGCCTTGTCTCTAATGTTAAAAGTAATTTGGCCTTAAAGAACATACATAGAGATAGCTGTCAAATAAAAGATCAAATACATCTTTTTGTGAAATTGAGCGTAGTTTAGAAAATTCGCAGAATATATAACATTTTGAAATATTTAAGGTTAGATTTTTAACTTAAAGTATATATTTTCTCTGAAATCGCATAGGTATAGATGTATAAAATAATAACTAATTTGAAAAGGCAATGCTTGATTTTAAAATAATCTAATAAAAGCAATGTATTTTATAATCACATAAAATTTTTAAAATAGGTTAATTGAGATATTTTCAGCAAATGTTTCTAAATTCCTGACATTAAATTCCCAGGTTGATTTTAATTTTCATGCTTTGGATTTGGAATTGATAGGTTTATTAGTTGGAAAAGGAATCTTAATATTCGGGCCTCTCCTTAAGCCAGTCTTTCCTGCTCAAGTCACACATAAAGCTTCATTTACAATAGTTAATTTGGAATTTTTAAACTTAATATTTCCTTTTCTAACATGTAAAGGTAATTAAGTCACAAGCAGATTTGCCTGCAAACATGCATGGCTAACAACACATTTTCAAATTTTCTACGTTCAGAGCATTAATACTCTATTATCAGTTAAATTAAATATGAACAAATATAGACCTAATGGTCAGTCTGTAATGGGTTTTAAAATAGTTACATGTGTAATAGGTTTTTATAAACCTTATTAGAGATTGAGCCTCACAAGAAAACTCTAAGGTTAGTAGGGCAGCTTTTCTCACAGCCCTTCAATAGCATAATATATTGCATTTATTGAATGTTTCCTTCCACCAAGACCCATGGTCACCATGTTACATGTATTTCCTCTCTGAAACCTCATGACAACCTAGTGAAGGAAGTTCTGTGGTTAGTCCTTTATGTCAGAGGAAACTAGAAATATTAAGCAGTTTCTGCCAGGTTACTGAGTTGGAAAGTGGTAAGACTGGGAATAGATCTAAGCTTATCTTAATCTCTGTTGGCTTTTTATTTATAGATGAAGAAACTGGAATATAGAGAGCTTAAGTGTTTAGATCATTAGCAAGGAGTAGGGCCAGAACCTGAACCCAGTTCCTGTGAATCCAAATCCAGCACTGATTCTACTGCATCACCATGGTGTGCCAAAATTATTGTAAGGGTCTTTATAAATATAACTTTTTCATTTAAATCATGTGAGGTTAGTAGTGACTTTCAGTATGTTTAGATTAGATATTGTTGTATATGTTTTGAACTCTATCCTCTTACATATAAATATATCTTGTTTCTTTGATTTCTGATTTTGTAGCCAATCAGCCATCGTTCCTTTCTCGGATCTTTCCCTCCTTCCAAGATAATTGCTGCAATTATATTGGGGGTTTTAGCTAATGGTAATAGGGAAAGCAGTTGAGTTTTCTTGCATGGAATAAGCATAAATATACAATTAGGTAATGAATATTTAGTATTTTATGGAGCCTTTCAGTTGGGGGAGGTCCTATGCATGTATATTAACATACGGTAATACAAGTACATAGTCATGTATTTGTGTCAATGTGAATTAAGAGCAATATAAATAAATATGTATTTATGTTCATTATATTTATTAAAACTACATAAGTGAATTGAAAATTTTATACCAGTTTTCGACAAACTGTGTACATATGAAGAAAGGTAAAACTGTGTAAGTCAAGATCATATATAATTTTGAATGTAAAAAATATGGCTTTACTTAAATCAAGAAATAACTAACTTAAAAATTTTTAAATATAGAGAATTTGGTTAACTCAGACACTATTTGTTTTAAGAAGTAGTTATTCTACATCAGTGTGGCCAATTTAATAATTTGGCAAGATTTTAAAGTGGGAGAGGTTAGTCCCTTGCAAAATAGCTTCCCTTTTCTGTATCCCTTGTCTCCTTCATGCACTAAAGTGCTCATGACCTCTTCTGACTTCCTGCTGCTGCTGCTGCTGCTGCTGCTGCTGCTTTTTTTTTTTTTTTTTTTCTTTGAGACAGGGTGTCTCTCTGTTGCCCAGGCTGGAGTGCAGTGGTATGTCTCAGCTCATTGCACCCTCTGCCTCCTGGGCTCAAGCAATTCTCCTGCCTCAGGCTCCCGAGTAGCTGGGATTACAGGGGCCCACCACCATGCCCAGCTAATTTTTGTATTTTTAGTAGAGACGGTGTTTCACCATGTTGGCCAGGCTGGGTTCGAACTCCTGACCTCAAATGATCCGCCTGCCTCGGCCTCCCAAAGTGCTGAATTACACGTGTGAGCCACTGCACCCAGCCACTTCCTACTTCTTTCAATAAATGATTTGATGTCAGTAATTTATGCCTTTGTGGAACTTTAGGTCAATGTCTTATTTCTCCAAGAGTTATTTGCATTTTGATATTTCTAAGTAATGCTACAATAAAAAGCTTTCTTCTAAATATAATTTTAGTCATTATCAAGCAAGTGGGAGACATATTTGAAGGGAAAGAAATGACTTCCTGAGCATAGCTGAATGAACTTTACTCCATATCTGCATAAAACTGACAATGAAGTCAACAAATCATTTGATAGGTGTTTTTACAAGTGTTTATTAACAATGCATTTCATTGTCATTCAATGCCCATTGCACTGAAACTACAGTTAGGCTATTCATACTAAACTATAAGATATCCTTGGCACTAAATAATCTATAACATGTACAGTAGTGGAGTAACACAACGTTTTTTTCCTGGCAAAATGAAGACTTTCAGTATGGGATGTGATGTATATAACAAAATAAAATTATAGCTTTTTCTAGCTAACAAACAATGAACCAAATATTCCCATAGATAGCTTTAAGTTAGGATAGAAACTATTGGTTTTTATTCAATTGCTTTGAAAGCTAGTGGAGTTATGCTCACGAATGTTCCTTTTTGGGGTTGATATTCAGAACTTTGGTTTATAAATCCTGGGCTGTCTCTGAAAGCTCACTGTTTGTTCTAGGGACTCAAAATAAAACTAATAATGCAAGCCCACCACTTGACCTAGCAGCTAGTGGGAGGACAGGGAAAATCTTGAAAGCTCCCAAGGATTTGTGATGGCTCGAGAGCCTCTTTTGTTTATAATCTTTTATGATATGAATTTCACAGAATTTAAGTTTGATTCAGATAACTTGGAAATTTACTATGAGTAAAATAAACCATGTTTGTGAAACCCTATCTCTATGAAACCCTACCTGACTCTAAGTCAGGAAGGAATTTTGTATGTTGAAGGAATGGAAAAAAGGCCAGTGTGGCTGGACCAAATCAGTGGGAAAGAGAGTGTGGGGAAAAAGTCATACAGAAAGGTACTATTGACACATAAATCAGAGCTCAAAACCTTCAAGATCTTGCAAATGAGATCCTTTAAAGATAGTGTGGATGTGCTGGCAATTTCTAACACAATAGATTGATTTTGACATAATCTTAGGTATGGACCTGAGGTAGCAAAGGGCAGAGACATGAATGTTGGGTCAGGCCGTAACTCATTACTACTGTAGGCTTAATTCATATAATGTTGATGTTTGTTTTTACTGAATGAGTACTTTTTACCACTTAAAATCAAAATGAGTTTTACAAAATCTGACACCATATGTATTTGATTCACCCAATTTTAACAAATGTCATGGAATATAGTAGAGGAGTACTAGGCCTAAAATATTTCCAAAGATATTTAGATTTAAAAATCTCTATGAATATTTATTGAAGTTTTTCTCTTGTTTAGAATCTATTCATAAGATATTTACATAATTTTATAATTAAAAGTGAAATGTGTATAGTCAAACAAATGAAGATATTTTCCTTATATGGCATGAGGCTAATAAGAATATAGAGTCCAGCAAAAAAAAGCAAAAAAAATTGGAGAAAAAATAAACAATAAAATTCTCTAAATTAATGGTGCATGCCAATATCTTTTCATACCTTGTATTTCTTCCTTCTCATAATATCTACAGAAGATATTGTTGTTCATGCATTTATCTAGCAAATACTGGTAGAGCACTTACTTTATTTCAAACACTGTTCTATATTTCTGTACATGTATCAAAAAGCAAGAGAGGCACAGTCTCTCTTGCCATGGGAGTTTATATTTGAGAAGGAGCAACACACCATAAACAAGTAAAAACAGGGAAATGTGATTGGAAGTGTCACCTGATGTGGCCTGATATTTTAGGCTGGATAAACAGACCAAGGAATGTTTGGTTCAGCATCCATTTGAGGATATGAGGAGGCAGGTGCTGGCAGAGGGAAAAGTAGTCTCAAAGACCTAACTCCGGAAAGAGTTTTGTATGTTGAAGGCATAGAAAAAAGGCCAGTGTGGCTGGACCAAATCAGTGGGAAAGAGAGTGCAGGGGAAGAAGTCATACAGAAGGGTGCTTTTGACACATAAATCGGAGCTCAAAACCTTCAAGAGCTTCAGTCTTGAAGAGCTTCAATCTCTTGTTCAAAATCCTTCAAGAGCTTCCCATTACACCTAGAACAAAATTCCAGGACTTTTCAGGGGCCTCCAAGGCTCTGTATGACATGACTTCTCCCATCCACTCACCCACTTTTCTTCTGATTACTTCCTACCAGCAACACACCTTGCTGATTGTCTAATATGCCAAGTATCTCCAGCCTCAGGAAGTTTTTATTTGCTGCTCCCTCTGCTTGAAATTTTCTTTCCATGGATATATACAGGCCTTCTTAATTTTTCTTGTTCATTTTCATTTCTTTTTATTATACTTTAAGTTCTGGAATACACGTGCATAACGTGCAAGTTTGTTACATAGGTATACCCGTGCCATGGTGGTTTGCTGCACCCATCAACCTGTCATCTACATTAGGTATTTCTCCTAATGCTATCCCTCCCCTTGCCCCCAATCCCCCGACAGGTCCCAGTGTGTGATGTTCTCCTCCCTGTGTCCATATGTTCTCATTGTTCAACTCCCAGTTATGAGTGAGAACATGCGGTGTTTGGTTTTCTGCTCCTATGTTTGTTTTCTGTGAATAATGGTTTCCAGCTTCATCCATGTCCCTGCAAAGGACATGAACTCATTCTTTTTTATGACTACATAATATTCCATGGTGTATATGTGCCACATTTTCTTTCTCTGCTCAAATTTTAAAACCTTAGAGAAGCCTACATTCAATATCAATGTAAAATCTAACCTCCTCCTATCCCTCAATATTCCTTTACTCTGCTTCTTCCAGTTGGTATGGCTATGTAAGCAGTTACACCAAAGCTTAGTTGCTTAAAACAGCAATAACTATTATTTCTCACAGTTTCTGTGAGGTCAGGAATTTGAAAATGGTTCAACTAAGTGGTTCTGGCTCTGGGTGTTTTATGATATTGCATTCATGCAGCGGCTATGGCTGGGATCATCTCTTAGCCTTCACTTACATGTTTGGCACCTGGTCTGGGAAGACTAAAGAAGCTGGGGACTAGAACACGTGGGTCTCCTTAGTCATTTTTCTCTGTAGGGACTCTCCAGCATGGTGGCTTTAGGGTAATCAGAATTCTTCCGTGGTGGCTCAAGGCTCCAAAGGCAAATGTCCTGAGGGAGAGAGTTAGCCATGTAGAAGCCATACCACCATTTATGATCTAGTCTTGGAAAGTCAGTGAGTATCACTTCTGCTGCATTCTCTTAGTTGAGGGAATTACAAAAGTTAACCCAGCTTCAAGGGAGGAGGGGAATGTGACATTTTAAGAACATGTGTAATGGTATATATAAATATATTATCCATGTTTGGAAAATACAATCTTCCACATTCCTTTTTCTTTCTCCAGTGCAGACTTTGCTCTATTTATTTTCTGTTTTCATCACTAGAATATAAGCCCTATAAAGGCAAAGCTTTTATAGTCTTCTTTACTGCTGATCAATCAGGTTTTGCTACATAGGTCAATGATTGGCATATGGTAGGCACTCAACAATTTCTGCTATTGAATGAATAAATATTTCCTGAATTAATGATCTGTGAAACAATAGAAGTATTATGAAAACTAGTGTTTTAGAGATGAAAGAAAGTTTTATAATATTCCATAAACTGTTCCAGAAACACAATAAGAGGATAGAATATACTAAAATTTTCCTAAATGTGAATTGGTTTTTATGACATGTACCTAAGTAGAAAAAAGAAAGTACATGCTTCCTGTATAACATTTTGGAAAACTGTAGCTTTTTAACATCACACTTCCTGAGTTCTCAGTTGATACAAATCACAGAAGTTGAGAAGTGTGAGTTTAGATTGTAATCTGCTCATGTGCACAGATTATAACATTGTAAATACTGTGTCAGTCACAGCCATACAAATGCCATAATGTAGCTCATGCTATATCAGTGAAGATGAGCTGTGTGGTACAGTGACCCTACTCGCTATTTCGGACTGTTCACTTTAGCATGTTCAGTGTGCCTAAATTTATGCTTCTTTTAAGGCAGACTGTTTATAATAAGAAAGGAAAAAGTATTCCTTGGATCTTCAATGAAAGTGGCAATTTTCTAAAGCCAAGAAATGTTCATTTAAAACCCATTTTCCGTAATGCACAGTGTAGTGTTCTGTGACACAAACATGGGGATATGCATTAACGTTGCCCTCTTAATAATAGCCCTCAAGGACATGACAATCAGAGGAACAGAGAAATGGGTGATTTTTCATTCCAACTGAAAACAATCTAAATATTCACAGTTAGTAGAATGGTTGAGAAATTAATTATATACCCCCGTCAAATGTACATACATTTAAAAAGACTTCCCAAAAGAGAAAGCAAAAGATCATTTTTCACAGCTGACAGCAGGATTACCTAACTAAAACTCCAAGATAGTTAACTAAAAATTAAATTCAATAAGTTAATTGGATAGAAAATAATATAAAAATACCACTAGTTTTCTTATAAACAGCAATGATTAGAAGGCAGAATGGAAAAATACGAAAGCATAATAGCCATACAATATAAAATACTTAGGACTGATGACAAGATATAAAGGAATAAGTAAAAGACAAAGTATTTAAGAGTACAGGCTTTGGAATTAGACATGAGTTTTAAATCCTGACTCTGTCTTGTACTAGACAGGAGGTTAATCTCCTTGAGTTCACTATTCCTCATCTATAAAATGAATGTAATATTAATGTGAGATTAACAGATAATGTATGCCTGGAAAAAGCACTTCAAAATAGTATCTATTAAATGTAATTTAAAATGCATCAAAACCTTATTACTAAAACTGTAGGACTTACATAAAAATAGACTGATGGGGCAATGAAATAGTAGAGGTGCTTCAGGGACAAATACAGTACTTATATATAAAAAAATACTTTTGATAAGGGCCACAATTCAAACCAATGAAGGCAGCAGAAAAATTTTAGTAAATGGTTCTGGACCATCATTTAATCTTTGGAAAAAAATAGCTAGATGTGTGTTTTTTATTTAAACACAGGTAAATTTCATGTAAACTAGAGCATTAAGTAAACAAAATAAAGCTGCATGTAAATTAGAATAAAATTTGGGTCAATACGTGTTGGATATTGACTTTAGGAAAAACCTCTAAAGCAAAAGAGCAACAGCAGAAACAAAGAGACGAATTCAACAAATTTAACTACATAAAAAGTTAGGTGTAACATAAAAAATTCAATAAAAATTGAATTACAAATGATGAGAAAAAAGGTATTTGCATCATACATGATAGGCCAAAAATTAATATAAGTAATTAATATAAAATAATCTTTACAAATTAATAATAAATATTGTGATCCCTAGAAAAGAAAAAAAGATTAAAAATTGCAGCAGGTATTTTTTTTAAAGTGGTACAAAAATTCAAAAAATACATTAATTCTCATTAGTAATAAATTTAAAGACCTTTTGGCTTATCAAACTGGTAAGTAATTTGAAAGAAAAAATTTAATATCCATTATTAGTTAGCATCCTCTGAAACGTGAATGTTCAGACATTGCAGATTAGGAAATAAATTGGAGTAAATATTAAAGATCTTACATTAGATTTATAACCCTTGACCCAATATGTTTTCTATGCAAATTTGTTTTAAGAAATAGAGATGTGTAAAAGCACTGAGATGCAAAACTATTCATTAGAGAATTCTTTATAACAAAGGAAAATTGGAAAAAAAAACAGGGATTGGCTAAATCATGATACAACCAAATGATGGTATACTATGCAGCCATTAGATGTACAATTTTGAAGAGAAGTTAAGGGAATGGGAAACTGTGCATAATACAATTTTAAAAGGATAAAGGAGTATATACTTTTATATGCCTCTACATCATAATCTAATTTGTAGTTGTTATTTCCTCTCAGGGGTTATGAGTGACTTTCATTTTTTTACTTTGCATTTTTTGATACTGGTTCAAATTCTCTACAATAATATGTATTTTATATTTAGAAAAAAATATAAAATGTTGCCATTGATATCATATTAAATGAGTTAAACCATGAAATACACATGCAGATGGCCTCAATTATATAAATAAAGATATCTAGAAAAGTGCACAGAAAGAAAGAGTTTTACCTCTTCAATTATTTTCATTTTTATTTAATCTGGTGATCCAATCCATATCCATGGAGCTCAAATTTTGATACCTTGATCTATCAACATTAAACTTTATATGATGTCTCTATACCCTGAAAGACCAGAAATTTGTGGTCCTCTCCTCCTAATTTTTAAGTTGAATTATTTTTTGATATTCCATTGTAATTATTCTAATCAATTATACTTACACTTTTATATCTATTGATAATGATTCTAATCTATTAAACTTCTTTATCTGGATTTTTCAACTTCAAGTCTCTATATCTTGATTTTTCAACTTTAAACAGTATCATTTAATTTTCCATAATATGAGCTGAGAATGTCAGTAATCATAAACTTCCCTCCACTTCTCATCCTCATTTTTCTCCCATTATCTGGCAGCTATTCCATCACTTTTACTAAGATTCAGAAGATTATCAAATGGGAATTGATAATATTGTGATTATGTAAAAGTTATTGATATATCAATAGAACATACTGCATATTTGAAATCCATTGGAAAAAATGTAATTCTTTCTTCTTTGCTTTTTTCTGAGACAGGGTCTCGCTCTGTCACCCAGGCTGGAGTGCAGTGGTGTGATCTTGGCTCACTGCGCTCTCCACCCCACGGGTTCAGGTGATCCTCCCACCTCAGCCTGCCAAATAGCTGGAATTACAGGCATGCGCCACTACACCCAGCTAATTTTTGTATTTTAGTAGAGATGCGCTTTTGCCATGTTGGCCAGGCTTGTCTCCAACTCTTGACCTCAAATGATCCACCGGCTTTGGCCTCCCAAAGTGCTGGGTTTACAGGACTGAGCCGCGCCTGGCCTCTTCTTTGCTTTTTAACAACTTTATTGAGGTATAATTTACATAATACAAAATTCATTGTTTTTTTTTTTTTTTTTTTTTTTTTTTTGAGACGGAGTCTCGCTGTGTCCCCCAGGCTGGAGTGCAGTGGCGTGATCTTGACTCATTCCAAGCTCCGCCTCCCGGGGTTCACGCCATTCTGCCTCAGCCTCCCGAGTAGCTGGGACTACAGGCGCCCACCACCGCGCCCGTATAATTTTTTGTATTTTTGGTAGAGACGGGGTCTCACCGTCCTGTCGATCTCCTGACCTCGTGTCGATCCGCCCGCCTCGGCCTCCCAAAGTGCTGGGATTACAGGCGTGAGCCACTGTGCCTGGCAAATTCATTGATTTTTAAGTATATAATTCAAAGGTTTTTAGTAAACATACCAGGTGATGCAATTATCATCACAATTGAGTTTTAGAACAGTTTCACATTTTCATTACCCCAGTAAGATCCTTATGTCCATTTACAGTTAATCCCCTTTCCTAACCCCAGCCCCTGGAAACCACTAATCTACTTCATGACTCTCTAGATTTGCCTTTTCTGCATTTCATATAATCGGAATCATACAATATGTGATCTCTTGTGTCTGGCTTTTTATAATTTTAAAAAAGTTTTTTAAAAAATTTAAACATTCCTAAATTGACACAATGTACATATTTATTGGATACATAGTGATGTTGTGATGCATAGAGTGTGTACTCTACATCAGGGTAATTAGCATATCCATTATGTCAAACATTGATCCTTTCTTTGTATTGGGTATATTTAATATCCTTCTTCTAGCTCTTTGAAACTATGCAATACATTATTGTTGATTATAGTCATCCTACAGCGTTATAGAACACTAGAATTTATTTCTTCCAAGTATACATTTGTATCCTTTAAAAAAATTTTTTTTACCAAAATGGTGTTAAGATTTATACATGTTGTAGTACACATCAGTATTCAATACCTTTTTACTGCAGCCACAAAAAAGAATGAGTTCATGTCCTTTGCAGGGACATGGATGAAGCTGGAAACCATTATTTTTAGCAAACTGTCACAAGAACAGAAAACCAAATACAACATGTTCTCACTCATAGGTGGGAGTTGAACAATGCAACACATGGACACAGGGCGGGGAACATTACACACCGGGGCCTGTAGGTGGGTGGGAGCCTGGGGGAGGGATAGTATTAGGAGATATACCTAATGTAAATGATGAGTTGATGGGTGCAGCAAACCAATATGGCACATGTTTACCTATGTAACAAACCTGCACATTGTGCACATGTACTCTAGAGCTTAAAGTATATTAAAAAACCCACAAATATTAGATTATATGACTATAATGTGAACTTGTTTGCTTCTCCTTATAGAAGAAAATACGTGAACAATACATGAAAATCTTGTAGAATACATGAAATCTCTTCTATGTATTATTTTTGCTTTATGTGTTTGGAAACTCGATTTTTATGTGCATAAACATTTGGGATTTTTATATCTTCTTAATGAACTTAAACTCTTTATCTTTAGGCTATGCCCTTTTTATTTCTTTTAATAATTTTTGCTTTAAAATCTACATTTTCTGATATTCCTATCATGACTCCAGTGTTCATTTGGTTAGTATTATTATGGTATTTTTTTTTTTTACTACCTTTTTACTTTTAATCCATTTGAGCTTTTACATTTGAAGTGCTTTTCTTATAGACCAGCATTTAGATCATTTACATTTAATGTAATTATTGACATGTTAGGATTTAAGTCTTGATTTTTTGCTTTCTTGTTTTTTCTTCTGTTTTTTGTTTCTGTTTTCTTTCTTTTGTCTTCCTATCGGTTACTTGAGCACTTTTTTTTTAGAATTTTATTTTGATTCATCTATATCTGTATTTTTAAGTGTATTTGTTTAAATAGCTATTTTTGATAGTTCCTTTTGATATCACTATCTATGCATAGCTTATAAAAATCTACTGATATGTCATTATTTTATCAGTTTGAGAGAAGTATAGAACTCTCACCTCATTTATGTCCCTTTACTCTCTCCCATTTATAATAATTTTATATATTCCACTGTATACACTTAGAACCATATCAGATGATATAATTATTGCTTCAACTTTTAAACAATTTATAAAACTCAAGAGGATGAAGAAAGGCTATGATATTTACCTGCATTTTTGCTTACTGTGCTTTTTGTTTTTTCCTGATGTTTCAAGTTTCATTTTATTATTTTCTTTCTGTTTGGACAATTTCCTTTAGCTATTGTTTTAAAGAAGGTATTTTGGTGACACATTCTTTTAGTTTTTCTTTATCTGTTATTGTCTTAGTTTTACCTTCATTTCTGAAGAATATTTTCACTGAATATGGATTTCAAATTTGACAGATCTTTTCTTGTAGTACTTGAAAAAAGCTGTGCCACATCTTTCTGCCCTCTATGGTTTCTGATGACAAATCCATTGTCACTGTAAATGTTTTTTCTCTATAGGTAAGAATTTTTCTCTCACTGCTTTCAAGATTTTTTCCTCATCTTTAGTTTTCAGAATCTTCACTACAATATGTCTTGATGTGGATTTCTTTGGGTTTACCCTATTTGAGATCCATTCATCCTGAGTCTCTAGGTGTATGTCTCTTGCCAAATTTGGAAGGCTTTTATTTATTATTTCTTTGAGTTTTCCCACCCCCCTGCTTTTCATCTGGCATCTTTTCATCTGGCATCCCATTACCTTCACTGTGGTTTAAAATTTCTCTCAAAGTTGCTAATCTGGGGCAACTATACAGTTTATTCTGTTTGTTTCTCATAAGGATACTGTCTCTTGTTGCCTGATGGCTAATGGCTTGAAAACAATATATTTTGTCTGCTTTCTGGCTAATTTAGATGGTCCTCATTACTCAATCTTGTTTAGAAGCAGAAGCCTGAATTTCTTTTTAGTAAGAGTTTGCAATGTGTTTTGCTTCCTGAATTTGAATTTTCTTGTTTTCCACTGATTCTGGAATCGTCTTAATTGCTTCCTTTTCATATTTTTCTGCTTCTGTATTCAATCTATTTTACACTTCTGAAAATCCAAAGAGATTGTGTTAGTTCATTTTCATGCTGCTGATAAAGACATACCGAGGCTGGGTAATTTATGAAGGAAAAGAGGTTTAATGGACTCACAGTTCCACATGGTTAGGGAGGCCTCACAATCATGGTGGAAATCAAGTCACATCTTATATGGTGGCAGACAAGAGAGAATGAGAGCCAAGTGAAAGGCTTATAAAACCATCAGATCTCTTGAGACTTATTCACTACCATGAAGACAGTATGGGGAAATCAGCTCCCATGATTCAATTATCTCCCAGTGGTCCTCCCCACAACATGTGGGAATTATGGGAGCTACAATTCAAAATGAGATTTGGGTGGAGACACACATATCATTCCGCTCCTGGCCCCCTCCCAAACCTCGTGGTCTCACTTTTCAAAATCAATCATGCCTTCTCAACAGTCCCCCAAAGTATTAACTCATTTCAGCATTAACTCAAAAGTCCACAGTCCAAAGTCTCATCTGAGACAAGGCAAGTCCCTTCTGCCTATGAGTCTGTAAAATAAAAGGCAAGCTAGTTACTTTCTAGATATGATGGGGGTATGGGCATTGGGTAAATATAACTGTTCCAAATGGGAGAAATTGGCCAAAACAAAAGGGCTACAGGCCCTATCAAGTTCGAAATCCAGTGGGACAGTCAAATCTTAAAGCTCCAAAATGATCTCCTTTGACTCCATGTCTCACATACAGGTCATATTGATGCAAAAGGTAGGTTCCCATGGTCTTTGGCAGCTCTGCCCCTGTGGCTCTGCAGGTTATAGCCTCCCTCCCAGCTGCTTTCATGCACTGGCATTGAGAGTCTGTGGTACCTATCCACGTGCACGGTGCAAGCTGTTTGTAGATCTGCTATTCTGGGGTCTGGAGGACGGTGGCCCTCTTCTCACAGCTCCACTAGGTAGTATCCAAGTGGGGACTCTGTGTGGAGGCTTCAACCCCACATTTCCCTTCCATACTGCCCAAGCAGAGGTTCTCCATGAGGGCCCCACCCCAGCAGCAAACTTCTGTTTGGACATCCAGATATTTCCATACATCCTCTGAAATCTAGGTGAAGGTTCCCAAACCTCAATTCTTGATTTCTGTGCACTTGTAGGCTCAACACCACCTGGAAGCTGCCAAGGCTTGGGGCTTGCACCCTCTGAAGCCATGGCCTGAGCTGTACCTTGGCCCCTTTTAGCCATGGCTGGACTGGCTGGGATACAGGGCACGAAATCCCTAGGCTGTACACAGCACGGGAGCCTTGGGCCTGGCCCACAAAAACATTTTTCCTCCTAGACCTCCAGGCTTGTGATGGGAGGGGCTGCCACAAAGGTCTCTGACATACTGTGGAGGCATTTCCCCCATTGTCTTGGTGATTATCATTTGGCTCCTCATTACTTATGCAAATTTCTGTAGCCGGCTTGAGTTTCTTCTCAGAAAATGTGCTTTTCCTTTCTATCACATCCTCAGGCTGCAAATATTCCAAACTTTTATGCTCTGTTTCCCTTTTAAAACTGAATGCTTTTAACAGTACCCAAGTCACTTCTTGACTGCTTTGCTGCTTAGGCATTTCTTCTGTTAAATACCCTACCTCATCTCCCTCAATTTCCAAATTCCACAAATCTCTAGGGCAGGGGCAAAGTGCCACCAGTCTCTTTGCTAAAACATAGCAAGAGTCACCTTTACTGCAGTTCCGAACAAGTTCCTCATCTCTATTTGAGACCACCTCAGCCTGGATTTCATTGTTCATATCACTATCAGCATTTTGGTCAAAGCCATTTAACAAGTCTCTAGAAAGTTCCAAACTTTCCCACCTTTTCCTGTCTTCTTCTGAGCTCTCCAAATTGTTCCAACCTCTGCTTGTTACCCAGTTCCAAAGTTGCTTTCACTTTTTGAGTATCTTTACAGCAGTGCCCCACTCTACTGGTACCAATTTACTGTATTAGTCCATTTTCATGCTGCTGATGAAGACATACCTGAGACTGGGTAATTTATAAAGAAAAAGCGGTTTAATGGACTCACAGTTCCACATGGCTGGGGAGGCCTTACAATCGTGGTGGAAGGCGAAAGTCACATCTTACATGGTGGCAGACGAGAGAATGAGAGCCAAGCAAAAGGCTTACAAAACTATGAGATCTCATGAGACTTATTCACTACAACAAAAACAGTGTAAGGGAAACCACCCCTATGATTCAATTATCTCCCACCAGGTTCCTCCCACAACACATGGGAATTATGGGAGCTACAATTCAAAATGAGATTTGGATGGGAACACAGCCAAACCATATTAGACATGTACATTAGGAACTTTTTTTGTCTTTCTTGACGTCTAAGTTATTTTTTCATAATCTCACTTCTGTGTCTATCTGTACATTTTGGGCAATTTCTTCAGATTTTTCTTTTCTTTTTTTCTTTTTTTGACATGGGGTCTCTCTGTCACCCATGCTGGAGTGCAGTGGCATGAACAAGGCTCACTGCAGCCTCAACTTCCTGGGCTCAAGTGATCCTCCCACCTCAGCCCCCCAAGTAGCAGGGACTACAGGCACACACTACCATGCCTGGCTTTTTTGTGTATATATATGTGTGTATATATATATGTGTATATATATATATATATATATATATATATATATATATATATATATATTTTTTTTTTTTTTTTTTTTTTTTTATAGAGAAAGGGTTTCACCATATTGTCCAGGCTAATCTTGAACTGCTGAGCTGAAGTGATCTGCCTGCTTTGGCCTCCCAAAGTGCTGGGTTTATGGGCATGACTCATGGCTCCCAGCCTCTTCATATTTTTCTTATTAGCTAATTCTCTTTCTGTTCTTACCTTGTACATTGAATATGTAATTTCAATGGTTCTTTTTTAATTAAAAAAATTCTTTTTACTTCCTTTTCCTGAATGGTCCTTTAAAAAAATAGAATATCTTTTATTGGTCATGTTTTGACCAATAATTTTTTCTATTTATTTAAAATTTAAACATTGTTATAACTTATTAGGTAATTACAATACCTGAAAAAAGAAAAAAAAGTAACTAATGAGAAAAATCAGAAACATAGCAACAGATATTCATAAACAAATGAGGGTGTGGTTCTATTAGTTTTTGTCTAGTGACTCTTACTAGTGATGACTTGATTAACTATGTGTTTTATAATTTTGAATTGTAAGCTCATATTTGACTAGATTTATCTGTAAGAATTTTAAGAGGTGTGTTTCAGGATTCATTCCTCCAAAGAAATTTGCTTTCCTTATTCTAGGTAACCTTGGATGCCACTAACCCAAGATCATTTTAAGTTTTGCTGTTTCTCAGACAAAGCTGGTAGTTTAAGTTTAATCAAACTCATAGATGGCAGTTCCATTGTTAAAATCTATCAAAGAATGCTTTTATTTTGTTTTTCCTCTCCTAGAGACTAAGCTGAGAGAGAACATTTTTTCAGGTATCTCTTGGCCACACTTAACGCTTTCTTGTCCACAAATTGACTACATGGGTAGCCTTTTATGGTTTCTATCTTTCTGGGAGGACCTTGGTTTCAAGTCTTCATACTGTACAGACCCAAACCCTTATTTTCTGTTTCCTATATACTGATTATAATACAAGGCTGTAGATTACTATGTTTGATAAATGTCCTTACAATTCTAATTTTTTTGTCCCTGTTCATTTTGGACTTCATTTTATATAGGTTCAGTTATGCATTCAAAATAATATTTATTGGAATTTTTCCAATATTTGAAAATTATTTTTGGTCTGGAAGTTTTAAGAGTACCTTAGTCTGCGATATTGTTCAGAAATTAAGATATTTTCTAAATTATTTTCTTGTCAGTGAAAACATAATGTACTTTTATTATCAATAAAACAGTATTTTGTTTTTAAATATTCTTGATGAATTTAATCCACTTTTTCTTGAAGCCATATTTTTGATCCCTATGATTTCTTGTTCTCACCTGAATTGATTTCTTCCTAGCCCTTCTTCACAGATGCTAACTTGGGATTTTGTTTATGATTTTCCATTGCTATGTTTCTGATTTTTCTCATTAATTACTTTTTTTTCTTTTTTCAGGTATATTAACTCATGTAATTATTTTTAACGAGTATTTGAATGGTATGCTTTCTGAATTTGGTGTTCTGAATGTGTCATCATTTATCTTTGTCATTGAGTGATGGCTTACTGGCTAAAGAATTAAAATTATTTTCTTTACCATTTGTTACATGGTGCCAATGTATTAGTCATTCTTACATTGCTATAAAGAAATATCTGAGACTGGGTAACTTATAAAGAAAAGAGGTTTAATTGGCTCATGGTTCTGCAGGCTGTAAAGGAAGCATAGCTGCTTCTGGGGAGGCCTCAGGAAACTTTCAATCTTGGCGGAAGGTGAAGGAGAAGCAGGCACATCTTACATGACCACAGCAGGAGGATGGTGCTAAACCACTAGAAATCACCCCCATGATCCAATCACCTCCCACCAGGCCCCACCTCTAGAACTGGGGCTTATATTTTAACATGAGATTTGAGTGGGCACAGATCCAAACTACATCAGCCAATATAACCTTAATACGAAAACCAATAAACCTAGTGACACAAATACTTAGAACAATTTTGCTTATAAATAAGGATGTAGTTTCTAAACAAAAGGAACACCAGCAATGCATAAAAACAATGATTACAAATGATTTGGGAAATAATTGTCACTAAAATCTATTGAATAATTACACTATAATGAAAAGGAAAAAAATCAAGTAATATTATCAATAATAATAAGAACTAATAATTATTAAGCAATTATTATGTGCCAGATAACTGTTTTAATTTCTTTACTTGTATTAACTCATTCAGTGCATGAACACTATGAGGAGATGTTATTATTATGCTCATTTTATACATGAAGAAACAGACAAAAATTGTAACTTGTAAAAAATCACATAATTCTTTCAGTGAAAGAATAAGGATTCAAACCCAGGTAGTCTAGATTTAGAGTATATGTTATATTACATTTTGGCAATAGTAGATACTAAATTCATTCTATACATTTTTGTCACCATTCCTAATAAAATATTAGGTAAACAGGAATGAAGGAACTACTTGTTCTAATAGAGATAATTTACCTGACTGTAGAGTTAAAGCAAAATAAATGGAAACTATGAGAAATGAGGGACATACAAATTGGATCATTTTTTACTGTATTTTTATGACTATTTTCTCAATTTTCCCTTGCAGAACTTATATTGAATTTTTTTGTAAACTAACAAAGAAAAATGATTTGAATTCTCTATGTTAACAGAAGTAACTTTTTGATACTTCCTAAGGATGAAGATTATCTTGGTCAAGGATTTAAATAATAAGCTATTTTATCTAGTTTATTATTCAAAATTTTATTTTATGAAACATTTAATGAAATGATTAAGGATTTTTTTCTAGTAAGTGACCGAATTAGTATACCTTGAGGTCTTAAATATCAATGTGTGATAGAAGTTACATAGTGAAAGCAAAGGGCAAATGAATTGTAGTATTGAAACAAGATTCTTAGACATATACTTAAGTAGAATAGTTCTCATTCTTTATTTACTTTGCAATGTTATTGGTAAGCTGGTCAATGTGAGGTCTTGACATTTCATGTCATATTTAGAAAATCATCTGTATAGCCTCAAGGACTTAGGTATCTTGATTCATAAAATAATAATTATAGAGTACTTGCTATCTATGGAGATTTTTGGCTGCAATATTTCTTTGAAAGCAGAACATAGATGTTTGTTGACTGTTTCATTAAAGAAATATCAGGTAACAGTTTATTACATGAATATAGCTAAGATTACAAATGAAGGCACAGTGAGGGTAAAATTGGTACTTTCAGGGCAAAGATTCACTTATTTCTGACAACTCTGGTAAATGCTTATAGGAATGAAGTTTTAATTTCACAAAGCTGTCTGCTAGCTAAAGACATTACATTCAGATTGAATTCTGGAAATATCTTGTCTGAGAAAGGAAAATGGAAGCCTCACTTGATTTACCCTCTTATAATTTGCAAATCAGAAGCCATTTTCTATAACATTTTGCAAAGGTCCTTTTTACGTACACATTATAACTGACTACTAGATAGCATCAGTGTCATTTGTATAGACATAGTAATTTTACATTGGAAGACTAATTGTTAATAATAGTTCCCATTTTTAAGAATTAGCTTTAAATCTGGAGAATGTCTCTGTTTCTCAGTTTTCTCAACTGTTGAACAGGAGTATTGCCTATCTCACAGGCATCTTGTAAGAATTTAAAAAGGTAATATGTAATAGGTACTGAGAACATTGTCTGAAACATCAGAAATATTCAACAAATATTGGATGTTATTACCAATCTTTGAATGTCTCTACCTTAAAACTCATAGTAACAGGCAAGTTTTCTTGCAAGAAGAAATAAAACTACATCTGGGTTTTCAAACAAACAAGAAGAAATATTGTTTATAAGTATATTTTCTATAGCAGCTTGCAGATAGCAAGAGCTGTTATGGTGCTCATACTTAAGGTCTGTGCTTGTTTCAAAGAAAGCTCGCCATGTGTTAGGAGCTTGGCAGACGACTCAGTTCTGATTCCTTTTATGTCCACTCTCTCTCATTTCTCTTCTAAAATGCACAAGCCGCAAACCATCAGTTTCTCTCTTGTCCCTCTCTCCCTTTCTCCTTCTCTCTCTCATAAACACACACACACAAATCTATTCCCTTTTCCTTCAAAAAACACACACACACACAAGTGCATTTACACTAGTTTCATTTTATTTATTTTTTAATCCCCAAAGGATTCATAGAGCAGGCTGTGTGCAGCTGCCGTATTTTCCACTGGTTAAATTGGCAGTTACCTACTGTGTGGAGTTGCTAGGAGAAGGTGAATAAGCATGCTTACAGCATCAGTTGATGTACATATTCTTGCAATAACAACCTGTGGAGCTGTGTTCTTCTGTATGGCTTTAGATGTTATTTTCTCTTTGTTATCATTAATATTTGTTGCATTTATTGTTAGATGATGATACATTTTTAAGTGTTAGTTTCAGATCAATTTAGAGAAAAAAACCTTGGCATTTAAACAGGCACTTTTTTTTCTCATGGTGGTGCTGCTGATACTGGCTCCTACCATCTGTTTCCTTATTACATCCTGCCCTTGTTCTGTTGGTAGAGAGGAATTCAGCTTCTTCTGGAGCGCGAAAGTCATTCACGTTTCTCTTGTGCATAATAGAGCTCGTAAACTGTAGGAATTCTGATGTGCTTCAGTGCACAGAACAGTAACAGATGAGCTGCTTTTGGGGAGAGCTTGAGTACTCAGTCGGTCAGTAGTACAGTAGCAGGCTCACATGTACGGATTGTTCTTGTGAGGTCAGAGCATCTGTTTATACTGCTGTCTGCTTAGGGGGGTGGTGAGGTGGTGAGCAGTGGATATATGCCTGTCAAAGTCAATAGCAAATCTGTCAGAGTCTTCCCTCAGCTTTGTACATCAGCACTGTTTTGATAGATAAGAGAGGCTACTGTATAAGTGTGTAAGATTTGTAATGGACTGAGGAATGCTTGTTCTAGCTGCTGAAACTGACTGTAACTGTATTGTCTTAGGAGCATCATCATGGGGTCTAGTGCCACAGAGATTGAAGAATTGGAAAACACCACTTTTAAGTATCTTACAGGAGAACAGACTGAAAAAATGTGGCAGCGCCTGAAAGGAATGTGAGTATGCTCTTTGCTTTTTATTTCCCCCCAAAAGATTTGACTATTAACGTGACTAATTGTTGGTGCTATCCGCCTTTGTGGGCTAGTTTCCTTTAGAAAGATTTTCTCTCGAAAAATAAAATGTGCCTACCTCAGCTAACAACTTGTTGAAAGACGAATGATTTTTTGTACTTGCACATGTTATTAAAGTAAGGTAACTTCTGGAGAAGTCACTTTACTGTCATATTACATGGTTTCTTTTACGCATTCTGTATGTGCTGTTTAGATATGTGGTTCAGATATGCAGAAAGGTAACTAAGAAAGCCATTTGCCGGGATACTGCCACAAATAAAATTTCCCTCAGGTAAGCAGAGAGAGAAATAAGACTGATACTTCTTTCTCTGTGATTAGATTTGGAAAAGCAATGAGATGATTAATATGATAATAAATAATTATACTTTATTGTGCTTCTTTTTGCTTAAATGATATTTCTATAAGAAAAAATGTTTACGTGATAAAAATATTAACAGCATATCAAACTTATTGGAGAGTTTTGGCTTTAAATTAACCAGTTCACAGTTCACTTCTCCTGAGAGTACAGAATAGTCCATAGTACATAATAGCCCTTAGTAAAATGGGTCAAGAATTATGCATTATGTCAAACATGGGATGTAATTACCTAAGTCAGACGTTAATTGCAATGCTATTCAGCTTGATATTTACACCCTTACATTTTTTTTAGCTGTGTGTGCTACTAGTTCCTGTTTAGTGTTTCAGCACCACACTGTTTGTATGCTTTATCTTAATTGTCATAATTTAAAAATCAGATTTAACATTTGGATAAAAATGAGAAATATGAATATGAATTTTACAGGCCGTTGTAATTGCTTAGTATATTTGCAGATCTCAAATGAAAATATTAATATATTTGCTTTTCTATAATAACAGCTGAAAGAATCCTACACTATGCAAAATAGAGATTTTCTAAGATTTATATCTCTAATGCTGTATTTACACACTATTTTTAAAAATTCAGTACCTGAGTAAATTTGATGTCCCTGTTTGATATTTTTTTAAAGAAAATTACATCAAACTTTGTTTAGAGGTAAAAATTCCTTCTGCTTTCCTCCATTTGATTGTATTTAATGATGTTTGTGTATTTAAATATTGTTCTTTGTATATTTTCTTACTTCTTGAAGTAATACATGGCTTTACAGTGCATTAGTGTAAGAGCACAATAATGCAAAGAACATATAGCAGAGAATAACTTTCAAAAAGGAAGCCATCTTTACATTATTTGGATGAGCTAGAAATCTGTTTCTAAGATCCATTGAAGATTTAGAAATTACAGCTTTTTGGTGAGGTTGTTCTCTAGCGGAACAAGTAATCCTATCAAAGCAAATAACAGCTCTCAAAATTAATTAGCATAGATGCAAATTAAACATTAGCAGTCAGCAGATGATTTGTGTTTTAGCCTAATGAGTGGATGAACATCAGTACCGGGAAAATTATGTCTCTCATTACAACCTATTTTAGATTTTCTTCTCCTTAGAAGGATGTTTTGCTTATTTTGTTTTGTTTGCATTTTTCTAGTTTCCTGTAGTTACTTGAATGTATGAAGATGTATGCTGGTGGATTTATGCATATGTCTTTAAGAAATTTGAAAAGTGATTTTGTGTTTATTTGATACTTTAGGGCAAAGTTACTGACTCACTGTATCAGTTGGTCTCAGAGATCAATCTGTCATTTTATTTCAGAAAAGGGTGATAGAGTCATCCAACAGTAGATCTTCATGAATTGATAGAAGGATATATGAAAATATGTACATGCAAAATTAATTTTGAGTTGTGTTTATTTAGAGCCACTAAATAATCATTAACCAAGTTTCTTTCTTTCTTTCTTTTAAAAATCATTATCTAACTGACTAAAATGACTGCTTTTTCATTGAATAAAGAAGAAATTGCATTTTGGTACTATCACTTTAACTTGTACTTTGACTTAGTACATTTTCAGTGTTCAAGGCTTAGAATTGTCAAAGCGAGAAACTCTAAATCTAAAATCTGCATGACTAATGACAACCAAATTGTTTAATTATGGTCTTTTGTATAGTTTGCATTCAGAGCAGTGATATGAGGGACTCCCTATTCCATTGCTGATATTGTCTTGTCTATTTAAAATGCAATATTGATTCAAACAGAATTTTAGCTTATCAAAATTGCTGGTACTAGAATTCTACACTTAAGTTTTGGCAATTAAAATCATGCTACTCATTAAACCTATCAAACAATTGTGCAATAGTTTTCTTATTTTTGCTAAAATAGACTAAAGACCTTTAGATATTTGTTTAGAAAGTGATTTTTAAAATCTTGTACTTTATAAATATATTGACTTATTTTGGCATAATATACTGTTTTTAATTGAGCTTCCAGTATGTAAATTTTAAGGTTAAATAAAAATAGAGACAAAGGTGAAAGTAAAATAATGTTTATTCAATTATGCCTTAAATGTAGAAATCATGAACCATTACAGGTAGATATTTAGAGAAAATATCTTATAGGGATTGTTATATGACATAACATTTTAGAGAGTCTTTTGAGTCCATAGAAATAATTTTTAAATTTTGGAACACGTGGAAAACATTGGTAACTAAATTAAAATATCAATGCTGTCTACCATTTTTGTTTTCTTTTATTGAGCTTCTTCTAAATTGTCTTCATATAATATTTGAGACACCATATAAAGTTATGTGCCAAGAAATCTCTTTTTCTTTTGTGACAAGAAAGGTGAAACAGTTTCTTACTCCCATTCTGATGTAGACTTCTCTGCATTAGTCTATTAATTTTCTTCTTATATTACAATCTTTTTATTTATCTTTTTCCATATTCAACCACTAATTTGTTACTCAGTACAACAATTTAGATTCTACACTACAAGTCATCATCTATGATGGTGGAAATATGGGCAAATAACTATGGCATCAGGTCTTTCATAAATTAGATTTAAAAAGAATTATATACTTGGCCATAAGTTATCAATCGTTTAGGGCTGGAAAACACTTCCTATTTCTTATGCCATCTCAACACCAAATGAAATTTCTGATTCAGAAGTTTCTTATGAATTTGGGACCTAGACTTCTTCCTACATACTAAGAAAACATAGCTATTGATAGTCTTTCAAAGATTGTCAATTTCATTGATTTCCATGTGGAAAGTTGGTTTGAAGATTTTACAGTATTTCACCTATGCATTGTGTTTCTTTTCCATTTGAAAGATAAATGCCTTTTTGTGTCATGTACTGTTGCTTTTTTTTTCTCTAAACATACAAAGAGTTCCACACCTGTGGATTTTATTAAAAAATTAAACATTTAAAAAACACTGGTGTTGCTCTTTCCAGTTAGTGACATTGCTATAAGAATTCAATCTAAGAGGTGACAGCATTTTCAGAAAACTGAAAATGAGCATTTTTCAGGTAGAAAATTCAGTGAAAACGACATGAAATTATAGGGAAAAATCTAAAACAAAGTATTATCTTACTCAGGCATTCAAGAGAAGAGAAGAAAGTATGAACTGCCAGAAACCATAAACTACTGACAAAAATGTAATACTCACCACTTCATAGTACTTACTGCCCCAGTTCCTTCAGTTTTTATAAACATAGTACTAGAATCTATCACAATTTCAGTTAGAAGCTAACTTTATATCTGATCGCTAATTTTACACGTCTCGACACATACCTCCTTATCTCCCCCATCCCGACGAATGTCCAGATATTAATTTTAAGACTTGGAATTGTGAATGCAATGCTTGAAAGACATTAAGTTAAGCTTCGTTGTCTTTTTTTTCTCTGTGATTGGTAGGGTAGTGAACATGACTATCAATAGTGAAGGACAAAATGTTTAGAAGCAAAAAGTGAAGGAGAGAAGAATTAGATGGTAATCTTTTAATTCTAAGCAACTGTTATTGTTGAAGAGGGCAGTATGTTGTGTAGTTCTCAGATGGAGTTGTCCAGGCCCTTATCACCAAGAGGATGTAGCAGAAATATACATTTAAAATAAAAATTAGCAAAAAAAACATGGAAGTGACAGGAGCTATTAGCATCATATTCCCAAATTGGAACCATACTTTAGGATGAAGGTGCATTATAGATAAGACACAAATTTGATCCTTTTACTCTCTGCTTAAACACCTTTAAAGCTTTGCATCCTTCACAGGGTCACTGTATACCAGCTTGATCTTTGGATTCTCCTCTAATGCCTCTCCTTCTGTGACATGCCTCCTATTCAGACCTAGGGTCACCCAAAAGAAACATTGCTTACCACCCCTTTTCCTGTGCTCATTTTGTTCTCTCTTCTGGAGGCAACTGTTCCTCCGTTTTCCTTTCAGCCAGGTTTGCTCTTGTTCTATACGAAGCTTTTGGAGTTGCGTAGGGAAGTTTCTGGTGGTTGCAGTGATGGCAAGGTGTTTCTGCATTTAGTGGGCAGCAGGGTCCGGGTAGGCTAAATGTCCTGCAGAGCTCAGGGCATTTCCTTATCAGGAGGAGTTGTCCCACTCAAAATTCTGATAGATATCCTGTTAAAAATGTGCAAAGATTGCTGCTTAAATTTCACTTGCAAAGGAAATTCTTCCTGACCTTCCAGACTAGATTAGTTTTTTATTTTCAGCTCATAAATAACCTGTATTTCTCTTCTCGTAACAAAATCCACCTTCCCTATTCAACCACAGCTTTTGAGTGCAAGAGCTATGCTCACTTCATTGGATTTGCTCTTGGATTCCAGCACATAGCACAGTACTTAGCACATAGGAGATAATGCAATTAATATTTTAAGTCAATGAATGAATAAAATTCTGAATCTTATACTGGCTGTAACTAGAAAATTAGATCAGCCAGGCTGCGAAAATAGTGACTAAAACCAGGTGGGAGGATTGGAGATAGATTCACAGCTGGAATAAACATGGAGAAGATGGAAGGGTGTTTGCTTTATCATCTTTATCATCATATTGTTAGAATTGTGCAGATATAACATATTTGTATTCTTACTCCCCACCAGTGTTCTTAAAAACATAAGTCTCTTAAGTAGTTATGCAGCTAGTATCTGGTAGAACATGGGTTTAAACATAGATATACCTAGCTCTAACATTATATTTATCTTGCATCCAATACAGAAAAGATGACAGTCTCAGAAGACACCAGAAAAGGATCTACAATGGTTCTCCTTAAAACTCAATTCCCAGGCTTGGGGTAGGCAGACTTATCACCCTCCAGAAATGTCCACGTCTTAATCCCCTGAACCAAAGGATATGTTACTTCATTTGAAAGGGAGAATTAAAGGAGCAGATGGAGTTAAAATTGCTAATCAGCTGACTTTAAAATAGGGAGCGTATCCTGTATTACCCAGGTGAGCCTAATGTAATCACAAAGATTCATCTTCCTCCCTCCCTCCCTCCCTCCCTCCCTCCCTCCCTTCCTTCCTTCCCTTCCTTTCCTTCCTTCCTTTCTCTCTTTCTTTCTTTTTCTTTCTTTCTTTCTTTCTTTTTCTTTCTTTCTCTCTTTTTCCTTCCTTCCTTCCTTCCTTCCTTCCTTCCTTCCTTCCTCCCTTCCTCCCTTCCCTCCTTCCCTCCTTCCCTTCTTTCTCTCTTTCTCTCTTTCTTTCTTTTTCAGATAGGATCTCACTCTGGTGCAGTGGTGCGATCTCTGCTCACTGCAGCCTTGACCTCCCAGGCTCAGGTGATCCTCCCACCTCAGCCTCCCAGGTAGCAAGAACTACAGGCATGTGCCACCACACCTGGCTAATTTTTTTATAGATCTAGTAGAGATGGGTTTTTGCCATGTTGCTCAGGCTGGTCTTGAATGCCTGGGCTCAAGTGATTCGCTGACCTCAGCCTCCCAAAGTGCTAGGATTGCAGGTGTGAGCCACCATGCCTGGCCAATCACAAAGGCTCGAAAAGTGGAAGAGAGAGGCAGAAGAAAAAGTAGGAGTGAGTGACAAGGACTTAACTCGTCTGTGCTACTATTGAAGATGGTGAAAGTGGGCCACGAGCCAAGGGCAACCTCTAGAAACTTGAAAAGATAATAAAACAGAATGTGCCTAGAGCTTCTGGAAAGAATACAGTCCTGCTGATACTAGAACTCAGTGAAATTTGCACCAGATTTCTGAGCTACAGAACTGAAGATAATTCATTTATTTCAAGCCACTGAGTTTGTGGTAAATTTGTTACAGTAGCAATAAAAATCTAATACATGCCTTCTATACCAGAAGAACACATCAACATGACCATTCCTGTCCTCACCCAACACACACACACACACACACACACACACACACACACACACACACACACAGAAACACACACACACGCACAATCCCTAGTGGTGAAGCCCTGCCTCACTCTATGGCACATTGGATTCAGATACTCTTTATTCTTAGCCATTAACTCACTGTACCTCCATCTAACCCTGACTTGCATGCCCAAAACACCAGTTTCCTCACCAAACTCTGAGATGGAGGGTATTTACTGGATTCATTTCAAATGTCAAAAGAGAATGTGATCTTTCTTGGAAATTGTTGATAAGTCTGTATGTTGTTCAGTATGTGACTGTTTTGATGGATTAATCAGGCAAATCAGTTATTAAAAATCTGTCTTTTAATCATAATCATAATTTGTTTTGAAGAAAACCACTTCATCAAAACTCATTTTGATGTGTAGACGTAGTCTTAATATTCAGTCCTACATAACATTATGTTATAGTTTATAGAACTAACATTATTAAGGTGGAATACCTTACAGATTAGGTGGCTTAGAAATTGAACTCTAATCAGATATTTTCTAATATTACAATACTACCTGCTTTTTAGCTGAGTGTCCATGGAAAAGTTATTAATTTACCTAAACTTCACTTTTCTTATTTGTAAAATCCATTAATTGAATTGATCATTCATTTACTCATTCAATAAATATACTCTGATTGTATACTGTGTCAGGTACAATGTTAGACACAGAAGCTACTGTTCCTGTAGAGGAGACAAACAACAAAAAAGTAAATTATAAAAAGCAAGTTAATATGCAGTAAGAAGTGACCAGAATAAAATGCACCTTTGGGAAAGTATTTTGGATATTCAGGGATGACTTCTTTTAGGTTATTTTTCAGCTGAGACATGGACAAAACTGATACCTACCTCATAAGATGCTAGGGTGAGAGGAAGTGCTAATGAATGATACCCATAATTCCTGCCCAAGTTCAGAATTAAGAGAGAGATAGGTTTAGGAGTCCCGTAGATGAAAATCAAAATATCAGCTTTATTGCAGATTAAACTTGCATGGAAGAACATGGTTTGGGTGTGTGGCTAAATAAACCAGAATTCCTGTGAATTCAACTTAACCTTCAAAACTGCAGAACTATAGAACAAAATAAACTTTCTGTTGATTCTGTTGATAGTTTCTTTTGCTGTGCAGAAGCTCTTTAGTTTAATTAGGTTCCACTTGTCTATTTGTGTTTTTGTTGCAATTGCTTTTGGAGTCTTCCTCATGAAATCTTTGCCAGGGTCTATTTCCAGAGTGGTATTTTCTAGGTTTTCTTTTAGGGATTTTATAGGTTAGGCTTTACATTTAAGTCTTTAATCAATCTCGAGTTGATTTTTGTATATGGTGAAAAGAAGGTGTCCAGTTTAAATATTCTGCATATGACTAGCCAGTTATCTCAGCATGGTTTATTGAATAGGGAGTCCTTTCTTCATTGTTTGTTATCGTTGACTTTGTTGGAGATCAGATGGTTATAACTTTATTTTGGGGTTCTCTATTCTGTTCCATGGGTCTATGTGTCCGTTTTTGTACCAGTGCCATGCTGTTTTGGTTATAGCTTTGTACTATAGTTTGAAGCTGGGTAGTGTGCTGCCTCTGGCTTTGTTCTTCTTGCTTAGGATTGCTTTGACTGTTCATGCTCTTTTTTGATTCAATATAAATTTTAAAATAGTGTTTTCTAATTCTGTGAAAAATTTCATTGGTAGTTTGATAGGAATAACATTGAATCTGTAAATTGCTTTGGGCAGTATGGATATTTTAGCAATGTTGATTCTTCCTACCCATGAGCATGGAATGTTTTTCCATTTATTTGTGTCATCTCTGATTTCTTTAAGCAGTGTTTTGTAATTCTTGTTGTAGAAATCTTTTACTTCCCTGGTTAGTAGTATTTCTAGGTATTTTATTCTTTCTGTGGCTATTGTGAATGGGATTGCGTCCCTGATTTGGCTCTCAGCTTGGATGTTACTGGTGTATAGAAATGCTGTGGGGTGTTGCAGTCTTACACTATTATTGTATGGTTATCTAAGTCTTTTTGTAGGTCTCTAAGCACTTGTTTTATGAATCTGGATGCTCCAGTGTTGGGTGCATATATTTAGAAAAGTTAAGTCTTCTTACTGAATTGAAACATTTATCATTATGTAATGCCCTTCTTTGTCCTTTTTGATCATTGTTGGCTTAATTTCTGTTTTGTCTGAATTAGAATAGCAGTCTCTGCTCTTTTTTGTTTTCTGTTTGCTTGATAGATCTTACTCCATCCCTTTACTTTGAGCCTATGGTTGTCATCACATGTGAGATGAGTCTCTTGAAGACAGCATACAGGTTGGGCCTTGCTTCTTTATCCAACTTGCCACTTCGTGCTTTTTAAGTGGGGCGTTTAGCCTGTTTACGTCCAAGGTTAACATCGATATGTGAAGATTTGATCCTGACATGTTGTTAGCTGGTTGTTGTATAGACTTGATTGTGTACAAGCTTTATAGTGTCAATGGTCTATGTACTTAAGTGTACTTTTGTGGTGGCTGGTAACAGTTTTTTGTTGCTATGTTTAGCACTCCCTTAAGGACCTCTTGTAAAGCAGGTATGGTGGTAACAAATTCCCTTAGCATTTGCTTGTCTGAAAATGATTTTATTTTTCCTTGTTTTATGAAGCTTAGTTTGGCTGGATATGAAATTCTTGGTTGGAATGTTTTTCCTGTAAGGATGCTGAATATAGGCCCCCAGTCTCTTCTGGCTTGTAGAGTTTTTGTTGAAAGGTCTGCTATTAGCCTAAGGGAGTTCTCTCTGTAGGCAGCCTGCCCTTCTCTCTAGCTGCCTTTAATATTTTTTCTTTTACATTGACCTTTGAGAATCTGATGCCCATGTGTCTTAGGGATGGTCATCTTGTATAGTATCTCACAGGGGTTTTCTGATTTCCTGAATTTGAATGTCAACCTCTCTAGTGAGGTTGGGAAAAATTTTGTGAGCAATATTCTCAAATATGTTTTCCAAGTTGCTTGCTCTCTCTCCCTCTCTTTCAGGGATGCCATTGAGTTATGGGTTTGGTTTCTAAATAATCTCATATTTCTCAGAGATTTTGTTCATTTTGAAATTGTTTTTTCATTATTTTTGTCTCACTGAGTTGATTCAAGGAATCGGACTTTGAGCTGTGAGATTCTTTCCTCAGCTTGGTCTATTCTGCTATTAATACTTGTGATCGTATTATGATATTCTTGTAGTGAGTTTTTCAGCTCTATCAGAACAGTTTGTTTCTTTCTTAAAATTGCTATTTTGTCTCTCAGCTCTTGAATCATTTTAATAGATTTCTTAGATTCCTTGAATTGGGTTTCAAGTTTCTCTTGAATTGCAATAATTTTCCATGCCATCCAGATTCTGAACTCTGTGTCTGTCATTTCAACTATTTCGTCTGGTAAAAAAACATTGCTGGGTAGCTGTTATGGTCATTTGGAGGTAAAAGACACTAGATTTGTGAGTTGCCAGAGTTCTTGCATTGTTTCTTTCTTATCTGTGTAAGCTGATGTTTCTTTAATCTTTGAAGTTGCTGTCCTTTGGATGGGGCTTTTTGCTTTTATATTCTTTCATGCACTTGAGGGTTTGACTGTGGTATAAGTTGGGTTGAGTTGACTGGCTTTGTTTTTGGATTATTTCAGGGGGCCAAGTCTCAGCTCAGCACTCCTGGGCTGCATGCTCTAATACTGGGGCCTGGGACCAGGCCCATGACTTTGTTTTATGGCCCCTTGAGGTTAAGCACCTGCTGCACTGGAGGGGCTGAGGTGTTTCCAGTTCACTGGCAACAACATTCTGATGGGGAGAAAGGTGCTGGAAAAAGGACTTTATTGAGGTTGTAGCAGTGGGGTTTGCATGTGCACATGTGCGATAGTGGCGGTAGGGTAGTGGTGAGGTGGTGGGCTCTGTGTGCACATTCACCAGTGACAATGGGATGGTGGTGTGAGGAGGTTTGCACACATGCACTGGCAGCAGCAGTGGTGGGATCTGCCTGTGCACTGGTGGTGGTGGGGCAGTGTGGTCCACGCATGTATGTTGGGCAGCTGCAGGACACATTTGTGAACATGTGTTGGCAAGGTGGTAGGGGAAGCGGCAGATGGGTGTGCACTGGCAGGGGCCCATCTGCAGAAGCTCTCTGATGGTCAGACAGGGTCTGTTGGTGAAGGAGCTGTGGTAGTGTCCACTGGGAAGCACCCCAGTTCAGTATCTGTGCTTGCACTGCAAATGGGTGTGTCCAAGCAAGGACTCTGGGGAGAGGCTGGCAAACAGGGGGGCTCCCAGATCAGATTGGCTCTGTCTCATGGGGAAAATAGCCCTGTTCTGTCTAGATTTGAGTCAACACAAGCCAAAGCCTGTTAGCATAGCATGGCAGGCCTTGGGAGATGGGCATCCCTGGCTGTGCTCCACTATAGCTGTTCCCACACTAAACCCTTCAGGCTCTGTGCAGGCTTAAGTCCCACCCCTATCAACTCTGTAAGAAGCTCTCCCTGCCAGCTCAAAAGTCAGTATGTGTCATGGGGTCTCCTGCAGCTAGGATTCTGGAGGTCTGTGGTGAGAGTGGGCCACTCCCCACCTATTTTACTCACCCTGGCCCCAGGAGCTCCTCTGGTCCAGGAATGAGTCCTGGTGCTTGGCAATCCCATACAGCATTCGCAGCCTCCTTTCTCTTCAGCTCAGGGTCTGTTTCCTCTGTCCACTCTCAATGCCCTTCTGAAGATCTGCTTGGAGCGTGCCGGTCTTTTTGATGGTCTGGTCTCTTGGTGAGAGAAGGTTTTCCTGGCTACATCTAGTTGACCATCTTGACTCTTTCCCTCTTGATTG
The DNA here is from genome assembly GCF_000001405.40 of Homo sapiens. NCBI lineage: Eukaryota > Metazoa > Chordata > Mammalia > Primates > Hominidae > Homo > Homo sapiens. The sequence goes on along the minus strand of NC_000002.12, from coordinate 182,511,176 downwards.
ATTTTTCAATTCCTCAATTTTCTTATCTGTAAATGGAAATAATATCATCACGTATCTCATCGGTGTTGAGAGAATTAATTAAGTTGACACACAAATTATTTAGAAAAGTATCCAGAATTCAAGAATTCCTAGCTTTTGTCAGTCATTATTATTGCTAATATTAAATGCAGAAACACAATTCTATATATTTTCATGTACTTTTCTTATCAGAATCAATGCACAGAGTAGGGTTGTCAAGATGCAGAAAGACAACTTTCTTTTAGCTCAATGGAAGTATTCTCACTCCCCAGGTTTCTCTTCACCAGAATCATTATACATAAGGATTTGTGTTTCCCTGGAGCAGGAACTAGGGTATATAAGGAGAGAGAGCTGAGGAGAAGTGGGCTTTGAGAGTTTCACTGATAGAAGAATTGTCTTGAGGGCATCTTTAAGTCAACATCTTGAGGTAGCCTTATAGTGGATTTTAGGTCTCTATAATCATGTTTATCTCAGGGCTAGACTTATTTTCCTGAGTCACTCTGGCTTGAAAATTATTCTTTAGGCCTTTTCTTATTATAACCTGAGCCTGGTTCACAACAGACTTGACTTCTAGGTAATTGCTATCATGTCCCATGTCCATCCCCTTGCTGACTCATTTTAGAAAATGCTGTATTTCCATTACGTTATCAGATTTTGTCATTTAACATATTTCAATTAGCTAGTCAAATGTAATATGTGAGCAAGTTTGATTATCATCTGGTAAAGGACTATGCTATAGTAGGCCTTTTGGATATGAAAGAAAGTCTTAATTAACATTATTAAACAGATGATAGCGTTAAAGTCTCATGAGAATCACACTATTCCACATATCCAGTCTGAGCAAGTTTTAGGCATGAATGACTATAGTTAAGGAAGGCATAACAATGATGATAGCTCATTAGAAGCATATATATGAAACATGACCCTTTGGTTGGTTTCTCCTTTCAGCTATACTTTCTTGAAGCTTTTTAAAAAGATCAAATTTTATTTTATATTTTATAAAATATTTAAAAACGTGGACTTTTACTAAATAGGCCGACAAAAAGCTCAGTCATGCAGATAATTTTTGATAGGCAAATTTTTGATATTTATAGTTATTCAAATATGTTTATAATGAGTCATGAAAAAAATAGTAAAATCTCTAAGCACCAGAGTCTCCAGGAGAAGAAACCTGAGGTCAACATTAACTAAACTCTGCATAAGTATGGATGTTCAAGGGATTCTTTTAAAACAAGTTGTAGATAAATTTAAAAGAAAATAAAAATGAACTTATTAGAAAAACAATAATGTACTAATTCTGGTCCATTTAAAACTGGACTTTCTAAGAGTTGGTTCAAAATAAGCTGTATTTGGAGCAAGATAAGACAAAGCTGAACAACTTTGGTATCAACTACATTTCTGGTTACCTTAAATTGTTTAAAAATCACCTCAAAATTGAATCATAGTAGTAATCATACTTTATAATTGTTTTCTGCCTGTTACTTTCTGAAAGATTTTACTTTTTATCTGTATGGCTCAGTACAATTATCTCCAGTCTTTCGGATGAGAAAATTGAACCTCCAGGATATTAAACCACTTGGCCACTATTTCACATTTAGTAAGGGGAGGGCCAAATTCTGAGGCCCATACTTATTCCACTGAACACTGACTTAGATAATTCTACTTAATACGCAAGGCTCAGTATAAAACCTGACATTTCAGGAATTAAAAGCTGTTCTCTTGTTTTGATTTTTTCCACAGTCCTGCCATCTGTTTGTCTAGTTTTGCGTACTCAAAGCTGAATACCAAATGGAGTTATCATGTGGCGTATGGTTTGGATGTCAGAAACTCCCCAATTTTGTTTCTCTTCTCTAGGACATGTGCTACCATTACCTTTTAAATTAATTTATTTAAACAATGATTCTAGCTAATAGCTACAAGAGAATTTGATGTTTTCTAAACTCTTTTACCTCCTTAGAGCTTGGACCTTTGCGAAATCACTGTAACTTATTTGGCCTTTGGTACACCAAACAACCAAGAAAACCCTGCACAGTAATGTCTGGGTGCCCATTTCAGAAGATTTTTTTTTAACCAATGAAAATAAATTCAAGAATTCTAACACCACATATTCTCACTCATAGGTGGGAATTGAACAATGAGATCACATGGACACAGGAAGGGGAATATCACACTCTGGGGACTGTTGTGGGCTGGGGGTAGGGGGGAGGGATAGCATCGGGAGATATACCTAATGCTAGATGACGAGTTAGTGGGTGCAGTGCACCAGCATGGCACATGTATACGTATGTAACTAACCTGCACAATGTGCACATGTACCCTAAAACTTAAAGTATAATTAAAAAAAAAATAAAAAATAAAATAAAATAAAATAAAATAAAAATAATCAACAAGCTTTAAAAAATAAAAATAAAAAAAAAATAAAAAAAAAAAGAAATTTACAAATGGCTTTGATACCCCGGAAAATATCTCACTTCTGAATCTTGGTGTTTATACTCTGTGTTAAAAATGCTATGCTAGTTTTCTTTTTTACTTGTTGATGTTTATTTGTGGCTCCTTAGGTATTCTGTTATTCAGTGTTTACAGCAAATAAACAAAGTCAGTAATGTCATTCCTAAATATCCACGTAGAGAACTTTTGCTTAGAAAACATAAATGAATTACTCCACATGCCAGTTTTTCCGACCTAACTCACCTTTCATTTGTAAACCACTTTTACCTTTTTTTTTTGTTTTTCACATGAATATCTTTTATTTCTTTTTCTTATCTGGTTAGTCTGGCTAAGACTTCCAGTACTATGTTGAACAGAAGTGGTGAAAGTGGGCACCTTTGTTTTGTTGGTGGTCTTTGATGGAATGTTTTAGGCTTTTCACCGTTGATTATAATGTTAGCTATCGATTTGTTGTATATGGCCTTTACTATATTAAGGTATATGCCTTATGTTAGTAATTTATTGAGAATTTTAAATCATAAAAGAATGTTGAATTTTGTTGAATGATTTTTTTGAATCTATTGAGATAATCATAAAATTTTTATCCTTAAAAAAAAAAAAAGAATTCTAACCATTAAATCTAGGTACTTTATTTTTGCTTAAGCTACTACTCTATTCTTGTTATAACAAAACTTAAGCACATAAGAATGCTCTTCCCTGAAGTCAAATGAGTAGTCTTTCTTCTGTTTATTTCAGAAAAATAATCTTAATATAGTTTATTCTGCCTTACTTCCCAAACAGAACTTAAACTACACAGTATTTTTTTCAAGCATTCTTAGATTGCACTTAGAGATGGCTAGTATATGGATTAATGGGTTCCTTTCTAACTTTTAGAACTTGAAAAATTTCCAGTACTTCCCACTGGTTGCAGTATGAACAAGCATCTTTATGTGTGGCTGTTCAATACTTCATTTCCTAGCAAATCTCTGCTTCAATATCTTGAGTTTTCCAAAGATATGATTTATTTATTTTCCAGAAATTCTATCATATTGTTGTTTGCTGTTGCAGTAATGGCCCAATTTATTCATGATTTCCTGTATCCATTCTCTTGACTAATCTCTCTCATACTTACTCTTGGCCATACACCTTGTTTTAGCCAGTGGGCCCTTACCAAATGTGACACAATCAAAGGCTTAGAAAGGGCTTATGCACTGGAGTTTAAGCTCTCTGGAACCCTCAAACTGGCGTGTGAAGAAGCCTGGTGAGACCTATTGGAGGATGGGCATGTAGGGTAGATATAAACCACTCCAGCTGAGGCCCCTCTAAACCAAACAGTTAACTACCGGACATGTGAGTGAGGACTACCCAACTTTCTCAAAATTGTGAGAAAACAATAAATGTTTATTATTGTTGTCCACTAAGTTGTCGGTGTTTTGTTGCACAACAAAAGCTAGTTGATATGCACCCACAATGATCTCTTAGCTTCTGAATTTTTCACATAAGTCTCTGGTTTCTAAAGTTTTTTTTTTCTACCTATTACTGTGGTTACTACTTTCTCATCATCTACTGTCATTTATTTCTTTGAACTAATAGCCAATTAGTAAATATTTTAGAGCTTACGAAAATAAACATTGAGGTCTCTCTTTTTAGAAAGATAGTCTAATAAAATTCATCTACATATTATTTTCACCAGCAACACTATCAATGGCATGTGTCCACATAAAATATTTCTTCCAGTGCATGCTCCTTCAGCAGCTGTGTACTGAACTTGTATTGCTCTTAGATTTCTGTGAACAAATGTAATTTCCCACCAAATAGAAGAGAAGTATAGAGTAAAGCAGGGAAACTGCATAGTTGCATAAAAGAAGATGGTTCATATCCTGTTACCCTGGCAACAGGCACTAGAAAGGCCAGGGCTCCCCACACATCCTGTTGCCCTGACAACAGGTCATACAGGGCATGGGAAGGCCCAGTTCCCAGTTTTCTAGGCCTCCTCTTTGCAACCACAAAGACAAAGAAGAAAGTGATGTTGCATCTTGTTCCTCCCCACCTACATATTTCTTCTGTTATCTGAACCATTCCAGTATAAGATTATCTTTCCAGATTTAAGAGGGGGGCAGGAAATAGTGACTTCAATTTTTACATTCATAAGCTCTGAAACATTTGCTAATATTTGATTAGTTCAAAGGAGTAAATGATAAGAAAAAATGAGAGAGAATCAAAATAGTAATGAGAATAAATTGTGGAAACCAGAGAAGCATTAATATTATAAGAACAGTTTAGCAGCTGAGAGCTGATTTGGGGTATGTGTCCATTAGCCACACTAGTTAGCCTTTAAAATTTTTAAGGAGTCATCACAAGAAGTCACATCTATAAAATGGCTGTTTATTTGGTCTTATTTTAAAATAAGATATAAGTTGTAAAGACAAACGGTATTTCCTACTTATAATCAAACCAATTGCATAGGGAACAAAGAGAAACAGGAGAAAAAAAGAATTCGATCAGATTGCTTTCTTACGAACTCTACATGGAAAGAAAAGATGAATGACGAAGGAAAGAAAAGGCTAAGAATGAAAAAGGAAAAATTTTATATAGAATTGGGAATTCAGTTGATAAAAACTTGTATAGCATAACATCATTTTCTGATATTTAGTTATGCATTGCACTTAGAGATGGCTAGCATATAGATTAACGGGTTCCTTTCTAACTTTTAGAATTTGAAAAATTTCCAGTACTTCCCACTGGTTGCAGTATGAACAAGCATCTTTATGTGTGGCCTTTTGATACTTCATTTCCTAGCAAATCTCTGCTTCAATATCTTGAGTTTTCCAAAGATATTATTTATTTATTTTCCAGAAATTCTATCATGTTGTTGTTTACTGTTGCAGTAATGGCCCAATTTATTCATGACTTCCTGTATCCATTCTCTTGACTAATCTCTCTCATACTTACTCTTGGCCATGCAGCTTGTTTTAGCCAGTGGGCCCTTACCAAATGTGACACAATCAAAGGCTTAGAAAGGGCTTATGCACTGGAGTTTAAGCTCTCTGGAACCCTCAAACTGGCGTGTGAAGAAGCCTGGTGAGACCTATTGGAGGATGGGCATGTGGGGTGGATATAAACCACTCCAGCTGAGGCCCCTCTAAACCAAACAGTTAACTACCGGACATGTGAGTGAGGACTACCCAACTTTCTCAAAATTGTGAGGGATAAAGTAATAAAATCAAAGTGCCCAGGCCCTGTGTCTGGCCCAGAATAAGCATCTACGAATGATAGCTGTTCCTGTAAATTACTTTTTTGGTATATCTATGTGGGAAACAATGTGTTTGTTTTTCCCCATTCCTCTGCCAAATGTTAAGATTGAGGTAAAAGTCGACTCTAGATAACTACATAGTGGGTAGGAGGCAGAAGAGATTTAAACACTGACTGAATTAATGAATTTCTTATAGTCCAAGGTTCTAATTTCCTAAGTTCTCCACCACACATATACCAGGAAAACTGAAATTTCTGTTTCATGATGTAGCTGAATAATTAGGATTATGCTGACAGTATCTTTCAGTGATTAGTGAACATTCTGGCCTCATGTGGCCTTGCAGCCTGGAGAATTCTTAGTGAGTGGAGACGGCTGTGTGTCCTGTGAGAGAAAATTGCCTGCTGAAGTTTCCCAATTGCAGTGAGTCAGACAGGGAGATAAGCTGACTGAATTTGGAGGCAATCAGGCTAAATACTTTAGAATTGGCTTCCAGGCTACAACATGTTGTTTGCTACTGAGTTGAAGACTCTTCGCATGGGTCCTTAAAAAGAAACTTACAAAGCAAGGTAATCTTGAAGTTTTCCAATGTAATTGAACAATTTTAACATTTCTCAAGTTTCATTTTTACCAGACATTCAAGTCCAAGGTGTGTGATGAAGCTTGGACAATAGTCACCATTTTGAAGCTGTCACTTAATTTTTGTTCTCAGACTTTATTTATTCTATCATGTGAACCAAATTTCAGTTAGGGATAAATACTCATACAGTGTTTATCAGAAGATGCCTCTCTGTAAAAGTTAACTCATCTATCCAAAAGGAGATCATATATGCTTAATCATATGTGCTTAATAACTGAGAGTGTTCCAAAATGAAATTCACAACCGAAATAATACCCAGTTTAAGAGATTAAAATATTCCCAGCATTAGTCCCCAAATGACTTTATTATATATACTTTCCAATTATTTTACATGAGGCAATAATTTTTAAAATTCCTTACTGTAAATTTTATCTTTACTAAATAAAAAATGATAAAATACTAAAAATGATTTCTTGTTTATCTCCATTCTTATGTTTTTAAAATTCCTAATTCTATGCTAAATTTGCATAATACACACTTTCTGTAATTAGATAATTTGGTTGTATCTACCAGTATTACCTGGGAAACAAGAAATCACATGGAATCACTTTAGCGCACCTTGGAATTAGAAACATATTGCTAAGTAATCTTAAATTCCTTAGAAAGAGAAATTCAGCTCACAGTAAAAGCAAAGAATGAAAAGAAAAGGCTGTCCTTGATGAATTCAGATTGTTTTGTTAAGTGTATGTCTTGTGGGTATAGCAGTAAACACTAATGTATACAGCGTGAGTCACACTATGGTAATCTTAGCCACTGGTTAGAACTATCTTAAGAATGAGTGTCATTCAGAAAAAAAGTTATAGCCAAATTCATCCAGACTATACTGATACTTTTAAAAACATTGAGATACTTTGGAAAGTAGGGTTAATATTCTTTTATTAACTCAACTCTGTTGACTTATTAATACAACTTAATTATTTGTTCATTCTACAAATATTCATTCACTGGCGCATGGAGAGTTCCAGCATTACTCTAGGAACCAGGGATATAACAATAAACAGTCCAGATACGATCCCTACCTTCCTGAAGTGTATATTTTGATGGTGGGGTTACATAATCAGGCAAAAGAATATAATGTAATTTTAATAAAACGGTACAGCAACAAACTCTTGGGAGTTTCAAAAGTCTGTATTTTAGACCAGAGTGGTCAGGAAAGAGCTTCTCGTGATGGTGACTTGTGAAGAAAGACCTTAATGAAGTGAATAGTGAGTGACACCAAGGCCTGAAGCATTGGCCTTGGTGTGCGGAGGGAAGCAAGGGCACACACCCCAAGCAGGGTGCACTTGGCCTGTTTGAAGAAAACCAGTAAGAGCAGAAGGGCTGTAGTACAGGTAGGAGAAAGAGTGGAATAATTGAATGTGGAGAGATGGGCAGAAGTCAGATGACCCAAGATCCAGCAAGCCTTGATAAGAAGTCAAGATTTTATTTCCTGCATGATGGGAAGCCCTTTCACCTTAGGAGCATCAGGGTGGGTGGCAGATCTGATTTATGTTTTAAGAAGACTTCTCTGACCATTTTGTGGAAAATAAAGCTAAGAAGTGGAGAGGCAAGGAAGGACAAAATTAAAAATAGGAGGATGTGTCACAAGGCTCTGACCTTTGTCCACGTGAAGGTTCTGTAGCTTTGGTGACATTGGTGCCTTTGGAGGTGGTAAGAAGTATGAAGATTTGGGACATATTTGAGATTAGAGCTGACAGAATGCACTGATGAAATGGATATGGGGTTAAAGGATGGAAGAGAATGAGGCACAATGCTGTGTGTGTGTGTATGTGTGTGTGTGTGTGTGTGTGTGTGTGTGTGTAAGAAAGAATGGGGAGGGGGAGAGAGAGAGAGAGAAAGAGAGAACCTGAACAACTGGGTCTACAGTTCCTTACCTGAAACCTTTGGGCCCAGATGTGAACCAAATTCACAACTTTCCAAATTTTAGAAAGGTAATAATGTGCCTATTTCAAAAATCATCACATATTCCCAGTGGGGTTTGGGGTAGCTCCATAGGCACAAATCTGCAACAAAACATATAAGTATTCACTTAATACATGCTCTCCTCTCAGTTCAGGTCAGGTTTTGCTGTCAGATGAGCTCAGGTCTGGCCAAGTTTTGCTGCCAAATGAAAAAAGTCTGATTTTTAGGGTTTTTGAATTTTCAGTGTGGAAAAGGGATTGTTGACTTGTACTATTTCCTGAAATGGGGAGGATGGCTGTGGAAATAAAAACCTCTTTTAAATCCATGCTTTTGGGATGCCCATTAGATGCTCAAGTGGCCTTAACAAATACATACATAGCTGGACAGATAGGGGGTCAGGGCTGAACACATACATTTTGGAGTTGTTGATATATGGGTGTATTTAAAATCACAGGACTCAATGAGAACGTTCAGGGAGTGAAAGTTGGTATAAGTGAGAAGAGGATCGAGGGCTCTCTGGCATTCTAACATTTACAGGTCTGTAGAGAGTAAGAAAAACAATGGAGACACAGATACAGATACACAGACACACAGACACACACACAAACACACACACACACACACACGAAAGAGAGTAGGTGAGCAGTAAGGGGACTTATGTCTTTACCTCTTTCAGCAGTCACCTAAGTCTAGGAGCAGGGCGGCTTATCTATGATAGCAAGAGGGAAGACAGAATGTTTGGGAACATTTGCAGATAGATAGGTGAAAACTCTGGTTACTTTTATTTACTCAGCGAAATTAAAGAAGAGGCTATTTGAAGAGGCATTTGAGGAAGGAGGAGAAGATGGAGTCACCTGAGAGGAGTGTGGCTGAGGACAGGAGGTGGACAGGGCAGGCAGTCTGAGGGCCTGCCAGCGGTGTCGTATTTAAAGTCAGATCTGTGTCCCTGTGTGCCTTTTTTCCTGTTACGTTCAGTTCAGCTGTTTCCATGCAGGCTCAGAGGTTCAGGGCAGATTCAGAACTAGGTTTACAGAGTTCATATTTTGCCAGAAAACATAAGTGTGATGGATGAAGAGAGGGAAAACTGGAGCTTGAGGGCCTCTTTAAAGGACAGGGTGTTAAACCTAGATTGACCATGAGATCTAAGTTGGGTAGGGAGAGAAATGAGGACATGGGAGGAAGTATGGACAGGGAGAAAGTGGGTGAGGTCAATGAATTGGTGGTAGAGAAGACGGTAATGAATTGCTAGAATAGGGCACTAGAATCAGTGACCTTTTCTTCTTAAAGGCACAAAATGATATAATAAACACATATTGAATTAGACAAGCTTACACAAGAAATATAATTTGTGAAATGAATATATGGTAGGAGATTTTATTTTCCTCTGTAGAAGACTTCTGTGAGCACCTTTACATTTCATTAGGAGGCTTTCTCTTCAAAACAGAAGAGGCTGTTTGAAAGCATGGCTATTCCTGAAAAGAAAACAAAGCAGGCAGATCTAATTTTTAGGATGCTTTTCCTTGACCACAGCTTTTAAAGTATTGCCTATACAACAATAGAAGTTACACTTAAACAGTGTCATCAAAACTCATAACAGGGTTTTTCCTTCACCTTGCTTTAGTGACTGAGCTTTATTCTTTGTGGTGTTGATGGTGGTGGATGGCAAATTTAAAGTATGGATCAGTAGCAACAGGCCAAGCATGCAATGAAGGACTGCTGTGAAATATGTTATTAACCAGAAGGATGTGATGATTATGTCACTATATAAGGGTCGTTGTGCCTCTATTCACAGTAGTAGTAGTTTCAGTTGACTTAAATAATTCAGGCCTTCAAATTCCATCTGAAAAGCCAAATTGTTTTGTAAATTTGCACATGCTCAGCAAGCAATTAATTGTTCCTTTTTCTGATGATTTTGTTACCAAGACTGAAGTTCGTTTTGGTTGAAATTTTATAACAAAATAGCTACACACATACACACATAAAACAATGATACAAAATTATGTACATTGGTGTAGATGCAACTGCTATTCACTAACTACAATACAGTGTTGATCAGGTGTGAGGAGAAGTGAAAGTCATTGTTTATTTTGATTTTTGTCACAATTAGTGTCATTATATATAGAATTTGCTGGGTCACAATGTTAAACAGTTGTAAGACTGCCATGTTGAGGTCACTGGATAGATTTTACATCTACTTTTGGCCTTTTGGAAATGGAATCTTCTGTTTTCATGCAATAAGCTAATTTGGGGATAATTATATGTGAGTTATGTCAATATTTAAAAAAATCTTTTGAAGTTTTGGTTGAATTTCTTATTTGGCATTGGAGGGTGGCTCTTATTTGAAGTTTAGTGTCAGGCTGCTTATCCCAAAGTAATTCTTGCAATTCTTGGACCCTTAGTGAGATGTTCCCATCAGTAATACTTTGCATTTTTTGGCTGATAGATTAAACTTTTCTCAGCTCCTGGAGATCCTTTTTCTGCTTTTCCTTATTTTTAAATAATAATTTAATGTTGTTGTTTTTTGATTTATCTATTTTAAATATTCTTTACTGATTTCATATAACATGGATGAAAGTTGAGCATTTTTAGACCAAGCTCCTGCCACCCCCTCCTGACTGACCCTCCTCCCAATGTAGTTCTATGACCACTTCAGTGAATCAGTATTTGAGGTTTGTAGTCTTATGACTGAATTGGCTTCACTTCTGAGCCAAGTAGTAAAGTATGAATATGTTCCTATGGAGTATAACTTCTTGTTTTTCCTGGAATTAATAAATATCTCATTTTAATTGTTACTTTGTTGGACTTGATTACTGCAAACCTATCACTAATTCTTTCTGAGTTCACCGAAAGAAGTGCAAAACCCTTCAATATATTACCATCATGTGCTTCTTCTGTCCCACTCTTTTCCTTAGAGACATTTTGTTTTTGTTGTTTTTAATTGGTATTGTATTGTTTTTCAAATCTTTGTCCCCCAGCTCCAACTGGGACTCGCTAAAGCTGGAGACACAGCCATCCCCTGGGACTGCCCTTTGCTTTCATTCTGGGAAATCCCTCCAGCACTCTCATGAATTGCGTTTGCTGTTTCCTGGATCTCATCCTTTCTTGTTTACCCTGTTTAGGGGATGAGCTTCTCCAATAGTTCCTGAGATAGGGCACTTGAGAAATACATGTGTAAAAATGAATTCATATGTGAAGATATATTTATTTTGATACAGGTTAGTTGGTTCAAACATAAGTAAAAGATACTTTCTCTCAGAATTTTGCAGATACCAGTTCATTGCCTTTTAACTCTCGGTATTGCTATCAAGGAGCCTGAGGCCTTTCAGTCTTCTTTTTGTGTGATGTTCTTCCCAACCCTCATAAGCCAGGAATTTTTCTTATTTCTGCTGTTCGGGAATTTCGTGATAATAACCTTAGTCCGGGTGCAGTGGCCCATGCCTGTAATCCCAGCCCTTTGGGAGGCCAAGGCTGGTGGCTCATTTGAGGTCAGGAGTTTGAGACTAGCCTGGTCAACATGGTAAAATCCTGTCCCTACTAAAAATACAAAAATTATGGCTAACATGGTGAAACCCTGTCTCTACTGAAAATACAAAAAATTAGCGGAGTACAGTTGCGGGCGCCTGTAGTCCCAGCTACTTGGGAGGCTGAGGCAGGAGAATGGCGTGAACCCGGGAGGCGGAGCTTGCAGTGAGCCGAGATCGCGCCACTGCACTCCAGCCTGGGTGACAGAGCAAGACTCCGTCTCAAAAAAAAAAAAAAAAAAAAACAAGAAAAAGAGAAAGAAAATAGCCTGGCATGGTAGTGCATGCCTGCAATCCCAGCTACTTGGAAGGCTGAGGCAGGAGAATTGCTTGAACACAGGAGGCGGAGGTTGCAGTGAGCTGAGATTGCACCGTTGCACTCCAGCCTGGGTGACAGAGCAAGACTCAATCTCAAAAAAACAAAAAACAAAAACCAAAAAAACCTTAGTAGGGTCATTTTTTTATTTTTTTATTTTGAGATGGAGTCTCGCTCTGTCGCCCAGGCTGGAGTGCAGTGGCGCATTTCCGCTCACTGCGAACTCCGCCTTCCGGGTTCACGCCATTCTCCTGCCTCAGCCTCCCAAGTAGCTGGGACTACAGGCGCCCGCCACCGCGTCCGGCTAATTTTTTGTATTTTTAGTAAAGACGGGGTTTCACCGTGTTAGCCAGGATGGTCTCGATCTCCTAACCTCATGATCTGCCTGCCTCGACCTCCCAAAGTGCTGGAATTACAGGTGTCAGCTACCGCGCCCGGCCTTAGGGTAATTTTGATACTGGGAAATTGACTGGTCCTTTCAGTCTGGAAATACATGCCTTTCAGTCTGGAAATACATGCCTTTCAGTATGGAGAATATTTCATTTTTTTAATTTGATAACTTTTTTTCTTATTTTTTTTTCTTTCTGGGATTTTTAGTTTGCACCTCTTGGATTAAGCCTGAAATTTTCTTATATTTTTTTCTCCTCTTGCCAATTTTTGCCTTTTTAAAAAAATACAAAACTTTAACATCTATCTCTCAGCCTTTCTAATACTTTTCTGAGACCTGATAACATTCTTACTTTGATTCTTATTTGTAGCATTCCATTCTTTTGCTATGTATATAATAATTTTTATAGCTCTGAAATTGTTTTAGTTGATTAACAATTCTTCTTCTATATGAATAGACTTTTTCTCTGGAGTGCCACTTTCTTTGTGTTCACTTCAGTGTATCTTTCATGTTAAAGGCTTTCCTCAGAGGTTTGGTGATTCTTGGCTGCCTTCTCGCATTGCAAAGTGAGACACTGCAGAGCTCATTGACATTCAGTGTGAATGGACAGTGGGCTTCATAACAGTGTGGTGGGTGCTCAGTCTTTTTTTTTTTTTTTTTTTTTTTTTTGAGACGCAATCTCGCTCTGTCGCACAGGCTGGGGTGCAGTGGCGCGATCTCGGCTCATTGCAAGCTCTGCCTCCTGGGTTCACGCCATTCTCCTGTCTCAGCCTCCCGAGTAGCTGGGACTACAGGTGCCTGCCACCACGCCCGGCTGATTTTTTTTGTATTTTTTCAGTAGAGACGGGGTTTCAAGGTGTTAGCCAGGATGGACTCAATTTCCTGACCTCGTGATCCGCCGACCTCGGCCTCCCAAAGTGCTGGGATTACAGGCGTGAGCCACCGCGCCCTGCCGGGTGCTCTGTCTTTTAATTGGGTGGTTACCAAATGCCGGTACCTGTGTCCACAGGTCTTTCTTTGGAGCTATGTATTTTCTATAAGGGCAAATAATCTAATATCCTGTCTAGTATGTCTAAGCCTTTTTGTGTCTGTTCTAGAACGGAATGAGGAAAAACGTTGGGGCCATAACATTCATTATGTAGTTTTTACTTATTAAGAATAGAAGTTTAACCTCTCTCACCTCTGTGGTTTAATTTCACAAGAAAACAAACACCTTGTTTCCCAAAGCGACATGGGAACAATAGTTACCAGGTACTGAGGAGGAAATTAAGGACTTACCTTGTCTTTACATAGCCAAAACCCCACTTTCAGCACCACTCTGCTTCCCTGACTGCTGTGATACCTGGTGCCTTCAATTCCTGCATCTTTTCAGGGATCTTTAGGGTGAAACCCTTGTTTCTGCTGTCATCCTTTGCTAAGGTTTCCACCCCTCCACCTAGTTTCCACACTCCCGAAAACGAATTGATTCTCTTGGATTTTGTTACTTCTTTCCTATTCACACTGTCCTTTTGAGGGATTTATAACATGTTTTGTTTTTACTGTCATGTTAGTGGAGTTTTAGGAGATAACAATGATAAATACATGTATTCAATTGGCCATGGTTAAAAGAGATGCACTAAAGTTTTTCAATAATTTAAAATAAATTAAAATTTTTTTTCACTTTAATTGTCTGGAAAACTCTGTGAAGTAAGACCATATACCAACTCCATTTATCATATAAGGAAGCCAAAATAAGTAACCTTAAAGTAATTGTATCATATAGGGTTCAGTGCAGGAAAGAAAACCCACTGGTATTTGAAACAGAAAGGGATTCAATACAGGAATTAGTTGCTTACAAAATCACAGGAATGTCTATAGGAGCCGGAAGTCAGGGCCACTACTGGATTAGCAAGTTAAAAGCTTAGCTGTGATTCAGTCAGGAAGCTACTGCCTCTGGGCTGCCATCACTACTGCTGCTATCAGTCCGCTGCCTCTAGATACCTATGGAGCCAGTGGCTAGACATGCAAAGGCAAAGTCCAGCCAATACAATTGTCTCATGACCTTGTTTGTCAGCCAAAATAGCAGCAGAAAGATGGCTCTTCCTCACTTTGCCTTCCAAATGCTTTCAGGCCCCTTTCAATTGGCAGTACCTAATTCACGTTAGAAGCCTAGCTAAAATGGCCCAGGGATATAGATTTTAGCTTTCAAATCTCTCCAAATAGAATGAGTCAACCTAAATTATCTATCATAATAACGGTTTGTGACAGAGCTATAACCAGATCCCAGTTTTTGTCACTTTCAGTATTTTTATTTCTACTGCTTCTTTTCGTTAAGAAAATAATAATAAAAAAGATACATAACCACATTACAATTTGTTTTCCAAATGGAATGATTATCTAAAATACAATAACAATGTGATCAACATGTTTTCCTTTTAAGGCTTTTTTTCCTAGCAGTCTTTGGTAGTATTTAAATGCTGGACAATATTTTGTAGCCTAGTACAATATTTTGTAGCCTAGTTTAATATTATCTCTTAAGTAATATCTCTGCAGTGAGTGTATGAACCTGTATTACATGTTTAATATTAAACTAGGTTACTTAAGAGATAAAAAAATAAAAGACAGTCTTTCCTCTAATAGGGTAGATAAAACAAATTCCTATTAATTGGGGGTACATTATAAAATTTGGAAGATATGTGTTTTTCTTTATGGTTGAGAGGACTTATATCTGTTGTATGTCAGCAACTTTGTATTTGTTATCCCACTAAATCTCCATACAAGCCTTGTAAAGTAATATTGCCTTTGCCATTTTGAAGAACAGTGCATTGACACTCCAGATTAGATAACTTCATGAAATTATACTGACATTGGACTATAGAGTGGGATTTAAATATTTTTGCTCTTTCTTTTATATCAGTCTGTCTCTCGAGGAGATTTCAGATGAATCTTAATGAAGGGTAGGATTTGGATGGAGAGAGGGATAGGACAGGCGTCTCAAACTCAAATTCTATCAGGGGCCATACTTGAAGGAGCGGGGGTGGCTGCTGACTGTAGCAGCTCAGAGACTACTTGTTGCCTCTTGGGGCAGGAGGCTAAGGGGCCTTTACTTTCTCTTTTAGAGGAAAGTTAAAGGTCCATATTTTAAAATATATAATCCTTTGATTTAAAAATGTTAGCAAACAAATCACAGCGTTAAAAATCACTGATTGGGTCAACACTATGAAGACTAAATAAAACCCATGTGTTACAGCATGTTAAAATGGGATTGGTTCCATTTTAGCCCTGGCTGAAGCACTGAAGGCCAAGAAAATTTCAAAAGGTGCCAACCAAAGCCAGATTCTACATGCTGGACCACCCATAGAGGATAGCTAAGTGAGTGCAAAATGGGTTCTCTAGCATTAGAGACAGGCCTCCTCTGGTCTGTATCGAATGAGATACTGAAAGGGAGGATTTCAGGATTTATTTGAAGTGAGCTCTGTCAGTATGCAGGTACCCTTACCACCCCAAGGAAAAGGCTAAAGCCAAGAGACTGTGACTGGAGCTGCCTTTGTCAGCAAGGAGAAAGAAGATCCAATGGGCTTGTACTAATGTCAGGGGCACGTGTCCCTCTGCCGGCCACGTGCACCTTAGAAAGAAGTCAGCCTGGACCAATTCAAGAGATCCTGCCTAAGATGACTGCCTGGAAGTGCCGAGCACCCCCGACAGAGTGGACCACTGAAGCTAGGGATGAGAAAGGGAGTCCTTAATGGTCAGGTAGAGGATAGCCTTAGAAACTGCAGTGAGAAGACCACAGAGGAAAGAGCTAAAAAAATCCAAGAATTCTGTTGGGAGAAGGGAATCTCACAAGAGACAAATTCAGCATCTAGAAGGAACCAACACAAGGAACCAATTGCATCTGCTATATAAAAGTGTGCTGTTTCTCCTAATTCCTTTCCCCTGGAGCCTAGTAAGTTGGAGAGTTGGAGAGGAAGAAGATTCCAAGTGGAAGCAGGCCTGGGCTTGGGAGGGAGGGTAAGGCTTTTCAGATTCTTCGCTTTGAAAAAAAAAATGGAATTCTGATTATTACATTGGTCGTTGGGCATTTTGACTTCTGAGATGAGAACCATCTTGTGACTAAAAGGAGCCAGAATGTCTGTGGGAGGTGGATTCATCCAGGGGTGGAGACAAAGAAATCCAGAGAGTGTGAAGGGACAATGGGAAGAAAACCATAAAAGACACAATGCTGACATCAGTATGTTTCTTAAACAGTTACTCATGTCTGCAAGCCAAAACTGTGGGCTCGCCATTTGTATTATCTGGGCTAAGGGATGGTGGTTGGGCAGAGGGGCTGAGCATTGGGTGTGGAGAGTATGATCAATTATATTAAGTAACAGAAGGTATAAATCTTTCTGTGTAGTCCATAGTCTACACAGTTTCTTTTTCTTTTCTTTTTTTTTTGTAGAATCCAAATGATCTTGTAAGCTTACTACACATTTAGATGAGAGAACAAAATTGACAGTTCTAAGGCTTTTGGATATGTAGATGATAAAAGGTTACCTTTGCTCAAGAGACATCCCAGTAAAGACCATTCAACCTTCTTCAAATTATAATAAATGACTCAGTTGAAGACTCAGTTAATGATTTTGAATGCTCCTTTAAAGCCTACCTCGATTGTTTTGAATGTACATTTCTGAAGGACTTAACAAAGCCACCAAATTAAGGAACATTATCATTCTCTGTTTATATAATTGTTCACATGCCATGATCTGGAATTTCTTCAAACAGTGGTAAAGCATGCATTGCAAAATACAGTCCATGCCTGGGCTCAGTGGTTCACACATGTAATCCCAGCACTTTGGGAGGTTGAGGCAGGAGGATCACTTGAGGCCAGGAGTTCAAGACCAGCCTAACATGTGGTGTTTGGTTTCCTGTCCTTGCAACAGTTTGCTGAGAATGATGGTTTCCAGCTCCATCCATGTTCCTACAAAGGACATGAACTCATCCTTTTTTATGGCTGCATAGTATTCGGTCGTGTATATGTGCCACATTTTCTTAATCCAATCTATAATTGACAGACATTTGGGATGGTTCCAAATCTTTGCTATTGTGAATAATGCCGCAATAAACATACTTGTGCATGTGTCTTTATAGCAGCATGATTTATAATCCTTTGGGTATATACCCAGTAATGGGATTGCTGGGTCAAATGGTATTTCTAGTTCTAACACTGCATGTTCTCACTCATAGGTGGGAATTGAACAATGAGAACACTTGGATACAGGAAGGGGAACATCACACACCGGGGCCTGTCACGGGGTGAGGAGGCGGGGAGGGATAGCATTAGGAGCTATGCCTAATGTAAATGACGAGTTAATGGGTGCAGCACACCAACACGGCACATGGATACATATGTAACAAGCCTGCACGTTGTGCACATGTACCCTAGAACTTAAAGTATATATATATAAAAAAAGACCAGCCTAACCAGTATAGTAAGACACTGTCTCTCCAAAAAAAAAAAAAAGTTAGTCGAGAAAGTCCTCTTGCCGATTAAAATTTATGCAGTTAAGGGGTGATTTAAAAACTAGGTATAGCAAGGCATGCTTTGACTAATTGTTAAAGTTTTTGTTTTGTAAGTTTCTGGTAGTGTTTTGTTGTTTGGGGTCTTACAGCTGTTGTAATGATTAGGATGATGTAAGCACAGAGTAGATGTTTTATGCAATAAAAGAAGTGTGGTTGAAAAGCCTGCTGGTCCCTGCCCTTTTTTTTTTTGCCACCATAATTGTACATGTGGGCATTACACTGACACTGATTCTAAGCCTGGAAACTGTGTAGTTCCCCACACGTTTTAGTATGTGCATAGCAAAGGAAGTGCCAATGACTTTTTAGTATGTGGATATCTCTTGTCACAGAATCTTTCTGAGAATCAGACTTTATAAAAACATGTTTCACTGCATCAAAAAAATTTAGTTAGCCTTGTTTTAAAAATATAACAATAAACAAAAGTTTATTGTTCACAAAAGCTCATGACAGAAAAGTTGATTCTTCTCTAAAGCTCATGACAGAAAAGTTGATTCTTCTCTAAGTGAAACTAATTCACAAGGTGAATATTTTACTCTTCATCCAGAGTTGTTTTAAGGTCAGATAGGCAAAAGTGATAATTTATAATATGATCTATAACCGTAAATAATTTTCATCAATAGGTTGGAGCTAAGCTCAGAATTTCAGAAAGTTTGATAGAATCTTGCTATTACTAAAAATTTTATGTGATGTTTAGATTTGAAAGCCAAAAGTATAAAGAGATCCATTTATCATCCATCAGTTCACTCATTCACAAACTCACTCACCTGTTCAAAATAAAATGTACTGAGCTTCTATCATATTTAGAGCTTGATGCTTGCTTTTTTAGATGGATAAAAATATAGTTGTAAACCTTAAGAAGTCGAGCACTTAAAAGCTAGTATGAGAGTTAGACTTTGACACAAATAATCACATAAATAATTAGATATTGGTATAAATAATTATAGTGTAGTCCAATTTAGTATGAAATAGGTAGAGGAGAGGAAGCCTGAAGTTTTGTGGTCAAGACTGGAAATTATCCCACTGGACAAAAAAATTCACAAATCTAAAGGGATTTGGTCATGGGGCAACTGTATTGATATTGGCAAGGCAAAGCAAGATGATAGGAAATGATCAGACTAGCCTCTAAAAGCAATGATCAAGCAGTGGGGCATCAGGTCATGGCAATAATAATAAAGGTCATGAGTGCATGGAGTTTAATGGGCCGAACATATGCCAACTCTTAAGCAAGGAATCTTAATGTTACTGTTAGACATCTGAATGCACAATGTAGAATGAGATAAAAAGCCTGAGTGGTCCTCTGCAAGTGCATAGAGAAATAAGAAACAACTGGTAGGAAAAGTGGCATTTACCTGGTATCTTGAAGGATTTTATTAAGTAGCAATAAGGAGAATGATAGTCAAGGAAAAAGTATGAGAATATGCAAGGTAGTAGGAAAATGTAAAGTGTTTGGGAAAAATAACATTCTATCTCATAAAACCACAGCAGACAAGATCAGGTGTATTGAGAGTGGTATGGCTGTAGATCGTTTAGGGCTATTATAAACACTAGGAAACAGCTTTCCCATATTTCGTCTTTCTTCTTAGGACAAATGTCCAGAAGTAAGTATGCTGGGTCAAATCTAAATTTCAAGTGACCAACTTTTCCATCACTGCCTCCTATTTTCCAGCGTAGTCCTTGTAGCACCTCAACTACAGTAGTTTTTCTTCCCTACTGGGACCTCCAATTCTTTGTACCTTCACACTGCCTCTCTCATTCCTTTCTGCTCCTCCCATGTGCCCATGTCCCCCCAAGAAGCTTAAATGCCACAGTCCATTATTATATCCCTCACTTGCATACTCACTAAACTCCCTTGTCCCTCTCATGTATAGACTTCCCGAAAAATCTTATTCCTGGTTAAATTCCACTCTGATCATTTCATGCTTGCATTCATGTAGCTGATTGCGGTTGGAGAAAAACACACTATTATACTGACTGCTGTTACCCTAAACGTATGACCACAAACTGCAAGTGCACCCTATTTGTTGTCCACCAATCTCTGCACTTCCTATTAGGTTGGTGCCAACATAGTTGCTGTTTTAAAAGTAATTAAAATCATTAAAAGTAATGGCGAAAACTGCAATTACGTTCCCATCAACCTAAATATAACCATGAATGATTATTTTAAGCCTTTTCCTGCCTCCTCAAACCTCAGATGCTTCCTTCCCCCCTGCTTCCTACTTTGTTGAGCAAGTGAATTACTAAAAAGAGCCCTTCCCTACTATGTCTACAGCCCCACATATCTCTTCCTACACTTTGCATTATTTTCTGCTATAGTCAATGAACTGTCAGTGCGCCTGTCTAAGACCATCCCCTACTTGTATACTAAAGTATATTGTCATTCAAGGACATCACTCTTAAAATTGTGCCTGCTTTAGCTTGCATTATTTTCCCTCTCTAGTGTATAATTCTGATCAGCCTATAAGTGTACCATAATATTTTCAGGTTAAAAAAATAAAAATCTTGGCTGGGCGTGGTGGCTCACGCCTGTAATCCCAGCACTTTGGGAGGCCCAGGTGGGTGGATCATGAGTTCAGGAGATCGAGACCATCCTGGCTAACACAGTGAAACTCCGTCTTCACTAAAAATACAAAAACAAAATTAGCTGGGCGTGGTGGTGGGCGCTTGCAATCTCAGCTATTCGGGAGGCTGAGGCAGGAGAATGGCGTGAACCCAGGAGGCAGTTTGCAGTGAGCCGAGGTCCAGCCATTGCACTCCAGCCTGGGCGAAAGAGCGAGACTCCGTCTCAAAAAGTAAATAAATAAATAAATAAAAATTAAAATCTTTTAACCTATGTCATCCTCCTGTAAGTCAAAGTTCTCCTTTACAGTAAAACTCCTTAAAGGTTGACTACTCATGGTTTTCACTTGCTCTGCTTCCATCTGATGTTGAATCCACTCTAATAATTTTTTTATATCTCCCTTTCTACACTGAAACTGCTGTTGTTAAAAGTCATTGATGGCCTCCATATTGCCAAGTCAAATGTTCGCTTCTCCATCTTTATCTCTCTTGGCCCATTAGCAACATTTAGCTTAAAGTTTCTTTTTGGAACACTTTCTTTACTGCTTCCAGAATAACACTTTATTGGTTCTCCATCTATTTCATTGGCTACTCCTTCTCAGTTTTCTTTGATGATTTCTCCTTATTTTTACACATTGGAATTTTGGAATGTCCCAGTGCTGAATTCTCAGATTAATTGTCTTTATCTGTGCTACTGCCCCGTGTGATAACATCCAGCATCATGGTGCTATATTCCATCAATCTATCATGCTCTACCGATTAGTGCCACATTTATATCTGCAGCCTGGACCTCTCCAGACTTAACTACAGTTTATCCAACACCTCTTGTTGCTCAGACTGAACATTTCCAAAACCAAATTCAATTTTCCCCTTTTGTCCTTCTGGAAAACTGTCTCTTCCTGTAGATTTCCTCCTCTAGGTCAATGACAACTCCATTCTGTCATTTTCTTGTACCAGAAGCTTCTAAAAGCTTGAGAGACTTTCACTCACAGCCACATCCAATTCATCAGGAAATCTTGTGGAATCTACCTTCAAAATATATCTAGAATCCAATCACTTCTTACCACATCCAGTGCAACCTCCCTGGTCCGAGCTGCTGTCATCTCTCACATCTGGAATACTCCCACCTGCCATGGCCTGCTACGGTCTCCCTAATCCACTCTTCCACCTCTGCTCTTTTTCACGCAGTGTCAGTGATCCTTTTACAGAGGAAGCTAGATCATGTCACTTCTCTGTTTGAGAGCTTTCATTGGCCCTTTATCTCAGAGTAAAATCAAACATCCTTATTCTTTGTAATTCGGCCCTTCTCTTCCATCTTTTTAACTTCATGTCCTTTTCTTTTCTCACACACTGGCTCCATCCACACTGGCTTTCTTGCTTCTCCTTCTAAACTTGAGGCATGCTCAGGCCCTAGGGCTTGTGAATCTGCCCTTTGCTCTTCCTGGTACACTCTTGTCTGAGATACATTCATAGTGCACCCTCTCACCTCCTTTAGGGCTCAACTCAAATGTCGTCTCTCAGAAAAGCTCTCTTTGACCACTTTTTATAAAATAGCTCCCCCAATATCAGTCTGTACATTTTTATTCTATCTTAGTTTTATTTATAAACTTTTCACCTTCTGACATACTATTTATTTGCTTAATTGCCCATGCCCATTAGAAAGCAAACTTCATAAAAGCAGGCACTTTTACTTTGCTTTTGAACATGCTCTCTTTCCAGGGCCTGAATCATTCCTGCAACACCTGGTTGACATCCACTGTTTTTCGTTGACTGGACAAATAGCATCTATACATTCAAATTGTTGAGTCATATTATCAGACTGTGTTTTACATAATTTCTGTAAGGGCAAGTTTCATCACACACTTATAGGCATTGGATATTAGTTTTAATTTTTGATAATTTGGTGGGCAAATTACAATAGAATATTTTTGATTCCTTATATATTCTTCCTTCATCTTCACATTTCATGTATTTACAATTTTCAAAAACTGTTAATTTTGCAGAAGGCTTCAGTAGATAGACAGGTATTTATCATTGTTTTAGTAATAGTATAGTGTTAACATGTGAATCAACACTACAGTACAATATCTAAATGGAAATAAGGCATAACAAAACACTTTGAAATATCTAATTTGCCAAATAAAGTGGATATCTGAACTTTTATTATATGATTTGCTTTTTCATATATTGCCTCCTAGATATCATTATCTAGCTTATTTGTAATCACTTATTTGCTTTTATCTTGAGTCAGTGTATTCAGAAGGTCGCAGTTGTGAAGAATCCACTGTAGCCCTTGGTAAATTAAATTTTGACATAGGGAAAAAGAGAAACATTTTCAAGTGCTATAGTCATTTTAATTGAACCAAACTGGTTAATCACATTTTAATATTGACAGATTACAAATTGTGAATTGTACCCTAGTTATAACTTTCTGATTTATTAAAACATATCAGTGTGATGGAACTGGTTTTGAGAACTTTTCAGAAAAAAATGTTAGTAAAAACTGTGAAACTACACACATTATGTAAATCCAAAATTATGAGTGTTCTATTCAACTTATACTTTTTTGTTCAATATTGTAAACCACTCTGATAAGATTTACTTATTATAAAAGAAAACTATAAACAGTGGTATATTCAGATCTTGACACATGCATTGAATAATTATTTGATATTTTTTCTGACATTAATGAACCCCTTTTGAACATATTATGCATGAGTCTTTCTGCTACAGGATATCTTTCATTACAAACTTTCTTAGGAAGTCAGCTCCAAGTAAAAGTTTTTGGTTTAATAATGACAGTTTTAAACAGATTTGTTAAGGCATAATTTACATATCATAAAATTTATCCTTTTAAATATATGATTCAGTGATTTTCAAAAAATTTTTAGAGTTATGCAATCCTTAAAAGTTCCCTTGTGTCAATGTGCAGTCATGGCCCACTCCTACCCATCCCCACACCCCAACCACAGGTAAATGATCTATCAGGCAATATGCAGTTCTCAGTGTTTTTGTAGTGGATATCAGAACTTCATTCCTTTGAAATTCCTTTTTATATCTGAATAGTTTTCAATTTTATAGATGTCATATTTTGATTATTAAATAACCAGTGGATTGACAGGTTTTGTTTATTACAAATAATGCTGCTGTGAACATCAGTTGACAAGATTGTATAAATATATGTTTTTAACTCCTTTGAGTAGATTCCTAAGAATGGAATTGTTAGATCCAAAAGTAAGTGTTGGTTTAATCCATTCGTAAGCTGCTAATCTTCCAGAGCGGCCATACAACTTTATAGTCTCCCCAGCAGTGTATGAGAGTTCCACCTTCTTCACTTTCTCGCTGGCACCTGGTACGGCAGTTTTAAAAAATGAGAATCCTTCTAGCAGGTGTGGAATTGTATCTCATTGTAGTTTTAAATTACATTTCTCTAATGACCGATGATGGTGAACATCTTTTCATGTGCTTATTTGTCCTTTGTATAGCCTCTTTGATAGAATATCTATTCAATTCTTTTGCCAATTTTTAAGATGAATTAAATCCATATTTTGAGTTTTAAGAGTCCTTTATCAATTCTGGTCACAAGTGCTTTGTCCAATAGATGATTTACAAATATTTTTTCTCAGTTTATTACTTGTCCTTCATTTTCTTAATGGCATCTTTTGAAGAATAAAGGTTTTTAATTTTAATGAAGTCAAATTTATCATTTTCCCTTATGGATTATGCTTTTAGTGTCTTAATCTTTGCCTAATCTAAGGTCACAAAAATTCTCTCCTGTTTTCTACTAGAAGTCTTTGTAATATTAGCTCTTACATCTAGGTCTATAATCCTATTTGAGTTAATCTTTGTGTATGGTTTGAGGTAAGGGCCGAAAGTCATATTTTTGCATATGGATATCTAATTGACCTGGAAACATTTGTTGAAAAGATCATCCATTTCCCAATGGTAGCTTTGTTAAAAATGAATTGATCAAAAATCTAAGGATTTATTTCTGGTCTTTCAATTCTGTTCTGTTTGTCTATATGTCAATTTATGCTAGTACCAACTGTCTTGATTACTGTAGCTTTATAGTAAGTTTGTAACTTCAAAGTGTAAATCCTCCAACTTTGTTCTTTTAAAAAATTGTTCTGGCTATTCTAGATCCTTTATAATTCCCTCTCAAGTTTAGAAGCATATTTCCAACTTCTACAAAAAAAGCCTGGTGGGGTTTTGATAGAAATATTATTGTTTCTGTAGATCAATTCTTGGGAATTTTCTTGTTAACCAATATTAAGTCTTCATCATAAACATATAATGTCCATCTACTTTTATATTCTTTAATTTCTCTCAGTAATATTTTATTATTGTCAGTGTACAAATTTTACACTTCTTTTATTAACCCATTGCTAAGAATTTTACACTTTTTGATGATTTTTGAATAGAATTTCTTATTTTCATTTTTGAATTTTTAGTTGCTATTATATAGAAATACATTTGAATTTTTTTTATATTGATCATGAATTGTGCAAACTTGCTATATTCATTTAATAGTATCTAGTCTGTCTTCCTTTTATAGATTCTTTAGGTTTTTCTACCTAAAGAATCTGTAGTCTGTGAATAGAGTTTTACTTCTTCCTTTCTAATTTGTATGCCTGTAATTGCTCTGATTTGTCTAAGTGTAGTGGGTAGACCTTCCAGTTTGATAATAAATAGTAGTGAAGCAGGCAGATGCCCTTGCCTTAGTTCTGTCTTAAGTGGGGGTTGTTCAATGCTTCTCTTAGATGCCCTTGTTGATGAAGTTTCTTTCTATGCTTTGTTTGTTGAATTTTTTAAAATCATGAATATGTATTAGATTTTGTCAAATAGTTTTTCTGCATCTATTAGGACAATGATATGCTTTTCTGTCCTTTATTCTATTAATGTGATGTATTGTATTAATTAATTTTTATATTTTAAACTTGTCTCGCATTCCTGGGATAAATCTCACTTGGATGTGTTGTATCATTCTTTTATATGTTGTTAGATTTGGTTTGCTACCGTTTTGTTTTCTGCATCTTTCACAAAAAGTGGTATATTTTACTGCTTTAATTTATATTTGATACTATAGCTTTTTAAAAAAACTTTTATTTTAGGTTTGGGGGTACGTGTGAAAGTTACATAGGTAAACTTGTGTCACGGGGGTTTGTTGTACAGATTATTTCATCACCCAGGTATTAAGCCCAGTACGCAATAGGTATCTTTTCTGCTCCTCCCTCTCCTCCCACCCATTGCCCTCAGGTAGACCCCAGTGTCTGTTGTTTCCTTCTTTGTGTTCATGAGTTCTTATCTTTTAGCTCCCACTTGTAAGTGAGAACACGTGATATTTGGTTTTCTGTTCCTGTGTTAGTTTGCCAAGGCTAATGGTCTCCAGCTGCATCCGTGTTCCTGCAAAAGACATGATCTCATTCTTTTTATGGCTGCATAGTATGCCATGGTGTATATGTACCACATTTTCTTTATCCAATCTGTTACTGATAGGCATTTAGGTTAATTCCATATCTTTGCTATTATGAATAGTGCTACAGTGAACATTTGCTTGCCAGTGTCTTTATAGTAGAATGATTTATATTCCTCTGGGTTTATACCTAGTAATGGAATTGCTGGGTTGAATGGTAAGCCTGCTTTTAGTTCTTGGAGGGATCGCCACACTGTCTTTCACATTGGTTGAACTAATTTACATTCCCACAAACAGTGTATAAACGTTCTCTTTTCTCCACAACCTCGCCAGCATCTGTTATTTTTTGATGTTTTAATAGTATCCATTCTGACTGGTGTGAGATGGTGTCTCATTGCGGTTTTTATTTGCATTCTGTAATAATCAGTGATTTTGAGCTTTTTTTTTCACATGCTTGTTGGCTGCATGTATGTCTTCTTTTGAAAAGTATTTGTTCATGTCTTTTGCCCACTTTTTAATGGGGTTGTTTGTTTTTCTCCTGCAAATTAGTTTAAGTTCCTTATAGAAGCTGGATGTTAGTCCTTTGTCAGATGCATAGTTTGCAAATATTTTCTTCCATTTTCTAGGTTGTCTGTTTACTCTGTCAATAGTTCCTTTGGCTGTGAAGAAGCTTTTCAATTTAATTAGATCCCACTTGTCAATTTTTGTTTTGTTGCGATTGCTTTTGGTATCTTTATCATGAAGTCTTCGCCTGTTCCTGTATCCAGGATGGTATTGCCTAGATTATCTTCCAGAGTTTTTATAGTTTTGGGTTTTACATTTATGTCTGTAATCCATCTTGAGTTGATTTTTATATAATGTTTGTTACTATTTTAGTAATGATTTTTTGGTATATGTTTATGAAAAGTATTGTTCTATAGTTTTCTTTTCTTGTGGTATCTTTGGGTTTGAATTTATGCAAAGAGTTGGGAAGTGTTCCTCCACCTCTAGTTGATGAAAAAGGTTGTGTAGGATTAGTATTATTTCCTTTCAAAAACATTTATAGAGTTCACTAGGGAAGACACCTGGGCCTGAATTTTCCTCTGTGGGAAGAATTTAATTGCTAATTCAATTATTTACTTATTGTTCTATTCAGATTTTTGTTTATGAGTCTTTTGTAGTGATTTAGATCTTTTAATGAATTTGTCCATTTCATCTAAGTTGTCCAATTTTTTGGCATAGAGTTGTTCAAAATATTCTCTTATAGTTCTTTTAATTTCTGAAGAATTCATAGTGATGTCTACTCTTTCATTCTTGAGTGTAACAATTGTGTCTTTTCTTGGTTAACATAGCTACAGGTAAAATAGTTTTGTTGATCTTTTCAATAAGCTAACTTTTGGTTTCATTGATTTTCTCTATTGTTTTATGTTATCTATGTAATTGATTTCTGGATCTTTAGTTTTTCCTTCCTTTTGCTTGCTTAGGCTTTTCTTTCCTAGGCTCTTAAAGTAGAAGTTTGGATTATTTATTTGAAAAATTTTTTTAGTATTTACATTGACAGCTATATTTTCTTTAAAACACTGCTTTAGGTATATCTCATACATTGATGAGTTGTGTTTTTATTAAGTTCAAAATGTATTCTAATTTCCATTATAACTCCATTTATCTGTGAATTATTTAGAGTATGTTGTTTGTTTTTTATGTATTTGTGGAGTCCCTAAATTTCTTTATGTTGTCAGTTTCTAATTGATTATTGTTGTGGTTGTGGACAATACCTGAATGATTTCAATAATTTTAAATTTATTGAGATGTATTCTTTGGTTTAGCATATATTGTGTGTGCATTTGAAAATAATGTGTATTTCGCTTTGTTGGGTGGAGTGCTCTCTGAATGTCAGGTCTAGTTGATTGTGTTGTTCAAGTCTTCTATACCCCTTTATTTTTTCTGTCTAGTTTTTCTATCAAATATTGAGAATACAGTATTAAAATATACAACTATAATTGTTTAATTGCCTATTTTGCCTTTAAATTCTGTCAGTTTTAGCTTTGGGTATTTTCTGTCTCTGTGTGTAAGTATACAGCTATGATTGCTATATTGTCCTGATGTATTGGCCCTCTGACCATTATGAATGATCCTCTTTGTCTGTAGTTACATTTATTGTTTCAAAGTATTTTTGTATGATATTAATACAGCCACATCAGCTCCCTGATGGTTATACAGTATAGCTTTTTCCATCCTTTTATTTTCACCTGTTTATGTCTGTATCTAAAGTGTATCTCTTATAGACAGCATTTGGTTGGATCTGGTCTTTGCGTGCAGTCTGATAATCTGCCTTTTGATTGTAGTGTTTAAGTCTAGTTACAGCTAATTGACATGGTTGGAATCTGTCATGTTGCTGTTTGCTTTCTCTAACTCACATGCTTTCTGAACTCCATACTCTGTTCCAAATCAAGTCAGCTACCTCCAGCAATGAAGCTGCTGGTTTCAAGACCAGTGCCACTATTGTAAAATATCCATGTTGACCCAGTAGGGCAGTGGATGGGGATAATAGCTTCAGGCTGGAATTCCGCAGACTCCTACTGTTAACTGACATTCCATAGTTTCTGGTGAATACATGCTTCTCAATTTGCTGTTTGCCCGTGGTTGATTTCTAGATCCTGGAATTATTGTCCTGACAATGTGATCCAGTTGTATAGCTATTTTCATTTTTTTTTTGTGGAGACTGTTTGTGATCCTTTTACTCCTTCATGGTCAGAAGTCTCTAACATTTTGAATTTGGTAAAATATTTTGATGAAATGTGGGCTTTCTTTTTTTGACAAATGAAAAATGATAACTGAAAAACTCCATAATCATATTTTTTCTTATACTTTAACTAGACTTTAAAAATTAAGTTAAAGGTTTTTGGAACTATAAATTTTTCTCAATACTGATAGATTGTTTGTCTTATAGCAGTTTAAAAACTAGGTGATAACCTAAAAGTTATATAAATCTTATAAAGTCTCAGGTTTTTTAAATCTCTACTTTTTACTTCCTACATTTATTAATAGAGTGATTTTATTTTATTATTGCGCTTAATCAATTTTGTCAGACTCTAAATTTACCATGGAATTAAAAATATACAGACTGTTAATAAGAAAATAGTGACAATGTGTAAATTTCACTTTCTTGTGAATAGGTAGTGAAGGGAAGGAAAAGACAGAGACTATATGTTAGAATCAGGGGATCTCAGAATGTAAAGGTATCGTATATCTCCAGTTCTGTAGCTGAGATAATTACATTGGTCACTCAGCTGCCAAGGGATTGAGCTGATTCAAACCCAAGTTCACCTGATTCTAAAGTCAATGCTCTTATCCAACTAGTAGATGCCTCTTATCAGATTAGTATGGGACTTTCTCATTCTGATTTACTGTAACTTAATAGAGCACTGGGGCCATGTGCCATCTGCTCTGCAGGGACAAAATCTAAAAGAAAAGAGACGAGATTGGACTATAAGGCAATGTTGGTGCTTTTCTGTACCTTCCCCCACATATTCATTTTTCTTGCATTCCAGGACACCCTCAGTCACTAGCTATTTCCACAATCTGGGATTTTTGTACTGTGCTTTAAATCAGGTCCTTCCTCCACAAGAACAGAAACTTCCAACCTATAAATTCCTTCATGTTTCTCTATGATGATCAAATCAGTCATTACCATTTTGAGTTAATGGAAATTCTTTCCTTTTTCTGTAGTTAGAATGAAATATTTTCAGCATTTGGGAGATTTTTTCACTTCAGACTTCATAGTCAAATGTTAGAGCTATTCAAAAAAATGGATTAGACTTCATCAGTATGCTAGTGAGCTCTATATGAATGGAGGTATTCAAGCACAGGTTCCATGACAGGGAGGTTCACTTGTTGAAGACTATGATAAATGCTATTGTATTTTAACAATAATGGATATGTAAGTGGTTTCTTGAGGCCTAAACATAAAACTGCTTTTTTACAATTGTCCCTAGTTATGTTATTACACTCTTCCTTTTCACACAAAGTAGTGCCCCCCTTTAAAAAAACCAGTCTTGTTTCAAAACTTTTCGATTGCTTTTGTTTATTAGTTTGATTCTTTTTGTTTCTTTAAAACTTCATCCAGTTTATTTTAAAGTATGACCCTTATATCCGGTGTAAAACTCTTCACATCCCTCTGCAAACTCGAAGTGCAAGAATGGAAGGAGCAGTCTTCTCTATTTTTGTCCCACCTTCCTTCCCAGCACCAGATCCTTGGAACCTGGAGAGAGGACAGAGGAGGTAAAGGTTTCTGCAAGTGGCTACAAAGTACCCGTTTTGACTCCAGCAGGGAGGGAAGAGAGGAAATATCCCTTCCATGAATGCAGCCTCCCTAAAGCATAGCCTCCTTCTTCTTCCTATCAATCATCTTTTTAGTAGGTGGGAGTGTGTTTGTGTATGTACATGCACATGTGTGGCAGTACAGTCATCCCTCATTATCGTGGGGGATTGGTTTCAGAACCTCAGAAGATGCTCAAGTCCGTTATATAAAGTGTCATAGTATTTGCATATAACCTACACCCATTCTCCTGTATACTTTAAATCATCTCTAGTTACTTATAATATCCAATACAATGCCTACACATCACTTCATTTGCATGGATTAAGTGTAGTACTCCACAGGTGGAAAATTAAAATTTTATTATTTGGAACCCTGTGGAAATTTTTCCCAAATATTTTCCATCCACAGTTGGTTGAATCCACAGAGGTGGAACCCAGAGATACAGTAGGCCGACTGTATTTCTGGTTCTGTTAACTGACCATTTTTCAGAAAGCCTTTCAAGGAGGTGGCTATCTCTAACAGGCTGGGCTCTCTGAACTTTAAATATGTTCTTTATATATGATGCGATTGCTTCCAACTGTAGGTTTTAATCACCATGTACAGTTTCTGGCACTTAATACCGTTGTGTTTTAGGAGTTAAATAAAATGAGTGTTATTTGACCATATATGAGTTAGTAGCATATTTTTGTAATTGGGAGAGAATATGATATTGGATTCTCTTTGGTAGAAAATTGTTGTTTTTGTCATAAAGAAACTCTTCTTTGCTTTAGCAGTCATACCTGAAAACACTGTTGATCAAGATGGTAAAGCTTTTTTGTCCATTTGTTTGTTTTTGTGATTACTGTTCTTCACCATAATGGTGCTGAATGTTTAATAGAAAAAGTCCCTTGTATTTGAGAGAGGAAAGTAATTGGTACTATGATATTTTAGGAAGTTTTGTTCTCCATATGAAACAGATATGATAGAATAATTTTCAACAGCTTATCATTGACAACAGGACAGAATTCATACTTAGTCCTTTCTTCCTATGTACATAAAGAATCAAATGACTTCTGCAGGTAAAGTCTTTTACCAGGACCTTTGATAATAAAATAAGTAAAAGCAAGAAATTGTAATGCAAGATATGTATTTATATAGTACAATAATTACTATTTCTATTATGTATGATTTATACTTTATTATGTGCTCAACAAATACTAGAGGCAGAATATGATAAAGACTGAAATGCTATATATATTTATCTTTTAATTTTTTTTTTACAGTCTTTAGTGTTGTCACAATCTGCACATTAACGCATTTTTATCCTTTAGGACTAGATCAAAATCAGTCATGTGTCCTAAGTCTGGCTGTCTTCCTTCCTGCCTGTCTTCCTTCCTCCCTTCCTTCTTGCCTGCCTGCCTTTCTTCCCTATTTTTCCTTTTTATGAAGAAGAGGGTAAAATTATATCTGTGAGTTTGAAATCAATGATTCTGTTAATTAGGGGTTAAATTAGAGCTTTCACATTTCAACATAACTTGTAATGCCCAAATTTATCC
This sequence comes from Homo sapiens, assembly GCF_000001405.40. Taxonomy (NCBI): domain Eukaryota; kingdom Metazoa; phylum Chordata; class Mammalia; order Primates; family Hominidae; genus Homo; species Homo sapiens. Next base: position 182,479,369 of record NC_000002.12, on the reverse strand, counting down.
AAGAATTGTTATGATTGCCAACGTGGTAAGCTGTCAACATAACTATCTTTTGGGTGAACTTTTGAGTGGGAGTAAATGTAATGACAGGCATATTGCTTTTATGCATCCTTAAGATGCCTACAATTGCTGATTTTTATAGAAGTAAAGTTCACTTTTCCTGATTTGAGTTTGTCTAAGAAAATCCTAACACTTTCTATATAGACTGCTCTATAAACATGATCTAAAAGGATTATCCATTTGTAGGATTAATATTCACATATATTTGCATTTGAGATATGTAAGGCTTTTATCCTTTTTCCTCACTTCTAACTAAACAGGATTAATAAGGGAATATCATCAATCATATCTATTGTGTTTTGAAGCAAGATGGTATATAAAAATAATACAACAGGACAGGAGTCATTTTTCAGACATTGTGCCATTATAATTTTAGTTTTGAGAAGAGAATGTTGTTATAGTCAAGTCACCCAAGGCCAGATTAAGGGGTCTAGTAACCTTTTTAAAGTCATAAGCTAGATTTATAACCCCTTCATTTCTTGCATGATGAGAGATGTGAAGTGTTCACTCTATTAGCCTCCAAATATGGGATCTGGGGCATGAAAAGTTATATAGAAAAATGTCAACTTTTACACACTAAGAAAAGAGTTTGTGCTAGCCAAGAAATTGCACAAAATTTTGGAGGCAGCAGGACAAATGTATTGGCAGTGATATCCAGACATGATCAGTCCAGGTACTATGTTTGACTTTTGTGTTGTGATTTTTCCAATTAAAACCTGGTCTGAACTAAAAGGTATTTGCAGGGATAAATGACATGAGGAAATACAGTAGGTATGAAGGTGCCCCTGAAATAAGAGTGGTATATATGTGGCTTGCATATGTAGTTTCCCCATTCTCAGCCCAGGTAAGATACTGTTCATCTATTAAAGCACCTTGTCCTACTGAGGCTGGACATTGTCCTCAATGCAGTGCTCCAGGAATTCACTGCCAATCCAAGAGAATGATAGAGCACTATTTTTTTTTTTCTGCATAGCAGGAATAACCAGCTCAGTATTTGACTCAGAAATACCTAATGGATGTTTTATCATAAATGTATTGAACAAGATGGTTGAAAATTTATAAAATTCCATTGGTGTTTTGGGGATTATAGCAAGTATCGAGACACAAAGAAATACATCTTTAGAGTTACCTGTTTATTTTCAAAATTCTACTTAAAAGAAACACTCATCAAAGAAACAAAAAAAGTTTAGCAATGGATCGTTTTCACGTTGGTGTATACTGGTTTGAGCTGCTTCTTTTTGAGATGAGTTTCATCTCTGCCTGCAGTTACTCTTTCAGCTCTACTCCATGTTGACATGCAGCTGTCCTTTGTCACGGCAAGAATGTGAGTCAGGCTCCATGGCTCCTGCAATAAAATCCCACCTTTTCTTCCTACACACCTGGAATCTAGAGAATGAAGATCCCCCAGTCCTCCACAAAAGAGACGTGCATCACTTGAATGATGTTTTTGTGATTGGGTTGTGAGCTATATCATACAGCTTCTGTCAAAAGCATGAAAGGGCTCTGGGCTTTCAAACTTTGAGTGAGTTCGTGTGTCGTTTACCGTAACTATGCAATCTTATGCATCTTTGGATTCAGTTTTCTTATTCGCAAAATGGAGATCACTGTGATAATGCTCTCTATGTCTAGGATTTGTTTTGTGGCATGAAATTAAATATGTGAAAATTTGTGTGCAGTTTCAAACAAATGCCAGTTAACCTTCAACCCTACACGCTGTGTTTTCTAGAACATGGCACTTACCATATGTGGAGGCAGGACAGCAGAGAAGTTGACAACATTGTCTTTGAAGCCAAGCACACCAGATTCACATCTCAATTTCACCATTCACTACGTGACTCAAGGAACTTTCCTTGACCTTTCTGAGCCTCAATTTCTTCATTTGCCTTGATTGAAATGGACTGTTATAATTAAATTGTCAAGTGTTTAAAGCAGCTGTCATAGTCACTTGTTCCCAGTAAATAGTCAATTAATGGCAGCTATTATAATCAATAAATACTAGTTGACTTAATGAAAGTTATAATCCAAGACATGCTAACCAGACTACATTTTTCTCTTTTACCCTCAACATGAGTCAGATAATTGGAAGGCTACATATATGAATTATTTTGCATTACCCCGCAGTACACTTACTGCTATAGGTTCTCAATATAGGATATATTGGCTTCTTATTGATGTTCTTTTGAAGTGATGGAAATCCATGAATGCCTTTGACTTACGAATTATTATGCTGTTCCTTTTGTTTTTTGATGTCATAGCCCATATGACAAACTCTTAACAGAATTTAAATATTAGAATAAACATCTTTCTTTTGATTTATTGTTGTATCTTCTTTCATGAGGCAAAATGTGTCATGTATAATGCATAACATTTCCCTGTTTACTTTGGCTGCCAGGAAGCTCAGAGTTTTTTTTTTTTTTTATGAAAACCTTAGCCATGTAAAAAATTGAAACCTTCTTATATAATTGTTGCTTCCTAGTCACTTTTATTATTGGTCTTTTATTCTTTCATTTTTATGTTACTATATTCCAGTTCTGTATCTTCATTTTCAGGGTAAACTTGCCCAAGCTCCTTTTCAAATAAATGGATCACTGAAAATTAGAAAACTAGAAAAATAGTGTTATTTAATTCTGATAAGCTTTGATTCTACTTTTGCTATCCTGCAACATTCCACATTAATTTTATTAAATCAGAATTAATTTTGACACTCAGTAAATGTCCTAATCAGCAAAGCAGTGTACTGTCTATTAATCAAAATAATGTGTGCATTATGAAATAACATGCTAAGATGGGTAACACTACTTTTATTTAATTAATTTATTTATTTGAGACAGAGTCTCGCTTTGTTGCCCAGGTTTGAGTGCAGTGGGGATCTCAGCTCACTGAAACCTGTGCCTCCTGGGTTCAAGTGATTCTCCTGCCTCAGTCTCCCAAGTAGCTAGGATTACAGGCATGTACCACCACACCTGGCTAATTTTTGTATTTTTGGTAGAGACGGGGTTTTGTCATATTGAATAGGCTGGTGTTGAATTCCTGACCTCAAGTGATCCACCCATCTTGGCCTCCCAAAGTGCTGGGATTACAGGTGTGAACCACCCCATCCAGCCTTAATTTTAAAAATATAATTAATTCTAATTAATAGTTAACCAACCTGTGGATACAGAACATACATATTTATTGTTGTGATATTTCACCTTTAAATGAAAATTGGTCACAATATAAAAATAACCCTTTTAAAATTAATATAGTATTTCTTTTTGTGCTCATGTATAAAATTTAGCTTTTAATATGTTCTTTTGGAGAAAAAATTTAAACATTTGTTCTTTTCTCATATAGCCTTAAGTGCACCTAGTTTTAATTTTTTATCAACATCCTACCTCCTCAAAACTTTTTCTGTGTTATCTTAAAAACAATGTTAAAAACTATGTTATCTCAGAAACCAGTGAACAGAAATTCATTGTATAACATTTTGGTAAACAAGCAGTTAAGGATTTTGAAAGGGCTCCATTTCCATTCTACTACTTTTTGCTGAGTATATGGCCTAAGGAAACTGATAAAACAGTTTTAATGAGTGAAATAAAATGAAGTTGTATATTAACTTCATTAAAGGCAAGAGAGTTGACAAAAAAATCTGGTATGTTTGAGAAGTGTTTTGTGGTCCTTAATGTTGGAAGAAAGAATGAATAGCCCGTGCTTGTTTCCTAAGAGATAATTTCAGTCACAAAAACTATAACCCTAGCTCTCCCAGAATATATTGGTAATAACAAACTATTAAAGTAATAATGAGAATGGTAAAGCATATAGTCTGGCTGTGGATTCCAGCCCTTTGGAGCTGCTTGGAATATAAATCACTTCTCAGTTTGCAAATTTATTCCCCTCAGTGAGATACTGTATATAAAACACAATGTCTGATTTGAAGAGTTTGGGCAGAGGAATGGGGAGACCCTCAATTTCTTCACTTTTCTTAACCTGTCTTGCCTCCATTAGTGGGGCTATCAACACTGTATCACCTGATGGCCTTAGTCTGCACCTGTTGCTGCTGTCCCAGATGGCACTCATCTTGGTCTTTTTTCCTGAGGTCTCATCTTGACAGTGCTGATGTGGAAGACATCCCATTCCTGAAGTCCATTGTTGCCATGCTTGTTGAAGTAGTGGAAGGCTCTAACTTCTTACTTGGCTCCTGAAAGTGTCTAAGCTTTTACTTTACTTTTTCAAGAAGGTATAGACAAGTCCTTGAGATGAGAGAAAAAGCTATCTAAAGAGAAACACAGAGAGCTACCTCTAAAAGTGCTGTGACAAGGGATACCCCAGAATGATGTCAAGCCACACTGACTCTTTTCTCTCAGACATGATCCATTTCCCATTTAGAGAGAGACTGTGGCAGTGTTTATCTTCTCTTTTGTGAGGAGTTTTAATTTCTGTATGTCTTAGCCCAGTTTTCTACATAAATTCTATTTTTCTGTTGGAATTCTATGTTGTCTTTGTGTAAGTAGAGCTTTACAGCATCAGCTTGGGCAGTTGAGTGTTCTTGGTCATCGTCTTCTCCTTAATCTTTTTGGAAAGAGTAAGCCAGGGAGTTTTATTAGGGTTTATGTATATATAATTGTCCTCATATTCTATCTTTTTTCTGTATTATTGAGGAAAAGCAGTAACCTGATAGAACTTGTATATATCATCAAGAGGACTGACCTAATAAGCACCTACTATGTGCTTTATAATAATCTCGTTTAATTCTCACAAATCCTTAAAAATTAGGAATGTGCATTTTATATGTTAAAAAATACCAGGGTTCAGAGGAGTTAAGTGGCTTGATCAAGATCACATGCTAATTATGAATGGAGTCCATGTTCAATTTTGGTGCATTTTGTTGGACCCCAAAGTGCATCCTCTACTTCTAGGGCAGCTTTTGGCCTCCTTGAGTAAATGACTTCTCCACTGCTGAATAGCCTACTTTGCTGCTGCACATGACGCCTGAGGCATTCCTGTTGGGTCCTTTCATTTGATAAACATGTTTACAAATACTTTTTTTCTCACTCTGAAAGAGCCTTTCTTAGCTGAAGCGAAAGAGTAAAACTTTCATCATAGTAAAATACCTAGACCCAAGTAAATATTTACTCTTCATGGTTACCCATCACTTTACACAAAGTAGGTTCATAATATATACACACCAAAAAATGTTTATATTGAATTTAAAGAACGCTTATATACTGTTGGTGGGATTGTAAATTAATTCAACCATTGTGGAAGACAGCGTGGTGATACCTCAAAGACTTAAAGGCAGAAATACGATTTGACACAGCAACCCCATTACTGGGTATATACCCAAAGGAATATAAATCATTCTACTATAGAGATACATGCACATGTATGTTCACTGTAGCACTTTTCGCAATAGCAAAGACATAGAATCAACCTAAATGCCCATCGTGATAGACAGGATAAAGAAAAGGTGGCACATATATACCATGGAATATTATACACCCATGAAAAAGAATGAGATCATGTTCTTTGAAGGAACGTGGATGGAGCTGAAGGCCATTATCTTAGCAAACTAATGCAGGAACAGAAAACCAAATACCTGATGTTCTCACTTATATGTGGGGCTAAATTATGAGAACACATGGACACATAGAGGGAATTAACACACACTGGGGCCTATCAGAGGGTGGAAGGTAGGAGGAGGGTGAGGATCAGGAAAAATAACTAATGATACTAGGCTTAATACCTGGGTGATGAAATGATGTACACAACAAACTGCCATGACACACGTTTACCTATGTAACAAACCTGCACATGTACCCCTGAACTTAAAAGTATAAAAAAAGAAAAAAAGTGCCTGTTCATGTCCTTCACCCACTTTTTGATGGGGTTGTTTGTTTTTTTCTTGTAAATGTGTTTGAGTTCATTGTAGATTCTGGATATTAGCCCTTTGTCAGATGAGTGGGTTGCGAAAATTTTCTCCCATTTTGTAGGTTGCCTGTTCACTCTGATGGTAGTTTCTTTTGCTGTGCAGAAGCTCTTTAGTTGAATTAGATCCCATTTGTCAATTTTGGCTTTTGTTGCCGTTGCTTTTGGTGTTTTAGACATGAAGTCCTTGCCCATGCCTGTGTCCTGAATGGTAATGCCTAGGTTTTCTTCTAGGGTTTTTATGGTTTTAGGTCTAAGGTTTAAGTCTTTAATCCATCTTGTGGGGTTGAGGGGGGAGGGATAGCATTAGGAGATATACCTAATGCTAAATGCTAAATAATGCTAAATGGGTGCAGCACACCAGCATGGCACATGTATACATATGTAACTAACTTGCACATTGTGCACATGTACCCTAAAACTTAAAGTATAATAACAATAAAATAAAAAATTTAAAAAAAAAAAATTAATAAAATTTTTAAAAAGCTTATGTATGAGTCTGGATACTAAAGGTAGGATTTAATGTTAAAGAAGTTCTTCTCCGGCTCTAAATGTATTTATTTAAAAAAAGTTTTGTTTTTCTTTTTGCCTAAAGAAAATCTTTACTGTGAGAAATGACAAATCAGATTTTGTTTAGAAGGTCTGTGAATTTAATAGCAGTTGAGCTAGAGTTGATTATGTGGAAATGAGCTTTTTTATTTGTATATATTCATGGGTACAAGTGCAATTTTGCTACATTGATGTACTACACTGTCATGAAGTCAGAGTCTTCAGTGCATCCATAACTAGAGTAATGCACTTTGTACCCACCAAGCAACCTCCCATCATTCACCCCTCCTCATCCCTCATACCCTTTCAAGTCTTCATTGTCCACCATTCCACACACTGCTTCAATGTGTACACATAATTTAGCTCCCACTTATGAGGAGAACGTTTAGTATTTGTCTTTGTGTTTGAGTTGTTTCACTTAGGATAATGGTCTCCAGTTCCATCCGTGTTGCTGCAAAAGACATGATTTTATTCTTTTTTTGTGGCTGAATAGTATTTCATTGTGTATATATACCACATTTTCTTTATCCAGTTATCCATTGATGGCCACTTAGGTTGATTTCATATTTTGCTTTTGTGAATAGTTCTGTGATAAATAGACAAGTACAGATATCTTTTTGATATAATGATTTTTCTTTTCCTTTGGGTAGATACCAAGTAGTGAGACTGCTGAATCATATGGTCATTCCTTCTTTAGTTCTTTGAGAAATCTCCATACTGTTTTCCATAAAGGTGGTACTAATTTACATTCTCACCAACAGTGTTTTAAGTTCCTTTCTTTCCACATCCTCTCCAACATGTTACTTTTTGTCTTTTTAATATTAGTCATTCTCGTTAGTGTAAGATGGTATCTAATTGTGATATTAATTTGCATTCATCTGATTATTAGTGATGTTGAACATTTTTTCATATGCTTGTTGGACATTTGTCTTCTTTAAAAATATAGTCTATTCATTGCCCTAGCCCAGTTTTAAATGGGATTATTTGGGAATTTTTTGTTGTTGAGTTGTTTGAGTTCCTTATACATTCTGTCCCCTTTTGGAAATATTTTCTCTTTCTAAATGGATTTTAAAATAAAAAAGTTTAGAGGAAGAGTGTCTTATGAAACTCTTTTAGCCACCGTATTGCTGAACCATTGACTTTCTTGTTGACATTCACTGAAGAGTTGGAACACTATTCCTATTCAAGAAACTTTTCTACAAAAAAATTCTTAAAAAAGAAGGAAATGGTAACGTAAAAATTCTCTTTCCAAAGTACAGTGTAATAAAGTGGTGTGTAGTACATAGCATCTTAATAGGTAAAAGGAATTGGGTTGGTATATCTTGGAGAAGAAACACTTAGAAAACTTTTACCTTACCTTCTATCCTACACTCAAAAACTAGTTTCATTTTAGTCAAAATTTGAGAAGTCATAATTCAAGAGACTTCTGTATTTTGCTTTATTATAATTGGGCTTCTTGTGAGAACATCAATAATTATACTGTGTATAAAAGGTTCTTCAGAACATCTAATGATTGTGGGACTAGGTGAGGTCAATTCTGTGGTAGGCATAGGGAAAGCTTCTTATTCATATTTTTCATCTGCCTGACATATAATACCTTTGTGATATATTATCCATTTTATTAAATAAACAGTTATTGAAATGTATCTCTTCTTTATAACTTCTAAGTGTTCTAAAGCCACATGACTATGGATTATAGCTGATGGCTTTAGATAATATTTTTGCTCTAGATATAAATGTATTGGTCTGTAGAGCAAGTTGACTTTCATGTTACCACTTAAAAAATTTAGTTCACTAAATTTTGAAGATTGTCATTTGCCTACTCTCGGTTTTTTAGATAAGTGTATATAATTTTAACTATTTGAAATGTTATTCCACCTACATGCAGTAGTTAAGCACAAAAATCACTTAGAACACAGACAAGGTAATTCATGAAAAACAAATTGCTATATCAAAATAGTCATAGTATCTCTATAAAAATGTGAAGTCAAATGTCATCTCCCACTGGATTGAGCCTAATGCTCCTTGTGCAAAACCTTTCTTCTAAGTGTTCTGTAACACAGTTGAGATTCTCTTCACTCCATGACTGTGTTCGTATATAGTACCTATTTGCTGTCCCATGAACAGTGCATACTGTCTCTTGCATCTACCCTCATTTCACAGGATGACTTCTTCCCATTCTTAAGATCTCAATGTACAGAAACCCACTTTCAGAATAAATCCTGGATTGCAAGACAGTAGTGGAGGCCCCTCCACTTTGAATATATAGCTTCCTGTATGTATTTACTGACTTCACAGTGTTATCATATCTTTATTGAAATTTCCTATTTCTCTCTCTTACTAAACTATAAGTTCCTAGAGAGGAAGAACTGTCTTCTTGTTTACTGTTAAATAGCTATTTCTATAATAGCTTTTGCTAGAGAATAGCTGCTCAATTAATATTTGGAGAATTGAATTATACCGAACATTTAGAATGCTAGAAAGCATTGAGATTAACACCATTGAGTTTGATGTTAGCTGTAGTTTTTCATAGCTGCACTTAATCAGGTTAAGGATATTCCTGCTAAGCTCTAGATTTCTCAGCTTTTATTATGAAATGTTGGTCTATTTTGTCAAATTCTTTCACTAAATTTACTGAAATGATTCTATAAACACCTCATTTCATTACACTTGGCTTTACTGCACTTCACAGATATTGTGCTTTTTATAAATTAAAAGTTAGTGGGAACCCTCTGTTGACCAAGTCTACCAGTGCCATTTTTCTAACAGCGTGTTTTCACTTAATATCTTTCTCACATTCTGATAATTCTTGCACTATTTCAAACTTTTCCATTATTATTATATTTATTGTGGTGATCTGTGATCAATGATCTTTGTTGTTACTATTGCAATTGTTGTGGGGCACCAACCACATGTAAATAAGACAGAGAACTTAAATGTTACATGTGTTCTGATTGCTCCTACTGGCCAGCTATTCCCTCTCTCTCTCTTCCTCTCCTTAGCCTCCCTGTTCCCTGAAACAATATTGAAATTAGACCAATTAGTAACCTTTCAATGACCTCTATGGCCTCTAAGGCCTCTAAATGTTCAAGTGAAAGAAAGAGTTGCATGTTTCTCACTTTAAATCAAAAGCTAGAAATGATGAAGTTTAGTGAAGAAGGCACAGTGAAAGCCGAGATAGGCTGAAAGCTTGGCCTCTTGCACCAAAGAGTAAGCCAAGTTGTAAACACAAAGGAAAAGTATTGATGAAAATTAAAAGTGCTATCCTAGTGAACATATGAATTATAAGGAAGCCAAACAGACTTATTGCTGATATGGAGAAAGTTTTAGTGGTCTGGATAGTTGATCAAACCAGCCACAACTTTCCCTTTAGCCAAAGCCTAATTCGGAGCAAGGCCCTAATCCTCTTCAATTCTATGAAGGCTGAGAGAGGTGAGGAAGCTGGAGAAGAAAAGTCTGAAGCTAGCAGAGGCTGGTTCATGAGGTTTAAGGAAAGAAGCTGTCTTCCTAACATAAAAGTGCAAGATGAAGCAGCAAATGCTGATGGAGAAGCTGCAGCAAGTTTTCCAGAAGATCTGGCTAAGATTATTGATGAAGGTAGCTACACTAAACAACAGATTTTCAGTGTAGATGACACAGATTTCTATTGGAAGAAGATGCCATCTAGGACTTTCATAGCTAGAGAAGAAAAGTCAATGCCTGACTTCAAAGCTTCAAAAGCCTGGGTAACTCCCCTGTCAGGAGCTGATGAAGGTGGTGACTTTAAGTTAGAGCCAGTGCTCATTTACCATTCTGAAAATCCCAGAGCACTGAAGAATTTTGCTACATCTACTCTGCCTCTATTCTAGAAATGCAACAATGAAGCTGGATAACAGTACATCTGTTTACAGCAAGGTTTACTGAAAATTTTCAGCCCACTGTTAAGACCTACTGCTCAGAGAAAAGGATTCATTTCAAAATATTACTGCTCATTAACAATGCATCTGGTCACCCAGGAGCTCTGCTAGTGATGTAAAAGGAGATTAATGCTGTTTTCATGCCTGCTCATACAACATCCATTCTGAAGCCATGGACCAAGGAGTAATTTTGACTTTCAAGTCTTATTATTTAAGAAATACATTTCATGAGGCTATAGTTGCCACAGATAGTGATTCTTCTGATGGATCTGAGCAAAGTAAATTGAAAACCTTCTGGATAGGATTTGCTATTCCAAATCCCATTAAGAACATTTGTGTTTCATGGGAGGAGGCCAAAATATCAACATTAACATAAGGAGTTCAGAAGTTGACTCCAGCACTCATGGATGACTTTGAGGGGTTTAAGACATTAGTGGAGAAAGTGACTGCAGATGTGGTGAAAATAGCAAGAGAACTAGAATTAAAAATAGAGCCTGAAGATGTGGCCAAATTACTTCAATCTTGTAATAATATTTCAATGGATGTGGAGTTGCTTTTTATGGATGAGCAAAGGAAATGGTTTATTGAGATGGAATCTACTTCTGGTGAAGATGCTATGAACATTGTTGAAATGACAATAACAGATATAAACTTGTACATAAACTTAGTTAAGAAAGCAATGGCAGAGTTTGAGAGGATTGACTTCAATTTCAAAAGAAGTTCTACTGTCAGTCAAATGCTATCAAACAGCATCACATGCTACGGAGATACCTTTTGTGAAAAGAGGAGTCCATTGATGCAGCAAACTTCATTCTTGTCTTATTTTATGAAATTGCCACAACCACCCCAACTTTCAGCAACCACCGTCCTGATCACTCAGCAACCATCACACTGAAGAAAGATTCTCTACCAGGAAAAAGAGTATGATTCTGAAGACTCAGATAATCGTTAGTATGTTTTAGCAATAAAGAATTTTTAAATTAAGGTATCTATGTTGTTTTTTAGGCATAATGTTATTTCACACTTAATAAATTACTGTAGAGTGTAAACATAACTTTTATACATAGTGCAAAACCAGAAAATCTGTGTAACTCATTTTATTATGTTAGCTTTATTGTGGTAGACTAGAACTGAACCTGCAATGTTTCTGAGGTATGCCTATCTATGGTTTTCTCTCTTTGTTCAAGTAATATGGCTAATTACATTGATTAATTTTCAGATGTTAAATAAATCTTACATTCCTAGGACAAACATCTCTTTGGTAATGATATATAATCCTTTTTACATAATGCTCAATTTGATTTGCTAATTTATTTTTACAGTTTTAGTCTCTGTTTTCAAGTGGTATTGGTCTGCAGTTCTCTTGTGTTATCTTTGTTTGGATTTGGAATCAGGATAATTCTGGCTTAATAAAATAAATTGGGAAGTTTTTTCTAATACTCTACTCTCTGAAAGAGTTTCTGGATGATAGTTACTATTTTTTCCTGAAATGTTTAATATAATTCCCCATTGAAGCTATCTGGGTCCAATGTTTTCCTTTTGGGAAGGTTTTAATTACAAACTGAAATTTTTAAATTTAATATAAAACTACTCAATTTTTAAAAATGTTCTTCATGTGATATTTAGGAATTTCCCCTTTCATTTAGGTGCAAAATTTATTGGCACAAAGTTGTTTGTAATATCTTCTTCATATCCTGCAATTTCCTTATTTTCCTTTTACTGTCCATAAAATCTGTAGTGAGGTGGTCTCTTTCATTCCTGATATTGGTAATTTTCTTTCCTCTCTCCCTCTTTCTCTTCCTCCCCTCCCTTCCTCTCTCCCTCCCTTCTTTCATTCTTCTTTTTTTCTTCGTTATTTCTTTCCATCTTTTCTTTTCCTTTATCCCTTCCTTTTCTTTCTTTCTCCTTCCCAAGATATAAGCTATGCATACACTTTAATCTCTAGCTGCCTTTTTAGTCTGGTGAGCCTAGCAGCTCAAAAGACAAATCTTAAGAGCTCCTCTTAGTATACCCGTATGGGAAGAGCAGAGTTGATTTTTCTCTAGGCTTCTATTCAGCTAAACTGTGTCCATGCCCTGTTGCCTTTTCAAAAATAAGGATTCCCTTGAGAAGAAAGAAGGCACTAGTTAGGAAGAAGAATAGAACTTTGGTTTACTTCACAACTCTAACCAACACTTCCACCTCCTGTATAATGATCCATTTGTGTGCTCTTTTTGGATGCTTCAGTCAAGAGCCCCCACTCCTGAGAATGGAGTGATGAATACGAGTAACACCCCTTCTTTGAAGATCTTACTGTTTATAGACCAGTGTACATAGCTCTCTGTCTAGTATTCTAAATCCTCTTCTCTCTGGTCTTCCCAACTTTCCAATGTTCTATTTCACTGTTTCCATCCTCACCTCTCCAGGTGAGATGGTTTACTATTTTGCCAACATACTTCGTGGACTTATGTTACTATACCTTCACATTTGTAGGACCATGCCACTCCTCAATTTCCCCAATTTCTAGTTTCTCTACATTTTCTAGGAGAACTAAAGCCCAGAGAGGTGGCAGAAGTTATCAATGACAAACATTTTATTTAAGAGAATGAGAAAAGAAGACAAATGTAGGGTTTTTCTTTCCTAGCTCTAAGAGTTTGATTTTAGTCTGATGAGAAATAGGATGCCTTTTAGGTTCCTGGGAAGGTAACTCTTAGGAAGAAAATGTGGTCTGGGAAAGATAAACTCAATATCTTTAAATAGTAGGATAGAAGATGAAACTTGTGGTAAGTACAAGAGTAAAGAGGACTGAGGTATTCAGGTTAGTTCAGGGGTTGTGAGACAAAGAGAAACGTATGCATTTAAAGACATTATGAAGAAAACAAGTGACAAACACATTCAAGACCTTAGGAATAAAGAACTGGCAGGTTACACACACACACACACAAAAGTGTAGGCAACACCTTAAAATTCTTTACTTATATTACCCTAAATTGTATCATTGTTTGGTATAGTAAATATTTATGTAATTTTATTTATTTTTACAAATATTTTTTGAATACTACTCTTTTCCGGCATCACTCTAGACACTGGGGCCACAAAAGTAAACTGTTTATTTAATGAATTGACATGTTCTCATCATCAAAATGGATATGTCAAAATTTTATTAAGGCTTTTAGAAAAAATTGATTCTGAATAGTTATGTTTAAAAGATGAAGTAATAATCGTGATTTGGGGGATATTAAGAAATATCTTCCATGTTTGTCTGTGGATAACTAAATTCAGCAGACGTGAAGTCAGTAAATATTTGTGTCTACTGGACAAAAATTATTGCTTTAAACTGCATCAAACATATTTTAAGGTTAATATTTTATGGAGTAATTTAGATAGTGCTACTCTCAAACATTATACTTGCCAAAGGACAGAATAAAGAAAATAAATGCTTTCTAAACCAAAGAGTATCTTATTTTCTACTTAAAAAAATTTTTAATTCCTGTGGTTCATTAGGAATTCTACAACTCTTAATTGAATGTATCAATATAATTGATTGAATGTATCAGATTTAAAAAAAAAATTAAAATTTTTTTGAGACACTGCTCTGAACTGTTTTTTGAATCAAAGTAAGCAGAGGTTCTCAAATTCCAATTCTTTTGTATGCATGTTTGGAAAGGAAAATTGTAAAAATTCTTAGGCATAGACATTTACAATATTATTGGATGAAAGCAAAGCTAGTTATTCCACTGTGATTTGAAAAGTAAACTTTAGGTTAGATTTTAAATATTTGGTAGTTCAAAATTGTCATCTCCCATTAAATTATTATTACTGCAGTCCTTATGAAATAAAGGCACTGTTCCTTTCGCTAGCCATCACAGTTTATTTTTTATAATTGTAAAGGATTAAGTCAAATTAAAAAAACTGAGGCAATGTCAAATTAACAAAATAGAGGTAGAAAAACATACTTTTAATATTGTTGTATTTTAACATACAGTTAATATTTTTTAATAGTCTTTAAGTCTCACTCTTCAATTAAATATTCATTCAAAAACATTGATTGAGTGTTCATCATGTATCAGTAGTTCTGCTTAGCGTGAGGCATACAGCGATGAAAAAAGCTAAAGGGTCTGTGCACAATGGTGCTTTCGTTCTGGTGGTCTCAGCACCCTGGTCTGACTTGAGCAAGATTCCTATTAGGTTGGTTTAGCCAGAATCCCTCCTTACTGCTGATGTTTCCCTTCAGTGATTTTCTATTCACTGACCACCCTGACCCTGATCCTTGGCTATGAATTCCCACTTGCCTATGCTGTATTCAGAATTGAGCCTGATTCTTTATTGATGTTTCTTTTCTCTCTACTGCAATTGTCATAAATTAAATCTGTTATTATTATTATTTTTTTTACCATGTTAACTACTATCCAGCTCTGGTTTTTCTTTGACAAAGAAAATAAATCAGCTATAGAATAGAAATAAGAGGTTGATGCATAGTCTATTTTAGATAGGGTGGCCAAAACTCCTACTGAGAGGTATTTGGTCAGTTTAAGCAGAATTCTCCTTACCCCTAATATTTCCTTTTTACTAGTTTCTCATGTATTGACCTGCACTCTGCTTTTTGGCTGTAAATTTTCACTCATCGCTGCTGTTTTTGGAGTTTGGAATAGGGTATTTGCCTTATACCCCACTGCAAGACCCTGTTGCAGTGGTCCCTATGCCTGTCACAATGGTCCTAAGTAAAGTCTTTCTTACCATGCTTTAACACGTGTCATTGAATAATTTTTTCATTAACACTACTCAGAATTTCGGGTGAACAATTGTAGAATCTCCATGATATCAGTAGCCTAAAGAAAACATAGAAAATTTTGGGAGTTCTAGATTCTTGGCATGGCTTGGTATAGGTGACCAGGTCAGGATGGGGGAGAGAGCTTTCATAGAGTAGCATAGCCATCACTGTGGCTCTGAATACCCATTCACTTATCTAACAGATAGAGTGAGAAGTGGGGCTGGCATAGAAGCAGTTCTTCCCTCGTCATTACCAGCTTCATATCCTTGCCAGAAGTTTCTTTGCCAGGAGATAATTCTGTTACCATGGGCTCCTAGAAGTGTTCTTTGGCAGCCCTGGGTGAATCTGATTTCATGCTTATGCTTTTCCACAGCTTGTACTTGTCTATGATTTTGAAAATTAACTCTGAATTTGTAATAAGTGGTACATATTTTGCATATTATTTTAACCTTACAGGGACTTGGACACCAATTATCTTTTATAGTTTTGTTAATCAATATTAACAAAACATAAAATTTTTGCCTTGCAAAATGTACTTGTTCTTCCTCTCGTAGAGCCATATGTGAGTGGAAAGATCTTGAATTGTTCCTGCTCTTCTTGACAGAAGAAAATAAAAGTATGTCTTCCACAACTCTTTTCTTACGGTAACCATTCTTGTTTGAGGCTATCAAAATTGCAGCAGGTGATTTCTTTTCTAGTTGAAGTACAATGCAGCATAAATATTCTCTTCTTTCACACAAAGGAGTTTAAATCAGAGTGGGCTTGCTTTCTAAATCTAAGGGTTGAAGGCCGAGGGATAACGTGTGTAGTATATTTGTTGTGCTGTGAATACTGTAGCATTCCAGGGGGTGAGAGTCTAACTTTGCAATACATATTTGTTTTTTTAATTAACTAATATTTTCAGATACATTGAGACCCTTAAATTTTTTGTTTTTATTTTTATTATTTTATTTTATTTATTTATTTTTATTTTTTGAGATGGAGACTCGCTTTGTCACCCAGGCTGGAGTGCAGTGGCGCACTCTCAGCTCACTGCAACCTCCGCCTCCTGGGTTCAAGGGATTCTCGCCTCAGCCTCCCGAGTAGCTGGTACTACAGGTGCATGCCATCACGCCTGGCTAATTATTGTATTTTTAGTAGAGACGGGGTTTCTCCCCGTTGGCCAGGCTGGTCTCGAACTCCTGGCCTCAAGTGATCCTCCTGCCTTGGCCTCCCAAAGTGCTGGGATTACAGGTGTGAGCCACCGCACCCGGCCTACCCTTAGAATTGTAGTCATTTTATTAATACAATGCAGAAAATTAGTCATAAGAAAAATATAATTAGCATTTGACCTTAAAACTCATAAAACAGATTGTGAATAACATCATCCCTTTTTACTTTTATTTTAAAATTTCAAAAAATAAAAAAAAGTTTCAAGGTTTTGATATTTTTATTCTGAATTTTTAAAAAATCAGTAGGGAAAAATAATCCTAGCATTTCTTGTTGGGGAGGGGACATATGTGTCCCCTCTCACTGCAGTACTGCCTCTAGGGCTCCCTGCTTACACCCTTTTTTTTCCCTTATCCTTCTCTTAAGGTGGAAGTATGTTAATTTGACTAGTCAATATCTAAGAAAATTGTTGAGAACCACTGCATGCTAAAAGGCAGGGCCCATGCTCTGTTCCTTTTTTTTCCCTTCTTCATGCACAGAATGAGTAGGTTAGCCTAAACGTGGCTGTCCTTGTCACTTGTCCCTCTCCACAATCAAGCCTAAACCTAACAGACTGTTAAACACCAAGAGTCTGGTTTGAGGGTGCTGATCAGAACTCAGTCCTGCTTTTAAGATATACATATGTATATATATATACACACACATATATATAAGATATACATATATATATATACTTTTTTATATGTCTATTCTTTTTTTTATTATACTTTAAGTTCTAGGGTGCATGTGCACAACGTGCAGGTTTGTTACATATGTATACATGTGCCATGTTGGTGTGCTGCACCCATTAACTCGTCATTTACATTAGGTATATCTCCTAATGCTTTCCCTCCCCGCTCCCCCCACCCCACAACAGGCCCCGGTGTGTGATGTTCCCCTTCCTGTGTCCAAGTGCTCTCATTGTTCAATTCCCACCTATGAGGTGTTTGGTTTTTTATTCTTGCGATAGTTTGCTGAGAATACTTTTTAAAGAGAATGAGCCCCCTTGGTTTAATCCAGCAAGCATTGTCTATCTCGCTGGATTAACAGATAAGCATGCAACCCAATCAAAGCTATAAGACACAAGAGAAATTTTTCTGGGGCTTCTGGGAAAAACTAGTTTATATCTTTCTTCTACTGGATTTGTGAGTGTGAAGAGGTGAGAATAACCTTTTTGCTGCCAATGAGATACACCATGAGGATGAGGCTTACTGACAGGGGAAAGGACAGCTGAGATATGCAGAGGAAACAAATCTTGATGAGATTATTTGAAACTCTGAATCAAACCATAGCTGAAGAAAGCACCAGCACTGGAATCTTCATTTATAGGTCCTACGTATTTCCTGTCTTTCTTTAAGTCAGGTTGAGGTCTATTTCTGTCACTTGCAACATACAGGACGCTGTTACAGGGGAATGTAGGAGGGTTAGATTGTGCACTCCATCATGGGTTATGATATGGCTGGTGAGGGATTATTGGTTTCTGGCTCAACTAATAATGATGGGATATTTTGTTTCCTATTTGGTTATTATTCCCAAGCTTATCACTCTTGGATACCTTATATGGGAGAGAGATGGGAGAGTCAAAGTGAATAGCAGGGCAGATTCAGTATTCCTGGTTGTAAAACTGTGTAGGTGGATCAGACATCCATGCTTTATCATGAATAACCTGGCCCAAGGTTTTTAAAATTTTTCGATGGAAACAATTTAGTTGACAGTATTCAAATTTTTTTTAATGGCTGTACAATATATTATTTCATGTAATGAAGTCATATGTGCCAGAGTGGAAGTGGTTGAACTTTACTTTAGTTTTTCGTATTCCTTTCAGATTCCTATAGTTCTATGCTGTAGAATAATATTTGCTAACGAATACACCTCAGAACTCCAGGCTCACAAACACTTCATGAGAAAAAGATTCCATGGCCAAATAAGTCTGTGAAATGCTGCATATGAGGTCACCTTCTGACCACTCATAGGGTACTTTAGTATATTAAAAACTTTGGCAAATAGTAAAGAAGCTTATTTATTTTTCCTTAGTTCATTTGACCATGAATTCTCTTCCCTCTTAGCCCTCCACCTTTTGTTTTCCTTGTAATACCAAGTGGAGGAGAGTGGGTTAAATAAGAATGCTACTCTTAGGTTGGTACAAAAGTCATTGCAGTTTTTGCCATTAAAAGCAATAACAAAAACTACAATTACTTTTGCACCAACCTAATAAAATGATAACATTCTCTCTCATTGAAAACCTGATATTTTCTAATTTGTAGTTATAGTTATTCAGCAGAATGGCTTATTCCTTTTGTTCAAATACAGTTGAACATTAGAGGCTCTATTCTTTTTAGTTACTCTTGTTTATGCATACTTAATCCAATTCTGTCCACTAACAATTCTACTTGAACTCTGGTTTCATACATGAAAGAAAAGTCATCTTTAGTCGAGCAAAGGAAACAAGGCAAATGCAATATTAAAGTTACATACAGGTTGCAATCAGGGTGCGGTGGTGCACATCTGTAGTTAGTCTCAGATACTTGGGAGGCTGAAGCAGGAGGATTCTTTGAGCCCAGGAGTTAGAGGCAAGCCTGGGAAACATAGTGACACCCCATCTCTTAAAAATGTGTTACATATGGGTTTCAATATTCCATGGGATCAGAGGGCTTTTACTGTTTTTGAATGAAAGGTCGAACTGGTGATGGGAAGTAACACTGGGGAAGTGAGGCTTGACCTGTCTTGAGGGTTGAATGTGCACCTGTCACCGAAGAGGCTGCTGGGAGTATTGAAAATGAGAGGACCTGTGACTGAAGGCTTCAAGGTATGAGATATTCTCTTGCCTCTGAGGGACAAAGATAACAATAGTTGGATTGATGGATTTTATGCAGATTTGTATTTTTAGGAAAGTCACTCTTGTGGTAGGTTGGAAGAGGGATTGGAATGAATGAGCAAGATGTTAAAAGAGGTAGTATCAATTGTGGCCATGGACTAAATAACAGGAGTGAGGAAGAAGGAAGAACAAAAGATGACTTGGCAGTTGTCAGTGAATGGAGATTGAGGTGGCTAAGAAGTGGATTATTTGACCTTAAGGGTTTAAAGTGGAATAATATGATAAAAGCAACTTAGTATTTATTGAGCTCCTATTTGTGCTAGGTATGGTGCTAAGCACAATGGGGAAGATTACTATTCTCTAGAATCTCAGCGTTTTGAGAAAAAAATACTGAAATACTGTGCATGCTACAGTGGATATTTGTTAGGGGTTTTTTGGCTGCTCACATTCTACCCCCTTTGTAGCATTCCTCATTGAATGTTGGTAGTTATTCCTGTTATGGAAGCTAAAGGTGGCCAGATATTCCCTCTCCTTCTTCACTTCCTGGCAACTAGAGTTTCTTTAGGGGCCTAGGCTTAGTCAACTGATGCTCTTGAGCAGATTCAGAATGTGAAGTTACTGATGGGAAGGCATTGAGTAGTTAGAGATCATTTGTGGATTAAGAGTGCAACCACCCAGTATCCTTTTAGTAAATTCCTTTTCTGACCAAGCTTCACCTGACAGATATAAACACAGGCGTTAATGAATTCAAGGCAGAACATAAAACTTGATTTAGGAGAATAAGAAAGGGAGAACTTTAAAGCTTGCTGTTAGAATTGAAGGAAATTCTTATTGTCCAACTTCCTCTCAATATGCACTGGAGGGAGCCTTCTCAAGGGGGAGGCTTATAACATTCCCTCCTCTGAGAACTTAGATTTTATAGGTTCTCTGAACTTCTCTCTTAAGATGTTAAGCATTTAGTGCTTTGTATTAGGACTTCTGTCTTTGATGTTGGTGCTTCAAATTTTCATTAACTAAATATTAATCTTTTACAAGAACCCTCTACCTGTTTGTTGAGATTAATTTAACAGCCAGTAATAGGTATAGGTATTATTTATCTTAGAGATGAATAAAAATTGTGATAAACCAAATGTATTAAAATCATAAAATACTTCATGAGTTATGGCAACAGATTGCTATTGTGTTTATTATGTTAATGTGAAGTGCTTTTACTATATTGTGTAAGAATAAAAAAGAACAAGAGAAGATATTGATAAGCTTAAGGAGTAATCTTTAGAATATGATAGATGAAAAGCTGGACCACAAATGGCTAGAAGAGTGGATTGGCACAGTTATCGGTGTAATTATCAGGGCACTTAGCAACATTTTAATTAGTGGGAATTTATGATGGCTTAAGTTGTTTTTGCTGTCCAGTGTTTTTAAAAGTGGTTGCCTACAGCTTTGACCTCCCCCACATTTTGCTTTGTTAAGAACTCTTCAGATAAGCATAATTTCCCAATCAGAGGCAGGGTGATAAAATAAAATGAGTATAAGATTGAGTTGGGAATGCTGGGACTTAGTCTTGAGTCTGCTACTTCCTGTAATCATCTCTGAGCTTTAGTTTTCTCGATTACACTCAAATGAACCCTCTTTATTTGCTTTAGGGCATTATTGGGAAGATTTAATTAACACCAGCTATAAAATATCACTCTGGTCACTCTATATCCCCCTCACATAGCCTGTTAATTCCTACAGTTCTTATTGTACCTGACCTATTACTGATTTTTTCCCATCCTGAGTTAGAATGGAAGCTCCATGGACACAGGGACTTTACACATTTTGTTAACTTCTTTTTTTTCAAAAGCACATGGCAGTGCCTGCCACAGACAATGTGCTGAATACAATTCAGATAATAAGGAATGAAAATATTGCTTTTTTTGTTTTTTTATTATGAATGCCTTTCTTGGGAGGCTTGTTACAGATTGGGGTTAGTCCCAAAGTGTTGGATTTGAGGAAGCCTTCTCATATTTGATTGATGATCTTAGTTTGTTTGTTTCCCATTGTACCATGGTTATTACACATTATCTCAAGACAAGACAAGTGGCATTCTCCTAAAATTTTCATTCAAGCTACTTGCTGTAACTACTGTTGTAAATATGTATCTCAATATCATGTATTTTTTATGTACATTTGCTAATATTGATGCTTTATAGAGGAGTGTTTCCCTTATCAATAGAGGATGTATAGAAATTTTGGCTTAAACCTAAGCATAAATTTTACTTTGCCCAACACAAGTCATAAATAAAGCTACATCTTAAATAGAATCTAATGAATTGTTAATGCTCAGTATTTATCCCTTCATTAAACCAAACCTATTCTTACTGTAACCATTTTAAATTTCTCCCCTTTACCATAGCTGTTATTTATCCAGTTATTGTATGTGGAGAAATGGTCCTTCACACAATATCAAAACAATATATAAGTCTAAAGCACTTCCTAGAGTTATTTTTGCTAAGTACTGCTTGTCTGTACATGCTTTTTTGTAAGATAATTTACTTACATAAGAATGAAGACTTTCTATTTTGAGGTTTGCCAGTCATCACACTATTCTAATCATCACTACCAAAACCATACATCAGCATTAATCTACTTTGGCATTATACTGTCCAAAGGACCTTTTCATAGAACTGTAGACTTTCAGAGTTGGAAGTTGACTTGAAGAATCTAGAATGCTTAATTACCATCTACAAACTTAATTCTTTTCCTGAGATTTTTATCTAATTTTTTTGTTTACACACAGATTTTATTGTTTACAGGCAGATGGCTGAAGAAATCTTGCTTATTTACAGTTTTCTACCTGTTTAACTAAGTGCTTAATATAAACATATATGATAATTGAGAAAAATGGCCTACTATATCATATGCAGGTAATTTCATGACAAGGTCAATAAAATAAGAGGCCACCAGCTAATATTTAGGAATATTTTAGAGTATAAAAATTTTGCAAAAAGAATCCAGCAGGGCAGAAAATTCCTTATATTGTCTGAATCAGTAAGTTTCTCCTCTACTAAGAAAGTGGAATTGTTTCTTGAGATGGAGCACACCTCGCCTGGAAACGTGTATGCATCCTAACAAGAAAGGGAACGTGTACCAACTTAATCAGTCCAGACTGTCTGGTTTTCAGTGTTCTCAAAGGCATTCATACTTACTGTTAGGAAATGTTTAAAAATGCTGGGGGATGTTTTTATGCTTGTTCCAATGATTAACCACAGGCATTTAGTGTGTGAGATGCTATCCATCCTGCAATATAAAAGATTGTATTTTTCCTGCAAGAATTTTAAATTCCTCACCAGACATTTGTGTAGGAGAGAACCTGTTTATATTAATTGGAGCATAGAGACTAATTTGATTTTACATATAAACACACACGCACATTTTTTGGCAGTTGTAGTATACACTGATTTTCCAGGAGTGCTACTATTGTACATATTGATAAAAGATTGAGGATTGTATTTCTTTGTAGTTTAAAATTTCCCAGAGTTACTCAGTTGTATCACATCAGTAATGTGATCATGATATTTTTGTCAAGAATCTTTCACTGCCCTCCTTCTCTGCATGTGTAGCTGTTGTACTCACGGTGATTGGTTCAATTGTTTCAATACTTCAGAATCTCTAAGTGTCATCATGCCTGAATGCTAATATAGAGAAATTAAGATTATTTTATTGTACTACTTTTATTTAGGCATTACACAGCTAAGGTATTATATTGATTCAAAAATTTATATGGGTAAGTTACGTCATTTATAAAATTTAGGCTAATAAGGGGAGCACTATGAAATAGTTGTTATTTAAAAGATCTTTGTGTCAATACAGTGACTTTGAAACTAGTGTGCATTGGAGTCTCTAGAAGGTCTTGTTAAGATCCGTATTGCTGCCCCTAGCACCACCACCCCCAACAGTTTCTACTTCAGTAGGCTTGGGAAGGGGGGCCGATTGTTTGCATGGCTGATAAGTTCCCTGGTAAAGTGGATGCTACTGATCCAGGGACCACACTCTGAAAGAACTAGTATAATATGTTAGAGAACCCGATTAGAGCTAGGTAACCCTGATGACTAGTTGGGCAGCATTTTACATCCACATTGAGTTCACATCTATGTGGTTTCAAAGATATGAATTAGATCTGAATTTTCTTGAGTTAATTTGAATAAATGCATAAGTTTAATGTGTTGAAAATAATCTAAATATAATTTACTTTGAACAGTCAGCACACACATATTTGTTAGCAAATTCTTCTGTTTTTTTTTTCTCTTAACCTGTTTATTATTATTATACTTTAAGTTTTAGGGTACATGTGCACAATGTGCAGGTTTGTTACATATGTATACATGTGCCATGTTGGTGTGCTGCACCCATTAACTCGTCATTTAGCATTAGGTATATCTCCTAATGCTTTCCCTCCCCCATTCCCCCACCCACAACAGTCCCCAGAGTGTGATGTTCCCCTTCCTGTGTCCATGGATTCTCATTGTTCAATTCCCACCTATGAGTGAGAACATGCAGTGTTTGGTTTTTTGTCCTTGGAATAGTTTGCTGAGAATGATGGCTTCCGGTTTCATCCATCTCCCTGCAAAGGAAATGAACTCTTCATTTTTTATGGCTGCATAGTGTTCCATGGTGTATATGTGCCTCATTTTCTTAATCCAGTCTATCATTGTTGGACATTTGGGTTGGTTCCAAGTCTTTGCTATTGTGAATAGTGCCGCAATAAACATACATGTGCATGTGTCTGTATAGCAGCATGATTTATAATCCTTTGGATATATACCCAGTAATGGGATGGCTGGGTCAAATGGTATTTCTAGTTCTAGATCCCTGAGGAATCGCCACACTGACTTCCACAATGGTTGAACTAGTTTACAGTCCCACCAACAGTGTAAAAGTGTTCCTATTTCTCCACATCCACTCCAGCACCTGTTGTTTCCTGACTTCTTAGTGATCACCATTCTAACTGGTGTGAGATGGTATCTCATTGTGGTTTTGATTTGCATTTCTCTGATGGCCAGTGATGGTGAGCATTTTTTCATGTGTTTTTTGGCTGCATAAATGTCTTCTTTTGAGAAGTGTCTGTTCATAACCTTTGCCCACATTTTGATGGGGTTGTTTGTTTTTTTCTTGTAAATTTGTTTGAGTTCATTGTAGATTCTGGATATTAGCCCTTTGTCAGATGAGTAGGTTGCAAAAATTTTCTCCCATTTTGTAGGTTGCCTGTTTACTCTGATGGTAGTTTCTTTTTTTGTGCAGAAGCTCTTTAGTTTAATTAGATCCCATTTGTCAATTTTGTCTTTTGTTGCCATTGCTTTTGTGAAGTCCTTGCCCATGCCTATGTCCTCAATCGTATTGCCTAGGTTTTCTTCTGGGTTTTTATGGTTTTAGGTCTAACATGTAAGTCTTTCATCCATCTTGAATTAATTTTTGTATAAGGTGTAAGGAAGGGATCCAGTTTCAGCTTTCTACATATGGCTAGCCAGTTTTCCCAGCACCATTTATTAAATAGGGAATCCTTTCCCCATTGCTTGTTTTTGTCAGGTTTGTCAAAGATCAGATGGTTGTAGATATGCGGCATTATTTCTGAGGGCTCTGTTCTGTTCCATTGGTCTATATCTCTGTTTTGGTACCAGTACCATGCTGTTTTGGTTACTGTAGCCTTGTTGTATAGTTTGAAGTCAGGTAGCATGACGCCTCCGGCTTTGTTCTTTTGGCTTAGGATTGACTTGGCGATGCGGGCTCTTTTTTGGTTCCATATGAACTTTAAAGTAGTTTTTTCCAATTCTGTGAAGAAAGGCATTGGTAGCTTGATGGGGATACCATTGAATCTATAAATTACCTTGGGCAGTGTGGCCATTTTCACGATATTGATTCTTCCTACCCATGAGCATGGAATGTTCTTCCATTTGTTTGTATCCTCTTTTATTTCCTTGAGCAGTGGTTTGTAGTTCTCCTTGAAGAGGTCCTTCACATCCCTTGTAAGCTGGATTCCGAGGTATTTTATTCTCTTCGAAGCAATTCTGACTGGGAGTTCACTCATGATTTGGCTCTCTGTTTGTCTGTTATTCGTGTATAAGAATGCTTGTGATTTTTGTACATTGATTTTGTATCCTGAGACTTTGCTGAAGTTGCTTATCAGCTTAAGGAGATTTGGGGCTGAGACAATGGGGTTTTCTAGATATACAGTCATGTCATCTGCAAACAGGGACAATTTGACTTCCTCTTTTCCTAATTGAATACCCTTTATTTCCTTCTCCTGCCTAATTGCCCTGGCCAGAACTTCCAACACTGTGTTGAATAGGAGTGGTGAGAGAGGGCATCCCTGTCTTGTGTCAGTTTTCAAAGGGAATGCTTCCAGTTTTTGCCCATTCAGTATGATATTGGCTGTGGGTTTTTCATAGATAGCTCTTATTATTTTGAGATACATCCCATCAATACCTAATTTATGGAGAGTTTTTAGCATGAAGGGTTGTTGAATTTTGTCAAAGGCCTTTTCTGCATCTATTGAGATAATCATGTGGTTTTTGTCTTTGGTTCTGTTTATATGCTGGATTACATTTATTGATTTTCATATGTTGACCCAGCCTTGCATCCCAGGGATGAAGCCCACTTGATCATGGTGGATAAGCTTTTTGATGTGCTGCTGGATTCGGTTTGCCAGTATTTTATTGAGGATTTTTGCATCAATGTTCATCAAGGATATTGCAAATTCGTCTGTTAAAGTAATTTCCTGCACACAGATTTTTTTTTTTAATGAAGAAGTTCACAATTCTTTTGGAAAATAAGTAGACCAAATCGGGCATCATGTGTCCAATTTGGCTATGGAGTTGTCTTGTTGACTTTTTCCAGGACTGAGAAAAAAAATGGCCTGCATCAAGTGGTATCCCAAAAAGCTTTTTGAGCTCTTTCATCACCGTATCAGCTTCATAATGAATGACTAATAACGATAGTGCCGAAACAAAGGAATTACCCTAATGAGGAGTCTTGCTACCACCATGCTTTGCTGAGGTGGACAATGAAAACTTGAGCAGAAACTATAATTTATCTGATCATTTTTAGGCCATAAAAATACGTCAAGTCACTTCTGGTCACATGAAAAAATAGTCTCAGTAATGATATGCCTAGTTGAATGAAATAAAGTATCTATCTTCATTTAAGGTGAAAGGTTTTCTAATAGGTCAGCTTGGATCTGTTTGTGCGGACTGTCCATGGCAAAATAAAAAAGTGCAAGTGCAGTCACCATCTGTTCTTTTTTCTTGGCTAGTACCTATTTACAGGGCTGCTTCATGTTTGCTTGACTGGATGTGGAGTGGGAAGAAAAAGGTAAGGGCAGGAAAGTTATCCCTTGATTATTCTGGTTTTGCCATGGTGTTTAACCACTGGCATTGCAGGGCTTTAGCAGACTTAAATGGAGCACATTTGAAGGTTACTGGCTCTCGAACTCTTCTTCTGCAAGTCTTACTTTGATGGGCCTCCAGCTCACTGTGAAACATGAGGCAAGTTGTCACCTTTTTTGCTTGGGGCTTCAGTAGAAACTGAGATGGTAAATGCTTCATTGCAACAATCTGTTCCAGTAAAATGTAGTGGCATTGTTCACTGAGCAGAAAAAAGATTTTGTGGATTAGTGGTGATCACAGAATCAAGGTGCTGGAAGTTAAACTGAACAAATCATGAACAACAAAGAAAACAAAACAAAAGCTTCAAGGACATATGCAAATGAGACAGGAATTTAATCTTTGTTAGGACAGCAGACTTCTAGCGTGCACTTATCAATGTTTTTCAGTCATCCCCTACACATATGTGCACATAAACACACACATGAACACATTGAAGATATTTCCTTCAGGTGCATGTAAAATATGCTGCTTGGATTGAAATTCAAATGGGACTGATCAATCAAATAACTTGAGACCTCACAGTAATGTTCACTCTTAACCTTAGACACCTATGCAGTCATGTTGGTAGCGGGTTACAATGTTACCTCAGCACCACAGTTTGTTTCTGTACTTGAGTTCTTACGTACAGAAGATAGAACTGATTTAAATAGCATAGTATATATCATTTTCTGGACTTTTAAAATTTATTCGAGACCTCTTGATGAAATGGACATATTATATATTTCTGCCACCTGGATTTTCCTGGATAATTTGATGGAATATTTTAAGTTTCAGTAAATCAGAACAATAAACAAACTCAGATAAAAAAAAAAAGAAAATGTGTCTGTCTTTTTGCTGCTATGGAACCAGTGCCCAGCAGAAGTTCTAGCTCATGTTTGGCACTGAATGGTGAATGAGAGAAAAAGGAAAAAAGGAAAGCAGAGGTGCTTGGAGGAAAGCAGTGCAGAGCAGAAGTAGTAAGAAAGACAAAGCCGTGGAGGCAGTAGGAGAGAGGGGCAGCTCAGAGCTGCATGGGAAGCGGTACTGCACAACTCTGAGCATCCTCAGTTTGCTTCTCTTTCGGTGTTCTTGGTACCATCAAAAGTTTAAGCAACTAGAGTATAGGTTATGCAAGTTTGCATTGACATGTGAGCTCAGGTCCCTGATTATGGCTTGAAACAATAGCAGAATTCTTACTGGTAAAAGTATATAATAAATTTCAGATTAATTTTTATAAAAAAATTAACATTTTAAAAAAGGCTTAAAGAGCTACTTACACAGTTAAGTAAGGTACAGCATTTTCTGATGATGCCAGTTAATAACAGAAATAGATCTGGGGAGTGTGCGTAGTTTTGTCTTTTCATATGTCCACATACATACTAATACTTTATGCATTTGTATAGTTAAAATATTTTTTTTTTTTTTTTTTTTTGAGACGGAGTCTCGCTCTGTCGCCCAGGCTGGAGTGCAGTGGCGGGATCTCGGCTCACTGCAAGCTCCGCCTCCCGGGTTCACGCCATTCTCCTGCCTCAGCCTCCCAAGTAGCTGGGACTACAGGCGCCCGCCACTACGCCCGGCTAATTTTTTTGTATTTTTAGTAGAGACAGGGTTTCACCGTGTTAGCCGGGATGGTCTCGATCTCCTGACTTCGTGATCCGCCCGCCTCGGCCTCCCAAAGTGCTGGGATTACAGGCGTGAGCCACCGCGCCCGGCCCTAGTTAAAATATTTTTAATAAAAAGAAAAATATCTTTCAAGCATGTATTTCCATAGCATTGGTCATCTAAATGAGACTCAGAACCCAACTTTCACTTACTTCAATGGGAATTACAGAATACAGGCTTAAGTTATTTGTAAATTAGATTTCTCAGAAGGAAAGAACTTGTATATGGTGATTCACGTACTTTGATATTCTCTATTGTTTCAGAAACCGATACAACAAACAGTGCCAGCCGTAAATAGCTGCTTTTTTCCCTTTATAGTCAGTATACATTAATTTTTGCAAATGTGAGAAATTCTTTTTTTTTTTCTTTGTGTCTTTTTTATACATAGTGAAAAGCTACCAGGTCATACAGTGATATTCATGTAACATCTCTCTGATGAAGAAATTATAATTTCCAAAGCATGGCTCTTTGGAAATTTGAAAAAGAAAACAATAGCCTTAAAAGGAACAAGCCTGATTTGATCTTAACCAGTCTTTATTTAATCAAACTGCAGGGAATTTTCATTGCCCTAGTAATGTTGGTTTTTTTTTTTATGAAAACATTTTTGAGGACTAGCTTGATGTCATTGGTATATTGTTTCCTACTGTGAGCCAATAAATTCAGTTTCATGGGCAAATGCTTACATTTTGGCCTCTGGGCTAACTGAGGCACATGACATGAGGTGGAGTCATAAATTGGCCAGCCCTGAATTCTATTCATGGAAGATTTCATAGCTTATTTTTTCAGTTGGAAACTTTCTAGCTCAATGTGGCACTTTATGTCTCCATTTCTTCCATTCTTTTCCTTTGTCCATTCTCTCTTTCTCTCTGGTTAGTAAATTTTGTTGGTGTCACAGCCTTTTGAAAATGTGATATGTGCTTGATGGTGCTTTTGTTTCCTTTGGTATTGAATAAAAGAGAAGGCAGTTAGCAGTAGGAGTAATTAAAGATAATACCAGTGATGATGATGATGATGATTAAAAAGCCAACATTTATTGAGTGCCATTTACTGTGTGCCAGGTTCTATGCTCAGAAATTAATATATTTCTTTTATTTAATCTTGACAGCAACCTAAAAATAATTTTAGCTAGCACATTTTATGTTGTAGCATTATAAATGCTTTACATGGATGATCCAAGTTGGTGTAATTGAGTTTGGTATAATAGCTGAAGTCTAGTCCTTAAAAAAATTTAAATTTAAATGCTACATATACTATAGAGGGGTCAAAATTCACTCTGATTCTCTTCAGTTATTAGGGCAGCCCTATGTAGTAGTTATTATTCTCAAGCCTATTTTAGTAATATGAAGGTGAGACAGAGAGATATTCAGAAAATTATCCAGTGTTGAATAGCTAGTAGGTAATGTAACCAACATTCAAATATGGGTCTTTTTCACATCTGATTTTATGAATACTAGGACTTTATGATTTAGTAGAATTATAGAAATAGAAGTAGAAATAAAGGTAAAAATGCCAAAGAGTGAATGTTTAGTGTCTCTCAGAAAATGTGGAAAATAAGCCTGTATGGCATAAAAATCAGACAAAGATACTTTCTCCTTTCAACTTGAAATGTTGTTGACAATATTTGAACTACAAACACCCTCCTTTGGTGAAGGAGTATAGGAAGAGGTAATGAGGTGAGGGAGGTTATTCTTATAGCCTCTGCTCATTTTTTTCACTATTCATGATACAGAATGAATTTTTCCATGGAGCTGTTATTTTGTGTTATTTTGCCCGCTCGTCCTCCCTCCCTCCCTTCCTTCCTTCCTTCTTTCCTTTCTCTTTCTCTCTCTCTCTGTCTCTTTCTTTCTTTCTCTGTTTCATTTTTGGTAAAGTTGAGTTAATTATGTTTTCATTTGCTTTTCTTTTTTTTGGTATATTTTTTCTGGGTCAGCCTAGATGTTTGGGAAGGATACTTCCACAGTTAGATAAGCTATCATTTTGTGATGCCTTTTATTCACAGGTTTATTACAAGGTTTGACAAGACTATCCTAAGAAGATTTAGAAGGATTTCCTGGGTTTTGTTTGTGTGTGTGTGTGTGTGTGTGTGTGTGTGTGTGTGTATGTGTATGATGTGATCCTGTAGTGGTACAATTCTGTTAATCTCCAATACTTATTATTTTAAATTTAAACGTATATCTTTAAATATAGAGAAGAATCAATTTTAAATTTGTAGGCTAGAGTAAAAGGATATTGCTTTAGTATGTCTTGTGGTCTCAGTTTCCCCAGAGGAAAATAGAGTCTGAACCAAATAATCTCTATAGTACCTTTCCACACCAACACCATAACTTATGTTTGTATCTGCTAAAAACGGAATCACAGTAGATTAAGACAACTCTGTAGTGTTAGTTTTTAAATAAAAAAGATCATTTAGATTTTATCCATCAAACTGCACTAAATTAAACCAATTTGGAACTCTGCTGAAAGTGAATACCTTTGTTGGTAGATGAAAATTGGCTGGCATGCACAGTCATTAGCAGTGGGTGATAGTTTTTTTGGATATAATGTGGAAAGAACAGGGAGCTGTTTTGGAATGCCTTTGAAGTTTTTTCTTTCAGTTCTAAATATCTGAGATTCTTCACAATTTTCACAGCAGAATGGTCCATAACCCAACATTTCTGTTGGGTTCTAAAACATCGCATATACTTTACAATTTTGGAGTTTCGGGATATGTGTAAATCAGACTTCAACAAGGGAAACATAAGTTAAAAGAATAATTCAAAGGTAATTCTAAACTACCAGTCTTTAAAATCTGCTTTCAACACAAGAACAAAAAAAAATCTAAATGATAAGACTAAGCAAATGATGTGATTTTGTTTATTGATTAGAAACATGTGCTCCAAAATGGTTTAAAATAAAGAAGAAAGGAGTGAGAAAAGGAAGGGAGAATTTAAGACATAAAATCAAAAGTTACTGAGCACACCCAATGTGCCAAGCATGAGTGTTAGAATCTTGAAATGTTAGGAAAGCCAAAGACTTGCAAATTAAAAGAAGTTTCACTGAGCCTATCCTGTAGCACTAAAATGTTAAAAATGCAGCTTGTCATCATAAGGCATGACTGGGATGTGGGAAAATAGCAGTAACGCCAGGGTTGTGAAACAAGATCACATAGTTAAGGAGATAAAGCCAGAGCTCCAAGAAGTTTGTGTTCTAGCCCCATAATGTCAAAAAGTTGACCAATGTTTGTGCTCATCAGAAACATCCATATGACAGGCTATGGATGAAACTCTGAAACGCAAGCCTGTTTAAACAGTTTAGGCACAGTTCAAAGGGAGACATTTGATATTAATTAGTTAATTAATTAATTAATTCAGAAATCACTTATTATCTGAAATGCACAGAAGCCTAGTAGGGAAATGTGTCATGGACATAAGAAACTATAATACATAGTAGAAAGTGAGCCATGCCATAGGAAAGTATAGATAGATTTATGGTTGTTCAGAGGGAAAGAGCAGAGAGCACCAGTGAAAATAAGGTTGAAAATATAGCCTTTGAGATGGGCTTTACAGGGTAGGCATGTGTGCCTTATAGAAGGGATCCCTTAGTCTCCAGGCCTACAATAGCATCATCCTTACTGGGAAGTGTGAGGACCTTTACTTGTTGGTGGTCTACAGCCTGTTTCTTCTATTCCTCTTTACTTGTGGCACACATTGCCATCAGCAAAAAGGGCTCCTCATGAACTGAGCTGGTAATCAGGAAGGTCACTGGAAAGTGTCAGAATTTGGCAAGAATGGGAAGTAGAGGGTCCGGTGTGTTTACAGTCTGGAAAATCTCTCAGTAGATTCTGATACGGTCTTATGTGGCCATGTCCCAGCTTCATCTGCTTGGAAATGATTGCTCATAGATGACATGAGATATTAGGACATCAAAACTAAGTGCAACATTATCTAGGAATAATGAGGAACATGAAAATTTATAAAGGGAAATATAATAAACAGTGATATTTAAAATATGAATAGAGTATGTGTGTTTGTGTGTGTGTGTGTGTGTGTGTAAGTGAAAAAAAAGTTCTCAAAGTAAACATTTTCCCAGTGGCCGTCCTTTTGAACTTAACCAACTTGTAAGTGTAATTCTGGAGTTTAATGTATAGATTAAAATGACAAAACAAAAGATTTTGTGCAGGTTTACTATGTATCAGGCATTTGTCTATGTGGTCTATATATATATATATATTATCTCACTTAAAAAACACAGAAATCCCATATGGTGGTGATGATTATTTTCCCTTCATTGAAGATGAGGAAATTTAACCTTAACTATTTTAAAAAATTTTCTGGGGATCACATACCTTGTTAGATGAGGAGCTGGGATTCTAATCAAAGCAGGCCATTCCAGAGTTCATGCTCTTTATTCTCTACCAGAGAAGGCTGCTTAATCATTGAAGGGCACATAAACTTAATATTTAATCATTTGAACTCAACAGTCCACATGTGTAATGTAGGTAAGTTAATTAACCAAATGACAATATTAGCAAGTTTGTTAATTGTTCTCTCCATTTCCATTTACAAAGCAAATTTTCAATCTGAATACATGCTCTTTGCTTCAAAGCAAATAGATATCTGTCCTCAGTTCTTAAATCTGACATTTTAGACACAGAATACTTAGTCTCAGTCAAGGTATGTTGTAGTAGCCACTCCTGACCAAAACAGGAGACTGCACTCAATTTAACAAATGTTTAATGGCAGTAAAATTTATCTCCATCCTCTGACCTGATTTTATTTGGGGTAAACAGCATGCCTTTATGATATCAATGGCTAAGATAAGTTTATCTTTGTCCTATGTTAATTGAACCTTGTGAGAGCTTTGACTTCACTGGTATGCTGTTCTAACAGAGCTGAGTGGTCCACAATCTCTTCTAGGCAGGAGATGTGGTAATTATGCATGCTTTTCATCTGGCCAGCATTTTAAGATACTACAAAATAACCCTGGGAAACCATTGCTGACCACTTTGCTTTGTAATTAATATATTCTGGCTATTATATTTAAAATCTTAATATAATGATGAAAGCTGAGATGGTGAAAACACAATGCCATCCCTATGATTTAAGTTTAAATGAATCCAAAAAAGTGTACTTGGCATTTTTATCTTGCATATTAGCATTTTAAGTAGTGATAAATACTGAATATTCATGGCTCAGCATGTTACCTCATTTCTATCATAACTAATTGCCTAATGAGAATTGGTGAAATTCTCTTCTGATGCCAAAGTACCTTGACAATATTTAAGTATCATGAAAAATAATTTTAAATGTCATGATTGAGGGTTAAAGAACATACTTCTAGGAAGCATGTGCGGTTTTATGCCAACACACTAATCTTTAAAACAGCCCAAGTATTTTTAAGCTTCAATAATGGAAAAAACAACAATATTTGGCAGGGATGAAACTGGAAATGTTTACATTGGTATTGCCCTAGGCAGAAACTTTTCCAAATAATAATATTAAAAGCTCTATGGTATTTCAGCTCTTAACATTGCCTAAATCATTGAATTATAGTCCTGTGTTATGTATTTTCCTCTTTTGTATAGCTTTCACGTTGAAGCTAATTTAATTTTTATTGGCATAAAATATTTTCCTTTCAACTCCCAGATCAGCTCTCTAAAACAATATTTATCAGTTTCAACTCTCCTGAAGGAAATCACCGACATCCGTGGAACCTAGAAAAAATAATTCTGTTTAGAAGCAAAACAATGTCATTTGAGTCAATGTCAAGTGGGAAAATGGAATGTTTATTTTGAGGCGATAGCTCAAGGCATAAACTATTTACTCTAAATGATTTGTTTTACTGTTGTTTTTCTATCAATAAAAAGCTGACTTTAGGCTTACATTAACCCTGTCGAGATCTTGATATCTATACTTAGAAGGAAGTTCCTTTATAATTCCTCATTGTCTTTTGGAAATATTTGTGTTTCTATATTTTCAGTAAATGGTGTTAAGAAGTAAAACTTTTCTTTTTGCCTGCATAAGGCGTAAATGCTGGGGAAAATATGATCAATCACTTTCCAGAAGATATAAACTCATTTAGTCGCACTGAATGCTCAACCATCACATCATGCATTTCCAAACATAATTATAGTATGGCTCAACATGGTCTAAAATTCCATTTTCTACAGCCAATAAAAACAATTTTTGGCCCAGATCCAAAGTATGCCAAGTTTAACTTGTGTATCTCAGGACTGTTTTAGCACATAAAACCACAGAGGATTAGCTATCTTTTCCACTCTTTTTGAAGAGTTCTTTTTCCTTGTTCTATTCAAAAAGAAGAATAAGAGTACTAAATTAAGTACTGAAGTACATTCTTTTGGGAAACATGTTATTCAGCTATATATGCATACATGTAAGTGTGGATAGATGACGATTTCTTTTTTAGTAGATAATGATATATAGAAGCTAAGGCCTTGGTGCTAGGTATGCCCATTACTACTGAGCTGCCATTATTTCTAAGCCTTCTCAGTGGTCTCAGCAAGAAAGAGAGAGAGAAAGAGAGAGAGAGATATATTGATAGACAGTTAGATGGATTTCTCTTCAAACTCAAAATTCATAAGTAGCATTTTGCTCAAGTACAATATAGATATGCATTTATTAATTGCCAAGCTACTTTATACAAGACAGTATTAAAGAAATGTATGGAATACAAAGATGAGTTATTCTCTCAATACTGTACAAAATGAGACAGGAAAGTTACAGTTAATGATTAATGAAAAGAAGTATAAGTGCTATTGTAATCATGCTACTGATGATTTGAAACTGGAAGTAAAAATACACAGCCACAAAGAAGGGACATCTATCTCAGATGTGATTCTCAAGGAAGACTTCTAGAAGCAAGAGATACCCATACCCATACTGAGGGTTAAACATGAAGCCAGAAATGGCTGGGGGAAGAATTTGAAGGAAGCATATTCTAGGCAAAGGAACTTAAAACTTCTTGGAGGGAAAATGTAATGATTTAGGTGAACTGAAAGTCGTCCAATATTGCCAAAGCTGGGACCATGTGTCTATTTAGTGAATGAGTGGGTAGGGAGATTTTGAGAGACCTAGCCTATATTAGGCTGTTCTCATATTGCTATACATAAGTACCTGAGACTTGATAGTTTATAAAGAAAAGAAGTTTGGCCGGGCGCGGTGGCTCACGCCTGAAATCCCAGCACTTTGGGAGGCCAAGGTAGGCAGATCACCTGAGGTCAGGAGTTCAAGACCAACCTGACCAACATGGAGAAACCTCATCTCTACTAAAAATACAAAATTAGCCGGGCATGGTGGCGCATGCCTGTAATCCCAGCTACTTGGGAGGCTGAGGCAGGAGAATAGCTTGAACCCAGGAGGCAGAGTTTGCAGTGAGCCAAGATCACACCATTAAACTCCAGCCTGGGCAACAAGAGTGAAATTCTATCTCCAAAAAAAAAAAAAAAAAAAGGAAAAAAGAAAATAAAAGAAGTTTAATTGACTCACATTTGCACAGGCTGTAGAGGAAGCATGGCTGGGGAGGCCATACGAAACTTACAATCAGGGTGAAAGGCAAAGGGGAAGCAAGCACATCTTCACATGTTGACAGGAGAGAGACAGAGCAAAGGAGGAAGTGTCACACACTTTCAAACCATCATATATGAGAACACACTCACTATCTCGAGACCAGCAAGGGGGAGATCCGCCCCCATGATCAAATAACCTCCCACCAGGTACCTCCTCCAACAATGAGAATTACAATTCAACCTGAGATTTGAGTGGGAACACAGAGCCAAACCATATCATAGCCAGACTATATTATATATATGTGATTTATGAAGCTTAAATATATAATATTTTATGTAATATAAATTAAACAGTTTGACCATCATAAGAGCATCTGGGAGCCACTGAAAGATTTTTAAGCAAATGGGAGTTTTATCCTTAAGGGTTTTTTTTTTAGTTGATTCTCAAAGATAATGTGTGTATACATAATTATTATCCGAGGTAGAAAGTTTTATATGTCCTAGGAAAATTAGAAAAACAATGGCATGTGAGTTAAGAGTTGTATGATTAGTTCTACTTGAAGAATTCAGGTAAACCTCAGAAGGGGGATTTACCTGAACCCCCTTCAGGGTGAAGGGGGAATATTTTGGTTGGGTTTATTACTCAACATATTCACAGATTACCCATCTTATTTATTACGGATTGTTTTGTTTTGTTTGTAAATCACTGTGAATAGAGACAATACACAGATGTCATTCTCCCAGAGTTGTTAACCTTGCTTCTGAAATATGGCATCACAAAGTTTTGATGTAGCAAAATTTATTGTAAGATACAACATTTCAAGATGATGCTAAATTATACATTTCCTTTGACCTTTTAAAATCTATAATTTCTATATGATTTAAAAATTAAAGTTGCAACAAGTTTTAAAAAAATTTTCAAATTTAGTGTAATTTTAAAGTTGCAAGAATAGTACAGGGAAGTCCAGGAACAATTGTTTATGTTTTGCCCCATTTATCATTGTCTTTATTCTCTTTATTCATGTATAATTAAACATGCATATAAATATTGTTTATTATATGAATAGAATAAAATTAAATATGTATTACACAATGCATATAATTTTTATCACACATTTGCACATATATAGCACAAATGAAATCAAATAATTTAATACAGGTAAAATACTGTTTAATCTGCAGTTCTTTTTCAAGTTTTGTCTTTGTCCCAATAGTCTTTTATATCTATGTCATTCCTAATGTAGAAGGAAATCTAAGATGATACATTGCATTTAGTTGTCAGTTCTCTTGGGTCTTTTAATTTGGAGTGGTTCTTCAACCTTTCCTTGTGTTTTTTGACCTTGACATTTTTAGAGTACAGGCCAATTATTTATAGACTTCCCCTCACTTTGGTTATGTTTGGTATTTCCAAGAAAAGAATTAGAAATTTTTATTTCTACAAAAATGAGTAGATTTGTTTTTGTGATATTGGGTCAGGAGGCACATAATTAATCCTAGTTTGTCCTAATAGTGATGCAATACCAGTAATATTCCCATTTTTAATTTTTGAATTAATTAGAAATTTATAGAATGATATATTGAGGATGTATAAATATCCTGCTTCTTTCTCACCAAATTTTCACCCAGTGGTTTTACTATTCACTGATTTTCTAGCTCTATCATTCCTTTGGTATTTATCAGTTGATGTTTTCCAGTAGGAGGACCTTTATTCCTAATGTATTCATTCATTTATTTTTTATCAGAAATGACTCATGGATTCTGATTTTATTCAGTGGGCAATAAGACATAAAACATTGCTATCATTATTTATTTTGATGCTCAGATTGTCCCAGATTTGATCAATGAAGCCTCTTCAAGCTCATTTGTATGTTCTTTTGATATGCTACCATCATTCTTTGAATGCATCCTTACCTTCTAGTGTGATGTATTCCAGATTTATCTTGCACTTTCTCTCTCCCCAGCCCTGGATTCAGCCTATTATATAAGGAATCTTGATCACTTTCAGTAGTGAACCTTATATAGAAAACAAAATTTGAGTGCTAGGTGTGCTAATTGCTACTGTTGTGGCGTTGTTTCTTGCTCCTCTCACTGGACATAGCTAGGGTTGTATATATTATATTTATAAAACCTATAGTTTATACCAGTACCTCTAACTTCTAGCCAATGCCATGGTACCTATTTTAGTTCTTCCCCTTTCCATATGTGAAATTCCGTCTCCAATCATGAGCAATCTGGCTCCTATTATCCTCAATATTCTTTTGCTCAAATAAATAGGAGATTTATACATATAAAATGATTATATATAAAAATAAATTTATGGAGAAGAATAAACATACTGATATGGTTTGGCTTTGTCCCCACCCAAATCTCACCTTGAATTGTGATAATCCCCATGTGTCAAGGATGGGGCCAGGTGGAGATAATTGAATCATGGGGGTGGTTTCACCCATACAGTTCTTGGGTAGTGAATAAGTCCCATGAGAGCTGATGGTTTTATAAATGGGAGTTCTCCTGCACAAGCCGTCTTGCCTGCTGCCATGTAAGATGACCCTTGGCTCTTCCTTTGTCTTCTGTCCTGATTATGAGGCCTCCCCAGCCATGTGGAACTGTGAGTTCATTAAACCTCTTTCCTTTATAAATTACCCAGTCTAAGGTATGTCTTTATTAGTAGCATGAGAATGGACTAGTACACATGCATTAGTATCCAAAAAATTTTCGTGGTAAGGGGAAAAATAAACTGAAGGAAGACTGTTATTACTCAGTGCTTAGGCATACTAAAAGCTACAGTAATTAAACCAGTTTGGTGCTTGAGCAGAAAAATCAACAGAAAAGAAGAGAAATAAAGCAAAAAAAAACCCATGAAAATTAAATGTATAATAAAAGTAACATTTTAAAGTAGAAGAGAAAATAAAGAATATTTTAAACACATAATATTGGGATAATAAGCATTTTGGATAATTTGGAAAAATCCAATTATAATATTGAGAATATGCCTTAAGTTTTATGTACTGTTAATTCATTTCTCAATAGAAAAGTATTTTATTTAGAATATATCTTGTTTTAATAATGCAGAAATGTCAAGCATTTATTATTTCTTCTTCATAAATGAAAACACAATAGGCATTTGCTGCAGTTGAGTGGAAGTATATGATGTCTGCATATAGTCAGGAAGAATAGACAGCTATGTGGTATGATTTAAAGGCATGCCTATAACTAAGTAGCATCCCATTGGTCTGCCACAGTTACTTTCTGTTAGAGTTTTTGATAATTGCGTCCCAGAATGTAATAAGAGGAATTTGTCATCTCCTAATATATTAGCAGATTCCCTTTCTTCCTCGGGTCAGCTGGCTCAGAGTACCATTTTGAGCCAATGAAACACAGAATATGTGAGTTTCTATAGAAATCAGAATGGGAAGAAAATATGTAGACTAGTGACCCTAGATGATTGCTTCAGTTTGAGATTTGAACTTCCAGAAATTAAAATGAGAGCACTGGGATTCTGGAAATGAATCCTGAAAGGAAGAGGAGGATATATGAGATAATCTGTGTTTGCTTAAATTATATGCTCTGGGACAGCAGTGTCACCCTTTCTACGTATACCATAACCAAAAAAGATTATTCAAGTGAATTCCAACTGAGGAAGACACAATTAGGGCAACTTTTCTTTTGGTTTATATTTCTGTTGTGTTCCTACACATGTCCTCCCAAAAGAAAATATCCTCAGAAACTTTAAATCAAGGCATTAAGGTAGGAAACAACAACTTGCTCAAAGTAAAATGTTGTCATGTAAACAGGTAGCCATATGTACTTTTTCTGTGACTTCAAATATTTGTACAGTTAGCCCATATCTTCCTTTCATATTTATTTCCATAGAAACAATTAACTGAAGTGCTTGTTTTGTGTGCCTAATCAGAAAAATTCTCCCAACCTTAAAGGTTTTCTTGGTTTCAGAACTTTTTGTCTTACTGAATATGGGATTGTTCCAGCACAGAAACTGCCTTAATTAAGGCCACCAGTGGCTTCCATGCTGCCAACTTTACTGGAAATGTTTAGTGGAAATGTTCCACTAGTCTTTCTGACTGCTCTGCAGCTTTGGTACCAGTGACATCTTTCTTCCACTTGACGCCCTCTCCACTTCTGTTGTAGGACAAACTTCTCCTCCTGACTCCCAATTCTCTCTGACATCTTTGCTGAATACTCGTCCCTGTCCATCTCCTCAATTGCCAGAGTTTTGTTCTTGGGACTTTACTTCTGTAATCTAAATGTTCTCTCTGAGCAAGACCATCCACGTTCATAATTTTATATTTATGCAACTCCCCTCCCCCACATTTTATCTCCATAACTGTCTTCTTTCCTCTTTCATCACACTACCCCCCTGCACCATTCAAATATCTAATTGCCCATTAAATATCTTCACTTGAACCATCTTTTGGCATCACAAATTCACTATGTGTTACCAATAAACTTACCATTATACTTCTTTCTTCTTATTACCAATCTGGGTCTTCTTACACCATCCTCCCAGATAACAAATCAGAAATCTAATTATTATCTTAGAATCCTTTTTCTTTTTCATTCAGTACACCTTATTATGCACTATAACCTATGTACTATCCCAGTTAATATCTCTTGAATACACTCTTTTTTGCAATTAATGCCTTTGCCTTACTTCAAGTTACAGTCATCTTTCACCTAGACTACTCTAACATGCTTTTTACTGATATCCCTATACCCATACTTGTAATCCTAAAAAATATTTTCTACATTGTTCAGTGACATCTTCCAAAACTGCAAAGTAGAAAGTATCATTTCTCTGATAGTAGCCCACTAGTGGCTCCCCATTGCCTATTGGATATAGTCTCAGCTCTTCAGTATGGCATATATAATTTGGTCTCTATAATTTTTCAGATTCGTCTCCTGTAATTTCTCCTCATATTTTTACCTTTAAGTCGTGCCAGGATACCTTCCTGAATACTATGGCATTTCATGATTCTGCATTACTTTCTACCATCTTTTGACTGAACTTTCTTTCTCTGCATTGTCTTTCTAGTAAATAATTTTCCCCTGATGAACTTCCAAGCACTGGCTAAACCTTGCTAAAACAGCATAATTTCCTCTGTGAGTCTTCCTTTCTCTCCCCTCTTTGCCTCTTTTGTTCCTTTTATTTTATGAATGCACTTAATTGTATTAAAATTACTTTTAAAAATAGAATATATTTCAAGATTTAAAAATTAAAATCAAAATTTACCTTTCCATATGCCTTAGAGGTGGCCCCATTGGAGACCAACATAGGACTTCTTAGTAAGCTGAACGCAGCCAGTTTTCCCTCCATTCTTGGAGTAGATTGTTGTTTTTTGATTGTGTATTGGCTAAATAACTTGGTATAAGAAGTCTCTATCTTTAAATACAAGTAGCATTTAACAAGATGAAATGCTCATATTATGAGAGGTCTTAAATTTGGAGATCAGGGGAACTGTAGATTTACTTTTACCAGCTCAGGGATACTTGAGAGGTAAGTGCTCTCTGAGAGGAAAAACAAGAGGAGTTCTGTAATGGCTAGGAAGGTGAATAACTTGACCTTGAAAATCCCTTCAGATTCCAGAAGTCTATGATTCTATTTATAACAAATAACTCATTACCTCAAGGTCAAAAAATTGATGTTCATGAACTATACTGAAACAATGTGTACATTCAAAACAGCAGCAATGTTCTGTATTTGCAGAACAACCAAGAGAAGTGAATTCAGAATCTCCATAAATTTAAGATAAGAACCAGTTAATAATACACTTGATGCTTATCACTGGAAAAGAAAATTATTTATGAAACAGAGCAAAAGAAAAGAGTGAAGATAAAAATATAAAATGATTGTAAGAAACAGAGAGAAAGAATCAAAGTGAATCATATTAGATGGACCCAACCTTACAAGGCACTAATAATTAATTCTGTGGACTCTGGTGAAAAGCAGTCCCAGGTTCAAACCTTTGTTTTGTCAGTCCCAGCTGTACAATATTAGCTATCTCTAAAATTAGGATACTAATATTATCCCATATTGTCATCTGGGGAATTCAGTGTAATAGGTTCTGTAGAATCCTCAGCAGTGCCTGGTACATATGTGCTCTGTAATGGCAACAGCTCTTTTATTGGATATAGGGGCTAGGTAATTTCATAGGTAACTCTTAGCTTTACAAGTCTATGAATGGAGCCTATCTAGCCTTTTCAGTGAAGGTGAAACATCTTATGAAGTGATTTAGAGAAAAGGTAGAGAGTTTTAATTAATCAATTAATTATTTTTACGGTTTGGGTGGTTGCAAATAGGATTTCAAAGAGAAAATTACCTTACAGACACACCTTTGTGTTGGAGACCCATTCTGTACGTTGGGGATATATATCACAACTTCATTTGCACATTTACTAATCTGATTTTTTCCCCAAGAGTTTCTCAGTGATGTTTTGACCAGAAGTTTTGTTTATCCACTTTTGTTCAATGAAGATTATACAGCAAACAAATGGCAAAATTTAAACTTTAAAGCATCCAAATATTCAGTCTTCTGCTTTTCATGGTTCATTGATCCATCCACATGTAAGGCTTGTATTGTGAGATTGACCCAAACCAGATAAATGTGTCTCTGAAATCAAGTCTCAATTCCTGCTAGGGTTCAACTTAATTTAAATTATCAGAGAATTATAATTTTAAAAATATGGTTGGCCAAGGTGCTTTTTAAAGGCTGTTATTAAAACTAAGAATATGATCATGGAGAGGCAGTGCAATATGTTAGTAAGAACAAAGAGGTCAGCATCAGAAAGACTGGATTCAAATCCTATTACTGTAATATGCGAACTATATAGTCTTTGGCAAATTATATAACTTTTCTAAAGTCTAGTTGCCTTGAGTGTGAAATGAAGATATGCGATTCTACCTTTTGGGTGTGTTATGTAGAATTAACTGAAACAGGGCATATAAAGTATAGTACCTGACACAGTTAATGACTGCCAAACACATGCCAACTTTCCTCCCTCCACATTTTCCATTGGGTCATGTAAAGAGCAGATGAGGGAAAATTATTATTTTCTAGTACCATAGAGCAAGATGAGGGTTCATAATGTTGAAAAAGATGCAGCATTTCTAAGATAGACTTGATTTCCAGTATTCTCTTCTGGTATCGAGCCATGCAGTAGATGATGCAATAAATAATATGTCCAGTATGGGGCTTGGGAAAGCACTACTGACCAGTTTAAATCCTGTATGGAATTTGAATTTTGAGTTTAATAAAATAAAAGTACAAAAAAATTATGGTAACTATGGCATGTCATAGAACAATTAATAGTAATGATACATTGATATTCAAAAGAAGATAGTAATTCCAAAGATGAGATTGCCAAGGATAGATTATTACAGTGCACTTGGAGTGGAGGGAGTATTCCATAGAAGCAAAGAGAAAAGCTGAAACTAGAATGAGTTTTTTAAGGAGTGAGGGTACAAATATATGTGGTATTGATTTTCTCTGTTAATAACTCATTTTTATTTTAGAAAGGTAATAAGTGTTGTAACCTATTTCTATACATTTGGATTATTTACACAGAACCTTACCAAACACACTATTGGAAGTCTGGCAAAGTCAGTGGATGGTTCTACTCAGTCAGCATGAGTCATGATTATCTCTATTGCTGTCTAATTCTCAAAGCTTAGAGAAGCCAATAGTTTAGCATTTAGGAATTTTCCATTACTGACATTGATTCAATTCATTTCTTGGTTGTAGCTCTGAACATTTATTCATAAGCATTACTGAAAGCTTAAGCAGACTTAAAAAAATTGCTAATCCAATTTAGCATTATATTGAAGCCAAACTTAAAATACGGAGGAAAGCTGGTAAGGAGGACTCAATATTGAAGTTAGGTTGTTGATTTTGTGATGGACTTCAGAGTTTCAGAGAAACTAACCAAGTCTCAGTATGCAGCTACTTTTGAACAGCTTTCCACTGACTGAAGAATTGCAGATAAGAATATTTTTGGCATGTTTGGGGAGTAATGGAAACCTCTGAATCAGATGCTTTAAAACTTTGATATCACATGGAACATGTAATTGTTCCCTAATTACAACCCCTCTTTTTATGTGATGGTGTGAGCCTCTGTAACTGCAGGCGAATGCCGCATGACTGACACCACACTGCTTCACCCACCATGTGCACTTGAAATC
This sequence comes from Homo sapiens, assembly GCF_000001405.40. Taxonomy (NCBI): domain Eukaryota; kingdom Metazoa; phylum Chordata; class Mammalia; order Primates; family Hominidae; genus Homo; species Homo sapiens. Next base: position 182,435,450 of record NC_000002.12, on the reverse strand, counting down.
ACGTATTATTGCATGGTACTTAGGGCTTATGAAACACTCTGCTTGCTCTTCTTCTTATCCTGCTAGTTGAATATCTATTCATCCTTCCAACCCCTGTTCAGCCATCTCCTTTTTAGACCTCTGACTCAAAGAGAATTTTATATTAAGGAGACTTCTTTTTGCAATGTTCCTTTAACTACCTACTATACAAAAGCCATTTCCTTTAATAGTAGATTTGTATGTTCGTTGATTACACACTAAGCAACGGATGTTTGGCTATGAGAATCTGTTTTAAATTATTTCTATTGTTGTTGTTGTTGATGATGTTTTCATATAATGTTACACTACTTATAGGAAGTTTTTTGATGGGCAGCACTTAAGGCTGTGAGAAGTGGTGGGAGTGCTAATTGGAGCCAATCAAACTTTAACCTACCTACTCCTACACTTCAGTGACAAAGAGGAATTTCTTCTACTTTGTGACATAGAAAGCCTTGTTTCTGATGGATTTAAATGACCGGGGAGTTAGCCAATTTGGGGAACAGCTTTTCTGTCACTAGAAATTATAAATGTGAACATTATTATTAATTAATCTAAGAAAATAATAATTCTTGTGTATTTTGTTATTGAATTTGTGGCCAATGAACTGAGTCTGATACACAAATCAAGGGAATCTAGTATAAAGCTATTGAGTGAATAGAAAATTTTCCCCTGAGGTAGAAAACATTTCTGGTGAGGCTGAGAACCATTTTCAAAGTGATTCTCAGTTGTATTGTTAATTTTACAATTCTCTTTGCTGTGGTTTGAATGTGTCCTCTCCAAAATTCAAGTGATTTCGGTGTGGTAGTAGAGGTGGGGACTTTTAAGAGGTGATTAGGCCAGGAGGGCTGCTCCCCTCTTAAGGGGATTAAGGCCCTTTCAGGAAAAAAAAAGGGCTTCATTTTCAGTTAGCTTTCCTTTCTGCCTTCTGCCTATCTGAAGATGTAGTAAAAAGGCCCTCACTAAACCAGAGGCTGACACCTTGATATTGGACTTCCCAGCTTCTGTAACTGTGAGGAAATGAGTTTCTGTTCTTTATAAATTACCTAGTCTCAAGTATTCTGTTACAGCAGAACAACATGGACCAAGATGCCATTGTATTTGCTCTCGTTTATGTAAAGTTCCAGATTTGAAGAAGTGTAATGGCAAATATGAAACACGAATGTAAGTTTTACAAAATGTTTTGAAGCATTACAAGAGATCACTGAGTCTGTTTTTAGGGTCTTACAGTCACATATATGAGAAAAAATATATTTTTGGTATAACTTGACTAGGTTTATTTTTATAGTAGTCAGGGTAAGTTACATGTTCTGATCTTTTCCTCAGTTATTGTATCCTGCAGAATGGATTTATTCATGCATTGAACAGATACATTTGTGAATAAAAAATTAAACAGATTATGATGCACACAGATTATGATACTTGCTGAGGGAGGAAAAACTGCAGGTACAGGTACATGAAATTCAAATAGAGTTGTCAGGAGAGTCACATCTCTGAAGAGGGACACTGCAATGATATCTGAGCAATGAGCAGGATGAAAAGCATTTCAAACAGAAGGAAAAGTATGTACAGAAACAGCAGGATAAGAGCGTGAAGTGTTCAAGGCACAAAATGCCAGCACAGGTAGTGGGGAATGAGCCAAAGGTCAGGGTTTTGAGATGAAGGGTACAGGTACACGAGGGCCGGATCAGGCAGAATGTGGATATTGTGGTATGCTGTACTCATTATGCACCCAATGAAATGAATAAGAAAGTTTCATCATATATAGTGATAATGTATTTGTCTATCTTCCATTTTGATGTGTATGACCAGAAGCATGGGTGTGGGCCAGTTTTGAAAACCTAAATGGAAATTTTGAGCCCCTTTAAGACAATATTTCTGAAAGCCAGACTTTGTTCACACCAAAAATTATTTCTTAAATCCCTGAAGCTCTACCTGATATACATGATCAAGGGCTGTAGACTTGAACATTGGGTCTGTTATAGACCATGGATGAAAGGTATGCAGGAGATAAATTAAGAAAGCATTTCTTCTGCCCTGATGAAGTACAGAAAAGAGAACCCCCAAAAGAAGGTGTTTTGTGCAAATGGTCAAAGTATTTTGACTTCTTTCCTATAAGCTGAAATCCCAGAGGAGGAGCAGGTTTGGTTGAAAGTGAAAAGCTAAAGCAGAGTGAATTTTGCTGTGATTTAGTGAGTTAGCTATGACAGAGTAAAAATGGTGGTATGGTGTGGCCAATCCCAAGTCTTCCTCAGTGCCTGTGTGGGATGGAGTCTCAGGAAGTTCTGCTAGCCCTGTGAGGATGTCAAAAGCTAGCTGAGATGGAGCAGTGTATCTGTCATGAGCCTGCCATGACCACAGTAGGAGGCTGGGGGTCCTAGACAGATGCCAAAGGTTTAATAGCCTCAATAGAGATCCAGGTGGAGGATGTGGATGAGACTTAGAGGATATTGAAGTAACAAGGAAGGCTGAGATTGGCTCAATCCATGACAAATGACCAAGGTTCCCAAACTGAGGCAATTGATCAGAGAAGCCCTGGATTTTAGCTGTAGATGTGTGCAGGGAACCAAGTGACAAGACAGACAAGGGACATAGTTGCAGAGACCAGAGGACATAAAGGAGATCAGGGACCTGCAGGTTTGGGGCTGAGACCACTTCTTTCCTGCCACCTCAAGGTCAGAGAAACCCTCTTCCTTATAAACTCAGGTGTCTCCTTGAAGAAAAACAATGGGCTGGAGGAAATATGAAAGATTACACATTTAACAGATATTACTGAGTTTTTAGAAAAAGAATATGTATTTATATAAAAAGATGATGAGATAGCATTAATGATCACTTTGTTCATGTATTCATTCACTTAACAAATAACCAGTGAGCATCTTTTATATACTATGCACAGGGAATACAACAGACACTAATCCCTGCCTTTCCAGAGCTTAGTGAGGGTAGTTCCTGGTTGAAGCTATAAGGAAAATAACAACAACAACTACAACAACAACAACAACAACAACAGCAAAGCTCAATTTAAAAAAAGATACTTTAATTTATTTTCACATTTGAGTAGTGTGCTGTATTTTTAATCCTACAACAATGGGGATGAAAAGTATTCTGGTGGTATGCATGACCTTGTTGTGGTTAAGGAGAGTTAAAAATGACTACAGAGTTTATTCTTGGTTGGACATTAAATTTAAATAACTTAACATTTTATCATAGGGTTAGTCAGAGAGGCACAGAATTTTAGAGCTGGAAAGGATCTTAGAGGTCATCTGGTCCAACCTCTTAGTTTGATTAGTGAGGAAACTGACATACAGGGAGTTGAAGGGAAACTTGCCGCTAAAGCTGGGGTTTAAATATATGTTCTTTGACTTTAGTCTAGGGATCTTTATAATAGAACAGAACTTTCATTCATATCTTAGCAGGAGATAATCTATAAGCCTATTCAATTCACCTTGATATCAAGTAAACCAGGGCCCTTTGGAAATGTTTCTAGGGCTGGTGTTTTTGTAGGTATTGGGAACATAATTGGCAATGTTATGACACTTGAGTAGGGTAGGCGGTTAGAAGAAGAATAGAAACTCTCTGGAGTGGTAAGTTGTTTCTTCTTTTTCCCAATAGAATGTTAAATACAGCCCAGAAAGATCCTGAGTGACCCCAGAGACAGAGTGCTTGCCAAGATGACAGCCTACTGTAAGGAGTAAAAGCTTGGGCTCAGGAATGAGACATCTGAGTTCAAATCCCAGCTCTATCATGTATCTACTAGCTTCTTAGTCAGTTGTAAAACTTGTAGCAAGAAATGTGTTATAAAGAATGAACAAAATGCTGAGAGTTGTGAATGACTTACCTTGGAAGGATAAATCAGATTTAAGTTATCTCGAAAATGATTCTACTGTCACTCACTTATATGCAGTAGTTTTTCCTCTAGAGGTAAAGCGGTAAAGTTATGGTTAGTTTATGAGGAAGAATTTACACCCTGCCATTTATCTCATGGTATAATTGACCAAGTGGTGTTCCACTTTATTGATGTGATATTCCTAGTTATGACAAATGAAAATTATAGTAGTGTTTGCATTTAATGCCCACGTTTTACTCTTCATGGTTTTAGCAAGACCTTGGAACTTTCCTGGGGGAGGATCACATGCACACTTTATCTTTCATGTATGATATGTCAAAAAAGAGAAAAGATTGGCAACAACTAAACTGGAGTTTAGGTGTGTGAGGTACTCTAATCATACACAAGGCTAGCTTTAATTTTGGTGAATGGTAGAGAAGGAAGAGTAAAAGAAGCAGTGTTGTGTTTTTTTTTTTTTTTTTTTTAATGTTTTTTTTTTTATTATACTCTAAGTTTTAGGGTACATGTGCACATTGTGCAGGTTAGTTACATATGTATACATGTGCCATGCTGGTGCGCTGCACCCACTAACTCATCATCTAGCATTAGGTATATCTCCCAATGCTATCCCTCCCCCCTCCCCGACCCCACCACAGTCCCCAGAGTGTGATATTCCCCTTCCTGTGTCCATGTGATCTCATTGTTCAATTCCCACCTATGAGTGAGAATATGCGGTGTTTGGTTTTTTGTTCTTGCGATAGTTTACTGAGAATGATGGTTTCCAATTTCATCCATGTCCCTACAAAGGACATGAACTCATCATTTTTTATGGCTGCATAGTATTCCATGGTGTATATGTGCCACTTTTTCTTAATCCAGTCTATCATTGTTGGACATTTGTGTTGGTTCCAAGTCTTTGCTATTGTGAATAGTGCCGCAATAAACATACGTGTGCATGTGTCTTTATAGCAGCATGATTTATAGTCCTTTGGGTATATACCCAGTAATGGGATGGCTGGGTCAAATGGTATTTCTAGTTCTAGATCCCTGAGGAATCACCACACTGACTTCCACAATGGTTGAACTAGTTTACAGTCCCACCAACAGTGTAAAAGTGTTCCTATTTCTCCACATCCTCTCCAGCACCTGTTGTTTCCTGACTTTTTAATGATTGCCATTCTAACTGGTGTGAGATGATATCTCATAGTGGTTTTGATTTGCATTTCTCTGATGGCCAGTGATGATGAGCATTTCTTCATGTGTTTTTTGGCTGCATAAATGTCTTCTTTTGAGAAGTGTCTGTTCATGTCCTTCGCCCACTTTTTGATGGGGTTGTTTGTTTTTTTCTTGTAAATTTGTTTGAGTTCATTGTAGATTCTGGATATTAGCCCTTTGTCAGATGAGTAGGTTGCGAAAATTTTCTCCCATGTTGTAGGTTGCCTGTTCACTCTGATGGTAGTTTCTTTTGCTGTGCAGAAGCTCTTTTTTAAATTGAGATAATATCATATATGTGTCATGGTAAAACCTAAAATGCCATCTAATCCTTTCTTTCTTGCAGTTTCGTTTCCCTCCTGCACTTAACTTGAAGCTCATTAAAATATATAACTTGTAACACTGTGTTTAATTAAATGTTGTTTAACAAAAAGAACACACATGTGGTCTCACGTCCTATTTGACTAGACTTACGTGCTTAAACTGAGAACCTGCAGACCCATGCATTTTCCAGTGCTTGGGATGGCATAATATCAAATGACCTTTTTGCCATTGCATGCTTTGGCACTTGTGTATTACAAACACAGCCAGACTATAACAATGAAGAAAATCAGGAAAAGAAAAGCTTACCTTTTCTCCATGATGCTTAATGGAAAATACCATGACACTCTTAGGGTACTTTTGGTTGGAAAAGTCACATGGGTTGATCTATGTGTTTTGTCACACAAAATGAGTTGGTTAGATGGAATTCTTGGTGTGTTTCAGCTGATTTGTGTTTTAGAAAATTAACATATTTATTGAGCACCAGTTAGGACGATTTCTAACAGCACTGAGTCGGGTAGGGTATGTGTGTGAACGTGTTAGACTAAGTCAGCCTGACTTTGTTTTTCCACAACAGGAAAAATAAAAACACCCTTTCTGACCCCCCTCAGGAAAAAAACTATTCATAATAAATTATAGTCTATTGTATAGAAGACTTGGCCTTTTTATTTATGCCATATATTTTAGTATTTTGCACACTACAGTTGTGTTAATGTAAGGAATATATTTTAGTAATTTAATTAATAATCATGAAATCTTTGTCTTATTGAATACTACATTAAAGTTGAATAAGGTGATAAAGCCAACTTTTTTCCAATGTTAAATTTAAATGTTCTTTGAGAAAAAGCTAATAAAAACATTTAAGAAATATATATTTTTCTTTGTGCCCAGTGAATATTTAATTTACTGGTATCATCTGAATGCTTTATAGGGTCTCAGATTGGTTTTAAATATAGTGCTTTCCATAAAGTGAATCTAAACTTTCTAACTTAATCACAGAAAGAAAAAAGAATATAAACCTAAGGTAATGAAGTATGTTATGGATTTCCTATGATTAACAACTTTCAGATTCTTCAGCTGGTAATCAAGCCTTTGGACTTCAAGCTATATTTCATACTTGCTTGCCGTTTGAACTGTACCTTGGCTAGATGTTTATTAGTATTTATGTTGAGTTCCCTCCATTGTGTTCATGTAGAAATTGTCTCACATTTCCAATTCAAAAGAAGACAAAATGAAAGTTAATTTTTAAAAGTTGATGGGCTTATTATTTTCTTGAATTTTCCCTCAGGAGGAAGATTTATGCTATATTAATGGTAATATAGGTAAACCATGACTACAGAAATTGAATGCTACCCACAAACGCAAAATCCCTCCCAGAAGACCTGTACAATGTGTTATTTCTTATGTGCTTTCCTAAATACAAAGAAAGCCAAAGCATATGGTAATAATAAAGCATCTGCTTCAAAGATCTGTATCTAAGTTTGTTTATACATGGTCAGTATATTTAACTGCTGTATAGCACACATGTGAATTTATCATTGGTACTTATTGATCATAAAGAGAACAGTGACATAGATGTCACTACATAACTATGTAATATCTATATAAATATGTTATACATAATATAAAATCATCTTTTTATTTATAGCTTCCTTATTTATTTATAACAGTACATAATAAGTGTGTAGTTTTTGAAGTATCAGGCATCATAACTTCTATGGCAGTTTCTTTGCAAGAAGCAGGCGAATCAGATTTAGAAATAACATGATAGTACCATTAAAGCTGGAAAGAAATATAGAATTCAATTAATATTATAATTTCATTTTACAAACAAGAAAATGGTCTCAGACAGGTCAAGAAATTTGCCCACAGTGGCCCGGCATATTTGCAATAGAACTAGGACTAGAACCCATTTATTTTATTTTTAGTTCAATGCTCTCATAATGATTACATTTCCTAGTTTGGATTAGAACGGCTCGATAAAATCCATGATTCCCTTATAACTCTCTTCTCCTTCCTTATCTCTCCTCAGGGAGGAAAATAAAAAGGTGATCTTTCTCCCTGGAAGTATTTGGAGAGTGCCAATAACTACAGATAGTATCCTCCTTTGTGACATTTGATCTTTATTTTTATGGATCATTCAACTAAAGGCATGCACGTTACTCATTTTTCCCTTTTTATTACATGTATATATTAAAAACATTCTAATCATGCTTTGAAATGATTTAGTTTATTACAAATCTCTGACCTGGAATCTTATGACATTATTGACTGAATAGGAACTTTGTTAGTGATTCAGATACAGGAAGGTCTCCAAAATAAGTTACATTAAAATACGAGCATTCCCTTTATCTGGAGCTAGAATAAGAGTTCCCGCAGTGTAAATCTGTCTTCTAAAAGAAAACAATTTTTAATATCATTTATTTTCAGCTGTTCACAAATTCTTTTATACCTTCTTTTCTTTCCTTTTACTTTTATAAATCCAAATTTCATCACATAATATATAAACCATAGGCTCCCAGGCACTTTGGAGGGGCTTTTTGTTAAAAAAAAGCATGTGGATGTGTGTGTGTGTTTCCATCTCTTTTTTGCAAGAGATGTTTCCTCTTAGTTGGAAACCACATTTGGGTACAGACATCTGGGTATAATGTCACCAGTAGAAATTAGCAATTTTTGTTTTTCTAACTTTTGTAGCTCTGGTCAGCTTCGCATGGGCTTCTATCAGTTGATATGGCATCTTCAACTTCAGCCAAGAGGAGGTTATTAGATTATAAGTGCTAAAAATGATGAGTCGTCTCCACACTTCAGCCAGCATGAATACAAGCAAGATTGTAAAATAATTATAATCTGAAGCAGAGCCAGCCATGCAACCCGAGCCTATCTTTCTTCATTAATTTGTATACAGTTCTTATTTTAAGAGAACAAACTTTCAGAGGGTACTCACATGGGGCTGCTGAACCAGCTGTACAACTTTTATTTTGAAGAAAAAAAGTTGAGCCTCAGAACAGTCTGTTTTAAAGACAGGGAGGGACTTAGCCTTTCGGAGCTTGACCAGCATGTGGAAGGAGAGCTCTCATGGCTGCAATAACTTAGGGAGTTCCTACCTGGATGACACTGGGGTAGGAAGTTTTCTGTTTGTTTTGTTCTGTTTCGGAGGGTCCCGTGCACTTCTCTTGCCTGGATCAACGTGACTCTTGGTGGTTTTTGCACACCCTGCTCTGTGGGGGAGTGCCCCAACGTGCCTGTCTTATGTGGCCTCTATGGACACACTGCTCAGCTGGCAGAGAACAGGGAAGTTTTCTCCCAGCACCCAAAAAGAGAAAGAGGAAACTACTTTTTCTTTCTGGGCTCCTTGCAGCACAATAGATCAGGATAAGCTTCCACATTTCCTCTCTGGAGTTTCTGGAGTGGTTTCCAGGAAGAAGTTAAACCTTCACCTTTAAATGGATGACCATGTCACAATCAGGAAGAAACATCTCCAAAGACCCATCTTTAGGTAAGTAATGCTACATCGCAGGTGGCTCTAGGGCTGTCAGGAACAATAGTTTCTCCCTTCATCCTTAATTTGGGGATTCTGCCACTAAGCTACAGCAGAGCAATCAAGAGTGCTTAAAGTTTAACTTCAGGCATACTGAGGGAGCCTTTTTGTTTTCTGTTTTCTGAAACTTTGTGCACAAACTCTTATCAACTCCTGAAAATACATTTTACAAAATCTTAACTATTCAAACACATAAGTGACATAGTACTGGAAAAACTTTGGAAACGTTATGCAATCTCTAGCTGTTTCTGTAGGCTGTTGCACAGCCCTCTAAATAGGAAACGTTGTGCTTAGTTCTTTCAACTGATTACAGGCAAGGGCAGTGTTTCAGTGCTGTGAATACTACACCTTTCTGGAGTGAAGTGTCGGGAGATAAATTTGAACTTGATAGCTACTTTACTAGAGTGCACATTTTACAGCTCGCTCAGGAATATCAGACCAGCAGTTAAAGAAACAACAGGGTGATAGGAAAAATTTTACACTGTGGTGGAATCTGTGACCAGGCAAAATGTAGATACAGTATAATGGATTGAGCTAAAGTTTAATTTTGGAGGGAGGTACACCCTTTCTTTAAGAAAGCAGCTGTTTCTTCATTGACTCTTTAATTCTGGATTCTTTAGTTACCTATTATGTACTTTAGAATTTAAAATAAAAAATAATTTAAAAGTATCTAGAAATTGAACCCTATTTTTGCCCCTCAAAACAGAAGATTTTTAAGAAAGTCAGTTATATATCAGTTTTGTCTTTCCACAAAATAATATTCTAGATAAAGCAGAGATACTACATGTTAGCAATGTTAAGGTCAAGTTGCAACCACTGGTTTTTGTCTGGAATTAAATACAGGATGATAAAACGTATGAGCAAAATTTCTCTGTGGTTTCTACATAATGAATGAGTAGACCTCGAGGAATATAATTATATAAAATGTGGCCATTTTTACTGATTAAACATCATTACTGAATTATTAATAGCAACATTATACCTTTGTAATGCTTAAAACAAGATGTTAGCTTGAATCTGTTTTAAAGTCTTCCTTTGAACATAAATTATATTTAAATTCATATATATGGATTTAATATTACTATCCCCCTCTACTTAAATATGTTTTTGTGTCTTATGCAATGATGTTGGTAAATAACCAAAAATCTAAAATGACCCCCAAAATATATTCACCTACCATATTTCCTAAAAAGTTCTTCCAATTGTATGTAGTATCTATATTCTCCCAAGTGCACGTGCGACTTCAAAAAGGTATGATAGTTGCCCAGATGATTCTAAACTCAACACCAGTGAGGCACAACTCACAGAGGGCACCCACAGCAGTTTGGAAAGGCAAGGTTGTGTTGGATAAAATCAGATCCACCTAGCCATCATCTTTATTGTATTACCCCTTTGGAGAGCTGTGGGGATTGAAGCAGGTGGTTTTCACCACTGATTTATGCCAAATCCTCATTTCTTCCTAATTAATTAATTATATGCTTAGGTGCTATGGGGAAGGTGGATTGCAACTTAACTGCACTTCTGTGCTTATTTATGTAAAAAATAGAACTTTGTGGAAGCTGAGATTCTTTGCCCAGATAATTAGAATAAAATTTGTTAAATTCAAGTGATTTGCTTCATGATCCTGGTGCTCTCATACTTTCACCAGGGAGTTGTTACAAGTAGGTCTAGAAATGGGTCTTTGACTGATAACAGATTAAAGCTGTATGTGAGAGCAGGATTTATTGGTCATCTGGCACATTGACAGTTGGCATTGCTTTTACCAGGTTATGATTGTGATTAGGGAAAAGGGAGATGGAGAATATCTTAAAAGATTCAAATAACTAGGCTTAATTGCACAGAGAAAGTTTGGGGCTGATTTCCATAACACAGACTTCCCGATAGCTAGTTGTACTTTTAGGGAAGCTGGCAGTGGGTTAAGCTTGCTTTTGATGCATTGCTTCTTATCTCATGCCTCACTTCGTTTTCTTCGTCAGCCTCCTTTCTTAGGCACCTTGTTCTCTTAGGCTTTCCCTAGGCTGTCTGGCATCTCACATTGAGACATCTTTCTCAAGCCTGACTTTTCAGAGACCCATGTACTAGACCTTTCCTTCTCAGTATGTACTTGTAACTGCACCCCACTTCCTAGGGGCCTTGCACACTGGATCTCAATCCACTTGACAGGCAAATCTGTACCAGTGTGTTTTGTGTGCTAGTGGGGCCAGTTATAAGCTTAATGGACATTTTATGAAAATAGTATCTTGGCTGTTTAAAAGTAATTCATTTAAAATTTCAGTCATTAAGAAATATTTGGCCGGGTGCCGTGGCTCATGCCTGTAATCCCAGCACTTTGGGAGGCCAAGGTGAGTGGATCGCCTGAGTTCAGGAGTTTGAGACTACCCTGGGCAACATGGTGAAACCCTGTCTCTACTAAAATACAAAAAATTAGCCAGGTGTGGTGGTGTGCACCTGTAGTCCCAGCTACTTGGGAGGCTGAGGCATGAGAATCGCTTGAGCTCTGGAGGCGGAGGTCGCAGTGAGCTGAAATTGCGCCACTGCACTCCAGGTTGGGCTATAGAGTGAGACCCCATCAAAAAAAAAAAAAAAAAGGTTAATCCAGGATTTTTTTTTTTGAAATATTTGGCTCATTGACATAGTTTCAAATTTCTATATACAGGCTAATTTCCCCTATAATTGAAGCTCCAGCTTTAATTCTAGTCACCTGGCCTTCACTGATTGACTACAAGTGTCCACTTCTGAGTTCATGGTGCTTGAGAGTTCAGATATGGGGAGAAAAATACTTATGTGCCCTCACGTGACATATCATTGAGGATATACCTAGATAAATGTGCTACAGGCAGGCAATGGGTGCCATAAAGGAGGTGATAACATCCTGGGAGATTGAAATGGAAGAGACAGATTTCAGGAATGACTCATTCTAAACACCTAAGTGACCTGAAAGATATGAGAGCAAGAGCTTTTTTTCCAATTTAATTTTCAAGATTTAATTAAAATCAGTTTTTCATCAGCACAGTCATCCTAAGTTTCAGAAAGTAAAAGTCATCCATCAAGTGGAAAAAGTTACTGAGAGGTTTTGGAGTAGATGGTGAACGTTGAAATTTTGTAGCTGGCTACGATATTAGGAGGCTTGGGAGGAATCTTACGTATCATTTAGATCCTGCCTCTAAGAATGTCTGGGGCTCCTACAGTAAAGATTCCAAATCATTTCCTGTAGTTAGGTTATCAAATCTATTTTTTAAAAAATTTCCTTGGAAATTTTAGGTATATATTTTCGTATCATGAGGTTATCAAATCTATTTTTTAAAAAATTTCCTTGGAAATTTTAGGTATATATTTTCATATCATGTCAATGAGGGAAGGAAGAAAGGCTAAGTTTCTTTTATGGCCAAGGCAGGAGTTTATATTATCTCCTTTATGGCTATCATGTGGAAGTGTGGCATCAATGAGACTATCCAGCCCTGAGCATATGTGCATGGTGAGTGCCTTTTGGGCACGCTGTGATTCTGCCTGCACAGGCTCTTCCAGCTCAGACTGGTGTTGAGAAAACACGATGCTCCTTTTCCTCAGGAGAAATACTTTGAGTTTTATAATTTTCTGGAAAGAAAACACAATCACAAAACTATATTAATATATTTTCAATCAATAATACTAAGGTCCTCAGCATGTAACAAATTACTGTACATATATCTTTAAAATCCAAGATGTGAATCAACACTTCATATATGAGACCTCACATAGATACATTCCTTTAGGCTTTTGAAAACCTTTGTTTCTATATTCCCAGAGATCTTTATCTCTGGTAATTATAATAATTTGTCTCTTTATATGACTATATTCATTAATTTGTGTTTTAATATTAAATGATGTAACATATTCAAATGAAGGATCTTTATATAACTTTAGTAAAATAATTGTTGAAGACATTTCCACCTTATTGCATACTCATCTTGCTTAGTAAACTTTCTATATTCCCTTGTGATAAATCAACCTTAGACTATGAGGCCAAGAAAAATCTGTTTCTTCTAGTAAAATTGCACCAGTAAAAGTATTTTTCTGAATTTCACTGCCTCAAACCATTTAAGCCTGGGCTTTTGTTACAATTATTTTCTCTTACTTGATATTTTGTTTTATCAAATTCTATTATATGTGCATTTTCCCCATTTGTCTCTCCAAATTCTTTCCAGAAGTAGGCAGTGAAAAAATGAATTTAAAAAGTAAATTGAAATGATTCTTATATGTTAAACTTTAGTGTTCTTTGGAACTGACAACTTTTTGAAGCTCTTTCATGGTTCAGAAGTGATTAGGTCACTTTTGTGGTAATTTTCCATTAGAAATAAAACTAAAAAGCCACAAACAAAATCATGCAAATAGTTCCTTATTAGGCCTGTAATTGAGAACAAGTCTGTACATCCAGGATCGAAGACACTAAAGGCAGCCAGGTTTCAAGACTAGTGAACATCATATTGGGATCTTCACAGCATTCAGATCACGCTGTTTCTTCTCTTTACGTCTTCTCAGAAGCTTTATTTTCGCAAGTATCTGTTAGCAGAGGAGTTCTGAGTGTGTATTTGGCAGGCATATTTTCTTCATTTAATAATGGAGAAAGCAGTGGGATGAAATAGGAAAGCCTAGAAAAAGAAAAGCACATCCTAATTTTGTTTGTGGACCTAATGGGTATGGTTAATACCTATTGCTGTTAGTAACTTACTGATTTTTGAAATGTATTACCAAGATCAAAGGAAAACAAATAAACACATTTGAGTGTAAGGCAGATAATGTTTACCATGAAAGAAAATTTCAGACATTACAGTGCCTTGTTATTTTTCCAGTTGTGATAAAAGTAGCTCTAATTTTTAAGAGGTCATCACTAATAGATAAACTATGATTTGTTATACATTTTAATAGCAGGAGGTAAATTTAATGCCAGGCATTTATTCCTGCTGGTATTATTTCACCCACAGTCAGCACAACTTAAATTATCTCCAATAAACTAGCATCATAATTATCAGCAGCAGTAGCAAGTGTTGATATTAACACCAAGAGGGAAAATTCATAGAAAACTTGGTGTATTTTTAGGCAAGCTATATGCATGTAATCTTTTGGATAACTCCATGAGGCAGTATTAAATCTACAATTAATAATTTTGGGTATAGAGTCAGGAACAGGGTACGATTAAAATGTGGGGAGGTGTCTTCCACTCAGGAGCTACACAAATGTCGTTTTCTCAGCTAGAGCAGCTTGATGACATGTACATTTATCTTAGACATTGGTAAGATTTAGAAATGGCTTTTCAAAGATTTGGAATGATCAAAATAAGGAAAATTAAGATTATGCAGGTAAAACAATCTACTGGGATTGTTAGTGATTTTATGCCATCTGGAAAATTTTACATTTATAGTAGTCAGACTACTTCACATAGTGTTTAGGTAAAAAGCAATGAAAAGAAGAAACAGTCATACTGATGGATACTTGTTTAAAAGACGACCTGTAGGTATGTAGAGATGGAATAAATTTAAAGAAGTCTGCAGTATTTTTGAACCTAGTCTTCTCAGTTCTGTGACTGGACATAATGTAGTTTTGACAGTTAGTTCTCATGGGAAAGCTTCAGTTTATTTATGTATTTGATTACGGCCACTTGGACACAAGCTATAATTGAGGAAAATTCAACATTTCCTGAGTTGGAGCTGCTGGAAATGTACGGGGCAAGTTCCAGTGCATTTGAAGTAATAGATGATAATACTTCCAGATTTATTATCTTTGTAATATCCAAGCCAGCTGCACTGAAGTCTTACGTTTTGTTATGTAGAAGCATTAGTTCTGAGTCAAGTTGGTATCCACGTTTAGTGTTTTGGTGTCTCCAGCCTTTAGGATTTTAGGATATTATTTTTGAAGAGTTTTTACATTAAACCAAAACAGATATTTAAATATTAATTGTATATGTATTAACCAGCTGCTTATAGGCTTGAAAAGTTATGTGCTTTTATTATGAAAACCATCACTTCAGCTTTAAAATATTAATACTTAATTTGACTTTTTTAAGGATCAAAGAGCCTGGAACAAATTGATTAGAAACCAATGGTAATGAAAAACAGTAGGGCTGTATCTTTGTCATATAAAAGTGGCAGTTATGTCAGTTCCAACTGAGGTAGGAAAAGAAAATCCCCACCAGGTCAAGTCACTTTTAAGTTATATCATTAAATTAAATTTGGATGAAAATAGGGATATGTGATGATCTGGGCCCACCTGTTTGTTAGAGATCACTAACAGAGATGCCAAAGACATATCTATTCTAATAGTGATGTTTCTGTGAAAAAAACAAAACAAAACAGAAAACAGAAAAAAAGAGACTCTTGCTAATTTTTGGACCCATTAGGCATTTACTGCTCAGTCCAGCTGCATCCAATTATTATTTCTAACAGCACAGTGGCATTTTATCTGCACCTCTTCTGCTGTGCATCTCTCTCATTCTATTATACTTAAGTAATTAATTAGTATTAATTATATTATACTTCTATTATAATTATTATAATTCTATTATAATTAATTAAGTAAGGGTATCAGCTCCCCTACGAAACTATAAGATCCCTGAGGCTAGAATCAATACTGAATTCATCTTTGTATTTCTCATAACTTTTAGTAGAATGTATTTTATAAGTAAGAATTCACCCAAGTCTTCAACTTAAATACCTACAGGGACCACACTGGTATTGTAAATATGTGAAGTAGGATATGGTGGGAACGTAGTAGGTGCGAAACAAAAGGCATGTAGTTTGACATTTTAAAAAACACTAAAACACTAAACAGGATCTAGCTGCAGACTGCTAGCTGGTGCCCCTTGAAATGAATGAATGAATGATAGAATGAAAAGTTTGTTTTGTTAGGTCCACACAGTCGTCTTCTCTCTATTGTTGGGGTGAACAAATGGCCAGTAGAGCTTAGCTGAAAATTCTGGCAGTTACATCCAAGAGGTATACTAGGAGGATGAGTACTTGGTTCTTGTTTCTAATCCTTATTAAAGAATGAGAAAATCAAATTAGCCGGATGTGGTGGCACACGCCTGTAGTCCTAGCTACTCGGGAGGCTAAGGCAGGAGAATTGCTTGAATCCAGGAGGTGGGGGTTGCAGTGAGCCAAGATCGTGCCACTGCACTCCAGCCTGGGCGACAGAGTGAGACTCTATCTCAAAAAAAAAAAAAAAAAGAAAAGAAAAAAAGAATGAGAAAATCAATATACTCTACAGCATAACTGTACTGATAACTTGTATATAATTTTGTAGCATTAAAAGAATAGATGAAGTATATAATCCTTGAATGAATAAAATGCATTTGTGTTAGCACCAACTTGAATTATTCCAGTGTCAGGAAATTCATTGCCTATAGGCATTTCAAATTTGAACTTAACTTGTTAGAAAATACTTTCTTAAAATGAAATCTGTCTTCCTATCAGTACAATGTTTTTTTTTTTTTCTCTTTTAGTGGAACTGGAACAGGAAGGATTTAAACTTTCTCTTGCATAGTTTAGCTCTTTAAACATTGAAGACAATTGTATCAGCGATTGCAGTTTGTAAATCTTCCCAAAGCATAGTGGCTTAAAATGATCTGCGCCCGTGGGTCAGCTGAATGTTTCTGCTGATTTGTGCCAGGCTTGGTTGATATCAGTGGGTCTTTTCCATGCATCTGTGGCCAGATGGTGGGTTTTCTGTGGGCCGGCTTAAGAGGAAGAGGAAACTCACAAACTTTTTCAAGGTTGTGATTAAGTTTGATTGAGTTAAGTTGTTACTGTCCCATTTAAAAAACAATAAAAAAGCCACGTGGCCAAGCCCAGTGTTGGTGTGCGAGGGCATAACCAAAGGGTGTAGATATGAGGAAGCATTTGCATTTGGATCAGTTAATGCGATTATTCTGCTCTTAAAACGCTTATGCTTTTTTTGATTCTTCTTTCCCTTACTCCATCTGCAGTTCATTCCGCTGTTGAAGAAAAAGCACATAGTTTGATCTTCATTTCATGTTGTTAAGTGGTCTAAGTGACCAGTGAGGACAGGAAAAAAATATATATGAATGAAGCAGTGTAGTCCAGATGACTCTCATGTGACCCAAGGGTCAAACATGGTTCACCTGACTCCAGGGTTATAGCATGCCTGAGATTCCTGGTTTAAGAAGTTTTAAAAAGTTAAAAAGTAAAAACGTTTCACCTAATTGCCCTAAAACATGAGCTATTACACCCGTAATGACTGCCCACATTTTCCCAGTTCTTTTTCAATAATTGATTTTTACCAAGTGTCATGCTAGCCGACTTAATGAAATTAATTATTTTAATAGAAGCTGAACATAATTAATTACATAATTTTGGGCAATTCCATTCCAAATACACTAAAACTATGACAGGGAAAGGAGGCTTTGGAAATCGTAATAATAAAACAGAGCTTCCTTATGCATTTGAATCTAATTTGAGTTCTAGCTATAATGTGTATTCTCTTGGGACTTAAATTTATTATCTTAAAATTTTTTTATGGGATAGATTTATGATAACGTTTTCTATTTTGAACCCTCCTAAACACCACTATAATAGGTAAATATTTTTGTAATACCTGCAAATTATATAACGTTTATTTTGAAACAGTGATTCACAAAATGAATTTTTTTTTAAATTGACATTAGACTTGCAGTTTACAAAAACAAAAACAAAACACAACAAACTTCTGCATTTGTAACCAGAGATTTTGATTCGTTAACTCTGGGGGTAGAAAGGTTTGATGTATTCCTACAAGCTGTCTGATTCATTGCTAGATTTGGGACCCATTTCCTTGATGATATAATTTACACTAGGAATGGAAAGGCAAAATAATTTGTAAAACATTTTGATAAGATTAACATCATAATTGGAAATATAAGCTATTTTTTTCTTTCATTTTTCATGAAAAATCTCTGTTGGGTACAGTGGACTTCTGAATATGAAGAAGGATAAATGTCTCCTCTAAAAAATCTTCAATGCTTTTTTAGGATATAGAACAGAGACAAACTACCATGAACTTCAAAGCAACAGTTCTCAATATTGGCTGTGTCTTGCACTCACTGGGGAATTTTAAAAAATCCCAAAAATTAGGTGGTATTTCAGACCTACTATATCAAAATCTCTGGGTAAAACCCAGGAATCAGTGTTTTTCTTAAATTCCCTAAGCCACACTTGAAAACCACAGACCTAAAGAGAAGCACACATAAAGTACAGTGACAGAAGAAGGGAAAACACTTGCAGGTGAACACTGAAGGGTGAATAGGATTCTGACAGGCAACTGGAAGAAGGAAGGAACATTAGCAAAGTGGTATAACATCAGCTAAGGCGTGGGAATCTAAAAGTGCATAAAGTGTTTGGGAAAGTCTCAGGAATAGGGAGAATTCTTCATTGGCCAGCCAAGTGCTGAGCATCTGCATGCGAAGGGATGCGTGGCTCAGTTTGGTTTGGGCTAGAGAGTCCAGGGCCATACAGTGTGTGTCTATTGCGTGACTGTGTATTGTCACCCATGTGGCATGATGTTGAAACTGACAAATCCAATGAACTGAATCTTGAGCTCAGCATTTCCAAAATACTGTTTGGTCGTAGGTCACCATTCCCCTGAGATACTCTGAACAAAAGCATCAAATGAGTTTGGGAATTACTTCCAGTCACACTAATTTCCCTCTTAGAGATTTACAAAGCATATTAGAAGTTTTGTAGTAAAACTCGTTTACTCTAATATTTTCCTAA
Source organism: Homo sapiens (assembly GCF_000001405.40). Taxonomy (NCBI): domain Eukaryota; kingdom Metazoa; phylum Chordata; class Mammalia; order Primates; family Hominidae; genus Homo; species Homo sapiens. The sequence continues at coordinate 182,416,795 of NC_000002.12, read as the reverse complement.
ACAGTCTATTTATGTATAATGCTTATTAATATCCCCAGAAAGTAGTGTTCCAAAGAAACATATTTTAGTTTTCCTAAATTTCTCCAAAACATGCCTTCTTTATTTTTCTGAAATTCACTGTGCTTCAGCTAGTCTTTTCTCCTCCTTTAATTATTTCTTTTCTTATTTATGTTTTCTGGAAGATAGCCTGTCCTCAAGAAACTTCTCCATAGTTAACATTTTTCATCTCCTCTTAGAGAAGTCAGGCAAAAAAATGTTGCCTAGTTGAAGGAATAGTTAATGTTTTATTACATAACTGTGATGATGTGAGTTTAAAAAAAGGAAGAAGAAATATTTTGAAAAGATTGGGAGAGGATGAACGATGTCACATTATTGAAACAGCTGAGCGTAAATTAAGAAATAACAGATGGAAGTTATGTGTGGATTATCACACCCAGGTGTCACTGTACACCCATTTGGCAGCATTTTAACTTGCCTTTGTGTCTTTTCCCTTGCTTCATCCTGAAGAGATTTTTAAAAAATCATCGCCCTGAAATTCACACTTAGTGAGAAATAGACAGTTAAACATCTACGAATAATGCCATGTTGAATAATGATAATTTGTAGGTGTGTAGAATCCCATATTTAGTTTATATTTTTTAATTTTATACATCTGTTATACTATTTGCTTGCACATTTGCCCTGTAATGAAACCATATAGCTCCCCATTTCATAGATGAAGAAATTGAAGTTCAGATGGTCACAGGAAGTTAGAGAAAGAGACACGGGACACTGACATTAAGAACAGGCAGATTAAGTGTGGCTTGCCATTACAGATTTAGTTTTTATGACAAATATGTTAGGAGAACTTAGTGTGCATGCCAGGCCAGGCATATGGTTCTTCTTTGAGGTATAACCCATTCTCAGTAGCCAAGGAAGTGATTTGAATGTCCTTAAACATTGTTTTTAGCTACTTAGAGTTATTTAATACCCATGATTTCCATGCAAGTTTCCTTTTCTAGACATGGAGAGAGAAAAAAAGTTGAGATAAGTAAATTATATGTTTTCAGTGTCATACGATTTACTGTGATGACTGCACAAATATAGATTTAACATATCACATATGATACACTTACTAGAAAATTTAGAACATAAAGAACTGTCTCTAGAAGAAGTAAAGACAGGAGGGAAAAAATAAAGTTCAGGCAGTTGCTTTGAAAGTGTTTCTAAACAGAAGAGATTTGTTGCTATCATAATATAAATAACATTTTCCTAGACAGCAGAAAGATGTAGATCTTGAAGGATATGACTTCTAGGTTGTACAAGACTAGAACTGGATTTCATGATTTCATTAATAGAAATGATTAAAATATAATTTGACAGCCATCCTATTAATCTATATTTTCAGACATTGTTTTCCATCAATTTCCTAGTATCCAAAATGCTAAAAATTCATTGTTTTATTTTAATGTGTTTGAGACCATTCTTGGGTGCTATGAAGCTTGCATGTTTTGTTATTTTAAAATATTTTACTTATTGTGATTTTCTGAAACATACCAAGAATTTATTTTCTGAAGAGAAAACATATTCCACAGTTGGCTAGGCAAACAACACAAAGCCCTCAGAAGGCTATTTTCTCTCTTTTAGGAATAAAATATTTAGAAAGTCTTTATTGAAGGCAATATATTTTATGTGGTACAGAGTGGTAAAGACAGAATTTTTTTTAAAATGCTTCTATCTGTAGGGTAGAACCATTATTTCATGATGTTTACTTCAATAATAATCTATCCCAAATTGGTGCTTACTTAAAAAATGGAAAATACTTTCCGACTCCAGTCTAAGGAGCTGAACAGTTGTACCAAATGACCACTGAGCTAAACATTATGTAAAATTTCTTTTCAATTATTCTGTACCAGTTTTTAGACAAATTGATGTAGAATTTGAGCTGCTAAAGTTGAAAAATTTTGATCCGTGTGTTTAATCTGGATAATTTGTTCTGCTTTATCCTTCTTCCTGCCTACCAACACATCATTTCCCACTCTCTCTACTAGCTCAGTTGGAATTTAGCTCACTCATCCATTTAATGGAAGCAATGTCAACACTGAGCTAATGAAGGACCTTCGCTTGAATCTTTTTTTTTCTTCATTTAGATGTCTAGATAACAATTTGATGCTGCCCCTTCCCACTGCCCTCTCTTTTCTTTCATCCTTTCTCCCTTGACAGAAACCAGAATGCCTAATATTTTCTATGTGAGAACAACTTGCTGCATATCCAGAAAACAAGTGTTTATGCCAGTTACTATGCTATCCTGAGGAGTTCTACCTACCTCTGTAAACAAACATTAGGACATTGAAGGTCACCTTAGATCTGTGAGTTTATATCTGAGCAGATAGTGGCCTTAGGACTCCTAGGTAGATGTTGTTTCTGGGTTTTCCCTTAAAGAATGAGACCCCTGGGGGGGTCTGGAATTCCACATTTAAGACTCAGACTAGAATGCTTAGGTGATATCTTCATAACTTATTGAGTTACTTGCAGATGTTCATTCTATTCATTCTAAAATAATTTCCTCTTATCTACTCCATCTAGTTACAATTCAGTCTCTTCCTTCCATTCATTTATCTTCAAAATGTAGACCAGGAATCGTCCTCTGCTTCCATGTCTTCCCATTAACTTCTTCTGTCCTTTGTGAATACACCTCTTCTCTTAATCTCAACTGTCTTCTGTTAGGTGATCCTCAAATTTACATGTGCAGATCTCAACTCTATTCTGAGTGCCGATTCACATTTCTTTACATTTCTTAAACATGTCCACCTGATGACCTCCTGATACCCAATACTACCAATACTAATCTCTCTGAAAGAGATTTATAATGCATGTATAATAACAATAATAATAAGTTCAGAAGCACATGCTTATCTCTCCAAACCTTGTCCCTTGTAACACTAGTGCACCATGAGATTTAATAGATTTATCACACACACATATGTGCACCCTAACATAAACACACAGACACACACAGACACAGGATTACAAGAGGATTTCCCAGAACTTTATAACGTTTATGTTAAGTGTAAATATTTAAGGCAAAGATATGATATTTAGTGTTTCCTAAATTGACAGTGGAACTTTCTTTGTGCCAAATATCTATAAACATATGAAAGTTTTCAGTAAATTGTTGTTTCAGAAATATTGCTTAGAGGAACAGGTTAGCCTAGCTGCTTTGAGCCTCTTTGTTGAAAACTATTAAGGACAGCATAAAACACTTCCCTGTACTTTTAATCCTCTTGTCATTTAGATTTCAAATGTCTGTTATTTTTCATGCTTCTCTACTTCTTATCATTCTTAACAAAACAATTATCAAGTCCTTTCATTTATGTCCTTAGAACATTTCTTTCTCTACTCTTTTCTTTGTGCTTCTCCACTTCAAAGCCCTCTAGCCTCCCATTTAAAATTTAATGATATTTAAAAATTAATCTTCTAGTCTTCAGCCCCTCTTCCACAGTTCCTTGGTTCTCAAGTTATCAGATTAGTCTTTAAACTTTGTCATGGTTATGTCACTCCTTTCATTTGTAATTTGCCATGGCCCTTTATTTTCTACCAAGTGAAACATGGATTCTTCTGAGATTGCAAGCACTTTATACCTACTCTCCATCTATTCCATCTCTTTCCTCCTTTCACAACTCTTATGCTACGGTCATTCTGGGTGACTTATTGCTCCTAGGACCTGTCTTACGCTTCCCTTCCTAAGCCTTTGTCTACTCTGCTTTGTCTGCTTTTATGCTTCTCTCTCTTTTGTCTGAACTGGTCTCTGTCCTCGTCCATGCTTCAAGTCCTAATTCAAATGCCACTGTCTTTATGAAGGGCTCCCTGATTGTTCCAACCAAAATAAGCTTTTATTCCTTTGAACTTGCATGGCAGTAGTACTTTATTTGTAGCTCTGAATTTCTGAGTATATTTCTCAGTAATTTGTGTCATTGTTTAATGCATGTCCTATTTCCCCTTCTTAGTGTAAACTTGATGGCTAAGACCCTGTCATATCCATAGAATTAGAGAATAATCAAGTTAGAAAAACCTTGTATCTAGTGTAACTGTCTTATTTCATAGATAAATGAAAAACTCTAAGACATTAAGTATTTTGACTAAGTCCTCACAGCTAGTTAGTGGTAGAGTCAGGACTAGAACACACATCAACTCTCAAGCCCGTGCTGTTTCTAGTCTAATTTATTTGTGCCTCTTGTTCTTATAGCCCATGGCAGTAATAACCATTGAGCATCCACTACATGCCAGGGATCTTACCTACATTATATCTAATTATAACAGTAATACTGAAGTATGGGCATTAGTATCCCCATATTATGGATAAAGAAACTGAATTTCAGTGAGCTTAAATAACTTTGCTGGGTAGAAGAATTTGGAGTCAAAGCGAGGTCCACTTGATTTCAGCAACTATGCTCTAGAGTCAGATATTGAATGAATAAACAGAACTGTCTACTGTTTAGGGTGGGATCTTGGAGTAGTCATTTCTGGAAACTAAAAATTTGGATAGCTGTCTAAGAAACAAATCTCAGCCTTCAAAATGATTATATTTAGTTGTCAGGGAAGTGCAAATTGAAACCACAGTGCAATACATTTATATGCTTTCTGAAATGGCTAAATATAGAAGTCAAAAATTTACCTAGGTTGGTGAGAGTTTAAAGCAGAATTTCTCGACTCCAACACTTAACATTTTGGAATAGATAATCTTTTTTTTTTTTTTTTCGAGATGGAGTCTCACTCCATTGCCCAGGCTGGAGTGCAATGGTGCGGTGTTGGCTCACTGCAATCTCTGCCTCCCAGGTTCAAGCAATTCTCCTGCCTCAGCCTCCCGAGTAGCTGGGATTACAGGCACATGCCACCACACCTGGCTAATTTTTGTATTTTTAGTAGAGACGGGGTTTCACTATGTTGGCCAGGCTGGTCTTGAACTCCTGACCTGTGATCTGCTCACCTCAGTCTCCCAAAGTGCTGGGATTACAGGCGTGTTGTTGGGGCCATTTTGTTCATTGTAAGATGTTGAGCAACATCACTGGTCTCTACCCACAAGATTCCAGTAGCATCCTTTTAGTTGTAAAGACCAAAAGTGTCCCCAGGCATTGCCAAATGTTCCTGGACATTTGTGAAATTATGACCAATTGAGAACCATTGATTTAGAGCAATTGGAACTCTCATACATGGCCGATGGGACTGAAAGGAGGTACAACTTGAAAAACTGTTTGTAGTATCTACTAAAGGTGAACATAGGTATATCCAGAAATTCCAAGCCAAACAGAAGTAAATACATACCCCAATTGTCATCAAAGACCTGTACAAGCATGTTCTTAGAGGCACTATTCATAATAACCTCAAACAAAAATACCACCCAAATGTTCATCAACAGTAGAATAGGTAAGTAAATTGTGTGGAATGCTATACAGCAGTGAGAAAAGAGGAACCAAAAATACATGCAACAGTGTGTGCAAATATCGCAAACACAATTTTGAATGGAAGGAGGCAGACAAAAAATATATTGTGTGATTCCATTTTTTTAGGTTTCAGCAACAGACAACACTAATATAGTAAAAAGTGAAAGATTTATATAAGCTGAAGAAAAAACAGAGTATGCAACACTAATGTAGGACAGTGGTTATCCTTGGAACCACTTAAAGTGAACATGAAAGGGTCTTCTAGGGTGTTGGCAACGAACATTCTGTTTCTTTGATCTGGCTTCTACTTACATGGATGTGTTTCATTTATGAAAATTATTATTTGTGTAGTTTTCAGTATGAATGTTACACCTTAGTAAAAAGTTAGGGAAAAAACTGTAGCAGATTCTATTTGGGAGAAGACACAAACTTCCCAAATTAACCAATTACAAATGAAGCTCCAGGGAAAACCTGATGGTGATATTAGAGTGACATTGAGGAGACACTGTGTAAATGGCCTTAGTGTGGCATGGATAGGCACAAAGGGAATGGATGGTACTTCTTTTCTGTGTCTTGTCAGTGGAAATCTGTCAAAAAATAACAACTGTGAAGAACAATTAAAGCTTGATGGGAAGACATTAATTTTTCAGTCCTTTATGTTTACCCAGATATCTTCCAAGTTTTATTATTCTACATTGCTAATGAAAGTAATTATATTATCTTGATGAGGTTGAGTTTGAGACAGAAATTCTTTGCACAGAATGACACTGATCATGTGAGCCCAGCTGTATTTTTCTTAACACAGCCATTTATTAATTGTACTACAATTCTTATATGTACATTAGAGAGACTCTCACATTAAATATTTAGATTGCTTATTATTGTTATAGTTGGAAAGAATTCATAAAATATGCATATTTACTTTAAAATAAGCCACACTCTGATAAATGTTTATTCATAGTTTCAAACTGTAGGTACATTTTCTTTCATTTATTTATTTATTTATTTTAAGACAAAGTCTTATTCTGTTACCCAGGCTGGGGTGCAGCAGCATGGTCATGACTCATTACAACCTTGACTTCCTAGGCTAAAGTGATCCTCGTGCCTCAGCCTCTCAAGTAGCTGGGACTGCAGGTGTGCACCACCATGCCTAGCTAATTAAAAAAAAAATTTTTCTTTTTTAAATTGTAGAAACAGGGTCCCACTATGTTGCCCAAACTGTTCTTGAACTCCTGGGCTTAAGTGATCCTCTCGCCTTAGCCTCCCAAAGTGCTGGGATTACAAGCATAAGCCACCATGTCTGGCCTGTGGATGCATTTTAAAACGGTAAATTAACTGAACTGTTTATTATACAATTTTTTGAAAATTTTTTGTACGTTTATTTCCAAAAAGTATGCATTTATCTGAAGATGGAAAAAAGCAGTAAAACACATTTGATTTTGAGTTCTTTATATTAAAATTATTATCCTTACTATTGATTATGACTTGGCTATATAAACTATGTGATATAAATGTCTTTATCATGAAAGAAGAAACATCACATTTAATTTATATTAATATTTTTTACTAATAGACCATATGGTACATATAATTGTAATGTTCCTGACCACTGCACTTGAATGAGATCAATGAGACTGGAGGTTCATCTATAAAAAGACATTTTGGCTTCCCTTATGCCTATGGTATACCCAGTGACCCTCCCATTCATTCAATTGCTATGAATGGAAGAGTAAGCAAACAGGCACCCACAGGCCCATCAGGAAGTAAGAATGTGGTTATTTCATAGCACCTGTAACTTGTTTGAAGGCTTTTTCATGGTTTTTAGCTATGCATTTACTTTTACAATCTGCTTAGTGTCTGCCCTCTCCACTAGAATGTATGTTGTGTATTCACAGAATGGAGACTGGGTTTGTACATATCGTATCTCCAATACTTTGCACAGTACCTCCTACCTAATAGGTGCTAGATAAATATTTGTTGAATAACAAATAACATTAAATTTCCTTTAAAGGCTTGGGCCTTATTTAATTGGTTATCTAATTAAGTTTGTATCCAATATTTGAGATTAATCATTGAAGTCATTATTCTGTTCAGGTAGAAATTTCTAGCAGGCTATTCACAGTCTAGGAGTGGAACTGAAGTGAGAGTTAGGAGACACTGAGAAAGGTGCTAATCGACGTGGAAAAAGGATTCGATTTTAAGGAAAAGCATGTAAAAGGAGAAGGGAGGAGGATTGAAAAATGAATCAAGGGAAATGCCCAGCATTATTAGGGGAGAGAGGAATTACAGAAGAATGAAGAAAGAATGGAGAGTTTCGGAGCAGGAAGTGACCAATAATGAAGCTGGAGCCCAAGGAGCTACTGTGGAGGCAGAAGACCTGTGGCTCTGGGCAGCCTGACTGAGTCCCTGCTCAGCCACTAGCTGGTAGAACAAATCACTTCACCATACCGATAATCAGTTTTCTCTCTGCAAGGTGAGTGGATTGGCTTCTAGCTGATCCCCCAGTTTCCTTCTAGTGGATTTTGCAGTTCCCGAATTTTGTGAAAAGTTTCTGTGAGAGTGAGCAAAGGCCATGGTGTTGATGTTTTTTGTTGGTAACATTTAAGCCCCACCTTTAAAAGAATGGAAGAAAATGAGCAGTTTATGAACACTGGGTAGTGATAGAGAGAGCAGTAGGTGTAGATCATTTATTTAAACAGTTTATGAGAAGCTAAGTTGGTGGTGCAGAAGACACTGCACGCTAATTTAACACGATCTTTTAGGGAAAAAATTAACGTCTTCATTTAGTCCACCCTTTATCACAGGTAATTACTGCCCAAAGACCCTGAAATAGTTAAGGGTCTGTAGCAGGTGATAGGTCAGGGCCATGGCTAAGGGATAATCATGATAGTTACCATTTAATAAGCACTTGATATGTGAAGGTGCTTTTCATTTGTTATTTATGAAATGTATGTCATTCTAGTAAGTATTGTTCACATTTGAGAAATTAAAAGTGAAGCTCTGAGGTGTTAGCTAACTTTTTTAAGGTAATACAGCTAGAAAGTAGCAGAGCCAAGATTGAAAACCACATCTGTCAAACTGCAAAATCCATGGGTAGTCCAGGTATGTCATTTCCAAATAGCTTGGAGTAATAGTGTGGGAAAATAAAAGGTGGGAGGGATTTAGGTAGCCACTGCTTTTTTTTTTTTTTTTTTGGCAGATACTTTTAAAAAATAATTTTGCATAAATTGATTGACTAAACTCCAGTGACTTACACCAGTGATTAGCTATGTGTGGGGCAGTGGGGTAAGATCTCCCTGGTCTCCTTTTTATTATCATCACATGCCAGCAATTCTAAACAACATCAGCAATAAAATACTCCTCAAAAGTTCTGTGTTTGTCTAACTCCTAAAGAATTGCTGTGGATGCTGTTGAGTTTAAATTATCTACTTATCTATATTCATATAGAATATGTATGGATATATAGTATACACACACATATATAACATATACATACATGTACATATGACTTATTCTTTAAGAAACATTGTATTCTTCATGGGAGAAACTTTCAGGGCGTTTCCAATTATTGGCTAGTCTCCCAACATGTGAAGACTTAGCTACATACATTTGCTTCAAGAGTAAGTGGTTGGTCAAGTTCTGTTTTTTGGTCACTGTGGTAGCATTTGTTACAAATATGCTACGTAAAGTATGTTGGCCGGGCACGGTGGCTCACATCTGTAATCCCAGCACTGTGGGAGGCCCAGGCTGTGGATCACTTGAGGCCAGGGGTTTGAGAGCAGCCTGGCCAACATGGTGAAACCCTGTCTCTACTAAAAACACAAAAATTAGCCAGGTGTGATGGCGGGAACCTGTAGTCCCAGCTACTCCAGAGACTGAGGCAAGAGAATCACTTGGACCTGGGAGACAGAGGTTGCAGTGAGCTGAGATGGCACCACTGTACTCCAGCCTGGGCAATAGAGCAAGACTCCATCTCAAAAAATAAAAAAAAAATAATAATAAAGTATGTTGAAGGAAAGAATGCAAAAACTGTACTTAAACTCAAATTATCCTGAACAATTATAAACTTTGGAAATGTTTACCAAGTATAATACACATGTATGCTGACTTTTTTGATGAAGATTTTTTAGTAGCATTTTTTTCTTATGACAGAGACATTTGAAAGCTGTTAGAATCAATCTGCAGAAACAAAGACATGAACAGCATTTAATTATGAAATGGGATTTCATAAATCTCTGCCAAACTTATATTTAAGACGTTTCCTATCCACTTTTATATCTGTTGCTTCATGTGAAGAAAACATTTTGAAAGTAAATTGATTAAAACAAACTCTTTGAAGTACTCTCGGGGAAAATAGATTGATAAATCTCGCTATACTCTCTACTGAACATGAATATTTAAAGAAGATCAATTTAGACAACATCATTGAAAAATATGCAGGATTTACAATTAAAAACAAACTGAGATAGTATTGATTACTGTGACAGAGCAACAAGAAGGTATACCTTTTCACTTTTGTATAAATAAAATAATTTATTAATATAATTTTAAAAATCAATGCATTTTTTTCATTTCTTGTAATATCTGTAGTTTTAAAAAATTATTTGTTTTTTCAAACTGGTATACCAGCACAATTTCAACTAAAGAAAATATTTACTGCCTGCATTTCTTTTCTAGCTGTTATTATTATCTCATTTCATGATTATTTCTGATAATAATTTTTTATACATAAAAAAGGAATGTTAAAAAATGATCTACTCCAATATCCAACATGCTAACTATGCCAGTAGCTAAAACTAAGGGTTATTTCTGTAAATCTTCTTGGATGATTGTGGGAAATAGCTTCTTATTTCTTTGTGTCCACCAGAGTTCTGAGCACAGCAGTTGATAATTTATACTTGCTGAATGAAAGAACAGATGACAAATGAATAATAAGCAAACGCCTAAAATGTGTCATGCTTGGTCTGCTAGTATTACTGGAAATCTACATTTTTTTTTTTTTACTGTGAGCCAAAAAACCTAAAAATAAATTGACTGCTAATCAGATCCACAAAACTACTCTGTTAGGTTTATGCTAAAGATGAGAATGACTAAATAAATATAGTAAATTTCAGAATTCTTAAGCCTTGGTCCCCTAAATATAATCTGTAAAAATGGCTTGTAATTTTAGGCCTTGTTTGAACTTTTATTTCATCTGTAAAATGGGAATAATAATAATAGAGCTATATACAGTTGAAGTGAGAATAAAATGAAGTACTATATAGAAAGTGCTTAACAGCATGCTCAAAATATTCTAAGCATTTGATAAATGATAGCTATTATTATCAAATAGGAAATTTATTTTTTTTTGGTAAAATTTCTTTGACCTAAGATGGATCCATAAAGCTTTCAAATTGAGGAGAAAATACTTGTAGAGCAATATGTTATTCTTTTTATTAGTAATATTTTATTTTAAAAATTATTTTTACTTTTAGTTGACAAATGATAATTGCATATATTTATGGGTACAATGTGATGTTATGATATATGTACATAATGTGGAATGATCAAATTTATCTCATTAAGATATCCATCACCTCAAATACTTATTTTTTTGGGGTGAGACTATTTGAACTTTACTCTCAGAAATTTTGAAATACACCTTATTAACTACAGTTACTATGCTATGCAGAAGGTCTTAAAAAATGTATTCCTTTTGTCTAACTCAAACTTTGTACCCTTTGACCGACATTTTTCCAGCAGCCCCCTTCACCCAATATTTTATTCTTAAAATTTTTAGGGCACAAGGATTTGGTGAGTGTAGTTTTTGACAGAATTAAGTGAAAGCCAGAAATGATGAAAATTGAAGGAATAAAAACCACAGTAGATAAAAGGAGCAAAATATCCTATGAGATGCATATTTGTAGTTTCCTGCAAGTGAAGTTTATGTCAGGACCGCTTGATAAAATCCTATTCAGAACTTAGCATTGTGAACTACACTTCACTGACCCTGGGGGCCCCATGCAGTATTAGATGGCAATAAGCCTCCTTGCAATAGCAGCTGTGTCTTCTTGTTCTTCTTATGTAAATGACCCCAGAGAAAGTAGAAGAGTGACAATAAATTTAAATCTTTGATTTCCTTTGTATTCCTCATGTTATCCTAGGGAAGGGCTTTGCCACTGAGTCATATATGTACGGTCATGTGCTATATAACATTTCAGTCAACAATGGACAGCATATACAATGATAGTGATCCCATAATATTAAAATGGAACTGAAAAATCCTATTGCTTAGTGACATGGTAGCCATCATATGTGATAGCACAATGCATTACTCACATGTTTGTGGTGATGCTGATGTAAACAAACCTACTGCACTGCCAGTTGTATAAAAGTAGAGCACATATAATTATGTACAGTACATAATACTTGAAAATAAATAACTATGTTACTGGTATATGTACTGTTATGCTATACTTTTTATTGTTATTTTATAGAGTATTCCTTCTACTTATATTTTTAATAAGTTAACTGTAAAACAGCCTCATGGAGATCCTTCAGGAGGTATTTCAAAAGAATGCATTGTTAACAAAGGAGATGACAGCTCCATGCGTGGTATTGCCCCCAAAAAACTTCCATGGGGACAAGATATGGAGGAGGAAGACAGTGATATTATCCTGACCTTGTGTGGCCCTAGGGTAATGTGTGTGTTTGTATCTTAGTTTTTACACAAAATATTTAAAAAGTAAAAAAAAAATACAAGTTTTAAAAATACAGAACATCTGATAGAATAAGGACATAAAGAAAGAAAATATTTTTGTACAACAGTACAATGTGTTTGTGCCAAGTATTACTACAAAAGAGTCGAAATGTTTTTTAATTTAAAAGTTTGTAAAATGAAACAGTTACAGTAAGAAAAAGTTAATTTGTTTATTGAAGAAAGAAACATTTAAAAAACAAATTTAGTGTAGCCTAAGTGTACAGGGTTTATAAAGTGTCCAGTAGTGTACAGTAATGTCTTCTGTTCTCCTTTTTGATGTAGAAGGGTCGTCCTGGGATATCATTTTGAGAGCCAAAGAATGAGTCATCTCTCTTAGAAGTTGGCCTATGGAATATAAAGAATTTCATCCATTTCCTATAGTGATTTCACCTTTGCTCTTCTCTGCTCCTTGGCTAATTGGCAGAGGATATCCAAGAGAGAAAAAGGCAGAGTCGTCAGGTTTGAGACTTGGATGAATTTTCAGCCTATTTGAAGCATAGAATTTCTTCATGGCTTATTTCATATTTACCAGGACCATTTCCAAAGCATATTTTTCCTCTTGTAGGATATGACTTTTTTTAAAAAAAAAATTTGTTCCTATTGACATAAGTTATACCCCAAATTAAACTGACCTTTTATTTTATTTTATTTTTTATTATACTTTAAGTTCTGGGGTACATGTGCAGAATGTGCAGGTTTGTTACGTAGGTATACACGTGCCATAGTGGTTTGCTGCACCCATCAACCCATGATCTACATTAGGTATTTATCCTAATGCTATCCCTTGCCTAGCCCCCCACCCCCTGACAGGACCCAGTGTGTGATGTTCCCCTGCCTGTTTCCATGTGTTCTCCTATTCAACTCCCATTTATGAGTGAGAACATGCAGTATATGGTTTTCTGTTCTTGTGTTAGTTTGCTGAGAATGAGGGTTTCCAGGTTCACCCATGTCCCTGCAAAGGACATGAACTCATCCCTTTTATGGCTGCATAGTATTCCATGGTGTATATGTGCCACATTTTCTTTTTTTTTTTTTTTTGAGACGGAGTCTGGCTCTGTCGCCCAGGCTGGAGTGCAGTGGCGCGATCTCGGCTCACTGCAAGCTCCGCCTCCCGGGTTCCCACCATTCTCCTGCCTCAGCCTCCCGAGTAGCTGGGACTACAGGCGCCCGCCACCACGCACGGCTAATTTTTTGTATTTTTAGTAGAGACGGGGTTTCACCGTGTTAGCCAGGATGGTCTCGATCTCCTGACCTTGTGATCCACCCGCCTCGGCCTCCTAAAGTGCTGGGATTACAGGCTTGAGCCACCGCGCCTGGCCTATGTGCCACATTTTCTTGATCCAGTCTATCGTTGATGGGAATTTGGGTGGTTCCAAGTCTTTGTGATTGTAAACAGTGCCGCAATAAATATATGTGTGCATGTGTCTTTGTACTAGAATGATTTATAGTCCTTTGGGTATATACCCAGTAATGGGATTGCTGGGTCAAATGGTATTTCTGGTTCTAGATTCTTGAGGAATCATCACACTGTCTTCCACAATGGTTGAACTAATTTACACTCCCATCAACACTGTAAAAGCATTCCTATTTCTCCATATCCTCTCCAGCATCTGTTGTTTCCTGACTTTTTAATGGTCGCCATTCTAACTGGCGTGAGATGGTATCTCATTGTGGCTTTGATTTGCATTTCTCTAATGACCAGTGATGATCAACTTTTTTCATGTTTGTTGGCAACATAAATGTCTTCTTTTGAGATGTGTCTGTTCATATCCTTCACCCACTTTTTGATGGCGTTGTTTGTTTTTTCTTATAAATTTGTTTAAGTTTTTGTAGATTCTGGATATTAGCCCTTTGTCAGATGGATAGATTGCAAGAATTTTCTCCCATTCTGTAGGTTGCCTGTTCACTCTGATGATAGTTTCTTTTGCTGTGCAGAAGCTCTTTAGTTTAATTAGATCTCATTTGTCAATTTTGGCTTTTGTTGCCATTGCTTTTGGTGTTTTAGTCATGAAGGCTTTGCCCATGTCTATGTCCTGAATGGTATTGCCTAGGTTTTCTTCCAGGGTTTGTATGGTTTGGGGCTTTACATTTAAGTCTTTAATCTTAATCTTGAGTTGATTTCTGTATAAGGTATAAGGAAGGGGTCCAGTTTCAGTTTTCTACATATGGCTAGCCAGTTTTCCCAATACCATTTATTAAACAGGGAATCATTTCCCCATTGCTTGTTTTTGTCAGGTTTGTCAAAGATCAGATGGTTGTAGATTTGTGGTGTTATTTCTGAGGCCTCTGTTCTGTTCCATTGGTCTATAAATCTGTTTTGGTACCAGTACAAGGCTGTTTTGGTTACTGTAGCCTTGTAGTATAGTTTGAAGTCAGGTAGCATAATGCCTCCAGCTTTTTTCTTTTTGCTTAGTATTGTCTTTGCTATGCGGGCTGTTTTTTGGGTCCATATGAAATTTAAAGTATTTTTTTTCTAACTCTCTGAAGAAAGTCAGTGGTAGCTTGATGGGGATAGCATTGAATCTATAAATTACTTTGGGCAGTATGGCTATTTTCACAATATTGATTCTTTCTATTCATGAGCATGGAATGTTTATCCATTTGTTTGTGTCTTCTCATATTTTTTTGAACGGTGGTTTGTAGCTCTCCTTGAGAGGTCCTTCTCATCCCTTGTAAGTTGTATTTCTAGGTATTTTATTTTCTTTGTAGTAATTGTGAATGGCAGTTCACTCATGATTTGGCTCTCTGTTTGTCTGTTATTGGTGTATAGGAATGCTTGTGATTTTTGTACATTGATTTTGTATTCTGAGACTGCTGAAGTTGCTTATCAGCTTAAGGAGATTTTGAGCTGAGACAGTGAGGTTTTCTAAATATACAGTCATGTCATCTGCAAACAGAGACAATTTGTCTTCCTCTCTTCCTATTTGAATACCCTTTATTTCTTTCTTTTGCCTGATTGCCCTGGCCAGAACTTTCAACACTATGTTGAACAGGAGTGGTGAGAAAGGGCATCCTTGCTTGTCTTGTGCCGGTTTTCAGAGAGAATGCTTCCAGCTTTTGCCCATTCTGTATGATATTGGCTGTGTGTTTTTCATAAATAGCTCTTAATGTTTTGAGATACTTCCCATCAGTACCTAGTTTATTGAGAGTTTTTAGAATGAAGGGCTACTGAATTTTATTGAAGGCCTTTTCTGCATCTATTGAGATAATCATATGTTTTTTGTCATTGGTTCTGTTTATGTGATGGATTACGTTTATTGATTTGCATATGTTGACCCAGCCTTGCATCCCAGGGATGAAGCCAACTTGATCGTGTTGGATAAGCTTTTTGACGTCTGCTGGATTCGGTTTGCCAGTATTTTATTGAGGATTTTCGCATCGATGTTTATCAGGGATATTGGCAAAAATTTTCTTTTTGTGTCGTGTCCCTCCTGGGTTTTGGTATCAGGATGATGCTGGCATCATAAAATGAGTTAGAGAAGAGTCCCTCTTTTTCTATTGTTTGGAATAGTTTCAGAAGGAATGGTACTAGCTCCTCTTTATACTTCTGATAGAATTCAGCTGTGAATCCTTTATTTTCTTAAGTGGAGGAAGCCTCAGAGGGTATACAGGTTTTTTACTGAATCAGAACTTTTATGAAACAGAACTAGGGACTTACAAAAAAGAGAACACCAATGGAATAATAAAAACTCCTCTCTGATAGGAATCATTAATGTTTGGTAACTGGACTTGAAGATGAGAAATGCTCTGACATTTTGGCAAAGGTGGTTTCTCTACTAAACTTTATGAAAGAAATCTCTGTGACGAGTTTAGAGCAGGAAATCAAGATAGTACCTGCCATTATTCACCCCAGCAAGTGGTCCTTCTCTTGCCCTACCCTGCTTTGGCCTTGATTTCCTAATATTTTTCCCAGTCTCTCCTTCCTCTTACTGTATTAAACTCAAAAGACATCATTCCGCTTTCTCTTCATGCCTTTAGAGAGTGGCTCCTTTGAATGAAAATGCAGTTATGCTTGATCCCTTAGTTACTTAGTTGGAAAACTCCCCTGAGAGTGCTCCTGAGAGTCCTCTGGAGGGCTAATTAGGGTTGCAGCATCTAAGGAGATGTTGAGAGTCTCCTTTGGGTAAAGATGTAAGGAGGGAAGAGAAAACAAACACATGTGTTCTGAAAGCTCTTTCTGGGGCCATATACGAAGGCACATTATCTTGGAGAATTATCCATAAAGGATTTGTCTTGAAATTATTGTAATGTAAATGGAGCAACTGTTTCTTATTTTACAGAAGTGTATTCTAATATGTGAAAGTGTCTTGCCACCATGTCAGAAAGGTTGCTAACTTGAGACAACAATTGGGAAAAGATAAAGGAAAATTTTAATTCAGTTTGCTCAGGATCTGCTCTGTGTCAAGTACATGGAACCTTCTTTTATCATGGGAAAAGGAAAAATAACCCAATAGACATTTGTTCAGTGATATTGGCAAAGAATTTAGGGAAGAAAAAAATCAAATAGCCAATAAATATGTAAAAATCTTAATCTTCAATAGTAGCCAGTGGGAGGCAAATTAAAACAATATTTCATTTAAAGACTGATAGCATTCATTGTGGGCAAAGGAAAGAGTGTGAATTTTTACTATCTCTTGAGGAAATAACCTTATAATATTTATTAAAATTATAAATACATAGCTTTAGACTAGCAATCCTGTTTTAGAAGTCTTTCATGCAGGAATAAAAACATCAGTATCTAGGACCATCTCTTGATTTCAGCATTGTTTGTAACTGCCTAAATTAGAAACAATCTTAATGATTGCCATTACAGGAGACTGACTAAATTGATTATAGTATAATCAAACCATGGAACATAGGCAGCTATTAGGAGGAGTGAAATAGAGTTCTACATTAATGTGGAAATACTCCCCAAATATGTTAGTATTGAAAAAGTGAGATGTAAACTCTATACTAGAATGGTTTCACTTAAAAAAATAGGAGTGAGACTCTGTAAGTTTAGATACATTTGTAAATACTTGTATAAGTTGAACATTGAGAAAATTGTAAAAGGATACATATACTATTACAATTGATAAGCTTAGAGGGATGATATTGGTAAAAGGAATGAGAAGACTCATTTTTAAACTTACATACTAATGTATACCATTTTAAAACCTTTTACAATAAGCATGTATTAATTTCATGATGTAGAATGTATTAAATTGAGAGCATATCAGGAGTTTCCGGGGATTAGAAGCAGAGGGGGCAGGATTTAACTAAAAGGGGTCACATAAGGGAATAGTTTTGGCTGATGGAACTGTTCTGTATTCTATTTTGATGGTGAGTAATGACACATTAATCTATGCATGTGTCAAAATTCATAGAATTTTATACCAAAAAAGTGCATTATTTTGTAGCATATAAATTTAAAATAAACTATATTAGTGAAGAAAAAAATATGGGTTAAAAATACTAAGAAATGAGTAATAAACATAGTCCTCCAAAATATTCTAATTATAGGCTAAACTGAGACAAAAAAAATTTTAAAGAGAAAACTGGCCGTAATTTTGAAAACTTTAGGGTTATTTTTCAGTTTCAGCCCACTTCATCCTTGACGGTCATCAAAATGTCATTTAGTAGGATAGTTCAATAGGTATTATTATTAATCCTGCTTTATAGTTAACAAACTGAAGTTTAGGGGAATTTGGTAGTTTACCAAGAACTACATAGGTAAAAGAACTTCATGTTGAAATTCAAACCCATGTAACAAACTTGCACATTCTCCACATGTATTCTGGAACTTAAAGTAAAATAAATTTTAAAAAAGAAATTTAAGATTTCTAAAAGTAAAGTATCTACAGGATTCAAGCCATTTGTATGAATTAATTATAAGAAGGCAAAAATGAAAAAACTAGTAAGATTTAAGATAGCGGTATGCTCCTACACTTTAAGTGTAATCAAACAGACCTAATATATAAGTAGTCACTTGTGGTCAGTACTGATCCAAGCACCTCTGAAGGCTCAGTGGACTTAGTGTTGTGTAATTATCACAGTCATCTCTGTTTATAATTCAATTGAGGATGCTGAAAATAAGGTCATATATTTTATAAGGAATCTTAATTCAACTGTGCAAAAGAACATGACCTATACTCTTGTAAAATAGCTTTTAATGAAATACTAGAGGATAAAGAGTCAATGGTAAATGATTTAATGAGTCATCAAAGTACAAAAAGTATAATGAATTTAAAATATATTTAGTAACCCTATATTCACATCTATGACAATGTTGAACTGTGGGTTTTTCATGTCAGTAGGAGTCAAGTGGCATAAGAGATCAGTAGTTGTATATTTAACGTTGACAGTTTGCGTTGTAATTCATGGATATGGCTATTTCCAGTATGAATATTAAATATCTGTCTGCCTCTTAAGTGATCATAATTCAAGACTGTACATTTTAAACAAAAACTGTTTTACAAGAGTAGAATAAGAATTTCCTCACTGACTTCACCCAACTCAAGCTTTTTTTTTATTTCTTACATTTTCTCTCTTTTTGTCATTTTTTTCAGTGTCCAGTGATGTCTTTCATTTCTTGCCTCATCTATCTAAACCATGTTCATCTGTTCTCAGCACAGTTGAAATACCATGTCTCTCATGTAAACATCTTTAGAAAGAATTCTTTTTATTTTCTGAAATATTACTGTACATAGAATAGAATAGTCTTAGTTTTATGCAAGTTAATTTCATCTCCCCAAATAAATTGTAAGTGCGGAGACTGTTACAAGCTCCTTTTACATTTTTCTAGCATCCGTTCATTCAATCAGGTAGATAGTGATCATTTTTCTATATGAAGCCCCATGCTACCTGGTGAAGGAGACACACAGATGACCAAAAACTGATCCCTGATCTTAAAGAGTTTATACAGTAAAAGAGATAAGAAGCTGTACATGTGACTCCAGTACTAAACATTATGTGACATAGCGTAATAGGAAAAAAACTGAAAAGACACCGTTGTATTGCTGAAACAGGTAGAGGACATTTCTTCTAATGGGTCTTTGAAATACTCAGTGAAACTATCCTCCTTATCGGTTTTCTTATCGCAGAATTTTTTCTCATGTCTGACATTAACACTAATAATTCTTAAAATCATATATAACTTTTTTTCAGGGAAAGCGTTAATTGAAAAATACCATTTTTAAATTCTGATTTACACATTTTTTTCCACATTGTAATGTCTCTGAAATCATGTGTCATATAAATGGTGTTTTACAATCACTTTTGGGGATATGGCAATCATGACATACAGGATTAAACAATATGAAATTGCCAATATTGAACTGTTTTCGACCTACAAGAACAGAAATATATAATAATAGCCAGCCCATTTGTAAATTTTGTTATTTCTGTTCATCTTGCCATCACCTCAAATATGTTAGGTTCATTATTGTTACTACATATTTTGAGTTTGCTGCCTCTCAAAATGTCCTAAAAATATACTGTATGTATCGTTGAAATGAAAGGTAATAGTGCATGCAGAAAGGCATGGGAACAGAGAAGTGAGGCCTATATTTGACATTGTAATGAGTATTTCCTATGAGATAAATGACCTCAATTATCTATTTCTTGCACAACCATAACCAAGTCTTGAAGAAGACTTAAAAGGGAAATACCCACAGGTAGATAAATTTGTGCTATGTTGTTTCTTAGATGCATGAAAAAAACACTGCTTTTCACTTCCCAGTCAATACAACCAGAGGTAAAAGCAGTTGCCAAATCACCCGGAAGTGAATGAATACACTCAGTATTAACTATCATAAGTCCACCCCTTGTCAACTTAAACCCATATACATCTCCTGAAATCATACATAATCTTCAAATAAAGACAATAATAAGGTCATAATTATGCCTAACATAATACAGCTATCCTTCATACAACCGGGAGCATACTAATCCTTAACCTAAATGCTATTACATAAAGATAACAACACTTAAATAATGACATGAAGTCAATAAATCTTATGTTACTTGATAAAGGAAAAAGAAAGGAAATAAAATGAAGATATTTTCTTAGTACAAGTGTATATATGCATGAACATGTTCTTAGCAAAATAAGGAGGAAATACTCATGACAATTACAGTTCTCATTTCTGCAACTGGTCATGTAGTCGTAGCTGGTATTAATGACTACCTTCTTCTACTACCCATCTGTATTCTAATTTTCCAATCATGCTTCTTCCAAGTCCCTGGCCACCCAGCCAAACCATTGGCTGTAGCCCATGAAATAGTATATAATTGCACATCTGGCCATTTCTCCTTCCAAGCAAAGTGCACAACCAGGTGCACTGCTCGAAGTTCTGCCCACTGGGAAGATTTCCCTTCACCACTGTCCTTCAGGGATGTCCTAGGAAAGGACTGTAGTGCTGCAGCTGTCCTCTTTTGGGTGGTGCCTGCACGTCATGCAGAACTATCTGTGAACCAGGCCTTAGTCTTCTCTTCCTCTGTCAGCTCCACATGAGGCCATCGGGGCAGTCTAAGGGAGAGAAGGCAGGGTGGCAAGAGTGGAGACCATGGGCATTTGAGCCACTTCCTCACGTAACTTACTTGTGCCTTCAGGACCTGCTCAAGCCTGATCGCGTATATACCACTTCCATTTGATGACTGAATGCTGCTGTGCATGACCCACTTTATGGCTAGATGGGTAAGAAAGCACCAAGTTCATGATAGGAAGTTCAGGTCTCATGGTGACTTGATGACCACTAGTCAAAAGTTCAGTTTCTACCAAAGCCTAATAACAGGCCAAGAGCTGTCTCTCAAAAGGAGAGTAGTTATCTGGAGAAGATGGCAGGGCCTTGCTCCCAAATCCTAGAGGCCTCTGCTGTGATTCACCTATGGGGGCCTTCCAAAGGCTCCAAACAGCATCCCTATCTGCCACTGACACCTCAAGCACCATTGGATCTGCTGGATCATATGGCCCAAGTGGCAGAGCAGCTTGCACAGCAGCCTGGCTCTGGACCTCACTCAAAATTGGCACACTTCAGGTCGCTCAGTAAATGGGCTGGCATAACACACCCAAATGAGGAATGTGTTGCCTCCCAAATCCAGATAGTTGTAGGAGGGGCCAAATGCAGCAACTTATCTTTCACCTTAGAAGGAATATCTCAACGTGCCCCACACCACTGGACCCCTAGAAACTTCCCTGAGGTAGAAGGTCCCTGAATTTTAGTTAGATTTATTTCCTGTCCTCTGGCACACAAATGTCTCACCAATAAGTCCAGTGTTTGCTACTTATTGCTCACTGGATCCAATCAGCATACTGTCATCGATATAATGGATCAATGCGATATCTTGTGAAAAGGAAAAGCAATCAAGGGCTCTGCAAACAAGATTATGACACAAAGCCGGAGAGTTGACATACCCCTGAGGTAGGAAAGTAAAGGTATACTGCTGGTCTTGCCAGCTGGAGGCAAATTGCTTCTAGCAGCCTTTATGAACAGGAATGGAGAAAAAGGCATTTGCCAGATCAATGGCTGCATAGCAGGTACCAGGAAATATGTTAATTTGTTCAAGCAGTGAAACCACATCTGGTACAGCAGCTACAGCTGGAGTCACTACTTGGTTAAGCTCATGATAACCCATGGTCATTCTCAGAGATCCATCTGTCTTCTGCACAACGAACCAGGAGACTTGAATATGGATGTTATGGAAATCACCACCCCTGCGTCTTTCAAGTCCTTGATGGTGGCACTAATCTCTGCAGCCACTCCAGGGATGTGATATTGTTTTTGATTTACTGTTTTTCTAGGTGGAGGCAGCTCTAAAGGCTTCCATTTGGCTTTTCCATCATAGTAGCCCTCACCCTACAAGTCAGGGAGCCAATGTGGGGATTTAGCCAGCAGCTAAGTATGTCTATGCCAATTATGCATTCTGGCTCTGGGGAAATGACTGCAAGATGAGTCCAGGAATGCATTGGATACACTGTAACTCAGACCTGAACTAACAATCCATTAATTACCTGACATTCACAAACCCTACTTTAACTGGAGGACCAATATTGATGTTTTGGGTCCCCTGGAATCAATGTCAGCTCGAGCCAGTGTCCAGCAGCCCCTCAAAGGTCTGGTCATTCCCCTTTCCCCAGTGCAGTTACCCTGTGGTCTGGTTTGGCTGTGTCCCCTTCCAAATCTCATCTTGAATTGTAGCTCCCATAATCCCCACATGTCATGGGAGGGACTTGGTGGGAGGTAATTGAATCATGGGGGTGGGAATTTCCCATGCTGTTTTGGTGATAGTGAATAAGTCTAATGAAATCTGATGATTTTATAAAGGGTAGTTCCCCTGCATGCTCTCTGTTGGCTGCCACCATGTAAGACATGCCTTTACTTCTCCTTCAACTCCTGCCGTGATTGTGAGGCCCCCCGCAACCTAACAGTTAATGTGGAACTGTGAGTCCATTAAACCTCTTTTTCTTTATAAATTATCCAGTTTTGGGGTATATCTTTATTAGCAGCGTGAGAATGGACTGATACAGTGAATTGGCACCAATAGATTGGGGTTCTGCTCTAAAAATGCATGAAAATGAGGAAGCAACTTTGGAACTGGGTAACAGGCAGAGGTTGGAAAAGTTTGGAGGACTCAGAAGAAGAACTGGAAAATATGGGAAATTTGGAACTTCCTGGAGACTTGGAGAGCTCAGAAGACAGTAAGATGTGGGAAAGTGTGGAACTTCCTAGAGACTTGTTGAATGGCTTTAACCAAAATGCTGATAATGATATGGACAATGAAGTCCAGGCTGAGGTGGTCTCAGATGGAGATGAGAAACTTGTTGGGAAATGGAGCAAAGGTGACTCTTATGTTTTAGCAAAGAGACTGATGGCATTTTGCCCCTGCCCTGGAGATCTGTGGAATTTTGAACTTAAGAGATATGAGCTAGAGTATCTGGTGGAAAAAATTTCTAAGCAGCAATGTGTTCAAAGAAATGGCTTGGGTGCTCTTAAAAGCATTCAGTTTTTTATTCACAAAAATATGGTTTGGAATCATAACATGTTTACAAGGGAAGCAGAGCATAGAGTTTGAAAAATTTGCAGTCTGATGCAATAGGAAAGAAAAACCCATCTTCTGAGGAAAAATTCAAGCTGGCTGCAAAAATTTGCATAAGCAATGAGGAGCCAAATGTTAATCACCAAGGCAGTGGGGAAAATGTTTCCAGGCATGTCAGAGACCTTCACAGCAGTGCCCCCATCACAGGCCTAGAGGCCTAGTAGGAAAAAAAAAAAAAGGTTCTGTGGGTAGGGTCCAGATCTTGCTGCTGTGTGCAGTCTAGGGACTTGGTGCCCTGCATCCCAGCTGTGGCTAAAAGGGGCCAACGTACAGCTCAGGCCATTGCTTCAGAGGGTGCAAGCCCCAAACCTTGGTGGCTTACACATGGTGTTGGGCGTGTGGCTGCACAGAAGTCAAGAATTGAAGTTTGGGAACCTCTGCCTAGATTTCAGAGGATGTATGGAAATGCTTGGATGTCCAGGCAGAGGTGTGCTGCAGGGGCAGAGTCCTTATGGAGAACCTCTGCAAGGGCAGTGCAGAAGGGAAATGTTGGGTGGGAGCCCCCACACAGAATCCTACTGGGGCACTGCCTAGTGGAGCTGTGAGAAGAAGGCTACTGTTCTCCAGACCCCAGAATGGTAGATCCACAAACAGCTTACACTGTGTATCTGGAAAAGCCACAGACACAACACTAGCTCAGGAAAGCAGCCAGGAGGGAGGCTGTACCCTGCAAAGCCACAGGGGCAGAGATGCCCAAGACCATGGGAACCCACCCCTTGCATCAGCGTGAGCTGGATTGAGAAATGGAGTCAAAGGAGATCACTTTGGAGCTTTAAGATTTGACTGCCCCACTGGATTTCAAACTTGCATGGGGCCTGTGGCCCCTTCATTTTGGCCAATTTCTCCCATTTGGTATAGGTGTATTTACCCAATGCCTGTGCCCTCATTATATCTAGGAAGTAACTACCTTGCCTTTGATTTCACAGTCTCATAGGCAGAAGGGACTTGCCTTGTTACAGATGAGACTTTGGACTGTGGACTTTTGCGTTAATGCTGAAATGAGTTAAAACCTTGGGGGACTGTTGGGAAGGCATGATTGGTTTGGAAATGTGAGGACATGAGATTTGGGAGGAGTCAGGGGCAGAATGATGTGATTTGGCTGTGTCCCCACCAACATCTCATCTTGAATATTAGCTCCCAAAATTCCCAAGTGTTGTGGGAGGGACGTGGTGGGAGGTAATTGAATCATGGGGTTGGATTTTTCACGTGCTGTTCTTGTGATAATGAATAAGTCTCATGAGATCTGATGGTTTTATAGAGGGTAGTTCCCCTGCACATGCTGTCTCTCTTGCCTGGCACCATGTAAGAGGTGCCTTTGTTCCTCCTTTGCCTTCTGCCATGATTGTGAGACCACTTCAGCCATATGGTACTGTGAGTCCATTAAACCTCTTTTTTCTTTATAAATTGCCCAGTCTTGGGCATGGCTTTATTAGCAGCATAAGAATGGACTGATACACCCTAGTAAAAGGCTGGATGTCTCCCTGGGGAAGGATGGGAGAGAGATTAACAGTATAAATTGTCAGTAGTGTTGTGGGGTTCTTCCTCAACGGGACCTGACCTCTCCTTCATTAAAGGGGTTCTGGCTCTGTTAACTGGTTCAAGTCTGAAAACTGATTGAGGGGTCATGATTCCCTATTTTTATAATTAAAATTAGTTTTTTGTCCATTCAGCCTGGAAGTTTTCTGCATGTACAAATTATGTAAGAATACAGCAGGCCTCCGATCAATTTCACTTCCAGGAATACTGTGATTAATTAGCCAATGCCAGAGCTCTACATGAATCAGACTATTCTGATTGCTTCTTTGCCTCTGCTGTTCATTATGGTAACTACACCCACCTTGCCTTTGACTGTTGCGTGCCTCCAGTTGGCCCCTGCCACCTCAGGATCCAATTATTCCCATTGTGTTTAAGTTTTCCAGTTGAGTGATTGTGGTTCCCACTGTAAGATGTGGCATATAGAGAAGAGCAATGACAGAGCTCTTCAAGGATGTAGGTGCTCCCCTCACAAATCTGTTTTGCAAGGTATTGGTGAAGGGTATGTCTTCTGGACCCTCTCAGCTGGGATGAGTAGGTCTAAAGTGACTAATCCACTCTAGCCTTTCAATCTCCCTAAGCCTTTGGATCCCTTTCTCTACATTAAACCAAGGGAGATCAGGCATTTCCAGCTCACTCACAGTGGGGCATCTTTGGTCCATGTTTCAGTTAACCAAGCAAATAAACTATTAGAACGTTTTTTAACTCCCAGAGCTGGCAACATTAAATGCAGATATGGGCCCTCTAAGGAGGGCCTTCTAAGGAGGGCCCATATCAATATAACTCCCAGAGCTGCAACGTTAAATGCGGATATGGGCCCTCCTTAGATGGCCCATATCTTTCAGGCCATATCAACCTGAACCAACTTTATATTCTTTCCACCATTATCTCACACCCTTAATATCCATTTTCAGAGCCGTTCTCCAGATTTCTGCTTATATTAGAAAACTCAAGCAGTTCTTTTGGAATTTTGTGCACCTCCTGTGAGACACACTCTGAACCTCACCTCTAGGGGTCTGCTGGCCCTTGATTCTAGTTGTAGGTCTAGAAGCAAACAGGGCTGTTGTGGTGGGTCCTGAGGAGAATCAGCATTGTCTGGCATGGCAACTGCCTCAGGGGAGGCCATCACTGTTGCCTCAGGCAGTGCATGGTTGTTCTCCTCAGAGAAAGGTGAGAAGGCTGATGGTAGTGTGGTTGTGGGTAGGGATGTTGTCACTACTGGGCACAGTGGCTCCAGCCTCATCAGGGTCTTCCCACACATCCCCATTCCAAGTTGCAGGGACCCATTCTTTTCCAATCAATGCCCTCACTTTAACAGTAGACACCTGGTGAGGCTGAGTGTGCACCTTTTGTTGCAGCTCAGCCACTCACACGATAAGGGCTTGTGTCTGATTTTCCACAATGTCAGCCCTTTGTCTGTAGGAGGTAAGACTCACTCAGGTCAGTCTTAGAAGTTTTGAGGCTCAGTATATGCTTCTGGAGCCAGGAATTAGAATCTCTGAGGTCATTGTTTTCTTTCGTCACTTTATCCAGTGAACTTAGGAGCAACCAACTTCATTATATTCCTTGGTTCTCCACATATGGTTGAAGGTATTATGTATAGAGTCACTAAACTCCTTGCCCCTCAAAAGTGATGATTCAGAAGTATCAAATGCATTTATTTTGTATAACTCTCTAAACAGTTCATGCCAAAGACTATCAGTGTTCTCCATACTGTTAGAAGTAGAGTCCTTAGTATTTTGGGGTTTAATCAGATTAAGAAGCCAACTCCAGAAACCCCAAAACCAACTAAAGAAATCCATCCTTAAATTCAGTTCCTCTAGAACCACTCCTGGTACCAAAATCTGTGTTAGTCTAGATTCTCTAGAGGGACAGAACTAGTGGGATAGATGTATATATGATGAGGAGTTTATTAAGGAGTACCGACTCACATGATCACAAGGTGAAATCATACAATAGGCCCTCTGCAAGCTCAGGAGCAAGAAAGCCAGTCTGAATCCCAAAACCTCAAAGGTAGGGAAGCTGACAGATCAGCCTTCAGTCTGTGGCTGATGGCCCAAGAGCCCCTCGCAAACCGCCCGTGTAAGTCCAAGCGTCCAAAAGCTGAAGAACTTGGAGTCCGATATTCAAGGGCAGGAAGCATCCAGCACAGAAGAAAGATAAAGGCTGGAAAACTCAGCAAGTCTGCTCTTTCCACCTTCTTTTGCCTGCCTTATTCTGTCTGCACTGACAGCTGATAAGATGGTGCTCACCCAGATTGAGGGTGAGTCTACCTCTCCCAATCCACCGACTGGAATGTTAATCTCCTTTGGCAACACCCTCACAGACACACCCAGGAACAATACTTTGGATCCTTCAATCCAATGAAGTTGACACTATTAACCATCACACTGTCTTTTGTCTTTTTGATAGTAGCTCTTCTAACAGCTGTGAGGTGTTATTTCATTTTATTTGCTTTTATTTGGTTTTATTTTATTTATTGCATGTTATTTGGTTTTAATTTGCATTTCCCTGATGATTACTGATATTAAGTATTTTTTTAATATATCACTTATAAGTCTTCTTTGAGAAATGTATATTCATGCCCTTTGTCCATTTTTTAATTGGGTTATTTGTATTCTTGCTATGGTTTGTATACCTCGTATATTTTGAATATATACACAACCTCATATATTCAAAACACCCTTTTCAGATATATAGTTTGCAAGTATTTTCTCTCATTCTATAGGTTGTCTGTTCACTCTGTTGATAGTTTCCTGACTTTGCTTTGTTTCCTAATCTTAAAAATATCTGTATAAAGCACTCATTTTTCTTTAGTTAATAATGTAAAAAAGACTGCATTGACACAGTTAAATTCTCAAGATTCTCAGTTCTTTAGGGATGGACTTAATGGTTGGTATCATTACTTACAAAAGTATCTTGAACTTGATTGAACTTATTTTGAGAACTAAAGTTTATAATTTTTATTTTTATCTTTTAACTTCATTTTTCCATGAATCTTTTGAAGTCCTCTTTTACAATTGTTCATAGTAGTCTCTCATGATGCATTGTATGTCTGCTTTATCAGTTGTAATGTCTCATTTAAAAGTTTTTATTTGAGTTTTCTCTCTTTTTTTCTTAGTCTAGCTATAGGTTTGTTGATATTAATCATCATTTCAGGAAATCAACTCTTAATTTTGTTAACTTTTCTATTTTTTCTGGTCTTTATTTCATTTTTGTTCTGATCTATATTACTTCCTTCCATATACTTTAAGCTTAATTTGTTCTTGCTTTCCTCCTTTCTTGAGGTGCAGTGCTAGATTGTTTGAGATGTTTCTTTTTTTGATGTGGGTATTTATTGCTGTACACTTTCCTCTTATAACTGCTTTTGCTATATCCCATAGGTATGTTGTGTTTTTATTTTCATTTGTCTTAAAATATTTTTAAATTTTTCTTTAAATTTCTTCATTGATCATTGGCTGTTTAGGTGCATATTAATTTCCATGTATTTATGAATCTTCTGAAAGTCTTGCTGTTATTAATTTCTAGTTTTATACCATTGTGGTCAGAAAAGATAGTTCATAAAATTTTAATTTTCTTAAATTTATGAAGACTTATTTTGTGGCCTGACATATAATCAGTCCTGGAGAATGTTTTGTGTGCAGTTGAGAAGAATGTGTATTTTGCAGTTGGGGGATGAAGTTTTCTGTATATATCTGTTATGCCTAGATTGCAGTTTAACTTTGATGTTTCCTTCTTGATTTTCTGTCTGGTTGAATCTGTTCATTGCTGAAAGTGGAGTGTTGATATCCCCTACTATTATTGTATTGCAGTGTGTCTCTCTCTTCAGATCTATTAATATTTCTCATATATATTTAAGTGCTACAATGTTGTATTCATATCTATTTATAACCATTATAGTCTCTTGCTTAATTGACCCCTCCATCATTATATAATGATCTTCTTTGTCTCTTTGTATAGGTTTTACTTAAAGTCTATTTTGTCTGTATAGGTATAGTTACTCCTGCTCTTTTTTGGTTTCTATTTCCATGGAATATCTTTTTCTATCCCTTCACTTTGAGTCTATGTGTTTCCTTACAGTTGAAGTATGCGGTAGGCAGCATATACTTGGGTCTTTTTTTATCCATTCAACCATTCAGTGTCTTTCTATTGGAGAATTTAATACATTTACATTCAAGGTAATTATTGATACTGCTGCCATTTTGTTTATTGTTTTCTAGTTGTTTTGTAGAGTGATTCTTTCTTTCTTTTTTCTTTCTTTTTTTTTTTTAAGATGGAGTTTTACTCTTGTCACCCAGACTGGAGTGCAATGGTATGATCTTGGCTCACTGCAACCTCCACCTCCCAGGTTCAAGTAATCCTCATGCCTCAGCCTCCCAAGTATCTGGGATTACAGGCTTGCGCCACCACACCTGGCTAATTTTGTATTTTTAGTAGAGATGAAGTTTCACCACATTGGCCAGGCTGGTCTCAAACTCCTGACCTAAGGACATCTGCCCACCTCAGCCTTCAAAAGTGCTGGGATTACAGGCGTGAGCCACCACACCCAACCTCTCTCTCTCTTTCTTTCTTCTTTCTTTCTTTCTCTCTTTCTTTCTTCTTTTTTTTTTTTTATTGATCATTCTTGGGTGTTTCTGGCAGAGGGGGATTTGGCAGGGTCATAGGACAATAGTGGAGGGAAGGTCAGCAGATAAACAAGTGAACAAAGGTCTCTGGCTTTCCTAGGCAGAGGACCCTGCAGCCTTCCGCAGTGTTTGTGTCCCTGCGTACTTGAGATTAGGGAGTGGTGATGACTCTTAACGAGTATGCTGCCTTCAAGCATCTGCTTAACAAAGCACATCTTGCACTGCCCTTAATCCATTTAACCCTGAGTGGACACAGCACATGTTTCAGAGAGCACAGGGTTGGGGGTAAGGTCATAGATCAACAGCATCCCAAGGCAGAAGAATTTTTCTTAGTACAGAACAAAATGAAGTCTCCCATGTCTACTTCTTTCCACACAGACACAGCAATAATCCGATCTCTCTATCTTTTCCCCACCTTTCCCCCTTTTCTATTTCACAAAACCGCCGTCGTCATCATGGCCCATTCTCAGTGAGCTGTTGGGTGCGCCTCCCAGACCGGGTGGTGGCCGGGCAGAGGGGCTCCTCACCTCCCAGAAGGGGCGGCCGGGCAGAGGCGCCCCCCACCTCCCAGACGGGGCGGCGGCCGGGTGGAGGTGCCCCCCACCTCCCTCCCAGACAGGGCGGCTGGCCGGGTGGGGGCTGGCCCTCCACCTCCCTCCTGGACGAGGTGGCTGCCGGGCGGAGACGCTCCTCACTTCCCAGACGGGGCAGCTGCCGGGCGGAGGGGCTCCTCACTTCTCAGATGGGGCGGCTGCCGGGCGGAGGGGCTCCTCGCTTCTCAGATGGGGCGGCTGCTGGGCGGAGGGGCTCCTCACTTCTCAGACGGGGTGGCTGCTGGGCGGAGGGGCTCCTCACTTCTTGGACGGAGCGGCCGGGCAGAGACGTTCCTCACCTCCCAGATGGGGTCGCGGCCGGGCAGAGGCGCTCCTCACATCCCAGACAGGGCGCCGGGGCAGAGGTGCTCCCCACATCTCAGACGATGGGCAGCCGGGCAGAGACACTCCTCACTTCTTAGATGGGATGGCGGCCAGGAAGAGGCGCTCCTCACTTCCCAGACTGGGCAGCCGGGCAGAGGGGATCCTCACATCCCAGATGATGGGCGGCCAAGCAGAGACGCTCCTCACTTCCCAGACGGGGTGGCGGCTGGGCAGAGGCTGTAATCTCGGCACTTTGGGAGGCCAAGGCAGGCGGCTGGGAGGTGGAGGTTGTAGCTAGCCAAGATCACGCCACTGCACTCCAGCCTGGGCAACATTGAGCACTGAGTGAACGAGACTCCGTCCGCAATCCCGGCACCTCAGGAGGCCGAGGCTGGCGGATCACTCGCGGTTAGGACCAGCCCGGCCAACACAGCGAAACCCCGTCTCCACCAAAAAAACACAGTCAGGCGTGGCGGCACACGCCCGCAATCACAGGCACTCGGCAGGCTGAGGCAGAAGAATCAGGCAGGGAGGTTGCAGTGAGCCGAGATGGCAGCAGTACAGTCCAGCTTCGGCCGGGCATCAGAGGGAGACCGTGGAGAGAGAGGGAGACGGAGAGGGAGAGGGAGAGGAGGGAGAGGGAGAGGAGGGAGAGGGAGAGGAGGGAGAGGGAGAGGAGGGAGAGGGAGAGGAGGGAGAGGGAGAGGAGGGAGAGGGAGAGGAGGGAGAGGGAGAGGAGGGAGAGGGAGAGGAGGGAGAGGGAGAGGAGGGAGAGGGAGAGCTCTTTCTTTTTTCTTTCTTTCTTTCTTTTCTTTCTTTTTTTCTTCTTTCTTTCTTTCTTTCTTCTTCTTTCTTTCTTTCTTTCTGTTTCTTTCATCTAAGCATTTTTCTTTAATGGTATGTTTTGATTCCTTGCTTTTTATTTTTTTGTGTATCCACTATAGATTTTTGCTTTGTGATTAACATGAAGCTTGCAAAAAATCTAATAACTTTCTTTTAAGCCAATAAAAACTTGATTTTGATTTTAAAAAAACCCACAAAATATACATTTATTCCATTCCTCCCCTCACATTTTGACTTTTTGATGTCATAATTTCCATCTTTTTATATTTCATATTTCTTAACAAATTACTGTTGCTATTATTATTTTTAATAGTTTTGACTGTCAACCTTCGCACTGAAGTTATAAGTGATTTGTGTATCACCACTATAGTATTAGAGTATGATGAATTTGTCTGTGTGACTAGCAGTGAGATTTGTACTTTCATATGTCTTCATGTTACACATTAGCATCCTTTTCTTTCAACTTGAATAATTCCCTTTAGTGTTTCTTGTAAGACAGGCCTGGTGGAGATGGATTCCCTCTGCTTTTGTTTTTCTGGGAAAGTTGTTATCATGCCTTCATTTATAAAGCTTTGTTGGGTACAGTATTATTGGTTGACAGTTTGTCCCTTTAGGATTTTGAATCTATCATTCTGCCCTCTCCTGGCCTGTAAAGCTCCTGTTGATAAGTCTGCTCCTAGCTGTACTGGAATCCTATTATATGCTATTTCCTTCTTTTCTCTTGCTGCTTTCAGTCTTCTCCTTGTCTTTGAGTTTTTGACAGTTTGATTATAATAGGTACTGGGGTAGTCTTATTTGAATTGAATTTGATTGGAGATATTTGACCTTTCTGTATTTCAATATTTACATCTTTCTCCAGGTTTAGAAAATTTTCTGCTACTATTTTATAAAATAAGCTTTCTATCCCTTTATATTTCACTTTTCCTTTTTGAACTCCTGTGACTGGAATATTTGCTCTTTTGATGCTGTTCCACAAATCCTGTAAGCTAACCTGATTTCTTTTTATTATTTTTTTCCCTCTTCTGACTACATATTTTCAAATAACCTGTCTTGGAGTTCAAGTTATTTGTATCTACTTCATTAATTTACTCTCTATAGCATTTTTAATTTTTAATTTTGTTTGTTGTATTTTTCAGCTCCTGGATTTCTATTTTATTATTATTATTATTATTATTATTATTATTTTCTCTTTATTAAATTTTGCTTTTTGGTAATTTATTATTTTTCTCATTTTGTTGAATCATTTTTCATATATCCTGAAGTTCACTAAGCCTACTTAAATGGTTATTTTGAATTTTTTTTGTCAGGTGGTTTATATATTTCATTTTTTAGGGTCAATCACTGGAACCTCATTTTGTCTGTTTGATGATGTTTCCTTAATTCTTCTTGATTCTTGTGGTCATGTGTCTATGTGTGCATATTTGAAAAAGTAGATACTCATTTCAGTATTTGTAAACTGGCTTTGTCTGGGAAAGCCCTGTGGCAGGCATGGCACTGGGATGGGCCAGAAGCTCAGAGCCACTGAGGGCTGCCTGTCACTAAGGATTGTCTGGAGCATGGAGCTGCTGAAGTCAGCCTGCTGGTGATGTGGTCTAGAGATCAAGTCTACCACAGAAGCCTAAATCCTGGGGCTGTGTGCTCCAATATGGCACCAAGGCATTTCTACAGGCTCAGTCCAAAAGTACCATCACGGAGTATGAGACTATAGAAGTCTTCCCAGTGCTGAGTTTTACTGTAGTAGGCCGTGTGGTGGAATCCAAGGCAAAGTCCTGTGCTCACTTCTGTCTCTTCCCTCCAAGCAAATGGCATCTCTCTCCATGCTGAAATACCTGGGGTTGGGGAAGAATGATGCGAGTAATGTAAAATTGTCCTTCCCATCCTCCGTATTATATCTTTTCTCACTGTTTTGCTACAGTTAGATACTGTGATCTCTCACCTGGTTTTCTTAGCTCTTGTGTAGGTATTTCCATGCATGAATGGTTTCCAAATTGATGTTTTTGTTGGGGGATAACTACTGGAGGGCCATACTCTGCCATCTTGCTCTGCCTACCTCTCTCCAGTCGGCATATTTTCTTGCATCCAACTAGATCTAAAATGTTATCTAATTCACTTTTCCTTCGCCTTGTATTATATATGTTTTAAATTTATTTTTAAATTTTCTTTCATATTTATAAATATTCAGATAAACTGTCATATACTGGTCATTTCCTGTATTTATGACATTATCTCTGTCCTTCATTAAACTACAATCTACATAGAGAGACAAGATCAGTTAACTAATGGCTCAAGATGATATTTGAGATGATGGAAATATATAAAATGGAAAAGCAAAAACTCAGCACAGATAAGAAGCACTTGAGAATTTGAAAAAAGATTTTCACAGCAAGAGAAGGTTGCAAGAACTTCAGGAAGGACTTTAAATATGTCTTGAAGTATGGGTGGAAATTGGATAGAAAGAGAAGAAAAGAGAGCACAGACAGTGAGGAATAGGTTACTAGAAAGACGGCATGAGAAATTCCCAAGCTATTTTTAGATTATGGGGAGTCTTGGAGAATGGGATTAATTGCAGATGAGGCAAGGAGAAGACTTGGGACCAGAATGAGGGAGATATTTAATTGGGGTTTTAACGTATTGGTGGTATGGTGTTGTTAATGATTATCTTGGTCAATTTTACTTATTTAGCTATGGAAACTTTAAATTTATCTAGCACCATTTCTTACTTTTAAATATGTTTTCCATACATGCTTTTCAGACTTTTAATTATTAACTTACACAAAATGCTATAATTCATATTTTGGAAGATACCTATTTAAATCTTCTAGTACAGCCTATAGGAGAGTATAAAAGTAGAAAAAAATAGATGTTAAGTGAATAGTAGTGTGTTTCTGGAATATTTTGCTCCAAAAGAAAATATCCTCAAAATTTAGTTTTTTTTTTTCTAAACAGTAAACTAAGCTGTGTGTCTCTTGATTTCAGATGCTATATTAGTTTTCTTTGGTTAAGTAACAAGTTATTATAAACAGTAGCTTATGACACCTATTTATTAGTGAAAAGTTCTGTGGGTCAGAAATTCAAGCATGCTAGGCTGGGATGTATGTATGGAATATCACAAGAATGAAATCAAGGTGTTAGCTAGTCTGGGCTCTTATCTGGAAGCTTTGGGAAAATCTCTGGCTCCAAGTGCAATATATTTTGGCAGAATTCATTTCTTTTCATAGCTGTGAGAGTGAAGTCTCCATTTACTTGCTGGTTGTTAGTCAGGGGCTACCTTTTAGCTTCTAAAGACTGCTCTTCTTCCTTGTTCTTGAGCCCTTCCATCTTCAAACCATTTGTCAAAACGTTCTCTAGCTTTATATCTTTCTTATTTGCTCTTCTGCCTTCTTATATCACTGTTCAAGGAAAACTCTGCTTTTAAAGGACTCATGTGATTAGATTTGAACACTTGGATAATCTACTAATTTTAAGTCTAGCTTTACCATATAACATAGCAGAGTAATATTTTATCATAGTCACAGTTTCCACCTATACTCAAAGGAGAGCTTATAAAAAGGTAAGGGTTATTGGGGGGTCATTCCTAGAAGTCTACCTACCAAAAGTATGTATTTGTTTATTGTCAAAACTTAATATTATACATAATATAAATACTGCAAATAATAATTGTTACAGAAATGTATAATAATTTAGGGATTAGTGAAAAACACATGTGATCCAGAAACAATGACTATGTTTCAGTAAGAATAAAATAAAAATTAAAACATATCTAAATGGTTACTCTTTGGGAACAAAATTAAACTCAGTTAATATAATTATTATTATTATTATTATTATTTTGAGACAGAGTCTCGCTCTGTCACCCAGGCTGGAGTGCAGAGGTGTCATCTCGGCTCACTGCAACCTCTGCCTCCTGGGTTCAAGCGATTCTCCCGCCTCAGCCTCCTGAGTAGCTGAGATTATAGGCATGCACCACCATGCCTGGCTAAGTTTTGTATTTTTATTAGAGATGGAGTTTCACCCTGTTGGCCAGGCTGGTCTCAAACTCCTGATCTCGTGATCTGCTCGCCTCCGCCTCCCAAAGTGCTAGGATTATAGGCGTGAGCCACCGTGCCTGGCCTAATATAACGTTTATAAGCAACTTGTACTTTCTGTGCAACACATGACATTACACTGATACATTCAACAAAGGCCCTTTAAAAGGGCAATTCGCCACCATCCTGTGAGCCTTATAATGTAACGCTTCATTGACTACTCTGGCAACTATTCTAAATCACATTTTGGCCTAATTAGATATCCCAACAGTGAATTCAGATGTTTCATGACTGGGCTAGAAAGAGCATGATGATGAAGTGGGAGCTGATAGAAAGCTCCCCTTCCTCCCAGTATTCTAGATGAAAAATAACATAGTCTGTGTTAAAAATCTGTTACAACTTCAATAGTTCTATTTCTTCTGAGAAATGTAAAAAAAAAAAAAAGTACACATTCATGAAGAAAGAGAAAACCTATCACAATCATATCAGAGTAACCATATAATTTGACTGTCTACATTCCTGTCCTGACCACTTCTAGATTCTAAGTGCTTAGAGCTCATTACTACTTCTCCATGTCCATCACTGCTTTGGCTCAAATACAACCATCACATCTGCCATGGCTAGTAATCTTGACTACGAAGTCAACAGGTATTCTTCTCCCAGACACACTACAGTATGCCCTGTATCTGACTTCTCATTTCTAGGATACTGGTGCATTTTTTAGTGCTCTTCAGCATAGTAACTGGTCATGGCCCAGCTGAGGTTCATTCAGTGATATTTATTGCTTTATTAAATAACTATTAGTCTGGTTACCTTGTGAACTGGATTCTGCTAGGCACTATCCATGCCTAATAATTATCCTCAAATAATAATCCTTATAATTATCTAATTATAACTATCCTAAAGTTGAAGAAATAATTTTCGCAATTAAAAATTCTACAAATGTTCATTGAAAACAAACAGTTAAGGACAAAAATTATAAGATTACCTGCAACATGAATTTCAAATTTTTGCAAAATGACTCTTTCAAAAGATCCATTGAAGATAAATTTTAAATTGTTTTTATTTGTTATAAAATTAGCACATATACCATTCTTCTCAAAACGAACCAGAAAATGTATCACATTGCCGTGAGTGGGCAAAGGGCATGATCTATTTTACCCGGGCAGGAGAGACAGAAAGCTAGGAAAGTTAAAGAGGAGCTGGGGCTGGGTGCGGTGGCTCACGCCTGTAATCCCAGCACTTTGGGAGGCCGAGACGGGTGGATCACGAGATCAGGAGATCGAGACCATCCTGACTAACATGGTGAAACCCCGTCTCTACTAAAAAAATACAAAAAAGTAGCCTGGCGTGGTGGCAGGAGCCTGTAGTCGCAGCTACTCGGGAGGCTGAGGCAGGAGAATGGTGTGAACCCAGGAGGCGGAGCTTGCAGTGAGCTGAGAGCGTGCCACTGCACTCCAGCCTGGGCGACAGAGCAAGACTCTGTCTCAAAAAAAAAAAAAAAAAAAAAAGAGGAGCTGGGTCTTCTAAGATGACTTGGCGTTTAAGAGGAGAATCAGGGAGAAAATAGGTAAATGTAGAGAGGCATGATAGAGTAAAGGACCATAGTAAGCATTTAAAGAAAGGGTAGAGAAAACAAAATTAAAAGAAAATGTGATTTTGATAGATTTTGTATGCCACGTTCAGAAGTGTACCATCAGGATGGTAGTCCAGAATTTCCAGCTTTGCCTGTGAATTGCTACAAAGTAAGGGGCTCCTCCAAGTCCCTGGACCATCAAGGATGGAATAGAACAATAGAAAAGATCTTCATCCTCACTGAAACCTCTCCTACTGCTGTAGACTAAGCAAGATGATCCTGAAAAATACCCACTTTTGGAAAGAAAAATATTTCATAAATAAATACATGCATATCTTTATTTTAGATGGAATACTGAAGTGAGGACAATCCTGTTAACATTTTATGCTTAAATTATTTTATGTTATATTACTATACATTTTGTTCTAATTTACCTTTACAGGAATATTTAGTCATTCAAAATCCTTGCCTTTGAGTACTGCTTTATTCCTGTTTGTGCTGTTAAAGTTCAGCCAGATGGAACTTGTCCAAGCCCTTATTTCTATCAGACGTTTGAACAGCTGGGATTCTGTAGTTTCTGAGTTTGAAGAAAAAAGATCTGCAGAGATCCTGTCAGCAAGGGCCATGTGCTTTCATGATCTCTCCTAGAGGCTTGATATTCACACAGTTTCATTTGAAAGAAACTGACATTTGTAATTTATGTCAGGATGGAAGAGAGAGTGAGAAGGAATTGCATCTAATATCTGGCTTTTAACATTGCAGGACTTTTGTGATTGCTTTGCTAAATCCATTTTAGAACATTGTAATTATGTTGTTATTCTATCTTGTGAAGTATTTGGCATGAAGCAAAGATTTAAGTAGTTCTAGGATGGAATTTTTTTTTACACTGTTGAAAAAACGGAAGTTGTTATTTTAAATTGTGAAAGTAGGTATCAGTGGGATTTACACAAAACTATTTCATCCTTATTCTCATTTTTCAATTGCTTAACATAATCTTCATGAAAACTAACTTTAAAAGTTTTGTCAAAAATAAAATTCAACTTGTTTCATGTTGCCCTTGGGGACATGCTGAGAGTCTGAACAAATGCTATGTTTAGATTAGGACTATCTAGTTTTGATACAGATAAAGCTATGTTAAAATAAGAATGACCTTTAAAAATCCAAAAATACTGGATAATACGAAGATTTTGTAGTAAAAAGCTGTAATAACAAAACAGCAGGATTTTCATAGTAGTGTAGTTCTGACTGGAAGTCAGAAGATTTGAGATTGACAGCTGTTGAACAATACAGTGCATAACATGAGTCATATATGGTAGCATTTTATTTGGATAGTTCATTAGTTGCATATTGGACCTCATTAAACACTTAAATAGCGTTAAGCTTTAAGACAGTAACATGCAAACGGGTCTAAGTGTAACTTACAGAGTTCCTTCAATAATTATTTGTATCACAGCTAATACTTGGAAAATCACTATGGTCATGACAAGAGTATTAGAGTAGAAAGGGACTCCTAGAAATCACTTGGTGGCAATTTTTAATTAATTGAGGTGTAATTTATATACTATATAACACAGGTCTTAAGTACTTAGTTCAATAAAATTTGACAGTTGTTGACTCAGTATGCAAACACATCACCAATTAAAACATTGAACATTTTTATCTTTCCAAAAAGGTTTTTCATGGCCAGGTCAATATTGATACGCCCCCTTCACCCAGAAACAATCTTGTTCAAATTTGTATTACAGTAGCCTAGTTTTACCTGCTCTAGAACTTCATAAAAATGAAATGACTCATTATGCAAACTTTTGTGTTGGGCTTCTTTAGCTCAATATAATATTTTTGAGATAATTCATGTTGTTTTGTTATCAGTATTTGATTCTTTTTAAAAAATGTCTGGGCCGGGCACGGTGGCTCACGCCTGTAATCCCAGCACTTTGGGAGGCTGAGGCGGGTGGATCACGAGGTCAGGAGATCGAGACCTTCCTGGCTAACACGGTGAAACCCCGTCTCTACTAAAAATACAAAAAATTAGCCGGGCGAGGTGGCGGGCACCTATAGTCCCAGCTACTCAGGAGGCTGAGGTAGGAGAATGGCATGAACCCTGCGGGGAGGAGCCTGCAGTGAGCCAAGATCGCACCACTGCACTCCAGTCTGGGTGACAGCAAGACTCTGTCTCAAAAAAAAAAAAACTGTCTGAATTGCATTTTGCTGTATGAACACAATACAATTTCTTCATCAAATTTCCATTTGTGGACGTGTGGTTTATTTTCATGTTGGGATTGTTATGAATAAAGCTACTATGAACATATTTGTACAAGTCTTTTTGTGGACACATATTTTCATTTCTCTTGAGTAAATACCAAGGAGTGGAACTGCTGGGTCATAAAGAGATTGTGTAATTAGCTTTATGAAAAACTGCCAAACTAACTTCTAAAATTGTAATACAATTTTTCACTTCCACTAGCAATTTAGGAGAGTTCTACTTGCTTCATTTTCTTGTCAACACTTGACAATGTCTGTATTAATCTGTTCTTGCATCACTATCAAGAAATACCTGAGACTGGGTAATTTATAGGAAAAGAGATTTAATTGGTGCATAGTTCTGCAGGCTGTACAGGAAGCATCGCTCTGACATCTGCTTCTGAGGAGGCCTCAGGAATCTGAATCATGTCAGAAGGTAAAGCAGGAGCAGGCATGTTATATGGCGAGAGCAGGAGCAGGAGAAAGATAAAGGGTCAGGGGGTGTAGGTGCTGCACACTTCTAATCCACCAGATCTCATGAGAACTCACTATCACCAAGACAGCACCAAGCCAGGAGGGAGCCACCCTCATGAACCAAATACTTCTCACTAGGCCCCACTTCCAGCATTGGGGATTACAATTCGACATGAGATTTGGGCAGGGACAAATATCCAAAGCATGTCAATATCATTTTCATAATTTTTTTACCCAATCACGTGGGTTAAAAGTTGATATGGTTTGGCTCTATGTCCCCACCCAAATCTCATCTTGAATTGTACTCCCGTAATTCTCATGTGTTGTGACTGGGACCCTGTGGAAGATAATTTGAATCATGGGGGCAGTTTCCCCTATACTATTCTCATGGCAGTGAATAAGTCTCACGAAATCTGATGGTTTTAACAGGTGTTTCCACTTTTGTATCCTTCTCATTCTCTCTTTGCCTGCTGCCATCCAATAAGATGTGACTTGCTCCTCCTTGCCTTCTGTCATGATTTTGAGGCTTCCCCAGCCACATGGAACTGTAACTCCAATTAAACCTCTTTCTTTTGTAAATTGCCCAGTCTTAGGTATCTCTTTATCAGCAGTGTGAAAATGGACTAATACAGTAAATTGGTACCATTAGAGTTGGGCATTGCTGAAAAGATACCCGAAAATGTGGAAGTGACTTTGAAACTGGGTAACAGGCAGAGGTTGGAACAGTTTGGAGGGCTCAGAAGAAGATAAGAAAATGTGGGAAAGTTTGGAAGTCCCCAGAGACTTGTTGAATGGCTTTAACCAAAATGCTGATAATAATATGGACAATGAAATCCAGGCTGAGGTGGTCTCAGATGCTGAGATGAGAACTTGTTGAGAACTGGAGCAAAGGTGACTCTTATTATGTCTTAGCAAAGAGACTGGCAGCGTTTTGTCCCTTCCCTAGAGTTTTTTGGAACTTTGTACTTGAGAGAGATGATGTAGGGAATCTGGCAGAAGAAATTTCTAAGCAGCAAAGCATTCAAGAGGTGACTTGGGTGCTGTTAAAGGCATTCAATTTTAAAAATGAAGAAGAGTATGAAAGTTCAGAAAATTTGCAGCCTAACAATGCAATAGGAAGGAAAATCCCATTTTCTGAGGAGAAATCCAAACCAGCTGCAGATATTTGCATAAGTAACAAGGAGCCAAATGTTAAACCCCAAGACAATGGGGAAAATGTCTTCAGGACACATCAAAGATCTTTGCAGCAGTCCCTCCCATTACAGACCTGGAGGTCTAGGAGGAAAAAATGGTTTCATGGGCAGGGCCCAGGGTCCCCATGCTGCTTGCAGCCTGGGGACTTGGTGCCTTGTGTCCTAGTCACTCCAGCTTTGGCTGAAAGGGGCAAACGTAGAGCTTGAGCCATAGCTTCATTGGGTGCAAGCCACCCCTTGGCAGCCTCCACATGGTGTTGAGCCTGAATGTTCACAGAAGTGAAGAATTGGGGTTTGGGAACCTCCACCTAGATTTCAGAAGAAGTATGGAAATGCCTGGATGCCCAGGCAGAAGTTTGCTGCAGGATGGGGCTCTCATGGAGAACCTCTGCTAAGGCAGTGTGGAAGGGAAATGTGGGGTTGGAGCCCCCACACAGAATCCCTACTGGGGTACCACATAGTGGAGCTATGAGAAGAGGGCCACCATCTTCCAGACCCCAGAATGCACCTACAGCTTGCACTTTGTGCCTGGAAAAGCCACAGACACTCAATGCCAGCCCATGAAAGCAGCTGGGAGGCAGACAGTACCCTGCAAAGCCACAGGGGTGGAGCTGCCCAAGGCCATGAAAGCCCACCTCTTGAATCAGTGTGACCTGGATGTAAGACCTGGAGTCAAAGGAGATTATTTTGGAGCTTTAAAATTTGACTGTCCTGGAAGATTTCAGATTTTCATCAATTTCTCCCATTTGGAACAGCTCTATTTACCCAATACCTGTACCCCCATTGTATCTAGGAAGTAACTAGCTTGCTTTTGATTTTACAGGCTCAAAGTTGGAAGGGACCTGCTTGTCTCAGAAAAGACTTTGGACTGTGGACTTTTGGGTTAATGCTAAAATGAGTTAGGACTTTGGGGTACTGCTGGGAAGGCATGATTGGTTTTGAAATGTGAAGACATAAGATTTGGAAGAGCCAGGGGCAGAATGATGTGGTTTGGCTCTATGTCCCCACCCAAATCTCATCTCAAATTGTACTCCCATAATTCCCATGTGTTGAGTCAGGGACCTGGTGGAAGATAATTTGAGTAATGGGAGCAGTTTCCCACATACTGTTCTCATGGTAGTGAATAAGTCTCACGAGATCTGTTGGTTTTATGAGGGGTTTCCACTTTTGCATCCTCCTCATTCTCTCTTTGCCTGCTGCCATCCATGTAAGACGAAACTTTCTCCTTGCCTTCCACCATGATTGTGAGGCTTCCCCAGCCATATGCAACTGTAAGTTCAGTTAAACCTCTTTCTTTTGTAAATTGCCCAGTCTTGGGTATGTCTTTATCAGCAGCATGAAAACAGACTAATACAAAAGTGGTAAATCATTGGATTTAATTTGTATTTCCCTTTTGGCTATAGTGATATTGAACATCTTTTTATGTGCTTATTCACCACTTGTGTGTCTTATTTTGTGAAGTGTTTATTCTAGTATCATGTTCATTTTTATTCTATTAATTATTTATATGTAGAAGATTTTAATATGATCTGTATGTAAGACTTATGTCAGATATATGTCTGATGAATTTTTTCTTCTAATTCTTACTTGAATTTTTATTTTCTTAATGGTATTTTTAAAACTGTCTCTTTTAAATAGCAGAAGTTTAATTGTGATGAAGTAAACTTTATCAATTTTCTTTTATGGTTAGTATTTTTGTGTCTCAAGAAATTTTTGCTTGTGCTGGGGTTACAAAGATTTTCCTGTATTTTCTTTTATAAGCTTTATAATTTTATCATTTATGTGTAGGTTTTTGATTCATCTTGAAATAATTCTTATCTATGGTGTGAGGTGGGGGATAAAGTTTATTCTTTCTATATGAATATTCAAGTGTTCATGATGATATTTATCGTAGAAGTACCTATCAGTCTTTGAGAGTTATCTATTTTGATTTGACCCATGAATGTACATATAAATTTTAAATGTCACATATGAAAAAATAATAAGTATATGTTATAAAGAAATTTTGACTAATCATATATGTGGATTGACTAAATTTTTAATTTTTTGAACATTAGTACTTTATCTAATATTTCTCCTCCACCATTCACCAAATACTTGGTAAAAATTTATTGATTAAATAATTGAATGACTGCTGTGG
Source organism: Homo sapiens (assembly GCF_000001405.40). Lineage (NCBI taxonomy): Eukaryota > Metazoa > Chordata > Mammalia > Primates > Hominidae > Homo > Homo sapiens. The sequence continues at coordinate 182,373,993 of NC_000002.12, read as the reverse complement.
CAAAGCCATTAATATTTATTGTTTTTTGTCCTTTTCTATTTACTGCATATCTTTTTAGTCCCTTTACAACATTTGCACATGATTTGGCAACTCAATGAAGTCATCATGTGAAAATCTGATTTCTTTTCCTGTGATATTAATAACATTTCCTCTTGTTTTCTTGTCATATATCTCCCCCAAGCATTTCTTGTTACATGTATTTTTAATCTGTCCCTGCCTGAATTCCTTCTTCTGCCTTTAAACAAGCTCATGTGAAAAAAAATATTCATTTTTCAGCCTTACTAGTCACTAAATTCTATCCTTTCTCCTTCTTCACTGCTTTACTTCTGTTTCTCAAGTGAAGTGCTATAATACATTTCTAGCAACCTGTGACTTTTTCTATGAGAAATTTGAATGTTTACTTTAAGGAAATTTTATGAAGTAGCCTTATTCTGTTTCAGCTGTGTGAGAACTTTAAAACAATGATTTATTAGAGTTTTAGAACTGCCTTTAAATTTCTGTTTTTAAGCCCACCATGACCAAATCACTTAATGATTAAGTTTTTCCAGTTTTTGAACCTAAGATATGTGGTTGTACTGACATTAATAGATTGTCGAAGAAGTAATTTACACTGTTGGTTTCTCTGCCCTCTCTCCTCCTCCTTTCCTTAGCAGTCCCTTGTCATTTGGCTTTGCCTTCCACCATTTTATTGAAGTTGAAAGTTGTTCTCCTGACAGTACCACATGCAGCCCAGGTCACCCCTGAGGCCATTCCAAAAGAGGCAGATTGGATAGTAATTGGTTCCCCTTCCATTATTATAATGCAGTGTTTGATACTAAACCCCAAGATTCAGGATGCCTGACTCAAGTAAATCATTGAAGCCCCTGTGATGTATTTTTCATTCTAATCTTCTTCACAGACAACCACAGGTAAGAACTGGCATTATGTGAGGTCGTGAAACTGCTCAGCCTCAACAATTTCTCCTTGTCACTACATAGGGTCCCAGTGCACAGGGCTTGGGCCTTTGTCTTAGTCCCTTTTCCTAAGTCATGAGTGGATCCCTGGCCTGCACATTGTTCCTTTATCACTGTCCTTATGACATTTCTGTTTTCTGTGCTGCCTTGTTCCAGCCTGTCCCTCTGTACAGGAAATGGAATTTTGTCTTATGAGTCATCTTGGTGTTTGAGCCTTTTCTCCTACGGGAACACTTCCCAGTGCTAACCGTTGGTCTGCCTCACTCCTGAGCAATCAGCCAGTTCCTGAATTTCTCTGTGTTCTGAATTGCCCCTTAGATTGGTTCTCTAGTATGAATAACTTTGGAATTTGGACCTGAGATTGTGGCATAGCACCCTCTTAAACATTGTACCTTCTCACTCTTCAGGGTCAGACTAGGGGGTGAAATTTGTTTCTCCAGTCCCTATCCTGCCTAGCTCTGAATTCTTCACTAAATTAGAAAGTACTTAAGGAACTGTTGTAATATCAGCAGCATATAACAGTGTTACCTGTTTAATTCTTTGTTGTCACTATTTTTACATCCTGGTCTGTGACATGTTCAAAGTTTTTCTTTAAAATGCCTTTTAAAAGAGAAAATTGAAACCCATTCCCACTTAAATATAGATAAAATGATCACAATTATCATTTTATTTATCAAACAGTTATTGAATTTATGCTATACACCTAACATTTTAGTTAAGATAAATTCCACATTTTTACCAATACTTCTCCCCTATGTAATGTCAAACACAATACCTTCCTCCTCATAGCAGTTATGCAGTAGATGAGTTGTATAAATACAAGAGTTATATAAATAAAAATAAAACCACAGTTTTACTGTATCTTCGGAAAACTCACATTTTGGTATGCAAGTCAAGATATGCACATTTGAAAAAAATTATGCCAATTAACGGTAATAAAAATATATCAGAGTTGGCCAGGCATGGTGGCCCATGCCAGCACTTTGGGAGGCTGAGGTGGACGCATTGCTTGAGCTCAGGAGTTTGAGATCAGCTTGGACAACATGGCAAGACTTCATCTCTACTAAAAATACAAAAATAAAAATAAAAAAAGCCAGGCGTGGTGGTGCATGCCTGTGGTCCTAGCTACTCAGGAGGCTGAGGTCGGAGGATCCCTTGAGCCCAGGAAACGGAGGTTGCAGTGAGCCAAGATGGCATCACTGCACTCCAGCCTGGTGACAGAGTGAGACCCTGTCTCTAAATAAATAAATAAATAAATGTTAATTCATTTTGTAGGTCATTTTAACATTTATCATAAAAGTAAGATAATCATGCATGATTTTTAATGAGGCAAGACATGACTATGTGTTAGGAACACCTAAACAAATGGTTATTACTATCACCTTTGAGAGGAGTCATTTTTATCCTAAAGAGCATCCATGACCTCCCAGATATCCAGTAAACAAATTGTTAGGGAAAAACTTTAAAAATGTCTATTAGGGCAAAATTGTAAATGTGTCAATTCTTCTGCCTATCTGCTGAAACATTGTGGGGCAGTCTGCTTGTACTTTTATTGGGAGCTTTTCATTGCTTGTTGCAATCTTCTCCCTTTGCTCAGCTCCTGAAGTCCTGTTAACAATAAACTTTTATCAGAATAAGTTTTCGTCTCAGGAGACCTGATAGTCATTTTATAAAAATAACATTTCAATTAAAATACTGCTTGGGGAAGTTTCTTCTGGTTTTCTTCTGTTAATAAAACAAAATTTGGCAGGGCCTTGATCTTAAATAGAAACTAATGCCTGTAGGTATTAAAAGAATAATTTAATATGGAAGAAGTCTATATTTAATAAATGTTTATAGTGCATATTTTATAACTACTTTTTTCGTAGTCTTTTTTTAGAACTGTTGTTCTAATATTTTTCAAAGATTTTAGAATCAAATGACATTAAGTTGTGATTCCATCCAGCTGCTGCTTTGGATGGGCTAAGATTTTCTGCCTAGCCTATACCTCTGGGAAAACTTTTTCTTTGTATTTCTCAGATATGTTAATTGATTGCGTTTGAGTAGTCCTCCTCCTCTTTTGCTGTATCTTGTGGTAAGACTTTAGAGCCTCTTTTCGCAGTTTTTCTGAACTTTTTCTTTTTTTCTGGGTCTTTGCTGGAAGGTTTCTGAAGTCTCTAGAAAGATTGTAACTTCAGCATGTTCAATGATAATGCATTCAACGAACTCCTAATCTCCTGCAATCCCATAACTTTTCTGTTTCAACAGCACACTCACATGGTCCTGTCTTTGAGATCTTGAACTTTAAAAGTCCACTTTCTGTGTCCTTCTGTAACACACACGAGCTCATCATAATCTCTTCCTCCCAGTTTGTCACTCACTCTTGGCTTTCTTTCTCTTCCTACCCAGGTTGGAACTCATTTTAAATCTAACAGCAGTCTCACCAGCAACAGCAGTCTTGCCACATTCTCTGGGTTCTGGGTTCTTGTCAAATCTCAGATCAATCATCTGCCCCCTCTGAGCTGCTCCTTGCCTGGGTGGTGCTTAAGAAAAATTGCCTGACATTGTTCCCAGTCATCCTTAAATAAAAGTTCAGGCACAGTCAGCTCTTCTTGATTCCCCATCAGTCTCTCACATTCTCTCACCAACTGTCTGAAATCTTTACAAGTTTCCTCAAACACTCAACCTAACACTCAGCAAACTGTCTGTTATGATCCTTTCAAGGAACTAGAGTCCATTAGGCATGCGACCTATTAATTTCGTTCATCTCCATGTCAAAGTTTAACTAATTAATCAGCCATCCTTTCTTCCTTTTTTCTTATCTCACAGGAAAAAAGATTAACCTCCTTTCTTTTTTTCTTTTCTTTTTCTTTTTTTTCTTTTTTGAGACAAAGTCTCACTCTGTCGTCCAGGCTGGAGTGCAGTGGTGTGATCTCAGCTCACTGCAACCTCTGCCTACCAGGTTCAAGGGATTCTCATGCCTCAGCCTCCCGAGTAGCTAGGATTACAGGCGGCCACCACCACGCCCGGCTAATTTTTGTATTTTTTTAGTAGAGACAGGGTTTCACCATGTTGGCCAGGATGGTCTTGATCTCCTGACCTCAGGTGATCCACCTGCCTCAGCCTCCCAAAGTGCTGGGATTACAGGCGTGAGCCACTGCGCCCAGCCAATGAAACTCCTTTCTAAGGCTTCTTTTACACTTACCTTCATTTCAAGTAATGAGTTTATCTCTAACCTTCCATTTGCACTACACTTGGTTTTGATGCATTGCTTCTAATTCTTCATTTCCAATTTATTTGTTATGACACTGCAATTTGGCTTTAGTTCTCACCATATCAATGGACCTCCTCCAAGGTCTGAAGGCATTACCTGATGGCCATTTTTTTTTTTCTGAGTCTCTTTTTCTTCTCATCTTCCTTGACTTATGCTGCAGGATTTATCACTTCTGACCACTTCTTCAAAGTGTTCTGCAAATGTGCTACTTCCTTTATTTATATGACACCCCAGAGACCTGAAATTCACTAGAGGTAATCTTGGTAAAGATGAAGCTACCATGAAACGTTTCCCCCTTATTTCCAATAAATGCTTTGTCAAACTGGAAAGAGACCACTTTACTTATATTTTTATTGCAGCTGCCTTTTAAGCAATCAATTCTATTTTAAATAGGCTACACATAATTATATTTTATGTCTTCTAAATAGATGTTAACAAAATGAAACAATAAACCTGTGCGATAAGAAGCTATTATATAAAAACAATGTATCAAGAAGATTAGCTTAATAAGAATGTACACTGCATGGGCTTGTGAAAAGAGGAAAGGGAGTCACTGAGTTAGGCATGCTTGTTAGGTGACTTTTGGGGATGTGACTAGAGACAGACAGAATGCAGAAATAGAGAGGCATACTAAATATCCTAATGGATTGGGCTTGCTGAGACAGATCAAATTTGAGATAGAAAGACGGGGAAGTAATCTAAGGTGATATATACAATGGTTCCTGCTTGATTTGATATTAAAAAATACTTAGTGACTATTTAGCAGTTTTTTATCCGAGTCTAACTCCCTACAACTAGGCCGGTTGAGTAACCAAAATATGCTACTACTTTAGATAAAAACTAACATTTTCCTTTCCAAAAGGATAGTTTATAAATCTTGAAATAATAATGTGAAAGCAGCTACCATTTAATGAGTGTTCACTATGGGCAAGGAAGGGATTTTATATTTTTACTTGTTAATCATCACTCCCAATTCTGTAAGGAGAGTTTTATTATCCTTATTTTTTAGATGTGGAAAATGAGTCTCAGAGAGTTTAGATAACATGCCCAAGTTCACTCAGCTGGAAAATAGGATGGGCTCCCATCCCAAGTTTCCAGTCTGCAAACTTCTTGCTCTGCCTTTTCATGAGATTGCATAAAGCTCTAGATTCAACAACAGAGAGTGAGTTGCAGCCCTAAGTTTATTATTTACTGATGCAACAACAGATGAATCATTTAATCTCTCTCAGCCCCATTGTAGTCTTCTGTTTAAAAAAAAAAAAGGTGATGAGAAGTATAAGGAGAAAATCAGTGAAACCTGAAATGTAGACATTCTATAGGACAAGTGAGATGGTTCCTTCAACAGATAAATGGAATGAATAAAAAAGAGTGGGAAGGGGAAAATGTTATGTATTGAAGGAGACTTCATAAACTTATCAATCAAATGCAATGTCTGGCCTTTGGGTGGGGGGGGCTGGGGTGTTCTGGACTTAAGAAACTGAGAAAATATGTATGAGAAAATAATAAAATTTGAACATGAACTCCATATTTGATGATACTAAGGAATTGTTGATAATGCTGTAAAATGCGATAATGATATTAGAAAGTGTTATGGAAAAAGTGTCATCTGTTAATGATCCATACTGAGGTGTAAACTGGTGAGGTGATATTAAATGTGAGATTTACTTTAAAATACTCTTACAAATATAAGTAGGTGGAGATAGATGAGAAAAGATTGGCAAACTATTGATAATTGTTGAAGTGGAGTGGTGGATGTATGGTAATTCATTATATTAACCTCTCTCCTTTTGTGTGTGTTTTAAATTTTCTAGAAGAAAAAGTAAAAGAAAGACAGAGTGGTGTTGGTTTCATGGGTATATATTTATCTACCAAATGATCAAGTTCTATACATTAAATATATACAGCTTTTTGTAGGCCAATTATATCTCAATAAAGTGGATTTTTTTAAAGACAGATAATAAATAAAAATAAGATAGATATTTCCAGGTTAATGTTTACGTGTGACTTTAAAAATTATATATTAAGGCATCTGTGCATGGCAAAATATAATTTTATTTTTTCAATTAATTTTTTAAAGTATTAGGTACTAATGGGATTTTTAAAACTCACTGACTAATCTATAAACCCTACTTGTCCCATCAAATGCAGTTTCATGCTTGAATTGGCTTTGCTACATTGCCACATTAATTTGTCAGGATTCTTCTATCGAGAAATTAACTACCCAAGTTGTAAGGAAGTTCTTTTGTTCCACTAGACATTTTATTAAGAGAACAAATTCCCACCACTGTATTTTAAAATTCATTAGAGTGTTTTTTTTTCTAATGTTTAATACAGGTTTTAAGTTTTTAATGCTGGTTTGAACTTGAAACATATGAAGATAAAAGGTTTAAACAAATCATGTGAGCAAATTTACTGAGTGTATCATGTAATATGGATATCACACTCTTGTAAACAAATGAACAAATTATTTTTACATCTGATTCTAGTGATTCTAGTCATAAGAGACTAAATAGTTCCAACAATTAGCAATAATTCAATAAGAAATAGTTTTCCTAAAAGAGCCCTAATATTAAACTCAGCTGTCATTTTAAAAAAATCTTTTCCATATGACTTCTAAATCAAGGAATCAACAAAAGCAAGCTTGTTTTTTTTTCTAACTTGAAAATTTTATAAACCATTTAATATTTTTGACTAAAAGAAGCAGACTATATTTTTGCCTGCATTAGGTGATCACTACATTAGTGATCAGTGTTAATTTGAAGAAAGATGGTCAAGAAGTACTTGAAATCTCACTTGCTTTTTGTTTGTAACTTTTGTCAGATTTACGATTATCTTGTCATAGTAATAAAGCCCACAATGATTTAATACAAGCTTGTGACGATGATGCTTTACTCTGTTTATTTCTGTACCACTCTGATTGCTCAAGGATCTGCTCTTATTGTTCCACATTAGCCACGACTGCCAAGCCCACTAGTCAAAACAATTTCACAATTGAACATTAATGGACTGAAGAACATTAGCAGAAGCAAATAGAAGCGGGATACCATAGTAACCCATGTAGTCTGAGGAAATGATGTTCTATTAAAGGGAAAGCTAATGTCCCAAAATAAAGCTTTACATAAACAGTCTGGCTTCTCATGCTTAAAATGTCTCATGTGAAATGAGCTTTCAATTTCATATTGTCCATATTGCTTGTTTTAGTCATAGTACTTTCAAAATTTTATGAATATTTAATTCATTTTTCAAATTTAAAAACAATAGGTTATTAAATTAATGAGGATGGGGATATGATTATTTTATAGAGAGGTGGTTAGTTTAGGGTGTTTAAGGTTATGTGACGAACTTTAAGAGATCCAACGGCAAATCATAATTGATAGATCAATGTGATTTTTGATCCAGCTCTAACAGAAATGTCACCTCACCCATAAAGGTAGTTGGGAAACATGTTTCTCATTCTATCTCCTTTTTCTCATCTTTTAACTCATATTGGTCAATCACCTGTTTATAAACAAACATTTATTACAGTGGATCTTATCCTTTTTTGAGGCAAACTCTTTAATACTGGAACTTTTGGAACCACCCTTGAGAGGACTAAAAAAGTCAAAATAGCACTAAACACATAAGGAATAATTAAATTTTTAAAATGACTCTAGAAGAGAAACTTCTCACAGTGCCTGCTCCTATAAAAGTAATCACAGTTTCTCACAATTCACGTCATCACCTTTCAACAGTGTGTCACTGATTTTAACTGTTTATTGCCAGATGAACATCTCTTAGTACTCAGGAGGCAAATTCCTGCACGTTGCACTCCTTTTAGCATCTCTTAACAGTTGACAGTACACCTCGGAGGGGTGTGGTACCTAGCATAGGTGAGAACCATTGATTTATTGAATGTTTGTGGGGTACAAAGCCCTTTAATAAGTTTTAGTCACTTTTATCATCTGTAGTTTGATTTCAGTTACATGGAGAACAATACAACATGAGGGATAGATTCTAATCAAGGAGGCTAACAAGTAGAGATTTTTAGCATATGTTCAATCAAAAGAATTCTGGGATGGGTCAGCACATTTTAATGATGAGAAACAAAATCAAGTCTAAACAATATTAATTCTATCATTGCAGGCCCAAGACACTGGTAAGAGAGAGAGAGGAGTAAGGAGAAGAACACAGGATGAATAGAAATAAGGAAAGAAGGAGCACATGATGAGCCTGCAATTTACAACCGATAATTAACTTGGGGATAGGCATTGCTGTTAATTTTATAATTTGTCCATTTTGTGACTGAGAAGTTGACTTAGTTTAATCTGATTCTCCTTGCTTTGTAATATGTATTTAACATATTTATACTAGCTAAGTTAAGTGTATAGGGTTCAAAATTATGCCAGCAGAGGAATCATCTAAAAAATGGAGCTGTGTTTAATTTCATGAAAACAGGAGAAAACAGCAATAGTAGAAATAATGAGTTATTTTAATGGTTAGCTTGCAAAAGAGGAATCACCTATATTCACCGTGACTTATGTGCAAGATGATTGCAACTGCACATTTGCCAGGCATCATCTTAGCTTACACCTGCTGTCCCTGTGTAATTACTAAGAGCATCCTATTTCATTCTTAAAGAGTTCTGGTTTGCATGATAAAGAATATGAACACCCTACTCATAAATTGAAGTTACAGTTATATAGATTTGTACTTAGAATTAGGGAGAACCTTCTACAAATTGAAATTGTCCTGTAATGGAAGGCATTGCCTTAAGAACCAATGGAAAAACTAGCAGTCCTCAATCAGATGCTGAAAAACTATTAGCTGTCAGTTTTTAGGAGGCCTAAACCAGATAAGGGTTAGAGCAGCAGATGTATTAATTTGAATTATATGAAAGTGCCAATATTTGCCTGTTTTAGACGTATGAAAATGTCAATTTGTTAACTGAATACAATGTCTGTTTTAGACATACAAAAATGTCATTGTATTAACTGAATACAATGTCTACCAACACCTGGGAGTCTATTTTATGTTTATTGTGTTGTAAAAACACGTTCCATGTTTGAAAAGTAACATGCTATTTTTTTTAAAAATTATAAAATCTTAAAAGTTCTCCATCAGGAAGTATAAAAATTAAACTATATCTTTATTTGTTACAAATATAGTAAGATATTAAAATAAGAAGGATGCATTGGAAGTTGAGAGAAAAGTTGGGTATATTTTAATGCTATGCTGTCCTGAAATGTCAGAGCTATGTACTAGCTTTTCCTGCAAGGGGTAAGATTCCTAGCAAATAATTCAGAATAAGGTTTTTTTTTTTTTTTTTTTTTTTTTTTTTTTTTACCAAAGTGTTCTAATATAGTCTGAGAATGCTGTGAAAGCAATATTAAATTAAACTAAAATTGATAGAGTTTAAGATTACTGAGAGGCATTTTATTGACCCAAACAACACAACACACAACAAGAAACAAAGGAGAAGATATGAAATTAACACACATGGGATAGGGTGTAAGCTGGGGGAAGGACTGCTCTACCTGAATCCTGTAAAGCACTTGCTTAATATGCCCTGCCTGGCTCTTGGCCACATTAGCCTTTCTTACTGAAGGTATGGTTGTAAAGACCAGAGTTACCTTGAAGAAGCGGACTCAGGGAAGGAAGGTACTTAGAGCCAACATATCCTTGTTCTATTGGAGATATTTAGGGCTAAGACCTGGGTAATTGCTGTAGCTTTCATGTGACCTGCTAAATAGTCATGTGTTTTCTCTGCAGATGTGGAGGCAGAGCATAAATGGAACCAAAATGGAACCATGATGCATATTACAAATGGGTGGCTGACTTGGTGATGATATACCTTTCAATCTGGAGGTGGCATGATCTGTACCATGGCTTGTTCTTTCTATCTATTTCCATCTATACGTTCTGAGCCTCTAAAATCTTATATGCATAGTTCGTGGTACACATCTTTTATTGAGACTATTGCCTTGTTAATTTCTAATTCTAGAAACTTAACTCTAGAATGTAGTAGCATTACTTTCTCATCCCTCCTTATGAAACCACTCCATAGTCAATGCTGTACTCAGCACTGCATGATGCAGAAAATGGTATTGGAGAATTCAAATGCCTTTTGCAGCCTTTTTTCTTTTTACTCTGTCCCCAGCTGCAATAAATTTTCACTCTTCCTCAAACAAATAGAGCTTCATCACCACTTAGAATTTTGGCGTGTGTTACTCCCTCTGCCTGGAACACACTTTTCCCAGACATCCACATGGCTCATTCTTTTACCTCCTTCACATCTAAATTCAAATTTCACCTTCTTAGAAAGGTCTTCTCTGGCTATCGTACTTAAAGTTGCTACCCTGGATCAACTCTATGTCTCTCTTCTATTTTTTTTCAATAACACTTGGAATCTTCTAATATATCATATACTTCATTGTATTTATATTCTCTCTTTTCTCCTCCAGTAGAACGTAATGTCTTTGAAGTAGGGATTTTTATCTTGTTTTATTTTCTCTATTTTGTATAGGAACATATATGCATGTTATTAGTTACTAAATGTTAACAACCACATTTTCTTTTCTTAAAATTTAACTTTTAAGTTCAGGTTCAGGGGTACATGAGCAGGTTTGTTATATAGGTAAACGGGTGTCATGGAGATCTGTTGTACAGATTATTTCGTCACCCAGGTATTAAGCCTAGTACCCTTTAGTTATTTTTCCTGATCCTCTTCCTCCTCCTGCCCTCCATCCTCCAATAGGCCCCAGTGTGTGTTATTTCCCTCTATGTATCCATGTGTTCTCATCATTTAGCTCCCACTTGTGAGAACCTGTGGTATTTGGTTTTCTGTTTCTGTGTTAGTTTGCTAAGGATAATGGTCTCCAGGCCCATCCATGTTCCTGCAAAGAACGTGATCGCATTCCTTTTTATGGCTGCATAGTATTCCATGGTGTATATGTATCACATTTTCTTTATCCAGTCTATCATTGATGGGCATTTAGGTTGATTCTATGTCTTTGCTATTGTGAATAGTGCTGCAATGAATAGTGCATGTATGTGTCTTTATGATACAACAATTTATATTCCTTTGGGTATATACCCAGTAATGGGATTGCTGGGTTGAATGGTATTTCTTAGGTCTCTGAGGAATCACTACATTGTCTTCCACAACAACAACCACATTTTTATAGATAAGTTTGAAAATAAAAGGAAGATAAAAGGTAAATTGACAATTTAAAGAGAAACAATATATTAGGCATTTTGTGCCAGTTTGCATGGGAGTTTCTTGGTTTTAACATGAAAGTCCTTTGTCCTGGGAACCCTCTCAGCCCTGTGCAGGCCAGGACAGTTGGTCACTTTTTATTCTTATAATTGTCTATTATTGTTTAAATTTTGTAATCACCTGTTCCTGTCTTAGTGTGAGATGGCTACCGTACATTATTTTATTTTATTTCTGTTCTATTTCTACTTTTTTCCCGTGCTACTGCTGACACTACTATGGTTTCCAGTAATTTTTAATAAGATTACAAATGTTTATCCAACAAAAAGGCCTGGGGGACATCCTTCTTTAACTGATAAGTCTGTAAATGGTATAATTTCATTGGTCTTCTGGATTGATTTGCAGAATGAATACATGTTCTTCTTGCTAATACTTTTCATATTATTATGAAGAAAGTACCAGACTAGCAAACATCTGAATTCTAGTGCAAATTCTGCCACTAATCTCAACTCACCTCACCAACCTGGCCTTTGTTTTTTCTTTCATAAAATGAAAACCGATGCTAAAGCAAACTCTTTACACAACCAGCATTCTAGGATAGTAACGATTCTGTGGGGTTTCTTCTGACCTGCAGTTGAAACTGTTCCTTTTGCTTGGTAGATGGCTTGGCCACTGCTATGTCCTCAATCAAAGAACTTGGCAGTTGGGGAAAAGCAGGAGCCTCCCTGGATCTAGAAAAGTCAAGGGAATTTTGGTTCCCTTATGTTACCAGTGTTAGTGCCTGACCTGCCTTTTCCCAACTAAGATTTCCTCATGATAAAAAGTGCGAAAAAAGTGTGATGTAGCTCTTAAACATTTTCCTATTAAAGTGGCTGTGTTCCCTGCTAAATTAATGTTTAAGGGATCCAGCTGTTTTGTGAGCAATTTAAAACATAATTTGATGATTTACTATCAATTTCCTCATAAAATGTGCATGGTTATGACTAAAAAAATATACACAGAGATATGAGGCTGAACTGTGTGTGTAGAAATTAAAGGAAACCTGGCCATTCATATTTTTTCCTTATCCTCTAAATATTTAGCTGTGTGCTATCCTTTCATAAATTTGAATAAAACCTATTAGACAAACAAGTAGTTTCATCTAAATACAACTCTCATGTTTAGATTTACAAATCCTTTGGGGAAAAAATGTTAGCAAAAGCAAGTATCATTTGCAATTAAATACTTTATATTTAAATGATACTTAGGTGTTTAGAGATCACATTTTTTGCCTATTAATCCTCACAGTATGGATACCCCAAATACCTTGATTTGATCACTATGCATTACGTATATCTAACATTATTTCACATGTACTATGTACACATGTAAAAATAATCATGTTAATAACAGAATCCTCATAGTGATGTTAGAAAAAAGCAAGTGTTAAAATCAGATTGGATTCAGATCTTTACACTATCACTCACTAATTGTAAGTACTTGGGGGAATCAGATCAGACCTCTGATCCTTAGTTTCGGCCGGTGTGTAATGGTGATTGCAGTGTCTGTCTCATTTACTCAACCCTTTCCCAAGTTGTTGGAGGACTAAATGAGGTAATGCTAATAATGTATCTAGAAGAATGCCAGACAAATAAGCCTTTATTATTATTATTCCTGTTTACAGATAAATAAATTGAGGCTCAGGGAGGTTAAGTGATTTGTCCAATAGACATAACTTGTAACTTGAGGACCCAGGACTTGTTTACAAGTAATATTTTAAAACTTGTCAAGAATCCATACAGCAGATCAACTGAGTACAGGGCTGAATTATGACTTGTTGGGCCATGGGCATTTTTGCCTTCATGGGCCCCTTCCACCATAGGGGGAAAAAAAAAACTTCTAAAAATGCAGGTGGGATTGATTTGAATATATACATTACTATTATATTCACTTTGTCGTCATATTTTAAAGGAAATTAAAATAAGAATATTTTTGCAGGTCTCTACATGCGTCATAGGCCCTGGGCACTATGCCCACTGTGTCTAATGGTTAAACCAATCTTAAGTTACGAAAAAAAAAAAAAAAAACACTAAACTGCTTCATATGGAGACAAACCTAACATGAATAAGGGATCCTTCTATCCCTATGTTTGGTCTTGCAATTCAGAGTGTTCCAGTGAGGTCTCCCTGCCCCGCTCACAGTGACTTCCTAAGTATACTATAGTTAGCTCCTAAACTGAGTTAGATTAAACGGGGACACTTGCCAAATCCGATTGCCTCACTCTCTGTGAGTGATGGATGAGATTATACGAATTTAAAAGTCTGGGATAAAGAAGTTAATATTTTAAAACATGTAAAACACAACAGTTCTTCCACATCAGATAATGAAATCTAAGATTAATCACAAACAAATGTGTACTAGGAAATGTAGTAATTCATCACGTCTTCTCCAGAAGTCGTATCTATGTTAAATGTTCCAAAACAGTGTCAAAGTCTGTGTCTGGAGTTGGTGTAATCCGGAAAGAAAAGGAGCCCAGAGTCATGCATTTTAAGTGTGTAGTTTTCATAGAATAATCATTGGGAGAAAGAGGAATGCTACATTAAAACTTTTGTAGCATTTTCTTCATGGTATTTGGGTTCCATTTTGAGGGCTCTATAGAATTTAGAAATTGCAGGTTTGAACTGTATAAAATCGTTGGACCATCTTCAAGAAACAAAGCTAAATAAACATGTCATTCCTTGGCAATCTCAAGATAAGCCTGCCCTTCTTTGCCGGCTAATGTTTGGTGTGGTGTGATCATCTGAGTTTCCTCAGACAGGAAGGTTTATGAATGCAGGGAATAGAAGCTCATGGGAAAATGCCTTCTGTAACCTTTTCCCTGTTACTTTTCTTGACCGCTGGGAGCTTTAGTCTCAGTGACATAAAGTGTTTCTATGGCATACAATCCCATACAGATCTTAACTACTCATTTACTATACTGATGTGGATGTCAAACAAAAAAATACTTCATTAAAATGACATCAATAATCTTTCTGATGCATGAAAATGATGTTTCAAACGAGGGAAATGCATTAGTACAGTTGTATACTTAGGCATCCAAATTCTTAGACCCAGAAACTGATTTAAAACTGAAAAAGTCATTTACGTAAATCATTGATGTGTCAGCTAAGAGCTTGTAAATTTGTCCTCTCTAAAAGCAGTTTTACGTTATAAAGTCGCTCAATAAAACCTATCAAGAATCGGATGGAGGGATTTATTACTGTTATTTATTACAAGTTTTAACATGGTCATTTTGAGTTTGCTTTTTAAGAGACTATCCACTAAGTGAGTTAGTGTGCTCTGAAAGAGTGTACTTAAATTTTGCTTCAAATGGATTCTGGTTATTATCAGTTTCAAACTAAGGAAGCAGAACTGTTTATGTAAAGTTAACTTAGATTTATTAAACTTTTAAAGAGTTTGCTTGGGAAGAAGCTGTGCCTACCTTTCCCAAAGACTTACACATGTTCAAACAATGTTAACTTGTTCAAGAAACATCCACAGCTACATGTTAGGAATTATAGTAAGTATTGTAAAGTCAGAAAGGAAAGAAAGAATAAAAGGAAGAAATGAAGAAAGGACAGAGGAAGGAAGGAAGGAAGGAAGGAAAGGAAGGAAGGGAAGGAAGAAAGGGAATGGAAGGAAGATGAAAGGACAAGCAGTGTAGCAAATTAGTTAAATAACTAGGGTTATGGAGTCAGATGGCCTCAGTTTGAATGCCATCTCTTCTAATAACAAGAAACAAAACTTTCAGGAAATTACTTAACTTGCCTCTCCTTCAGTTTCCTCATCTGTAACACGGGGATAATAATAGTCTAACCTTCTAGGACTGTTATGAGAATCAAATGGATTTATGTATGTAAATTGCTTAGGATCCTGCCTGTCGCTTAGTAAGCCTTCAAAAAATGTTAGCTATTAGCTGAATATTGTTGCTACCAAAAAACTCGTAGTGTAATAGGAAAACAGCAAGATACAGATGCAACTATAATATAGCATGATAAATATTGTGAAATAAATCTGAACAAAGTGCTAGAGGAGGCACAGAGATGATACCAATGGAGAAAAACACGGTGTCTAGGAAAAGAAGATAATAGATAAGGGATGAAAAACATAAATGCAGAACAGCACAAAGGAGGCAAGATTAATTCTGATTAGTTGGGTTAGACAAAACTTCAAAAAGGAAGTTTCCTGATGCATATAAAGATTTAGAAAGTATGCAGATGTAAGGGCATCAGAAAAGGCATGGGGACATAAAACACAAGGTAAATTTAAGAAGTAGTGATTGGTTAAGTGAACCTTGAGGGAGAGTGGCTGAGTAGAGGGAGATAAATATGGAAAGGAAGATTAGAATCAGGCTATCCATGGCTTTCCAGAACCCTAACATACGAACACTATGAAGCCATTACAGGATTACATGAAAAGGTGGTATCATCGGATTCGTCCCTAAAAAGATAACTTTAAGTGAGGAAGGGTGCAATCATGTCCACCCAAAACACAAGCCTAGAAAATGGAAGGTGGCTGAGAAATGGTTGAGAGCCAACCAAGAGATAGTCATCCACTTAGAGGCAAGAACTGCAACACAGCTCATCACAAGGAAGTGGGTGCTGACTTCCCTACCTTGATCTGCAGGCATCAGTGGAGCCACATGGTAGCTTGGGACAAACTGCTTATAAATCTAACATATATTTCATGATCTACTGATAAAAGTCCATTTATTTCTTTGAGGCATGTGCCTTAACTCAGTGGAGCTGCCTTTGAAAGGCATTATGGAGCAATTTAAATTAAAATCAAGTCTGGAACCCAATATTATTCAGAATACAACAGAATTGGTGACGAAGTCACAATTTTTAAAATTTATCATTTTTAGTTAAAATTTCTCATAGTATTTTCACCAGACATTACTAATGTTAATTATTCCTGCTGGGATTTGATATATGTGAAATAGTGATATTCTTATTTAAATAATAATGATCCTAATAGCCAATAAATAAATAAATAAATAAACACACTTTCTGCAATGCTCAAAATCTGTTGGCAGTAAAATAACCAAGTACAGCTCAGTCTTGGAATATTGTAGGTTGACTTCCTCCTCTAAAGAAAGGTCAATGAATTTGTGATTATCCATGCAATACTGTTTTTTAAGCTTTTCCCTATACATTAGGAAGACTTACAGCAATGAACTGATTTCAGAGATGGTTGAAAATATTGATGTCATCTACGTGTTCAGACTACCAGTCCTATTCTCTCTCCCTTCTGGTTTTCCTTTACCCATTTCTCTCTTTGTTTGTTTGTTTTTTTTTGTTTTCCTTCCTCCTTGCTCTCTCTCTCTCTCTGTAGTTCATTGAATCTTTATTTTTTAAGAATCACTTTTCTTTTTTTCTTTTTTCTTTTAATTTTTTTATTATACTTTAAGTTTTAGGGTATATGTGCACAATGTGCAGGTTTGTTACATATGTATACATGTGCCATGTTGGTGTGCTGCACCCATTAACTCATCGTTTACATTAGGTATATCTCCTAATGCTATCCCTCCCCGCTCCCCACACCCCACAACAGGTCCCGGTGTGTGATGTTCCCCTTCCTGTGTCCAAGTGTTCTCATTGTTCAATTCCCACCTATGAGTGAGAACATGCTGTGTTTGGTTTTTTGTCCTTGTGATAGTTTGCTGAGAATGATGGCTTCCAGCTTCATCCATGTCCCTACAAAGGACATTAACTCATCATTTCTTACGGCTGCATAGTATTCCATGGTGTATATGTGCTACATTTTCTTAATCCAGTCTATCATTGTTAGACATTTGGGTTGGTTCCAAGTCTTTGCTATTGTGAATAGTGCTTTTAATTTTTTTTGAGGCAGTCTCACTCTATCGTTCAGGCTGGAGTGCAGTGGCGCCATCTTGGCTCACTGCAACCTCCACCTTCCAGGTTCAAGAGATTCTCCCACCTCAGCCTCCCACATAGCTGGGACCACACCCCACTAATTTTTGTATTTTCTGTGGAGATGGGGTTTCTCCATGTTGCCCAGGCTGGTTTTGAACTCCTGAGCTCCAGTGATCCGCCTGCTTCGGGCTCCCAAAGTGCTGAGAACCACTTTTCATAAAAATTATTAGATCATAAGACAGCAATGAGAAATCTCTATTTTAATATTAATACATTAATAATTACTAATTGACATTAATAAAAATTCTTAATATACGATTTTACGTTTTAAAACTTAGATGGAAAAAGTTTTGTAACATAGTATATAGACACAAGGTCATGTAATCTTTTGATTTTTTTTCACTAACTAGACTTGTGCTACTAAACTATTCCCTAGTCACTACTAATGTCTTCTTTCTTGAATTCCTGGTTTCAAGTGATCCTCCTGCCTCAGCCTCCCAAAGTGCTGGGATTATGCACATGAGCCACTGCACACCACTTTAAGTCTTCTTTCTTTGGAATTTTAGTAACATTGCAAAACATCTTTTCATTTTGGTATAGTTTAATTGTTTTTTATTATCAGCACTCAGCAGAATAATTCAAAAGCTCTTGTTACAATCAAACTGACCTGTAGCTGCCTGAAAGTTGTGCAACACTTGCATGCTAGAAACTATTATCCAACTTAGACTTTCCTATTCTAGAATATAAACAACTCAAAAATTATAAGCAAACGTAGTTTCTCTTCAGGTCCCTATAACTCAATGCAAATGAAAATATTTCAGACAAATTATTTTAAAGGAGAGAGTCATTTTAAATCAAAAGCCTAAAATTTCATTAAATGTGTTCTCAATTAGAGTTGTTAACTTTTAATATTACATTGAAGGAACTAAACTGGAATTATGAGTTGTCATAGAAACAGCATTGCTGCCAAAACTCTACCTTAATTAAAAGCCTTTTTAAAAATTTTACCATGAAACTATTTTTAGGAAAAAAATGCTTTAGAAAATTAGAATTCAATAGCAATAATTTTTATATTAATGGATACATGTAAAATTCAGATGTATGATGAGATATGGCACACTCTGGCTGTAATAATAGCTACATAAAACATATAGAGATAAAATCCAGTTATTTATAAATAAGATTGAAGTATTATCTGGAGTGTTTCATAGTGTTACAATTTTATCTTCAAACTTAGGTTTATTTTATGAAATCAAAATAGCATAAAATTTAAATATTTTAAAATTTAAAATTTTTAAATTATAATTATTTTGCCTAAGGTTTTACAAATATGAGTCATTTGAAAATATGTTTATGTACCTACACTTACTGTCTTCTTTATACTGTGAGTATCAAAACAAATTCAGAAATGGATTTGTTTTTAACTGTTGATAGGGATATGTTGCTAAGTCTTAATGGTAAGAGTGGCCATATTTATTTTAGTATAATTCAGCAATTGATATAACTGGCAATAGAATATTTACATATATACATTTCTTTTTTATTTAATTATGTTTTCTTGTGTATATGAGAAAGATTGGCTAATATTAAATATTAATGTCCATTAAAATACAAAGCCTCAACTTATCTCTTATTGTATCAGGGGAATTGTAAAATAAATACTCCATTAAGTGAAGTGCATTAACACTTCAAATACATGCTGGCTATAATAGTCATCACTAATTATGGATCAAAAGTTCTCTAGGAACCTTATTAAAAATACTTTGGTTCACTTTATTATGTTGGACAGGGTCCAGGAACCTATTATTAAAAAGTACCCTTACCCCAAAGTCATACTGATAAAGCTGATCAACAAACCTATAATTAGGAACCTCTGGTCTAAGGTTCCAGCGTTCTTTTAAAAATGGTCTTTAAAGTAATAGTAGGTACTAATATTTGAATGTTATCTGACATATAACCTATTTATTAAATGTCCACCTTTAAATATTTTTCTGTGTTTAAAAGCTACATTAATTTTTCCCCTTTATCCATCAAAAACCTGAGCACATTTATTTGTTCACAAATAGGTCTTTTCTCAAGCACTTGTTGCCATAGATGTTTTTCACTGTGGATTTTCTCTTAAAGTGAAGACAGTGCCCTTATCTGCCAAGTTGTTCTGACACTTACTGTGAAAAATCATGAATAGCTATAATCAACTTTTAATGATTGACTTGCATCCAGATGGTTGTCAGTAAAGCCTGATTTGGAATGCAACCTTAAGGCAGAAAACGTGATTTTCCTGTGAATAAAACTGGCTTGTTATCTTCCTAATTTAAGGGGAAACTACAGGATTGATAGGATGTGCCCCTGTTCTCGCTTTCAAATATTTCGGATGGGTAGATTCTATAGTGGTGGAATGTCTACTGACAGTCACCAGTGTGACATTGCATGTAGTACAAAATAGCTGGGCATTTGTTTCTGATGAGAATTATGGTATTCAGGATAGGATTGATTATGCTGCAGTGACAAACAGCCTTCAAAGTTCAGTGGACTAAAAAACATAATTTATTTCTTGCTTAAACTGGGTGTCAATTATCAGTTGAAGATTGGCAGGGGGTTCTACTCCATGTCATCTTTGTGTATCATCTTTACGTGAATACTTTATGTATTCAGGAGATCTCGTTCGTGAAAGTGTGGTTGACAATTTGGTTATCAGACTAAAGTCTTATGGTTGCAAAGTGATATATTTTCAAAGGTATACAGTACATAGATTTACTGATAAAATTATAGCCACTCAAGAAGAGTTTCTGAAATGCAGGTTTCTATATACTACTTCTTGGAATCACCATATAATTAGATTTATTAAAATTAGATTAAGTTTAATAAGTGAAAATTAGATCCATTATTTAACCAGAGAATTTAGGTACTCAGAAATTCCAATTTTCAACCATACTGATTAACTGACATCTTAATGTAGTGAGTATTTTATTCTGTTTACCCTGTGCTCGATCTCACAGAATTGAAACAGATAGGTTTTTATATTACAAATATAAACTTTTATTTTAATTCCCATTCTAATTAAATATAAAATTTTCATTGTTTCCTTTCAATATGTGTATTTGTGCATGCTGTAGACATGAATTTAGAACTATAAAATTATGTGTCTTAGAATTAGAAGGGAACTTATGAAATTACCTTATTTTTCTATCTGTTTTCCACAGATAATGCTATAACAAAACATCAAAATCTGTGAAATACCAAGCAAAGAAAAATTCCTAGCAAGTTAGTGAACTGTTTTTTGTTTATACCTCAGAATAGAGGTGAAAGAGTTAGAACATGTATAATATTCAGATTTAGAGCAATCAATAAGTGAGCCTACATTTGCATTTCATAAGTATATTTGTATTTGTTTTTTATAATATGCATTTCACACCAAATAATTCTGGATTTAGCAAAAGCAATAAAGCTGCTGCCATTGATAAGTGCTGATGGTCCAAATAATCAATTAGCAGATTAATTTTTAGAAGACAGACGAAACAGAACATAATTTCACTTACTGGGCCTGTCTACTTTGCCATGAGCAAGTGTCTGTTTTTTAGCTTGCAGCTGTAAAATCCATACGTGACTTTTCCATATGTAATTGTGATAGTAGTTGTCAAGCTACATTTTTGCTTATCCAGATGTTTATATTTAACTAGCTCTGCTTTATAGTTATCTCATTGAACTCTTAGGCCCAGCCCAAATGAAATGAGATGTTAAAGTATTGAATTTTTATGTATGTCTCACATATTTGAGATACACTGGGTCAAATTGTTGATTTATTTTTTTTAATGATTTTCAAGTTCTCAGTTTAGAAGCACGATTGGCTGATAGTTTCTATGACTCAAGATGAAATGTATTCACTGCTTAATTGAATGCAACAGTTGTGTTTTGTTTACAAAATCTTATCTAAAATGAATGCTTTCTGCCACACATCAAGTCAGCTACTGTAGGCAACTCTTTTAGTCCAGCTAGCAAATGGGCAGAATGCCCACACAATTAAGAGGAAAATTAACTGAAAAAAAAAAAACAACAGAGTGAGCATCACTTTCCAGTAAATTGGATGTCCTTGTGTTGATGTCCATAAAGTAGTTTATTCCTTTCCTTTCTTTATTGGTTTATTTCCTCTTTCTTCCCTTTCTTAGTTTCTTTTTTAATATTTCATTTTTATTTTGTTTCAGTATTTTATATTTGAGCCCCATTTTTGTAGAATAGATTTAACCCTTCTTAGAAGCCAAGAAGTTAGCCTTTTAAGGCATCATGGATGCTGGCAGAAGGCATAAGGCTCCTGGGTTCAGAAGCAAAACTCTACTTGTGCACAGCACTGCAAGCAGCATGAGTATCAACATGTGCATGGATTCTTCTTGTCCTCAAGTCCCACAGGGGCAATGTGACATAGACTCAGGTGGACACTGCTCATGCAGTGGCTTTGCATCACAGTTGAGGAACACTGGGCTTGGGAACCCATTTTACACCGTGAACAGTAGGCAAGCCTGCTCTTTGTCCCAATGGGAAACATTACCTCATCCCTCAAGGTGGCTTGAAGCAAACATAATGTGAGAAGTAGCCTGGGTAAAAAGTGGTTGTGGTTCCACAGTCTTGGTGCACACACGGCAGCACATGTAGGAATGAAGAGACCCATGAAGGTCTGTATCTCATAACATCTTTATGTGTGAAAATTACAAATGTTTTGACATGCATGACTCTATTTTAGGTGGGTATGTGTGCATATTTCTTATACATTTTTGGCATATGACTAACTGAATGTGTATATGGTAAACTGTTAATATGCATCTACCTATTTTCTTAATCCAGATAATGCTCTAGAACTTCAGCATCAAGTGGATTATTAACATCAATTAATTATGGTTCAGATCCGTTGCCTTAAAAAATAACCTTTTATGGCTCAGTAAAGTTTGTCTGCACAACAGAACAGGGATGATAGAGTGTTGGCTGTGATTTTACTTTCAGAAGTGAGTACAGATTGCTATGATTGATCACAAATGTCACGGTAAAGTGCCAACGCTGACACTTGAAACACCTCAGTTGAAATGATTGGTTTGTGACATGCATGGAAAAGTATTCCAAATTTGTGATGAAAAATGACATTCTCTGATATCACCCTGTCGGAATATTTTCATCTCTTATTCAATGTTTTCTTCAGTGTTGATACTCTAAATTGGTACTGCTTTTCCCCCACTTCCAGCTTGATAATCAGGTCCTAAAAGATAGCTGCAAAATGTGTCTAATCAGCCTACAATTTTCGTAGTTATCTTCTAAGAAATTGGATTTCATCAGTTTGAGACATTTGGATAAAAACAAATGACTAGAAACTACCCCTTACTTGTACCCATTGTTAATGTACCAGAAGGTGTAAGCATTTATCCACATTTACATCTATTTAAAAAATGGAAATTTAGATGACTACTTTGGGAAACACAGGTTAAGCTGTAGAAGCAATGAACTAAGAGGACAAAATTGTCTGTAGTCCTCAAGTGCTGCGAGGCAAAGTTGGAGTTTAATTAAATTATTTCTAGAGTCCCTAGAAGACAGGGTCTGCTTATATCAAAAGCATTTTTCTTCAAATTATCCCAAGAACACGTTCTGTTGCTCAGTGTGCTTTCTGTTAATACTGCTGAAACAAGAACAAGCAAAAACATCTTTTACCATAAGCCAAACTTGCATTTATCATAGTTCATAAAAACAAAGAGAAGCTATAAAAGTTACAGAGTGGTAACAACTAGAGCCTTTCTTTGAGATAAAGAAAATCAGGGAGCAGAATATTATAGGGCAGGGAGTAATGATAGGTGGGTGAGTCAACGTGTGAGGGTGATATTGGTAGTAGCTAGGGTGGGGGCAGTACTGTCCCTATAGCTGGGTCCTGGGGGACTCTACCTTGGTCCCTTCTCTGGCACTGCTCTGGCCATGCCCCACTCTACAGATGAGAAGTCCATGGAGATAACTGGAAATGTCCTCCTAGAGTCTGAACACACCACTCTTCTTGACTGTGAATGAGGAATCTGGAGCTTTTCTTTACTTAGAATATAATTATATAGCAATTAAAAATCATCATGACAAGTCAAGAAAAACATCATGGAAGAAAGAAAAAAACTTTATACCTTGAACTGCACTTTTTTCCTGCTTTTTAAAAAGGGGCCTTGCATTTTTATTTTGCACTGTAACCTGTACATTCTATAACTGACCTTGTATGTAGCCATTCTTTGTGAGAAACTACTTCTGCTTATTCTCAAATAAAGATACGATAGCTAGCACACAGGATATAAGCATCCCCAGCAATTCCACTCCAAGGAAAATATCTAATAGAAATGCATACATTCATCTAAAGCCATGTACAAGAATGTTCACAGAAGTTCCATCTCTCATAGCCCAATACTGAGAATCATCCAAATGCACAATTAATTCTGGAAACAGAGTACATCCACAAACAACAAGATACATTAATCTCCCAAAGATAATGCTGAATCAGAGAAACCAAATACAGAAGAGTACACACGGTGTAATTTCATGTATATGCATTTTAAAAATAGGCAGAACTAATCTATGGTGTTAGTTACTGTGGTGTTAGAAGTCACAGTAATGGTTACACTCGGTGGGGGCAGGATAAGTACTGAAAGAGGAATAAATGGAACTTTCAGTGTCCTGATAATATTTTCTTTCTTAATCTGGGAGCCAGTGTTAATCTAGAAAAGCTCATCAGGTTGTAACTTAAGATTTGTGCATTTTCTGTATGTATGTTATATGTCAATAAAAAGTTAAAAAAAATACAGTAGTAAAAAAATCTTGCATTCTTCTATTCACTGCTACTCGCCTACTGTTACCCTCCAGAGGCTTAGGCTATCTTTTCTTTTAATCTCTGTTTGCGTGTGTCTTTATGTTTGTGTGCTTTTGTTTTTGTTTTTGTTTTGAGATGGAGTCTCACTCTGCTGCCAGGCTGGAGTGCAGTGGTGCAATCTCGGCTCACTGCAACCTCCGCCTCCCGGATTCAAGCGATTCTCCTGCCTCAGCCTCCGATGTTTGTGTTTTAATTTTCAGATCAAGTACCATGTCTAGAAGGCTATGACTTTGGGAAGGAATGCAGTTTGACAAATCTTAATCTTTCTAATCAGAAGATTGATGGTTTACAGAAATTTCACGTGCCTTTCAGTGTCATAAACACTACTAAAAATTCCACCAATTTGGTCTCTGACCAAGAAAAATAAAAAACATGACAAAATCTAAACATAAATGCTTGTTACTGAAAAGCTTTTCCATTCAATTTGTTGTTGTAGTTAAGATCCCAAGAACTCAACAGCCATGTTACTTTGCTGACCTATGCTGGCACAGTTGGAGGCCAGTATTTGATTTTGGCAAAGAGAAATGGAAAGTGTGTCTTTTTCAGACAGATTCTATGTTTATCCTGTTTATTTATGGTAGTTAAAAAATTAAGTTGTTCACCCACAGAGGCTTCCCTTTTTCTCAGTGACCTCCATTTTGTAATCTTCAGTATATTGAAATACTTCTCCTGGCATCCACAGCAAAGAGCTTTCTAACTAAATAAACTTAGCAGTCAAAGGTCTGGTCTGTACGTACCCTTGAGTTATTTTCAATTCTCCTGAGACTGAAATCACTATAGCAATGACATTTTATTCTACCTAGATCCTTATTGGAGATGCCTATTAATATAACATTTATCAGAACAGATTAGTTTATTTTGGTGTTATAGTAACACTTTTTACGGAAATTCAAACTGTCCCACCTCCTTTACACAGCCTTTTCTGTCTTGAGTTCTTTCCTCTATCCACAGACAAAACCGTCTAGCTCAATCTGTTTTAGTAGAGGAAAGTACAGAACAATTTGAACTAAAAATTTAGAATAAGGTTCAATTACCCTCTCAGACATCTAGTAGCCCAAAGCTCTGTCACAAGGTAAGGTTTTGAGATCCAGGGATGCAACTGGGAGTGTAGCTAAACATAGAGCTAAGATGAACTAAGAACTACTTTATGGATCAAAGAAATGGAATGAAATGAAATGGACAGGATAGCATAGAGTCCAAATAATCAATTGGATACATGTAATCTATACATGTATAGATGTGACACTTATTAAGATGTGTCAAAGACAGGAGAAATAGCTGGAACATGTGCGAAGAACCAGGAGAAATTCCCTGAACCATGAGAGAATATGGGAGGAAATCTTTTCTAGGGAATTTATGGCCTTCCTGTTAGGTGATGTGGGCTGATTCCTATAAGTAATGGATATCCGTAAAGTCAGAGGTCACAGAATCCTGAATTGTTCTATACATGTTCAATGGCCCCATTCACCTTCTCTATCTACCACTTTTCTCTTAAGCATGATTAGTTCCTCTTACTGAAAGAGTCTAACAATCTGCCTAAGTTCCTGAAGATTCCTGGCAACATACACAAAATGGAGAAATGGCATCTTTCTACTTTTTGTTTACTTTCCTTTGCCCATACTGGCTTATTAAAGACTATTAACATAAAGCAAATCCTTAATTTAAGGGATACATTATTTTTCTTAAAGATCTGTGATTATAGCCAAGTAGTAGGTCCCAAATAAATGACAAAAATGCTGGCTGGTTTTACATCAGCATAGTATGGGTGAGTTTAAGTGCAATAGTCTTCTCAAATCTCTAGGAGGGTAATTGACTTAAATGTGTCACTTCATTTGTGGATAGCATTACAAATCCTTTTTCCCCAAAACTACGTGTTGCTTCTTTCAAAGAAAACGCTGTACTACCATTCTATTTTTTTCTTTTACTTTTCCCCTCAACTAGCATAAACCCTTTTTAATTTTCAGTTTTTATGCTCCTCCTTCATGAAGCTATTTCTGATCCTCTCTGTTAAAATGAATACTCAAAACTTTGTGCTCACATAGTGCTTTGTTTATATCTCTTCTATGGCTTTGCACTATAATTATTTATATACATTCTTGTCTTTTCTAGCAGTTGGCAATTTCTTTGAAAATGGAGCATTCACCGTATTCATTCTTACTGCACAATATCTAGCATGGCACCTGTCTTAAATTAGGCAATTGATATGCATTGGAGAGTTTCAATACGTGGACAAAAAAACAATGTTCCAAGGACAGAATTCATGCTACAGTTAACAAAGATTTCAATCCATGATTGTACCAGAGGCAAAGAAAGTATGTTATTAAAGGAGATTACGAGGGAGGGAAACATAATTTTAATAAATGAAATGGATACCCAAGTAGATTAATATTGGGACTGAATATATGAGTTATACAGAAACATAGCACAAATGAGCTATTATACTGAAAGCTCCGAAGATTTTAATATTAATTTCTGAGTTTACCCCTTTAAATTAGACTCATAGTTGAAATTAGGAAAATCGCTTTCTTCATAGCAGATTCTGTGCATATTCCTTTCTCCTTGAGTTATTAGCATGGTAGGTCAATGTACTTATCAAAGAGAGATCTGGAGCTTTAAACAAAATTAAAAATTTTCTGATCAGGATTTAAATCAACATTTTCTGACTAAATGGCTTTTACACATAGGCCAGAGGGAAAAAAAAAACTCAGCTTTTTGGTAACTTGTCTTTCTTTCTGACATAGATGAGGACTTAACCATTTGACCATCGGGTCTGTCTTATAGACCTTTATCTCAGCTTTGGTTTCAAAATAATTTTCTGAAAAAGAATACAGTGTCTTAATAGTCTACTTCTTTACCAGCTGCCAAATGAAAGAAAAGTGCTTCTATGAAGGACAAGTAAATTTTCTCAGAAGTCTTGGGTGAAATACTTGAGATTTTTTTCTTTGGTACGGGCTTAGATGTAGACAGGTATGAGCTCAAATCCTGGCTCTGTTATTTATTCTCTGAGTGATCATAGGATTGTCATTTAAACCCTCTGAGTTGATTTTCTCATATTGAAGTAGGAATCAATGATCATTTTTGTACAGATATGTAAATATGCACAGATACCTTCATCTGTATGTGCATAGATTCATCTCTAAAAGGTTACAGGAAAAACAGGTTGCAATTTTTCCCTCCAGGGAGAGGAACTGGATGTGTTGCAGGTGTCGAGATGGGAGAGAGACTTACTTTTTAGGGTATACTCTTTTATACCTTTAGAACATTGTACCATTACATGTATTATTCTTTTAAAACTAAACTGCTTGATTTGAAAAATAATGCAATATGAAATAAAATTTCTAACACAGTTCCTGACATGGTACTCAGTAAATATTGTCTTCATCTTCTCTATTTTACCTCCAACTTACCCTCCCTGATCTGGTATCCATAAGAAAACATGTCTGCTCTTTTATGGAAATTTTAGTTCTACCGTATTTTTTCTTAATCTATCCTTGTGTTCCATTAAAGGAAGTTTTGAGTTTTCCTTTTGCAATTGTTTTTAACCATAGAATAAGCTAAAATTTAAGATTAATTTCCACAATTGCTGAGTTTTTTGTTATTTATTTATTTATTTTGCCTCTTGTTGGTGGGGATAATATACCTTAAAAACTAAATGTTTACACTAGTAAACAACTAGAATAGATAAATGCTGAAGATATTTATGTTTCTAGAAAATCTAAACTTTAATAACATAGCTTGTCTGTTTTTGGTAAGACATACAGATCTAAAAGCCTGATGATAATATATTCCTTTAAGGAACATTTATGCTGTCTACTATATATGTGTCTGATACCCTCACTCTCGTGTTACTTCATTTGACTTAATCAGACACATTTCCTTCTCCTTGCAGAGGTAACATTGCAGGAGACAGATAATAAACAATAAAGTAATAAATAAGTACATTCCTTAGTATGTTGGATGGTGGAGTATGCTATGGAAATAACGCAAAGGCAATCACGGGGAGGGGACATGAGAGTGCTGGCAGAGTCTTCAGCTTTAACTATGGTGGTCAGAGTGGCCTTGATGAGAAAGAGATGGAGCAAAGACTTGAAGTGGATGAGGGAACAAGCCACACAGAACCTGGGGGAAGAGTATTCCTGGCAGAGGAAACAACCATTACAAAGACTGTTTAAGCAGGAGCATGCTGGTATGTTCAATGAATAGCAGGGGAGCCAGGGTAGCTGCAGAAAGTGTGATTAAGAGGAGGCGTGGGAGGAGAGGAGGTCTGTAATAACTGGGATAAGGCTGTGTAGAGTCTCTTAAGTCGTATTAGCAAGCTCAGTTTTTACCTTGAGTGAGATAGGGAAACATGGATGGTTTTTGGCAGAGAATCTGACTGCTGTTCAGAATAGATGATGGAAAGCTAAGAGACGAAGCAGGAAATAATATTTATTGGTGTACTATAGGCAAGAAATTGTGTCCTAAGTCCTGGATTTCTATGTGAGGTGAAGGAGAAAGATAACGCAAGGATAACTTAAAGGTGTGTGGGTTAGCACCTTGAAGAACATGCCACCGTTCACCAAGATGGGGACATCAGAAATGGAGGGTGAAACCCTGGGAGGTCATTTATCAGCATATTCAGTGTTAGATGTCTATTAATTATCTAAGTGGAGATGGTGATGGGATAGAGAGCTTTAGGCTAAAGATATAAATGTGGAAGCCATTTATAAATAAAGCCTAAATAAATAAATAACCAAATAAAGCCTAAATAAAGACTTGAAAATAGTCATCCCATTTTAGCCCCCAAAACAAGCCAGGGTATCCTGGTTGATTCTAAGAGAAGAGTGCAGACCTGGTAGAAAACCAAGGAAAAGACAGTGCACTGAATCGGGGTGTTTTCTCTGAGGTCACTTCAGAATGAGGTGGCCATTTACAGATTGTGGGTTTGGGACAAGCTCTTTTTTTCTGCAGGGGCTTCTGTCAGGGAAGTCAAATAACTGGCACTTTGAACTTGAGGCCTGGATGAGATGCTTTCTTAAAATCTTTGAAATCTTTGTGTGAGTGTGTGAGCACACTGTGTATGTGTGTGTGTGTGTGTGTGAGAGAGAGAGAGACAGAGAGACAGAGAGAAAGGAAAGAAAGAAGAAAAACAAGCAAAACAAACAAAAACCTAGTACAGACACTATTACTTTAAAGATGCAAGCAGTTTTCCATCTTGCAAAGGTAAAGATAGAAATACACTTTTGGTACTGAATATTTCTTTGTCCAGAAAATAACCATAAGTATTGACATAATGGTAAAGCAGAGGCCATGACTACAAGTGGAGGTGTTAAAAAAAGCCAAGATGAGTCGAATGCTCTGCTCTGAGTGATTGTGTATAAAATAGTATGGAGTCTGGAGACAATCAAATTATGTTATAATTAAGTACAATAGCTAGGAAGATTGAAGCCAATTTGCAGCCATTAGTAAGAGCAAATCAACATACAATGTATTTGTGTATACTTATAATCCTGAGTTTTCATTTTAAAATATTTGTTCATATTTTCTTTGTAAACATTATATATATTTCATTGCATATGAATAAGATTCCCTATATTCATATATTTTATAGTATGATGCAAAAATATAAACAATATTTTCAATTAAATTTCAGTGATGGCTTCAAAAATATTGATTAAAAGGCCAGGCTTCATTTCTCATGCCTGTAATACCAGCACTTTGGGAGGCCAAGGCAGGAGAATTACTTGAACCCAGGAGTTTGAGACCAACCTGGGCAACATAATGAGACTTTGAATCTACAAAAAATATTAAAAATTAGCCAGGCATGGTGGCGTGTGCCTGTAGTCCCAGTTACTTGGGAAGCTGAGATAGGAGGATCACCTGAGCCCAGGGAGGTTGAGGCTGCACTGAGCTGTGATTGTGCCACTGCACTCCAGCCTGAGTGAGAGTAAGACTCTGCCTCAACAAAAAAAAAAAAAGAAAAAGAAAAAGATTAAGAGATTACTATGTATTTGGACATAGTAATGTGGTCTTTGGATATTCTTGACAGAGATAAAATATGGTCGATGGTCTTTGGATATTCTTGCCAGAGATAAAACATTTAATATCTTAATTACTAAATATAAGAAATCATAAATGGTAATATTGTAATTCTGGTACCACAATACCCAATTTAATTGTT
This sequence comes from Homo sapiens, assembly GCF_000001405.40. Lineage (NCBI taxonomy): Eukaryota > Metazoa > Chordata > Mammalia > Primates > Hominidae > Homo > Homo sapiens. Next base: position 182,343,670 of record NC_000002.12, on the reverse strand, counting down.
ATCACAATTAATTGATAAGTATATTGCAAAAACACAATAATAGTTTAGAAGACATAGACCTGTATAAAATGCTAACCTTGTCAATTAGGCTGCAAAATGTTTTAAGTGTAAGAATTTTTAGAGGTTGGAGCAATTTTAATGACAAATTTTCTAGTTGTTTTCTTATCTTAGAAGAAACATATTATACTAATATTGTAAGAATAAAATTCAAAGATCACCTAGTTAGGTCTGCTGCTTATGGCATCTGAAAACCTTCAGAATTATTTCCTATTTAAATTATGTATATGTACTGTGAAGTGGTTAGTTGGTATAGTGCTGTATATCTATTAAATGTTAGCCAGGGAATAAGGTGATAACTATTAACTCTAATTTATAGTGAATAAGCAGGAATTAGACCTGCCTGCTTAATGTTAAATTTCCACCAAAATGCCCAAACAAAACAACCTTGAACTGTGACTATACCTGAATTGACCGTGTCCTTGCAGGTGGTGACATTGTAAATTGAATTATGCACACTCTAAGTGGATGAACTGATTCATGCAGAACATTCAGGTGTCAACCAATGAGTATTATGGGCCTATTTGTATATAAGACAATGTATCCACTCCATAGTCCAATTATAAAACATAATTATAGTTGCATTTATTCTTCATATGCAGTTTGTACATGTATTCACACACAAACATATGTGAACGCATGTATGTGCATATACATATTGTATATTCACCTTATCCTGCATAGGAGTCTAAGGGACAGAGAAAGTGTCTTATTATTCTGGAGCCCTGAACCTCTCTTCAGTATAACACATTAGAATCTCTAGTTATAGGTATGAAAGAGTCTATTGACTTTCTTGCAAAAGAGTTCCATATGAAATTATGTTATGTAATATGGTTCCATATAAATGATGACTATTTCTATATTTTAAATAGAAAACTCAGTATAAATTAACTTAGTTTTTTTGTGTGTGTTTGTTTTGTTTTTCATTTTTGAGACGGAGTCTCGCTTTGTTGCCCAGGCTGGAGTGCAGTGGCGCGATCTCAGCTCACTGCAACCTCCACCTCCCAGGTTCAAGTGATTCTCCTGCCTCAGCCTCCTGAGTAGCTAGGACTACAGGCACGTGTTACCACGCCAGTCTAATTTTTTGTATTTTTAGTAGAGATGAGGTTTCACCGTGTTAGCCAGGATGGTCTCCATCTCCTGACCTCGTGATCCTCCCTCCTTTGCCTCCCAAGGTGCTGGGATTACAGGCGTGAGCCACCGTGCCTGGCCTATGTTTAGGTGATGTTTTTTGCTTCAGAATCTTTGAAAAATCTTTCTTTACAACAAACCTTCATGACACGTGCTTACCTATGTAACAAACCTACAAATATACCTCTGAACTTAAAATTTAAGAAACAAAAAATACTATATAAAAACAAACAACAACAACACTTTCTGATTTGTCTACCAAGTCTGGTCCAGGTATAGTACAAAGAAGTGAAATGTTCTCAGCCAAAACATAAAAGATTGTTTAATAGTTATAAAATGAACATTTAACACAAAATTTCTGGGAGCAAATATGAGAAAATTCTGCTAATATATAAAAGATAACTATAGAAAAGGGCCGGGTGTGGTGGCTCATGCCTGTTAATCCCAGTGCTTTGGGAAGCTGAAGTGGGAGAGTCACTAGAGGCTAGGAGTTCCAGATCAGCCTGGGCAACATAGCGAGGCCTGGTCTCTACAATAAATAACACTTTTTTAAAAAAAGTAGCTGGGTGTGGTGGCGTGTGTCTGTAGTCTTAGCTACTGGAGAGGCTGAGATGGGAGGATTGTTTAAGCCCAGAGGTTTGAGGTTGCAGTGAGCCATGATTGCACCACTACACTCCAAGCCTGAATGGCAGAGAAAGACCCTATCTCAAAAAAAGAGGATAAAGAAATTTTACCAAATTTGTAGCTTATTCAAAGAAAGTGTCACATGTGAACACAATAAAGCACCAGAGTAAGAATAGCTTTCTCCCTATCAATTGCTCACTCAGTGAAGTTACAAAGAAAATTTCATAAGTAAGAGCTTATGCTTTATGGGGGTGATGGATAAGATAAAACTGCATGTCACACCTGTTTATCAAAATATATGACCAGGCCAGGCTGGAGTTTCTGGGGCTGCTGAATCTTCAGGGAAGGGAACTATGAGGTAGATTGGAGTTCCCATATGAGTGTACCATGGGACTAAACAAAGACGATTAACAATGGGGATATCTTCAAAGATGACATTAAAACAGTTATTGCCACAAATATTGCTGTTTTTATAGTTAGAAATTTAGAAAAATAGCCTCTGTATACAAGCACAACTCATACAAATGACTTCATCAATAGGATGCTGTGGATGAGGAGTTAGAAATCTTGGCTTCTTGAGCCAGATTGGCTACTTCTTGGTCTTGTAATTTAGATAGGATCCCAAATCGCTTGAATTTTGCTTCTCTCCTTAATAAAATGAAGGGAATTATTCATGTCCATGTTCCTCTCTATAACGTTGTGAGAATTGGGATTGAAAGTGTTGATGTTTATAAGAGTACTTTGAAGGAGTAACATACTATTGAAAACTTAGGTTTTATTATTAATGAACAGCCAAATTCCTGTATGCTCAGCACCATACTAAACAATGCCAGAGCATGTTAGAAAACAGTTTACACTTTCGAAGCTTCTAGGAGGAAATAACACTTTAAGTCAGAGTCCAGAGAACAGGAAGACACCTTAGAAGTTAAATTACGTATCCAAACTCTCCATTTTACAAATGAGAATTCTGAGACCTAGAAGATCCGTTTGATTTATCCATGATTCTACAACTAGCCTGGCATAACCAGGCATCATGACTCTAAAGGAGAGGTAAGAGAAATTCTCTACAATATATCCATTTGATCTGTTAAAACATTCATCATCATTAAATTATTTTTAATACCCAGATTTCGGTTAACTTCCTTCTGTTTTAACATCAGGGCTACAGAAAAGCTAGCTATTGTCCCTTACATTCTAGCTATTTAATTTATATATAACATAGTCATGCAATTTTCACAGAAAACCCTTTCTTAACCACTTTTCCTCCTACTTAAAAATCTGAAGATGCTACATGTAGTTAAGGGCTAGCTTCTCTTTTGTATTCTGTTTCTAATTTCAAACTTCCCATTTTCTGCAGTTTTACAAGAGGTATTTCATGAAGTGAGTTTTATGAGACAAGGTGCCCTTGGCTTAGTTTAATGCCACATGAGAAAGGAGGTGTCGGAACCCAAAATAGCCTTTAGAAGCTTTATTCTTCAGTATTCATTTCACTTGGAGGCTCTTTGAAAGTTTTGACAGCAAACTAGTCTTCAGTGATGAGAGCAGGCATTACCCATGCAGAAGTTATGGTGGTGAATTTTATTAGACATACTTTCTGAAGAATAACATTTAAATTGGATATAATTTGCCTGAAAGCAAATAGAAGTACAGTTGCATATATTACAAATGACCTTAAAAGCAGCCATTTGCTTATTTTGAAACTCTTCTGACAATTTTATAAATCTACAAACTGCATATACTTCATTTTAACGTTTACCTTGGCCTTGTCATAATTCAACAATCCCCATAAATTGTTCTTTAATGAAAGTTGCATTTTACAGTATAATCTCAGCCATCTATGCCCAAACTACGCAGCAAGAGCTTGCTTTATCAGGATTATTCTGAGGCATATTTACATCTCTAGAATAAAGTAGGATATTGAATATATGATTATCATTCCCTTTGCCCTAAGTAAATTGGGTTTAGGACTTTAGAAAATGAAAACTCTTCTCCCTCTTTCACAAAACATAAGAATAATTGCAAAAGTTTCATGGAATCTACATGGAGTAGACCTGCTAAATCAAAATTTCATGGAGTGTTAATATTTTTAAAATGCTCTACAAGAGATTATGAGTGGGCAGGTTTTGGAACCACTGTCATAGATGGAAGTAGAATATTTAATTTCCTCTGAAAGAGGGACCAGCCCTTGCCTTTTAACTCCCAATTGTTCAAGATTTAGAAGTGCAGTAGGCTCCAGCAGATAGAACAGGACTTGTAGAACTCAGGCCATTTTTATGTGAGCATTTTAACACAAAGAATTGAATTGAGTCACTTTTCAAAGCAGTTATGTTCTGATGATTATTTGAGTTACATATTATTACAGTAATGAAAGCATCTTATTCAAATTAAGTAAGCTTAATTTTTGTTGAATCTAGATTGTGTTTGAATTTTATAGCTCTTTTAAAAAGTAATTTTCAAGAATGAGATTTTTATTGCCATACTTTTGTTTACAGAATGGAAATTCATGGATAAGAGCATCTAGTTTATACTGAACATTTTCTCAGGCAACTTGAGAAATAAAAAAGTAATATGAAATGAGGTAGGGTAAAAAAAATGCACCTTTGAGAAATACAAATTTCATTGAAAGTCTTCACAATCTATTAAACAAGTGGAAGTGGTTCTATTCATTGTGTCTCTTTTAGTTCTACTAAAGGACTCCTAGTAACACACCCTGTAAAATTTTCTTTTATGCAGTGGTACAAAGAAGAGGAAATATGCCTTGAGGTTAGGGCAAGGTTATCCTTTTGTAAACATATAGAAAAAAAACATCTTCAGCACAAATCCATGAGGAAGAATTTAATTAAAATTCATATTCTTCAGAAACACACTGATAATCATCAACAGAAAATAAGGCTAAGAGTTTCAAGCACCTCATTAAATTCAGTCTAGTTACCACTGAAATATTGGTTGCTACTATTGGGTGCAGTCAGGCAAAATAAAACAGATGACTTACTTGTCTGTCATCTCAAGCCCTTGCCTTCTGGTTAAAAATAAAACCGGCTGGGCACAGCGGGTCACACCTGTAATCCCAGCACTTTGGCAGGCCGAGGCGGGTAGATCACGAGGTGAGGAGTTTGAGACCAGCCTGGCCAATATGGTGAAACCCCGTCTCTACTAAAAATACAAAAATTAGCCAGGCGTGGTGTCAGGTGCTTATAGTCCCAGCTACTTGGGAGGCTGAGGCAGGAGAATGGCTGAACCTGGGAGGCAGAGGTTGCAGTGAGCCGAGATCACACCACTACTCTCCAGCCTGGATGGCAGAATGAGACACTGTCTCAAAAACAAACAAACAAACAAATAAATAAAACCATATGCTTAGTGGAAGGGTGGAATCAGTGATAGCTGATATTGTGATGAGTAAAGTGGTTTTGATTACATAGGTACTTATGCAAGTTAAAATTCTAAGTGCAGAACCAACAAGAAAAGAACTCTCATGTTAGATCAAGAAAGTGAACTAACATTTATTAAAAGCATTTTACACGCTCATTTCATGAAGTCCCTGTGAAGTGAGTGATATTATACCTATTTTACAGATGAGAAAGCTGAGACCCAAAGATGGCTTATGTAATTCCACATCAAACAGTTACTGGGTGTTAGAGTCAGGGTTCACATGTAGGTGCTGCCAGCTCCAGCATCCTCACTTCTCTTGTGGCCTCATTCAAGGCAGTAAGAGGATGAACTCAATGGATCCAAAGTGTCATGCATCTTTGAATGACTGTCTCTTCTCTGTAGACTTACCTCTGAAATGATGGCATTAGAATATTTTAATCCATTCAAACTGTGCTAATAGTGTGCAGGTCTTGCTGAAGGACATTTAAAAAATGGAGGATCCAGTAGGAACATACCTATGTGATATAGACCTAATGGCTCTGGAACATCAAATGACAGGTAGGTCATTGAGGATGAAAATTGACAAAGGTAGTTTTGGTTTAGTGTCTAATATTTTGACATAGACATTACTAATAACAGAGGGGTATCACACTTTCTTTTTTTTTAAAATCCTATATTTACCTTTAGTGCACTGAAAAGGATCATTTTGCTTTTTGTCAAAAAGGTAACAACATTCATTAAGTCCAATTTGACATAACTCTATCCTGTGATACTTAGAATAGGCGACCTTTTTAGATCAGCTGTCGAAGGTTATTGACCATGGATGGGGAAAGGAAATGAAGCAGCTTTCTAATGATAGCTTCTGTTTCTTCCCAAGTGCTCTGGCATCTGAAAGTACAAAAGGCCATTCTCCAAATTATTTGGAAACTCTAGTGAAAAGCTAATTTCTAGATTCTAAGGGCTAATTTTTACAGTGGAGAAGATGAAATGACATGTTATTTACCAAAAGTTTTAGGTAATTAATAATTTCATGACTTTGAAAATGACAATTATTTACATTCTGAAGATTCCACACACACTCTACCATTTAGATGGTAAATTGAACATAACTCTGTATTATAATGTGGTTAACTAAGTATGTTTCATATAATGTTTACATGAAATTAACTGTGAAACTCTTAACATGTAGGATATTTTCTTTCTTTCCACTTAATGTTCTGCTTTATTTTGTATGTATTTCTTTCCTTTGAAAGTCACAATCTTTCCATCTTTTTCTGTTCAAATCCTTTCCCTACCTTTGAGGTTGTGCACTTCACACTGTACATATAAGGCAAAGTGTATACATTAAACTCCAGATAAGGAAAATACAACCTAACATGTATTTACCATTTACTATGTACCAAGTATTTACCACTTACAATGTACTCTTCTAAATACTATTTTATATGTGTATTTTATTTTAATTCTCATAGCCACTTTGTATCATAGGGACTTTTATTTTTATTCTTTATTTAAAAAAAAAAAAAAAAGGGATACATGTGCAGAACCTGCAGGTTTGTTACTTAGGTCTATGTGTGCCATGGTGGTTTGCTGCACCTATTGATCCATCCTCTAAGTTTCCTCCCCTCACACCCTACCCCCAACAGGCCCTGTTGTGTGTTGTTCCCCTCTCTGTGTCCATGTGTTCTCATTGTTCAACTCTCATAGGGACTTATATATATATATATACTTTAAGTTCTGGGGTACATGTGCAAAACGTGCAGTTTTGTTACATAGGTATACACGTGCCATGGTGGTTTGCTGCACCCATCAACCCATCATCTACATTAGGTATTTCTCCTAATGCTATCCCTCCCCTAGCCCCCTACCCGCTGACAGGCCCTGGTGTGTGACGTTCCTCTCCTTATGTCCATGTGTTCTCATTGTTCAACTCCCACTTATGAGTGAGAACATGTGGTGTTTGGTTTTCTGTTCCTGTGTTAGTTTGCTGAGAATGATGGTGTTCAGCTTCATCCATGTCCCTGCAAAGGACATGAACTCATCCTTCTTTATGGCTGCATAGTATTCCATGTTGCATATGTGCCACATTTTCTTTATCCAGTCTAAAATTGATGGGCATTTGGGTTGCTTCCAAATCTTTGCTATTGTGAATAGGGCCACAATAGACATATGTGTGCATGTGTCTTTATAGTAGAATGATTTATAATCTCTTGGGTATATACCCAGTAAAGGGATTGCTGGGTCAAATGGTATTTCTGGTTCTAGGTCCTTGAGGAATCGCCATACTGTCTTCCACAATGGTTGAACTAATCTACTCTGCCACCAACAGTGTAAAAGTGTTCCTATTTCTTCACATCCTCTTCACCATGTGTTTTTTCCTGACTTTTAAATGATCACCATTCTAACTGGCGTGAGATAGTATCTCATTGTGGTTTTGATTTGCATTTCTCTAATGACCAGTGATGATGAGCTTTTTTTCATATGTTTGTTGGCCAGATAAATGTCTACTTTTGATAAGTGTCTGTTCATATCCTTTGCCCACTTTTTGATGGGGTTGTTTATTTTTTTCTTGTAAATTTGTTTAAGTTCCTTGTAGATTCTGGATATTAGCCCATTGTCAGGTGGATAAATTGCAAAAATTTTCTCCCATTCTATAGGTTGCCTGTTCATGCTGATGATAGTTTCTTTTGCTATGCAGCAGCTCTTTAATTTAATTATATCCCACTTGTCAATTTTGGCTTTTGTCGCCATTGCTTTTGATGTTTTACTCATGAAGATTTGCCCATGCCTATGTCCTCAATGGTATTGCCTAGGTTTTCTTCTAGGGTTTTTATGATTTAAGGTCTTACGTTTAAGTCTTTAATCCATCTTGAGTTAACTTTTGTATAAGGTGTAAGGAAGGGATCCAGTTTCTGTTTTCTGCATATGGCCAGCCAGTTTTCCCAACACCATTTATTAAATAGGGAATCCTTTCCCCATTGCTTGTTTTTGTCAGGGTTGTCAAAGATCAGAAGTTAGTAGATGTGTTGGCGTTATTTCTGAGGCCTCTGTTCTGTTCCATTGGTCTATAAATCTGTTTTGGTATCAGTACCATGCTGTTTTGGTTACTGTAACCTTGTAGTATAGTTTGAAGTCAGGTAGCGTGATGCCTCCAGCTTTGTTCTTTTTGCTTAGGATTGTCTTGGCTGTATGGGCTCCTTTTTGGTTCAATATGAAATTTAAAGTCATTTTTTCTAATTCTGTGAAGAAAGTCAGTGGTAGCTTGATGGGGATAGCATTGAACTTATAAATTACCTAGGGCAGTATGGCCATTTTCATGATATTGATTCTTCCTATCCATGAGCATGGAATGTTTTTCCATTTGTTTGTGTCCTCTCTTATTTTCTTGAGCAGTTCTCCTTGAAGAGGTCCTTCACATCCCTTATAAGCTGTATTCTTAGTTACTTTATTCTCCTTGTAGAAATTGTAAATGGGGGTTCACTCATGATTTGGCTCTCTGTTTGTCTATTATTTGTGTATAGGAATGCTTGTGAATTTTGCACATTGATTTTGTATCCTGAGACTTTGCTGAAGTTGCTCATCAGCTTAAGGGGATTTTGGGCTGAGACAATGGGGTTTTCTGAATATACAGTCATGTCATCTGCAAACAGAGACAATTTGACTTCCTCTCTTCCTATTTGAATACGCTTTATTTCTTTCTCTTGCCTGATTGCTCTGGCCAGAACTTCCAAAACTATGTTGAATAGGGGTGGTGAAAGAGGACATCCTTTTTTTGTGCTGGTTTTGAAAGGGAACGCTTCCAGCTTTTGCCCATTCAATATAATATTGGCTGTAGGTTTGTCATAAATAGCTCTTATTATTTTGAGATACATTCCATCAATACCTAGTTCATTGAGAGTTTTCAGCATGAAGCCATGTTGAATTTTATTGAAGGCCTTTTCTGCATCTATTGAGATAATCATATGGTTTTTGTCATTGGTTCTGTTTATGTGATGGATTACGTTTATTGATTTGCATATGTTGAACCAGCCTTGCATCCCAGGGTTGAAGCCAACTTGATCGTGTTGCATAAGCTTTTTGATGTGCTGCTGGATTCAGTTTGCCAGTATTTTATTGAGGATTTTTGCATCGATGTTCATCAGGGATATTGGCCTGAAATTTTCTTTCTTTCTTTTTTTTTTGGTGTGTGTGTGTGTGCATGTGTGTGTGTGTGTGTGTGTGTCTCTTCCAGGGTTTGGTATCAGGATTATGCTGGCCTCATAAAATGAGTTAGGGAGAAGTCCTTCTTTTTCCATTGTTTGGAATAGTTTCAGAAGGAATGGTACCAGCTCCTCTTCATACCTCTGGTAGAATTCGGCTGTGAATCTGTCTGGTCCTGGGTTTTTTTTGGTTGGTAGGCTATTAATTACTGCCTCAATTTCATAACTTGTTATTGGTCTATTCAGTTATTCAACTTATTTCTGATTTAGTCTTGGGATAGTGTATGTGTCCAGGAATTTATTCATTTCTTCTAGATTTTCTGGTTTATTTGCATAGAGGTGTTTATAGTATTCTCTGGCAGTAGTTTTTATTTCTGTGGGATTAGTGATGATATCCCCTTTATAATTTTTTATTGTGGCTGTTTGATTCTTCTCTCGTTTCTTCTTTATTGGTCTGGCTAGTGGTCTGTCTATTTTGTTAATCTTTTCAAAAGACCAGCTCCTGGATTCATTGATTTTTTGAAGGGTTTTTCGTGTCTCTATCTCCTTTAGTTCTGCTCTGATCTTTATTATTTCTTGTCTTCTGCTAGCTTTTGAATTTGTTTTCTCTAGCTTCTTTACTTCTTTTAATTGTGATGTTAGGATGTTGATTTTAGATCTTTCTGCTTTCTCTTGTGGGCACCTAGTGCTATAAATTTCCCTCTAAACACTGCTTTACCTGTGTCCCAGAGATCCTGGTACATTGTGTCTTTGTTCTCATTGGTTTCAAAGAGCTTATTTATTTCTGCCTTAATTTCGTTATTTACCCAATAGTCATTCAGGAGTAGGTTGTTCAGTTTCCATGTAATTGTGCGGTTTTGGGTGAATTTTTTAATCCTGAGTTCTAATTTGATTGCACTGTGGTCTGAGAGGCTGTTTGTTTTGATTTCAGTCCTTTTGCATTTGCTGAGGAGTGTTTTACTTCCAATTATGTGGTGAGTTTTATAAGAAGTGTGATGTGGTGCTGAGAAGAATGTATATTCTGTTGATTTGGGATGGAGAGTTCTGTAGATGTCTATTAAGTCTGCTTGGTCCAGAGCTGAGTTCAAGTCCCGAATGTCCTTGTTAATTTTCTGTCTCGTTGATCTGTCTAATATTGACAGTGGAGTGTTAAAGTCTCCCACTATTATTGTGTGGGAGTTTACATCTCTTTGTATGTCTCTAAGAACTTGCTTTATGAATTTGGATGCTCCTGTATTGGGTGCATATATATTTAGGATAGTTAGCTCTTCTTGTTGCATTGGTTCGTTTACCATTATGTAATGCCCTTCTTTGCCTATGCTGATATTTGTTGGCTTAAAGTCTGTTTATCAGACACTAGGATTGCAATCCCTGCTTTTTTTTGTCTTGCTTTCCATTTCCTTGGTAAATATTTCTCCATCACTTTATTTTGAGCCTATGTGTGTCTTTCCACGTGAAATGGTCCCTGACCACCTTGCCTCCTGACTGGGAGGCACCTCCCAGCAGGGGTCAACTAACACCTCATACAGGAGAGCTCTGGCTGGCATCTGGTGGGTGCCCCTCTGGGACGAAGCTTCCAGAGGAAGGAGCAGGCTGCAATCTTTGCTGTTCTGCAGCCTCTGCTGGTGATACTCAGGCAAACAGGGTCTGGAGTGGCTCCCCAGCAAACTCCAGCAGACCTGCAGCGGGAAAATGAACAAATGAAAAGGAATAGCATCAACATCAACAAAAAGGACATCCACACAAAAACCCCAGAAACCCCATGCGAAGGTCACAAACATCAAAGACCAAAGGTAGTTAAATCCATGAAGATGAGGAAAAACCAGTGCAAAAAGGCTGAGAATTCCCAAAACCCAGAACTTCTCTTCTCCTCCAAAGGATTACAACTCCTTGCCAGCAAGGGAACAAAACTGGACAGAGAATGAGTTTGATGAATTGACAGAAGTAGGCTTCAGAAAGAGGGTAATAACAAACTCCTCCGAGCTAAAGGAGCATGTTCTAACCCAATGCAAGAAAGCTAAGAACCTTGAAAAAAGGTTAGAGGAATTGCTAAGTAGAATAACTAGTTTAGAGAAGAACATAAAAGACCTGATGGAGCTGAAAAATGCAGCACGAGAACTTTGTGAACCATACACAAGTATCAGTAGCTGAATCGATGAAGCGGAAGAAAGGATATCATAGATTGAAGATGAACTTAATGAAATAAAGTGTGAAGACAAGATTAGAGAAAAAAAGAATGAAAAGAAATGAACAAACCCGCCAAGAAATATAAGACTATGTGAAAAGACCAAACCTACGTTTGATTGGTGTACTTGAAAGTGAGGGAGAGAATGGAACCAAGTTAGAAAACACTCTTCAGGTTATTATCCAGGAGAACTTCCCCAACCTAGCAAGGCAGGCCAACATTCAAATTCAGGAAATATAGAGAACACCACAAACATACTACTTGAGAAGAGCAACCCCAAGACACATAATTGTCAGATTCACCAAGGTTGAAATGAAGGAAAAAATGTTAAGCGCAGCCAGAAAGAAAGGTCGGGTTACCCACAAAGGGAAGCCCATCAGACTAATAGTGGATCTCTCAGCAGAAACCTTACAAGCCAGAAGAGAGTGGGTGACAATATTCAACATTCTTAAAGAAAAGAACTTTCAACCCAGAATTTCATATCCAGCCAAACTAAGCTTCATAAGCGAAGGAGAAATAAAATTTTTTACAGACAAGCAAATGCTGAGAGATTTTGTCACCACCAGGTTTGCCTTACAAGAGCTCCTGAAGGAAGCACTAAATATGGAAAGGAAAAACTGGTACCAGCCACTGCAAAAACATCCCAAATTGTAAAGACCATCGACACTATGAAGAAACTGCGTCAACTATTAGGCAAAATAACTAGCTAGCATAATGATAGGATCAAATTCACACATAACAATATTAACCTTAAATGTAAATGGGCTAAATGCCCCAATTAAAAGACACAGACTGGCAAATTGGATAAAGAGTCAAGACTTATAGGGACTTTTAAAAATCTCCTTTTGTAGATGAGTGAACTTAAGCACAGAAAAGTTAAGTAATTTCCTCAGCGTCAAGATTCAAGTCAGTATGATGTTTATAGTCATCCACTCCCTAACTGTGTGATCTCAGCTAAGTGACTAAGCCTCTCTATGCCTCCATCTGCTCATCTGAAAGAAGGTCAGTGGGGATACAAAATAAATAGATATGCTTCAAAGACTTCACAGCCCCCTTGGTGGAGATGTTCAGTGAGCAGGTAAAAAGGTACCTCTGGAATTTAAGAGGCAAGGTGGAGCACAATGTCTGGAAACTAGCCACTTACAGCTCCCAGTGGAAGCCCAGTGAGATCTCCAGGAAGAACACATGGAGCAAGATTTCCCTATGGGGCCAGGGAAGGAAGAAATATTCAGAAATGAAAGGGATGCTGTAAAGGACTGTGTGGGAGAGAGGTTCAAGAAACTGGAGCAGAACCAAGAGAGTGATGCTAGAGAAACCAAGAAACTAGTCAGCAAGGCCAAAGATAACTTTTTATATTTTGAGGACTAAAATCAGATGACTATGTTTGGCAATGAGGTCATCACTGACCTTTTGAGAGACCCCTTTCTAGAGCTGCAGCGATGGTAGTGGGATTGCCGTGGGTTCAGAGGCAGAGAGGGCAGGAGGGCGACAGAGGGGACAGTAAGCAGTCTTGCAGAAAGAGACGGTTGAAGCCAGAGAGAAAACAGCTGAGAGAAGGGCTTGCACATAAGGGTCATTTATGTGTGTTTCTTAATAACATTTAAGGATCAGAGAAATAATGAGACTGAGAAGGCTAGAGAGTGATAAAGTAAGATAGAGGAGAAAGAAGTAGGCTTATAACCCTTCTGAAAATATTTACATTTTAAGAAATTATTCAGTGCTGTAACCCAAGAAATAACTGATGGTATTTTTTTTTTTTTTAAGACTGAGTTTTGCTGTTGTCACCCAGGCTGGAGTGAAATGGCATGATCTTGGCTCACTGCAACCTCCACCTCCCAGGTTCAAGTGATTCTCCTGCCTCAGCCTCCTTAGTAGCTGGGATTACAGGCTCGCGCCACCATGCCCAGCTAATTGTTGTATTTTTAGTAGAGATGGGGTTTCACCATGTTGGCCAGGCTGGTCTTGAACTCCTGACCTCAGGTGATCCACCCACCTCAGCCTCCCAAAGTGGTGGGATTACAGACGTTGAGCCACGATGCCCAACCGAGAAATAACAGATGGTAATTTGAGGTTCATTCAACAACTAATGTTTATTAAATAGTCACAGATGGTAATTTGAGGTTCATTCAACAACTAATGTTTATTAAATAGTCATTATATATCAGACACCATTTTAAGTGTGGGGAATATAACGAGCAAAAACAAAACAGAAAACAACCCGCTTTCATGGAACTTTCGTTGTGGAGTCTTTCTAAAATAAACAGTAAGCATGCAAATTAATGGATAGAAAATATGTCCAGTGGAGATAATTAGTATGAAGAAAACTAAACTGGAATCCGAAAGTAGGAGTGGTCCCTGGAGTGGTGATGGTGCTTTGCAGATAGGAGATAGAAACCCCTATTTGGTAATTAGACAGGCCAGGCCTGGTGGCTCACGCCTGTAATCCCAGCACTTTGGGAGGCTGAGGCCAGTGGATCACCTGATGTCAAGAGTTCAAGACCAGCCTGATCAACATGGTGAAACCCCCTTTCTACTAAAAATACAAAAAATTAGCTCGGGCTGCTGGCGGGTGCCTGTAATCCCAGCTACTCGGGAGGCTGAGGCAGGAGAATCGCTTGAGCCTGGGAGGCAGAGGTTACAGTGAGTCGAGATTGCCCCATTGCACTCCACCTTGGGCAACTAGAGTGAAACTCCATCTCCAAAAAAAAAATAATAAAATAAAGAGACATTTGAGTATAAATCTCAAGGCAGCCAGAGATTCAACTTTATGAATATATGGATAGAAAAAGTTTCTGATGAAGAACAGTGAGTGCAACAATCTACAACTGCAGAGATTTTGACATATTCAAGGAACAACTAAGATGCCACTATGGCTGGAGTGAAATTTGAGAGCACAGGGAATAGGAGGTTGGCAATTTAAATTTTACAGCCATATATAATCATTTACTATGCCTACTGGTAAAGACAGCCATAGGAATGTATCACATGTGAATTACAGTTTTTATTTTTGTTGTGTATAATTTTTTTACCCCTGCTGGTAGTTGTTTATATTTGAAGTTATTACTTAGACCACTTTAAGAACCTGTGAAAGCTGTGGATTCTTTCCCTAGAGAAAAGCCCATGTTTACACAAAGAAAAGAAGTTGCTTACAATTTTGTAGAGTTCTTGGAACTCTAGAAACCCTTCCATAAAGCCCAGGTTAAAAGCTCTTGCTATGGAGGATGAGTTGCTGTCCAACACCATTCTTCAATGTTACTTTGATTCTAAATAATGCAGAGACCCTTACTTACCTGTCCTTGAAGAGTTTAGCACTGGTTTATTGTCACAGTCTCTAGAAGTATTTCATGGTGGTTCCCCCATGGAACTCTGGCCTTTCAGTTCCTTGATCTCCTCATTCTAGATTTTCTCCTCACTCTCTTAACCACCTGCTCCCGTGGTCATCCTCTAGACCTAATAACCGTACCCCTTCCACAATCTCAGGTTCTAGCATCTCAGTCTCCAGCCTTCAAGTTGCATCTCGTCCTTCAAGTTCCCTCCCTCTCGTATTCCAACTCCAAAAATTCTTGATCATAGTAGAACTTAAAATCTGTTCATCTCACCACTTTTTTTTACTATGTCCCTGAACTATACCTTTATTTCTCTCCCCAACTTATACTCAATAATCCATCATTGCAATAATGACCTTCCATGTACTCTCAATGCCCTCGTTCCATTTCTTTCTATGTTATTCTTCTGGCAAAACCCAAATAATATTACAATGAACTTTTAAATGATTCACACCAGCACTTTGGTGGTGTCATTGAATAAAAACAAACTCATGCTTAATATTCTGTGTTTAAATTCACCATCAACCTCAAATAATCCCTTAATGTTTCCTGGCAATCATTCCATGTTTTCCTACTGCTACAGGCTTAAATACTCTCTTAGAATCTATTTCACACCTTCTTGGTCTCTGCCCTGTCACTCTTAGATATAGTCTTTGTGACTTTGCTTCTTATTTCACTGACAGAATAAAAGCAATCAGAAGAGAACTTGAGACATTTCCCGCACATCTACCTCCCTAACAGCACCTATATTCGCATATTCTACCTTCATTCCTATAAACGTAGAAGAGCCTGCCTGTTAAAGCCATAGCTTCTACTTAGGTGCTAAATCGCATTCCTTCTCACCTTTCACTTTACTCCAGACATCGCTCCCTCTCTTCACTCCATCAGTTTGTCCTATTGGTTTAGTGCTTTCAGCACAGAAACATGTTTTTATCTTTTCTACTTAGAAAAAGCCCTCCTCAACCCACATTTCTCCCCACTCTTCATCATCTATAACAAAGTCCTAATGTGTTGTCTGCAGTGCATTCTCTACTTCCTATTCCTCCATACTTCTCAAACCCACTGGAATCAGGCTTTGTCCCTGTGTCTCCAGCCAGTCTTCAGTGACCTTGTGTTGTTAAACCCAGTGGTCATAGCTCAGTCTGTTTATAAAAACTGTTAGCAGATTTAGAGGTGATGAAATACTCCCTCCTTTTTGAAATAATTTCTTCACTTGGTTCTACCCTCACCTCACTCATTGGCCACTCCATCTCAATGACTTCTGTTGATTTTTCCTCATCTCCTTACCATTAAAATTTAAAGTATTTTCAAAAACCTCTGCTCCGGCCATGCTGACCTCTTTACTTTTCCCTGAACACTCAAGCATATTCCTATTTGAGGGATTTAATTGACTTCTGAAAATAAATTTTTCTCTGCCTGGAATGCTCTTCCTGCAGATATCCACATTGCCTACATTTTCTTTCACTCAATTCTCTACTCCAGTATCACATGATCACTTTTTCCAATACACTTCGACTTGCTCCTTCCAACCAGTCATTCCCTCTCTCCCTTACACTCATTAATTTTTCCACAGCATTGATCATCATCTAACATTACATATTTACTCATTTGCCTCTTTTCTGTCTTGTTCAAAGAAATGTCAGCTCTACTAAAACAGGAACTTTGTTTTATATACCATAGTGTCCCCAGGACCTAGAAGAATTCCTAGTCAGCTAGATATTCAATAATTATTTGTTGAATGAATGAGAGATAGTGAACCAATTTAGCATCACAGGTATCTCTGTTGAGATAATGTTTACTCAAAATAGTCTGTGAGCTTTTTAAGCACAGAGATAATATCTTGTTTACATTACAAATAAATGAGAGCCTTAACATATGCTTTTAAATGTTGAATAATTGAAAGACTGAATCACCAATATTCAGAAAAAGGTAATGTGTGTGCCTCCCTCCAGTCTCTGATCCTAATCCCCACATGGACTTTTTTTATTCAGGGCTTCTAACTCACTCTTACCAAGTAACTGCAGGGATAGTCTTTAAGAAAAAATTATTATTGTGATAAAATAACATAAAATTTACCAGCTTAAACATTTGTAAGCATACCATTCTGTAGTATTAATTACATTCACAGTGTTGTACAACCATCACCCCATCCATCTCCAGAACTATTTCCTCATTCCAAACTGAAACTCTGTATCCATTTAACAATAATTCACCATTCTCTGAGAACAACTGTTCTATTTTCTGTTTCTGTGAATTTGACTATTCTAGGAACCTCATGTATAATTCTAAGAATCATACAGTGTTCATCTTTTTTGCATCTAACTTATTTTACATAGCATAATATTTTCTAGGTTTATCTATGTTGTAACATATACCAGAATTTATTTGCTTTTTAAGGGTGAATAATATTTCATTGTATGCATATGTCATACTTTGTTTCCCCACAAATTCATCAATGGACATTTGAATTTTTTCCCCATTTGGCTGTTACGAGTAATGGTACTATAAACATTAGTCTACAAATATCTCTTTTAGTCCCTGCATTCAATTCTTGTGGGTAGATATGGGTCCACCATTTTATATTCTCACCAGTAATGCACAAGTGTTCCAATTTCTCTGCATCTTTGCTAACACTTATTTTCTGTTCTTTTTAAAAAATATATATATACTTGTCATCCTAATTGGTGTGAACTGATATCTCATTGTGGTTTTGATTTGCATTTTCCTAGTGATTAGTGATGCTAAGTGTCTTCTCATATGTTCATTTGCCATTTATATAGCTTTGGAGAAATGTGTATTCAAGTTCTTTGCCAATTTTTAAACTGGTTTGTTTGTTTTTGTCGTTGTTGTTTGTTTGTTTTGAGATGGAGTCTTGCTCTGTCACCCAGGTTGGAGTGCAGTGGCGTGATCTCAACTCACTGCAATCTCTGCCTCCTGGGTTCAAGCAATTCTCCTGCTTCAGCCTCCT
This sequence comes from Homo sapiens, assembly GCF_000001405.40. Classification (NCBI taxonomy): domain Eukaryota; kingdom Metazoa; phylum Chordata; class Mammalia; order Primates; family Hominidae; genus Homo; species Homo sapiens. Next base: position 182,325,811 of record NC_000002.12, on the reverse strand, counting down.
GAGTAGCTGAGAATACAGATGCACACCACCATGCCAGGCTAATTTTTTTGTATTTTAGTAGAGACGGGGTTTCACCATGTTGCCCAAGCTGGTTACGAACACCTGAGCTCAGGCAATCCACCTGCCTAGGCCTCCCAAACTACTGGGATTACAGACGTGAGGCAGCACGCCCAGCTGGGTTTTTATTTTGGTGTTGTTAAGTTGCAGGAGTTCTTTATGTATTCTGGATCTTAATCTCTTATTAAACATGTGATTTACAAATATTTTCTCCAATTCTTTGAGTTGCTTTTTTATTCTGTTGATAGTCTCCTTTGATGTACAAGTTTTTAATTATAATGAACTCAATTTTTTTCCATTGTTTTGTTTCATTACCCATGTTTTTGGTGTCATATCCAATAATTGTTGCCAAATCTGGTATCATAGAGCTTTTCCCTTATGTTTCCTTCTATGATTTTTTATAGTTTTAGCTTTTATGTTAGATCTTTGATTCATTTTTACTTTTTGTATATGTTGTATGGTAAAGCCACATATGCTTTTTAGTCACATTTAGTGTTATAGGTTGACAAAGTATCTATGTAACTTTAAATTAATTACTAACCAACAAGTCTATATTTTCCATTACTCTCATACTTGAGACTTATATCTTCCTATTTTTAATTGCTCAGCATGGCCTGAATTTATTACCATTTTTGCTCCTGTTGACTAGTCAAATGTATGTTTGTACCCTGGGATTTTAGCCCTGATGTGTGTTAATAGGATAGGAAAAAGGGCAGTGAATTCAAAGTCAAAATCTTGGACTGAATCCCAGAAATAACTAGTTCCATGACCCTGAGCAAATCATTGAACCTTTCTGAGCTGCAGGAGTAATAGTGTCTACCTCAGAATTTGTTGTGATAACCTTTGTGAAAGCAACTGGCACGTAATAAACACTTAAATGTTTCCTGAACTTATTGCTCAAGACTGAAGCACTGATTTTTTTGTGAGTGACTAACTTCAGCTGACTTGGTTTTGCATTGAGGGCAGTCAACTGTACAGTGAATGGAGGATGGAAGGGACAAACCGTCTATGCTGGGGGAACAAAAAAAGAACAAGTTCCAAGAGACATCACAAAGGAGTACAGACGTGGGATGAGCGTGTGCTACCCAATGTACCCACAGAACAGTGATTTATTTTCTTGTAGGTTTGGGGCAAAATATGAAACCTCAAGAAAAAGTAACATAACAGATTTGACCTCTAACATAGAGTATGCTTGGCATTAGGTGGAAAGTCTAAATATTTAAGATTACATAGAAGGTCTCTGATTTTCATCTGTTTTTAATTTTCTCATATACAGGTAATTATGACAACTAAGTAACTATGTTTTGGAATCCCCTAAACTTAGACATTAAGATGATTTTATGCACATCATTTTCATATTTAACAAAATTAGAATTTTAAAATATGCCTAAATTTGTATACATCGATTATCTTGTATGCAAGTTCCCAAAATGGAAATTTTAGTGGATTAGATGTTGAAGTCAAGATTCTTGTGAGGGAATTATGGTTGAATAGATTCTCCTCCCTGTTCTCTAATCACTGAGATATAGAACCGTTAGTATTATCCCCTCCTCAACGAAACTGAAATAATACTTCTTTTCCTATCTCCCTTATAGTAATATATTGAGATTCAAATGAAATGAAGCATATAAGCTTGTAATGAATAATTTTTCCAGGCATCTTGCTAGGAAATAAACAGTAAAAATTAATAGCACCACCTATATTTATGGGTCTGTCTTTCACTCTCCTATGGTTCTTAAAGCAGAAATGTCTTCCCTACTGGTGTAGCGAGTCTCTGATTGATTCCCTGGCCCACTGAGAAAATCTATGCTGTGCCTGAAAAGGCTGCACAGCCCTACTGCAATGTCAGGCCCTACAGTTGTGCCTTGGATGGTGTGGCAACACACTGACACGCTGGTCTGCTCTACCAGGGTGTGGGGCTTCTGGTGGAAATCCCTTGGAAGCTGGTACAGTCTCACACCTCTGGCAGAAACAGGGTGCCTCAGAGTTCGTGAGATGTAATACTTGCGTTACTATCCTCCTTGTGTTCCTGGGGGCTTCCTGCCCTATTCATTGACGATAGCCAGACCTACCTCTCCAGACAAGGACCCTCCAAGCAGTGCTAATGCTGAAGATGGATTTTTTCAGCGCTCCTCCGACAGGCACTTAAATCTTCCAAAGAATTTCCCCTGCCTCCAAGAAGTTGAAAGAAACTTTTGGCTCTTAACTGGTAAACATTAGGGCAGGGGTAGAGATGTTTCTTAAAAATTCATTTTTTTCTTGTCTGTCTCCAGCCTATGTTCAACTTCCTAATAGTCTCTCTCTTCCCTCTTAGAGAAAACATTCCTTATTATAGTTATTACTTCTCTAATGAAGAACTTCTCTTTAGAACTCTTGTGACTGAGTCCCATTGATAGAAATAGCTAATCTCTTATTTGGAGAGAAGAAATGGGAGTTTTTTGTTTGTCTGTTTTCATTTCCATAAATTTACAAAATATATCGAACAGCATTGACAATAAGCCACAATTATTAGTCACAAAGAAGAGATAAACCGGGTATGTTTTTCTGTCCTTTATATATATGTAGTTGTTTTCCATTGCTTTAATTGGTTTATAAGTTCAAAGGCTTCTATAAAGCCATTTATTTTAGATTTATTTGTTCAAGCTCATAAGGTTAAAATAACATTTGTTTTATTTTGTAATAAGTCAGCAGACAACTTTTTATGAGTCTTACAAGATGTAGAATAGTTATATTATGTATAACACTCAGAATATTGAGTATTCTAAAACATTCAGATAAGAACTCATTTTGTAGGAACTAAGCATAGTTTAACAATCAACTAACATGTAATTAAGATATTTTCAAGAAATATACTCTCTGATTTTATTTCTGGGTCTACAGCCTAGTTATTTATTTATTTTTGCGAAATCATTTAACGTATCTACTTTATCATTTATTTTCTAAAATAAAAAGAATATAGTTTCACCTATCTGTATCACTGGAGTGTTCTACAAATTCTTTTACTAAACTTTATAAAAATGGTGAGTGTCTTAAGTAAAAAGCCCATCAAGATAAAAATAAAAACTATTGGTGAATCACATAACTTTTTAATTGTCTAACAGAGTCTGCCTCATGAGAAGTGAATTCAGCTTCTGTGTTAGTTTATTTTCATACTGCTATGAAGAAACTTCTGAGACTGGGTAATTTATAAAGAAAAAGAGGTTTAATGGACTCACAGTTCCACATGGCTTGGCAGAGGTAAAAGAGGAGCAAAGGCACATCTTACATGGCGGCAGGCAAGAGGGCATGTGCAGGGGAACTGCCCTTTATAAAACCATCAGATCTCTTGAGACATATTCATTATCATGAGAAGAGTACAGGAAAAACCCACTTCCATGATTCAATTACCTCCCACTGGGTCCCTCCCACAACACGTGGGGATTATGGGAGCTACAATTCGAGATGAGATTTGGGTAGGGACAAAGCCAAACCATATCAGCTTCTAATAGTCTGGAATCTATGAAGTCTCGAGTTGATTCTGTGGCTTACTATGTGCCCAACACCATATTAAGAAATTTTCATACAATATTGAATTCAATCCTGGTGATTCTTCTCTTATCTCTTTTTATAAAAGAGAAGACAGAGGTTTAGAAAGAAAATATAATTTGCCCAAGATCACACAACTTGTAAGTAGGAGAGAAGGAATTCAAAGTGCAACGTGACTTTGGAGCTCTTATTTCCAACGATTAGGGACAGAACACCACACTGTCCTTCTAAAGGTAATTACCTTGAAATTTTAAATCCAGAGTAAAACATCATTTCCTAGAATCCTAGAATGGTGAAGCTGGAAGAGAAATTAAAATAATATCTAGCCTGGTGGTTTATAAATTGCTTCCTAGCCATGAAACTCTTCCCTTATATAAAAATCTTACGTGGAAGCTTAAAGCTATAAAACATGCAAATTTGGAGAGCTCTATGAGGAGAGAAGGGGCAATGGGAAGGTTTGTACAACTTTCAGCTTGAGGTGCTTTCTAGGTGAGTGTCAAAGAATCCTTCTAGATGCAAGTCCTAAAGGAATAATTTGCAAAACCACTGTAAAGGCCAAGATCTTTATTCCATTAGTGAAAAAACAGGTGTTCAGCAATGTAGTTAAAATGAAAGGATCATTTTACTCCTTGTCAAAGTAATAGACTCCCTTCTTTGTGGCTCCTCTCTCTCATCTTTGATCCATATAGTAGGAGGATACCGATTGTATTTTGTTCTTTTCATTAATTGTTGAAACTCATTATTAACAGTGCCTGATACTTCATAAAACCAAAAAAAAGCAAAGATTTTGGAAGGAAAGTTAATTTTTCATAGCTACATGTTGATTTGTAACTAATCATCAGACTTGTTCTAACATATATTGCCTTGGGGAGAACTTGTGAACTATTAAAAATGAAACACCATGTCCCTTCACAGAGAAATAAGCAAGAATTAGAGAAGTATGCCAATTGAAACTACAGGAGAGCTCGAAAATTCTGGCTGTGATCTCATGAATTGGAATTCAGTCAGAAGGCACCAGTAAATGTTCTTTCTGGAAAATGCCATTATTCCTGTTTTTAATGATCATCTTGGTTTTACATCTCATGCAACATGCAAAACATCTATCTGCTTTAAATAAACAGTCACTCACAAGTCATTAGCAGTTATTTGCCCTAAATGCTATTTTTTGCTTTTTGTTGATAGCAGATTATTTAAGCATTTTATTAGAACCTATTGCATGAGATTGAATGTGTAAATAGATACATTAGTAAATAATTTAATTAATGATTACATATTGTATACCTACTAGTGAAATAGGACAAAATATTTTGCAAAATATTTCATTTGCATAATAGCTTACATGTGGAATATTTTTGGTTTAGGGTATACCTTGGAAATTAGATCTCATGGAGACAAAGGAGTCACAAAATAAGTAACAGTGAATTTGCTATTATAAACCATCAAGATCTTCTGTCAAATGACATGTCTAAATTTATATTAATCATAGGTCTTTTGTAACTAGTCCATTGAAAATTATTCAACTGAAGTTAGCTACGAACATTGGAAAAGTGATTTATTGCTAAAATTAATAGCTAACTTTCAAAAAGCTGGTTGTATTGAGTCCTGAAAAGAGCAAATTCAAAGCAAATATCTACTTATTGCTAATATATACTTACAAACCTAACAAAGATAAACATAAATTTTATTCAAAAATGTTTTTTCTGTTCCAGATAATATTGTTTCTTATTTTTACTTGGATTTATACTACAGTTTTTAAATTTTGTAAATTTAGAAAATATTATTTCTTGAGCCTATGTGAAGCTGTATTTTTCTCTCAAGTCTTCTTTGGCAAATTTCCTCTTCATCAGTGCGGCCTACACAAAGACAGAGCCCTCATACCCCAGCACCTTAGGATCCGGCAGGTTACACCAGCTGTCTGCTGAATGAGTATGCTCATGCTCTGGTAATTATCCTCCACTCAAATAACCAACAAAACCAACCAGCCATGTTCTTGGGTCACAGGATAAAAGGAACTGGACAGTATCTTCCTATATTGAGCTTATGTTGTCACTAATATTAGGGTCAATACCTAGCCTCATGCATTACTTAGAATATTCATTAATTAAACAGTTATTGTATTTGTCCAGTCTTGACTATGAGCCAAGACGACTTGTATAGCTTCCAGTTGGCCCTTATTTTATAGGTCCTGGTGAATGAAAGACACTGAATATAGGCAACATAGGGCCTACCAGCCTTTAAATCCACCAGAGAATGCAGACCACTGACATAGTCTATGCTACTCTAAACAAGAATGAAATGTGAAAATGGAAAACTGCTTCTTGATTTATCATAGTCTTAGAATCCTGGAGAGACTGAATAAATATTCAGAATATTACAGTCTAACTCTAAAGAAAATAATCCCATTACATGCCAATTAAATAATGTGTATCATCTTTATTTACTTTGTCACGCCAATTTTTATGTTTCTTGATGAGTTACTGTGCTTGTCAGCAGGAGCTGAAGTCATTCTGGGCAGCTTCTAAAGAACAGCTGTACAGATACAAATGAGCCAGCTAGGAAAGGTGCTTAAACATACTTCTTACTTCTATTGTCCTTTTGAGACCTCAGAAAATATGTTTGGGGAAAATTATTCCTTAGATTGCCACAGGAGTAGATGAAGTCTACATAACATCACCCCATTAATGCGTATTATGCTAATTGTTCAAGCAAAGTAACTTCCATTTAGAAATATAGGAGTAAATAAAGATACACTTACAGCTAAATATGAATAGATTTAAGATAGAAAATTAAGGCCAGACCACAATGAGCATTGTTTAGTTTTCAGTTAACTTAAGCCCAGAAAACAAAAGGTTAAACAGGGATTTAGATTTTAAAAAAAATTTAAAAATCTCTTTTGTTCCCTATAAATTTCATCATCCATGTCAAAGTTAACAGTGTTGGTTTAATAACATCAATAAAGACCTGACAGAACATGTTTAGGTTATGTAAAGATATGTTTTTAGTTTTTCTCCTAACTCTGTATAATTCTGCTAAGAATTTCAGTCAGTAGATCCTCTTACAGAAATCAAAAAGAATCATCTTATCCTGAGATAAGGGGCATATTGCACAATTTCTTTTTTTGGCAAAAGCAAAAATTACCGAAATGGGAAAATCAATACATGACGAGAAATAATCTTGCATTTTCAAAACATGAAGGCATGAAAGGTAAAATGAGAGAGAGGGTGATGAAAAGAATATCTTCATTCTCCAAGGCAGTTCTCAACACATTTTTATAAACATAGGAAGAATGACTAAGAAAATAGGATAATGAGTAATTCATGCTGAGAATACTAAGACATATTGAAATCAATGTGGGCTGAACAAAGTCTTTTTAAAGGTTTTAAAAAAAGAAAGGAATAAAGAAGAGCTCATATCATATAGATTGCAGCTGAGGGTGACTCTAGTGAAAATTAGGACCACTAGTGTTCTGCAAAATTTTAGAAGTCACAGAGAATTATCATGTTGCTGCAAAGCTATTCCTTTCCTCCTAGAGTCTCCAAGGCATTGAAGTGAGCATTTGGCAGCAGCTGTGGTCCTGTGGGTGAAGTTCTTTTTATTCACATGATTGTCATATGGGCCTCAAGATGAAGAGCTCCAGGGAGAGTGTGAAACCAGCATGCTACTATTGCAGCATTTAATTTTCGGCAAAACAGCCTTAGCACCTCCTAACAATGCTATCTGTGAAAGCTGTTTCTTGATTGTATGGACTTATGTGTATAACATTGTTGATCTTTCTAAATGAAGGATATTGAAAATGACAAATGGCAGGAATCATTTCTCGATATGAAGATTAGGACTGGTGAGGCCAGGGAATAGCATGATGTGAGCGGTGATTTTCAGTAGGGGACAACTGGGGTCAGAGGGTGTGTGTAGGTTGAAAATGCATCATTGGCATTGCAGTTTTATATTTAGAAATAACAAATATAATTTGATTTGTGTTACAAACTATAGGGATTGAAATTCTTGGCTAGTGAGAATACAGATTATAGTGATCTATATTGAGGGGACATATTAAGTCAGCTAAAAGTGTGAGCCTGAAATTTTCATGTTTGTGAAAGTAGAGAAAGGTTTTAAATGTTTGAGAATCTGGTGTATTTAAAAGAAAATATGTATTATAGCCAGAGAATTCTGTATTTGAATATCAGCCTGGCTTGTTGTATGCTGGGGCACCTGACTTATACTTCCTAAGTCTTATTTTATTGATCTGTAAATTGGGAATAATCAAATTTTCAGAGTTAGATAATCATATCCATGCATTAAGAGATATAAATGCAATAGTATTTAAAGTGTCAGGCATATTTACAAAAAAGTGATTTGTTTTCTCCCCCGTCTACCTATTCCCTTCTCCTTCTAACTCTTGCTCACCTTCTCTTTCTAGCTTTCTCATGTCTATTTATTTTCCCACCCAGAATTTAAGCATACTCAAGAATCAATTAAGAACTGAAAGAGAGCCACCTCCATTGTTCCTAGGTCCCTGCCCCGTTACCACACTGGCTGTCTCCTAGTAGTAAAACTTTCTGGTCCACATTCATTATCTTTGCTGAAGGGTTTCTGCTCTTGCATACCTTCAGGCTTTCGGACACATCACTATGTATGCCTCTGCTTTTCCTTGTTGCAGCACTCATTGTTATGTATGCCTCTGCTTTTCCTTGTTGCAGCACTCATCATCTTATACGATGATTGCCAGAGTACTTGCCTATCTGCATTTCTAGTCTGTAAAAATGAGAACTGCATGTTTCATTTTAGAATTTGCCATGGCATGCATAATACTTGGTGCATAGTAGGTGTTCAACATATATTTGTTAATGTAATGGCTGTAGTCCTTTAAGGTGGATGATGGTAGCATTGAGTGGAGAGAATGATACTATGCAGAATGTCCTAGCTCAATGAATCATAGTTTTATCCAATAGTACTCTTATCCTCAAAAAAAAAAAAAAAGTTTGTGAGAAATGTTCCAAGAGCATCTGCTTTCTTAAAAAATTAAGCAAAAATATTTGAAACAACTCTGGAGCTACATATCACTCCACGTGTCATAAAGTATAAATGCATGTGAGTGCTAACATCTGGTTTGTATGAGAATATACTTAAGTGTGTGCATTAAGATGCACTGCATAAGTAAACTTGTCTAAACTCCAAACCAGAAATGTATTATTTGGAAGCAAGGTGAAACCAAAACACAAGCCTTTTAAACCTAATCATAGGCTGGTCAGAGGAAGAACAATGAAAATACGATTGTCCTTAAAGTCTTACAAAAGGATGTAAGTAACTTTTCACTCTTTTTAATGAGTGTGTCAATCCTACAGCAATTTGGCAGATTTTCTTTACTTAATACTAAGCCAACACATATCCAAATGAGACAAATGTCCATGTTTTTACCTTCAATTTTCAAAAATTAGTAATATCCAATTTATACAATTTTTAAAATGTTTTCGTATATTCAGAGTCTGCAGTCTGCATAACAGTTACTGAAAGTAAAGTACAATATACAATATTTATTGTCATGCAGTTTTAAAAAGAGAATAAAAATTAAAAGATATACTCATCATTCTTAGTTTTCTGAATATCTTCTCTTCAATCCCAAACCAGAAATGAAGACACCAACAATATTTTTACAAATATTTTAGGTATTAACAAAACTGACATTGCAAATTCATTCTTAACACTATGAGCTTAGTAGAATGTGAAGTACTTTAGATTAGAATTCAAAAGACCCACCCTTATCTGGGCCATTTACCAAACATATAGTCTTGGGCAAATTACTTATTTCCTTTGAATCTCAGCTCACTATTCTGTAAAATAGTGATAATAATTCCTGTTTGCTTAATTAACATTTACTTAATCAAATGAGAAAAATATGTAAAAGATCTTTGTAAAAGTTTAAACGTATAATTTAATACATCAGTATAATGCACTACAACTTTATAAAACATTACACTCTTTCAAAGTTTGACCACATAAATTACCTCATTTTTATGTTAAAGTCCCCTGTTACCCTACTGATCACATGGATGAGTTAGAATAATCTGATGTGCATCTTGCTTATTTAGAACCTGTGCAGTACATCTTCAACTCCTGGATGCATCTGCTTAGCAAGGTCCTCCAACCAGATTTAGAGACTTATTCAATTACTGCTCAGAGACACCAGGATGTCTCCTCTGAGTTCACAACTTCCAGATTCTTCTGGTTTCTTACCTCTTGGTCAATTTTTATTGCTTGTAAAGCCACTTGTGAACAGAGCTTTGCCAGACACCTATCATCAATGTTCCCAGTGGAAATGGTGATGTGTTTGCCAGGAGATGCTCTTTCTTGGTGCTCTTAACACTGCAAACCCTTTAAGGGCAAAATGTATATTGAATTTCCCAGATCCTCTCTGCCAAAACCCCATAGTGGACCTTGAAACTGTAGAAAAGAATATTTCTCTCTCCTACTCTGTGCTGGGAGTCTGGGCAGGCACTAAAGCATCCTACATGTGCCCCAGTGTCCCAGAAAGTCCCTCACTAAAATAGATATCCCAGATATGTAATCTTTTTCTCTAATAGAGTCAGTTCTTGAAGTTGGGCATGGGGACCATTAGCTGAGACAGACACAACTTGTACTTTTTATCCTCATGATCCCAACTCCTCCTCACAAGGAGCCCAGAAGTAACTCTTCTTTTTTCAACCAATACATGTAAAATAAACTGGTGTGGCTTCCTTGAATGGATAATCAGACATTGCTTTCTTTTCCTTTCTGCTATAGAATTTAACTTTTAATTATATGCATTTTGCTTTTATTTACTAATATTTGTCTTCTAGCTTTCTAGAAGTAAGTTCTGAGAGAGAAACTCTGTGTCAATAGCTTCAGTACTTGGCACATAGTAGATGGTAAAAAAATAATTCTTGAAGAATGAATGGATAAATGAATGCTTGAAAAATATGCTCAAAGTAATAATAGTTTCAAACTTATTAATGAAAATGATTGGAGAGACCACATGCATATAAATGTATTTTAATTATGGCCTTAAAAATCTTGATGTCATTCCATTTTTTCTGAAGGCATATTAATAGTTTTACAATTTAAAAGGTAAAATTTAAGAATTAATCAAGGAGTATTATTAATCAGGATATTTTACTAAGCCATTCTATGATGATTTTTTGAGTTTAAAGTGTTCACGGAAAATTCAGGGTCTAGCTAAGAAAACATACCTTCCAGACCCCTAAACCCTCACCTTTACACACAGTTTTGTTTTGATATGCTTGTAACTGGGACAGTCTCAGAAGACATTTAGTTCTAAGACAAGTTAATCTAACTGAATAAATATAATTTTCCCCAAGGTTTCTTTTTCTAAAAACGGTTTTATTGAGGCATAATTAACATATAATACATTGCATGCATAAAAAGTATACATTTTGATAAGCTTTGATATATATTCATCAAATTACTACTCCAATCAAGATCACAAAAATAGACATTACCCCAAAAAGTTTCCATATGCTCCTTGAAAATTTCTCCCTTTGTTTTTTCTCTGGCCTCCTGGTCCCAGGCAGCCACTTATCTGCTTTTGATCACTATCAATTCATTTCCATTTTCTAGAATTTTACATAAATGACATTCTTTTTGTCGGGTGGCTGTGGTGTCTTCTTCTTCCGCTGCTGCTTTTTTCTTTAAGAAGCAGGGTCTCACTACGTTTCCCAGGCTGGAGTGCAATGGCTATTCACAGATGCAATCCTACTGCTAATCAGCACAGGAGTTTTGACCTGCCCTGTTTCTGACCTGGTCCAGTTCACCCCTCCTTAGACAACCTGGTGGTCTCGCACTCCCAGGAGGTCACCCTATTGGCATAGTGCATCCCAGAATTCCTGGATTCAAGCAATCCCCCTGCCTCAGCCTTCAAGTAGCTGGGACTACAGGAATTGACTTTACTAGGCTTCTGGTTTCTTTTACTCAGTGTAATTATTTTGAGATTCATTCATGATGCTGTGTGTATCAATTATTCATTCATTTTTATTCTCTGGAGTAGTATTCTGCTGTATTGGTGTATCATAATTTGTTTATATTTTTATTGGTTGATGAAAATTTGGGTTTGCTTTTAGTCTGGCTATTAAGAATAAAGCTCTTATGAATGTTAGTGTACAAATCTGTGTATTAACATATTGTGTTCATTACTTTTGGGTAACTATCTAGAAATGGCATTGCTGGACTGTATAAGAAATGCATATTTACCGTTAGTAGAACATGCTAGGTTTTCCACAGTGACTGCTTCATTTTGTATTCCTACAATACGTATGTTTCAAGTTGCTCTACCTCATTGCCAGCACTAGGTATTCCCAGTCTTTTTAAATGAGTTACCCTTTAATATTAGATCAATTACATATTTGCATAACTGATGATTACTCAAGTGTACTTAAGTGGACTTCTTCATATTATCTCCCCTTAAAAACCTACTAATGTTTCATCCTATATGCAAAGTAAGACTCAAAATAAATAAATTGATAAATTAAAGTGTTTGTAGAAGCCACACACTTCTTACCATTCCTCAATATGCTCACCAATACAGATCAATACAGGTGAAATACCAAAGTGTATGAAAAGCAAAATATGAAAATAAAATTAAGTGTCAACTAGAACAAGTTAAAGATGTCTGCTCTTACTGCTATTCAATGTGGTCTGGAAATTCTAGGAAATGCAACAATACCAGAAAAAGAAAGAAAAATCTGGATTAGAAAGGATTAAAACTGTTATTTGCTGAACATCTGATTGCCTATGTAGAAAGCCGGAAATAATTTACTTTTTTTTTTGAGACGGAGTCTTTCTCTGTCACCTAGACTGGAGTGCAGTGGCACGATCTCAGCTCACTGCAGCCCCTGCCTCCCGGGTTCAAGCGATTCTCCTGCTTCAGCCTCCTGAGTAGCTGGGATTACGGGTGCCCACCACCACACCTGGCTAATTTTTATGTTTTTTATAGAGACGAGGTTTCACCATGTTGGCCAGGCTGCTGTCGAACTTCTGATCTTACGTGATCTGCCTGCCTCGGCCTCCCAAAGTGCTGGGATTACAGGCGTGAGCCACTGCACCTGGCCATAATTTACTTTTTAAAACTCCTAGAACTAATAAGTACGTTTAGCAAGATAATAGGATATCTAATATTTACAATAGCAACAGATATTCTGAAAATTTTTAGAGTAAATCTGATAAATGATATGCAAGATCTATGTATTAAAATTTTAAAGCATTGCAGAAAGAAATTAAAGAAGTCACAAATAAATAGAGAGATATACTATGTTTATGGTCAAGACTCAAGATGTCAGTTCACACTAAATTGTTCTATAGGTTCAATTTCAATATAACCCCAGTCATAATCCCAGCAGGTTTTTTTTTTTGGTAAAACATAAAAAGTTTATTCTAAAATCCATATGAAAATGCCAAGAACCTGTAATAGCCAAAATAAATTTGTAAAAGAAGAACGAAGTTAGAAGACTGACACTACCCGATTTCAAGATTGATTAAAAGCTACAGTAATCAAGATAGTGTGGCATCACTGGTAGATAGTAGAGAAATGTAATAAAGTGGAGTCCACAAATTAACCCACATATATATGGACAATCTATTTTTTACACAGAGGTACAAAGGCAATTCAGTGGAGAGATAATAGCTTTTTCAACAAATGGTGCTCTCAATAATTGGATGTCTATGTATAGAAATAAAATAAACTGCTAGGAGTATCTCACATCATATGTAAAATATTAACTCAAAATGAATTATAGGTCTAAATGTAAAGCCTAAAACTATAAAACATCTAGGAGAAATTATAAGAGAAGAGCCTTGTGATCTTGAGTTAGGCAAATATTGTTTAGATATAACACAAAACATATAATCTACAAAATTAAAAAAACATGATGGACTTCATTAACTATTTAAAAACCACAAAGGTTTGCTCCTTGAAAGACATTGTACAGAGAATGAAAAGATGCCATGGACAGGGAAATATATTTGCAAACCATATATCTGAAAAAGGACTTACATCAAGAATATATAAAGAACTCTCAAAATTCTATAAAAGGAAAAAGGATAATAAAAATAATTCAACTAAAAATGGGAAAAAAATTTAAAAGACACTTCCATCAAAGAGGATACATGAATAGCAAGTAAGCACATGAAAAGATAACTCATAGCATCAGAAGCATTCATCACTAGGGAAATGCAAATTAAAACTGCAGTGAGATACCACTACACATCTATTAGGATGACTAAATTTTTATTTTACTCTGACCATATTAAGCATTGGTGATAATGTGGAGGTACTAGAACTTATATAATGCTGTTGGGCATACAAAATAGTACAGTCACTTTGGGAAAAAGTTTGGAAGCTTCTTAAAAAGTTAAACTTACACCTAATATGCAATCCAACCCTTCCATTCGTAGGTATTTATCCAAGAGAAATGAAATCATACAAGATATGTAGACTTACATGTGAATGTCCATCAGCTGGGGAATGAATAAACAAATTGTGGCTCATCCATTCAAAAAAAAATAGTACTCAGCAATAAAAAGGAACAAACTTCTGATAGAGGCCATAACATGAGCTATTCTTAAAAGCATTATACTCAGGGAAAGAAGCCAGTCACAAAAGGCTACAGATGGTATGCTTCCATTTATATGACATTTTAGAAAAGCAAAACTGTAGGACCAGAAGTAGGAAGGGAATTGAGGGAAAAGGCAATGATGCAGCTTTTAGGGGTAATGGAAATGTTCTGTGTCTTCAGTGTAGTGATGGTAACGTGACTATATACATTTGCTAAAACTTATTGATCTGTACACTTCAGAAAGATTATTTTTGTTACATAAATTATACATCAATGAACCTGATTTTTAAAAAATATATTTATGCACATGAAACAGTAAGCAGAACTGATTAATAGTAGAGAAAACTGGGACATGCTGAAGTGGTCAGGAAAGTTTTTCTGGAGTAGGTTCACTTGGTTAGAGAGTTTCTATCTAAATAGATGAAAAGCAGAAGAGTGAAGTTATAATATGAGTTAGGAAAAACTTACTGCTATTCAATAATCCAACATTTTGGTGGCTTAACAGAGGAATGTTATATTTCTTGCCCACATGGCAGTTCACTTCAATATTCAGGAGGCATTCTTCCCACGGATGAGGCAGGATCTCAAACCTAGAGAGTGTAGGTCTTGGCATCCTCCACTGTGTCTTCTGTATCTGGCCTGGAGACAGGGGAAGAAAGATATGGAAGCAGAGCGCTTATGTGGCAGATCGAGTGGGAGATTTTGGAGGACAGGCATAAAAGTTGAGTATATCATTTCTGCCTGCACTCTATTGGCCAGAACATGGTCACATGGCCTTGTTTATCTGCAAAAAGCACTGGGAGATATAGTTTGAGCTGGGTTCCTAGAAGAAGGAAATGAGTTTGATGAGCACATAACAATGTCTCTGCCACAGGTATGGCAACGTGAAAGTGAGATGTGCAGCCATGGAGCAGTGAGGAGTTCAGTTTGGCTTTAGGAAGCTGGTAAAATTTGTAAGAGAATGTGGCAGAAATTAAAGGAGGACATTAAATGCCAATTATATTGTCTTTGGGGGAATAAATTTGCGTTAAATACATCTCGTTTACTAGGATAATATTTGCCTACCACTCAAAGATATACTGAGGATGGAATAGTGTAATATAGTCAAACTATCTCTCAAGGTTTATAAAGCCCTAAATGAGTATATGACACATATTGTATTAATCTGAAAAAAAAGTTGCTACAATTGCAAAGCATTTCTTTCTTTTTCAATGATTTCCCTTCAACGTTCAAAGTTTTTCCATAACTTTTGACCTTTGCTATTTCCTCCATAGCCCCCTGAAGGAATAGTTATTTCCTTTGCCTATCTTGTTCTCCTCTAAAGAGAAGATATTAATAAGTTATTAACTATAAAGGAAAGGAAACCACAGGATTTCTTAGAACACTTCTTTGGATTCCTGCTATGTTATAGCTAAGCATATAATGGTACCATCTGTGCTAATAAAAATAACAATAATGTGTGCAATGTTGAAGTGAATGATAGACTCTTATTTCAAAGATGAAATTAAGCCCTGGTTTTGTCTCTTCTTTCTGCAGATTTCATTTTTGCCTCATCTATATTTTCTGCTTATCTTTAGTATGTTCCTTGTGTCTTGCCTCAATTACTCTGATAACTCTGTCTCTTCCCTTAGGGCTGTCTGCCAACTAGTCACTTCTAAAACCAATTTGATGTTTTTTATTGCATTGGCATTCTCTCCTCTCTCTTTTTAAATTACCTTCTTGGTGCCTTTGATTCCTATTTTAACTATTTTATTGAGTTCCAAGGCAACTTTTCCACCATACTTGAGCTATTCACATCAATCACATGCAGTTTTTTCACTTCTCCATGTCTTTGTGTCAGAAACATTCTTAAAATTATGGTTTTGATATTTTCCATCAGTTGTATTTCATGCATATTTTACCTGACTGCATATATCTGAAAAATAAGGTTTTCTTCATTGATTCATTCTTCTCGCCCTTCAAACAATTGCACATGTGATTTTGACTGAAATTACTGATTTAATATTCAAATTGAATAGACTTTCTCATCTTTGATATTTTTTGATTAGAGATCATGGGTACAGTTAATGCTTTATACTCTTAGAAGGTAACTGTGACTTCATCAGTAGGAAGCTGGCCTTCTAAGTTTCTTCTGACACTTTGGGTACTTATTTGTTTTGTTTTATTTTATTTTTATTTTCTAGGTGCCACATTTTATTGGCAGAAATGGAGATGCCTTAAGTTTTGGTTAGGTGTAAGTGCAATAAAGTATATTTTTGTGTATGTGATTACCCATGATTGTAGAATTATAAGGATGGTATGCTCAATGTTATTTTCTATTTTGTCACAATTTATTGTCTCAATATAAACACAACACACTGATTTTTCTTTACTTAAGTTTACAACTTTAGAAGGAAAAAACATGGTTCTGTAAAATAAAGGGATAGTTAATAAGTCTTGTCTCCTTTCAGAATTAATGCAATTGAGTCTCTTAAATAAACAAAAATCATATCCAACTTTTTACGTAAAAGGAAAACCTGAATTTCATGAAGCTCTTCTTAGGTTAATTTGCAAACTCTGCTTTTTCCCTGTGTGAACTTCTTTGTCACTTTTTTTTTTTTTAAAGCAAGACTAATGCTATTTCATAACCTTACTAATAGATATTTACCTGGCATTTAGGATAAGTTGTAGAAATAAGGACATAGGTAAGATAAGGGCATAAATACGATTCCAATTTAAAAAGGAAAAATAAACATAGCAGAATTCTCAGCTTGTATGTGTGCTTTGACTAAGCTGAATTTTAATCAATGTTAGAGATTTATAGGTTGCACGCTGCACTTTATAAGGAAAGAAGCATATATATTTTGCCTTCAACTAAATATAAAAAAGTATTTGGATTGTTTCAAAGGCTTTCATACTTTATAACTCACATTGTATCTGTAAAAAAGATATAAAAACATACAATTGGATGAAAGTGAAAAATTTTTACATCATTGTTGTTTAAAGTTTAAAAAACTATGCTTGACCAAATATCACATTTTATTACAATTTACTAATTTCTAGATCATTTTATTTTATTTTATCCTATAAAATATTCTGCCTGGTTAAAAATGAAGGGGGAGAAAACATGATCCACATATGGATTTACTTAATTTATAGTTGCTTATTATACCAAGATTTGCTTTATAAATTTCTCAATGACTTTAAATTACATTTCGGACTTTAAAAGAGATTTACAGCAATGTATTTTATTTGGCACTTCAATATTTAATATATTTTTAGCAATTTAAAAGTGATGATTTGCACAAACCACATCCATCTTTATTGGAGTTAAATAAAAGCAATTTCTCTTATATTGCTTACATAATTGATTTCATTATAGAATTATCCTTGAAAGAACAACCTTTTTATGTTTCCTAGTTATTATATATGTTATGTGTGGTATTTCTCCCTGAGCACTCTAAGCTGGATGTGATTTTGTTCTGATTTAGGCTATAATTGTTAAACTTGTGCAGAATAATGTTGTCAACAAGGCCTGCCATATTAAAAAGAGTAATTTCTCCAGTGGACATTATTTTTCAAATTCAATTTTCATTTAACTGTCAGTGTCTTAATGCTAACTGTTAAAAAACGATTATATTTAGTTTTCTTGAGGAAGCTCTATATAGTTTTCCATAATGATTGTACTAATTTACAGTCCTACCAGCAGTGTACAAGGGTTCTCTTTTCTCCACACCCTCACCAACAACTTGTCATCTTTCATCTCTTTTGTAATTTTAGTTTTTGTTTTTGTCTTTAGACAGTCTGTATCTGTTGTTCATGCTAGAGTTCAGTGGCATAATCATAGCTCACTGTCTCAAGCCATCCCCCCACCTCAGTTTCCCAGGTAGCTAGGACTATAAGTGTAAGCCATGATTCCCAGCAAAGCATTTTTTTTTGGTAGAGATGGGATCTTGCTATGTTGCCCAAGCTGTTTCCATGTTTTTATAGTAGCCATTCTGACAGGCTTGTGACGATATCTCATTTTGGTTTTAACTTTCATTTTCCTAATGATCCAGTGATTGTCTTACTCTGTTTTGTGCTGCTATAACAGAATATCACAGACTGAGTAATTTATAATGAACAGAAATTCATTGACTCACAGCTTTGGAGGCTCAAAAGACAAAAATCAAGAGGCTGGGATCGGTCAAGGAACCTCTTGCTGCATCATCACATGGTGGAAGGGCAAGAGAGGGTGACAGTGAAAGCACATTCCACCTTTATAAGGAACCCACTCCCACAACAAAAACACAGTCCTGTGAGAACAGCATTAATCCATTCATGAAGGCAGAGCTCTCCTGGTTTAATCACCTTTTAAAGGTCCCACCCTCTAATGCTGTTATAATGATAATTAAATTTCAAAATGACTTTGGGAGGAGACAGACATTCAAACCATAGCAGTAATGTTGAGCATTTTTTCATATATCTGTTGGTAATTTGTATGTCTTCTTTTGAGAAATATCTATTCAGGCCCCTTGCCCATGTTTTAATCAGGTTATTTGTTTTCTTGCTATTGAGTTGTTTAATTTCCTTTTATATTATACATATTAACCACTTAACAGATAATATGCTTGTAAATATTTCTCCCAGTTGGTAGGTTCTCTCTTCACTCTGCTAATTGTAGCTTTGCTGTGCAGAAACTTTTTAGTTTGATGTAATCCCGTTTATCTACTTTTGCTTTTGTTGCATGAGCTTTTGGGGTCATATCTAAAAAATCAATACCCAGACCCATGTTGTATAGTGTCACCCCTGTGTTTTCAGTGTAGTTTCACAGTTTCGGGTCATACATTTAAGTCTTTAATCCATTTTGAGTTTATTCTATAAAGAGTGAGATAAGGATCCAATGTCATTCTTTTTCTTCATGTTTGTCAATACTTTTTATTGAAGAGACTTTCTTCTTCCCATTGTATTCTTGCACTTTCATCAAAAATCAATTGACTGTAAATGTTTGAGTTCATTTCTTGGTTCTTTCTTCTATTCCATTGGCAAATGTGTCTATTTTTATGCCAGTCCCATGCTGTTTTAATTACTATAGATTTATATTATAGTTTGGAATCAGGTAGTATGGTGTCTTCAGATTTGTTCTTTTTGCTCAATATTGCCTTGCTTTTGTGTGTGTGTGTGTGTGTGTGTGGTTCCATATGAATTTTTGGATTTTTTCCTATTTCTGTGAAAAATGACATGGGGATAACAAAAAACTATATGGAGATTACTCAAAAACTAAAAATAGAATTACAATAGAATCCAGCAATTCCACTTCTGTGTATGTATCCAAAGAATTTGAAATCAGTATGTCAAAGAGATATCTGCACTCCCATGTTCACTGCAGCATGACTTACAATGCTGTACAATATTGTACGTATACATGGTGGCATACTACACAGTCTTAAAAAGGAAGAAAATTCTGTCATTTGTGGCAAAATAGATGAACCTGGAGAGCATTATGCTAAGTAAAATAAGCCAGGCAAGGAAAAACTAATACTACATGTTCTCATTTATGTATAGAATTTAAAACAATTGAGCTCAAAGAAACAGATAGTAGAATGGTGGTTACCAGAGGCTGGGGGTGGAGGATATGAGGAGATATTGTTAAGAGAATACAAAGTTTTAGTTAAATAAGAGAAATAAATTTTTTGAACTCTATTGCATAGTATGATGACTATAGTTCAAAATAGTGTATTGTATATTTTAAAATTGCTAAGAGAGTAAATTTCAGATGTTCTTATCACAAAAAATAGTAAATGTTTGAGGTGATGGATATGTTAATTAGCTTGATTTAATCATTCCACTTTGTATACCTATATCATAATATCACTTTTACCTCATAAATATATACAATTATAATTTGTCAAATTACAATATAATAAAAATAATTATCTACTTTTAAGATAATAAAAACAACAACAGTAATAAATACATCACTTTTATCATTAGAGAATAAATTTTGAAATTCTAATGCTTAGCAACAATTTTAGATTGTTTGATTTTTATAAACTTTATAATCTCTTTATAGAGCTACTGATAATCTCTTGCAATTTGTAGGATTTCCAAAGTGTTGTCCGAATTCAGAGGCATACAGTACTGAATTTTAGACCATGAAAAAACTTGGAATTAATTTAGAGCAGGGATCAGCAAACTATAGTTCATGAGCTAAATCTGGTCAGCAGTCTCTTTTTATAAAGTTTTATTGAAACACAGGCTCATCTATTTATGTATTATCTGTAAGGGTAAAGCTGAAAGTATGCCCTGTAAGGCCTGTATTTGGCCCTTTAAAGAAAAAAAAAAATGGCTTATTCATGATGTAGAGGAAAAACTTACTTAACAACGGGGGAAGTTGAGGTACCTGGAGATTAGTTGCTATCTTATTTTGAAGTTCCCCAAAAATAGACTCTGAAAAAAAGATTTGAATTTAGTTTGTTTATAAAGTGGAAGTAATCCGAACAAACATTAATAGAAGATTGGAGAAGAGAGACAAGGAAGGAAGAAAGCCAATAATGTGTTATTAGGCAAGTGTTATTAATTCATGTGTTTTCTTGGTGGACAACTGAAACTCAATCCTACTGAGCGACTCTGGGGAAAAATGTAATGCATGTTCCTTAGAGTTATTTCATCTGAGGGACAATGGAGTTGGGGTCTTTATATACTAATTTTATTGGAGGTTTATGGCAACACTGCCTGCATCAAGCAAGTCTATCAGTGCCATTTTTTCCAATAGCATATGCTTATTTCATGTCTCTGTGTGATATTTTAGTAATTCTTGCAAACTATATTGTTATTATCATGTGTGTTATGGTGATCAGTGACCTTTGATGTTACTATTATAATTGTTTTGGGGCACCACTAAATCATGCCATATAAGATGGCCAACTCAATTGATAAATGTTGTGTGTGTTCTGGCTGCTCCACCAACCAGCCATTCCCGTGTCTTTCTCCCTCTCTTTGGCCTTCCTATTCTTTGAGACACAATATTATTGAAATTAGGACAGTTAACCTTAGAATGACCTCTAACTGTTCAAGTAAAAGGAAGTCAGATGTCTCCTACTTTAAATCATAAGCTAGAAATGATTAAGTTTAACGAGGAAGGCAAGTTGAAAGCCAAGACAGGACAAAAACTATGTCTCTTATGCCAAACAATTAGCCTAGTTGTGAATGCAAAGGAAAAGTTCTTGAAGGAAATTAACAGTGCTACTCTAGTGAAAACATGAATTATAAGAAAGCAAAACAGCCTTATCACTGATACGGAGAAAGTTTTAGTTGTCTGGATAGAAGATCAAACCAGTCACAATATTCCCTTAAGCCAAAGCCTAATCCAGAGCAAGGCCTTGACTCTCTTCAATTATATGAAGATAGAGAGAGGTGAGAAAGCTGCAGAAGAAGAATTTTGAAGCTAGCAGAGGCTGGTTTATGAGGATTAAGAAAAGAAGCCATCGGCCGGGTATGGTGGCTCACGCCTATAATCCAGCACTTTGGGAGTCCGAGGCAGGAGGATCACGAGGTCAAGGGCCAACGTGGTGAAACCGTGTCTCTACTAAAAATACAAAAATTAGCTGGTCATGGTGGCACACACCTGTAGTCCCAGCTACTCGGGAGGCTGAGGCAGGAGAATCACCTGAACCTGGGAGGCGGAGGTTGCAGTGAGCAGAGATCTTGCCACTGCACTCCAGCCTGGCGACACAGCGAGACTCCATCTCAACAAAAAAACAAACAAACAAACAAACAGAAAAGAAGCCATCTCTATAACATAAAAGGGCAAGATGAAGCAGCAAATACTAATGTAAAAGCTGCAGCAGTTTATCCAGAAGATAGAGGTAAGATCATTGATGAGGTAGTTTCCTTAAACAACAGATTTTCAGTGAAGATGAATCAGCCTAATGGAAAAGATGCCATCTAGTACTTTCATTGCTAAATAGGAGAAGTCAATGCCAAGCTTTGAAGCCAGACATTGACTTCTCAAAGCCTCAAAGGACAGGCTGACTCTACTATTAGGGGCTAATGCAGCTGGTGACTTTAACTTAGAGCCAATGCTCATTTACCCTTCTGAAAATCCCAGGCCCCTTAAGAATAAAATAACAGAGCTATTCTGCCTGTGCTCTAGAAATGGAACGATCAAGCCTGGATGACAGCATATCTGTTTACAGCATGGTTTATAAATACTGTAAGCACACTGTTGAGACCCATTGCTTGGAAAACAAGATTTCATTTCAAATGTCACTACTCATTGACAATGCACCTAGTCACTCAAGAGCTCTAATGGAGATGTATACAATTAATATTATTTTCATGCCTGCTAACAAAACGTCCATTCTGCAGCCCATGGATCAAGGAGTAATTTTGACTTTCAAGTCTTATTATCTAAGAAATATATCTCGTAAGGCTATAGCTGCCATAGATAGTGATTCCTTTGTTGGATCTGGGCAAAGTAAATTGAAAGCATCTGGAAAAGATTCACCATTCTAGATGACATTTATGATTCCTGAAAGGCAGTCAAAACATAAACATTAACAGGAATTGGAAGACATTGATTCCAACCCTCAAGGATAACTTTGAGGGGTTCAAGACTTCAGTAAAGGAAGTTACTGCAGATGTTGTAGAAATAGTAAGAGAACTAGAATTAGAAGTAGAGCCTGAAGATGTAGCTGAATTGCTGCAATCTCATGTTAAAACTTAAGTGGATGAAGAGTTGCTTCTTATGCGTGAGCAAAGAAAGTGGTTCCTTGAAATGGAATCTACTCCTGGTGAAGATGCTGTGAACATTGTTGAAATAACAACAAAGTATTTAGAATATTACAAAAACTTAGTTGGTAAGAAAAAAAAAACTTAGTTGGTAAATCAGTGGCAGGGTTTGAGAGGACTGACTTCAATTTTGAAAGAAGTACTGTGGGTCAAATGCTATCAAACAAGGTTGCATGCTACAGATAAATCTTTTATGAAAGACATAGTCAGTCAGTGTGACAAACTTGATTGTTGCCTTATTTTTAAGAAACTGGCACAGCTACCTCAACCTTCAGCAACTACCTCCCTGATTAGTCAGCAGACATCAACACAGAGGCAGAACCCTTTACCAGCAAAAAGATTACAACTTGCTGAAAGGCTCAGAAGATTGTTAGCATTTTTTAGTAATGAAGTATTTTAAATTAAGTTATATACATTTTTATGCATAATGTTGTTGCACACTTAAGAGATTACAGTGTAGTACAAACATAACTTTTATATGTACTGGGAAACAAAAAAATTTGTGTGACTCACATTTGCGCTATTGCAGTGGTCTGGAACTAAGCCCACAGTATCTCTGAGGCATGCCGATAATTGAGGGTTTCTCGTAGGGGTATTATTTCTATTGCAATCTATCTTACCATGTGCAAGGG
Organism: Homo sapiens; assembly: GCF_000001405.40. Lineage (NCBI taxonomy): Eukaryota > Metazoa > Chordata > Mammalia > Primates > Hominidae > Homo > Homo sapiens. The sequence continues at coordinate 182,302,245 of NC_000002.12, read as the reverse complement.
CAGAAGAGGCTTCAATAGCCAGAGAAAAAAGTCAGATAAAGAGATGCAAGAACTGCAGTTGAAAGTTGGGCTGGCATGTATGGAAATGTTAAGGGCTGAGTTATTATGGGTGTTTGCTAAAATCCAGCCTACCACTATTAATATCCACTGTTGCCTCCATTAACTTCACCCCATTCCTGCTACATATTCTTCTAGGTGGCAAGAGATTACAATTTCTTTTAAAAACCCAACAACTTAGTACAGGAGACTTAATGGTAGATTTTGTAGTCCTTACTGCTGCAATTAATCCTAAAACTATAATTAATAATCATCATGCCCCTCCTCTATCACTCATTCTAGATTCCTCTCATCCTTGGCCAGTAGTTCTGTAGGTGTAGGTTTGTCCTATGGGTAACAAAGACTTTCATCCTGAGGGGCTTGAGCCCCTGGTTACTATGACCTTTTCAGACAGAGGTCACTGTAATTGTTTGTCCATGGTTATCACTAGGCTTGGGGGCACCAAGAGCTCCTCAGTGAGTCCCCTGAATTCTAAGACATACTGTTCATTATCATTTTGCATCAATACTTCTTTCTCATCATTATGATTATGATTTATTTGTGTCAGCATACTCACTGTTTTATATTTTCCTTCTAATATATCAGGATCAGGATAACAAAATGATCAGGTAGCAGCCATAGTTTAGTAGAACCCTTACTCTATCCTCCCTTGTAAAAGCACCCCTGCACCACTACCACACCTTGGAAATCAAGTGTGTCTTTTACAGCTGAGTTGAAAGTGGAACATGGGAAGCACACATCACCCAACTGGGTCACTTCGAGAGATAATAAAAGGGCACTTATAGTTTGACTTTTTGGTTCTCAGAGCCATGTATTCCACCTGTTAGAGACACAACACCATATAGTAGCCACTGGCATTTAAAGGATAATATCCAAATCTCACAGAGTAACAGTGCCATCCACAGACTGGTTTGTTTACTTGTGCCTTTAAGAAACAAATCCAACATTCTGTCAGGCCAGCAGATTTGGGGTAATGCAATATATTGTAAAATGAGTGATATTTCAGTCATTTACATTTTGTCATCTTTCCTTTGCTGTAATATGGGTTCTTTAGTTCAAGGAGATATCATATACCATCTTGTGAGGATAAATCTCCCATTTTCCAAGTCCTTGGATAATATTGCTAGATGAGACACTTAGAAAAGCTAAACCCATATCTAAAATATTTATTGATCCCAATAATGAAAAATTACTGCTCTTTCCAGGTAGGAAAATGTCAGATATTATCAACTTGCAACCAACTTGCAAGTTCGTCTCTGATTATGAGAAATCAGTCATTTGACGGAGGAAGTAGCTTGAACAACTTTGCAAGAGAGAGCCCATGCATAGCGTACATTCATGTCACAGTAATTATTCATTTCATGGGCCATTACACAACAAGTGTAATAGCCAAGAAAAACAAAAACAACTTGTCCTACTAGACGTGTAATTCTATCCATTTGTTTGTTCAGTGCATCTAATTCAGAGGACATTTATACAAGAGGCCAAGATATACATACTTTGTGCCTACTTCTATAATTATTTCCACTATTTCTTCTCTAGACATTGTTATCTTTAGTCTTCCAATCTTGCTTTTTCCAAAGCCACTTACTAAACATTCAAGTCATTTGTAACTGCTCAGTAGTCCATATATATCCTTCTCTTAAATATATGTTCTGCCCCTGCACAATTGATGGCTAGATACACTGCTCAAAACTCTGCCCAATGGGAAGGCTTGTCCATACTATTGTCTTTCAGGGATATCACAGAGTGAGGATCTAGTACAGAGCTTTGAACTCCCAACAATTGATCGCAATGGCCTATCAATGAACCAAGTCCAGGTTTTACTCTAGCTCCATCAGCCAGTTATATGGAACTTCCCATGAAGCCATAGGTATGAAAAACGTGTCAGTGAAACATGGAAGCTAGTCTACCTATTCCTGAAGCTTATTTATATTTTCTCAGTATATTTGTTATATTAGGCTTTATCTGTTTAACATCCAGCTCACCTGATGAACAGATCAGTGAATAGTCCAAAATGGGGCAGAACTGACTTGAAAATCTGAAGAGGCCATGTTAAGGGTCATGTTTCTTTCTTAGTGCTGGATTTGCAAAGTACAATAACTTGTTCTTTACCTTGGGGCATATAGGACAGCATGTCCCAGACAACTGGACTACTACAAACTTCACCAATGTGATACACCCCTGAATTAGGAAGATTTATCTCCCACTATCTGTCTGAGATATGTCACAGTGTGGTTGTCCTTATTGCTAGCTGCTGCTCAAGTTTAAATAGCATGCTGTCGTCAATACAATGCACCGGTGTGACTTTCTGAAGGATGTCGAAATGATCAAGGTCCCTTCAGACTATATTGTGTTAGACAGCAAGAAAGTTAGCAATCTTGGTGTATAATCAAGAACACATTGTTATGCAATCATGTGAATCTGAACTGCTTCTGATCCTTCTTTCTGATGAGTATGGAAAAAAATTTATCATTTCAGCAGTTGTATACTGTATATCAGAGGCTTTCTTACTCTGCTGTAGAACAGATAACACATCTAGCACAGAAACTGTAAACGGAGCTGTTGTTTCATTAAATTTGTAGTATTTGACTGCCATGTGCCATGTTCTAGGCTGTTTTTGCAGGTCCAGAATGGTGAGTTAATTGGGAATATGATGGAGATGACCATCCTGGACCTTTAAGTCATTGGTGGTGGGACTAATCTCTGCCATTTCATCTAGGATGCCACATTGCATTTGAATTACATCCCTGGCCAGAGAGGAGGAAGCGGTATTAAGGACTTGTACTCGGTCTTTCCTACCATAATGGCTCTTACTGAAAAGATCAGGGAACCAACTGAAAGGTTCTCCTGGTTGCTAAGTATATCAATCCAGATTCTATATTCAAGGACTAGGGAAATAATCACCAGATGAGTTTGTGGACATATTATGTCCACTGTGAGACAGACTTGGGCCAGGCCTCCATTTATTACCTGGCATCTATATACCCTATAACAGTCAGGCCTTGATGGTATTCAGGGTCTCTTGGTATCCAACACACCTTAAAATATGTATTTTTCCCCAGTGTACAGAGACCCTGGTATTTCGGCGAAAATATTGGGGAATTGATACTCTACACATTTGCTATGGTGTTGCAGGATTCTTCTACAAGGGGACCTAGCTTTCCTAGTTAATAGGTTTTGAATCTACTACTGTTTCTGCTTGGAACACTGGCTGAGAGATTGTAAATTTCCGTTGTAGTCAAATACTAGCTTTTTCAGCTCCCCTGATCTTGATCTGTTTTTAAATGTGTGTGTGTATTTGTATATATTCAACCTTATATTCCATTACTTATATTTCAGCGCTTAAAGTCTAGAGTCCTCAAGACTTCTTCTCAGGCATATTCTCTCGGTTTTTGCTAATATATAATATTGATATCCTGTGGTTAATTAGGTTAATAATCACCTTCCTCCTATAGAAGGGACTGTTTCTCCAGCTGGGTCATGCTGAGACTTAACCCTAATTATTTTTCTGGAAGTAATGAGGTAAAGTGGGGCAAGATTAGCTTGTGAGCCATCTGCTTCAGGTGAGGTCTTTGTATAGTCTCCAGTAAAAGAAAGGCTGCTATCCTCTAACAACTCGGGGTGAGGCACTTCTGTTGGGGTTCTAAGAAATTGGAGGACTCAGTTTTACCAAATGCATCCACCCGCATTGTCCCCATCCCACATATCATGGTCATATTCTTTCTTCTCAGGGCCTTACTTCACCATATAGGACTTACTGGTTCTGTTTTAGCCTTTCTCACAATAAGGCAACATATTACTCCAGCTGGAGAAGACAGGTGTGTTTAAATACAGCCACAGAGACTTTTTGGTCTTTGCACCTTGCCCTGAGTTTACAGTGAGCTCAACTGATACTGTCATTTTCTTGCTTTAAGCGCTGCAATGGCACTTATCAACAGCCGCCCAATTTCATAGGTCCTATAATTACCATTGCCTTTACAGCTCTCAGATGCTATGTGTAAGTATCTTCTTCCATTTGTATTTTATCCCAATTCTTCACAGATGAGTTAACAATTGTGGTGCTGTAGTACACCAGGGATTATCACCACTGCAATTACAGCCAGAAATGGAATTCTTGTTGCCATATGTCTAACAAGTTACCCAATTCTGCTAACATACCCTGAGTATCTGCTACTTAATATAAGACAATAATGTCTTTGCATATGATTCCTCCAAGCAGACCAGCTGCTGGTCAGGATCATTGGTAAGGAAGGGGGAAGTAATAGAGGAAATAATGTGTTCTTTAGCAAGTTACCACTGGTCAGCTGGAGCTTGCTGGGGAACTCTAGGAAACAGTATGGAACACACACCTCAGAGTTATACCATAAATGGAGTGAGAGGGTAGGGTATTCATATACCAATCAAGGTGTGATTCTGGAAGCATAGGCACATGCATAGGCAGAGTGGGCTCTGTTATACAGGGAAAGTTCTCAGGTAGAGATTTAGCTGCTGGATGTTGGAAGTAGAGGAGACATGGAATGAAATGGTAAAGGCTGAACAGATATGGGCAAGGCACTGATAGCATCTTTTATAAGTGACATCTAACGTCTTAGTGTATGTGAAGTAGAATGGAAACAAGAGCACAGGCTTTTTGACTTTTTTGGTAATCCTACGTTAGACTGTTACTTTCACATTTGTCCTTAGGGAACGTTGTCTAGTTTTCACTTACTTAAAAGTGGCTTTATAAAAATGAGCCCCAATCCAATTTAATGATCAGACCTCCTCTTTGTGGCCAGCCCAAGGATAAAGATTAAAAAATAGCTCTTGTTTTTTTCTCCACTGGGCTCAGGAAATAGAGTTTAATAAGCAAATGGGTGGGAGGAGGAAGAGGAAAAGAGGGTTAGTAGGATTTTTTTTTTTCACTAATGGGAAAGATCAAAACCAAGAAAAGACAGTGGAAGCTTTGTGTAATAAGTAACAGTTTTTATAACCCTGTAACTGCCAAAAATTACTTTATAGTTAACCAATCCAATGGCAGAATATAGATCATAATATATCATATTAGTCAGTGTTCTCCAAAGAACAGAACCAAGAGGATATATTTAGGAAGAGATTTATTATAAGGAATAGCTCACATGATTATGGAGGCTGAGAAGTCCCAAGATCTGCTTTCTGGAAGTTGGAGACCCAAGAAAGCAGTGATGTAATTCCAGTCCAGGTCTGAATGCCTGAGAACCAGAGCAGCCTGTGGCATAAATCCTTGACCAATGGCAGGAGAAGACTGACATTCCAGCTCAATTAGGAAGGCAGAAAGAAAAAAGGGGTGAGTTCCTTCTTTTTCCACCTTTTTGTTCTATTCAGGCCTTCAATGGATTGATGATGTGTACTCAACATGAGTGAGAGCAATCTATTTTACTGCGCCCATAAATTTAAATACTAATCTAATTGGGAAACACTCACAGCACACCCAGAAATAATGTTTTATCTGAGCACTCTATGTCAAGTTGATATAAAATTAATCATCACACACATCCAGTGGCTGGTGGGATAGATTTTAGAGCCTCCAAAGGCAATTTTGCTAGGTGTTCCTCACTTGAAGATCGGTGGCCTCTTTATTAGTTAGCCTTATTTTTCTTAGGCAATACATCATAGGCCACTCATTGCTATGCCCTTAGGGAAAGGTCTATATCTATATCGGTATCTATACCTATATCTGTATCTGTGTCTATATCTGTATATCTATATCATCTATCTATGAGTAGGATTTCCCCAGTAGTAGCCACATATACTCAGACATCCAAATATTTGCAAAACCAAAAGTACTTTCTTCAGTTCACCCTAGTTGATAAGTAGGCAAATGTGTGCCTTGACTTCATCCCCACTGTCCTATATGTATGACAGTGGGGGAGTTGTATCAAAACTAAGAAAAAGATGATAGAAATCTACAGCACGGCATTGGGGCACAGCAGCCCAGAGAGCCCGAGGTGAGCTCAAAAGCAACCCCAAATGTCAAATCAAGGCAGTATACTTTAAGTTAGTGTTTTTTGGCCTTATTCCATGGACTCTAATGCGTTACACGTGCCTACATTTGAGCTTACCATGATTATATTTTTAGTTTCTGTATACTGACTGGTATTAAAATTGAAAGCTTGAAAGCATTACCTTGCTTAAAATATTCAACCAATTGTGAACTCAGAGTTTTATGTTTTGCCTGCATTCCCACTATTTAAGTTAATTAACGAGTAAATTTCTAGTATCTAGCAAGCCACATCTGTATGACTAGACTATGGTGGACTTCTTTCTAATGCTCAAATATTGGAAATGTGACCAATAAATTCTAATTTCTTTTCCTTATAAGGAATCAATAGTTAACAACATCCAGGTTTCTTCATTTTTATAGTTCTTGTTCAATAATGTTAAATCAAACATTTTTTTCTTTCTCAGTATATATATATTTTATTCAAAAATAGGACTTAAGCTAATTTTACAAAGAGACAAATTTGGAAAGTTTTAAGTTATTTTAAAAGTAGACATTTTAGCTCTCAATCTGAATGATCATCAGAATAATATCAGGGAACTCATTTAAAATTCTGAAATTAAGCCATGGTCATATCCCTGAAGACTATTAATCCGTAGATACCATTCAGGGCCTGGAAATTGGCATGCTGTAAAACTCTCCTAATAATTCTGACAACTTTTTAGATTTAAGAAAACATCTGTGAACACACCATTGATGTGACTTTAAGAGGTTTGTCTTCCATTACCAACTAAAACACTTTATGACCATCTGATAGTAGATAGGTGATTTCCATTCTTTTGAATTTCTGTTATTCGATTTACAAAGTAGGGATAAGATTACCTTTTATTCACTTTGGGAGGCCGAGGCGGGTGGATCATGAGGTCAGGAGATCGAGACCATCCTGGCTAACAAGGTGAAACCCCGTCTCTACTAAAAATACAAAAAATTAGCCGGGCGCGGTGGTGGGCGCCTGTAGTCCCAGCTACTCGGGAGGCTGAGGCAGGAGAATGGCGTGAACTCGGGAGGCAGAGCTTGCAGTGAGCCGAGATTGCGCCACTGCAGTCCGCAGTCTGGCCTGGGCGACAGAGCGAGACTCCATCTCAAAAAAAAAAAAAAAAAAAAAAAAAAAAGATTACCTTTTATTTTGATTGGTCGTTTTTGGTTGCAATAAACGGAGACTTAACCAAGTTACCTAAAATTAGCTGCGGAAAACTGGGGCACTCAGCTCTGGGCACTACCTATCCTTCTCCCTCTCATGGGCCAAAGGTTTCTCTTTCCTGGCATTTCTGTTTCCCTCTGTTCCCTTATAACTTTGATTTGTCATCACACCTGATGACCCTGATTGCCCTCATGGCTCACCTCTGTAAACACCCTTTCGTCTTTACCTGCCACTATTAACTGCTTGATTATTACTCTTTCTCAATTCACATTTTTTAAAACAGAAAGTCTATTGGTCCCAGCTTAACTTTTGTGCCAGGCTACATCATATAGTACTTGATACTCTATAAACTTACCACCCTTGAATCAGTGTTCACCTTTTGCCCGATTAGCTGATGCTGAAAGACACAGGGTAATGTGATATTAAATATGGCTGCCTATGGGGATCCTATAGAAGGAAATTTGGACTTTCTCTTAAAACAGAATGTGTGAGCAGCATTGTCAATGTCTACGTAGCACGTTTACCTCATATGTGTGTTTTCATGCTTACTTGAGATCTTGTATATGAAAGCAACCTGTGAATTATAAAACTCATATGAGTTATTAATGCCATTATTAAAAGCATAACAATGCCATGAAAATATTAGTGTTTCATTCCAATAAAAAGCTAAAATTAAATGAAAAACATACCTTTCTGTAAGCCAATGTTATTTTGAAAAATTATCATTAATGAGCCCAGATTAATTGCTCTCTGATTAATTTACATTTATCACGTTTACTTATGTTGTACAATAGCTCCCCCCTCATCCAAGGTTTCACTTTCTGAGGTTTCAGTTAAGTGTGGTCAGCTGCTCTCCAAAAATACTAAATGGAAAATTCTAGAAATAAACAATTCGTAGTTTTTATATTGTGTGCCATCCTGATTTGTGTGATTAAATCTTTTGTTGTTCCACTTTGTCCTGCCAGAGACATAAATTATTTCTATGTCCAGCGTAGCTGTGCTATATATGCTACTTACCCATCAGTCATCAATATCATCTGCTCCTAATATCACACCATAGACATCATCATGGCTTGATGATCCAGGAACCCTGAAAGCAGGTGATCCTCCTTCTGAGTATTGTCAGAAGGTCATTAGTAGCTTAACACTACCTCACAATGCCTATGTCATTCACCTCACTTCACTTATCATGTAGGCATTTTATCATCTCGCATCATCATAAGAAGGATAAGTACAGTACAATAAGGTGTTTTAAGAAGGAGAGATACCACTCACATAACTCCTCTTACAGTTATATTGTTCTATTTTATTATTAGTTATTGCTGTTAATCTCTTATGTCTCTAATTTATAAATTAAATGTCATCACATGTAGGCTGTGTTTATGGTACTTTCTGTAGTTTCAGACATCCACTGGGAGTTTTGGAACACATTCCCCACGAATGAGGGGACACTATTGTATTATTCATACTATCATGATGTACGTGGAAGTTGCATGTGATAATTAGTTCATTAAAGGCTATAGGTGTTTTTTTTTCCTTCAAATATGTGTTAGCAAATGAACAATATCAGTACCAGGTGAGAGGAAAAAAATATAGATCATTAATACTGAAGTAACTAAAATGTTCAGAGTAATAATGTTGCTGCAGAATTGCTGTTCTCTGAAGATTTTTTTTAAAATCAAAGCGCTACTGTTTTTCCTAATTTATTTTCTTGAATGTAAGTTTTAATGATACAAGGGTTGTTGCGTTATTTGTTGTCTGGAAATTCCATCCTTTTACTTTCAAATTTCTGAGGAAGAATTTGATGCAACTTTCTTTCTAGAGGATCCAGGGTTCTCAGCTTGTAATTCTTAAATAATTCTTACAGAGGGTAACTGATGACTGTCAATTCTGTGGTATACCTTTAAAATATCAGCTAATGAATGGAAAGGTTCTAAATCTTGAAAAGAGTACCTGCTTACACTCATCTATACATTTGTTGAAATTCATTGAACTGTACACTCAAGATGTATCCCTTTCACTGTAGGTAAATTATACCTCAATTTTAAAAATTAAAGGAGTTACTTTTTATGTATGATATACTGAATTGGAAACCTCACAATGATACACTGACAATATTTTTTAAGTTTGCAAAATAGTATATACAATATGACTTCATTTTTATAACAAAAAGCTATGCTATATATACAGATATTTGTATAGATGCATATTATTATAACCACTGGAAAAATGTGGAATGAGAAACATCAAACTTTTAATTTAAAAGGTAAGAAAGAGAGAGGAGATAGAGAAAGAGTTTTACTACTTAATTTATGTTCTCCTGAAAGATGTTGCAATTGCATGTATGGTTTCCACTTTCTTGTTTCTGTTTTCTGCATTATGATATTATAAAAAATAAAAATAGCAAATTTTGTACTATTATTCAGAAATACATAATTTTGATGAGAATAGATTCTGAGTGTACTACAAGAATATACCTTGAATATTGAATAGTCTCACTATTGTGGAATACATATTTTAAAAAGAAATAATTATCAAATTCTGTGTGACAGATAACCTAAGCAGAAATTAGGGCTAAAACATGTTAAAGTGTTATTTTAATTAAAAATTATTTAAAATATGAAAACATGAAAAATGGAGAAACTAGTAAGATAATTTTTTTGTTTATAAATGTCATAAAAATTGTTAGATCTATAGACACTGGGTTCTCAGAAGCTTAATTGTTGAAAATTTAGGCATAAAATATAGGTCAACATAAATAACCAAAAAATAAATTTCTCCAAAATATCTGCATTCTAATCAGATGATAGGATTAGTAGAGAGAGAGAGCCTCTGGTCTTTCAGAAGCTTATAAAAAGAACACTTGTGAAGCCCCTTATACACACAAAGCATATCCAATTATATGAATATTTCAAAAAGAATATTTCTTACCTTTATCATAGAGACATTTATTTCCAAGTTGGCAATACAGTTTTATAGATCATACTATACTACTAGTCTTCTTTTTTAAAACCAAGAAATACGTCATTTTTTAAACTACAAGTAACAGTCATGCTTCCTGAGCATCTGTTTCACCTCCCAATGATGCAAAACGATATTTAGGGGAGGGGAAACACAATGAATATATTTATTCTCCAAATTGCATACAAATATTATTAAACAAAATTTTAAAAATTTTCTTTGAATGTCAGAATTTAAATCCTATGAATAGGCAAATAGTTTTCTCCAAAATTCAGCAATGCCCTTTCGGCAGACCCCCAGCTCTGTCTTTATCCAGGACTTTGTCATTCTTCTGTGTTTGTACTGCAGCAGCTTATTTCCTACTTGTTTCCTTGTCCCTATTTTCCACTCATTCTTCCACTTTATGCTCTAAACTGTTGCTGGATTATGTTCCAAATTAAACAAATCCTATTAGTCTCTCATGTTCCCAGAGGGAATTGGTATATTTTTTCTGCAGAAAACTTAAGGTCCCTAACCACAGAGATAAATAGTTACAACCAGAGCCTTGAAGAGTTGACAATCCAGAGGCAGTACAGTCATGTAAACACATAATCATACCAGTGTGGTAAATATAAAAAAGAGATATGCACTACGTGCAATACTGTTACCAGAAGGGGTGATTAACCCTGCATCAGTAGGTCATGAAGGATCTCACAAAGAAGTAAACATTTGATCTAGTTCTTGAAGACTGACTAGCAGTTTGACAGAGTTTCCAGGTGTAGATATGGTGAGAAATTTCTTTTGGAAATCTCTGAAGGCAATAGGAAGACTGAAGAGTTTAATCTTGGTTGAATGTGTGGTTTATGAAGATCAGTGGTAATGTACATGAAGGATTGCCTAGGCAGGACGAGAGGTTTGGAGGGTCTAGAAGGAGGATGGACCAGTTAGTAGACTGAATTACTAGTTCAAGCAAGAGATGGTCAGGATCAGAGCTAACATTGTGGCTGCAGGAAAGAAGAGGAAAGTTTAAATGGATGAGCTATGATGGAGAATCAGTGGCATTTAATGTATAACTGTACATGATGAGTTAGTGTAAGTGTGAAGTCAGAACACATGAAAACCACATTTCTAGCTTGCAGGACTGGGCGAATGTTGGTGCCATTTATATAAAATTCAGTGTAGGTGGGTAAGAGCAGATTTGGGGGAAAGTTCATGAGCTCCAGCTGGGGTTATGGAAGGTGAAGTTATTGGTTAAAATTCTAAATAGAGAACTCAAGTAGGAGGTGCTGATAGGTGGCAGTAGATTTTCAGTGGCATGTAGAGTAAAATGAGAAGAGAAGCAACAATAGAACCCTCGACAACACTATCATCTAAGCAGAAGAATGAGAAAGGAAACAGTAAAAGGCTCTAAAAAAGGATGGATTAGATTGGAGCAAAATAAGAAATCAGTGCAGTGACAGGCATACAAGCCATAGAAATACAGAGTTTCAAAGAAGGGACATGGGGAGGCCCCTTCAGGCAAGCAGAGGGAGGCTGGATTCTTTATTCTTTGTATATAGGGCAGAGACTCATCTGTTACAGTTTTTTCATGTTTTAAGATTAACCAAAGTTACCACTAGTTCTACCCTTGTGTTTTTCATTTTATCCCTAGTTAGTATTGCTAGACAATAGCCGTAAGGTTGAGAGAAATTAGTAAACACCTGAAGGCTTTCAGTCTTTCCACCAAAAGATTTGGATATTACTAAACATTTATCTTATTTTATTTTATTTTGAAAAAAGATGACTTACCCAGAAGATGCATACAAACATACTAATACATGCATACTCAATATACTTTTCTTCTCAAGTTTTGGCATTAATTAATTTTGGTAATTCCTGAGCTTAATGGACAAAAAAGGCTATAGAATATGTAAAATTGTCTTCAGACCTAATTTATTGATGATCTCAATCACTGAGCATATTGCTTTAGAGTAAAAGAGACTTTTTAATTTTTTAATTTAATTCCACAATTGACAGTTATTTACTTTTCATATTTTTCATGTTACTATGGCATGCATTTTTTTCTAGCAAAATTGAACATTTTTATTAGGATAATTTAATGTAACCTTTAACAAATTTGTTTGGAAACCTACTGTGGGGTTTATGTCAATACAGAATATGTTTGATCCATACATAGCTGAGTCTGTCTCAAGATGAGATTACATTTCTAGTTATTTTTCTTTGAATATTTTTTATAATTTTTGAAAATCATCACTGATTTTATTTACATTGATTTAAAACATCAAAAAAGTAACTCGTAGGTTAGGAGTAATAATAGAATCAAAAGAGAAGATGAGAATTTTAGAATTAAGTACATACATTTGCCATTAGTAGGCAAAAGGCAATAATAAGTTTCAGGCTTAGAAATCCAATAAGGAAATTGAACGAACTGCTACATTTGAGAAAATAACTGTAGAAAATGTCCTTCCTGTTAAAAGCTAAAAGGGCCCCTCTTGAAATCTGCTTTTTCTTGAACCAGAAAACTAAACAAGGAAGAGTTTGTGATTAAAGGAGAGATACAATATTAAAACACAGGGAGTGATGTCTAGCCCTAGTTAAAATATTTATATCCATGTTATTTAACTTGTTCTGGCTGCTATGTTACCACTGCATCTCCGCTTCTGTGTCTTTTATGTGAAGCTGGGCTCTCCCTCAAATGATGTGAGGGGCTCTGAAAAATGCCTGCCCATAATGTCTTTCTTCTTGGTCTGCTATGTTACCTGAAATCTTAGTAATTGCAATGGTGTGTTTTTAAATAAACAAAACTTTAGCTAGAAAGGGAAAGAAGTATTTCAATCTGTAGCCTCCATTAATATAGGCATTAGAATTAATTTATGCAATTTTCTAATATCTAAACGAACAGAAAAAGAACACTGAGAATAAAGGAAACAGAATAGGTAAATATTGGTGTTGTAATGGGAGTGGGTGGGGATTCTAACTTCGGGAATCATGTAGATTCTAAAGGTCCAGGGAACTCTAAAGAATTATGGACAACCAGAAGTAGCAAGGTGAGGAAGAGTGGTATAGCAAAAGGAATGTGAATCCAGGAGCAAGAGGCCTGGAGTCCTAGTCCTGACTGCTCCTAATGGCAAATCTCTCTGAAATGATTTGATTCATTGTCAAAAGAAAAATCTTAAACCAGATTACTATTTTTAAAAGTCTTTCAAAATCTGAAGTTCTGAAACATGTTGATTTCTTAACTTCTAATGTGCATCATTTCTAATATTCGATTGTACTCAAGCGGGAATGGGCTGAGGGATTGATGAAGTGGCAAAGTCAGAGAGGGAAGCAAGCATAGTCATCCACAGAAATTCCACAAGCAGGTTTGGCAGCTCCTTTTGGATAACACGTCTGACATGGATGCTACATTGGTGATCTGTTTAAGAGTTCAAGTTTCCCCCAAGCTAGTTGTACTTGGCGTTTTCTGTGGTGTCTTCCACAGGCAGAAACTAATGTTATTGGTAGTTCTTATTGCAAGTATTGAATTGCTGGCCATGAAGGTAATTCTGGGTAGATTTGCCAGAATCTGCTATGCCTTACATCATCCAGGAGAACTGGATGATTATTACAGACTGAACTTAAAAGTATGCCTTATGAAAATGATGATATTCAAACTTAAGACAGAATGCCTGTTGATAGACGAACCTGTTGACTGCAGTTTCTTGTAGTCCAGGACATAGAGATTACACTGTGATTTGTAAATTGCATTTGCACTGTGTACGGCGATTACCTTTGATAGCTTTCTGATTTGGGGAAAGTAATTTGACCTCTTTAGGCCTCACTTGCCTAAGTTCACACAGTTCTTGTAAAGTAAGCATGGATAGTGACTGGCATATCAAAAGTTCTCAGCAACTATTAACTGCTATGATTTTATTACTACAAACATTCTATTGGAAGGAAATAAAATAGAAGTCTTCATTCCACATTTGCAAACTAAAATTGTACTGAAACACTTATCAAATGTTAATAAATGTCTTTCATTGTTTTAAGTACCAATAATTTGGCTTTCCTTGTAAAACTCTTTTTAATTTTTAATTTTAAATGCCATGTAATACACTTGTTCTCTCTTTGAACTGAGATTTATCAATGTAAACAAGAAGAACAATTCAATTCATTAAATTAAAGAGGATATTTGTTCCAGGCTGAAAAATTAAGTGGTTTACTACACATAAATATAAAATTTCCTTCAAACAAAAAACACAGGTTCCTGCCTAAGTGAGAAAAAATGTATTGTCTACCATCAGACATTACATTCAGAGTCTTAGGCTCAGTGGAAAGAGAAAAGCTTACAAGTAAATTGGTCAGCTAAGCAGTTCTTTAGGCATAATTTGACCAGTTTGTTTCTTAGTAAACCTGACTTTCAACCACAGGTATCTTTTGTAATGCTAAGTAAGAAACAAACTTGTCTTGTCTTTTTCAGCTCAGTAGAGTTGGTTGGTGGGATGAAAGTGTTCCCACCTTAGTGCACAGAAAGTTCAGCAAACTTTATTAGTGAGTCAAACTTTACTCAAGTAGCCCTGTGCCAAACAGGGCTAGTATTCTAGGTAATAGAGTTCAGTGGGGAATAAAACACTCAAGGATCTCTGTCTGCATGTGGAGTCATAAATAGATAGGTAAATAGACGTGATAGATAGATGATAGACAGACAAATAAAAAATAAATAGCCTGACAGAAAGAAACCTACCAAATTCTCATAAGTTTTATGTAGAATGTTAAAATACATCGATGTGGTAGAAAGTGACTGGGTGATTATTTTCGACTGGGTTGTCAGGGAGGGCTTTTCTGAAGAGGTGTCATTTAAAATGAAGTCTTAGTGGGAGGAAGATACCAGCTATGTGAAGATTATGGAAGAGTGTTCTAGAAGGAAAGAAGAGCTGGTATAAAGATCATAGGGGAAGAGTTTGTTTCAGAAGATCAAGGAACAGAAAGAAAATCAATGTGAGTAAACCATAGTGCATGATGAAGAGATTGGAATGAGACAAGTTCAGCAAGGTAAAGCAGGGGCAAGATTATGAAGTCAAGGTAAGGAGTTTGGGTTTTAGTCAATGCCCTACTGAAAGACATTGGAAATTTTAAACATAAGAGTGAGATGATCCAATTTATGTTTAACAAACAAACAAAACTCTGGCTTCTTGTAGGAACTGAATTGCAAAAGGACTAGGCTGGAAGCATGGAGGCCACTGAGGGAACTGGGTTAATGTATGGCTAGTTGTTCATCATACCTATTACCTCTTTTTCTTTGGCATACAGTCAGATTGCCTTTTCCAGCCTCCCTTAAAGTTAGATGTGATCATATGATAGATTTATCCTCAATGTAATATGAGTGGAAGCTATGAGCACCACTTCCAACTCTTAACCATAAAGCCTTCCACATACAACCATCCATGTTCTTTCCCTCTCCACCGGCTTAATGTGAATACAGCGACTATGGAAGAAGCCATGTATTGAAAATAGTGACATCATGTGATGGAAAGAGCTTAGGTCCGAAATCACTCACTAATCAGGAACTCACAACTAAGATTTCTTATGAGTGAGAAGCAAACTGATTATGTAATGACTGGATTGAGGATTTTACCTCTTACAGTGTTTAGCCTTACCTTAACTAAAATAGGTATTGATGCAGTAAAATAAGTGATTTAGATGGTGGCTGTAATGATGAAGGAAAGGTGATGAACAGATAACATATACAGGAGATAAAATAAAAAAAAACTTGATTGAAAATCAGAGAAAAGTGGTAAGGAGAAAGGTAGGGAGGACCCCTAAGTTGCTCGTTTGTGAGCTGTGTAAAAAAGGCTGTCATTTACAATGTTAGATATCAGAGGAGGAGGAAATGTAATGAGTTCATTATGACACCTGTTGATTTTGAGCTCTCGAAGTGCCCTCCCAGAGCAGCTTTCTAGCGTCATATTTGAGTCTGGAAATAAGGAAAACATTCTTTGCTTAAATTAGCATTAATTGGGCTCATACTATGCCATTGTGCTAAGCACTTCACATATATTACTTCATTTAATTTTCTCTACAAATCAAGTAAAAGTAAAGCAAACTATTCATTTTCCAGCTTTACGGATGAAAACACTAAGACTTACAGAGGATAAATAACTTGCCTATATTAAAGTTTCATGATAAGTAGTGGAGTTGAATCTGTACCTTTCCATTGATTTATAATAGTATTTGTTTGATTTATCATTCATGGGTCTGCAAGTCTGCTATTCCTCTGCTGAACTCAGCTAAGATCATCTGGGCCTGGCTCCAGGCTGCAGGTTAGACTCAAGTCTGCTCCATGTGTTTCCTCACTGTCCTCAGCCACCTACTACTTGGAATATGTATGTTCTTACTATGGTGGGTCACAGAAGCCTGAGATGCCAAGCCAAGCTGCTGCATTTAAGGCTGCCACTTGTTTCAAGATGCTGACTTTCCATTGGCCAAAGTAACTCATATTGTCAAAGTCAACATCCACATGGGAAGTGGTTAGGAGAAGAAGGTTATACTCTACTCTCTCAGTTTTTTCTCAACTTCCCTTCCTTCCCTCCCTCTGCTAAGTGTCCTTAGACATAATTTGACCAGATCGTTTCTTAGTAAATCTGATTTTGGCCACTTCCTTCCCTCCCTCTGTTAAGTGTCCTGTTGATTAAATTAGTGGTTAGCAAATTTGGTACAAATAAGGGTCGGTTCATGCATTTTAAATGTCCTTAGCAGAGGGAGGGAAGAAAGGGAAATTGAGGAAGAAAAACCAACTTTATTGCTTGAACAAAAATAAGATGATGCCAGAGAAAACAAGAAAAGAAAACACTCTGAAGAGTGTCCAGAAGTGAAAGATGCTGCAGAGCTTTGAAAAACATAAAAACCAAGGAGTATCCTTAGATATAGCTGTGCAGAAGTCAGGATGGCAGAAGCAAGAGTGGCTGCAGTGCCACTTTGATGGGTGGAAGGCAGGCACTGGGGAGGGAATCAGAGGCGGCAAAACAATTATCTGCGTGCAAGTTTGCTATGAAGAGAAAGTACAAGAGTATAAGAATGCTGGCTTGAGGAAAGTGAAGATAGCTAAGCTAACTCGTGCATTGGTTAAAAGTGCATGGCTAACTATCCAAGAAACTACCAACTAATTGTGTGACCTTAGGCAAGTTACTTAATCTCATGGTGTCTCAGATTCCTCATCATGAAATGAAGATAAATGTAAATTACTTCATAAAATCAATGTGAGATGAAAGGAATTATTATATGTAAAGTGCTTAATAAATGTTAGTTATTATTGTTTTATTTCCAGAATGGGAAAATATTCAACATGATCCTATATTGATGACAAAAGGCTTGCATAAAGAAAAGATTAAAAATTTAGGGGGATTTTATATTATGTCCTTATTATTAAAAAATTACCACCCATCTATATTTTCTGTTGACTTAGGTAAATGGGAGAAATCTGATTATTTTCTTCTGAATCATTTTAGCCAACATGCCCCCTTTAAGCAAGATAAATTTGTTGTGTATCTGATAATTAATGACATTATATAAAATTTCAACTTATACTCATTTCCCTCCAAAATATATTTATATGCATTTTAGCAAAGATAGTGAAAATAACAAATTAGCCAATGCTTCTCCAAATTTGTGAGTTTGCTCAATTTAATTTTATGTTCCAATTTTATATTTTAATTATCAGTCATCTTATTAAAATCTTAGTGATATATCAGTCAGTAAAAATCCTCTAATGCAGCTATTTATTTGTAAGTATAAATGTTATTTTGCATTTAAGATTTGTTCTAGCTAAGAAGTAAGCTAAGTCAATTTACCAAAAACTACTTTCATCTGACAATTTCTTGAAATCTTTCATGTATTGTAAGACACAGACTCCTCAAACTAGAATTTAAAATCATGGACAATGCAGCCTCAGGTTATATCCTTCTGTTCTTTCATATATGCCATTTCCTTTCCTTACTGCCTCTTGTTCTCCCAGACTGATTCTTGCAATAGGCCAGGTAAGGGCTGCCAGGTCACTAGCCGCTTGAAAGCTGGGACCTGATACAGTTGTATCCCAGAGAAAAAGAAGGTATGTACTTGATTGTTATAACTTTTACTATTAAAAAACCACCTCCTAGAAATCCTAAGTGGCAATAGGCTTCATGTGTCATCAAAGTTTTCCACTATCTGTAAAAAAAGATGTTAAAATGAGGTTTGATAATGGATAATCTTTTACAAGCCATGACGCTTTTCATAGAGTCCTAGCTAACCACTAATTTAATGAAAAGCCTCCTCCTTTGTACTTTCACTTCATAATCTTTACAACTTTGTCGAAATGTGTCAAGTTGTAGTGATGGTTCTTTGTCTTTTGTTTTCAAATACAGACCCCAGTTCCTAAGCATGATTCATTTCCTTCTGGGTGAATACATCTTTTGTTTCCTTCTAGGAAAACTTCAGGTTGTATCTTTGTAAAACTCAAGATTTAACTCATTTTTTTCTGAGCTAAAAGTTGAAAAGATTTTTTTTAAAAAAACTCATAACAGTTTCATAAATAAATAATATCAAAATCCCGGAGCCCTATATTGTTTTGTCATTTTCTCAAATCTAATAATTTGTGTTATATAGCATTTAATGAAGGCTGCCACCAAGTCTTAAAGTGTGTGTGTGTGTGTGTATGTGTGTGTGTGTGTAACTCAGGTACCCTTTATACCAAAACCATGTTCTCATATTGATAAGGTGGACTATTCAAAGATATATACCAGTTTAAGCAACTTGTTTTATTATTTTTGGAAAGATTTGGTGGTCAAAACATTACATCAGAATCACTTTATCATAACATATAGGTGACCATTTACTACTATGTGTAAAACTTACCTGACCACACATATGTGGACACTCAACAAGTGTCCAGTGATTTTACTTTGCCATTACATTTCCTAGTCCTTGGGAACGATTACATTGAGTTGACAGTTTATACTTTAAGATTTGAAAAGAAAATATTTCTTTCCTATTGCTTATTAGTATTGATTAACACCTAAGGTATTTACTAAATTTACTACCCATAATCTTAGTGTTATTTCCAGCTTTATATAGATGGAAATAGCATGGATTCTGAGAAAGTTCTGCTTGTTTTAGACATGCCTCTTCTGTGATTCAACAGTATGGCTATGCACAGGTTCTGTAAAAGTTTAAGGCGCAGTGTCCACATTTTCCAATTGAGACTATTTCATTAGGGCTTTTGTGAACATTAAGGAAGTTTTAATAGTTTATTGAATGAACTGGACTGCCAATTGTAATTGAGGACTAACAGATTTATTAAGACACAAAACATGCATGTAGACTATATATTTATATATTGGGTCAATCATTTATAAATTGCAAAAAAATAAACAAATTAAATTCTTGGTGTATGTAGGAAAATAATGCCAAGTTTTGGAATTATATATAGGTACTCACACATAACTAACACAAATCTCCAATATTAGGATATGAAATATGATATGGATGTCTCCTTACCTACAAATATTGGGATGTTTGAGTGTGTTGCATGCAATAGAGCTGAGAGTTGAAATTTGGTGAGAATGTATGCTTTGGTGCTGAGGTTTTCATAATCTTGAGTTAAGTAACAATGACACCTATGAACTTAATTAATTCAAAAGGATGAATTTTATTCACATAGAAAGTTTTTCTTAGGGAAGATGTTTGATAGCTAAAATTAGGGCAGAACATCAGAGGACCCAGGTCACTAACTTGAAATGTATGTAAGGAGGCTTGTATGTAAGGAGGCTACAGTGACTTTTCCTGACAATGATCATCTCTTCTTGGAGCAGAAAGGTAGCCAAGACCTACTTGAGCATGGATAGTGGAGACAGGAAAGAGCTCAAGAGTGACAAAGTAGTGAGGATAAGTGAGTGGAATAGTGGTAAAAGATTAGGATTATGCTTAAATATCTTCTGTAAGAGTTAGAGGTGAGTGAGTTGAGAAACCAGAGTTAACTGGATAGGCCTACTCCCATATCAAGATTAAACTGTCATCATTCTGTCTGTTAAAATAACATCATTAAGGGTAACATTGTTCCAGATGACAGAAAGGCACAGGTATGGGGTGAATGATTTGGGTGATCAATAATAAACATACAAAATGGTATCAATAATATATTTGTTTCTTTTCTTTATCATTTTAGTCTCAGGTTTATTTTTCTAAAATTTCTTAACTATATTTAATATTAAACTCTAAGACATTTAGTGTTAGAAGCAAAATTGACAATTTGCTTATTCACAGCATTAAAAAATATTTTCCCTTCCAGTCAATATTCTCTTGCTAAATCAGAGTGACTGTAAAACAATCTAAGCAGCCGTTGAGAGGGGAAAATTAAAAAAATAATGAAATTTTCACAAACTGATTTCTTTGGACACACTGATATTTATCACACTCCACTGATTTCTTCAGTTCTCTTCTGGCTGTAAAAGCACGTGTTGAATATGGTGTACATAGAGTATGCACAGTTATTTTTTCTTTCTTAGCAGCAGTAGGAAGAACATCTTTTCAGCAGCTGGCTCTTTCACGAAGCAGTTGATTATTGGAGTTTGGATTGAGTTTTCTGGTCTAGGTGGTTAGCATTCAGATGGGTTTCTTGAGATTACTTAGCTATTTTACTGGCAGCATTTTAAAGTTGCATGACCATTTGCTCCACAGGCTTGTTTTAAGCAGTTTCTTTGAGAGGCAAGGTTCTTTTAAACATCACTAAGACAAAGCACTCATTATAACGTTCTTTAGCATTTCTTTCCACTGGACATTTTAAAAGCAAATTGCAGTAGAAAACCAGCATCCGTGTTATAGAACTTGACAGAATATCACACCTTCAAAGGAAAATGAAGTAACTGATGAAAACACAAAATTAATGCTAAAATTAAAAAATGAAAATGACTCATGCATTTTAGAATACACAGACTCCCTTGAGATCTAGATCAAACTTGATTCTTCCTACTATCTAAATGGACTTTCTGTTATAATTCTTTATTTTTTATTTCCTCAGTTATTCTTTCTGCCCCAGAAAAAACAAAGAGATTATCTTCTGTTTGTGAAAAACATCTCTATAATTTTTCCAATACCAAATGGGTAATGTCCATTTGCACCAGCCCTGTAACTTATCTGTTTCGTCATTGTTAGTTTGTGCAGTTATTTAGGTACATCATTAAAAAGAAGTTTTTACCTTGCTGCCACCTTATTACTATCATTTTGCCAATTTAGTCAGGCAGCAAAAAAAATAAAATCTTACTTTTGAATAAGGTGATGGATGGTCACATGTATTGATTTTTTTTCCAGCTTGAAACCCCCTAAAATTGAAAATAAAAATTTATAAACCCACAAAATCA
Organism: Homo sapiens; assembly: GCF_000001405.40. Taxonomy (NCBI): domain Eukaryota; kingdom Metazoa; phylum Chordata; class Mammalia; order Primates; family Hominidae; genus Homo; species Homo sapiens. The sequence continues at coordinate 182,280,719 of NC_000002.12, read as the reverse complement.
AAGAGGAAAAAAAGAGAAGGCATTAGAGAATAGGTTATTTTAGCGAATTTTTGAAAAATGTAAACAGAAGGAATAGTGGTAACTGGCAGAGCAGAGTCACTAGGCATAGGACTCCCCCTAACAGAAGAAATGAAGAAAAGCCTTTACATTTTGAGAGAAAATTCTTTTCAATCTAGAATATTCTGTCAGACTATCAATCAAGTGGGAAGAAAGAACAAAATTTTTAGCATTCAGAAACTCAGTGATTTATGTCACATACACACTTTCTTGGAAACTACTGGAGAATGTGCAAAACAGAAGAAAATTCAGAAGTGAGGTCATAGAATCCAGAAACAGGGAATCCAACAGGAAATGTGGTCAAGGGCAGCCTCAGGATGACAGCTGTGTAAGATCTGGAGAGCAACAGATCTGAATGTGAGCCAGAGATACAGGTCCAAGATAGGTTTCCAGCATAAAAGAGGAAGTGCTGATTGATATTTGGAAGATGTAAATGGGGCTTAGGGGGAAAATTTGGATAGACATTCAGAACATAATGTTAGTAAAAAATGCAGTAATTCATTACTTTGGGTAATAAAAAAAACCCAAAGGCATGGAAATGTAATCTTCATACACTATTCAGCTATGTAATGAACACTGTATGTCTGATCATAAAAATGTAAACCTTGATTATTAATGTTACAAGTATTATAAAACAGTATTTTTGGTAACTTAGGGTAAGGTAAAATGGAGCAGATATATAAAAAACACCTAAGTCCTTATTCACCGTAACAGGAGGCCAATAGGTGGTATCCAGTATCAATAAACCAAGAGATAGCAGAATAAGCATACCATTTTAAAATGTAGAGTAAAATCCCAGAAAAAAACAATCAAAGTATTTTTAAAGAGATGTCCCAGTGAGCAGAACATAGGGTAGGACTAAGTGGATGAAGAAACTGCTAATTTTTATAAAAAGATTTCAGAGATAGGTAGAGAGAAAGAGAAATTAAATATATTTTATTTCATTATAAAACTATATGTATTTGTAAATTAAATATGCCATTTAATTTTGTCCATAATTTACTCCAATAAAGATGTTTTAAAAGTGAAGTTCAAAGAATGAGAAAGACCAAAGAAAACCTTAATATTTAGATTTACAAAGATATTTTCCTGAAGATATGTAGACCCTATACCATTGAAGCTGTAAAGGATACATGATAGGTATTCAGGGTTGATATTCTTCCAAGAATATTGACTGTGGAAAGAAAAAGAAAGCAGGATTTTAAAAATCTGGTCCATGAATATATATTCTACAAGGAAGGTTGCTCTTACCAGTAACCAAAGCCATTCTGTTTTGATGGTCATTGGCTTCCCAGGGAACAAGTCCTAAAGAAGACTGATAAGATTTCTCTATTTTTTTATGGTGCTGGGATGCTTTGGGAGTTTCTGTACATCATGATAATTTAGGTTGTGCTCGTCTAAGAATTACAGAGTGGCATATTTTCTCCTACTACAGACCGTTGTTGAAAATCTGCTCATCCTCCAACTCTTGACAGTGAATATTCATTGCCTACATAAGATGAAAAACTAAACTAAAAAACTGATAATTTACTTTTTAAGAATCCTGCCTCTATGCCCTATTTTCATTATACCTTGGTTATTGTTTTGGTTTAGGATTTTGGTTATTGTTTAAAAGAACATAATTTATAAGAGTCTCTAAGAAACTATAAAAGTCTCTGTCATTTACCAATGTAAGGTATCTGAGTTGGAAAAGAAATGAACTTCAATCTTGGAATTTAAACTTTAAGCTTTTACATTAATGCTTCTGTTCCTAATACCCTATACAAATCTGTATAAACTGTGTTTGGCTTACTTTAAAAAGTTAAAAATTGTAAAAAGAACTTCACATATTCTTGGGTTAGTCAATTCTACCAGATTTTTCTTCCCCTCCAAATTAATCATTGCTGGGCTACTATAGAGAACAGGGTTGAACTTACCAGAGTGAAGGCTCCTTCTGGAATGTCAAACAGGTATTCACTTCTGAGGCCCCTCTTACATTTGGACCAACATGAATCACTGTTTCAGTTAGATTTTTAGTGTTGATAAGTATCCATGTAATTTTGAAGTCTAGTCCATAATACATAAACAACATTTCTATTTACCACTATACACTAGATCAAAACTATGAATGAACTGCTAAATAATCAAAATGACTTATAAACCACTCATATGATAGAAATGTAAATTTTACTGATGATACTTCTTTAAAGACTCTATTTTAATGCTAAACTTTCTCTATATCTTAGTCTACCAAAACATAGAACTGAAGCCTTTTAGTGTTTATGGTTAAATACCTGGAAAAATAATGTCAAAAGTTTATGCTCCAGCTCATCTTCTCCTGCAGATTGATGATTGTTTGTGTTATATCCACTTTTGTGTGTGTGTTATATCCACTAGAGACTTTGAAATTAGAAGACTCAACTCAATTGTGTAAGCTTGTTAAATCACATCCTTAAATGTGATCCTTAAGTGTGAAAATGTGCCCATTTTCAGACTAGTGCTTGTCTTGATGTGAGTTGTTGTAGGGACACAGGAAAGGGTAGAGAATTCAAGACTTACTAAGAAATTGTCCTATTTAATCACTATATTAAATATGTTTTATGAAGAAATTTTGATCTTCCAAGAAGAAGTCATCAGGATCTCTTGGCCAGACCACATATGGTAAATATATCTGTCTGGTACTGTGAATTGATTGACATTGAATACACTGTAGTGGAGGATGGTACTTGACAGTTGTTCAGTGTAACCTTGTCATGGTAGGGACACAGTAGAGTAGGATAAGACCAAGTGACAGTGTGAGCCATTCTAGGTGAGCAGCTTTCTGACAGTGTTACATACCATATTGTTTTTTCCACAGGGCAGTTTAATTCCATCTGAAACACCTGCTGAAACTCAGTGCATCTCAATATAGATGGAACTGTGCTTACCTCAGTTAAATGAGAAAAACTTCACTTAAGAATCAGGTGTCTCTCTTGCACCCAGTAGCTCTCTAGCAAGGATCTAGACCATTAAGAATTCCTTAAAGACAACCTAGGGCAATTTTTTGTTGTTGTTTAGTACATTATTTTATGTTTAAGATCAGAAATTCGTCTTGCCAAGTTACTTGCTTTGTTTGCCTCATGTAGGGGCAGATATGAACTTACAAGAGAAGCCCAACTAGGTGGAGAATTCTGTCATGCATATGCAGTGAGACTATGGTGGTCTCTTGGGAAATGCTCAGCACTTGATCTTTACTTTTAAAAATCAAAAATTCAAATGGATGATGGCATTCCCAAATGAATTGCTTATCGGGGGAACCCGCCCGCAATATTTCAACGTATATTCTTTCCATTTTCCCTAAGTGTTGGCTGATCTGAGAAATGAAGAGAAAGAGTACAAAGAGAGGAATTTTACAGCTGGGACTCCAGGGGTGACATCACATATCAGTAGGACCATGATGCCCAACTGAGCCACAAAACCAGCAAGTTTTATTAAGGATTTCAAAGGGGGATGGTATGTACGAAGAGGGATTAGGTCACAAAGATCACATGCTTCAAAGGGCAAAAAAGGAGAACAAAGATCACATGCTTCTGAGGAAACAGGGCAAGGACAAAAGCAAAGATCACAAGGCAAAGGGCAAAATTAGAATTACTCATGAGGGTCTATGTTCAGCTGTGCACATATTGTCTTAATAAACTTCTTAAACAACAGAAAACAGCGTTCGAGAGCAGAGAACTGGTCTGACTTCAAATTTACCAGGACGGGATTTTTTCCCCACCCTAATAAGCCCGAGGGTACTGCAGGAGACCAGGGCGTATTTCAGTCCTTATCTCAACCACATAAGACAGACACTCCTAGAGCAGCTGTTTATAGACCTCCCCCAACGAATGCATTCCTTTCCCAGGGTCTTAATTATTAATATTCCTTGCTAGGAAAAGAATTCAGTGATATCTTCCCTACTTGCACCTCTGTTTATAGGCTCTCTGCAAGAAGAAAAATATGGCTGTATTGTGGCCAACCCCACAGGCAGTCAGACCTTATGGTTGTCTTCCCTTGTTCCCTAAAATTGCTGTTATTCTGTTCATTTTCAAGGTGCACTGATTTCATATTGTTCAAACACACATGTTTTACAATCAATTTGTACAATAGTGGTCCTGAGGTGACAAATATCCTCAGATTACGAAGATAACAGGATTAAGAGATTAAAGTAAGACAGGCGTAAGAAATTATGAGTATTATTTGGGAACTGATAAATGTCCATGAAATCTTCACAGTTTATGTTCAGAGATTGAGATGAAGACAGGTATAAGGAATTATAAAAGTATTAATTTTGGGAACTGATATATGTCCATATTAAAATGAAATATTTGCAATTTATGTTCCTCTGCCGCGGCTCCAGCTGCTTCCTCCGTTTGGGGTCCCTGACTTCCTGCAGCAGTTGCTATTTGGAGCATAGCTTCTAAGACCAATTTTTGTTCATTTTTTGTCTACATTCTAGGAACTCATGAGAGCCATGTCTTTATTAGTTTTCTTGAAAGAAACCAGAAACAAAGAAACAGAGAAAAGAGAGAGAATGGAAAAAGGAAGGAAGGATGGGAGAAAGGAAGGAAGGAAGGGAGAGAGGAAGGAAATGATTTTTCTGGTCATTAATTTTATATCTCTTAGATTCCTCCTTCCTTTCTAGAGTTAGGAGTATTATTTATTATCCTATATGTTGAAGGTGTTGAAATTAATTGTACCAAAATTTGTAATGCCTTGTTAATATATAATTTTCCAAAGGTAAAAGTATTAGTCATGTGCAAATATAAATTGAGCATATGCCAATGTTTCTATTTAAATCATTAATAATGAGGGAATCAGTAAGAAGTTATGACTGGTTGAAAGAGCATTTAGAAAGTTAGATATACATAGGCAATGTTTCAATAAAATGGCTGTGTTAGAAGCAAATCTAGTTGATGTCTAATGAGATTATGAATTTACGAGGGTGCCTATTCTGCCAAATAAAAATTATTTTTTTTCACACCAGACAAAAATCTGCAAGTTAACTAAACAGCCTTGCTAAACCTTGGCCCTTTAATCAACATCAAAGAGTAAGATGAACTAAATACCTTATTCTAGATACCTTTTGGTTGGCTTTGCCTTTATGTGACAGAAACAACATGCCACCTACCTTTCTGCCTTATTTGCAAATCTCAAGAAAAACTTTCTGACACCTTCTGGGTACTGTGTATTGCGGTTCTGGGCCTACTAGCCTGTGATCTATTCCTTGCTTTATCCCTGCCCTGCAGTGCTCTGTATAATCATAGCTAAATTTCCCAGGTTCCTGTCAGCTGACTTGTGCTTGGATCTGGCCAGTGGCATATAAAGTCAGGATAGGTGAGGAGGAAGGTAAAAGCCAGGGCATTCCTCTCCCTCTCTGTCTGCCTTGAGGAAGCCTCTCTTACATTAGTTGTGTCTCTTCTGTGGTTCAAGATTGCCGTGGGCAGTCCCCACTGGTGTTTCTCTCTTCTGCAGGAACTCCCAAAGCCACTGGGGTCTGGTGATCCTGCCTCCCTCTTTTGACCCTCCAAAAGCTTCCTGCAGTTGCTTATTTGGGTTATCCTCACTATTCCCTGGTTGTTTTCTCATCTCCCATCATCCAAGTAATCAATTGCAAGAATTAAACTTAGTTTTAAATGTTCAGAGTTTTGTTTTCCTAGTTAGACCTTAACTTATTTAGTAGTATTTCATTTTTTATTCTTATTGTTAAGCCTTGCTAAGCAACTCAGAAGTTTATACCAGTGATGATGCGTTCTCAAAACTACTTCTGTCAATGTCAATATAATGCTTCAAAGATATCATAAAGAAAGAATTATTTACAATGATTCTGAGAGATTATGGCTACAAAAGCTACATTTCTACAGAAGCAAGGGAAATTCTGTAAAACCAAATATGAGTTTTTTGTCATTCAACTTTAGTTTTTTCTTGAAACTTAGGTATTCATACATACATGAAAGAAGGCAGAGAGGGAAAGAGAGAGAGAGAATCAATCAAATTGGAGTCTAAAATAATTTTTATAATACATATAACAACCTTCACAATAAAAGTTGTCTTCTCAATCAATTCTTTTGGACTCGATTTGATTGCTTTTTATGCCACAAATTGTATCTCCAAAAAATTGGCCTTTCAAGAGACGCTTCTTGAAATGACTCAATTTTTCTATCACTGAGTATCAAGAGTAACAGAAGGACTTCTATGCTCTCCAATAGTATCTGCCATGGAAATATTTCTGTTTTTAGATATTTTTGTGTTGTGTGATCTATTGTAATTGGAAAAATATCATGTTGACTTTTCTTTCTGTGGTTTTTTTCCGTATGCATGTTTGTGTAAAAATCTATTTTTAAAAGATTTTCTTCTCTGCTAGTGCATTTTTGAAGTGTGTCGGTACATGGTACTGCATTAATTAAGAATAAATATCCCAAGCCATTTGATATATTTGTGTCACCCCAAAATTCATAGGTTCAAATTCTAACCCTTCCAAGGTGACGGTAGGAGGTTGGGCCTTTGGGAGGTGATTAGATCATGGGGGCAGAGCTCTCCTGAATGGGATTAGTGTCTTCATAAAAGACACCCCAGAGGGCTGGTTTGCTCCTTCTACCATGTGAGGTTACAGTGAGAAGACAGCCATCTATGAACTGGGAAGAAGGCCCTCACCAGACATTGAATCTGCCAACACCTCGGTCAGGGATTTCCCAGCCTCCAGGACTGCGAGAAAGAAATTTCTCTTGTTTATAAGCCACCCAGTACATGGTATTTTGTTTGGTCTAATATACCACTTTTAACCATTCCTTTGTTATTTTTGGTGGAACTGGTGCTGAGATTGCTTTGCTCAGCCAATATAGTAATAGATTTTACTGGTTTTCACCACCTTAGTGCTTCAGGAGCACCCAAATCTCAGAGTTCTTTGCCCAACCAACCTTTTATCTCCTCACTTTCATTCTTTCTAAGCCACAATTTAATTTGATTTTTGTAAAAGTACTCAACACACTTTTTTCTTTCCTCTGATTTTGCAAAAAGAAAAAAGAAAAGATAAATTCAGCCATCATAGTTTGTTTCATCATATTTCTCTTTCTCTTTTCACTTAATGTGTATTTTCTTCTTTATGTCTACCTCAAACCTGAAATATGTGCCTGTTTTCAGTTAGTTCAGTAGATAAGCATGATATATGTGACAAAAGATATATATATATATATTTTTTATGTTAAATCTATTTTTTTTTATCCTTGGCTTAGCCATATGCCTAAAAGAGCCTAGAACTGTATCTCAACATCACTATCAACTTTGGATGCTTCATACCTTTTCAAAACCTTTTAAATTCAAGATGAATTTTGACATCTTTTTATTTTTCAGGCTTTTAAATTTGTCATGGTCAGTGATTCAAAAACTACCAAGTAAAGGATCTGACTTCTAAGTTAAGTCACTTTCCTTGTGACTTGGACATTTTACTTAAATAGGGAACTACATCATTAAAATTCTTTTTTTAATTATCAAAAGATATCAGTCAATTCCCCAGAAGTGAATAATCACAATGTTTTAGCTCTTTTAGTCCTTCCTTCTTTTGGAGGAAGATTTATATTTCCAAATAAAATGCTGTATTCTTTCTTGATTTATCAATTTCAGACTTTATGGACATCCACAATGATAATAGAGGAAATAACTCTTGTACATTAACTTCATCAACTTCCTTACTCTAATGTTCTCAAAAGAGATATTGTGCCTTATTTTGTTTTAAAATTACTAGTGTTTATAGTAATATGACTTTGTATATATTATTCAACTGTCAATCAGATAGTAAACTATGACTGTTTCCTATCTCATACAACTTCTTTCTTCCTCCTAGATTCATAATTATTGTATTTTTTCATACATATATTTCACAATTTTGTAAATGCTTGATCTGTCAAAACGAATTTCCAAACATTCTATCAGTTCCATTGGTCATTAGTTCCATTTTTTCCCTTACAGGTTTCTCTCACACTTCCTTTCCTCTGTACTCATACTTCAATCTGGACTAGTTAGTTTCCAGGATGGACACATACCTCTTATTGTAAGACTTCCCTTCCCAACTTACCTGTCTTAGATTTTCTGTTATGTTCTTGTACTGGTCAAATGCATCTCCTCAGTGGCTTCTTGAAAAAGAGTGCATGAAAATTCAAATTTTTGAAGTTGTTGAATATTTGAAAATGCCTTTATTCTTTCCTCAAACTAGATTGAGAGTTTGGCTGAGTATAGAATTCTAGGTCAGACCTAAGACCATCTGCATAACATGCAGGACCCAGTGAAAAAATGAAAATATGCAGTTTCTTGCTCAAAATTATCAAGAATTTCAAGATAGCGACAGCAGAGCACTAAGGAAAGTGCAGGGCCCTCCCAAGTGCAAGGCCCTGAGTGACTGCACAGGTACATGCCCATGAAGCTGGCCTTGGGAGGTCCTTTCAGCATGGAGATTCTAAGTTCTGGGAAAGTGACTATTTCTTTGATAATTTTGTCTAATTCTCTTCTGTATTCCTTATGTGTAGAACCCCAATTAGCTGGATATTAGATCTCCCAAACCGGCTCTCTAATGTTTTTCTTTATTATTCTAGTATCCATCTTGCTGTCTTTTTGCCCACTTCCTGGGATAGAAATTGGACTTTTCCTCTACCCCTTCTGTTGACATTTTCATGTAAATTATTAGTGTTAATTTCCAAAAGCCCTTTCATCACCATTTATTCCATTTAAAAAGTAGCATGTTTTTGCATCATGTATCAATCTCTTTTCTCAAAGTTTTTTGTTTGTTTCTTAATAGTTCTTTTCAGTCTCTGTTTCAGTTTATTAAGTCATATTAATGTTTCAGTGGTGAGCACCAATAAAGAAATTTTTTAATCTACCAGGAGTTAATGCAAACCATAAATACCCTTTTGTCTATTTCTTTTTGAACAATATAAAAATTATACCACAGTTAAATGATGTAATATGACTCAGTTATTTCAGATGGTTAACACTGACCAGAAACACTTGATTGGTTCCTTGTTTAGACTCGATATGATCTTACTGTTTTCTTATCTTCAAGGAGAAACAAATTGATCTTGAAAGCATTTCTAACTCTTTGAATGTTTACATCTCTGTACTTACGAGGAACTCTTCAACAAACTGGAAATTACATAATGTCCATTTTTGTAGAAAAAGTTAATACCTCTTGAAGTAAAGAAATAGTTTACCTAAATTGTGACTTTTGGGGAAGAGAGAATATATTCCTTTGTACTTAAAAGAGTTTTTTTCAGTCACATATTCTCTGCTTCAATAGGATTATTTTGCTCCTTTAAATGTAGACTGTAAACACATTTTTAAGAGTAATACTGTTTGCCATACTATTTTTGTTGTATATGTTTAAGGTAGACCAACATGATGTTTTATATACATATACAGTGAAATGATTAGTACACTCAAGCAAATTAACATATCCATCATTTCACATAGGTAGCTTTTTTTTTTTTTTTTGGTGGTAAAGGTACCTAAAAGTCTACTCTCTTAGCAAATTTCCAGTGTACAATGCAATATTATTAAGTGTAGTCCTCATGCTGTGCATTATGCCATTGATCCCGTTTGTTTTCATTGTGTTCAATTATAGAAATTGTTTGGGGAATTATTTATCCTATAAAATAAAGGTATCATGGAGCTTTACAGTTATATTTGCCTGTATGAAAAAAATACTGGAAAAGTCTTTACGTCCATAAACCCTGCATTTTAGATTAAGGTTAGGGTTTAATTTCCTGAGCATCGACCTGCAGAATAGATAAGACTTCATTATTTAACAGATTTTATTATCAACTTTTTATTGTTTTAGAGTCAAGCAGGACTTACTGAAAATGACACAGTAGCTTCTTGTTCTGATAGTTTCTATTTATGCGATTTCATGCGCTTCTGCTTATGGCCAGATTTTAATGTTAATATTAATATATATTATAGGTATATAATTTCTTTTAACTTTAGCTCTTCTGATTCTTAGTATGGATTTCTTACAACCATATCCTTTTCACTTTTGTATTTCAATCAGATCACAAGTGGGAACGTTGATAGTTATATAATAATTATAAATTATTTTAATAAATTTTATTTATTGAATTATTACGTTTTATTCATGCTCTGTCACATGAGGGATATCCTGGGTATTTTGTATCCTAAAATTTAAAAAGACATGCATAGACACACAGGATTTTTCCATATGAGAACATTGTTACTTATGTAGGTGGTCATTCTGCAAGATTGGGTTATGTAACGGTAGCTTAGAAGGTATTCAGAGTACTTGGTTATAAAAACTGCATCATTTGACATTGAGTAACTTTTCATTTGGAATGTAGCAGTTCTGTATTTGAATTAAAATACTCAATAATTTTCTACAACTCAGTACTCTTTGTTCAAAAGAAGAAATTATGTGTCTTCTGCAATTGCTTGATTTAACCACAGAGCCAATCAATTGCTTTCAAAGATGGTATTGCTATTTTTGTTTCTGTCTTCTTTTATGTGTCCTGATCGTTAGAAGGTAAGGAAGTCCCTTTAAAAACTAAGCAGATCAAAGTGTGCTCAGCACATATTTTCAGGCTGATTTTTAAAGTCTTAGGAATTATCAAAGATTTGTGTCATTCTCTTTGGGAAAAGATCATTAATGATGCTTTAGATTTTTTTCATGTCTTTGATAATATAACTTAGAATTCTAAATATTTTAATAAAATAGATGAAAAATGAAGGTATATACCAATAGCCTCTATTTAGCCCATAGCCTTTTTCTTTCTCAAATTACTGATTACATATTTTAGCTTGCAATTTGCAATTTGATAAGTGCAGACACAGGTATACACTTGTGAAACCATCACCATATAACAAGAAAATTAACATTATCCATTACTCTCAAAAGTTTCCTTGAACCTCTTCTTCCCTGATTCTTGCTTTCTTCATTCTTAAACAACTAGTATCTACTTTCTGTCACTATTAGGATCATTTGCATTTTCTCAAATTTTATATAAATAGAACTCCTCCTCCTCAATGATTGCATCTAGTTTTGTTATAAAAATAATTTGGTCACCTAGAATGAGTTCAGAAGTATTTACAGTTGATCAATTTTCTGGAAAAGTATGTATAAAATATTATTACATCCTTAATTTTTTTATTTTTTATTTTTATTTATTTATTTTTTTTGAGACAGATTTTTCACTCTTGTTGCCCAGGCTGGAGTGCAATCGTGGCGATCTTGGCTCACCACAACCTCCTCCTCCTGGGTTCAAGTGATTCTTCTGCCTCAGCCTCCTGAGTAGCTGGGATTACAGGCATGCACCACCACACCCAGCTAATTTTGTATTTTTAGTAGAGACGGAGTTTCTCCATGTTGGCCAGGCTGGTCTCAAACTCCCAACCTCAGGTGATCCACCCGCTTCGGCCTCCCAAAATTTACCAGAGAAGTCTTCTAGGCCAGGAGTTTTCTTATGCAAAGGGTTTTTAGCTACAAATTTCATTTATTTGTTTCTTCTTGATATTTGTTAGTTTGTGTCTTTTAAGAAAATAATTCATTTTATCTAAGTTATTGAATTTATTGGCATAATGTTGTTTATATTATTTTATTTGTATAATAACAATCAACATTTTTGTCTACTAATTTATCTTCTTTGTCATATCTGGGTTAATTTTAACTCATTTATTTTTATCCTCATCATGGGTGAATTTTTCTGCTTGTTTGCATGCCTGAAAATTTTTTATTTGCTGAGAGACCAGTTGGGGAACTATCATATCAAAAAGTTGAAATTATATGAAAGTCAGAGAAATGTGAACGTTGTCAATGAGAAACAAATAAAATGTGGCTTAGTTTCTATGTAGGGAGTGATCACAATGAACAGGCATCTTCAAAGGACTTACGAGATAGGTAGCATCTCAGATACGCCTGGTAACCAAACATAATTTAAGACAGTAACAAATGGTAGGAACATGGGAGAAAGAGAGTTCAGCAAGAGAGAAGCACTGGGATCTAAGATGATGTGAGGGTTTTTGAGGAAGAGTGACTACACCAGTTTGCTTAGAAATTAGGGTGTGCATAAAAGAAGCAACGGGAAATACCTGCAGTTTGACATTTGACCACATTGTTTGCATGTCATACACCCCTCAGAGATTGCAAATACCTTGAAGAAGGTATTGTTGTGCACACACACAGGTACCCATGCATTATATATGTATATATGTATATATAAGTGTGGTTTTGTGTGTATCCTTGTATATATAAACTAATGTATACATATGTATTCTTATATATGTACTAATATCTATATATAGATATTTATTCTTTTACACAGCCCTAGGTGCAGTAATAGATACCCAATAATCATTTATCTAACTGAACTGGGTTTTTTAACACCTTTTTAGCAAAGTTGTCTATACTGCTTGATACAACAGCTGTTAACTTGGTTTGCTACCAAACACAGTAGCCGTCCTCATCCACAATTTTCTGGGTCAGAAACTGCTCAGATTAGAACATCAAGAACATGCCCTCACCCTAAGCTTTGGGAACCAGAACAACTTATCTATGCCAGAAATTAAGAACATTGTTTTCTACTCAGCTTGTCCACCCTGATTGATGAAAGAAGCAAAATCATTATTAAAAAGAATTTTTGCTAAATTAAGGGAACTTGTTTATTTTATGCACATGACTTTGTGCATAAAATATTTTATTTTCAGCTCTGAGAATTTGTCTATTGGATGGCTTAAGAATTAGGTAAATAGGATGTGATTATCTTAAAAATAAAAAAAATTGTACAGATATATACAATAAAGCCTTAACACTTTGGAACCCACCAGTACAGAACATACAATCATTTGAAAATTATTCATGAAGATGTTTGACCTTGTATTATCTAGGAAGAAAGTAAAATAATAGCCGAAATAAGATTGTTGAGGATTGTTGTATATATAATTTGATTACAAAAGCATATTTGCAATTAGGATAGTGATGATATAAATGATTACAATTAGGATAGTAATAATAATATAAATTATTCCATTAAGCTCGTGTTCTAGTTGTAAATAATATTTTTACAATATAAAGGTTTTCCTTTTTATGTAAATAGAAATGTGCACTCATTAATGAAAATTTAGTGCAAGAAGCAAAGGAGAAAAAACGAGTCCTAGTAACCCCCCAATATACATTTCTATCCAGTCTTTTGGGGTTGGCATAGTGAATATAGGCGTGTGTGTGTGTGTGTGTGTGTGTGTGTGCATGTGTGCATGAGGGGATATGGTTTTACTGAGTTATAACTATATGCGATTACATTTTCTAATTGGGTGGTAAAACCTTACTGAAGTGTTTTTCCCCAGTGGAAGTTTTATGTCCAATTATAGGTTTATATACCTAATTATGAATTATCAAGACATAATTCATAATATTTTGTTTTTAAACCACATTGAGATCTCTGTGTGAAAGGGCATGTTCATTGTGCAAGCATTAGAGCCTCTTGATTTTCACAAGTCTTATCAGTTATAGTTGCAGATGGGATGAATCCCCTAGGAACAACCACAGGCTGTTGTGAGTTAGGAAATGCACTTGTCCATGGTCTCCTAGGGTACTCATCATCTCATTTGATAATGAAGATTTCTCCATTCTTGACAACCTTATTTTGCTTCATTCTCTATTCATTTATCAGTGTGTTTTGGGTTCATTTGCCTATAAAAGAAACCACAAAATAATTGTGGCTTAAATGCAATTTTTGTTGTTCTTGCATCAGAAACAAGTCCAGAGATGGGCGATTTCATTCAGGTGGACCCATAGCATGATATCCAGGCCACTTCCATTTTTTCTTTTCTACCATGCTTAGTGTGTGGCTTTCTTTTGCCAGGTCATTTATGATCCCAGATGGCTGCTGGCCTTTAGAGAGTTCCGCTGCATTCCAGACAGCAAGAGAACTCCTTCCGGTACAGTTAGCTCTCTCCAAAGAACTGTTCTGAAAGTTTCACCAACAACCTCCATGCACATCATCTGTGGCAAGAATTTACTCATGTGACCATACCTAGCTTCAAGAGAGCTTAGAAAATGTAGTGTTTTTAGTGGGAAAATCGCTAACAAATAAAAGTAGAATGCAGTTTTTCAGGGAAAAGGAAGGCAACCCTTTGAAGTACTATTGTTTTTAAGCCACCTTATATTACCAAGCTGAACTCAAGTAATTTTCACAAGAAAGACATATGATAGTATATTTCTAAGCCATTGCAGGACTATGGAAAAACAAAAACTCTATCTTCTACTTTCATAAATAAAGGACAGTTTGACTAAGAATAATGTTCTTGGGTCATAACCATTACAAAAATCTCAAAACCCTCTGTATCTTGATCCATTATAACCACATTTGGTGTTTCAGACAAGCCTCAAAGCCAGGCTTAATTTTTCCTTTCTAAGTAACCTGTTTTGGTTGCCTTTTTGTTGTGCTTTGTTTTGCTTATTCTGTATTAATAAGACTTATTTATTGGTATATACAATTTATTTTTCAATGTTATTGCCTGCTGATATTTTATCATACAAAAGTAAATGGCATAAAAAAAGTAATTGTTTACAGCTTCCTGAGTAAGACGTTTTCATTTAGGTGTGTCTTTTTTTTCCCATAGAGAAATGAACTATTGCTTATGGGTGGAGAAATGTCAAATACCTTTGCTGAAATTCTTAACTTGCCTTTGTATCTTCACCCTTGGCATTGAAAATTATCCAAAATAAATTGCTAGGAAATCTGCTAAATTATCTCTAAGGGAGTGCCTAAAAGTAGCCGCAATCTACTCTCTTTTGCAATACCTCTGAATAGAATGGAATTAAATTCTGTCTGATGACTTAGGAAAATAGACAAGTAGTCTTCATATTGCTTATCTGTAGTATGGAGAGAGTAAGGAATATGTTCCTTTTGTACTTGGTAAAGAGCAGTATCTTCAGAAACACGCAGCTTACAATTTAATGCATAGAAGTTGCCAAAGCTGTTACAAACTTGTTAAGGTAATTTGTATCACCTTACTTTATTAGTTACCTATTGCTATATAACAATTATCTCAAGGCTTGGGGCTTAATACACTAAGATTAATTATCTCGTGGTTTCTGTAACTCAGGCATCTAGCTGAGTCCTATACTTTAAAATTCCTCAGAGCATTGGGACACATCATCCTAAGGACTCAAACATGAGAAAATATTTTCAAATTTGCCTCAGGTGAAAAATGAGTGCAGTAAATACACTAAGGACACATACGTATATTTTTTCTTGTCTCAATTAACTTTTAAAATAATGTTTGCCTTTCGTCTGTCTTTATTGCTTTATACAGTGAATAATAGCGAATCTAGCAGTCAGAAAAGCACTCTTTGTTTTTTTGTTTATTTTATGAAGTCTTCTTTTAATTTTATTTCTTAATTTTTTATTTATTTAGTAGTTTTTTTGGGGGGTACAGGTGGTTTCTGGTTACGTGGATAAGTTCTTTAGTGGTGATTTCTGGGATTTTTGTGCACCCATCACCCGAGCAGTGTACACTGTACCCAATATATAGTGTTTTATCCCACACCCCCTCCCACTCTTCCTCTGTGAGTCCCCAAAGTCCATTATATTATTCAGATGCCTTTGCATTCTCACAGTTTAGCTCCCACTTATAAGTGAGAACATACTATATTTGGCTTTCCATTCCTGAGTCACCTAACTTAGAATAATGGCCTCCAGCCCCATCCAAGTTGCTGCAAAAGACACTATTTTATTCCTTTTTATGGCTGAGTAGTATTCCATGGTGTATATATATACATATATATATATATGTATATATATACCACATTTTCTTTATCCACTCATTGGTCAATGGGCACTTAGGTTGGTTCCATATTTTTGCAACTGTGAATTAAGAAGAGTGTCCTTTGAATATTCTCCTAGTGCCAACATTAAAAAAACAGAAAAACCATAGAATAAATTATAGGAATATACTTTTCTGAAAATGTCTATATTGTCTTGAATTTTCAGGAAGACTATCTCTGAAATATTATACTTAAACTAGCTACCCATACTCCTAATATTATTGCGAGCTGAATATAATACCTAATAATTCCTTACATAATAAAGACTGGTCTTAATTATATCAAAAAAAAATCTGAAAATAATGCTATTTGTTGACCTAGAAATAGCTATGTTAAAAATCTTAACTGAGTGTATTTAATACTGTACTATTTTCCATATAGTTACAATAAATTCCTTGCTCTTTCTCTCTTTGGCTACTTTTTTGAAATAGACTAAGATGCTTGGTGAAGCAGCTGGAAAGAGGTGATGTTAACGTCGTCGACTTAAAGAAGAATATTGAATATGCGGCATCTGTGCTGGAAGCAGTTTATATCGATGAAACAAGGTAAGTTTTAACCTTCTTCTCTTTTATCTTCTTTGATTCTCTCCCGTTTTTCTTCCTCTTTCTTGACCCTCCTTTATCTCAAACAGGAATTTAGCATATCTTCCTGTGAAACCAAAATCAAATCTTATTAAAATTTGAAATGTTCTTCTTCATGTAGCTAATTAACTGGACTATGATTCTCTAAAATTAATACACATTTTAATCCAAATGTTTGAATGTCATAAGATAGTCAAACACTAAAGTGAAAAAAAAATCTCCTCTTCCCCCATCCTCAGTCTCCTTGGGCTCAGACTTTTAAATGTCAGAGTTACGTGTAGGCTTATACTGGTTTTCACTGATGTAAGGATTTTCCCTATTATCTCAAATGTCAGAGTCCCTTTAGGAAAATGGGTGTTATATGCCCACACATTCTCATGAGATGTGTCTAACAGGCCCTCTATGCAGGGATTGCTAAGGGGCATCCCAAATGTGTGTTTTTGATCATCCAAACCTAGCCTCATAATTAGCAGTTGTAAGGAGATTAGGAAAGGGGGACTTATTTGAAGAGGGTTGCCAGCTTAGTGCTGTGACCCTCAAAGAGGCTGTTCACCCCCTGGAGGATATTTGGCAAATCCAGGAGATGTGACCAGTGTCTCTTGGTGTTCAAAGATATCTGGTTCCTAATTCTCTTCTCAAAAAGGATAAAAGTGACAGGCTAATCAGGGCTACCTGTGAATTCAGAGCTAAGAGGGAACCTGTGGGGAGAGAGGCATGCATTTCCAGCATTTGACATGGAAAAGGTGCTAATTTTTTTCACAGCCATAAAGCAGGTAGAATAGAGGTCTCTTAAAGCACCAAAGACTACTTAAGTCAAATAGTGAAAAAGAGGCTGCATAGAGTAAGTGATGGTATAAGAGCCAGGGTAGGAATTATAAAAATTCAGCTAAAATAGTAGAAAATATATATATTCAAAGTACTCTCTTGGTGTTAGCAAGTTGTCTCTGAAGGACCCACAAATGGTCCCCAGGAGAAAAAAAATAGGCAGCATTTGGGCATTTGTCACATAGATGACAGCAAAACCACCAGTCTAGCCAGACCCTTTGGTCCTATAATTTCCTGCCTCTCGCACCGCATTGCTAAACAACCAGAAGCAGCAGTGAGTGGGAATATGGAGGTGAGGACACCCACTAGGCCCCTTCCACTCAGCAGGAGTCCATGCCTGTCCCAGGCCTAAGCTTGGGGAAGATGAGCAATGTTAAACTGGATGGGCAACTAAATAACATTGGTTTTTATTTACCTATGTGTACTGGACTTCACAGGCACGCAGATACACACACACACACACACACACACACACACACACACATTGTTTAATAAGTAAAAAATTCACATGATGAAATTCTTGCCTCTACCCTGGTCACAGTCTACTCTGTTTCTCATAAATTTCTTATACATCTTTCCAGTGATTTATTACATATTTTTATTTTGTATTTTTGCCTCATCCTTTCATGGAAGGTAGTATACTACGTAAACAGTCTCTCATTCTTCTTTTTTCACTGAAAAAGGAAACTTAAAAGTTTCCTTTTATTTTATTCTGATTTTTTAAATATTTGACAATGAGAATTTTTACTAATAGCTGGCAGAAGAGGCCATATTGAGAGCTTTGTTGCACAAGCGATTCTTTCTTTGTCTGCAGAGTGAAACTCCTCTACTAAAGCATAGCTTGGAGAAATTATTTGAGGAAAAGGAAACAGGCTGGGCACAGTGGCTAACACCTATAATCCTAGCATTTTGGGAGGCTGAAGTGGGCGGATCACTTTTGAGCCCAGGAGTTCACAACCAGCCTGTGCAACATAGCAAAACCTCATCTCTACAAGAAAACACAAAAATTAGCCAGGCATTGTGGCGTGTGTCTGTAGTCCCAGCTATTTGGGAGGCTGAGGTGGGAGGATCACTTGAGCCAGGGAGGCCGAGGTTGCAGTGAGCTGAGATTGTGCCACTGCACTCCAATCTGGGTGACAGAGTGAGATCATGTCAATAGATAAATGAATAAAAGAAGGAAAGAAGAAATAAAAAAAGAAGAAAGAAAGAGAGAAAGAAAAAGAAAGAAAGAAGGAAAGAGAAAAAAAGAAAAAGGAAAGAAAGGGAAAGAAAGAAGAGAAAGAAAGAAAGGAAAAGAGAAAGAAAGAAAGGAGAAAGAAAGAAATTATTTTCTTGGTGAATGTTCACTGAATGTGTATGAATGTACATGATTCTTCTAAGTAAACAGAATCCAAAGTGCAAATTTTAAAAATATCTGATGTTTTTCCCTTGCTCCCTCATTTTTATGTGTGCTCTTATTGTTCACAAGATGATTCAACTTAACAGGTTTAAGATTTATTCAATCTGTCCTTGAACAGATATTTTCTTTTCTATTTATCTATAAAACTTTAGAACCAAAGAACGATTTGAAGATTTCGTTATTCATCTTCTAATGGCATAATGCTAACTACCTGGTTTGCCTAAGTGTCCTGTCTGTCATTTAATAGATTATTATATGCTTTATTTATTTATTCATTTTTCTGGTGCATTTCCTTTCCCTGAGAAGTATGACTCCATGGATATTTGCTAACTTAGTTCCCTATGATCCCTAACTCATTTAAATGTATATTATACCTAAAGTATAGCCCTTTTTCATTTGAAAATTGCTCTTTTGCGGGGAAAAGAGGTTGAGCACAACGCTGCCCTGCTTCGTGGTAGAAATTCATTTATTTTTTTCCTTCACATAACAAAACATTCCATCTTTTAACACCACATTATTCCTAATATTTACTCCAAATTTTTATTATTTTATTATAATGCTTCCATGGCATCATGAGTTTTAAATTGGATTAATAATAATACCCCACATTTGTATCATCTTCAAAGGGCTCTTAGTTTCATTATCTCACATTAGTGTCACCACAATCCTATGTGATTGGCAGGATGATTATTACTTTCTGCATTTTACTAATGAGATAATTAAAGCTCTTAGAAGGGAAACGGTTTGACACAGGTCATGGATGGAAGTGTTGGCAAAACTGGGACTAAAACCTAACCCATGACTTCTTATTTAGTACTCCTTCCTCTATACCTGACTCTTCTCAGAGTATTCCTATAAAACAGAATGGTTTTTAGTGACCTCTGAAAGATTTAGATGACAACATATAAAACATTTTGATAGCTGGAATTGTAAATCCTGTAGCTAACACGTATTAAGGGCCCACTATATGCTAAAAAATCTTCTAAGCATTTTATATATACCATTTTATTTAAACATCATAAAAGTCCTATGAAATAGAAACTCTATTATTACCAGATTGTATATGAGAAAACTTAAATCACAGAAAAGTTACATAGCTTACCAAAGGGAAGACAGGGAGTTGAAGAGTTGGATTAGGGCCTTGGCAGTCTGACCCTAGGGCTTGGGCTATGAAGTGCAATTCTCATCCTCATCCCTTTTCTAACATTTGATGAAAAGGTGACTTCAGAGACACTGAAGTTTGATGAAAGTGCACAGGTTGTCAGGATCATCAGCCCCAGTGGTGTACTGATTGTGTGGCATCTCTTTCCAATTCTGCCTTCAGTAGTTTCATGTGGCTAGCTTGAAAATGGCTACCGTGGGAGTATCCACACCCATGAAAAATAACATGCTACAAATCAGAATTTATTTTTTTCTGGAGAGTCTGTTGTTAAACATTTACCATCATACCACAGGTCAGACCTAAGATTACCTCTTACAAATCTCCTAAGAGCTGCGATTTCATGATCAAAATATCAGCTTAAGATTTTTTAGAACAATAATAATTTATGTGGTTGATTTTCTATATACTTAGTAAGATACACAGCAGTAAACTGAGGATGTTTCTGTTGAGATGTCCATACAATTATTAAAGTACCATTTCCCTTAAAACTATCAGTAAAACAGAGATTATGTAAAAGGAGTCAGGTCCAAGAAGCATTTAGTTGCTTTTAAACTTTAAAAACCTTTTGACTTCTGAAATGTTTTTTGATAGAAAATTCGATGCCGTGAGTATTCCAGAGAGGTATTGTTTGAATGTTGAGCTGGACTGAAAGAAAAAAGTCAGCACAAAATAAAGCAATGTAAAACACAAATTATTAATTGGTTTAAAACACACACACATACAGAGCCTTAATGATTGCAGAATTTCAGTTAAGAAAGCAATCAAAACAAAAATCTCCCTTTAAAGATGATTTTGGTGAGAAAAATAAAAAGTTTCTGAATTCTGACTCTTAGTGGAGATAATAGCACAATACCCTAATGAATATGACTGCTGGATTTTTTAAAAGACATTTTCAAATGCAAATGCCAATCCTTTATGAGTCTTGTGTTCAGAACTGTCTCTAGAGGCTATTGTTTTTCAAACTTACAAAGTTTTAATCCAGAAACATGTAGCCTAAAAAAATATGTTCGATTGTCCTTATTTGGATTGGGATATTGCCAAGCAAAGTAGCATTTTTGGCCTCATGCATAGCAGGGCAGGCAGCTGCCTGAGAGATATACTTTCAAGATCGGTATTGTGCTTACTAATACCTCCTAAAAACACAATTTATAACTTTCTTTGTTTAACATGAACCAATCTGTCTCATAATTTCGATGATTAGCGCTTAGACTCTGGATTCAGAAAGAGTAGGTTGTTCAAAGTCTGGATTCTCTACTTAATACTCTTTCTTTAAGGAAGTTACTTTACATCCCTGGCTTTATCATCTACAAAATAAGAGTAAGGACAATGTTCACTTCGTAAAGTTGATATGAGAATTAAATGTGTAACAATGCCTAAGAGTAAAATTTAAATAATAACAAGATATTTCTATTTTAAATAAAATTCTTATTTATTACGTATGAGTAAAATGCAAATAACTCTGGGATACATAACACATGAAGCTATATGATTTACATATTCTAATAAAGGTAACAAATGCTTCCCTGAGAGCAGTTTTTAATCCTGAGAAAATGAAAACGGGTACTGGTCACCAAGGAATGAAAGCATAAAATTATGGAAAAGAGTGCCTTTCCCTTAATACAGAGTCACATTATCTCTGTAAAAACATCAGTTGACTTTTGCGTCTTGCTAAATCTAGGGATCCTTAATTTGGGGTTAGATACTGCATTGATGTCAATCAGTACTTTGAGAAGTTAGTCTGGTAGAAAGAAATTGAGCGTCATTTAGGGTACATTAGAGGCTAAGATCCTTGAAATTACTGAGTAGAGGGACTTTCCAAGGAATCTTCACTCATTTAACAAATACCTGTTGAGTACCTGAAATGAATACCAGACACACTGGTAATCAGAATCAGGAGCAAAATTGTGCAGGCAGCTGGTGGCTAGAACTGGGTCTAGAATTGTGAAGACAAACCTAGGCACAAGAACAAATGCTCAAACAAGAAACAGAGAGATTTAGAGAGAGACCCAAGCAACAGTGACAGATTACAAGGAGGAAACACCAAGTATCAACAGTAACTGATAACCAGAGGGAGTAACATGGGGTAAGAATGGGGTAAGAATTTATACAGAGTCAGACTTCCAAACCAGATATGTCTAGACTTCTAGACTTGCAGGCATTTTTGAGTATTAATGAGTTTGTTCTCTGGCAAAGCTCTCCCTGCCTATTCTTAAAGACATGGCTTCTAACAAGAGGACTAAAGGTAAAATATGTCTGGAATATGCTAGATATATGTGCATGGAAGCTCAGAAATATAGTGCCATTTAGAGATATGAATTATAACTCAAGGGTCTCAGAATTTTTAAATACCTTTACTTTGATGCTAACGTTCAATAGTTGGAGCTCCTTTACTGTTTGAATATGTTCTCCATCCTAAAGTTCTTGAGAATGGTCAGTGAATGTTTACTTATTTCACCAGTCTGTCCTGGCTGTCACTTTCCTTTGCAGCCAGCTCTCTGGCTTCAGACTGATGAATTGTTCCTTTGCATTTTTTTCTTCTTACCTATTTTTTTCCTCAAGTCCAGCTGTGTATAGCCAGGATCCCAAGCATGAGTTCAATCCCTTCCTCCTGTTCTCCAAACTGAAGCTAAAATCAGCTATAATTGCAATAAGGCATTAGTGATAGATGCTTACTTTTTTCTTTTTTCTTTTTTTCTTTTCTTTTTTTTTTCGAGATGGAGTCTCATACTGTCGCCTAGGCTGGAGTGCAGTGGCACAATCTCGGCTCACTGCAAGCTCCACCTCCCGGGTTCATGCCATTCTCCTGCCTCAGCCTCCCGCGTAGCTGGGACTACAGGTGCCTGCCACCACACCCAGCTAATTTTTTTGTCTTTTTACTAGAGATGGGGTTTCACCGTGTTAGCCAGGGTGGTCTCGATCTCCTGACCTCGTGATCTGCCCGCCTCGGCCCCCCAAAGTGCTGGGATTACAGGCGTGAGCCACCGCGCCCAGCTGATAGATGCTTTCAAAAATCTACAACTTAAGCCCTTTCATAGAGGTCCCTTATCAAGCATCTTGGTGCATCCTCTAATGCCTGATGCCCATGTCACAGAGACCTTCCACTACAGAAGTCCTTTTGACATGTCTTGCTGTCCTGAGTTCAGGACCTCAAGTTCTGTGACTAAAATAAAGATAGGGGCCAATCAAAATTAATGTCATTCATCTCTAAGGATCAACCCCTATGTTAAAAGACTGTGCAGTCTAAATTCACATTTAGAAAAAACATGACAGTTTTCTAAAGGACACAGAACCTGAGAGTGATGCAGCTGTGCTCATGGTGAAGACAAGCTTGAGCATTACTTTCTGGAGATGTTTAGCCTCTTGGAATCCCATTGTCTCAGTCTTCTAAATGCCAAAGGAGAGCCCTTACTTTTTTTAGTGTAACTAAAAGACCTATTCAAAGTATTTTTTATAAAACAAAAGAATTAGTCTGCACTGAAGGTAAAATAAAGCCTATCTATGTAGACTAAACCAATTTTTTGACTTTTCAAATGTCAAAGTTTTTTCACTTTCAACTATTAAGGTTTAAAAAACGCTTGGAATTCCATATCAAAATGGGCTACCATGTTATCCCACTAATTTAAATCAAGGGAGGGGATAAAATTGGAGGTGTGGAACAGGAGGGTAGTTAAAGACAGGCAGGTAGTTAAGGAAAACTTGAGTATTTAAGGCAAGGCATGGAGCTACCAAAGAGGAGACTAGAAAGAATAGACACCAAAGCAACAGGCATATATGACAAATATGAATTGCCCAATTAACAGAAAGCAGGGTTACTGAAAAGGGTAAATCAAATGCCACAGGGTGAACCACTGGATGAGTTGGGAGATTCCTAATGCCCTGAAGTAGAGTTTCAGCAAAGAGAAAAAGCTACCAGCCAGAAGATGATACTATGAGGAATTAATGTGGAATGGCTTCGTGAAGAAATTAGTATAGACTATTTTTCCAGAATTTGCTCGAGTACAAAAAACAGAGATAGACCAATCTACTGATTTGGACATATACTTGAGGAATCCTTTTTGTATGTTTTTGTTCACATTGTTTTTAGGATGAAAGGTTGGTATCTGTAGCCCAGAAACGAAAAGTTTAAAAAACGTATTTAGCATGACAAGAAAAAAAAATGCTTCCTAGAAAGATTAGGTCAAGAAGTCATCCTTTTATGGCTGCATAGTATTCCATGGTGTATATGTGCCACATTTTCTTAATCCAGTCTATCATTGCTGGACATTTGGGTTGGTTCCAAGTCTTTGCTATTGTGAATAATGCCACAATAAACATACGTGTGCATGTGTCTTTATAGCAGCATGATTTATAGTCCTTTGGATATATACCCAGTAATGGGATGGCTGGGTCAAATGGTATTTCTAGTTCTAGATCCCTGAGGAATCGCCACACTGACTTATACTATGCAGCCATAAAAAATGATGAGTTCATGTCCTTTGTAGGGACATGGATGAAATTGGAAACCATCATTCTCAGTAAACTATCGCAAGAACAAAAAACCAAACACCGCATATTCTCACTCATAGGTGGGAATTGAACAATGAGATCACATGGACACAGGAAGGGGAATATCACACTCTGGGGACTGTGGTGGGGTTGGGGGAGGGGGGAGGGATAGCATGGGGAGATATACCTAATGCTAGATGACGAGTTAGTGGGTGCAGCGCACCAGCATGGCACATGTATACATATGTAACTAACCTGCACAATGTGCACATGTACCCTAAAACTTAAAGTATAATAAAAAAAAAAGAAAGAAAAATAAAAGAAAAATAAACAAGAAAAAAAAAAAAAAAAAAAAGAAGTCATCCTTGGGAAGTTATCTAGGAAGAGAGAAATAGCCAAACATTGGTTGAAAATGTTGATGTGGCCAGGTGCGGTGGCTCACGCATGTAATCCCAGCACTTTGGGAGGCCGAGGCGGGTGGATCATTAGGTCAGCAGATCACAAGGTCAGGAGTTCAAGACCAGCCTGGCCAATATGGTGAAACTCCCTCTCTACTAAAAATACAAAAATTAGCTAGGTGCGCTAGTGCACACCTGTAGTCCCAGCTACTTGGGAGGGTGAGGCAGGAGAATCGCTTGAACTCAGGAGGCAGAGGTTGCAGTGAGCTGAGACCATGCCACTGCACTCCAGCCTGGGTGACAGAGCAAGACTCTGTCTCAAAAAAAAAAAAAAAAGAAAAGAAAGAAAGAAAAGAAAAAGTGTAGATGAACTTGGAGTTAACTAGTGCACAGCCAAGGGTCTTCAAGTAAGCAAAACATGAGTAGCATTGTAAAATCCGAAAGACTCACTGGTATTTCATTTTAAACTCAGCTGCTTAGCATGGGTAAATGCGCTGCAAGAGTTATGGCTAACGTATGAATAATGAGCTGCTAAACTTGGGGAATGATGTGGAGGGCAAACTCTTTATGTTTAATCACTACAACCTGCACATCATGATGGCACTCACTCATGTGTGCTCCTTTGGCATTTAGAGTCAGAATAAGAGAGAGGAAAAAGAGAAATAGATTGGGCTAATGAACGGCTTTTATTAATATTTCAATTGTAAGTGATAGGAAACCCAACCAAGCCAGTTTAAACAAACAAATGATTAACTTATTGGCTTTCATGGCCAAAATATTGATGGCTAGTGGTGACTATAAACACAGGTTGATCTAGGGCACAAATGATGTCTGTCAGCAGGTCCACCTCTGTTTTGCTTGCTCTGGAATGGCTCTTTTGATGTTTTATCTGGTAGCAAGATGGTGACAGTATTTCCAAGCTTCACATCCTCACACCATCAAATCCAACAGGAATGAGAAAAGTTTTCTTTCCCATAGGATCCGATAAGCATATCCTTATGTTTCATTGGCTCTAGTTAGGTAACATATTTATCCCTCAACCAGTCATTGTGTCCAGGGGAGTTGAATATACAAGGTCAGTCGTCAAGCATCCCATGAGAAAGATAGGTGGTCAACTCTATTTAAGTCATACGCTTAAGAACTGAGAATGGAGGAAAGTGCTTTCTCAAACCACAACTGTGTTGTCTCTGCAGTGAAAACTAAAATGTTTCTGTTAGTGTCACAAGCAGGGGACCTGGATCGGGGTTTGTGTGGGATGTGGTGGAAAGCCCTTGATTGGCAGTTCAGCAACTCCTTTCTTGGCTTTGCTCCTACTAATGATTAGTCTCTAATCATTGTTTTTTTCACGTGGAAGATAAAGTCTCCAGTCCCTTTTTGTTCTGGAATTGTGTGATTTTATCCATGGTTCCAAAGTCCCCCTGTAAAGACTTGCTCATGACTCAATTACTCTGAC
The DNA here is from genome assembly GCF_000001405.40 of Homo sapiens. Classification (NCBI taxonomy): domain Eukaryota; kingdom Metazoa; phylum Chordata; class Mammalia; order Primates; family Hominidae; genus Homo; species Homo sapiens. The sequence continues at coordinate 182,254,542 of NC_000002.12, read as the reverse complement.
TACCAGGAGGGTGACAGGAGGAAACTGCTTATCATTTGCTTAGCATTTATAAGTATGGGCTCTTGTATTCTTCAAATTATTTCCATTTGGAAAAGTCCCTGAGGAAATCAGTTTGAGGAAAATGTGCTAAGACGTTGCTGGAACTCAGTGAATCATTAAAAATCAAGTAATGATTTTTCTGAATTCCATTTTTGTGGTGTGAGTTGTGGGGAGGGGTGGCTGTTTGGAGTGTTGTGTTTGTAGGCTGTTCTCACCCTGTAGGTGGAGTGTGAAAATCACTTAGAAAAAGTTGCAGTACTTTTTGGTTGGTTTTCCTATTTTCTGTCCATCTGTGGTGTGTTACTTTCTACAAACTTTCAAAAACAGCCTCACTCCTGAAAAGGGGGAAAAAAACCTGACCAGATCTTTTGAGAAATGACTAACAAAAAAGCTCTATGTGTTGAATAAGATCTGACTATTAGTGATGTTTTGATTCAGTGTAATATAAATGAATATTTGCTGCATTTTAAAAAGATGTTTTAAATATTATTCTTTTCCAATAATAATAATAATGAAAATCATTTGACAGTTACATCCAAGGCAACATATTATTCAATTTGCATATATGATTTCATATAATTCTCAAAAATGCCTATAAATTAGATACTTATATTCTTTCTACTATAAAGTTAAAAAATTTAAGGCATAAAGAAAGTAATTGACTTGCTTAGGATTATATAATTATTAAGCATCAGAGACAAGTTCAAACTTAAATGGAATATATCAAACATCTATTTTTCTCTTTTTTCCTAGCCAACAGAGCCCATTTTTTCCCTAATTATTTACTCCCTTTTTTAAGGCCAAGTGATTCAGGGGACACCAACATCAGCCCCAGGCTCAGGATGGATGACTCCTAACTGATATTAACCAGTTATTGTTCTCCAGTTCACTAATCAGTGAGTTTAGGCTTGGACATGTGATATGATTCTGGCCAATGAGAATTGCATAAATGGCAGAATGAAGGGGGGTGTTGGCAGAAGGTTTCCTCTTCATAGGAAGGGTGTCATGCTTCTGGGTGGTGTATCTACATCTGATACTTACAGTGAATACAGCCATCTTGCTTCAAGCAGAAAGCTAAACCTAATACTAAAGTTGTTCATGTAGAAAGACAAAGGAAACCTTAGTCCTTGGTGATATCATTGACTTCCTGATTTTAAAAAATCCCTTACTGGAGTCAACTTACTTTTAACTGTTTTTAAGGAAATCAATCAATTTCTACATTATTTGAGCCACTTTCATTTAGGTTTGATGTCACCTGTCATTGACAGCATTCTTACAGCCAGGTAGGTTGGACTTGCTCCAAATTCATGTTCTTCATCTCTAATCCTTCCCAGGAGTCACTTTACCCTAACAATAAATCCTAATGCAAATGTTTGATTTCTAAGTTAACCACTAATAATTCATAATCTAGTTTCCCATGAAATGAGGTAATAGGTTAAGTTTCCAAGGTAACCCTCAAAACACTGATCCCATCATAAAGTCGAACAACATAGGTGTTTCTTGAGCAAGTATCAAGTACTAGAAATGAGGGACTTACATTTTTCTACATACAAAGATGTTTGTACATTCTTTACTATATTTATATAGCCTACTTCCCAATATATTTTTCTTCTGTCTACTCTCCATCTCTTTTATCTCATTTCCATCCCCATCAGTCTAGCTGGAGTCACCATTATCTGTGAGGCTGTCTCAGGCCTATCTGTGTAGACACACATTAGTCAGTTCCACACAGGGACCTTGCCGTCCTGCAGGCTCCACCCAGGAGTAGGGGCTGGGGATAGGGTGGGGCATTCAGCTGGCTTCTGCTGCAGGATCCTGGAAACTTATCTGGGGCATGCTCCCACCCTTCTCACAGTTTGTCTTGGATTAGAGGTCAGGCAGGATCCAGTGTTCCTTCTCAAGATCTCTCCTGCCTTCCTTTCTGACTACTCTTCGTTAATCTGGGGTATCTTTGGACAATCACAGGAATGGAAACTTTACTCTGGAAACTTTACTCTGACTTATCACATATTCTTCTATTATCTTTTCCTGGGTCTCTCTTCCTTCCATGGGACATGGATTTTTCCCTCCTTCAGGTAGGTTATTGTGTGTCATTTACAACTTGAGTCAGTGAGTGAATTCATGGCTGACCATATATACAAAGAGTTACAGGATCACAGAAAATACTTTTTAAATTGTTTTTTTAAACATTTTTACACATGAAAAATATCTTTTTCTACATTAAACAGGATGTGACTAAAAACATTGACATATACAACATATGCATCAAAATAAGCAAATAAAAATGACTTTATTCTTCATCTGGGCTAATACCTAACTAGTGCAAATACTTGAATATTTTAAAAATCCCTAAAACCAGAGACCCTATGCCTATGTTTTCTATACTTTTATTCATTTATTCAACAAATATTTGTGAAGGACACACTATATACACTGATACTTATTTTGCTATTCTGTTTGGCTACCGTTACCTCCCAGTTGTCATCATCCCTACTATTTTGGCCTCATGGGTGTAGAAAGAAATATATTCCTTATCTCCCCTTACACTCTTGTCTTCCAAATATACCCCTGCTCTACTAAGGACACATTCTCCACCCATGGTCTGTTGAAAATTGACTTTTTTAGTTCTCAGTCAAGTAACATACAGATAATTCCCATTTGTAACATCATTATAAAAGATTCATTAATTAAAATACTTTCATGGGGACTCTTCTGACTGTTCCTCCCGATATAATTCACCAACATGCCTCATCACTGACGGTGAAATAATGTGCATAAGGAAATAAGCAGTGCCATTCAGCACATGTCATAGAAAATAAGTAAATCGTATTTTCTTGGTATAGAGCTTCCATTAATTGGCAAGCTGTGAATGAAGGAGAACAGTGTTCTCAAACCTTAGTAGTCATTGAAATCACCTGAAGGGCTTGTTAAACCAGGGTGCTGGGCCTCACTCCCAGACTTTCTGATTCAATAGGTCTTACAGCATGGGAACTTTCATTTCTAACAAGTTCCCAGGTGATGCTAATTCTTCTGGTCTAGTGACAACAATTTGAAACTACTCTTCTAGATGATGTCACAATGAGACCATACACAAAAAAAGAGAAACAGAGAGACCATTAGAAATTTGGTGGTTAGAAATTTAAGGTCTTATCAAGACTATGCCCCAAGTGTTGTTCCAAGTTGTAAATGAGATAACTTTGTGCTAAAATGCCCCAATTCCAACCTTTTTTTGTACTGATAAAGGAACTAAGTCTCACGCGGATGAAATATTTCTTCCAAAACTACACAGCCAATAGGTGATGAAGCCAGGAGTTTGACTCCAGAGGCAGTCTTTCTAACTACACAGGATGCTTATTAATCAAAATTTGTTAATCAGTGGAGCATTAGGCTCTATGCCTAATGGAATATTTTCAAAAATGTTTTTGAGCCAAGAGGATTTCCTGGTGGGAAGCCAAGAGTCATCAGCAAGGCTTTGGGCAGTTTTCTGCCTCACCCATTAATCCCAATTCCATCCCCAAATGACTCCAAAAATACAATCTTGATCCCAGCTCTCCAAGCAATTTGACTCTTTCTCAGGCCCTTCCCCTCAACATTCTTTGGGTCCTTTCTGCCTCTCCTGGAGGACAGGACCTCCACTGCCTCCACCTTTGCTTCCTAGATTGGATATGGAGGAGGCACCAAGCACTCCGTAGGTCTTACCTTGGAGAAAGCCACATCTAACTTCAACATTATCCTTACTTGACCTCATTTACGCCAAGATTTGCCTTTTGGGAATTGAGCTAAGGTCGGCATAACTGACTTCTCCACCCAAAAGTTCAGTCTTCATAGTCACTCATGTACAATGGTCATCTTCTCACAGTTAAAAAAAAAAGTTGGGTCGAGGAGAGGCTAACAATACCAGAGGAACATTGAACAAATCTATCAGGAAACTTTTTTTTAAAAAAAAGCTATTGAGATAAATTGGTAAGCTTGCCATTTTAAATACTTTTTGGAACAAAACAGGGAATAAATAAACATGCTTCAGTGGTGGCCTGAAAGAAATAATTCAAATGTATTTAGCACTTAGTAAGTAGGTTACTGACAAGTAGATATGGCATTTCAAATGTATTACCTATTTCCATCCTGACATTTAATTTATTGTACTTCAAAGTGTCCTGAAATTTTGTCATCCAGATATATTTCTCTATGAGAAAACAATTCAACATACTAGCACTGGAAATTAAATTCAAGCTTCCTCCAACTAAAGATTTCCTGACAGATCAAGACAGATCAAACTCCTTTAAGACTTTTTAAGATCAATTCTTTTTAACCATAAGTTTCAAGGCAGAGAGGAGATAGAGAAAATGATTACTGGCATTAGCATTGACCGAATGTGAAGGCAGTCTGGGTACTCAGTATGAAAAAAATGCGTTTAAAGTGGAGGATAACTTATCAATCAGTAACTCAGACCCTGAAACCAGACATACATGACCAAAAAATGTGACATGGACACTCCTGGTTGAATGACTTTGCACAAATCACTCAAGACATCTGTGCCTCAGTCTATTTATCAGTAAAATAGAAGTATCAATAATAATTAGATCTTTCTCATGGTGGTATTATGAGGATTAAATAAGCTAAAGCTTGGTTTCTTGCCTGGTTCTTAGTAAGAAAGCAATAAAGCAGCTGGCATTATCATCTATATCGATCCTCAAACAGTTCTGAAGCCTGAGTGAAGGATTGGTGTTACCTTTAGAGTTTTGGTTTGTTTTCTGTTTTTTTTGGGGGGGGGGTTGGGGGGTAAGGGTGAAGAAGGGTACAAGCAGCTCAGAACGCAGACATAGGTTAATCAAAGAGATAATACTAATGGACTCTCCTAGGAGGAAACCACTTACTCCAACAAGAGTATTCCTACTATGGAAAGATGAACCACCCTTAATTCCTCCATCTGTCCTGGAAGATATTCGCAACATATGAGTTCAGTACCACCTTTAGCCCCAGGCCAGTGAAGCTGCTTCCCAGGGCATGATTCCCCACTTCAGGGGGCCTGACAAGGGCTCTCTTTGGTGTTCCTCTCCCCATGGTTTGCCCCGCAAGACCAAGAAGAACCTGAAGCTCATGGCCCTCTTCCCCCTCCAGATACTGTAGGACCCTGGAATTCCCTGCTCTTCCCAGTATGTTCCTTTACCTTATTTTGGGCAGAAGACCCCAGCATTCTCTACCCAAAGGTCCCCAAGCCTGTCTCCTACATCTTACTGGGCTTTCTTATTAGGTCTTTCCTCTCAAGGGACCCAGGACGCTATTGGTGTTTGTACCCTTTCAAACCAAGGAGTGGCCAAGAAGCAGCTCCTTTCAAAGCTAGGTAGGTTGATGGAGACTGTACTTGGGGGCTGAGGTTTCCACCTGTGGTGCAGAGTGGAGCTGCAGGTTGCTGGCCCAGCGCTGTCACACAAGGAGCTGAGAACTTTCAGTTCACCCAACTTGTCTGTCTTTTATGAAACTTATTAAAAGGTAGAAGGATAGAACATATAGCAGTTTAGTCACCTGATATATAACTTTAAAATACTTAGTTAAATGGTATTTGGATGAAATATGCTCCTACCCTGAGCCCATGAAATGTTAGGGGAAAGAACTGAATGAGTTCGTTGCTGCGTGAAACATGTCCTTTATAAGAATAGTAAAGCAGGAAAGGAACATTTCAAACTTGAGAAACCAGTATCTCCTAACTGCACCTAGCACTTGAATTTTAGCACTTAGAAGGTGTAATTGCGGGTACCAATTGCCCAGAAATAACCACATCAGTACATGAATGTAATCATTTTCCAAGAGTCCACTGTGGACAGAAATATTTTCACTGACATATGATTGTAAGAGTCAAAATCCCATGACCTCTCCTTCCGTGGCCGCCTCCTTCTTTACTTCCCTTCCCTGCAAACTTTTTAGTTCAAAATATAAGCCCTTTGGGAGTTATGTCATCTGATTTCAAGAGAAAATTATGATTATAAATAGCTCCGAAGGATTAGTTGAGTCACAGATTGGATGCAGGGTCAGTTTTCACAGTTCACCGGCTGCCATCTGCACCCAGGTCGTGTTTAGAAACCCTTGACTTTATGCTTTATTGACTCCACTGGGACAAAAACTAAAGTATCAAACACCAGTGGGAGCATTTTTCAGAGGTAAACAGTGGTAACATTTTACACATATATTCCTTATCGTTTCTTTTTCTGTATAGCACGTTTTAAGAATTGCTTTTTTCTTTTTTTTTTTTTTTTGACAGTCTTGCTCTTGTGGCCCAGGCTGGAGTGCAGTGGTGTGATCTTGGCTCACTGTAACCTCTGGTTCTGGGTTCAAGTGATTCTCCTGTCTCAGCCTCCCCAGTAGCTGAGATTGCAAGCATGCACCACCACACCCAGCTAAATTTTTGTATCTGTAGTAGAGAAAAGGTTTCACCATGTTGGCCAGGCTGGTCTTGACACATTTTAAGAATTCCTAAGGAAAATGTACCAGTCATCATTTTTTCACGTTGTATGTTTCTTAAAAACAAAGTCTTCATTTTTAAAAAGCATTTACAATGTAAATGATTATGCACACTCTGCCCTTTAACATTAGAATAAAGAGCAATGAAGCTATTAGATGTTTGTAAAACAAAATTAACTATGATAGTTGAGATCCTATTTTATCATCCTCCTTGCACAAATTTCTTTCAAAAATGAAATGAGGACAAAATATATGTTTTACATGTGGCATAATCTTATACAAGTATTCAGATATTTTCATGTCTTAGATAAATGTATAGGAAAATTCTTTATAATAATTATCTGCCGGTGAAAAAGTACAGGATGACAATGACTAGTCCATATTACATTATAGTTTTTGTTCCTGCACTGTCTAGCGTGGTCAGATGAAACTTGAGGAGCTGCTCATGTTGATCAGACGGAAGAAGACACAGAGTACAAGGCGGGTACGAGGGAAAGGGAAAATGAATAAGTAAGAAGAGGTAAATGGAGGGGAGTAGGGAGAAATATGTCTTTAGGTTTATTAGTTTATTTTCAAAATTTATTCAAATTTAGGTTTGATCTACCTGTTTTTCAACTTTCTTCTCTCCAAACTGGAATAACCATCTTAATGAACCTGTGAACACTTACTTATGTCTTCATTAGAAGTTTCTTACTCTTCTCTATGTGATAAATGAGCATAAAAGAGCTAATATTTGACAGAAATACTGAGTTTCTTGGCTAAAGGCATATAAACAATGCATACTTTTTTTAAGTTTTCTTTCCTGTGACTTTAAAATGCTATCAAAAATGTTTAGTTTTTTTTTTCTACACCAAATATATATGTTTCCCCACAATTTGTTTCAATAATATGCAACATGATTATTCAGGAACAACTTAATCTAAAGGCAATGAAGGAGATGATTGGCAGCAGTGAATTTGCTCCCAAGATGTTGTTGCTGCATAAGCAGCAATAAATTTGATTATATCAATCAAATTGCACAGGAGTATACATTAAAACTTCTACCATTTCCATCCTTACTCCACTCATGAAGGTAATCAGTTACAATTAGTCTAATGTAAATATTTCTAGACACTTTATAGCCATTCAGTGGATATATATTGACCCCCTGCTCTGTGTCACACATGATTTTAGAAGCTGATGATACAGCAGTGTACAACAGAAGGCCAACTCTTTGCTCTCCAGGTCTTTGCAGCCCAGGCTGCTAGACTGTAAGCATAAAATGAACAAACCAACCAGTGGACATATGGTATGGCATCTAGTAGTGGTCAGTGCTAAGAAGATTATAACAGGGTAAGGCTGGGCATGGTGGCTCACACCTGTATACAATCCCAGCATTTTGGGAGGCTGAGGCAGGCAGATCACTTGAGGTCAAGAGTTTGAGACCAGCCTGGCCAACATGGCGAAACCCAACCCTGTCTCTACTAAAAATACAAAAAATTAGCTGGGTGTGGTGGCACGCCTGTAATCCCAGCAACTTGGGAGGCTGAGGCAGGAGAATCGCTTGAACATGGGAGGCAGAGGCTGCAGTGAGCCGAGATCATGCCACTGCACTACAGCCTGAGCGACGGAGCAAGACTCTGTCAAAAAAAAAAAAAAAAAAGAAAGAAAAAAGAAAAAAGACTATAGTAGAATAAAAAGACAAAATAAAAATGAAAAATGCTTACTATTGGGGGCAGGCACAGGGATGCCCTCTCTACCTAAATGCAGTAAGGAAATGATTCACACAAATATCTGAGTACAAGATTCTAAGTAGAGTGAATAGCAAGTACACAGGCCCTGAGGCAAAAGCAAGCTTGGCAGCTTTGCATCCAGCAAGGCTAGTGTCACTGGAGCAAAATGAATAAAGGGGAACTGGTTAAAAGGTGAGGTTGGAGACTTAGCTTGAGATGACTTATGTGGAGCTTTATGAATAAGGCATTGTGGTCTGACTTAAACTTTAAAAGAGGCATTCTGGCTGTAGAGGGAAGAAGAGACTGACAGGGGTCAGGAGCAAGAGGGGGAGGCCAGTTAGCAGGCTGCACAGGAGGCCAGGCAAGAGATGATGGCAGCTTGGCCTCTGGCTCATTCGTTACAGGTGGGAATACAAAATGGTATAGCAAGAAAGTTTAGCAGTTTTTGCAAAACTAAACACTTATGATACCATCCAGCCATTGTGTTCCTTGGCATTTACTCAAATGAGTTGAAAAAAGCTGTACCTGTTTATAGGAGCTTTATTCATAATTGTCAAACCTTGGAGCAATCAAGATGTCCTTCAATAGTAGAATGCATAGACTATCTATGCACACAATAGAATATTATTTAGCAATATAAAGAAATTAGCTATCAAGCCATGAAAAGACATGGAGAAAAATGCATATTACCAAGTGGAATAAGCCAATATTAAAAAGTCTAGCCTTTTACTATATGATACTAAGTATCTGATGGTCTGGAAAAGGCCAAACTAAGGAGACAGCAAAAAGATAGTGGTTGTCAGGGACCAGAGGTGAGGGAAGGAAGGAAGGTTGAATAGATGAAGTATAGGGATTTTTTTTAGGGCAGTGGAACTACCCTGTATGATACTGTAATGGTAGACATATGTCATTATACATTTATCAAAACCCATAGAATGTACAACAGAAAGTGTGAGTCCTCATAGAAACTATGGATGTTAATTAATAATTATGTATTAACATTGGCTCATCAACTGAAATAACTGTACCACAATAATACCAGATGTCAGTAATATGGGAACTGTGAAGGTGGGGGTGGAGATGAGATGAATGGGAATTCTCTGTACTATACACTCGATTTTTCTGTAAGCCTAAAAAATAAAGTCTAAATGAAGAAGGTGCCTGAGATTGTGGCTTTCAGGCAGGGATAGCATAGTACAGAGTTCTCTAGGTAATCATGCTTATTCAAAAAGGAAAAATTAAAAACTTCTTGAGGAGAATAAAAAGGTCAAGTTAAGTTGGCTGGCTTTGGAGGCTTCCCCCATTTCACACACTGGAGTAGCAGAGATGCATGCATAGGCAGATGAAGCTCTCAAAGGCCATTGTTGTAACTGGGCTGTAGAGCAGAGAAAAATCTTTGAGAAACAGACCTGCAGCTACTATTTCTGTCAGCTGAAGAGAAAGTTAAGTCAGTTCTTGCACACAGAGACATACAACTGAACTCATACCCAGATTCACTTCTTTTCTGCTGTACACATTCTCCTGGTCCCTCTCTTCAACCTTCTGATTTGGAAAGAAGTTCTCTCATACAAGAATGAACAATTTTCAAAAAGAAACCAACATGGAATCCATATAAAAAAATACCACAAGAACAAAGGTGGAAAAGATAGGGAAAAACACATGACAAAGAACCCATGCCAGAGGAATGTACAAATCTGTGAGCTCATCCTATGAACTCAAGAACTTAATGAAATCATCAATTCTGTAGAAAAAATAATACAATTAAAACAAAGAAAAAGGTTTCAAGAGGTAAATAATATGATAATACAAGGAGGTGAAACATGGGTACACATAACTCAGTCAGCAAATGGAGGAGGAAAATGAGGCTACCCTGTAGAGACAGCCAAGCCATAAGCCACAAAACTTAAAAGAGACATAACTGAAAACACAGTAGAGTGTTTGACAAATAAAATACTTTAAAGTTTTTTTAAAAAAAGAAAAAGGTAAACAAAACAGGATAAGATCAAGACATTAATTTTTCAAAAAAAGTTTAGTGGAAAAATGATAGATATGGAAACTAGATAAAAGAGATCTCTGATAGGCATAATCCATTTCCCTGAAGAAGAGAACCAAACAAATGGAACAGAAAAAAATGTATAGTCTGAGAAAACATTAATAATATACCATTAAGGCCGGGCGTTGTGGCTCACTCCTGTAATCCCAGCACTTTGGGAGGCCAAGGCGGGCGGATCACCTGAGGTCGGGAGTTCGAGACCAGCCTGACCAACATGGAGAAACCCCGTCTCTACTAAAAATACAAAATTAGCCAGGCGTGGTGGCACGTGCCTGTAATCCCAGCTACTCAGGAGGCTGAGGCAGGAGAATCGCTTGAACCCGGGAGGCAGAGGTTGTGGTGAGCCGAGATCGCACCATTGCACTCCAGCCTGGGCATCAAGAGCGAAACTCCATCTCAAAAATAATAATAATAAGTCAATAAAATAATATACCATTAAGACTTTGAGCCATATGTTTATAGGACAAAATGATACCCAACTCAATACCAATTACGGTCTTTGAAAAGTAGTGAACTTCCAAAATAAAAGACCATTTTTGCAATTGTGCTCAGTTAACTAAACTAACTAAACTCAAAACACCATTCTTACAACTTTGTCTATTCCTCTCACAGCATGCACATTGGTCTTTTAGATACATAAATCATATCACATCCTGCTTAAAATAATTCAATGACCTGCCATTGCAAATATGACAGAATCCTTCCAAGGCCTGATATTAGCTTACTTATACCTATGTTTGCCTCCCAACTTGGGTCACTCTCTCTCTCAGTCAGTATACTCCAGCCACATTTGGCCTCCTTCCTGTTCCTCAAACATGCCAATACTGATCATGCCTCGGGCCTTTGTACTTGCCCTTCTTTCTATCTGGAATAGATAGAACAGACTTCCCCCAGACTTTCCTATAACTAATACTTCCTCATTGTTCGGGTCTTAACTATCTGATCATCTTATCTAACATAGTGTTTCCTCTCATAATTAACCTTATATCATAATTCTTATTTTATTTTTAGTCTTTCTTTTAAAATATAAGTTCTACCTGATAAGGGATCATTCTCATTTTTTCAATTTTTAATCACTTCATTTAGTTTGACAATAATTCTGTAATGTTTAAACAGTATGGTGTTTAGATTTATAATTGCTAAAAAGGCATTTTATTTCATTGCAAATAGGATTTTTACATGAGAAATAGGACTGGTATGTTCTATTAAATGAATATTAATAGAGAACTGAGTCTTTATATTCTATTTTATTTATAACCTACACTGGTAGTTATCACGCAGCATTCATAAATGATGGAAAGATGATTTCTTATCCAAACCAACAGCTACACAACACACACACACACATACACACACGAGAGAGAGAGAGAGAGAGAGAGAGAGGGAGAGAGAGAGAGAGGGAGGAGAGGAGAGAGGAGAGAGAGAGCGAGATACGTATTTTAAGGAATGGGCTCATGTGATTATTGGTGCTGGCAAGTCTGAAATTTGCAAAGCAAACTGGCAGGCTGGAAACCCTGGCAGGAGTCATTGTTGCAGTCTTGATTTCAAAGGCGTTCTGGAAGCTGAATTCCTTTCTCTTTGGGGGACCTTAATCTTCTTTCTTAAGGTTTTCAACTGATTAGATGAGGCTTACCCATAATTTAGAGGGTAATCTGCTTTATTCAAAGTCTACTGATTTAAATGTTAATCACATCTAAAAAATACTTTCACAGCGACATTTAAATTGGTGTTTGACCAAACGACTGGCCACCATAACCTACCTATGGTGACACATAAAATTAAACCTCACGGAGGTAGTTGTTGCCTTTTCAAGATTCCCTTTTCAAGTTACACAATAGCATATTCCATGCTCTTCCCTTAACACACTGTCGTCCTTTATTTGTGTGTCCCTAATTAATCCGTATCATTATTTCTCCCTAAAATTATATGCACTTTCTTCTCAGTAGATGACCTCATGCATCACGACTAAGGATTTCCAGCCTCCTAAGTACCACTCTACTATGTGGAATATCCCTTCCATATGCTGGTTTTGTCATGTTTGGTGAGCTCTCTTGGATCATTTATGAGTATAGGACATATAGCCTTAAAGCCATCAACATGAAATTTACTGTGGAGGAATTGGCACCATCAGCCAGGTTTCTGTCATTCTAAGGAGATTAGCTGACAAAACTAGGCTGCAGTGGAATGCTTGGAGCATGGTGACATCACAAGATTACACCACAATGATTCCTATTCCACTTGTTCTACCTACACTGTATCTGATCACTGCATAAGAGATAGTAGAAATGGCATTATCTTTAAAGTAGTGATATTTTCAAGCCATGAAGTTTAGTGACTTGCTGAAATGGGCTAGGGAATCTAATTTCAAATGGGCAAAAAGATAAACAAACTATTTTGCTTTAATTTTCTAGTTCAGTGTTTTAGGGGTAAATCAAAACCATCCAAATGTCAGATCAGAAAGAAAGTTAAAAATCATATAGAGTAAGTATTAATCAGTATTAACATTCAACTCTAAATATTTTTTATCGTTATATGTATACACGTATCTTTGTGACTCCAGAACTTATGTTTATTTTTTATAAGGTATTTCATAAATACATTCATGCTTATTTAATACCATGGAAAATAAATATTGGCAAATGACTTTTCTGCAGGTTTATAGGAAACAGCAGCATATGTGAGAGGTCATTTAAAGGAACATGAAGAGTTCCTCTCCTGCATATTACCTTTTGAGCCTCTCTTTAGTCAGATTGAGTTCTTTGTGGAGACCTCCTGTTTTTTGTCCTTTGTTTTGTCCCTGCTTTTTGAGATGGCCCCTGCCTTGTTTCTGAGGCATTAGCATGTACAACCATCTCTGGCCACCTTCCAACATTAGCTCATAATCGTTAGGCCTAGGTCTGGGCAAAGAGATTTTCAAAAGCAGATGAAACCCAAAGGTTGAAGCTAACATGTGCCAGAGTTTTTAGATTGGTGCACAGATAAGGAAAGAACCAAGTCAAATGGCAGGCAGAGCTGGCCTGTGTTCTTCCTAGAGGCAAAGTTCAACTGTTCTGTAAGCTGTTTCTGTATTTGGTGGGGAGCCTCTGGGATGTTGCCAGTTCAGACCTCTAGGAAGTTCTTGACTGCCGAAGCTGACTGGCCTTAAAATAACGATGTTTCCTTAGTTTCCTCTTTAATGGCAGCTGTTATTACTCAGCAGTCCAGTCAATTTTATCTACCTGGAGCTTATACAGAGCGTGGTCATTGTTTCAGTTCCTATTCACTACCTCACTCACTGGGTTGATTTCCTCAGCCAGCAGCTCTAAACCCATGAGAGCTCCACCCCGTGGTCACCTGAAATGCGCTTTAAACATAATCTATTTGATATCATGTGTTTTCATTTTTTTTTTCACTTTTAAAATCTGTGACATTGATAGAATGGATATCGTTGGGAGCACTTAAGTGGTTATTTTCCTAAAATTTAGAGGTACTTATCCAATGAAGTAGCATCTGTGAATGACTTTTATAAATTGCAAAGCCTAATTCAAATAGCATGTACTATACTTAAGATACACACAAGATTATTAAGTATATGACAACTATTATAGATTCAATCCCCCTTTTTTCTTCCCACTCCAGTTACTTCCTTTAATAGCAGACATCTGTTTATGAATTCACTTCCCTATCTTTCCTTAGTTTTATTCATTATTAGAATAGCACACTAAAGATATTAACAGTCGGTACCTCTAGACTGGTGTATCATTGTGCTGAAATGTTTGGGAAGCTGCAAATGCTCAAGTCTATTCGTTGTTGTCTTCATATGATCAATTTGAGAAATTAAGAGCTTTCCAAATGTTAATGAATTTTTTTTCTTTCTTTAGAGAGTACATATTAAGGAATAATCAGAGAGTGATTGGCTATATTTTAAATCCCATTGCAATCCTTGTTTTTCTGTTATATGTTTTTCTTCACTTTTTTATAAAAAAGTTTAATCTGTATAAATTTTTGTAGAAGACTTCTGGATACTGAAGATGAGCTCAGTGACATTCAGACTGACTCAGTCCCATCTGAAGTCCGGGACTGGTTGGCTTCTACCTTTACACGGAAAATGGGGATGACAAAAAAGAAACCTGAGGAAAAACCAAAATTTCGGAGCATTGTGCATGCTGTTCAAGCTGGAATTTTTGTGGAAAGGTAAGTGAAATTGTTGGTATCTCAAGACAGTAACATTTGAAAGGCAGCAGATACATTCATTTTTTCAAGGGTATGAGCAGTCTATATTTCACTTATTGACGAAAACTGTGATCATAATGATAACTAGAATGAACAAATTTGGGACTTTATGATGAACTTACCTATAACAAAAACACCTGGTCCCGGATGCATTCTTTTTATTTATTTTAAGTTGACATGAAGACTGAAAGCAAAGATTTTTGAATGACCTTTCTCCTCAAATGAACCTTTGTGAACAACTGTTTAAAAACAATTCTGACACATGTATATGTTACACAACTAATTTTACCTGAATAAAATGTAACATTTCATGAAATACATTCTACACTGGGTAGCAATCTACATGTCAAGATCACTTAGGCCTTCCTCTGCCCTAAAGACAGAAGACCATTTGCTTCCCTTCTTTCCATAATGGAGGAAATCTCTCTCATGCTCACTTTTGATAGGTTATTTTTTTTTTTCAACATTTCTGTCACTGAAGCAAGGGATATTTGATGGCCCCTAGAAACGCCTAGTTATATCATCAGAGTTTTCAATGTGAAACACATGCTAATATGACCCAATTTTACATTCTTTCAGCCCTTAAGAATACAGCTTATTTTTTCCATCTAGGAAACAAGATATTTCCTAGAACTAAAACTACAAAAGACTCGCCAAAATAGACATTTTATGTTTGACAGAATTGAAAAGTAGTTATCAGAAATCCCTTAGATTAAAAAATAATTACATGAAATTATATGTGGAATGATTATTTGAATATTTTAGAAACTAATAAAGTTGAGAAACAGAGAAAAATTTTGCCAATATGCCTAAAATTAAATTTTAGAGAAACTGCATTATTTCTCATCTTCTGATATCTCTAGGCATTACCGTTAATCAATATTACAAACTTGAATTTTTTTCTGCTAAAGGGACAGTGGAAAACACATTTGAATTTCTAAAAGTGTAAATGAGAATGCATGGCAACAAATATAAAGCTTAAAGATGGTTAAATACACTGTGCAATTTAAAGAAGATGACTTTTCTCTAGCATCAAATTAAAAATATCTAAATAGTACATCAGAAAATCTGTGAGAGAATCACAGATGAAACATGAGAGTATGTTTGATTTGCTAAAGAAATGTATATTTTGTCTTCTTTGTTTAAAAAAATATTACAGAACTTGGCAAACTGGGAAAAAATGTAAACTGTGGAGGAAGATCAACTGATTTTCCATTTCCATTCAAGAGAAGGTTATAATATATAAAATATCTGAATATGCTAAATTTCAATTTTTTCATATGTTACATAAAACACATTTAGTAGCCTATAAAAGTATAAAATTGTTCTTCAGGTAACTAAATTAGTAAGCAGTCTTTAAGAAATCAATGTGCTAAGAACATATAGAAATAAAGTCTTTTTTAAATCACTGTTGAATCCCCACTAGTAGGTGCATAAAAATAGTGGGACAAGTTTATTGGAAATTTTCAAAAGTAATCATCTTCAATCCTGACAGCTGAAAGTCTACTTGAAGTCTTGTTGCTTCTTCCTTTAAACGCTTCCTCCCAAGATTCAATTCCCTGGCAAGCCCTGGCAATTACTTACCCAAATGCATTCTGAATCCACTCACTTCCTCATCTCCACTCCTGCAACCACAATCTAAGCCTCCACTATCTGCCTTCAGAAATACGACAGTAACTTTCTAACTGGGCTCCTCTCCTCCTAACTTGACCACCCCAACCAAGCCATTCCACAGTGATGTTTTTAGGATATAAATTAGTTCCTGTCATTCTTTTCTTTTTCTTTTTCTTTTTTTTTTTTTTTTGACGTAGTCTGGCTCTGTCACCCAGGTTGGGGTGCAGTGGCGCGATCTCGGCTCCCTGCAAGCTCCGCCTCCCGGGTTCAAGTGATTCTCCTGCCTCAGCCTCCCGAGTAGCTGGGACTACAGGCACCCGCAACCCTGCCTGGCTAATTTTTTTGCATTTTTAGTAGAGACGGGGTTTCAGCGTGTTAGCCAGAATGGTCTTGATCTCCTGACCTCGTGATCCACCCACCTAGGCCTCCCGAAGTGCTGGGATTACAGGCGTGAGCCACCGTGCCCAGCCTAGTTCCTGTCATTCTTAAGCTTCAAACCACCAGAAGGTTTCCCAATTCACTTGAGCCTGGTTAGGTCCCTTTCTGCTTTCTAGCCTCATCTACTGCAACCTTCATCCTTGACTGAACACCTATACCAGCCTGATTTCAATTTCAAGAACATTTCTAAGCTCTTTCCTGCCTTGGAGCCATTCATCCTGTTATTTTCTCTGTCAGAAGTGGTTCTCCCCACCCTTCAACATGGCGGGCTGGCCCTTTTACCGTTCCAGAGGTCTTCCCGGATCACTCTATGCTGTTCCTCACTATTGCTGCCCCCAGCCAGTGGTTTACCTCCTAGCACTTATCCCTGTTTGTAATCATATATTGTATCTTATTTTTCATTTCTCCTCACCACTGGAATAAGCCCTGTGAAATAGCAACAATATTTCCCTTGCCTTCCACTAAATAAGTCTGTTGCCTTGCAGAGTGCCTGGTATAAATAGTGTTGTTTTTTGTTTGTGTGTTTGTTTTGTTTTTCTTTGAGACGGAGTCTGGCTCTGTCACCCAGGCTGGAGTGCAGTGGCTTGATCTCCGTTTACTGCAACCTCCGCCTCCCGAGTTCAAGAGATTCTCCTGCTGGGATTACAGGCGCATGCCACCACGCACGGCTAATTGTTTTTTGTATTTTTAGTAGAGACAGGGTTTCCCATGTTGGCCAGGCTAGTCTCGAACTCCTGATCTCAGGTGATTCACCCGCCTCGGCCTCCCAAAGTTCTGGGATTACAGGCGTGAGTCACTGCGCCCGTCCTTAAAATAGTATTTTTAAAGAGTTTTTGAATTATATCTTGTAACTATTATGGAAACTTCCACAAATAATCCACTACATTTCCAGTTAGACTTTCACCACCTTTAGGAGCCCAGGAAATTCACTATCATTTTTCAGAAACTTGTAATATATCACCTGTTTACTAAAGTGTGAGACAACTGGGTTAAGATATCTCCGATGCTCATTCTAATTCAAGGATGAGTCACCTTAATTTTCCATCTTAGTGTTCTATTTCTAATTTTCCATCCTAGAATTCTATTCCTGATTATAGAATTAGAAAAGTATGATAATGGGAAAGTTTTGCTATCTCTTTGGAAGGGTAATCCTCTTTGTCTTCCTTTACATTCCATGTAATGAGAAAGTATATTGGTATTCATTTCTCAACCTATCCCAAGTTTAAGAAACTCAGTAGCATCAGAGGTCCCATTGAGGCCAGAGAGCTCTAAAGACATAAGATTTTGAACCAATGATATTGGCTGCAAAGTAATGAGAACAGTTAAAATAATAATAAAAATGATGGCTTACTTGTACTGAGAATCATTTACACAAAAAGCTTATAATTATTCTCATTTTACAAATGAATGACATTAAATAGTTTCCAAAGGTCACACAGCAGTGAGTGGCTAACATGTGATTCAAAGCATGTGTTCTCTTTGCCTTTCTGTGCCATGAAGTCAAGTCGAGCTAACGTTAATTAACATTTTAAAATTTCTTAATCCTGAATGATTTTTATATTGACGCTTTTGCCTGTTCATCATCCTTCCATTTCCCCTGCACCTCCATTTTTTTAGTATTAATAGTAATGACTAGAAACAGATGGAAAAGACTGTTTCCAAAAAAAAAAAACACCTGAGTATCACTGTTGATAGTAATTATTCTAGATCTTGTATAGTATGATTAGTAGTTTCCTTGCTTTGCAAGATTAGAATAATTATACCTATATCAATGGAGTAATTAATATAAGTATTTTTAGTTTTAACTGTTCTAAAATCTTTCAATAGAGATATAGGATAATTTCTTATTCTACCTAATCACCCACATCCAAAAATAATTTATGACTATTTAAAATAAACGTAAAGTGGAAGCATGAAAGTGTTGTGCTTAAGGTCTCTAGAATAAAATGGAGAGCTACTTCATCAAGAAAGCCTAGGCTAGAGATGTAATTAAACACAGTATTTTCATTCTGAACTTCCAACTAGTCAAGACTTAAAAGGAAAACATGATAAATTGCTTAGCTTTGATTATCTTTAACAAATGATGGCTTTTACATAGAAACTGAGTAATATGTCCCATGCATTTTTAACATAAGGAACATTGAATCAAAAAATTTAGTATCTTCTATAGCGGTTTTATAAAAGACGTAGAATATTGTCCATGTGACCATTTCTTACATCGACCATATTTATCGTTATATTTAATTAAGCTATGGCATTGTCCAGGCCTTTTGTAGGGAGAATTTACAGCCATGTAGCCTAGAAATTCAGCTCGTTGTGGACTAACTTGATATAAAAATTAAGGGACATGATTAATCTCAATTGTATTCTTTCTTCCCAGGCCTTGGAGGAGGAAACATGTTTCTTTCAGAGTCCCGAATAGAAGCACTATTACTATATCACATGCTAGGCTATCATATTGATTCTTTTCTCACATGAATTCATGGAGGGGGTTCTTATATTTGGTTTATGCTATTTGGGTTGCCCAGCAGAAGATAGAAAAAAATCAAATCACTGATTATTAAAAACAGTTTTGTTGGCTGGGCGTGGTGGCTCATGCCTGTAATTCCAGTACTTTGAGAGGCCAATGTGGGCGGATCACGAGGTTAGGAGTTTGAGACCAGCCTGACCAACATGGTGAAACCCTGTCTCTACTGAAAATACAAAAATTAGTTGGGCATGGTGGCGCATGCCTGTAATCCCAGCTACTCAGGAGGCTGAGGCAGGAGAATCACTTGAACCCGGGAGGCGGAGCTTGCATTGAGCACAGATCACACCACTGCACTCCAGCTTGGGCAACAGAGCGAGACTCTGTCTCAAAAAGAAAAAGAAACACAAAACAAAAACAAAAACAAAAAACCACTTTTGTTATTGATACTATTATGGAAATGAAAATAACATTGTTTTCTTTCTGAATAACTTTCTTAATATTGAATGACAATTTGAACAAACTTAAACAATTTTTGCTAGTATGATTTCCCCAATATCATTAAATAAAAGAAGGGGGACCTATGTAAATTCTGATGATACTACATATCCCCCTCTATAATTTTAATATAAAAATATAAAGGAAATATTTTAATGACATTTAGCTTCCAGACTAAAAATTTTGGCATATAAATGGACATAAAACAAGAATGTTCTGCTGTCAGGGATATGGTGGCATGTTAGAAAGTTGTTGCATATGCAAAGTGTAGTGCATCTTTTAATATGATCAAGTTCAGGGAAGGATATCTTTACATGGAAACTAAAGTCACATTAATTTTGCAGGGTGATTGTGAATAGAGAATATATTACATTGTCACATTGTAGATGTTTAGTAAAAAGGTGACTATAGTTATCATTATTGACACAAAGGGAGTCTGTAACTAATGATAAGAGGTGAACATGTCAAAAGTAATCTTTTCCCTGATATTTAAGAAATAGTTGAAAACTTTGAATAAATGAATTTTATATTTACACTTATTTTTGTCTTTTTTAGAATGTACCGAAAAACATATCATATGGTTGGTTTGGCATATCCAGCAGCTGTCATCGTAACATTAAAGGTGACATAATTTCATTATTTTCGTGTATAAAATGGTCATTTTAAAAAATTCTCTTAAAAAGGCTATGAGAAAATGAGAATAGGTCTTTACTGCAGCCTACATCTTAGAACGTTAAAAAATTCAACATATCCTAACAATTTAAAAAATGAACTGTGTTCCAAATCATGACTCACTGTAGATTCAAATGACTGATTTACACAAACTATATCAACATATATATATGCATGTTTGTATGCACACACACGTGTGTTTTTTTTCTTAATTTTATTTATGTGGATCTTGAATTCATTTTGAAATGGCACTAGTACTTGTCAAAATGTACATATTTTGTTATGAATATATTATGGAAGAGTTAAATGCATGTTATAAAAAGATATTTTAGTCAATGATGTTTAAATGACAAAACATACAGAAGGAAATTATTTAGGATTGTAGGTCTGAAAAAATACAAAATGTAAGATAAAATTAAGAAAGAAAAAACACTTCTCTCTCTTGTCTTTGGCTTCTCCTGTGGCTACACTATTCTAAGGCCCAATTGCAGCGCTACATATGTTAGAAATAATCAGAGTTGAAACTCTGAAGTGAGTAAAGTTATTGGCTCACATACTTGCCTCATTGTGTGTGTGTGTGTGTGTGTGTGTGTGTGTGTGTGTGTGGTGTTCATGTGCCTTGTTTCTAAATGTTATTTCTACAGAGGCATTTTGTAGGCTCATCCTTCTAAACTTGTTTCGATTGCCTAATTTAATTTAACATTGTCTCCTAAAACATCTGCATATTGGTTTTTCTACATTAACCAAGAATTTAAAGGATATTGGCAGCAGCAGATCCTGGGTTGATTTATTTCTGACTTATTGTACTCCTTTTTAATTTTAAATTTGTGTTTTTAAAAATTTTAAGCATCTTCTTTGCAATTGTTTTTTCTCTGCTGCATATTAGATTTTAATCTCATTAATGTTAAAAGATAGCTCATTTTTCTTTGGTGCTTTTTTTATATTTATGTTTCTCTGCCTCCTGTCAGATCAGAGGGGACACTAGATTTTGATAGGAGCGCAAACCCTATTGTGAAATGTGCGTGTGAGGGTTGTGCACTGCTGATGAGGTGGAACAGTTTCATTCCAAAACCATCCAACCCCAACTCAGTCTGTAGAAAAATTTTCTTCCACACAACTAGTCCCTGGTGCCAAAATATTGAGGACCATTGCATTAAAGGATATTAATCATTCCTCGGTTCTTGAGAGATTTTGCCTTCTCTATTATTTCCTTAACAATGAGCAAGAAAATTACTCATTTTTATTTTATTTATTTTAAGAATTTTTGCTTAAAAACCAACTAACAAAATATTTTAGTATGAGAGAATGTAGTATTTTTTCTAAAGTGTTGTATAGTAAAAAAGATATAAACTAACAGGTTGAGAGAGGGAATATCACCAAGTAAAGAATGTTTTAGTTAAATAATTCTTATTTTCTGAGAAGCCTCCTTGTCCTGTTTGTTCTCAATCTGATGACATAAAAGCCAAGCATCTGCAGTAGTTTAGAAATGTAAATCATCAGGGTTTATAAAAAATTCTCAAGAAATAAAGAATTAACCTTTTACTCAGTGGGAACCCCCAAGTTGGAACTGTAAATATAAATAGCAACCTTCTAAGAGTCTGAACTAACTCTTGTTTGTTAGCTTTGGAGTTTGATAAAAGATTTATTGACCTCCTTTGAGATTTACTGATGTAAAATGCCTTCTAACAGAACTTATAATAACTTTTAATATATAAAGAGATAAAGCAAGCATTTGGGGATCAAATAAGGGCCAAATGCAAGGAATTTAATAACGACATACAAGCAAACCAAAAACTGTTTCATTGGTGCTTGTTTCCAAGTGATTAAAAATACCATTTGAAGCTCTTACTATTATTTTTTGAAGGAAGTATTTTTAAAAGAGACTGAATACTTTTTATCAGATTTTTAGTTTGGTTCTAGCATATTATAGCACATAGAGTTGGCCTCCAGAAAAATGTGTTGAATGAAATTTGAAACGTGCCTACTCAAATAGAAAATTAACGCATAGCTTTATGGTTGCCCACTTACTGTTCAATACTAAACCTACTGTATGTGTATAAACAGTAGGCCTTCCTGCTAGCAGTTTCTGATAACCATTAGAATGGACTACAGTGCTTCTATAGATTTTCAAAGCAAAATCATGAGGTGGCTGGAGTGGTTTATATCCCTGCTCACTCTCCTCTCTCTCTGTTAGGGGGTACTTTCCAGTTTCCCTACTGGCCTGCTTGCTTCCCTAGGGAACTGCATGAAATGCGAGTATTACTATCCTCCTCCTCAATCAAAAGGCCCACTTCCTTTTCCTCACCACTTGTCCCTCAAGCAAAGTATTAGTAAATCAGCCAAAGATAGAGCAAATAATAATAGTTGAAAAGTAGTGTAAAAAATACCTTTTAATAATTAAAGATAGT
This sequence comes from Homo sapiens, assembly GCF_000001405.40. Taxonomy (NCBI): domain Eukaryota; kingdom Metazoa; phylum Chordata; class Mammalia; order Primates; family Hominidae; genus Homo; species Homo sapiens. Next base: position 182,231,973 of record NC_000002.12, on the reverse strand, counting down.
GTATACTCTATCTCGCTATGATATTTACATATTTTTCTATCTTTCTTTCTTTCTTTTTGGAGATGGAGTCTCACTCTGTCACCCAGGCTGGAGTGCAGTAGTGCGATCTTGGCTCACTGCAACCTCTGCCTCCTGGGTTCAAGCGATTCTCCTGCCTCAGCCTCCTGATTAGCTGGGATTACAGGCGTGCACCACCACACCTGGCTAATTTTTGTATTTTTTTGTAGAGATGGGGTTTCACTATGTTGGTCAGGCTGGCCTCGAACTCCTGACCTCGTGATTGGCCCATTTCAGCCTCCCAAAGTGCTGGGATTACAGGCATGAGCCACCACACCAGGCCGATATTTACATCTTAAAACAGGACATAAATATCAAAACTTTAGCCAAACTGCAAACTCTTATGGTGAAATTTCAAGCAATGTAGCAAGTGAGTAAGAAAGAAAAACCGGGACTATTTTTTCTGTATTTCCCAATTGACATCATCTATGTAACTAGCAATTCTACCCTAAATTGAGGTCCACTCTGAGAAAATGATTTATGGCAGGAAGTTGGAGAGAGATTAAAGATAATGGCAGTATTATGGTATTATCAAATGTATTAAATCACTTTAGTAACTTTGGGATTAAAGAAAAGGTTTTGATGCTTTATAAAGCATTATGGCCTCAATTTTGTGGACCCATGGATACTAAGTGGTCCTGTCCTATGAAACTCTGGTCAAAGTGTAGTTTGACATGCTAAATTGAAAGATGACCTGCTAAATGTACAATGCCTTATCTTTTGAATAAATTCTCGTAGAAACAGTATGATATTGGCACCTAAAGTATTTATTCTTTTTTCTACAGGATGTTGATAAATGGTCTTTCGATGTATTTGCCCTAAATGAAGCAAGTGGAGAGCATAGTCTGAAGTTTATGATTTATGAACTGTTTACCAGATATGATCTTATCAACCGTTTCAAGGTCAGAAACATGGAACAAAAGTGAAATGCTCTTAGAATTGGTTATTTGAGTAAGAATGAAAATGCAGAACATTTGAGTAATTAAGCAATTCATTTTAGGATGTTTTAGTTAGCAGGTCACAGAATTAAGGTGATGAGGTCTTTATATGATAGAACCATTCTCCACAAGTCACTGACACATCTATATATCCACCTAGAGATCATGAGGCCACTATAGCCTCATTCCAGCAAGATGCCAATATCCCCTGACTTATTCACAAAACACTCACATAGGGTTTGGCAGCTATGTCTTAAAGAAATATGACTACTCCAGCATTCCTAAAATACAGAATGAACCTTTATTGCCAGCTTTTCTTAAATTAGAATGAAGGGGTTTCTAATTAACTTCATTTAGAACCATCCAAGCAATAGATTTGATACAGACTACTGAGCAGATTGTAGCTTATTACTTTCATCATTTCCTGTAGAATCATCACATTTTTAGAGCTATAAAGTACTGAGAGATAATCTATTTTAACCTCTTTGTATTAAGATAGAAAAACTAGACTCCACTAATTGTAACTGGAAATATTTACCCTTCTACGAATTAGCCTTCCTACTCTCCGGAAGATACTAAAATTTCAAGCCTATAGTACAAGTAAGGCTATTATTTAATCTGTCCTAGTCAAATACTTGGGGGTTACAATCTTTCTTTTTGGGAATGAAAGTTAACATGTTCATGAAGTGGTTTTTCAGAACAATCAACATTTGACATAAAGAAACTACTGTCCACATCTGACTCACTAATATGTTCCATGACAAACAGTGCTCAGGTTGATTTAGTACCACTTTTTTGGTCAAAATATAATTATAATTATTACTTTCCACAGATTCCTGTTTCTTGCCTAATCACCTTTGCAGAAGCTTTAGAAGTTGGTTACAGCAAGTACAAAAATCCATATCACAATTTGATTCATGCAGCTGATGTCACTCAAACTGTGCATTACATAATGCTTCATACAGGTATCATGGTAAGACAGTCTTTGTAACTGAGGTTTGTTAGTTTGGAAGCATTCCAAACTTCCATTCCTATAAGTTTCTATTGTCTCTTTAATGCCCATAGAGGTATTCTAAGTAATAAGTATTATAAAGAATAATTGTTTGGATTTTTGAAGCTTAATGTGTTATAATACACATTTTTCAAAAAATACTTTAAGTCAGTGCAAAAAAGATAACCAGAGGCAAAAAAAAAAAAAGTTTCCCAAAATTTGGACTACCAAACATTTTTGTTTGTAAATTCCTTTATTCTGCAGGAGTCAACCAAAAAAAGTGACCTAGAGAAAAAGTCTTTAGAAAGAAAGTTATAGCACTCTTTTTCTCATTCCTTATGTGCTCCTAACCTGACCTTAGTCGCTTTTGCTCTCTTACTCATATTACTAATCACAGTCAAATTCTAATAGGGATTTGGGGAAATTATTAATGTCAATTTTTGCAAAATTTCCTTCCTCTTCTTTGCATTTGATGAATCAGTGAATGGGTGACTAAACGATTCAGTGATGCAAAGCCTGAAATAACAGTGAGTGTATGACAGGAACTCTGAGAGAGTTGGGAATTTTTGTAATGTCTTAGAACTCAGGATGATTCCCAGAAGGTAAAAAGTGAGGAACTGACCTTCCTGTGAAGGTGCAAAACTGAGCTGGGTTCAAAAAAGGAGCAGGCCATGTGAGATTTCTAAATCCTAGCACCTGCTTTAATCGTGAAGTGCAGTGAGAAAATGCCATTTCAGCCTAGGAGGCAACCAGAATTTCATCATTTAAAAAAAAATTCCTGCTTGAATGCATTTTTTTTACACTTGCTACAAGTGTAAAGGGAGCCAAATAAAAGTCTACTATATCAGCTTCACCTGGTGTGAAGGTGACATTGAAGAGATGTGGGTGTCATATTAATTGGTAAATAGAGAAAATCAAATCCACAATGTGGTTTTACCCTCAGAATTATAAGGAAGACTGTTATGGGACCAAATAAGCCGTTCCAACTTCTCTGTAAGACTAGGGAATTTGGCCCAGCCTCGCATGACTCCTAGAAAGTTAAAGTTGTTAGCAAAGATCACATAGTCACTTTCTGAGACAGCTATGACTTACCAAATATAAATGTAACTTTCTGATTTTATTCATCCTTTAGCAAAAATGTGTCACTGGCCTCTTTACTCATCCATTAATTTAACCATTACAAAAATAGTCTGGTGGTAGACCTTTAGTGTTTTCCAGAACCAAGAAAATACCTTTGAACTAAAGAGAATAATGAGAACTTTTACCATAGATGGAGAAAGGGAAGACAACATGAGTTTATGAATGTATTGACTATTTTGTCTAAACTAGGTTACACTGTCAGCTTGACAATTTTTGGAAAGTTATTTTAACAAGTTTTCTCTACATTAAAAAGTAGTGATAGGTGACTATTAAATTTCATGTATATGAATGTGTTGGTTCTTTGAAACAAAAAAGCTTTATAGAAATTTTCATTAGGAAAAAATCTTTAGTTCTTTCTCACCCCTCAGATTTGATATAAAGAAGACTGGGCCATCTACTTTAGTGTTTTAGTTGATGCCCTGCTATTTCAGGGTGGCCCTATCAGTGTGACATTTATGAAGCACTCTAGTAGCAGCCCAGTACTGTCAGGAGACTAATGCATGTTGTCATCTGCAAGATGTTTTAAGGACCATTCCTGAAAGGGATTGCAATTAAGCCATTGTCCTTCTGTTTGTTAATGTCATAAGGGACGCCCTCAAGTCTGGATGTAGACAATGCCGAGGAGAGTTGATGCTCATACACCTGCTTGTCCCCCTATCTCTCTCCTTTTGTCACTTGATACATTTGTAGTCCTGTGCCATGGTGACAGTGATGCACAGTAACTCAGTCCATTTGCTAAGGAGCAAATGTTTTATAAAGTGCTGTCAAGTCACCTTCAAATGTCTCTTTGAACATGGAATTATACAAGGGCCTTGGCCAGAAAACATTTGCATTAGAGGGCTCCTGGCACTGCGTTCTCTCTAATACTAAGAGTAGAAGGAGGAGAGATGACTGTAAATCTAGTTCCTTTGGAATTTTTAGTGCACTGACTACACAGAAACAGTCTTCCACACTTTGGAATGACTGCATTTTTCTCTGATCAGTCTACAGAACATTTAGTACTATATCTTTCTACAAATTATGTGGAAATTCTGTTCTTATAAATGGCTTCCAATATGATACTGTTTGGAAGAGGAAAGAGAGCATGGACTCAGGAAGCAGTCAGACACGAGTTTAAAACCATGCCCCACCACTTTCTAATTCACTAGCTCTACATTGCTTCCCTTGTCACTAAAATGCAGTTAATAATACCAGCCACCTTATAGAATGGCAATGAGGAGTAAATAAAACATTTGCAAGGCACCTAACCTAGTGCCTAAAACATAATAGCTATTAACATACCTTAATTAATTAATTGTAATATGCCAATTTTCTATACTGGTAACTTACAGCAAACTTCTTCAGCCTATTCAAAGGAATAGAGAAAAATAGTGTCAAACCTCATAAATTCTAGCTAAAAGAATTGTTAATTATGTGTTTTTAGATACACAAGGAATCAAGAAATAAATGTGATTTTCTGACTTGAAATTCTCCCCACCCTTTATATAATACACATACATACTTTGTATAATACACATATTTACTTTTTCTGTCCCACAGGCACACACTCACACATCCTGAGTAATTCAGACATGAAAATTACATTTTAAGTCCTAAGTCAAAACTCTATTAGCTTCTACCCATTCATATACTAAAATTAGCTAGAAATCCTACTTTTGAAACCTTAGAAGCATGTGTTCAGCATATTGCCTTCTTTATGTAATGAATGCTATTGTGATCCGTTGAAAAAATAGAAACTTTGAAATCAGACAGATTTGGGTTTGCATTCCTGCTCTGCCGCTAGATACGTATGTGACCTTTGACATGTTGATCCATTTCTCTAGGATTCAGCTTTGTTTTCTGCAACATAGGCATAAAAATATTTACCTATAACCATCTTATAAAGTGGTTTTAAGAATTAAATGAGATCAGCTAACTAAAGTGTCCAGTTAATGTTAATTCCCTTCCTTTGTTTCTGTTATAATACATGTTATTAATAGCAGTCAATACCTCCTTATAAGTTGATGACTGCCCGCTCTAGAGTAAGCCAACCTGAGCATTTCTGCAGACAAAATACAACCTAAAATTCTGATGAAATACAGTGTTGCATTGCTCATGATTTATCCTCTTAACCCTTTATTTCTGCCTATTAGGAATCAGAAGAACCTTGGATTTGTATTGACCAGTGCTGTAGTTGGGAAGAGTGACAGGATTTAACCTCGTTCTCTCTGGCTTGCCCTCAGGAGTCATTTATAAAATTTATGAATTTAAGCACCTGTTTTCTGAGTTAGAATTCCTTCTGATACCAGCACAAAATGAATCAGCAGCTAAGGAACTAACAATCAGTCCAGAATTCTACTTTTGCTAATGCAAAGTAGATGTGTTTTTAAATTAAGTGTGAAAGTTCAGTGTTTCCTCTCTTCCTATATTAGTTTGTAGTGGAACTTAATGATATAGTCCATAGTGCAGAAATAAGTAAGGGGGATTTGTGGAGAAAGTACTATTTATGGGAGGCAGAAATGAACCAAAGTAAAAACAGGAAATGTATTTATAATAAATTTTCACAGCTAGCAAGATAATAATTGTAAATATTTATGAGTCAATCACTAATTAATTCCATCTCTGATTTTCTAATTTAATTTCTTTTTACTATTGACAGTTTATATTCTGTGTTATCATAGTAGATAATGAATGCTGCCTTTTTTAAAACCACAGCTATATTTATAAATACATAATTTGAACCCACTCAAAAATTTAAATAAGTGGTTTTTTTCCATTTTCTTTAATAAAACAATGGGTTTCTAGGGTACAAAACTAGTTTAACTTCAATTGCTATTCATTTCATGGTGTTTAGTTCCATAGTTTCATTGGGAACATTGGAGGCTCAATCCCAATTCAGACCTCTATAAGGTAACTTTCTTCCTTTTAATGACTCACAATTAAATGTGTCTATGAACACAGAACAGCTAGTTATATTAACTTCTTTTGGCTCTGAAAATTATTTCTGCTTCACTCATCCAGTTGTGAGGCATTTGTACATGAATTACAATCACTAATGATATGTTAGCTATTATTTCCCAGATTTAATGCCTTTATCAATTCATTTAACATAGTAAGTTCCTAGCAAAATGCCATTTATTCTTTATTTTACCATATGACAAGACATGATAGGTGCAGTGCATACATTAACCCAAAACTTCTTTTTAAACCCCATAGGGGAAAGATTACTAATGCCATTTTCACCACAACTGTAGCTAAGAGGGTAAATAACTTATTTTCCTGAGGATTAACAGAGATTTAAAACCAGGACTGATTCCATGGTCTCTTACCACTGTTGCCTCTTTTTAATGCAAAACTACAATTTAACAAACAAATACTAAGTTCCTAATATGTGCCGAATATCATGATAGGTTATGTGAAGGGAGCTAAGATTAATAAGATTATACCTTTGGTACCTATGAGATTCAACAATTGTCACTGCCTTCATTTTTGACTCATGGACCTACAATGGCTTTCTTTTACCTTTTACACAAAATTTAAATTCATCAATTCTCATCAAATTAGTCCATTAACTCTTTCCATACTCTCCATATTCTTCAGTTACACTTCACTTGATTCTCCAACACGATTGTACTATTGACAATTCTATTTTAATACAGACCCTATAGTATGATTCTACATTTGCTCTTTCTATTTGAAATTCTTCTGTCTCCATCCTTGCACTTAACTATCAGCCTTTTTCCAGCCTTTTCCCAAGATCTACTGCCACCAATTAGCCTTTCTCTCTAGGCTCTTAAATTGCATCTTTATTCTGCAAACTTTTATCAAGTGTGCACATAGTTTACATGATCTCTTTCTGTTGTTTTTCGCAAAGTCTTTTATTGTTTTAAGTGTACAGAATAAGACCACTCAGAGTGAGTGTCATAGCATTTTGGATTCCGCATTCGTACCATCAAGTGCCATCTATTTATAGTGTTCTCTAGTAGAACTTGCTGTGGTGATGGAAATGTTTTGTGTCTGTGCTGTTCTGTATGGTAACCACTTGTCACATGTGACCAATGGGCATATGTAATGTGGCTAGTGTAACTGGGAAAGTGAATTTAATTTTACTTAATTTTCTTTATTTTTAACTTAAACAGTCACATGTGGTTACCATATTGGGTAGTACAGTATAAGGGTTTTACAAAATATGAGTGATGAAAAAACTATTGAATTATTTCTAAATGAACTAAAAATAGCAGGGAACTTTTGTTAAAGCATCTAGTTAGTAACTGAAAGATGAATGTATGTAAAGCGGATAGTCATGGATTTTTACATGAAAGCATTTATTCTTTCTTTTAACATTATTGAAGTTAATTGCACAGCCATTTTTATGTGTTATGAATAGAAAAATTTGTGAATTTCAGAAACTTCTAAATCTCTAAACATGAAAATGAAGTGCACTTTCTCTAGTAAGAAAGTGAATATTTTTAATTTTTAGATGAAATTTTTTTTCATAGTAGATTGTTCTACAACACTTGGGCTAAAAGACATTTTAATAATGTATGAGCTGTATGATAAAAATCACCAAACTGTAATTGATTTCAGAAGAACCCAAACATGTATGGCTGTAAATTCAAAATCCAGTTAGGGTTCACCTTTTAAATCATAGAAAACTACTCCTTTTTCAATTAGCAAGGACAATTATATTCTGAATTTTGAACTTATATGCCATGAAACAATCATTGACTTCATGAAGCATCCATCTTGCACAATTAGTGGAGGTAAAATAGGAAACAAATTAAAAGAAATGAAAAATAATTTTATATGATTACATAAACAGGGTGCACTGAAAGTCCTTTTCAAAGAAAGGAAAGATGTTATCTACTTCTTGAATATAATGGATTCTTTCTGTAATTTACTAGCACTGGCTCACTGAACTGGAAATTTTAGCAATGGTCTTTGCTGCTGCCATTCATGATTATGAGCATACAGGGACAACAAACAACTTTCACATTCAGACAAGGTAAGTCTGAAAAAGTATTAACTTTCATTAGTTAAAATTTGAAATTTATTTTTCTGCATATCACTTAAGAGGATTTTTAAAAAATAATAAAGATTCTAATAAGAACAGGTTTAATTAATTTTTAGCAAAATTTCTTAAGCTGCTAACAATTGAATCAATTAACTACTATTTTTTAAGAATCTTGTGTATAGTATTTTGTGGCATATCTAGCAATTTAAAGAACATGAAAATGTTTAAGACAATCTGTCTCTGCCCAGAACTTACACTGTGAACTACCACACAAGTCAGACATCTATTCACTGAGGCAAATCTTGCAACATAATGCTTAAGGTACTGGTTTGGTGTCATTATGTATTTGAAAGTAATACGAGTGTACTTCTGAAAACAAAATCCAAAAATTAAATCTCATTTTCAGGCCAACATGAAGTATTAAATTTAAAATAACTAGAAAATGAAATTATTTGATGATGGTTACAATGGAAGTTATTTAAATCAAATACCAGAGTAGAAGTATGTTAGTCTGTTAGGGCTGCCATAACAAAATACCACAGAATGGGTGGCTTAAACAACATGAATTTATTTTTTCACAATTATGGATGCTAGGAGTACAGGATCACAGTGTCAGCTGGTTTGGTTTCCTCTGAGGTTGCTCTTCTTGACTTACAGACAACACCCTTTTTGCTGTGTCTTCACATGGTCTTTTCTCTGAGCACATGCACCCCAGTGTCTCTTCCTCTTCTTATATGGACACCAGTCATAACGGACTTGGGCCCCACTCTTGTTACTTCATTAACTTTAATTACACCCTTAATAGCCCTGTCTCCAAATACAGACACACTGAGAGTTAGGGCTTCAACACATGAATTTTAGGGCAGACACAATTCAGTCCATAACAGAGAGTTACCCTAACCTCTTTTTAGTTAGGCACAGAAGTCAGTATCTGAGAAGCAGGATTTGGTCTAGGCCCCATCAGGATCCAACTTACTTTACATGTGTGGGATCCTGAAATTTCTCTTTTACTAGTCAGGATGCTTAATAAGGAGATATATGTTAAGAGCTGATGTCTCTCTTGAACCACTGCATAAATCTCCATTCTTGTTGAGGAAAGATTAGATCTGATTTTTTTTTCTAATTAATAGACTTTATTTCTTAGAGCAGTTTTAGATTCACAGAAAAATCGAACAGGAAGTACAGAGTTGCATGAGTTCCATATGCTTCCTCCTGCTACCTTAAAGTTTCGTTGTTATTAACATCTTACACTGGTGTGAGATATTTGTTACAATTGATTAACCAGTATCGATACATTGTTATTAACTAAGTTCCATTGTTTATATGAAGGTTCACTCTTTGCATTATGGGTTCTATGGGTTTTGACAAATGTATAATGTCATGTATCTACCATTGCAGTATCACACACAATAGTTTCACGGCCCTAAAAGTCTCCTGTGCTTCAGCTATCATTCCTCTCTTCCTGCCCCTTTACCCCTGGCAACCACTGGTCTCTTTAATGTCTCTTTAGTTTTGCCTTTTCCAAAATGTCATAGAGCTGAAATAATACAGTATATAATTCTTTCAGACTGGGTTATTTCATTTAGAAGAATGTGTTTAATGTTCCTCCATGTCTTTTCATGGTTGACAGCTTATTTCTTATCACTGAATACTATTCCATTACATGGACATACCATAGTTTGTTTATCTATTCACCTATTAAAGCAAATCTTGGTTGTTTCCAAATTTGGGCACTTATGAATAATACTGATATAAGCATACATGTGCAGGCTCTTGTGTGGTCAGTTCATTTGGTTTTTTAATATATATATATTTTTAACAACTGATTTTCCAGATGTGGGAGTTATTGTTTGATGTGGGGAATATAGAAACAGTTTATTAAAATATTAGACACTTTAGAACTTAAAGGACCCTAAGATGAGTGAGATCCACAGTATAGATCATCTGGTCTGATATCCGTCATCTAAAAATAGAAAATGAAGACCTCGAGAGGTAGAGTGACCTGTCTATATGCACTTGGTCAGGTGATGGCAGTGGCAGAATTGAGGAGTGAGAAAAGGGACACTCACTGTCAATCCAGTTCTTATATAAGTCTGCTCCCACAGCCAGAGATGGACACATGATAATTCCAAGCTGTTAAAGCCTGAAATGGGGTGGGCTTACACATTGTAGCCCCTTGATGGAGACAGAGGAAGAGTTGCAATTCAAACAGTGAAGTGTTGGGGAGGGCATTCTGTCTGTCCCTGGAATGGAGGAAACCCCAGGGTCCCAGAGATTGATACAGTTTGGAGGGAAAAGGAAAACGTCAGAGTCTGGTTATGTAGCAGGAATGTTGTTTTTCTACCCATATTTGCAGAGTATAGGGAGATTTTTGCTTTTATTTGTATTTAATGTCAAAGGAAAACAAGACTATGCAGATCATTTTGCTTAACAAAGGCTCTCTACATCCACTGGATCCACGATGTGGAGGATTTTAATTAAAGATCGCTCATCACTGAGCTGGGCTCTGTACAGGAAAACAGTTCTAGGGGTTTGAGAAGAAAGCAAGTGATTTGTTATCAGTGAATGCCAGTTGCCCTTTCGACTTTGAAAAGTAAAGGCCAGTGGGCTGGCCTCTTCCAGCAGCAGTGTTAGATCATCACTCTAGCTTTCTCCCTTTACTATTCATCTGCAAGTGGATGAAGAGTCCTGATTTACTTATGCATTTGGCTGTGGAGAGGGAGGAGGAGGTGGTGGAGGAAAGGAGGGGGATGACAAGGAAGAGGAGGACAAGAAGGGGTAGATGGGGGCAGAGAAGGAAAAAGAAGAATCATGTTTTTTTCAATTTATATTTTAAAACTCTGTATAAAAATGGGAAAAAATTGTCTAACAGGGTCAACTATTTAATGAATTAATTCTACATGAACTTGAAAATTCCATGAACCAAAATGTTGTAATGACCAAAATGCAACAATATAACATGATTTTTAACTCTCAATATTGCCTTCATCCAAGATGAAATAAGGTCATATGTCATTTATATCACTAATTCTATTTTATTTTATATTATTCATTGTTACTTGGATTGAGAGTGTTTTTTCCAATCTGGAAACTAATTTACTACATAATACAAAATGGCTAAAATGCGATTTGGAACATAGGGCAAGGCTAGATTTGAGTTCAATGCAGATATTATAATGCATGAAATCCTTGAAAGTGTAAATAAATGGAAATAATTTCCTCTTTGTGAAAAGAAAATGCCAGGCTACATGTTACCATGGATACTGGATGTTGCTCAGAGTCTGTTCTTTTCTTAGCAGTCAAAGACCATCTCAAACATTAGACCATGCTGCATTCTCAGCATCCTTGTTAGCTTTATGAGACAAAATCATGCATACTTTGCTACAATTAAATCTGGTTCAAAAACACATTTTAGCTTGTTTCTGAAAGAGTAGATGGTGATGCTTGGAGCCATATCATGTAATAACCCTGACAAATCTGCTATGGCTAGATTTGGTGCCATATAGTGCAAATGTTACTGGAAAATCACAGCTTTCCCCATGATCTCAGCAAACTTCTAGAAATGCACACAGTGTTTTGCTTGGGAAACATCTCTTCAATTATCTCTTCAATGAGAATTATACATGTGCTTTGCTAGTTCATATTTCTGTATATTGAGGTATGATTATTCATTAAATCCTTTTTAGGCCTTAACTAAGATTATTAAATGGAAATCTATTTTAGAAATATGTGCTATTAAAGACATATATTATTTCATCTTTATGATAGTGCTAGAAAAAAAAAGAAAGTAATAGTGCCTGGTAGGTCATTTATCATATGTTGGATGAATAATAAAGCTTGGTTTATCTGGCAGACTATCAGACACAGATCTTAAACAGGCTGCTTGTATAAAATGCCAGATTTCTTTAGTTTTTGTTTTCTCTGTTGTTATTAAATAGTTTTTATTGTGTACATTTATGGTATATAACATGATAAGATACAGATAGTAAAATGATTATTATACAGAAGCAAATTAATATATCCATCATCTCACATAGCTATCCATGTGTGGTGGTGGTGGTGTTGTTTTAGTGGGAACTTTTCATTTTTTATTTTGTCCTTGTCTACTCTATCATAAATATTCAGTGGCAGGGCCAGTGCTAGGTTATAACTAGGACTTTACCCACTGAAAAGCCTGAAACAGTAAGTCTGGAGTGAGGCAGTTTTACACTTGACAGCATTAAGTATCTACCAGGAGATAGGAGAGTGAGAGAAGCCTCGGTGTTGGGTAAGTGGTAGCAAACTTGCTACAAGTTTTAACTTGACTTTCTTTTTTGCTATATTTGTTGTCAATATTCAACTTGCCAACTTATATGAACGAGTTCACCATTTTAAGAGATTGAACATAGTGATTTTGCTTCCATTCCACACTTGCATAATGATCTGGCAACCTAGGAGGATAGAGGAAGGACAAGCCCAGGTTCCATTATACAGATCTGAGAATGCTTGAAATATTTCAGGCTTAAAGTTAGAATACCAAATTCATCAATGCAACTTGAAGTATACCAATTTATTTCATAATAAAATTATATTAAAATACAGACAGGTGAGAAATAAAAGCCTTCCCTTGATGTATTCATCATTTTAAAAATAAAATCTTCCTTTTAAATGGGTGATGAAGCATACATTTTAAGTTTTCTTTAAAAACGACTTTTCTATCTTAATTTTAAAGCAAAAGGATCTATAACAATAAAATTTAATCACATTATAAGAGAGTAAAAAACTAGAATCATAAATAGATCAAATGATTTTCATCATCCCCTTCACCTGCTACCCAAAGTAATTTTAGTTTAAAGGAACAGGGATGGTATCAACACTCTTGAATGGGTACAAAGGGGTTTGTTCATTCACTGACTGAATAAGACGTTAGGTAATTTTATTCACTTTGATATATCTAGAGTATTTTGCAGGTGTCTGGATTACAAATCAGAAGGAAAAGCCATAAACACATTTAAACTATAATAATGATAATTAAAACAACGCTAAGCACCACAACTAAGTGGGGTTTATCCCAGGTATGCAAGTCTGGCTCAACATTCATAATTCAACTAATATAATCTACCACATCAACAGGGTATACAGGAAAAAAATCACATGATCTTATCAATAAATGCAGAAAAAGCATTTTACAAAACATTCCAACCCACGTTTATGATATAAACTCCAACTAGGAATAGAGAGGACCTTCCTTAACTTGATAAAGAATATCTATACTAGAGTAGAATTGTGGTTATGAGGGACTGGGGTGGAGATAAAAGTTAGGAAGATGTTGGTCAAAGGATACATAATTTCAGTTAGATGGGATAAATAAGTTCAAGAGATCTATTGTACAATGTGTCAACTAGAGTTAATAACAATGCATTGTATTCTTTTTTTTCTTGTTTTTTTAATTTTTTATTATACTTTAAGTTTTAGGGAACATGTGCACATTGTGCAGGTTAGTTACATATGTATACATGTGCCATGCTGGTGCACTGCACCCACTAACTCGTCATCTAGCATTAGGTATATCTCCCAATGCTATCCCTCCCCCCTCCCCCGACCCCACAACAGTCCCCAGAGTGTGATGTTCCCCTTCCTGTGTCCATGTGTTCTCATTGTTCAATTCCCACCTATGAGTGAGAATATGCGGTGTTTGGTTTTTTGTTCTTGGGATAGTTTACTGAGAATGATGTTTTCCAATTTCATCCATGTCCCTACAAAGGACATGAACTCATCATTTTTTATGGCTGCATAGTATTCCATGGTGTATATGTGCCACATTTTCTTAATCCAGTCTATCATTGTTGGACATTTGGGTTGGTTCCAAGTCTTTGCTATTGTGAATAGTGCCGCAATAAACATACGTTTGCATGTGTCTTTATAGCAGCATGATTTATAGTCCTTTGGGTATATACCCAGTAATGGGATGGCTGGGTCGAATGGTATTTCCAGTTCTAGATCCCTGAGGAATCTCCACACTGAATTCCACAATGGTTGAACTAGTTTACAGTCCCACCAACAGTGTAAAAGTGTTCCTATTTCTCCACATCCTCTCCAGCACCTGTTGTTTCCTGACTTTTTAATGATCGCCATTCTAACTGGTATGAGATGGTATCTCATTGTGGTTTTGATTTGCATTTCTCTGATGGCCAGTGATGATGAGCATTTTTTCATGTGTTTTTTGGCTGCATAAATGTCTTCTTTTGAGAAGTGTCTGTTCATGTCCTTTGCCCACTTTTTGATGGGGTTGTTTGTTTTTTTCTTGTAAATTTGTTTGAGTTCATTGTAGAGTCTGGATATTAGCCCTTTGTCAGATGAGTAGGTTGCGAAAATTTTCTCCCATTTTGTAGGTTGCCTGTTCACTCTGATGGTAGTTTCTTTTGCTGTGCAGAAGCTCTTTAGTTTAATTAGATCCCATTTGTCAATTTTGTCTTTTGTTGCCATTGCTTTTGGTGTTTTAGACATGAAGTCCTTGCCCATGCCTATGTCCTGAATGGTAATGCCTAGGTTTTCTTCTAGGGTTTTTATGGTTTTAGGTCTAACATTTAAGTCTTTAATCCATCTTGAATTGATTTTTGTATAAGGTATAAGGAAGGGATCCAGTTTCAGCTTTCTACATATGGCTAGCCAGTTTTCCCAGCACCATTTATTAAATAGGGAATCCTTTCCCCATTGCTTGTTTTTCTCAGGTTTGTCAAAGATCAGATAGTTGTAGATATGCGGCATTATTTCTGAGGGCTGTGTTCTGTTCCATTGATCTATATCTCTGTTTTGGTACCAGTACCATGCTGTTTTGGTTACTGTAGCCTTGTAGTATAGTTTGAAGTCAGGTAGTGTGATGCCTCCAGCTTTGTTCTTTTGGCTTAGGATTGACTTGGCGATGCGGGCTCTTTTTTGGTTCCATATGAACTTTAAAGTAGTTTTTTCCAATTCTGTGAAGAAAGTCATTGGTAGCTTGATGGGGATGGCATTGAATCTGTAAATTACCTTGGGCAGTATGGCCATTTTCATGATATTGATTCTTCCTACCCATGAGCATGGAATGTTCTTCCATTTGTTTGTATCCTCTTTTATTTCCTTGAGCAGTGGTTTGTAGTTCTCCTTGAAGAGGTCCTTCACATCCCTTGTAAGTTGGATTCCTAGGTATTTTATTCTCTTTGAAGCAATTGTGAATGGGAGTTCACTCATGATTTGGCTCTCTGTTTGTCTGTTGTTGGTGTATAAGAATGCTTGTGATTTTTGTACATTGATTTTGTATCCTGAGACTTTGCTGAAGTTGCTTATCAGCTTAAGGAGATTTTGGGCTGAGACAATGGGGTTTTCTAGATATACAATCATGTCGTCTGCAAACAGGGACAATTTGACTTCCTCTTTTCCTAATTGAATACCCTTTATTTCCTTCTCCTGCCTAATTGCCCTGGCCAGAACTTCCAACACTATGTTGAATAGGAGTGGTGAGAGAGGGCATCCCTGTCTTGTGCCAGTTTTCAAAGGGAATGCTTCCAGTTTTTGCCCATTCAGTATGATATTGGCTGTGGGTTTGTCATAGATAGCTCTTACTATTTTGAAATATGTCCCATCAATACCTAATTTATGGAGAGTTTTTAGCATGAAGGGTTGTTGAATTTTGTCAAAGGCTTTTTCTGCATCTATTGAGATAATCATGTGGTTTTTGTCTTTGGCTCTGTTTATATGCCGGATTACATTTATTGATTTGCGTATATTGAACCAGCCTTGCATCCCAGGGATGAAGCCCACTTGATCATGGTGGATAAGCTTTTTGATGTGCTGCTGGATTCGGTTTGCCAGTATTTTATTGAGGATTTTTGCATCAATGTTCATCAAGGATATTGGTCTAAAATTCTCTTTTTTTGTTGTGTCTCTGCCTGGCTTTGGTATCAGAATGATGCTAGCCTCATAAAATGAGTTAGGGAGGATTCCCTCTTTTTCTATTGATTGGAATAGTTTCAGAAGGAATGGTACCAGTTCCTCCTTGTACCTCTGGTAGAATTCGGCTGTGAATCCATCTGGTCCTGGACTCTTTTTGGTTGGTAAGCTATTGATTATTGCCACAATTTCAGATCCTGTTATTGGTCTATTCAGAGATTCAACTTCTTCCTGGTTTAGTCTTGGGAGAGTGTATGTGTCGAGGAATTTATCCATTTCTTCTAGATTTTCTAGTTTATTTGCGTAGAGGTGTTTGTAGTATTCTCTGATGGTAGTTTGTATTTCTTTGGAATCGGTGGTGATATCCCCTTTATCATTTTTTATTGCGTCTATTAGATTCTTCTCTCTTTTTTTCTTTATTAGTCTTGCTAGCGGTCTGTCAATTTTGTTGATCCTTTCAAAAAACCAGCTCCTGGATTCATTAATTTTTTGAAGGGTTTTTTATGTCTCTATTTCCTTCAGTTCTGCTCTGATCTTAGTTATTTCTTGCCTTCTGCTAGCTTTTGAATGCGTTTGCTCTTGCTTTTCTAGTTCTTTTAATTGTGAGGTTAGGGTGTCAATTTTGGATCTTTCCTGCTTTCTCTTGTGGGCATTTAGTGCTATAAATTTCCCTCTACACACTGCTTTGAATGCGTCCCAGAGATTCTGGTATGTTGTGTCTTTGTTCTCGTTGGTTTCAAAGAACATCTTTATTTCTGCCTTCATTTCGTTATGTACCCAGTAGTCATTCAGGAGCAGGTTGTTCAGTTTCCATGTAGTTGAGCGGTTTTGAGTGAGATTCTTAATCCTGAGTTCTAGTTTGATTGCACTGTGGTCTGAGAGATAGTTTGTTATCATTTCTGTTCTTTTACATTTGCTGAGGAGAGCTTTACTTCCCAGTATGTGGTCAATTTTGGAATAGGTGTGGTGTGGTGCTGAAAAAAATGTATATTCTGTTGATTTGGGGTGGAGAGTTCTGTAGATGTCTATTAGGTCTGCTTGGTGCAGAGCTGAGTTCAATTCCTGGGTATCCTTGTTGACTTTCTGTCTCGTTGATCTGTCTAATGTTGACAGTGGGGTGTTAAAGTCTCCCATTATTAATGTGTGGGAGTCTAAGTCTCTTTGTAGGTCACTCAGGACTTGCTTTATGAAACTGGATGCTCCTGTATTGGGTGCATATATATTTAGGATAGTTAGCTCTTCTTGTTGAATTGATCCCTTTACCATTATGTAATGGCCTTCTTTGTCTCTTTTGATCTTTGTTGGTTTAAAGTCTGTTTTATCAGAGAGTAGGATTGCAACCCCTGCCTTTTTTTGTTTTCCATTGGCTTGGTAGATCTTCCTCCATCCTTTTATTTTGAGCCTATGTGTGTCTCTGCATGTGAGATGGGTTTCCTGAATACCTCACACTGATGGGTCTTGACTCTTTATCCAATTTGCCAGTCTGTGTCTTTTCATTGGAGCATTTAGTCCATTTACATTTAAAGTTAATATTGTTATGTGTGAATTTGATCCTGTCATTATGATGTTGGCTGGTTATTTTGCTCGTTAGTTGATGCAGTTTCTTCCTAGTCTCGATGGTCTTTACAATTTGGCATGATTTTGCAGTGGCTGGTACTGGTTGTTCCTTTCCATGTTTAGTGCTTCCTTCAGGAGCTCTTTTAGGGCAGGCCTGGTGGTGACAAAATCTCTCAGCATTTGCTTGTCTGTAAAGTATTTTATTTCTCCTTCGCTTATGAAGCTTAGTTTGGCTGGATATGAAATTCTGGGTTGAAAATTCTTTTAAGAATGTTGAATATTGGCCCCCACTCTCTTCTGGCTTGTAGGGTTTCTGCCGAGAGATCCGCTGTTAGTCTGATGGGCTTCCCTTTGAGGGTAACCCGACCTTTCTCTCTGGCTGCCCTTAACATTTTTTTCTTCATTTCAACTTTGGTGACTCTGACAATTATGTGTCTTGGAGTTGCTCTTCTCGAGGAGTATCTTTGTGGCGTTCTCTGTATTTCCTGAATGTGAACGTTGGCCTGCCTTGCTAGATTGGGGAAGTTCTCCTGGATAATATCCTGCAGAGTGTTTTCCAACTTGGTTCCATTCTCCCCGTCACTTTCAGGTACACCAATCAGACGTAGATTTGGTCTTTTCACATAGTCCCATATTTCTTGGAGGCTTTGCTCGTTTCTTTTTATTCTTTTTTCTCTAAACTTCCCTTCTCGCTTCATTTCATTCATTTCATCTTCCATCGCTGATACCCTTTCTTCCAGTTGATCACATCGGCTCCTGAGGCTTCTGCATTCTTCACGTAGTTCTCGAGCCTTGGTTTTCAGCTCCATCAGCTCCTTTAAGCACTTCTCTGTATTGGTTATTCTAGTTATACATTCTTCTAAATTTTTTTTCAAAGTTTTCAACTTCTTTGCCTTTGGTTTGAATGTCCTCCCGTAGCTCAGAGTAATTTGATCGTCTGAAGCCTTCTTCTCTCAGCTTGTCAAAGTCATTCTCCATCCAGCTTTGTTCCGTTGCTGGTGAGGAACTGCGTTCCTTTGGAGGAGGAGAGGCGCTCTGCTTTTTAGAGTTTCCAGTTTTTCTGTTCTGTTTTTTCCCCATCTTTGTGGTTTTATCTACTTTTGGTCTTTGATGATGGTGATGTACAGATGGGTTTTTGGTGTGGATGTCCTTTCTGTTTGTTAGTCTTCCTTCTAACAGACAGGACCCTCAGCTGCAGGTCTGTTGGAATACCCTGCCGTGTGAGGTGTCAGTCTGCCCCTGCTGGGGGGTGCCTCCCAGTTAGGCTGCTCGGGGGTCAGGGGTCAGGGACCCACTTGAGGAGGCAGTCTGCCCGTTCTCAGATCTCCAGCTGCATGCTGGGAGAACCACTGCTCTCTTCAAAGCTGTCAGACAGGGACATTTAAGTCTGCAGAGGTTACTGCTGTCTTTTTGTTTGTCTGTGCCCTGCCCCCAGAGGTGGGGCCTACAGAGGCAGGCAGGCCTCCTTGAGCTGTGGTGGGCTCCACCCAGTTCGAGCTTCCCGGCTGCTTTGTTTACCTAATCAAGGCTGGGCAATGGCAGGCGCCCCTCCCCTGGCCTCCCTGCCGCCTTGCAGTTTGATCTCAGACTGCTGTGCTAGCAATCAGCGAGACTCTGTGGGCATAGGACCCTCCGAGCCAGGTGCGGGATATAATCTCGTGGTGCGCCATTTTTTAAGCCCGTCAGAAAAGCGCAGTATTCGGGTGGGAGTGACCCAATTTTCCAGGTGCCGTCCATCACCCCTTTCTTTGACTCGGAAAGGGAACTCCCTGACCCCTTGCGCTTCCCAAGTGAGGCAATGCCTCGCCCTGCTTCGGCTTGCGCACGGTGCGCGCACCCACTGACCTGTGCCCACTGTCTGGCACTCCCTACTGAGATGAACCCGGTACCTCAGATGGAAATGCAGAAATCACCGTCTTCTGCGTCGCTCACGCTGGGAGCTGTAGACCGGAGCTGTTCCTATTCTGCCATCTTGGCTCCTCCCCAATGTATTGTATTCTAAAAGATTGCCAAGAGTAGATTTTAAGTGTTCTCACCTCAAAAAATGGTAAATTGTGAAGTAACACATATGTTAATTAGCCTGAGTTAGCCATTCCACTATGTGTGTGTGTGTATATATATATAAATGTATACATATATATATATAGAAAGATATATATGTTTCAAGACATTATCTCGTACGTAATATATATAATTTTAATTGTCAATTAAAAAGTAAATAATTCAAAGAAAATTATCTATTTATAAAAAACCTACAACTAACATCATACTTAATGGTGAAAAAGTTGAAGCTTTCCCACTAAGATTGTGAACAAGGGAAGATGTCCCCTCTCACAACTAATTTTTGTATCATACTGGAAGTATGCAATACTAATGCAATACAACTAGAAAAAGGAATTTCTCTCTTCCCATGAATCTTGGGAAGAGAGAAATAAAATTATCTTTGTTTGCAGATGATATGATTGTCCATGTAGAAAATCTGGAAGAATTGACCAAAAAACTCCTGGAACTAAGTGATTATAGCAGGGTTGCAAAATACAAGGTTAATACACAAAACTCGATTGCTTTTCTATATGCCAGCAATAAACAAATGTAATTTGAAATTGGAAACACAAATATCATTTGCATTAGCACCACTCAAAATTAAATATTTAGGTATAAATGGAACAAAACATATACAAGACCTTTATAAGAAAAACTGTAAAACTTTGATGAAATAAGTAATACAGGGACAGATATTTCATGTTCATAGATAGACTCAAAATTGTCAGGATGTCAGTTCTTCGCAACTTCATCTATAGATATAATCCAATCCCAATGAAAATACCAGCAAGTTATTTTATGATTCTGACAAAGTGATTCTAAAGTTTGTATGGAGAGGCAAAAGACTCATAATAGCTAACACAGTTTTAAAGGAGAAGCACAAAGTTGGAGGACTGACACTACCTAACTTTAAGACTTGCTACAAAACCACAGTAATCAAGACAGTGTAGTATTGATAAAAGGACAGACAAATAGATCAATGAAAAAGAGTAGAGAGCCCAGTAATGAACCTACAAAAAATATAGTCAACTGATCTTTGACAAAGGAGTAAAAGCAATACAGTGAAGCAAAAATAATCTTTTCAATAAATGGTGCTAACACGACTGAACATCCACATGCAAAAGCAAAAAGCAAAGAAGAATCTAGACACAAACTGCTATGGTTTGAATGTGTTTCCCAGAATTCATGTGTTGCAAACATAACTCCCAATGTGACAGGGTTGGAAGGTATTGAGGTCAGGAGTGTTCTATCCTGATAAATAAATTAATGCCATTATAAAATGGGGCTTGCCAGAGAGGGTTTGCTCTCTTGCACTCTCTGCCTTTCTACTATGTGATGCTTTCCACCATTTGATGATACAGCAAGAAGGCCCTCCTGAGATGATGGTATGTTGATCTTTGACTTTCCAGTTAAGAACTGTGATAAATAAATTTCTTTTTTTTTTTTGATAAATTACCCAGCCTCAGGTATTCTGTCACATCAGCATAAAACACACTAAGACACAGGCCTTATACCCTTTACAAAATTAACTCAAAATGGATCACAGACCTAAATTTAAAACAAAAATCTATAAAATTCCTAGAAGATTACATAGAAGAAAAATCTAGATGACCTTAGATTTGGTGATGACTTTTTAAATATAATATCAAAGGCACAATATATGAAATAATAAATTGATAAGTTGGATTTCATTAAAATTAAAAATTTATGCTCTACCAAAGACACTATCAAGAGACTAAAAAGACAAGCCACAGACTGGAAGAAAATATTTGCAAAGAACATCTGATAAAGCACTGTTATCCAAAATATACAAAGAATGCTTAAAACTCAACAATAAGAAAACTAACAACCTAATTTAAAAATGAACCAAAAACTTTACCAGTCACTCCAGCTAGGAAGATATACAAATGGCAAATAGGCATATGAAAAGATATTCCATATCATGTCATCAGAGAAATCCAAATTGAAACAATGAGATACCAAATAGATCAATAGGCAATACACATCTATTAAAATGGCCAAAATCCATAACACTAACAACACCAAAAGCTGGTGAGAATGGAGCAGCAGGAACTCTCATTTATTGCTAGTAGGCATGAAAACTGGTATAGCCATTTTGGAAGACAGTTTACCAATTTATTACAAAATTGAAACTACTCTTACCATATGATCCATGAATTGCACTCCTTGGTATTTACTCAAAAAAATTACAAACACATTCACACAAAAACTTATAGCACAGATACTTATAGCAGCTTTATTCATAATTGCCAAAACTTGGAAGCCAGCAAGATGTCCTTCAGTAGGTGACTGAATAAATAAACTGTGGTATATGCAGACAAGAAAACTTGAGTGCTGCAAGGAAATTAGCTATCAATCGGTGAAAAGACATGAAGGAAACATGAATGCATATTACTGAGTGAAAGGAACCAATTGTATTATCTTCTTCTCACACTGCTATAAAAAGCTGGCAGAGAATGGATAACTTATAAAGAAAAGAGGTTCAATTGACTCATAGTTCCAGATGCCATACAGAAGGCATGGCTGGTGAGGCTGGGAGGCCTCAGGAAACTTACAGTCGTGGCAGAAGGGCGAAGGGGAAGCAAGCATATTTTCACATGGTGGCAAGAGAGGGAGTGAAGGGGGAAGTGCTGCACACTTTTCAGCAACCAGATCTTATGAGAACTCACTCATTATCATGAGAACAGCAAGCGGGATACTCACCCCCATGATCTAGTCACCTCCTACCAGGTCCCTCTACCAGTACTGGAGATTACAATTCAATATGAGATTTGGGCGGGGGACACAGATCCAAACCATATCAAATAATATGCTTGGCTCTGTGTCCCCCACCCAAATCTCATGTTGAATTGTAATCAACATTTGGCTCATAATATGGTTTGGCTCTGTGTCTCTCATCCAAATCTCATGTTGAATTGTAATCCCATAATTCCCATGTGTTGTGGGAGAGACCCAGTGGGAGATAATTGAATCATGGGGGTGGTTTCCCCCATACTGTTCTCGTGATAGTGAATAAGTCTCACGAGATTTGATGGTTGGATAAGGGGAAATCTGTTTCACTTGGTTCTCATTCTCTCTCTTGCGGCCACCATGTGAGACTTGCCTTTCACCTTCCACCATGATTGTGAGGCCTCTCCCCAGCCATGTGGAACTGTAAGTCCAATAAACCTCTTTCTTTTGTAAATTGCCCAGTCCTGGGTATGTCTTTATCAGCAGCTTGAAAATGGACTAATAATACATTATTCCACTTCTGGCCCCTCCTGAATCACATGTCCTTCTCATATTTCAAAAAACCAATCATGCCTTCCCAACAGTCCCCAAAAGTCTTAACTCACTCCAGCATTAACTCAAAAGTCCAACTCCAAAGCCTCATGTGAGACAAGGCAAGTCCCTTCCACCTATGAGCTTGTAAAATGAAAAACAAGTTAGTTACTTCCGAGATATAATGGGGTTACAGGCATTGGGTAAATGCTCCTATTCCGAAAGGGAGAAATTGGCCCAAACAAAGGGACTGTAGGCCCCATGCAAGTCTGAACCCCAGCAGGGCAGTTATTTAATCTTAAAGACCCCAAATAATCTTTTTGACTCCATGTCTCATATTCAGGGTATGCTGATGCAGGGGGTGTGCTCCTACGGCCTTGGGCACTCCACCTCTGTTGCTCTGCAGGGTACAGCCCCCATGGCTGCTTTCACTGGCTGGCGTCCAGTGCCTGTGGCTTTTCCATGTGCACAGTGCAAGCTGTCGGTAGATTTACCATTCTGGAGTCTGAAAGACAGTGGCTGATATGGTTTGGCTCCGTGTCCCCACCAAATCTCATCTCAGATTGTAATCCCCATGTTTTGAGGGAGGGACCTGTTGGGAGGTAACTGGATCATAGGGACAGCTTCTCCCATGCTGTTCTCATAATAGTGAGGGAATTCTCATGAGATCTGATGGTTTAAAAGTGGCAGCATCCCCCCTGCACTCTCTCTCTCCTGCTGCCATTTAAGATGTGCCTTGCTTCCCCCTTTGCCTTCCATCATGATTGTAAGTTTCCTGAGGCCCCTGCCCCCACCAGCCATGCAGAACTGTAAGTCAATTAAACCTCTTTCCTTTATAAATTACCCAGCCTCAGGTACTATCTTTATGACATTGTGAAAATGGACTAATACAGTAGCCCTCTTCTCACAGCCCCACTAGGCAGTGCCCCAGTGAGGACTATGGGGACTCTAACCCCACATTTCCCCTCCACACTGCCCTACTAGAGGTTCTCCATGAGGCCTCTGCCCCTGCAGCAGACTTCTTCCTGGATATTCAGGCATTTCCATACATCCTCCAAAATCTAGGCAAAGGCTCCCAAGCCTCAATTACTACTGTCTGCATACCTACAGGCCTAATACCATGTAGAAGCCACCAAGGCTTGGGGCTTTCACCCTCTGAAGCAATGGCCTGAGCTGTACCTTGTCCTCTTTCAGCCACGACTGGAGCTAGAGCAGCTGGGATGCAGGGCACAATGTCCAGGATGCGTGCACAGAGCAGTGGAGGCCATAGGCCTGGCCCATGAATCCATTTTTCCCTGCTAGGCCTTCAGGCTTGTGATAGGAGGGGCTGCCATGAAGGTCTCTGAAATGCCCTGGAGACATCTTCCCCATTGTCTGGGCTATTAACATTAGGTTTCTCTTTACGTATGCAAATTTTTGCAGCCTTGAATTCCTCCCCAGAAAATGGGTTTTTCTTTTCTACCTCATGGTCAGGCTGCAACTATTTTAAACTTTTATGCTCTGCTTCTCTTTTAAATATAAGTTCCAGTTTCAGGTAATTTCTTTCTTTATGCAAATGAGCATAGGCTTTTACAAACAGCCAAACCACATCTTGAACACTTTGCTGCTTAGACATTGCTTTCACCGGATACCCTAAATCATCTCTCTCAAGTTCAAAATTCCACAGATTTCTAGAGCAGGGGCACAATGCCATCAGTCTTTTTGCTAAAGCATAGCCAGAGTGACTTTTACTCAAATAAGTACTCAAATACTCAGAGTCCCAAATAAGTTCCTCGTCTCTACCTAAGACCTCCTTATCTCTACCTAAGACGTCCTCAACCTAGTCTTCACTGTCTGTATCACTATCAGTATTTTGGTCACAGCCATTCAACAAGTCTGTATGAAGTTCCAGACTTTCCCATATCTTCCTCTTTTTCTGAGCCCTCCAAACTGTTTCAACCTCTGCCCATTACCCAGTTCCAAAGTTGCTTCCACATTTTTAGGTATCTTTATAGCAATACCCCACGCTCAGTACCAATTTTCTGTATTAGTCCATTCTCATACTGCTATAAAGAACTACCTGAGACTCAGTAACATATCAAGAAAAGAGGTTTGATTAACTCACAGTTCCACAGGCCATCCAGGAGGCATGGCTGGGAGTCCTCAGGAAACTTACAATCATGATGGTAGGGTGAAGAGGAAGTAAGCACATCTTCACATGGTGGCAGGAGAGAGTGCGAAGAAGAAAGTGCTACAGGCTTTTAAACCACCAGATCTCATGAGAACTAACTCACTATCACAAGAACAGCATGGGGGAAGTCTGCCCCCAAGATCCAATCACCTCCCACCAGGTCCCTCCCCTAACACTGGAGATTACAATTCAACATAAGATTTGGGTAGGGACACAGAGCCAAACCATATCAGCAACATACTGTATGATTCCATCTACATAACATTTTGAAGAAGGCAAAACTATGGAGACAGTGAAAAAAATCAGTGGTTGCCAGGGTTAGGGGAGAGAAAGGGATGAAGAGGTGGAGCACAGAGGGATTTGGGGCAGAGAAACTACTCTGTATGGTACTATAATAGTAGATACATGTCATTATTCACTTGTCTAAACGCATAGAATGTACAACACCAAGAGTGAAGCCTAATGTAAACTGTGGACATTGGATGATAATGATGTGTCTATGTAGGTTCATCAATTGTAACAAAAATACCACTCTTGTTGGGGATGTTGACAATGGGGGAGGTTACGCATGTGTGGTAGAAGAAAGTACATGGGAAATTTTGTACCAACTTCCATTTTGCTGTGAGCCTAAAACTTCTCTAATAGAGTTTATATAAAATTTTAAAATATCATACAGTAAAAAATAAAAGAAACTAAGTACTTCCATAATTCTCACTGTTCAATTATAGGATGTTTTCTGGTCACATGACTTGATACTTGAGTAAGTCTTATTAGACATTCATGATGTCTAAAGAAATCCTCTGTTGGGCATTTTGTTTTTAATTCTTAGGTCAGATGTTGCCATTTTGTATAATGATCGCTCTGTCCTTGAGAATCACCACGTGAGTGCAGCTTATCGACTTATGCAAGAAGAAGAAATGAATATCTTGATAAATTTATCCAAAGATGACTGGAGGTGAGTTTCAGAGAAAACCTAGAGGAAATTTAATTTCAGGAAAGGAATAAATTATGCGATTTAAAGTCAAGAAAAAAGATGAAAGTCGATGCATTCCCCAAATTACAAACTTAATTACTGTCGACTGGATGACTCTGAGAAGGATTAGTACTTAGGGACTTTGTTCAGAGCCAGACTGTGTTAAAGGGACCTGAAGTATTTCCAGGTCAACTCAACATCCATATGTCTGAATAAGACCACACACAACACAACAAATAATTTTATATACATAATTACACACTCTCTGGAATGGAGCTCTGCTCAATTTTTATCAATATGGGGTGTTACATAAATTCAAAATTTTGGCATTATATTCATTCTTTCATATATTTTTTTTAAAAGATGTGGAGTTAAGGTTTTTTTAAAAACAAAAAGTTAAACGTGGGAAAAAAATTCCAATATACTAAAATGACCCAAGTGCAGAGGAAATCTTACATGTTTCTCCAAAGCATCTGTTTGCTTGAAAAAAATTACATGGTATATTGATACTTGTTGCTATGTAGGGAAAAATAACAAGATGTACCCCCATCCCTCTTATAACCTTTCTTCTCTTTTTCTTGATCCTTTGGTCATTATCATCTCCTTCAATTGACAATAGGGTTGCTGGACTTCACAAATAAAAGTAAAGGACAATCAATTAAATATGAACT
The DNA here is from genome assembly GCF_000001405.40 of Homo sapiens. Classification (NCBI taxonomy): domain Eukaryota; kingdom Metazoa; phylum Chordata; class Mammalia; order Primates; family Hominidae; genus Homo; species Homo sapiens. Next base: position 182,205,250 of record NC_000002.12, on the reverse strand, counting down.
TCATTAATCATAGAATCTTCTTAGTATATGTCCCTAATATTCTATGGGACTCTCTTATAGTAAGAACAGAAAAAGGCCTGTATTTATCTTTAACAACAATCTTATTAAAAGTCATTTAATTGACTAGAAAAGGTTTCCAATTGAATGTAAATATCAAAGGTTTTTGCTTTCATTTTTGTTTTTTTAAATCAAGGTAAAAAGAAATATCCAAAAGGAAAGTGACAATAAAAACATTAAAAAACGTAAAAGATAAAAATCAGAGTTTAAAATAAGCCTAAATCTCCTGTGAACACTTTTTCAAATTTTCAAAGTTTCCTGGTTCTTCAAGGCCATATCTAGAGATATGGGCTCATTTTTGCAACTCTAGAAAATGCTGTCAGGTAGAGGGAAGGTGGAACTTTCTTTTGGAGACACAGTTCAGGCCTTTCATTTTACAGTTGACCCTTGAACAATACAGGGGTTGGGGCACCCCCATTCAACTGAAAACCCATGTATACCTTTTGACACTTCAAAAACTTAACTACTAATAGCCCACTCTGGATAGGAAGCCTTACCAATAATATAAAAGTTGATAAATACATAATTTGTATGTTATTTGTATTACATACAATATTACTACAATAAAGTAACTAGAGAGAAGAAAATGTTATTAAGAAAATCATAAAGAATAGAAAATATATTTACTGTTTATTAAGTGGAAGTGGGTCATCAAAAAGGCCTTCATCCTCTGTCTTTATGTGGAGTGGGCTGAGGAGGAGAATGGAAGAGGAGGGATTGGTTTTGCTTCTCAGGTGTGACAGAGGGGAAAAAATATGTGTACGAGTGGTCCCACACAGTTCAAACTTATGTTGTTCAAGGGTTAACTGTATTCTGCAGGAAATAGTAGCCCAAGAGGATTTACAGTCTAGAAATGCCAGGATCTAACTGTGAAATAATTTTAAAGAGACCACTGTTGGGCTATGTAGCGATTAGATGGGCAAAGGTAGGAACAAGCAGACAAGTTCTGAGATATTTCCTAAAGCCTAAGAGAGATTATTTACATCTAGGGTATTAGTTTATTTTCTTAATCAGTGATTACCATTCCCATAGATAATTTTTATAATATTAATTTGTTGTTATTCAAAGAAATAAACATTTTTTCCTCAAAGTTCACTTTGTTGCTATTTCAGTGTGATTTTATTTCCTATTATATTTTGTTATTTACCATTTTAAATATTTTATTCTAATAGTTTATTGCTGTAATTGTCTAAGTTTCTGTTTGGTAACTTCAGAGTCATTTTAATTGAATGTTTTTAAAGAATTGTTTTAACAAATAGTGTACATATTATATACATTTTAGAATTTAATAGATTCAACACTTTCCAAAAATCTATAAAATACCTATTTGATGCTATACGTTTGATAACATTTTACTAAGAATTAAAATATGGATATCTTCTTAAAGACTGATGTTTTCTGTTTACATATCTGTTTATTTCTTAAAGTACTTTTAGTAAAAATAAATGCATTAATTTAAAAGTTTTCACAAGAAAATTTTATAAATTAAGTAATGTTTTCTTATTTTGCCTAATTATTGACATATTATTAGTTGGTTATTGATAACATCTAGCATTTACTGATCATTTATATGCAAAGCACAATATACTTATTAGATTCTATTGATTTCCTTAAACTCTAATCTCATTTTCCTTAGCAAACATAAATGTTCTTATTCAGTTGCTTTTCAAATATGGGTCTTGTCATATTTTCAGCGAAAAAAATGTAATTGAGAATAATTTTATTAATAGCTTCCTTTCCCTTACTACTTGAATAAAAGTAAGTAAGCAGAGTATTGATTCTCATGGCTTCTATCTAAAAATTCAATAGAAATGTTGAGTGCTCATGATTTTCAGCAAGAACCATCAATATGTAGTTTTGTTTTGTTTTTTTTTCAGACGGAGTCTTGCTCTGTAGCCCAGGCTGGAGTGCAGTGGTGCAATCTCGGCTCACTGCAAGCTCTGTCTCCTGAGTTCATGACATTCTCCTGCCTCAGCCTCCCGAGTAGCTGGGACTACAGGTGCCCGCCACCAGGGCTGGCTAATTTTTTTTTTTGTATTTTTAGTAGAGACGGGGTTTCACCGTGTTAGCCAGGATGGTCTCGATCTCCTGACCTCGTGATCCACCCGCCTCGGCCTCCCAAAGTGCTGGGATTACAGGCGTGAGCCACCATGCCCAGCCAATATATAGTTTTTTTAAAAAGGCAATTAAATAGATTATATCATCTTTAAGTAAAGTATCTTTGTGCAAGATCGTAATTCAAGTTTCCTTCACACTTTTGGTTCAGCTTATCCTACTGGCCACACCACACAATGAAAATGAAATATGTTTTCCAGTACAAGTGACTTTTTTAACTTATCTGTATAGAGCAAACAAGGAATTGTGGAACATGCAAGGCTTTGCTGGGGTGCCTTATTTTCTACTAAGTGTGAGGCTTTGTGACATGGTTATTGTATTTACAGTGCCTTGGTTAAAATAGTCAGTAATACCAATGGCTCTCTTTATGTTAGGGAGGGTCAGATCCCAAAAGCTTAAACAGAAAATCACTACTCACTTTAGCATCTTGGTTTCTCTGGGGTTCTTATGATGGAAGCTTGGCACAGAGGAGTGGTCCATGTGTCTGCTTTGGAAGTGGGACCTCTTGCGTTGAATCTTATCTGAGCCATGTACCAGCTGTGTGACTGGGTGACTCAGTCTCCTTTGGGGGGAAATATTAATGCTCCCTCAGGATTGTTAGGAGGATTAAATGTCTTTGTATACATACAAAGCAACTAGTTGCTAAAGTATTTTATTATCGGTATTATATGAAGACATTTAATCCTTACAGTTCAGTGCCTTGCTGAATAAATACTGAATGAATAGCACTGGTTTTATTAATAGTAGTCGTTTTGATTAAAAATGCAAAATGAAGAAGAATCAGATAGGGTCTTGAAATCTCATGCTCTTCTTATCTCTGTCTCTTCTCTGAGACATCAAACCTTTTAGTTTGGTTGACATGTGGATTTAGAATAGTCTCAGGCCCCACTGGACTACTTTTTTTCCTCAAAGCATTGAAATACTATATAATACTGTATTTGGAATAGTTTTTCTTTAAAATGGCTAAAGTTCCTTTCAGATTAAAAATAATAATATTTAGGAATTATGACTGCAGAAGAGTTGTGGGAGTGAGAAGGGAAAGCACTAGCTCTTCAGGGAGGTGTGAACATCGTTGCCATTCTCGCTGCTGGCAACTTCTTAGATCCATGACAGTTAAAAGGTAAAATAATATCAAACTTGTGTGTGGACTTTCACATTTAAAAAGTAGCATCTTTTGTGTTCATATCCATTAAGAACTATAAAACATGGTGAGTGATTATTTATTGAAGTGTTCCACTTCAGAACAATAAATGGCTGAATGAACCTTTCTCCTTTTGGTGACTCTGCAGGGATCTTCGGAACCTAGTGATTGAAATGGTTTTATCTACAGACATGTCAGGTCACTTCCAGCAAATTAAAAATATAAGAAACAGTTTGCAGCAGCCTGAAGGGTAGGTTTTGTGTTTTTTTTGTTGTTTTTTTTTTTTTGTCATGTTAAAGTTCCAGGGGCTTGGCCTCAGAAAAGACTGTAATTGTTTCCTTTGTTTTGAATAATATAAGCATGTCCTTGGTTTGACAGGATTGACAGAGCCAAAACCATGTCCCTGATTCTCCACGCAGCAGACATCAGCCACCCAGCCAAATCCTGGAAGCTGCATTATCGGTGGACCATGGCCCTAATGGAGGAGTTTTTCCTGCAGGTGCCTCTTTCACACTCTGTGCAAATGTTTTTGGAAATAGTGACTGTGCATATTAGCGTACACCTTTTCTGTATGGAATCCAGGGCTTGTGACTTACTATTATCAACTGGCCACCTACACATTCTTGGGGGTTTCAGCAAAATTTATTAGTCTATCAGAAAGGTGTATTAAGTCTATGTAGTGTGATACATGTTTTAAAGAGATTCAAATTTTGGATCTGAGATGCTACTGTCAGGAAAGAAAAATAAAAGCAGCTAAGAATTGTTATCTGCTGTTAAGACGTAAGTGCCACAGCAGAGACAGCAAATAGCTTTCATAATAGAAAGAGTAGATAAGGATATATAACAGTTCTGCATAAATCTTGTTGGCCAGAATTTTAATGGAGGCCAAGAAATATTGCTTTAGCTGGGTGGACACATGCCTAACTGAAATAGGCAACAACAACAACAACAAAAATCTAATGTTACGTCAGAAACAAGCCCGGATAAGGATTGTGACTGGCGTTCTCTGCCACAAGTACACATCTTTTCTTTATACATGTCCCTGTTTTGCAACCCCCACAATCCAAGCTGGAGTGCTACAATACAAATGTGATGCTAACCACTCAGAGTTAGCATCAAATTGCACAAATTAAGGGCTCAGTCTTCCACAAGATTGGCTCTACTTCAGATGCCAGCTGCAAATGGGGCTGTGGGACACCAGCACTTCTGACCAGCCAGTTACAAGTTCAGTGGTTCCCACAACCCTCTCTAGGTTTGATAACTTGCTAGAATGACTCACAAAACTTCAAAAGTGCTATCCTTACAATTACAATTTTATTATAAAGAATACAATCCAGGCAGAGCCAAATGAAAAGGCCCATAAGGAAAGGTCTGGGAGGGTCTTGGATGCAGAGCTTCCTTGCTATTTCCAGTGGAGTTAGCGAGTACCACCATCCTGCCTTGTCAATGTTTTCACCATCCAGGAAGCTCTACTGAGCTTTCCTGTCCAGAGTATTTATCAAGGTTTCATTACATAGGCATGGTTGATTAAACCATTGGACATGCGATTGAACTCAGTCTCCAGCCTCACTTCCTTCCCAGATATCCCCTGGCTGGCTTAAAGTTCCAACTTTCTAATCATGTGGTTGGTTTCTGGTGACCAGGCCCTATGCTGAAACTATCTAGGGGATAGGCCCAGAGTTGCCTCATTAGCCTAGAGTCTCCTATCACTCATGAAATTCCACAGGTTTTTGAAGCTCTGCTAGGAACTGGGAATGAATATCAGATAATTTTGTTTTATTATATCACAGTCCCACTTAGAGAAGTTCTTTTATTTCTGTATTTTCAGATTATTTCATTTCTCAGTATTGTTCTTTATTTTGAAAGTTTGTTCATTAATTTTATACCTGTTCTGAAGATATAAACACCAAATATATTACTATGTTTGGATGACTCACGTTTCTGTCTCCCATTGTTGATGGACATAATGTGTGGTATTTTGAAAGTTTGTTCATTAATTTTATACCTGTTCTGAAGATATAAACACCAAATATATTACTATGTTTGGATGACTCACGTTTCTGTCTCCCATTGTTGATGGACATAATGTGTGGTTTCATTTTTATATTGCAATTTATATTCCTAGAGAAAGTTACTGAGTAGCATCTTACTAAATTCAAATATTTTGGTCCTAAAAATAGTATTGAAAAATATTTTAATAATTTGCTTTGTGCTAAAAAAATACACTAAATGTAAAAACCTACCAAATTCTAAAGGTCAACTGCTTATTATGGTCAATTAAAAATTATAATGATATACTCAATCAATCAACCAGAGATCTTTCTGTATAGCCCTGTGACATTAGAGATGCAAAAACAGAAAAATAAAGAGATACAAAGATTTTTCAGGTTAAGAAGAAATTTTTAAATATCTTAAGTTGAATGATTTTGAAAACATAATATTTGAAAATTGTTGGATGCAACTGAAGCAGTGCTTAGGGGAAATTTTATAGCTTCACATACTTACATTAGAAAAAAAATGTGTAATAAAGTAAGTTATATCTGTTTCACCTTAAGAAGCTAGAAATTAAGAAAATTGAATCAAAATAAGTTGATGGAAGGATATAATAAATATAAAAGCCAAAAACAGTGAAACAGAACAAAGACAAACAATAACAAAAGTTAATGAAGATAACAGTTGGCTCTCCGAAAAAGTAATGAAATTACTTGCAGGATCAAAAAGAGGAAAAAACTATAAATGAAAGAGAGAATATCATTATAGAGCCTGTATTCATCAAAAGGGTGAGGAATATTATGCACAATTTATGCCAATAAAATTGAAAACTTAGATGAAATTGTCAAAATTTTTGACAGATATAAATTACCAAAACAGACACAAGAAAAAATCATGTAGTCTGAATATTCATATATCTGTTTCAAAAGTTGAATTTGTACTTTAACTCTTCTTATGAAGAAAACTCTAGGCTTAGATGACTTTAATTCTTATTTCCGATTTCAATTCTCAATATTCAATTCAATTGAGAGATGGAGAATTTTCTCAAACATTTCAGGAAGAAATAATGCCAGTTTTACACAAATTCTTTTATGACATAGAGGAAGAGGAAAATTTGACAGCATAATTCTCGACATTACCTGACAAAGACTTTTCAAGTAAAGAAAATTACACATCCACATCTGCCATAAAACTGAAAGAGAAATTTTTTTTTAATTTTTAAAATTTTTAGCAAATCAAATCCAGCAATTTAGTAAGATAGTGCATATCATATCATAACTTGAGTCAGTTTAATATTAAAAAATTAAGGTAATTCACCATATTAAAGGAAATAAAGGAAAAAATATATTAATTATCAACCCTATAGATATGCAAAATGCATTTGACAATATTCGACAGACATTAATTATAAAAACTGTTAGTAAACTAGAAGTAGAAGACCTTTCTCAACCTGATCAAAGGTCTATAGCGAATGTGATACTTCACAATGAAATACTGAACATTTTTATTCTAAGATCATTATAGGTACTCTTACCACTTCTATTCAACATTGCATTTGAAGTTCTAGCCAGTGTAGGAAGGTAATAAAAAACAAAGTATAGTTTGAATAAAAATAAATAAAACTGTTATTTGCAGAAACATGAGCATCTGCATAGAAAACCTCAAGAGATCTACAAAAGGCTACTTACTAGAATTAATAAATGAGTTTATTAGTTGTAGAATCAATTGTGTTTCTGTATGCAAGCTGCAAACAATTTGAAAATAAAAATTGAAAACAGTATGCTTTATAACAGCATAAAATAATAAAATTTTGGGGGAAACCTTTAATTAAATGTATATGAAACCTCCACACTGCAAACCACAAAACATTTTTGAGAGAAATTTTAAGACCTATATAAATGGAGAGATATGTTAATGACTGAAAGACTCAATATTTCTAAGATGTCAATTCTTACAAATTTTTAATAAATTTAGCATAATCTTTATCAGAAATTGTAACAGGCTTATTTGTAGAAGTTGAAAGGCTGATTCTAAAATCTGTATAGAAATATAAGAGTCTAAGGCAGCTAAAACAATTTTGAAAAAGATTAAAGAAGTTGGAGGACTTACACTTCCTCCTTATGTGAGTTAGTATAAAGCTACAGTGATCAAGGCACTGTGTTATTGGCATAGGGCATAGGGCTAGGCAAATAGATCATTAAAATAGAGGAGTGATTTCAGAAACAGGCTCATATATATAATGTCATGTGATCTTTACAAAGGCACCAAAACAACTACATGGGGAAAGGAAAGTCTTTCCACAAAAGGAAATGGAACAGCAATTAGTGAATGTATGGGAAGAAAAGGAAACTTGTCCCCTACCTACACCTTAACACAAAAACTAATTCAAAATTAAGGAGTTTAAGACAAAACCTAAAACTATAAAGATCTTAGAGGAAAACGCAAGAGAAGATCTCTCTAATCTCGGGGGTAGGTAAATATTTCTTAGAGAAGACACATAAAGCATTACCCATAAAAGAAAAAAAAAATGAAGTGGAAAAAAGCAAAACTCAAAACTTCTGATCTTCCAAAGGCACTACTAAGAAAATGCAAACCATAGACTGAGAGAAAATATTTGTACTACAAATATCTGTCCAAGGACTTGTGTCCAATTGCATATAGAACTCCAACAAATCAATAGTAAAAAGAAAATCAGGCCAATTTGAATGGATATTTTATAAAAGGAAATGTACAAGTAGGTAATACTTACATACAAGTATGTTCATTTTCTTTACTTATCAAAGAATTATAAATTAAACCATAATGAAATATCATATAGCCCCATGAGAATGACTAAAATTAAAATAATTGAAAATATAAGGTGTTACCAAAAATGAGGAACAACTGGAGGTATCATACATACATCACAGGTGGGAGGATAAATTATTACAATCACTCTGGAAAACTACTGGATATCATCTACTGAAGTTAATATGAAGGGATAGTTAATATCCCTTAGGACCCAGCACTTTTACCCCTAGATAAATGAGTATTTATGCCCACCAAATGTCTTATATAGGAGTAGTCATTATACTACTACTTAAAAAAACTCAATGCTAGAAACAGTCCAAATATTCATCAAAAATAGAAATGGATAAAAAATAAATCATGGTACAGTCATACAATGGAATATCCAGCAACAATGAAAAATAGACTAATGATACAAATGACAATAAATCTCAAAATAATACTATAAACCAATTTATATGAAGTTCAAAAATTGGCAAAATTAATATATGGTGATAGAAATCAGAACAGTAGGTGCCTATATGGGTTAGGATTCCTTGGACGAGGTTAAGGCAACTTTCTGGGGGTAATGGAAATGCTCTATATCTTAATCAAGTATTATACAAGTGTTCCTGTTTATACCCTTCAGATTTGCCCATAAATTTCCCTTTAATTTTTTTTAAAAAGAGTATATCATAATGAAGGTAGCTCATCTCTGACTTAAAGAAGACCCTAAAAAAATTACTGTGGGAAAAAACAAAACTAAAATCCCAGAGACTCCTGAAGATTACCATTAGATCTCCAAATAATATCACGATTTGTATTATCCTTTTGTTTTACTGATTTCAAAACAGACAAAGAATACCTGACAGGATCATGAGATTAGTAAATTCAATGAAATTGAGTTCAGATCTGTTGAAAGTTCACCAATTTCTGGATTTTTAAAAGTAAACGATTTTCAAATCCCCTTCAGAAACATATGCAGCAAAACAGAAAAATGTGGAGCTAAAGGTCAAAATAATTAAGTTTATACTGCCAACAAATATGTCTTTCAAGCAAAACAAGTTTTTCTTTGTGAAACTTAAACTGAAATATGATATTAATTCCAACAGGTAAAATGTTTTCTTGCATTGAACTAACTAAATAAATCCCATATTACTCTCACTTATTCTTAGTCATACTGCATAATGTACACCTTTGGAGGTAAATAAGCAATGAACCTGAAACTCCTTGCTGTATGCATTTCTCTGATTTGACATAAGATATTGAACTGTGTCTATGTATCTATGCATATGTCCTAGAAATTAGCAGGACTGCAGTGGTTCTTGTATGTTTTATTTTTGTTCATCCTCACATAGCCATCTGTAAAACTGTCACTTTGTCAGACCCACAGTACTGATACCATTCTGCTCTGCATTTAGCCAAGGTGACTGGGTTTTTCATCTCGGACAGTGAAAACAGCACTTTTACAAAGCAATTTGCAAATATATGTCTTCATTCCTTTGGAAGGTACTAAGAAGCTAAATACTGTGTCTTAAATTCCACTGGCTGTGCTAGAGATTTTGAGGTAAATCAAAAGAGGTCTGTCCAGAGCTCATCATGGTGCTCAGCTACAGTTTAAATGTAAACATCTTGTGTTTCTTGTTAAAGACTGTATTTTATGTACATTGGTCAAACATAAGAAGCCTAATAATGCAAATTAGAGAGATAATTGGACTTGACTTCAGAAAACTCAAGGGTAGGCCCTAGCTTCTCATTCTTCCAGGAGTGGGAGACATGAGTCTTCCCCTTCCTGTCTCTATACACCTTCTTACCTTTTCCCATCCTGCCTACTTCCCAGGATGATTGTGAGGAGCAAAGTGATAGAACAAAAGTAAGAGGGCTTCAAATGTGAGGAATTGGTGGTATTTGTTATCCTGCTAGTCTATTTTAAGCTTTATACTTTCCGAGGCAAAGTATCAGTATACTACACCATTGCTTATGAAGTATTTTGTTGTTTGATAGTTACTTAACGCTGAATTTCTAAAGATCTGGGCACAATTTAAAAGCACATTTCCAACACAATCATCAAGTTTAAAAAGTAACCAATTAAGAGAAGTATTTTCCTTTTTGATCTGCAGAATGTAATGCTAGACTTGCAATTCCTTCTATTGGTTTTGAACAAAATTAGAGCCTGGATAGAAATTCAAAAAATCAGAAAAGTAGCAAAGGAAAGAGCTGATTTTTAGAATTTTTCAAGAGCAACCTTTCAAGAAAGGTTCGTGTGTGTGTGTGTGTGTGTGTGTGTGTGTGTGTGTGAATATTTCAGAAAAATGCAGAGAAATTTTGTGATGTGTTAACTTCTAAATCATTTTCTTATTAGTTTGTCTACCGAACTCATTTTATTTAACAAATGGACTCAGACACTAAGAATTTTTTAAATGCTGTATATTTCTGGAAGACAAGCTATTTGTATTATTCTTAAAAATCCCATCAACGTTATCCCATTCTTTAGTGCTACTACTTTAGTTTCACCCTCTAAAGCCGTGAGAAACTAGCCAGAGATCAGAATTGTATCCAGAATTTGCAGTCTTGAGAAACGCTGATTTCTGACTCTTGAATAAGCTGCTAATGGTAAAAGGCAGTAGAGCGAGTTCTCATTTCCAAGGCATTTTCGCAACAAGCCTGTGATATTTATTAATACAATTAATGTCTCCTCGAGTTTTCATGCAGATCAACACACCTACTGACAGTAATGGGTAGATTTGGAGGATGCTGCTTTATTTTAACTATGACTGATAGGAGAGAGAGATCAATATCAGCCAAAAAAGTAATCATTGGTAAAAGAAGACAGGTTTTTGCTTTTTATTCTCCTCTTGAACACACATGTCAGGTTGGCAAGATAAGAAGTCAATGCAGTTAATTTTTTTACAAAAATAGTTACTTCCATCAAAATGTGTTTGTATTTTAAACTAAATAACAATAACTACGTGGATTTTTCCCTTCTTCAACTAGCTGTTTTGTGACACATGAAAAAAATCTATATTTGAACAAAATCTGCATTTATTAATCATTATTACCTTGTTAGCCAAGAAGAAAAAAATAATTAGAAATGCAAGTTATTTGGAAGGAAAGGTCAAAATGTTTACTTTACCTTGAATTGTATACAGTCAGGCCTCTCTATTTTTAAATGTTGCTAGAAGTAGTATAAAGTGTGTTATTTCAAAATAAATTTCATTGTCCATAGTAATACAAATGTACTTAGTCCATTCTCAGCCAAGGATCTGGCTTTTCAAAAAAATCATAAACATAACCCCTAAAATTGCAGAAATGAAAAGAACTGTAGCTATGAGCCAAGATAACTTTAAATGTAAAAAAGTAAAGCTTTTAGTTTCAAGAGCCATAAAAGTACTATAAACACCGATTACACCAGGGGTTCTAATATTCCATAAAATATTTATAACATTCACAGAAATATAGTTATATCAGACCAATATTTTACTGAAAGTGAATGTATTAGTTGCTGTAATTATTAAATGCTTAAATGTTTTTCGTGGCGTTCTTCGAATTTAGAAGGGCCCATTTGTAGAAGTAAAGAAGGGTCATTAGAGGGCCTAAATTCCTTAAATTTTCCAAATAAGGCTAGATTAGTGCATGCTCCTCTCCTCTCCCAATCAAATTCTCTATAGAACCAGTGGTCTCTCAGATTTCACCCTCAGCCTTAGAATGTCTCCAAAGGCTGTCCTTAGGAGGAGTGTCTCCTAAGCCCCTGTCCCTGTGGTCAGGGGATTCCTGCATATTTGTTATCGACGTTGCTTCTTTCTCCAAAATTGAAGTTTCAATGAAGAGTTTTCTCAAGATTTCTATACTTTACCCTGTCTTATCTTCTTCATTAAAACAAAACAAAACAAAACTGGCCAGGCGCGGTGGCTCACGCCTGTAATACCAACACTTTGGGAGGCTGGAGCAGACGGATCACAAGGTCAGGAGTTCGAGACCAACCTGGCCAATATGGTGAAACCCTGTCTCTACTAAAAATACAAAAATTAGCTGGGCATGGTGGCAGGTGCCTGTAGTCCCATCTACTCGGGAGGCTGAGGCAGGAGAATCGCTTGAACCCAGGAGGCGGAGGTTGCAGTGAGCCGATACCATGCTACTGCACTCCAGCCTGGGCGACAGAGTGAGACTCCTCTCAAGAAAAAAAGAAAAACAAAAACAAAGCAAAACTATAGAAATTTTTTTGGTTTCAGAGAAATGCAAAAAACAAACAACAACAACAAAAAGGTGCTGTTAGGTCAATGGATTTCATACCTTATTAATGGCTGTCAGAGCACTTTACAATGGTAGGAAGGCATTTAAAAACAATTACTAGTTCTCTTACAGACTTTCAGAGAAGAAACCTGAAGGATCTCCAGGGAATTGTAAAGACAGGTATAAGCTGTGGGGCCTGAGAACCTCAGGCTGCCTTGAGTTTCCATTTCTATGGGACTAGTTTTTCTACTTACTCCTCATTTTTAAAAGTGTATTTTGGCCCCCTGAAGGCAGCATCCTCAAATGACAGCGAAACCTCTAAGAAAAATATAAATTCTTCTTTCACAATGCTTATTGCGATGACCTCTGCTTTTACCTTGATGGAAAATAAATATTCCTTATCCTGGGACAGAATGAGGAAATTATAAAGGTGGCCAAATCTATACTCAGAGATTCTAACATTCTCTTTATACAAAGTTCTAGTTCCTTCATAGTTTACCTACAGGGCCCCCTACTAATCTTGCACTCATGGCCTTTATTCACCCTAAAGAGTAAATAATACTTTGAAATATTTATAAATAAATTAAATAATTAATGTACTTTAGCATTCAATGTGCTTTGACAGTGAAAATTTAATATTCTAAATTAATTGTGAGGTACAGGAAGCAAATAGAATATAAAATCTCTTGCTCCATCTGTAGGAAGGTCATCCCTGCATATATCTGTCAAATGCCTAAGCCCTATAGGAAATATGTTGCCATTCAACATTCTATAAAATTTAGCTCAAGAAAGTGGCTGGGCACAGTGGCTCACGCCAGTAATCCTAGCACTCTGGGAGGCTGAGGCAGAGGGACTACCTGAGGTCAGGAGTTCGAGACCACCTTGGCCAACATGGTGAAACCCCATCTCTACTAAAAATATAAAAAATTAGCTCAGCATGGTGGCAGGCGCCTGAAATCCCAGCTACTTGGGAGGCTAAGGCAGGAGAATTGCTTGAACCTGGGAGGCAGAGGTTACAGTGAACCAAGATTGCGCCATTGCACTCCAGCCTGGGCAACAAGAGCGAAACTGTCTCAAAAAAAATAAAAAAATAAAAAAAAAAAGAAAGTAAATCATCATAATGCCTTTCTCAGGCCAAAGTTATCATTTTGGGGCCAAAGAGCTTGTACCACAGAGTATAAAAATACATCTATTACATTTGTGTCCTTAAATACCAGATAGCAGCATCTTGACAAAAAAAAAAAAAAAGTTAAATATAGCTTAGCAGCATTTAATAGATACAATCTTATAATATTTAGGGTGGTGCAAAAATAATTGTGGTTTTTGCAATTTTAATTGCAAAAGATACAGCTGACTGTATCTTCTGATTCTAAGACTACTGACAATTTTAATTGCAAAAACCACAATTACTTTTGCACCAACCTAACAAATACACAAAAGAATAAAACGCAGTTGTATCAGCATATGTTAAATAAGCATCTCTAATATCAGGTTCCCAAAAGCCTATCGGTAGCTTTATTTCTATTTTATTTCATCAATAGTAATATTAGTATTTATATTTTAACATAAATGATTGATGACATTATTCTTGCACCTTATCCTCAACATGTTAGAAACCAAATCAATAATAGTATTCAAATCTTTCCCCCACCCAGATCATCTGGTTTCCATTAGTGGCATCAACAGACTCCTCCTTTCCATTCGCACTGGAAGCCAAGGAGTCATCCTCAACTCACCCCAAGTCATCTCTCATACTGCAGACAAACTAATCTTTCAAAAGTGGAAATCCTTTCTTGTCAATTCCTTGCTAGGAAAAAAGAGGGAGAAAAAGATGATCCCTCTCTATTACATGCTAAATTAAGCACTACTTCAATTTCCTGTGTTTTAAAACTATTCAATGTATGCATTAGACATCATAAATACCTTTAATTTGTACATATTGCATTCATGTTGTTGCTATTCTAAATTATGGATTTTTTTTTCTTTTTTTTGGGGGGATGGAGTCTTGCTCTGTCACCCAGGCTGGAGTGCAGTGGTGCAATCTCGGCTCACTGCAACCTCTACCTCTTGGGTTCAAGTGATTCCCCTGCCTCAGCCTCCTGAGTAGCTGGGACTGCAGGCACATGCCACCACACCTAGGTAATTTTTGTATTTATAGTAGAGACGGTGTTTCACCATGTTGGCCAGGATGGTCTCAATCTCCTGACTTCGTGATCCATCTGCCTCAGCTTCCCAAAGTGCTGGGATTACATGTGTGAGCCACCGTGCCTGACCTAAATTATGTTTCTTATTAGCTAAACTTAATGACTACTAAGTGTCAGGCACTGTCTTTATGCTTCATATAAATAATCTTAGATAACTTCAGGATAGATACTATTACATCTATTATATTTTATCCCTAAAACAAGTAAATCAAGATCACAAAATTAGGTAACAGATAAGGAGAATTCATTTCAGCAAAGGCTGTGCTGTGTCTGAAGTAACAGCAATAACCCCTAGACAGCAGCGATTCAGCTGACTGTATCTTCTGACTCTAAGACTAGTGGCATTAATAATTCCCTTCCATCTGTCCTTTAAGCTGAGTATAAATCACAATTTCAAATGGAAATAGTGTTATTATTATCCAGAGGAATTAGGGGAGTTACTGGCAGAGGTCACAGAAATTCTTATTCCTTGTTTTCTCTGAGTTATGACATAGTGAAATGTTCCTGTTTGTAACTATTTTCCTACTTCTTTGATGGCCATATCTAGATTTTCCTCAACAATTCTGATTCTAGACTTTCTGTCTATAACTCTCATAATCAAAGGCATGGTTTAGGGGAACTGCTCTAGAAGATATTCTCAAACAGTTGTAAAGCTACATGTTGACATGATGTTGTAAAGATTAGCATAGAAAGATGTTAATGGAAACAGAGTGAAAGGAAACCGTGGAGTCCTTACGTATTTTATCCTAAGTTATGGACTTAATGATGCAAGGCTGGTGTTGCTCATGAAGGTATACAGCCAATAAATTAGGAGAAAATAGAACCTAAAATGTTCTTTCAAATGGCCAGGAAATTGAAATGAACAAGAACAAGGAAGTATCCTCTCCTCTTTCTTTCATAAGCACATCCCCTTTAATGCAAAGGAAAGAACCAAAGTTTAATAAACCTTGTGATATTAGAGGTTTGACCAGAACAGCAACCTTTGTTTTAGAAGATGAAAATTTAATTACTTCTCATGAAGTAAAACCCCAATATAAATGGAATTCTTTAACATATGTGCTCAATTAATCTATTTTAGATGAGATCAAATAATAAAAAAATTGATATTTCAATTTTCTCTGAGAAGAAAACATTAAAATAAGTTTATGCACACTGAATGTAAGAATGTTGAAGAAATTCCTCATTATATGTTGTGGAAGATTTAATAAAACTTGGTTAATGGATAGAAAGGTGTTTCACATCATATACTTTTAATTTTGAAAAACAGTTCCGTCACAAAATTTTGATAGTAAAGGTCTGTTGATATACTTGGCATAAATAAATTAACTTGGATTGTTAATTAAATGTCAGATAACACATAAGATGGCTAGTTATTTTATGGTGACTTTGGAAAATTCCAAAAGCAAATGTTTGTTTCTTAAAAGTCAAGGGATTGTAATGCCAAAGCAAAGTCTCCAGGTACTGAAAACATTCCTCATTTTTCTCCCTGCAAAATGTCCCCAAATGGAGACCATCCAAGAAAAATTATATAAACTTGGACCATAGCTTTTGGTTTTATAAATAAGAAAAAAGTATTGCTAATTAAGAAATGAAAGATGTGGCTTTTCTAGGCTTTATATCTTAGGTTGCTCATTATTTTAGCTTCTCCAACCCAAGTCTATATTAATGTGCTTTTCTTTCTCCAGGGAGATAAAGAAGCTGAATTAGGGCTTCCATTTTCCCCACTTTGTGATCGGAAGTCAACCATGGTGGCCCAGTCACAAATAGGTAATTCTGATGATTTGTGGTGGTGGAAAGTGAGTGTGTGCTTGTCAGTTTTCAAATGGGTAAACGATGTTGTTCAAAGGGGTAACTTGCATGAAAACCTCACTCCATATTCATGATATATTTGATTTTTAAATGGATCTATGTGGTGCTGAATAAGACTTATTGAAGCATTTTCACAAAATGAATTCAATAAAGCAACATTAGTAAATGTAATTGTTATCGTGGTTGTAATCCTTTTACAAAATATAAAATTTTCTTGTGTGGGAGACCATTTTATGTTGTTTTGTTGCTGATTATTGTTTTCTGTAATTTAATTCTTTAGATATATAGGTCAACTCAATGAAAATGTTAGTGCACTTGTTCTATCACTAAGTTTCCATGGTATGCTTAATATAGTAGTGCACATTTCATTTGGAAAAATATTCTGTCATGATGTGAATAGATTAACCAACAACAGGAAATTTGCAAAATGATAATGCTCCCAACCACATTCATTCTTATCATCTGTATTTGTGTTGGGGACTTCAAGTCCAGTCCATTATTAAAACATGTGTTGCATGGCTCAAATACTTGTAATAATTATTCCCTAAGCCAGCATTTTTGTTACTGAACAATATGATCAATAAACACAAGGATCACTTCTTAGCTGTGTAGTTATGCTCCAGCACCACCCATCACAAAGCGTTGGGGAAAGCTGCCTGCTCTGACCTTTTCCCCTTCCCATCCAAGTTTCAACAGCTGTTTTTCTAGAGACCATAACACAGGTGCCTATCCTTGCTTAGTAAGTGTAAACGTGGCAGGCTAAGGACCTGATGTGGCAAGCTAAGAATGGAAGTTTCTGAGGCTTGTTGCTGTAATGCAAATTGCTGCCATGTTAGTAGAGGTGATGCCCCAGTTGACAGTCTACACATCTCAGGCATTTAAGAACATAGAACTGGCTGGGTGCAGTGGCTTATGCCTGTAATCCCAGCACTTTGGGAGGCCGAGGCAGGTAGATCTCGGGTCAGGAGATCAAGACCATCTTGGCTAACACGGTGAAACCCGTCTCTACTAAAAAATACAAAAAATTAGCCGGGCGTGGTGGCATGCACCTGTAATCCCAGCTACTCGGGAGGCCGAGGCATGAGAATCACTTGAACCCAGGAGGCAGAGGTTGCAGTGAGCCGAGATTGCACCACTGCACTCCAGCCTGGGCAACAGAGTGAGACTCCATCTCAAAAAAAAAAAAAAAAAAAAAAAAAGAACAAAAAAAGAACATAGAACTTAAAATAGTACCCTAGGTGGTCAATTAACACTGATTTAACTTGAAGGCATCCATTAAAACTACTGAAGTTTTATTAAATTAAAAATGTGCCTTATTATATACTATAAGTAATCCAGTTACTTGAAATGTGAATTACTTTTATCCAAGCATCTGATGGACAATCTTTAAATGTGCATATTTACAGGACATTATCACTTAAAAAGCCTACCTCCAGCTATTCTCCTATATTCAGGTGGTAGTCCATTGCTCTCAGAAGTGTTTCCAACAACAATTCTTGACTTGAGGCACCCACAGCAGTCCTGGGATCTGGGATATTGCCATGTACACAGACCTTAGAATAGGTTGTTGTCTCCTCCTCTGCCTAAACATGGGATGGAAAATGCTCCCAGAGGACAATGCCCTTTTCTCTGTGTGTCATTTTCTATCTTGATGAGTACTTTAAATGTAAAAGTCTTCATTCAGTACTGACATCTCAAAGTGGTGGGATTAATGCTGTCTCCCAGAGATGTTACTTTTCTCTTCACTGATTTGACAGAACACACACACATGCTGTGAACTAACACTTTACATCCAGAGAATAATAAACAACAATTTGAAATATTAACACACTGGCAGAAAGCTCTGACTGATATAGTAAGAAACAAAAAGTAATTGTCTTCCTGTTACCTGAGAAAAACCTTCAATTATTTAATTTCTTTGGAGCTTAGATATGATTTCTTGTTAGTAAAGAATAAAATCCAAAATGCACATGATGTGCTTTCAAAAAAGATAATGATCCCTGGTGTTGAGAGAGGAAACTATAGTCACTCTCATTGGATCTAAATGTATTGTTAGCAATCGTATATTATATAAGGCTGAATAGTAAATAGAAAAGCCAATATACTTGAGTTAGCAAGCTTAAATTGTGTCACTTCCATGGCTTCAAGTATTATTTTATAGAGCAGTTAAACCATCTCTAAAGACTGTTATTAGATTAAAACAATACAAAGGGTAAGCAGAACCAATATTTTAGTTGATTCTTGCTATCCCAGGATTGTCAGAAGCTCTTCATTATTTCTGATTTCAGAATTCAGGAAATTGTAACACTTGAATTTATCTCTCTCTCTTCTCATTTTGGCTTTTGTAGGTTTCATCGATTTCATAGTAGAGCCAACATTTTCTCTTCTGACAGACTCAACAGAGAAAATTGTTATTCCTCTTATAGAGGAAGCCTCAAAAGCCGAAACTTCTTCCTATGTGGCAAGCAGGTATGATATTTTCTTTTTTGCATTATTTTTCATCTTTGTGGTGTTTAGTAACACTTTCCTTAATGATTATATTTCTCACATCTAGGCAGAGAATTCTCACAAGAATTATTAGGGAGTATTGCCACCTAGTGGCTTTATATTATATTGCATCTGCCTTTGACAACTGAAGTTTAATACACAAAATATGAAATACTAAGTAAGGTGTGTACTAAGGAGAATCCAGTGTGGGGAGGGAGAGAAAGGAGATGAGCAGCTGCCACGTGCTCAGAACTGGGACTGAGCATCTACTATCCTGCTTTTCTAGTCGGTTTTGTAAAGTTTTTCAGGTTTTCCTTGTTCACCCCATATCCTGATGGTGTTTTTTGGTTTCTTTGGTTGTTACTGTTAGCTCAACCACCATTGTGGGGTTACACATTGCTGATGCACTAAGACGATCAAATACAAAAGGCTCCATGAGTGATGGGTCCTATTCCCCAGACTACTCCCTTGCAGCAGTGGACCTGAAGAGTTTCAAGAACAACCTGGTGGACATCATTCAGCAGAACAAAGAGAGGTGGAAAGAGTTAGCTGCACAAGGTAGTGTTGTTTATGAGGCCTTACTGCCATCTCTCTCTGTCTTCACTTCTCCTCTAAGAGTTTGGATTACTTCTTCTAGATTTCTTCTTCTATAGAATATGTAAGCCCTTGATGGTATTGGGAATTTGGCTACTCTTTGATCATTCATGAGAAAGTTGGCTCATTTATTAGATAAAAAGAGGTTCTGGTTTGTTTGTGCCACATGGGCTGCAGATCTGTGTGTCAGTGGGTGCTGGCAAACTGGATACTGAAAGATGAGATAATGAAATGGTGACAAAACTTTGTGGTACCATATAAACTCCTGTGCTTTCGTAGAGGTGCTTTCCAGCCTGGATTTTACTTGGTAAGTGGCTTTTGTGTTGCATTAAGTGTGTTATCACTTCATGTCAGAGACTTGGGTGTGTTTTTTTTCTGTTTCACTAAGTTGCTTTTTTGACTCAGAATTTAGACAGGAATTGGGGAAATCATTAGTAATCAACCACCACAGCAATCGCATGGGAAGGTAGCTACAGTTATTTCTGACATATTAGCTGCTTCAAATTAATTAGTCCATTTAGTAGGTTTGTGAGTTAGTATTCAAACAGTTATTATCTTTCGTGCAGGAATTAGCTTTCATATCCAGATCTGGCCCCTGCCTCTTCTCACACTCATTCCCACAGCTCTGTCTCCCTTATACACTACACTCCCTGCACAATGGCCTCTTGGAAGTTTCTTAAAATACTCCAGGGTCTTTGTAGTTATTTTTTCAGCCAGAAATTTTTTCCTTGTGTTTTTTGCAGCTTTAATATACTCAGGAATAAACTTACTTTTCTTAAAATGGATAATATAAGATCAAAATAGAGTGTTAAATCATATTTATAGTCAGAAAGACACAATATTGAAACGTTTTCAATTATCCCAAATGTCAACCATAAATATAACATGTTTCCAGTGAAAATTCCAATACATTTTTCATGGAATTTAAGAAATTGATCCTAAAATCTATATGGTATTGCAAATACCTAAGAATACTCAAGACACTCCTGAAGGATAATAAAGTGGGAGCACTTGCCATATATCAAAATTTACTCTTATACTGAAGTAATAAATTTAGTGTGGCTGTGATATAGAGATAATAAGATGGGCCTTGGGAATAGACCAGAGAGCCAAAAATAGCACATTAATTCCTGCAGAACTTGACAGATGGCAGACACACACATTCGTATATGCAATCTTTTGTATGTTCTCACATATTTACCCTTATGATATTCTTCATTTCTTCTTGTGTGTCAGAGCTACTATTTGGTATCATTTCTCTTCACACTGGAGTACTTTCTCAAGTATTTTCTTATAACACAGTTATACTGACAAACAATTAGATTTTCTTTATCTGGGAATGTCTGTATCTTACTTTTATTTATGAATAATTTTACTTGATTTAGAATTGTTGAATGATTTTTTTTTATTTTAGCACTTTTAATGTGTAATTCTATTGCCTCTGGCTTCCATAGTTTCTGATAGTGTTGGCCAAAAATAAATTGTATTGTTGCTTCCTTGTATGTACTGAGTATTATCTTTTTCTTTCTGTTTTCTAGACTTTATTTTGACTTTCAGCAATTTGATGATGATATATCTAGGTCTTTTTTTTTTTCAGTATTCTACTTAGTGTTCACTAGCTTCTTAAATCCACAAATTAATAATTTGCTTCAAATTTAGAAAGCTTTCTGTCATTTTGTTCAATATTTTTCTTCTGCCTCTTTCTCTCTGTTCTCTCCTTCTGAGGATTGTGTTATGCATAACTTAGGATTCTGGAAATTGTCCTGGATGCTCTGGATCTCTGTCAATTTCTTTAATTGTTCTTTCTTTCTTTCTTTCTTTCTTTCTTTCTTTCTTTCTTTCTTTCTTCTCTTCCTTTCCTTCCTTCTTTTGTTCCTTCCTTCCTTCTTCATTCATTTTTGATTGGCTGCTTTCTAATGATTTATCTTCAAGTTTACTGTTTCTTTCTCTGCCACCTCAATCCTGCTGTTGATTTCACTGAATTAACTTTTTATCTCAGCTACTTTTTTCAATTTTATTATTTCCATTTGGTTCTTTTTTATAATGTCTATTTCTCTGTTGATATTTTATATTTTCATTCATTGTTAGCATATTTTCCTTTAATTCTTCAAGATTATTTTCTTTAATTTTAAAAACATATTTAAAAAACTTGTCTTGAATTTTTTGAAATCAATTTTAAAACTGACTATAAATGGCCTTTCTATGGCTCTCTAATTTCTAGGGTTTTTCTGTTAAATCCTGCTGGTTTACCCTTTACCCCAACTTGGACCCCAACCCTAGGCTGACAAAGCTTGGGGCTCTCCTCATCTAGTCTAAGTGGATTCACCATTTTATATTCAAGTAACCAGAATTATTTGCTGCCTTCCCATTCCAAGTTGATTCTACCACATCCAACAGGAAAGTTGGCTTTTGCTTCCATTCCCAGGTCAGAGTTGGAGAGGAAGATGGAGGAGTGGGAGTAACTTCAGGCAAGAAGGTCACAGGTTCCTGCTGTTTTTACCTGAATGTCCAACAATTTTTTAAGAATAAATGTTTCTCAAATTATTATGTCCCTTTGGTTGATTTCCAGAGTCATTGAATAGTTGTTTTTATTAATGCTGTCCAGTTTTACACTTGCTTTTTCATGAAGAGAAAAAACTCGACTTCTTTACATCACTATAGCAGGAAGTATTCCTCTTCACCATAGGTTTTAAGAGAATTAAATGAGTTTATTAATATAATTTGCTTAGAAGTGTCTAGAGTACTAAGCGCTATATGAGTTAGCTGTTATTACTATATTATTTATGTTTCTGCCATGTGTTCTAGAAATAAGGGTTATAGGGCTACTATATAGAAACTAGGGGTGTCCCTAATGCTGAATTCTAAATCCAGCAAAACTATTCAGAAATAAAGAAAAATAAAGACATTACCAGATTAAGAAAATCTAATTACTATGGAAATTGGGGATAATTTCTATATAGTAAACTGGTAAGGAAAGCCTTCACTGAGGAAGAAATAATTTAAATAAATACACAATGGAGGTTAGAAAGAGAATGATGGAGAGGTCTGGGAGGGTGGGTGTTAACAAATTTTTAAAACGGATTGGCTACCACATTATCTAGGAGGCCAAGCTTGCCTGACATGCCAGAAACAACAAGAAGGGCAGTGAAGCAGGAAGAAATTGGACAAGTGGGAATAATGTAGGCAATGTGATGAGTGGGGAATGTGGTGCCTGACCTTTGGTTTTGGCCCGAGAAAGACAGGAAACCAAATGTAGAGTTTTGAGAAAAAATGTTGATTGATCTGAACTGAGGTTTCAAAAGGATTACTCTGCTACAGAATGGAAAATGTGCTTTTGTTTGGGTAGTAAAAATAGAAACAAGGAGATCAGAAGGAAGGCTGTTGTTCATAACCCAGGAGACACATGGGAGCTTAGACCAAGTAGTAATGGTTGAGAGGGTCTATAATTTCTGGATATGTAAAGATTGTGGCAGTATGTGTGAGTAGAAGGAGGGTAAGCAAAAAGAGATTGGATTCTGGATATACAGATATTTTGAAAGCTGAACTGATAGGATTTGTTACCAGATTAGATGTAGGAAACAAAGTGAAGAGAAGAATCAAAAATGATGCCAGGCTTTTTGGTTTTCTTACACATTATTTGTATATAGGTAAAATTATATAATCATTTCATGGAACAATTTGGCATTCTGTAGGAAATTTAAAGATGCATGTGCCATACTTCTCGACAATTTTGCTTCTGTATTTTTACCCCAGAGAGACTTTTGTGCATATGCATCAAAGACATGTCTAAAATATTCACAGCAGCATTGTTCATGACTGCAAAATAAAGTGTAAAAAACAGTAAAATTGATTTATATACTGTAGTATGTACATATTATGGAACAGTATAAAACTGTTAAAATTTAACTAATCACCACAGGAATGAAGGACACAGTGTTGCACAAAATAAGCAAACTGCTGGGCTTTAGTAGGCGGTTTTCCCCTGACAGTGTGAAGGAGACTGAGAGGTTTGGACTAAGCAAAATTCACCACAACACAGCAAAGCGGCTGTGTCCAGACTGCTTCTCTAGATTCCTCCTCACTGGGCAGGGCATCTCTGCAGGAAATCCAGCAGCTCCAGTCAGGGGCTTACAGACAGGACTCTCAACTCCCTGGGACAGAGCACCTGAAGGGAGAGGCAGCTGCAGTCGCAGGGTCAGCGGATTTAATCTTTCCTGTCTGCTGGCTCTGAAGAGAGCAGCTGACCCTAACAAGGGGGACTCTCCCAGCAGAGTGCACCAGTTCTGCTAAGGGACAGACTGCCTCCTCAAGCAGGTTCCTGACTTTGCGCCTCTTGACTGGGAGAGACCTCCCAACAGGGATCAATAGACACCTCATACAGGAGAGCTGAAGCTTCCAGAGGAAGGAGCAGACAGCAATCTTTGATGTTCTGCAAACTCCATTGGTGAAACCTAGGTGACAGGGTCTGGAGTGGACCCCCATCAAACTGCAGCAGACCTGCAGAAGATGGGTCTAACTGTTAGAAGAAAAAGTAACAAACAGAAAGCAACAACAACAAAAGCATCAACAAAAAAGACCTCCTACAAAACCTCATCCAAAGGTCATCAGCTTCAAAGATCAAAGGTAGATAAATCCATGAAGATGAGGAAGAAACAGTGCAAAAACGCTGAAAATTCCAAAAGCCAGAATGCCTCTTCTCCTCCAAATGATTGTAACACTTCTCCAGCAAGGACACAGGACTGGACAGAGAATGAGATAGATTAATTGACAGAAGTAGGCTTCAGAAGGTGGGTAATAACAAACTCTGCTGAGCTAAAGGAGCATGTTCTAACCCAATGCAAAGAAGCTAAGAACATTGATAAAAGGTTACAGGAGCTGCTAACTAGAATAACCAGTTTAGAGAGGAACATAAATGACCTGATGGAGATGAAAAACACAGCACAAGAACTTCATGAAGCATACACAAGTATCAATAGCTGAATAAATCAAGCAGAAGAAAGGATATCAGAATTTGAAGACCATCTTGCTGAAATAAGGCATGCAGACAAGATTAGAGAAAAAATAATGAAAAGGAATGAACAAAACCTCCGAGAAATGTGGGACTATGTGAAGATACTGAAGCTACGATTGATTGGAGTACCTGAAAGAGACTGGGAGAATGGAATCAAGTTGGAAAACACACTTCAGGATATTATCCAGGAGAACTTCCCCAACCTAGCAAGACAGGCCAACATTCAAATTCAGGAAATACATAGAACACCACTAAGATACTCCATGAGAAGATCAACGCCAGGACACGTAATTTTCAGATTCTCCAAGGTTGAAACAAAGGAAAAAATGTTTAAGGGCAGCCAGAGAAAAAGGTCAGGTCACCTACAAAGGGAAGCTCATCAGACTAACAGCAGATCTCTCAGCAGAAACCCTACAAGCTAGAAGAGAGTGAGGGCAATATACAATATTCAATATTCAACATTCTTAAAGATAAGAATTTTTCAACCTAAAATTTCATATTATTAGAAATAAGTAGAATTTTACTTCCTAGATTGGGCACTAGACACACAAAAGTTCATTTTATCATTATGATTATGATTATGTCTAACATGTGCTTTATATATGTATCTATAATTCATTTATATACATGAAATATTGCATAAAAATGAAACAATGATAAGCTATTAAAATGCATCTACTAACATAGTGATCAATTTTAAAGTCACTGAGTATCAGATATTGCCATTTTAATTTTCCAGTACCTACCACTTCTAGTCTTATACGCTGAAGATGAAAGTTTCTTTATTACAATTGCATTGAGATTAAAATAAGCAGGTCATATGATGTTTAGAGCTTTGGAATATTAATTAAGCATCAGGGCTTTGAAGAGAATTCCAGATGTTTGCTCATCATCATATTAACCCTTAAGCTCTATTTCACAGATATCGCAAAAACATCTCCCTAGTCCTAGAGCAGGGAGAGACTGTTGACCTATTATGCTTCATTTTTATTATCTACTTCACCCTCTTAAAAATAAGGTTCATTAAAATAAAGATGTTTGTTTCCATTGCTGATGTATCCCAAGCTCTTTGAACAGAGACTGGCACAAAGTAGAAATTCAAATGATTATCTGCAGTAGGCAGGGAAGAAAGAGAGAGACAGAGCGCAAGAGGGAGGACGAGAGAGGAGGGGGTAGAGAAAGGAGGAGAAGGGAAGAAGGAAGGAGAGAGGTAGAAAACCTACCATCTAGGCCCCAAAATATGAAATATATGATCTTGCCATGCCCTTGGAATTCTCTCTATGCCTTCTCTAATCATTTATTTCCTTCTCTCCCACCCATGAGCTAATTATTGTTTTGAATTTTGTGATAATCATTCTTTTTTTAAGCTGTTATCCCTCTTTGTATAATTTTAAACAATGTATAATTTAGTTTTGTCTGTTTTAAAACAATATAAATGGAACTGTGCCATATACATTCCTTTGTGAATTGCTTTCCACTCAACAAGATGCTTTTTAAAATTTATCCATGACAACACAAATGTTGTTCTGTTTCAGCAGGAGTTTTCTGGATCTTGCAGAAAACATGAGACAGAAAAAAAAATCCAAATACTGTGCAGATACTTTTTAAATATTAGTGTTTTGTTTAAGTCTGTACATATCATATCCTTAGGCCACAAATCAGGTGCATAAATAATATACCCTTCATTATTTCTCTGTGACCAAACATAGTTTCTAGCTATGTCCTCATGCTACCTGTTTGAAGAAAATATAAGCTTATCATTTAAGTGTTTTGACTGAATCAGAGTAAGCCTGGTCAATCCAGGGTTTCTGACCTCTCTTTCCTCCTTCTTTAGATGGCATTGCAGTCCCTGGGGACTAATGTTGTGGTATTAATGGATTTCAGATGAGCATCAGGTTCTTGCTTGACCTCTGGCCTCTCTCTCATCTTTCCAGACAGACAGCCCCCATTGGTTTTTGGCTGGTATCACCTTCTGACTCTGACCCCTTGCTTTCCCACGGCAGGCCCCCACATCTTTGCTTGCCACAGCTTGCTTGCTCTCTTTTCTTCTCCTTCTCATTGTACTTCTCAGGGCTGAAGGACAGGCTGGTCTTCACATCAGAGTCACTGGGGTTGACTGAATACTGCAGGCGCTCTCTCAGGCTCTCCTGTCCTGACATTCTACACAGCCACCCCTCCTCTATTCCTTGCATGCTGAGAACACCCACCTTGTTCAGAATGCTGGATAAGGGAACATGACAAAGATCTTCTCTAACCCCTGGATCCCTGACTTTTTCTCAGAATTCTTTCTTGTTTTTCCCTCGGAAATAACTCAAAATGCACAGGGATGGCCAAATTCAGAGAGCAGGTCCCGTCTCAGACTATAACTGTCTAAGTCTCTTGAATCTTCCAACTCTTTTCTCCCTTACACCTTACTTTTGGTTTCATAGGGGGTGAAAAATATGTCACTGGAAGGGTAAGGAGTTAAGCTTTTCCCTCCTCCAATTTGAATGGCACCTTCATACCCCTTTTTGCTTCTCTTAGGGAAAACCTAGATCCATGTCCAGGGAGTGAGAAACCTGGATCTCCTCTGGAAGTATGGGTGGGAAGGTAGAACTTGATTAAGTATTTTCCAAAAACCTTTTAGCCATGCATGGATGTGGCTTTTGAATTTGAAGACAAAGGATAGATGCCTTTGTTTTTGGGGTAGCTTAGTAACAACCCCTGTGTCTCCTTGTCTAAATAGGCATGAGCCTGTTATAACAAACAAGTAGAAACAAAACCAGATCAGCTAATGATTCACTGTATCAGCTCATCGAGACACACAAAATAAGCTTTTGTAGTTGTTTCAGAAGAGAAATGAAAAACAATATTTGATTACTAAATTAAGTGTATTTAAAATACTATTATTCAAAGAACATTTATCAAGTATGTTTCCTCACTTTACAGAAAAAGAAAGATTAGAAGCTTATTTTTTTCTTTGAATTTAAGTGATTTAATGTGATGGAACTGAATCATGTGACACAAATTAAATCCATAATTTTATATCCATTGAGGTGTTTCAGTATGGTTAGTAATGTCAAAGACATATTTCAGGAGGAAACTGAGCAACAAAAAAGACATTTTTTTATTATGGGGAAATCCAAATGAAAGAACAAAGCTGGAGGCATCATGCTACATGACTTCAAACTATACTACAAGGCTACAGTAACCAAAATAGCATGGTACCGGTACCAAAACAGATATATAGACCAATGGAACAGAACAGAGGCCCCAGAAATAATGCCACACATCTACAACCATCTGATCTTTGACAACCCTCACCAAAACAAGCAATAGGGAAAGGATTCCCTATTTAATAAATGGTGTTGGAGAATACTACAAACACCTCTATGCAAATAAGCTAGAAAATCTAGAAGAAATGGATAAATTCCTTGACACATACACTCTCCCAAGACTAAACCAGGAAGAAGTTGAATCTCTGAATAGACCAATAACAGGATCTGAAATTGTGGCAATAATCAATAGCTTACCAACCAAAAAGAGTCCAGGACCAGATGGATTCACAGCCGAATTCTACCAGAGGTACAAGGAGAAACTGGTGCCATTCCTTCCGAAACTATTCCAATCAATAGAAAAAGAGGGAATCCTCCATAACTCATTTTATGAGGCCAGCATCATTCTGATACCAAAGCCAGGCAGAGACACAACAAAAAAAGAGAATTTTAGACCAATATCCTTGATGAACATTGATGCAAAAATCCTCAATAAAATACTGGCAAAACGAATCCAGCAGCACATCAAAAAGCGTATCCACCATGATCAAGTGGGCTTCATCCCTGGGATGCAAGGCTGGTTCAATATACGCAAATCAATAAATGTAATCCAGCATATAAACAGAGCCAAAGACAAAAACCACATGATTATCTCAATAGATGCAGAAAAAGCCTTTGACAAAATTCAACAACTCTTCATGCTAAAAACTCTCAATAAATTAGGTATTGATGGGACGTATTTCAAAATAATAAGAGCTATCTATGACAAACCCACAGCCAATATCACACTGAATGGGCAAAAACTGGAAGCATTCCCTTTGAAAACTGGCACAAGACAGGGATGCCCTCTCTCACCACTCCTATTCAACATAGTGTTGGAAGTTCTGGCCAGGGCAATTAGGCAGGAGAAGGAAATAAAGGGTATTCAATTAGGAAAAGAGGAAGTCAAATTGTCCCTGTTTGCAGACGACATGATTGTATATCTAGAAAACCCCATGGTCACAGCCCAAAATCTCCTTAAGCTGATAAGCAACTTCAGCAAAGTCTCAGGATACAAAATCAATGTACAAAAATCACAAGCATTCTTATACACCAACAACAGACAAACAGAGAGCCAAATCATGAGTGAACTCCCATTCACAATTGCTTCAAAGAGAATAAAATACCTAGGAATCCAACTTACAAGGGATGTGAAGGACCTCTTCAAAGGGAACTACAAACCACTGCTCAAGGAAATAAAAGAGGATACAAACAAATGGAAGAACATTCCATGCTCATGGGTAGGAAAAATCAATATCGTGAAAATGGCCATACTGCCCAAGGTAATTTACAGATTCAATGCCATCCCCATCAAGCTACCAATGACTTTCTTCACAGAATTGGAAAAAACTACTTTAAAGTTCCTATGGAACCAAAAAAGAGCCCGCATCGCCAAGTCAATCCTAAGCCAAAAGAACAAAGCTGGAGGCATCACACTACCTGACTTCAAACTATACTACAAGGCTACAGTAACCAAAATAGCATGGTACTGGTACCAAAACAGAGATATAGATCAATGGAACAGAACACAGCCCTCAGAAATAACGCCGCATATCTACAACTATCTGATCTTTGACAAACCTGAGAAAAACAAGCAATGGGGAAAGGATTCCCTATTTAATAAATGGTGCTGGGAAAACTGGCTAGCCATATGTAGAAAGCTGAAACTGGATGCCTTCCTTACACCTTATACAAAAATCAATTCAAGATGGATTAAAGACTTAAACGTTAGACCTAAAACCATAAAAACCCTAGAAGAAAACCTAGGCATTACCATTCAGGACATAGGCATGGGCAAGGACTTCATGTCTAAAACACCAA
Organism: Homo sapiens; assembly: GCF_000001405.40. Taxonomy (NCBI): domain Eukaryota; kingdom Metazoa; phylum Chordata; class Mammalia; order Primates; family Hominidae; genus Homo; species Homo sapiens. The sequence continues at coordinate 182,175,730 of NC_000002.12, read as the reverse complement.
AAGCAATGGCAACAAAAGACAAAATTGACAAATGGGATCTAATTAAACTAAAGAGCTTCTGCACAGCAAAAGAAACTACCATCAGAGTGAACAGGCAACCTACAAAATGGGAGAAAATTTTCGCAACCTACTCATCTGACAAAGGGCTAATATCCAGAATCTACAATGAACTCAAACAAATTTACAAGAAAAAAACAAACAACCCCATCAAAAAGTGGGCAAAGGACATGAACAGACACTTCTCAAAAGAAGACATTTATGCAGCCAAAAAACACATGAAAAAATGCTCACCATCACTGGCCATCAGAGAAATGCAAATCAAAACCACAATGAGATACCATCTCACACCAGTTAGAATGGCAATCATTAAAAAGTCAGGAAATAACAGATACTGGAGAGGATGTGGAGAAATAGGAATGCTTTTACACTGTTGGTGGGAGGGTAAATTAGTTCAACCATTGTGGAAGACAGTGGTATGTACCCAAAGGATTATAAATCATTCTACTATAAAGATACATACACACGTATGTTTATTGCAGCACTGTTCACAATAGCAAAGACTTGGAACCAACCCAAATGCTCATCAATGATAGACTGGATAAAGAAAATGTGGCATGTATACACCATGGAATACTATGCAGCCATTAAAAAGGATGAGTTCATGTCCTTGGCAGGGACATGGATGAAGCTGGAAACCATCATTCTCAGCAAACTAACACAGGAACAGAAAACCAAATACAACATGTTCTTACTTATAAGTGGGACTTGAATAATGAGAACACATGGACACAGGGAAGGGAACATCATACACCAGGGCCTGTCAGAGGGTGGGGAGCTAGGGGAGGAATAGCATTAGGAGAAATATCTAATGTAGATGACGGGTTGATGGGTGCAGCAAACCCCCACGACACGTGTGTACCTCTGTAACAAACCTACACATTCTGCACATGTATCCCAGAACTTAAAGTATAATAAAAATAAAATAAAATAAAATAAATAAAAAACAAATGAGATAACCTGTTCTGTTTTATGCAACGTGTAGGACAATCTTAAGGTGTTAATTGAATTATTTACACTATTTCTTCCCAGAAAATACTTAAAGGATTATACAAGCCAGCTTAAAAACTTGAGGACTGTAACAGAGTATGAATAGTGAATTTGCCCTTCTTTTTGTTCAGTGTGTAATGCAGAGAACTTTACAAATAAATGCAAGAAACAGTTGTTTTACCCTCCCCTGATTGACTCTCAGAGTTTCTCTTGCTCCTTCTGAAAAGTATCACAGTTTGAATCAAGCCAAGTCTTCCTTTCGGTTTCAGAGCATGTGAAAAAGTTGTTATTGGAACAATAAATAAGTAATCTATCTGAGTACCACCTTTATATTCCTCCTTTGCTTCTCTGTGAAAAACCTAGGTCTGCGTCCATGGACGTCATCAGGAAATAAGGCTGAATGGCTTCAGGCTCCATTCCCAAGCTCTGATTCTGTGGACACTTAGAGAGGCTTTTTCAGTGAATATTTTCAAATCGCCTTTAGGACTGCTAGATAACAAGCTGCTCAGGGAGAATGAATAGCAGTGTTAGCCTTGGCACCCCACCCCAACTAGTTACAGAGCAGTGACTCTCAAAGACCTACATTCCCCTGTGGTATTTATCTGTAGTTTTATCTCACGGGTCTCTGTAAGCTTTCTGAGCACATGTTTTTATTTGCCAGCAATGCCTATTAGTACTCACCAGTGGGCCTCACTCTTCCATATCTGTTGCTTAGAGAAAGTAAAAATTGATTTTTTGAAAGTAACGAAAACATGTCAATGTTACTTTGTATTGAATTACTTTAAAAAGTTGTATTTATAAGGTATGTGTTCTTAAAATATTTGCTATTCCTTTCCACTATCTTTTTAATTCAATCAAAACCCTTCATGTAAAGCACAGTTCACTTTACATTATAACTTCTAAGTTCCCAGGACTGAATCCTAAGCAATTCTGAGAGAATATACATGTACATTTTAGATTTCAAAAGGGACAAATAATCAGAGGAAAACAAAGTCTTTCAGAAATAAAAACTAGAGCTTGCTATCATTCTCTCTCTAATTATGGTTCAAAATGTAATTAGAAGTTTAAATGAGATCATGTTAGTAATTTTATATATTTTAAATTATTAGTAAATTAAATTATTATATTATATATTTCCTTTATTGTTCCTATTTCCAATTTAACCTCTTCAGCTTTGTCTTCAGATCATGTTCTATATCATGTTAGCAGTACAATAGAGCAGGAGTATGCATTTGATAGAGTGGAACTTTCAGAAGGTAAGAATCATGAAGTTCTAAGAAGTGATATTCAGAGTCACTTAACCCTAGAAGAGCTTAAATAATTGTTTGAATGGTGTGTGCTTGTGTGTTATCCATTCATTCACTCATTCCTTTATTACAAAGGTACAACTCAAAAGTTTTCAACCTGGGCAGCCTATCAGCATCATCTGGACTACTTGATTTTTTTAAAGTTCAACATGCCCTTTCTCCAGTTCACAGAGGAAGGTCTAGGTAGAACACTTTTGTGCATTTAAATCAGTGCAACAGGACATGTAGGGGAAGAGCAGGAAATACCAGCTCATGGTCAGGACAAGCCAAGTACAGATCTAAATCTGAGCCAGCTTCACCTTGGCAGGCTGAAGTCAGGAAATGGCAATGGGAACCTTCGTAGTTATATTCACCTAGGGATGGGATAGTTCCATTGTGTCTATCCCACATGATATCTAGATCTTGGTTCATACTGTTGTACCCTGGAATGTTTGCTCTCTACTCCTGGGAAGATCAGTGGACAAGGTCATGACTGGTCCTGGAACTTAAGGTTACTCTTCACACAACTCGAAGTCTAGCTACGCCTATGTTTTCCTATCTCTCTACCTTTGGTTTTGTTCTTCCCTCCTCATAGAATGCTCTTCCTGGGCCTTCTCCTCCATTCTGCTTATTAAAATCCTGTCTTCCAAGATTCAATTAAAATGCCATCTTCTCCAAGAAGCCTATCATTTAGTTTTATAAACATAGCTGTCTCTTTCATACTGTAGTGTAGTTAGACTGCTTATCATATTCTACCTTGCGTTCTCAAAATAAGAAGTGAGAAATGCATTTGCAGGAGGCCTACCCAAATTAGAGTTCTAGTAAGAGTGGAGGTGGAGAGGACATTTAACTACACATGCCTTATCGAGGTTCTGGCATTCTGCTTTGGGTGTGTGCATCATTTCTCTATGCAATGAGAACCACTGTGTATTATGAGATATGATTGGAGTATGTTACAAATGTAAAAACTATGGATTTTGATAAAAGGTTGAGAACCACTAATTAAGTCATTACAAAAATATTTACAGAGACCCCCTGTGTACCAGTGCAAACAAATGCCTATCATCTTTTTTTCTTGAGAGCAGAACTCATGGGCTGTTCAGCATCAGATTTCTGGTGTCTCCTACTCAGGGCTAGGTAAGAGCTCTGTCAGTGTTGATTAGAAGAAAGTTTGCTCCACTTTGTGGAAGTCTGATATTAATGGTGAGTCCACATAAATGAAATAGTATTACCCACTATTTTGTAGTATGTTTTTGTTTGTTAGCTAAATGACCTTAAAAATCTGATAAATCACAAAAGGGCAAACTAAATGTAAGGGTTGTTCCCCAAAAGTTTCTCCTCATGTTTTATGTCTGCATTTGCTATGCTTTCTGATACCTCAAACCTAGTCACTTGCTCTAATTGTACTTTGCAATATGAGTAATGCATGCAAGAGTTCATGGGAGTTTTGTGGCTTCTGAAAACTCTGGGACAGGAAGTGTGGAAATTTGGGAAGTAGAGGTAATAATGGGGAAGGGAGTATTGGGTTGGATGTTGCACTGTCGAACAGAGATGATGGGGCAGAGTAAGCTAAGTCTTTGGATACAAGGTATGGAACAGCTCTCAGAGACAGTTCTCTCATTCTGGTGCCGCTCTCATCTAGTAGCAGTTTGATGTGTGACCAGAATTTGACTGGGTTCATGTGTAATGCTCACACCAAGGACAGACTCAAGACTTTGTTATATACCCCCAATAATTAGCCCCGCTCCAAGTGCTGAAAATACTTCCAAATTATTGGAAGCTCTGTTGTCTTAACCTTACACCTTGAAGAACAGAAATCCCTTCTTTTGTTACCACTCATCTCCTCTCTCTCCAAAACCTATAGGCTTCCGTTCCTCTTGATTCCAGGTCTCTATCTATCTCTCTTCTCATTCTGCTTCTAAAATACTCCCAATTTTTCAGAACAATTTAGTTCTGATCAAAAGATTAATCAATTCAACAAAGCAAAAGCCTGATGGTTTCCCTAAAATGACGTCTATAGTTCTTCAAACAAAAATCACGTACCATACATAATATGCAATACTGCATATTGTCTGGGTTGATCATGGTTTGTCTGTTATTTTCAATTTCATTAGAATTCCTATAAAAACTTAATTTCCTCATTACCCTCAGGACATTTTTCAAAATGTTAATCACTGTACCTATGACCTACATTTGTAATTAGAAAATATCACGAGTTACTGAGTTAGATGGTTGCTTATATTTTTAACATTTTACGGTTTATTTAAATTATGTTTTTGCTAGAAAAGCTCATACATTTTCTCAGTAGGAAACAAAAAAATGGGAATAGGTTTTATATCACTGGTTAAAAAATTTAAAAACAAAACTAGAAGTGTTTTTCACTAGAAGTAAGAGAAACATTTAAAATTGGTGGGAAAGTATTAACATTATTAAAAGATCAAATTTGCCTTATGATTAACATAGTATTTTAATATATTATCATAGTTCACTAATTAAACTTTATATATTGTTTATATTTGAAACATCTTAAGATGCAATATTTTGTATTATGTATGGTAAATAATCTTTGTAATTATGTTGGTATTAATGCCAAATCAAATGTAGATTCATATTCTACTAACTACATCTTTATGTTCCAGGAAATACACTGAGTTTTATTACAATCACTATCCTGTTTAGTCAGACAAATAACCCTACAATTTAGATATTATCATATCTAAATCCAAGGTGAGAACTTAGGTCTAAGGCAGCGAAGTAAGTCTCCAGCATCACAGGTGTATACATGTATTACAAATGAATCTAACTTTCTCATTTCTTTTCACGGTTTCATATAGCACACAGAAAATTATATGGTATAGCTATGCGGTAGGAGTACAGACAGAAAGAGGAAAGAATTTCCTGTGAAACCTTACCCCAAAGACTAGCATAATTGCTTCATCAAATCTACTTCTGTTTAATCTTAGCACAATTTATCCAATGAGCTTACAAATGTGCTCATAAGATTAGTTATATCTCACAGATATTTTTATTTTTAAATGTTGAAAGTTATGAATTTGGGAGTGAAATTTTTTATCATTTATTCACCCATTGACCATCTATACAAAAAAAATTACAGCTAACTCTACAAGGAAAGAATTTTAGTCTGACAAAAGTGAAGCTCACTCAGAGAAACTAAATTATTTGTCTAACGTCACAAAACTAATTTTTGAAAAGGCGGGGCTTTTCATCTATTTTGCCCAAATTCAAAACCAGTAACCTGTATCATGTTCTAGAAGTTAATTATGATGGGTTGGTTTAGTTAAATTCTCTAAACTTCCCTCCAGAGCAAAAAGTGTGCTCAAAATCTACTGATGGAAGGATTCTGACAGCAGCATAACTTAAGGATATTTTAAGTAATATTGTGTGTGTGAGTGTGTGTGTGTGTGTGTGTGTATGAAAGAGAAAGAGAGAGAGGGAGAGTGTGTGTGTGTGTGTGCGTGTGTGTGTGTGTGTGTGTGTGTGTGTGTCTCCTGTCCACTGTATTTGCATGGACAACAAAAGTAAGAAGGAAGGTAGAGGGAGCATGCCTGCATTCCCATAGAGATTATTAGCTGGCTTGGTGATGATAAAATGTTTTCCCAAGAGGGGCAGGACTAGGACAAGAAAGGATCTGGGTTGGTAGGAAGATGAATTATCAGATGATGTACTCTTTACTAAATTTGAAAGTAGGGGTGGTCTGTGAAGCTCATCTGTCTTGGAGTAACTCTTAGATGTTTACTCATAGTTAGATACAGTCAGGATATTAGAAGTTATTTCCAGAAGACTCCACCAATCCTCTTCATCCAAGGTATGCATTTTGTCCCTCCCATTTGTTTAACAGGAACCCTAGCAGATGGTCCTTATTGAGTATTATAGATTTTTTTTCTTTCTGTGTGTCATATCTCATTGTTGTGATCAATAATTTTAGCCAATACTGCCTTTACTATTATTTTAGTTGTATCACTCAGAGCTTATGACATTTATTGTGTTGATATACAAAATCCATGCCACATTTGTGTGCAAATAAATAAATATAGCTAATTCTTATGGTATAACTTTCAGCATTTATGTTTCAGTATGTTTTTTTCAATGTACAATATTCTTTCCTTAAAACTGTATTTCCATAACTCTACTAAACTGGAGATGGAATCAATGTAAAGTCTGGTAAATAGTAAAGAGAAGAAACCTAATTTCAATGAGTTTAGAATTGTTCTAAAACCCATATGTAGCCAAAATTGTCCTTCTATAGTTCATCTTAATGCTTATGAGTTTACCAAATGCTTATGAGTTAAAGAAATTATTTATGATATTTATATTAAATTATAAAAAATAGCATTATATTGCGCATGATTATAACTTGTCAGATATACACACACATACACTTACACACACATGCACACAAGACTTAATAATTTCCTTGATGCCATTTCAGGAGATTAAGGAATGATAGAGCACAATTCCACCTGAAAATCGTGTTATAACCTATGTGACAGCATTAGCCCTTCCGGTCTGTAATTCAATCAGAAATTTTGTTGTTGTTGTTAGCATATTTCAACATTTTTTAATAAGAGAAAGATATTTTCTGTGGATAAAGGAAAAGGAAACATGATTTTATTCTTTTTTATTTTGAAAATAAATCACAGATAGAATATCATTTCTTTACATAATAAAATTCTACATCCAAATATTTGCATTGCATACTATTTGTTAGCAGACAATATTAATAGGTTTCAAGATAATCTCTCATTAGATTCTGAGAGTGTCTGCTCTAGTTGATAACAACTAGAGTTGGACTCCATAGGAATCCAGGCAACAATTCAAGTAGAGTAAAAAATAAGTTGAGTTATAAAGAAAAATGAATCATCTTAAGATCACCACTGATGAATACAAGAATCACAAAAGTTTCAATAGCAAAAGCAAAGTATATTAAAAATTAAGGAAAATATGCCAATTATGTTTCTCTTCATAATTTTACGACAGTAATTTTTTACAATCATGGCTGATTATAAATGAGAATTACTTTTTTTCATAACTTCTTTACAGCATTTTCTCTAAATTATTAAAATAAGTACGCTTTTTTTTTTTTCAGAAGCAAGAACCAGTTCACAGAAGTGTGAGTTTATTCATCAGTAAACACCTTTAAGTAAAACCTCGTGCATGGTGGCAGCTCTAATTTGACCAAAAGACTTGGAGATTTTGATTATGCTTGCTGGAAATCTACCCTGTCCTGTGTGAGACAGGAAATCTATTTTTGCAGATTGCTCAATAAGCATCATGAGCCACATAAATAACAGCTGTAAACTCCTTAATTCACCGGGCTCAACTGCTACCGAACAGATTCATCTAGTGGCTACATCAGCACCTTGTGCTTTCAGATATCTGTTTCAATGGCATTTTGTGGCATTTGTCTTTACCGAGTGCCAATAAATTTTCTTTGAGCAGCTAATTGCTAATTTTGTCATTTCTACAATAAAGCTTGGTCCACCTGTTTTCACCTTAGATTGTCCCTTTTCTAAACGTCAAAAATGTAGTGCAAATTAAAAAAAAAAATTATCTTTTACATTAATTCTACCATTTGTCCTAAGGGATAGATATCTTTGAAAACATGTTTATATTATAGTGAGAGTGAATGGCAGGGATGAAATGTATCATCCAAAAACCCACCAGGTTGTCCAAATAGTAGAAAGGTGAGTTTTACTGGCAATATCAGTTTGCAAATTGGGAAGAGACAGTCTCCAGTGTGTACCAAAGATGCTCTCTCTTCGAAGAGGGAAAGGGTAGTTGGGTTTTTATGCCTCACAGAGTCTATTACACAATAGAGGCATACATATTTAGCAGGTTTGGGGAAAAAGCTATACATATTTATGAGCAGAGTCAAGCACATGCCTAATGGGTAAACATATATGTAATGTACATCCCATGTTCATTTTGCGGTGGGGATTTAGCATTAAAATGAGGAGGAATTTGGCTCTTTCTTTTAAAGAAACATAGGATACAAAGTTTGTGGACAGTCTCTGTAAGCTGGCCAAAACTGGCTTGAGATCTTTAGTTACTTCTCAGTAAAGAATGTTTGTAAGATTGGCCCTCAGTCTTCTTAAAGTTGTAGTGGTGTGGGCTATAAATCAGTTAGGAAGGGTCTGCAATTTTTCTGATATCTCCTATTGTTAGGGAGTTTACCAAGAATGTGGTTTTTCTTATAGCCGTAGGAATTTAGGAAGTTTCCATGACAGTCAAGCTCTCAACACTCAACCTGGAAGTAACTTTTGTTTCATTAACCTTAGGGTTCATCTTAGTTAATAAGTGGGTATTTATTTTGGTCTCTCAGAACATGAACGGTTTACTGTACTGTTTTTGTTGGATTTGAAATTGACTTGTTTTCTACATAATTCAGTTTAAGGTTAGCTAAGTTATTTCTTTTTGGAAAAAGTCTGGTTTTTAAGAGCTGCTTTCCTACATCATCTTTTACTGTTATCAGTTTACTTAATAGTTAACTCTGCTAGACTAGTAGAAGCACTCCAATAATTAATTAGCTAAGAATGGCTGATGTCCAGTATTGAATAATGTATTTTCACAAATAAGTATATTTATTTCATCTATCTCACCTTGCCTTCACACAGGAGGTGGAAAACTTGGCTATAAAATATCATCAGATTAGTCAAGGTTCTCCAGAGGGACAGAAACAATAAGAAATACATGTGAAGTGAAATTTATTAGGGAGAATTGCCTCATGCAGTCATAAAGGCAAAGTCCCATGATGGGCCATCTGCAAGCTGGAGAGCCAGAAAAGCTGGTGGCTTGGCTCAGTCCAAATGCAAAAGCCGAGAAACCAGGAAAGTTAACAGTGGAGCCCCAGCCTGAGGCCAAAGGCCTTAGACCACCCCCTTCCCGGGAGGCTGTTGGTACAAGTCTCAGGGTCCAAAGGTTGAGAACCTGGAGCTGAATGTCCAAGGGAAGGAGGATAAACAGCCCCTTCTGTGATGGAAGTTTCCTACTCAGAAAGGGAAAGAGAGAAAGCCAGAGCAAGCTGAGTGTCTCCCTTTTTCTACCTGCTTTGTCCCAGCTGCTCCCCCAGCTGATTGGATGGTGCCCGCCCATATTCAGGGTAGGTCTTTTTCTCTCTCAGCCCACTGACTCATGGGTTAATCTTCTCTGGAAACAGTCACCTAGGCACACCCCAAAACAATGCTTCACCAGCCATCTAGGCATCCCTCAATCCAGTCAAGTTGGTACCTAAAATTACCCATCACAAGTCTACCCCTTGCCAGCTTGGCACCCATTATGCACCTCTTTAAACCACACCTAATCTCCAGATGAAGACTATAAAAAGGTCATAATTCTGTCCAACATGGTGAAACTATCCTGTTTACAAGCCAACGTGTACTAATCCCATCCTCAGAAGAAAGGATAAAGTTCATGAGTGTGGTTTACTCTTCTGATCTCCTGCAACTCAAATCTGATATAAAATTAACAGTATTCAAATGCTGATATTAAGTCAATAAATCTTATGTTACATGATAAAGGAAAAAGAGAAAACAAAGATACTTGCTTAAGACATGTTAATATACATACAAATGTATTCTTAACAAAATAGGAAATACTTATAAAAATTACAATCCTCATTTCTGTATCTGGCCACATGGCTGTATATGGTATTTATACATGTCTTCTACTACCCATTCTGTATTCTGTATTGCCTTCAGTAAGCACCTCAGCTGGTCATGGTTCTTTGCCTGGCAAGGTGACCCAAACCTTCATTCCTGAAGAGTCTGGGCAATTCATAGTCAGCCTATATTGAGTGGTTGTAGTTTCCCATTGACCTTCATCACAGGACAGGGTAATACTAATAGTTGCTCTAAGGAACCTTCTGTATTCCAGAAATACTATTCTTTATCTCCATTGTGGAACAGTAGGCCAATCAATCGCCCTTAGTAGCCTAGATGAATCACCCTAGCCAACACCCTAACTCCCTTTTTAGCCTGTTGACTCAAGAATCATGAGGAACCCAAAGCAGCCGGGTCACAGTTTTAATTCCCAGTTCAGTTGAATCATTTTTGTGTCTCCTAGTAGAAGCATGCCTCCCTCTGAAACAAAGTTCACTGCAGAACTAGGCCAGAAGAACATAATGTTGCAGAAACAGTGAGAAAAAATTTTGCTAGTGGGTCACTAGAGGTGATGATAAGTAGTTCCACTTCCATTTCTACCTATTGATTCCTGGACCTATGACTCCTGGCTATGGGAGAAACAGTACCATATATTGGATGCTGATTCAGAACATATACAACCTTCTGGAGAAATCTATCTCAGCCCTGTAAAATATTGTCACCTAGCTGGTACTGTAGAAGCCAGCTTCTTCAGGAGAATGGGAAACATGCTAAGACCAGTGAATTCTATGAGCATGAGCTGATTGCTGCACTTTTTCCCTGTGAAGTGAATTCCTGGGTCAGAAACAATGCTGTGTGGAATAGGATGGCAGTGAATAAGTCATTACATAAGTTTACAGATGGTAGTTTTGGCAATAGCATTGTATGCAGGGAAGACAAATCCATATCCATACTAAGTGTCTATGCCAGTAAGGACAAAATGCTGCCCCTTCTGTGATGGAAGTAGTCTAATGGAATCAATCTGCCCTGGGGAATGGTGCCATATTAGGGCTCACTATTGGTCTGTGAGTGCTCAGTCTATGGCGAGGCAGTAGCCAGATCACTCTTGGTGAGTGGAAGCCCATGTTGCTGAGCCCATGAATCACCTCTATCCCTACCACCATGGTCACTTTGTTCATGAGTTCACTGGGCAATGACAATGGTAGCTGAGGAGGAGGCTGACTGGTATCCACAGAATGGGTCATCTTATTCACTTGATTATTAACACCCTCCTCTGCTGAGGTCACCTTTTGGTGAGTATTCATATGGAACACAAATATTTTTATATTTTTTGCCCACTCAGAGAGGTCTATACACATAACTCTTCCCCAAATTTCTGTGTTACCAATATTCCAATTATGTTCCTTCCAAGTCCTTGACCATCCAGCCAAACCATTGGACCATGTATTCTTGTCCTCTGTCAACTGATTGTAGGGAACTCCCCATGAAGGCATAGTACAAACTGGGAGAGAGGAGGCAGTGTAGAAGGAGTGAGGACTATGGGCATTTGGGCTTCTTCATGTAACTTACTTGTGCCTTCAGGACCTGCTTCAGCCTGATCGTGTGTATACCACTACCATGTGACGATAGAATACTGCTGTGTCTCCCCAACTTTATGGCTTAATGGGCCAAATAACACCCAGTTAATGGTAGGTAGTTCAGGTCACATGGTAATTTGCTGGCCCAAGGCCAAGCATTCAGCTTTTACTAAGGCCTAGTAGCAGGTCAAGAGCTACCTCGCAAAAGGAGAGTAGTTATCTGCAGATGATGCCAGGCCTCATTCCAGAATCCTAAAGACCTCTATTGTGATTCACCTGTAGGGCCCTGCCAAAGACTCCAAACAGCATACCTATCTGCCACTGATACAGCAAGGACCATTGGAGCTCTTGGGTCACATGGCCCAAGTGGCAGAGCAGCTTGCATAGCAGCCTGGACTTGTTGCAGTCTTTTCCTGTTCTGTGCCCCACTCATAACTAGCAGTTTTTTGTGTCACCCAGTAAATGGGCTAGGGTAACACACCCAAATATGTCGCCTTTATAATCCAAATAGGTCCACTAGGAATTGTGCTTCTTTCTCAGTTATAGGAGGGGCCAGATGCAACAACTCTTTACTTTAGAAGGGTTATCTCCACAGGCCCTGCACCACTGGACCCTTAGAAATTTCACTGAAATGGAAGGCCCCTGAAGTTTAGTTGGATTTATTTCCTGCCCCCTGACAATGCACATGTCTTGCCAATAAATCCACAGTGGTTGTTACTTCTTGCTCACTAGGTCCAATTAACATAATATCATCAATGAAGTGAACAGGGTGATAGCTTGTGGAAGGGAAAAGCAATCAGGATCCCTGCAAAATAGATTATGACATAGGGCTGAAGGGTTGGTATACCCCTGAGGTAGGAGGGCAAAGGTATATTGCTGGCCTTGCCAGTGAATCAAATTGCTTCTGGTGGGCCTTATGGACAGGTATGGAGAAAAAGCATTTACCAGAACAATAGCTGCATAACAGGCACCAGATGTGTTAATGTGTTCAAGAATGAAACTACATTGGGTGTAGCAGTTGCAATTAGAGTCACGACTTGGGTAAGCTTACAATAAGCCATTGCCATTCTCCAGGATCCATCTGTCTTCTGTACAAGCCAAATAGGAGAGTTGAATGGGGACATGGTGAAAATCACCACCTCTGCATCTGTCAAGTCCTTGATGGTTGCACTAGTCTCTGCAAACCCTTCAAGAATGCTACCTTGTTTTCTATTTACTATTGTCTTAGGTACAGGCAGTTCTAATAGCTTCCATTTGGCCTTTCCTATCATAATAATCTTCACCCACTAGTTAGGGAACCAATGTGGGGATTCTGTCTGCTGCTAAGTCTGTCTATTTCAATAATGCATTTTGAACTGGGGAAATAACTACCTTATGGGTTCGGGGACCACTGGACCTGAGCTAAAGCTCCATGAATCACCTGACTCCCCTAACCTCTACTATAACTGGAGGGCCACAGTGATGTTTTCAGTCTCTTGGGATCAATGTCAGTTCAGAGCCAGTGGCCAGTCATCCCTGAAAAGCCTGATTATTTTCCTTTCCCTGATACAAGGCCAGAGGTCCCTTTGGGGAAGTATAAGAGAAAGATTAACAGTATAAATTTTATGTAGTGCACCAGAGTCTTTCCTCAACAGGACCTGGTCTCCCCTTCACTTAAAGGGCTCTGGGTCTGTAAACTGGCTCAAGTCTAGAAATTGATTGAGGGGCAGTGATTCCCTGTTGTCAAGATTTGAGTTAGACTTTTCTTCACTTGACCCAGAAATTTTGTGCTTCTACAGTTCAAGTAAGAGCATAGTAAGCTTCCCATCTATTTTACTTCTAGGAACATCATGATTAATTAGCCAGTGCTGGAGGTCTACACAAGTCAGATTATTCTGATTGTTGCTTTGCCTCTGCTGTTAATTCCAGTAACTACGCCCACCTTGCCTTTGACATTTGAGTGCCATCGCTTGGCTCCTGCCACCCAGGGATCCAATTATTCCCATTGCATTTGTTTTCTAATTGAGTGATTGTAGTTCCCACTATAAGTTCTGGAATGCAGAGAAGAGCAATCACAGAGATCTTTAAGGATGCTGGTGCTCCCCTCACAAATTTATTTCTTAAAATATTAGTGAAAGGTGTATCTTCTGGACCCTCCCAGTGTGGGGGAGTAGGTTTTATGTGACAAGTCCACTGTATCATTCCAATTTCCTTAAGCCTTTTAATTCCCTCCTCTAAATGAAACCAAGGTAGATCAGGCATCCCCAGCTCACTCCTGGGGTGGTCTATTTTTTGATCCATGTTTCAGCCAGTCAGCCAAATAAACTTATAGTGCCTGTTTTCACTCCTTGAGCTTCAATATTAAATGCAGAATATATGCTTAGTGGGCTCATATCAATAAATTTGACCTTATTCTTTGTTTCTTCCACCATAATCCCACATCCTTAATATCCATTCCCACGCATGTTTCTTGGATTTCTGCTGGTATCAGTTAGAACACTCAAGTAGTTCTTTTGGAGTATAGCGCACCTCCTTGTGGGTCACACTCTGAACCTCCCCTCTGGGATTTCAGTCTAGTTACAGGTTTAGAAGCAAAGAGGGGTGGTAGGGGTGGGTCTCAAGGAGAATCAGCATTGTCTTGCCCGGCAACTGCTGCAGGGGAGACCATTACTCTTTTTTCTGACAATGCAGTTAATCCCAGAGAGGGGTGGAAAAGAGATACCATTGTGGGTGGGGGTGCCACTGCCTCTGGAGGTGGAGAGGACAGTCACCTTGGCAAAAAATACTCTTCAGAATTTACGAGCTCAATGCCCCCCATCAGGATCATCCCACACATCTCCATCCCCATTTAGATAATTCCATTTTTTTTTTCCCCAACCAACGTCCTCACTTTAACACTAGATACCAGTAAAGGCTGAGAGTTCACCTTTCTTTGTAACTCAGCCGATGGATGCTGAAGGCTTGTGTTTGATTTTCAGCAGTTTAAGTCCCATGGCTAAAGAAGAGGAGATTCTCCTTCTCCTTCAGGACACACTTAGAAATTTTTAGGGTATGTATATGCATCTGGAGCTGGGAGTTGGAATCCCTGAGCTCATCTTTTTCTTTCCTCACTTTGTCCAGTGATATTAAGAGCACCCAACTAACTTCATTATCATTTCTTGGTTTCCCACCAGAGTTGGAAGGTATGCATATAGTCACTGAACTCCTTACCTCCTGAAAGTGGTGAATTAGAAGCATCAAGTGCCTTTATTTTGTGTATCTCTATAAACAGTTCACGCCAAAGACTATTTAGGTTTAATCAGATTATAAAGTCAGTTCCAGAAATCCCAAAACCAATTAAGGAAATTCCTTTTAAGAATACTGTTCCTCTAGAACCATTCCTGGCATCAGTGTCTGTATTAGGGTTCTCCAGGGGGACAGAACCAATAGAATATACATGAAAGGGAATTTATTGGGGAAAATTGGCTCACACTGTCACAAAGGCAAAGTCTCACCACGATAGGCCATCTGCAAGATGAAGAAGCAGTTTGTAGCGTGGCTTTGAGAGAAGCCGGTAGTGTGACCATCTCAGTCTGAAAGCCTCAAAACCAAGGAGGCCAAGAATGCAGCCCCAGTCTGAGGCTAACGGCCTTAGAGTGCCCCAGGAGGTGGCTACTGCATCTCAGAGTTTAAGGGTCAAAGAACCTGGAGTCTGGTGTCCAAGGGCAAAGGATAAAAAGGTGTCTACTCAGGAAGAGAGAGACAGAGAGGCCAAAAGAAAAAGCTGAGCAAGACGAATGTCTCCCTTTTCCTGCCTGCATTGCTTTACCTACATCCCTAACTGACTGGATGGTGCCTGCCCACATTGAGGGTGGCCCAGTTCACTAACTCATGGGTCAATCTCTTCTGGACATACCCTCACAGCCATACCCAAAATCAGTACCTCACCAGCCCTCAATCCAGTCAAATTGACACCTAAAATTAATCATCACACTAAGAAAAGCCAAAAACATAAAAGGCAGTACATTACACCCAGGGAGGGAGCATAATATACAGTTAGGATCCAGGACTCTAGAACTAGACTATCTTTTTCAATTCTGGTTCCTTACTTACTAGTTATGTAATCTTGGACAATTGATTTAATCTTTTTTGTGTTTCAGTTTGCTCATTTATAAAGTGAGGATCACAAAAATAGTTTCTGTCTCAAGAGCTGTTAGGAGGATTAAATGAGTCAATGTATATAAAGTGTTTAGAACTTGGCATTTTCTACAATAATTCTTTTTTTTAATTTGAGACAGGGTTTCTCTGTGTCACCCAGCCTGAAGTGCAATGGCATAATCATAGCTCACTGCAGCCTCAAACTCCTGGGCTCAAGAAATCCTCCTGCCTCAGTCTCCTGAATAGCTAGGACTACAGACACACACTACCATGCCTGGCTAAATTTTCACTTTTGTAGAGATGTGGTCTCACTATGTTCCACAGGCTGGTCTTGAACTCCTGGACTCAAGTGATCCTCTCTCCTCAGCCTCCCAAAGTGCAAGAGCCAATGCACTCGGCCTACATTAATTCTTATTCTCCTCAGCTCACATATGTTCCTTGAGACTGAATGGATATTTCATAGAAAGCTTCCTTAAAGAAGTGTGCTATGGAAAAGTATTACTTGCTTAAGATGATTTTGATATATATAAGATTATGCTTAACTCATGACAAAACATGCAATGGCGCTGTCCATCAATCAGTCGAGTGAACTGCTGTGTGATGAATTATCTTGATAGGTGATTTCTATCACCTTTCCATTCTTAATTAACCTATCAAGATAGTCTATAAAGTTTATCCCCAAATATCTCCCAAATCCATCCAGTTTTCTGATGAGTAAATCAAGCAATGGAATTAGCTTGTTCTGAATGGTTACTACAACTGCTCACTCTATATAGTTATAAATGGACCATCTTTATCTAAATACTTTCTGTTAAGGATTCTGCCACTTCATATACCTGTCACAGAACCCTTTAGAGGGAAAGAAGGATTCTAAAAAAGAAGGTTCTGTAAACCTAAATTTTCTCAAAAAGAGGACACTTTAGCTTATCCAGTAAACTTGGTTTATGACAATTCAATTCTTTCCTGAAGGGATTTTTACCATTTTAATTTTTATCTCTTAAAATATGCCTAGATTTAGACTGTATACAGCCCAAACTCTTCAGCTTCCCTAATTTTACTTCTTCTAGGACTGCTATTTATACTTTGGCTAATATAACTTTCTCTTGTTAATGATAGGAATCTAGGAAATTCCCAGTAATTATGCAAAAAATGTATAACTAAAGTATTTGATCTCTGTCATATGTATTTAATTTCTGTATTTTGTTCTTTCTCCAAAGAAAAAAATTATGCAAAGTGAAAAGGAAAGGAAAAGTGATCTAAAAGATCTCTTAAGGTAGGATTCAGTATGTCTTCATGGGAAGATGGTGAAAACCTACAAGAATCTGATGTTCAAAGTGTATTACAGTGTCATCTTCAAAACATAACCAAGGCCCATTCTTTAGCAAGACAACTGGGTAGTGAGTGGTCTTGGAAGCCATGCGCTAATTTTGATTCGTGTCAGGAAATTTTTGTAGAGTTAGCAATAGAAGTTCAGTCAAGTTAATATCAACTCAAAGATATTAACTCATCACTCTGGACATGGGATTCATTCAGAAGGCTCCTGTGTTCCCACATTACCCTTCCATCTTAGATGAGACTTCTATAAAATATGAAGGCATGTCTGCTGATTCAGAGAAACCCAAATACATCAGTAATAAACAAAAACTTCATCAAATAAAGGCAGTACAACAAGAGTAAGAGAATAGTTTTGATGTAATTTGATGTAGAGATAACAAAACACCCACAACTTATATTAAATAAGTTTGCCTCCATCAGGACAGTTAACCTGTTACATGAGTCTTTAGAGATTAGAGATTCTACTGCTTCTCATAATCCTGACTGAAAGTTGTAGATCAATAAAGTACTTTGTGACTAATTGCTTAAAGTGCTTTTATTTTAAAGCATGAATTTACAAGTTTACTTCAATAGGAGCAACTTGCATATACATCCAAGGGAGGCAATTTCTTCCACCACTACGTTCACAAACTCTAAGTAGATGAAGCTAGCTCTCTCCACATATCCCATCAAATAACCCCCCATCATAGCCAGCCAAAGTTAGGTATTGACATGTACATAGCAGAGAAAGAAATAACGTGGAAAGACTTTTGTAAGAAGCCAAGAGACTTTCTCACCCCAGGTTAAAGCATAGCTGAATATGTGGAATTGATTTCTATCTTGGCTGATTCTTAGGCCCAATCAACATAGCTACTACCAACTCTCTAAAGCCTCTTAAAGATTTGGTGGCTTCAAGCTAAAAGATGAGATGGAAAAACATTTATTTCTGGGGGCATTTGGTAGCTCCAATTCAACTCAGTTTACAAATTTGTTGAACAGTGTTTACAAAATACCATCAGGGATATCTATAGACTCCTAGAATTTTGGATTATGCATACCACCAGCATTTGATGACTTGTTCTTCTGTAACAGATACTTACATGGTGAATATTATTTAGGTTGGTAAAGATTGTAAGTGGGTTTAGTCTCCACGAAAAAAACGAAGAGAAAAAAAATCAAAGGAAACTTACTTTCCTAACTCTTCTCGCATCCTCCCTAGATGGAAACTCATACAAAGAAGTGCCCTCTGCATTGAAGAGTTTGTTGATTATAAACACTAAAATTGGGTCTTAGAGTCTATAGAAACTTGTGATATTTGCAGTCTCTAGGTTAGAAACAGTTCATAGCTCTTGCTATGTTTGAATATGCAAAGTGTGCACAATTTGGGAAGTTTTAAGATCTACAATGGATGCTTAGCCATGGTGTTTCAGGATGGAGAGTCACAATTCATCAAAATAGGCTGGTCACAGTGGCTCACACCTGTAATCCCAGCACTTCGGAAGGACAAGGCAGGTGGTTCACCTGAGGTCAGGAGTTTGAGACCAGCCTGGCCAACATGGTGAAATCCTGTCTCTACTAAAAATACAAAAATTATCCAGACGTGGTGGCGTGTGCCTGTAATCCCAGCTACTGGGAAGGCTGAGCCAGGAGAATCGATTGAACCCAGGAGCTGGAGGTTGCAGTGAGCCGAGATTGCACCATTGCACTCCAGCCTGGGTGACAGAGCAAGACTCTGTCTCAAAAAAAAAAAAATAAAATAAAATAAAATAAAATAATAATAATAATAAAAAAATAAAAAATTCAACGAAACAAAAATGATAACAGGGTTTGTGCTCCTCTACATCTTTTGATTTTTTAAGCATAGATACTTACTTCAGTTATATATTTATACTGGATTTTAAATAAAATAACTTCTCATTATTCTTGGAGTCCCAATGTCTATTATTTCTCCTTTATAGTATTAGCAGCCCTTTACTTTGAAATCCCCACGGGTATAGGACTTGTGCAGGCCTTGCTGCTGGATTCTTTTTAGATTATCTTCTACTGCTGGTTTTATCACAGAGAATAGTAGTAAAAAGATAATCTTATTTCTTACAAATGCTGCTCACACTTCTTACTACCACACTACTCAGCCACCCCTGAAGAACTGAATTTCAAATACTAGTAGCTTGTTAGAGAAGGAAGATGAAAAATGTCATGTTTACTCCACATTTCCCAACTGGAAACTTCACTGTTGTGCTTTTCCAGATGACTAGGAATGCTCCCGCCCTTTCCAATCAATAGATACTTTCCCCTTTGAGTCAGAGCCTTAGCACCATGTTACCAAACTCTTCAACTTAGTAATAAAATTCATGGCTCTGGGGTTGAAAGCCCAGCTCTGTCACTTAGATGGTGTATGACCTTGGGTAAAAAAAAAAAAGTGTTGAAAGGATAAGATGATAAAATATGTGAAGCACTAAGCACAGTGCTTGGTACACAGTAAGCATTTTCTGAATGTTTACTATTGTTTTTACTGTTGCTACTAATATTGTTCTTAATAATTATAAACTTAAGTTATTCCTCCTTACTAAGTTATGCTCTTATGCTATTTCCTGCACAGATAACTTATGATTAGATAATTTGAGCTATAGTAACACTTCATGCTAAAATACATATAGACAGATTATTGATATGGCTGGTGAGGCCTCACAATTATGGCAAAGTCATGGCTTACATGGTGGCAGGCAAGAGAGCTTGTGCAGGGGAGTTCCCATTTATAAAACCATTGGATCTCATGAGACTTATTCACTACCATGAGAACAGCATGGGAGAAACTGCAACCATGATTCAATTATCTTCACCTGGCCCCGCCCTTGAGCTGTGGGGATTATTATTATTATTGAGACGGAGTTTCTCTCTTTTTGCCCAGGCTGGAGTGCAATGGTGCAATCTCGGCTCACTGCAACCTCTGCCTCCCTGGTTCAAGCAATTCTCCTGCCTCAGCCTCCCCAGTAGCTGGGATTACAGGCATGCGTCACAACACCCAGCTAATTTTCTGTATTTTTAGTAGAGACGGGGTTTCTCCTTGTTGGTCAGGCTGATCTCAAACTCCCGGCCTCAGGTGATCCACCAGGCTCTGCCTCCCAAAGTTCTGGGATTACAGGCATGAGCCACTGCACCTGGCTGACATGTGGGGCTTATTATAGTTCAAGGTGAGATATAGGTGGGGACACAGCCAAACCATATCAATTTCCTAGAGCCATTCATTATAAAGATGAATTATACATGTTTATCCTACATGTATATATCTAGTCCATATTTAGTCAGATAGAAGAATTTAAAATATAAATGTGGTTGTGTATTACATCATTTTAAGGTTATTGCATAAAGAGCCAGAATTTCCCAGCTGGACATGGTGGCTCATGCCCGTAATCCCAACACTACTGGAGGCCGAGATGAGCAGATTGCTTGAGTCCAGGAATTCAAGACCAGCCTGGGCAACATGACGAAACCCCATCTCTACAGAAAATATAAAAAAGTACCTGGGCATGGTGGTGTGCTTGTGTAGTTCCAGCTACTTGGGAGTCTGAAGTTGGGAGGATCAACTGAGCCCAGGAGGTGGAGGCTGCAGTGAGCCATGATGGCACCATTGCACTCCAGCCTGGGTAACCAGAGTGGGACCCTCTCTTAAAAAAAAAAAAAAAAAAAGCAGAATTAAAATTGGACATTTTTTTATATTCATGTTTGGGCCCATTAAAAAAAAAAGAGAACAATGAAAAATTATAGGTGAGAGATTTCAGATAAGTGGTAAAATTACATAATATGAATGCCTTGTTTTTTTCTGACATTCTTAAAGTTAAGCAACTTGAAAAATAATTTGTTAGTAGTAGTATTATGTTATAAAATTCCACATTGAAAGTAGATCCTTCAATTAATTTTTTAACTTGTAAATTGAGAAATGGTAACAAACCAGAAAATTTAAGAATTGTTTTTTAAATGATTTCTGTAGTAGTCTGTTCTCACACTGCTAATAAAGACGTACTTGAGACTAGGTAATTTATAAAAGAAAGAGGTTTAACGGACTCACGGCTCCACATGTCTGAGGAGGCATCACAATCATGGCAGAAGGCAAAGGAGAAGCAAAGGTGTGGCTTACATGGCGGCAGGCAAGAGAGGCAAGAAGCAGGAGACCTCCCATTTATTAAACCATCAGATCTCGTGAGACTTATTCACTACCGTGAGAACAGTATGGGGAAACTGCCCCCATGATTCAATTATCTTCACCTGGCCCTGCCCTTCACACGTGGGGATTATTAAGTTCAAGGTGAGATATGGGTGGGGACACAGCTAAACCATATCAACTTCTTAGAGCCATTCATAATAAGGATGAATGATACATGTTTATTTGACACGTATATATCTAGTGTACATGTATAGGAGAGTGAAAATTAATGGTTTATGTTTAGAACAATGCACCTCAGGATTTTTTGTTTTTGTTTTTACATGATTATCATCATCAAAACAAATTCAATCATATTCAACATTCTCCATTCAGGCACAGAAATGGATTTATGTATTGACATTTTTACTAAAGGCAATTGAAGTTTGTTTTGTTGTTGTTGTTGTTTGTTTGTTTTCTTAATCCAGCTTTACAAAGAAAACTCAATCAACCAGAATAGTTTATTCAGATTATTTAAAGGAAAGCCAAAATGTTTGCATCATTTTACAGATTATTTTTTCCAAGTTTTAGCTTTTGAAACTCACTTAGGTAGATAGTTAAAATCAATATTCTACAGTTAATTTGTCCTATTTATAAAGATAAAGAATATGTGAATTTTTGGCATTTCTCTCACACTCAAGTGCAGCCATCACCCGAATAGTGTACATTATACCCATTAAGTAATTTCTCATCCCTTACCTGCCTCCAAACCTCCTACCCTTCAGTATCTCCAACATCAGACTCAATTTTCACCCCATTTTTCATCCTAATTGAGAAATCAGAGCAGCCCCATGTTGCCTTTCACATCAACTTGCCTCTACGAGCCAAATCTGATCATTTCCATGGCTGATTCCTGCTACTCTTTACAAGAGATAAAGTGTGATTTGAATGGTCTTAACTTCACCACTCCAGAGCTTCTCTCTCCATTGCCACCCCCAACTTCTCTACCTTCAATCAATGCCTGTGCATTCTTATCATCTCCCTGCTCTCAGAGCCTGCTTTCTTTTAAGAAGATCTGCGATTCAGTCACAAAGTTCCCTTCTAGGAATAATAACATTTTAATAGGTGTCAGAGCCTTCCTCTAAAAGAATGACACTCTGATGGAGAAATAATTGCTTCAACCAGTGGGTAGGAGCTCACAGTAGTTTTCTCAGCTGGGCTTCATTTCTTTCCTGGCATATCATTTTTCTTTTCAACCCTCTGCCTTTGCTCAGGCTCCACCGTACCTCCTCATCCCTTCACTAACAGCATACTCCTACCTGTGTGCCAACAAAACATATACAACCTTCAGACCCAATTTTAGAAAACTCTTTCAAGGAGCCAGCTGAACTACCTCCCACATTGTTAAACTATTTCAGTGTAACTTAAACACTAAGATTTCTGGCTATCTGACAAGGTATTAGCTTCCCCAAGTTGAGTATAATTTCACTGATTTGCAGATGAATATACATATAAATTTTTCATTTTCCGTAGATCACCTGTAAAACTCTCTACATATCTAGATGCCTAGCACATATGCATTGGGTGTAAGTCTAAAGCTTGCTAAAGTAAATTGTTGTATTTTCCTCAAAATCAGATGTTTCTGTTTTTCTTTAATGAACCAATACATAATTTACCTATTTCTTGATTTGTGTCTTATGTAACACTTTAAGGTATTACTTGCTCTAATTTTACAGGGTTGGAGCTAGCACATTTTGGAATTAAGTGGAATTTTGTTTTCACAGCCTTCTTTTTCTTCTGCCTAGTGTGCAGTCCTGTCTTCTCTTACTGTTGCCTTCACGCATACTGCAAAGTAAACGAACACATACAACTGCTTCTTCTCCAAATGCATTAAAATTAAGAGGAAAAAAATAGGCTGGGCACAGTGGCTCACACCTGTAATCCCAGCACTTTGGGAGGCTGAGGCGGGTGGATCACCTGAGGTCAGGAGTTCAAGACCAGCCTGGCCAACATGGCGAAACCCCGTCTCTACTAAAAATACAAAAATTAGCTGGGCCTGGTGGCAGGTACCTGTAATCCCAGCTACTTGGGAGGGTGAGGCAGGAGAATCACTTGAACCTGGGAGGCAGAGGTTGCAGTGAGCCAAGATGATGCCATTGCACTCCAGCCTGGGCAACAAGAGCGAGACTCCATCTCAAAAAAAAAAAAAAAAAAAAAAAAAGAGGAAAAAAATAGGGAAAGTATTTCCCCTGGTATTAAAATAGATTTCTTTATCCCAGCATGTAAGGCAAACTACATTATATGGATGCCAAAACACCAATTAAAATCAGAATATCTGATTTATCCTACATTACATTTTTCCAATGACTGTAACTTTAATCTTTGATCACCAATTTATTCTAGTTATCTGCAACATAAACTATATAAATGGTCTAAAAGTAAAGCTGAAGCAACCTAGAGATATGCCTAAGGAAATACTATTATACATAGCAAAGGTAATATTCTTCTTATGAAAAAATAAGAATGCAGTGTTACTCAGAGCTAATATTTCTGTTGAAAAGACTGCACAAACCAATTTTGTGGTATTTTTCAAACACCATTTATTATTGCTGTTAAATTTAAAAAATTAACTGGGGCATTGCTCTGAGGAATAGCTTGTGATTCTGTCTCCCAAATTCACCTAGGCTATTTTGCGTTGGAATAGTCAGCTACCCCTCTAATCATGTCTTTCTCATCTCTAAAATGAGAATCATAATGATGATTTTCCCACTTACATGCAGGGATTGTTGGGCTAGATAAGTCAAAAATAACGAGTGCAAAATAAGCTATTAAATCATTTTGTTTTTTATATCTACATGAGAAATGATCTTTTAATTATGGATTTGAGGTATTAGAAAAATACAAAAAGAACAACAAATTTATTTCTGTGGTAGGAAAATTACTATTGAGAACAAAACTAATTTTTAAAGGAGTATATTTAAAGTCTATTTAAAGAAAAATATTAGGTAAGCGAGAGGACAGGTGGCATATGAATACAGCAGAATTGGTGAGGGTAGGTTACTCATGATTGTAGCTTGGGAAACAGTCAAACTAGAGGCCAAGATTCTGGTTGTCCTTTGTCAGAGGATCCAGCCCCTTGCTGGCTTTAAGACTTTGGGCAGATAGTTTTCAAGCTATGTCTCAGCTTCCACAATTGTTCAACCTTACTTTATAAGATTGCTGTGAGGGGGGCAGGGCGTGGTGGCTCACACCTGTAATCCCAGCACTTTGGGAGGCCAAGGCAGGTGGATCACCTGAAGGTCAGGAGTTCAAGACCAGCTTGGCCAAAATGGTGAAACCTGTGTCTATGAAAAATGCAAAAAAACAAAAAACAAAAAAATTAGCTGGGTGTGGTGGCAGATGCCTATAGTCCCAGCTACTTGAGAGGCTGAAGCAGGAGAATCGCTTGAACCCAGGAAGCGGAGGTTGCAATGGGCTGAGATTGCACCATTGCACTCCAGCCTGGACAACAAGAGCAAAACTTTGTCTCAAAAAATAATAATAATAAGTTTGCTGTGAGGATTCAGGGAAGTGAGGTGAGTGAAGCACTTAGAATAGTGTCTGCCACCTAGTTGGTGTTCACAAAGTATTGATTATTATTGGTATATTTTCAATTGTATAATAATTTATCCTAACAGGTTATTTCTCAGATAGTTAGTGAGACCCTGACTGGAGGACAAAAGTCTCTAATATCCACTTGATAGTGTGTTTGGTGTAATTCCCTGCAAGTCTTATTCACAGCACCATGAGTCTAACACATTATGATTCTAATATGGTAAAAGTGAGCTTAAATTGCAATCTAAAAGCCTAGATTAGCTAAATTTAGAGGATTTCTGTTGGTTTTGGTAAGTCTGTCTCTCCTATAACAACTATCCCCTCCCTGCTCCTTGAAGAATTGAGACTCTATTTACAAACCAAACCCATAAAATTTCTATCATTTTACAAATTATTTTGTTAGATTTGAACTTTTGAAACTGGTTGAGATGAACACCTAAAACTCTTTGAACTGAACAGAATTATTGATGTTCCTTTATTTTCACTGTTTTTCCTGGCTGACAAACAAGTTTATATGCAATTTCTTTGAACAGACCACTTGCATTCATTCCTAATGAGCAGCTTTCTATATATATGACATTGCAAATCCTTTCAGTAAGATGAAATTCAAAAGTGACGTTACTGGTCTTCTTGAAGTACCAGTGAATTAAAAGCCAACCGTCTTGACTTCAGGTTATCTATTTATGATCTGCATTGTAGAAAGTCAACCGATTATTCTGGACCTATTTCTTGCCTGAAAAATGAAGTTAGACTAGATCAAGTTTTAATCCAGAGTTATATAGAGAGGGTCAGAATACTTAGAGAGGGATTTCTTTTTACTAGTCTTTAACTGAAATTTATCATTCTCCTCATTTGTAGGAAAGAATACGCATCAACATTTATGGTATTTTTGTCATCAATAGAACTATATATCTATTTATTATATACCTATTATACACTTATATTTAGTGTAGCGACCTTGAAGTATCATTTTATATCACTATTTCAAAACTACATAGGTAGACCTTCAATTAGACCTTTTAATTTAATGCATTAATGGAGCATATATAACACTATAGCACATCACTAGGTTTACTTAAATATGTTGATAACTGTATTTTAAGTAGAATTCTTAGTAATCATATATGTTTTATTTTATTTATAAATTGTACTTTGAAAAGCTGGCCATAGGCTTCACCAGACTACAAGAGGGATCTATGATTCAAAACCATTTGGAACCTTGGTATATGGGTGTTTCTCAAAGCCTTTATATGGTACACTCTTGGGCCATAAAGGTCATCTAAGATGATCTTTAATGGATTGAAAATGCAAATTGTTTCCTCTTTATGGGAGAATGATATGTCAGAATGACTTCTTTTTTTATGAAGTACTAAGGGTCACTAACAAGCAGTACTGCCCAAGTTAATTGTAAAGGCGTCTACAACTAAAGATTTATCAACTAAAATAATGTAATTTGGATTTGCTGAGGACTCTGCTATCTGGCTGTCATGAAATTCCTTGGCAATTGCGTGTCTACTCCTGAAAAGAGCTGGAATTTTAGTTTTCAAGGAAGACCCTTTTTCAGTGCTACGAAACTCTTATCTTGAGTTTATCATAGTTTTTAATTGTTGCTAATCACATGTACAGAATTATTATTGGGTATAATATGTGTATCATTTGGGGATTTGTTATTTTTTATAATTGCTGCCTTGTTGCCATTTGATTACTTTCTTTTTCTTTTACTCTTTTATTACTGCTGATTTCTTTATTCAGTAGAAATAAGATAAATAATTTGGTGGTGGATGACCTTAGTAATGGCCTTTACCCATTATAAAAAGTTCTCTAAAAAATTTTGAGAACCAGTGAATTAGTTAATTACTTCTATTTCTTTCTTGTAATTCAGTCTGTTCTTTTTACTATGTTCTGTTCTATTCTAGACTGTTCTGTTCTGTTCTAATCTAGTCTTAAGTAACAGAATATTAAATCAGAATTTAAACCAAGACTCTAACATGATAAATGTCAGAAAAAAACTGATTTTTGAGACAAGAATTTCAAAGAAGGTTCAAAACTCAGTAATAAGATGCATAAAACCCTTTCCCAATTCAAACAAATGAAAAGCTCAGGTCACTGAGCTTGAAAAAAAAAAGATTTATGAAGATGATTTCTTTAAAGACTTCTCTGCTATTGGGAAATGTGCAGAAATGCTTCCTTCTTCACCTCAAATTAAGGGAGGAGAACTTCACCAAGACCCTTGGAGAGATTGAAGTTAAGAGGATATTGAGAATGGAATCTAGTTCCTACCTGAGAGATCTAAAGAGTTAAATGGTGGCAGGTGAGCCAAAGGAGAGACGGCTGTGTAGATTTCAGCTTTTCTTCCAGTCATTCATGGAAACAAATGCCTCAAGAGTGTGTCATGTGAACCAAATGTACCCACCCACATTTGGAAAGCTGATGGGACCTCAGCAGACAGAAGCTGGAAATGTACCAGCAAATTTCCAGGGGCTGTGGACATTGTAAAGAAGCCAGAGATTCATGGGTCTTACCAACCTGGTAAAAAGCCATGGTCCTTGGCAAGAATTCTGTTAAGAGCCCATGACTGTGCTCACAGAAAATAAAGGCAGCTGTAAACGCCTGCCAGGTCTAGTGAGTGCAAAGCCATCCTACAACACTGCTGCTCCTCTTAGCTTTCTTCTCTCCCATGCTTAGGAGTCCAAAGTAGCCAGTGGAGGGAGAGCAAGCAAGAAATGAGAGAAACATCAACCATACACACCCCACCCCCCTCCACACACACAGGCAACATTTCTGGGTTCTGTAACAAACAAGGTGGGAAAGGAGTCTTATCTTTGTTTGACGATGTTTATTACATGAGACCAGACCTTCTATTGTCTGATTTGAGATTTTGGCAACTTAATGTGATCACAGGATGTTTTTAGTTCTCTAAGAATGATCAGGAAAGTAATGAGACTACCTGAAATTTTGATCTTGGCTGAGAAGATAAGTCCCAACCCTCCATATCGTAAAGACAAAATTGTTTTGTAATAGCACCTTATAAATTCTGTATGTCCACTAATTACATAACCTCAACAAAAATATGCTGCAACTGAATTGATACAATGCTACAATATATGTTAAAGGAATTATAACAAAGTTAATTGGGCAAAGTTTAATTGTTAGAATATCTTTACTCAAACTTCAGACAGAAAGAAACTTTCATTGTATATGACTATTTCCTGAACTCTCAAGATATTTCAAGTAATTGACTCAAAAATTAATTTCTGTTTATTTTGTTTACTTTGTTGCTTATGTAATAAGACTCTTTCATCTAAACATTCTGCTTTATACTTCTATTTTCATAGATTCTCTACAACCTCTCCAGAAATGTTGAAAGATTTTTCCATGCTAATATTTTATTTTTCTTGAAAGTTTATATGGAAACTGAGTGATTCCAAGACTAGTTTGTCTTGACAGGTGGTATCTTAAACACTACTATCCTTTCATACTCATTTTTAAATATTCATAGCAACTAAGCAATGTATGGTTAAAAAACATTGATCATTAGAAGGTTTAGTTAAAGGAATTTGTTCCAATTAAAAAATATTCAGAAAAAACATGATTTTTTACATGGGATTTAATAGATGTTTAAACATGTTTCATCTATTTTATTTCTGTATTTTCATATTAAATCACAGCTTGAGAAAGTTATGTAACCAACAGAAGATAGCTTGTTATACTATGTAGATCCACAGGCTGAAAGGAAGATGTTTGGTGTCTTTGAAAAAATGTGCCACAAAATCCATTGTAAAATTCAGTCTTCAACATTTTATAAAGTTCTTCAGTCTCCTAACCTTATTAGTTTTTTCCAAAGCCTTATTTTGTTTTGTTTTGCTTTTGTTTCCTTATATTTTTAGGTGAATCTGATCTTCATAAGAACTCAGAAGACTTAGTAAATGCTGAAGAAAAACATGATGAGACACATTCATAGGCCCGAAACACCTTAAAGACTTCTGTCATTTTAAACATGAGAGGTAATTTTATTTTATAGACCAGAAACTTAACTTCTAAAGTAAATGGTTTGCAGAATACCATTATGGATGAAATTTTCTTATTTAAATGCCCTCCTAGAGTTTTTTTAATCTCTATCATCAATCCTTTGAGACAAAATCTTAACAGGTAAACTTTAAATATTTACCTTTTCAAATAGTTCTTAATTTGTTAATCAACAAAAATTATATTTACTGGAACTGAAATTTTCAATCTTTAAAAATAATTTTAAAAATGGCCGGGCACAGTGGCTCATGCCTGTAGTTCCAGCACTTTGCGAGGCCAAGGCGGGCAAATCACAAGGTCAGGAGTTTGAGACCAGCCCGGCCAACATAGTGAAATCCTGTCTCTACTAAAAATATAAAAAATTAGCTGGGTGTGGTGGCAGGCACCTGTAATCCCAGCTACTTGGGAGGCTGAGGCAGGAGAGTTGCTTGAACCTGGGAAGCAAAGGTTGCAGTGAGCGAGATCAGGCCACTATACTACAGCCAGGGTGACAGTGCAAGACTCCATCTCAAAATAATAATAATAATAACAATAATAAATACGTTCATGGGGATGTTTAATCCTCATTTCTTTTTCCACATCATGTAAGAAATATAAATGTTTTAGACTGATTTCTTGTTTTATTTCATGTAAAAATATGTTTATACCCAGTAATTAAAACAAAGCAAGTACATATTATAAAGCAAATATCATGTTCCTTAAAATCTGTGAACATGTGCATCTATGGTTCTCTTTTTAAAAATTCAGCTTCTAGGGCTTGTTTTCAGTCTACCAAATTATTAACTCTGGGAGTGATGCCTTGAAAATTTGAATTTTTGATAAGCCAGTCTGTTGATATTTCTGTCCACTAAAATTGAGAACCACTGTCTTGAACCGATGGCGGAGATATGGGCAGTTAGAAAGGAGGGATGTGTATTTACAATGGAGATGTCTTAATATCTACTAAAAATAAGAAGAAGTAAAGAACAAAATCCAAGTGTTATAACGCATCCTGTTATGGGGGTGGTGGGTTGGGGCAAGAGAAAATGCTGAGGGTACCATTCCAAACCTTAGAGATGTTATTATTAGTTCCACAGCTGTTACTTTAGATATGAAAGTGTTAAAATGTGATTCGCTTTTAAAATAATTTCTTCCTCAATATTCTTGAGTTACAAAGACAGTTAGTTGTTAGACTGTCTTTTATTCATAAGAATAGTTTTGTGAATAGCAACAATAAAGTGTCAGGCACTGTGGTGAACATCTTGTATATGAAGTACCTTTTTGCATTTTTCTTTTTTTATTTTTGGAGACCGAGTCTCGCTCTGTTGCCCAGGCTGGAGTGCAGTGGCACAATCTCAGCTCACTGCAACCTCTGCCTCCCAGGTTCAAGCAATCCTCCTGCCTCAGCCCCGCAAGTAGCTGGGACTACAGGCACCCACCCCCAAGCCTGGCTAATTTTTTTGTATTTTAGTAGAGACAGGGTTTCAGCGTGTTGCCCAGGCTGGTCTCGAACTCCTGAGCTCAGGCAATCCGTCTGCCTCGGCCTCCCAAAGTGTTAGGATTACAGGCGTGAGCCACTGCACCCGGCCCCTTTTTGCATTTGTGTGCGGCCCGCTCAAAGTAAATATAATATTTAAGCCCGAGCAGACGATTTGGCAATTTTTTTTTTTCTGTCAAGGCCAGTTAAATTATTTAGCTTCCTTCTCAGTTTGAGAAAGCCCTGCCTTTGGTGCACAGTCTTCTGGGAAATGTGATCTTCAGTAGCACCTTATAAATTTTATATGTTCACTAATTATGTAACCTCAATAGAATTCTGCTGCAACTGAGTTGATACAGTCCTACAGTATATGTTAAAGGAATTATGTCAAAGTTAATTGGTGCAAAGTTTAATTGTTGGAATATCTTTACTCAAACTTCAGACAGAAATTCACATAGCTTCCCAAAACAAGTAGGTCTTTTAAATGAGGGAAATGAGTGAGGTCTAAAAACAACAGGAGGGGTGACGATTGGCAACTGTGACTCAGGCATGGTGTCTGGGAGACAACAGGCAGTGATCAGTCCTGGAAACAGAGAGGACACAGCACACCCAATCTGAAGGCTACAGTCAGCCACTCTTTGGCTCTGGCAGATTTTTACTCTGGCAGAGTAAGGGCCCAGTGTTGCCAGCTGTTTCTAGTGGTTAAGAAAGGTTCTTAAAGTAAACTCTTCCAATTTTTCCTATTGGCCCAAAGTTTTTTGAAATGTTTTGTGGACAAGAGAAAAATATATCTGAGGGTCAGATTTGGCATGCAGGGTTTCTGTTGCAAATTTAGCACACCTTCTTTGTGACTGATAGCTAATTCTTTGCTGGCTGCCATCACAGAAAGTGTAGATGTTATCGCAGCCTGGCCATGTCTCTGAAAGCCATTACCTGCTTTGTTCTCAATGTGTAGGTCCCACTGTGAGGCAATTTCCCAGAAAATATTGAGCTCTAATTAAATCTGTGCCGTGTTGAGACTTCATAAATCAATGTGCAACACTACACTTAGGACAAGAAAGAAACCCTTCAAATCTACTTTTCACATTGTTGTATAATTTCGCCATCATTTCTAGGAGATTTTAGACCACGAAAGTGTTTTGTTTTGCTTACATTTTTCTTTTGTGTTTTTGTTTATTAAAGGAAATAAAATGGAATGGTTGGATATATAATCCCAGGCTGCTTTATTATTTAAAAAGCTAATGGCATATCATTTATCACATTATCTTTCTTGAAAGATATGTCAGGAATTTCTGGCATTTCCAAAGCAAGCCACTATCAGACCTGTTACCCACTGGGAGGAAAGTGTTCCCTATCACGACCGGTGTCTACTCTTTAACGTTGAGTGTGCTATCCAACAAGAGATCAAAATTGATCATTTGTTGCTGTATTTAGTCAGTAGACTTGCCTGGACTTTCACACTGATTTAAAATATCTTTTGGAATATCTTTAGGCAGGGCTTATGTTCTTTAGTTGACTACAGTCCCTGTGAGTCTAGTTGTTTTACACTCACACTGGCCCACTTAACTCATTTACACTACCTGACAGGCCCGTATGCCTATCTGATCTAGAGAACCAGAGTTTTTACTGGAATTGAACACACACACATACAAACACACGCACACACACCCAGAGCAGAAATAGGAAGAGAAATTCCAACTGATGTAAAACCACTATCTATTAGAAAGATAGTAAAGAAAGCCAGGACGGGTGCGGTGGCTCATGCCTGTAATCCCAGCACTTTGGTAGGCCGAGGTGGGTGGATCATGAGATCAGGAGATCGAGACCATCCTGGCTAACACGGTGAAACCCCGTGTCTACTAAAAATACAAACAGTTAGCCGGGCGTAGTGGCGGGCGCCTGTAGTCCCAGCTACTCGGGAGGCTGAGGCAGGAGAATTGCGTGAACCCGGGAGGCGGAGCTTGCAGTGAGCCGAGATGGCGCCACTGCACTCCAGCCTGGGCGACAGAGTGAGACTCGTCTCACCAAAAAACAAATAAAATAAAATAAATTAATTAATTAAAATTTTTTAAAAAAAGAAAGCCCTTATTTTTGACAAGGTATGTAAAGTGCAATGTGAATTGCCACACAGTAATTGATACCTGTGTATGACTAAGTGATGACCTTCAGTTTCTATGTTTTCTTTTCTTTTTATTTATTTATTTTTAAATTCACAAATAAAAATGGTGTGCAACATGTTTTTTTTTGAAATTGTGGAATGGCTAAATCAAGCTGATTAACATATTCATTACTTCACATGCTCATCTCTTTTTGTGGGGAGAACATTTAAAATCTCTCTTAGCAGCAGTTTTCAAGAATATGATCCATTGGTTTTTAACTACAGTAACCATGTTTTACAGTAGACCCTTGAACTGATTCCTCCTATCTAACTGGAATTTTGTACTCTTTGACTAGCATGCGCCCAACCACTTCCCACTCTTTCTTCTCTGATCCATATTTTCATTTGGATTTTATTTCAGGACAATGAAATCAGCATGAAAACATCCTAAATTCTCAACTTTCCACAAAGCTATGGCTCTTCTTTCAACATAGAATTGGATTGGGCCATTTTAATTGACTCCTATACAAGGAATTAAGAAGAACATAAATTTTGAGCTAGTAACTCTGGCCAAATAAATACACTCAAGTTTTTATCAGAGTTTTTGGCCAGTGCTTCTGCCATTTTTTTCCCTCCACAATTTGGCCTTCTTCAATCAAGCCAGATAAATTTTTGAGACAAAAGTCAGACAGTTTTTAATTTTTCTTGCTTTGAACCCTGTCATAATGACTGTGCAATACATGTGCAGAAGATGAGGTATTTTAAAATTTACTTCCTTGCACTGTCTTACACAGAGTGCTATAACTATAAATTTTTCAAGGTCTTAAATAAAAGGAAGCAAAAACAAAATTATTGAAAAATTTTTTTTGTTGTGCTGGGGAATATACTATTTAGATTGTCCTTCTTATTTTAAATGCATGGGAACAGAATGACAGGTGGGATGCTGAGGAGCTGGTTGAAGCATCAGAGCAATGCTACAGTCCAACAATGGAGCATTAGATCCCCAGCTAGGTGACCTGATGAACACCTTTGTAAACTCTCATACTGGGAAATGGCAGTGAAACCTTTTTCTGAACCCGTGGACCAGCCTGCGTCCGTCCCCATGGTTTCAAAGCACGAATGCATTACCTCCATGGTTGTGGTTACAAGCAAGTCACATGCTATCTACAGTTCATGATAACAAGACCGTCAACCATTGCTGGAGACAGACACTAGAATGGAAAATGAAATTTGCCAGCGGGATGTTTATCCCATCAGAATGTAACAAAATATATTACCAGCCAAGAGATAAGAGACAAGAATGTGTGTGTGTGTGTGTGTGTGTGTGTGTGTGTGTTCAAAAATGTCTATGAAAATGAAAACCCACACTTTTCTGTACAGATAACATTATTTGATGTGACTTTTATATTTTACTACACAGAAACAAACTGCAGCCCTCAGAGGCCCTGCTTCCTTGTCATGTTTTGCCTGAGCATGTGCAAAGTCTTTCCTTTGCTTAAAGCTGAAAAACTACCTTTATGCATTGTTAGCTGACAAGAAAGATCAAGCACAATTAGATGTTGTAACTTTTCACTGTACAAGCATTGCAATGATTGTGAGCTTCAGTGAATTTATCTTTGTGAAAGGTAAAAATTGGCTGGAAAGAATCAGGAGTAGCCATAAATTAAATCATGCAAAGGAGGATCCATGCATCCTAACAAGTTTTCTGCTGCATCTGCTTCCTTCCTGGGCTCCACAATGTTAAGCAATATTTTAGAAAAGGGTACAATTGGAAGCTTTTAAGCCTGAGTGGTGAGATTTTATAACTCACAACTTAGATCTCTTTTAATGTGTAAGCCATATTCTATATGCATATTTATTATGCATCATTGTAATTTAAGATATATTTGGATGTAGGCTGTATAAATGCTTTTAATTGTTCTGTGAATAGATCCTTAGCTTTAGTTTCACCTGAATCTTGTGCAAAACACAGCTAAATAATTGAATTGTATTATAGACATTATGAGGTAATTGATCTTTTAAATGTAAGGAGTAAGATTGATCTATAATAATGTGCTGGGGAAAACATTTATAGATATGTACATCATGGTTACTTTTTGTCCTTTCAAATGGACTTTTTATTTCTATTTATGGAGAGACTGTAACTACTGCTTTTAATGTCTTTTTAAAGCAAGCTATTTACCAGCTTGAAAATATCATGCATTTAAAATAGAATCTATCTGGGGAGTCTAATTACTATTGTTCCTATTTGAGCCAGTTGTCTTTCAGTAAAGCTATAGAATCTCTCAAAGAAGTAAATAGAAATACTACTTCTTAAATGTCATAGGAAGCATATCCACTTTGTTTCTATTAGTACTTTAAGATCTA
This sequence comes from Homo sapiens, assembly GCF_000001405.40. Taxonomy (NCBI): domain Eukaryota; kingdom Metazoa; phylum Chordata; class Mammalia; order Primates; family Hominidae; genus Homo; species Homo sapiens. The sequence goes on along the minus strand of NC_000002.12, from coordinate 182,141,092 downwards.
TAAGACCTTATTACTAAAAAGTAGAGGAATATAAAGAATTCATCAATTTCTGTATATGGGCTTTAACCTAATTTTCCAGGTTATGCGACTTATAAAGCACTGTGACCAAACTTCCAGAGACAGTAAAAAAAAAAAAAAGAAAAAAAAGTTTTACTCCTTCAGAAGTATTGTCATGCTACTGCTGTACTTATTTTCCTAATCTCTCTCTATCTGCTATACTCCCTCCTTTTCTTTCTTTTTCTTTTAAGCTTTTATATTTATTCCTTCCTTTGTTTTCCTCTCTGTAAGACAGCTACTACTGAGCACTAATTAGTAGAAAGTCAGAGTGGAGGTTATCTGTGCATGTCTTTCTGCAAACATTACTGTTGAGGCCATCTGAAGAGAGGGATTGATAGGTTAGGCTGTTGCACCGTGAATGTCCTGCTTTGCATTTTTAACCTCAGCTCCCCAACATATATATCTTGCAGTTTATATGCCTTTTCATTTAACCGAAACCTCTTTTATTTAATTTTTAACATAACAACCTACAATTCTTGTGTTTTTATTATGCTGTATTTTTCTGTGTTTCTTATTACATGTGATTGCTAAATAAATCATATTTGAGGGAAAACATTGTGAAACATTTGGTGTTTTATGCAATTCAATTTAGTGAGGCATTGAAAAGTTGGAGAAATTGGGGGAAACCCAAAGGAGACCAACTTAAAAATTGATATGAGTTTGGTAAGAAAGTGCTTTTTGTTCCATTAAATAAATACTGATTGAATTACTTATTATTATACCTATTATTCATAAGCTCCTGGCTGGAAGCATGGTGCATATATGCATATGGCAATATTTCCTCTAGAAATTTCAAGTCTTATAAAGGAGATAATCTACACAGACTGTAATTTATACCTAATAACTAGAATGCCACATAAAAAAGTAACCAGTTGCAAATAAAATGCACCTATGTATATTTGAGGAGGTAAAAAACTGCTTCTGTCTTCAGAGCTTTCAGGACTAAGTGGTGCATCAGTTGGCATTTAGTAAATAAAAACAAGTTTATAAACATTGCCTATTTTCCATGTGTGGCCTCCATGTCAATGCTTAACAATATTATCTCAAATCCTCACAGTAATCCAGTAAAGTGGTGTTGATATGAACAAAGGAAACCAAGTCTCAGAGAAAAAGCTTTGTCCAAGGCCATGCAGGTCTCCATTGGCCATGCAGGTCTCCATTGGCAGACTCCACACTGGATTTGGTTCTGTGTTTCTCCGGCACCTTGTTTTCTTTCTACAACATCCACGTGGGGCTGGGCAGAAGCACAGCAGAAGGAAAGGGTCTGTGAAGAAGAGCAACGTGAATAAGGCAACACCAGAGAAGAATAAAGTAGCAAAGAGTGTTGAATCAAGGTGAAGACCCAGTGAGTCTCAATTAATTGAATTAAGAGTAACTGGCATGGTATGTGTGAAACCTTAGGCTGTGTCTCTATGAAGCCAATGAGTTCCAGAAGAAGATGTAAACACTTAACTGGTCATCAAATATGTGACACTTAGCTGAATTTTTTACTTTAAGTATGATTACATGATAAATTTCCACCTAATATCAAAAAGCTTTCAAAGGCTATATTTTAAATATGAAAGTCCATATTTATGTTTAGAAATATAATTTAGATATAAAACACATATTTCCTTTGGAAGCAATAATATATTAAGCCTTCTGTCCTCTGTTTAAATGTTTTTCTAAATACGGCAAACCTTCTCTACCATTTAATACAAGTCCTGGACAATAAAGACAATGTATATTTTAGAGTCTAAAAAGCAAACACCTAATAATGTCCTGCATTATTACATTAATCTTATCATTTCTTTGGAGGTAATTGTAAATATTTAAGATACATTTTCTATATATGGGCCAACATTATGTTTAAAGCTCTAGTTGGGGCTTTTTATTCCTTAATAACATTAATTAATTTCTAGGTAATTTGCTTAATATGTGTGAAGGTTGGAGAGTTTCCTTTGCATCTCAGTTGATATATTTTTATCTCTGACAATTAAAGAGTATAATCATGTAGTTTTAGTTTATTGTAGTCATACTAGTGCATTATATTATTTTCTTACATTATCTCTTTTACTTCCTACAACTACTCTGTAAGGCATTATTATTCGTTATTATAGGTAAGGAAGTGTGGCAGAGGAAGGTAAAATAATTTGTGTAAGGTCAAGCAACTAGTAAGTAGAGGAACCAGATCTGAAGTCTAAGGGAGTCTGACTCAAAACCACTAGGCTAGATTGCCTCTGGCCACTGGAGTAGGATCTGTCATGTTTTTTTCTGCTTATGATATTCATTACCTTCCTTTTTTACTCTTTGTTCCATTTTGCAGGCTCTTGTCCCTAAAAACTATCACTATGAGAGGGAAGAATTTTCAGTGACCAACAGCAGGACGGTGTGTGCTTTGGTGACCAATTTAACCACGTATTACTGTAGAAAAGGTGTCTTTTATTTTTGTGGATGGGAGAAACCATTTTCCATACTTAATATATGACTGTAAAGTGTCCTTTTCAAAAGTAACCACTGGTCCTCACTCTACACTTGCTACTCAAAATGTGGTCCACACCTGTGAACTTCTTAAAAATAATCTCAGGTTTCTATTAAACTGGAATTGGCATTTTACAAAGATAACTAGGTGATTTCTATACAAATCACTGTTCTAGACAGTAATTACATACTATTCTAAGCACCTACTAGCCACTTAAATACAAGGTTGTTTTTCTTCACAGTAGAGGTTCTTAACAAGTGACTTTTGACTACTGTACCCTTCCTTAGATCTATCAGCAAACGTCATGGAACAAAGGCTAAAGGTTCAGGCTCTTGCGTCATTTAATGAAGTGTATGTATCTGTATTGATGAAATGTGGTTCCTTACACAAATAATTAGAGGAGGACTTGGAGGAAAGACATTAAGACTTGAAAAAAGACATTAAATGTGTGAGCATGACCATATGGCTTTTAGAGCAAAAAAAATCTTTGAAAGCAAAATTCTTCATAAGAGGCATTAACATAGTTGATTGATCCTGTTTTCATTGGCCTATCAAATATTGCAATTGAATTATATAGCGTACAAAGGCAACTTTACCTTGCACAAGTGATAAATACATAACTGTTAACCTAAAAACATAGTTTGATGTGTTTCACTCTTATCTGTCAGCTTTTTTTAAAACCTTAAAATACAGAAAAAGTTATGGAGAATACGCTTGAAATGTATGGGGTAGGGTGATGGAGAGGACATTAAACATTAGAGCTAATTGCCAAGCCTAGAGTGGAAGGAAAAGGGTTTGTGTTAACTTTGGAAGCAGCAAGCCATCTGAATTCAGAAACATAATATACCAAGGAAAACAAAAAGAAAACAGGGAGCTGATATTGGTTTACAGAAGGAAAGGGAGCTGGGTGTATTTTCACAGTGACATAAGCCCAGAGAGTGTGCAGGATGGGTATCTGGGAGACCTCATTCCATCTGAAACTGTGGGGTGAGCCACACAGTGAGAAAAGATTCGTTTTAGGCAGTAGGAATGAGGGAGAACTGAAAAGGAAAAAGATGGGCAGTGTGTGAGACGACATTTGTTCTTTGGTTTACTGAAGAAGCATTGGCTTTGGGCAACTGAATTTGGTTGGGCAAATTTTTCTGCATATGGTACAACTTTCTGTCTTTTTGGGTCCTGTATTTACATCCCATCATAAGCCAACCAACAGTGTAATTGTTTCTTGTTTGGGTGTCTTATTTTCTGTTTTGGATTTGCACCTTGAAGAGGCTGAAGCATGCACAGGATTCTCAGGAACCTCCCCTGACTGAAGGACTTCTAAATTAAATAAATACAAAACTCACAACATTCAGCTTTTCTCTAGGCAAAGCCAGGCTCAGAAAGCCCTACTAATGTGGCAATGTCATGCTTTCAGGTGTTTCTTGCTTTCAGAGCACAGAGGTAGACGTGCACCAACCTATTCAGAAGTCAGATGCTCCAAAGGTAATGGGAACTAAACCTGTGAGGAGGTACAAAATCGAGGGGCTGTAGTATTAATCTATGTGCTGTAATTTTAAATTTTAAGATAACAGAGTGACCCAAGGCATGTTTAATAAACTTCTGGAAGGTAAATAGTAATAGCCACTAACTGATATTATATCTTGAAATACACAGCTGAAGTGTATACACACACACACACAGAAACACACACATATATATAAAATCTTCCTGATCTCATACGTATGGAAGAAAAAATTAATATTATGATCTGTAGTGAGCGAGAGTTTATACGAAGAGCAGGAATCTATTTTTTTTCCAAGTCAAACTTTTTTTCTATAGATATGATCCTATAAATTATCTTTTAGAGATCACATACTCCTTAAAAAAATTTTTTTTTCAAAATCCTTGACTTTGGATGTTGATGAAATGTTTACTTTTACCCTCAACTTCATTGGCATTCCATCTTAGCATTTCTAAATTATTACTTAAATATAGATATAAAATATGTCCTTTTTAATGTACTCATTCTAAAAGGTATTAAAGTGTACTAGAGTTCATTATTAAAAATTGATTTTCTGATGAATAATATCATACATGCATATGAACAAGTGAAAATAAAAATGTCTATTTAGAATTAAGAATATACCTGTGCATCAAGCATGAATCAATTTTACCTTAGTATGTGTGTGTGTTTGTGTGTATGAGTGTGTGTGTGGGCATATAAAAACTTGGTGGTTTCAGATGAAATATTAAATTAGAGATTTCAGACGGGCACAATGCCTCACACCTGTAATCCCAGCACTTTGAGAGGCTGCGGTGGGCAGATCATGATGTCAGGAGTTTGAGACCAGCCTAGCCAAGATGATGAAACTCTGTCTCTACTAAAAATACAAAAATTAGCCAGGCTTGGTGGTGTGTGCCTGTAGTCCCAGCTACTCGGGAGGCTGAGGCAGGAGAATCATTTGAACCCGGGAGGTGGAGTTTGCAGTGAGAGGAGATAGCGCCATTGCACTCCAGCCTGGGCGACAGGGCAAGACTCCATCTCAAAAAAAAAAAAAAAAAGACATAAAGTAAATTAGAGATTTCAAGTTTCTAAACTCCTTGTTTTCTAACTCCTGCTCCACTCATTGAAATCACAATTTTCCCACTGAAAAACAGAAGCAAGTGACAGCTACAGCGCCTTTTAAATGATAGTTTGAATGATATCTGTCTCAGATTACAAAAGTAATATGCATTTAATCTCTTATTTGTAAACAAACTCCATTTTGTTGTTGTTACAGATAGCATCTACATAGCATTCTTCACTTAGTCTGCAAGGTAGACTAGACATTCCATGGGGTCAGGGGTTTATGTTTTGTTACTTTGTTTTCCCATAGCCTAACACGGCTTGCACACAACATAGCCTGACTGTTTTTGATTGAATTTGTTAAGTTGAAGGCAGCTATATATTCCTGAAGCCTTTCGGGGTTTACCTCTTAAGATTGTTGCAAGAAGTAAGTATATTGATAGAGGTAAGGAACTTAGAGCCTGTTGATTCATGTACCTTAGTGTTAGCTATTGTTTGTTCATTTATATTGGCATTTGTTCCTGGCTATGTGATGCAAACCTATTAGGTTGGTGCAAAAGTAATTACAGTTTTTATATCTGAACATGTAATCGCTAAAATTCATTGAGTGCTTACATAAGTCTGCTAAGTTCTAAGTTTCGTGTCTCTACCAACTTATTTCTCACAGCAATCCTAAGAGATAAATATTACTGTTATATCCATTTTATAGAGAGGAGGACTGAGACAAAGCTAGGAGAAGCAATGCATTCATGGTCTTCCATCCTGGAAGATGCAGGCTTGGGATTCTGATTTCAGAGTTCATGCCCTCAGCATCGTTTTACTCTTTCAAAACTAAACCAAACTTCAAGAGATTGCTGAACTTGAGAGAATCTATGATTTCTTCAGCTGTTGAGAACCTTGCCATGGCATTGTGCTTGGGTCAATTTAAAGCGTATAATTTCTATAAGGATTATAGACTCATTTCTTCTTTCTAATCAAAGAGCGTTGCATTCTTTAAGTCTTTACCACTTTACCTGTGTTGAACATTTGGCTTCTCTTTCCAGCTCTTTTTACTTAGTCTTTTCTGTATACAGTTGTTATGCTAAATCTCCCTAATGAATTCTTTGGAAATATTGCTCCTTTTCTTAAAAACAATTTCTCCTTGTCTACATCAGAGGTCAGCAAAATTTTTCTGTAAAGGGTCAGATAGTAAATATTTTAGGCTTTGGAAGCCACATACCATTATACCACCCTCATCCTGCTGCTCCTCCTCCCCCTCTTCTCCTTTCCTTTCTCCTCCTCCTTCATCATTTTCTTCTCCTCCTCCTTCTGTTTCTTCTGATCCTTCTCCTTTCTCTTCCTTTTCTCCTTCACAACCATTTAAAAGTGTAAACTATTCTTAGCTGGTGGGGAGAGAGCATGCAAAGACCAGCTACATGGCAAATTTGGCCCACAGGCCTGCTCTGCACAGCACTACTATTTCAGGTCAAAGAACTTGGTACCCTAGGAAAAAGAATGAGGCTGCTTCTGCCAGGGACAGTCACCCCAGGAGCTCCAGCTTCTCCAGGCCCTGCTAGCCACCCTGAGGACTGCAAATGTCACTATCTATCTCCAGCACACCTGCCACTCATTCCCAGTACACACATCCGTTTGGAAGGCCTGGCTACAGCACTGGTTCTCAACCCTTAGCATGCATCAACATGGCCTTAAGGGTTTGTTAAACTACAGAAGTCTAAGCCCCATCCCCAGAGACTCTGATTCAGTAGTTCTGGGATGGGCCTGAAGCAAAGCTAATGCTGGTAGACTGGGGATCTCACTTTGAGAGCCACTGGCCAGCAGGTAAAGCTTAAACTCCTTAGCATAATTTTCAAAGCCCCTCACAGCCTAACCCAGCCCATTTTCAGTCTAGCCTTCATTACAGTATTCACTGTTCCTGATGCCTTTGCACTGAGTGCCTCTTCTACCTGAGTCTTGCTGCTCCCTTTGTCATCTTTACCTGTCCCTGTCCCTTCTTCCTCTAAGGATCTGTGCATTTGCCTGCTCTCTTGCAAAGCCTCTTCTCATTCCTCTAACCAGAACTCCATCTCCTCTTTGGATGAACACTGATCTGCTATCCCTCTGTGCGAAAGAATTGCAGCTCTCTGTCATACACTTGCTGCTAGATTTTTAGGGAAAAAAGCACTGAGTTTTACACACTGTAAATGTTCAGTAAATATTTGTGGAATAAATGGATGTGAATAAATGAATGAAGGCAGGAAGGAAAAGTGTATTATTATTTGTCCTGCTTGGTATGTGATTGAGTCAGTCCTTTTCAGATAACATCTCCAGTTAATTTAGTCAAAATAAGACCCACTTTTCAAGCACTTTAGATCTGCAAAATCCCAAAAGCCATTTATGTTTTTTTTCTCAGAGCAGACAAATGGGGAGTGCATCAATTCTTAATAGCATACTAAAAGCAAACCTGAATTATGTGAGAGAAACAGTAAGATCTCTTCATCTCTCTCTTGTCTGTATGCTTGGGGAGTTGGGTCTGCTGGTGTAGAGATATGTTCATAACAGCAAATCCTAAACTTTGCTAAGAAGAAAAGTTCACATTTCCTAGTTGATTTCCTACAGCCTTGACGATTAATAATGGGAACCATACAGGATTTAGAACAATAATGACTAATTCTTAGTCATTGGTGGTTGGTAGCTGCTAACTGTAACATTTTCTAATCTGAAGACATTTCTTAACCATTAATACTTTGATAGAATGGTAAAATAATGACAAAGAATATTTAAAGGGTCCAGACAGTATCTGACCCATTTTTTGGCCCTTGATGAACAGAAAATAATATTATTTTGTATTTATCCAGATACCATTAAATTTGTTACATTTTATGTGGAAGACTTGAGGCAAGAAATATCTCACCCAAGATAGCTCATGAAATTTGGCCTTCAGTTCAATTTTGGACTTCACTTTGTCACTTACCAGTGCTGTGGTCTTGGACAAGCCTAAATTTTTTCATCTATAAAATGGAAATAATTAAAGTGCCTATCTAATAGGTACTTTTGGAATGATTAAGTGAAATGTTCTATACAAGGTGCTGAGAATATCACCTGACACATAGAAAAACAGAAATAATATGAGCTATACAAATAAAAACCTACCTAGAGCTTCACCCCTTTCTTTTAAAATTAATTGATATTTACAGTTTCAAGAGCATAGCATGGCTTTAACTTTAGTAGCAATATCTTAAAAGTCCACATGATGGAGAGGTTGCTCCATGCAGAGTAGACCAGCCATTCCATAGTAAAGATTATATTATCATTAATTTACCACTTATGTCCTTGCTTGAGAGGAAGGCTAAATTATACATATATATTAATTAGATACAGAGAGAGATTAATATATAGATTTATATATATATGTGTAGGTAGATATGTTGATTTGTTCACTGGTTGCTATATCATGTAGATATTCTATTTGGGGGAACAATTTTAATGCAAATATTAAACAGAAAAATATCAACATAAAGATAAAATAACAGTAACCTTTGTATTTCCTAGACAGCTCGTTAAATAAAAAATATCTTCAGACATCCAGGTGCACTGAGAAGCAACAATAGCAATTTCTCAAAGAGGAAAACTATGTACACATACACATACACACACACACACAAACACACACACACACACACACACAGCAGCAAACTCCCCCAATTTCATGGACTCCTCATTAGCAAAACAAGCTTTCTGCAGAGGAAATGAAAAAGGAAGGGACTTTTCATAAGTGGAAACTGTCCATGTGAGAGGAACAGACTCATTCAACAAGCATGGTAAGTCAGCTGCAGTCTAAAAGTCGAGTGTGTCAACACTGAAATCACCATCAAACCTTTCCTCAGACAGAAATGGGGGCAAAAGGAAAATAGCCATGGTGCAAAAGACGCGTTCATGTGGAAATGACTTAGCAGCAGTGGACAGGAAGCTGCTAAGAATAAGTTGTGTGGCCAGAGAGGGAGAGGGAAGGAGCTGGCCTTGCCCTCCCTCGGGTCCTCTCCCTCTGGCTATCTTTCTCTTTTCACCGGAGGCACCCTTTGTGAGGACCTCCTCACCTCTGTTACTGTGTCCAGTTTACTCTGGATGTCCTCCTCTGTTCTCACCTGGCTTCTCCCTAACAGACAAGAATATGGAAATTATAACTTTGGGAGGTATTTGTTTAGTAAAGTGTTTTTCTGTTTTTGTTTTGTTTTGTTTTGAGATGGAGTCTCGCTCTGTCACCCAGGCTGGAGTGCAGTGGCGCGATATCGGCTCACTGCAACCTCCAACTCCAGGGACAGTGACTGCAACCTCCAGCTCTGCCAGGGACAGTCACCCCAGGATCTCCAGCTTCCCTAGGCCCTGCTAGCCACCCTGGGGACTAATAATTCTCCTGCCTCAGCCTCCTGAGTAGCTGGGACTAAAGGCACATGCCACCATGCCCGGCTAATTTTTGTGTTTTTAGTAGAGACAGGGTTTCACCATGTGGCCAGGCTATTCTCAAACACCTGACCTCAAGTGATCTGCCAGCCTTGGCCTCACAAAGTGCTGGGATTACAGGCTTGAGCCACTGCACCTGGCCCTTTAGTAAAGTTTTATTTCTCTGTGCTTAATTTAATAGAAATCAGGTTAAATTTCTTCTCTATCTTTCCTTTAGAAACCTTCTTTTTTATTTCCATACAGCAAAACATTTTATGAATATACATATATACATATTTAGTGTACATTTTATATATATGTGTATATATACATATTTTGCATACACATACATGTGTATATAGAAATGTATACAAGCACATATATAAATTATAGACACAAACACACACACACACTGCTCAATAGAAAAAAAATTTAACTCCACATTGCACAATGAAAGAAAACAAGGAGATTAATTTTGGCAACTGTATTTTCCCCAGAATATTGCATTAAATTATCTTCTACAGATATAGTTGTGGGTGTTTATGATGACAATGTCTATTTTTTAACACTGTTCTGCCAATACGACAAAAAACTTACTTTGAAAAATCTTATTTAGGTACTAACCAGTTCCAATTAACTCCTTCCTATATATTCCATTTATTCTGACAATAAAAGTGTGTAGCTCGAGCTTGTTATCATAGGCAAGTCCAGGATTTAGTAGTATCATTCCTGTCTTAGAATTGACCTTCATGTCATTTTAATTTTTAAACTATTGGGTGTTCTCAAAAGCAAATAAAGGACCAATGTAATATTTAAAACACTTGACAAATGTAACAAACAAGTGACAAATTCAAAACAGAAAAATCTATGTTTCATTAGGGTAAAAGAAGAGAGCAACATATAATTAGTCTGCTTAGGAAAACACATCCACAGAATATATGCTGCAGGAGAAATGTAACAGGAGACTCACTCATCTACTGCAAGGCTTTGAAAAATGTTGGTATCTGTAAACAATAAAGAAAGAAAAGATATTCTTCTCTAATTATTAAAGAGATGTTCAACCATCTGCAAACTATTTTTTTAAGTTCTTGTTGTTCCCTTCCTTTGATTCATGCAAAGCCATGTTGTACCTTTGCTACTTTTGAGAATAATGGGACTTTGAAGTCAATTAAACTCATTCCTCAGCTTGAAGGGAGCAGCAGGTAGAATGTTGTCTTTGGCTCCTCATTAAGTAGTATATTGTTCCTTTCAATGATCTAATATCTACAGCATAATCCACAATTCCGCAGGTAGGTCTGGGTGATTATGCTTTTTCATATTTTATTTCTTTGGCAATACAAAGTCTAAGAGTAGGAAGTAAAAGTTAGTACTTAAATCCTGGGGCAAGTAGGGAGGATAATAATAATGAACAATTTGTGAAATTATTTTTATTTTTATTTTGCAACTTATGAGAAATCAAGAAAGGGAAACAAATTAAAGATTGATGCCTTGTTCTTTAAGAAAAGGTTATACCTAAGATTGTCATAAACTCAGCAATTCTCTCATTTTACATGATAAAGGTTATTTTTAAAATATAGATTTAGACATAGGAAACATTTTTAAATGAACCATGTACTTTTTTTATTAAAGTTTCAAATTTACTTCTTTTATTTCTTATAAGTCATCTTAGTTTGAAGTCAATGCCCAAGAATTAAAGTAGAACTCAGGGTTTTCTTCCCAGCTTAGCCTCATTAGCAAAAGTATCTGCCTATGCTTTATGTCTGAATTGGAGGAAGTTTAGCTCTAAGTCAATATATAAGACAGTATAAGAAAGAATAAAAGTCTATGGCTCCTAAGGAGGATAGGCTTTTTTATTCTAAAATCTATCACAACTCAAACAGGTCAGAAGCTAGTTAGTGGAAGCGTTTGTTGGATTATTGGTTCATTTGGGGACACTTATTTTCTTTGGACTCTAGTTTTCTTATCTATAACATAAATCCTACCTGTCATACATAATTAATGTGATTATTAACAGAAATATAGGTGAAGCCACTTAATTAATTATAAATAATTGAATAAATCTTTACTAGCAGGATGGCAATAACAATAAAATAGCCTTTTTATTTTTATAAGTCTGCTGCATAATTCAGTAGTTGGCAGGTAGTAGACTATCAGTAAAATCTGTGGAACTAAATTAAATCAAGACCAATGGAATTTGAAAAAGAAACAAGGCAATAAATAAACACAGTGGAATTTGAAAAAGAAACAAAAAAATGTTTTTGAAAGACTCCCTGTTGTAAGAGAAGGCTCAGATTCCAGAATTAGAAAAACTAAAAATGAATCACTTAAAATGTACCTAAACTCAAGATCCCTTTTTTAGTTGTAGAGAGGAATAAACTAAAACCAAAGGGAAGGACTTGGCAAATGGTGTAATAAAAATTATTAGAAAAAAGCAATAAGTGAAGAAACAGCTTCTGAAAAACATGTCAATACTTATGTATAAAATATCTAAAGTGCTTCAGGAGGTAATCCAGTAGAAAGCAACGTGGCATCATGATGGAATCGGAGGTGGTGTTTGTTTTGTGTTGGGATTTTTCCAAGCTCGAGTAGAAGCACAGCACTAACAAGTCAACTTCTGGTTGTTATCAACTCATTTTGCACCTGGAGGAGAAAAAGAAAATACTTCAGAACACAGTGGAAACTTTCCAGAGGATTTAATACCATGTCATGTAAATCTCTGTAAAGGGAAAAATCTGGTATGCAGCACTTAGTAGCAACAAAGCTTGTATGCTAGGATAGAGTCAATTATCCAATTAGTGATTTGTAAGAGGAAAGTTTTCCTGGAAGAACTTCTAAATTTTAAAAACAAACAACAAGCAAAAAAACTGATCGTCACTATTTAGGTCATTTTCTAAAGGGAAGTTTTAAAAGACAAAAATCAACTGGTTACAATGCTCATTTTATTACATACATACATGCATATATACATACGTACATACATATGCATATGTGTGTTCATGCATTTCTAACTCAAGCAATTTTATTCCGTTGGCTGTCATACAAGCACACAGATATCATTTCTCTTCTGAGCCCATATTCTCATAATACTGCTGCTTTCTGTCTATTCTCATCTCTTCTTTTTTCCTTTACAACTTGCCTGCAGTTCTTGAAAGAAAATTAGAAAGGAGAAACAGATCTTAGAGTCAGAGGGGCCCTGACAAGATTCTCTGATCTTCTATTATATAATTCTCCACGTTTTACCGAGCAGAAAACTCAGTTCTAGAGTGGTTAAGGGACTTGCCCAATGTCACACAGCTTTGATAAAAAGGAGACGCTACCTTTTGCAATATTACCATTTTATTTCCTTCCAGAAACTTATCATTATCAGAAATGATTTCATTACTTTATTAGTTTACATGTATTTGACTGCCTTCAAACACTAAAATATACACCCATGAGTTTAAGGACTCTCACTTCTTATTAATACCTAGAATCAGCAGCACTTAAACAATGTTTAGCATGTCATAGGTATTCCTACATATTTATTGAATAATGAACTAGAATTTTGGTCTTGTGTTTGTAAAGGATACCTTTTAAAACTTCACCAAATAATCCTATGAAAAACAGCACAGAACAGTTAATAATATCTGACTGGTTCTATCCAGCCCGTATTACCTAATATATGCATTTTTAATTGGCAAAAATGTCTACAGAATGTTAATATTTTTAACTCCTTGACAAATATGAATAGTCTGTGGTTCATTTAAATGCCTTAAGGAAGAAGAAAATCCCAAAACTCTGTTCACTTGGGAATCAGATACTGCTGAACGTTCAACAAATACCTATGCTGACTTTCACTATGAGAACCCTAATTTAGCTGGGATGTGGCAAGGCACCTGGTTAAAAATATTTACTTTCTCCAACACTGTTGCATCAAGGGATAGTCCGGTGACACAGTTCTGGCCTACGAGACATTAGTTCAAGATTTCTAAAAAAGTTTTGCTTCTTTGTTATTGGTTCTTCCCCTTTTCTTCCCACTGTTCTTTCTACTTGGACCGACCAGATGCTTGGAGCAGCAGCTTGGTTGAGATGTGAGTTTACAACTCTGAGAATGTTGAGAAAAATGAAAATTGCCTGTTGCTTGTTGGTGTCTTGATTCACTATTCCAGTCCTAGACATTTTATTACTTGACATAAACATATCTCTACACCGTTGTTTGCTGGTTTTTCTTTTATTTGCTGCCAAATAATTTTCTACATGACACAATTTTGAACTTTCTAAATGTAAATTTGAAGAAAAATTCTCTAGGCCTCACTTTTTCTACCTGTAAAATGAGGGCCATAGACCAGAACTGTGACTCATTTTCCAGCTCAGAAAATGCTAGCCCCTCTAGACTGCTCTCACCTCTTGAAAACAAAGTCATGGTAATGTGCTCCACAAACCTTACAAGTTTATGTCACCAAAGTTCAGCTGGACTTCTGGTAACTGTCTGCCTTGTAAGTTAACACTTTGTCTGAAGAATTATTTGCTGAATATACTCTAATATTCTGTTACTTTCAGGATTCTAATATGGTAATTTTATATACTGCTGGGATTCTCACTATGTTCGTTCCTTCGAATTAGCTTCATTGTTACTGAAATTCAGAGAAAAGGGAAAACCCTGTTAAGTCATGTTTATAGCGTAAGAAATTAAAAACAAAGATGAATCCAATATCATTTTAATTTACTTCATCAAGAATTTTTCCCTTGTCTCCAAGTTACAAATTCCCTCCTTTACCTACTTTTCTCTCTAATCCAGTCTCTTGTTCATCTTCCCTCTATACACCAAGTCTCCATTGCCTGCATGAAATATATTATTATATTCAGTAGGGGAAGTGGCTGCACCCCTACACACAATGTCTGTGTCCACAAAATAAATGTCAAGGAAAGACCTACGGTTGAGTGGTAGTCTCTTTACAAAATGTCATCAGGCACCTATCATTCATGTTGATTATTTCAGAATTTACAGGACAATGCTGCATTGCTGTGTGAATTATGTGAGATGTTTGCATCTCACATATTACGTGAGATGTTTACTCACTTAAAATGTCATTTAAAACCAAACATTCCCCCTAGCATTTTTATAAAGCTCTTCTCTGATATAGTTCTTCAAAATGTTATGATGTTATAAAATCTAACAATTTAATTTTGTTAACATAGACAAAATAGACATTTCAGCAACATAGACATTTCTTATTAATTAATGCAACTAATGGAGCTTTGAGGACTGGTTTTTGGAATCACTGAGTTAGAAAATAAGTAAAGGCATTTCTTCTACATTCTGCTTACTCAGAGAAAGCAAATATTAAAAATTGTATATGTATATAGACACTTTAACATAAGTAGACATGCTTTTTCTATTATTCATTTTGCAATTAAACTGTTTGCTTTTTGATAGTGGCCAAAAAAACATATAAAGACTTTTAAAAAAATACAATATATATGGTTTATTTATGAATGCATAAATCTATATTACAATTAAATGAACTCTGTAATACTTACACTTAAGTTGTTTGCTATGACAATATTTAAAACCAGTGCTTCCCTAAATGCCCACATTAGAAAGTGGGAAAGATCTAAAATTGACACCCTAACATCACAATTAAAAGAAGTAGAGAAGCAAGAACAAACAAATTCAAAAGCTTGCAGAAGACAAGAAACAACTAATAGCAGAGCAGAAGTGAAGGAGATAGAGACACAAAAATCCCTTCAAAAAATCAATGAATCCAGGAGCTGTTTCTTTGAAAAGATTTTCTTTGAAAAGATTAACAAAATAGATAGACTGCTAGCCAGACTAATAAGGAAGAAAAGAGAGAAGAATCAAATAGACACATTAAAAAGTTATAAAGGGGATATCACCACTGATCCCACAAAAATATTAACTACCATCAGAAAATACTATAAACATCTCTACACAAATAAACTAGAAAATCTAGAAGAAATGGATAAATTCCAGGACATATACACTCTCCCAAGACTAAACTAGGAAGAAATCAAATCCCCGAATAGAGCAATAACAAGTTCTGAAATTGAGGCAGTAATTAATACCCTACCAACCAAAAAGCCCAGGACCAGATGGATTCACAGCCAAATTCTACCAGAGGTACAAAGAGGAGCTGGTACCTTTCCTTCTAAAACTATTCCAAACATAGAAAAAGAGGGACTCCTCCCTAACTCATTTTATGAGGCTAGCATCATCATGATACTGAAACCTGGCAGAGACACAACAAAAAAAGAAAATTTCAGGCCAATATACCTGATGAACATCGATGTGAAAACCCTCAATAAAATACTGCCAAACCGAATCCAGCAGCACAGCAAAAAGCTTATCTACTGTGATTGAGTTGGCTTCATCCCTAGGATGCAAGGCTGGTTCAACATACACAAATCAATAAACATCATCCATCACATAAACAGAACCAATGACAAAAAGCACACAATTATCTCAATAGATGCAGAAAAAGGCCTTTGATAAAATTCAACACTCCTTCATGCTAAAAACACTCAACAAACTATGTATTGATGGAACTTATCTCAAAATAATAAGAGCTATTTATGAGAAATCCACAGCCAATATCATACTGAATGGGCAAAATTCTACCATTCCCTTTGAAAACTTTGTCTTATGCAAGACAAGGATGCCCCCTCTCACCACTCCTATTCAACATAGTATTGGAAGATCTGGCCAGGGCAATCAGGCAAGAGAAAGATAAAGGGTATTAAAATAGGAAGAGGGGAAGTCAAATTATCTCTGTTTGCAGATGACACAATTATATATTTAGAAAATCCCATCATCTCAGTCCAAAAACTCTTTCAGCTGATAAGCAACTTCAGTGAAGTCTCAGGATACAAAATCAATTTGCAAAAATCACAAGCATTCCTATACACCAATAATAGACAAACAGAGAGCAAAATCATGTGAACACCCATTCACAATTGCTACAAAGATAGTAAAACACCTAGGAATGCAACTTACGAGGGATGTGAAGGACCTCTCTAAGGAGAACTACAAACCACTGCTCAAGGAAATAAGAGAGGACACAAACAAATGGAAAAACATTCCATCCTCATGAATAGGAAGAGTCAATATCATGAAAATGGCCATACTGCCCAAAGTAATTTATAGATTCAATGCTATTCCCATCAAGATCCCATTGACTTTCTTCATAGAATTAGAAAAAAACTACTTTAAACTTGATATGGAACCAAAAAAAGAGCCTGTATAGCCAAGACAATCCTAAGCAAAAAAAAAAAAACAAAAAAAAAAACAAAAAAAAAAAACAAAAAAAAACAAAGCTGGAGGCATAACACTACCTGACTTCAAACTATACTACAAAGGTACAGTAACCAAAACAGCATGGTACTGGTACCAAAACAGATATATAGACCAAGGGAACAGAACAGAGGCCTCAGAAATAATGCCACACATCTACAACTATCTGATCTTTGACAGTCCTGACAAAAACAAGCAATGTGGAAAGGATTCCCTATTTAATAAATGGTGTTGGGGAAAACTGGCTAGCCATATGCAGAAAGCTGAAACTGGACCCCTTCCTTAAACCTTATACAAAAATTAACTGAAGATGGATTAAAGATTTAAATGTTAGAACTAAAACCATAAAAACCCTATAAGAAAACCTAGGCAATACCATTCACGACATAGGGATGGGCAAAGTTTTCATGAGTAAAACACCAAAAGCAATGGCAACAAAAGCCAAAATTGACAAATGGGATCCAATTAAACTAAAGAGCTTCTGTACGGCAAAAGAAACTACCATCAGAGTGAACAGGCAACCTACAGAATGGGAGAAAAGTTTTGCAATCTATCTATTTGATAAAGGGCTAATATCCAGAATCTATAAGGAACTTAAACAAATTTACAAGAAAAAAACAAACAACCCCATCAAAAAGTGGGCAAAGGATACGAACAGACACTTTTCAAAAGAAGACATTTATGCGGTCAACAAACGTATGATAAAAAGCTCATCATCACTGGTCACTAGAGAAATGCAAATCAAAACCACCATGAGATAACATCTCAGGCTAGTTAAAATGGCGATCATTAAAAAGTCAGGAAACAATAGATGCTGGAGAGGATGTGAAGAAATAGGAACACTTTTACATTGTTGGTGGGAGTGTAAACTAGTTCAACCATTGTGGAAGACAGTGTGGAGATTTCTCAAGGATCTAGAACCAGAAATACCATTTGACCCAGCAATTCCATTTCTGGGTACATACCTAAAGGATTATAAATCATTCTACTATAAAGACACACGCACACGTATGTTTATTGTGGCACTATTCACAAAAGCAAAGACTTGGAACCAACCCAAATGTCCATCAATGATTGACTGGATAAATAAAATGTGGCACATATACACCATGGAATACTATGCAGCCATAAAAAGAATGAGTTCTTGTCCTTTGCAGGCACATGGATGAAGCTGGAAACCATCATTCTGAGCAAACTAACACAGGAACAGAAAAGCAAACACCACATGTTTTCACTCATAAGTGGAAGTTAGACAATGAGAACATATGGGCACAGGGAGGGGAGCATCACACACAGGGGCCTGTCAAGGCGGGGGGCTAGAGGAGGGATAGCATTAGGAGAAATACCTAATGTAGATGACAGGTTGATGGGTGCAGCAAACCACCATGGCACCTGTATACCTATGTAACAAACCTGTACGTTCTGCACAGGTATCCCAGAACTTAGAGTATAATAATAAACTAAAATAAATAAATAAATAGTGCCAGGAAAAAACAGAGACAACTCCAGAATGTAGGACATCTCACAGTACCACTGACCTAGTTTCTTGAACACTTCACCTACTTGATTTATCTAACAATATTTTTTCTTTTTTTTCTTGCTTACTTTATGTCTGTTTTGGCTTACGTATTTAAAAGTAAATCTCACACATCATGCCATTTTATCTTTCCATATTTAAATATGCATCTGTTGAAATGGGTGCATTGTCCCTACAGAGCCAAAGTGGTTAGCTAGCAATCCCAATAAAATTATCATTTCCTCAAAAAAACAAAAAACTAGTGCTTCCAAACTTTCGTTCAATTATATATTACTTTTTTGATTGGGGTACCACTTTTACTAAATTTTTCTTTAAATAAACCTAAAATATACTCACACTTTAAACTTGCCTCATCCTAAGCATAATAGGTATGGAATCATGGATTTGGGGTTGCTGGATATGTATTTCTTCTAATACACATTATAATCATATTTGTAACTATAAAAAAAAGGATTTTTCCTGGCCAACCTAAAATTATGTTGTTCTCCATAATGTATAAAACATTGGCATATATTAAATTAACACTAAAAGTGAATGGTAAAAAAATTAGTGAGTAATTTTTTTTTATAAATACCCTTACCTTGGATAACTCTGGGAAGAATAAAGGGTTACAAAATTATCGTCCAATAGAAATAACTCTAGTCAAGAATCCTGCCTGACTCTGCCACAGTCTGCCTGTTCCTCACGTATAAGAGGATAGAAAAATAACCCCTAACTTATTCACCTGACAGAGCCTTTCTTAGAGTCAGTGTAAACAACTAAACAGGATCCAAAAGTGAGTGGCCAGGAGGAGAAGAGAAGTTTGGGAGGAACTGATGACATTTTATCAAAGAAATGACATCAGAATGTTCTTTAATATCTGGAGTTTTCAGAGATGAATCAAAGAAGCAGGAAAGGTGTAGAAGGGGAGAGTTTAACACATAGAAGAACAATCAAAACTTTTGGTTGGCTTGGAACTGGAGTTATTCAAGAATAAGTAGGGTAGGCCGGGAACGGGGGCTCACGCCTGTAATCCCAGCACTTTGGGAGGCTGAGGCGGGCGGATTATGAGGTCAGGATATCGAGACCATCCTGGACAATATGGCGAAACCCCGTCTCTACTAAAATACAAAACAAACAAACAAACAAAAATCAGCTGGGCGTGGTGGTGGGCACCTGCAGTCCCAGCTACTTGGGAGGCTGAGGCAGGGGAATCGCTTGAACCCGGGAGGTGGAGGTTTCAGTAAGCCGAGATGGTGCCACTGTACTCCAGCCTGGTGACAGAGCGAGACTCCATCTCAAAAAATAAATAAATAAATAAAAATAAAAAGTAAAATAAGTGGGGTGATTAATCACTTGTTCATGATGTTGAAGAGGATCATGAAGTAGATAAAGTTAAGATAGAAGGCCTCTGAGGTCCTTTCTAACTCTAATAATAATAAATACCAATTATTAAATGCTCACTAAGCTTGGCTAAGTATTTTATAGGTCTTATCTCATTTAAGCCTCACAACAACCCAGCAGGTTAGGTATGATTGTACCTATTTTACAAATGAAGAAACTGAGTCTGAAATCTGGTAGAGCCTGGAGTTGAATCCAAGTCAGAATGACTCAAAGTCCAGCTACAAACAATTATATTATAAATGTGGTCTGGGAAATATAGTTTCTGTTTTGCTTTGCTTTGGTCAGTTTCTTTGCCCATTCTTCCAAACTGAAGCCAAGTTGGCTTCTAGAAAAAAATTTTTTTGAAAACTATAATTGTGTGAAAAGTAAAGTGAAAAGCCATTATCTCAACTGGTTTCCTTCAAATTTCTGAGAAAGTCAACATATTTCTCAAAGAAAACTTAAGCTTTTAATTGAATTCTCTCTGTGTTTTGAGAGTGGAGAACAGAATGGAAGAAACCATTTCCCAAAGAAAACTTATGTTCTTAATTTTGATTTCTTTGTGTTTTTTTTTAGGAATGGAGAACAGAACAGAAAAATCCAGAAGCTATACTGTATATTACCCTAAATGATGTTACAAAATCAGCAAAAGCTTTGGTTTCTTTTTGTTTGCCTGAGTCCCTTTGAAAAAGCATTTTAAAAGCATCTGTTCAAGGAAAGGGAAGGGCAATGTTATGTTTAGCACCTCAGGGTGTCTCAAATACTCTCAAGGGGCATTGAGATGTTTTCCAAACACAAGTAATTCAAAATCACTTAAAATAAATAAGGGCCTTAATCAGGTTTTAAGTAGAGAGAAACTTGAGAAATAAACAAAGAGTCATAGCAGGTGGTATAGAAATTCCAGAAAGTTTTGGCTTAACAAAGAAAAAGTCAGGGGATCGGTGGTGATATCCCCTTTATCATTTTTTATTGCATCTATTTGATTCTTCTCTCTTTTCTTCTTTATTAGTCTTGCTAGCGATCTATCAATTTTGTTGATCTTTTCAAAAAACCAGCTCCTGGATTCAATGATTTTTTGAAGGGTTTTTTGTGTCTCTACTTCCTTCAGCTACAAGGCTACAGTAACCAAAACAGCATGGTACTGGTGCCAAAACAGATATAGACCAATGGAACAAAACAGAGCCCTCAGAAATAATGCCGCATATCTACAACCATCTGATCTTTGACAAACCTGGCAAAAACAAGAAATGGGGAAAGGATTCCTTATTTAATAAATGGTGCTGGGAAAACTGGCTAGCCATATGTAGAAAGCTGAAACTGGATCCCTTCCTTACACCTTATACAAAAATTAATTCGAGATGGATTAAAGACTTAAATGTTAGACCTAAAACCATAAAAACCCTAGAAGAAAACCTAGGCAATACCATTCAGGACATAGGCATGGGCAAGGACTTCATGCCTAAAACACCAAAAGCAATGGCAACAAAAGCCAAAACTGACAAATGGGATCTAATTAAACTAAAGACCTTCTGCACAGCGAAAGAAACTACCATCAGAGTGAACAGGCAACCTACAAAATGGGAGAACATTTTTGCAATCTACTCATCTGACAAAGGGCTAATATCCAGAATCTATAGTGAACTCCAAAAAACTTACAAGAAAAAAACAAACAACCCCATCAAAAAGTGGCTGAAGGATATGAACAGACACTTCTCAAAAGAAGACATTTATGCAGCCAACAGACACATGAAAAAATGCTCATCATCACTGGCCATCAGAGAAATGCAAATCAAAACCACAATGAGATACCATCTCACACCAGTTGGAATGGTGATCATTAAAAAGTCAGGAAACAACAGGTGCTGGAGAGGATGTGGAGAAATAGGAACACTTTTACACTGTTGTTGGGACTGTAAACTAGTTCAACCATTGTGGAAGTCAGTGTGGTGATTCCTCAGGGATCTAGAAGTAGAAATACCATTTGACCCAGCCATCCCATTACTGGGTATATACCCAAAGGATTATAAATCATGCTGCTATAAAGACACACGCACACGTATGTTTATTGCGGCACTATTCACAATAGCAAAGACTTGGAACCAACCCAAATGTCCAACAATGATAGACTGGATTAAGAAAATGTGGCACATATACACCATGGAATACTATGCAGCCATAAAAAATGATGAGTTCATGTCCTTTGTAGGGACATGGATAAAGCTGGAAACCATCATTCTCAGCAAACTATTGCAAGGACAAAAAAACCAAACACCACATGTTCCCACTCATAGGTGGGAATTGAACAGTGAGAACACACGGACACAGGAAGGGGAACATCACACACCGGGGCCTGCTGTGGGGTGGGTGGTGGGGGGAGGGATAGCATTAGGAGATATACCTAATGTTAAATGACGAGTTAATGCATGCAGCACACCAACACGGCACATGTATACATATGTAACAAACCTGCATGTTGTGCACATGTACCCTAAAGCTTAAAGTATAATTTAAAAAAAAAAGAAAAAGTCATGGGAGGGGTGGAGAAAGACAGAGAAGGAGAGGGAGAAGGGGAGAGAGGGAGAGAGAAAAGGAAGAAAGAAAGGAAGAGAAGGAGGGAGGGAGAAAGACAGAAGAAAGGAACAGAAGGAGAGAGAGAGGAATCTAGAATAGTCATTTATACATGTGGTATGCTTATCAACGGGTTTCACACTTATTTTCTTGGGGAAAAATACTAAGGAAAATGGTTGTCAACTCACTGCATTCTTTATAGCTCCATAAAACTCTCTTAACTTCTACATTACAAAACTCATATTCAAAATTAAAAGCAATCATTTTACATATTTGAATCTTGATATTAAGATCCCACAGTGGATTACACATTTGATTTTTTCTTCCTGCCTTCATTTGTCCTTTACTGACTTTTGAGAAATCTTTTTATTTTTTATCCATGATACATTTGAATTTCATTAATATTATTAATAAAGGACCAAACTGAGTATTCTTCCATTCCCCCTAAATTTTGTAGTTTAGATACTTTGCCTTCACAAATAATGTATAATTAAAATTGTTCAAAATGCCCAGAATTTTAAATTATGAAAAAGCCATATTCAATAAATATACACTGTCATATAAAATCTTGCTTTATGCTAATGCTTTATCTTTTCTGCCAGTTCTATAGGGGTAAAAGTATCTTTCTTTTATTTCTATAATTCGCAGCATAGTACCTTCCTAGGGATAAGCTCATAAAAGATATTTGTTTAATTAATGAATAAATGACTATATGAATGAATTAATGGAATTTCTTATTTTATGATATGGAAGATTTATAAACTGCTATATTATTTATCAAAATGCAATAGGAAATAGATGGCCCAAATTTCAAGTAATAGCTAAAAGAGGAGGTAGGAAGATTTGGCATAGATTTTTGGATTTATCATTCTTCTTTCTTAATAACTAGAGAAAATGCTGGGAAATATATATCTTGCAGCTTAGAAAATGAAGAGAATTCTGTAGTTGTATAATCAACCATTAATGTGTTGTTGGTGGGAAAAAGATGTTTAGTATCTAATATTGTGGTGTATTGAATCAAGAAAACTGGCATTTCTTCATCATTTAAAAATGAACATTGTGTTCTGTTCTGAATACAGAAATATGATCAATGCAAATCTCAAGCTAAAAGCTTTATTAGATATTTCTCTTTAAGCTAAACCCACACACACACACACACACACTCATGTCTAAATGTGTTTACTATTTATTTTTTACTCTTAAAGTGATGTTATTTACATGTGTTGTTAGAATGCAAACCTTATCAGTAGGACATCAAGGATTAAGCTCTGGCAGTATTAAAGTTAGAACAGTCACATGTATGCAAATTTTTACATAGTTAAAAAGAAGAATCACTGTAAAATAAATGCTTATTCTTTAATTATAAGTGATGTGGAACAATGTGTACTTAGTTCTAAAGTTCAGTCAAGGAGACTTCCAGGATGTGCATAGCTACTGTATGAGTGTGGGGTGCAGAGATGGAGGATGCTTCTGGAAGTCAAGCAGTGGAATTCCATGGTATACTCAGAAAAGTTAATAGTTCAGTTATTTCCAAGAAGCCTTCTTGCTGCAGACCAGTAATTAATGGTCCCGCTGCTCCTCTCTTTCATTGGTGCCTTCTTCTTCTTCAGGGAATGCTGATTCATTCTGGCCTTTCAGATGCTTAACCCCTGAAATTATAAAAATTATGCAAAATTTAAATGATTTTCATTTCTGGAATATTAACCGCTTTGCTGCAAAAGATAAAGAAAAGAGTGCAAAGTTTTCATTTGGTGTTTATATGTTTTTCTCCAAGAATCTTAACAATGTAATCCTATATAAACCTTTTAATTCACTGAGCAATAAAAACATACCCAGCTGAATTTCCATTAGAGGCAGGCTATCTTTCATAATTAAAGCTTCTCCATTAGGGATTGCATCACAGCCTATTAAAAACCTGTTAACTAAAAATCTGCTCACAGATTCTTATTATAATTCTAATGTATCACTTAGTTCAAATATTGCTTTTGGCATCCCTCAATTCTATTACAACAAGAACTATTGAAACCCCTAGGAACAAAAGGGTGTGCGTGCCATTTCTGTAACTTATAAACAACAAAACAATCAGAATATTGTGAATCTTCTTTCAGAACCTAAACATACCAAAGTGATTATGGAACTTCTCTCTTCAAAATTCTTCAATAACTTCCCCCACAACCTATACAGTGGGAAAAACATTGGCATACATTTGCCTGCTATACAAGGCTCTTATAATCTGGGCTCTCTACCATTTCTCACCAGCCTTTCCTGCTTTCAGGGTAATTTACACTTAACAACACTAACCTACTTTTCCCCCGGGCTACTCCAGGCTCCCTCAGGCTTTCATACTTTTCTTGTTCTGTTCTCATTGCCAGACATCTTCATCCTACACACACACATGATAATCTCCCACTCACCCTTCTCGTGTCAGCTTGCCTCCTCTCTGATGGCTACCCCAATTCCCCATGTAGATAGACTTTCTCATATTCCCCCCTGCTCTTAGAACATCTATTGTCAATTACCTTACAGAACTGTATTTGTTTACATCTCTTTCTCATCAGAGAAAACTCCTCGATGCTGAGAAATATGTAATTTAATTTGGAGTCCCAGGCACAGTGCCTAGCAAACAGTAGGTACTCATTAATATTTATTGTCTAAATCATTGATTGAATTAATGAAGTAACAGTTTGGTATATGCATTTGGCAGTTCCACAATAATCTATCTTTAGATTTTTTTCAAAATTATTTCAAATTTAGAGTATAAATCAGAAGACAATTACAACAACCACACTCAATCTACAAAATTATCTTTCATTTCCCTCGAGTCTATTCTGTTAAGATATCAGAGTAGCTGAAACTTTCTGCATATAGTGATAGTTAACGTGGGCAATTTTACACTTTTTTGTACCTTATAAAATTAGTTTATTAGATTTTTTAAGTATTACTAAAAAACACTCTAGTAAGAATTGATAAATGAAAGGAAGTCATTCCTCATGTTTGCTATAAAACAAAGAGTCTCAAGAAATGTGTAAGTTTGCATGTACGGCTGTCAGCAAGCCTCAGAATGCTATTTGGCAAACAGTGACGTCCTTGGACTTCATGGATTGCAAAAATATTTTATCACTTGTAATAATATTTAAATACTTTAATTTCATCTGAAAACTTACATTACTCACAATTCTTCTTGATCTAAGACTGTAGGGAGAAATTTGTTGCTAAGACATGGAATTCACTTCACATTATCATAAATTACCTGAAAAGGAGGTCTCAGTGCTCAGGGAAAGGGAAGAGGGTTTATTAAGTGTCCAACCAGTCACTCTGCTTGAGTCTTACATACATGACTCACTAAACCTCACAACTCCTTGTGGTAAACACCTGTCTAGTAAAATTTAGACTTAGAGAAGATAAAGGATTTGTACAAGGTTGTAAGAGTATTGTGATGCTAAGAGAAGTTCTGACACATCATAGTCTCTCAATATATACTGAATGAATTAATGAGGGTATGAATGAGTAAGTCATAAAGTTCCATTATTAAGAGACACTGATTCATTTTCACCTTTAGCTTTTTGGCTGCTGACCCAAACTTTCCATCATTCTCTAGGATTTATCATAGGTTTGAAGTACCAATTAACCTGGCACCAAGGTCTTGGGGTTCCCTCTGAAATATTAAGACACAGTAATCATTCAGCCACCTACCACTCTTCTTCCTTAGCTGAGGTTGACTATATCTTGCCAGGTTTGCAAAGGTTCTAATGACTCCAGAGCTCATCTTTTTCATTCACAAGGTAACTCAAGAGTAATAAATCTGTGTTTGAGATAATGTTCTTTAAATAAGAGGTAATAATCTAATGTCCTTATTGATTTGTCTAAATGAGGGGATTCAATATAAAGGAAAAAATCAGTAATTAAGATGTTTAACTCATTAATCCATTAATCACCCACTTTCCACACTTGAGAATAGGTCTGCTTGTTTACCCTGAACAACATTTAATTTATTTTATAATAATAATAGTCACAAAGTTATACGAAAAAGCCAAACCTTTTTCAAAGTAAAATCACTCGCTTGGACAAATGTTAGAAGGTCTTCCTTAGCCCTATACAATTGTGGCATTACTATTTCCAGGTGAAACATTTTGATGAGGCAGGAGCAGGTGACATGTTACCACAGAGCTGTTCAGCAGAATATCTACCACGAATTCTTTGATTCCCAAAGCAGTTTACTCTAATACCATCTTTCAATTGGATAATGAACAATTGGTTGATGTGTGCCTTGAAGCAGCCTTCAAGGCAATCTCTCTCTTTTCCTGTCATCAATATTCATCTGATTATAGATGCAATAATGCTGAGATTAAAGTGAGAAGCCTGCTGAGGACTATGTAATAATTTCTTTCTCCCTACACCTCTCCTGCATCCCAAAACACACGTATAATTTGTGTTTAATTTTCTTTAAACCCCCATTTGATGTTTGAGGAGACTTACATTTGATGTAATTCTAGAGATGGATGAAAATGAATTGGTCTGGGGATGTTGTTGAAATTCTCAGAGCTTCGTCCTCTGCCAGATGCTAATAAGCATCAGGGAAATCCCTCCCCTGCACAGGGTTTGAGGCTTGGCACAGGGCAATCAGCCTCAGGAGCAAGTGCAGACTCAGCTAGGGCTGCATATGGGCGGAAAACCAAGGAATCCCAAAAAACACATTGAAGGTTCTTTTCTTCGAAGCAAAATGAGCACACAGGAAAAGGGACCATTTAGAAGACAAGGATATGCCATATGAAAATGTGAAGGAATGAAGAAAAGAAAGCAGACAATAAAAGAAGAAAAGGAAAAGAAATAAATTTTGACCCTAAGCAGAATATAATACTTATTCTCTTCTCTATTCTGTAGATCAAATGGTTAAATGTGGATTCAAAAAAGTTGTGAAGTAACTGAGTGAAGAATTTTGAATACTGAATCCATAGAGGGAGGTTTATATTTGGCAAACCACAGGCCAATATTTTTAATCAATTAATCTGAAGCCAAAGACAGGAGGCTCATTACATTTGTAGATAACACAAAATTTGTAAGAAAAGATGACATGAATGGCAAAGAGTAAAGGTTTCCAAGAGCTGGAATGATGGTCTAAGCAATTAAGGTAGAGTTCAACAGAATTTTTGTTTTTAGAAAGGTTAATTTAGTTCTAAAAAAAAAAAAAGAGTATAAGGGCAACCTTAATTAATTATAGTTAGGGATTTTAGGTGACCACAATTTCACTTGACCTGGTGTTTCTAGGCACAGAGCTCCTGGCAGTGTTGGTGGTATTCCTAGTGGCGAAGTTGGCAGTACGAGAAAGGGAATTGCTCTCTAACCACGTGTTGGTCAGACTTTTCCTGCAACATGCTGCCTAGTTCTCATCTGCATTTTAAGAGGACTAGTTTAAGAAGGGAATTGAGATAAAAGGTAGTTTTATGACATCACTTTTCTGGAGGAATTATAGATGAAACTGGAATATTTAGCATAGAGGAAATTAATAGAGGACAATAGAGCCTGACTTTGAATTCCTAAAATACTGGAAAAGGAAATAAAATTAATCTATGTAGCTTCCAAGAGCAGAAATAGAGTCAATGGCTGACATTTATGTGTATAGGCAGATTATAACTCAATATAAAAAAGGAAATTCCCAAATTCTTTATGTTTGCCCAGAAATAAACAAATGAGTGAGTTCCTCATCACTGTACATGTTCAAGTCAAAGCTATAGTTTCATCTCTGAGGCAGGTTATAGATAATTCCTGCATTAAGTAGCAGGGTGAACACGTAACCTTGCAGATCCTAGGATGCTATTAATCCACAAAGGAAATATTCTGTACTATTGAAAAATTAGCTCTGTTTTGAGTACTATAAGTTACAAAAAAGTAATTATAATGTCAAATGATATAATGGCCCAAATACACATTTTAAAACTAATTCACATAGGGAGTAGCAAATGTAAATAGATTTATTTTATTTTTTTCAACTACATATTTTAGACCATTGTAAATCATTCTAAAGTCCTTTAGGGAATCTATGTGTGGATTTTAAAGAGCTTCTGACCTTCTTGGAATTCTATTTATAGTGTATTTGTGCTTTTTCAGGGAAGGAGGTCAATAGTTTTCAGCAGAATCTCAGTGGGGTCTCTGATCTGCAAGTAATTATGAATTTGAATTCTACTCTCTTTAAAGATGAAGAAACAGTTTCAGATGGTAAAGTGACTTGCTTAAATTCCCATAGTGGTTATTGGCTGAGCTGGGACACAAACTTTGGCCCTTAACTCCTATTGGGGGCTCTTTACCTGGGTTCCGAGGACCTAATCTTCCACTGTTATTGATTTCTTAGAAAGTTAGAATTTGAGAAAACTATGGTGACTCAAGATCATGAGGCCCTTTTCATTATCAGAAGATATTACATCATGGATAGATTTCGGTATAACTTTTCAATCCTTTTGTTATTGTGGTTGTCATGATTTTCAATAGAATTTGGAGTCAGAAAGATAATAGAATTTAACCTTGCCCAGGAACACTCCTAGGATAAAACCAAGTTAGAAATAGCATTTAGATCAGTTCCCAAACCTGGACTGAACTCTGGGAAACACAGAAAAAAATATTGTGGTCTAGTCTGTAGAGATGAGACATAGTCATCAAGCAGTATGTGTTAAATATAATAAAGCCCCTACTGTGTGCTGAGCATGAAAAAGAAACAGGTACAAATCAGATGGGAAGGTCAGCCAAAAGGCGATGGTGTGCATGTAATGAAGCTAATTCAGTGAAGAAGCGCTATGGATCAGTAAAACAAATGGTGCATTAGGAAAATTCTGATAATGAAAAGAAGAGCTCCGAGTCAATGGATAGTAATTTGGACTGTCATTTATTGAGCAACATACTCATTAGATTATGGGAAACAGCAAACCTGGTGCCTATCGCAAAAACTTTTTGCAAATAGATTTAACAGGCATTGATTTTCTGAAATCATCCTATATACAAAGGAGTGATTTCAGTGGGCTTAGAAAGATGGCTTTCTAAGGGTTCCTTGAGTATTGGCACCCTAAGGTTTATCACAAAAATAATGCTAGGAATATAATTTCTATATAATTGTATGTATAGTTATATATATTTATAATTTTATGACTCAATATAATTTAATCTATAATATTTAGTCTATAATATAAAACAGAAAGGCCCCTCAGTAAAGGTCCACCATCTCTCAGATTTCACATTTCTCAAAATGCTTTTATATTTATTGTAATTGTTCAATCCTCTTGTCATTCATTTATAATAAAGAACTATACATTAACATCCTGAAGGTCACAGACAACAAGGGACATATTGATTTTATTTCAAAATTAAAAGCATATTATTTCCTGAACTCACCATAAATGTATCCCTTTCTATTTTATTTGACGTAAATTATATGTAGACAGCACAGTTAATCTCTGTTCTAATATAATGACTAGCCAATTAATATAAGCTGCAAATCAACACATGATCCTTTAACTCCCCATTACTTAAGCCATCATTTCTTTGCAGAAGAATAAACGTGCAATATGATTTTCTCTTCATCATCCATGGAAATAGGGACAACATGTTTATGTGCTATTCATAAGTATGTTTTGTATATTTTTACCTATATTTTACCAAAACTGTTACCCAATAGCAAAGCTGAGATAAAAGGTTTAGCAGTAAATACTAAGAAGGTAGGGAAGAAGGTACTATTACATATTAATATTAGAAATATGAATTCAAACAATATCTTTGGAAAGTAATATGGTATCATTTATCAAAACGTAAAGAGCCCACATCTTTATCATCTCTCTCTCTCTTTTTAAAAATGTTGCAAGGATTCTGCTGCTTGGCCCAGGATGAGAATTACTTTAATAGACTGATTGCTGCTTTTGCCCTCCACAGTCATGTGCCCCTCTAGTGCCCATTTTTCTTCTGAAGCTAATGCATTCCCCATGAATTTAGAAGTAGAGTTAAATTTTTAAGCCTACACATAATGGAGCTAAACAATGTTTAGGCAATTTCACTTTAGAAAGAGACAGAATGGCTCCCTAGCCTGCAAGACTTGACTGCAATTGATTGAACACAATAGCATATCTAAAATAAAGAATGCATCGATCAGCAGGAGTCAGTGGTTAGCCTTGAAAGCATTAAAAATAAAATAACAAAAGGAGAGTTGCATTTACAGCCACAGAAGCAAATGTTGTGTGTGTTTCTTTTACCATGTCCAGAGAATAACATCCTGTGCTGGCATTTTAAAGGCTCTGTCCTCTGGGCAGGGTACTTCCCTATTAAAGCAATGGTTACCACAGGCTACCACAGACTGTTGCCAGTGTATGCCCCAGTCACATAATTCAATCACCCAGCTCTGACTCTGAGCTCACCAAGGAAAACCTCTGATAGCAACAGAGCTAGCATACAAGGAGAGAAGGCTCTGACTAGAATAATATTGTCTTCACCTGATAGTAGTCATTTATTTTGAATTGATAAATAAACATTCTGGTTTTATATATCAGTTTTTAAAGTTATATTTTATTTTAATTAACATATAACAATGTATTATTTATTTTAATAATGAACCTTATTAAATTTTATTTTTCATTAATTTTAATATAAATACGGAGTACAGAGTGATATTTTGATACATTTATTTTGAAATGATCAAATCAGAGTAGATAGTATATCCATTACCTCAAATGTTTATTAATAATTTATTTGTGGTAAAAACATTTAAAATCCTGTCTTTTAGCTGTCTTGAGGTATACTCTGTATTATTGTGAATTGTAGTAAACTTGCTGGGCAATAGAACACCAGCTTGCTTACTAGGAGAGAAGGCACGGATTAGGCTAGTCTTATGTTCACCTGACGATGACATTTCTTATTTTGAATTAATAAATTTGCATTCTAGTTATATATGTCAGTCCTGATATGCTTTTTATGGAGCACAAATATTACAACTTCAACTGACTCTCAGTCATCATCAACGAGATAATTTGTGAACATGCCCAGTGGTGGCTGAATCTGGCCAGCAGCTAAGGTGGGAACTTGAAGGGACCTCTGGAGGTGGGGAACTGATGCTACTTTAGTTTAAGACTTACTATAAAACTACAGTAATCAAGAGAGTGTGTGGTGAAAAAACAGACAAAGAGAACAATGGAACAGCATAGAGAGTCCAGAAACTGACTCATGTAAATGTAGTCAACTAATCTTTGACAAAGGAGAAAAGGGAATACAATGGAGCAAAGACAGTCTTTCCAACAAACGGGAACTTGAACAACTGGACATCCACATGCAAAAAAATATAATAATCTAGATTCAGACACTACACTCTTCACCAAAAAAACCCAAATTGATCCAGACTTCAATGTAAAACACACATTTATGATACTCCTAGAAAATAACATAGGAGAATACCTGGGTAGCCTTAAATATGGGGATGGCTTTTTAGGTTCAACACCAAAGACATAATCCATGAAAGAAAAGAAACAGGTAAGCTGTTCTTCATTAAAATTAAAACATCTGCTCTGTGAAAAACAATGTAAAGGATGCGAATACAAGCCATAGACTGAGAGAAAATGTTTGCAAAAGACACACCTGATAAAAGGGCTACTATCCAAAACATACAAAGGACTCTTAAAACTCAACAGTAAGGAAACAAACAATCCAATTAAGAATGGAAAAAAAAGGTCTGAACAGCCAAGGAGATACATAGATGGCAAGTAAGCATATGAAAAGATGTTCAACATCATCTTTCATTAAGAACTGCAAATTAAAACAATGAGATACTACTGCACACCTATGAGAGTGGCTGAAATCCAAAACACTGACAACACCTGACAAAACACTGAGAAATGCTAGCGAAGACAGGGAGCAACAGAAATGAGAAATAGTACAGCAACTTTGAGAGAGAGTTTGGCAATTTCCTACAAAAGTAAACATACTATACAATCCAGAAATCACTGCTTTGTATTTACCCAAATGAATCGAAAACTGATGTCCACACAAAAAACCTGCACATAGATATTTATAGCAGCTTTATTAATAACTGCAAAACCTTGGAAGACAGAATCAATAGTATTTGCTGGAAAACTGGATATGGATTATAAGAAAAAGAAGACAGTCAAGTATGTCACCAAAGTTTTTGGCCAAGGTAACAGAAAAAATGGAATAATCATTAACTAAGATGGGGAAGATTTAGATGAAGAAAGTTTTATATGGAATATCTGATGCCAAACATAGTAAATTTGATAGTTACAATGTATACCCAAATGAATATATGGTTATTATGTGTCTGAAATTCAGAAGAGAATTCTGGGCTCAGGTATTAATGTGGAAGTCATCATTATGTAGACAACATTTAAAACCGTTAAACAGTTGAAGATCCCCGAGAAAGGGAATGAGTAAAGAAGAAAACATGTTCAAAAGCTGAGCCCTGGAGTACTCCAACATTAAGAGTGCAAAGAGAACAGGATGGCACAGAAAAAGAAGACTGTCCAGGAGTCTGAAAAGAGAAGAGATGAAAGCAGTGAATGTACCCAACTACTCCAAGAAGTTCTTCTGCAAGAGAGAGCTAAGAAATACTGTATTAGCTATAGGAACAGTGAGGTCAAATAGAATTTTTTCCTATTTTATTGAGGTATATTTGAAATACAGTAAACTGCACATATTCAAGGTGTACAATTTTATCAGTTTTGACAGATGTTAGCATCTGTGACACCATTACTACATTCAAGATAACAAACATTTCCATCCAAACAGGAATTTTTTAACCTAGGAAACAATAGAGGATACTTGTTTGTTGATGGGTATGATCCCATAGGGAGGAGGAAAACTATGACATAGAAAACAGACGGAAGAATTTCTAGAGCAATGTTTCAGAATGCAGGTGGGGATAGCTATATTGCACAACTGAAGGAGTTGCTGTTAGAGAAAAGCACAAAACGTTCACCTACAATAGCAAGCAGAAAGGCAGGCTATGAAAAGGAACAGATGTGGTAGGCGAGAAGACCTCATGGTGGGAGTCCAAAAGTTCTCTTCTCATGGCTTTGGTTTTCTCAAAGTAGAAAGCAAGCTCATTAGATAAGACTGAGAAAGAGGAGGATGTGCTGGAGGTTTGCAGAGAAAGGATACACTGTAATAGACATCTCAGAGAGTGGAAGAGAGAATGAACTAAGGAAAGGTAGTGTGCCTGTCAGAAAGTACTAAGTGCCCATCAGAGGTTCTGTAGTCATGAGTTCAAAATAAGACCATCAGTAAAGCTGTGTCCAGTTGCATAAGAGAAGGTGAGGAGTAGGCCAACACTAGGTCTCACCACTTGTAAAACCTTGTTAATTTGTTTTTCGTTCCGTCTCTACAATGTTTTTGTATTTTTAAAAGTGTTTTTATAAACATTTTTCTCATATCCATGACATCTCCAGGAAAATAAGGCAGGAATGACTCTCAGACAAGAATGCTTGAATTTTAAACAATGGCAAGGATGGGGACAACGTTTAATCTGAAAGAACTGATGAATTTTAAGCATTCTAATACCTAGATTAGAAGAATTCTGGGCAAAAATACTTCATTGGAATCATGCAAATTCTGACGTCTCTACTTAAAAGTCAATTTTTGCTCAGACCATGACATATTGAAAGATTACAAATTTTAAAAATTAATAAAGATTACCAAAGTTTCTGGCAAGTTCATTTTCCCCTGGCAATGTATTACCATTGGAAGAATTTAAGGAAAGCCCACTGTTATAGATTGAATTGTGTGCCCCAAAAAGATGTTGAATTCATAGCCCTCAGTATCTGTAAATGTGACTTTATTTGAAAATAGTGTCTTAACAGTTCCTCAAGTTAAAGTGAGGTCATAAGATTGGGCTCTAGTCCAAAATGACTGTGAAATGGGAGGAGTTTTTCCTTATACCCCTCGAAGGGCATGCAGTGGGGGTGTGGCTTGCTTCTTCTGGTGTCCCCCTGCTCAAACCTCTATGGGGAGCATGCACACTGGCAAGTCGTGGGGCTCCAACCCCACATCAGGGTCTAGGATTGAGTGTTTACAGCTCCTGAAGCCCTAGTGGTGCATATTACAGTGTGCTTTTTTAGTTTTTCAGTTTTTTAGTTTTTTAGTTGTGCTGTCTGCAGGTGGCTTGTGTTAATCAGCTCAATTAGGCCCCATGCCTTATGGCAAAGACAGAGGGCTTTCTGTATCCGGGGATTCTTGCCCAAGTGTACCAAAAAAGAAAAAAATTGGATCACATATGGGCTTGGAGAATGAGTTCAAGGTTTTACTGAGTGGTGGAGGTAGCTCTCAGCAGATGGATGGGGAGCCAGAAGTGGGATGGAGTGGGAAGGTGATCTTCCCCTGGAGTCAGGCCACTCAGTGGCTGGGCTCTCGTCCGACCACCACCCTCAACCAAATTCCCCTTGGTGTCCACATCATCGATGTCCTGACAGCGTCTGCTGGTGCTTGTCTGTGCACTTTTTTGCCCCTCTGCTCCTCTAAATATCTAGCTGCTCGTTTGTATGCCTGCTAGGATCTCAGGGTTCTTATAGGCACAAGATAGGGGCATGGCAGGCCAGAGTGGTCTTGGAAAATGCAACATTGGGGCTTGAAAGCAGGAGTGCCTGTCCTCACTTAGGTCCCCTGGGCACAGGCCCGAGGGTGGAGCCCTTGCTAGGGACACAGCCCTTCTCTACCCAGTACTTCCCTGCCCCACTCCTGTATCAATTGTATCCTTAAAAAAGGGAGAAATTTGAACACAGAGACAGTTTTGTACAGAAGGAAAATGATATGAAAACACACAGAGAACACCATCTATAAGCCAAGGAAAATCTGAGGCTACTAGACACTAGGAGAGAGGCATGACACAGATTTTCCTTCAGCCCTCAGAGGAAACAAACTCTGAGGACACCGTTGTCTCAGGGTTCTGGTCTCCAAAACTGTGAGACAATACATTTCTGCTGCTTCAACCACCCAGTTGTGGTTGTTATGGCACATTGTGATGGCAACCCTAGCAAACTAATACATCCATAGCGTTGAATTGTGTATGGGAAATCCCCATCCTCCCCAATACCATTGTGATATACCCTCAGTTGGATTTAAAACACAGCTACTGCGTTTCTCCTGCTGCCAATGAAACATTCAGCTTCTTGGAAGCACCTGCTATCAGACTATATCAAATCTTCCTTTCTTTTATGCTGTCATCTACCAACTTCATGATCATATCAAATTCTCTGGAGATTATAGCACTTCCCTAAATTTCTTTATACCAGTTCTCCTAAAATCATTCTTGAAGACTTCAGTCTCCACCAAGATGACCCATTCCCTCTCCCGTCACTATAAAGCTTCCTTACCTAGACCCCCACACCTTTGCCCTTCTCTCTTCTGTGGTACTCATCTGACAAACCTACAATTGTGATAAAAATCCACCTCTCTGTAATTACAGAATGCCTGAACCCCAATGGAGAAGCACAACTGACAAAAGCCTAAAACTATGCTGACGGATGTCACATAAAATTTTTGACCACAATTTTTAAGTGGGCTTCAACATTTCCTGAAAAATCTACTCTATTTCCCTCTTTAAATCTGTCTTAAATTGTCTCAGAATGCTATTCACTCCTCAAATCTTCAACATTCCCACACCTTCCTCAAACTCAGCTGATTTTACATAGTAAAGCAAAGCAATCATTAAAGAAATGACATCAGCCTGGCCAAATCTACTAATATATTTGAATCTGCACCCATATATCTGCCTTATCTCCTAAGATTCAACCTTCATTTTTTTTCCACCCCTCATTTTTTTTTACAATATCTCTTCCCCTTTCAAAGAACACTCCTAAAATTTTAGCCACTCTCTTTTGCATTGTCAGTTTCTTCCATTCTGCTAAAATATTTCTAATGCCACGAAAACATGAACAGATTAATAACAAGTAAGGCAATTGAGTCAGTAATAAAAAGTCTCCCTTCAAAGAAAAGCCCAGGACATGATGGCTTCACGGCTGAATTCCGCCAAACATTTAAACAACTAATACCAAACTTTAACAAAATCTTCCAAAATACTGAAGATGAGGGAACACTTCTAAACTCATTTTAAGAGACCAGCATTAACCTTATACCAAAGCCACAAAAGGATGCCACAAGAAAAGAAAATTACAAACCAATATCCTTGATGAACATAGATGCAAAATCCTCACCTAAATAAACACTAGTAAATCAAATTCAATAGCACATTGAAAGGATCCTAAATACTAGTAAATCACCTAAATACTAGTAAATCAAATTCAATAGCACATTAAAAGGATCACACATTATGATCAACTGGGATTTATGCCTGGGATGCAAAGATGGTTCAACATATACAAATCAATAAGTGTGATACACCACATTAACTGAATAAAGAATAAAAACCATATGATCACCTCAATAGGTGCAGAAAAAGTATTTGACAAAATTCAACATCATTTCATAATAAATGGATGATAAAACCACTTAACAAATTAGGTATAAAAGGAGTATACCTCAACCTAATAAAGACCATATATGTATGACAACCCCATAGCTAACATCATACTCAATGGAAGACCAGAAACAAGACAAGAGTTCCCACTGTCACCTCTTCTATTCTACATAGTATTGGAAGTCCTAGCTAGAGCAAGTAGGCAAGAAAAAGCAATACAAGTCACACAGATTAGAAAGGAAGAAGTTAAATTGCCCTTGTTTGCAGACAACATGATCTTATATAATTGATCCTCAAATTTTACCTAGTGGCAAGAAAAAGCACAGTAAATCTTAAAAATGAAAATAAGGAATGGTGCTTTCCCTGACAATGCTTTCTGATCACCAAACACACTTAATTAATCCCATCGGGTCCATGGCTTTTACAAGTAAGTGATGACAACAGATTTGATTAAGTATTTTGGTCCCCTCAGTGATTCTCCTGTTACTGAAACTTTTCTTTTATCGAAAGTGTGAATCCTGATGAGTTTATAGTCTCAAAATCTGCTCGATTCCCTCCATATCCTGAGGCTGTTTGCTTCTACTTACTCTGTGGAAGGCCTCCACTCAGTTTGTTTCTCATTACTCAGCTTGCTGGCCGCCAGGAAGTTTCTTGAATGAGGAGATTGTTCTGCTTTTCATCCTCTGCTTGACCTGAGGACATGCAGTTTACACTCTGAGCTTTGCAACTGTTTTGCTCTGACCCTGCTTTTCTATCAGATTTACCATTGTTCACTTAAGCATTCTTGTTCACAGGCAGTTTTACTCTCTGACCATCCTTTTAAATAATAGCAATTTGTTGTTCGCCAGGGGGCTCGCTGACCTACTTTCTTCTTTCATTTGCTGCCCTACAGTTGGTCTGTTTTAGTTGTCTTCCACATGTAACATCACAGCCTCTCTTCTTTTTACATAGATTTTAACAAACTCCATAGATAAGCTAATACCTCTTCTTTAATTCTTCCTATTTACAAAATTTTCTGAAGAATACTTAAAGCAAAGGAGCAATGTATTGCTCAACTTTTATAAGGACTAGCAATTTCATACAGATTACATGAAAGAGAAAAAATATTAAACAAAATTCTTGCTTAAAATGATAACTTTTTGTTATTTCCACTCTATTCAAATTTAATAACTAGGGGAAAAAGTGTTTAATTTACTTAGTTTCTCAACACAAGTATCACTAACTTGAGATTTTTTTTTAAATAACAAAATCAGAACCTCCCCCCAACTTTTAGACATTATAAATGAATTGCTTTAAGATCACGGCTTGGCCGGAAGCGGGGCTCACACCTGTAATCCCAGTAATCTGGGAGGCCAAGGCAGGTGGATTGCTTGAGCCCAGGAGTTTGAGACCAGCCTGGGCAACATGGCGAAACCCCATCTCTATAAAAAAATAAATCAGCCATGCATGGTGGTGTGTACCTGTAGTCTCAGCTGCTTGGGAAGCTGAGGTGAGAGGTTCACTTGAGTCCAGGAGTGCAGTGAGCTGTGATGGTGCACCACTGCACTCCAGCCTGGGCAACATAGCAAGACCCTGCCTCAAAAATAAGAAAATTAATAAAATATCATTATTTCTAAATTTTCAAATGCTCCTCTAGGTAGGGAAAACAACCTTACTTTCAGCATACATATATTACATTTACAAAAAAAATCATCTTTGTGTTACAAAATTTTTTAAACATTGATAAAATTGATGTATTTTCAAAATCCCATATTGAATTTCATTTGAATCCACAATTTGAGAGGAATAAGTATCCTGAACTTGTGTCCATGACTTATCACACTGCATATGATTTATAATCATTTCAATTTTTTTCCCAAAGTAATTGTGCAGCTAGTCTAGTTATCTTTATTTGGATATTTATTCTTTTATTTCTTCCTCAAATGATAGAAACTACTCTGAGAAAAAAATAGAATTGATAAGATAACCAATCACATGATTAGGGAAAATGAGATCATTGAGAATGTGCGGCACTGTTATTTCTGATTTGATACTCTAACTAGAAATAGTCTATAACTTTACTAACATGAGGGAACAGGGCATCTCACAAAAGTTACTAGAAAGGCCCTTTGACTAGGGCTTCATACAAAAGTGGCCATAAATTAGGTCTTTGATGCTATCTCCAGGTGAGTTCATATATAGAATAACAGACATATTTATTGACAATATGTTTTCCATGTCTCTCATAAAACTTCACACATACACTCAATTACTGAACTACTTTAGATTGTACCATAAATGATTTTTTATAAATATTATAGTTAATTCTTAGTAGCTCAATTATATCATAATTTCTGTTGTGCTAATTTGTCAAATGAAAATATTCACAATTCCATAATTTTTACAATCCTATTTTGTCATTCCTTCATTTATTAATACAGGGAACCTCAAAAAAGGAGAGTGGTGAGAAACCCCCCTTGGCTTTACTAGGGAGGCCTTCATATAGATCAGCAGACATTGAAGGAGTGCAGCTTGTTTTCCTGAGCTGCTCTCTTCTAGTCTCCTCCCCACCTAGTTACTGGCCCAGAGGGCAGCCTTCCCTTCAGCAGTAACAGGGCTTTGAGAAAGTGCTTTTCTCAGCACAGAAGCATGACTTTTTAGGGTGGAAAGAACTTCAAAAGGTAGTGCTGAATTTAAAAGGCAGTCCACCTGGCTCCCAGCACACATATATGCACACGTACACATACCAACACCGTATTACAGATGTGAAAACCAAGGCCTGTTTTCTGAAGTCACAGAGCAAGAAACAGTTACTCAATCTACAACACAGGTTGTCAGCCTTTTATTCCATATTCTCTGCATCAGAAAGCAACACAGAAAGCAAATAAACTGCTACTTCCTGGGAGTCCCAGCAGAGTTCCCTTTCATGCTTTATCTACCCAACCATGACCTGATGCAGTAAAAAGAAATCACCACTAGGAGGTAAAATGTATTTCATGGTACTCAGAAGCTGGACTCTTGAGAAAGATTCTCTTATGGATATTTGGTGACATTGAAATGGACTGTTAGTATAATAATTTAGGCATATTAAGGATTCTGCTCCTATAAACTGACCTAAAAGCAAAAACACCATTGGTAGCATTGTTTCTGTGTATTCTCAGATCCAAACTCCTTACAAGTCAATTTTGGGAACACAATTCTTTTCTACAATTGGAGGCTGCCTGCTCGGGAAATTCACCAATGGTACTACCAGAACATAATTTGAAGTAGTCAGAAATAAAGGGTATAATTTTCTAAGTTTCTAAGGAAGGCTTGTTTATTTCTCACCGAGTAACATTATCCCCTAGATATTCCTAATTTGTTCTTTATGATGGCGATCTACTGTTTAGTTCTTTCAGCAGTGCTCTCCACCTTCCCTTTCTTATAGGGAATTACTTTCCCCACTCCCCTTCTTTCAGGAACCGCTCTTCTCATGACCACCAAACATGGGAAAACAATCAGCCCTGCCTGCTTCTTATGCAGCCTTGTCCTCTGACCATTGGGACAATCGCGATCCTTCCTCCATGATCTTGCTGTCTAGAACCAAGTCATCATTACGGAGTTTTTGAATTGTAAATGGCATAAGATATTGTTTGCTCCTGATGACCGCTGTTTCCTACTTAAGGTGGCAGCAGCTGGTGTGGAGGCTGAAGTAGACAGGCGAACAAAGGGAACAAAGGGAATGGGAAAGAGGCAGCCTTTATTTCCTGAGGTTCAGCAGGCTGCCTCCTTCCTTTCCTGGGTGTTGGTTTTCACTTAATAATGGAAGTGACCAAGTAATCTTTCAATAAATTTCCCTTTTGCCTAAGCCAATTGTACTTGATTTTTGATGTGTCAAAGTGTCCTAACTTTTGCATTCTCCCCGTCTTTTTTTTTTTTTTCCGAGATGGAATCTCGCTCTGTTGCTAGTGGGGAGTGCAGTGGCGAGATCTCGGCTCACTGCAACCTCCACCTCCCAGGTTCAAGCGATTCTCCTGCCTCAGCCTCCCGAGTAGCTGGGACTACAGGCACGCACCACCATGCCCAGCTAATTTATGTATTTTTAGTAGAGATGGGGTTTCATCATGTTGGCTAGGATGGTCTCAATCTCTTGACCTCGTGATTCACCCGCCTCAGCCTCCCAAAGTGCCGGGACTACAGGGGTGAGCCACTACGCCCAGCCTCTCTCTGTCTTATATCTTCCCTGGAATCTCCTTTTGAGATGGAAGACAGAAAAGGGAAATGAAAGGCAACTTAAGTACTTTTTTCTTCTGTATCATTACCTCTGAATGACACTTATGATGAACTGAGAAAAAGAGATGGGAAATATTTCATTTTATCTCAGGAGTATCTTTCAAGTTACGTCTAAACATTAGACTCGGTACCACAACTGAGGTAATAGAGAAAGTTTGGGACTTTTTTTTTGTTAAGTCTCTAATCGTCTCCCTATGGACAAGGCACCTATTTAAGGGATATATATCATAGACTTGCAGGTCAGAGGTCAAAATCTTCACAGCTGATTTCATACTTTCCTTGGTTCCTGAGGCGATAATATTAATACTACAAAGCCCTAAGCATTTATGGTCAGTCAGCTTTCACTGTGCCACTGTTACTCCTTTAGTAAATTATGGATAAAACTGTATCAGATACTGACATGCATGATAGCACAAGACTTTAAAAGCAATCTCCTAAAGTCTCTAGGGAAACATAGCAAAGAAAAATTGTTTAAATCCTCCAATAAATTAGTCTTTGAGCTTCCTCCTTATCTAACACATTATTTCAATTTGGCTTTGAAAATATAAGTAACCAGGATCCATGATTCTATAATTCTTGATGCCATACATATTTTTATTGTTGTTGTTTATCTGTATTCTCCCACTTGCCTAAATTATCCTTGTATTATGGTCACAGCCAATTCTAGGTAAGAGTGAGGTTTTGTTTAAGCATGACTTACCTCAGCGTTCCCATGAGACAGCTAACCTGTCTTGTGGGGGCAGGAGGGATGACTTTGGAAATTTCATCCTCCTTCTTTCCTTTGCACCTTCATTCTATATTATCAATATTTATGATTAGCATTAGCCAACCCAAAGTCGATTCCCTTCTGCTTCCCCTATTAGTTTCCTGATCCTAAAGCACTTTTCAATTTTTTAAGGCAAAAATCAAACTGGGAAGTACTACTGCTACTAACTCTATTCCAAAACTGGAGAAATTGTGGCTGCTGAAGATTACATGAGTTGCCCATGATCTCTTGACAAGTCAACATCACAGCTAGCACTGGAACTCAAAGTTCCTGAATTCAAATCTAGTTTTCCCCCACCCCATGGTGTAATTTCTCATTCTGCCAGGATCTTAATTTTTCTAGTCACAAGTTATTACTAATTTGGTGACCTCCCCCATCACCTTGCAATAAAAAATAGTAAACATTTTAACAATATTTTTCTGAAGAATACAGATTACTTTCTCATACCTGAGAAGAAACGTTCAAGTAATGGCAATTTTAGTCCAGGCATTGAGAAAGACTATGATAGGTAAAGATAATGCAAGGCATAGGACTTTGTACTGTCCCTTAGATCATAATATTTAGATAGCTTCCTGTTTTCTATTTGTAGGGCTTACTTTGGAATAAGGCAGACATATTTCAAAGACAGTACTAATTTCAAGTGTTCTGAAGTACTTTTCCCATACATTATGGAAATGTCCCAGGAAATCCAATATCTGAACTACTTCTTGCATTAATATTATTACAAAATTACAAATATTCTTAATTCTGATTTTTTTTCTAGAAAATATGATCACCAGAAGAATGTAGGGAGACAGATTACATCTGTCGAAGAAGTAGATTATTAGAATCACATTTTTCATTTTTTTCAACAAAATTATTTTAGAAAGCTTGTGGTGATCTCTTACTTATTTTAGATATTTGTTCTTAAGTTAATACTCTTTACATAAATAACTTTAGATTAGTGTGTGTTGAGACAGAATAGCTTGTGCCTTTTTGTTATACATGAAATATCATCATAAGAAACCACATCCATCACATTTGAAGAAAATCCAAAGTTAATGAGCATTTTTTGTTTCTATTACTCAAGAAATCTCCAAATTAAAATGAGTTTCTGCTTCAAAAAATACATGTGGTGCAGAGAACTCAATCTATATTTCTACAAGTACAAATGCAACAGTGTGAGGAATTTTTTTTTCTAGGCTGCTGGTATACAAATCTTCTAGAAGGAAAGGCCTACATTTGCTGTTTCAATAAACTTGTTCATGGTAGAGGCCAGGGGTTGGGGGTGTCTGTTATCAATTGTCATCTAGGATATGGAGACATGGTAGGATTATTACACGTGTAAAAGAAAAGAAACACTTTTTCTTTTGGAAGAGAAGAAGAGAAGGACTAAGCAGAAGCTGAGCAGTGTCTGGGGGAAGAAAAGAGGAAGAAAAAAACATCTGTTTGATCACGTGAGAGGTAAAAGAGACCTGAAAGAAGAGATATGTCTCAAGATGATTTTAGAAGAGTTTGCCTTGGAGTATTTGATATGAAACCCTCTCTTCAGTTTATTCTTTAAAATGATCAGTATATTATAAATTGCTCATGTACACCTGTGTGCAATGATTTACTGAGAGAGCAGGAAGAGAAGAAGTGGAGAATCATAATCTAGGTTTTATGAGAGTCATTCTGGGAAGACTGAAATAGCTACTTAACACATAAAGATACAGAAATGCACAACCAACAGATCCATTTCAAGCCAAATTAAGACAGGCCTTGTTTCTGTCACAAAATACATTCCAAGTTAAATGGGAGGTGCCAGAAACAATTTCTTTAAATCTCACCAGTTTCATGGAAAGACTAAAGGGGTGAACCAATGATTCTTAGTCCCCATCCCAGTAGTAAACTAAGTTTTTATTCCCCTGTCAATTCACTTAGAACTGGTGTGTATGTGGTTGTTTGTGGTGGGGGTAGCAGTGGAAGGATTCTCACTCATTTGTACTATACAGAAGCGATTCCCAATACTTATGTTTTCTATAACTTACTAGAAGACAAATCAGAAGAGAGAATGTGTGATGTGTGAGTGTATGTGTTCAGGAGTGAGTCTGTGTTTTAACCTAGCACATTAGGGGTGGCAGGTAAATATTTCAAGTACATTAATGAAAACTACCACTCGAGGACTAGTTAGTGAACATTTAAAGGACTCTAATGAAAAACCTCCTCCAGAAGAGCAATATTTGTAACTCCAATCAAGACCAGAAAGTTTATTAATTAGCATATAGTGTGCTAGAAATAATTTTTCTTTGGAGAAATGAGTGGTATCAGAGATATG
The DNA here is from genome assembly GCF_000001405.40 of Homo sapiens. Classification (NCBI taxonomy): domain Eukaryota; kingdom Metazoa; phylum Chordata; class Mammalia; order Primates; family Hominidae; genus Homo; species Homo sapiens. The sequence continues at coordinate 182,097,096 of NC_000002.12, read as the reverse complement.
TCTGTTAGCTGGACATATCGAATAGGTACCCTTGCATTTGCATAAATGGGCTTAAAAGTCTAGTAATAGTGTATGTTCTTCAGACTGCAACCCAGTTTTAGGATTCCAGTCTGTTCTGTGTGCAGTCTTTGTCACCTGATTCTGACTAAAAGTTTAAATTAATCCTGACACCAAGAAATTGTCAGCTGTTTCTTGAGCAAGCTTTTCATGGAAGTTAGAAGAACTTGAAAGGACAGAAGGCTGAGTTGTATTGAAATTTCAGAACAACTTGCATGATTTTGACAGAAGGAGCTACTTGATAACAAATGTGTGTGTGGGTGGCAAAATTAGGACAGGAATCAGGGTTTTGCGGAAAGAGAACTATGGCCTTCACTCTCACTGTTGGGAGATAACAAAGGAACCAGCCATGTTAATCATCTGGAGGAAGGGAATCCCAGTAAAGTAAACTGAAAATATAAAGGCTAAAAGCTGCTTGGCCTATTTAAGAACAAGAAAAAGGACCACTGAAGATAGAAAATAGGAGCGCATTTAAAGCCAGGTGTAGATTTGCGAGGGGAGGTCACGGGAGTCGGAGCCACCAGATCATGTAGGGCCTGATTAGCTAAGCTAAGAAATTTGATCTATTTCTAAGGGCATTGGAAAGCCGTGTACGGACTCAGAATACAATACCCCAAAAGATGGCACCTTAACGAATCAGAAATCCACAGAAGCAAGGTCACTCTGTCTTTCTCCTGCCTTTCTCCACTGAAACATGGTCATAAAGAAATTCTCTGACCTTCCTTGCCTGAAAGTAGGGTCATATGACCCTCAATCCAGAGAAGTCCCACCCTGTACCCAGAAGCCAAAAAGGATCTGAACAAACAAGGCTTGCTAAATTCCCCCGTTTTTACCATTAAATTATAGCCCTTTTTGTCCAATTATGTTTTCCCACAACTACCTACTTCTTTCATCAGACAGCATAAAAATACACAGTTTTCTCTAGAATTTCGGGTTTCATTTCTGAAGGCTTGTAAAACTTCATTTAAATAAATGTATTATGCTTTTGTCTTTTTAATCTGTCTTTCTTTATGGGGTATCAGGTACTACCTTTTTTTTTTTTTTAGAGTTTTTTTGTGTGTGTCTGAGACAGAGTCCTGCTCTGTTGCCCAGGCTGGAGTGCAGTGGCGCGATCTTGGCTCACTGTAATCTCCACCTCCTGGATTCAAGAGATTCTCCTGCTTCAGCTTCCTGAGTAGCTGGGACTACAGGCACAGGCCACCATGCCCAACTAAGAGATGGGGTTTTACTATGTTGGCCAGGCTGGTCTCAAACTCCTGACTTCAAGGGATCCTTTTGCCTTGGCCTTCCAAGGTGCTAGGATTACAGGCATGAGCCACTGCTCCTGGCCAGTTACTACCCATCTGATGGGTAAAGAAAAGATATTACTTTTTCTCCTCTGCAGCCCCATTGGAAGACAACTTATTTATACATTGAAAACTACCAATATTATGGATTATAGACACTACCACATAAAGAGGCCAAGGGAGTGACAGAAGTGATAAAGGAGCCACACTAAAAGACAATAGCACAAGCTTAATAATAAAAGACAGCTGACATTAAACTTAGGGTTTAGGGATACAATAATGAATGGTGGGAACTTTGTAAATGACGACCATATGGCTACATCTTCTTACTTTCTGAGACAAGCCAAATATCTAAAATGTCATGTTAAATAATGTTTAATGATAGCAGCTAATTTTAAAAAGATTATATAGGGTAAGTAAACCATGTCACTCCTTTTTTTTTAATTTTTTTATTTGAGATGGAGTCTCGCTCTGTCACCCAGGCTGGAATACAGTGGCACGATCTCAGCTCACTGCAACCTCTGCCTCTGGGGTTCAAGCGATTCTCCCACCTCAGCCTCCACAGCAGCTGGGACTACAGGTCCATGCCACCACACCCAGCTGATTTTTTCTTTTTTTTGTATTTTTAGTAGAGATGGGGTTTCACCATGTTGGCCAGGTTGGTCTTCAACTCCTGACCTCATGATCCGCCTGCCTCGGCCTCCCAGAGTGCTGGGATTACAGGCATGAGCAACCGCTCCTGGCCAACATGCCACTTCTTAAATGGGGTTCATGAGCTTCCACGAATGACCTTTGATCTATACATAGATACTCCTTGGCTTACAATGGGGATACATTGTGATAAACCCATAGTAAGTTGAAACGTCACTAGTCAACAATGCATCTAATATACCTAGCCTATTGAAGATCATAGCTTGGCCTGGCCTACCTTAATCCATTTATGCCTACTGTTCCATTATTGGAACACTAAGCATGTGGGAGTTATATATATCCTACTGCTCAAGGTCATCGCAAGGTCTGATTTTTTACACATCTGCAATTCAAAAAAGTGCAACCTCCAGCCTAAACACTTACATTAGCCTACAGTTGGGCAAAATCGTATCACAACACAGTTCACTCTAGACTGTCGGTTGTCTGCCCTCCTGAACATATGGCTGACCCAGAGCTGTAGCTCACTGCCACTGCCCAGCATCACAAGAGACTATCATACTTCCTGTCATTAGCCTGGAAAGAGATCAAAATTCAAAATTTAAAGTACTTTTTCTACTGAATTCATATAGCTTTCCCACCAGGCTAAACTTGAAAAATTGTCATATTGGGGACCAGTCTGTACTGAATGTTTAACTTTCAGTATATTTGAAATCTCTCTGATATGGTATGGCTCTGTGTTCCCACCCAAATCTCATCTTGTATCTCCCGTAATTCCCACGTGTTGTGGGAGGGACCTGGTAGGAGATGGTTGAATTATGGGGGCAGGTCTTTCCCATGCTGTTCTTGTAATAGCAAATGGGTCTCTGATGGTTTTATAAGTGGGAGTTTCTCTGCACAAGCTCTTTTTTTGCCTGCCACCATCCACATAAGATGTGACTTGCTCCTCCTTGCCTTCCACCAAGATTGTGAGGCCTCTCCAGCCATGTGGAACTGTAAGTCCAATAATGACTAGCCTACTGAAGATCATGACTTTCTTTTGTAAATTGCCCAGTCTCTGGTATGTCTTCATCAGCAGTGTGAAAATGGACTAATACAATAAATTGGTATGAGCAGAGTGGTGCACCGCTAAACAGATACCAGAAAATGTGGAAGAGACTTTGGAACTGGGTAGCAGGCAGGAGTTGGAACAGTTTGAAGGGCTCAGAAAAAGACAGGAAAATGTGGAAAAGTTTGAAACTTCCTAGAGGCTTGTTGAATGGCTTTGACCAAAATGCTGAAAGTCACATGGACAATAATGTCCAGGCTGAAGTGGTCTCAGATGGAAATGAGGAACTTATTGGGAATTGGAGCAAAGGTGACTCTTATTATGTTTTAGCAAAGGGACTGGTGGCATTTTGCTTTTGCCAAAGATTTGTGGAACTTTGACCTTGAGAGAGTTGATTTAGGGTATCTGGCAGAAGAAATTTCTAAGCAGCAAAGCATTAAGAGGTGACTAGGGTGCTGTTAAAGGCATTCAGTTTTATAAGGGAAGCAGAGCATAAATGTTTGGAAAATTTGCAGTCTGATAATGGAATAGAAAAGAAAATCGCATTTTCTGAACAGAAATTCAAACTGGCTGGAGAAATTTGCATAAGTAACGAGGAGCTGAATGTTAATCCCCAATACAATGGGGAAAATGTCTCCAGGACATGTCAGAAGTCTTTTCAGCAGCCTTTCCCATCACAGGCCTGGAGCCTTTTTCCTGGAGGAAAAAGTGGTTTCGTGGGCCAGGTCCAGGGTCTCCATGCTGTGTGCAGCCTAGGGACTTGGTGCCCTGGGTCCCAGCTACTCCAGCTGTGGCTGAAAGGGGCCAATGTAGAGCTCAGGCTGTGGCTTCAGAGGGTGGAAGCCCCAATCCTTGGCAGCTTCTACATGGTGTTGAGCCTGATAGTGTACAGAAGTCAAGAATTGTGGTTTGGGAACCTCCACCTAGATTTTAAAGGATGTATGGAAATGCATGGATGTCCAGGCAGATGCTTGCTGCAGGGGTTAGGGCCCTCATGGAGAATTTCTGCTGCGGCAGTGCAGAGGGGAAATGTGGGGTCAAAGCCCCCACAAAGAGTCCCTGCTGGGGCATCAACTAGTGGAGCTGTCAGAAGAGGGCCACCGTCCTTCAGACCCCAGAATGGTAGATCCACTGACAGCTTGCATTGTGCACCTGGAAAAGCTGCAGATACTCAATGCCAGCCTGTGAAAGCGGCCAGAAGGGAGGCTGTACCCTGCAAAGCCACAGGGATAGAGCTGCCCAAGACTATGGGGACCTACCTCTTGCATCAGTGTGACCTAGATGTGAGACATGGAGTCAAAGGAGATCACTTTGGAGCTTTAAGATTTGACTATCCTGCTGGATTTTGGACTTGCATTGGGCCTGTAGCACCTTTGTTTTGGCCAATTACTCCCATTTGGAATGGCTGTATTTACCAATGCCTGTACCGCCATTAGATCTAGGAAGTATATAATTTGCTTTTGATTTTACAGGCTTATAGGTGGAAGGGATTTGCCTTGTCTCAGATGAGAATTTGGACTGTGGACTTTGGAGTTAATGATGAAATGAGTTGAGAATTTGGGAGACTGTTGGGAAGGCATGATGGGCTTTGAAATGTGAAGAAATGAGATTTGGGAGGGGCCAGGGGCTGAATGATATGATTTGGTTCTGTGTCCCCACCCAAATCTCATCTTGTATCTCCCATAATTCCCATATATTGTGGGAGAGACCCGGTGGGAGATGGTTGAATCATAGGAGCAGGTCTCTCCCATGCTGTTCTCATGATTATGAATGGGTCTCACAGATGTTATGGTTTTAAAAATGGGAGTTTCTCTGCACAAGTTCTCTTTCTGTCTGCTGCTAACCATGATTCTGAGGCCTCCCCAGCCATGTGGAACTGTAAGTCCAATAAACCTCTTTCTTTTGTAAATTGCCTGGTCTCAGGTATGTCTTTATCAGCAGCATGAAAACGGACTAATACACTCTCTCTAGCCCTCCTTCCATGCAGCTTAATTATTCCTACTTTGTAGGTAAAAAATGCAGACTTTCAGACTCATCCCTACATTTTTTTAAATTCTACAATCCAACATATTTTTATTTAACACATAATTATTGAGTGTCACTATGTTCTAGGGGCTTAAAATATAAGAAAGAACAAAAGACAAAGATCTGTAAACTTTATAAAGCCCTGGGAAGTCAGGTGCATCTAAAGGGTAAGTGGAAATGGTGGGAAATGAGAATATCCCAAAGGAGATTGAGGGTGGAAAGGTAAGTGAGAGAAAGAATAATTGGAACAAATAGGTGAGGTATATAGCACTATTGAAGGTAATCAGTGCTACAGAGAAAAGAAAAACAAGCAGGGCATGGGGTCATTGGAAGTGCTGATGGTGCCGGGTGGGATGTCCATACACATCCTAACTCCAGTCTCCTCAGGGTTTTGTAGAACTTCTTTGTATCCTCTCTACTCCCTTCTTCCCTTCAGTTTACAAAACATAACTCAAGTATCTTCTATCCTAGAAATAAGCAAGCAAATAAAAAAATCCTTTAACCCTGCACATTCCTCTTACTAGTGTATTTACCTTTTTTTTTTATTATTTTTTTTTTAAGAAAAACAGCTGTCTTTGCAGCTGGCTCCACTTTCTCTTTCTCACCGCCTGTTCACTCATCCACCTATCCAGTGTGATTTACACCCCAATCTCTTTACTGAAATTGTTTATAGATAGACTTTGATTCACTTAACCCAACTAGTGTTTCTTACATTTTAATATTTCATCATATTTCAGTCTTTGCCACTGTTAAGTATTCACTTTTTCCTGAATATTTGACTTCCCTTGGCTTCTGAGATATAATTCTTCTGGGTGTGGGGCAGTCTCCCTACTACTTTTAATTAATTCTCCTTCTCAGTCTCCTTTGTGCTCTGTTTTTCTGCTTTTCCTACATAGATTTAAGTGAAATTATTTGCTCAAGGTAATTTATTACTCCTTTAAGGTTGAAGAAAAGTCCTTCATCAATACAGGCACTATAAACTCAACATGTCCAAAACTATTAGCTCATTTATTCTTTTTTAATCCTGGTCTTGGTTAACAGTTTTGATTACTTGTTTCTGGGAAAGGAAGGTAGGACTTGTGGACAATTCCACTTGCCCTAGGAAGTAGATTGTCTATTTTTATTCTCAAACTTTAAAGTTTTTATGTTTTTAAGTAATGGTTTATATTCTCATTCAACTGTGAAGACTGTACATGTGTAAATGGAGAATTTGGTTTCTTTTCTTTTTTTGAAAAGGCTTTTTAAAAGTTTTTGTTTGAAACTTTAGATGTTTTGGAAAACTTACTAGTTATCATCTGAAAACACTTGACGTTCAAAACCTGGAATATTCTCTGACTTTATTCTCAGGGAAATTGCTGGAATGTCGTTGCTGGAAGATTGCATCTGGAATGTTTTATTTATTTATCCTAAACTAACATTTCAAATAAGATGTAGCTTAAATATTAAGCACAGCATTTAAAGAAAATGAACTCATCTAGTCATTAAAGGTTTTAAATGCTCTGTTCAGCAAGTTGTAGCAGAAAGAAATTCTTGTCTGGTTTTTACCGGTTATAAATAGAAAATATCACCTAATTTACTACTTGTTTAAGATTGGGAAAACATTCTTTACCAATTACCTCCCCACAGCCTTATTTTAAGAAAGCATATCGAACTACACAGCTTCATCTCTTTCTGTCTCTCTCTCAGTTTTTCTCTCTTGCTCTCTGTCTCTCTCTGACACACACACACACACACACACACACAGAATTTATAGTTCAAGAGAATTGTTTAACTGTAGTTTGACATAATATCAGGTAATAAAATGAATTTTGGCTTTAGTTCCAAACGGCTGCCCAATTAGAATTAGCATTCATCTGTACACAGAGTATTTTTGTAGGATAGGTTTATTAATTCTACATAGATAGGAATGAACAAATTAAGTGTACAGAACGTATACTAAAGGAAAATGAATCTATTTCTTGAGAGACTAAATATTTATATTTGAAAAGATTTGCTTTTGGTTAGACTTTCAGGTGAAAACCAAATTCAAATATATTACTTATGAATATGTAAGTATAAAAAGATAATATATTATAAGCATTTAAAAATTGTATTTAAATATATTAAAATTGCTGTAAAATATTTATGCCATTAGAAGATAATGATGAGTACAGAGTAAAACTTATGAGGCTTATTTACCTGGAGAACAAAATTATAAAACCTAATTTTTAGAAATTGATATGTACTGTTATTTATCTTATTAGTAACAAAGCATATGACTGAGACAAAATACAATCAGATTAATTAACAGTGTAGTGATGATTATTGTGAATAAAGGAAACTACCCTCTAGTTATCTACCATGTTACTCTTTGAATATCGTTGTTTTAAATAATACCTGTTTTGTATGTGTAATGAAAATGAGACTTTAGCTATGGAAATATCTATACCTGCTTGCATTTATAAAAAGATAAAGAAGTTAAATATGAGACAAAATACACAATCCATAAACAATTATGATTATTGAAGATATACATGAAACATTTAACTCAAAGTTAGAAAAATCTGAAGATTTCCTAGAAAAGGGCCAGCTTTTCCAACTTTGAAATATGCCCATCTAAGCATGCTCATGCTTGGAACAAATTTTAGTTACCAAATGGATTGTGGTAGTTGGGCCAGTTAAAACCACAAGTAAGAATTAATCTCTTCCTTCTACTACCCTTTCCAAGCTGCTGCTAAATAGGGGTGGTCTTTAAGGATTTGGCATTCTAGCTACCTACAACTTCAAATGAGAATTTACTACTGATAGTGCTTTCAGTGGCAGCATTTAGTTATTCTCGGGTTCAGATGATCCAAACAGCTGGGATCTATTTCAGAATTGTCTGGCTCCAGCTGGACATGCCTTTGAAAAAAATTCTTGAACAGAGCTGGATTTCCACTGTAATCACAGGATTCAGTTTACAAAACCAAGAAATAAATGGTGGTCCTGCACAGGGCCAGTTTGACCTGGCTGTCTAGATAAAAGAAGGTCCAAATTTCTATTTATTCTTCCTCTCTAGCATTTGAGGTTATCTGACTCTGTTTAAAAGGCCTAGAGTTTCTAGTTCCTATTGGGATTTTATTAAGATAGAGTAAATGAATTTGAATAAGGAATGTTGAATAAGGAATGTTGCGTGCACCAGGGAATGATTGTGATTCATTTAGGCTAAGCATATTTATAGTGTGCTTGCTACTAGTAATCCTATTAGCAAATTGGTTTGTATTAGTCTTAATTACATTAAACCAAACACATAGGACTAAGGGAAGAACACATTACTAAGAAGTAGAGAAAAAGAAATAGTCAGTGTAGTTGGAATACCGATGCAACTTTCCAAGGCAAAAAGAATCAAGTGATAAGAAAACTGCCAAACCCCCCATTAGCCTTGCCTCACTGCCAAACTCTTACTAGTCATGGAAGTCACCAACATGTATTCCTTGGTTACAGCCTCATTCTATGTCCCCATCGCCTTGACTGCTACCCACAAACTCTGATAACCAAGGAGAAAAACAAACTCCACATATGGGGCTGCTTAGATGAGCATCAACAAACCTCTTCCCAAATTTATCCAACAATGGTTACTAGTTTAGTGATGGTTCAGGCTCTTGAAATTTAATCATTGACTAGAAGATTTTCACAGCAAGAGGTCCGAGAACATGTTAGAAGTATTTGTTTTTAATAGCCTAAAGCATTGAGCTCAAAATCTACTGATAGTAAAGGCCCTGAGTAGGAAATGGAGAATTGTTATAAGATTTGCTTGCATCTTCACTGGTTATCCCAGCAAACCACAGAGGGAAACATTCAAGGCAATTACCTAAGAGATCTACCCGTAAATCTTTAAATACCATGCAGTGTCTGTCTGCAGATGGGAAATGGATGTAGGCTTTAAATTTTTCAAAATAAAAAGTCAGAGGGAAACTTCCATGAAAGTTAAAAAAAAAAACTACTGAAAGCTATGAAAAATAATCTTATTACTTAAAAGAAAGCCAGCAAGAGATCATTCTTCTTCTGGAAGATGGTGACAGCATTTGGATCAGGTCATTTTCATTGCATCATTTGCAGCACTAGAATGCCATCGCTCCACTTCCTAGCCTATGGTTATGCCCTGTGAGAGCTCATTAACTATTATGCATTACCTTTGTGTAGCTTATAAAGCTTTGTAAGTATTTCCAATTTTGAGCAACAAAGAAAAATACATGATATTATAAACTATGGACTCTGACCAAAAGTTGTGTCACGGTTGAACAACCCACATCTAATTCTCCTTCATTTATTCAGTGCCAAGTGCTAAATAGTGTGCTGGGATCTGGGGATCCATTAATGACCAAAACAGACATGGTCACTTTTTCAAGGAGCTTATAGTCACAGTCACTCAGAGTCCATTCATTCACTCAACAGATATTTCCTGAGTACCTACTGTGTGCCAGGCATACTTTGGTATACTGGAATATGCACACACACAAAAAACAAAAATTCCTGACCTTATGGAGTTTATTTTTAGTGGGAAAGTCCAGATATTAAGCATCATATGTGATTAATAAGTAAATGATAAAATTTGTTAAAAAGATGAAAGCAGCATGGGAAAATATAGAGTAGAGGAACAGAATTCAGCAGTTGTGCAAAGACCCTAAAGGCAAGTGGGTGACTGGCATTTTTAAGGAACAACAAAGAAGCCAGGTGCTTCAGGCAGAGCAAGCTGGTGGGAGAGTGGCAGGCAAGAGGTCAGACAGGTCACAGGCTACAGCTCCTGGGCCTTGCAGGCATTACGAGGACTATAAAGAATCACTCTGATGTATTAAGAATAAACTGCAGTGTACAAAGGTGTACAATACGGCCCATTTAGAGGTTACTGCAGTAGTCCAGGTGAAAACTATCGACAGCTCAAACAACAATGATAACAACTGGCTTTGTGAGAAGTAATTGTATATTTTTTTGAGGGTAGAGCCAGTGGGATTTCCTGGTAGCTTGGATGTGAAATGTGAGAGTTAAAAAGAAATATAAAAAAGACTAAAGTGTTTGGCCTGTGCAACTAGAAGGATGAAGAGGCCATTAACTGAGAGAAAGAAGTGTTTTTGTTTTTTTTTTTGGTATTTTCTCCCCTGTAGTGAAGATACTGGTAGGGGACAGAAGAAAATCTGGGTTTCTGTCAGGGACGTGTTAAGTTTAAGATCTCTGTCAGACCAATCATATAGCAGGTCTTACACAGACAGTTACTGTGTTAATTAATGAATTTATATGTTTCATATCAGGGATACATATATGTATTCATTAGTATAGTGTACATATATAGAGCCTTATAGTTTTAATTCTTAAGTTCCTATCTTGGTGTAAAACAGTCTCTCATACTGGTAACTATTGTGCATATTTGCTGTATTTTCTTCCGTTTTCTCTATAAAATTGAGATCATACAGCAGATAATACAAATATACAGGTAATTATGAATCCAGCTTTTTTCACTTAATGTTTTCTGGTATGCAATTTCCTCACATCACATTTATAACAGATTCATAAATGCAGAATCCTATAACAAGAGGTCACTTGTTTTTCTGTTTCTTGAAAAAGTGGTATCGATTTCCATTTCTGTAACAATGCATGAGTGTATCTTTTCCCACACTCTTACAAAGTTTAAGTATGATCCTTTTAAAGAAAAATTCAAAATTGGTAGATTGCTTTGCTTTATATTTTTTCAATTATAAATGAGATTTAACTTTTTTATTTTGGGAACACAATCATTTTTCTATAAATTGCCTGTTTACAACTTTTATTCATCTTTCCTTTAAAGTGTTAGCTTATGACAGCTTAACTTGTGACAGCTCTTGATATAATGATGATAACATTTTTTTCTACTTCTTTTCTAGTCTGTCATTTATCTTTCAATAATGTTTTAGCTATTGCAATATTTTCCTCTTGGTATCTATAATCCTGTTTCTCATGTTTTTTTCTTTATAAAATCTTAACTTTGCACTTATATTTTAAACACATTTTGTAAATATATTTATATTTCCAGATCTAATATCTGATTAGTATACATATTTCTTCTGTGTTATTTTGTGATATCATTTAAAATTTTTTACTTTATGACCCATCTAGGGGTTTTCTTATGGATTTATCAATACATTTCCATTTGACCAGAAAACTAAGATATTCTGGAGGGCAAAGTAGAACAAACATGTGTGTTATGTGATTAGCTTTCCTATCTGTTCCCTGCTCACCCGCCCCATTTTACAAGTTTCCCCCGTGGCATGTTGCAGTGTCATTTCTTCATTGAAAATAAACTACAAATATTTGAACTTCAACAAATATAACTAGAATAGATTCTGTTGTATAGCCAGAGCAGACAGTTGCCTTAGGCAGCAAAAACATTACATGCAGCAAATTCTTTAGGGTTTGTTTTTAGTGTGAAAAGCTAGAGGCAACAAAAGATAAGACATTTCCCATTTTGTCTAAAGTAAATTGAACCAGAATTTAATTATCTTCTAGAAGTACCATCTTTGGCACCCATATTCACGTTCATACTCGAATGGGGGCTGAAGGGTAAAGCTACTTATACTTTTGATAAACATTTTAGAAAAAAATTTGTAACTACACATTTTCTACAATTAAAGGATGAATATTCATAACATTTTACTTTTTTAGAGACTAGTGTGTGTGTTTATGTGTATACAGATGGATGTACAGAGGGAAAACTTGCAAAGTAAAATAGATAAGAAAAAAATAAGTTTTACCTTCAGGAAGTCCTAGCCAGAGCAATTAGATAAGGGAAAGAAATAAAGGGCATTCAAATTGGAAAACAGGAAGTCAAACAATCTCTGTTTGCTAATGATATGATTATATACCTAGAAAATCCCAAAGATCCATCCAAAATACTCCTAGATTTATATGAATTCAGCAAAATCAATGTACACAAATCAGTATCACTATATGATGCAATGTACACAAATCAGTAGCACACCAACAATGACCAAGCTGAGAATTAAATCAACAATTTAATCTCTAACAATAGCTGCCAAAAAATAAAATAAAATACCTAGGAATATACTTAACCAAGGAGGTAAAAGATCTCTACAAGAACTATAAAATACTGTTGAAAAAAATTATAGGTGACACGAACAAATGGAAATACATCTCATGCTCATGAATTAGAAGAATCAATATTGTGAAATGGCCATACTACCCAAAGCAATCTATAGACTCAATGCAATTCCTATCAAAACATCAACATCATTTTTTCACAGAATTAAGAAAACAATCCTTAAATTAATAAGAACAAAAATGAATAGCCAAAGTAACTCTGTGTAAGATGAACAAATCTGGTGGCATCACATTAGCCAACTTCAAATTATACTACAAGGCTATAGTAACCAAAACAGCATGGTATTGGCATAAAAGTAGATGCATAGACCAATAAAACAGAATAGGTAACCCAGAAATAAAACCAAATACAGCCAGCTGATCTTAAATGAAGCATACAAAAACATAAAATGGGGAAAGGACACCCTACTTAATAAATGGCGCTGAGAAAACTGGATAGCCACATGTAGAAGAATGAAACAGGGTCCTTCTCTCTCACCACATACAAAAATCAACTCAAATTGGATTAAAGACTTACATCTAACAGTTGAAATCATAAAAATCTTAAAATAAAACCTAGGAAAAACTCTTCTGGACATTGGCTAGGCAAAGAATTTATGACTAAGACACTTAAAGCAAATGCAACAAAAACAAAAATAAATAAACGGGACCTAATTAAACTAAAAAGCTCCTGCACAGAAAAAGAAATAATTATCAGAGTAAACAGACAACCCACAGAATGGGAGAAAATACTTGCAAACTGTGCTTCCAACAAAGGACTAGTAACAAGACTCTGCAAGAAATTCAAACAAATAAAATAAAAAAAAACACAAATAATCCCATTAAAAATTAGGCAAATGACATGAATAGATAGCTCTCAATAGAAGATATACATAAATGACCAACAAACATTTTAAAATGTTCAACATCACTAATAATCAGGGAAATGCAGATTAAAACCACAATGAAATACGACCTCACCCCAGCCAGAATGGTAATTATTAAAAAGTTAAAAAGTAACAGATGCTGATTTGGATGTGGTGAAAGAGAACGCTTATACACTGCTGGTGGAAATTTTAATTAGTACAACCTCTATGGAAAACAGTATGGAGATTTCTCGAAGAACTAATAGTAGATCTATCATTTGATCTAGCAATCTCACTGATGGTTATCTACCCAAAGGAAAAGAAGTCATTATAGCAAAAAGACACCTGTACACATGTGTTTATCACAGCACAAAATTCACAATTACAAAGATATGGAACAAAACTAAGTGCCCATCAACCAATGATCGGATAAAGAAAATGTGGTGTATATACACTGTAGAATACTACTCAGGCATTAAAAAAGAAAAAAAATATCCTTTGCAACAACTTGGATGTAGTTGGAGGCCATTATTCTAAGTGAAGTGACTCAGGAATGGGAAGCCAAATACCATATGTTCCTGATTACAAGAGGGAGCTAAGCTATAGGTCCACAAGGGTATACATTATGCCACAGAGTTGTATAACAGACATTGGAGACTCAGAAATGGGCAGGATGAGAGAGGGGTGAGAGCTAAAAAACTACATATCAGTTACAATATACAGCACTTGTATGATGGCAGCATCACAATTTCAGACTTCACCACTATACAATTCATCCGTGTAACCAAAAACCACCTGTACCTCTAAAACTATTGAAATAAAAATAAATATATATGAAAAAATTCACTTTCAACCTAATTATTCAAATCTTTGTTTTGAAGACTGAAACCAAAAACTTGTACACAATTGAAAGTATGACAATAATCTAATCTTTCTTTTGTAACTTGACTTCTAGACTTTAGCAGCCTGGAGAATTTATGAGATTCTAATATCACAAATACCTCAAACTTCTTTTTGACTCTAGGACTCACCTAAGGCCCCTTTAAGAATCTATTATGCTCTGGTCATGTTCCAAGGCTTTTCTGAGTATACATATCTAACAGTGTTCCCAAATATCTGTATTCCAGTTGGGCTGTGTTGATTCTATCCCACCGGGTACCGTGGTCTCCCGCTGGGTATTATTAGACTCCACCAAGTGTTGCAGCTTCCCAACAGGTACCTTTTTGCTCCATAAAGCATTGCTAACTGGAATCCTTCTGTGACCAAGTCAAAGGGTGGTCTGGGGCAACACAGGAAAGGATGCCCTTTCTGCCTGTATGTTATAGTTGATCAGAGAGATCCTCTAGTAATATTACTTAGGTCTTCAATGTTTAACAGTGCTTTTGTTAAAATAGATCAATCTTGAAATTCTTATATTTCTATTGCTGGAATAATCAACATATATTCAGTACTTATTGAGTCTATGTTCTTCCGCGACTCAGATGCAGAGCCAGCGAAGGCAGGGCAGTAAACAAATGCAAGTGACAGAATTGACCCAGTCTTCAGAATCAGGCCTCCTCCATGACCAAGGCTGTCTTACCAGGCCAAGCAGAAACTCAGAAAACCTTGTCCGTTTGACCTTCAGGGTAACTTTCCACCCTTGATTTTATGCCAGACACGTGCACACATGCTTTAGAGACGATGTCCCATGTTTGTCAAACATAATTTGAAACCTGCTTGAAAACCAGGTGAGATATTTTCTTTTGAGAACTTTGAGTCCTGAAAGAAAATATTATCCTAAATGCATCCCCTCTGTTTACCTAAGTTCTATCACTTTAAATGCAAATGACTTCCAATTTCACATGCATGCATTCATCTGTTGCTTTATGAGTTTGTTTCTATTCTTTGCATGGGTGAAGTGAGAATTCCTAACTAGCTCACAAGATTAAGTGTAAAAAATGTCTTTGTGTCCCCTTATGGAAAACAGAGTGGTAGATAAAGGGAAATACAGAATCCTGCTCAAATCTCATTATGTTGGTGTCTGCTTTGTCAAAGTAATAGCTTTTGTTTATTTCTTTAAGCTTCAGGAATAAAAAAGACCTTTTTTTAAAAAAAATAGGCATAGGGAGGTATGTAGTCAGAACTTGGTATTTGCTTTCCCATTAACTACAAAGTTTCTGCACATGAAGCTTTTCTCCCTGATATTTATGACTTTTTATGTGGACATACGGAATTGGTAATATGCAGGATAAACAAATCTATATCCATAGTGAAATGGGCACAGCCTTTTATGCAGGCAGGATATGAGGTGTACGTGATGAGTGGTTGAAGTGGCTTTTCAACCGCACACATTAGACATAGTTAATGTAATTCCTGCTAAGTGCAGGAGTTTTTATTATGACATATTTTAATATGACACAATACTTTTTTTTTACAAAATGCATCCAGAAGTTATCGAAGTTCATTTGTAAGTTAACTCTGATAGCTGTATTTTAGAATTAAGTTTCTCTCATTTGCTTTACTAAATGATCACTTTTATCTGATCAATGCTTTTCAGAATCAACACTCAATAGGTGCTGAATATATGTTGATTAATCTAGCAAAAGAAATATAAGGATTTCAAATTTTCTATCACAATTTTCTACTCTTCTCTGTTTAGCTACTTTCTATAACTACTGCAACTGCAATGTATTGAATCTTCTCTTTGAAAGAAGACTGAAAAGAGGTTAAGGCACTCATTTGTATTCACCCGGAAACTGAAACTTGAAAAAAAATTATACAATACTGATAGCCGCTATTTGTTGAATGCTTACTGTGTGCTTTTTCTCGTTCCCTTTAACCCCCTTTTGTATAAATATGGACACCAGTTGGCACTATGCTCAGAAAGAGTATACTACTTACCTCTCCATTTGCCCAATAGCAGCTAAAGATGTAGAAACCAAATTCTTCCCAACAACTGCACACACTGAGCACAAACCTCACTCTCTTGTTAAAATGCAATCAAACCTGGAAATATGCTTTAAATGAAGTTAATCATCAAATGAAGTAGCAACCAAATAAGTGTAAGAGTTTTAAAGAGTTTATGTCAATATGATGCTAAAATTATATCTAATGACTAGTATTTCTTGACCATGGATGAGGGGCATAGTACTATGCTGAAGCATTTTACATACAGTTTTTTCATTTCATTTTTACGAAAACCTTATGAGTATGTACCTTTATGATTAGGGAATTTAAATAACTTTCTCAAGGTCATATTTTACCAATAAGAAAACTGAGGCCAGAGCTATAAAATGGCTGAACATAATCAATGCATATTAAAATGGCTTTATTTAAATGTTGTGGGTTAGAAGCAGTTAATATTTTCCTTTTTTTTTCCCCTTAAAGCTTCTCCTTTTCTGCAATGAGTCAGCTTGTATGCAGGGCCACTAAATAAGGCCAACTTACTGGATATTTCATATTTCTCATTGTCATTAAATAGACATATAGTCTGAATTAGAGGAAATATAGTTCTGTTTCTATCTGAAATATGTGTGAATGTGTATTACGTGATGTATTGTGTTACGGTATTACTCTGCTTTTTATCTGGGTGAATGTTAAAGAAAGCCTGACCTGGAAAAGGAGAAATGAGAATATAACAAGTGAACTTCTCTCAAGATCCACTCTACAGGACCAAAAGGTTGATTAGTTATGGCAACAAAGAAGACGAAGTCGTTATAAATGATGTTGAGGCTTTGAATCTGAGCAAATGGGGGATAGTGATACCATTTACAGGAATTGGAGGATCCCCTGGTTTTCGTTTGGGGATGAACATAAAGGCAGTTTTAGATGGCTTAAGTTTAAGATAGAGCAGACTATTGGGGGATGTGCTGTCGAGAAGATATGCAATGGGAAATCTGTAACTTAGGTGAAACTGGAAATGGCTTGAACTATGCATGGCATTTTAGAAGTCACCTTAACTAAAACTTCTGCAACAGGCATTGTTCTAGTGCTTTATGTATAGCAACCTATTTAATCCTCAAAACCAGTGAGGTATGTATTGGGTTGAATAGTGTCCTCCAAAAATTCATGTCCACTTGGAACATCAGAATGTGACCTTATTTGAAAATAAGGCCTTTGCAGATGTAATTAAAATGAGGCTCGACAGGATGAAGTAGCCAATATTCTAAATCCAATAACTGATGTACTTACAAGAAGAGGAAACAACACACAGAGACACAGAAGAGCAGGCCACGGGAAGAGTGAGACAGAAACGAGTTCCACTCCCAGAAACACCTGAGGACTTGCTGAAGAACACCTGGGGCCACCAGAAACTGGAAGAGGCAAGGAAGGAATCTTCCCTACAGCCTTCAGTGGGAGCATGGCCCTACTGATACCTTGGTTTTTAGACATCTAGCTTCACCAACTGTGAGAGGAAACATTTCTTTTGTGTTAAGTACCAAGTTTGTGGGAATCTATTAAGGCAGTCCTTGAAAACTGATACAAAGTGCACACTTTTATTACCTCCATTTTAGAAGCAAAGAAAATGAAGCACAGATGAGGCATCCAACCCACTCTCTCAAGGTCAGACAGTTAAATGGAACTAGAATTCAAACTGAGATTCTCAGGCTTCAGATTTTTGCACTTAGCCACTGCTTATACTTCCTCTATTATTTTTTATTACCTGATAATAAAGAATGACCTAACCTGTGTATAGGGAACAAGACACAGCGCAGCATTACCTGAAGGCAAACTGTTGTTCAGAATACGTAAGACATTAGGCTCAAACCATTTTTCCTTATCTAGCTATTAGATTATAAAACCATTGTTTACTGTCTTGTCAAAACCTAATATACTAAAATAAACACATCTGCTATGTAAGTAGCAATAGAGAGCTATCAGAGACGTGAATTTATTTGTAATAATCTATGACAACCTCTACAACTCATTATCTAAATCCTCTTCATCAGAATATAGTGTTTACATAGCTTCTTTTATAGCCTGATTTAATGGTTTCTGGAACCTACAATTCTGTAGAGTCAACTATATTTCTGATCTTGTCTCCATATCAAAAAATAAATAGAATTTGATTGCAGATTGTGTAACTATGGAAAAGTCACATCACATTAACTTCTTTAAATAAAAACTATGTATTTTATATGATTGACTGTATGTTGCCTGGCCATACTTTCAGAATGTTTGGAAGGGAAATGATTTCTCTTTGACATTCTCTGTGTCATTCTGTTGGTTGGGGCAGAAACCCAGATTTCTCAGGAGTAGTGTTTACTACAATTAAAACACACCTGCTACATATTGGGCACTATACATATATTACTTTATTTTTCACTCACATGACTCTCTGAGGTTATCTTCAAATTATAGATGTGAACAAGAAAGAGTATAAAGGTTAAATAACTGGAAGAAGACGACACAGATTTGAATTGTCAGAGCTGGGATTCAAGCCCACGTTTCTCCTACTCCAGTTCTCCTTCTTTCTGCTATTTTTTCCCGTACCAAATGAAGGTGGTTATCAATATCAGAAAGATGAGATACATAGGATTTTAACTAGTCAGTCTGAAGAAGATGTTCATTTCTTTACATCTTTCATTTGCCACTCCTTCATATGGAGTAAAGGTACCTTAAGGACCCCTATGAATAATAATCTGCCTTATGAAGGAATAGAGCTGTTAATGTGGGGCTGATAGACTCATGAAGCTCACTTTGGTTACGGTTGTCCTGAAAAAAATACCTGCCTACTCTATCTAGAGCCTGCTTTTTACTGCAAAAAGTAAGACACGACAGGAATACATATGCTTGGATGATTAAAGACAGATGGTGAGTAAGGTGGCTCACAATTTAATAATCATAAAAATAAGAAGACTTTCTGTTGCTTATTCCCTTAGTTTAACCCCATTTCATACCAAAAATGACATATTTTTCTCCTAAGGGGCTCAGGTTCTTTTCACCCAGGCTGGAGTGCAGTGGCACGGTCTCAGCTCACTGCAGCCTCTGCCACCCGGGCTCAAGCGATTCTCCTGCCTCAGACTCCGGAGTAGCTGGGACAACAGGTGTGCGCCACACACCCGGCTAATTTTTTTGCATTTTCAAGTAGAGATAGGGGTTTTACCATGTTAGCCAGACTGGTCTCAAACTCCTGATCTCAAGCCGTCCTCCTTGGCCTCCCAAAGGGTTGGCATTACAGGCGTGAGCCACCACGCCCGGCAAGGGTTCCACTTCTTAAACATTATTTTCTACTTGTACTTTTTAAACTTTGTGAACCAGCAGAGGGAGCTGTAGGGTCATAAGCACTGTGTTCTTTTTAAAATGATCTAATAAGCACTGAGTGTGAAGTGCTTCTGTTTCATTGCCAATGAAGAAAATACTGAGTCAACCCTCCTTGCCTATGTAGTGTTTATTCAAGGGATAAAAACTCTCCTAGGAGGCTCTACTGGCCAATTATCAGGGGTAGAACAGAACATTATTTATACAGCACACACTGCAGTGGCTCCATGGGATCTGCTCTGGTCTATTGAGTAATTACATAATTACGTGAAAAAATATATTTATCTCAGAGATCAGAAGAGATTAAAATGCCTGTCTGAAAAGCTAAGGATGCTGATATAGATGCAAAGAATTCTTTGGTTTGGCCTTATAAGTAAAACATGGGACATGTGGTGATTCAACAATTAATTAATCTTAATAAAATGAAATAAAGCTTTGACATTGCCAGTGAGGCCCTGTGATATTTTTCAAAACATTTATATGTTAATTAAAGTCGATTCACATAAAAATTAAGACGATCAGGCGTTTCTCCTTTTTATCATGGTTCAGCTCTCACAAAATGTATCTTAATCCAAAAAAAGTAAGTTTATGACATTTTATGTTACTTTAAAACAAACAGTTTAATGTAGCAATGTTTACATATCTGAAACTTGAAACCTATTTTGCCATTCTTTGAGGTTCTTTGAGGTCATAAAAGAGAGTTTTCGTTTTCATTTACACAAATGAGTATTCACGTAGTAATTTTCTAAAAATTTGAAGGTAGACTAGAAGTTTTCATTATGTCTAGGACACATTTGTATGCCCAAGTAACTGTAAAAAATTAATTAATAATAATCAAATGACACTGCCTACCATCTTCTAAGAAAGGCCCAAAGAAAAACTAATTCCATTATTATTTTTACAAAGTTTAGGATGAGTAAGACTGGTACAAAGGAGTATACAGGGATCAACATCAGATAGGCTAAGAATCTTTGGCAAACAACACTCTTCCATATTTCTTCGTGGTAGGATTTACAGATGTGTTATTTAAAATCCAATTAAGTTTGTTAATAGTAGAAAAATTAAAATGTTGAAGAAAATAGCATAAGCAAGATACTACAGCCATACATAATTGAGAAAGATTAATAGAAAAGTATTTTGAAGAAAATTATTGTAAAAGTACTAATTAACTTATTGCACAAAGAGGGAATTACATCAAGGAATAATGGTAGAGTTAGGAGGTTTGGGGTGGGGGGGTTCTGATTGACTTCATTAACCATCAGGACTTAAAGCATAAATGAGTGCAGTGTATGAAATCACAGATCCAATGCTCTTTCCCTCCATTCTCCTGATTTTTACATATATTATTTCTTCAATAACATCAAAGGCAGGAACAAGTACTTCTTGCTTGCATTTTTAAAAAAGATGAACAGACAGTAGGAGAGGATTTCTCTTTTGGTCCCTTTTTTCTATTATAGAAGTTCATACAAAAAAAAAAAATTAGTCGGGCGTGGTAGCGGGCACCTGTAGTCCCAGCTACTCAGGAGGCTGAGGCAGGAGAATGGCGTGAACCTGGGAGGCAGAGCTTGCAGTGAGCCAGGAGACAAAGCGAGACTCCGTCTCAAAAAAAAAAAAAAAAAAAAAAAAAAAAAAAAAAAAAAAAAGAAAAGAAAAAAAAAAGTTCAAAATCCTTGATTTATAGATAACTTTAGAGATATTAAGAACTGTTCTAAAAGATCCAGACTAATTCCTACAATCACAGAGTAAACTTTTTCAAGGCAAAAATCAACATAATAAGCTGTGGGACTAAATGTAAAACTTAAAGATAAAATAATACATTATAAGCATATACTAAAAAAAGCATTTAAACTACTTTAATTTTTTTATTTTTGCCACACAAAAATATGTTTTGAGACCTATTTTTACATAATGTGAGCATTATCATCCAGTGACAATTTTTGATACATAAAATATATTTTTTCACAGAAGTACTGTAAGTTGAGGCAAAGCTTATCATCTCAAGATTATCAATTGAAACCCAAAAGGAAACTCCAAAATTTGAAGTGAGATGCTCAGACTTCATAGTTTAACCTGAAATGGACATAGAGTAGTGCATAGAGTTAATTGTCAACAAGAATTTAAAAATGCTTTTGAAAAGTGGGATTCAAACCACTTTCCTGCCTTTTAAAATATGCATTACAATAGAAATAGTGTAATTATTTTCTTAGTGACTGAATCATTGTTTTGATCATCTTTGTCCTACGCAGTGATGGTGTGTAAATTTTATGTGTTTCTGCCTCTGCTCATCAGGCAGCCTGCTCTCATATCTCCTGCAGCCATCTTGTGCCTTACTTCTACTTCCTACTTCCTTTTCATTGGTTCTTAGACTGCCATGGTCTAAGAGGACCAACTGGCTTTTAAGAATTAAATATTTAGTAATAGGCTGCTGATGGCCTCAGATTCAGAAGGCAAATGATAGCCATTTCAAGCTCTCAGAGGCTCTATAACAATTCTAGCTTTAGCTGTATTTGGAAATGAGTTGCCTTGTGGGTATTACATGGATGAAAGCATGGGAGAATCTTTTCCTAAGATCGCCTGTTGGAAGTCAATTAAAATCATTTTAAGTTTGGTTTTGAAAATAAAATGTGACAAATTTATACATAAAAAAGAATAAAATGATAGCTTCAGTATACCTACCAAGGATAATGAAAGTACAACATAGCTCCCATTGGTAATTATACCAGAAAGGATGCAATGTAGAATACAGATCATAAATTCAATGCTTATCACATAATTTTTATATTGTGCACATAGCAATTTCCTGAAATTCTAACCTTTGAACATTCTTATCCTGCTTGGTATTTTTTCTCTTAATGAAAAATCCAAAACTGTAAACCTTCCTCAAAATCTGACCTAGGGTGTTTAGAATTTGGTAGTTAATTTGTTTAAAGTAACACAGATCTCAGAATGTTGCACAGAGTACAAGTTTAATAAATATTTGTATACTGTTTGACAGCATTGCTGGTATCTTTACTGTCCCACAGAAAACACTCAACAGAAAGAGTGCATCTAGTTCTGCCACAACTGAGGTGTTGGGTATTTTGTCATGACAGCCTATTGAGAAAGGAATTAATAAAACTGTTCTTAAAATTATCTTGCAGATCAGGCTCCTTTTTGAAGTTCAGGCAAGAATATAAAGTTTTAGGAGGGAAAATGTTATAGACCAGGACAAGTTTGTGAAGAATGTAATCTTAAGTTTGCCCCACTAAGAACCAATTTCTCAATTTATCTTGACATTTTTATATTTTAACACATTTTACAAGGATTTCAATTGATCTATTCTGGAAGAAAATATGATGAGTATTTTGGCATATCAAAGTCATAGCTACTACTTAGAAAGTCTAAATGCATGAAAGAAAAAGAAAGATTGGTGCTAACAGTTGTCCATTCTTGTAGAAATAAGAGCACTGGGAACAAGCAGATAAACTGAGGCAAATACAACTTATCATAGAAGAATTTTTGGCTGGGCGCAGTGTCTCACGCCTGTAACCCTAGCACTTTGGGAGGCTGAGGCGGGCGGATCATGAGGTCAGGAGATGGAGACCATCCTGGCTAATATGGTGAAACCCCGTCTCTACTAAAAGTACAAAAAATTAGCCGGGCGTGATGGCGGGCGCCTGTAGTCCCAGCTACTTGGGAGGCTGAGGCAGAAGAATGGTGTGAACCCGGGAGGCAGAGCTTGCAGTGAGCCGAGATCGCGCCACTGCACTCCAGCCTGGGCGACAGAGTGAGACTCCGTCTCAAAAAAAAAAAAAAAAAAGAAGAAGAATTTTTAACTACTTTGTCCTTTTGCCCTGGTCCCAAATCTTCAAAGCACTCACAAGAAATATGGCAACGTGTCAAGCAATCTTCAAAATTATCCAAAAGTGCTCTATTGTCTCGGGATACAATCCCAACTTTTTTGCACAGGACACAGGAGACCTTTGACAAGTCCCCTGCATCTGTTCAGTGTTTTCTCCTCCACAGTTTCTGCCCCCACCCCACAGTGTTCAAAGTTCACGTGCCCATTCACATTCTGTGCCTTCAGGTCTGCCAAACCCTCTTTCTGGAATCTACCCCTGATATTTCTCTAGCAAAATCTCACTCATCCCTCAACTTACAGATGCCATTCATTTCTTCTGTACAGTCTTCCCTAGCTGTGACAGGAAGTGCCAGCTATTTCCTTCTCTGTGTTCTAATGTCATTGTCCATATCAATCTCAGGGAACTTACAAGTTACAATTTTTTAAATAACTTTCTTTTTCATTTGACAACATTTTTCATATAAACAGGGACTGTATTAGCTTATCTTGAACTAAAAGAGCCTAATAAATGACCTGGAAGACAGACAGCAAGCATTTTATTAGAGTCTAGAATGAAGGTGTGAGTCAGTGAATGAATTTATAATTTTGTTCAATGTGGCTAAAATTAAGCCAATGATGCTTATTTTTAAATCAGAAAGATTATTTACTCACTGATTCACCATTGACTAGGAGTCTTCTAAAATTCAAATAGAAGACAGATCAGAATGCTCCTGGAAGACAAATAGGACATGGGCCCTGCCCTCAAGGGCTCCGCAGTCTAGCTAGAAGGAATTACAGATATCACATATATAGGTATATAAAATGCATTCTCAGTCTCAAAGAAGCACAGCTAAAAGGATTTAGAACTGGCAGGAAGGCGGACGAAGAAACGCCTCTATGTAAATAACACTGCAGAACAAAAGCATAGAGGCCAGAAACCACGTATTATTTTCAAAGAACTGAATGCAGCTCAGCATTGCTGCAGCATGGAAAAAAGAAGGCTGTGGCCGGAGGCAAGGCAGGACAGGAGTGAAGAGGCAAGGTCATAAAGAGACCTGTACATCATTTCCAGGGACTTACTCTAAAGGAATTAGTGAACACTTGAAGGAATCTAAAACAAAACAGTCAGATTTGTGTGGTCAGCTGTCTGGGAGAGGGAGAGAAGCTGGAGACAGACAAGATTAAAGGCAAGCTTGGTTTGAGTACAAAACTGTTATTACATAAGGATCAATAACACGAGTTTAAAATTATTAAAAACAAAGATACCAAGCATTTTGTAAAAACATTGGTATAAAAAGATCTTGTAAAAATTTTCCATCAAGCTATAAGGTTGCATGGTCTCTGTATTTTAGTTAGGGCAAACAGGATAGATGGGCAAATGGAAAAAATGAGGCCCGTTGCTATTCTAACAAAACTTCATAGGACACCCTAAAAAAAGGCTCAGGTCATGACTTAGTTTTGTAAAGGGGAAGGACACTTAACATGGGAACCCTGCTCCTCTGTAATCCACACTTTCCTCCAAAATAAACTATTTTAGTTACCTTTCATAGTTTTCTATAAAAGCCAAATAATTATACAAAAGCACATTGTATATGTTGAAGCACTACACTACACAACTGTAAGGTATTATAAACATCTTTTTTAAAATCTTTGATTTAAGTAAAGCAAACAGCTAAGCGTCAAGAAGGCTGCCAGTCTATTATTAATTCCACATTTATAAAGGGATAATACAAATCTCATCTCAGAAAACATCAGGGAACACTCCATTAGGCATAAAACAAAGGAGAGCAAGTCCATAAAAATGGCATCTGCCTATTCTAGTAATGAGGAATTGTTTTTACTTCCTGAGATTCCTATTAGCATTAGTATGAGTGGAGTGTGTACACCTTAGCATACTGATAGCGCCTACATTAATGGACGTGGTGTACACACATTTTTGCAAGGAGATAGATTTCTCCATTTTTAGCAACCACATGCTTATTCACACATATATTTTGTAGAATACTGACTCAAATAGGAATTCAAATTATATTTGAGAGCTCCTTGGAGAAAAGGCTGGTTCTAGGACTGGGACAAGAAATACATAAAATGAGCCTAGAGAATCTTGTAGTCCCAGAAAGTAAAGATATTCTAAAACAAACCAACACCCTGACATTAATGGAATATGTCAATGGGACACAGGAGTCAATGGAAAAAGTTCCCAAAGGCCAAAACAGGAACTATTTGAGCAACAAAGTAAGTAATATAGTATTGAGTTATAATCCAAAGTATAAAATGAATATCCATGTGTCCATAATGATGAAAATAAATGAACAGATAAATCAATGGAGGAGGAGAAACAAATCTGTGCAAAAGAATTTCAAATGATTTATGTGTGTACAGGACATTTCCTTCAAGGAAGTAGAGTGCAGCTTCCCACTCTTTAAATGGGTACTACACACAGTGACTTCCTTCCAAAGAGTACAGTATGGAAACGGAGTAAAAAAAGGATAACTTTACAGTGAAGAATCTCCAAAACTACTACCTCAGCCAGGTGATCAAGGTCAAAATTAACAGCGATAAACCATATTGGTAGTATGTGCCCCTCGTATCATGGGATGAAATGTTACTTTATCTCTGCTGTCTTTCTTCCAAAAATCCACTACCTCAATATAATCCTGAGAAAAACATCAGTCAAATCCCGGTACAGGGATATTCTAGAAAATACCTAACCAGTATTCCTCAAAACGTTTAAGGTCATCACAAACAAGGGACGTCTGAGAAATTGTCACATCCCAGAGGAGCCTAAGGAGACATGAAACCACACATAATGTGGTATGCTGGATAGATTCCTAGAATAGAAGAGAAGACATTAGGAAAAAAACTAAATAGATACCAAGAAAATATGGGCTTTAGTTAATAACAACGTATACATATTGATAAGGCATGGATCTGTGTCCCCATCCAAATCTCATGTACAATTGTAATCCCCAGTGTTGGAGGTGGGGCTTGGTGGGAGGTGATTGGATCATAGGGGTGGATCCTTCATGAATGGGTTAGCACCACCCACTCAGTGCTGTTCTCCTGATAGTGTGTGAGGGAGTTATTGTGAGATCTGGTTGTTTAACAGTGTGTAGCACCCCCTCCTCCCTCTCTTCCTCCTACTCCAGCCATGGAAAGTGCTGGCTCCCCCTTCACCTTCTGCCATGACTGCAAGTTTTCTGAGGCCTCCCCAGAAGCCGAGCAGGTGCTAGCATCATGCTTCCTGTACAGCCTGTGGAACTATAAGCCAATTAAACCTCTTTTCTTTATAAATTACCCAGTCTCAGGTATTTCTTTATAGCAATGCAAGAACTGTTTTATACAACTATTGATTTACCAATTATAACTGTGCCATACTAACATGAGACATAAATAATAGGGAAAACTGGATATGGGGTATATGAAAACTCTCTGTACTATCTTCAGAATTTTTCTACAAATCCAAACCTGTTCTAAAATATAAAATCTAACTTTAAAACATGTAATTTTGGTTGGGATTTATTCTGTTTTAAAGGTAATATTATTAAGAAGAAAGACAAAGATGTGAAGCAGAAATTTTAAATTGGAATCAAATGAACAAGGGCTTCAAATGCTTTGGAAAGTGATATTATCTACATAGTCCCATTAATGAGACCTATTTAGTCTTTGCATGGCAGCAAAGTTCTTTGTGATGGTCCATGCAGAATTTAACTGCCCACATTACAGCATCATCTTAAATGCTTCACAAGTGTGCATGAGCAGGAGGAATGATCATGGTATGAGCCACGTATTCCACTTTTCCATGACCTAGTCCATTTTACTCTCCAGACTTATATGTAAATATGACTGTCCCTTCTGTGATCTGAAAGTGGCCTTACCCTCCTGTCCAGTAAGCCTGTGGCGAGTCTCCTCCCATCTCCAGATGTCTTTGTCTAAATCCCTATTAAAGGACTTACCATGCTATGCTCTATCCACTTGTATGTTGCTTCCTCCAGACTGGTCTCCCACAGGGCCAGGGCTCTGCTTTTCACCTCTGCATCCACCCCACTTTAATGCAGCATTCCACACATGGCAAAGGCTCATATGTGATTGTGGCAGTGTGTTATTAGTACTTACACAATTGAATGTTGCTATTTGCTTATTTGGGAAATATTTAAAGAAACTGATTCTTGATTCAGCTATTCAAACCCAATGCAAAAGTTTATCTTTTTCCCTGCTTCTCAAATAGAAAGCAATTTTAAAAGCTGTTATGTTATTTATACAGAGAAATATAAATTTAAAAGATTAATTAATTTTAAAATAGGTTAACATATATATAGACAAATGAATGGAACCATATTGACAAATGGTGCTCTTCTTTTCCAATGTTTAAGTGGCATCACATGAGATTAATTAAGTTACTGGACTCTGTTTTAAATTTGCAATTCAATTTGATTTATCTCAAGGTCTTTTAAACCTTTTAACCTAATAATCCATGACAATGTCATAAAAGATGAAGTTCACCCATACTTGCTGGTATTTTCCTCTTCCTTCATTCTCTCTCAATGTTGACCTCCAAAAAAAAAAAGATACCTTAGTGACTTGCAAGAAAGGTACATTCTCAAATTGCTTCTCCAACCTGACTCCACCCTCCACATCCAAAGATGTGAGGAAAGATGAGCATAAAACTCAGTGGAAGAAATTAAAGAGAACCAGAGGAAGTGGGT
This sequence comes from Homo sapiens, assembly GCF_000001405.40. Classification (NCBI taxonomy): domain Eukaryota; kingdom Metazoa; phylum Chordata; class Mammalia; order Primates; family Hominidae; genus Homo; species Homo sapiens. The sequence goes on along the minus strand of NC_000002.12, from coordinate 182,069,314 downwards.
CTGGAAATAGGAGCATACTTGGGTTTAAAAAAAAAAAAAAGAAAGCGAGACTTGTATATATTTAGAATGTTCCTTGTTATCTAGAAATCTGTCAAAATGTTTCTTGAGCTGCATAAATATGCCCCACCCTACACAGTAAACAAACTGAGCCAGCACAAACAAAAAAGCCAAGATTTAGAAAGGAAAATGTGATGAATACCTGAAGAACACCCACAGAGGGACAGGAGTGTTTATAAAAGGAATGTAGTGTGGTGGAGATGGCCTGATGAGAGGCTAAGAGATCTTGCTGCCTTCTCTTCCTGCCTTCAATTTTCAATGTGCGACGGGTAATGAGAACAGGATATTACAGCAGTCTATTCCTTTTGAGAGTTTTTTTGAGTCATAATTTTAAGGAGATTTGAAATCAGGAAGAGTGAACTGGTCACATTCCAATACAGCCATGGTTAATTTACCTATGTTGCCTAAGCGTAGGCTGCATTTATATGGTGTGATGATTTCCTTCTCATCCCTCTGGCAAGAAATATTTATTGCATAATCTGCTATAGCACCCCAAAATTCAACATCAGCTATCATTTTGTTTTTCAACTTTTTTGAACTGCAAGGCTTATTAATTGAAATATCAGTATCTCTTACAGGAATGTTATAATAGTCGGAAAATAAAGGACATGATGTCTGAGGACCGGAGCTAGGTGAAATGAGGGAAAAGCCACATTTGTTTAAAAGAAAGCAAAATGTTGAAGATAAACTTCACACGCCGACCTGAGGCTTAGTGCTAAACAAAAGTGGAGTGAATGTTGCAAGCGTGGTAATCCACATGGATTTTACATCTAGGCATCTTAAACCCGACTTTTCAAGTCTCACTGGGATGAAAACAAAGCTATTTTATTCTCCTGGAAGTCCTTTCACCTCTCCTCTGTCTCTCTCAAAATCATTCCTTCATGCTGCAGGGTGAAGCAGAAACGGAGGAGGAGTATTCGCCACTCTCAATTCAGGGTTCAAATAATTATTCAAAATAGTTCCACATATTGTGTGCCTGATCTAAGCATTTTCTTTACACATTTTGTTTCATTCAGTCCCTACAGCAATCATATGTGGTAAACAACACTTTCATTTTCCCCATGAGAGAAGTGAGACAGGCTAATCCTGTGAAAGTTGCAGATACTAGGATGAAATCACTTTTTTGTCAGGCCCAAACACACTAAAGCAAAAAGCCAAAAGGAGGAGTTCATGTTATATGGCTGAGATAAAGACTGTCTCAAGGACTTGCTAAAATAACCTCCCAAGAAATTCTTTCTTTAGGACTACTGCAATTCAGATAAGATGTTCTCAAAAGAATACCGGTTCAGTAATGGCATCTGCAGCCATTACTGGACAGGTATGTCCAGCAATGTAATTAAATTGCCATTCAATTATATTGGCAATTAACTGATGCCAAATCTGGCTCTGAGTGTCCGAAACTAATAAACTCTGTTTCCAAGTACCTTACATGAACTTCCCCCTGTGCCAATAAAACTTCCCTTTACCCTTCCCACTGCGGATGCATATGTGGCTTGCCTTAACTGTGCGTCTTGGGTCATAATCTTCATTTCTACTTCCCAAATACATCCAGCATATTTGAATATATTTTTCTTTGTTGTTGTTTTGTGGGGTGAACAACCCATTGATTTTCTGAAGGTTGCACAGCTAATAAGTGGTGGCATTGAGGGTGGAACCGTGATGGCTTGTCCGCCAAAGTCCATGTCCTTTCATATTGAGTTCCAGGAAATCACCATGATCAGCAGTTTTCCCTGATTGGAAGATCATGTTTCATTTGGTGATCTGAAGTACGTCTTATTCTTGCCATTATTGCCACTTTCATCTTCCACCCTCCAAAATCCATGTTAGCCTTCTTATTTGTCCAGGTTGATTTGCTCTCTGATTTATTCTGTATTTGTATTTATTTCTTTATTATGAGAAGGGGTTGAAAAAAAAATCAAGATCATAGCCATCCTTGGAGAAAAAAAAAAGCTTCAGTGTTAAAATGCTGTAAGCATACAAAGGTATTTTTGACATATCAGAAGTCTGTTTGACTTAGAAGAAAAATATCTAGATACTGAAGTCTTTACAAGAAATCATGAAGAATGGGAGGAAAAAGATGTTTTACAGAAGTAAATGAAAAATCTGACTGGCTATGCATTAAGAATGGTAATGCAATACTAATAGGCCCTGCTCTACAAAGTCATTTTTAAGTCAGCTGCTTTGTTTAATGTTCCAATTTCCGTTTAAATCAATAGCACTTACTTTGCTTTCTTCAGTAGAAGGCATTTGCATTCCAGTAAAACACACACACACACACACACACACACAAACACACACACACACAGACACACACACAAAATTGGGATAGAAATGAGTCAGCCATTTCCTGTCCTAACATCCAAATCCACTTTTCTGAAAACATGATTCAAGCAGTCCAACAATAATTTAATTGGCTGTTCTGTAAATTACAGGGCTGACCACCATATAAACACCAGAGAAATGTACGTGGGTATTAGTCATCAGCTGTCATTTTTCTGATAATCTGAACTTTCTGTGCATAATCATGAAACACAATATTACACAAGATAATGAAAAAGTCTGTTTTCTATGCAAACTTCAACTTCTGTCATTTTTATGCACAATATATATCATAAATTTATGACTCATGGTTAGCACAAGGCATCTGAAATACAACAATTTATCTAATAGGAGTGCTGATGATAACCTCTGATGAAGGGATGGAACCCTGATATAATAAGTCTATTTGATAAATGGTTTAATGATGGTGACAAGGGGATCAATGTGAATTAGAAGGGGATATATGGGCTGCTGCAGGGCTCTCTTTTAGCTGTGTTTTGTTTCATACATTTGTTATGGATCAGATAAAAATAACAAAATAGGTTTATCTTATCTATGATGACACACAATTGAGATAGCTGAAAATAGAATGAATAATAGAGTCAGGATACAAAATATAACATGCCGATGTAACAATCTGTCTCCAACATAGGCAATTCAATTGAGATGACAGTACTGTATTAGTTTCTGATATAAACAAATTTAAGACATCAGTATGGGGAATACATGGTGAATAATATGGAAAGCTGTACCTGTAAAATACTTGGACATTTTGATTTTATAGTCAGCTCACTATTTGCCAACAATGTGTAATGCTGCCACAAAAAGCTGATAAGATTTTGGGTTGCATTAATAGAATTAAAGTATCTGGGTTGAAGGAGGTTTCAGGCATAATTGAAGTCTCCACAAGTTTCTGATCAGAACACATCTTAACCATTAGATTCATTTTGAATGATGGACTTCTAGAATGATACAGGCAAAGTGGAGCTTATTATAAGATCAAGAATGAAGGCAAAATAACTAAATAACAGGTATAACTGACATCAAGATATTTCAACCTGGAAAAAAGAAAATTTAGCATGAGACAAAGACCTAATAGATATCTTGAAATATTTAGATATCTGTCATTTAAAAATTCACAAATGACAAGATGTAGAACAAGGATCTGTGAGTACAAATTCTTTTTTTCTTTTTAGAATTTTTTTTAGAGACTGGGTCTCACTATATTGCCCAGGCTGGCATGCAGTGGCTATTCACAGGCATAATCATAATGCCCTATAGCCTCCAACTCCTGGGCTCAAGCCATCCTCCTACCTCAGCCTCCCAAGTAGCTGAGACTATAAGCATGTACCATGGTGCCCTCAGCAAATGTTTTTACACTCAATAACTGCATGTTCCATTCAACTGCAATTTGAAGAATTATACATTTCAGAGCAATTGTATCATTATATTTAAGATCTTAATAACATTTCCTTTGTTCTTTCATCTTTTTTATAATTGAAGCCTCTTGATGTGCTCACAAGATGCCATATGTTACCATTGCTTCATTTTGTCTTAAAATATTTATTTCTAGCTCTTAGGGACAGGTAAACCAAATAAAATATTTGCATTTAGCTTTCTCTTTTCTTTTATCATAAGCAGGGGACTTCCAAATCATTTCTGATTATAAATGAGAACCTATGTGACTTGTAGTAATACCCTGATATCCTCTTGAAACAATTACTGTGCTTTCTCAAGCCATTAACTTATGACCACAAATGATTATCATTAAATGAGTATCTCGGGGAGACTTGAGAGTATAAGGCTTTATGCAAAAATGTGTAACAGGACTAACTTCTCTAAATGTTATGATCCCACATTCTTTTGATATTTGAGAACTAAATATAATGAACATCATCGGCCCTTGAGACTTTCGGTTTAAGATTTTCCTTTAAAAATAATAGTATTATTCTCTGAGGACATGAGAACAGTATTACTTTATTTAGTTTAAGTGAACCTAAAATAGAGCAGAGGAAATCATTAAATGAGTGAACATATATTTTTCCTTGTTGCCCATTCATGCCAAAACTGATGTGTCTTGAAAGTACAAAATCACTTACAACGGGGAAAATATCTTTAAAATGATTAAACTTATCTTCAGAGAGAGATGCCTAGTAGTCTCAATAATTACCCTGGAATAAACTACAATGCTGATGATTGTATTATGTTCTGCAGTCTTATGAACAAGCAAACATGGTGTTTTATAGCTGCATGAGGAAGGAAGTCTACTGAAAGTAGCTATTAATGTGTCCATTTATATCCCGCCTCCCTGAATAGGCCCCAAATCTAGAGCAAATACAGAGTGGGAAATTTCACTCCCAATTTAGCCCTCTCTCCAAACTCCAGAGGAAGCTGCTCAGCTGGCCTCTCATGCAGTTGAAACTGAGCTGGACAAATTGAGTATGATCAGCCACTGGGCCCACAGCCCAAGCACCAGACTGGAAAAAACATGAGAGAGTAGACTGGACAGACTCTACCTCAAATCAAGAACATTTCAGTGTGAGAAATAAGAGATGCTTTCCCTGGAACTGATGTTGGTCAAGATACTGACAGGTCTTCTTTTAGCAGTTCCAATTCTGGGGAAAATTTCAGAATCTGAACTAGATTCTTAGTTGTTGTTTCAACAGTAGTTACATGTACAGTGAATAGCTGGTTTGATTGAGTTTCTTAGAGCTGCTCCTGACACAATACAATGAGGCAACACTTCATCCTCAGTCTCCCTGAAATTCAAGTTATTCTGCTTTGCTTTAGCCAAGAGAAAAACAGTAATCATCTGCCAACACTGGCAAGAGTAATTAGGGCTTCTGGGAAAATCTCTTTAAGGAAGTATGCGAATAACGGTAAAAAAAAATCTTTGTCATTATTTTGGAAACTGAATTTCTAGACTGAAATTCTGAGATCACTAGCTATTTCTTTTTCAACCCCATATTTTACTCTTGATGAAACTAAGTTTTAAGTAGATAAGATATCTTACTGAACATAACACTGTTAAGTTGTAGAGCTGAGACTAGATCTAGCTTATCATCAGATATGTGGTCCTAGAGAACAGACGGCCGACCAGCCATGATTCACCACTCATGACAACCCGAAACAGTACCTGAACAGTACCTTTTATGGTGGGTGGTGTGTACACACTCTGCTTCCTTTGCTTAGGGGATGCATTCTGTAACTGTGGAGAAAGAGAAAAAAGTAAAAGCCTTAGATTTGGATACAAAGTACGATGCCATCAGACCTGTGAGGGAAATAAATACTGTGCCATGTTATGAAAAGCTTTCTGATTTCTCCCTGTCATGAAATAGAATCTAATTAATGAGAAATTATATACATGTTAGTGATATCACAGACTTAAGAGATACATGGAGTTGTAGGGTCTACTTAATCATAAAATTCTTCATTCATGGCAGCCTTGAAATCATTTTACTTTCCCACCTAATAACATTAATTTATTTTAAAAAGAAAGAGAAAAAGAGACACCAATCCTTTTCATTTGAGAGAAAAACAGTCTGAGTTCCATGACAAAGTATATTCCAAAAGCTATGTCCAGGGAATAATAGTATCTGTTCGTGGGGTTATTGAGTGATTCAAGAGGAACAATGAAGATCCTTGGAAAGTAACAGCAATCTTTAACCCTCTTGAATTGACATGTTCAACTATTACCTCCATTTACTTGGAATTATAATGTTGAGGTAACATTCTTCATATGTTAAAAAAAAAGATAAGTCCTTTCCTAATAAAACTGTTATGTGACACTCTTACCTAAGCATTATTGGATCAGGATAAAGTTATTGAAGAGATTTTGCATTTCAAAATGACAAAAATAAGAACTTATTTCAGGGTCAAAATACAGATAAGGATACAGAGCCCTATATAATGGATATACATATTATTCATTTAATAAATTACATGGTCTAACCCCCAATCGGAAAATGCCAAAGACTCCATTTTAATAGCATGTTGATTTATGTTTTAATGTGGCAAGTGTACGGGTCTTAATCAATGAGTTTTTGCATCTGGGGCAATTATTTTTGCTTTGAAAAGCTCAAGTGTAAATAGTTACAACATACTTTTTGAAGATTGTTCCAGGCTTGCTATGCACATTAGCAAGAACATAATGTACAAAGTTTAAACTAGAAACTGTTTTACAAAGTTGTAAATAGAGCTTGAGGCCTCTTTCCTTGTGCTTGCTAAAGATTAACTGCCCTCAAAGGTATCATCGAGATGTTATTTATCTGATGCAAAAGCAATCAATTAAAAACTAAACCTTTCAACAAAACAGTTACCAAATCCATAGCAGATGAGCAAATAGTGTAAGCAAATTTCTCCAGAATAGAGTTTTGTGATACCTACATACTATGCACAGGTGTAGACAGGGTGACTCTACATTAATGTTAAATATGTGGATGATTGACATTTCTGGGGCACTTCTACTGTTTCAGTCACATCTGGCTGGTTTTGAGAACGAATCAGTTTAGGGATTTTTAATATTTACTTCCATACACATATTTAAAGATCAAATAGAAAATTAAATCTACAGAAATTTTTTTATTGTTGTTGTTTAGTAACACAGTGTAAACTTACTAATAAAAACTAATTTATATTTATGTAAGAGTTTAGTTTTGAAAGCTTTTCCACTTTTACTGTTTCACAAAATTTTCAGAAAAGTCTTGTGATATACTATTTGATATTTTGTCCATTCTACATTTTTCTCTTTAAGTATTGCTGTTTGCCTACACCTACGATCAAGGGAATTGATTAGGTAACCCTGCACAGCATCCTATTCAATATTTATTTCATTTCTGGGAACTAGTTTATTCACTTTGTGTTTCATATATTCTATATTATATGCTCTCCTGGCCTCTCCTGGTTTCTATTTTCTATATAAACTCCTACACATGTATGTGGAGGGAATAGAGAGTGACAGTGTTCAGACAGCCTGCTGAATTTAAATCTGAGTACATTTCTAGGTGAACCCGTTGGATCTGTTTACTCAGGCTTTGGAGACTTCAGTCCCCCTAGACTCTGGCCTCAGACTTTTGGCTCCACATACCAGAAGACCCTGTAAGAGGTGTCATCCCTCCAACCCCATCTCCTTGCTCTGGGGTTCCAGCATTACTTGGCTTAGCCTGTGGTGTGCATATATAATCACTCAATAAATTGAAGTTGTCAATACCACATTTTGCCATTAAAAGTGATGTTTTATTTTAAAAGTTTTTTCAGGGGTTAGCATTACATAGGTAGAGAATAAAGGTAACTGAGAGGCAGAGATTTTAATGACACTATATTACTGTTTATTCAGTCAGAAGGAGCAATCTAAAGTTTTATTACAGTTGTATCATTATTTATATCACATCAAATCAAGCAAATTTTTGCATTTTTAATTGATTTGAACACATTTATACAAAATATTTTTAAAAACTTACTTCCCCTTGTGTGTTGGGCCCCCTCTTGTCATCTATTTCTGTAAGAGAAGTAGGTAGAATGTATTAGGCATGTAATATTCTTTCTTGTAATATATATATTAACATTTTCAACAACACGGATAAAAATGATTTAATAATTGCCTTATACAAAAACTACAACTTACAGCTAAGAAGGAGAGGAGGACAGAGGTGGGTGGTTTCCTTTTGATATAACCTTCTCCCAAAGTTTCAAAAAAGGTATAGAAAAAGCTTTCCTCTTGACATCCCAGATTTCTCACCTTTCAGCAGTCCAGAAAGGGGACCAGGGAAGTGACTCTTGGAACAAAGTTAGGTGTCATCAGCCTCACAGTTAAGGTGTCAGGAACCTCCTCTCCTCTGCCACTATCCATTAATGAGAGCCTTTGTCAAATTTCCTCAAGTTTGTCACTACCCAAATCAAATCTCCTTTCCCACTCAGTCCAATCACCATGACTACAAGGAAGGCAGTATCCTCTCTATATATGTATCTGGAAAGAACTAATTGCTCCATCAAATATTTCTTATGACAGTGCTTGGGTGGCTTCTTATGATTGTGCTGTGTATGAAGGGTTGTGAGGAACGGTGAGATGGAGGAAGAGGTGCTTACACATGCCCCTTCCACAGCAGGAAGATGTTCTGGGCTGGGTTTCTTTTTTACCTCGTCACCTACATTGTATGGCCTCTGCCTCTTGGCTTCTTCACCTAGTTCCTCTTTCCTGATCCTTATGCTAGGCCCAAGGCTCAAAGACTAACCCCATGATCCAAAAACTGAATGAGAAGTTCATCAAATAATATCTGCTTAAAGACAATGATGTAGATCTGTATTGACATGAAAATACATGCTATATAAGTGAAAAATATTTCAAAACTAAATGAATGGTATTTTTATTTAATAAAGGATAGATGTATGTAGATAAAGTGATATATATATGCATAGAAGACTACCAATATGTTAACTGTAGTTATCCTGGGGTGATTGAATAACACATTCTGTTTTATCCCTATCTGTACTGCTTTTCTTTTTATAACAAGCATGTATTACTTTTGCAACAAAAAAGCAGTGTATACATATGTATGTGGATATACATATATATGCACACAAATATATACATATATGTAGTAGAATTTCTCTATAAATCCAACCATGCCTGAAGTTGATATTTCATATAGTAAGAGAACAAACTGGCTAAACAGCTAGAATGGGAATAGTATATGGAACCATTGTTTATTCTAATCTGATATCTTGCTTACTAAATGTTAAAAAGTTATGGAAACTTCTGATACATTGTACTTTCTTTATATAAGGGAGGACAGACAGTTTAGTATGGCAATCACAAGTGTCTGATGCAATGACTGTAAGTATGTGGGGCATTTTCAGGCAGCTATGGATATACTAAATTGAACAATCCTGTCTATCAATGTGCACTATTTTTTGCTATCACATTATTATTAAATATCAAATATGATCCACTGTAACAATGTACTGTGATCCATTGGATGATTAAATGCCAGTGGGGTTCCTTAATATTTTGCTTTTGATTAGGAGTTTACAAAATCCAACCCAGGACCTATAACTTTATGTTTTAGAAACACAATGGGATCTGATCATTCAGATTTTTACTTTCCCTACTGTCTCACTACAATGCCCACTAAAACAGTGTTTTCCCAAGGCAATTATGAGGGCCTCACTGTTAAATATTTCAATGAAAAAAGGTTTGTTTTGTTGTTGTTGTTGTTGTTGTTGTTGAGTTCTGCTGATAAAATCAATTATTTATGTCGTGAAGGCAAGGATTAAAAAAATTCAGTCTTATATTCTTGTCTTGAAATTGAAAAGTGAAAATTAAATAACTAACTTTTCAGGTCAAATTGACTCAGACAAAGGTACAACGGAAGCCAATAACAGATCATAGTTGCCAGCTCTTTAAACAAAAACATCAAAATGTTCTTAATAATGTCTCCTTTTTTTTCCCTCAGGGCCTCAAATTCTGACCCCGTTGGCAGTCCCAGAAGTCTTTAGGAAACTGGATCCCACATGAAGCATAAGAATATACCCCTGTCTTCAAATATTGTTTAGCTCTCTCATCAAACCAGAAAAAAAAAATACTATTTTGGAGTAGGGTTGAACAAAATCAGTGTGTTAGTAGATTACCCATAATCAAAAACTATAAATTTTCTGAAAGAGGCTTTTGTAGCTATTCCAGCCATATCTTGTCTATATTTCTCCATTTCTCAAGGACCACTTAGTCTGAAAGAAGAAATTTCTTGGTTTGGGAGGAAAATGTAAAACTCATCTAAGTATAACATTTTAAGAAATATTGTCATCATTAAAGATGAAGATAGAAACAGAAATTTCTGTTTTGAGTATTGATTAGTTAGAATGCCCTTAAGATATTTAAATTCATGAAAGGAACAGGACAAACTGAGAATGCATGTGGATACACACGTGAACTACAAACACCCAGCGTCTCCTTGTCTTTGTCAATGAGATCTCATTCAATTTTGGAAAACTAGTTGTAATAAAAAATTAAATGCCTACAAAAATGAAGTGTAAGAGCAAAGGAAACAAAAAGAACATTGTCAAAAAATAAGGAAAAGTGAACTATAATAGAATGAGAACTATAAAAACTAAGAAACGGGCAGAATGCAGAGACAACGCTAAGGAAAGCCTAAAGAGCCATGGTTGAGGCTGGCAGAAAAATCTGTCTTGGAGAAAGCACTGTAGAGCATACATAATATCTAATACTGTTTCTTCCATTTGTCTGTCGTGACCACACTTAAGCCACGTAAAATTCCTGAATTACAGAGTTTTCCTCATGTGTGAAATGGGAAAGAGGAAGCATAATAATTCTTACTCTGCCTTCCTCATTTTCTCATAAGTTTGTTTTGAGGAATAAAAAAATGAAAAAATGAGAGCACAATTTCCCACTCCTTAAGTACAGACTATAACTTCCCTCCAAAGAGTGCAGTATGGAAAAGGAGCAGGAGGGAATGAGTATCTTTATGGTGGGAAACTTAATTCTGCCAGGTGACCAAGGGCAACACAAGTCATAAATCATGTTGATCCCTTGCTATGATGCTATGAAGACGAGACTTTATATCAATGATCTTCCTCCTCAAACCCCTTAAGCCTAGTCTAGTCATGAGAAAAACATCAGATAAATCCCAATACAAGGGCATTGTACAAGATTGCTGACTAGTACTCTTCAAAACTGTCAAGGTCATGAAAAACAAGAAAAGTCTGAGAGACTGTCATAGCCAAGAGGAGCCTAAGGAGACATGACAATTAAATGTAATGAGGTATCCTAAATGGGATTCTGGAACAGAAAAAAAGGCATTATAAAACTATCTCAATAAACTATGGGTTTCAGTTAATTAAAAAAATCATTATTGGGTTATTAATTGTAACAATTAAATAGTAATGACTTAGAATATTAAGAATAGGGAAACTGTGTGTGAAGAAGGTGCTCCATGGGACTCAATGTGCCCTTCGTTCAATTTTTCCGTAAATCTAAAACTCTTTAAAAAAATTAAGCCCATTAATAAAAACTTGAAAAATAAAAAATCACTAAATCCAAATAAAATCACCCTAAGAGTACATTTTTGTTCTTACTGTCAGAATTCTGCGTGTATTTTGAAGAGCAACAGAGAGTCATGATTAGAAAGTAGACAATGTAACTAAAAACAAGGTCATGAAAATATCATTTAAAAGTGTTATATAGGGCCAATTAAAGAGGTATAAGGAAGGGCAAGAGTGAGCTTACAAAGAGAATATTTCAAAGTTTAGTTGAAGTTGTTGAAAGCTGATGCAAGTAAAAATGTGTTAGAGGAAAAAATGGGGAGTTAAACAATTTTCAAATAAGTCCATAATGATGGGAGCACTTTACCTTGATTTACTTACTGACTGAATGTGGGGAGATAATGGAACAAAGCATAAAATAAAATACCACTAGTATCTGTTTGATTATACATATCCCCCAGCTTGCTGCTTCTGTGCATTTATTCCCCATATCCAGAAAACTCCTGCCCTCATACCAAATACTACTATCCCTCAGAGTTCTGTTCAAACAGCATTTCCTCTGGGAAATCTTTCCCAATTCATGTCTCTCCTATGCTCAATTGGAACTCATCTCTTCCCCAACCAACACCCACAGCACTTCCTTTACTCCTGTCTCATAGAACTTATCACCATATTCCCTATATCATGTCCATTAGTGTTTTTATCTCCCCAGGCAACCTGCAAAAGAATGAGGATTATCCTCTATGTTTGATTTTTCCACATCTCTGAGCACAATAGCATAGCTGACACACAATAACAACCTGTCAAATAAATTTATCTTAATGCCTATGTTTCATAAAACCAGACCATCTGTTTGCTGCTTCTCTGCATTCCAAATTACAATAGTAGTGCAATTATTTGCTCATAGTAGGTGCTAAATACATACTTTTAACAATTTTTAAGTGTTCAGTTTGCAAACTTTTTAAGGCAGAATCCATTACTTCCATTTTTAAAAATCAATGTACTAGGTTCAAATGCTACAGACACTCAAATTCTTATAAATATTGCCTAAGTGGCTCAAAGGGAATCTTAGAGGAAAAATAAGGATGTATGACTTCCCTCTGTTGGTTTCTAGAGATTGAGAAGATATCTATTTCAAGTACAATATGTATAAGACAAATTAAAAATAAGCGGTAGGCAAGGTCAAATCAAACATATAATTTTACAGAAACTAGCCTTAGACAATAACTAAAACCATGGAAAGGAATGATTTATTCTGGATATTGGCTGCTAAAGAGCACTGACCCATATATAGAATGCTTTGGTAAGAAGAGACTCAATTTCTTAGACTAAACCCCAAAGATACAGACTTTTGATGAATTTAGATAACAGAGGGTCACTTGAATCTTCATTTTAGGCACCTATTTTGGAAATGTGAGGAAAAAAGTCAGTTTAGTGGAAATTGGAGGGCTTCCAATAAAAACAGTCTTGTAAATTCATTCTTTGAAGACTCTTCTGCTCAAAAGCAATAGCAATGGCAGACTAAATACAAAAAGAGATGACTAAAAAGATAGAGCCACAGTCAAAAATTAGTTAAACATCTCCAAGGACCATAAATACAAGAAAAGCAAAATGCAATAAGCAGGTTGGAAACCATGGGGCCTGAAAGTCTTTAGATCCAGAAGTCGACTGAGGCAACTAGAACTTCTAATCTCTCAGCAGAACTGACTTCGTGTGAAAGACAAAGGCCAGACTTGCTGCCTGGAAGTGGAAGCAGGGCTCTCTCATCTGTGTTGAGAAAGGCACTCATCTGTGTATCTAGCGAGACGGGAGAAAGTGGTCATTTTAGAACAAGCCACCACAAGCCAGGTAAGTGCCTCTGCTTTACTTCTAGTATCATCATAAAACAGGAGTCCTTGATGTCCCAATTAGGATCTCATTCTAGATGACAAGTATATAGTATTGAATAAAGAAAGACTCAAGAACATTAACAAGGAAGAATGAGCATAAAGGAGAGAAAACTCCCATTCACAAGGAGTTGAAAATTAAAATTTCAAAACATAAGAAGAAAATGAAAATTCTTTTTTAGGAATGCTGCTTAAAAAGCAAGTGGAAGATGAATTCTTCCAGGTGAAATGAAAACATCAGAGCAATTTGAAAACATCAAAGCAGTTTTAAAATGTCTCTAAAATGCATATATTTTGGACTTACAAAGAGATGAAGAAGAAAGCATAATTTCTCATGAGAAATCATGAAGCCAGAAGGAAGCAGCACAACGGTCTTCAAGTACTGAACAAAATGAACTATCAACTGTAGAATTCAATATTCAGTAAAATCATCCTTTAGGAATGAAAGAGAAATAAAGTTTTTCTTTATCCACCATTAGACAAAGGAAACCAAGAGAATTTGCCAGTAGCAGATATACCCTCACTAGCAGATATACCCTAAATGAATGGCAAAGGAAGTCCTCTATAACCAGAAGAAAAAGGATTGAAAAAAGGAGTCTTAGAACACCAGGAAGAAAAGAAGAATAATGGAAAAAGCAAAAATGTGAGTAAATATCATAGATTTTGCTACCTCTCTTGAATTGTCTACATTATGTTTGCCAAGTAGATAAAAAATTATGGTTCTCAACCTATATAGAGGGAATATTTAAGACAATCATATAAGTAAGAGATGGTAAAGAGACTTAGAGGGAAGTAAAGACACTTAGAGGGAAGTTTCTATACTCTGATAAAAGTTGGCACCAGCAAACTGTGATAAGTATGTATGCATAATAGCACAATTGCTAAAAATCCATACAAAGAGATACACTCAGAAATGTTACAGATACATCAAAATGGAATTATAAAAATGTTCAAGTAACCTAGGCAAAGATAAAAAAAAAACCAGAAACTAAAAACAAAATGACAACTGGAAAACTAAAATGGTAGATGTAAGTCCTAACATAGCAGTAATTATATTAAATATAAATGGCCCAAGTAAACCAATTAAAAAACACACTGGGCCAGGTGTGGTGGCTCATGCCTGTAATCCCAGCACTTTGGGAGGCCAACGCAGGTGGATCACCTGAGGTCAGGAGTTCGAGACCAGCCTAGCCAACATGGTGAAACCCTGTCTCTACTAAAAATATGAAAATTAGCCAGGTGTGGTGGCACACACCTATAATTCCAGCTACCAAGGAGGCTGAGGCAGGACAGTCACTTGAACCCAGGAGGCAGAGGCTGCAGTGAGCTGAGATCATACCACTGCATTCTAGCCTGGGTGACAGAGCAAAACTGTCTCAAAAAGAAAGACACACACACACACACACTTACACACACACATTGGCACAGTGGATAAAAATCAAAATAATCTAACTATACACAAGGGCATTATGTTGAGTGAAAAAAAAAAGCCAATTTCAAAAGGTCACATACTGTGTAATTCAATTCATATAACATTCTTGAATGACATTTTGTTATTCAAGATGGAGAAGAGATTAGTAGTTGCCAGGGATCAAGAATAGTGAGAGGAGGAAGGAGTGAGTATAAATATAAAGTAGTAGCAAGAGGGAGATCTTTGTGGTGATGGAATAATTCTATTTGATTGCCATAGTAGGTATACAAATCTACATAAGAGATAAAATGCCATAAAACTATAAGCACACATTGTACTCATGTCAATTTCATGGTTTTGTTATTGTACTATAAATGTTACCATTACAGAAAACTCAGTGAAAGGAACCTGGAACCTCTCCAGGCTATGTTTAAAACTTTCTGTGAATCTTTTATTTCCAAATTAAAAGTTAAAAGAAACAAATTATGACAACAAAAATTCAAGATTGGAAATAATTTAAGAGAAAATTAATACATCAAAAATGTTACTGAGAAATTTACCCAAATCCAATACCAAAATATAAAGATATAAAATACATGAAACAAAGGTAAACAGACATAAGGAAGAGATTAAAGAATCTGGCCGGGGGTGGTGGCTCACGCCTGTAATCCCAGCACTAATCCCAGAGGAAAATATAAAATTAGCCGGGCGTGATGGCAGGCACCTGTAGTCCCAGCTACTCAGAAGGCTGAGGCAGGAGAATCACTTGAACCTGGGAGGCGGAGGTTGTGGTGAGCTGAGATCACACCACTGCACTCCAGCCTAGGCAACAGGAGCAAAATTCTGTCTCAAAAGAATAAATAAATAAAATAAATAAATAAATAAATAAAAATCTGCAAAATCATATAAAAGAGCAGATTTAGAATGAGAGGATAAAAGAAATGTTAGAAAATGTTTTATAAGTGAAGAGATACATAAATATTATAAATAAAACAGATGCCAAGAAAGTTAATGAAAATAACTCTACGCCCAGACCATGGAAGTAAAAGTTTATAACATCACATTTAAAGAGAAATCTTAAGGGTAATGAGAGCTAGAAAGGACAATTATTAACTGTGGAAAAATCTCACCTGCAATAACAAATGGCAAAGGCAAAGGCATGGAAGTAAACAAAACTATTTTTCTACCCACTAAGTTGTATTCAAAAATGACAAAATACAGCCATTTTCAGACAATCGAAAAAGATCAATAGTTACAATGACCTTTATTTTATCAATGAATAAGATCAACTTATATTTATACATTCCAAAGTGTTTAAAAATAAAAGATCAACTATTCGCTCAAAGTGAATAAAACAAATATTTGTACATTGTATAAACCCTTTAGCTGAAAACATTTTTCACCACAACTAGATTATACATCTTCAAACAGAATGGAAGATGGAGGAAACTGCAGACAATTGTTTCCAAAGCTAATTTTGTCCTACTCTAAGAGCAGAATTGGTTTGTTTTTCATACTAATATCCTTCTTGAACGGATGAAATTATCAACATAAAAGTCCTTTCTTTTAAAAACATACACTTTTGTTTTGTGTACTAAGCCTGTTTTTCTTGGTTCCAAAATAACTTCAATTTCCTCCTTATTCTGAATATTTGGTGAGTACCAAGAAACAGAAAATTTCTTTTTAAAAGGGAAACATATTGCCATATTTTGTTTAGAATTCAAACATACGATTTTTTTTTCTTGGCTCACTCATTTGGGAGCTATTCTAATGAGCTGACAGGAAGTCAGTCTATTTTAGTCATCTGTCAATAAATTATGATTTTATTTTACTAAAAATATTCAAACATGTTAATAAAAATTGTATGTTTTGTGATTTCGATTAATTTTACAACAAAAGGTTAAAACACAAATACTAATCCTAAGATTAAGTGGATAATATCTTTTTCTTAATTTACAACAGGGCAAGTTGAGCAGTGAAGTGGCAGCCTGCTGTGTTGGGGTGATGGCCTCACTTTTGTCATATTAATGTGAGATACATAAGCAGGTGAGTGTCAGAGGAGAATGTAGGATTGTGGGCAATCCTAAACCAGTTAGTTAGGTAGAATTCACCGAAATCGAATTAAATTTCACAAAACTACCATTGCTGTGTGGGATGATATGACACACAAAAGAAATAAACTTGATTATTTCACTTATCAAGGCATTCCTTTGGCATTGTCTAAAAATAACTATTAGCTGATAGAGCCAAGCATGTCTGCTCTAACAGGAGAAAGGAAATTGAGATTTCCCAATATTCTTTTCTTGCCATGACAGAGACTAGATTTGTGTTCAATGATACGTGTTTTTCTCACCATTCCATTGACACTTTTTTAATCTGATGATTTACTTTTATCCCATCCCTTAAAACTAATCCTAGGAAAGAGGTTAGAGAAATTTCCTGAATTACCTGGAGCCACAAAGAAAAACTAAAAGCTAAGTTTTTATTTATATTGCTAGCATTTTTGTTAGATACAACGGTATTTGATACCTTTTAACTTCTATCAAATGTATTATTTAAAAATCATCAATCTAGAATTGATGCTTAATAATTTTGTCAAAAATATTAAGTATTAATCATTGTATTATCATGATTTTTTTTTTTTTGAGACAGAGTCTCACTGTGTCGCCCAGGCTGGAGTGCAACGGCGCGATCTCAGCGGCTCACTGCAACCTCAGCCTCCTGGTTCAAGCAATTCTCCTGCCTCAGCCTCCTGAGTAGCTGGGATTGCAGATGCGCACCAGTATTATCACAATTTAAAAAAGGGTTTTGTAAAATATTAACTCTCAATCTCCACTAAACCTAAAACATCTCATATACACTCTAATATCAAAAAACAAATGGTTTAACTGTATTTAAACAGTGGGAATAAACATAGAGAGGTCATTATGTCAATATCAAGTTCACTCTAATGTGTGAGTAAATTTTATGATTAAGAAGTGTTGTCTAATTGTTTTCTAAGGCAGTGGGACTCACCTAGCACAGCTGTGAAAATTCCACATCTTTTCACACTGAAGTTTAAATTGAAAAATAGAGGCCATGTAAGTTTATGAAGTATGGTGATAAAGTTATTTCGTGACCGTTTTTTTTAAATGTCTATCAATGGAAATACTGTAACTGATGTGGTGGTAATATTTAGCTACCAGAAAAAAACCATGGCTAAGCCTTATGAATATTATCACTTCTCCCTGTATAGGCCTGCACTGGAAAAGTCATTCATTCAACTACAGTATTACACCTCTCATGGTAACCATTACTGGAGGCTGATTCTTTACCTCTCCACCTCCTTTAATCTGTAACAAGAGAGTGATGGCTACAATTCCACAGACTTTAAACACTGGTCAGCATTTAAGTTTTTCTTCTATCTTTCAGGAGGCACTAAGAACATATTTTGCACAAAAAACACTAATAAGATTGCAGAATAAAAGTCTCAATCATGCATATATTCTTTCCCCACTTCTTTTACTCTTCTGTTGAGTTAGTGCTTAAAACAAAATACCGCACCTTTCTCCATCAATTTCCTCCATGAAATTCAAAGTATTCAGGTGAGGATAGGTTATTTTCACATCCAGCCTGTGTATCTCGCTGCATCATGAGAAGCTCAGCTGCTGCTGTTGTTTTGTTTTTGTCTGAAGGCAGGATGTGTTTGATTCTCTTTTTAAAGTTACTCAAGAGAAAATGTTGACTGCTGTAATAAAAATCTGGATGAAATTGTAGTACAATGTGTTCTGAGACTCATACTCTAGGAAATGTATGCAGAGTACACTGAGATTAATAAATGAAGTGGAAAAATCTTCTATATTAAAATGTTTTTCTCTTGAAATTTCCTGTCAGTTTTGCATGTGTTTTATACTGTGCTTTTTGCCGAAGTTTAAGTATTGGCTTGTGGATGACAGGTGAACAGATATGACTGAGGTAAGATTAGTGTTTAATTTGGCTAGGATCTGGAAGAATCAAATAAATAGGCAAGGCTGTGAAATCAGTGGATGACTTATTGCTACAGTGTGACACTATGATCAGAGAACCAGGTAAGGCTGGCATCTGAGCAGGTAGTCCTGACATGCTGTTCAGAATTAACACATGAACAGAATACACAAGCAGAGGCTTGGAGGGTGGAGAGTGGGCTGCAGAGGCAGCACTTTTGTATCCAAAAGACCAAACTGAAATAAAGTCAGCAGATGGAGTGGAGTTCTGAGAGATAATTTAGTCCTAAAGACCAAAATTAGGCTTTTTAAAGAACGGTACAAGATAGCAAGGTGGTATAAACAGATGGTGAAGATAAACTTCTATGAAATCAAGCATTAGCATCAGAGACACAGCCACTGACAGCCTGGCTGTGAGAGGAGAATAGTTACTAGAAAACTGAGTAGAAACTATAGGGGATAATCTATATAAAACTAGGAAAGTAAACAAACAAAAAACTTGCCTTGATATTAAATTTTGCAGTTTTGCTTGAAGTAGTATGGATCGGTTTACAGCAGGCCAATGATATTGTTTAACAGAACTATAAAAATAGGATAAATTATAAAAGACAGCAAGACCTGACAAAGCAAAGAAAACTACAGAGAGCAGAGACATTCAGAACTAGAGGCTCACTATTCAAATTTGGCCTCTGGCAGAGCCCCACTACAGGAGAACAGAAAATCCACAAGATATTTTGGCAATTGTGTAATACTAGAGTGATAAAATTGAAGACTTCAGGGAATTAAAACATGCAATTTGTCTCTGCCTTAAGACATTTGAGAGTTTCTGAAGCTATACTGGGTAAGTGAATAAATAATATGGAAATCTCTTGAAAACAGAACGTAAATTTAAAAAATACAAAGACCACAGACCATTAGTTGAAAGGCCTAGAAAATATACAAATCAGAGGTAAACTGAATTGTATTAAAACTAAAATTGGGACTTTCCTAGCACAATTTATTATTGGAATACATGATCAGTTTCCTATTTTGCCTCACAGAGGAAAAGGTAAACCCCTGCATGTTTTGGGGCCTGAAAGAATGCTTAGCATATCTCTCAGTTTGATGTTCCACCCCTCTGTGTAATAAGTTGAATAGTATCCCAGTTTGCAGCCAAGGGATTATATTCAGCCAAGGCTGCAAACTGGGACACTATTCAAAACCTTAGTATATTTTCATTAGCTTTTGTTTATAATCTTTTCCTGCACTATTTTGTGGGAAAAAAATAATTGTGTAGAGAAGTAGCAACGGAGAAAAACAATTTATGTTCCTCTTTTTGAGGTGCCCTAGAGAGATTTTTTTTTTTTTTTTTTTGAGATGGAATCTCATTCTGTTACCCAGACTGGAGTGCAGTGGTGGCATGATCTTGGCTCATGGCAACCTCCACTTCCCAGGCTCAAGTGATTCTCCTGCCTCTGCCTCCTAAGTAGCTGGGACTACAGGCACCCGCCACCACACCCAGCTCACTTTTGTATTAGTAGAGATGGGGTTTCACCATGTTGGCCAGATTGGTGTCGAACTCATGACCTCAGGTGATCCGCCTGCCTCAGCCTCCTAAAGTTCTGGGATTACAGGCGTGAGCCTCCATGCCTGGCCTGCCTCAGAGATTTAATCATAAGGACATCGGTGCTATCTTTGACAGTCTCCAAAGGAATTTACCATCAGATCTCTGAAAACAACAGTGAAATCTCAATTATCACATTTCAGCAGATTCTCCATTTTTGTATCCAACATGTTTCCCATCCAACTACTCACCAGGCTCAACACTGCTTAGCTTCCAAGATCAAATGAGATGGGGCGCTTTCAGGGTGGTAGGGCAGTAGACTGTATCTAACATGTTTGAAGGTAGAATCTCTTTCTTTACAGCGACCTTTGGATTACAACTATTGACTAGGTCATCTACAGTTGAACAATATAAGGAGGGGACAAAAACAAAAAATTCCATAGAAGGCTTTAGATCTACTAATTCAATACAATCATTGACCCATGAGCCTTCAGAATTGAATGGGAATAAATCAAAGAGAAATGAAAGAAATTGTTATGCACAGCTCAATTTCATTTTGCATGTATATTTGCCATTTCCTTGTGTTATTAGCATTCTAGCATAAAATCAATCTGTTCAAAGTGCCAGAGAAATCTATCATGTATTTCTTACGTATAGCAGAGGATTAGAATTATAATTTCTTTTTAGTAAGGCTAAATGTAATAGGGCTATGAAAATCTCCTAAGCCAGCTATAGTGAAGCCTGTCTTCCTGACTTATCAAACTCTCCCCTTTCCAAAATGAGCTGTGCTTATAAGCCCTTTGCTGGGCTCCGTTGAAGGCCTATCATTTGGGGCTTCACGTTAAGCCACTAGGTAGTGGTTTCAGTTGTGTTTTTCTTTGAGTTCTTAGAGTTAGTCAAAACTGGGGCCCAAACTGAAACCACCAGAATAATAAAGTTATATGCACTGGAAAGGGGAATGTGGAGAAAAGAAGAAAATGGTAAGAATAGTTTTACCCTGTTGTGCCAAGATTCACACAGCTGTATTTTTCTTTCAATATTATTTATAGCTTTCCATTTTAAATGATGAAAGTGGGAACACAACCTCATTACTTAATAGATTTTTATCTCTCTGAACCCCCTAAAATGGCTCATTTTAGGGGATGCCAATAAGAACCTGGTATAAGATATTCTCTGTGGAAATAGTGGTAGAAATGACAAAGAAAACACAAGATGGATTATGTTGATTTATTCAAAAAGAACTCTCAACTAGTAATTATCTCATGATTCAGGTTGGAAATCTTCCAAACTACCTTTCTGCTTATATTTCATAATTTCTGCTGCCACTTCCAAGCACAGTAAAAGAAGAGCAGAAAAAGCAGATTATTTGAAACCTCAAGAGTCTGCTTTTCATTAGTATTCTCAATTTTTATGAACTTAGTTTCTCTTATAAGACATATTTTATCCTACCACACAACCATTTTATATGAGAGCCAAAGAACTATTGCATCATCTTATCAGTAGTGATTTTTCAATCACTGGTACAATTTTTTCTGCCTTCTTGGAGTTTGAATTTGCCAATTTGCTCCAGAAAAATAAGTTGGTTCACTTAATGGATGGGTTTTCTTTGGGGATGACATCAGTTTAAACAGCAATATTTATTCCAGTAATTCTAGTTTTTTAAAAAAGTGTATCTTCTTTTGAGTAGAGAACTGATTGTAAACATACTTTTAACATAACTTTTACAGATTAGAAATAATTATTAGATGTTTTAGGCAATGTTGGAAAACTAATGATGTAATTATTCAATGTGCATTTAATCCTTTTCCAATAATATATTTTTATGTCATTTTGATCTATAGATTCCTTTAAATAGGATTTGAATAATTTAGGTGTTAGTCATTTTAAAACACTAATATTTCATTTTTCTACATAAGATATCACAAAAGTATTCTCATCAGAGTCTCCAAATAAAGTCTTATGACCAATTTCCTTACAAGTAGAAGTAGGGGAAATAATTGAGGTGAGCATGAGAAAATTATTCAAACGTTAACAATTTGAATGATGATGACAGGAAATTTTGAGAGCATTCACTTTAAAGATGGTTCTGAGAGGCACTGGAATTAGAATAGAATTAGCTGCTTACCACTATTTGAAATATTTAGTTCTCTTTTTACTTCACAGAAACGTTTTCTTTTTTTTTCCACATAGGTCGCTAACATTGACAGTGACTTACTAAATCTGCTTTGTAACTTGCATTAGTCAGCCAGAGCACATGTAACAGATTTTCATTTCTAGAGAAGATATTGGAATATAAAGGTAAACTTGTAAAATATTTCTTTATATATTGTACATTTAATTACTTGCCATGATTGTCCAACTTAAAATTATTATCAACGTATTTCTTTCTTTTTTTTTTTTTTCTTGAGACAGAGACTCGCTCTGTTGCCAGGCTGGAATGCAGTGGCGCAATCTCGGCTCACTGCAACCTCCACCTCCTGGGTTCAAGTGATTCTCCTGCCTCAGCCTCCCGAGTAGCTGGGATCACAGGCGCATGCCACCACGTCAGGCTACTTTTAGTATTTTTTTTTTTTTTTTTGAGTAGAGACGAGGTTTCACCATGTTGGCCAGGAAGGTCTCGATCTCTTGACCTTGTGATCTGCCTGCCTCGGCCTCCCAAAGTGCTGGGATTACAGGCATGAGCCACTTCGCCTTTGAATTGCTAGTTAATAATTTCTATGACTAATTTGGGGATTATCATTCATGTATAAAAACTGAAGCAAAGCTATGTTTAATATTGGGTTTCACAGAGAGTGGAACAGTGGTTACTAGGGATGGGGTAAGGGCAGGGGGAATGGGATGATATAGGTCAAAGTACAAAGTTGCATTATGTAGGTTAAGTAAATCTAGAGAACTAATGTACAACAGGAGGTCTATAGTTAATAATGTATTCACACTGGTACTTTGCTAAGAGAGTAGATTTTAGGTACTCTTACCATGAAATAAAGGAGGAAAGGAAGGAAGAAGGAAGGAAGGAAGGAAGGAAGGAAGGAAGGAAGGAAGGAAGGAAATGTAGGAGGGGAGAGAAAGAAAAAAGTAACTATATGAGATACTTGGTTTGTTAATTTGCTTGATTGTAGTAAACACTTCACTATGCATATGTATATTAAGGTAAGTATATCAAAACATCATGTTGTATATTTTAAATATATATACAGTAAAAGGTAAAATAAAATTAGGTTTCATTGTATTCTTATAAAGACAAATATGATTGGATATTTGATAATTTTGAAGCTTTTCTACTTTGATCAAATTGCCAAATCACAGAATTGCTCATTTAAGTCATATTCTTATTTTATAGCTATGCTATTTTATATCTTGCATGGATGAATCATTTATTTTTTCCAAACCCTTTTGCATTTTGAACTGTGTAGATATAACCATTGCAAATTTCAAAATAATTGTATCTGAGTATCACTATTATGAGTAAACCAACCATTATAAAAATAACATAAAATAAAGCAACATTCTCTTTAACTAGAACTCTGTATAACAAGAGGAAAACTTTTATTTTTTAGTTATAGATGGAAAATTTATTCTTAAAATCACAAGATGTTACTGTACACATTAAATACATATGGATGATTATAAACAAAGTGGTAATCTTTTCATGGCTTAATCAACTGAAGGCATCCTATCATCAATGGAAGTTTTTTTTTTTTTGTTACTAACAGAAAGAGAGGTCAATGGAAAAATATCCTTAAAATCCTATTTCACTTTCTATAAGTTTTTATCGACTTGAAAAATATAGAAGTTAGTTTTTGTCACTTGATCATCTGAAATAAACATTCACTTTTCATCCTAAATAACATGCCTCAAAAAAAGCAATGCTTTATTTATTGAGTTTTAAAGATTGAAGGATTAAATACCTGTGTAATTGGATTCTGTTTTCAGCTCTTGCTATTTTTACCTATCCCGAAAATCTTAACCTTCATGCAGTTTCTCAGTTTTCTTGTCTCAAATGTAATTTACTTGAGGGTTGCACAGTGTGTTCTAAACTGTAGTGATTATTTCTAGTAGCTATATGGAAGAACTGTGAAAGGACAGACATGTAACAAGATACCAGCTCAATATGTTTGGCACCAAGTTCAGATAGGAAAACAGAATATACATATATCTATAGATAGAGAGACAGAAAGATGAAGGAAAAGGAACTTTATCTTTGTATAAGCCTTAAACTAACCATTTTTTTCTCATAATGGTGATAAAAGAGAAAAATAGAATAAAAACACATTTAAATGCAGTTTGTAGATTAACGCCTATGATAATCTGTGTCTTATATGTAAGGTTGTCTGTCACTATGGATCAAAATGTGCCCAATATTTTAACAATAATTTATTGCATATATACTCTGTGCTATGCATCCTTTTAGGAACTAAGTTCCCACCCTCCTGGGGAGTTTAAACTCTATTGAAAAAGACAGATGATTAAAAAGCAACCACAGTACAGTATGATAAATAAGTGCTGCAACAGACGAAGCACCGAGTGTGCGAGAAGCATATATCAGGGGCATCTATCTTATCATTTTTTTCCTTAAAGGAAATAAATCTTTATAAGCTTGCTGCTGAGATGGCCAGCAAAGGTGAGTGGGCAAGGAAGTTGGGTGGGGTAAGACTGGAGATGAGAAAAGATTTTCATCAGATGAAACAGCTTGTGGGAATCTCCCTGAGGTGTGAGAGAGCATGACGTTTTTTAGAAATTAGAAAAAGCTCAAATATTTGGACTATAGAATGCCAGGGGTGAGTTCAGAGAGAAGGGGTTGAAGATTTAGTAAGACTAGATGATTCAGGGATTTGAAACTGTATGAAGTTTGTAGTTTATTCCAAAAGTGATGGAAAACCAATGAAGGGTTTTAAGCAGAAAGAGGCATGACCAGATTTCTTTCGTAGAAAGATCATTCTGACAGTTATGTGGAGAATGAATTGGAGGAGTCCATCCTGGATACAGGTAGCTCAGTTAGGAAGACATTGCAGTTATTCAGGTGATGGATGATGAAGGTGGAACCAGGTGAGAGAGATGCTTAAGAGAAAGAATGGACTCGACTTGCACAATGACTCGACATAGGTGAGGGTGGGGGAACAGGTGACAGGAAAAGTGAGTCAAACATTACATGCAGTTTCTGGCTTAGATTTTGAGTTCATGGAATTGTTCATATTGTGGTGCTTACTGATTATCCAAGTGGGTAGAATTCAGATATAGTCACTCTCAGTAGTGAAAGCGGAGCTGAAGACACAGATTTAGGAGTCTTCAGCACCTAGGGGGTCAATAAAGCCATGAGAGAGGATGAGAATGCCCAGGAAGACGGTGGAGGACTAGAGAAGCAGAGGGCCAAGGTAGCAACTCTGAGTAATAGCAACAAATAAGGAATAGACTGCAGGGAAGAGGCCTGTAAAAAGACACAAGAGAAACCAAGGATTCGAGGGGAAACCTCATGGTAACCTATACAACTTACGTCAGCATACTCTTCAGGGTAGGCATGAAGTTGTCCCGGATCAGCTACTCCACATTTACATGAGTGGCACATGTGTAAACTGCTTACACATGGCGTGCTGTTTAGGTAGATCATTTGTATCATACCATGTCTGGGCATATATGTGGAAAAAAATAGATACTTTATAGAGCTTTCTCCTATTTTTTTCATGTTCTATGCTCGATTTCAACATAAATAACATTACGGCAGATAAATCAGATATCCTTTTGCTTGTTATTTTGCTTATTAAAGTTTTTAAATAAGTATTTTGAGTTCAGTATATAATAACCATATTTCAGACCTTTTGAGGAGGCTTGGCAGGAAGTTGAGGGTATCACAAGACTCTTTGGAAATCTGTTCTTGTAAAATAAAATTTTGGTGGTTTAAGAAAATAATCCAGACACAGATGGATCAAATTTACTTCCACACACATGAATTTGAATACGAAGTGGTTGACCAAATGCATTTTGCATTCATCTAAATATAACTCTGTGAGTAGTGAACTGGCAAAAATGCTGAGTTGTGTGCTCTTTTGCTTTTCTAATGTTTGGCCATTATGTTTTAATAGTCAATTTTTTAAAAATTTTTCTGGTGGCTCATTGTTTGCAGTTGCTTACATATTTTTTAAGGTTAAGGAGAAAGTTTTTAAACAAATATTGTTGTTCAAGTTTTTTAAGGATTCTTATTGTAGCAGATGTTTCAGATGCCCTGCATCCAGAAAGGCTCACAATCATCTCTAGTTGACCGAACATATCTCATTTTCTGTTCTTCTCTTAAAGCTAATACCTCCAGCTTCCCTGGTACCTTTTAATGTGACTTGGTTTCAGTACCATGTTTTCCTGTTTGTCTCATGACTTGATGCCACCTCTCAAAAGCTGGTGCACAGAACTGAACACAACATTCCAGACCAAGGTATAAGGCATTACAATTCTGCTATTGTAGCAGAGGACTAATAGGCTCTTGTTTACTTCATTCCACCTCAACCTCATGCCACATGCATCTTTCCTCTTTCTCCCTAGGGCATTCTCTGACCCTAGAAGAATCAAATGCAGGTGAAGTTAATGCTCTTGGGGGACAGTTCACAACCACTAGAGGACTGAAGCCAGTGAGTGAAAACTTCAGCCTCCTGTTTTCAGTGGGCAGCCCCAGCAAGGTAGGCTAGATGCATCTTAGGAGGTCCCAACACAGTCAAGCCTTCATTTCACAGCAATGACCTTGATAATGAGTCTTTTATTTACTCCTTCTCTCACTTATTCTTGCTTTCTGAAATTCCATCCCAGATAAAGTACTTCCATCCAAATCCTTTTCTAGTCTCTGCATTCCAGAGACTTTAAGTCACTCATTTTTCATATTTATCTGTGACATGAAATAATACATCCTTGAACTTCATTGAACAAAGATCAAGAAGTATTTATTCTTCTTTAATGTTAATTGAAATTTTACCAAATAAGTAGAGTAAAAAAAGGAGTCATACTTTCTATTCTATTCCAGAAAACCTTCTTCAGTGAATACAACTACATAATTCAATTATCACAATTCAACGTGAGTAAGATGTGTTAAATACAACATATACTGACAGATAAGTGGAAGAGAAGGAGCTACATACACGGAAAAGGAAAAAGTATGACTGACCCAGATTACCAGAAGTTCAAAAAATAGTTGGAAAAATGGGATACAAACACATATACGAAATAACCACATATTAGATCAAAGGAATGTAGATAAATACATTATAAATTAAACTTTAAGCACTATAAAGCTGCCAAAAGCAGAATAAACAGAGGTTATGAATTTGGAGAAGGAAGCAAACATGATGACATTTTGTTGCTGGGTAAAGGGCAACTATATTAACACATGAAAGAACATACGGACGTATGTTATATGACCCCTTTGGTCTACTATGATAATTTTTTTGCTTTTCTTTTCTTATTTTTAAACTTTTTTGATTGCATTTTCTTAGCTCATACAGTTTATATACCGAAAGTGGCTACATTTGGGACAATTTTTTTTTTTTTTTTTTTTTTGAGACAGAGTCTCTCTGTTGTCATCCTAGACTGGAGTCAATGGCATGACCTCAGTTCACTGCAACCTCCGCCTCCCGGGTTCCAGCAATTTTCCTGCCTTAGCCTCCCAAGTAGCTGGGAGTACAGGCAGCTGCCGCCACAACTGGCTAATTTTTGTATTTTTAGTAGAGATAGAGTTTTACCATGTTGGCCAGGCTGGTCTCAAACTCCTGACCTCAGGTGATCCACCCACCTTGGCCTCCCAAAATGCTGGGATTACAGGCGTGAGCTACCACGCCAGGCCTGGAACAATTTTTAGTAAGAGAAGTGCTTCATAAGAAGTCCATATCTAATGTCGATGACATATTCCATTTTTTAAAATTGTGAAGAAACTTAGATTAAAACACATCCAATGCAATTCCTATAAAGATATCAACATCATTTTTCACAGAATTAGAAAACAACAACCCTAAAATTCAAATGGAACCAAAAAGGAGCCTGAAGAGCAAAGCAATCCTATGCAAAATGAACAAATCTGGACGTATCGCATTACAGGAATTAAAATTATTCTACAAGGCTATAGCTACCAAAACAACATGGTACTGGTATAAAAGTAGACACCTAGACCAATGGAACAGAATAGAGAACCCAGAAATAAAGCCAGTTACTTACAACTAAATAATCTTTGACAAAGCATACAAAAACATAAACTAGGGACAAGACACCCTATTCAATAAATGGTGCTAGGAAAACTGGCAAGCCACATGTAGAGAAAACTGGGTCCCTACCTCTCACTATATATAAAAATCAAGTCAAGATGGATCAGAGTCTTAAATCTAAGACCTGAAGCCATAAAAATTCTATAAGATAACCTAGGAAAAACTCTGTAAGACATTGGCCTAGGCAAAGAATTCATGACTAAGACCTCAAAAGCAAATGCAACAAAAACAAAAATATATAAATGGGATTTATTTAAACCAAAAAGCTTGTACATGGCAAAATAATAATCATTGGAATAAACAGAAAACCCATGAAATGGGAGAAAATATTTGCAAACTATGCATCCAACAAAGGACCAATATCCAGAATCTACAAGCAACTCAAACAAATCTGCAAGAAAAAAAATAAATAATCCCATTAAAAAGTGGGCAAATGACATGAATAGGCAGCTCTCAAAAGAAGATATACCGATGGCCAATAAATGTATGAAGAAAATGCTCAATATCACTAATCATCAGGGAAATGCAAATTAAAACCACAATGAGATACACCTTACTCCTGCAAGAATGACCACTATTAAAAAGTCAAAAAACAATAAATGTTGGTATGGATGTGGTGAGAAGGGAATGCTTAAAAACTGCTGGTGGGGATGTAAACTAGTGCAACCTTTAAGGAAAACAGTATGGAGTATTCTCAAAGGACTAAAAGTAGATTTACTATTTGATCTAGCAATCTCACTACTGGGTATCTACCCAAAGGAAAAGAAGTGAATATATCAAAAAGCACCCACATGCATATGTTTATTGTTGCAAAATTCACAATTGCAAAGATATGGTACCAACCTAAGTGCCCATCAACTAATGAGTGGATGAAGAAAATGTGGTATCTATACACCATGGAATACTACTCAGCTATAAAAAGAATGAAATAATGTCTTTTGCAGCAACTTGGATGGAGCTAGAGGCCATTATTCTGAATGAAGTAATTCAGGAATGAATAAAACTAATATTGTATGTTCTCATTTATAATTGGAGATAAGCTATGGGTACACAAAGACATACAGAGTGAAATAATGGACTTTGGAGACTCAGAATTGGGAGAGGGTGAGGGGGGTGAAGGATTAAAAACTACATATTGGGTACAATATACACTACTTAGATGTCAAATGCACTAAAATCTTAGATTTCACCACTATACAATTCGTCTACGTAACCAAAAACCCCTTGTGCCAGGAGTGGTGGCTCACACCTGTAATCTCAGTACTTTGGGAGGCCAAGGTGGGAGGATCACTTAAGCCTGGGAGTTCAAGACCAGCTTGGGCAAAATAATGAGATCTTAGCTCTACAAATACACAAAAAACTAGCTGGGCATCATGGCACACGCCTAGAGTCCCAGCTACTTAGGAGGCTGAGGTTAGAGAATTACCTGAGTCGGGGAGGTCAAGGCTGCAGTGAGCCATGATCATACCACTGCATTCTAGCCTAGGAGACAGAGTGAGATCTGTCTCAAAAACAAAGAACAACAACAACAACAACAACCCAAAACCCACTTATACTCCAAAAGCTACAAAATGAGACATCTCTAACAGGAAGCTGGTTTGAGCAGTACCATTTGCAGATTACCTCTATGACACTTTCAATCAAAATTATATGGAACAATCAAAGATGATAACATAGGAAAGGAATTCAAAATAGGCCAGTAACAAGTTCATATTTCTCATCCTAGTGGAAATATTCCTTCTGCTTAACAGCAACCATAGAAAAGAAGATCAATACTTATATAAATTGAAAAGTAAATGTTGCAATATTATGGACAAATAGAGTATACAAGTTTAGAATTGTGTGGAAGAACATAAAGAACATCTACTCCAAACTCGTACTCAAAGCAAGGATCCTTTCTGTGTGTCTTAACAGACTTTCAATAACAGCTTACACAGTTTAAATAAAAGGGAGTGAATTAAGGACTTTTGAAACAACCTCTCATAAAAAAATGAAATAACAATTAGAAAATTATTTTCTATTCTAAGCTAAAATCTACCTGCCTGGAGCTTCTGCCCACATCCTTGTTACTTATAGCAGTTGATGACTCTTAAAAGCTGATCCTTAGAACTGAGCACTACATTCCTGATGAGGGTGTGTCATAGCTCTCTTAATGTCATGAAGGACTGTATCAGCTGCCAAACACATTAGGCACACACAGCCTATTGCTTTTTTAAATCCATGGATTTGATTCACAAAAACCCTTTTCCTTTCTTCTGTATGCAGTCGACTTTAACTAGTTAAAAACAAGATCTTACATTCTTCCCTGATAGAGCTAATCTTGAAGGGTTTCAACCTATCTAAATGGCTTGTCAGGATCTCCTCAGCTTTGATCCTGCCATTCAATGCCTACATATATCTTTTCAGTTTGGGGGCATTAACAACACTTCACTTAAAGTCGTCAATAAAAAATATCAAACAAATATAAGGATGCAAATATTGAGACAGAAGAAGCAAACCACTAAGATAGTTTACTCCAGGTGCCCATGTATCCACTAATCTACAGGGATAGTTAGTTTAAAAATTATGAATAAGGCTGGGTGCAGTGGCTCGTGCCTATAATCTCAGCAGTTTGGGAGGCCGAGGCGGGCAGATTGCTTGAGCTCAGAAGTTCAAGACCAGCCTGGCCAACATGGTAAAACCTTATATCTACAAAAACCACAAAACATTAGCTGGTCATGGTGGTGTGTGCCTGTAGTCCCAGCTACTTGGGAGACTGAGGTGGAAGGATGGAATGAGCCCAGGAAGTGGAGGCTGCAGTGAGCCATGATCAGGCCACTGCACTCCAGCCTGGGCAACAGAGTGAGACCTTATCTCAAATATATATATAAAATAAAATACATATAAATATAAATAGAAATTGCCTGAATATATTAATATTATAACCCAATTATTCTCCACAGTAAATATAGAGCTATCAGGAGATATTTTCCAAATATCTTACTGATATATATGTGGTTTCAGCATGACTTTGATCAATTAATAGAATAATCTAATAAAAGTGTAGAAATAAAGTTGTGAGGAAGTGATTTGCTTTTAATGAGCCTACTCTTGTTTCTAGGAAATGACATTTTAGGTTACTGAGATGTCTGTAATAGATTTTGCTTCAAATTCAGGTGAAATTAACAGTTCATAGTTTCTAAACTCTGAGGTTTTCTTGTTCATAAACATCATGATTACTTGCAGCTCATTTATTTCACCTGTATCTTTATAGGTTGCCATCAATAGCTTGTTGATTATAATTGCTATTCTTTAATTGCTTGGTTTTACACATTTTTTTTTTTTTTGAGATGGATTCTTGCTCTGTCACCAGGCTGGAGTGCAGTGGCGTGATCTCGGCTCACTGCAACTTCTGCCTCCCAGGTTCAAGCGATTCTCCTGCCTCAGCCTCCCGAGTAGCTGGAACTACAGGCACCCACCACCACACCCAGCTAATTTTTGTATTTTTAGTAGAGACGGGGTTTCACCGTGTTGGCCAGGATGGCCTCAATCTCTTGACCTCGTGATCCTCTGGCCTTGGCCTCCCAAAGTGCTTCCTGAGCCTAGAAGGCTAAATAACAAGCTCTCCTATTTTATTACTGAACTTAGATTCAAGTCTTCTTTAACAATATTTACATTTCATCCTCACTTGGAGGAGAATTTCTCTTGTAGAAAACTGTGAAAGAAATATGAGTCAACAACCTCTGCCTTTTTTGTTTGTTTTTGTTTTTAATCTAATATTCTGGCATTGTAACAAAGCAACTGGGAATGCCCTTCTTCTTTTTGCTCCTAGAGAATCTAAAAGCTATTTTATGTATATGTTTAATGGTATGTTATTTTCAAGCCTCAATCCGTTCTGGTATTTAGCCTCTCTAATACAATTGCTACAAATCCACTCTCTCTTTGAAATTCACATGTTGTTATGTGTTCCTTTTTTCACCTTTGTGTTATTTCTAAAAACTGAACATCTAAGGTCTTATCTTTATTGAAACATGCTAATATAACAGAAGGGTAGGATAAAAATCCAGGCTTCTAGTGAGTTCACCTTGAAAATGCAACTTACAACTTACAAATGTGTCATTTAATAGTACATGTATTATACATACACATACACACACATATTAGGTTGGTGCAAAAGTAATTGTGGTATTTGCCATTATGTTTTATATATATACACACACACACACACAAACACATAGAGAGAGAGACAGAGAGAATGTATATATCAGGTTAAGTTATAATAATAACGGTTTCTATTCTCAATAAATTTAGAATTATGAAATGTTGATAGTAGAATGCAGAGATACCTTAGAGATCACCTAGATAAATGTAGTTATTTTAACTATCTAAATACTAAAAATTATGTTTATGCAGAAAAGCAGAATTAAGTATTAGTATACCTGTGTAGTAATTTCATGTTTAAAAATGTTTGTGCATTTTAGTTATATACATGAAATAAGCAACAAATAATAATAGTAATAATCCAGTAACTATTTAATAAGTACTTAGTTTGTATCAGGACTGTGCTAAGCATTTTAACATGTTATATTCTATTTAATCTCAACAAAACTATTGAGTGGTTATTATCAGCCTCCATTTACAGGCAATAAAAGAAGCAAGTCACATAATTAATGGAGAAACCAGGATTTGAAACCAGTTCAAAGCACAGCAACTGAGTCCTCAAGAGGAGAAACTATCTAAATAGAGTTACAGAGATTGTAAGAAGGAAAAGGGCTTTTTGTGTTACCAAATAAATTGAAATCAAATTCAGGTTGAATTTGTAGTTTCAGCCTTCTAACTCACTTTGTTGAAAGGACTTGTTTTGGAGAGCCCGTTTTCTCTTCTGCTGCTCAGTCACAATCCCTGTATGTGGAAAAGCAAATGTGTGTGTGTGTGTGTGTGTATAAACACACAATGAAATGAGGGAGTATAGCATACATAGCATGAGTCTTTATAGTATAATCATTCTAGGATTAGTCAGAAACAATTAAGCTTTTTCCCCTTGGGATATTTAGAATTGGTAGCAAGAATACTGTATTAGTCTGTTCTCACACTGCTATAAAGCACTACCTGATACTGGGTAATTTATAAAGAAGAGAGGTTTAATTGACTCACAGTTCCATAGGCTGCACAGGAGGCATGGCTGAGGAGGCCTCGGGAAACTTACAATCACGGCAGAAGGCAAAGGGGTAGCAAGTGCATCTTCACTTGGCCAGCATGAGAGAGAGAGAGCGAAGGGGGAGGTGCTACACACTTTCAAACAACCAGGTCTCATGAGAACTTTGTCATGAGACAGCACTTGAGGGATGGTGCTAAAACATTAGAAACCACCCCCATGATTCAATCACCTCCCACCAGGCCTCACCTCAAACACTCTGGATCACAACTTAACATGAGATTTGGGTGGGGACACAGAGACAAACTATATCAAATGCCAAGAAGTAAATTCTATGA
This sequence comes from Homo sapiens, assembly GCF_000001405.40. NCBI lineage: Eukaryota > Metazoa > Chordata > Mammalia > Primates > Hominidae > Homo > Homo sapiens. Next base: position 182,035,439 of record NC_000002.12, on the reverse strand, counting down.
AGAAACAAATTATGCATAATTCCTCATGGCAATTTCTTTTAAGTAAGGCACTTACATGATTTGTTAGAGGCTTACAGTTGAAAAATTGAGAATTAAATAGTTACTAAAAGCTGATGAAATATTGTGAAAAAATATTTTACTTAGGCATTTGAATGTTTGAATGTAAAAGCAGCTTTGTATAATAACAACCATTTTTGCCATTCATTCATGCTATAAACTTTCACTGTGAATTCGGCACTCTATTCAATGATGGGGATGGGAGGAAGCAAGGTGATGTGGCGATGAAGAGCCCAGATTCACAGTCAAGACTACAGAACTATTTAACAGATGTGCACATGGGCATACAGTCACTTCCCATTCCCTCACAAAGCATTTATTGAGCAACAAGGAGGTGCCAGGCACTGGGCTAGGTATTGGGAATAAAAAGTGCAATCAGACACAGTCCTTTCTTTCAAAAAGAGACAGACCCAAAATAATCACAATGTAGTGCATTAAAGGTGTGTAAGGAGCCACAGGAGTACAGTTCAATCCATAAAACATTCATTGTATTCCTAATATGTGCCTAGGACCATGATAAATGATGTGAACATTTGCTGATTTTGGTGGCCTACCCTCCTATTTTCTTTCCAACAGCAACCTAATAACTTTTGAGGAGTTACATTTTTCCTCTTTGGATAAGTTTGATGAGACTGCCTTTTAGATACCTGGATCTACTTGTGGCCTGCCCACTTATTGACATTCGCACATTTCTGACTTAACATCCTTCCAACTTAAGCCTTCTACTTAAATTGACCAGAATTAATTCGAATAGGTATGAGTAATTAAAACATCAGTCAAACCAGTCCTGCCCTTAAAAGTTTATAGTCTATTTGTGGAGAAACAGTTTAATATAAAAACATCAATGTGTCATGTCATGCTGCTTTTTCTGCCACCTCTCTGCTCTCCAGCCTCAATGACCTTCTTTTTGTTCCTCAAACATGTTATTCTTCTTCCCACCTCAGGGCTTTTGTACATATTTTTCCTTCTAATTAAAAAATATACACTCTATCTCTTCCATATTTTGCACTGAAAGTATTAATTCCATGACTGAGCCCTCTTGGACCACCTAGACTAAGCTACATCTGTCTTGTTATATACTCTGATGCCACCTTTTAATCCAACTTGATAGCATTTATCACAATTATCATAAATTAAACATTTGTGTAGTGATTGATTTAACTTTGTCTTCCTGTCCTTAATAGCACAATGTATAAGAAAATGATTTTGCCTCTATTCTGAATAGGGCAGTTTCCTAGACATAGTAGGCACTCAAAAATATTTCATTGATTGAATAAACTAATAAATAAATGTATTATGGTGTGCTCATGGGGTCAAAAAACACTACACATTCTAGAAAATTCTAGAAGACACACATTATAGCCTGGAGTTAAAAAGCCTTCTTGATTCTAAACCTGAATCTTGACAAAGGAGGAATTAGCCACTGAAAGATCAGAAGAGTTTTGCAGGAACAGAGAATATCATGAATACAATGATACATTTCTAAAACTTTTCTGCGTCCTGGTACCTAGAAGCAGTTCAAAGCGATTTAGCGTAAGGATGAGATTGAAAAGGTAAATAGGAAACATTGTGGCGGGCCTTTAATATCACACAAATGAGCTTGGAACTTTTTCTGCACTTCTTAGAAAATTTTTGAAGGGCTTCATAAATAGAGGAATAGTGTGGTCAGATGTGTATTTTAAGAATATGACTGTTGGAAAAGAGAAGGGTAACGGCAAAGTTGGCACAAGGAGTGAGACAAGGTTATCGTAAAAGAATGGAGATGATAAGGACCTGAGTTAAGCAGTGGTCATAAGGGAGATGTGGGCCACATTTGAGAAATATTTTAAGAGACAAAATGGGCAAAAATTGATTATTAGTTGGTTTTTAAAGAATACATAACAAGGAGCAAGTTTGGAAAGTTAAAGGAAGTCATAAATTCACTTTTAGACATGTTAAATTGATATGCCTCTGGGACAACCAGAGTTAAACATCCAGATGATTTTTAAACATGGACGTCTAAAGATCAGGCAATATTTTTGGCTCAAGACACTGATTTGAAAGTTATCAGTATATGACTGACAGTTTTAGACTATGAGAGTAAATAAAATTAAGAGAGTAAGTATAGGTGTCATGAGGAGAATAGGTATTACAAGCTCTAGAAAGATCATTGTTTGTGTGGTAGGAAACTTAGGAGCAGAGCAAGATGTGGCAAGGAAAGGAGGACATCACAAAAATCAGGGAAGAAAAGAATTGCAAGAAAGTTAACATAGCTAACAATGTTAAGTAGTAGAGAGGGATCAAGGACTTTAAAAATGATTACTGGATTTGGCAATTATTGGATAATTATTAATAGTAACTTTTAACAAAGCAATTGGAGTGGAGTGAATTTGGGGGTAAAGTCAGACTGCAACAGGCTAAAATGAAATAAAAGATAAAGAATTTGCAACAACTCTCTCAAGAAGTTTGTCTCTGAAGGGCAGAAGATGAGGTAATGCCTAGAGAGCTCAAGAGAAGTTTTGTTTTTAAAATAAGAGGCTTGAATATATTGATAACTTAAGGAGAAAGCATTAATATTTATCGAGCACTTAGTATGTTGGGCATTATTCATCCCATCACGCTATTCTAATCCTCATAATAGGTAGTGGAATTATTAACATTTTTATAGATGAGAAAATTGAACCTCTGGCATTGTATAATCCAGGGCAGCTCACACAGCTTGTAAGTAGTGGAACTAGAACCTGAACCCAAGCAGTCTAACTTTGAGCCCACACTGCTAACTATACTGCCTTTCAGCACGAATGGAGACACTGAACATAATGGAAATAAATTCATCAAAAATAAGTATGTGGTGGGGCCCACTATGTATCAGAAACTGCTCTAGGCTCCTGGAATATACCAGTGAACAAAAACCTGACAAAGATCTTTTCCCCTTAGTAATGGAGACATAAACAATAAACACAATAAATAAGTTAATTATATGGTATGTTGGATGGTAATAAGTATTATGGAAAAACGAACCAGTAGTGCAGAGTAATGGGTTTGCAAACTAAATATGGTAGACAGGGTAGGTCTCATTGAGAAACCGACATTAAAGCAAGGTTTGAAAGAGGTGAAAAAGTTAACCACGTCTAGAAACAAATGCAATAGTTGATATTCAGTTCTGATGAAACCAATATGTTAACTCTTCTTTAGATTGGATTAGCTCAGTTGAAAGGGATGGCCCCCTTGACTTTTGGCTGAACTATGAACATTTCAGAAGGCCAGTTTCCATGTTTATCTGCTATGATTTGTTGGTGTATTACATCACTGTAACCACAAATTTAAATGTTTAGGAAAGAACAAGTTACCTTCTACCAATGCAAAAATAAATACTAAACTTTAAACTGATACCCATAGGACTTCCCCATGAAGGGGCACCAAAATTTCTAACTCTCTCCAACAATCTCCCGAGTTTAAGATTGGGCTATGATCTGGAATGTGGAAAAAATAAGATATGGTACAATTTCTTTATCATACATACATGCTTCCTAAGTGAATATCAATCTTTTTTTCTTTTAACAAAATCTTCTAGGTAGGTTTGGCTAAGTAGTAGAATTACTCATAGTAGAATATATAAACCATAAATTATAGAATTTATAAATTTTGAAGTTTCTAGTAAAACATTTCAGCAGCTGTTGATCATGGGAAAACAATGTGTGTGGTCAAAGAGCTGTATCAGTGTTCATATTGCAATGGGACTAAAATGATATTTGATAAGAAAATAAGAAGTGAGGCTATTGTAATACAAATTATGCCTAAGTAATTACAGCAAGGCTTTTGATTTCTCCTTTAACATATTGTTGAATTCTTTTAAAAAATGTGTTTGAAGAAATGATGACATCCTAAGTCATAAATACAAATTCTCCAGGCTATAACTAAGTTAAGTAAATGATTTAAATTTTTTTACTTTATTTTTGCCTCCAAACATTTTTATCCGAATGTTTAGCAACTTAACGACTTTTTTCTTCACATAAAAATAATGTCCACTTCTTAAAATTCAAGCAAGACAGTCCACTATAGTGAAGAAAGCCACTCAATATTACTATCCAAATATAATCATCATTATCAGGTGAATCTTATGCCAGATAATTCTTGTTACATAAACACATATAGAAGAATATAGGGGGAGGAGCCAAGATGGCCGAATAGGAACAGCTCCGGTCTACAGCTCCCAGCGTGAGCTATGCAGAAGACAGGTGATTTCTGCATTTCCATCTGAGGTACCGGGTTCATCTCACTAGGGAGTGCCAGACAGTGGGCGCAGGTCAGTGGGTGCGCGCACCTTGCGCAAGCCGAAGCAGGGTGAGGCATTGCCTCACTTGGGAAGCGCAAGGGGTCAGGGAGTTCCCTTTCCGAGTCAAAGAAAGGGATGACGGACTCACCTGGGAAATCGGGTCACTCCCACCCGAATATTGTGCTTTTCGGACCGGCTTAAAAAACGGCGCACCACGAGATTATATCCGGCACCTGGCTCAGAGGGTCCTACGCCCACAGAGTCTCACTGATTGCTAGCACAGCAGTCTGAGATCAAACTGCAAGGCGGCAGCGAGGCTAGGGGAGGGGCACCCGCCATTGCCCAGGCTTGCTTAGGTAAACAAAGCAGCTGGGAAGCTCGAACTGTGTGGAGCCCACCACAGCTCAAGGAGGCCTGCCTGCCTCTGTAGGCTCCACCTCTGGGGGCAGGGCACAGACAAACAAAAAGACAGCAGTAACCTCTGCAGACTTAAATGTCCCTGTCTGACAGCTTTGAAGAGAGCAGTGGTTCTCCCAGCATGCAGCTGGAGATCTGAGAACGGGCAGACTGCCTCCTCAAGTGGGTCCCTGACCCCTGACCCCCGAGCAGCCTAACTGGGAGGCACCCCCCAGCAGGGGCACACTGACATCTCACACGGCAGGGTATTCCAACAGACCTGCAGCTGAGGGTCCTGTCTGTTAGAAGGAAAACTAACAAACAGAAAGGACATCCACACCAAAAACCCATCTGTACATCACCCTCATCAAAGACCAAAAGTAGATAAAACCACAAAGATGGGGAAAAAACAGAACAGAAAAACGGGAAACTCTAAAACACAGAGTGCCTCTCCTCCTCCAAAGGAACGCAGTTCTTCACCAGCAATGGAACAAAGCTGGATGGAGAATGACTTTGACGAGCTGAGAGAAGAAGGCTTCAGACGATCAAATTACCCTGAGCTATGGGAGGACATTCAAACCAAAGGCAAAGAAGTTGAAAACTTTGAAAAAAATTTAGAAGAATGTATAACTAGAATAACCAATACAGAGAAGTGCTTAAAGGAGCTGATGGAGCTGAAAACCAAGGCTCGAGAACTACGTGAAGAATGCAGAAGCCTCAGGAGCCGATGCGATCAACTGGAAGAAAGGGTATCAGCAATGGAAGATGAAATGAATGAAATGAAGCGAGAAGGGAAGTTTAGAGAAAAAAGAATAAAAAGAAATGAGCAAAGCCTCCAAGAAATATGGGACTATGTGAAAAGACCAAATCTACGTCTGATTGGTGTACCTGAAAGTGATGGGGAGAATGGAACCAAGTTGGAAAACACTCTGCAGGATATTATCCAGGAGAACTTCCCCAATCTAGCAAGGCAGGCCAACGTTCAGATTCAGGAAATACACAGAACGCCACAAAGATACTCCTCGAGAAGAGCAACTCCAAGACACATAATTGTCAGATTCACCAAAGTTGAAATGAAGGAAAAAATGTTAAGGGCAGCCAGAGAGAAAGGTCGGGTTACCCTCAAAGGGAAGCCCATCAGACTAACAGCGGATCTCTCAGCAGAAACCCTACAAGCCAGAAGAGAGTGGGGGCCAATATTCAACATTCTTAAAGAAAAGAATTTTCAACCCAGAATTTCATATCCAGCCAAACTAAGATTCATAAGTGAAGGAGAAATAAAATACTTTACAGACAAGCAAATGCTGAGAGATTTGGTCACCACCAGGCCTGCCCTAAAAGAGCTCCTGAAGGAAGTGCTAAACATGGAAAGGAACAACCGGTACCAGCCGCTACAAAATCATGCCAAAATGTAAAGACCATCGAGACTAGGAAGAAACTGCATCAACTAACGAGCAAAATAACCAGCTAACATCATAATGACAGGATCAAATTCACACATGACAATATTAACTTTAAATGTAAATGGACTAAATGCTCCAATTAAAAGACACAGACTGGCAAATTGGATAAAGAGTCAAGACCCATCAGTGTGCTGTATTCAGGAAACCCATCTCACATGCCGAGACACACATAGGCTCAAAATAAAAGGATGGAGGAAGATCTACCAAGCCAAGGGAAAACAAAAAAAGGCAGGGGTTGCAATCCTAGTCTCTGATAAAACAGACTTTAAACCAACAAAGATCAAAAGAGACAAAGAAGGCCATTACATAATGGTAAAGGGATCAATTCAACAAGAAGAGCTAACTATCCTAAATATATATGCACCCAATACAGGAGCACCCAGATTCATAAAGCAAGTCCTGAGTGACCTACAAAGAGACTTAGACTCCCACACATTAATAATGGGAGACTTTAACACCCCACTGTCAACATTAGACAGACCAACGAGACAGAAAGTCAACAAGGATACCCAGGAATTGAACTCAGCTCTCCACCAAGCAGACCTAATAGACATCTACAGAACTCTCCACCCCAAATCAACAAAATATACACTTTTTTCAGCACCACACCACACCTATTCCAAAATTGACCACATACTTGGAAGTAAAGCTTTCCTCAGCAAATGTAAAAGAACAGAGATTATAACAAACTATCTCTCAGACCACAATGCAATCAAACTAGAACTCAGGATTAAGAATCTCACTCAAAACCGCTCAACTACATGGAAACTGAAGAACCTGCTCCTGAATGACTACTGGATACATAATGAAATGAAGGCAGAAATAAAGATGTTCTTTGAAACCAATGAGAACAAAGACACAACATACCAGAATCTCTGGGATGCATTCAAAGCAGTGTGTAGAGGGAAATTTATAGCACTAAATGCCCACAAGAGAAAGCAGGAAAGATCCAAAATTGACACCCTAACATCACAATTAAAAGAACTAGAAAAGCAAGAGCAAACACATTCAAAAGCTAGCAGAAGGCAAGAAATAACTAAAATCAGAGCAGAACTGAAGGAAATAGAGACACAAAAAACCCTTCAAAAAATTAATGAATCCAGGAGCTGGTTTTTTGAAAGGATCAACAAAATTGATAGACCGCTAGCAAGACTAAGAAAGAAAAAAAGAGAGAAGAATCAAATAGACACAATAAAAAATGATAAAGGGGATATCACCACCGATCCCACAGAAATACAAACTACCATCAGAGAATACTACAAACACCTCTACGCAAATAAACTAGAAAATCTAGAAGAAATGGATAAATTCCTCGACACATACACTCTCCCAAGACTAAACCAGGAAGTAGTTGAATCTCTGAATAAACCAATAACAGGAGCTGAAATTGTGGCAATAATCAATAGTTTACCAACCAAAAAGAGTCCAGGACCAGATGGATTCACAGCCGAATTCTACCAGAGGTACAAGGAGGAACTGGTACCATTCCTTCTGAAACTATTCCAATGAATAGAAAAAGAGGGACTCCTCCCTAACTCATTTTATGAGGCTAGCATCATTCTGATACCAAAGCCAGGCAGAGACACAACCAAAAAAGAGAATTTTAGACCAATATCCTTGATGAACATTGATGCAAAAATCCTCAATAAAATACTGGCAAACCGAATCCAGCAGCACATCAAAAAGCTTATCCACCATGATCAAGTGGGCTTCATCCCTGGGATGCAAGGCTGGTTCAATATACGCAAATCAATAGATGTAATCCAGCATATAAACAGAGCCAAAGACAAAAACCACATGATTATCTCAATAGATGCAGAAAAGGCCTTTGACAAAATTCAACAACCCTTCATGCTAAAAACTCTCAATAAATTAGGTATTGATGGGACGTATTTCAAAATAATAAGAGCTATCTATGACAGACCCACAGCCAATATCATACTAAATGGGCAAAAACTGGAAGCATTCCCTTTGAAAACTGGCACAAGACAGGGATGCCCTCTCTCACCACTCCTATTCAACATAGTGTTGGAAGTTCTGGCCAGGGCAATTAGGCAGGAGAAGGAAATAAAGGGTATTCAATTAGGAAAAGAGGAAGTCAAATTGTCCCTGTTTGCAGACGACATGATTGTATATCTAGAAAACCCCATGGTCACAGCCCAAAATCTCCTTAAGCTGATAAGCAACTTCAGCAAAGTCTCAGGATACAAAATCAATGTACAAAAATCACAAGCATTCTTATACACCAACAACAGACAAACAGAGAGCCAAATCATGAGTGAACTCCCATTCACAATTGCTTCAAAGAGAATAAAATACCTAGGAATCCAACTTACAAGGGATGTGAAGGACCTCTTCAAGGAGAACTACAAACCACTGCTCAAGGAAATAAAAGAGGATACAAACAAATGGAAGAACATTCTATGCTCATGGGTAGGAAGAATCAATATCGTGAAAATGGCCATACTGCCCAAGGTAATTTACAGATTCAATGCCATCCCCATCAAGCTACCAATGACTTTCTTCACAGAATTGTAAAAAACTACTTTAAAGTTCATATGGAGCCAAAAAAGAGCCCGCATTGCCAAGTCAATCCTAAGCCAAAAGAACGAAGCTGGAGGCATCACACTACCTGACTTCAAACTATACTACAAGCCTACAGTAACCAAAACAGCATGGTACTGGTACCAAAACAGAGATATAGATCAATGGAACAGAACACAGCCCTCAGAAATAACGCCGCATATCTACAACTATCTGATCTTTGACAAACCTGACAAAAACAAGCAATGGGGAAAGGATTCCCTATTTAATAAATGGTGCTGGGAAAACTGGCTAGACATATGTAGAAAGCTGAAACTGGATCCCTTCCTTACACCTTATACAAAAATCAATTCAAGATGGATTAAAGACTTAAACGTTAGACCTAAAACCATAAAAACCCGAGAAGAAAACCTAGGCATTACCATTCAGGACATAGGCATGGGCAAGGACTTCATGTCCAAAACACCAAAAGCAATGGCAACAAAAGACAAAATTGACAAATGGGATCTAATTAAACTAAAGAGCTTCTGCACAGCAAAAGAAACTACCATCAGAGTGAACAGGCAACCTACAAAATGGGAGAAAATTTTCGCAACCTACTCATCTGACAAAGGGCTAATATCCAGAATCTACAATGAACTCAAACAAATTTACAAGAAAAAAACAAACAACCCCATCAAAAAGTGGGCGAAGGACATGAACAGACACTTCTCAAAAGAAGACATTTATGCAGCCAAAAAACACATGAAAAAATGCTCATCATCACTGGCCAGCAGAGAAATGCAAATCAAAACCACAATGAGATACCATCTCACACCAGTTAGAATGGCGATCATTAAAAAGTCAGGAAACAACAGGTGCTGGAGAGGATGTGGAGAAATAGGAACACTTTTACACCGTTGGTGGGACTGTAAACTAGTTCAACCATTGTGGAAGTCAGTGTGGCGACTCCTCAGGGATCTAGAACTAGAAATACCATTTGACCCAGCCATCCCATTACTGGGTATATACCCAAAGGACTATAAATCATGCTGCTATAAAGACACATGCACACGTATGTTTATTGCGGCATTATTCACAATAGCAAAGACTTGGAACCAACCCAAATGTCCAACAATGATAGACTGGATTAAGAAAATGTGGCACATATACACCATGGAATACTATGCAGCCATAAAAAATGATGAGTTCATGTCCTTTGTAGGGACATGGATGAAATTGGAAATCATCATTCTCAGTAAACTATCGCAAGAACAAAAAACCAAACACCGCATATTCTCACTCATAGGTGGCAATTGAACAATGAGATCACATGGACACAGGAAGGGGAATATCACACTCTGGGGACTGTGGTGGGGTTGGGGGAGGTGGGAGGGATAGCATTGGGAGATATACCTAATGCTAGATGATGAGTTAGTGGGTGCAGCGCACCAGCATGGCACATGTATACATATGTAACTAACCTGCACAATGTGCACATGTACCCTAAAACTTAAAGTATAATAAAAATAAATAAATAAATAAATAATAATAATAATAATAATAATAATTTTATTTACTTGAGGTTTGGCAAAGAGAAAGAGAAACAATTTACTCTTTAAGTCAATAATTGCCTTATAAAGAGTATAGAACCTGTTTTATTTTTTGCACAAATTTATGCAGTACATGTGCAACTTTGTTATGTGCAGAGATTGGGTGGTTGTCAAGTCATAGCTTTTAGTGTATATTCCTCACCCAAATAACATACATTGTACCCATTAAAAAAAAAAAAAGAAGAATATATTAATTTTTTAATTTAATGGATTTCTACTATCCACGATATTGCTAGTATTTTTGTTTGTTTGTTTGTTTGTTTGTTTGTTTGTTTTTTGAGACAGATTCTTGCTTTGTTGCCCAGGCTGGAGTGCAGTGGCATGATCTCAGCTCACTGCAACCTCTGCCTCCTGGGTTCAAGCAATTATCCTGCCTCAACCTCCTGAGTAGCTGGGACTACAGGCTCATGCTGCCATGCCTGGCTAATTTTTTGTATTTTAGTAGAAACAAGGTTTCACCGTGTTGCAGGCTGGTCTCGAACTCCTGAGCTCAGGAAATCTGCCCACCTCGGCCTCCCAAGATATTGCTAGTTTTTACAGGTTCTATAATACTTCTTCAATTTAATGAACAAAAAGATAGTGATGTAAATTTCTAGAAGTTAGTAAATTTCAAATAAATATTTCTTCACCGAGAGGTAACAGCTCTTTAAAGATAATTTTACATTGTGAAAAAATAGAGAATATTATTTTAACAATATTTCAAGTGTAGTGGTTATCAATTGACTGTGCTCTGAAATATTTTAAAAATTAGTACTTTAATTTGTCCTCAAACTGTTTTTGTAACCCTTAAATTTTTTGGTTCTAATTCTTATATTTCGGGATATAATGTTTACATTCTCTTCCAAAACATAGTTATTTAACCTTAATTCTAAGGATTGATATACACTCACAAATACTGTTTGTATCACAGCTTCTTCATGCTAAGTCCTTTTTAACTTGCTCAGATTTAGTGAATTTCATCATTAATTATTTTTTAGAAAGCCTCATAGAAAACTGTTTTTAATTCTTACATGCTTGAGAATATCTGTACCTTGAAATACAAAAATAATTTGTCTGGTTTAAATATATGTTGGGTCACACTTTCCTTTAAAATCATGTGGATATTGCTCCTACCATATTCTGTAATTTAGCGCTATTATGAGAAGGAGAAATTTGCTTTTTATGCCTGTACATCTGAATAATTATTATTAAATTTCAGGGAGAGAACGGTGAGTCATACCTGTAACCCCAGCACTCTGAGAGGCCAAGGTGGGAGGATTGCTTGAGCACAGGAGTTCAAGACCAGCCTGGCAAAACAGTGAGACCTGGTTTCTACAAAAAAAAATTAAAAACAATAAATTAAAAATTAGCCAGGCATGATGGTGCATGCCTGTAGTCCCAGCTATGTGAGAAGCTGAGGTGAGAAGATTGCTTTAGCCCAGGAGACCAAGGCTGCAGTGAGTTATGGTTGTGCCACTGTACTCCAGCCTGAGGAACCAGAGGAAAATCCTGTCTTAAAAAAAAATCAATAATTTAATAATAATATTTTATCTTAAGCACACTAGGCAAGTTGTTGTTGGATCATCAATGTCCTTTCAACTCCAGTATTATAGTTTAAAATTTGATACTATATAATTTGTTTTTGTTGTTTTCTTTTGTTGGAGGTGGGGCAGTTGCCAAGGGTGACACCAATTGTCCTTATGTTGGATTGTCTTTGCCCTCACTCTTTTTTTCAAGTTGTTTCCATGTCTTTTCCCTACACATGAACTCAAGCTTTTCATCCAGATCAGTAATTTCACTTTTAGCTTGCCTATTATATTTTCCTTTTTATTTGTAATTTATTCATCAATTCAGTAGTGGTACCATTTTGGTATATTCTTTCCATTTTATTTCACTGTTTCTTCTTATCATCTGAATTTTTAGCTGTGGGATCATGAGAGTCATGTTGTTACTCAGTATTTCTGCATCACTGAGCATTGACAAATAAATTTTTTTCTGTTTCTTGCATGATAATTTTTCTATATTGCCTACTTAATCTGCCTGTAGCAAGCTACATTGTGGTTTTTTACATTTGTCTCTATGTGTTATATTTACAAAGTTGCTATTCCATTTCTTTATATTTTGATACGACAAACTATAGATCATTCTTGATATTATTTCCACATTAATTTATTATCTTCTTGCCACAAGTTACAAGTGAGAATTGGGTATTTCTACATCCACTTTTGCATAACCTAAGCATATGTCTAAGGATGAGTGGGGAAGGAGGGCATCACTGGTCTTGGCTCTGATATTTCTTCAACATACTGTTAAATTTCTTGCATTAGGGTTCACTCCACCTGTTAGCAACATTCATTATTTATAAGGGAGATACACTTATTCTTCTCATTAATTATGGAAGCCTGGCCATGATGATTTCTAATGGTCTCTCAAGCTTCTACTAAGATCCTGAGATTCTACAGTAGTGGTTAATAGTTACTACTCTTCAGGGTTTTATTGTCTCCTGTAAGATTTGGAAATCTGTATAGAAATCACCTTTAATCAAAGTCTTTTCAAATTGGATGTTTTAAATAAAAATTCACAGAATTATTTTGTGCTACGTATGTGTGTGGGGATGGAGTAGGAGTAAACAGCCACTCTGAGTTGGGATAGAGTCTATTTCTTTCCTTCACTGCCACATTTTAAAGTTCATGGCATGGAGATTTACTGGTTTGCCTCTTTTGGTGCTGCTAGTTTTATCTTATTACTTTCCTACAGGTTTTACTTTTTTAATTTCACAAAGAATGAAGGCAACTTTATTAAATTGTCTATACCCAGATTTATGAATTTTGCTTTATCTCTGATTTCCCCCCAGAGCCTTGCAAAGTGGTATTTAGCCTATGCTCACTAAATATTTTTTAATTTAATTGAAAACATAAATTGACTTCAGGTGAAGATGGTGTTAACCAAAAAATTTTCATCAATTTATGTCTTACAGCATGTAGTGGTTTCTTTAATTAAATTATTTGTTTAATTTAAACAATAGCACAAGTTAAGTAAACACTAGGTACTAATTCAGTTTGACATTTCTTAAGAAAACATACAATTTAGATCATGACTGAAAGAAATATCTACTCATAAGTGGTTCATTGCCAATGCATTTTAGAATCTTTCTTGCTTTTTAACTCTGATTGTAGCCCTATTGGCTTAGAGCGTTTCTACTGGGGTCTCTCCTCCCCCTGCTATTTCTGGCTGCCTCACAGATAAGTATCAAGCAATGTGTCAGGTGATTAGCTCTAATGTCTAAAGTGTTCGTTCATTTCTTTAAAATGACCACTTTCTGTTTTGTGTAGGAAAGGATAAATATATCCTGATACTTTCTAGACCATATTAGTTGCTCCTTTACCTGCCTTCCTTTAACCTCTTTAGCTCTTTTCTGTCTGATACTTTTTCTTTTCAGGAGCAGTTTTTAAAAGGCAGAGAGAAATTGCCATCATCTTCTTTCTTATATTAAGGAATCTAAAATCTTAAGAAAATAACCATTTTTTTTGGCTGGGCGTGAGGCTCACGCCTGTAATCTCAGCACTTTGGGAGGCCGAGGTGGGAGGATCATGAGGTCAAGAGATAAAGACCATCCTGGCCAACATGGTGAAACCCTGTCTCTACTAAAAATACAAAAATTAGCCAGGCGTGGTGTCTCGCACCTGTAGTCCCAGCTACTCGGGAGGCTGAGGCAGGAGAGTTGCATGAACCCAAGGGGCGGAGGTTGCAGTGAGATGAGATCGTGCCACTGCACTCCAGCCTGGTGACAGAGCGAGACTCCATTAAAAAAAAAAAAAAAAAAAAAAAAAAAGAGAGAGAGAGAAAGAATAACCATAAAATTTGATGGCTTGGGCCATATGAATAGCTTCTTATACCCCAAAGAAACTTCACAAAGGTCTACTCCTCACTTCTTCCTAAACAATTAAGGACTCTTTCTACCACATGCATGAGAGACAACAATCTAGATTCTGCCTGAATTACCAAAGATTCATTTACACTCCAGCCCATTCTTTCCCATGATGGAGGGTAGGAGGGACAGGGGTTACCAGCCAACAATATTGAGAAAGAGAAGTCACCCAGGGTATTACAGAAAAAGAGGGCGTGGGATCATGAAAACAAAGGGTGGAGAGAATTTCAAGAAGAAAACTGTCAGCATTTTCAACAGAAGCTTAGATATCAAGACAGATAAGCACAGACAAGTGTATTTGGATAAAGTGACCTTCTAGAGAGGAGATTTAGAGAAAGCCAAATTGAAGTGGGTTCAGTGACTAATGAGAATCCAAAAACAAAGTCAGACTAACCTTTGGAAAGCTGACTCATAAACAGCCAGAAAGAAATGAAATACCATATAGAAAAGGTTGGGGAAGGTCAGAACAAAAGTATTTTCTTTTTCTTTCTCTTAAGATATGGGCTCCTACTCACTTTAAAAAGCAGAAGAAAGGAAGACAGTGGGGAAAGAGAGGATCAGGATACCAGAAAGGATAGGACTTTAAACCCCTTATGGAAAGAGAAGAGAAAAAGAATCAAAGAACATTAGAAGAAACTTCATGTTGAGAAGAGTTGTGGTTTCTTCTGAGGCTGTCAGGGAAACAGATGCAAAACAGTGTTCAAAATGTGAGGGGCCTCTAGGGAACGACTTATTCTACTCTAGGCTTCTGCAAACGTTTACCTTTACCCTTAGGCCCTTCATGCTCAAAGAGAATCCTCATGTGGCTCTCAAAAAGACAGAGGGATAGGAAAGTACAAGTTGCACAGTCCTTCTCATTCTCTAACCCCCAATTCCAGAACGCATGAACATGTCTAATAAGATATTTTATCTAAGATATTACTCTTCTTTCATCTAATTCTATGCAGTTATAATGTGGGAATTAAAACATATAATCTGTTTACCTCAGATCTTACTTATCAGGAATCACAGTATGAATATTTTTAAATATACTAAAATAGCTTACCAAATCAAAATGATGCTACTTTAATTTAAATACACATAGGGCACTGTAGTCCTTTAAATCTTTACAGTCATCAGCAATCTCCTGCTCCTCTGAAAACTAATTATGTCTCTAATGAGGCTTCAATATTAAATGTCAGACAAATAGTTAACTGGTTTAAACCAGTTTCAAATGGTCGTAGTTTCAGGGAACTGATTTCTTAAGCATCTCATTTATTTAGTATATCTGATGTTCTCAAGTCGCTGTTACAGAGATGGATCTATATGCCACTGCTTACTCTGAAGAACACTTCATCAAATTAGTTGCTAAGCTTGGCTTCAGCTCAGGAATTTCTATTTAATATGTTTTGCTGATTTGATAAACTTCTGGATCTGATCCCTGGAGCTTATTTCAATGCTGTCTTATGAAACTGGATGTCTTTCATAAAAATTCTGTGTTTAAGAACACTGGATTTGTGATCAGATCTCTGAGTTCAAACTCTAGCTCTGCCACTGATTTGTTATATGGTATCAGGCTCATTACTTAACCTCCCTGAACTCATTTTCTCTTCAAAAATGGGGAAAAGAGCTATAAGTAAAAACTGAATGAGACACTTACCCATTCTCTGTAATAAACCTGCCCTAAGTATTTTGGGACGCTTCTAAAGGGTTAATAAAAAGAATAATCATTTTTGAACAAACAGCATAGTACCATTGTATCATCAGCAGGCTCAGAGCTGAGGGTGGCCACCAACTAAGAAAATACGTGCCTTCTGGTTGAAATGGCGTGAAGTTGTAGCAGCTGTGCCCAGTAGAGCTGTAAAAATCATGGGAAATTGTACACATGTGATACTCCACCCAAGGGATGGCAAAAATATTTGATGAGAGAAAGTACTTTGCATGGGGCTGGAGGGCCCACATTAGCAGGTAATGGCTACCATGCAAAGAAACTTCAGGAATTATTGTAAATAAGACCACATCTAGCTCCACAGATTGACAAGACTTAGATAACTTCAAGCTGTATCTATAATGATACAAACCTTTACTCTTTCAAATAATCTCTACATTTGGTCTTATTTTTGAAGTTGAGTTGTTGTGTATAAGAATTTTTTCATGGCATAAATATACTTATAATAACATCTCAGTAATGTAATGTTGCATTCACTATCTGTGTTTAATATATTATAATATAGATATATATGTTCACTATACTTTCGTAAATGACTAACTTAATTTTCACCACAAAAGTATTTTCCTTTTCCAGGTTTCTAATTACCCAATTATCCATACTTAAGACTCCTGCTTGACTCTCTCATCATCCTCATTTTATACTCAGTAGCCAATCAATGATTCAAGTCATCAGTTGATTCATTTTTCTCAGTGCCTCAGAAATTAGTCTTTTTCAATCGATTGCTTTCCCATCCCCCAGTCAGATCCTTATCATTCGTTCCTACACTATTCCACTGGTCTCCTAACTGACTTTCATGCCACTCCATGTTTCAAATTGCATGCTGCAAGACTGAACCTCATTTAATCACATCATGTTCTAGCTCATAGAATGACAATAATTTTTATTTTGCAAGAGAAATTCAGAATTATTCATCCTGAACCCTCTGGTCCCCACACACCTAAATTCTCACTGATCTGTGTTAGCCATCTGCTCTAGTCTAACTGGCCTGAACAATCTAAACTTTATAAGGTCTCCCTCCATGATTTTCCACAAGCTATGCCTGGAATGTAACTCCAACTCTTCCATGAAGTCAATTCTAAAAACATCAATCTTCTTAGAGTTCTCACTCTTCCAAACACTTACAGCATTTACTGTTGACATCATTATTAAATAATGAATCATCTACTTATTGCAACTCCTTTATATTGTTTCTCATTTCTGTTAGCTGTTCTAATTTCCTTGTCTTGTTTCCTTAAACTAGTTTGTAAGCTCGCTAATCAGAGATCTGGTTTATCCTAACACATCCAGCATAGAAACTAGACTTAGGAATTATACTCTCAATGTTTTTATTTGGTCTTAGTTTAGGTAGATCATTATAGCTGAGAGCTTTATAGTATAAAGTCGTTTTTTCACATTACTGTCCATTTTTTGCTTTAAATATTTAAGAAGACAGGATTACAAATATAAAATTTGAAGGAAATCAATAGAAATAACTATTATTGATTAGTCTGAATGTATAATACATAAAGTCTCAAACTATAACTTAAATTATAACCATGTTCTTTTATCTGACATTAATTTAGAATAATGATCATTCCTCAATGTAAACAGCACATTGTTTTACAATGCAAAACAAAAAAGTATGATCTTTCCCTTTGTTGACTTATCCCAGAAATCTAGAGCTTTTTCAACATACATCTCTTTTGAGACTAACAATAGATGTACAGTATGACAGTTCTATGAAAACAACATGTTCTGCAGTAAACTCCTATTAAATACATGGAAGTAAATGAATGTATTTTGACAAATATAGCACTATACGTTTTAATTTATTTCTCTTGCTGACAAAACACAAACTCACAGAATAAATTGTTTTCTTCATCACTGCATCTACAGTACCTAGAACATGTAGTTAGTGCTTAATAGTTATTAATTGATTAAATAAGTGAAAAATTATTTCAATTCACCCCTATATTCTTTAAATGTTAACATTCTACTGTGCAATTGTACTGCTAGCCTCTTACCTAACTCTAAAATCACTCATTTTTTGTTGATATACAAACTTTAAGCCATATAAGCAAAAACAATGAGCAAGGAGAAATAAGTATAACTTTTGAAGTAAGTTATATAAAAATTAGAGTGAATTTAAAAAATTCTGGTGATAGTGATTTAACAATATGAAAAGGTAGCTGGATAGTGGTTATAGAGTTAAAATATGGACTTAGACCAGTCCCCCAATATAAATTAATAACTCTAAAATGTATTGATAAATTTTGATTATATATATACATACATATATGAGTGTGTTTCCAGAAATGTAATTTTTATAATCAGTTAACTTATTGCTAAATGTATACTTAATACATGCATAAATAAATAAATGCACTAAAGATATAGTTGATTCACTTAGAATGTCTACTGTTAGAAGAAACTTATAAAGCCTGTTGGCCTACCAAGTATTTGGCAAAGACTTCAAAGATGGCTCAACCTGTTCAAAGATGGGTAAACTATATACTGTCATGAATTTGTGATGACAAGGAAAAATTCCTTTTGGATTATGGATTAAAATAAGATTGAAACTTTACTCCTGTAATTGGAAATTTGGCTATGAATCACACAAATTAGATACTTTAGGGCCTACCCTATAAAAACGACATAAAACTTAAACAGATGTCTAACCACTTTTAAGTTGCTAACAGAAGGATAAGTACAACTGACAATAAAATCAGGAACTCAGACTCACAGTTTGTTATCAGAAACAAGGACAAAATTAGATGTGTATTCTGACTAAATGGTTCCTATGTTTTATAGAAGCTGTAGTATTATCATATTTCAGCTAGAAAAGACTAGAAATCAGTTTCTCTTTCAAATATATGCATAACTACTTGTATAAAAATACCAGTTCAATGGACTTTCATGTTTAAAATGGAAGGAAAAAGAAAACTTTTATTAGACCACTACCATGTACCAATAACTGTATTATTTCATTTAATCTTCATATTAATATTTACATAAAGTGAATAATACTACACTATATTCCAGATAAAGAAATTGCATTTCAAGAGGTAGCAGAGCAAGATGGCCAAATAGAAGCCTCTAGCAGTCATCCCCTCCCCACCTGTAGGAATACCAAATTGAACAACTATCCACACAAGAAAGCAACTTCATAAGAAAGAACCAAAAATCAAATGAGCAATCACAATCTCTGGTTTTAATGTCATATCACTGAAAGAGGCATGGAAGAAGGTAGAAAAGACAGTCCTGAATTGCTGATGCCACCCCTCCCCCATTCTCCAGCAGTGACCACATGGTGGGGAGAGAGAATCTGTGTGCTTGTGGGAGAGAGAGTTCAGAGATTGTGAGTCTTCGCATTGGATGCCCATGGAGGGGGCATTTAGACCAGCCCTAGCCAGAGGGGGAAGCACTCATCCCAGTGGCTGGAATCCTGAGACTCAGGTAGTCCCACCAACACAAGCTAAAGCACTCTGGGGTCCTAAGTATGTTTGAAAGGCAATCTAGGCCACAAAGACTGCAATTCCTGGGCAAGTCCTAGTGCTGTGCTGGGCTCGGAGCCGGCACACGCACACATGGGGTGCAAATGACCTAGTGAGATACCAGCCAGGGCAGCCAAAGGAGTGCTTGAGTCATCACCCATCCCTTAACCACAGGCAGTGAAGCTCGCAGCTCTGGGAGAGACCCCTTTACTCTGCTTGAGAAGAGCAGACAATAGAATAAAGAGGACTTTTTTGCGACTTAGATCCAGCTCAGCCACAGTGGAACAGGGCACCAAGCAGAGCCCTAAGACCCCCCATTCCAGGCCCTAGCTCCTGGATGACATTTCTAGACATACCCTGGGCCAGAAAGGAACCCACTGCCTTGAAGGGAAGGAAGCAGTACTAGCAAGATTCATCACCTGCTGACTGACATTTTCTTGGGCATTGAATAAACATCAGCTGGAGCCAGCAGTATTCACCATGGGCCTTAGGTGAGAGCCAGTGCTGTGTCAGCTTTAGATGTGACCCAACATAATCTCAGCTGCAGTGACTAATACAGAGGGAGAGACTCTGTATTAGTCCATTTGCACACTGCTGATAAAGATATAACAGAGACTGGGTAATTATAAAGGAAAGAGGTTTAATTCACTCACAGTTCCACATGGCTAGGGAGGCCTCACAATTATGGCAGAAGGCAAGAAGGAGCAAGTCACATCTTACATGGCAGCAGGGAAGAGAGAATGAGAACCTTATAAAACCATCACATCTCATGAGACTTATTCACTACTACGAGAACAGTACGGGGTAAACTGCCCCCATGATTCAATTATCTCCCACCAGGTCACTCCCACAACATATGGGAATTATGGAAGCTACAATTCAAGATGAGATTTGGGTGGGGATACAGCCAAACCATATCGGACTCCTTCTGCTAGAAGAAAGGAGAGGGAAGACTAAAGGGGACTTTGTCTTGCAGCTTGGGTACCAGTTCAGTCACAATGGAGTAGAGCACCAAGAGGACTTCTAGGGTCCTTGATTCTAGCTATGGCTTCTGGACAGCATTTCCGCACCCGCCCTGAGCAAGATGGGAGCCCACACTGCCCTGAAGGGAGAGACTCAGGCCTGGCAGCGTTCACTACAAGCTGACTAAAGAGTCCTTGGGCCTTGAGTGAACATTGGTGGTAGCCAGGCAGTACTCACCATGGACCTGGGGAAGTGGTAGCCACAAAGAGAGTCTCCTTCTGCTTGAGGAAATGAGATGGAAGAGTGGGAAGGACTTTGTTTTGCAGCTAGGGTGCTAGCTCAGCCACAGTAGAAAGGAGCACCAAGTAGGTTACTAACGTTCCCTGTTCTAGGCTCTGGCTCCCAGACAACATTTCTAGATCTACCCTGGGATGGAGTAGGGTTTGCCGCTGTGAAGGGAAGGACATCAGCCTGGCTGGATTCGCCACTTACTGACTGAAGAGCCCTTGGGCCTTGAGTGACAATTGGCAGTAGCCAGGCAGTGGTTGCCATGGGCCTTGGGCAAGACTCGGTGCTGTGCTGGCTTGGGTCTGAACCAGTGCAGTCCCAGTGGTGGCCACACGACGCCTGCATCACTTCTCCCAGAGTTCTACACAGCTCAGCACAGAGAGAGAGAGATTCTGTTTGTTTGGGGGAAAGTAATGAAAGATAACAAGAGCTTCTGCTAGGTAATCTAGGAAAGTCCCTCAGATTTTAACAAGACCCCCAAGGCAGTACCTCTATGAGTCTTGAAGAATCACAGAATTACTGGGCTTTGGGTGCCTCCTAATGCAGATACAGCTACAGTGACCAGGTAGATAACAACACTCAATGCCCTTTCAATACTTGGAAAGCCTTCTCAAGAAGAACAGGTACAAACAAGGTTAGACTATAAAGACCACAATCAACACCTGATTCTTCAGTGCCCCAAAATCGAAGAATATGAACAAACATCAAGACCATCCAGGAAAACATGACCTCGACAACTAACTAAATATGGTACTGGGGACCAACCAGGAGTGACAGAGATATGTAAACTTTTAGACAGAGAATTCAAAATAGTTGTTTTGAGCAAGCTCAATGAAATTCAAGATAACACAGAAAAGGAATTCAGAATCCTATCAGATAAATTTAACAAGAGATTGAAATAATTTTTAAAAATTAAGCAGAAATTCTAGAGCTGAAAAATTCTATTGATGTACTGAAAAACATATCTGAGTCTCTTAATAGCAGAACTGATCAAGCAGCAGAAAGAAATGGTGAGCTTGAAGGTAGGCTATTTGAAAATACACAATCGGGGAGACAAAAGAAAAAGAATAGATAAGAATTAAGCATGCCTGCAAGATCTAGAAAATAGCCTCAAAAGGGCAAATCTAAGAGTTGATGGTCTTAAAGAGGAGGTGATGAAAGAGATAGGTATAGAAAGTTTATTCAAAGTAATAATAACAGAAAACTTCCCAGACCTAGAGAAAGATATCAATATTCAATTATAGGGAGGGTATAGAACACCAAGCAGATTTAACCCAAAGAAGACTATCTCAAGACAATAAACTCCCAAAGATCAAGGATAAAGAAAGGATCCTAAAAGCAGCAAGAGAAAAGAAACAAAAAATAACATACAACAGAGCTACAATATATCTGGCAGCAGACTTCTCAATGGAAACCTTACAGGCCAGGAGAGAGTGTCATGACATATTTAAAGTGATGAAGGGGGAAAAAATGCAAACTTTTACCCTAGAATAGTATGTACAGTGAAAAATCCTTCAATCATGAAGGAGAAATAAAGACTCCCTGACAAACAAAAGCTGACAGATCTCAACAACACCAAATCTGTCCTATATGAAATGCTAACGGAAGTTCTTCAGTCTGAAAGAAAAGAACATTAATGAGCAATAAGAAATCATCTGAAGGTACAAAACTTACTGGAAATGGTAAGTACACAGAAAAATGGAGAATATTATGACACTGTAACTATGGTGTGCAAACTATTCATATCTTGAGTAATAAGATTAAATGATGCACCCATCAAAAATTATAATTACAACAATTTTTAAATACATAGAAAGTACAATAGCACATAAATAGAAACAATAAAAAGTTAAAAAGCGGTGGGGGTGTATGAAGTTATAATCAACAGTTTTTATTAGTTTTCTCTTTGCCTGTTTCTTAGTTGTTTGTTTTTGCAATCAGTGTGATGTTGTCATCAGCTTAAAATAATGTCTTATAAGATGTTATTGGCAAGCCTCATGATAATCTCAAATCACAAAACATACAGAAGACACGCAAAAAATAAAAAGCAAGAATTAATGCATACTACCAGAGAAAAATCACCTTCATTGAAAGGAAGACAAGGACTGAAGGAAGACCACAAAACAACCAGAAAACAAATAACGAAATGGCCATAGCAAGTCCTTACTTGCCAATAATAACATTAAATGTAAATGGACTAAACTCTCCAGTCAAAAGACATAGAGTGGCTAAAAGGTTTTTTTTAAAAAGACCCAACTATGTTGCCTACAAGAAACACACTTCACCTATAAAGACACACATAGACTGAACATAAAGGGATCAAAAAAGATATTCCATGCCAACAAAAACCAGAAATGACATACAATATATGCTGTACTTATATCAGGCAAAACAAACTTTGAGAGAAAAACTATAAGAAGAGACAAAGAGGGTCATTATACAATGATGAAGGGGTCAGTTTAGCAAGGGGATTTAACAATTGTAAACATATATGCACCCACCCATGAAGCACACAGATATAGAAAGGAAATATTATTAAAGAGAGATATAAATCACAATACAATAATACCTGGAGACATCAACATCCACTTTCAGCATTGGACAGATCATCCAGACAGAAAATCAACAAAGAAACATAACACCTAATTTACACTATAGATAAAATGGACCTAATAGATATTTACAGGTTATCCAATGGCCATAAAATACACCTTCTTCTTCTCAGCAGGTAGCTCATTATCAAGGAGAGACCATATGTTAGGCCACAAAACAAGTCTTAACAAATTCAAAGAAAATGAAATAATTTCAAATATTTCTCAGACCACAGTGGAATAACATTAAAAATCAATAAGAAGAGAAACTTTGGAAACTATACACACACACATCAGAATTAAGTAATAAGCTCCTGAATGACCAATGGGTCAATGAAGAAATTAAGAAGGAAGTTGAAGAATTTCTTGAAACAAATGAAAATAGAAACACAACATACCAAAACCTGTGGGATACAGCAAAAACAGTACTAAGAGGAAAGTTGATAGCAATAAGTGCCTACATACAAAGTAGAAGAACTTCAAATAACCAACCTTACAATGCATCTTAAGGAACTAGAAAAGCAAGAGCAAACCAAACCTGAAATTAGTACAAGAAAATAAACCATAAAGAACAAAGCAGTAGAAAATGGAATTGAAACAAATGAATTAGTAAATAAAAAATCAATGAAATGAAAAGTTGGGTTTTTGAAAAGATAAACAGAATCAACAAACTTTTAGCCAGATGAAGGAAAAAAGACAGAAGATTCAAATAAATAAAATAAGAGACAAAAATGGAGACCTCATAACCAATATGGCAGAAATTCAAAGGATCATTAGAGACTACTATGAATGGCTATATGTCAATAAATTTGAAAACCTTGAAGAAATGGATAAATTCCTAGACACATACAACCTATCAAAATAGAGTCCTGAAGAAATCCAAAACCTGAATGGAGCAATAGCAGGTAATGAGATTGAAGCCATTATAAAGTCTCCCAACTAAGAAAAGCCTGGCACCCAATAGCTTCACTGCTGAATTTTACCCGTCATTTAAAGAACTAACACTGATCCTACTCAAACTATTCTGAAAAACAGCAGAGAAGGGAATGCTTCCAAACTCATCCTATGAGGCCAGAAGGACCATGATACCAAAACCAGACAAAGACACATCAAAGTAAAGAAAACTACAGGCCAATATCCCTGAACAATGATGCAAAAATTCTCAACAAAATACTAGCAAATGGAATTCAATAACACATTAAAAAGATTATTCATCATGACCAAGTGGGATTTATCCCAGGGATGCAAGAATGGTTCAACATACACAAATCAAACGATGTGATACATTATAGCAATAAAATAAAGGACTAACACCATATGATCATTGCAATTGATGATGAAAAAGCATTTGACAAAATTCAGTATCCCTGTATGATAAAAACCCTCAGAAATTTGGAATAGAAGGTACATACCTCCACACAGGAAAGCCATATATGACAAATCCACAAGCTAGTATCATACTGAATGGGGGAAAACTGAAAGGCTTTCCTCTTAGACCTAAAACACAATAAGGCCGACCACTTTCACCATTGTTATTTAACATAGTACTAGAAATCCTAGCTAGAGAAATTAGATAAGAAAAAGAAATAAAGTGCCTCTGAATTGTAAAAGAAGCAGCTAAATTATCCTTGTTTGTAGACAACATGATCTTATATTTGGAAAAACCTGAAGACTCCACCAAAAAACTAGTATAACTGGTAAACTAATTCAGTAAAGTTGTAGGATACAATATTAACATACAAACATCAGTAGCATTTCTATATGGCAACAGTAAACAATCTGTAAAAGGAATCAGGGAAGTAATTATCTTTAAAATAGCTACAAATAAAATAAAATACCTGGGAATAAACTTAATTAAAGAAGTAAAAGATTTCTACAATGAAAACTGTAAAACTTTGATGAAAGAAAATGAAAAGGACACAAAAAAATGCAAAAATATTTCATGTTCATGAATTGGAAGAACAAATATTGTTAAAATATCCATAGTACCCAAAACAGTCTAGAAATTCAATGTAATCCCCATAAAAATACCAATGACACTTTTCACAGAAATAGAAAAAAAAAACTATCCTAAAATTTACAGGAATCACAAAAGAGCTAGAATAGCCCAAACAATCCTGAGCAAAAAGAACAAAACTGGAGGAATCACATTACCTGACTTTATACTACAGAGCTATAGTAACCAAAACAGCATGATCCTAGCATAAAAACAGACACACAGACCAATGGAACAGAATTGAGAACCCAGAAACAAATCCACACACCTACAGTGAATTCATTTTTGACCAAAGTGAAAAAAACGTATAACAAGGGAAGGACAGTCTCTTTAATAAATTAGTTCTGGAAAAACTGGATATCCATATGCAGAAGAATAAAACTAGACCCCTATCTCTCACCATAAACAAAAATCCAATCAAAATAGATTAAAGACTTAAATCTAAGACCTCAAATTATGAAACTAAGAGAAAACATTGGGGAAACTCTCCAGGATTTGGTCTTAGCAAATATTTCTTGAATGATACCTCACAAGCACAGGCAACTAAGCAAAAATGGACAAATAGAATCATATCCAGTTAGAAAGCTTCTGCACAGCAAAGGATACAACAAACAAAGTGAATAGACACCCCCACCGAATGGGAGAAAATATTCAAAACTACTCATATGACAAAGGGATAATAACCAGAATATATAAGGAACTCAAGCAACAGTATAGGCAAACACCATAATAATCTGATTTAAAAATGGGCGAAAGATCTGAATAGACATTTCTGAAGAGATACAAATGGCAAATAGGTATATGAAAAGGTGCTCAAAGTCATTGATCATCAGAGGTATGCAAATCAAAACTACTATGAGATATCATCTCATGCCAGTTAAAGTGGCTTTTATCCAAAAGTTAGGCAATAACAAATGCTGGTGAGGATGTGCAGAAAAGGAAACCCTCACATGCTGCTGGTGGGAATGTAAATTTGTACAGCTACTTTGGAGAAGAGTATGGAGGTTCCTGAAAAAAACTAAAAATAGAACTATCATATGACCCAGTAATCCCATTGATAATTTGTACCAAAAGAAAAGAAATCAGTGTATTGAAGAGATATCTGTACTCTCATGTTTATTGTAGTATTATTCATAATAGCCAAGATTTGGAAGCAATCTAAGTGTCCATCAACAGATGAATGGATAACAAAATGTGATACGTAAACACAATAGACTACTCTTCAGCCATAAAAAAGAATGAGGTCCTGTCATTTGTAACAACATGGATAGAACTGGACATCATTATGTTAAGTGGAATAAACACAGAAAGACAAGCTTCACATGTTCCCGCTTATTTGTGGGAGTTAAAAATTGAAACAAACACATGGTGATGGAGAGTAGAATGATGGTTACCAGAGACTAGGAATGATAGTGGGGACTAAACGGAGAATGAATAAGAGCTAGTATTTGATAGCACAACAGGGTGATAACAGTCAACAATAATTTATTGTGCATTTTAAAATAAGTTAAATGGTATAACGAGAATATTTGTAACACAAAGGAATGGTAAATGCTTGAGGTGATGGATACCTTACTAACCCTAATGTGATTACTACACATTGTATGCTTGTATCAAAATATCCCATGTACCCCATAAATATATTCACCTACTATATGCCCATAAAAATAAAATTTCTAAAAAGAAACTACATTTCACAAACATTATGTCGCTTTTGTAGGATCCTTCGATGGCTAAGTGGTAAAACTGAGATATAAACCCACATCTATCTCACATCAAAACCTTCTTGCTTTACACTACTACCTTCAAAGTAAATTTATCAGAGAAGTCCATTTTCTGTTTTTTTTTATTGTAAGCCATCAAGAATGATAATAAAAACATTATTTTAAAACAGTGAATATAATGATGAAGTGTTAAAGATGGAAGGGTCCTTTGAAACTATTGAGTCTGTCCCTCTCTACCAGTTTGCCTTAACCAAAGGCATTGGCAATGACCTTGAGGGGTCTATCCCATATTACATCAAGCATAATACAATTCACTCATACCTCACACTAAATGTAATCTGTTTATAGACATTTATGCAAAAGTATTGATTTCATTTTATTTTATTTTTTTATTTATTTGTTTGTTTTTTTTGAGACGGAGTCTCGCTCTTTCGCCCAGGCCGGAGTGCAGTGGCGCGATCTCAGCTCACTGCAAGCTCCACCTCCTAGGTTCACGCCATTCTCCTGCCTCAGCCTCCCGAGTAGCTGGGACTACAGACACCCACCACCACTCCCGGCTAAGTTTTTTTAAAATTATTTTTAGCAGAGACGGGGTTTCACCGTGTTAGCCAGGATGGTCTCGATCTCCTGACCTCGTGATCCACCCGCCTCAGCCTCCCAAAGTGCTGGGATTACAGGCGTGAGCCACCGCGCCTAGCCTTGATTTCTATTTTGATACATTTTTACATATACTGAATGCA
Organism: Homo sapiens; assembly: GCF_000001405.40. Lineage (NCBI taxonomy): Eukaryota > Metazoa > Chordata > Mammalia > Primates > Hominidae > Homo > Homo sapiens. The sequence goes on along the minus strand of NC_000002.12, from coordinate 182,007,739 downwards.
CTGAAAATTTTCAGGCCTTACATTTTTTGATAGGTCCAGATAAAACTCCTAGTCTCCAGGCACTTTGCCTCTGTTGCCTAATGGGGAAAACATGGCCTGGGAAAAGAAAGACAAATTGCCTTACTAAGGTTACTTGGTTAGTGGAAGTCAGGACAAAATCCACTACTATCTAGTTCTCTTTTATTCCACCACCATATGCCTTAATGTGGCGTTATTCTCAAAAGCATAGAATTCCAAATAAGGCACTATGTACAACACAGATTTGGGGATCAAAATTCAAGTGGTGTCTGCTATGAAATGTTAGGCTTAGAATGGAATTTCAATTGGATATTAAATATAATTTAAATGTAGAATAAAATGTAACTATAGAATTAGTAGTATGTTAGTATTCTTATTGATATTGTAGAAAATAAGCAAGCCATAATATACAACCACAGAATGATGAAACATCATGAGAAATCAGTTATGTGGTATGTTAGTGTATACGTAGATAGACCTGTGTGTATGTGTGTGTGTCCAACAATAACTAAAATTGTTAAATTTCAACACAAGGATCAAGAATGTCATCTTATCAAACTTCTTAATTTCATAGGTTCAAAAAATGAAACTCTAAAGACATGACGCAATTAGCCCTTTATCTAGCTAGATCATGGCAGACTTGAGATTAAAATCTAGATTAGTTATTATTGTTTTAGTTTTTTAAGTATTCCCTTATGTCCTCCGCATAAATAAACAAAAACCAATAAGCAATTTTTATAGCTGAAACATGAGAATATATAAAATAACCTAACCAGTTATACAAGGAAATATCTACTACATCTTCATTTTGAAGACCAACATGATGAACACTCTGAAAGCTATCAACAAGCAATAAGAAGGCAGATTAACCAGTTGAAATCCTAACATTACAATGTCCATGATTGTCACTTTGATAATTGCTCAAGACTTTAGGATTCTTGCTGTTTTGTAATAACTCAAATACTTCAATAATGGTTCATGTACAGGGTTGTGTTTCAACTTCTTTGTGTTATACTCCTAATGGCACATGGCTTCACACACGTTTCAGCACATCTGCCTTTCAAGAAGAAACTGCTTAAAACTTAAGACAGTTGTTAAAAAGGAACAGACCAGCCAGAAAACATGTCTAGAGAATTTTCAATTGATCCATGTGATTTTGCTAAAAATTGTAACCACATTCAGCAGCAACACTTATCCTTCGGGCCTGAGAACCAATGTGTGTCACCAGAAATTATGGACAAACTGGCTGAAGTATCACTTCTTTTTCTTCTTAGGAAATCTTGTTTCATCAATGCTGTATATCATATATGCAGATCCGATTAACTTTAAATCCACATTTAGTCTCTCTCATCTAATCCTTATTTTCTGGCTAAGAAATAAAAAGGCAATATTTTTAAGAGTCTTCAAAGGTTCTAGTGAAGATCAAAGTGTATGTCTTTGATCTTTTATAACCAAAGCCTCACTTCCATATATCATGAAGTCTTTATTTAGTAAGATCATGGATAATAATATAAAATTAACCCAAATTCTCTTTCATTGACTTTTAAGTTGCTAGTTCTTTAATTTCAACTACTGATCTTTGGGGACCCTTCATCCCTCAATTCATAAAATCACCATCAAACATAAATAACAAATGCAATGATGAGATTGGCAGAATCTCCAGCTAAGGAAAGAAAAAAAGAATATTCTTTTTGTTTCAACAACTTCCAAACTATTAATGTTTTATTTACTGTGAGTACTTTTGGCTCTAATACTGTGATGCCATAATGCCAAACATTTTTATTTATTATTTTCATCTTTTAAACTACCCTGTGAAGTAGGCATTATTAGTTACATTTTACATGTGAGTAAACTGAAGCTCATAAGATTGGGTAGCTTGCTTAAAGTGACAGACCTAGTAAATGACATTCAAACCTAGGTCTTTTTGGTTCCAACGTTAACCTCTTCTGTTATACCACACTACCTGGCAAGCAATATAATTTTTCTAAGATTGGCACTGAAGAGAATAAGAAAATGGTTAGTGTAGTAAGCTCGTATTTGAGACTTGAAAATAATTGTATAAATAACACAAATGATGCAAAATATGTGTTTATGTTGTATATAACAGATGCCCCTAGTTACAGATAGAAACAATTTGCTACTTCTAACTCACAAATCTTCAAAATTCCAAAACCATATTTAGATAACTTGTTCAGTCACACATGCTCACTTTCCTAAAAATTGAAAATGAAAGATATAAAACTCATCAAAGAAGAATGAAAAATGTTGCTCCCATTAGACTTTGAATATGAATGGATATATTGAACTGAGGCCATACATTTTAAGATTAGCTATTCCTTAGAACCCCTATATGTGGAGCAGTTGTCAGAGCGGAGATAATATCCCATGCTCCAGATTTTCTGGCAGCATGTCAGTGACTGCTCAGCAGATCAGTAGATATGAGTAACTAATCTAAATTGCTTAGCTAATGATGTACATGTCTAATTGAATTTACTTTAATGATTAAGAGCAGTAATTGTTTTTAAGATAGTTATATTGAGCCTATAGTATATATATTGCCAACGTTATCAAAGTAATAATTACTAGGTAAACATTTCTGTTTTTTATAAGCACATTGTGCTTACTCTAAAAACATCTAATAAATTAGTTTATAATACTAGCAGCTCCATTATTGAGCCATTACTTCCAGGAATGTTATGAATATTTCATATGAGATTAGAATGAGGGCTATTTTATCTACCATGTCTAGAGTAATGGGTTCCATTCTGAATTCATTACCATCCCCACTCTCCCAAATGGCTTCTGTCTTGTTAGAAAAGGCCCCAGCATCTATAGCTTTAATTCAGTACTCCAGTACTCTTTCTTATCACCACCTCCAATTTTGCCATCCAATAAATCATTAAGTTCACTAAATCTCTATGCACTCAGGTTTCTTTTTCTGCAGCCACAGGGACCTTCTTAAAATAAAAAATGAGCATGTGAGCCCTCCTGCTGGTGAGCCCTCCTGCTGAAAACCATCTCGTGGTTCCTAATCCTAACTCTTTTGAGATGTTTACAATGCCTGCCAACATGGCACCTGCCAAATCTCCACCCTCCACCTAATGGCACACCATGCCACACATAACAGGCTCCATTCATAGCATTGAATCTCTAATGCCTTGTCATGTTTCTGGGCTTTTGCCTCTACTTTTCTTTGTGTCTTGGATAGTCTTCCCTGCCTTCACCCTAAGATTTCAGCATACTCTTCCTTACCCTCCCTATCATTGACTGGGCTATGTGTTCCTACTGTGTGCTTTTAAACCATCCTATATTTCTGCCATCACAAACTCCATCACCTTTCATTGTGAATCCTCAACTCAGCACATTACCTGGCCTCAGTAACTATCTGTTAAATGAATGAAATGTTGGTGCTATACTGAAAATCTGTGTATTGCTAGGGAGTAGAATAATGAGACATCTAAAAATATTTCATAATTGTAAAGTTAAACATACCTGCAAATTTTAGATAAGACAGGACTTAGAGCAAATGAGATGTCTGCCCCTAAACACAGGAAGGGTGTTCAACTGGAAGAAGTATTACACTTTTTCTGAGATCTTTTAAAAGAATTGACCAAGACTAACAGGAGAAAGCTTCAGAAAAGATATTTTAACTAGGTATATGGCACGCCTTTCTAACAATTAGAGCTCTCCAGTCAGAGCCGTGATGCTTCAAAACCAGCCAAAATCCTAACCACTGGAAATGGTCAAGTGGAATCTGACTAATCATCAGTTGAAATTCCTGGAGAAAGTAATCCAGCATAGAGCTGAGATCAAAACTGGGCTATGTGTTCCTACTCAAGCTTTTATCAATTTTACTGTGTACCTGATTTGTTTATGAAACAATCTATTTCAAAGTTAATGAAAAGGGGATGGTTTTAGTGGGAGCTTGGGAGGCTATTGAGCATTCCTTTTTTTTAATAATTAAATTTGTGCAAAGTCCAAATGGTAGTGTCCATTTTACATACACACACACTACACACACACACACACACACATCCAGCAAAAATCATAGAGGCTGACTATTGAGTTTATTAGCTTGGAGATGCTACAAGACTGATTTATGTCCTCTTTTGGTAGAATGTAGGAAATTCAGAGATATAAACTGCTACCTAACTGTACTCTACTTAGTGATATTTTTTCAGCTCTGAGCTGCAAGAAAACATATTTCTTGTATGTCCATGTCCAAAAATGAAATAAAATGGAATCTGAGTATCTTAAAAAATGCAAGTATTTAGTAAAATAGGGTACTGGTGAAGGCATTCTAAGTAGAAAAAAAATTCTATCAAAGGTTTAAGGTAGAAATGGTTTAGAAGACAATTAGCCAGTCTGGCCAGAGATGCAGGTCCAGGCCTAAGAATAAAGCAAAGTAGATTTACAGGTTTTGTATTTCTTCAGACTAAGAAATCTAAGTGTTATAGTTGTAGGAGCAATGGGTGAGCAAAGGTAGTGAAATACAAGACTACTGTTTGGAAAAGATGAGGCAAGATTATGCAGAGCAGATCTCAAATGTAAGCACAAATTGCAAATATCTTTATCACAGTAGTTTAAAAATTGACAATTTATGTGACTCCTTTGTAATTCAGTGGGCCCATTTCCCCTATATGTTGATAGTTTGGCAGAATGTTGTTAACCTCCACTGCTGAAGGAAACTCCCTGTGGTTTGCTTGACTATGGGAAAGAATACAGGTCAATTTTCTCCCAATATAATAGTTGATGACAGTTCTGGGGGATTTCAGGGTTGTGGGGGGGGGGAGGTTTATGGCATCACTCTTGGTGGTATGATTCTACCAGTTATGGAAGACGAAGGTGAGAATGACTATGTACAGATACTAGGGGGTGATCTTATAAACACAAATTTCAAATATATCTTTCTGCTCTCAAATGTTTGATGGGATTTCATGAGGGTATTAGAATATTTAAATTTTGAGATTTTAAAGCATGTAAATCAGTCTAGATCATGAAGCATATTAATAAACAATGTCATGAAAATCCTCTAATATTTTGTTTTTCAGTTCTTTGAAATATCATTTTGGTGCATTAGTCTTAGCCATTCTTTTCTTTATCAGACATTTAACCAAGATTATGAATAAAGAGCTGGGATTCAAATATTACTTTAAGCCCAAGGAATCTTGCTCATTATTACATAATAATTTTTATTAATAAAAATATAAATCCAATAACTTCTGTGGAAACAAAGGTTTGTTTTTGTTGTTATTGTTTGGTATTATTTTGTTTCAGTTTACATATATTTCTTAGAGTATAAAATTTGGAGCAGGTAATCGTTTTTTATTCCTTCTCAATTTATTTTATGTCAGTTTCAAGTTTATATCATATCTTAAAAAGTTATTTTCTCATAAGGAATTTCATACTAAAGTTTTTCAGATTTTTTACTGGAGTGAAAGGTAGACCTATAGTTCTAAAAACAATGAGACAATTGCAAACTCTAGCTACTACACAGAAAAATTTTAATACTGAAAAGAAAAAAAAATACCTTGATGGAAAGTGGGTTGTAGTATGTCAGGAAAAAATGCTAAGAAGAATATCAACATTCTAAGCTGGAAATAAGGAAAGGGTGCTGGTGCCTGCTATAAGCTCATTGTTATACAATATAACAGCAATATGTCCACAATGATACGCATGTTAATAAGCACCCAGATAACAGAAATACATGGAACATAATCTTATCTGACTCAGTCAGAAAATAATATAGCAGCTGGAATGTTGTAATGTGAAGCTATACGTATATGACTGCAAATAATTCAGTAGGGTAAAAATAAGTTGTTTCTATAGATTCCTTGTGTATAAGGTGAGGGAAAGGAAGGATATAGTACAAAGTCCACTCTAAAGTGATTTCTCGTACAATCATTAAGTTCTGCTTACATAGAAATCTTACCAGAAAACACATCAAATGGATTTTGGAGTGAAGTTGTATGATTTTAAATGCATTTAATATGTAATGAACTGTTTGATTTTCAGTACTGACTGGAGGGTTGCTAACTATTCCCTGATAGTTTATTGCTAACAAAGGAAATAATTTAAGTTGTAAAATGTTTATTTTACAACTCAAAGGAAATGAAAATAAAACCTAGCCCCTATTTATCTGGGCACATACCAAGTTCACATGGAAGGAAAGTATATGACCATCCAGTAGGACAGAGATGGTTACTATCTGATGGCATTGAATTGGACTCTTGAGCTCCTATATTCTTAGAAGAAAGCAGCCAAATTGATTGTGTATTCAGTTTTCCAGCATTACCATTTTATTGACACTTTAAAATCAGATGTGAATAATTTAAAGACAGCAAAAGAATAAAATTGGTCATTAAACAAAACACGCTCAGTCTTTCAATTGTCCTCTAAAACTCCAGAAGTCCCAAAATCATTATTATGCAAAATTGTCTATGCATCTGCAGTCACTAATTACCTGTGATGCCTATCTCAAAGCATGTCTACACTAAAACAGTGAAACAACCAGCTCAAGTCTTCTACTACTAAAATTCATTCTTGTTGAGATGATTCCAAAACTTTGGTCAGCCTGTGTTTTGTGCTTCAAAGGCCACTTTAAATTATGCCCATAAATATTTTATGTAGGAGCTCATAATAATCCAATGGGTTATGCATCAGCAAGTGTAGGTATCTGTGAACTGGGAGGACAAGAATAAACCTCATGGAACACTCAGGTTAGTTTTAATGACCTCTATTTTCCTTCCACAGTGAGGGTTGCTCCATCCTCAGAGCTTTATTTGCAGCCATCCTATCCAGAGAGGAATTATAAGGCCTCATATACATGGATCTTTCTTCTTTCCATCCACATTAAATTTTATTAATTCCAAGATCTATTCCTTCAGGGCATTATCAGGTGACAGAAAGGCATTGAGCAATCGATTGGAGCAAATGTATTAATAGATCCAATCACTGAAACCGAGGACTAACCTGATTAAGCCCACCAAGCTTAACCTGCCTTGTTCACCTTTAATGGCTTACTTCTAGTTGGTCTTAAAACCTAGATAGCTAAAAGTCACATAACCAAATAATACATAACTAAACTTTCATTAGCTTCCTTATAGATAATATCTCTAATGTGTATGTCTCTATGGTAACTGTTGCTAAAAGTTGTTTTTCAGGAGCAAGGGGGCAAACTCTTGTCCAATTCCAATTAGTTGAGATTACTGATCCTCCAGCTTGGCCTGCCTGGTTGCCCAAAATGTGACCTTTTGATGTCAGGAGGCCCAAAATCTCCACCCTCAGATCATGCTAATGCCACTATTTTTGGAACATGCATCCTATGAAGAGCCATGTAGATTGATTACACTTGGACAGAATCCTGATTATCTCACCTTTCCTACCCAACAATCACCTTTCCCCACACTTTAGACCAACCCCGTTTCTATCCCATAAGTACTACCAAGCCCTGATTTCAGGGAGGTGGGTTTGAGATTTGTTCTCTCATTTACTCTCCCAGCAGCCTTGTGAATAAAATCTTTTCTGTTTTGCAAAGGCCACCATCACAATGACTGACTTACTGCTAGCTGGTAGAACAAGCCTGGTTTGGTGTCATGACATATTATGCTTACTCGTGCAAAACCTTCTAGCTGGAGTGGTCCAAAAAGGTTTCATGAAGGAAGGGAGGTTTGATCTGAGTCTCACAGGACAAGAAGAACTAAAATGGAAGGGAAGGGAAGATGACTGTATGTGCACAAATCGGTCATGTTTTGAGTTAACTAGAATCCAGATGTCCCTCAGCCTCACAACTAATGATGATTTAAGTCAAGATAATGATTTCTTAAAATAAATGGATATATATAGGTAAGCAAACAGAGATGAATAAAAAACGGGGTTCATCTCTAAGAGGGAATAATGGATGATATTTACTTTTTTCTATTTGGTTATCTTTTTTTTTTTGTTTTTAGCTTATAGAATAAAATATCTAGTATAAGCAATGCTAAAGCAGTCTTCTTAACTAATAAATACAAAAGAAGAGAAAGAAAAAAGTATAGAATTACCACTTCAAAACCAACTCATTTTGGAATAAAGATGAAATACATATTGGGATATATTATATCAAACAGAATCTCACATGGCCAAGCTACAAAGAGGAGCTTGCTTATATTTTATTCCATGAAAAAGACAAATAAAATAGAAAGAGTGCTGTGTTGCTTATTTACAGAAATAAAGATGTTATTAATGTAGTAGGAAGTACATTGACCTTGGTTACACAATCTATATGTACATTACAGACCTACTTACTGAAATAGCTCTTTTGACCTTGAACAGCTCACCCATCACCCTCTCTCTGTAAAATGGAGTTTAAAATATTCATTTGATAGAGTTTGTAAGGACATGTATTATAGAACAAATGGATTTGCAAACTGTAAATCTACCAAAAGTAAGATACATTTCTGTAACCCCCTTTAAATTTGCTTTTGAGTTGGTATGTTTTTCTTTTTAAATTATTTTACTTGTTGCTTAGAGGCATTTTTTCTCTTTTGTGTCCTAAACATGTTTCAAAATATATTTTGAATATGTTGCTTATTCTGTAACTGTCTAAATGAAAAGTACAGCTGGTGTTTGTCTTGATTCCAATGATGGCTGCGTACTGTAGATCTAGAATGTGTGAAAATATTTGCAGACATCTCCAGACCCTTAAGTAAAAAATTGTCCTTTATTGGCTAAGTGAAGCAGGAACTCTGGGCTATTCACCAAGTAAAATGACCTGTGGTAGAAATTGAGATGATCCGTTTTAGTCCAATCATTCATGCTGTTTTGCTTCACTGAAATGTGATGGTGAGTGGGTCTCTGGCATTCTTTCTTGAAAACCTTTTAACCATTAGAAGCAGGTGAGAAGTGCTTAAAATTCACGAAGAAAGAGTGGATATTCTTAAAAGTGTTTTGGGAAGCAAATCCAGCTTAAGCCTGTTCCTAGTTGATCGGAAATCTTTACGCATTTTGAAAAATTATTTTAAATAGGAAGTTCTCTATGGCAAATAAACAAGGTTCCTGTGTTCTGCTTTATGAGCCCTCCACAAAAATAAAGGAGGAAGTTAAGTGGTAACATTAACCATAATCTAACAATCATCTCCCTTTCTTCTGTTCGTTTCCTTTTAATCAAGCCTCAGCTTTAGTGCAGTTGTCAACAATTTGTGTAATAAGATTCTATAATGGCTGACTTATTCAAAAGAAGGAATGAGAATGATGTGTATATTATGATGAAATCGATGAGCTATTCATGAGAAGACTCCAGGTGCCTTATCTTAACTAATTACAAGCTAGGGCAGATAAATCACAGGATACAAATTAGAGCTTATGACAAATCAATTATGAAAGTAAAGCTGCCATAGTCGATCACATATCATATAATTATGTCTGCCAAAAGCCTCTCACACAAACCAGAATGGGCAAAGACCGAGCCTAGCATCAATAGTGTTGCCAGCATGCATGATCTCACTTGATTCCAGCAACACAACCAATGCCAGTGTTACCAGGATCCCTGCTTCCTGGAGGAGGAAACTAAGACTCAGACATTTACTCATGCCACGAATGAAACCCATGTTCACTGATTCTAAGGTTAGGCTCTTAGTCCTACACAAAATGGCCTCCCAGTGTCAAAGTCAAAGAAAACTAGTTTGAAAGTTACAGTGTGAGTTCAGAATAAAGCAATATGTGTCACAGACACAGCAGAAACAATAAAAACACATAGGACAGGTTCAACCTATAGAATGGAGTTAACAGAAAAAACATTGCTATATTTAAGACATGAAGGAGAGATAGAGGAGCCAGAGATGATCCTAACGTTGTGTGGTTTAGTGATTAGAAGAATGGGGATAAAATTAACTGTAATGCTGAAGTCAATAGTTGAAAAGTTGTCTTCAAATATGGATGATGCATTTTAGTTAGACATTGACTTTCAGGTGGTAGCTGGAGGAGCTCAATTTCTACATCTAATTATAATACTTCTGTCCGTAAATCATGAAAATGGGCATATGAAACCTACTCAAATGAGAATATAATCTTAAAGTATTGTTAATATTCAATACATGCAATTTATTCTTTAAAATACTCTTTACTTTTTAAAAAATAATTTAATCAATCTCATTACTTGAATCCATGCCAATAATTTCAATGTTTTTTATTCAAGGTTGGATTTTAAAATAATACAATTTGCTTTTAATCTGTTGGTTTTTAATTCAAGATGTTAGAAACAAAAAAATTATTATTAGCTTATTCCATTTAAAACCTGAATTTTCAAAGCTTTTCAAGACACTTTGGCAGGTTCAGGCCTCTTTTGTAAGTCAGGTTACTTAGTGGATATGGATTTATTACTTGGTTAAGTAGTCCACGTGGGGTCTTTTTTTTACATACAGTTGGATATCTACCTCTGTGTGCATCATGTGTACGTGTGTTCATGCATGTAAATATTTGTGTATATGTCTTCTTTTCTTTTTTTTTTTTTTTTTGAGACGGAGTCTTGCTCTGTCGCCCAGGCTGGAGTGCAGTGGCGCAATGTCAATTCACTGCAAGCTCCGCCTCCCGGGTTCACGCCTTTCTCCTGCCTCAGCCTCCGGAGTAGCTGGGACAACAGGCGCCCGCCACCGCGCCCAGCTAATGTTTTGTATTTCTAGTAAAGACAGGGTTTCACCATGTTAGCCAGGATGGTCTCGATCTCCTGACCTCGTGATCCGCCCGCCTCGGCCTCCCAAAGTGCTGGAATTACAGGCGTGAGCCACCGCGCCCGGCTGTGTATATGTCTTCTAATACTCTGTTATTTATCATCAGACAGGGGAAAAAGCATAAAATGATATTGCATCATTGAGGCAAAGTATTCTAAAAATTGGATTCCAAAATAACTTCTCATTCTTCTATGTTGTGCATCCAGTTCTATTTTCACAAGCAAGTCAATATGTATTTATATGTAAAGAGTGTAATTCTGAAAATTGTTTTCCGTAATGATGGAAAATTGCTCCCAGAGAATGAAAAAAACATGAAAGATTATAAATTCTCTAGCTTTTTAGTTTGCACAGTCCTTTTTTTCCTCAGCATTATTACCAAGGTCAAATTGTAATTGTGTTCTAATCAGATTGTCAATATATGTCTTTCATGATGTGGATTTTGGCAACTTATTTCACAAATGGCTTTGTTAAACACTAATTTTTACTATATCAAATTATTCTAAATGAAGTAGAGTCACAAAGATAATATTCTACCCAAGCCCAGAGAAGACTCACAGATATAGGTGTAACATTTTCCAACATGTGCTGGGAACCCCTGAAGTATTAGGGAAGATCTGAAATGAGTATGGAGAGGGCAGAGACCGCACACAGACTGGGAGGGAGAAGGTGAATTCTGAGCCCCCTGATTGTCACAGCTGGGACATTTGTTTAGGACATGCCTTTCCCTCCACCTCTGGCTTTCACAGGTCCTTCCTGAGCTCCAGGTAGGCAATTTTTCTAAGGTGTCAAGGACAACGTGTTATATCTTCAGAGTACTTGTGTTTTAGAAGTTATAGCAACAACTGCAAAAGGTAAGATTTCAGGTAGTATGGAAACTAATTTAGGGAGATACTTTCCAGTATCTCTAAAATCTTACCACTTAGGTGTTCCAACCTGTTATAGTGCTTTCTCAATGTCCTTTGCAGTTTTATCTGTTTAATTTGAAAGCCTTGGATGGAGCTTGTGTTCTCCAAGTAGACTACAGTCCCCACCACAGCCTACTGTCCTTCTTAGGGCCCAGGCTCTCATCTATGTCACCTGCCCAGGTCCCGGGGCATTTCTGCTTAAGCCCCTGGTAAATTCTGTCTGGAATTGTGTCTGGAATTGTGGAAACTGTGTCAGATCACTACTTAGTGGAAGTGATGCCTAGAAAATGATGAGAGAAAAGACAGAAAAATCCCAAGGCTCCAGGGCTTGCTCCTGAATAATTCCAAAAAAAAAAAAAAGGAAGAAATTTAGAAGTAATCTTTTTCCATCAAGCACACAGCTTAGCTAGATTTATTGTTAGAGGTCCCCTAATTTATGGTCTTGTGGAATATGACTATCAACTAGAAGCAATTAGAAAGAACTGTTAGTAATTTTTTCTATCAAATTTGAAACTGAACAACTGTTAAGCTACCCAGAACAACTGACAATGATGTCATCTGTGTCTATTACTATGCAGACACCTATTTATTCAATGGACTCAGACTAGAGTTCTTTGAAATTAATGTATTCTATATTTAGTGGTGTGGGAAAACACATGTATTTTGATGACACATGAGCCCAACTACCTCATGTGGCTTCTTGGGTCTTAGGAGGATGCGCTATTTTTCTGAGGAAACTCAGGCAGTAAACAGCCATCTAAGATTTATATCCAGACCTGAGTGATTCCAAAGCCTCTACTCTTAAGTATTACATGTCTGCCTCCCCAAAGTAATCATTGTCATTTATCAGGCATCTAGTCTGTGTACTGTACAACATTTTAATCTAATCTTTAAAAATCCTGTGACAGACACTTCTTTACTGAATGAAATATATTTTGTATTTTTGGCATATACTATTGTTTTTACTACAAAAATGCATATGTCAGATTGTAAATATGTCTCAGATAAGTTTCTCCATGTGGATAGCATTGATAATTAATTTACCTGTTTTATCCCCTAGAAGAGTAACATTGTGCTTTAACCAGAGCTGGTGCCAAAAAAAGGTTGAAGGATTGACTTTGAATCGTTCACAGGCATTTAACATCTACTCTACTAGTAAGTTGGAATAAACAGTAAAATTTTAGCTCTGACCTCAATCCTTAATAGCTTAAAGCCCAAAGATCAAAATAAGTCATGCAAATGCTTTATAGACTAGGAAGCATAATAAATAAGTGCCTCTATGCCTTGGCCAGAATTAGCTTTACTGTGGTTTCAGCAACACGGATTTCTGTTATTACAATTGTATCATGGTACATCCAGACATAATATTCTCTGTTACCTAGACCACATGTTCCCAGAGGATTTAGAATAAGGACTCAATAAATTGAATTGAATGTATAAACCAATAAACAGCTTTAAGAGTAGAAACTAAGAGAAGAATATTAGACTAACATGACCAGACAATGGGTCAGATTATTCAGGGAAATCTTTTGCAATTTAAGTGAGTCTTGTGCTGAAGTTTATTTAAATAAGAGAAATTCGTGAAAAAGACAGAGACTGATTTATGCAAATGAGACAGTCTAGACTAAGTCTTAAAAGTCAGCATGAGAGAACTACTTCAATAAATAAAGAAAGGTTAGCCAGAATATAGAACAGAGATGATGTATGAAAAGAAGTGAATAAAAATGGAGTGGAATGAAAATTGAGCAACAAGAGTATTTGATAGATATCTCTAAAAGATTTTTATACTCAATCCTTACATTTTTTTTCTTTCTACATACTGTTGGAATATGAATTTCATTTTGGTCAAACACAAATTGGCCACAAATATGTCAATTATTTGCAATAATGTTTTTCATAACCTTATGAAAAACCTAAGCATCAGTAGCATGCTTATTTTAAAAAAATCTTAAGAACTCATATTCCACAAAAATTATATTGGCAAACAGGGCATGCTCAGTTAAACCAACACTACAATATAGGATACATAATACTTACACAATTGTATCTTCCTCTCCTGATGAATTAGGGGGTACTATAGATCTTTTTTTTTTCTTACCCACTACTACTGTTTTTTGGGAAAACTATTTGCCAATGACTAACATCATCTGGATTAGAAAAAAGCTGGGCCATCTTTGAATAAGAAATGCAGGTCCCTTTCATTTTTTTTTCATTTATTTTGAAGATTGGACAAGTTACTTTGAAAACTTACAATGTAGCAAGCCTTGTCACTATCAAGAACTGGAACCTCATCTTTGGCTCACAATTATTCCAACTGATTGGGCTATTTAGCTGCACATACTGAAGAGTTAAGGGAAAATAAGTCAATTAATTGTACAGTACATGAATCACTGAAAGCCACATGTGTAACTTTTTAAAAAATCATTCAGCATTCAATAACTCATAAAAATAAATGCTGAGGGAAATAAATAGGCTTTTTTACAATTTCTTAAAAATTAATACTAGCTAACACTTCAATGATCTTCAAACACTGGACCATTTTTTTGTATTGTCATTAATACAGACAAGGCAAGATTGTGGATTCAAATGAATTACAACCACATTCAAATGAGACCATTTAAAATGCAACATAAGTATGTGGACAATGGGCCAGTATAGCGTTTATTTGAATACATTTAATTGGAGGTCCCTGGGGGTGGCTGGTACCTCAAGATCTGGGCCTGATAATGTCTTACTCATCTTTAAGAGTCCCCAGAAACTTCTCAGTATGGTCCCTGGAGCCCAATTTTCTCTTGACAACACAATCATTCATTTTGCAAAATAGAGGGTCTCCATGAAGAGAGATTTTGTGCATGTGATGCCTTAATACTGGAAATAAATTTCTACTTTCATTTTGTTGACCCTGAAAAACTTCCTGTTATTTTTGGATTAAAAAATAATCACCAGAAATTTCTGGAGCCCCCTTGCGTTTTGAACAATTCAATCTTAGTCCAGCATTATTTCCTAGCTATCATCCAGTGTCTCAGGAATCCAATCTAGAGGCTTCAAAATCTGTTTTTTTAACTTAGTTTCAGAATCCTGAAACGTATGCCTCATTTAGAAAGTAATATGCTACATACAGTATAAACTGTGGCTTCTTTTTCGTTTCTGGAAATGAATAGCCAAAGCAATTGCACATCTCAGTTCTCTCTAATGACCAGGCCTGCTATCAAATTTGAAAGGAGATAGTATTATATTTAGTATCATATATCTCTTATGTCTCCTATTAACTAACTTTTGGGAACCTGAGGCATGTGAGAACAACCTTTGTTTTTATTCTTGATTTCAAAGGATATTTGACACTAAAAGGGTCAAAGATAAAGTCGATTTCCCCAAAATTTGGCTGTGATAGGAAGTTCAATAAATATACTCAAAAAACTATTTTACCTTATGCTTCGGATTCCACTTTTTAGATGTACAGTGAGCTTTTAAATGACGTCAAAACTCCTGGGTACTTACCCAAATCTGCACTTATCTCCAGGCCTCATACAGCTCACTCATGTTTAGTAGGCGTCAGGTCCATTAAATATAACTGTAACCATATTGTCTCTGCTTAACGGTAAATGGAAAACAATGGATGCCACAAACTTTAATATTCAGAAGACCTGGTCTAGGCTGGCTTTTTACTGGAAGACTGTGTCCAGCTCTGGGCTTCAAAGGCAGAGCAATAGGGAGAATTCGGATAGAGTTTATTAAAGCCCTTAGGGAGATTGAGAATAAAAGAAAATAATCATTCATTCATATTTTTTAAAAGGTGAGAAAATGACTTTTTATTGCAGAGAACAAATGAAGTTATTTTAGAATAAAGTGGGGAATTTATATTTAAGTTTGGTATAAGAAATCATTTTCTAACATCTGAAATTATCAGAGCTGGAGTTGAAAAGCCCGGTTAATTATGGATTCTTCTCTGAGGTATATAAAATGGAGCGAGTCTCAGGGACTTGGGTTGGTTTATGTATGTCTGTCATGAAGATGTGTGGTTAAAGTAGGTATTTTCTGAAATTATTTTCCAACTCTAGATTTCAAACGCTGGTAGCCAAATATACAGTCTTTTCATAAGTCTACTTAAGACATTACTTGTTTTTAAGTAGACTTAAAATATCTATAGATGTGATGGAATAAATTACAGAAAGTATCTTTGCCATTTATTTCCCTACAGAGAGGATTTACACATAAGCAGCTCTCTAGATAAAAAAAAATATATAGGAACCAAACCAGTTCACTACAGATTATACAAAAGTAAAAGCAAACAGCACACAGTATAAGAATAGATAATAATGCTCTCCTGTGTAGCTTCAGAGAGCTTATCATAAAGAGGCCCTTAATCAGAAGAGGAACTGAAAATACAGAGAGGCAGTTTGCTACAAAGGTCACTCATGTTGGTAGCCCCAGAAAACATTTGAAAAAGACGAAATATAGGGAACTTTGGCGATTCCCTACTTCCCCTATCTCAGTTTTTCAGTATCTTTTTGCTGCCACCTGACTGTTGAGAGTTATTCCTAGGAGCAAATACATTGTTTCTGCTTTTTCTACCCTAAAGACACACCTCTGTTACTAAACTTTCCCTGACTCATGCCTTCAATTTAAAAATTTTAGTTTCATCTCCCACTATTTTGAGTTAAACTGATTTACTAACCCATGCCAGAGGGTGATATATCCTTAACAGATTAAGTATCTGTTTACATAGTGCTTCTACTGCTGAGAGTTCTAGGTTATTTGTCAGAAAGGGACTGATGGGACATTATGCTGCCCCTAGAATACAACTAATCAGGTGCCTATCTCATCTATGTGTTTAGACCAGCATAGATGAACTAGCAAACAAAAAATCTGAATATACATCTTGAAATATCTTTCTATTTTTCCTCTACAAAATATAAACAGAATATATATAATCATTCTTTCAAATACTCCTATAATTTACTCTTCCTGCAAACACTTCAAAAGGTTAAAAAAAAAAGCAAGCTATGTCTAATCCATTTAACAGTGATTGCAGTACACTGATCTTGTCATATGAATTGGAATGTTTTATTACTTATGTTTCTATAATGAAGAATTTAATTTTCTTTGCTTTATTAATTGACAATAAAGAAAGATTTGCAGGGTTTTGAATTTTAAACAGCATTAATGACAGGTGAGTCCAAGAACAGCCAATTATTCCCTGGCCAATTTCAGTGAATTGAAGAGATTTGTTTAGTTTTACCAGGATTTAAAGCTGCACCCAGCTTTTGTTTTTCAAACAACATATTGCTTTTGGGGGACAGGAGAAACAGTTGCTTAAAAATGGTCATTTAACACTTATGAGTGTTTTCGTTGTTACTCTTATTTGTTTTGTTGTTTGATAGAGAGTGTTCAAATAATGTGTGGAAAAGAAACTGTTGGATCGCGCAGAAATATTTAGAACAGATGAGATTATGAAGATTCTGTTTTTCTTGTTATATCTTTGTTCTTAAATATCACATGCAAATATTGTATTCCCGAACACATCAGTTAATGATACCTAATCTTTGTTGCACTTTGCAATTTTTAAGTCATGTTCATGGTAACTCTTTTGATCATTACTACAACCCTGTGAGGTTGAAAGAAAGAACACTATGATCCCTATTTTATAGATGAGAAAATAAAGCTTGGAGGCCGGGCGCTGTGGCTCAGGCCTGTAATCCCAGCCCTTAGGGAGGCCGAGGCGGGCGGATAGCGAGGTCAGGAGATCGAGACCATCCGGCTAACACGGTGAAACCCCGTCTCTACTAAAAAAAAAATACAAAAAAATTAGCCGGGCGTGGTGGCAGGAGCCTGTAGTCCCAGCTGCTCGGGAGGCTGAGGCAGGAGAATGGCGTGAACCCCGGAGGTGGAGCTTGCAGTGAGCTGAGATCGCGCCACTGCACTCAAGCCTGGGCGACAGAGGGTGACTGTCTCAAAAAAAAAAGAAAGAAAAGAAAGCTTGGAGATATCCCTTTCCCAAGATCACATCACATGGCTAGTTAAGACCAGTATCCAAGTTTGATTTGGTTTAGTGTTCTTTTTTTGCTGTTTGTTTCTTTGTTGTTGTTGTTGTTTTATCTTTAGAGTTATTTCCCCAGTAAGCTTGGTGCTAGATCATTTTTACTGGGAAAACTATAAGCTTTTAAGGGTTTTACTACAAAAATCCATCACTAGTCCAAAATCTCTAGTTGCCATGCACACTTATCCAAGTCCTATACACAGCCAAAAGCTGATTAATTCTTTGTAGACTATTCTAGTTTCCATAAAGGGGGAGGAAGATGCAGGCAGGTGATGTACTAAAATAAAGTAGTTCTCTGTGAGATGCTATTTGCATCTAATTTGTCTCCAGTGGTGCTTAAAAAACAAAGAGAAGTATGAGGTCAATTAGAGAAAAGGGACAATGCCATCTAGTAATTGGGAGATCTGACAAAAAAAAAGGTTTCTAGAGAAAAACTGAATCTTATTCCCAGGGATATTTAAGTACAATTCCTTAATCTACTAAGATAAGTGGTCCAGAAAATGGATTTACTTTGTTTGGATTTGCTTGTTTATAGGGCCTGAATGACTAGTCACATTATAAAGCCTTCACCATGTAGTGCAAACTGATATTTTCAAAGCCAGTGCCAGTGGAAATGTATGGGCTTCAGTATCAGAATTACCTGCATTTGTCTCTGGAATCCGTCACTTCTAGTGGAATAGCCACAAAAATCACTTCACCTCTCTGATACACACTTTCCTCATCCAAATGGCACATATTTGGCACTCAAGAGAATGTAGCTGCTATTTTGGGAGTTCAAATGAGAGGATGAAGGTCACTTACATGACTTCACTATGTTCAAACAGCAATGATGCCTATAGACCTCTGAAAACTGCTCTCCAGGAGATAGAACACCTGGAAATCAAGTTGTGCAGTACACCTTAAGGCAGGCATAGGGAGGAAAGTTTTAGGACATTACAGAAATGTTTGCTACCATGAGCAAGGCAGTGATGGAAAATTGCTATAAAATTACCCCCAAATCGAGAAGACTTATCTTTATACTTGTATTTATTTTAGAATTATAATTACATATCATTTGCACCTCTTATTTAACCAAATATAAGTAAGTTAAGATTTATTGAGATAATATATTTGAAAATAATTTTAAATGCAATGGCACCCTAAAGTTATAGGATCAAATTATAATTATTCATTTTCAACAGAAATAAATTAGCTTACTTATTTTCCATCACCTGAAAATTTTCTTGGATTTGGGCTAAATGATGAATAGCCTATTAGTTTACGTTCTTTTTATATGTTTCTCTAATTAGAAAAGAGTCTGAAAAAGTCAAGGACTATTTCACCCTGGTATTCTTAGATCACTCGCTACAGTCTATTATTAGACATATTATGTTTCCACTGTTTAAACTCCTTTTGTCCACCCATTATTGTTTATACCTGCAAAAAAATCCAACACCAAGTTCTGCCTGGTTGCAAATTAATGTCATGACCTTTCCTATCCTACTTGTATATCCAGAAGCAGCACTTAAATGTGAGACTAAAAATCACCCCGCTTCAATAAGTAAATAATGTTTGTGGATTACAGATCATAGTCTTTTATCCGGAATAATAATGCGGTTTTCATTTTTACAGGAAATGGAAAATAAAACCTCAACAAATGGATTCAGCCATTCAGAATGGCTCTCAAATAGGCAGTGCTGAAAATTGATCTGGTTACTTGTCAATTGCATTATTCAGAGATGACGTCATCAGCAAAGCTGAAGCCAACGCTGGGTCATTGCCCACCCCATGTCAACCTTTTCCATATAAAAAACTTACTCTGTAAAGATATAAGCATCTCTAGGGCTGTAATTTGAGCTTTTAAACCTAATTAAACAGCTTTCCACCAGCCTCATTAATAAGCAGTAATCCAGGTTCCATACAAACACCTGAACATATGACAGCCAGTGCTAGCAAAATATTTCATAGCATATCATCACTTATGATATTCTAGAGGAAATACAGGCTGTGGCTTGAGATTATTCCTGTAATATTTATTTCTGATTCTGTTTACGATCCATTTTATAGATTAGCTTTCTAGAGTATTGCTAACTGTGAAATCCTAAATTGAAACTTTTCAGTACGACATGTACTTTGATGTTCTTTAAACAATTCCATTCTGTTCCATCAGTGTGAAACACATCATGCTTCTTTACCTGGGGGGTTATGCTCATTGAGAATCACAAGTGATGCTGGTGTAGGTCTTCTTTTCCTGATCTGTGAACGACAAAAGCCCAGCTAATATCAGTGAGTATTAGACACTGCTCCAGGTTACTCTGCAGCTTGCAAAGCTGTCTCACCCTCATCTTTTCCCCACATGCAAAAGCAAATTTCTGGAGGACACATGGAAGGTGCTCACTAATTTTATTTTGAAATAATAGAAAGCCACAGAATTGAACTGTCTGATAGAAGTATCACCCTCTTTGACCAAAAAGCTACATTTCCACGGAAAAGAAATAATTATATACAACTGAATGATACAACAGAAAATTAATTTACAATGAAGGTACAGGGTTGACCTGATAATGTTAGTGGCTTGCTTGGAGCCTCATAACATTGGTGGTGCTTTCAAGATTCATTACCCTTATTTTTAAACAGGATAAGGAAGAGCTTGGAAACCTATTTCTAGCAGGTACCAGAGTTAAATCAACAGCATAAGCTTTGAATTTCAATTAATTTTGTTAACTTTTTTATTTTCTAGTATAATATTTAGAACAAATAAACAAATGAAGAATAAATATGGATCTTATGAGAATATGCAACTTATTACAAACTCTAAAGTTTTTTTTTTTCATTTTAAGAGTTACAGGAGCATAGTATTGTCAGAATCCCTTGAATATAATATCCTTTATTTGTTTATTATATTCATTTATGGGTAAATACCCAAAGTAAGTGTCAGTAGGATAGATAATAAAATTTATCAATGACATCCTGTCCAAGATAGAAGCAACATCCCATTCAGCATGGATAGACACATGTTCAAGGATACATTTATCTGGCCTGAGTCTAGGTGCATCTACCTCAGATTTCAAAACATCCTGAAACACTATGAGTCACGGATTAAATAATTATTTTTAAGACTTTATATCAAATACTTGGAAAAGGATTCAAGAATAATTTAAGTTTTAAGAAATGAATGGATTAGGTTGATGTCCTCATAAATTTCTTTGCTTTTGCCTCCTCACAGTTGCAGTTCTAAGAGATGCCATTGCATCAAGAATCTAAGTAAATCTGAATATGAAAGGTGATACAGATGTAAACCAATATTAGACATGGACAAAGAATCTAGGAAATGTTAAAACACTGTTTGTAATGTCTGAACAAAACGATTTTAAAACTGTACAAAAAGCTACAAATCCTAGCTGTAATATATTATATAAACTTATAATCATTGTTTTGTGTCCACAATAATAAAACATATGAAAATAAAGTATTAGGCCTATAGTCTCAAACTATTGCAGGATTTAATGATTTTATTGCTAAATCAATCATTTTATTTTATAAAAAATGAAATAAAATGTTGCTCATTTTGATAATTTTTAAAAGTTGCTCTAAATGTTGAAACTGTTATTTTAATGAGCAAAAATGAACAGATTTATGAATCCATATCTGAATTGCTTACAGAGCCATTTTCCCCTCAGAGGTGCTAATTTTGTATCAAATGAAGTGTTACATTTTAGACAATAGTTCTCCCAATGCAATTTAAATACAAGTATGTGTAAAAACCAACTTATTTCTTGTTTACATTATCTTGAAAGTCAGAGTTAGCAAAATCAAAAGGTAAAGAACCTTTCAATTAATAACCAGAATGCATGTTCATATTACCTTATGTACAGGAATGGTTCTCCATGCAATTTCACATACCTGCTCTGCTGCTTCAGGTGCAATCTGACTCTGGAATACAGGCACGGCAAACTGTATCTTTTTGGGACTGTTGGGCTCCATGGTAATGATGATAATTAGTCAGAGATGTGAAGAGCTCAGAAAGACTAACCCTAAGTGGTGTCCGGGATGTGTTTCCTCAGACACACTCCACTAAGCCACACAGAGTGCTTCGTAATAAATAGCTGTAATTCCAGATCGAGCAAGTGAAGATGCCGAGGTTTGAGTAACCCCCTTCTTCAACATCCACGGTGATGCCTGGCTTGCCTGTTCCCCCACCAATCCCTTGGATCCTCTCAGCACAATACAGAAAGGAACAATACGCTAATTGTGTGCCTCTTCACTAATACACATGCCAAGCATTCACTCAGCAGCTAATTGAAAATGCAATGCTAGCCTTGAAGGACCCACTGCCCTGGGATTTGAAAGAAAGGCTCTATCCACTGTACATTACTAACCGGCTGCTCAAAAGTGCAATGTAAGCTCCCTCTGAGTATTGCAGGGATGGGCCATTCATTATTGATGAACATCAAGCAGGAAGTTTTTAGAGTTGGGGGCAGGGTTTAGGTATGGAATCATTTCTCTCAGCAACTTATAAGTCAGATACCTTTGCTATTTCACATTCAGCCACGAAACAGTTGAATGGCCATGGAGGGTAAGCCACAACCAATAATATCAGCTATGTTTATGCTATAAGATCTGGTTAGTTTAAACTCATCCTAGGAGGCAGAGCATCTGTGGTGTAGTGAGGGCAGCATTACTGCAGGGCTGAGCAGATCTTAGTTCGAGTTCCATCTTCATAATTAACAAGCTCTGTGGCCTCCAGAAAATTACTGGCTACGTCTAGGCCTCCACACTTCCATCAGAAAAATGAGGGGATTGGACTCAATGACCTTTAAAGTCCCATCCTGTTCCAACATTCTAAAATTGCAGTTCACAGTTTTCATTAGAGTGGAAAGTATTGTGCTGCTAAATTTAGCAAACAGCTTGGAAGTCACTGCTGCTTCAATGACCTCTATTTTATTTCCTGGTGGAGCCAGTTACATTCTCTGACTTGGAAGAATATGACTGGAAAACATTAGTAGAAACCTAATGGTAGTCAACATTATGGCTTGTTGTCAACAGTAGAAATGTATGTAAAGATAAGGACTTGAAAAAAGCATGAAGTGGGTAATGTTCAGAGGGTTGATATTGGCTAGTGGTCAGGGAACAGTGGGACACTAGCCTGATTGCCACATTAGTTAATGTTAAAGGGGAGGTAGTAACATAGCCAGATGGCCTTCATGCATTCGAATACTTTTATGAAGGAAGTGTGAAAATGAAACTGCTTGAGATCTCTGCTTTCTTGAGAGGCATTATGTGATGAATACTAGATTTGTAAATATGTTTTTGGATGTACTTAATATATTTAGACATCGACTATGATTCCAGGTATTTACAATTGAAGTTTTTATTTTTTAAATTTTGATTCTGTACTAGGAATCCATCTTAATGATTTAAATAGGCAACATTCTGTTGAAGGAATATAGAAAGGAATATGCATTATTGAAGTAGTTTTCTATATTCACTAGGGGAAAAAGCAAAGATGTGGATGTGAAAGCACTTTTAGTGGAGAACAGTGCTGACTAGCAAGAAATCTTGTGATGAGTTTATCCGTGTAGTGTCGAAGGGAAATTTATAAATTACATTTTATGTAACAGTTTACAAAAGTCTCCAGAAATAAAATCTAAATTGATATCATTAATGAAGTTATTTCTTTGAATATATCTTCAAATTATATAAAAGGAAAGCAAGACAAGACAGTATTTTTAGTGAGGAGTTAATACAAAACTTCACATAATGTAATAATTAAGAACATGCACTTGGCAACCTTGAGTTCAAGCTCTAGCTCTGCTACTTACCAAGTTTATCAGTTTGGGCAGTAGGAGAACTTTCTTCTTGTGAGGTTTAGATTACTCAATTCCTGAAAAGAGCTCATTACAAGGCCAGCACGGAATCACTCAATAAAAGATAGCTATTATTTTTCTTTCAGCCAGATTTTTCAAAAGGCTTCAACATACACATTTTCAACCAGAATCACTAAGAATATCTATCTACTTGGAATAATTTGATTCCACTTAGAATAATAGGTGATAAAGTGAAATTTCATATATGTGTTTGGTATAAATACCAATAAAATGGTTCTCATTAACTAATTGCCCTATTTTGAATAGGTTGATCAGAGACAATATTGTAAATGGGCTATCTAGACCCTTTAAGCTTCTTGTTTTTTATGAGGCCAACTCCTGTGTGTCCATTAAGATTCAGTTAAGTATCATTGCTTCTAGGAAGCCTTTGTAGATTTACTGTTCTCCACATTGGGTTTAAACTCACCTCTCTGTATTCTTAAAGAATGAAGCATAACTCTATTTATCATAATAACTACCTACATGTCTTTTGAATGTTTAGTATTTTGCAACTTTATTTATTCACATAGCAAATATTTGTTGAGTAGATACTATAGTCTACTCCACACCAGGCCTTTTGCTATGGCACTAGAGGAGAGATTGTGTTAAAAGGTATTTGAAGTCCTTTTAAAGCTAAATTCTTACTTGAAGAACTACTTAAAATGCAACTTAAATGTAAAATAATCTAAAAAATGTTAATATAGAGTTTGCATGGGGGGTATAATTTTCCTAAATATTAAGTGCACATTTTTTTATCCCTATTAGAGACAAGAGTAATAATTAACCCTTATATGATACCATGTGCCAGGAATTATTCTAAGTGCTTTATCTGCATTAATTTATTCCGACAACTGTTTGAGGTAGATATTATTGCTATCCTCAATTTAAAATTAGGTAATCGGGAGTCAGAGAGTTTAGATAATTTGTCCGGGGTCATCCAGCTAATATATGGCAAAGCCCAGTTTCAAACCCGGGCAATTTTGCATAGGGCTTGGGCTTTTAATCACAACAGCATCATGATGGCCACTATAATATAAGGCCAGTAGAGAAGTCAGTGGCAGTCAACAGAATCTCCGCAGTGGTTAGAGGTTCTGACCACATCAATTCCATGGTAAAAGATCTTAAGATGACGTGGTATATGAATGAAAGAGAAGCAAGTAGCATGACTAGGATACTATTAATCAAGATACTCAATCATTGCAAATTAGATATCAATATAGAAAGGAGAGCCTAAAGTTGGATGTTGTACCACCAAACTGACTGAAAAAGGAATCCTCTCCGTTGCTCTTTAAAAGTAATGGGTTCAATCATTAAAGATTAAAAAGGCCTCTAGAACAAGCAACAACTATAGTCTCTCTTCAAAGTAAGTGATACTGGAGTAAAGATGGAAAAACATTAGGAAAATAGGCCATTAGGCCTTCCTGATTTTACACTATAATATCTATCTTGCCCTACTTTGCATGATTCCTCAAGACCCTCCTACAGGCTGCCGCAGTTCACCTTACCACCAGTCTTTCTGTGGCCTCCCCTACCTCCCTGGAAGCCATCCTGCCTCCCCGCTCCCTTTTTTAACCCAAATTATATTCATTCTCTAATTCCACCTCCTTAGAAAGAGACCTTCAGATTCTCCACACAAGAAGAATCACTCAATTTGTTCCCTCTCCTGGTATTTAATTATATATAGTTTTATGTTATTCTATAATAATTTCCTATGTGTTTCTTTTGCCTCTTCTCCTAGACTGCAAATCCCATCCTATCTTAAACATAAACATAACAAGCAAGATGCTCGTCATCTAGTAGTTACTAAATAAGTCCAATTAGGCTTTATCTAATACTATCAAGAAACGTAAGGTGTTCCAATAAACTGAATTTTCCAAAAGACTATGGCTCACCCTTTCAAGCCCTACACCTTGCTGTTAGTATTTCTTGCTATAGTAACTGCCTCCAAATACCATAGATACATAGTTCTTATGACTGTTTTTAGAGTTATTTTTCTTTATCTGATAACTGTCAATACTTGTTTTTTAATTGTTACCTGATATTAACAAGTGCTTTCTTTGAGGGAAGAGAAGGGAAAGAAAGGGGAAGAGAGGAGAGGGGTGGAGAGGGAAAAGCAAATTTTTAAACTTTTTAATGTATTTTCTATTCCAGGCTTTGTTTTAAATATCTTGAATTCATGAATCTTGAAAGTTATGCAGATATATGAGACGTGACTTTGTTTAACAATTGGTTGGCTAACTAAATGCCATCAAAAATAAAAGCAAATATGTATTACACATGACTACATTAAATGCTGGAAATACAATAATGAACAAAAGCAGAAAAAATACAATATCATCTAGATATGAGTCCATTGAAAAGATTTCTAGCCCTAATGCAATGATTTTCTGTCTCTTCTATTTAAAACCCAAATGCTGGCAGTCACATTTCAGATGCACTCCCTTGTATGTCCTCCTTCAATTCTAGTTGTAACTTCATTCATTTCCTCCATCAAAGAAAACAGATGCATGGGAGAGTGACAATATTATTGGGCTTTCATAGAATTATCTCAATTATATTCAATGTAACCTGTTGGAGAACTCCAAAACCTTCATATTAATATTAAATTATTACTGAACCATTGATACCTAATTGAGGCAAAGAGGCCTATCTATAAAATGTGGTCGAATCCCAGTAATATAAGTGAAATGAACCACTCTTTCCAAGTGCTCATTTAAATTAAATTTCCCCCATGGAAATTATTAGCCATATTTTAACTCTTTCAGAATGTCCTATAAGTTCAACCATGCAATTTTAAATATGATATTTTTTCAGATCTACAGCTATAAGAAGCCTTACCAGACTAAGCTCACTATATTGCAATCTCATATTAAAATCTGAATTCCCACAGCACTTAAGTATAAAATACTTGCAATCTCTATCAGGCTTAAAGGCAAACATCAATGATTCATTCATTCCACATTTATTTAGTGCCTACTGTGTTCTTTAAAACTTCTCCTTGGCCGGGCACGGTGGCTCACGCCTGTAATCCCAGCACTTTGGGAGGCCGAGGCGGGCGGATCACGAGGTCAGGAGATCGAGACCATCCCGGCTAAAACGGTGAAACCCCGTCTCTACTAAAAATACAAAAAATTAGCCGGGCGTAGTGGCGGGCGCCTGTAGTCCCAGCTACTTGGGAGGCTGAGGCAGGAGAATGGCGTGAACCCGGGAGGCGGAGCTTGCAGTGAGCCGAGATCCCGCCACTGCACTCCAGCCTGGGCGACAGAGCGAGACTCCGTCTCAAAAAAAAAAAAAAAAAAACTTCTCCTTATTTGTTTTGTGATTGCATGTTCTCATCTTCACTAACTCTAACAATTTTGACTTACTCTAGAATCCTCATATCAATCAGTAGAGTGTATATGAGTGCTGAATTGAACTGAAGAATTATTAGTGTGTTACATACTCAGTATTTTTTTTCTCTAACCATGCAGACACTATTTTTTAATGTATAATTTTCCTGAGTAGTCACTCAATTATGTTTAATCTCTATTCTTGTTGAGGCAGTTTCACTAAAGAAAGCCATAAACCCATGAAGAGTTTGTAGCAAGTCCATATTAGCCATGATGCTATAGCAGTGAGTTGACATCAGAGAGAGGGAGCTACAGAGATTTGTAGAGCCGAGGCACTGTAGGTCTTTACTGATGCCACTTTGGGGAAACAGCTCAATGGACAGCCCAGGAATAGGAGTGTCATGGGGACACAGTCAATCACAGCCCAGTGTGGACAGTCTTAGAAATTTTAGACATTGTAGACTTTTAAACAGGCTTTAGCTCAAGTCCAGCAAAGGCACAGGAATAACGTGAGGAAGACTTGGAATTCGCTCTCACCCCTTGTCTACCTATCTCCCTTTTCATTTGTTTTGGTACCTTTCACTTTTATGGATTTCCATAGCTTAATGTTAGCCTCTCCCTGCTTTTTGTTTTGGAGAGATGATTATTAAATGAAGTTGGACTTGTAATTGCTGAGTATACCTAGAAATATATTCATTTCCAAAATGCTTTCATAAATATTATTTATACATCCAACAAATATTTATTGAGTATCTCATTCTATGACAGACACAGTGATACAAACACAAATACAATAAGATCCCAACCTCTAAAGAACATACAGTTGAGAGAAGAAGGCAGAATCCTATAAAAATAAGCACCATAGAGCTGGTGACGCCATGATCAAAAGGAGTTATAGGAAGTGGAAAGGGGACCTAGGTAGGAGGGTGATGTCTGACTGTGAGCCACAGACATTCTTTTATTTGCCTACAGGTGTTGTTGTTGTTTTTAATTGCTACCATGTTTAAAAATACACAAAAACACACAAAAATAAAGATATTCAGCTTCTCAATAAAATAGAAAGTCTTGCAAAGCTGGGCCCTGATATCCACAAGGTCACAGAGCTGCCCTCTCTATGCAAAGAAGTGATTTTTACATAGAGACAGGCTCCATCGCCTCTAACACTACGTACACTCTATTTACACCCAGTTATCTTCACTCAGTCCCTGACCTAGAGGAAGAAATGACAACATTGCATGCCATGCACATTTCTTTGCAAAAGTAGATACCCCGATACCCCCAACTGAGCCTAGCTTTTGAGTCATTCTTGCCCATGCAAAGAAATGTGGGATTTACTCTGAAGGCAGTGACAGGAACTAAAGAGATTCACATAAGAGAGTATGGCAATTTGATTTAGGTTTTTTAAAGAATGATCACTGTGGTGCCCATGTAGAAGTAGATTGGAATGGGTCAAGACCAGAGACAAGATTATCTGAGGATGTATAAAAATCTACTCAAGAAATGAAAAAAAGCCTCAAATAAAGTAATAGCAGTGAAAATGGAGAGGGAGATGCATAGAATATAGTTATTTAATGAAATTGGATGATAATAACGGAAGAGAGAGTTGGAACAATGATGAACTACGAATTCAGATTTAGCAGCCTAGTATATGGGGTCATATCACTCACTAAATGGTAAAATGTAAGGATAAGATGTAGAACAACAATAAAAATCAATTACTCTAGACTTGGTTTAGTCCAAGTATGTTATCTAGATGGAAATACTCCTTACATTTTCTCATTGTTAAAATTAGTGAATATTAAAATTTAAAATAAGGATAAAACTCTTAACTATTTCATAGAATTGATATAAGGATTCCAAGAGGTAATTCATGAAAACTGTTCAGCACATGGCATAATTGTGACTCAAACAGCTGGAGATGACTTGAATAGCCAGGGATTAGAATGCTCTGGAGGCTTCTTTACTCACATGCCTGACACCTGGGCAAGAATGACTCAAAAGCTAGGCTCAGTTAGGGGTATTGGGGTATCTATTTTTGCAAAAATGGAAGAAACAATCTCTCTCATTCCCCATATTTTTCTGAAATGGCCCTTACTATTCTCCCACCAAGAGTTGTAGTCTAATTCCCTTCAAATCTCGGCTGGCCTAAGTGACTCATATGTAAACTATAGAACACAGAGAAGGTGATGCTTCCTGACTACTGAGGCTGGTTCATAAAAGGCCATGCTCATTCCACTCAGTTCCTGTGTAACACCCCTCCAGTCCCTCCAGCTAGGACTGCTCCCTCTCAGAAAACAGCCACTGCACTGTGAAGAAGGCAAAGCCACATGGAGACCACCTGTGAGTACTCCAGTGGGCACCCTCAACTGAGCCTGACCTGTGAGTCATTTTTGCCCAGGTGTCAGCCATGCGAGTTAAGAAGCTTCCAAAGCATTCTAATCCCTAGCTATTCAAGTCATCTCCAGCTGTTTGAGTCTCTGATCTGATGCCCCAGACATCATGGTGCAAAGAAAAACACTCTGGCATTGCTCTGTCTGCCTACTCTCCAAATGTTCTGTCATGAGGCACATTCAGAACCCAGAAGGTATTCAGTGAAAAGCCCAAGTCGCATGCAGAGGTTTGACTGTGTCCCCACCAAATCTCACTCTGAATTGTGATAATCCCCATGTGTTAAGGGCAGGGCCAGGTGGAGTTAATTGAATCATGGGAGTGGTTTTGCCATACTTTTCTTGTGGTAGTGAATAAGTCTCATAAGATCTGATGGTTTTATAACTGGGACTTCCCCTGCACAAGCCCCCTTGCCTGCCGCCATATAAGACATCCCTTTGTTCTTTCTTTGTCTTCCACCATGATTGTGAGGCCTCCCCAGCCATGTGAAACCATGAGTCCATTAAACCTCTCTGCTTTATAAACCACCCAGTCTCAGGTAGGTCTTTATTAGCAGCATGAAAACAGACTAATACAAGATGTCACATGCTGATTCCTGTCAACAGCCCCAGTGGAGCCCAGACTTTGAGTCATCACAGCTACCCCATGAGACATGTGAGTGAAGAAGCCTCCGGGTAATTCCAGTCCCCAGCCACGTGAGTCAGCTCCAGTTGTGAGAGTTCCAACTGAGGCCCTCAACATAGTGGAGCAGAGACAAGTCATCTTCACTTTGCCTTACCTGGATTCTTGACCTACAGAAACTATGGACATAAAAAATGGTTGCTGGCCTCCAAAGTGCTGGGATTACGGGCATGAGCCACCACACTTTTTAAAGTGTCCTGTTAGGCACTTTAAAAATCATTAGTATTATTCTTACAGTTTTCTATTTTATAACACAGAAGAGTGGTCTGTCTTGAAGGTATACACATAATATATGAGTCCTTGTCAAATAAGCCCTGAAAGACATGGGGATAGATAAATTAATCCAAGCAGTTTGTGGAATGCAAAGATAAGAAAAAAGTGTAGAATTCTGATAAACCCAAATGTTAAGGGGGAAAAGAGGACAAAATGGAAACAAACACACACACACAAAAATACAATCAGAGGAGTAAGAAGACCAGGAAAGAATAACAACATGGAAATAAAGATTGAAGAGAGTTTCTTTAGGAAACATGTGATCAGCATGTCAAAACTACAGAGGATGTAATTACAAACATCTAAAAATTATCCACTGAATTCTAGTAGTTATATTGAGGGAAAGAGTGGGAAATAGGTAGGTGATAAAAAATTAGCCTAGCTTTTTTTTTTTTTTTTTTTTTTTTTTTTTTTTTTTTTTTTTAGATAGATTCTCACTCTGTTGCCCAGGCTGGAGTGCAATGGCACGATCTCAGCTCACTGCAACCTCCACCTGGGTTCAAGTGATTCTCATGCCTCAGCCTCCAGGTAGCTGGGATTACAGGCATGTGTCACCATGCCAAGCTAATTTTTGTATTTTTAGTAGAGACAGGGTCTCGCTATGTTGCCCAGGCTGGTCTTGAACTCCTGGCCTCAAGTGATCCACCTGCCTCAGCATCCCAAAGTGCTGGGATTACAGGCATAAGCCATTGTGCCTGGCCCATAATTTAGGCAAGTTCTTTAAAAAACACCTTGACAGTTAAAAGAAAGCCTCCTTCAAACATGGGACCTTACAGTAGAGAGCAAGAGCAAGAGTGGAGTGGAGCTTTTTAGATTTATTTTATAGATGAACCAGACTTGAATATGTCCTGGGCTGCAAGGAGGTAGCCAGAGGGGAAAGATGTTTAAAATACTCAAGAGACAGAGAGGAGTGAGGAATAGATAGATACAGATATAGATATAGATATAGATATACAGATATATAGATAAAATTTATATTAAGGTGAGGAGAATTACTCAGGATTCCTGAACAGTAGGCCAGTAGCCTTTGTAGGAGATTATAGGTATGATCCTCTTACTCAACGATATAAATAAATAAATGAATAAATAACCCATTTGCAAAATTCTTCACATTTTAAATAGTTTGGTAATACAATGGAAGAAAATAATGTTATAAGATTTTATTTGGTTTGGATTCAGAGTAACTTCTAGAACTCTGTTGTTGGTAGGGTTTCCAAATAATTTTCAAAAATTTCACACAATGTTTAAATAGTATAGCTGTATCTAGTATAATTTCATTATAGATTTGTATCCATATATACACATGCATGTACTCATGCATTAAACACCTACTGACATATACATACACGCTTACTTATACTTTTGTGTGTGATGTGTGAAAAATGTTTGGAAGAATATATTCTGAGATGTTAATGGGGTTGTCTCTGGATGGTGAGTTTATAGGTTATATATTTTCTCTTTATGATTTTCTATGTTATACAATGAGCACATTTGAATTTTTTAATAAAAAATTAAGAGCCAGAATAACAAAGATAATTTTAAATAATATTTTTAAGGTTCTTTTGCATTTTGATGCAGAAAAAGATTTTTCACACCCTCTCTTAAATCAGAGAAATTAAAATAGAGCTCTTTTTCAAAAAAACATGCTTTGTCTTCTAATGAAGGACAAGCTACTTTGGATGAGATCATTATTTCCAAAATCATATTGAATTTACCTCCCTTACTTAATGCAAAAGAACACTGTTCCTAACATTCTTACATTTACCTATAAGAGCAATATTATAGGTACACAGAGGGCCTTTCAATATGCATTGTACTTGACATATGTAATACAATGGAAACGAACTACAATAATAATTGTGCACATGTACCCTAAAACTTAAAGTATTATAATAATAATAAAATAAAAAATAAAAAGAGAAAGAACCAGGAGAGTGTTTTCTTATAGCTTCCTGTTAAATAGCTATTATTTTATTGGTTTAGCTTTGTTAATTCTTTCTTTAAGCTATGGATAACAAGTGCAACATATTCTTATTTTTTTACATAGTTAAAACAGAATAAATGAATGTGTTGTCTGAGAGAGAAAAAAGAGAGAGAATAAACACAGTCGAAGATGAAGCTCCATAAATTTGAATGAACTTCACATTTTCTACTCAGAGGAAATGTTCAAAATATAAATAGTATTATGCACCATCACTGATGTAGGCAAACCATGAACTATATTTTAGCAATAGTTATCAATCAGGGAAGACTTGAAAGAACAAATTCTCTCAAAGTCTTGCCCAGTCTTACCTTTTTAGATGTCTTTCAAAAGAGAATCTTGAAGAGAGAAAACATTCTAAAAAAAAAAAAAAAAAAAAGGCAACAAATAACTACCAGGCTGATGTACTATCTCCAGTTTAGTTCTTCAAAACATTTCATCAGGAACACTGATCTAAATTACCCCCAAAATTTTATATTATAATTTTTCAAAGCAGGGTTTTAAGAGTCCCTTAAGTCAGTGCCTTGTAACCCCATATGATTGATGTCTGACACAATCTTGACAGTCATCAGAATTTTAGTGGACTCCTTTCATTTATTTTGCAGGTATCAGGAAAAGCATTTGGGGTACTGCCTTTATTGAGAGACATTACAAATGATTGAAGACAGGAAAGACTGCACTCCTAATAATGGTGAAGCACTTTAAAATATGTATAACCTTTTAAACGATGTTCAGGTATAGCTAGTGGAAAATCAGGTAGTTCCAGGCAGCTACTGCTGCCTAACTACTCTCACTTTCTCTGGAAACCAGTGAGCATTCTGATTTATAGTTCTCAGGCAAAGGGTGTCTTCCAACCCCAAGTGACTGTCTTCTCCATTTCACACCTTTACACCTGAACATTCTCAAATTGTTTCTGAAAATCACATAGCACAATTGGAAAATCTGAGTTCCTCAATTCCAGGAAGGGTCCACTGTATATAAGGTTGACATGGAGATGCTTCAGATTCATATTTATTCTAGAAGAATCCAATCTCAGAATGGATACCAAATCTTTGTGCAAGGGAGTATGATCACAGTCTTTTCCAATTACAGTTTGTGACAAGACTAGAATATATATATTCTGTGATAATATTAAAGTGCAGTTAAGATACTTTCATTGAATTTCTGGTTGTTTTGTGAAATATTTTAACAGCATCTTCTGTTCAATTCATTTGCACCTTCAAATATACTCTATGGAATCCAATTTGGAATTTATGTAACATAGATAAATATCAAGTAAGAAATATTCTCAGAGTATAATCTTCTGTATGTTATTTTAATTAATATTCACAACCATCTCTTAGATTCCTGTGGGAAAGAGGACAAACAGCAAATACATGATTTAAGTCAACTCTAGATATTGGTTCCATTTCTCTTTCCTTAATGACTTTTTTTTACCTTAAAGTCTCTACCCACCCATATATAAAGCCTTATA
The DNA here is from genome assembly GCF_000001405.40 of Homo sapiens. Taxonomy (NCBI): domain Eukaryota; kingdom Metazoa; phylum Chordata; class Mammalia; order Primates; family Hominidae; genus Homo; species Homo sapiens. The sequence goes on along the minus strand of NC_000002.12, from coordinate 181,974,101 downwards.
AATACTCCAAGGTAGCATAATTGACTGATTTAAATTTCAACTCTTATCTCTCAATCTTGGTAAAATGCTACTATTTAACATAATGTTTAAAAGGCAAGATACAAGGAAAAAACAAGTCATCAAATGTCTGCATAACCCACAAACTAATTAATCAATCCCCAGAAATAAAAAGTTGGTGCTAACAGTAATTGATTAGACAACCTTTTCAAAATATTTTTTAAAAAGAAAACAGGGATGTAAATTTAAATTAAATATAAATATAATTTGAAAGTTTCATAGAATGTAGATGTCAGTGGGGCCATACATTACATGCTGTATTCATCCTGAGTATGCCTTTACTTTTTCAAGAAATGTATTTGATTAGAACATCTCTGCAAAAGGCAGCCAATTATTTTTTGTACTAACAGCGTTACAGAAAGATCTGCTTTGCCAAAAGTCCCTTTTCTTCTGCCTTTAATCTTCAACAAATGATCAGCTCTCAGTTGACACTGAAACATTCGTCTTGCCTTTTTTATTATCACTATAAAACTTGACAAATAGCTCTCTCCTGTCTTGCTTCTTCTGCTTACCTCCCTATCTGCTATGTAAATGGTATACACACATTTAGTACTTTGTATATGTTCTCTGAGTTCTAACATCTATTTAAACAAAAATAAGTTCTTTATAAATGATTTCAAGTTTTGGACTTATGTTGCTTCAGTTTAGCAATCTTCTGGCTCTGCGTAAACTCTGCAAAAGAGCTGTTCTTGAGTGCTTGCCTATGTTTCCATGCAGAATGTAGGCTTATTCATATCTACAAATAACGGAGCATTAAAAATAAAATAATTTTCTGATTAGGATGAGTCACTTCCAGTAAAAGCAAATGTCTCGGTAAGAACATGAAACCTATATTGACTGAGAGCATTTGCCTCTGTGTCTTGGTCATGGTGGTCTGGGGTGGGCCTGGTCTGGCCTATGAGTCAAAGATGCTTACTGATCATATTTATGCCACAGCAACCTGTTTTGGGGATCACCAGTGCCATCCCATAGTCTCTGCTTCTTGAGATTTTGAACTGTTATACATCTGTTCTTACGATTTCTTAATGATCCAGTTTTAAAAAGCGTAACATATGACTCATTATACTGCTTGTGTAATATATGCATAATGAGTTTGGAAGCAAACAGATAATTCTTAATTCAGAAAGAACATGAAATTTCTAGCAGGTTGTAATGTGCTAAGCTTTATTTTCCAGTACAAATAATGAGTCATGGAACAAAATGAATGATAGGAGTAGGTAATTAAGAAAGTATGATAAGGAAATCAGTTTAGCTCATCATCTGGCACTCTATAGAAAATAGAAATTAAAACTTTATTTTCTAGGCGCACCTCAGGCCATGTACCCCATAATCACCACTGAACTTACTCTTTCTTGAATAACCCAAGTCCTTTCACTTTGTACATATGGTCACTTGTAGTGACTCAGAGCACCCTTCCACCCTATGTTTGCTACTTAGCAAACATCTCTACTTTTAGGACCAAGTTCAAATGCTCCTTCTGCTAAAATGTCCTCCAAGTGCTTTGTTGCTCAATCCTCTGGACTTTGTTGATGTATTGTGTTTTTTTTTTGTCCTATTAAAAAGTAATTACACGAATAATTTATATAATGGATGAATACACGTTTATTGTCCACATACACCTCCAAAGAAACAAGATGCTCAGCATGACCTTTTCCACAGGCTTCACTCATCTGCCACAGTGAAATCATCTATTTGTTCGCCATTTTTCGTACATCACACATTTTGTCTTGGATTTATTCTCTGACTTACTGAAGTATATTCTTTAGTAAGCTTTATAGAAATGATTCATAGGTATTAAACTTTCCAAGACTTCGAATATCTAAAAATGACTTTCTTTCCCTTCCCACATTAGTGAATTTGGCTGAGTAAAGAACTCCAGATTGAGAGAGGAGACAGAGAATGATAGCCAAATAAAAGTCTCTACCAATTGTCCCCTTGGCAGAAACACCAAATTAAATGACTATTCACACAAAAGTCCTTCATGAGAACCAAAAAAATCATGTGAGCAATCACAATACCTGGTTTTAAGTTTATATCACTGGAAGAGGCACTGAAGAGGGTAGTAAAGATACGCTTGAATTGCAGACACCATCCCTTCTCCATCCCCCAGCAGTGGCCATGTGGTGCAGCAAAGAGAATCTGTGCACTTGAGGAAAGGAGAGCAAAGGGATTGTGGGACTGCATTGGAACTCAGTGTTGCCCTGGCACAACAGAAAGCAACATCAGGCAGAACTAAGCCGGCATCTATAGAGGGAGCATTTATATGAGCCCTAGACAGAAAGGAATCATCCATCCCAACAGTCAGAACCTGAGTTCTACCAAGCCTCAAGACCATGGCCTACAGTACTCTGGGGCCCTAAATAAACCTGAAAGGCAATCTATGCCTCAAGGACTGCAATTCCTTGGCAAGGTCTGGTGCTGTGCTAAGTGTGGAGTGAGGGGACTTGCAGGGAACGTGACCTAGTGAGACACCAGCTGGGGTGGCCAAGGGAGTGCTTGTGCCAACTCCCCAACCCCAGGCAGCACAGCTTGTAGCACCAAAAGAGACTCCTTCCTTCTGTTTGAGGAGAGTAGAGGGGACATTAAAGAGGACTTTGTCTTGCAACTTGGATACCAGCTCAGCCACAGTAGAATAGGGCCACAGGCAGAGTCCTGAGTCCCCCATTCCAGGACCTAGCTCCTGGACATTTCTAGACACACCCTCGATGAAAAGGAAACTCGCTGCCTTGAAGGGATGGACCCAGTCCTGGCAGGATTTGCCAAGTGCTGATTAAAGAGCCCTTGGGCCTGAATAATCAGCAGTGATAGGCAGTACTCGCTGTGGGCCTTGGGTGTAACTCAGAGATGTGCTGGCTTCAGGTGTGACTAGCACATTCCCAGCTGTCATGGCTGTGGTGAGAGACTCATTCTGCTTGAGAAATGGAAACAGAAGAGTAAAGGAGACTTTGTCTTGTGGCATGGAAACAGCCTGGTCACAATGGGGTAGAGCACTAGGTGGGCTCTTTGGGCTCCTGATTCCAGGCCTTGGCTCCTGGATAGCATTTCTGGACCTGTCCTGAAATAGAGGGGAGCCCACTGGCCTGAAGGGACAGCCCAGGCCTGGCAGCATTCACCATGAGCTGACTAAACAGCCCCTGAGCCTTGAGTGAACATCAGTGGTAGCCAGTCAGTACTCTCCGTGAACTGGGGCAGTGGTGGCCACAGAAGGAGTCCCCTCTGCTTGTGGAAAGGAGATGGAAGAGTAGGAAGGACTTTGTCTTATGGCTTGGGTGCCAGCTCATTTGCAGTAGAATAGAACATTAGGTAGATTCCTAAGCTTCCTGACTCCAGGCCCTGGCTAATGGACAGCATCTCAGGACCCACCCATGGCCAGGGAGAAATTGCCACCTGAAGGAAAAGCCATAAGCCTGGCTGGCTTTGCCACCTGCTGATTGTAGAGACCTAGGCCCTTGAGCAAACATAGGTGATAGCCAAGCAGTGGTTATCATGGACTTTGGTCAAGACCTAGGGCTGTGCTGGCTTTGCACAGCTCGGCACTGAGAGAAAAACTCTGTTTGGGGAAATGTAAGAGAAGAGAAGAAGAGTCTCTGCCTGGTAATCCAGAGAATACTTCAAGATCTTATCCAAGACCACCAAGGTGGTACCTCTATGAGGGTGGAAGATTCACAGCATTACTAGGCTTGGAGTGCCCCCTAATGCAGATATGGCTGCAATGACCAATATCTTAGATCACAACATGCAAGTCCCTTCAAATACCCTGAAAGCCTTCTCAAGAAGGATGGGTACAAATAAGCACAGACTGCAAAGACTATAATAAATACCTAATCCTTCAACGCCCAGACACCAATAAACAACCACATGCATCAAGACCATCCAGGAAAACATGACCTCAAAGGAAAAAAAAAAAAACTAAATAAGGCACAAGACACCATGGACCAATCCTGGAGACAGAGAGATATGTGATATGTGACCTTTCAAGACAGAGAATTCAAAATAGCTGTTTTGAGCAACTTCAATGAAATTCATGATAACACAGAGAAGGAATTCAGAATCTTATCAGATAAATTTAACAAAGAGATTGGAATAATTAAACAGAATCAAACAGAAATTCTGGATTTGAAAAATACAATTGACATAATGAAGAATGCATCAGAGTCTCAACAGCAGAATTGATCAGGCAGAAGAAAGAACTGATGAACTTGAAGACAGGCTGTTTGAAAACACATAGTCAGAGGAGACAAAAGAACAAGAATAAAAAACAAGCATGCCTACAAGATCTACAAAATAGCCTCAAATAGTAAATCTAAGAGTTTTTGGCTGTAAGGCAAGGTAGAGAGAGAGACAGGGGTAGAAAGTTTATTCAAAGAAATAACAGAAAATTTCCCAAAACTGGAGAAAGATATCAAGATACCAGTACAAGAAGGTTATGCAACACCAAGCAGATTTAACTCAAATAAGACTACCTCAAGATATTTAATAATCAAACTCCCAAAGGTCTAGGATAAAGAAAGGATTCCAAAAGTAGCAAGAGGGAAAAAGAAAACAACAAATAACAAAGAAGTTCCAATATATCTGGCAGTAGACTTCTCAATGGAAATCATACAGGCATATAGGCCAGGAGAGAGTGGTGTGACATATATAAAGTGCTAAAAGAAAAAAATATGTATCTTAGAATAGTATAACCAGAGAAAATATCCTTCAAACATGAAGGAGAAATAAATACTTTCCCAAACAAAAGCTGAAAGATTTCATCAACATTAGCCCTGTCCTACAAGAAATGCTAAAGGGAGTTCTCCAGTACAAAATTAAAAGACATTAATAGCAATAAGAAATTATCTGAAGGTATAAAACTCACTGGTAATAGTACACAGAAAAACAGAATATTATAATACTGCAATTGTGGTGTGTAAACTACTCATATATTGAGTAGAAAGACTAAACAATAAACCTATCAAAAATAATAACTACAACAAAGTTGGAAGGATAAGAAGTACAATAAGACACAAATAGAAATAACAGAAAGTTAAAAAGCAGGGGGATATCAAGTTAAAATTTACAGATTTTATTTGTTTTCTCTTTGCTTGTTTGTTTTTGTAATCATTATGAATCCATCATTTTAAAATAATGTGTTGTAAGATGATATTTACAAGCCTCAAGTAACCTCAAATCAAAAAACATACAACAGATACACAAAAATAAAAAGCAATAAATTAAAGAAAATTTAATTTAAAACCAGAGAAAATCACCTTCACTAAAAGGAAAGAAGTAAAGAAAGAGGAGAAGACCACAAAACAACCAGAAAACAAATAATAAAATGGCAGTAGTGAGTCCTTCATTATCAATAATAACATTGAATGTAAAAGAACTAAACTCTCCAATCAAAAGCCATAGAGTGGCTGAACGGATCACAAAACAAGACCCAATTATCTGTTCCCTACAGGAAACACACTCCACCTATAAAAATACACATAGACTGAAAATAAAGGGATGGGAAAAGACATTCCATGTAAATGGAAACCAAAATAGAACAGGAGTAACTATACTTATATTAGACAAAATAGACTTCAAGACAAAAACTATAAAAAGGACAAAAAGGTCATTATATAATGAAAAAGAGGTCCATTTTAGCAAGAGGATATAACAACTATAAACGTATAAACCCAACCCTGGAGTATCCAGATATGTAAAGCAAATATTACTAGCATTAAAGAGAGAGATGGATGCTAATACAATAATAGCTGGAGACTTCAACACCCCACTGTAGCACTGGACAGATCATCTAAACAGAAAATCAACAAAGAAACTTTGGACTTAATCTATGCTACAGACCAAATGGTCCCAAAAGATATTTACAAAACATTTCATCCAACAACTAAAGAATACATAATCTTCTCCTCAGCACCTGAATCATTCTCAAGATCAGACAACATGTTAGGCCACAAAACAAGTTTTAATAAATTAAAAACATAACTGGAATCATATCAAGTATTTTCTCTGATCACAATGGAGTAAAACTAGAAATCGATAACAGGCCGGGCACAGTGGCTTATGCCTGCAATCCCAGCACTTTGGGAGACCAAGGCGGGTGGATCACCTGAGATTGGGAGTTTGAGACCAGCTTGACCAACATGAAGAAATCCCCTCTCTACTAAAAACACAAAATTAGCCAGGCATGGTGGCTCGTGCCTGTAATCCCAGCTACTCTGGAGGCTGAGGCAGGAGAATTGCTTGAACCTGGAAGGCGGAGGTTGCAGTGAGCCAAGAATGTGCCATTGCACTCCAGCCTGGGCAACAAGAGTGAAACTCCATCTCAGAAAAGAAAGAAAGAATGAAAGAAAGAAAGAGAAAGAAAGGAAGGAAGGAAGGAAAGAGAGAGAGAAGGAGGGAGGGAGGGAGGAAGGAAGGAAGGAAAATTGATAACAACAGAAACACAAACTTTGGGACTTTACAAACATATGGAAATTAAATAATATGCTCCTGAATGACCAGTGGATCAATTAAAAAATTAAGAAGGAAGTTGAAGAATTTCTTGAAATAAATGAAAATGGAAACACATTGTACCAAAACCTGTAGGATACAGCAAAAACAGTACTAAGAAGAAAGTTTATAGCAATAAGCACCCACATCAACAAAGTGGAAAATCTTCACATGACCAACCTTACAATGCCTGTTAAAGATGTAGAAAATCAAGAGCAAACCAAACCCAAAATTAGTACAAGAAAAAAAACCCCACAGGTATCAGAGCAGAAATAAATGAAATTGAAACCAAAAAATATGAGATTAATAAAGGGAAAATTTGGTTTTTTGAAAAGATAAAACCAACAAACTTTTAGCCAGACTTACTAACAAAAAACGAGAGAAGACTCAAATAAATAAAATCAGAGACAAAAAAGAAGACATTACAACAAATAACACAGAAATTCAAAGGATGATTAGAGACCACTATGAGCAACCATATGCCAATAAATTGGAAAACCTAGAAAAAATGGATGAATTCCTAGACACCTACAACCTACCAAGACTGAAGAAGTTTAAAACCTGAAAAGACCAATAATAAGCAACAAGATCAATGCTATAATAAAAAGTCTCCCAGTAAGGAAAAGCCAAGCACCCCCCATGGCTTCACTGCTAAATATTACCAAACAATTAAAGAAGGACTAATACCAATCCTACTCAAACTATTCTGAAAAATAGAAGAGAAAGAAATACTTCCAAACTCATTCTATGAGGCAAGTATTATTACCCTGAAATCAAAACTAGACAGACACATCAAATAAAGAAAATCACAGGTCAATATCTCTGAATATCGATGCAAAAACCCTTAACAAAATACTAGCAAACTGAATTCAGTAACACATTAAAAAGATCATTCATCGTGAACAACAGAGATTTTTCACAGGAATACAAGGATGGTCCAACATACAGAAATCAATGAATGTGATACATCATATTAGCAGAATGAAGGACAAAAGCCATATGATCATTGCAACTGATGCTGAAAATGCATTTGATAAAATTCAATATCCTTTTATGATGAAAAAAAATACTAAAAAAACTGGGTATAGAAGACACATACCTCAATGCAATAAAAGCCATATATGACATACCCACAGCTAGTATCATACTGAATGGGGAAAAACTGAAAGGCTTTCCTCTAAGATTTGGAACATGACCATGATGTCCACTTTCACCACTGTTATTCAACATGGTACTGGAAGTACAAGGGAAAAATCAGATAAGAAAAAGAAATAAAGTGCCTCCAAATTGGAAAGGAAGAAGTCAAATCATCCTTCTCAGCAGATGACATAATCTTATATTTGTAAAAACCTAAAGCCTCCACCAAAAACCTATTAGAACTCATAAACAAATTCAGAAAAGCTGCAGCATACAAAATTAACATATAAAAATTAGTAGTGCTTCTATATGCCAACAGTGAACAATCTGAAAAGGAAATCAAAAAATAATTACCTTTACAATTGCTACAAGCAAAATAAAATAAAATACCTGGGAATAAACTTAACCAAAGAAGTGAAATATTTACAATGAAAACTATAAAACACTAATGAAATAAAATAAAGAGGAAATGAAAGAGTGCAAAAATATTTCATCTTCATGGATTGGAAGAGTTAATATTGTTAAAATGTCCATACTCCCTAAAGCAATCTACAGATTCAGTGCAAGCCCCATCCAAATACCAATGACATTCTTCATGGAAATAGAAAAAACTATCCCAAAATTTATATGGAACCACCAAAGATCCAGAATAGCCAAAGCTATCCCGAGCAAAAAGAACAAAACTGAAGGGATCACATTACCTGACTTCAAATTATACTTTAAAGCTGTAGTAACCAAAACAGCATGGTTTTGGTTACTGGCATAAAAACAGACACAGACCAATGGAACCAAACTGAGAACCCGGAAACAAATATACACAGCTACAGTGAACTCATTTTCAACAAAGATGTCAAGAACATACATTGAGGAAAAGACAGTTTCTTCAATAAATGGTGCCAGGAAAACTGAATATTTATATGCAGAAGAATGAAACTTGACCCCTATCTCTTGCCATGTACAAAAATCAAATCAAAATGGATTAAAGACTTAAATCAAGAACCCCAAACTATGAAACCATTAAAAGAAAACATTGATGAAATCCTTCAGGACATTGGAGTGGGCAAAGATTTCTTGAGTAATATCTGACAAGCACAGGCAACTAAAGCAAAAATGGATAAATAGGATCACATCAAGTTAAAAAGATTCTGCATAGCAGAGGAAACAATCAACAAAGTAAAAAGACACTCCATAAAATGGCAGAAAATGTTTGCAAACTATTCTTATGACAAGGGATTAATAACAAAAATATAAGGAGCTCAAACAACTCTATAGGAAAAAAATCTAATAATCCAATTTAAAAATGGAGAAAAGATCTGAATACAGATTTATCAAAAGAAGATATATAAATGGCAAACAGGTATATGAAAAGGCACTCAACATCATTGATCATCAGAGATATGCATACTAAACTACAATGAGATGTTGGGCCGAGTGCGATGGCTCACGCCTGTAATCCCAGCATTTTGGGAGGCCAAAGTGGGTGGATGACCTGAGGTCAGGAGTTTGAGACCAGCCTGACCAACATGGTGAAGCCCTGTCTCTACTAAAAATACAAAAATTTGCCAGGCATGGTGGCAGGCTGCTGTAATCCCAGCTACTCTGGAGCCTGTGGCAGGAGAATCTCTTGAACCCGGGAGGCGGATGTTGTAGTGAGCTGAGATTGCACCACTGCACTTCAGCCTGGGTAACAGGGTGAGACTCTGTTTCAATAAATAAATAAATAAATAAATAAAATAAACTACAGTGAGATGTCATCTCACCCAAGTTAAAACGGCTTTTTTTCCAAAAGACAGATAATAACAAATCCTATTGAAGATGTAGCAAAACAGGAAACTCTGTACCCCATTGGTGGGAATGTAAATTAGTATAGCCACTATGGAGAATAGTATGGAGGTTCCTTAAAAAACTAAAAAATAGAGCTACCATATGATCCAGTAATTCCACTGCTTAGTGTATACCCAAAAGAAAGGAAATCAGTAAATTGAACAGATATATGCTCCCTCATGTTTATTGTAGCACTATTCATAATAGTCAAGATTTAGAAGCAACCTAAGTGTCCATCAACAAACCAATGGATAAAGAAACTGTGGTACATATTTTCTTTGGAGCACTATTCAGCAATGAAAAAGAATGAAATCTTGTCATTTGCAACAGCATGGATGGAACTGGAAGTCATTATGTTAATTAAGTGAAATAAGCCAAGCACAGGAAGACAAACTTTGTATGTTCTCCATTTTTTGTGGGAGCTAAAAATTAAAACAATTGAACTCATGGCAACAGAGAGCAGAATGATGGTTACAAGAGGCTGGGACGTGTACTTGTGGAGTGAGGGAGTAGGGCTGGTTAATGCGTACAAAAATATATTTATATAGAATAAATAAGATCTGGTATTTGATAGCACAACAGGGTGAATACAGTCAACAATAATTCATTATACATTTAAAATAACTAAAAGTTATAATTGAATTGTTTCTATCACAAAGAAAGGATAAATGTTTGAGGTGATGGATACCCCATTTACTCCTAGTTAATTATTATGCATTGTATGCCTGTATCAAAATATCTTACGTACCTCATAAATACATAAGCCTACTGTGTACTCATGAAATTTTTTTTAAAATTAAAATTAAAAAAAAAACAAGCAAAAAAGAACTCTAGGTTAATATTTTTGTCTTTCACAACTTCAATATTATTCCTTCACTTTCAACATGGGAACTCTATCATTAGCAATCTGGGTTTTTTTCTCTTGAAAAACTTTTGGATTTTTGTTTGTTGGTTTGTTTTTTGAGACAGAGTTTCTCTCTGTAGCCCAGACTGGAGTGCAGTGGCCCAATCTTGGCTCACTGCAACCTCTGCCTCCCGGGTCCCAGTTGAAGCAATTCTCCTGCTGCAGCCTCCTGAGTAGCTGGGATTACAGGAACGCACCACCATGCCCAGATAATTTTTATATTTTTAGGAGAGAGGGGGTTTCACCATGTTGGCCAGGCTGGTCTTGAACTCCTGACCTCGTGGTCCACCCGCTTCGGCCCCCCAAAGTGCTGGGATTACAGGCGTAAGCCATTGCGCCTGGCCAACTTTTCGAATTTCATATTTATCCTTGGTATTCTGAAATTATATTAGGGTATGTTTAAATGTGGATAGTGTTTTTTCTATTCATGCTACTCAGAAACATTTTGGATCTTTTAAATATTTTTAATGACTTGCTTTTATCCTAAATTTATTTAGCAAGTTTATGGTTTGGGGGTTGCTATTTATAATGATCTTTATCAAACGGAATTGTTAGATAATGTTTGTATTGTATTTCATCAGATCAAATGAGACCCTCTTTTATTGTCACTGAATATAAGCTCTGAACATAGAAACTTGCCTTGAATGTTTGAGAGGAGGCCAGACTGATAAACCTCCAGGGTTTACAAATAACTTTTATTTAGAGTCTTGGGGATCGGCAGCCCTGCTCTGTGTTGTATATTACCTTGTATACTACCCACCCTGGGAGTATCCTGTGTCTGAACTCCTACTTCAGAGATCCCCCCTCTCAAATGTGTCCTGCAGACAAAGGGAATCAGTGATTCTCCTTCCTTCCCCTGTCTTCATGTGGATGTGAAGGTCCCTGGTTAGCTCAGGCTCCGCTTTCCTTTATCTCCAGCCACAGTCTCATACAAAAGGGACTCTCCTAGGAAAACTCACTGTATATCAAACAAACACCCCTCTAGGCTTCATTCTGGAGTAAACACTGCTGGGGTCAACAGCTGCTTATTGAGGCTAGAGGGTGGGACCCAGATTATTCAAATAAAGTCTTTAATTTATTGCCCTGATACTTGGCCCAAGGGCCCCTCCCGCTCTTTGCTTTGTTCGATCTGAGCTTGATGTTTCTCTGCAGGTTCCTTAGAAAACTGCTATGACGGGTCGGCAAAGCCTGAGTCCTGTCCTCTCACTCTCCTCCCTGGATAGCATGAGCTTCACCACTCGCTCCATCTTCTCCACCAACTACCTGTTCCTGGGCTCTGTCCAGGTGTCCAACTACGGCGCCCGGCCGGCCAGCTGCATGGCCAGCGTCTATGCAGGCGCCGGGGGCTCTGGTTCCCGGATATCCGTGTCCCGCTCCACCAGCTTCCGGGGTGGCATGGGGTCCGGGGACCTGGCCGCGGGGATGGCCGGGGGTCTGGCAGGAATGGGAGGCATCCAGAATAAGAAGGAGACAATGCAAAGCCTGAATGACCGTCTGGCCTCCTACCTGGACAGAGTGAGGAGCCTGGAGACCAAGAACCGGAAGCTGGAGAGCAAAATCCGGGAGCACCTGGAGAAGAAGGGACTCCAGGTCAGAGACTGGAGTCATTACCTCAAGACCATCGAGGACCTGAGGGTTCAGATCTTCGCAAATACTGTGGACAATGCCGGCATCGTTTTGCAGATTGACAATGCCTGTCTTGCAGCCGATGACTTTAGAGTCAAGTATGAGACAGAGCTGGCCATGCACCCGTCTGTGGGGAGTGACATCCATGGGCTCCACAAGGTCACTGATGACCAATGTCACTTGGCTGCCACTGGAGACAGAGATGGAGGCTCTCAAGGAGGAGCTGCTCTTCATGAAGAAGAACCACGAAGAGGAAGTAAAAGGCCTACAAGCCCAGATTGCCAGCTCTGAGTTGACCGTGGAGGTAGATGCCCCCAAATCTCAGGACCTTGCCAAGATCATAGCAGATATCCGGGCCCAATATGATGAGCTGACTCGAAAGAACTGAGAGGAGCTGGACAAGTGCTGGTCTCAGCAGATTGAGAAGAGCACCACAGTGGTCACTACGCAGTCCACCAAGGTTGGAGATGCTGAGATGACGCTCACGGAGCTGAGACGTACAGTCCAGTCCTTAAAGATGGACCTGGACTCCATGAGAAATCTGAAGGCCAGCTTGGAGAACAGCCTGAGGGAGGTGGAGGCCCGCTACACCCTGCAGATGGAGCAGCTCAACAGGATCCTGCTGCACCTGGAGTCAGAGATGGCACAGAGCCGGGCAGAGGGACAGCACCAGATCGGGGAGTACGAGGCTCTGCTGAACATCAAGGTCAAGCTGGAGGCTGAGAGCGCCACCTACCACCGCCTGCTTGATGATGATGACTTCAATCTTGGTGATGCCCTGGACAACAGCAACTCCATGCAAACCATCCAAAGACCACCACCCGCCGCAAAGTGGTGTCTGAGACCAATGACACCAAAGTTCTAAGACATCAAGCCAGCAGAAGCAGGGTACCCTTTGGGGAGCAGGAGGTCAATAAAAAGTTCAGAGGTGAAAGGAAGGAAGGAAGGGAGGGAAGGAAGACAAGAAAACTGCTATGATGATGTGACACACGCTCCTGTTACAGCCTTTATTTTGCAGTTGTCCCTCTTCTGATTTCTCCAGCAAAGTGATTTTATCTGCCCTTTACCTTCCAAGAATCACTCAAAATTTCTGGTCTGAGTCCATCTTTTAAAATCAGGGTATATTATGGAATTGTCTACTAAAATGTTTGCTATCATTTCAACGCATTTCAATGGAATTTCTGTAATTCATACGGGCACAGAAGGGGAGCTAGAGCTTGTTTTGTTTCATAATTTTCATGATTTGATTACGTTGTACTTTAGAGCAAGTGTTCTTTGTTTACATGAGTGACCCCCACAAGAAAGTGATTCCCAGATGGCAGCATCAACATTTCAGCTGTCCCCACTGCCTGACACAGTTGCCTGTAAGTGGAGAGACTGCATAAAAAGGACACAAACATCAAAAAACACAAGGGCCCATGGCAGAGAGAATTCTGAGTTTTGTGTTAACGGAAAACACTAATAGAAACTGTTGAAGAGAGGGGGAGAGAGAGGTGTTTGGAGAAATAGGTGGAAATGGAGGATGGAAAACGTTTCATGTGACATTGAGGTTGTTCTTCACTCTTTGCAGAGCTCCAGTTTTCCTGTTTGGATGAAAGAACAAAAACTACAAAATTGCCAAGACTCTTTCTCTTTTACTTACTGTATGCTTCTATGAATTTGATACTGGAAATCAACAGACATTACCAGACCACTGATCTCACAGTGCCTCCAGATAGAAGCCATATGGTTTGTGCTCATCCTAAAATGAGCAGAGGCAGGCTTTGGAAAAATTGTGAAAAACTTATTATTTTTAAAATTGTTGTTGTTTTCTGTAATTTATAAGCAGATCTTCTTTCCCTCTAGACAGTTCTCCACTATAATTTTTGGTTTTCTTTCTTTCAACCACCACGTCTTAATGACTTACTCTGTAGCTAACTCTACAAATCTCTGATAAGGTATTAATTTATAAAGCAGGTGTTAGCTGATAAGGATCGAGGGCAGATGCTTTATACAGGTATCCACAATTTTTGAGGCAATATTTACCTTTTATTTTGTAAGACTCTTTTAGTTATAAGGAGAAAAATTAACACAAGAATCACATGGTTGAACAAATTTGCCATCTAATAAAAGCCTAATTTTTTTTAGATCATTGGAGCCTCCTACAATGGCTTCTTATTTTGCAGCATGGCTACTACCTAAGTTAAAAACATTATTAACTGGATACTGCAGAGTCCTAAAACACTTAAAAAGCTAAAGTCATACTAGTAAAATGATGTATAGTGACAGTGATACTGGAGGACAGGCATACTGCTCAAAGCTTTCTCCAATTACAGTCCATGCATGGACAGACAGCTACCTCTCTCTCACCTGCTATCAGGTTTCAGTCTACAGAAAATTACAACTTTTAAAAATAGTCTCATACACCTAAAATGTGGCTTTTTTTTCAGCTGACACTAAAATGACTCATTTCCTACTATATACATACATACAGATGTCAAAATATTCCCACATATTTTGCTGGAATGTCTTAATTTTAAATTGGAGCTAGAAAGTTCTAGGCTAAAGACTAGCCAACCTAAAATGTTTTTTAAAGATATGTATTAACTAGTTGATGGGTTATGTAGCATGAAACTTTGCTCTGTATAAAGCAAATTTAAATAGACATAACCATTAATTACTCACAATACACAATATGAGAGACATCTTGTTGATTCAGATCCAAATGCTTAAAAATAAAAAACAAGTTTATCAGTTGAGTAAATAAATAATAATATTTAGCACTTAGCATATGTGTGGGGAGAGTAGTTATTTACTAATATTGGCATTCTCAAAATGAGGTTGCTAATATCAAGGGAAATTTCTACAAAATTCTTAATCGTAGGTTTTCAATTTACTGACAGTTTAAAAAACAAGCTATGCATTTAGAATGACTAAAATTTACAGACTGAGGCTCCCAAGTATTGTAGAGAATGTAGAGTAACTGAAATTCACATATACTGCTAGTGGGAGTTAAAATGCTATAATCACTTTGGGAAACTATATGGTAATATCTATTATACTAACGCTTAACATATGTGTAGTCTATGCAGTCAACTCTACTCTCAGGTATTTACACATTTCTTGCAGAAATGCAAACATTTGTGCCTCAAAATACACTTAAAAGAAATTTATAACAGCATTACTCATAATAGCCCCAAATTGGAAATAGCCCAAACACCCATCAGCAGTAGAATAAATAGTGAAACAGTTATATAATTGAATACTCCACAGCAATGAAAAAGAATGACCACCCTCTAGATGCTACAATGTGGATGCATCTCAATAAGTCAGATATAAAAGACAGACAAAGAAGAGTACATAGTGTATGATTTATTTACATAAGGCTACAAAGCAAGCAAAACTAAGTGTAATCAGAGTACTGATTACCTTTTCAAGGGGTCTATTGATGGGAAGTGAGTACAAGAAAGACTTCTATTCTATATCTTGATCTGGTGCTGTAATTACCTTCAGGAAGAAGGACCCACTGCCCAACTCATGGCTGCATGGATATTGTTCATCCACTCTGTTCCCTCTTAAGTTCATGCCATTGCAGTATATACAGATGGTGCTTCATCCACATCCCTATGGAGCCTCCTTATGATTCCTATGCCCATCCCCAGCTTTTGTATTTGTACTTCTAACAGCTCACAGTCTCAAAACCAAGGGGACTGTCCTTGGTTTACTGCAGCCTTTTTGGCCATACTTATAGCAGGAAGTGCCAGGGAGTTTATGGCCACCACAGGGCAAGCTATGGAAAATGACTCCCTTTCCTCAAGCCAGGACAAAATCAGTAATGTAATTTCCTTTGCACAACTCCCTGCAGGATCGGGCTGAGAAAGGGAGTTGACCTGAAATTAGTCCTTGCTTAGCTACTTCCACTTCCCTGTTCTGCTTCCATTAAGCCCCCCTGCTGATTTTTCTTGGGAGCGCTTCCTTAGCATATCTCCTGCTCAAATGTTCTTATATCAAAGTCAGCCTCTGAGAATCAGACTGAAAACAGCTATATTGGAAACCCAGTTATCACACGGGTGTAGCTTTCTTTCCCTCACTACCCTTCAAAATACTTCAATCTACTTTCATTATTACTCAGTCCCTCTTAGGAATTAAGCCTTCGAAGCCTTCCATTAATTAAATGAGTACACACTCTGGGAGGCATGACTCATGAATCATTTATCAATTATTTGCACTTTAGCGAAATGCAATGGCAAGATTAGCAATGCAGTCATCCAACAAGACCCTCAGCCACCAGAAGAATCAACATTGGCTGATGAGTATGGGGTAAGGCGTGGTGTTCAGAAAAGTCCAAAGTACAAGCCTTGCAAGGAAAGGGGAGCTGAGTGGGGCATGGGAGACAGATTCCTAAGGTATGCAATGGGAATTATCAGATTTTGATTATTTGGGTATAAGAAGAAAATAAAGAATACTCAAAACAGAAACAGTTTTGAGAAGAAGACACCCTAACTTCATAAATTTTATCTAGGACTACCCAATAACTAATATTTAGTAATTTTACGTATAAACAATGGAATGAATGTCTGTTATGATTCAGTAAGTTAAAGGGACTTAATAATATTTCTAAATGGTTGAGAATGGGTAAATTACTACCTGTCCCAGAAGAAACTGAGATGGCTTCATGAATTGAGTGGAATTTCAAGGGCTTGCTTGATAAGAGTTAGCACAATTTTTTTCTTCTCTTTTTAAGACAGAGTCTCACTCTGTCGCCCAGGTTGAAGTGCAGTGGCGCTACCTCGGCTTACCACAACCTCCACCTCCCGGGTTCAAGCAATTCTGCCTCAGCCTCCTGAATAGCTGGGATTACAGGGGTGCACTACCATGCCTGGCTAATTTTTGTATTTTTGGTAGAGACAGAGCTTCATCATTTTGGCCAGGCTGTTCTCGAACTCCTGACCTCAGATAATCCGCCCACCTCAGCCTCCCAAAGTGGTGAGATTACAGGCGTGAACCACTGCACCTGGCCTGAGTTAGCACAATTATCCAGTGGCAAAGCACATGCATACTTATTTAAATTAAAACAGCTGATGAAATTTTTCTGGTCCCAAATCAATTTTAAGGTTTAACAGTGTGAACAGCTCATGGTTTGAGCTTTAGAATTAATTACAGAGTGACTCAACAAACAAAATTATGTAACATTTCAGATGGAAATTTCAAAAATAATACATTTAAATCTATACTTCACAATTTCAATTTACTTACAGTATCTAAAATAATCTGAAATTGCCATTTTTTAAACACATGCAAAAATATGTTAAATATTACATGACTGACTTAATTGGAGTGAATGGTAATCAAAATTACCAAAAGAAACTGTAACATGAAGGATATGAACAGATACTTTTCAAAAGAAGACATTTATGTGGCCAAAAAAACATGAAAAAATGCTCATGATCACTGGTCATCAGAGAAATGCAAATCAAAACCACAAGGAGATACCATCTCACACCAGTTAGAATGGCGATCATTAAAAAGTCAGGAAATAACAGATGCTGGAGAGGATGTGGAGAAATAGAAATACTTTTACACTGTTGGTGGGAGTGTAAATTAGTTCAACCATTGTGGCAGACAGTGTGGCGATTCCTCAAGGATCTAGAACTAGAAATACTTGACCCAGCAATCCCATTACTGGGTATATACCCCAAGGATTATAAATCATTCTACTATAAAGACACATGCACACGTATGTTTATTGCAGCACTGTTCACAATAGCAAAGACTTGGAACCAACCCAAATGCCCATCAATGATAGACTGGATAAAGAAAATGTGGCACATATACACCATGGAATACTATGCAGCCATAAGAAAGAATGAGTTCATGTCCTTTGCAAGGACATGGATGAAGCTGGAAACCATCATTCTCAGCAAACTAACACAAGAACAGAAAACCAAACACCACATGTTCTCACTCATAAGTGGGAGTTGAAAAGTGAGAACATATGGGCACAGGGAGGGGAACCTCACACGCCAGGCCTGTGGGCAGGGGTGGCGGCGGGGAGGTGGGGAGGAGATAGGGGAGGGATAGCATTAGGAGAAATACCTAACATAGATGATGGGTTGATGGGTGCAGCAAACCACCATGGCACATGTGTACCTATGTAACAAACCTGCACAACTTAATAAAAAAGAAACTGTAACACAAAATGAGATTAATAAAATTTAAAAAGTATATAATATTAAAACATGCATAGACAAAAGACTAGACCAAAGCACACCAACATTTCAATGGCGCTTATCTCTGTGTGCTAGAATTGAAGATCATTTTATTTACTTCTTAATAATCAAGAAAAGTGTTATTTATGAAAAAGATAGTGTATAAGCTCCTCCCACTAATTTAAATTTCCCCCAAAAAAGGGCTTAGTAGACAAATGTTACTTTAGAATGGACAAGTTTTGAAAATATATTATTATCAAGGCTTGTATGAATTGAGGTGGAGACATTTACTTTGATCTCTTTGAATTACCACATATTGCCTAGAAAACACTCTAAAATAGAAAGCCTCACAGACTGTAATGGAACAGTTTTTGTTGGTAGTGATGAGATAAAACAATCAGACATTTTAGTAACACTATTTCCTTGATTGACAAAAATCAAAAGGGAAACGATAATTACATTTAAACACACGCACATGGCCTTTCCCTGGTGGAAAAAAAAATTGTATTTGTGCTGGTCTCCCTTAAGTAATTTTTCAATGGTCCTCTTTCAAGTTATAAATGTCAACCAATTTGAAAGCATGGTAAAGAGGAAAGAAATATGTAAACAAATTTCATAGGAAAAGTACAGCTGATGAAAACAGGAATCTAATCAAGGGAGTTTTCAAATATCAAGTTTCCATCACATTGAAAGGTATTTGTTGTGACTCAGAAGGATGATTTATTTCAGATTTGGCATTTCCTGTGAGTCACACTTTTCATCTGGCCATCTTAGAATATTTTATAAACACGAACCTCAATAACATCTGTATTATTCTCTTTGTTTTATAAATGGAATAATAAGTCATCAAAGAGCTTATAAAGCTGACAGAGGTCACCTAGGATGAGACTGATTTTTGTATCAGCACCTTTCCCTGAGACAGCCCTCAATTAGGATTTGAGAACTCCACAGCTCCTGTCCTAGCCATTTCGAAACATGGAACCCATGTTTTTAACTTTTAAAAATATTTATGTATGGAGACATGCCTAGGGAAAAAAAATCTCTCTTTAAACACATACATACTGATACATATCACCTATCTATTCATATAGATACGAAGATATCATAGAAAGAGTTCATAACCAGTAAAATGGCAATAAAATGTTAACTGCCAGAGCCCAGCTCCTGATCATGGAAGTCTGTTTCTGTTTAGGCAGCCAAAAATATAATGGGGAAGTCTGTAGGAAATAGAAATGTTTAGAATTTTTTCCTAACCTTTTGTCAGTTGTGATGATTCTGACGTCTCTTAACTCTTGATCAGATATCAGAGGTTTCTGAAGTTTCTTGGTTCGTGGCTCTCCAAGGTCTCGGTACATTTTTCACTGTGTCCTTAGGCCAAAAGGAGTACCTAGCAGTTCAAAGTATAAAGTAACCGTCAGGTAGGAACTTAACAAGAGTAATTGGCATGATGTCCGACAGATGGCGCTGTGCTTTCCCTCGAAAATTTAAATTACTTCGCGGTGCTCTTAGACTTCACTGCTGGAGGGGGTCGGGGGAATGTATGTGGAGGTCGGGGTGGTGGGGTGGGGTGTGTGTGTGTGCGCGCGCGCGGGGTGTGTGTGTGTGTGTGTGTGTGTGTGTGTGTGGCGGGAGGCGGTTAGCGGGTAGTGGGGCGCGGGGGGAGGGGTCCCTGCCTGGCCACCTGAATTCAGTTTGTAAACCACAGCTGTAGATCACACATACATTAGGTGAAGTTTGCAGAAGAACTGGGCTTGGTAGAATTTGAAAACGGATGAAAGACATTCCATGGAGGTGCCTTTCTCTCATTTGAGAAACACCAGAAAGTTATCTGGTTCTAATAAAAAAGTCTATTGGTGTCCTTTAAATCTAATTACTATGGTGCTTGCCCCAATGAAGAGGGAAAAGAGCTGTCTCTTCTACTCACACATAGGAAGCCTTTGTCAAGCTTTAGCTATCTCCCTTCAGACAAAAGCCTCCAAAATTACAAAACCACTAAGTTGTTTTGTTTGACTTAATCTTTTCCTGTTTTGTTGTCTATGAATCCTTCTCCAACCCACACAGTCTTAAAGATAACAATATGAATAAAATTCATTTCTGCTTGCATCTGAATCACACCAAAAGAAATACACAGATTTTTGTACATACAGTAACTTTGTCTGGGACAGTCAGACTTATAAGAATAAATGAAATTTGTTTCCTGGAACATTGAAGAGATACCCAGAAGAAATAGGCAGTCTTCTGACCAACAGGTACTAAACTTTGCTAGTAAATCTGTGTGCTTGCCAGTTGGATGAGAGCAGTTGCATGTATTAGGATGCTCTGGACAGAAGAAATAATGGTTTTAAATGAATCTGCTGGTGAGAAGTTATAAGAGTAGAATCCTTATTTTTATTGGTTTGAAGTTACAAGAATAGAATCCTCGTTTTTGTGTGTTTGTTTGTTTTTGAGAGAGCCTCTCACCCTGTCACCCAGCCTGGAGTACAGTGGTGCGATCACAGCTCACTTCCGCCTTGACCTCCCAGGCTCAAGCAATCCCTCAAGCAATCCTCATGCCTCAGCCACCTGAGTAGCTGGGACTACAGGTGGGCAACACCACGCCTAGCTAAATTTTTAATTTTTTTGTAAAGACGGGGTCTTGCTATATTGACCAGGATGGTTTCAAATTCCTGGCCCCAAGCAATCCTCCTACCCCAGCCTCCCAAAGTGCTGGGATTACAAGCATGAGCCATCACACCTGGCAAGAGTAGAATCCTTTAAATTGCAGGTATTGATTTGCTGTGGAACTCTTTCTCCTGCAGGCAACTCCATGAGGCATGTATTTGGGAGAAGAACAGCAGGAATTTATTATTTATTTATTTATTTATTTATTTATTTATTTATTTATTATCAGTGATTAGTCTCCTAAGCCATACCAGGAATGCCAGAGAGTTTCTAATGAGAGTAAAAGACTTTGCTCAGAGATAAGTGCTTTTTTTCCAGAACTATAAGTGGAGTGTCTGCTAAGTGCCAGGCACTGTCTAGGTTAAGGGGAGGATCAGGGGCCATGTTAGGGGCTGAACTAGGATGACTCTTGCTGTCACTGAACTTAGCCTGGTGGTTAAGAACAACAGAGATTTTTACATCTCAGAGGAAACAAAGATATCAGGGAAATTCGCTTTACTCTCTTACCTTAATTTACTCTTTTTAAATGAGAGGGTTGGAATACATGATCTCTAAGCCCTAGTGCTCTGATTCTAGCACCATACAAAGTTCACTTCAAAGTCAGTGAAAGAGTTGCAGCAACATAAATAGACCTCAGGGTATAAACACTATGTAATCCAAAGGGAAAATAAAGATGACAGACTACATGTTTTAAAATAAACTCACTGTGGTTTTTAATTCTCATTTCCAACCTTGAGTTTTATGAGTATTGATTTCCTAAGAAAAGAAAGCCTACAACTGCTACCTTCCTTAAGTACCTTTATATTCATTTTAAATAAGGCCATTAAAAATTTCAGGCCTAGTATATATAACTTTCAGTTTAAATGTTCTCTTACCCTCACTTAAAGGACCTTTTTATGTAACTAAAATGTAAAGGTTTAATTTTGGACACATACAAAATTAAGCTTGACATCTACTGAGCATTTATAAGAATACCTTTTTTTGCTGTAAAGTCCTTCAAACAGTGATATAACATGTCATTGACAACACAATGGGGTGGGCAAACTGAGGAACAGAGACATGACATTTGTAATTTGCTTAAGGTCACACAGTTATTTTATAATTGTGTATCATATTCATCTTATTTTATTTATCCTCCACTGTGGTACTATGGAGTAATTTTTTTGCTCTACAGACAAGGAAATTGAGTTTCAGAAATAGTATATTCTTATAGTAGTAATGGATTTGAAACTAGGTCCACCTCTCTAAAAAATTCTTGCAGTTTTTCCCTATACCAAGTGAGATGTTAGCACATAATCTCTGCTTTCCAAATCATATGAAAAGTATATCTTCCTTTTTTTCTCAAAGAATAAGAGGCAGTTGCAGAAGAGGGAGTAAGGTAAAAAGTAAAGAATTACCATTCTATTGCCCCACAGTGTTTCCAGACTTCTCTTTCCCTAACCCTTCCTCGACCTTATACGTATCCAGATTAGACTACCACAGTTTGTAGACTACACCCTATCCAGCCTCAGTTTCTTAGTTTAGTCACTTCTGTCCTAGAATTATTTTCCTCTCATCTCTGTTTGCTAAAAACCTATTCATCCTGAAAGTCCATTTCATGAACCATTCCCCTTGCATGAACACTCCTTGTTTCCCCAAATTAGATAAAATCTTGCCCACTTTGAATTCTCAAGTTCTTTGTTGGTCCTTGAGGTTCAGTGCAGCGTGCAGGAAGGGAATGACTGTTTGACTGAAACATTCATGTTTCATAGCCTTGTTCTTTTGACTGTTGGTTGTGGGACCTTAGGAAACTTACTTAAACTCTGTGAGCTTCAGTTTCCTTAATTACAGAGGGAAGAAAATAATTCCTACTAAGATAACATCTATCCTGCAGATACATTAATATGATTATGTGATACCTCCATCAGTGATAAAATGTGAAAAGAAAATGATGTATTATTTCTCACTATTAAAGATAAAACTATAGATAAAGTCCATAGTTGGTGTATTCATTCTTAGGTAATGTTTTGGCATTAAACATATCAGCTACTCTAATAATACCCAAGCTAGAGTTCAGTTCAGTAAAGAAATAGAATATCTAAATTCTTATTCAGTGTCAAGCTTTCCTCATTCCCAGAATGGAGGCTGAAGGTGGGGTGGGGATGTGGCTGGTTTCTTAAGAAGTTCCTAACTCTGCCTCCTCCCACACTGTGTAAGCCACGGCTCTGGCTTCTCCAAAGTCAGACTAAGGAAAGAGGGACCAGAGGAAGGAGCTGGGTTATGCAGCTGATAAAATGTGGCTTTCATGCTCTCTGGACAGCAGATGCATTGCTGAGTCTTTCTTGGTTGGACACTTTTGTTGCTTCTTCAGAGCTTCTCACTCAAGATCTGCAATGTAGTTTCTTTGACCTTGGCAATGCCTTCTTCTGGATAGCTCCATTTTGAGCACCCAGTAACACACCATTTTTTCATGTATACAACCCACTGAGGTAGTCATTTAAGAGTTTCTGTTTTAAGATAACCCCAGGTCAACTCTCTTTTGCAGGGTTAGGGGAGGAGAGGGTCTCTCTTTCTTTTTTTTTTTTTTTAACCAGGAGCCAATTTGAGTGGAAGTGCAGCCTACTCCCAGTGCCCCAGTGGATTCCTTTTATATCCCTTGACTTTAGACTTTTCAGACTTAAGTTAAACACTACTGACTATGTCCATTAATCTCCAGGATACAGATATCAAAATCTCCTCACAGTCCCCATGAAGCCCTACACATTGGCTTGAGCTTAGATAAAGCATCCTGCTATTTCCATGAGGAGGGGCAGAGGAGACCATTCAAAGTTCACACAAAAACCTCTGTTCTCCAAGTTTTCCCTGTTATACTAGCTGGGGTACATGACCATGCTGACAGAACCATCTTGATTATCCCTTAGCAAATCATGCACAGGCAGTCTAGCACCCCACTTTAGCTTATGAGGCATTGGGTAGGGAGAGATAATTATTCCTTGGAATCTATTATATTGTTCTTTATCTTTGTGCCTCATTTGAAAAACCTATTGCACAGATAATGGGCCCAAGGTGCAGCTGAACCATGAATGTGAAAGTCATCAGGAACCAAGGACGCTTTTCTTTGTCTTTGCCTCTTTGGGCCCTAATACTACCTTAACTCTGCTCACAATCCATCCTGTTTCTCTGTGCACATATAAAAAATGGCCACCCCAAGCTTCTAGTGTTCTATTTTGGAATATATCTGTTCTGCTCCCACACACCAGCAGAAACTGACTAGTTTGAATCCCACCTCAAAATTTCTAGAGACGGTATTTTTAAAATACAGTGAAAAAAAAATCCTAGGGAAGATAATTGGCTTAATGTGGACCAAATAACTATTCTTAATCCAATCAACTTCATCAAACAAACAAGCTATAATAAGTCCATCTTCTGGTAAGGGAAACTCTCAAAGAAAGGCAGTAATAGGCTGGGCAGACACCCTGAACCATTTCAGAAATACGTATGTAGAATCTTTAGCACATATGCTAGTCCCTGACACAAAGGTCATATGATAGGGTTTGCATATGTGTCACCACCCAAATCTCATGTTGAATTGTATCTCCAATGTTGGAGGTGGGGTCTGGTGGGAAGTGATTGGATCATGGGGGCAGATTTCTCATGAATGGTTTAGCACCATCCCCCATGATACTGTCCTTGCACTGAACAGTGAGTTTTCCTGAGATATGATCCTTTAAAAATGTGTAGCACCTCCCGACTCACTCTCTTGCTCCTGCTGCTGCCGTGTAAGACATGCCTGCTCCCCATTCACCTTCTGCCATGAATGTAAGCTTCTTCCTCCATAGATGTGCTTCTCCACATTGCTATGAGAGTTGACACAACTATTTTGTGACTACAAAGTAGAGCCAGCTTCAGAAGAAGCTGACCCTGCCAGAGGCAGAGAGGAGATAAAAGGAAACTGTTGAGTAGCTGACTCAAGCCAACCCTGGAGCCAACTTACATGTCAGCTTCCAATTATGGGCCAATAAATCCCTCTGTCATTTAACCAGCTTGAGTTGGATTCCAGAAATTCCTAATTTGTATATTCACCCAAAATTCTAACATGTCAGGACAAAATGTCAGTGGGTATATTTGAGAAAGATTCTGATGGTCCCCAAGAAGAAGTTGTAAATGGACTCCAGAGGAAAAAGGGAATCAAGAACTAAAACTCCAAAAACAAGAGGATAAAGGCAACACCAATGCCTCTCAGAGAATATGCCAGATATCTACAAAACTCCAGTAGCCAGGTTTGGTAGCTTACACCTATAATCCCAGCACTTTGGGAAGCCAAGGAGGGAGGGTCGCTTGAGTCCAGGAGTTCAAAATCAGCCTGCTCAAAATGGCGAGACTCCATCTCTATTAAAAAACAAAACAAAACAAAATTAGACAAGCACAGTGGTGCGCCTGTAGTCCCAGCTATTTCAGAGGCTGAGGCTGGATGATCCTTTGAACCCAGGAGTTCAAGATTGCAATGAACTAGAGAACATGTCAAAAAAAACAGAAAGAAAGAAGGAAAGAAAGAAGGAAAGAAAGGAAGAAAGAAAGAAAGAAAGAAAGAAAGAAAGAAAGAAAGAAAGAAAGAAAGAAAGAAAGAAAGAAAGAAAACAAAATAAAACAAAGCTCCAGGAAAGGAACATCCAGATGTTTCCATTGACACATAGGAAACTGGTTGATTTTGCAGTACAAGGTGATACTTTGAGGTGACTCAATCAAATGCCATATGAATTGTCCTCTGACTCTGCCTATGAGGAATATTACTCTAATTTCTCAAAAAATTAAAAAGGATACAAAACGCTTATGACACATGGGATTATTAATAGAATCTGAGCAAATGAAAAAGACTGCTCTACACAGAAACCACACACACACAAAAATACTACTGGGAAGTATTATTTGCTAGAAGAGCCCAAGCACACCCTGGGACTTCGAGAGATGGAGGGATCTCAGCAAACCCCAACATGACACTCCAAGGTATGATATAGAAGATGGTAGACAGGCAGCAATCCAGAGACCAGTGGAGTGAGGGGGAGCAGCAAATGCACACTAGCTATAAGGAATCCATACCAGAAACTCTGCCAAGGAAGAAAATGACTTCAACATCTGAGTTCTAGCAGTTCCATGGACAAGGAAAAGAGAGAAAAGTAGCTTAGAACTCAATACTGCTATTTTAAAACAATTCTTTGTGGTTACCTAGTTCTTTTTTTTTTTTATGTGTCAGTAGAAAATCTTGTATTCTATTTGTGTAGTGAGGTAATACTTTTGAATACGTTACTATGCTTTTCTTTTTGGCACTTCCTTGTATCTTTTTAAAATCTTATCCCTATTCAATTAGAGATATTCATTACTTCGGGAAGAATAAGATTATTATAGTTAGAATATATAAAGTTTTTAGAGTTTGGCTTTTCGCTTTCAAAAACAGACCCCTCAAATTAGTTTCAGCAAGAAAATTCTTAAATTTATTTTCAATTTCAAGAGGCAAGCAAGAGATAGAAATACAGAGTTTGTTTTGTTTTTTTTTTTTTTGTTTTAAAAATTCTGTAATTTTTCCTTTCAATATCAAGAAACAAAACCTGGAAGGCTGAGAAAATCATTTTACTAAAAATCTTTAAATATAAATGATACAGGAAATGACATGAGAACAGTCTTCCAGCCCAAAAAAAGGAAACAAAAAAATAACAAACCTTCTTTGGTATGAAAAGAATCTTGAAAATAAGCAGAGCAGGTAAGTGAGTCATAGGTGAGTTTACAGAGAGGCCCCTGCCCTGCTTCCAACTCAGGTAGGGAGAAGGGTGGGTTGGACAGTAAGCTGCATGACAAAAATGCCCAAATATCTCTGAACTATGGGCAGAAACAGCTTTTTTTCACTCTGGGCCTGGAATTCTAATTGGAAGCAGCCTCAAAGAGTATTCCATACTAGATGAGGGTGGGCACCATATAATGGAAATGGCATAGGGCTTATTTAAATACAGAAGACCTATCACAGTGCTTGTGTTCCAGTAACCCTTATTTTACTTAATAATGGCTCCAAAGTACAAGAGTAGTGATGCTGGCTATTGGATATGCCAAAGAGGAGCCATAAAGTGCATCCTTTAAGTGAAAAGGTGAAAGTTCTTGACTTTAAAAAAAAGGCAAAAAATATATGCTGAAGTTGCTAAGATCTACATTAAAAATGAATCTTCTGTCCATGAAAGTGGGAAGAAAAAAGAAATTTGTGCTCATTTTGCTGTCTCACTTCAAATTGTGAAAGTTGTTACCACAGTGTGTGATAAGTGTTTAGTTAAGTTGGAAAAGACATGAAATGTGTGTGCAGAAGACATGAACAGAAATGTGTTCTGACTGACAGCAATCAGGTTCCTACCTATTCACAATTTTAGGCATCTACTAGGAGTCTTGGAATATATCCCTCCAGGATAAGGGGGAACTACTATATTAGGAAGAAAGTCTTTAAAGTAGCCAGAGTTGAAGGGTAGGCAGTAGAACTGGTATTATTTACATCTTACATTATTACATCTTGAGACATTCCTGGAGAGTAGTTGCACCACTTCAAAACCTTACATGAAACAATGGTGTCCTCATTTAGAAAGCATCTCTTTTACACCTCCACAATACTCAAATTGGAGTTAGAGGTCACACTATTCTGACTAAAGTCAAAAAGCGTTTTTCAGCATCTGGAACAATTTACACAAAAGTAACCTTGTCACTTAACCACATCACCATTCACAGATATTGTTTTCTTTTGTAATTTAAAATTGAATAATGTTATTTCTTATGATTAATTAAACTTTTAGCACTTTTAGAGTATTTGATTTAATACTTTGTTTTTCTAAATTTTTTGTTGGTTTATAATAAAATGATAGTGTTTGGCATTTATATTTTTATAAATCATGATTTAAATTATATTTTATAATATATTCATACACTTTGTATTTAAAATTCATTAAGCCTTTAGTTTCATTAACCATTTTATTTTAAGACTTCTGAATGCACTTAAAATTTTTTTAAATCAATACTGGTTCACATTTTGCATGAAATAAATGTCAAAATAATTGATATTACAATGTACCACCTTATTGGAATTATAAATCAGAAGAAAT
Source organism: Homo sapiens (assembly GCF_000001405.40). Classification (NCBI taxonomy): domain Eukaryota; kingdom Metazoa; phylum Chordata; class Mammalia; order Primates; family Hominidae; genus Homo; species Homo sapiens. The sequence goes on along the minus strand of NC_000002.12, from coordinate 181,946,121 downwards.
TACCCTGTACTTCCCAGTTTGAGGGAAAATATAATTAATTACATCAGCACATTAAAAGGGAAAATCCCAAAGTTGAAAACAGACAACAGGTTGATTCTCTAAGGGTATATAGCTTTCTTTCAACTTACTGTTTTCTATTAATTAAAGTATATTACAATTCTAAAAAAGGAAATGTTGATTTGTAGAAAGCTGACAGAAATTCAAATAATTTTTGTTCAATAACATTTCAAATTAATTTTGCTCTGTAGAGATATAAATAAGTTCTGATAGAAAAGAGTAAAACCCAATGTTTTAAATTTTAATGTAATCATCTTATTTCAGTATTTTTTCCAAGTACTGTAATATTTCTGCTTGTCCTGTGCATTTTGCAATTAGCTTTACTATCCCTCTAGTTTCCTCGATTATTAATTCAGTCTTTGACATTTGTTGATTTTATATTTGAATCGTGTTTTTAATTTTTTGAAATTTATACTTTGATAAGCACCAAATACAAATGGACATGATGAGCATCAGTTTTAGGGAAATAAAAAAATTTCATTTCTGCACATTCAATTCACATTGAATGAATTAAATACCCACCTCATTTGTGTTGTAGGATCAGTCAAACAGCATGGGATCAACAAATTTTCACCAGATGAGAGTCCCTCTTTTTACAACATTCTTTGGACTTTTCCCCCAAGAGTGTCTAAACACTGGGCACAGTTTCACTACCTGATCCCCGAGAAAAGTACTGTAGCCCACCCCTGACCCCTCATCCATGATTTCGTTCTTTGCAATTTGAGTTACCTGTGGTAAATGCCGATTCAAAACTATTAAATGGAAAACTCCAGAAATAATTAACAAGTGTTAAATTGTGTGCCATTCTGAGGAGCATGGGGAAATCTCAGGATGTCTCTCTCTGTCCTGCCCGCTATGTGAACCACCCCTTTGCACAGAGTATCCACGCTGTACGTGCCGCCTGCCCATTAGTCATTGACGTTATCTGCTCCTGACATCCAACCATCGACAATGTCATGGCTCCATGATGCAAGATCACCCAAAAGCAGATGATCCAAATGTAGCCTACCTCTACATCAGAGTGCCTACATCATTCATCTCATTTCATCTCATCACGTAGGCATTTGTCATCTCACGTCATCACAAGAATGTTGAGTACAGTAAGATATTTGGGAGAGAGATCCTATTCACATAACTTTTATTGTAGTATATTGGTACAATTGTTCTATTTTATTATTAGTTATCATTGTTAACCTCTTACTTACCTAATTTGTAAACTAAACTTTAACATAGTTATCTAAGTATAGGAAAAAGCATAGCGTATAGGGGGCTCAGTACTATCTGGGATTTCAGGCATCTTCAAAACCTCTTGGATCATATGTCCCAGGCATAAGGGGGAGGATGCTGTGCACATATCTTTTTTGATGTATGTTTATCACTGATGATCATTTTGGGAAAGCAGAAGAACATTAAGAACATTAAAAAACAAACAAACATGGGAAAACTACAAATTTAAGAAATCCCCTAAATTCTTTTGTCCCTTGTCTTTTGTCTAAAGTCCCTAACTTCCTTCTAATCCAGTGACAGGAAGTTCTATTAGATTGTTTACTTTTAAATGAACTTTGAAGTTCACAAAAGTTTGTCCCTTCATCTCCCTGAGAACTATCTTATACAAAGGGTGTGTGTTCTTCTCTCTACAGGAAGTTCTTTTTCTCTAAGAGTAATCTGAGTTGAACAGCGAGTGTCTCATCTGAGAATACCCAGCCTGTACCATACCCGGTTCTCCAGGGACCCTGACATATTAAGGTTGTTGTTGCTGTCTGGTGGTGCTGGCAGTGGTGGTTTTTCTCAAATAACAGTTAAAAGGCGAAGGTCAGAGTGGAGTACTGTGGAGCGCCTAGTCTAGGATAGCAGCCTATTTTCCTTTGATATTGGAAAATCAGTCCTGCATCACAACCCTGAGGCAAGCGATTGTAAGGCTTGGCCTTTTTCTTCTAAATAGAGTGAGCAAAATACTAGGAAAACAAACATAAACCAGCATGAAAAAAGTTATCCTGCTATAGTAAATCAGAAATGAAGACCTGACGTTCCCTCTGTTATTCGGTACAAAAGTAGACTAATTAAATGATAAGGAACTAAAAAGTGAGATTGCACCATAAATCAACATTAGGTCTTTAGTTAATAATTGGAGCAAATTGAGTTTGTTTCTTTGTAAGTAAATAACTTTAAATCCAGCAAAAGGGACTGGTTGTTCAAACAGTAGAAAGCCACTTGTATAGAACATGAATAGAATTGTTAATTCACATTGACAAATTCCATGTATGTCCTTATTAAGCTTGGGAAACACAAACAAGGAAAGCTCATTCACATTTTTAGGCTTTCATAAACAAAGATGACAAAGAAAAAGATGGGCTGCTGATGTTTTTCCATTTCATCTTGTGAACACTTCACTCTGGAAATTATCACCAGGGCTAAGGTCTTTGGGTTTGCCATAATAAGATTGTTTCATGAGGAATGTAGCTCAACTGGTACTTAGTTACTCTTGACACTCCAAATGCATACTGAACAGGGAGAGACATACTTCACACAAGGTCTGAGACAATTCCAAATATGTACCTGTTGCAACACCATCTTCCAGTCCCCAAATGCCAAATGCAAAAGGAAATCTTCCAGATGTATTTAGGCTCCACTTCACCTCCTCAAATTCAACATCATTGAAGTGAATAATAGAAAACACAGAATAATCCTTCATCACTATTCAAACAGGATTCTGCCAATATTTACTGTTTCTACCAACCACATTTGGTAAGATATGTGCTTCCTACTTTATTTCCAATAATCCTTGAACTGTTCCTAATCTAAGCAGTTAAAACGGTAACCTCCTTGTTCTGAGATTTATGGCCAAAGATACTTATGTAATCTTCCAACTATACCATATTTAGTAAAACAATATAATCTCCATGATCATCAAAAAGAGTACTACTGTGGTAAACAAACATATAACATTGTTCTTATCTGGCAAAAGCAACATACATCTGTTCTGAGGCATTAGATGTAGTCCTGGCTGATGCATTTTAAGAAATAGAAAATAAAGCCAGAAAATAGATACAAGGGGATCATAAACTGTAAAAGGGATGTTGATAATAGGTAGTGGGTTGGAAGAGACCTCATTCTGAAAGAAAAAAATGTCTAGTGTTTTTCTGAGTCAGAGTGATAGTTTATTTGAAGCCCTTAAAACCTCCTAAAGTGATGGATTGGAAACAACATCTTGTTCCTCAAATCCCAGTCATATTAGAAATATGAAATGCCCTTTGAAGACAGAAACATGAAGATTTAAGACACATACAGGAGAATGATTTACCCAAGCAAGGCAATGCATAATCTGATGCTACAAAACAGTAGTGTGAGAAGGCCTGCTTCCAAACTCTAAACATTTGAAGATCCAAAGCCTTCTTTGTTTTATATTGTTTCCTCTACCTTCAGCTCAAGTTAATACATTCTTTAAAAATCCTTGTAGATTTCTGTGTATCAATTGATAACCAACTCCGTTAGACAAAAACCAAATTTGCAAAGCTCTTCAAGATAAGCCCTTATCTATTTGGGGTTTTCTTGAGACTCCTATGGGAATATATCCTTAGGAGTCTTGGGCACTTGAGCACCCAATTATTTAACAGAGAAGAGATGGCCAGGCAGGCCTTAAGATCCATAAAAATACCTTTTTCTGTTTGAAATGTTTTGTGAGCCACTCTCTTAAATCTTTCTTAAGTACTAACAAAGAATCTTATGGATCCACCCTTGATTTTATCTTTTCCAGAGCCATTTTTAATTTAGTAATTGTTTTTAGAGGATCAGGGCATAAGACACAATTTTATTTCAAACCTGGCAAGTTCTGACTCTTTTATATTTAAAGGTTATTTTTAGCTCATCTCTCTTGTCTCACATTTTATCATAGGTGATGAAAAAAAAATCAGGTGGCATTTTGAATATTCTGCCTGGAAATCTTAACTAGATCATTGAGTTTAGCAGGTATATTTCCACTTTGCCACATTAACACAGATGATTATGTTGGCAAACTCTGTGCCGTCATCCAACAAGGCTTCCCATTCCTTTAGCTTCCAATACCATTGTCCTCACTTTCCTTTAAACCTTCACTGAGAGCCTCCTCAAGGTCTTTCAGGTTTCCACTAGCAGTCTACTTGAGAGCCTTTGGTTTTCACTAAGCATCTCTTCAAAGCCCTTCCAGCTGCTTCCCACAGTCCAGGCCCAAAGCCAATGCCCAAATATAGGGTTTTGTTATGGCAGCATCCTACTTCTAGATACCAAAATTTGTCACAGATATCTATGCGCACATAAAGTATCCTGAAAGCTTAGTGTCTTGAAGCAACAGCAATCATTCATTTCGTTCATGAATTCACAATTCAGGCAGGGCTTAACAGGGACAACTTGTTTCAATTCATTGTGATATCACCTGGGGTGGCTTGACTAGCGGTGGAGAATCCACGTTCATGATAACTTTCTCATATGATTGGCGATTTGGTGCTGTCTGTTGGCTGGGAGTTCCTCCAGGGCCAAAGGCCAGAAGCTTCTGTCTTCCTCCATGTAGGCCTCTTCCCAGGCTTCTTGGTCTTCCTGACAGTATGATGTTTGGGTTCCAAGACCAAGAATTCAAAGAGAATCAGATAAAAGTGCATGGCATTTTTCATGTTCTAACCTTGAAAGTCACAGGTTATTACCTTCACCACATTCTATTTTTCATATTGTTCAAAAGCAGTCACAGAGACCAACCAGTTGCAAGAGGAGGAAGACATACAGACTACAGTTCTTAATGAGGAAATTGCAAAGTTTTAGAAGAGTAGTTGGGATAGGAGATTCTTTTGGACCTATCTTTAAAAAATATAATCTGCCACATTAAGTAAACAAAGAATTGCATAGAGACATTAATAATTCAGAGGATATATTTTTTATCAATGATGTCAAAATTATGGAGAAGAATTAAACACTCCATAATATAGCTCTTCTTCTTCCCTGACAGTAAACAAAATATATCTAGATGGATTATAGATCTGACCGAGTTTGGAAATCCTTATGTTCATAAAGTGGACATATTCTTGTAAAACATTATCATACTAAAATTTAAATAATTACATATCTCAATAAAAATTATCTGTTGTTTTTAATAATGGAGGAAAAGTCAATATTTTCCATTTAGTTCAACTCCATTTAACAAATATTTATAGAACACTTACTACATACCAAACACTGTGCTAGGTATATGATAGTAGGTAAGGCATGTTTCTGTCTTATTATAATTGGGAAGACTAAATGGTTAATTGCAATATAGTATAATAAATGAAAAAAATTAAAAGATATGTACTACACACACATGAAAATAAATAGAATCGGACCATTAACTTACACCATGTACAAAAATTAACTCAACAGGAATAAAATACATAAATTTAAGAGCTAAAATTATAAAATTCTTAGGCAATAAATAAGAGTAAATCTTTATGACCTGGGCTAAGCAATGGTTTCTTAGATATGACACCAAAATGCAGATGCAACAAAAGACAGAAATAGATCAATTAAATTTTATCCAAACTAAAATCTTTCAAGCTTCAAAGCACACTATCAAGAAGATGAAAAGACAACCCATAAAATAGGAGAAAAATGTTGCAAATCCTGTATCTAAGGAACTTGCATCTAAGGAACTTGCACCTAGAAAACGTAAAGACTTCACATACTCAATAATAGGAAGACAAATAACTCACTTTAAAAACAATGGTTAAATGATGTAAGCAGACATTTCTCCAAAGAAGATATATAAATGCCCAATAAGTGCACAAAAAGATGCTCAACATCATTCAGGGAAATGCACATGAAAACCACGATGAGCTACCACCTCACACCTGCTAGAATGGTTAGAATAAAAAAAGACTGACCACTACAAGTTTAGCAAGGATGTGGAAAAATTGCAACCCCCATACATTACTGATGGATGTAGAGTTGTTCAGTCACTTTAGAAGACAATCCTTGGCCAGGTGCAATGGCTCATACCTGTAATCCCAGCACTTTGGGAGGCCAAGGTGAGTGGATCACGAGGTCAGGAGATCAAGACCATCCTGGCCAACATGATGAAACCCTGTCTGTACTAAAAATACAAAAATTAGCTGGGCGTGGTGGTGTGTGCCTGTAGTCCTAGCTACTTGGGAGGCTGAGGCAGAAGAATCACTTGAACCCAGGAGGTGGAGGTTGTAGTGAGCCAATATTGCACCACTGCACTCCAGCCTGGGTGACAGAGCGACACTCCATCTCAAAAAAAAAAAAAAAAAAAAGACGATCCTCAAAATGTTAAACATAGAGTTACCATATGACCCAGCAAATCCACTCCTAGCTGTCTACGCAAAAGGAATGAAAACACGTGTCTTTAGAAAAACTTGCACATAAATGTTCATAGCAGCATTATTTATAATAAACAAAGAATGGAAAGAACCCAAATGTCCCAAATGTCTATCAGCTGATAAATAGGTAAACAAAATGAGGGCATATTCATATAATGCCGGCATGTATATATAAGGGAATATTATTTGGCAATAAAAAAGGACAAAGTACTGAGGTATGCTACAACATGATAAACCTTGCAAACATTATTCTAAGTGAGGAAACCAGCCACAAAAAGTCACACATGGTATGATTCCATTTATATGAAATGTCCAGAATAGGCAAGTCTATAGAGACAGGAAGCAGATTAGTAGCTACCTAGAGCTATGGTGGGTGTGGGTTGAGGAGAAATAAGGAGTGACTGCTAGTGGGTACTGGGAGTTTTAGGGGGTAATGAAAATGTTTTAAAATTAATTGTGATGATGGTTGCAGAACTCTGTAAACATACTAAAGACCGTTGATTTGTATGTATTATTAAATGAGTGAATTTTATGATCTGTGAATATTTCAATAAAGCTAATATGCATCTGCACACACACATATGTACACACACACATTTAAATGTATGTCCTAGGTACATTGGAAACACAAAGCGGTGATTTCTGCTTGGTGGGTCACAAAGGGCTTCATGGAGAGATAGATGTTTGAAGCATGGGTGGCATCGGAGAAAAAGGAAAGGACTTCCAAGCAGAGAGGGCAAAACTTGCAAATACAGGGAAGCATGGAGCAGCATGGTTGAGTATGACTGAAGCACAGTTGCATATTGAGGGATTCAAGAAATGAGGATTGGAGAAAGGAAAGGGATGCATTTGGCTGGGCGCAGTGGCTCACACCTGTAATCCCAGCACTTTGGGAGTCTGAGATGGGCAGATTGCTTGAGCCCAGGAGCTTGAGATCAACCTGGGCAACATAATGAGACCCTATCTCAACAAAATTACAAAAATTAGCTGGGTGTGTTGACACGTGCCTGTAGTCTCAGCTACCTGGGAGGCTGAGATGGATGGATCATCTGAGTCTGGGAGGTTGAGGCTTCAGTGAGCGGTGATTGCACCACTGCACTCCAGCCTGGAAACAGAGTGAGGCCCCATCTCAAAAAGAAAAAGAAAGAAAGGGATGCATTTGGACTTTAACTCAAAAACAATGAGACATCCATGGATGACACTGAGCAATAGGAGTGAGGAGGTGACAGGATCATATTTGCATTTAGAACAACCACTCTAACAAAATGGAAAAATATGGGCTTACTGGCAAACTCTGGTAGGCAGAAAGGCCCAGGTGGGAAATAGTGCCATAATTCAAGAAGTAAGAGGGTGGAAACTAAGACATTAACAGTAGGGACAACTGGATATGAAGGAGTTATTATAGAATCTCATGACTTGGTGAGAAGAAGCCAAGTACCTGGCATACAATAGATAAAACATATTTGCTAAGTGTAATTGGACCTTAGTGGAACTTTTACTTAGCTATTTCAACAAGGGAAAATGTAAAAAGTAATCCAAAATGGCTAATGCTTCAGATGGCATGATCTTTGTATATAATATCCCCTTGAAGGGAAAGAAATTACTTACAGTATAATCTATAAATGTACTTTTATGTACTTAGAATCTGTAGAGAGGGGCTCAAGTATATAAAACCACTCACACATTTCTTCTTGAGGAGAAGCCAAATACACAGTTTAGTAACAAAATAACCACCAAGCCAGGGGCTTTTTATGGATATTGTGAAGCTTTCTTTATAGTTGTGTTTATAGATCAGCACCTCAATTAAAAGCCTCTTAATTTTTAGGGAGATAGCTATGAAGTTTCTCACCAGCAACCATAAAAATAGATGGGCTGAGAAGAGGCACTTGCTGCATACAGAATGTTTTTCTAGCATTGTACCAGAATATTTTGGAGATGCCTAAATGTTCCTTGTTTGAATAGGAAACAAAAAGTTGGCAGTGGCCGTCACTTCCCCTAAGTGCCTCTTCTTTTTCTTGCTTGTAATGAAATGGCAAGGTCACAAAATACTGATGTCCACACTTCCTGATTCTCAATCTCTTAAGATACACGAGTCATAGTTAAGTAAGTGTTCCTCTCTCAGCAACCAGCTGACCCAGAGCTGTACATTCTTCCCTCTAGCAGGAAGATGCTGCCTGTTCCACAGTAGTGTTTTAAAAATTGTTGTTCAAATTTTCTGTAATATCTAGCTATTGAATATTTATTCAACTTTAGATTGTATGTCTTTCAGAATTAAATCAAGTTGAAAATCACTTGGCTATCACACATCCGTTAGAATTCTAATATTCTGAAGAGCAGAACCTTTCAAAAGTAAATATTACAATGAACACTGGATAGATTATATTTTATTTGTAATATTTCTATGTTGATAACAAATCAAATCATTTAATTCTGAATGCTAGCAAGTATAAATGGCTTAATTTGTTAGAAAGTTTGTTCTCAACTTTTAAAAAACCTATATTCACCAGCTCAGGAAATTTTAAAAGGCTCTTTTCTATAGTTTGTATTTCAATAAAGTATTTTCCAAACAAAAAAATCACAAAACTGAATAAAAACGACATGCCCATACATATGTGTGTACATTCACACATGCAAATATACACACACAACACATACTCTGATAACTGCCCTTGCCCCGCTGAGAATCACTATGCTAGAAGGTTTTTAAAAGCTCAGTTCAATTGTTCATTAATTGATTTTTAAAAATAAGAAACACGGAAGAGAAACAGGATAATCATCAGAGAATATTAGTGTCAAGGCATTCTTATAAAAATACACTAAAGGGCTACAAATAACCGAACTAAAAATGCCAGTTTTCTGAAGCTCCAAATCTAAGTAAGTGATACAGGATGATGCATTTTATCATCGGCAACTATCCTAATTGATGATCCCAATTAATGGTGCCAATTAAGTGTATTCTTCAAAATAGTTAGAGAGACTTCTGAAAAATGTAACTCACATTGAACTTTCCCTGAATTAAATAAAGATTAGGCAGGACTAATTACATAATTTTTACATTTAATGGTTTAACATAAAGTTGGAATAAAATCAACTGTATTTTCTCTCATGTTGGATTCAGATAACCAATGCAGTGTATCATCTTGATATTTTAATATACTGCTATATATTTTGTATTTTTCTTCTACTATTATTACCTCTTGCTAATAGCTAATATTTATGGAGCTCTTACCATATACTAGGCAGCTAACTAAATATCCCTGTGCTATTACACTTGTTAATCTCCTCAATAAACCAAAGAGGTAGGTACAATTGTTACTTCTCATTTTACAGGAAGGTGAGACTTAGACAGGTATGAAAGTGGCAATGCTAGGTCTGGAATCGAGGTCTATCTGCCTCTAAATTGGACCCATCAATGTTTACATTTTTCTACTCCCTTCAGTTATGTATGTTTTCAGCACTATTTTCTTTGAAAAAGAAGTGAACACAGATGTCTTTGGTGTTTAGCAGGCTCAGTACACAGACTCAAACATACAGGTCTGATCCGATCAAGAACTAGCTTGTTTTACACAACCTGAAATTTCAAGGGAATTTCTTGAAGGGCAAGAAGAAAAGAGCAGAACGGTAATGCTGAAATTGAGAACACACTATTAAAAAAATACATATTGCTCTAAGAGTACCAGTGGTTGGAATTTTTTCATAGTAGAAGAATTTTTCTCATTAAAAGGTCTAAATTTAGCCTGTTACTAATTCTCCCAACTGCCTCTTTCTCTTTTCCCTTTCCTTTTGTTATTAACTGGAAAGTATAAAGTATTTTAGAGAAACTTGTTTTGCAGCCAGCTTTGCCATAATGCAGCTAATCCATCAACCAAGAAATAATATAAGTGGACTGTTAGACACAAATTCAAAACCTGTGGGAGGTTAACCCTGATTGGGAAAAATTGCCCTAAAATCCTGAGTAATAATTACAACTGTATACTATAATCCATCTACACTTCTGATGATGAATTGTTTCCTTCAATGTTTCTATGCTCCTCTAAAAATAATTTCTGCCATAATATGTATCCAGAATCTAGGCAATTATGAGCCATTTCATTCATTTCTCTTTCCCATTATAGAGCAGAATGGACCAACCAAAGACTTCTAGAGAATTATATCTACTCTAAAAAATGGTTTAGGAATATACCTGATGAAATCATGATGTTATTTGCGTTCTGCTTTCAGCTTTTTATACAACAATTGAAAAACTAATAAGTTACATCAAAATAAAAATTCACTTTTGTGAATTTTGAAAGACTTGACTCGAATGCTAGTAAAATTAGTAAATTAGTAAATGGTATAATCAGGTCATTAAAAATTTAATTTTGTCATTAGTTCCTTATACTCAATAGCTTATTAAGTGTTGGTCGAATGAAATTAATTGTGGTAAGGTTTCAGAATAGAACAGTTAAAATATGAATGCTCATATCTGTCATTAAAATGCATGTCTGTTTCTGAAAGTAGGAGGGAACAGTTTGGTCCCACACTGTGTTCCTACTATGATTCAGCCAAGGTAGATTTGAATGAGTTGATTTAAATGGGGGCATTTTAGCAGAGAGCGAGAGAGCTTGCCAGCATTAGAGGAGAAGAGAGGATAGGAAGGACAGCGAAATGTCTGCCTCAAGCGCTTTCACCCATGGCCAAGCCCCATGAAGATGTGTCTGAAAGCAGAAATGACCTAAGATTCTTTCACAAGGGATTCATATGAGAAAGCTGGGTTATAAGCAATGCTGCTATGCTGCTAAGGTAGTAAGGGGTAATTCAGCAAGAGAAGCACTCCCTCCACTTCCATACAGTGTGTTATCATCATAACCTTGGCCGATTGAGGACCCCAGCAGAAGGGCAGGGGAGCACTGGGTCCCTCAACAGAGAGAGCAAGAGAAGAGCAAAGCACTTAGAATTGACGTATTAGGACTGTCATGAAGATGTATGAATAACTCTCGGGGAGCCCCAATATTAATGCATGAGATTTAGGAGAGGAACATATCTTTCAACACATGATGGAAAAAGAAAAATATATCTGTCATCATTAATGCATTCCCATTTGTCATCACAGACTAAAGAAGATTGGGTAAACACATCATCTTATTGAAATGTCTATATTTTACAGATATCAATAGGTTAATAACAATGCAAGTCCTTTTTGACTAAACATAAATCAAGACATTCACAACTGAGATTTAACTGATGACCCTGCTGATTCTATCAAGAGCAGTCTCTGCCCAGGCACAGAGTTCTAACAGATATTTGTGAATCTACTCCTCAGATGTCTGCTTTATACTTCAGGGGCCTTTTTCTTTTTTATCTTGGACTGCTGAAATAATAAAATTATTTGAGATGTACCGAAGCAAAACCATGAATCATCAGTACATGGATTTACTAAACAATTAACTCAGGAACACGAATAAGAAATTAGTGTGCTCTGCAGAGGTGAAATATCATGAATCTCTCTGAAAGGAATGATAAACTCCTTCAAACTCCAACGGCTATAAATAAATTCCATATCCCAGATCCGATCTCTTTCTGCAGCATCTCTAGACTAATTCTTTTTTGGGTCTCATTCTGGTTCTTGACTGGTTGATTCTAGAAGCACTCAGATGGTCTTTGCATTTTCTCAACATCCAATCTACACAATATAAGGACTTACTATTCATTGCCATCAACAGCAATCAGCAATTTTTTTTCTTTTACTGTGATCATTCGTTGGCCATTGCACAATTCCACAATGCCTTGGGTGGGCCCTCCTGAGGTCTCCTTTCTATGTGCTTTGCTTACATTTGTTCTTCATTTTGAACTTTGGCTATAATGAAAAGTTTCTTGAAGGGGCCTGTAAGATGACGTACCCTTGGAGATTAAAATCCTTTTCCTACTTAACAATTTCCTTCCTTTGAAGCATCTAGCAGACAGGTAGTGAAGACCTACTATCCTAAGTCCTTGCTACTAAAGTGCAGTCCATGGCAGCACCATCAACCTCACCTGGGAGCTTCTTGAAATGCAGAAATTCAATCCTAGAAGGTAGGACCCAGACCTCAATCAGAATTTTCCTTTTTACAGATTCTCAGGTAATTTGATTTGTATGATTAAAGTTTGAGAAGCACTGTTCTAAATGGTATTCCATGACCAGTTTTTTGGTTTCAAATAACAAAATTTCTTGAAAATGTTAAAACCAGTAATTAATGTTCACCTGCTATATCAGAATCGGCAGTCTGGTACCAGTTCCTAGTTCAACTGCTTGAAAGAACACATTAAAGTTGAAAAGGTCAGTCCTGGATCTATAAGTCCATATTCTGTCCTTCCCATTTAATGCTTTGACTTGCCAAAACTCATCTACCTGTCACCTATCTTTACCCATCTTTGCTATCACCATAACAGCTAACTTACTGAGCTGTGCCAAGCGCTGTGCAAAGTTCCTTTACATTCTTCTCTATCAACTGAGAAACAGGTACTAATACTACCATGATAGAGTGAGCAAATAAGCTCATTGTTCACAAAAATTTAAGTCTTTCTCCTTTGGGTGTGCAGAAAGACCCTTGTGAGGAAAATGGACTCTGATATTTGTCTGATATGCATTATCTTTTAATATATTTGTAACTCCCTGCTGAGCACTGACATTCTGTATGCAAGTTATTACTTATGATTTGTGACAGTATTATTTATTACACTGACACTGTATATAAACTGTTATTTACTCAATATGACTAATGGAACATCAGTTGTGGAAATGAGAACAAAAAGGAAAAGGCCTCATTCAATAGCAATACATAGAAGAAACTGTATAGGAGAGGAACTATTAGTTATGACATTTTAACTTTATACATTTAGAATGCAATTAGAATAAGTGCTAATTAAATGTTTCCAATATTCATAAGTAACTCTAAGTGATGCTTAAAAGTGTAGACCCTCAGCTTCAATTAAAAGGTGATAGGATGTTTCCTCTTCCCACTTCCTAGGAGTGCTATAATTTCCTTCTTTCCAGGAGAGGAAAAATTCTAGAAGAACATACACTTCAGTTTTGCTTAATTCCTTCCCTAAGACCACACTCCCATTTGTACAGGTGAAGAACATGGGCAATGCAGCAATTCTCCAGAAACTGCCCAAACTTACGTTCTCTTTACATTCTTTTATATACACTTTACTGCATTCTTATGTTCCTCTGAAAAGGTTGAAGATGGCCAGCTGAGCAAATATTCGGTACTTTTAAATGTATGAAATTCAACTGAATATATTTAGAGGAAAGAAATGTACTTCAAATCTGAGAATTTTTCAAATGTACTTCAAATCTGAAATGTACTTCAAAATCTGCCTGTTTTTCTCATGGTATATCATTCATAGCAACTCCAAACATCAAAATCACCATTTCAAGTTTCTTTCTCTTCTATGCTTTGTGCAAGCTCTTAGCACAATACACACAATGAACCTGGCATTTAAAAAGTATTGCTTTGATCATGTACATGGTAATTCAAACTCTATGTATTCTTGATAACTTTTGCTAATGTTCTTGACTACTTTTAAGACTTTACTCAAATCTCATCTCCTTGGTAGGCTTCTCTGACCACCCCAGGCTATAGTCTCTCAAATTATTTTAGTTATTCATTGACACTTCTAAACGTATCCATAAATTAAAAGATGCCTTGACTTTGTCTTTTTTTTGACCCTTTCATTTTTCATTTCCACATAGCAGCTAGCACGGTGGCTTGAACTTGATAGCTTTCAAATGTTAAGTACACAATAAAGTGGGGAGAAGGAACATAAAACTCTGATAGTTGTTGAGACTCCTCTTATTTGATTCATATACTATGTAGGTAATTTGCTGATTGTCTCAGCCTATTATTGCAACTGTTATATTTCTAATTTTGATTATCAAAATCTGGGTATCTTGTGTTGTCAAAAATTAACTAAAAGTGACTTCAAAACTAAATAGTTAAAATCGTTGATTACTATATTTCTATTAATATGGGGCATTTAGGGGTGGGATTGTAAACTAGTTCAACCATTGTGGAAGTCAGTGTGGCGATTCCTCAAGGATCTAGAACTAGAAATACCATTTGACCCAGCCATCCCATTACTGGGTATATACCCAAAGGATTATAAATCATGCTGCTATAAAGACACATGCACACGTATGTTTATTGTAGCACTATTCACAATAGCAAAGACTTGGAACCAACCCAAATGTCCAACAATGATAGACTGGATTAAGAAAATGTGGCACATATACACCATGGAATACTATGCAGCCATAAAAAATGATGAGTTCATGTCCTTTGTGGGGACATGAATGAAGCTGGAAACCATCATTCTCAGCAAACTACTGCAAGGACAAAAAACCAAACACTGCATGTTCTCACTCATAGATGGGAATTGAACAATGAGAACACATGGACACAGGAAGGGGAACATCACACACCAGGGCCTGTTGTGGGGTGGGGGAAGGGGGGAGGGATAGCATTAGGAGACATACCTAATGTTAAATGACGAGTTACTGCATGCAGCACACCAACATGGCACATGTATACATACGTAACAAACCTGCATGTTGTGCACATGTACCCTAAAACTTAAAGTATAAAAAAAAAATTGGGGCATTTGGTTGATAGGTGTTATTACTGCTGTTATTGAACAAAGAGTTAAATAGTATTTTAATATCTATTGTTTGTAGTTTAATAGCTTATTTTTAAAGAGAAGTTTTATTTGACCTCTGATGGTAATTATCATGACCACAGAACTAGATAAGCCAAAGAGGCCTCAATCATGCCCTCTCTCCAGGGTGGTCTAGTCTTAAACAGCATTTTTTAAAGCATTGTTTTTTTAAAGTATCATAACACTTCCCTAGGAAAAGAGAGTATCACTCTATTGGGTTATATGCTGCAATTCTTTTGGACCTCATTTGTTACCTATCAAATCTAATTCAAAATCTTCATGTTGCAGTTTAAGAAACCACTAAAACACTTTAGGCAAAATAAATACTTTATTGTTTTAATATATATATATTTTAGAAATCAGCCTTTGTGTGATATTTCAAACATTTATAAGCCTTTTAGAGATTCTTTCAAAGAACACTGTTAACAACTCAACCACTTTTGATTAAAATATCACACACAAAGAAACACAATAGGAGTTGAAAAAATTATAAATGCTAGAAGAAAAATTCTAATAACATTTGGTGGTTACTTTACACATTTATTTAACACATATAAAACCAAATGGGAAACCATTTTCCTTTTTTTTCATAAAAACAAAGTTTTCACTGGTTAAAACTGAACTAAAATCATTTTATGTATGAGGAGAACAAATCTAAATTACTTCCATTTTGAAAAAACAAACACCAGCTTATTCATTTCTATTCATTCAAGTCATAGGCCCCATTATTTGGATGATACTCTATTTAGTCTAGAAGACAGAAAAAGAAACATCTCCATCTAATAAAGAAGTCTGGACAATGCAAAAAGTAAAAGTACATAGTGTTTAACATAAGGCACATTTCCAAAAGAAAAATACTACATAAGCAATGATAAAATTACATTTGTCTTGGGTAAAGCAACAAGGCTTACAGTGTAAGTACATTAAGTAGTTGTAGGTAACCTCATAAAATTCTATCCTACTGCTATTAGTAACCTCCCCAAGAATTAAGAGCAATTATATTTTTTACAACAGAACAGTTTTTCTTCTTGGAAGTGACATTAATTAACAGCAGTGGAGGGAAAAATCATTGGATGCTTCAAGCTCTGAAAAAAATGAATCAGTTATTGCACAGTAAATACCTCATAGAGGTCAGTGTTTTAAGATGTTAGTCTGAAGAAATATGTTATTTATAAGTTGGATAAGTCTGGAAGTCTTCAAGTTTTAAAATTAATTCTAATAGGGAATCAAATGAAAAATACTGACATACAAATAAATATTAGGCTTTTCAAACTGCTAGAGTTTTTGATAGTTTAGAAAAGAAATAGCAAAGTGCCTAAGTTTCTATGTACGTCTTTTTAAAATATATGGTTGAAGAAATACACATTGTACACTGTATACAGTAGCCCAGCTCAACAGCAAGTATCTTCTAAAGCACAAATAACACCTCCACCAGTGCATATCATTGATAATTCCAGTATTACACAGCTAATAGGATCCATGCCAACCTTAAAAAAGAAAAGAGAAGTCAGTTTTAAACCTCTTTCAAATACTGTTATTAAAAGCTTCTTTAAAGGAAGATGAGAATTTTATGCAAATATATATACACAGAAACATGATTATCCTGTAATCTCTATACATCTTCCTGAGAGTTAATTCTTATATCCCTGGCTTTAAAAAAAATAATTCCTATTAATTGCTTTGTGACATAATTTATTAAAATACTTTCCAATTTCCTATATCTGAAATTGTATATTATACTTTTCAAATTACATTTGTTTCTCATGTCTTATTCAATGAATATTTTTAGTTCTATTCTACTCAACTTATTCTTTCTTTTTGCATTCACCAAGAATTATTATTAATATATATTATATAAAATGAAGTTAGAGCTAAAGCAGGAGGATCGCTTGAGGCTAGGAGTTTAAGACTAGCGTGGGCAACATAGCAAGACCCCATCTCTACAAAAAAATTTTTTAATGTAATTAGAGCTACGAGATAAAATGAAAGTAATTCGTTTTACTAAGACAGACATATAAAAGAGTTTTTTGAAATAAATTATTATTAGAAATGAATCTATGGGATATGTTTCTTTAAAAGATAAAAATAATTAGGAAAGATACTTAGAAGTTGTGATTAATTCGGCCGGGCGCGGTGGCTCACGCCTGTAATCCCAGCACTTTGGGAGGCCGAGGCGGGCGGATCACGAGGTCAGGAGATCGAGACCATCCCGGCTAAAACGGTGAAACCCCGTCTCTACTAAAAAATACAAAAAATTAGCCGGGCGTAGTGGCTGGCGCCTGTAGTCCCAGCTACTTGGGAGGCTGAGGCAGGAGAATGGCGTGAACCCGGGAGGCGGAGCTTGCAGTGAGCCGAGATCCCGCCACTGCACTCCAGCCTGGGCGACAGAGCGAGACTCTGTCTCAAAAAAAAAAAAAAGGAAGTTGTGATTAATTCACAAAATCTTGTTCTTTAAAACTATACATCTGAAATACCATTATAATCAAAATAAGATTCAGGTTTGAAGGTCCAATTCCAGGATTTATTACTATAATGAAATTTCAGTAGAATGACCCAATATAAGTAATTCCTTGGAGATTTGTATTATGGGATTTGACTTACACTTCAAATAGGCTTGTGTGAAATTTTCACATTGTAAAATAACATATTACATACATTCTAAAACTCAAAATTTAACTAGAGAACCAAACCTGTATACTAACAAAACAAAGAATAAAATGCCAGTTACTATTTACATTTAGCTCAACAAAGAAACTCAGAAAAATTTACCTATAATTTCTGTTTAATGATAATCTTGCTTAGAATTAGACGCTTTACTTGAAGATACTGCTGCCAAAAGTCCACTTACAATTTCCCGTCTGATTTCCCCAACAATAGACTCTTTAATCTAGATTGGAAAAACAATAAAACAAAAATTTACCAATATGAATGGAATTCATTTTTTCCTGTTTTTGGAAAAAATACAAATAGCATTCAATTTCTTAATTTCACCTTCATGTGAATCTCCCTGCAATACAGAGAGGGAGTGGGGAATCGAGTCCATCTATCATCCAACCCAGATCAGACTCCCAAGGACTGGTCTAGAATTGTTCAGCTAACTAGATTACAAATATCACAATTCATAAGGTGAGGACATTAGAAAATGTTATTTCATAAGTTAAAAAACTTCTAGTAAATACTTTACCTCATGTCAAAAAAATAATCTGGAAGGACTTCTTAAATGTTTTTAGTATTGTCTAACTTTGTAAGGTAATCAGCAGAGACACAAGTGCTCTCATTGCTGAGAAAATCTTTTAGAGGCAAAATAGTATACAGGTATACTGCCTGTTTATGCCAACTGACAGCAAGGTATCTAAAGACATATTGTTCAACCTAACACATTTAAAATGGGAAGAAGAAATTATCATTTAGTACAATTTATTTTATAATATAAAAAACATCCTCAAAACAACCATAAACTCTAAAGAAATAACTTTTTCTTTAGTTGCATGGTATCACTGCCAGCCATCTAAGCTTTTGTTTCCAATATGCATATAGGATATGAGGATATACATCTCATTTTATTGTTGGAAAAGGCAAACAGACCTGAGGAAATGACAATTCCATCAGGATTTTCTTCTACAGGTGTCCAAACACTTACATATGCCTATCTCCACCTTTTCTCTCTAATGATACAGCATCACTTTTAAATAGCCCTTTGTGAAAGCTATAAATGTGTATTTCCTGAAATAAAGTGATAATGTGTTCCCAAATAAGCACTCAAGATACTCTCAACAAGCTTTTAAAAATTCTACATTTCCAGTTTCCTGTCAGCCAAATTGATTTATTTCCTACAATGTTCCTAAGTACATCTCAAACACATCTTAACTATAATCTTTCCAAAAATGGTCCTGTATTAGTCTATCATGCAAAATTGGTACACAATACATAGATTTATACATAGTTATTTAAAGAAACAAAACACTCCTTAGCTACCAACCATCTGTACTGGAATATATTTAAATACTATAAGCTTTTCACTTTACCTTTTATCAATATTTCTAAACTTTAAACAACATCAGAAGATTCTGAAGCACACAGCACTTCAGATTTACTTTTCAAACAAGTATGTGTTGGATACAAATATTTTAAAAACCAGAATCTCTTAGTCACAGTATATAAACAGAAATACAACATACTGAATTAGGACCACTGCAAATCTATATTCACAACAATGAGTATAGTCTTTCCAGTCCTGCTACCAATGCAATATGGCCATTTTATTATATCTCATTATTCTTCATCACTCAAAAAACAAACTAGCCAAAATGTATTCTCTTTTTTTTTTTTTTTTTTGAGATGGATTCTCACTCTGTCACCCAGGTTGGAGTGCAGCGGTACAATATCGGCTCACTGCAAGCTCCGCCTCCTGGGTTCACGCCATTCTCCTGCTTCAGCCTCCTGAGTAGCTGGGACTACAGGCACCCGCCACCACGCCCGGCTAATTTTTTGTATTTTTAGTAGAGACGGGGTTTCACCATGTTAGCCAAGATGGTCTCGATCTCCTGACCTTGTGATCCACCCGCCTTGGCCTCCCAAAGTGCTGGGATTACAGGCGTGAGCCACCGCGCCCAGTCGCCAAAATGTATTCTTGACAAACCAGGAATGTGTGCCAATCTTTTTTGGGAGTACAGGCATTATTGGAATAAAGTATAAAAGAATCCCTACCATCAAGCATGATATAATCTCAATGGACACAAAATGAATACTGTTTCATAAAATATATTTCTTATTTATTTATTTTTGTGACAGAGTCTTGCTGTGTCATCCAGAGTGGAGTGTAGGGGCGCAATCTCGGCTCACTGCAACCTCTGCCTCCCACGTTCAAGTAATTCTCCTGCCTCAGCCTCCTGCATAGCTGGGATTACCACCACACCTGGCTAATTTTTGTATTTTTAGTAGAGATGGGGTTTCACCATGTTGGCCAGGCTGGTCTCGAACTCCTGACCTCAGGTGATCCGCCCACCTCGGCCTCCCAAAGTGCTGTGATTACAGGCGTGAGCCACCACACCTCGTCGGTTTCATAAAATACTAAAGGAAAAATAATTTATTGATTCATTAATGACATAAGAACAAAAAATTTTGATAAATGAGAGACTAGTGTGGGACAAAATTCTCAGAGAATGGCAGCTTTTACATGGTATGTCACAACAAAGAAAGAACAATTTCAGATGACAGTGGAGATAGAAAACTCTGTAGCAAGACGGTCTCAAATAAGAGGGGAGTATAATGGAGCCTGACTGCCAAGACAGTTCCCTCTAGAGAGCAGAAGGGAATCAGAATAGGAAGGGTGAGGTCAGATGGAAGGTGTACTGTGAGCTCCTTCAGCGAGCAGGTCAGGTCTCATTTATCAGTGTATCTCAGCATACAGTAAGAACTCAGTAAGCGTCTGAATGAATGAATCAATGAGAGAGTGAGAAAGCACAAGGGTGAGAGACAATATCAGACACAAAAAGGAAGAGAAAGCAGAAAAACGAAAGCAGACTACAGATAAAATGGCCCTGAAAATGATACAATGTCTTTATTAATTTATTGAATGAATAAATGCATGGACAAATAATTTAGTTCTAAAGTCTCCCATGCTATGGAGAGGTTGGAAGGATTAGAAGTGAGGAAACTACCCTGGGATGGATGGTAAAATTACCTTTATGAGCATAATTTCCAAAAAAATGTAGGCTAAATACAGACTACCTGAGATTGAGAAAGTCATGCTGATCGACAATACAAAAAGACTGACTACAAGTCTGAAGTATGTGGGAACACATCCACTTATTATGCACTTACTGAGTGCCTACTAAGTGGCAGCTATTACAAGTGATCACTAAAAGAAATTTCCATAAGAACACATGAGCAAGCTGTGTATTTACCAAAATACATGGGTAAAACATGTCAGACGTGCTCTAATAAAGATCCCAAAAGGCATGAATCAAGTCTATGAACTCTAATTAACAAATAACTCTCTAAACACAAAGCAATCTATGTTTACTCCTTGACATTTAATTTTGCTGAATTGGCTTCTGTGGGCATGTATTCATTCATCCTATTAAGTAATCTTTTTATTTACACACATTTATACATTTTTAAAGTAACTGCAAACAGTTTCAGGCCACTGATCACATACATCACAGATGACTTGGGCAAATTTTAAGACAGTGTGTACTTTTTTCCTAGTACAATGCACATGCAGAAAAGAGGTATCTTTAATATGACAAAAGTTTAGCTATGTAATTAGTGTATTAAATATTTGTCTGAAAAGACTTTCAATGTTGTCCTTCAAAAAAAGAATTCTACTGTATTAACACATTATAAATGATGAAAACCCTCTTTTTAAAAACCTCACTTAATGGTACAACGAAAGAAACAAAGGCCTGACAGATACCATTGTTTTCATGCATCCATGAACGCAGTAAGAAAACTTTCCTGAAAGTGCCTGCCAAACATGCTTAATCCTCACCTGCAAAACTGTTCAACCCAAGATTAAATCTTGCCTTCCTGAATGGTGGCTTTGTTAATGGGATTAGGGGCTCAGATCTGCTAGGAAGACAGAATCTAATTTAATTTTCTTGGTAGCTGTACACCAAGATTTTAAAAAATTGGAATTTAGTACAGTATGTATTTAGGTAAAAAGGTTACCAATTTGAATGACTGGAATAAAAACCAAACTAAATTTTAAATACTTTATAAACAGAAAACTATTGTAACTAAGAGAATATTAACATAATTTTTTAAATTATAACTGGCATTAAACTATTAAATATGCTTTTAAAGTACTTCAAAATAATTTGTTTTCTTAAGTACAACAATACTCCTCTTATGCCTTGTTTGATCTATACATATTTTGCTGGGTAGGCCCTTTGTAGACAGTAAAAGAATAAATGTTAAACCCAATTTCCTCAAGCCTATGCCAAATTCAGAACTAAGTAGTTTCTAATTAATGGTTTAAATAACAAATTCTGAAAAATTCTTTGAACATTTGCCTTGCATACCAGCTTAAGTGTTTGCAAATTATAAAATCTTTCATATTTAATGAGAGGTTCTTTTAAATGATTAATTCTCTAGGACCAAGGCAGCCTAATGGGAATAACTAAATTTTCTATATGCTGTGTCTTATAAGCCAAAGAATCAATGTTCTAGTCTGAAATGAACACTTTATTCTTAGGAAATCACCTACAGGACATATCAGGCCATTAAAATTCTAAAAATGAGGATTCAAGTGTGCATTGAATGGAGTATTTGTTTTAAAAGAGCAATATAAAGTTTTCAAAGAAAACTTTCATACCAAAGCAAGCTAAGGGGAACAAAACCATCACATTTCTAGAAAAAAAAAAATTACCTTAAAACCCACTTCCTCAGTTAGCAAATATAGTGTGGAGAAGAATAATTACATAATTTCACTCAAAAACTAATCTTTGATATAAAACATGTAAACAGGAATGGATTATTAATCATAGACACACCTGACCGAGTAGGGTGAATGCTGAGTTTGCTAAACATTAGGCAGCCAAAACCAATTTACAAAAATAATTACATTTGTAGGAAAAATAAATTTATAGAATTAAGACCTTTTAAACATTTAGTTGGTAGAGTCATATCATGAAAATAAATTACAGATATGAAGTCTTCTGCTATAATGCTTGTTTTGAAAATGTGATTTGATTCAACATGATTGAAATACTAGAGAACTGCATATACAGCAAATTTCACATTTGCTTATGTACAATTTAATCCACAGAATACTACTAGGTAAACAGAGATAATTGCATTGAGCTGTTTAAACGATATATTCTATTCCTTCCTATTACCTGATCTCAGTGCAAAAAACATTTATTTTACTAATTTTCTCAACTTTTGAACTTTCACTACTAATCATATGTAATTTCCTTTTGCAGTTCTTTTGGTCATCCATAACTATGGTAATTCTTCAAGTTCTTATGCTGCTATCACCTAGGGCAAACCCTCTTTTCTTCGTATATTTTGATTTTTGAATAAAAAACACCAAACCAAATCAATCTATTTATACTTATTAAAATCACAAAATCATTTTCTCCTATCAATTGTAATTATAAAATGCAGTTTCTTTTTTTTTTGAGATGGAGTCTTGCTCTGCTGCCCAGGCTGGAGTGCAATGGCATGATCTTGGCTCACTGCAACCTCCGCCTCCCAGGTTCAAGCAATTCTCCTACCCCAGCCTCCCGAGTAGCTGGGACTACAGGCACATGCCACCACGTCCAGCTATAAAATGCAGTTTTTAATCCTCGAAGAGATCTAAACTGTAAATCCTCATTTTGTAGATGTGGAAACAAGAGGTCCAAAGAGTACGTCATGTTTATTTTGAGTCCTTCACATATCTTTTTCACCATACTGAACACAGAGAATTGTAATTATTTCACATTAGAGTATGAAATTTGCAGAAATGCCATTACAAATATATCTTAATTGACACAAACTTGATCAACAGGAAAGCTAATTTAAAAGCTCTGTGAAAATTATTGAATACAGTGAATCAAAAGAACATTCTGTAAATAATTAATATTCAGACAAAATCTCCTCTAACATATACCTCCAAATAAATGAATGAAACACAGATTTTACCCACCTCCCGTATGACTTGCTGCAACTCATCTTGCTCCACATTTTTATGCATTTCCTCAGCAGCTGGCATTGATGGGAGTTTTCCATGCCCTTCTTCCACTTCAGATTTAGGTCCTACAACTTCTGGGGCTCCTTCAGCTGCATCAACTTCCTCAGAACTTTCCAAATCTGGAGGTGTCTGCACAGAGCCTGTTCTAGAAGGAGCTGTTGGCGTTAGAGCCACCGATGCTCGGAACACTTTCTTCCTTGCCACTAATGGGGTTTTGGATTTGCCCACTGAGGCAGTAGAAGGTACTCCAGTTCTTCTGTTAGCATGAGAGGGACCAGAACATACAGAAGATGATTCTGATGTTGCTTGGGAAAAAACAGATTCTGAGCTTTCTCCAGGAGGAATTTCAAATCCCATTTCTCCAAGTCCCAGGCCCAATTCAGACTTCAGGTATGACTGCTCCTGCATCAGTTCAGTGACCTGGAGATCATAAAAAAATGTTATTCTTCTCTCTTGGAATTAAGATTGGTAGCTAAAAAGGTTAAAGTCCTGGTTGTCATTATTGCCTAAAATCATGTAATTTGTAAAGACATAAATCTATTCCATTAATTTAATAACTACTCAATTTTATTTGCAAAAATGGTAAGTAAAATTTAAATTCCTATTGAGATGAAGCAACAAAACAGGTAAACAGAATACATAGTAGGATGAAATTTTACTTGTTACCACCAAAGTGTCCAAATCACTTGTAAGGAAGAGTAACTAGTGAAAAATAGTTACTCATAGTGCTTTTGCCCCCAAATGAACCAATCTGTCTAACACAATAAAGACAGATTTCTGTTAAAAACGTGGTCATGTTACAGCTCTAACTACCTAAAGAACCAGGATCAAACTGTGAAAGCACATGTCTCCTGAAATGTAAATTAAAAATCAATTTTCTTTTTTTTTTTGAGATGGAGTCTCACTCTGTCACCCAGGCTGGAGTGCAATGGCTTGATCTCGGCTCACTGCAACCTCCGCCTCCCGGGTTCAAGCAAGTCTCCTGCCTCAGCCTCCCAAGTAGCTGGGATTACAGATGCCTGCCACCATGCCCAGCTAATTTTTGTATTTTTAGTAGAGATGCGGTTTCACCATGTTGGTCAGGCTGGTCTTCAACTCCTGACCTCAGGTGATCCACTTGCCTCAGCCTCCCAAAATGCTGGGATTACAGGCATGAGCCACCACACCTGGCTTATTATTTTTTAAAGACAGGGTCTTGCTCTGTCACCCAGGCTGGAGTGCAGTGGCACAATCATAGCTCACTGTAGCCTTGAGCTCCTGGCCTCAAGCAATCCTCCCGCCTCAGCCTCCTGAGTAACTGGGACTACAGGCACATATCACCATGCCTGGCTGATTTTTAAATTTTCTGTAGAGAAAGGGTCTCATTTTGTTGACTAGGCTGGTCTCAAACTCCTGGCTTGAAGCAATCCTTCCACCTCAACCATTTAAATAAAGTGCTGGGATTACAGGCATGAGCCACTGTACATGTTTTTATGGTGCATTACCTCCTTTAGTCAGAAAGATAAATCACTATTGCAATTCAGGTGGCTTTCTAGTGGCTTCAGACAGCAATGGACTTTCAAAGGTGAAAGTCACTTCCAATCAACAATAATTTATCAAATTATGTATTTAAAATAAACATATATTTCATCTAAACTAGGGAAACTATGTGTCTGAAATGTTGTATCATTCCCTTCCCCAGTGATTTAAGAGGAAAGAAGCTTACTGGTTCCATTACATTCAATGGAGAAGGGCATGACAAGTTATCAGCGCTTCTACTGCCACACATTCCCTGAAAAGGTAAGAACAATATATATATGTATATGTGTGTGTATATATACATACATGCATATATAATTATAATGTACATATATATTTTTTCAAATCACAAGACTTTTATAATAAAATTAATTGGCTAATTAGTGCCTGGAAGCATCCCTTTATGTCACAAAGGTTACTCTCAAGTGTCACAGATCCCATAAAATGCATTATTGTGAGTTAAAACTGATACAATATGCAAAAAGGATGTTCTAGTTCTCCCGTCACCAACATACACTTCTCAGAATGATAAATCAAAACCATGTTGAAAAGTACATTCATTAGCAATACAGAACATCCTTAGTCTATGCTATACATATATGTGTTTATACACCATTGTTTATTCTACTTCATTTATAGTATATACACACATAATTGTATGTGTGTATATTCATCCATTTCTTTTTAACAAAATCAAATACATTGTTAAGGTAACAAAGAATAATTCACTATTTCAGCATTTCAAAGCAACATATTCTACAACTTCAAAGATATTTGCAAAAATAATACAACTGTTGAAGTTCAAATGTTATGGAAAGAAACATTAGAAGTATGAAAAGTGGTACAAAAACATGTTTCTTTTTATTCTCTTGGATATATATCTATATATTTAGGAAAATACATATATGTATGTGTATGTATATATATGTATGAAAATATACAGGTATCATTTGATTCCTTTAAAAACAAATGGAAAAGAATCCAAAATAAAGAAAAAGTTTAAAAGGAACACTTTTTTATTTAAAGGCATGAAAGAAAAAAAAACAGCAAAATATGCATCTGTGTTCTCTGCAGTTACATGCAACAATTAAAATTTACATTAGTCATATGTTAATTCACTAGCATTTTTCCTTTAAAAACCCTCAACTTTCGTATAAGCCCTTATTCTTTCCTGTTATTAAAATTTATCATTAAAAATTTTCAACATATTTCTAAATATACTATTTATGACAATTATTACAAATTGTACATTCAACTGATTTGTGGGAAAGCTCCTTAAACAGTATGCATGCTTTTAATACCATTAAAATAAATGACTTGAAATGAAGGCACACGTCCTAAATTATTGGAACATTATAAATAAACCTTTGGTGAAAACTCCGACCACCCTCCAGGTAGCGTACCATGAGTGCGGAGGAGCGGAAGGGTGAAGGCATGCGCACAGCACGAAGCTGCTCCTCCAGGCCCAGCAGGCGCTCCTCCAGCTGCAGTTCCAGGTCCTGAAGTTCCATTCGGACTGAATTTCTCAAACCCTGGAGCTGATCAACTTCAAACCTATTGGTATGGTGAAGGGCACAAAATTGGAAAAATGCAGTTTGGAGATTCCTAATCACAAATCTTTCAACAACTACTATATGCTAACAGAAGGCATGGAAATCTCAGGTTCTAGAAATTAGTACAATATCAACTACAATAGGTGTATCCACAAGGACATTAGTCTTTCTTCCCCTATCCTCTCACAAATATCTCAAACACGGGAAAGCAGGTTACCACTACCCTTAGGATATTGAAGGCATACAAGTTTACTTAGTAAAACACTATCTATGACTAATCTTATCTACACTGGTTCACAAAACAGATACAAGGTACACAGCAGTAGAATCAAAACCTAATTTTAAAAAATATAAGTTGAGAA
The DNA here is from genome assembly GCF_000001405.40 of Homo sapiens. Classification (NCBI taxonomy): domain Eukaryota; kingdom Metazoa; phylum Chordata; class Mammalia; order Primates; family Hominidae; genus Homo; species Homo sapiens. The sequence goes on along the minus strand of NC_000002.12, from coordinate 181,918,934 downwards.
GACTTTGAATGAAAAGCTTTTTGAGGTGTGCTAAGACAAAATGAACTTTTACCTCTCCTCCTCAGTCATATGATGATAAACCATGGTTTGCTGACGCAGCATTGCCAATTCTAAATCCATCATTTGTGTTCTAAACAAATTCAGGCTCCGCCTCATTACCTGGAGCTCCTGAAAAGTATTCTAGAATGCAATATAACAAAATTACACTTCTAAATTCTACAAATTATTTTGGAACACAAAGATGTAAGAAAGAACTTACTTCATAAAGAGGTAGAACAGATGATTTCTGAGTACTATATGGAGCAGCAGCAGGATCAGGTCCTCTCATCATAGGGTACTTCAAAAAAGTAAAAGTAGGATTAAAACCAATGTTAAAGTGAATACTTCCAAATCACTTAAGGGGTTAAAAGGCAGAATTTGGGGCCTATATATTTTTCTCTTTAAGACAAAAGGATCCAAAAAACCTTCATATTGTAAGCAGGAAAAAAGAAATCAGTTCCCAATGACACCTAGTACTGCTAGCTGTTCCAGGTATAAGTCAATCTACGTGGGAGGAGGAGGCGAAGGAACATAGTTCACATCTATTTCTTTCAGGACTTCCCTCTTGCGAAACTAAAAAAAAACAAAATCAAAACGCAAAAATGTAGAAGCCATTGCAAATATCATCATGAGATTATAGTGATTATTAACTTTGCTGGAGAGCAAGCAATCATTGTCGTCTTTCTCAGACATCTTAGCATTTCCTATATGCCACTATTTTAGGCAGTGAGATAAAAACATAAAAGGTATTCCCAGCCTTCAGGTGTTCTCACAGTGTAAAGAAAAATAAAGGAAATTTTAAAAAAATTCTAATACTGTGGAAGGAGTGCTATGATGAACACAGAAAAATTCAGATTACGTGAACTTTCCCAAAAGTGGTAACACTACTTGAACTGAGCCTTAACAGTAAATAGGGCTTGATTATGCAAAGAAAGGCAAAGACTGGGTGATCTCGGTTAAAAAAAAGTGGCTTATAGTCCCAGTACTTTGGGAGGCCAAGGCAGGAGGATCACTTGAGCCCAGGAGTTCAAGACTGCAGGGAGCCATGATTACACCACTGTCTCCAGCACTCCACGTGGGCGAGAAACAGAAACTTCATCTTTTTATTTTAAAAAAACAAAACACAAAATCAGCCATGTGCAGATACCTAAGAACACACAACTGTTTAGAGACCTGTGCACAATCCTACAGCTAAGGAATGAGGCTGGAGAGATAGTCAGAGACCACATCATAGAAAGCACCTGTCCACTAGTGTAGGGTGGGGTAGGCATGGGGAGATGTATTAGCTGAGTTATTGCTGGGATATCCAGGAGAAAGAGACCACAGCTGGAGCAGAAGAACTAGGTGGCCTAGAAAGATGCACCACGGTACTGGTGGACAGGGTCCTGGAAATCCCCAGCTTGACATAATCACAGCTGCAAGTTCCATCACAGACAGAACTATATTTTGTAAGGAGGAATAAGAAACACCCACATTCTGTTTAAACAGAAAACTGTTAGGGGACAATTGTCATGAGGATAAAACTTACAGTTAAGAGGAGGTATATCTTATTATAACTTGAGAAGTTACACCTTTGATTTTTACTTTCCAAGTGGCTCCCTGTCTACTATGTCATGATAAGAGGTCTATTACATTCATTCTAGGCCTCCTGACTCTTTGTTGAATGCTCTCATGACTATATTACATTGTCATTTTCTTCAATCCCTCAATTGTCTAAACATGATTCATTCAGAGAGAATGTTCAAGAAAATGTAAAAGGCAAAACTGAAGACAACGTACTTATTTTCAAAATTTTTTTGGGAAAATTATTTCCAGTCTACTAACAAATCTGAGAATGACTTTAAAAGTGACAAGACATACAGAGCATTTTAAATCAAATTCACACTTTACCTGATTTGTTATTTTCTGGTCTGGAGTAGTTCCAGTCTTTGAGTCCAGTGGAAGTAGACTAACTCTGTGCACAGCATCGAGGGTCAGTAGGTGAAGGGGAAAGCTTAGTCAGAGAGCTACGAGCAGAACCAGGAGAACGTGGTGCCACAGAAGCCAACAGGGAGAAAACTTGGAAAAGGAAAAGGTAGTCAACATGTTCAAATAGCAGAGAGAAAGAGAGAAAGAACTTTAAGAGGGAAGATTTTTTAATAATAGAAATGACAAAAGATTCTAGACTAAAACAAAGACAGTGGATGATAGACTAAAAATGGGAGGATACTTAACGAGAAAAATCTCTCCTCTTGGAAAGGAGACAGACTTGTGAGCAGAGAAATCGACTTTGATCAGGGTTAGTTACAGCTTCTCCCTTGAAACAGGAGGGAAGATAGAAAACGAAGGCAGATGCAGATTAAGTTTAGACATGTCAGAAAATAAAGCTGAGGTAGTTCATACTTGATGTGCCTTAGCTTCTCTGTGAATTAAAAAGTGCTCAGAGCAGTAAAAGAAAAAAGCTAATGATAACATACTTTTTCTCATACCTGTGAAAGATTCTGCAGTGAGTTTCTAATATCATGTAATACTCTTCGCAACTGCATTTCTATGGCTGAAGGAGGATTCACAGAGCACACTCGGTAAGGGTAGGTGGCATGTCTATGTGAGTAAGGACACCCGAAAGGGGAAGCGAAGGCACTACAAGTAGCCCCTGATATGTTGGGAACACTGTGAGTGCTCAGAGTTCTTGTGTGCTCACACAGGGGCCTTTCTTGCCACTCAGAGTGGATGGAATGAAGGGAACAGGTAGACTGAGACATTGGTGGTGGAGCAAGCCGTGAACAGGTAGGAGTCCTTCCATGATGGCATTCCTCCACCCGCGGCGCCTCACTCTGGGGGGCTTCTTCTTTCTTCACAGATGATGGAGAGATGAAAATGGTCGATTTAACTAAAGACTGACCATCATGTTCCATCACCCGCTTTTCCAATTCCTGCTCCTCTTCAGGTGTGTACTTATAGGTGAAGGAAGGTGGGCTGCATCTGGTCTCTTTTCCTGGAGATAATCGAACATTGACAGAGGACACAACCCTTACTGGGCTCAATAAGGTGGTTGGTAAAGACTGAGACCTTCTTAGAGGATAGCCAGCTTTTGCAAATAAGTACCTTTGTTTTAACAAATCTTTTGATTTTAGCAGGCTACGCCCCATCCTTTGATTAGACAGACTGCAAACCTTCATTTGAGCTCTTTGCAAAGCTGTATTAACTCTGTCCATGGAAGAGGGAGGCCCAGTTGTATTTTCAGAGCTCATATCACTGCATTTAGCTTCAATAGAAGCCAATGATTTCAGAATATGGTGTGTGGTATACTGAGTAAATTCACTTTCACTGCTTTTACCCACATCACTTTCAGCACTTGCTTCCCTCAGTAGCTCTACTGTCTCTGCTGGAAACAAATCCTCTTCCACTTCAGTAATTTCAATGATATGATCCCCTGGACTACAGGTGGACTGTTTAGTTCCTGTATTCTCAATGGTGTTGCACTGAGGGAAATCCTGGCTACCTGATTTTCTTTTGTCTGCAACTGCTGCTGCCTTCTCTAGTCCCTTCTGAAGAGGGACAAGAGACTCCTCCTCTGATTCATTAAAATAAGGCTGGTCTTGTGCTGTTGGTGTGGCAAGGTCTTCACCAAGTGACGTAACTGTTGTCTCACTGTCACAACTATCAGCACTACTCCCCATAGCCTGCAAGGACTCCTGAACCTGTGAAAAGAAAATAGGTGGAAAGATGAAGAATATATGTAAGAAGAGTCACTAACAAAATACCAAACCAACATGGTGCTTCTATAATTTCACTGTCTCCACTGCAGTTGTGGCCCTGCTGTTGCTCAAAATTGTTTTATTGCTCCTGAGCAGCAACCACATCCCTCCTTCCTCTCACTTTCTCACAAAGATTATTTCAGAACTTCACTGTTTTCCTAAAATTCCCTTTCCAACAACCTCCCCCTTTCCTTTCAATACAACACACTGACTCATAGAGAAAATGGACAAACACTTCCTAACATTCTTCCCCAACATCTAAAAACTTCCTTGTATCTCTCCCCATCATTCCCTCCTTCTCTCCATTCTGAAAGGAAACTCAAAGCGAATCCCTCCAACCTGGGTTCCTGATCATATCCTCTCCAAGACCAGGGTATCTCTCCAGTTTCAGCCCGGATTTTTCTGAATCAGTTCTTCTCTTACGGTTATTTCCCTTAGCTGAACACTTTCCCCAAGTCATTTCATGTTATTATAAAAGGACAAAAAGACCCCTCACTCTTAAGCTATCATTCATATTTGAAAACCAGTCAACATTCCTATCTTTTCTTCCATACCTTCTGAAAGTTTCTCCTCCATCTCCCAGTGTTTCTGTTCACTTAATTACTCTTTCTCAGTGAACTTACATATGCCTCTTGTCTGTTTACCCCTTAAATGCTATGTTCCTAAAGGCTCTTTGGGAGTTTTCTCATCCCAATTTTCTTTAGAATTTGCTTAAAAAATGTTTCAAATGCTTTTTCTGTGCATTCTGTGTACTCTACATATAGACTATATGCTTCTTGGGGATAAAGATGTGCCTGTTCTCTGGGTTATCTCACACAACCTAGTGTAAAAATCAGTATAACACTCAGCAAGCTATAGGTCCACAATTAATGTCAGTTATTAAATAGGCAAAACAATTACTGTAAAATAATGAAATATAATGATGGTTAAAAAAATAAGAAAAACAACAGACAAAACAGGTTAATGATCACAATAATCTCTGTTTACTGGTGGTCCAAAAATTAAGGGGAAGATAGATATTTTTAAAAACATATTCAGAGAGAAGAATTAATGAAATCTAAAATTTATAGTCAAATGCTTAGATAACATCTACATGCCAGGAGTTTTGTTCTGTCACTTGAAAAATAAAGATTATACAGACTCAATATTAAAATATATAGTAATACAAAAACCACCTTAAAATGAGGAAGTTAATCATAGTGCCTATTAGAACAGAAAATTTTACCTGAAGATGATTAAGGGATAGGCAGTCTGTAGAATCTTCAGCAAAACCACTGCTATCGGAATGCTGACTTGCAGTACGTAACAGATGATCTATGAATAAAAAAATGTGGCTATAAGAAACAGATGATCTATAAATAAAAAAAGTGGCTATAAGAAATTACTGAGAGCAATATTACTACAGAGATATGATTCCCAGCAGATATAAGATACACAATATTTGACTGCTTCTTAGAAAAATATGCATTACTTATGCAAAATTATGTCTTCAAAGTACAGGAGGTAACTCAAATTCAAACAAAAACTGTATCAGATCTTCTATTAGAATCTCTCGGTATTCGCTCATTAATTAAGCTCTAATTATAATCTATTTTGGTAAATCCAATCAATGTTTTATCCTTGGAGGAAAACTGAAGTAAAAGATGGCTCTAATAAAAACAGAAGTCCCAAAGTAAACCATTTCCATTATGTAAATATGTAAAGATATTTAGGAGGTAAATTTAGAAGTTCATATAGAGAGCATAGTGTGTAAAGATTTCTATTATCTTCCCAATTTAAAAAACACAGTTAGGGCTGGGCGCGGTGGCTCATGCCTGTAATCCCAGCACTTTGGGAGGCTGAGGCGGGCGGATCACGAGGTTAGGAGATCGAGACCATCCTGGCTAACACGGTAAAAGCCCGTCTGTACTAAAAATACAAAAAATTAGCCAGGCGTGGTAGCGGGTGCCTGTAGTCCCAGCTACTCGAGAGGCTGAGGCAGGAGAATGGAGTAAACCTGGGAGGTGGAGGTTGCAGTGAGCCAAGATTGTGCCACTGCACTCCAGCCTGGGCGACAGAGCAAGACTCCGTCTCAAAAAAAATAAATAAATAAATAAATACAATTAAGGCCAGTAAATTAAATAATCTGAAATGCAAGCATACTTAAATGTCTCTGGTGTTTTATGATGTTTTAAATGATGCAAATGTATAAGGTATGAAACAATTCTTTCATAAAAATTACATAAAACTCAACCAAATAGGTTCAACTACAACATAATATTGTTAATCTTATAAAATCTTTCTGCTTATTTTTCTGCCTCAAAATTCTAATTCCTGGTTAGTATGATCTATAATGTTTTACATAAGTAAAAAGGCCAACTAAGCATAGCAAGTATGTTCACATTCTATCCACACTACAACTACCACAATGGGAGAGACTGTACAGTTCTTACATTCATCAAGGCAGAAGCTTCAAGAGACAGCAAAGTTCTGCAGAACTTCAAAAGCAAAAGGCTAAATAAAGTGTGTTTACCAAAACCATATTCATTTAAGATATGAACCACATAGAAAAAGAGCCAGATAATATAATTAAATAAAATTTAAAATCTATTAAAGTCAACTTGGTTTGAAAAATACCCCACTATAGACTCAGTTTCCATGGAATACATTTTTCCCATTAAAAATTTAGAATAATTTTGTAATATCATTTTGATAGTAACAAGACTGCAAAATGAAATATAAGGAATTATTCCATATCCTTGATAAGCCTACGTAAATTGGAATACTTGTGAAACTGAACTGCAATAAGCTGTTACCACCAGTACTGATAAGGCATTATATTCTTGGTAAAATGATTAACATCTTATGCTATAGCAGTTATCACTATAATTACGTATTTTCATATCTTTAAACTAGATTGTGAGCCTTTTGAAGGCAGAAACTATTCTTCTTTGTATCCCAGTACCTAGAATAAGCTGAGAATAAATGTTTGCTGACCTCAATCAATGATACCCATTTCCTTAAAGCAACAAAAGAATAATGCAGTCATTTAAACGATTTAGAAGTGAAACTGTCTATCTGGCTAGGCAAGGGCAGGTGCCTGAGTGCAGGGAAGACAGAGTGAGCAGCTCTGACTGGTTCTCTCTGCTAAGGTATGTTTTATCTGCAAGAGAGTACAGTCTGCCAAGTTCACCTCACAGTTGCTAAGCCCTGTCTAAGTACACAGTTTGGGTCATAATGCAGGTAGACTGCTCAGACTTCAGAGCAGGTTTGGGGCAATGGGTAAAACAAGGAGGCCTGGGTTCAAGTTCTTGCTGTGTTTCTCGTCATAAGCAATATAGCTTCTCTCCTCTGCAAAACGAGATAATAATAATTCTTCTATCTATCTCACAGGGCTACTTCAGAAACTAAGTAGAATGTAGGGGAAACTATTTTGTAAACCATAAATCACAATCTAGGTTCTTTAGTCAGACACTTCTGTTTCCAAAAACACAGTTCTCAACAGAAAAAGATGGAACTATAAAAAAGGATTAGATCTCTGTCCTAAAGATACAATATATGATTTCTAATTAAAAACTAGGAAGTTAGAGGAAACATTAAAGTGAGAAAAAAATCTGGAAACTTTGTCTAGTATCATCATAAAGAAACCAAACAACTGTCTATCTATTCTCTCCTAGACTAAAGAAAATATTGTATGTCTTCTTTAATAAGAAAAATGTTGAACTTTTCTCAACATAACTACCGAATGCTAACTTGTAACAAACATTAAGTCACTAAACCTCTCTGGGCTTCAGTATGTAAATCTTGGACTGGATTTGAGATTAAGATAATTTTGATTTCAAAAGTCCTATTATCAAACTGCTATATGCATTTTTCCTAAACTTTTGAAGTAAATATATTACGAGTGTTTCTAACTCTACAGTTATGATCAATCTAAGATACTTACATAGGATATAGGATACTTTTCAAGATGATGAAAACTATGTTGTTCTCTCTTCTCTCTCATGCACACAGACACACAGAACCATTTTACTGTTACTTTATAAAAATCTGACTAAGAAAAGGAAAAAACCCAGATATGAATATAAACCACATCTAATCATTCCTACTACAGGGATCTTGCTCTTAAAACACCTTAAAGTAATTTTATTGTTTTCTTATCCTCCTTTTAATGCATGGCAAGCTGCTTTTTCCAATGTATCCCCTGTCTACCTATCTAAAGCAAACACTTCTTGATGACCATGAACTCAGCTCAGAAACACATACATAAATTTATGAACTTACAAGGGGAAGAAAATTAAATAGTAAAGTTCAATTTTGAGTCTAACCAGAGCTGCAGTGACCGAGTGAGAGTGAAGCTCTTGTTTCTTAATACCATATTGCAATAAAAGAAAAAAATTTATGCAAATTGTCTCCTGTGAAGTAATTTCAGAGATCAGGAGACAACAAACATGTAATTTCCTATTCTAGGAACATACATACGAATCTTTGTTTAAAAAAAAAACAGGGTGGTTCAGCATGTGTAAAGTTTCAAAAATAAACAGTCCTACCTTCAGTGGTCATTTTCACTTCTTCCTCTTTCCCTTTCTCTAAAGCTCAAAAGTTTTGTAAATCCAAAGATCACACATTTTTGTTGTTGTTGTTGTTGCAAGTTAAAAGTGAAAGGGATGGATTCAAAGGTTCTTTGGTCAATAATTAATAATTTAAGAGAGGAACAGTATCTACAACCACTCACCTTCGACCCATAGTTTGAATTTAACTAGCTTTAACTATTGCTAAAAAATTGGTGGGTTTTGCTAGAGGAATATTCATGTGTTATACCTAGGAGCTATATTTATATAGTGAAACACCAAAGATAGATAATACCAGTATATTTTTCAGTCATAACAATGTAAAAGGTAGTCTTAATCCATTGCTCTATCACTTCCCAACTAGCTCTTATGCAATAGTGTAAAATACTTAGAGCACACACAATTGTGTAATGAGGTCATTCCAGAATAAGCAAACTAATTAGCAAACTAATTTTTAAAAAGTCTTTTAAAAAATACAAAAAAAGTTCTACAAACAATAGTGAATCATGCCTACCTGTGTGTGTTCTTTGCCTTTTCACACTCATAAATACTACAAATACTGATACATAAAACCCCTTTTCCAAATCAACTAATATTTGATAATGTGCTCAGAACTAGTGGATACTGGTCCACTTACCTCTTTTCGACTTCGTAAGACCTAGCTGGTAAGTGGCTGGAACATGAGGAGCTTCTCCCTCCGTACTTTGAACCTTAAGAAGAGTTTTAAGTAGTTAAAACCAAATGAATCTAAGGCAAACAAGTATAACTTCTTGAATAAATATCTATTAAACAAATCAACCTAACTCAAGTGCACCAAAACATTATATATATATTCAAACTTTAAGAAATCTGACCTCAAAATTATTAGAATGCTCCACAACTAAATTTTCTGATCTATTTTCCAGTTAACAACAGCACTCAAGTTTGTAGCAAAGAAAAATAACTGATGGAAATTAGTGCATCAGACGTGCACTAGCTTCCATCATTTTACCCTGTAACGGTTAGTTCTTAAATAGTAAAGAACATCGTAGTCAAGTGTGCAAACTAGCCCAACATATGGGTTTTCAACCTTGAATAAATTTTAATAACTGCTTCATTCAAAAAAAATGTTGCTATTATATGAAAAACAGATCCATAAGGAAAAGTTCTCTATACGTTAAACTTCAAAGTAGGGTAAATCCCAGGAGAAACACTAATACACTCACTACAGCACATTATGACCAACACACAGTTGAGGTAATTATAAGTCTCGCATCTTTGAAAATAGAACACAGTGCTACCACTGCAGAATTTCTAAACTCCCCCAAACTTTCAGGTATCAAAAATTGCTCAGGTTTAAGACTGCTTTGTCCTGAAATTCTTTCAAGACATAACTTGGGAGCTGTATGTGGAAAAGCAGGTTTCATTACAGAACTAAAATAATGAAAGATATTAACCATAAATCTTCCCTGAAAACACTGTTCAAAGAACATATCAAACTTAGTTGTCTTTTTGTGTTTATTTTTCTATCTGCACAAGTACATAATTTAGAAATTTTCAGATTCCTAAATCACCACCTCCACCCCACAAACACTCTGTCTATTCTAACATAATTAACTCTATGTCAACATTAAATACATAGGGAATGGGCAAGATGCACGGTAATTTCTGTCACTTTACTCTGTAATGATTGGTTCTTAAATCATAAAGAACATCCTAGTAAAGTGTGGTACCTAGCTGAACATATGGGTTTTCAACCTTGAAAAAAAAAATCAAAGCGCTAATAGTTAACACATTTTAGGGAAAACTCTGGTAGTTTTTAGTTATGAAGCTATTCAAGAATAAGAAATATTCCAAAGGAATAAGAGTGAAATAACCAACATTTTTAAAAGCCCAAAGGTTAAAGATAGTATTACCCAATTTAAAATTTGCTCTAATTTGTGATTTCTTTGCTCTACATAGCTCCAGGAACCGAAGTTTATGAATCTTTTGAAAACTGAAAGCACACTACTCATGCAAAACCATCACCTGTAGATCAGATATATAAAAATAGATTCTACTATTCTTTGTTATCTTGTTAAAATTAGAATAATTCTTCAAAGCAGCAGATACATGTTCAACAGGAAAACCATTGTCTTGTATGCAAGGGAACAATGTGCGTTTTCTTTTTATATTCAATAAAATGTCTATTATTAGCTTCTATTCAGGCTCGGTCTACTTCAAGTATCTTTCTGTAAAGTAAATATCAACCAGATCAAAAAATTATAGCAGAATTCCAATGCCTCTGCATTTATGTTCTAGGAATACTGGCTCAGGCACAGCATTAATATACCAAATCTCTCACTGTCATGTTTTTTTTAAATTTAATCTATTTATTTATTTTGAGACTGGGTTATGAGACTGGGTAATTTTTGTATTTTTGGTAGAGATGGGGTTTCACCATGTTGCCCAGGCTGGGGTCTCAAACTCCTGGGCTCAAGCGATCCACCTGCCACAGCCTTCCAAGTGCTGGGATTAAAGGTGTGAGCCGCCGCACCCGGCTGCTCACCTTTAAACACAGAATTATCACATATTCTATTTCCTTAGACTTATGAAATTAATCACAAAATAACATGACTTTAATAAACACATATCATCAGCATTCTATTCTTCAAGATGCTACTCAATGGCAAAAACAAATCTACTCTCTCCTTTTACTACAAACTCCATAATTAAGTGCAAGAAAGGAGCACTTCAAAAAGCTGAGACAGTCACATTTTACTAATAAAACTAAAGTTGGGATTCTTCTTGTTTACTCAGCAAAATCAGAGTACCCACTTGCTGAAGAGAGAAACATACATGCTAGTGATAATGGGTGAATTTCTTATTTTATTATTGGTCACAATTGTGCAAAAGGCGGCAGTCAAATTTGAGATGGGGTACACCACAGAGAATTATGAAGCAAATATAGAACACAGAATTTAGATTTATGTGACAAGATTTTCCCTATTCAGTGGTTTCAAATGCTCCGTAGAATTCTGGTCATTTGCTATAAGCAGCCTTTCATAATTAACAAGAATAGCCAAATAAAACTGAATTAGAATGATGAGTAATGGGTGTTCATGATATTATTTTCTCTAATCTTCAAGTAAGTTTGAAACTTTTCATAACAAAACTGTTTCATAATATAAAAAAAAAAAAAAACCACTAAACCAAAGTGATAAAATTGCATGGTCTCAATGTTTTGGGATTCAAAGATGAAAAACAGCTTTAGAATAACCCACACATTTGGGTTACTTCATTTAAAAAAGTTTTCATGAAACAATGACTGTATCTTTCTAAATCAATGTTCTGCTAAAATGACAGGCACTCACTTTGGTTTCTTTCTCTTGTTTAAAAAATGTACTTTTTGTTTCAGTGAACCACTTTGGTTTCTTAACAGCTGTCATGTTTACCTTGACTAAGAGGGATCTTCTAGGCACAATACTACTGTATTGTATTGCACAGGACAGCAATACATGGATGTTCTAACTCAAATAACCCTTCCTCTAAAGTTTAAAAAGAGACTGTATAGCTGTCATCATTGAATAAACATTGTATATCAAAATGGTTTTCAAAGAAAATCAAAACTAGAGCTTTAGAAATTACAATTCTGTCTAATTTTTAATGACAGCTCAAAAAAATGTCAGAGGAAATCATTCTTTTTCCAAAGTAGTAGCATGGTGCTGTGCATCAGATGATTAGTTCTTGTACAATGCCTGACCATACCAACATATCTGACCTTCACCAAGTTGTATAGTATAGTCACAAGTAACGTGAATTCAAGTCTTATTCATGCCACTTACTGGCTAACGGCCTCTGACAATTATCTGCGATAAATATCCGTATTTTTTTTTTTTATTTCATTTTTTTGAAACAAGGTCTCGTTCTGTTGCCCAGGCTGGAGTGCAGTGGTGGAATCATGGCTCACTGCAGCCTCAACTGCCTGGGCTCAAGTGATTCTCCCACCTCAGCCTTTGGAGAAGTGGGACTACAGACATGCACCACCATGCACGGCTAATTTTAAAACTATTTGTAGAGACAAGTCATGCTATGTTGTCCAGGCTGGTCTCTAACTTCTGGGCTCAAGTGATCCTCCTGCCTCAGCCTCCACACAGTGCTGGGATTACAGGTGTGAATCACCATGCTCAGCCTCAAAATTAAAATTAACAGCAAAATTAAAATTAAAATTTCTACCTCATAGGTCCTTGGGGTGATCAAATGTAACTGTAAGTCAAAGTACTTTCAAACAGTAAAGTAGTAAGAATGTACAACAGGAGATCCTCCTCTGCCATCCTCCACTGACACCCGCTGTGCTCCTTCCCCCTGTGAAGCACTGATATCAAAAGGAATATTATAGCCCTCAGAAAGATGGTGAAGAACCACTGCTATAAAACAATATCAAATGAGGGAGGGGATGCTTCCTCATTTGTAAAGGGAAGAAACTAGAAAATGAATAAAGTATCTCTTTCCGTACTAGTTTATGATTCTATAAATTACTTGCAAATGTTTATCTTAAACAAATACTATCGAGTTTTACACATACACACAAAAATATCATTTATTTTTACTGTCAGGTAAATTTTCAATAAAAATTGACTAAGGTCTTTTAGGTAAATATCAAATAACAAAACAGTGGTTAATTGGGCTTTAGAGTAGCAGATATCTGTGCATGTCATATGTTAGAGTTCATATTCCAGGGCAGGCTTATCTTCAAAACATACACAGTTACATTTAAAAGGCCAAAGGAACAACTTAATTATCTGTCAAATATCTGACTGATGTGGGATTATTTTAACTCAGACCAATAAACATAGAAAAATCCTAAAACTTAACAGCTAAAAATGAGAAGTCAAGTACATTAGTTAAATCAATAATTAGTATGAAGACAGGATTAGAAACAGTTACTAACACATCAGTAGCTTAAAAAAGATTATGTGTATATCCAATAATGGTTATATTTAAATAAAAATTCATTTAAAGGTCAAGAAGACCACACAGTCAACTTCTTACAGAAATGCTGAGATAAAAGTTCTCCTTCTTAAGTTTTTCCTTTACATCTAAAAGATGAACATCTGCTTGAGAAGGATCATTTTGGTTTAACTTGTGAATCATTCACACTACTAATCTATGGCTTCAGAGAGTTACCATGACGTATTCAAAATAAGCCATTCAAGAAGAACACAAGAATTAATGAAGCAAGTCATTTGGAATAATTAGAAATTCAAGAACAGGATTTAATAACTTTTTATAAATAGTTATAGGCTGGGTGTGGTGGCTCACACCTGTAATCCCAGCATTTTGGGAGGCCGAGGTGGTCAGATCACGAGGTCAGGAGTTTGAGACCAGCCTGGCCAACGTAGTGAAACCCCATCTCTACTAAAAATACAAAAAATTAGCTGGCTGTGGTGGTATGTGCCTGTAATCCCAGCTACTCAGGAAGCTGAGGCAGGAGAATTACATGAACCCAGGAGGCAGACGTTGCAGTTAGCCAAGATTGCACCACTGCACTCCCGGGTGACAATGCGCGACTCCGTCTCAAAAAAAAAAAAAAAAGAAAAAACATCGTTATAAACATTCATAACTATTTTAAACAGTCTACAAGACACTTTATAAGGCAAGTTGACTTTTAACTGAAAGTCTCTGGCCTTTTCCTTTTCTAACATAAGAAACAGACACTTCATTGTACCAGGCCAGGAGCAGTCTCATCATCTATTTAGCTCTCTTTACATTTAAGTATTTTGTCTCTTTGCTTCTGGTGACTGTTGGATCTTACCTCTTGTCTCAGATGGATTAGGCAGCTTCATGCAGTCAACATATCTGCAACATTTTCTCCTTCCTAGCTTCCTAAAGCAGCTCATGCTCAGATAATGTTTCTGAGAACTGATTTACTGAGACAGAGGGAGCTCTAACTTATATTTACTCATGGTTTTCACAAGAAGAAAATTCCCAGCAAGAATCAAACCTCATGGAAAGAGGTCCAAAAGAAAAATAGCAACAAACTACACTGAATAGGATCTAAAAGTCAGTTTCAATAAGATTGTTCTCTTCATTTGTCAATATGATTCAAGTGTTTGGGAGAAGAGGAAATTAAAGTTAACACATTATTTCCTTTATCCATTGTTCTACAAGCTCTCTTTAATGTTCCCTTAGGGATGAAAACACACTTCCAGGAGGTTTTTATCCATATTTTAAATATATCTGAAGATACATTATTTTCTTTAAAATTCCCCATATTTACAATGTAGCTGTGGTCGACCATAAATTCATTTAAAAAAAAAATCTCCCATTATTCTTCCACCAATGCATGTAATCTTGTACTTCAAAAAAATGTTCACGTCAATGCTACATTGCTTTCTTCATTAACCTTTTTTGCCAGTAGAGGGGGCAAAAAACCCCCAGACTATCATTAAAGGTTAACTTGCCACAAAAGTACATCTAGCACTTTATAAGTGTTTAAAAAACCTTTTGTGTATGGCATCTTAAAAAATTTTAAAAACTACAGCTTAGAATTCAGGAATTTTAGAAATTAAAAATAAACTTCCTTGACTTCTTTGAAGAGTGACTTACTTGAAAATATGAGTGTTGTTCACTCGGAGTCGCCAATATCAGATTTGCAATTACCTAACATAATTTGTTTAGATCTTTATGCTCTGCTATTGTATTAAACAAGGAAATTAACTGCCATATCTAATTGTCATAGAAGAGGGCCCTAATGGTAGGCAAAAATTTACACTTTAATTATGAGTGCTGGAACAAGTTTAGACCAAAACAAAGTCAAAAAGTTATCAGAGTGAAAAAGAACAAACAGAGGTTTTAATGTAGTCATCACAGTCATCTTCCATACTCATTACGATGAGAAATAAATTATACCAGGAGGTAAAAAGATAGAAGAAATATAAACATATACAAAGAAATAAAAGAAAAAAAGCTCAAAATGTAAAATATTCCAAGGTGCTGCTCCTACTCCCTTTTTATTTCACTATTCAGTTGTAATTAAAGTATTAACAGACCACAAAAAGGCAAAAATCTGTATCAGCAACTGAAATTTTACAATAAATGAAAAATCTTCACTAATCTGAGGGAGGGAGGGAGGGAGCAAGAGAGAGAGACACTCACCTAAGAGGACATTTATGAGCTGAATCAATTATTTCATTTTCTAATTCCCTAAAATAATGGTGTGTGATGTTAAAACTACTGTGAACTATTACTAAAACGCATCTAATGTAATAAATTACAAAAGACAAATTGCGCATTATATAATTTATAGCCACAACTCTTCATTAGCATACATATGCCTCAGTTTCCTCATGTATAAAATGAGACCACTACCATGTGCCTCACAGACTGCAATGAAGTACTTCAAGAGCCAAGAACAGTGCCCAGCACAGGGTAGATGCTTGGTAAAATCAGTTTTCCTGCCCCAAGCTATTCAGCTCCTACTATTCAGAAGCAGTTTTAGCTGAACCTCATTCAAAATAAGTATCTTTTATCTTTTCCAATTAAAAATTTATGTTAACTATCAGGTATATTACTGGACACAAATAACAAGTAACCAAACATTGGTCTTTTGGGCTTGCAGAAACCCTATTCAGTGGCCTTTCAAACCTGCTAATTCTAGGGTCCCTATCCTCCCCATGCAGGTACGTAATATCTTCATGTTCTTTCCAGTCATATAACAAGAACTATCCCCAAAGCCGCCTTCACATATCCTTACCACTGAGATATGTTAAGAAAAGCTTGCCCAAAGGCATACAGTCATTCAGTGGCAGACAAAACTCAAAGCCCTGTTTGATTTCAAAGCCTGTGTTTCTAACTATTATGCAATATTGCTTTGAATTTAAATATACTCTCTCAGGGCTTTCTTGAGCATCAAAATCTTACCCTTGAGAGAGAAAAGAGGGTTAAGGTTCAAATATCAACTAGTGGATAAAGATCTGGAGGAGTTACTGAACTGTCCCATTACCTCGACATCACATTATCCTGAGACCAATTCTTGGTTTGTGAAACATAAACCTGGAAAGTCAAAATTAGAATAAATTTTTCTAGTATAAATCTATTAGCTACCTCTCATTTTATAAGCATTTTTGGTACTTTTTTTCCTAGTCTGCAACTTGAAACCAGTCTCAGTAATTTTTTACCTACCTCTTCCATTTCGAAGGAGTCCTTCTGCTGTGTCATTATATTTCTTATGGATGGTATTGTCAGTGGTGCACAAGGCTCTTTTTCAGGTGTGGATATATGGACACTTTTCAGCTCACTGCTATTTTCCAGCTCACTGTGGCTGGATATGTTGAAATCACTATCTAATTTGGATTCTACAATACCAGATTCCTCACCCAGTTTACTCTCATGACTTTGAGTTTCTTTACTTTGTTCATTTTCAGTTCCTTGGTTAAAATTACTATTTGCTTCATCAGAAATTCTATCACTATCAGCATTCTCCGTAACAGCTGCTGAACTACCAGAGACTTCTTCTTTAACTGTAGCCAACATAGAAGATGACTCTTTCTTCTTCATAATTTTTTGAGACTTTTGATCGTTTTTATTGCCACTTTCTTCAATCACTGAAACATTTAGAATCTTTCCTTTTTCAGCTGATGGAGAAGGACTACTACTTTCTCCTTTCTCTGTTTTATCAACACATAAATTCAGTTTTGAGAGTGTTTTCATTAAACGATTTGCAGTGTTACTTCGAGTTAAAGGTGGAGGTGGGTCTGTCTCCTTGTTAGAGGTCACTGAGGACATACTTCCAATTCTCTGCAGGGGCGTCCCGGAGACTTGAGAATATAAAGAAGAAAACGCATTGGCCACAGTAGTAAGCACTTCAATTTGACGAAAACGGCCTACCAAAAGAAACAATATTAATGATATGTTTATATTTATATATATACATACACATATATTAAATGCATATTATTGTTTAGAATTCCAAAAACTACACTTAGATCACAAAGATTATAAAACCCTATTTTTTCCTCATCTAACACTTAAACCTTCTCTACATTCACTGGGTGGGAAGGAGCAAGATTTTTACTCTAAGCACTAGAATTTGTATTTTTAAAAAATCAGAAATAAGCACAAAGCATAATGGCAACATTGAATAAAACAGAAAGAACTAGCTATTGAATCTACAGTTGTGATTCTATTCTGAAGTCTTGAACTCCATTAAGACTCTTTCAAAATTCTCCTAAGAAAATGCATGTAAGCATATATTTTATACCTAATTTGCAGGGTGAGGGATTTATTGATCTCTTAAAACTGATCCATGAACAATGCAGGATTGGAATCCTATTTTTGGAATCTTTGGCTAACAGAAAGAAAACAAGCAAAGATATGAGTGAAACTGATCAAATTAGCCAGACTAGTTCCTGAAACAGACTGACTTCATTTAAGATTAACAAGGCTCCTCTCCTACTTCTTTTCTTCTTGAATAAAAGCAATCTGTAGACAACAATAAGGTTCTGCAAATAAGTTATGGTAGCACTTAAGTCAGGAATTGGGGAGGAGGGGAAAAATAGGCAAATTAACCACTATAAATGGAGTAATAAAATAGCTTAATTTTAACATGTAAAAATGGCTTTTGCGTTAATCAATCTCTTTACTTTCCAGTGCTATTCCTGAAAATTAAGGCTTTAAAATAAGACCATCTTGCTGTAGATGCTATAATTTAAGAAAATAATATGCCTAACACTTAAAAATCTTACTTGTTAAAGCATAATTTGGGTTTTCTACTTCCATCCGTTGCATCTGAGCACTCAAAAATACTTTAATATCTATCCCTTTGGCAAAGGATGATGAATTAAAAAATCTGGAAGGAATTTTAGAAGCAATATCTGGTTCATCACGTCCAAATCCAAGATTATAAAGAATTTCTTCAGGATCTTCCTCATAAAGTTCCAACAATTCTGAAACACTACAAAAAAAGGGGGCAAAAAAGGAAACATGAAAATATAAAATAAATTGATAGTCCACACCACATTATAAATGAATACATATTACTGATTTCCTGTGATAAAATCTTTTTTCTCAGCTTCTGCTCTGGAAACCATTATTTATTTTACCATGTTTACACATGTGTACTGGGGAATAAATAGCCCTTATAAAGGGTTCATTGTCTCAAGTTGCTAGAGTTGCAGAAAAGAGCTAACCCCAACGAACACAGTCAGAGATTCCCTACGTGATTCCTCACCTTATTTGTTTTGTCATTTTAAGAGATTCCCTGTAAAGCAGCTAAAACAAGTAGAAGACAGATGATGAAGAATAAGGAATGAACAGATTAAAGCAGAAATTAAAAGGAACTGAGGGACATTTTGTGAAATTTGAGCTTTTCTGTTATCCTTGTCCTAGGAGTGGCAATTGTCCTAGGAGGAACAATAAAGATAACAAGCTGATTTCAGAGAAGCGAGGGAGGAGCTTACTTTCAACTTCTCTCCAACCACTTCCACTCAGGAAGTAGGAGGAGTAAGGTACAGAGAGTGTGGGTTACACAAAGGTAACTACTCTAATCCTATTGGGAATTAAATATTTAGTATCCCTTCTCTCTCATACCAGTGATAATCCAAGCTTTCTAAGACTCACTGAAGAAAACAGGAAAGTTAGAGATGGAACTTCAACAGAGAGACATTTCAATTTGTTTCAGACAAAATGCTCAGATTCTAATATTATAATTTGGATAACAGTTTAAACTGGATTCCATAGGCACATGCACTGATGTATTTTAATATACTATATGTGCGGGCGGGAGAGGGGCAAGGGTATTTTTCTGTTTGGCTTTTTTGAGACAGCGTCTCACTCTGTCAGCCAAGTTGAAATGGAGTGGCACAATTATAGCTCACTGCAGCCTCAACCTCCTGGGTACCACTTCAGCCTTCCAAGTGGTTGTGACTACAGGTGGATCCCACCATACCCAGCTAATTTTTGCATTTTTTGTAAAGACAGGGTTTCGCCGTTTCCCCATATTGCTCAGGCTGGTCTTGAATTCCTAAGCTCAAGTAATCCACCCACTTTGACACTCCAAAGCACTGGGATTACCGGTGTCAGCCACTGGGCCTGGCTATACTATATATTTGAAAGATCTTTGGTTTAATGTGTTGAAAAAAAGTATGCTTAAATATCAAGCTGTAACTTAGAAAAATTTATTCTGATTTTTGTGTCAGAGTTAACTCAAGTCCTTAACAATGAATTTTGGTTCTCTACAACTACAAGTTACTCCGCTATGGAGTTCCTCTTTCAGGCTGTTGAGAGGGCTCAAAATACTCATTTATGGGTTCCAGCAGCAGTATAAGCCTATTTATTGCATTTTATTTAATCTCAAAGTAAAACAAAACAAAACAAAACAAAACAAAAAGCTCCTATCAGTTGTGCTGGTACAGGAAACGCTCTTTTTGTGTTCTTTCTGATTTCATATGATCAAGGTCAAATCCAAGATTGAAAAAATGATAAGAGTAGGTCATCTATAGCACAATGTAATTCCAACACAATTTCAGAATAAGTTACCTTGAAACTGTCCCACTACTTTTCCCAGATCCAGTGGAATTCATACTTCTCCCTTTCTGATGAAACTGTAATCTTCTCTCTTTGGCCAAGATATTATTGCTACGAACAAAATCAGATTATATAAAACTTTATAACTTTATTTTCATTAAAGGTCTTCATTTTTTAAAAGAAATAGAACAAAACAGCTACATACCAGTTTTCAATTTGAGCATCACTTTCATGGAGGTGGTTGGCTACAGGTAAAAACAATAAACGTAGAGCACAATTGTTAGTAGGACTATAACTACTATGATACAATTATCAAGAAATCTAATTACCTACAATATTAGAATTAAATGCCAAATATATTAAACACTTATCTTGGTCCATTAAATCTGCATTATTAAAAGTGATATACAGATAGATAAGAACAGGGCCAGGAGCTTTTGAAGGGTGTTTTTGTGTTGTGGCAACATGAAACTAACTACTCTCACTTGAGTGCTTAAAATAAAAAAACGTATAGGGAACCAGTTAAATTTCTTTAACAGGTTAGAAATAAGTAATGAGGAAGATATGTACCATATATGTGGTACTAATTATTAAATTTAAAAGCTATTAATGAATAATATCTTAAGAGGAAAACATGATTTAACATTAAGTGTGGCAATAGTATATGTCAGTTTCTAATGTGAATTTTTTTTAAGGTTATAACTGATTTTTCACACATATAACATGAAAATTTCTACTTATTTCAATATAAACTTTCTTTTAAAAATTGCCTTTCAACTTTATGATAGAACTTTAGCTTAAAGTTCTAAACAGGTAAGTGTTAATGTTTAAAGTTAAATTTATAGACAAATACAAAGAATAAAATTAATTATAAACACATCTATTTCAGCACACATGAATTGCTTTTCATTTCTGATCTACAAAGTTATGACAATTTTGTGTTTCTTTGTACATCCACCAGAAAGGTGCCTAACTCACAGCACTCAGTAATTATTTACTTAATGAATGGAAATAGCCTTGAAATAATTTTCAGTAAAACAACATAATAGATTTACTCTTTCATGAGACTCCTTTTTAGGTTCTGGTTTCCAATAAAATCATTCAATATTATCAAACTACCAAGGCAAATATCAAAAGTGCAAAGTGCATTTTAATAACGGATTGACAACATGTTCAATTGTACTGAGTGGGAATCAGTAAGTTTAAGCTCTTTATAGAGCTTGAAAATATATGAACAGAAATAATAAGAACTAATATATTTGCATATTCCAGAGTTTTAAATGTTAGAAGGTTCTAAATAAGTAATTTACTTTACAGATGCATTTGAAACAGGAAAAAATCAAGAATATTAAATTCAATGTATAAATTCACTATTCACCAACTTGTAAGCTTTAAAGACTTTTTAAAAATCCTTGTTTTTTTTAAAAAAGTACACATTAATAACTGAGCTATACAGCTATGAATAATCTATGCAATTTGATCAATGAGCTATAAAATAGCTTTTAAAACACCAGTAAAATAATTAAAAATTCTTATTTTTTGTACAAGAAAGCTTTATTATAAATCTACTGGAAAACATTACATAACTTGTAAAAACTTTTAAATAGCACAACACACTTTTTAAAATCTAATGCTTTCTGGAATAAACACCAGCATGATTTCTAATAAAATTCTATTAGCTCTGCTATTTTGTCTTTCCCCTTTAATTTTCTAAAAATCAGGAAAATGGGGAAAAGACAGGAGACACTTAAATGCAAAGAGAAAGACAAGCTGCAGCTGTAAGTATGACATAAGTCTATTTTGCGCTAAAAATAAGCTTCAATTTTGTTTTCCCATGTATAAATATTTAAGTGTCCTTCCTTTTTCAGGACAATTCTTCCCTCAGTTATATTACCACGGTTTGTTACAAACTGTTCCTTTAAGCATTTAGTCCAAGAAAGACAGATGGACACTTCACATAGTTTTTCAGAGTCATCCCTACATGTATCCTACAGACTATGACTAGATTATTAACAAAGAAAGGTAATGTAAAATATGCCTGAGCCATTTTCAAGACCTTTAAATTTAGCTTGAGGATCATAAACCTGAAACCATTCAGCTTTCTCATTTTTTTTAAATTTGAAAACTACACAAAAATACAGTTCTTCCAAACAAACATACCTTCAGCTCCCAATGACAAATCATCTTCAAAACTTCCTCCATTTCTCACAAGCACACCTGAAAGACACATTTGAAAACTCATCCTGGTGTTCTGTTCCTCTCCACCCTCATATAAAATCACTGTTTTAGTTAAATTCACCCAGCAAAATATCTTATACAGTAAAATCTTTCAGACTTGAATGTACTCAGACATTATTCTGATTATATAACTTCAAGAAGCAGGTATAAGCTTTTACTTTAACGTAAAGAAACCACTTTTCCAGCAACATAAAGTTCTCAGAAGCCAACCTATAGGCTGTTTTAAACTTATATTTTTGAAGATGTTCAATCAGACTACATACCAAGAGTTTCATGGAAAACCAGATCCTGGAGCAAATATTCTTCTTATCCATCTCATATTAAGTCAGGAGCTGGATTTTCCTGACACTGTAAATGTTTTTTTATATGCCTTGCCACTGCCTGCACATGCTTGTTGTACTTTGAACTTTAGAATTCTGTCTTGAACAGGTGGTAAAATTTTAGGTGTGGCAATTTCAGTAAATGTAAGCAAAGAAATGCTGCACGAAAGTTGACTAAACTTTTGTTCACTCAATAAGTATTTTCCTTATATTTGCATATTATATATTCATATTTAATTAGTCTTTATAATACCTAACTGGACAATAAAGATATAAGTTTCACGTTGTGAAAAGGCTAGGCAATTTGCTTAAACTCCCTACTGTTTTACGGTTTATAACAAAGTTTCTCCATTTTGCTTCTAGCTCAGAATAGCATATACTATAAACATGAATATCACTTTTATAAGTCATATATACACTTTTACCCAGAGGACAAAGAAGTAGAACTGTCATAAAGAACAGATTTAGAAAGGCAACCTTCTCTTACCCTTGAGTGTACTACTGCTTTGTTCATCCAGTGAGGCTCCCAAAGGTGTACTGAAACCATATAAACGTATAAGCCTTAGTCTTGTGAAAGGCTATTTGGAAAGTTGTCATTACACAGCCTTACTTAAAGAGTTACAGCTCAATAAGCTTCTAATCACAGTTAAACTCTCCTCCAAAAACACACAAGGAATGCAAGTAGATTACATAAGTAATATTCACTAACTAAGCAAATACCTGCCATCAGGTCAGTTCAGCAGGAATGATTTAATCATGTCTGATGTGCTAACAATTAGGGGCAAAAATGGCAATGACAAATGATTTGAATTGGCATTTTTCTTTGCAAAAAAGAGAGAATGACTGACAATAAGCATTAAGAAAATGTCTGTTCTTCTCAACCCCTTCCATCAAAAAAGAAAACAGAATTAGAAGAAAACAAATCTTCAGTCATAGGTAACTTAACCTTAATAAAATTAAAAAGTGAAGAGTAGTTGGAAATGAGGCCCAATAGTTTCCTTAAACCTCATCTGTTAATCTATCACTAGCATTTCAGAGCATCACCTAATGCCTCCCCCTTGCCCCAACAACTATCTTTTTATGTAAATGTAGAAGCTTGAGATTCGCTTTGTTTTTAAGCTAAAAAATATATATATTCTTCATTTAACTTTGAAAATTACTAAAAAGTTGACTTGAGAATCAACATTAAGATTAGCCATTGCTAAAATTTTTTCATTCTTGTAGTTCAAATACAGATGAGAGAAATATCTTTTTTTCAAATACAAAAATAAACACTTTTAATTCTCTGAAACCAAGTTATAGTAAGAAACACATTGTTTTATATTGGAGGGTCTGTTTTGTGATGCACACCTTTCTTCAGTAACAATTTATAGCTGTTAAAAATTCACGAGACATGGGATCAATCATGAAAATATCAGTTTCAAGGAAATGTTACTGAAATGCCAATTAAAGGTTAAAACTTTCTACAAGTATACTAACAATGGCAGCTCTTTAAAACTTAGTGCTTTTGAAACGTAAAAGAATCACAAGCAATTACCATAAATATATTAATAAAAGCTTTAATCTATTTTTTGCATATATTTTAATAAAATTCTAATGTATGTCTTTAAAAAGTCATCCTTCCCTGATGGCTACTTTCTTGGATGTAAACATTGTATTACTCTGTCCACAGATGTCTCTACTGGTCTATGCACTAACAGAAAATGGTAGATAAGCAGAGTAACAGGAATCCTCCTTCGAAAACAAATATCTTACTTTTATAGTTGCTCCCTTCCAAATTCTATCAAAATCTCTACCATTTCTTAAATGTTAATTCAAGCAGTTTTTACTTAGTCCCCCCACAAATGGTTATCAAAATAAAGACTCCCTTTAAGGAAAGAAAACACGGTATCTTTATTCAGGATATGGACGGCACTAAGAAACAAAGACTATTTGAGAACTTATCAAGTGGGTAAAATGCTGTCTTCAGGTCATTTGTACATAATAAACAAAATACATAGATGCCCAACTCTGAGAAGGAACTTGAGTTGTTATTTAAAACAAAAATACAGATGCAACATATCCTAAGTCGAATCTGTGATAATATAGCCAAGATTAAAAGACTACTTGTTCTAGCTTTCCTGGATACAAATGAATGCCACTCTTGTGTAGAATAGGTGCAACTGTAGGAACAAGAAGGTAATCCATGAGAGAAGGAGCAGCAGACTACAGAATCTGCCCACATAAATCAGTATTGGCAACAAAACTTCTGAAATTGTCAGGGATTGACTGTGCCCTGGTGAATGTCAACATTTGCCTACTGCATTTGTCTCAAAAAAGATGCACTTATTTACTGTCTAATTGATAGGATCTCTTATACAATCTTAAATCCTATATGTCATTAAACTATAGTGTGATTCTTCTCTTGTTCTTAATTTTTAAAATTCTTTTGAATATGCACTTGAATTTAAACAATAAAACATTATAAATGTATTTGTAATGCTAAGCCTATTTTAAGAAACCTAAAGTAAGCCAATACTGTACTTAGGACTGTATTTAAATAAAGAGTCAGATTGGAGGCTTTAAAGGACTTAAGTAAAAGTTACAAAACAACTTCTCAAACACATTTCTAAGTGGAAACCTGAAAGATACTAGTTTTATCAGATCTCACCCAAAAGGTCTTGAACATGTACATTCAAAATTTCAAGCTTTTACATTATAGACTATTTTAGTATTTAACAATTAAATGAACCAATAGCACATTAATACAATTTCTTGATCCATACTTTGAGTGAAGTATCTAATATCTAAGGCTTATCTGAAAACTGGGAGATTGATTTACAGCTAGATTGTAAATCTGGGGTCCAAGGACTTCAAGCAGTGTATTTGCCTCTGTGCATCTTTAAACAGAAGTTATTCCATATATGTCATCATATTTCAGAAGGGTCTATGACACTTCCAATAAAGGGTACGAGTTCTGTAATAAAGAGTGTTCAATAAGGTTCCAGTCGATTCATCAAAACAAGGCATTAATATCATGGTAGCCAATATCTTGTCTGTCTTTAGAGGAGGCAAACTGGCATATGAATCACTTTCCACAACAAAACAAAACAAACTACCCTAACTCTAATATTTGAACAAAATATTAAGAAAATCTAAATTGAGAAAGCAAAAATATGCTCGAAAGCAAACACCAACAAAAGTTTAAAGGCTACATTCCTGATTTTACAACTAGCAAAGTGGAATAAGAAACAAGTACATTTTGCTGTAGTCAGATTTACGTGCAACATGATTCATCTCCTCTGTATTTTATCAAACATTTTTGTACCAGTTGCCAAAGCATGTAATTAAACAGATTTATGCAGTCTGAATGCTTTTAAAAGTTCTATTCCCTGAGAATTCCAGTGCCATCTGACAATTCCATGTTCAAGAAGTAAACTATAAGTACAAAGTTAGCTAGTTTTAATAGCTCCCCAAACAGAAACAAAATTAAAGCCCATTTAGTGTAGTTAGGTAAATTAAACTCGTCTAAAACACATTTGAAAGGAAAATGATTCCGTGCCAGTTGTACAGATGCCAAAACTAAAGCAAAACAAAATATCCTGTTCGAGATGTGAGAATTCTTTCAAATAAAAACAGAACAAATATGGCATGATTATCTGTTCTGGATTTCTGATCTCTGATGCTAACACGATGCGTGAGTAGCTCAAGTCCTAACTGTAAAGTCAACACGGTCACCAAATAATCAGCGGTCACAGCACTTCCATTTCTAATCGCTTAGAGGAGGAAGCTATCCGCCGGCTCACTTTCCGGTTTGTAGCTTACAACGGTCGCGGGACCCACAGGGACGCGGCCCGAGTGGCTCTGCTCCGGCGTCCCGTCCGCACGGATCTCCCCCGGGACGCGGGCGGACCAGGGAGCACTCACCGGCAGTCCTTGAGCCATATCGCGATCTTCTCGTTGGGCACGTTTCCTGGGGGTAGAGAGAGGGGACAGCACGTTACCACCCAGGAGCACTACGACGGCGGAGTCACCCTGGACCCTCCCAAGTAGGAAAATCTACCACGGCAAATGCAGCCTAAGCGACACGTCTCAGTGTCCCTTGGCAGGGAAATCGGATGGCACCCAGTTGTCTGTGTTGACGCTGGGGGCGCCTCGTTCAGCGCGCGCGTTTGAAGGTCGGAAGTGTCCCCTCTCCCCTCGGCCTACCGTGCCCGAGGCTCTCCCAGAACTCGTGGCAGGCGCCCAGGGCGCACGAGACTCTCCCCAGCCCACCAGCCTCCCCCCGGAGCCCGGCCGGGAGCACCGACCTCTTCCCCCCGCTGCCGGCAGCTGCGCGCCGGGGAGGTCCTCCTCCTCGTCCTCCTCCTCGTCCTGCGTCGTCGCTTCTGTGGACAGATCCTCCGTCTCCGACGCTTGCCAGGAGCTGCGGCACTTGGCCCAGGCCTTCCTCCTGCGACTCGCCACTTGCCACTCCAGTTCCTCCTCCGCCTCCGCCGACGACGACAGGGGCCGGTCCATGGCCGCACTGGGGGCTCCGCTACCCCAGCCGGACCCTGCGCGAGACAAGGCGGCGGCAGGGACCCCCGCCCTTGCTGTCAGCGCCCGGCCGGGCAGGGGGCCCCGGGGAGCTGAAGCGGGCGCCGGAGGAGGAGGAGGAGGAGGAGGGGACAGGGAGGGAGGGAGGGAAGGAAGGGGAGGGAAGGGGCGGAGGGCCGGCGCTTCACATGAAGGCGGCCGGGCGCGCGCGGGAGCGCTAGTGGCCCGAGGGAGCGCGGCTGGGAGCCGAGCGCCCGCCCGGCCCCTGCTCCCCACCCCCTGCCTGACGCGCCCGGAGCAGGCCGGCCGCTGCGCGTCTGCGCGCCTTCCCTCGGCGGCGGCCCACGCCCCCTTCCGGCCGGGGCCGCGCGGGGCGCGGTAGGGCGGGGCGCGCCCGGCGCGACGCGGAGCAGGCCAGCCCCCGACTACTGCCCGCGGAATGGGCAAGATTAGTTTGTTAATAATCTTTCCTCCTCTCCTCCTCCTCCTCCCTCACCTAAAAATAGAACGTAAGTGGGGAGGCCAAGTCTCACAAAACATCCCCCGCGAGAAAACAAGTGTCTGCTTGGGCACCCTGAAACATACACTTGAAAGAGTCGCCTGAATATAGACTCTTTAGTGTCCAAGGAATTGGGGTAAGGACGGAAAGAGGTGCTTGATTGGTGTTGCCAAAATGTAAAAACTGCAAAAGACTAAGCTTCCTGGAGTGCTACTTTCATACTTAAAGTTATTTATCGTGTTTATGTTATGAATGAAAATGAATTGTGAAAGGATATTTAATCTGGAAATTTCACATTGAAGTTGGACTTTGGTGAGGGAGAATAGAGGAAACAATTGGGACAATGTGGAGATAGTTGCTTGGATTTTGGTGAGACAGCATGATACAAGAAACAAATGATGTCAGGGTTCAAAACTTTTTAAAGCCAGCTTTGGCATTCCGTTTTGTTATGTTTAAATTCTCATTAGCAAAAATACTCAAATTCTATCCAAAACCAGACACAATGTGACAGACCTATCAAGCAGCATTGTTCCCCTAAATGTTACATCTGAACTATACATATAAGTAAGGCTTCCAATATTTTATTGTACTTGGCTATGCTCTGAAGAACAAGTTAGAACACTTTTTAAAATCTTAACGTGATTGAAAAGAATATTTTGCGTAGACAAAATATTTTAAGGAAGGAATTATTTTTCATTTGAAATTAAAATCCAGAGCATAGTAAAATTCCTAATGGAAGCATTCGAATTACAAGGTAATTAAGTGCATTGTCATTGATAGCTACAGGAAACCATAACTTTTGGAGAATTTGGAATGAAGAATGCTCTGGAGATGAAATAGTGCCTAGTTTTTGTCCAGGCATTTACACATAAGTCATAGACTACTAAAATAGCACACTGATTTTCCTGCCTTCATTCTTTCCTATCTCCTTTCTAGCGCATTGCTCTAGATTTACAATTCCAAGACATCTTCTAATGGTTTACTAATATCCCCAAGATCAAATCCAAAATCCAGACTAGCTTTCCAGAACCATCATAATATTCTCCTGAGTCTCATCTATGTACTGCCAAATGTCAGGGGAGTTAGAACAGTGATATTAATATCTCTATGGCTTGAAATTTCACTACTAGAAAATCTTTTCTTTGAACCTATAAGACTTTCTCAGCCTTCAAGGGTCCTGTAGTAGGATGCAGCTAACAGTTTAATGGCTCTCCAAAATAGGTCAGAGTCTCGCTGCCTGTGTGGAAGATGAAAAAGAGAATGAATAAAGAAGGTACCTAAGAAGAAGCATTGAAAGGGCTGGTCAAGTGCCACAAAATATGCTGCCTTCAAAGTTTTATCCAGGGTTCTTACGTATCCACCCTGTTCCTCTGCTGCTCCCAGCTTCAATTCTATCATATCTAAGTGCTGTTGCCTACTCTGTCTTTGCTAATTAATTCATTCCTGTTCTTTCTGTCCACTACCTTCATGACTTTCAAAATCTAGCTAAGCCAGAACTTTTTGACTCCACCATTCCACCACTCCTGATCACACCCCTCCCACAGGGATCTGATATACAACAGCATGTCTATGTCATTTATTTGGGGACTGGATTGTAGAGTAAATAATATGACTGGCCCTGGAAGGTATGTTTGGCTTACTAGCCAGATTGTAAATTGTGAGAGATGATAGAACATTCTTCAGTATTCTTGCACCCCTTACACTTTTAAATGCTGATCCCACAAGGGATAATGGGTCTTCTTGAGGTAGTTTCTGTTTTCTGTGTTCTTCAAAGAGACACCTAAATTGATTATTTTAAAATTTGCTTCATGTTATTTCTATAATGCTTATATTTTATTTAGGTTTGCAGTTGTTTAAATACACTTTCAGATGACAACAACAAAGAATTCTTGTGAAAGGCAATAATTAACCATAGTTTAAAAAAAAATCAAACAACCAGAGTCAAGTAATAAGGGGGAAAAATTACCAGCAGGTAACAAAGTAGAATATATACATTATTCAGTTTCCGGTAGCACAAATGTGTGCTTTCTTCTACATGGCATTTTTTAATGAAATATGTTGAGGGTATAGAAGTAATAGAGAAGGAAATCCTTGAAGTAGTATGCTATTGCCTTGAAAAGTAAGGTTTTTTCATTGTATTCTCAACTTTTACAGATGTTTTAAAATGCCCAAGGTATTTCATTTATTCGATAATGAATACTACACATGAAGAAAGTCTGCATGTTTGCTTCTTCGAGGATTTTCTCCCAAACAAGTACTATCTTGTACACCAACTGCAAATATACATTGCGAAGCTCTACATAAAGAGTATTGTCTGGGCCAGGCATGGTGGCTCACACCTGTAATCCCAGCACTTTGGGAGGCTGAGGCGGGGCAGATCACCTGAGGTCAGGAGTTTGAGACCAGCCTGACCAACATGGAGAAACCCTGTCTCTACTAAAAATACAAAATTAGCCATGCATGGTGGCGAATGCCTGTAATTCCACCAACTTGGGAGGCTAAGGCAGGAGAATAGCTTGAACCCAGGAGGCAGAGGTTGCGGTGAGCTGAGATTGTGCCATTGCACTCCAGCCTGGGCAAAAAGAGTGAAACGCTGTCTCAAAAAAAAAAAAAAAAAAGAGTATTGTCTGAATCAATGATGTTTGCAAGGTGGAAAAAGAAAGAAATGTATATTAAATGTGGATAATTCCATCCAGCATGACATAGTGGAAGCAACGTGGTCTTTGGTGTTAGACTGAAGTTTGAAATGTTTCCCTCTTTTTCTAGCTGTATGGTATAAGGCAAGACAGCTAATATCCCAAGGCCATGACTTTTCTCATCTTTGAAATAGCAATCATGATAACTACCTTCCCAAATTGATGTGAATCTCACAAGAAATAATGTAGGTGCTCAGTATAGCTATTAGAATGATTATATTGCAGAAAGCAAAAAATAAATCAATTTCATATGGGGGAATAATTCTCATATTAGCAAATGGCATCTATCATCATGCTTATGCAGCTGTATTTTAAAATTGGCATAAGTTCAGGCAAAGATAGAAAACGTATACTTTGGTTAAATCAGGCAGTTTTATATGGGAAAGCATGAATCATAAGGGAAACATTGTTCTTGGTTTAATTAGATATTTAAAATTGCAAAACAAGATTTACTATTGGGTAGGCTAAGCCATTTTGGTTGTAGTTATGGTATTGTTTCTTTAATAATATTTATATGCTCAAAAATTGTATTTTGTGCATCAAAATCTTAATTATTTAGAATCTGATTAGAGAGTGGTAGAGTTGCAGTTATTTCTTCAAATTCTCATCTTTTGTTAAGACAAAAGGGGCCTCAGAGGTATAAGGTTAAGTAGAATATCAGGTTAAATGAACAAAGTAGCATTTTATATTTTGATAGTATTGCCTGGAGA
This sequence comes from Homo sapiens, assembly GCF_000001405.40. NCBI lineage: Eukaryota > Metazoa > Chordata > Mammalia > Primates > Hominidae > Homo > Homo sapiens. The sequence goes on along the minus strand of NC_000002.12, from coordinate 181,888,143 downwards.
AAAAAATTCTATATAAAATAAGAATGGAAAACACTGCATATTATACCCCCTCCTCTTCCTCCACCCCAGCCCAGTCACAATGAATGTTAAAGACTTGAGACGTCTTCAAAACTTGTTTTTTAAAACTTTAATTTTTTAAACCCAATAGTTATAAAATTTATTTCAACAGTAAATCTTTTTGGCCCCTCAATGTATCCATTAACATTTCCAGGGATACCAGTGAAATAATTTGCAATAGCATAAAAGAGAATAAAAGAAAAAATATTAATAAATAAGAGTAAACACTTCAAAAATTTTCAGAGATTTATTTACAAATCATGTAATTGAACTATGAGGAATGCTGGTTAGTCTGACTTAGATTGGGTTATTGATATATTCCTCTATTTTTGAGACCATTATTAATTATTAAAGTATTTCTGATTTTAGTATTTCTGGTTATTGTATATATGTTAAAGCAATAGAATTACATGTTTAAAGCCTATAAACCTTTGATCTTAGAGTTCTTCCATATTAGCAAAAATTCAAGGATTTTTAGATTAGTTTCTTTTCCTCATAAGGAAGCATTAATATGTAGAATAGTCCGTTATTTTGATTTCTCTTATTTTCCCAAGTACAGATAAGAAGGAGAAGCAGGTGTTAATACCACTAGAATTTTGCCTTGCAAATTATTTATACAGTCTGGGTAAATTACCAGTTTATATACTTTCTGATTTTGTGCATGTTAAAAGCTTGTCGTTTTATCACTCATTCTCAGATCACAATTTATTCAGTTTGCCACATAATGCTAAATTTACTCTTTTCTCAGTGAAACCTTGTGGCCAGTTTGTTTTCTTTTCAGTGGCTCAATTCTCTGGTGTTTCTGAGCAACAGGTAAGAATGGCTCATCTATTCTTAACAATGAAGTGAAGCAAGATTATGTAACAGAATAGACTATTTGTTCTGTTTCACGAATTCATAAAACAACTCAAAGGAGTTTTGAAATCCTTTTTACTGAACATAGTTACACATGAATTACAAACATTTTGGCTTTCTATCTATGAAGCCTAATTCTCAAGTTTGGATCAATCCTTTTACTTTTTCTTCTCAGCCCTGCCCTAAAATGTTGCTTTTAAAAGTCTCTGATATTTTGAATCATAAAAGCTTTTAAAAAGGTATATCTGTCCATATGAAATGCACAGTCTATACCCATGCCAGATGATATTAAGAATTTTTCTGCAACACACAACCGAACAGGAGGATGTCATTATTCCCAGTGTTAGCACTGTCCTATTATATAGTTAATTTCTCTTCCATATTTAAGATTATATTCTAGCTCTTTTGTTTATGTATATGATTACTTTCTCTTTGGAGCCATTTAGAACTTTAAAAAAATTACAGCTCACTATGCATATATTTGAAATTATATATTTTCATGTAAATTTCTCTTTCTGTATTTTATGAAGACCAGGAAAGGAAGGTTCGTGATTAGATGAACCATACATCTATCTAATACTGCTGTACCTTGAAGAGCTTTAAATGGTACACACCTTGTAACGGTTCTTTAGCATACACACACACACACAAGTCTTTGAAAAAAAAAATAATTGTGGTATGTGCCTGAACCTGAATAAATATAAACTGCACCGGCCTCTCCCAGCACGTTTCCCTTCTCTAATCTCCCTTCTGCAGCTCCTTTATGCCCATCTCAGAACAAATACAATCTGCATTCAGAACAGGACCGTTTACAAGTTGAATGGAGTTATTTTGGGTGAGTCACTTGAAAACACAGTACAAAACCTTTCCTCACTCACCAGAAATGCATTTTAAAAATAAAGCCAAAGCGAACAAGGCTTGGCAAGTTTGAGGGTGGACAAAATGGGGAAAGAACAGGTCTTCTGCCACACTCAAGACAGGATTCTGGTAAACCAGTTTTGGCTAGTTCTTTACATTCAACTCCACCAAATCCCATCACCAACTAAAAAGTACTAGGTTGAGCAGGTAGGACTTCAAAACAACGACACTTCATTTTACACTGTGATGATGAGCAGATACACAATAGCTAAGCAACAGATTAAGTCCCCCTTTTTGTCTCTAATTCAGAAGCTATAAAACATATACATTTAATAGCCCAATTCTTTTGATTAAATGTGTATTTGACAAATAGTTACCATAGGCAATTAGAAAATGTTATATAAATGCAATATGCAATCCTCTCAAATTGCTTTTAAAACAAGTCTCATGAGAGTCAATCAAATAATAAAATATTAAAGGAGATAGAGCTATGGAGATTGAAAATAATAAGCTACTTTTTAAGAAACTTTAAAAATTGAATTATTATAATTAAAACAAGTCTATACCATGGCTTGTTGAATTTTAGATATTTAACATGCAAATATTACAGATTTATATATCAATGTAGATTCTTATGTGTCTATGGAACATATGACGTATCCTGTATCCTGCGGATAACTTTCTAGCAGAAATATAGTGATTACTTTTCCACAACCTGCTACAGATCAGTTGAGGCTCACATCTCATGAATGGAAAGAAACATGGAATCATTAAGAAGAAATTCTTAAACACATAATGGTAACATAGAACACTTGCTATAAAATTTGAGAGTCCTCAAGTAATCTTTAGCATAAGTTGACCCCGAAGGTTATTGTGAGCCAATTAACAGGTGTTATAGAGGTTCCTACACTTAGTAGTGTTGCCTGTTTACAAATGGTCCATCCCCAAGTTGTGGGAAGAAGCCAGTTACTACTGATTTAATTAAGCAAGTAATCTCCTTGAACTCCCTTGCAAATGATCAGTTTCCACAAGGCAGGCTGACAATTGTTGGTAAAGGGAATGAAAACTGTTTAAAAGTTAATGTGACTATGGAAGTACAGGGTCATGATAAACACGCAGGTATTTCCTGCTATAATTAACAGCAAAGCAAGTACTCTGGTTTCCTACATTTTGGGGACTTTTTTTTCCTTCCCTTTTATGGTTAAGTAATTGTTTTAAAATTATAAAGTAACAACTTATACAGCCTTCAAAAATTCTCTCACCAATCTAGGAACGACTTTATCTCATTTGTTTCTATTTAAATTTAATCTACATATAATAAAAAACTAAGGAGACTTAATATTTATTGATAGGAACTCAAGAGCTTCTCCATAATCTTTCAAAACAAACTGAAAAGTGAGGCAAATTTTCATCAAAATTTCTTTGGGGCAAGAAAGTTTATTACAGCTGTTAGGTAGCATATTTGGCTTGGATTACATTAGTATTAAAGAACTAAAGCTGTGTTTATTAATAGACTGTTGTTAAATAAAAGAACCACAGGGTAAAGGTCAGCACACAGGTTGTTTTGCTTAATTGTTAAAGATCCCCCGAGCCCATGTCTTTCCAATTATTTTTAAACAGGTCAGCCCAAGTTGGCACCTTAAAATCCTTTAAGTACTATAATTACAATAGTACTGATAATCAGTTTGGAGAAGTACTACTAGAAGAGCAGTTATTTCAGTGGAGCCAAGGAAATAACAGTGTTAAAAATGGATGCTTTTGACTGAGCACTTCTATTGTGTCAGACACAGTATTTTGGGCTGGATTTACACTGTCTCATTTAATACAAAAACTGTAAGTGTTTGTATTATTCTCACTTTATAGATTGGGAAACTGAGCCTCTGAAAGGTTAATACTTGCCCCAGGCTACATACTAGAAAGTGACAGAGAAGAACCAGGACTTACTCTACACCTAAAGCCCATGCTGTTACCTACCATATGCGATGGTCTCATAGTATTTCAGCCCCACTGTTAGAGAAACATTAGCAGTCACTTAGTCTCATCATACTGAAAGGATTCTTCACTTATAGCTGATGGGCAGAGGGTCAGTGTGACCCTTAAGTGAATGGAATCCTGGGGAGGGAATTGCCTCCTACAACTCCATTTTACAGGGAAGGAAAACTGAGCTTGAAACTTTAAGTAGCCTGCCTGAGGTCAGCCAACTAGTTAGTGAGAGAATTAGGAGCAAGAATCCCTATCATCAGTTCAGTGTGCTTCCCACTCCACCACACAATACTTTGATCAGGAAGGTATGGGCAGCAATTAGGGTCATATGCCACATAACAAGGTTTTGGCCAATGATGGACCACATATATAATGGTGGTCCCTAAGATTATAATACTGAAGTTTCACTGTACCTTTTTAATGTTTACATATACAGATACTTGCTTCTGTATTACTATTGCCTACAGTATTCAGTAGAGTAACATACTGTACAGGTTTGTAGCCTCAGAGCAATAGACTGTATCATCTAGGTATGTATAAGAACCCCCTGTGATTTTCACACAAAGACAAAATTGCCTAAGGATGCATCTTCAGAATATATTCTAGTCACTAAGTGATGCATGACTGTATAAGGATGTTAACACTTTAACGTTAACATAATAGTGTATATCATAAACATTTCTCATATATATACTTTAGAGAAACCTGATATGAGTGAAGACATTGCAGATAAAATCAATACATTTTAAAAGCATTAATCAACAAATAAATGATATTATAAACCAAAATCATTTATACTGAGAATATGAAGCACATATTCTCAGAATATTTGCAACAATCACTCAAAAGGTTTTTTAGGAGACTTAGGAATATCTGTTGGTTTGTGATCAGGGAAGTTCTGGTTAAACGCAGGCAGACATGTCTCTACTGTCTCCTTGACAATTTAAAAGAAATTAGGAACCTAGTATACACATTCTCACATGGGTCCAAATCTAGCTTATGAACTGATGGGATACCATCATGCACATAGTTCTGCTCACTGGATATATGTCATTTATATTTTTCATTTTTCACTCATTCATTCAACAAATGTTTATTGAATATGCCAGCTACTGTAAAGCCTCTGTGTTACCATAATGACCAAAACAGGCTTGTCCTGCCATTCCATCCTATAATGGAAGACCTTCTGGGTGATCATCTCATCCCTCCTCCTCTTCTTCCTCCTCCTCTTCATTCCTTCTTCTTTTTTCTTTCCTGTTACTTTCTTATTTTGCTTTTCCTCTTCCTAATATGGCACAGCTAGTTCGCACTTTTTGTATTACCATAAATTATACTCCAATCTTTACTGTGTGCCTCATAGAGTAGAAGGAAAAAACTGTGAGTAAAAATATTCATTCATGTCTTATTTATGTAGGAAAATCAAAATAATAAGTAATAAAAGAAGGTGTAGTTACATTATGATATAGCTGCTCTATAAAATATTTTATGGCCATTATGAAATAAATTTTACAGACAATCTAGCAGTATAGTATGATATGTCAACTTTTCAATATCGTTTGAAAGATTCCATCCTACTGTACTCTTTCCAGGCCTCTGACTACACTAGTTCAGTCACATGGGATGGCCTTTGGAGCAGCTATGACCAGAGTTTAAACGAGAGGAAACATCATTTTCTGCTATACCTCACATAGCCATTTTAAAGATGGTAGGGGTGAGGAGTGGCATGGTGTAGCTGTGGTTAAGGGAGGAGTGAACTAACTCTGATGTAGCCCATTATGCTAGTGCCCATAGTGGAGATATGGGTAAAATTTACCACAGATTTTCCACACAGTAATATGCAATACCACGAGCCTTTATTCATAAGTTGGTTATTTGATAAATCTTCCACTTCATATAGAGATATCGCATTTAATAGTCAAGTAGTCATCCTATTCCCCTCTGGGAATCTCTGGAAAGGACTACACTAGACCTGCACCATTCCTGTCAGATGATTACATCTGCCTTGAGATATGTACAGTGTTGTTTGAATATCTTTAAAATGTCACCATGTATCTAAAGTTATATGCATTTCAGCAGAGAAAATGAATGTGTAAGATAAATCATATCTAGGTTGTAGTCAGAAGGATTTTCTTTTCATATGAACAAGGTATCTGAACAGCCCTAAAAACATAAAGCCAAATATTTTTAACTGCTTTTATCTTAACAAATCTTCTCAAAAGCTCAGAAAATGGAAAAATAAAGATTTTAGTATCCAGGTTTCTTACCAGCATGCATTGTTAACATTCCTCAGTGAAGTTGATACTTCAGGTCCAAAATTTATAGCTCTATCTAGCCACATTTCTGGAGAAGACTCAGGACTGGGGACAGAACCTCTATGAACCTGAGTATGTTATTCAACTTATGTTTTAGTTCTCTTAGGATAACATCCTATTCTCCACAAGAGACAAAAGCCCAAGACTGTAACATCTCTGTCCAGCCACATTCTCAGAAGACTTCCTCAAAGGGAAACATGTTCATAATCAGAAAGTGAGGATTTTTGCTTCTCAACCTAAACTCTGGCCTTCCAAGGAAGCATCCACTGCCAGATATAAAACCTGGAGTTTTAAGATTTCATGTAGGTAATATTAAAACCATCTCAAACTGTATCTTAAAGAAAAACAATATTCAGAAAGTTTATCTAAAGGATAACAATTTGGCCACTACTGTAACTTTAAGAGATGAATGCCTTAATAATATCAAATGTTTTCCAAAAAGATGGCTTTTTCAAAAATCATTCTGTGATTTGTGCAATGGCACTTGCCTGTTTTGATTATCAACATGAGCAAAGACATGAAATAAGAATGTACTATCTCTGAGAAGGAATCTACCTACCTGAACGTTGATGGTATGTCACCCTGTATTCTCTTTAGAAGGATCTCAAGAGAAATTTCTTTTGACAATATTTGTTCCAAGAATGATTGAAATTACCAGAACATTTTTTTACATCACATGGATACTGGGGATTGGATAACAGACAAATTTCTGTTTTCACATTGACTGCTGGAGAAATTGAGAACCAAATGTGGAGCTCAACTGTGGGAGATGAGTAGGTTATCATGGTATACATCTTAAACCTTATTCATAGATCCTTTTTGTCCCCATCCCTGTTTTATTCTTCTTCTTCCATTTTCTCCTTTTCTCAAAATAATATTTTGTTACTTTTGATGTTCCTTTTTTGCAACATGACAAGGAATAGCCAAATAAAATATATGAGAAAATTATGCAAAATTTTATATTTGCTATACAAATGTGTACATCCATAGAGGATTATTAAGACAGAAATGAACAAATATGTTCTGTTAAAGTGGCAACATTATGGCTGGCTTTTTTTTCTTTTCCAAACTTTTTGAAATTGTATTTGCAATTTAGGGACAAAAAAATTATCTGAATTTTGAAAGCTCTAGTTACTTATTCCAAAAGCAGGAAGAATGTGCAGGGGTATGCGCATAACCCCATGCAATGTTTGATTATACCAAGACAAATGAGGAACTGTCATAAATTGTGTGAAGAATCCATAGTAAATTTTACCCATATCTGCACTGTGGGCACCAGCATAATAATATGCTACATCAGAGTTAGTGCACTCTTCCCTTTACCACAGCCACACCTTGCCATGCCTCTCCCCTACCATCTTTAAAATGGCTACATGAGGTCTAGCAGAAAGTGATGTTTCCTCTGGTCATAGCTACTCCAAAGACTGTCATCACATGTGATTGAACTAGTGTAGTCAGGGGCCTGGAAAGAATACAGTAGAAATGAAGTGAATCAAATAATACTGAAAACATGACATATCATACTATATTGCTAGAATGCACAGAAGTATGAGCATAACTCTATGCAATGTTTGATTATACTAAGTGGGGAACTGTCATAAATTGAAGTCAGAATGGTAGGTGAGAACCAGTTTCTAAGGTCTTAGTGCACTACTCTAAGGGATTGTCTTATTGCCAGTAGGAAGTAGAAAGCAGCCTTCAGTTTGTAATGAAAGTGTTTTATAGACAGAAAACTAGCAACTGAATAATTGAAGGAGTAGGACATGGGAAGTCCTCAGACAAGAGAACTAGTTAGGAAGCTTATGAGTAGGGGAAGGAGGTAGGTTGATAAAGACTCAGTGGAGACAGAAGCTACAGTCAGATTTGACAGATTAGAAATGGGTGAGGAAGAAGAACTAGAATGACCCCTAAGATTTGTTTTCTACTTTAGATCAATGGGTAGGTATTTGTGTCATTCTACATGATAGACAATTTACAAGGATTGAGTATTTGGGGTTAATTTGGTTGAGAGTAAGGAGAATAAGGTAGAAGAAGGGAAATTAGTACATCACTGGACATACTAGATGTGATGTGCATATAATACATGCAGATGGAGATGTAGCCCCAAGCATTCAGAAATACCACTCAGAGATGAAACTCTGGATAAAAGTTTGGTGTATATATATCTATATCTATATCTATAGAGAGAGATTGTGTGTGTGTGTGTGTGTGTGTGTGTGTGTGTGTGTGTGTGTTTTGAACCATTAATACCAGACAGCCATGTTTTTATATGTTCTTGGTCAGCCCTATTCCTATTTTCCAAGTAAGCTATTCCAAACCTACTGAGGCAATAATCATCAATGACCTCTAAAACACCAAATCCAGTGGATACTTTTCAGCTCTCATTTTATAGTATTCTCATAGCTTTTGGTAGGATTGACTCCTCATCTAATTTCTTTCTTGACCTTACATTTTAGGATTCTCCTACTTCTGAGTCTCCTTCATTGGCTTTTATTCTTCTACCAGCTTTATTGTTCTGAGAAGAGCTCTCTCTTAAGTTCATACACTCTTCTGGGTGAGGAGAGAGTGGTAGGAAGTAAGCGAGGCAGAGGAGAACCACTTGAAAGAACAGAGATCATTTGCGATGCTTAGCAAAGGGATGCCATGGGCTGACTTATGTTTTAAAAGACTAAATACTATGTGTAAAATAAACTAATGGGGTTGAGATAGAGGTAGAGAAAAAAAACAAGAGGATTATGAAATAATCTAGGATTGTACCAGAGTGGGAGCTATGGAAATGATAACTGATGAGGATTATGAAGATAAAGTCAATAGGATTTGTTTATTCATGTGAGGTGGTATGTCAAAGAAAGAAAGGAATACAGAAAGAATTTTTTTTTGAGATGTGCAACTAGAAGACTGGAGTAAGAAGACTGAGATGGTTAAGACTTCCAGTGGAGCAGTTTTCAGGGAAACAAAAGTTTGTTGACTATGTTAAGTTTGAAAAGCCTGTTAGGCATTCAAGTAGTGATACTGAATGGGCAGAAGGATACAGATACAGAGTTGCGAGGAAAATTTTGGACTGGAATATAAATTAAGGAGTCATAAGCATATAGATGGTATCTAAAGCTGAAAACTAGTTGGGGCCACCAGGGAGGGGTTGGTGAAGAATGAAAAGAGGAGATGTCCAAGGATAGTGTCTTGGGTATTCCACAATTTAGAGGCAGATAAATGAGAAGATCCCAGCAAAGGAGGCTGAGAAAAATCAACTAGTGAGGTAGGAAGAGAACGAAGAGAAAGTGTTGTCCAGAAGATGACTGTAAAAAAGGGTTTTAAAGAGAAGGAAATGATCAACACCACCATCTTCCTGAGAAGTTAAAATGAACACTGAGAATTAACCTCTGGATTTGGCAATATAGATGTTTATTGCTGACTTTGGCAATAAATGTGGTGAAATCATGAAGAAGGACACCTTGATTAGAGTGGGAATCTGTGGGCTGGTTCCTTTTAAGAGAGAGAAATAGGAAATAGCAGGGGTATTCAAAATAAAACAATGAATTGGCTAACAGAACAAAAGAGCCGGAAAGCCATTATACAAATATATGGCTATTCAAAATCACAGATGTCTATACTTGGCTAAGCCTGAGAAAAAGCAAAATTCTGAAGTTTTGACCCTTCTGAGTTAATTACCAGTTAATTGTAGTGTTAGACATTCTTACTTATAATTTCTCATTAATGCAGTAATGAGGGAGGTAAGATAGAAACAGCAAATGTAGACAGGCATATGTATAATATATATGTGCGTACGTGTATACACACATACATACACAAACATATATACACATACACACACATATATACATATACACACATATATACATATACATATATACACATACACACATATATATCATATATACACATACATATATACACATACACATATATACACATATATACATATATACACATACACATATATACACATATATACATATATGCATATATACACACATATACATACATATATACACATATATACATATATACACACATACACATATATACACATACACACATACATACACAAACACATATATACACATACATACACAAACACATATGCACAATAAAAGGAAGGATGGAAATAGGAAAATAGCTAAAAGAAATGTATGATTGAAAAAGGATTTTTTATTATTTTTTGTCAGGGATACATGGGAATAACATATGTTTATTAGCTAAAGACAGGAACAAATAAAGACAGGTTAGATATTTGAAAAGATAAGATCTTGAGGAGAAGAAGAAAAAAATTAACTTTAGAAGGTCTTTTTTTAGATGGAAAGGAGATATAAATGCACCAATGTGCTTAAATTTTCAGGGGGAGATAATTTAAATGCATTCACACCTAATGTCCTATATGTATTCTAAGAACTAGGCCAGATAATCTGCTGAAGTGATGGAGCCTGAGCTGTTTGGATAACTTAAAAGGGTAAAGATTTTGAATAGCTATTATTCAAAATGGAAATAAAACTACAAGGAAGCAGTAAAATATTCATTTATTCAACAGTTAAGCACCTTGTAAAGATTAACTCGTTTGCTCACAGTAACATACCTGTGAGATATGTTCAATTATTCTTTTTGCAGAAGAAGAAAATCAGGCACAAAGTGGTCATGCTATTTTCCCAAAGGCACTCAGCTAGTGGAGGAGCCAGGAACTGAGCTTCATGCTCTGAACCACTTTGCAATGCTGCCTCCTAATTGTTCAACATTCTAAAAGGCCCACATGTCAATGATATGAGTTTATTAAGCAGATTTAGGTACATAGGTGTTGAATTTCAAAAGACCAATGTTTTAAGATTCATCCAGGATAGGAGTTCAGAGGTTGAATGTGATAGAAGTTCGAGATATGGAGGAAAATGAGGGCTTAGTTGTTGAGATAATCCACAGAGTGCAGACTGCTTGGAAGAGAGAAGGCAGGAGTGAAGCAAGTGGGTTTGTAGAGGCGCTCAAATACTTGGTTCTTTGCTATTTTCCTAAGGTTTTAAATTCCTTATGAGGTCAGTGGGCTAGCCTGATAGAAGTAAGGGGCAGTAAGATCGTTGAAAGGGGCAGGAGCTTAGATTGCAACACAGGATTTTGAAGTGTAATTGTAGGAGGTGAAGAATTACTGGATGACTAGGTAGCACTGGGGTGTGGCACTGGGAGAACACTGACGTCCAAAGGCATTAAAAGCCTCTGTAGAAGAGGAGGTCAAGAAATTATGAGTCTAGGGTGCTGGGTGGGGCATCCCTATAAATACTGAAGTCACAGATGAATCACTCAGGATGAGACAGGAAGGGGTGGAGAAAAGGACTTCAGAGACCAGTGGATTGCAGTGTGAGTCTGATGAGAGAATAATCTAAGATAAAGTAAGTACAGAGACCAGACAGCCATGATGAACAGACTGCAGAGAGCAGTCATACAGGCCTCTCTTTCTTTTAGTCACCTACCTCTCTGAGCTTGATGGGGAAGCCAAAAGTGCTGTGCCACTAAGGTGCCCAAACTGGCAGCATTCCTGAAGAGCTTTTTAACGGGGTTGAACTTTTGAAATGATAAAAGGCTTAAATTACCCCAGAGGTCCAACACATTAACAAAGTAAATATTAACACAGTAATATTAATATAGTAATATTAACACAGATTAGTTCAGCCCATTTAAAATCATTATCACTTAAGTATAAATAGGGGCCTGAAGATAAAGACACATTTTAAAAGGAGGATTAGTGGAAGGAGGAAGGGAACATGGAAAATTAAGATGGAATTTGGCTAGGGGTAATGTGAACAACTAACATATAAGGGAGGAGAAAAGAATGATGAACATGGAGAACTGCTTACTATGTGCCCCGGGAATATTGTGGAAAAGGGGAAACTGCAAATGAGCCGTCTCCTTCCCTCATTTCAGTCTCAATGAAAATTATTTCAGATTCAGTGATAGGGGATTTCCCAGATCTAACAAAGAGTCTCAAAACAAAATATACATTTTCACAGAAGAAAAATAAGGGCCAGAAACTTCTACATAAATACTACAGTCGATAACTTTCTGTCCTTAAATCAGAAGGCAGGGTAAATTATATCCTGTTACAGAACTAAGTACTTAATATTGGCAGAAACTATGTTTTAATCAACAAAAAATCAGATTTGCCTTGGTGATTTATATTGTTGGTTAGCTATCAAACCACCATTCCTCCACCTTCTTCTTTACCAAAAGAATCACTTTTATGCCAGTGGATATTGGCATCTTCACATAACACTAAGAGCTATGGCAGCCATCTCGTGGCCATGAGAGAGGCTGGCCTAAGAAGATAAACCAATATGCTGACAAGGTTCCCACATTTGGAAAACAGAAATGCAGGGCATCCAGTTAAATACCAGTTTTAGATAACAAATAGTATTGCATGGGATGCACCTTAAAATTATGCATTGTTTTTCCAAAATTCAGATTTCAGTGATGTATGTATTTAATCCGGCAATTCCAGTTGGTGCGGATGAAAAAAGAGAAAGAAAGACTCTGGCTCAATGAAGAAGTAATTGAGCTGCTGTATGAGCCAAATCTGGAACTGTCCTAATTCCAAACATTTTAATTAATATTGGGCAAATTTTCCTTGCTGTTAAGCAAGTTCTCTCTGCATTTTCTGTTACTTATAGCCCAAAGTGTACTAACTGACAGAGTTTTATCATCTCTGTCATTGAGCAGGATGATAACATATTGTTCGTCCCTAAGTGTCAACTTAGAAATTATAGTTTGTATTTTCAAAAAATCTCTGTGTAGGTTCTTCAATATAAAATGCATCTATGTTTTAAGAATTCATAATTTTATGTCTTTGTGTAGCACTTCATAAAGATTATTTTTGCAAAATACATAACATGTTGATGTATTCATCTGTATGGTTTGGCTGGATTTGATGATTTCTAAGATCTATTGTAGTTCAGAAAATATTATTGTTACTATAGGACAAATGAGGATATGATATAAAAGATGTAAAGGTGGGGCAGATACTTTCTTAATTGTCAAAGCACTTAACAATTAAGCCTTACCACAGAGATTATCCAATATTAAAATTAATGATATGATAAAAGGCTTTTTTGACAGTAGCCACTTGTTTTAAGAATTAAGAGGGCTATATTTATAACACCACCATCATGAAAAGCAGTAATTCAGTAACTTCTACCTGGTGTTTCTTGAGTTATGAGTAAAAGTTAGAATGTAATCTTTTATCCATATAAGTTTATAGTTTTGCCTCTTAGTATCCCAAAAGAACAAAGTAATCTCAGGCAAAAGAAAATAAGATAAACAATGGAAAATTTTTAGATAATTTTACAGTCTGTGTGGCCCTGGAAGCAATAGAAGTTGACATTTTCTATTCGCGTCCAGAGATTTACCAGAAGCCCAAACCAGGTTTGTGAATACTCTTAAAATTCTACCATTGGTATAACCACAGTGATTCTAGAACAGAGGAAGTTTTACACGAAGTGACTTCTCATGGTCAGTGGGGAAAATGGTCTAAGCTTATAGGCTTATACAGATGTCTATCACAAATGGTGATATACATTTGTGTGCATATCTGTGAGTATGTGTGCACATTTATGCTTGTGAGTGGCCTAGCGGTGGATGTCCCCCCCACACAAGAAGCCTCTCTCTGCTCTTTCCTCCATGCCCATCATTAAGGCAGATCCAGACTCACAAAACCAGAGCAAGTAAAATCAGTTTTACTAAACATTTCCAGGGGTGGGAAATGGAAGGAGGGAACACCAAGAAGTTTACAGTACACATTGTCACCTGACATAGCAGTACCCTTCAAATTCTGCTCTGATCTCTAGCCACCTCATCACTCTTCTCCTCTCTCTTTCCTAACACAATCTTACTTAAATACAATTCAGCTTTCCTTCCAAGTTTTCTTATCTAAGAAAAACAGAAACATTGCAGTTATAGCATAAAAAGCATTCATGTTAAAATACTGTCAGATTACCACTATTCTCACTTAAACATACTTCTTGACAGACATCTCTTATACACCCCCCAACAAGCATATTTTAGTGTTCATTCAGCAAAACCAGGTGAGTCCCAAAAAGGAAAAAATTTGCTCCTTAGAAAAAAATTAATATTCTCTGTATCAGAATGTAGAAACAAAAAAACATGGCACATACATGCATGCAAACACACATACCCCAAAATAAGAACAGTGAACTTGAGAGAACAAAAAGGAGGAGCAGAAACATTTAACATTTTAATTAGGTGGTCTAAAAACATTGACAATTGAAGAAATATATTTAGAAGATAAATCTTTTTGTAGGATGCTTTTTGTTTGGAATTCATTTTAACCTATGTATCAAGATCTGTTACTTTTTTAAAATATTGATTTGCTCTCCCTTAAAAATTAATAATCACACAATAAACTCTAAGGGTCATTCATTGAATTTACCTTGGAAAGATATTTCCAGTCCAAGGATTCCCTCTTTTTATTATTTATTCATACTAGGTAAAATTTTGTCTCTACATCTTGCATAACAACAACAACAACAAAAACTGGAAATAAAACTGATAAATGGAAAAGAACATTTCTCCAGCATCTTTTAACTCAAATCTTTGGTAATATCCATTGTTTTTCCAATATAGTCAAATAATATTTCTATACTACCCTAAGAAAGACTGTTTTACTTCAAATATTTCTCAAACTAATAGAACTTACCATAAGCAAAATATCTTAATGTATATGCACTGCTGCATTCCAGCCTGGGAGACAGAGTGATACTCTATCTCAGACAAAAAAAAAAAAAAAAAAAAAAAAAAAAAGAATGATTAAAAAAAAGTCCTTCTTCAATATGACCCCATTTACAATTGAAGCCTATCCACTTACAGAAACACTTTTCTCCATTTGAATCTACCTTCTTTCTCTTTAGTGAACATGACCCCTGCCCCCACCCCCGCTTCATCTCTGTTGTTTCTGTCCACCAAGAATGTCATCTCCTTTATCTTCCTCTCTTGCTTGAGTCTTTCAACATTTACCTTTTCCAGAAAGCTCTTTCTGAGTTTTCCAGTCCATGTGGTGTTCTACTCTCAGTATGAGTTTAGCATTCTGTTGTTCTGACTACTAACTAACTGGTTTATTCTTAACGCTCTCCTATAGTCTCCATCTGCCCTTGCATTCTGAAACATACTAGAAATTTCTCTACCAAAGTTTGTTTATTCATTGTTCAAATCCGTGAATTCCATTGTGCGGGCTTGACCAAATCTCTTTCCTCAACCTTAAAAACAATGAACTTGGCTGTCAGAGGTCATACATAGAGGCTGAGAAGCTTCATAATGCAAGCATCAGTCCAGACAAATGAAAAGGAAAAAAAGATTCATGCCTATGCTATTTCAATGTTCTGTAGTTGTATTAGGTCAATATTTTTTCTTATGTTTCCTTAGAAAAAAATGTTTTATAATGTTTGATAAAAATAAGAATCTAGGATTGATTAACAATTTGAAAAATTGTGTTTCATTTGTATTCTGGTTTGTGGATTACCTTTTATCAGTAAATTTCAGTTTTGAAAGTTCTACTTTGAGGTAGCATTTTTTAAGTAACCAAAGTTAGTATTCAATATTCTTGACTTCTAAACTTCTGTATAACTTCAAGGATGCAAGCAGTGTAACATAGTTTTCCTACATAGAAACAATCTGGTATAAATATCATTCAGATATTTGCTTTGGCATGTGTTCACTTAACAGAATGTGTGAAGAAATACACAAACCCAGTGTCAGGCAAATACCACTAAAAAGTACTACCACTCCAGTTAATAAAATATATTGGTGAAATTGGGACATTTCAGTTTGGCTATATTTAAAAACTATTTCTATGTTGCACCGGTTCATTTGTAAATGGAAAAAAAAAGGCAGGCAAAAAACAGTAAGTTCCACTTGATTCAGGCAACCTGTTAAATAAACTGTTGCTACTTTTAACTGCAGCATACTTTAATGTGACTGCCAACATCTATAAATTTTTTAGAATGCCTGGTTTTCTCATCAGATCAACTTGACTCAGCTATCAATAAAAAAGTGCCATATTCGGCTTGATCACAACAACTGTTGATACTGCTGCTAGTTTTTTTACCAAAATATTCCAGTTTACAAAATAGACTTATAATGTGAAAATCTCAATAGAAAAGCCAAGTCATCTACATGTGTGTATTTGTATATATGTGTGTATGCATATATATAATTTTATAAATATTTATTGTTAAAGTCATTTCTAATGAATTAAACTTTAGAAATAAATTGTACATATAACTTACAAAATTTAGTGACATTTAACACAGTGCACTTATTATTGAAAACTTATATAAATAATTTAAATATGCTTAAATTGAGAATATTCAGAATTTCGTTCTTTTTTGAATGTTTTCAACTCAAAGAAATGATTCATGTTTGAAATAACGAATATGCTAATGACTCTTATTTGATCATTACACATTGTACACACGTATTGAAATATCACACTTAGCCCATAAATATGTACAATTTTGTGTCAATTAAAAATAATACTTTAAAATATTCAGTCCATGTAAATTTTTCCCATTCATTAAAGTGTTGTGTTACCTTTCGTACAAGATGATTTACCTAACTTAATAGGAATTGAGTACTAAGATTTGATACCCAGAAACTTGCACACTAATTAGGACCATAATAAGGAACTGCAGTATAAGCCAATTATCATCTTAGAGATATAGGCATTGCTTTAAAATCACGTTTTTGAATGTGAAAAACCATTTGAGATCTGAGGTGAATCAAAGGGGAACTTTTTTGCCTGGAAAAGCAATGAGGAATTCCTGGTCACATTTACTCTCCCTCCTCCCATACATACATCAACCATCTTTAAAAGCACTATAATAAAAAAAAAAAAGATTTGACGGGAAGTATGATTTTGATTAGGGAAAGTCTGAAGGCGAGGGGAACGGTAAAGAAGTTAGATAAGAAAGAAAGGGAGCTATTGGGCTTTTCTGTATATTATGAAAGTATGTTTATTCTTAGAGGAATATAGCTATAAAGCTACTGAATCCATTGAGGCATAAGTGGGAGTGCAGCTAGGACAAATAGGATGTAATGTTTTTATTTTGGCTCCATTCAACTCTGTCTCAATTGACCATTCCTTGAGAGAAGAGTAGCTAAGCATCAAATAATGGAGAATGTCAAATAAGATTTTCTCTCAAACTGTATCAGTGCCTTGGATTTAGTAGCTCATCAATATTTTGTTTGGCTTAATTAATCTGAAAGTTATAAGAAAAACATGAGTAAATTAAAGATGATGCTCAGAAGATACTACACATACAAGTTTCTGGAATAGATGCCACCCATAAACACTTGAATATAATTGCTGTTGATAAGGCCCACAAGAATAGAAAGGCCATGAAAGGAAAGTTGAAAATTGGTTGTGTATTCCTTTTTAGAAAGATGTTGACTTTGTGGCTTTAAGGAAAAGAACCCAGTATTTTTAAATAACTCAAATACATCAAAATAAAAACCAAAAGAAAAGCATCCTGGTGGTTAAAATGTTGCAGTTTCATTTTTTGAAAATCTAACTTTACATTCGTGTACCATTTATCTATCTCAGTTCTTTCTTTTATGCTCCAAATCAAATTTTCCTCAAATTTCTAGTAATAATAAAGAAAAGTCTGTTTTTTCCAATTTCTCCAAAGTTAAGTATTTTAAGGGGAGAAAGGCAAGAGGCAAACCTTGTCATTTGAAATTATTATGTGCCCCTACTAGAAAATATAGATTTAGTTCATTTTATGTTCAACTGGTGAGAATTTATTATCCTTGGTACAATTTTATATATCATAGAAGTGTAGCACATCTACTCTGAAGATGATGTTTCTAAAGAAAGAGCCAGACGTTTGCGTTCAAGTTTAAAACCTCCTGAAATGAAAAAGATGCCCAAAAGTAAGGTTAAATTAGCCTTACTGCATATTCTAAGGCTACAGGAACTGTTTGGTAATTGTTTCTATGAAGAACAAGCTTAGTGCAAGCTAACCTAAAGTATCAATATGAATAGAATTGCAAGCCATACTAAATTAGAATAGTATTAGTTTAAGTTTAAAATGAGACTTTTTTGGAATACTTCATGCTAGTTATATTGTTATCAACAAACCAAAATTCTTCTAATTATTTTGTTCACATGCATTTTCTGATATGCCTTTATTGTAAAATATCAACATTAAATGCTATGAAATTCTATTTCATCTCTTGCAGTATGCAGATTTCTCACAGAAAATGTACATATAACGTGGCACATAAATTTTGACATCATAAAGTGAGAAAAATAATTTTAAATTGGTGTCTTAAAATACAATTCTTAAGAAAAAACTTATGTATAACAGGGTCAGGGTCAGAAATTTTTTTTCATAAGAGGTCAGGTAGCAACTTTTTTTTTTTATTTTTGAGAAGGAATCTTGCTCTGTCACCCAGGCTGGAGTGCAGTGGCGGGATCTCAGCTCACTGCAAGCTCCGCCTCCTGGGTTCATGCCATTCTCCTGCCTCAGCCTCCTGAGTAGCTGGGACTACAGGCACCCGCCATCATGCCCGGCTAATTTTTTATTTTTTATTTTTATTAGAGACAGGTTTCACCGTGTTAGCCAGGATGGTCTCAATCTCCTGACCTCGTGATCTGCCCAACTCAGCCTCCCAAAGTGCTAGTATTACAGGCGTGAGCCATCGCGCCTGGCCCAGGTAGCAAATTTGTAGGCATTATAGACTTAGTAGACTTCTTGGCCTTATAGTCGTAGTCTTATAGTTTTAATAGATTTTGTGGCCTTAGTAGACTTTGTGGGCCTACGAGTCTCAATTACAACTACTCAATTTTGCCATTATAGCACAAAAGCAGCCAAATGCAATATGTAAATGAATGAACATGGGGCTGTCTTTTAATAAAACTTTATTTTCAAAAACAGGTAGTAGATGAGATTTGGCCTTCAGGCTATAGTTTGCTGACTACTGTTGTAAACATACAACCTTTTTCTATTTTCTCTGATTAACAAAGATGATTGAAAAACACTTCTCACTCTCTAGAGTTATTGTGAGGATTATGAGGATCAAGCAAATACAAAGCACTTTAAAATCTGGAAACATTTTCATCTATAAGTGAACTGTGGTATCATTACAAACATGAAATAGTCAAATATTTATATGTAAAATGGGTATTACTTACCTTCAAATATATTAGGATGCCTTTTTAAATATTACAAGAGATGAAAATTATTTCATGTTTCTAACATTTGGGGAGGCCTGGAAATATTTATTTCTCTCTATTCTGGTTAGTTCTATCATAACTAGGAAATTTGTTTAAAATTAATTTGATACATTTCAACATGGTGTGTTTAAATACATGGAAATGGGACTGTTTCTTTTCTACAATTTGAAAAATAGGCAGATACTAGTTTTTAAAATGAAACACATATCCCATATTCAATAATCCTTCTGATCGACTTTAAAATCAGCATTACTGCCATATGATTATTGGGGATGAGAAACTTGGGAAAGAAGGAAACAAGTTGAAGAAGTGATGCTTACTTTGTTTGGAATAGCCAAAAGAAATTAACAGCTTCATTGACAATGGAAGCTGATGTCAACTTTACATGGAAAAGTCAAGGAGATACTAAACATGAACTTCTCTGTGTACATGAGGAAATATAAGATCTGATCCAAGCTAGCTATATACATTAAATATTGTTCAGATTAAAAATTATGCTTTATCCATTATAAATTAAAGAATTCAGATTACAGCAGCTCACAGATTAATTAAAACTTTCCTGCTTTAAAGGCAACAACAACAAAATTTCTTCACATTTTTAGAGAAATATGTTTTGTAACTGAAACTGCAGAAAGTGAAATAAAAATAAAAAAGAGAAAATATGTTTTGTAGCTTTCGGTCTCAGAGCAATCTTATTTTATATAAATTATGATATCCACATTCAGTGTTCTTAGGAACACTATCACATGTTAGCTAGTGAGATGACTTTAAAAAATATTTTATGATATGTTACATAATCTAAGGAAACAGTTCTAATTAAGCAGGTGCAAATTACAACATTTGCATTTTTAAAGCACTTATAAGGGAGACCAGAATGTTTTAAAAGATAAGGGAACTAACAATTCCAGTAACATTATCATTTATTTGAATTAGGATCAAATCTAGACAAGTTAGTGCTAATCAGATGTTTTTCTGACCTACATAAAATGATTCAACCCTCCCACATCTAGTTGCTGGAGAAAAAAAACACCAAACTGCGTAATTATCATCTTTTTTCTCAGGTTTGGGATGCCCTCTCTTGATTATCAAGTCCGATATGAGTTTGATGCATATTTCTATTTTTGTACTTACTATGTTACATCATGAATATTTCTGTTTTTATCCATATAAAATGAGTTCTTTGTAGGGACAACTATATATTACTCACAGTATCCCTAGTGCCTGGCACTTAGCACACACTTTATTGGTTAATGATATCACGAGAAGTTGCACTGAATCTGAAATTAGTATTGTTAATATATATGGTTTCTCAACATGCTGGCACCATACAAATAACTTTTTCACAAACTATACAGGGAGGCATTAGATGGACTACTTTTTTATGTACAAGGTTGTCTTTCATAGTTAAGAAAGTACTATACTGAAATTTCCTAAGGTGCCCAACTCGTTTTATATTTTAATTAGTTCTTGATAAATGTTTTCAACAGTAAACTTGCACTGACTAGTGAAACCCATGTTTTTAAACTTTTATTTTAGGTTTGGGGGTACACATGAAGATTTGTTACATAGGTACAACGTGTCATGGGGGTTTGTCATACATATTATTTCATCACCCAGGTATTAAGCCCAGTTACCAAGTTATCTTTTCTGCTCCTCTCCCTCCTCTCACCCTCCCCCATCAAGGAGACCCCAGTGTCTGTTGTTTCCTTCTTTGCGTTCATAAGTTCTTATTATTTAGTTCCCACTTATAAGTGAGAATATGCGGTCTTTGGTTTTCTGTTCCTGCATTAGTTTGCTAAGGATAATGGCCTCCAGCTTCATCCATGTTCCTTCAAAAGACATGATCTTGCTCTTTTCTTTGGCTGCATAGTATTCTATGGCGGTCATCGATGGGCATTTAGGTTGATTCCATGTCTTTGTTACTGTGAATGTGCAGTGAACATTCATATGCATGTGTCTTTATGGGAGAATAATTTATATTATTCCGGGTATATACCCAGTAATGGGATTGCTGGGTCAAATGGTAGTTTTACTTTTAGCTCAATCACCATACTGCTTTCCACAATGGCTGAAACCCACTGTTAATATATCTTGAGATAATATATCTTTAGGAGTAGATCCTTAACTCAACACTTCTTCTCTGTAGCCCATCTATGGGCACTGACTTGGTTACTAGGTGTAACTTGGTTGATCTATTGCCATGATAAAGGTTACAGTAAAACACTACCAATAATATTTTTCACACAAGTCAGAAAGATGCTTTCCTATTAGAAACACAGGAATTTGAACATATAATTTGAATGTAGATAAATTTCCTTAGGAAAAGATATCTAGAAGGAGTCTAGAAGGAGTTCTCTCCGTTGCTAATAAGGTTATTTTTTCTGTGAAGTATATATTACCTATAGATACGTTTGATTTCCTCAAGCCTGTGGCATACATTATATTTAAAAGGATTTTAGCCTATGCCTCAATGTCTATGAGCACCAGCCTACACATCTAAGGATACTGATTATTTGGCTCCAGGGTATACATCATTGTGTACATGCATTTGTACTCCTCCTCCTTGATTTGTATTTCCATGGTTGGTGAAAGAGAACTTCTTTAACCTTATCCCTTTAAAATCAGTCCTCCACCCTATGCTAAATTCCATATTCCAGCCTCATGAGCTATTGCAAATACTACTGTCCCATGTCTTCGCACAGCCTTTGCCCCTTTGCACGTACAGCATCCTCTCCACTCCTTTGCCTGACATTTCTTCTACTTAGGATACTTTCTACCCGCCCAAACCCATGACCTAATTCCTACTCACATTTCAAGACCTAGTTTACCTGCAAACCTCTACATAAGCCATCCCCAGCCCTTCAATGCTGGGTTAAATGCCTCATTACCAGTGCCCCCAGAACACTTATATAGAATTGTCCATTCACTTGTTTTTTTCTCTATTTAAAGTGTTATCCTTGAAAGGAGGGCCTGTGTCTTATCCATTATTATATCTCCAGCAATACAAAAACAATGAAGCTACGTGGGAAAAGAGCAAAGATTTTGGAGTTGTGGAGGCTGAGCACTTAGTAGTAGTATTATCTTGGGCAAGTCTCAATCTCTTCATGGCTTGGTTCCTATCTGTAAAATAAGTAGAACACTGCTTAAGTTGTAGGATTGTTAATATGTACCCAAATATGTACTTGGTGCCTTTTCTAAGCACCTTGCATGCATGATCTCATTTATTGCTCAGCAAAACTTTATGAAGTATATAGTGTTATTACCAATATTTTATAGTTCAGGAAACTAAAACATGGAAAGATTAAGTACCTTGTCCAAGGATACACAGCTAATAAGGACTTCACTAGGATCTGAAACCGGACAGTCTTAACTCCAGAGCACTCATAAGTTCTATACTGCATTTCACTTTGTTGCATAACTTCTAGAGTGTGGTTCAAATAATTGGATTGAGCTACCAGTTCTACTAGATAATACAAGGATGTTATATTTGAGGATCTTTATTTTCATGTATTTTCAGCTTTCAGAAAATCTTATGAGGCAGTACTTTTGCTCTTTCTATTGAGTAAGTTGTATAGATTCAAAAAGGATCTCATTAAGATCCTTCTTAAAATATGTTTTAAGGTATTTCATTCCAAATTAAGGAAAAATACCAAATATTTAGAATAATTATAATTTTCTTAGTTTAGCCCATAAGTCTTTCTCATAGGCCTCAATATATAAACATATTAAATTCCTGCTTCACTTTTAGTCTAACCTTGATACTAAATGTTCTCATTCAATATATTACTTCCGTAAGCTTCTAAAGCATTCTGGTGATATCTAGGAGGTCCCCAAGTTCACTTAGACAAGAATCCTAGATCCCTCTGCTTTCTGCATTCTTTGTCAATTTATTTGCTTAAAAATATATTTTCACAGTTATTATATTTTTATTTCAGATAGGAGATTAAGCAAACAAACAAACTACACTAAAAATCAAAACTCCCCTTACATTAAGTTCTCAGTTATGAACAATCTCTCTCCTTTTTCTAAATATAGCAGTTAAACTTTTCTTGAACAGATTAGATAATTTGTGGTAGGTTCTTGAAAGTGAGGGATTTAGACTTTATTCTTTAGTCATTGGAGAGCTACTAATGGCAATGAGTTGGGTAAAATGCTTTACAAAGATTCAACTGGAGGGTTTCAGTAGGGATTTAGAAGGGAGTTATGGAATTTAGACTGCAGCTAAAAGACTGTTGCAATATTGCAGATGCAGGGTGTGAGAACATTGACTTGGGATGGGGCCGAAAGGAATACAAAGGGTGCTTTTGAAAGATAATATGAAGCAGGAATTTGTAGAATTCAATGTCTGACAAGATACTGGAGCACAAGGAAGAGGGAAAGGGAAGAACCATAGGCTTGATTAATATTTTAAGGCTGGGTGACCACAGCAATGATGATTATCATAAACAAAGATGAGGAATGCTGACTTGGGCCACAGGTGTGGAAAGTAGGGTACTGGAGAATAAGAGGAGGAATAATTTGACTACAGTCATGTTTCAAATAATGGCAGTATTTCAGCATCTTATGTTTTATAAACAAGAGCAAGATTTCTTTGACATAGAAATTAATATATTCTAAAACCCCAAAAGTCTTATTCTTGAATTCTCTTTCCTCTAAATAACTTCTAAATCATAAAAGATCATGAGTTACTGACTTTCTAAAAATAGTGGGAGCCAGGCACAGTGGCTCATACTTGTAATCTTAGCACTTTGGGAGGCTGAGATGGGAGGACTGCTTGAGCAGAGGAGTTTGAGACTAGCCTGGACCACATAGTGGGACCCTGTCTCTACAAAAAAAAAAATATATATATATATATAGAGAGAGAGAGAGAGAGCCAGGTGTGGTGGCACACGCCTGTATTCCCAGGTACTTGGGAGGCTGAGGTGGGAGGATCACTTGAGCATGGGAGGTTGAGGCTGCATGGAGCCATGATTGTGCCACCATACTCCAGCCTGGGTGGCAGAGTGAGACCCTGTTTCAAAAAAGTAAAAATAAAAATAGGATATCTAATTTAGTCCTATTCAAAATTGTGGATGCCTTCTAAGCATTCAGCAAGAATTGATACACATCATATACCACTTCTTTCTTGAAAGGACATATTAAAAAAAAATTTCTCAAATACTTCATTGTACCTAAAATAATCCTTTCATAATATATCTCCTGTCTATTGAATAAATTAGTTAATAATAAGTTAGTTTTAAACTATATAAAAGTGATCAAAGATGTAAATTGTGGAGCTATCCACATATTAGTGACAATTGCAGTTCAGAAAACGCTAAGGGAGCGAGATCCAATACAGAAGACCAAAAGATTTAGGAATATGTCTTGTAGTATGACTAAATTTAAGATATGGAAAGGAGAGCAGAGGCAGAAGGTTGTGTAATGTCACGGAAACAAGGAAGTGCAAACAATAAGCATGGACTATGGTGGTACATTCAATGGAAGATCTAGGAGAGAAAACCAGAAAATGTTGCTGCGTGTGTGTGCATTCTAGTGGAAAAGCCAAATGAGTAGGAGAGTAGTAAAATTGTTGGGTTTTGGCATTCGTCTCACACCCACAATTTACAACATTTGTTTGGTTCACAAATGCAAGTAACTACAAATCAGCCCTCACCTTCATTCTGCACCCTGACTATGTATATAGTTTGCCTAAATTCTCAGTGCAGCTGACCATGTATCATTGTGCCAATCACAATTCAGAAACCTTTTTTTTGTTTGCCAGGTATTGTTTGAGCGTGAAAAAATAAAACCAAGTGACGCAAGTAGGCTTTCTGTGGCCGTATTGTTTGCTGAAGCTATGATTGGATAAAGTCCAGTAAAACCTTTAAGATAGGCTCAGATATAAATAAATAAGCAATGTGTATTTTGAAAGAAACTTGTGGAAGAGTCACATGATTCCATAGCTTTAATTGACCTTAGATATCAAAGCTCAGCCCCTCATTTGCAAAGAAAAATTTTAAGGCCAATAGGGGTTAAATGACCTGCTCAAGCTCACTAAACTAGTTATTGACAAAGCTAATAGAACCAGAAGCCAGTGGAATTCTTATTCCCACATTCCCACTCCATTGTTCATTTTATATGCCATTCCACCTTCAAATGAATTCACAAAACTCCCAGATGCCAACAGTTTTAGCTCAGAAAACAGACATACCCAATCTAGTGGGTACCCAATCTATAGACCAATCTAGTGACAATATAAAAGTACCTTTACTCTGAGACATTCTGAAATTAACATTCACTACAATTCCAAACTGAGTTTTGAGAAGTAAAATTTTAATCAAATATTTAATATCAGCTGTTAAGCAAATTGGTTCAGTTGAAGAACTTCCCAGATTTTATCTAGCTGTTGTTTAGTTTCTCAGGTTAGAAATGAGAAAACACTTTGATAACCTTTCCTATTAGGACTTTGAAAAGGTTTTTATGATAATAAAATTCACATTTAAGAACAGGGACATTTTTTGAAGACATATAATTTTGCAGTGAAACAATATAGATAACACTAGCTCAGCTCTTGTTAGGTAAGGCCAGTTAACATTTTCTCTCTGTTTCTTTCCCTCTCCTCCTCTGACTCTGCCCTTGATGAGTAAAACGATCCCCTAGAGATATTAAAATATGGGACGATATTATTAACTGTTTTAAATCCTGGTGGTCAGTCTGTCATCCCGTGTAAAGATACTTGCTGCTTATGGTAGGAATAGCATATGATGTGAGTTTATTTGGTTTGATCAGTATTTACAGTTAAGACATCATTGTGTTTTTTGCAAGACAATTTCATTTCGGCCCTAACTAACATTAACAACACCTTAGCAAAACAATCCAAAGTAACCCAAATCACACACACACAAACACACTCCAGCCTTTTTGCAACTGCCAGGTACCTGCAGACAAACAAAAATGGTCACCAGATACTCATTACATCCTTAAAGATTCATCTTTTAGGCCTATATGAACAGAGAAAAGACCATATAAGTACTATAATATACTAACAGATAATGTAATTTAGAATAAGAGCTAATTTATTTTCCCCAATTTTTTTTTAAGAACTGCTAAGGTTTTCTGCAGTTCATTTCTTAGGTGGTTGTGAGGTTGCCCAGACTAAGACAAAATGCACAGGAGTCTAACTAGCCAGGTAGGAGGTTCTGGCAGTCACTGACTTAGAGAGCCTCAGGAAGGCTATGGGAGGTAGAGACAAGGCTGGGAGGGGCACAAAGTTGTTATACTTCAGGCTGGAGTCCAGGGAAGTCAGGTAAGGCCAACGTGAGCTTGCAAGGACCATTGTTCTGAGTAACCAAAGCCCAGAGTCCAGGAAGGCAGCAAGTTGGAAAGAAATGTTCAGGAGAGCAAGTGACAGCGAAGGGCAGAAGCCGTTTGATTTCTGCCCTCCTTTGTTCTTCCCACCAAGTGCGGCCATAATAGGCCCTCGACCACTAATTACTACGAGAAAGAGATCAAAAGTCTGCTTGGGAATTCTGCTCTCACTGAGTCAGAGGAACCGGGACCACTTAGGGCACAGAGTTTTGTGATTTTACATCCCAGATTCCTGACTTCCCTATTTCAAACCAAGATTCCAACTTTGAAAGGAAGTGACTGGCCATATATACCTGTTATACTCCAGATGTGCCAATAACAAGAGTTATTTTATTATTTTCATTCACATATTTGATTATATTAATAAATTATATCAAGATTAATATTTGATCACTTATGATATTTATAGGTAAGTCCATCATTTCACAAGCTGTGTTATCTTGGGAAAGTTATATAACCTCATTGAACCTCATTTTCTTCATCTATACCAGAAGATTTAATGCCATAGAGTATAGAAAATACTAATCAACCTAACACTATCGTACTAAAATACTATTCCTCGGGCCAGAGCTGGCACTTGATATAAATTATTTCCATTAGTTATATTATTCTCTTATTACTTCTATTATTATTTTGTTAGCCAACAAATACTTACTGAGAGCCATACTATATATAAACTGTTTTAGGTTCTAGGTTTCTAGAAATACGGTGGTGAGCAAACAGGACATCCTTATCCTCAGGGATCTTATACTCTTGCTTACTTGCTCTGTTGATTTATACATGCCAATTAACCACTTTCTTCTTCACAGAGTAATAAAATATTTGAGAACATGGTTAGGCAATAAGGAAGCCCAAAGATGTAATGATCATAATCCAGGATGTGGATCACTTAAAATATTAGTAAAATATATTGTCTCGTTGCAAATTCTGGCAAATCAGATCACAACAGATTAAATTCACTGTTTCAAGTTATCTGACTATTAAATATAGCATTATAGCAGAATAGTTCACATGTAAGTATTTGTAATATTTGCTCAGACATCTGCTGCCATTTTTATTAAGAATTACTTTACTGCATTTTATATAACTTGATAGCTTCTCCTATGTCCCACACTCATCTTTGACTTCTGCACTCCTGAAATACAGACCTTAGCTAAAACATTAACTCTTTAAAAAAATTCACATTCACACATAATAAGGTAATTGTTTCATATTCATATGCTCCATTTTTCTAATTATCTTCTCTCTATATCGACCTATCACAAAAGTAAATATAGTTAAGGCTTCAATATTTTTTATTCCAAAGACTGAAGATTGAGCTTCAATTCTCTCCTTTGCCAAAGGTAGTTGGTGGCTCAGGGGATTAAAGTGTTAAGAACTTTGAAGAGAGCCCCTTCCAGCATGCATACAAGAAGATCAAGGACACTCAAAGGAAGAGGATGTGAAGCCACCAGTGAGAGAGGAGGAACCTAGTTGAAGTGGGCATCACCAAGTCAGCATTTTTGCTAGTGCAGGCAGTGCAGTGCAGTGCAGTCCAGCAAGGAGCAAGATGAAATTGATCCTTCAGTGTATAAATTAGGGAAACTTGGTAGCTTTCCAAGCTTTTCTGAGAGGGGCTTCAGTCTTTTTTTTAGTAAAATGAAGTATTTCTATATCTACAATCAACTAATCATTGCAGTATATACCCAGTCACAAATGTGTTGTATTACTCACTCTTTTGGGTCATTTATAACATTATAGCTCTCCCTTAGATAAGATAATCAATACATGATTATATGGGGCTTGGCATTGTTGATATACATATGTGTGTTCACACACACTACAGAGTATGACTTTTATCCCAGGCAAGAGGGTCTCTGTTGTGGGCCTCATGCTTCAGAGAATCTCTCTGTCCCTCCTCTGGCTACAGTTCTTTGACCAGGACAAAGAATTTTGGAATCAAAGGATTATACCCACCCATAGCTTGAGCCATAACCTCTTCTTTGCCTTCTGTGGTTACTTGAAATCCCTGAATTTCATTCCCCACCCCCAAATGGCCATGTACCTGCTTCAGCTTCTTCCACAGGCCTGTTTCCAGGAATGGACTATCCCATGGGTATGAAACACTTCTAGGCCTGAGGAATGCTCAAGTGGCAGCTGTTTGCACGGTGTCTGGATGGAATTTGGATATGTGGGCAGAAGTGGCTTCATGCATACTCTTGAGATCCCTCATCTTGCAAGGAGGAGCTGGTTGTGGGAGCTGGTGATGGGAGCAGGTGCAAGGAGGGGCCTGGGCTATGTGCTTTAAATCAGGATCTTCCAGCATCTCTACTTCTTCAACATGAAGCTACAAGGAATCAAAGAATTTTAATTTAAATTTGAACCTTGCCTTTAGGTATATTTTCTAAGGTAGGAGGATAGAACCCACTCAATTAAAGATATTTAGGACGGTTTATAATTCAGCATATTGTATGTGGGCCACTACTTGTGCTCTTTCTAGTCCCATAAATGTTAGGGAAGGGCTTGTATGTATACATTGAATCAAGAGTTCATTTTCCTAGCATTACTGCTATATAATTTTATAAGAGGATGGCAAAAGTTCTCTAAATTTTATAAGGTGAGTTTCAGACTGTGATTTCATACTGAGTCCACATCACATTGGATTGCTTTCCCTAACATGTCTCAGCAAAATATTATACAACCTGATTAAACAAAACCTCATTCCCACACAGCTCCACCTTCCTTACTTGGCAAAGCTTAAATCTGGTAACACCCTTTAAAGACGGTCACTTCGGCCACATTTAAAGGAAATAGCAATTAGGACTCACAATGTTTTTTTAAAGTTAAAATCTATTTCTGATTACAAGGCAGGTAAAACAAGAAAAAATATTACTAAAGAAATAACACACTTTAAACTTTTCTTCCCACTCATCTTCTATTTAAAAAAAAAAAAAAACCCAAATCTTACTAAACAAGCAAAACCAAAAACCGAAATAGAAACAAAGTTGAACCCGATGGGATCATTGTGCTATTTATCTCCCTAATACTTCAAAGCATAGTAATAAT
The DNA here is from genome assembly GCF_000001405.40 of Homo sapiens. Classification (NCBI taxonomy): domain Eukaryota; kingdom Metazoa; phylum Chordata; class Mammalia; order Primates; family Hominidae; genus Homo; species Homo sapiens. Next base: position 181,858,446 of record NC_000002.12, on the reverse strand, counting down.
AAATTAGTAAATACTTTTTGAGAACCCTCTACAGGCAGAATATGAATATGCTTCTAGGTCATGACAGTCAAATGACACATATACAATTTAATGTGGAAAATAGAACATAAGAAATGCTAGCCAAGAGAAAATAGTCTTAATGTGAAGTCAGGGTCAAGAAGGATTATTTTACCATAAGCAGTAGATAATAATTGAATATATTTGATGTAAAGGCAAGAGGGCATTCTATAATTGCATTTTAATTTTTTAATTTAATTTTTTTACTGTGTATATGCCTCAATCATAGACCAACTTGCAGTGGTACTCCTTGGAAACATTGAAACTTAGGGATGTTTGCTTTATCTGCCAAAATACAGAGAGCAAGTCTAAGTGCACCTAGGATCATCTAGTAAATGTGAAGATTTGGGGAAACCTTGGAATATTCGAGTCTAAATAGGGAAGGTATTATATCATCTTACTTTCACATATCTAGGCCACAGAATATTAGCTAGCTGCCCTAGGTAATCTGAAATAGGGATCACAAACAGGGGCAAGGACGAACAGAGAAAGGTGGGGCATGGATTTTCAGGGTATTGTTCCTGAAAAGTAATGACTATTGAAGACAGTAATGACTGTAAAATGCACTGAACCTTTTTGTAGCAAGTAGATTTTTTCTTTGGATATTAATATTCAGTGGGAACATAGTACATAGGTAACAACGTCTAATTTCCAACATTAGCTCCAGTGAGTCATTGAATCACCAGAGCCATATATGGCATAAGTGATGAACTGATCCCACTGTACACACCCAGTGTGTCATAACTGATGATGCTCAAGGTAGACTGTTTATAAACTATCCAGATTTCTCAACATATAGCTCCTTGGAATTAAGTCATTCCAGTGACAATGTTGACTACCTTCTGCATTGTCAAAATATAAATCTAGTTATCATAAATTACTAAGTCTTAACTAACTATTCCTAATTACCTAAACAATTGTCAAGTCTCTAGTGGAAGTTCTAAACCACAAATATGATCCACAGATTATAACTTTGGAAATATCACCATAGGTGCTCAATAAAGTTTGTTGAATTGGATTGAAGTTACAACATCATAAATAGTGCTTCTGCAAGGATGCAAAATGTATCATAGTAAAATGTTTTGTTAGTTGTTTTAGTTTGTAAATGTATTGAATTTTGAAACATTATCTAAACAAATCTTCTTAGGTATGATACAATGTATAATCCATTATGGCTAAATCCTTTTTGAAAAGAAACTGTGGTAAATGGAGTTAGTACAGAAATTATGCCATTTCTGTTAGAAATAGAAGAAAGGGAAAAATTGAGCTGAACCAAGCACACTGAATCTCAGATTTCAGCACTTGCTGTTCCCATTGTATGCAACACTCTTTATTAGTATATCTGCTTTACTAATAAATAGCTATAGTTATCTATTTATCTAAATAGATAACTATACTATACTATTATATAAATAGATAACTATACTATACTATTATATAAATAGATAACTATACTATACTATTATATAAATAGATAACTATACTATTTATAATATAGCAGGTTTATATAAATAGATGCTATGCTATACTATTTATAGTAACCCCTTTCTGTATCACTCTGTATCCTCTTACTCTTTCATTTTCTTTATAACACATATTGATATCTGACCTATTATATACCTATTTTCATACACTTTTCACCTCTTCTCTCTACAAACTGTTCCTTGAGGACAGGGACTATGTTTTGTTCATTATTAAATCCTCAGTATTGAATACCTGGCACATATTTTTTCCTCAATAAGTGTTTGTGAAGGGAATAAATGGATGAATTTCTAAGTTCTGTGTAGGTCAAGATTAAATTACTTTTGAAAATTGTCATCCATTTTCACCTTAAATATAGTAAATAATTTTTTGGAGGTAAGAAATACATCCAAACATCTGAGATATTTAAAAGAACAATACCAACACAATATTCAAAAGCAAGAACAGTGTACAATGTGTACAAATTTACAGAACAAATATTGATACATAAAGCCCCTCAGAGTTGAATTTGCTTGCTAGGGTACTCAGTGACAGATAACTAACATAACTACTAAAGTTATAGCTTCCTTGTTAGTGGTTTAAAACCACAGTTAACTTCAAAATATGGCACTAGGACAACTGAATAAGTACGTGGAAAAGAATTAAGGTAGACCCCTATCTCACACTCTATACAAAAATTGTTTCAAAATGGATCAAAGAACTTAAGTAAAAGTTAAAATTATAAAACTCGTAGAAGAAAACATGAGTAAATATGACATTGGGTTAGGCAATGGCTTCTTGGATATGACTCCAAAAATATAAGCAACAAAAAATAGATAAATTTGACTTCTTTAATATTAGAAAGTTTAATGTTTCAAAAGACAACAACAAGAAAGGAAAGACAGCCCACAGAATGGGAAACAATATTTGCAAGTCATATATAAAGAATATATAAACAACTCACAACTGGATAATTTTTTAGAAAATAAAAACTAGAAAAGGATTTTAATAGGCATTTCTCCAAAGAAGATATACAAATGGCCAAAAGCACATGAAAATATGATCAACCTTATTAGTTATTAGGGACATGCAAATCAAAATTATAATGAGATACTACTTTATACACATAGGATAGCAATAAAAGGGGTCGTTAGGATGCAGAGAAATTGGAACCCTCATACATTGCTGATGGGAATGTAAACTGGTGTAGCCACTTTGAAAACAATCTGTCAATTCCTCAAAATGCTAAACATAGAATTACTGTATGATCTAGCAATTCCACAACTAGGTATATACACAAGAGAATTGAAAACATGTCCACACACAAACTTGTATATCTATATTCACAGCAGCATTAGTCATAGTAGCTAAAAAGTGGAAACAACCCAAATGTCCAGTAACTGATTATGAATAAACAATTGTGGTATATTCTTATAATAAAATATTATTTGGCAATTAAAAGGAATTAAGTGTTAACACATGCTACAATATGGATGAACCTTGAAAACATTATGCTAGATGAAAGAAGCCAGTCAAAAAAGAAAGATTACATACTGTATAATTGTAATAATATGAAAAATCCAGAGTGGGGAAATCTATAGAGCCAGAAAATAGACCATTTGTTACCCAGTGCTGGGCTGGGGTATTGGAATCAGAAATAGAGAATGACTGCTAATGAGAGTATAGGGCTTCTTTTGGGGATGATGAGAATATTTGAAAATTAGATAGTAGTGATGGTTGCACAAGTCTGTCAATATACAAACAATTATTGAAACGTACATTTTAAATGGGTGAATTTTAGGGCATGTAAATTATATCTAAATAAAGCTATTAAAAATGGTCAATTCAAGTAGAAATCGCAGATGGTTAGCAAAATATCACTGTAGTCACTGAAGCTGTCCTACATAATAAGGCCATATAGAGGTGCATGAACTCTTCTAGAGGGGCTCAGATTACACAAAGGCAATAGAATTCTTCCCTCCAGGACCAGTTCTATTCATAGGCAGTGCAAAAAGCCTATCATTTAAAAGGTGCTCAAAAGCCCATTGCTCAAAATTTCTCCTCAGTGTTTTGCTTCAGGGTCTAAAATGCCTTTTACAGTCACCCTGTGGAGTAAATCATGAAGGGCCTTGGTGAAATAGAAACACCGCATGTGGAAATTCATAGTACATTAACTTATTAACACTCATAAGAATAAGCTTATGAACTTAGCCAGGCATTTCGGTAAGGCCCTGAAGGAATGAAGTGCTAATTAAAATTTAAGGAAAGAGAAAAAGATTTAATACCTGGCATATAGCCCAAAGCAGTGATTTTCAGAAGTGAAATCAGAAATGATACAAATGTGGGATGGCACTAAAGACTAACTTTTTGTATACCATAATTTATGCAGCTTGCCTTACCTCTCCTGCCATGGAAATCAACTTTAGCCAACTAGGCTAGATTTATACAATTTTAGCCTTTTGTTCTTTAAGCTTTATTAGGCAAGTTGGTAAATCTAGGATTATAAATCATAATCCTTGGCAGTGAAAAGCCACTGAAGTTTTTTTAAGAAGGGGAGTGCCATGATCAGGTGTTTTAGAAATGTCATTCTGGCTGTAATGTGGAGAACAGATTTGTGGGGGATAAGACTGGAAGTAGGGAGACGGCATAGGGACCAACAACCCACCAAAATGGTATGAAGATTTCTTCAAAGTGAAAACACCTGAGCTCTAACAGATGCAGAAAAAAGTCTTATCTGAACTTCCCTTATCTGACAAAAGTAGAGTCAGCTGCCACAAATCACCCATCCTGGGTAGTCTCTATAAGAGAGGCACTTGAGCCTTGAGAACTGGGACATTAAAAAAAAAAGTATAAAGAATCCTAATTAAAACCTCTGTTATTTGAAACCCTAAACTCCCCCTTTATTAAGCTAGTATATAAACCCTTACCCCTAGCTGTTTATAGAGCCACCTGTTATGGAGTGCTCCCTCATGCATGTGAAAATAAACTTTTCTCCATTTAATCTGTCATTGTCAATTAATTTTCAGCCTCCCCCACACCTCTCAACCACTACCAACCAATAAAGTTGGTAGAGGAAAAGTTTTTTTCTCCCAAAAATAGGTTGGGAGGCTGTTGGCACTAATCCTGGTGAAAAGATAATGGTGGCTTGGACTAGAGTAGCAGCAAAGGGCAGTGAAGTGTTTCAAGTACTGTAGAATCAACAGGACTTAGGGTTGGCTATGTTTGGAAAGGAATGGGGAGAAATGGAAATGAATCCCAGGTCTCTTCCAAGTGTCCTTCAAAGCCTAAATTTTTGCTGGCTGAATCGCCTTCAACAGGTAGAATGTGCTACAAAACCTTGTGTAGGGATCTGTGTGGGTGTGGTGATAGATGGGAGGGGCCAGATAGGATAAAAGCAGGTGAAAGAATTTCTCATGGAAAAAATTTCCCAGTTTAGCAAAAACACCTTGGTGAGCCATCTTTGGTTCTGCATTTGGAAGTTGTCTAAAATGAGCTAGCAATTTGATAAATGAAATTATATTGCTTGCATAATAAAGTAAGAAGAATGTTTTGCTTCAGCTAGAGATAGGTGAGTCAAGTGTTTCAAGACTAGGGAAAGCAATGGAAGATAACAGAAGGTAAAGAAGATGGCCCAGCAAGACATCCAGAGCCAGGTCCTGAGAAAATGGGCTGGCTGGTGGCCAGTCCTGCTAAAGAACAGGGATGTTTGATACTTAGGTTAATGCTATGGGCTGTGCTGTGCTGTGAATATAATGCCCTTGTATTCCAAGACACACAACAAATCTTCAGCCCCACTGCCTGGTGTGAATGTGTTTTATGGAAATAAATGAAAACACATGCGTTTCACATCTGGGTCCATGCAGAATGGATAGAAGGGGATAGCAATAAGAAGTGAAATGGGAGGTGGGGATGCAGCAGGGGAAAAAAGAAAATGATGTGTTTCACACTATTTATGAGACCCAGGGTAGGGACAAAAGTGGGGTCATTTTTATTCAACTATTGTAAGGCTACAAAACTCCGAGCAAGTTGGATAATTAGAGCCACCCAGACAGCCAATACGTGGGTAAACATCTAAGAATCTTTTCAATTATCTTTCTTAAGAATTCTAACTTATAAATTTCCTTCTTCACTTCTGTGTAAAAATGAAAGTACTCCTCTATTTGTGAATGTAGATTATCTGGGACAAATACCTAATGGCTCAGAGTATTAAAAGAGCTATGATTGCCCAGGTGTGGTGGCTCATGCCTGTAATCCCAGCACTTTGGGAGGCCGAGGCGGGTGGATCATGAGGTCAAGAGATCGAGACCATCCTGGCCAACATGGTGAAACCCATCTCTACTAAAAATACAAAAATTAGCTGGGCGTGGTGGCGCCACCTGTAGTCCCAGCTACTTGGGAGGCTGAGGCAGGAGAATCTCTTGAACCCTGGAGGCAGAGGTTGCAGTGAGCTGAGATCACACCACTGCACTCCAGCCTGGTAAGAGAGCGAGACTCCATCTCCCAAAAAAAAAAAAAAAAAAGCTATGATCTGTATCATATATGAAAGGTACCAGTTAAATGATGGAAGAGCTGAGTGTTGGAACACAACAAAATAATATTGTCTGGAGGAGAGATAATATTGGAAAATTGTTAATCTTAATGAATCTCTTCTTAGTGCTTCAGCAATAGGTAGAATTTTGTTAAGACTTCTGAATTAGTGAAAATATCTAAATTCCAGTAAAAAGCTAGTGCCTTTATATCTGGAATATGTACTGAGCCTGTGAAATAGATTCTTTCAGAAAAACATATGAAAACATTTTATCTAATCTTTTTTAAGTTTGTTTTCTTATTGTTTAAATTATTCTCCAATGAGGCCTCCTTGATGCAGGGCAGTGAAAATAAATGATGTACTTGGAAATTATCCTCATGGGTTAACCTTTTATACAGTCATGTTCTTCATTCTGCTTTTCACAGGCCCATAGAGACATAACTGTATTTACCAAGTTACTGGCTCTCTCTGTGGTTACCACAGGAACTCTAATGAAAAATTAGATCATTTTCTCCCCCTGTTGAGATCAATTAAATCTGTAGGCTACTCTTGATTTTCAAGTAAGATTTAATAGAATGTTCCTTGAAAATAAACTGGAAAATGAGAGGTTTTTAAAGTAAAAAGCCATCAGTGCTTGGTTTGGAGTGTCCTCTGTATTTGTATATTCTTCCATTAAAATGAATAAAACTGTTTACATGATTTTGATTCTATAATATGGATCTATTTTTAACTTTACATGAATTAGGTTTTATAGACTGTGGAAATGTTAAAATTAAATTCATTTCCTTTTTTCAGTAGTGACGGAAAAATACATACATTAGCATTGTAATTGGTCACTGGCTCTTGTTACATCTACTATCTGGCATGTACAATTATTTGCAATGAATAACAATAGTCAATGGTGTCACTGAAATATTTTCACCATCCTGACATACTAAGCAGGTGGCAGTTAAAATGAAGAATTGTTTTTGTCTTTGAAAGATTATTTAACTTGTCACTAAGACTGGTTCATAACATCATCTAATAGAAAAGATATGCTTTCAGTTTCAGACCACCCTGGGCAACATGGCAAGATCCAAGATCCTCTCTCTAAGAACAAAAACACAAGATATACTCCTTGATCTTTCATGTTAAACCATGTCTACAGTGACACTTTGGCATAAATTTAGTAGGCTTTCCACATACAACTTTTTAGTAAAACACACTATCTCTAACATTTGTGATGGCAGGAAATTTTTGCAATAGCTTTACAAAATGGGAAGTGGATAAAACATTTCTGTTTTTAGACATAAAAATTCAGGAAATGAAACATAACTAGCTCCTTTTCCTATACCCAGTCTGTTAATTACACTGTCTGACTGAAATTGCTTAGTTTACAATTAGCAGACCTCTCAAATAGTTTTCTCATAGCCATAGTTCTCTCTGGATATATCTGTCATTTGAGGAAATTTCAAAAATAGCAATAGGAAATTCATCAATAAAATTTTCTCCTTCTCTTCCTCCACTAATAGCTACGATAAGGAGTCAGACTATAAGAAAAAAACTATTTGTTTGTGTGCATGGAATAAACTCATTAAAAGTACACCTTTAGCAATATTTTATTACTAGAATGTGAGTATTTTGAACATTTTTGGAGAGTTTCAGCATAGGAGTGCTAAAGAGAAATATAAGCCATTTATAGGAGTAAGCACATTTATCACAAATTTGGGCAGAAAAGATGAAAAATTATATTTTATTAATAAGAAGGAATAATAACTTCAGTTAGCTGTTATTTCCTGAGAAACAAATACATATGTTACTCAATGGTCTATTCTAGAACAACAGGTTTCAAGCCTTAAAATTGGCCTCAAATTTTGAAAAAATTAAAGATTACAACTTAGAATCTCTCTCCCCTTCAGCTTCAAATACATAAGCTTTGCATGAAAATTTACCCAAATAATTAACATAACTAGTAAAATTTGGGGTCACCAACTTGAGCCCTTTGCAGCAGCAGTTGTGTGAGTGGGAGAAATGAGAGAACATTCCTAACGTGTCTCCCTCCCACTGTCCTTTCTTCCTGATAAAGGTCACAGAATTGTTTTAGTTTAGCTTTATGATAGACTGGGGTATAGACTGTCAGAGCTAAAAGAGATTCTTTTAGTCATCTAGATTCATTCTCTTACTTTATACAGAAGGAGAAACTGAGATCCAGAGAATTTAAATGACTTGCCCAAGGCCACAAAGCTAAAAATAGTGGGATAGGAGCTAGAAATTAAGAGCAGGGAGAGTTTTCTCTGTTAAATATTTGCTGTTGTTAGTTTAAATATGTCAGCCCTGTAAGAGATTAATTCAGGTAAGCCAGCTAAAAATACTTATACTTATTGTTTCTCAATATAACAAGGATAGAAAAAAATCTAGAGCATAGGAATGAAAAGAGAACTAGCCCATAGACCAGTGGGACACATCATATGTGCTTTGCTTTTTAAGCCTTTGGGCCAAAATCACACTTAACCATGATCTTGGTAACTAAAAAGGATCTTGTTCCTGGAGTGCTTGTAGAGACCTGAATTAGCATAAGATTCTTAGGAAAGAATTCATCTTTTGTTTGATATTGTAATGATTCTTGATCAGAAAGGCAAGCAAGCCTCTTTTATTGTTACAGACCTAATTATATTGCCATTGCAGTTGTAACAAATCCTTTGGAAACCTTTGACTCAGTTTTGAATGATTTTGGTATGAATTAGATGATCTAATGAGGTCCCTCCTGGCTCTTTCTTTCGCTGTGCCTACTGGTGCCAGCACAATGAACTTCACATGTATGTTTAAGGGAATTACAGTAGCCAGGAATTATAGAATTTCGAATTGTAGATGTATTCAACTTCAGAAATAACCATAGGAAGTTTATTCCAAAGTATTACCCAAATCATTCTTCTAAAGGTTTAAATGAAGAACACTCAAAAGCCAGTATCAGGACAGAACAATGCAGCTGACTTTGGACCAAATATTTGAGTGAGAGGTCTAGCTTCTAGTTTCCCTTTGACTCAGTTCTTTTTCCTACAACACATAAATCTGTATTGACTGTAGCCAGAGGATAAAAATTCTAATCTGCTTTCATAGGTAGGAGATTGATCAAAGGCTCCATTTGATCTTTGAAGTTTTCCATTTTGCTAAAAGATAAGAAAAAAGAACTCTACCTTTATTTCTGAGTTCTCTAGGAACAAATTTAGCTTGATATTATATTAAAACACAACATTTAAAATAATGGCATCTTCTTGACATTCCAGGGACATACTTGAAATAAATGATGCCAAAAGGAGCTAAAAATGGTGAAGGAAATTACAGAAGTGTTTGACTATCATCCAAAAGATTCTAACAGTTCACTCAAAGGAAAATTTCCCTCCACCCTGCAAGCATCTTAAGCCTCTGTAACAAAGAATGTTAAAGATTTTAATTGACTGACAAAATACAAACAAGTGGCAAAAACTTTTGACTTGATAGCTATACTGTTTTTATTTACATACTTGACCATTTTATCAGGAAAATACTAGGTTGAATATTTAAAAATCAGAAATAATTTATATATTATAGAATTTATTCTATTTGGACATAGCAAAGTTCATCAATTTTTTCTAGCAAATAGAACTGTGAATAATACTTTATGCTCCTTCTTATGAATCAACAAGAAATTTGACAAATTTCTATGCTCCTTTCCTCATTTTGGATATGACTCACTGCTCTCGATGTAACCTCGAAAGACCAAGAACCCCTGCTTTAAAGCAAGGAAACAAAAGGAAATGCATCTTTAATTCAAACTGGTTTACCCAGAGAATTCTAGTAGTTATTATTCACTGACTTCTTAAGTATGCATTATAAAGCTGAGTGCCTTAAGTGTCCTCTCTTCAACTTTCCCTGGGGAAATCAATGTAGAAAAGCTGGAGAAGAAAGCTGACTGATAAGTCCTGGACTTGAAGTTTATCAGCAGTTCTCCTTACCCATCCGTTATCTCTAGTAGGCTATTAGATGTTAGCTTTGAGAGGATTTTATTTTATTTTCAAGATTTTGGATCATCTTCCCTCCAAACCCCTCTGACTTTGCAAACAAAAAGTAATAGATCTGGGCTATTTCTCAAAAGCCTTTCTAATTTAAAACCTGACTCCTTTTCTGCTGTTTGACAACCACTAACCCCACTCCCACTCTCTCTCAGATTTAGAAAGTGCTGCAGAGATCAATTCAATACACAAATCTTAAAATCATCTAGAAAGGCCTGTGGTCTTTCAAACAATATTAAAATAAAATGGAAAAAAGAATATGGCATTCTAAGTAAAACTCCACTTACCCTTACTGGAAAATAAGAAAAAATAAATAAAAAGCTAAGGCCCCTTTACTTTCCCAAATCCTAGAAACATGTAGTCCCAAGAGAAACTGTTTCTTGGTTTAGAAGAGTTGAAGTTAAACAATGATCCTTTTTCCATTTCTGAAAAAAAAGAAAAATAAAAGGCCAGCAGAGGCAAATGCTCCGTCGGACAAATTGTTTCAGCAGATGTTCATTGTCCCAGGGAGAAAACAGCCCCTACTTTGCAGCTTAGCAATTGCACATTTAGAAGCTTAAATATTTTTAACTTGAAATGATCCATTTGGTATGAATGAGATGTAAATATTAAAATCATTTATATGAGCAAGTGGTAACATTTTACTATTAAAGTCCACAGAATGCTGGTGACTGTTGTTTGGACTTCATGTCATAATATGGTGATACAACAATTGTAGCCCATCTAAGCTTTTCAGCTACAGAAGCTGGGCTACAATCTAAGGGGTTTTAAAGTCATTTACAATGGCACCTCCAAATAATATTAATAATTATAGTAATATTTATAGAGTACTTATGATATACTAGGCAGTTACAATTATCCTTGAGGTAAGGACTATTATTATGCTCATTTTAAAATGTGGAAATTGAGGCTTAGGAAAGTTAAGTAACTTGACTAAATCACACAGCCAAGAAGTGTTGACACTGGCATTTGAAAGCAGGCAGTCTGACTTTAGGGCAGGGGTCAGCAAACCTTTGTTGTAAAGGTTGAGGTAGTAAATACTTCAAGTTTATAAACCATAAAATCTCTGTCTTAACTATTTAACTCTGTCTCTGGAGCACAAAAGTAGACTTAGACAATATGTACATGCAGGTATATGGCTCTGCTCCAATAAAACTTTATTTATGGACACAGAAATTTAAATTTCATATAATTTCCATGTGTCACAAAGTATTGTCCTTCTTTTGATTTTTTTCCAACTGTCTAAAAATGTAAAAACAATTCTTACCACACAGGCTATACAAAAACAAGTAGTGGGCTGGATTTGGCCCATAGACTGCGGTTTGTTAACCTCTGCTCTAAGCTCTTATTGATTATACTCTCTCTCCCTAGCAGTGTCTTTTTATAATGTTTTTTAATAGAACTATGTCTATAACCTTATCAAGTCATGTCAATCTTTCATAATATAGAATTCTTTGCAGAAATAGGATTGGCTATGTTATATTTACTGGGTTGACTCATATAAAATTTGTCAATATTGGGCTGTTTTGGCCTACACAAGTAGCAATTTCATAGGTTTCAACATAATATTTATAAATGTCTGTTGCCTTAGGAGGTAACAGTTTTTATTTTATTAAAGCTAATAAAGTATAAGCTAGTTACCAGGGGAACATTAAACTATGCAAGCATCACGTGTGGTACACTAGATGATCTTTAAGGTTCGTTTAGAGTCTTTTCTGTGAATGAATTTTGATAGCCTAGGCCTAAAGTTATGAAGAAAGGGGAACTTCATATCATTACATAATTTCTCTGTGACGAGTACTAAACTGTATTTGTGCATTTAGTTTCCATAATGACACTATTAGATAAATATTTTTATCCAGTTCACAGTAGAAGAAATCTAGGTTCATAAAGACTAAGTAACTTACTCACATTTGGAGAGCTAATAAATTGCAAAGTCTGGACTTCAAAGAACAAATGACTCCTCTTTGTTTTGCTTGCATAACAAAGGCAATTTCATTGCAATCTGTCAGTTACCACTAAGACTTTTAAGATAAAATTAATTTTTTTCAAAATCATCACTAGAAAATTATAAGGCAAAGTATTAGAATATCTCTCATTTTCAATAAACTCCAAAAATATACTCATACAATTTTTAAACATTTTCTATAGCTATTATTTGTATTGTTTCTTTGGAATTTTGTATGCCAATAAACCCCTAGTGAGCAAAATTCAATTTCTAATTTGAAGAGAAGAGGAATCATCTTTTGGTAAATAAAATCGTAGTAAGTTAAATGATTACTTAAAATTTATAGCTTTACAAAGTGAGAATTTTAGAGCATCAAATTTTTCTTCATATTTTAACACAGTAGTAGAACATTTAACAGGAAGATGCATGTATTTCTGCATATATCATGTAAACAAGGTTGGTCGAGGTGGCTCACACCTGTAATCCCAACACTTTGGAAGGCAAGGCAAGAGGATTACTTGAGTCCAGGAGTTTGAGACCAGCCTATGCAATATGGCGAAACCCTGTTTTTACAAAAAAATACAAAATGGTGGTGGTATGTGCCAGTAATCCCAGCTACTTGGGAGGCTGAAGTGGGAGGATCACCTGAGGCCTAGAGGCAGAGGTTGCAGTAAGCTGAGATTATGCCACTGCACTCTAGGAGTGAGCCCATGTCTCAAAAACAAACAAACAAACAAACAAAACAAACAGAAGCATTAAGGAAGGAAGGGAAGAAACTACAAAATAACATGAAATAGCAATATCAGAATATTAAAATTATAATACTCTGCTTCACTTATGCTTCTCATTCCCCTCCTAAAAAAGAAACTAATAGCTTCACCCCAGACCATTGAGTAATAAAATATAAAATAAGTAAGGAATTTTAAAGAATTCACTAGAGACAGATATTCACCAGAGGAAAAGAATTACTCTGAGTTATGGTTGCACTGGAAAGATACATTACTGCTTTTTTTTTTCCCTCTATTTTGTTTCATTTTTTCATTTCTTTTCATTTTTTCATTTTTTCTTGTCCTTTTCTTTTTATAGATGCTGAATAAATATCTGTAGAATGAGCAAATGATTATATTCTATAGAATGAAATATCTGTAGAATGAGCAAATCACTATTGAAAAATGATTTGGGCATGGAAATCCAGGAGCACAGTGATTCAACAGATGATTATTGTCTTGCTTTAATGAATCCTTCTTTATCCATTGCTTTTAGAAGCAATGGGGGAAATAATCCACAAGTCATTCAGACAAAGCACTATTTAGTTATACGCACAGCTTAAAGATAATGTGACCATTGTCATTTTACTGGTAATAATCAAGGAAGAGAAAACTGGATAATCCAGTCAGATCATGATTCCTAGACTTTAAATAGGCAGATTCCAGAATGTTCAATTAACAAATAGGTGTGATCTTATAGGCTAATATTATGAATAAAAGGAATAAAGTTACATGGGACTTGAAGACATTCTCAAAACAAAAATTCTGACCCATAATTATGTGTTTAGCCACAATCAGATATATGAGACCTGTAAAGCAGGGTTTCTTATTGACATTTGGAATTGAACACTTCTTTGTTGTGGGGGAGTGTCCATGTATTGTATGATGTTTAGCAGCCTGCCTGTCCTCTGCCTATGAGATGCCAGGAGTACTCCACCCCCTTGTTGTGACAACCAAAAAAACATCTTCACACATTGCCAAACTGAGAACTACTCAAAAGGAAAAGAAAGAGAGAGCAAGCACTCTGAAGTATTAGAAATGTCTACAGAAAACATGGAAATAGGAACATATGAGAAATAACACCACAGCAGTTGAGGAAAGGGTTAAAATTTCAGCATAACAAAAATTTTAAGGCAAAAAGAAAGGAATGTCCCTATGGGTATCAGAGCAAGATTGAAGATTGGTACTAATTGTATTTATATAAACAATAGAACAATTAAAATTATTGTAATATTTTGTATATATCTATCTCCTTCATTTAGGTGAATGATCTAATATTATAGGGAACATTTTTAGGAAAATAGATAATAAGAAAGCACTTTATTAATATATATATTGTTCTGAATTTCTAAACTTAGGTAAATTTCATACCAAAAGACTATGAGGGAAATTAGCAATCAAAGGCACAATAATGTTTTCAGAAATCCTTGAAACAACGTTCAAAAGATGACCCATAGGCTGAGCACAGTGGCACATGCCTATAATCGAACACTTTGGGAGACCCAGGCAGAATTGTTTGAGGCCAGGGGTTTAAGACCAGCCTGGGCTACATAGCAAGAACCTGTAAAAAAAAAAAAAAAAAGTACCATAAGATAAATAACCCAATTTCAAAAAAAAAAAGTAGGTAGACTTTTAAAAAAATTGATAAACTACTTAGTAAGGATCCCTGAAATAATTCTAAATTCTAGAACAATGAAAGAAATGCTGAGTGCCTGCAATAGGAGAACTGGTTATCAAAAAGCATCTTGAGTTCACTATAAATGAGATATGTCAAGTTAACCTCATACTTGACTGGATTTCTCGAATGGTTGATCAGAGTAATGCTATAGAGTAAATCCAGTGTATTCTATTGTCATGAAAAGTTTGCCAAAATCTCTTACACTATCTGTGTTCTTGCAGACAAATTTAAAAACCATGGGCTAGTTGAAACATGGCTTATTTACTCCACACCAAGAGCTAACCATTCCCTCCCTCTTCTACATATCCATCCTTGTTATAATGCTTTTGGGAATTTCTAAGGTTCCTCACAATAAAGTTTTAAAGCCATTAGATTCAATAAGCAATAAATGCCCTTATGATTTTATGGAATATCAATCACTATGTTCTACAAACTACCAATGAATGCAATTCAGTCTCTCCTTAATTAAGGATGAACAAAAATTGTATAGCCTAATTTCCATCCCAACCTAGATGGACATTATTCTTTTTACAAAATTTTTAATCCACAGAGAAGCAAATTAATATCACTTAATATTTATTAAACAAAAAATTTTCAGAGATGAAACCAAGGTTTTTTGTTGCACTACCAAATATTTCCTATGTAGGTATTTTATTAATGTCACAACCACTCTGCTATACTGACAAAGAAGAAACAGTGTGCTAGATATGGAGAGAAATCTACTTATAAGGTACCATCTCAGGCTGATTTTCAAACCACTCCACCCACCCCACACAATCACATGTCACCTTGCTCTAGCAGTGGCCAAAAAAAAAAAAAAGGACTAAGTAAAAATTTTCACCAGCATAGATATTTTAAGCACCATAGTACCAATAATATCAAGAGTACATTTTCAGGAAAAAGAGCACTTTTTGGCCAGAAAAAAAGTGAAGAAAAGAATGTAAACTACAACAGAATTGTTTAATTGCATCTTGCTTGGAAAGAAATGCAAAATCCTAACAAAACTAAAAATGGTAATATCACAGCAAGCATACATAGCCACAAACCACGCATTTATTTAAATGAGCTACTTCAATTTTACTATTATACGAATTAAAAATGCAGTGTAATGAATTTGTGAAAGCCGGTGGTACTGTGATTCTTTATTTTAATTAAAACATAAATAGTAAACTCAAGAAAGGAGACTCCGGTATGAAGAGTTAAAAATAAATGAATGGATTGCATGTTCATATTCAACTATCACTTCATTGACATTATTTCACATAATAGTTTCCTTACCAAAGTGTTTGTTCACATGTGGAAAACCCAAATCATATTACCAGATAAAGGCATGCTGCAATCATTTCTTTCCCGCATTAACTAGGGTTCACATTACACAGGTCATATTTATACTTAGGTGGCTTCAAACCCTGAACAAATGGAAACGTACCTAATGAGACAACAAATATTTGACCTGACTTGTATCCATTTTGGTGATCTTCCTTTTAAAGGAAATATGTTCCTAAAGAAACCCAGAAGTATGCAAGACAGGAGGTAAAATCTTTGAAAGAAAGGATAAATAACAGCTTTCAGCTAGGTTCATCTGCAAAGTTGGCAAGACCTGCTTTCAACGTGCAATCAATGTAAACTCCATGATGCTAAGTATAAGTTCACGAACTTGCAGAGTTCAACCTAAACCTATGAAAGCATGAATTCAAGAATGGGATGATGCTTTGACCTAATGAACTTAACTCATGGAGTCCTTTTCAACCCTTGCCCTACATTACACACAGTGAGCACTGCATTTGTGAGCCTGGAAGCTACTAATTTTGAATCAACAAATGCTGTTTTTCTTTTAATTCAAATGATCCAAAGTAAAAGAGAGAGAGAAAAGAAAAGGAAATGTTGCTTTTCTTCCTGAGCATGACAAATGCCTTTTTTTGTGTGTATCATACCTGTTAGTATACTCCATTAAGTGCAAGGACCCTAATTTTACCTTCATTGTTAAAGGAAAATCATCAAGAAAATAGTCAACAAAAAAGAGGAAAAAAAGATGCTGAAAATATATACAGGTGTGTTTTTTTAAGAGCCAGAAGTAACCAAGTTATACTTAGATACAAGATCAACTAATCTTTCTGAAGTTAACAAGCTATAAAGCCCATTTTGTAGTTGGAACCAAACAAGATTTGAAATCTTTCCTTTAAAGAGACATAATGATATTTGCTTCCAAAGCAATATCAATATTTCAACGCTAAGCACACTCACAACCTCTTGATTTACATATATTCACTACTCTGAAACCAACAACAAGCTCTAGAACCAGTCTCACAGACATCTATTATTATCTCTATCTCTTTTTCTCTTTTTTCTCAGAATCTTCAACTGGAAGAATATCAATGTGGCATGATCTTACATGAAACTCTGTCAAGTAATATCATTATTTTAGATCTACTCATTCACTCAACATAAAAGCATTTAAGTGATTTAGGAAAAGTTAAGCACAAGAAAGAAGGTAGCACTTTCAAATCCAAATCCTACCTGGTAAATTGAAATAGAACAACACTCCCAAAAGCCTTCTTGATTTGCTCTCCTCTCCTCAAGGGACAGCTAAATCACAGCAGCCTATATTCTTAAACCCTAAAAGAAAAATCAGGAAGCTTGATCTGCGCACATAATGGCCGGCATAATGTAAGAAAGCACTGTTTCTTGGCAACTAGAAAACAATCCTTTTCAATTAACTCACAGCAATTGGCCCACATTTGTTGTTAAACAGAGTAAAGCAAATGTTTTAAGAGCTGAAAGGAACCTGGTAATAACTCATCAAGAAAGTCAGATCAGTTTGTTCATTTTGGAAAGTATTTTTAATTAATAGACTGCTGACTCCAATTGCCTAACTCTTTGCTAAGAACATCTATTGACATACCTTCTCATTTCCTTGTAGCATATTCTTTACTTAAAACCCCAATCCCAAATAGTTGCATCTGTTGCTGCAGAAACACACTGGAAAAGTAAAAGGTAGTTCTAGCAAACCAGTGGTGTGCGATATTATCTTGAGTATTTTGATATCATATTTTGCTTTCTAAAATATCAGCTTAAATGTAGCTCTAGGTGCTCATTAGGATACAAAATTCAAAACAGTTGTATGTGATATTTATTATTCTCTTAGCTGTTAAAGACCACTTCCAGAAGGCACTAATTTTGGATGATATGTAAGAAGTTCAGCTGTGCTAGGTTGATTCTATGCTATCTTGACAGTTTTAAAAGATTTACATCCACATGAGAATTTAATGAATTTGGACAATCTTTTTAGGGTGCTGTGTATTCTCACATACATACTTGAAATTTCATATATCAATAGGGGTTCTTATGTGGACCCTTGTTTAAGAATCTCTGCTCAAGGAGGCAAGTCTCCTTGACTTGCCTAGATATTATACATAGATAATTTTTGCTATATTATACCTAGACAATTTTTGCTATTAATCAAACTTAACAATTGCAAATATATTATACCTAGATTATTTTTGCTATTAATTAAACTTAACAATTGCAAATGGTAAAGCTTTAACTATCTATTACGGTTATACCTCCCAAATGAGAAGACAACTTAAGATGCACAATTTCCATATCCAATCAAAACCAAATTAGATGATTTTTATCTTCATTACCCTTCCACTTTTCCAGGATTGAAGAAAAGTATATACCATGATGCTTTACCTCCAACAGCTCTTTTTTTTTCTCTCTTTTATCATCCAAATTTCCCTAAAATCTGTCCACCTTGTCTTGCTATCATTAATGAGCAATTCTTCTTAGGTAATATTTTAAACACATGTCCTTTCTAGGCAATAACTTAGCACAAAGCACTTTCTTTATTGGTGGGAATTTGAAGCAGTGTTGTAAACTGCTGAAGGTACTGTGTTTGGATAGACCTTGGGTAGACCTTCTGGCATCTTCAAATCATACTCTCTACAGCTGTGTACACTTTCCCTGGACAGAACTGGCTGGGCTAATTTTACAAGTGTTTCTTCAGTCTTAATACTGACTCTTCCACTTGCTAGCTCTATGACCTCACGCAGAATTTTTAAACACTCTGTGTCTCAGTTCCTTTATCATAATGTCAAATGAAGTTAATAATATTTACATCATAGGGTTGTTGTGAGGATTGACTAAGATTACATATGTAAAGCTTCTTTTAAAAATTTGCAGCAGATTATAAGTGCTCAAAATTTAGCTATATTATTAACATAATTGTTGTTATTATTAGTAGTTCTGAACTTGATAAATTTCAAGGTTCATTTCAAATTTAGGATTTCCAAAATCCTATATAATCCCTATGTAAAAATCTTAATGTAAATAAAGACTTTTGGTGTATATAATACAAAATTATTTTCTCTCCCTTTTTTACATGTTACTCCTTATTTATTCTTCTATACTTCTAGAATCTGGAGGTTTTATAAGCCTTTTTGCTAATAAAAGAAAATGCACAATTATTTTAAATGTGGAAATTTTTTTCTCTTTCTGAAAAATGCATTCATGTTAAACACATTGACTTAAATAATTTAACCAGAGGCATAGAGGAGTAGAAATTCTCTAAGAGTCTTTTCTTATGAGACATTTTATCTCATGCAATGTAATTTGTAAAAAAATTCATCAGCCTTTTCCTTACATTCTTAAAATGTATGGACCATTTGCTTTTGGTACCATTTTGGATATATTTTTAACCAACAGCTGCAAATCTTAACGTTTGAAAGGAAATGCATGCTTTTGTGTGTTCACCATAAACACAGTTCAGCCAAAGTGGAACATAAAGACTCCATCATCTGATCCTTTCCAGCTTAGAAGGCTGGTTTAATTTAAATCTCAGCCCAATCTATTACGCAGCTCTTGCAATCAATATACCACACCCATTCTGTGTCAGGAAATAATTCAACATTATTAATAAGAGACCAATAGAATCAGTCTTCTTTGATGGGACTGCATTTAGCTACTCAGCTAGATATTTATTATCTGCTTGGCACATGACTTTACCTCTGCCTTGTTCTTTATTTATGACAACCTTGATTTGCCCTAATATCTTGAAATAATTTCTGGTGTGGGGAAATCCACCTATGAAATCTGAAGAAAATGAAAGGACAATATTTGTTTAAAAGTGCTAAACTCTGGAAATTGTAACAGAAATTCTGGAAAATATCAACCTAGTGTCTGTCTTCCAGAAGATTGGGTGTAATGTGAAAGCAGTGTTGCATACACTTTTGGGAAACATAGATTCCTCATGACAAATTCTATAACCATCTAAGTCACAGACTCATTTCCCCTCTACAACTCAGAGAAACGCATAAAAGCATAGCATTGATTAGTAATTTTTGAATGACTTTATTTGTAATACAAGTAAAATGTTGAAATATAATTTATCATAGAAACATTAGCATGCAAATAAAAATAAAATCAGTACTCTTATACAAAAATATATGGAATAATCTGTCATGGGATTAGACTTAGTAAAAAACATGAAAGTCATAATCTTTTCACAGTTTATAAAATTTCAAGCCAGACGTTGAATCTCATGTTACACAAATTGATGAGAAATGTGCAAAATGATTCTTTTGGATAGTACTTAATGATGAAATACTGGGCTGCGCACGGTGGCTCACACCTGTAATCCCATCACTTTGGGAGGCCGAGGTGGGTGGATCACTTGAGGTCAGGGGTTCAAGACCAGCCTGGCTAACATGGTGAAACCCCGTCTCTACTAAAAATACAAAAAATTAGCCAGGTGTGGTGGTGCGTGCCTGTAATCCCAGTTACTCTGGAGGCTGAGGCAGGAGAATAGCTTGAACCCAGGAGGCAGAGGTTGCAGTGAGCTGAGATCATGCCACTGCACTTCAGTCTGGGCAACAGAGTGAGACTCTGTCTCAAAAAAAAAAAATTACAAAATACATCACAAAATGAAATATTTTATAGGCATTGAATAAACTAGAAATAAAAGCCTAGCAGATTATACTCAGTCAAAATAGAGCAGAGACAAACAAATTATTTCTAAGTTCTCCTTTTTGGAGATTAGAAAAAAATTAGGTTTAAGAAACCACTTGGATGCCCATCAGAAGGGTGTTGTTTCTATAATCTAGGATTCTAATTTTCAGACTTTACAAGAAATGCCCTGGGAAAATTTTCAAACATGCAGATTCTCAAGCCCCAGTTGTAGAAATACTGACTGAATATGCATTGAGGGAGGCTGACTAATCTGCATTTTAATAAGTGTGGGACTGACACACGTGGGCTTACGGCCACTGTTGAGAGCTACTGATCCAGGGAAACACAGGTAGCTTGGTGTGTCTGCTTCTCTAACAGAAGGAACCTTTGGACAATTGAAAGAGGAGGAAGGTGGCCAAAAGGAAGTATGATTGGTCATAAGGGAAAATAGGAAAATATATTTCAGCTTCTCTGGGCCAGAGAACAGAATGGAGAAGGGTGGAGATGTACAGAAGATGTAGCCAGACCTATAATGGCCTCCCACCTCTACCTGCAATGCCATTTAATGTAATGGCATAGAAGCCAAAGTCGTCACAGTAGACTACCAAGCTGACCTCCTCTTACTTTTCATTTCTCATACTCTCCCCTGGCTGACTGCACTCGGTCCACCAACTGTTCTTTAAAACAAAGCATCCTCCTTCATTTCCCTCACATCTTCCCTTAACTGTCATCTTCTCAAAAGCCCTTCCCTAACCACCTTCTCTAAAACTGCAGCCCCTGCCCACCCCACTGACACTCCGCATTCTCTTCCTACCTTATTTTTTCTTTCATTCTATGCTTATTGACGCATTCTATACTTACTTATATTGTTCATTTTCTGTCTCCCCCAGTAGACTGTAAGCTCCAGATAGCGGGGGTTTTGATCTGTCCTATTTACTGGTGTACTCCCTACATCTAGAATATTACCTGGTATATTGTAACTGCTACTACAGAGGATTAAAAATAGTCCCCATTAAAAAATATTACATGGTTAAAATTTAGGGATAGAAAGGATATATTCAGCACTAGAAGCGGATAAAACATTTATTTAAAAGTATTGTTCTTTTTCTTCCAATTCTTCTGTGCTCTTCTAGGAAAAAGAAAAGAAAGAGCCAAAGTATGGGAACTTTTTCAACTGTTACAGGGCTTCAAGGTATATTTGTTTTCTGTACTTTCACAAAACTAAGCATGGGTAGTTATTGTTTAACCCTATCGAAAGCTAATAATTATGTCACCTTAGCCTTGGGGAATGAAAAACAGGAAACATTTTATCAAGGTGCATAGATTCATAAGTAATATTTTAAAAGGTTGTGTGAAGGGTGTTAAAAGCATTGTTTTTGAATAGGACAGCATTTAAAGGAAATAAAAACCTATTTTTGGTGAAAGCATTTTTTAAAATCTAGAAATTTGCCCTCTATACTCGATTTCTTTACATACATGTCTAAATCTTATTTTTTTGAACAAGATCATTATAGAAATAAGCCTTAGCAATGGAAATGATTATCCTAATTGATAATGGCAAGATTACAGCATTATATTGCAGATGTTTTTCTTCCAAATTGCCTAACATACAAGAATTAAGAGCAAGGATGACCTTACCAGTTCATTTCAAAAAGGAAGAAAGGGCTAGGCAACCTCTAAATCTTTCCTCCACTCCTTCGCCAGTCTTCTTTCTCAGGAAAGTTGCCTTTTATTTGTATATCATACTGAACTTCCCACCCATAATAAAATGAAAATACCTTTAAGTTGATTACTATGACAAGTAATGGCCTGGTGGCTTTCCAACTTTTTCATCTAGTAGACGGCTGAGCCTTGCTGAGACATGAGAAATGCTTTGGGCTTTCTGCTTTGTACTAGGTACAAGAGTCAAGTGGCTCTCTCAAAGTGATGTATATCATCATAAGCCCCTTGACATTTTATTCTTGTTCGGTTCCAACATCTTCGAAATTCAAAATCTCATCATCAGTATACTAAAAACTGACCATCATATCCCTATTGTCTTCAATAATATACTCTATGTATGTACTCCTCCAAAAATATTCTCATTCTTTCTCTCTTACACACACACACACACACACACACACACACACACACACACAACATATTGAAATTGTGTGCTCATTCTTACCCAAATTGTTAACTGTGCATCTACTCTCTACTAAGCACTGATATTCAATGTTACAAGTGAGGAAAATGAGCCACAGAGAAGTTATATTCCTGAAGTTACAGTTATTTACCAGAAGGGCTAAAACCC
The DNA here is from genome assembly GCF_000001405.40 of Homo sapiens. Classification (NCBI taxonomy): domain Eukaryota; kingdom Metazoa; phylum Chordata; class Mammalia; order Primates; family Hominidae; genus Homo; species Homo sapiens. The sequence continues at coordinate 181,835,740 of NC_000002.12, read as the reverse complement.
AATCTAACTCTAAAACCCAGACTAACTCTAAAATATATGCTTTTAACTACCACACTATATGGCCTCTCCTCAACCTCTTGCCATGTCCAATAAACATTTGTACTTGAAACTTCCCACTACTTTTGTGTGTCAAATAACAACATAAACGAGAATGACTGATAAATCTACTGCTTATGATGCTATTAATGGGTTTATTTAGTCCAATTAATATTTTTTGGCTATTTCTAAAATAACAGCAAGTAATTTTACGGACAAAAGAAGCAAACATTTTCATGCACAGTCTTACCTAATGATGTGCAATTTAGACCTAATCCCTTTAGCCCAGAGATGGAAAACTGACACTCTAAACAAATCTTATTGTGTTCTTTTGTGCTGCCATAACAAGGTTTTTAAAGGATGAAATTCTGGCTGGCAGATGGACTTCTTGGCATCGCTAGACATGCATCACAGAAATTGTTTTGTTTCAAAAGCTTCGAACAAGATGCCATTTCTCACTAGATATTTCCATTTATGAAAGTAATAACTTGTTGCATGGGAGTGTTAAGGGACAATAACCAAACTTTTTAAGGCTTTTGTTCTGTTTATAACTTTTTATGATGTATAAAAAGTGCATTTACTGAAACTCATCCTAATTTGGAGTCTAGGTATTCGGTCTTGGCATATAATATTCCTGGAGCTCCTCTCCTCCACATGAATAATTTCCCTGTATCCAGTAACAGAAGAAAATTAAGACCCTTTATGATACTGAGACTAACTTAGAACAGAGAAAGACGTTCAGTTATATAGCTGTGTGGCCAAAGTTACTCCCTGGAACGGAGGACTTGAAGAGCATCCCTACTTCTTCAAGATCACTTGTTTGCCTTATGTTACTCAAGGTTGCTACCAGATTATCATAACTCCACATCTTCTTGGAGTATGGAAATCTGACTCCTTTTTGAAAATTCAAATAAAAGATTTGGCAATTTATATGGTTTGGCTCTGTGTCCTCACCCAAATCTCATCTTGAATTTTAATCCCCACGTGTTGTAGGAGGAGCCTGGTGGAAGATGATTGGATCATGCGGGCAGATTTCTCCCTTGCTGTTCTCGTGATAATGAGTTCTCACTAGGGCTGATGGTTTTAAAGTGTGGCACTCTCCCATCCCCCATGCTCTCTTTCTCTCTCCTACCACCATGTAAGATGTGCCTTGCTTCCCCTTTGCCCTCCACCATGATTGTAAATTTCCTGGGGCTTCCTCAGCCATGCAGAACTGTGAGTCAATTAAACCTCTCTTGTTTATAAATTACCCAGTCTCAGGTCTTTCTTTATAGCAGTATGATACAGACTAATACAGCAATCTAGGAGTCTGTCTCTTAGGCCTAGAATGGTCAAAAAATAAAAAAATAAAAAAAATAAAAAATAAAAAAAAACAAGAGAAGAACACTAGTCAGTCCTTTACCTTTAGACAGACAGGTGATTACATCATGCAACAGAGGCAAAAGTAGCGTCTCTTCTCTTCTTGAAGAACCAAGAGAAAGAGACCTCACATGGTGCCTTATTAGTTTTACTGTCACTCACAGAATTCCTTTTATTTCCCTACCAAAATTCATGACTTCGACAAATGCTTATACAACATCCCTTATCTGTTTGGTACCATCACATGGCTGGTAATACACGAGAAAGCCTAACAGCAAGGCACCATGTGGTGGGCTTTTAAAAGTGGCTGCAAAATTTTTAGACATTTCTGAAATTGAGAAGTGAATACGCATTTCCTAACTTTAAATCTGAGGTGTTTAACTCACAGAATTCCCTCACCTTAAATCTGAGCATGTTTAACTAATAGAATTTGGGACAACTGATGCTATATAATTTCTAAAGCTAGATCATAGAAGGTGATACGACTTCCACCTTTTTCATGAGAATGCTCACATATGGGGTTCTGAGTTGCCATTTAAGAAGTCCACCTACCAGAAGCTGCCATGATATGAGGAAGCTAAGCTATACATAGAGGCTGCCTGTGGGCACTCTGGTTGGCAGCTAATGTCAACTGCTGGCCATGAGAGCGAGCTTTAGATGTCCAGCCCAATCAGATGATTATAGCCCTAACCAACATTTGACTAAAACTGCAAGAGAGGCTTGAGGTAGGATCTGCCCAGCAGAGGCCTTCCCAAAATTTGTTAAACAAAATCATGAGCAAGACAAAATAAATGTTGTGTTACACAACTAGGTTTTGGGTAGATTTACTATGTAGCAAGAGTAACAGATTATTATTTCTCGGAAATAAAGTGTTTCTAGGACCAGTGAGCCTCAAAGAGGGTATCAGTGAAGGCTTAAAGAAGAGCGAGTGAAATGTTATTTGAGCCTGGAAGATAGGAGCCCTTGGATATGTAGTGGTGGAAAGTTTAGGAAATCTGTCACCTGTAAAAATAGAAATGTACCTAATGAATTAATTGATCTGGCTAAGTATATTTCTAGGCTAAGTGTTGAAAATGACAAGTTATTTATTTAAGCTGAATATCATAAAATGAAGGCAAAGGGATATAAGCTAAGGAAGAAATTACTCATTTTTTTTGAGCAGAATGAAAACAAATATAAGTGGGACAAAATTTACTGAGTTCAGAAATAAAACTATTTTTCATCTCTAGTCTCTCCCAGAAGACAACCCTCAAAAACAAGAAAGAACTCTGGGGCAAAGATCAAATCCAGAATGCTGTCAGAAAACATGATAAATATGAATTCAAGTGTGTGGCTGTAAAACCTTTTCTTAAGACATTAGAAGGATTTAAGGTAATATCTCATAAACTCTTTCAAAAGGCCTTCTGTGGATTTCCAGGATGTGCCTCAAAGACTCTCAATGTTAAATATTATCTTTCTAAAAATCTTAGAGAATAATTTTATAACAGACTCATAGGGAGCCCAAGGTAGAGATCTACTCTGAGATCAACTGTGCCTTTCATTTTTACATATGGACACGCTGTTCAACATTGAATATTTTAAGCTAAACGAGGTATCATACCATTAAACGACCCCCAAAAACCCCAAGTTGCAGGTGAGGGTCTTTTTTAGAAGTTTACCTCAGCATACTCTAAAATACAACATTCATTTTGGAAGAAGCGTGCTTTGCCTGATCATATATTGCTACCTTGATGCATTTGTTGAGAGTCCCTTTGATCCTGGGGACTGTCAATAGATCAGATCCTGATCTATTGAATCGGTTATCAGGTTAAGCATTGCAGCCTCAGGAGAACTACCTGTTGACCATTAGCTAAACACACTTTCAGAAAGTCCAGTTCAGGGAACAGACAGAAGGATTTTGAGTTTGAAGAGAGCATCCTGTGTTGCAGTAGTGGTATGTTTCTGAAGCAGGAGCGTGAAGGAGATGAAAAGAAAGTTTACAGGGCCTGGCATTAGGAGGTACACATGATCTCAGTCCTGCCAGGGCTTCACCTCATTGACGAAATCCTTGACAGCATCAAAAAGCATACTTGATACTGTGACGAGTTGCTGGAACTCGTGAATCCACTTGCCCACCATGTACCAACAGGAAGGAGAAAAGCTCCCTGGATGTGTGTTGATACTAGAGTATTTTGCAATAAGCCATATGACAAGGTGCTATTGAACAGTTTGGAAAATCAGGTTCAGCTGAAGCATGTTATTACAAGAGCAATATACAGTAAGGCATTATAAGAGAAGCTTTAAAACTCATGGGAGATCTAAATTATCCTTGTTAGCAAATCTTTACACAAGAAGAGAAGAGAAAAGGATGACCGATGTCTTTACGCAACCAAACCAAATGGCAGAGTTGAACTGAAGGTTTCAGTTGAGACTTGAAAATTGAAGATGATGATGATGATGCTGGTTTAACAGCCTTCCCAGTCAATTAACTTCCCTGCAAGTAGGGTCCCAGGAAATTTTCTCTAACCTCTGCTCTGGCCCAAAATCCAGAAAAAGTGGGAAGTCCTAGGGAGAGACCAGGTTCATTAATTTACTTTTAGTTTATGAGATCTGACTGCAGAGAGAATACCTGTGACCGTCCAAGTACAAATCACATTTAGGTGGTTCCCATTTGTGTGGTGCACATTCAGGAAAGTGTATAGAGTTGCCAGATGAAATGAAAGTGTCTTCCCTTCCCCTCTTCAAATTTGGTTATAGAAATACCCTAAAACTTAAAGTATAATAAAAAAAAAAAAAGAAAATATCAGTATTTTCTAGGAAATGATACTTGCTCTGGGAGACTTTCCATAGCTATCTGGAAATTGAAGTAAAAAACAAGGAGGAACCAAGTAGATAGGTCATCCTTGCAAAAAAAATGCCCCATAGATATTCTGGATCCTTTTTGTAGGAGGCAGAGATCATGCAGTTAGGAGCTAAGAAGAACAGAGCCTGACGCACCTTCCCTGTATGTAGGTGTCATTAACCCAGAAGTAAGCCTTTATTCTGAGAGTAGAAGATGGTAGAATATACTGAAAAGAAATGTATTTTTTCAGGCCCCATATTTTCTACTGCTATGATCCTTAGGAACAATTGCATAGCCCTCAGCAATTCACATATCATGGGATATCTTACTAATGTAAGGAGATGCCTCCTGATTAGGCTGACGCAGTGACAGTACTAGTATGAGGACAAGCACTGTGCAGGTAAGGAGGAGAAATCTTCCCAGTATCCAAGTGATAGAGCAGAGCCAGAAATCAATACCTCAAGGGCTAGTCCAAATCCCCAAAGAGAAAAGGGACTTATGTGGGCTCAGAGGAGGAGGTTGAGGCTTGGGTGCTACAGGTAAATTCCATGTTCTTTCCCCCCATGCCTCAAGAAGAGGATTTTTCATGAAACGTGACCAGTGTCTGTGTTTTCCCCACTCAGGGATGCTATATTTAATGCTGTTGTGTGCCACCCAGATCGCCTTTTAGAATCAAGGTAGTCACTATCCTAGTTGACTGGAATTTGGGATGCTGAGGGCTCACAGCTGTGTCCTATTTGAGGACTTGCCCTTAGGTGAAGGAAGCTGTCTCACCCAAGGCTATCTGCTCTCCCTGGCACACAGAGGACATCCAATGCCTAGGCAATGCAGAGAACAAAAGTTTGTCCCCCAAGCCTCGATTCAGGACACTTCTAAATGGCCACTGCACCTGCAGAAAACCCTATAGGATAGATGGAATCTATTCCTGTAATAACAGCATGAGTCAGCTTCTCTTCTCATGTGTCCTGGGTTAACAGTAATTCTTTTAACACGTTAACTGGTTCTAACTTGATGTAAAGACATTTTGCGAGATGTGATAAAAATCAAAATTGTGACCTGGTCTCTGACTTCAAGGAGATTTTTAACTTACAGGACAGATAAATGACTCCAAAATATAATACAAGGCTGTGTGTCCCAAGCGTAAGGTGCTAAGACATTTATTCATCCAACTTTATGCACCTGCTGTGTGCTTTGTGCAGCGATATAAAGATAGTAAGATGTTAGCTCTAACATTAAAGATTGCAGGGTGTTCAGAGGAGGGAAGATCTATTTTTGACAGGAGTTTCTTCATGGAGACTCAATTTATTAATGTCTCACTTCCTGAAAGATTTGAGTTGGATCATAAAAATATTTTATGGAGGATTCGGGATGATGGAATAGGAGGGAAATTCCAGGTTGAAGTAATAACATAAAGGCAGTAAATGGAAATCCTTTTAGATTATGAGAAATACTTTCTCATAATCGTTACTAATGCGATCTTTCCAAGTGGAGCAGGAGGAGAATATTTAACAGGCAAATGGAATTCATGGTAGGGGGAGGACTGAAGATGAAGGTACTCAGGTGATCTGTTGGGAGAGAAGGAGGAGGGCTCTTGGTATTCTCCTGACCAATTTTGGTGGTAAATGGACACATGCAGAACTTAATCCTGAGAAAGGCACAGCAACTAGGGGCCCAGACCCCCTCAGGGAGAAGGGTCTGGGTCATCCCACCAGGTAAGTAACCAAGATGAACAGAAAAGATAGTTAAGGGTGAGAGGAATCTAGTAGATGGGGTAAGTAGATGAGAGAGACTAGAAACATCAGGTGCAATCTAGAGAATAGCTGGAGGGGTAGAGGTGGGGGTAGGATAATGGCAAGGGGTTGGGAGGAAGGAGGGGGACGGGAGAAGGGCTGACATTGTAGCTTGTCCCACTAAACTTCCTCTTAAAATTTTTCCAGAATTGTAAGTAGGAGACAAATTACAATTTTGGAAGTGTTGTTCCCTTGTGGGGGGAACATACTATATGAGGCTAGTGGAGTGGAGTGGCACAGGCTGGATTGTAGTGGATACATTTGAATACCTCCCAGATCCCCTTCATGATCAGGGCACACTCCAGATGCCTGGGGTATTGGCTCTGACAACTAGCAGCTGTGTCCAACTCTGTGCTCTCAGCTGAAGGAAACTGCCTTGCGCAAATCTATGCCCCAATTCTTTGGGGCAGCCTATATCCAGTGATTGATTCTGTAATGAAGGACATCTTTGTAGGAGCATTTCAACCTTGCAAGGTCTCTGTGGCACTAGGTAAGGCAAATGTTTCAACCACACCTCATTTCACTTCTGCCTCTGCCCTGTGTTGTTTTTCTTGCACCTTCACAGATACAGCTTTCAAAAGCACTTCTAGTAAACTCCCGCATGCAAATCCCTAGGAAATTTTACCTGTGCCAATAGGTTATATTTATAAAGCTGAATCTCTAAAAAGGGAAGATCCTGATGCCTCATTTATTTATTTATCTTTTTAGAAACAGGGTCTTGCTTTGTGGTCCAGGCTGGAATGCAGTGGTGCAATCATAACTCCATTTATTTTTCTTTTTTTTGTAGAAATGGGGGTCTCACTATGTTGCCCAGGCTGGTCTCAAACTCCTGGCCTCTAGTGATCCTCTTGCCTGAACCTCTCAAAGTGCTGGGATTACAGTTGTGAGCCATCATGTCTGGCCTGCCTCCTTCATTCTGATAACCTCTTTAAGGGGTTGTCTATGTAATGCTGAGTGTAGGAGATACATATTCTGCCTAAAATAAGGGAAAGAATTTGGAACTCACAGGAAGCAATTTCATAGGAAGGGAAGGAAGATCACAAGAGGGAATGAAAATGAGTTAAGAAAAACTGATAAATGTGTAAGGAGGGGTGGAGTGTGGGGAGGATGTAGGGTAAATCCACCTGATAGCAGTAACTTAGGCATACCCTTAGAATGAACCTACAGGATAGTTATATCTGAATGTGTTTTCTGAGCTCGGGAATCCGGAAGTGGCCAACTCAGGCATTTGTTCTTTATGATAAACATCTGAGCCCTGGCCCATCCTGTGGAACACAGGCTGTACAGGGGATTGAGGCCCTGAGTTCTGGATCAAATGAAGGTTGTCAAGTGGAGGTCATCAGGTGGAGGGTGTTAAGTGAAAATGCCCTATCAACTGCATGCTGTTTGCAAGTGGTTGCTATTTTCCTGACCAGCCGCTACCACTGGGCCATGCAGTTGTGTTGTCCAGCCAGCTGCCACCGGACTGTAAGTAAGGCAGATATCTTGTCTAGCTCATTGCCACTGGAACATTTCTGTATGTAAGGAGGTTCTCCTGTCCAGGCTGCCACCACTGGACTCTTTCCTGAGCCTCTAATAAAGCCCCACGTCTCCTTTGCTGGCTGCGGGTCTCTTAGGCCTCTTGAACCTGGTGCCTTCCCTACTGAGGTTAACAGGGCTTTAGCATAACAGGAGAGTAGATTTCTTGTTGAAACCAGTGAAGGGACTGAGTTTTTTATCCAGACTGAAGTGGAAGAGAAGAGTTAGGCATCCGTCGATAGGGGAGTCATACACAGCATCTAATCCCTCCTCCACCTCCTTGGGAATTATGAAAAGCCTGGAACTTCTACAGGTCATTGAAATTTGAACTTTGAGGTGTAGAAAAATTCATACCAAATATCTGGATTACAAAATATATTTGGTGTATCAAGTGGTTTTCCTCTTTTAGAGCTGAATTTGTTTTTATACCCGTATCCCCTCCTAAATAATTATTTTAATTATTTGCTGTGATCATCGTGATTTATCATCACCTCTATTATAAACTCTAGGGTCATCTTTGGCTTTTCCTTCCGTGGCTGCACCTAATATGTCTGGAAATCTCATAGGGTCTGCATTTAAAATTTCAAATTTAGGAAGTTCTTCAATCAAAACAAATATTAGACCCGCCATAAACCTGGATCTATATAAAGAGATGAAGAGTGCTGGAAATTAAATAAATCAAAGTAACAGAAAATTGTCTTACTTTAATTTGCTCTCAAAAACAATTGATTATCTAAAGCAAAAACAGTAGTAATGCATTATATGCTTGTCGCAAATGTAAAAGTAAAACGTGGCCAGGCTTGGTGGCTCACACCTGTAATCCCAGCACTTTGGGAGGCTGAGGAAGATGGATCACAAGGTCAGGAGTTCGAGACAAGCCTGGCCAATATGGCGAAACCCTGTCTCTACTAAAAATACAAAAAATTAGCCAGGCGTGGTGGCGGGCGCCTGTATTTCCAGCTGTTCAGGAGGCTGAGGCAGGAGAATTGCTTGAACCCGGAAGGCAGAGGTTGCAGTGAGCAGAGACCGTGCCATTGCACTCTAGCCTGGGCAACAAGAGTGAGACACTGTCTCAAAAAAAAAAAAAAAAAATGCACCAAAGTTGGGAGGAAGGAATTGGATATATACTGTTTTAAGGTTCTTATACTACATATAAAGTAGTATATTTTAAGGTATATCCTGATTAATTAAACATGTATATTTTAAAATATACAGAAATAACTAAAATATTTATAGAAAGGTATATCTAATATGCCCATGGTAGGAATAAAACAGAATTTTAAAAAAATCCAAAAGAAGGTGAAAATAAAAATAGGAGAAAAGAAACTAAGAACAGATGGAACATTAGGAAAAGCTAGTAAGATGGTAGTTGAATCAAACCACAAATAATTAAATGTAAACAATATAAACACAACAATTTCAGATAAATATTGTCAAATTAGATTTTTTTAAAGCAAGATCCAACTGTACACTATCTATAAGAAATTTATTTTAAATGTAAGACATAAGTACAAAGTAAAGAGATGGGAAAAGATACACCGTTAAAACTAAACAAAAGAAAACGAGAGTAGCTATATGAATAACTGAAGTAGGACTCAATGACATTTACCAGGGATAAAGAGAGATATTACATAATGATAAAGGGATTGGTTCTCCAAGAAAGCATTATTGTTCTACATGTGTAGGCATTTAGTAAAAGGACTTAAAAATACATGAAGCAAAAATTGATAAAAATAAAGCAAATCCACAATTGTGGTTGGAGATTTCAACACTATTCTTGCAGGAATTGACAGGACAAAAATAAAGAAAATCTTTAAGGATATAGAAGACCTGAACAACATTATCTATCAGTTTGAGCTTATATAGGGAGAACACTTCACCAATTGTTGAGTACACATTTTTTTTTCAACTTAATATGGAACATTTATTAAGAATCACCATCTTCTGGGTCATACAACAAATCTTAATACATTAATACACTTAAGTTAATTGAAATAATGTAAAATGTTTGAGACCTCTCAAAAAGACATCTAGAAAATCTCCAAATATTAGAAAATAAAAGTAATTATTTCTAAATTATCCATTTGTCAAAAGAGGAAATTACAAGGGAAATTAGAAATCATTTTGAATTGAATGAAATTAAAGCATAACAAATCAATTTGTGGGATGCAGCTAAAGCAGTGCATAGAGAGAAACATACAGTAGGAAAACCTTTTATGACAAAATATATGCAGAATTCAACTACTCAGTTCTACTTACAATCTATCACTCTTCCTCACCTAGATTATTAAAAAGCCTCCTAACTGTTTTTGTAACTTCTACCCTTGCTTGCTACGGTCTTCTTAATACAGCAGCTAGAGTGATTCATTTAAATCCTATGTCAGATTATGCCACTCTGCTCAAAATCTACATTGATTTTCCATTTTTCTCAGTGTAAACGTCAAAGATCTTATAAGGCCACCTTGACCCTGTATGTTCTGCTCCACCCCTTACCTCTGCGATCGCATCTCCTAGTTCTACCTCTTCACTCACTCCATGTGGCTCCACACCCTCCACACTGTGCCTGAAACACATCAAGCACCCTCCTGCCTTGGACTTAGACACTGGCTGTGCCCTCTGTCTAGAACAGTGTTTTCTCCAAAAGTCACAGGGTTAATGCCTTCAAATCTTTGCCTAAATATGCCCTTCTCAATGAGGCTATCCTGGACCATCCTCTTTAAATTGCAACCTGTCATTCTTCTAGCCCCAATTTGCCCAATGTTTTCCCCATAGCATTTATCACTTTCTAACATAATATGTATTTTCTTTTGTAGATTTCTTTTTATCATTTGTCTTCCCACTAAAATATAAACTCCAGGAAGACAGTGATTTTCTGTCCCTCTGTTTTTCCTTTTTCCTTTTGCTGGTATATCACAAACACTCAGAAGAGTGCCTGATGTGTAGTAGGCACTAAATACTTGAGGATTCCAAGAATCAAGGAGACAAGAGGGGTGTATAGGATTACAGAAGAAGGTGAAAGGAACAAGGGGAGAAGAAACCTTATGCAATTTAACACTGTGAATAGGAAAGATTTGTAGGTGTTTGAAGTAGTGGTGCAGCAAATTCCATGCTTGAACATGCAACTACTCTCAAATTCAGTGCCCCTGAATTTTCCTCTTAATATTTATTTCTGCGGTGAGGCCTTCAGAAAACTTTTTATTGTAATTTTCATATTTCTTTCCATTTCTCAACATAATTTTGTAGATTTTCTGCCTTTTTAAGGCTGGTATTTATATGAATAACATGGGGTTCATAATGGGAGGGGTGGCAGGATGTATGTCCATATACCTGGAAATTACATGTCAACGTACATACGTATATTTAGTCTTGGGGAGGGAACTATAGCTTTTTTATATTCTTAAATAGGCCTACATCTCAAAAAAATTTAAAATATTCATTGACTGTATATATAAGATAATTTAGATTTAAGAATGCATACCTTGTCATGTTTATAGTCAACTGATCTTCGACAAAGCCAAGAAGAACATACACTGGGGGAAGAATGCCCTCTTCAATAAATGGTGCTGAGAAAATTAGATAGCCACAAGCCGAAAAATGAAACTGGACTCCTAACTCACCATATACAAAAATCAACTCAAGAGGGATTAAAGACTTAAATGTAAAACCCCAAACTATAAAATTAGGAGAAGAAAACCTACAGAAAACTCATCTGGACACTGGTCTAGGCCAAGAATTTAGGACTAAGACCTTAAAAGCATGGACAACAGAAACAAAAATAAGCAACTGGGACTTAAGCTTTTGCACAGAAAAAGAAATAACAGAGTGAAGAGACTACCTGTTGAATGGGAGAAAATATTTGTACACATCCAACAGGAGACCAATATCCAGAATATACAAGGAACTCAACAACAACAACAAACCAATTTCATTAAAAAGTGGGCAAAGAACATGAATAGACATTTTTCAAAAAGAGGACTACAAAAGGCCAACAGGTATATGAAAAAATACTCATGATCACTAACCATCAGGAAAACCCAAATCAAAACCACAATGAGATATCATCTTACCTCAGTTGGAATGAGTATTAGTAAAAAGTCAAAAAATAGCAAATGTTAATGAGGATGCGGATAAAATGAACTGTTAAATTATTGATGGGAATGTAAATTAGTACAACCTGTATGGAAAATAGTATGGAGATTTCTCAAACAACTAAAATAAAATAGAACTACCATTTGATCTAGTAATTCCACTACTGAATATCTTCCTAAAGGAAAAAGAAATAAATATATCAAAAAGATATCTGCAGTTGCAGCACTATTCACAATAGAATATATGGAATCAACCTAAATGTCTATCGCCAGATGAAGAGAGAGAGAAAATGTGGTGTATGTATATATGTAATGGAGGCCAGGCATGGTGACTCATGCCTGTAATCCCAGTACTTTGTGAGTCCAAGGTGGAGGATTTCTTGTGGCCAGGAATTCGAGACTAGCCTGGGGAATATGGTGAGGACCTGTCTCTTGAAAAAATAAAAAAAAATTAGCTGGGCATAGTGTCATGCACCTGTAGTCCTGGCTACTCAATAGGATTGCTTGAGCCAAGGAAGTCAAGGCTGCAGTGAGCCATGTTTGTGCCACTGCATTCCAGCCTGGATGACAGAGTGAGACTCAGAAATATATGTGTGTGTGTGTGTGTGTGTGTGTGTATCTGTGTGGTGTATACACACACACACATATCTTGGAATCGGACTACTCTGAATGTAACCCCTTTCTCTGTCCCTTACTAGCTGTGCAATTTTCAGTGTATGCTTTAATAATCTGAGTGTCTGTTTCCTGTGTAAAGTATGTGTATATGTATATACGTATGTGTGTATACACCACACACATACACACAATGGAATACTATTCAGCCATAAAAAGTGAAATCATGTCTTTGCAGCAACAAAGATGGAACTGAAGGTCATTATCTTAAGTAAAACAAATCAGGCACAGAAAGACAGATGCCACATGTTCTCAAAAATAGGTACTAAAAAGTATTCATGTGGACATAGAGTAGAATTATGGATAATGGAGACTCAGAATGGTGAGAGGCTTGGAGCAGGGAGGATGATGAGAAACTGGTTAATGGGTAAAATGTACATCATGTTAGTGATAGATAACTGAGACCTAGCTTAATCACCATGCAATCTGTGCATGTAACAAAATTACACAAGTACCCCATAAATTAGTACAACTTTTTTAAAAGATGGTGTGACTTGGAGTCTGACCCCTCTGAATGTAACCCCTTGCTCTGTCCCTTACTAGCTTTGCAATTTTCAGCATATGGCTTAGCGATCTCAGTCTGTTTCCTGTGTAAAAGGGGAATGCTCATACTGACCTCATTGGTTTTTTTTTTCTGTGAACACAAAAAGACATGATACATGTACGAGACTCAGCAGAATATGAGACTTGGTAAGCACTCAAATGAAAGTTATGACTGTTACTAGTATTTGTAAAATCCTGCTTTTAAATCACTGATTTAAAACTCAATATAGTTTCCCTTTGTAATGTTATCCACATAACACTCCTAGACAATGTAATACAGCATGTAGAAAGTCAATAAAAATATTTGTTACATTCTACATGTATGTATATGGATTGACTGTATAAATTTATCCTAATAGATAAATTAGGATACATTTGGATGGACTATATAAACTTATCCTAATAGAAAAGAACTTCCATGGGGAAAAAAATATTTATTCACTCTCTTATTCGCTGAACTAATAATTACTCAGTATCCTTGTTTCGCAGAGTACTACGTATATAGCAGCAGTAATTTCCTTCAGGAAAATATTCTGTTATGAAATCTCCTCACACAGAAGCTTTAAGTGAGAGACCAAGACACCTCCCTTCCTACCCAGTACCCACCCACTAACTTGTCAGTAGCTGTGTAGATGACCTCAACTCCAGCTCCTGCCATTGGAAATAGTTCTGTGGCCTTGGCAAGGCCTGTCCCCGGGGTATTTCTCAGATTCGAGCTGGTCTCTCCCACTTGTTTTCTAATAGCAATATTCTCACTGCCACCAACCTTCTCCCTATCTCCATCTTGAGTCATATAACTCAACCTCAATTTTGCCCCAAAGTTAAATGTCCACAAAGGAAACTCTACATAACTATCATTAATATCATGTGACCATGTTATTTTTTATTTTATTTTGAGATAGGGTCTTGCTGTGTCACCCAGCCTGGAACGCAGTGGCATGATGATAGCTCATTGCAGCCTCAGCTTCCTGAGCTCAAGTGATCCTCCCACCTCAGCTTTCCCAGTAGCTGGGACTATAGGTATGCAGCATCTTGCTCCCAGCTTAATTTTTATTGTTAAATTTTTTGTAGAGAGAGGGTTCTCCTTATGTTGCCCAGGCTGGTCTCAAACTCAAGGGCTCAAGCAATCCTCCCACTTTTCAGCCTTCCGAAGTGCTGGGATTACAGGGGTAAGCCACTACACTCAGCCTGACCATGTAATTTTCCTAGCAGCAATGGGGTGACATGGAAGGACCAATGATAACAAGAGAAAGATAAAATCCCAAATTCCGCCTCCCCTCAAAAAACTCAAAAGTAAGTTATACAGGTATAAAGAAATCTAGGTCCTGAAGTTGGCAGTTCTTTCTTGATTTTTAACCATAGCTGCTTTTTTTTCTTGAAACTTCTCCATAGTGCAAATGACAGTTTCCATGTCTTAAGTCTGCCCACAAAGTGGTTTCCTTATTAAATCTATCAAAAAATGATTGACAGCAACAAGTTTAGGTTTGATTTCTTGAAATGGACCAAATTTGCAAGTTTTTCACTGGCATCCCTTTCCAGACACTAATAAACGAACATACTATTTAAGTCTGCCTCAAAGAGTGGAATGCCATCTACAAGTATGTGTTTATCAGTGTGGGAAGGGACCTTGCTTATTCTGACAGTTTGGAAACTTCACTAGAATGCTACCATAACACCTGCTCATATCTCGCATTTTCCCAATCACCCTGTGGCTTTCTGTCTAAAGCATACTACACTTTCTTCTTTCAGACTTTGAAAGTTCAATTCAGAATCATTTCACTGGCTCTGTGAATAAGTTTAACAAGGCTGTATTCAGCCTCTTGTTATCTTCCCATTAATTATGTTCCTCAGAACACAACAGGCATAAGAATTTAAACCATCAACTTTAACTTCTGAGATGCTTTCCTTTCACAAATTAGTGTTTCTCAAAAGGAGCTGTAAAAATAGTGACACTGACATTCTAGAAAAACAAAGCAGCTACCTTTCTTTCAACAGTTCTCTTTGAGCTAGGAGATACAATTTTACATCTATATTTACCTCCCAAACTATATTTCAAAGCACTACTTTAAAGAGAGCTGGTATTCTTTGTCCTAAAGATGATGAAAGATAGAGTCAGTTGTTGAGGAACATATATTTTGGGAATGATAGCGGGCCCTAATTAAAAACAAGCAAAAAAGCACAGAAATTTGAATGATGACCATATATAAATGATGAATCTTTAGCAGTTCTTAAAATTTTTCCCTTACCAGCAGGGCACGGTCGCTCATGCCTGTAATTCCAGCACTTTGGGAGGCCGAGGTGGGTGGATCACCTGAGGTCAGGAGTTCGAGACCAGCCTGGCCAACATGGTGAAAACCCGTCTCCAATAAAAATACAAAAATTAGCTAGGCGTGGTTGTACACATCTGTAATCCCAGCTATTTGGGAGCCTAAGGCAGGAGAATCCCATGAACCCTGGAGACAAATGTTGCAGTGAGCTGAGGTGGCAACACTATACCCCAGGCTGGGTGACAGAGTGAGACTCCGTCTCAGTAAATAAATAAATAAATTTTCCTTGACCATTTAAAGCACTTTTTGGAAATGGAAACCACAGTCTGCTGACCCATTTATCCAGTCCCTTTTTATTATCTGTGCCCACCACTATCATTACATAGCATGTGACTAGAGATTTATTTCCATATAGCAACTGGCAAAATAAGCAGATCATATTCACACACTAGATGTTTATGGACTCTTTATGAGTGAATGTCTCTATGATATATCTTGTAAGAGTAGAAAATATGAGACATGGCTTCTGTCCTCAAGGAGTTTGTAGGTAAATAAAAGAAGTAACACTGACATAAATAACCATGCTATAAGAAAGAATCCCTTTAAACATCTGTTTTATTTCAATGTAGAAAACAAAAGCACATTCCTAGGTGAAGTTTAAGTGAATCACATAAGAAGGGTACCCTTTGGTCTTCTTCATAGCCATTTCACTTTATTTGGTCCCTTTTCTATTTCCTGCACTATCTGCCCCTCCTCAACACCCTCCCACAAACAAATACAAGAACAAATCCTAAAGATTTCTAACGGCAGATGCATCAGAATTCCACACAGGTACCTTGTCTGAGGCTCTTCCCATGCTAAGCACAAAATAAAGTGTACTACTAACTCAGATACAAATCTTATGCCTTATTCCTCTAAAAGTGTTGTATATCTTTAATCTTAACACAGGATATCAGTAGAGATTGTTTATTAAAAGAGGAAATTGAAACACACAGAGGCCATTAGCCCACATTTTAGATATTCCATTAATTATGAGGCTGGCATTAGAATCTTTTTTTCCAAAAGGAATTAGGCTTTGTTCCTAGTTCTGGGGTAGCTAGGAATTACTATTACTAATTACCCCATCAGGGGACTGAAAAAAAAAAGCGATCAAAGAGTTTAGGGATATACAGTATCAGGAAACAGTCCCTGCTTTACCTCCTCAGAGTTCAAGCTACCCCAAGGTGAGGAAGTAATGACGAGAATCCCTCAGGGCTCTTCCCTGCCATGAGCTGGGAACACATAGCTGATACTGGAGAAGCCAATGATGTGTACAATTTGGATCCAAAGCCCCATTTTCCAGTTCTACTTCTCTGATATATTTTTCCCCCTTTAGTACTACAGATTTCTTAAATCAGAGATTATACCACCTTCCTCGAAAGTATACTTTTGCTTCTAACTCAGAGCCCCACCTTCATTTCAGATCTTTCTTTTCTCTTTTCCCCTGCTCAGAGGCCCTATTATTCATTCCTCCTGAATCTTTGCCATACTATAGGCCTTTATAAAACAAGCTGTGGGGAAGTGTGGTGCCCAGAGACAGAAAGAATTTAAAATGATACAGTATAAGCTGCCCTTTCAGGCTTTATTTACTTTTCACATCCTATGTTCACTTCTGACAGTGAAGGGCAACCATTTCCTTAGTATATCAATCAACCAAAAACAATACATCAAAGCTCTGACTATGTTCCAGGAACTGTCTAGCACATTATCTCCTTAATGTCTAGAGAAAATACCTACTGAACCTCTTCCCACACTTTATATGGTCATCCTTCTCCCTTGTTATGGCACTCTGATCTTTTTAGTCTTATACTTTTCAATATAGAAAATTCTACTTAAGAAAATAAAATGGAAAAAATATTTTCAATGAAGCTTGTGTATTCATAAAATATCAGGATCCATAAAAGTATTCATAAAACATCCGGGATATTAGCTTTGTTAATACCATCCATGGTTTCATACAACAATATTTTCTTCAAAGTTATCCTAAAGAACAATAGTGAACAAGATCCTAAATCCTCAAGTAAGCACTAAATGAATACACATATTCAAAACAAGAACTGGTGAAAGGGCATTTGTTTTCATAGAATTTCAAATCCTAGTCAATTATGTTAATAATACCAAAGCTTTTGTAAGAAAGAAATTCTTATTCAACATCTCTTTTCACCAGGAAAAAAACCCAGCTAACAAAAACCATAAGCAATAGCATTATGCCTTATTTACTGCCAAAGAAATTGTTAAGTGACTCTTTTTAAGCCAGTAAGTTATTTCCAAGTCAAGTCTGTTCTTTATAGAGTTCACTACACAAGATAAATCTTCACTGTACTGAATCCAAACATTATCAAAAATTCTACATTGAACAGTAAAACAAAAGGTCAAAATTGAGAGGAACCAGCCCTGGTTCTTATCATTATTTCTTCATGATTCAAGCTAATGGGTTTTTTTAATTAACCGCTGGTTTTTCTGTATGTCCATTTTGGCAATGACTTCTCTGAGGGAAAAATAAAGCTGCTATTTGAAGTATTAGGAGTGGGTCTAAATTCACTAAATTCTTTAGTTCTTATTCTGTTGAAATATTCCTTCTCACCAATTGGATTCACTTTGAAAACTCTGATCCTGTTGTAATGTACATATCATTGGCAATTATCTGCAAAATTTTTCCAAGAGGAGAGCTGGCCTTCAATCCTTAAAGCAGTATCTCTTCAAGATCCAGAAAGGCCAAATGCAGGATTTCCCACATCCTGAAATGTGATTCTTTTACTATCTCCTAGATATAGCTTGCTAAACTTTCTGCCAAGATTTACCTAGCAAGTTTGAGAAGAAATTAGAACTTAGAGAAGAGAAGGCTGAGGAACAAGGACAGAGTAACTGAAAGCAGAGTATTACAGCACAGGCCACTCATTTCCAGTCATCTTACAAAGAATGTGCTAATGATATTCCCATTATCAGTGTTTCCTTAGTATATCTGGTTACAATATTATAATCATCTACAGGGCAAAAATAGGGCTTATAGGGTTCTATTAATTCAGTCCTTAATACCATGCCAAAATTGCCATATAATAGATGCTTTCAGGTAATGCCTGCTATAACCTAATGGAGCCAAACACATCACAAATTAGGAGAGTAACAAGCAAATTCCATTTAATTTGTTTTTACAAATATAGGAATTGAATGACAGAGTTTTGTATGAGTCATGGCCACACACAAACTCCAGGTCTCCCTTCTAAGGTGTCCCCAGCTCAAAGCCAAATTGTACTGGAAACTGTTTTGCCTCATCTTTTGGTAACTGCTCCCACACAACCCCTGTATTGGCAGAGCGTACATTGCTGTTCCTTTCTTTGACCACTCTCCTTTCTCCTCTAATTTTTCATTGCCATTTCCAGAGAAAGCTGTCAATAATCCCGAGTTAAGAATGTCTCCCTTCTTTGAAGTCTTAATAGTCCTGTATAAAGTCAATAGCCTTGTTAATATGTATAGTTATGTCTATACCACAAACACAATTACATACAGTGTTCTACCTAGGTTGTGTGGGATTAATTTCCCCAGCTAGACTAGAAGTACTTTAAAAGCAGAGTCTACCTCTTATCATTTTCATCCTTCGTGTAGTTTCCCCATTGATGGACACATAAGGAAATAAATAAAGCCTTCCAAGTTCCCATACATTGCCAAATTCTAGACCTCTCTAGTATCATGTCCTCCTGTGTTCTGCCCAGATACAGATCTCACTCTGGACACTCTTTTCTTACTCCCTGTTTTCTCCCTGCACAGTAAAATGCTCATGTTCTTGGAGCTTTAGTTGATAAGTAGTTATTCTAATAATCATCATCCTTGACTATGGTGTTTTAACAGTGGCCAGCTAAAGACAAGGCCCCTATCTGTCTAAACTGATAATGACCAAAGATCATGGCAAATCAGTGTTCAAAAGATCTGGAGACATGGGGGATTTTGAAATCCCTAAACTTACATAAAGTTGGTGGTCAAGTACACCAGCTGGGTATAAGCCAAGATTTAGGCCCCACATCCTGATCATTCAGCATATTGTCTCTTCTAGTTACTTCCTTTTGCTTCAGGGAGGCTCTTATGTTAAGTGTTGATCAAGAATGAAAAAGGTCATGCTGATTTTTCAAAAGTATGAGTTATAGTATAGAAAAAAAGAAAAGGTGAAACATTATTTTTAAAAGATGGAGCTACTATGTTTGACAGGCTTACAGATAGAAAACAGAACTCTGAAAATAGCATACAACACACATCAGGAAAAAAAGTCACCAGTGTTTTAAAAGAGCTGATGTAGTGAATCAGAAAGAGAAATAACAAAATGAGTTGATGATAATGGAGAAAACTTTGAATTTTTTTAGAAACACTGTCACTCAAACATTGGTCACACTACATATTGATTTTAACCTTCCCACAATTGAAAACATGATATTCAAATGTGTGAGTAGTGAGGCAGGGAGAGTTGGAGAGAGGTAAATAAGAAAATTCATAAAAGTTTATTATCTTCATATTATATATTTTTTAAAAATGTCACATTCTACCCAAGAGCATACAGTTAGAATGAGGCTGTTTTTGAGTGGCTTATTGAAGGGGTATGACTGATTTAACGGGTCTTTAGTTGCTTTGTGTCAAATACTCTTCTGAGCAATTTATGTTTATTTACTGATTTCTTAACCAAAATCCATTGCCAAGAACTGTGAAGAGTCTGAGATTTTACCATACTTGTAAGCTAACATGCTAGCTTGTCACAAATGCATGGATCCTGACAAAAGATATGAGACTCCTGGGTCAGAGACAGAGGACTTCATTACAGGTTGATTATCTCTTATCTTGGGACAAGAAGTGTTTCAGATTTGGGATTTTTCAGATTTTGGAATATTTGGATGTATGTAAGGAGACATCTTGAGAATGGGACCAAAGTCTATACACTAAATTCATTTATGTTTCACGTATACCTTATACACATCGCCTGAAGGTAATTGATAATTTTATAAAATATTTTCTAAAATATTTGTACATGAAACAAAAGTTCTTACTGCCTTTTGACTGTGGCTCATCACACGAGGTCAGGTGTGCAATTTCCCAGATGTGGTGGTATGTCGGTACTCCAAACATTTCAGATTTTGGAGCATTTTGGATTTTGAATTTTGGGATTAGGGTTGCTCAACTTGTATTCACATCAAGAATAATAGAGTACCACCATTTGTACCAATTCTCTGAGGGCCAGATGACACCTACTTTTGGAGATGGTACTCTTACAGGACAGAAACCCTGAGATTAGGGAACCCAAATATTTCAAAAAGGCAGGAAGTATGCTCACCTTTGCTCCAGAGGGAGATACTATCTCTATTATGCTAGACAGTCAGCACACCAGCCCTTTGCTCTGGAGGAAAACACTGTATGTATCTTTCAAGGCAGTTTGCTATACTAACATCTTTAAAAATATAGTCTGAAACAAGAATTATCAGTGTTTCTGCACTCAAGACAGGCAAAAATGTGAGAAACCTGTGGAGAATTATCTCCCATCTGTGAATAGATACTATCATTAACTAATTTTATAGGTGCAAAAGCTAAGGAAATGAGAGGTTAAGTAATTTGCCCAAGGTCAAACCCAGATAGTCAATTCTGAGAGCTGAGGATATTAGCCAATGTGATTAACTTATTTTCTCTTGAAGGTAAACATTATTATTTACATATACAGCGACATGTAAAAGTTCTTAGTGTTATCATTCCAGCATCTTATGTTTCTCATCTAGAAAGTAGGCAAGGGGCCAGTGGGAAGGGGGCTTGAGTTAGAAGCTCTCTTTGAGATCTTTTCAGATTTAGCATGCCTTCATTCTAAGATTTGTCTATTAGAATGAAGAGACAGTGTGTGTAAGTGGATGTGACGCAGACTGGAAACAGAAATATAAGAGCATCTATTTCATTGTCAGTGTATATTTAAAAACTTTTATCAGGACCTTTGCATTCCTTATTTTTTATGAGATTATTGAGAAAAGTGAGTCTTGAATTACCACTTCAGGTATTTTTGGTCTTTCTAAGTATAGTTTATGGCTAGGTTAAGCATATGGTTTATTTTCCAACTAACTCTATCATAAAACTTCCTTTTTCTATAATACAAGTGAGAATATTATGTAAGAATAAACTGAGAGCAGTCTTTAAGCTGTTTATACCTGGAATGTTGCCAGGCCAGCATGTGCTGGATGGAGCATTACCAAAGAAGGGAAAGAAAAGCAAAGAAACTGCAGAAACATTGGTGACATAGTCAGACTATGACTCCTCTTCATTTCCACGGGACATCAAGAAATGTTTTTCTCAAGTTGGAATCTAGTTTTAGAACTACCAGTAGATATTGACTGACACTCTAACCCCATGCATAATATCAGACAGTTCATCTTATCACCAGTTAGATCTCGGTCACATGCTTCCTGTTGTTATGAAGACCTTTTGAAACCTCAGGGCCAGATAAACACAAGAGTGGCCCTCCTGCTCCTTTATATGTTGATGTTCCTTGGGAGACTGTCCTTGACCCGCTTCTTCTCTCATTCTGCCTACTGACTTCAGGGTGTCTCATTTACTCCCTAGGCTTCAAAGGCCACTTATACCCTAAGGACTCCCCAGTCTCTAAATATGGTTCACCATGCCCTCCTGAGCCCTTGGACCATAAAATCAACTTTCTGTTGGAAATCTTCACTTGAATATGTTAAGGACATTTCACATTCAACTGTTTGACGGTTATCACCACCTTCTAAACCCACTTCTTCTCCTTATATTCTCCATGTCATTTAGGGGCATCACCATCTACTCAGGAATCACCATGTCCTGTTAATATTCCTTCCTAAATTTCTCCATTTCCAATGACAACATCTTTGTAGAAATTGCTATTAATTTTGATCTTGACCATTATGTCATTCTCTAATTGATCTTCTGAAGCTAGAATTCTCTCTATAAAATGCACACTTGATCATGTCAACCTTTTTCATAAAATCGCTCAATGTTTAGAGACACCCCAGCTATCAACAGGGTAAACCCTGAACTCCTAATATGACTTCAAAGCCTCTATAATTGGGCCCTTGCTTGTCTCTTTAGCCTCATGGTGACTGAGTGCCCTCATTCTAGCCATACTTGTATATTTTCAGATCCTCACACCAACTTCTCTCTTTTTTCCCCTCCCTCACAGATTGTCCTTCTGCCTTGGACACCATTTCTATTATAAAATGACCAATTCCTGCTCACCTTACTCGGCTGGAGAAAGATCCATATTCAGAGAGCCTTCCCTGACCCATAGACTACTGTGGGCTCTCAAAGTGTCTTGAGCTTCCTCTGTCATTAATCTTGATCTTGTTTTCTAGTAATAATTCTTCACAGCAATGCCATCTGCTTCATTGGACATTAAGCCTGGAAATGGCATGACCATGCTTGAATCTCCAGCATTTGGCCTGGAATATGGCACTTAGTAGGAGCATAATAAATTCCTGTTAAATGAATGAATGAATGAACCAATAAAGGATCTGCCCAGGTTCACTTTTGTGAGTAGGAGAGTGGCCAGGTGAAGTAGCATACAGCCTTTTAGCTTGACTTTTTCTAGACTTCTTTCCTAAAATGTAAATGGTAAGGCCCAGACAATTTCTTGGATCAAGGATCAAAGTGCCTCCTTTTGATTTCTTAGAAAAGTCAGAATTTAACAGCAAAAGTTAAGACAGTTCAGGATCAATATTCAAAATAAAGAGATAATGCCAGATTTTTAATGTATCTGTTTTATACATTGTATTTCTTTTCCCACGTTTTAAAATTGGAATTTTACAAAATATAAAGTGTTTAAAATGATCACATTTCTTCTTTTTAGCCTCCATTTTTTAAAAGTTTCTTTAGGAGAATGGCAGGACTCTTTGTGCCATATAAAATAGGAATTTAAATTAGGAGGTATAACAATATTCCACTGCCTCTGAATTTAGTCATTGTCTTGAATGCCATCGAGTATATCATAAAAGTATATCCTGGATTACACAACAACAGGAAGGAGGAAATACTTTCCAGATCATGAGCTTAAATTATGGAATTACAAAGCAAACTTTTATGAAAACTCTCCTCCCTACCTTCAGCCCACCAACTGCACAGACATTTCTCTGATGTCTGAGCTAAGTGGTATTTTTGTGGGTTCTAAGCCTTGCAGTTGCTGTTCAGGCAAGAGGGAGATTTCTCTCTCTCTTTTTTTTTTTTTTTCAGTTTAGGGGAAAAAGTGAGATTTAGGTTTTTTTCAGTTTAGGGGAAGAAGAAAACTGGGCCATCCACATTCCTTTCTCTACCCTATCACTTATCACGGACTATATTGTATGCATGATCTAATGACAACCATTAAGTATCTGAGAGAAACCTAGAGAAAAGTTATGTGATTACAAATTTATGATCTCAAGAAATAAGGACTTCTGACTCCTACCTTTAGCCCCATCAATAGAGCAGCATGATTATAATTAGAAGGAGTATGCCTTCAGATTTGCTCAGGACAGTGCTTGTTTGGTCTGTTGTTCTGAGCTAATTTTTATTTTTATTTTTATTTTTTTGAGACAGGATATCGCTGTCTCATCCAGGCTGTGGTGAAGTGTTTTGATCTCGGCTCACTGTAACCTCTGCCTCTCTGGCTCCAGTGAATTCTCCCACCTCAGCGCCCCAAGTAGCTGGGACTACAGGGGTGCGCCATCACATTTTTTGTAGAGATGAGGTTTTGCTGTATTCCCCAGGCTAGTCTCGAACTCCTGAGCTCAAGCGATCTGTCTACCTCGGCCTTCCAAAGTGCTGGGATTACAGGCATGAGCCACTGCACTCAGCCCTGACCTAATTATTAATAGTGATCCTTTTATTCTCAAAAACATCTTTGGGATATAAATTACTTAGTCATTTTAAATATAATGGTTATTTAGCATAACACCAACTCACTAGGTTTCTTTTTTTATTCCTCATTTTGAGAGCTTACTATATGCCAGGCATTGCGATGGCTCTTTTTCACTTGCACTCTAATTAATTTTTTACAACAAATCCACTATGCAGATAATGTCACTGTCTTAAACAACAGGAAACTGTGATTCAGAAATGTTAAGGCATTACCCAAGGCCACACAATGGTACATGATAGCCAAAATTTAGATGCGTTTCTGCGCAACTGGAAAACTGTTCTCTTTCAATTATATTATGTGCAGGTTCAAAATGGGGCCTTAAAAACATACCTCCCCTAACCCTTCTCCTCCCTCCTCCAACCCTACTCCCCCCTCCTCCTGCCCACATAAATAAATAAAACACACAGACAGAAGCAGCAAGCAACCCAGAGTGGCTTGGTGCAAGTCAGAGGCTAGTTGACTCCTGGGTGATGGTACATGATGGACTTAACCAGATAATGCAGTAAATCATGAATTCTAACAACTCAATTGTCCCGAATATGTTTCAGATCACTCTGTGTGTCTCTAGGGCTCCCTTGAAAGAGAAAAAGCTACTCTGGAGAACTTTCACTATGTGCTTCTCACTCCCTTTGTGGCCCTGGAAACAGAACGGAACTCCTCCCTAGCCTGCTGCCCACTGCTACCAGTCTTTCCCACACCCCAGATATGAAGAAAGATAATCAGGCCCTCAAATAGAAGTTTCCCGATTATGAGTCATGGCTTACTCAGCCTTTGTTACAGAGAACCTGGAAGCCTTTGAAATACGCTGTTGATTTTGGCAGTCTTAACTCCCCGTGCTGTTATCAAGAGACAAGTTACACGACTAATTTGCTTGAGAAATTACCTCTGTAATGAGTATATTAAGAAGAGCCTATGTTAAAGGGCCTGGTGTTTAATATACGGTGTTTAATGTCAGTATATATTAATAGCTACTCATTTCCTTGCACAATACTTCATAGCTAATAGTTCCCCAATAAATAGCTGTTACATTGAATTAAATAAAAATATGACATTATCATAGGGTACTTTCAATGAGCCAGGCATTATAATAAGAGATTTTTTTCTCACTCTCTCTAAACACACACACACATTTTGTATGTATATGTAAAATAAATATATATTATGTGTGTTTCATACATAATACATAATATACATAATAAATACTTAAGTATAGACATTTAAATTTAATTAAACTAGATATGAAAACAACATACATCAGCATAACTCCCTTAAGATTAGTTATTTTTATTTTATTTTTTGAGATGGAGTCTCGCTTTGTCGCCCAGGCTAGAGTGCAGTGGCACGATCTCAGCTCACTGCAACCTCTGTCTCCTGGGTTCACGCCATTCTCCTGCCTCAGCCTTCTGAGTAGCTGGGACTACAGGCACCCACCACCAAACCGGGCTAATTTTTTTGTATTTTTAGTAGAGACGGGGTTTCACCGTGTTAGCCAGGATGGTCTCAATCTCCTGACCTCGTGATCCACCCGCCTCAGCCTCCCAAAGTGCTGGGATTATAGGCATGAGCCACCGTGCCCAGCCCAAGATTGGTTATTTTTTATATGTACCTCATAGGGATGATTTCTGAAACAATTATATATTCTACCATGGTAGACATTATACAGTTTCAAGAAAAATAAATTGTTATATTCATTTAAGTTAAATTAGATGTGTACTATTATAGTATAGATGCTTTATAGCCCTTATCTGCAAAACATAGATAATAATATGGCCTAATTATTAAGATTGGCAAGCAGATAAAATTGGACAATGCAGTGAAGTGCGGCTTGTAGCATTTTGCAGGCACTGTATATAAATCAATGACCTCTTCATAACTACAGTGAGACTTTGGATATAGATAGGTATTTAGGAGAAAAATCTTGTTCAGTAGTATGTGTAAAGGCACTGTTTAAATACATGCATTTGTTCTATCACTGTAAATATTGTTATATTGCTATTAATATGTAAACTTAAAGTATTAGCTTTAAAGTTGACTTGGGAAGGTAACATTTTGTAGTCTACAGTTTTTCAGAGATAGATTCTGAAGATTTTGCCTGAAAAAGGAAATGCTTTTTTAAAAAACGTGCTTTGAACCTAAACAGTAGAAAGGAAGACTAAATAGAAAAGTTCTCTTTTTCCACCTAAGCCTAAGCCAATCAGCAAGCAGAGCTCTCCTGTCCATTAGAATTTATTCAACAGAGAGGTGATCTAATGTAGGTCAAGACCCAAAGAAATTTTTCAAAGTCGTTGATAAAGGAATTTCCTTGTTCTTACAAAAATTGCTGAAATAACTGGGTTCTCCTTTGTTGGATACTTTTGTGCATAGATTCAAGGCTTAAAACGGCTGCAGTCATCTTGCTATGGTTTGAAGATTAGGAAGATACACAGAGGAGATAATAGCTAAGAGGGATGCAGAGGAATAGAGCCATAGAATTGTATTAAGCCAGCCTAAGGCATAAATCTTGACTAAGGTCAGTGAGTTTTCTCCAAGCATAGTCCTAGACCAGAAGCATCAGCCTCACCTGGGAATCTGTTCAAATACAAAATCTAAAGCCCTATCCCAGAAATGTAGAATCAGAAACTCAGGGTGGAGCTAGCTCAGCAATCCATGCTTTAAGATGCCCTTCAGGGGATTCTGATGCAGACTAAAGTTTGAGAACCACTGGTTTAAGCCAGTTTGAGTAATATTTTCTGTTACTTGCTCTCAAAAGTATATTAAATGTAATACCTAGTGAAAATATACTCAAATTGACTAATGATTAACTAACATAAAAATTCCAGAAAGGGAAATCATGGTATAATATGCCTGGAAGAGTGTCCTGTTATAGTATGGTAGCTATACTCAAAGGCTTTGGACCCAGACTGCCTGGGTTCATATCCCTGTTCCGCTACTCATTAACTGTGTGACCTGGAGAAAACTAGTTTAGTTTCTTCCTGTGTAACCTGCAGGTAATCTTATGGCTGTTTTGAATATTAAATTAGTTAATAAATGGAGAGCAATGAGAAATTTTCCTAATTGCTAATGTATTCTAAGCACTCAGTATATGTTAGCAATCATTATTACCATCAACACGTAATATATTCATCACATCAGAGAAGTCCTAAAAAACAAACCACACCTGACTAAACTGACCACATTAATATTCTTTTAATAATGTGATATTGTTGGTGCCAAATTACTCTCACGATAGCATTTGGATTCAAAGTAAATAATTTTATTATGAAATGTGTATCTCATTATGGGGACAACACTGTAATTGTGTATTTAAAAATTCCTCTGAAAAAAATGTCAGAATCTAATGTTAATTTTTCATTTACTCAACAAATATTACTAAGGACCAATTAATAAGGTGCAAATAATTTTTAATGTAAACACATGCATACACACACTTCTCTTTAATAAAACTAGAAAAAAGACTGGATGTTAATAGACCTGTTAGTGTTGATCTTTGGGCAATGGAACTATGGTTTATAGTTTTCTTTTTATATAGTCTGTATTTTTAAAAAATATCTTGTTATTATTTAACAAAAGTGGATTTCTAAAAAGCAAATAAAAATTACTTTTCTTTGAAGGAAAACACAGGTCCAAATAATCTCAGGGCATCCAGATATCATTTTTTAGTTGTGACATAGTAGCCAATCAATTCTGCATTGTACAGCACTCAGTTCCTAGACTGGTTCCTATAATCTTCCTATAGGAAGATTCAAGCCAGACAGAGTTCACTACCTGAGTTCGGGACCAGCTCATGTCTAACCCCCAGACTTCAAGAGTAGAAATCAGTTGTGGATGCTTTAGGACAGAGCATAGGCACTCAAACCCACAGCCAGTGGAAAGATGCTTAATGAACTAGTCCATTCTGCCTAAGAATCCTTTGGGGTTCAGACTGGGGATGCACGGTAAGGAAGCTGGCCAAATGTTTGAGGTTACAAATCTCAGGAAGAATCTTAATCCAGAAACCTAAGATCTCTCTCTCACACTTGGGTTCATCAAAGGACAGACTCTCCTGGCCACATTTAGCAATGTTAGGTAATTATGTACTGATGAACCCTGCTAGCAAGCATTCACAACCCAGGACGCTAGCAAATCACAATTTACAGTCAATAAGTAGACAGTACACACATTCTAATTACTCTCTACTGAGTTGATTTGTAACTATTCATTTTCTTCCTATGCTCCTGTTCTATTCCCATCACAAACTAAATGGGACAGGGAAAGAAAGGTAGCCAATATGTAGCACAATTAAGAGCTTCACTCTGTAATAGACAGTCGTAGGTTTCCATCCCATTCTAAAGAATGGGATAAAGGTAAGTTTGATGGATCATGCATACAAAACTGTGTGACCTGTCAGACACCCAATCTCTCAAACCAACCTCTTCAAGCTGTTTTGAGGGCTAACTAAAATAATACACGTGCAATGGTTAACTCAGTGTCTGGTGCAGAGGCAGCATGCAGTAAAGGTTAATCTTTTTTTTTAACTCTTAAGTTCAGGAGTACATGTGAAGACTTGTTATATAGGTAAACCCACATCATGGAGGTTTGTCGTACAGATTATTTTGTCACCCACATATTAAGCCTAGTACCCATTAATTATTTTTCTTAATCCTCTCCCTCCTCTCACCTTCCACCCTCCAGGAAGACCCAGTGTGTATTGTTCCTCTCTCTGTGTCCATGTGTACTCATCACTTAGCTCCCACTTAAAAGTGAGAAGAGGTAGTATTTGGTTTTCTGTTCCTGTGTTAGTTTCCTAAGGATAATGGCCTTTAGCTCCAGCCATGTTCTTGCAAATGACATGATCCCTTTCTCTTTTGTGGCTGCATAGTATTCCATGGTGTATATGTACCATATTTTCTTTATCTAGTCTATCATTGATGGGCATTTAGGTTGATTCTATGTCTTTGCTATTGTGAATAGTGCTGCAGTGAACATACGTATGCATGTGTCTTTATGATAGAACAATTTATATTCCTTGGGGTATATACCCGGTAATGGGATTGCTGGGTTGAATGGATTGCTGGGTTGAATGGGATTGCTGGGTTGAATCGTGGTTCTGTTTTTAGCTCTTTGAGGAATCGTCACACTGCTTTCCACAATGGTTGAACTAATTTACACACCAACAGTGTATAAGCACTTCTTTTTCTCTGCAAGGGCTAATTTTTAATAATGTTGTTTGTTTTGGTGGGAGGGGGGCTTTCTTCTTCCGCCTATATTCTCTACTATTATCACTACATAATGGCGTAAAAGCAGCAAATGCCATGGAGGTAAAACTCTCCTAATATATGCACTTTCCTATCCCTGTAATGAAGAGAGAAGCAAAAATAAATGTGTGTGTGATAGTTTCCACACAGTGAAGTTTTAGTGATTTCAGAAATGCTGGGCTTCTAGAGGACAAATAACCAAAAGGAAATTAGTATATTTGGCAAATTGTTACTTAGTAGCATGTGGCTCAGGCCTTCCTTGGGCAAGTTGGCAGGAGGGGAAAGAGTACTCAGACTGATTGCCAAGCAAAAGGGGGCTGAGCTTGGCAGCTACCTGATGGTAATAACGAAGCTCCTAAGAGCTACAAAATCCTTGCCTTTCCCTGTAAACTTCAGACCCTCCTTGCTGCATCCATGAAGTCTATATTTAAAGCAAGCAGAGGCCAGTCTCCTCCTGGACCTAGAATAAAGTGGGTCTCCTGAGGTCCCTCCAAACTTGGGGCAGCCACTGTCACAGCAGGCTTCATGTCTGGCTCTCACTAGGTCTTACTGTCCCCTTCCCTTTGTTTAACTCTCAGCCTTGTAGCTGTGCAAAAACTAGGAAAGAGGAAGTTCCAGGCCACGTAATCAGATATCGTCTTATTTCACACAGCCACCCTTATTTGTAACATATAAAGGGAAATGTGGCATCGATGGACAATGCTTTAGCATACATTATTGAAAGAAAAAGCTTAAGTACTAAATTGTATTTTATGGGAAGGAAGACAGAAGAAGCTTGCAAACCACAAATGACTTTCAACAATGCAGTTATGTTTCTACTTTACTAGGCTCATTTGGAGGATAAAATAAATAAGACCTTGAAGCCAGTTTTGGAAATATATCAAGTCATAGAACTGAAATGATCTAAACAAATGATGTATCTGTTAAAAAACCTCATGGGATCCAAAAGGACAATACTTTAAAGGTTAACAAGGTTACTTTGCTCATTAGGGTCTTCTCTCTTCTGCCAGAATACCTTGTCATAAAACCTCAACTATGCCAAATGTCTAAGGCTTAGAATTATCACTGCATCTGTTATGTGCTCTGGAGAATATCAAGGTTCTCAGACTTTCTCTCAGTGAAGTAAAATAAGAATTCTGGGTTTGTTGTGAAGTTTAAAAAAACAAAAAGTATGATTCACTTCCTATTCAGACTCTAGTTTCTTTAAAAAGTAACAGTTGAATGCTTTTGCCAAGCCCATACTTCTTCTTTATTGTATGTTACATTCTATTGTTAATTAACAATAAGCATGTTCACAATGGGAAACCTTTGATGGATTCATTTTTAGAATAAAGTTAACATGGAACTATTAAAACTTAGTATAGAATCAGAGATCTGGAGTCCACTAGATGTATTAGCCACTCTAGAACTTCTAATTCACTGCAGAATTAATTCTGAAATGCTATCTGTCTTACACCAAACAACTAAAATTATTGTTTCTCCTCAAGTTTTAAGAAATGCAGAGTTTCAGCAAGGACCAAAGCATCAGGGAAAAAAATAAGAGAATCCCATTCTACATAGTTTACTGATCATAAAATCACCATATGCCCCATTGCTTCTAATTGACTGCTCCTCAAGCATTTTCACCAAGTTGGAAAATGAGGATGCAGAATTATTCAGGAGGCATTTTGGAAGTACACTAAAGGAAATGGTAGTCTCATCGAAGTAAGAAGATGAACATTTTGATAAACAAATGGGTTATTTCTAAAGAGACAATTTACCTTTTGAAGAGATATACAATTGAGATCTGTTCCAAGATGGCCAAATAGGAACAGCTCCAGTCTGCAGCTCCCAGCGTGATTGACGCAGAAGACAGGTGATTTCTGCATTTCCAACTGAGGTACCTGGTTCATCACATTGAGACCAGTTGGTCAGTGGGTGCAGCCCATGGAGGGTGAGCCAAAGCAGGGTGGGACATCACCTCACCTGGAAAGTGCAAGGGATTGGGGGATTTCCCTTTCCTAGCCAAGGGAAGTTGTGACAGACTGTACCTGGAAAAATGGGACACTCCCACCCAAATACTGTGCTTTTCCCAAGGTCTTAACAACCAGCAGACAAGGAGATTCTCTCCCATGCCTGACTTGGCAGGTCCCACGCCCACAGAGCCTTGCTCACTGCTAGCACAGCAGTCTTGAGATCAAAATACGAGGTGGCAGCCTGGATGGGGGAGGGGTGTCTGCCATTACTGAGGCTTGAATAAGTAAACAAAGCTGCTGGGGAGCTCGAACTGGGCGGAGCCCACCGCAGCTCAGCAAGGCCTACTGCCACTAGACTCCACCTCTGTGGGCAGGGCTTAGGTGAACAAAAGGCAGCAGACAACTTCTACGGACTTAAACGTCCCTGTCCGACAGCTCTGAAGAGAGTGGTGGTTCTCCCAGCATGGCGTTTGAGCTCTGAGAACAGACAGACTGCCTCTTCAAGTGGGTCCCTGACCCCTGTGTAGCCTAACTGGGAGACACCTCCCAGTAGGAGCCAACAGACACCTCATATAGGCAGGTGCCCCTCTGGGATGAAGATTCTGGAGAAGGATCAGGCAGCAATATTTGCTATTCTGCAATATTTGCTGTTCTGCAGCCTCTGCTGGTGACACCCAGGCAAACAGGGTCTGGAGTGGACCTCCAGCAAACTCCAATAGACCTGCAGCTGAGGGACATGACTGTTAAAAGGAAAACTAACAAACAGAAAGGAATAGCATCAACATCAATAAAAAGGACATCTACACCAAAACCCCACTGTAGGTCACCAACATCAAAGACCAAAGGTAGATAAAACCACAAAGATGGGGAGAAATCAGAGCAGAAAAGCTGAAAATTCTAAAAATCAGAGCACCTCTTCTACTCCAAAGGATCGTAGCTCCTCGTCAGCAACGGAACGAAGCTGGACAGAGAATGACTTTGATGAGTTGACAGAAGTAGGCTTCAGAAGGTCGGTAATAACAAACTTCTCTGAGCTAAAGGAGCATGTCCCAGCCCATTGCAAGGAAGCTAAAAATCTTGGAAAAGGTTAGATGAATGGCTAACTAGAATAAACAGTGTACAGAAGACCTTAAATGACCTGATGGATCTGAAACCATGGCACGAGAACTTGGTGACACATGCACAAGCTTCAATAGCCTATTTGATCAAGTGGAAGAAAGGGTATCAGTGATTGAAGATCAAATTAATGAAATAAAGCAAGAAGACAAGGTTAGAGAAAAAAGAGTAAAAAGAAATCAACAAAGCTTCCAAGAAATATGGGATTATGTGAAAAGACCAAATCTATGTTCGATTGGTGTACCTGAAAGTGATGTGAAGAATGGAACCAAGGTGGAAAACACCCTTCAGGATATTATCCAGGAGAACTTCCCCAATCTAGCAAGGCAGGCCAACATTCAAATTCAGGAAATACAGACAACACCATAAAGATACTCCTCAAGAGAAGTAACCCCAAGACACATAATTATCAGATTCACCGAGGTTGAAATGAAGGAAAAAGTGTTAAGGGCAGCCAGAGAGAAAGGTCGAGTTACCCACAAAGCAAAGCCCATCAGACTAACAGCAGATCTATCTGCAGAAACCCTACAAGTTAGAAGAGAGTGGCGGCCAATATTCAACATTTTTGAAGAAAAGAATTTTCAACCCAGAATTTCATATCTGGCCAAACTAAGCTTCATAAGTGAAGGAGAAATACAATTTTTTACAGACAAGCAAATGCTGAGAGATTTTGTCACCACCAGGCCTGCCTTATAAGAGCTCCTGAAGGAAGCACTAAACATAGAAAGGAACAACCAGTACCAGTTGCTGCAAAAACATGCCAAATTATAAAGACCATCCATGCTATGAAAAAACTGCATCAACTAATGGTCAAAATAACCAGCTAACATCATAATGACAGGATCTAATTCTCACATAACAATATTAAACTTAAATGTAAATGGGCTAAATGCCCCAATTAAAAGACACAGGCTGGCAAACTGGATAAAGAGTCAAGACCCATCAGTGTGCTGTTTTCAGGAGATCCGTCTCATGTGCAAAAACACACATAGGCTCAAAGTAAAGGGATGGAGGAAGATATACCAAGCAAATGCAAAGCAAAACAAAGCAGGGGTTGCAATCCTAGTCTCTGATAAAACAGACTTTAAACCAACAAAGATCAAAAGAGACAAAGAAGGCCATTACATAATGGTAAAGGGATCAATTCAACAAGAAGAGCTAACTATCCTAAATATATATGCACCCAATACAGGAGCACGCAGATTCATAAAGCAAGTCCTTAGAGACATAGAAAGAGACTTAGACTCCCACACAATAATAATGGGAGACTTTAACACCCCACTGCCAATATTAGATCAACGAGACAGAAGGTTAACAAGGCTATCCAGGACTTGAACTCAGCTCTGCACCAACCGGAGCTAATAGATATCTACAGAACTCTCCAACACAAATCAATAGAATTTACATTCTTCTCAGCATCACATTGCACTTATTCTAAAATTGACCACATAATTGGAAGTAAAGCACTCCTCAGCAAATGTAAAAGAACAGAAATCAAAACAAACTGTCTCTCAGACCACAATGCAATCAAATTAGAGCTAAGGATTAAGAAACTCATTCAAAACTGCACAGCTACATGGAAACTGAACAACTTGCTCCTAAATGACTACTGGGTAAATAACGAAATGAAGGCAGAAATAAAGATGTTCTTTGAAACCAATGAGAACAAAGACACAACGTATCAGAATCTCTGGGACACATTTAAAGCAGTGTGTGGAGGGAAATTTATAGCACCAAATGCCCACAAGAGAAAGCAGGAGAGATCTAAAATTGACACCCTAACATCGCAATTAAAACAACTAGAGAAGGAAGAGCAAACACATTCAAAAGCTAGCAGAAGGCAAGAAATAACTAAGATCAGAGCAGAACTGAAAGAGATAGAGACACAAAAAACCCTTCAAAAAATTGATGAACCCAGGAGCTGGTTTTTTGAAAAGATTAACAAAATTGATAGACCACTAGCAAGACTAATAAAGAAAAGAGAGAAGATTCAAATAGGCACAATAAAAAAATGATAAAGGGGATATCACCACCGATCCCACAGAAATACAAACTACCATCAGAGAATACTATAAACACCTCTATGCAAATAAACTAGAAAATCCAGAAGAAATGGATAAATTCCTGGACACATACACCCTCCTAAGACTAAACCAGGAAGAAGTTGAATCTCTGAATAGACCAACAACAGGCTCTGAAATTGAGGCAATAATTAGTATCCTACCAACCAAAAAAAGTCCAGGACCAGAGGGATTCACAGCCGAATTCTACCAGAGGTACAAAGAGGAGCTGGTACTGTTCCTTCTGAAACTATTCCAATCAATAGAAAAATAGGGAATCCTCCCCAACTCATTTTGAGGCCAACATCATCCTGATACCAAAGCCTGGCAGAGACACAACAACAAAAGAGAATTTTAGACCTATATCCCTGATGAACACTGATGCAAAAATCCTCAATAAAATACTGGCAAAACAAATCCAGCAGCACATAAAAAAGCTTATCCACCATGATCAGGTTGGTTTCATCCCTGGGATGCAAGGCTGGTTCAACATACGCAAATTAATAAACATAATCCATCACATAAACAGAACCAAAGACAAAAACCACATGATTATCTCAATAGATGCAGAAAAGGCCTTTGACAAAATTCAACAGCCCTTCATGCTAAGGACTCTCAATAAACTAGGTATAGATGGAACGTATCTCAAAATAATAAGAGCTATTTATGACAAATCCACAGCCAATATCATACTTAATGGGCAAAAACTGGAAGCATTCCCTTTGAAAACTGGCACAAGACAGGGATGCCCTCTCTCACCACTCCTATTCAACATAGTGTTGGAAGTTCTGGCCAGGGCAATCAGACAACAGAAAGAAATAAAGGGTATTTAATTGGGAAACGAGGAAGTCAAATTGTCCCTGTTTGCAGATGACATGACTGTATATTTAGAAAACCCCATCGTCTCAGCCTAAGATCTCCTTAAGCTGATAAGCAAATTCAGCAAAGTCTCAGGATACAAAATCAATGTACAAAAATCACAAGCATTCCTACATACCAGTAGCAGACAGAGAACCAAATCACGAGTGAACTCCCATTCACAATTGCTTCAAAGAGAATAAAATACCTAGGAATCCAACTTACAAGGGACATGAAGGACCTCTTCAAGGAGAACTACAAACCACTGCTCAGTGAAATAAAAGAGGACACAAACAAATGAAAAAACATTCCATGCTCATGGATAGGAAGAATCTATATCATGAAAATGGCCATACAGCCCAAGGTAATTTATAGATTCAATGCCATCCCCATCAAGCTACCAATGACTTTCTTCACAGAATTGGAAAAAACTGCTTTAAAGTTCATATGGAATCAAAAAAGAGCCTGCATTGCCAAGACAATCCTAAGCCAAAAGAACAAAGCTGGAGGCATCACACTACCTGACGTCAAACTATACTACAAGCCTAGAGTAACGAAAACAGCATGGTACTGGTACCAAAACAGAGATACAGACCACTGCAACAGAACACAGCCCTCAGAAATAATACCACACATCCACAATCATCTGATCTTTGACAAACCTGACAAAAATAAGAAATGGGGAAAGGATTCCCTATTGAATAAATGGTGCTGGGAAAACTGGCTAGACATATGCAGAAAGCTGAAACTGGATCCCTTCCTTACACCTTATACAAAAATTAATTCAAGATGGATTAAAGACTTAAATGTTAGACGTAAAACCATAAAAATCCTAGAAGAAAACCTAGGCAGTACAATTCAGGACATAGGCATGGTCAAGGACTTCATGACTAAAACACCAAAAGCAATGGCAACGAAAGCCAAAATAGACAAATGGAATCTAATTAAACTAAAGAGCTTCTGCACAGCAAAAGAAACTACCATCAGAGTGAACAGGCAACTTACAGAATGGGAGAAAATTTTTGCAATCTACCCATCTGACAAAGGGCTAATATCCAGAATCTACAAAGAACTTAAACATATTTACAAGAAAAAAACAAACAACCCCATCAAAAAGTGGGCAAAGGATATAAAGAGACACTTCTCAAAAGAAGACATCTATGCAGCCAACAGACACATGAAAAAATGCTCATCATCACTGGTCATTAGAGAAATGCAAATCAACACCACATTGAGATACTATCTCATGCCAGTTAGAATGGCAATCATTAAAAACTCAGGAAACAACAAGATCCTGGAGAGGATGTGGAGAAATAGGAAAGCTTTTACACTGTTGGTGGGAGTGTAAATTAGTTCAACCATTGTGGCAGACAGTGTGGCAATTCCTCAAGGATCTAGAACTAGAAATACCATTTGACCCAGCGATCCCATTACTGGGTATATACCCAAAGGATTATAAATCATGCTACTATAAACACACATGCACACGTATGTTTATTGCAGCTCTATTCACAATAGCAAAGACTTGGAACCAACCCAAATGTCCATCAATGATAGACTGGATAAAGAAAATATGGCACGTATACACCGTGAAATACAATGCAGCCATAAAAAAGGATGAGTTCATGTCCTTTGCAGGGACATGGATGAAACTGGAAACCATCATTCTCAGCAAATTACCACAAGGACAGAAAACCAAACACCACATGTTCTCACTTATAGGTGGGAATTGAACAATGAGATTACTTGGACACAGTGTGGGGAACATCACACACTGGGGCTTTTCGGGGGGGTGGAGGCCTGGGGGAGGGATAGCATTAGGAGAAATACCTAATGTAAATGACTGATAGGTGCAGCAAACCAACATGGCACATGTATACCTATGTATCAAACCTGCACGTTGTGCACATGTACCCTAGAACTTAAAGTATTAAAAAAAAAATCCTGCTAGCTATACAATTTGAAAATCAGAAAGGGAAGAAAAGAAAGACTTTCTATTCCTTCCCACCTGTAATAACTGCTTTTAATACCTTTGTGTATTTCCATCTGCAGGTATATTTTGAATTCAAAGGAAAATGGATCACACATATTAAAGCTTTTGTTCTGCAAATATTTCATATTATTTTAACATAAATATTGTAATTTTACCTAAAAAAATGTACAATTATATCCAGCCCAAATTCATGCCATTGTTATGATTTCAACATATCCTGGCCAGAACACTGGTTTAATTACTTCACAGATCAAAAAGAAAGGCTTCTAGCACAGAGACGTATCAACTCAAAGAACTGCTCTTTTCAGGATAATTGCCAAGTGTCTGTATACAGTTTGATGTTCTTATGAATTGAACTGTGTAAAAATTCACACACTGGAGTTCTAATCCCCAGTACCTCAGAATGTGATCTTATTTGGAAATAGCGTTGTTGAAGATACAGTTAAGATGAAGCTATAATGGAGTACTGTAGTCCCCTTAACCAATATGACTCATGCCTTTATATAAAGGGGAAATTTGGACACAGAGACATGCACACAGGAATATCATGTGAAGATTGGAATTATACTGCCATAAGGCAAGGAGCTCTCAGAAGCTAGGAGAGGGGCCTGGAAAAGAACCTTCCCTAATGCCCTTGAAAGGAGCATGGCCTTGCCAACATCTTGATATCAGACTTCCGGCCTCCAGAATTTTGAGATAATACATTTCTGTTGTTCTAAGCCCCCAAGTTTGTGGTACTCTGTTATAGCAGCCCCAGAAAACTCACAGCTATCAGACTTTTTAAAAAAACCTAAATTTTACCGCCCCTTTCACACATGACACAAGCTATCAAAGCAAAGAAAGACTCATGAAACAGAGGCATGACCATGTACCCTTCTCATTCATTCACCTCCTTTACCCTCCTGTCCCCTGCGTACCCAGACCCCATGCCATTGTAGAGGTGATTCACAAGACACCCGACTTGCCGACTTTCTTAGCCCATGCTCTCTATAGAGGGAAAGAACAGCCAGCCTTTCATGTGGGCCACAATGGCTACCTGGCTATAAGAAGCTCACCCTTCATTGTAAATTTTCTTGTCTGACTTGGTTGGGAAGTTAGTGTGTCATTTTACATGGACATGGGGCCCTTATCCTAGTAAATTCCCTTTCCTTTGACCAAAAGAGCTGAAATTGTCTCCACAAAGCTAGTAAGAGCCTTTCATTTATGTTGGCCTATGAAAGAAATTACTCCCTCCTGACATGCACACCCACTCACACTCACACACAAACACATACACACTCACACTATAGAAAACGTTCCAGTGGCATTAGTGTGTGCTCAGTGGTCTGGTAAGATGTTGAGAAAGTGATATGAGAGCAGATTAGCACAAGCTATTGAAGAATAGTGTGTTTGAAAGACTGACATAGAGTATATGCAGAAATAAAGAGAATGATGGAAAGTGAAAGAATTGTGTTGTGTTATGAACGCAACACTCTGTTGCTGGTTATTAAGAAAACTGAAACTGTAGGATATTTAGTATGTGTGCCCTCTAGTTTAGGTTTGCTGGAATTTGATCAGTACTGTGTTTACAGATTGGCCCAACTTTTGTAAAAACCTCTTTGTTTCCCTTGCTCTCAAACATGTTACAAGTTCATTAAATGGCCTAAGACTTTGCTGCTAATTTTCTCCTGTAAGAGATTATAAAAGGCGTATTTGAGGCCAAGGCCTCTAAGCAGGATTCAGGTGTGGGAAGAAATGGTACTGATGATTCATCCGCCTCTAAGTTGGTAAAGTCTCATATTGGATACCGGCAACCTGATGACCAGATCACACTTGAAGTCAGCATCAGTTCTGAGCACAAAGTTAAGTGGATCTTTAAGGATGCCTTATAAACCCAAGGCCATCAGCAAGTGTGACTTGGTCAGAGTGAAGAAAGGACAGGAGATTCTGAACCATGAACAATCTGCTTGCAGGACTGCTTTCTGCTAACAATCTCAATTCTAGGCATCTGAAATATGCCCAGATATGGCCAAGTGACAGTGCATTAAGTGGGAAAAATAGCATACAAAAATCAGATCTGCAGATAATTCAAGAAGCCCATTTTGGGTAATACTTTTGATGCTCTGTGTTTTTTCTTTTCACCCTGTAAAAATAATCTTTTTCCATCTAATGATAGACTGGCAGAGAGGATAATGAGGAAAGCTAAAGAAATGCAGAATTTACAAACTAGATGGTCTGTCCCTGAACAATTGAATGTGCTGAGAATGTATCATTTCAGAAAGATTTTAGCATGGAAAATCCTAAAGACTCTATGTTTAGTATAGTAAAGTGCTGCATAACACCGTTTCAGTTAGTGATGAACCACATGTGTACTGGTGGTCCCATAAGATTATGATACTGAATTTTTAATGTACCTTTTCTATGTTTAGATATGTTTAGATACACAAATACCATTGTATCAC
Source organism: Homo sapiens (assembly GCF_000001405.40). Classification (NCBI taxonomy): domain Eukaryota; kingdom Metazoa; phylum Chordata; class Mammalia; order Primates; family Hominidae; genus Homo; species Homo sapiens. The sequence goes on along the minus strand of NC_000002.12, from coordinate 181,796,069 downwards.
AACTGAATGCAGTATTCAGTACAGTAACATGCTATATAGGTTTGCGACCTAGGAGCAATAGACTGTACAATATAACCTGGGTGTATAGTAGGCTGTACCATCTAGGTTTGTGTAAGTGCACTCTGTAATGCTCGCAAGGACAAAATTGCCTAATGATGCATTTCTCAGAGTATATATCCATCATGAAGTGATACATAATTGTATTTCCCAATGTAGAAAACATCAAGATTTTTCTTCTTTCAACTGATCCCTGGTTACTAATTGGTCATCTGTGGAACTGGAAACCTGAAGAAATGTAAGGTGAGTATTAAAAATATATTACTTTTGTGATATTAATATCCTCTAAGATTAAAGTAAAATAGTGTTTCCCACTTCATTCCATCTTAAAATACAGTAGTACATACCTGTTGAAACAATTTCCACCCCTCTACCTCTAAAAAAAATTACTTTAAAAAAATTACTTTGAAACTATTGGCAAGATCAAAATGGCCAGCCCTATGATTCAGGGCATTGTGGAACACCTAATCTCATTATTTGTCCTGCAAACATATGAAACTCAACACCCCAATATGAACCTCTTCCCCCAACACATTTTTTAAGTAAACTTTTCTTGTTTTAGAACAGTATGAAAAAAAATTGGGAAGATAGTACAGAGACTTTCCATATACACCACACCCAGTTTCCCTTATTATTAATATCTTACATTAGTATGATATACCTTCTACACTTAATGAACCAATATTGACACATTATTAACTAAAGTGCATACTTTAATCAGTTTTCTTTCATTTTTACCTAATGTTCATTTTCTGTGTCAGGATCCCATCCAAGGTACCATATTGCATGTAGTATTATGTCTCTGTAGACTCTTCTTGGCTATGTCAGTTTCTCAAACTTACCTTGTTTTTTGGTTTTGTCTGTTTTTTGTTTTTGAGACAGGGTCTCACTTTGTTACCCAGGCTGGAGTGCACTGGCACAATCATGGCTTACTGCAGCCTCAATCTCCCGGGCTCAAGTGATCCTCCTGCCTTAGCCCCCTTAGTAGCTGGAACAGGCGTGCACCACCACACCCCGCCAATTTTTCTTAAATTTTTGCAGGGACGAGGTCTCATTATCCCAAACTCCTGGGTTCAAGTGATCCTCCTGCCTTGGCCTCCCAAAGTGCTGGGATTACGGGCATGAGCCATCACGTCTGGCTCATACCTTGTTTTTGATAACATTTAGTTTTGAGAAGTACTGGTCCGATAGTTTATAAAATATCCCTCGGTTGGGATTTGACTAACAATTAAACTGAGGTTATGCGTTTTTGGGAGAAAGCTCAAAAAGTTAAAATGCCATTTTCATCACATCTGTCAAGGGCATATTGCCATCACTACGGTGATATATTGATATCACTGTTGGTGGTGATCACCTGGCTGAGATGTGTTTATCACGTGTCTCCACTATGAAGTTATTCTCCTCACCGCTTTCTATCATGTACTCGTTGGTAGGGAGTCCCTATGCACAGCTCCCACTTAAGGACTCGGGAATTATGCTCTACCTCCTTGAGGACTATCTACCTAAATTATTTGAAATATTTCTGCAAGGGAGGTGGTCTCTTCTCCTTCTATTTATTTATTTATTCAATCATTTATGTCAGTATGGATTCATGAATATTTATTTTATACTTTGGATTATAATCTGATGCTACTTTATTTATTTTGGTTGAATAATTTTTATACCTTAGATTATAATCCAATGCTACTTGAATATTTATTTTATACTTTGGGTTATAATCTGATGCTACTTTATTTATTATGGTTGCTCAAATTGTTCCAATTTTTACTACTGGGAGCTCTTTCAGTGAGATCTTGTGTCCCTTTGATGTGCCCCTATCATTGTGTTTTGTTTGTTTTTTGGCTTTTTCTGAGTACTTCCTTTTTTGTGGTACTACAAATACACAAATCTTACTTGTATATTTCTTGTTCCAGTCTTAGAATCAGACATTTCCCCCAAGAAGCCCTCATTCCTTTTATTGCAGAATGGTATGGGAACCCAAGAACTCGATGCTTAGTGTCCATGCTACTAAACTGTCATTGCTTCTTGGGCCTCTCAGCTGACAGATCAGCAAGATATCTGTGTGAATACTAGCCTATACATATGCACATATCTCTAAATATTTCCATATGTGACCATGTTTTAGCTATATGAAGCTAAACATGAATTCATACTGATGCTTCTGACTAATCCGTTACCACGTGGGTTATTCTGGCCTCGTCCCCTTGTTTATCTGTAACCTCTCTTTCCAAAAGTGAGATATCTGACATCTAATACTCATCATCCATTTATTTAATTGTTCAATTTTAGTATATGTGTATAATGGTATTAAAACTTTTATCCCTGTGGGAAACAACTTCATTAATGAGTATATAGTGCTTATGTATAATTTCTTTTGCCATCTTTTTTAGTCATACAGGCCTCACTCATTTCCAGTTACTTAGGTCAGTAACCTTCCCCTATAAAACCTACAGTGAGGTTGTTTCACACATTTGTAATACAGTTACAATCTTTGTCATGTTGGACATTTCATCTTGGGATTCTCCCAACCTCATAAATGATTTTTCTTTAATTTGTATACATTAAGCTCTCCTCTCTCTATTGTACATTTCTATGGATTTTGACAAATACATAGTGACACTTATCCACAGTTATACCATACAGAATAGCTTCATTGCTCTAAAACTTCTCCTGAGCCGCACTTGTTCTGTGCTCCCCTTCTCCCACACCAAACCTCTGGCAATCACTAATTGCTTCCATCTCTGTAGTTTTGTCTTTTCCAGAATGTCATATAATTGGAATCATACTGCATATAGCCTTTCAGACAGACTTCTTTGACATAGCAATATGCATTTAAAATTCATCCATGTCTTTTCATTCCTTGATGGCTCATTTCCTTTTTATTACTGAATAGTACTCCATTGTATGGATGTACCATAGTTTTTTTTTTTTTTTTTTCATTCATTCACCTGGTGAAGAACATCTTGGTTGCTTCCAGTTTGGGACAATTATGAATGAAGCTGCTCTAAACATTTGCATGGCGATTTGGGGGTAGACATAAGTTTTCAATTCAGTTGGGTAAACACCTAGAACAATTGCTAGATCATATGTTAGGACTATGTTTAGCTTCCTGCAAACTGCCAAACTGCTTTCCAAAATGGCTAGACTATTTTGCATTTCTGCCAGCAATCAATGAGAGTTCCTTTTTCCACATCCTCACCAGCAATTGATATTATCTGTTTTTGGAATTTTAGCCACTCTAATAGGTGTGTAGTATAATCTCATTGTTGTTTTAATTTTTAATTTCCCAGTGACAAATGATGTTGATCACCTTTTCATACACTTGTTTGCCATCTGTACATCTTCTTCGGTCTTCCAGTCCATTTAAAAGTACTTAGATAATTTATTGATTGTTAAAGCTATATTTCAAGTTTGTATCACTTTCTTATTAAATATCCTTTCCCAAGAAAAATTTCTAAAATTTGCCACAAATTTGGATTACATGGACAAAACCCTCCATACACTACCAGTTGTGACATTACTGGTAGAAGGAATCTATTTTAAATGAGTATCATGTATATTTAGCAAATTATTTTATTGGTAGTCTACCTATCATCTTAAATACTACTAGAAACTGCCTCTCTTCACATCCAAATATGAAGACAGTGCCCACTATACTTTAGCATACATTACCTAACAATGAAGAAGAGGACACACATATGCCTTAGTAATAACATTGTCTTGCTTTGTGTCCTTGAACAAGTCACTTTGCCATGAGAGGCCTCAGTTTCTTCATCTGTTGTATAATGAGGTGAGTGCAGACAACCTAGAATTCCTTTGACTTTTTTCATTTTATTTTTTACTCTTTTCTACAGTCTCAGTCACTGACCAGAGGCTCATTAACACAGGATTCTTTCCTTTGGCTACCTTTCCTCCTACCACGACCACACTAAATTTTCCTCGTTTAGTTGTTGGTACTCTTTCCAGACCACTCCTTAAGTTCAATATGTACTTTCTCTCACTTTTATTATCTAGAGATCAGTTTCACTTGTTAATATGCTGTGTTTTAATTTTTTCATATCACATCTAATTAGAACTTGTTTTGCTTGAGAGTAATTAAATTTTATGACAGCAAATTAAATACAAGTTGATGGCTTCATGGTTTATCTGAAAATCATCCCAGACTGCTTACTAGAACCTAAATTAAAGTTGTTTCCATCCTCCACTAGGACTCCTTCATGAACAGGATATGTTTCTTGATGAATTTCAGCTTTTGGACTACTCTTTTTTTTTTTTTCTAAAGGATAGATCTGAGAAGCCAAGAAATTGAGCCTGAAAAACAACCCGCCACCAAAGGGTCTTACTCAGGATATATTTGATAAACTCCTTTTTCCTTGTTGTTAAATGTATCCTGTTGCCTTGAAAGAAAGGAGTACGCCTACCTATACAGTGAGCAATTTTCTCTCCAGGGAGTACTTTACTCATTCAAGTTCACCATAGGTCAGGCTAAAAGCAGTCCTGGTATGATTTGTATTTCTCACCACAGTCATCCTTAACTGATTCAGGATGTATGACTAATTAGAAGAAATATACACAGCAGGCACAGTATATGACACACAGCAACCACCTGCATAGGTTGCCATTGTGTTTAAGTTGCACAGATGGCCCCGTGAGTCATTAACTTTTATAAAACGACTTTAAAATCAATGTACTGACAAAGAATGTATAGGACTGTGCATTCAAAAAGTTCAGGTAAGTGAAATGGTAGACAACTGGAAAGCAGTGTCTCCCCCTTACCAAGAATGATTTACAAATCTAAGGATTATATCTTTAAAACCAGAAAAACAAAACTATCTCTAACAGGCAACTCTTCTGTTTGTCTTTTTCAGTCTCACACAGAACTCAAAGCACAGGTCATAGTTCAGGGGCTTGAACGTGTTCACAGCTCCCCTGACTGCATTTGTCTTTTAGTTTGCGTATGATGTTTACCTGGCTGTGGCTGGCCAGACATATATTCCTGGCCTTGTCAGTATCTAAAATTCGATAAATGTTTATTACAGAATTGGAACAAAGAAGAGTAAAAGGGCTTTGAATAAGGGCTGAAGGGGTCTCATCTTTGAGTAACATCTGTGACTGATACCAAGGCATGCCCCAGCAAACAACTGAAAGCAGCTTCCTGTGGGGTGACGTGCTTATCTGATCTGCCCGCTCTGGGTGGGCCCTCAGACTTTAACAGCTAAGGTAGATCCGTATACTCTCGGGTGTAATAATACCTGGAAGGGTTTTAGGTTGGAACTTTATAAAGATGACAAATTTAAAACTAAGGAATAATCTGTATATGCAGATTACTTTAGAGTTAACCCACACATGAAATCAACCACAAGAAAGTCTTCAAGTGTATTACAAGTGCCCCTATCTACTAAGGAATTTGTTCTGTTGAAAAAATAAAATATTCTTTGGTGATTTGGGGGTCTAAATTTCTAAGTTGCCAATGGTTCTACATATTTTTCAGCTGTCCAGTTTCCATTGTTGCTGTTTTGTGGGTCCAAGTCGCTTTTTTCCTACAAAAAATAATAATAAAAGCTCACTTTTCTTAAGGACTTTCCACATTCGCAGAACTCTTCTAAATCCTTTATGTGTATTTTAGCTCATGTTATTTCCTTCTATCATGGACCTTATTACTATTTTTCAGGACATTCTCTATCTCTGAGTCCACAGATGCTCAGTGATAGACCTTAAAATCTGTCGTATCAGCTTCGAAAGTGCAGATAAGGCTTTCCTTCAGTGCTCTCTACTGAATGTGGGTGTGGAGTTAGTGACTGTCTGGGAATGACTGCTCTGTCTGTGTGGCTTTGAAATCTCTGTCTTTCTCTACCTGTGTCCCACTTGCTGATTGCAGGAGTGAACTTCTGGCATGTAACATCTAGAACAGGACGAAGTTGGAAAAGCTTTGTCCATTGCACATGAGCATGGATAACATGACTCTTTCTGTGAAAGATCAATAATAATAGTGCCACATGAGAAGAATCATGATTACTCTTGTAGGTAACTACAACAAAAATCTACTGTTGGCAATTAGTCATCTACTATTTTGGACCCATCACTTGTACAAGGTATATATGTACTGTCTGGTACCTAGTTTAGCTGCATTGATTCATTTTTCACTTCCCATCTCTTAAATATATTTTGCATAGATGGCATTCTGGATAACAAAGAGTTTCTATATGTCTCTTAGGGTAAATGACATTATTGGTGTACAGCTTATTCCATGTAGAAGGATTCTATACTTGACAATGGAGATCTCATTTTACAATCTGTGTATCTTCTTTAGCAAGCACCCAGTTTAGAAATAATACAATTACTAATTTAAAATGATTAATATTTGAGTCCTTACTGCGCTACATACTTCATATTTGTTATCCCCCTTAATCTTCACAGCCTTCCCATGAGATAGATCCTATCCTCAATCCAATTTGACATACGATCAAAGTCTGAATTGAATTGATGATGTTAAATAACTCAACTGTTAAGAGTTGAAAACAGGTCTGCTGACTCTAGAATTCAGTCTTTACCATTATAGCTGTATGTTCCAGATAGTATTCATGCTAACAAAACAAAATGATTCATTTGTTAGATGAAGGAAGATCCTAACATTCTTTCTCCCTGTTCATGTAAAATGACTAAGGAAAATGGAGAAAAACAAAAGAAATCCTTGGTCTTCAGCAGCAGCAGAGCTCTTACAGGTTTTCCAGGCTGTGTATAAGTGCGGCTGAGCAGTAACATTGAAAATGTTGCTTTGAGCCAAGGGGATAGTTTGAGTTTCACCACCTATCATACTAACTTGTACTTAGAAGACACTCAATAAAACATTGAATTGAATCCAAATATGTTCACCAGAACAGCTAGCCTCAGTAAGGAAGGGAAAGGTGACAGAATTACCTAACCTTTGGATCATTTTATGGTTTGCAACCTGCTTTTCAAAACCATGTGTGTAACAGTACTGCGCTTGGGCTATCCCTGCTTGATGGTATTACTAGTGCTACTGTGTTACTCTTGCACTACATCCCCTTTTTTTCAGGCCTCACAGTGGTGCATGATACAGACAGGACAGATATTATTCATGTTAGTAATAAATACTAATGTCTTTAGTAGTACACATATTTAATTATGTATAGTGGATATTTGATTCCAATAATTTTGAAGATTGAAAACTGACAAGCCGAGAGGGGTAGTGGGCAGTTTATACCTCATTTTGCTCTGGGAGAATTGACTTTGGTGAGCTTTTAAAATCTTGAAGATATAGATGGAAACCCATATTTTCAGGAATCTCTGGATTATAAAAATTTAACCCAAGTGCTGCTGCTTCAGACAGATATATTCAGTTCTACTTGATTCCATAATTGAGACTATTAGCAGACTTCAGCCCTGGAGATTTAGAGAATTCTTCTCTGCCCTAGTCTTAGTTTAGACTGCCTTATGATTTAAAAAAAAAAAAAATCTTGTTCTTGGAAGGTTTGTGTCTCTTGTTTTGTTCTGAGATGGAGTCTCACTCTGTTGCCCAGGCTGGAGTTCAGTGGCCCATCCCAGCTCACTGCAACCTCCACCTCCCAGGTTCAAGCAATTCTCATGCCTCAATTCCCCAGGTAGCTAGGACTACAGGTGCATGCCACCACGTCCAGCTAATCTCTATGTTTTTAGTAGAGACAATGTTTCACCATGTTGCCCAACTGGTCACAAACTCCTGGGCTCAAGCGATTCACCTGACTCAGCTTCCCAAAGTGCTGGGATTACAGCCATGAGCCACCGTGCCCAGCTAGTTTGTCTTTTTTTAATCCAGATAGTTGTTCACAGGAGTCTAGGAATTGAGACCAGGCTGTGACAGGAGGGACCTATCAATCTCATCGTTCTCCCATCTCCCATTGCAGGTGAGGCTGTGACAGGAAATTGGTGTTGGGTTTGTGCTCTGCTGCTTGGACCAAACTGTTACTAGCTCAGATGTGTGCTGTTTAAAATAAAACAATCGGGATTTTGATAAATAAGGGGAACAACTGTGATGATCTCTTCCAGGCCACTGTTGTCATATAACACACAAGTAGAGGCTGAGGGGGAAGTGGTATCTCATCTGAAGGAAACAGATAGTGCCACTGTCAATCAATGAAACAAGTATGACTTCATTTAAAACAACAGGAACCACAATAAACAGGCCTAGACTAGTGTTTGGAGGTGTCTGGAGACTCCCATTTGTGGGTTTGAGCTGGTCTCCATGATCCCAGAAGCTGTGGGAGTGTGTAAGGAACTCTGCAGTCCAGTTGGGTCTGTGAATCCTAAGTAACCACCACTGATAATAGCTGTTGGTTACTTTGTATTAGACTTATATTATTTCCAGGCCTTCAAGGAGATCTTGTTAAACTCACAGACTGGTGTCACCTGCGCTAAGAGGAATTAGAGCCCTCCCTAGTGCTGAAGAGGTATCAGTGGTGATCACTTCACCTCAGACAGGTCTACCCCAGCATCCACAGGCCTGGGCAGGAGCACAGAGGAGACTTGCATACCTATGTCCAAATATTTAAATGTTATAAATCAAGCTACCTAATTTCCTGGAATATGTCTCATCCTCTACCTTGACAAATCTCTCTTCATAATGACTTGAAGGACAGTTGAAATTTAGAATTCTCCACCCCCTCCTCTCTCTCCTGCCGACACCCACAGCCTTCTTTTTCCATGCTCACTCTCTCTGTCTCATATGAGGAAGGGCCTTGCTCACCATGTGTGGATATCCCAGGTCATGCTTCCAAGCTCCACACACACTCCCACAGAAAACAGTCACCTTTTGCTGCACTTTGAGCCCCCAGAGTTGCACACTGGCATGTGTTAGCCTCAGAATGAAGGGCCTTAGAAGTCCTTCTAAGCAGAAGAGTCTTGAGTCCTTGGTACCTAGAGCATGGTCTAGAAAAGGGGAAGTAAACCCAATGGATTTCACACCCCATGGAGAGCAGCATGGCTGGAGGAAGGTTGAAGCAAGCACCTTTGCCCAGTTCTGAGAGCAGGAATGCCTGTAGGGTACCGTTTTCCCAAATGATTACCTCAAAAGTGTGAGCAACAACAGAATCAACAGGGAAATGGAAGAAAGAGATCAGAAGAAACTGTAAGGATTCTATCAGAGATCACGAGATCCCTGAGGAACTCTCAGAAATAGCTGGGGTAAAACTTTGAGAGGAGCTTATTTCAAGCAAATAGACCATTGGAAGGTTCACTCCAAAATTATGATTTGAAAATTAAGGGTTGCACCTTTGGAATATGGATGACCTAGGAGCAGCTTATATTGCATCATTCTTTCCTTACAATGCATTCTCTAGGTAGGAGAAAACAGGCTTCAAGGTAATGAGACTCATTTACAATCACATTTCCACAGCACAGCAGAGTGAGCATTCCGATTTCTAGTCCAGTGCACTTCTGTGTCAAAAATGTACTGAGAAAAGCAGCCAGAGGAGGTCAAGAAAGTTTAGGTCAGGTCTGTTAATGAGAATTCAGCCCAGCACCTTGCTCATGCCTGGACACACGAAAAAATTCTCATTCCACTGATTTCCCTTCACAAACCTTCCTACCTGGCTGATTTTTGCTGTTGAGTTAATTGACTTCCTGCTTGTTGAGGATGGTTTTTTTTATTTTTTATTTTTTAATAGTCTTTCTATTCCCTTTGCCTTATTTCCTACATTGGTGTATTTCTTAATGCTAACTATAATGGAGTTCTACTTTGAGTTAACATCATTATCCCACTTCCCCAGTATGCAGTTACTGACCTTATTTAGAAACTCCTTGCCTCAATCTCGTGACTTGGGAATTTTTCTGGCCATTTTTAATGCTTCTTTCTTATACTGTGTGACTAATCTTATACCCCTAGACATCTACTACACATATACTTTGCATTTTCAATGAAATTTTAAAAGGAGTCAAGAACATACATAACCTATTGAGCACCTAAATTGTGCTTGACACCTTTATCTTCATAGCAATCCTCCATGATAAAAACAATAAAGCAGAGATAGCATTCTACCTGGAGGGGTGAGGAAACTGGCAGAACTGCTTAAGGCCAGTAATGGTGAAGCTAGGATTTCAGCCTCAGTCTGACTCATTCCATGTCCTTTTTATTAGGCTAGGCTCCTCCTGTGTTTTGTAATACAGTAATTTATTGAGCATGTTTTTTCTGGAAGAAATAAATCATTATTTATAGTTATTACTCTCTGACCCATAAAGTGTGGTTGTCCTGAAAATGTTAGAGCTAAAAAGAGTATTAGAACGAATGTCTAGTCTGATACACTTCTTTTATGATCCAGGAAAGAGGAGCTTAGAGACATTGAATGATTTGCTGAAGATCTTGCAGTCAGTTGTATATAACCTTAGACCCTTGTTCTCTGAACTCTTATTCCAGTTTGTTTGTTGGTTTCCACAAACATTTTTAGGGGCCTATATGAACCCAATTTGCCAATCCTGAAAATTTAAATGTATAATGTTCTCTGTATCACCATTTTTTAACCTTCCCATTTCAATAATAAAACCCAATATTCTCTAAATGACAGTTTTATAACTTGGAATTACAAGTCCACAACTAAAATTTAGAAACTGAAAAAGTATATACAGATATAGTGTTTCCTTTTAAAATGTAAATGAAAAGTTATTAGTATTTTGTTATCAGAAGACTGATAAAGTCTAGGATATTTTTAAAGGTACAGTACTTGGGTTTTAAAAGAAAACCTTTACTCCATTACTATTCCATTAATAACTATATAATTGTCCTATGAATAAATTACTGAAATGAATTATGGTACCTGCTGTGATTTATAAAACAAAAGATAAAGTGTGGCAAAATTTACTTAACTTCAATGATGGGAAGTAATTGCCGGTAATACACTCAAATAGAACACCTGCCTCCCAGTAATACACTCAAATAGAACAGCTTATGAACCATAGATCAGAAGGCTAACATGTACAGGATCAAAATGAAAGTACTAGGTTAAAGTAGTGAATTGACATTCATTCGTAGTTAAATCTTGATTCTCAAGCATGCTGCTGTTTCTACCACATCATTATCAGACAATAATTGTCACGTCAAAGAAAATGGGTGGGGTGGGAGGGTTGCGAGGGAAAAGGCTCTATCCTTGCCATTCCTGGGGGTGATTATGCCATAAGGAATTTCATAACAAACTAAAAGGATTAAGGTTAAAAGAAAAACAGCTCATCAAAAAAAATTATATGTGTGGGACCACACACATTTTCAAAGCAGTATCTGGCTTATTATTCAGTGTTGCTCAGGCATAATGTTAGGATTCTTACATGCCGGGAGCCAGAAAACTCAAAGGTTAAATCAACAGCCAGCTGCTATAGCTTAATCATGTGCCTGGTAACAGGAGCAGTAGGATAGATGTTAAGGAGTTTCACTACCTACCCACCTACCTAATCACTTATCTCTGTATCTATCATTATACTTGCTTTACACTGTGTGTAAATGTATGAACAGCCCCACATTCCAATATTTACTCAGTTTACTTTGGGAATAATCATAAAACAATTATGCTATTATAAGACTGCTTACATTTTTAAAAATTTGGTTAAGTCAACAAATCCTCAAAACAATTCTTTTCATGAATATACCATATTTTTTTCCTTTTTGAAAACACAATTATTCTCTCTTGGGAAGGTAGCAAAACATTTCATTCTATGGATATGTGTGAGATTTTCTGGTGATATTAATGACCAAATGTAATTGTAGAACTCTTTATTTTATAAGAATAGCATAGCGCCCTGACACAATATACCTAGTTATATGGCCTGAAGTTTTAGAGAAGTCACTACCCTAACATATCACTGATTTGAATTAATTATAGGCAGAGAAGGGAATCTCAGCATAGTGTACAATATGAACTAGAAGAAAGTAAATGTATAGCCTTTTAATATTCTGGGAAAATATACACGTTAGATGATAACATAGCCTTGGCCTCCCATCAAAAAAAGTCTGTGACCTGCTTGTCCACAGCTACTCTCACCTCTCTTTAACTTCCCTGCTGTTACAGGGGAGGAAAGGATTCCCCCTCCTATCTAAGCCCAAATTCCTCCATGTGTCTTGTGAATCCCATCTGTGATCACCTTCTATATAGACTTTGCACTATTATCTCTACTCTCCCCCTCACTGTATCCTCAAACTCATTTCCTCTCATTAACTCTCCCCCTTAACATTCCCTTTCAACAGCATTTAAACTTGCCTAAGTCTTTTTCATCTTAACACACACACAACCCTCCTGTCCTGCTCTCCTTCACAGCCAAACTTTGCAAGGCTTGCTATCTTGAATTTCTTTCTTCCTTTTACAAAATGTATTAAAATATTTCAAATATGTATATACTTCTTAACCTACTTCAATCTGAATACCACTCTGCCTAAACTACTCTTGTTTAAGTCACCAGTGACCTTTGTGTTGCTAACACCAATGGCCAGTTTCAATCTGGATCTTATCTGACATCTTCTCAGCATTCAAAATGGGGAATGTTCTCTTCTTCTTGAAATAGCCCCCTTCTCTGGCTGATATGCCACTTCCTTTCCTGGCTTTTCTCTGTCTTCTCTATTTTTCCCTCCCAGTCTCCTTTAGTATCTCTTTCTCCTCTAGTCCATTTTGAATGATGGGACACCTTGGGGAACTGTTTGAAGTGCTCATCTTTTCTCACTCACTTCCTAGGCACTCTTAACCACTTCTGTGTTTCATGTACCATTTGTATGCAGATAAATTTCAACATATATACCCAGCCCAAACCTGGACTCTGAAATCCATAATGATACATCTGATTGACACTTCAACATCTCCACTTACATATGGCACAGACAACTGAAACTCAATATGTCTAATTCTGAAATCCGTTTTGCATCCAAACCTCCTTTCTGCTAGTGTTTCCTAATGAAAAGTGCACGACTTATTCCCTATTGCACTTGCCAGAAACCAGAGAACAGGGTTGGACCAAAACCCAGACAATAGCAAACCATTTGTTCAACATTTATTTAGTGGGTGTATTAGTTTCCCAGGGCTGCCATAACAAATTATCACAGACTTCTTGTCTTAAAACAACAGAAATTTATTCTCTCATAGTTCTGGAGGCCAGAATACTGAAACCAAGGTGTCAGCAGGGTGAGTTCCCTTTGAAGTCTGTAGGGAAGAAAGGTTCCTTGACCTTTCCAGCACAGGAGGTGGCCCCAGGCCTTCCTAGGCTTGCAGCTGTATAACTCTAATCTCTGCCTCAATCTTCACACAGCATTCCTCCCTGTGTCTCTGTTTCCTTTACTCTTCTTATAAGGACACCAGTCATTGGACTTAGGGCCCACCCTAAACCTAGGATGATTCTATCTTGACATCTTTAACTAGTTACCTCTGCAAAGTCTCTTTCTAAATAAGGTCATATTTTAAAGTTCCAAGTGACATAAATTTTGGGAAGGGCACTATTCAACTTACTACAGTGGGAGTAGAAAGGAAAAATTTCATAAGTGAAAAAATATAGATAGAAACATCCTCATTTCCAGTGGCCAAAGCAAGAAAATATTCTGGGGGGAAAATGACAAAACTCATTTATTTCACAGTTTCCACAGTGTTTGTTATCTCAAATTGTATTTTTTTCCTTTGCTCCAAACTTAATAATTTACTGTTCAGTATACAGAAGGACTTTAGAGTAGCACTTTCCAGTTGAAAGTCTTGAATCTCACTTTAAAGCATAACATAAGAACACTGTTACATTGACAGATCTCTGTCAATGTGTAAGTGCTTGCAGAAAACTTTGATTTTTTTCCTCTTGATTGTGTGCTACATATATGTTTATTATATAATTTGTCAAATATGTGTTTATCAGCCCCTATTTGAATCAAGTTCCAAATGAGCAGAACTCAAAGTTTTATTCCATATACAGAAAAAAAAAAAAGTGCATCCCTTGTACAGTTTGATGTGCAACAGATAACCCATTCATCTTGGTTTGCCCAGGATTTTCCTTTTAGCACTAAAAGTTCAATATCCTGAGGACCCCCTCAGTTAGTTAATCACCCCACTGTACAGTTAATTTGCCTTGATGTGCAACATCTCATTATCTCCACCTGCAAGAGAAGTCCTTTCTATCCCTCATCCAGAGCTCCCATTCCTTCCTGATTGCATATCCAGGGATTCGTTAATGCTTAGGAAAATGTTGGAGTCCAGGAAAAGGGAATATTGCCTACCTTGGACTCTGTCAAAGCCCTGATAACAGGGAATGATACTAGTGGCTTAAGAACTTGGCCTTGGAAACTTGTGAGTAAAGGATACAAGCTGATAGCAAACCCCAGCTCCTGTAGCAACCACAGAAACCAAGGTAGCATCCTACTCTATGGAAGCAAATATTCAGGGTGGGGAAGTGCTTCCCATCTTCAGTGATATGTGGGCACATCCTGGTGGATTCCTCCCACAGGGTGGCCATGCCTTGTGAGTTATAGCTCTTTCAAGTTTTGGCTAACTCACTGGTGTTGAACAGTGTAAATTCAGGTTGTATTGTACTTATCTTGCTGGGCACTGCTTTGTTGCTCATTAGCCATGAAAAGTCTTTATGAATGCTGGGTTCTAGGGATCTCACTGGGGAGGAGGCAGGGAGTGAGTGGGCTTAAGAAAGGGGAAGTGCTGCCTATGCCCTAAAGGTTGCCTCAGAACCCTGCACAGGCAAGGCCCACTGTTCCAATGGCTACCACTAGGACTACAGCAGAGCCCTGCCACAGAGGCTCCTAGGGGAAAGGCACCCCCACCTCTGCCACCACAAACAGTGTCATACTCAGCCATGGGTTTTTATTCCCTGCCTGGCAAGAACCCAGGGGATTTATAGCCCTGGTGCTCAGCCTTCTCACAGCTCACAGCCACCTGCTAGGTACTTACTACCTCCTCATGGACCCCAGATCACCATCTTTCCAACTCCTTCCCTCTTCCCAACTTCTTCCCTCTCCTGGGTGGCAACTCCTCTTTAAAAATTGAGCTTTCTTTCCTTATATCTGTCATCTTAAAGGAAGCCACCTTGGTGATTGGCTGGTGATTTCCTGTTTCCATTCATATTGTGACTTATTGCTAAATCATCTCCTAAAGGAAGGAAAGCAAACCTCCAGTTTAATATCTAGCTTTGTGCCCTTTCTTTATAGTATCTTAGTAAATGATTGATAGAAAAACTAGAGTCATGGCTACAAGGAAAACATCAAGATGAGTTCCAGGTGTCTATAACAGAAGAATGGTGTGGTAGTTCTTCCAGGCTTCTATAACAGAAGAAATGGTTCTGTAGGAATGGTACTTTTGTAGTGAAGACATAGGATTCTTTTGCTCCTTCTAGTCATAAACACCCTTGGTTTGGGTCCAAGAACTGATTTCCTTTACACTAAAATACCCTCCTGGGATTGAGTAGAGTCCAAGGCTATGGGTTCATTTACTTGAACAGTACTACTCCTTTGTCTTAGATTCTTGCCATTTTGTCAGAGCTCAGCAGCAGTTAATCTGATGCTATATGCAGCTGCTGTTTGCTTGTTTTTTCTATCCACAGCTTGAGCTATCCATTTGTTTATTTTGGTTCTTTTTAAAAGGCCCTCTTTGTGGTCTTAGCACTGCAAGTAGATGGAGTGGAACAAGGAGTTAATGTGTAAAGTTTTTCATCTTCAGAGAGTTTCATTTCAAACTAATTCTGGGTCACATGTGCACTGAGTTCAGTTTTTGTTTGGATACAATGCTGCAGCTTGGAGAGAAAGAACAGGAAGTGGGACATTCCAGCCCCCAGGCAGCAGCTTCTGCTTGTCAAGCCTTTCTTGACAATAAGGTCACAGACATTTAGTAAAGGCGGCTCTGGGAAGTAATTTACAAATTATGCTAGGAGCAACAACAAAAAAGGTTTATTATTGAACTAGGGATGATATATGCACATTAGCAGAAATCAGGTTTTAAAATAAGTTTAACTCCAATCCATGTATCAGGAGACTGTGCCAATTACAGAGAGAGAAACTTTAGGTGGGAGGGAAACCAAGGCCAGAAGTAGAATCATACTCCCTGCAAATCATCTGCGTGTGCAGAGGACATTAAGGAGGATAAGTAAAACACTCTTTCCAGGTTGTCAAGGCTAGTAACTAGAAAACTGAGGAAAGAGCTGCTCTTAAAGATACAATGAAACCCATTCAAGTTTCAGCCATGAAGTGACCTTGGAGGGCAAGAACAGCCATCAACCCTAGGTTGGTGCTTTCTGAATAAGGAAGCCAACAGGAAGACATAAAGCATGGCTGCAGCTCCTACAGATATAATGTGACAAAACATGCATTCAGGTCAAAGTATGATTGATCACCTTCTGGTCTTTCCTGAAGTCTGGGGTTGACAAGCTCTTAGCATTAAGTAACTGTTTCCTGTTTCTTTCATTCCATCTCTGGGAAGGTCCCAGCATACATTCTATATCATTCCACCCACTGACAAGGAGACCCTGTGTGGGCCTTGATGAACCGGAAATGAGCTCTGACATCTTTCCTGAATTCAGAAGAGGCAGTGCTGTCTTTGGGGAGGAGACTCAAATACCATCTAGGGTCATGATGATGAGTTTGTGGTTAACTTAACATAGCCCAATTTCTCAGTTATGCTAATGGTCAAATTATGGTCAGACTGTCAACATCTTCAAAGAGAAAAGATGGCAGATAATGTACTTTCTCATTGTAAGCATAGTTTATCAGTCTAATGTTCCACAAAGAATCTGCATGTACCTGAATCAAACGTTCTAACCAGGCCAAGAAATCATTCACAGAGTAAAAATGGAAACTGTCAAGTTCATTACAAATCACAGCTGCTTGGGAAATTAGTGAACTCTTATTGATGTCTTTTTTTTTTTTAAGCAAGAAGGGATAATCTGTCAAATGAAATTGTTTATGGATTCAAAATTACCCAGGTCACCAGTTAGTTATTATGCTCAAGATGGTAGCCTATTCTTAAAGGGACACAATATCCTGCTAGTCTCCCAGCACATTGTGTTATTAGTAATGCCATTTGTGTTTGAGCTAGGAGGAAATCCAATGTCAAATGAAAAGGGTTTCTCCTTTTCATGAATTAGCCTTTCTTTAGCCACGCCATCAAAAAAGTGAGGACACTGCTAATTTCCCAAATCTTTTCCAGGCTGGCACCGAATGGATTCAAGTAAATCACTGAATGCCTTTATCTCTGAGTGACTCATGCTGTTCAGAGCCAGCTTTATGGGTTTGAAACCCAGCTAAGCTCTCACTGCCTCCTTTGTCTTTTTACATAGCACAGCTAGATTTAAGTGAACTCAGAAGTTGTATTTGAACTGTGCAACTCATTAATAGCTATCCCATAAAATTGTGTCTCTCAGTTCATTGGATCTAACTATTATGCTGATATAATCTTTTCTTTGCAATTTAAAATATAATATTGACATACTTCTGGGAAACTATGACTCTATGGTATAACTTTATAATATGGTATGTCCACATAATAATTAACATCTGTTTTATTTTTAAAGGAAAGGTGAAGGTATAAGCCCATTTCTCACCTTCTCTAACTTAATTTTTAAAGATGATAGTATGCAGGAAAGTGCAATTAACCACATTTTACATTTTAATCTAACATCAGGAAAGAGAATTTCATCTAGCCAAGATAAACTTGAGAAAACAGCAAAGAAGGAATTCAGCTAGATGTTTTTATTAAAATAAAATGACAAAATCAAAATATTTTTTCAAATAAGATAAAATCAGCCCTGCCCTTATTAGAAAAGAAACAAAAGGTTCAATTTCATATTAAGGGTGTATATCTCCTTTCCTTAGGAAGATTTCAAGGATTTGGAAACTTCATGTTAGAGTTCCTAATTATTAATGATTTGTCTCATAACTCAAGAATGCTTCTGAGTGAGTTTCTGAAGATGTAAGTTTCCTGCAGACTACGAAAAAGTACAGAACTTCAAATGGGCTTAAAGGCCAGTGTTATCGTTTCTTTAAATAATTTTTCTCATGTTTGATAAACTCATATTTTGTGAGTGTGTAAGTAATGTGAAGTTAGTACTTCCAATACTTCCATTTCAATAGATCAAAATCAAGTTCAACTAAAGAGCCATAAAGATAAGCACTATCAATTTGCTAAGCTGTCATCACAAATACAGGGACTGACTAACCAAACAGGTTATATGACCCATGAAAGCAAGAGATATTTCGCATCCTTCCTTGTGAATGAAAGTGCTTAGCACTGTCATTTGTACTTTAAAATACATAGCAAATGCTAACACTTAATTATGGCTAACATTTGTCAAGTTCTTGCATTTGAGACTGACAGTAATAAATGTACCCTTCCCTCAAGAATTTGAAATGAAATATTCAATACTTTCAATGTATAGTTACTTAAAGATAAAAAAATATCCAACAGTACTGTAAGAGTAAAACTGAGCTATATTTTAGCAAAAAGAACAATGAGTTTTAGAATACTTAAATCGAGACAAAAACTGACTTACATTTTCATCTCAGTTCAGGTACTTACCAACCATATAACCTTAAGCAAAGTACTTATTCCCTCTGAGCTTTGGTTTACATGTATTAAAATTGGATATTATTTCAGAATATTAATGTATAGATTAAGCAAGAGAACATGTACAGCAAGTACCGCATGCTTGAAATAGTACACACTCAACTAGTAGAACTATTTTTTATAGAAAGCAAATATTGTGGGTTTTTTTAATAAAAAGTTTTACTTTGTTTTATTTTACTTTATTTTTAAGACAGGGACTCACTGTGTCACCCAGGCTTGAGTGTAGTGGTGTGATCATGGCTTACTGTAGCCTCAAACTCCTTGGCTAAAATGATCCTCCCACCTCAGCCTCCCTAGTAGCTGGGACTACAGGTATATGCCAACATGCCTGAATGATTTTTTAATTTTTTTTGTAAAGATGAGGTCTCCCTATGTTGCCCAGGCTGGTCTGGAACTCCTGGGCTCAAGTGATCCACCCACCTTGGCTTCCCAAATTGAGGGGATCACAGGCATGAGCCACAGTGCCTGACCTCAAGTATTGTTATTAATGAAAACTTGCTTCTATAGTGCTTGATATTCTCAAACTATGTATTTTTCTAAAATAGAACTATATTGTTTCTGGTAATGCCATGGGTCTGATAGGTGAGCTAAGGCAAAGTCATTGGGATTGGCATTATAACATTCCAAGATCTTCAGGAGCTGGAAGATGGGGCTTGTGAGACTCAGAACTGTCTCGTGCGCTACTATTACCACTTAGGACTGTGAAGTAAGGAATTCGCTCAAACTGTACTGCTTTTCTTTTGCTCCAGCTTGTTTGGATCATCTGGATTTTAGTTATCTAAGTCAACCATGTAGTATCAGGGGCAGTATAAGATTAAACAGATGCACTAATGACAAAAAAAAATAATGTGAGATGACAACACTTTAGTTACTGAGGTTCTGCACAACAGGATGTTCTTTCCACACCACCTCTTCCTCTCATTCACTGGGGATGACAAGTCACAGTGCTTTGGTCCTTGGCAACTTATCATTCCAAAAGGAACTTGGCATATCAATGAGTTAGAAATGCGTGTTGAAGTTGCTTTCCTTTTTTACAGCGGTTTCCAGAAAAACCTGTAGGTGTTGGCAGAGAACATATAACTGTTTTATAAAAATATAAATTAAAGCCTCTGAAGGAGTTAGCTATCTGAGGAGTTAAAACTTACAAGAACTATTATTATAAAATTTCTGTAAAAGTAATATAATTGTTAAGAAATCTTAAATACATAGCACTTGGGAAGAAACTATAAGACATGAAAGATCTAGCAATCATAAATCAATAGATACTGGTACCCAAGAGTATTAGGTAAGGCACATACCAATATTTAATCAACACTTAACTATTGTGCAGTCATCCAACATTCACTGAGTGCCTATTGTATGCAATGTACTATGGAAGCCATGTGGAATATGCTAATATGAAACTGTCTGACTTCAGAGTCTATAGTTTAATGCTAGAGGTGAATTTAAAATTTATAATTTTAATGCTATACAGCACCATATCACTTGTGAATCTTACTTGGAAGGTTTCAGAAAATTCTTGGCAGATGTAATACCAGATCTAAGCCTTAAAGCATGAGTAGGAGTTAGCTGCTGGTAAATTAGGCAGGAAAGACCATTCCAACAATATGAGACCAGATCTAAAAAAAAAAAAAAAAAAAAAAAAAAAAAGCCTTACAGGTAAGAAACAGCATTTACAGAGAACAGTAAGCAAGTTGATATGGAAGCTTAGCATACAACCGACAATGGCAAGAAAGATCAGTGGTATGCAGTTTGCGGAGAAGCCTATTTTCTTTTTATTTCTTTTCCTTTTTTTTTTTTTTTCTTGTTTTGAGATGGAGTCTCACTCTGTCGCCAGGCTGGAGTGCAGTGGCATGATCTCGGCTCACTGCAACCTCCACCTCCTGGGTTCAAGCGATTCTCCTGCCTCAGCCTCCCAAGTAGCTGGGACTACATGTGCATGCCACCACGCCCGGCTAATTTTGTATTTTTAGTAGGGATGGGGTTTCACCATGTTGGCCAGGCTTGTCTCAAACTCCTGATCTGCCCGCCTCGGCCTCCCAAAGTGCTGGGATTACAGGTGTGAGCCACTGTGCCTGGCCTAGAAGCCTATTTTCATATAAAGAATTTTAAGTGCTCTGTAGAGGATCCGTAAGACAGTATAGACGATGAATAGCTGTTGAAGACATTTAAACAAGGGAGCAAAATGGGCCAAATTTCTATTTTCATTAGAGCTTTCAGATAGTCTTGTGGAGGATACATTTGAGTAGAAAGGCTAGAGGAGCAAGAACAGTTAGAAAACTTACATTAATGTAAGCAAGAGATGACAAAGATCCTAACTAAGGTTGTGGTAGTAGGAATGGAGAAAAGGAATTCACTCAAGATGGATTTGGAGACAAATCTAGCCAGGCAAGACAACTGATAGGGTAAGAGGTGTAAAACAAACTTCCGGATTTTTCATTTGAGTAATTGAAAGTTTGGTGCAGTCAACAAAGGAAAGAGAATGCAGTAGTTCCCCCTTATCCAGTTTCGCTTTCTGTGGTTTCAGTTACCTGCAGTCAACTGTGGTCTGAAAATATTAAATGGAATATTCCAGAAATAAACAATTCATAAGTTTTAAATTGCATGCCATTCTGAGTAGTATGATGAAATCTCATACCATCCCACTCCACCCCACCCGTGACATGAATCATCCCTTTGTCCATCATATCCACACTGTAGATGTTATGCATCCTAGTAGCTGTCTTGTATATCAGATCAGCCATAGCAATTTGCTGCGATTGTGCCTAAGTCACTCTTATTTTACTTAATAGTGGCCCCAAAGCACAAGAGTAGTGATGCCGGCAACATGGAAATGCCAAAGAGAAGCTATAAAGTGCTTCCTTTAACTAAAAAAGTAAAAGTTCTCCACTTAATAAGGAAAGAAAAAAAATCATATGCTGAGGTTGCTAAGATGTATAGTAAGAGTGAATCTTCTACCTATGAGATTTTGAAGCAAGAAAAAGAAATCTGTGCTAGTTTTGCTGTCACACCTCAAACTGCAAAAGTCATAGTCAAAGTGCATGATAAGTACTTAGTTATGAAAGAAAAGGCATTAAATTTGTGGGTGGAAGGCATGAGGAAAAACATGTTCTAAATGAGGACAATGGGACTTGGTTCTACCAGAGGTTTTTGGTATTTACTGGGGGTCTTGGAATGCATCCCCCACGGATAAAGGGGAACTACTATACTCTAAGAGGAGCCAATGGAAGAGGAAAGATGAAATTCAACACAGTCAGTTCCACTTGAGAGGCCAGTGAGCTATCTAGGTGACAATGACCAATAGAAAATAGATGTAAAAATTTAAAACTTGAAGAAGAGACTGAACACACACACCCCCCCAAATATACGTGCATATATATGTATGGTAGTCATTAGCAAGCAGGTATGAGTTCAATCACAAGAGATTTTTATCTTAATCTGTTTTGGTTGCTATAACAAAAATACCATAACTTGGGTGGCTTATAAGCAAAAAATATTTATTCCTCACAGCTCTGGAAGCTGGGAAGTCCAAGATCAAAGCACCAGCAGATTCAGTTTCTCGTGAAGGCCTGTTCCTCACAGACAGCACGTTCTAGCTATGTTCTCACATGGACAAAGGGGCAAGGTAGCTCTTTGGGACCTCTTATAAAGGCACTAATTCCATTCATGAGGGAGGAGCCTTCTTGATGTAATCATCTCCCAAAGGCCCTGCCTTCTAATACCATCGCATTGGAGATTAGGTTTCAACACATGAACTTGGAGAGAACACAAACATTCAGATCATAACAATTTTACTCAGATGAAGCATCTGGAATGAGAAGAGCGGTATATGGAAGATGTGACCCAAGAGTATGGCAACATTTATATTATGGGTAGAAGAAGAGGTTTCTGGAAAAGGATGGTCAGAATGATACAAGAATAGCTAGAGGGCTGCAGTTTAGCAAATATTAAGAGAAAAGGAAGCTTCAAAAAATAAAGAATGATCCATAGCACCAAATGCAGCAGAGGCCCAGCAAGATAAGGACTGAAAACATCCAATGGATTTGGCAATTAAGAAGGCATTTAGTGACCCTGGGGAGAATTATGCTATCAGAATGATAGAAGAGGAAGTCAGGTGACTTCCTGAAGAGGGCAGAGAAGCAAATGGGAAGAAAGCAAGTAGTAAAACTCTTCTTTGGAGAAGTGTAAATCTGTGACAATACTATGGGGAAACCAATGGGGAAAGACGGTATTTGCTAACTGATTGTAAAAAATGGGATTCACTTGCACACATTTATAGTTGAGAAGAACATAAAAAGGTACTTTTTTTTCTTAATCCAAGATATTATGGATCTGAAAACTTACTTAAAATTCATTTAAAACCATATTTCATTTCCCACCAAATCTTTCATCTACATGCCTAATGTCCTTCAATTTGGACTGACTGTGCTTTTCCTGACAGTTTCAGCCAACATTTCTGCTGTCAGCACCAATAAGGTATGAACACAGTAATATGATGGAGAGGGAAATAGGAGGGGGAAGACGAGATCCTGAAAGATTCAGCCTGGATAATCACTTTCTGAAGAGGTCCAGGTTAGCTGGTTCAGGTTAGCCAGGTTAACTTGGTTAGCCAACTTGTCTGTGTTCCTTTGAAATGTATCCAAACAGCAATCTCAAATGCTAAACAATGCAGAGCCCTGAAAATTATATGTTATAAAGTATGGGCTTGGTCCAGTTTAAGGGTTATTATTTTTCCCAAAGATAGGCCATGGTATCCGTAAGTGGTGGTATGAAATGAAGGCAATTACTTAATTATCTTATTTCCCAGCAGAAGGTGCCACCTAACAATTACTGTTTGGCTGCATTCCTCTTAGTGTCATCCCTCCTCCATGAACACCCAAGGGTGATGAAAGCAAGAGCGTTCTGACAACACTCCTGGGCGTGTGGTACTGACTTTGGCTAGCCCAGCAGCTCTGCCCAGTTTTAGGTGGCAGACTCTTCTTAGTTATTACTGTGATGATAAGACCAGGGAAAATCACATGAAGTAAAATTTATTTTTGCTGCTTACCTGTTACTTCTGGTTAGTTCACGTTTGCCATAATTATTTAAAAGTAAATCTTAAGGACTTTTTGCATTTGGAACATGAGCCTTAAAGTTACAAAAAATTATTGGTTATATTTTTATAAGCTCCCTTAAATTCTTTTGGGAAGGAGATGGAATAGTCATAAACTTGTAAAATCCCAGTAGTGTTCAGATGGAGATACAGAAATCAATTCATGACAAATTCAGTGACAAATCAGAATGCAATTAGCAAACTGAAGAGAATACATAAGACTAGAAATGTATTTTCCTGGTGGTTTCTAGAAAAAAGGGGGCAGCACTTAGATCTCTGCTTAGATTTTGAAAGATACGTTCACCCATTACCCATCCTAAACAGATATTTGAAGATGAATTTAGACTGAATATAAAGACCCATCCTAAATGTATAGCTATGAGCATTAACACATCAACAACTAACCTCCATATACTTTCCTCACCTTCTAAACTTCTATTGAGTGATGATATGGAATTGCACTCTGCATCCCCGTCTCCCTCCTAGTACTTCCTGCCAAAAGGCTGTTCAGCTACTGTCCAGACATCCTAATAGAGCTTGGAATTAGCCATGATTTCTAGAAAATTATGATTTATGTACAAATCAGCAAGCTGTCTTCACTGAGAACCCTCAAGGCAACTGAGAAAAACCTTCAGGTTAACCCGCTGAGAAACATTTGAGTTGCTTCCTAGACTCTAGAAAATATGGCTAAGTTGAGATAAATGATACATCTTTCTTGTGTCTCTGAGCTGCCAGTTTCACAGCTGTCAATGGCAGCTGAGGTCCAGAATAGCTCCGTGAAATAGCAAACACTGGTAAAGTTTTCAAGAGCTCATTCCTTGGGATTTAATAAGTTTGCTGTTCCCAAGTTCTGGCAAGATGCTGCAGCTTCTTCTGTTTGGTATTGGAGCTACTTTGTTAAAAACCACAGGAAATAAAACATTAGTGTCACAATAAGCCACATTCATTTTTGTTCATGGCCCAGAAAGAAAAAAGAATCAATAAATAATAGCTAACTAAGAAGAGATAATTAGGTACAAAAACTATAGTTGTTTATTGACAAAACAAGAAGCAGGATCACTGGATTCGCATCTATCCCTTTTCTATAAAGATAAAATCTGCCCAGATAACAAAAGATTTGGATCTAAAATTTACAACACAAGCTTAAATTTTAAATATGCTCTAGAATATTTTAAAAAAACCTATATTTTCCAGTACTAAGATGGTAAGTTTTGGGAAATCAGAGGACAGTGTTCTCTGTGTTTCAGTGTAATTATACATTGATTGGTACATAATAGATGCTAAATTAAAACATTTTTAAATTTCAAAATTGAACTTCAAATGTTCTTACCTAAAGTTAGAGAGAACTAGAAAACAAAGGACCGATATTCTGAGAAGTTTTCTTTTTAGTAATCCTTTCTTAAGAATGGAGGGGAAAAAAGCCTTTGACTGCCTACCTAGAAAAGAAAACTTTACATTTAAAAAAATTCTAAGTTGGGTTTCCTAACGTTTACTAAGGGCCTATAGTATTCTAAATGCTTTGCCAGTACCACTGTACCAGTGCCTACAGACTACATACTAAAGAATTAATAGGGTATGTAACACAATACACACAGACACATACACACACAAACACACAGGCACAGCTAGCTACAGCATGTTATAGACTTGCCATTATTCTAATGAATTATCTGCCTCCACTATAATAAATACCCGTTTCTTCTCTTCCAAGCTACTAGCTCAATCTTTATTTCTCCACGAGTGCAATCACACCTTTCCCTATCCACAAAGTCCTCAAATACAAGTCATGAATCTAATACCCCTGATCAAAAGATTGGGCTACTATAGGAGAGAGTATATAATTGGCTGAATAAGTTTTTTTTTAAAAAAGCATCAGAGCAAATTGAATAACACATAACAGAAAAAAAAAAACTCTGATCTTTGTTCACACTATTGTTTCCAAAAATGTGAAATTTTACTATAGTGCCAAACCATACAATGACTAACCAGAGAAGCCAATAAAACATGACAGATCTTGTGGGATTAGGTAACAATGAAAGCCTAAAGGCCTTGTTAGGTATGTGCCTAAAGGCCTCTTGCCATCAACCACCTATGCCAGTTATTAAAGACCAGCATAGATACTCACAACACTGAAGGAGGTCTTATTTATTTGAGAAATACTGCATTATTCCACAATGAAAATTAAAAGGAGCTAGCTGTGAGAGTAAAAAACCAAGACCATCAATAGCTCTCCTCAATACTCCAATTATTTATTTGTATAAAGCAATTTTTAATACAAGCAAGCCTGTGGATGCCTGGAGAATGTCTGCAACAATCTTGTAAGTGTTCATTTAAAACTGAGTTTAGATTTTGAGCACAAAAACTTCACTATATTTGAAAGACAACCTAACAGTTTCAGAAACATAGAAAGATATTTTTATGTTGCTGCCTAGAAAGCATTGGTAGAAGGGATGCTTTAGACTACAGCATTCTGACTACTGAGTACATAACGAAATGAAGGCAGAAATAAAGATGTTCTTTGAAAGCAACAAGAACAAAGACACAACATACCAGAATCTCTGGGACACATTTAAAGCAGTGTGTAGAGGGAAATTTATAGTACTAAATGCCCACAAGAGAAGGCAGGAAAGATCTAACATTGACACCCTAACATCACAATTAAAAGAATTAGAGAAGCAAGAGCAAACACATTCAAAAGCTATCAGAAGGCAAGAATAACTAAGATCAGAGCAGAACTGAAGGAAATAGAGACACAAAAAAACCCTTCAAAAAATCAATGAATCCAGGAGCTGGTTTTTTGAAAATATCAACAAAATTGATAGACCACTAGCAAGACTAATAAAGAAGAAAAGAGAGAAGAATCAAACAGGCACAATAAAAAATGATAAAGGGGATATCACCACCGATCCCGCAGAAATACAAACTACCATCAGTGAATACTAGAAACACCTCTGCACAAATAAACTAGAAAATCTACAAGAAATGGATAAATTCCTCAACACATACACCCTCCCAAGACTGAACTAGGAAGAAGTTGAAACTCTGAATAGACCAATAATGGGCTCTGAAGTTGAGGCAATAATTAATAGCTTACCAACCAAAAAAAGTCCAGGACCAGATGGATTCAGAGCCAAATTCTACCAGACGTATAAGGAGGAGCTGGTACCATTCCTTCTGAAACTATTCCAATCAATAGAAAAAGAGGGAATCCTCCCTAACTCATTTTATGAGGCCAGCATCAACCTGATACCAAAGCCTGGCAGAGACACAACAAAAAAAGAGAATTTTAGACCAATATCCCTGATGAACATTGATGCAAAAATCCTCAACAAAATACTGGCAAAACAAATCCAGCAGCACATAAAAAAGCTTATCCACCATGATCAAGTGGGCTTCATCCCTGGGATGCAAGGCTGGTTCAACATATGCAAATCAATAAACAAAAGCCAGCATATAAACAGAACCAATGACAAAAACCACATAATTATCTCAACAGATGCAGAAAAGGCCTTTGACAAAATCCAACAGCCATTCATGCTAAAAACTCTCAATAAATTAGGTATTGATGGGACGTATCTCAAAATAATAAGAGCTATTTATGACAAACCCACAGCCAATATCATACTGAATGGGCAAAAACTGGAAGCATTCCCTTTGAAAACTGGCACAAGACAGGCATGCCCTCTCTCACCACTCCTATTCAACATAGTGTTGGAAGTTCTGGCCAGGGCAATCAGGCAGGTATTCAATTAGGAAAAGAGGAAGTCAAATTGTCCCTGTTTGCAGATGACACGATTGTATATCTAGAAAACCCCATCATCTCAGCCCAAAATCTCCTTAAGCTGATAAGCAACTTCAGCAAAGTCTCAGGATACAAAATCAATGTGCAAAAATCACAGCATTCTTATACACCAATAACAGACAAACAGAGAGCCAAATCACGAGTGAACTCCCATTCACAATTGCTTCAAAGAGAATAAAATACCTAGGAATCCAACTTACAAGGGATGTGAAGGACCTCTTCAAGGAGAACTACAAACCACTACTCAACGAAACAAAAGAGGATACAAACAAATGGAAGAACATTCCATGCTCATGGGTAGGAAGAATCAATATTGTGAAAATGGCGATACTGCCCAAGGTAATTTATAGATTCAATGCCATCCCCATCAAGCTACCAATGCCTTTCTTCACAGAATTGGAAAAAACTACTTTAAAGTTCATATGGAACCAAAAAAGAGACTGCATTGCCAAGTCAATCCTAAGCAAAAAGAACAAAGCTGGAGGCATCACACTACCTGACTTCAAACTATACTACAAGGCTACAGTAACCAAAACAGCATGGTACTGGTACCAAAACAGAGATATAGACCAATGGAAGAGAACAGAGCCCTCAAAAATAATGCCACATATCTACAACTATCTGATCTTTGACAAATCTGACAAAAACAAGAAATGGGAAAAGGATTCCCTATTTAATAAATGGTGCTGGGAAAACTGGCTAGCCATATGTAGAAAGCTGAAACTGGATCCCCTCCTTACACCTTATACAAAAACTAATTCAAGATGGATTAAAGACTTAAATGTTAGACCTAAAACCATAAAAACCCTAGAAGAAAATCTAGGCAATACCATTCAGGACATAGGCTTGGGCAAGGACTTCATGTCTAAAACACCAAAAGCAATGGCAACAAAAGCCAAAACTGATAAATGGGATCTAATTAAACTAAAGAGTTTCTGCACAGCAACAGAAACTACCATCAGAGTGAACAGGCAACCTACAGAATGGGAGAACATTTTTGCAATCTACTCATCTGACAAAGGGCTAATATCCAGAATCTACAATTAACTCAAACAAATTTACAAGAAAAAAACAAACAACCCCATCAACAAATGGGTGAAGGATATGAACAGACATTTCTCAAAAGAAGACATTTACGCAGCCAAAAGACACATGAAAAAATGCTCATCATCACTGGCCATCAGAGAAATGCAAATCAAAACCACAATGAGATACCATCTCACACCAGTTAGAATGGCGATCATTAAAAAGTCAGGAAACAACAGGTGCTGGAGAGGATGTGGAGAAACAGGAACACTTTTACACTGTTGGTGGGACTGTAAACTAGTTCAACCACTGTGGAAGAGAGTGTGGTGATTCCTCAGGGACCTAGAATTAGAAATACCATTTGACCCAGCCATCCCATTACTGGGTATATACCCAAAGGATTATAAATCATGCTGCTATAAAGGCACGTGCACATGTATGTTTATGGCGGCACTATTCACAATAGCAAAGACTTGGAACCAACCCAAAAGTCCATCAATGATAGACTGGATTAAGAAAATGTGGCACATATACACCATGGAATACTATGCAGCCATAAAAAATGATGAGTTCATGTCCTTTGTGGGGACATGGATGAAGCTGGAAACTATCATTCTCAGCAAACTATCGCAAGGACAAAAAACCAAACACCGCATGTTCTCACTCATAGGTGGGAATTGAACAATGAGAACACATGGACACAGGAAGGGGAACATCACATACTGAGGCCTGTTGTGGGGTTGGGGAGGGGGAGGGATAGCATTAGGAGATATACCTAATGTTAAATGATGAGTTAATGGGTGCCGCACACCAACATGGCACATGTATACATATGTAAAAACCTGCACGTTGTGCACATGTACCCTAAAACTTCAAGTATAATAAAAAATTTAAAAAAAAAACACTACAGCATTCTGATAATGGCACTCAAATTTATACCCTTCTCATAAAGTTATTTTACTTTATTAGTCCTTAACTATCTCATCCTCTAACTAGAGATGTTTACATCCTCTCCCTCTGCTATACTGCTGAGAGATCAGTTAGGTAACCAATTGAAAAGGTGTCATGATGTATCTTTTACAGGCATAAAGCCTGTGGCCCATTTCTAAGAGGCTGTTACCCTTTCCTTCTCCAGAGTGGGCCTGGCTTCCTTGAATACCTCAAAGAGAAGAGTAAGTTGAATACTGAAGACACATAAAAGCACCTCCATCCCTACCTCTCCCATTAAGCTGTGACTCATTCTCCAAGAGTAGGATAGTGGCTTCCTCTGGAAGTTTAATGTCACATGCAGATTGCTCTGTTAGGTAGCAGATCTAGTCTGTTAGACAACATAAATGTATAAAGCATAAAATTATAGCACTCTTTGTGTCAAACCAAAAGGGGTGCAAAGTATTCACACAAAGCCTGATGGCATTAGCTATGACGAGAAGAGTAAAATTAATGCTGGTTTAAATGTCATTTCCTGGTAAATCCAAGCTCTTTTTTGGGTGGTTGGTGGGGGGCTAGGGGCAGAAAAAAGAAAAAGTTGAGTTTGAGGGAAAAGCTTACCAAGTTCTCACCCTATGTTACTCTTTGGAAGGGGAAAATTTTTCATCATCATTACACTTAAATTCACAGATCTGGCTGCATTCAACTCTTAACACCTTCCCCACACCCCTCCATCTACCCCTCCATGGTTCTTCTTTCTTCTGTTTCCTCATCTCTAAAGTGAGATAATAATAATAGCACCTAACCTAAGAGTCGTTGTTGTGAGAAATGAGAGAATTAAACACTTTGCCCATTAATCATGAGCAGTAATAAAATCAGTAATGAAGGTAATTTCATTTTATGTTTGTGGTGTCCTGTTAGTTATTGCAGATAAGAGAGAATGGATCTGTTGTTTAGAAGTATACACCTGTAAGCTAAAGTGGAGTAAGGCTGGCAGGAGGAACTATAAAGGAACCTATTAAGAAATGACAAAATAAGACTCCTGCATCTTTCCTCAACTATTTTTATTGTTGTATGTGAATTAAAGTCTTAAATAAAAACAACTTCCTTCATATGAGAAATTTGGCTTTGGATAAGGAGTTTCCAACTGGAGGGTGACTACTGATAAAAGGGATTGGGGAATGCATTTGTTAAAGTAATTAAGAGCTTTATGATGAGCATAAAGCTCTTTTCTTTTTTCTTTTTTTTTTTTTTTTTGAGATGGAGTCTCACTCTGTCACCCATGCTGGAGTGCAATGGCATGATCTCAGCTCACTGAAACCTCTGCCTCCCGGGTTCAGGTGATTCTCTTGCCTCAGCCTCCCAAGTAGCTGGGATTACAGGCACATGCCGCCGTGCCCAGCTAATTTTTTTGTATTTTAGTAGAGACAAGGTTTCACCATATGGCCCAGGCTGGTCTTGAACTCCTGAGCTCAAGCAATCCACCTGCTTTGGCCTTCCAAAGTGCTAGGATTACAGGCATGAGCCACCACACCCAGCCTATGACGAGCATAAAGCTCTTGGTGATGGGCAGCTCTTTCTTAGGAATCTGGTTGGGGAGACACCCCTGAAAATATGCATAGAAATAGATATATGGTAGTCTTATTTCCATGTTTTCAATACACAAAATTGCATGCCCTTTATTAGTTTGTAGACATTGGTTTGGCAACTGGGGCCCTCAATGACAGAGGAGAAAGTTCAGTGTTTATCAAGTGTGGCTAGTCAAAAGCAAGGCCTGGACATTGTAACAAAAGAATGGCAGCATTATCCCCTCCAGCAGGTGGAACAAAGACTAATGAGAGGGCCAAGCCCTTTGAAAGTTATTAAAGATTAGTCTTTGACAAGCAAGCTCCTTTCAATAGTGACTTCTATTGTTTCCCAGGACTAGCTGACCGGCTTTCTGGTTACAGTTTGCTCCAGTCCACAAAGCATAGATACTAAGGCTGCTGGGCTCTGCCTGAAAACCTGCACAAAGCCAGGTCTGATGCTCTTGTCACATGAGACACAGGTCCTGGGGTGGTGTTCCCAGCCCCCATGTGGGAGGAGAGGACTGAGACAGGCCTCTCTGAATCCTTTATCTTTCTTAATTATTTATTTGGCTCCAAATTGTTGTGAAAAGGGGTCACTGTGGAATTGCTTGCAGGCACACTCGTTCTGGGGCTAGTAGAGAAGAGGGAAGATGCTCTTCTTTTGGGGAGCCAAGATGCTACAGCCAAGAGCTGTTACAGACAAGGCCTTCAGTTTCTTCTGCAAAGGACAGATGGAGCCTTCTCTGCAACAGACAGATAAGGCACGTCCCCTGGCTGACGGTGTTTTCATGCAGTGTAGGAAATCAGATAAGAAGTCTGGCATGCAGATGTGGCAGCAAATGGTTCATCAAAATATTCTAGAAGTCAAGATCTGGGTGGAATTTTAACCTAGCACACATTAATTGGAATAGAATTAAGAGTAATTAGCTGGGCACAGTGGCTCACGCCTGTAATCCCAGCACTTTGGGAGGCCAAGGTGGGAGGATCACTTGAGGTCAGGAGTTTGAGACCAGCCTGGCCAACAGGGTGAAACCCTGTCTCTACTAAAAATACAAAAATTAGCCGGGTGTGGTGATGGGCGCCTGTAATCCCAGCTACTCCGGACGCTGAGGCAGGAGAATCTCTTGAACCCAGGGGGTTAGAGGTTGGGGTGAGCCAACATTGGGCTACTGCACAATAAAATGGTGCTTTAACATGGTGAACTGAAGAAGTTTCAAGGTCTTTCTGACCTACCCCCACCTCTCTCTCAATCTTCTGTCTCTTCCAAAGCACAGGATGAAGTTATTCCCTAAAGTTCTCTTATCTGCCTAAAGTCGGAACACACCAAAAGAGAAAGCAATTACCTCTGGTCGCTTCCTTCAGTTTTCAGGAACTGAAATATCACAGGAAGAAAGACTGAAGTCTGTCAACAACACCTGGATGGACTTTTGTCACAAGCTATTGTCTTCTCTGCAGGCCCAGTCGACTTTGTCCCAGGCCATTGCATACAATGTTCTTTAAGCCCATTGAATTCCCCTAAAAATCACTTACTACTCCCCTAATATCATCCACAATTCCTTATCTCCCCTTTCCCTATAAAGAAGGGTGTATAACCATCTGTATCCCACTGCGTGGTTGATTTTCCCTCTGGGATTCTCTCCTGTACACATTAATAAATTTGTATGACTTTTCTCTTGTTAATCTGCCTACTGTCAGTTGATTTTCAGAGAACCTTCGAAAAGCAAAGGGAAGTTTTACTTTGGCCCCTATAGTTATAGTAATATTGCCCAGTGGAAAGTATTATGAAAGCAAAGTAAAAGAAGGTAAGGGTTGCCCTTAATTTAACCATCAGCATTAAAGACCACAGTGAAGATTATTTCAAATGCTATTTCTTTTCAAGTGCTTTATTGACTTCAAACACTAACAGGCTTACGTAGGTGAGACGCATGTTATTTTCCCAGATATGTGCACTCTTGCCAGTGTGGAATGAGGAGGACAACCACTTGAGAGGTTAAGCCCCACCCCCTCATTTTCAATGATCTCTAGATTAGAATAAGATGCTGATAAGCGTAAGGGTTGAGTAAGTGGGGAGAATTAATTTACCTGATCATGAAAGCTTCCGAGATTCCTTGAGACCATGGCTCAATGGATACCTTTCTTAAGGATTTCTTTTGTCAGTTTTCGATCTTATTTTTCTTTTTGCATCTTTGTAATGCCTTTTTGCTGGCCTCAATACACTTCACATCCAAGGCGAGAAGATGTTATAAAACAGTACAGTACCAAGTTAAAAGTCTTGCTTGCCTGGAAGGGCTTATAATCCATTTCATGATCATCATCTGAAGGGCCCCACTGGAACTCAAACCCCTGTGAGGCCCTCAATATTATATCCTTCATCATTCAGCCCACTTGGAGTAGATCCATCTTGGAGAACACAGACAAACAAAAATAGAGAAAGGGGGTACAATTGCCCCACCTAAGTGTAGGCAAATAGGATCTTTTGTTGTAGCATTTTTTTCTTTATTTCTTGATCATTTGCATAATTGCAGTATTCTTTTGATTCACTTTGCCAGTGGGGAATTGGCTTCTAGCCCTGTAAACTGCTTTTATAAAATGCTGGAAGTCAAGAAGTAAACCATGTTGCTCCAATTAGCCTCAAATCCGACCTAATTCGCTGTTCGACTAAAAGAGAACTTTTTAGAGAAAAATTAAATCAGTGCCTATCACTGTAGTATCCAAGCCCTAAAAAAAAGTGTGGTTTCTGTCCTCCTTCTAGCTGAGAGAAAACTGAAGCCTTAACATTCTCATTCAAGGTCATTGCCTATGCTGTCCTCTTGTGATAGTTGCACAATAGGACTGGAGATGAAGGGAGATGGTGAAAGATGAAAGGAATAAGATTTCATTACTGTTACCCCGTCAGCCCCTGCCCACCAACTGGAGGTTGGAGAGTGCAGAGAAGAAAAACCCACCTCCACCAGAGAAAGGACAGAGGTGGTAGAGAGAGTTTCTTTGTAACAGAGAAGCGTGTAAATTGGCTGAGGAACATGCATTCTGTTTGTATGTTACTGATTGCTTAATTTGTTTACATGGTAACTCACTTATTCATGCTACTGCTCTTTGTTCTTTAGTAAAGATAGATGATCTAGCAGAGCGAATCTTTGTTTCTAATGAGTTCATCTGCTCCTGCAGTCTATGCCACACCTGTAATTATAATTAAGACCCACTGCTTGGGATGCTGTAATCCTTTCTAGTGAAACCGATTGTGAGTTTGCAAACTGAGTTATTAGCAGAGACTGCCCGAATTGGTATAATCAGCTCCATTAGCCCCTTTCATTGGTTATTCTGACTGTACTTAACCTTCTGTTAAGATGTAGCCAGGTATGGTGGCTTATGCCTGTAATCCCAGCATTTTGAGTGGCTGAGGCAGGAGGATTGAAGCCAGGAGTACATGACCATCTTGGGCAACAAAGCAAGACCCCTGTCTCTACTAAATAAATAAATAGCAGCATTGTGTGCCTGTAGTCCCAGTTACTAGGGAGGGTGAGGGCAGGAGGATTGCTTGAACCCAAGACTTTGAGACTGCCATGATCTATGATCATGCCACTGCACTCCAGCCTGGTCAACAGAGTGAGACCTTGTCTCTTAAAAAAAAATGTAGATGGTTGACTTTTTTTTATTAACATGGAGGCATGCTCACATTTTCAAGGGAGTTTTGACATCAATATATTGCAACTGATTGTAACCCGGACACTCTGGCCAAACATAATGAGGTGAATCTTTCTGAAAAAGACACCTGATACCAAGAATTCAGAGTATTGCTGAAGTCACGCCTCATGGATGAAGGAAAGAGAATCCATGTAGAATCACAGGAAGAAAACTCCTAGGAAATGGTCTTAGTAAATTATGACATGTTAACTGTTCATTTTGATCTCATATTTTTTATAAGATGGATATATTTCAGCACTAATAGACTGTGCTGTTAAGATAATTTAGCAGTCTGAATAGTCTGCCATCAAGAAAGAGCAGCCTGACAGTTTTATACTTTTACTGTCTTTAGATGAAAAAACCTAACACAGAACTTTTTTGTTTCAATTATACTGAGACTTAGGGACATGCAGGCTTTGTTCTAAAGTAACTGAGTTCCTTTTTTCTGAAGAGGGATTGTTTCTCTTTGATATAATGTTCCTTCTTTGAGACTTGATAAGAAAAAGAATGTGTGATTACCGGGTTTGTATGCAGTTTGCAGTTATAACCTCTTTTTCTTTTTCCAGCATCAAAATAGGAGGAGTGGATTTTTTAATCCACTTAAAGTAGATAAGACTCCACCCTTGACAAGGTTTCATTTCTAAAATCTGAGCCCAAGTATTACAGCCTTCAATTGGTCTATTGTATTTCAGTCTGACAAAGGGTTTTTCGTCAACTGCAGTGGCATTTCAGTCTTTTAATCCTGCTGCAAATGACTGGATGTACCAAGAAATTTTTCTCTGACATGTCAAATAAAATTCAGTTTTGGAAAACAGAAGAAACAAAACTGAAACAAATAAGAATGATCTAGGACAACAATAATTAATTCCATTTATCAGTAGGCCCATGTTCATCTTATAAAAAAGGCTTTTGGGTGGAATGAGTGTGTTTTACAAGAATATAGATTCATGAAAGTAAAACTGCTTTTTAATCAAGGCCTGAATGTCCCTAAGGAAGAATCCTAGAACTTCACAATTAGCAATCAACATTGCTTCAAACAGTCGTTCTCCAAGTGTAGTCCCTGGACACTCAGCATCAGTATCACTTAGCAACTTGATAGAAATGCATGCTCTTAGGCCACACTCAAGACCTACTGACCCAAAAACTGGGGCTGGAGCCCTGCAATCTGTTTTCACAAGCTCTTTAGGTGATTTTGTTGCTCGCTCAAATTAAAAAACTACTGGCTTAGAAAAGAACCCCCAGCCTCCTACCCAACCTACTTGTCTCCAGGTTTGCATCCACAAATTATTCTCCACACTATCTCCACAATGCCCTTTAAAAATACTGATGTACATTCTATTATAAAGACACATGCACATGTATATTCATTGGAGCACTATTCACAATAACAAACATGAATTCAACCCAAACGCCCATCAATGATAGACTGGATAAAGAAAATGTGGTACATATACACCATGGAATACTATGCAGCCATAAAAAGGAATGAGATCATGTCCTTTGCAGGGAAATGGGTGGAGCTAGAAGCCGTTATCCTCAGTAAACTAACGCAGGAACAGAAAACCAAACACCACATGTTCCCACTTATAAGTGGGAACTGAACAATGAGAACATAGGGACAGAGGAAAGGGAGCAACACACACTGGCACCTGTTGGGGGTGGAGTCAAGGAGAGCATCAGGAAGAATAGCTAATGCATCCTGGGCTTAATACCTAGGTGAATCTGTGCAGTAAACCACCATGGCACACATCTATCTATGTAACAAACCTGCATATCCTGCACGTGTACTCCAGAACTTAAAACTTGAAGAAAAATAAAATAATACTGATTTAATTATGCCACCCCCTTCCTTAAAACTCGGAATTTAGAACTTTAGAAGTTTCCCATTGTAGTTGGGTCAGGATATTCATAGTATTTAAGGCTTTTCACCCACTGGTTCCTGATTAGCTCTGCAGCTTCATCTTCCCCATTTCTTCTGATCAATCCACCCTCCCTTGCCCACCAGCCCACATGCATGCAAGGGGCACGCTCACAATTCACACATCCACCGAGTTCCAGTCATTCTGAGCTCCTTGAAGTTCTGCAGATATACTACTCACCCCTAGGCTCTGTACATTGTTCCCTCCTCCTGAAGTGCCCTTTCTTTTTCCTTTCCACCCACTCCTTACAACCTCTTGATCTGGAGGACTTGTTTTCCTCCTCCAGGATTTGTCCATTCTCACTCACCTTCTGCAAGAAGCTTTGCCCTAAACACCTCTGCCCACAACTAGGCCAAGTCCCTTCACTAGGTGTTGTCACAGAACAGTCTGTATATTTCCATCTTTGCACTCACCACTCAGAATTACAATTACTTACTTGTCTTATCCCCTCCTCCAAACTATAAGCTTCTACGTGGGAGTGACTATCCCTTGCAGTCTTGATATCCCAACCTCTAGCTTAGGGTTTGGTTTATGGTAAGCATTTAATAATATGTCAATGTTGACTAAATAAATGGACACATCCCTTGGTACTACAATTACAGATGAACAGAACTGGGTCCTGATAAATCTGTTTTATGGGAATTAACACCTTGATCCTCTCGTTGCTCAGTTCAGTGTTGTTGCCATTAAATCATACTGCTTTTAGACCTAAGGAATAATTCACCCAACCTGTTTTGTGTGTCAGCTGTTCTGCTCTAGAGAGAAAATGGGGACTAGCTGATCCCTTGGGTTCAATTTATAACACTTTTAACCAATATGATTCTGATTTTGTGATGACGTATGCTAGGAAAGGTGACATCCCTGTACCAAGACAGACTGACATACACTTTGTATATTACCTCCCACACCTAAATATGTGGTTCTTCTATCCACTGCATGGTACAGGTTCCCTTAGATCTTGGCTAGATGCCAGTGATCTATTGGCCTGAAAGAGCTAATGAGGTGGCTACAATGAGGTCCTGAAATGGAAAGGTCACATCACATAGTGGGTGAGAATATGGACTCTGGTGTCAGACTGATGGTTCAAATCTGAGCCCTACCTTATGCTGTGACATGTAAGTCTCAGTTCTTCCTTATGTATAATAATGTTTCTTAGCTTAAGGCACTAGTGTAGGGACTAAAGAAAGTTGATCTATCAAAAGCACTTAGCACATGGCAGGTATAAAATTCTTCATAAACAGCAAAAATAAAGCTTAATAAGATAATGATTAATTTGGCCAGGTGTAGCAGCTCACACCTGTAATCCAAGCACTTTAAGAGGCTGAGGTGGGAGGATCACTTGAGGCCAGAAGTTTGAGGATGCCATGAGTTGTGATCACACCATTGCACTCAAGCCTAGGCAGCAGAACTAGACTCTGTCTCTAAAAAATGAAAATTAAAAATTTAAAATTAAAAAAAGGGTATTGAGTAATTTAATGACCAGTTCCTGCAGGGGCCAGGCAATCAAAACAGTCAAAATGCAAGTTAATATCATCCCATCTCATTGAAGAACTCACATTGAATTTAAGGGAGCACTATTACCATCACGGACTTAACACTCGCAGGACTCTTTTTTTTTTCAGATGGAGTCTCACTCTGTTGCCCAGGCTGGAATGCAGTGGTGCAATCTCTGCTCACTGCAAGCTCCGCCTCCCGGGTTCACACCATTCTCCTGGCTCAGCCTCCCAAGTAGCTGGGACTACAGGCACTCACCACCACGCCCGGCTAATTTTTTGTGTTTTTAGTAGAGACAGGTTTCACCATGTTAGCCAGAATGGTCTCCATCTCCTGACCTTGTGATCTGCCCGCCTTGGCCTCCCAAAGTGCTGGGATTACAGGTGTGAGCCACCACGCTTGGCCGACTCACAGGACTCTTTTAGTGCACAAGTGCTATGCACAGTTTCGAGTGTGAGAGAATATGGCAGACATTTCCAAGAAAATCTAAACTATCCTCTGCACCCTTTGGAATTATCCAAGCATTAAGCCTCCCTTGAATTCAATGGGAGTACTATGCCCAGAGAGGTTTCATAAGGCAGAGTGAGAAAAGGGACAGTCCTATAATGAAGAATGAAGTTGAATTTTCAATTGTCCTTAGATTATTACATTAGGCATATTATAAAAAGGAGGGATTCAATAAACTAGGC
This sequence comes from Homo sapiens, assembly GCF_000001405.40. Classification (NCBI taxonomy): domain Eukaryota; kingdom Metazoa; phylum Chordata; class Mammalia; order Primates; family Hominidae; genus Homo; species Homo sapiens. The sequence continues at coordinate 181,757,251 of NC_000002.12, read as the reverse complement.
CTATTAGTATGGAGCTCAATTGGCCCTTTTATACAGAGGCCTGTGCTAGAGATGACATTCTGCTTTTTTAAATTCTCTAATGACTTCTAAAAGAGAGCTTGTACTCTGCTCAGGAAGGGTTAGGAAATCCACTGGCTTTATTAACATGTTAATATGTTAATAGGGGCAAGATCGCTGAGTAATTAAAAAGAATTCAAACATCTTAAAAATAACAGATTACCAATTTAAATACAAAATTGTCAAGCATTTGTTAGCTGTATCTTCACTCTTAATGCTTTTGTAGAGCCTAGACTGAAATCAAATATATACTCTTTATTGAGTTTACATTTTAAGATACAAAAATCTAATTCCAACACTTACTAGCTCAGAGATGTTATTTTGCCTCTGTACGCCTCAGTTTCCTGATGTGTAGAATGAAGCTCTGTGAAATTCTAAGTCTTACTTAGGGTCTGTGGATTAAATGAACTAATCTCTGTGAAGAGAGAAGCATAGCAACTGGCTCATGGGCTCAGTAAATATTAGCTGTGGTAATCCAAAGCCACTGTACCAAATATATCACTGGAGGATGTTTCGTTGGAGATCCCGAATGCTCACATTCCATTGTATGGCCCTCAAATAGTTGAGAAAATATGGATACACACATACACATATCCTCACCTTTCCTTATGAAAACCCCAGTGGCAGATCAGAGCAACAGACTGCTGTGATGGGTAGTTGGCTGTCGTTTTCTTCATCCAGAAAGTTCCTCGACACATTCTAGAGACAAATACATCTGAACTCAGCTAAGATGGAGCAGCAGTTAACACTCTGAAGCACGTTCTGCCCTCAAGAGAAGAATGACTAAAAATGTCAGTGTTTTCTCTCTTCTATCATTCACAACCTTTAAGAACACCACGCGGTCCTGCATCTCCCCATTTTCCTTATTTTTGACTTCCTGGCTCTTTCTTCTCTACTGCACACCCCATCTTGCTAGCCACACTCTCTCCATATCTGTGTTCTTGCTCTTCTCCCACCTAGATTTCCAAGTCCCTCCTTCCTCTCTCCATCTCATGTTTTACCTTCCATTTCCTTATTCCACTGTCAGCAGCCTCTTCTATAAAATCTTTGAAGAAATCTAAGTTATACATATTTCGTGTGTTGCAACCATTGAGCTGATTTGGCCAATGAAACTGTCATTGGTGCAGTGCTCTGAGCTGATGCAGAGCAAGAGAGGAGCTGAAAGAGTAGAGCGTCTTCAGGAGTACTGTGCAGAACAAAAATATGAACCTCAAGGTGAGATTATTGAAGTATCTGAAATAATAAAGAATAAAAACAGATTGAAAACAGACTATTCATTCTACCCTGGGATTTGAGATTCAATGAGTTTTCCTTGGTGCCTGAATGGGGGAGGGGGCAGGGTAGTCTCAATAAAACTAAAAGAGGCATAACAATGTAAATTTATGCAACAAGTTCCGCCGCAGGGTTTTATAAACTGGGAATGAAAATCATTTAAGAAAGGATTGGATATGCCATGACTTGTGGATCATATTAAGTTAACTTGCTTTGACTGATTTCCATGCTGTTCTCAGGGTCAAGTTATAAATTATCTTTCCTTCAAAGCCATATTATCAATTCTACTAATACAGCAAGCTCTAAATTTTTCATTTCATGCATCTCTCTATAAATGTAAACATTGTGAGTTTAGAGTTATAAAGAGTGAAAATGTTACTTCAGATATAATAGTAGAAAGAAAGAGAATAAATGCTGTGGTGTGTAATCTATGTTTTTGCCATCATTACTCTGCAGAAGTTATTTAACCTGTCTCATCATGCCAGAATACTGCATGCTTCACTTTCTACCTCTGGAAGTCATGACTGATATGTTGTTTGGCCACATTTTGTCAAGAAAAGTCTTCATTCTATAACACATGGATGACTACAAAATGACAGTGTACACCAAGGTAACAAACCCAAGGCATAACCTGTGGTCTGCCAGGGGTTATAAATGACAGCAGTTTTTCATACTTGACATACCCATAGGCAACTATATCTTTACATGTGGTCTGTGATGATTTTTTTCTCTTATATATGCATACATTCAAACACCCCAGGCCAGAGGAGGATCACACAGTGCCTTGCATTTTCAATCATAACTTTTAAAATCAGCACTTTATACAATATAAGCTTAAAGAAAAACATGTAGATTAGCATTTGGGAAGTTAGGTGAGGTCCTGATCTTTTGCGCCTATTTTCTTCCCCATACCCAGTTAAACCAGACAAATATATTCATGGATACACAGAAAGGCAGAATTAGGACCAGATTACTGAAATTGGTTGCTATTTTAAATTACATATATGTCTATGAGACTTGAGAAATTTCCATATATGAGTTGTAATTTCCCCCTTTGGAGATACTCAGTTTGACATGTATGTTTTCAGCTACAAATATCTTATTTGAGTTTCTGGCTTTTCCTCCTAGAATAAATTTACTATAGTTTTGGGGACTTGCAGGGTCGGGTATAAGGGAGTTGATTTGTAAGTGCAGAACAGACAGGAAGTCAGAAACACTGAAAGCTCTTTTATAAAGGATAAAATGGACATGATAAGCAAATTCAAACTTTATTGGATTTATTTAGTGGTTTTCCCCCAAAGAGCTAAGACAAAGTTGTGACTACGTTTATTTGAAAGAAACAAAATAATGAGTTAAATAGATCATCTTATCTTTTCAGAATCATAGAGTTAGATGTGCTGTCTTTCTCCTTATGTGTATTTAACTGAGATTACTATAAAATACCAATTTTCCAAGAAAATTGCAAAGTGGAACAGGAAAAAAACAAGATTTATGACTTGTGCCCAGGAAAAAGGACTGTCCCTCCCTTCTCAGGAAAAAGCAATCCTTTCAAATGAAACATGAGCTATGCCATGGTCAACAGATTAGGGCTATATCTAGCAAGATAATGGGCTCTCTATGGAAACACCCCATTTCTGCTTTCACACAGTTCCTTCCTTGGAAGCCTATGCGACAGTGTAAATCCACGTTAATGCTTCAAAGAATTCTAGCCAGCAACCAAGGTAACAGGTTTATAAAAGGAACTCAGCATTTGAATTCAGAGTCACTGTGTACAGCCCAGTTCTGTCTATGACTTGAAAATTTGATCGATGTTTTTGAGTAAAAGTAAAGAGAGATAGGAGAAAATAGTATAGTATAGTAATGATAGTTGTAATTTTCGTGGATGTTCCAAGAGCTTGATGAGAGCCTAAATTCTGAATTTAAACATTTATCTTCCAAATGCTTGGGGCAGTGGAATCAACAAAAGGCATTCTCAGAAAACATAATGAGGCTAATCTTCCTACAGTTACTCAACACCCAGCATTCCAAGGAGCTCATATGGCTTCCCCTTAAAACTTGTGGGACATGGATGCCATTTCAGCAGCAACACAAAGAAGCCAATGTTAGCAACTTGTCTGAGCCCCACAACCCGGTGTAGAGATTGTGCTGTCTCTCTTCTGATTCTTTTCCCTAAACTATTATTGGGTCGATTTCAATCGCCTTCAGTCACTTTCTAGGTTTCTTTCCCAGAAGCTGTGTTTTTACCTGCTTCCGGACCTGGGCACATCTGGGATTCTATTTGTGGGTGACACTTTTCTTTCTACTTCAAAATTGCATTTTTAGTGTTAGTGCTACCCTAAAAATAAGTGGAACAAGTTTCTTAGCACTGGAAAAAACAAATCTTACCTTATTTATTGCATGTACTCTCTCCTGATTTCCAAGATGACAACTAGTGGTTCCAATAAATTACACACAAAACTAAAACCAAGCCAAACCAAACAAAAATAACAACAAAACCAATATATTGATATGTATTGATTATTAATAGGTTTAGTGGAACAGGGCTAGTCCTGATGGCTTCTCTTTTCTACTGACATGAGAACCTGTTGTGGGAACATTTGGACACTATGTCTTAATCCATAGAAATGTCTCAAAGGATGGGAATTTTAGGTCCTTGAAGGAGGCATTTTGGAACAGGTGGATCTTGTATGGGTCTCCATATATAAACATTTAGATAGCTCTGTATCCACCCACAATTAGAGCCAGTGTCTGATATTTTACAAAAGCAATATGAACCACAGGAAAAATTTCTGAACAAAGAATTGATAAAGGCACACTGTGACCGATTTTTCAAAAAGGTTGAGACTAAAAGGTACCTCTGATGTTTCATAGATTTTTCATTCCCTATTCAGTTTCTGAAGGTAGTCTTGTCTGCAAGTTTTATATCCATCTTACCCTTGCAGAGTTGCACAGGAAACAAATTCATTCCACTGCATCAAAAGCAGCTACCAACACTTTCAGGACTGCTTCACTCCTGTAATATCAATAGGTACATTTGAAACTTAGTGCCTGCCAAGATTGAGAACAATTAGTTCTCAGATAATTTTATCTGTTACAACACATCATTAAATAGAAAGTATCAGTAATTTATCTTTGTTTTTGTATCAACTCGTTCTCAACCCCTATCCTCAGGGAGAAATAAAGTGCAGTGTATAATAGCCATGCTGAACTTAAGAACATAATATTTGAGATTCCCTTCACATCCTATGAAGCATGGGCTTTGAGAATTCTCAGCCCACATACTGTACAAATTCTCTAAACAAAATGGATCTTGACCCTGTACAGTTTCTTACAATGCTTCCATTGATAACCTAAGATGTCAACTACCAAAGCAAATGTGATGATGTCACTGCTGATAGTATTCCAGCAAATCACTTGGTTAATGAGACAAAAGAAATCTAAATTGCAACACTCTGTTCGAGGAATACATTGCAGCAGTGATAAGATCAGAGAAAGTATTTAGATGCCAACCTCTAATCAGGAAGAGACAGAGAAAACTATGCAAACTACACAAGCAGCCTTCAAAGATAAAGAATATTATGGCTGAATCTTTTGGGGAAGAGAGGGTTGCTCTTATATAAGGCAAAAATGCTGTGGAATGAAGCTTTAAGTTCTACCATGTGATTTAGCAGAAGAAAAAAAGCTATTATGTTCATTCTACAATGCCCACGACTTGAACTAGGGACATTCTCATGTTCATCATCAATAATATATATGTGTACATAGCCCATGAAAGTTTCCCTAATAAAAGAATGGGCCTTCCATTGTACATACCATGCCTAAAATAGGTGTCAGTAGCAGACGGGTAGGTAGATTTCCAGAAGCACAGTCATCTCTGAATACAAGAATTTCTTCCTATTTTAACCCTTAAATTCCTGAGCACAGTGTAGGGCAGTCTATGATCATTTGACCAGAAGTTGAAAGAAAACACCAAAAGTTATACGGAGTGACAATTTTCAGATGTTCCAGTGAGACCAGCACCGCAAAGGGACAACTCCCAAGAACACCAAGAACTCAGGGCCCCAGGTTCTAGGATCTTTTCCCTTCGCTTCCCCTTCCTTTCCCTTTCCTTTCCCCTTCACTTCCCCTTCCCTTTTCCTTCCCATTCCCTTCCCCTTCTCTTCCCATTCCCTTCTCCTTCCCTTCCCTTCCTTCCTTTCTTTCTCTTTTTTTTTTTTTTTTGACAGAGTCTTGCTCTGTTGCCCAGGCTGGAGTACAGTGGCATGATAGCTCACTGCAACCTCTGCCTCCAGGGTTCAAGTGATTCTTCTGCCTCAGCCTCCCGAATAGCTGGGATTACAGGCACCCACCACCATGCCCAGCTAATTTTGTATTTTTAGTGGAGATGGAATTTCACCATGCTGGCCAGGCTGGTTTCCAGTTCCTGACCTTAGGTGATCCAGCCACCTCAGCCTGCTAAAGTGCTGGGATCACAGGCCTGAGCCGCACCCGGCCCAGCTCTAGGATATTTCATCTTAACTCTACTGATGGCAATCATTACAATGATACCCAAGGTGTATAACAAATCCACAAATTTTACCATTGATCTAACAAATATTAGATGTGCATAGTACCATGATAAAGGATACAGTCTTTGCCCTGAAGGTGCTAATTTACAGCTGGGGAGACATACAAGTACACAGGCAGTTGCAGCATAGGTAAAGCAAGGACTAATAAAGGGGTCACAGAGCCATGGAGAATAGGCACCTCCTTTAGTAATGGCTTCCTGAAGGAGACCAGGCTTAACCCAGTGCTGAACAATGAGTTCAAGTTAGCCATGGGAAGGATGAAGAGGACAGAAAGGCATTCCAGGCAGAGGAGAAACAGTCTGTACAAAGGTGCGGAAGCAATGAAACATGGCAGTTGGGAGAAATGAAAGCAATTCAGACTAGTAGGCATGTGGGAAGCTCCAGTGGAGTAGCAAGAGAAACAGGCTGGAAATGTAGGCAGGAGTCAATCTTCAAAGGCTTCTTTTCCCACTTTCTTTTGTTCCTATATAGACCTTGAAAGAACTGAATGTCTCAAAAATCAGGCTTTCTTTTGGTTTGCATGGTTTACTTCCTTTAGGGAAGCGCAAGGGGCCAGGGAACTCCCTCCCCTAGCCAAGGGAAGCCCTGAGGGACTGTGCCATGAGGAATGGTGCATTCCAGCACAGATACTATGCTTTTCCCACCATCTCCACAACCCACAGACCAGGTGATCCCCTCGGATGTCTACACCACCAGGGACCTGGGTTTCAAGCACAAAACTGGGCGGCTGTTTGGGCGGACACCAAGCTAGCTGCAGGAGTATTTTTCACACCCCAGTGGCGCCTGGAATGCCAGTGAGACAGAACCATTCACTTCCCCGGAAAGGGGGCTGACACCAGGGAGCCAAGTAGTCCAGCTCAGCGGATCCCACCCCCACAAAGCCCAGCAAGCTAAGATCCACTGGTTTGAAATTCTCGCTGCCAGCAAGGCCGTCTGAAGTTGACCTGGGACCCTGGAGCTTGGTGGGGGGAGGGGCATCTGGCATCACTGAGGCTGGAGTAGGCAGATTTCCCCTCACAGTGTAAACAAAGCCACTGGGAAGTTCAAACTGGGAGGAGCCTACCACAGTGCCAAAAAGCTGCTGTAGCCAGACTACCTCTCTAGATTCCTCCTCTCTGCGCAGGGCATCTCTGAAAGAAAGGCAGCAGTCCCAGTCAGGGGCTTATAGATAAAACTCCCATCTCTCTGGGACAGAGCACCTGGGGGAAGGGGTGGCTGTGAGCACAGCTTCAACAGACTTAAACTTCCTGCCTGCTGGCTCTGAAGAGACCATTGGATCTCCCAGCACAGAGCTCGAGCTCTGCTAAGGGACAAACTGCCTGCTCAAGTGGGTCCATAACCCCTGTGCCTCCCGACTGGGAGACACTTCCCAGCAGGGATTGACAGACACCTCATACAGGAGAGCTCCAGCTGGCATCTGGCAGGTGCGCCTCTGGGACGAAGCTTCCAGAGGAAGGAACAGGCAGCAATCTTTGCTGTTCTGTAGCCTTTGCTGGTTGTACCCAGGCAAACAGGGTCAGGAGTGGACCTCCAGCAAACTCCAGCGACCTGCAGCAAAGGGGCCTGACTGTTAGAAGGAAAACTAACAAACAGAAGGGAATATCATCAACATCAACCAAAAGGACATCCACACAAAAACCCCATCTGAAGGTCACCAACATCAAAGACCAATGGTAGATAAATCCAGGAAGATGAAGAAAAACCAGTGCAAAAAGGCTGAAAATTCCGAAAAACAGAATGCCTCTTCTCCTCCAAAGGATCACAACTCCTTGCCAGCATGGGAACAAAACTGGAAGTAGAATGAGTTTGACGAGTTGACAGAAGTAGGCTTCAGAAGGTGAATAATAAAAACCCCTCCGAGCTAAAGGAGCATGTTCTAACCCAATGCAAGGAAGCTAAGAACCTTGATAAAAGGTTAGAGGAATTTCTAACTAAAATAACCAGTTTAAAGAAGAACACAAATGACCCAATGGAGCTGAAAAACACAGCATGAGAACTTTGTGAAGCACACACAAGTATCAATAGTCGAATCAATCAAGCGGAAGAAAGGATATCAGAGATTGAAAATCAGCATAATGAAATAAAGCCTGCAGACAAGATTAGAGAAAAAAGAATGAACAAATCCTCCAAGAAATATGCAACTATGTGAAAATACCAAACCTACATTTGATTGGTGTACCTGAAAGTGACGGGGAGAATGGAACCAAGTTGGAAAACATTCTTCAGGATATTATCCAGGAGAACTTCCCCAACTAGCAAGACAGGACAACATTCAAATTCAGGAAATACAGAGAACACCACAAAGATACTCCTCGAGAAGAGCAACCCCAAGGCACATAATTGACAGATTCACCAAGATTTAAATGAAGGAAAAAATGTTAAGGGCAATCTGAAAGAAAGGTCGGGTTACCCACAAAGAGAAGCCCATCAGACTAACAGTGGATCTCTCTGCAGAAACCCTACAAGCCAGAAGAGACAGGGGGCCAATATTCAACATTATTAAAGAAAAGAATTTTCAACCCAGAATTTCATATCCAGCCAAACTAAGCTTCATAAGTGAAGTAGAAATAAAATCCTTTACAGACAAGCACATGCTGAGAGATTTTTGTCACCACCAGGACTGCCTTACAAGAGCTCCTGAAGGAAGCACTAAATATGGAAAGGAAAAAATAGTACCAGCCACTGCAAAAACATACCAAATTGTAAAGACCATAGATGCTATGAAGAAACTGCAACAACTAACGGGCAAAATAACCAGCTAGCATCATAATGACAGGATCAAATTCACACATAACAATATTAACCTTAAATGTAAATGGGCTAAATGCCCCAATTAAAAGACACAGACTGGCAAATTGGATAAAGAGTCAATACCGATTGGTGTGCTATATTCAGGAGACCCATTTCACGTGCAAAGACACATATAGGCTCAAAATAAAGGGATGGAGGAAGATCTACCAAGCAAATGGAAAGCAAAAAAAGCAGGGTTTGCAATCCTAGTCTCTGATAAAACAGATGATCAAAAGAGACAAAGAAGGGCATTACATAATGGTAAATAGATCAATGCAACAAGAAGAACTAACTATCCTAAATATATATGCACCCAATACAGGAGCACCCAGGTCCATGAAGCAAATTCCTAGAGACTTACAAAGAAATTTAGACTCCCACACAGTAATAGTGGGAGACTTTAATACCCAACTGTCAATATTAGATCAACGAGACAGAAAATTAACAAGGATATTCAGGACTTGAACTCAACTCTGGACCAAGAGGACCTAATAGACATCTACAGAACACTCCACCCAAAATCAACAGAATATAAATTCTTCTCAGCATCACATCATATTTATTCTAAAATATGATTCTTAGTGTTGGAGGTGTGGCCTGTTGGGAGGTAACAGGATCATGGGGGCAGATCATCCCTCATGAATAGTTTAGCACTATCTCCTTGGTGGTGAGTTCTCACTCAGTTAGATCATGTGAGATCTGGTTGCTTAAAAGTCTAGGACCTCCCCTAACCTCACTCTCTTGCTCCTGCTCTCGCCATGTGACATGCTGCCTCCCCGTTTGCTTTCTGCCATGACTGTAAGTTTCCTGAGGCCTCACCAGAAGCAGATGTCAGCACCATGCTTCCCATAAAGCCTGCAGAACTATGAGCTAATTAAATCTCTCTTCTTTATAAATTACCCAGTTTCAAGTATTCTTTATAGCAATGCAAGAATGGTCTAATACAGATAATTTTTACTACATTAAAATTAAGAGCACATATTTATTATGTGTACTGTTTTTTAAAAAGTTAAAATACAAGTCACAAACTGGCAAAAGATATTTATAAGAGCATAACCAGTGGAGGATTAGAATCCAAAATATTTAAAGAAAACCTATAAGTTAATAGGGAAAGATGAATAATGTAGTAGGAAAGTGGGCAGAAAACATAAATATGTAACCTTGTTAGAAATCAAAGACATGCAAATTAGAACCACAGTGAAATACCAATTTTTTACTCTTCTGTTTGGCCACAATTTTTTAAAGTTGGAGAATTTCAAGTCTTGCCTGGGTTGGAGCAATAGAGCTCTTATCCATTGCTTGTGGGTGGGTAATTGGTACAACTACTTTGGAAAAAATACCCTCTGGCTCAGCAAATTTATTCTTAGGTATGCAGCTTAGAAAAACTGTTAGACATGTGCATCTGGAGTCAAGTCCAAGAATGTTAGAGAAGTTCTACTCACAGCAGCAAAATGCTGGAAACAACTCATATGTACATTAACTACAGAATGGATAATTGAATGTTGCTAGTCGTACAATAGAAAACTACATAACAGTGCAAAAGGATGACTCATAGAAAGCATTTGTCAACATGGAAGAACCTGGAAACATAATGCTGAGTGAAGGAAGCAAATCACAAAAGAGAGCATATGAATCCATTTATATGAAGTTCGAATCTAGGCAAATTTAAAGTCATTTCTGTAGAGATTTAGTAAAGTGATCAAGAAAAGCAATGAATTGTTAAAAGAAAAACTGAATAAATGGACACAACAGTTGGTATAGCTGTTTCCCCTAACTGAGAAAAGTAGTATGGCCATCAAGATAAACTTTTATGTACATATTTTGCGAAAAGCAGACATTCTTGTCATTTGGGGATTTTTTAAAAAGAAAAGGAAAAATAAAAATCTTAAATCCTCTTTCCTTGGCAAAATTTTTTCATGCCAATCGAACAACAACAAAGGAAATAAAATATATGTGGTTTAATTTCTGAGTTTTTTGTGAGACATCTTTCACAATGTGGCATACACTACATTCTTCACAATGAAATTTTCCAAACAGGGTAGGAGTTACTGTTCCTTCCTGGTGGAGGGGCTCAATTAACTCCTGGTCCTGGTGTTCAGATTCTAAAATGACTTTGCTCCCCCTCAAAGTTATAACTGTGTAAGAATTGCCTATGAAGGAAATTGATGTGATCATGTCTGGCTAGCAGGAAATTCAGCAGATAAGTGGTCAGACCATTACCTGGCAGCCTTAATGGACCAGCAGCTCAGTCTGTCTCCGCCTGTCCTGAAACCCCATTTTGCTCTACAGAGTCTGGATTTTGTCATAGTATGATTTTAATATCATCATCATAGTTTAATTGTTCTTAAATATTAGAAATATTAAAATAATTATTAAAAACACCTTAATAAGGAAATGAAAAGTTTTATAAAACTTGACATGTGAATTTATAAACTTTTATTGGCTGAAAGGTACTAAATAACTAGAACAAAGAACTTTCAAACAACAGCAGCAACAACCAAAAGCACTTTTAAAAAATGTATTGGAAATAATAAATCTGTTACCACAAAACAGATTTATGGTCGCTATTTCCTGTAGAAGGATATGTTTTTCCCTCTTTATTTGAAAAGGGAAAATTTTCAGTCCACAAATGCATTAGAGTCATTATTAAGGCTTCATAAAACACAGCGAAAACAATTTTCATATCTTTAAGCCATATAAAATTTCATTGGGTAGTTCCTATTGAGATGCACATTCATACAAACATAAATCATTATTACATTCTATTGTATCATCCCACAGGTTAAAAAAATCTATCTCAGTATACACTTATTATATATAGGTTTGGGGAATTAAGATTCTTATTTTGGATGGTCTTTGGAAAAGAGTATTTTACAATAGAGTGAACTCTTAAAAAGTGGAAATCAAGGCTGGGCAAAGGTGGCTCACGCCTGTAATCCCAGCACTTTGGAGGCCAAGGTGGGTGGATCACATGAGGCCAAGAGTTCGAGATCAGACTGGCCAACATGGTGAAACCCCATTCATACTAAAACTACAAAAATTAGCTGGGTGTGGTGGTGCACGTCTGTAATCCCAGCTACTCAGGAGGTTGAAGCACAAGAATCGCTTGAACCCAGGAGGTAGAGGTTGCAGTGAGCCGAGATTGCGACACTACACTCCAGCCTGGGTGACAGAGCAAGACCCTGTCTCAAAAATTAAAATAAAATAAAATAAAAATAAAATAAAATACTGGTAATCAACTTCTCTTTGCCACTGTCTAGCTATGAGATCTTGAATAAGTGGTGTTACTTTTCTGGAACTCAGTTTTCTGGAACTAGTTTTCTTATGGTTGATTCTATTCTAATAAATTTTGCTAGATTCCATATTTTGACTTTACTGTTAACTAAAAGACATGCTATTTAACCATGTAACACAAGTATTTGGGGCAGGTTTGCAGTATTATAAATCATTAGAGGGGTCACCTTGGCTATACTAACTTCCCTAGTGTCCCTAATGCCCAACATGTTACATGGAGTAGGTGCTGCACACTATGTTTTTGAATAATTAATGGCTAGCTTTAGCTCAGGGAGTTACTAATGCTCATAATTTGACTGAAAATCTGTGACTTTTACCTCATTAAGATATTATAGTAGGCCAGGCGCAGTGGTTCACACCTGTAATCCCAGGCCTTTGGGAGGCCGAGTGGGGTGGATCACCTAAGGTCAAGAGTTCAAGACCAGCCTGGCCAACATGGAGAAAACCCCATCTTTACTAAAAATACAAAAAATTAGCCAGGCGTGGTGGCAGGCACCTGTAATTTCAGCTACTCAGGAGGCTGAGGCAGGAGAATCGCTTGAACCCAGGAGGTGGAGGTTGCAGTGAGCCAAGGTTGCACCATTGCACTCCAGCCTGGGCAACAAGAGTGAGATTCCATCTCAAAAAAAAAAATTAAAAAAAAACCACACACACACATACACACACACATATATGTAATAGTAAATTCTGTATGTGACTTTTAAATTTTATGATTTTCCTTCGGGGATTTTTATTCTTTTTACCTCTTACCTCTGCAATCCTCTGCCCTGCTCACAGACCAGCATTCTGAAGAGATTGAGTTTTGAAATAACTGAAAGAAATTGATTAGAGAGCAAGTGTGTAGTTTTTACATAGCATTCAATGGCCAATTAACATGCCTTCTACCCACTCACTAAACAATCTTGGGCATGTTAATTCTCCATCGTGGGTCTCTCTGGTTCTTTAAAAAATGAGAATAACAACATTGACTTGTTTTGAAGAGGAAACAGCTAACACAGCCATAAAGATTACAGTTCATCAGTGAGCCTGTGGAAGGCTAATCTCTAATATCAGTCAGTGTGCGATATTCACCTGGTTGTTTCGTTTGGGGAAAACTTCTGGAAACAAAATAGTACCCATTAAGAAATACAGGTTTTTCCCTTCCACAGTTGCCAAAGTTTGTTTATTCTGGGGGTTGTTTGTTATACTTATTTTTTTCCTTTTCTAATTGTTTAAGGTGTTTTGGAAATAAGATCATTATCCTCATGGGCATCTGCTGGGTAGAGTACCCTTGAAGGTCAAGATTTTTGCACGATTCATCAAAGGAAATAATGAGGCAGTAAGTAAATTTAAAGTCCAGACTCAGGTTCTTTGTGGGGGGAAAAAAATGGCAACTACACACTTGCTCTCTAATCACTTTCCTTCGGTTGTTTCAAAACTCAGTCTCTCCAGAATGCTGGTCTGTGAGCAGGGCAGAGGGTTGTAGAGAGAAGAGGTAGAAAGAAAAAAAATCAGTTGAAAGATAATATTTTTGGAAAATTATTACTAACTTTAAGATTGGACACTTTTTAAAGGCATCGTTACAAAGTTATACAAATATATCAAAAAATCTGATTATTATAAATATCATAACCAGTTTTGACAAAAATGAGTCATAAAATGAGAATGTTTCCCTTTCCCTACAGGTTTGACTGGCCATGGTAATTAATTTTAACATCTGTTAAGGTCACTTGCTTTGTAAAATGACAAATTATCAAATAGCAGGGCCATAAAAGAAAAGTGACAATTGCATGTACATTGTGCACCACATGGCCCAGTTCAGTACCAATATAGAGAACACCACAGGCTTGGTAAACAATAGGGATAATATGGCCTGTGTTAAAAAGAGAAGATTTCTATCAAGTAGTGAAAGTACAAAGTCATATGATAAGTTTTGGCCTCACAAAGATGAGGCTAATATCATTAGCCATTTATTGCAAAGGAACAAAATTTTTTCAAATTAAACTCATGATGGATTTTAATCACTTGGCTAATGTTAGTAAATGATTATGCCTCAAGCCATTACGATAATGATCATTATTAGCAAGAGTCTGTTTTCACAATGTTTATAATGCTTAAAATTAATCCAGAAGTCAAGAGTCATTAAATCATTTCACCTGCAGCAGAATTTAAAAGTCGCACATATTTCACATAATTGCAATTTAAAAACAAAAGCTATGAAGGCAGTGGAAAAATACACAAGAAAATCAAGCTATTAACTACAGTGCCACCAAGCGACCAACCTCAAAATTCCACGTATAATCAAAAGGGCAAACATACGAAGGAAAATAATTACATGCAGAAAAGAGACCACAGCAAGAACCTCAGATGGATGCTGATTATGGACCTCAATGAATCTCAGAACTCTAAAAGGTCAACTTTTAACTATCTAGAATTAACCGTTTTGATCTAGGAAACTTCAGGGATCATCAGTGGATCACCAGAGAGCTTGCAAATTGCTGAATTTGAAACACAGATGGAGATAAGTCCTTTAAAACAGTAGCTAGATTTTCAAATGTAAGAAAAAAATGTATGTTTGAGTGGTATGAAAGAGTTGACCATTCCGGACGACATGGTATGGTCTTCAAATACAAAGAATAAAGTGTGAACAAAAGAGAAGATTATAATAGAAAACATTTAACTATATCCCGTAGAATCTTTCCTAGTTGTCAGGTTTAAAGTCTACAAAATGTTGGAATCAGACCAGATGATTTCTAAAGTCACTTACCAGGCCAGAAATCCTATGGCAAAGATCATTGAAGTCATGTGACCCCACAAATTTTATGCAAAACATGGACATATGTGCTTGTAGAGTATGAGATTGTACTCTAATAGTTGAACTGATAACACACCTCAATTGAAGTAAAACACTAAAAGATGTTAAAGAAAAATAGAAAAAAAATTTAATCTTATAAATCCAGACAAAAAATAATTTGGAAATAACTCTTACCAGTAATGTTTGAATCATTTATTTATTCATTTATTCATCAAGTATATCTTGAGTTCTAACTATGTTGCAGGCATATGGGCTAAGTTCTAGGGATAACAACATACCATAGGAACTGTTTTCCAAGATGAGAAGATATCATTAATAAAAATAACTCAGAATTTATCATGTGAGGCTAAAAATATATGGGTTGAAAAAGGGTAAGAAGTTAGACTGGCTTCCAAGGTATATATAGATTCATTATAGTCTATAGACAAAAATATCTGACCCCACCCTTATGAGCTATCCCTGGAAATACTGTCTTCATTCTTAGGTCAAGCATCATGAAACTGACAACCAACCAGCCAATAAAAATGACTAAGGGAGTGACGAGTCTGAATTACTAACAGGAGAAACTTAGGAGCTAAATATAAACCATTTTACTGTATAGACTGACCAAACCAGGTCTAAAAATAGAAAACTAACATGGGGGTTGATATTGTTTTCCATTGCACAAGGAGATAATCATGGGAGTGGGCAGTAAGATAGAGTTTGGAAGAGGAAACTTCAGATAATTTCAGAAAAAATACATCCTGTCAGAGAAAATTATCCCATTAATACAATCACTAGGGAGCAATGTTAGAAATTCCATTTGTTGATGGGTTGGGAACCCACTAACTGAAGCTCTAGGGCATGTGTTTTTATTATCCCAGGAGTAGAATGGGCTGCTGGTGCCTCTCAGTCTCTGATTTACACTCTGCAAATGCTCAGGGCAGGAGTGGAAAATCATCAAGGAAAATCAAGTGCGTTCTCTGTGGAATACGGAAACGGATTATGGCATGTTTCAAAGTTACAAACTATTCAATTAAGTCATTTCCCCCTTCACTTGTTGCTTCTCTCCTATTGGTTCCAATGAAGGAGCCAAACAGGCCCAACACTCTACTTTCCTGAGGAGAGAACTGGAGTCCAGTCCTAATGCCAACTAAAAGTAATAACGAGAAATTTTTTTTTCTAAAGATTGTCCACATTTGCCATGCAAAACAGCTCAAATTTCTGGTTCTCTTTCTCCTGTCCTGAAATAAACAAACATGCAAAAATGTCACCTGGGCAAGGTGAGTTAGTCCAAGAGTGTTCAGTGTATCTGATTGCTGCTGACTTGTCTACACCCTCACAGTCCCTTACAATGACCTCTAGGAAATAAGAACACGTCCTGATTTTGTTGGACAGGTGCAACACTCAATCAGCTCATACTTGGCTGTAGACTGACCATGCCAGAGAGGGCCAGCCATTGTCTTCTGTTGTATTTTTAAAGCACAGAAAACAAAAAACAACTACCTTTTGGGTTCTGTGACTAGGCACCTCTGCTCAGCTTCTATCCCCAGTTTGGAGGTTGGAACTCAGTGGTGTTCTTCTCATAACTTCTGCCTGGTGGTTTGGACCTTGGCTCTTTGAGTTAACTATATGACTTCTGATTTTAACCATCTGCCATATTTCTAGACTGACAACTGGCTGCACTTATTGTTCGTTTGTTTCCTGATATATTTTTTCCCCTCTCTTAGACCTAAGCTATGAACCCAATGTTGATTCATAAAACTTTGCAGTAATCTTTGCTTTGATCTATGAGGAAATTTTTTAAAATTGATTAAATGTTTCAGGATTCATCTTCTCAGCTTTGCTGGTACAGAAAGTTTTTCATTTTTCAGAACTGTGCCTGTTTGTCATCTAAAAAAAAACATTTTTTTGGTCATTCCAAGTATAAATGAACAATTATAATAGTGATATCTCTGCTAAAGCAATAGATTATAGTTTAAGTTGTCATTTAAGCTATAAGTTATTAGTTATTAGTAGTCATTTTTATAGGTAGTTTCTTTTTTTTTCTTTTTTTTATGACTTGTGCCTTTCTTTGTATATGTAAAGAATCCAGGTAGTGGGAATTTGTTGTATTTTAATATGAGTGGTTAGAAATATAGGTTCTAGAATAATGATATAACTGATATATCCAATTAGTTTACCAAAGCATTATCCATCGTAGCTTAGTGTATGCACTCTATAATTTTCTTGCATAAGTAAATTATTATTATTTCTTTTAAGTACAGCTGGCATTCACATTTTTCCTCAATCTATAATTTAGAAATTTTGATAACAGACAGGTAAATAGATGGTCTTTCTTGATGAGTTATAATTAAAGTGTCAAGCACTTACTTAATGTTAGAAAATAGATTGCCTTAAAATACACTTATGCAAATACCTCAAATGGACCTACATGACTTCAGTAGCTGAAAGTAATTATAATAGAAATTTTCAATTCTAGCCCATGGGAGAGTACAAATACTAAAGCTCCAACACTTGTAAGAAATATGCCAGAATTTGCAAAAAAAAAAATTATTTACAGAAATGTCCATTTATTCTCACACTTTTTTTCAGCTGCTTCGAGAGAACAAATTGACATGGACACCATCAGTTAACATTATTGCCTGAATTCTCCTTGGTAATTGGCTTTAATTGTCAGAGCATAAGGCTGGGGAATGGAAGATGTACTATATGACTTCTCTGTTCACGTATCTCCCTTCCTTCCGTCCTCCCCCACCTTTAGTTTGTGAGATGTACTTCCCAGTCATGTGGGTTTTGGAATTCTGTCTAATCAAGGAGTTTACACCCAAGGCATAGACCACAGATCAGAGGTAATCCTAATCATTTGAAATGGCATGGAACCAAAAAGAAGAATTCTAACTTCTACATTATCATCCTATTTTTTTGCTATAAAACAATAAATAATTCTTAGAAATCAAAAGAATTCTTAGAAATTGTTATGATTTGATGTTTATCAAATCATAAACATTAGATCCTAAATCTGATTCTTAGAATCTTAGGCATTTTAGGAATTGGGATTGAATTATACATACCTTTGTTAATAACAGGTTAGATCACATGAAATTACCATTTTTTAATTGACAAATAATTGTGTATATTTATGTAGTATAATGTGATGGTTTGATATATGTATACACAGCATAGAAAGATTCAGTCAAGCTAATTAACATAGCCATCATCTGACATCATTTTTTTGTGGTGAGAACATTAAAAATCTATCATTCTAGCGATTTTGAAATATACATTGTTATTAACTGTGTTAGTCCATCCTTGTTTTACTATCAAGAAATACCTGAGACTGGGTAATTTATAAATAAAAGAGGATTAATAATTGGCTTATGGTTCTGCAGGCTGTACAGGAAGCATGGCAGCATCTGCTTCTGGTGAGGCCTCAGGGATCTTTCAATCATGGCAGAAGGCAGAGGAGGAGTGAGACATCTCACAAGGCTAGAGCAGGAGGAAGAGAGAGAGGGAAGAGGTGCTACACACTTTTAAACAACCAGATCTCATGATAACTCACTATCACAAGAACATCACCGAGGAGATAGTGCTAATCTACTAATGAGAACTCCACCCCTTTGATCCAATCACCTCCTTCCAGGCCCCACCTCCAACACTGGTGATTACAGTTGAACATGAGATTGCGTGGGGACAAAGATCCAAACCATATCATTAACCATGTTCAAGACGCAGTGCAATAGATCACTAAAGCTTATTCCTGTGATCTAACTGGAACTTTGTAAAAATGATGGTTAGATTCCACAAGGTGGCAATGCCTGAACTGTATGTATGCTATTAGGCCCAAAGGCCGGATAGGGGAGTGTTAACCTGTTCTCCTTTCATGAAACATTGAAATTACAATTTTTGTAGGTTAAAAAGATCAAATGTTGGCAGCTTCATAAGGTTTAACTGCATAAAATCAGAGTATAATAGGAAATTTTATTAAACAGCTATGTGCTAGGCATTCTATTAGTTACATGTTTTTTATATTAAACTTTAACAAAACGTTGCAGGGTTCATATTATTATCATTCCCATTTATAGAGGAGAAAATGGTGTAGTCTGACAAAGTTGGCATGGCTATTAGCTTCTGGTTTAAACCTATGACTCTTTTTTTTTTTTTTTTTAAGATGTTCTATAACTCTGCCCACCATTGGGTATTGCATTTACCACCTGCTTTAGCCACAGCTGGCTTTTATCCGTGAGCATCTCCTACTGGCCTAAAACCTGAACAGCTCAAACCAATGAATAAAATACTGGGGAAAAAATAAATTAAAAGGACACCACTGGAGAATGAGATAAGCATCATGAGACCTCTGCCATCCCAACCCCACAGTATACAGTAAACCTGCTTACACATTCAGCACATCATTAATACAACCAGCATCTGAGAAAGACTTCCTATAACCAAGGAAATCATACAGAGCCTTCACCACTGAAAGCACTCAGAGCCAAATAAGGTTACAATAAACTATAATCTTTGAAGTCACATCCTTGAGGGGGAAAAAAAGAAAAGAAAAACACAGAATTTACTCTTCTTCTATATGTGAGTTATAAAACAATACTGCATACCTATCTGGAAACATCCAACACTGCTTCACTCTTCTCATCCTGTTTTCTATCTGTCTTTTTTTTTATATACATATATACTTTAAGTTCTAGGGTACATGTGCACAATGTGCGGGTTTGTTACATATGTATACATGTGCCATGTTGGTTTGCTGCACCCATTAACTTGTCATTTACATTAGGTATTTCTCCTAATGCTATCCCTCCCGCCTCCCCCCACCCCACAACAGGCCCCGGGGTGTGTTGTTCCCCACCTTGTGTCCAAGTGTTCTCATTGTTCAATTCCCACCTATGAGTGAGAACATGCGGTGTTTGGTTTTCTGTCCTTGTGATAGCTTGCTCAAAATGATGGTTTCCAGCGGCATCCATGTCCCTGCAAAGGACATGAACTCATCCTTTTTTATGGCTGCATAGTATTCCATGGTGTATATGTGCCACATTTTCTTTATCCAGTCTATCATTGATGAACATTTGGGTTGGTTCCAAGTCTTTGCTATTCTGTATAGTGCCGCAATAAACATACATGTGCATGTGTCTTTATAGTAGAATGATTTATAATCCTTTGGATATATACCCAGTAATGGGATCACTGGGTCAAATGGTATTTCTAGTTCGATCCTTGAGGAATCGCCACACTGTCTTCCTCAATGGCTGAAATAGTTTACAGTCCCACCAACAGTGTAACAGCATTCCTATTTCTCCAGATCCTCTCCAGCATCTGTTGTTTCCTGACTTTTTAATGATCGCCATTGTAACTGGTGTGAGATGGTATCTCATTGTGGTGTTGATTTGCATTTCTTTGATGATCAGTGATGATGAGCATTTTTTCATGTGTCTGTTGGCTGCATAAATGTCTTCTTTTAAGAAGTGTCTGTTCATATCCTTTACCCACTTTTTGATGGGGTTGTTTGTTTTTTTCTTGTAAATTTGTTTAAGTTCTTTGTAGATTCTGGATTTTAACCCTTTGTCAGAAGGATAGATTGCAAAAAATTTCTCACATTCTGTAGGTTACCTGTTCACTCTGATGGTAGTTTTTTTTTTTGCTGTGCAGAAGTTCTTTAGTTTAATTACATCCCATTTGTCAATTTTGGCTTTTGTTGCCATTGCTTTTGGTGTTTTAGTCATGAAGTCTTTGCCCATGCCTATGTCCTGAATGGTATTGCCTAGGTTTTCTTCTAGGGTTTTTATGGTTTTAGGTCTAACATTTAAGTCTTTAAACCATCTTGAATTAATTTTTGTATAAGGTGTAAGGAAGGGATCCAGTTTCAGCTTTCTGCATATGACTAACCAGTTTTCCCAGCACCATTTATTAAATAGGTAATCCTTTCCCCATTTCTTGTTTTTGTCAGATTTGTCAAATGTCAAATGGTTGTAGATGTGTGGTATTATTTCTGAGGGCTCTGTTCTGTTCCATTGGTCTATATCTCTGTTTTGGTACCAGTACCGTGCTGTTTTGGTTACTGTAGTCTTGTAGTATAGTTTGAAATCAGGTAGCATGCCTCCAGTTTTGTTCTTTTTGCTTAGGATTGTCTTGATGTGGGCTCTTTTTTGGTTCCATATGAACTTCAAAGTCGTTTTTCCCAATTCCGTGAAGAAAGCCATTGGTAGCTTGACGGGGATGGCATTGAATCTACAAATTACCTTGGGCAGTATGGCCATTTTCATGAGATTGATTCTTGCGATCCATAACCATGGAATGTTCTTCCATTTGTTTGTGTCCTCTTTTATTTTGTTGAGCAGTCGTTTGTAGTTTTCCTTGAAGAGGTCCCTCACATCCCTTGTAAGTTGGATTCCTAGGTATTTTATTCTCTTTGAAGCAATTGTGAATGGGAGTTCACTCATGATTTGGCTCTCTGTTTGTCTGTTATTGGCGTATAGGCATGCTTATGATTTTTGCACATTGATTTTGTATCCTGAACCTTTGGTGAAGTTGCTTATCAGCTTAAGGAGATTTTGGGCTGAGATGATGGAGTTTTCTAGATATACAATCATGTCATCTGCAAACAGGGACAATTTGGCTTCCTCTTTTCCTAATCGAATACCCTTTATTTCTTTCTTTTGCCTGATTGCCCTGGCCAGAACTTCCAACACTATGTTGAATAGGAGTGGTGAGAGAAGGCATCCTTGTCTTCTCCCAGTTTTCAAAGGGAATGCTTCCAGCTTTTGCCCATTCAGTATGATATTGGCTGTGGGTTTGTCATAAGTAGCTCTTATTATTTTGAGATATGTTCCATCAGTACCTAGTTTATTGAGAGTTCTTAGCATGAAGGGATATTGAATTTGGTCAAAGGCCTTTCCTGCATCTATTGAGATAATCATGTGGTTTTTGTTGTTGGTTCTGTTTATATGATGGATTATGTTTATTGATTTGTGTATGTTGAAACAGCCTTGCATCCCAGGGATGAAGCTGACTTGATCATGGTGGATAAGCTTTTTGATGTGCTGCTGGATTTGGTTTGCCAGTATTTTATTGAGGATTTTCACATAAATGTTCATCAGGGATATTGGTCTAAAATTCTCTTTTTTTGCTGTGTCTCTGCCAGGCTTTGGTATCAGGATGATGCTGGCCTCATAAAATGAGTTAGCGAGGATTCCCTCTTTTTCTATTGATTGGAATAGTTTCAGAAGGGATGGTACCAACTCCTCTTTGTACCTCTGGTAGAATTCGGCTGTGAATCCAACTGATCCTGGACTTTTTTTGGTTGGTAGGCTATTAATTATTGCCTCAATTTCAGAGCCTGTTATTGGTCTATTCAGAAACTCAACTTCTTCCTGGTTTAGTCTTAGGAGGGTGTATGTGTCCAGGAATTTATCCATTTCTTCTAGATTTTCTATTTTATTTGCATAGAGGTGTTTATAGTATTCTCTGATGGTAGTTTGTATTTCTGTGGGATCAGTGGTGATATCCCCTTTATCATTTTTTATTGCATCTATTTGATTCTTCTCTCTTTTCTTCTTTATTAGTCTAGTTAGCAGTCTATCAGTTTTGTTGATCTTTTCAAAAAATCAGCTCCTGGGTTCATTGATGTTTTGAAGGATTTTTTTGGGTCTTTATCTCCTTCTGTTCTGCTCTGATCTTAGTTATTTCTTGCCTTCTCCTAGCTTTTGAATTTGTTTGCCCTTGTTTCTCTAGTTCTTTTAATTGTGATGTTAGGGTGTTGATTTTAGATCTTTCCTGCTTTCTCTTGTGGGTATTTAGTGCTATAGATTTCCCTCTACACACTGCTTTAAATGTGTCCCAGAGATTCTGGTATGGTGTAGTTTTGTTCTCTTTGGTTTTAAAGAACATCTTTATTTCTGCCTTCATTTCGTTATTTACCCTGTAGTCATTTAGGAGCAGGTTGTTCAGTTTCCATGTAGTTGTGTGGTTTTTAGTGAGTTTCTTATATCCCGAGTTCTAATTTGATTGCACTGTGGTCTGAGAGACAGTTTGTTGTGATTTCTGTTTTTTTACATTTGCTGAGGAGTGCTTTACTTCCAATTACATGGTCAATTTTGCAGTAAGTGCAATGTGGTGCTGAGAAGAATGTATATTCTGTTGATTTGGGGTGGAGAGTTCTGAAGATGTCTATTAGGTCTGCTTGGTGCAGAGCTGAGTTCAAGTCCTGGATATCCTTTTTAACCTTCTGTTTTGTTGATCTGTATAATATTGACAGTGGGGTGTTAAAGTCTCCCATTATCATTGTGTGGGAGTCTAAGTCTCTTTGCAGGTCTCTAAGGACTTGCTTTATGAATCTGGGTGCTCCTGTATTGGGTGCATATATATTTAGGATAGTTAGCTCTTCTTGTTGAATTGATCTCTTTACCATTATGTAATGGCCTTCTTTGTCTCTTTTCATCTTTATTGGCTTAAAGTCTGTTTTATCAGAGACTAGCATTGCAACCTCTGCTTTTTTTTTGCTTTCCATTTGCTTGGTAAATCTTCCTCCATCCCTTTATTTTGAGCCTATGTGTGTCTCTGCAATGAGATGGGTCTCCTGAATACAGCACACTGATGGGTCTTGACTCTTTATCCAATTTGCCAGTCTGTGTCTTTTAATTGGGGCATTTAGCCCATTTACATTTTAGGTTAATATTGTCATGTGTGAATTTGATCCTGTCATTTTGATGTTAGCTGGTAATTTTGCCTGTTAGTTGATGCAGTTTCTTCATAGCATTGATGGTCTTTACAATTTGGCATGTTTTGCAGTGGCTGGTGCCGGTTGTTTCTTTCCATGTTTAGTGCTTCCTTCAGGAGCTCTTGTAAGGCAGGCCTGGTGGTGACAAAATCTCTCAGCATTTGCTTGTCTGTAAAAGATTTTATTTCTCCTTCACTTATGAGGCTTACTTTGGCTGGATATGAAATTCTGGGTTGAAAATTCTTTTCTTTGAAAATGTTGAATATTGGCCCCCACTCTCTTCTGGCTTGTAGAGTTTCTGCCAAGAGATCCACTGTTAGTCTGATTGGCTTCCCTTTGTGGGTAACCCGACCTTTCTCTCTGGCTGCCCTTAATATTTTTTCCTTCACTTCAACCTTGTTGAATCTGACAATTGTGTGTCTTGGTTTTGCTCTTCTCAAGGAGTGTCTTTGTGGTGTTCTCTGTATTTCCTGAATTTGAATGTTGGCCTGCCTTGCTAGGTTGGGGAATTTCTCCTGGCTAATATCCTGAAGAATGTCTTCCAACTTCCATTTTCCCTGTCACTTTCAGGGACACCAGTGAAATGTAAATTTGGTCTTTTCACATAGTCCCATATTTCTTGGAGCTTTTGTTCATGTCTTTTTACTCTTTTTTCTCTAAACTTCTCTTCTCACTTTTTTTCATTAATTTGATCTTCAATCACTGATACCCTTTCTTCCACTTGATCGAATTGGCTATTGAAGCTTGTACATGCGTAATATAGTGCTTGTGCCAGGTTTTTCAGCTCTATCAGGTCATTTAAGGTCTTCTCTTCACTGTTTATTCTAGTTAGACATTCATCTAATCTCTTTTCAAGATTTTTAGGTTCCTTGCAATGGGTTTGAACATCCTCCTTTAGCTCAGAAAAGTTTGTTATTACCGATCTTCTGAAGCCTACTTCTGTCAACTTGTCAAAGCCATTCTCCATCCAGCTTTGTTCCATTGCTGGAAAGGAGCTGCAATCCTTTGGAGGAGAAGAGGTGCCCTGGTCTTTAGAATTTTCAGCTTTTATGCTCTTGTTTCTCGCCATCTTTGTGGTTTCATCTACCTTTGGTCTTTGATTATGGTGAGCTACAGATGGGGTTTTGGTGTAGATGTCCTTTTTGTTGATGTCCTTTTTGTTGATGTTGATGCTATTCATTTCTGCTTATCAGTTTTCCTTCTAACAGTCAGGTCCCTCAGCTGCAGGTCTGTTGGAGTTTGCTGGAGGTCCACTCCAGACCCTGTTTTCCTGGGTATCACCAGCAGAGGCTGCAGAACAGCAAATATTGCAGAACAGCAAATATTGCTACCTGATCCTTCCTCTGGAAGCTTTGTCCCAGAGGGGCATCCGCCTATATGAAGTGTCAGTCAGCCCCTACTGGGAGGTTTCTCCCAGTTAGGCTACACGGAGGTCAGGGACCCACTTGAGGAGGCAGTCTGTACATTCTTCGAGCTCAAACACCATGCTGGAAGAACCACTGGTCTCTTCAGAGCTGTCAGCCAGAGACATTTAAGTCTGCAGAAGTTTCTGCCACCTTTTGTTCAGCTACACCCTGCCCCCAGATGTGGAGTCTACAGAGGCAACAGGCCTTGCTGAGCTGCGGTGGGCTCCACCCAGTTCGAGCTTCCCCAGCTACTTTGTTTGCCTACTCAAGCCTCAGCAATGGCAGACACCCCGCCCCATGCCAGGCTGCTGCCTTGCAGGTCAATCTCAGACTGCTGTGCTAGTAGTGAGCAAGGCTCTCTGGGCATGGGACCTGCCAAGCCAGGCATGGGATATAATCTCCTGGTGTGCCATTTGTTAAGACCATTGGAAAAGTGCAGTATTTGGGCAGGAGTGACCCATTTTTGCAGGTACCGTCTGTCACGGCTTCCCTTGGCTAGGAAAGGGAAATCCCCCAACCCCTTGCACTTCCTGGGTGAGGCAATGCCCCGCCCTGCTTTGGCTTGCCCTCTGTGGGCTGCACCCACTGTCCAACCAGTCCCAGTGAGATGAACCAGGTACCTCAGTTGGAAATGCAGAAATCACCCATCTTCTCTGTCGATCACGCTGGGAGCTGTAGACCAGAGCTGTTCCTATTCGGCCGCCTTGGAACGGAACCTCTATCTGTCTTAGGTGATGTTTTCTCTTATATTTTACATTCTCCCATGGGGAAAATATAGACAAATAACTATTTTGACATATCTAACCCAGAAATCTGAACAATTAAGCACATAATGCATGCTTAAAATGAGAATTGTGGCAAGTTGTATTGAGGTAAAAATATTGCCACTCCCTGCCAAATATTTCCCTTAGAGCCTGTTAAGATTGTACTTACTGCCCAAAGATATCAGAATTAGTCATATGACTTGATTCTCCAATTATTTTTTAGCAGAAGTGACATAGGTCACTTCTGAACAGAAGATTTAAGAGCCATTGTGGGGTGCACCATTATTCTTTTTCTCCCCCCTTTTTTGAGATGGAATCTTGCTATGTTGCCCAGGTTGGTCTTGAACTCCTGGGTTCAAGCAATCCTCCCACCTCAGCCTTCTGAGGAGCTGGGATTACAGATGTGTGCCACTATGCCTGGCTCTTTCCCCCTTTTGTCACAAGAAAGTCAGTGTTTCAATAAAGAGGTTCTCCTTCAGTTTAAATATCCAGTAGAGAGAATCCATAGCAGATATGTAGTGTTAGAAATAATCCTTTGCTTTTACAAAGAGATTTTGGACTTGATTGTTGCTAAAGCATACAGAAATTGTTGATCATCCAATTATGGTTTGTTGTGTATTAAAAAGCATGGCAATGGTATTGCTTTACTAACTGTAAATGATTTCAGCTTCCTGCTTTTCTGGGTGGAAATACAGTAGGAAACAATTAGTGAGAAAGATATTCATGCAAGCAAGGATTGGGCTTGTATACATTTATTTTCTTTTAATTTAGAATAAACACAAATGTGCATGCAAATAAGATATATTCCTGAATACTGTCAAGTTTGGCACCTTGGAAGAAGATATGTATATTTTTGGTTTATTCATTAGAATATACAATTCTTGTTTTTGAGGCATCAAATGCATATAAAATAAGAGACTAAGAAAAGAAAATACATAACTTATATGCTACAGCATGAGAAATATCTATTTGAAAAGTTTTTTCCAGGCTCATTTCATAGTTAGGGCATATGGTGTAGAGAGGCCCTTGACTGCAGGACCCATATGGTGTAGGACCAGAATTTGACTGCAAATGGACAGTGACTGCATTACAGACACATTCAGGGGTACCCTTGAGAAACAGTGGAAAGGAAAAAATCTTCCCATTGGGCACAGCTAAGAACAGTGTACTTGATTATTCTTTTGATATGCAAGGAGAAGTGGTCCAAGGTGAGAATATATAAAGATTCCTAGACATTGGCCAATTGGTAGGGGCTTGGAAGAAAAAGGACTAGAAAATAAGATGCAAGAAGTTGTCAGGAGAGGCATGTGGGACATGTGGGAGTTGCGCAAAATGTGTTTTTGTATTACATGTTAACTGCCACCAGAAAGCATCTACCATTGAAGAAGTATTGAACAACAAAGTCCACAAAATGATTTGCCTGGTTGATGTTAGCTATTCTTTCTCATTGGCCACTCCAGAAACAGCCTGTGAGTACAAAGGCTGTGGGCAAGTCCATCAGCATAGACTCCTATTTACAAGGCCAATGTAATTATCTCTGCCTCTGAATTTCAATACCAAGCCCCTGGCATGGTACTATATTTGATAAAGACCAACCAGCTACTTCATGGCAAATTGGCTACACTGGGCTCCGTCCATTCTAGAGAAGCCATTGGTTCATCATCACAGGAAAGGATACCCATTTCAAGTGTAGATTTGCCTTTGCTGCTTACAGAGCCTTAGCCAGCTCTGCTATCTAGGGACTTATGAACTGCCTTAATCCACAGGCATGGATCCTGTGCAGCATAGCATCCAACCAGGGTAACCACTTCAAAATGAAGGAAGTACAGGACTGGACACATTGGATAAGATACACTGATCTTGTCATATACCACCCTACTCAGAAGGCTGGATCTCTGACAAGACCATCGCATCCACTGATCTTATGCATAAGCACATGCATAAGCAGCCAGCCTTAGAGAGTACTTGGATAACCTCCTAAAGACATAGATGAAGCTTCAGCTCAGAGGCAATTCTCTGAAAAGATAGGGTACCATTCTTCAGGATGCAGTATGTGCATTAAATCAGAAACTTCCATATGGTGCTGTATTCCTAACAGGAAAACTACATGGAACTGGGAACCAAGGAGTAGAAGCAGGATTGGTCCCACTTACCATCCTTCCAAACAATACACTAGAGGGGGTGGTTCTCATATTTCCCACAGTTATGAACTCTACAAGCTTAGAAGTACTGGTCTGCAAAGAGAGAACTCTCATTTCAGGAGCTAAAGAAAGGTTACCATTAAACTATAAGCTCTGACTTCTACCAGGGCACTTTGGACTCCTTGTGTCCATGGACAAGCAGATCAGGAAAAGAATAACCTTTCTGGCAGGGTAATTTACCATGATCAGCCGGAGGAGGTAGGGCTGCTTTTAACCAATAGGGCTAGGAAGGAATATGTGTACAACTCAGGTGATCCAACTGGGCACCTCCTGATACATCTTTGGCCCACTATAGTGGTTAACAAACATGTAGAGCAACCTGGTCTGAGAAATGTATTATTGCCAGAAGCCCAGATACCTTAGAAATAAAGATTCAGATAATATCACCAGGTAAGGCAATTACACATGCCAAGGTGGTAGCTGAGCGAGGGCGGGGGAGGCAGGGAATTTAGAATTCATAATAGAGGAGTAAGGGGATGAATACCAGTTATAGCCCTGAGACCAACTGCAGTGACAGGGACCATAATGTGTTCCACTAACTTCCCTCTAAGATCCCCTCATGAAGGGAGGCTGATGGGAGCCATGGAGGAATTCTCCCCCAAACCTGAATGGAGAAGTAGATGCTCGCAGTGCAAGGGGTGGACTGTGGTGGTACATATCTCCTGCTGTGGGGAGCATAGTTGACTGATGGCCCCAATTCCTGCTCCTCTAGATCCATTACTGTGTTCACACTGAGGCCACATCTTCCACTGGGAGCTGCCAGCCAAAGACTGAGTGGAACGAGGGTAGTATTCCCAGCCCATTCCCACTAGACACAGAATTCCTGTGTCTAGCCATTTTGGTTTGAGAACACCCCAGCTTCTCAAGCCTGGCCAAAACTTTCTTAAAACTCCACTGCAACCTGAGACCCTTTCTACCCAACTCTTCTGTTTCCCCTCTCTTTCACAAGTGTGAGACCTGCATCATAGTCTGAGTGCTTTCCCTACCTTCTCCTGCTCCCTCCCTGCTATCCTTCATAGGTTTTTCACCAAACATATCTCTTGCAGGTCTAGTCTCATCTTGGTGACTACTTCTCAGAAGACTTGAATGAACACAGAAACCAAATCCATTGGAACATTCCTCACTGTTGTCTCTGGCCAGAAGTGGTCAACCTCACGATTTTTTTCAACAATGCTAGTACCCTGGCTCTTTCCACTAACGACAGGAATCAATATCCTTCTCCAAAGAGAACCAAGACCCATTTTCCAATCTTTCCTTATAATTCTAATAATTATGAACAGTTTTGCTTAATATCCTGCTAGCCTAAGGCAGCTGAAGGTGGGGGATGGAAAATAGAATTAAATTATTAAAAATTTTAACCTGGCTGGGCGCGGTGGCTCACGCCTGTAATCCCAGCACTTTGGGAGGCCGAGGCGGGCGGATCACGAGGTCAGGAGATCGAGACCATCCTGGCTAACACGGTGAAACCCCGTCTCTACTAAAAATACAAAAAATTAGCCGGGCGTGGTAGCGGGTGCCTGTAGTCCCAGCTACTCGGGAGGCTGAGGCAGGAGAATGGCGTGAACCCGGGAGGCGGAGCTTGCAGTGAGCCGAGATCGCGCCACTGCACTCCAGCCTGGGCGACAGAGCGAGACTCCGTCTCAAAAAAAAAAAAAAAAAAAAAAATTTTAACCTAACTTTTAGGCGCAGCTAAGTTCTTCCATGTCCACAATCTGTATTGGCAATGCCTTCCTTGTCTATCATCTTGTCTGCAGGTCTTCAACAAATATTTCTTAAGTAAATCATTGTATTTCTTCCCATATCACCAATTAAGGACTTCAAAACACTTGAGGTCACATATACCTGACTGCTTCACTTCCTTCATATTCTCACATAGGAGAATTCCACCAACCAAATCCAACACTGTGCTTGGGCCATTTCCTTCCATTCTATCCCCTCATTTGGGACCCTCTCCTGACGTACGCCACATGCTTTTCCTGGCTCATCCTTTTCTGTGTGTAAAGCATACAATGTACAGAAGTAGAGCAATTGCTCAAATTCTCCTTCTGAAACTTATTCTGAAAATGTGGGCCAACCATTTAACCTGAGCCTCAGTGTCCTCACTTGTAAATGGAAGCAATGCTATCTCCCTCAGGTGGTTGCTAAAAGTATTAAATAAAATTACAGTTATAAATTGTAAGAGGACACTCAAATGTTAGTTATCATTATTTATTACTTTTCTCCCCCATTCAAATGGCTCCTAAGCCACAAACTTTTCCTTCACAAACTTTTTTCAATTTGATAAGATGGAGACCAGTTTCCTCTATTCTGAACATGAATTTACTGTCCTTCTGTATGTGATTTATAAAACAATACTGCATACTTATCTGGAAACATCCAACACTGCTTCACTCTTTTCATCCTGTTTTCTATCTGTCTTAAGTGTTGTTTTCTCTCATATTTTACATTCTCCCATGGGGAAAATGTAGATGAATAACTATTTTGACACATCTAACCCAGAAATATGAACAATTAAGCACATAATGCATGCTTAAAATGAGAACTGTGGTATTGTATTGAGGTAAAAATGTTTCCACTCCCTGCCAAATCTTTCCCTTAGAGCCTGTCCCAATATTAAGATTGTAATTACTGGCCAAAGATATCAGGATTGGTCATATGACTTGATTCGTCCAATTATTTTTGAGCAGAAGTAGCATAGGTTACTTCTGAACAGAAGATTTAAGAGCCATTGTGGGATCCACCATTATTCTTTTTCTCTCCCCTTTTTTTTGAGATGGAATCTTGCTATGTTGCCCAGGTGGGTCTTGAACTCTTGGGTTCAAGCTATCCTCCCACCTCAGCCTCCTGAGGAGCTGGGATTACCGATGTGTGCCAATATGCCTGGCTCTTTCCCCCTTTTGTCACAGGAAAGTCATTGTTTCAACAAGGAGGTTCTCCTTCAGTTTAAATATCCAGTAGAGAGAATCCAGAGCAGACATGTAGTGTTAGAAATAACCCTTTGCTTTTACGAAGAGATTTTGGACTTGATTGTTCCTAAAGCATACCTAAGCTCACCTAAGCTGACTGATACAATCATGATAGTATAACCTCTGCATGCACTATTCAATTTTAGTTTATCTGCCCACAAATTTAGAAGTCCAAGAAAAAATGTGTGTCTTTATTTTTCCTCATATTAACCAGACTCTTTTCTTTGAGGCTTAAGTTTTGGAAACCAAATTTAGGGTGATTTATAGCTATTTGTGCCCTTCACTCTGATATGTACTCCCTCTCTGGTAGAACCACAGAAACTACTGCTGGAGTTAATACAGAAAAGAGAGGTAAACTTAAAAATATAAGGGCTAAAGCAAATGAAAATCTCAAATCATTATTTAGCCATATTATTAAAACATGGAGTAATATAAAGTGAGAAAGGAATACAGCGCATACTGAAATCAGATCAGTGTGATTTTTTAAAATCATAAACAATTCTTCTTTCATTAAAGCCCTAGGAATTCTTAGTTTACTACCGCAGACATACTGAAAAGAAATGTGAAAATAGTATTACTACATTTTGCTTGATTTTTGGTTTCATAAACTAAAATATGCTTGTAATTTCCATTATTCTACAATTTTCTACAAAATGAAAGTAGAATGAAACATATGGATGAATAAAGAAAGTTTTGTTTGTTGCCAAATATCTTCTCTACATAACATCTGGATATTTAGAACATCTGCATGACTGAAAAATTTTCAACTTTTCATCTGGATGTTTGGCAAATACGGAGAAAATGTTTCCTGTCTAAATCTAATTCTTACTCTCATCCAGTACTATTCTAATAGCATATTTGTTAATATTCCTATCATCCTACTATTTTATCTAATAAAAATATGGATACAATTTTGGAGCAAAACAATAAATTGTTTAATTTTATAGTGCATGCCACGATACAAGCTCTGAGTGTTAAAAAGGAAAATTTTTGGTGAATTACTTCTCCACAAAAATCACTCTATTTCAAGAGAGATTAACAATAGAATATATCAAAGCACTCACTCCACTTTCAATGGTCTCTATTGTGTATACCCTTTATGTGAGACAAGAGAATTATATTCTTTGGCCAGATGCTGATATAGTCCTATAGCATCTGCATGGATGTCTGTTTGGCACTTGGAGTAAGGGAGGATATTTGATTGTACTCTTGAGGTTATGGAACATGGAGACAAGCATCATAATCCTTTGCAAAAACTCCGAGGGGCTTAGTGACATGCTTTTCCCTTGTCAACATCTGTCAAGAACCACATGTCAATTACTACTCCATCTTTTCTCAGGTAATAAAGAAATAGAGAAGTCCCAAAAAAGCAGTTTTTATCTTTCCAACAATATGCCTCCAGGCCTTTGTTTTTGGATCTAACCCTCATAAATTTTTGTCATTATCTGCTTACAGGGATCTTGGCAAATAAGGAGGCTGGAATGGAAGCAAAAGGTGTTACTTCTACTACAGCAAACCATATGTGAATGCATGGTTTTGGATGTTTACTGCAAAGAAAGACAGGGCAAATTTAACCAAGCTGTTTCACTTTCACAAGGGGCATCCCTGTGTTTTACTGATAAGGTTACCCAATTGCTGATTCCTATTCAGTCTCATAGTTTTATACTTGTACAACTTACAACTTTATCACCTTTTATTATTTATTTATTGGCTTGTACACATGTGTGTGTATGCCTTACCTAGAAAAAAAATCCCTTATAAAGTAGTGAACAATTAAGGGCTGATGCCATACTCTATAGCCAAGATTATCATGTCTAGGGTGAGCCCTATTAGCCACCTATGCTTGAAAATAGATCATGTGAGAGCCAACATATTTTTTATGTGTGCCCTAAGTAACTTTTTCTTCTAATAGACAGCCAACAAAAAATGGACAATCATTTTAGCAGAATCTTTTGATGCGATTGTTAGTTCATTGTACAATGTTAAATTATCATTTGCCCTAAATTCCAAATGTACCACTTTTTGTGATTTTCAGATGCAAATCAGTAGAAAGCCTCCATATTTCAGCTCAGACAAGTAGATGATCCGTGAGCCTCTAAGACTGGGCATGCACAGAAGCAGAGAACCCATAAAGCGATGTAGGTGCATTGCCACAGTTTCTCTGGAAAGAAAATGATTGGAAGGAGTTATTTAACAAATTCCACAGGTGATAAGCCTAAGATGTCCTCAGGGTCTCTGTTCTGTTGTGAGTGTTCTAGCTGCTTTTTCTCCCACGGAAATTTAATAGATTGTGGTTTTTCTACTTTCAATTAATCAAAATTTTTTAGACTCATTGTGTGCAGAAGAGCATAGTTCTAGCTGTTAAGAACCAATTGCAACCTCAAGAAGATCCAGATGTTCCCTTCAGGGGTTTAGTTGGATGGCAGTGCCAGATGTTCCTACAAAGAATGGCATGTGGTGGATTAAAGGATGGCCATAAATTATTTGCTGCTTCTTCCACTGAGCAGTGAAATCTCTTTCCCCACTCTTTTAATCTGAGCTAGGCTCATGACTCCTTTGACCAATAGAATGCGGCAGAAGTGATGCTGAGCCAGTTCTGGGCCTCGCCCTAAAGAGGACTGGGAGCCTCTATTTTCTTGCTATTGGAAGACAGCCTCTATGCTGTAAGGAATTCCAGACTATTCTATAAAAATAGTGGAGAGGTTCTGGAAGAGAAAAAGCTATGAGGAGAGACTCCACATGAAGGAGAATTTAGGTATCACAGCTGATAACACAAGGGCCCCAGGCATGTGAGAGGAGCTTTCTTGGACCCTCCAGCCAGCCCAGCCAGCCACCAGTTGGATACAGCTTCATATGTGACTCCAGCCAATCCCAACTGAAAGAGAAAAACCATCCAGTGAACCTGCAGAATCTTGAGAAATAACAAGTCATTCTTGCTTTAAAGCTCAGTACTTTAAGAGTGTTTGTTACACAGTAATAATTAACCAATACAGCTTAGAAATCAACATTTGCAGAGAGACATATAGGAGCATCAGATGGTTATACACAAGGATTTCTGAATAGAGGAATGATTAGAAGTTACAAGAAGCAGTAGAGTCTCATGGCTTTGGGAACAAAACCTGTGTTTGCATTTCTATTCCACTTCTTTTTTTTTTTTTTTTTTTTTTGAGACGGAGTTTCACTCAGTTGCCAGGCTGGAGTGCAGTGGCCCCATCTCGGCTTACTGCAGCCTCTGCCTCCCAAGTTCAAGCAATTCTCCTGTCTTAGCCTCCTGAGTAGCTGGGACTACAGGAGCACGCTGCCACACCTGGCTAATTTTTTTGTATTTTTAGTAGAGATGGGGTTTCACCATGTTGGCCAGGATGGTCTCGATCTCCTGACCTGGTGATCTGCCTGCCTCAGCCTCCCAAAGTGCTGGGATTACAGGTGTGAGTCACCGCGCCCAGCCTGTATTCCACCTTGTACTGTCTCTATGATCTTGGGCAAGGCAGTACATTTCTTGGATGTTGACTTTCTTGGGATTCAGTATAAAATAGAAATTCAGTATATAAAATAGAAATAATCACTCCTACTTCATTAAGGTATAGCAACAGTAAGTAAATTAGATAAATGTATAAAGCTCTTAGCACAGTGCCTCATCCAGATTAAGAATTAACTGCTAGTTTTTGTTCTTGTAATCATCAAAGAGCTTTCCGAAGAAATTGAATTTTGATTTGCATAAAAATTAATTCATAGATCTTTATTCTGTAGTAATGAGATATATTGAGTTCAGTTGTTCCTGAATCTCCAGCTACAATTCAGTTTTCTCTTGTTCCTAGTTAGATTACAAATTTGTATTATGGTCCCTATTTTAAAAGGTAATATAGTAACTTTATACAAAAGTGTCTGGGGCAGAGGCTAGGATCCGTTTCAAAACTCATGTCTTTTCCTCTTGGGCACACAATTAGATGTTGTAAGGTCATAGATTCTGACTAGTGGAATGCTAGTCTAACTCACTGTTAGAGAAATTCTATTTCTAACTCTATTTCCATTTAGAAATAGAAACTTGCTCTGTGCCTCCTTCTTAACTGCCATTTCCACTCATTTTCAGATATATGACCTAACATGCATAGCAGGAACTCTGGACATAGGTGATGTTTAAGTCTCTGTAAAATGGTGGATCACTTATAAATGCTTAAAAATAATGATAATTTACAACTATTAATAGGTAGTATTTATTGACTATTTAATTATGCCCAAGGCACCATATATTCGATGTCAATTAAACTGTATAGTCATCATAATAAATCTATGCAGTAGGAATCATTTTTACCTCCATTGTACAGATGAGAAAACCAAGACTCAGAGTCTTTAGCAATTTGCCAGAATTACACATCTGGTTCATGGAAGAGCTGGAAAATGTGAAACCAGAGCCTGTACTCTTACCCATGCCCTCCATGAGTTCTCAACATGTGGTCATAGACATTATGTCCTTTTAAGGTATATCACATGAATGTATACTGGAAATATATGGGTTGTGAAAAAAGAATATATCAAAATGCTTGTTCATGAGATAGACCAAATGTCACTGGCGTATCCAATTGCATGGTAGTTATTAGCCTAGGCCATTAGTTGCATTAGTTCCCATGTTCTTTTTGACAGGAATTTTTGTTTGGTCATAATGTAACATCCTCTTGTCTATGGGGTCAGATGCTCTGCTTCCATGTAGTTAATCAATGCTGGTGATCAGTTTGCCTTTTCAATATGACTGATTACCTTAATCCTGACTCCAGTGATGACAGCATTCTATGGCTTTTCAGCTGGGAGCCTCTTTGCAATACTAGCTATTTCACAGTCACGATTTTACTTATAACTTGGAAAAAAAACACTCAGAAAACCTCATCATCATGAAGGCTAGCATGCATCAAACATTTATAATGTGCCAGGCATTATGCTAATTACTTAATGTTTATTTCATTTAATCCTCTCAGCAACCCAAAATAATTGGAATCATTTTACCCAGACTTTCAAAAAAGAGAAAATTGAGACAAAGATATTAAGTAATTTACCAAGTTTACACAGCAGAGAGGTGACGTAGCTGAGCTTTGAACCCAGAGTCTGCCTTTCTAACCAATAGAATGTCTCAAGGCACAATCTCCAGGCACTTGATCTCCAGATGGCACCTGGAATGGTGGATACTGACCCAGAGAACATTTTGCATCAAGCTCCAAATTCATCTTAGTCTTTGCTGTTTGCCACTGGGCAGCATTCCTGAGTTATACTGGCAGTGTGAAGCCCTAAATTTGATGGCAGGCAGTTAAAAGTATGTAACTGAAATTAATGCACATACATTTTAAGGGATGTTAATATTATTGTAGTTTTCTTCAAAAGACAAATACCTTAAGGGCACTAAACTGAGTTGGGTACATATGAATTGATCTTTATACTGCCTCCCTACAAACATACACCTAGGAAACAACTTCTCCCAAAATATTAATACCACTTGCTAACAAACTTCTTTGATCTGAGATACAAGCACTCAAACTCCTGAGAATGAACATGCCATTCATGGATGCTTTTTCTACATATATATTCTAAGAAACAGCATTATATTTGGCCAAAGAGGAGGCCCCCTAAATGGGGAAGAAGTGTGTTATATTTTTCAGGCTTTTTTTTTTTTTTTTGAGACAGAGTCTCACTCTGTCATCCAGGATGGACTACAATGGTGTGATCTAGGCTCACTGCAACCTCTGCCTCCCGAGTTCAAGTGATTCTCCTGCCTCAGTCTCCTGAGTAGCTGGGATTATAGGCGCCTGCCACCACACCCAGCTAATTTTTGTAATTTTAGTAGAGACAGGGTTTCACCATGTTGGTCAGGCAGGTCTCGAACTCCTGACCTTGTGATCCACCCACCTTAGCCCCCTAAAGTGTGGGGATTACAGGCATAAGCCACCACACCTGGCCATTCTTTAGGCTTTTTAGGACCTAAAAAGAACATGTACCAAAATCTCAAAAAAAAAAAAAACCGATATATGTATACAAATATACTTAAATTATACATATATATATACTTACATATACTTAAATTTTATATATAAATAAAATTTATGTAGGCCAGTGTGCATTTATTTCTTTCTAATAGAGACATAGAACTTTGTCTTTGGCCTAAGTATTCAGCCAACATCTATGCTTTCATTTGTCTTTGATCTAGGATTTTGGAAGATCATGAATAACCAACTTCACTGTCATTTCTGGCATCCCAGGACTTATATGTGACCAGTGAGATTATTTGGAAATTACCATCATATCTAATTGGCTTAAGAAAACCAATAACATAAACAAAGCATATAATTTGAAACATCGTTCATATCTGAATATTCACTTTCAAATGTAGGCAATCATTCTAATCGCAATCTGGAGTCTAGACCTCCTTATGATTTTTGTTATTGTTTTTGTTGCTATCTTCTCATTCAATTGAAAAACTGATGCACAGTTGTTTTGCCTTAATGCAACAAATGTATTTCTTTAAAAAGAAGTGAACTCAAGTCTACAAGATTATACACTAAAAACAATAGATGCAAAATAGTATCAGGGTGAAGTCACTCTAATTGTATGCAATTCCACTCAAAACATACAAACTTTATAATTAATGTGCTAACAAAAATGATAATCCTAGTAAAAATGCCAGCACAGCTATTGAAAAGTTAAATGACTAATAAATAAAGAAATACTACTGTATAAATAGGACTTCGCAAAGAATAACAACAAAACCCTAAAACTAATCTGTGGAAGGGAATACGATGAAGGATTGGGGCTGCTGAGTTATGGAGATGAGGGCAAAGTACACAAAGATCAGGGAGAACCATGCCATAAGTACCTCCAGGAAAGAGCATGTTGCCAGGGAGCCAAGAGGAGCATGGTGAATGAATGGCACAGTGCAACCCAGCTCAAGACATTCAGCTGGGTTAGTGCACTTTGCATTCAGATGCCATTACACACTGGTACAAAACATTAATATGCTGGAAAATATTCCATGTAAACCAATGTGATCCCCAAGATAACACCATCCTCTGATCCTAGTGCATATGAGCTGATTCACAGTGCAGAAACACATATTATAGTAGAACAAACTGTAGGCGTAAAATATGGCAATAATGATGATTCTGAAAGCTATTAATTAGGTACAAAAACAATTATTAAAGACTTTCAAATAGTTACAGTGGAAACTAGATTACAATTAATATGACTTTTAAGAGAGAATGTAAATCTAGTAAACAGTTAAAATTGTAAAGTATGCTATATATAGATTTTGAGTCGACAAATATTTATAGAAATTTGTATAATAATATGAGATATAATTAGTGAGATTGTGAAGAAAAGATTATAAAGAAAAATCCTGTATCTCAAAATATCTTTCTCCTCCATCAACAGTAATCAATCCAAAGTGATCCTTTACTTAGAATCATCAATATGCAGTAGAGCTGCTGAGATATTATTGTTCCTACAGTATTATGTCAAACTTTAGAAATTTGACTACTAAAATTGTTATCATAGATTTTATAATAAATGTAGATAAGATTTCATATTTATTCCCATGTCCCAAAGTTTCTATTAGAATAGTGATATTTGGTTGTGACCTCAGCTCAATTTCCATTTAATGTTGTTAAAAGCAGCTTAAGACTGGTTGCGGTGGTTCATGCCCATAATCTCAGCGCTTTGGGAGGTCAATGCCAGGGGATCACTTGAGCCCAGGAGTTTGAGACCAGCCTGGGCAACATAGTGATACCTCATCTCTACAAATAATAATAAAAAAAATTAGCCAGGCGTAATGATGTCCACCTGTGGTCTCAACTACTCAGGAGGCTTAGGTGAAAGGATCACTTGAGCCCAAGTGGTCGAGGCTGCAGTGAACTGTGATTGAGCCACTGCACTCCAGCTTGGACAATAGAGTGAGACTCCATCTCAAAAAAAAAAAATCAGCTTAATATTGATTTTAACACTCATTAATATAACTTATTTACCTCTATCCTTTATTTTAAAAATTATTAAGATGACTTGTGAATAATGAAACATAGTTTTAAATACTCTAAAGCTATATTGTCTAATATGGTAGCCACTAGCCACAGGTGATTTAAATTAATTGAAATTAAATAAAAGTGAAAATGCAGTTCCTCAGTCACACCTACCACATTCATGGGCTCAAGTTACTTGTGGCTACTATACTATACAGTGAAGATATAGAATATTTCTATTATCACAGAAAGTTGAACCATTAAACAATAGTTCTACTGACCTATAGTTCTGCCTCATTTCTGAAAAAGCGCAATGATTCATGAGTCAAAGTTGCCACTAGACAGCATTAGCATACATTTAAGAACCACCAATCCACACATCTTTTTATTTCCTGCCTCTACAGTGTTGTTGAAAAATCCTTCTCTCTTGGTTTTGCCTTGGGTGGTAGGGAAAGAGGGAGCCCACCCAGGAACCCGCGGACGAATGGGCCAATCTTTGCAGATGCTGTCAACACCCTGCCCAGTCCCTGGCTCTTTTGACCTCAGTGTGCACCAGCCACTTTCCAACTGCCAGTATCTCCATTTCTTTGACCAAGACCTTTTTCAGAAGCTGCTGCGAGATACATTCTGCCCATACACCTGGCAGGACAAAAGTGCCTGGGAGTTGACACCCAGTAAAAGAAGCCTTCTACTATTGATGAATGGAAGTTGGTGTAAAAATACTCTAGCTCCCCGCTGCCTCAAGTAGAAAAATCTCTGAGTTGTGTGTTTTGCAGCATTTTCCAGAGTGGCCTGTCATGGTAGTCGACTTAACAGTGCACCCTATATTGGCGATTTTGCCTTTCCTATGTCACTTTTTCTCACCTCATCTGTTTATTTGCATCTCCAAATAAACCCCTTGTGTGCAAGTCCTTGCCTAAGGATCTGCTTTTGAGAAAACCTAAACTTAAGACAAAATCCAAATTAAGGGGATGGGGGAGAATTAGAAAGAAGAGGGGCTTATAAGAATAAAGAGAATGAACATTTACAGTGTATATCATTAGATTGCAAACTTCTTCAGAGCAAGAACTGTGTCTCAATTTTCTATTCCTAATGTGTAGCACACACAAGGCCCTCAGTGAGTATTAAAGCGTACAGTGTTTCACACACGTGATTTCTCTGATACCCCAACAATCCTATTTGGTGGCTATTACAGCCATTTTTCAGCTGAGTAAATTAAAGTTCAGATAATTTAAATGAATTGCCCAGAGTCATATAGTCAGTGACAGTGTTCAGCCTGGAACCAGGGTTTCAGACTCTAAGCCGTATGCTTGTCCCTGTTGCTGGTGCCACCCACTTGCTGGTCATCCCATTGACTTGCCTGCGGGCCTGTTAGCTGGCCTCAGCTTCAGGAGACCATTGCAGCACCATGTTCTGTGCACCCACCTCTGCCTGAATGAACAGAGTGAAATATGTCATTTATTTCTGCTTCTGCTGTGTTGTAAGTGTGTTTTCAACATTATTTTCAGAGACCATGGCTCTTTATCTCTAGGCTTGATCCTAAAAACAATTGTGAAGAGGACAATGGTAAATTCCCGGATTCCTCCAGGCTCATCTGTGGCAGTGCCAGTCTCTCCCACACTCACCCTCTGAAGTCTCAAGGACCTGTGTTGTCACATGTGGCCCAAGCAGTTCCAAGACTCTCGAACCATTAAAAAGAACTTCTGCACTCCAGAGAATCATTCCGGGTTCTGCCCTCTGCCTTCAGTTCCAAATCTTTTGCTCTCTGAATCTTCTACTGAATTATTGGCTTGATTCTTGATTGGAGGTTTATTTCAGGTCTGTGCCATAAGGATATTTTCAATTTAAGGGTAGTTTGAGGTTTCTATCAAGCTTGTCGGGTTTAGAGGGTGAATGCCTGAGTTAGAATTCATTTCTATAAGTTTACTTTAAAGGAGAGTGTAAGACCTTGGGCAAATTATTTCATTCTCTGTTTTTGTTTCCTGATCTGTAAAATACAGATATTAAAAATACTCATTCATTTAAAAAGTGTCCATAGGTTGTTATGAGGATTACGTGAAATAACCCATGTAAAGCACCTGGTCTGTTGTAAACACGTAATTACTATAAGATACTATACCTTCTGTGTATACCCTCTTTCTGCCCACCTGTCATAAGCCCCATTCAGACTCTAGGAAACCCAAACCCATCATTGATGGGGCGGCCAGGGCCTCAGTTTATACAGAAATGGAATTTAGCTTAACATGTTACCTCTTTCAGGATTGAAAGGAACTCTGGGATTTAAGATTCCTCAACCCAAGGCATACATTCTAATGAGAAAAGTTTAGAAAGAAAGCCCATTTGTGAGTGAATGCTGCAAGATGGTAGAAAGCATTTGCCTCCATGTAAAAGCCAAGCAGTTTACCTCCCAGTTATTCAGCGAGGCCATGCCAAATGCTCAGTGTAGGTTAAACACCACATCCAGCACAGAAAGGTGGCAGATACATTATGACAAACACATGTATATGTGTGTGTCTTTATAGCCCAACTCTGCACAAAGAAAAGGTGGAGCTTACTCAAATAGAATAATTACAAGCTGAGAGGATTTGAAAAATAAAAGTCATCTAGTAAGCTCTATTTGTCTTTCTTATGTGGTTAGCTATGGGTCTACTATTGATTTCTTATTAACAACCTTTTATTTTTAAAATGGAGACTGTATAAATCTATAAGACTGCTTTCCCTGAACCAAAACCTTGGGTACAAAATCTGACAAATGTTTTCCCCCCTACTTTTTATATTCATGCATTTGTAAAGCATTGTGAATGCTTATAAGTTAAATTCCACTTGACCACATATTTAATGAAGCACCTAGTAAAGAACAGAACATAAATATCTAAAATGGGAAAATCACCAGAGAATCTGAATACCAAGGCAAAAAACCTGAAGGGATGGTGCCATAGTTTCTTGTCTCCTCCACAGCAAAAGCTCATTTTCCAGCTCACAGACACTTTCAAACTGGAAGGATTTTGAAGAAAAATCTGCTACCATCTTTTCTATATCCTGTGATAAACTACAGTTCTCATGAAGACAAAGAGTTTGGTCACACAATTGGAGCTGGCAGAAACATTTTTTTCAGCTCCTTATTACCAAACAAGATGGAGTCAGTCAGTGTTCTGTTGTGAGAAACTTGCCTTTCAGTCTGGTTGGTTTATAAGCTTTTAACAAACTGTCCTGAAGATGGCGCCACGTGCTTAGCTATGTTTTCTACCTGTATCATTTGGTGATTTCTGAAACCACTGTCTAAGGAACATACACAGACTTATGGGAAGATCTGTAGGAAATGCCACCTTGAAATGATATTCCTGTGTTAAGTATAGATATAAAACTAAGTCACCCAAGGAACAATTTGATTCAATTATCTTTAAATTTTCAGTTAGGAGAAGGAATTACGGAAAACAAATACAGTCATTGCTGTTCTGAGGTACATCAGTGGCATTTTCTGAAAGCCAAATTCCATCTCTAATCTTGTACTTTCTCCTTTGTTCCCTATTTGTAGCCATCCATCAAGTGGTCGAAGTCAGAAATTTGAATGACGTCTTTGATCCTTCTTTCTATTTTAACCTTCCGTACCAGAAACTCCACATCCCAATCAATCTCCCAGTCCTATCTGTTCTAATCCCTAAATGTCTCAGTTGTGTCCATGTCTGTCTCTGTCCATTCCCACTGCTACCAGTAAAGTTCAACAGCACCATTACCTCCTCCCTGCAGTATTGCACGAGTAGGTTAACTGTTTCCCCTTTCACACAGCTTGCTCCTCTCAATCTGCTCTCTTCATCTAGAGTGATCTTTCAGAAAGATAGACCTGATCATGTAATGCACCCCCCCACCCATTTACAATCTTCTATGGCTCCCTAGTGCTTTCAAGTAAAATCCACACTCTTGTAGTCTACAAGCCTTTTTTAGAATCTAGCTGTCTCCCAGTTTTCTAGCTTCATCTTGCAACAACAACTACCCCACTTGTTGTTTAACTTCGGTCATAAGATTTCTTTCCAGTTCCTAGTATGTTCACATCAGGATTGTTTATTTTTCCTGATCCTGCTTGTGCTCCAGCAGCAGCTGCAATTTACTCCTCTTCTATAGGCATAGCCACCACACCTCCATCTATCTAATTCTGGTTCACATTGTAGATCTCAATGAGAACATTATTTCTTAATAGAAAGAGTTCACTAGAGCACATTAGGACCCACCACTCTACGACTCCATAGCATCATGTACTTTCCTAATTTTAATAGGCATCTCATTTTATCATTATTGTTTATTTTCTCCTCTATTATAAACTCTGTGAAGGCAGGGACGATGTTCTTACACAACATTCTTATAATGTCCTATAAGGCCTTTATATCAGTCCGTTCTCACGCTGCTAATAAAGACATACCGGAGACTGGGTAATTTATAAAGAAAAAGAGGTTTAACGGACTCACAGTTCCACATGGCTGGGGAGGCCTCACAATCATGGTGGAAGGTGAAGGAGGAGTAAAGGCATATCCAATATGGCAACAGGCAA
Source organism: Homo sapiens (assembly GCF_000001405.40). NCBI lineage: Eukaryota > Metazoa > Chordata > Mammalia > Primates > Hominidae > Homo > Homo sapiens. Next base: position 181,713,898 of record NC_000002.12, on the reverse strand, counting down.
GGGAGCTTGTGTAAGGGAACTCTCCCTTATAAAACCATCAGATCTCTTGAGACTTATGCACTATCACTAGAACAGCATGGGAAAGACCTGCCCCCATGATTCAACTACCTCCCACAGGGTCCCTCTAATGACGTGTGGGAATTATGGGAGCTATAATTCAAGATGAGATTTGGGTGGGGACACAGCCAAACCATATCAGCCTTATATCATCTGCCTCCCTCACGTTACCTTTCTGACTTTGTCAGCTGAGACTCTCCTTTATTTCTTTGCTTCAGCCTCCTTGCTTGTTCTTCTAACTTGCTTCCTCTAGCTTGGCCTTTTTGTTTCTTCTGTAACTGCCAGACATGATCCTGCCTCAAGGCCTTTGCACCTAAAATGCACTTCCCCCAGATTTCTGTGTGGCTCTCTCCCTTACCTGCTTCAAATTTTTATTCAAATGCAACATTCAGCGTAGAGTATTTTCTGACCATCGAATCCATTCCCCCTACCCACCGCCAATGTTCCTATCCCTCTCCCTGCTTTATTTTTCTCCTTAGCTCTTATTACACCTAATACATGTATCAGTCCATTTTCATTCTGTTGATAAAGACATACTGGAGACTGGGGAGAAAAAGAGGTTTAATTAGACTTACAGTTCTGCATGGCTGGGGAGGCCTCAGAATCATGGCAGGGGTGGTGAAAGGCACTTCTTACCTGGCAGCAGCAAGAGAAAATGAGGAAGATGCAAAAGTGGAAACCCCTGATAAACCATCAGATTTTGTGAGACTTATTCACTACCACGAGAACAGTATGGGGGAAACTGCCCCCAGGATTCAAATTATCTCCCACCAGGTCCTTCCCCTCCCACAACACATGGGAATTATGGGAATACAATTCAAGGTGAGATTTGATTGGGGACACAGAGCCAAAACATATCATTCCACCCCTGACCCCTCCAAATCTCATGTCCTCACATTTCAACACCAATCATGCCTTCCCAATGGTCCCCAAAGTCTTAACTCATTTCAGCATTAACCCAAAAGTCTACAGTCCAAAGTCTCATCTGAGACAAAGCAAGTCCCTTCCGTCTATGAGCCTGTAAAATCAAAAGCAAACTAGTTACTTCCTAGATACAATGGGGGTACAGGTATTGGGTAAATACAGCCATTCCAAATGGGAGAAATTGGTCAAAACAAAGGGGTTACAGGCCCATGCAAGTCTGAAGTCCAGCGGGGCAGTCAAATACTAAAGTTCCAAAATGATTTCCTTTGACTCCATGTCTCATATCCAGTTCACGGCGATGCAAGAGGTAGTTTCCCATAGTCTTGGGCAGCTCTGCCCCTGTGGCTTTGCAGGGTACAGCCTCCCTACTGGCTGCTCTCATGGGCTGACATTGAGTGTGTCTGTGGCTTTTCCAGGCACATGGTGCCAAGTGTTGGTGGATCTACCATTCTGGGGTCTGGAGGATGGCGGCCCTCTTCTCACAGCTCCACTAGGCAGTGCCCCAGTAGGGACTCTGTGTGGGGGTTCTGACTCCATATTTCCTTTTTGCACTGCCCTAGCAGAGGTTCTCCATGAGGGCCCCACCCCCTCTGCCTGGTCATCCAGGCATTTCCATACATATTCTGAAATCTAGGTGGAGGTTCCCAAACCTCAGTTATTAACTTCTGTGCACCCGCAGGCTCAACACCACATGGAAGCTGCCAAAATCTGGGGCTTGCATCCTCTGAAACCATGGGCCAAGCTGTACCTTGGCCCCTTTTAGCAACAGCTGGAGCAGCTGGGATGCAGGGCACCAAGTTCCAAGGCTGCACACAGCATGGGGACCCTGGGCCCGGCCCACAAAATTATTTTTTCCTTCTAGGCTTCCAGGTCTGTGATGGGTGGGTCTGCCGTGAAGACCTCTGACATACCTTGGGGACATTTTCCCCAATGTGTTGGGGATTAACATTCGCCTCCTTGTTACTTACGCAAATTGCTGCAGACAACTTGAATTTTTCCTCAAAAAAATGGGTTTTTCTTTTGTACTGCATCATCAGCCTGCAAATTTTTTGAACTTTTATGCTGTTTCCTTTTTTAAATGTAATGTTTTAACAGTACCCAAGTCACCTTTTGAATGCTTTGCTGCTTAGAAATTTCTTCCGCCAGATACCTTAAATCATCTCTCTCAAATTCAAAGTTCCACAAATCTCTAGGTCAGGGGCAAAATGCCACCAGTCTCTTTGCTAAAACATAATAAGAGTCACCTTTGCTCCAGTTCCCAAAAAGTTCCTCATCTCCATCTGAGAGCACTTCAGCATGGACCTTATTGCTCATATCACTATCAGCACTTTTGTCAAAACCATTCAACAAGTCTCTAGGAGGTTCTAAACTTCCCACATTTTCCTGTCTTCTTCTGAGCCCTCCAAATTGTTCCAACCTCTGCTGTTACCCAATTCCAAAGTTGCTTCCACATTTTTGCGTATCTTTCAGCAATGCCCCACTTTACTGGTACAAATTTACTGTGTCAGTTCATTTTCATGCTACTAATAAAGAGATACCCAAGACTGGGAAGAAAAAGAGGTTTAATTGGACTTACAGTTCCACATGGCTGGGGAGGCCTCAGAATCATGGTGGGAGGTAAAGGGCACTTCTTACATGACAGCAGCAAGAGAAAATCAGGAAGATGCAAAAGCAGAAACCCCTGATAAACCATCAGATCTCATGAGACTTATTCACTACCATGAGAACAGTAAGTGAGAAACTACCCCCATGATTCAAATTATCTCCCACCAGGTCCCTCCTACAACACATGGGAATTATGGGAGTACAATTCAAGATGAGATTTGGGTGGGGACATAGAGCCAAACCATATCAATACACTTTCATAGTTTATTGTCTGTCTCCCTCCACTAAAGTATATACTCCATGAGGGCAGGTATTTTTGTCTCTGATCTGTGCACCTGGAGTAGCACAAAGTAGTCAGCGGAATTATTCATCCTAGCTCTGTCCTAGTGATTTCATGGACTCATTTTTTTCATCTTTCTTGGTACTAAATCATTCTAGTTTGTGAGGGGTGGGGGACAATTTTATCTTCACCTGGAAAGTCTTCCCTCCCTCTGATTACTTTAGTTTCCTATTTCTAGAACAAGAATGCTTTTTTGGAGGGTGGTGGTAGGGCAGAAAAATCAGACCTAAAAATAAACTTTCCCATAAAAATATAAAAGCAGAAATTTACTGAGGCCCTGTAGGTTTTAGCTGCTTCCAAATAATAAATTTCCTGAAAACTAACTGAATATGTGGCATGAGGCCAGAGCTACCAATCTTATTAAAAAAATGTCTCCACCTGGATAGTTCCAAGGGTCTCTTATCTTTCTGTTATTTGATGAGATATTCAGAGAAACTCTGATTCCCTCAAGTCACTGGGGCACCTCCTATACTGAAAGAAATGTGTTTGCTTGGCTGTATGGCCAGCTTGATCATTTGTGTAGAAATGTGTGGTTTCTAAAGCCAAACCAGCTATGCGTTTAGATGTGGCCCAATTTCCTAATGAGGAAATGTCAAAGAAGAATCAGGTTAAATGACTGCAATATAGGTATGTAGTCATTTTGAAAAATTCCAATACCCTGCAATGATCTAGGGGAAAACAACAGTCTTACCATATGTAAGACTGATTCATGGCTAATGATTTATCATGCACATTTGATTCAGCTTCCACTTTTAGAGTTATAAGATAAGCAAACAGATGTTTACCACCCTTAATTTCAAGGAAATATCATGTTGGAACTGCAATTAAACACAGTTCTATTGAATATGTGAAATATTGTTACAGAGAGAACTGAGAACAATCATTTATAATACAAAATAAAAATAAAGGTAAAAGTAAGTATCTTTATATACAAAAATTTAAATTTTTGATAGAAGATATATATCTTAGTTAATTAAAGCCAAAAGGAAAATCTAATGCTATGTTTTACTGGGTGTATAAGTACAAGATTTGAAAGATCAACTCATGCCTTTTCATCTTTACAAAATAATGCAAGACTTAACAACAAAAAGAAGGTCATGGGATTACAATTTTAAAAGGAGGTTGAAAAGTCTGCTATTTAGAGACATTCTAACAATGATGAAGATACGAGTGACAATTAGGCTGTAAATGATCAAGATAAAGTTTGAGCCGTAATTTATCATATCATTTAAAATAATTAAAGGAAAAGAACTGGAATGTTCCCAACATACAGAAAAGATAAATGTTACAGGTGATGGATATCTCGATTACCCTGATTTAGTCATTATACGTTGTATGCATGTATCAAAATATCACATGCACCCCACAAATATGTACAAATATTATGAACCGGTTAAAAAAAGATAAAGTTTGAGAAAAGGAACAAGAGAAGAGCAGCCATCAATTGCACATTGCTGGAGTGAATTCAACAGATGAGAAAATGAAAGTCTACATGGTAATTTAATTAAAATAGCACCCAGGCCCCCAAAAATGGAGGGAAAAGAGAGAGAGGTGGAAACACAAAGAATGACTTCCAGAAGAATTCTCCACAATCAGAAGAGGTCAGGATGAAAGGGTAGAGAGGTATGATCAAGGTTCAGGAGAAAGATGAAAAAGGTGGCCAAGGGATGAATGAAATCATATAACTAAGCTATAATTCTCTTCTTTACTCTAAAGGAATGATCTCTGGAATTGGTTAAAGGAGTTATATTTTTGGAGATTCTTCATATTAGGAGAAAGATAAAGGCCGGGCAGAATGAAACAGAGCTTCAGTAACAGGGGTGTTATTTAAAATTCCAGCGGGGATTCCACTCAATAGAAGCCTAAATGATAAAACTAGAATTATAATTAATCACAGAAAATTCTGCAATCATTTTTATTTGGTCTTGTAAGTGATTATCTTATGCATTGACTGGAAAACGAAAAGCATATATGAGATCTATATTTGGTTCAAAGACAAACTGGGAGGAAGTGTAAATCCTGGAAAAAATTGCCTGTCTGGTCCCATGTTTGAAAAACTCTCCCTTATATTAATAACATTTTTAAAAATTAAAAAAAAAAACATGGAGGAACCTAAAGTCAAAAGCCCTGACCCACTTCCATTATGTGAAGTCCAAAATTGAGAACAAATGGAAATCGACTTTCTCAAAATATGTTCCACTGAATGTTGTTGTCTAGTCAAACATATTGGGAATTTCTAGATTAAATAACAGTGAGTACATTTTGTTACTGTTAGGAGAAGTAATCTCCTATCGTCCCAGAGCAACCCTGTATATTGTTGCCAGCCAAGGCACCATTGTAAGACCCTGATCACTCTTTTCCTAGCACATTTATCATGGTTGTATTGGCAGTGGGTAACCATTACCGTGAATAATGAGGTAAAGTCTCTCTCTGGGATAAAAATGGGCTTGCTAAAAAAAAGAGTTGGATTCCCCAAGCTTAAAGGTGAATTCTCTGACTGCAACATAAACCCATTGCATGGACAGCATCCAGTGGGTCCCCTCTGCATCTCCTTGTGGGTCTTAGAAGGCAAGGAGAATCAAGGTTCGCATGATGCTCATGCTACATGCTGTGCCATCGTCATGTTCTTTATTTCTGACCCAGGAATCTCATGTCTTCTGCCAGCATCCATGAAAAGGTGACAGACTATCTTGATAGTTTGAAGTGAAGTAAATTCCCTAACCCTAACATTTACTACAGGATTTCTTAGGACCTTTACTTTGTCCTTGTGACCCTCCAAGGGGACACATGGTACCAGGTGTTTTACTTGATCATGCAAATTCATTCTCCTATACAGCAATTCCAAGTACTAGTATTTTGCAACATATATCTTAGGAAGTCCTATTCTAAGAACACTGGTGCGGGTCTGGATGGAACATGTACAAGATTTGAAAAGACCTACTTTCCCAAATGTATCTTTCTATGGCCTGTTATACTACTCCAAATTCCCACCATTTGAATGACTCCTTTGGTAAAATGCATTATTTCCAGAAGGCCCTTATTATAATGCAAACATGTTGCCTGGAGGTGTAGTATAGGAATATACCTAGATTACATAAGAGGAGATTGAAAGAAAGTGAGAGTTGGACTCTGATAGAATGTGGAAAGTAAGTTCTAGGTTAGGAAAGGTCCTGGAATTAAATTTGTACCTGGGTAGAAAAGGACAGACTAAAGCACTGCAGTGATGCATCCTCTTTTTTCTCCTCTCCAAATACAATACTTATAGCCAGAATTTATGTTCAAAATGAATTGCAAAACGTTTTTCTTGCCCCTTTATTTTGTCTTTATTAATTATACCTTTCTGTTTTTTGTTTTGTTTTTAGAGGTAAGATCTCTGTTGCCCAGGCTAGACTGCAGTGGCATAATCATAGCTCACTGCAGGCTTGAACTCCTGGGCTCAAGTGATCCTCCCACCTCAGCCTCCCAGTAGCTGGGACCACAGGTGAGCACCACCATGCCCGGTTAATTTTTTAATTTTTTGTAGAGACGTGGTTTCCCTATATTGCCCAGGCTGGTCTCAAACTCCTGGCCTCAAGTAGTCTTCCCACCTTGGCCTCCCAAAATACTGAGATTACAGGCATGAACGACTATGGAACACCCCTCCCAACCACCACAATCCACCCACTACCCCCACCTCCAGCCAAGTCTTCTCCTTCTGTTTGAACTGGAATGTAAATTAGTCCTTAATCCCAAGTGAGTAGTTAAAAATTTGAATATTAGCTTTGTTTTAAAAGAAGACTTGAATCAGCATCGTTTGGGAGAGCAGGAGGAGGAACAGATAGGCCGTATGGCAGATATTTTCAAAACAAACTTCTCATTCCCTTAAGGACACATTTGGAGGTGTCAAAACAGGACAACTAAGGTGCTGAACTTAAGCCTTGTATTTCCTGACTCTGCCTAAGCTAGCCATCTGATGTTTTTATTTACATTTGTTTTATTGCATTTTGGTTTAGGCTTTTTTATTAAAGCAGGAAACTGAGAGATTTACAATAGATATGCCTCAATAATTCATTCAATTTTGAAAATTTCTGCTTGAAAACAATGCATATTCTAATGTTCTTACTCGAATCACAACTTTTTAGAAGCTGTTTATCACAGTTACTTAACTTGTGCATGATTTTGCTATGTTCTCATCACCATTTGGGGAAAGTTATTCACAGAGAATGCACTAAGAGATTTTGTATTTTCTTTCTCTAAAAAAATGTTGTGTGTACTCAGCATGCAGGGTGTTGTGCTACAAGGAACTAAGATTTCCCCCTGAAAAAAGAAGTCTTTCTCTTAGGTGTTTACAATGTGTTCTACACACATCAGGCATTAGATCAAAGCCAGGACCACCACCATGCTGTCCTACAATGGTGTTTCAAACATTACCCTACCATATAAGCAATCACAAGAAATGTGTGAGATGTTTCAGAATAGTCAATTAAATTTCTTGGGCTTTTGTAGCCAGATATAACATAATATATTCTCCTTCAAATAAAGTATTCATGGATCAACCAACTTTCAGTTCTTTTGTAATGGTCAGGTTTATCTGCATTCATAGGAAGCCTCTGAAATGTCAGCAGGAAAGCCTGACCTTGGGGACAGACAGCTTATCAAATACTGGGTCATTTGAGTCTGATGTATTCTAAATCATCAGGGCACATCAGCCATCCTTTAGCATAAGCCTCTTTTGGATTCCCACATGGCAAAATTTCAAACTCAATGAGAAGTATGACTGCATATAGGTTATCCAGTTATTAAAAACAAACTCCATAAGCAAACTGCGAAAATCAGACTGTCAGCAACATATTTTCATCTCTGATTACAGATGTGGCCCTCCTTCAGTTCCATATAATTCACATCACAATATACTAGCCCTTTCAGGAATTTAACAGCATTTTCTGGCATAGAAATGTCATATAAAAGATTCTAGCTCATCAATGTATTGGCATTGAACCTAAGATAAGTCAGTCACTAACAAATTATCACAAAAATAGGAGTACTTTCATTTTATCTTCCAAAATCTCAAAAGAATTGTATTGAGAATGTTCCTTCCACTAAAATAGATGGAGCAATTTTTTTCCTGGTTTGGTCTTGGGAAGGTGTACGTGTCCAGGAATGTATTTATTTCTTCTAGATTTTCTAGTTTATGTGCATATAAGAGTTCATAATATTATCTGATGGTTATTTGTATTACTGTGTGGTGAGTATTAATACCACCCTTCTTGTTTCTGATTGTATTTATTTGGATCTTCTCTCTTTTCTTCTTTATTAGTCTAGCTAGCAGTCTATATATTTTATTAATTTTTTCAGAAAAACAGGTCCTGGATTCATTGATCTTTTTAATGGTTTTTCATGTCTCAATCTCCTCTGAGTTCGCTCTGATTTTGGTTATTTCCTGTCTTCTGCTAGCTTTGGGATTGGTTTACTCTTGTTTCTCTAGTTCTTTTAATTGTGATGTTAGGTTGTTAAATTGAGATCTTTCTAACTTTTTGATGTGGGCATTTAGTGCTATAAATATCCCACTTAACATTGCCTTAGCTGTGTCCCAGAGATTCTGGTATGTTTTATCTTTGTTCTCATTAGTTTCAAAGACAATCCCATTAAAAAGTGGGCAAGGACATGAACACTTTTCAAAAGAAGACATACATGTGGCCAACAAGCATATGAAAAAAAGCACAACAACACTCTCATTAGGGAAATACAAATCAAAACCACAACGAGATACCATCTCGCACCAGTCAGAATAGCTGCTACTAAAAAGTCAAAAAATAACAGATGCTGGCGAGGTTGTAGAGAGATATGAACACTTATGCACTCTTGGTGGGAGTGTAAATTAGTTCAGCCATTGTGGAAGACAGTATGGTGATTCCTCAAAGACATGGAATCAACCTTTATGCCCATCATTGATAAATAAAGAAAATGTGGTGCATATACACTGATATGGTTTGGCTCTGTGTCTCCACCCAAATCTCATCTAGAATTGTAATCTCCATGTGTGATGGTAGGAACCTGATGGGAGGTGATTGCATTATGGGGGCTGTTTCCCCCATGCTGTTCTCATGATAGTGAGTGAGTCTCATGAGATCTGATGGTTTTAAAAGTAGCAGTTTTTCCTGTGTTTACACTTCAGTTTTCTTGCATGTCAGCATGTAAGATGTCCCTGTGTCCCCTTCCACCATGATTGTAAGTTTCCGAGGCCTTCCCAGCCATGCAATACTGTGATCAATTAAGCCTCTTTTCTTTTAAATTACCCAGTCTCAGGCATTTCTTTATAGCTGTGTGAAAATGGACTAATACAGAGAATTGGTACGAGCAGAGTGGGATACTGCTATAAAGATACCCAAAAATGTGGAAGCAACTTTGGAGCTGGGTAACAGGCAAAAGTTGGAATAGTTTGGAGGGCTCAGAAGAAGACAGTAAGCACAGGGTTCTGAGGCAACATACATCCTCAGCTTATGAAGATGATGGGATTAAGAGATTAAAGTAAGACAGGCGTAAGAAATTATAAAAGTATTAATTTTGGGAACTAATAAATGTCCATGAAATCTTCACAATTTATGTTCTTTTGCTGCAGCTTCAGCCAGTCCCTCCATTTGGGGTTCCTGACTTCCTGCAACAGTATCTGGTGGAAGAAATTTCTAAATAGCAAAACATTCAAGAGGTGACCTGGTTGATTCTGAAAGCTTTCAGTTTTATGCCTTCACAAATAAATGGTTTGAAATTGAAACTTACGTATAAAATGAAAGCAGAGCATAAAGGTTTGGAAAATTTGCAGCCTGACTATGTAGTAGAAAGAAAAAACTCATTTCCTGGGGAGGAATTCAAGCTGGATATGAAATTTGCATAAGTAACAAGGAGCCAAATGTTATTATAATAGCCAAGACAATGGGGAAAATGTCTCCAGGGCATGTCAGAGATCTTTGCAGCAGCCCCTCCCATCACAGGCCAGGCCTAGGAGGGAAAAATGGTTTTGTGGGCTGGGTCCAGGACCCCACAACTCTGTGCAGTCTCAAGACTTGGTGCCCTGCATCCCAGCTGTTCTAGCTCTGGCTGTGGCTAACAGGGGTCAAGGTACAGCTTGGGCCATTGCTTCAGAGGGTTCAAGCTGCAAGCCTTGGCAGCTTCCACGTGGTGTTGGGCCTGCAGTTAGTTGCACAGAAGACAAGAATTGAGCTTGGAAACCTCTACCTAGATTTCGGCGGACGTATGGAAATGCCTGGATGTCCAGGCCTAAGTCTGCTGCAGGGGTGGAGCCCTCATGGAAAACCTCTGCTAGGGCAGTATGGAAGGGAAATGTGGGGTTGGAGCTCCCTCACAGAATTCCCACTGGGGTACTGCCTAGTGGAGCTGTGAGGTGAGGGCCACCATCCTCCAGTCTCCAGAAATGTAGATCTACCGACAGCTTGCACCTTGCACCTGGAAAAGCTGCAGACACTCAACGCCAGCCCATGAGGGAGCTACCCAAGGCATTGAGAGTACAACCTTTGTATCAAAGTACCCTGGGTGAGACGTGGAGTCAAAGGAGATTACTTTGGAGTTTTAAGATTTAATGACTGCCTGGCTGGGTTTCTGACTTGCACGGGGCCTGTGGCCCCTTCATTTTGGCGAATTTCTCCCATTTGAAATGGGAACATTTACCCAATGCCTGTACCCTCATTGTATCTTGAAAGTAACCAACTTGATTTTGATTTTAAGGCTCATAGGTGGAAGGGACTTGTCTTGGATGAGACTTTGGACTTGGACTTTTGAGTTAATGCTGGAATGAGTTAAGACTTTGGGGGACTGTTGGGAAGTCATGATTGTGTTTTGAAATGTGAAGACATGACATTTTGGAGAGGCCAGTGGCAGAATTATATGGTTTGGCTCTGTGTCCCCACCCAAATCTCATCTTGAATTATAATCCCCATGTATCAAGGGAGAAAAATGATGACAGGTGATTGGATTATGGGGGCCGTTTTCCCCCATGCTGTTCTCATTATAGTGAGTGAGTCTTATGAGATCTGATGGTTTTAAAAGTGGCAGTTTTTCCTTTGCTTGCACTTCACTTCTCTTGCCTGCTGCAATGTAGGATGTGCCTTCTTCCCATTTCACATGATTGTAAGTTTCCTGAGGCCTCCCCAGCCATGCGGAACTGTAAGTCAATTAAACCTCTTTTCTTCATAAATTATGCAGTTTCGGACATTTCTTTATAGCAGTGTGAAAACAGGCTAATACATAGGCCATGGAATACTATGCAGCCATGAAAAAGAAAAAGATCATGCCCTTCGTAGGAACATTGATGAAGCTGGAGGCCATTATCCTTAGCAAACTAACATAGAAACAGAAAACCAAATACCATATGTTCTCACTTATAAGTGGGAGCTAAATGATGAGAACACATGGACACAAAGAAGGGAACAACACACACTGGGGCCTATTGGAGGGTGGAGGTTGGAGGGTGGGAGAAGTGAGGGGAGAGGGATCAGGAAAAATAACTAATGGATACTAGGCTTAATACCTGGGTAATGAAATAATCTGTACAACAAATCCCCATGACACAGTTTTACCTATGAAACAAACCTGCTCATGTACACCTGAACTTAAAATGAAAGTTAAATTTTTTAAAATTACAAAACAACTACAAGAAGAAAAACAAGATGGAGTGAAATATTTTAGGAGTGGACAGAGGTTTTGGTTGCTTTGTTTCATTTTCTCTCAAGGACTGTTCTTTTTTAAGATGGGAAAATGTATTTTTAGTCTGCTGAGAATTAAGAGTTAGTAGTAAAAGCAGGAATTACTTTTCAAATGCCACCAAAGTTGCAGTTTTATAGCATAGTGTTCCTTAGGTCTCTTCTTGCTGATACCCAAGATGGCTGGAATAATCTGAGTCACTGTAAACACCTTGTTTAACTCAGAAAATTCCCTTAGACTCTGTCTCCTTTTTTGTTTTAACTCTTCTTATCCTTTTCTAATGGCCCCATTGTTATCCTATGGCTTTCCTGGCTTTGATTATGCTCCATCTCAGATGCTGACAATAATCCTCACCCATAATCCTTGGACCTTACCATTACAGTGTATGCTAGACAGACTTTCAACTGCCAGCACCTGCATCTCATTGTAGAGCCTGTTCTGCCTGTGCACGTAGGAGCAGCCTTTAGTACTAATCAACAGAAATTGGCCTATACACAGGCCAGGTCTCTCATACCCAGGTGGAATAACTCTGAGGCATATGTTGCATAATGGCTCTGTGATTTCTCCAGCAGTAAAAGCTCCAGTTACCCACAGAAGTAATTGCCTGATAACACATCCTTTGTTAACTTCCTTAATTTTCCTAAATCACTTCTCTCCACTCTCCTACCTATGTGTGCTGGGATAACTTCACAAATAACTTGAATTTTTGTCTCAGGGTCTACTTTTAAGGAACCCAAACCTACATATTGCTACTGGATTTCATTATTTTCTTACATGCTTCTAGTCTATATTCAAGTGATGTTGTATCCTATCTTCAAACTAGGCAGCCAGATAACATCCCAGCTCTACATATCTTGAGGTGAGGCTGGTAATTGCATGTCATATTTGTACTTGAAAGGTATGATTTTATATGCAATATATTTTTCTTTTATGTATCTTTCTCTTTCTAGATGAATTGATGCTACTATGCTCATGTGTCCCAAATCTGTGTCTCAAGGGCAGAGCTCTCTTTCAAAATTTGAACATGTATATCAAATGGTCCACTTGTCACCTGGATGTGCACACAACCATCAAACTTAGCATAAACAGTCTTTAGCCCAACAAATTTCTCATTAACCTTGCTCTACTCCCAGACTTCCCTGTACCACTTACCTAATTGCTTAAATCAGAAACCAGAGAAAACCCTTGACTACTCATTTAACCCAATATCAAATAGTTATGTGCAGTTACAAGTTATGGACAACTCAATTTACAGTAGCTTAAATGTTGTTGTTTTCTTTTTCTCACATAAGTAGGTTCAAGGCAGATTGCTGTGGTGTTGATTCAATAACCTAAAAATGTCCAGCAATATTTCTACAATTCGTGTGGTATTCCCTGATGGAATTGAGAAAGAACTGCATCTCCTTCATGTTCAAAAGAAACAGAAGTAGAAAGAAGGCCGGGCGCGGTGGCTCACGCCTGTAATCCCAGCACTTTGGGAGGCCGAGGCGGGCGGATCACGAGGTCAGGAGATCGAGACCATCCTGGCTAACACGGTGAAACCCCGTCTCTACTAAAAATACAAAAAATTAGCCGGGCGTGGTAGCGGGCGCCTGTAGTCCCAGCTACTCGGGAGGCTGAGGCAGGAGAATGGCGTGAACCCGGGAGGCGGAGCTTGCAGTGAGCCGAGATCGCGCCACTGCACTCCAGCCTGGGCGGCAGAGCGAGACTCCGTCTCAAAAAAAAAAAAAAAAAAAAAAAAAAAAAAAAAAGAAGTAGAAAGAAGCAGTCTTGTGAGTCTCTTTTACAAGGAAACAGCTTTTCCTGAAGAGCCTCCTAGTAGACTTCTCTTTACAGTTCACTGTGCAGAATAGGCCGGATCACTACCCCAGCTATAAGGGAGACTGAGAAAACAGGGAACAGGATTGTTATAATTGAACTATTCCAAACAAGATCCATTTATTCAAGATGAACACATTGGCTCCTCAGAAAGCCAGAGTTCCTTTAGCAGGAAAAAAGTGAAAATACATATTGACTAAATAACTTGAAATATCTGCAACAAATCCCCGCCCCCACCTTTCTGCCAACCAAATATCAAGTTGGGTCTTATCCTTTAAATATCTTGAAAATATGTCTATTCCTTCACCACTGCCCCCATTTTAATGTAAACTACTGTCATCTGTGTTCAGAGCTAGAGCAATAGGCTTTTAATTGTTTCTCTGGTTTAAGTGATAATTACTTTCCACCAATCTCTTTTCCAACTTCACCCAGGGTGATCTTTTATGTAGGTAAATATGAACTTGTTATGTACTGCCTTAAGCCACTTCCATGACCGACACCAGGCTCTTTTTTTTTTTTTCAGACGGAGTCTTGCTCTATCACCCAGGCTGGAGTGCAGTGGCGTGATCTCTGCTCACTGCAAGCTCCGCCTGCCCGGTGCACGCCACTCTCTTACCTCAGCCTCCCGAGTAGCTGGGACTACAGGTGCCCGCCACCATGCCCGGCTAATTTTTCATATTTTTAGTAGAGATGGGGTTTCACCGTGTTAGCCAGGATGGTCTCGATCTCCTGACCTTGTGATCTGCCCACCTCGGCCTCCCAAAGTGCTGGGATTACAGGTGTGAGCCACCGTGCCTGGCCAACACCAGGCTATTTCTTAGCTCTGCTCACCTTCTCGCCTGCTTCAACTACCTCTCCCCTCCCACTCACCGACTTTTAGTTTACTCCTACTCATTGTTCAAGATGTTCTCTCACTTTTTCCCTCCTGTTCCTCTTCTCCAGGCTGATATGGGTGATTCTTCATGTATATTTGTGTTGTATAATATTTTGTTATTATTATTTCATTATATGATTGTCACCACCATCAGAAAGAGTTTCTTTATAAATAAAGCATTTGTTTCACTCAACTTAGAGTCCTTATTACCCAGCACAGTACCTGGCACTAAGAGTTCAATTAATACTTATGGAATGAACAGATTGATTAATTTTAAAAGAGTAATTGAATCATGATGGTTGTTAATTTAAAAAGTTGGGTAGTAATTCTTTCTCTGGACACCTGTAATAAGAGAACCAACAAGAAACAGTATAACAAAGTTATTGGGAGTATAATTTCTGTATCCCCTCTACAGTCTAACTCCATAGGGTCAACTCTGTGACCTTGATCTAGTTAAGTGAATCCTTTTGTGTAAATTTCTTCATATGTATAATGTGGATAATGATACTACTTAGCTCAAAAGGTTGTTAAAAGGATCAAAATAGTTAATGCTTGCAATTCCTAGTTAATGCATAGATTAACACCCAACGCATGGTGAATGCTATAAAAATTTTAAAAATAAGTAAAGAAGACAGTTGTGATTCCTGTCTCCACAGAATTTATAGTCTAGGTCAGTGCTGTTTAATAGAAATATAAGGTAAGCCACATATGTAATTAAAAATTTCTAGTGGCTATACTAAAAAGTGACTGAATTATAAATAAGATTGATTTAAATAGTTTATGTAAACTGCTATATCAAAAATATTATTTCTACAGGTAACCTATCTAAAAAGTTATATTCCTTATTTTGTACTAAGTCTTCAAAATTCAATGTATTTTATACTTACAGCACATCTCAATTCAGATGCTTAATTCTCATCTGTATTTAGATCTCATCAACTTACAGTTGAAAAAGTAGACTCACATACCCAAGTTGTTCCAAACATCTTTAAATTTTTACTGTAACTGATTCAGATATCAGTGTTAATTTACAATTTGTAGCAATTGAAATTAAGAATTCAGTTCCTCAGTCATACTAGTTACAGTTTAGTGTCCAAGAGCCACATAGGCCAGCATGGAATTAGAGGAAAGGTGATAAGTAAGCAGACAGTTACAGAGTGTGATTGACACAGAGTACTTTGTTAGGGCAAAGGTTGAGTGCTCTGGGAACACACAGTAAGGGTACTAATGAAGCTTGGTGGAGGGAATTTATTAAGGAATTTTCCTGGAGAAAATGCTATCTTGAGACCTCAAGGATAAGCAGGAGTTGGCCAGGTGATGAGGGAGAAAGCGCATCTGTCAGAAGGAATAGTGTTGGGGATGAGGGGAAGTATAGCATTTTCACAGACCTGAACAAATTTCAGAGTGACTGATGCATAGAGTGTATATGTGTATATAGGAAGTGGAGGATGAGCTATAGGGGGAAGAGGTGGAAAAGGGAGCAGTTGAGAAGTAAGGCTAGAAAAGTTAGCCAGGGAAGAAATCATGAATGAGTTTTTATAAAACATGTTAAAGGAGGTCAGACTATCCTGAAGTTAATGAGAAGCCACTGAAGGATTTAAACATGCAACTGAAGGTTACGTGATCATGATATGTTTACTGAAGATAATTCTGGCTACAGTATGGAAAAAGTTTAGAAGATAATCAATTGTCTAGTGTCTCACACCCATAAGATGGCTACTATCAAAAAAAAAAAAAAAACAGAACAGAACAAGTATTGGTGGGTGAGGATGTGAAGAAACTGAAACCCTTGTGCACTATTGTTAGTAACATAAAATGTTGCAGTCACTGTGAAAAGCAGTATGGCACTTCCTCAAAAAATTAAAAATAGAATTACCACATAGTCCAGCAATTCCACTTCTGGATATATACCCAGGAGAATTGAAAGAAGGATCAAAGAGATATTTGTACACCCATGTTCATAACAACCTTATTTACAATATCTAAAACATGAAAGCTAGCCAAGTATCCATAGATAGATAAATGGGTAAGCAAAATATGATATATACATACAACAGGGTGTCATTCAAGCCTTAAAAGTGAAGGAAATTCTGATACATGCTAACTGAAATAAGCTAATTACAGAAAGACAAATACCACTTGATCCCACTTATATGAGGTACCTAGAATAGTCAAAATCAGAGAGACAGAAAGTAGAATAGTGGTTGCCAGGGATAGGGGAAGAAAAAAGGGGAATTATCGTTTAACTGGTAGAGAGTTTCAGTTTTGCAAGATGAAAAGAGCTCTGGAAATCAATGGTGGTGACGGTTGCAAAACAATGTGAATGTTTTTAATATTAGTGAACTGTACACTTAAAAATGGTTAAGATGGCCGGGCACGGTGGCTCATGCCTATAATCCCAGCACTTTGGGAGGCCAAGGTGGGCAGATCACAAGCGCAGGAGATCGAGACCATCCTGGATAACATGGTGAAACCCTGTCTCTACAAAAATACAGAGAAAGTAGCTGGGCATGGTGGCATGCACCGGTGGTCCCAGCTACTTGGGAAGCTGAGGCAGGAGAATCACTTGAACCCAGGAGGCGGAGGTTGCAGTGAGCCAAGACTGCAACACTGCACTCCAGCCTGGGCGACAGAGAGAGTTTCCACCAAAAAAAAAAAAAAAAAAAGCAAATTTTATGTCATGTGTGTTTTAACAAACCTTTTAAAAACCAAAAGCAATGACTGGGCATTAAGTTAAAAAGGTTATTGCTGAGATGCAGGCAAAAGATAAAGATGGCAGCTGAAATGAGACAAGAGAAGTATTGATGAAGAGAAATAGGTTGAATTAAAAAATACCAGGGTTACAGTTAACAAGAGTCTATTGGTGATTAATTTTAGTCTTGGGTGAGGGAGAGTAAGGAGTTAAGCTATTTCCCAGATTTCTAGTGTGAGCAACTAACGTGGATAGTGATGACATGCATTGAGATAGAGAACGAAGAGGAGACATAGACTTGGTTGGGGTTGGGGGTGGAGGACATAAGAGGTTCACCTTCAAACACATTGATTTTGAGGTATTTGCAGGGAATCCAAGGGGAGTTGTCTTGTTAGGGAACATACTTCATAATTTCTGGACAGATCTTGGAGCCCTTCTCATGTGGGGGATAATTAAAGGTGTAGGACCAAGGGTAGTTCATAGATGTTTATTGTCTGTCTGCCAGCATATTCTCCTTAATTTTTTGGAGTATTTTGCATTTCTTCACCAATAATCTGTGTGATTTGGATGGGGCTCCGCCTAAATTTGTCCCCAAGGATAGAATATGAAACACACCTGGCCACAGTGATTGGGGTGTAAGGTTGGCAGCCTCAACTAGTAAAGTAAATGTCAGTCTAAGGATGTGTGCAGGAGTTGCTGACTTAGAAATAAAAGTCTACTCCACTCAATTCCATTAGACTAGGAACCTATGAAAAATATGAACCAGGAACCAGGTTTTCCTAGGAACCAGGAAAAATATGAAATTAGAGCTGTTGAAGCCATCTTGCCACCATGAGGATGATAGTAACTGGAGGCCATCACATTGAGCCTGAGAAGGAATCTAATATATAAGTTTGAGATGAAGGGTAATTGAGTTCTTTTTATGTCATTTCAAATCTGAATCCAGCCATGCCTGAAGCAAGACCAAAGACTAGGCATTTCAAATATGTGAGCCAATGAAGTGCCTGCTTTTCTTATACCAGTTTGAGTTGTATCCTAATGAATATAGGCAGCCCTAGCTCTGCATAGTAGTGCAGGACCATAAAAAATGACTTTACCACCAGGTGCAGTGGCTCATGCCTGTAATCCCAGCACTTTGGGAGGGTGAGGCAGCGGATCGCTTGACGTCAGGAGTTCGAGACCAGCCTGGCGAAACGCTGTCTCTACTAAAAATACAAAAATTAGCCGGGTGTGGTGGCGCATGCCTGTAGTTCCAGCTACTCAGGACTGAGGTGGGAGTATTGCTTGAAACCAGGAGGTGGAAGTTGCAGTGAGCCGAGACCATGCCACTGCACTCCAGCCTGGGTGAGAGTGAGACTCTGTCTTAAAAATAAATAAATAAATAAAAATGACTTTACAAGCTGAAACTCTGAAAAGTTGGTCCAAGACCTTTAGATTTTTTTGTTAAAATATTAAAGAAGACTCTTATTTTGAGAAACTAAAAACTTATAAAATTAATATTTATTTAGTATACTAAAATTTATTAGATAATTAAGCGTTCAAATGTTGTATTTCTTTGTAAAAGTGTATCAAAAGTAGTTTGGACAAGCATTTTTTCTTAGTGAATTATTACACTCCTTTATAAGTTTGGATCACCTTCCAACATTTTACTTTTTGCCCTTTCAATGCTGTAAAATATCTCTGAGATTTCCTTTAATTTGAAGGGTTTTTGTCTGTTTTTCTGTTGCTTTTTTTATTACACACATATATTTAACAGTACAGTTTTACATAGAATGCTAAGAGCATTTCTTCATATTTTACAAAAAGGCTGGAAACATATGGACTTTGTATTAGTAATTATACAATAGCACATCCAAATCTAATTCCTAAATAGATGATGGATTATAATTTGCTTAGAATTCAAAGGCTTAATGACAATAATCTGGGGAGGAAAAAGAGTAAGTTTATTTTACATAACTGACCAAAAAATAAACACAAGAAATAGTAAATAGAATTTAATGTGGTCTCATGTGCCCTGAAGGAGGTGGTGCCCGATGCGGAGGGGTAATTGCTATGTCCAAGTAATCTACCTGGAACTTCTGCGACGGCAGGGTCATGGAATCATCAGTCCCCTTTCTGCCAGACTTGGTGCTACCAACTTCCTTAACTCGATAGCCAGGTCTTTTAACATCTGTAAAAACGACTGCAAAATTGAAGAGAGTGCCCTTCTTTCTAGCTTCTGGGTAGACTTCTTTTACCAAGCTTGTCAGTTCTTTCAAGGTTGCATCCATCCAAGCGTAGATCTGCAACTCTCTGGACTGTACGTTTCCCCGGGAAAACTCGTCCGTTCGGTGGTGGTGGCCATTATTGGTGGTGAAGATGCGCAGCAGCAGCAGGCATGTTTTCTCACGGTTGATCGGGTTCTCTGGCTCCGTCTTAATCTCCTCCCGGGTAACGCGCGACCCCACCGCCATCTTCCTCCTACGGCCCGCCTGTTTTTCTTTACTGTGGTTACTTCCTCTGGGATATTGTCATCCTTTTTGTCACAACCACTTTACTCTTTTAAGTCTATACATTTGCCTTAATGAAGTTCCTGTGGCTGCCAGCCTAGAGTCTTTTGAATAGCAAGTGTCAACATTCCCAGTCAGCTATTTCTTCCAAAATCCCATTAATGTTCAATTCAAACACTGTGAAGTCATGCCAGTTTCTAAAACACTAAAATCTGCCTTCACTGTCAGGGAAACATTTATCTTCGGTCTCCTTGTAATTACTGATTCCTTTCAATGCAGCACCTGACTTCAGAGTTTGGCCTGCATGATAGTTGTTAAGCTGATTGGGTTTTTGTTTTCACTACACTGTTCAATCCTAAGTAGAAGTAAATGCTCCATTTTTACCCTAAGCAGCTTTCTGTTCTGAGTGCAACTTAAACTAAACAATGTTGAAGCTACATTACCTTGTTTTTGAATGATCTGACTTCTTCAACATCATTTGTTCACTAGCTTCAGGCAGGCCTAGGTCTCATCCTGTCTTCACTTTGCTGTCTCCATTTTCAAATCTCCTCATCACATTCAATTTCACTTCCAGCATTATCGTTTTTAATTTATTTGCTGCACTTTAATTGCTGTTGGTCACTTTTCTCTAATATTCATTTCTTTAATGTCATATGGGTTTAATACTAGGAAAGAAGGAGGCCACCCAACTAAGGCTTTGCTGTCTGTGCATAAACTAAATAACAGATGGGCAGTGACCAATCACTAACAGAATTTGAAACAACTGATGTGATTGGTCACTGACCATGATATATGTCTGTTATTTACATAGAGATTCGTGTACTAAAGAGCTAGCAGTGAAGCTTATACGTTAAGCAGTTACTCACAATTAATACACTGCGTAACTGAAATTTAAACCATGTGGGGTCTAGTGTCATTTAACTGAACAGTAATAAATGAAATTTGTGCATATGAAAATTGTTCAAAGCATTAACTGCCTTACTAACTAATGCAGAGATTGTGTAAGAAGAAAACAGAAGAAAGCCTAGGAGAGAATCCTGAGGAAAACCAAAGATTTAAGGGATGAGCAAAAGAGAAATCTGCACAGTAACTCATAAAGAGTGGTCGAAGAGGTAAAGAGAAAACAAGAGCATATGGTGTCATACAAGGTAAGAGAAGACATATTGCAATTGCATTTCCCACTCATTTTTTAAAAATGAGCTCTAATTAACATTCCATAAGATTCACCATTTTGAAGTATACAATTCAGTGGTTTTTGGTGTACTTATAGAGTTGAGCAACCATTACCATTATCTAATTCCAGAATATTTTCATCACCCTGGAAAGAAACCCATTACCCACTAGCTGTTTACTCTCCATTCTTCCCTCCTTCCAGTCCCGGGAAATCACTAAACTGCATTCTGTCTCTATGACTGTAACTACTCTAGATACCTCATATACGTAGAATAATACAGTATTTGTCCTTTTGTGATTGGCTTATTTCACTTAGCATAGTGTCTCAAGTGATTGTTTTTGTTGTAGCATTTATTATTTTTATAGCTGAATAATATTCTATTGTATGGATATACCAAATTTGTTATCCATTTATCAGATGATAGATACTTGGCTTGTTTCTACTTTTGAACTATTACAAATAATGTTGCTATGAACATTTGTGTACAAGTTTTTACGATAATATATTTTCTAGTTTCTTAGGGATATTTCTTCCCTATTCTTAGGGATATACCTAGGAGTAAAATTGCTCAGTCATATGTTAACTCCCACGTTTTGAGAAACCATGTGAATGTTTCTACAATGGCCATACCAGTTTACATTTCCATGGGAAATTTGTGAAGATTCTTTTTCAAAAACCTTACATATATATAATTTTACTCATTTTATTCTTCTAGTTTCTCATTTTATTTAACCGTGCACATTTCTTCCTTGCATCTTTGACTTCCTTATTTCACATTTTTAAAGTTATCTCCTAACTATCTATACAATAAGTTTTCTTCACATTGCAAATCATTTGTGGCTTTCCTATCCCACACTGTATAGAATTTATTCAAACTATGAAAAGTACTAGGTCTTTCATATTTCAAGCCATTTGTCCAGGCTGTTTATAACCACCAAAAAAAAAATCAAAAGTTAGATATGGATAAGAACAGTGACTTTATTTAGCTTCCCTTTCTCTTCAATTAAATTAATTTAATCTAATTTAATAATCTTGGGAGGAAAACTCTGCAAAATATATTAGTCATAGATGGTGCAAAGTGAAGTAAATTGCTTTTTATTTTGGAAGAATCTCAGTTTGCCCCATTTCATTTGATCCCCCGTATTTTCACTGAGATATCAGGACCCTAAATTTTCCTTGGATTTACTCCTCACTCTCTGTCAATCATGCACCTTTTTGATGCAATTAGGGTGTCTGCCACCTCCTATATTACAAGGAGTGAAATAGTTGGTATACCTGAAATAGAATATCTCAAAGCAAGCTACTTCTTGTGCTCTTTACTTATTGGGATTTTTCAAAAAGTTTTTAGTTTGGCATTATGGCTCAAGCCTGTAATCCCAGCTACTCAGGGCAGGAGGATTGCTTGAGGCCAGGAGTTCGAGATAGCCTGGGCAACATAGTGAGACCCTTTTCCTCTTATAAAAAAAATTGCCAGAACAAACGCTGAATGTCACGTGTCAGGATTGT
Organism: Homo sapiens; assembly: GCF_000001405.40. NCBI lineage: Eukaryota > Metazoa > Chordata > Mammalia > Primates > Hominidae > Homo > Homo sapiens. The sequence continues at coordinate 181,691,725 of NC_000002.12, read as the reverse complement.
GTTGATTTACTCAACTAAAAGATATCATGTGGAATAGCATCTGCATTGAAAAATCACTACTTGATTGTGAGGCCGGGGTGTGCAGATCACTTGAGGTCAGGAGTTCAAAACCAGCCTGGCCAACATAGTGAAACCCCATCTCTACTAAAAATTTAAAAAAAAAAAAATAGCTGGGCATGGTGTTGGGTGCCTGTAATCCCAGCTACTCTGGAGAATCTCTTGAGCCCGGAAGGTGGAGGTTGCAGTGGGCCAAGAATAAGTGTACAGTAATTCTACTGACATTCTTAAAGATTCTCATCTGCACAAGGCAAGGAAAGGGGTTCTATAATGGAGATGTGACAGGGATCACTACCTATGTTTGTTAGCATATGAATTCAGTTGCTGGAGAGAGATTCACAATGATACAGCATAAACAAAATAAAAATTTCTTTCTCATTCAAATGAAAGTCCTTGTGTAAGCAGACTAGAGCTAGTATGGTTATGCTATCAATGACCCAATTCCTTCTATCTTATTGCCAGCCACATTGTCTCTATGGTGGTGCCTTGGGTCTGCATTTCAGCCAGCACAAAGGAGAAAGAAGAAGGTATAGACACATCACTTTATTTTAATGACAAGATCCAGGAGTTGTTCTCGTCACTGTCACTCACATCCCATTGGCCAAAACTTAATCACATGGTCATATGCAGCTGCAATGTGACAGGAAATGTAGTCTTTTTTCAGAATGACTGTTACCCTAGGTAAAATTTGGAGATATTCTTTCTGTGAGAGAAAAAGAGAGTACAGCTAATGGGAGATAACTAGTGGCTACTGTCATATCACTTGACGTCTTTCAAATCTTTGATGCTGATCAATCTCTGCAATTCCCCCAGTGTGCAGTTGTACTTTTGGTAAGAAGAGGAAGCTCAAGATTTGACTTTTTCTCCCATAATGACCCTCATTTTGGGGGTCAGAAAGGAAGCATGGACATTCACTCATCTCTATATGAAGGAAATGTGGAAACAATCACAGGATGCTTTTACAGACCTATAAGTGCCATTGTGACAGAATTAGGCCCGCAAATCCAATTGTCACCTAAACTGCATGCATCCCAGATTCTGCCAGATACATCACAGTGACATTCTGCATCGTGTTCATTTATATTCAGGAGCCAATACTCCCTGAAAGATCTGGCTATTTCCCATCTCCCACTACACAGTTACCATGGTAAATAACCAAAGATACTTCTGGAGAAGGCTGGGAGAAAGATTTACAGGAAGTACTTCTGATGATATCACAAGGTCCTTCTTCAGGTTACCTGGCTTCCTCTATATTCAATGTTTGGAAATAAACTCAAGTTTCAGAATTGAGTGAGCAGCTATCATGACATCATGGTAATTCATGACAAGCCTTGATCAGGTTTTATCATCCCATGTATTATTGTTATTATTTTTCAGACCTCATACAATTATATGAATCCCATGAAAGGTTAAGACACTGCCACAGGTTTTCCTGTGTTAGATCACCCCAATTACTGTGGGTTGTAGTAAAAATCCCACTTTGTCTCTGACTCTTTTGTGTGCCCCCTGGACCGTCATCCCAGAAACCAATTATCCCAATTTCTATCAGGGATCCCATTTAATAGTAACATTGTCCACCTTCCTTCCCAGCCTGAAGGGGATTTTTCAAAGATGCTGTCCCTCCCAAGGAAATGCACATGTGTTGAGGATAGTTAGGAGGTAGGTGAGAAGTTTGCCTATAATGAATTGACTCTAACCTTTTCTGTCTAAAACTTTGGGTTGCTTTTTCTACATCACTTTGAGAAATTTTTGGTATTTAAGCTTCATGCAATGTAGGTCAGCTTTGAATGTATATTTTATTCAACCTTCGGAGCAGACAATGAAAACTATACTCAGAGGTTTCAGCAGCACTTTGAATCCAGAATTAATAACAATTACAACAGTATTCAGAAATTCAGCCTGATCTAAAGTAATATTCTATCCCCCCAGGCTAGCATCTGCAAAATCTATACCCGCACATTTGCCCCCACATTGAGCACGATAAAAATGAACAAAATCTTGCAATTACTTAGTAGCCTTCTTCTAGGTACAAAATTGTTCTTGTCCTACCTGAGCCCTATTAGTCACAGGTTGGAAGCAATAGTAAGGGGAAGGAATGGGTTATAAAGAGGATTTACATCCTCTTGCAAGTTGAGTATGTCAGAGGAACCTTCAAGCAAACCAAGATCAGCCTCATTTGATATGGCAGGAGGGAGTGCTTATGTTGTAAAAGAAGGCTTTCAGTGGAACTTGAGTATTCAGAGTAGCTGGAGCTATTTAAATCTTCCCAAATGTTGTCATTATAATTCTCAGTTTTTGCTCCTTGATGTAAGAGATCAGAAGATAGGTGTGGTGTGTTATTGAGAACCATTAGGGGTTTTCAAACTTTAGTGTCCCTCATCACCTGGAGAGCTTTACAAGAAATGTGTTAGGAGGCTTGAAGAAACAGACTCTAGCCTGAGATTCCAGGAAGAGTATCAAAAACCATACCACAAAACTAGGCTAAGAAAGCTTCCACCTTTGCTTGAGTCCTGATCAGAAAGCTGTCACCACACTTGCTGGCTTTACTTGCACTAGAATTTGTGCCAGACAAATAAATCTTCTGTCTCCTGGCTCTCTCAAGTAACTGGTTCTGAATAAAAGTCTAATGCATCTGATTAGCAGAATGTATACCACAACTAGGACACATAGGAAACTTTTAATTAATTTATTTGTTTTAATTTTCCAGACTGTTTACTCTAGAAAGGCACACAAGAAGGAAGTGAGATTGGGTATTGAGTACTCCTGCACTTGTTTCAAGTTGGGTAGGTACATACTCACTTGTGAGTAAACCTCGTTAAAGTCCATCTCTCCCACTAGAAAGAAAGCGTCAAGAAAGCTGAATCTAATGTCTATTTACTCCTGTGCCCCTAGCACCTAGCAGCACAGTGCCTGGCACATAATGGCATTCAATATAGATTTGCTAATACGCTTATTGCCCAGTGAATCAGCAGTTTCTGAAAGGAGGGGAAGGAGGAGACAAGCTCTCTGAAGAAAACCTGAATCAGTTTTATAGCCTTTGCTTATGCTCAGCCCTGGTGCTCTCCATATTGTCTACCACACTAGCATTGTGGACAAACATAAAAATTTAGGACTGTTATTTTTGTTTTGTTTTTTGTCTGTTGGTTTTTCATGAGAGACTATTAATCTAGTCCATGTGATTCCAGAAGAAGTAGGATCCAGGGTAAATTCAAAGGAGAAAAAGCATATTTGACTTAGCTGCTTTAAATTTTATGTTCTTTCCTGACTTTTGGGTTAACTTCTTTAAAAAACTGCCAGGCCAGGTGCGGTGGCTCACGCCTGTAATCCCAGCACTTTGGGAGGCCGAGGTGGGCGGATCACCAGAGCCAGGAGTTCGAGACCAGCCTGACCAACATGGGGAAACCCCGTCTCTACCAAAAATACAAAAATTAGCCGGGCGTGGTGGCACGTGCCTGTAATCCCAGCTACACGGGAGGCTGAGGCAGGAGAATTGCTTGAACCCAGAAGGCGGAGGTTGTGGTGAGCCGAGATCGTGCCATTGCACTCCAGCCTGGGCAACAAGAGCGAAATTCCATCTCAAAATAAATAAATAAATAATTGCCCACATCGAAGACAAATAAATAAAAACATCACAAAATAAATGACCTCTTCCTTTCACCACCTAAGTTTGAAAGGGTTAGTAAATGATGTCGAGAGAGAGAGAGAGCCTCCCTAGAGGCTTCACAATTCCCAGCCTCCACATACCCACCTGCCTCAGGACAAGTCATGAAGGAAGATGGAGGCTGTGACCTGCGTTAGCACAAACTGAACAGAATGTCATGTCCCAGCCTCCATCTGAAATATACCTTTCTTAGCCTTTATTAATCTCTGAATGTCAATATTTTTATTTTTTTTCTTTGTACCTTGTGATTCTGCAACCTCCCCAGGTACAGGCATCAGATTCAGCGTCATTCTCAACCTCTTAAGATGCGTAAATTTCCAGGTTCCTTGCAACAAGCAGCAGGTATAGATTGGCAGGTAACAGAAAGAACATAAAGGTGCTGAGAGCACCTGAGGGGTCTTGGAAAGGCGTCACTAGTGATTAGAAAACAAGGGCACGTAAAGGGTTAAAAGAGCACAGAAAACACCTGGGCCTAATTCATAGTCTTGGCAAGATTGGTTGTAATCTGCTTTATCAAATTAAATACTTTTCAAAAGGAAGAAGTTGTGTAAAAGTTTGTATAGTGAACAATGGGAAAGGAAGAATTTGCCTCACATCACGCAACTGTAGGTGTCTGGCCTCACAGCTTCTCATCTGATGCTAGGATGGCAGGGGTGCCCAGTTCCCTCTGGGAGGGCTGTTGGCATTCATATTCCTCTCCTTGATACTTTTGTGGCTCTTTTCCTTCCAGAACTAGCTTGCCTGCCTGGGGAGTGGGTAAAGTCAATAAGGGTGAGTTTTGTGAGAGTCTCAAAATACCAGACCATCTCACAAATGAGCAAAGATGTTACAGGAGGAAAACAGACTGAGGTATTTATTGATGACTTGGGAAGTTGTTTTTAAACATCTAGTCCCATTACAAGTAAATTATCTGTTGTTACATCATGGTCTGCAAAATGTGTCTAAAGCTTAGACACATTTGTGTCACGTATGTATGTATGTGTTTAACTATTTGTTTATTATTAGAGCCTAACCTCATAATCAAATTGTTCTGTTTGAGCCCCTAAAGTGGTTTGTCACTGAGTGAAAGTAATTTCCCATGGCAGGTGCTCCCAGCAGGTGGCTGCTCACAGTACCTACATCCGAAAGGTAGATTTAGTCAGAGATTTTATTTTAATAAGAAACCCGTATTGCAGCCGAGCCACCACTGGGTGATGTGCCAAAATTCATGTCTGCAGCATGATTTATTATGTGAAAATACCACAGAACTAATCAGTGGAGTTACTAATTAATACAAATCTGCATTTTTTGCATAAGCAATTAGTGCAAGGAGAGAGCAGTGAAAGAGGAAGTTTGACTCCTTTAATCTCAGTGCCTACTCAAGCGGAAAGACCCACCAAGGCCAAACTCCGAGATCTACATTTGGAATTTTCCCCCTTTGATTAGTTAAAGACATAAAAGGTCAAATTATCAATATTTAATTTGAGTGAAATGCATTTGTTATAAAGGAAAGAAGACATTTTATTTAAAGAAGGTGAGACTCCAGGGATGAATTCTTTAATCAAAAATGATTATATTTCTCATTACAGTGAAGTGTGAATAATACTTGATAAGGATTCTGTTTACTAATAATAATGATGTTTTGAAAATTACATCAATAAGTGTGTGGTGGGGGAGGGGGATATGGTGTATATATTTCTCAGATGTTCAAAGTACCAAAGGAGCTTTCTCTTCTCAGTTATGTCTTTACTAGACTTTTCCAGTATATGCTGGATAAGTTATGACTACTCATTATGCAATATTTTAGATCTGGCATGATTTAGCTAATTGTGTGGCTCACTGAATCTGAGTGAATAATGCCATTTAACTTCTGTTGGCTTATTTTTTCATGAATTTACCAGAAATTGTTTACAGTATGAAATAACTGAAATGTTGATAAAGTGGTGGTGAAAAAGATTTTATATTTTCAATAAAACTTATACTCCATAAAACACAAGCAAAATCAAAAACATTTTTAGAGATATTTTATTATTTCTATGGACAGTAAACAAGAAATTCATTTTGGTTTTGAAGCTGTGTGGCAAATAAGTGCAAATATTGGAATAATGACTATCTTTTTGAAAGCTATTCAATTTATGATTTCTGTCTTTGTTTCAGACTAGCCAGCTCAAATTATAGTTTAAGCTCTTTCCTTGCCCCTAAATCTGGCTACCTAGTTTTATAGGAAACTTACTGTGAATATGTGCCTAATTAGATGCAGACTTACAGGTCTCTTTGACTAAAAGCTCAGTCATGGCGCCCCATGTTTTTTGTTTGTTTGTTTTTGTTTTTGAAACAAAGCAAACAGGGAAGAGTGGAAAGGAGGAAGGGAAAGAAAGGAGGAAGAAGGGGAGGGAGGAAAGGAAGGAAAGGAGGAGGAAGGGGAGGGAGGGAAGGCAGGAAGGAAAGGAGGAAGGGAGGAAGGAAAGGAGGAAGCAAGGGAGGAAGAGAGATTTTTGCTGAATCTAGTAGGCCGAAGGTCAGGGCCGTTGGAGTGGGAATTGTCCACGGTGCTGATAGGTTGAGGAAGTCATTCCTTCCACAATTCGCCTGGGGCCCTAAACCTGGTTTGCCCGCGTTCCTCCCGTGCCTTTAGGAACTTGTCCGGGTCCTCTCTCCCAACCCACTGCAGCAACCATTGTTCTTGCGACGCTCCGGCGCCGTCGGTGTGTCTCGGCTCTCCACTCCTGAAGCTACACACAGCTACCGAGGATTTTTGTTTGCTTGCTTCTTTCTATTAAGGCAAAGGTTGGCAAATAGCGTGTGCTTGTCAGTTCCCTGGCCCTGCGATCCCCTTTGGACAGCAAGCTGTTCCTCGATCCCCGGGAAACAGGTGTGCGCCCTCTGCTCACGCTCCTCACCCGAAAGCAGGTGCGACCGTGGACATACACTTAACACTCTCACACCCATCCACTTATGCCCACTTTCACATACACATTCACATTCATTGACACACACCTGCACACACTCATATGTTCACATACACACTAACAATCACACACTCATTATATGCACACACGATTTGCACACACATTCACATAATCTTGCACACACACGGATTCACACACGTACATTCAAGTGCAATCACACACTTTTGCACACACAGGGCATCGGACGCACGAGGCCTTGAGCAATTGTGCCCGTGACCTACGACTGCCAAGATACTCCTACTGAGTTGATTTTACGTTGTTGATTCTGAGTGTTGGATGGTTTAAGGAAAGCCCCTGGATCCTGACAGGGAATCAGAGACAAGTCCTTCCAAGGCCTGTGGGAGCCGACAAAGGAGCCACCAAAGCCCCGTCGGGACCGGGAGGGCATAAATAATAAATAAAAAGGCCCAGGCAGGCCGAGCTGGGGAAGCCCGGCACTAAATCACTCCCTAAATCACAGTCGCGTCGTGCTCCATCCAATAGCTCTAAGCGATTTGTGGGGTTGGGGGTTGAAATCAATTTTTTCCGTTCTCGCAGGTGCAATATGAATCAATTATCTTAATTAAGATTATGCCGCAAGCCCAGGAGATTTGGGGAGGATGGGTTTTGCGCTCGGGGCGACGGCGAGGCATTTTAATAGCGTCTCTCGTTGCTCTTGGCTCTCCCGGGTCGCCTGCCTGTCGAGCCTGGGCAGCTCCAGCCTCAGGCCAGGACCCGGGAGCCCAACTGCCTCCCCCGGGGCGGAGGCGCCGCGTCGGCGGTCTGGTCAGAACCCGCATCAACCCCCCTTCATCCCCCGAAGCTCTCAAGAGCCTCCGAGCTACCCAGCCTGTGCAGGACCTGCAGCTCTCAGCCCTCCGTTCCTGCGGCCCCTGAGCCCCACGGTCTCGCGGGCCCCTCAGCCACCCGGCCCCCTCACTCCGCTCTCCCGCGCCCAGGCCCCGACACCCCACTCCTAGGCAGGGCGGGGAGAGGACGCGGGAACCTCTCGAGGTCGGCCGGGCTGCCCTGGCCACACTTGATCCTTTCATTGAACGCAAACCTCCCTTTGCAAGAGCGAGCATCTGTTTCCCTGAGAAACAGGTCACCGCCAGGGACGCCGGCCCGGCCCCTGCGCTTTATCTTGGCCCTGTGAATGCTTCGCCCCCGACCTCCCGCTCCCCGCTTTCGCCTCCAGCCACACGCTTCCCACCCCCTACGTCCGGGCCACACGCCTCCATCCCTTCCCCACCCCCATCCTCCCACATGCCTCCCCCTTCCCCTCCGCCCGGCCCAGGCCACACTCCCCTCTCCCCACCCCTGGCCACACGCCTCCTCCCGCCCCCCTTCCCGCGGGCGCTCCGGCTGCCGCTGTAACGGCCGGGACGCCCGGCCCGCGCCGCGCGCTCAGAGCGGGGACCCGGGAGGCGGCAGATTTGGGGCATTGCTCGAGGGCAGTGAGTCATGAAAGAGGCTTTTGTTGTCCGCGCGTGCGGTTCGCGTGCCGCTGGGTAGCCTGCAGCGCCCAGTAGGGACGGGAGCTGGGGGAGTACAGCTAACGGGCAGCGAGGGGAGAGACAAAAAACTTAGGGAATCAGGAGGGGGAAAAGTGTGCAACCGTCCAAACAAGTCCAAAGAGAAGAAAATAAGGAGGAGGAGCGGGGCCGCGGAGAAGGTCCTCAGTGCTAAGCCCCGCCGCGCCTTCAGCTCTGTCCTCTCCGGGATCCGGCTGACTCTCTTCTCTCGCCCCAATTTCTCGCGCCTTCAACCCCAAACAAAACGCACCTCAATCCAGGCCGTGTCCAGGCTCCTCTTTTTAGGGCCTTACTACCCCGCATCTCCTGGGAGCCTCGCGGGCACTGGCTGAGCGTCGCGATGCCGGCGCCCCGGGTCGAAATTTTCCGCGCAGAGGAGGGTCACATCGGAGCGCTGCGGGATGGGAAGCCCAAGGACAGCTACCGTGAGACCCAACCTCAGCCCTGTCTCTGAAACATCCTGGAGTGGCCTTTCCTTTGTACAAATCTCCAGGCCTGAGCGAACAACGCGCAGTGGGATTAGAGATGAATTTATCAAGGGTAGAGGGAGGAAACAGACTAGTAATTCCCGCACTTTACGCATTTGAGTCTCCGTCTGGCAAAACACTCGGGCGTCCCTCTTGCTCAAGAACATCTGACTCCACCATAATTCTCCTGTATTGCACAGGATGTCGCGAACTGGAGGTTTCTGCTTTCTGGGGGTGAGGACAAGGATTTAGCAGAGGGACCTCTAGGCTACCCCTGACCTCGAAGCTAGCTGGAGTCCTTTCTCCCACTCCGTCCCCAGTTCTCCTCCGGAACTCCCCAAAGTTGGAAAAATGAGAGCCTAGGCACGAGTTGCATATGCCTGCGGCATAGTGTGCTGCCAGTCGGGGCAGCTGCCGGGTGAGGGGCAGTACTTAACCTGGCCCTGCCGCAAACGTCGGGCTGTGTACTATCTTCTAAGGGCTAGTACTCCGACGCCCTCGAGTTTTAGCCCAACACTGAAGATACAGACAGTACAGGGGTAAATCCTGGGCCCAGGCTCCTGGGTGAATTATTTTATCCTCCCCTATGCGCTTTGTCAGCCAAGTGAATGTAGAAAAGCAAGCAAAACTCCAGAACCCCACAACGATTCACGCCACGCTTCGGTGGCACAACTCTTTTCTTCCCCTTTTAGATTAGTACTGTGCAGGGAAGGCTGCACCTGCTACCTTCAGACACCGGGGATCTGGCTAGGACCCTCTTCCTCTACCCCTACTCTCTCCTCCCGTCCCCACCCTCTCCCAGATGCACCCCAATCCAGCCTCTCAACCCTGTCGCTGTTTGCAAACTCGAGGGATGTTTAGTGCAATTGCCTTTAAATAAGCAATTCACGTAAGAGGTATTTATTGCAGAGGGTTTCAGGTCTGGGAGGGGGTAAGGAGTTAGTTAATGAAGGATTAGAGGCAAAGCTGGGAAAGAACGAGTAGACAGGCCAGTTTCTTTCTTTCTTTTTAAAATCTATTATTCTGGAAAACCCTTGTTCGAAAAGAGTAAAGAATTGCTATTTGGGCAACAATATGGCTCCTTCAGAACTGGTCGAGAATTTCTGTGGTCTTTGCTTGACCTTCAAGTTGGGAGTTTCAAATCAGAGGCTTTGAAGTCTGGAGGAGTTCGCAGCCATTAATCCTTCCGGGGTTGTGCTAAAGGCGTTTCTAGAAAGAGATCGGAAAGACCCGTTCAGCACAGGCCCATTGCATCTTCTCTTTGAAAACGCTTGTCTGAATCAAGTATCTTATACAGACCCGAGACTGAGGGGAGCAAGAGCGCAGGTCCGGCTGTGGCGAGGTGTCCACCACCGTACTTGTGGTCAATGCCTGGACTAGAGAGCCGAGGCCGTCCAGGGCGGGCTGGCCAGGGAACCAGAAGCGTCCCTGGACTGGCTGAGTGAGGGTGCCCTTTCCAGCAACCCAGTGGCCATGGTTAAAAGGCAGAATACAACCGTCAAAGAAGTCCCCAGCTCCCACATAAGAGAGCGCAAAGGCCAATGGAACCAAGGCCTCCTCGCGAGAACTAGCTCGCTTTGAGGACAAGATCCTGGGGATGGAGGTGGGGACTGACGTAGTGAGAGGGTCTGGAGGAACAGTCGTAGCTGAAGGTCAGGACATGAAGAATTGCACGTATGGTAGGGATAGAATGGCAGGTACAACTTTTCTGTACTGAAGGAACTGGGAGAGGACGATCCGGTTAGGGAGGTTGGGGAACTAATCTCAACGCTGCGTTTACAGATGAAGCCGCTTTTATATGGCGTATATGTTTGCTTAGAGGGGCCGACGGAGATTAGGAGAAGCCATCCTTTGGCGCCAATGATCAAAGCGTCTGCCAAGGAGAAGAAGCCAAGGGATGGGCCTTTCAGAGAGGGCAAGGAGTCATGCTGCTCTGGATGCCAGTGTCAGGACAAGAAATCGAAAGGAGCGAGGACTCTTCACTGCGTGCCTCAGTCTCCCCGCTTCTGCCTCTTTCACCTCTGTCCTACTTCCGGCGCGAAAGCAGGCCACTCGCTCTGATCTAGACCTAGTTAACATTAGCTTTTCCCTTCCTTCCCTCAAATCCCCTCCCCCCTCTATCCCCGTCCCTTCTGCCGCCTGAAAGGGTTAATCTCTCCTGCGGGTAAAAACAGGTCCGCGGAGTCTCTAACTGGCGACAGATGGGCCACTTTCTTCTGGCCACAAAGGGGCCGGAATGGAGCGCTCCGCGGCATACAAATGGGCAGGTCACGTGGTTCCAGGCTCTTGGCTGGACCGGGAAGACCATATGGCGCATGCCGGGGAGGAAGGAGGAGGGGCGGGGGTAGGGGTGGAGGGTGAGGGGAGCGGTTGTCGGAGGAGGGCGGGAGACGAGCAAGGCGTGGGGAGAAGTGGGGAGGAGGGGAGAACGGGGAGCGCACAGCCTGGACGCGTGCGCAGGCGTCAGGCGCATAGACCTGCTAGCCCCTCAGCTAGCGGCCCCGCCCGCGCTTAGCATCACTAACTGGGCTATATAACCTGAGCGCCCGCGCGGCCACGACACGAGGAATTCGCCCACGCAGGAGGCGCGGCGTCCGGAGGCCCCAGGGTTATGAGACTATCACTGCTCAGGACCTACTAACAACAAAGGTAATTACAGTTCTTTCATTTTTTTGCCCCAGAATAGAAGCAATAACTGAAGACTGATGAACCTACATATTCTGTATGTGTGCGTTTGCGAGAGTGTGTATGTGTATTGAGACCAGCATCCCCCTCCATAATTGCCCATAAGTACTCACACATAATGAGTCGTGTCACTCAAGTACCCCCTGCAGGCTTTCTAATTTAAATTTTAAAAATTTGGGTTTCTTTTGTGGATAGCATAGGAGCTTCTTGGATTTTTTAAAAGAATGCACGGTAACTATGATTATCTGCTAGTGCTGATTTTAAAGTCCCAAAAGCAATAATGACTTCACTTTCTCACTTCTTACAGTAAGAAAAAAAAATCTATGTTATCAATATATATTTTGTGTGCATGTATTTTACGCACATTGGGAGTGTCAAGCTGTGTTTTCAGTGAATGAAAGGGACATGGATACCTTGAGTATTCACACCATGGAAAATAAATCAGGTTCAGAGATAGTTTAGTTGAGAGGGGGGAAAGTGGAGAAAGGGAGAGGGACTCACTCCTGCTACCTGTTACCGCTCCAGAGGCGGCCAAGTCCCCAGCAGCCACTACTGGAGCCAGAAATTCAGTTGTTTTACTAAAGGCTTTTTATTTTCCTTACTAGAAGCGGCAACTTCGCGGTTGCCAATCGCTGACCATTATAATTACTCAATCTTTTAAAGGGAGGTTTGAGGCGAACTTTGAAAAGCCCCAATAAAGAGCGGGCGGCCCTTTCAATGGGCTGTTTATTAGAGAGGAGCCTTCCGCACCTGATCCCCGGCGCGTGGGAGAGCGCTCTGCGCCGCGCCCCCAGCCCTCGCCCTGCAGCTAGCGCTTTTGTACAAGGTGGAAATTTAGCGGTGGGCCAGAGATGGAAGGCAAGAAAAGAAAGGCGAGGGAGGGGTGGAAGACCCTGTCCACTTTTGTTGCCAAATGTTACATTGATGGTGAAACAATTTGGTGGAAACTATTTTTCCTCCTTTCTGCATTTGCTTTTCAGTATCCCGTCGATGTAATCTTCTTAAAAATCGCTGCCAGTATTAGTAAATTACGCAATGGCTGTTCAACTTAAATCGCTAAGTATCTGGAAGCCAGGACAGAAATGGAAGTAGAATGTGTGATTTTACAGCTTTTTTTTTTTTTTATGGAGTTGTGAGTAACTTTGAACACATTTGGATAAACATGAAGTCGCTGAAATGTACAGTCATTTCCACACACATTATCCTGTCGGGCAACCACCATAAACACATTTAAGTTAATCACTAGGATACAAACACATATGCGTGAGTGGTGTACACATATACATATTCACTACCCTCCCCCAGTCCTGTCCTCACTCCTACGTACTAGCGGGGCACACGCACGCGCCATTATAAAACACTGCATTTAACTTTTTCTCAGAGGCATTCATTTTGTAATGGGCAGGTACTTTTCGCAAGCATTTGTACAGGTTTAGGGAGTGGAAGCTGAAGGCGTATCTGGCTTTTGAATATAGCGTTTTTCTGCTTTTCTTTCTGTTTGCCTCTCCCTTGTTGAATGTAGGAAATCGAAACATGACCAAATCGTACAGCGAGAGTGGGCTGATGGGCGAGCCTCAGCCCCAAGGTCCTCCAAGCTGGACAGACGAGTGTCTCAGTTCTCAGGACGAGGAGCACGAGGCAGACAAGAAGGAGGACGACCTCGAAACCATGAACGCAGAGGAGGACTCACTGAGGAACGGGGGAGAGGAGGAGGACGAAGATGAGGACCTGGAAGAGGAGGAAGAAGAGGAAGAGGAGGATGACGATCAAAAGCCCAAGAGACGCGGCCCCAAAAAGAAGAAGATGACTAAGGCTCGCCTGGAGCGTTTTAAATTGAGACGCATGAAGGCTAACGCCCGGGAGCGGAACCGCATGCACGGACTGAACGCGGCGCTAGACAACCTGCGCAAGGTGGTGCCTTGCTATTCTAAGACGCAGAAGCTGTCCAAAATCGAGACTCTGCGCTTGGCCAAGAACTACATCTGGGCTCTGTCGGAGATCCTGCGCTCAGGCAAAAGCCCAGACCTGGTCTCCTTCGTTCAGACGCTTTGCAAGGGCTTATCCCAACCCACCACCAACCTGGTTGCGGGCTGCCTGCAACTCAATCCTCGGACTTTTCTGCCTGAGCAGAACCAGGACATGCCCCCCCACCTGCCGACGGCCAGCGCTTCCTTCCCTGTACACCCCTACTCCTACCAGTCGCCTGGGCTGCCCAGTCCGCCTTACGGTACCATGGACAGCTCCCATGTCTTCCACGTTAAGCCTCCGCCGCACGCCTACAGCGCAGCGCTGGAGCCCTTCTTTGAAAGCCCTCTGACTGATTGCACCAGCCCTTCCTTTGATGGACCCCTCAGCCCGCCGCTCAGCATCAATGGCAACTTCTCTTTCAAACACGAACCGTCCGCCGAGTTTGAGAAAAATTATGCCTTTACCATGCACTATCCTGCAGCGACACTGGCAGGGGCCCAAAGCCACGGATCAATCTTCTCAGGCACCGCTGCCCCTCGCTGCGAGATCCCCATAGACAATATTATGTCCTTCGATAGCCATTCACATCATGAGCGAGTCATGAGTGCCCAGCTCAATGCCATATTTCATGATTAGAGGCACGCCAGTTTCACCATTTCCGGGAAACGAACCCACTGTGCTTACAGTGACTGTCGTGTTTACAAAAGGCAGCCCTTTGGGTACTACTGCTGCAAAGTGCAAATACTCCAAGCTTCAAGTGATATATGTATTTATTGTCATTACTGCCTTTGGAAGAAACAGGGGATCAAAGTTCCTGTTCACCTTATGTATTATTTTCTATAGCTCTTCTATTTAAAAAATAAAAAAATACAGTAAAGTTTAAAAAATACACCACGAATTTGGTGTGGCTGTATTCAGATCGTATTAATTATCTGATCGGGATAACAAAATCACAAGCAATAATTAGGATCTATGCAATTTTTAAACTAGTAATGGGCCAATTAAAATATATATAAATATATATTTTTCAACCAGCATTTTACTACTTGTTACCTTTCCCATGCTGAATTATTTTGTTGTGATTTTGTACAGAATTTTTAATGACTTTTTATAATGTGGATTTCCTATTTTAAAACCATGCAGCTTCATCAATTTTTATACATATCAGAAAAGTAGAATTATATCTAATTTATACAAAATAATTTAACTAATTTAAACCAGCAGAAAAGTGCTTAGAAAGTTATTGTGTTGCCTTAGCACTTCTTTCCTCTCCAATTGTAAAAAAAAAAAAAAAAAAAAAAAAAAAAAAAAAATTGCACAATTTGAGCAATTCATTTCACTTTAAAGTCTTTCCGTCTCCCTAAAATAAAAACCAGAATCATAATTTTCAAGAGAAGAAAAAATTAAGAGATACATTCCCTATCAAAACATATCAATTCAACACATTACTTGCACAAGCTTGTATATACATATTATAAATAAATGCCAACATACCCTTCTTTAAATCAAAAGCTGCTTGACTATCACATACAATTTGCACTGTTACTTTTTAGTCTTTTACTCCTTTGCATTCCATGATTTTACAGAGAATCTGAAGCTATTGATGTTTCCAGAAAATATAAATGCATGATTTTATACATAGTCACAAAAATGGTGGTTTGTCATATATTCATGTAATAAATCTGAGCCTAAATCTAATCAGGTTGTTAATGTTGGGATTTATATCTATAGTAGTCAATTAGTACAGTAGCTTAAATAAATTCAAACCATTTAATTCATAATTAGAACAATAGCTATTGCATGTAAAATGCAGTCCAGAATAAGTGCTGTTTGAGATGTGATGCTGGTACCACTGGAATCGATCTGTACTGTAATTTTGTTTGTAATCCTGTATATTATGGTGTAATGCACAATTTAGAAAACATTCATCCAGTTGCAATAAAATAGTATTGAAAGTGAGAGCAATTGTTGCATTTCTTCTTAAAGGGATTCTGTTTTTATTTTTGGGGAAAGTAGTTGCTTTTTTGCTGAGTTAAAAAATACTAAACACTATATGTAGAATAAAAGAAAAGAAAAAAGTTTACCTTGGCATATGCTCTTGTCTGTTTATCTTGCACAGGGAGTCACCAGTTCTATGTAGATAATGAAAAGACCTAACTGATATTTCATTATTTGGAATATGGGACTGGACGGCAGTACAAACAGTGTGTTTTTTTCTTTGTTTTAAGTGGCTTAGCCTTTAGGTTTTTTATTTCCATTTTTAAAAATGATTGTTACATGTTTTCTTCTATTTCTTTTTTTAAAAGGTGGATTTTAATAATTATTAACAAGCAAGACATAAACAAGTATCCTAGCTTAGTTTGTCTATACATTTAAGATGTATAAAACATTACTATTTTCTTGGTCTTCTGTTATCTGTACATTTTTCTGAACTAAACAGTTTTATCTTGCAAACTAGTACTGTCCCAGAAAAATTTATACACCTTTAGGAAGTACCAAAGGGAAATGAGTTAATTAATTTAAAGAATCCAAGAGAAGTAACATTTTATAATTGTTCTATTAACATCTTGTGATGATTTCCATCATTTTTCCAAGAAAAAGCATAATGGATTATTTGTACTGAAGAACACACTATTTGTACTGTATTTAGGAAGGTGTAATTATTTCCTCCCCCCACCCTTTGGGGCACTATTCTGTTGTTTCATGAACACAACTCACTGGAAAAACTTATGGATGATTCTGTCTATTGTTAAGTCCACTTCAAAAAAAAAAAAACAGTTTGGCATTTCTTTTCCTCTGGATGTATTGACTGACAGTCATGATTCCTAGGGAATATCATTTTGGCACTTGTGCCCTGGCTCTACTGTGGTGCTCTGATTACTGTCATTAGTAACTCCATTGTTTCTACTCTGATTCGGGTGCCACATTGGATGACTACCCCCCTTCCCAAGCTTGTTCCTTTAATCTCCTTCTCATTGGTGATTTAGGGGTTCCAGAAAGCTGACCTCATTTAGCAAGCTGCTCCAGAAAAATGTGAGTAATGTAATGGACAGGAACAATTAGCCATACTAATAACATTGCCAATGAGGCTGCGTCAAGCTGTGACAGAAGCAGTAAGGAATACTTCGACGTTAAAAAAATGTTTGAGAGCAATTTAAAATATATTATTTTAACATGTTTTCTATCAGCCTTCATCACATGACAGAAATACTTTTAAGTTAGTCCCAACTTTATCTAAAATGCAGCAATCTCATTCCAAGTGAATCAGAGTTGTTATTTTGGAATCAAGCTGTTGCTTTCTATATCCTGGATTGTTCTCACTGTTCTTACTTTAAGAGACATAATACTGATATGATACTTGAATACTACCAGCCTTCCAGTGTAGGAGGTAATGAAGTGAGCATTCAGATCTGATCTAACCTATTAAGTAGCTCAATTTCACCTGCAATTAAAATTAGACATCTTCATGCAAACTAAAATCTGTTGCTGTAGTGAAGAGAAGAAATAAAAGAATGCCATTTTGAGAATTCCAGCTTCCAAAATAGCAAACAGGGAAATCTAGACTGTGTTCTTTTGTAAGGTAGAAATGAAGACTAAAAGTTAGGTTTTTTTTTTTTTTCTTCCCATTTTGCCAATACAACTTCATTCTAAAACATAGGGATTCTTTCAGTCAGTCAAGGAGTAACTCACATGCCACCATCTTTTATTCAAAGGCAGGCACAGATGTTCCTTCTGCAGGGGAGGATTTAATTTATGAAAATGATATTGTTTATGCATGAATGAACTGCATGCACTCTGCATAACACATAGCACTTCCATCTGATCAGAGAAATACCACAGAACCAGTGCCAATGTCAGAAACATATTCTACAAATTTACTCACTTAAATGTTTAATGAATATTTGGAAGGCATTTTCAAACCATAAGAAACATTTTAAATTATCTTCTTTTATGAATTCCTACCCATATTTAAAAGAGACTCTTACAGTTTTTGTAATTGGCTAATGCTTATACCCAGTTTGTAAGAAAAGAACATATTTTACTAAATGAAAACCAACCAAAAAAAAATGCTGGCAAGTTTGGCTTCACTGGAAAAAATATTTCGTTTAGTTTTGCTGTTTAATGCTTGTCATGAATAATATTTGGGATTCTATCTGTTTCTTCATCTTGAGCCACGACTATTCCTATCAAATAAGATGCTTAGGTATACTTGTTTAATGTGAAAATCCTATGAATAGTTATTTCTAGAAAAAGCTGGTATGTAAAATCAGGGGGAAATTTCATAAAGATGAAATTGGGCTAAATATTGTAACATGCATAATTACTATTGAATAGGAACACTTCACATAACATATTTTACTTTATATAACCAATTGCAGCTATATAGTATGATCTATCTACTTTTAATCATTAAAACAATTATATATAAATTAAAATGAAAGATTATAATATCAAGAGTGTTCTACTAATTTTAGGTTTATAATATGTTACAGTAAAATACCATTTGAAATAAATTTTGTGTTCTAATTTATCTTAAAATCTCTCTGTTTTTACATTTGAAAGTCCTTACATTCTTACAAAATTAATGCATTTTCTGAAAGAAGCTAGCAATTACTAAAATGATATATGGATCATTAGCTAACAGTTTGAATCAAGCTGTTTTAGTTCTATAATTATACAAGAAATTTAAAGTGAAAATACCTATTAAGCAATTAATAAAACTAGGTTTCAAAATATTGGCTAATTTTCTCCTAATGGGAAATGTAAAATAGCAAAACTGCTTCTTAAACTACACAAAAACCTCCTCACTTCTCCTTTTCTCTCTCTCTAACACCACTTATTTCCTGAAAATCATCTAAATAAAATATTTAATTCCAGGGTCTGATGAAGAATAAAAGAGCCAATGCAACATCTTGTGGAACACCAGGACTGAGAACTCTTGTTGTTACCATTGCAAAGAGGCGTTCTGGCGTCAGATGCACAGTGATTTGTATGGTGGCATAATCATTGGCTCCTGGCCAGGCATTATGTTTCAGAGGACACTATTGTCAAGAACCATTCAACTAGAAATCTGCACTGTATGCACTCAAAAGTTGAGATCATCTGCCTTCCTATGACAGGAAGAATTCTGTGCTGGCAATTGACTCATGGACTCTCTTCACATACACTAAGGCTTGGTCCAGTGGCTCTGATGGAATTAACTGTGCAGCCAAACTAGTGGCATTGACAAGACAGGGCCACAGTCTCTGGGGACTTCAGGAGAAATTGCTAATTTTAAAATGCAGAGTATTATGTTAATGCTGGATTAAATCTTCAGATACATTAAATGTGGATTTGGCCATCTAAGCATTATTATGTTATTTGCCCAGTTAATTTAGAGGTAGATGGATGGTGACAATAACCATCTCTACAGATCCACAATTCTAAGAGATGGATCCAATTGTGAAATGATATGGAGAGATAGAGTAAGTTCAATCTAGCATATATGAAGTAATTTGGTAACTGACTTTTCTTTTAACAAGATCAAAAGCTAACCTGCTTTACACTTTCATGTCTAAGGACAGCCAACCAGAGAGATGGCTTCACACACTAGCCCACTGCTAAGTGCTTTTCATTCACTTTCATATTTCATCATCAAAGCACCCTCCTGCCTTATTTATAGATGGGGAAACTTCAGGAAGTTGAGATACCTAGATATTTGCATTCCTGTCTTCCTTTCTTCATTCAGGTTTTTCTTTCATTGCCACTTCCTCAAAGAAGCTTTTACTGATTCCCATTTAAAATAGCAACTGACTTCAACTCCACCAAAATCACTGTATTGCCCCTCCCTCTTTCCAGAGCATTTGCCTATCAAATGTTATCTTATGTATTTACTTGTATAGCTTAATTTTAAACTATCTATCTCTAGGTCTTCTGAGCACCTGAGAAACAGAGACAAAGTTGTCTCTTCTGTGTGTTGCTGTTCCTCTGGTGCTTAGAAGACCTAGAGGATCCTCAATAAATATTAACTTTCCAAGGGAACTGAAGAGCACTAATGTGATGCTAAAGCCTGTTGCCTTAACCACTATGCTATAAGTCAAATCAGTTGAGAATGGAGAGGACCACAAATTATTTTCAGTCCAGCAAGTGTTATAAACATTAATTCTATAAAAAGAAAACAATTGAAACTAATTTCTTATTATATTGCATGGCACCAAACTCCCCCCACTTCCTTTTTGAGGATCATGAGTTGTCTGTCATTGTTTCTTTTTATTGATATCAATTGGTTAAATATAATCTGGAATTGGAATAAAAGAAAAACTATTATAGGCTTTTTCCAGACCATGTATTTCAATGCATATTATTTTTTCCTTTCTGTTCATTATTCTTTCAGTAATTGCACTTGTTCTATTTTTAGTGTTATGTAAAATTACTGTAGCTCATAATTTCTATTTTGAAGGGTTCAGTGTATAAACTTAGCACATCAATACTATCTTTTTAGTGTTCGCGCTCAATGGTGTCAGTTAAGAGATCACCATCACTTTTGGTGACGTCAATGAAGGGGTATTGCAATGCTTAAGAGAACTGTTAATCCCTTTCCACTGGTGTCACTAACAATTGTAGTGCTTGTTTATTCATAGCAGGTACGTGACTAAGTAATGTTAACATCAAAGCAGAAAGAGGATAATAGAGTGTTCTAAAAAGAAAATTCGGTGGTTGGGTGCAGTGGCTCACACCTGTAATCCCAGCACTTTTGAGAGGCCAATGGGGGTGGATAGTTTGAGCCTAGGAGTTCAAGACCAGTCTGGGCAATATGGTGAAACCTCGTGTCTACAAAAAATACAAAAACTAGTGGTGCATGATGGCATGCATCTATAGTCCCAGCTACTCGGGAGGCTCAGGTGGGAGGATCACCTGAGCCTGGGGAGGTCAAGGCTGCAGTGAGACGTGATTGTACCACTGTACTCCAGCCTGGGTGACAAAGTGAGACCCTGTCTCAAAAAAAAAATGATTTGAGATAACATCACTTGTCATTGTTTGTTAACTGAATAATCTTTATTCTAGCCAGTGCCTAAATACATAATAAATGATAGTACAAATGGATATAAATTATAACTAAACCTAAGTAGTGATATTTATCACAATATTTCTTTACTAGAAGAATTTCTTTGTTAATAGAGGCAAGGCTACTTGTTTAGATACCTTAAAATAACATAAGATTTTTGGATAAATAAATTAATGATTCTTTGATTCTGACTGGCATATTAAAAATATTAAGCGAAGAGATCTTTGCTTCCCAGGTTTTATTTTTTGTCTAATTAACTACTGGTGCATTTATATTAAAACATATTGTCAAGGGAAAACGTATATATATATATGTGTATATATGGTGTGTGTGTGTGTGTGTGTGTGTGTGTGTGCACACATATGCTATACTTGGTTGAGTAGTATCCCCTTCCCTTGCCCACCTCTCTCCCAAATTTATGTCCATCCAGAACCTCAAAATGTGGCCTCATTTGAAATATTGTCTTTCCAGATTTAATTAAGATATAAGATGTAAATTGATACAAGTTCATGCTGGATTACGGTGGGCCCTAAATCCAATCACTGATGTCCTGATAAGAAGCAGACAGAACACACAGACACACAGCATACAGGAAGAATGGCATGTGAAGGCAAAGACAGAGACTGGAGTGATGTGTCTACAAATCAAGGGGCCCCAAGGATTTGGGGCCCACATCAGAAGCTGGGAAAGAGACAGGAATTCTCAGCTTCTCCTTCTGAATCCCTAAGAAGGAATCAACCCTGCTGACACCTTGATTTTAAACTTCTTGTCTCCAGAACTGTAATATAATACATTTCTGTTGTCTTAAGCTACCCAGTTGCTGGTGATTTGTTATGGCAGCCCTAGGAAACTGATAGGTATACTAAAATCTCTAATGAATTGATGTTAAATATATATAAGTATAGGAGAGTTCATTTAAATTCTTCTGAAAATGTCTTCTTAAACTTTTAATGATACAGTATATAACAACCAGTATACGTAGTTGGTATCGGGTTTGACATTTAAACAAGCTGACAAAAAACAGCTGTTTAATAAACATCTGAATTATATAAAAGTTTTATTGTTTATTATTCATGTGAATGACTTAAACTGACATCTACATTTAGTGAAGTGTGAATGGGCCTAGCCAATAAACTATGGGTAATTTTTTTAAAGTCTCATCTTTGAACTCACAAAAAATTATCAAATATCAGCTATTATGTATTCTTCATGTGAAGAAAATGTCATATTTATTTGATTTGTGGATTAGCATATATATTAATAGAGCTTTTGAAAGAACAAATGTAGCACTTTCCCGATTTCATAGACACTCATTTAACACACAAGTTCATATTTTAAAGTACATAATTTTAAAAAAATTCTAGTCCAAATGAATTTAAGTGCCATGACTTCTAAAAATTCTGTCTCTATTTTTGGGTTTTATAGGACCTTGAGCCAGTACTCTTCTGGTGAGCTTAAGAGGCTAAGACTTCACCTTTAGTTATATGGGGCTTTCATCTGATTATTTGTCTATTTTGATTGCTCTAAATACAAGTTAGTGTGTATTTCATCTGAATGTATTTCATTATAAGTTTTGGTTTTATGTAGATCTGGGGATCTGTCTTGTTTTTAATCTTGATTGGTCTGTTTGTTTTGGGATAGTTGGTACTTTCATTTCTTATGCTTGCTTTCTTTTTCATTTTGTGCCCACCTTTAGTCAGGTGAACATCAGTAAGGAATAAAATTTTATTTTTTTAAGCCACTGAAAAAATTTAAAAACCACATCATAACTCTGCCTCTGCTGACTGATAAAAATGCTAACTTATTAAGACAAAATGTTATGCAAGAAGACTTTATTGGAATAGAGAAACATCCTTTTTATGTAAGAAATATCAACAGAGACATGTGCCTTTCTTGTGACAAATGTGGTATGTGTGTGGATTAGAGGTCTGGAATGTGGCAGCATTTCAGTACTTGGAGGGGAGAATTAGAGTAGGGTAGAAAGATAGACGGGGAGCAGAGGATGATTCTCACCCAGTAGAAAGCAGAGTGAAGAAAGAAAGGGGAATTGTTTTTTGCATTATATTATTTGAACTGTGGATTAAGTCTTTCCATAAGCCATCCCTACGCCTCTAAGTAGGTTTTATTAACTTAAGCTGGTTTGAGATGGGTTTTTGGTCACACACAAGAATTGCCTGATACAAGAGAGGCTTTGATTTTGTTGTTGCTTGCTCATTTTTATACACTAAGATGGAGAAAACCCTGGACATAGTGAAGACGAAATTGAGGAAGGTGTTGGGTAGAGTGGAGGGTAGAAGACCTGTAACATAGGTACAGAATTACATTAAACTGGAAGGACTTATATCCAGATATAGGAGTCAGGGTAGAAAGAGAGAATGTTAGCAGTAAGGGTAACAGAGTAGCAGAAGTTTATTCTTACCAGGTCCTGTTATGTGACAGTGGAGGCATGTTGACCTTCTGACTAGGGGAGTTAAAGGAGAACACTGAAGGTTTAGAATAATGTCTCTAAGGATAGAAAGAGAAAGTTTCATCAAGACTCATCAATAATAGGGCAGCAGGGCTTAGGGCCAAGCAAATTCAGAGACCATGATATTATAGTAGTTTGTAGTGGTCTTAATCCATCTAATTTTTCAGCATTTTCTCAATGGCCAATACTTAGCAGTGGTAGTGTTTTATGGCATTTGGACAACAGAAGTGAAAGCACTGGTAAGAGAGACGTTGAAGTGAAACACCATGGGGCTCAGAAAAGCAGAGTTGATCCATCTGGTACATGGGCAAGGATGGTCCTGAACAATTCTGCAGTAAGTTGGAAGATAGAAAAAATACCTAACGAACTTGTAGATCTGGGTAAGGAGATTTTTGGCAGAATATTGTAAGGCTAATTGGCTTCTCTTAACTATATGAGATAGGGTTTTACAAGGGAGAGATAAGCGAGCATAATTTAGAAGAACTATAGGGGGTCCCAGGCAGACTCTCTGGCTGGAAAATTATTCTGATAGCAAGAAATTAGCCCCAAAGCAAAGATGAAAAGTAGGGTACTTCCAATTAAACATGTCATAAGGGCAAGCCTCAATCAAGAGTGTGGCTAGAAGGCACAGCTCACCTGGACAAAAGTGCTTCTAAGCATATTAGGAGCATATACCACAATAACCTGACTTGGACCCAAAGTTGAGAGAGGCCAGTCTCAAAAAAATTTGAGGGAATTGCTTTTGCATAATATGATACTTTATATACATATCTGTTACATATCATATATATCATATTAAAAAGAAAAAAAACCCTGTTTTTCCTTCCGTTCTTTCATATAACCCTTCTGACAACAAATGTGGAGTTTTTCACACACTAAGCAATTCTTTAGTTCTTGCTGGACACTTCCTGGATGTCCTACAATTCAACTCGATTCTCACACAACTGCCCAGAGTCAGTGCAGACCCGCAGATTAAAGGCTTAGCCCCAAAAGACTACCCCCCACTTTAGATGTCAATCACAAGTCTCAACTTCATTTACTTCTGAAGGACGAGCTATACATTGGAGGAAACCCCTCTTTCTTTCAATAATTTGCTAGAATGGCTCACAAAACTCTGGGAAACATTTACTTATGGTTACCAATTTATTATAAAGGATATAACTCAGAAACAGCCAAATGGAATAGATTCATAGGGTGAAAAATGGGGGAGAGGCATGGAGCACAACTCTCTCAGCACCTCCATGTGTTCACCAACCCAGAAGCTCTCAGAACTCCTTCATTTAGGGCTTTTATGGAGCTTTATCAAGTAGGAATGATTCATGAAATACTGGCATTGGTGATTAACTTAACCTCCAGCCCCTTTCCCCTCCCTCAACATTGGGGGTGAAGCTAAAAGTTCCAACTCTGTAATCACAGGGTGAGCTTCCCTGGCAACTAGTCCCCTGATCCTTAGGGGGCTTCTGAAAGTCACCTCATTATCATAAACTCAGGTGTGGTTGAAAGGGATGTTTTGAATAACAAAAGATGCGCCTTTTTCCTTTATCTTTCTGAGTTGTTTCAGGAGCTAGGGACAAAAGACTAATACTATAACAACAACAACAAAAAATTCAATTTTTGCTTTTATCTCTTGGGAATTACAAGGATTTTAGGAGCTCTGTCCAGAAGCCAGTGATGAAGATCAAAATACATATTTCTTATTATATCACAATTCACACATGTACATGATATCCGTAAGATAAGTGAACTACATAAAGTAAGCTCACAAAGTTTCTGTAGGAGTTTTGTCCATTTACAAACAGTTTGTAAGCTAAAAGTATCTGTGACAAGCCTCAGTCAATTTAGAAGTTCATTTTTCCAATGTTAAGGACATGCCTGTGACACAGCCTCAGAAGGTCCTGATGACATGTGCCCAAGGTGATCAGGCTACAGCTTGGCTTTATACATTTAGGGAGACATAAGACATCAATCGATACATGTAAGATGAATATTAGCTCAGTCCAGAGAAGCAGGACTACTGAAAGTGGAGGCTTGCAGGTCACAGGCAGATTCAAAGGTTTTCTGATTGGGAATTGGTTGAGTTATTATCTTAAGACCTGGAATTAATAAAAGGGAATTTATCATGCAGATGAAGCTTTAGGTAGCAGGCTTCAGAGACATTAGATTGTAAAGGTTTCTTATCAGACTTAAAAGAGTCTGTTCTAACAGTCTTTAGGTCTCAGTGTTGATGT
Organism: Homo sapiens; assembly: GCF_000001405.40. Taxonomy (NCBI): domain Eukaryota; kingdom Metazoa; phylum Chordata; class Mammalia; order Primates; family Hominidae; genus Homo; species Homo sapiens. The sequence continues at coordinate 181,666,685 of NC_000002.12, read as the reverse complement.
TAATGCTGGTCAGCTGTGCCTGAATTCCAAAAGGGAGGAGAGTATAATGAGGCATGTCTGAGTCCCTTTTCCCATCATGGCATGAACTAGTTTTTCAGGTTAACTTTGGAATGTCCTTGGCTGAGAGGAGGGGTCCATTGAGATGGTTGGGTGGCTTGGAATTTTATGTTTGGTTTACAAGTTTAACATTAAAAGCCTCTGTACCTCCAATGTTTTATGGACAAAAAGAAGGCTGAAAAAGCTACTTGGCTGTAATCATGGGCCATTTCTTGCTGAAAAGAAGAATAAAATGGAGGCAGAACCAAAAGCCCAGAGGCTAGAGCCAAGAGCTGCTGAGAATGATGAATTAGGGAACCACTCTCAGAGAGCAGATCTGGATGTGAGATAGGAACATTTTCTTTCTCAGGGTCTATGAAACTGGCAACATATGCTCTCCTGAATTTCAGAATTGCTATGGACCAGTGACTGTGATATGCTTTCTATATTTTTCCCTTTTGAATGGGTGCATCTATCTTGATTATCCTCTGTCTCATTATTGTATGTTGGATTTGTGTGGGACGATAACATGTGTTTTTAGTTCCTAGGTTCCCAGAATAAGAGGAGCACACTCAAAGAGCGACATTTATGAGATACTGGATTTTTCACTTGATATCATAATTGGGTGAGACTTGAAAGAAAGTGAACATATTTTGCAAATGGGAGGGATGTTAACCACTGACAACCACACCCACAGGGTCCACTGTATTAGCCTATCTGCAAAGACGGCTGCCAAAAATTCCTTCTGTCCATATATACATTCCCTTTTTTAATGTGACTGTTTCACCTGCCAGCAACTGAAGGGCTTTATTTCCATTTCCCCTTGTGACTTGTTTGACTAACAGCAAGAAGCAAAAGTAATGCTATTCCAATTCTAGACCTGGGCCTTAAGAGGCATGACAGCTTCTGCTTTTACTCTCTTGAAACTCAATGTCATTTTTTAAAAGCTCAGGCTAGACTACTCATCATGAGGGACCACATGAAAAGAGATAGGCCCAGCTAGTTTCCACCCATTCCAGCCGCTCCAGATGAGATGCCAGACATGCAAATGAAGCCATCTTGGATATTTCAGCCCCAGCTGAGCTTCCAGCTAAATGTAAGTACATTCAGTTGATACCTCATAGAGCGGAACTACTGAGCTGACTTCATCCAACTCACAGAATCATAATGAATAACAAATCATTGTTGCTTTAAGTCAATACATTTAAAGTTTTTTTGTTATCCAGTTGTAGATGAATTATACAGCCTGGGGGGAAAAAGGAGATAGCACACTGTTAGTTGCCTCATCAATATTCATCCCCAAATTCTTTTTCCTTTTTAGTAGGTCTCACCTCCCACCTGGAAGCTGAAAACACCTTTCCCAGTCTCTCTGGAAGCTACAGCACAGGCATGTTGCCCAATTCTAAACAATAGGACATGATAGGAGGTCTGCTGGGTGGGATTTTTGAAAATATTTTTTTTTCTGGTTAAGAAAAAAGAAATGCCCAAGGAAAACCTACAAATGCCCCTTCCATTCTTGCTTTTGGACATTTTTTGGGAGAGGGTATGATGCTTAGCACTCCTGCAGCCATCTCGGGGCCAACAATAGAATCCTTGTTGCTACCTGGTGATAGTGAAGTAGAAAGCTACAAAGCTCTTGATTTCTTTTCTTTTTTTTTTTTTTTTAAATTTTATTATTATACTTTAAGTTTTAGGGTACATGTGCACATTGTGCAGGTTAGTTACATATGTATACATGTGCTATGCTGGTGCGCTGCACCCACTAACTCGTCGTCTAGCATTAGGTATATCTCCTAATGCTATCCCTCCCCCCTCCCCCCACCCCACAACAGTCCCCAGAGTGTGATGTTCCCCTTCCTGTGTCCATGTGATCTCATTGTTCAATTCCCACCTATGAGTGAGAATATGCAGTGTTTGGTTTTTTGTTCTTGTGATAGTTTACTGAGAATGATGATTTCCAATTTCATCCATGTCCCTACAAGGGACATGAACTCATCATTTTTTATGGCTGCATAGTATTCCATGCTGTATATGTGCCACATTTTCTTAATCCAGTCTATCATTGTTGGACATTTGGGTTGGTTCCAAGTCTTTGCTATTGTGAATAGTGCCGCAATAAACATACGTGTGCATGCGTCTTTATAGCAGCATGATTTATAGTCCTTTGGGTATATACCCAGTGATGGGATGGCTGGGTCAAATGGTATTTCTACTTCTAGATCCCTGAGGAATCGCCACACTGACTTCCACAATGGTTGAACTAGTTCACAGTCCAACAGTGTAAAAGTGTTCCTATTTCTCCACATCCTCTCCAGCACCTGTTGTTTCCTCACTTTTTAATGATTGCCATTCTAACTGGTGTGAGATGGTATCTCATTGTGGTTTTGATTTGCATTTCTCTGATGGTCAGTGGTGATGAGCATTTTTTCATGTGTTTTTTGACTGCATAAATGTCTTCTTTTGAGAAGTGTCTGTTCATGTCCTTTGCCCACTTTTTGATGGGGTTGTTTTTTTTTTCTTGTAAATTTGTTTGAGTTCATTGTAGATTCTGGATATTAGCCCTTTGTCAGATGAGTAGGTTGCAAAAATTTTCTCCCATGCTCGTGGGTAGGAAGAATCAATATCGTGAAAATGGCCATACTGCCCAAGGTAATTTACAGATTCAATGCCATCCCCATCAAGCTACCAATGACTTTCTTCACAGAATTGGAAAAAACTACTTTAAAATTCATATGGAACCAAAAAAGAGCCCGCATCGCCAAGTCAATCCTAAGCCAAAAGAACAAAGCTTGGAGGCATCACACTACCTGACTTCAAACTATACTACAAGGCTTCAGTAACCAAAACAGCATGGTACTGGTACCAAAACAGAGATATAGATCAATGGAACACAGCAGAGCCCTCAGAAATAACGCCGCATATCTACAACTATCTGATCTTTGACAAACCTGAGAAAAACAAGCAATGGGGAAAGGATTCCCTATTTAATAAATGGTGCTGGGAAAACTGGTTAGCCATATGTAGAAAGCTGAAACTGGATCCCTTCCTTACACCTTATACAAAAATCAATTCAAGATGGATTAAAGACTTAAACGTTAGACCTAAAACCATAAAAACCCTAGAAGAAAACCTAGGCAATACCATTCAGGACATAGGCATGGGCAAGGACTTCATGTCTAAAACACGAAAAGCAATGGCAACAAAAGACAAAATTGACAAATGGGATCTAATTAAACTAAAGAGCTTCTGTACGGCAAAAGAAACTACCATCAGAGTGAACAGGCAACCTACAAAAGCTCTTGATTTCTAATGACATCATATGGGATGAACCAACCCAGGAACAGCCTGACTCTGGACCTCTTTTAATGTCAGAAATAAAATCTTATTTGTAAACCACTCTTAGTTGTTCAGGTTGTTGACACAGGCACTGAAGTGCCTCCAAATGGTGATGAATAATGAGGCAAAAGTCAAAGACAGCAAGTCTAGTGTCAAATTTTTTGATGCCTATGGGTAAGAAGTTCAAGAAAGTGAGCTATTTTCTTTCTTTTTAAAATTTATTTTTATTTTTGTGGGTATATAGATGTATACATTAGTCAGCTATTTTCAATAGTGAGAAGGGATGTTGCCACTTAGTATAATGCCTTTTTCATAGCTATCATAGAAACCATATATACATATAGTATAGAAAATGAGGATAGATTTCTGACTTAAACTGCCTATTTCATTTGTGTGCCTGGTTACACCTAATTCAAGACTCTACAATACAGCATTGCTAGCAATTACTGTGAGAATATTTCAAGCTCCCTATTTGCTGGAAATACATTTCATTTTTTTGTTCCAAGTTTATGAATATTAGAACCTATCTAAAAAGGAGCTTTTAAAAACTTGAGGAAAGGAAAAGGGAGGGCCTACTTTTCTTGCCTGTGTTATTTCTTGTTACTGCTGATTGAGATGCTAGAGATCATATTGGGTGAGATGTGTCTTAGAATACAGCTGAGCAATTCACTTTTAACAGTTTCCATCTGAGTACAAAAAACTGGTATGTGCAGAAAACTTGATATTCTGACTTGGCGGGATTCTAGGATTTGTTCTATTTTTTTCTGTAATTGTTGTAGGGACATATGGCCCTGTACCTTTTGGGCAGCAGGAGCCAGAATAGCAGGAACATTCTGACAAAATTCCCACTCAGCATGAGAGGGAAGCAGTCCCCTTGATACACTGATGATGTGCCCACTTAGCATTACAAGTGTTTGAGAGGTGGACACAACTAAAACTCACCTCACTCAAAATATATATTGACACGGAGAAAGTAAATACAATTTGCTGTTATTAACCTTTCTTCTCACCATTGAGACATGTTAAATATCTGAAATTAATAAAGGAATTAAATTTAAAAAGTTTACTTATCATGCATTTAACACATTTATTGAGCATCTGTTATATAAATGCACTGTTTCAGGCACAAGAGATAGAGCCATAAATAAGCAGATTAAATCACTATTCTCAACTGAGGTACTAATCTGATATAAGAGAGGAGACAGAAATAAGTAAACATTATAAATCAACTACATACTTTTACATGGTGTAAAGTGCAATTAAGAAAATATTATTGAATAGAGGTCAATTTTGGAATGGTTGGGCAGGGAAGACCTTCTGAGGTGACAAGAAGTTGGCCTGGGCACCATGGGGAGCTCTACCATGGTGAAAAGTGTTCCAGACAGAGTAGACAGCAACAGCAGAGGCCCTAAATGAGAATGCACTTGGCTTATCTGGAGAGTAGAATGAAGGCCAGTGTGGTAGGACACATACTAATAATAGGAGAAAACTGATAGAAAAGAGGGTTTGAGCAGGTGGGCAGGAATTGGACAACATGGTGTCTCATATGTCATAATAGAAGTTTGGATTTTATTCTACCTGCAGTGAGAAGTTCTTAATAAAAAAAAAATTCTATAAACTGGAGTTTGAGAAAGAACTATGTTGATGATAGCATAAGCCCTCAATCACTTGTCACATAAACTCCAAACTTCAGCAGAGACTCAGGGAGATCAAAGGGACTACCACAGGATTACCCACTGGCTAAAATTCAGATCCATGGCAGTTGGTCCTGACTGGAATTAGACTTCCTTGTCTGTTGCCCTCATTGCAGTGGGTCTGAATGTCTCTGTCGGCTGTGAATTTTTCTCCCTCTATCTGTGGCACTGAGAAGGTGGCCCAGACTTCCAGAGTCTGTCTCATTGGCCTATTACTTGGGGATTTGCTGCCCTTCTTCTGGAAGTTTGGGTATTTGTTTTCAGAGCATACTTAAAGGCCTCCTGAAAGCAATGTTAACAATAGCAGGATATATTTTACAGTCTTCTACTCAGACTTGGATTTTTAAGAACCAGGGATGGAGACTGTGTTTCCAGATCTAGTCAAATCCCTTCCAAACATAAAGCAACAAAGTGCCTTTTAAACTAGGACCTGTACTGTTTAATGCTCTGGAAACAAATACCCAAGCTTCAGCCAAAGGAGGGAAAGCTATGTTCAGGAAGCTTCCTGAAAGTTTTTTGAAAGCAATTTTCATGCATTAGTATTTTACATATATATATATATATATATACACACACACACACACACACATATATATAAACATATATATATATACACATGAATCACTAATGAGACAATTGATCTTCAGGAACTAACGTGAAATAATTGGGGTATCTTGGTATTATTGTTATAGATAAATGTTGAAGAAGTTCATTCTTTCAGATATTAATTGAGCACTTACTGTGTACTAAGAACTGTGATAGATACTGGGGATTTAATGGTGAACAAGATAAATTCTCTGCCATCAGGGGGCTTATATTCTAACAAACTTAAAATTTACTGAGTGTTCTCTGTATTTCAGTATTGTTACTAAGTACACTAACTTAGTGGGGAAGCTAGACAATAAACAAAGAAGTATGTAATAAGAATTAATAGTAAGTGCTGTAAAGAATACTAAAGCAGGTTATGGTAGAGAGATTAATGGCAGCGTGAAGATGTCCATGTTTCAATCCCCAGAACCTGTGAATATGTTACCTTACATAGCAAAAGAGGCTTTGAAAACATAATTAAGGGTTATCTGGGCAGGCCCAATGTAATCATAAGAGTCCTTATCTAAGACGGGGGACAAAGGTCAAAGACAGAGGAAAAGAGACGATTTAAGGATAGAAGCAAAGAGGAGAGATGTTAGACTGCTGGCTTTGAAGTTGGAAAAAGTGAACATGAGCCAAAACAAACAAAACAGAACAAAACAAAATCCACAGGTGACCTTTAGAAAAGGGGTCCCCAGTCTCTGGGCCATGGACCAGTACCTGTCTGTGGCCTGTTTGGAACCAGGCTGCCCAGCAGGCGGTGAGTGGTGACTGGTGGACAAGCAAGTTTTACCACCTGAGCCCTGTCTCCTGTCAGGTCAGTGGCAGCATCAGATTCTCATAGCAGCCTGAATCCTACTGTGAACTGCACATGCAAGGGATCTAGTTTGTGCTCCTTATGAGAATCTAATGCCTCCAAAATGCTCACCCCTTCAAACTGCCCCCATCCGTGGAAAAACTGTCTTCCACAAAACCAGTCCCTGGTGCCAAAAAGGTTGGGGACTGCTGCTCTAGAAGCCAGAAAAGAGGAGATATATTTTCCTCTAGAGCCTACAGAAGGAATATATAGGCCTGCTGGCACCTTGATTTTAGTCCTGTGAAACTGATTTTGGATTTCTGACCTCCAGAAATGTAAAACAATGCATTGGTTTTGTTTCAAGTCACTAAATTTGTGGTAATTAGATACAGCAGCAGTAAGAAATGAATACACAGGTTTACAGGATGGTGAATTATGGAGGGTGCTCAGGAATGGCCTCTTTGAGGTGGTGGCCTTTAAACAGAAAAATGAGCAAAGTGAAAGAATGAACCATCTGGTGGGGAGAAAAGCATTCCAGTCAGAGGGAACAGCAAAAGCGAATGCTCTGAGAAGGGATTATTCTTCTCAATGTGTTTGAGGACTGGCAAGAAGGCTTTGTGTGAATGAGCAAGGGGAAAAAGTTAGTAGGTGATCTCGGAGACATAGCCAGGGTCCAGATTATAAAGGACCTCTCGCCTTGCTAAGCATTTTGACTTTATTCCAAGAATAATGGGAAGTCAATGGAAGGCTGTGAGCAGGGTTATATGCTCTCGTTATTTTTTAAAGGCACAATGTAACTCCAAAATGGAAAATTGGCTCTGGGCTGGAGGTGCCAGCACAGGGGAAACCGAAAGCAGAGAGCTGGGTTGGGAGAGCGGAGACTGAAGTTGTCCAGCTGAGGGGTGCAGAAGTGCAGACTGCAATGACAGCAGGCAGAAAGGACTATATGTTCTAGACAGAATGGACAGGATTTGCTGGTAGATTGGATTGAAGGCATGAGACAAAGGAGACATGGATGATATCAAGGATTTTGATACTACAGATTTGAAACATTCTGAGAGGGACAGGTTTGTGATGGAAAATCATGAGTCTGGTTTTAGATATGTTTTAGAAGCTTATTGGACAGCCAAGTAGAGATGTCAGGTAGGGAGCTGGACATAATACCTAAAGTTCAGGAGAGTGGTTGGAGCTGGTGACATCATTTGCAGAACCCTGGATGGTACATAAAGCACGGGACAGTGTGTGGATAGATCCTAAAGAGAGCCCTAGGGCACTCCAGCCCTGGAAGAAGGCAGCTTATCAAAGGAAAAAGAAAGAAAGAAGGAAACACAATCCTTATTACTTCCATCTTCAGGACAATTCAAAGCCAGTGTTTTTGACTTCCTGGCTTGAGTGAAGCTTGAAAAATGGCAACTTGCCCCTTTGCAAAGCTCCTAAGGAGTAGCCATTGGCTTGGCCTGTTTGCACTGGCTCTGGGTGAGCTTTTAAAATGCCAGTGAGCTCTAATTGTGTTGATTGCCTAACAGCTGTGAATACAAGATGCTGACTCCAGAACTGCAACTCATTCTGCGAAGGGCACCGTCCTTTTCCCTCTAATGACTGCTGAACAGAGCCACCTGAAGCCTGCATGGGGTTTAGCAGCAGCTGCACTTCTGCTCTAAGAAATAGCTCACTGCAGTCAGATCAAACTGAAGCTCTTCCTTGCTTTTCCTCGAAGCTTGGGTACTTATTGTCGGAGCATTAAACAGTAAGAGTCCTAGCTTAACTGGTGCACAGTGCTTTATGTTTGGTAGGGATTTGGTTAGGCCTACAAACCGTCTGAGCTAAGAACCTTGAGAAACTCCTGCTATAGTTAGCTCTTTCTGTGACTCTGCAGTGTGACCAGGAATGAGGACAGAATTAAGAATTTGCTGCCTCTATGATAGAACTGTTTAGGCACTAGAACACTGGAACTAGATCTACAACCCTATGAATTTAATTTCCTTTTCAACTCCCCTACTCCTTCTTTTCAATATGATGATAATGATCTTGTTTAAAAAAAAAAAAAGCCTTCTGCTTTACTTCCCACTCTGCTCCTCTTCCCAGGGACTCACTTTCTTCCTGACTGCTTCCCCATTACAAGTACTCAGCTCCCTGTTTTATCACCCTGCTTAGAGCAGCCATTATCAGCCTTGGCTGAACATTGGAATTACCTGGGAACTTTTAAAAATCCGGAAGTCTGGGTCTCGCCTCCAGAGATTCCAGCTTAGTTGTCTTGAGCGTGGCCTGGACATTTGGGTTTTCAAAAGTTCCCTATGTAACTTTAATGTGCAACCACAATTGAGAATCACTAGCCTCCAGACTCTCTGTGTTATCAAAATTAATGAGCAGCTGATTTTAGAAATCTCAGTTATCAGGAGAAAAGGGTGAACCCCCCCAGGGCTCTTCTCCTTTTCCAGGTGACACTTCTTTATGGCAGTGCGTGAAAGTGAAGCCCTGCTGCTTGTAATCTCCCTCAAGGGAGTGCAAGATCCAGGCAAAGACAAGACTGCAGAGGCGCTACCTTGGGGGAAAGTAGGACCCTAAATACTTACACCTGGAGGCACTTACCTTTAATACTGAATTTGTCAGATGCAAATTTGTCTATGCAAACCAGGGCCTTATCTCTAGCTTCCCCTCAGGGGTTTTGGGAAGTGCGCTACTACTCTGAAACAGGGTTGTAAAGCGTCACCTGTGCTCTCCAGGGAACCCTCTGGAAAGGAGGTGGAAAAACAGAGGCTTCCACCCTTGCAACTCTAAGTGTGTTCCTTGGCCAGTGGGATCCATCACCTAGTATTTTCTTAGATATGTGGTATCTGGGGGCCAGTCCCACACCTATGCAATAAGAATCTCCATTTGAACAAGATGCCCAAGCGATTATATGCAAGTTTAAGATTGAGGAGGGCTGGTTTAACTCGAGGGTAACGAAAAGTACGAAATCGTACTTTACAGGAGAAGCTAGGCGGAGGGAGCCACTTATTCTTCCTCTTGCAGCTGGGTCTTTTTGTGGTGAGTGGCGAAGCGGCGAGGCTGGCAGGCCAGGGTGCTGGACTGGGTCAGGCGCGGCCCCGCCTCCCTCCTGGGTCCCTGCCCTGCGCGCCGTTGCTGTGGCAGCGCTGGACGCGGCTAGAGCTGGGGCTGCCGCGCCCTCCACCTCCTTCTCCAAAGGCCTCCCCGGACCCCTGGCTCGGGCCCAGCCTGCGACTCCGCCATGCCCTGGAGGAGGCGCAGGAACCGGGTGAGTGCCCTGGAGGGCGGCCGGGAGGAAGAGGCGCCCCCGGAGGCTGCCGCTGTGCCTCCGGCGCTGTTAACGTCCCCGCAGCAGACGGAGGCGGCGGCCGAGCGGATTCTGCTCCGGGGCATCTTCGAGATCGGGAGGGACAGTTGTGACGTGGTGCTGAGCGAGCGAGCACTGCGGTGGCGGCCCATTCAGCCCGAGCGCCCGGCGGGTGAGTGCCCGGCCCCAAGCGTCTTCGCCTCCCTCCGCGCTTCCTCCCTCTCCCCGGCCCAAGGCCTACACCCACGAGCTTTTGCTCCACCCTCCCCTTTTCTCGCCTCCCCTCCCCGTGCTCGCCTCACTGCCCGGACAGGTTACCGAGTCCCCAAGTCGCCGCCTCCTCCTTCCCAACTGGGAACTCACGCCTCTCGCCCCATCCCAGAACCCCCAGGGATTCTTTCGCTACCTAGCCTTTTCCCGCCTCCGAGACCTTCCCCGGGCAAACGTCACAAGCAGCTTTTGCTCAGAGTCTCAGCAGAAAATCTTGAGCCCCAAAGGGGAGGTAATTTACAAATGTGAGAAGGTCAACTACTCCTCCCCTCCAAGTTGAAAAAGTTTTAATCCATTAACTTTGATGGTACATTGAAACTATAAACATCTCACAGATTATGCCTACACAAGAGTTCTGAATCCAACTCTCATTTTGCTGACTTGAAAATGTAACTCCAGAGCTTTGGGAGTGTTTCTGGGTTTTTTTCTGCCCCTCACCTTCCTTGCCATTGTCTAGAATTAAGACTTCTTCAGGCTCGGTCTAGAAACTTTTGATTTTTAATATTGACCCTAGATTATTGGATCACAGTTTTGCGATGCTTAGTTACGTCAAGCGGTTTGCTTAACGTTTGCCTTTTATTGACTTAAAATTTTAGTTACCTAAAAAAGTTATAATGCTGTAGTTTACAACAAATACTTCGAGTCTATTTTCACGTCTTAGTCAAATAGCCTTATAGACTTAACAGATATTTTATAAAGACCATTTTGCAAGTCTTATAAGTAGACTTTCATATAGTCTTATTTCTAAGTCCAAACTCGAGAAATACTCCCCATTGTTGAATTAGCTTAGATGTGAGCGGTGAAAGACAGATGAAATGGGGGAGGAACTACATCAAGGTTACTCTACTTGCGAGGAGATGACTTGGGGGAGATGGAATTTGGTATTCAACCTCTTTTAGCTAAATACAAATTTATGAAATTAAAAAAATTGCCTTCCCCTGTTGGAAAACAAGACACAGTGTGGTATTTATGTTACAGAATAGACTCACTGTCTTAAAGTCTTGCTCAAAAGTCTAACAAAATGAAACCAACTAGCCAGGGATTCAGCACTGGTTGCGATTGTGAATTCTGCCTGTGCTGCATGTGCCATGCTCGCTCGCTTCACGAAAACAGTCTTTGACCTTAAAGTGTTTTCAGGTGTTTTAAAAACCAAGGTGTAGTATTTTCTTGAACCTTTTAAGTTAAAAGCTAGGGATATAGCTATGGAATTATTTGTAAGTCTTTCAGGCAATTCGAGTTATGCAATATAGAAGTTTATAATTACAGTTTGGATTAGCCCAAAGAGCCAGTTTAACCTACAGTGCAGCTGAAATGCTATAGAATTAAAATGAGACATTGTGCAATGAGAGGTCATACAAACCAATGTTGCAGTATTTGTGTACAAAAAAAGCAAACAATGACATGAGAAAAGAAATGCTGTTTTATATTGAGTGGTGATTAAGGTAAAATAGGTTTAATTAGTGCACCCCTGGCAGTAGAGTTTAAAATACATCTTGACAGATTTGTAACTTTAAAGGTTGCAAGTACTGATTCTTTGTTTAATTATGCCCTAAAACCATTTGGTGGTCTTTTCCTTCATACAGGTGTACCCTTTTTCTTTGTAATTAATACCTGGTATTCAAACCACTTTGGGCCTCTAAAATTGGGGGCACAGAAGCCTAGAGCCTTAGTAAGTACTTCTGTTTATGGAAGAAACCAAGAGATGTTTTATTTAGGTAAAATATAGCCAGGCGTGGTGTGTCCCTGTAATCCCAGCTACTTGGGAGGCTGAGGCAGGTGAATTGCTTGAACCTGGGAGTTGGAGGTTGCTGTGAGCGGAGATCACACCACTGCACTCCAGCCTGGGCAACAAGAGTGAATCTCCATCTCAAAAAGCACAACAAACAAACAAAAACAAACACTGGGAAATAAGAAGGAGATATTAAGAGATGATATATTTAAATGTTAGAAATGCTCTGTTGTTGAATAAGCTTAGATGTGAGTGGTAAAAGATTAAATGGAAGAGGGAGCTACATCAAAGTTACTGTACTTGGGAGGACATGATATGGTAGGATGTGGTGGGGGGAGAGCATGTCCATTGCTGGTTGGCAAGTGACTGGCTGCCTCAGAAAAGGATGAGGGTGGGTAGGGGAGATCACTGGAGATTATTAGAACATACGTATGTTTTCAAGATTGCTTAGTTTTTAAACCTCATAGTACTTTGTTTTCACTGATGAAATAAAATACTATGTGATCTTTTTCTAATTTTCCATCTTGAGTAATAAGCAAAGACATTAATGTATTTTATGAAGGCTCTGACTGCCAAAATTGGGACAAATTGATGGTCTTGTTGGCAGGGTAAATGAGCATAACCGTAGTAATTGTAGTTCTTTTTATTGGGTTCAGGGATGACCTGGAATAATGGATGTGTTATTACCCTTCCCTGTAGAAGTGAGGCTTTCGAAAAGAGGCTATAAGTCAATTTGGGAGGCACAAAGTATCAGCGCTTTTTGGGGATTTTTTTTTTTTTTAAGTAGAGAAATATTTTAAATGTGTGATATAAAGTTATGCATGTGCTTCTTAAGCACATTAACTCAACCAGATCCAACAGCTGGTCTAATAACTTTTTAATTGTTTAAAAAAATTTAATTGACACATTGTAATTGTATATATTTATGAGATACTATTTGATGTTTTGATATTTACGTTGTACAATTATCCAATCAAAGTAGTTAGTTATCCTTCACCTCACACTTTCATTATTTCCTTGTGGGTTAGAACATTCAAAAGACTCTCTTCTAGTTATTTTGTAATATATAGTATTTTACTGTTAACCATAGTCACCATACTATGCAACAAAACACCAGAATTTATTCTTCCTACCTAGTTGTAACTTTGTGTCTTTTGACTAACCTCTCTCCATCCTTCCTTCTCCCCTCCCCTTCCCAGTCTCTGGTAACTATTCTAATCTCTGCCTTATCTATATCAACCTTTTATAATAGAAAAAGATTCTACATGTGAGTGACATGTGGTATTTGTCTTTCTGTGTCTGGGTTACTTCTCTTAACACGATGTCCTCCAGGCTTAGCATTCACAATTGACAGGACTTTATTTTTTAATGGCTGACTAGTATTCCATTATGTTTCTGTATCACATTTTCTTTATTCATCCATTGTTGTACGCTTAGGTTGATTCCATATCTTGGCCATTGTGAATAGTGCTGCAGTAAATATGGGATTGCAGATCTCTTCAACATACTCATTTTATTTCCTTTGGATGCATACCTGGTAGTGGGATTGCTGGATCATATGATACTTCTATTTTTAATTGTTTTAGGAACTTCCATGCTGTTTTCCATATTGACTGTACTAGTTTACAATCATACCACCGGTGTGTAAGTGTTCCCTTTTCTCCATATCTGTGTCAGTACTTATTTTCTTTTGTCTTTTTGGCAATAGCCATTCTAACTGGAGTGAGGTGTATCTAATTGTGGTTTTGATTTGCATTTCCCTGATGATTAGTGATGTCAAGTATCTTTTAAATGCACCTGTTGATCATTTATATGTCTTCTTTTGAGACCTATCAATTAAAGTCGTTTGCCCATTTAAAAAATCAAGTTGGCCAGGCACAGTGGCTCACGCCTGTAATCCCAGCACTTTGGGAGGCCGAGGCGGGCAGATCACGAGGTCAGAAGATCGAGACCATCCTAGCCAACATGATGAAACCCCGTCTGTACTAAAAATACAAAAATTAGCCGGGTGTGGTGGCACATGCCTGTAGTCACAGCTACTTGGGAGGCTGAGGCAGGAGAATTGCTTGAACCCAGGAGGTGGAGATTGCAGTGAGCCGAGATAGTGCCACTGCACTCCAGCCTGGTAACAGAGTGAGACTTCATCTCAAAAAAAAAAAAAAGTCATTATTATTTTATCTGTTGAATTAATTTTCTTATATATTTTGGATTTTATCCCTTTGTCGCATGTATAGATTGCAAATATTTTTCTCCCATTCTGCAGCTGTTTTCACTTTGTTAATAGTTTTCTTCAAGGTGCAAAGTTTTTTAGTTTGATGTAATCTTATTTTGTCTATGCTTTTGAGGTCTTATTTTAAAAATCCTTGCTCAGGTCAGTGTCGAGAATAATTTCCCTTTTTTCTTGTAATTTCATAGTTTTCAAGTTTTACATTTTAAATCTTTAATCTATTTTTATTTTTGTATATGGTGAGAGGGAGGGGTTTAATCTCATTCTTCTGCATGTGAATATCTGATTTTCCTAGTACCATTTGTTGAAGAGACTGTCTTTTTCCCAGTGCATGTTCTTGACATCTTAAAAATTCAGTTGGCTGTTGTAGGTGCAAAAATTTATTTCTGGGCTTTCCATTTTATTTCATGGGTCTGTCTGGTTTTATGCTAGTACCATGCTGTGTTGATATAGTTTTATCGTATATTTCGAAGTCAGGTAGTATGATACTTCCAGTTTTGTTCTTTTTGCTCAGGGTTGCTTTGGCTATTTGGGGTTTTTTTTGTGGTTCTGCATGAATTTTCAGATTGTAACATTTCTGTAAAGAATGGTGTTGGTATTCTGATAGCAATTGCATTAAATCCATAGATCACTTTGGGTAGTATGGCCATTTTAACAATATAATTATTTCAATCCATGAACATGTACTATCTTCCCATTTATTGATGTGGGAAGATAATTTCTTTCATCAAAGTTTTATACTTTTCAGTGTAGAGATTCTTTCACTTCCTTGGTTGTTTATTTCTAGGTATCTTTTTTTTTAAAAAAGTACTATAAATGGAATTGTTTTCTTGATTTTTCACATAGTACAATATTAGTGTATAGAAATGCTACTGATTTTTATATGTTGATTTTGTGTCTTGCAACTTTACTGAATTCTAACAGTTCTTTTGTGGAGCATTTTGGGTTTTCTATCTATAAGATCATATCTTCTGCAAACAGGGACAGTTTGACATGCTTCTTTCTAATTTGGATGCTCGTTACTTCTTTCTCTTGCCCAGTTTATCTGGCTAGAACTTTCAGTAGTATGTTGAATAGAAATTGTGTAAGTGGCCATCCTTTCCTTGTTATTGATCTTAGAATTGATCTCGTTATTGGTCTT
Source organism: Homo sapiens (assembly GCF_000001405.40). Classification (NCBI taxonomy): domain Eukaryota; kingdom Metazoa; phylum Chordata; class Mammalia; order Primates; family Hominidae; genus Homo; species Homo sapiens. The sequence continues at coordinate 181,651,573 of NC_000002.12, read as the reverse complement.
TTCCCATTCAGTATGATGTTAGCTGTGGATTTGTCATATGTGGCCTTTGTGTTGAAGTACAAACTTTCCATACCTAATTTGTTGGGTTTTTAATCATGAAATTATGCCACATTTTGTCAAAGGCTTTTAATGCATCTATTAAAATGATCATACAGTTTTTGTCTTTGTTAATGTGTATCACATTTACTGCTTTGTGTATGTTAAACCATTCTTGCATGCCTCTGATCCCAGTGATGAATCGCACTTGAATGTAGCAAGTTATCTTTCTAATGTGCTGTTGGATTTGGTTTGCTAATATCTTGAGAATTTTTGCACCTATGTTCATCAGGGATATTGTACTATAGTTTCCTGTGTTGTATTGTTATCTGATTTTGGAATTAGGGTGATGCTTGACTCATGAAATGAGTTTGGAAGTATTCCCTTTGCTTCAGTTTTCTGAAATATTTTGAGAGGAATTGATATTGGTTTGTTAAATGTTTGGTTGAGTTCAGCAGTGAAGCCATTCGTTTCTGGGCCTTTCTTTGATGAAAGACTTTATTACTGATTCAATTTCCTCACTTATTATTGGTCTGGTCAGATTTTATGTCTTCCTAACTTAATCTTGATAGGTTGTATGTGTCGGGGACTTCGTTTTTTCTATGTTATCAAATTTGATGAAACTTGTTGAAAACCAACTCTAAATTTTGTTCATCTTTTGAAATTATTTTTAGTCTCTATTTCATTTATTTCTCCTCTGAGTTGAATTACTTCCTTACTTCTACCAACTTTGGGATTAGTTTGTTCTGTTCTTTTTTTTCTTTCTTTCTTTTTTTTTGAGATGGAGTTTCGCTCTTGTTGCCCAGGCTGGAGTGCAATGGTGTGATCTCGGCTCACCGCAACCTCTGCCTCCTGGGTTCAAGCAATTCTACTGCCTCAGCCTTCCTGAGTAGCTGGGATTATAGGCATGTGCCACCACACCTAGCTAATTTTGTATTTTTAGTAGAGACGGGGTTTCTCCATGTTGGTCAGGCTGGTCTCGAACTCCCGACCTCAGGTGTTCTGCCTGCCGTGGCCTCCCAAAGTGCTGGGATTACAGGCATGAGCCACAATGCCTGGCCGATTAGTTTGTTCTTAATTTTGTAGTGCCTTGAGGTTCATCATTAGGCTGTTTGTCAGAAATCTGTTGTCTTTTTTGATATGGGCATTTAATACTATAAACTTACCTCTTAAAACTGCTTGTGCTATGTTTCGTAGGTTTTGTTATGGTATATTTTCATTCTCACTTGTCTCAAGAAAAATTTTAATTTCCTTTTTAATTTCTTCACTGACCCATTGGTTGTTTAGGAGCATTTTGTCTCCATGATTTGTGAAGTTGTCAGTTTTTCTCATTGTTGATTTCTAGTTTATTTCTTTTCTTTCTCCTTCCTTCTTTCCTTCCTTCCTTCCTTCCTTCCTTCCTTCCTTCCTTCCTTCCTTCCTTCCTCCCTCCCTCCCTCCCTCCCTCCCTCCCTCCCTTCTGTATTGCTTTGTCTCCCAGGCCCAAGTGCAGAGGCACGATCTTGGCTTACTGCAATCTCTGCCTCCTGGGCTCAAGCAATCCTCTCACCTCAGCCTCCCAAGTAGCTGGGACTACAGGTGTGTGTCACTGTGCCTACAGGTGTGTGTCACTGTGCCTGGTTAAATTTGTTTTTTGTTTTTGTTTGTTTTGTTTTGTATGTTTAGTAGAGATGGCTTTCGCCGTTTTGCCATGTTGCCCAGGCTGTTCTCAAATTGCTGGGCTCAAGCAACCTGCCCACCTTGGCTTCCCAAAGTGCTGGGATTACAGCCATGAGCCACTGCACCTGGCCTGATTTCTAGTATTATAACGCTGTGGTCAGTAAAGATACTTGATATTATCTTAATCTTTTAAAATTTGTTAAGACTTGTTTTGTGGCCTAACATGTGATCTCTCCTCAAGAATGTTCCATGTGCATTTGAGAAGAATGTGTATCTGCAGCTGTTGGACGGAATGTTCTGTAAGTGTCTGCTAGGTGCATTTGGTCTATGGTTCAGCTTAAGTCCAATATTTCTTGATCTCTCTGTGTGTGTTTGTGTATGTATGTCTAGATAATTTATTCATTATTGAAAGTGGGCTGTTAAAGTCTCTTACTATTATTGTATTGGAGTTTATCTCTTTAGGTTGAATATTTGCTGTATGTATCTGGGTACTTAGGTATTAGGTACATGTATGTTTATAATTGTTATATCCTGTTGTTGAATTGATCCCTTTATCATATTATGACCTTCTTTGTCTCTTTTTACAGTTTTTGACTTAAAGTCTATTTTGTCTGATATGAGTATTGCTACTCCTGCTCACTTTTGGATTCTGATTGCATGGAATATCTTTTTCCATTTCTTCACTTTCAGTCTGTCTTTAACGGTGAGGTAAGCCTCTTTTAGGCAGCATGTAGCTGAGTTTTTTTTCCAGTCCTGCAGCTACTTTATATCTTTTCATTAGATAATTTATTTACATTCAAGGTTTTTATTGATAAGAACTTATTTCTCCCATTTTGTTACTTGTTTTCTGGTTGTCTTGTAGATTCTCAGTTCTTCTTTCTCTCTTGTTTACCTCTGTGGTTTGGTCATTTTCTGTGGTCCTAAGCTTTGTTTTCCTTCTATCTCTTGTTTATGTATCTGTTGTAATTGCTTTCTTTGTGGGTACCATGGGGCTAACATAAAAAGTCTTGTAGTTATAATAAACTATTTTAAGCTGATAGCAAGTTAACTTTGGTCACATAAAAATACTCTAGACTTTTTTCCTCCGCCATCCCTAATTTATATTTTTGTTGCCTTTATTTCTTTAGTATGTGTTCCCTAGCCATTGTAGCTGTTGTTGTTTTTGACCAGTTGTACTTTAAACCTTCATCTAGAGGATCGACAGGTTTACATAGTAACATGATATCACTGGGGAATTCTGAGTTGGATTTATACATTTACCTCTATTGGTGAGGTTTATATTCTCACATGTGTTCATGATAGTTATCATTTTTTCATTTACAGCTGTAGCACTCCTGTAAACATTGCTTGTAAGGCTGGTGTAGGAGTGAATTCCCTCAGCTTTTGTTTGTCTGGGAAGGCCTTTATTCTCCTCCAGGATAGTTTTGCTGGATATAGTATCTTTTGTCCTTGGCCGAGACTCGTTTTTTTTTGTTCTTTTAGCATCTTGAATAAATTATCCCTTTCTCTCCTGGCATACATCAGTAATTTAATGTTACTGATGAGAAATCTACTGATAGTCTAATTAGGATTCCCTTACATGTAACTTGATGCTTTTCTCTTGCAGATTTTAGAATTCTCTGTCTTCAACTTTTGACAGTTTGACTATAATGTGCCACAGAGAGAATCTTTTTGGGTTTAATCTAATTGGGAATCTTTGTGGTTCCTTCATCTGGATGTCTATATCTCCCCCAATATTTGGGAAGTTTTTAGCTATTATTTCATTAAATAGGTTTTCTGTGCCTTTCTTCAACTTTTCTCCATCTGCCAGTTCTATAATGCAAAAATTTCTTTGCTTAGTTTTTTTTAAACTTTGGGTTATTTCACAAAACCTATTTTCAGATTTTGAAATTCTTTCTTCTGCTTGATCTGGTCTATTCTTGAAGCTCTCGATTGTGTCTTTTATTCACTGCATTCTTCAGATTTCTGTGTTTTAAATGATAGATCTTGTTTTAATTTCTCATTTTATAACTTTCCTGATTTCATTGGGTTGTTTGTATTCTCTTGTAGCCTGCTGAATTTTTTTAAGATCATTATTTTTAATTTTGTTTCAGGCATTTTATAAACACCCTTTTCTTTGGGGTCTGTTACTAGAGACTCACTGTGTTCCTTTGGCAGTGTCGTGTGTCCTTGCTTTTTCATGTTTCTTGTGACATCTGCACATCTAGTGGAATAGTCACATTTTCCAGTTGTATGCAGTAGCTTTCACAGGGAGAGACTTTTCCTGTAGATGGGTCCTAGAGTGTTGGTTGGGTATGGTACATTGGCTTTGGTTTGGGGTGGATTCAGTACCATGGTCTCTGTGTAGTTTCGTCAGCTGTAATCTTCACAGCAATGTCTGATTTCCTCAGTGGCCTAGGCTGCAGGAGTTTTTGATGGTGGTATAGTTTTGCTAGGGACAGGCATGTCATGCTAGTTGTCAGGCTGGACACTTGCAGGCTCGGAGGGCTGACAAGCTGTCTTTTGGGCTCCCCAGGGAAGAGAAAGTATGATTTTCCAGCTTTTCTTCTATGTTTATTTAAAACTTTGTTGTCTGGCTCACAGTGTTCTTTATCTAAAGTCTAGCCAGTGGTGGTGGTCATATTGCAATCATTATTACAGCTTCAGACTTTCTAGACCTTTTCCATTTTAGTGACCTTCAGCCTTCATTCGCTTCCATTCATGACCACAGAATAGATGTAGTCATCTCTATTGAAGGCAAACCCATCCCATCTCTTCAGCTTCATCTAGAAATTTGTTTCATCTGTTACACTTTCTTTCTTTGGTTTTTAGCCTTCATTCTCTACCAGCTCTTTCACTTAAGCAGAGATATGTTCAAGACTCTCCCATTCTAACAGTTCCCTGCCTTGATCCTACAAGCTTTTCTCTTTAGCTGCTACCTTGCTTTTTATTTTTATTTTTTTCTCACTTGCTCTGATAATCTCCTAGAAAAATTGGCTTACTCTGACCATCTCCATTAGTTCACCTCTTAATTATTCTTCAACCATCTGAGACCTGGCTTTGTTCTTTCTCTACTGAAACTCTTCAGGCAGAGATTAGCAGAAGTCTTCTAATTGCTCAATGAAGTGGAAATTTTCAGTCCTTATTTTCTGTATTTCTCCTTCATTTGACTTTGACTTAACTCTCTTGGTTTTTGTAATACCACCAGCACCTAGTTTATCAGTCTCTCATGGGAACTTCATTCTATCTGCCTGCCAAATGGTGGAGTCCCAAGGACTGTGGTCTGATCTGCTGTTCCTCATTACATGCTTTCTGGTCAGTATTGCACACTGTGGTTCTCATCTACCATCATCTACCTCCAGAAGTGCCATATATTTAGTAAGTTTACAAGAAAAGCAACTTTCCTTGCTCCGTAGACTAACTCTGATCTTTTGTTCCCTATCATGGTTATGGAACTCACTAATTATTCAGCATCAGCTGTCAGAATGTTTAACTTTGCTATTTAGGTTTGTGTAAGTTATGGGACAATAACTAGGATAACTAGAATTAGCTTGTAGCTTATGTGGGTTAGATAATACAATTGCATATGTAAGTAGTGAATATTTTGGCTTAATAAGTGAAGGAGTATTTAGGAAGCTATCTGGAATGTTATCTAAGTCAGGATTCTGAAGGTAACTCTAGCCTCACTGTCCCTTACTCACTATTTCTAAACACCCACCAATCCTGCCTACTTTATTTACTTGGTATTTCTCCAATCTGCCATCCTTCTCTGTCCGACCAATCACTACCCTAGCTCAGGCCTTCAAAGTCTCTCACTTGACCTACTCCTTCACCTCCTTTGAACCTGTGCACAAATGTTAGCTTCTTAGTAAGGCTTTCTCTGGTCACCTGTATAAAATTCCCATCTGCTACATACTTCCTGGTTCCCTGTATTGCCTTATATTCCTCAGTGGCATTTATCTCCTTGTATACTATATAATTTCTGATCTCTGTCCTTTCTATTACCACCCCACTTCAAGATGGCAAGGATTTGTCTGTTATATTAGTGACTGTCCTAATAGGAAAAAAAATGGCACATTTATATTAGAGTAACTTGAGAAGAATTTTTAAAAGTCAGTATTTATAAAGCTGTAGATATAGAGATAGTGAAGTACTCTTGGGACTAGTAATCATTGGGCAGGTGATACCATTTTTAAGCCCAAAAGGGCATAGTGAAAGAGCAGGTGCCTGAACCTGGATTCAGAGAGACTATGTAGAGGAGGCCACTAGGCAGGAGCTGTGGCCTTTGCCTCAGCTTGGCTGATTACCTCACTAATCCTCACTAATCCTAAATTACCCAAGTTCCTTCTTTTCTGGCCCATTTCACAGTCCAAAGCCAACTTTAAGCCAGAGGGCAAGGGGAGCACTTGATGCAGTCCATGCAGTATGGCCTCCCAGTGAACAGGGCAGGTGGAGGATAGAAACTAAATCTAGATGGAGGAGAGGGAAGATATTCAGAATATGTTTTTTCTTTACTGTCAGCACCTTGAAGAGTGCCTGGCATATAGATAATATTTATTGAATGAATGAATTTGTTACTGGTTTACTGGCCTCATGAACTTTAGTTTTGCCTATTCTATTATAACTTGGTGACTACATTCCTATATACTTGATACCAACTCCTCATTAACTACAAAGGCAGTATTCCCCTCTCCCCCTTTTTAAACATCAAAACTCTTTTTTAAAAAAAATTCTTAAATGAATCGCCAGTATATAACACATAAAAGTATGGGTGCCTTGATTGGAGTGGTGGGTAAATGATCCTGAGTCTGTCTGTTTGGGTTCCCTCTTTGCCTAGCAGGAATGTGACTGTCTTGTTTAAAGCCCACTGAAGTAGAAAACAGGATGAGAGACACACTCTTCAACATGGCATAAGATTTCCATGCTTGGCTCCTGCCTATCTCTGCATCCTCATTTCTCAGTAGTTTCCTCATATTTTACCATCCTGTAATTGAAAGAATTACAAAACTAGTTCTCTACACAAGCTTTCTTGCTGTTCCAGCTGCTGGGAATTAGCTTCCTTTGTGCTTTTTTTTATTTGAATGATTCATGTTTACATTCATTAAAATTAATGAAGATTCATTACAGTTGTTTTCTCTTTAGGCATAATTGGATCTCCTATACTGAGACATTGAATGCAACTTTGATTGTTTTTTTCCCCCATTATATGTTAAGCTCCTTGAGGTTCTTTTCAACTTTGCGTTATTCCAGGATTTCTATCGTAAGAGTTAAGGTTCATCCACTTCTCTGATGTGAGGTTCATGGCAGGAAGGTTCCATGTTGCTCAGCTGCAGAGTAGAAAATACTGAGCAGGGCTTAAATAGATTAGGATGCTGCCATTATAATATAAACTGTGTTTACGAAAGAGCATCATCAATTCAGAAAATATCTTTTTCATTGACTACAGTGGTGCCTGATGATCTTTCTATTACAATCTTAAATTATGGTCATTTTAATTATAGAATCATACATGGGTTTATTTATGTTAAAATAAGGTAATTATCAAGCTAGCTGTGACCTATGAGAAAAATCCTGAAGAAATGATGAAGGGATCAGGTGACTGTTTTTGAAGTCAAGTGTGAAAGGTCAGACCACTCTGGGTCATGGGACCCTGCCAAGGCAGAGCAGGTCAAGTGCTGTGCCCAGTGGGGCCAACCCCCAGTATGGTGCCAGGGACTGGGTGTGAGAAGTCAAAAATTAAGAATACACCTCAGAAAGGGGACATGGACAGATGCCACAGACTTATTTGCGTATTTCATGATTTAGCCCTTAGCTTGTGCTGATACTGGATCAGATATTTTCAGAGTTCAGTATTTTCAAAAGCATCGCTGATCACCTGTTGGCATTGTTTTACATCTCAACCAAGGAAAAACTTTTGGGACATCTGTTTAACAAGGGGTAAGCTTTTATTTGAAATGTTCGATTAAAGCAGAAGAGTCAGGCATTTTTTTGTGCCTCCCCAAAGAAAGATTTGTTTACTGTCCTGTGTGAATAAATATAATGTCATTATTTCCCGTAAAGGAAAAGCTGATGGGGAGAGTAAGTAATGGGTAAGATTAGGCAATGTTAAGCTCATATATTAGTATGTTTAAGAGTGATCAATTTAGGGATCTCTGTGACAGAGATGCCAAATGCTCACAGTGCTATCTCATGTTGGAAACATGTGTCTCCTCCACTTTTCCTCAGTCCTCTGAAATGACGGCCCTTTAGGGATTGACAGATACTATACAGATTTCTGTGCTGATATGTGATTTGTCTAAAACAAAAGTTTCACAAAACAATTCTTACCATTGCCATTTAAGAGTCACTCTGATATGCTCTGTTTCCATTGCAAACAAATGCTCATTATGATTTGTGAAATTAACTTCACAATTTCCTAATGGATAACACCTTGAAGTATGAAAAGCACTACAGGATCTTTTATAGCTTCCCTCCTCCAGCTCTCTATAATCTGCTCCCATCTGTGGTGTAGGAAAGATTTCAGCAGTGGCCGCTGAAGGCCCTAAGATCTTGTCTCAACAGATAGCAAGGTGCATAACAGACTTTGGACAGGTTGTTTAACATGTCTGAGTTACTGTTTATTCACTGGCAAAATGAAGGGCTTATATTATATTGTCTCTAAGTACTATCAGTTCTGACCACCTATGAACTTTCATTTTAAAGAAAATACCTATTTCTATGGCCTTTAGGCATTAGGGAATTTTGTCAAATTAAATAAATCTCAGTAAGGTTTGATGGTCAATGGGGCCCACTGTCTGGTGTGTGTGGAGGGGTGTTGTATTTTACATCAGGAACTTCAGAGCCCTCATGAATTTCTAATTAGAGGAACCACCTGGGAAATATAAGTCAAAGCCCTTTGCTCGCCTTACTCAGCTTTAGGGCACAGTGACTAGAGGTGGGCAATCGCTTTGGTGTAGGTATTGTCATTGGAAAGGAAGAAACCATTTTCTGGAGGAAAAGAATTGGTTGAGGCTAGCTTTAAGCAGCTATTTCATGATGGACAAAAGGACTAGCTCATCCATTCTTCATTCGTTTCTCTGTATCCTCTATCAAATTTCTGAGTAAAGATTTTATACAATGCTTGATTAGCATTCAAATAGTATGTTTCAAAGATTTTAAAAAAAATAAAACTAGGCCTTTGAATCATAATTATGGCTTATAACTCTATTTTTCATATACTTACTATCTCAAGTTACAAATTTCATGTTATGTTTTTTTCAAAAGAGTATTCCTGCCACAACTCAGAGCTCAGCTGAATTAGAGCAGTGACTAGAAAATCTGAGAAGGCTGAGCTTCAAAATAAGGTCTGGAAAGTGTTTCTTATTGTTACAAGAGAGTCAAAATGATTTTCTTGAGCTTTAAGTTTATGTAAGTATTTACTTGACACTTAGCAGTTTAAAAGATAATGTGCAAAAATATGAAAATGAGAAAAAACAATTTCAAAACAAGAGTTGGTGATTACGTGAGACTTAGTAGAGCAAAGTATATTCTAAGTATTAATCTGTCTAAGCTGTTTGGGAACAGATGTACGTGAAATGGATACCGGGTGTTCTGTTGTGTACACCCCAAGTGAGACATCTGTTGGTAGACTGTGTGGTCAGAAATAATGGAAGCAGGGGTTAAACCCCAATATGACCTATTACTCATGTGAATTATTGAAGGACTAATTACTCAGTAAAACATGATGCTTTGATTCATCAGTCTACACGTTAAGAAAAAAGCCTCTTTAGAAAAAAATTTAGTTCTGTTTCTAAGCTGTCAAATTTGAGGAAATTTTTAAGATGTATGCAAAGACTCAAATTTCCATAGTAACTGCAAATACTATCTGCTTATAAAGTTTTAAAATGTTTTGACAGGTCTACTAATTTATCATAAAAATAGCCTCAAAAGTTTTAGCTTTTTGTTAGGGTAGGTTGGGTCTCACAGAAAACAAATGTAGAGTGAATTTTCTAAAGCAGGGCTGTCCAGTTAGACTTCCTGAAATGATGGGAGTGCACTATATCTGAAGTGTTCAATACAGTTACCACCAGCTACATGTGGCTATTGAACAGAAACATGGCTAGTGTGACTGAGAAACTGAATTTTTAATTATATTTAATTTTTATTAATTTGAATTCAATAACTGCATGTAGCAAGTGGCAACTGCATTGTACAACACAGCTCTGACACATGGAGAGTTGAAAATGTTTGTTTACTTTCTTCCCAAGTTTTCATTTTAGTCTTTGTTTCTACATAGAAAGGAAGATATAGCTTTTGAAAAATGAACCTGAATGTAGAACTGATATGGTTATGCAATTTGAGCTGCCTATTTAAAGATAAAGCAACTGAGTTTAGAGATTTCAAAGTGGCAGAGTCCTTTAACATATTTCGTGGGCTGGCCACGGTAGCTCATACCTGTAATCCTAGTACTTTGGGAGGCTGAGATGGGAGGATTGCTTGAGCCCAGGAGTTCGAGGCCAGCCTGGGCAACATAGCAAGACCCCATCTCAGGGAAAAAAATATGTGTATATATATGTATATATATATATATATATATATATATATATATATATATATATGCATACACATATATACATATATACACACATATATTAACATATTTTGTGTGTACAAAAAATATTTTTATTATGTGTAGATTAGTTGGTTACTAGTAAAGTTGAAGTCTTGTCTATAGAAATCATTGTATTTTTCATGGTCATTGTGATACATTGTTTGAACTGAAATTTGGCAAATTCAATCTGTTTCTTACTACAAGAATAGTACATAGATTTGAAATGGTAACTCTCTTAGTCTGTGTACTCTGACCCTGTGAACGTCTGGAGACTAATGTTATTCCTAAATATGCTATGTCCACATGGCAGCATCTGAAGGCAAACACTTTTTAAAACTGATCTACTTTTGTGGACCCTTCCTCTCTCTCTTTCCTGCATCCCGGATGGGGCCCTCTGGGGCTGGAACTGGCACAGAACTATTCCCCTAGGAGTGGGTTCATTGAAGCCAAGGGACACACAAATTGAGAATCAGATAGACTGGACCAAGGTCATTAAACCAGAGAGGGCAATCCAGATGGGGTTGTCCAAAGTAGGAAGTTCTGAAGTGAATTGCAGAAATCCAAACATGGCAAAGCTAAAGGAATAGAGAACCAGGGCAATGGATATAGAGAACAGAGCAATTGGGTATGCAGGAAGATGCTATTGCCTAGACTGGATGTTTTTGTACCCTCTGTAATTTGAGAAAATGGACCGTCCTTGTTGAAATGGTCAGGGATGTAGTAGATAAATTCATTGCAGTTGTGTAATCTCAGCACTAGAATACTGATCATAACCATATCACTTGTTATCCCACCTAGCCTGCCACTTGATTGGGTTATTAGATTACATTTCAGACATTGACAAGTCTACAAGCATCATTAAAATCCTAAACACAGACTTCTGACCGTATTCCTACCCAAGTTTTAGAAGCACTATGCCAATGACGGGGGTAGTATATGCTGAGCAGGTGAGTTTTGATTGTGTGTGTCTACATGTGTACGTGGGTGTGGTGAGCAACAGGAAGGAACTCTCAGCCATGACTCTAAATGCTCTTGTGTTGGCCAAAATTGGTATAAGCTAGGAGGAGAAACACAAAGGAGAGAGAGGCATGAAGTTGAAGGACATTAAACCATTTGCAAACTTTTGGCATGCAAACCAGAATATGAGGAAACTTAGTGTAATGGGTGACTGAATTCAGAGGTAGACAGGCAATCAGGAAGGTATAGGCACCAAAAATAGTTACCATTGGTGAGCGTTTTTGTTTTTGTCATTGGCATGGTGTTATGAACTTATGTTAAGCCTAAGGGTAAGTCTAAAATAATGTACCAGCTGGCATCAGGGAATTCCCATGTACATTCCTAGATTTTCATTAGAAACAGTGTTCTGGAAACTACCACTGCTGCTACACAGCAGTGCCCAGTGCTTGACTGAAAATAGTGAACACTTAGATTTGTTTACTCTGCCAGGTTCTGTGCTAAGTATCTTATCTTGTTTAACCTTAGCAAAGAAACTATGTAGTCTAGATAGAATTTTTATCCCTAGGGCCCAGAGGTGTTAAATAACTTGCCCAAGGTCATACCAGTAATTTCAGTTGCTGGGGTTCAAAGCTAGGCAGTCTGACTCCAGAGCCTGCACTGTCCCCATTTGGTTATGTTGCTTCCCCAGTTAAGCAAGCAAGAGTCTATCTGACATCTGAGTTGGTGGTAGTAAAGCATCATGGTCTGAACCAAAATAATAAAAACCTTTGAAACAACATTATCTGACTTCTTTCAGGCTTTTAAGACAGTTCCATCATCAACAGCTTATTCCATTTCTCTGGCCACTTCCAGTTTCTGAACAAATGAAGAAAATGGGAGTGATAAATTGGAGTTTTTAACAAGTTTTTTTAAATCTAATTTTTTTTATGGAAACCACCAAACATACCCAAATGTAGGAATAATTATGTAATAAGTCCTCATGTTCAACCCTAAGAGGGGTGAAGCTCTATGTGACCCATTACTGAGTTTAAACAGTTTTCAATTTATGGCCAGTCTTATTTCATCTATACTCTACCCACATCCCTTCTTCCCCTGGAATGATTGAAGTAATTCCTAGGCATCATATAATTTCATCTGTAAGCATCTCAGCATGTATCTCTAGGAGATAAAGATTTTCTAAAAAATCATATTACTACTCTTCAAATTTAAAATAATCTTTATAGTTTTACATATCCAGTTAGTGTCCAGATTTTCCTGATATTTTCTCTATTTTTTAAATATGTCAACCTTGAAATGAGGTCCATATTATAGCTGATGGCTATGCCTTTTAAATTTTCTCATCCACAGATTCTTCTTCCTTTTTTTTCCTTTCAATTTATGTTTTGAACAAACTAGTTTGGCCTATAGTTTCTCATGGGCAAGAATAACCTTCAGACTGGGATGGCCATCACTCTGATACCCGTAAAGGGGATGAGGCAGGTTGGGGAAGGGAGAGCCTCAGACCATGATCAGATGTCACAAGATTTTTGCTTACCTAGGGTGAGGACTTGGGAAAAAGATTGCCCATTAGGAGTCCTGCCTTGGGCAAAAGTGGCCAAACTTCAGCTGTGCTGTCACAGGCTGTGGGCTGCCTTGGAAATGTAGGACCTCAACTCCTCTGAAGTTGAGGTGGAGCTTGAGGGTACGAATCCCTGGTGGCCATTATAATGACTACACTCATTGGGATGGCATGGCAAGTTCATCCTCAAAGATGGATCCTAGCATCCACCATGACCAATGAGGTTTTTTTATTGTTATGATCACTATAAACTCAAGGATTTAAACCTATTAAATGTTTTTCAATTCACAGCAATGATTATTTTTACTGATCTTCAAATTGTCACATTTTGGATTTTTAGACCAATGGGAGCCCCTTCATCTTGACTTCTGAGTTCTTTTGACATTCACTCAGCTGTCTGATAGCTTCCCTGCTTTCTGGAATGGCAAGATATTCCAGGTTCATCTTGAACATTTCATGCTTGAGATATGGAATCAAGCTCATCATCAGAGGGTCCTGGTTCCTTTTACTGGATAGTGGTATTAGAGACCTCAATTTGAGAACTAAGCAACATCATTGCTAAAACTTCCCCTATGTGTACCTTGTTACTTAGGTTTTTCAAAGAACAGAGCTAGAAAATATGTTGGGTTTTTTTGTTTTGTTTTTAAAGAAAAAATGTATCATAGGATTATGCTGATACTTCCAATTCAAGTGCAGGCCTAAGCTTTTCACATTGTCTCTTTTCTCCTACCCTTAAAGTCCTGATTCCTAACTATAACAACATCATTACTCATTTGCTTTATCCTGCATTATGTAGACACAATAGAGTAACAACACCAATGCTGCCAATCAAAAGTATAATTACTGAAACCCACTTAAGATAGTCCTGCAATTTTTTTTTTTGTTCATAGAGTGTACACTACTAGGGAGGTGTAGTCAAATTACTATGTTTTAAAGACACTTGGAATAATTCATATCTGTGAAGTTATACCCCCAACTTATTTGTTTTTTGTATTATTGTTTCATTTTGCTTTTGATGTTTAGGCATTTCTTTTTTAAAAATCAATTTTATAATTACGTGAAATACTTATATGGTTCCAAAATCAAATCTACTAAACAAACTATATTCTAGGAAGTATAGCTTTTATGTTTCCCTTCTATGCTTTTCCTTCCTTCCTGTAGGTAGGAAAGCTTATTTGTTCCTCAAAGCTCTGGGTTGTTCTTTTATTTTATATAAATAAACATGTGCATATATTCTTTTCATTACCCCCACAGTACCCACCGTCTTAAACACATGTACAATATATGTGTTTTTCTACCTTGATTTCTTTCTTACTTAGCAATATGCCCAGAAGTTCACTCTGTAGCGCTTTACATCAGCATCAAAATCCATTATGTACTATCGTTTATTGACCTCTCTGTTGGAGAAATTTGGATTGTTTCTAGTCATTTTTGTTATCGCAAATAGTGGTTTAATAAAAAACTTTACTTTCCGTTTTTTGTTTTTCAATGTGCTTTTAGGATAGATGCCTAGAAGTGAGATTGTTGAGTCAAAGAATAAATGTGTTAATAATTTTGCTCAATATTACCAAATTCTTTCAAAAGGGTTGTGCAATTTTGCTTTTTAAAATCATTATTGTATAAGGGCATGTATTTCCTGAAAATTTCTCCAGAAGAGTTTATTGCCAAACTTTAAAAAAACAGCCTGATACATAATAAATGATATCTCAGCATAGTTTAAATTTGCATTTTTCTTGTTAAATCATTCATGTTTTTACTGTAGTCCTCCTAACATTTAGGGAGCACCAATTATGGGGTCTCTAGAAGGTTCCAGGATTCTGTAATCAATTTGACATGATTTCTGTCTTCAGATATTCACAATCTTCAGGAAGATATATTGACAAAAGAATAACTACATGATCTATTTTGTGTGCAACTTAGTACTTACAGAGCATTATAAATGCACATGGAAAAATAGGTAAAGGAGAAAATCATTCTCTGTTGGGCGGGCTGAGGGGGAAGTCAGGAAAAGCTACAGAGAGGTTCGAGGGTAAACTTTAATGTGGGCCTTGAAGTATGATTTGGAGTTAGCAAGACAGACAAAGGAGCAAGGAAACCATTCTAGAAAAAGAAAATTTTGAAAAATCTCCAGAAAAGGATGCTTTGGCCTATTTGGAAAATAACATTGTCTTATTTATGGGGGAGATGACAGTGCTTTGTTTTTAGTCAGTAGTTTATACAGGACTTTGAATAGCATGCAAGGAAGTTGGCGTCTCAACCTGAAAATTGAGGAAGGTGTGACAAAGGCTGGGCATTAGGTGAGATCAAGTATTTCTGTTTTTTTTTTTGGTAAATTAGGTAGCAGGATAGATTATAAATGGGCTCCACACTGAGGAGCCCAGTGTGATGGCTGATCCAGCAGATCAGGGGGCAGTGGCTGCAAAGCTGGGAGAATGGCAAGGTAAGCCTGGATGCAAGGGATATTGTCAAAGACAAAATTTGGGGGATGTGAGGCTTAAAAGGGAAATAAATAATGGTGATGGTGAGATTTCTAGCTTGGGCAGTGGGATAGATAGTAGACGCTGCGCAAATTCGTTTTTAAATCAGCAGAATGAGAAGCATCTTATTTGAAATATATTCTACCAAATCTTAGCATCAAATGTGCTAGTGACTAGCAAAATATGTAAACAGAAGGGAAGTAGCTTGAAAAGTACACAAACTGGAGAAATTGCTCCTGAAGGACTGTAAGTTGAACCCTTTTAAGCCTAAGATCTGTATTTCCTATGAGCCCTAGGCTCTTTCCTTGTGTATCCTGTTTCTTATTAGAGTAGAGGCTACTTAAAAATAATCATAGTTTAAAGCGCTCTATTTTCAGAAAACATTATTCATTAGATGTTAGTAAATAATGTAATCTTTATACATTCATAATATTTCTGCATTATTGGAGTGTAAAAAGTCAGTGAAATAGTCATTTGTAAAGATGTCAGTTTTTATCTGTGGAAAATAGCTGTTCATACCATTTTAAGCTTAAAAGTTCTTCATTTACTTCTTAAAATATCCATGTTGGTATTATTTTGTCTAATACAAGTAATTAATATTTACCCCAAATTAAGCTTTTAAGTTTACTAAATGTTACAAACATAATTCAAAGCACTGTTTAGTGTCCATCTGTGCAGGAAAAATAAGATCAATACAATTGAGCAGCTGTTAGCATGTATTGGTTTCCTTATATTTTAAGTATGTTTTCATGTTTTGAAGGTGTAAAGGGATGACAGTATGTTTTGTTGTGGTTTTCATCATACAGATAAAAACTTATTACAGTTGAAATCTTGGTGAACATAATACATTTTAAAATTTCC
Source organism: Homo sapiens (assembly GCF_000001405.40). NCBI lineage: Eukaryota > Metazoa > Chordata > Mammalia > Primates > Hominidae > Homo > Homo sapiens. The sequence goes on along the minus strand of NC_000002.12, from coordinate 181,635,456 downwards.
ATTCCTCACCCATTTATCTAGATATTTAGACACAGTAAAATAAATAACATGGATACATTTTTGTCATGTGATTTATGTTTTTTAAAAAGTAGAAATAAATTTCTCTAAAAGTTATTTTTATTTTTTAAATTTAGCATTTTTCATATTTGAGGAAAAAACAATATGTCTTGGTACCCTAGCTTCTGAACTAATAACACACCTGTCATTTTACAGGTTATTTTAATGTTTTTCATTGGGATCAAACCTACTCTGGAAATATCTCATGGGTGAGCTTTATTTTTATGAAATGTTCTTGGCACTTGAAGACCTTTGTAGGTACATGCCAGACTCATCTTACATCCAGTTCTTCTGCATGGAAAATATGTGCATTGAAATTCTAAGTGCCTTTTCAAATTTGACCTTCTTAGAGAATAATATGAGTCCCAACAATTAGGAAAACTATGGAATGCCTTTTGGCCTTTACTTTTCAAAGATTTTCAGTCAGTAATGTTTAATTAGCATTCATTGTGTACATTGTCCTTTTTTGTGTGATATGGCTAGTTCCAAAGGAATATTCTAGAAGATCTCAGCCTTCTGCTATTGAAGGTGATAATACACTACTAAGTTATGTGTTGCTTTACATTAAAATAATGTTGCAGCAGTTACTTATTGCTTAACTAGCGGGTATAGGACATCAGGTTGAAATAACTGATTTTGAAGTGAAGAGTTCTTGTTTATATCTTAAACTAACCAAGTATGTTCATTAACTTTGAGAATAACAATGATCTTTTTCATTATTCTTGAGTAGACTGGATAAATCAGAAAACCCATGTTAGAGGTCCCTGTAAAAACTTCAGTCTTATTTGGTAAGTCCCTTTATAAGAGTTTCAATAAAATCAGGTAAATTTAAACTCTGAAAATTCTACGTACTGTCTATCATGTTCAATTTACTGTTAACCAGTACTATGCACTGGAAAAAATTTTTTTCACCTTAATGAGACCACTGGTCATTACTGCTGCTACTGATGCTCTTTTGTCTGCACATACTGTTGCAACATAATGTGTTGTGCATTTGATACGGATATTATCATATTGCCATAAGGAGCTGCTATTATTTTAGACACCAACTGATTCCATGATAGTGTCAGATTTCTTTAACATATGCTTATGTTTTTGTACAAATGACCCCAAGAAACATCTGCTAGTTTTGTGGTGGTATCTACTGTTTCTTTTTTAGAATTTGACCTGTCAGTCACTTTTTAACGTGAATCTACAATATTTGAGTTGTATTCCTTTCTCGTTTTTATGCTATTGATATTAACAAAATTGAGTCAGTTTTATGGCATAATTCAGAGAGAAACCGAAGCTGTCTATGGATGTTATTTTAAAAATACCTTTTTCATGATGATTGTGCCTTTAAATTTTTGTCATTGATTGACACTTTAAAATTGAAAAGTGCCCTTTTAATGGATCCTTTAGGTTCCAAAATCTTAAGTTGAAAATTTCTGTCTATTGGTCCTGAAAGTACTCTCTGAATTTGATAAGTATGTAGTAGTTGTGGTGTATCCTTGGTCAGTTTATATCCTGTGCTAATTGCTAATCTTACTTAGTTTCTTTGATGCGTGTGTGAAGACAGGCAAAGAAAAAGGAAGTGGAATTTCTACAAAACTGTGAAATCTTTACTTTATGGAGACTAGAGAAATTTCTAAGTAAAAGAAGACACTCATTCTATTGTAGTTAGGATCCCTTCTTTTACTTGCTTTTCATGATCTTGACTGAAAAGCAACAATTGAGATTTCCATTGCCCGACGCTTTCTCTTCTGCTTTTCTTTTTGTTTCTCTTGCATTTTTAAAGACAGCTATTTATTCAAAAACAATATGAACTTTTATTTATTGGACTTAAACCTGGAACATCAACAAAACAAAGAACAAACAAAACTACCTTTCCAAATTTATTTTATTAGAGGATGCTATCAATACAATTTTGTATTATGTTCACACTTGATACCAAACCTAAACCCAAGAAAGTGTGTCCTGTGTTACAGCCTATCCCTCTGTTTAAGATAATAACTAGAACAATTTACTTTTATTTTCTACTCATCTGCTTTCTGTGTATCAGCTGTTGTCCTCCCTCAGCCTCGAAGCATGTCATCATTTCCATCTCCGTGCTCATTCAGTCATCCTTGCTGCTCTTAGTCCCCTTTTTGTCCCTTGGGTGACTTATGTCATTAGGACAACCTTCTGTCCCCACTTGGCTGAAACTGAGCTGAGGCCCTTGCCAGTTGCATTAGGTGTGGCACCTTTCATGGCTCAGTTTGGGCCTCTGTGATATCTGTGTGCCTTCTACTCCAAACTCCATTCTGCCAGAGGTGGCAGGGTGACTGGAAGCTTTAGTTTCAGTGACAAAACCCAAGCGTGGCTATGCTGAGTGTCTAAGTAGCTTTCATTTAGGCCTGAAATAGGAGAGTCAGGCGCCTCTGTGTCCCCTGAGAAAGAGAGATTTCCCTCAGCTCTCTGGGCCCAGCACTCAACCATTTAAGTCAGCTGGTTAGTATAATTTCCCTAAATTGTGGTTTAGTTTCCCTATGAGTAGGACTGGAGTAGGACCAAGTAAGGAAAGTCCCTAGTGACCTTTCTGCCTCCTGAGGAGCAGGCCATTTACTTTGAGTTGTAGCTTCCCATCTGTCTGTCCCCACTACCCTATCCAAGGCCCTGGAGGAGCCACAGGATGAGGGAGGAGATTCATGGAAAAGCGCCTTCAGGTACTGGGTATGTCTGGAGTAACATTTAAAGTTTAAAAGACTCTTTAACAATTTTCCTCTGATACTTACTACTGCCTATACTTGTTTGGTTTTAGTACAGTAAGTTTTGCCTATCGTGGGGGTGAAGAAAATAGAAATATTCCCATTAACTTTGTATGGTGCTTGGTATGACACCCTGAACAGGTGCACCCGTAATTGTTTACTTGATGTTCTTTTTAATAAGTCAATTATATCATCGGAAATTGAAGAATAGCAAAGTTAATTTGTTTAATCATTCTATGGGAACTCTTGCATGCTCGTTCACTAGAGGAACATTGCGTTTCTCCCTTAAAGGACAAGGCTTTGTTTTGTTTTTAATAAGACACACTCTTTATAATTAAAACAAAATCCCAGTGTTAAGGGATTTCTGTTTTAAATAATTGGATTTCTTTCCTTTGTTCCTCTAATCCCTCTATATGAGAAAAAAATCTAATGGTGTCTTAGGATAAATATTTTTAGATTAAAAAGTTCTCTTAACCACTGAAATTTAATAATACTTCTCAAAGTTTATGGATGATATAGAATGTAATGTAAGGTTGAGAATTTTAGATTTGGCAAAGGCAAAGATACAAAAACTAGTGAAAAACAACAAACTGGAAACACTTTTAAAATACTGATGTATTTATCTTTGCAATAAATTATTCAGAAATATAAATAAACTCACTATTTACATAGTTTTATTTAAATTTGTCCTCAAAATACTAAATTTAGTACTATATATTTTCTTCTTTCAGATAAATGCTTTCCTGAAAATGGTATTTTAATATCTACAGATGGTTTAGTTTAACAATGGTTGGGGTAAAAATGACATAGGGAAAAGCAAAATGTGACAGCCCAGCTTGGTTACCTTTAGAGAAACTCAGAATAAACTCTATTCCCATTTCCTTCTCTTTCCCCTTTCCATACTCGAGAGCCCTTTTCTGAGACTCTTAAGTCATGTTTGGGCCTTGGAGAGGATAAATAGCAGGGTGGGTGGTAAAAGGGGAGAGTGCTTTGCTTGAGGCAAAGTTTTCCTCCATATGGGACCTTCCTCAAGCCCTCCCTTCAAACCCTTTAAATGAGAGCATGAGCTCCTAGGACAGAGGTCATGTGGAAAGCAGCATTAGCATGAAGGGGGGTGCTGTGGAGGGGTGTAAGGTGCAAAAAGCAGCATTAGCATGGGGGAAGGTGGGGTGGAGGGGTGTAAAGGGAATGAGATGTGAAGTGGTTAAAGGGCCATTTTTCTAGTTGGCCTCTGGGCTTTGATGAACCTTTTCCAGTGTGCCTGTTTCTCCACTTAGCCCTGGGCTAATCTTGACTCTTAACTTTCCAGGTGTGTATCTATGCTGATTTCTCCTGGGTTTGGAAGCTCTGAGAAGCTCTGGTTCTAGTTCAATCACAAGACTTTTAAAGAACCAGAAAAATAAAACAATTTTTTAAAAAGTAATGAAGAAAAGACTTTTAAAGAACCAGTGAAAACCTGGGAGTAAAAATATAGAAGACTTGAGAAATTTCATCTTTACCTTTCAAGTGGGCAGCATGAGAAATTCTTGTAAATGGTGCTTTCAAATCTTACACAAGGTTCTCAGTTACCTTTATTTGTACTCCCTAGACTGTATTGCATCCCTTGCTATGTTGACTAATTCCCACCTAAAATAATTCAATGGCCTCCCAATATAATCTGGCATTCTAATTAATAAGCTAAGAAATTATTTGGTTTTTCACTCATTGGCGTTAAATATTCTTCAGTGCCCACATTTGGAAATATTGGAACACAGAAATGAAAAAAGATACAATCAGTTTCTCTGCTTGCCATGTTTTCCTTGATATGGCAATACGACAACAGGTCACCCTTTGAAGAAAATTCAGAGATGCTAAAGTAGAAATTAAAACTGAAGATAAGTCAAGGCAGGATAGTATAGGAGTCTGCTACAGCTGCCATAGCAAAATACTACAGCCTGGGAGGCTTGAACAGAAATTTATCTTCTCACAGTTCTTGAGGCTAGAAGTCCAAAATCAAGGTGCCATTGGGGTTGGTTTCTGAAGAGGGTTCTCTTCCTGGCTTTCAGGTGGCCACCTTCATACAGCATCCTCACGTGGCCTTTTCTTTTTGCCTGCATGGATAGAGATCTCTGGTGTCTTCCTTGTAAGAACACCAGTCCTATTGGATTAGGACCCTATGCTATGACCTCATTTAACCTAATTACCCTATTTAAGGCCCTGTCTCTAAATACAGTCACACTGGGGGTTAGGGCTTAAACATATTTTAGGGGAACACAAGTCAGTCCATAACACGTGATTTGCTATAGTTTTCCTTTACCTAAATCTTTTCCAACCTTGAGAGTGGATTTTGGCCAGGTGTGGTGGCTCACACCTGTAATCCCAGCACTTTGGGAGGCCAGGGAAGGTAGATTGCTTAAGCCCAGAAGTTCAAGATCAGCCTGGGAAACATGGCAAAACCCCGACTCTGGGGGGGCAGGGGGAGTGGGGGAATTAGCTGGGCTTGGTGGCGTTCACCTCTAGTCCCACCTACTCAAGAGGGTGAGGCTGAGGCTGGAGGATTGCTACAGCCCAGGAGGCAGAGGTCACAGTGAGCAGAGATCACACCACTTCACTTCAGCCCTGGGTTACAGAGTGAGAACTTGTCTCAAAGAAAAAAAAAAGTGGGTTTTATTCTTCCCCTTAAATTCCTATTAATAGTGAGGTGAGGCTTCTTGTGTTTTTTTTTTTTTTTTCCAAGACAATGGTTAATGTGTGATTACTTAAAAATGATATATAACACTAAGAAATAAAGAATTGTTAAGTGAGAAGGAACATATTAAAATGGCTTGGAAAGATGGGTAATTTTTTACATTTTAAGTAGGTTTTCTCAACTCTAACTCTGTGGAACTTGGTCAATCTAATCAGTCTAAATATAGCACAAATAATAATAGTTATATGGACAGGAGAAATAGTAGCCCTCAAAGATAGTGAAATACATCTGAATATCACTAACAATGTCATGAATTTGCTTGTTCTAAAGTTTTCTGAAAGTATGAATTCATAACTGAGTTTTTTTTTTTTTGCCTATGACTACTAATGTTTGAGGAGAGAGTAGTGTCAGAACCACCCCCCCATTTATTACATGTTTATTTCATATTTTGGTACTGAAATCAGTGTTTATTTTGTGTCTTCCTGATAAATCTTGCCAATAAGTAATTACCTTCCATACTGAAAAGTTCTTAGGATTACCAGGTTGCTGGGGGCAACCTTAAAAGGCCATGCAGAACATTGACTTAGGTGGCTATTACCCTGCTTTATTCAGGTCTGAGCATTTACTTTCCTACTACAATCAGAATACTGACCTACATTTAAAAGTGCAACACTGCCCTGTTATCTAAATCCACTGTGTTCCTGAGAGGAAATACCAGAAAAGAGGGCACCAATATTATTTTTCTGCTGTTCTTGATCATAAGTGATTACCTTTTTTTTTGGTTAGGCATTCTGCTTCTGAAAGATAACTGAGGTTGAAGTTAATAGAACTAAGATTCTTATATAAAATCATAGGAAAGATAATTTTCAGGATTATTGAATCATATTGAAAAATGATATAATTGTGTTAAAAGATAAGGACTAAAATGAGTTAATTCAATTTGGAAATAGTTAAATTAGAATTTGCTTCTGTTTTTGATGAATACTGCTTTTTGAAAAATCTTCTGAGTATTTAAGCTTTTACTACTCTAGTCATTCTCTCTAAAGTAGACATAGAAGCGTGTTCTTATCTTGATTTGGTAAGGCTCTGAAAATGCAAAGCAACAGATGTTGTACCCAGCATAATTATATGTATCCTGGAAACACATCTTTATTGAGTGGGATTTGTTCTTGGGGAAACAAAAATTTGGCAAACAAAGGACATTAACTTGCTGATCTCAGCAGTAATTACTTGGGTTAGATTATAATAATCTTGTGTAGGTGGTAACTGCATGCATATATTACAAAATCTAATTCTAAAATACGTACATTAAAAGGAAAATGAACTTGCGCAAACTTTAGATCATGTATCCCCTTGAAGAGCAGAAAAGATCTCAATTTCATTATTTGAAAGTTGTTTGAACAGCTTTTTGGAAGAGGTTTCCAGGATTCCAAATCCTAATATGTGTATTGATACTGAGGCTTTGGACTAATCTTTGGGGGTTACTGCCTTTTTTATGCCCACTGAAAATAGAGCATTTCAAACAAATGAACTGATCTCTGATCTTTAAGCATGCCAGTAACTCTTTGGAACAAATCCATAGTTATTTTTACCAATGACTGTATTAAAACAGTACTTTCTGTATTATCTCTTCCATTCCAAGGCCATTTTAAAACACCCTCTTTCTCTTCTCCCAATAGGTAAAGTACGACAGAGCTCCTTAGGACTGGGTTATGGAGAATTATCTGGAGGTCAATTTGAGAACCACTGTGCAAACCATTTCTTAAATAAGTAGCTACAAGGTTGTCCTTACAAAAATTTCTGAAGTTGATGGTGTTGCGTTTTGGAGTCTGAAGCTTAAATAAGAGTTTGTCAGTGGTCATGGTCTAAATAGCTGATTACTACCAAGGTCATCTAATTTTTTTTTAACACAAAAAAATGTTCTGAGCACAAATGAAACCTTCAGGACAAGACATTTATGTTTTGAGAATGTTCTTAAATGATTCCTGTCGTGTATCTTATTTTACATATCTTAATGATCAGCATGTATTTTTTGTTGTTGATGATGATTTTATAAATGTGCTATCACCTAGTTTCTAATTCCTAACAGCTCCTTCATCAGTAGAATATTGCTGTAGCACAGTTTTGCCATCTGTTAAGAAAAGATGGTGACTAATAAGAGTGGCACATTTCAGGGCTGGTGTGCTATCGCAACATCTAGTGTTTTAGTACTGAGGACAGTGATGTATGCAGTGTTCCTTACAGCCATGGGGTGTGGGAATGTTTTCCTCTTCGGCAAAGTCTGTGTATTTCTATAGCTGAACTCTCAGGATCCAGAGGAAAACCACAAGATGATGAAACCAGATGATTGTCATCAAATTTCTATTCCCCACTACATGATTATTAGTTTTCGTCAAAAGAAATACTCATCCTATCCTGGGTTGGAATTGGTAAAGAATTTTGCATTGTGACTAGGACACCTAAAAGTTTTTAGGATGAGTACAAATGGAATTTGATAGATTTCCCCAAAATGTTTGGGAAAAGATTTATTCCTCCCTAGGAACAGCAAGAGTAGCAGCATCACATGAGGCAACTCCTGGTAATTTTTTCTTCTTGCTCTTATTTCAATGATATCTTTTCATTCTTTTCTGTATCTCTCAATTTCTATGTTTCTCCTCTTAATGTATCCTGTAAATTTCTTAGTAGAACCTTTTTACTAATGAGGGTTTCCTAGTTTGCTTTAGGAGGCACTCAGGATGCCCCCTTTTGTAAGGCAGTAAATTGAAAATAAGAACTTGGTGAAGGTCCACGTGACGGTTAGTTTCCATTCTCCATTGTACCAAACTGCTACAGGGAAAGAACCATATTTAATCAACCTCAAATCCTCAATATTTAGGTCAGAAAACACTTGGCATAGAAGAGACACTCAAATTTTGCAGCTAAATAGATTATTGATAGAAAATATGTTTCTTGCCTCTACAAGCAATATGAAACCAATACAATCTCTAAATATCTTCAGACTACTAGGGGCAAATACTGTATTATAAGAATAATTCTTCAGAAAGGAAAATCCAGCTACTCTCATATCACCTCTCTATGTTGAAAGCTAGGGAAGATAAACTGGCTTCCAGCCAGTGAGAGTCCATGTGGACCTAGTGCTGGCTGGAGATCCCTAATCCAAAGGCAAGAGCCAGATACTGGTTGTCTGCTGAAAATCAGAAGATGACCTCTCTGGTAGTAAGGCCAGTGACTCATCCCTGCATCTTTTATCCTCTTCTGATTTGTATAAGGATCTCTCCTTTTTCCCCAGTACCCACTCTCAAGAATTGCTTTCCTTTTTAACATGATCATACCAAAATGTATCTAACAGTACCTTGATTTCCTTTCTGAGGAATTTAGGGAGCATATTTACTTTGTCAGACTCATTAGAGGTTTGGCTTCTTGGTCGGGTTCTTAAATGGACAACTTGTTTGGGTGATTTGGCAGAGAATAGGAGAAGCCAGTCCCCTCTGATAGAGCAAACCTGGGGAGCTGTGGTTGACCCACCTGCTAACTGTCCTGTACAATTAGGCATGTGGCATCAGTGGGTGACTGACCAGAGCCACCATCTCAATGGCGGCTGTTCTTTCCTTCCTGTGCCTTCTCAGATCTCTTTTTTGTTCTTGTTACTCCACTATATTGGTTTTTCTTGAGTTTTTTTCAAGCAAATATCATTATTCACTTCTACTGCAGTTCCTCTGTTGTTCGCTTTTTCTCTTAGTCTTCATTGTTTTCCATTTTGAACATTCAGAGATCCATCAAAAAAAGTAAAATAACAGGAAGGGAGAGGTAAACACCAGTCAAATGAAGTATTATAATAGTGTATTACTATACTCTTTAAAGTAATTGAAGGGTGGTTTTTTGGGGTCAGAATATCTGTTAGAATTTGGAATTTGCCACTCTTGAGACTGGGGCAAGCTATTTAAACTCTAAGCTTATCTGTCCTTCCTCACAATCTGTAAAATGGGATCATAATAATGGCACCCAGTTTATGGTGTAGTGAGCATTCACTGACACAATTAATCTAAACTTATTTGCACTACATAGAACAGAATTTTTGTCTATTAAACAATATAGCGTTTTAGGCATGAAAGAAACTTTAGATTAAATTAAATATCATTTTTCTTACCACAGGGTAAGTTTCTGTTTTGTTTGCCCCTGTTTCTCTAACTCCTAGAATAGTTTCCAGCACATAGAGATTAAACAAATATTCGTTGAATGAATGAATGCATCTATTCTAATCCTCTTGTTTTAGGAATGACCCGTCAGGCTCAAAAGTGAAAGCATTTCCCTCAAGATTGGTGACAGAGTTGGGGACTAAATCTAAGGCTTTCTCTTCCTACACCAGTGTCCTTTCTGAGAACACGATGCCATTTTCTCAATATTTGTTTATTTATATGGTAAATTGGTAGGAAGCTGTGTGGTACTATAAGAGGATAAACTTTGATAATGAGGTATACTTGCTATCAAATTCTAACATTCTCATTTAAAACATGGCATACCATTTGTCTTCTACATTTTCATATGTAAAGTGAGGTGATTTCTACCTTATAGAACTATTGTGAGGATTAACTGAACTAATCTTTGTAGAGCACCTGGTCCCATTTATTTTTTTTTTTTGCTCACCCCACCCCCCAACTTTCTAGCTAGATAACTTATACATTCACTCTGTTTTTCATTCCTTCTTGAATCTCCTGTGGCCAGACTTGACCCCTGTCACTCTACAGCTTACTCGTCAAGGTCAGTCCTCATCTGACTTGACCTACTAAGAGTCTGACAAGTAGTCACACTATGCTCCTTGATACAGCTTTCTTCACCTACCTTCTTGGATGTCATTCTTTTGGTTCTCCTCCTACCCCATTGGGCTGCTTTTTCCCAGTCTCCATTCTTGGGTATTCTCATTTTCCCATGTCTGTCCTCTGACTTCTTATTGTCTCTGTTTCTGTTTTCTCTGGTTGGACCTTCTCTAGTTTCTGGCTTCAAATACTATCTAAATGCTCATGTCTTTCAAATTTGTAACTCTAGTCTAGACCTCTCCTCTGAATTCCAGTTTTATAAATCTTCTACTTAAATATTAGAGGTCTAATAAACTTCTCAAACTTATGTTCTACAACAAACTCCACATTTTCTCCTGCAGCCTCTAAATATGTACCTCCTATAGATTTTCCCATTTCAGTAAGTGGGAACTTCATTATTCTGATTGTCCAAACCAAAAACACTTGGAGACTTGCTACATTCCACCCTTTGTCTTTCATTCTACATCCAACCTATCAACAAATCCTGTTGCCTCTTCCTTGGAAATATATCCACGCTTGAGCAGCATCATTGTCACCACTTGGTGTTATACACTCTCATTTCTCACCTGGAGTATTGTATTTCTCATCTGGAGTAGTGTCTGTCCAACGATGTCCCCCATCAGTCTGTTCTCCATGTAGCAATTTCGTTTTTGTTTGTTTTAAGATTGGGTCTTACTTTCGCCTTGGCTGGAATGCACTGGTGATCATAGCTCGCTGTAGCCTTTAATTCCTGGGCTCAAGTGATCCTCCTGCCTTAGCTTCTCCAGTAGCTAGGACTACAGGCACACAACCACACTTGACTAATTTTTTTTTTTTTTTAACTTTTACTAGAGATGGGGTCTCCCTTTGCTGCCCAGTCTAGTCTTGAACTCCTGGCCTGAAGTAATCCTTCTGTGCCAGCCTCCCAAAGTGTTGGGATTATAGGCATGAGCCACCATGTCTGGCCCAGATGTTAATTTTAAAGTGTACATTAGAGCACATCGTTCTTCTGCATGTTCAGCATAAAATCCAATGTCCTTAATGTAGTCTATATTACCCTACATGGGCTACTTGTGCCTGATCCCTCTACTCTTATGTCTTATCCCTCTCCTGCTTTCTCACTAGCACCAGCCACATCTTACCGTTCCTTGAACACACCAAGTATGCATTTGCCACAGGACCTTGATGCTTACTGTTCCCTTTGCCCAGAAACCCTTGGAACCAGCTATGTGTTAAAATTCAGATATTTACTGATTTTAGAGAGCTAAAATGGGGTATATATAATATATTACATAACACTCACAGCTGGTTTGTGGTAGCATTTCATAATTAAATAATATTTCTGAATGAAACATTAAGAATGCCCATGCTAAGAGGGATGAGTAAAGACTCAACTCTCATTGTCAGTTCAGCTGCAGAATGAGGTCAGCTCAAGATTTGCTGCCAAATGACTTAAGAAAAAAATGTTTTTGGAGCTTTGGGGATTTCAGAATTGCAGATGAGAGATTCTAGACCCGTACCTACACAGCATGCTCCCTTATTTTGTTCCAATCTTTGTTCAACGATTATTTATTGGGTAGTCAAGGAAGATCTCTGTCTAAAAGGCTTCTCTGTGTGGAACAAGACTGGCATGTGGAAGGTTTCCAATTAACGATATTGAAAGAGTGAAGCTCAAATCATTTTTCACTCAAATACATACTATTTAGAAGACAGTGGCCAGTTTAAGAATAATCATTATTGGAAACAAAGTACTATTTGATTAGGGATAGTTAACACAAACACTTATTAGTATTAGGGATATGTGAAATACTTAATGGATGAGTCATGTGCTGACATAAAACCCATTATCCATTTTAGTTCCTGGTAGCCTAACTGGTTGAACTCTGTTTTATTGATCTATTATTGATTTGGCCTGTAACTTCAAGTTACATTTTAATGTAATTTCATCCTTTTCTGATCACCTTGTGTCTTCAAGCATTTTTAAGCAGTTGATAGATAGTTGAAAGATATTATCACTATTTCAATCTAAAAGATATTATCACTATTTTAATCTACTTAAAATTTTTACTACATTCATTTTAAGTATGACTTATGGAACGAATCGAAAATACAAGATAGTGAAAAACTTGTGAGGATCACCTGAAATTTTAGCATTCACTTTCCTTACATAGAGGAACTTAGTCTCTCTAAAGAATTATGAGTAATAAAGTATCATAATGATATTTGTCTTAGTTTTGGTTAAGTGTACTCCACAGGAGAAAGTTAGGCATGAGCAGGAATTATTGTAGTCCCACATTCTCAAACAGTTCTCCAGTAAGAAAGATTTTATGTGTTTCCAGAAATCATTTTCCTCCTCTTCAGAGCTTTGGGACCATAATTGTATTTAAATTGCTAATCTGTTTTAAGGAATCATAATAAATTGTTTAACATTTATATTCAATCAACTTTGTAATTTGTATAAATTTTTCAGGGTGACATTTGAACAATTTTTAAGAAAATGGGAAATACAGAAGTATTCTTAGTTTTAATATATTTTAAAAAGATGACATGTGATCTACTGACTGAAATCCTTCAATCATTTTTGTTTTTCTCCCCAAGATTAGATAGAATGGATGTGATTTTATTTTTAATTTGCATTATGGAGAGTACTTTTGGGGGGTTTTATGAAAAAGACTTCATTTATTTTGTTAGTGGTACTTCAGTTGCATAAGAAAATGTTCTTTTAAATATAGTGGTCATTTGTGTGCAGCCTTCAAGTTAGCAAACATGCCTTTGAGTAGTCACTATTTTTGAAGGTCTTTATATCTGATTGCAATGGCTTATATTCAATAGTCCTCCTACTAAATGAAATAAAAATGGATGCCTCTTCTGCCACAGAGGCACAGGTGGACATGTTGGTAGCAAGCCCCATGCGGTGTGACACATGGCACAGCCCAACATGGGGGCAAAGAGCATGCGGCTTGAGCTAGGAGTCACTTTATGGCTACTTTAGTGTAGATTTGTGTTTTTCTGTGGAACAGCCATTATTGAAGACATTTATATAGTATGATGTTTGTTTTTCATTAAATGCTGATTGTGATTTCTTAAAAATAGTTAAGACTTGATTAGCAGAACCTATTTAGAAGCCAGAGTTCCCCTGCTTCACCTCTTGCTATCTATATAAATGATATTTTTGACTCTGTCCTTTATAATGTTGGCACCCTGTGCATATTAGATGTAATCAGGGCTGAAAGGAAACTTGAATCCATCTGGAAGCAATAAACTTTTCTAAAAGACTGCACAGTGTTATTTAATCCTGTGACTTCTTACTGTGAGTGAAATTAAGGTTTGATGCAGTTGTGTCACATCGTATTGATATCAAATTTATCTTTCTAAAAAAAAACTGACAGTATTACAGCACAGAGGAGAAGATGGCTTGCTGTAATCCTGTAAGCTATTTTACATTGATTACATGCTACATAATGTACCTAAGTATATAAAATACTTGATCTAGAATGTTTATGTTTTCTCCAAAATTTTCTCATCAGGTAATACTTTCTCAACTTCACCTTTAGTTTTGGCTTCTTATCATAGTACTAACTATGCGGTAGTAATTGTGTTATGATGAAAGGCATGGAGAAGAAATTATAATTTTAAAACTATTATAAAGTGGAGACACACTTGTATAATTACCATCTATGTAGACTGCCAAGGTATAAACATTTAGCTTATTTTAGTATCAGACTCTTTGAATCAATTTAAGGCTTTTTCAATAAAATTGGCTTCCTCTAATTTCTACTCCAAAATGGTTAAAATTTTGTTTTACTTCAAATACGTTGTAGGGTATCATATTTCATGTGACTAGGAGCCTAAACTATATCAGCTGACTGGCATAATTTGTGAATTATATGTGTGTTTATTAAAATTTAAAGTTTTTATTAAGACTTACAATTTTATTAAGACTTAATTTTTTTCCTTACATTTTGAGTAAGTCCAACTGAAAATAACTTAGAGACTTAGGAAATTTGACTACATTTTATAAGTAATTTCCTTGTAATTTTTCTTTCTTGTGGAAACAATTCTTACTGATTTACTTAACTCTTTTTTCAATGGCAAAAATGAAAACCAAATATATTTGTCAACTATATTCTTTTAATTGTGGAAATGAAAGGTTCATATCCCCCATTTGCCTAGCATATTAAAAATAAACATGACCTTTGTCTTGAATGTTGTTAACTTGGATTTTAAAAATCAAACCAATTATAAGCTATATTAAAATTGCTTATCACCTTCCCTTTGTCTTCAGTAAGTCTGGGCCTAAAAATACTCATCATATGAATAAATAAAGTTTTACAAATACTTTTTAGAACATCTTGAATTATATGTGTGTTTGAAGCTTACTTTTGGATGTTCGGTCAACAAGGCTTCTGACAGTTTCTTTTTATCTTCCCTCTATTCCCTGCCACTGTGCACCCCAAAGTGATCCCTGACCACAGTGGTCCCATTGCTGGCATCAGGAAGGTAGACTGAGGAGTTCAGGTATCCTAGAGGCTGTTAGGTGAATCTCTTCTACCTCTTTCCTGGTCCTAGGACCACTGGACACTTCAAGTAAAAATAACAATTACTTTAATCTCTCAGGTAAAGTTTCTTCTCCCTTCCAGCAACACAGATCTGCCTGTGCCGAGTTCAAATACTCTGAACTTTCAACAGTTGTTCTGAATACTTTTTTGTCATCTTATGATCAAATATTGAGAGCATTGAGGGGATAACTGAATGGGCATGGTATAAAAGTCAGACTTTTAGTGTTTCTAAGTAGCAGAACCCTTTGGACAATTTAGAGGGCTGTGCGATATCCTCACCGTGACTGCTGGGAAGTAATGGGATCTGACCTGCAGAGGTACTACCTTGGCTGACAATAATGACAAAAGTGAGAGCAAAGTACATATGACTATCCTTGAGGTCCTCAGGAAAAAAAGAGTATTAGTGAGTTGAACTGTATGTAAGGGTCTTTACCAATAAGGAAGCCCATGCCCAGACATAATCCTTACACCCTGGCAATAGAAACCATCATTGTGGTTTACATCTCATCCTGTTCCTACAGTCCAGCAAGTTCAGGCCACAAAAGGTTTAAGCACTTTTTCCTTTGTTCTCATAGCAACAGTTGCCCATGGAGGTTCAGTTACACTAATATTAACATTTTAATATACACAAAGAAGTGCCTCGAATGTAGTAGGTATTCAAACTTGTTAAATGAAAGAAGTAAACTTTCAGACTTACCTTGAACTACTACAGTTTTATTCTTTCTCTAACCTCTCCCACTACTACCATCTTAAAACCACCATTTAATTAGTATTTTATAACAAGTTATTAAAGGCTTTCAAAGACCTTTGAACCTTCACCCTCTGGTAAGTTAATAACTTCTGATATGCGATTAAATGTCAACTGAGTAGTAGTGGGCCCTAAGAGCTCAGAGGGACTGAGAAATGAAGGTTATTGTTTAGAAGAGTGGCTCAATGTGCTTCGACAGTTGGTTAATATTTGAAAAGACTAGAGTCAAGAAAGCCTTCCATGTGCTAGGAAATGAAGGAGCAAAGGTCCAGAGGTGGAAATGTATACAGTGTGATTAAGGGATTTTCTGATTGATAGTAAATACAGTCAATAAAAAACTTTTATTGGAAGCCTAGCCTGTGTTTGAAGCATTAAGCTAGGTGCTGGGATACAGAGATTAGAGATGAAGATAATGATGAAGATATTGTTGAAGTGAATTGCTGAGAAGCTGGAGAAAGGGCCAATTACCATAATCTGAGGCTCAGGAGGAATTGGTGCAAAGATCATCTGGTATGATATATATGAACTGTATATACAAACTGATCTGTGTAGCTGAACTGATAATGCCAAAAAAAAAAAGACTAGGTTTTTGATTAAGATGAATCCATTAAGGTCATGTTTTCTGTTGGTGCCATTCTTGGAGACCTCCCCCAACCCTATACATTTATAAATGTTTTTCCTGAGGGACTGAGATGGAAGTGGACATATAAAAGGAAAGGTCTGGGCAAATACATAAGTAGGTAGTAAAATCAAGGAACAAATGATCTCAACAAAATTGCCCTTCTTGAAATGAATGAAAATGATGAAAGCCAATCACATTGCATGATGAACTTGGGGTATAGAATATGAAATATTTAAAATTGCTTTATTTCATGATGTTTCAGATGTAGTAGGAACTTGTTGCATAGATGGTGTAAAAACAATCTAGTAATAAAATCTTAGGTATTTAATACAAGGTGAAGAAAGATGCAATGCATAAATCATGCCATTTTAGGCTTAATTTTCATAAGGCTATGCCTGTCTTTATAAGACTATATACCAGGAGTTCTCAAGCTTTTTGGTCTTGGAACCCTTTTATACTCTTAAATCGTTGAAAACCACAAAGACCATTTATTTAAGTTATAACCATTGATATTTGTTGTATTAGAAATTAAATAGACATTAAAAATATTTACTATTTAAAAATAACCAAAAAGATGGGCATGGTGGCCCACACCTGTAATCTCAACACTATGCGAGGCCGAGGCGGGTGGATCACTTGAGGTCAGGAGTTCGAGACCAGCCAACATGGTGAAACCCTGTCTCTACTAAAATACAAAAATTAGCCAGGTGTGGTGGTGGGCGCCTGTAATCCCAGCTACTCAGGAGGCTGAGGCACGAGAATCACTTGAACCCAGGGAGATGGAGGTTGCCGTGAGCCGAGATTGCGCCACTGGACTCTAGCCTGGGCAACAGAGTGAGACTCTGTCTCAAAAAAATAAAAAAAATAAAAATAAAAATAACAGTAAGTTCATTGCATATTAACATAAATAACATATTTGTATTAAAAATAACTATTTTCCAAAACAATCAAAAAAGCAGTACCACTCTTCTATTTTAAATTTTTTCAAATCTCCCTTTTCTAAAAAAAAAAAAAAAATATTGTGTAAGTTTAAGGGGTACAAGTGCAATTTTGTTGCACGGATATATTGCTTAGTGGTGAAGTCTGAGAATTTAGTGTATCTTCACCCAAATAACATACGTTGCACCCATTAAATAATTTTTCAACACCCACCCCCTTCTCACTCTCTTGAGTCTCCTTTGTCTATCATTCCACACTCTGTTCCTATGTACACATTATTTAGTACCCACTTAAAGTGAGAACATGTGGTATTTGACTTTCTGAGTTTTTTCAACTCTGGCTTAATAGAAGACAGCTGAAATCTCAGAATGCTTCTTCATCCAGTCTGTTGTGAATATGTTGCTTTGATTCAAGTATCTAAGGAAAATACAGTTTTACACAGATGTGCAGCTGAAAAGGAAACATCTTTTAATATGTTCAGATAATTGTGGATATTGTCCTTTGATACTATAGCAAAACTTATCAAGTGCTAATTTCTTAAAGGCTGGTTATAATTTGAAATCTGAAAACATATCTATTTAATTGTAGTTTGCTATTTGAAAATTTATTGGTCTGTCTTGTACTTTGAATGGATATTTTGCCCACGTATGATTTTATAACATCCTGTATTGGCCTTTTGGAAAATTTGGTTTACTATTATACAGTTTCTAAATGTTGATAATTTTTATTATAATATATTTTAAAAAGTCTAATGTCACTGCCAGTCTCATCAGAAAATTCTTTGAGATTAGAAAGCTGTTAAGATCATCATCACACTTACAAGTTTTACAAAATTTTAATTTTACTCAAAACTTTATATTTTATCATTGACAAAGCTCTCAGTTGCTTTGCTTAGTGACTGACTCACTTTGTTCATTTTCCAGAAAGTGTTTACCAAATGCTGCTGCCTCAATACCAGAGTCTGTATTGTCAGTTGATCTTTCAAGTAAAAAGTGGTGTTCTATGAAAAACAGCTAGTTCAGCTGCGACTGAAATGATATAAGTGTTTCTCCTGGAGCAAACCACCACTTCGATTTGTAGCAGAAATGCTGTATGTATACTTTCCATTGTTATTACTCATAACATTTTTAAAAATATACTCAAGGGTGGAGATTTTTTTAAAAATAAGTGTTATTGCTTCATCAAGAACAGTTAAATGAAACTGGATTTTTTAAACTGAGTTTGAGTTAATGAAGAATGCAGCAATTATTAGTAAAATTTGGTGCTCCACCTTGATTCATACTGACACTCCAGGAGTTTTACCCACTATTTCTTTTGTACCTTTAGTGCAAATGTTAATATGGTAGGAATGGTAAATGACATCTTTAGTATTATTATAAAAATCGTTTTTACCCTGTATACTCTTTGAGACTACACATTGAGAATTGCTGATGAAGGTGTTTTAATTTATCATAAGCACTGAAAAGATTTACTTAATTCACCAATTTCTCCTGAATATTTGTTTATATAAAACAAGACTATGTGTATACACCTACCTTTTTATTAATGGTAGAGATCTAGGAAAATTAATTTCTAAGAACTAGCCAGGATATTTGGAATGTGAATAAATCATATATCCAGAAAAAAGCTTTAGAAGATTGTCTATGATTGAAAGTCAAACAGCTCTCATTTCTATTATACTGTTCTTTTTCAAAGAATTTACCAATTTTATGTGGTATTTATGATTAAACATACACCATGTAATTTAACATTTTTAATGTCACTTTTACATCATAGGTATTAAAGATTAGCATTTTTATTGTCTGTATTTTAAAGCTCAAAGAATAACATTTAGGCTGGGTGCGGTGGCTCACACCTGTAATCCCAACACTTTGGGAGGCCGAGGCAGGCGGATCACGAGGTCAGGAGATTGAGACCGTCCTGGCTAACACAGTGAAACACCGTCTCTACTAAAAATACAAAAATTAGCCGGGCATGGTGGCGAGCGCCTGTGGTCCTAGCTACTTGGGAGGCTGAAGCAAGAGAATGGTGTGAACCTGGGAGGCGGAGCTTGCAGTGAGCCAAGATCGCACCACTGCACTTCAGCCTGGGTGACAGAGTGAGACTCTGTCTTAAAAAAAAAAAAAAAAAAAAAAAAATTTAGATTTTTGACTGTTTCATTGATTCATCTTAGACTTCACATGAAAATATCTGTATATCCTCAAATGCTTACATTCTTAAGAAGTATCTCAGCCATTTACACATGATAGAAACAACTAAATGGAAAAAAATTGCAGTTGGAAATTCACTATTTTTTATTTGATCCGATAACAATGTGACATTTGCGATTGGACTGTAATTTTCTGTCTTTCTCTCTGAAAATAAGTTCAAAAATTTCCCTCTAATTCTTTTACTAGATAAGAAGCCTACTTCGTTGTAACTCTTGATATATGTATGTATTTAGGAACTTAAGCTTTTCTGCTAATAAATGTTATGTCATAATTCTTGAGGATAGTATTATATTGTGATGGGTTTTCAGTAAACTACAGGAGCAGCCCTATTTGTTTAAACCCTAGTTTAACCTGATTATTAACAATTAAATTGTGTTTTCTTCTAACAATTAAAGTGTGTTTAAATTTATTGGTCCCTTGCTTCACAGATTTATCTCAGTATGTGGTGTATTCAAACAGAATTTTGTATTTTTAATTAGGGGATTAGATAACCAATTCTGAAGAGCCAAAAAAATTGTTAGACATCACATTGCTTAACCATCTAATATACCATAAGTGTGTGTATACACTATGTTGTGGGAGCCATCTATCAGGCAGGCCTGTTTTTCAGGCAGTATTTTAAAAAGTGGACATGTGCAGAAACTGTGAGCACAATTAGCGCCAAGCAGATAAATCCAGCTCTAATCCTGTTTACGGTCTACATCAGACAGATGTGCCAAGATTGATTTAGACAAGCCCGAGGCTTACAGTAATATTTTTAAAAGTGCCATTCGCTGTTCTATTTTTGTTAAACCTTTGCTAAATATTCTTAAGTCTTGTTGGTTTTGCTCTTCTTATTAACCACCGTAAGTAACCTACTTTAAGCAGGTCCCGCTTTGCTCTCATGGTGACAAGGTAACCTGCCAGGAGAGGTTATCTTTATTCCCTGTAATTAAGTTGACTTTTCCCCCCAAAAAAATACAACAATAGGAAGTGGGTGCTGAATTAAATAAATAGCATGATACCCAGTAGATGTATACTTAAGTTCCTTGCAAGAACAGATGGTCCCCAGTATCTCTGTAAGTAATGTGAGAGGACAGTTAATGTTCTGAAACAACTAGCTATAACCAGTATGATACTAATGAACCAGTAGATTTCAAATAATAAACCACATGCCGCCAAGCAAAATTATATGTCATTCATAAGGATTTAATTATCATAACTTGCAAAAAAGTGTCAATAGATGATTTCTATATTTTTATCTACTGATATCAAATATCAATTTATGAATAGAGTTTCACTTCATATTTTTTACCAATAAAGGTATGTTTTAACATTAAGGTAGAATTAAAGTTATATTTAAAATACATGCCCCAAAGTATGTGGTGATTTTTTTTTAACTCCTCTTTTACTATACTGTCTGTATGTATTGGGCTGTATATGGAAATGTAGCTTTTACATACAATTAGGAAAACAATTGCTTTTATTTCTAGCAGAAACTTGTACTATAACAGAAGTGGCTAGCATGGGAATCAGAGTAGTTATCTTGTAGATGACAACTGAAGCAGACATAAAAGATGTAATATTTTTTCAGCACTCAAAAATTTATAAGTAAAATTTTATAAACAAAAAGCAGTATTTTTGTGATTCATATGGAAAATAAAATGAGTCTGAGTCATTCTTAAGGTGATACCGTAAAGGTGTATAGATAAGAAGTCCATTTTTAAATATACCCAAGACAACAGTTTTTTCTCTCAGTATGGTTTGTTTTCCCTTTTTTCTCTTTAATTATGTTTCCCATAAGTATTTGTATATTCTAAGAATGTCCAAAAAATAAATGTTTTGCAGTGGGGGTTGAAAAGAAAGAAAGACCTTTTTAGATTTCAGCTGATCTTATCAGATGATCTCTAGAACCTTGAACCTTCAACCTTCACTGAAGTTAGCTGGAGGGCTTTTCACCTGGAAACCTGAGAAACCTCAGAAGCCTTCTGCTTTAGCTCTCTCTCAAGTCTAGGAAGCCAGTGGCCTGCGACCCCACAGAGCCAGCTGGTCCACTCCTCATATAAGAACTTCGGTAACAATACAAAGACATAGCAAAGCACCATCTAATCTGATAACTCATTAAACAATATTTAGATGGCTCAAGACTTTAAATAAAAACATTTTAAGCTTGTTTATAGAATACTAACAAGTTTTATTCCCAAAGACTATATTCAGAGTGAGAAAACAATTTTCCTTAAAACTAATATTATATACATGTTCATATATGTTAGGAACTAGTTATATGCAAAATCAAGTGACTCTTGTGATTAGAACTGGTCACATTTATTCATGTAGCATAAATGGTTAATATTGCCAAAATGAGTAATAGATCAGATTTTCTATGTGAGATATTGACACCTGAGAGATTTACAGTGTTTCACTGTTGTGAAAAATGGAGTGCTGAAGAACATTTGTCTATTGTTATACATTTGTAAAAGAATTCACAAATTACTAATTTCAAATAAGAACTAAATATTTCTTCTAAGCCTATAGTTTTTCTTTTTAATTTCTTCTAAGCCTACAGTTTTTCTTTTTAATTTCTTCTTGTAACATTGGCAAAAAGACCATTCGTGTGAAAACCTCAGATTTTGATCTGTACACAAATGCAGGAGTAGAGATTGGAAGCTTGAGCTGGAAAAGCAGGAAATACTGCTCAGAGCCTTACAAGGATTTTCAGAATTTTCACTGTTGGGTCCTCCTGGTTGCTGCAGTCTAACCTCGCATCTCCTTGAAGGCAGCCCCAGTTTCTGATGAAATACTCTTCAGTTAATTTATACATATGCTGTCTTGCTGTTTTCCTAAGGACTGCAGGCAGAACTGTGGTTCACCTACTGTTTTAAATTTGGCTAGATTTAAAAACAGATGATCTCACTTATATGTGGAATCCAAAAAAGTCAAACTTATAGAAGCAGAGAGTACAATTGCGGTTGTCAAGAGCTGGGGGAGGGGAAGCAAGGGGATGATGGTTAAAGGTATAAAATTTCAGTTAGACAGAATGAATAAGTTCTGGATCTATTGTATAGCATTGTGACTATGGCTAATAATGTATACTTGAAAATTGCTAATACCTGAAAATCACTAAGAGACTACGTCTTAAATGTTCTTACAACACACCAAAAAAAGGTGTGAGGTAATGAATATGTTACTTAGCTTGATTTTAATCATTTCACATTGTAAACGTGTATGGTACTGATCTTGTACCTCATTTCATTTTCCATATGAATCAGAAAAATACTGCTTTTTCTTTATAATATCTTATACAGCATAGATACAATTTTTAGTGGTCAATTATATTGTAATATATACATAAATATATATGATTTTCATTGGTCAATTATACTGTAATAAAACAGCAAAAAATAAAGTTGTAATTAAAAAATAATTTGGAAGAAAAAATTAGCAAGTGGTTGGAGATTGAGGAAGATGGGACCAATAAGTCCTCCAAGGAGAGTCATACATTAGTTTTTTTTAAAAGTCCATTATTAATCTTATAATATTTAATATGTTTAATTTCTTGACACTTATTAATCCAATTAAGTATGAGAACACTGTGGATAAATCTAAAAACCTTAAAGTTGAGTAAAATAAACCAGATACAAAGAAGCACATACTTTATGGTTACATTTATATGAAGTTCTAGAAAAGGCAAAACTTAGCTATAGTAAAAAAATCATGGTCCTGAGGGAATAACTAGAGAGTGGTATGAGGGAGCTTTCTATAATAGTGGGAAAATTCTGTATCTTTATTGGGATAGTGGTTATGTGAGTGCATATACTTAAAAAAACTCATGGAATTATGCCCTTACAAATCTGTAATTTTTGTTGGTAATTTATACCTTAATAAAAAACAAAACAGATGACAGGGTTAGTGATTGTTTCCTTGAAGAAGGTCTTTACATGGGTCTGTTGTTAACGAGTTGTAGTAAAAATCATCCAAAATGCTTGGATTCAAATCTTAGATCTGTTCCTACCAGATGTGTGACCACAGACAAGTTACTTACATTCCGTCTTCAGTTTCTTCTCTTTTAGGAAAAAGCATCTAGTTTTTGTTGTAGAGATTAAATTAGATAATACAAATGAAGTACAGAGAACAGCGTTTGGTGTGTAACACATGTTCATTATTAGCTACCCTTATTTTTTAGAGAATGGAAATTTTTAAATTTAAACTAATCAAACTATTTTAGGATAAGCAAGTGAAACAATCTTTTTTTCAATCGATCACAGAAATATTTTCACTGAAGACAAATTAGACATTTATATAAGCAAACTACAGTGTCATTACCATTCAAATTTTCATATGCATATTCATGCTTACATGCATATGAAAGCATTACACATATGTATTCTATAAATATATACAAAACAGTAATGGAAATGTGCTGTACTATTTTGAACATCTTTCTAGTCAGCCCGGCATTTTATTTACTTTTGAGACAGGGTCTCACTCTGTTGCCCAGGCTTGAGTGCAGTAGTGTGATCTCAGCTCACTGGAGGCTGGAGGTCCTGGGCTAAAGGAATCCTCCTACCTCAGCCTCCTGAGTAGCTGGGACCACAGGAAAGCACCACCATGCCCAGCTTATTTGGTTTATTTTGTTTGTTTGTTTATTTTTTATTTTTTTGTAGAGATGAGGTCTCACTATGTTGCCCAGGCTGGTCTCAAACTCCTGGGCTCAAGTTATCCTCCTGCCTCAGCCTCCCAAAACACTGCAATCACAGGCATTAGCCACTACACTGACCTCTACATTTTAATAGCTGAGTAGCCTTCTGTTATATGAATATACTTTTTTTTAACAAAACCAATACTCCATTATTGTACATTTAGGTTGTTTCCAAGTTTCACTCAAATAATGCTTGGGTAAGTAAGTATTTTTATTTATTATTATTATTTTTTTGAGATGGAGTTTCACTCTGTTGCCCAGGCTGAAGTGCAATGGTGTGATCTTGGCTCACTGCAACCTCCGCCTCCTGGGTTCAAGCGATTCTCCTGCCTCCACCTCCTGAGTAGCTGGGGTTACAGGTGCACACCATCATGCCTGGCTCATTTTTGTATTTTTAGTAGAGATGGGATTTCAGCATGTTGGTCAGGCTGGTCTCAAACTCCTGACCCTGTGATCCGCCCACCTCAGCCTCCCAAAGTGCTGGGATTACAGGCCGTGAGCCACCACGTCTGGCCTGGATAAGTATTATTTTAGCTAAATTGTGCATATTTATTCCCTTAGAGTAAATTCCTGGAAGTAAATTGCTGGATCAAAACCAGGTATATTTTAAAGAATTTTCCTTTTCTACATTAAAAATAATTATAATTCTGATTACAAGAAAGGAAAATTATGGAGCTTCATAAGAAAAAATTAGTCTCATATTTCATACCTCATATTGCATATTTAATAGGTAACCAGTGTTAAATTTGTTGTGTGTTTTCCACTGGGATTTCTTTTTATCTCCTTTAATAAAAGCAGGATCAGATCCCTCAGATTACTTTGTAACTTGCTTTTATTCTACTTTTTCATACCTCTTAGCATGAATGTCTTTCCAGACCAGAATACAGAGATTTCACTTACTCATTTATGAGCTGCAGAAGATGACTATGATTTATTCAACCATTCTCCTATTGAAGAGCATGAATATTGCTTCAGATACTTTTGTTATTATAAATATTAGTGCAATTAACATTTTAAAGTCTTTTGATACATATTCCCAACTTGTTCTCCAGCAATTACCATTTTTGCATTCCCACCAGCACTGGGGCTACTTCCCTTTAGTTGCACCATCATTTAGCATTATTTTTGATCTTGTGCCAATCTAAAAGGCAAAAAGTGGTATCTTGTTGTTTTAATTTGCATTTCTTTGATTACTAATTAGATTGAACTTTTTCATTTGTTCATTGGTCAATTTGCATTTCTTCTTTTGTGAAATGCCTGCTTGGGTCTTTTATGTACTTTACCATTAAAGTGTTTTTCTTGATTAAATAGATTATGTAACTGTCATATGTTGCAAATATTTCTGTCCATTTGGCCTTTGCTTATGACTTTTTATGAGTCTTTAGGACTTTTGAGGTCTTTATTAGGTATTCAATAATTTTAATGTTAAATATATTGATGTCTGTCTTCCTTTGTGTCTTACGGCTTTTCTATTTAAGGTTACGTAAATTTCTAATATACAAATATTGGTGTATATTATGAAATAGGGCCCTATTTTTCTTTACAAAAGATTAGTCAGTTCTAAATCATCCTTTGCTATTTCTAGCGGCGCTTAGATGCCACCATTATCACATCAGTGAATTTTTAAATGTGTAATTGTTTCCTGATCTATTCATTTCTCTATTCCTAGATACTTCTATTGTAATAGCTTTACCAAATATATCTGATAGGGTGTGTACTCCCCCTCATTACTTCATTTATTTATTTATTTATTTAGAGACAGAGTTTCAGTCACCCAGGCTGGAGTGCAGTGGCATGAACTTGGCTCACTGCAACCTCCGCCTCCTGGGTTCAAGGGATTCTCCTGCCTCAACCTCTTGAGTAGCTGGGATTACAGGTGTGTGCCACTACACCTGGCAAATTTTTTTTTTTTTTTTTTTTTTTAGTAGAGACAGGGTTTCACCATGGTGGCCAGGCTGGTCTCGAACTTCTGATCTCAGGTGATCTGCCCTTCTCGGCCTCCCAAAGTGCTGGGATTACAGGTGTGAGCCACTGTGCCTGGCCCCCTCATTGCTTTTAAAACATTTTCTTACTGTAATATATTTATTCCAAGAGAATTTTCAAATATTTTATGAGATTCCTTGTCCATTCCTTACATCAAAAAATACCACGGAGATTTTGATTGAAGTTCTATTATAAGTAGTTACTTGGGGTGGGGGGAGGGGGGAGGGATAGCATTGGGAGATATACCTAATGCTAGATGACGAGTTAGTGGGTGCAGCACACCAGCGTGGCACATGTATACATATGTAACTCAGCTGCACAATGTGCACATGTACCCTGAAACTTAAAGTATAATAATAAAAGAAAATAAAGAGAATACTGGCATGGAAAATATGTAATCTTGGAACTTGTTGTATCTCCACTTATTCAATCCTTTGTCTCTCAGTAGATTTTGAATGGCTCTTTATCCCACACGAGTCTAGAATCATTTTGCTAAGTTTATTCCTAGATATAATATGCTAATTGATATGGGAATTTTTTTTATCTCCATTATACCTTCTTCTTGGGTGTAGACATATTTGTAGCCAGCTTCCTCACTGCATATTTTTTATTAGGCCTAATGGCATTAAGTTTATTATTTTGGATTTTACAAAAAAAATTATGATAACATCTTTAAATAGTTAGTTTCAACTCCTCCTTTCCCCTTAAATCCATCAATTACTGTCTTTTATTTCACTTTCCTTATGTACTGACTAGAATGCCTAGAATAATTGAATGCTATGAGTAATAATAGGTATTCTTGCCCTGTTTTTGGAAATCCTTCTGGATTTCAGTAAGTGTGATGTTGGCTTTTGGTTTAGTATCTTTAAATTTGCAATTTACAAGATATTTTACATTGGAATAGTCATTGAGTTGTTAAGTAAAGCACAAACATGTTAAATTCAGACTGAAGTACAGGACTTCAATGAAAAGTTAAAAGAGTTTATTTCATCACTTTCATTTTTTCTTTCCCTCAGTGGCTGTTTGTCCCCTCCCCCCACCCCGCTCCATCCCCCAGCTTCCTTCCTTTGTGCTCTTATTGTTCTAGGTTTGACTACATAAAAAGAGACTCTCAATTTATATGTGATACAAGACCATAACTAATATTATAAAATTAGTCTAGAAGAAGTTATTTGCAACCTATATAATAAGGGACTAATTTCAAGATTATTTGAAGGACTTTAAAGATTGGTAAGAAAAAAATAGACAACCGTTTAGAATAAGGCAAAGCATGTGTAGAGGCAACTCTTAAAAAAAAAAAAGTGAGCTGGGTGTGATGATGCACACCTGTGGTCCCAGTTACTAGGGAGGCTGAGGCAGGAGGATCACTTGAGCCCAGGAGTTCAGGGCTGTAGTGCACCACAGTCACACCTGTGAATAACCACTCCATTCTAGACTGGGCAAACATAAGAAGACTCTGTGTCTTAAAGAAAAAGAAATGAAAAGATATTCAGTTTCATTAATTGTTTGACTAGCTGATTTTTGGAAAATACCCACAAATATAACCAAGCCTACAAGTTATTTTAAGGTGGGTAAGAGATACATCTTATCTATATGCATTCACCTATGTGAAGCGGACACCCAGTAACACCCCCGTGTGGAAGACAAGCTTCCTTAAACTTCACAGGACAGTATTTCCCATGTAGTCCATCATAGGGTGAGGATTTTTCAGGACCTTTGGTAAGCCTGCTTGCTTTCATTCTTGAGGGTAGAGGAAGGGTGCAAGACTTCCCTGGTCTCTCCCAAGCATTTTGGGGACCCTGGCCATAAGCCTACTTGCTCAACAGGTGCAAATGACTGGTAATATGCTGACCAGATGCAAGTGTACCACCAATGATTTGCTGTGACTGAGTTTGGTTTCCTTTGCATATACTATCCAGCTTTTTGTTTCTAATATATTCTTCCTTAAGGGAACCAGGACTTCTTGGGGAATCCAGATGAGCTTGAAACACTGTTTTTATAAGAGAAGGGCTGTTTTCAAAAACATCTATAGTTCGTAACAAAGGAGTTAGATTGAAGGGACTCTCACTGTTCAGTCTGTGACAAGCATGAGTGTTAAAATGGAGACAAGAATTTTAGTTAATTGTAATGTTGAATTTGTAAAAGGCTATAACTTCATAATATGATCAAGGGGAACAAGCAATCTAAAATGTGTTAAAGTAGCATTTTCAAAGTGCGGTCCAGGGACTCTCAGGGTTGGTGAGGTCACAACTGTTTTTATAATATTGCTAAGAATGTATATCACTCTCCTTCTCTCCAAGGATACGGTGGAGTTTTCCAGAAGCTATGGGATATGTGGCGATAGCCTTGCCCTAATGGAGTGTGTGCTTTGTGCTTTGCATTTTTGTCCTTTAAAAATGCTTGGTTTTAATTTTGAATACAATAATTATAGATAGATATAACCTACATAAACCAAAGTTATTTGCGGCCCTCAGTCTTTAAGGGTGCACAGTGGGGCCTGAGACTAAAGAGTTTGGGAATTGATGTTCTAGAGAAAAGTCAGTCTTACTGATGAGGGTTAATCAATTAGTATTTACTGACCGGGACAGGACAAACCATTCATTTTATAAAGACACACAGAGCATTTCACTAAAATACTTTTACTCTGATTAAGTGGTGATTTTAGTAATAGTAATGATTGTTTGATTTTCTGATACCTGAAGGAAAAAGAGCCTGTTGAATTGATACTTTGAGGGTGTTGAGTTTTAGGTCACTGGGTGACTGTAGAAATGGACCAGGAGAAGAACTGAAACTTGAGCCTTCTAAGAAATAGAAGACCAAAAAATGTTTAGTGTTACCCTATCCCATGACCACAATAATTGAGAAAAAGGCCTTTCCGTTCCCTCTTCCCTACCCTCCCCCTTCTCCCCTACCCTCTCCTCCCCCCTCCCCTCCCCCTCCTCTCCCCTACCCTCTCCTCCCCCCTCCCCTCCCCCTCGTCTCCCCTACCCTCTCCTCTCCCCTACCCTCCCCTCCCCCTCCTCTCCCCTCCCCTCTCCTCCCCCCTCCCCTCCCCCTCCTCTCCCCTCCCCTCCCCCTCCTCTCCCCTCCCCTCCCCCTCCTCTCCCTCCCCCTCTTCTCCCTCCCCCTCCTCTCCCTAACCCCTCCCAACCTTTCCCCTCCTTCTCTGTCCCCCTCCCCCTCCCTCCCTGTCTTCCTCCCACCCCCCACTCCCTGTCTTCCTCCTTGTCTTCCATCCTCCCTTCCTTCCTTTCCTTCCTGTCTTTCTTTTCCTTTCTTTCCTTTTTCTTCTTTCCTTCCTGTCTTCCCTCCTCTCCGTCTGTCTCCTTCTCCTTGTCCCCTTCTCTCTGTCTTGCCTTTCCTTTCCTTCTGTCTTTTTCTTTCTTTCTCTTTCTTTTTCACTCTTCCTTTTTTTAATTTCCCTTTTACTTGCCTTCTCTCTTTCATTCCTTCCATGCTTTCTTTTTTTTAGTGGTATGTATACTTTGTGAGCAATCAGACTATAGCTTGCAGAATAGTTGGGAGAGGCCAAAAATGCCCCTGAGAATGCAAGCAAGGAACTTCTTAGTGAGCATATGAACATCCTCACTCCAATCGGAGGATAACATTGTTCATACTTCAAGGACTAAAAAGCTGAGAGAGGGTCTCTGCTTTCTGTTACTTTTAGCACTCGAGTCATTTCTGCATGTATTTCTACTGATTACTTTTTCTCCTATTTTGGTTCATATGTTTTCTGCTTCTTTGCTTGTCTAGTGATTTTGGATTAGATGAGTGACATTGTGAATTTTACTGTGCAGGATGGCTGAATTTTTTTTCTATTCCTGTAAATATTTTTTTGGCATTGTTCTAGGATGTAGTTAAGTTACCTGGAAAAAGTGACATCCTTTTGAGAGGCTTGCTTTTAAGTTTTGTTAGGTGGAATCACAGCAGTCTTTAGCCAGCTCACTAAGGACCAATACTCTTCTAAATACTTACCATAATGTCATATGAATTTCCATGTTTTTCCACTTCAGCTGGTAGGAACACCTGTGTCATCTCTAAGCATTGTACTGTTAATTCTTCTAGTAGTTCTTATCTGGCTTTGTACATCTGCTGATCAATACTTTCAGCTAAAGTCTCAAGGGGACCTCTGCAAATCTACAGTGTTCACTGTTCAGCTTTCTCTTCTGTAGTAAATTGCACAGTGAACTCTAGTCCCCTTAGCCTTCCTGAACCCCCAGTTCTCCTTAACTCAGGGAGATCACCAGGCCCCACCAGGATTCCTGTATCTGCCCTGTGACCTGGAGATTCTCTGCAGGCAATAGGTTGGGGCGGTCGTAGGGTCCACTTTGTTTTCCTCCTCTTCGGCTTCACTGTCCTGTGTTACCTGATGTCCAATGTCTGAAAACTACTGTTTCACGTATCTTGTGTGCTTTTGTAGTTTTAGGTGAAAGGTAAAACTAGTTTCTTATTATTCCACATTGGCCAAAGCAGAAGTTTTGGAAGTCTTTTTTTAAGGTCTAAAACACTTCTACTTTGAGAGTCAATTGAAATGGTCTTTTCCACAATAATTATTTTCTGACCTATGGTTTAAAGATAAGTCATGAAAATTTTATGCCACTATTTTTTTTTAAGTCTGATTATGGTTAAATTCAGGGGGCTATTTCCTCCTAGATTGACAGAGTTTATAATGTTTCCTACTCACAATAATTGTACTTCTGCTTCCTCTTTGCATGTGTTACTTTAATGGGAATGTATATTTCCTTTTCGTTAAGGCTGCCTTCAACAATTTGTCATAAAGTCACTTCTGTTAGTGAATTCTATTTTTTCTGTTACTTTACTCTATCCTTAGTACCAAAGAGCTCCTTATGTGACACCAATTTATTACTAAAATGTCGCTTTGTTTATGTTCTTGGAATTCTTCATACATTGACTATCCTCAGATGTCGAATGTTGTAGGCCTGTGTGGCAGGGACTCTCTTCCATTTATTCTATTTTTAATCTAATTCTTGACAAAATAAACCCAATTTTTCTTTTCTTCCCCTTTCCATCTCACGTAGGGACTGGCATAAAGGGCAATCCATAAAATTACAAATGATGAATTTTTTTGGTTTTAACTATTATTCATACATTTAAGATATGGTCACAATTTTTATTTCTTACTAGTAATTCATTTTATTTTTTAACTTTTAGGTTCTGGGGTACACGTGCAGGTTTGTTATATAGGTACATTTGTGTCATGGGGGTTTGTTGTACAGATTATTTCATCACCCAGGTATTAAGCCCAGTACCCATTAGTTATTTTTCTTGATCCTCTCCCTTTGCTCACTTTCTACCCTCTGGTAAGCCCCAGTGTCTGTTGTTCCTCTCTATGAAACACAATGGTTTTAATTGGAAAATTTATTTTTTTTTCAGGTGATTCTAAGTATGACTTGCTATGTAAAGAAGAATTTATTGAACTCAAAGACATATTCTCTGTGAAACTGAAACGGCGTTGTTCTGTTAAACAGCAGAGAAGTGGTACTTTATTAGGTATCACACTCTTCATCTGCTTGAAAAAGGAACAAAATAAACTAAAGAATTCTACACTTGATCTTATTAATTTAAGTGAAGACCACTGTGACATATGGTTTAGACAGTTCAAGAAAATATTGGCAGGTAAGTACTCCTCATGGGAAATTTTAATCAGCCCAGTTTCCTTGATATACATGATTAATCTAGACATGTTTTGAGTAAAAACAACTTTAGTGATGTTGAGATAGTTTCCTTCTGTTCCTAGTTTTTGTCGTGAGAAAGTGTTGAAATTTGCTAAATACTTTTTCTACATTAATTGAGATAATCATATTTTTCCCTACATCCTGTTAATGTGGTATCTTATATTAATTGATTTTCATATGTTTAACATCCTTGCATTCCAGGAATAACTCCCCAATGGCCATGGTGTATAATCTTTTAAAGATGCTATTGAATTTGGTTTGTTAATATTTTGTTGAGTATGTTTGCATCAATATTCATAAAACATATTGTTCTGTAGTTTTTCTGTACTGTTTGTCTGACTTTGGCATCAGGGTAATACTGGCCTCATAGAATGAGTTAGGAAGTAACTCTTGAATGACTATTTTCATGAAGAAGCTTCAATAATCTGAAATAAAATACTTAAATAATTTAGTTCACCTGAGAGTTGTTTTTAGAAGCGTATTTATTTTTCTATTAATGTCTTTTTTGAACTATATAAGAATGTATTCTCCTTCCACTCACACATTGATGGCAAGTGTGTATTTGTACTCTGTGGCCTGAAAATAAGATTTTTTTGAATAATCTTAAGAGGCCATGCTTTATACTCTGGTAATTGAGAATTACCTATTTCACAGTAGCTTTTTCTAAAGGTTAATTTCCAGAGAAAAGAGAACATGTTTATTAGGATATATCTCTTAATGAATTCAGTGTATCTGAAATTTCTAAATGACATTTTCATATTTTGCATACTAAATAAAATTCATAAGTACAAATATAATGCAATTCATAAGTACAAATATAATGCAATTTGGATTTCTAGAAGTTATCTAGTTAAAATATGATCTTAGGATTTATTTTTTTTGTCTTAGATTTATGAATCTTGCTTGTTTTTCTGTTAATTCATTTCTTCTTGTTTGCTGCATCAGTCAGATCAGAGTAGAGGCAGCTTGTATAGTTGATGGCACAGTTTAGGGTTAGATGGCACAGGATAGAAATGGGTGCTAGACAAAGAGCAGTCACAGAGGCATGTTAGAAATTTCCAGTTCCAGCATCATTGATGAAGAAAACCATGAGGACCCAAGTTGATCAAAGGCAGCCAGCCAATAAAGCTATGCTCATGCGAGATGAGCTGAAGTGACATTACATTAAAATTGGAAGACCCTCTTACTAAGTGGCTCCATGCTTCCCTGCTAGCCCCTTTGGGACTTCCAAGAAGACTTGGTTATTTCAAGAAGACAAGAACCCACAGAGGCTGTAGTTTAGTTTATCTCTCTGGAAACATAGAGAATATGTATAATTAAATAAAAGCACTTTAATAGTGAATCCTTTACAGTGTTATTTGAAATTTATGTCAAGTGATTTAAAAAGTAAAAATGAAAATTAATAATTTCAGTGGAAGTAAATTGATTAACATGACCAGGAATACATAAAACTTGCATGGTCTTGTCTATAAAATAAGGATATGTCATTTAATTAGGAGAGTCAAAGCTCATTCTTGCGCTTAAGGTCTGAGGAACTCTTCTCCCATGGGGCTTATGAAGGGCTACACTGAGGCAACTTCCTCAATATATCTCAGCCATAAAACCAAGAGAAAGTAAGAAGCAGAGGACATCACAACAAAGCTCAATTCAGTAAAAGCAATTTTATAGGAGTAGAGGGACTTGTCAAAAACAAAAACAACAACAAAAAACAATGTCCAAATATTTATTCAGCTTAATGAGTGATGTTTTTGTTTGATCTAGGGTTAAAATCTAGACAAATTACAGAGATGAATAAACTACATATCCTTTAGTCTACCATCCTCTGAAAATGTTACTTTTTGAAACTTTGATTTTGATAAGAGCTGGAGGCACTCAGGGAGTCATTCTCTGGCATGGTCTTTGAGTACAGAGTGATTTTGCTGATTAAAAGCAAATAGATTGACTTTTAAAATCAACTCATACAAACAAACTGTTAAAATCCTCTAATGAGAGTGAAGAAACCTAACCAAGACTGACTGATACATTACTGCTCCATCTCTGCACCAAAGTGGACTCAGGGAGGCCTGTAGGAGATGCCAACTCCTTATCCTACTCCCCACAAAGACAGTTCTTGGCTATCTTCATCAGACACAAATGAATGGTTGAGGCTCCAAAGCTCTCTACCAATTCTTGTGTTACACTGGCACTTTTAAAAAATTTTGTTTATTTTTTATTTTTAAATGGAGTCTCACTCTGTCACCCTGGCTGGAGTACAGTGGCGTGATCTTGGCTCACTGCACCCTTTGCCTCCCGGGTTTGAGCAATTCTCCCTGCCTCAGCCTCCCGAGTAGCTGGGATTACAGGCACCCGCCACTACGCCTGGCTAATTTTTGTATTACTTAGTAGAGATGGGGTTTCGCCATGTTGGCCAGGCTGGTCTTGAACTCCTGAGCTCAGGCAATCTGCCCACCTTGGCCTCCCAAAGTGCTGGGATTACAGGTGTTAGCCACCGCACCTGGCTGGCACTTCTCTTAAAACTAATATCTCAAGAAGTTTTTTCTTTAAGAATCTTCTTTCAATTGCAGGTCCATGTAGTTCTGGTATTCATTAAAGTGCCTATCCCAGGGGTTTTGGTATGTTGTGTTTCAATTTTCATGTTTCAATTTTTTTGATTTATGCATTAATTTTGTTTTTTCAGAATTCAGGTGCAGGTTGTTTAGTTTCCATGTATTTGTGTCGTTTTGAGAATTCCTCTTGTTCTTCATTTCTAATTTTATTTCATTGTGACCTCAGAAGACACTTGCATTGATTTTGATTTTTTTTATCTTATTGAGATGTGACTTACGACTATGTGGTCAATTTTAGAGAATGTTCCATGTACAGATGTGAAAAATGTATATTTTGTGTTGTTGGGTGGAATATTCTGCAGATGTCTGTCAGGTCCATTTGGTCAAGAGTCTGATTTAAGTCCAGTGTATACCTTTGTTAGTTTTCTGCCATGGTGATCTGTCTGGTGCTGTGAGTGGGGTGTTGAAGTCCCCCACTATTATTGTATAGCTTTTTTTCCCCATAGGTCTAGTAGTATTTGTTTTATGAACCTGGGTGCTCCAACATTGAGTGCATATTTATTTAGGATAGTTAAATCTTCTGGTTGAATTGAACCCTTTATATAATGCCCTCCTTTGTCTCTTTTTGATGTTGTTGGTTTAATGTCTGTTTCTTCTCATACAAGTATAGCAACATCTGTTCTTTTTTAATTTTCTATTTGCATGCTAGATCTTTCTCCATCCCTTCACTTTGAGCCCATGGTTGTCATTACATGTGAGATGGGTCTCTTGAATTCAGCAGAAGGTTAGGTCATTTAAAAAATCTAATTTGCCACTTTATGTCCTTTAAGTGGAGCATTTAGGCCATTTATGTTCTAAGTTAATATTGATATTTGAGGTTTTGTTCCTATACATTTGATATTTGTGTATTGTTAAGTAGTTGCTTTCTAGTTTGAATTGTGTAATTGCTCTATAAGATCTCTGAGCCTTGTACTTTTGTGTGCTTATATGGTAGCAAGTATTGTTCTTTTGTTTCCATGTTTAGAACTCCTTGGAGTATTTCTTGTATGGCAGGTGTGGTGGTAACAAATTCCCTTAGTGTTTTCTTGCCTGGGAAAGACTTTATTTCTCCTTCATTTATGAAGCTTAATTTGGCAGATTATGAAATTCTTGGCTGGCATTTTCTTTTTTCTTTAAGGAGGCTAAAAGTAGGCCCCTGATCTCTTCTTGCTTGTAAGGTTTCTGCTGAGAAGTCCTCTATTAGTCTGATTGGATTTCCTTTATAGGTAATTTGGCCCTTTTCTCTAGATGCCTTTCATATTTTTTCTTTGGTGTTGACCTTGCATAGTCTGATGGACTATATTCCTTGGGGATGGTCATCTTGTATCTTGCAGGTGTTTTCTGAATTTCTTGTATCTGGATGTTAACCTCTCTGGCAAGATTAGGGAAATTTTCCTGAATTATTGCCTCAAATATGTTTTCCAATTTGCTTACTTCTTCCTCTTCTCCATCAAGAATGCCAGTAAGTCATAGGTTTGGTTGCTTTACATAATCCCATATTTATCAAAGGCTTTGTTCATTTTTCAGATTCTTTATGTTTGTCTAACTGGGTTAATTTGAAAAGGTGGTCTTCAAGCTCTGAAATCTTGTCTTCTGCTTGGTGTAGTCTGTTGTTAAAACTTCCAAGTGTTGTTTTGTTTTGTTTTGTTTTGTTTTGAGATGGAGTCTCACTCTGTTGCCTAGGCTGGAGTGCAGTGGCATGATCTTGACTCACTGCAACCTCTGCCTCCTGGGTTCAAGCGATTCTCCTGCCTCACCTTCTGGAGTAGCTGGGATTACGGGCGAGTGCCACCACCCCCGACTAATTTTTGTATTTTTTAGTAGAGACAAGGTTTTGCCATGTTGGCTGAGCTGGTCTCGAACTCCTGAACTCAGGTGATTTACCCATCTTGGCCTCCCAAAGTGCTGTGATTACAGGTGTGAGCCACCATGCCTGGCCTGCTTCCAAGTGTATTTTGATGTTCCCTTTAGTGAATTTTTCAATTCCAAAAGTTCTATTTGGTTTTATCTTAATATGGCTATCTCATGTTTCATATCCTGCATTGTGTTTCTGGTTTATTTGAAATGGATTTTAAATTTCTCTTGGCTCTCACTGAGTTTCCTTGCAATACATATTTTGTTTTTTTAGTCTGTCATTTCAAAGTTTTCAACTTGGTTAGGATCCATTGCTATAGAGCTAGTGCAATTCTTTGGAGGTATGAAGACACTCTTTTTGTAGTGTTGGAGTTCTTGGGCAGATTCCTTCTTATCTGAGGGAGCTGTTGATTCTTATTTTTGAATTTCCTATTGGTTGGGCGGGACTTAAACTTTTTTTTTTTTTCCCCTTGAGGGTATGACTATGGTGTATGTTGTGTGTGATCATTCAACTTTGTTTCTGGGTGCTTTCAGGGGGCCAAGGCTCTTTATGGATTCCTTGGGCGTGGTAGCTTTCTTAAATGCTGCTTATTGTAGCAATGTATTGGATTTGTGAGCTGACACTCTATCTCATGTGGGGCTGAGGGTGCAGAAGTCTCAGGAAGCTTATTTTGTGGAGTAGTGCTAAGCCTTTCTGGTAGTGGGCTTTTTATTTGATAGTACAGTTCAGGCTGCAATCCAGTAGATGGCACTTAAAAAATAAGAACCAGCTTGCCCTCAGTTAGGCTGATGTCCAGTAGAAGCACCTGTCCTGACAGGGGAGTGACAGGAAGAGATTCTGTTGGTGTGTGCCGAGGCCTTTGGGGTCGCTGGTTGGGGGGAGATAGGGGGAGGTGCACTAGCTCCTCATGCAGGAATGTGATCTGCTTTTCTATCATACCCCATCAGAGGGCTCATGACCTTCAGTTCATAAAGATTTTTTCCTTGGGTTCCCAGCCATAGTCTGTCTGTAGGTTATGCATATGCCCCTCTGAAGGCAACCACCAAAATGGTCTTGGGGCAGAGCCTCTTCCCCCAGTCTAGGGCAGACAACTCCATGACTTGTATGTCCTCCATTGCTGGGACACTGCTGCTCTGTGTAGGGATGGGGAGTTGGGCCCCACCCTTTATGTAAGCCTAAGTGGCATTCTCACTTTCAGCAGGGGTGGAGCCATCTTGAAAACCATGAAAAACTCTTTCTTCGAGTACCTGTGCTGGCCCCCAGTGGGAAGAACCACTGCTGCGTCTTCAACAGCGTGTGGGGTGGGAGGGTATTGCCACAGATGACCCCCTCTCCATATCCGTTCCTTGACATGGTGTTGCCCCCTTTAGCGATTGGCACTGTGCCCACCTTTCCTTTGTCCCAAAGGGGTTTTGGCAAGTTGTGTCCCTCTCCCTTATAGGTGGCCTACACTAGGGGGGTTAGATCTCTAGAGGTTCCATAGCTCCCTGGGAACTTGCTGGCCCCCTGGGCTTTTCAAAGTCAGAACAGGTTATGAGGTATGTTTGCTGGGGATCTGGTGCTACAGAGACTCAAGGGTAGAGAATCCCTGGGCAGAGCAGAGGCCCACCACTGGTGCACAAGCAATATGGTGACCACCATCTCAGTTTGTGTCTGAGGGGAGTATGGGAACCCCTGCAGGAGCTGGCCACCCAGTTCTCTATCCCTGGGAAATTCCTAAATTACCACCAATAACATTGCCCTGGGTCACAAGGGTGGGGCCTTGAATTCTTTGGGGGTTGATCTCTGCCAGACTCTAGCTACTTTTCCTTTCTGCACCCCAGCTTCTTCCCATGGGCACTCCAAAAGGTCCTGGCTCTCTTTCCCCAGTTTTCCATTAGAAACTTGTCCATTTGACAGTAACTTTGATCTTCTTTCTAAGAAGAGCTGGCATCCAAGGTCTGTGGTCAGCTATGTTGGAAAAAAGAAGGAGAAAAAAACTAGTTTGTATTAAATTCTGAAAGACTAGTGGCACTGGTTAAGTCTTTAAAGGATTGTTAACAAAAGAAAATCTTTTTAAACCAAACTCCTAATTTTATCAGAATTGTAACTGAAAATATAAATGTATGAAAACATAGGTATTATGTAAAATTTGCTCAATAAAAGAATAGGAAAAACTACTATTTATCTTGGACTGATAGCATGTTAGTTTGAGATTTGAACCCTTTCTACTCTAGTAAGTAGTGGTGGGAAAAATTCACTGTAGGAGTCTGCAGACATAACAAACTATCATTAGACTGCCAAGACCTCCACATAATAAAGCAAGCAGAGAATGTCAAATAAGTATGTGAAAAATGATCAAAAAAGAGAAATTGAAAATATAAATAGGGTGCTATTAAAAAAGGATAGCATTTATGTTATGACATATGTACACATGAATATCACTTTTTAGAATTTCATCCTTCTTAGGACTTATTCCTGAGTCCGAGGATTGAGAGGTTCTGATAAAATAAGTCTCAGTGGGTTCCAGGCATGGGCTTTCTTTAAAAGTCTCTCCAGGGATTCTAATGTGTTGCCAGGACCAAGTACCATGGACAGCCAAGATCTCATCAGCACAGTTTGATTGAATGAACTTATGTAGAACCCTGAATGCCACACTTAACCAAAGAAACCTTTCCAGGGATTAATTATAGGTGACAGAACATGCTATATTCTTATTAAATATTATTAAAAGTTAAGCAATACCCATTCCTGATTCATGTAAAATTCTCACTTATTTTCCAAGAGTTTTACTGTATGACTGGTTTATGGGATGCTTGGAAAAGGTTGACAGACATGGCAAAGGTTCCTGCAGTGTTTCTCTTTGTCCATCAACAGCCCTAGCTCATAACCTCTACCCTTTCAGCTAAAAGCAATTAGCTCTTCAGAAGTGATTCATTCTATTTATACTTGGGATAAGTAACATCAGGCAGTCTTCCCTAGGGCTTCTCACGGGCCCTGGTGGCATTTTTATTCTAAGAGAGGGTTATATTTTTACATGTAATTGGTCATAATTATACTAAAAACAAGTAATTGGTGTCTTATACAAGAAAATTATATTTCTGCTTTAGTCATTGACAGAGTATCCTGAGAATAAGAGTTAAGAAGTATATTCATTGTCATCTTATTTCTGATATATTTCAAATTCTTTTGCTAGGAAGAAGCCCTTTTGACTGTGCTTTGTGTAACAAAACTTCTTCGGAGAAACAATTTAGATAAACTTTGTCAGATCTTATGTGATTATATTCAAAATGCTAATTGAAGATTCTCTAAACATTTTCAGTAAAATGTTGAATTGTTTTCATGCTGTTAAATAAGTTAACATGTCTTCCTTTACTAAAGTCATTATTATAAAAATGTAAATCCTAATGATAATAGCTGATGTTTATTAAGCATTTAGTAGGTTCCATTTTTTGATAGCAACTTTTATGAATTATCTCATTAAATCTTCATAATAATAGCATCAAGAACTACAAATATGTTTTCATGTAAGAAGGGAAATAAAATTATGAGTTTTGCTGTGAGGTTTGAAGAATGAAAACAATGCATGACTTAGAAAATAGTATAATTAAGTGAATTTTATTATCATTATCATCTCTTAGTTTATAAATGAAAAAACTAAGGCTTACATAATGTAAAAATCAGTTAACAAGGTTAAACAACCGGTAGATGGTAGAGGAGGAGCTGGGAATAAATCTGTACATGTCTGAATCTGGAGCAGGAACCCTTAACTGATGTGTCATTCTAGCAGGTCATCAGTTACTCTACAATACCTATTAAGTATACTTTATTTACTGTGTTTAGATTTATAGTAGATTTAGACTCTACTGTAAAAACAAGGACTTCATACACCTGCTAGAAAGTATCCATATCATCTTGTTTGAAAGTTGTCCCGCTCTAGTGTTCTTTTCTAATCATGATGATTCAGAACTCCAAACTCTTGAAGCAGGGCAACCCGTAGGGTCAGCATTCATAATTTCTCAATACTTAAAAAAGTTTCCTCATGACTGTTGCTATTATTGAGATTTCTCAAATGTCTTGGCCTGAATTGGGTGTGCACTATGAAAAAAAAAATGGCAGACATTTCTTTTTGTTAAAGGAATTTTAAAAACACATATAAACACACTGATTTGTGACAGATTACCAGGCTTTATGTTTAGCAGGGTTTCCTAAGCAAAACACAAATTCTGTAAATCTACAGAATTAGATAAAACATTGACTCAATCCTTAGATGAGAGTATAATGGATTATCACTTAATAACTTCTGTCACTGAAAATAAATGATGTAAAAAGTAATAAAGTTCTACTCTCACAGTATGAATAAATAGGAAATACATAATACTTTAAATTAGGCAACAAATCATTAAGCCCCCAGCATTCATTAGACTATCATTAATGATAATAAAATTGTGTGGTATTTATACAGATATTATATGTAACTCCAGGAATTTTGTTATAATTGTGTATGAATATATTTGTTGTTTGAGGCAGGTAGATGGATATTTGCAGCAGCTATGTGCTGAAGCATTCTGGTAATAGTTTTCAAATCAACCATTTTTTTCTCCTTGTCGATCATCTTTAAAGCAAAAGCACCGTTTTTTACTATATTTTTTGAAAAAAATACATTAGGTGTAAAATTATATATTTTGAAGAAGTTCACTTTCTGTTTTTACTAGTTTCACACCTTTGTTATTTTTTCAGTGGAAGGAGCAGAGATAGGCAAAGGCGAAGCCTGTGTGTGTGGTCAGGTTCCTGGGCCCTTCATAGCATCTGATGCCAAGCTGTGTTCTCTTTTGTGTCATTGCCTTCCCACTTGCTAATTACGTGACAGAGCTA
Source organism: Homo sapiens (assembly GCF_000001405.40). Lineage (NCBI taxonomy): Eukaryota > Metazoa > Chordata > Mammalia > Primates > Hominidae > Homo > Homo sapiens. The sequence goes on along the minus strand of NC_000002.12, from coordinate 181,594,483 downwards.
GGGACTTCCCTCTGTCTAGAATGCCCCCCATCTCTTGTTTGCCTAGTGAAATCTGGTTTGAAGTTCAAGGTCTGATACAAACCAGGTGATCCTCTGCAAAACTAACTGTACCTGAGCAAACCAGGCACTTACTCTTTTATATGTTCCTGGCACTGCTGATACTCTGATAGAAAACATCATCACTTAATGCTAACTGTGGGCTCACAAAGGGGATACTTCTACTGTAAGAAGACTGTAACTCTTCTTAGCACAGAGATTAGTAAGTACTTGAAACAGAGTTTCACATATAATAAGTGTTCAATAAATTTTATTTTTTATTTCTAACACTTGGCACACTGCATAGCTCAGTAAATGTTGGTGAAGTGAACTGAGTATTCTCCTTATCTATTATGTGGTAGGCATTATTCTAGTTGCTTCTGTTATAAACCAACTCATTTAATCCTTATCACAGCACTTTTATTGTGGTCAATATTTTTTAATCCTCACAGATGGCTAAGGAATCAGCACTCTGAGAGATTGGTTGACTTGCTTTGGGTAAGGTGCTTATAAAGTGGTAGAACAAGATTCCTATCCAGGCCTTCTGATTCAAAAATACATTCTTTTTTTTTTTTTTTTTAGTAGTGTTTTCTGGAAAGGCAGGGTATAACTGACTATGCTGTGTATTTGGGACTAAGTATATTATTGTCAAGTATATTAAAAATGTCGCAACACTGGAAAGGAGTCCATCAATGGGCTATGCAGGTTGAGGGATTTGTAGATGAGAAACTGATAAATTTGGTTAGCAAGGAAAGCCATCAAGCTGTGAACCCTTTATATTGGCAAAAGAGAGGGTCCTTTGAAATCTAAGGGAACAGAACTTTCCTGTTCTCCAAGTTTGGAGCAGAATAGGTAAGCTCTAGGCAGTCTAATGCCCAACTTTTACCAGTGGTGTTTTAGTTTTTTTTTTTTTTCCAAAAGGAAATGATGGAATTCTTTATATACTTCTGAATTGTCTATCTTTTCAAAAATAAAAATTTTCATTTTGCAGTACATACAGAATCAAAAGACTTTCAAGTCCTAACTCCACAAATGTTTATTTTGAAGCTCTTTAAACTGTTTACCACGGATATTAGTAAATCTGTCAGAAATGAGGTGACTTACTTATCCTTGTCCCACCAGATATGTGGGAAGGATGATCACGCTAGATAGCATGGATGGGTCCTCTATTTATCTCTTTTTACTTGAATGGAAAACACATCATTCAGATTAATCAATTAGTCATTGTGACTGATAGAATTTTTATATGGATAATCTGGGTTTGGTCCCTAGCTTTACCACTTACTTGGGGTCTTTATGTCTTCTATGGTCTCCTATCTGTAAAGGGAAGTTGATAATGCCAATCTAGCTAGGTTACTGAGATGCTTAAATGTGTAATGTATGCAAAGCAGCAGGTACTCAATAAAGGGTAACTCTTACTATTATTGTATAGCTCTCCAGGTATGTATTGAGCTTCTATAGAATCCATAGCCCCAAACTCTTTAGCCCTTTGAGACCAAGATTAAGCATTGTCTTTCCAGAGGAGAGGGTGAGAGAGATTGCCATTATACTAATAGAATTCATCATTATCACCGTCATCATCATCATCATGATTTCTTGGTGTGTCATGGAATGTACTGTGTTTCACATTACCAACAGATGTTAATTTTCACAACATCCCTGAGACAAGAAACTATGATTACATTTTACAGATAAGGTCATGCAGCTATAAAGTTGTGAAATTGGGATTCAAACTCAGGCAGTCTGTCCCCACAGTCCATGTTCTTAACCCACCATGCTCTCCTGACACTTGAAAAGTTAGGAGGCGTACTCCATAGCCTGTAATGTTGCTGCAGAGAGAATCTAATTTTAAATCCAGTGAAGCATATTAGTTGCTGTCTTTGATATGCCATTCAGATTGTGCTATCCTTATGATGCCTACCTTGGTTGTATATGTAACTGGGCGTCAAATATATAAATACTCAAAAAGTGATAGGTGCCAATAAAATATTTTATAGTTAATACTTATGTAATCTGTGTTCTCTGTGTTTGAGGGCTGGTTCTAAAATACTGCTCTATATTTGACTTCTGGTTAAAACAATAAACTTTGCTCATATTAGTTATATAGTTGATACCATTCTCATGTTGCTAACATGTCTGTAAGTAACAGTTGAAATTGATCTGGCAATTTTAGAGCTGTCAGACCCAGGAGATGAGAGAAACATTTAAAATGTTTATAACATTAAATCAGCTGAGTCAAGAGAGAGAAAGAGAAAGATGATTCAGATTTCTTGTACTGGTGGATGTAAGTGCTTGGAACTGAAATAAAGGAGAAGGTGTAGGGAGGGAGAAAGATAAAGAAGTCTTCCCTTTATACAAGTTGAAATTGAGTTTCCTTTGAGATATAGAGGTGAAGACATTTTAAGAAACTTCTTAAAACTCTCTAATGTGGCTTTTCAACCTGTTTCCATCAATTTGGCACATCTCACTTTTCGGCACAACAGAATATTCTAGGTTTATCTCACACCTTCCTTGCCCCAGCCCAGGAATCAGCCATTTCTCTAAGAAACTCTTGTTTATTTTGGTGGGGAACAGTATTGGGAAACCAACATCTGGGAGCTAAATATACTCCTAGTGGTTAGGAGGTCATACCTTGTAGACTCTTGTAGCTGACGGAGTTAGGACATATTTATTAGAAATCATAAGTTTATATTGATCTTGCTAGGATCTATCCAATCCTACAAGATTCTTCCCTGTGTCTCTCCTTTGTATTTGTGTATCCTTTCTTCCATATTAAGAACTGTGGCTCCCAACAACAAGGCATGTGCCCATTTGCCCAATCGTATGATGTATAAAAACTACTTTGAGAAAAGTGGCAGCCAAACCACTAAGAAAAATAAACTTGCTGAAATGAGTTCAAGATTTATTGGCAGCTCTTTTTTTGGCCCCTAGACTGAAAGTATATATTTCAAGTATTGTGTTCAAAAATTATTTGGGTTAGCTTTTTCCACCTTTCATAATAGTAATATTATTTACTTGAAATACAGTTGGCTTTGTTTCTATATTCAGTTTTTTTCTCTCTATCTTCATTAATTTCATTATATATATTTAATATGTAGGACATTAACATGTTTCCAAAAGAAGAAAACACTCCTTCCTGTATCATTTCCACCTCATCTCTCTTACCCCTTATAGGTAACCGATTGCACTGGTTTCTAGTTTATCTTACTTATATTCCTATTTGAAAAGTTACCTCATATATGTATGTTTTTTAAATTTTTATACTTTTTTACACAGAAAGTAACGTTCAGTATGTACTTTGCCACTTTCCTTTTAAACTTAACAGCATATACTGGAAATCACTCCATATCGTGTCACAGAGAGCTTCCTTATATTTTTTAATAGCTGTATAAGACTTCATTGTGTTGTCTGTACCATATTTTATTCACTTCCCCATGTGTGGACATTTTGACTGTTTCTAGTATCTGCAATTACTAATAATGCTGCAGTAAACTTTGTGCATATCGTACCTTGGTAAATTTCTAGACATAGATTTCTGGGTTAAAGGTTAAGCACATGTGTAGTTTTGTTAGATATTGATAAATTCCTTTCCATGGGGTTTATATCATTTTTAAAATATTTACCAGCAACGTATAACAGCGTCCATTACTTCAAAGCCTCACCAACAGATTGTATGTTTTAAGTACTTTTATGTTTTAGAATTTTTCCAATGCGATAGGTAAACAATGGTATATCAATATAGTTTTAATACATTAAAGTTCAGCATCTTTTCAAGTTCGGCTAGTCTCAGGGCTATTCTTAATATCTTGTGAATTATCTTCATATTATTTTCCCATATTCCATAATACTTTTGGTTTTTTTTCCTCCTCAATTCTGACAAGTTCTTTATATTTCAGGAATATTAGCCATTTTATTTGATATGTTACAAATATTTTTCTCCCAATATATAACTTTTCTCTTATAACGATTTTTTTTTCATGAAAAGTTTTTAATTAAAACCTTTTATGGGCCCAGGTGCAGTGGCTCACACCTGTAATTCCAGCACTTTGGAAGGCTGAGGTGGGCAGCTCATTTAAGGCCAGGAGTTCCAGACCAGCCTGACCAACACAGTGAAACCCTGTCTCTACTAAAAATAGAAGAACATTAGCTGGGCTTGGTGGCACATGCTTGTGATCCCAGCTACTCAGGAGGCTGAGGCATGAGAATCACTTGAACCCAGCAGGTGGAGGTTGCAGTGAGTCAAGATCGTGCCACTGCACTCCAGAGTGGGCAACAGAGTGAGACTCTGTCTCAAAATTAAATAAATATATAAACAAAACCATTATGGGCCAGGTGCAGTGGCTCATTCCTGTAATCTCAGCACTATGGGAGGTCAAGGTGGTTGAATCATTTGCGCCCAGGAACTGGACAGACCAGCCTGGGCAACATGGGAAAAACCTCTCTCTACCAAAAAAGAAAAAAAAAAAAATTAGCTGGGTGTGGTAGCATGCACCAGTAGTCCCAGTTACTCGGGCTGGTCACATGAGCCTGGGGAGGTCAAGGCTGCAGTGAGCAGTGATTGTGCCATTGCACTCCAGCCTAGGCAACAGAGTGAGACCATTTCTCTAAATACATACATACATACATACCTTTTGTGGAGTTAAATTTACACACTTTTTCTTTATTGGCTCTGGCTTTTGCATTGTAGTAAGACTTTCTTTACACTCAACTTATAGATAAATTCACCCATGTTTTCTTCTAGTACTTGCATAGTTGAATTTTAGATCTCTAGTCCATTTGGAGTTTATTTTTTGTATGGTAGAAGGTATTGATCCTATTTTTTCCCAAATAGTTGTTACCCAGTTGTCCCAAAACAAGTTATTGAAAAGTCCATCTTTGTCCCAGATAGACTGGAACAAAATGAATTAAAGACTTAAATATGAAGATTTTTACTTGTGTATCCTTTCTTCCTAGAAAGAAAACATAGGCGTAAAGCTTCATGACGTTGAATACTTCATGCCATTGGTCTGGCAATAATATTACTATTATGAAAGGTGGAAAAAGCTAACCCAAGTAACTTTTGAACACAGTACTTGAAATATATACTTTCAGTCTAGGGGCCAAAAAAAGAGCTGCCAATAAATCTTGAACTCATTTCAGCAAGTTTACTTTTCTTAGTGGTTTGGCTGCCACTTTTCTGAAAGTAGTTTTTATACATCATACAATTGGGCAAATGGGCAGATGCCTTGTTGTTGGGAGCCACAGTTCTTAATATGGTAGAAAGGATACACCAATAGAAATATTTATATTTAAGTCTGGCAATCATTTTTAAGATGTGAACTTGAACAGGCAACAAAAGCAAAAATAGGTACGTTGGATTACATCAAACCCAAAAGCTCTTCACAGCAAAGGGAACAGTCAGTTGAGTGAAGAGACAACCTATGGAATGGGAGAAAATATTTCTAAGCCACACATCTGACAGAGGGTTAATATCCAAGGTATATAAAGAACTGCAACAACTCAATAGCAAGAAAACAAATAACATGAATAAAAAATGAGCAAAGGATCTGAATAGACATTTCTCGAAAGAAGACATACCAATGGACAACATGAAAAAATACTCAGCATCACTAACAATCAGGGAAATGCAAATTAAAACCACAGTGAGATATCGCCTCACACTTGTTAGAATGGCTGTTATCAGAAAGATAAAAGATAAGTATTGGTGGGGTGTGGAGAAAAAGGAACTCTAGCCCACTGTTAGTGACAGTGTAAATTAGTATAGCTGTGATGGAAAAGAGAATGGAGGTTCCTCAAACAGTTTAAAGTAGAACTACCATATGATCCAGCAATTCCACGACTGGGAATATATCCAAAGGAAATCAGTATATTGAAGAGAACTGTATTTTAGTGATTATTGCAGCATTGTTCCCAATAGCCAAGATAAGGGATCAATCTGAGTATCTATCAATGGACAAGTGATAAAGAAAATATGGTGTGTATACACAATGGGATACCATTCAGCCTTTGAAGAGAAGGAAATCCTGTCATTTGCCACAACGTGGTTGAACCTGGAGGACATTAGCTGAGTGTAATAAGCCAGCCACCAAAAGAAAAATACCACATGATCTTTCCTATATGTGGAATTTTAAAAGTTGAACTCAAGGAAGTAGAATAGAATGGTAGTGACCAGGGGTATGCGATAGGCTGAGGGATCAAGGAGATGTTGGTCACGGGATACAGGATTTCAGTTAGATAGGAGGAAGAAGTTCAAGAGGTCTATTGTATACCATGGTGAGTATAGTTAATTATAAAGTATACTTGAAAATTGTTAAGAGTAGATTTTCTGTTCATACCACAAAATGATAAGTATGTGAGATAATGCATATGTAAATTGGCTCAATTTAGCCATTTCACAATGTATATATATTTCAAAACAACATGATGTACATGATAAATATACAGTTTATTTTTAATTAAAAATTTTAAACTCTCTAATTGGTCTTCAACATATAGTACACAAGTCTTTTCACGACTCTTTATAATGGAACATATGTTCTTGGAATGCTAAAAATTATTTTTTTTGGAGGCCCTGCAAATAACTAAAAATTTATCTTAAAAGCCACACCTAATTACTTACATATGATCCAGAAAGGATACTTTGAAAAAGCTTTTTAATTGATAAAATCATTAAGGTAAAACATATTCATAAAAGTGTTCTCTAATAATTTTATAATTTTCTAGTTCATGAAGGATTAAATATACAACTATCATTTGAATTGGATTTTTTATGAGGTTAATTGTATTTAAATGCTAATTATTTTAACTAATTTTGTGGTTGACTTCTATGTAGAGTAGGGAAAAAGAATTTCCTAAAGCCAGTTACGTATATCTCTTTTTAGTCTGGATTTTTAATTAGGAAAAGTGATATAGTTAAATAGGTCTACTCTATAGCATCTTCTAAAATGAGTAAAAATTCATTATATCAGGATAAAAAATGATAAAGATATATGGATGACACATTTGGCTGAATTTTTCTTCTTCGCTGTTCTCTTGCTCTCTATTTAAATAGTCTTAGCTCTTTTATCATTTAAATTCTGAAGTATTGAGGTGATTATTCCGGCAGCAGGTGATTCTGCTAATTACTGTTCAGTCAGTTTTAGCTATTAGAAACAGAGATATGTTTACATTGCTGGGCTGCATGTAAATTTAGAAGTTACATGGCTTTGTTTTTACTTTGACTTACGGCATTAAAATTATTTTCATCTGTGTATGTAAAGATCTGCATCTATAAGCTTTTGTGGATAATAAGGTGAAATTGATGCATTTTAATATAAATTGCCAATATAAAATATCTCTAACTCAGACCTCTACTGGAAAGTTGTCAAATCTTATGTAGGAAAGGCTTTTACCATCACTGTTACACATTAACTGGGCATAGTTTAATATTAATAGCTCCTGAGACTTGTGGTTAACTGAGGTTTCTATTTCCTGTGTTTGGGTTTTATCTTTGCAACAACTTGGTTGCTTTTCTGTGTAAAATAGTGGTGAATATACACAAGAGTATGACAAGGTTCTGGGCTCTTAACTTTGATGAACACCATGCCATTTCCATCATGCTGCACTCAAAACAGCACAGATGTGAGTCTGGGAGTGGCGTCCCTGCCGCTCTCATGAGCCTTTGTTTGGAGAACACCCTGATTAACCCCCACCCTTCACGGTTCATTGACTCACTGATAGATCAAGTTTAAACTAGTATATATTAGCACATTTGTTACCAACAGAGGAACAGTTGGCCATTCTGTTTTACATTGCTGGTTCATTGCAAACTGGCGTGCTAAAAAGGTCTGTACTCTAGAGTATGAATTGGGAAGTTACCAAAGGACTGAGAACCAAGTCAGTTGCATATTAATGTTGAATTATACCTATATTTTAATCTTGGATTGTCTACTTGGGGGATGCTTACACTGTTGTCAAGTTATGAATAAGTGATAATTACCACTTTGAAATTCATCTTTTTTTTTCAAGGAGTTTAGGGGATTTAGGTGTCTCAATATAGCTTTCATATTAAACAGTTTGTCATAATTGGATGAGAGCAGAGCAAGGTCATGACTACCTGATGCCTTGTGTTGGAGCATTTTAAAAATGTTTTCCAGAGAGTTATTTGTACCTAATGACTTTACATAAGTCCTTACATTATACTTTATTTCTAGGTCACCTAAAAATGTTAATTGTTTAGTCAAGAGGGTTAGGATGTGTGTCTGTTTTCTCATGAAAAAAATTAAGCTGTTCCCTTTTTATCAATTTTCTTGCAATCTAAAGGCTTTTTTTTCTTACCTTCCTAACCTAGTGACTAAGGTCATCTTATTGTTACAGTTCCTTTCATGGGAGATAGGTTTACTGCATCATTTGGCAGTTTCATAGGGTGAATTTTGTCTTGGCTTCATCTTTCCTTACTGGTTGTCATCCCCTGGGCCACCTGCTTTTTTGCATTTTCCTTTCTCTTGTGAGATGATGAAGCTCTGTGCCCCGATGGGGATGAGAGACAGCACTCTGAGTTCAAGTCTAGGATAAGGCAATGGGCTTGCTTTTCAAAACAAACTAGTGTCATACGGGCTGCTGCTTTCAGGTCCACTGTCTGATTTTATCACTGATGACTTGTTTCTGGAAGGCAAACTGATTTAAGTTCTGAGCAAAAGGGTCGGTGTTTATTTTCAATGCTACTATTAATTTAGAGTTTTAATTTAGAAAAGATTTTTTACCAGTTCTCAAATATGATTTTTCTATTGACTTTAAGTTTGTAGATATAAGGAGTAGACATGAGATAGAGACTGAATTGCTTTTTTGTTTTTAAAACTTGGCAGTAATAAGGGGTTGCTTGTTTTTTCATGCTAAATATTTTTTCTAAGGGATCTAGATACCTATCAGAAAACTTAACTTTGATAACTCTGGTTCTTTATTAAGTATTTTTGTCTTATTTTAGGAATTAATAGAAATAGTTGTAATTTTAGACTTCCTTTATAAAATACCAATTTAAAGAGAAGCTTTTTGCTTAAATGATTGTTTTGCAGTGTTGTGCTTTTGTTTTCTTTAATGCAGTTGAAATCGCAGCTTTATAACTTATTTTTTAATTTGGGGTTTTTAAAAGAATATTAGTTATTTATTTATATTTATTGGGCACCTACTGTGTGCCAGACACTATTCTAGGAACTAGTAAACATAGCAGAGAGCAGAATCATGAAGTTCTTGACCTCAAGGAGCTTAAATCCTAGTGGTAGAGGGGGAATTCAAAAAAATCAAATAAATGTATTTCTATTATGTCAAGTGATGGTATGTACTACCAGGCAATCAGATGAAAATATTTCCTCTTCTATACACAGTGGGCAAGGAAGGCTTCATTGACTGTGGAGTTTTAGAAGAAAGCTGAAAGTAATGGGGAAAGAGAGCCATATCGATATATGAAGGAAAACATGGTCCAAGCAGAGGAAACGAAAAGTGCAAAGAATTGAGCAAGAAAGTCATGTTCAAGTGGAGTCAGCAGGGGAAAGAGTAGGTCACAAATGCGGCTGAGGGTGGGTCATGAAGGGCCTTACAAGCTTTGTATGAGTTTTTACTTTTATTCTGAAAAAAACAAAAACAAAAACAAAAAAAACCGGGGAGCTATTTGGGGATTTTAATAGAAAAGTAACATAATTTCCTTTTAAAATGGATATGTGGCCACTAAGTGGAGAGAGTGGTGTATATATGAGTGGATGGAATAATTGATACAGGCAAGCAGGAGACAGGTTAAATGAAAAATGGATTAATCCAGGCAAAAGATGGTGACTTAAATTAAGCTGGGAGTGGGAGAGATGGTGAGACATGCTTAGACTTTGGATTCATTTTTCCAGATAGAACTGGCTGACAGAGACATGTCATTTACCAACATAGACATGGCAGATTTTTTTTTTCTTTTCTGAGACAAGGTCTTGCTCTGTTGTCCAGGCTGGAGTGCAATGGTGTGACCATAGCTCATGGAAGCCTCAGACTCTTGATATCAAGTGATCCTCCCACCTCAACCTCCCTAGTAGTTGAGATTACAGGCATATGCCACTGTATCCAGCCAACTTTTTTTTTTTCTGTAGAGACAATATCTCTCTGTGTTGCCTAGGGTAGCCTTTAACTCCTGGCCTCAAGCATTCCTCCTACCTCAGCCTCTCAAAGTGCTGGGATTATAGGAGTGAGCCACCATGCCTGGCCAATATGGCGGTTATTAAGAGGATAAGTCAAAGATTACATGAATATTCTGTTATGAAAAGTGTCAAACATATAGAAAATATAAACAGTATTCCAGTGGGCACCCATATTTTTATCACCTTGATTCTACAGATCTTAACATTTTTCTGTATCTGCTTCAAACATTTTATTCTGCCAATGTGTTCTAAAGTAAATTGTTGATATTGTGATAGTTCTCTCCAAAATGCTGCAGTGTGTAGCTCTAAAAATAGATATTTTTCAGATAACCAAATATCATTAACCTGCCAAATCAATGAATGATAATTGCTTATTAACATTTAATACTTGGTCCATAGTCAAATTCTCCATATTTTCCATAATGTCTTTTATAGTTAACTTTTACCAACTAGTGTCTGATCAAGAATCATTCATTTAACTAATTACATTTAAACTGTAACATTACAACATGTTTTTTCGTATGTTTTATTCTCTCTGACATTGACTTATGGAAGAGACTAGATTATTTGTCCTGTAGACATTTTATCATACATAAGAGTTACTAGGAGAGCTCTGATTACTAGTCCCCACTCTCAGAAATTTTGATTCAGTTGCTCTTTCCAGTGAGCTGCTGGTGATGCTGGACTTTCATTCTGAAGACCATACTTTGAGCACTACTGCTGTACCACTATCCGATGGCTTCTTTGTGATATCGTTTAACTTGTTGTTCTGTTGCCTGTATTTCCTCTAAACTGAATTTTCAATCTAAAGGCTTACTGAGATTCATGTTTGATACTTTGGGCAAGAATACTTCATAAGTTCTAGTGCTTAATGTTAGGTAGCACTTAATTCTGACTATTTCACTATTCATGAGGCTAAGCTAAGGAGGTGACAGCCTGATCCTTCTATTGTAATGTTTCATGTGAAACTACTAGATAATTTGTTGAGTTGGGGGGTGGGTAGGGAAGAGATATCTAGTTTTCAATAAATATTTCACCTAATGGTTTTAACACACATTGATCATCCTTGCCTGAACTAATTATTTAATTAGGGATGGCAACATGGAGACTTTCTAATTCAATCTTTTTTTTTTTTTCTAAATGAATGGCCTTGTTTTTATTTTTAAATGGATGTTACTTCGCAACTGGGGTTATTTGATTACCCAGAAATATAGCGCATATTAAAAAGGTAGGATAAATGCTTAGTTAACTAATTAAGCAATTTTTAATTACCAGTTTTCACAGTAAGGCACTAAAGTTTCTGACTTGAGCAAAGATAAAGTGGAAAGATAAAGTGGTCGTTTAGTGAGATGGGCAAGACTGTGGATAGGTAGACTAGGTTTGGTGGGAAAGTCAGAATATCAGTTTTGAATATGTTAAGTTTGAGATGTCTATTAGAAACATATGTTGACGAGGCCAGGTGCAATGGCTCATGCCTGTAATCTCAGTACTTTAGGAGGCTGAGGTGGGCGGATCACCTGAAGTCAGGAGTTCAAGACGAGCCTGGCCAACATGTGAAACCCTGTGTTTACTAAAAATACAAAAATTAGCTGGGCTTGGTGGCATGCACCTGTAATCCCAGTAATCCCAGCTACTTGGGAGGCTGAGGCGGGAGAATCACTTGAACCCAGGGGGCGGAGGTTGGAGTGAGCCAAGATCCCGCCAGCCACTGCACTTCAGCCTGGGTGACAGAGCGAGACTCCATCTCAAAAAAAAAAAACATATATATATATATATATATGTTGACAATATTTCAGTTGAATAAAATAAAATATTCTAGCTATTTTAGGTAGAAAGGCATTTTATACCGATACTACTACTAAAGGGTAAGAAGATATGACTGTAGTACATTAAATATGCTGATGGCCTACAACTGTTGCTGTGTTGCTTTTTCCTCTTCACCACACATATGCAGCCTCATGAAACATTTTCCATGACCAGCACACTGAAGGAAATAAAAGGAACCTAGTTTAGAGATGGTTCTGCATGATACAACAAAAATGAGCTGCTAAAGCATTACAATCCCACTCAAGAGTATTCCCCCATCAAATAGTGGGGCTGGTATTTTAATCAGTTGATACTAATTGTCAAGGTGTGATGGCCAAGGGATTGATGTTTATCAGTGTATGGACAGTGGTTCAGAGTTTGGTGAATTAGTCGAGTTGAAAGAGAAAGATTGGTGACAAAGATGTATGAGGTGGAAAGTATACTTTCACAGAATAAGAACAGAAAATGAGATTTATGTTTTTTTGTAAACGTTCAACAAAGAAAATTCATTCAGAGGAGGAAATAGGTAGGCAAGATGCCCTATTCTACAGATGTTAGTCAGCATCACTGCAAAGCAACCTCAGGGCTTATGCAGTGGACACTTAAAATAGCACTGGTGCAGGGATGGGAGAAATAAATGGATTTAATAAGCACTGCTGCTTACCAAGGTTGATTGAATTGCCACTATTGCCAAGTGTTCTACCTGCAAACAGATCAACCTTGAGCCCTGGATATGGCACCATGTCCCAGAGCAACCAGCCAGCCACCTGGTGGCAGGTTGATTGCATTGGATTTGCTCCATTATGGAAGGTCAGTGGTTTGTCACTGCTGCGATGAATGCTTACTGTACGTTTGGATTTGCATTCCCTGCCCACCATGTTTCTGTCAGCAATAACATGGCCTTATTAAAGCCTTATTCAATAATATGACATCCTATATAATATTGCTTTTGATCAGGAGACTCATTCACATCAAAATAAGTGAGGCAATTGGCTGTCAACTACAGGATTCACTGGTCTTACCATGTTCCTGTTGTAGCATATTGTATTCTACCTGGAAGATGAAACCTTGTGACATTAAAGTAGTTTTTAGTTCCATAAACATAATACAGGGGTCTATGAATCAAGAAGTGGAGGTAGAAGTGTTGTCTTTTACTTCACATCTAATCACATGTTCAAAATATTTTTTCATCTTGCCTCTGCAACTTTGAACTTTGCTGACACACTGAGGTTTTAGTGTGAGGAAACAATACTTTCACATGGGAACATGATAGTCGTTCAATTGAACTGGACATTTAGAATAACCTGGCCACATTACTGAACTGTATAACTGAAACAACAAATGAAAAAAATGAAGATGCTACGCTGGCAAAGATGATTAATTTTGATTATTGGGAGAAATAGTATTGCTACTGTTAGGAGGAAGACTATATGTCTAGAAACTAGGAGGAAACCTGGGTTGCCTCCTTGTAGCAGGGTAAAATGAGTGAGTACCTTGTCTAAGAAAGGGAACATGACCAAACTGAACCCAGAAGACATAGGAAATCTAAACAGATCAATTAACACCAAAGAAACGGGCATTTTTTGGTACTTCTAAAAAAGTACCAGACTGATATTTTCACAGAGATGTTCGTTATACCCTTAAGGAACAGGAACAGAAAACTTCTATACTATTTAAACTATTTTAGAGGATAGAAAAGGAAAGAAAACTCCAGATTTTATTTATAGAACTTGCATGAAATTGATACCAAATTCTGACAATGCAAGTTCAAAAAGGAAAACTAGAGATCAGTGTTACTTATGTCAAACAGCTCTTAATAGAATAGATGGATATGGTTATCAACATGATAAATATGTTTATCACATTTTAAAGCCTACATGGAGAAACATTTGAGGTTTTCTTATTCTAGAACTGACAGGAATGTCCTTTATTATGAGCACTATTAGTCAAATTTTTCTGGTGGAACTAATGTAAGTAGACTGCTGAAGAAAATGAATGGTATGAACATTGGAAAGGGGAAATTAAATGATTATTATTTACAGATAAAATAATTGTTAAGCTGGAAAATCCAAGTGAATAAAGGGAAGGCCTACAATTAAGCAGTTAAGGAAAGGGCTAGGTATAGAAATCAATAGTTTTGATATATGCAGGCTATAGCCAGTTAGGAGATCAGTTAGGGGAAAAACACGTTGACAGCAGCAACGAAAAGCTGATAAACCTAGAATTGTTCACCACTTATCTTAAAATGTTTAACATGGTACTGAGGGACACAGGAGATTATTTATGTGGAAAAACATACCATGTTTCTATACAGAAAAATTGAACATCACAAAAGTATTATTTGATCTTAAGATAATTTATATTTAATGCAATCTCAGTGAAATACCAGGAGAATGTTTTTAAGCTAGACAAACTTATTTCAAAGATCATATGTAAAAATAAGCAAAAATAGATGTGAAAAATTCTTTAAAGTAATGAGAGACCAGTCTTATTGACTATTAAGTCATTATAAAACTATAATGTTTAAAAGATGGTACTGACATATGAATAGATCAGTGGATCTCAGATGGGCAGTGCAGAAAGAGATCCAAACACATACAAAAATTTAGTACCTCTAAAGGTGGCATTTAAAATCTGTGGGGAAAGATGGATTTTCCAATGAATAATGTTGGGATAGGTAGATAGCCATCTGGAAAAAATGAAAGTCAAATCCCAACTTTTTACCTTTTATCAAAATGAACTTCAGATACAATTGAAAATATAAAATTGAGACCATAAAAGTATTAGAAGAAAAATGCAGTTTTTAAGTCTCAAAAGGGGACTCTTAAATATCATACAAAGCCCAGAGGCCATAAAAGAGATGATTGATAAATTCAAATATAGGTCCGTGTAAGCGAAAACTTTCAGTATGGAGAAAACATAAGTTATTAAGGCAAATGACACACTAGGAAAAGCATTTGTAACTCATAACAAGCCTAGTTTTCTTACTGTGTAAAGTACTGCCATAATTGACAAAGAAAATATGAAGAATTGGCAAGTGACATACATAGAAAGTTCATGGAAAAAATAACTCTTAAACATTTACAAAATTTTACAACCTCTCATGAAAAGAGAAATGGAAATTGAAATTAGAGTCACATACAGTATTTCACTTTTCATTTGTCAAAGATCAAAAAGTTTGAACATACTGTGGGTTTATGTTTATAAGGATGTAAGAAAACAGGCAATCTAAATTCCTTGTAGAGTGTAAATTGGTAGTAATAAGAGAAAAATTTACTGAATACTTTGTGCCAGGTGCTTTTCTAAGCACTTTACATTTAATTATCTCAATTAACTTATCCAGAAAGTACCATTATTTCTGTATTACACGTGAGGAATTTGAAGAAAAGTTAGACAAGTAATTCAAAGTCACACAGTTAATAAATGACAGAGTGAAGATTTGAGACCATTTCCTTTTTCTCAAGTGTCCACTTTTGGTCGCAACTCTGCTGTTTCTGTAGTGAGTGATTTAACACTATATGATAAAACCTTAAGAGTACGTACTCTTTGATCCAGTGATTCTACTTCCAGAAGTTTGTCCATTTTGCATCAAATAGATGGAGAATAGCATTCATTGCATTGTTATTTGCAGTAAAGGAAGATTGGAAACAACCTGAACATTTATCCTCAAGGACTCATCCATACAAAAGAATTGAAGTAAATTCATCCAGATGAATATGAGGCAGCTTTAGATAGAGTGAGATGGCATCCTATGTAGTGATATGGAGTCATCTTTAAAATACAGTAAAAGGAAAAAGCAAGATACAGAATAGCATGTAGGGAAGCTGCTGTCTATGTGAAAAGCTGTAGAATATACGTGCATTTTTGTATATGCATAGAATATTCCTAGACAAGGACAAACATGGTGGTTCATACCTGTAATCCTAGCACTTTGGGAGACTGAGGCAGGTGATTCACTTGACTCCAAGTTCAGGATGAGCCTGGCCAACATGGCAAAACCCCATCTCTAGAAAAAATATAAAAATTAGCTGGGTCTGGTGGTGTATGCCTGTGGTCCCAGCTACTTGGGAGGCTGAGGCAAGAGGATTGCTTGAGCCTGGGAGGCAAAGGTTGTAGTGAGCCAAGATCATGCCACTGCACTCCAGCTTGGGTGACAGAGCAAGACACCATTCATCTCTCTATCTCTTTTCTCTCTCTCTCTTTCTCTGTCTACACACATACACATACCCCCCCACACACATATATATACACACATATATGTGTGTGTGTATATATATGTGTGTATATATATACGTGTGTGTATATATATGCGTGTATATAGATACATTTCTAGAAGGATTCTCAAAGTGATATCAGTGATTGTTGTGCAAGAAGGAAACTAGATATCAGTGAATGCGCTAAATAAGGTGATTTTGAATTCTGTAGCATGTGTATGATTTACCTATAGAGAAAGCAGTCTAGCATGAGCGTGGGTTTCTCAAATATAGAATGTTTGCAGTGAGGTCACTTGGTGAAAAGTATAGCCATGTCAGACAGATGTAGGTTCAGATTCCAGGACTTCCAGGACTGCTGAAAGGGAAAGGGGCTTTGGATCTCCTTCAGCTCCAGGCAGCATTGCTCCTTTCCCAGCTTTGACATTAGCTGGAGGGAAGACAAGTTCTTAGAGCTCTATGTGCTTGGGACAAGACCCCTTCCCCCTACTGCCTTACTCGCCAACCATAACTGCTGCAAACAATTCTTACCTCTTCCACCCCATGTCACTGCCTAAAACCCTTCATCACCTGGCCTCCCATGCCTCTAAGTCTCTGTACATCCCCTAGCCTGATACTGTCCCCAACCCTCCTCAACTCCAGACACCATTTTACTCTACCCTCTGGAATTGTCCATTATTAGCAAAATCTCCTTTATTTTCAACCTCCTTTCTAAGTATTTCCCCCACATTCTTGTTGTAATAGAGACACAGCTTTCCCAGGACTGTATAGCTTTCCTTGCAGTCCTCTAAAGTGGTAACTGGTTTCTCTGCCATACATTTCATACCACTGGTCCTGGAGATATTGTCAATATCTTAATGTCTTCCTTCCATCTCACTTAAATTTTGAGACCATAATTCCTTTTTCCTCTCTTAAAAGTTCTCAGTGTTGAAGCTCAATCCATTAGATACCTCTAGCTGGCACTACTAGTTGCAGTCCTGTGCAGACTACTGAGTCATTTTCTTTACTCCCTGAAGACTTAAACTCTATCTTACTCTCACTCTCTCTGACATTACTCCTATTAAAATGTTATGTTTCTTTAGCTATTCTTTCAGTTTTTGGTCTCCTCTCCTTCAACGAGGATGATTTCTAGAATGTTGGTTCTCAAAATGTGGCCCCTTTGCAGACATCGTCAGCACCTGGGAACCTGTTATAAATATGAATCTGCAGACCACACCCCAGACTACTAAGCCCAAAATTCTGGGGGCTGGAGCCCAGAATCTATGTTTTAAGAAGCACGTCAGGTAATTCTGATGAATATGCCAGTTCCTTAGATCTTGTTATTGTCATTACTGACAACTTTCTCTGAGACCACAATTTGAATCTACCAATTTTTCACTAGTACTCACCCATCTTAAGTCCTTACTTTCCCCTTACCAGCCAGACATTTGAATATTCCTTGACTCTTCTCTTTCACATACTATATCCAAAGAGTCAACAAATGCTGTCAGCTATACCTTCAAAATACATGTAGAATCTAACTTTTAACCTCCACTGCAGTCACTTCAGTCCAAGCACAACCATTTCCCACCTGGAGTATTGCAACTGTTCTTGTTTGGTGGCCCTTGGCCCTACTTTATCTACTTTCCGCAAAGCAGCCAGAGTGTTTCTTTCAACACCTAAGGTTATATGGCTTCATTGATTGAAATTCACCGTGCTTCACCTCTTTCTCTACAAAAGCCAAAGTCCTTGTAAATGCCTGTAAGGCTCGAGGGTGATCTGACCTTCCCTGGCCTGTCGTGTTTCGGTAAAAGTAAGCTGAGTCTTTCATAGTTAAAGGACAGCAATATTGTCCTGCATGATATTTTAAAAACCCAATCAAGAATCACACATTGCATTTAATTTTCATGCCTTTAGTCTCCATTAAAAGTGTGCCCTTTGTATTAATAATTGGAGTGATGAGGGACAGAGTTTAAGAATATATAAATATTTTGTCCCCAACTGACTGTCACTGGATGGCTTTGGCACCCATTGGTGATTCTTACCTGAATCAGTAATTATTGTGATGACTGAAAATAGTGATTTTTCTCACTGTATAATTCTTCTATATTTATTAATTACCTTAATATTATCCTATAGAACAGAATGTTCCCTTCTCATCTTTTGTTTGTTTAGTGTCAGTATTACTCATGAAGTTGGGTGTTTAGAAAATTCAATGTTGTATAATACTGTTATTATTCAATATTGTATTTTCTCAGTTTGAGTCTTCCATCTGCGTCCTTTCATGTAAATAGTATAAAGATCAGTAATAGAGGAACATAGAGTAAAGTGTGAGCAGAGAAGCCTTACTCTGAGACAAACTTCAGAGAGGTGAACTCTGTTGCTGATTAAGAAAGGCTTCACTGAGGAAGTGTTGTTTGAAGTGAGCTTTGAAAAGTCATAAAATTTTGACAAAAGTGGGGATGGGGTGGAGCTTAAAGGAAAAACTGTCTGAACAAAGGAAGGCCCGGCAGACTAGGAATTTGGCAATAATACAGTGGTTTTGGACCTTGATGAGGAAGTTGAAATGGAACATAAAAACCCTCTGCATTTAGCTCCATTTATTTGCTCAGGCAGCTCTCACTGCCTAAAATTTTCACCCCTGCTGTTTTGCTCAGGGGTGGGATGAGGGGTAATGAGGGAGGAAATTTTAGGGGGTGAAAACAGCACAAGCCAAAAACCCTGCTCAGATACTCCCTTCTCTTGAAGCCTTTTCCAGATCCCTAATAAGAATTAACCACCCTCTCTCACACACTCTGTTGTACTTTGTCCTTCTCTGTTAACCAGCCTCTGTGTTTTGTGCTGTCTGTATTTGTGGATACATCTTCCTCCTTTAAAGCACGAATCATATCTTAATCCCTTGGCCCTTCTTCCCAGTACTTAGCACAAGTGCTCAATACATGTTTCTTTAACGCGTGTAACAGAGGAAGGCGAGGAGAGTGAGTGGGATTGGGAGCAGGAGGATTCTGAATGTCATTTTAAGGGGTTTGGGCTCGCTCTTCAGGCAGCAATGAGCCATAGCCGCCTTTGAACTGTGCAGCACTGACCAGAGCTGTGATGCCAAAGGATGCAGTGGAAGGGGAGGACAGCCAGCATGCCTGGGCATGGTCCCCAAGTCAGAGGACATCAGTGGGAGAAGGGAGAAGGCATGGAAGCAAGTGGCTACCATCTTATGAATCTGAGCACTCATTCAAAGGTGGCAAGGAAAAAGGAAGGCATTGAGCACGGTTTTGAGGTTTCCAGCCTGGGTGATTGGAGGCTGATGCAGGCTTCTTACCAAAAAGGGCCCTAGGCAGTTTCACCAGGAATGTTTAAGGAGTTTATCATGACCCTATCTCTTCCTCGTCTAAAACTCTCCCTAAAATCAAAACAGTATGTCCTGTTGAAATACTTTATTGTATCAAATATAATGAGAAGTAAAATATTCTCTCTACTTGATGTATGAAACACTGACTTCTTGTAGTGGACAATTTTCACTTGTCTTTTTAGTAATGGTTTTTATTAAAAATAGATGTTAATAACTGCTTGTTTAATCTTTAAACGTGGCCCTCTGAGAGCAGCTTACCGTAAAAGAAACGGTTGTCAGCTTTCTTTTTGCTCCTCAGTCCCTCCTGCCCCTTCCTAACAACAGAAAATTTGCTTTGCACCTGCTCCAACTGGGTTCGAAGAGATAAGCATCTTGCAAGCCCAGAAAATTGTAGTATCAAATCTCAGCCCCAACTGTGAGGCAGCACTATCATTGAATCCCTGCTGAGAGGCGTTGCTTTCCCAATTCCCAAAAGAGTTCTTTCTCCCCTGGCCCCTTTTCAGGCTTGAACTCTGACCGAAACCCTCTTTTTAACTCCCAGCATGCACTGCACTTGGTACTGACACTGACCCATCCCTGCTTCCTCTGTTCTGCACTGGACTCATCAGTAGGTCAGGCGTTGGTAGCCCTGGGGTCACTGGGGTGCCCAATTCCAATAATGAGCACATTTAGCTAAGGAGAGGAAATGTACCCTTCTATTTGTTACAGTCCATTGCTTTTTTTCCAGAAACAAATGCTAAAAGAACATTTGATATATTGTGGTTTGGTAAATACACATAGCACTGCCTAATATTCACAAAGTTGCCTCTTTTTTTTGCATCTTCCTTCATAAATTAAATATATTGTTCTAACTCATGATTTATTTTAAGAGGGATATACCTATTTCACAGCTAGGAAAATGTTTTCAAATAAAGTTATATTCAGAATACTCTTGCAAGAATTTCAAATAAAAATAGCAAATACTATTTAAATGCATATAACATTCTAACAGACTTGTGTGTCATTTTAAAGGGAAAGAAAAAAAATGATGACAAGGACTTTACAACTTTGTCTTTAAAATTTCTTCTTAGGCTTTCCAAACAGACCGAAGTCATTAAAAATACTCCTTAACCCCCAAAGTCACAAAAAAGAAGCTACCCAGGTTTATTATGAGAAGGTTGAACCTCTGTTGAAGCTTGCAGGAATAAAAACTGATGTAACAAGTAAGTAATTTTCAGAATATAATTTCACCATCTACAAAAACATACAAAAGCAAAATAATCTGAATTTGTCCTTAATGCAAACTTGGGAAACTACTTGTAATATCTATAGCATTTTTACGTCTTCATAACCTACTGCAGCCAGCTCGAGGGTTATAATTTAATTATTTTTGTTATTTTTATTAGAATATTAATATTTTCTCTTTAGAATTTTTTCAGATATTTTTTCAGACTTAAACAATTGTTAGATATAATTACAAAGGAAGCTGTATACTTGTTTACATCTTCATGGAGATGTTTGCTACTTACACGTTAATTTTGCAGTTAGGCAAGAAATTGATTTTTTGCTCACTTATATAGTTGATGTCTTTCCATGGAATTCTTCCTTGGGTTGTTTTCGTTCTGACTCTGACCCCTGGTGGTTAGGTCAAAACTAAGCACTGAACTGCTGGTTTTATTAATAGATGAATTTAGAGATGCTAGAAGCTTAAATTTGTTGTCTAAACTAAGAAATGTACTTAGGTTTGTGCCAAGGAAAATAGAAACTTGTTAATGCTAAACTTAATAGATGATTAGTAATATCCTTTTTGATTTTTTTAATTTGGTAGTCACATTTCTTTGTTTCTTTGAGACTTATTTTCGTATGGTGGGGAACTGAGTAGAAGAGTCGATGCTATGGAGAATCGCAACCTTCCTAGCTTTATTTCTATGTGGCTTCGCTAACAGTGGAAATTTGCAATAAATTTTAATTGATGAAAAGTATTATAAAATAAGCCTACTCAGGGGACAAGCCCAGAGTGCAATTGGAACTTCCTAGTCCCAGTTATAGATTCCTAGGGAAGGGATTCACAGTGATGTGGCTTTACTCAGCTGTAAACAAAGGAGATAAGTTTCAAGATGTTAATAATATCATTGAAACCTACACCTAGTGATCTGATGGATTGAGGTAGAAGAAAGTTCAAAAAAAAAAAAAAAGCAAGTTTTGTAGGAAGGTCAGCCCCCATGAAATGTGCCTATAACTATAGAGGTTCGAGAGAAACTACCATGAAAAACTCAAGAGGAATTTTTGAATTAAAATAAAGTTATAGTGAAGAAGTTAACCTTTATGTTTGTGACCTTCGGCTTATTTAGAGGTGATTTACAAGTAAAAGAGAAAATTCAGATTTATGTTTTCTTTCTACTGAAGATTTCCAAAGATTGGCTGAAGGAAAAGTTTGAGATTTGTATTAGGGTGAGACAATTAAAAGTTGAATAAACATATTGGCATACTCAATGACTATTTTGTTCATTGCTTTTACATGTGAATACTACAAAGCAGCTTAACATGGATATTGCTATATAGCATTCACTTCAGGAATCTCATTGTATGCTTGCTCTGTGTTCAACATAGTGCAGGATGCGAGATGAATAAGCTATCATACTTGGATGACTTTCTACATTATTAGAGATTCAAAAAAATGCTTAAAACCATTATAACTGGGGTATACATAAAAGAACTTTGATGTCTCAGAGGTGATATTTTGATCGGAAGATTCAAGAAAAGCATTTGAACTAGGCAGTTTTTAAGAGGCAGACAAAAAATGAGGGAAGGAAGTCAGGCTAACAGGCATGTACTGTAAAAGTTGGGAGGGGGGGCGGAGAGAGAGAGTGTGTGTATGTGAGAGAGTCCATGTGTGTTACACCCATACATCTGGAGAGTTTGTGCCATAACTTTGCTCTACTTTCCTCAGTTTTTACATTATCTGAAATCTTACTCTATCATCATAAAATAGCTGCCAGTGAATTTCATCCTTTCTTATTAATATCCAGTGGGATGGGGAGAGGTGTGCATATGTGTGCAAGAGAGACCCAACATGCTTTAATCCTGAAGATGAATTAAAATTTCCTTTTTTAAGTTTGGGCACAGATACTGTATTAGCGCAGTCAATCTGGAATAATCATTTATTTAACCATCAAGACTCTTCCCAGGGGCTGAGGACAGATCCCCTTTTCCTGATGACTGAAATGCCTCAGCTGAATCTGGATTCTGTTAGGGAGAAGAAAGGGCAAAATGACTTCTAGGAAGGCTCTCAACAATGTATACTACAGGAGGTATAATTCCAGGTTATGGATGGATCCTTAAGCTGCACTCAGCAGTTTACTCATCGTGTATTGATCCACAGTTGGTGTAAATTTTTTTTTATCATACTGTTGCAATCTGGTTTGGCAAAGATGACTCCACCAGCAGAATTAAAATTAAAAAGGAAGAGAGAAAAAGAGATTGGAGACAAGAAAACTGATATACAAGGCCTGAACTAAGGCAGAGGAAATCATCTAAATGTGCTTTCCTTCTTAATTGTATTGGAGACAAAACTATTATGTTCTAGGATTTTTTTCTCTAAATTTGTAAATATTACTAAGTACCATATTTAAACATAAAACAATAGAATATTCCGTAAAGCAAATTTAGAATTTACTTACATTTGTGCAGAATGGCTAATTATTAGCTGCCTAACACTCCTCCTACAGGCAAATTTATAAAATTACATCATTTGCTTATAAAACCATTTTAGTATGCATATTGGCTCAATATTTATGAAAAATATTTCTTGAATAAACCTGTGAATATTTGAAAAGTTTTAGTCTTCCTGCCTATCTTACAGTGTTATTTTTGTAGTTGAAATAATATATTTGAAACTTTGTATATTATACTACAGAAAGGTGGTCATAATACTGTTAGTTTCAGTTTCAAAAATTATGTCATAGTAAGATCGAATTCGTACTTTATTTGAAAGTATATGGAAGAGTAAAGCAGAAAGAGGACATATCTTCTGCATGTCCAGTGGGACATTGTTTTAATGTATCCTTGTGTGAATGGGTGAGTCCAAATGGAATTGGAATTACAAAATAAACCCTATATGATGAGTTAATTAGGAAATAGTGCTATATAAATATGAAGTATAATATGAAGAATTACAGCTAGATATA
The DNA here is from genome assembly GCF_000001405.40 of Homo sapiens. Taxonomy (NCBI): domain Eukaryota; kingdom Metazoa; phylum Chordata; class Mammalia; order Primates; family Hominidae; genus Homo; species Homo sapiens. Next base: position 181,570,788 of record NC_000002.12, on the reverse strand, counting down.
TACACTATAAGGTACTGTAATTTTTTCATAAATTTATTTTAAAAATGGATCTTACCACATTAATAAAAACACACTTCTTTCATTTTGGGTTGTGCTGAAATCCTAACTACTTCTGAATATAGATCAGCATCTTTTGAAATATTTGTGCTAAAGTTGCATCCCCACTCTGCTACCACCACCAAGGTAGTATCTTATCTAATAGCATCAGAAAAACTTCCGGGAGAACCTGGAAAGAATTATTTTTTCCTAATTACCTATTCGTACACAAATCAAAGAAGAGTATGAACGATAAGCCCATGCTGGCATATGATATCATTTCTCTTGCTTCTGAAACAAAGCAAGTTTTAGAGATTGTACCATTAAAGGTGTGACAGATATTTTGAGGATCAGAGATCCATAGGATAATTCATAGTACAATAGAGTGAAAAAGTTAAGGCAGCAGAGAAATCAGACTGAAAAGAACTTTCGAGGCCATATGGTTCAATTTTTCTCCTTGTGGGTGGAGCACAGGTGTGTGGCACTCAACTTTGGCTTGGCCACCTACACTAGAGGCAGAGTACGTTGTTACTGGACAATACTGTTTGACATTCTTATGAATGTTCAGAGTTACTGTACCTTTGGGCAGATTAGAAAAGGCACCTCCTCTGTGCTGACTTACAAAAAGGTGCCCTTTCTTCCAGACTAATTCATCCTTTGCTTATAAAACCATTTCAGTATGCATATTGGCTCAATATTTATGAAAAAAATATTTCATACTTTCAAAATATTCATATTTCAAAAATATTCAGCCCAAGGTCACTAGATTCAGCCTAAAGTCATTTGTTAGATTGCAAATCCGTCATTCCCGTTAGCCAAGTACCTTTGTGCTAGGCATAAACTGTACAAAATGAGAACTTGTCAGCTGACATTCGCCTCTTTGTAATTTTTATGTACTAGAGTTAATGTTATCTCTTGTAGTAATATGAAATAAATGTGCCCCATCTATTGTATAGGAGTCATTGAGATATTTGAAGAGAGATATCCTGTCTGCCCCTCATCTCTTGTTCACGATAGGTACTTCCATCGCCTTCAGTTACTTTTTGCATTAACAGAGCTGCTAGACCTTATCATGGTCATTATCATTATCATACTCAAAGACATTTATCTGAAGGAAACCTTGATCTCTGCCAGCTCAGGGCTCTTGGGAGTGCCTAGTCACCAGATAATTTTACCTCCTGGGCAGAGTTGTCAAGAAAGTGGTGTTTGTTATCATTTTCCCCTTCTTTCTCCTAAAATCACGCTTCTAACATGGCTGTTAACAAGCCTCTTCATAGTGTTTCTCTGGTTGTTTATGGCTCTACTTGAAGCCTTCCATTTCTTGGAAATGCCTCTTGCCTTTCTAAATCTCACCCAGCAGAAAGCTAGGCCATCTAATGAAACTGTGTCACAAAAGATTCCAGTAGCCTGAGGCATCACTCCTTCCAATTTTACCTGCATTTTAATACAAAATCTGAAAAGTAAATGTTCATGCATCATATCTAGCTAGAGAGAAAGATAATTCTGTGTAAAAGATTCTTTTTGTTACCTCTTAAATAATTGTGGGTGTATATGGCCAGTCCTGTTCCCAGCATTCAGATGTGAGTTAGGAAGTTGGAACTTTATACCTGGGGACGATGAAGACTCACTAATGGGGTATATACAAAAAAGTGATATGATTAAATATGTATCTGAAAATGGTTATTCTGGCTAGAGTGGGGGAGAGGTTTGAGGGAGACAAGATAAAAGGCTATTGTAGTACAGGTGGAGTATCCCTTATCTGAAAGGCTTGGGACCAGAACTGTTACAGATTTAGGATGTTTTTAGCTTTTGGAATATTTGCATTATACTTAACCACTTCAGCATCTCTCTAATTTGAAAATCATGGACACAGGAAGGGGAATATCACACTCTGGGGACAGTTGTGGGGTGGTGGGAGGGGGGAGGGATAGCATCGGGAGATATACCTAATGCTAGATGACGAGTTAGTGGGTGCAGCGCACCAGCATGGCACATGTATACATATGTAACTAACCTGCACAATGTGCACATGTACCCTAAAACTTAAAAGTATAATAAAAAAAAATTAAAAAAAAAAAAAAAGAAAATACTCCAATGAGCATTTACTTTGAACGCCATGTCATTGCTCCAAAATTTTTAGATGTTGAAGCGTTTTGGATTTTAGATATTCTGGTTACAGATACTTAACTTGTCTACACATGAAAGATATTTAGTGATCAGATCAATCAGCTAATTTAGGGAATTAGCTGGGAGAAATGGAGGAATGCTATGGCATAATTTAAAGACAGAAACAACTGGCCTTGGCCATGGAGTGGTTCTGGAGAGTGGAGGAAAGGGACACTCTAGAAAGAAGTCATTTTCCTGTCTTGGGGTAGATGATGGAACACAAAAAGAACAATATATTTGAGAGAGAATATATTTGAAGGTATACATAATGGATTCTGTTTTGAGCTTACTAACTTTAAAGTACCTACAGGACAGGAAAGAAAATGACATTTCAGTATCATATCCCACACTAGAATTTTATCACCAAACCAAGAAATGTTTCCTTATGTCCAAATCAAATCTCACCTGATTTTATTTCAGGTGATTTTCTCATCAACATTGAATATCAACCTTAAGACTTTCTTGTCTTCCTGAGGAAGTTGCATTTGCACCAAAGAGGGGAGGGGGAAATTCCCAGCAGTGAGAATTGTGTTCAAAGACCTGTAAACTGTGAAGGCTTCACATCTCCTATTTAGAAAGAGCACAGGTTGGCAATCTCATAGGAAAAGGCAAATAGATGAAAGAAGAGGCTGGGTTACATTTTTTGAAATTACATTTATCTAGCAATCCTTTCTTTGTTTGTTTGTAGGGGGATGATTTGAATCTGGCTGTCACTGATTCCAGGGCCCACAATAGCCTGTCTAAATACATATTTGGTCCTTTCTACTATATTTAAATAGTAATCCAGATCACTCTTTATCCTTTTGCCTAACATTGTTTTGTATAACCACCTATTACTTCATATTATAATTCATTATTTCATTAGCATATATTGTCTATCTCCAGAATGCAAATTCCTGAGGCCAAAGACTAATTCATTTTGTTCATTTTGCTAATATATTTTATAGATGTAGATAGTCAGGTTCTTTTCATTTTGTTTCTTTGTTCTAGATCTTTGATTTTATTGGACTTTTGCAATGTTACTTAAAAAATTGCTATTTTCAGGCAGGTTGCATTAGTGTATAATCAAATTCCACCCACAATATCAAAAAAAGACTATTACAAATTAAAAAAATAAAAATAGCATTCAATAATAACACAGTTCTAAAGCTCATTATTGGATCTGAAAAACTTTACCAATGTAAGCTTTGGTATAAAAGTAAGGCTTGGTGAACTGATTCTTAGCATAAATATTTTTTCATGATATTCTTATTTTTAATGTGTATATGTAAGATGTTTTATTTTGCATTTTAAGGTTGTAAGTACTTGCTGTAGTTATAAATGAATGATCAGCACACATCTTCTTTGATAACCTTTCAACTTTATTAATATTAATGTTTCATATGTAGTTTTATTATGGCTTTCTTCTGATTGGAATTTAATATAGAGAGGTTTTATTCATGTGAGTGTTAATGGCATTTTGAATAAGCTATGGGAGAATTACAATGTAACACTGCTGGATACAGAATGATTCTTTTAGACACCAAGACTAATAATTTTTAACAATATCGAAAAACATTGTAGGAAAAGCTTGAACCATGCTGGCACCAGGGACAGACAAGCATGAAAGATTAATGTAATCTTGCATATAATGACACACATTCTTACACAAAAAATCCATCTGCAATGTCATGTCAGTCAGCAGAAATCTTTGATGGGTGGATACAGCTGGGCTGTCTCTTCTGGCAGAGCTGCCCTGGAAAATGCTAAATGTGGTTGTGATGCTTGGTGCCATCTGCAGTGTGCCCGTTTATCCTGTCTTCACTGGCATTTACGATACTGCATAGGGCATCAGTGACTGTGGAGACAGCGATACAGAGTGACAGATTCATTTCCTCGGAGGGTCTGAGCTCTGGTGGGCCTGTGTGCCACCCTCCTTCTTGGGTCTGGGTCTCTTATAATTGGTGTTGGCTTTACTTTGTATTTTCACATCCAACTCTTCCTCTTTTTAGTCTAACAGTTCCAGTACACATTCTTCTGGTTTGTAAATCTTACACTAACCTTTTGACTAATTTATTCATGTAAGGTTGCCAAACCGATTTAAGATTGACTGTTCAATGCCAGCTAATATGCCTTATTTCCAAAATACTGCTCCTCCTAAGCCTCTGATTTAAAGGACATGTGTCTTATTTAGGGAATACTAAACAGGCACCAGGACAAATTGGGTAACCACTATGCGTGGGATATTCCCAAATGACTTTATGTAGTTGAAACAAATATATGACCTTCTCTTACATAAAGCTATAAAACATCAGGCCAGTAACACTTAGTCCTCTTGCCCATGATTAAAATATAAATATTCAAGAATAAATGCTGTTTTATGACTTGACCATATGTTTATCATATTATTTTGCCAGAACAAGTTAAAAAGTGTGATCATTGTTTAAAACTGTCACTTTGTGTATGTGTGTGTGTTTTTTTAATAGTAATGGAATATGAAGGGCACGCTCTGTCACTGCTTAAGGAATGTGAACTCCAGGGATTTGATGGGTAGGTTATATTATTAATCAATATATGTTATATCATTTATGTATTAAATGCCTTCACTAGTTTTAGCTACATATTTGGAACCTAACATTTAAAAATATTTGTAGTGTATGTACTTTGGCTCTATCTTGTTCATATCTATGTAATAATAATTAATGATAATATGACATGGTCATCTATCTCTCAGGATCTGGCATAGGAAAGCAAAAAGAGGAATCTAATTATTAAAATACTGGGAAATGACAGTGTACTACTCTATACTTACTAATGTGCATACATTTGCATCTATAATTATTTGCTTTTACCATATATCTAGAGAAGCACTAATGGAAGATGTTATACTGGTCACATGGCATAACTATATGATGATCTTCTTTTGCAAATTAATTGATAGGTTTAATAGCTACCCATTGGTTAACTTGTCTGTGATAGATTGAGGGAAGATATTTTATAAATACAAGTAAATAAATACATTATTTCCAGAAACAATAAGAAATAATTTTAATTATCTCATAATGTAGTGACTACAATTTAGGTATGTTATTCACAGTGGGCATCGGAAACCATTGTTCGCAATACATTGGAGTGTACAGAGATTGTTCACTGGCATGCAAACGTTAGAACCAAGGCAAGTGATATAAATTTCATTGCCATTTTTTAAAATTAGGTGAACCAATTTGCTAAAGTGTTGGACTGATGTGTAAGACTAAAACATATTATATTCCTTTAGGGAAGTTCTTTTTACGTGAGTAGATATTTGAGAATTTAAAAAGTTGACAAGTGTGTGAATTATTTGTGTTACATGGTGATGGGCAGGGGGCAAAGACCCATAAGGTCAGGAAAGGGAGTTAGGTCTGTACTTTCACCAAAGTGAAAGGCATTAACCTTCCCAAAGACTGATTTGAATGTGCTGGGGAGGGAAGTGATGCAATCAAAATGGAGTATTGGCAGGGCTGTTTTTCAGAAATGCTTATTTATTTATTTATTTTTTGGATGAGGAGAAAACAATAGCTGTTGAGAAAGAAAATGTGGTAAGTAAAACATGATTTTTCCAAAAGGAATCTAATTGAGGGAAGTAAATCTAGATAGCAATATTATATAAACATTGGGAATCAAAAATATGGGGTAGGAGATTACTTCAGAACTTTATACTTAGAGGTAGACAAAAACATTAATAGGCTTCATTTAGAAAATTGTCTTACAAGTATACAATTTAAGAAAAGTCCTTGTGGGAATCATGCATACCAACTACCTATTTGAATATGCTGCATAGTCCCTCACTAGACCTCATGAGTACATGAAGGTAGCTGCATTGCAAATGAGTACCTGCTTCAAAACTTGATTAAAGAATGAGAATAAAGATATCACAGATATTAAACTTGTTCTTACACAGCAGCATTACAGAATGTTCTGCTGAATGCAGTATCTATCAATATGTTTTACTGGTATTTGTACTGGGTAAAGGGATGAAAAGAACTTTGCAGAATGAAGAAAGACGATTGCTGAAGTGTAGTACAATAATATTTTTCTCTTTACCTGAACATATTTAATCCTTATTTATTTTTCATGGCAGGTGTTGTTATTTTTCAGTGTAGAGCTAAAAGATGTATAGATTTTTCAGTTATTATATTTTATAAACCAAATAGTTTGGCCTAACCATTATATGAATTGAGTTATGTAAGTGTTTCTAAACTCTATGGCATGCTGATTTATTTCAGACTTACAATAATTTCAAATTTCTACTGAAAGTCATCTTCCGTGTTCTAAGACTCTTTAAATCAGGGGTCCCCAACTCCGAGACTGCAGATGAATATCAGTCAGTGGCCTTTTAGGAACTGGGAGGCACAGTAGGAGGTGAGTGGCAGGAGAGGGATCATTTCCGCCTGAGCTCCACCTCCTGTCAGGTCAGCAGCAGCATTAGATTCTCACAGGAGTGCGAACCCTATTGTGAACTGGGCACGCGAGGGATATAACTGGTCATGCGAGGGATCTAGGTTGCGTGCTCTTGATGAGAATCTAATGCTTGATGATCTGAGGTGGAACAGTTTCATCCTGAAACCATCCGTCTCCCACCCCACCCTGCAGTCCATGGAAAAATTATCTTCCCACAAAAAAGTCCTTGGTACCAAAAAGGTTGGGGACCACTTTAAATAGCTTATTTATTTTTGTGGGGTCAGTTTTCCCAGTAGAAGCTGATATGGTAGTTGGAGTAATTATCTTAATAAACTGGCAATTTTAAGTCACTGTACTTAGAATTACATAGAGAGATATATGAGGAGAATAATAGAAACATAGTTTCTTCAGGTACTTCAAAGGAACAATTCTCTTGCAAGTAAAATTGTTTGAAAATGGAATATTCTACATTGGTGAGTTTTCTATTCCTGAACCTGTTCTAAAGAGTGGCTAAAGGAAAATTTTGGGGGAAATTTATAGAAAAGGTGCAGAGATGAGAGAAGGTTAACCCCAAAATGCTATGGCATTTTGATGAGAGACAGACTCAAATTTCTTTAAGAACTTTGGCCTGAAGCACCTCCGTCTGACACTAGTGGAACTATTAATAGGGAGTGATTAGGAAATCACCTAACAGTTTGGTTTCTAGATACAGGCTGAAGAAGTTAAGAGCCAAGAAAGATTCTATGTATAGTATTTAGTAAAGCAAAACAATTTGGTAAGTAATGTTTAAGAAATGCTATTTCCTAAGATTTTGGAGTTGTATTTATTTTTTTTAATGAATTACATATGTTTCTATGAGACATCTTGTGACATTTCTAAACCCAACAGAAACAGTGTATCAGCACTTATGACAGCTAGTTCTCCACTGCAGTGTGTCCTAGGAAACACTCTAAGATCCACTGTTAAACCTTATGAGAGCTTCAGATTCTATATTGCTCCCTATTTTACTGGGCATGAGTAGGAAGTTTTAGGAAGGAAAATAAAAGAATATCAGCTGCATAGACTTGAAGCAGTAACACTTGCATTTATAAGTGTGAGTATAGTTTTAAAAATCTATAGATTTTATGCAATTGTAAATATATGAATTCCTCGCTATTAATATTTGTTTCAGAATTTTTAAAAAAATTGTTGAGTTACTTTTCTTTTGTTCATTTCACCATTAATTAGACCCATAATGTTGTAGACATTATTTGGATTATATTGACATTTTATCAGATTGAACATATCTGTATTACTTAGTAAGGTAAAAAGCAAAAACAAAAACAAACTTTTCCAGAAAGAAAAAAAACTGTGAATCAAAACTACAACAATATATTGAACATTTCATAGATGATGGGTTCATAGATAAGTATAAAAACATTCATTAAAAAAATCTTTATCACTCTTTGAAAAAGGATATATTATCACCCAGTGTTTCTTTTCTAGACAGAATAATTCTGTTTGGAGCCATGGCAAGGAGTTTACTTATTTTAAAAACAAGATTTGTCACATGCAAAGGATTAGTTACTCTAAGGTTTATGTTTTAGAGTGACACAAGTGTGATTAACTCACTATAAATGATTGAATACTTTGCTTTTTGCCTTTCTTGTATATTTAGACTCTTGTGATATTTTTGTAAGAAGCTGTTGATGAAAAAAACCAAACTGTAAAATATTTAAAGAGGTTTATTTTGAGCCAAATATGAGTGCTCATGGCCTATGATAACCCCAGGGGGGTCCTGAGAACATGTGCCCACAGTAGTTGGGTTACAACTTGGTTTTATACATTTTGGGGATACAGAAGTTATAGCCAAAGACATAAATCGATAAATGTAGGGTATTCATTGGTTTGGCCCAGAGAGGCGGGATATCATGGAGCTGGTGGGAAGGGGAGCTCACAGATGAATTCAATGATTTTCTGATTGTCAGTTGGTTGATAAGCTTTGCTGAAAGATTAGAAGTCAGCAGAAAGAAATGCTTGAGTTAAGATAAATGGGGTGGTGTAGGCTGGGTGCAGTGGCTTAGCAGTGGCTCACACCTGTAATCCCAGCTCTTTAGAAGGCTGAAGAGGGGAGATCACCTGAGGTCAGGAGTTTGAGATCAGCCTGGCCAACATGGCAAAACCCCATCTCTAGTAAAAATGCAAAAATTAGCCGGGTGTGATGGTGTGTGCCTGTAGTCTCAGCTACTTGGGAGGCTGAAGCAGGAGAATCACTTGAACCCAGGAGGGAGAGGTTGCAGTGAGCTGAGATCACACCATTGTTCTCCAGCCTGGGCAACAGAGCGAGACTCTGTCTCAAAAATAAAATAAAATAAAATAAAAAATTATAAAAATAAAGATAAATGAAGTTGTGGAAGCACAGGTTCTTGTTATGTAGATGAAGCCTCCAGATATCAGGCTTCAGAGAGAATAGATGGTCAATATCTCTTATCAGACCTTAAAAGGTATCAAACTCTTAGTTAAATCTCTCCTGGATCAGGAAAAGACCTGGAAAGGGAAGGAGATTCTCTATAGAATGCAAATTTCTCCTGCAAATGATAGCTTTGCAGGGCCATTTCAAAATATGTCAACAAAATACATTTTGGGATAAAATACTTTGATTTCCTCTAGGGCCTGCTATTTGTTATTTAATGCTATACCAGAGTCAGGTTGGAGTTGGGGATCTTATTGCTACCAAGTCTGTTTTGTCAGTCTTATGATCTATTTTTTTTTTTTTTTTGAGATAAATTCTCACCCTGTCACCCAGGCTGGAGTGCAGTGGTGCAATCTCAGCTCAGTGCAACCTCTGTCTCCCAGGTTCAAGCAATTCTCCTGCCCCAGCCTCCTGAGTAGCTGGGATTACAGGCATGCACCACCATGCTCAGCTAATTTTTTGTTTCTTTAATAGAGATGGGGTTTCACCATGTTGGCCAGGATGATCTTGAACTCCTGACCTCGTGATCCACCCTTGGCCTCCCAAAGTGCTGGAATTGCATGCATGAGCCTGGCCAATGATTTACATCTTAATGCCAGTGCTGGCCATTTGCGCCTAAACTCCAAAAGACAAGAGGGTATAAGGAGGCATATCCAACCTCCCTTCCTGTTATGACCTGAATAGTTTTTCAGATTTTCTTTGTGACCTTCATGGCCAAAAGGGGAGGATCCATTCAGTTAGTTGGCGACTTAGAATTTTATTTTTGTTTTACAAAACTTATTTCCTAGGTTGAGTCACTTTACCTGAACATGATCTTAATGATTGAATAGTTGTTAACATAAATAAATACATATTTTTTCTAACTCACTTAATTTCACACTGGTTCTACTGGTAAACTGTTTTTCAAAATAATAAGATTCTCATAAGGCTATTTTTATTAGGTTTCATATATAGAAAAGGTATCTAATATATTGAATAATATTGTAGCTTCTAAGACCAAAATGTCTTATTTCAAATCCCTGTTCTATTACTTACTAGTGGTACAATCTTGAAAAAGTTACTTTATCTTTCTATGTTTTAGTTTCCTAATCTGCAAATTGAAGGTAATATTACCTATTGCATACAGTTATTTCTCCACTTAAATGAGTTAATACATGGAGAGTGCTTAGGAAAATGTCTGATATATATATATAGTAATTATTCACTAAATATTTCTTTATTGTTATAATTGTCATTTGTATTAGTTTCAAAAGATTTAACACAGAATGTATTATGACAAAATTTCAGATGTTTCAGAACATGCTCATAGGGAGGCCACCTCTAATAACTCTAGCAATATGTTAACATATGCATGACGCTATAATTGTATGCAACATTCTAGGAGTTAAGTGTTCGCATCCTATGTATGTAAGGGTCAAGTTATTTGGTGCTAAATTAGATTTTTTTGGGTATGACTCCACATAGTCTTTTTGGTCACACCCATATGTCAGCATTTAGACAGCCATGGATTGAGGGTTACGTTTAAGTTCACAGATTAGAAATCTCATAGAGATTTTTGAAATCAGGTAAGTTTCAAGTCAAACCTTGGTTTTTTTCATTCATAAAGATGGGACTGTGGCCTATTTTGCAGACTTCTGAGGATTTAATAGAAATTAGTAAACACATTACCTGATATATAGTTTGTCCTTAGTAAACATCATTCCTTTTCTCTGAATAGGTGGTCATATTGCGAACCTCTGGAATCAGTTTAGACATAAGAATAAAACACACCTAATCAAACATGACCTGGGTCATATCTTGAGTCTTCTAACCAGAGTAGCCTTGGATTGCCCAGGCTATGTGGAGCTAGTGGGATGAGGAAGATGGGGACTAGAGGGAATAGATGGCCGAGAGAAAGATGGTGGGAACTGACTGGAAAGACACTTTCAGCCTTTGGTCACCACCCTCCAGAGCTTCCTAAACTTAGAGAACCAGTAACTACTGCTGACTGTGGCCCATAGACAGTTTTGTTTGAAATAGTGTTTTTAAATATATTGAATGCTAGTTGCTTAGTATTTACAAATTAGGAGACTCAGCCTTAAATCAGAATCTCTGGCTTCTGTAGAAAAACCAGATCTGGGTCCATTAGGCCTCACACGTGATGTGAGTGGGCCACAGCAAAGAAGTGGCTGCGCCTTTAGATTGAGCCTACTCTTCCATTCCTGCTGGGCCCTTGTAGCCCTTGAGTTGTGACACCTGCTTTCACTGAGGCAAAATCCACTTTCCATTGGGTTAACTGGTGACATTTTGATACGTAAGAATATTTTGCTTCTTTTGAACATAAATGATTATGAAATGAATTTCTGGTACTTCTGTGTTATTTTAATGGATTCTGCCCCCATAGTCTACTTGATATAAAGTCTTAAAAAATATACTAGTAGTACTATCTAGGATCAAAGGCTAATAGTATTACATCTAGAAGCACCGTATAGCAATAATGTCAAGGAGATGAAATTCAGGTCAGGTTTGTAATTACTACATTCATATAGTAATGATAATTAGCAGTTTCTTAAAGCTTCATATTTTATATGATTTTTATTGCTATCTGTCTTTTCAGAGCTTTATTGAGAATTAGCAGGATTTTATGACTTTGGTTGGTGTTAGTTAAATGAATTGCAGATGACAGTATTATTAACAAGAAATGAGAATGATATGCTTTTGGATGTTAACAGAGCAAAACGCTGGTCAGATGTGAATTAACATGTTCAAAAGTTTTCATATCTCTTAACACACTTAAAGCTATTTTGTCTATGGGGAATTATCTAGTTATTATATTTGTGAAGTAAACTTACCTGTGTTGTGTTTGTGTTGTCTTACCCATTGACACATATTAACATGTTTAAAGGTACATGTGAGCAGTTATGCACATAGACTACAAATTAGTAAACTATTTTGAAGTCTAGATTTCATGACTTATTACCAATCATTCTGAAGTTTTGCCTTCTTTGCTTGATTTGTATTTTTCTAGTGTTGTCTGTGTTGGTGGAGATGGATCTGCTAGCGAAGTAGCCCATGCTTTGCTTCTGAGAGCTCAGAAGAATGCTGGGATGGAAACAGACCGAATCCTGACTCCTGTCAGAGCACAGCTTCCACTTGGCTTAATACCAGCAGGCAAGGGAGTGGCTACAGATTCATTAAACTGACCCTTCTCCCTCTTTTCCTTTCTTACTTGCTAATCTAGACAGCACAACACAGAATTAATGAACAGACTTTGAAAGATCCAGACTTCTGGCATCCCCACTAGCAAATGTGAGACTTTTGACAAGTCATTTAATCTCTTTGAGCCTTATTTTTCTAATCTATAGAATAGGGATCACAGATATATTATTCACTTTATTACAAGGTTATTGTAGTACTAACGTTTGGTTTAGTAAAGGGTTTAATATATAGTTAAACCATCAGTATATGGAATGGTTATTATTCTCCCTTCGCATAAAAAATCTGTTGATTACACAGTACCAGGTAAGAAGTTTCAAAACAGGGCCACTCCAGTCTAGCTGCTTACAATTCCATATGAGGTGAATATGGTAACTTGCATAATTGATGTATAACCAGATAACCTTGAGAATGCCAAAATTACTTGTGACTGGAAGGGAGGATAAGGTTTGGAAGGGTGAGATTCTTAAGGGCAAGGCTTTTTAATCTTTCTACTCACTGCCATTTTTCAGCATCTAGAATAGACTATGCCACAGTGATGCTCAGTGAAGCCTATTAAGTGAATGCATGTAAAGAAGACTTTATATAGTAAATGACACTTGGATTAGGTCTTAAAATGGGTTGGAGCTGGCCTGAAAAGGTGAGAATGAGTTATTTTCTTGGCTGCAAAAGTAATAAAGCAAAGGCAAAACCCAGGAGTGTTTGAGGAATAGTGAAAAGGCCATTCAGTGGAAGATAATGGTATCAAAATAGGCCCAACCATGGAGGCTCCTACATGCCACAGTAAGGGCTCTGAATTGTATTTGATAAGCAGTAGGGAATAATGGGATGTTTCAGAGCAAGGGGGCAACCTGATTGGAGCTTGTTCCAGGAGGATTCATTTTGCCTCACCGTGTGGAATGATTAGAGGTTGGGAGCAGGAGAAAGTAGAGGTCAGAGACACGGAGAACCGTTAGAGCAACACTGTGATCCAGAAAAGAGGGAAACATCATTCAAAAGCTGATTGTATTACACAATCACTCATCCCTATTTAACGAACGGTGCTGGGAAAACTGGCTAGCCATATGCAGAAAGCTGAAACAGGATCCCTTCCTTACACCTTACACAAAAATTAATTCAAGATGGATTAAAGACTTAAACATTAGACTTAAAACCATAAAAACCCTAGAAGAAAACCTAGGCAATACCATTCAGGACATAGGCATGGGCAAGGACTTCGTGTCTAAAACACCAAAAGCAATGGCAACAAAAGCCAAAATTGACAAATGGGATCTAATTAAACTCAAGAGCTTCTGCACAGCAAAAGAAACTACCATCAGAGTGAACAGGCAACCTACAGAAAGGGAGAAAATTTTTGCAATCTACTCATCTAACAAAGGGCTAATATCCTGAATCTACAAAGAACTCAAAAGAATTTACAAGAAAAAAACAACCCCATCAACAAGTGGGCGAAGGATATGAACAGACACTTCTCAAAAGAAGACATTTATGCAGCCAAAAGACACATGAAAAAATGCTCATCATCACTGGCCATCAGAGAAATGCAAATCAAAACCACAATGAGATATCATCTCACCCCAGGTAGAATGGTGATCATTAAAAAGTCAGGAAACAACAGGTGCTGGAGAGGATGTGGAGAAATAGGAACACTTTTACACTATTGGTGGGACTGTAAACTAGTTCAACCATTGTGGAAGACAGTGTGGCAATTCCTCAGGGATCTAGAACTAGAAATACCATTTGATCCAGCCATCCCATTACTGGGTATATACCCAAAGGAATATAAATCATACTGCTATAAAGGCACATACACACATATGTTTATTGTGGCACTACTCACAATAGCAAAGACTTGGAACCAACCTAAATGTCCAACAATGATAGACTGGATTAAGAAAATGTGGCATATATACACCATGGAATACTATGCAGCCATAAAAAATGATGAGTTCATATCCTTTGTAGGGACATGGATGAAGCTGGAAACCATCATTCTCAGCAAACCATCACAAGGACAAAAAACGAAACACCGCATGTTCTCACTCATAGGTGGGAAATGAACAATGAGAACACTTGGACACAGGAAGGGGAACATCACACACTGGGGCCTGTTGTGGGGTGGGGGAAGGTGGGGAGGGATAACATTAGGAGAAATACCTAATGTAAATGACGAGTTAATGGGTGCAGCACACCAACATGGCACATGTATACATATGTAACAAACCTGCACATTGTGCACATGTACCCTAGAATTTAAAGTATTATATATATATATAATATACAGCCTTATGAACATATATATATATAAAGGAAAATTAGGCAAAATAGCATTACTTGAGGTACTCAATAGCCTGGCAGAGCAGACATTAAGGGTAAGAGAGACTGGACTTGAATTTCAGTTTGGTACTTGACTTTGGGTGGGTAATTAGCCTTTATTAGTCTTGATTACACATTTAAAAGGTTTAATAAGGCCGGGTGCAGTGGCTTATACCTGTAATCCCAGCACTTTGGGAGGCCGAGGTAGTGGATCACCTGAGGTCAGGAGTTGAAGACCAGCCTGGCCAACATGGTGAAACCCTATCTCTACTAAAAATACAAAAATGAGCTGGGCATGGTGGTGTGCGCCTGTGATCCCAGCTACTGGGGAAGCTGGGGCAGAAGAATAACTTGAACCTGGGAGGCAGAGGTTGCAGTGAGCTGAGATTGTGCCACTGTACTCCAGCCTGGGCGACAGAGCGAGGCTGTCTCAAAAAAAAAAAAAAAAAAAAGTTTAATAATGTCCATCCCCATAGGGCCATTACAAGAATCAACTTTTAAAAAGTCACACATTATCACTAAAAAAGCAAAATATTTTTCCCTATGATTATAGAAAATAATGCACATTGTTGAAAAAAATTCATATTTTGATAACCCTATTCATTTAGTATGGATTTTAGAATACTTAGTATTGTTGATAAGTTGACAGAGCATAAGATATTCAAATGCCCTTTTAGAGTGTAAAGTCTTTCAGAAAGTCAGAATTTAAAAGGAGAGAGATATTCAGATATAATCTGATAATTCTAGAGTATATAGGAAAACCTAAAATGGTTTCTAAGTAGAAGACACCAAGATGATTTTGACTCAAAGAGAAAAATGATGCATTTTGGGCCATCTTTTCATGGCATTTTATTTCTTGACCTTTTTGCTTTACTTTAGTAGTTCTGACTATAATGGTGGAAACTTTCCAACATTTCCTTCCATGCAAAGTGGATGTGCTTAGGACACTTCATTAGTACTTAAATTCCTGAGGTCATTCATTGACTGCCATACATCAGAAATAGAAAGATGGGTGTCCCTACAGGTATGCCTTTGACATAAATTTGGTGGTTGGCTATAAAAACTGGTGGTTATTCTTATGTTTTAGTATGTAATTCAGATTTTATAAAGAAATAGCATTTAGTTTTATCACTATTATAATTTTGAAGAGTATTTCTGATTTGGGGAGCATTTTATGTATTCTTTGGATATTTGTAGTAATGCCATTTTAACCTGTCTTGTTTAGAAGACACAGTATGCTGCCAAAATTCTGGTCATTGCATAGGAGTTCTAGCATTCTAATTCCATCTAATAGGAGGGGAAAGTCATGTGTGGGGTATATTTAATATGATGACTGTATGCCTAGTCAGGGCTTTTGATAGAGAATGGGAACTAGAACTAGGCAGGAAGTTTTCAAGCTGAACATGAGGAGACAGTGTGCCTTTGAAGCCATTTGCCTCCTGGAGAGAGACACCCAGAGGGAGAGTGTTTAGTAAATTAATCCACTGAGCCAACAGACTAAGCTGCTGAATTATGGTCAGACTCAAATGGATCAGATGTGGAGAAGCCTGTATTTGAACTGCTGGCCATTAGGAATGGTGTTTGTTGCTATGGGAACTGGTGCTAAGGAACTATACTGAGAGACTCTGATTAAAAGGGGGAGGGGGAATGGAGAAAAAAGCCTGAGAGGACATAAAAATAAAAAAGCAATCCAGTTGTTGTAAAACAAGGCTCAAGCCACATACTGATGGCTGTGAACCATATATTCCTATAGAGTTTGCATAAATAAATTCATGCTTTCCAATTAATTTGAGGAGAATAAAATATTGCCGAGGGACTGTTAATTTCTATGATATTTCAGGCAAAGAACCAAAGTGTAGGTGCCGTTTTCATGAGAATTTTAGATATGCTTGACTAGGAAGTCATTACATCACATTTATCTGTTTGGATGTGGGAGACATTAACAGCCTTATGAATATTCATGGTATCTGGTTAATTAAGTTAATTGTTCTGCAGAAGTGCTTGCACTTCCAAGGACATTTTTTTTTTTTTTTTTTTTTTGCCTCCATAGTTTCTCCCTGGTATTTCATCAGTAATTCTTTACATGAACTGCTACTTCTGTCCTTACTTTTTTGTATTTGGAACATTTTAGCAGCTCTCAGGAGGAAGTGGTAGGCAAAGTTTCTGGTAGTGTTAAGAAAAATAACTTTCAGGCTAATTAAAATGTTTACCTTGAGGTAGAACATTTATAGCTTTTGTGAGAACATTAAAATTACGCCATTGTTATTTATGTGAGCAGCATGTTCTTTTGGCATGTAGACATCTTTTCAAATAGAGTACAGTTTCCTGAAACAAAATGTAATCCATCTTTCAGATTATCCCAACAAAATATAGAACAAGCTATCGTTTTGCAATTTTACATATACTTTCTCATAAACTTTCCTTTTTTCTTCAGAGTGTCAAAAACCACATTTAAAGACTAAGATACAGATTAATGAGTAGTCAATGACTAAAATAATTTTCTGACTTCTAGTCATGTCTGTTATCACTGCCAACTTCTACAGAATTAGAGAAAAGTTGCAAAGCCTGAGAAGACATAAACAATTTTTAAAGCCATCTCTAGCATTCTAAAAAAATTTTGTACTTGGGCATACCCACCATACTTCAAACTCACAGGGAATAAATGGTCTTTATTTTCTTAAGTCATGATATGTGTCATTCTCTATTGCACATGACATTACATTATGTTTTTTAATAGCCTTTCTAGAGGAATGCTTTTACGGTCTACTCATAATTAACCATGGTAATGGAGGAAATGTGTTTCATGGAGTACTGTAATCCATCGATAATCCTAAATATCTGACTCTAATTATGTGGCCTCCTCCAAAATCTTTACCACAAATCTGATTGGGAAGCACAATGGATTGACTTGTTTCTTCCTTTTCTCCTGATCCATTCCAGATTTATTAGCAATTAGATGGTCAAAGGGCAGGCTGTAGAGGGCCACAAGATCATTGGAAAGACCTTGATAAAGATCCACTGAGTAACAGGTTTCTACACTACTTGTTCTCAAAACTTAGGGTCCATAGACTCACCTTGTGAACTTGCTAAAACAGAGATACCTGGGTCCTCCCTCCTCCAAACACATTCTGAGTCCATGAGTTGGAGGTAGAACCCAGGAATGTACGTTTTTAACAAGCTCCCAGGTAATGATGCTGCTTGGACCATGCATTCCAGAGGAGTTTCTCACCAAGTCACTGTGCATACAAACCACCTGGGGATCTAATAAATTGCAGACTCTGAATCAGTGTGTCTGGAATGGGGCCTGAGAGGCAACATTTTAAAAATAATATATTTTTTACTTCCATTAATACTGCTATTACTGTTTTAATACCTATTATCCTTATTTTTAAATGGACAAAAATTGTATGTATTTATTGTGTACAATGTGATGTTTTGAAACATGTATACATTGTGAAATGGCTAAATAAAGATAAACATGCATAAAATTGACATAATGATCACATACTGATTTTACATTGAGAACACTTAAAATCTCCCTTAGAAATTTCCAAGTATATAATGCATTGTTACTAACTATTGTTTTAGCCTGTTCTCATGCTGCAATAAGGAAATACCCAAGACTGGGTAATTTATAAAGGAAAGAGGTTTAATTGACTT
Source organism: Homo sapiens (assembly GCF_000001405.40). Lineage (NCBI taxonomy): Eukaryota > Metazoa > Chordata > Mammalia > Primates > Hominidae > Homo > Homo sapiens. Next base: position 181,552,544 of record NC_000002.12, on the reverse strand, counting down.
GCAGTTCAGCATGGCTGGGGAGGCCTCAGGAAACTTACAACCATGGTGGAAGGCAAAGGAGAAGCAAGGCACATTCTTCACAAGGTGGCAGGAAGGAGAAATGCTGAGTGAAGTGGGGAAGAGTCCCTTATAAAACCATCAGATCTCATGAGAACTCACTCACTATCACAAGAACAGCATGGGGGAAACCACCCCCGTGATTCAATTACTCCTACCTGGTCTCTCCCTTGACATGTGGGGATTATGGGGATTAAAATTCAAGATGAGATTTCGGTAGGGACACAAAGCCTAACCGTATCAACTGTAGTCACTAGGTTGTATAACAGATCTCTTGAATTTATTCCTTTTACCTGAAATTTTATATCCTGGACCAGTATCTCCCCAGTCCTTCCCACCCATTAGCCCCAGTAACCACTATTTTACTCTTCGCTTTTATGAGTTTAAGTTTTTCAGATTCTACATAAAAGTAAGTATTTGCCTTTCTGTGCCTGTCTTATTTCACCTAGCATAATGTCCTCCAGGTTTATCCACGTGTTGTAAATGACAGGACCTCTTTAATGCCAAATAGTATTCCATTGTGTATATAAACAGGCTGATTGTCCCTAATCTGAAGACTTAAAATCCAAAATGCTACAAAATTAGAAATGTTTGAGTGCCAGCATGATGCCACAACTGGAAAATTCCACACCTCATGTGACAGGTAGCAGTCAAAGTGCAGTCAAACCTTTGTTTCATATAGAAAAATATTTTAAATATTATATAAAATTATCTTCAGGCTATGTGTATAAGATGTATAAAACTTTTATGTTTAGACTTGGGTCCCACCCCCCAGATATCTCATTACACCAACAGTGTAAAAGTATTCCCATTTCTCCACAGCCTTACCAGCATCTATTGTTTATTGACTTTTTAATAATCGCCATTCTGACTGGTGTGAGTGTGGTTTTGATTTGCATTTCTCTGATGATCAGTGATATTTAGCTTTTTTTTTATATGTTTGTTGGCCACATAAATGTCTTCTTTTGAGAAGTGTCTGTTCGTATCCTTTGCCCACTTTTTGATGGAATTTTTTTTTCTTATAAATATGTTTAAGTTCCTTGTAGATTCTGGATGTTAGACCTTTGTCAGATGGGTACATTGCAAAAATTTTCTCCCATTCTGTAGGTTGCCTGTTCACTCTGATGATGGTTTATTTTGCTGTGCAGGGATTGTTTTCTTGATTTCTTTTTCAGATAGTTGTAAGTGTACAGAAATGCTACTGATTTTTGTGTGTTGATTTTGTGTCCTGCAACTTAACTGAGTTTGTTTATTAGCTCTGACAATTCATTCATGGAGCCTTTAGGGTTTCCTAAATAAATAAGATCATGCCTACAAACAAAGGCAATTTAGCTTCCGTATTTATGATTTGCAAGCCTTTTATTTCTTTCTCTTGCCTAATTGCTCTGGCTAGAACTTCCAGTACTATTTTAATGACAGTGGTGAGAATGGGTATTATTGTCTTCTTGAGGAACAAGACATTGTTTCTCAACTCATGAGAGTAATTTTAATAAGCACTCAAGTATTGTCATTCCTGTTTGACAGTAGGCCGTATTTTGAGTAACAAGGGTCACAGCATAACTTGCCTTTTGGTGAATCAGTTGGAACCAGTTTGCCATTTAGTTAAAATAAACTTTTCTTTGCACTGGTATTACTAGAAGTAATTGTGCTTATTTATAATTAATAATAATTAAATATGCTTATTCTTAGTTACCTAAAAAATTATGATATTAATGACCTCTTGGTTGATAATGGCTAAGCTGCCTCAGCTTCTCCAATTTAGCAACCCAAGTACATATCAGTTCAAAGTAACACAAATTGAAGCAATTATGTATGATCACATAGGAATGCTTCTGATTAACAAAATCCAGAGGACTGGTCTTTGCCTTCATAACCGGAACACACCACATGCATGGTTTCACAGCTCTTGGCTATTATTGGACTTACTTATTATATTCTTTAATTCAAGAAAAATTGTAGCTTCATTCATTCTGTTCTTAATAATTTTAAATTCTCTTTAGCCTCCTGGGAATGGGAAGGGCTAGCTGGTATAGTCCCCTGTATCTCAGATTTCAGTTACACATAAACATTAAAGGGGCCTGACTTAGGGCGCTCTTTGCCTCTGTGGACTGGTGGGGAAAATCCAGGTGTGTCTTAAATTCTAATAATCATGAAAATCAGAAATCATAATGTTTCAAATACAAATCTTCATACATGGGAAATACAATTGAATTAAACATTTTCTTCAATGTAGGAGACATTTGTCAGATAACAGAGGGGATTCTCATTTGGCTAAGAGCTTACCTCTAAGATTCATTAAATGTGTTTAGAGCATATTTTTTGTAGTTTGTAGTTATTTTATTTTTCTGAGTTATTATTTGGATTATTTTCTCTTTTATTTATGTATGCATTTGTCACTGCTCCCCAGAGGCACCTCATTTTGGCATTGAAGCTAAAAACCCATTCATTAAGGTTGGGATGGAGTGGGCTTTGATATAGCTAGCATTTGGGAGGTAGAAAATAGACATTCGTGATCAAAAAAGCTGTAAGCGGTTACTATAAACTATTTTTAAATTTCTAAGTATTTTAAATATTGAACAAATGTGTAGACATTTGATGTGCATCTATACTGTGAATAAGAACTTAAACTTCTAATATTCACATTAACTTTCCTGATTTTATAAATTCTCGTTTATTTTTCATCTGAACATTGAAGAATGACATCTACATAAAGTAAAAGCAAATGTTAGTTTGAACACATTCTACCCTAATAGTGCATGTTTTAAAATTGCTTTGGCAGGATCTACCAATGTATTGGCACATTCTCTTCATGGAGTTCCTCATGTGATAACTGCAACATTGCACATTATAATGGGTAAGAATTCTTCCAAAGCAGTTCATATTTTATAAGGAAATGTTGATTTATATAAGGAAGGCCATCTTATTTCCATCAGACTTTAAGAAAAGGCAGGTTCTTTGTCTCTTAGAGTAGAGAAATGTTTGACTAAAAAACCAAAAGGCAATGCTTTACTATGTGGATTGCCTGTCTTTTCAAAATACTTGCTTTGTAAAGAGCAGTAAATGAAGTTTTATTGTAATCTGTACAGAAAAAAAATATTGTAGTGTGCTCAAAATTATAATTTTATAACCAGATGAAGAACATTAATGAATACTCCTTAAGTATATCCAACACTGATGTAGGACTGTACCAAGACTCTAGGACTAGGATTATGTTATTAATGAAAAAACATAACCAGAAAAAAATTTCAGCCAGTAGATGTCTATAGATATTTTATTATCCCTATTGGTAAAAAGCATATAAGCTCAGGTATATGTAACACTAAACTACTGTTAAATCTGTGTTTACCTTGCCTATCTACTTTAACTTCGTTTCTTTGACCATGTTTTATAGGAAATAGCAATAAGCTGAAAAATTTAGTACTCTGTGTTTCTTCACTAGTACCTGAACAAGTTAAAAATGGTAATTATTGTAGTTATAGGTAAAGGGAACTGAAGAGAAAGTGAGGATGTTCATGGTCTACAGTACCTTTAGATATTCTCCTATAAGCCAATAAATATGCTCTCTTATGTTTGCTGTTTTGATACAAGTCCTACTGTACTCACTGATTAATATTTAATGTAATATTCAAGGGCATGTACAGCTGGTCGACGTCTGCACCTTCAGCACCGCTGGCAAGCTTCTTCGCTTTGGGTTCTCAGCCATGTTTGGCTTTGGTGGAAGAACTTTGGCTCTGGCAGAAAAATATCGATGGATGTCCCCTAACCAACGGAGAGATTTTGCTGTTGTTAAGGCACTGGCAAAACTTAAGTAAGTCTTTTTCTTAAACCAAAAATTGTATCCCAGGTTCAATGACTGTTAATAACAAATTTCATTACATTTTAGGGCAGAAGACTGTGAAATATCATTTTTACCATTTAACAGCTCTGATGATGTGCAAGAAAGGTAGGTAAAAACTCAATGTAATACAGATAACCTGTATCTTTAAAGCATAAAACATTCTGACAAACAATTGATCAGACTTAGGATCTTTGGTTATTTTTCTAACATAGTAGTAAAGAATATAGAATCACAGACTCTTACAGGTCCTAGTAAGCAAACAACTACTCACTCAGCCTTTTTCTCTTTTTCCTTCCTTCTTTCCTCCCTTCCTTCCCCCTGTCTCTCCCTCCCTCCTTCCGTTCTCTTTTTCCCTTCCCTTCCCCTTTCTTTCCTTTCCTTTGTTTTTTTCCCTTTCTTTCCTTTTCCCTTTCCCTTTTCTTTTGAGTGCCTACTATATGCCAGGCACTTTGAATACAACAATGCACCAAAAAATGAACAAAACACACAGTTTTGTCCCTCGTGATAATTTTGGTCTAGTGTGTAATACAAATATTAAAGCCATATTAAAGAAGGGTTATAGTCTTTAAAGAAATAGTACATTATTATTCCTTATAATACTAGTTTACCTTTAAATGAATCAACACATTATGTTGGCAGCAACAAAATTGTACGTTTTTACTTACTATCTAATTGAAGAAAGTATTTAACATATATAATGATGAGTTCTCTAATTTTCTCATATTTAATAGATTTGTGTGTGTCTGTGTGTCTGTGCGCGCGTTATCTGTTTTATGTCTTTGTTTTGTTTTCTTTCTTTTAGGAGGGCACAGGGATCTCCCAAATCTGGTGAGTCGAAAAGTATCTCCTTGAGAACTGTGCCAGGTTCTGTTGACATTTTGTTCTGGTGAGGGAAAATAACCAATCACTTTCATTACCTTTAGACTGTAATGATCAATGGCAAATGATCCAGGGTCAGTTCTTGAATGTCAGCATTATGGCAATTCCTTGCCTGTGTTCAGTGGCACCTAGAGGCTTGGCACCTAATACCAGGTTAGTAAGCATTTTTATTGAATTGTTGATACATTTCTTATAGACCATTTTTTTTCCAGGGTATCCAATTAACTGTTGGTTAGCTAGAAACTTAACAGGTAGTTTATCTTTGTATATTAGAGATTCTAAGGGATTTGTCATCACAGTAGGTTGAGAACAACTGTTGAACTGGAATAATTATCAGATAATCATTGACTATTTAACGTCACTGAGGCTAAAATAATATTTCCTAAGTTTTATTGATAGAATTTTATGCCTACTTTACTTGATTTATTCATTTAGTTGTGGAGAACATTATATTAAATACTGATATTTCTTGTGAATGTCTTTGCTTTCCAACTTTAATGCAAACATAAATATCCTTAGCATGAAAATCACACATATGTATATTTGATACTGTATTAGTCTGTTTTCATGCTGCTGATAAAGACATACCCGAGACTGGGTAATTTACAAAAGAAAGAGGTTTAATGGACTTACAGTTCCACGTTGCTGGGGAGGCTCCACAATCATGGTGGAAGATGAAAGTCACATCTCACATGGCGGCAGACAAGAGAGCTTGTGCAGGGAAACTCCTATTTTTAAAACCATTAGATCTCATGAGACTTATTCATTACCATGAGAGCAGCACAGGAAAGACCCACCCCCATGATTCAGTTATCTCCCACCAGGTCTCTCCCACAACACATGGGAATTATGAGAGCTACAAGATGAGATTTGAGTGGGAACACAAAGCCAAACCATATCAGATACTTTTAGTCAAAAGAAACATTTCAGTTCTATTTAATGTGAATAGTAGTGCATATCAATCTCCTGCCCACATTTTCAATTGAATAAAATATGAGACATCTTATATATATCTTTTTATCCATGGGATATAGACATTCCTTCTCTTGCACATTCTTCTTAATCAGCTGTCCATTATGGGGCTGAAAATATTTCTTTCCTGAATCCAATCCTGTAGAGTGTAGGAGAAAGGATCGTGAGTGTTGTGAAATATAGGCAATAAACGGGGAAATATTCAAAGTTAGAGAAGAAAAAAGAGAAACTGCAAACTTCGATATTGAAAACCCAGATGGCAAGGTCCTCATTAATTACATCTAGTGCTAAAACTTCAAAGGAGTATTTTGAACCTTGTGTGATTTAGAAATTGAGCCTGGTGGTTTTCCCCGACACCTTCAGAAATCCTAGATAGCTGTGTGCTTTCATAATGTAGTTTCCCTGACTAAACTTGAAGACGTGGCTAGCTGACCAAGGAGCTATGTTTGGCAGGACTTGAGACAATGTTTATCTAACCCTGTTTGTTTAAGGACCTTCTTGGGAGGGTAGACCTGCTCTTCTGGGAACAATCGATTCATAGCTCCTTCAAAGCCACTCCATAAATGTTCTGCTTGACTAGAATTCCACTGTTGACTCTGCAGGCTTAATCAGTATTAATGAATTTTTCAGAGAAGGATGACTAATTAGAGATTTCTTCTGTGGTTTATAATCACAACATGCCATCTTTGCAAAGACCTTTTGATCAAGACTCATTTGACCGGAGATTTTTCAGAGATGTAGCTTCTGATGATTCAGGATGATTGAACAGGAGATTTCACTTTCTTCTTTTTCCCCCACCATGATAAATAATAATTTATGTTAGAATATCTCAGTGCAAATTGCCAGTAGGAACTAATATTCTTATATTCTAAGTATTCTAAGATTAAATGTGTTCATATATGTGAGACATTTAAAGCAGTGCCAGCCATGTAAGTTGTGTTTCTATTTCAAGTAAATATTGCAAAGCAGGCATAGGATAGTGCTTTTAATGTTTATAAATTATGCAATTAAAGATGCACAGTAACACTACCATGAACGTTTTGGTGCTGTTTATTTTTAATTGGGAAGAAGAAGCATGATGGAAAGCATACTGAGCACCTGGAGTATTGGTGCTGATGACCATTTTTTCTCTGTGTGCCTTTGAACAAATCACTTAAACTTGGAGTTGTCTTTTCCCTCTACATGAAATGAGCGAATGATGAGATAATCTCTAAGGTCCCTTACAGCTCTGACTTGAGCTTTCATAAGATACTAAGAGCTCTTTTTTTATTTTGTTGTTATTCTTAAATTAACTTCATGTTTGCACTGAAATCAAGCTAGAAGTCATTTGTATGTATTTCTGCAAACTGCATTCTATAGCTTGATGCATTTGTGAGTGGCTGTTTTGGCACTAAATCACACCTCTGAATTTTCACTCTCTTATATTGGATGGAACAGTTATGCAAGATTAAAATGTTCAGTCATTTAACTGAACATGTGTGGCAGCATTTGTTCACTCCATTTCATCCATCCAAAGGCCACTTTGATTTATTTCATTTCCTATGTCACTTAGACCTTCTGTCTATAAATAAATATTTAAATCACACTTTAGATTTTAGAAAATGTTGAGCTATTTGTTACACAACTTGTGCATATTAACTCTTCTATAATACATCTTTTAACAACATAGTTTCACATTTAGAATTTCTAATTACATTGTATTTTAAATTATGTCTTGATATGTGAGTAGGACGCTTGATGGTTTGCTTTGTAAAATGCTCTAATGTAAGAGCTTATTGAGAAGGAAGCCAGTGATTTAATAAAACTCATTTGAAAGCCTGCATCATTTAAAAAATAGCAAGATACGGTTTATGAATTTTAGGTAAACGTAACATGGTGATTTATCTATCTTGTCCAATACTTTCAGTAAACAGTATACTTGTTATAAGGAACAGTATGTCATAATTTTTGGTATAATCTCTTAGTAAATTTCTTGATGTCTAATAGAAATATTTAATTTCAGATTAAATAATGGAAGTATGGCTCTTATAATTGCCCGAAACACTTCTCGGCCAGAATTTATAAAACACCTGAAAAGATATGCCAGTGTAAAAAATCAGGTATAGTAAATTCTTTTTGTTACTTATTTGCAAAGCTATTAATCATGTAGAAAAAGATGCTGCAAGAATTGACATCGAATCCTGCCTCATAAGAAGGTTTTATTTTCTTCTGAATATATTAATCTTCTTTTTCCCAATCTATTTCATCCAAATTTTGAAAAGCATCCGCCAGGATTAATATAGATTGGCCTTTTTTGAATGATGAATTAGTGGTTATGTATCTGTAACCACAAAGATAAAATAGGAAATGTAGTGTTATATTGCAATGTGAAATAAATTAAGGATAAAATTCCATACTCAGGCTGTTCTTCAGAATGAAAAGAAGTGAAATTTGAGAGTTTAGCCTTCTTGATATTATGGCAGCAGACTTTCTAAAGTTATGATCTTTAGATCTTCCTGACATTTGTTTGCATATCTGCATTGATTGAAATAGATCTGTAGATATGTATTTAAAAATATGACAGTTTTATACAAATATTCATTCAAAATGAGAATATGTGAAGATATACATTTCCACTTAAGTGATTTGCTTTAAAGAGAAACAGTAACTATTACAAGCCATATTATTTTGGCAGCTGTTTTGACCTGATTATTAGGAAAATGATCCTTGAACTATGTGAATTTCTGAAATTGTGAGTCTTTGAAGTACATAGGTATGGTTGTAAAACCCTATAGTTTCACACTTTTTCTTTTTCTTTCTTTTTTTTTTTTTTTTTGAGTTAGAGCCTTGCTGTGTCACCCAGGCTGGAGTGCAGTGGCGTGATGTCTGCTCACTGCAACCTCCACCTCCCACGTTCAAGCGATTCTCCTGCCTCAGCCTCCCGAGTAGGTGGGATTACAGGCTCACACCTCCATGCCCAGCTAATTTTTATATTTTTGGTAGAGACAGGGTTTCACCATGTTGGTCAGGCTGGTCTCGAAACTCCTGACCTCGTGATGTGTCCACCTCGGCCTCCCAAAGTGCTGGGATTACAGGCGTGAGCCACCACGTCCGGCCCACACATTCTTAAAGGTATAAAATGGTGCTTGGATAGAGTTGGGAGATAACAGACGGGAGGAGGAGGAGAGTAAACCCAGCCAATGACTGGCAGCTGAACCTTGCTTATGTACCTTAGCCATAGCAAGTCTCTCCATTTTTGCCTCATTATATTTTAAAACTTTCTTAGGCCATCTTCATGAAGTTTGATCTGTCAGTAACATTATTTGATCCTCATGTATTGAACAACTAACTGGGCTGCTTAGGAACTTAAATCATAAAAAATTACAGTCCCACTTTCTTTATATGTCAAAGTAGATCAGCAGGTATAATGTAGGTTGTGAGCCTACATAACAGTTTTATGTATGTGTTTGGGTGGAATATGGAGATTTATTGATTTTCAAAGGAATATATGCCCTTTCACATTTTAATAAATTTCTAAACATTAAAACCAATTTTTAAAAAACCCAAAGCACTATATATTCATTGCTGTTTTTAAGTCAGAAAATAGAAACAAGAAAATGATTTTAAAGCACTCAAAATTCCATGTTCCTCAAGATTAGTGTCATTACCTTGGTAGAATTTTTTCCGAATCCTTTTTTATTAAATAAATGAGAAGTAAAGTAAGTATTAACCTCATTCATGTACCTCTATTTGAGAACTTAAATAGTATTAACCTATTAATGTACCCCTGAGAAGTTCTGTATTTATTTTGGGGAGGTGTATGTTGCACAAATTGTTTATGGAAGGTCTCTTTTGAAATTGCCTATGGGGCAAGTCTCTCAGGCAATTTTTGTAAACATTCTTCTTCTTCATTTTTTTAAATCAATATACCTTTCTTCTGATTTTAAAAGCAATGGTTACCTTACACATAAAGACAGACATACAGAAAATAATAAAAATCTGTATCGATAGGAAGACGTTTTCTAAGAGATAATATTATGCAGGATTTATCATATTTTCTCATGTACTCTACGAGGCATATCTTGCTTTTGACACAAGAAACAGTTGCCTGTGTGTGATTCACTGGCCTTAACTCTGATTTATTTATCAACTTTCAAAAATTAAAATCCATGCTATTTTTTTTTTTTTTGCAAAGAATTCTAAAATATTTTGCATAGTGTATATAGTAAGAAAGATTGATTCCCAGGGTGACTGCTTTCAAGCAATGTTAATTTGATTTGTTAATTATCCACACAGGTGTGTTTATTTAGGCTCTTTCCTTCATGGTGACATTAAAAATGTGAATTTATATAAATTTTGTAAGATTATGAAAATCAGATCTATGTAAAAATCATGTCTACTGCATAATTCATAGCAGTGCTGGTATTCAGGAAGGAAAATGTGGCAATTCAGTTTAAGGAGAGTAACATCTGCTTCTCTGAACCATTTTTACCAGGTTGAATAAGCGAATGTTACTGTATAACACTGTAAAATAGATTGAAACCACCATGTGCGGAGTGGCTCCTGTTCCTTCCCCATCTCTGTGTAAAATTAGATAGAGGCTGAACACTACCCTTCAAAGTCCTTGCAGCTCCATCCTATTGCTTTGCCCCCCTTCTCACTGTCCACACTTTTCTCTTTCATTGTGACCATTTTTGGTAGGGAGTTTAAAACCTTAAATGTGAGTGCTTCCCCCAGGATTTCTTTGCAGCCCTCTCATCTTCTCAGGATGCCGTCTCCTGGATGGCCTCATTGCCCCTCACTTTTGAACTGTCTGAACATCATGCACTCCCAAGGGTTCTGTCATCTCGTCTTATCTGCAGGACCTCTGTCTTCTTGTATGCTGAAGAGGTTCTGAAATTCACCGGCATCTGGAGGCCAACATGTCTACAGCCGACCTTATCTTTTCCCCTAAAGTTGTTCCTTCTGCGTTGCTCTGTGCGGGTCAATGGCACCACTTTCTACCCATCCAGGTTACCCTGAACTGTTCCTTCTTCCTCATTCCTCACTACCAGTCCCCTAACTTGTTCTGTTGGTCTCCTCTTAAATGTTTCTAAAATTTCTCCCTCACCTTAATTCAAACTTTAATCCTTTCTTGCTTACAGTAGCCTCCTTTTGGCCTTCAGGTTCTCTGGTCTTGTCTTCCATACCTCTTTTTAGAGAAACTTTTTTCTAAGACACACATTGGATTTCTCTCCTGCTTAATTCTTCAGTGCCTTTCTCTTGTTGTCAGAATAATATGGAATATCCTCAGTCTGGAACACGTGGCCTTTGTATCCAGGTCCCTGCCTGTGTTGCAACCCCACCTCTTATTACCACCCTCCACCACATTCCCAGTGTTTTGGCATTTTATTCATTGGCTAAGGTTGCCATAACAAATACCACAGAAAAGATGGCTTAAACAAACAGAAATGTATTTCTTTCATGGTTCTGGAGGCTAGAGCTGCAAGACAATGTCAGCAGGTTTGGTTTGTCCTGAGTCTTCTCTCTCTGGCTGGCACATGGCTGCTTTCTCACAGCACCCACAAGTGAGTGGTCTTTCCTCTGTTCATCCCCGATGCCTTTTCCTATGTCCAAATTTCCTCTTCTTATAAGGACACCAGTCGTATTGGATGAGGGCCTAAAGACATCATTTTAGCTTAATCGTCTCTTTAAAGATCTTATCTCCAAATATAGTTATGTTCTGAGGTATACAGAGCGAGGATTTCAATACAGGAATTTGAGGGCCAAGGGGCATGATGTTGAGCACCTAGGAGTCACACTGAATTCTGTGTAGTTGCTTGACCATGGTTTGCCTCTAGTTTTGTAAATGCTTCCTCTCTCCAGACTTTCTTCTCCAGGCTAAATCTTATATGTTCTTTAAGGCTCAATTCAAATGGGAAGCTTTCCCAACATCCATAGCCTGTTTGCCTCCTCTTGTTTCCTCTGTTGAACTCCACACTTGCACCATCATGGCACTCCCCTGTATCAAAATTGTAACTGTTTACTTCTCCTCCCCGTGCCCCAAACATACCCTCACACAGGATACTAAGCTCTTGGCTCCCGAAAGTCCCACTTAACAGCGTCTGTGGCTTCACAGTTAAAGCATTTGAAGGATGGCTAGATCTTCATTTTGTGAGGAGTGCACATGACAACTGCTGATTTAAGATAATAGACTTACTGGTGGTGGCTGTCAATTCTTGACATTCCTTGGCTTACAGCTGCATCCCTCCAGTCTCTGACTCTGCCATCCTTGGCATTCTTCTCTCATAAGGACATCAGTCATATTGGATTAGGTCCCGCCCTAATGACTTCATCTTAAGTTGATTCTACCTGCAAAGACCCTATTTCTAAACAGGGGACATTCACAGGTACCAGGGGTTAGGACTTGAACATAGTTGGGGTGGTGGAGGGAAATATAATTTAGATCATAACAGGCAGTTGTGTGTTTTAAATGAATTATCAACTAACATGAATGATTATGTAGATAATTCTACAAGGATGAGGCATGTAGCCAAGGCTTTATACCCGAGGTAGGAGGTCTAACGCAGTTACTGTCAAACAGTTTTGCTTGGGGCCCTCTAATTCTGTACCTCAGTCACAACAGCTGATGCCATCATATCATCTACTGTTTAACTGTGTTTACAGTATAAACTGGAAAGTTGGCTGGACCTTGGTATCTACATATGTAAAATATGGGTGTTGGGGAAAATATTAGTTTTCTGTCAACTTTTAAAACTGTTTCATTGAGGTTTACATGTGGAAAAGGGGAAAAACTATGTAGATGATGTTTAATTAGGAATGTATCTCATGTCATTTTTCTGAAAACTGAAATGAGTAGTTATACATTTCTGCTCAAGTTATTTGGCTATATTTTCTTAATTATGTCAGAAAATACATAGTGCTTTTTCAGTATAGTTTCCTTAGGCAAACAAGAAAAAACGCAAGTTGAAGTTTACCTTGCACCATTCTATAGTGGTAAGTAAACAGTGATCTTGCAGCTTGTGTCCATTGTTAAAGTGGGAATGGGGCAGGCAAACACCTTTTAAAATCCATATTTGATTGGCTTTCTCTTTTAAAAGAAGACATACATCCCATTTTATCTTCAGAAGTTTAGACTTGCGTTCTTCCAAATTAAATTCCAAGTGTGAAACTTGTACTAGTTTGCTTTATGTCAGCTAAACTAATTGACAAGTTGATAATGGATTATATGTCTTCTGTATCTACAGGCCAGTATTAAAGATTATCTTTAATTGAAAAATCTACAGTATCACTATTTTATGTAACTTCTCACAGATATGTACTATTTGTCATAAAACAAGATTTCTAGGTGCTAGATCTAAAAGAACCCAAAAGGCTTTGGATAAGAGATTCCTTCTTCCAAAAAAAGTTGGAGATCCCTGTTCATAGTCTCAAAGCTATTAAAATGTCAGCATACATGCTGATATTTACTTGTGAGAGAGGGCTCAGTGAACTTTGATTCGCGTTAGTAGCTAGAGATAAACCAAGTATAATGATTATTTGTATTTATTTTTAGTTCAATTTTCCATTTGTTGAGACTTACACTGTTGAGGAAGTAAAAGTTCATCCAAGGAATAATACTGGTGGATATAATCCAGAGGAGGAGGAGGATGAAACTGCTTCAGAAAATTGTTTCCCTTGGAATGTAGATGGTGACTTAATGGAAGTTGCATCAGAGGTCCATATTAGGTAAGTCTATTTATTTCACCGCTTATTGTCAACCAGTAAACATAAATCTAATATTACAACGAAAGCTCTCTTCTCTGAACTATCAAAGCAGGCAGTTGGTTAGTTTTTAAAAAATCAGTAAATCAGGGAAGCATAAAGAGACATGCACAAATTTCAATAAATAAAAAGCAACTTTACATTTATTCAACTGTTATGTAGACCCAAGGCATTTTCTTTGGTTATGCGTGTCTACATTGGCTTTCTAATTTATTGTTGTGCATAAACTACAGATAATGTCTACAACTTCCATTTTGGATTTTTAAAAATGGATCAAGATCTTAAATCTTTTAGTGGAGCCATCTGAATAGTAAAGTGTTAGATTTTTATCCTTCCATCTTAGTTTCCTCTCACTCATAATTACTGTAACATGTTTTGTTCAGTAATTTGCTTTTATTAGGCCTTTACAGAGCATTCAACTTCCCTTGGGAACAATTTTACATAGCAACTGGTATAAACAGGTTTAGGAACCTGCAAACGCATTCTTGGTAGGCATTGTGACACTCAGTGGTTAGAAGAAGCATGCAGGGGTGCCCACTAGACATGGGTGTTCTAGAGGCATAACTGACTGTTTTACAGAGGTAATGGAGAGCATTGGACAATCAAGGAAGTCAGTTAAGGAGGTTTTAGAGCAATTATTGTTGTTGATGATTTATCAATCAGACCTTCTCAGTTTTCTAGATTACAGCTCTGTTGGGAATGCTGTGTTTGTTATCAATTTGTATTTGGCATTGGCATTGTGTACCATACTTATTAGGTGTATGTGAAAAACAACAAAATAAGTTGATGAAATAATGTATTTTCTTTACAGATTGCATCCAAGACTTATCAGTCTTTATGGAGGAAGCATGGAAGAAATGATTCCAAAGTAACATGTAATTGTTTCTAAAAGAAATGTACAAACTAGAATTTTAATATAAAGAAATGTGGCCATGCTTTAAACCTGTGGTCCCCACCCTTTTTGGGACCAGTTTCATGGAAGACAATTTTTCCGTGGATGGGGGAATGGTTTCAGGATGAACTGTTCCACCTCAGATCATCAGGCATTAGATTCTCTTGAGGAACATGGCACTCTAGATCCCTCACATACCAGTTCACCATATGGTTCGCACTTCTATGAGAATCTAATGCTGCTGCTGATCTGACAGGGGGAGGAACTCAGTAATGCTCCATTGCTCTAACCTCCTGCTGTGTGGCCAAACGGATATCCTAATAGAAATTGATGTTACTAACAATTAGCCTCTAGGGCTTTAAAAGTCAAGATGAAATATCAATTCAAATTCTGTTTTTAGATATCAATTCAAATTCTTTTTTTTACAATGTGTTTATTGGACACACAAAAAAACTTTGCAACCATCATAATACATCAATATTTAACCTAGATAATTCTGAAATAATTTGGATTCTTTCATTTTTCAGGATTTGAGCTCATCAATTATGTTAAATTTCCTATATTCTGTTACAAATATAATACAGATTTCATAAGTCTGCCTTGATTCACTGCTCCCTAATCCAGAGCAGTTAAATTTCAAAATCACATAGTTATATAGCCTACCTGCCAAAAAAGAATAACCCATCCCTGTCTTCTTAAAGTGGTAGGGTTTTAAAATTCATGATACAAGTAACAAAGTAAGTTGATAACAAATACTATTTTGAACTGGGCAAAATCTAGCCCAATATGTAATTGTGTTCCCCTTGTATCTGAGAGGCCTGTGTTGGACAACCATAGTACTCTGCTTTCACTGTGCTCAGATAACCTGAAATATATAGTTGTTTCTGAGTAGTTCTGAGTAGGAAAGAACCAAATGTAAATTTCCTTAGAGACCATCCTGGAGAAGACAGTTCTAAATCGGGGCTTGATTTTTCATCTATGATCCTAGATGTTCTCCTGAAAGAATGACTAGCCTTTTTATAACGATACAAAGTTTTTTAAAAATACATAAATGTCATAAAGTTTATTCCTGTGTATACACACTCTGGGTTCAGGAGGTTTTGTGCTTACATTTCACTACTCAAATGCCTTCGCAAATCTCAGAACATTCCTCACCATCACTGCAGGCCTGTGAACAGATAACTTTCATCAATTAGGATGGCTGGCTAGTGGCAGGGACTTCATATAAAGAAATCTTTCCCAGAATTGTTTTTCCACATTGCCTTCTAATTTGATCACTCCCTATAACAGATGTTCAAAATTCGGCCACAGCTCTCTTATGAAGGCAGAGTCAGATAAAATGATATTCTGCAATTATCTAGATCATAAGCATAAAATAAATATTACAAAAATGATTGTATTTAAAGAAATTTTTTAAAATCCAGAAAGTCATTTAAAATAGAACCTCATATAGTATGAACAAACTATAAAAATATTTTACATTTCATGAAAATTTTGCTGTCGTCTCATTTATATTCACTGTATACAAATTGAATCAGTATCTTTCAGCTAAATTTATGAATTTAAATTTATGAATTTTGTTTCTTCGTTTCCATGTAAGGTAACACTTATACTTGTAAAGGGTAACAAAGAATTACATCCAAGGAAATAGTTGTGTGATAGTCAATATTTTACATAGTACATAATACATATGAAGTATAGGCCCCCTAGTCTTTGCACAGCTTTGATTTTAAAGTTATTAGTGAGGTATGGTTTCTGTATTTTCTAAATCAGCGTGTATCAGGTAAAGTGCAACACTCACAATCTTTTGTTTCAGAATATAACAAAAGATTTGAAGATTACTCCTGGGTATGCTTGATAAAGGTGTGTTATAGGAAGAATAGATAGGAAGAATGGTAAATATATACCTACATAAAAACACATGTATATATACAGAAAGAAAGATGGTGAAATCCATAATTATAAAAAAATAATTATCCAGAAGTAATTTCACTAAGCTCAAACCAGTGTACATGTTCAGTCTGAAGTTTGCCAGTTTGGCCTATAATACTATAATATTCATAGTCTGCTGAAAAAAAATGGTTGTTGGAACACAGCCCGTAGGAAATGTATTATAAATAAAGGGCTTTAAAGTGATAATGGTCCACTCGTTAGAAAATTTGGGAACAGCTCTCTAAAAAATTATATTTTTAAAGAACATATTTTGAACAAGTATCAAAGATGTATTTGAAATGAACCTCTGCCCACCCAGTGGGGTTCATTTTACTGAGGCAAGCACATATGGTAAGTAGTATTTCAAGTCTAAGACTTCTCCAGTATAATTTAACTCAGTTATACTTTCATTTCAAGATATCTTCAAGGGCTTACTTTTCTTGAATAAATTGAATGCTTTAGTGTTTCTCTACCCATTTAAAAGCTGAGAGATTATCTTTGGCTGTATTATTACCTTTGCAGTTCTTCTATCTCAAAGAGTAATCATTGCTGAGATTTTCCCCTTGCATGAAGACATAATATGTCACAAGATCATGAGTAAAAGAAGTCCAAACAAAATTCATTTTTTCTTGTAAACAGTGTCTTTTAAATTTCTTTACTACAACCTGAGTCTGTTTTCCATTCTCTCAATTTGAAAGAAGTCCTTAATCATCATTGCTTTTACTGTTGATATAACTCCAACTGTCTCTTCTGTTTTCTTCTTGTAGGATAGATTTGTATTGTCTTTTAAAGAAGCCAGCCTGAAAATAGCATAACATAATCACTAGTGTATAGTTATGAACACTCTCTTATCTACTATACTCATTTCTAATATCTAAGCAGTTAACACCAATATTTCTTAAACTGCATCCCTTGTAACATCAGTCATAAAGGTTTAACAGAGGTAATCAGTAAAAATTAGTGGGGACATACTGGGTTAAAGAAACATTTTTGTTTTTAATGCAGAAATTCTCAGTGATACACACCACATTCTCTCCAAAATTGACATTCCGTGTAATTTGCAATCTTTTCCAAATGGTTTTTTAAAAGGAACGTCTGTCTTTCAAAACAAATTAAGAATGCATATTTTTCTAGAAAGACTTTGGTGTTGAAGAGAAATGTGAGATCAGTACTGAGCAACATAAAAAGTTAACATTCAAATAGTGAAATATTTAAATCTAATAACTTGGAAGTCAAATTGGCTTTGAGAAAATGTCATTTTTAGTAGACTAATGTTGGTAATTGTTAAATGCTTACCTTCCACATAACATATGAGATCAATAGAAGTACAATAAGTCCAAGTAGCAAGCTACTTGAAATAATCACTATGGTGAAATAACGTTTGGGTCTTTGATGATGTAGTCCTTCCAGTAGAACCTACGTGAGTTAAGAAAAATAAAACTCAAAAACCAAAAAAAAAAATCAGTTTAAAACGTTGCTTATATTTCCTTTAAAGCCCTGCCATAATCCCCAGTAGTATTTAGAACTGCCCAGCCCATTTTCTTGCTGGTTCTAATATAATTGCAGGAAACACTGGTAACTGTTTAGCAGAAACAGTGAGTGTAATGGGCTGTATCCATGACTTTTCCTCCAATCTATTCAATTCTCACTGCTGCCCAATTCACCTCTCTGAAAGAACTGCTGTATTGTTCCCTCCTGCCAGTTGTGGAAAATGCCAACTCTCAACCAAGTATTGGGGGCCCTCCATGAGCTGGTCACACTCTACTTTCCCAACTCAGTTACTCAGAAGGAAGTAATTATAGACACCCTTGAAATGTGTTTTCCTATAATTTTAATGTAGCAGTTAAGAGGGTAATCTTACATGCGCAACATTCTCATCCTTGTTTAGTTCAATTACTCTTGGATTTGGCTCTGGAAAACCTGTTGCTCTTATTTCAAACTTGAGTGCTGAAGTCTCATCCTGTTTAATAAAAGAAGGATCACCATAGCCTGGTTTATTTCATAAAGACATAATTTATCAGGATCTTTACCTTCTAGCTAGAGGTTTTCACAATTTACCTTCCCCAATTTATTTCACCACTTAAAATTAACTGCAGTGCCTCCTTTGGTTCCCAAAGTGTGGTCTTGGTATTAATTTATATAGTATCATTTTATTGAAATCCTTTGATTAAACAGCTACCTTGCAAATAACTTGATTTAAATATTAGACTACAGAAAGAGGTAAGTTACCATTTACCATTGTTCTCCACCCCACCACCGCATATTGAATCTATCTTATTTGGGCTTTTTATTTCTTTCTAAATTAAATACATTATAGAATTCAAATATAAAATCAGTGGATGAACTCAGAACTTTACTATCTAAAGCAAGGATTTTATAACGCAGAATCCATGAAGCTTGGGGATCTGTAGAAGGGCTTTATAAATTCTAAGAATCTTTAGGAGATGTTTTCATGTGTGCATTTGCTGAGGGAGATGAGAATATATTTAGTCAGATTCTTAAAGAGGGATATGACCTTTAAAACTATTGTGTAAATGTTATTTAACATTTTAGAGCCAAAAATGACAAGCTTCCTATAGATCTAGAGCAGTGGTTCTCAGCAGGGAGGGTTTTATCACCTAAGGGACAGTCAGGAATGTCTAAAGAAACTGTCAAGTGTCAGAACGTGGGAGGTGGTACTACCAGCAGTGAGCGTATAGAGGCTGAGGATGATACTAAATATCCTACAATGCACAGGACAACCCCCCAAAACAAAATTATCTGGTTCAAAATGCCAATTATGGCCACTGATGGAAAACCTAGACCTAGAGAAAAAGATAAGGCAAACTGCAAAAGGTTAAATGACTTGCTGATGGTTCAATGACTTTGCTTTTAGCACAGTTGAAACTAAAATGGATATTTCTTCTTTGCCTGTCTAGTGTATCTTCCTCTTAAGCACTGTTTGGCAATTTCAAGAATTCCACTTGAACATAACAGCTGCCATTTCCTTTGGCTTCCTATGTTCCATGAACTAAGTGCTTATAAAAATCATCTCATTTATCCATATTGAACAGATGAGAAAGCTGAAAAACAGAACTCCACATAAAACTAGTTTCATCTCAAACTACTCCTCATAAATATACATGCTCCTTTGTAGGAAAAAGTCCAAGATATATTTCATTATTTTTAAAATTTAAATATGTTTTTGTTGTTGAATTTTGATTTTATTTGATTTTATGAAAGCCTTAGTTTTTCTTCTTAGCTATATTTTTAAAATAAAAGGGCTTCAATAAAATTCATCATCCCTTCATGCTAAAAACTCTCAATAAACTAGGTGTTGATGGAACATATCTCAATAAGAGCTATTTATGACAAACCCATAGCCAATATCATACTGAATGGGCAAAAACTGGAAGCATTCCCTTTGAAAACCGTCACAAGACAAGGATGCCCTCTCTCACCACTCCTATTCAACACAGTATTGGAAGTTCTGGCCAGGGCAATCAGGCAAGAGAAAGCAACAAAGGGTATTCAAATAGGAAGAGAGGAAGTCAAATTGTTTGCAGGTGACATGATTGTATATTTAGAAAACTCCATGGTCTCAGCCCCAAAACTCCTTAAGCTTATAAGCAACTTCAGCAAAGTCTCAGGATACAAAAATCAATGTGCAAAAGTCACAAGCATTCGTATACAATAATAGACAAGCAGAGAGCCAAATCATGAGTGAATTCCCATTCACTACAAACAGAATAAAATACCTAGGAATCCAACTTACAAGGGATGTGAAGGACCTCTTCAAGGAGCACTACAAACCACTGCTCAAGGAAATAAGAGGACACAAACAAATGGAAAAAAATATTCTATGCTCATGGATAGGAAGAATCAATATCGTGAAAATGGCCATACTGCCCAAAGTAATTTACAGATTCAAGGCTACTCCCATCAAGCTACCATTGACTTTCTTCACAGAATTAGAAAAAACTACTTTAAATTTCCTATGGAACCATAAAAGAGCCCATATAGTCAAGACAATCCTAAGCAAAAAGAAAGCTGGAGGCATCAGGCTACCCGACTTCAAACTGTACTACAAGGCTAACCAAAACAGATACAGAGGCCAATGGAACAGAACAGAGACCTCAGAAATAACACCAGACATCTACCTAGGAATACAACTGGTCTCGAACTCCTGGCCTCAAGTGATCCTCCTGCCTTGGCCTCCCAAAGTGCTGGGATTACAGGCATGAGCCACTGTGCCTGGCCTATTTTAGCCTTTATTACCTGTTAATTTCTAAAGCCATTTCACTTAGTCAATGTAGATAGTTGAAGTGATAGAAATACAGTTTTAGAGTTTTACTCCAAAATTTTATTTAAAATTTAATTTGTTGAATGCCTTCATACTATCCTGCCTATATGACTGAATTTATAGATTTTATGTAAACTTAGCCACCAAGTTGTCAATGTTTTAGACTTACTTACCATTTCTAAAATGGATGGCCGGCCTTCCAGTTGGATATGAACACTGGCTTCTTTTCCACTTTCCATTTTCCCAAAATTACACAAGAAATTTAAACAATGTGGATCAGCTTTTATGCAGTACTTGAAGGGAATATAAAAGTGCTACATTAAAATTTTCAACATTGGAAAATATTTTTAAAATATTTTATATAGAATTTAATATATACTCTAATGGCATTTTGAAAATCATCTTTCCATAAATATGAAATTAAACATCTGCTTTCCTTAGTGGCATTTAAATTACCTTTAAACAAGACATGAATGTTTGTTTTCTAAATTATAATAAAGTATTTAAACTGCAGCATATGTTCTTATTATTTGTATTAACATAATCTTCTGGGACAGAATTTTTAAAAAATGTTCCTAATCAGAGTCTTGCTAAGTTACGTATTCTTTGTTTGTTGTAAAACGTGGATCATTTCAAGGTGATGAATGCTTCTCCAGTTTCTTTTCATACATTCACTAAGCTGAAAAGAATGAAAATTAACCCATGCCACAAAGGCTGCCCAGGTGAAGACAACCTCTTGGTGTCCTGAAGGGTCTGGAACAATGTCTTGTTGGCAAATAGTGGGCATTTGTTAGATAAAAAAATGAAACTGTATAACATTTTTTTTTTTCTTTTTGAGATGGAGTCTTGCTCTGTCACCCAGGCTGGAGTGCAGTGGCGTGATCTCGGCTCACTGCAACCTCCACCTCCCGGATTCAAGCAATTCTCCTGCCTCAGCCTCCTGAGTAGCTGGGATTACAGGCACCTGTCTAATTTTTGTATTTTTAGTAGAGACGGGGTTTCACTCTGTTGGCCAGGCTGGTCTCGAACTCCTGACCTTGTGATCTGCCCACCTCGGCCTCCCAAAGTGCTGGGATTACAGGCGTGAGCCATCACACCCGGCCAACATGTTTATATATGGGATAGACCCTGGGTCTATCTCAACTTTCCAACCATGCTTGTTCCTTCCACGCAAGAATACTACCTAAACTTGTCTTCTCTCTTATTATTGAAGTGACAGCTCAAACCCATTGACTTGATTTTAAGTGTCTCACTTCTCTGTTGGAAAGCAGGAACTACAACCTGAAAAACTGAAACTTACCAATAGCCTCTTATCAGTCTTGGACAAGAACCGGACTATGCCTTTCAAGGTCTGCATTGCACTCTTTTGCTGCTCTAATGCACACACTCTTTGATAATTTTCAAAGTGGCATTCTCCAGTAGTAGTCTATGAAGACAGAAAGCAAGAGAAATCTTATCTTTCAACACTGGAAAAAACAGCAAAAAGCAACCTGGTTTTAAAAGTTCCAGTAGCTTATCTTTGCTAAAATATATCAAGTACCTCTGAAATTGTAGAAATTTTTTTGACAGATTTGGGAGTGATTAAATGTCTGTGGCAGAAACACAAAAACCCAGCCAAATTACAGCAGGTTGGATATAGGTTCTAAGCTGATAAAATGGCCTTAACCTTGCAGAAATGTGAAAAATGATATTGGAACATTAGCATGACATTAAATATTTCTTTGCCTTTATAGGCGAAACAATATAACACCATATTCTTCTCTCTAAATCTGGAATTTAAATAGGATTTTTAAAAATCAGACCTCAAACCTATTTAGTAGATTTGTTGACTTTTGTCTTCAACCTGTTAAGCTCAAAACAATTCTGATGGAACCATCAGTGCAAGAATATCGGTTCTTAAGAAGTGGTTTGAATAGTGCTTCCTTAAAAAAAGGCTATAATCCTCATATTTGCACAGTAGTTTCAAGTTTTATGAAGAATTCTACTAATAGAAGTTACCTCTATAGGTCCATATCACACAACAATGTATCTTAAAATAATTATTCAATGGAGATGGTAGAATATAGTTCTGTTATTTAAATCAAATGTAAAAGTTGCACTGTAACTCTATAGTTCTAAAGAAATGTATAATATTCAAAGCATAACTCAATAAATGCATGGTGAATTCATAGCTTAGAGTGTGACTGAAGTAAGTTAACAATTATCCATTTTCACATCATTACTCGAATAAAGGATTGGTTTGCATTTATTTTAGTATTTAAGACACACAATAAAGGTTAGATGGAAGAAATACATTTTTACCTGGACATCCAAAATGTTGAACAGCTTATCAGTTTGGGGGCTAAAAGAATTTGGTACCATTATTTCCACACTAACATTGGGAGCCATACTATTGCCAGTGTTGATAACCTGATAAGAAGGAAAAATTTTTTAACAAATTAAATGTTTTCTATAAATGTAAGTACAGATATCAGTGAGCTTTTAGGTGATCCCGTATATTCCATGCAACATTTATAGTGGTGGAGGTTTATGGTTGGCAGCTGCATAACAAAGGGAGACAGGATATCCATAGTCAGAATTTTTAAAGTTTGCTAATAATTTCAAATGAGTCATTGTTTCTAACCTTCTAGTTTTGGTATTGTTGAAAACAAAAAGTACAGGCTGATGGTTTATTGGAGAAACAGTCTTAGGAGACATAAACAATATATATTTGTATGTTACATTACATATTTTAAAAATATCATTTGGTTCTCATGAGGTAGGCCAACATTTTGGTATTCACCAGCTAAGGGAAATGCTAACAGGTGTTCTTAGTGTTCCCAAGATAAAAGTTAAAAAATGACAAGAGTTATGACCAAAACTCAGGTATTGTAATTCTAAATCCTATGATGTTATCGCAAAAGCACTCTGTGCTAAGGGGATAATCAGCAGGAGAAAGTGAATAAAAATGTATTTTTATTCAGGATCTATATGCTGATGCATTCAGAAGAAAAGTATGTTGTTGGGTTTTGAGAAAGCACAAAAGGTTTTTAACAATACTTGTCAAAAAATGCATAAGAGGATGATAAATTTGGGGATTGAAGATTCCTGAAAAGGGAAATGGGGCCAAAATATAGCCTACTGAACTGGCAGCTTAACTGTAAAACCAATACAGTAAGTCAGAAAGAGATGCATCCCAATACCTCGATTAAAAAAGATGACTTGCAGACCTGCAGTCATTTTATGAATGCATGTGACATAGATGAAGAAAGTGTCTCCAAATTGGGAACAGGTGGTAATTGCTAATCCATAAAAGCACAGGGCAGTTGCAGCAGGAAATGTCAGCAACAGATACCTAGCAGTGCCCAATACTACAGACAAGGTCTTCTGGATGCCATTAAATATCTAAATCACAAACATCTGTTTGCCTAACAACAATTAAACCTCTAAGAATATCTACATAGTTGACTAGACACAGAAATCCTATATACTGCAAGTTTCTCCAGTGCCAGTCACTACATTATACATTTAGTAGAAAATACTTTTTAACTATTAATTGTAAATTAATAAATAAACATTCTAGAGTCCGGTTTGGTTTCTGTTTTAGTTTATCAAAGCACAAACTCCCATTGGGTTTTAAAGAGCATTTCTTGGGACTTCAAAGTGGAGAACTAAAATTTTTCAACATTAGTATCAACTAGTGTAACAAAAATTGGAGTATACATAGAATCAACAGGATTTCAAGGTCATTCTTTTTCCACAGATTTGGGGCAAAGCCAAGGAATTTGCATTCTGGATAGGTACCCCAAGTGATTCTAATACACATTTTGAAAAGCATTGTCTTACAAAATATTATACCTAATCCAAGATTTACTCACAAATATAGATTATTCTATAAGAATGCTTGGACAGTGCTTTTGGTTCAAAGAATTTTTTTTTGGAAATTATATTTACTAATCACCAACATCTTTGATACAATAAAAATATCAGTTTGACAGCAAAAAATGTTTTTAAAAACTTAGGTTTACATCAGTCTCCTAATACTTCTGAATTACGATAGTACTCTTTACTTTAAAAGGTTATTTAATAATTGATAAAGCACTTGTCACAGGTCATAAACTTATGGCTTGAAAGGCTAACCAACGTGATCTTAAATGGAGATGGGAGGTAAGAGCCTCCTTTACTTTGTAGTGCTGAGGTTTTTATACGCTTGAACCAAGAAGAAATTTCACTGATTTGCACCCAAAGATGCCTTCCCTTGGCCTGTCCTGTTTTCTGTATGTGTCTCTAGCAAATTCAGCTCATCCCATAACTTTGCCTGTTTCAGGCATTATCTCTGTTCCTGCATGCTCTTTCTCACCTGTCCTGTAAGGAAATATGGGCTTGAATATCAGGGACAAGACAAGTGGAAGGAAAGCAGCAGGGGTCTGAGAGGCAGGAGTACCACTGCTGCTGCCCCATTCCAGCCAGCTGTGGTCTGCAGAGGCTGAAGGACGTCATAGGTGTACAATGTCCCTTGGAGCAATGCATCAGTGACATCCTTTTAGGTTGTTACAAATATTAACACAATTAACTTTTCTTACATGGAAAGTTAAGTTCATTTTCTCCACCATGCACGTTTCAGGCTCATTTTCATCATTTGATCCATACACAAATGAAGTTGGGTTTACAAACCTGGTAAAAACAAATTCAAATTTAATTAACTGTCTTATTCGATGACGTATTATAAAGAGTCTTTTTCTATAGTCTGGATTATAGCATATTTACAAGTCACCATGGAATACTTTTGGTTTTGTGGTCAGATATACATTTTATTTAAAAAGAAATTAAATTAGGGCCGGGAGCAGTGGCTCATGCCTGTAATCCCAGCAATTTGGGAGGCCGAGGAGGGCGCATCACCTGAGGTCAGGAGTTTGAGGGCAGCCTGGCCAACGTGGTGAAACCCAATCTCTACTAAAAATACAAAAAAAAATTAGCTGGGCGTGGTGGCGTGTGCCTGTAGTACCAGCTACTCGGGAGGCTGAGGCAGGAGAATCGCTTGAACCCGAGAAGCAGAGGTTGCAGTGAGCTGAGGTCACACCGCTGCCCTCCAGCATGGGCAATAGAGCGAGACTCTTAAAAAAAAAAAAAAAAAAAAAAAAAAAAAAAAGGCCATGTGCTCTGACCTGGGTGACAATATCTGTCCCTCACCGATATTCTTTTCTTGCTTTCCATGACACTACACCTTTTTCATTCTACTGACCATTCCTTCTCTTTCAGCCCTTAAGTGATTCATGTAAATTTGGCAAATGTAATGTGGGATAACTTCTTAGTTTTTTCCTAAGGTTCTCATACCTCAATTTATGTTACCCATTTTTGAATTATTTCTTCCCATCTCATGATCCCTGCTGGCTACTTATAATGAACCCCAAATCTGGGGAACAAGTCTAACATTATTAAGTATGATAAATTTTTTGTTACAATACAAGGCTGTCACTCTCTTTTAAAGGCCTGTGATTTGACATTTTTATCTGCAATAAACTCTAAGAAATATGTTTCTAGGGAGATCTCTACTCCATAAGGTGCTCACATTTGGCAGCTAATATTAGGTAATACCAAATTAGAAACTCATGAAACAGGAAAGTAACCAGCATAGATTTAGGCAGTTTAACAGGTGAACATACCTTGTTCAAAATAATGAGATGTGAATAACAGAAAAATAGGAAGACACTCATCATAAGCCAGGAGGAGTGGCAAGATAAACACTGAAAACCAGGAAACACGCAATGAACTTTTTATTTGCTTACTCGTGATTCTCTAGGTCTTACTCTCCTGTGAATGGCCTTTTTTCACCCGTTTGCTTTATCTCAAACTTGATACTCAATTCCATCAGACACTGACATTTTACATTTACATGACTGTATATCACCTTTCTAAGTGGATAAGATGACTGCGGGATGGTTTAGATTTAGAGCAACAGGAAAGGCTCATCTGTCTATTTGTTCTGTAACTCATATCTTCTACTGCATAAAAATGTAGTTTTAAGGACTAACACCATGAATAAGTTCTAGTGGAATTACTGAAGGTTTCCGTAAGCCCCCTTTTATTCTTTCTCCACACATCTCCTTCTTGAATGAGAGGGGGATCCACTCAATCATTAAAATCATGAGGAAGCAATGAATTCTGATACTGTGGTTGAGGAATCTGGTGATCCCATAGGTATAAAAAGTGGACAAGGGACACCTTGCAGCCAGATCTCTCACATCTCAATCCATTTGCCACATGTGTAGATACGGGTCTGCAGAATAGTGATTTGACTAAGTTCACACTTCTCTGAACTTCACACTTGACATGGGCATTAAGTATGATTATGCAGACTGCATACTGCCTAATTCCAGATTAGGATTACACAGTGCACAGCTGAAAGGCTCAGTGTGGCCTTGCTAGCTTGTTGGGGCTCTCACAGTAAGAAATCTCCTCCAGCTGGGTACTAGTTTGATGTAGTATCAGTGATGATTATAGAGTGGATTATTATAATGGACAGCTAAGTAAGGGACTATAACAATGAGGTAATTATTAAAAGATAGAGTATCCTTTTTATTTTAAAAAAATTCTAGAATACAGTTTTTTCATTAATGTAAGAAGCAAGGAAACTGTAAATCAGCTCTAAATTTGAAAGGAAGCCTTTATGTCTACTTACCCATGAACAGTCAGCTTAACCTCATATTTTAAAGGTATTGCTACAGTCACTCTGCTGTGCTTTAGATTGTCCATTTCCTCTTCATTTTCACTATACAAACAGAAAACACCCTGTTAGAATTCACCAAGCAGAAAAATCTTCAGAGAGAACTAATTACATACCCTGTATACCTAATATACTCAGAGGTTTGCTTAAATGCTTTTTGAGGAGTGGGGATAAAAGTAGATATGGTAGTAAAAATTTTTTAGGACAAGGTTGGCAGAAAATTTCTCTCATTATTTAAACTGTTATCATTTGCTTCTAATGCTAGATAGAGGAATTTTTTTTTTTTTAACAAATAGTTACATTTATTAGATTAAAAGATTTTTTAACATTTATGTTCTAGGTGGTACAAAAACCAGAATAAATAGGTAGTTTAGAAACAAATCTATTACTCTCTTTAGGTTGAAGAAGTATTTTTGCAAGACTTAATGATCAAAGAAAGCACATCAATCATATAATTTTTTAAACTGTATAGCAAGTCATGTACTGCCTTAACGTATCTTTATAATCAGTTTTACTTATAGAGATTTTTAGGATGAGAGGGTGACCAAGTTGTTGTGTTAGGTAAAATGAAGTCCATCTTGACGTTTATTCTGAATTTTAAAAAATATATTGAAACTTCACTCATGAAATAGTCATTAACGATTTCCTATTTACTCTAGGAGACATATCTATGGAAGTCATTACCCTCACTTTTAAATCTTGTAGAGTTATTACTTGTAAACTGTTTATTCTGTTTTTGATTTCAAATACACAGTTTGATTCGTGACACATCATGTCTACTCTAATCTAATCTAATAAATACTTAACATAGCTCAAGAGCTAAAACATTGCCAGTAACTCCCATTTAACTATGTTGTTTGGTTCTTTTAAAAGCATACCACGTAAGAGAAGTTTTCTCTTACAATTAATGGAACACAGTTTTACGGTTCTCCTAATTCCCCCCCCTCAGAATATGGGGGTATATTTCTAGTTCATTTTATTAACAATAAATTATACCAGGTAGCATGCACTGTGATACTGAGGTCCTCTTCCGCTCTGCTGAGTGAGCTCACATCCAGGAGAAAGCTAATATCTATCTGTAAAACACAGACCAGGAAAGCCCATTAAAAAAAATCTTAAGTACATTTTTTATAATCTGAATTTTTTTCTTAAAAGTTTATGTTCTATGGAATGTAGAATTGAACCATTGTAAAGGCATCAGCTACTCCTCCCTTGGCAATAAGATTCAGGGAAGTTGTTGGGTTTGTGGCTATTTTAAAGTACACACATATCCACACGTAACATTCAGAGACAAAGACGTCTCTGAATGTGAACGCAGGCAAGTCTAGACAAAATTAGAAATGCTTTCACAACTTGAGTGGAGACTCTTGCCAAAAACACCTTTTTGTATAGCAGAGGTAACATGCCTGGCAGACAGGACCACCTGCGGTGGGGGTGGGGGTTTTCGGGAAGGGTGTGTAGGGGGAGCAGAATTCTGATTGACACATGCACATGCCCATTTCGATGTAAACATGCCACCCCCTTTAAAACAGCAAACATTGCCAAGAATATAAACACAAAGCTCAAAGATTTCAAGAACCAGTTTTATTTCATCACTCAGCTACCTACCCCAAGCTAAAATATTTATAATATTTTCTATGCAACCTAAAGATAGGGAAGAATAGAAAAAAATATTCATGATAGTGAACAAAAGCCATAAATATGAAACACTTACCCTTGAGAGATGATCTACATATATATAGCCAATACTGCAGTCAAGTTGTACCACGCCAGAGTTATCTGTGACTTCACAGTTTATTTGCTTCTCTTCCTAATGGGAAAAATGAAACAACTGTTTTGGACAGGAAGGAAATAAAAAGTTTGTAACATATGTTTAAGGATGGTTATTGAAAAGAATATCATCCCAGAAGTATTTGCTTTTCTAGGAAAACTATTTTCTATTTATATGTTTGAGATAAATAGACATATGATATAAATATGTGTGCATGTGTGTATATATGTATGTGTATATATATGTATGTATATATGTGTGTATATATGTGTGTGTATATATATGTGTATGTGTATGTGTGTGTGTATATACATATATGTGTGTACTCTAGTATTCAAACAGATTCTCCACAAAAAAAAAATTCTGGACTTGTAGCTTTCATTTATCTTGATATATTCCCTATTTAATCCAGGGTCTGAATTCCTTGAAAAATCATGAGGCAAGGAATCCATAAGGTTCATATTTTAATGGTCCTCTTCTGTCTGGTATGTGAGAATGTGTTTAAGGTATTTAATCAAAATAGCTATAATCTCAATAGGTGTAATGAGGTTATAATTGCAATAAGTATAAAATGCTTTAAAAATACTGTCCGTGAATATCTGAGTTTCCACTGTTACTTTTGCAAGTAGCGCAAACACTAGAGAAAGAAGGTAACAGATATTCGTGAGAGGTCAAAGGTCACTATTGGTATGAAGGTGTGGTCCCTGGACAAAAGATGAGCGAATTTGATAAAGAATAGAGAAAATTCTATTAATTGTCTGAGTGTCACCTTAAAATAAAGAACTATAACTCTGGAGTCCAGGATGGAGGATCAATGTTACTTGTGCAAGGACCACAATCAAGGGGATACTGTTCCAACATCAGACGTGTGCTGGCTACGGCAGTGAGAATGTAAAGGCACCCAAACAGCTTCCTCCTACTCCTAGTACTGGAAAACAGGAGGCTGATGCCTTTGGACTTAAGACCCAAGAACTTGCCATTCTGAGCAGGGGCACAGAGTAAGTCTGAAAATAACTAGGAGCCTAAATATTAAGACTTATACCCCAAATCAGTGAAGTGAATTCTACCATTTACTTTTAAAAAATTAAGTAAAATACCAAGTAGTATCATGCTATTGTGGTTTACAGTACTTACCAGCTCTAAAATCTTAATGAAATAAAGACCCACGGGTAGTTTGACATGTAGAGTCGTTTCATATGCATCATCTCCAGCATTAAACAAGGACACATTCAACATCAATGTCTTCATACTCCCAACAGCAAGATATGTTTTATTTTCATGGGGCCTAAAAATTAAGTAATATTATTTAGTTCTTGTTTAGGAAATAAAAATCCCTCTCTCTTATATGCATACAAGGATATATGTATATAATTTATGCTGAACATAAAATACTAATTTTCTTGGAAAAACAATCATGGGATTGACCCTATGCAAGCAGATGTAAAACCATATTAAGAAGAACTCTTTGTCATGTTTTTTATAAATTCAGTCACCTATTACCCAAGGAAACTTTAATGAGCTATAATTAAACTCGTATCTTTTCTCATTTCTTTTCTGCATAACCTCTTGCTTCTATAATTTTAACATTTTCCTGATTATTTCGTAACATTTTCTAAAGGCAAAGCAGTTTTTCTTTTCTTTCTTGCAAGCCTAAAATAGACATTGAACTAGCTGCTGCCTGAACCGAGGGAGGAAAATGGAAGGAACTGGTAGAAAAGAAGACTAGAAGGAATACTTGGTAGAAGTGAGCAAGGCATGAGGAAGAACTACTATGTCCACCCACAAGTGCGTGGCACTAAAATCTGTTGGACTAGAATTAAATTGTGAAGCAGCTGGTCACCTCCACCAGTAACTAGGCCAAATTTAAAAACAGAACTGGAGAAATGCTTCATCCTCCTGTGTATTGCAAAGTATAGATTGCTGTAAATCCATATATATGCACGAGTTCAAGTCCTGGCACTGCCAGCAGTTCTTTCTGGTGGGGAAGTAATTTAGCATTTTTAAGCCTCAGTCATCCTATTCCATACTACCTACCATTCACTGAAGATCTGGGTTATGTATACTGTATAAAGTCCTTAAAATATTTTAAATATGAAGTATTTGAGACATAAGGAACTTATTCAAAGGCCACAGCTAGAATGTTCTGAAGTCTTGAAACAATTGCAAATTTCTACAGTTCATTCTTTTTCCCAGTGAGAGGGTTAGAACAGCTATGTGCTAAGGAAAACTTTCCAATACAGTATGTCATTTTATAAACTTTCCCCTAAGAACAGAAGTTCTTAGATATCTAGTAATTTAACATTCAGAAAAATTAGTTAAAAGTAGAGAAGCATTTACCCAAAGCAAAATATCAGGTGAGGATAGATAAAAAAGATAAATATCCACCTAGCACTGCAGAATTTAGAAAGTTTCTTCAATAATGTTTAAATTGTGTCATTCAAATCAACATTTGTAGAGAAGATTAGTGTTTGAATAAACTATTTATGGAAATACTAAAGATACAGTAGGAATTTAGTTGTTTTTGTGAATTGATTAAAGACAGAGTATGTAAGGACAGAGTTTAAGAACATGTTTCAAAATTTCTGCTTTTAATTATTACTTGAAGATTCATGAATGAATTGAAAGTTTCTGTACAATAAATCAGGCACTAAGTTCATCGTTCCCAAATACCAACACACTTCACTCCTTCCTAGAGCTGATATAATAAAGGACAGATGTGTAAATAAATGTAAAAAAGATACACAAACGGGCAAGTGTTGTGAATAGAGGGCTCTGGGAAACCACTTTTTGCCTGAGGTAGTAAAGACATGATACTTGTTCTTTCTCTACTACTATGGTTAAATTGGCTGCCTCAAGAAATTTTAAGTCTGAAAATGTCATGATTGAACCTAAATTCACTTGGATTGAGTTTCTAATTGATTTATCTGTCTCAAGTCCTTCTCCTCTCCTTTAATCCAGTCTTCACACTGCCAGAGGGTCATTTTCAAGAAAGCAAACTAGATAATGGTGTCTGTTGAGAACCATACATTGCCTTCAAGATAAGAGTTCCAACTCCTTAGCATGACACAGAGGCCCTCCAGAGTTGGCCCCTGCTTCACTTTCACTGCACAATTCATTGTTTCAGTCATATTTTTCTATAAACAGGCATCTAATACACCAGGATGTTTTGCGTCTTCCTTCAAACTAGCACTCTGATGTCAACATCTCCTCTTCATGCATCTGACGTGTACTTATTCTTCAAGATTTATCTTGGACGTCAATAATTCTCAGTTGTTCTTCCAGCCAAAACTCACTGTTAACCACCTTCACCCTGCATTGCTCTCCCCTAACAGCGTAAGGTGGCAGCTTCTCCCTCTCTCAAAGCACACGGGGCACCTCTATAAAAATGCAGTATTTTCACAATGTCAAGTCTCTGGTTCCTCTCACTACTAGACTAATTTGCCTTGGGGAGAAGATGCTGGATCGTGATTCACATGCTTTCTCAGAGCCTAACAACACAGTCTTCAAAAAATATAAGCAGGTAAGTACATGTCTGTATTAAATGTAAAGAAGGGTTCGGTGGTGTCCAAGCAACATGTCAGAAAAAAATTGGGGAAATTATTGGATAAGTTATTGACTGTTAGAAGTCTATGAAAGTATCAGCATAAATACTGTCACGTTATAGCCTTAAACCGTGTTTATCTGTTCTGTGATGCTATACAAATTCCAAATGTCTCACTAAGAAAGTAAATATCTAGCATTACCACATTGCGATCTGTACCCCCATCCAGACAACCTAATGTTTTGGTGGTGATAAACCTACTGAAATGACCTATGAATTAATGGCATCATATGACCATGGCAAAATCCAAACTGGAAATGTGGTACGGTTTTTGAGAGTTATTCTTATGAACCTCGGAATATGCAAATAAAATAATTTTGGATATTTCCCCCCACTTTTATAACTCTAATGTAACTTCTAAGAAAATGGACACTTCACTTAATGCTAGAAAATTCTTCCTCTTTTTTTCTATTTTAAACTTATCAGAGTATAATACATGCATAGAAAAATGCACATATCCTGATTGTACAGCTCAATATTTTTTATGAATACATGCGTTAAGCACCTAGCTCAAGGAAATAAATATTAGCAGCACCACTGAAAAACCCTCTGGGGCTTTTTCTTCCAGTTATTGTCCTCACCCTCCTTGATTTTTAATAATATAACTTGGTTTTGTTCGGTTTTGTATTTTATATAAATGTAATGTAATCTTTGAGTATCTGTTCTTTTGCATGGCTTTTATTCAAAATTTTGTTTGTGAGATTAACATATTGGTACATGTAGTTGTAAAATGTTTCTTATCATTGGTGTATATAGTCCATTTTATGAATATGCCACATCTTATTTATCCTTTCAATTATCCATGGGACTTTTGACAATTTCCATTTTTGGAACTATTATAGTTTTTTGGTCAACATACACACGTAATTCTGTAGGCTAGATACATATTTATATCTATCTTTGTTTCTATCTAGGAGAGATTCTTATAATTTTTTAACTGAGGATTAATTTCTTAAAAATCTTTGAATCTTGGCTTACTTTCACAACCAGCCTAAGTTATATTGACAAACTATGTTTAAAAAACAAAATATACTATCAGGCACTATTTTTAATTAATAAAAATATATATACTTTAGAATTTCCATATAAAAAGCAAGCATATCATAGAGTAGAGGTCTGTAAACTACTCCCTGAAGGCCAAATTCACATGTCTGCCTACTTTAGTAAATAAAGCTCTATGAGAACACAGACATGCTTTTGCACTGCAGTGACAGAGTTGAGTAGTTGGGACAGAGATCTCTGTCCCACAAAAACTCAAATATGTACTATCTGTCCCTTCACAGAAAAAAATGCAGGCTCTTGCTACAGAGCAATCCAATTGATGAGTAAATTAATTACAAAATAAACATATAACATATTACCATATTTAATTGAAATCTATTTTGTACTATTCTGACTATAATAGAAGCTTCATTATTTCAGATGGCATAGGATGCAGTTCTTTACCCCAATAAGCCATATGAGAATTAGAGAAAATGATCCCCCAGTCCTCATAACTCCTCCAGACATGGAGAAGAAAGGAAAGAATGCTACTTCCACATGCATCATCTCTACATTGGGATCCCTGATTTGAGCAGTTGGATATGCTGGAAGAATGTGTAATAACTAACAAAGCAGTAATTCCAAACCCTGGGTATCACTGCAGGGTGGAGGAGTCTGAGTGACAGTGTGCTACCACAACATTTTAGGGAATGGCTGTGATTTACTCGTGCCTGTGTTGTAAACCTTGGGGTTAAGTAGTATGAATCTGCTTGGTGGCACTGTTAAATGGGAGAGAGGAAGTGTGTGGGAACATGGCTGTCCCACATCCTGCCCCCCCACCCCAAACTCTATAATCATGTTAGGACTAAAGCAACCTAAGAGGTTCTAAAAGTAAACTTCAGCTTGACATTAAAGTTTAATTAAGACTTGTAGAAGAGCTGCCCAGAAATAGACATTTATAAAATATTCTGGCTTGTAACCAAAGCATTAGTCACTGAACACCTTTGGGAAAGAAGTTGGCACTTAGACAAGCAACAGAAGGTGAAAGCACTGCATAAACAGCTAGGTTCCAAGACAACAGCAAATTAAAGAGAAACACAATGTTCACATTTCAGCAGCTAGACTCCTGGTTTATTTTCCATTTTTAAGCTGTTTTGCCCCATTACCATAATTACAATTCTACTTTCTTTCCCCTAAATATACATCTTACTGTAAATTGATTCATTAACAAGATGCTCTCAGAAAGATACCTACCAGCTTCCTATGTGAGACATAATAAAGAACCAGGTGCACATCTGGAAGTGCGACAAGACTGAACCAGAGCTGTCCCTGGGACTCATAGTTCATTCTTCATTAAAACATGCATAATGCAGACTTGAAATTTACAAAGCAGCACAGAATCCATGTAACTTAAACAAATCAAGGTACTGTGTACATACAGAATCATAACTTAATAAGTGACAGAGGAAAAATAGAAAAATGATGTACCGCAGCACCAGGCTCTATGTTTTTTTCTGAGTGAATAATATAGCTTTATTTTGCAAGAAATGCTCCCCAAGTCTTAGTATAATGAATTCACCCTGTCTCCCTAAAATGAATTAGGGCTTGATAGCTAACTTGTTTTTAATCAAGATGCTAGAATAAAATATAATGTAAACTGATACCATACTTCACTATGTCAAGATACATGACTCATTTATTTGACAAAAGAGTAACCTGCAGCAAGTAGTCTACAGGCCTAAGTACAATTTTTATCTTT
Organism: Homo sapiens; assembly: GCF_000001405.40. Lineage (NCBI taxonomy): Eukaryota > Metazoa > Chordata > Mammalia > Primates > Hominidae > Homo > Homo sapiens. The sequence continues at coordinate 181,517,134 of NC_000002.12, read as the reverse complement.
TTTTCCTTTACTACTGACTTCAGGGAAAAAGACAATACTGAAAAATTCTTGCCTGTTGGAATAGACAGGTTACCTGACATTTAGGAAGATTTTATTAAAGACAGGCAAACTCACTGAGGTTAAGGGAAGAACAGCAGAAAAACTTAAATTGGAAGATTGAACCAGTAATTAGCATGTCTTAGTTTATAAAGCATATAATTCATTCTCCCAAAACTTTATGCTGTCAGTGAGCCAAATATTCGTACTATTTCCATTTTAAAAATGGACAATTTCATCACACTAGCTCTTTCGGGAATTAACAGCATGGTGGCAGATGTTGCTCCTTGCTCATTGTCTAGCCAACAGTGATTTCCCTTCTTAGCTGCCAACAGAGCCCTAGATTATTCAGGTGACAGGCAGCATTCCCTTAATATTTCAGAAGACAGACCTCTAGGTTCAACTCCAGAGAATGTATCACAATAACAAAATAATTGATTCAGGATCAATTTACTGTGATCATGACGACTCCATTCTCCTTCAACCATAACAGAATCAGGGATAAACAGGTAACACACGTCTGGTTAATCAGAATACATCAAATGAGGCACTGCCCTTCCTGGAAGGGCAACTTAAAGATGACCAAGCACTTTTGCTCTTTTCCCTTTTCTCTTGCTTGGAAGCTTGATGCTGCTTGGCTATACTGTGATCATGAGGAAAAGCTGAGAGAGCTGGAAAGATAACCATCAATGTCTAGTCTTTGGTAGCTGTTCACCAAACCTGTGAACATCCTTCCTCAAGACTGCTTATTATGCGAAATAATATCTTTATTGTTTAAGTCACTATTAGTTAATTACTCTAAAACTTGCAATTAAAAGTATTCCTAGCAGATACAGAAGCAATTGTTCAGGGAAAGCTTACATCACTCATTCTGGAAGCACAACTGAGGTGCAGAAATGTATTGCGGTATCATTTACATGAGTTTCAAGGATTTGATTTTAAACTCCCTATGTGATGGCTAATACCTTCTATTATATTTGTAATCTTGAAGTCGTGTTGGTTCATCTTTATTTTGCACTGCAAGTCCTTTATAAATGCAGTTTATTGTCCTAAGCATTTAGACATACAGGAGGAAGCCTCAACTTAAGAGATGAGAGAGAGTGGATAAGCACTGTTTAGCGTACTGTTGACAGTTTATTATTGCAGTCTTCAGAAACTCATGTTCTTTACTGAGTAAATACATTTACCTAAAACAGGTTTATAGCTCTGGGGCACATAAATACCATTAGTGCCAGCAGAGTTATAGCTGGGAGAATGTATGGAACATATGGTCACAATTCGCCTACTGTTTCTGAGAAAGGAGAGAGGACACCTCTGTGGGAGAGACATATTTCTGTCTGATAGAGTATAATTTACCAAAACACAAAGCACTTTGTCAGAACCTTTCACTGTGAGTCTAAGAAATTAATTAGAAGGGCTCTCATTTGAAAGTTCCTCAAATAATCATTTATCTAATAGAAATACATAGCCTGTAACTTTCTTAGTTGATACAAAAAATATGGCGCCTACTACTTTATATGGACATTCATGCCACTTCAAACCTTGTAAGACTGCAACTACTGAGCCAGTCACAGCAGCTATATTTTCAGGATATAAAGCTTATATGCAGAATTATGTATAGAATTGGCAATGTTTCATTTTATGGCCAAACTAAAAAAGCTTATCTATAGAAATTCCAACCATAATATTTCAAAAATAGAAATAGTAATGACTTTTATTGAGTCTTCATGGAAATCAGGCTTTGCACTAGGCACTTGGCCTGCATTATTACCCTTTAAGACAACCTTAATGAGTCGGTACTATTTTTACCCACTTAGCAATGAGGAAAGAGGTCTAGAGAAGTTAAAAGTCTTCTCTGAAAAGGTCACTAGTAATACAGTAGATATGGGATTTGAACCAGGTCAGATTGACTTCAAATCTGGAAGCTCTTCACCACCATAACATTGGTTCTTAGGTTTCAGTGTGATAAGAACTTGGAGCTCTATTAATTGTGAAGATCTGTGGCCTGGTCCCCTTTAGTTCTGACGTGGATGGTCTGGGGCCTAGGAATCTGCATTTCTTTCAAGCATCCAGGTGATTCTCATAAAGGTGGCTCAGAGACAACACCTTAAGAAACACAGCCTTATACTTCATTTAAAATCATTATGCCATTTAAAAATCATAATGGGTTTGATAGGCTGCAAGAAATATTATCACTCTAAATTAAAAATGCAAAGCAGATATTTTGTTGTGAGAAAACATGTAACAAAGAAAAATAATTCATTAAGATGCATTTTCATTATTCAGGAAAGAAGCATAGTTAGTAATATTTTCTTATAAATGTCAATGTCTCATTTTCTCATAGGCCAGAGAGACTGCAATGAAAGGTGATAGCACAAGTGTCTGATTTAAGAAAATGAAAACACTCCTTTACTTGCAGCTTAGAAAAGATTTCCCCCACACAGCTCGTCTTCTTATCAAAGGCCCATGAGGGTAAAAACACCAAGATAATTAAGCGGTTTAGGAAGAAAATAAATACAGAAATGGGAAGATTATAAGTTATTCAACTAAGAAATCAATAAAGGCACTGCCCTACATGCTGGGATACAAAGTAGTCCGTAGTCTCTGTTTCTGGATTACAGTTAATCTGGGTAATTTAAGTATAAAATCCAATCATCAATCAAATAGGTCAAGGCTTTTTGGCCCTGAACTATGGACTCTCAAGGCTAAACTGACATTGCCTAAGTGAAAATAATTGATTCTCAGCCATATGTGATCCTACCACAGTAGGGTACTCAACCCTATTTGTCAACCTTTTTACTTATTCCTAGTTGACTCCCTGTCCTTAATCTATTTTGAATTTTTTCCATTCCTTTCAGTTCCCAAACATATCCTCAATGCCTTCAATTACCACATATAAACTTGCTTTTTATCCTAGCCATCCATGAGTTCTCTGTATTTCCCTTCCTTCCACACTGAAATTTCTTAATGTCAAACATATTTTCATAGCTTGTTAGCTCAAGATAAGGAGATTCTTAACTAAGGCTAATTCCTCTACCTATGAATCTGATCCCTTTTGGGATCTTGTTCCATTCTCAGCAAACCTCTCCAGTCACCTGCAGCACTCCAGGCACTGTTAGGCATTGGGAACACAAAAATGACAGGACCCTGCTTTGCAGCAGCTTCCAGGACAGTGTGGAGACAGACTTTCAATAATCGTGAGCACAGGGCCATAGGACCAAGGGCACAACAGAACTTAAGTTTAAGTAGCTGAAGACCAGGGGGCTTCCCCTAGGAAACAGGTGAGATTTAAAAGATAAATAAAAGTTAATCAGGTAGATGGGCAGAAGAAGTGAGAAGATACAGAGGTTCAGGAGAGCATGGCACAGCCAAACCACCATAAGTATTCAGCCATTGATGAAAAACTTCCTGGGGAATTGGTGAAAAATACCACCCAGGAGTTTAGATTTTAAGTCTAAAATGAGCCACTGAAGCACTGTTATCACATGTGTATGTTAATAATGCAAAATCAAAGGCCAGTATCCTAGAAAGCAGGAGAACTTAGTGACCTAGGTAGGATAGTGAGTGCCTAGTTTGGAGTAATAGTGGTAGAGATAGCAAAGCATGATGGATAAGAAAGACATCTAGGTGGTAGTATTGTAGTACTTAATAATTCTGGATATCAGAAATAAGAAAGAGAAAAGAATGCAGATTGAGCCCTAGGTTTCTGGCTTTGGTAACTTTCTAATGTCCATGTCATTCCTGGATAGTGCCTGGACAGATTGAAACTATAGGGCAACCAAAAGGACATGTCTAATAGGGAATTTGATATGTAGGTGGGTGTGAAACTCAAGAGACACTGGTTTAGGCATCAGCAGTGTAGGCATGCCAGTTGAAATTGCAGTTATGAGCAAGACTACCAAGGTTGAATGTGGTAGTGAGAGAAAGGGCTGAGGGAGGACCATTTAGGGTGCCAAACCCAAAGATCCATCAAAAACAGCTGAAAAGAAAGGGCTAAATAACTACTAAGACAATGGGAGTAGGATAGTATCATGAAAATTAAAGGATAAGACATTCAAAAGAGGAAGTGAACAGTGAAATGCTTCAGAGTGGAATTCAAGTATGGACTGAAAAGCATGTGCTGGAAGTTAAGTTGAAGATGTCTCCCTCCAATTTATTCTTTTCCCTGCCTCTGGCACTCACATTTACATCTTCTAATAATTGAACAAATAACAACATTTGATAAATACATAAAAATACCTCACTTGAACCTACTTGTTCCCAGTATACTCTCCTTTCTTTAATCACTAATCCTGTCATTTGGCTACTTCTGCACTGAGAGTTCTATCTTAACATTTGCCAGTGATACCCATTTTTTCACCACCCGTCACATTTTATTAATAAATGCCAACTTCCATGACCTTTAGACATTACGTTATCTGATCTTTTTATAAATTTTACAATATTAAGTCTCCCTTTTTATATTCTCCATTGGCTATTTCACCAGGGACTTGGTTCTCTTTAATTCCTTGAAGATGCCTTCTCAGTCTCCTACAGGGACTCCCCATTCTTTTTAATCTCCTTGAATAAAACTGTCCTCCAAGATTTGATCTGTAATTTTTTTCCTCTGTGAAATTCACATTTCTATCCCTTGGGCCATCTCACAAGTCACTAATATATGGAGGAACTTCCAAACATAATCCTGAACTAGATTTTCAAGTGGAATGCCACATAGAAAAGTCCCTCCAAATTCAACATGCCCCAGATTAAAGCTGCTCCATTTATATCCCAATCTCCCAAAAATAGTTCCCCGTTTCCCTGCCCTGTCACTGATGCATCTTCTTCCCTTCTTTCACTTGCCTTCTATGATCAATCCTCAACCTGAAGTGTTCATTCTCTCTCTCTGGTCCTTGTTTTCACATCATCTTTTTGATATGCAAAATGATTTGAATATAGGGGATCCAGATATGATACAAAATTGCAGTGGTTTATTTGCCATTATAAAATAACGACAGCAACCAACATTTATCCAGTCTTTGCTATGTGTTAGATGCTATTCTAAAACACATATCTATTTCCTTTTTACTCTGTTTCCCCTTCTATGAATTTAGAAGAGCAAGATAGTTTATTCCTTTTTAAATTTGTCATACTTGGATTATATATCAGTCTGAGTGATATAACCAGTTTTCTGGCCGATAAAAAACTAAGCATTGTGTTGCTAATTCTTTAAACGCTGTTAATTTTCAAGGGTTAGCTCTTGTTCCTTTTCTTTTGGGAATGCAAATGCACACACTCATTACACCCTCTCGATGAATAACAGAGACTATATACCACATATACTTACTTCAAAAACCCAATCTTTGCAGAAACCTGTAAATCAGCAGAACAATTTTCATGGGCACAAAACCTTGCAAAGTTTATCTGGAAATAAAAAGACAACGTTTTTTATTTTGATTTAATCAGCAAGTATATTTATATATATTTTAAAGATGACGACACCTGTGATGCATGAGAAAAATAAAATTGATACATCAAATTGACAACTCTTTATTTTATCTCTTTTAAAAAGTTCAATTTGAGAATTAGTAGGGTTCAAATGACAATTACTTGCAGGGCTAAAAGAGCTAAGTTCTAAATAGGTAAAATTTAAAGCCCAAATTTTCTAAGTGAAATAAGATTTGGAAAAAAAGTTAAATGAAAGGCATTAAAGGAGTTTATTAGCTGCCAAGATGTTTTTCATTGGGTTCCTCTCAATTTTCTGTTGCTGCAGTTTGATCCCATTTATTACGTGTAAGTATGGCACTTAATTGTGACAGATGTTGGGACAGTGATTTTATATTCATTGAAATTAGCTACATGGAGATACTTAGAAATTTTACTTAGAGGAAATATTGAACAAAATTAAATAAGTAAGGGTTTCAGAATTTAATTAACTCGAAGCTTTTTAATAAGATCAATAAATACTACAAAGGACCTAGGAAGACCCAAGGCATAAGCTGGGCAAAAGGAAAAAATGGGGAGAGATAAAAGGGAAGGTAACGGGAACAGGTAGAGAGAGACAGATGCAGAAAACAAAGAGAGATCTAGAAAGTCAGAAGGAGCCAGGCTCATTAAGTGTGAAGTGACTAGAGTACTGTCAAATAGCGTGCCTACAGCTGGGGGAGAGGTGTAAATATCTCTCTAAATAAATATGATTTTTTTTTCTGCCATTTCTATTGGTAAAGCAGGTTGTTCTAAGAATCAAAATATAAATTAATATAACTACCAATTGCTAAGGTTTTGGCTTGTGTACTTGCAATATTGAGATTTTCACTATTAAAGACATTTACAAATAGTTGATGTTGACAACTGAAGTTCAAAAGAAGAGTAAAAACAACCCCTGACTTCCGTAAATATTTTCATATGAGGGTGTAGAGAAAAATCTGCTCTTCAGTTATCTTCATTTGATCCTGTATTCTAGACTAGACTAGTGGTGATTGTAAGCTCAATTATCTTAAAGTGACTATGGGGCAATTTTGTCTGGACAGGATGTGAACTAGACCTTTAAATGTCCCTTTCATCTTTTACATTCTGTGTGTCATTAGTGAACATTTTAATGAAGGCTTTTTACTATGCCCAGACACATCCTGTTTTTGGACAAACCCTATGTCTTTGTGTTGATAGACACTAAAGGTCTGAACAACAGGACTCCTGAGAATAAATACACTGTCAGTGAAACTTAAATATTTTGAGATAATTTAGAAAACGGTTCACTGGTTAGAATGTAGGATCCATCTCAAATGCAATTGATCCTGGGATGTGGCTGAAAAGCATATAATGAAATTTTTAAAAAGAAATTATTGTATAACATAAATACATGTGTCTGTAAATGGGTAAAACTAAGCAAGAAAATTTGATTATGAAGACATGAGTGAATCTGTGAGTAGGATGAAAGCAAGGGAGAAAATGAGAAGAGGAAGATAAACTGAGGACACATGATGACACTGAATAACTAACTTGTAAATACAATCTTCTCCCATTATGATTTCTCTCTAGTAATATATCTTTCTTCACTGGCAAGGCATTAAAAATAGAACATCAGCATTTTATATGAGAATCTACTGTTGTGATTAAATGCATATTTTAAAATATTCAGTTCAATATCCTAAAGGGAATATAAACAATTTAAAGAAATGAATAAATCTATTTTTGTTTTTAAAAATTCGTATTTTTAAAAATTCCGACATATAGTTCACTTCTTCAGAATTATGCCATATTTTAAAAATTTAGTTAAATGCCATACAATAATTTGAATAAAGGAAAATATTCCTACTGTTTTTTTCATTATGTCTTTTTCTTTCTTCTGCTGAAGAATTGGCTGAAGTGGTGGGAATTCCTCTGTACTTCGTTTACTGATGACATGAGGACCAAGGTGGTAAGCAGCTTCAATCTGAATTGGGGTGAGGATGTCCCGCACATCTTTCTAAGGAAAATAACCACCATATGAATTAACAAAAACAAGCACGTAGATTAAAAAAAAATAAAACTCCTTTCCTGAAAAGGGCCAAACACTATACATGGAAGACAAAGCAAATACTTATCTTTTATCTAAACCGTTAAAAAAATGAAGATGTATATTTTTTCATATCACACAAAATCATTTACGTTTCTTATGAAAAACACAAAAAAAATAAAAATGAAAAATAATACTATCCAATAATAGTTATAAAGTTCTGTACTTGGGAGTATTTTCTTCCATGCTATTTTCTACGCATTTAAAAGATAACTTGATATTATAACATAAGCATTTTTCATGATAAACTTTTTGTAAATCATTTCAAGGTGCTTTTTATCCCATTTAACTTTACCCTATACATTTTCTCTTTATATCTCTCAACAACATTTTGATTGAATTTGATTCATTTGACTCCAGATTTATTATAAAACATCCTTTTTAGTTTTTTTTTTTTTTTTTTTTTTTTTTTTTTTTTTTTTTTTTTTTTTTAAGAGATGGGATGTGTCCCTCTGTCAGCAGACTGGAGTGAAGTGTAGCTCACCACAGTTCTGAACTCCTGGGCTCAAGCGATCCTTCTGCTTCAGCCTTCAGAGTAGCTAGGACTACAGATGTGTACCACCATGCCCAGCCCATTTTTTCATATTTATAGAGACAGGGTCTTTCAATGTTTCCCAGACTAGTCTTGAACTCCTGGGCTCAAGGGCTCCTCCAGTTTTGGCCTCCCAAAGAGCTGGGATTACAGGTGTGAGCCACCATACCCAGCCCTTTTCTTTCTTTATGGAACTTTTCTATTATCTTTTCTAACAGATACTGAATGGTATATAGGAAAAGTATTTGTTTTGTACATCTAATTGTATACACTGGTCGCTTCACTGATTTTCTTATTAGTTGTTAAAGTTTTTATTTATTTATTTATTTATTTTTCGTTTTTGAGTCAGTCTTGCTCTGTCACCCAGGCTTGAGGGCAGTGGCGTGATTTCAGCTCACTACAATCTCTCTCTCCTGGGTTCAAGTGATCCTCCCACTTCAGTCTCCCGAGTAGCTGGAATTACAGGCATGCACAACCACATCCAGCTAATTTTTGTATTTTTAGTAAAGACCAGGTTTCACCATGTTGGTAGGGCTGGTCTCAAATTCCTGACCTCAAGTGATCCACCCCACTCGGCCTCCCAAAGTGCTGGGATTACAGGCTTGAACCACCGCGCCCAGCCGTTTTTGTTTTTTCTAAGTTTATTGTGCTTTTATACTTCACAAAGAACTCTTGAATTTATTTACCAGTTACACAGAAATTGTAACCCATTCACAATCCATTCTGCTCTGTATAACATTCATTTAAACTTAATATCTTATGTCTACACAGCATTTCTTACTCCTATTCTTGTTGATATGTGGTCACAAGTTTTTTTTTTCAATAATCAGATTTTTAAAATTCATTGTCTTCTGTCTCCAAAGAAACAGCTCGAGTTTATTACAACTGATTGACAATTCTTACATTTTAACCTTTATTTCTATATGCAGACATTATTTTCTTTTAAAAATATTTTCTATCAACTTACAAATGATTTTCTTTTCATTTGATTACTTGCTATCCTCATTAAAAAAATTCCACATTATTTTCAAAATTATTTGCTTACACACAGTGAAATAAACAAAAAAAAATCTTTGAAAGCATTTGTCATTCGATTAAGTAAGCACTTCACTAGATAGTAAAAGTGTCCTAGACTCTCAAGTCTATGAAAACAAAGAGAGTCAGCCCTCTGTACCCATCGGTTCCACATCTGTGGGTTCAGCCACCTTGGATCAAAAATAGTTGGCAAATAATGGATGGTTGCATCAGTGCTGAACATGTACAGATTTTTTTTCTTGTCATTATTCCCTAACTAATACAGTATAACAAGTATTTACATAGCATTTACATTGTATTACATGTTATAAGTAATTTAGAGGTGATTTAAAGTATATGAGAGGATTTACAAAGGTTAAGTGCAAATATGGCACAATTTTATATAAGGGACTTGAGGATCCTTGGATTTTTGTATCCAAGTGGGGTCCTGGAATCAATCCCCCAGGGTTACTGCAGGGCAAATGTATATGAAAATCAGGTAGCATATAAAACACAGTGTCTCTTAGAAAGCACCTGTTCAAGCACTACGCAGACAGAAATGTGATTTTCAAAGGGTACTCAACAAAACAGACTTCTCCTTATCTAAAAGGGTAAGCTAATAAGATTTTACTACTAAAGTAACCTAAGAGGATTTATAACAGAATTCAATTGAGAAACCTAAAGTAAGACATGTCGATGAGAAATCTATAAAATAAGATTTAGACACTGCAAAAATTAAAAGTAGAAATGATCTCAGGATATGAGAGAGCAGTTCACATCACCACATATAGCCCACCTACACGGAAACAAGTGGAGAAAATCTATGCAGTTTTTGTTTTTCTTGGTATTAGAATTGTTGCTATACGCAGGAGATAATTTGATGAATTGGTCACAGACTGTGATGTCTTTCATACTAATAATTTAAGGCTCAGTTTTTGACTCTACTTTTCATATGGCTGTTTCAATCTATAAGTTCTTCTCATCTTAAAAAATAGATTCAACAAATTCCCTCTTGACCATTAAAGAGTCTAGTATTTTCACCCAGGCTAGACATATTAGCTTCAACCATAATTAAGGTTTATATTATGCTAGATGAGTTCCTCAAGGTAGACCCATGACACTGCAATTGACAGACCTCCTACTAAGTAATGTCAGTGGACCAGGTTTCTATTTATCTATAGACATTTCAGGATTGCAATATGGCTTAAACATTACTGCCCCAAAGCAGATAAGGAATAGATTATTTTCAAAGCTCATCAATTAATAATCCTTAAGAAATAGGGAATAAATCCCTATCACACATATTATTGCTGTGTTGCTATATTATTTATATAGTAACTTTTGATAAAAATCAACGAAGTAATTTAATAAAGATGACACACACCACATAAAAGACTATATCTATTCTATGTCTTTATGTAATTATAAACAGAAAGGATGTAATCTTTTTTCTCTTTTCATTTACAACATTATCAATTTATGTATATAGTGGTTAAAAGCAATAGTGGTCTGAAGGTGAAGAACTGGTGTTCAAATCTGGGGTCCACCACTTATTATCTACATAACATTGGACAAGTTTCTTAATTTGTCTATGGCTTAGTTATGTTATCTGAAAATAGGAATAATAACAATTATGGTGGTTATACTTATACCTTACTGTTGTGATGATTAAATGACATAATGTCCATAAAGCAGACCTGACAAGATTTGTATGTTGCTTCAAATTTCAGGTATATAAGCCAGCTAAGAAATTACTAAATTTCAGTTTCCTAGAATAGGAGATTCTGGTGAACATTTGGAAGGAATAAGAAAACTGAACTACTACTGCCAACCATCAACATTAAATAGAAAATTAGTTATAGAACAAGGAATAGAGCTCTATTTATTAAACGGTATTTAGAAGATTTGGAGCCTGAGAGTACTCAAGATCCCTGATTACTTTTCCATTCTTATACAGAGATTCTTATATTAAATTACTTGGTAAGTGATCATCTCAACATGAAACTTTGACCGTATAGGAATGCTGCAAATCAAGGCCAAATCCCAAGTTATCGACTTGTGAAAACGGAACAGCTTGAAGCCCTGAGTATTCAAGTAATAGCAAACTTGATTAAATCATTCCCTAGGTGTAGGAGGAGCTAGACAGCCACTGATTGTCCCTCCACATGTCCACTGTTTTAATTCTTCTCAACAAGCTTACTTTGACCAAATCACATGCTATCTAATTCATACTAATTTTCCACAAGGTCTTCTCTACATCTGTTGTATATTACTTTCATTATCCTAATTAGCTATTAATTACGCTTTTCTTACAATATATAAAATGTACATGCACTCTTGCAAAAACTGTATTTGACAGATATTCACACTTATTTAACTTTAACAGCTCCACCTAAGGACAAAAGCTGTAATATCAAAAATGTCTTGAAGTGATTAATTAAATATTTGGGAGTAAAAAAGTAGATTTGTTTACATTTTAAAATTTGGATGGGCATGTGCTATCTATATTAAAAATAATGAAGATTCCATGCCACATTTTTATGGACAATTACATAAAATAGGGTGCCCACAAGCGTGCAAATTAGCACATGCCTGAAATTACATAATGTCTGTCTTCTTGCTTGACTTTCATGGAAATCTGTATTTCTGGCCAACTTGAGAGCTGAGCAACAGGCCCATGTCCTCCTGTTAACTTGGTGGGGCAAAAAAATTTATAAGATATCACTAAATAAAAAATAATGTCAGGAATAAATATTTGAAGATATCTATTCATGGGCCTACTGTGTCCAAGGCAGCTCTAGGGTTACAAAACTGAAAGTCAGTACCTGTCACAATCTATGTTCCACAAATCCACATAGACAGTGTGGGGCATGAATATTCTGACAGAGGCATGTCTAAATACAGAAGAAGTAGGGCCACCTAATCTACACATAAAAGGGGCTGGGGAGGCTCTTACATAGGAAGATTTTAAGCAAGGAATATGACTAGATTTTGGAAACACCTCTCTGGTGCTAATGCAGGGCTCGGGAAGGAAAAGCTGAGACCAAGACACAGGTTGGTACCTGAACCATCACCATCTTATATAATTGCAGTCCCTTTATCTAGTAAGCTTGGCTCAAGTGGTACAGAACAGTCAGACATCTAGCATTACAATTTCCTGAGAAAAGACAGCACCCCTAAGACAAATGCCCTAACCATTATACCAATAGAACATTCTCAGATTTTTCTTATAGAATTTTTTAAATAGCACCAAGAACATAGCATCCATAAATTTGTTAAATATTTATTGTTTCTGCCTTATGTAATGGATTGTGCTAGCTCTAAGAATATAAATATGCAAAAGATAATATCCTGCCTCAAAGATCTTGCAATCTAATGAAGAATTCACATGTTATAATAATCAATTCACTTTTAGAATACCATAATATTAGTACAGTGATATAGTTTGCTCACACTTAGATTTTCCACAGAAATGTCTGCATATATGAATCAGTCCATAGTGTGCTATTGTTAAAAAATTTCTTCTTTGGAGTAAATGACATTTCATTAAACTATGTGCATGTATTGCTCAACAATATAAGCAAATGAAATAAAAAATTACAAAAAAATGTATTTACTAATCAAATACACGTTTTCCTGAAACTACTATGGAAAAAAGATGAGTTTTAGAAGTCACCTAAAGATTTACATAACAAAATAAACCCACATTTCATAAATCTAAAATTCAGAAATTTGAGAAATCAAAGAAAAGAATTAACTAATCTACCCAGGTAGATTGATGTCATGATTTTAATAAAACATGCGAAGGCCACTGAATTCACTGGCTCTCAGAATATCTCTGGGGACAGGCATTCTTTGTTCAGCAACTAAGCCAGTATTTCTAGCTTTGTTGGAAATGCAGACAAACAGGAAATCTCATTGCTTCTTTTGTTATCCCAATGTAGCACCCTTCTTCTCCTCTCAAATATCAGTGGATATTTTGATGCAGGGATCCATCAAGTTCAACCAAGAGATATCATCTGTCAAAATTTCAAGGGAAGTTTCACTACCATGGCTGCTCTAACATGTCTAAAAACTGCTTCAAGTTACAGTTTGGGTTTCCCTAAATCAAAACTGCTTCAAAATTATCCCTTGTCCTAAGAAATCTCCACAATTTGATGAAGTTGTATATTTAAATAAAGCAAAAACAAAGATTTTCATATACTTACATAAATGGGGAAACATCTTTTCATAGAGGAAAAAGCAATGTCTAATAGAAGACGATTTCAATAGATAAAACACTAAAAGATATAAATGAAATTAACCATTTCCTTTATATTACAGAAATATCATTCTAACTCATTAGCAAAATCTAATAATTGTATGGCTCTGGTGGCCAAAATTAAAGCTTGGCATAATTATAATCAACTAAAATACAAAGGATTTTTTAAAGCAAAAAAAAAAAAAAAAAAAAAAAGACAATTTCTTCCTTCTTTCTTATTTTATGAGGAACAAATTTTGACCAGTTAAGCAAAGTAATCCTGTGTGATACTCTTTTGATTATGATTAGACTTAAGAAAACTGATTCCCCTACTAACCGGATAAATGAAAACATAGCCTCAGAAAAATAACATGCCAGAACAAAAATCTACATGCCAGTGATATAGATCCTTATTAGACTATTAAAAATGCACCTCTAGTCCAAGAAGATCTAGCATAAAACTAAAGAATTGTGATTAAAAGAGAATAATTTTTTAAACTTAAGATCTGGAGTCTTTTTGACAGCCGAATTCCCCGCCATCAAAGAACACAATGGATTTTGTAAGTAAATTTAAAGGCTTTTGTTTGCATAAGGTAATCAAAGTATTGTCAGCAAAAATAAAAGCAAAATTCAATCTTTTCCTCACTTTTAGGTCTCCAAGGGCTTTTGTATTTTATAATATCTATGCCATCTTTGCAGCTCGATCCGTTTAATAGTCGATTCCAACAATTTGCTGATTGTCCTGGGATCTCCAATTCAAATTTCTTTCCTGGTCCCTCACCGTCTTGGTGTGCCCCCTCCCCTCCTTAGCCTGCTTCAACTTCACAACTAAAAATATAACCATTCCCTTGTACATTCCCTCCCGCTGCATGCTCCTTGCTTGCTTCACTCTCTTGACCAAACTACAACCCTGGTTAATTGTAACTCTTCATCTACTCCTGCAAGACTGAATGTGACTGGGAAAAAAAACACAAGCACACAGGCTACACTCAGTTTATGACAATAAGTGCAAGTGGTCCCAAACACCATCTGACAACCATCCTGTATTTTGTTACTCTCCCATTCTCCTAGAAGACTATTTCACATCTTCCCAAACTCCAAATGCCACTTCCTCCATCCCTACTCCAGTTGATGAGTTTGCTTCTTAGTTCACTGAGATTATTAAAGCAATCAGACAAGAACTTCTACAGTCCCCATCACCACATCTACCCAGCATCTGCAAGCACATACTCAGATGAATCATGCACATGCCTATCTAGAACCAACCCTTTCACTTGTACATTTAATCCTTCCCTTTTTGCCTTCAAGAATTTAGTTCCAGCTCTTCTCCCCTGTCACATATATCCCAAGTTTTTCACTCTATTGCAGCATGCCTATCAGCATAAAAACATGCTAATACTTCTCCTGTCTTAAAAGACAAAACCCCAAAAAACTCTTCACTCCAGTTCAGCTACTGACCCCCAGCTCCATTTCTTTGGTCACCTTTGTGGCAAAACTTTTTGAAAGAATAACCTATGACGCTTCCAATTCCTTTCCTTCCCCCCGTTCCCCCACTAATGTCTGAAATGCTGTTGTCACCACCACCAACAGCCTCTGCATTATAAATCCAATGTTGAGTTTTCAGCCCTCATCTTATTTGATCAAGCTGCAGTATAGAAAACATCATCATGCTTTCCCCTTTTTTCACTTCACTTCCAGGATGCCACACTGTTGATTTTCTTCCTTTCTTACTGATTGGACCTTCTTATCTCCTCTGTGGGCCTCTTTTTGCCAACCTCTTCATGTTGTAGCGGCCCAGAGTACAGACGGTGGCCCTCTTCTGATCTCAGCCATCTTAATACGGCTTTAAATACCATCCATATGCCAAAGATATATTAAGTTACCTTTCCTGTTCTCTGCCTGTCCTCAACTCAAGATGAGTATGTACAAAGCCTTAGTTGATATTTACATTTAAAATAGGTCTCTCTAGCTAAGCAGGCCCACGACTGAACTCTAGAATTTTCCACTCAAAAGGTGTTCTCCTGCAATATTGTCTCAATTGATGAAAACTACATTTCCAAGTGGCTCAGGCTAAAGACCCTGGAGTCATCACAGAGCCTCTTTCTCAGATGCCAGACATCCAGTCTCTCAGCAAATTGTAAATTGGATGTCAGCAAATTGACTTCAACTACTTCTTACCATATCCACTGCCACCACTTTTGTTGGAACCATCCTCTCACCTGTGTTGCCACAGTAGCCTCTTCTCCATGTGTCGAATCTTGATCTCCTACTCTATTCACAACACAGCAGCTAGAGTGTTCCTTTGTATACGTATGTTAGATCATGTGACTTCTCTGCCAAAATGCTGTTATAGATCCCCCTTTCTCTCAGAGAAAAAGCCACAGGTTCTATATAATCTCTTCTTCCACCATTCTTCCCTTTGCTTACATTTCTAGCCATCCTTGCCTCCCCATTGTTCTTTAAAATAACCAGGTACATTCTTGAGGCCTTTTGACTCAGCTTTTCTCGCTGGAATACTCTTCTCCTGAACCAGCTGTTCTCAAAGTATGGGTCCTCTGGGAACTTTGCAGAAATGCACATTCTCAGCCCTTACTGCAGACCTACTAAATCAGGGATTCTAGATGGGGGCCAGCAATTTGTGTTTTCAGAAGCCCTACAGGTGTTGTTGCTATTACACCCTAAAACTAAGAACAACTGCCCTAGATATCTACATGGGTAACTTCCTCACTTTCTTCACGTCTTTGCTCAGATGTCACTTTCTGAATGAAGCCTATTCTGAGTATCCTATTTAAAATTCTCCGCTTCACTCCTTCTGCAGCACTGCACATTTCTGTACTCTGCCCTCCTTTTTCCTTTATCACCTGTATCTTCCAAAATACTATAAAATGTATATTTTTATCATATTATTTTTTTCTCACCCCAGTAGACTATAAGCTCCATGAGGGTAGTGATGTTTTTATGTCTTATTCACTGGTATATACAGAATTTGACACAATGTGGGTACTCAATAAATACCTATCAAATTAATGGAGTGAATGGCCAGTAGGGACATCTACACAAGTAAACCATGTCCAACCAACAGACAGGCAGGGAGTCCTCTGACAAGTGGGGGTTGTGGGCCCCAGTACATAATTAACAAGTGCCACTTCATTTCATTGTAAGGAATGCAGAGATAAAATAGATACATATGTTAACATTCCCACTCCTGGTACCATGGTACCAGATGCGTTTTATGGAACACAGGAGCAACCCAGGCATCCCAACCGCTATGCGTCTTCTTTTCTAGGAAGATGGAAGAATTCAGGTTGCTGTCTTATGCTTTCAGACTGTAGAAACTTAAGAGTGTTAATGTTTCCTAATGCCTTGGGCTATTACCCTGGTGGAGGTGGGAAAGTACAATCATTACATTCCTATACCTTCTTAAGTAACAGCTACAGCTCCTTGACAGAACTCAAGTTCAGGGTAGCTGCAACTGTGGTTCTTATCTTCTGTGTGGGTTTGTTACAAAGGAGAGGGTTGGAGTAACTTTTTGCCTTTCTATATACGAGTTTTAAAAGTGTTCCAAACACAAGCAAGGTAACTTAGGAAGAGAAAAAGATACTGAAGGAAACGAGCATTTCTTAAAAAGTCCCTGCCATGTACAATCCCAGCAGTAAGTGCTATCATTTAATATTTGCAATATGGTACAAAGGCAATGGCTGAATCCTGCTACCATCAAAGCCATGGTAACACTACAAATATACATGCAACACAACACTTACCTCTGCTAATCATTTCTGCTACAAATTTACTCCGAAAAAGCTGTACAATTTTGATGATCCCTTATTTACAGGAACGATGCCAAGAAACACAGGACTAAATAAACCAGATCACTTTTACAAATTTAACACAATGTATTTCTTTGTGAACATCTAATGTTGGCCCTTTTATTGCCTTTAAAATGATTTCAATATTTGTCTCTACAATTGACTAAGGTAAGTAAAACGACATCTATGAAGCATGAAAAAAAGAACCTCTTTAATTCCTACCATATAAATGATGGTTACATTAATATTCTATACTTTTGGCTCTGAACCATCTAATAGGTTTATTCTAGTACAACAATAAAAACTGTTAAGGGAAATGAGGAAATAGCATGGGGATTATTGCTCTTAGCATTTAATAGCGTATTGGAGTCTTGATGCTTGCTTGCATTTGCTTGGAATAAGTATCTAAGGGAAAATTAAGCCCTAAGCTGAAGCTACTATTTGAAATCCCAGAAAGGGCTCCTGGGAATAGTTTGGTTTTTTGTGACAATAGATTTTCTGATGAAGTACACCGTTCCCTAATGAAAAAGACCTGGCACAGCTTCATATGATAAAATTTGACCAATGTGAGGAATGTGATGATCAGTTTGGGAATGAGTGTTTTAATAAAAGAAACATGAAATCGGCTGTGCTTTGGCAGGACATACCCCAAACCATCATGAGAGCTATCGTCCTGGCCCACAGATGATCCCCACCATGCTACAACTGTGTGAGTTCCCACTGACATCACTGGCAAAGCTGGCACGGAAACAAAGACATAACCCAAAAGCAGTCATGTTGGATTCTGCTTCGCTGGAGTCGTATGAAAAACAAACTAACTTCCCTGCCTCCCCTGACCCACCCCAAAAAACGTACCACGGAATAGATTTGAGGCTCAGTTGAGCTACTGAAGATGTATATTTCTAGGCAAGTAGATAAAGAGGGATAGGAGAAATGAAATTTTAGAAAGGAAAAGGCAAGTGTTTTCAAATGATGAGGTCAAATGTGATAAATGTGAAAAAGGATGATACAATAAGAGGACTCTGAATTACTTGGGTTGAGATTGTCTCATACCTTAACTGGAGCAACAGGTCATAGTTCAGGAGGGGTAACAGTTGCTTTTATCTACATTTTATAAAAAGATACCAATACAATAAGTTGCTCTCTATCAACAACGTTGAAGTTCACATATTCATTAATAAAAAATAGCTTACATTACCCGCATAAATGCTTGATGTGTTCTACAGTTAGCTTCTCTGCTGGACACCTGTATGCTTCCTGTAATCACGTCAGAAGTTCCATTAGAAGAGAAATAGAATCTTGGTGGAGACTCTGCCTTTCTGTTCACATCCAAACTCATGTTATAAAACAAAACTGCAAAAATATAGAGAATTGCAATTAATCTAATTACTGAAATACATCTATTGTTATTTTTGAAGTGATAATAGTTAAAGTTATATGGACTACTGGAAATAATATCTGGAATTCTCTTTATTAAACAGCTTTTTAAAGACTAACCTGAAATATGAAAGAGGGAACAATTAAAAATACAAATTTTAAAAATTGCTTTTATAAAGATTTATGAACTTTCCTCTAGGTTTCTATTAACAACATTAAAATCTTTAGTTATTTGCTTAATCTTTATATAAAAATTTCAAAAATATAAAAATTGTTGCTAATAAAAGTCTTGCATGTTTCATATTCCTTTTTTTCTCAGAACATTGACTAAGGAAGTATAGACACAGCACTTTGCTCAAATGTCACTTGGAATAATTCTATCTTATGTGGTTATATGACTAATTTTATATATGACTTTTTTATATTTTAGATTTGTTTCTGATTTGAAGGCTTTTTTTTATACATGAAGTGAACACATGATTAAGTCAAATCTATATATACGGTTTTCTTAAAAATGTCATCTTTCCAGTCTTATGCCCTGATTATCTGTCCTTCCTCTGTGTGTTATTGGTTTCTAGTTTGACCTTCCAGTGTTAATTTGTGCAATTTTTAAAAAATTCTCTCAATAAATATTCTAGCAGTTTGGCAGGGTTTATTTCAAATCTGAAATAGTAAATATTCATCTGCTCATGAAGATCTCCAAATTTGAAAGAAAAAAAAAAGGAAAAAAGAAAAAATTAACAAAAACGTCCAAGCCAGATCTTACCAAGAAAGTGAGAACCATTTCATGAATCTAAATGAGTTCTTTGCCATGCAAGCTAAATCTAATAGTCTGCTGAGGTGTCACTCACTACATAGAGGCAATAATTCATAAGTGATAGTTTAAAGAATTTATGTAATTCTTGACATGTTCATTTGTATTTTAGGAGTAACACTTCCAGAAGAATTTTACCTACTTTTTTCAAGGAAACATAAGCATAAAATCTATATTACTCTTTACACATTTCAAATAAATCCTTCAATCATCTTTTTAGTTGGAAAATAATGAAGTCCAAGCCAATTGGATTTCAAAATTATAATAACTGAGATTCAATACCTCAGAGAAATAGCACTGCAATTGATATAGCTGTCTACAAGTTCATTGCCCTGAGTTCAGAAAAAAAGTAAATGAAAAAGGTGAAAAAAAATCCACTATTAGTAAGAGTTAAAATGTCCTGGTTTTATTAAACATGCTTGCCATGTGAATTATTTCTCCTGGGAGTCATTTTATGATAATTATAAGGTATGCTTCTCCAATAATGTGATGATTATTTATGTGTTTCGTATGTTTGTCTTCAACTATTTTTAAAAATATCTGGTCACAATGGAATTGTTAGTAGAGGAAACACTAGTTTTATGTAAAAGGAAAGAGCGTCATCTACTCAATGTGTGTCTTTCAGATTATCCTTCAGCTTGTCTGTGTTACTGTGTAATTTACTCTGTGGTCAGGCTCTCAAATTGCCATTTTCCAATCAATAACTAGATGAAGGCTTGTCCACCCTCTTATTACTGTAGCTCTGGCCATGACTTTTCCAGGACACTATTAAAAATGAGTCTGATCTAAAGTAGAGATGCCAGGCTCATTGTGTACCTTTCAGGTACAGGCTCATTGTGTACCTAATGCATACTAAGACCTCTATTACATATCCATGGCATTATTTAATAAGTATGTGGGCCCTTCACGATGTTTAGATAACAGCAGCCTGCAGGGTCATGAATACAATAAACTCTTGACAGGTCCTAATAGGGGATCATAAACGTTGTGAATTATTAATCTCTAAATGATATGCCCAGATATGCTCTTCTCCTACCACAGGCTCATTTCACTAGTAGTTATTCTTATATTAGCCTAAATAAAACATAATTAGGAACATTAATCTGCTAGCAAAAATACTTATAAAGTCATATATACATGATTTGGGATTCCCCACCACAATATTTTGGATGAGCTATATCAATGATACTTTCTCCAGAGCAGATAATTGAGAGTTGCCTATACAGAGGGACATAGGTGACGGTTCTTAGGAGCTTGTAGTCGCAGTAAATTATTAACAAGCATATTATTTATAGAAATCAGAATCAAGTCTAGCTTCTTCAATTTTTTTAATATTTATTTTTATGGTTATTATTTTTTTGAGACAGGGTCTCATTCCATTGCCCGGGCTGGAATGCAGTGGTGTGATGACAGCTTGCTGTAGCCTGGACCTCCTGGGCTGAAGCCTCAGCCTCCTCAAGTGCTGGGATTATAGACATGAGCTACCATGCCTGGCTTTCCTCAATTATTGACACTTGATAAAATGTCAATTTTATCCAATGTCAAGAAGAAAGAGATTTCACAGGTTAAGCTCAGTTGGTTTACCTTAAACTAATATAGCAAGTGATACTATGTCCTTTGCTTCTCATAATCTCTAAACAACTACAGCCTTCTAATGTGCCCAACTCATTGGTTAGAACAACGCAAGAATCTGGAAGATGGAGAGGAAAAGCATGCATCAGGTAGCTTCTCTCCCCCGCTCTAAAGAAGATCTCCGTGGTGAAAACCGGTGAGGGCTCCAAGCAGGATTGTGGGATTAATGAATGAACCGCACCCCATCAAGCATTAATATTGTAGGGCATACCCACCAATGTAACCTGGAACTTCCTTGCCCTTATATGAGAAACAAAGTGTTAGATCTATGCACACAGAAGGCCATCCATTTTCAACACAGTCAAATTTCGTTCTATTTACTGACTCAGGGTGGCTTAAAGAAGCGTCAACAATTACTACAGGTCTTGTCCTGAGAAGGAAATAAAAGTAGCAATGTTAATTGCAGAATTATTTTTCCTTAAGGAGAGAAATGCGTTTGTTTTTTCAGTTTACATTCACCAAGTAATTTCATGAGTCTTATTATGTGTGTACATACTAATTACATTTCTGTGCACAGGGCAAAATAACTTTTTATTTAAATGTCTAAAAATATTGACTTTGATGATTTAATTATATCTCTGTAAGGTGAAAAAAATACCCTAAAAATCAATAATTAAGCTTCAGAATACCAAAAGAGCATCATGAGGTCACTACCACTGCTGATTTTAAACACCACCTCCCATCATTTTACAATTAAACCAAATTGCAATTAAGCAGTGAAATATATCAGTCTTACCTTAGCAAGACAGCAGAATCAGACCGAAAAGCACCAACTGCTACATCTGGAGGATAAAAAACAACACAGATTAATGATCATCATTAGTCAAAGAGAATTATTTTTCAGCCATAAATACTTAACTACGTATCACCTTTGACTACCTAAAACACTATTTATAGAAAATTAGAGAATATATGCTAACATCTTACGATTCTTTCCACTTTTCTCTGAATCTATTCATGTACAACATTCATCCCATTATGATATATCATAAACTTTATGACAAAAACAAGTTTACTAAAACAAAATTCAATTTTTGGACTAGAAACATTCACTCAAATTTTTCTAAATAAAAATTTTCTTTCTTTTCCTCATATATTTGATTTTCATGAGTGCTTTCATGTTTTCAAAAACACAGACTATAACATTGTGTAACTAGCACTGTTAAGCTGAGGAATTACTTGATCATTTTAGGAATGAATTAAGGAGAACTTTAAAAATGAAGAAAAAAAATTATCAGTAAGATGAAGTCTTTCATACCAGTTTTACGTACTTCACTATAAAGCAGTATCTATGATAGAGCTTATTCCAATTTATAAATTATGATAAACTAATTACTCACCTACATAGCCATTATTATCTGCATCAATTTGTCCTGATATAGACTGTCCAAACATACTTAACGATTTGCTGATCTGAAGTCCTTCAATTCTCTGAAAAATAGGAAAGTTGAGTGGGAAGTAGTTTTTGAATACTAATATACCAGAGAAGCAATGATTTAGCTAAATAATGAGCTTTCCCAGGCATGCCTTGGCACATCTACTAACAAAGCTGCATTTTAGTTAAATCAAATACTTCTAAGGGTGACAAAATTTTTCCAGCTTGAAATGAACAGGTGACATTTGTGACTAAAAAAATTTACTTTGCGAGCAAAGGGAAAATTATGCTGTACAGATTTTCTGAAATAGTCTTTACTCCCTCTCAAGTCTTTTAGAGGTGGGGGTCTCACTATGGCACCTGGGCTGGCCTTGAACTCCTGGGTTCAAGCAGTCTTCCCAGCTCAGCCTCCTGAGTAGCTGAGATTACAGGTGTGTACCACCATGTCTGGCCTCCTTAGGTCTCTTCAGGCTCTCTATTTACTTCCTTGCCCAACATGAATAACTAAATAAGAATTTGTAAAACAAGATGTCTATAATCACTTAGTGGAGCCTATGACTGAGGCTTTTGATAAAAGCTGACTTTTTAACAAGAACAACCCTAGCCAGATATGTACTTTCTATTCCACATATCTAATTTCATGTTCACATACAGGTTTATAAATATTAAGCTGATATTCGTGCTAAGAAAATTAGTTTTTTTACTAGACAAATACATTTCTTTTATGTCAATTACAGAGAACCATTTGCTCATTTTTCTAATCAAAAATAACTGTGCCAGCTAATATTTCCATGCAAATATCAAGGGAAAAACTTTTCTTCTCTGCATATGAATGTCATTTTTTTTCTAGGCACTGAAATGCCATGATTTTTCAACATACAAAAGTGAAGTCAGAGTAAGATCCTGAGACATTATTAAAGTGCTATCATCTTACTACTCAACAGTGAAAAAAACCCAGAGAATCATATGTGTGTTTGATCTCCCTGTGCAATCTTCACAAAATATGGGGCTCTAGCCACAAGGCCAAGACACAGTTAATCAAATCCAAATGGGCATATTTTAGAATCATATGGATATTACCTCAGAATGCAATTTAATGAAATACAAAGAGAAATCTTTAATGGGCTATAGACAAGCTAGGGTGGAAATGAACTACAACTCTTATTTATGGAGAAAGGGAGTTTGAAGAGTTATTAATCCCTTAAAATAAGATCATTTGCCACTATAAGTAAACGGTGAAATAAAGTGTTAAGTATTTGAATGAGAAAATTAAGAAAAATAAGTCCACATAAACCCTGGAAGTTTTAAGGATATGCATTATAACCAATGCTTCTTTTGGAAATAGAATAGTACCTTACCTGTGAGAAGGTTGACGAGATCCCATCTGCACGGCCATTGTAAATATAAATAGCACCTTGCAAGTCATCTTCTTGTGGAGCTCCGATAGCAACATCTATCCAATAATTTAAACAATGGAAAAATAAATTCTTGATACAAAGAATGCAACTTCGAAAACTAACCTTATGAACCTTAATTCATATCACATAAGAAAACTCTCTTTTATGAAAAATAACAGTCTTCTCAGACAGAAAAAAATAAAATACTATCATCATCATATACAGGATTGCACACAATAGTTTGCACATGGAAGAAAGCAGAGTGGAAGCATCTGAGAGGCAGTGTAACAAAATGATTAGAGCGCGGGCTCTACAGCCAGACCACTGGGGTCTGATCCGAGCTCTGCCACTGGGCACTGCCACACTAGGTTGGGCCCATTTCTTAATCTGTGTTTCAATTCCCTCACCTATATAATGGGATCATAATAAAAACCACTCTCAGCATAAAAGGATATGACCTATGTAAAGTGCTTAGAGCAGTGCCTCGCATGTAATAACCTCATAATCTATGAATATTTGATCATAAGAATTTTTATTTTGGGAGTCTAGACTTACCTTATTTGCAAAATGACTTTTAATTCCTATTCCAATGAAAATGATTAAGGTATCTGTTAGAGATATCTGCACACACAGACACACAGGATTTCAGAAAAAGGATTTGTTCTGTAAAATAATGATTTTATCACCTTTCTGTATTATTGATAATTATGTCAGACTATGATACCAAGGGAAAAAAGATCTGATCAACTAATATAAGAAAACCTGAGTAAATGACATGGTTGCTTAAATGCTATAAATATATAGCACAAAGGAGAAAAATAATATTCTACAGTTGCAAGAGCATTTCATTATTTTACCAAGTATTGTCTATTTATGCATATATTTACTTATATGCAATGGTTTATTTAATAGAAACCTAAAGTAGTTTGTCTTCATGATATTACTTATTACCATCAAATTGAAAATCATTTTATCAACTATAGTGGTAATTTTGGGCTACTATTTCAATGAGGATAAAAATATCTTTGATATATAACTCCATGCTAAACAATGTAAAATTTTAAAAATGCAAAAGCTTTTCTATTTTCAGTTAAAAAGAAATGGTAGACACCTATATTTACTTTGTTTAGACATACAAAGGCTAGCCTCTTTTGACTTGTACAAAGTTTTTCAAACTTTCATATACAAATATGCCCACTCATTTATTCATTCATCGGACAGCTAGTGAGCACCTACTATATTCCAGGCAATTGCCAGGAGCTGGCAAAACAGGGCAGTATCACAATAGGAAACTCATTGTCTAGTGGGGAGGAATGGCAAGTAAGAATAGACTAATAACACAGCATATGAGGAGGAAGTGGTGGAAATTAGAAAAGGCTTCTCATAGAAAATGATGCCCAAGATGAGATTAAAGTATCCATAGGTCATAGACAGGTGAAGAAAAGGGGAAATGCAATTTAGAGGCAGGGAAATGCCTGTGCAAGGGCAGGGAAGCAATAGGCAGCATGGCACATGTGAAGAATGGCAATTGGTTTGGAATAACTGGAGTCAGATTTGTGCAGAATATATACATACAGGAACAGAGGAGCAGGAATGGTAAGGAAGAGAAAGAGGAGGAGGAGGAGAAGAGGGATGTGAGAAGAAGGAGTGGGGAAAAGTATTTTATAGCCATTGAAGGGAAGACAGCAATTTATTTTAATCAGGGCTGGGTTTATACTTCCACCACTGTGGTTACATCTCTAGAATTTCCTATATATTGATTCTTCATAACACATGAAAAAAATAACAAGCCTTGGTAGTGAAGTGGTTGATGTAATTCTTTTTTTTTTTTTTTTTTTTTTTTTTGAGACGGAGTTTAGCTCTGTCGCCCAGGCTGGAGTGCAGTGGCGCGATCTCGACTCACTGCAAGCTCCGCCTCCCGGGTTCACGCCATTCTCCTGCCTCAGCCTCCCTTGTAGCTGGGACTACAGGCGCGCGCCACCATGCCCGGCTAATTTTTGTATTTTTAGTAGAGACGGGGTTTCACCGTGTTAGCCAGGATGGTCTCGATCTCCTGACCTCGTGATCCGCCCGTCTCGGCCTCCCAAAGTGCTGGGATTACAGGCGTGAGCCACCGCGCCCGGCGATGTAATTCTTACAGTACCTGTTATTAGCAAGAGTGATCTAGATTAAGGCAAATATTTAGGAAAAATACAGATGAGCCTTTTCAGCCAAAATATTAAAAAGGCCCAGATAAATTTTTTTCCATACAGAGGACACTTGGGTATATTCAATCTCTGGCTATCACATATATAGATTCAGACTCTTCCTGGATTACGCTTGGATCTGTTATATAATAAAGTTCTAGCTATCATTATTCAAATGAGAAAGATATGTTTTGAAATATATACAATAAATGTTTTCCAAGCCTATGCAACTTAATTTGGGACACAATATACAGAACATAGGTATTTAATGATTGCTTTTACTTCTTATCTGAACATTTTATTTCATTCTTTTAGTATAAATCAAAATTATTAGTATGTCAGCCAACACTTATACTATGTTTACAATGTAGGCACTGTGATATGGACTTTGTGCAGATTTACCCAAGTAACTCTCACAACCACCATATTAAATAAATACTCTGACTCCAACTTTACAGATGAGGAAACTGAGGCACAAGGTATAACCTGCTCAAGGTGACAGAGCCAGGATGTTGTGGACCTGGGATTTAAACCCTGCAGCCTGGTCCAGATCCTGTGCTATTCCCATGCTCTATAGACTCATTAACAACAGAGGTCATACCCCCAAATTTCCCTTCCTAATACCAATTCCTGTTCTGTGTCAAAGAGGTTCTCTCTCACACACACAGACACACACACACACACACACACACACACACACACACACACACGAATACTATTCAGCCATAAAAAAAAAAAATGAAATCATGTATTCTGCAGCAACAGGGATGGAACTGGTGGGGGATGTCATTATCTTAAATGAAACAAGCCAGGCACAGAAAGTAAAATAACACATGCTCTTACTCATAAATCAGTGCTTTAAAAATGTGTTCACATGGATGTATAAAGTAGAATTAAAGGAGGAGACCACCCCTCATATTGACTTATGCCCAATTTCTGCCTCCAAAGAAAGAAAAAGTAAAAACTAAAAGGCAGAAATGAAATCCACAAGCAGACAGCCTGGCCCCACATCCTGGGCCTGGTAGTTATAGATCGACCCCGACCTAATTGGTTATGTTATCTATAGATTACAGACATTGTATAGAAAAGCACTGTGAAAATCCCTATCCTGTTTTGTTCCGATCTAATTACCGGTGCATGCAGCCCCCAGTCACGTACCCCCTGCTTGCTCAATCAATCACGACCCTCTCACGTGCACCCCCTTAGAGTTGTGAGCCCTTAAAAGGGACAGAATTGCTCACTTGGGGAGCTCGGCTCTTGAGACAGGAGTCTTGCCGATGCCCCCCACCAAATAAACCCCTTCCTTCTTTAACTCGGCGTCCGAAGAGTTTTGTCTGTGGCTCGTCCTGCTACATTTTGATAGACAATGAAGACTCAGAAGGGAAAGAGGTTGTGTGGGGTGGATGATGAGAAATTACTTAATGGGTAAAAATGTATGTTATTTGGATGATGGATACCCACAAGCTCTGACTTGATCGCTATGTAATCGATGCATGTAACAAAATTTCACTTGTACCCTATAAACAAATAAAACAGAAGTGCTCACTTAATGATTTGACGATATATTAATATTTCAGGTGCACACAAAATAATAGTACAGCTTGTAATTTACAATTGTAGAACTTGTTATGGTTCTGCTCTAAAAATATTCAGACATATAGTCTAAAAGTCAGATAATAAGGCTCAAGGTGAAAAAAGAAACTAAACCGATAAATAGTGGTCAAGTCTATTTTACATATGAAATAAAAAATGTGATCTGCTGTTGGTCATGTCAGGTACATTAGTCTGTCTGACCGATTTTTTCATGCTTTTGATGAGTTTTACACTAAATTTTTGCCAAATCAATTGGTCATCTTTTTAGAAAATGGCTTGTGTTGCTTTTCTAAGGACACAGGAAATAGAGTCTGATTTTTTTTCCATTTGAGAACAATTGAAAAGTGATATGACAAATGCCAAGATAACTTAGGTTTGCTATGCAAAGTACCACAAAAATTTGCATAATAAAAAGACATTAAGTGTGATTTGCATCCAATGTTGGAGTCTCTTTCTTCATAATCCTACACTTCTTGCCATGAACACAAAGTATCTTTACCCATCCACCCCAGAAAAATAAAATAAGAGAAGATGGGGCAAAGTAATAAAGAAACACATAAAGAAAAATAACTTGTAAATTCCTGCTGCCTCATGCAGGCAGACATGGTGGAATGGAATAAAAGACCTCAGCCAAGAACTAGGACACACTGGCCCTGTTTCCACATCAGCAATGGTCTTGCTAATATCTAAAATATAGAAAACGCCTACTCATGGGCAAAATAGAAGATAAAATTAGAACTGGAGGGCTGGGTGCAGTGGCTCATGCCTGTAATCCCAGCATTTTTGGAGGCCAAGGCGGGCAGATCACAAGGTCAGGAGATAGAGACCATCCTGGTTAACACAGTGAAACCCTGTCTCTACTAAAAACACAAAAAAATTAGCTGGGGTGGTGGCGGGTGCCTGTAGTCCCAGCTACTCGGGAGGCTGAGGCAGGAGAATGGCATGAACCCGGGAGTCAGAGCTTGCAGTGAGCCCAGATCATGCCACTGCACTCTGGCCTGGGTGACACAGCGAGACTCCATCTCAAAAAAAAAATAAAATAAAAAAAGAACTGGACCAAGTAGAAAAAGATATATGGCATTATAAACACTCACTGAAGTGTTAATGTAGCCACTAAATGTAAATATGCGGTGAATTATAAATGACATTATAAATAGCACAAAAATATGCAGGAATATTTTAAAAAATCATTTGCATAATAACCTTCCAGACATAAAGGTATTACCTTTAGGAGTGGAGTGCTGAGGGATTTCAGTGAAACAAGAGCTGTGTGAAGCCCAGGGTCTCATATACAAATTGAGAGACTGCACTGTCCCCTGAAAGTCACCTCCGAAGTCCTCTTCCTAAGTCTCATCGACCGAACACTCTCTGTCCTTCACACCACTGGAAAATTACTTGGGCTTTTCCCAGGTATAGAGTAATTTTGATAAGGGAATTTGCCTATGCTCACAACAGTTTTACAGCTCTAACAATAATTCAAATTTGTCATTGACATTTTGATGCCACAAAAATAATTTCTCATGTGTACATACATATACTTTTCACATTCAAAAGAGTAAAAATAGTGAATGGTCTTCTTTAAATGTGTCAATTAAAACAAGACAGAGAAATCATAGACAAAATAAGTGTTTTACTAAACAGTGATTTTGTGTTTTTAAAAGAAAGAATTGGGTTGTCTCATACAACACACATGACAAATCAAAATGCATAAACATGGTTTTATCCATAGGTCTTTATTAGGTAGAACCCTTAAACTTGCCACGAAATAAGGCTTATGTTTTCAAGTATTAATTTTATTTTCTACTTGATGGTAGAGCTATAAAAAAGGGTGCCACTATTTTCTTCATTTTCATTTATTATGGCACATATTCTGTACCTGGTATGGTACATCTGACCCAAAATAAATGTTCAATAAATATCACAGAATTGCTGGTTACTTATGAGATGTAACATCAAGCATAATAACATTTTATTTTTTGTTTTTAATCAAACCAGGCTTGTAATAGATAAATAACAATTTCTTATTGCTATACATTAAAACTGCACACTTCTGAATGGAGAGATCAGTTATCAGTGAATTGCTTTTCTATGACACTGGATGGCTGCATAGGAGCAGCGCTGACCTGAATTTATACAAACTCTCAGGAGATGTGAACTCAATGTGACGAGTGACGGCAGCAGTGGTCAATACAGGAATGCAAACCAGGTGTCCCGTCCCCTTTCTAGGAAGGGCATAAAATATGACATGATCCCTCTTACAGCTCCAATTTAAACAAAACAGCCACAACACCTTCCCTCACCCCTGTCTGGGATGAGGTTATTTATGAAAATGAGCCAATGCCCAACCTGGGGTCCTGGGAGGGTAAGGGAAGTAGGGGGAAGCTAGTGATGGGTGGGGTACAGAGAGGCTCCCATTCATACATGTTTTTTAAAAAAATTATGTGTAATCGTAATAACCAAAAGTATATACACCTATTTTTTTCTTTCAGTTTTAAAATAGTAAACAAAAAATCCAGAACAGTAATACTTGTATAACAAGTTACACTATTTTACGTTTAAGAAGGTTCACTGGAAGCATGTATTCAATAACTGACTTTTTATGTAGAATAATGCATTTTATATATTTAAAGTAGATTGTGGTATCTAGGTACAAGAAGACATTAAGGAGATGAGAATTTATAGTACCCCAGCACTTTAATCTCTGAGAAAGCTTTAGCCTAAAACTACCGTATACTAATTGCCAATGGCCTTATCAAGAAGACAATTATGAACCCTAAAAATAAGTATCAAATACTTATGTGCTGAACTCCATGAAACTGCACACTCTCCTCTTAAACCTATTCACCATTTTATGCACAGTTTTAACAGACTCAGTTACTTACCACTTAGAACTAGATTGATAAAAGCAAATTTTTAACAGTAAATGCTAGTAGATGCAGGGATTTCAACAACAGGACTGACATCCATGGCAATATGCACAGTTACCACACTACCATCTATTCAATTAATAAAAAACGTCAATATCAGTGGGTAAACAGCCACTGTCCCCAGGCCTCCCAGTGGCCTGCTCAGAATCTCTTCTTGAATTCCCCAGATCCTCCACAACATAGCTATAGGGAATGCCTGGCAGAGCAGGGGCTTCCAGAACCCTGCTCCAGCTCTGCAGCCAGCCTCTGTTGGGTTTGGTCAGTGTCTTTATTGTACTGATAGTTAAATACCGTGGTCCAATGAGTCTATGATAACACATTTCCTGCCCATATTTTATTATTTCTGAAATCAGGATCTTCCTTAACAGAAAAATGGTGGGTGTAACAGCTTAATAGGTAGCTTTTAGGGACACATAAATAATAATGCAGTTTCTAATCAATGGTGCCTTAGAATCACTGAAATAAGGTATTTTGAATATCATCCATTATTAACAGTGGTAAAGATCAATGGGTGACAATTGAGGAGAAGTCATATATAACACTAAAGAAAAGAAAAAACTTAGCATGCCATTCTGGCTCCATCTTCTATAGGAAGGAAAACAATACAAAACTTTAATCATATTTTCTTCCATAAACCATTTTAAAAGCAGAAATCAAGTACCAATTTGATAATTTTAATTACCTTCAAAGCCATCATTGTCAATGTCGCCAAGATTAACTATAGATTCCCCAAATCTTGCAGCATATTTGTCACTTCCAACGAGGTTTGTTTCCATTGCATTCATTACTGCTCCCTAGATAGAAAGGGAGAGAAAACGTGTCATTATAACACTCCCTGACAACTTTACACGATTTACTGTTGTAATTGGATATGGATTTTTTCTAATGTGTCAAACAAGTTGGACAAACTACAGACTGAGCTTTAGTACACACATCTCAGTTCAATTCAATAAATATTTATTGAGTCTGTCAACACATAATAGTATGATTAGACCTCAGAGGACATAAAAAATTGTCAAACTCATGATCTCTAGCTTTGAAAATCCAATAAATCATTTTGATAATTCAATTTAGCAAATATTTATTGAGCCTCTACTAAAGACAACACACTGTGCAAAGAGCGAAAAGGTGAAAAGGGGCAAGGCAGTGTGTGCACAAAACACATTCCCTTTCTTCAATAAGCCCACAGTTATAGGGAAGGCTTAGCACAAGCATATAAATGACTGAGAAGTAGAAACTGCTTTACAATATCGAGACGCAAAAAAAAAAAATCTAATTATAACAGAAGACATTTCATAAAGGAAATGGCATGCCAGGAGGCTATTGAAGGATAAGCATAATTTTGATATACAGAGAAAACTAGCAGCAAAACAAATTCCAAAGAATTTGGCTCTAATGAATGGTATGTATAATGAATGAGACAAAAATGTCAGATTGCAGTCTTATAGTGTAGCGTCTTGATTGTCGAGGAAAATTTACTCTTAATTTAGGGAATAATACTAAACACTGAAGGTTTCTGAGTTGAGGAGTGACATGATTGAAGCTGGCCTTTGGAACCAGCAGCAGTGGAGCATAGATTAGTCAACTGATAACTAGGAAGGAGGAAGATGAGTTACTACAATAAGACATTCAATAATGTAATAATGGGCTGTTGCAATAACAGCTACCAGTTCTCTTCTGAAACTTTGATCATGTCAGTCTTTTGTATTAAAAAGAAAAAAAGGCCATGTCCTTTATTCTTCTCAAATTTACTTGGCACCTCTTAAGCATACACATGCTCTTTGTCAAGTGTCTTCACTTGTGAATTTTCCAATAGAAAAATTCTGATTTTTGTCTTTCTCAAACACTACTTCCTCTGTAAAAGCTTCTTGACCCAAAGGGAATCACTTCTTCCACTTTGTATGTACTTATAATGTGCCATGTACCATGTTGTAGTCAATTGTTTACTCCCATTGGTGTCTTCACAAAGATCCTGAAGTCCTGGGGTCAGCTCTAAGATTATTAGCTCTTTTTATAGTCCTGGTTACATTTCAGATACTCACTAAATGTCATTTATTTTATTTTAAATGAACTAAGATGACTGGGAATCATCTTTATAAATATAATCACTGACACTGAAGCAGTGAATGATTGATTCAAAGGAGTCAGGGATAAAACAGCTTGGCTCCTGGGCAAATGTCCAAATTAAGGAGTGGAAGGGTGAAAAGGCTCCAGGGAGAACAGACAAGGTATAGACTTAAGACAATGCAATGGCTCTGAAGTTCTGGAAGGAGAGTTTCAATAGGAAGAGGTGATCACTCTTCTTCAAGTATTCCCTAGTCACAGAGAGTGGTGACTGAGAGTTCGCTAGGAACCCCTGAGAGCTATTTTAGTACAAGTAGGCAGAAGCCAGTCACTCAAGTATCATTCTTTCTTGAGTTCATTCAAAAACAATTTCACCTACTTGTCTAGGACTCTTCCAAGCCCTGATGAAACCACGGTAAACAAGACAGACAATCTCTCTCCACAAGGCATCTATACTACAGTAGAAGAACACACAATACCAAATCAAATCAATGTAAATAAATGCCACTTAGTGGTTAGTGCCATTTCAGAGTTGAGAAATGAGAGGTTAGATGGAACAAAGGAAGACTAATCTACATCAGAGGATTTAAAAGCTGGAATCAATTATTAATTTAATCCAAGTGTTTCATAAGAGTAGTGCCTCAGGGTAGGCATGAGGGAAGAAAAGGAGGGTAGCCAAGTGGGTAGAAGGGTTTATCTGTTTTTTCTTAATGAGATTAAGATTTCAATGGGGGAAAATGATTCTATATTGCTTTACTTTAGGTATACATGTGGATGTTTAGTCGTAAAGAGGAAAATAAGAGAAATTTGCAGCACGAGGATGTAGCAAGTACAAAGACCACTATTTTTGGAGATAGAAATGGAAGAAAATTATCTGATATTACTACTATGAGATTTAATGATCACTGTGTAGATAATTTGCTTTTACTATTAAATGTAGGTTAAATACAGTGTAGGAAATACCAAAGCATAAATAACTTCCCTGCTCTATATTGCAAACTTAGAGAATCTTCCATTTATGAGACTAGATGTTTTCTTTCTTAAATTGTAGAGTTTAGTCTGATGCTTAATATAAGAACTTGCTAAATGCTCTGAAACCATTGACTGAACATAGTTACAAATACTTTCTTGAAACAGAGTCCACTTTGTTGAATCCTGACTGAAAAATGCTATGCCATTATAAATGAACTGGTCTTCTCACAAGCCCACTCTTGTTTTCAAATCAAAGAACGGGCCAAGAAGATTTCATTAAGACTCCACCAATTTTTTGTTTTGACTTAACGCCAAGAATCTAGGCTGGCAAGATAAGGCCAGAAGTCTTTGAATTATCAAGTGGTCAGTTTCTACCACAAATTATCACTAATAATTTAAAATTGAATCACAGTCAGTAATTACCTATTTATGCAACTAATATATCCACTGTGGAATAAACCTTGCCAATTTTATATTCTTATCAAGAGCATAATATATATGAATTATGAAAATTAATGTTTTAACAAAACACATCTTGTTTCTAATTGTTTTCAAATTAAGAAATTGAAAATACTTAATTCTTCATCTTCTAGTCCTAGTAATATTTTATAATTTATATAAGGACCTTAACTAGAACTATTAAGAAATCTACATTTTGAAGGAGGTATGAAAATTATTCTTTCAAATTAGATTAGTATCAACATAAAACTGAAAGAAATTTCAGCTACCAGAGTGAACACATACAAGCTGTGAACAGAGAAACTCCCTAACAATCTATTTCATAGATTGTTCTGGAATATCAAAATGGGAAACTTTCCCATTCATCATCATATTCCATTTAATTTTTAGAGCATCAGTACAGTATTAGAATTTTAACTTTTGTCAATAAAAGAAACCTGAAAACAATCTCAGATCTCTGGAATAAGACCAATTTGAGTTTTGATCATAATTCCATAAATGGCTTCCAGTTGGGGCACTTGGACATACCGAGCCAGAGTTGATGTACACAAACACTCTTCCTTCCTCTCTGATGGTGCTCTGCATGGGTGCTCCCACGAGCAGATCTGAGAAGCCATCTGCATTGAGGTCCACAGCACAGACAGAAGCTCCAAAGTACGATCCAAGCTGTCCCAAAACAAACCAGATCCACTCATTGAGAAAAAAGCAGGGTTACTCGCAAAAGCCCACAGAGATACTAAAGGTAGAGACATATTACCTTTTTACCTTTCATTTCATGTAAGATATTTAGTTCTTTTTCATCAATGCTGAATATATATGCCTGTAATTAGGGAAAGAATTAGAAAAGTTTTTAGGAATAACATTTTTTAAAACACCACTCCTTTCTGTTTGATCAAAACATGAATTTTTACAACTTGCAGTTAATTGCTCAAATATAAAAATAAATCCTGTTGAGAGTGACACAAAAGGGTTTGGGATCCACTGTTACATTAATATGCCTTACTTGCAAAAGTATTTTCTCAGGAATTATCTTATTGATCCTATAGAGGGGGCACCGGAAGTGTTGTTTGCCTCAGTTTTCAAAAGTAAGGCTCAGAAAAGCTGGGTGACCAATGTTCACATAGCGACACAGCAAAAACTAAAACCAGGAATAATATTTCCTTCTTTCTAGTCTTACTACAAAATATGTAGCTACCTCAACTTCTTTTCAGCTGTGAAACTGTTCACCATATACTCCCTGGACATTTTTAGATAGTTCTATCTTATAATTTTCTTAAAACAATGTCTCGTTTGACTTTTGTAATTTTTCAGAAAGTTTTTTGCTAAATTTCTTCTAAAACCATAACATCTTTCACCAATTCCACTAAATGTAATAATCTGTTCATCATTTCTAATCTTTCTTTCCTTACAACATTCACAGTTTCTCCTTTAATATCTTATTCATGCAATATATTTGAACCTTTGTGAAGAAATAAATATAAAAATGTAATTCTTACCTTACCAATCTGCTCATGTTGAGGAGCTCCTCCGACTACTTCGGTAGTATGCTGGCTCCGAAAATGACCAGCTCCGACTGAATATCCTTTAAGAAAAGGGAGAAAGTATGAGAGTCCTGGGTAAAGTACATCATATGGTAATATGGGTAAAATAGATCATAAAATTAAATGATACCGAATTCAAAATCACTACATTAAGCAGTTAAGAATATTTAGCATAGAGATACTCAAAATTGGTCATTCATTATGTTTTATGCAATTTTGATATGTTTTACAAAACTGCAGTCATATGGTATGTATTTCCGAGTCCTAGAAATTGAAAATAGCATCTTTACATCTGGTGCAGTATAATCAGTTTCTAGGATTACAACAGACATATTTTAGAGTATATTAAATATAAAATCTCAATTGGGAAATGAAAACTTTAAACTTTAAATAAACATCTTGCTGAAGTTCAACTTTTTTTGCCACCAAATCTTTGTGATGACTTTTCGATGACAAAAAATTGTTCGTATTTTATGTGATAAAAGGCGTAACAAGTTATATTTCTTGAACGATTTCAAAGTATCCTTTCATCATAAACAAGAAAACATTGAATTGTAACAAATTCTTCTACTTGAAATTTCTTCTGTTTGAATAGAAAGAAAGAGTGCTTATTTTATAATTATTTCTGAGTGTAAGATGCTCACATTTGACACACATACAGTTTAAACAAAGCTGGATTTTCTGAAAATCTATAGGAAAAGCATTTATTTTCTTGTAATGGACATTAATGCCAGAAAAGTTTGCATTTCTGTTGAAATACAGATGATAAAGTATCCTACTATTGACTTATGAGATGACAGTGAGGAGGAGGAAGATGATAAAAATAGTTAAGCTCTGGGAAATATTCTAAGAACTTATGAGGTGAAGGTCAATGAGCTGTTTTTAGACCCATGTGCTTCATGGAGCCCCTCATCCAGAATGTGGTGGACAGTACCACTGGCTTTCAGTTGGTGCTTAAGGAAACTATACTTACTTATGCAGATGTTTAAATGAGTTAATTCATGTAAAGTTCTCACAAAAAGTTCCTGAGATATGGGAGGCACTCAACAGAAACAACCTGTATAATCAGTTGACTACATAGAGATAGAAACTTACTAGTGTTTCCTAAAGTGAACTACAAAGAGTAAACTAAACTAGGAGTTCTATTAAGAATTATATATTGATGATTTTAGTCACATGTGTAAATGTAAAATACTGAGTTCACTGAAGTTTCATAAATCCTATCCTTAAGAGACAGTTTCTGAACTGCCTAATTATTACTGTAATTATACTGGCCATTTAGATCTTTGGAAAATACATTTTCCTTATTTATAATTACAGTACTAGTATTTGTAAGGCACAGATCATTTAAGTTTGTCAATTTTTATAGTACCTAAATAACTTCCAAATTTTACTTGATTTTGTTTGTCTAAAAAAGCCTTGTATTTATTTGTAGTTATATTGTAGACAAAAAGAGAGCCAGTCCAGTAAGATGATCCTGGGGCCCCCATCACAATTAAATCCTGTAAGAAAAAAAAAACTATTATTATTTAAACTTTAATCTCACCACCCCAAACCTCCTCCAGATACACGATAGTGAAGAGAACATATTTTTATAATAATCAATTCCTGAAGTAGGAATATTCTGTGAAGTTAAAACATACTAGGAAAAAAAAAAAGCCAGAGAAGTTGGCTAATGGATTTCTAAAAGCGAAATCTCAGAGAAGAAACTCTGAAACTCTCATTCAATGCATTTATCAGTGGATTTCAAAAGTTGAAGGGACAAGTACTGAACGCTAGAGTAAGCTTTTGGGAGAAAGGCAATGTGGTTCCTATTAAAGAAAATCGTATGTGGGTAATTCATTAGTGCTAATTATGGAGATAATCATGTGTTGCCAAAGAATAAAAAGTAGACTTAATTTACTTCTATTTGCAAAGAACCCCTGACTAATAATGTTAGCTTAGGGAAAACATTTCTAATAATGTTAGCTTAGGGAAAAAAGTCCAATGGAATGTGGGGCATATTTTGTTATACAGAGGAAAATTTAGGAGAAGATTGGAATGAGCATGCCCTTGCCTGGTATAGTATGAACACTTTCAGCAATTAAATATCTTTAGCATATTTCTATACTCCTAAACAATCCTAAACTTAAAAAAAGTCAACTTAAACTGAAGAAAGCATTTTCTTTGTAAGCATTTTAATATAACTGTTAATATGTGCAGACACTGTCAACCCCAAACTTGATATAGTGCCTGATCTTCATGGAGTCAAAAAACATTCCTGAATTCACAGTGTGTTTTTAAGAAAACTGAGAGATTTGGGGTTGAGTACAACTGTGCCCTTTCATACATATCCTAGAATGTTAGAAAGAGAGTAAGAAATCTTGGGAATATTGTCTATCTGATTTAAGGGGATATTAAATTCTTAAATTTCCCAATTATCATAATTTAATGAAAAATATAGACTGATATTCTTCCTTTGCCCCTCAACTAGAAATTTAAAATAACATACTTGGGTTGATATTTTCAATACCTAAGTTAACAAGACAATTAACCATAGCTACTTTTGATTTTCATTAAATTGTTGATGAAAGAAATGTTCTTTAGTATAGATTTTCATTCATCTTATGCAGTATAGCCACCTAAATATTGATATTTTATTGAAATATATGTGGAATTTTGAGTGGCAAAAATTAAGTTGTAATACTCAAGTTTAAGAGACATGATGAAGATGTTACACAATTTTTACTTTAAAACATATCAGTCTTCCAAACCATGAGAAGAATTAAGATTCTATATGTAAACATTTATAGCAGCTATTTTTTGAACAATTACCTTTGTGTAAAAACTGGATATTCCAGCTTGACATGATGCAAAATTTTCTCCAAATTTTTTCACATAATCTAAAATGAAATATTAAAACAACTCAGAATTTTATCTTAAAGATAAAATCTCCATAATTTGTTTCTTAAATCCTTACAAAAATGTCCTTTAAGGTCTATAGTTTGTATTTTTTAAAAATAAAAACCAGTAACCTTGATATAACAAATCCCTTCCATATTAGTATTCAAAATATCCCTATGAAATGGCAATAAAAATATCTCCCTCTGCTTCTTCATAGGAAGCACACACAGCATATACTCAAAAAATTTTTGTCAAATGAGTAAGACAGAGGTAGGATTTGTGATTTTGAGCCCATGCTTTCTTTTTACTGTGTATATCTAAGGTGTACAACATCAGGTTTGATATGCGTATACATAGTGAAACAGTTACTACACTTTACATACCTCCTCACGGTCATCTTTTTTGTGCATTTAGAGTGAAATCTACTCTCTTGGCAAATTTCCAGTGCACAATTATTAACTCCAGTCCTCATGCTGTACATTAGATCTCTAGACTTATTCATCCTACACAAA
This sequence comes from Homo sapiens, assembly GCF_000001405.40. NCBI lineage: Eukaryota > Metazoa > Chordata > Mammalia > Primates > Hominidae > Homo > Homo sapiens. The sequence continues at coordinate 181,478,243 of NC_000002.12, read as the reverse complement.
TGCCAACATCTTTCACCAACATCTTCCTATTCCTAACCCTCTCTCTGCTCACCTTCTTCTCTATGTATTTGACTTTTTTAGATTCCACAGATAGGTGAGATCATACAGTATTTGTCTTTCTGGGCCTAGCTTATTTCACTTAAAATAATGTCCTTCGGGGTCATCCATGTTGTCACAAAAGTCAGAATTTCCTTTTTTAAAGGCTGAATAATACTCCATTGTATATGTTTATGTATATATGTGTGTATATATACACCTCACACAATTCCTTATCCATTCATTCATCTGTCAATGGACACTAAGCTTGTTTCTGTAACTTGGCTATTGTGAATGCTGCTGCAATGAACATAAAAACGCAGATCTCTTTATGTGGTACTGATTTCATTTCCTTTGGATATATACCCAGAAGAGGGATTGCTGGACCATATGGTAGTTTTATTTTTAATTTGAGTAACTTCTCTACTGTTTTCTATAATGGCTGTACCAATTTACATTCCAGCCAACAGTGTGCAAGGGTTCCCTTTTCTTCACACCTTCGCCAACACTTGTTATCTCTTGCCTTTTTGATAATGACAATTCTAATAGGTGTGAAGTGATATTTCATAGTGGTTTGTAATTTGCATTTCCTTGATGATTGGTGATGTTAAGCACCTTTTCATCTACTTATTGGCCATTTTGATGCCTTCTTTGGAAAGAAAGCCATTTGGTCTCTTGACTAATTTTTAATCAGTTATTTGGTTTTTTGCTATCGAGTTGGTGAGATCCTTATACATTTTAAATATATAGGACTTATGCGAATATTATTTCCCATTCTGCAGACTGTCTCTTCACTCTGTTGATTATCTCCCTTGCTATGCAGGAGCTTTCTAATATAGTCTCATTTGTTTATTTTTGCTTTTGTTGTTTGAGCTTTTGGTGTAATTTCCAAAAACTCATTGCCTAGACTAATGTCAAGTAGCTTTTCTCTTATGTTTTCCACTAGAAATTTTATGGTTTCAGGTATCGTGTTTAAGTCTTTAATCCATTTTAGTTGACTTTGGTATATTTGCTAAGATAAGCGTTCAATTTCATTCTTTTGCACGCAGATAGCCAATTTTCCCAAAGGCATTTAAAAAAAAACTTTCAGGTTCAGGGTTCATGTGCAAGTTTGTTGCATAGATAAATTGCGTGTTGTAGGGGTTTGATGTACAGATTATTTCCCCATGCAGGTAATAGGCATAGTACCTGATAGGTAGTTTTTCAATCCTCTCTCTGCTCCCACCGTCTACCACCAGGTAGGCCCTAGTGTTTGTGCCTACTTTGTGTCCCTTGTGTCCATATGTACTCAATGTTTAGCTCCCACTTATAAGTGAGAACATGTGGTATTTGGTTTTCTGTTCCTGTGTTAGTTCGCTTAGGTTATTGGCCTCCAGCTCCATATAAGTTGCTGCAAAGGACATAATCTCGTTATTTTTTATGCCTGTGTAGTATTCTACAGTGTGTATGTATCACAGTTTCTTTATCCAATCCAACATTGATGTGCATTTAGGTTGATTCCATGTCTTTGCTATTGCTAACACCATTAATTGAAGAGAGTGTCCTTTCTTAGATTTTGCCCAACTGAAATATAGACTGAATCAAGATCTGCATGGACATAAAGGTCTATTATTACAAAGTCCCATGAATGAATGCTTTTGGAACTTTCTAAGGGGGCAAAGCTTTGCTTCTTCCAAAAAATGATATAAGTAAACTTCTATGAAAATAAGAATTGGAACCACAGCTTCCTTTTGGCTTTGCTAAGCAGAAAACTTCAATAAATTGGTAAGTCATTTATAATGACCATTTCTGGTCAGGAGTTTTCATCCCTTTAAAAAAATATATCTTACCTGATCCTGTATTTTACAATTGTAGATGGGTTAGGTTTATGGCATCTTGAGATTTTTGTAGTATGTGGCTATGTATATCCGAGAAAAACTAAAAACTCTACTATGAAAATATTTTAAAGATAAACCGAAAACTATTAGGAAAAAGAAGACAGCAAACATACAGAAATCAAGACTGAGTTTTATTGCAACTGAGAATCAATATTCACTTTTTTATCTTTTGGGTATCCGAAGGCAAAATAGGAATATATGTAATATAAGCTGCTCTGTGACATCACATTCCAAGGAAGAAAGACCAAAGTCTTATTAGCACCCATAATTGAACTCAAATACTTGGCCAAAGTTTTGCCAACCAATAAAATTTTTCTTTGCGTGCTGAGGGATTTTTTTTGAGTGAGGGTGGTTAGAAAATTATGAATTTGCATTCATATGTTTCTTAGCTCCTAAAGACGCATTGTTGGATTTTAGTTTTGCTGCAGATATCCTCTGACATGCTCTGTTGACATTCACCCCAATTCTGCTCACTTCTGTTATGTCCTAGCTCTGTACTTGCTGATGCTACCTATAGCATAGAGTTACCATGAGAAAAATGTTTCAAACTCAAGACACGAATCTCTTGCTGCTTGAAGGAAAACATGTAAATTAGAAAAAGAGATAGTGAGTGCGAATGAAAGATTTGCTTACACTGATTATTCTTCCCAATTACTCCTGGAAGCTAAAGGTAAAAAAGGAAACCTAAAGTCTTTCTTTTTAATCAGACTTCCAATATAATTTCACAATTTAAATGTCCTATATTTGCTGGGTACTAGTCTCACCTATACCAAATTGAAAGTAAATTTGATGCAAAAGTGGGTAGTTAAAGAGCTAGATTTCAGAGTTATTCAAATTGTAGAATTTTTATAGCACAAAGTGCATTTATGAAAAATAATGCTATTGCAATTGGGTAAAGAAAGAAATTGAGTAGTTAAAAAGAACATAATTACTTAGAAGATCTCCCTCTCCTCTGAACATCTAAACTTGAACATAAATTTAAAACACTAAAAGGTATTCACTTACTTATCTTTATCTAATTCGTATCAAAATCATGCCTTACCTTGATAACACGGAGCTATTCTTTTACTCAGTTCTGTTCGTAAATCAGGGGGCACTCCATAGCAACCACCAGTGGGGAGCTTATTTTCATTCTTTATGTAAAATATATTTTTCCATCTATGCCCACAAGTCTGAATAAAATAAAAGTAGACCAAATGATGTGAAAGCTGCACCCAGGATAGCTGATTTCACGATGGATCTGTGGACCAGTTCCAATACCTACCACGATGGATCCATTTTCTCCTGGCTGTCTGGAAAGTGTGACCCCCAACCACTGATTGTCTCTCTCTTCCAAACAAGTCTTTCCACAAGGTTCTCCATTAGGGCTACCTATAGCATGTGAAAATAATTTTATCAGTTGTATTGAAAACATTCTACAAAAGAAGAGAAAACTGTGCACTCATCCCCAGTATTTTTCTGTTAACTACTTCTCTATCTTATATTCAGTGCACAATGTGAGGATAAATGTGAATTACTCTGTGCCAACTAATTATTCTCTAATACAAGGTGACTTTGGTTGTAGAAATGACCTCTGACTGGTAGCACCATAAAAAGATAGACTCAATCATATAAGAGATAGCTAACAGGACTAGGAGTGGGGAAAACCACTTAAAGCTAATACCAGGTTGTGCAACTATAACTGCTGTGTCTAACGTTTGGAAAAGAATTAGCCATTTATCTAACAACGTAAGCAATATTATCAGAGCACTTTTAAAAATGTTTCTTCTACTGAGATATTAAGAATAGAAAGACTATAATACATCCTCAGCAATTAAGGTACAATTTATTGGAGCTGGAAGGTGATGATTAAGCATGCAGAAAGTGGAACATACAATTAGCATACCAATAATGCCTTGCGTTTATAAGAAACTGCCCTATGTTTACATTTATTGGAATATGACTCATGTTTTCAACAGAGATAAAAGTGATTTGGAAACCAGATTATCTCAGTAGTAAACAAAAAACTTCAATAGATACTTTGGCAAATGCATGAATAGCCAAACATAAATAAAATGCTCATGTACTAGATAGTACTTCTATACTATATAAGAAGTGGTCTTCACAGTGATCATTATTTTCTTTTGTTAGAAAAAATTATTTGTGTTATAGCTGGGTTCCTATTAAAATCCCATGTTAAGTAATTTTAAATAAGTTACTTTGGGGAAGAGTAAGATGCAGTATCCTAATATTCTTTTTGCTGTCTTTCTTTTCACCCTCTTCAGTTGGCATATGACAATTCTATTGCATCTGTTCTTAATTCCTGGCAGATAAATACATTAGCATCAATTTGATTGGATAAGGATGTGGAACTTCGGTTTGTTAATTTTGAACACTAGTCACTAGGTACCAAGTTTTCATGAATTTATGGTGACCATTCTCTATATCATTGGCACTTTGTCTCCTCCTATAATGTTGACCCCTAAATGTAGCTTCCTGGGCAAACTCAGAACACTTACAGAGATACAAACTAATATTTTTATTTTGGTACCAATGGGGGTCTCACTATGTTACCCATACTGGTCTTGAACTCTTGCCTCAAGTGATCCTCTTGCTTTGACCTCCTAAAGTGCTGGGATTACCAGCATAAGCCACTATGCCTGGTAAGGCTAATATTTGAGAAGTGAAATTATTTGCACTAAGTCTCCTGGGTAGGAGAGATTTTGTTTAAGGAGTGTGGGAAGATGTTTGTTTATACTTTCGTTTTCTAAAATGTCATTCAGGAAAAACAAAACCTTTAATCACAACTGAAGTGAAGAAAATGTTTGAGCTCCTCCTCTGGAGATTCTGCTCCAGCAGATCCAGGTGAGGCCCTGATTACCCTAGGTCAGTGGTTCCCAATCTTTTTGGCACCAAGGACTGGTTTCGTGAAGACAATTTTTTCCATGGGCAGTAGTAAGGTTTGGAATGAAACTGTTCCACCTCAGATCATCTGGCATTAGATTCTGCTAAGGAAAGCACAACCTAGATCCCACGGCTGTGCAGTTCGTAATAGGGTTTGCACTCCTACGAGAATCTAATGCCACCACTGATCTGACAGAGGCAAAGCTCAGGCGGGAATGCTCACTGGTCCACTGCTCACCTCCTGCTGTGCAGCCCAGTTCCTACCAGGCCACGGGCCAGTACCCATCCACAGCCCAGGGATTGGGGACCCCTGCCCTAAGTGGTTCTCATGGTCAGGAACACTGTTACTGTGAAATGCAGAGAATGTTTTTCTCGACAGCATACACATAGAATAAATGGCAACCCCCACTAACTGGTAATGGCTTCCTGGAGAACTAGACTGAAGGGAGGAGGACTAAGACTAGGTCTGGACAAAGAATGCTGGGGTTGATTGGCAATGGTTGCTATTAGAATTGGAAAGGAGTCTTGCTGTGGCCCAAACCTTGGTAAAGAACAGTCCAGGTGGACACATAAGGTCTCCGTGTTAACTTGAGAAAGGAAGGGATGAAGAGAGAAATGACACGAAAAGAGAAGGGGAAAACAGAGGGAAGATGGTAGGAGAAAAAAAATTGTGTGTGGGAGATAGGTAAGGTCTAAAATAGGGAGTTGTTATTGTGGCTACCTAATGCCAAACCAACAAAATTTAAATTAAAAGAGAATGACAAACAAGGCATTTTAATTTTCATTATAATACAATTTTCAGTTTTCACTAAAATCAATTGTTTACTGTCAAAAATAGATAACAAATGGTAGATTCAGTCTACATGAAGTTCCTGTTATTTACTACAATAGCCATGTTAATAAGTTCCCTCTGAAAATACTAAAATTTTTATGAATTTATAGTCAACACTCAGTTAAGACAATTGAGCAAGAAGAAAATTAAGGACAGGAGAGGATGGGGGTCACAAATAATATGGCGTGTATAATAGACACTTTCATTACGATTACATCCAATATTTAGAAACAAATCTATTATTCTAGAGAGAGCCACCCAGAAGATTAAAAAGACAATAGTTTAGAACCACAATGTACCATGTAAATAGCTTAATGAAAATGGCCAAAAAATTATGTGCAAAAATAGTGTATTGTTATCGGTTTCTTAGCTGAACTGTTTTGTAAATTTCTAAGTGAAGACTAGACAAACTCTTGCATTATGAACTCTTATCTATTTAATATTCTGCATTGCCTCCTTCTTGTTTTAGTTTTAGCTCCATCAGGTAACATCACAATGTCATCACTGCCCAGGCTCACACTGAGGTTTACACACACCACAAACTACTCACTTTCTCACTTACTAACATCACTTCCCTGAAACTTCTTTCTCTCCACATGAGTGCCTCTCAGCTCTCTGGGAAAAGGGCCACTAAATCATTAGGCTATTTTAAGATGTGTCCCATGTAGTCTCACCAAAGTCCTGGGACTTTATTTCCAGTGTGGCTCATGCCCTTCCCTTCTTCTTGTTCTAGGCTAAAAATAATGATTCTTAGAAATAGGAGAACAATTAGCCCTCCAGAAGCCACAAGAAAGAGATGTTTACTTAAGAATAAATGTAGGAAGAGCTTTCCCAGGAAGCCAGTGATGTGGTTCATTCACCCGTGAGCAGAAGAGATTCCAAATAGAAAAACATATGGCAGGTGTGTAAGTGGGAAATTGGTGGGGTGGGGGTCAAAATGCCACTAGATGTAATCTCATATCTGTTACAATGTGGTTCCAAACAATAGTTGCCTTCTAATATATAGATAAAATTTCTGATTCATTAATTTTCAAATATCTCCTATACAGTTGTTAGTTAATCCACTCTTAGATACTGAAAGATGACTCTCAACATCAGCACTCAAGGGTTCTTAGACACACAGGATGCGATCACTCAGAGGAAATTGTGGTGAAATTGATTAATATCTTGTAGGAATAAGTATTTTCATTTTTGTTAAGGTTAACTACATTTATTTATTTACAATGTTTCTGGCCTATTTCCAAGGCTTAGTAAATAGTGACCTCATTCATCTTGCCCAGGACTGTATCTTTGTCATAATCCCACCCCCGACAAACAGCCCAGAAATGGGTGCTGAAATGGAAAGGTCAGTAAACGAAAAACAATTCAAAGCTTCTATTATGGTTTGACTAAACATCTTCTGCTTATTTCATATATCTTAATTCAAAATGTGTGTAAAAAGAATGAATGCATAGCCAGAAAGAAAGTTCATGGAAATAGTCATGAAACAATCATTCTTCCACAGAAGAAAAACCAATCTTAATAAGTGAGCAAATACATATACTACATTTAGATATGTTTCCCCTTTTCACTTCTTAACACTGTTTTTACCATAGAGGCAGCCCCCAACAGCAATAATATTGAGGTAACTTTCAAGTACTGGTTACAGGTTAGAATCTGTTCAGAGAACATCCTGTAATTTCCCCTAGTGTTCTGGGTTTTTTCTTAATTTCTGGGACTTTTTCTCTTTTTATTTTTTAGGGAGATAGGATCTCACTCTGTCATCTAGGCTGCAGTGCATTGGCGTGATCATAGCTCACTGCAGCCTCAAACTCCTGGGCTCTTGTAATCCTCCCACTTCAGCCTCCTATGTAGCTGGGGATATAGGTGCCCACCACCATGCCCAGCTTCTCTTTTCTTTTGTTGTGCCTGCGGAATCTTGGTAGAAGAAGTAAGACTGCTACATGATCAGCTTGTGATCATGGCCTTCTCCAAAGCTTTTCTCCCTTAACCTGTGTGATCCTGAGTCCACTCCTTTTCCACTCAGTACTCAGCCTTGACTGGACGTTAGAATCAACTGAAGGGAGTTTGAAACCAGTACCTCCACTTGGGCCCCACTCTTAGAGGCTCAGACTTGACATGTCTGGGTTAAGAACCAGACATAAGAATTTTTTTGAAGCCCCCCAGGTAGTTGTAGCATATGGTTGGGCTTGTGAACAATAGCTCTACAATGTAGCTCAGGGGTGTCCAATATTTGGTTTCCCTGGGCCATACTGGAAGAATTGTTTTGGGCCATACGTAAAGTACACTGACACTAATGATAACTGATCAGCTAAAAAAAAAATTGCAAGAAAATCTCATATTTTTTTTCCTCTTTGACATATTGATTTTATTTTCTTTGGATATATACCTTCAGTGAGATTGCTGAGTCTTGTAATAGTTCTATTTTTAAATTTTTGAGGAATCTCCATACTATTTTCCATTATAGTTATACTTACTTTCCCATCAACAGTGGGCAAGGGTTCCCCATTTTTCCACATTCTTGCCAACATTTATATCTTTTTTTTTTATTATTATACTTTAAGTTCCAGGGTACATGTGCACAACATGCAGGTTTGTTACATATGTATACATGTGCCATGTTGGTGTCCTGTACCCATTAACTCGTCATTTACATTAGGTATATCTCCTAATGCTATCCCTCCCCCATCCCCCCACCCCACGACAGGCCCCGGTGTGTGATGTTCCCCTTCCTGTGTCCAAGTGTTCTCATTGTTCAATTCCTACCTGTGAGTGAGAACATGCGGTGTTTGGTTTTTTGTTCTTGTGATAGTTTACTGAGAATGATGATTTCCAATTTCATCCATGTCCCTACAAAGGACATGAACTCATCCTTTTTTATGGCTGCATAGTATTTCATGGTGTATATGTGCCACATTTTCTTAATCCAGTCTACATTGATGGACATTTGGGTTGGTTCCAAGTCTTTGCTATTGAGAATAGTGCCGCAATAAACATACATGTGAATGTGTCTTTATAGCAGCATGATTTATAATCCTTTGGGTATATACCCAGTCATGGGATGGCTGGGTCAAATGGTATTTTCTAGTTCTAGATCCTTGAGGAATCGCCACACTGTCTTCCACAATGGTTGAACTAGTTTACAGTCCCATCAACAGTGTAAAAGTGTTCCTATTTCTCCACAATCTCTCCAGCACCTGTTGTTTCCTGACTTTTTAATGATCGCCATTCTAAGTTTACGGATTGGTGTTGGGCAGCATTCAAAGCCATCCTGGACCACATGGACAAGCTTGATGTATTAACAGATGGTTATGCCTTTTCTTGTATTATTTAAAAACCTACTGTTTTAAAAATAAAAGTAATATCCTTTGTTCCCCCTTTGTTTAGTTACCTATTGAAATATCAAATGTTAAGCAAATTGTCTTTGGGTAGAAATACAATATTTCTAAGTTGGTCAAAAATGACGATTATTAGAACTGCCATGAGAGCTAATTCTCATGAATTTCTCTGACAGAACACCATAAACAACCTCAGATTATATTTTATCCAAATGTCAGGCTGAAGTGATTTATAATCTGGTTTTCAATTCAGTTCATAAATTACTCATCTAAACTCTTAGTAAATCAAATCAGCTCCATAATTGAAAAAGTACTTTACATGGTTTAACATAAAAGAGGTCAGCAGAAATTAACATGGTGATAATTTTCCCTGCTTTTAAACAACTAGAATGACTAATTCTTTCCACAGTTGAATGCATTTTTCCACTAGATATTTAAAAAACAAAGCCACATTAAAAACCATCTCCTTTTAAGCCTTTCTCTTTCCTATTTTTTTTAATTTGGGAAAGAAAATGTAAAAATGCATGCTTACTACAGTTTATTTCTTCCTACTGATGTGTATCAGCATATATAAATGTGTATATAAATGCAAATGAACAGGAATTTTGATCAAAGAAATACTACAAAGCTAGTTAAATACATTCTTTACTCCTCCCCCTTTCATTCTTATTCATATCACCAGTTTTAGTGTCATTGCTCCAAGTGTGACAGGGACTATGGGAGATTAGATATTTGACCTTGTATGTCACCTCCATGAGGGCAGATTGACTTTTGTTGACAGCAGCATTCCCACAGCTCAAGATAGTGCCTTACATGCAGTAGGCAGGAACTCAGTATGTATGAGGGAGGGAATTTTGAAATACATTATATCACCACAAAAAAATCCTTTACTAGAATGTACTACTGCATAATTATCACCAAACTCTCAGAGATCTAAGCTTTGGAGAGGTCTTTTCTCTTTACTATGATTCTCCCCTACTTCTCTTCCAAAATATTATTTTCTTCAATTTTAAGACAGTAACAGATGGTCTGAAAGGAAACAGTCTCTGAGTTTGAAGATCTTTACAAAGGATGATTTGTGAGTGGGATGACTTAAGACAGAATCAGCTGGGGTCCTCAGAAGATGCCTATCTCCGAGGGTTTCTGCAAGGACTGTGGAGTAAATGAGATATGTGTGACGTGCTTGGATGACAGCCTGGCAGCGAAAACATGCAAATGTTAGTTGCCATTGGCATCATCATATTAAAGATTAATGTAAGCATATTAAGCTGCACATGCAATGCAGCATATAACCTGGCTCATAAAATATATGTGGCATATCATTATTGGGGAACTGTAATCATACACATTAACTCATTTTACACCCACAGTAGTAGCAGAGGATTGCTGTATTATTAATCCTACCCTACAGAAGAGAAAATTGAGTCTTAAAGGAATCAAATAACTTGCCCAAATCCGTAAGTGGAAAGATTAGAATTAAAAAATAGCATCTTTGATCTCTAAGTTATTTCACTCTATAGCATAGAACTCTAGAAATATTCCAGACATATGAATTAACTGAAATCTATTCCACTTTCTGAAGCTTTTAGCTGAAAATATATAAAATATAGCAAATATGCCCACAGACTGTACAATCGACTTTCACTTGTTCAAGAAAAAGGTCACTTACTTGTTCCCTATCTTGCCCTGCTCTTTTCCTCCATTTAGAATGGTTCTCAGTATTTTGGCATTTCCACTAAAGAAAGAAGGACCAGGGAAAAGGTCAGACTCTAAGGTCTTCTTTCTATATAACTTTTGACAGTGCTAGTGAAATACTTTTTGGCTAGGAGAGCTTGGGACTTTCTAATGCAAGTAAATGCCTGCTTTATCTACCTGCGTCATCGTACTGTCACTTCCCCACCAATTCAGACATTTGACTGGGGCTCTCAGTCTGGCTTTCTGGCTACTAAGACAACATATATACTTACCTGATCTTTCAAAACTCATGATGTGATGTGAAGTTTCAGAAAAGCAGTAAAAGCCCTTACCTTCCACCAACTGTCTTTTTTTTTTAAGCTGAAGCTCTATTCCATTGTAAGACAAAACCCATACATTTCAAATTGTTCCACTCTAAAGTTTTTCTTAATCCTAAAACATGAATGACCCTTGTTCCAATTCCATATTTTATAAAGAGTCATTCATTCAAGATATTTTTTATAAAAGCAATAATTAAAGTATATAATCCCTTCACTCACATAACTTCAGATTAGGAAAAATATATTAAAAGTGAGAAAATCAATTCAAATATGAGAACATGACAAAATTTACCATTGCAGGGCTATGAGGATGACAGAAAACTTATGCTTGTGTATGCAAGAATGCCTGGCACCTAGTAGGTGGTCAATAAATAATCAATGCCTCTGCTCCTCAGGGTACGTGCATTATGGTGCTTTGAACTGAGCCAGCAGAGGGCGCTCACAATGCTGCAAGAATTGATCAGCAGTCTTTAGCTTTTTAATTAAAATGGCCCCTTAATTTAGTTTTTCCTTTTAAGTCCTAATACTTACTAAATCCATTAATACTAATTCATATAATAATTGACTATATTAAACTATGTACTCTTTTCACACATCTAGTTAAACCTGGTGGCAATGTTTCTAAAAGATAATGATGTTTATGAATTCTACAATAAAAATAATTTTGGGTGATGGAAAGTAAAATATCCTTGGGTTTTAGAGGTGATACAGGACATAAAAGTACCAAACTTCTAGAACTCTTTTCCTCCAGCTAGTCTAGTGGAGAATAAGAGTCAAAAGAGCAAAACATCAAAGTTGGAAACCATTCTCAAAGTATGTTTTTTTAAAAAAATGTGTTTAAATGTCATCTTTTCATATTGCCTAAATAAAATCTCACAATGGCCAATAATCATGCTCAATTTATGTGAGAAACAGTTTATATAATTGTAGTCCTGAAAAAGCCAGTTATTTCAGCTATTTTTTTTTATCTTATTCTATTCTATTTAGAAAGAGTTCAAGAGGTAAATGTCCCCAGAGAGTAGTGCCAAGCTTTATGGTTGCAATTTTATAAATCTGGGCTGATCCTGAGTCATCATGAGGCCTCAGAACTCTAACAACTAGGTCACTTCTGGGTTTGATTTTAGGTTTGGGGTCTCTGCCAGGACTTCTTCAAAATCCCACAGAAAACGTACGCAAGTCTTTTTAATAACTAAAGCTGAAAAATGTGCCCCAGCTGATACATTTTGTAAGCATAATTTAAAGAGGGAAAGTTAGTCTCTAATTACTAATACTTATTGCATGCTTACTACGTACCACAGTTTTAATACATGCAAAGACATGTATTAACTCACTTTTCATAACATCCCTATGAAGTAGACAATACTATTATCATCCCAATTTTATGGATGCAGAATCTGAAACAAGGGATGACTAAGCACTTGCCCAAGGTCACACCACTTGTAAGTGGGGAAGGAAGGGATTAAAACTCACACTATCAACCACCATCTGATGCTGCCAGACAATTAGTTGTTAGTACTTTTCCATTATTTTCAACTATGGACATTTTGAATAAACCTATACTATTCTGAAACAACCTATTAAAAGAGCATATTTAAACCTCTAACATTAGAAAATAAGGAAAGAAAATTCTGAACCTCCATGGTTTTCAATTAATCTCTTGGATTTAAAAATTCATTTGAAAAACAATCACTAATGTGTGGATGCCACTTTGTCTATCTTTGAAACAAGAAAATACAAAAATGTAAACAGAAAATACTCCAGGGAAATATGCTTGGTGGTCAGTATTAAAGTTCCATGCTTGGTTTTGGAATCCACAGGGTAGGATGGTTGAAAAAGAAAAAGAAAAAAAGACAGCAATGAAAGAATTAAAGGAGGTCAGGAAGATAGGAAGGCTTAAAAATACATGAGAAAAACCAGTGAGGAATGTATCATATTATCCTGGCCAATAGAGGATCAGAATGAGATGAGGAGTTACAGATATCAAAGGACGTTTCTCTGGGCAGAGTTTAAAGGATAAAATGTGATATTGACAATGACTGGCAGACAAAATGATTGTAGTCTAATGACTTCTAGAAAACTTCCGCAAGAAAACAGACTGGTATTGTGGTGAGGTAGACCTTGAAGGGATTCACAAACAGATGGTGCACATTGACCAGCATTTTCTACACAGGGCATAATGTCAAAAGAACATGTCTAATCCACTGCACACAAGGAGTCCCATAAAAGGGGTTTTTAGAACTAAGTCTACAATCTATTTTCTGAACATTTTTGTGAATTATAGTGTTTTACATAGTTTATATAAAAAAGATTTTCTATGATTTTTAAAAATTCTCAGAGGTAAAATGAGAACAAGCACACTGAGCCCAGACCTGTCACCTGTATGTCCACTTCCATATTCTAATTTGATGTTTCCAGCTAATCTCAAAATTAAAAATCCCTGCTTTTAAAGACAGTCATTTCCAAGCTCCCTATTTCAGGAGCAGGTGTTACTGTCTGAACTACCTGATATGAGTCTTTGGAACCCAAGGCGGACCTAGACACTTTGGAATGAGGCTGAAATGTGCAGCAAATCCCAGGGGATTTTGCCCAAATGTGAAAAAGATGAAAATTATTTCACATTTATTGAGCCCTTACATGTGCTCTTCAAAACCAGTCAGAACTGGGTCCACTACTCAGATTTCACTCCTCCAGGAAGCCTTCTCCCATTCATTTCTTCTCATCACTATGTACCTGTCTATTGTCATGCTTATTACATTATCTCATAATTAATTGTCCATTTACCTGTCTCTCCCATCATCTCAACTGAGTTACTCAAGGGCTTTAACCATGCCTTATTCAACTGTGTATTTCCAATACATAAGTAATCAATAAAATGTATTAATGAAGGAAGAACCCAGTTAAAAGTTATTGACGCTTGCTATTGTTTCTCACTTCTCAACCCTCTGCAGTGGATTCACCATTAAAGCTTGTCTTACCGAGGTTACTAATGAACTAATTCTCTAAATCTAATGAGACCTCATAATTTACCACCCTGGTTGATGTCTTGGCAACCTTTACTACTGCCAACTACTCACCTCTTCTCAAAACACTCTCTTCCTTTAATCAGGTTAATGTCAGATTGACCTGATTTTTCTTGCTACCTCTTTGGCTTCACCCTCTTAGCCTTTTTTTCAGCCTCTTTTCTTCTCCAGCGGTTCTCAAGCATGGATGAATACTGGAATCATCTGGGGACCTCTGGAAACTACTGGTGCCCTATAGACTTACCCCAGAGATTCTAGTAGTTTGAGATGGGCCACCAGAACTGTTAAAAGCTCTGCATGAGAATTTAAGTTACAGCCAGACTTGAGCAGCACTATTCTAATCACTTCTCGAACTGTAGGAATCCTTAGAAATTTGCCATTGGCCATTTGATCTATTTACCCCAGAGAGATGGTAATCAAAGCCTTGGAGGTGAATGGGGTTACGTCAATTACTCACCTCTGATTTGCTAGTACAGACCTCTCTACTGTCTACCACACCCATACATGGAACTGATCATAGAACTGATCACTAGATTTTTACTTCTATGTCTCACAGGAATCTCAAGCCAACGAAACTCATCATTTTGCCAGAAAACCTGCTGCTCTTCCCTTTTTCAGTATATTGGATCATCATCCATGTCACAGCCCAAATTAGAAACTTCAGTAACATCTTTGGAACATTCTCACTCATCTCTTTCATTCAATAATTACCAAGTGCTATCTCCTAAATACCTTCAGAATCTCCATGTTCTTCTCCACTGCTATTGCCAGTGTCCTTGTACAGACACTTGTCATCTGTAGTCTAAATTATAACAAAATCTTCCTACAACTGCCTCATTGCCTTCAGTCTTGACCCAGTTACTCCAAAGCATTCACTAACCTGCAACCAGAGAATCTGTCAAACACACAAATCTGATCATGTCACTCCCCAGTTTTAAATATCCTAGGGTAAATTCATACTTAGAGTTGTATCAGAAGTAATTCCTGCCTGCCTCTCTAACCTACAGTTTAGCTCACACTCCATAGTGCAACTGTACACAATTTTTAGTTCTTCAAAAGCATCGTGCTCTCAAAGACTTCAGGGTCTTTATACACACAGTTTGCTCTTTCTGGCAAACTTTTCCATAGCCTCTTCCTCTGGCTAACTTCTGATTATTTTTCAGTTCCCCCACTTGAACACCAATTCTTCAGGAATGCATCACTTTATTGTCTTACCTAGATTAAATCTCACCATACTTTCCTATAATAACCTATCTTATAAACTTTAAAGCCTTTGGGACAAGGAGTATGTTTCTTTTGTATGCCCAGGTTCAGGCCCTTAGGCATCCCTCAATGAACAACTGAATGGATAAATTACCCACATGTGCAACGGATTTCAGCATCTGACCCTAGAACTGTTGCCAAGGGGATATATTTTCAAGTCATTGGGTATATCACTCAGTGACCAAGTAAACTTAAGGCAAAAACTAAAGTGCATTTAGAAAGCCTCATCTCTCAAATTAGGTGGAAACCTCATCCTTTTGGGACATAAAGTTTGGGAAACTGCTGGAAATAAGGAAACTTCTTTCTGGTAACCTGATAGTTTATTAGTGAAGCTCTCTGTCTTGATTTTCTACATAATTGTATAACAGCCTTCATTCAGGGATGATTTTTCAAAATGACCAATCTGCAATCTCAGCTTCATAAGCTACAATTTAAAGCACATTGCAAATGAAAAAGTAAAAAGTTATCAAGAAAAACATATTTGAAGTTTCAACAGTGAGATATTTGCTATTTAATGTTAAGCTAATAACTCCTATGAATCAAGTAGAAGTGAGGATTAGGTAATCATTAGTTTAATAATGCAATGCTAATTAAATTCTTTCAAATAGGTTATATAATATGAACCAGGAGGCTGGCTAAGGTAATAAAATTTCCAGAAAGAAATCTAAATATGGGTAATGGTGACTAACTTGAGATGGGTCTTTCCTGTAAGAGAGGGACAGGCAGGCAGCTTGAAGGCCCAGTAACTATAGAACACTTAGTCTAGAAAAGAAAGTGAAAGTTCTACTCATTTATGCATAAATATCAGGAAAGCATCTCCTAAAGAGATAGCGTTATTTTTACACAGAGAACTTAATGTTTCTCTACAGCAGTGCTGTCCAATAGAAATATAATACAAGCCCATTGGAAATTTTAAATTTTATAATAGCCACATGAAAAAAGTAAAAATAAAATTAATTTTATTTAACCTAAAATTTTATTTCGCCTAATAAATCCAAAATATTATGTAATCAATAATTTTAAAGTGTTTGTTTCAATATATATCATAAAAATTAATGAGTTTTCTTATACTAAGTATTCAAAAGCCAGTATGTAATTTACATTACAGCCCTCTCATCGCTGACTAGCCACATTTTATGTGTTCAAAGCCACCTGTGGTTAGTGGATACTATACTGGATAGTGTAATTGTATAACTTTAGACTATTACCCAAATGAGAGTTAGTGTGTGTATAATGCTTTCAGTGGTAACTCCAAAGTAATGAAAGATCTGGAAACATATTTGAATAACCAAATAAAGACCATCTTTTTAGTGTAATTTGATAATCATTTCTATGTTTTATTATGTTCTATTTGAATATTGATAGTCCATGGATGGACTATGCTTAACTATATTAATTGAGTCATTATTTGTGACACCTTAATTTAGGAACCAGCTGTGATTAAAGTTTCCTTTAAACAAGCCTGATGATGCAGAGTGCCCGGGTGGAAAGTGGACATGTAGAAATCACCTGGGTCTCCTCAGATATAGTCTTCACGAGCAAGTCTGGGCCCAGACCCTCCTGGCAGAGAGACCACTTTCCTCTGGTACAAAAGAAGTGAGAGAAGAGATGTCTCTTGGGGAGTCAGGGAGGTAAAAGGAGGCCAACAATATATATGCAGGAAGAAAAGCACCTTGCGGTACTATCCAGGCAACTCTCTTGGTGCTGGCTCTGCAGTCAACTTGCTTGACTAAAAGGGGTATCTCATGCCTAACGTCTCTCACCCTGGGCATTCTAGATAAACAGGCAGGCTCACTTCTGCTTATGGCATGAATATACCATATGGGACACCTTGTCCACAGAGGGTAGGGTAGGCGAGATATGGACCTTCTCTTTTGAGGGGAGGAGTCTATCTGAATCAACCACTGATCTGAAATTCTACAGAGACTCAAAGACTAGTCCATGTGGATATTTTTAATTGTGTGGGAGATGGGCACCATTTGAAGACCCTACACCTTCAGGTTCTTGATAGCAAGTAAAGCTATTCCAAAGGAAAGAAGATACCTTACTGACATGGCAATCACAGATCGATCTTTAATCATTATAACATTTTTTTCTTCAGCCAACAAAAATTTCTCATTGTGTTTCATTTCAACTTCTACCTTTTAATGTATTACCTTTTAATTTTTAAACTTTTGGTTCAGTTTATCAATTGTCCCTATTAACCTCAGCCTGCTTGTTACAGATAACATACAGATAATAGATTTAAGTAAACAATAAAGAAGAACCACTATTTTTTGAATGTATTATGTGTCAGTACTGAGCTAAGCATTTTTGAAACATTAGAGTCACCCACATTTGAAACAGGACAACTGAAGCTATTTTATACAGAAGATTCACACACACACACACACACACACACACACACACACACTCTTCTACAGAAGATGGCTTATATATATTTACACACACTCTTGAAACTTCTTCATACAAAATAGTGCATAGCCCACAAACCTAAGAATCCTAAATTATCTTTATTACCAATGTATTGTTTTTAGTGTTTTATTTCTAGACTGTAGCCTCAATCCCTATTTTATAGCTTCAAGCTACCACTGAATTTATTCTGAATAGAGAGGCAGTTTCTTTACATGAGGAATAAAAGATATCTGTATTCTTTAGAATGTTACATGAGAAATAACTTCAGTCAACTCTTCGGCAAATACTCAAGGCATTACTATCACTATTAATGTTTTAACTCATTGACTGACTAGGAATCTTGCCTTTTTTCCTTTCATCCCAGTAAATACCTTGTAGATTGGCCAAAATTTTGAAAGTTAAAAATCAGTTTGGCTCATCATTTCTAATCAATTATCTTACTCATCAGTCAGGTTGATAAATTTTCACTCCACTTTTATTCATTCATCCATCCAAAAGATCTTCATTTAATTCATATCTATGACATATCTACTATGTTTACATTTCTCTGAGAACAGTCAACTCCCATGCTACACATGCCCAAACAATTTTTTCCTTCCATTGACAGGCATTATCTTAAATTTAATACAGTATTATGTCATGATTTATCCAGTTAAACACAGACATCCAGAAATAGATTCAGTGTCCATCCAGACAGGAAGTAGGCACTAAATATCAGTAGTTATAATGTCATGGATCAGGAAACTATGACAGGACAACAGAAATAAAATTGCTCCCTCCTGAGACCTTGCCAAGATCCTCTGGCAGACCAAAGTTGTCGGCTCCACTCCCTAATTCTTCACCCACAACTCTCTCATGCAATGAAAATTATGCTTTGCAAAATCATTCCAAAATGTATGGGTCTGTGAATGTTTTATGCATTCCTACTGTGATTTCTGGTATTGAGGATGCTTAACAAGAGGCTAGGGCTTATTCTACATGCTACAGACAACTCGTAGACTTTTATAGGTGCTCTGAGTTAAAAGTAAAAATTCCATTATGTTTATACTCTATCTGAATTCATCTGAATGAAGGGAACCAGCTTCACAGTTTGAAAAAGAGCAAAGACTACTATAAAATACAAAAGAAGTTAAAGATCCAATAACTAATCTCAAAAGTCCATTTATAGCAAAGAAATATAAAGAAGTACCAATTTTATTCACCGTTTACAGATGACCCATCAGCTCAGCAGACAACATATTAAACCATTCACTTAATTTTATTTGCATTGAAGATACATACATGGAAGAAAATGGCTTAGACTTTGGACGCATTCAGACCCTAGTTTGACTTTAGTTCCCACCTATCAGTCACTAGCTAAGTAACTTTTAAAAAGGTATTTGCAACTCTGAGCCACAGTCCTCATACATAAACTAGGAACAATGTCAACCATGACCCAGGGTTGCTTTAAGGGGAAAAAAGTTAAGCAATATATATAGCAGTAACACTTTGGAACAAGATAGGTCTTGTTATTTAATATTCCTTCCTCTTTCCCCACTTGCCTGTGTGCAACAAACTTGTCTTTGGCTTTGAAACATGAAACTTCTCCCCTCTATCAGTACACATTTTTCAACTTGTCACAAATCTGAGACATTGAGAAATGACTGCAAAAAGATGGACCCATATAACATGAGTTTTGGATGACGGTTTTGGGAATGGAAAATTATACTACATTAACGATGAAGATGCCAATTTTCCTTTTCTTTTAGATTGTATATTGTAAGTAAAACTATCACTTTTTTTTTTAGGCCTTTAGGTTAAACGACGGGATATGGGATCAATTCCAATTGCTATTCCTGATATGCTCCTTAGCCTGTTCTTTAAGAGGGTTGATAGGTCAAAGATGGAAATAAAATTCTCAAGTCTTGGCTTAGCTGGATCCTGTCCTTAATACGCTGAGAGAGTCTAAAATGTGCTTTACACACGGAGAGACGGGGAGAGATGAAGAGAAGGTATCATAAGAAATTTCTCTAGCATAGTTGTCAGAGTACTGCAATCATTGCCATAAGGAAAAGGGAGAACGATATTAACAGAAAGGGAATCCCTTTTATATTAAGGAGGCAAGATGAGATGGAGTTGAAACTGAAAACTTTATGCTCTTTAAACCAGAAGTAACAGGCAACGTGAATCTTTCCAGGACTTGCCCTATGGTGGGGTCCACATGGGGGGTCGGGAGGTCACTAACTCCTGGTCCCATACCCAACTCACCCAGCTGGAGCTGTTCGCACGTCTGGCCGGGATTCTTTCCGATCCTGCATCTGTAAATCGCCCCGGGATTGATCACTGAAGCGTTGGCGAGCCAGTTGGCAGTGGGCGCACCCACTAGGAGCCTAAAGCGAGACACGTGCACGTGCGCTCAGACGTGAGCTGTGCTGCCCACTGAGCTCCCTGTCGCCACAGATGTGCAGTCCGCAGCAGGGCAGCTTCCCCACCTCCTCCTCCGCCCACCACCCCCGACTCGAAGCTCCAAGACCTTGCACCATAACGCACCCGGGGCGCTGCCGCCCCAAGATAAGTTAGTTTCCCTGGCAGATTTCCAGCGAGCTGGCTCTCGCAGCGTTTCCCTCCTGCCTCCTTGGGAGGGAGGAAAGTTTGAATCGGGCAGGGAATCCCTAGGGCGCCATTCTCACGCCGCTCTGAGCTGCTGAGGGCGCATCAGTCCAACTCTACTCACCATCGGTTCGCCCCGTGGCTGTGCAGCACGACCGAGTAGCCGAACAGCGTGTTGTGGGGGCCCTGGTAAAGCAGCGCGCTCTCAGTGTCCACGTTGTAGGGGCGGCCGGTCGGGACCCCCAGGCACAGCAACAGCATCACCGTCTCCCGGACGGCGGCCCTTCGGGGGCCGGGTTCGCGCCTCGCTTCCCAAGCCATGCGCTCTCGGTGGGGAACATTCAACACTAAACGGCCACTACCCCAAAGTTGCACGGGATGCGACGGTTGGCCAACGGGGAAGAACGCCCCAAGAGATGAGGCGCAGCGTGTCCGGCGCCAGCGGGCTAAAGGAAGGAGAGAGGGAAGAGGAGGGGAAGTCGGCCCACCGCGGGCGGAGCGTTCGGGCCGGCCTGGGATGCCGCGCACTCGCCCGGCCCCACTCCCGGTTTCTGCCGCCAGCCGGGAGCTTCGGGTGCTCGCGCTGCTTCTCCGGGTACGGGCCGCTGGGTGGGGTCCCGGGCGTGGTGCGGAGGCGCAGGGCCGGGCTCCGTCTCTGCCTACGCGCGGCTGCAGGGGGCGCTGGGGAACCTCGGCTGCGCAGGACTCGCGTCCTGGCCCGGGCCTCCCAGCCCGCAGAGCGCGGGATGGCTCTGGGCTCAGCAAGAGCGGACCTGATGGGGCACGGGCTTCCCCTTTTAACGGTGGTTGGGGCCTAGAAGCGGAGCTGTGTGACCCCAAACTGCGCGCCCCTCGCTGTGACCGCCCAGCCCGGCGTGGCCCAAATGCCAGCCACAAACTCGGGGAGTGGGACTGCGGCGGGGAGCCGTCCAGTTCTTTCGTTGATAGTTAAACACTGTGTCTTGTTTTTCAGGTGTAGGCAACCACTAGATAAATTATCAAGAGCCACAGATTAAAAACAAAAAACCAAACAAAAAGACTCGCCGAAGGCCCCTGGGGAACATTTTAGTGACAAAGACGTTATGGCTATTCTCTTCAAGACCCACATCTCAGCACCCTTCTATACCCACTTCCTTCCTCCCCACACTTCCTCTGCAGCCCGGGCTGCATGCGTGAGCAGGCTAGCAGCAGCCTCTCAGGCTGAACGGCAGGCGGTTTAGGCTGTGGCTGACCCCAACAGAGAGGTTGGGTTAAGGAAGCACTGTGACTTGATTCACTTTAACCGATTCGGATTGCTCCAGCTGGTAATTGATGATCCCCCCTTTTCACGCACCCACTCAGTTGCCACGGGACACACCTGCTTTTAGGGGTGTAAACCCCAGTGTGGGGTCAGGGTCCTAATGAGCCTCTGAAATGTGCCGGAGACCCACAACGCAACACACCTGAACTGGGTAGTGAGTCTCATTCTAATGCAATCCAGGTGTGCCCTGCCTTTTTTTTTTTTTTCCTTCAGCAACCAGAGAGACAGCCATAGGTGATTATTAGACTGATATTTTCAGGAGATGAAAGTCTAGTTTTTTATTGTTGCTATATGTAAAAAGAAAAGAAAAGTCTGCATCAAAGAGTGTGTCTGTGTGCTAAAACCATGCTGGAATAAATAACACATCTGACACTAATGACAGATACACAATTAAAATGCTTATTCATTTATTCAGCACATTCATGGAGCAGGCACTTGACTAGGACCACAGGATTCCACCAAGAGTAAGGCAGGACTGATACAAAGTTTCAAAAAATGTTCGCTCCAATGGTAGATAGAAAAATTTGTACTAACTAGAGAAAGATCCAGGTAAGGACACTTAAAGAGAGATTTGAAGGACCAGGAATCTTGAATCAGGCTAAGAATGGGATGAGCAATAAGGAGGGCTCCAGAGGAGCCAGGTAGAAGAACTGAGAGAGCTTGCCTGGCTAGAGTATTTAGCCACTCCACACACAGGTTGGTGTGATATGAGGCTGACTTAGGGAAGCAGGAATACATGGTGAACCTCATGAGCCAGGTTAGGAATTTTAAATCTATGTTGGGACTGACAGGAAGTTGAAGAATTTGTCTCGGTCAGCTCTGGGTTTCAGAAGTGTGAATGCAAGACTGAACACAGAAAACCTAATTTTGGAAGCCCCTGCAGCAATAAGTAGAGATAGGATAATCCCAAGGGGAAGTATTTCTCTTTCTTGAAAGAGAATGGTGCTACCATTCATGGAGAAAAAAACACTGAGAAATGAAGTTATATGCATGTATGTGTGCATGCAGATGGGGGCATGGATGGGTTAAGTTTTAGCCATGTGGAGTTTGAGATGTTTATGGAATGACAGGATATTCTAGCCAAACTCAATGCAATTATTTTCAGTCTGTCAACAGACAAAACATGAGGAATATTAACTTTCTCTTACTCTATACTGGAAAAAGTCAATACAGTGTGTGATAAATCTATTGTAAAAATGAAATGGCTTCCAGAAAGCTAACAATCAGGGCCCATGGCTGTTTCTTTCTGTAGTAGTGCTGAGTGTGTTTCTTTCTTAGTAGATCTACATGCTGATTTTAACCCAGTTCCACAATGAGCTTACAGTGTCGTTATTCTGAACTATGCAATCCTTCTTGTTTACAGCTACAAAACCTCCAGTTGAGGCCAAGGAAGTAGGTATGTTGAAGCCATTCTGACACCCTCCAGAAACTGGCAAAGCCAGATCTTCTGATCTGAACCCCTACCAGTTTCTTTCCCTCCCTTCACCAAAATCTTTTACAATGAAAGCCACTCAACACAATTCGTTTCATAGCGTAGTTTTGGTGACAAGCAGTCAGTGGAGTGGTTGGTAAGGCAGGACTTTTTTCCATAGTATGGTTATAGTTATGATTCACTACCTTTCAAGAAATAGCCACCCTACATTACCTCACGTTAGTTAGCTGAATTTCCTTCCTCCAGGGCTTGGAAAACAGCTCGCTTTTCCTAATGTTAGCAGGAATAAAGTGTGTTTCATGTTGCTTTAAAAAAAACTGAAGATACTGCTATCTCTCTGATCAATGCTTCTGAAGGCAAGTGAGGGGGTGGAGGAAGGAGAAGAGAAGGATGTTTAAGAAAGACTCATGCCTATCCCTAGCTCTCAACTCGACATAAATATTTGGGCACTCAATTATTAAATGTCATCAGATTAATATGTATATAAGTGCCCACTATATGCCAAAAAAATGCATTATGCACTAAAATTATAGTAGACAAAATACAAGTGATCTCTAACCTTGTGTAGAAAGTCCTCCCCAGTAGCGAGAATTCTAATGTGGACTCACCCTATTTTTCAGTTTTTATCAAGAGTAAGCATTTCTCCTTCTAGGAAGACTCTCTTCTCATGATACCACCTTATTAAGCTTTTTCCTGCCTTTCTATCTGGCCACTCTGAGTTTCCTCTGATGGCTCCCTTCCCTCCGCCATAAGTGCGGGAAACCCCCAGGGCTATATTCTGGAAACTCTTTCATTCTCTTTCCATCTTCCCTCTTTAGGAGATCTAACCCATTTCCTATGTCTTTAAATACCATCTAAATATAAGTCATTAACAGAATCAAAAACAGAAACGGTATACTTATTTCAATAGATGCTGAGATAGCATTTGATAAAATTCAACATTCCTTTATGATAAAAATTCTCACCAAAATGGATATAGAAGGAACATACTTCAAAATAATGAAGGCCATATATGACAAACCTACAGTCAACATCATACTGAACACAGAAAAAATGAAGGCCTTTCCTCCAAGGGCTGAAACAGACAAGGATACCCCCTCTCACCACTGTTATTCTACGTAGTACAGAAAGTCCTGGCCAGAGCTATCAGGCAAGAGGAAGAAAGGAAGGGTATCCAAATTGGAAAGGAAGAAGTCAAATTAGGTTTGTTTGCAGACTACATGATCTTATACCTAGAAAAATCTAAAGAGTCCACCTAAAAGCTGTTAGATCTGATTCAGTAAAGTTGCAGGATGCAAAATCAACATACAAAAATCAATAGCATTTATATGACAACAGTGAACAATCTGAATAAAAATCAAGAAAGCAGTTCCTTTTACAATAGCTACAAAAATGTACAATACCTAGGAATCAATTTAACTAAAAAAGTAAAATATCTATGCAAGGAAAAACTATAAATAAAACTCTGATAAAAGAAATCGAAGAGGACACAAAAACCCAGAAATATACTCCGTGATAGACTGGAAGAACTAATATTGTTAAAATTACAATACTACCTAAAGCAATTTACAGATTCAATGCAATTCCTATCAAAATACAAATGACATTCTTCACGAAACAGAAAAATTCCTAAAATTTATAAGAAACCACAAAAGACCCTGAATAGCCAAAGCAATCCTGAGCAAAAAGAACAAAGCTGGAGGCATCACACTACCTAACTTCAAAATTTACTACAAAGCTATAGTAACCAAAACAGCACAGTATTGGCATAGAAACAGACACATAGACCAATGGAGCAGAATAGAGAATCCACATATAAATCCATGCACTTACAACCAACTAATCTGTGACAAAGCTGTAAAGAACATACAATGGAAAAAAACAGTCTCTTTAATAAATGGTGCTAGGAAAACTTAATAACTACATGCAAAAAAATAAAATTAAAACTTTCTCACCACTTCTTCCTTTCCAGTTTGGATACCCTTCCTTTCTTCCTCTTGCCTGATAGCTCTGGCCAGGACTTTCTGCACTATGTAGAATAACAGTGGTAAGAGGGGGTATCCTTGTCTGTTTCAGTCCTTGGAGGAAAGGCCTTCATTTTTTCTGTGTTCAGTATGATGTTGACTGTAGGTTTGTCATATATGGCCTTCATTATTTTGAAGTATGTTCCTTCTATATCCATTTTGGTGAGAATTTTTATCATAAAGGAATGTTGAATTTTATCAAATGCTATCTCAGCATCTATTGAAATAACCAATACACCAAAACCAAATCAAAATGAATTATAGACCTGAAATTATGAAATTACTAAAAGAAAACATTGGGGAAATGCTCTAAGATATTGGTCTGGGCAAAGATTTTTTTGTGTAAGACCTAAAAAGCACAGGCAACCTGAACAAAAATAGACAAATGAGATTACATCAAGCTAAAAAGCTTCTGCACAGCAAAGAAAACATCAACTAAATGTAGAGAGAACCCACATAATGAGAGAAAACATTGGCACACTATCTGATGAGGGATTAATAACCAGAATATATAAGGAGCTCAAACAACTCAATAGCAACAAAACTAAAACCTAACAAAGAATGTAATTTCAAAATTGGCAAAAGATCTCGACAGATATTTCTCAAAAGAAGATATACAAATGGCAAACGGGTATAAGAAAACATGTACAACATCACTAATCATTAGAAAAATGAATATCAAAACCACAATGAGATATCACCTCACTCCAGTTAAAATGGCTTATATAAAAAAGGCAAAAACAGTTGCCGGTGACAAAATGGGGTCAAAGGGGAACCCTCATACAGTGCTGCTAGAAATGTAAGTTATTACAGCCACTATGAAGAACAGAATAGAGGTTCCTCAAAAAAGTAAAACTAGAACGATGATATGATCTGGCAATTCTTGTGGGTATATATCCTAAAGAAAGGAAATCAATACATTGAAGAAATATCTACACTCCCATGTTTATTGCAGCACTATTCACAATAGCTAAAATATGGAATCAACCTAAGTGCCCATCAATGAGTGAATGGATAAAGAAACATACATACATAATGGAATATAATTCAACCATAAAAAAATTAAAATCCTGTCATTTGCAGCAACATGGATGGACCTGGAGGCAATTATGTTAAGTGAACTAAGCCAAGCACAGAAAGACAAATATTGCATGCCCTCACTCATATGTGGGAGCTTAAAAAGCAAATCTCATGAACATAGAGAGTAGAATGGTAGTTACTATAGGAGAGGAAACGGTAGGTGGAGGGCGATAAAGGGAAAAATATATATATAAATGTAGTTATTGCCAGTGGACTTTACACTTAAAATGGTAAAGATGATACATTTTATATGTATATTGTACCATAATAAAACAAAGTTAAAAAAGGAAAAAAGATATTCACAACTAATATCAAATAACTGTATTGGATGGTCAGTGGGGGATACAATTAAAATACTTGAAGAAACAATCCTCTAAAATTATCCGTGACTGTCTTTTTTTTTTGTGTTAAACATCCTCATAGAAGAGTACAAAAGAAAGAGTACGTAGAAGGTACAATTTAAATTATATTATCTTACTATATTCTACACACCCAATAATTGGCTTTAAAATCCTTGAGGAATCCTTGTTTTGCTTTTGCATAACGTTCTTTTACTCAGCAGGTAAAAAAAAGTATCAATTAAAAATAAAGTTTGAAGAGAATACTATAAACACCTCTACGCAAATAAACTAGAAAATCTAGAAGAAATGGATAAATTCCTGGACACATACACCCTCCCAATGCTAAACCAGGAAGAAGTTGAATCCCTGAATAGATCAATAACAGGCTCTGAAATTGAGGCAATAATTAATAGCCTACCAACCAAAAAAAGTCCAGGACCAGACGGATTCACAGCCGAATTCTACCAGAGGTACAAGGAGGAGCTGGTACCATTCCTTCTGAAACCATTCCAATCAATAGAAAAAGAGGGAATCCTCCCTAACTCATTTTATGAGGCCAGCATCATCCTGATACCAAAGGCTGAGAGAGACACAACAAAAAAAGAGAATTTTAGACCAATATCCCTGATGAACATCAATGCAAAAATCCTCAGTAAAATACTGGAAAACCGAATCCAGCAGCACATCAAAAAGCTTATCCACCATGATCAAGTGGACTTCATCCCTGGGATGCAAGGCTGGTTCAACATACGCAAATCAATAAATGTAATCCAGCATATAAACACAACCAAAGACAAAAACCACATGATTATCTCAATAGATGCAGAAAAGGTCTTTGACAAAATTCAGCAGCCCTTCATGCTAAAAACTCTCAATAAATTAGGTATTGATGGGACGTATCTCAAAATAATAAGAGCTATTTATGACAAACCCACAGCCAATATCATCCTGAATGGGCAAAAATTGGAAGCATTCCCTTTGAAAACTAGCACAAGACAGGGATGCCCTCTCTCACCACTCCTATTCAACATAGTGTTGAAAGTTCTGGCCAGGGCAATCAGGCAGAAGAAAGAAATAAAGGGTATTCAATTAGGAAAAGAGGAAGTCAAATTGTCCCTGTTTGCAGACGACATGATTGTATATCTAGAAAACCCCATTGTCTCAGCCCAATATCTCCTTAAGCTGATAAGCAACTTCAGCAAAGTCTCAGGATACAAAATCAATGTGCAAAAATCACAAGCATTCTTATACACCAATAACAGACAAACAGAGAGCCAAATCATGAGTGAACTCCCATTCACAATTGCTTCAAAGAGAATAAAATACCTAGGAATCCAACTTACAAGGGATGTGAAGGACCTCTTCAAGGAGAACTACAAACCACTGCTCAACAAAATAAAAGAGGACACAAACAAATGGAAGAACATTCCATGCTCATGGATAGGAAGAACCGATACCGTGAAAATGGCCATACTGCCCAAGGTAATTTATAGATCCAATGCCATGCTCATCAAGCTACCAAGGACTTTCTTCACAGAATTGGAAAAAACTACTTTAAAGTTCATATGGAACCAAAAAAGAGCCTGCATTGCCAAGTCAATCCTAAGCCAAAAGAACAAAGCCGGAGGCATCATGCTACCTCACTTCAAACTATACTACAAGGTTACAGTAACCAAAACAGCACGGTACTGGTACCAAAACAGAGATATAGACCAATGGAACAGAACAGAGCCCTCAGAAATAATACCACACATCTACAACCATCTGATCTTTGGCAAACCTGACAAAAACAAGAAATGGGGAAAGGATTTCCTATTTAATAAATGGTGCTGGGAAAACTGGCTGGCCATATGTAGAAAGCTAAAACTGGATCCCTTCCTTACACCTTATACAAAAATTAATTCAAGATGCATTAAAGACTTACATGTTAGACCTAAAACCATAAAAACCCTAGAAGAAAACCTAGGCAATACCATTCAGGACATAGGCATGGGCAAGGACTTCATTTCTAAAACACCAAAAGCAATGGCAACAAAAGCCAAAATTGATAAATGGGATCTAATTAAACTAAAGAGCTTCTGCACAGCAAAAGAAACTACCATCAGAGTGAACAGGCAACCTACAGAATGGGAGAAAATTTTTGCAATCTACTCATCTGACAAAGGGCTAATATCCAGAATCTACAAAGAACTCAAACAAATTTACAAGAAAAAAACAACCCCATCAACAAGTGGGCAAAGGATATGAACAGACACTTCTCAAAAGAAGACATCTATGCAGCCAAAAGACAGATGAAAAAATGCTCATCATCACTGGCCATTAAAGAAATGCAAATCAACACCACAATGAGATACCATCTCACACCAATTAGAATGGCAATCATTAAAAAGTCAGGAAACAACAGGTGCTGGAGAGGATGTGGAGAAATAGGAACACTTTTACACTGTTGGTGGGACTGTAAACTGGTTCAACCATTGTGGAAGACAGTGTGGCAATTCCTCAAGGATCTAGAACTAGAAATACCATTTGACCCAGCCATCCCATTACTGGGTATATGCCCAAAGGACTATAAATCATGCTGCTATAAAGACACATGCACACGTATGTTTATTGCGGCACTATTCACAATAGCAAAGACTTGGAACCAACCCAAATGTCCATCAGTGATAGACTGGATTAAAAAAATGTGGCACATATACACCACGGAATACTATGCAGCCATAAAAAAGGATGAGTTCATGTCCTTTATAGGGACATGGATGAAGCTGGAAATCATCATTCTCAGCAAACTATCACAAGGACAAAAAACCAAACACCACATGTTCCTACTCATAGGTGGGAATTGAACAATGAGAACACTTGGACACAGAGAGGGGAGCATCACACACCGGGGCCTGTCATGGGGTGCAGGGAGGTGGGAAGGAGCATTAGGAGATATACCTAATGTAAATGATGAGTTAATGGATGCAGCACACCAACATGGTACATGTGTACATATGTAACAAACCTGCATGTTGTGCATATGTACCCTAGAACGTAAAGTATAATAATAAAAAAAAGTTTGATTTTTTTATATACATGTTGCAATATCTGTTAATCAATCAGCTATTTCATGAGTTATTTAAATATACCCTCAATTGTTTGACATGAAATAAATAAACAAATATCATGAGTCTCCAGTTTATGTCTCCAGCCTTGACCTTTCTTCAGAGTTCCGGGTTCATTTGTTCTACTGCCTACCAGACATCTCCACTTGGATGTATAGTGGGCATTGTGCGCGTAACATACCTAACACTGAGTTCTGGTTCCCTGACTTCTCATCTAAACTATTCTTCCACCCAATCTCTTTCTTTTCAAAACAACTGGGCACTCTATCTGACCAGTTGTTCAAGCCAGAAATTTGGAAAGTAATACCTCCCTCTAACTTAAACAAAGAATCCATCAGTCACAAGGTCCTATCAATTTGACCTCTAAAATATATCTCAAGCCCATCTTATGTGAATCTTCTTTTGCACAGCTACTACCATTTCACAAGATAATTTCATCTGGGCTATTTAAGAATCTGCTACGTGGTCTCCCTTTGTCATTCCCCCACCTCATCAAATTTCTGCACAGAAGCTAAAGTGAACTTTCAAGATTCTAAATGAATCAGGCAACTACTCCTTTGCTTAAATCCTTTAAATAGTTTTCCATCGCTTTCTTGTAGTACAAACCACACTCAACGTGGCCTAAAAGGACCCTATGATCTGGCTTCTGACTACAGCACCAGCCTTAGCATTGGTCACTCCCCCTGGATCACTTGGCTTTTGTCATATTGGCCTTTCTTAATTTCCTTAAGTGCATCAAGGTTTCTTTTATCCTCAAGGTCTTTACCATATTATTACCTCTTCTCGGACACATAGCCTCTGACTTTTCACATAATTCCTCTTTCTCTTTCTTCCATCTCAGCTTAAAGATGTCCTCACAGAGGACTTTCTGCCCATCCAATTTAAAATAGGTCACTATAATATTATCTGCCAGACAATCCTGTTCATTATCTCCAGAACTCTTTAATTTATAATCATATATTTTTTCATTATATCTTTCTCACTAGAATTTGAGAGTAGAAAACATCCTTTGTTTTGCTCCTGTTGTTTACCACCATATCTCTAGCACTTTATATGCTACCTGGCAAGTAGCAGGTGCTCTGTATTTTTTAAATGGCCTTTACATGATTTTGGCTTTTTACATCATTAATGTCATAAGCTGGAAATGTATAGGTTTATGTTCATTAATTATTACATGCAAAACAATACGCTAAGTCCTTTGGCAGATATGAAACTGTATAAAAAGTGAGTCCTAATCTCAGTTTATAATTTACAAAGGAAGATATGATATACCTTAGATAATATAATGTAGTCAAATTAAATATCATATACAATGAGGAGACAAAAGACAGTTGGTTGCTGATAAATGGTGTAGGCATAAAGGCAGTTTCAAGACCCAAACTTACATAAAGAGCAGGGCAGGGAAAATGAAAGAACTCGTAAGGCATTGGGGAAAAAACCTGATGTGTATTGTGTGGTGTTGGTACTAAAAGGAAGTAAAATATGACCGGCATTTTTAGACCTGGTGACAGAGACACTGGTAATATCATGAAAAACAAAACATAAAGCAACCAGATGGAAGAGTTGGAATGGGGAAGAACAGGGTGGGGTGGAGGGGTGCATGGTGTTGGGGGAGATGGAGAGTGTGTTTAGATAGTGCTCGCTGGGTTCTAGAGATAAGTCTGAGGTATTGGTGTGACATTCATGTAGATACGTCTGGCAAGTAGTGTTTTTTGTTACACTTTTTAAAATTAGATTTTAAAAAATTACTAAGGTAAAGCATGTAAAACAATTAGAGATGCATAAAACATTTTTTACAATTTCTCTGCCTCTCTCTAATCTAACTTTCTAAGACATCCCTTTGCCCACAATAAACTGTTACACCCAAGTGCTTGCCTCAAGGTCAGCTTTTAGGGCATCCAAACTCAGATGATAGTTTTTTTTTTTTTTTTAAATAGTACTGAAATTCCCAACCAGAAACAAGAAGCTCAATTCTTCTATCCAGATACAGACTATTAGACCACATTTCTGGATGCTTTTTTTTTTTTTTTTTTAAGACAGAGTCTCACTCTGTTTCCCAAGCCTGGGTTAAAGTGATTCTCTGAGTAGTTGGAACTACAGGTGCATGTCATCACACCCAGCTAATTTTTTGTATTTTTTTTTAGTAGAGATGGGTTCACCATGTTGGCCAGACTGCTCTTGAACTCCTGGCTTCAAGTGATCTACCTGCATTGGCCTCCCAAAGTGCTGGGATTACAGGCATGAGCCACCACACTTGGCCCTGATGCTTTAATATAGGTATCAATGACAAGGTTGCTTTAAACGAAATATGAAACAAAGGCTTCTCCTCAATTGTAAGACTTCTGAAACCTGCTGAGAAAGTGTATGAGGCATGGCTCAGAATCCCTGATCCCTGAAAGACTGAGAGGCTGAGGCATCTATCTAAGGACTCTCATCCTCCACTGGTGGAGAGATCACCTCCCCACACTTGCAGATTGTACCTGTTCGCCAGCAAGCAAGGTCCCAGGTATGCCCAGGCAGCAATGAGAGACAAAAACGTGGGAGCTAGGAAGCTGCCAATGTTATGAGATTGTCTACCCAGCCACAGGTTGGGCTTATGTGGCCCAAGGAGTAGGGCATCAACAGCGTCTGCTACAACTGTCAATCAGAACCTTGAGTGATTTGTTAGTATTGCTCAAACCTGGTTTTTATTTGTATAATTAAGTTTTCTCTTGTTGGATGGGGAAAATGAGTACATGAGGGCAAAGCACATAATACAATGTTTAGCACATAATAAATAATGAGTAAATAGACCTTTCTCCTTCATCACTCTTTTCTTCCCTTTTAGCATCATCATCATGAATATTATCATTTTTTTAGAAATGAACTACCTACAGAAATAAACGATGTATAAAAATCTGAAATCAAGGCAATGACATATATGTGGAAGATTATGTTAGTTAATGAAGAGCTATTTATGTCTGTATTTGCTTATACTTATTCACTCATTCAACAAATTTATTGAACACCTGTTATGTGTTACTGAGAGATGCCATGCATACCATGGCAAAAAGTGTTGGGATCATTATCTTATTTAGATGGGCATTCCAAAAGGGCAACATGGTAATAAATAATAAATAAATCTTTCCATTTTTTCTTGTCACTTTTCAGTATATGCTTGTCACTTTTTAATATATACAAGTAGGTTTTTTTCTACAGCGTAACTATCAATATGTCATTTCTCAAATCTGTCCTCAGGAGTATCCTAATAGTTCCTCCCTCTACTCAACCCAAATAAATTAGAATTTCTCGCCTGGGGCTTAATCCTATCCATGTTTGGCTTCAAACTCACTTTCTTTCTATCCACCCCAAACATAATCTATTTTCCCTTCCCTCTCAGCATGTTCCCTTTACTTTGGTAAATTGACAGATCAAGCCAGTAGCTGTCAAATGCCACACAAGATGGTGCATAATAGAGAACGGATGGGGAGGTTTCTTCTGGATGGGATGTTCAGGGCAATTTTTCTGCAGTAGGAGGGTAATTTTGATAAATATTACTTTTTACACTTCTTTTCAAAACTCCTGAAACTACTGCTACTTTTAAAACCAAGTCTATTTCATGCTTCAGTTCAAAAGAAGAAACAATTGCTCCTTTTGTTACAGTATATAAAAGACTTGGTATAAAATCATTCTCCTCTCAGGGCACATAGTTATTATGTGACAACCTTTTATCTCATAAGTAATCTGACCTGAAAGATTGAATTTATACACTGGGATGATTTAACAACTGGTCCACACTGGCTCTCTAAGGTTCACAAGATACACAGAGAGTCTGCAGCATCACTTTCCTTTATTATCAGGAGTTAGAATCTATTTTATGTAAAACTGCTACACAACGGTGTTTTACCGCAAGATTCTCATACACATGGCTTCATCTTGACAAAACAGAGTTCCAGGCATCTTGGAAAGGAATATGGTGAAAAAAGTATAATTATAAAAGTAAGATCACACAGCAAGCATATGTACATATATCCAAGCATCCTGAAAACACAAAACAAGCTAACAATATGTTCTTATGCATCAATAGCTGGCAAGCTAACTCAAAACTAGGAAACAATTTCAAACAAATTACAAAATATGTTGTGGATATAGCACAAAAAATATAATATAATAGTGGGATTTTCAAAGTAGCAAAAGGTTGTATGGGGGACTAAAATAAATTTAGTTAAATATTAGTCTTTAAACTTATTCTTACTTTTTCTTTCTCTTTCTCTCTCTTTATTTCTTTCTTTCACCAGACCAAACTGAGGGGACATAAACATTAGTCCTTGTAGACTAGATAGAAGGATAACAGAACATGAAAGACTAAAATATCATCAGTAAATAGGAAGAAAAAACAGTGAAATGAGGCTATACGACTTTGTAAGAACAATACCAGGAAATAAGAGAAATAATTTAATGCACTGAAGTTCCTGAAGGGTTTAGAACCCAGCAGAATTTTGGGGAAAATAATTATAATTTTCATTAGTCAAGTATTGTGCATATTACTACAAATAAAAAATAATATCAGCTCTCTCATGTCTGTGCATTGAAAGACCAGCAGACAGCTTGGATGTGCTATTTTTGGTATACACTGGAAATCAGCTTTGTTTATAACAGTTACACAGTGTATTGACCCAGTAAAGTAAATTTCCTCTGTTTACAGAAACTAGAATAACTATTTTGATTTTAAAACTGTATGTTGTTCATTTCTTTAAAAAAAACTTGTTAGAATGGCAGATAAAAGTAAATATTTTAAATTCAAATCTTTTTTTTACTTCTGTCTACAAGGTTGGTAATACTAATTCAACAAAATAATAATATAAAAATTTTACTTGTAGAATGTAAAAATATTGCTTATTCTTTTCATGGTTCACATAAAAATCTGCAGGCTTATTTAAAACCAGTTTCAGAAACTAAACAGGGATTTGAGTGACCTGAAGTTCCTAATAATGGAACTGCCCTTGTATTTTTACAACTGTCTTGTTATTAAAATGAAAGGGGTAAATCAGATTGTCACTAAAGTTATATTCATTTCCAAAATGTTATTGTTTTTAGTTTTCATAGGCAGCAAGAGAACACTTATTATTTCAGAGAGAACTCTCTTCTTTCACACAATAGGAATCAGAAAACCATACACAGATAGATGAACAGGTAAAGAGCATTCAGTCAGTTGATAACTCTATTCAAGAAGGTGAGAAGATGCAACAAGAAGAAGAAATACATGAATCATGAATAAACATCAACATCTATCTGTCTATATATCAATATCTGTAATCAACTATCTATCTATATCATCTTCTTAGCATATTATGGCCTCGTTAAGTGTAAGCATATTAGGAAACTAACTTTTCTTTCCAGAACTGTTGGATAACACTCTTTTCTAGTGTTTTGCAATTGCCTTTCCTAAAACTCCCTTTCCTTTGCGCTCTTACATATGTAGCCTTCTGGTAAATGATCATAATAATAATAAATTATACTTGTTTAGATCTTTATAAAATACATTTTCTCAAGCTGCAGTAAAGCTTGAGATCTAAGCAGCATTTTATGGTGCAATGAAATGATAGACAATGGTATAAAACATACATGTAAGGTTTCAGAAACAGGTGGAAACTAACCAAACAGCAACAGGTCCATATGTTCCTGGGAAATGGCTGTGAACAGAGCTGAAACTTCTATGACTTGTCTTTGGTATCTTAAAGATACTGAGATTGGTGGGGACCAGTGGCTGACACCTGTAATCTCAGCAGTTTGCCAGGCTGAGATGGGAGGATTGCTTGAACCCAGGAGTTCAAGACCAGCCTGGGCAACATGGCAAAATCCTGTCTCTCCAAAAACTACAAAAATTAACCACCATGGTGGCATGCTCCTATAGTCCCAGCTACTCGGGAGGCTGAGGAGGGAGGATTGCTTCAGCCTGTAGTGAGCCGTGATTGTACCTTTGTGCTCCAGCCTGGGTGACAGAGCAAGACTGTCTTAAAAAAAAAAAAGAAAAAAGATATGGAGATTGCCCAGGGAACATGTTAACAATAACATTTTAACAAGCAAGTGAGACAGTGTTTGTTCAAGGTCTGGTTAGGTATCCAAATGTACTATTTTTCTAAACTATTTTTCCCCCAATGTATAGAGAAGAGACACACATATGTTATTTGTGTATAGAGAAGAGAAGCTCAGTATCTGAAGACATCAGAAAAAGTCTACCCTGAGTAATCACCTATGATTACTCCAAGAAATCTTACCTTTAAATGGTGATAGCACCTATTTATGTAATTCCTAGCTTAGCTCATTTTAGATTGACAATTTGTTTTCTTTGTAAATTAAGAAAGTCTTGGAAATTCAAACTCTTAATCATTCTCTTTATCAAGACAGTTTTGAGAAGCCACTCTAATTAGCTTAGTGCTGTTCACGTGCATGAGTTAAATATTAAAAAATGGACCTGAAGGAATGAAATAAAGCAGAATGAATTTTTAGATCTATGTTTGTTCAGTTTTCACAATGAAACTTTTTATTTAAAATAATTACTGGACCACTGACCTTCCTATATTCAAGTATAAATATAAAAATAAATCTATTTCAAACTCTAGAATGATTATCAGGTTATTTACCCTTGAGACATAATTGCCCCTCCTATATTTCTGTCCATATTTATGAGTGTTATACTAAAATTTAATAAGCTGACACTGTAAAGGCCCATGGTTTTAGCAATCTTATATAATTCTTTAGGGCCAGCAGATATGGACTAACAGCAGAGCTGTGGGCCCTGCAGTAGATAAAGCAAGGTCTGGGTGGAAATGGTTCAAATCTAATCTTACCACTCTTTTTTACAACTGTAACTTCCACCAGCGTCACGTTTTATTCAAACATGGGTGAAGTTACCGCATGGCTTTTGGCTGTTAAGTGATTTTGGAAGTGCTCATAAATCTTTATGAAATTCAATTCAGTTTTCAACAAGTAATAGTTTAGGGGATGGGCAAAAATGCTTTCATAGCTCCACTGAAAAAATTTTCATTGAATCAAATAAAATTTTAGTGGCTTGACTGAAATGAATCCTTGTTATGGGATCATTGCTGGTATTAACAGTAGATACTGCCAATGGGCATTTGTGTAACTTTGAGTCCCTTAGGTTTTTCATAAAATAAAAACTACAAGAGCAGAATAAGGGGTGGGGACAGGATTAAACCTCTCTCGCTGTCCTCATAATAGACTCACATTCTAAATCAGACTGTCAGTAGCATCAGACATTTTTTTAATTCAGGAGAACTGTCTTTAAGAACAATAACAACAAAAGTCCAAGATTTTATAACCTCATTTGATAATCTTTCACAGACAGGAATTCCAAAGGGCTTTTGACTTCAACGCAGAGAAATTCCCTATTTTTCACAAGAGAACTCAGTTAAAAGAGACAGGAGGTGTACACAGGCTAAGAGTATTGTTTGAAGTGAGATCATAGTCTGACTTGTAAATAACATCAAAAGAGATGCTGTATGGGAGTTGAACTGAAGAAAGAAACACGTAAAGGCAGCCTTCTTGTTCTTCTATATCCCTCTGATTTGTAACTCAGATGTCTGTTAACAGATTAAAATCTGCCCCCCTCTTCTTTTGCAACCTCCCTCACCACCTGTCAGTGTCAGTTTACTTAGAACTCGAATTTGCTTCTTTCAGGATCCCCCTATCACAACAAGAATGACTCTGATATTATCCCTTTAGCCTATACTGTAAATACTGTTCAGTCTACCAGAGGCTTTTGATTTTAAAACTGGCTTTGTCCTCATGGACAAATTTTAGGCATCATCAAGTAAAGTTTATACAAGTTCGCTGTTTTCTTCAAAAGCATTCTATGCCTAGTCATTCTTTCTCTGTGAATATTTAGTGGCACCTACCCTATGCCAGGTGTGCCTGGTGCTACAAATACAAACATAAATAAGGCAGGATCCCACATTCAAGGAAATTACTGTATGTACAAATGAGATTGATGTAAAACAAATAAATAAAATACTATACTTTTAAAAAAGTGCAATATTCTGTGTGGGAACAAAGAAAGGAGTGGCCAATTCTGAGAGTCAGGTAAAGCTTTATCAGAGGGGAACACCTGAATCTCTCCGTATGGGAAGGTGCTTACCAGGGAGATAAGGTGGAGCACTAAGACAGTGTGAACTCAGGAAACTTTATGCACCTGTCATAGAACAGGGAGTGGTGGGAACAGACAGAAGAGGTAGGCAAAGTTTAGATTGTGTCAAGCTTATATGCCATGCTAAGAAGTATGGATTTTTAGTGAAGTCAGAAAAAATTACCTTATGCAGTAGACTAAAATGCTTACATAGATTGAAGCGATGGGAAATTAACAGACAGTCTAGTTAAATGACTGATTTATTAGAATAGTCGAAAGATGCCAAGAGCCCTAATTAAATATCTTAAATGGCTAAAGAGAAAGGGACGGGGTGAGGGCAAGGGAGAACTTGAGCATGGTGTCCACAGTTTTGGGGGACTGGGTAATGCCATTCAGTGTGATAAGGTGTAAAGGAGGGGAACAGGTCTCAATGGGAGGATAATTAGGGTAAAGTTGATTAGGGTGTTGAGCTTGAATTTTCTGAGATATGCAAGTAAATGTGTTCCAGAGACAATTAATATATATAATTTGGGACTCAGAAGAGACATATTTGCTAAAGATATTATCTCAGTAGCATTATTAACATATAGGTGGATGATGGAGAGATATGGAAGGAAAATAGAAGGGAGCAATGGAAAGAATCTTGGAGGATAATAAACTTTTGGATCCAGCAGAGGAAAAGCAAACCATAATTAGATCTAAGAAAGAATCATTAGAGAGCTAGGAAAACCAGGAAAATGTCTCAGAAGACCGAAAGTGTAGAGTTGTAAGAAGAAAGTGGCCTACACGTGAATGTGACTTTCAGGTCAAATACAACGGGGATTTAGCAATTAGGGGTTACACATAGTTTGTAAGACTTAGAGTGTCTGGGGGAAGATGGGTGAGAAAAATTAGTCTCGAAACTGACCCTGGGGCTGCATGTTTGCTCTATCCAAGAGGGAGGCCTGAGTGGCAGCCCTTTGAGATCATCACAGGCTTATTCTCTGGACCAGCATGAAGACCAAAAATCAGTCTCTGGAAAGGAAGTCTGCTCGTTCTGAAAATTGGTTTTTCCATACAGCTGGTTATCTCATTTCCCTACCCACTCTTTTCTGCTGACATAGGCCTCATCTTCTCTTTTTCTTCTATAACTACCAGATACCAAACCCTCCCACAAATCTCCATCTACCAGCTTTGGTGTTAATTTTTAATTTTCCTGTCTCCTCTTAGGATGACACTAAGCATGACAATGGACCATGGTAGCTTTACTACCCCAAATTCCAGCTACTTCAGTTTCTTCAAATTTAGGAAGGGAGGTGATAGGCATATGAATCATAGTGCTTAAAAACCTCACATGGAGAGTGTAGCTATATTAAGGAGGGTTGGAAAAAGCAGGAGGCAACAGAAGCCAAGTTTTGGGCTCAGCAGGGAAATACTGAATGCAGCCGAAGACATGGTTGTACTTGGACATGACACGCCAGACTCTATTCT
Source organism: Homo sapiens (assembly GCF_000001405.40). Classification (NCBI taxonomy): domain Eukaryota; kingdom Metazoa; phylum Chordata; class Mammalia; order Primates; family Hominidae; genus Homo; species Homo sapiens. The sequence continues at coordinate 181,439,096 of NC_000002.12, read as the reverse complement.
CAGATGTTAAGTCTTCTTGGTCTCACTGCCCCCATGGCACAGTGCTTGGGCTGAGCGGTCAGCATGTAATTATGTTGTTGCATTTCAGATAGGCGGACAGAGAAGGTCAGATCTTCTTTGAGAAGATCAGGTCTCGAAATTGTAAGTGAGCTCATCCCACCCAGGTGCCCTGGTGATATTTCTGAGAGCAGGTTGAGTTTTAAATAAACTTGGAGATTTCAGAATCTAGGAGAATTTGAAGCATTTCCAAGGAACCAAATACTTTCAATAAAGTGGGAATCTTATTCTGGAGAATTTAGTGGCCACAGACTTGGCTGTTTGCATTTTTGCTAACTGGTAAACTTGAAGCCAAGGCAGCTCTGATGTTAACTAGGGATGTAAAGTGACTGTGAAACAGACACACACACACACGCTTTGTAAACTTGTGCTCTACTAAAGTGAGAGAAGATAGGCAAGTTGTGGAATTAATTTTCTATTCAACATTAGAATGTAAGATCTGCACAAAAGTTGTTATGTATATTGCACTCTAAGCAGTATTTTCAGTCAGTTGTAGGTCATACATTTTAAGTGGTTAAGCAGAAATTGCAGTGTCAAGTTCTTAGGAAAACTTGCTGATCGCCCCCAGGTGGTGACAAAACAATCCCCAATGATAGCAAAACACCTGGAGAATCTCTTCCAAGACAGTGAGTCTCAAATTTTAATGTGGGTGTGAATCATCTGGAGATCTTGTTAAAATGCAAATTCTGATTTAGTAGGTCTGGGTGAGGCCTGAGATTCTGCATTTCTAACATGTCCCAGATGATACCAAACTGCTAGGCTATGGATCACACTTTGGTAGTAAAGTTTTAAGTGAGTATTCTTACTTGAATCTCATTACACAGTTATACCAGTGAAGTATAAACGCCATTGTCAGAAATGCCAGCAAAGAAAATCTGAACTGAGCAGCTAAGTGTAAATCAATATTTTGGGTCAATATCTTGTGGTTGAAAAATTAAATTAGACTATGTAATGAAAATCTATTTTGCATTTCGTTAGAAGTCATATAAATCCTTTTTTATAGATGAGATAAAATTTTGTGGCATGCTATTTTTTAATGACCAGATCCAATGAATTATAGTTAGAAATCTTGTCTCTCCCTGTCTGGATACTGTCATGGTAAAATTTCTAGTGTAGTTACAGATACTTAACTTAAATTAAATGCCCTTTTTGAAATACCACCAAACGGAACTATGTATAAAAAATACTTTTACCTGTTTTCTTTCTTTCTTCCTTCCTCCCTGTGGGTCTGCCTGCCTGCCTCTGGAGGAGAAGGAAGAGAAGGAGGAGGATAGCAGCTTCCCTAATAACTGAAATTTATAATGATTTTAATTAATAATGGAAAGGGAAAAATACAAGGAGCAATTTTCTAGCTATATCTTTACAGGAACTTTGAGATAAACAAGGTTTCTAATTCTTGAGAATTAATAACATTTTTGAGAATCCAAATCTTAACATTAAGCATTAATTTTGGTAAATTCTCCCAAGTAGTTCATCTTTTTCACCAAGAAAGATTTTAACACTTAAATTTTTAGATGTTTACAGACTGCTGTGGGCTTTCAAAGCACATCACTGATATGCCATGATTTTGAGAAATACTATTTGATTCTGTAAAATTCACTCCTTTGTCCAGTAACGGTGTTTTGAAGAAGAGTGATTCTGTGAACAAGATTATTATTTCCCAAATGAGAGTTCCATGGTCACATAAAGTTTGAAAAAAATCTAGGTACTTTAGTTCTCTTTTGTAGAGAACTAAAGCATATCATTATTTGAAAAGTTATGAAAACAATTTTTGCACTCTGTTTATCACAAATTTATTGTCCATTTAATTTGGAAAATGTTTGCTTTTGCCACTCTTCTACCTGTTCCCATATTAATCAAGTTTTTGGTTTAGGGAAGAACTAGGCTGAATGCCTTTCCTTTTATCATTAGTAAGGTGACAGTCTTTGCAGAAATTTCCCCAGTTGACTATCTCTGAAGTCTTTTTTGGACAAGGAGGATATGCTGAGCTGTGTGGGATGCCATGCAAGTCAATGGTCAACAAGGGAGAATGGGATGATCAGGACATAATTGGACCAATCTTTTCTTGTTTATTTTAGATTTGGGGGCACACATGCACGTTTGTTACATCAGCATATTGCATAATGGTGAGGTTGGGCTTTTAGAAAACCCATCACTCAAATAGTGAACATTGTATGTAATAGGTAAATTTTCAACTCTCACCCCCTCCATCCTCCCCTATTTTGGAATCCTCAGTGTTCATTATTTCCATCTTTATGTCCATGTGACCCATTGTTTAGCTCCCACTTATAAGGGAGGATATATGGTATTTGATTTCCTGTTTCAGAGTTATTTCATTTAAAATAATGACCTCCAGCTCCATCTATGTTGCTGTGAATGACTTGATTTCATTCTTTCTTATGGCTGCATAGTATTCCATTATATATATATATATATAAAATTATCCAGTATATATACACATATATTCTTAATATATAAAGAATATGGAATATATATATATTCTTTATATATACATATATTTATATATAGTATATATATTATTCTTTATATATTCTTTATATATTCTTAATATATATAAAGAATATATATATATATATATATATATTCTTTATCCACTCAACTGTTGATGGACACTTAGGTTGACTCTGTGACTTTGCTATTGTGAATAGTGCTGTGATGAACATGCCAGGGCAGGTATCTTTATAATAAAACTATTTCTTTATAATAAAACTATTTATTTTCCTTTGGGGAGATACCCAATAGTGGGATTGCTGGGTCAAATGGTAGTTCTATTTTTAGTTATTTGAGAATCTTTATGCTGATTTACACAGTAGTTGAACCAATTTGCATTCCAACCAACAATGTATAAGTATTCCTTTTTCTTTCTGAAAACAATTTTATAATTTTTTTGAAATGTTATTTTTTGACTTTTATTAATACCCATTCTGATCGGTATGAGATGGTATCTCAGTGTGGCTTTAATTTACATTTTTCTGATGATTAGTGATGTTGAGCACTTTTTCATGTTTTTGGATATTTGTATGCCTTCTTTTGAAAAGTATCTGTACATGTCCATTGCTCACTTTTTAATCCGGTTATTTATTTTTTCTTGTGGATTTGTTTAAGTTACTTATATATTCTGGATATTAGTTCTTTGTCAAAAAATATTTACGTAGTTCGCAAATATTTTCTCTCATTCTGTAGGTTGTCTGCTTACTCTGTTGATAGTTTCTTTTGCTATGCAGAAGCTCTTTAGTTTAATTAGGTTCCAGTTGTCAATTTTGCTTTGGTCTTGTTTGCTTTTGAGGTCTCAGTCATAAATTCTTTGCCTCAGCCCATGTCCAGAAGAGTATACCCAGGTTTTCTTCTAGGATTTTTATTTTTTGAGGTCTTACATTTAAGTCTTTAATACATACTGAGTTAATTTTTGTATAGGATGACAAGTAGGGGTCCAGTTTTATTCTCCTGCATGTGGTTAGCCAGTTTTCTTGCGCTATTTATTGAGTAGGGTGTCCTTTCCCTATTGTTTATGTTAGCTGCCTTTGTCAAAGATAAGTGGATTGTAGCTATGTGGCTTTATTTCTGGGTACTCTATTCTATACCATTGATCTGTATGTCTATTTTTGTATCAATAACATGCTGTTTTGGTTACTATAGGCTTGTAGTATAGTTTGAAGTTGGGTAATGTGATGCCTCTGGCTTTGTTCTTTTTGCTTAGGATTGCTTTGGCTATTTAGGCTCTTTTTGCTTCCATATGAATTTTAGAATTACTTTTTCTAATTCTGTGAAAAAGGAAATTGTTAATTTGATAGGGATTGTGTTGAATCTGTTGATTGCTTTAGAAAGTATAGTCATTTTAATAATAATTCTTCTTATCCATGAGCATGGGATGTTTTACCATTTGTTTGTCCAGTTTCTTTCACAGTGTTTTGTAGTTCTCCGTATAGAGGTCTTTCACTTCCTTGGTTAAATGGAGGTGAAAGTCCTCCATTTATTGCTAGACGTTTTGATAGTTTCTTTTTTTGGGGGCGGTGGTGGGCAGGATTACAAATGGGATTGCTTTCTTAAGTTGGTTCTCAGCTTGAGCATTGTTGGTGTATAGAAATGCAACTGATTGTGTGTGTTAATTTTGTCTCCTAAAATTTTACTGAAGTCATTTATCAGGCCTAGGAGTCTTGTGAAGGAATCTTTAGAATTTTCTAGATATAAAGATCATACCACCAGTGAAGAAAGATTATTTGACTTCTTCTTTTCTAATTTGAGTGCTTTTTATTTTTTTATCTTGCCTGATTGCTCTGGCTAGGACTTCCACTACTATGCTAAACAGGAGGGGTGAAAGCGGACATCTTTGTCTTGGTCGCATTCTTAGGAGAAATGCTTTAAATGTTTCCCTGTTCAATATGTTGGCTGTAGATTTGTCATAGATGGCTCTGATTATTTTGAAGTATGCTCCTTTGATGTCTAGTTTATTGAGGCTTTTTATCATAAAGAGATGTTGAGTTTTATGGAAAGTATTTTCTGCATCTATTGAGATGACCAAATGATTTTGTTTTTAAGTCTATTTATGTAGTAAATAACATCGACTTCTATATGTTGAAACATCCTTACACACAAGTGGCCCAATTGTGACTCTTCACTTGGGGCTGATGCATCACATAACATTGGAGCACTATTAGCAAGAAATGGAAGTAGGGAGGGCTTCTGGGAAGGTAACTAACAGTGCCCAAAGGAAATTTTTAAGAAAATTGTATGCATCACTTTCACTGCTTTCATACTGGTTTAAACCAAAATCTTTTCTCATTTCTGCAGAAGCTTTGGGCTGATGCTTCCATTCTTATTCCCTTGCTATTAGTCCTCCAGATGGCTGCCAGGAGGATCATTTAAAACCATAAATCAAGTCATGTTACTTCCCTGCTACAAACCCTCCAACGGCTTTCCATTTCATTTAGTATAAACTCCATGCCCTTGGTCATGGCTTAAACGTCCTGTGAACTTTTGCAACCTGTATTAGTCTGTTTTCACATTGCTAATAAAGACATACCCAAAACTGGGTAATTTGCAAAAAAAAAAAAAAAAAAAAAAAAGAGGTTTAATGGACTCACAGTTCCACATGGCTAGGGAGGCCTCACAATCATGGTGGAAGGCAAATGAGGAGCAAAGTCACTTCTTACTGTGGTGGCAGGCAAGAGAGAGCATGTGCAGAGGAACTCCCCTTTATAAAACCATCAGATTCCGTGAGACTTATTCATGATCATGAGAATAGCATGGTAAAGACTCCCCTCAATCCCCCATGATTCAATTATCTCCCACTGGGTCCCTCCCATGACACTTGGGAATTATGGGAGGTACAATTCAATATGAAATTTGGGTGGGGACACAGCCAAACTATATCACAATCTCATCTCATGCTTTGTTCATTTTATTCTAGTCTCGGCTCTTTGCTCTTCCTCCAAAATGCGAGGTTATTTTTTTTAATCTCATACCATTGGCACTTTCTTTTTTTTTGCTTGAAAGTTTCTTTCTTCATATTTTCACATGACTTTCCCCCCTATTTCTGTTCATGTATCACCTCCTCAGGGACAATGTTCCTGATCAGACTCTCTAAGACACTGCTTTATTTTTCTTATCTGTTTTCTTTTTGTCCTTTATATACTTGTCTATATTCTGTCACCTCCACTAAAATATTGAAACATGAGTTGATCTTGCTAATCACTGAATGTCATTACCTACAACAGTCTTACATTGTAGACTAGCAAATATATGTGGATTACATGAATGAAATCTATGAAGTTAAAAGAGAAACTCATATGCCAGTTAAAATAGAAGATGATGGGTTGTTTGTAAACAAAAAATACAGAGTAGTGGTACTCATTTGGAGACCTAATGAAAACTCTGAATAGCAAAAATCTTATTGACATCTTTGATCTCATTTAGACCCAGAGATGGGGCTGAATTTATTGGATGTTAACAAATCTAAAAAACTGAATTTGCAATGCAACAAAAAATAAATAAATAAGTGGGACCTAATTAAACTAAAAAGCTTCTGCATAGCAAAAGAAATAATCAGCAGAGTAAACAGAAAACCTACAGAGTGGGAGAAAATATTCACAAACTATGCATCCTACAAAGGAATAATATGTAGAATCTACAAGGAATTCAAACAAATCAGCAAGAAAAAATCAAATAATCCCATCAAAAAGTGGGCCAAGGACATGAATAGACAATTCTCAAAAGAAAGTATACAAGCAGCCAACAAACATATGAAAAAATGCTGAACATCACTAATTACCAGGGAAAGGCAAATTAAAACCACAGCGAGATAACACCTTACTACTGCGTGAATGGCCATAACTAAAAAGTCAAAAACAATAGATTGGCATGGATGTGGTGAAAAGGGAACACTTTCACACTATTGGTGGGAATGTAAACTAGTACAACCACTATGAAAAACAGTACAGAGATTCCTTAAAGAACTAAGAGAACTACCATTTGATCCAGCAATCCCACTAAATGTATCTATCCAGGGGAAAAAGAAGTCATTATATGAAAAAGACACATGCACATGCATGTTTATAGCAGCACAATTCACAGTTTCAAAGATATGAAACCAACCTAAGTGTCTATCAGCCAACAAGTGGATAAAGAAAAAAAATGTGCATATATATATACATATACCATAGAATACTACTCATTCATAAAAAGGAATGAAATAATGTCTTTTGCACCAACTTGGATGGAGCTGGAGGGCATTATTCTAAGGGAAGTAACTTAGGCAGAACTGGAAAACCAAATGTTGTATGTTCTCACTTACAAGTGGGAGCTAAGCTATGAGGATGCAAAGGCATAAGAATGATATAATGGACTTTGAGGACTCAGTGTGTGGAGTGCAATGGCTGGGAGTGGGGTGAGGGATAAAAGACTACCTATTGGGTATAGCGTACACTGCTCCAGTGATGGGTGCTCCAAAATCTCAGAAATTACCACTAAAAAATTTATCCATGTAACCAAAAACCACCTGTACCTCAAAAGTCATTAAAATAAAAACAAAAATTATTAAAGAAAAATTAAATAAGTAGTTTCAGGTGATAACATGCATTTGCAATTCTTGATTTGAAAATTGTGCCTTAATAATACTATCTGGAGACCCATCTGAGCCCTCTGCTGACACCTTTGGCATCTGCAACTCTACCACATTAGATGCTGGAATTAGAGACTTTTTCTTACCAATATAAGGGAGAGCTACCTGTAAAGATTTAGGAAAAAAGTACTGATTCTTAGAGAAAATCATAGATTGAAATGAACATTTTAAATTAGAATCTAAGGTGTCTTCCAACTATTGGGTTTTAAATTACAGTTTTCCACTTATCCGAAAACTGATATTTCCTTACATTAAATTCTATTTAAAGAAAACTTCCTTAGAAAACATCTTCTAAGACACTAAAATTTAAGTCTAGATTATTCATAAATTTAAGAGACAATTTTGTCTGGGTTGGGCATTTTTTTACATGTAAAGGACTCAAACCAATTTCCTTTATATGCAAGAATATTTTGAGTATAGATGATATCATCAGACTTTGACACTCAGCTTAATTTCTGTTATGTTTTTAAAGCTTATTGCTTGTCTATCATACCTTGTCTGTTATTCTATATGTTAAATTCAAGTAGCAAGATTTATAATAGAAGTTAGATTTAAAAAATCTGGAACCGATTAAAGACATTCATTTTTACCATGGCCTTAGTCCCAGAAGCTTTATATTAGCAATGTAAAGCATTCCAAGCTAATAGAAAAATTGGATTAAAATTAATGTGAGAGGTTATTTTTCAAAAGGCTTTATGTCAATGACCTAATGATAAATGTTCCAGTAAAATTTGCACCTTTAAGAATGCTTTATACATTGTCACTGCATCTTGCATATGTCACAGTCTCCATTTGGACAACAGACACAGAACTGTTCTGTTAAACAAGGCTTAGAAGTTGCTGCAGCAGGGACTGCTGGCTGTTCACCAAAGTTCATTCTCCTCTTCTGCTCTAGTAATACGGTTGGGCTGAAGATGTGACCACAAAACCAGGAACTACATTTTCTAGCACTGCCACCCCTTGTCAATCCTTTCAGAAAAGCATGACTGCATGACTTCATTTTCACCATTGGAAAATAAATGGAAGTGATGTGTACCTCTTCCAGGCCTAGTGTCAGAGGCATTCGAACCAGAGCTACTCCATCTTGAATAGGGGCTGGGTAAAATAAGGCTGAGACCTACTGGGCTGCATTCCCAGGAGGTTAGGCATTGTAAGCCACAGGATGAGACAGGAGGTTAGCACAAGATACAGGTCACAAAGACCTTGCTGATAAAACAGATTGCAATAAAGAAGCCAGCCAAAACCTATCAAAACCAAGACGGTGATAAAAGGGACCTCTAGTGGTCCTCACTGCTCATTGCATGCTAATTATAATGCATTAGCATGCTAAAAGATACTCCCACCAGTGCCATGACAATTTACAAAGCCATGGCAATGTCAGGAAGTTACCCTATATGGTCTAAAAGAGAAGAACCCTCAGTTCAGAGGAATTGCCCACTACTTTCCTGGAAAACTCATGAATAATCCACTCCTTGTTTAGCATATAATCTGGAAATGACCATCAAAATAGAGAAACAGTAGCCCTTGGGGCTGCTCGGCCTATGGAGGACCCATCCTTTTATTCCTTAACTTGCTTCAAAATCTCTCTTGCATGAGTTCCAAGAACCCTCTCTTGGGGTCTGGATCAGGACCCTTTTCTGGTAATGCTGGGATTTAAAACATTGGGCGTATATTTGTTGATGCTCTTTCCTCTTCCCATAAACTGGAATAAATACTATTTAAAGAAAATTTCCTTAGAAACATCCCTCATGGGGTTAAGGGCAACAGTCCAGATGATAATGGAGAGAGAAAATGGAAAGACCTGATCCCAGAATGACTGTATGGACCACAGCAGGCTGCCTATTTGCTCTGGATTGACATGTAAGGAAGAAATAAAAGCCATTTTAAAAGCCACTCCACTGTGAAGACTTACCGTAATAGCATTATAACAATTTGGCCTTTTATGCTAAATAATACAGGGGCTAAAGCCATCTTGGGTGCCCTCCTACCCCACTTTCATGTTCTGCTCTTCTTTCATGGTAGCGCCTCATTCGCCAGAACCCTCAGGAAGCTACCTGCATGTGTGCTCGGTTTTGGATTCTTTTCTTCATGATTTTGGCTTGCTTGACTTCTAAATCCTGAATTTTGTTGCATTTAGTTTTACCTATTTGGCTCATTCTAAGGCATTTAATTAAGTCAGTCAATTTTTTAGAAGCTTACAGACCATTATGTCTGATAAAAGGCACTATTTTACCTCAGAGTTGTGACTTAATCCAAATGAATAGATTTTTTTTTTAATTGGCAGAAGTTCCAGCAGAAGTCCACAGATTATTCTAGTTTCTGTTCAATTACATTCTATAATGTTGGATTTTCCCTTGTGTAAAAAAAGGTAACTTTTTTCCCTTCAGATTCTCAGGTGAGAGCAGAGCTCAGCTTCCCCTTCCAAGACAGAAAAAGAACGAAAATTGAGGCTGAGATGTTCCCATTTCTTTGTCGCTGTTTTGCTAGATGGCCAGAAGTAAGAGATTGTCCCAAATGTAGGCTTAATTTATTGTTTCAAACGGTCATGAACTAAATAAATATCAATTACTATCTACTATCTGTAAACAAATTTAACTAATGAGATTGCGTGATTCAACTTAGATTTCAGAAGTTTCCATTTACTTGTTACAGTGAATCAGAAGCTTCAAGTTTCTGAGTACTGCCTCACACTTTCCAACTTGTCTTTTGAGGCAAAAAATGAAAGAATTTGTAGATGACACTGATCAAAGAATGTTCATGTTTTCTGGGCCACCTCCACTTATAAATCAGAGAATAACAGGTCCTCATTCTACATCCCAGTTTTATAACATACTTTCTAATACTTTGCACACTGCTGGGTGCTACTCTTTTATGGGACATGAAATAACTTACTGGATCATAGTCAACATATGAAAAAGTATGAATAGAATAGAGTAGTATAATAGTACTTCAACTATAATTCCAGTAAGTATTGTTTTGTGAAATTTTAGTTTCCATTGGAAATTTAGTTTCCAACACTCTATAAATGTTAGGGTGAGTGTGAATGTGTACTGGGTTGTGATGCAAAATGTATTATTTACTATTAAAAATAAAGTTTTAAAACACTTGCTTTAGCCCATCAGCTCATTTTGGAAACAGAATGGCTCCTCTTTAGGGATGCCTACCTACCCAGGCTACTGCCTTAATATCATTGAATGGAGTCTCTTAAATTAACCTTTAAAGTGCTACAGTGCCATGTAATAATAAACTACACATTTATGTATCAGGGAGTTAGGTCCAGTGCCACCCTTTTGCAAAACTATTTAATTCTCTGTGCTTCTATAAAAATCAACCCCCAAATCCCAACATTCTTCTAGTTTACATAAAATAATGACTTTGTAAATAAAAGCTACCACAATATAAATTTGTCTGTGGTCAATAACTTAATTTACACATGGACTAAACATACAGTTCTATAATTTTAAGTTTCCTCAATCATAGACAATATCATGCTGTACTCAGAGCACCATAGAGATCCTTTCTGGGAAAGCACCAATGTACCATTGCACAATGTACAATTTAACAGCTTATATGAGAAGCTATTTATTGCAATAAAAGGAATTTGCTCAGATTCATGCTCAAATCCATTTCTGCTATAGATTATTTTTTGGGGGGTAAGAGGTCAAGAAATAATTTTTTATTCTAAATGCAAAAAATATATATTTTACTTGGTAGAATGCACATACCTATAATTTGCAAACTGCGTTTATAATTTCAAATTTTATATATAGCATGCCTTATATTCCAGATGAAATTACTTATAACTAGATGCATTCATTTAATTATTATACATATTAAAATGTATAAGACATTCACCAACACACCGAAAAATATAAATAAAGGGAAAGGGGAAACTCCTGACTGATTGCCTTAGTTGGAAATACTGACACACTAGTTTATCTTATGAATGATCATATCTAGTAGCTTAACTAATAACCTGCACCACTGACTATTCTACAGTGAAGAGAAAATCTGAGCACAAACATGATTGAATGATGAACAGATGAATATAATTATATTGTCCTGAAAAGTGGTTTAACTCTTTAACTGTAAAATATTCTGCTTTTCAGAAATCACCCCTCTGAGAATAATCTACAAATTCAATAATTTACCCAAAAGTACCACCATTAAAAGTGAAAAAGGATAAAACATCAAAACTCATGTCTTTTTTTTTTTTTTTTTTTGAGACGGAGTCTCGCTCTGTCACCCAGGCTGGAGTGCAGTGGCGCGATCTCGGCTCACTGCAAGCTCCGCCTCCCGGGTTCACGCCATTCACCTGCCTCAGCCTCCCGAGTAGCTGGGACTACAGGCGCCCGCCACCACGCCTGGCTAATTTTTTGTATTTTTAGTAGAGACGGGGTTTCACCGTGTTAGCCAGGATGGTCTCGATCTCCTGACCTCGTGATCCGCCCGCCTCGGCCTCCCAAAGTGCTGGGATTACAGGCGTGAGCCACCGCGCCCGGCCAAAACTCATGTCTTAAGAACATTTGGTTATAATAATTTTAGTTATTCTAAGATTATACTGTTCGTACTTGAATTGATAGCTCATTATTGTATATTTGAAAGCTTTATGAAACAGTTTTACCTCTTCTCTATGTAATATTATTGAAAAACAGTGTTAAAATAATCTACAGGCTTTACACAGTGACTAAAACTTCACCATAAAATAAATCACTGTGTTAAGATGCTCAGTATCTGTGAGCACATAAGTGTTTGAAAATATGCAAAAAATAAAAAGGGCAAAGAAAATTAAGGGTATTTTTCAAGCTTCTCTGATAGAAAATTTATGATTATTTAAATTGGCCTTAGGGTGCTGTTTATCTTTTTGTATTATCTTTAGAGGGGAGGGAAAGGAAGAGAGGAGGGAAAGTAGCTTGTTAAGCAAATGAATAGTGCCCCCCTCTACCTTAATGCTGGAGGAGGACCCTTTTCAAGCACTTGAGAAGTGTGCAAACACTGTAATTGCCACATGAACAAAGGCCACTCTGCACAGCTCAGCTCACCCTTTGATATGGAAACTACAAATCTCTCCTTCTTTTAGTAAATCAGGATTTCCAGACAGCAACCCTTGAGTCCCACCGGTTTATACAACACTTTCCTCGTAATAAATTTAGATCACAGGTGGTTTTTAGTGTTTTGCTTTGTGCCTTAGCAATGTATCAAGGAGGTCTTAGGGCCCTGGCCTCCCTTCTTGGTAGATTCTACCTTCCCACCTGGAGAAATTAGTGGGAGTTAGGTAGGTGGTATGTGAAAGGTATTCCCAAAATGCAATTAAAAAAAAATCCCTTAAGCTTGTTTTGAACTTTGAAATATAATTTTTGGAATAGTGTTTTCTTATTGTTTGTAAGATGTATATGGGGGCAGTGGTATATCCATGAGCTATGAGCTTAGTTACACATAATCATTTGTGGAAAATACTTTGTGGTCTCTTAGATACACATAAAGTCAATTTACCCTCTCGAAAATATAATCCTCAATGATTTGACATTGGACTGAGTTCCAAAGGCTCAAGAAACACCAATGACTAGCCTGAGAAAGAATTTGGCAAGCAGAATTTGTCTATGGAAAAACTGGTCTCAGTGTTAACAGTAGAGATCCTGTCAGGAAAGGGTTGGGATGCTCAAAAAGGGTAATTGAAATAAATTTAATCAAGGCGTTACCACTACGGAACATATCCAAGTCACATGGCACCAAAGTATGTTAGCAGGGCCAAATCTGTACGAGTCTGCGAGAACCTCAATTCTTGCTGCCTCAGAAGAAAGAGTTTGGCCAAGGAGCATAAGGCAGAAGAAGCGACAGGCAAATATTAGAGCAAGAGTTAAAGTTTATTAAAAAGTTTAGAACAGGAACGAAAGGAAGTAAAGTACACTTCAAAAGGGCCAAGCAGGTGACTTGAGAGATTCAAGTGGGTGATTTGACTTTTGACTTGGGGTTTTATAGATTGGCATGTTTCTGGGGGGCTGCATCCCTTATCCCCTGATTTGTCTCTTGGGTTGGGCTGTCTGCAGGTGCAGTGCCCTACCAGCAAGTGGGAGAGACCGCATGTGCAGTGTTTACTGAAGTTGTACGCATGCTCCCCTGAGGCTTTCTTCCCTTACCAGTCGAGTGTTCCTGTCAGTTAAAATTTCACCATTTTGCCTCTTAGTGCACATGCTTTAACTCATTCCCCAACTCCTGAGATCTTATGGGGAAGCTGCTGATCATTACTTTCAGTTGTTTCTATCTACTGGGAGACAGCCTCTTCCTGGCACCAGCTATGACCAATTATTATTATAGGGAGACAGCTTAACAACTGCCTGGCCATCACTGGATGGTTGCCTCACATTCGTGAAGGGGTGTCTCTCTTGCCCGGCTCGTGTCCGACTAACTACTGACTGTAACAAAGAGACTATTTAAAAGTGTTTGAGGTGAGCGTTATGGGTACCTAAAAAGGGATGGTAAAACACCAGGATTGCCACTAGACTTGAAAGGCAAGGTGAGGGAGCAGCTATTGGGTCCTAGAGAGAGCTGTAGATGTAGCCGATGGAGAGCTACCCCACAGGAGCTGTGGCAGTTGGGGAACCAAGTTACTGACAGCCCATGGTCTGCCATGAAATAAAATTTACAAATCTCTTCCCCTGGTACTCTTTAATCTTCCGTCAGGGGCTCCCAATGACTAAGGTCAACCAGAAGCAAGAGGGTAAGAATACGGTTAATGTAGCCTATAGAAATTGGCCTCTTGACACCCAGAGCAGACTGAAGATGCACGTAAAATAAGTCTGGAAGAGCAAGACTCTTTGATACACTCAGATTTCCTAAAATGTAAGCCTGAGAGCTATTTGTGGAAGAAAAGTCACTGAATGGAAGCTCATATACACCTGTGTCAATGTTGACAGTGTAGGTGGGATTGTGACATCTTTTTGGTTTATTGATTGGCCCACCTTCTCTAAGGAAGAAAGGCAGGGCACCACCATCCTGAATATATAGGATGTATTTTAATTCCTGAAAAATTATCTTTCTCATTCTTCTGTCCCCCACTCACTCACTTACTCAGTGTATGATAACATTGCTGAGCAAATATGTCATGAAACAGGGCAATTGGCTAGCTGTCAGTCATAGATTGAGTCTCTTATAGATGCAAACATCAATCAAGTGGTTCCAAGGTCATACATTTTAACATTTCCTTGACTAAACCCTTCTCACATGACCAGTGTGTCGGGGGTGGGGATGCGGAGGTATAGTTGGGAACAGTGCAAAGAGGAAATTGATATTGATACCCTGAATTTACCAAGGCAACATTATCTTTAAGTACTGAAAGAAAGAATTTACATATTAGTAGAGTAACATTATCCTTGATAACAGTTCTTGTTAGTATCTTGTTAACAGTTCTGTCTAGGGTACTCTACATTTGCATACAACTCATTTAACACTTATAACTACCTATCAGTGGATTGGCCATATTTTATTTACTCCAATTTTACAAACGAGGAAACTAAATTATATAGAGCTTAATGATACCCCCAAATCACATAACTAGTTAGCCATGGAGTCAGATTTAACTCAGGCTTTCTAATTCTAAACACAGTTCTATTGTCACAGATAAACACAAGATATACTCTAATTATTAATACTTTTTATTTTGGTATTATCTTTTTTGACATTCAGATATTACTTCTGAGGTAAACATATTTAATAATAATGAACTTAACATCGTTTAAAATAAAATGACTAAAAATGGCTAAAAAGGAATTTTTCTATGTTATCAAAGTCTATTAACATTAGAGAATAGTCAAAATCAAATTACTTGCAAGTAACATTTTTTCCCTTACAGGAAATTTATTTAAATAGTCTCAAAGTATAAGGCCAAATACGCCGCAATCATATTTCAAGTTACAAAGGTTATTACTTGCTAGGAGCAAAAAAAAAAAATTTCACAAGATATTAGTTAAATCATATTTTATATGACTTGTTTAATAAACAGAAAATGGATTAACACAAATAATTTACTATAAAAGTGTTTTAAGATGATTTAAGCAAAAAATATAAAAATATTGTGAAAAATTATTTCTGACAATGTCAATGTTAGGAAAATCAACAAAAATAAATGAAAACTCAGAGCTTAACTAGTAAATCAAAATTAAACATAATATGATATAAAATCTGAATTATTGCTGTTCTGCATATAGTACTTCTCATAGAATTATGACTTTGGAAGGTTTATAAAACTAGAACCCCATAAAACCTCACTGAGGTAAGTAATACTCCAGTCCCATTTTTAAAAGCAGAAGCGGATGTGTCTGTGAGAACTGGAAGAGATACTCAACAGTGATTTCGTTACAAAGAAAATCCTCCTTTTGCTGATTTCTTATGCTAGATGATTTCTCCTTCTGCTTGCAATTCAAAGGATTTGTCATCTTAAAGACTGTTATAATTAAGCTAAGTAATTAAAAAAGGATCAGCATGCTTTATCTATCTCAAATAATAGAAACTTCTGCATTTAGGCCTATATAGCTTTTATATTTCTATTAGGCAATAGAGAATTATTTTCTAACACGATGTGTCATTTGAGTGGAATTCCGCTTGTATTTTTTTGGTCATGTTTACAACTTGTTTAAAATTGAGTATTATAGAGATTGATATATTTGACGTAACATTCCTAGAGATGTTTCTCCTCTACAAATTCTGGTAAAGATAATTCCTTGAAATGTCTTCAAAAAAATAATCCCATGCTGTAGATCGACAGTAGGAGAAACATCTATTCTCTGAGGGTCATTGTATCTGGAATTTCTTTCATCCAGCAGGGCCCTAGTTATTCACATTCATCTCTGAGCAAGACGAAATTGCAATAGATCCATGGTATCTCTGTTTTGCTTTCAGTATTACCAGAGTGATGTAAATACCATCACCAATTATCATTTACTAAATGCTGAATCTGCAAGGAATTCTGTAGAACTGCCATTTCCTACTAGGAGAGTAGAATCTTTGTTTTTAAGTAGATTTATTAAGGTAAAATTTGAATGCCATAAAATTGACTCATTTTAAGTGTATAACATGATGATTTCTATAAATTTAGAGTTGTGCTACCATCACCTCAATATGATTTTAAAACAATTGCATCACTTCATAAAGATAGACTCCTTGATTTTTAAATTTGTGAAACAGCAAATAAGTGACTCCTGTTTATGAAAACAATATAAAAATATGATTATAAATACTCTAAAGTGAAGTTATTACTTAAATTGTGGATTTTGTAGTTAAAGAGTAATACCTAGAAATCTTTGTTATCATTGAGTTGACAAGCTTTTTGGGTAAAATGTAGTTGCTGTAAGTATTTTATTCAACCATGGAGATGGCTGAAATTTTAACTGAATTACTTGTATGTTGCAATGTTTTCCTAAAACAGGAAAAAAAATTACAATTCGTATCTCTACAAATAATTTTACAAGCTGATCTTTAATCATTCTGAGAGATGACAGTGTTTCTTTTTACAGAGCCATGGGGCTTGGAATCTATTTAGATCAATACACAAGGCAGAAAGGACAAGACCCAGTTGCTGAACTGAAACAACTGATTCCATTGGTAGTCTCTCTATCAGCACCAAACCTGGAAATGCCACTCCTCAAGAAAAAGACCACCAATCCAAGCACCTTTCTAAAATCACTTAGTGGAGGCCTGAATCTTGTAAGAAAACTAACTTAGAGTTTCTGCATTTACAAATAAAATTTCTTTTCTGTGTGTTTTAGTTTCCTAGTGCTGCCCTAACAAAATGCCACAAACTGGGTGTTTTAAAACAATAGACATTTATTATCTCACAGATCTGGAAGATAGTAATTTGGAATTAAAGTGTCAGCAAGGCTATGCTCCCTCTTTGGCTCTGGATAGATTTCCTCCTGCTTCCTCCTACTCTCTGGTGGCGGCTACAACTCCCTGGTGTTCCTTGGCTTGAAACTGCATCACTCCAAGTTCTGCCTTTGTTATCACATGGTATTTTCCCTGTGCGTCTATGGCCTCATTTTAACCTGATTACATCTGTAGAAATCTTTTTTAAAAAATAAGGATATATTCACAGATACTAGGGAATGGGAATTCAACATATCTTTTGAGAGAACACAATTTAACACACAACAATACGAGCCTTTAGGAATCATGAATCCCATGCACGTGCCTTTGTTGTAAAGGTTAAAGAGTTTCCAAAGAGCAATGAGTCCCTCTGAGGTCATATGTTCAGGTTGAAATGAGGTTCTAAGAGATCAGGTATCTTCTCAGATCATGTAAGTCCTCCTGCAATTAAAACATCTAAAAAAATAAAATGAGCTAAAAGTGAAATTTGCCTTTCTCTATTCTTTCAATATCTGAATAATTTTGTGGAATATATTTAGTGTTTATTGTTAATAAACCTCCCTCATTTGTTATCTAGTCTTTCATACAAAATACACGTGCAAATATTCTGAAGTGAAACCATCACTCATTTCTTTCTCCTTGTAACTTTGCTTTATAGATCTAGAGAGAAGTTTCTTTTTGAAGTTCAATATGGATTTGAAAGTATAGTTTCTATAAAAACAAATACCAAAGATCAGGTTAGATGAGTTGTACATATTTCAGGCACTTGGGCCTTATCTCTCATCCCACCAGTCAGAATCTTCCTCATTAGCCTTCTCTAGGCATTGTTTACACAGCTTTGTCTTACAGACTGATATTAATTTTATGATTGTGATAGGTAACAGGATGTTACATAGGGGTCCTGCTGTTTGGGTTTCTGCTGAGGCCCAAACAAGAGTTGACAAGTACATCCCCACTGTCAAAATGAAGTGCTAACCAAGTTCAACAGACTGGTACAAGAGGGAGACTTTGCTTCGCTTAGCAAACTACCCTTCTAGCTTTTAGAGAAGTTAAGAAAGGTCAGGAGAGGAGAAAGCGTTTAAAGGAGGATTCTTAAAGGGGAGTGTCATTGGGCTGTGATTCTTTCTGAGGAACAGAGGGTTGGGGTTGAAAGGTGTACCTTTGTTACCTCGAGTCAGGTGAGAGGGGCTTTGAGGAGGCCATGCACAGAGTTTCCTATGCATCTCCCATATGAACTGCAGTCATGCCTGAGAGTCTCATGATGACAAGTGACTGGCTGAAGCAACCCATGGTGACAGAGGAGAGTTCTGCTCTTGGAAGTAACTGCATGGCCTACAGGGGCCCGGATGAGGATTACATATGAGAACCATCTGGGGTTTTCTTGGGTTCTGTCCCAGAAAGCTGCTGGAGGGTTAAGGGGGCTCAGCCGAAAGTCTAGCAGTGACTAGATAATCAGGGTGACTAGATTATCTGGCTGAGGGAGAAACAATGGAACCAGCAGAGAACTTGAGAAGTGCAGGTGAGATATCGCTAGAAATGAGGGATCTCAGAAGAGCCCAAGAAAATACCCACAAAAGAAAGAGTCCCTTTAAACACTTGCCAAACCCAGAGAATTGAAGTCATGGACCTTTCAAGGGGGAGGAAAAAAATCAGTCCCACAAAACAGCTCTAAATGACTGTGAGGGAGAAACAAGAAAGCTGGTTTCTGATTTGTAAATATGTTTTCTTTTCTTTTAAAAATACTCAAATATCCTTATGTGTAGTGAATATTTTTTTGTCAGGTGATAATTCATTTTTTACAATGAAGAGAGAGTCTATGGAGGCCATTTACCCTCATGCTGTGTTATACGTATCATGTACATGTACACAGACTCCTAACATTTAAAAATTAAAAAATATTTCTCTGCATATTTTAAGCATTCTCTCAACTAACAAACATCAACTCAAGGCAGTGTGGCAAAAACTATTGCTGTAATTAGAAATCTTGTTTCAGCAAGGTGGTGACTTACAATAGACAAAGCCAAACTGTTGAATTTTTCTTGCCTGTTCTTCAACTGTGCCTCTCATTCAAGAGGGGACGTATGTACACATGATGCAATTTATACCTCTCTGTCATCTGTCCACCACCATTATTAGTCTTTTCTAGGACTCAGAATTTAGGCAGCAGTTCACAAAAAGAACGTAGGTCCTAGGGCGCTTCTTTTGGTGCCAGAACACATGTTTTGGGGTCAGAAAAAGATGTTCTCTTTTATAAACCATGGGGACATTTTAGTCCTGCCCTATAGTCTGTCTCTTAGTAGAACATTTCTACTTAAAAGTTATGACCTCATTGCAGCCTCTAATTCTCTTTATAATTTTACCTTTAGATAAATTCCCCTTTTCAACTTCCTTATTCTGGTAAATGACAGCACTATTCTCCTTAGTTACTACGAATCAAAATCATTGCCATTTTTTACTTCTCCATCTACTGTGCATTTAATATCCAAGTCCTGCTCTCTACGTTTTTCGAACAGCTCCCATAAATATATCTTCTTTAGCAGTTTTAGAAAGTTTCATTAGTTGCCTGAATTCGCTCAGTCTGCCAAGTTGTTTTCCCAGCATCCAGGTTCTCCTCTCTTTTGGTTTATCCTGTTCACAGTAAACAAATTTCTCTCTCTAAAACACAACTTCTGTTTATCACTCTGTTGTTAAGGACTATTTTGTGGCTTCCACTGACCTCAGAATAAATGAAAAACTTCAGATGGAATTATAATACCATGAAGACAGATGCAGCCTCTCTGAACCTCACCCATTATATACTTTAATCTTACTCCTGTAAAATGCCTTTATAGTTTCAAAGGTAATTTCATTAATTCGTTAAAAAATGCTTGCAGGCTAGGCGTGGTGGCTCGCACCTGTAATCCCAGCACTTTGGGAGACTGAGGCGGGCGGATCACGAGGTCAGGAGATCGAGACCATCCTGGTGAACACGGTGAAACCCTGTCTCTACTAAAAATAAAAAAAATTACCCAGGTGTGGTGGCAGGTACCTGTAGTCCTAGCTGCTTGGGAGGCTGAGGCAGGAGAATGGCGTGAATCTGGGAGGCGGAGCTTGCAGTGAGCCAAGATCGTGCCACTGCACTCCAGCTTGGGCAAAAGAGCGAGACTCCGTCTCAAAAAAAAAAAAAAAAAAAAAAAAAAGGAAAGCTTGCAACTCTGCTAGATGTGGGGATACAGCAGTGAAAATCAAAGACACAGTCCTTGAGCACACATCATCTGGAGTCCAGAGGGACACAGACAAGTCAAACAAGTTTTATGTTGTGAAGTACCAAATGCAATAGGATAGGAGAGGCATAAAATACCCTTGGGTCATCAGAGAAGGGTTCTCAAAGGTAGTGATACTCACAATGAGGTCTGAATGCAAAGCAGGAATTTTCTGGTGAAGTGCAGTCAAGCAGTCTACCAAGTAGAAGGAAAATAATGTATGAAGGTCTAGAGGTGAGACTGAGCATGGCTAGTTCATGTAATTGAAAGCAATTTTGCTTTGTTAAAATGTAGTATATTGATACCTAAGAAAGGAGAGGGTAAATCTTGCAAGTTAGGATAAAAAACTTTGACTTTATCTTAGAAAAATGTGAAGCTATTGGGCCTTTTAAAGAAAGAAAAGAAGATGAGCAGATTTGTCAGAGAAAGTATACTCTGGCTGGTGGTTGTAGCATGGGCCCGGAAAAGAAGCAAAGGACCAGGTAGGAGACTGCTTCTGGAACCCAGATGTGAGTTTATAGTGGACTAGACTTGTGTAGAGGCAGTGAAGATGAAGGGAAAACAGTGCTGTCATTTACCAGAATAAGGGATTTGGAAAGGGGAATGTATCTGAAAGAAAAATTATAAAGAGAATTAGAGGTTGCAATGAGGTTATAACTTCGAAGTAGTAGTGCAGTATCCCAGTGCTAATAACTGCAGGAAGCTATTTTAAACTTTAGCCCAAAAGGGGTAAGCAGGCAGAAATTCTGACCTTAAGTCCAGTAACACATAGCCTGAGGCATATCCAGAGTGGGGAAAATACATATTCCCACTCACCGTTCTCCCTCATTCCCTCCCTGTCACCTTATGCTAATGCTCACTGTTGTTCTAACTCCAATAGAAGACAGAATGCAGTAGAGTCGTCGACGCCATCCATGTTAGTCAAACCCCTGGGTCATGGAGCCAGATGAAGAAGGAGGGCAAACAGAAGGTAACCTGCACAAACTTATCGTTAGCACTATTATGCACCTCTGGGTCTTTATCTTCCTTAAGCTCATAGTAGTGTTTAACAATTTTGGCCACTTCTTGAAACTTTCCTTTTGTGGCCTATGACCCTGCAATCTACCTGTCTTTTACCTCAGCCTGCTTTGCCGTATCTATCCCTTTATTTAAATGCTGATGCCCTCAGAGCTATGGCTCTTCAAAAGCTGTTTTCCTCTCATTGACCCTCAGTGGGTCTCATCTATTCCTATTGTTTCAGTCATCAGCAACAGCTTCATGATTCCCAAGACTATTTTGAACCCAGATATTTTTCCTGAGCTTCAGGCCCACTTCCTTGTCTGTCTATGTGTATGTTTACTATGAAGTCTCATAGACACCTCAAGATCAACATGTCAAAATTAAACTATCGTATCTAACCTCAAATCCTTTCCACTCGTATTTCCTACTTTAGCAAATGAAACAATCATTCTTACAATTGCCCGAAATAGAAATTTTGGATTCATCCTTGACCTAACACATTTACTTGTAATTAGAATTTCTTTTTTTTTTTTTGCTTTTCTTCTTAAAAAAAAAAATACAAGCTACACGTGCAGAATGTACAGGTTTGTTACATAGGCCTACATGTGCCATGGTGGTTTGCTGCACCTATTGACCCATTCTCTAAGTTCCCTCCCCTCACCACCACCCCCCAACAGGCCCCAGTGTGTGATGTTCCCCTCTCTGTGTCTATGTGTTCTCAATGTTCAACTCCCACTTATGAGTGAGAACATGTGGTGTTTGGTTTTCTGTTCCTGTGTTAGTTTGCTGAGGATGATGGCATCCAGCTTCATCCATGTCCCTGCAAAGGACATGATCTCTGTCCTTTTAATGGCTGCATAGTATTCCATGGTGTATATGTGCCCCATTTTCTTTATCAAGTTTACCATTGATGGGCATTTGGGTTTGTTCTATGTCTTTGCTATTGTAAATAGTGCCTCAATAATAACACATACATGTGCATGTGTCTTTATAGTAAAATAATTTATACTCCTTTGGGTATATACCCAGTAATGGGGATTGCTGGGTCAAATGGTATTTCTGGTTCTAGATCCATGAGGAATTGCCACACTGTCTTCCACAATGGCTGAACTAATTTACTTTCCCACCAACAGTGTAAAAGCATTCCTATTTCTCCACAGCCTTGCCAACATCTATTGTTCCCTGACTTTATAATAATTGCCATTCTGACTGCTGTGAGATTGTATCTCATTGTGGTTTTGATTTGCATTTCTCTGATGATCAGTGATGTTGAGCTTTTTTTCATATGTTTCTTGGCCATGTCAGTGTCTTTTTTTGAGAAGTGTTTGTTCATATCCTTTGCCCACTTTTTGATGCGGTTGTCTTTTTCTTGTAAATATGTTTAAATTCCTCATAAATTCTGGATATTAGCCCTTTGTCAGAAGGGTAGATTGCAAAAATTTTCTCCCGTTCTGTAGGTTGCCTGTTCACTCTGATGCTAGTTTCTTTTGCTGTGAAGAAGCTCTTTAATTTAATTAGATCCCGTTTGCCAATTTTGGCTTTTGTTACAATTGCTTTTGGCATTTCTGTCATGAAGTCTTTGCCCATGCCTATGTCCTGAATAGCATTGCCTAGGTTTTCTTCTAAGGTTTTTATGGTTTTGGGTTTTATATTTAAGTCTTTAATCCATCTTGAGTTAATTTTTGTATAAGGTTTAAGGAAGGGGTCCAGTTTCAATTTTCAGCATATGGCTAGCCAGTTTTCCCAACACCATTTACTGAATACGAGATCCCTTCCCCATTGTTTATTTTTGTCAGGTTTGCCAAAGATCAGATGGTTACAGATATGTGGTGTTATTTCTGGGGTCTCTGTTCTTCTCCATTGGTTTATATGTCTGTTTTGAAACCAGTACCATGCTGTTTTGGTTACTATAGCCTTGTAGTATAGTTTGAAGTCAGGTAGCATGATGCCTCCAGCTTTGTTCATTTTGCTTAGGATTATCTTGGCTATACAGGGTCTTCTTGATTCCGTATGAAATTTAAAATAGTTTTTTCTAATTCTGTGAAGAGTGTCAATGGTAATTTGATGGGAATAGCATTGAATCTGTAAATTACTTTGGGCGGTATGGCCATTTTTATGATATTGAGTCTTCCTATCCATGAGAATGGAATGTTTTTCCATTTGTTTGTGTCCTCTCTTATTTCTTTGAGCAGTGGTTTAGTTCTCCTTGAAGAAGTCCTTCACATCTTTTGTTAGCTTATTCCTAGGTATTTTATTCTCTCTGTAGCGATTATGAAGGGGAGATCATTCATGATTTGGCTCTCTGCTTGCCTATTGTTGGTGTAAAGGAATGCTTGTGATTTTTGTACATTGAGACTTTACTGAAGTTGCTTATTAGGTCAAGAGGTTTTTGAGTTGAGATGATGGGGTTTTCTAAATATAAAATCATGTCATCTGCAAACAGAGACAACTTGACTTCCTCTCTTCCGATTCGAATACGCTTTATTTCTTTCTCTTGCCTGATTGCCCTGGCCAGAACTTCCAACACTATGTTGAATAGGAGTGGTGAGAGAGGGCATCCTTGTCTTGTACTGGTTTTCAAAGGGAATGCTTCCAGCTTTTGCCCATTCAATATGATATTGGCTGCGGGTTTGTCATAAATACCAATTATTATTTTGAGATATGTTCCAACAGTACCTAGTGTATTGAGGGTTTTTAACATGAAGGGATGTTGAATTTTATCAAAGGCCTTTTCTGCATCTATGAAGATAATAATGTGTTTTTTAGTCATTGGTTCTGTTTATGTGATGGATTACGTTTACTGATTTGCGTATGTTGAACCAGACTTGCATCCGAGGGGTGAAGTTGACTTGGCTGTGGCGGAGAAGCTTTTTGATGTGTTGCTGGATTCGGTTTGCCAGTATTTTATTGAAAATTTTCACATTGATGTTCATCAGGGATATTGGCCTGAGGTTTTCTTTTTTTGTTGTGTCTCTTCCCAGTTTTGGTATCAGGATGATGCTGGCTTCATAAAATGAGTTAGGGGAGGAGTCCCTCCTTTTTCATTGCTTGGAATAGTTTCAGAAGGAATGGTACCAGCTCCTCTTTGTACTTCCAGTAGAATTCAGCTATGCATCTGTCTGGTCCTGGGCTTTTTTTGGTTGGTAGGCTATTAATTACTGCCTCAATTTCAGAGCTTGTTATTGCTCTATTCAGAGATTCAACTTCTTCCTGGTTTAGTCTTGGGAGGGTGTATGTGTCCAGGAATTTATCCATGTCTTCTAGATTTTCTAGTTTATTTGCATAGGGGTGTTTATATTATTCTCTGATGGTAGTTTGTATTTCTGTGGTGGTGATATCTCCTTTATCATTTTTTTATTGTGCCTATTTGATTCTTCTCTCTCTTATTCATTAGCATCTATCTAGTGATCTATCTATTTTGTTAATTTTTTCAAAAAAAAAAAACAGCTCCTGGATTTATTGACTT
Source organism: Homo sapiens (assembly GCF_000001405.40). NCBI lineage: Eukaryota > Metazoa > Chordata > Mammalia > Primates > Hominidae > Homo > Homo sapiens. The sequence continues at coordinate 181,414,336 of NC_000002.12, read as the reverse complement.
TTTGAAGGGTTTTTTGTGTCTCTATCTCCTTCAATTCTTCTCTGATCTTAGTTATTTCTTGTCTTCTGCTAGCTTTTGGATTACTTTACTCTTGCATCTCTAGCTCTTTTAATTGTGATGATAGGGTGTCAATTTGAAATCTTTCTAGCTTTCTGATGTAGACATTTAGTGCTATAAATTTCCCTCTTAACACTGCTTTAGCTGTGTCTCAGAGATTTTATCTGGTATATTTATCTCTGGTATATTTTATCTTTTTTTCTCATTAGTTTCAAAGAACTTACTGATTTCTGCCTTAATTTCATTATTTACCCAGGAGTCATTCAGGAGCAGGTTGTTCAATTTCCATGAAATTTTGTGAGTTCGAGTGAGTTTCTTAATCCTGAGTTCTAATTTGATTGCACTGTGGTCTGAGAGATTGTTTGTTATGATTTCAGTTCTTTTGCATTTCCTGAGGAGTGTTTTACTTCCAATTATGCAGTCGATTTTAGAATAAGTGCCATGTGGCACTGAGAAGAATGTATTTTCTGTTGATATGGTTTAGAGAGTTCTGTAGATATCTACCAGGTCCACTTGATCTAGAGCTGAGTTCAAGTCCTGAATATCTTTGTTAATTTTCTCTCTCGTTTATCTAATACTGACAGTGGGGTGTTAAAGTCTTCCACTATTATTGTGTGGGAGTCTAAGTCTCTTTGTAGGTCACTAAGAACTTATTTTATGAATCTGGGTGCTCCTTTATTGGGTGCATATATATTTAGAATAGTTAGCTCTTCTTGTTGAATAATTCCCTTTACCATTATGTAATGCCCTTCTTTGTCTTTTTTTATTTTTGTTTGTTTAAAGTCTGTTTTCTTAGAGATTAGGATTACCACCTTTGCTTTCTTTTTTTTTTTTCTTTCCATTTGCTTGGTAAATTTTCCTCCATCCTTTTATTTTAAGCCTTTGTGTGTCTTTGGATGTAAGATGGGTCTCCTGAATACAGCACACTGAAGGGGTCTTGACTCCTTATCCAATTTGTCAGTCTGTGTCATTTAATTGGGGCATTTAGCCCATTTGCATTTAAGGTTAGTATTGTTATGTGTGAATTTCATCCTCTCATCATGATGCTATTTGGTTATTTTGCACACTAGTTGATGCAGTTTCTTCATAGTGTCATTGTTCTTTATATTTTGGTGTGTTTTGCAGTGGCTGGTACCGGTTTTTCCTTTCCATATTTAGTGTTTCTTTTAGGAGCTCTTGCAGAAGGGGCCTTGTGCTAACTAAATCCCTCAGCATTTGCTTGTCTGGAAATGATTTTATTTCTCCTTCACTTATGAAGCTTAGTTTGACTGGATATGAAATTCTGGGTTGAAAATTCTTTTCTTAAAGAATATTGAATATTTGCCCCCAGTCTCTTCTGGTCTGTAGAGTTCCTGCTGAGAGGTCCACTGTTAGTCTGATGGGCTTCCTTTTGTAGGTAACCTGGCCTTTCTTTCTAGCTGCCCTTAACAGTTTTTTCTTCATTTTGACCTTTCTTCATTTTGACACATAATCTGATGATTATGTGTCTTGGGGTTGATCTTCTTGTGGAGTATCTTAATGGTGTTCTCTGTATTTCCTGAATTTGCATGTTGGCCTGCCTTGCTAGGTTGGGGAAGTTCTCCTGGATAATATCCTGAAGTGTGTTTTCCAGTTTATTTCCATTCTCCCTGTCTCCTTCTGGTATTCCAATCAATCATAGGTTCAGTCTTTTTATGAAGTCCCATATTTCTTGGAGGCTTTGTTCATTCCTTTTCATTCTTTTTTCTCTATTCTTGTCTGCCTGTCTTATTTCAGTAAGGTGGCCTTCAAACTTTGATATCTTTCATTCCACTTGTTTGATTTGGCTGCTGATACTTTTGTATGCTTCACAAAGTTCTCGTGCTGTGTTTTTCAGGCTCCATCATGCCATTTATATACCTCTCTAAACTGGATATTCTAGTTAGCATTTCCTCTAATATTTTGTCAAGGTTTTTAGCTTCTTGCATTGGGTTAGAATGTGTTCCTTTAGCTCATCGTAGTTTTTTATTACCCATCTGAAACCTACTTCTGTCTATTCATCAATCTGATCCTCTGTCCAGTTCTTCACCCTTGATGGAGAGACACTGCAATCATTTGGAGAAGACACACTCTGGCCTTTTGGGTTTTCAGCATTTTTTGTTGTTGTTGTTGTTGATTCTTTCTCATCTTCGTGAGTTTGTCTAGTTTTGGTCTTTGAGGCTGCCGACCTTTGGATAGGGTTTTATGGGGGCCTCTTTGTTGTCGTTGTTGCTGATGATGATGCTGTTGGTGTCACTTTCTGCTTGTTTGTTTTTCTGTCAATAGTTAGGTCTCTCTTCTGTAGGGCTGCTGCCATTTGCTGGAAGTTCATTTCAGGCCTTATTCATCTGATTTGCTCCCAAGCCTGCAGATGTCACTCAAGGAGGCTGGAGAGCAGCAAAGATGGGTGCCTGCTCTTTCTTCTGGGACCTCTGACCTCAAGGGGCACCAACCTGATGCCAGTAGGATTGCTCCTATATAGGATGTCTGACAACCCCCATTGGAGGGCCTCACCCAGTTGGGTGACATTGGGAGCAGGACCCATTTAACCAAGCACTTTGTCCCTTGGTGGAGAGGGTGTGTTTCACTGGGGGAAACCCCACTGGTCTGCCTGGATTTCCCAGAACTACCAGGAGGGGAGGCTAAGTCTGCTGGTCCACAGAGACTGTGACCACCCATCCCCCTGGGGGCTCAGGCCCAGGGAGACCTGAATTCTGTCCCTGAGACTCTGGCTGAAGTTATTGGAGATCCTGCAGGGAATCCTCCCCCAGCTGAAGAAGGATGGGTCAGGGTTAGACCTGAAGAGGCACTCTGGTTGCAGACTGCCACAGCCGGTGTGTTGGGCTGTGGGGAAAAGTCTTGGGACCCCATCCAGCCTCCGTGGCTCCAGCAGAGGAAAAGCATAGCCTGGAGCTATAGAAATGGGTGCCACCCTTCCCCCACCCAGGGAGCTTAGTGTGTTAGGCAGTTGCAAGTCCCAATGCTGGTTGCTGCCCCTCCCCCAAGGAGCTCAATGAGCTTAGACAGAAGGCAGCTGCAGCTGGTGCTGGTCGCCACTCCCCCTGGGGAGTTCAGTAGGCTTAAGCAGTTTCCAGCTGAGAGGCTGTAAGAATCTGTGCTGTTCCGGGTTTGGGATGCTAGGCCCTGGTAGCGTTGGTTTGCAAGTGGGATCTTCTGATCTGTGGGCTGCACAGTTCTGTGGAAAAGGCAGTTTCCCCAGCTGTGTAGCAGGCTCACTCACCACCTCCCTTGGCTGGGGGGAGGGGGTTACACTTCCCTGTGTGGCTCTCAGGTGGGCTGCCACACCACACTGCTCTTCCTTCTCTCCGTGGGTCATGCCAGTCTTCTACTCAATTTTGATGAGGGAACCTGGATACCTTTGTTGCCGGTGAAGGATTCACACGCTTATTATGGTTTTTTCCTATGAGAGCCTCCCAATGGCGCTGCTTCTAGTCGGCTATCTTGGTCCTGCCCCCTGTAATTAGAATTTCTATCAATTTTATCTAAAGTATTTCTCAGTCTCATCCCATTTCTTTCCTGCTAGAATCGTGACAGGCACAAGGGTAATCTATGACTTGGTGAAAGTCTTTTCACAGGTGTGATGGAGGTAGAAGCTACATTATAGACAAACCAAGGCATAAATGGGAGACAAGGAAAAGAAAATAGCAAGTAGACTATTCTTTCAAAAAAGTTAGCTAGTAAAGGTTGAAGAGAGAAGGGGTAGCATCCACAAAGAAACACCCAGAGATGAAGATTTGATCATTTCATTTGACGATTTCATTATTTGTGCATATAACTCAGTAGAGAAAGACAGATTGAGGATGGTAGGAAAGGAGGCTAGCAATGGATGCATGGTCCCCTAGGAAGGTGAAAGAAAATAGTTTCCCCTAACAGAAAGTCTAGTGTTAGACAGAAGAGACCCTTATCCACAGTCACAGGAGGAAAGTGTGTTTGGGTATGCAGGGAAATCCGAATACAACAATGAGATTATTCTGCTTTGATAGCTTCTCTTTTCCATGTGAAGCTAAAAGCAATGTCACCTGATGAAAGTGAAAATGAGTGATGGGTTTGAAGATTTAAGAATGAAAGGCTGGCAGCGGTGGTTCATGCCTCTAATCCCAGCACTTTGGGAGGCCGAGGCGGGCGGATCACGAAGCCAGGAGATAGGGACCATCCTGGCTAACATGGTGAAACCCCGTCTCTACTAAAAATGCAAAAAAATTAGCTGGGCGTAGTGGTGGGCACCTGTAGTCCCAGCAACTCGGGAGGCTGAGGCAGGAGAATGGCGTGAACCTGGGAGGCAGAGGTTGCGGTGAGCCGAGATCTCGCCACTGCACTCCAGCCTGGGCGACAGAGAAAGACTCCGTCTCAAAAAAAAAAAAAAAAAAAAAAAAGAGAAACTTGTAAATATTTTTGGGGAAAAGAATTCTGAGAACCTAGTTAAGTTTTAAAATCATGCGTTTAGACTGACACCAATCTGCAAGGTTGCATGAAATTTCCACAGAGGCACAGGAGAAGTATGGGTATTATTTCAGAAAAGGTGAAAAATTAGATTGAGCCAAGGCTGGGGTTTTCCAAGTACTCAGACTAAAGGACAATAGGAAAAAAAGAGTCAAGGAATTATACAGTAAATATTTGAAATGATGGAACGTAAAATTTAGTATGCATAGGGAAACTAGTGGTAGGGGGAGAAATATAAATTCAAGGGACTCAAATGTCCCTGAAAGGCTGAAGACAGATGTGGTGGGGATAATAGTGGAAACTGATGACCAGGGAGTTGAATGTCTGATTTAATATTTCAGTATAGTTTTGAATACTTACAAAACCCAGGATGAACCCAGATGGTGGGCCGCTGATGTGGAGAAAATAGAAAGTCGTTGGATATAAGGCTTGATGAGTGACCTCATGCGGAGGTTGCCATACCTCAAGTGATGTCTTCTTTGCATACCCTGAGTCCAATTCTTTTTCAGTGCATTTTATTTGTAATTAATGTCTTATAAGCCAGTTAACATATTGCAGCATACCACAATATACATAGTAATTTAAATACGAGAAGGTATTCTTTAGTCTACAATTCAGTTCCAGTTTTTTTTTTTTGAGTCATCTGAATCCTTTATTTAAACATATTAACTTGAAAAAATATATTTTCAAAAACAGAAAACAGGTGGGCTTTTTAAACCAGGCTGCCCAGAGAAGTTCCTCATTTGGTTTTCTAATTATAAAGCACAGAAGGAAGGTTTGGATTGAAGCTTTAATTTACCAGAGCTATACAGGATTCGTTTTCTACATGCAATCCAGTATTTGGCAGTTGTTAAATATTTGCTTTAACCATGAATTTATTTTGAGTACAACACAATTATACCTACTATCTCTGCATGGCTCTTTTAAGAATTGGCATACATTCATAATATTTAACTAGAACAATGAATGATTTAAAAATAGAAAATGCACAATTACTGTACTCCCTTGGAAACACATAAGCTTTGACAGAAAGTGGAATAAAAGTTGTTGTGTAAAGAGCTTTAACACAATTTTTTAAAAGCCTTTTATTTTTATTTGCTTTAAATGTATTAACTATTCAGTGGGATCATTCGAATACACACTAAAACTTCAATGTGTGTCAGGCCTGTGATAATGAGCAATTAACTGTTTTCCCCTTGCAATTATAACAATCTATTATACACATAATGATAACATCGATTCACACATCTTTTCAGTTTAAACACATACACTATATTTTATATATATGCACACACATATATGCATTGTGTGTATATGTGTATATTTACACGTATGTATGTATCTACTTAAATCAATCTATCTATTTATATACTTATGCTGCTCTTGGTATATGAAAGTGACATTATCAGCCTTTGTTGAAAAGTTCTGTACGTTATATTAAATTGGAAGCATTCTCTGGCTCATTTTCTTTTGTGGCTAATGAGTAACTTGGGTGATGGCAATAAGGATACAGTATATGGTGAGTTTCTGGCTGAAAATAAAGATACAGTGTGTTTTGGTTCCAAAAGAAGTATGTTCAGTCAAATGAATATGAACTTGGTCTCATTAACTTTATGTTATAAATCAGCTGAGACAACCATTGCCATTCATGAAACATCTATTGAAGGTCCACTATGTGTCAAGCACAGAAGATGTGATGGTTAATACTGAGTGTCAGCTTGATTGGATTGAAGGATGCAAAGTATTGATCCTGGGTGTGTCTGTGAGGGTGTTGCCAAAGGAGATTAACATTTGAGTCAGTGGACTGGGAAAGGCAGACCCACCCTTAATCTGGGTGGGCACCATCTAATCAGCTGTTAGCACAGCCAAATAAAGGCAGGCAGAAGAACGTGAAAAGACTAGACTGGTTTAGTCTTCTGGCCTACATCTTTCTCCCGTGCTGGATGCTTCCTGGCCTCAAACATCAGACTCCCAGTTTCTTCAGCTTTGGGACTCAGAATTTCCTTGCTCTTCAGCTTGCAAAGACCTACTGTGGGACCTCATCTTGTGAGTGTGTGAGCCAGTGCTCCTTCCTTTGACATCACACCAGCTGTTCTGATTAAAAGCCTGCCTTATTATGTGGTTGGTTTTCATCCCTCATTGAGAAGGTAACAGATTACAAATAATTGTCTGTGCTTTACAATGACTTAAACTCTGTAATGGTCATCAAGTAATATAAACAGGAAAATAAAGACTTTCATTCTACAATCTCAAGAGCTGGGAGCTGAGTTGAGGCTGTGCACATCCTTAGAGGAGCTATGCTGTCTCTGGTGCTGCCCTTCCTGACGGGAAATGTCATTTGTAAGAGGATTACAAATGTCTATCTATATTTGGTAAAGTGAGTCATGAGTAAGGCCATCAAGATAAAGGAACTGAGTTCAGTTTGCACAAAGAAATGAAGATGTGGTGTGCAGAGAGGAAATCATGAGATTTCAAGGTTCAAGAAGGAATCTTCATTTCCTTTTAGTTTGTCAGGATGTGGCTGAAAAGGAGCCTGGGACTGTAGGAGAACCTCACGAAGCCAAGAGAAGAGATGGAAAGCAGAAGTATTAGATGTTGAAACACTATTTGGAGCATCGTGGTTAATAGCATGAGCTCTGGAACCAAACTCCCTGGCTCAAACCTGGTTCTCACTGACAAGTTGTGTGACCAGCATGTCACTTATCCTTCTTTGACTCAATCTCTTACCTGTGAATGCGAACGATGATGCTCCAAACCTCCTTGGGTTGCTAAGGATCTAATGAGTGCATATGTATGGAACACTTAGAACATGGACCACATTGTGTATCTACAATGTAAATATCAGCATCGGCAATTCTTGGGATTGCACTGAAGTGGCTTTCCCAAGTACATCTACCAGGAGTACAACAGTGGACAGGATCTAGCTTTTGTTTTCTTCGACAGTTGTGATCTGTACAGGTGTAGAGGACTAGCATCTCAGAGATAGCATTCCACAGAAATGAAGCTCACACATGGTAGTATGATAATAAGCAAAAGGTTCGATAGGATTGTGTTAGTCTAGGAGCAGAGCAGCAGACAGAAAAGGGAGGGAACTGCAAAGCAAAACAGTCTTAGCCTGGTGAAAGCCAGCGGAACAGGAGCCATAAGGTGGAAAGAAAGAAGAAACCAATGGATAGGTGAGTAGAAGAGAGAGTACATGAGATCATTCAAAAGACAGTCACCTAGACCAGAGACTAAGGTAGGGACCATATTAAATAATAGATGGGTAAATAGGTATATAGATAGACAGAAAGATACATAGGTATAAACAAAACCATCTTAATTCTTCTGAGAGTTGCTGGCAAGTGAAAAGAATCAGTTTTGGCTCCAGATGTAAATATGGGGAAAAAGAGAAATTATGTGTTGAAACTGACAGATTGCTCACTTCAAAAAGATGAAATTTGTTATATTGTAACCCAATGAGAGAGAAGTCAGTCTCTGGAGAGGTCAATTCTATTTGTTCTCAAGAAATTCACTGAGATTTGAAGGATTAGTGTAGAAAGGAGTGTTATTCATGACAGGAAGCTTTTGGTATTCTTCCTAATACCTGAGGAACAGACCAAATCTTCTTGCTTGTTCCAAGCATAAGGCTAAGACGGTAAATTGGAAAGATACGCCTAGTTATGTCTGTCACATCTTATACATTCAAGTTTAAATGGACTCGGGTGAAAAGTCTAGGCTGATGAGCTTTCACAGCTGATTTGCCATAGAAAGCATCTGCTGCTGGTGCCAAGTGAAATGCTCACATAGGATGCCGCAGGTGGAGGGCAGTTCAGGGCAAGGCATAGACATCAGCCTGAGAGGGTGGAAAGTAGTAAGCACAATGGAAAATTGCATTTTAGGTTTCTAAGTTGGCAGCTTTTTAAACAATCAAGAGTAGATAAGCATAGATGATAGAGGTATACTGTCAAGAACCTTGTCACCAAACAACAAGACACATCAAGCTTGCCTGACTCTCTTCCTGCTTCCATTGGAGCATGAGTTACTGAGATTATTTAAGTTCTAGTAAATGGTCAGGTATAGGTAAAATAATGTCATTGATACAAGTACATTCCGCAAAATAGGGCTCACAATTTAACTAAGGGTAAAAGAGAACTATAGGGTGGAGCCAGAGAAAGGTTGGCCACTGTTGAAATCACCCTCACTCTCAATTTCATGATTAAGATGGCTGATCATATCCCAAGATGTCTGGATTTTCCTCTTGAGCACTTGAGGTCAGAATTGGGTTTGGGAGTGAAGATGAATTTAAAAGAAAAGGGGTAACTGAGTGATGATGGAGATGGAGCTAGCTACTATGTGTTTAGGAAGCCTGCGTTGTCAATAAGAACAGGGAAGAAGGCAAATGGAGATCAAAACAACATACCTAAAGCAGCTTAGGATCAGATGTGATGGATCTGATCACATTGAGAGGGAAGGCAGAGGCAGGAGAATGGGAGGCCTGTTGAGGGATGGATGGTCTGATGGATTGGGAAGTCAAGAGTCTGCAGGGGGTGTGTCCTGGAGCAGCTGCAGCTAAACTCATGCCTGAAGAAAATGTGTTACGCCTACAGCATGCTTTGGGAACAGAGTCTTAAAGTTAGATTGGAAAAAGATTCAGAAAAAGGCCATCAAGAATTCCTAAGATAGCAAGGTCAAGAGGCAAAGATAAGGTCAAAAATCAAGAAGTCATCTCATTTTCACAATGATTGTCTTTTTGGATTTAAATCTGTGCTTACTGAACTAAAGAATTTCAAAAGTTAAAACTTTCAGAACTTTTAGTGGGTGTAATTTAGACTTTCTTTACTCTCTCCCCCACAAACAGTTATATAAGAAGTAACTTTAAATGCACATGCTTTAGAGCAGATTTGGATATTAATATATAGAGGAAGCAATTTGGTCAGCAGGAAACTGATTTTCTCTTTATTGGAGTATTATTATCTACATAAAACATCCCAATTCCCCTTTTTAAAGACTGCTGAAGAAAAATGGGCTACTTTGTGAAATGAGTGAAGATAATCAGAGCCTGAAAGGTAGAAGGAGAAAAGTAGAGATGGTGTGTGAGCCCCAGAAACCCATCACACAGGGCTTCTTAGTTTCCCAATTTCAGTTCACATGGGACCTGTGCAGCAGGGGGCCAGATTTGCCTAGCAGCAAAAGGAAGTAAAACACAAATGAAATATAGCAAAGTTAAAGGTATTTTATAAATGGCTCAACAACCCCCACCCCCAGCACACCCCGCTGTTTTGTCTAAATGGATGCATTGTTGGGAACTCTACCTCCCCTACATGAAGAATCTTTTTTGAGCAATACTACCACAGAAGGCACAGCACAAAGCTTGATGTCTAATTCAGTCCTCGTCCTCCAATTTTGTGATCTAAGTAATGAAACCAAGATTTCTCAAGTCAACATTTGTAATATGATTCATAAATGTTAAATTTTAATATACTTGCAAATTATCATTTTCAGTAGTTTGAGAAATCTATAGAACATATTCTAAACCCCCGTGAAATATGTTATCTTGGTAATCTGGAAAAACAAAATGTTCTGACAATAAGAAGACCACATATTGTTTGCTCCAAATGTCATCTCGACCCAACTTAAGAAAACTTTCATAAAAGGTCAATGTTAAACTGGCAAAAAAGCAAAGGATTACTAAAGCTCAATTGTATTTTAAAGACAATAATTTATTGGCTTCCTGAAGGACTTTTTCACAGAGAAAATTTATAGATGACTGGGGAATTACTGTTAATATCAATTAAATGGGTGCATAGTTGTTTTCTTCAAGCCAACAAAACCCCCACATTCACTTAACAACAGAAAAGAATGTTAGTTTCTCTGAAAGTTCCAGATGTAAGTTCAGTTCCTAGAGAGAGGAGCCTGCAGAAGATTGTTAAAGATGTACAAAAAGCTTTAAAAAGATGATCAAAATGAATATTATGAATCAGACTGTCACATTATGCTTTATTCTCATTACCATTCACTCTCTTGTTCTTTTATATTAACCTTTGTTGAAACTAGTATTTTATAACCCACAATATCTACAAATTTATGTTCCTTCTTTTCCCCAGAACTTCCATGTTCATAATGTGGGTATCTTCCATTCTGGAGAGAATTATCTATAACATTGGTTCTCAACCTATCTATATTGAAGTACCAGGTTTTTTGATGTTGTTTTATTTTTGCTGGCAATCTGTTGTGTATCAACTGTATTATATAATCAATGAAAATCTATTGCTGGCAAAAGGAAATTAATAAGAGAAAGGCATATGGATATAGTCACATATTTATTATTAAATTCAGCAGTCATTCTATCAAATTGCTATACAAATTTTTAAATGCTTAGTCCCAATGTTTATACTTATCTCCGTATAGACTAGTAACAGTTCTCAGACTGGTACTGGTCCACAGTTCACAATTTGAGGAGCATTCACTCGGGGACTTCAGATTATCCTAAGCTATCATGATTCCCTATAATACAGAGAAACACTGAGTTATGAGGATGGACTCCATGTAGTAGTTACAGCAATAAACACTCTCTTATTTATGTAGCATGTTTTCTCTTCCCAAAGTGTTTGCATATTCATACTTCTATTTATCTTCAGAACAGACTACATGGCAGGTAGAGGAAAGCTCATTATTTACCAGTAAGAAGCCAAAATGTCTTCATTATGAAAATGCATTTATTTAAGTGTACATGTTTTAGCTTACTATTTTCTACTGTTGTACTGTAAAAATCTGGAAAAAAAGACACAGCGAACTGAGTTACTGACCTTTTCATTTAATTCAAGAAACATTTACTGAGTGTTCATATATGTCATGCACTGAGCCTGGCTTCTTTGGAGAATCTGAGGTATATAAGATGTTGCTTATATTCTGATAGGATATATGAAGCATACAATCATTAAGTTTAATGCAAGGCAAATGTGATAGAGGTATTATATGAGTACCAAACCAAGTGCTATGAGAGTTGAGAAGGAGAGGTTAATTTTAGCTACAAAGAGTAGCATTTGGGTTGGGTGTTGATGCAGAGTAGTTTCCACAATTGCTGAAATGGTTTTTGATGAGGAGGTAGAATAACATGAGCAAAGGCACAGAAATATGTAAAAACAAGGGGCCTATAGAAACGAGCTCATCTTGGCTGGATTTGGGGTATGAGAGAATGATTTCTTGTCAGTAATGCTGCAAAACTAACAGTAATGCTGTTAGTTTAGGAAACTAAAGAGTCTGGGTGTTTTTCTATTCCATAGGTGTGACTACATTACTGAGTGTGGTCTCTGTGCTTTCTCAAGCTATACCTGGACTTAACACTTCTTAATCACAGGCACAGAAGGCAATCTTGGCCTCACAAAGGTTAGCCAAAAGAGATATTACAGAAGGTTCGATGAGGAAACAAAAGAGAATTCTATCACACAATATACAAAAACATGTAACAGAAGTTCTCATTTAAACACTGTATCATTTCCAGCAACTCATCAAATTGTCTTATTGTCTCTCAAGATGATTCATCTTTCTCTTAACTTTTCCTTCTCCCTGAAAAATTTTAAATCTCATTTCTTATATAATCTTTTATTGGCACATTCCTCGTCCCATTCAGTAAACAAAGAACTGTCATTAATATTGTCTTCCTTAGAATCTCTATGGAGAAAGTATAAATAACATTCAGACCTCTTTCTTTCTCTAATTTGAACGGAGACATACCGAGAAATGTTAGATAATGGCTGGCATTGAAATAGTTATGTATTGTAAAAGTGGGGGTCCAGTGGGAAGCAGAGAAAGTCACTGGAGAGTGGAGATGCAAAGGGAGAAACAAGGATGGTAGAAAACACATGGTGTTTGAGAGACATGAAGAACAACTCCTGACCATGACTCCCCACTTTTAACTCCAGCTCTAATTGCACTTTTTCTTTTTTCTTTCTTTTTTTGAGATGGAGTCTTGCTCTGTCACCCAGGATGGAGTGCAATGGTGCGATCTTGGCTCACTGCAACCTCTGCCTCCCAGGTTCAAGCGATTCTCCTGCCTCAGCCTCCCAGGTAGCTGGGATTACAGGCGTGTGTCACCACACCCAGCTAATTTTTGTATTTTTAGTAGAGGCAGGGTTTCACCATGTTCGAGGCCAGGCTGGTCTCGAACTCCTGACCTCAGGTGATCCATCCACCTTGGCTTCCCAAAGTTCTGGGATTACAGGCGTGAGCTACTGCACCCCGCCTGGACTCTTTTTTCTTAACTACTTAACTTCCTTAACTACAAAGCACTATGATTATTTATAGACTTAAGTACATTTATTTTTATTTTATTTAGTTTTAATGAGTTTTTGATCATGAAGATTCATTGCACTTCTTACCTGGATGTCAAAAAAGAGGGAAATAATAACTGTATAAATTACCTTAAAATATGCCCAAATCACAAACAGTGCAACAGAGATCAGGTATTAATGTCTCCAGAATAGTCCTGGGTGCTATTTCTCCCTCTACTCTTCATGAAGCAGAATAGGGCATATTAGTTGTAAGTGGAAAAACCTTTATTCTTGGAAGTTAAATTTCATAATAAAGAAACTGGGTGAAGGAGGAAGAAGTACTCTGGAAAATAATGGCATTGGTGTGGTAAGTGTATGTACTGCTTTGGAGCTCCCTACACTTTCTCCAGTTTTCTGAAAAATAATGATGAAGAAAACCTACTTAACAATATAATAGTTATTTTAATTCAGATATGAATTTAGAATTTAAATAAAATAAATCATTGTCTTATCAAATGAAGTAAAAAATGTAAACCTGACAGGCATATGGTAAAATGACTTTTTTTTTTTTTTTTTTTTTTTGAGAAATCATCTAGCTCTGTCACCCAGGCTATAGTGTCGTGGCGTGATCTTGGCTCACTGCAACCTCCACCTCCTGGGTCCAAGAGATTCTCATGCCTCAGCCTCCTGCATAGCTGGGATCACAGACATGTGCTACCACGCCTGGCTAGTTGTGTGTGTGTGTGTGTGTGTGTGTGTGTGTGTGTGTGTGTGTATGTTTTAGTAGAGATGGGGTTTCGCCATGTTGCCCAGGCTGGTCTCAAACTCCTGGGCTCAAGCGATCCACCCACCTTTGCCTCCCAAAGTGCCAGGATTACAGGTGCAAGCCACTGCGCCCAGCCTAAATGACACAATTTTGACCCTGCTAGTAGTCACGGGCTCTGCAGGCTGAAGTATGGGACATGCTCCGTGTACTCGGAATAGAGATTCTTCCCGCCAGCTGTACTCTTACATTCCCTGCCTTGTCACCTTTGGCAATGAAGGACACCAGTAAATACAACACCCTCAGGAAAGCATAATGAGGGCTCATGGCTGTACAATCAAGAGAAGAGACAAAGTCACAAGTGTAGGACAGAACAGGCAATAGGTTTCAGAACACTGAATTTTATGATTAAAAAGGGCCAGTCGCTAATGAAACTCAGTGATTATGACATGATTTCCCTGACTATACTTAAAGTAACACCAAGGTTACCCAAATCAAATATTTTAATAAATTCACAAAGACCAGAAAGCATTTCTAGATTCCCCAGTTGCAAGAGATCTAAAATATAACTATTATATTCGGCTCAACAGAACAGTAAAACAAAACCACTTATTGCTGGTGACATTCCAGGGAACAGTTAAAATTGCTTTATTGCCTTTGGTAATGAAAGTGGACAGGAGTGTAACAATACATAATAAGGTGAGTTTAGTTTTACGTCCTGAGAACAATCTGCTTTACCCTTCTGGTTTAATTCTTTAAACTGTTTCTGTTTTAAGTAATTACAAACGATGGCTGGCAAGTGACAGTTATAACCACCATAGCAAATGGCTTTGTTGTAGCATTGTAGCCTATCCCCAAGTACTATTACCTTGGACTTCTAGGGAATTTAGTGTAAGTGAGGATGGCATGTGAAACAAATGCCTCCTGACTTACACTGAGCTTATAAAGATCTCCCTCAAGCAAGAACAGCTTGAGCTTGTGGCTAGTGGTACTTCACAAACGGTAGTATGTATAACACTGCTGATGCTTGACTTGCTATGAGAAGATAACATACATTTTGTTTTAATAGTTCTATTTTTATTTGGAAATTAATATATAAAAATAAAAATAAATATAAAGATCACATGATATCCATGATTTCATGGATATTATTGCTTATGATGACCTCTTTTTTAAAGTCCATAACAGGAAAAACATTAAATATAGTATAAGTGGTAGGAGGTGGAAAGGCTGAAAGTTTCATGTTGGTGTGTAAGTGACCATGGTAGCCAGTCTCTAGTGGTTTTCCACTCCTGGTATTCATGCCTGTATACAGTTCCCTCCCACACTGGATAGGGCTGCTATGTAACCAATAGGATTTTGTAGAAATGGAAGAGTGTGATTCCCAAGGCTAGGGCAAAAGTCATGTGAGGCTTCTCTTTTGCTGCTTTTGATCATCTGTTCTGAGGGGAGTCAGCTGCCATGCCACGAAAAGCAGCCCTATGGAGAGGTCCATGTGGCGAGACACTCAGGCCCCCTGCCTAATCAGGCCTCAGCCTGCAAGGAACCGAGTCCTTTTGTCTGCAGCTGTGTGAATGGGCTGACTTCTTGACTGCAACCACAAAAAGCACCTGGAGCTACAACCATTCAGCTAAGCCACTCCCAAAGTTCTGAAACAAACTATGTGACATAATACATGTTTATTGTTGTTTGAAGCTGCTAAGTTTGGGAGTAATTTGTTACCCAGCAGTGGATAACTAATAATGGATAAGCAATACCATGACCGAAACTGGGAAACAAGGATAGGGAATCCCATTTACCTTTGCTCATAGGTAGCTTTGTTATTTTCTCCTCCCTTCCCTGAAATGTCTGTTACATAGGGATGAACTAAGATCTAACAAAAAATATACCTCTTGCTTCTGCTTTTTGCTGAACCTGTGTGTGGTACCTCCTATCTGGCACAGTGTTCACCATCACTTATTCCTTTTGACAATAAGAGTGTTACAGGCATTTGATGAAGGCAAAACCTCTGGAGCTAAAGGAAATCTAGTATATTTCAAGAGCAGTTTGGTCCTATAGATGAGTCTGGAGTCCTGAATTCCAAATGTTAAATGACTTGCTATTTCTCTTGTTCCCTTTCTGTTTTTTTTTTTTTTTTTTTTTTTTTCAATCCCAAAGCAGATGTCGTCTCTCAGCTCTGCCCTGATGTGCAATTTTATAGTTTTCCTGGGTCTCTAACTGGTGCTATAATAAATTCAGAGTAATTGTTACACACCTTTAACAGCTTCAAAACACATTTAAGGTATTTTCTTATTAATTAACTTTCTCCTCATATCAGCAAAAGCAGTTTGCTTTAAAAAGTTCCTTGGTAACAGTAGTCTAGTTTCTTGCCGTCACTCAGAAACTTGAGAAGATTCTTTTGATGTTGGTCTCTCAGTTTAGGATGAAACTAGTGGAAAGAAGATAGTGAAAGAGTAAGCGGAATTGAGTCCATTTTCTCTATTTACTCACCTACTCTAACTCACCATTTTATTGTTACTTCTGATTTATCTTCTTGTCATCAATGGAATTTTCTTATTATGTCTTGGCTATACATGTTGAGAATTAATTTGGCCTTGACTGTGTTTTGCTGTGTCAGCATTTCTATAATTATCTCTGCCATTAGCCATCTCCCAGATGATCACTAAAATTATATATCATGGGATTTAACTACAGACCAGACCATGATGTTTTTTAATCTTCTCTAGAATTCCTTCCAAATAATTAAGAAACTAATCATCTTAGCTCCATTTTTCCTTTGTTTCTAGTTGGGCCTGTTCTCAAGTGCCTCTCTTTGAACAGAATAGAAGATTGTTTATCTTAAACATTTCAGGCTGCTTTGCTTCCTAGAGAAGAGGAGCACAGCTTGCATTTCTCCATAGCCCCATTCGAAGAGGCAACTTGTGCCAGTCTCATTAGTAATTTTCAGGTGTACTGACACACTGATCTATTATCTGCCACATAGTACATTTAGTGGATATCTAATTTTGTGGGTACTGTAAACCCCATGGTATCATTCCTTGATTCTTGCTCAGTAATCATATTTATTAGTGCCCACATTGCAAGTAACTCAGATGAAGGCAATTCTTGGTAGATATGTAAATGAAATACACCAGGAAGTCTAACTTCCAGCTCTGGTTCAAAATCTCTAAATATGAATTGGGTGAGTCTTGTCATTCTTTAGATGCCATCTGTAAAGAAGAGGGCTTGAGGTACGTGACTTTAGCTTGATAGGCTTAGAGCCTCTGTGGTGGCGCTGGCCACTCAGTATGCCCACATATTCCCGTGGGCACATGTTCATCTGGCCACGTTTGGCTCTGTATTCCTTCTTGTTGGCTCTTTTACTTATTGTCTTCAGTCATGCCTGTTCCTCTTTCTCCCTCTAAAGTTCCAGCAGGCAAAAGGAGGCATGATAGGGATTTGCTACCTCTTGATGAGAATTATGCTCTTCTAGCTTCCTCAGAGAGTAGACTTGTAAAAGATCTTCCAGGAAAGTAGTTGCCCAGCCAACTCTTATTTCCATATCATGTCTTTCTGGAATATTTTTTTCTTAATTGTTTGTTTATTTATTGCTTCTAGGTCTTCCCCGCCATAATGTACTCCCCATGAAAAGAGTCATCTGTGTGCCTTGCTCCCTGTTTCAGCCTGAGAACCTAGACTTTGTCAGACAAAATAATATTTGTTGTTGTTTATATCAAGTTATACGCTCAATGTACTAAATTAATTGAAGCAAAGTCTTAAGAAAATCTGGCTTTTGAGGAAAGTATGCCCCAGAGACATCAGAACTATTTAGAAATAGCAGCAGTTCAGAAAACACTTAATGTAGTCACATTAAATTGTCCCCGGTGTGATATGAGGCAGAAAATCAGAAAGAAAGAAACAATTCCTAGACAGGAGTGTCTAGTAAACCTCTAAATAGTTCACAGCTGTGTGGCATGTGGTGCAACTGGATAAACAAACTTAACAAGCACATTTGGGTTGGAGAATTCTTCTGGCTATAATTGTACTTTACATCACTTTCTGTGGTCAGGCACAAGGTAAAAATTTTAGGGGTTTTATTCTTAATGACCATGCCATCTTAGGTTATGGAAATTCCTCATTAATTTGGGTTCCGTAAATATGGCCTTCATATCTAAAACTGTTTTGTTTTTAAAGTAGAAGCTGTTTTTGAGAAGAATATTAAATGAAAGAGAGGGAATATAAATGAAATTTTAAAAAAATCAGAATTCATGACTTAAGGACTATTTCTACATTGTAATTAGTAATTTAACGGACTCTTTTTCAATTTCAGTAATTAATTATGCCTCTGAATTCAACTGGTATTTTGAAACCACAATTGCTTATTTATTAACTAAAAAGTCGTTTGAGGCCATTACGCAAGGGAATACAAATTTAAAAGATTAAAAGGATTGACAAAAGCTCAATTATTATACCCCTTTTACATAAACCTAAAATTTAAGGTATGACTCACCAAAAGACTATGTTTCAGTGAAGCTTTGCTTTTCTATATGAAAAATTATCCTGAAATACTTATAAAATGAATGTTAAAGTGAAATTGTTTTGAGGCTTGCTAGTTGATCTAAAATATGTCACAAATTATGACTTTGCTATTGTATATGCTTAGCAAATTCTCTTGATACAAGCTGAGAAGACATGCAAACCACAATTTTATAAAAGAGGAAACTGAGACAACAAAGATTAAGTAATTTTCTCAAGATCACATGACCAGTAGCTGGAGGAGTTGGAAATTAGATACAGATCCAGCGACCTCAGAGCCTGGGTTATTGCTTGCCCCATGGAGTCTTTTTGGGTCACTTTTGGCAAATCCAAAAGTGATCATCTAGAACTTCTCTGGACTCCTTCTCATGCAAATCTTCCTGATACCTGACACAGTGTGGCACAATGTGCATCAGATGGATAAGCAAAGGAATTGTTACGCTTCTCAAAGCCTATCCTGACTCAGGGTAGGTCAGGCAAGAAAAACAATTTATCTGTCATGTGTAGACACTATTTCAAGTGGCCCATAAATGGCTCTAGGACATTGAAAGAGGGATCTAAATGAAAAAAAACATTACTCTTTGTGTGACAAAAAAGATAAGAAATATTCAATGGTGGAATCACACTGAAGAATCTCTATCCCCCAAGATCCAATTAAAGTCCCACCTCCTCAACAAAGCCTTTCCTGTTAGACTATGTCATTGTTTTCTTCTCTAGTTTCAAATTATATTTATGGTCTGTTAGTGTTCATTTGTAACGTTTTGTCATACATAAGCTTGTTTAACTTTTTCAAGTGTTTATGAATTGTCTGCTGAAAAAACCAAGCTTCTTGAGGAACGTACTCTGTCTTATCTTCCTCTTTATCATCCTAGTATTTGCTTAGTGGTTGGTTTATTGAAAACCACCCAAAGGAAGTTTGAATTGAACTGAAATTATAAAATAATACGAGTAGTAAATGATTATGAAAAGCTTTGTAGGGACCGTCATGGTAGAGTTCATGAGCTATACTGTTTCCCTTTATGAGTACAACTGAAGAAGAACCAAAGTTGGAGCCTGTATCAGTCAAGGTCAGGGCAGGAAACATAAGGCTTTCTCACAGAAGTGATGGGAGACATTTTAATGAAGAGAACATTTACGGAGGGTGGCAGGATTGTGGAAACCAGCAAAGAATGGTGAAGCAGCTCAGGGTAGCAACTGTGAAAAGCTTTTACCCCCTCAAGACCTGCAGGGGTGAAGGTATGGCAATGTTACAGCCAGACGACAGTTAGGTAGCAGGAAATGGACCAACTAACAGAGCTAAGATTGTTCAATGTACTCAATATCAAAACTTGCCAGCAGTGGTAGTAGGGTTAGAGACACACATCTATCTGTTTGTCTCTCTGTCTGTGTGTCTCTCTCCACTTCTGCTCTCTGATATCTACCTGGTCCCTGTCATTGAATGAAACCAACTGGAAGTAAAAGTGCAAGGAAGATCAGATGGTGCAGTCTATATAAGTCCTCCTGCTGGGTATAGAGCAATGTGGTGATGCAATTACATAATTTGTTCCACATACAGCTAAGGTTTTTTACATAATTTGTTCCACATACAGCTAAGGTTTTTCTGAAAATCACCTTATATTATTTTATTGATTTTACATTTTATTAAGTTGCTATATTTTAAACCATCAGTCTAACAATAGTAAAAATTAGAAGTTAATCTTATTTTAATATATGATTATTAATATTTGCATTTACTTCTTAGAAATCACAACTACATATTTAGATTTTAAAAAATATATGGGAAAATACATAAAATATTCTCAAGAAAAAAATGCTGTTTATGAGACATGTAGAAGTGTAATAGTACACTCATGGGCAGACTTAATAGCATTGTTAACACCCCCAAACTAGCAGGAAACCACAATAACTTTGAGAAAGAGGCTGAAGACACATACCCCCTGCTATAAATAAAAAAATAAATTTTTGAAATGCTCCACAGGATCAATGGTCCTTAACTTTTTTTTTTTTTTTTTTTTTAGCACTCCTTGTTCACATGCTAAACCAGGTACCGATTTTGACATCATAGATGCAGTGCAGATGTAACCACACTGTGCCTCCCCAAAAGCCAAATTTCCCACTTTAATTTTTTTTTTGTTTTTTTTTTTTGAGACAGAGCCTCGCTCTGTTGCCCAGGCTGGAGTGCAGTGGCGTGATCTCGGCTCGCTGCAAGCTCTGCCGCCCAGGTTCACGCCATTCTCCTACCTCAGCCGCCCTAGTAGCTGGGACTGCAGGCGTCCGCCACAATACCTGGCTAATTTTTTTGTATTTTTAGTAGAGACGGGGTTTCATCCTGTTAGCCAGGATGGTCTCGATCTCCTGACCTCGTGATCCGCCTGCCTCGGCCTCCCAAAGTGCTGGGATTACAGGTGTGAGCCACCGTGCCCAGCCCCATTTTAATTTTCTATTACAAGAATTTAACCATTTTTACTCTCATGTAAAGATTGGCTACAATGATGTTAACTTTCACTTTCATTTTGGTATCTGATTAGCTGGTATAGTGCCCTTTATTTGAATAAAGAAGACTGGAGGAGGAGGAGACTTGGGAAAAATATTCAAGGGCTCAGTTTTGACCAGTTGAAACAGAGACATGTTCAACCTTCCAGTGGGTAATAGAGTTTAAGGCTCACAGGAGAGATGTGGCCTGGAGATATAAATAGGAAGTTGTTGCTATGGACATGAGCCTGAATGAGATCATCAGGGAGGAAGTAGGTTGGGCACTGATTATTGAAAAGCTCTTCATGAATTACAAACCACGTTCAGAGGGGGGCTTTTAAGATATTAAAATGTACTTTTATACTGTAATGATTTAAAAAAGTGATAGTGAATTACGGGAGAGATCCATGATAAAGCATCCAGAAAGAGACTCAAGTATATATATGAATCAATATATAATTTTAATATTTCTAACTGGTAGAGGAGGTATAAGCTTATTCAACAGATAATGTCTGTTTTCTTTGGATACTACTATTTTTAAAACTAGTTGTTATTTTGATTACTTCAACAAATGAAGCTGAACAGTTAAAAGCCTGAAAAATGTTAGATCTTATATTTAATTTATATAGAATTTATTTTGATATAATTTATAAAGAACAAAGTTAGCATACAAGTAAAAATTATTTTTATAATCCTGGGATGAGGAACACATCATAAGCATGGTATATAATATAGGAACCATATTAAAAAGTTTATAAACAATAAATAATGCAATAAAACAAAGTGAAAATAAAATGGCACACCAGGGGAAATATTTTCAACAAAACTGAGAAACTGTTGTTTCCTTAGTGTAATATTTGAAGATGTTTTATAAACTGTTATTAAGCAGGTGAATACCCACAGGAGCATACTGATTATGTCAAATAATTTTTTTAATCATGAAAAAATATAAGTGGCAAATAACTTGTGAAACAATGTTTGGTATATTTAATTATAAAAAGAAACAACAGTGAAATACAATTTTTCCTATCATTAGACAGGGAAAGATATAAATCAAATCTTATACTATTACTGAAGTTCACTTTGGTGATATAAATTAAAAGCCCTTATACTGGCTTGAGCAGATATTGTTTTGCGAAGATGGTAGCAATATATAACCCATGCCACATGTTTTTCTTACAACGTGACATCAACACTCCTCCATTGAGAGATGGGATCCATGTCCCCTCCCTTTGAACCTAGGTGACCTTTATAACTGCTTCTACTCATAGAATGTAGCAGAAGTCTAAGTAATAAAACGCAATATAGCTTCATCTACTGTGCACATACATAGCCCCTCTCTCTCTGTCTATTTGCTCTTGATGCCCAGCCATCTTGTGAAGAAGTTTGGCCTCCAACTGATGGCTAGGATTAAACTCTAGACATACGAGAGTGACCCTTCAGATAATTCTAGCCCCTTGACTTCTAGTCCTCTCGTTGCAATCCAGATATCACGAAACAGTGTTCCTGCTGAAAAATTGCAAAATGGTGTTTTGTTCTTCCACTCTTCCTACATTCCCCTTCCTATTACTGAACAAATTAGCAAATGCCCTTCTTGTTCTTAAGGGATGAATATAGACATAGGAATAGTAATTTACTTGAATGAATGTGCATAGACACATACTATCCTGAAAATGAATGAGTCATATTATTACACATTGAAAAGGTCATGGATAATATTATTATGCCTGTTTTTACACATGGGGAAAAGCATCCTAGAAAGTCTAAATGGATTACCCAGTAACCATCGGAAATTATCTGAGAACAAAACTAGATATACCCCAAAATTTATGATCTTTGCACTGTGCAGAGTAGCATCGGGAAACATTTCAAATTTCTATTGCACTATACTAGGTACTAGGTAAAGAGGATTGTATAGTCATATTTCCCTAGACATTTTAGTCTTTGTAAATTAATACTCATTTACTTATGAAGGGCAAAAAATTTGATATGAAGATAACACTGAATTTCACAAGTAGATTATTAGTGAAATGATATGATAAATAAATGAAGCTAAAAGGATTTACTTTAAATCTGAATGTTTTATTTATGTACCAAGATAATTCATTTATTTAGATAACTATATATTTTTAATACACTGTACTTATTTTCAACAGTCTAAAGTATAACCAGAAGGGGTTTATATTTTACACCTTAATTGTGTAGGACCTGTCCAAGGTATAATTGCGAATTCAGTAAAACTTATTTTCAGAACTCACTCATATTACCTGGCCTTCAAATTTCATTACCTGGACACATGGACATGTGTCTCTTTTCCTTATAGAAAGGTTAATTCTGGCCACAAAGCTATGTTACTTAAAGTAAATTGCCTAGCAATTCTATCTCATTGGCCCAGAAGTAATTAACATTTTTGACAATCACAATTTTAAATGAGCTACCCTGTCTTACAGTGATTGACTGATTTTTCATCTTGTTGTTTCAGAATGCTGCATAAAAATAAGTTACTAAGACTTTTTATAAACATTTTGGTACAATTTGCAAAATATCTTAAACCTTTAATTTAGGTTACGTAGAAATGGGCCATTGATTAGGCAAATGTCTAAGAAACTATCAGCTGTAGCACACATTCTATGAAGGGAAGAATACTGAAGGTCAGAGAATATCATTACCTGAGAGTCAAAACCTAAAAAGCAATAGAGCCAGAATTAGAAATCAGGTTTCCTAAACCTTAGTTGACTTCTTTTTTCCCACTGCTATATTCCACTGTATGGTTATGCTGCAGCTGCCTAGACAGGCCAAAGAAAATGAGCATCTACTTTTAGTCCTCTAGGACAGGTTACCTGCTGTCTGTGAAATACTCAGAACCTAGTGGTTGCTGGATTCTATATAATTAACAAGACAGTTCTAAATGTGGGCTAAGGATGTGTCTCATGCTATATAGATTGCATCCAAAGCTGTTGTTTACGTAATTGAGTGGTTATGGCAATCTTCCTAAATCATTGCAAATTATTAAGCAGCATGTGGCACAACTGGGACCAGGAAGGCTCAGGTGTAACAAATGATTGTCCTTTGAGAGAGACATTTCTTCACAATAGAAAAGTAATTCATTAGTGAAATACAAGAATCTCCAACTGGAGCAATTAAGCATATTGAAAAATGTTATATAAATATAGTCATTTGCTTCCTGTAAGAATTAAAGCTGAAACCAAAGATCAGTTTCCCAATATCCAAAGGATGCAAATTAACTTAAAATAGAATTTTTCTTTGACACATTATTTATATTTTTATTAAAATAGCATTTTTTTCTGTAGGGAATTTTAAGTTTCCATTTTAAATGTATTTATTTAATTCAGAGTTTTATTCTTACATAAAATATATAAGAAAAGCAGCAGAACTCAAAGAAAAACTTAGGAGGCAGGATATTATTGGTGTTTTAGATAAATATGATAGAAAATAAGAAGTTAAAAATCCAGGTAATTCATAAAACAGAAGAATTTTAACAAATAAACATAGCACCAGGAATAAGTTTGTAGTTACTGCACCAAAGATAATAAGCCGAAGACTAGAATATCTTGAATTTGAGTCTACCTGGCCCTAGAGTTACCTTGATGCCTCATACCTTAAATAAATCTGATGGCAATTTTCTTTTTCTTTCTTTTCCTTTTCTTAAAACTCACATACATTGTGTCTGTCATCTTCTTTTAGATTATAAACACATTTGTGAAGCTTTTATCCCTTTTGGGCACATATTAATTTGTTTTTAATACTGTTTTTCTGAGTAATCATTATAAATGAATATAGTAAAACTTCAAGCTACTTTTTTTGGTTTATTGTTTTCTGGGTTTTTTTTATATTAGTGAGTAGATTTCATTGAAAAACATTTTTGTTAACATTTGTTGGGCAAGGTTTGAGGAAACAGTACAATTGAAGTGGATCGCAAAATGAATATTAATTTAAGTCTCCAAAAGAAGCTGGACTAGACAAAAAGTTTGCATATTTTATGCCCATATTAAAAAAAAAAAACCTAACTCTAACATCTGTGAGTCATGATTAGGCATTCAATTAAGGCAAATAAATAAGTCAAACTTTTGCATGGATTCCATTAATCACATTTGCTATTACATCAGTTAAATTGAGGTTATTTATTTCACCATTTCATAAATAATATCTCATCGTGGACTTGTTTGTGGGTAAAAATAGGACATTGCATTTACATCTTTCTGAAGAAACAGATGCAGGAAGGGGTACATGCCTAGGAGGCTCTCTGCTCATCACTTACACTTAATGCATTGCGCCAGGAGAAAGCAGTTGTTTTGAAATGTATCAATCTTCTTTTTAATTTCAGTATAGTTTTTTTGTGGAAAATACTATAGAGTTGAGAAAAATTAATTATGGTACAACTCTTAGGAAGATTTTTGAAAACTGGGCAACTTAATTTAGTACATAATGTAAAATTGCCATAAAATGCAATGACATAACTCATATATGAATACAGAATAAGAACAAGTCAAAGATTTATTCAACTCACTAATGAGGGAACAACCAGGATGATAAAATTGCTTCAAAGAGTATTTGGGGAACTGAATGCTTATAGAAAATGATGAAAGAAAGTCAGAATAAAATTGCTGGATTAAATACACAACAGCATAATAATCTATAGTCAATAAAACAATAATATTTGTGTTTTAATTTTTTTTTTTTTAGCCAAAAAGTGTTCATTTGCATCTCTTCAAAATAAAAATCTACAAAGTAAGATGAAACTTCACAGTCTAGGCTTTAATTAGGAGTTAATAATCAAACAACCAAAGTTCCATTCCCCTAGATGATTAATCCGTGAGTGATCTCCTGGACGATATTCCAGTGTGACATTGAAAGGACATGCAGACTTCTTTTTGCCTTAGTCCTAAGTTTTTGATAATTTTTCCTAACACAATATACAGAATGATGACATTATATGTCTGAAATAGTCTATAAAGATGATGTTTGTCAAAAGAAACAGACATACAAATTCATTGGTTGAGTTATATGTAGTAGCCACTGAGCCATTAATTTCTGTTTTCAAAAAGATAAACCTATATAAAATTATTCTAAGGAAATTCAAGCAAAGAATCTTACTTTCTGGTTGGAGGTAAAAGTGTATTTAAAGGTTTTGAATCATAAAAAAAAATCTTAGTATGTTCAGAAAATACAGAGATTTAATGTGAGTAGGGTTTAAAGAGTGCATGTATGATTCTAGGAAATTAGGCTAGAAATGTAAAGTTTTGCAGGTCCTAAAAAGAAATGTGGGCTGTTTTGTAAAGGTAATGGGAGCCCACGGAGGTTCTCAAAGCGGGAAGGACATCATCAGCCTTGTTTTCAGGAAGATTCAAGTTCTTTTCACACACAACATCATGTCTTGCCTTTTTAAAATTTATTTTCTCTTCTAGCTTATCTGTGGTATTAATAACTTGATTTTATTTGTATAAAATGTTGGTGTGTTGAGAGCTGGGAGAAGGTGCAATAAGATTTTCCTCTGTACACAGTCTACTTAAAGGCTTAATATGGTTGAAAAAGAAGTTGAAAACATCTCTTCTTTGACCATGTAGCACCATTCCTTATCAATAACTATAACTATGACCATTAGGGTGGGGTGGGTGGATGGAGATAATGAGAGAATTTTTAAAATTAATATATAATTCACATGATACAATTCACTATTTTAAAGTGTACAATTCAGTTGTTATTCATATATTCACAAGACTGTGCACCTATTATCATTATCTATTTCTAAAATATTTTTATCAGCTCAGTAAGAAACCCCAAACCTATCAGCGGTCCCTTCCCACTTCCCCCCTCCAGTGCCTGGCAACCATTGATTAATTTTCTGTCTCTATATAGATTTGCCATTTTGAGATGTGTTATACACATGGAATAATATGTGGCCTTTTGCATCTGGTTTCTTTCACTTAGCATAATGTTTTGAAGGTTCACCTACACTATAACATAAGTCAGTACTTTCTTCATTCTTATGGGTGAATAATATTTCATTGTGTGAATATGTCACATTTTGCATAAGAATTCATTAGGTTATGAACATTTAGGTTGCTTCCATCATTTGACTATTATAAACAGAGTTGCTATAAACATTTGTGTACATGTTTTTATAAGGATATATGTTTTCAATTTTCTTAGAATGGAATTCCTGGGTCAATTGATAATTTCATGTTTAACTTAACAATCAAACTGTTTTCCAAAGTGGCTGAATAATTTTACATTCCCACCAGCTAAAGTATGAGGGTTCTAGTTTATCCACGTCTTTGACATTACTTGTTATTGCCCTACTTCCTGATGACCACCCTGCCAGTGGATGTGAAATGTTATCTCATAGTTTTGATTTGTTTTTCCCTGAAAGCTAATGATGTTGAGCTTCTTTTACTGTGCTTCTTAGCCATTTGCAGATCTCTGGAGAAACGTCTATTCAAATCTTTTCCCTTTTTTTATTAGTGTGGTTTTGTTTCTTTTATTTAAATAGTTGCATGTAATAGTTTTATATACTGGATGCTAGAATATATCTGGTAGATGATTTGCAAATATTTCTCCCATTCTGTGAATTGCCTTTTCATTTTTTTGACAGTGTACGTAAAACACGAACATTTTCATTGTTGATGAAGTCCAATTTATCTATTTATTCTTTATAAAGTTGCTTGTGCTTTACTTGTCATTCATAAGAAAACATTGCCTAATTCAAGGTCATTAAGATATACACCTATGTTTAATTCCAAGAGTCATAGTTTTAGCTCTTATAGTTAGCCATTAATATGATTCATTTTGAGTTAATTTTTTTTTTTTACTAGGAAATGAAGAAAGGGTCCAATTTCTATCATTTGCAACTGGATATTCAGTTGTCGCAGCCAAATTTCTTGAAAGACTATCCTTTCTGCATTAAGTTGTCATGGCATCCATGTAAAAAATCAACTGACTATACATATCTGGCTTTTATTTTGATTCTACTGATGTATGTATGTATATCTTCATACCAGTCCCATATAATCTTGATTAATGTAGTTTTAGGATAAACTTTGCAACTGGGACATGTGTGACCTCTAGCTTAGTTCTTTTTTCAAAATTGTTTTAGCTATTCTGCTTCCTTTATATTTTCATTGGAATTTTAGCGTCAGCCTGTCAAGTTCTGGAAAAAAGGCAGCAGGGATTTTGACGGGTTATATTGAATCTGTAGATCACTTTGAAGAGTAGTGCCACCTTAACAATATTAGGTCTTCCAATCCATAAATATGAAAAATCTATTTTATTTAAGTCTTTTAAAATTTCATTCAGTGATGTTTTATAGTTTTCAGTGTGTAAGCCTTGTTTTTAAAGTATTAAATATTTTATTTTTTTGACGCTATTGTAAACGGAATTGGTTTTTGAGTTTCATTTTCATATTGTTTATTGCTAGTGTATAGATATATAACTGGTTATTGTATATTAATCTCGTATTTTGTCATCTTGCCAACTTGTTTATTATCTTTAATGGTTTTTTCAGTGGATGAATTTTGGTTTTATATGCACAAGATCATGTCATCTGCAAATAAGAGGGTTTTGCTTCCTTTCCAATATGGATGCTTTTTATTTCTTATTCTTACCTAATTGCCCTGGCTATAATGTCCCAGTACAATATTGAATAGAAGTGGTAAGAACAGATATTCTTATCTTGTTTCTGATTTTAGGAGGAAACCTTTCTGTCTTTTATTATTAAGTATGATGTTAGGTGTGGGTTTTTAAATAAATAGATATACTTCATCAGATTGAGGAAGTTCTCCTTTACTTTTTAGTTGGTTCAGTGTTTTATCAGAAAAGAATGTTGGATTTTGTCAAAATGCTTTTTCTGTGTTTATTGAGGTAATCATGAGGTTTTGCCTTTTATTCTATTAATACAGTATATTATACTGATTGATTTTCAGGTGCTAAATTGACCTTACATTCTGGGACAAATTACACATTGCTATAGTGTAAAATACTTTTTCTATGTTGCTGAATTTGGTTTGATAGTATTTTGTTGAGGATTTTTTTTTTGGTAAATATTTGTGAAGAATATTAGTTTGTAGTTGTTTTTTTGTGTGTGTTGTCCTTGCCTGGTTTTGGTATCAGGGCAAAACTGATCTCCTACAATGAGTTTGGTTGCATTCGTTCTTTTACATTTTTTGAAAGAATTTGCAAAGGATTGGTGTTTTTTAATGGTTTGGTAGCTTTCATCAGCAAAGTAATCTGGTCCTAGGTGTTTTTGTGGGAGGTTTTTAATTACCGATTCAATCTCTTTACTTGTTATAGATGTATTCATATTGTCTACTTCTTTTTTACAAATAGAGAAAACCAATAGATAGATATTATTTTTTAAATGAACTGAATAGATACTCTGGAATTGAAAAGTATAATAATTGAAATGAAAAATCTACCGGAAGGGGTCAACACCAGATTTGAGTAGGCAGAAGAAAGAATCAGTGAACTTAAAGACAGGCCAACTGAGATTATTCTGTCTGAAGGACAGAATAAAAAAGAATGAATAAAAATTAATATAACCCCAGAAACCTGTGAAATATCATCAAGTATACCAACATATGCATAAAGATAGTCCCAGCCAGAAGGGCAAAAAAAAAAAAAAAAAAAAAAAAAAAAAAGAAAAGAAAAGAAAAAAAAAGGCTGAAATTTATCCAAATCTAATAAAAGACATTAATCTACACATCCAAGGAGCTCAATAAACTCTAAGGAGATACATACCTCGACACATTATAATCAAACTTTCAAAAGAAAAAGACGAAGAGGGATTCTTCAAAGAAGCAAGAAGGCCATGACTCATCTCATGCAAGGAATCCTCTACAAGATTAACAGGTGATTTCTCATAAGAAATCATGGAGGTCAGAAGGCAGAGAGATGATATATTCAAAATGCTGAAAGAAAAGACTGCTAACCAAGTATTCTACATCCAGTAAAATGTTCCTTCAAGATGAGGCATTCTCATATTTTCCTGTATTACTTTAAACATTTTTAAAAATTCTGTGAACATATTTAAAATAGCATAAAATTTTTGTCTAATTATTCCAATATTTAGGGTTCCTAAGGGGCATTTGTTATTGAAGGCTTTATAAAAAATATGCATAGGCCAAATTTCTTGTTTCTTCAAGTGTCTCATAAGTTTTTGTTAAAATTTGGCATTTTCAATAATGTGAGAACTCTGGAAATCAGAATCTTCCTCTTCTCCAGCAAATTCCCCAGGGTTTATTGCTGTTGTTTTTGTTTATTTAATAAATTCTGTAAGTCTGTGTTCCTTTTCATGTGTGGTCACTGAAATCTGTATTCAGTTAGGATAATGATTAGCCAGTAATTGAACAGAGATTTTCTTCAATGCCTAGAACCAATGAGTCTCCTAATCTCTGGCAAGGGGCTCTATGTGAATGTTGGAATATGCCATCATCATTCAGCCAGGCAATTGAGAACTCTGACTGGGCCTTCACTTCCTGCTTGTGTGAGCCCCAAGGTGAGAGCTTAGGGCCTTTCTGAGCTTTTTTCTGAGAATGTACGACCATGGTTTTATGGATTAGAAGGACTTATCAAAGCCCCTATGGACTTCTGATTCCCCCACTTCCCCATTTTTTTAAGCATTTTGGTTAGCTTGTTGTTCATTCCAACTGTTATTCATGACTATGCATCCACAGTGTTAACAATTCCTGTGTTTTCTACAGAATCTCCAGAGAAAAGACTATTCTCTGTACAAGAGAAAAGACTATTCTCTGTACAAGAGAAGAGCCTGGTGAAGCTCTGAATCAGGTGAAATAAAGATAATCTTGCAAATAGGCATCCCTAGAGAATTACCTGACAAGTCAAATAATGACAGATCTTTGAGAATGGGATTTTGAAGGTGCTCCAATTGTCTTTTTCCCCCTCCAGTGGCTGCCATGCTGTTGGTTTTCACTTTGAATATGGATGGCTAGTTTTCAAGGTTACCATTGAGATCAGCAGTGGGGATGGGAATAGAACAAGTTTAAAATGCCACAAAGCTCACTGTTGCTACCATGATTCTGCTGTTTTGCTCCAATAAATACTTTCCAAATTTCTGAAAGGGCTTCATTAATTTCCAGAGTTTGGAAAACATAAATTCTGACCATTTTTGCCAGTTTTCTCATTGCTTTTACAGAAGAGAGAATTTTCAGAGGTCCTGAATCTGCCGTTTCGCTAGTGTCACCTTATGAGAGCTTTTTAAGAGAGAAAAAAAAGGTAAGGAGTAAGGAAGAGTATGGGAATAAATACACAAGTAAGAAAAACTGGAATCTACCAAAAAACTTGTAGTTGTATAAATGTCACTTCTCTGTACAAAAAGCTATAATTGCTTTTTAATCCCAACTCTACTAGCACATCAAGACCTGAATGTTGCTTGCAACTTTATTGTTCTGTGTTCCCTGTTTCTTTTTTTAATTTTTTATTTTAGAGATGAGGCCTCACTCTGTTGCCCAGGCTGGAGTGCAGTGGCGTAATCACAGTTCACTGCAGCCTCAAACTTCTGGGCTCAAGTGATCCTCCCACCCTAGCCTCCTGAGTAGCTGGGACTACAGGTACATCCAATTCCACCCAGCTAATTTAAAAACACTTTTTTTTCTTTTTTTTTTTTTTGTAGAGATGAGGTCTTGCTTTGTTGCCCAGGCTGGTCTCAAACTCCTGGCTTCAAGAGATCCTCCTGCCTTGGCCTCCCAAAATACTGGGATTACAGGCATAAGCCACAATGACTGTCCTATTGTTTCCTATTTCTTACAGTGCAGCCACCCTTCCAATTGTGCCAGCCTCTTACCATGTCTCTACTTCCCTGTCCTACCTTCCCTCCATACCCATGCTGCAGTTTATTGCTACAGCCTAAGGCAGTAGCTGGAGACTGTCACACTGGTGACACTACCACATGCCCAAGTAGGAGGAATGTATGGGCCTGAAGGAACATCAGTGACAGGGCCAAAGCTCTGATGGATTATTATCCTGCCACCACTTTGGGTTGCTGATTTCCTGCTCAAAGATATATCATTTTTTCCTATAACGACAGGGTAAAAAGTTGTTCCCCGTTTGTTTAGACCACATAGAAACCAGGGTGGTCAGTAGAATTGAATAAAAGGATAGGTTTGAAGAGAAGGGGGCAAAGTTAAATGTGGTTTAATAGTTTCTGCATTGTTGCTGAATCTGAGCCTGGTGCCAAATGCAAACTAGAAATTCCCCCTCTTAGTTGCCAGATTTACAAGGTGATTACATATAATTCTGTTCCAGTTGATAGTTTTACAAAACAGGATATAGTAACCCACATAATTTTGACTAATTTGATTGTTTCCAGAGTCCTGAGTTTAAAAAGAAATTATTGCCTTTTTAATAAAAAAGCAATATCAAAACCATTTGCAATAATTTTATTTCATATTATTTATTTTTGAGACGGAGTCTCACTGTTGCCTGGGCTGGAATGCAGTGAGGCGATTTCAGCTCACTGCAACCTCTGCCTCCCCGGTTCAAGTGATTCTCCTGCCTCAGCCTCCTGAGTAGCTGAGACTACAGGCAAGTGCCACCATATCCAGCTAGACGGGGTTTCGCCATGTTGGCCAGGCTGGTCTCCAGCTCCTGACCTCAGGTGATCTGCCCACCTCAGCCTCCCAAAGTGCTGGGATTACAGGCGTGAGCCACTGTGCCTGGCCCATTTGCTATAATTTTAGCACCCAATCAATGATTCCCATTGTATTGGGTTTAGTTGAGGACTATCATACTGACTTTCAATCTTAATCATTTAGATATCATATGGTAGCCATGTTTTACTAAGTTGTCCTTGTGGCAGGGATTTTTAAAAATTTCTTTTGAAAGGTGAGTAAATATTCAGTTAATATCTAATAGGAAGACCCTCTGATTTCATTGCAGAAATAAGACATTTACATGTAAACAATTTGAGTCTTGTAGAAAATTCTAACCACTCATTCAATGTTTTAATTCAAAGATTATATAAATAATGTTTTCTTTAACAACAATACTAAAAAATTAAAGACTCAAATGAAAACAAATTTTTGCTTTTAAAATGCAGAAATATAAGGAAGTGTGAAATTGTGACTACTTCATTAATAATGAAAATGAACTACATAGCAATGTCATGATAAACAGAATTTAATAAGAAATGCAAATTTGGCAATTTCTAAAAATGATAACATAAAGAAGTATAAACAGACATAAAGCAAAGAAGCACAAAGAAGAAGATACCATAAAGAAATACATATCTGAAGAATTCCATGCGTTTTGATGTGTTATTAGATCTTATTTTCCACATAGTATGCGAAATATTCATAAATACTTTTTTTTCTTTTCCCTTAAAAAATAGAAAATGTTGGAGGCAATTTGTTAATTTAGTTGCATTTTTTCCTTGTGCCTGATTAATCTTGCATACCCCAAAAGGGGAACATTTGGGTTTAATTTTTATGCTAAATTGATAATAACTTTTAAAAATTACTGGTATTATTTGAATACAGGTTTTAATCTCTTGATTAAAAAAAGACATTAAAAGAGATCTACAGCAGTCTAAAGACTTAGGTAAACAAATATTCTACTGGGTCACAGCATTGTATATGCTTAGGAAATGTCCTTGATCCAGTAAATCGAGAAGGTTATTTTTGAGGAAGTGTCTTGGAGTTATTAATACTTTCTCCCCCAATTATCATCAATATTTTAAGCCACCCTGAATGCAAGTGTGGCCATCTTTTATGAATTCTATGTAGCTGTACAAAATTTATCCTGAACTCAACTAGTCAGTGTCTCTCCTGATTCCTGAAAAAAGTAATGAACAGCTGGAAACCAAGCTGCAATGCAACTCTACCAATTAAAGAATTAAGATTTTAAAACAAATGATTTTTTTGTAGAAAACATTTTTCCACTTAATAGCTCTAATTTTATCTGCTACCTACTCAAACTGAGCAGAAAGACAAATGTTTCCTCAGAGAGCATGCTAGCCGAAATATCAGTAGGTCATTTGACCATGTGACATCCCCAGAGGCAGTTCCGAGCTGAGTGCACAACTGCCTGTGGAGCTCACCAAAAGGCCAGATGTTGCTACTAGAATGTTCCAAAGCTTGGCATCTGGGGTCTTGGCAAGCCCCAGAGATAGCCTTGGGTCCTGTGCCTATTGCTAAAATAGGAAATGAAAGAAAGTTCCACAGCAGAAGGTCTAACTAATTCTGAAGCGATATACAGGAATGAAAGTAATTAAAAGTAACACTAGCTTATGGTAAATAATTGGCTTGTCTATATTGATTAAATATATAGTTAATGTTAAAATAGTTTCAACGCTTGGGAGAATAATTTTTCATTGACTTTAAGCATGCTCTAAGCTAATTGTATCAATCAATCAAATTATTTGCCAGTAACTGAGAATGCATAGCACATCCTTCAGTCATGAAAAACAACAGAAGAAAGGCAGCTACGTTCCTACTGCCCTCAGATCTCACAGTTTTAGAGTGTTTTCCCTATTCTTTATCCTATTTCCATAAAATTAAGGTTCGAAAGGTAGACGTCATGATATGGCTGTTAGAATACGAAAATGGAATTTTATAGATCTGATTTTGTAAAGTTATTGTTTTTTGGGGGGCTACAAATTACAGGTTTAAAGATAGTTTCTGAAAAGTAACACAGTAAAAACAAGAACTTTGAAAATTCATACCTTTAACTCAGTAATGCCACTTCTTAGGAGTCTGTCCAAACAAATTAATCAAATATGGACAAATGTTTATTTATAAGAATGTTCATCGTGAAGGTAATAGCTAAATACTGATACAAATTTCCAATAATAGGGGATCTTACACACAATATTCTGTATCATTAAAATAATTTTAAGACTTTTTAATGGCATAGAATGTTATATTTAAAGCAGAAGTCAAACTTTATAAACAATAGTACCTCAATTTGGGAAAAAATATTCACATACTCAACACTGGAAAAAATATAAAAGTAATAGCAGTTGTTATGTCTGGATGGGCGTTTATGGGTAATTTTTATTTTCCTCTATATTTGTTAGCCTTTGAAATATATTTTATAAGGATTATAAAATAAACATTGTAAAACATTATTCAAATTGGCATTAAAACAAAGTGCTTTATTACAGTAGAATGTATATGGTTTGAAAAGGTTGAAAATCAACTACAACTTCCTTAAACATGAAACTGAGAATTCTGGTTATTCTTAAAAATTGCACCCATGCATTGGGAATCCTTCTTTGTCTTTACTAAGGATACACCAACAAATTCAAAGAAGAATCCTGATATTATTGCTCTGGTTAAAAAAAAAAAAGTATGCAAAAATTCTGTTTTTAAACATTTCAGGAGTATTTTTAAGTGCTGCATTAAGAAACCATTTCAAAGCAGGCAACAATTTCATGATAATAAGTGACTTATCATGTCATAAAATTGGTTTATTCCAATTTATTCCAAACATTAGACTGTAAGTTACATCATTTATCATTTCCTTCCTAAGATCTTTACTCTATACCATTTTCCTCTGTTTAACACTAAAAATTATTCACAACATTCTTATTGGGTTTCTGTTTTATAGTAAGAGGTTTTCAGGATTCTTTGTTTTATATTAGCTATTTATTTTTCTGTATTGATCCTTAAGAATATTTGTCATATCAACGTATTAGATTATATGTTTCTAAACATACCTGGAATTTGAATGCTTTAAGTATTTAATATCAATATCTGTAAATTTTCATACAAACATTATGCTTAGTTACAAACATAAACCTCTTTTGCTTGTAATGCCCGTTGGCAGCTAGCTTGGTATTTCAGTGACTTGGGGTTTAATTTTCACTAAGCAGATTTTAAAAAATTCCAAACAAATGCATCGTAATCTATGTTAGATGCTCATTTAGCA
The DNA here is from genome assembly GCF_000001405.40 of Homo sapiens. NCBI lineage: Eukaryota > Metazoa > Chordata > Mammalia > Primates > Hominidae > Homo > Homo sapiens. The sequence continues at coordinate 181,378,918 of NC_000002.12, read as the reverse complement.
ATATCTCTGAGAGGTGGGACTAACTTTCCACTGTGGCATCAAGAGAGCAATCCATTAAATCTGGTTCTCTCTCTTTCTAAGGATGGCAGCATGAACTCAGCTGGGCCCCGTGGTCCTCAGCCCAGCCCTCGGCAGAAGCAGTGAATTCAGCCATAACTACAGCAGAGTCTGATCATTCTCCTGATGAAATTACACTGATCTAATTTGCACGCTGTGAAGACATTTGGCACTGGCTGGATCTGAGCCTTGACATCTTCATTGGAACTAAAAGTACACTAAGAACTGACATTACGTTTCACATTCTTTTCTGCCAGGCTGTGGCATTTCATCCTCTTTAAAGGCATTATTTCAAGAACATTTAATTTGGCTTTGATATGCCTGCCATTTTGCTGGGTGGAACATACTGCGCCAGAAAAGCTCAGCTGTAATAAAGTTTGGCACCAACAGCTCACCATATACCTGCACCATCCTGTGCAATTTAATTGGCATTCAGTGGGTTGATAAATGGATTGGCTTAATGAGACAATATACTTGACATATGCAGAACTCTCCTGAGGAATAGGATTCATTTTTTCACTTCACACATCAACATGTTACAGATACCAACACAGTCACCTCCAGCAGTTGCACTGTAGCCAATGGACGCCTTCCATTGTGTTGACCAGTAATATTACCTTCCAGCTATCTCACTCCTTCCTCTTTTAGCACAAAAGTATGTTTTAAATTTCATTGTCTTTTATATTTTCTCAGATATAAGGCATAAGATAGGCTCCATGTTTAATTTACATAAATCTGTATTATCTCAGCAGATCATACAGCTTTTTTTGGTGTCTAAACAGATTAGTTTTACCTACTGTAAAATGACATAACTATAAAATACATGTAATAATGAATTCTAGGTATAACTACTGGCATATGCAATCATGTAATTGAGAAGGTGGGTGACATTCTATCTTCAGAAATGTTGGCTTCAAGAATAAATTAATTAAAACAAAAAAGAAACACCATTTTCACTCCTCAGATTAGCTAAGATGAAAAAGAACCATAATGCTGGGTGTTGGCAGGGGATCCAGGAAATAAATGCCTCATGCTCTGCTGGTGGGATTCTAAATTAATACAACTTTTTTTGCAAGGCCATTGGCAATATGTATCAAAAACCTTAAGAATGGGTATAGCCTTTCACTAAGCACTTTCACTTCTCAAAATATACCCCAAGCAAATAAAGACATGCCAAAGATTAATATTTGAGAGTGATCATCACATTAAGTATAATAGAAAAAATTAAAACCATCTAGATATCTTAAAAAAGAGATTGAATAAAATGTGGAATACCTATAGTCTAGAATACTATACTGCTATTAAAATGATGTAGTAGAAATATTTATAATGAAAAAATGTTCTTGATGCCTTTTATGCTGAAAAAGTATTATAAAACACTAGGTTCATTATTGGTCATTAAAAAAATTACATATAAAACACATTTATACCCATACTAAAAAAAGTCAAAGGACAAATACCAACATAGTAATAATGCGTGCCTCTGGAGATAGGGATTATTATCTGTGTTTTTTTTTCTTTATGCTTATCTGTATTTTTTAATCAAATAAGTTATTTAAAAGACTTAGATAAGATGGCATTTTAAACTTATCAAGAAATTTCTTTCTGACCAAAATTTGATTTGGGAAAATTCTTTACTGTGTCATAAGTCAAATTATGCTTGTATAATTCAATTCTTTTTATTGTTCCAGGTCATTTAAGTATTCAGTAGAGTAGCTGTCCAGATAGATAAACCATCTTAGACAAATGAAGTTTCTTTTAGCCTTCAGCTCCTGGAATTTGTCAGTTCTCCAGTAATAGTTTAGTAGTAGCAAGCAGCAGATTTTTAGAATACTATTGACATTCAAAAGACTTCTAGTTTTTGCCTCCTAGTCACAATTCTTATGCAACGAAAACTGCCTTGCCTATTCTATTTTTTTTAACAAGGGTGAAGATTTCTAGAACTAGAAAAATCTTATATGAAGATCCAGACATGTAAAGGTTATTAATTTAGGTTTGTGAAGGACCCATGGGAACCACTGTGTGCCTGGCAATAGGGATGACAGGGTCCCTGACTTCAAGTCTGACCATGCAAATAGTAAAGGAAAGATAATTGGGCTGGAATGAAAGTGCTTTAAAAGGGAGACCAGCTCAGGGTAGCCAAAGTGCTCCATAATGACCAATTGGAGGGCAAGCAGGCAGGATGCAGCGCCACGTTAGCAGCATCCAGGACAGCTGTCTGCTCGCTGCCTCCTGTGCAATGCGCCTCAACAGTACCTGCCTCTGGCTTCCTTCCTGTCCCTGAGGTGGGGAGGGTGTCCACAAGCCACCGCTCCTCATTTCAACTGGATGCCAGTTTGATACTCTCCATCCTGTTCCAAAGGAAGTTCCAACATGCAAATAAGCCCAAGGAAATGAAAAAATGAAACCGTGTGTGACAGTTTCTAATTACTGCATAAAAGCAACATATGGAAACTTCATTGTCCATTTCATCCATCCACATGTACCATCAAGTCAGACTTCTTTTACTCAATCACTCTCTTGAGCATTTGGACCTAATTGACTTCAATGAGAAGTTTAAAAAAAAAAGTTTTGGATAGAATAATAATATTTTTAATTTTTTTCATCTTAATCATTGGGAGATTTTCATAACCTTGCTCTATTTTCTGTGTGAGTTTTTCATTGTATTCTCATTAAGTGTATTCCCTAGGGTTGTTCACAACCTGAATTGAAATTCTCCATTCTTCAAAAGTTTAAATTAACTATCCCTAAGTACCTCTTAGAAATGCTCGAGTGGGTCCCTAATCACATATTAGAGGAGGCAGGAGGACCGGTTCGGCACTGTCATCTGCTCAGACGTTCAGGTGGCATATGCACAGGAGGCAGAAAAAGAAAACTCAAACAGGCACTGTTTGCTGACCAAAAAAACTCAGCAAAATACATTTCAAAAATCCAAAAGTTAGTTAAGCAATGCGTTAAGGTAGAAAAGAAAACTGGATTGAGGGTCAAGAGACCTGGAGTTGGCTCCCTCCTTTGCCACCACTATACTGTGTCACCTTAAGCATGTTCTTCGCTCCCTTCATTCTCTGCTTTAAAATAGGATGTAGTCTATAAGCCCTAAGGTTCCTTTTCTCTTACCTACATTCTCGTACTATATAGAATAATTTAAGTACTATTTGTTTTCTATACAGGACTAGACACTTCTTGCCAAAGGATGCTTGCATTTATATACTAACCTTGGAGTAAAGTTTAAAAGTTGAGGCTAGACCAAAGAAGCAAGACATACATCAAGTGCCCGTTTGCTAAAAGAAAAACCTTCCAATTTCTCTTCTCATCCCCCCTGGCCACAGAAGCAGAGTCAGTTAATGAATCAGAAAAAAGCTGGTTACCAGATGTCCTGGCTTATTAACACGCACATTGCATTCTGTAATGGCATTCACTAAGCAAGCTGTGTGGAACCGAGAGATGGCAAAGGAAAAGTTCTCCTCTCAGATGAGCTTCAAAATATGTGTGTGCTTTGGTAAATTTCACGAGTGGTTGCTGCAGAGGTTCGTTTAAGCCTCTGTCAGGCATTGCATCTAGAGGGAGCTTGCCTGGGTTACAGAGTCCCTCTCCAAGGCCATGGGATGTCACACCCTCTCACCCCTTTCTCATTTCTCTATTCTGTGCAGAACTGCCGACATGAACTCTTATATGTGGAAGAGAAAGACAACAATAATAAATTTAGGAGCAATGCAAAGGAAAAGCCAATTCTGTTTGATTGGTTTTCACCACGACTAATTTTAAAGCCACCCATTGTTCAGCTCTGCAGTCTAATTTTATGTTAATATCCTGAAAGTTGTCAAATCTTGGCAAAACCCATGCATAAATTACACAGAAAGTAGCTCACAGGAGGGGGAAAAGAAATGACTGTCATGGTTAGGCAAACCCATTAATAGTCTGACAAGCAATAACCCAGGAGCTCTGGTCAACTGCTGCAGACATCTGTGAAACTTTCACAATTAATATCATCTTCCCCCTTTTTTTCCTTTTTGTGGGAAGAGGTATCAGCTGTGAAATAGCATGCAACTGACTGTTCATTATCAGCTTTGCCGGTAAAGGTTGGGTTTATCGTCTCCCTTGGTTGACCACTGCCCTGCTTTTCACAAACAGCCACTGTTTTTGAAGGAATGCCATGTTTTTAGTGTACAGGGATTGATAGTCTTTAGAAAATGGGTACCAATTTTGTGTGGCTACTTACACGATATATATATATATACATATATATATATATATATGTTTTTTTTTTTTTTTCGAGACAGAGTCTCACTCAGTCACCCAGGCTGGAGTGCAGTGCTGTGATCATGGCTCACTGCAACCTCCGCCTCCCAGGCTCCAGCCATTCTCCTGTCTCAACCTCCCGAATAGCTGAGATTACAGGCACCTGCCATCACACCCAGCTAATTTTTGTATTTTTAGAAGAGACAGGGTTTCACCATGTTGGCCAGGCTGGTCTTGAACTCCTGACCTCAGGTGATCTGCCCACCTTGGCCTCCCAAAGTGCTGGGATTATAGGCATGAGCCACCATGCCCAGCAAAATAATATGTTTTGGTCTCTGTTTCATTTCTGATATTCCTTTCTCTGAGGCTGGGAAGAAACAAAAATGGAGAAACCTAAAACATCTCTTCAAACCTGCAGCCTAGGCTCCAGGCTTGCTGGTAGGTCATCTCATTATGCCTTTTCCTACCTTTTTCTGTGTCAGTTCAGTACACTTTATTTTTTCTGTGGGCAAGGTTCAGGGCAAAATATATGTACCAATCTGAGTAGTCAGTGTCTATGCCCTACTGGTGGTTAAAATATTTTGAGTATCACTCTTGTTTATATGTATTATATATTTACAGTGTACACACATACATAATCTATTGCTTATTTTCCCAGGGAATATTTCTGGTAGAATTATCTGAGTTTCCAGATAAGCTTAGAAAGGCAACTCCATCTTTTCCTACAGCTGTTACAGCTGATGCGTTCAGCATAGTGCCAGACACTCAGTGGATACTCAAAAAAATATTTGTTCAATGAATGAATGGGTAGATAAATAAATGAATGTCAGTAGGGCATACTCCTATTTTTGGCCTTGCTATTGTAGCTCCATTTATTGGTTTTACGCAGAACTTCTTTGCCACTAAAAATCATGGCCTGTGTGTAGGGCTTTCTCAGAGAGTGCTGCAGAAGACTTGCTTTTTTTAAGCCATAAGCAATCGGAAATGCCTGCCTTACAGAATCATTTAGTAAACATTTTTCTGAGCTCCTGCCTTTTGCCAGGCCTGGTGCTTGGAGGAGAAGACAAGAAGATGAGTGAAGTATGGTTTTTGTTATCACAGAGCTCATGGAATGTTTAGAGAGGTTTCTGTGTGGGAAGGTGAGTCCAAAAAAACAAGACACGTGCTATAATACGGGTGTCAACAGACTTCAGGGAGCAGCACACTCTGTACAGTATTGCAGGGAAAGATGTCACGGTAAAGAGACATTGGGCTGCGTCTTGATTAAAAAAACAAAAACAAAACAAAGCCTGGCAGAGAGAGTGAATTAAAGCTTTCAAAGCTCAGGATCTGCATGTGTAGAGAAATAGAGTAATAAAAGGTATAAAATTTTAGGGAATAGTGAGATGGTCAGTGGCTGGAAGCAGAGGGCCTGGGAGGGTGTGGCAGGAGATGAGGCTGGAGAGGTGAGCTAGGGTATGATAAGAAGTGGCTTTGGTGCCTAGGTGACTGTGGAATTTATCCTCCAGGAAACTAGGGACAAGTTGAAGCCTTTAAGGAGAGAAATAACTGTTGGTATTGCCTAGGATGGCCATTTGTAGGGTAGGGGCAGGAGTGGGGAGGGAAGGGGTGCTCAATCATTATAGGAAGGCCAGTGGGAATGTTATTTCAATAGCCTCATAAAGAGGCGACGAGAAAGGACAAGAAGCAACAGTCTAAAGATAGATATCTCGGAAGCAGGACTGTCAAGATTTGGTGACTGATTGCATGTGGGGGTAAAACAGATATGATACAGGATGACTTCTAGCTTTGTGTAAGTGGTGAAGCCTTTAATCAAGACAAAAACACAGAGAGGCAGCTGGCTAGGGTAGGAGTAGGAGTGAAGAGACTGCAAGGACATAGGAGGCAGCAACATAGACATTTTCTAGAAATCAGTCTTTGGAGAAAAAGCAGTAGCTCTTCACCAGATCACTCCCAACAATCATCAATAATGCCAATAAATCAAACCAGAGCAAAACAAACCAACTCTAACAGATGCTTATCAAGGGGAAATGCAGTTGGAAAGACTTCTTTGTGAGGAATAATCATGAGGAAAAACAATGAAAATGTACAGATGATAAATTTGTCATATGAACTCAAATAAAAAGACCTCATTAACAGGAAGCTCTTTAAAGCCTCAAGGTTCTGAAGTTTCTCAAATGCCTGCTGAATGATATGCTCAAGCTGACCTATTTCTTCTTCCTTCACTAAATATTATAGTAGCATATACCAAATGAAAATTATATTCATAATATTCAAAAACCCTCAAACAATCATAGTCTTCAATTTGGCAACACATATGGATTACTTTCCAGCCCTGTCAGGACAGAACAGATTCTGGACAAATCAAGAAAGAAGGAAGTGCTGGTACAATCACACAGACGAATGCCAGTTGTCTGAAAAAACAAGTTTGCTGTCATCTTGGGACATATCATTTTTAGAAACAATGACCCATTTGGCAGCCTCACACACATTCCCAGCTCTGAAAGCTTTCCAGCATTCCAGGCCTTACTTTATTTAGGTTTGGGATTTTTTGGGAATAAATCTTTGGTGAAGCAAGTGCAGAATCTTAATTCCATTCAGTATTACTCATTCCATTCACACCATTTTTTTTTTTTTTCTCATTGTGTCTTCTGTTAGCGACCCTTGTCTCCCTGCCTCAAAGACCTTGTCTGGACACCTCATATCAAATGGCAGCAGTGTGGAATGTCTAATTATTTCACTGTTGAACTTGAACAGCTGTCTGAGATGGTCTATTTAACCATGCTGGTCCTCTGGTTTTTGAAAACAGCCTTTGTTATATGAAGGATGTGGTTTTCCTCATTAGAAAATGTTTGCTTTTGGCCCAGTCAACATCTGAAAGGCCCTGAGTTAGATTTATTCAAAATTTCATGTTCTACTTTTTCAGTTTCAATTAAATTTTTATTGACTAGATGAGGTTTCTAAAGGGTAGAGAATTAGGTGTCTCAGGACCCAGAAAATTTTCCGCCTATTTCCAAGCATCTGACAGTATCAGTCTTCATCGAATTTTGAGACTTCAAATAGTTTTCCTAGCATAGAATGGGCTTTTCTAAAATATGTGAATTCTCTGAGCCAAAACATAAGTTCCTAGAGAATTTCTAGCCTGCACACCTAGGTTGAGAAAGATTCTGGGAAGCAAAACATTTTCCCTTTGAAAAGGGAGTTCAGACTAAGTTTCAGGGAGGAAGTGGGGTCATAAAAGAGTGGTAGGCAAGTGTAAGAACAGCCCTTTGTCAGGGAACTGGAGGGAGGGTGGTGGAGCCCTGGGAAGCAAAGGGACCCTGTTTTTAGTGAAGGCCTTTGACTTCTGAACTCATGATCTCTTCATTCTTTATGGGGTTTGCTTCGCTGTCAATTGCCCTTTGTTCATATGTGCCTGTTAACCTGACTTCCATTGTAGGGTGATGGTCTTTTTCCCTCCCCATCTTTGGATCTTCATATACAAACAGTTTTAATGATTCCATCATGTCCTTTGTGGAAACAGCCTAATAGGCTGTTATATTTTTTCATTTCACTCATATTCACAGCTTCTGTTCTCATTAGGTTAATATGAAATGAACGTAGTAATTTCCAACATGATTATAACAAGAACTAAGAATATGTATATTGTTCTTCATCTTATAAATCATTTTCACAATGTATCTCATTTATTAATCTATAGTCCTTGAGTAATTGTTAATTTGAGATCATTAGGCCTAACGAATTTTTTAAATGCATCAATTCTTCCTCAAAAGGTAGTTTGCAGATATTTACATAGGCTAAACAAAAATAGTAAAATGTTAAAAGTTTTTCTCAATAATTAAATAAGATAAGCTTTTATGACTTCTTCCTAATCTCAAATATCCTTTAGGAGCAAGTTAGAATCGAATTTTCTGCTTTCAGATTATATGTTCGACTCAAAATGAAGCAACAATTTGCTTATGTTTATTCAGTTAAGAAGAATTAAGTTCAATTTCTAGTACTCATAAAAATTTAGAAAAAATTCTCATGGAAGATATTTTACAACCACATTGGCTAATATGTATTCTTAAGTCTATGGATACTTTCAATAAGCTGACAACATAATTGTATGAGAAAATACATTCTTTTGAAAAGTTATAACATTTAAAATAAAGAAATATAAAAGGTACTATATGAGAATGGGTATCGCTTTTTCTCTTTAGGATGAATGGGCTAATTTATAACTTGTCAAGGGTCAGTAAGGCCAAATGCTCTAAGAAATATAGAGAAAAAGCCACATCATGGAATTGCTAAAGGGTACAAAGCGGTCATTGATTTATAAAGCAGACAATCTTCTGGTTTCCTCTTTATATTATGAACATTCCTCTATAACCCTTTTATTCCTGGGTCAATTAAACCAGTAAAAGTGGATGGCTTGTAGGGCCAGCCTGTGGCCCACATTTGGGCCCACGATCAGCATTTTAGCAGTTCAAGGATATATATCTGTGCTCACATATAACTCCTTACCTTCCCCACCAAGAGTGAAGAAGGGCCTGAAACTGCTAGGTGCCTTCTAGTATCCATTCTTCTCTTCTTCCTCAGGAACAAATTTTCATTTGGCATAGGAATGCAAACAACCTAAGGATTACATTTTTCTTCCTTCCTTACAGTTAGGTGTGTCCAAATTACTAACTCCTGGTCCATGAGACGAAACAGTCTTTTGGTAGCCTGCTTAAAGTCAGCTGACTCAGCAGGGATACTTAACTTTTGTCCCTTCTTCCTGATGTTTGGACTGCAGATGTGATGAATGGGGCTCTGGTTGCCATCTGGAATTATGAGGTAAACTTGAGAATGGAATGAGAGACAAAAAATGAGAAGGATGGTGTGGATTTCTGATGCCTTTGTTTCTGTCACTCCAGCCTGGACCACCTAACTCCAGATGACTTGTATGCGAGAGAGAGAGAAACTTTTATCTTTTTAAAGTCACTATTAGTATGGGTTTTCTATTACATGAATCTAATTCAAGGTGATAGAAGAGGGAATTTTATTGCCGTTTTGCTATTCCTGGGAAGAGCTGTATGACCTTCAGGGCTTCTCTTTAGAAACTGTAAGAGTGGTAGACCTTAGTGGGCCTGGACCACATGTGACAGGGCATAATGATAATAATGGTACTATTACCATTTAGTGAAAGCTTTATGCCAGTCACTGTTCAAGGTTCTTTTTTTACAGGCTTTTAACTTAATTACCATACCTACACCACACTTCAGTGTGTGTGTGTGTGTGTGTGTGTGTGTGTGTGTATATATATATATTTATATATATGCACATACAGCCACATGCCACTTAACAATGGGGCTCTGTTCTGAGAAATGTGTTGTTAGGGTGATCTTGTCATTGTGTGAACATCACAGAGTGTACTCACACAAACCCAGGTGTGATAGCCTACTATACACATAAGTTATATGGTATAGTCTATTGCTCCTAGGTTACAAACCTATACAGCATGTTACTATACTGAATACTGTAGGCAGCTGTAACACAATGGTAAGTATTTGTGTATCTAAACATACCTAAACATAGAAAAGGTACAGTAAAAACATGGTATAAAAGATTAAAAATAGTACATCTACATAGGACACACCATGAATGGAGCTTGCAGAACTGTAAGTTGCTCTGGGTGAGTTAGTGAGTAATGAGTGAATATGAAGGCCTAGGATATTATTGCACATTACTGTAGAATTTATAAACACTCTACACTTAGACTATAATACATTAAAAATTTTTTCTTTCTTCAGTGATAAATTAGCCTTAGCTTACTCTTTTTTACTCTATACGTTTTTAATTTTTAAAAAACTCTTTGACTCTTTTGTAATAACACTTAGCTTAAAGCACAAACACATTGTATGAGTATACAAAAATATATTCTTTCTTTATGTCTTTATTCTATAAGCTTTTTTCTATTTTTGGAAATTTTTAATTTTTAAAAATTTTTTGAACTTTTTTGTTAAAAATGAAGATACAAACACACATATTAGCCTAGGCCTACACACGGTCAGGATCATCAATATCACTATATATATATCAGAAATATATCACTATATCTTCCATGTCCACATCTTGTCCCATTAGTAGGTCTTCAGGGGCAAAAACAGGCATGGAGCTGTCATCTTCTATGATGACAATGCCTTCTTCTGTAATACTTCCTGAGGGAACTGCCTGAGGCTGTTTTATAGTAGACATTTTTTTATAGGTAGAAGGAATACACTCCAAAATCATGGTAAAAGTATAGTAAGTACATAAACCAGTCACATAGTCATTTATTATCATTACCAAGCATTATGTACTGTGCATACTTGTATATGCTATACTTTTACATGACTGGCAGCACAGTAGGTTTGTTTACACCAGCATCACTGCAAACATGAGTAATGTGTTACACTATATTAGAATGACTACAACATCACCAAGCAGAAGGAATTTTTCAGCTTTATTATAATCTTATGGGACCACTGCCATATATGCAGTCTGTCGTTAACTGAAATGTCATGATGTGACACATGACTCTGTGTGTGTGTGTCTGTGTTTGTGTCTGTGTGTGTGTGTATAAAAACAACCCTGAAAAGTAGGTAGTGTTATTATCCCTGTTATATAAACAGGGAAACTGAGAAGCTTAGGGAGTTACTTTCAAGTGGCAGCGCTGGGAATTAAAGTTCAAAGTCTTTGGTCTTAACCATGAGGCCACGCTCTCTCCCAGTAAAGGGAGGAACGAGCCATCTCCTAAGCATTTTCTCTCCTGAGAATGCAATGTTTTCATTTTTTATTTCGTTACTATCAATACCCGTTTTATATAAGAAGGACACTCCACAGAGTAGAATGTGTATGTATTGATTCCTAGTCTTATCTTAATAGATTTAATCATAGAGCCTTAGAGAAGAACCAGCTTATCAAAATGGCTCCACAGACTTATCATTGCTAGCCTTAGTAGGGGCGAGGGGAGAGTACAGGCCAAATGGGCGGTGCTCAGTAACCCACCATATCATATCACTGTGGAACACCACCCAACAACAAAGCATTTGTCTCCCAGAATTCTATTCAGAATCTGCTTGAGTACAGCAGTAACAGCACATACTTATCATGAAGCAACCCTGGAAGGCTGTTTAAAAGTCCCTGAAAGATAATATTTATTCAGGTCTATTTTGTCTTCCAATTGTAAAATGTTAAGAGGTCACACACTTATTATTTTGCTTAGAAGAATTAATAATGCCATGGGAAATGAAAGCTTCACCTCAATTCCTGTTTTGCTTTTGGTGCTTGTTGCTATTATTTGTTTTGTATGGAACACCAACAAAACATACATAGAATAATGGACCACTTAAATGTGTATCAGTCAGGATATTGTAGGTCATGTACAGAAAAAAAATATCCAAATGTCAGAGGCCCGTAACACTCAATGTTTATCTTTCTACTCTTACTTCCTGTCCATTATGGATCAACCTGGGGCTTGGATTTATGTCATCTTTACTGCAGTACCTGGGAGGCTGATAAAGAAGCCTTTTCTAGGATGTTGCTACTTTGATGGCAGTGGAAAGTAAATGATGGTGAAACACCAACTGACTTAAAACTGCTGATCAAAATTGATACATGTCACTTCTGTTTATCTTTCTCTAAACAAAGCCAGATGCATCGCTAAAACTAATATCAATAGGGTGGGGACATGCTTCCACACAACAGGCAAGGAGGGACCGTGAATATTTTGACACTAAATATAGTAATCTTCGACAGTCTTAGATGATAAAATATGTAGATTACTCTAGCCATACTGTGGTATTTGTAGTTTCTCCAGCTGACCATGTGTTCTCTCACATTTGCACCTGATATTTGTAATTTTTTTCTGCCTGAAGCTCTTTCTCTCCCTTCTTCACACCGCTAGTACTTATACAACTTCCAAGTCTCAGACTAGATAATAGATCTTAGAACTCTTGCTTGACTCACTAATCCTATTCTATTCCTGAGTATTTCCATAGTTAACAGTTTTCAAATAGATCTTAACATCTCCACAAATATTTCTTGTTTTATTTTTTGTTTTGTATTGTATTTTTCTTTTCCATTCCTTTTTTGCTTCACCACTCAAAGGTAAGTGCATTGAGAGCAAAGAGTGTATCTGGTTCACCTAACATAAAACCTGGCACATATTAATTAATCAACCAATTAATATTGTTAAATGAAAATTATCTTGACAGCTTCATGCAATCAATTTCTGTTGTGTTGTCAGGAAATATGGCATGGAAAAATAAAGACTACTAAATATTATTTGCTAGTCAAATAAGTGAATCATCTTGGATATCCAACCAGTTGAGACCTCAGTTGACTCCAGCATCACCTGACATCTAACTGCAGTGATATGAGAGATTCTCAAGGGAGAGTGTAGAAAAGGCAGGGACCACTGGTAGGAATTTGGACTTGCGATTGATCATTTGGGGATGGTTGGGAAATGCTTCATATAAGCAACCCGGCCTTTTTAGGTTAAAGAAAATAAGGATCCTGGGCTTATAGCTTGATAAATTATAATTACTACTTTTTCTGCTTCTCTTCTTCACTTGTTGCTAGCTCTTCATTAATATACAAGTATGTTTTGGCTAAATGATGCAATTTAGATAAAAACATTAATTTATTCAGACTAAGGTGCAGCAGTGTCACTTAAAAACATGTATGTATGCATACACACATTTTTGTGCTGGAACTGGCAGCTATCATGAACAATGCATCCTTGTGTATAATTAGCATGTTTCAAAGATCACTATAGGCAAGAAGACATCAAAGAAAATAAGAAAGAAAGGTACTAGAATCATTGTGGGCAGAATATTTCTTAACTTTTTAACAGATAGCTAGAACAAAAAGTTTCTGGTGAGATAGAAAAGTCTATGTTGTTAGCAGTATTTCAACATACTCCTTATCACCTGATCCACCTGATCTGTGTTTTTGTACCCTGGTTTCGCATCAGAATCACTTGGTAGGCAGGCGTTTAAAAAGTACTAATGACAGGGTCAGGCGCGGTGGCTCACGCCTGTAATCCCATCATCTTGGGAGGCCAAGGCAGGCGGATCACGAGGTCAGGAGATCGAGACCATCCTGGCTAAAATGGTGAAACCCCGTCTCTACTAAAAATACAAAAAATTAGCCGGGTGTGGTGGCACGTGCCTGTAGTCCCAGCTACTTGGGAGGCTGAGGCAGGAGAATCGCTTGAACCCAAGAGGCGGAGGTTGCAGTGAGCCGAGATCACGCCACTGCACTCCAGCCTGGGTGACAGAGCAAGATTCTGTCTCAAAAAAAAAAAAAGTACTAATCACCACACTCTATTAGGCTGGGACAATGGTATTTATAAAAAATTCCTTGGGTGTGTATAATGTTTAGCCAGGCAGAAGAATAGCTAGTGTAAAAATCAGGCACTGTAGCTCAATCATTTTTTTTTTTAAATGAACTTGTATCAGGTAACAAGAGGATCTAAACTTTATTTTGCCCCAGATGCATATAAAGTAAAACCAGAGAAAATGCTTATGTTCCATGAAGTTTTCAGATATCCACTTTAAAATGTCTGCTGACAGCAGCCGGGTTTAATTCCAAGAGACTAACCACTTCCGGCAACCGGATTGCAAAAGGGAGAAGGGATGTAAGAAGGCAGTCTTTTGAAATAGATCATGGCTGATATCTTTGCCTGGAAAAAGGATGATCCCTGCCTCATCGTCATGGGCGCATAGTGGGAACAGCATTGACAACATCCCGAGTATGTAGGGAATGCTTTATGTGGATTTGGAAAACATAAATAGTGAAAAAAGAATTTTAAAGCCTTTGCTACAGCCTTATTGGCATTATTAGACAGGCGTATGTGTTGTAAAGTATTTCCTTCCACCTTCCACGTATATTATGTAATATAAACTGCATGGAGATAAGCATTTGCCCTGATATTTTTCTTTGCTCAACAGTGTAGCTCTTCTCTTTCTCAACAAGTCTCTGTATGATATTTCATCACAATGCCTAGTATCCATATACTTCAAAAATCCAAGTGTTTGATGGAACTTTTCATTCTGTAATCTATTTAGTCAGATAATACCTGCCAGGGTCAAAAGTGTAAGTGCTACTTTAATCACTATAGCAATTACTATGGCAATTTTTACTACATAATAATTACACAGTAATAATTAATAATTAATATTAAAAATATCAGGGCAAATACTTATCTCCCTGCAGTTTATATTACATAATATATTAATATATTAATAATTACTGTGGCAATTACTACATTGCCACAATTTAAAAAAATTATTTTTGTTCTTTCAGTTTTGAATCTGGTGGATTTCAGACACAGTTGGAAGCTATTTTTGGCGAGCAAGTTTTCCTGGGAAGATATAATAACCCTGATGTTGAAGGTCTTGTGGCTGATATGGGGGCATATCTATTTCAACATTAGCAGCATTACTGTCTGTCCAAGTTACCCATTTCCACTTTTCAGATACTGCAATAAATAGGCTTGTTTGCCTACTCCTCTTGAAGGCAGCAGGTTGGGTTAGATTGGGAAGATGGCATGAAGGTGGAAGGGGGAGACACTGTTGAATTCTTTGTATCTCTGTAAATTTCTATAGGGATTTCAAATTCTGCTTCCAGTTCCCAAAGTTTAGAGATCAATGCCATTATTGAAAACTACCATTAACAGCACTTTGGGAGGCCGAGGCGGGCGGATCACGAGGTCAGGAGATCGAGACCATCCTGGCTAACACAGTGAAACCCTGTCTCTACTAAAAATACAAAAAAAAATAGCCAGGTGTGGTGGCAGACACCTGTAGTCCCAGCTACTGGGGAGGCTGAGGCAGGAGAATGGCGTGAACCCGGGAGGCGGAGCTTGGAGTGAGCTGAGATGGCGCCACTGCACTCCAGCCTGGGCGACAGAATGAGACTCCATCTCAAAACAAACAAACAAACAAACAAAAAACAACTACCATTAACAGCATAGAGACTTTACCTGGAGTCTTCTGTTTATGCTTCATTTGTTCAAAGTAACACTTTCCTTAGATTGTTTTCTTATATCATTTTAGAAGTTCTAATTATTTCTTTCCAAGAAAAAGCTTGTTTTTTGGAGGGTTAACACTAGAATTTTGTGATTCTGTATTGCTTCAGTAATGACAGCAAAAAAGGAACTTTATGGAAGAATAATAGGGAAGCTTATGGGAATTGAGGGATAGCTAGTGAACCAGGTTTGGAACAAGTAGGCAATTTGTCTTCCAGTTGCCAAAAATAAGGAAATGAAACTTTACCATTTCTTCTGTCTTTGCAACACTCTGTCAAGATTCAAAGCTGGGGAAGAGAGAGTAATTGACTGGATTTAGTTCTAGGTCTAATGCAATCTATAGAAAAGAATGGGAGAGAAACCACCTAGCTTATAACCCCACCAGCACTGCACACAATGGGGAAAAGATATTTCCCCAAAGGAAATAGCATACTGATAAGAATGGAGAATGGCTGCTGGATGGCTAAGAAGCAATAAATGCCCCCGTCTGTATTTTTGCTTTTGTGGGATAGATGACAAGACTTCTGCCTCTCAGCAGGAAGATACACCGAAGAAATAGAAATAACAAATCTTATTAAATAAACTTGCAGCTGAAGAACATGGTGTTTTTATGTTAAAAATAAAAACAAAAAAACAAAACAAAATAAATCAAAACACAAAACCTACCTCTGAGTTGGAGTAATTTCCTTAATTTTAATATCACAAACATTTTCTTTCCATCATTCTTTTCATCATGTGATTCTGGAACTGAGCTTGGCAAAGCGTGAGTCTAAAGGTACTTCCAGTTTGCTTGGCTGGTTAGGCTATGGTCCTTTGCAGTATCATTCATGTCACTTATTTACAGTGGTCCCTCTTATCTGCAGTTTCACTTTCCGCAGTTTCAGTTACCTGCAGTCAACTGTGGTCCAAAAATATTAAATGAAAAATTGCAGAAATAAACAGTTTATAAAGTTTAAATTGTTCACTATTCTAAGTAGTGTGAGGAAATCTCATGCTGTTCCACTCCGTCTTGCCCAGGACATGAATTGTCCGTTTATCCAGTGTGTTTATGCTGTAGATACTTCCTACCCTTTAGTCACTTAGTAGCTGCCTTGGTTATCATATCAGCTGTCTCAGTATCACAGTGCTTGTGTTCAAGTGACTAATTGTACATAATAATGGCCCCCAACTCAAGAATCATAATGCTATCATTTTGTTATAATTGTTACATTTTATTATGATTGTTATTCTCTACTGTGCCTAATTTATAAATTAAACTTTATCATAGATATGTATATATAGGAAAAATATAAATATATAAGGTTTGGTATTATTTGTGATTTCAGGCATCTACTATTGTGTCCTGGAATGTATCCCCTGTGGATAAAGGGGGACTACTGTACCTCTATTTTTAAGCCATGGTGATATAGTTTTGCTTGTTTTTACTCTACTTCTGTGACAGATTAATGATGATGTAGTTTTGAAGGCTGAGTAGACTTCAGTTGAGTGGACAATAGACAAGACTGGGTTTGGAAAACCCCTCTAGCTCCAGAAAGTCAGTGCAGTTGGAGCATGGAGTGACGCTTAAGGGATCTTGGGTTTCAAACTGAGATGTGATGAGAGAGGCTAAAAGCACAAGTAAAGAGCAAATCGGAAAAACATGACAGACTCACAAGATCTTATGGTCATCATAGAATCACATTGATTTAGGATAGCAAATACTTGGCTCATAAACTCATCTGATCTCATCTTATACTCTAGATGCATCACCAATCAATCAAGACACTGTAACTGATGAGCTGCAGAAGAAATTTACCTGTGGCTCTGTCCCTTTCAAGCCATCTATTTATAGCACTCTTCTAATCATCTTTTTAAAACTTCAAATTGGATCTCTAAAACTTCCGACAGTCTTGCTCCAAAAACATTTATCCCCCAACCCATACCCTGAACACTCATTGTTTCATGACTCTGTGTATACAGTTTCCTTTTCTCGAATATTCTTTACCTTCTTGCTCATTGGTGAACTCCTTCCTATCCTTCAAAACATTTTGTCCCTTTCTTACACACGTTTCTAATTCCACCAGGCTAATTATTCTAGCCCTCTGTACTTCTAGAACACTGCATTTATCTCTCTTACAAGACAACTTTCCTGGAATTTTAATGTTTATATAAACCGTAATTACTTTTGCACCAACCTAATATGTCTGTGTTTTTCGTTAGACTTCATGCCACTTCAAAGTAGAAATACAGCTTATTCTTCTTTTTATTTGCTCTAACTTAACCCCAGTTTTGGCCCCATTATAGATGCTCAGTAAATCGTTATTGGTTGAGTAAATGAATGTCAACCAAGTTTTGTGGTCATCCTGTCATAACACTGAGAAATAAAGGGCCTTTTGACTCAATGTTGTATTTTCTGTATTAATTAAAAGTTTATGTTTTGGGACTTGGATGTAGTGTATGATCTACCTTCACTTGAAATATTAAATTGAAGTTTATAGTTTTGCTTGTTTCATCTTACTTTAGCCTAATTTGTGCATTGCTCCTTATAAATGTAAATTAATTAAAGTCTGACGCTATTTAGGGGAGCTGAGATTAACCAAAACCCCTGTACTCTAAAAAGAATATCCATATTTATTATTTGAATTATATTTAATTCTGTTTATTTTAACATTTTTCTGCATACACTTTTGAATCTCATTGACTAGATGTCCATTTTCAACCTCATCTCATCATGCAATATTCACAGGAGTGTTTGGCTTAAAAATGCACAAAGGTATCTTATTAAATAATGTCACAAACATGAAGTTCATTATTATGCAAATGCCATCCTTGGAACAGATTTGTTAATTGCAACTCATTTGCATAATTAATGAACTCCCAAATGAATTATGCCTTTGCAGATTTGTGCAGCATTGTTTTAAAATAAATTATAAAATACATGTCAAAGGAAGAGTGCTTTCTGGGTTCCCACAGCATTGTTTGAAAATTAATTACCAAATGCTTGTCAAATTAAAATGAGTTTGTAGTTTTTACAATGTTATTTTAAAATTAATCACAAAATAAAATGTCACTGCATTAAAGTAAGCAACTTGTTATTTTTCTCTAAAAAAGAACCACAGAAAACAGCATTTTAACTTCAATTACATTGTTTGGTATAGTGATTCTAGTGTTTTATTCATTTCATCTTTACACTGTGACTTAACAAAGTTGCTAGTTGTTAGCATTTTAATGTTTGATAAATTGAGATTTAATTTAATTTTATTATGTAGCTTATTTTATATGGTTGATGATTAATACATTGCATATGAACTCAGTATGGGTTTGTTCATGATAAATTAGAATTTTAAAAAAAACTTCAAGGTCATTTAAATCTGTTGTTATAGCAGTATTCTTAAGGTTTATTTTATTTGAAGTTTTGACTGCTGCCAGTTAAAATGATTAAAAGCATATAGTTTGAATCATTCTGCCTCTTCTGACTAATATAGTAGTATAATTCCTTTCTTTGATACAGAAAAGGCTGTTGCCCCTCACACTACTTTCTTCACACCATGGAAATTCTCTGTTCTTGCACAGAAGCCACAGCTACTCCCCAGTCCTAGACTCCCCAGCCCACAGGGACTGTCTATCCCCCAGGAAATCAGATGGAAAACCATTAGACCTAAAAAGTGATTTGGCCAAAATAACTTCCAAAACAATAGACTCGGTAGAGAAATTTCAGGAATTAAGGTTGCTTACCAAATACCTTTTCAAAATATCAAAATATAATAATAATAATAATAATAATAATAATAACGAATTATTATCCCCACCTAGTAGTATGAGAACATCTAATAGTGAGACACCCACTCCCTTAAGAAAAGAAGTCCATTTTTTTTTTTAACAATAGTATCCCTTCTGCTCACCTCTCCCTCTCCCCATCCTCCAAACCAAACCAATTGTCTGTGGTTTATATTCCATTTTGTCAGTTCTTGACCATGGAATGCAAATCCATGGGGGAAGGTCTTTGTTTGACATGATTGCAACTATGCAAACTGACCCCAACTAGACAATAATTCTTAAGTAAAATGATAAAACATTTTGCCTCTTAAAAAAACCCTGTATATAGCTGCCTTTCTAAACCCCTATGAGCGATTTCATGTTGCCCTTTCTATAAACTGATATGCATAGCAGCCCTTTTTGAAGAGGCAATATTTCTTCCACTTCATACCTTGTGTGTGAATAAACCCAAGTGGTTCATGCAGATACATGGATTTGACCTTTTGCCATTTTCTATTTCAGTCTGGCACAGATATTACTCAAAGACTTAAAACATCTTTTACAATCAAATTAAAAAAAAACCCTACTATTGTTTAAGCTTTGATGCCACCCTGTACTTATTCCTTTGTTTAAATTCTTTAGGATATTCCAACTTGACATTCTCTTCTGAAATTCTAAATCATTATGCTCATAAGTATAGGAGAATAAAACACCCAACACAGACAAACTGCCCTCAGGACAAAAAAATTTTTAGTGGGCCAATAACTACATATGAAAGTCTAAGTTATTTTGTACAGATGCACCATCTTTCATTAGGAACACCATTTACTTTGAGACGGCTCCCATTGAATTAAAACAGAAGTGTTCTAAATGAGAGAATTTGATCCACAACTTATGTTCTCTAACAAGCTACAGCCTGCAAAGCATTCCAGTCTTTGGAAAAAATTTCACATTAGTGAGAACAAGAGTGAATAAAGCCACAGTTTTTGTTGATTGAACATAAACCTTTTGTGAATCCTTGTAAGGGTCACTGGTCTACTCTTGATATAGTCTTCATGGGTACTTTCATTCCAAACTGTTTTCATTTCTGTGTTTTACTATACAAATTTCAGAAACATGGGTAGAATGGACAGCCTATAAAATAGATCAGCATCCAAATTTTCTTTAATAAAATCATGGCTTTGTTTTTCCTTCCAAAGGGATTCTCTTTCCTTCTTTTGTGCTTATCTTAAATATTTAACTAAAAAATAAAAATTCTGTCTATTCAAGGTATAAAATATAATGATAGATGTATATGGTATAACAATAACCACAATAAAATTAATCAACACATTCATTACCACCCATAGTTACCATTTGTGTATGGTGGGAGGTGAGGACATTTAAAATCTGCTCTCTTATCAAATTTCAAGTAAACAACATAGTATTGTTAATTATAGTCACCATGGATAAAAAATGTGGTATATATAATGGAATATTATTTAGCCATAAAAATAAGAAAATTCTCCCATTAGTAACCACATAGGTGAAACTGGAGGACATTATGCTAAGTGAAATAAGCCAGAAACAGAGAGACAAATACTGCATCATTTCACTCATATTTTGAATCTAAACACATCAAACTCTTTAAACCAGAGAATACTACTGTGGCTGCCAGGGGGCTGAGGGTGGGGGAAATGGGGAAATGTTGGTCAAGGGAACAAAGTTTCAGTTATAAGATGAGTAAATCTGAGGATCTGATGTGCAAAATCTTGGTATTTTAACTGAGTTTCAATGTCAGTTTGCACAGAATGTCATATAAACTGGATTTAAGAATATAGTTTGCTTTCAACTTCCTTTGGAGATCTTTTCAGTTCCTTCCAAAAAATATGCTACTGTTTTTTCTGGAGCTTTTTCCAAGTAGCTTTGTTGTCTACATCAAGATCAAAGACCATAAAACCCAAATCTACCCATCCTTTATTTAGAAAGATCTATCAAAGAGAAGTAAGTTTAATGGTACTTTGTAAACCAAAGCAACCCTTGAGGTTGCAATATCTAAAATGTCGATCTCCTATGATTTCTGTTTCATTTATTGAAAATCCATTGTTTTCTTATTTTTAATGATGGTATTCTAGGCATTTCATATACTATTCCAAATTTGTAAGTTAAATATATATTTTAAGCTACAAGCAGAAAAACTTTTATTTCTCCCAAAACAAGTGCTAAAAGCTGTTTTTGTATTATCACTGGGCATAAATAATCACTTTCTTCAGAAATAGTTTTGGAAAAAAAAATCCTTCCTAGAAAAGATTCTCCTACACTGAGTCTTTATACAATATTGAATGTGTTTAAGTTACTAGAAACTTTTGTCTCTACAGTAAAGGGAAATTTCTAAAATTGTTCATTTCTAAAATTGCTCAGTATTATATGGCAAAACAATTAAACTGCATTCTTTAACTTTTCCAGTTAGATATATAGGTAATGTAGATACATAGCCAGAAAGAATAACGCATTTTGTGGCTTTGACAGTAACACAGAATTTCATTTTATTTGCTAATTTTTTGATTTGTGAATACCTATTCTCCTTTCTGAACATTAACTGTGACTGAAAGATTCATAGGCTTATTGAATATTCATGCAAATAATTTGAGATCTTTCTTCCCTAGAGTTCAAGTTGAAATACATTGTTGATGTATGTCCACTGTGACATTCTGTGACATTGTTTTGCAGTTATTTTTAATTAGAAATAAAATATTAATCTATTTGAGTTTGTGTATAGAATGTATTTGGAGGGAGGAGAGAACTCAGAGAGGTATACAGTGATAGAATTTTAATTAATTTATTTTAAAGAGAAGTCACTTTAACTTGAAAGTCAGCCCCGTTTGTGATCTACAGAAGGGAATTCACAATGACTACAACTTACAGAGAAAACTGAAATCACTTATGGTTAGGTTCCTCTTATTAATCCAAAATGAATAAAGGGCTTGTTTTCCTCAAAGCTCAAGAAGTGAGAAGCTGAAATAGTGAACTGTTCTTTGGATCTCAGATTTCTGCTATTAGAGCTATTACTTTGTGCTAAGTTTCAGTGAAGAGCTTCTAAATCTTCTGAAGAAATAATTGTGGTGGCTGGGTTCATGTCATGCAATTTCAGGTTCCCTTCTGAGCAGAGGTCCAATTCTTGAAATTTAAAGAATTTGTCAAGACTTCTCTGCCAAAACTATTAGATGACTAATATTAAGGAAAAAGAATTACTTCTATCTTAATGCCATTTTAAATATGTGATTATTTGGAACCCCATCTTGTCAAAGTTTTGCCCTCTTAAATCATTGAACAGCCTCAAGAACATCACTAATTTAGGCTACGTGTACACTATATTCTCTATCCATGAATTTGACAGTAACAGTTGATTTATATATTCTGATTCTTAAAAGTTTGTTAGTTTTTTCAATTTGGTGCTCTCTACTAAAACAGTGTGGGTTCAGGGATGGGGGAAGAAAATGTCAAATCACTTCTCCCTAGAGAAACCAATAACCCAAACTGCTCCAAACTCTAAACTTGTATTTGATCCTTTTTTGATTGCTGGTGTTAGGATTTCCTACCTTGTGGTTGTAATGGTTCACTGTCAAGTTCTGACTTTCTTGGAGACCACTTGGATATTACCCTAGTAGCTTATACTTTATTAATCTTAAAAAGTGAAAGAACATTCAGTTCAGCTCAACTGAAGTTCAGTTCAACAATGGAACCCCTATTCTGGTCCAGCCACTGTACCAAGCACTGACACTACCCGATGAATAACACATAGTTGACGTCCTCAAGGACCTGACAATCTGTGGGGGAGACAAACCACTGAAATGGGCAATTGTCATCTGAAGCAGGAGGTTTAATAATGATGATGTGTGGAAAGAAAGCCTCCTAGCACAACTTGTAGAAAAATGAGTTGGAGATGCCCAGAAAGTGTTCCCAATTGTTCCAGCATCCTTGAAATTTACCCTGCAAAATATGTGGAAGTCATCTGACCCATCTGACTATCTGATGCCATACAAAAGGATCATAGCAGAAAGCTAATGTAAGACTGGTGATTGTCTTGTGCCAAAACCCAGCACCCTGCTCCATAGGTAAATATGGAAACAAATGTTACTCTAGTTCAGTAAAGACAAACTCAGCCAAACTTTACCACTGATCAAACTCGTTTACATGATTCTATGTGTTTTATACTTAGAGATCCCCAAATAATTCCGAGTAGCAGTTTTATGGAGATTTACTATAGACTTCATCACTGAAGTGGTTTTTACCCTGTTTGCTCATCATTTCCATTTCTACTCTGATTACATGTTGAAATTCATTCTCCTTTTATAAAATCAAGTCAAAGCAGACATATACACGATTAGTTTTTGACTGAATCTCCATGAGAAGAACACTATAATGGCCACATCATAAAACAATGAATAGCTAAAATATATCAGGATTGCTTCTTAGGAATAAGTGCCTAAGAGCTTTGTGTACTTAATTTCAATTGTAATAATACTAATTGATAATTACTATTCTGCCCATTTTACCAGGAAAATAATCTGGTCTCAGAAAACTAAGAACCTTAGCCAAAGTCATCAGCAAGTAAGTTATACAAGCAGTATTGTGTCCTTGAATCTATACTTGTAACCACTGTGCTGCTGATTAGACAAAATAGCCATACCAAGCTGCTAAAGAAACTATTATGTTGTGTTTCCTTCCCAGAGCTCTTCTTAGCTTTAGTATTTTTAAAGATTTAAGTAGTAGAATGACATATCTAAATATAAAAGAAATTAAAATCCCTGTATTAACATAATGTGACTAGACATATTGTATGTCATATGCCTCTGATATTCATAACTTCGCAAAAGGTGCTAGGTATCTATTGTCATTCAGTTCCAGTCTTGGCATATTTTTCCAGTGAAGGGGCAGAGATCTCTCCACTCCAGTGTTCTATACTAAACTTTCATTTTTTTTTTTTTTGTGAGCCCAGACCAGAATCCCACAGACAGCATGAATGATGATTCATTCATGTACTCAGCAGATACCTATTAAGCAACTATTTGGCATGGAGACTGTACCAGTGAACAGATCATTCTTACCCTCCTGAGTTTGTAGTCCAGTAGAGAAGACAGATACAAACATGTACGTGGACATCAGTGTTTTAATGGCAAAGTACATACAACCATGGCTAGGTTGGCTTTCCTGGAATGGTGACGTAAAAGCTGAGCTCTCCAGTCTCAGTAGGAGTTAGCTAGATGAAGGTGGGAAAGATGTAGGAAAAGGGTAGAAACTATATTGAGAAAACTGAACATTTGAAGCTTCAAGGATGGAAAACCGTGATGTTACTATGGTCTGAAGTAGTCTGGTATGGTTGGCACTAGGACATCCAACCAAGAGAAGAAACCGGAGAGGTAATCATAATCCTAATAGCTGATATTCTTCTGGAATCTACCTATTTTAAAAAGTACTATCTCATAAAATATTCATAACCACCCTAAGAGGGAGATATTATTATTACCTCAATTTTTCAGATGAAATAACTTGATCATGGTCTTATCCAGTGAGTAAGCGGCAGAGCTTTGAATCAAAGAGCTCCAGTTCCAAAGCTCACATCCTCCACCAGCAACCACCGCTGCCTTCAGATCATGATGGGCCTTGTAAGACATAATAAGAACTCTAGTGTTTATCCTATAGGTCAGAATTCTCAAAGTATGTTCCCCACCCAAGACCTACTGAATTAGAAACTCTGGGGCAAGGCCGAATAATTCATGAGTTCGAAAACCCTTCAAGTAATTCTGATGTTCAATAAAGTTTGAGAAACTGTGCTAAGGGCAATGAGAAATCCTGTAACATTTTAAAGCAGAGAAATATGACTTAACCAGATGAGATTTTCTGAAAGCTGATCATTCTTTCCACAGGTGATCCCTTCAGAATGAAGACTCAAGCATCCTCATTGCTGCTCTGCACCCACAGTTACACACTGACTCCCCTTGAGTTACGGAGAATGAAGTTAAGAGTAAAGGCCATCCAAAGTGGTAGGACTAATGAGCTACGCAGCCTTCTATTAGGGAGCCCTAACCTGACTGCTAAATTGAAAGAGATAAAAATATCCTTTGTAATCTGATTGCAAGAAAGTGTCCCTAATTGGATGGTTGTGACTTAGATAAATTTTAATTTATTAGGCTTGCTTAGTTTTATGGGCAAAAAGTGTGCATATATAACAGTTGTTGAAATTTATCTTTCTCTTTGAATGAGGTATATTTTTCACTAGGAATAGTTGCAGTAATAATAATGACTAATATATGTACATATACTTCTTAATTTCAAAATATATTCCATGTATCAGAGTTACATAAAATTTTCACTTTTCTAGAAAGGGGCCAAATCATAATATGAATAAAAATATAGTAACTCTACCTTATTCACTGTCAACTAAAGAAAGAGTGCCACAGAATAGTAATCTTTAATTTGTAATCATTTTGTTTCTTTTCAACTAAATTACCCCCATTTCATTAACTTGTAGTAAAGTCTTCTTGCCCTACCAGTTTTTTTAAAATATTTTAATGACCTTTAATAATACTTTTAAGTATCATATTTATACTACTATAATTATATACTGAAATTTCAATTACCCTAGAAACCAGAAATTGTGAAAAACTTTTCTAAAAAGTAATGGTTTAAAAGTTGATTAAAATCACCAATATGAAAATGATTAATAGTGTACATTTTATTGAGGATATATTTGAAAATCTAACAGAGCCAATGACTAGTTTTTCATTTAACTTGACCTTGAAATACTCTTAAGGATACAAAATAAAAAGGACTTTGTCTGATGCCTGCCTCTGCCCCAAGGTGTAAGCAAAGAGAGACTTCCAATTTTGTCATATGGCCAGGGTTCAACATTTCAACATGCTGCACTTTATTTTTAATTCAAGGGAGAAAATATAGGCTTTAAAAAATGTATACAATTTTATATTAATGTCTTCTTGTGTTTTGTATTTAATGAGTCAATATCTCTTTAAGCTAACCTAACAATTTGAAAAAAAAGGAATTTTCATTCTCATTAGCTCATAGATATATACGATAAGCCAAAGAGAAGTGACCACTCAAGGCCACACATTTGCTTTCTTCTACCTGGAATACTCCCCACTCTCTCTCTCCTTCCTCCCACCCTCCCTTCCTACTAGCTCTTCATGACTCAGTCTTAACACCATTTTTTCAGGTGACCCTTTCCAGACTACTGAAATCTATCATCCCTTTCCCACCAAACCAGGATAGATTCCTTTAAGCTCCCATAGTTATCTGTCCCTCTTTATCTGTCCAACTTTTGTAATAGTTGGAATTAAAATAGTAAAAAATAGTAATTGAATGTCTGCATCTCTTCTAAGAGTGTAAATTCTAGTAGAACAGGAAGAGACACTTCTGACTTGTTCCTCATTATATCTTCAGCAAGTAGTATTGTGCTTTGCATAGAAGGGCTTCAGTAGATACTAGTGGAGGGAGGGTGAGAAGCGGGGAGGAAAGAGGGTAGGAGGGAAGGAAAGAAGAAAAGAAGGAAGGATGTTGCAAGATAAGAGCTCCAACAGAAAAAAAAAAGCACATATTTGTGTTCTAAGCTAAACTTTCATGTGACTAAATACCACTGTATTTGGCTACATGAACTCAAAATATGCTGGCTTAACCAACACCTCCATGATTAGGTGAATTATTATATGTTTATTAATGATAAGTGAATGGAGACATAGTTATTCACTTAAACACAAAGTGAAGTGACTAAAATATATTTTGGAAATCATCACATGAAAAAGGATATTTCTGAAGGAGACACATGGCATATACCTCAGAATGGCCAGAGAAAAACCACTTAGTTGTGGGAGAAATGGTCTAATCCATCCACACCACTGAGATGGATCATTTCCAAGTGGAGGCCTCTCTGATCTGGCTGTGGCTCCTGAAGGAGACATGCCTAAGATAAAGTGAAATGGGGATTGTGGAGAAGACACCTGTGTCTACTTCATCTGCCTGTTTTTGCCTAGCTCTACCAAGAGTGGACATTGCTTTCTATTTTTTCTTAGCTCTAAAATCAACTCCTGGAAGTTTCTGCCAAAGAGTCAACTTTTCACTCAAAATTTTGAGAAGTTTTACTAATCATCTATCAACCTCATTCAACAAATACTTACTGACCACCTACTGTGTGCCAGATAGTGTTCTAGATATTTAGGATATCTCGGGAACAAAATAGAATCAATAGACGTGGAGCACTGTTCTGAGACTGACAATAACTACTAAATATATAAATAGTACTAAATGACAGTAAGTACCAAAATGTATAAAATGTGATCTCTGCTCTCAAAAAGTTTACAATCTTGAATGGGAGGCAGGTAATAGTTGATAAACATAAAAATGGTGACCTACCACAAGGTAGCACATGAAGACTCAAACCTTTTAGATGTTGAATAGATGAGTTTTTGTCAGGGAAGAGACAACTTTGAATGTGGGGGTCAGGGGAAGCTCCACTAAGGAGCTAAGTCTTGAATGGGGACTCAGAGCCAAGTTTAGAAAAGCAGGGAAGGAAACTTGGGGAGAAAAGAGAAGTGTGGAGGCTCTCTGGAATCTCATGTATAAGAACTTTTCTTGAAAATTGTGTACTGTCTACATTTACCAGTTGAGCACCTGCTGTGTACTGAATAGTATAATAAACTGTGTGGTGTATGCCGTCAAAGAGAAATTGCACTCTCCAAAGTTTATGAACAAATAAGGAACTTAAAAAAATGTACATTAGTCACTAAACTACAAAGTAGAAAGTTCAAAGAGTCATAAATAAGAGAGGTGCTGAAAAAGTTCTATGGCAGTTTGGTGGAGGGAGACATTACTAATAGCTAGTGATCAGAGAAGACCTCATGGAAAATAGTTAGCATTCAACTGGGCCTTAAAATTTATGAACATGTGAAACGGAGAAAATGACTTAAACACAGAGTCAAGAAAGGAGCCTGATGGACTAGCAAAGAAATCAGAAATGGGAAAGTCATTTAAAAGGTTATTGCAGGGTTGGTATAGATGAAAAAGACCAAAATATTTTTTGACTGATTGACTTTAACTAGCAACACATACTTTCTTATTCTTCTACTATCTCTTATAAATTATTTCATTATAATATTTGAATCACCAAGTCATAATATGCAATTTTCTTTATTATTTAACATTTAGCATTTCCATCCCATTAGGAATTTTCTTGCTTGATTTTTATTTATTTATTTATTTATTTATTTATTTAATTAATTTATTTATTTGGACAGGGTCCTGCTCTGTTGCCCAGACTTGAGTGCAGTGGCTCCATCTCGGCTCACGGCTCACTGCAACCTCCGCCTTCCAGCCTCAAGCGATTCGCCCACCTCAGCCTCCTGAGTAGCTGGGACGACAGGCACATGCCACCATCACTGGTTAATTTTTGTTGTTTGTGTTGAGGTGGAGTTTCGCCATGTTGCCCAGGCTGGTCTTGAGCTCCACAGCCTCCCAAAGTACTGGGATTACAGGCATGAGCCACCATGCCTGGCCTGAATTTTTTAATCTTTAGGTATTTTTGAGTCCACATTCCATCATCAGATTTGATTACTGTCATCATGACTATTTAATATTATTTTTATTATTACAACCTGATTTTTGACATACATTTCCTTAAATAGTGGTTAATGCTCATTTTAATCTATTTTCACCTTGTCTGTTGAAGCCCCTGTATCTGCTTCATCACTGGGCCCACCTAGACTTAGTATGTTACATATATAGTTCTAATGATTTATTTTAAGCTGTACTGTATGTGGCGAGTTATTTATGTTAAATAATCAGAATAAAACAGTAAAATATAAAACACTGCTAGAATTGTATTCCAGCTATCTTATGTTCTATTTCTGATAGTTACACTAAAGAGAATTGTGTAAATTATCCTCCTGGTTCTCCTCCCTGAGGTCAACTTCAAAAGGTTAAGGATATACTCATAGTAGTATAGTTGTCCACAATAAATTCTGTCTACAAAAGGGGCTGAGTGTGTGCTACCTAAATGTTGGTGTGTGGTGTGAGAGTGACCTTGACCATGTGTGTAAGCAATTATTATTATTATTATTATTTTTGTCAGCGCACTAAAACTTTTGCTGGTCTCACAGTAATCATATTCTCATCTGTTTATGTCCACAATGGCAGGATATTTGACACCCAGAGCCAAAGTGGGAGGGACTGAGCACAGATTGAGCAGAGGTTTTGGTGGCAGAGGAGCTTGCTGCCTGAGTCCCCTCTGCCTCCTTTTAGCCCCAACTACTCACAGCAGTCCTAGAAAAGCTAAGGCAAAGAGTAGAGGAAGATATAGGATTCCCCACTCTCTTCTGTCTATCCATTCTTTAATTTAAAAAAAAATATTCATTGATTATCTACTTTGGGCTGAGGCCATAGCATGAGTTAAAAAACTTCTGCCATGAACCTTGACTGCATATCGTTTATAATTGAGTGGTGGTGACAAATATAAAATGAATCATTATAGGAGTCATTATACCATTATAATTGTGTCAAGTGCTACAAGGTGAAAGTGCAGAGTGCTATAGGAAAGCAAGGATAGAGTGCTATGCTTAAGCAGCAACCTGTTCCCCAGAACAGAAGAAAATAGAGGCAGTTTTGTTTAAGCATAATGATTGTCAGAATAAGTGATAAAATTTTATTTTCTTAGAATAAGTGTGATATAGGTAAAATTATAACAATGGCAAAAAATTTAGAAAACTGGTGGCTATTTAATAAACTATGCACAAAATCTTGTTATTCTAAAGGATGACAAGGAATCCATGGAATTTCCCCCTATAATCTTTTAATAGTACATATTCCACACAAAAGAAGGAATTTTCATCTGAAATCTTATGCACCTGTGTGGCTAGTCAATTATTCACAAAACATCATGGATCTGATATATATTTTCCCTACTTAATTTTGTTAGTCAATTTGTAATGCTAAATAAAATATGCACGAGAACCTTAAATTTAGCATGGCAGATATTTTCTGAACATTCACTTATTCACTTACTGTGGGCTATTTAGAAAAATCAGATGTGCACACTGATCATCTTAGCACATGTCCATCTGTCATCTAGAATTGCCAATAAATATATTGTTTAAATAGTTGTGGTTAAGAATAGAGACCCTGAGAATGAGAGAAGCTAGGAGTAGGTTATATAAATAGTCACAGAGCTACACCAAGATAACTTCCAGGTCAGCCACAAAATTATAATGACAGGAGTAGCCCTTGATTATTTGTTCATTTGCTCCATTTCTATGGATTCTTGAGGTACATCTTGTTGTATATTATTTCTAAATAAATGAGAAAAGGGGAAGTTAGTAAATGCACATCACTGGAACCAACTTAATCTCAGAAAAAAAAAAACTCTGAGTATAAAAAAAAGTCTTTTTTTTTTTTTTTTTTTTGTAGAGCAGTTTTAGGTTGAAAGCAAAACTGAGAGGAAGGTACAGAAATTTGTCACATACTCCCTGTCCCCACCCATGCATAGCCTCCCCCATTATCAACATCCCCCACCAGAGTGGTATGTTTGTTACAATTGATGAAAATACACTGACACATCATTATCACCTAAAGTCCATATTTTAAATGTGCACAGTCACACAGGATGCATGTTTAGACAAATGTATAAGAATGACATGTATCCATCATTATACTTCATACAGAGTATTGCCATGGTCTGATAAATCCTCTATGCTCATCCTATTCCTTCCCCAACCCCCAAGTTTTGGTAACCACTGATCTTTTTTATCATCTCCATAGATTTGCTTTTTCCAGAACGTCAGACTGCTGGAGTCATACACGTATTCCTCACTGGCAGATATGTAGCCTTTTCAGATTTCCTTCTTTCAGTTAATGAAAATCGTGTAAGGCTCTTCCATGTCTTTTCGTGGTTTGATAGCTCATTTCTTTTTAGTGCTGAGTATTCTTTCATTATCTTTTTCTGTTTTTTTTTAAATTTTATTTTCCAGTATTCTTTCTACTTTAGTTTTTTTTTTTTTTTTTTAATACTTTAAGTTTTAGGGTCCATGTGCACAATGTGCAGGTTAGTTACATATGTATACATGTGCCATGCTGGTGTGCTGCACCCATTAACTCGTCATCTAGCATTAGGTATATCTCCCAATGCTATCCCTCCCCCCTCCCCCCACCCCACAACAGGCCCCAGAGTGTGATGTTCCCCTTCCTGTGTCCATGTGTTCTCATAGTTCAATTCCCACCTATGAGTGAGAATATGCGGTGTTTGGTTTTTTGTTCTTGCGATAGTTTACTGAGAATGATGATTTCCAATTTCATCCATGTCCCTACAAAGGACATGAACTCATCATTTTTTATGGCTGCATAGTATTCCATGGTATATATGTGCCACATTTTCTTAATCCAGTCTATCATTGATGGACATTTGGGTTGGTTCCAAGTCTTTGCTATTGTGAATAGTGCCGCAATAAACATACGTGTGCATGTGTCTTTATAGCAGCATGATTTATAGTCCTTTGGGTATATATCCAGTAATGGGATGGCTGGGTCAAATGGTATTTCTAGTTCTAGATCCCTGAGGAATCTCCACACTGACTTCCACAATGGTTGAACTAGTTTACAGTCCCACCAACAGTGTAAAAGTGTTCCTATTTCTCCACATCCTCTCCAGCACCTGTTGTTTCCTGACTTTTTAATGATTGCCATTCTAACTGGTGTGAGATGGTATCTCACTGTGGTGTTGATTTGCATTTCTCTGATGGCCAGTGATGGTGAGCATTTTTTCTTGTGTTTTTTGGCTGCATAAATGTCTTCTTTTGAGAAGTGTCTGTTCATGTCCTTCACCCACTTTTTGATGGGGTTGTTTGTTTTTTTCTTGTAAATTTGTTTGAGTTCATTGTAGATTCTGGATATTAGCCCTTTGTCAGATGAGTAGGTTGCGAAAATTTTCTCCCATTTTGTACATTGCCTGTTCACTCTGATGGTAGTTTCTTTTGCTGTGCAGAAGCTCTTTAGTTTAATTAGATCCCATTTGTCAATTTTGGCTTTTGTTGCCATTGCTTTTGGTGTTTTGGACATGAAGTCCTTGCCCATGCCTATGTCCTGAATGGTAAAGCCTAGGTTTTCTTCTATGGTTTTTATGGTTTTAGGTCTAACGTTTAAGTCTTTAATCCATCTGGAATTGATTTTTGTGTAAGGTGTAAGGAAGGGATCCAGTTTCAGCTTTCTACATATGGCTAGCCAGTTTTCCCAGCACCATTTATTAAATAGGGAATCCTTTCCCCATTGCTTGTTTTTCTCAGGTTTGTCAAAGATCAGATAGTTGTAGATATGAGGTGTTATTCCTGAGGGCTCTGTTCTGTTCCATTGATCTATATCTCTGTTTTGGTACCAGTACCATGCTGTTTTGGTTACTGTAGCCTTGTAGTATAGTTTGAAGTCAGGTAGTGTGATGCCTCCAGCTTTGTTCTTTTGACTTAGGATTGACTTGGTGATGCGGGCTCTTTTTTGATTCCATATGAACTTTGAAGTAGTTTTTTCCAATTCTGTGAAGAAAGTCATTGGTAGCTTGATGGGGATGGCATTGAATCTGTAAATTACCTTGGGCAGTATGGCCATTTTCACGATATTGATTCTTTCATTATCTGGAGGTATCACAGTCTATTTATGCATTCACTTATGAAAGAACATCTTGGCAACTATGAAAAAAGCTGCTATAAACATCTGTGTGCAGATTTTTGTGTGGGCATAAGTTTGAGTAAATAGTAAGGAGCCTGACTGCTGGACTCTATGAGAAGAAGATTCTTAATTTTGTAAGAAACCACCAAACTGTCTTCCAAAGTGGCTGTACCATTTTGCATTCTCAGCAGCAATGAACAGAAGTTCTTCTTCCTCCACATCCTCACAGCATTTGTTGTTAGTATTCTGGATTCGGGTCACTGTAGTAGGTACATAGTGGTACCTTACTTTAATGAAACTCAGATTTTATGAGCTCCTCTTGGTTACCCACTGGAAGTGGAAGCTACTTTTTCTCAATATGTTCTTTAGTTACATTTGTTGAAAAGCTGAAACTAGACATATTATTATTGCTGGCTGCTATCAGCCTCTTATGTGCAACCTTCCAGTGAGGAACCAGGAAGTCTTGCTCCACAAGAGGGTGTTCCTAAATTCCAAGCACCCCTGGCTGATACTCCTTTCTTGGCTATAAAAGTTGGCTAGTGAGAGAGGCCTGGTTGAGTCAGAAAGGAAACTCTTCTTGTCTCAGTTAGGGTCTCCAGGATAATGAGTGTAGAGGGAGCAGAAGTGTTTGGAATTTTCCTGTTCTTGCTACACCTGCCATTATGATCAGAGAGAGTAAAAAATAAAACACGAGGCTGGGCACTGTGGCTCACGCCTGTAATCCCAGCACTTTGGGAGGCCGAGGTGGGCGGATCACAAGGTCAGGAGATTGAGACCATCCTGGCTAACACGATGAAACTCCATCTCTACTAAAAATACAAAAATTAGCCAGGCGTGGTGGTGGGCGCCTGTAGTCCCAGCTACTCGGGAGGCTGAGGCAGGAGAATGGCATGAACCCAGGAGGCAGAGCTTGCTGTGAGCAGAGATCCCGCCACTGCACTCCAGCCTGGGCAACAGAGCGAGACTCCGTCTCAAAAATAAATAAATAAATAAATAAATATATAAATAAATAAATAAATAAACATGAAACCCCTCTGAAAAAGGGGTTAATCTCAGAAAAAAAACTCTGAGTATAAAAAAAAGTCTTTTCTTTTGTAGAGCAGTTTTAGGTTGAAAGCAAAACTGAGAGGAAGGTTGCTTTAAGCAGAAATAAATGTGCTTCTGTCTTTGTTCTGTAGAAGAAATAAATCAAAGGAGCAAATAATACATCCTTCCAGAAAAGAAAATGATTCCAGATTCCTGTTTTGTAACATTCTCTCTGTTGTCTCCAAAAATTACAAAAATATTTTGGGTATATATATATATAAAACTTTCATTACCATATATAATCTCAGTCATATTCTAACAGGGCTAGAGGTAGTGATGTACCCACTCTACACTTGGGTAGTAACAACTTTCCTATATGTTAGAGCACGAATGCTCACATTCTTTATAGAGTAAAAGACTTCTTATAAGATTGGTACCAACAATTACTTGTTTAATCAAAGAAGTAGGTTAAAACTGAAATAATAAAAAGATACACACATATCATAACATATTAGTTTAACTTAAGCTATATACCTATTCATTTGCCAAACTTCAAATGTAGGGCCGACGCCATTTCTTTGGTATGGGGCCAGGGGCTGGAGATCAGCATTGACATTTTACACAAACAAATCCATAACGTATCCTCAATAAACGCCAGTTGTTTTATTTTATTTATGTGAATTAAGAACTAAAAGCCATAAATAAAGCAATCCAAAGCAGAATCCATTTAGGTTTTCCTGATTTTTCCCAATATTTTCTGTTTCCTTACCTGTAGTTTATCTGAAAGCGATTTTAAAGTAATTTTCAGTACTTTCCAAAACATTAAATTTGATTTTCATGTAGATCATAGCTTTTAAACAGTTACATTTAACTTATTTATGTGATAATTAAATTTTTTAAATTACAAAATTAGAAATAAGTAGCATAAATAAGTTTGAGAATAAACACAACTGATTCATGTTAACAACAAAACTGAGTAAGTGGCAGCAGAGGTGTGCGTTTATCCTTAAGAATAGCCCATTTCCACAAGCATCTGGGTGCTATAGGGCAGGGAGACTTGACAGAGTTGGCAAGTTTAGCAATTTGGTCAAGGGGGTGGTCTATTAAGAAAACATTCATGGTAATTTTATTCCAGCATCTTCCCAAGAATTACTGTGATACATGAATTAGAGCTAAAGTTGTTTAAAAATTATTTGATATTTTCATATTAAGTATATTGCCTTAAAACAGAATATTTTAGGATTATTAGGCTTGCTTAGTATGACCCAGTGCTTTTCTTCATACAAGGAGAATCAATGACGGCTTGCCAAAAAATAGTAGACTCTGGCCTATTTATTATTACCAGTAGTAGTAGTAGTAATAGTTTGTTACTTTATTTATTTTAGATTCAGGAGGTAAATATGCTGGTTTGTTACATATATGTATAATGGTGATGTTTCTACTGAAACCATCACCCAAATAGGATAAAAAAAACACAAATTATCTATTGGGTACAATATTGGGTACAAACACAAAAGTCTGAACTGAATTCAAAATAACATCATCGAGGCTTATTCTCTTCCTTTCAGCCAGGCTGGATTCCTTTGGTTCCTGGAACAAACTATGATCCGCCCCTCTTCAGGACCTTTCTATGCACAGTTCATCTTTCAGGAATGATTTTCCCATGTGTTTTTTTTGACTAAAGTCAACTCCTTCTTCAAGTGTAAACAGCATTTCCCCAGGGGAATTCCCTGCCATGTAGACTAGATTAGCAACTCTTGCCATACACTCCACCATTCTCTTTAGCTTTCCTTTCCAACAGGTAGTACTCTTGTTCAGTGTCTGTTTTCCAACCTGCCCCGATCTCCAAATCATGAGCTCTATGAAAGAACATACTATGTTTGTATCTATCACCACTGCATCCCCATTACTCCCCATGGTGCTGGGCAGAGTGGCCACTCAGCATTATGGAATGAATGAAAAAATGAAGGAATCTTAACATCCAAGTTTCCAATGAGAGGCAATACTACTGGTAATTACTTATTTAGCTGTCTTTCAGAACTATTTTATAAGAATAGGATTTGATAGGGAAGAGGATAAGGGTACATATTTTAAGGGTATTTATTTTGGGAGAAGGACAGGAGGGGGTGAGCTCAAAAGGAAACACAAATGGCTCACTCTTCCATTTACTCTAGAGCTTGACTTGAGACAAAACACTACTACCTGTATTTAGCTAGGTTGTAAAAAGTTTTTTTAGTCAGTGCTCATTTATGGTCTGCAGATCATTCTTTGATGGCTACTTATCTTTATCAGAAGAAGTTCTTACTATTAAGAATGGTTAAACACTAACCAAGTCAGGGGATCAGGAGAGGCTGTGGAAATTATTTCAAGAGAGCTTGGGACAAAGAGATAGGCCACCATCTCTAGGATGATTAATTACAGATTCGTTCATTGAATGGCCCTTTTTATTACACATAGAAGCTCTCAGTTAAGGCTATTAGCAAGGTATCTAAGTATGACAAAAAAAGAGAGAAAATATTTTCAATTACTTCTTTATTCATGAAACTATCCAATAAAGATTAAATAAGCCTCTACTGAGTGCTAGACACCAGGCATTTAATAAATGAGTGAAGCAAAAGCCTTGTTCCCAAAAAGTTTTTAATTTGGTTGGAGATTGTGTAACAATAACCCTCACACCTCAGTGATACACAATTATCTTTCATGTGTTTGTAAGGTTCAGCTTATCTACACTGGGTTCATTCATCTGTTTGAATGTTATCTGTGGGCAAAATAATGTAAGCTGGTCTTGACTGGGTAATTGTAGGTCTACTTCAAGTGTCTCTCACCCTCATCCTGGGGCCAGCAGGCTAGGCTGGGACTGCAACTTCATGGCAATTGCTGCAGCAGAAAAGAATAAATCTAGTCTCTGCAGTGCATCTTCAAGTCTCTGCTGCATCACATTTTCTGACATCCCATTGGCCAAAGCCAATGACACCTGAATTCAGAATCAAGAAGCAAGGAAAACACTTCACATCTTGATAGGGAAACTGCAAAATCGCATAGCAAAGGATGTGGGCCTGAGGAGGGGAAGAGCCGGGGCCATCAATGCCATCTGCTATAGTAACATCAACAAAGAAACAAAAGATTAGGATCCAGTAAATGCTGATGGGTATCAGGATCAAGAAAATGAAGCTTATTCCTTAATTTCTATACTCTGTTTTTAGCATAACTCTAGAGACTTATTTTAAAACATTAGTGGCAGACCAATATGTTTCCTTAAACATTCCTAGTTGGTCAAAGATAAAATCTATGTGAGAGATCAAGAACTCTCCATAAAGCCCTTCAATCTAAAGCTTGTTCAACATTAGAAAAATAAAAAGGAGTAAGAGTTTTAACAGCACTAGATAATAGCTATAAAAGAAAGTTCCTTAGTGCTATTTTAAAACTATTAGGCATTAGAAACCACAAGGAGGATGCTCTGAATTGCGTTTCCATTCTTTATTAAGATGCTTTGTGTAATTACTAGTGTTTCTATCTGAATAAATAGTAATTTGGAATTCATCCAAATTAAAAGCCTAAATGAAAAGGGAACATTAGTGGTGACTAGAATGTTAAAAGACTCAAACATCTCTAGGGCAGATATGTCTTTGTAAGTTGGTGCAATTTAAATGAAATCTATAGAATCCATGTGGAGTAAAGGCAGCATGAATAGGAAGATGGCAGAAGGAGAAACCCAAACAGACTTCTTCTAGCCAGAAGGGCAATTCACTTCTAGTTTTCTGAAAACTCTAAAAATCAGGCTACATTCTTTATATGCCATTGTGAAATCTGCATTGACATCTTAAACAATGAAACAGCAAATATATGTAAAATAAGTCATGCATTTTTGTGAGTTAGTATCTTATAGTTCTGATAAAAGTGGATGTTACAAAATGAAGAGAAGCTTTTTCATAGAACAATACTAGGACTATGGATGCTGCCTTCTATTGGGGAAGTTGTGAAGGTATTGCCAGTATCACTCACCATGAGTATGCAAGAGAAGAGACTAGACCACATCTTCTAGATCTAATTTCCTATGATGTTACCAGCACCATCTTGTTTCAGGGTCTGTTGGTCATAGAACAGTGATATGGCACATTGCATCCAGGTGATGATGACGAGTCTGTGATATCTAAAATTAGGGCTACTCATAATGTCTAGAAGGAAGTCAGTATGATAGTCCTGGCCTATGCCTACCATAAAAGCAAATAATTTGGGGGCCAGGACAATATAAACAAATGTGTATATTAAAAAATCTATCAGCTCTTACAAATCAGATTCTTGTATAGTGGAAAGAGGTATAGCCTAGGAATACATTCTTATGCAAAAAAAATGAACCTCTAGCATTATATCATACCATATACAGAAGACCTAAAACTATAAAACTTCTAAGAGAAAACACATGAGAATATATTTGTGACCTTAGGTTAGTGAAAGATTTCTTAGGGCAAGAACAACAACAAAAAGTATGAGTCATAAAAAAATTGATACATTGAACTTTACCAAAATTAAAAACTACTCTTTGAAATATAGGAAAAAAAGATAAGCCATAGACTGTTAGCAACCACCTCTTAAAGGAATTCATCAGAATATATAAAGAACAATTACAACTCAATGAGAAGACAAACAACACAATTTTTTTTAATTTACAAAAGATTTGAACAGATACTTCACAAGAGAAGAAATACCGGTAGCAAAATAAGGACACAAAAAATTTCTCAACATTATTATCGCTAGTTAAAAGCATAATGAGCTAG
Source organism: Homo sapiens (assembly GCF_000001405.40). NCBI lineage: Eukaryota > Metazoa > Chordata > Mammalia > Primates > Hominidae > Homo > Homo sapiens. The sequence goes on along the minus strand of NC_000002.12, from coordinate 181,340,356 downwards.
TCTTACATTTCTACTATGTTAACTAACATTTTAAGGACTAAAATGCCTTTCAGATAAATGTTTTTCTGCACCCTGAAAATACCAAGTGTTGACAAAGATGCAGAGCAACTAAAACATGCATATATTCCTGGAGGAAATAAAAAATGGTTCAGAGGCTTTGGAAAATAGTTAAGTGATTTCTTGTAGAGTTCAATATACATCTACCATATGTTCCCATGTCTAGATATTTATTGAGAAAAAACATTTGTCCATATAAAGATCTGTATGAGAATGTTTATAGAACTTTTTTGCATAATACCCCCAAACTAAAAACAATTCAAATATCTATTAATTGGTAAAGAAATAAACAAATTATGGTTTATCCATAATACATAATATTATTCAGCAATAGCAAGGAAAAAAACTGCTGCTACATGCACCAACATAGATAAATGTCATGATTTTTATGCTGAGTGACAAGCTAGTCACAAAAGGATACATGCTTCAAAATTCCATTTATATGAGATTCTTGAAATGGCACTGTTACAGGACCAGAGAACAGACCAGATATAGCCACTGGCTGAAATGAGATGAGGGAAATGGCTACAAAGTGGCATGAGAAAGCTTTCTGAAATGATGGAAATGTTCTGAATCTCCATTGTGATGATGGTTATGCAGCAGTTCACATTTATCAAAAGTCATCAAACTGTAGAATTAAACATACAAATTTTTACTGTATGTAAACTATATCTTAATAAACCTGACCTAATAAAAGAAACGATGGTAGTTTATACCAGGGTCATAAGAGAAGAAATGGAAAGAAGTGAAGGAGTGGATGAATTCTGAATATATTTTGAAGGAGAGTTGACAGTACTTGCTAGAAGCAGAGTGAAGGAAAGAGAAAAATTAAGAATGACTGCCATTCTTTTGGATTGAGTAAATGAGATTAAGATCGTATTTGTAAATAATTTAACATGGTGCTTGACCAACATTATGGATTCAATAAATGTTAGCTATCATCACTTGTAGTTAGCCTAAATAGTGTTTAGTAGAGTGTCCAGTATGAACAGTACCAAAGTACTGTACAAATGGTATTAAGGAGGTTTAATGTGGCTTGTGGCTGATTTGTCTAGTGACACTAGTTCAGTTTTTGCTTTCCTTTTAACAAAACTTTGTAGAGGAACACATAAAATGTCTATTATTAATTAATTCCTCCAAGAGATATTCATTGAGTGCCAGGTATCATGCTACATGATGCGGATATATCTAATGATAAAAAAGATACCATTTTTATTCCCAATGAATTTGCAACATGTGAGTGAGATGTACAAGTAAACATGCAACAACAATAGAAGGAACACTTACTACCACAGTAACTGACCCCTCACCAAAGACTTCAGGATGAGTCAAGGACGTCTTTATTGTGGAAATCCCAAGTAAATTGAGGACCTGGTGAATACTCTGTGAGTAAATTGGAAAGGCAGATGATAGTAGTTGTGGAAGAGAAAAGCAATATTTTGTGTAAGAACATAGCTTGTTTGAAAGCCCAGAAACAAAGGGTGCCCAGCTACATTCCTAGTATTACTGCAGCTGACATTGAGGAAGGAGTGGGGCGTAGAGTCACAAGGGGTGTGCTGGAGAGGCAAATGAAGTCCAGGTCAAGTTGGGCTTGGGAAACATTCTAAGGGTTTTGGACTTTATCCTCAGGATAATGAAGAGCCATTAAAAGGTTTTAAACTAGGAGTGATCCATTCTGATCTGTGCTTCAGGAAAATTACCTTGGCTTCTTTATGGAGGATTAGAGAAGGAGAAGACCAAATTGATGGAAGGACCAATGGAAGTAGAGTAACAGGAATGAAGAAAACAGAAAGGATCCATACATTCTTATGAAAGTATAAAACTCAGGAACTGATTGGGCATCAAGGCTGAAGGAGAGGAAAGAATCAAGAATGGTGCCTACCTTTCTGACCTGCACAACTTAGAGGATGGTGATAACAATGATTGGAGATAAGAAATATGGGAAACAGAGCATGTTGGAAGGGAAGATGATTAAACTTACTTTTGTCATATTGTAAAAATGCTAGACATATGATATATTCCACCCTTTATAAAACAAATGCTTCTTATAGCTTGAAATGTAATTTCTATAATTTTAAAAATCTTTGAGGTTCTTCTTTTACAAATTATTTTCTTCTTAAGTGTATTGTCACACTTTTGTTATCAGCAATGGATACAAATGATATGGGCAGCAACAATGGTGGTTCATGGATCACGTTCTTCCTCTTCCTTTTTGCGCTCATGAAAGAAATCAGTCATATATCTGAGTTTTAGGTAGAATCAAGTTTTATCTTCTAGTAAATTACCCTCTCCTTTCTCCAATTTTATCTATGACTGTTTTCTTTCTACACAGCTTTGCAAATATTGTAATTACCTGCTTATACGCATATCAATTGTTTTTTGTTATTCAGTACTTCTATGTCCTTCTATCATGAGATCAAAGATCATGTTCAGTTATTTCAAAGTACCCAAGTACCTTGGAAAATGCTTTGAATTACTTGAGTACGTAATCAGTTTTTGCTACATGACTGAAGAGTTCTTATCCTGCTTCCTCATGTAATATTTGGCTCCAAAGTCATTGCATTTCCTTATACTTTTTATCAAATCCTGTGGTACCAACCTATATTATTAGAACCGATGAAGCCTTTAAAAATAAATCTTTGCCATGTATGGTGGCTCATGCCTGGAATCCCAGCACTTTGGGAGACTGAGGCAGGCAGATCACGAGGTCAGGAGTTTGGGACCAGCCTGAGCAACATGGTGAAACATCGTCTTTACTAAAAATACAAAAATTAGCCGGGCATGGTGGCACACACCTGTAATCCCAGCTACTCAGGAGGCTGTGGCAGGAGAATCACGTGAACCCGGGAGGCAGAGGTTGCAGTGAGCCGAGATCATGCCACTGCACTCCAGCCTGGGTGACAGAGCGAGACTCCGTCTCAAAATAAACAAATAAAAATAAATAAATAAATAAATATTTTATCTGTTTGATCTTATTTTCTTTCTATCCATTTAACTATAGTCCTTTTAAAAAATACAACTTATGAGAAAAGACAATTTATCCTCCAAAATGCCTACTTGCCCACATGTTAAAAAACTTAAGCTGTAGTTGTCTAAGATGTGAGTGAATGGGTGCCCTTTTGAGTGCTGATGCCACAATATATTTTTCCAGTTGCAAAAGCACTATGAAGCACATAAACCATGAAAACCAAAATGTATGACTTTCCTCAACCATCACACATCAGTTTTAAGCAGTCAATGTGCTCAGGCGAAGCCACAGTATGACATTACCAGAACTGGACGAAAATGCTGTCATCTGGATTTGAATTATGTTTGAACACTGACTATAAATGTGAATTGTGGTATAGATCAAATGGATTCATTTCACATTTGCTGTATTTGCATACTTACATGATACCTGATTGTTTTTAATTTATTCTATCTGATTAAGAAAAAAATGCTGTATGATTTGGGTTCTAGTAAATGATTTAGTTTGTTAATATACATGCTATATGAAAAAAATATACTGATATCTTCTATCCTAAGTGAAAGATATAAAAAGCAAAAGGACACTGAAACCCAGTGTAAACCTTGAGTCCCTACTGAATTGGATACAGCAATGGGAATGGCTGCAGCGGCATCAAGAACATGAATATTATTTGAGTAAGGCTTTACCTGGAAATAATGCAGAATGTTTGACTCATGGAGGAATTCATTTTGGCATTAAAAAAAAGAAAATATATGATAGAACTTCTACCTATTAATATTTGTTTTAGAGTGATAAAATAGTCCACAAATTAAGAACATATGGGCAGCCGGGCATGGTTGCTCATACCTGTATTCCCAGCATTTTGGGAGGCCAAGGCAGGAGGATCACTTGAGCCCAGGAGTTTGAGACCAGCCTGAGCAACATGGCAAGACTCCACCTCTACAAAAAATTTAAAAATTATCTGGGCATGGTGGCATGCACCTTTCGTCCTAGCTAATTGAGAGGCTGAGGCAGGAGGATTGCTTGAGCCCGGCAGTTTGAGACTAGCCTGGCCATGATGGTGAGAACCTGTCTCTAATAAACAATTTAGTGATTAGCCAAAGTGGTGGTGCATGCCTGTAGTCCCAGTTACTTGGGAGGCTGAGGCAAGAGGATCCCTGGAGCTCAGGAGTTTAAGGTGGCAGTGAGCCATGATCGTGTCACTCCACTTTAGCCTGGGTGAGAGAGCAAGACTCTGTCTCAAGAAAAAAAAAAAAAAAAAAAAGAACCTATGGGCAAAATTTGTTGTAAAATATCAATGAACACCCTTCTTATTTGGAAGCATCTTTTTTCAATATTATACAATTTTTTTTATAACTCGTATGCCTTTGAATAAGAAAACATCAAGCATTATTTGACAATAGTATAGCAATTATGAACAACTGGTATGTGTGCTTCTTTCCTAGAGTACATAAATGCATAAAGATGACCCCAGAGAATTCATGCTTCAAATCTTTAATAATTCAAAATTCGGTCTTATTCCAAGGCTTACAGGTCTTTTTTTGTAAAAACCCAGTGGCCTCCAAATATGTAATATTTGGGCTCTTTATAAAATGGAATGTCTAGCAATAATTTTTCTGTATTTGAGAAATTATATATTATAAAAATATGATTTAAGAGTTGGTGAACGATTGAGTCAGGAATAAGTTGCTTGCCTCCAAATTTCATAGATGCAGTTGGATTCTGAACTTATACCAGCCAGGAATGGACAAAGAACTAGCTCATAAATGGGAACAGCTTATCTTCTACTCAAGGGCAACACTTACAACAAAAGTAAGAAGGACATGAGAATTTGCTTCTTTGTGAAATAAATTAGGTGTTTACCTACCTCTAGCTTGGTTCTATATGAAATGAAGAACCTATATCAATTATTTTCCCATATTGTCAGTTATTCTCTGTTAAGAAAAACAATCCTGGTTTCCGAAAATATATCAAGTTGTTAAACGGCTCTGTGCCCAGAAAAATAAACTCTTTGGTATTTAAGTGAGCACTAAATATGTGGAAACAATTACCTGATGATTTCCGGGAAACATGGAATAATTGACAGTTTATAAATGGAATGAATGAATGATGTGATTGTGATATCTGAATATGCTAGAGAGGTAATGCAAAAAGAAGGCGCGTCTGGATAAGCTATTACAAGAGTAAGGAAGACGAGAGAAGACAGGAATAAAAAGAAGAAAATGAGAGAGACCTTATCTCTACGAAAAACTGAAAAATTAGCCGCATGTAGCGGCACACAACTGTGATCCTAGCTATGTGGGAAGCTAAGGCTGGAGGATTACTTGAGCCCAGGAATTTGAGGCTGCAGTGAGCTATGATGGCCCCATTGTACTCTAGCTTGGGTTATAGAGGAAGACTCTGTCTAGTTTTTTCTCTGTCTCTAAAAAAACAAACAAAAATAATACAATTATAAAATAGAGCAACTACGCAGTCAGTCTGAGGAAATTTGCCACTACTTTGTGTCCCAGTTTAGCATCTCTTAAAGGTACAAAAACATCTACTTTGAATGCAACTATGCACTTGAGGCAAGAGAATAGGGTCTGGAGGCAGGGAACCCATAGCCAGTTCATGCTGACTTCCTAGAACTGAATCAAATGGCAACACTTCAGCTATGACAGGAAATATCTTTTTCATTTACACAGGGCATACACCAAGTAAATGACTTCATAACTTTACTTCATCCTGTTCATTTGCATAGGGTGTACATCAAGTAATCAGTGGAAACCTCTGGAGGGTATTTAAACCTCAAAAACTTCTGTAACAGGGCTCTTCAGCCATGTGGCGTGTACTTTTATTTTCAATAAACCTCTGCTTTTGTTGCTTCATTCTTTCTTTTGTTTGTGTGTTTGTCCAATTCTTTGTTTAAGAAGCCAAGAACCTGGGCACCCTCCACCAGTAACACACCGATATAGGAGCCTGCCTAATCTAGAGTCTACATATTAGTAATAGCAAAGAAAAAGCAATTAAAATGAGCAATTCTGCAAGTAAAGTGTCATCAGATGACACGTTCTCATAAAACTCAGCCACTCATTCTCGAGAGATCTAGATAGTCTACATTTAACTTATTTAGTATTAATATTGAATATTTATTAAGTTTTGACATAAATTGGGTTGAAACATTTTGTATCTCTGAAACTTTTTCTTAAATTAAACTGTTATATAAAATATAATATCTATCTAAAACAGGTAAAAATGGAGTTTCTTAGATTTAGGGTAGGAGGAGAGGTTGGTGGCCTAATGACCCACCCACTAGCAGCCTTTTTACATCCTTTCCTATGTGGTAGTTCCCCAGGGAAGTGCTGTGGAATCTCTATAACTCTGTGGAGCAGGGATTAAAAATTACTGAAACATTTATAAATAAATTGGAGAGTTTCTGTTATATAAATTGGAAATATTTTCTATTCCCAGTAGACCTACTGTTTGTTGACTGCCCAAATGCCTGACTAAAAGACAAAGCTTCAAAATAATCAACATCTAGTTAACATAGCAGACAAATTTGTTTATCACTGCTTCATTCCTTACCACTACTAAAGTGATCAATAAAATCATTGTCATCATGATGCACAAGGACAAAAAGAAAGAAGAGGAGCCAATGTAAACAAATGGGAAAATGGAAAAAAAAAAAAAAGTTGAAATCTCTAAGTCCCAGGAACATGAATTGATTCATGACACAGAGACCCAGAAAAGCTCAGAAATTAGAAGCACTGGATACTGAAAGTTAGAGTTAAAAACAAGAGGATTATTTGAGTTGATTATTAAGCAACTACCTCTTAATTATCCTTCCAGGAATTAGAAGCTTTAATCTCTAGAGAGGGCTCAGACTCAAGGACATCTTCCTATAAAGAAGATGAAAAGAAAATCTATATGATTTCCTCTAACCTTCTTTTTCTCTTTAGCTTCCAGAACACTGGAAATGGGTGATTCAATACAGGGCAGAGGCCAAAGGAAATCCTAAAAAAGCGGATCTGTACCACTCCTAGAGAGCAGCCAGTCGAGACTGCAACAGAGAACAGAGGGCTGCCAGAAGGGTTTCTCCAGGAATGCTCTTTATTAACTTTACTCTATTTTTTTAAGTATGCATATTTGCTAGTATGATAAAAGTATATTCCATTAAAAATAAAGAATATTCAATGTTTGAGTGTCACTCAAGTGGAGAGAAACAGACCTAGCTTTTAAAAAACAAAAGCTTATTTCTTCTTGTCCTTTGAAAAATAGTTACCTTTCAAATTATGTTTTGTCTAGATTACTAAAAAAATTGTGTGTTTTCTATGAATACTTTGGAAAGAGAGAAGTAATAGGAAAGTTTATAGGAAAGCAAAGACTAGCCAGTGTGTAGTAAAAAAATTGTCATGGATGACTGATCCACAGATAATTCCATATCCTCTTTTACCATTCAAGTAGAATCCCTTCAATTGATCATGTATTGCCTGAACTAAATTTTTGGACACACGATATTATTTTAGAGTACTAATGTAAAACCAAATAAGAAAATATATAACTGAAATTTGCTCTTTTTAAAGTCTAGAAAGGCTACCTAATTTCTGGCAAAACCATCTGCAAAGATTTCCAACTGGAAATGTATTTTGCATGATAACAGGTTGAAGTCATGAATCACTTGGTAACTCATTAGAGTGACTAGCATCAAAAGATCCCTTAGGAATTTAGGGAAAAGGTAGTTAAGCAATTAATGAAGTTATTTAAAATCCTGATATGGTTCAGCCTGCTTTGAAGACTGCTAGGGTTTAATATTTATTTAATAGATTGTCAGTTTCATGCCAAAAAAAGAAACGTGACAGAAGTCACCCTAGTCTAAATGTAAAAAAGGTAGCCCATTTGAAGCATATTTTATTGCGGTAGTTGACATTATTATAGTCTGTACCATTATATCACCATACAAAAGCCATCATTCTCAAGCTGAAATTAACATTGCTGTTATTTTCGATTAGAAGAATTGGCTCTAAATCCAGTAATTCTCTACAGTGATTTATATTTTAGTAGCTGTCATCTTGCACCAAGAGGGAATGTGTCAGAGTATAACCACTCTATGATGAGACATAAGGTATTAAAATTGATATGAGATGACAAAATGAGAGAATGGCATTTTAGGGGTATTGTTTTCACTTGTCATGGGCAGTTTCTGTTATGGCTTCATTCCTGAGACTATCTGCTAATCTTTATGTTTGATTCAGAATCTAATACTTCAGATGGAAAGGTACAGGATGTAATGAGCTCTTATCTCTTACAGAAAGTACTGAAAATGTATTAAATGCTAGAAAGATTTGATTTGTAAGAATATATGATGGCTAAGTTGATGACAGAATGAAGTCACCTAAAGACAGTTTAGTAGTTTCCTTAATTTCATCAAGTTTTATTTTCATATGTTGTAGCCCCACCTACTTTTATATGTTTTAAAGAGCAATATAATTTGTGAGTTTTACTCTGAAGTTCAGGACTCCCATCTCAGAAAATTTCATGACATATAAGAAAATATTATTTAGTTTTTAAAACTATTTTTATCCCTGAAAATACTCAGAGGCCTCTAAAATCCCTATTTTGGGTTTCTCTTGCTCTCTGAAATAAGCAAATAAAGCACTCTGAAATAAGACCTCCACTAAACGATAATATATATGATTTTAAACTTTGGAGGGCAAAAAACATATCTTCTCCTTAGTACAGTATCAGATATATGAATTAATGAATAAAGTATCACAGTCTTTAAAATGTATAACATTATTTTACATAAATATGAAATACCTATAAAAACATGTTGGATGTGATTCCTACCTCTAGGTCACGAAGAGAATGTATTTTGGGACTGGGATGTTCCCCATACCCTATTGCTATGGTTTGATTGAGCCCCACAAAGTTCATGTGTTGGAAATTTAATCCCCAATGCAACAGTGTTGAGAAGCGAGGCTCTAAGAGGTGATTGGGTCCTGAGGGTTCTGTCCTCATGAATGGATTAATGCTGTTATCATGACAGTAGGTTAGTTACCATGGGAGTGGGCTTCTGATAAAAAGATGAGTTCAGCTTTCTTCCACTTACTCTCTCTCATGCTTCTCTTGTCAAAGGCATTAGTCAAGTTGCTGAGAAGGGTATGAAAGGTAGAAACAAAATGTTTGGCAACAGCAACCAGTCATCAGTAAACCACCTGTAATGCCTACATCACAATAAGGTCAGGATCCTGAAGTGTGTGTTCAGTGCTCTGTGAAATGCCTTACACACATAAGACAAGTCAGACAAGTCAAACAAACAAGTTGTGTAAACAAGAGGTCTTAGTTATTATGACTTATACAAAAGACACATTTCATGCCATAGCATTGGGTTATGGCTCGCCATCCTGGAATAATCCTATGTGCAAATGCCAAAATAATGTTGCCTATTAATAAGTTAGAGAATCTATTAGGTTCATCCCATGGTAATCATTTTTCTCACATGTAACACTACAAATATTGTGAAAATATGGGATAGCTATGTATATGCTATCCTCTTTACCCTACTTCTCACCATCTCCTTTCCAAATTCTCATTTAACAATAGATAAGCCAAGAGTCTAGGGTTATTTTCTACGAAAGATAAAGTTATTTTGTGCCTGGGGAAAGGTCATTGTGTAAAAGGATTATCTTATTAATATATTCAAGAGGAAAGTTCTGAGGATGATTTTCACCAAGGTTGTTGGGAGGCTTTGTACCATTCACCAGTGACTACTAAGTAAACTTAGAAGATATTTCAACCTTTCTGCTCAACCTTTGACAGTCCATGTCTCTCACAGGTGTAGTTTCCTCTTCTCTATGGTGGTATCCCTCTTGATGATCAAGCAGCTGCCAGCTCTAACCTAGTCTACTTAGAATAGCACTTGACGTGTTTTTCTCATTCTCACCCTCCAAACCCAGTCTTTCTCAGACATTGCTAATATTTCTCTGTAGAACCACTATTTTTTTTTACTTTTATTTTTGGTTTTGGGGTACATGTGAAAATTTGTCACAAGGGTTTGTTGTACAAATTATTTAATCACCTAGGAATTAAGTCCAATACCCAATAGTTATCTTTCCTGCTCCACTCCCTCCTCCCACCCTTCACCCTCAAGTAGATCCCAGTGTCTGTTGTTTTTTCCTTTGTGTTCATAAAAAGTTCTCACTATTTAGCTCCCACTTATAAGTGAGAACATGCAGTATTTGGTTTTCTGATCCTTAATTAGTTTGCTAAGGATGATAGACTCCAGCTCCATCCATGTTCCCACAAAGACATGATCTCATTCTTTTATATGGCTGCATAGTATTCCGTGGTATATGTACCACATTTTCTTTATCCAATCATCATTGATTGGCATTTAGGTTGATTCTATGTCTTAGCTATTGTAAATAGTTCTGCAATGAACATTTGCAGGCAAATATCTTTATGGTAGAATGATTTATATTCCTCTGGGTATATACACAGTAATGGGATTGCTAGGTCAAATGGTAGTTCTGCTTTTAGCTCTTTGAGGAATTGCCAAGTATGATTGCCAAGTTCCATAATCATTGAAAAAATTTACACTTGCACCAACAGTGTGTGTTTTCTCTTTTCTCCACAACCTCACCAACATCTCTTATTTTTTGACTTTTTAATTATAGCTATTCTGAATGGTGTGAGATGGTATCTTATTGTGGTTTTGATTTACATTTCTCTAATGATCAGTGATATTGAGTTTTTCATATGCTTGTTGGCCTCATGTTTGTCTTCTTTTGAAAAGTGTCTGTTCATGTCCTTTGCCCACTTTTTAATGGGGTTTGTTTTTCTCTTATAAATTTATTTAAGGTCCTTATAGATGTTGAATATTAGATCTTTATGTTAGTTTGCAAATATTTTCTCCCATTCTGTAAGTTGTCTGTTTGCTCTGTTGATTGTTTCTTTTGCTGTGCAGAGGCTCTTAAGTTTAATTAGATCTCACTTGTCAATTTCTGCTTTTGTTGCAATTGCTTTTGGTACATTTGTCATGCAATCTTTGCCCATTCCTGTGTCCAGGCGGGCATTACGTAGGTTGTCTTCCAGGTTTTTTTTTTTTTTTTTTTTTTTTTTGTAGTTTGGGGTATTACATTTAAGTCTTGAATCTATCTTCAGTTGATTTTTGTATATGGTGTAAGGAAGGCCTCCAGCTTCAGTTTTCTGCATATGGCTAGCCAGTTATTCCAGCACCATTTATTGAATAGGAAGTCTTTTGTCCATTGCTTATTTTTGTCAGCTTTGTTGAAGATCAGGTGATTATACGTGTGCCTTATTTTTGGGCTCTCTATTCTGTTCCATTGGTCTATGTGCCTGTTTTTGTACAGGACCGTGCTGTTTTGGTTACTGTAGCCTGGTAGTATAGTTTGAAGTTGAGTAATGTGATGCCTTCAGCTTTGTCCTTTTTGCTTAGGATTGCCTTGGCTATTTGGGCTCTTTTTTGGTTCTGTATGAATTTTAACATATTCTTTTCTAGTTCTGTGAAGAATATCATTGGTAGTTTGATAGGAATAGAATTGAATCGGTAAATGACTTTGGTCAGTATGGCTATTTTAATGATATTGATTCTTCCTATCCATTAGCATGGGATGTTTTTCCATTAGTGTGTTTTCTCTGATTTCTTTGAGCAGCATTTTGCAGTTCTTTGTAGAGACCTTTTACCTCCCTGGTTAGTTGTATTCCTTGGTATTAGATTCTTTTTGCAGCAGTATGAAGGAGATTGCCTTTCTGATTTGACTCTTGGTTTGGCTGTTGTTGGTGTATTGCAATTTTATCTTTTTTACTCCTTTCTCTTGATGGATGTTTTTAATCAATGTCTAAACTATTTTCAGGCTTCCATTATCCCTTTTCTTTGGTGATTCTCCTCTGAAGGGCATTCATATTCCTCCAAAGTAAAAACTTGTTACTTCAGATATTTAAGGTTCTTCATGATCGGCTCCTATCTAAGCAAGCAATGATTAGGTGCCAGACCCCGGGTTTAGCACTTTACATATAATATTTCATATAGCTCATTACTTTTTATGACAACCTAATGAGGAAAACTGTGGCTCCAAGAGGTTAAATAATTTACACTAGCTCACACACCAACAAAATGGCTACAACTAATTTCAAAGCCCACACTCTTTCAATTACACCTGATATTTCTATCCTTTTGTGAGTTTTTCTTCCTGGAGATGTTTAAAAAACATGTTCTGTATTCTATTAAGCTTGAGATTATTGAATGCTATGGCTTTCTTCATCTTTGGGTTTAGTTGGAAATAGGGCCTTGGGTGCCTGGGAAAGAATAAAAGTGCTGAGGAAGGCATTTCAAATTAGAGAGGCAGCCTATTTAGTCACACTCATAAAAAAAAAAAAATCATTATGGAGAAGGAAGGCAGGTGAATGTATCTATGCTATGCCGGACATGGGGTTTTGTGCCAAAGGAGTTTCTGAGGCTACAGCAAGTCTGTCAGCAAGGAATTGTACTTCTCTGTTAAAGGACAAGGTGAGCCAGCAATTGTGAAGGTGTCACAGAGGGAAAAATATTTATTTCTCCCTACTTGTGGGCAGTAGTGTCACTCAGTCACTGAGGTAACAAATATTAGGACACTTCTGTCCTGACTTTCACACTCATCTCATGATGTTTCCATTAATAGATGGCAAAGTTCCACAGGAGCTATAATAACCCCAGGGGCCTGTGCAAGCCGTTCTAAAGAATGCGCGTTGGTAAATGGCAGAAACAAAGTAGAAGCAAAAGCTCATCAACAGTCCTGGGCATATCCAGCTTCTAGGGCAGAAAGAGGCTTTGTGTTCAAAGACTCCTAATAGATTAAAACATCCTATTTGGTTTGTTTAAACAGAAAGTCTCTGTTGGTAGCTATACAACTTTGACGAGACGTAAGATTTTCTGTGTTACTTGGCGTAAGGACATGCAAAAGTTTTCTAACATGATATTCTTGTAACTTGGAGAAATTAGTAACTCCCACCATGCCACCCTTGTAGGATCATGTGCTAATGAAGAAGATGCTCTAATAATTAGGCCTAGAGCCCACTGAATGTAACACCTTCCAATTAGCACTCCCCAGCATGAATACGGCCATTATCATTAAACAACAAAGACAAAAATGGGTATCAATCCACATAATAGAAAATAATTGATGAAGTTGGAGGGCGTGATTATTTGTGATTACTTCACAGTCATGCACAGAAAGTAGGAGAACCACAGCTAGTGGTTAATCTCTGGCTACCTCTTTGAAGATAATGAAATTGGCTTCCTACTGATGATTATTCATTAACAATTAATTCTTTCTCAGTGATCTGCCTCATTTTCAGCTTCTCACTACAAACATGCAATGGAATAATTACAAGTGGAAATGAAAAAGCAATTAGTGGCAGATAATGCCAACATCTGATTAAAAAACAGTAGAACAGATTAGCAGTTCCGTAACTGCAAGTCTGCTGCTTTCAGCAGGGAGGTGTAAGTCACCCAGTTATACTGCACTTCAAGCTGTGCTTTCTCTTTTATTGCCTCCCCTCCATCATGGTCTGCCACATTAAATGCTCTCTTTTATTCTAGGGGGCATTGGATTGTTGTAAATACTTTCTCAAGATTAACTAACATTTCAGATGATTTGTGGTCCCACACGCTGAAATTCTAAAAGGCACTATCTTATAACATAATGGCTAAAACATATGTCTGTATACTTTTCTTTGGGGATTCACAGAAAATATCATCATACATTTACTCACTTGAGTTTCAGCTTAACTCTTGTTTAGTTAAGTGCGTTCAGTAGAAGAACATCTCTAAATCTAGGAGGCCAAAAAAGAGCACCTTCTTTGCATACTTTAACTCTTTTCCTACCTGCATGCACAGTTGCTTTGGTCTTACAGGCTGGTTTCTCACCTTGCATAATGTGGAATATCAACTGTCAGTTAGTGGATTTTTATTTAACATTGTCAAGGGCTAAGATAGTTCTGACTTCTGTATAAATAATCTTTCAATAAAAGGCTTATAATTTCATTGATCTCAGCTGTGTCAGAGGCAAGAAAAAAGCACTTCCCTATAAGAAGTACAGGAAGAGTGCCAAAACTCTCACTTTAGAAATTGAAAAAGCAATGATCTTTTAAATAATTTGGAAGATGTGTTAATATAAATATCTGGTAAGATTTTGTCATGGAATTTGACATGTTATAAAGGACAGGTAAGAGAGTGTAGACCAGCACTGTTTTTTAAAAATATGTTTTGAAAAGAACTATGTATTTAACTATAAAATCATTGATTATATATTATTTCACCAGATCCACAGAGATCAAAATTATAAAGAAAGAAGGCATATAATGGAAATAAAGTGAAATGTGAAGGGCTGAAATCTGAAGGGCTGAAATATGACCCAGTAAGGTTTCCCTTTAGATGTTCAATTGATCATTTCAGATTGGTCATTTCTTGCTCAGTATTGAACAAGATATTCAAAAATTTGACTATTACCACTGAATATAACAAAATCTTATTAAGCACATCTATGTTACTGAAATGCTGTGGGGCACTAATATTAATCAGACATGGTATCTCAGCCCTGAATCAGCTCAAAATTGAATGGGAGAGAAACAAATGTAAAGAAATGAATGGCGTAAAATGTAATGATTGTTACATTTTGGGCATTTACAGGGTACAAGCAGGAGTAATAATGACTGGAAAGACTTCATAAGCAGATGATGCTTGAACTAAGCTTTGGAAGAGGAGTAGAATTTTTTTTTTCACAGGAAACAATGAGGCCAAGAGCATTCCAAGAAGTGGGGAACATACAAATAAAGGCATAGAGAGAGAAAAGAGCCTGGTTATGTTTAAAGAATGTGAGTAACTAAATACATTGGTGAGCAGGGCATCAGCATGAGACCAGCAAAGAGAATGCTGAAGATTTAGGTAGGATTCAGCTCATGGAGAGCTTATATACTATGCTTATGAATTTAAACTTTATGAAGTGAAGACCCTTTTGTTTCCTCAAACAGGTATTTACTAAGGTAAAATGTTTATATTTCTACAGAATTCAAAACTCACAGATCACATACACATGTGCCAATAAGTTATCTATAAAATCTAAGCATCTTTGAAACATGGTTGTGAATATTTTAAAGTAATCCTATAACATTGTTGATGGTGATGATGATGATATCTTGGATTTTTTTGCACTTTTATTCTAAAAAACTAAAAATTCTGTCACATCAACAAAAAATATCTGAAACATAAGAATAAGAATATTATATCTTTTAGAAATTAATCACTTTCTGTGACTCTGTGGAAAGCAAAGTCTAACAAGGTCTCACTTATTAGCTATGTGATCTTGATGAAATTTACTTAACATCCATATGCCTGTTTTTTCACAGGCTGGTTGTATCTATTAAGGAACTTAACTGTGTCTGACACCAGGGAACAAGATTAATAAACCACATATCTAAATGAAAACCACATACCTAAATTAAATATGGCTAAATATAGCAAAGATGGGACCAAATGGAATAAAATATTACTGATCTTCTTAAGAGAATAATGAATTGTGACTGAAAGTAATGAAATATATTTTGGCAAAACCAATTAGGTACTCATTGAAATATCTAGATTAGGAGGGATGAGAGCTGACATGAGGGCAGGCCATGGGGGAGATAAGAACCACCAACCTTGGAGAACTTTTCCTTTTGGTGTGGATCAATAGCTTTCTTAAACTCCCTATCGGAGCTAGGAGAAGAGAAATGCATGACCCCCATCCAACTCAAAGCCAGGAGTGGCATAGCTTCTCTTGACTTGGATTCTCAATATTGTGAAGGGTCCAGCTTATATTAAGAGACTCTTTCTAAAGCCTCTAATATGAAGAAGTGGGGACTAAATTGTAAGGCTATGAAAGAAAATTGACCAACCCCCTACCTGAAGGTATGTTTTCTTTGTTTTAAATAAATACTAATCAGAGGTGGCTGCCACAAAAATAGAGGAAGCCCATTTTGTACCAATTTTCTTTGCTTAGTGTGTGTATCTCTTCTCATCTCCAATCTACATTGACTCCTACATGTTTTTAATTATCATCTATATATGCTGATGTCTCCCAAATTTATATCTGCTGGTCTCACCTCTACTCTGAACTTAACTTGTAAATGCCAATGCCCACTCAGCATCTTCACCTGATGTCTAATAAGCATCTGAAATCAGCAGATTTTAAACTCAACTCTTGATTCCAGTTCCTTCCCCAATGTGTCCTTCTCTCTAAGTTTCCCTCACTAGAGACTGATAACAAAAATCTCATGAGCTGTCTTGGAGTTTTCTCTTTATCTCATACTCTACATCTAACCCATCAACAAATATTGCTTACTTTACCTTGAAAAGGTATCAGAATCTGACCACACCTAATCACTTCCATTTCTACCACTTTCTTTCAAGCCT
The DNA here is from genome assembly GCF_000001405.40 of Homo sapiens. Classification (NCBI taxonomy): domain Eukaryota; kingdom Metazoa; phylum Chordata; class Mammalia; order Primates; family Hominidae; genus Homo; species Homo sapiens. The sequence continues at coordinate 181,323,902 of NC_000002.12, read as the reverse complement.
CTGTTATCTATTACCTAAGCTTCTGTGATAGATTTTCTACTGGCTTCTCTTCTCCACTCTCACCCACACTATTGACGAAGGAACCCTTTCAAACACAAATATCGTTATTTCCCTATTCAAAAGTTTCAAATCGCTTTGCATCTCAAGGTAACATCCGAAGTCCTTGCCATGACCTCCAAGGCTAGACATGATCAGGTGCTGGGCCACTTCTCCCAGCTCCTTTCCAACTACTCTTTTCATCACTCACTCTTGGCTTTCTCACAGTTCTCTTTGTTCGGGGATGAAAGAATAAATTCGTTCAGGGAGAACAATCAAGAATTTGGTTATGGATGCATTGATTGTAAGGCACTTTTGACAGTTACTTGAGATGTCAAGAAGGCAGTTGCAAGTATGAATCTGGAGTCCTGGGGTGGGGAGAGAGGAGGCCTGGGACTAGAGTTGTCTATTTGCAAGTCATTTGTTTATAGTGTCATTTGAAACTCTTGGCATAAATGTCCCAGAGAGAGGAAATAAGGGACCTAGGGTTAACCCTTGAGGAATTACACACATCTAGGTCTGGTGGAGGAGGATGGCATTATAAAAAGGACTGAGAAGCAGCCTCCCAGAGGTAAAAGGAAAATCCAGGGAGTAATGTGGCAGAAGCCCAGGGAGGTGAGAAATGAAGACAGCTAGAATTGACAATTCTTTCTAGAAAAGTAGTAGTGAGAAGGAGATGAAGCAGTTGCAGGACAGGGATGTATAGTCAAGTGAAGAAGTTTCTTTTTATGGATAAAATTAGAACATACTTAAAAAAATGATAAGAACCATACAATTGAAGAGATAGTGATAATAAACAAAAAGGGGGGGTCAAGAGGGATAAATAGCATCACTCTATTGAGAAGGTGGGATTGCCGTGAGATCACAGGTATGGCTAATTAATTTTTGAAGCTAATAATTTAGAAAAATAAACATTTAAGGCCTTTTTCAAAAAGATTTAACAGTTAACCTATTTAAATACAAATCTTATACTTTAAAATTACTAAAGAAGAAAAAGAAAATCTGAAATAATACAGTTTAAGAAAAATGAAAGGAAGAAGCAGTGAGATGTAATAAATTAAAAGACAAAAGTAAAATAAACAAGAGACAGAAAGAAACCAGTCTATAAAAAATGACAATAAAAATAAGTAGGATACCTTCATTATTGAAATAGAGATTCCCCAAATTTGATCAAAAATGAATATCCGTATGCTACTTATGAAAGATCTGCAAAAGATATATAAGACAAAGGCAATTCAGAGTAGACAAAAATAAAATGTTGGATAAATGTATACATAAAAGATACAAACAAAAACAAAGCATAGAAAACAATACTAAAATCAAACAATGCAGAGCTCAAGGTTAAACATTCTTTATGAACAAAAAGTTTAACTTGTTATAGAGATGGCTACAGTCTATGATGAAGGTAGCATTATTGTAACCTTAATATGCTGAGTAACTTAGCAAGTATTTACAAAGCAGAACTGTTGAGTGAGTGAGTGAGTGAGTGAGTGAGTGAGTGAGTGAATAAGAAAGAAAAAACCAGAAGAGTAATAGGAAACTTGACCATTAGCTCCCTCAGGCTTTGAAAGAACAACCAGATAAAAATTCATAATATAGAGGTCATGAATAATATTATAAACATTTATTTAATAGCTATATCATGGGTTCTATACAAAGAGTGGATTCACCAATTTTTAAGTGTCTGTGGAAAATTTACAAAAAAATTGACAACATGTACTAACCTCAAAATCTTTACAAATATCCTAATGCAGACATAAGATGAGCCACTTCATAGATCACAATGCAATAACATTCCATAACTTTGGCTCAACAAACTTTTAGTAGACCCCATTTACAGAATTCATTTTAATATGAATATTTCAGTAATATTTGGTAATGTGGAAAAATGTGGCACTCACCCATTCACCAAAGTCATTCTCCTTGGAGATATTTATCAAGTGAATGTTCCCAATTTTCAGAATATTTTCAGTTACTTCTACTCATGAATTTTTAAATAAGTTCATTCAGAGCAATATAATAATTCAGTTTACTCCAATCAGGGTATGCATCCCACAGATTCATATCTTCAACCATCACATTCATTTTCAATTTTATGTGGAATAATAGTGAAAATTTGCTTACCTTGAAATGATAAGTTTATAGGTTGTTTAAAGGACAAAATATAACCTCAATATGCTGATTGGCAAAGCCAATCTAAATTATGCGTGTACTCTTATACATTGTGTAAGTTTTGTTACCAAAGACATGACTTTTTTTCAAGTTACTGTGAAAGATAGTAATTGTTTGTAATCAATGCTAATAGTTTCTCAAAACAGAGAAAAAGTAGATAATTCAATTTGCAGTCCTTAACATGGTTAATAGTCTTTATATAGCTTCATGATGTCTGTTTCTTAAATTTTAAATAGCTTCTCTGGTGGTGAGAGCTTCCCCTATGCATGGATAGTGAGTAGATGTTGTTTCCAGTACAATAGCTTGAATACATGGAACAAGTCATTTTTACTGGATACTGTTGCCTTAGCACCATCTGTGCATAACCAATATATCACTTGCATGTCATTATTTATCTAGAAATTATCAATAATTTTAAAATCTCTTTTGCAGTTGTAAGAGTTAACAAAGATCGGCCAAACAACATGTCTTCTTGGAACCTATTATTCAGCTCATATCTGACAAACATGATAAGATCAGCTGAATTGCTAATGTCAATGAATTCATCTTCCAGTCTCCAGTGAATATTATGGACTTCATTGTACTCAGGATAATAAACACTGCTCTACATTTAGGTTGTATCGTCACTGTCTGATGAACTGTTGTATTTGATGGAGTTGCCCCATCAGATATTGTTTCCCGTTGCCTTGTCCCACTGACCATCACTTGCAACTGTTTTTACAGCTGATTTGGTGTCTCACCAGTTGAGTATCACCAACCTGGGCAATAGAAACCAACATTACAAACAGTGCTTCTGCAACATTGACATTTCATCTCCCCCCACTCTGTGCTGATGTTTCTGTGGTACCTGAATATCCACCTGCTTTGCTTTTAAAAATTCAATGCTTCCTGTGGTAGTCTTTGTACATTTCAAAACTGATGTTTGAGACAAAATGCTTTCTAACTAGAACTTTGAGTGTCACCAAAACACACTATATCTAATGAAGACGTTTACACTCATTGACAGTTTACTAAAATCCAAATTTCAAATAATTTTCAATATATTTGTATATTTTTATTTTCTTTGCAGCTGGTGCTTTTGTAACAGTAACAGATGGTTTCAGGTGATTCATCAATTTGGTCTTCCTACTGTTCTGAAAGCACATGACTGATTTCATTGCAATAACCATAGCACCTATATTTCCATCAATGTCTTCAGCATTATGCCTTAAAGGACTTATTTATAAAGCACGGGTCCATGATAGGTTCAAGAGAAAAGGAAATCAAAGAGTGTATAGTCCCAGCTGCAATTTATAATTGATACTTCACATATGAAGTGATATGTAGTACATCACTGAAAAGAACTGCATAATGACATGGAAATTCGGTATATGAAAATTCGTATTAGCAACCAAACAATCTACATTATACTTACATCCTAATCATTTAACTTGTAAAGGTTTTAATAGGTATGCCTGAGCACCACCATGACATTTATTTGGCTTACGTAGGGCATATTGCCCACTGGGGTAGCTACTTTAGCCTCATCCCATACAAAAATATTTTGAAATCATGAGTTTGATTAAAAGTTTAACTTTTAAAATCACAAATATAAATAAATAATCTGCATAACTTCTCTAAGCTTTAGTTATTTTACCATGAAAGGAATAAAAATAGTACTTTTATCACAGAGTTATTGTAAAGATTAGATGAAACTATTCATGCATAGTACCTGGAAGATCACAAATTCTTGATAAATTATGATAACATAAACACTAGATTTTTTATAGACTTTTTTTGTTAACTAAGAGTATTAGGATTCATCCCTGAATATTAGCTCTCAACCCCAGTAACTAGGTAACTAAGCAGCAAGCAATTCAGAGAACAAAAACAAACTAGTCTGACTGTGCAAAAACATCTTCCAGCCAGAGGAGTTAATGGCTAGAGCTGAACTTTTTATTGTCAAGGATTTTGCACAGTTTTATTTGCATAGTTACATACTTTTCCATAGTCAAGCAATCATTAATATTAATAGCTCATACTTAATGAACACTGGCTATTCTAGCTGCTTCATATCTATTACCCAAATGAATTTCTGCAACAGCTCCAACATTGAGTGTGTATTATTACTTTTCCTATTTTAAAAACAAGATATCTGTAGGGTAGAGAAGTCATGCTACTTGCTCATAACCACATAGCTAGTAAGGGAGAGAATCATGATTCAAACACAGCTCATTTATAATCCCAGGAGATGAGTTTGTAACTATTTTGTGGCCACTTAACAGAAAACAATGCTCAGAATTCAGCTGCATATTCCCTAGGATTTATTAGTCTCCAAAATATTTCCAAAATATTGGAGTTTCTAAAAAAAGTTATATTCTATAATTAAGAGATAATTTTATAGTTTTTGTTTTAAATTTAATACATGCATGGATTTCTCTTTGTTGAAAGTTTTACTCACTTTTAAGCACATGCATACAGATATATTAATGATAAATGACAGAGAGGCTTGAGTAATTCCCAGCAATCATTAGGATTATTTTGCTAAGCATTTTGTACCCCTGGGAGAGGTACCTTATGCAAACAATTACCAAGTTTCTGACTTCAAACCTTTGCAAGAGGCTAACTTGATCAAAAAATTATATTTTTAGCTTATGTGATGATAGCTTACCAAATCGGTCAAGTCCTGCCTGCCTTGTTTTGCAAATTCCACTTCTTTTCAACTGAGTCCTGCATGCCCCCTTTCACAAATTCAAATTCTTTTCAGCTGAGATATCATCTACACAAAAGAATGGAGCTTTTTTTTTTTACAAGTGTCTATAATTTACATTCATACCTTTTTTTATGAAGGAATATTTCAAGGTAATAAGGTCTTGCATGCAATCTACTGGCAAATGTTTTAGTCTGCTCCTATATCCATTTGTTCAATAACAATGGAGCCAGTTCACAAAGCATTTGATTCTAAACTACTGCCTATAAGCTCAGAACTAGGCTGATGCTATCACAACAGGCTTTACAGGATGAAGTGACTGTACCGCAGCTCACAGGCTTTAACTCAAGGTATGCTTGCGGAATGCTAGGTCATACTCAATACAATCATCCAACCTCTATCACATGGGTAAATATAGTACTACAATTTGTTTGAAAGTAACAGTAGTGGTATCTGCTTCAAAATGTTAAATAGCTGCCATGCTACCATTGCCAATGGAAAGAATACTTGGTAGGCCAAGCTTACATTATAGCTTGAAAATTTTCCCCAAATGTGAACATAATTTTTTGTTTTAAAATTATTTTATATTTTAAATTTATTCAGTAACCTAATTTTAGAATTATTTGGGAGTAAACAGAGACAGAAAAAGGACAAAATTCAGAGTGATTGAATTACAGCTTCACTTTATCATTAATGAATTTCACTGTAACAGAGCTATATTGTACTTTGAAATATTTTGTTATAAATTTCTATTTTCTTTCACTAAAAAAATGCATATGAGCCAGGCATGGTGGGTCATGTCTGTAATCTCATAACTTTGGGACGCTAGAGCAGGAGGATCTCTTGAGTTTGAGAGGTCAAGGCTAGGCTGCAGTGAGCTGTGATTGCACCCCTGCACTCCAGCCTCATTAACAGAGTAAGACCCTGTCTCAAAAAAAAAAAAATGCATGTTAGTTATTTTACTGGACATTGAAGAAATGTAGTGAACAAGGCAGATTGGTGCCTGTCCTTAAGGAACTTATATTCTAACTTGCCAATACAGCCAACTGATAAGAGAATTTTAGTATTTTGGAAAAAAATAAAATCATAAAGGAGGTAAGTTTTTAACAGCTTAAATGTTAATAAAACTTTGAGAGCTGTATGGTTTAGGTTCTGGTATTTTACAAACAGAAACCAATTATGTAGCTGATACCAAAGACTCCAGAAAAAATCCCAGATTCTATGAGTAATTTTTTCCTTTTTGAAGTTGGGTAATTTTATAAGCCACAATTTTATTTCATTTCATTTACTTATTTTCTGAATCACCCATATTTTATGACTACCATCCAATCAGCAATGAGAGTTGAAATACGAAGCAGAACATTGTGACAGAAAAGAGAGTAAATTATGAAAAAATGATGGAAAAACTGAGAGGCTGAACGTCGGCTCCATGGAATACAATGACATATAATAAGAATCAACTTTTAGTGGCATTTTATAAAACTAGAGCTTATCCAGAAGAGCACAAAAATTTTATTAGTATGTTTATCACAGTCCATTTTTATAGCACTGGGAATATTAGGGGCCAGAAAGATCTATTTTTGTGACTTGTAAAGGCATATTCTTTAAGCCAGTACTGTTGGTTACATTTAATTTATCATAGTCATAATATAAACAGATTTGCAACTTTTATTTGCTCTATTCGAAGTGCTTTAAATGCTTCTTCCTGGCCAAAATTGGAGGACAAACCGGAATACGGATAAGGCTCTTTGTTCCAACAATGATTAAACAAATTTAACCAAGCAAAGACTAAATTTTTAAAAAATATTCCTTTAGTTAAAAAGTCCAATCTTCCAACATATTAGGCATCATTCAACAAAATAAATGTCCCTGCCTAGTTAAGAAATGCAAAACTTAGCATCTAAAATACTATTAAAAGAAATACCATACCTTCTGAAAAATTAAGTTTCTTGCACAACCCAAACAGGCTCAGATAGTTAGAGCAGTTGTTCTCTTCAATGGCTTCATATTAGAATGCAAAGTTTAAAAAAATTAGAAAGAAAGAAAAATAGTTATGCTGGGGCCTCAGACCAGAACAGTAATTTAGAACCTCTGGTAGTGGGGCCCAGGTATTATTTGAATGTTTCTCAGGTGACTCTAATGTACATGAAGGACTGAGAATCTTCATGCTAGAGAAATAATGCTGGAGGAGAAGCAAGTGAAGTACAATGAAACCTGAAAGCATTCAATTATTGTTGTCTAATAGAAATATAATTTGAGTAATTTTAAATTTTCTAGGAGCCACATTAAATAAGTAAAAAGAAAAAGCTGATTTTTTTTTTTTTTTTTGAGACAAAGTTCTGCTCTTGTTGCCCAGGCTGGGGTGCTATGGCGTGATCTCCACTCACTACAACCTCCACCCCTTGGGTTCAAGCGATTCTCCAGCCTCAGCCTTCTGAGTAGCTGGGATTATAGGTGCCCGCCACCACTCCTGGTTAATTTTTTTATTTTTGGTACAGACGGGGGGGGTCTCACCATGTTGGCCAGGCTGGTCTCGAACTTCTGATCTCGGGTGATCCACCTGCCTTGGCCTCCCAAAGTATTGGGATTACAGGCATGAGCCACTATTCCTGGCCAACATATTATAATAATATATTTCTTTAACCCAATAAAATCAAAATATGTCAACATGAATCATTATAAAAGTGTTAGTAAAATATTTTACATTCTGCTTTCAACACTCAAGTCTTCAAAACCTGGGAAGAATTTTACCATTACAGCATATCTCAGTTTGGAAGAGCCATATATTAAATGTTGAAGAGCAGCCTGTGCCTAGGGGCTACCATATTGAACAGTGCAGAGTTTTACAGATGCTTTGCCATGCATGACTTATGGAAACCCTTACTTCTATTGAAAAAATACTTATTTATTGAATATATTAGAAAAATGTTGTGCATTAGCAAATAATAAAATACTTAGGAAGGCATACTTTTAAAAGAATTATATTCTTTAGATAAATTAAGAATGCAGATTCTGTCCTTTCCCTTCTTTCCTTCCAAATATATTTCTCTTACAAATGGACACACACTCTGGATACCTGATAGTTGTTATATAGTATAACACAGTATAAAATGGACTGGGTTTTAATAAGGTATTACTTGCATTCTATCTTGATCACTATAGGAAACATCTCCATTTCTCCGTCTTCTTAACTATAAAACAGGATTTATAATATATATACATCATAGGGATATTATGAGGGTTAAATGAATTTATGTATTTATTTAATAAATTATTACTGCTCAATAAATATTAGGTATTATAATTTTAATAGCTGCATCATTTTATTTTTATTGTTTTATTTATTTTTTTAATATGTCTATGTCATTCCACACTATGGACATAGAAAAACTTATTTTACAAGTTCTATTAATGACATTTGGGTTGTTTCTAATTTTTGGTATTATAAAAATGCACAAGTAAATATCATTTCATATGCATCACTGTGCACATAAACCTGTATATGTAGAGGCTAAATAAATATCTAGAAGTGGAATTTCATGGTTAAATTTTATGTGCTTTTTCCGTTTGATCTACATTGCCAAATTGCTCTTCACAGACATTCCAACAATTTATCTCCCAACAACAATATATGAGAACACTTAGTTTTTTTCCCAGGATGTTAACACATGAAAGGTTATTTTTTAAAATGACATCTGAAATGCAACTTGGTTTGAGAAACATTCTGTGCTTGATGAAGGAAGCATACTGAACTGACTTTGAATGAAAGAAAATCATCAAATACTTTATTCTAGATTTTAAAAATGTAGATCTTGGAATTCTTAGAGAATTAAGCAAAAAATAGGAGAAAAATAAGAAAAAAGATCATCACTTAATTCGTCCAATATTTTTTCTATCTGAATGGAGAGTGCTAATATTTCAATGTCTCACAATAATTAGCAAGTTAATTTCACTAATTTACCACCTTACAAAGTTTAATTATTTCTATAGATCATTTTAGATCACTTTGCATCCACTTAGAAAATAAAAGTAGTGGACCTACGGTATTATAATTTAATTTATACCATATTATGGTTTTATAAATAGCTCATATTATTAAAAATAAGTTGTCTCAGAATTGGACTTATGATTACTGATCCATGGATTCCTACAGACTATGATTATAAAGGACTAATGATGAAGCCCCTGGGAGGCCCCTTTGTCTTTATTCTAGTTAGGCCCATTACCCCTGGGTCAGAGCTTGAGCTGTGCCATAGGAGTTTGCTGTCTAGGGCTTCCCTCTCATTAGCAAGAGTGAGAAAAAATAGGATGTCCCAGAAATTTTCTGGCAAGTCTGTAGGTAGTATGCACTCCCAATTAAGCAAATTGAATAAACCTACAGTATAATACTTAGGAAAGCATATTTTTAAAAAGATTATGCTCTAGATAGATTGGGGATGAAGTTTTTTTTTCTTTCTTTTTTTCCAGTTGTGGCCACTGAAGCTTTGAACACCTGCTTTCCCTTCTGGCTTTGTTACTCTCAATAAAGAAAGAGATTCCTGTTGAGAAGGAGGGAGAGGTTAAGTGTCCAGAAATACTGCTCTAAACCATGAAATTATAAAGGGAGAAAATCAACTAAAAAATAGCTTCACTTAAAGAGCTATTGTTAAGGGAAGGTTTCATTTTGGAATTTGTCCAAATAGTGTCTTAAAAGAAAAAACAGAGGCAAAAACTCAGCACTGTGAATGAATGTCTTCTCTGAGAATCTTCCTTTCTTTATGATTAATATTAATCTTATCATCATATAAGTTCTTTCTGAATACAATGAATGAATGAATAAATAAATAAAATATGGAACAGGTATGAGATGAGTGAGTGAGAAAGGGAGAGAGACCCTAAAAATAAAAAAGTAAGAGGAACACTGGGGAAATAATAGCTAAAGAAAAGGGTAGTGAGAGCAGATGACTCATTGAAAAAGAAAGCACATCATTAATAATATTTATAGGTCTACAGTCTCTAATAATGGATAATGATAAAACTACCCAGGTCATATGCCTTCTAGGAGTGTTCTGTGTGTTCGTCTCCAGAGTGACACAATGGGGTAATATCCCAAAATTTGGTAAAGTATCAGTTGTATATTATTTTCTTTGTCATGTCACACACATAATATTTAGGTTATATTACCTCATTTCAAAAATTATGGTTCTTTGTCTTTCTCTTATGTTCTATTATATCTGAATACCAGACCTAAAATGATTTCTCATTAGATAAAGTTGTAGCTGTGCTAAAAAGAAATTCTATATGAGAAAATTAACTTGACACGAGGAAAGGTTTGTAGATGTTTACCTATGTAAAATTAAGTACCCAAATCAGGAAACAGGAGAGAAAATAAAATGGATTTTATACTTGCTGTAAAGTAAATCAAAAGCATACTCAAATCTGAACGAATTTCCAAATTGTATGACTTTAGGGAATTTTCTTTTAAGCAAATATTTGATCTACACATTGATATTGCACTTCTGCACTGTACTATAAAATACAAAATTTCATAACTGACATAACTATTCTTTGTCTGTAATGTGTAATTTCACAAGTCCTTTGTCACAATCAGACATCTGTATGCTGTGTCTTATGATCAGGAAGAGAAAAGACAATGAAGCTAAAGAGGCCACCCAGAGTAAAAGAACGAAAGAGAGAGAGAGAAAGAGAAAGAAAGAAAGAAAGAAAGAAAGAAAGAAAGAAAGAAAGAAAGAAAGAAAGAGAGAGAGAGAGAGAGAGAGAGAGAAAGAAAGAAAGAAAGAAAGAAAGAAAGAAAGAAAGAAAGAAAGAAAGAAAGAAAGAAAGAAAACCCTGAAAGTTGTTTGTGTTCATTGAAATTTAAGATACGCCAAAGTGCCTCATTGAAAGAGAGAAAACTGTAGAAGACTGAGCAAAAAGCTGGTCTTCCTACTATATAATGTTGAGACTTTTTTTTTTTTTAATGTAAAGTGATTGTAATCACTTGCTCGAATAAAGAAATCTCATCACTCTGGCAACACACTTAACAAACTAAAGAAAAACAAATAATGGAAATCACAGCGTGAGAAAGCTGTACTTGAAATATGCACTTGAGTGTTAGCATCTCTGAACTTTCAGCAGAGTCCTGATTTCGAAGATGGTGACCCAGAGCATGGAGCAGGTGTGAGCCTGGTGACTTTTGCCATGTTCTTTTTTTAGAGTCTGCTGCTGGTATCACTTTTGTCTTTGCCTCTTTAGTCGATTTCCTCATTTGATTGGGTGATTTCTAGAACCTTCTCCAGCTCTCACATTGTTTAACCCTGTACGACAACCTCTTTGGGGTAGCTATAGTGTGACAGGAAACACTAGTAGAGGGGAATTCACCTCTGCTGACCATTGACCCACATTTCCATCCCCGCAAACCACACTTACCCAATACAATTCTCTTTTGCGGATAAACGAGCTAATGATCAGAGAAGTTGAGTAGCTTTCCTTACTCGGCTGAGGGACTGGGAAAGCTGAAAGTCCAGTCAGTCATTTATGGCCCCATAGAACATTTGCTCTCTCTATACCAGCATTAACATTTTATTTGACTTTGCCCAAAATTGTCTATGAAGATCTGATTTAAACAATCTTTAGATTACCAGAAATTCTTATAAAATTCTGATTTCCTCCTTTTGTTGCTGTTGAGCCCTCCATCTGATGTTCTGCTTTCCTGAGACGTGTTTACTTAAACCATTGAGAGTGTATGTTTCCTCAAAGACATATTTCTCCAGAGAAAGGCTGAAAATACTATTTTAAGAAAGCTATCATTTTCTTGAGGCAGGTGGATAAATATATTTATGTCTGCTTTTGTTTTTTACTCCCTATTATCTAAAAACAATACTCCGAGGTTTATGTAAATTAGAGTGAACTTTTGCAGAGGGAAAAGCCTTTGCAAGAAATACCGATTACAAGCTGCAGTTCTCCTCCCTGATCACGCCCCACCCTTAGCAGCTGCTTCTGCTTCTTCTAAGCATCTACATCCAGCACTGGGGCATTTAATCTTCTGGTTTGGAGCTGAACATCAGGGTGCAACCAGCCCTCCTACTATACATATGTAATAGAATTAATACGGATTGGAAATAAAAAGACTAGTCATCCCTCAGGCACTGTACTAGACATTGATGTGAACTAAACAGACTTGGACCTCTCCTGGAGGAGCTTAGAGTATAGGGCAGGATCATCCAGTAGCGTCCCCACACACCTTGTATGACTATTTAAACATAAATTAATTCAAATTAAATAGAATTTAAAACTAAGTTTCTCAGTCACACATTGGCCTAATTCAAAGGCTCAATAGTCACATATGGACAGTGGCTTCCCTAATGGACAGCCCGGATTTTAGAACATTTCCATCAATACAGAAAGTTGTAATGAACAATGCTGGTAAAATCTATCACTAGAAGCATGGAATAAAATCAAGGTTCACCTGCCAGGACAGTAACACCAAGTCAGTGCAGGAGAGAAATCCCCAAAAATGGGTTTTCAGGTTTGGCAGAGAACTTGGAAATAGATGTAAATGTACAGATATGCACATACATACCCAAGTTCAATATGTACCTGGATCTATTTCTAGAATTTCCATTCAGTTCCACTCATCAGTCTTTTTATCATGAGCTGGTGACACACTGTTTAAAAGATTTATAGTATAAAAAGATTTAAGTATAAAAGATTTATACTAGGTTTTAACATTTGTTATAACTAGTTCCCACTTACAGCTTTTCTTTTTAGTGTTTTTTTTTTTTTTTTTTTTTTTTTGAAACAGGGCCTCACTCTGTCACCCAGCCTGCTGGAGTGCTCACTGCCTGGCTCACTGCAACCTTGACCTCCCAGGCTCAAGTGATTCTCCTGCCTCAGCCTCCTGAGTAACTGGGACCACACTTGGTTATTATTATTTTTTTTAATGTTTTGTAGAGACAGGGCCTCACTAATGTTGCCTAGGCTGGTCATAAACTCCTGGGCTCAAGCAGTCCTCTCACCAAGGCCTCGCAAAGTGCTGGGATTATAGGCATAAGCCACCATGCCAGGCCCTATTCTTGTGTATGTATTTTTCTGCATAAACTTTAAAATAAACTTGTCTAGCTTCATAAAAACGCATGTTGATATTTTTATTGTACTTTTCATTTTTTCACATATTTTTGTTTGAAATATTTTTCCATATTTTAACCTGATTTTTTTTTCAGAGTATCTTTGGTTATAACATAGATTGCTATTTTTCTTTATAAAATGCAATTTTGGTAATAAATAATAAATTAATACATCCATGTTATGAATTAGTTTTCTTTTTTCATTTTATAAAATTTTAATTGAACTAAAACAAATATAACATTTTATACCTTTTTAAGTGTACAGTTTAGTAGTACACTATACTAAATCTATAGCAGAATTATGAGAGTTTTATATACCATCATTATGATAACAGTCTTATACTTGTATATATATTTACCTTTTATAGAGAGCTTTATATTTTCCTATGGTTTCATATGAAATCATATTATTTCATTGTTTCATTTTTCAATGTGAAGAATTCACTTTAGCATTTTTTTCTTTTATCATTACTTATTTATCTATTTTTAGTTCTGGGATATATGTGCAGGAGTGCAGGTTTGTTACATAGGTAAATGTGTGCCATAGGAAATAGTTATTTTCAACATCAAAATTATGTAAATAATATTTATTGAGCCTATTTTATATTAAGAACATTATATGTATTCTTAAATCCTCACAAATATAAAATATAAATTATTATCTATTTTATAGACAAGAAATCTGAAGCATGTAGAGATTAAGCCACTTGTCTAGAATATTTAAGCTGGGTCTATCTAAAATTAGAGCTCTGCACATATTGAAAACGTGAACTACTGCTTATTTTATAAAGTAACATTTATCAGAGTCCAAGTCATACAAAATTCCATAAAGAGAATGCATTTGGTTTCACTTGTGTTATAACAATCAGAAGAAAGATAGAATAATTATTTTTACTGAATTTGATTTTAAATGGTTGGTGACCACTAAAATGCATACGATAGTCTACAATGAAATAATATCAGACTCAAGAAAGTTGTGTTCCAGCCCCGTCATTATTACTGCTTAGCCAGGCATGTTTTGAGGGGATAGTTAATCCCTCTCTGTAGCTTGTCTTCTCTACTTTGAAATGGCATTGCATGTCTGTTTATCAAAGTTCTGTGGCAATAAAGTGAGTGACAGTACATAACAATGCATGGAGATAACAGAAATATAGTCGGGCAATGATACCTAGAGACCATTTCAAAAGTTGGCCTGGTAAATTAATGAGCTTCAGATTTTTAAAAACCCCAATTTAATTATAGATCAACACTTCTTCCTAGATCATTCTGCTTCACTTATTACTTTTCGTTTTATTTGTATTAAGTCAAAAAGGGTGCCTAATTATCATTTAATGTGTTTCTAAGCCACTACACTCAATTTAAAAATAGCTGCACTAATATATGCTGCCATGTAGATTATATTCATTTGAAAGTTTAACAATTTCAATTATTTTGTTGTAGAAAAAGTATACCAAAAGAATTTGGAAGGATAAATTCTTACAAAACGTATGTGGCTTTCATTTTCAGTACTTCCTATTTTCATTTGGCTTTTTCTCACGGGACTTACATACTTCTGCTTCTTAATAGGAACATTTAAAAACACTAAGTAAACTTTCAAGAGGGTCATTTCTTATTTTGCCCAAGTTGGCTCATACATCTCTAATTTGATTTTTGAGTTAGTAGAGTCAGTTTTGAGGGAAAATGTATTACTAGTCTTTGGGAGGTAGGTGAGATTTGTTTTATAAAATAGCGGCTTATTAATCCACAGTGTATTTTATTTATAAATTTTTGAATGATTTATTTTTCTAGGACTATATGTGAAGCATGTGACTTGCTTTTGTTCCCTTTTAGGCACTTTCATCTTCTTGCCTCTGTGGGAACATCACCATTTTCCCACTCATCTTGAACTCATCTCTTTCTTTCAGCATGTCGTTTTGTCCCCACACCTCATGAGAGAGCTACTTGAAGTAGAATTATTATGCATTTTAGAGATAAGAGATCTAGGGCCTATAGAGATTATGCAACCTTTCCCAGGAGATTTAAGCTGGGTGTATCTAAAAATCAAAGCCCACGTACATAAGAGAGCCACATGTCTATTACTTCCATCCCTATCTAGGCTACTCCAGTCAGGGACTTTGTTACCACAACATTAAACTAGACTAGCTTCAGTACAGCTCCCATTTGAACCACTATACATCCTTTCAAGGTCCTATACACAAATCATCCCCCTTTACCATCCCTCTTCCTCTAACTCTTCCTGGAATTTCTTCTCTGTCCTCACTGACCATTTTATACCAGAGATCCTCACCTTGACTGAACATTAGAATCACCTCTGTAGCTTTTATACCACATAAATGCCACATAAATGCCTGGGCTTCACCTCAGACCAATTAAATAAGATTTTCTTATGGTGGGATCTGGGCACTCACTATTGTAATGTGCAACCAGAGTTGAGAATGACAGGCTTAAATTTATATATTCCTTAAATATCAGCCTGAGCCCTGCATTGTGAACTACATCAACCCTTTGGCTCTTATCCCCAGAACACCTACCTTACAGTGCCTTAAATTGCTGTTATCATTTATAATTATTTCAGATATTTTCACTCAATCATTTCAAATACTTCATCATTTATTAAGAACCTGTTATGTGCAAAAGATAATCCCCATATCTGTTATATATGTGGTCTTCTCTCTTCAACTAATTGAAACCACTCTGAGAGCTTGGGTTACATCTTATATTTCTTCTTCAATCAAAATAGACCTAATGCATTTATAAGCTCATATTAGATCTCAATAATACTTTTCGGTGAAGATCTCTAGGTTTATATTTTATTCTTTTAGTTACCCAGATTTCTTCAGCAAATATTTACTGAACTGCTATTATGTGGAAGATACTCTGATAGATTTAATACAGAATTTAGGCCAGGCATGGTGGATCATGCCTGTAATCCCAGCATTTTGGGAGGCTGAGGCGGGCAGATCACCTGAGGTCAGGAGTTTGAGATCAGCCTGGCCAACATGGTGAAACCCCGTCTCCACTAAAAATACAAAAATTAGCTGGGCGTAGTGGCACACACCTGTAGTCTCAGCTACTCAGGAGGCTAAGGCAGGAGAATTACTTGAGAATCACAGAAGGCAGAGGTTGACGTGAGCTGAGATCATACCACTGCACTCCAGCCTGAGTAACAATATGAGACTCTGTCTCAAAAAAGGAATATATATATATATTCGTTTTAAGAAATAATCTTCACTTTTGGCTACAAATATATTTATTTGTTTTTTAAATGGCTTTCTGTTTTTATGTTTTGAAGTGATGTTTACTTGTTTCTATATTGGATAATGTGTCAGAATAACATTTATTAAATACCTCTTTTATGTCATTCTTCTGAGTTCTTTGCATCTGTAAATTTATTCTATAGTTCAACCAAATGAGATAGTATCTTCAAAGAGAGTACCTTCTCAGAGGAGAAATGACTTTGCCCAAGTTTACCTGGACAGTAAGGGGCAGAGCTGGGACTCCAGCCCAGACCACTTTACCCCTCTGCTACAGTGCTGCCAGAGACAGTTTTCAAGCAGACAGACGATTTTCCAATTCCGGGAACATATTCATGATTTCCTTAGACTTTTCTATATAGAAAGAATTCTAAATTATACATAAAAATGCCATTAATGGTACTAGAAGTGGCTTTCACTCAAATGTCATTAATATCACAAAATATTTTACAGAGTAAGTTCTAAGAAATCTTAATAGCCAATAAGAAAAGCCTAAATGTTTTAAAGTTTTTTCAGTTTAGGTTATTAAAGAATATTTTGAATCTCTACTCTGCCCCCAGATGAGGTTTACATTTTTAAGTAGCTAAAACAAACTTCTCCCTTCTAACTTTACATTTCATGATTTGTTCAAAGAGGAAAAAAGCAAAGGTTTCAGTTACTAAGTAAACAGTCTATAAATGTACATCCTGTCTAAAAAAGCAGAGAATATGAAACCAAAGGATCCTCAAGATTGAAGAAAGGGCAGAAGATTTACAACTATTTTACAAATACTTTTCTTCTTCTAGACATTTTTCTTTTACCTTTCTTATATAATTTTTATTCCTCTCACTTTGCCCATTTTCATAATTCACTACCTTTTCTATTTTTTCTTCTCTGACTCATTTATGAATGTCTTTCGTAGCCGTGAACAAAATTCTTCTTAAAATGTGTCTCTATTAAAGACATTACAAAAGAATTTAAAGTAATAAACTTTATTTTCTCCTCCTAATTTATCTTCTTTACCCACCCTACTCTGACCATCTCCTTTGTTTCACAATACATCCTTTATTTTACAATAAAATATCTGTCTCTCAGTCTCCACATATGTGAAATCACAAAGCATCTCCCTACTATAAATGCCAACTCCTAATTAGGAGCACTTAACTTATTAAAAGTTATTAGCCAGGTACTTTTCCCTTGGAAAGATGTTAATAGTGTCTTCATGTATATTTAGTTCACAAATATTTATTAGACATTTAATATGTGATTTTCTAGATACTGTTAGGTTCTAAAAATCAAGTTGTCTTGAATTTCCCAAGTTGTCTTTTTAGTACTATGCACTGTTAACTATAATAAGATTAATAAGGCTTTTGCAACATTAGCTTAATAATATTTTTGCAGGGTGAAATTGTATTTGTATTTTATTTGGCCAGGGAAGTAATAAACTTTCTACCATTTGGTGGTAATTTGGAACAGCCTTGCTCACAGCTGTCAAGAGATTGAGAAAAAGAATAATAAATCCATAATTTATCATCTTTTAACTGGCAGGTTCACCTCACATGCAGGCATTAACATTGTTCACTATTAATACTCACATTGCCAACTGAACACAAACTACAAAATGAGGAAATGTCAAAACTTGCACTTTCCTTATAGGGTCTATTTTATCAACATAATCCAACTGTTTTAACTATGCTCTTGAAGATAAGAAAGCACACCACATTACAGATATACATGAGTACATACACTCATGGATTGCTACAACAGCCTCTAACTGTCACTATAGCTTCCCAAACCACAAACAGTGCCTCTGCTATGCACAGAGAGCAACTGAAGTATTTTAAGCAATTCTCTCATACAATGGTTTCTATTCTGTTGACAGCTACTCTGAGTCTCCGCCTTCGACTGAGGGTCAAGGGCACTGTGAGCTGTAACCTTTGATGCCTCTCACCTGCTGATTCCTGTGTAATCCCTCCCAGCCATTCATAAGAGGACTCGGAGGTGCAGGCAACTGTACTTTGTGCATTGGGTCCACAAGGAGGGGATGACCCTTGTGGGCTCAGGGTACAAAGGTTCACATTTCACACTTGGGCTTTAATCTGCATTATAATTGTTGAATAAGGAAGTATTTAAGCACACTAGTACTTAGTTTTAACCATTGCACTTGCCAAAGTAAGTTATGCATAGTATTTAGCATAATTTCTACGCCTCCGACCAAAAGAGTAAATAGGTCTCTCTTTAAAAAATACTCCTCCTCTTTTAAAGTGCGTCATTGATGCTGATGATTAATTGAAATGTGGAAATGATCAAGATTTTAAAAAGTTTGTGGTATTGTGATGGGCAAAGCACATTATTTTTAGGCCAGAATAACCCCAGTTTGGACTCCTCTTAGGGCCTGGGTAGGCTTGGGTAATTTGTCTAATGCCTCTGAGATTTCATTTCTTTGCCAATAAAATAAAAAGAAGCAATATTCACCACATATACTGAGCATGGGCTTAAGTAAAGTAAAATGCCTGGCATGTGCTGGACCCTCAGTAAATATTAGCTCCTACCCACAGTGTGGGGGAAAAAAATTAAGTGAACATGTTTTGTTGATTTTAGAACAACTTTTCTATTAATCTTGAGGGAAGTTACCAAATTTCAATTATAATATAAGGAAATAAAATTTCTGAGACAATTTTTAAGGCTCTTCATTTTCTGAAATAATACGTATGGTGATCTTAGGGTGTTGAACAGTAATTCAAGAGGGAAGAATAATTTAAATCCGAACAACTGCTTATGTTCTATTATTCAAGATTCAGTGATAAAACTAAAAAAGAGTTAGATAGTATAGTTACTTTTAAAACTCTGTTTTCTCCTGTAGCATAATGAGACTTCATTTATGACTAGGAAAGTCTAATGTGTTTTCCTTGAGCTTGTGAAGAAGTATCTACAGTTCATCCTCACTACCCAAAGAGAAACTAGATTTTTTTTACTTAAGCTCTAGAAGATGAGAAAAACATCCCGTAGTAATAAAGAGCCGTCCCAGTCCCTTGCTGAAGAGGCAAGTTCAAACTCCAATCTGTGAAGATCTGCATTTAGTTATACTCCCAAATTTACATTGTTCATAGGGCAATTGAGAGGCATTGCAGAGGTTTCAAAGAATTACAAAAGTCATACTTATCACCAAAACCAAAACCCAGTCTGTAACCAAGGCTAACCTAATACTAAGGTAGCTGTGGTCAGTCAAAAATAAAGAAAGGGTCATTTCTATGTTACATAAAGAGAAGGGCTGCCTTTTGATGCTAACTTCCCTTTATTGCCCGCTGTCATAGTATTCAGCAGATAGGGCCCCAGGAGGAGGCAGGTAAGGCATGACCCCAGCTCCAAAATATCACACAGAGGGACAGCTGAAAGGGAGACTCCAGGGCCCTAGATGACCTGCCACTAAGCTACCAAGACTTGGGGCGGGGCTAATCTTTTCCATGGCTTTGACCTCTAATTAATAAATAAAACCTGCTCAGATATGGCTGAATATTCTTTTCAAACAGTAACATAGACTCTGGCGTCATTTTGAATCCTATTCTGCCACTTTGTGGTCTGACCTTGAATATAAGCTACTTAACTTCCTCATTTGCAAACTGGGCATCCCACTAGTAGACCCTGAATAGAGTTGTCAGTATGATTATCTGAATTAATATTTGTAAATTATTTAGAATTCTGCCTGGTCAGCAGGAGGTACTTTCACAGAGTTTTAAAAATAAAAGTAGTACATCCCCCCACATATATCGCCAAGATATTCAAAAAATTATCTCTGATTTTTGCTGAAATCTTAATTTAATTAGGCAATAAGTCAGATAACCCAGTTTTTAAATATAAATTTAAATAAATATATCAATATAATATTGATATATTACTTTTATTATTTTAATAAAATCATTAAATATCTAAATGTATATTAGTATATATTTAAAATATGTAAATACACAAATATATAAATCACTTTTACTATACAATGCTTATCTATTTTATTTAATATGCTGATGTATAGGGTTCTACTTTTAAGTATAGTAAGTTTCAAGATATGATTGGAAAGATGTTTACTCTCTCTTGTTCTCTCTCTCTATATATATGTATATATGAAAATAGAGTGTTTTTGTAAAATTCATAACCCTTTTTTTTTTTTTTTTGAGACGGAGTCTCACTCTGTTACCAGGCTGGAGTGCAGTGGCGCCATCTCGGCTCACTGCAACCTCCGCCTCCTGGGTTCAAGCGATTCTCCTGCCTCAGCCTCCCAAGTAGCTGGGAATACAGGCATGCACCACTACACCCAGCTAATTTTTGTATTTTTAGTAGAGACGGGGTTTCACCATGTTGGCCAGGATGGTCTGGATCTCTTGACTTCGTGATCCACCCGCCTCAGCCTCCCAAAGTGCTGGGATTACAGGCGTGAGCCACCATGCCCAGCCAACTCATAACACTTCTACAGCTAAATCACTAAAGTTATGATTGACTTGTCACCACATTATACCATATTATTTTCAAGTAATAAATCTGTACAAAGTAGAGTCATTGCTCTAAAAAATCTGTATGCAAAGAAACAAAATTATGAAGTGGTTTCTGCTTGAAATAACAATATTTGTGGTCCCCAAGAATTTTTTTCTTTCACATTTTTTGGTAGCATGATACAGTTCATTCATAAAAAATATTGTAAGAGGATGATTGGTAATGAAACATAGGACAAAGTCACTATCATAATTTCTGAGAACCTTCACTATGTGTCTTGCACATGAAAATTTCAAAATTCTTCAGTCTTGTTTGCAATGATTAGTACCACAGAGCTGGCAACTGATGCAGTTTTTCTCCTCTGCAAATGAGTGTCATGTTTCTGTTGAAAGACCTACTGGTGGATATTTGAACATCTATATTTGAAGCATCATGGGGTATTTTGCTATTTGTTTTTTAAATATATATTTGAAACTAGACTATGCCTAGAAAGAGAACAATTAGCAATCATAACCTAAAGATCAATTTAACAATAAAAAATATCAAATCAATAACTTTTATTCAAGACCATACCACACCAGTTTAAGTGAATATTCATTTTTTTTACTCATGTTTGGTTGAACAGACTAAACTAACTTTTGGTTTCTAAAATATATAAAGCTCTATGCTTGGTGTTTCAAAAGCAAAAGTTCTTCAACTTATGGACAGATTTATAGAGGTGAAGAATACTGAATAAGTATGTTCTCATTTGGTGCTAAAAGAAATCAGTCAACCCAAGTGGTCTGATATTTTTCTTATGGATTAGAGGGACATGCTGCTGTCTTATTCTTACTTTTAACCAATTTTTACTTTAGTTTCCTCTGGAGTGGGAGTCATATCTGATAGTATTTATATCTCCCCAGAGTATTTACCATATATTATGTACTAAATAAAAGTGTATTAACACAAATTAGGCAAATTGAGAGTCCAGACATGCAGCTCACTATCAAAGGTGCTGAACAACACAGATATACTGAAGTGATGATCATGTTATTTGAGACATAGTTGTATGTTACTAAATATCTTTATTTTCTAACATGAGAAAGTAATCATTTAGAAAGTTGATATGTTCTTACGTGTTGATAAAAATTCTATGCTGAAAAAATTTAATGTTATCTTCTATATCCAACAATAAGAAGTGCTCCTTGAGAATTATTCAACCCTCGACTTGAGTAGACGCACTATTCCTTAAAACATACACACACATACACACACACACACACACACACACACACACACACAATAGATGTCCTACCTATTTTCCTCTTGGACTGGCATTTCTTTCATAAACTGAAAATGGTTCTCTAGCTATTAAAGCAGTCTAACATTGAATTAGAACTTGAATTAAAGTCAAAGCTCTAAAATGGCTTATTTTGGGAAACATCAATAAGCTCATTTCACAGTTTAGATGCGGGATCACTGATGGGTCATGTACACACATTATACATACAGAGGTTTAGCCATATGGAGGGATAGGATAGGTTTTTCATGCCTGAATTTGTCATTCACAGCAAAAGACCAATACCAACCCTGTTTATAACAAAGGCATAAGATACAGTTTCCTTTTGGATAACTATATAACATAATAATAACTGCCTCATTATATAAGCATCCTTAACAATTATAGGTAAATGGTATTTTCAACAATTAGAAAACTGCTATAATGATCCAGGGAAATTGGATGAGGGCCTGAACTACTGTAATGGTATTAAGATTGGAAGGAAATACACACTTTTGAGTCACAGTTTGGTGTTAGAATTGATAGGTCTTGGTGATCCATTAGGTATGTAGAAAAGGTGGAGAAATTAAAGATGATAATCAGGTTTCCTGCTTGACTGCGGCTGTAGCAGTGCTATTTACTGAGGTCAGGAGCATAGGAAGAGGAGAAGGTTTGGAGCTGAGAAGCAAGAAGACTGAGAAGATGAGTATAGTTTGGGACATGTTGGAGGTGTGCATGGACATTCAAGTAGAAATATCCAGTAAGCAGGATATCATTGATGTGATAAGGAACTAGACCTTGAGCATAGATCTCCAAGTTCAGAACTTACGCAATCACTGAAGCCATGTGTGTGTAAAAGATCACTCTGGAAGACCATGTAAAATAAGAAGAGGGAAGAGCATGAGAAAATTGTTATCTGTATTATTAAACTGGTCACTAAAAGGTATTGCTTTATTGAAATATTAACAACATGTGCTATGATAGCATGAGGTGGTGGTATTTTAACAACAATGTAAAGCTGGCATGGTTGTAAATTAATTTTGCTTTCTAACCCCTTCCAACATCCTTTGCTACACTGTGTGGTTTCCTTAAATTACCACACGCAGAACTCCATGGGCGAACAGACCTAGCTGGTTTCACTTTATGCCACACAAACAAGCATGTGGCATGAGGTTCAGTCCTCCCAACCACACGTCCCGTTATTTACTCATGTTTTGTCAAAAATAAGCCTATATAACCAAGTAATTCAATTGGAATTATAAAATCATTGAATTTTTCATAGAAAAATTACCTGGGAAGTGATTGCTTTATACACATTTCACTATTGCATTTATCAACTTCCTTTCTTTTTTATTTTATAATTATTTTATTTTCTCATGTATTTTATTTTTGTATTATACTTTAAGTTCTGGGATACATGTGCAGAACATGCAGGTTTGTTACATAGGTATACATGTGCCATGGTGGTTTGCTGCCCCCTTCAACCTGTCATCTACATTAGGTAGCCGCCCACCCCTGACAGGCCCCAGTGTGTGATGTTCCCCTCCCTGTGTCCATCTGTTCTCATTGTTCAATTCCTGCTTATGTGTGAGAACACGCGGTGTTTGGTTTTCTGTTCCTATGTTAGTTTGCTGAGAATGATGGTTTCCAGCTTCAATGATGTCCCTGCAAAGAACATGAACTCATCCTTTTTTATGGCTGCGTAGTATTCCATGGTGTGCATGTGCCACATTTTCTTTCTCCAGTCTATCATCAATGAGCATTTAGGTTGGTTCCAAGTCTTTGCTGTTGTGAATAACGCTGCAATAAACATACGTGTGCATGTGTCTTTATAGTAGAATGACTTATAATCCTTTGGGTATATACTCAGTAATGGGATGGCTGGGTCAAATGGTATTTCTGGTTCTAGATCCCTGAGAGATCGCCACACTGTCTTCCACAATGGCTGAACTAATTTACACTCCCACCAACAGTGTAAAAGCGTTCCTATTTCTCCACATCCTCTCCAGCATCTGTTGTTTCCTGACTAAACAGTTCTTCTGAAGCAGCCAAAAAGAAAATACATAACTGATTCAAATTTTTGCTTTGTTTCTAATCTCGTGTGACCAAGACTTCTAAGAAAGTTCAAGAGCTCACTGATCACAGAATCTTTATCTCTGTTCTTTGTCTGGTTACAAGAGACATGTCTTTAAACTCTACATTGTGCTTTACCAAAGCAGCAGGATTCCATGTATGTCTTATGAATGTTAAATTAAACCAATGTGCCACAAACAAAATAATCCAAGATAATACCTATCATTTTATGTAATTCTTAAACTATTTTCTGAGACCATTAAGCATCATAATAATTGCTATATACCATTAAGAGGTTGGTTCATTTTCTTTTGGTAAAATTAAAAAACGTTCAAGAGATCTGAATTGTCTCATAATATCTTATTTACAAACCATTCCTATCCTCTCTTATTGAAACCAGGTCTCCAAGTAAAAGAAAAAGTTACCCCTCTAGCCTGGTGGCCTTATGAAATTACTTAACCCCCACACACAGAAATCTTCATTCATAATTTCATAGATTGTAACATTCTCTGTTGAAAAGCCATTGGACCCTCCTTCTCAGCTATAATATCATTAAATTCTATGATTTAAAATGTGCCTATTAGAAAGTCATATTGATTATTTCTGAAGGAAAAAGCTATAAACAGGGCATAATAGTCACCATAATGGCATGGGGAGAACACATGTCTGTGATATTTGGTGTTTTAAAAACATCCCTGCATCTAAATGGAAACCAAAATGGCATGTACCTTTAGGATATTTAAGAAAGAAACAGACTGAAAATCTTAAGCTACTGCAGTGTGAAGAAACTATTGAGGTAGGATAAATTCGAAATGTCTTCCTGGCTGTGTTTCTAATAAAACATAAAGCTAGGTAAAATTTTTCAGGAATTGTCTTTTTTTTAATATAGTAATATTCAAACTCAGAAAAATGGTAGAGAAGCTAATACCTTGGTTTGATACTAAAAAGGATTGCATTGATTCTTCATAATCAATAGAAGTATTTTTTCCATAATAAAAACAAAAGAAAAGCGTATTAACTATGCCCCATATACTCCAACTGGGTTGACTTATCTTATTTAGTATCACCTTTCTGTAATGCAATTTCATATGACTTGATAAATGATGATGATGACTGTGAGTAGGTCTGAAACCCAGTATTTTCAATTGGTTCTGGTGGTTCAGTATTTCTTTACATTCTATTCAGTCCAAATTAAAGGAAATGTTTTCTCTGTCCTAAATGTTAAATGATTTTTAAAATTTAAAATTTAAATATATTTACTTTCTATTTAATGTCAAATATTGATCAGCTAATTTGTTATAAATATTCCACTTCTAGCTTCCCACAGAACTGTTTATATGGCATTTTTTGTACTACGACTTAACAGTTTACTTAACTACATTCCTTTGAACCAGCACCTCAAGAATTAGGAAGTATACAGTTCTTTAAATGTTTGGTAGAGCTCTGCAGTGAAGCCATTGGTCCTGGGTTTTTCTTTAGTGGAAAATTTTTTTATTATGGCTTTGATTTTGTTACTTGTTATTGGTCTGTTCAAGTTTTAGGTTTCTTTCTGGTTCAATCTTGGTAGGTTGTATATGTCTAAGAATTTGTCCATTTTTTCTAGATTTTCCAATTTATTGGCATATAGTTGCTCATAGCAGCACTAATAATCCTTTGAATTTCTGCAGTGTCTGTTGTAATGTCTCCTTTATCATTTTTGACTTTATTTATTTGTATCTTCTCTCTTTTATTCTTAAGTCCAGCTAAAAGTTTGTCAATTTTAACTTTTTTAAAAAACAAGTTTTTGTTATATTGATTTTTGTATTTTTTTTTTCATTTGACTTTTATTTATTTCTGCTCTGGTCTATTATTTCTTTTGTTCAAGTATTTTTGGGTTTGGTTTTCTCTTGCTTTTCTAGTTCTTTAAGATACATCATCAGATTGTTTATTTGAAGTTTTTCCTCTTTTTTGATGTAGGCACTTATAGCTATAGACTTCTCTCTGAGTACTCTGTTATATTCCATAGATTTTGACATATTGTGTTTCCATTATCTTTTTTTCAATAAATTTTTCAATTTCCTTCTTAATTTCTGCATTGACTTACTAGTCATTCAGGAGCATATTGTTTAACTTCCATGTATTTGTATAGTTTCCAAAATTCCTCTTGTTATTGATTTCTATTTTATTCCATTGTTGTCAGAGAAGATGCTTGACATATTTCAATTTTTTGGATGTTTTAAGACTTGTTTTGTGGCCTAACATATAGTCTATCCTTGAGAATGATCCATGTGGTGAGGAAATTAATGTGTATTCTGCAACCACTGTATTAAATGTTCTGTAAATATCTATTGGATCCACTTGGTCTGCAGTGCAGATTAAGTCCAATGTTTATTTGTTGATTTTATGTCTGGAAGTTCTGTTCAATGTGAAAGTGAGGTGTTGAAGTCTCCAGCTATTATTGTACCGGGGACTATCTCTCTCTTTAGTTCTAATAATGTTTGCTTTATATAGCTGGGTGCTCCAGTGCTGGCTGCATATATATTGCTGAATTGACCCCTTTATCATTATATAGTGACCTTTGTCTCTTATAGCTTTTGTCTTTAAATCTATTTTATTTGATATAAGTACAGCTACTCCTGCTCTTTTTTGGTTCCTGTTGGCATGGAATATCACTTTCCAACCCTTTATTTTCAGTCTATATGTGTCTTTGTAGGTGAAGTGTGTTTCTTGTAGACAAGGGGTCAATGGGTCTTGTTTTTTCATTGATTCAATAATTCAGCTTTTCTATGTCTTTTGACGGGAGAGTTTAGTCCATTTACATTCAATGATATTGTTGATAAATAAGAACTTACTTCTACCATTTTATTAATTATTTTGTGGTTTTCTAGTCTTCTCTTCCTTCCTTCTTTCCTTCCTGTCTTCCTTTAATTAAGGTAATTTTCTCTGGTGATATGATTTAGTTTCTTGCTTTTTTATTTTTTGTGTATCTATTGTATGTTTTTTGGTTTGAGGTTACCATGAGGCTTAAAAATACTATTTTATAACCCATTATTTTACCCTAACAACTTAACACTGTTTGCATAAACAAGCAAACATATAAACAAAAAGAAAACTAATAACAACTCTATGCGTCAACTTTGTCCTTCTCCTTTTTAACTTTCTGTTGTTTCTATTTATGTCACATTGGACTATGTCTTGAAAAATTTTGTAGTTAATATTTTTGATTGGTTAAGCGCTCTTTCTACTTAGGATAAAAGTATTTACATACCACACTTAACAGTGTTCTAATATTCTCTGCTTTTCTATGTACTTACTATTACCAGTGAGTTTTGTATCTTCAGATAATTTCTTATTGCTCATTAACATCATTTTCTCTCTAATCAAGGAACTTCCTTTAGCATTTCTTATAAGACAGGTCTGGTGTTGATGTTAGCTTTTGTTTGTCTGGGAAAGTCTTTATTTCTCCTTCATGTTTAAAGATTATTTTCATTGGATATACTACTCTAGGGTAAAAGTACTTTTTCTTCAGCACTTTAAATATGTCATGCCACTCTCTCCTGTCCTGTAAGGTTTCCATTGAAAATTCTGCTCCCAGATGTATTGAAGCTCCATTGTATGTGATTTGTTGCCTTTCTCTTGTTGCTTTTAGGATCCTTTCTTTATCCTCGATCTTTGGGGGTTTGATTATTAAATGCCTTTAGGTAGCCTTTTTTGGGTTAAATCTTCTTGGTGTTCTATAATCTTGTACTTGGATATTGATATCTTTCTCTAGGTTTGGAAAGTTCTCTGTTACTATTCCTTTGAATAAACTTTCTACCCTATCTCTTTCTCTATTACCTCTTTAAGGTCAATAACTCTTAGATATGCCCTTTTGAGGGTATTTTCTAGATCCCGTAAGCATGCTTCATTGTTTCTTCACTCTTTTTATTTCATCTCCTCTGACTGAATTTTCAAATAGCCTATCTTCAAGCTCAAGAATTCTTTCTTCTGCTATCAATCAGCTATTAAAGGATTCTGATACATTCTTCAGTATGCCAATTGCATTTTTCAACTCTAGAATTTCTGCTAGATTCTTTCTAATAATTTGAATCTCTTTGTTAAATTTATCTGATGGAATTCTGAATTCCTTCTATGTGTTACCTTGAATTTCTTTTAGTTTCCTCAACACAGCTATTTTGAATTCTCTGTCTGAAAGGTCACATATCTCTGTTTCTCCAGGATTGGTCCCTGGTGTCTTATTTACCTCAAATGGTGAGGTCATGTTTTCCTGGATGGTGTTAATGCTAGTAGATGTTCTTCAGTGTCTGGGCACTGAAGAGTTAGGTATTCACTGCAGTCTTCACTGTCTGGGCTTATATGTACCCATCCTTCTTGGGAAGGCTTTACAGATATTTAAAAAGACTTAGGTGTTTTAATCTAAGCTGTAACTGCTTTAAAGGGCACCCTACCCTCAGTAACGCTGAGGTTCTTGCAGACTCGTAGAGGTACCGCTTTGATGGTCTTGAGCAAGATCTAGGAGAATTCTCGGGATTACCAAGCAGAGAATCTTGTTGTCTTCCCATACTTTCTCCCAAACAGAGGCCCTCTCTCTGCTCTGAGTCACCTAAAGCTAGGAGTGAAGTGACAGAAGCATCTTTGTGGCCATGACCACTGTGGCTGCACTGGGTCAGACCTGAAGCAAGCACAGTGCTGAGTTTCACTCAAGGCCTGCTGTAGTCACTCCCTGGCTACTGCCTATGTTCCCTCTAGGCCCTGAGGCTCTACACTCAGCAGGTGGCAAAGCCATCCATGTCTGCATTCTTCCCTGGGTCCAGAGGTGCTCTTTGGGAGTCAGGGACTAGAGTCAAAAACCTTAGAAGTCTACCTGGTATTCTATAGTACTGCAGCTGAGCTGGCACTCAAACCACAAGATGTAGTCCTTTTACTCTTCTCTCCCCTTTCCAAAGGCAGAGGAGCCTCAACCCTTAGCCACCACCACCCAGGCCATGAGGACTACTGCCAGATTACCTCCAAAATTACCTTAAGGCCCCAGGGCTCTTAAGTCAGCTTGTGGTGAATGCTGCCTGACCTAGGACTCACACTTCATGGCAGTGGGCACCCTCTGGCCCAGGGCAGGTCCAGAAATGCCATCCAAGAGTCAAGACCTGGAATCAGGGACCTAAGATCCCACTTGGTGCTTACCCCACTGTGGCCCATGCTGATACCTAAGATGTAAGACAAAGTCCCCTTTACTTTTTCCCTCTGCTTTTCTCAAACAGAAAGAGTTTTGCCCCATAGCCACCACAGCTTGTAATGTGCCAAGTCTCATCTAAAGCCAGTAAGTCTCAGAGGCTCATCTAATGCCGTTGGTGTAGCACCTGGGTGTCACTGCTGCTTGTTCAGGTCCCAAAGGCTCTTCGGTTAGCAGGTGATAAATACTGCCAGCACTGGGCCCTTTCCTTCAAGGCAGCAGGTTCCCTTCTGGCCCAGGGTGTGTCTAGAAATGTCGTCTGAAAGCTAGGGCCTGGAATGGAGGCCTCATGACTCTAACCGATACCCTGTCTTGCAGTGGCTGAGCTGGTCTCCAAGAGGCAAGACAAAGCCCTCTCTACACTTTCTGTTCCTCTCCTCAAGCAGAAGAAAGGAATAAAGAGGTCTCTTTTGGAGCCGCTGTGCAACCTGGTGTTAGAGGAGGGGTGATGCCAGCGCTCCCTTAGCCATCCCAACTGATGTCTCAGTATGTCCTGTGGCCCCCTACCCCACCCAGTCCACTGTCTCTGGGCCCAGTTCAGCCCTAGACTCGCATGAGAATTGCAGTCTTTATGGCTTAGGCTGCTTTTCAAGTTTACTTGGAGACAGAGCACTATAGCTCGCAGTGGTGAGGTTTGTGGGAACTCAAGTTCAGACCACTGGGATTGGCAATTCCCCTCTGGCTAGTGCTGGTTTAAATGTTCCCTCCATGGGCAGGTGGCAGCTGAGTTAGGTCCTGTTTTCCTTTGTGCCTTAATGGGACAGTGCTGAGTTCAATGCCTCACAATTGCTGTCCTCTCCTTCCTCCAGTGCCCAGATATACTACCTGCACCACATCGCTGCTGCTGCGGTTGGGGAAAAGGTAGCATCAGCGATTCAGGACTTTTTGTGTTTGTTTGTTTACCTCGTTAGTGCCTCTTTCAGTGATATGAAGTTCCAGCCAGGTGCTATGAGTGCTCACCTGATTTTTGGTTCTTATAAAGGTGTTTTTTCTGTGTAAATAGTTGTCAAATTGGTGTCCTTGTCTGGAGTAGGGCGATCAGTGGAGACTTTTATTCTGCCATCTTGCTCTCCTTCCTTTGAAATTCTTCAAGAATTAGGATGTATACCTAGACTGCCTTATTCATCTTTACAAATACAACATCTAGGAAACTACTGAGTTTATAATAGGCAATAAGAAGTGTTTGCAGCTAAGTGTACTAGAAATAGTAGACCAAATGGTCTACTATAGAAAGGCAGTATGTAGAGTGATTAGAGTATAGCTTCTGGCAACAACTAACTATAGGTTTAGTTCTCAAATCTGTTATTTTCTACCTGTATGATTTGGGCAAATTATTTAGCTTTTTTGAACTTTAGTTTTCTTCCTTATAAGAAGGGGAACGTAATCTGCACCTTTGAGGGTGACATGAAGATTAAATGAGAAAATGCATATAAAACATTTATCATTCAGTATAGTTCATAGTAAAGCTCTCAAAAATGACAGAAAAAATATGAATTTAAATAAAAAATATTTCTGAAAGTAGGTTTTTTTTTTCCTATTCTTTGTTGTTAAAAGGGAACTGGACTTTTGGTTCAAAACGGTCTACTGAACACCCAGGTGTATTTCACTTCTTTCCAATGATGCTATTCAGTGACAGTGAAGATATACTAAAAAGAACAAATCTGTAGATAGTGCTGAAAATAAGAGTGAGTGTGTCATCAACAAACAGCAGCTTCCTAAACTATGTGGAAATCTGAAAGCAAATGGGTTCATATCGATGTACAAGCCACAGAGGAACTTTATCCTGGAAAATGTACCTGAGCAAGTTACACCAAAGACGTGAGTAATTCTAACCCATGGAGCTCCCAAGAGCTCTAAATTTGGAGATGAAACGATGGAGTCAGAGATTACATAATAAGGAGAAGAAATTGGAAATATAAGTGTTAATATATGTGTAAACATTCAGGAGTTACTGCATTTTGAAATCTGAAAATATGACTATCAAATTTTTTAAATAGTAAAAGCTGAATAATAAACTTGGCATGGCTGAAGAATAAATCTGCAAGATTAAAATAATAACTAAAATTAATATAACAGAAATTGGAAGTGGCAGGAAAAGTTTTCCAAAATCAAAACCAATATTTTCATTTACTTAATTATAATATACAATGTCTGTAGCTCTGTGTTATTTTTTGCAAAACCCAAACAAAAAAGTTCTAGTTTATTCACATACAACATTGTTTGCTATTATAATTATTTATACTTTCAACTTTGTTAGATAATCTATTATCATAAAATGGTATCGGGGCATCACTTCCAAATATTGGACATCCTATGATAATTGGTTTTTAGGGAATATCTTCATTGGTTTCTAAATATTTTGCAACATCTCCTTTTATCTTAGGGTAGAGTATTTCTATATCTCTTTTGTGCTTTGAGGTAGCACACCTTAAAACAAACACTGGTAAGTAATAGATTCTTTTATCACTTATAAATGTACTGAAAATTAAATATTCATCAATCTATATCCCTTGAAGTATACAAACAGGTAGCCATATAAACCAATCTATGTTAGTTAATGGTTTTCTTCTGTAAATTGCGACTTGCTTTAGGTGACTATTTTATTGTTAAGGACAATAAAAACATTTCAGAAACTATTTAAAAAATCCATTATCACTCCAGGTCTGTAGAAATCAATGTATAGATTAAACTTCATCATTTTTATTTACATGGAGAAGCAATTAATCATTAATAATTACCTAGTTTGGAACTGTAACCATTTAGAACGTTTAGTTCTTTTCATTGCTATGCCTAACCCAGGATCAAAATGGGAACATGGATTTAATTTTACCCTTTATCCTAGGTCTCTGGACACATATTTACAACCCCCAAATTATAATAGATTTGAATCCTATAATTAAAATACAGCCCCAAGAAAGTTTCCAAGCAGTGTCACGCAAAGAACAAAAAAAGAGATCTTATTTCAGAGCAAGATAAAGAAGAAATCTGAAAATCTTTATTTTCTTGTGTTTACCAAGCCAAGCCAAGCAAAAAAAAGAAAGAAAGAAAGAAAGAAAAAGTAGAGCAAAAATTAACATTAAGTAAATGGAAATAAAAATAGAAGCATTTTCAAAAACAATCTCAATTTGATATAAAACTTTGTGAAGACAAAGATTTGTTGTGACATTCTAGGTTTGTTAATTCCAATTTGCTAATTTTTGATGAGATTGTGGAGGCAGAAGTCATGAATACCAAAGTGGAGAGAAGAGGGACGGTGTCTGGTTTAAAGAGCATCGATGGGGATGAGCTAGTGCTTTAGATGAATCATAGTTTAGGGAAAGAAAGAAGAATTTAGTATAAATAAAATTCTCTTACTTTTTCTACCTAGCATCTCTTCGTTTAAAACTCAAACCCCACCCACAGCATTCCTGCTCAGACCGGTGGTTTGGATTGGGTTGGCGCCAACCTGTATGCCCTCCTTTTCCCTGGCCTAACTCAAGGGCCACACTGGACCTAGCCAAATAGAATGCTTCTTTCCCTTTGCCATGAAGATTTGTTCAGAGGGGAGGAAAGTAACCAAAGCCGATCTTTTCCAAGAGTTTTGGCAGGGATATCTGCAGAGATATAATTTCAGAAATATTCAAAAACCATACAAAGAATTAGAAAGATATCTAAAAGGACATAAAGGAAAAGTTAAATACATGAAAAGGCATAGCATATTTGTTATGGGTAGGAAGATTCAGAATTGATAAGATATTAATTGTCTCAAAATTAATTCATAGATATTCAATATTTTGACCAAAAACCGAAAATGGTTATTTTATCTGAAGGCATAAATGCATGGGCATAGTTCTCAGATGAAACAGATGGGTGAGATTTTAGCATAAAAAAATAAAGTTGTAAAAGTAATGGGAAAACCATAAGAGTAAGTATTATCTAAGTCTTGAAGTAGAAAGCTTTCTAATTTGACATCAAAGGTTATAAAGCATAAAGAAAAAGAGAGTTGACACATATCTGCATGGAAGAATATACCATATAATATAAAAAATCAAAAGACAAGTGATAAATTGAAGAAAAAAACTTACAACCTATGTGAGAGAAATGGAGTTTATATTCATAATATGTAAAGAAATAGCACATACTGAAAGCATATAAAAATTTCACAAAAAGAAATGGTTACATGACATGGAAAGGCAATCTCAAAGAAAACCAATGACTAATAATCACATCAAAGACAATTGACAAAAATGCCAGTTAGTTCAATCATGTGATATCATCTGTCATTCCTCAGAGTAGCAAAGATGAGAAAGTACGAGTAATGCCAAGTACTGATGAGAGTAGAAAGAAATCAGTTTTCTCATATTTATTGGTTTTGGTAGTATAAATTTGTTCAATATTTTTGGAGGGCAATGTTTATTTTAACATTGTCATTTTTGCAAAAATAAATTTAAACCATGAAATGACCATCTAGCAGAACTTGTTAAAACAAATTAAGATATAACAATAAAATGAATGCAAAATATTCATCAACATGCATGAGAGATCTATATGATTATATGTGAAAAAAAATCCCTGCCACAGTATAGAGTAAAAGGCATGTTACCAAAAAAGTTATAAGACCAAATATGCAATCGAGTCACCTATAAATTATAATTAAGCTTACATCTATTTAGTGCTTATCATGTACCAGGCACTAAACTACATACCAAGTGCTACAGATGCAAGCATACACATATGCAAGCACACATCCACACATACATGTATACATATACATCCAATTTTTATCTTTGTGAAATAGGAAAGCTGGAGTAGAGGGTGGGTGGAGAAGGAAAGTAGGGAGGTAGGGAGGTTCAAGAAGAAGTAAGTTTCAGCAGGATTGTCTGAATTTTTTTAGTATGGACATACATTTGCTTTGTTATCAGGAAAAAATTGATCAAGATATTTCCGTTTTGAGAGAAAGCGAGAAAAATATGTGATATTTTGTTCGTTCACCAAAAACATTACTCATTATTTTCACAAGACTAACTATAATTTTGATATGAGCCACTTTACCAAAAATAGTGCCTTGTTCGTCTTGGTATTTCATCTTAGATTTTTCACTTGAAAAGTTATTAATACATGGTGGCTCGATTGAATGACAAGTTACTTTTATCAGATACTTTTGGGAATGATAAGGTTTTGTAGGTTGATTCTAGTTTCCATTATGTTAAGAAATTAATATTATAAAAATATGCAGTTTTAAAAATATATGTTTTTCTTCATAAAATACTTATTTTCAATAATATACAAAAGCACAGTTTCAGTTTTTATGAAAACTCTTTGGATATTTAATATTTTAAACATATACACAATATTTATTCTGCTGCCTTTAGTGGAGTCAAGTTCAAATATTTCTGTACATGACTTCAGTGCCATATTATATTGCATAAATATATGTATATTGTTTATTTATATAAATTATATAAATATTATATTGCATAAATAAATATTTATATTATTTAATTATATAAATAATATAATATTTATAAAATATTTCATATTATAAATATTTATAATATCATAAATATAAATATAATATTTATATTATTTATAATAAAATAAATAATATTAATATTTATATTAATTTATATTATTTATTTAAATAAATAATATAAATAATATTTATATACATATAAAATATTTATTTATATATTATTTATATAAATATAAATAAATATTTATATAAATAATATAAATAAATATTTATATAAATAATATAAATATAATATTTATATAAATAATATAAATAAATATTTATATAAATAATATAAATATAATATTTATATAAATAATATAAATATAATATTTATATAAATAATATAAATATAATATTTATATAAATAATATAAATATAATATTTATATAAATAATATAAATATAATATTTATATAAATAATATAAATATAATATTTATATAAATAATATAAATATAATATTTATATAAATAATATAAATATAATATTTATATAAATAATATAAATATAATATTTATATAAATAATATAAATATAATATTTATATAAATAATATAAATTAATATTTATATTATTTATTTATATCATATCGTAGTTTATACTACATATTATACACAAGCATGTACACACACACATATTTTGGATACCTTGAACATATATATTCTGAAATGGATATATTCCAAGATCATATAAGAAAAATAATTTGTTTTACAAGAATGCCTCCAACAAAGAGGCACTGGGCCATCGCTTCCACCATGCTGTTTTAGGATATATTTGGGCTCACAAACACATAATTAAAAGCTTTGTAGGGTAATAAAACACTTTGACTCTAGGGGCAGACCTATTGACCAAGACTGAAAATACGGAGAATGACGAAAAGGGGTCTTAAATTCAATTTTTAAATTCACAAAGGGTCACTGCCATAGAAACATTTATAACTCAAAGTTTGGCTTTCTGCTTTTCTGTATTGCTATCTGTTGCTGCCAGTTGGTGTAATGAACTATGACCACCTCAACACCAAAGGGAAAGATCATCCCATTTAATCAAATGAAATCAAATAACATGAAAAGTTCTCACCTCTAGGGGTATAGAATTGTCCTCCAACTGTCAGGTGGATATGTTTCAAGGATCCTCTTGATTAAGGCCTCCAATATTTTTAGAAAAGAAATATCAAAACCTGTCATATAATATTGCACTGAAGTCATGTACAGAAATATGTGGATTTAAAAATCACAAATACAGCAGATTGAAGGTTTCAACATTTGACATCAATTCACCCTCCTAAACACAGTGCTCTTAGTGTGAAAGTGTTTGTCAAAAAACAAACAGTAACGTTTTCTTCGTAAATTTCTGTACTATCTTCCAGGAATGGCCTGCTAAAATGAATGTGGCTATGCATTCAAGGATATGGGAGTCCAGCTTCTAAATGAATTATTTTTTATGAATATGTTGTACTTACATGCTACAAGATGTGTCAACTTCTAGCCCTAAAAAAACTGCTATTTTGATTCAGAATTCATGTATTAAGTAGATATAAATAAAAATAATTCTTCATCACTAAACACTGCTGAGTTGCAACATAAGATTTTGATGAACTAAATGAGTAGCTGCAGTCCCTGCTACTTAGTACTAAAAAAGTTTCCAAAAAGAATGAATTTATTTTTACTGTAGAGAAAAAAACAATTAAGAACTAAGCATACTTACATTAAAAGAAGATCTTATGAGTTAGAAATGTGCGGTAGATCTTGCTCTCCTGACATTATTTTTGCAAGGCATTGTGTAGATACTTTGTAAAAATTAAAGTCTTGCTTTTGCATGCCCAAATGTTATTTAAAATTAGTTAAAGGTGGATCTTTAGCAGAAAAATCACTTTGAAGAAAAACATAGAGCCTATAGAAACACCGTATTGAGTTGCTAGCTTCCCTAAGTGAAAGGTCTGATAGTGAATTTTTAAACATCAAATTAAAATCTTATCATACGTTAAAAAATTAAAAATGTGCAAAAGTTCTAAAATGAACTAGAAGCCAAGAAGTAAGTGTCTGGTATCGAGTATTACCTGAAAATACAATGTATAAATGAGTGCTTGGAAATTATTCCAACAACTTATGTCCTCTATCCATTTATTATAGGGGAAAATGGCAGGCCTATCCCAATGTATTAAATGTAAAGCCAGAATTAACCAAATTTTAATCTTCTATATTTCCTTAAAGCTAAGCAGAGGCCTCAGCAACATGAACCCCTCACCACAGGAGTTGTTAGTGAAAAAATATACTTAAAAAGTCTTGCTATTCCAAAACACAGCAGAGATCTATGCAGACTGTAATCTGATGAACTCTGCATGTAGGAGGAAAAAGAAGGCCAAGTGTTGGTTGTGATGTGTTGTTGGAGAATATGTGGATTGTTCTTTGGTTCTGAAAGGTGAAAGAGTAGGGAAGTAGAGGAAATGATCTTCAAAAGCAAAGATCATCTCCAGAATGTTTCTGAGAAGAATTGGCTTAGTTCAATATTTCAAGACTTTTCTAATTATAAAACAATCGCCTACACTCTTGTTAAAAATACAGATTTCCAATAACGTTCACCTTGCCCAAATTATGATCCAGGAGGGTTGGAGTAGTGCCATAATCTGTATTTTTGAGGAGCACCCCAAGTTAGTCTTATGATAAGATAGGTTTGGCAAACACTTTCCTAATCTTAATTGCTCAACCTTGCGCTTTACCAACACAGCCTGATAACTAACCATTCAGTGCTGAATAAAGAAAACCATGTTCATTCAACTAAACAAGAT
Source organism: Homo sapiens (assembly GCF_000001405.40). Classification (NCBI taxonomy): domain Eukaryota; kingdom Metazoa; phylum Chordata; class Mammalia; order Primates; family Hominidae; genus Homo; species Homo sapiens. The sequence continues at coordinate 181,286,366 of NC_000002.12, read as the reverse complement.
CTAAGAGAAAACAGATTTCACATTACTTTAATGGGCACAAATTAAGCCAAAAATAAATTAATTTATGTCATGTGTTCCTTTAAATAATATACTATTATAATTTTATCAGTGATGATGTTAGGAAAAATGGACTACTGTAAGTCATAGCATGTTTTATACTGTTATTATCTGATAAAGATGTGTTTTAACTTAAATAAGTAGAGAAATACATTTGTTATCCCATCCCAAGTCGTTATTCCATTTTCCAAAATCTTCTCCAAACCAACAATTTAATAATTCTTAACATGCAACACTGCTACTTATATAATTAGCATATAGTGGCCTTCAGGTTTTTAAATTAACTTATTTATGTATTTATTTTTTATAATTTCAACTTTTATTCTAGATTCAGGGGGTACATATGGCAGGTTTGTTACATGGGTATATTGCATGACACTGAGGTTTGGGATATGAATGATTCCATCACGCAGGGACTGAGCATTGTACTCATTAGGTACTTTTTCAGTCCTTCCCCGCTCCCCAGCTCCTTCCTCCATTAGTCTCCAGTGTCTATTGTTCCCATTTCCCATTTATAAGTGAGAATATGTGGTATTTGATTTTTGTTCCTGAGTTAATTTGTTTAGGATGATGCCCTCCAGCTCTATCCATGTTGCTGTAAATGATATATATTTGCTTTTTTTTTTGGCTGCATTTTATTCCATAATATATTTGTATCACACTTTCTTTATCCAATCCACCATTGATGGGCCCCTAGGTTGATTTCATGTCTTTGCTAGATCTTAAATTAACAATCTAACATCACAGTTAAAGGAATTAGAAAAACAAAAACAAACTAACTCCAAAGCTAGGAGAAGAAGAGAAATAACTAAAATCCAAGCAGAACTGAATGAAACTGAGAACCCAAAATCCAAAGGATCAAGGAAAAGAGAAGATTCAAATAACCACAATCAGAAACAACATATGTAACATTACCACTGACATCACAGAAATACAAAAGATCCTCAGAGATAGTATGAATACCTCTATGTATACAAACCATAAAACCTAAAGGAAATGGAAACATTCCTGGAACACACATCCTCTCAAGATTGAATAGGGAAGATATTGAAACCCTGAACAGACCAATACTATGTTCTGAAATTGAATCAGTCGTAAAAAAAAAAAACCTACCAACCAAAACAGGCGCTGGACCAGATGGATTCACAGCCGAATTCTACCAGATGTACAGAGAAAAGCTGGTACCAATTCTAGTGAAGCTATTCCAAAAAAATCAAAGAGGAGAGACTCCTCCATAACCAATTCTACAAAGCCAGCACCACCCGGATATCAAAACTTAACAAAGGCACATTAAAAAAAATTAGAAAACTGCAGGCCCATATCACTGATGAACATAGACACAAAAATCCTCAACAAAATACTAACAAACTGAATCCAGCAGCACATCAAAAATTTAATTTACAATGATCAAGTACGCTTTATCCCTAAGATGTAAAATTGATTCAACATATGTAAATCAATAAGTGTGATTCATTACACAAACAGAATTAAAAGCAAAAACCATATGATCATTTCAATAGATGTGAGAAAGCTTTTGATAAAATTCAATCCTTCATGATAAAAACCCTCAACAAAAAAGACATCAAAAGAATGTACCTCAAAATAATAAGAACCATCTATGACAGACCCACAACCAACACCATACTGAATGGGCAAAAGCTGGAAGCCTTCCCCTTAAAAACAGGAATGGCCGGGCGCGGTGGCTCACACCTGTAATCCCAGCACTTTGGGAGGCTGAAGCGGGCAGATCAAGAGATGGGGACCCTCCTGGCCAACATGGTGAAATCCCGTCTCTACTAAAAATACAAAAATTAGTTGGGTGCGGTGGTACATGCCTGTAGTCTCACCTACTCAGGAGGCTGAGGCAGGAAAATCGCTTGAACCCAGGAGGTGGAGGTTGCAGTGAGCTGAGATGGCGCCACTGTACTCCAGCCTGGTGACAGATTGAGACTCCGTCTCAAATAAATAAATAAATAAATAAATAAATAAATAAATAAATAAATAAATAAAAATAAGAAAACCAGGAAGAAGACAAGGATACCTACTCTCACCACCCGTTTTCTACACAGTACTGGAAGTCCTAGCCAGAGCAATCGGGCAACAGAAAGAAATAAAAGGCATCAAAATAAGAAAAGGAGTCAAATTATCTTCCTTCGCTGATGGTATGATTCTATACCTAGTAAACACTAAAGACTCTGCCAAAAGGCATCTAGACCTGATAAACGACTTCTGTAAAGTTTCAGGATAGAAAATCAATGTACAAAATTCAGTAACATTTCTATACACCAATAACATTCAAACTGAGAGCCAAATCAAGAATGTAATTCCATTTACAGTAGCCGCACATACACATACAAAGATACCTAGGAATACATCTAACCAAAGAAGTTAATAATCACTGCAAGGAGAACTTTAAAATACTGCTGAAAGAAGTCAGAGATAAAGCAAGCAAATGGAAAAACATTTCATGCTCATGGATGAAAAGAGACAGTATCAATAAAATGGCCATGACCCCCTCTCCATGCAATCTACAAATTTAACATATTACTATCAGACTACCAAAATCACTTTACACAGAATCAATTTCACCAAAACAGCATGGTACTGGTACAGAAACAGTTTTTTTTTAATGAAGTATCCCTGTTGTCTCATATTGAGATTCTGAAGCCATGTACACATTCAATTTAATAAAACAGACTTTATATTAGAAACAAATTCAGAAAACAATATTTTGCTATTTTGAAACTTTTTAAAAGGCTAGTCCTCCCCTATGTAAATAATTCTTCTTATCCATGATTATTAGAAGTATTTTATATTGAGTAGTCCAGTGAGGATTTTTGTTGGTCCCCTTAGGATCCCAATCATCCCAGTTGCTCCTTTGCTCCTAAAGTGCATGAATCTACCCTCACCTCAGATGATGGGCTCACAGTTTCTTCCACCAGCTGTCATCAGAAAGCCAATTAAACTGTTGTGTTAAATAACATAATTGCATATTCCAACCATCTTTCAAGTTGCTCTAAATTCTTCCTTGGATCAAAGAACTGGACTAACAAAAACCTACATAGTTGAACTGCATGAACTTTATCCTTCATGGAGTTTGCATCACTGAATTGTCCACTGGTGGTAAGATGGGCTTTTCCAAAAGATCAAACAGAAAACAATACATTAATATTTTTGCTTCAGCAATCGAGTGTTGAAACCATAATGTGTATTTATTGTAATATGCTCTCTGTAAATCCTCTTGTAAGAAATCCCATTAAGAAATTATTGTTAAGAAAAATGTTGCTTTATCTGAATAATTGGCATACTTTTCCCATATAGATACTGAGAAATGATATGACTGAATATATTCTTCTTTTAAATTGGCTGCCATGAATCTTAAAGCCAAATTTGAAGCTTAAATTTGAAAGCTCAAATATACAAAGATACCTCTCTCTCATATTGACTCACACAGATATACATAAATTCACACATATTGACTCTAGTCTTTTCTTTTTTTAACTCTTATATACTAAGAAAAATATCCTGATTATTTTCTACTATCATTTTTTTTAAGTTTTAAAAATAATTCACCTCAATTATTTTGTGGGACAAAAAAAGGATTTCCTACTTCTACTACTGTCAGTACTAATAATATCCAGCAACTATTAATGAGAATTACTTTGAGCTCAATTGCTAGGACTATTTCTCCATTAAAAATGAAGTCATTAAAGTTCAAGAGGTTAAATAACTGATTCACAGTGTCACCACTAGTAAATGTCAGACTCAAGTTTTGAAGCTAGGTCTTAGGTCCGAATTTAATCTTATATATTTAACCACTGTGGAATGTTATAAATAACAAACATACAATTTACTAATTTCTCTAACAGAAATTAGTAAAAAAATTATCTAATAGAAATTTTAACAGTATACTGATTTGAAATCATGAACCATTGTTATGTGTCAATCTTTATTTTCCATTTTTAGTGATATTTGTATCTCACAAATAGAGCTTAATACTCACTCTGTTGATTACAGGCTGATATATTAGGTTAAGCAAAATACTTTTGCACCAATCTAATAGTTTGGATGTCCCATCCAAATTTCATGTTAAGATGTAATACCCAGTGCTGGAGGTGGGGCCTGGTGGGATGGGTTTGGGTCATGGGGGCAGATCCTTCATGGCTTGATTCTGTCCTCATGATAGTGAGTGAGTTCTCATGAGATCTAGTTGTTATAAAATATGGCACTGCTCCACCCAACTCTTGCTCCTGCTTTCATTATGTGACATATCTGTTCCCACTTTACCTTCTACCATGAGTAAAATTTCTCTGAGGCCTCCCCAGAAGCCAAACAGATGCTGGTGGTATGCTTCCTGTACAGTCTGCAGAACCATGAACCAATTAAACCTCTTTTCTTATAAATTGCCAGTCTCAGGTATTTCTTTATAGCAATGCAAGAACAGCCTAATACAGAGGCCATTCCTTCTATCTTTGTACCGCACACCATAACAATTCAGGGGCTTATACACAGTTATAAGGCAGAAAATTATCAAAAAGTTTTTAACTTAACAAAAACAACCAAAAACTTATCAATTAAACATAAAGAAACTATTCTTGTGTTACTTAACTTAGAGACTGAAACTTAATACTACTCTGCTTCACTATTGGCTTCCTTGGTCACTAGCAAACTCATACTGCATTAGATTCCAAAATCAAATGCCTGAAAGATATGTTAGAAGTTATGTTTTGTGTGTCTGCCTCACTTGATTTCCCTCAAATCCTAGCACCTAATTCTAAGCCCCCATGTACAAGAAGTGTACTCTATTATATCAGTCTTAACATAAAGGTAGTTTCCTTGCAATAGTCTTCCTTTGAAAAATGGATCTGAGAATGACAAGTAGAAGGTGGCTGCCTACATTTCCTGCTAGTGGTAAGCATAATTTAGATTGTAGATTCTTGGAAGACTGCCATGTAGACAGGTGGTTTTCTACATTTTTATTCAGCGCTCATATTTCTAAGTGCTGAGAAACCACAGTTATAGATGGTATAAAATACATGGCTAGATATTCAAGGAATTAGTTTAAGTCAAATATTCATCAATTCTATCTTCTAACATTTGCTCTCTGGAGTCAGGAACTAAATATTCAGATGCCCTAGTCTATCAAATCGTGGCATGTTAGACCTCAAAGCTTTGTATGGAATTTTCTATAAGTGCTGTTTCTCATTCCCATAGGGAAGTGAAAGCTATCCTTTAAATATAAAGACTGTCAAATTAGACCAGCTTTCTCAACTTATTTATTAGCAAAAGTGAAACAACAAAAAACAGTGTTTAAGCTTGTCTGTATTACATACACAATCCAAAAATGTACTTTATTCATTTACATGCATCACTTGATAGACAAAGTTAATAATCTTTAACAATTACTTTTATTGTTATAAAAGCAAATTGAAGTTATGCAAGGTTCTGTATATGCTTTATTTTACAAGTCAGAAATCAATATTATTATATAGATCACTATCAAAGCAGGCTTCTTTCTTGGCCTCCAAATCTAATCAATTACAAGCAAACTTCCTAACAATTTCTCAAACCCGTCCTTTTCTCCTCATCACCACTGACATGGCTTTTGTTCAGGCAACCATAATTTCTGGTCTGATTAATTACCGTTGTCCTAACCGGGCCAAGTTTATCCTCTTTTGATCTATGCCTCACATTACCACCAGGGTGTTATTTCTAAGAGTCAGTGCCAATTTTGCCACTCCGTTGTTTAGAATCCTTTAATAACACCCAAAAGACTATAAAGGATAAATCCTGACTGCTTATTATGTCACACAAGGCCATTTTAAATCTGGTATCTACTACTCATCCAGCCTCATCTCCTATCACTCACTCCCACTCCTTCATCCTAGGAATTCGCAAAATGCTTTGCATATAGTTGACAATCAGTATGTAGAATTAATGATTGAATTGTTTTAAGACATTGATACACAGAAAGGTTAAGTGACTTGTTCACTATCAATACAAGCTGCTATGGCTACTAATCCATTTTTTGCCACTTTATAAATCCACCAAATAATAAAAGAGGTAAGCAATTGCCTTGCTCTCTACATGATACATCCATTAGAGCACACTTAAAGTATTGAGTGTTCAGCCCTGAGTAAAATTTTTTCTCCCTTAAATAATACAGATTATAAAAATTGGATAAAAATGGGGTCAGTCTCTGTACCAAGTTAAGAAATTGCTCCTGTATTCATATTCTTCATTAATACCTTCTCCGAGTCTGGTCCTTCACTATATAGGCACATCTATTCAAACCACATGCTGTCAGTTGCCTTGCATATGCTTCCCCTATGGGCTATTTCAAGGGAATTACCAGCTTTCAAGCGAGGTCTTGGAGTAATGTGTAGGCTTCAAGCAACTGTGTGCTATTTTACCGTTATCCCTTATGTCTTTGACAATTTGCAATTTTATAAATCACAACATAAACATAATTTTAAAATAATTTTAGTCATATGTTTCAACTCTCATAGGAAATTGTGCTATGCTTAATGTATTTAATAAATCATTAAATAAACCAAATGAAAGTAGAATGTGATATAAAGAGACATGAAAGGCTTTCCCTGGATGAAATTTAACTTTACAAATGAGTCAAGAGACTTGACCAAGGGTAAGGCAGCCAGAATGTCTCAAGGGGGAAAAAACGGCAATATACAAACAATTGCATATGATTCCATGTTAAAATAACTCCTGCCTTTTCTCCCTGTCATATGGATGCAACTATTTTCTCTTATAAGTTTATGTATCGTTCACTCTGAACCTTAAAACTTTTTCATGTTACCCTTTGACAAGGCTCATCATAGAACGATATTTCAGGCCCATGGAAGTTTTAAACAGTGAATTATGATTCTTTCTTTCTGAAATCTTTAAATCTCTCTTTGCTTTTCTTCTGTTCTTGCTGGCCTCCCCAATATTTTATACATGTACAATAAATTATATGTGATCTCTGCCCTTGATATTCAGTGCCAAATGTGATGGAAACTAAGGCTTGTACCATTCTCTTCACTCTTGAATCTCCAATTCTGGTTTGGTAAAAGTCAAGGGTATCATTAATTATTTAATAAATGTTATGAGCATCCTTAACAATACAAGTTTCAATTAATTTTATTAAAAAGCATATACTATGCAGCACTTTATGGTAGAAACAAAGTTACTATGAATAAAATAATTTAATCATACAGACAAAGAAGATTCAACTATTTTCTCTCTCTTACATCCTTAAGTGATGTCATATTGATGAATTGTTGGGTGAACAATAATTTCTAACTAGGAAAGAGAACATAGAGAAAGATTTTAATTTCCCCGATTTACTTTTTAAGGCAAGATTTTGCTATTTGGCTTGTATTTGGAATTACAAGACCGAGGCCTAGCTCAAATGTAAACTAATTTTTAGAAAGCTGCCTAATCTCCCCTAACCTTCAATTTCTTAACCTGGAAATTAAAAGGGTTGGATTGGATCATTTAATCTCTAAATGCTCCCCAAAGCCCCTTCTACTTACAGCATTCTGCAATTTCATTTTGCTTTTTGTACATAATTTCTCACTCCCACTGTGATATTTTTCATATATCAGAAATGTCTTATTTATTTTGTTTATGGTTCAATGTTAAAATAAATCTTTTATTTGCATAAACATTCAGGGAACATAACATTTTCCTCTTATTCAGAAAGAAGAGCACAACCTCCGGGGGATGACATACACCATAAGATCTCTCAAAATTATTGTCACATTTTTATCGCGATCATACCTTGAGAATGGGAGTCTGAACCCCTTATTTCAGACTGATAAGGAGACCAAACAGTTATCTAGAACAAATACATATATATACATTTTTTTGAGATCTCACTTTGTCCCCCAGGCTGAAATGCAGAGGTTCCATCTAGGCTCACTCCAGCCTCAACCTCCCAGGTTCAAGCGACCTCCTGCCTCAACCCCCCAGGTAGCTGGGACTACGGGCTTGTGCCACCATGCCTGGCTAAGTTTTGCATTTTTCTGTGGAGATGGGGTTTTGCCAGGTTGCCCAGGCTAGTCTTCAACTTCTGAGCCCAAGCAATCTGCCCTCCTCAGCCACCTAAAGTGCAAGGATTATAGGTGTGAGCCACCGCGCCTGGCTAGAACAAATACTTTTTAAAAAATAATTGGACCTTAAAGACAAAAAAAAAATTAAAAGACTTATAATGGCCATAACTAATATTTATATAGTACTTATCATTAAAAGACTACATGCTTTCAAAAATAGGCTCCAGAGTAGAAATAGGTTTTCTACATAAATTAACGTGATGGAACTGAAGCACCAAGAGTTACTTGCTTCTTGCTTAAGAATAGCAATTGAGGCCGGGTGCGGTGGCTCATGCCTGTAATCCCAGCACTTTGGGAGGCCGAGGCAGGCGTATCGCAAGGTCAGGAGATCAAGACCATCCGGGCTAACACTGTGAAACCCGGTCTCTACTAAAAATACAAAAAAATTAGCCGGGCGTGGTGGCGGGCACCTGTAGTCCCAGCTACTCGGGAGGCTGAGGCAGGAGAATGGCGTGAACCCGGGAGGCGGAGCTTGCAGTGAGCCGAGATCGCGCCACTGCACTCCAGCCTGGGCGACAGAGAAAGACAGCGTCTCAAAAAAAAAAAAAAAAAAAAGCAATTGAATCCAGCTGCTTTCCACTAGGTGAAGAGTCAAATATTGTAAAGTGGAAAATATCTCAGGGTGTCTGCCCATCCCACTTCTCCTTCGAGAAGGGTCACTCACTGTCTTTAGTAGCCATTTTTGTACTTTGCTCCCTGCCCATAGCTGATCCGACTGTAAGTGGAAACTCTCCCCTTGCATAGTCAATCCATTGGCTGAATTATAACAATGAATATTTCTAGTAATTGGGTGAAGAGACACTAGCTAGTTGGTCAGTGGCACTCAAGCTGGAAGGCTATGTAAGCTAGGAGTGGGTGCCACATGCACCCTGAACTATCAAGAGAAAGATAGAGGAAGGGAGGGAAACAGAGAAGGAGAGGGGTAAAAAGGGAGAAAGGGGTGGATAGGAGACAGGGAGAGTAAGAGAGAGAGGAGCGAGAGAGACAAAGATGAGGGTGGGGATTCAGACAGAAAAAGAAAGATAAAGAGCTATATCTCTACTCTTGGGTTGTATTTTAAAAATTATGCATCCCAATAAATTCTCCTCTTTAATTCAATCTAATTTGAGTTGATGATTTTTTCTTGTAAGATATCTTTCTATAAGACCTAATGACTCTCAAATCAGTCCAGGATTCTTTCCCTAAACTCTCTTTTACTGGGCCAATGTGGTATCTAGTAACTACTACTACTATTTGCAAAAGTAGGTAAGCGGCTTCCACTAACTATGAAACAGTTATCTATTTCCATAAATGATAGCTTGGCACCAAATACATTTAAAATGTGATGTGATTTTTTTTCTTTTTCTTTTTCTTTTCTTTTTTTTTTTTTTTTCACTGTAAAAGATCAATATTCTTTCTAGTCAAATTCCAGAAATAAAAAGAAGCCAAAGAATGAGTTCAGTGAGATCCTGGATTTTCCCTTTCTCTACTTTTTCTGCAGAAAGTACGTTTTTGCTCTACTAGTTGTTATTAGAAAGAATATATTATGTAAAGTGATGGAAACTACAATTGATTTATAAGAGTTTTTGTTATTTCTGATAATTTATTATGCCCCTGAGAGTACAAAACTACTTAAAAATGCTTTTTTGCATTACAAATTTTAATACACCAGCATGGGAACGATTTAGGTTGCATTGAGTTTGAAAAAGTGCAAAAATATTGCTTCTGACATCAACAATTGATCCCCTAATTTAAAATCCTTTTTCTATGTATATCTGTCAGGTTATTTGGGTATACATTGGTATATGACATCAATTAGAAAAGAACCATTATGAGTGACATAGAAAAAAAAAATGGGTAGGCAGCGGTAAGGAAAGATGGACCTCAATGGAGAGGGGAAGACAAGGATAAACTGGTTCTGAGGCCAGCTTCTCATGACCTCCAACTTCTCCAATGCTGTGACTGTTCTGTGATGGAAACTGCAACTGATTCATAAGAGTTTGTGTTATTTCTGATTACTCCCTAAGCTCAGACAAGCAGCAAACTACTTAAAAATGCCTTCTGCATTATAAATTTTAATAAACTAGTGTGGAAAAAGCTGGAGCTTATTATCACAGAGCTCAACATGCACCTTACTTGGGAATCAGAAGCTGCAGGCCTTGCCAGGAGCTGGAGGAGCTGCAGGCCCGCCACTGCTCAGCACCAATAAGGTGAGCCCTCAGACAAACAGCAACACTAGAGGGCTGCAAACAGAGCAGTGCCCTCAAGTGACCTTCCCAGCATAAAAGAATATGCTTTCTACTTCACTTCCACCTACCACATCTTATGCACTGTGTCTCTTGCACCTCACATTAACCCGGGTTAGGGTTAGGGTTAGGGTTAGGGTTAGGGTTAGGGTTAGGGTTAGGGTTAGGGTTAGGGTTAGTGCACATCTTATGCACTGTGTCTCTTGCACCTTACATTAACCCAGAAGTACGCAGGCAAAGAATAGAGGGAAATACCCTTCCAGCTTAGTTAACTCAACATCATGTATATCCACCACACTGTGGTTCTTGCTTGCTATCATCCTCTTATTGGTGAAAAACCAACAAAGCCCAAATCATAACTTCCTCATTGATTTGACAAATTATTCTTGGGTTAAAACAAGAAAAATTATAACATTACTAAGTTTCAAGTTTAGTTTTTTTTTCGCACCAGAAACACAGTGTTTTGCATACCATAAGTGCTCATGAATATTGATAAGTTGAATTACATGAAATCAGGTGCTTTACAACCCACAATATGGGCTTGACCTAATCCCTCCTTGTTATCTGTGTTATTTTCCCTTGACCAGATTGAGCCACATATTTATTTTTCATTTACTGTCTCTTGCCAGCTCTTTATTGAGTACTTGCCAGTAATATACAACATAATATAACCTATGGTTAGTTCCCATGGCTCTTGAAATTTTTCAAATTATAAAGAGAGAGTGTCTAATGACAAATAGCTGGATTTCTAAAATATTCATGTAAATAAAAACTGTATGACTGGAGTTGTTGTGCTGCACTATTCTGAAGGGATAAACACAACATTTAATTTGTTTTACATTTTGGCTGTTTGCAAAGCTTTCCTGGGTTGTACGGGTCATTTTTATGTAAGATAAATCGACATGTCTCCTGTTAGTAGAGCTCTGCTTTTTCCAATAGTTTCTTAATGTTTGAGAAGTCATGGAATCCTCATAAGAATGTATGAAAGTTATGTACTCTCTCTCTCTCTCTCTCTCTCTCTCTCTCTCTCTCTCTCTATATATATATATATATATATATATATATATATATATATATATATATATATAGATGATTTCATACAATTGTAAAGGAGTCAGAGACCCTCTGTAGCCATCTACAGATCCTCTGGAAAGCAAATAGACCTCAAATCTAAAAACTTCTATTCTTGACTAATGATGATCGTTATGAAGAAGATACTTGAAATCTCTAAGATATTAATTCAAATGTATCATAACTACATTAAAATCTCCTCGTGGGGGTGGAAATACTTAAATTACATTAAAAAAAAAACCTGCAAGCATCTCTACCAGGCAGTGACTCTGTGACTCTGACACCGTTTTGGTGTTTACAGGCTGCCTCTTCCATACTGTCTGTGTTTTTATTTCTTTTCATTACCATTTTGACCACCTGCCTGGTGTTCTAACACAGTTCTTTCTAACTTAATTGATGCCCAATTCGTGTGTTTTAATACATTTTAAATTACCACATATTATATGGATCTTACTCTTTATGAAAATGTTCTCAAATTTTTAAATCATGTTTTTACATTTGATGCATGAACCTCAAAATTATTTTCATTCCATGTGGTGCTGATCTAATGTCAAGGTTTGGATACTGTTGACAATCTCCAAACAAAAGAAGAGATTTCTGTTTTAGTAATTGATCCCAGTTGCTTTTAGAAAGTAGGTTCTCATAATTTAAAAATGTCCAGTTTCACAAGGAGAATTTTTTTCAGCCTACACACATCTGTATAGATTGTCCATCGTCTAAATCACAAAGCAAGATTCTGATTTTTAATTTGTTCTGGCATGAAATTAGGTGCAACATCTGTTTTGCACATGTTTTACCTTTTTATCCCTTTTGCTCATTACTGCAGTTTTCCTACCCAAAGATTTCCAACTGAAAATGTTTTTGAAACCTTGATCTGTATTCTTAAAGGTAAGAAAATTTTTTAAATTAGTTTTCTGTGCTTAAAAAATTAATAAACGTGTTACATTGCCAAAGTGAGTAAATCCTCACTTTAGTAAGGTGATCCTCACCAAATTATAAAAAAGAAGCACTTACATATCACTGTGTCTAAAACTGGCTTCTCTTTAGCAAGGTGGTGAGGAAGATATAACGTATTACTGAGGTGTTACCATGCCCTCCTGACATAGCTGTAGTTTTGCCTCGGATGAGGCAATGTGGACACCATACCCTCCTGCATAGGTTCTGCTTTGGGGGTTGGCCAGAGCTCTGTCTCCCTGAACTCCATCCAGCCGAAGCCTGTGACTCCCAAAAAGGTAAGAAAGAGGGAAAATGGGTTGAGAGGCTGTTACTGATATGCTGCATTAGAAGATGAAAACTTCATAGTAAAATATCATAGGTGGGGACAAAAGAGAACAGTATATTCTAAAAAATTTTACTGAATCATTTTTTTTTTCACATACAGTCAGGCAGCCATGGGGATATGTTCTGAGAAATGCATTGTTAGGTGACTTCATCATTGTGCAAATATCATAGAGTATTCTTAGACAAACCTAGATGATATGGCCTATATACACCTAGACTATGCAGTATAGCCTATTGCTCCTTTGGCTGCAAACTTGTCCAGCATGTTACTGTATTGAATAATGTAGGCAATTTTAACACAATGGTAAGTATTTATGTATCTAAATATAGCTAAATATTGAAGAGGTACAGTGAAAATATGATATGAAAGATTTAAAAATGGTATGCCTGCATAGGACACTTACCCCTGAATGCAGCCTGCAGGACTAGAAGTTGTTTTGGGTGAGTGAGAGAGTGAGTGATGAGTGAATGTAAAAGCCTAGGATATTACTGTACACTACTGTAGACCTAATAAACACTGTGCACTTAGGCTACACTACATTATTTTTAAAAACTTTCTTCACTAATAAATGAACCTCAGCTTACCCTAAGTTTTAAATAAACTGTAATTTTTAAAACCTTTTGACTCTTTTGTAATAACATAACTTAAAACAAAACACATTGTATAGGTATACAAAAATATTTTATTTATATCTTTTCTATAAGCTTCTTTCAATTTTTAAAATTTCATCTTTATACTTTTAAACTTTTCATTTAAAATGAAGACAAAAACAAACACGTTAGCCTAGGCCTACATGGGGTCAGGATCATCAATATCACTATCTTCCACCTCCACCTCTTGTCCCCCTGGAAGGTCTTCAGGAGCAATAACATGCATGGAGCTGTCATCTCCTATGATAACAATGCCTTCTTCTTCTGGAATGCCTCCTGAAGGACCTGCCTGAGGCTGTTTTACAGTTAACTATTTTTAAATAAATAAAAGCAGTACATGCTAATAATGATAAAAAGCATAATAAATGCATAAGCCAACAACCTAACATTTTATTATCATTATTAAGTATTATATACTATGCATAATTAAATGTGCTAGACTTTTATACTACTGGTATGGCAATAAGTTTGTTTACACTAGCATCACCACAAACACTTGAGTAATGTGTTGTACTATGAGGCTACCATGTCCCTAGTGATAGAAATGTTTCAGCTCCATTATAATCTTAGGGGACTGCCATTGTATATGCAGTTCGTTGTTGACCGAAACATTGATATGCAGCACATGACTGTATTTTTCCTTTCTTCTGCCCTCAGATTTTCAGCTGCTAAGCAGATTTCTTTTCTTTTCTTTTTTGTTTTTCTGAGACAGAGTTTCGCTCTTGTTGCCCAGCCTAGAGTGCAATGGTGCGATCTTGGCTCACTGTAACCTCCATCTCCTGGGTTCTAGTGATTCTCCTGCCTCAGACTCCCAAGTAGTTGGGATTACAGGCACACATCACCATGTCTGGCTAATTTTTGTATTTTTAGTAGAGACGGGGTTTCACTGTGTTGCCAGGTTGGTCTTGAATTACTGACCTCAGGTGATCCACCTGCCTCGGCCTCCCAAAGTGCTGGGATTACAGGTGTGAGCCACTGTGCCCAGCCTAAGCAGATTTCTAAATTCCTTGCTTAGAGATACTTGAAACCCTTTCCTTCTCTCCCTAAAGATTCTGCTGGGTGATGGGGAGGGGAGGAAAGAGGTAGATGGCTCTGAGAAGACTAAGAGGGGTAGGAGAGATTCCTTGGGATTGGAGAAAAAAACTGTGTGGGTCCCTTGTTAGTGTGTGTGTGTGTGGGGAGGGTTTGTCTCCAGGGTCAGAAGTCACATACATATGATACCATTGTGTGAAAACAATAACCATCATTCACCAGCGTCCAGAAGGAAACCAAAATAAATATACCTGAAAATTAAAGGAACTTGTATTTAAATAGTTCGCTCTTCTTCTAGTCTATAATATTAAAACTTTTATGAGCATTGTTTTCCTTTTAAATGAAAAACATTCACAAAATGAAGATGATAACCTTTTTTAGCTGTTTTCCAAAAGAAGGCCAGTTGGAGCCACATAATTTAGGTGCCTCAAGCTATCTTTCTTCTAATTACTGCATGAATTCATCTCATCATCATTATCAGGTAACTTTAAATGTACCCACACAGGCTGAAGCATTCCTGGAAGTGCATTTCTCTATGGAAGATAATGCTAGACACCACAATAAAAGAAGCCAAATGTGTTAAAATGCAAGGTGAAAATTAATAAGAAAGAATTCTGACTATCTTTTAAAAATATTCAGTATTGTACAATTGTGCACATTTATCAAATTTCTGGTTTCCCCCACATAATTAGAAAGCTCTAATTTGAAAGATATCACTTTAAATAAATATTCTGTTGTTCAATTCTTTGAGAAATCTCAGAAGCTGAAAATACTAATTTATGATAGGCGAGGAAATCACTCACCAAGAAAAACAACCTGATATCCACCCTAAAACAATGCCGTGGTTTGGTTCAACTATCCCTTACTAAGCCACTTTCAAAATTAACATTGAGAAACGGTAAATTTTTTTGACAGTATTCCTTTTGCAAAACATTAAATAACTACAGAAAACACAAAGATTTCTAAATCTTCCTAATTATGTCTTCACTTATATGCATTTTTAATGAAGAACTCAAAGTAATTGCTAACTCTGGAGTAGTGGAGTATACAAATCCATTTATTTTGTTTAAAAAACATGCAGCTGTCTCTTTGAGAGCCTTTAGGAGGTGAAGCTATATGACTCCCCACCGTGGGACATTCTTAGCACTTATAGCTTACACACAGAATTTTCCACCACTTGTTCTTTACACTTAGTAGTGAATGGCTAAATCTGGAAATACTGTTTCTTGCTACTAAAAAAATAGCACTACACTCGGTAGTCTAAAGACTTGTTTTATATTCAGCAAATTTCTGAAACCCAGAGTGTAAAATTGGGTGTAAAAAGTTCCATGACAGCCAACTATTGCATCTTTTAAGTAGCTTTAAAAAATAAACTTTTAGAGCAATTGCAGATGTTTTTGTTTGCCAGCTTAGACCTGCATTACTTTTCATCAATATCAGGAGGGTTCTGAATGAATGCAGGGTTATGTCCTAGGCACTTAACAAAATATATGTGAGCACAACTATAAGTAATGAAACATTTTCTCTACCACATATGGACATGTTGGCATTCTATCCAATTATCTTACATGATGATATGGTTTAGCTCTGTGTCTCCACCCAAATCTCACCTTGAATTGCAATAATTCCCTCTTGTCATGGAAGGGAGCCGGTGGGAAGTAATTGAATCATGGGTGGGTGGGTTTTTCCTGTACTGTTCTCATGATAGTGAATAAGTCTCATGAGATTTGATGATTTTATTAAGGGGACTTCTCCTGCATAAGCCCTGTTGGCTGCCACCATGTAAGACGTTTCTTTGCTCTCCCTTCCTCTTCTGCTATGATTGTGAGGCCTTCCCAGCCATGTGGAACTATGAGTCCATTAAACTTCTTCCCTTTATAAATTACCCAGTCTCAGGTATGTCTTTATTAGCAGCATGAGAACAGACTAATACACATGGCAAGTACATGGTATTTTCAGCAGATAATTTTGGGCAGTGACATGGGACAAGGAATTGGCAGCATCTGGGGGTGGGAAAGACTGTATCAGCACTGGCTGTTCCTGTGGTCACTTATCTTCCTTTGAGCCCCATTCCTCACCTCTGTAGAATGGAGATTGTATTAATTATAATAAATCTGATGTGATGATTGACTGCTAATATCATATATGGAAAATATGGAGTCCAGGGTCTCGTGCAGAGTCTTTGATGACATTGAGATTATTGTGGCTATTACTAAGAGGATGACGACTGCAGCACATGCTGCCTGTGTTCCTCCCAATTCTCTCAGATCTCTTTTGATCTGCCTGGATATGGTGCTTCCATTTTCAAAAGCCATACCTGTGATACCTCCTCAGAGGGCTACTCTCTGGCTGCCAGAGCCTATGATTGTTGTGAACAGAGAACAGCGAGTAGCTGAAAACTTACATCCTTACCATTAATGGGACTTGTGTGGGTGTAAATATCCCATTTACCCAGCACCTGCCAGGGTGATCTCTGAGGTATGGCCTGCATGCCTCCAGAGCTTCTTCATCTCACTAGAACTTGGCTTAATCCACCCTGGCTTGGCCTTCTCTCCTTCCCAGTCCCACTGTCTGTTCCTTTTCTTTTTTTCCCTGGGAATATTTCTTAGTAACCTACTTTTCCACAAATTCTCATCTGAGAGTCTGCTTCTGGAGAGCCCTAATCTAAGGTAGCAATGAAGAAAGAGGTCAAGAAGAAGAGAAGAAAGATGGATGTAATGGTTAATTTCACGTGTAAATTTGACCGAGCCACAGGTACCCAGTTATTTAAGTATTATTTAAGTGTGTCTATGAGAATGTTTCTGGGTGAGATTACTATTTGAATTAATAGACAGAGTAAAGCATATTTTCTTCCAATGTAGGTCTCATCCAATATCTTGAAGGCATTAATAGACCAAAAGACTGAGAAAGAGAGAATCCACTCTCTCTGCATGATGGTCTTTGAGTTGAGACACAGGTCTTCTCCTGCCTTTGGACTTGTTGGACTTGGACTGGAACGTACTCTATTGGCCCTCCTGGTTATCAGTCTTCAGACTCCAGAATTGCGTGATCCAATTTAATAAATCTCTCTCTCTCTCTGTCTCTGTGCGTGTGTGTGTGTGTGTGTGTGTGTGTGTAGTGGAGGATTGAGAAGTAAAGTTATTTCTAATACTCTTCACTTAGAGTAACAATAGAGTGTGTGTGTGCTGAATTAGAGTAAGAATAGACTGTGTGTGTGTGGTGAATTACAGTAAGAATTAGAGTAAGAATAGAGTGTGTGTGTGGTGAATTACAGTAAGAATGAGAGTAAAAATAGACTGTGTGTGTGGTGGGAAGGACAGTGAGATACGATAGAGAGATTATTTCTGTGGTGGCAGATGGAGCCAGAACCAGCCCTCCTACATATCCCCAAGGAATATGTAGGGGCACAAATCATATTATGGATCAGAAGATTCACATTCTTTCCCTGGTGGATTTCCAAGGTGTACAATTACTATGCATCTTACAACATTTTTCTATATTAGTCTACTAGTCTATATTAGTCTGCTCCTTTGAGCTGCTTAAGGTCAGGGGCTATGTGGTCAGGAGCCACCTGTGAATGCCCAGTGCTCACTGAATGGTTGATGGTTAAGTTAGTGGTTGAGTAAATTAATAGTAAGAACTTCACAGAGTCATCTCATCAATGCCATATTTTGAGTATTCTCTTTTATAACACATTTCTTTAACTAAAGAGTGACCACATAATATGATGAAAAGAACGGGGGATAGGAACCAGGAGCCCTGAACCATGATTATTGTGTGTTGCTGCCAACTGATCTGACTTGGAAAATGTTGTCAGTTTTTTGAGCTTTAGTTTCCTCACTAAAATATTAAAATATTTGAATTTCTAATATTATATTAGCTTTAATATTATACATTTGCCACTAGAAAAAAATAAGCTTGAGAAGAGTAGAAAACAGAATTTTTCTATTTGCATTTTGTATGAAATCTAGAGTGATGATAACCAGTGATCAATCTTGGCAACTTGAGTGTATAAAATTTTTCAGCCCTCTTTAAGATTACAAAACTATAAATTCAAAACTACAAAGGTAAATATTAATTTAAATGAGAAAAACGCTACAAGCTACATAATTGAAAGGTTAAAAATGCAGCAAGCTACATAATTGAAAAGTTAGAAAATAGCATAGATATCAAAAATTCAAGAAAATGTATTTCAATAATTAACCACCTGACACAACTTTATTTTCCCCAGTTTTTTTTGGCTGCATACTCTTTGATTGCTTCTCCATATGATAATGATTTTACAATGTTATAGAGAATGTAGATTTAGTCTTTGCTTTTGTATGACTAAAAGGTTATTTTTTAGTTGATAACATAGAAAATTTTTAATTGATTTTGACATCTGAGCTTCTAAATTTCATTACAATATGCTAAGTGAGTTTTTGGCATTTTGAAGCTTCTGCCAGTCTTCTGTCTTTTACTTTGTTTTTTTGGATTCCATCAACATACTTCATTTCAGTCATATTTGAATGTTGAGCTGATGAACAATCATAAAAAACATACAAAATTAAGAGGAAATTAAGTTATACACTATAGCAAACCAAATGCTTTCTTGAAATGCCACCCTGTAGTATGAGCCAGTATGACTGTATAATCAAATTCCTTTTTTACCATATATATCAACTTATTGATGTATGTGCTCATTTCCTCTCCTACAAAGTAAATGGATTTTACAGGGTGGTGTTTTTAACTTTTCATGATGAAAACTTTCAAATATGGAACAATAGCACAGTATGCATCCATGTGCCCACTGCCTGGATTCAACAATTGTTAACATTTTGCCATATTTACTTCATTAACATATTATGTTTACATTTCACAGTGCCACTGAAAATGTTGCATACTTTCTCTGAAGCTGCCAAACTTCCTTAGGTAAAAATGAGTGAGATTCTCTAGAACGTGTTTAGATGTATAAAACATGCAGCATCTCATTCAGAGGCATTCAGTGTAGTACAACAACAGGTTTTCTGATTATTATGATAAACTATATTTTGTGCAATTCCTCGAATAGTATGTATAGTGCATATTTAACTGTATGCATTATGTTAACCAGTATATTCCTGACAGGAAAGAACTTGCATTTTCATTAGGCATGCATGACAACAAAACCGTCACCTTTCTAATTTACATATCTACTGACTGGATGTCTTTTCCCAGATTCACTGCAGTTCCATTCATGTCCATCTATGTGTTTCTTCCATTCCTCACATTTCTGATACCAGGCACTGCAGGATGGTGTTTTAAGACTTCTAGCCATGGATAGTAAGAGTATTCTTAGAAGTCATTTGTACCTCTGAAGAGCTAACCATAATCTCACTATGCACAGCAGTGATGGCAAAAAAAATTATTTATCCAATCTCTCTTTATATGGAATCCCAAAAATGTTCAAAGCCCTTCCTATGTTGCCTGATATGGGGATGTGTGTATATAGGAGGTTGGGGTGTAAGGGAGGAGAAGCCAGACTGAAAAGAGATAATGGTCTTAGCCAGTTATGGCTAAGATCGTTTTCCTTGTCAATAAGTGAGAAGTCTTGAAGTTAAAGTTGCATATGCTTCATGGTATATCTGTCTCTGCTCCTATTTATCTCCTCACATATGTCTGATAAAAATGATGTCTAAGACACCCAGAGATAGGAGGACTCCAGAATCATCCTGTGAATGTCCCTATGGTTATGTGGAAAAATGTCCTCAATTTCTGAATATACAAGCTGAAGTATTTACGATGAAATGCCCTGACAGTTAAAATTCACTTTAAAATGGCTTGGCACATTTTAGATAGATATGCATGCATTAGTGAAGCAAATATGGCAAAATGCTAGCAATTGTGGAACACAGATGGTGTGTATATGGATGTCCATTGCACCCTTTTTCTACTTCTCTGTGTGTTTGAAAATTTTCATAATAAGTCTAAAATAAGGTACTACTTAACAACCATTTTCTCAACAGAAGATGAAACTGAGGTCCAGAGGAGCCAAGATACTTGCCTAAAGTCACAGCACACACTGCTTCTCCTTTTCTCTGGCTGCTTCTCCTGGTGAGATGATCCAGAATTCCTACCCTAGGGGATTTTCCTGCCATAAAGGCCAGGTTTGCATTTGACTTCTCATTCTGTAGCATCTCCCATTCAACACAACATAAGTGTACAGAGTTTGTGGTAATAAAATGCTAAGAAGTATGATTTTTGCCTTCTTCTATTCATGAGTAAGGCCTGGGTAGTAGAGGTAACTAGATGTATTAGTCCATTTTAACACTGCTATAAAGAACTACCTGAGACTGGGTAATTTTTGAAGAAAAGAGGTTTAATTGACTCACAGTTTTGCAGGCTGTACAGGAAGCATGGGTGGGAGGACTCAGGAACCTTACAATCATGGCAGAAGGCAAAGGAGAAGCAAGCACATCTTACCATGGCAGAGCAGGAGGGCGAGAGACATGAAGGGAGAAGTGCTACACACTTTCAAACAACCAGATCTCCTGAGAACTCACTCATTATCACAAGAACAGCAAGGGGGAAGTCTTCCCCCATGATTCAATCCCCTCTCATCAGACCCTTCCCCTGACACAAGGGGATTACAATTCAAAATGATATTTGGATGGGGACACAGAGCCAAATTTTATCACTAGACTGGAGCTCTGTTTCCATTGACAAGCCTGGAAGTTGACAGAGAGCACTTTACTGAACCTGCTGAGCTGACCTCCAAGAGTAAATTTGCTGGTGACATGTTAATTCTGGTGTTTTGTTTGTAAATGTGCTTAGCAGTTTTCTTTTTCTATTTTTTGAGACAGAGTCTTGCTCTGTCACCCAGGCTGGATAGCAGTGGCGTGATCTTGGCTCACCGCAAGCTCTGCCTTGTGGGTTCATGCCATTCTCCTGACTCAGCCTCCCGAGTAGCTGGGACTACAGGTGCCTGCCACCATGCCTGGCTAATTTTTTGTATTTTTAGTAGACACGGGGTTTCACTATGTTGGCCAGGATGGTCTCTATCTCCTGACCTCGTGATCCACCCGCCTCGGCCTCCCAAAGTGCTGGGATTACAGGTGTGAGCCACTATGCTCGGCCAGCAGTTTTCTTTAATAAGCTCAATGGGATATTATTCTGCCCCCCAAAAAACAAATCACTTGGATAAATCCAAAGGATACATCCTTCTATGAGGAATTTTTGCAACCACATGAAAATGGACAAGGGAAAAAGGAATAGAAAGATAGGCTTACTCAACCTCAGCTACACTCTCTATAGAACTCAGTGGTTTTGTTGTAAAGAAATTTCTTGGCAGTTGGTCAGTTCACAAATATGTATTGAATGTGTTTTAGGGATCCACATCTATGCTAGTGGATGTTGTCACAGGGTGATAGGAACCGAAGAAAAGATGCCAAGAGCAAAATGGTACAGGTGAAGAATACAAGAACTCACCTGTGAGCAAATAGCCCCCAGAGCTGGGGACATAGTAGGAGGCTTGTGGCGGAGCAATAACCTTCAGACACCCAAATAATGACAGATACCACTCAGGAGTCTGTCAGATCTTAGAAATGATTACTTTTGCTATTCTCAAGTTTTTAAATAAAATCTCTGCCCCCAGGACTGCTCCTAGAAAGACTGGCTCTATGCCTGCTTGCTCACCAGGTCAAATAACCAACACAAAACACTCCTTTATATTCCTGAAGCATTTACTGTGAGACTCAGTGAATCAAAGGTCTCAGGCATTCCCATGCCTAGCAGGTTAAATGAATCCTGCCTGAGAGCTTTTCCTTGCAGCTAGCTTCTGGTAATGCAGCAGTGAACAAAAGACAGCCACTGCCCGTATGGAACTTACAGTTCATCAATCAGGGAGCCATCAAACAATATATATATTTTAAAAGCAATTGTCAATTATTTCAAGTGCACAGAGCTTTGTAAAAGAGAAAAATGAAACCTGAAGCATATAGACAGGGAGATCTTTCTACTTATCTATTCATCTATCTAGCCAACACACACACACACACACACACACACACACACACAGACACACACTTTACTGTAAACACCCTGTGAGCCTTGCTCTTAGGAATAACACCTTTGGTGAAAATTAAAAATAACTTTTAAATAATAGTACTTTAAAGTAAAACTAGATTTTAAAATAGAGAAATCATGAATCACAGACATCTGGGGTTCATGAGGACCCAAGAGTCTAAAAAAATGAGGAACTTGAAGGTCACCGGTTTTACAGGATGGATCTTTCTATTCAATTAACTTACTGCAGCCACAGCAGAAGGGTTGTGTCAATATCCATAATAATATTAAACATATACTACGTTCTAGGCATTATTCTAAATGCTTTGTACATAGGAGGAGGAAAATTAAGCACAGAAAATTTAAGTGACTTCCCAATACACAGAGTCAAGATTTGAACATAGGAGTCTACCTCCAGAACCATTATTTTAGCCATTTATTTCTATTATTATAGTCATTTAACTTTTCTCTGTCTTTTGTCACTACCAACTAACCAGCTCATCCTCTGCTCTGGGTATTATACACACTCATTTATTAGGAGGTTATACTTCACAGCTTCTGCCACTGACTTTTCTCCATCAATATCTTTTTGCTCCTTTTCCCATTGACAACTGATTTTCTCTCTCTCTCTAGAATTCCAGTCAAAATTTCAGAAAAAGAAAAATCTAATTGTTTCTATCAGAAAAAAGTCACTATAGTAAATTACCTCCTTTTTCTATCTTTGGCTGTCCTCAGGTCAGATGACTCTCTATTTTAACTGTCCATTGCTATGTCACAAGTTGCTCCAAAACCACAGTGGTGTAGAACAGTGACTTATGCTTATTAATTATTGAGGGCTAGGAACTGCAAGGACTACTTGCCTCTGCTTCACTATGTCTGACTTCCTCTGGTTTGAAGTATGAGGGGCTATAATCATCTGAAGGCTCATTCACTCACATGTCTGGTGACTGACACTGAGAAGACTCCATCAGTTGGGGACAGGCACAGCTGGGCCTCTCTACTTCTGTGCACTGTAGTCTCTCCAAATGATGTCTCTAGGATGGTAACTTCAGGGCATATGGATTTCTTCATGATACCTCAGGGTTCTTAAAGTATGCATCCCAAGAGAAAAAAGATGAGGGAAAATGTTGACTTTTTTATGACCAAGTTTTTGAAGTCACAAAACATCAAGTCCCTCTTTGCCATAGCCTCACCCAGACTCAGACGAAAGAACTCTATTTTTTTCTCCTATGGTTCAATCTATTTTATAATTATTCATATTATTTATGTATTCATCTATTTTATAATTTTTTCTATGGGCTTCACTGGCCTCAAGGTTATAAATGTGCATCTTCCCTAGAAGTCCACTAGCCCAAATGTTAGAAGTATGATTATCCCACCATGAAATTAGCAATTGTCTGCTCTAGTTACTGTATTATTCCCCAAACTTAGCCTGAGGTCCTCGTATAGTATGGAGCTTCAGGACTGTGAAGCAAAGGGGCTATTTATTTTCAATGTGATATACGTTTATTTTGAGAGAGAAGTAACTGAATTATTCCACATAGAGAGTATTTGGGGTACTCCTCTCCATCCAATGCCTCAATTATGTGGTATCTATTCCCAACCACCTGGAGAAGAGTCAGACAAAAAATATTTGCTTCAATTTAGGATTCGGCAAAAAAGACGCTGCAGATTCTATTCTGTCCTGAGACAAAAGAGACTCTATTTGTTTTGTATTCAAAATAATTAATTTGCATGTGTTTTACAAGTATGATTGTAATATTTCTTCTATTGTTACAGTTCAATTGTAAATTCTCCTATATAAAATTATGGTTATGTTCCCTAATCTACATTATGGCAGGTATTTTGTATGATAATATTTTTACAGAATAGATAACAAGAGACTATGGCCTCCTGAACAATAGGAACATATTTGATTCTGAGGAGTTTTAAAATAACAAATCAACCTTTCCCTCTTAAAGCTATTACTTGCAGTAAGATTTACAAAAGGCCTTAGGTGGTTTGTTTTATTGCTGTGGTTTTCAGCAAGACATTTTCTTAAAAAGGTCATATTATGATGTGGGTTTATTTTTAAGGAGATAGATACCTCTTTGCTTTTTAATTATAAGATGATGCAATTTTTTCTCCATATTAAATTTAGAAGCTAAAATCATTGACTTAAAATAGATAAAATGTGAACAGAAGCTTGTCTTTCAGGTCATTCCTCTCACATGTCATTAATATCTTAAGCATGAAATTATGGAAATTTGCAGCAAGGCCATTTTCTTTTCTCTCTAGCATCTCAAGCATACTTTTCAATGACCCAAAAGCTAGTTCTATCTATCATGGCTTCACTGGTAAATTCTACCAAAAATTCAAGGAAGAGATAATATCTATTAATATCTATTCTTTGCAAATTACTTCAGAAAATTGAAATTCATTCTGTGAAGCTAAAATTGCCCTGACATCAAAACTGGAAAAGACATTACTAGAAAAGTATAGATCAACATTCCTCATAGACACAGAAATCTTTAAAAATAATACCAAATTTAATTCAACAATATAAAAAAGAATAATATATCATGACCAAGTAAAGGTTATTCCCCAAATGCAAGACTGGTTCAATACTCAAAAGTTAATCAATAAAATTTACTATATTGACATATCAAAGAGAAAAACCACATGATCAACTCAACAGATAGTGAAAAAGTCTAAAAACATATACCATCTGTTTATAATAAAAACCTTTCACAAATTAGAAATAAAAGATATCTCCATCAACCTGATAAAGAATATCTAAAAAGAAACATATACATAACATTGTATTTCATACCAAATGACTGTTTCCCCCTAAAATTAAGAACAAAGCAAAGATATCTACTTTCACAATTTCTATTCAAAATCCCAATACATGTCTTAGCCAGCACAATAAAGTAATAATAAAAGGCACCCAGAATTGAAAGAAATAAATAAAAGTCTCCTTTTTTAGATGACATGATTGTGAACATAAAAAATCTCAAAGAATCTATTAAAAAGCTATTATAATGACTAGGTAGGTTTAGCAAAGCTGTAGGATACAGGTTAAATAGCCCCAAATCAATGACAAGTTTATATACTAGCAATGAGCAACTGGATATTAACATTAAAAGTATAATTTACAATAGCTCCAAAATATGAAATACTTTGATATAAATCTTACAAAATATGTGTAAGAGCTGTATGTTGAAAAGTACAAAGTATTGATGGAAGAAATCAAAGACCTAAATAAATGGAGAGCTATATCATCTTAATAAATTGGAAAGTACAATTTTATTAAGATGAGAATTCTCTCAAAGCTCATCTATAGATATATATAAATATGTGCAAATTAAACAGCATAGGACTAAGTAATCAGTGGGTCAAAGAGGAAATCAGAAAATTAGAAAATACTTTGAGGTAAATGTAAATAAGGACACAATATCCAAAAACTTATGGGATGCAAGTAAAGAAGTACTTCAAGGAAAACTTAGTGTTGACAGATTTTATAATGTGAATATGATCTAATACCATCACAAAGAGATCTGTGACTTTTCGAGCTGTCAGACCACAAGATAGACGTTTAGTGGCAGAGGGACTTGGAGGGAATGGAGCAAAGCAGTGGTTTATTCCAACACAGTGGAACATAGATCTGCTATTGAATAAGCAACAGCTCACTTTTGGCTAACTTTCCTTGAAGTCAATGAGCCACTGTTTTGTTCCTCTTCACTCCTTAATAGTTTAAACATACTTGTTATAGTGAAATCAATAAAAAAGGGTAACTGAATTAATACATGTAATGCATATGTATTATAGTACATATAATTGTAGTACAATGGAGGATTTTTAGAGGATATAACCTCTGTGATGGAAATATCCAGAGGTAAAAATAGTGTAGAAGATATGGAGATGTACTCCCAGGTCTGGTATTTTCAAGATAAGAATATGGTCATATTCAACTAAGGCAAAGACAAAAAAACTTTATGGGTTTTAAAACTTTATACTTTTAAATAAAAATAATATAACTTCAATGACAGAAATAAATGTTTACATGTTGCCAAATCTTATTTTATATTTATATCATTATTTATTTACTATTTTCATCTGAACAAATCATACAATAGAATTTCAAAGATGGAAGAAATCTTAGCTAAATAACTTTTGTCCTTTGTATATGAGGAATCTGAGATTCAGAAAAATAAAACTATTAGCAAAGATTACATAAATAGTTAATGCCAGAATTAAAACTATAATTCAGGTCAACAGATTCTTTAAGAATTTTAAGTTATAGTTTTAAGAATGAATACTGGGTGCCCTTAAAAGTAGAGGAGGAAATGGACAGGATGGGACTGTATAATTACAGTCTATTCATCATTAAAATCTTTTAATTATCAAATATATAAGTTATTTATGGCCAGGTTTACAGAATAAGAAAAGATAAAATTCAATTTTATAATATATCAAATAAAGGTTAAGAAAATTGTTTAAATAAACAAGATTCAATTTATGTTATCCAAATTAATGGCCATGTTCCTGAATAACATCTTCCTTTTTCAATTTTACTATAGCGGTTTAAAATACACAGCCTTCATTTTAGAACATGTATCCAACTTTGAATTTCACATAATCATTAGTGCAGACACCTTCAAGTCAAGCTCACAAATGCCCTTCTAGAAAGACTCCTTGGAGAACTGATAATAGAACAAAGTAACTGAGTCTATTTCTAATGATTTATGTAATTAAAGTTTAACATAATTGGACATGAATTGTTACTGGAGTTTTATTTCTGTATTCTGGAGTACACACGGTGGGAAACTTTTAGTCATAAAGCATCTCTCTCTCAAGGATGTAAATGCCTTTGACATTGCTGGATCATTCTGTCACTGAGGGAATGGGCACCATCTGTCCCTGTTTAGTTGTGTTGAGAATGTTGACCTGACAGCACATAGCAAAACTGGAGAAGCCTGAAAGGGTATCTTCATTCCTTTCTAACCTAGTAATAAGTTATCTGAAGTGTTGCAAAACCATATGAGTTTGTCTGTGAAATGAAGACAGTAGAATTATTGTCAGTCTGGAAATGATTAATTACAGTAGTTTAGAAAGAGAAAAGACTTACAAAGAAGCTATCTGGGTTCAGAACCAATAAACTTTTCCAGCCGTCATATAGGAGTAAAGTGGAGAGATAGAGATTCTTTATTTGCTTACGATCTAATTGAGACTACTGAGTTAAAGACCCGGGTGATATATTAGTATGAAAAGGGACCACATTGACGAGGGTGTGGTATAGTTAGATTAGAACAATAGTATACTTAATTCCCAGTAAACTTGGAAGGATAGGTTTGTAATCATAATTCACCTTTCACTTTAGTATTTTATAGTTATAACCAGAAGACAAGTGGACACAGATGTCAGACAATTAGCAAAGTCTTTATTTCCTCTGACCCATATGTCTAATTTTATAAGTAGTCTATTATCTCTACTTACGTTACATATGTATAGCTAATTAACTCATTATATTTTCCCAGCAACATTCTCTTCCTCCTCCTTCTGTGCCTATACTTTCTATTCATGGAACTAGCATTACCTCAGTTCAAAAGTTTGGAATCACTTAAACACCATCCCTTCCTCCCCCATCAGTTGCTTGTCAATTGATTCTACATGTATAATACATCTCCAAGTCGTTCCCTTCTGTTTGTTTTCAATGCTGCAGCCACAATTCAAGACTTCCTTTTTTACTATGTATTTATTCTTTAAATATTAGCTACCTGGATTCCTATCCTCAATCTCCCTCTACAGTCTGAGTTGTGATTCATTTTCCTAGAGAACAATTCATATTATTATGATCTAAAATCTTTGATTACCCCGAACTATCTATTTAATAAAGCCCAACTGCAAGCAGGCAATCATGATTTCTCATTCAATGGGTTCATGATATTTCCTGCCTCCTCCTTCATGCTCCAAGCCCTGAGTTTCCCTGCCTCTGTACCTTATTTATAAGATTTCCTCTGCCTGCAATGCCCACTCTCTTTCTAATTGTCTTTTAAGATCTAGGTCAAAGCTTATGTCCTCCACAGAACTTTCTGGGTTTACACAGCTATGAACAACTTTTTTACCAGCTTAATGTTCACAGGATGGGGCTTAAAGGTATCTACCTGAGAATATTATGAGGACTAGGCAGTGAAATTGTAGAATTGTTGGCCAAAAGATGTATGTTTGCAGTTCAGACCACCATGTTAGAAAAGAATGATGAGTGGCTAATACAACTCCCTACCCAAAGATACTTTCTCAAGAAGACTCTGGAAAATAGATTGTTGAGTCGTGTCCAACATCTAGAAGTTTGATTAAATCTCTAATAAAAAGCAATACTATTGAACATTTAAGCACAAAAAATATTAAAATGGGGTATCACGTTTTTAAAGGAAATGAATGACTGTATAATCCAATGGCCTTTTTTCGAAAGGATAGATAAGCAGAAATGATGTGGGACCCAATGGATATGATTGTTAGTCTTCTATGGCAAAGGAATGTCCACTCCCTCTCACTCCACCTCCCGCATTCTATTAATACACCAGTCACACGATGTTTTTCATGATTCTCTAAGCTATGTCCTTTCATATTTCCATACTGTACATTTTCTTCTTGGTTCTTTGGACCAAATTAAATATTATTTATTTTTTGAAATCTTCTCTCAAAACAAAGAAATAAATGTACTTTCTTCTTTAATCTCCTGGCATATTGGTCCAGATATCTCAGTTATGATACTCCTCACAATGGTGCCTAATTATTTTTTTTTACAACATCCTTCTACTTATGGGTGAATCCCTGGACTGTTGAACTGAGTTATTATTCAGTCTTTGTATAACTAGAATATTGTAAAGTGCCTAACATATAGTAGATGCTCAATAAATATTGGATAAATGAAAAAATGAATGAAAATATGGCAGGTACTACTAAGTTTTAAAACAAAATGAGGCTTGGATTTTAAATTGTTTGCTCATATTCAGCTAACTTATCAGTAGGAGAGCAAAGATTCATACCCAAGTCCTCTTATTCTAAGATCAATGCTCTTTCTCCAAATAGTCTTACTCAAATGAACTTACAAATCCTTGAATATTCAAATTAGATGACACTCTTGGAGCTTTCACTAGATTGATTTTTTAAAAGCAAGAGATATCTTTGTAGAGAGGTACAAGTATAATAGACTTTAAATTTAAAATTAATTTAAACAATTACATTCATTTATATAACACATCCACAACAGATTACAGTATGCAGGTAAAGCAAAGAAATATATAAACACAATACTTAACTTTGAGAAAGCCGTGCTTACCCATAAATCTTCCCTTCATGTGACTGTCAGACAGGTAATTGGACTCGATGGATCTGGGTCTGAACCAATATTTGATTCAACTACATTTCAGCATGATAAAATGAATGTGGAGTGCCCCGGGTGTTTGTAGTACTAGGGGGATATGAAATGATTAATGCAGCCTGCTAACTATACCAATTTATTATTTTAGTCAGGCAAAAGAGCTATATGACTTGGTTTCAAAACAAATTGATTATTTAGGGTTACCTGAGACTGTTTTAAGTATTTGTAAAGAGAGTAATAGTAGTGAAAACTCACGTGCATATTGTAAACTGATTAACCATGTATCTCATTTCACGACTGATTAAAGCTGTGTCTACAGGCGTGTCTGTTGAGAAATTTCAAAAAACATTTCCAGCTATCAGTGCTATCCTTCTAAATGGCAGTACTATTGGCAGAGATAAGAAAAATTGGTTCTTTGTACCAGAACTGAGATAAAACATTCTAAGTCTGACGAAGATAAACTAAAGGAACCATTTGGCCCCATTCATAAAGGCATGAACCCCTTTACTATTGGATTTTGTAATTTACCATACCATATGGCATTGGCTGTTTTGGAAATGAGAGTTCAGAGTACATGGAACATTGGTGTGATGCATTGTAGCTATGTGTGTTCTTGCCTTATACTCTGCTGAAGCATTCTTTCTCTGTACTAATTTTAAAGAAACATTATGCAATTTGCTGTCAAATTTATACAGAACTGTTGAAGTGTTGTGTCATTTCAGTCAAAATTAGATTGCATAAATTCAGAAACCCTAATCTGAGATCGTTCAATTTCCCAGATTACTAGATTTACATATTAATAACTCCTAGGGTATATTTCTTTTCACCAGCTCTAATTTCAACCAGAATTTATGGGTTGGGCTCTTTTAAAATCCAAATGCAATGGCCAAGTGCTTAAAGCCTGGACAGTTGCCACACTGTCACAGAGCCCCTCAGCAGAAACAAGTCTAGAAAGCTGGGGCTTTTATTTCATTCTGTTTTCTCCCACAGGATGGTTCTTACCACATTAAATAATACATACTCACATACTATATACTACCAGCAATACTCCAATGCCAAATGATGTATAAAAGAGTGTATTTATGGCCTGTTGATTCAAAATGTGTTTGCTTTTCTAGTCACATTCATCTTTATCATGACATATACTTAAACATAAGAAAATCAGAATGTTTCTCCTTGGGTCCAACTTGCCAATTTCTATAATGTCTATGAATTGACAACTTTTTAAAAGTAAAATTTGGTGTGTGGGTGTATGTGTGTTCTGAGCAATGAATTTTGGGTGTTCTGCCTCCTCTCAAACAACAGGATCTCCTGCAGAAGGAAAGAGTTAGTGCAGAAGATTTTGATTCACTGAAAGCATGCTTATTTCCTTGGTATCTGGGAAAGCAAGCATTGTTTGGTGGTATATTCCTCAATTCAATAAAGAGAGTTTTTATTCCCATGTACATATGTAACGGTCAATTAAAGAACTATTCCAAAGGCTGTAGTAGGTTGGGTTTTAATTCCAAACTCTCTTGCCTTTATTTAACAGTAAAACAAATGGGAGTATGTTTCCCATTGAATATCATTTTTCAAAGATGATCTCTGCAATGCATAGTTTACTTAGACAATGTTTAATGTAAAATCAGAGAACAAAGTGTCCAACCAGAATACGGCTGAGCTGAGGGACAGAGCCAGAGGCTAAGGGGACTGAACTGAAAATATTATTCTTCCCAAATTTTTCTACATTAAATTATCTGCATAATTTTAAAATGACTACTCTGTGCAAGGCACAATGAAAGCTGCGACAAGGAATGTCCAGATGTAATATCAGTTCCTACATCTTTATCATAGCAAGGAAGGCTCAGACAGGTTCACAATCATAATACAAGGTAGTAAGTGATTGCAGTAGGATAGGTACAAAGAAGCACTGTAAGTTCAGAGATCAGAGGGAGAATCACATTTATTTAAGAAGATAAGAAAAGGCCTTGTGAAATATAAACATGTAAGATGGACTAACTTTTTAATAGGTTGAGAAAGGGGGTGATTTTCTAGGTAGATGGGAAACAAGAACAACACGTGACCAGGGGACATAGGCATGGGACAATTATGTGGACCATCATATAGCCTAGGTGCACTGGGACCTTAGCATACAAAGAGTATACCAAGGGGAGACACTATTAGGACATTACTTGGTAACAATATTCACAATAGTGAATATCGAAGGAGCTTGAAAGCTCTAAGGATTTTTTTTTTCTTTTTTTACTGTTTCTGTTAATCTTGAGGAAGTTTTCAGTGGGGAGCTGATTCCCATTTATTTTGCTGTTAAACAAAGACAGAAGATTTAGAACTAAACCATAGTTTAAAGCTATAGCCTTCGGAAGGGCTTATTAATGTTAAATGCCTACATGAAGAGATAGATTTGGGGAGTGTATCGGGGTAAATTAGGATTTATCATAGTAAAACAGTATATAATCTGGGTTCCAAATTCATAATAACAATCATAATAATAATATAATCACTATATGTTGAGAACTACTCACTATGTGACAAGTGCTTTACATATATTATTTCATTTCATTCTTAAAACTGCCCTATGAGGTGGATACAAAATATCATTTTATAGATGAAGTAACCAACACTCCAAATCCAAGTAAAATAGCTAAGAAGCCAGGTGAAATGGACCAGACTCCATATCCTTGGCCACTACTCTCTTGCCTCTCGTTTGGTCATGAGATAATTCTTCATCCCCCACAGTTGAGAGCCAGTCAAGCATATTTGTCCAAATAGAGCCTCAGAAGGGCCTCACCAAATCAAATTCTTCCTAATTGTAGAGAAGTCTGCGCTAATTGTCCTCTCTGTCTCCACATCCGGGACTACTTGAGAGGGTTGACTGCACAACATGATGGGTATAGCACGGGCTCTGAGGACAAGCTGCAAGGTGCAAATGCTGACCCAACCACATACCACATGTGTTCTTTATTTCTATGTAAGCACAGTTACTTGCAGAGAGACCTATAGTAGGCCAAAGGCAACACATCTAAAACTATGAGTCTTTTTCATTCTTCTAGCCAGGAGATCATAAATCATTTGCAGAATACAAACTAAAGTCCAGTCCTAATTAGAGAAGAGCAGAAACACGATTATCTTTAAAATCCCACTCTTGCATCATGGAAAACTTTCATCTGTTCCATTTTAAATGACAGAACTGTTCTTTTTGGTGGATGCTCCGCAGTTTTGATAACTAGAGAAGAAGTACACGGTGATGTCAATAAGGTAATGCAATGGAGGGGGAAGGGTGGACTGAAGGCTAGTCCAGCAGCTGAAAACTCATGTGCCCCTATTTTAGATGGCTGTTACATTCTCTGCTTTCAATAGCATTTGAAAGTCACAATGTTGTTCTGATTGCAGTTACAGAGGAGAAATAAATATCAACTTTTTAATTTGTATTCATTTTCCAAAAGTTTCTCAGGAAGTTGCCCTCAAAACCTCAAGTTACTCTGTGTTAGGTACCGTGTAACAGGCTGACTATATGCCCTTTTTGCTCAGACAGATCTGCTCCAGCCCTGTCCTTCCTCTGCCCAGCATTACAGGAAACCACACTTCCCAGGCTCCCTTGCCCTCTAGCACGGAGGTAGGCTCAGCCAATGGGAGGCAACGATGGAAGACTGATGAGCAGGCTACAGAGCAAGGACAGGGTATTTTTCCCTTCTCTGTGTCTCCAGAAGCATCTTGTGCTGGTGACCATAGCACCAGCTTCTGGGCTCTGGTAACACCACATCACATATTCTGTGGGCCTCTAGTCCTAGGTGTATGGTGATTTCCTGCTGTTGCCAATCTCTGGGTTTGTTCACCATCTCCTGTTTGGCTCCTTGGCTCTTACATCACCTGTGTAAACAGTGTCCAGCATTAAAGTCGCTCTGATTGAAATGTTCACATTGAATATTTCCCACCTGGACTCTGACTGATACACTAAACAATGATTTAACCCAAATGCTGTTGGGTAGGGTTTTCTTGCCTGAGTGTTAAGCAAGCACTTTGTTTTCCAAAATTTCCTGCCTTTCATGCTGCATCTACAACTTATTTCAGTGCCTCCTTTCAGTATTTCAGTGGTTTCGCAGTATCATTAGATTTTGCAGAAGTACTAGTGACTCATCCTTCTCTTTTTCTAATATGTGACTTCTCAGAGTACCATTGGCAAGTAATCCAAAAGTGAACCCACTATCTTAATATCTGACAATATCTTATTGTGGAATCCTTCCCAGAATTATTTGCTTCAAATTATCATTTTCCTCTGTCTTCATCTATTTTTGCTGCTATAGAAGACCTACAACTGGGTAATTTATAAAAAACAGAAATTGGCCTGGCGTGGTGGCTCACACCTATAATCCCAGCACTTTGGGAGGCCGAGGCGGGCGGATCACGAGGTCAGGAGATGGAGACCATCCTGGCTAACACAGTGAAACCCTGCCTCTACTGAAAATACAAACATATTAGACGGGCGTGGTGGCGGGTGCCTGTAGTCCCAGCTACTCCGGAGGCTGAGGCAGGAGATGGCGTAAACCCGGGAGGCGGAGCTTGCAGTGAGCGGAGATCGCGCCACTACACTCCAGCCTGGGCAACAGAGAGAGACTCGATCTCAAAAAAAAAAAAAAAAAACCAGAAATTAGTTGGCTCACATTTCTGGAGGCTGGAAAGTCCAAGATCAAGGGGTCAGCAGCTGAACAATTGCCTTTTTGCTGTATAATTCCATGGCAGAAGGCAGAAAGGCAAAAGAGAGCAAGAGGAAACTGACCTTGCTCTTTTTTTAAGAGGGATGGGTCTCACTATGTTGCCCAGGCTGGAACTCCTGGCCTCAAGCGATCCTCCCATGTCAGTCTCCTAAGTAGCTGGGATCACAGGCGTGAGCCACCATGCCTGACTTAAGCTCATCCTCATGAGCTTCATGGCTCATGATGCCTCATGGCATCAATCCTACCCATGAGGGTGGAATCTTTGTGGCCTAACCACCTCCTAATACTGTTAAGGTAAAGGTCTCACCTCTTAATACTGTTACAAAAGCAATTAAATTTCAATATGAGTTTTGGAGAAGACAAACATGCAAATGATAGCATCCCCCAAAGTCAGAAGCCTTCCAGCTTAGCCTATATTTTTTCAGTGAATTTTTGCCATCTTTACTGTTCTCAAAATGCTACAGTATAATTCTAATCCACTCTCATCATTATTCTTATAAGAAATCAGTTGCCACCAATAGTTAATCTTCATAATGTTCCCTGCATTCCTCTCTTCATTCAGCATTACTGCCAACCTCAGGCCCACTTCACCTTCCCTGGATGATTTTGTGAGGATTGCCTGGACCTGTTTGTCTGCCTCTAAGTTTTCCCAACTCTCATTGACCCCATCTAAAGTTTAATCAGCCTTAATATCATTTGCATAGTTCTTGATCTTAAGCTTTGTTTGTCTCATATCGCTTGCTTATAGGAGAGTTCAAATTTAGATTGGCATTTAAGATCCTGACAGTCAGTCAAAATATACATTCCCAATGGTAGTTATCACTCCTTCCTAACATGTAAAGCCTCTCATCTGGTCATCTGAATATCAGGAGTTAGGCTATTTATGGTTTACTTCTCTGGAAGATGATCGCCAAAGCCATCATTGAGCAATACAGTTGACTGTATTCATTGAGCAATACAGTTGACTTTTGAGTTCTCACACTGTACTCAATGTTTACAAGTTCTAAAGGTAGTTCAAATGTTTTGTTAATTTAGTATCTAGTCCTGGCCTTTATTGAATCTTTTGGGCTTCTGAATGAATCAGATGAAGAAGGAGGCATGCATATAGGGTATTGGTTTGGGTTAGAAGAATCCATGGCAAACATAATAAAGCCTTCTAATTCCCTTCTCACATATTCAGTCTATATATCCCTTGTATTCTGGATATCAGTTAGGCTCCTAGAGGATTTTTGGGCTAGGAGATAGATAACCTACAGCAAATTAGATCCCTTCTGAAAAACAACTTAGGACTGTAACAATTCCATAAACTACTTTAGGAAAAAGCAAAGTCTTGGAGATGAGAGGAGGCCCATGGGTGGGGGTTGGGGGGCAGAGCTGGAGCTGGATTGAGCTTGCTTGAGTGACCTCTGGCCAGGCCACTGCTCTGATATTCAGAACCGTTAAATATTGGGCTTCAGTCTTACTGATATCTACAAGAACTTTCTAAAGGACAAGTAAGCCAGCTGTTGCTATTTATGAGACTTCGATAAAACAATCAAGAAAGAAAATATGAACCTGAACAGTTTAATATTACCCATAAATATTCTGCTAATTTACCTCAGCTAATGAGAGCTTCCAAAATAGTTCCTAAATCTTTTGCTGAACATCTGTGCTCAATGTGGGTAGTTATACTACCAAATAATCTCAGTTTTTGCTAATTTATTGCCATGAGTTAAGGTGCTAAAATTACAGAACATAATTAGTTATATGAAAATATATTACGTTTTATTTATTATGGTCTTTTTTGGTAAAACTCAATAAGTATTAGTTTAAAAAATCTTTTAGATAAAAATATCACAGAAATCCTTATAGATGAGGATAACATGAATTACTTGCTTAACTGATGGCATCTCAAGTTGGCATAGCTAATTTTGATTCTCTTTAGGTGAAGATATTCTTTGGCATTCATCATCTTTTCTCCCTTCTAGCTCAGTTTGGTCTGCTCCTTTATTTTCCAAAACTGAGCCAGGAGGATCATCCACAGCAGGGAATGGGCCTATATATCAAGCAATTAGATCGTTTACTCTGTTTGTAACCTCAAAGCTGAAAGATTATAAACTTCTTTGGTTCTTACAGATGATTTTACAATACACCACCCAAATCATTGGTCCCTGCACTATCTCCCTTGTATATTTGGAGGACATGAAGAGTGAGAGTGACAAAAGTAGCCAATGCAATGACTTTGACTCTTTGTGGTGCAGAAGATCACTAGAGAAGACTCTGCAAAATCCATGGCCCCCAAGTCCCTCCAATAACTATAAATATTTAATCTTCTTTTGAAGTCACACACCACAGATAGTTCTTAAGAGAAAAGATTAAGTTCAAAAGGAATACATAATACATACATACATGCATACGTAATTACAGGAGAAAATGAATCAATTGATTAGTTTGGTATTATTTTTATAAATCTAGGCCTAAAAGAATAAGTATTGACTGGGGGGAAACCCAGTAATTTTGAGGACAATAATGAAATTTTGATATAATCAAAGAGATAAAGGAAAAAGGAGAAGCAAAGATAAATTTGATAGCCAACTTCTATATTTTTTTCCATCATTAAAATGACTGAAAAAGTCACATTAAAGTCTGGGAACTTAATCATTATAGCAAAGAAAAAAAAAAACCCACAAACTCTGAAATCAGGAGAAAAGAAATCCTGAAATTAATACATGTACAAATAAAATGTATATTCTCTGGATAATATAAGGCAAAAAACCTCACCTTCTTTGGTTTGATTCTCAAATACTGAAGTCACAAATATTTTTCTAGCTTTTTTATCTAGATAAGCCTTGACATTTCATTCTACTTTGCAATTTTTAAATTGCATTTTGTTTCTAACAGAACTGGATGATGAGGAAGATGGAGATAGAGGTAATTATTTCCATTCTCCAAATGAATGAATGTTAACAAATTCTATGGAGAAAAATAGAATTGTCTTTTGTTTTTTTAAAAGTTTCTCTTGATTTAATATTAAATTTTAATATACTATGAAGAAAATGCCAATCAGAAATCATCTGAGGAAAATTCATGAAAAGATCCAAAAAATGCTGATAAATAAAAGCAGTGGGGGAAATAGTTCAAATAGATATTAACATATTTCAAAGCTAGCTTTTAAAAATATATTTTTGAACTAGTAAAGGAATAAACAGATATATCAATGGAACATGAAACAAAGATCAGAAAAAAGACAAGCAATAAGAATTTAATATATGGTAAAGTAACACTTCAAATCAGTGAGGAAAAAATGGATTATTCAACAAAATATGTTGAGCTCAAGGGTTGGTTATTAAATATATGTATACATGTATGTGTATGTATGTATACACATACATATGTATATGTAGCTACAAAATGCCTCCAGGTAAAGTTTTTAAAAGCCATAAAAATATTTGGAGAAAATGGATGTAAATATAATGTTTTCTTGATGAGGGAAAGGACTCTTTAAGATTTACAAAATTTAGACACCATAAAGTATGTAATTGGTAGATTTGACAATATGAAAATGTAAAACTTGTCTACATCAAGGAACATCATACATTTTTTTAAAAAAGGAAAAACAGGGACATAAACATTTGCAACATACATAACAGATATCATTTCTGTCTAATTTGAACATCTGAATCTATATGTACATATATATTTATAAAACAAACAATGTCTGGGGAATATTGACACAATGTATCTTTGCCCTATAGGGCAATCTCTGGTTCGTAGTTGCCTTGAGGCACCCATTCTACCTCGCCAAGACTAGTCAATTAAGTTCAGGGGGTTTCTTCCATGCCTTGACACTTACTGTCCCTAGGAACAGAATATGACATAAAGGAGATCAAATCCGACCAGAAGAGAAAGAAGAAAATCTGCCAATTCTATCCTAGTAGAGTGTGGAAAAGGGAAAAGTGGGGAAATAAAACGTCAGGTAAAATTATCTTAGCTCTTCACTCCTGAACCAAAATCCCAGATAGGAGTGGGGTTTTAGAAAGGTGGAGAGAAAAGCCACAGCAGAAGAGTCTTGTGCCTCACCCTCAATTTGAAACTCTGAAACAGAGATGAAGGAGTAATAGTGGTCACCTGAAGTGATAGAAAGAGAAAGAGCCCTGAGCTAAGAGCCTTCCCTTGACTCTGGTTTGAGGCTGAGAAGTTTCCAAGCCTGAAGATTGGAGGGATTAAGCCAGAGCTAAATGGACAGCGACAGGGCTCCAGATGAGATGCAACTGAGGCAGGTAAGGGGGCTCCAGGCTCTGAACAAGACAAGAGACCAGCTACAGCTTCAGTAGAAGCTTCCAAGAGTGTCAAAGAGCCAGATAGGCGATAAACCTGGCAGATGATTACACAGACGCCTTTGTACCATTTATCCACATACTCCCCTCCCACTACATGGAATCACATAAGTACTCACCACCAACACAAAAATATAATCAGATATCACTTGAAGGAGCAGGGAGAGGGAAAGTATATCTTCAGCCTGAGCATTTACTTGAGATTAAGTTATCTGGGGAACAAAAGTCGTTAAAACTAAAAATATCTGAGATACTTTCATCGATAAGTTTAAGTTCTTCCTCACTGCTACCTCCACCAACTGCCTTCTCCAGATAGGGGCTCATGAGAAAAACTGGACTAGTTGCAGAAAATTAATAAGCAAAATTTCCTTTCTTTCTGGATAGCAGTAAGGAAATTTGTGATTCTTTTACATATACAAAAAGCTCTTTAAAAACAACCAAAAAAGGCCGGGTGCAGTGGCTCACACCTGTAATCCTAGCACTTTGGGAGGCTGAGGCAGGCGGATCATGAGGTCAGGAGTTCGAGACGAGCCTGACCAACATGGTGAAACCCCCTCTCTACTAAAACTACAAAAATTAGCCAGGCATGGTGGCACGCGCCTATAGTCCCAGCTACTCGGGAGGCTGAGGCAGGAGAGTCACTTGAACCTGGGAGGCGGAGGTTGCAGTGAGCGGAGGTCACCACCACTGTATTCCAACCTGGGTGACAGAGTGAGACTCCATTTCAAAAAAAAAAAAAAAAAAAAAAGGCTACGCACACACAAATTCAAAACCTTCCATAATAAAAATCATTCAGCTTCACTAATATTAAAAGGATAGTCATGAAAGGAACATGCTTTTTTGTATACCAAACTATTAAACATTTTTAAAAATATTCTGTTGGTGAGGATACAGAGATGCTGACTGATATAAACAGGTAAATGTTTCTGGGGCAATTTAGCAACACATTTTAGAAGCTTTGAAATTCCTTTTGTGATATTTGTCCCGAGGAAAGAATTAAGGAGTCATATGACCATGTTGCTATGAGATCTTCTTTCCCCATCATTGATAACATTGAAAACATGAAAATACAAAGTGATTGGTAAAACATAGCTCTCTTATAAATAGGATAATAAAAATTTAAACACCTTGGAAGTACAGCTGTTGACAAGGGGAAGAGTTTCACAATGTATTGCTATGGAGAGCTGGCTACAAAACAATATGGATTCCAAAAAAAAAACATTTAAAATCATATCTCTATAGATTTAGGTAATGCGAAATGGGGTACCAATTGAATTAGACTTTTTTATGTAATAGAGAAGTGATATTTAAAATTCAGTAGCAGGCCAGGCATGGTGGCTCATGCCTGTCATCCCACCACTTTGGGAGGCCAAGGCAGACAGATCACTTGAGGTGAGGAGTGCGATACCAGCCTGGCCAACATGGTGAAATCCTGTCTCTACAAAAAAAAAAAAAAAAAAAAAAAAAAAAATTAGCTGGGCCTGGTGGCACATGCCTGTAATCCCAGCTACTCAGGAGGGCGAGGCAGGAGAATTGCTTGAACCCAGGAGGCGGAGGCCTGGGCAACAGAGCAAGACTCCATCTCAAAACACACAAAAAAATTAATTCAGTAGCAATTTTTACCTTTAGTGATGAGGATATTTCTCCTTTCATTGTTCTGGAAGGAACCATGTTTAGAACCACTAAAGTAATAAAGGCTGATGTTAATTGAGCACAAACTTTGTGCCAGGAACACTGTTAACTATGTATTCATATATTTAATCCTTAGAAGTATATATGACAAAGGTGTGATTATTATGTGCCCTGTTTTACTGATGAAGACATATTAACCACAGAGCCACTGAATAAATTTCACAAGATCATCAACCAGAAGATGACAGGTCAGAACTTTAAATGTTAGCCACACGAATCCAGAGGTTGTTTATTTAACCATTATGCTGTATGTAGATCTTCCCTAGTAGAAGGATCACTGCAAGGCCAATACTTGTTGATTTCTGAGAGGAAAGAATGATAATTATATATGTTTGGGCATGGCAAGGCCTGTCTTGTAGATGCTCTTGATGGAGGAAGCCAGATAGTAACCCTCCCCCAGCAACTTATCTACACCCACAAATTCATGTAGGAGTCAAGATGATTTCTAGAAGAAATAGGATGAAAATCAAAATTCAATTTCTTTTGAGATTCAAACATTCAAATAGGTCTGATGAACCAGAGAGATCCTGGCTGAGGCTGAATGGAGGAAAAACACAACTGGAACCTGGAAAAAACCTACACAACCACATCCAGCAAGTCTTGACTGGTGGACTTTCTCTTGGCACTAGTGTCAAGATCTAGGCCATCAGAAGTGTTGGTTTTGAGAATGGTGTAAAACTAATGCCTGATCCAGCCACCTGGGTATACCTGAATTTTTTTAAAAAGGTACCTTGAGAAAAATAAAAAATGACCCTATGTGCACTGAAAACTGACTACTAAGAGCTCAAACTCTGGGCTTATGTGTTTGAGAGGTGTGTCAATCACTGAACTTAACACTTGGGGAAGGCTGCTCCTCTCTGGTACTCCAAAGAATTGCTGTGTGGAGTGGAAACAGTGAGGCAAACAGGGCATGCTAAAGGTTGTCCACTCTCTGCATCAAGGTGAAATATACCAGAGGAGTCCCCTGGCTTGAGTTAGAAACCATGAAATTCTCACCTGCACCATAGAAAACACTAAGGGGCAGGGCCAGGGGCGGGGGTTGGGGGCGGGCGGGGCATGCAGAGTGGC
This sequence comes from Homo sapiens, assembly GCF_000001405.40. Classification (NCBI taxonomy): domain Eukaryota; kingdom Metazoa; phylum Chordata; class Mammalia; order Primates; family Hominidae; genus Homo; species Homo sapiens. The sequence goes on along the minus strand of NC_000002.12, from coordinate 181,244,759 downwards.
TCATGCCTATAATCCCAATACTTTGGGAGGTCGAAGGAGGAGAAATGCTCAAGACCAGGAGTTTGAGACTAGCCTGGGCACCATAGGGAGACCCCATTTCTACAAAAAATTAAAAAAATTAGCTGGGTGTGGTGGTGTTCACCTGCAGTCCCAGCTACTCAGGAGGCTGAGGCAGGAAGATTTCTTGAGCCTAGGAGGTTGAGGCTGTAGTGAGCTGTTATCACACCATTACATCCCAGCCTGGATGACAGAGCGAGAGCCTATCTCCAAAAACAAACGAACAATAAAACCACTAAAAGGCAAGGAAAAATCAAGGCTTCATAATTATAGGCATGCAGGGGCTTGGGAGTATCATGATTTTAACATCAAAGAAAATATGGCCTCATTTTGACTTCACAGACTAGTCAGTATTGAAGACATCTGGTTTATGTGTGTATTTGTTTTTTCGAGCTAGGGAGTTAGGAGAGGCATCTATAAAAACCCATATGAAAGAATATATAGTATTTCATTATGCACAGTGGTTGTTAGGTGGCAGGATTCTTATCATTTTAAATGTTCTTTTGTCTTTATTTTCTAATATCAAGTATTGAGTTTTCAACAAAAAGCAACTTTATTTTAGGAAAAAATAACCTTAACTGAATTCCAGTTAATATTGATCATGCTGATATTTGTTTCCTATAATATTCAATAAAAGCAAGCACTCTGTAACTCATGCCTTATCCAAAAAAAAAAAAAAAAACCACACACATTTTCTTTTTTTTTTAGTTGGAAGAATTATTTTTTAATTCTGAGACTATGTAAATAGTTAGTAAACCTACACCAGGCTGAGGAATAACTCTGGAGATTGTCATAATTTGCCAAATCAGGAATCCTTTTTAAAAATTTTTATAGGAACATATATTCCTTTGTTCTTTGACAAGATTCACAATTGCAATGATCTTTTATTTTTCAGCTTAGAAAAATCACTTCATTCAATGAATATGGCAGAGAAAATTTATAGAATTTTCTATAAAAGAAAGATGTTTGGAGATGAGACATAAACTGCTGTTTGGGTCATTCAAGTTTTATTATTTGGAGCTTGTACTGTCCTCCCAAACTAGTGACAAAATGAAAAGATTTAATCAGATTTGTGAGATGGTGCTATTAAATGCTGGGCTGCAAAATGACCTATAGCTTTCTCAAGACATTAAGTTGTTGGCAAACAACCAAGTTCCTACATAGGCAAAGCAATGAATGTAAATAAAAGACCTTTTATTCATGATACAATTTAGTGATGAGGCCTTGATTCCTTCATTCTCAAAGAACAGTACAAAGGGGATTTTAACATTCATTTATCAACTGTAAATTCAAGAAACTTCTGTTATCTCTAAGCTTTCCTCTACAGTGCCTACTGGAAAACAAATACCTTCTTGCACCCAGTGACTACACTTTTTAAATTTCCCATTAACCATTTAACCATGAAGACTTGATGTGTGCTACAATATCATTGCATTGGGATCTGGTTAGTAAAATACCTCTAGATTAGTGATATAATCAGAATGACCATACTGGAAAGGTCTTTAGAGGGAATTATGGAATTAAGGGATTGTATAACCTACCAACTAACCCACATTTGTCATTTTATAGTTGAATAATTGGAGGCCTAGAGAGATCGAGGGTTCCAAAGCTAATGATATGCAATGCCAAGGCTAGAATGCAGACTTTTTTTTTTTTTCCTGAACTAGTTCATTTTTAAACTTTCAAGTTTTACAACTCACTAAGGAAGACTGCACCTTACCCTACTTTCAATTTATTTTGGGTTCAAAGGTATTAAAAACCACTCTTTGTCCCCAAAGATTTTACTATTAAACTATTTTTTACAAAAAAAATTCCTGGTATATATTTTTATTCATTGACTCATTCAATAATTCAGGGTTCTTTTCATGAGTCAGGCATTAATTGTATTTTTAAGCAGCATATTAGTCAGTTATTCTGAAAAACAGAATCAACAATATGTGTGTATATACATATGTATTTGTATATACATGTCTCTCTCTCTCTGTGTGTGTGTGTGTGTGTGTGTGTGTGTGTATAGAGAGAGAGAGAGAGGGACAGTAACAGAGAAAGAGATTTATTTTTAAAATTTGACTCACATAATTGTGGAGGCTTGGTGAGTGCAAAATCTAATGGGGTAAGAAAGCAGGCTGGAGACTGGGGAAGAAGCAGTCTGAGCCCACAGGCACTCTGCTGGCAGAATTTCTTCTTGCTCAGGAAGTTTAGTCTTCGTCTCTTACAGCCTTCAACTGACTAGATGAGACCCACCCACATTATGGAGCGTAATCTTTTCTACTCCACCAATTTAACTGTTAATCTCATCCAAAAACACCTTTACAGAAACATTCAGAATAATGTTTGACAAAAATCAGCATCATGGCCAGCCAAAGTGTCACATAAAATTATCCACCATAAGCAAGGTCACTGATTAGGTCAGAAGCTGTCTATCATTTTTTATTATCTGTAGAGATAGAGTCTCACTATGTTGCCTAGGCTGGTCTCAAACTCCTGAGCCCAAGTGATCCTCCCACCTCAGCCTCCCAAGTAGCTGGGAAATACAGGGTCTGGCTATGATACCCAGGCTGGTGTTGAACACTTGGGCTCAAAGGATCCTCCCACCTCAGCCTCACAAAGTGCTAGGACTACAGGTATGAGCCACTGCACCCAGCCAGGAAATATCTTTTTAACTAATGTCAGTTTTGGCTTTAAACCACAAGAACGAGTTCTTGGTTCCTTTTTCACTGATGATGGCTGACTGGAGGACTAGTTGGTAGGCTCATTCTCTTGGACTCACCAACACTTAAAAGGATTGGTCACTTGCATGTGTACGAAAGAGTTTTTAACAGCTGTAAATATTCTTTAATGTGTTGTCACAAAATCCAGGAAAATCCAGAGACTCATGCAAATTGCCATGTGAGGTGACAGCACTCAGGTTTCCCTTCTAAGCAACAGGGGAAAATTTTAATCCAACAGCCTTTGTATAAAGCACTTCCCAATGACAGATGAAAAGCCTTAGTGACTACTCCCAAAACTGAGTTAATCTTTGAATGGATATTAGACATCCATAATGCCTGCGTGCTTGGCTATTTAGTGTTCTCTAAAAGGGCTGAAAGTTTGAAACAAAGAACTCTGTAGTATTTCTAGACCTTGACAAGAAAGTAGAGGGAGGGAGGGAGGCCAAGGATAATGCTCTCTTTTGAGTAGCCTTGGTTTGTTTGACCTTATTCCAGACCATCTGAGGATGGAAAACAGCCACACTTCAGATGGTGGACAACTACCAGGGAACAGGGTGAAAAAGGCGTTTATATTTCTCCTCCTGCCTCCAACAATGTAGAGTCAGCTTCTAATCTCAAACACAAATCTCACATTATACCACAGAAGTTTAGGTAAGTTTCCTCAGAAAGAATATCTGTGTGTAAAATATGAATTGCCCATCTCTGTAAGCTACTTTTAGTCTACTGCAATGAAAATATGACTTTAATAAACAACAAATCATATTCATATTTAAAACATGAACTTTACTAAATATAAATCACATACTAAATGATATTGTATTTCAAGATGCAGCCAGACTTTCAGAGCTGCTAATTGAACTCAGATCAGTATCTGGTTTCATGCCCTGTTAAGAATAATCTTTCCCCCTGGGTTTGAGGAGCACAGCAGGTTATCCTGTTCAATATACTCCCTCCAGCAACACTATACACTGTCATTATTCCCACTAAATTCCTTTGGTTATTTTCAAATCTATCTGGACCAAGATAGCTTAAGTGTCGTATGATCACTCTGAGCATTAGCAGTATAATAAAACAATAATTAATCTTTCAAAATGACTTGTTAAAATAGCTTATCTTTCTTTATGATCTGCATTTATTCATGAATAAAGAGACACTTTAGGATAACTAGATGTTTTTTAATGCAAAAGATGTCAAGATGACATTTCAGTAACAAAGAGTCTGCAGAAAGCATTAAAACTCAGGAAAATGTCCTAAATTAGCTGAAAATTTGAATGTCTCAAATATCAGTGAGTGATTCTCGGAAAAATATGTATTTCAAGTATATATTTTTTGCACTCTTCAAAGTAAAAGGTAGTTGATAAATTAATTAATTTTGATGTCTTTCTCTCATCAGAGCAAGCTCATACATTCGAATACATTCAATGGGTATAATGTTTTTGTCACAATTCATTTCTATTGTCATAAACATGCACTTCAAAATTTCCCCTTATTTTTTCTTGGGATATTATGGTACAAGTCCTCAAATATATTCTAATATTTTTATCACTTTATTCCTGAAAATCTAATCAGGGTCATCTTGAATATTTCTTAGTTTAATCCTGAATGAAGAAGATAATGGGCTTCTAAGAGTAATTACACTTTGTTCATATACATCTATTAACAGAAAAAACTCTATTTGCACAGAATTCTTCCTTAAAATTTTTGCCAGTGTTTAATTACTAACAAAGATATTAATTATTATAATGTGGGCTCTGTGGTTAAGCTAGATTATAATAAACATCTCCTTAAGAAATAATGTGTATAAACACAAAGAAATATTATGCAGAGAAAAGTGTCATTCATTTAAAACTATTTTTAGATTCCAATCTCAAAAATAGTAATAGTGGTAATTTTAAAAGTTTCTTGTAATGAGATGTATATAAATTGTGCTAGGCCAAAACTTTGCTTGAGCCAATGTTAAGTAAACTCATGAACAAAAATTGTCGTAAAGTTGTCTTCCAGTTGTTTTCCTTGTAATATTTTGGATGGAAAAAATTTACTTATATCATATTAAATGAAAAAGAATCTGAGATAAAGCTAGAATTTCTGGTGTGCAAGATTTGACAATAATATCACCTGAGAGACTGTGTAACAAGCACTAAAGCAGTTTCCTCTGTGCCTCAGGTAGCAATGAAGAATCATCCCAGAAAATAAAATACTATGTGCCTAACCTAGACATTATCATGCTCTCATTAGTTTCCAATCTAGATTGCATAGTTAAGTAGTCCTTCAAAAAGTATTTAAGTACACTTCATGTGTTTAAGTCTTTCATCTGAAAAGACACACACCCATACACTCACACACACATGCACACACACACACACACACACACACACTCCACTCCCGTAACCTGAAAACGCTCTCAAATACTGCCCCTTATGGCCACATTTACCATTGTCAATATCTTATCAGAATTACATCTTATTTTCTCTTCATCTCAGTACAATCTGAATTCTGCCCCATACTGTAATCAGAATAATTTTTACCAAGTTTTTTGTTTACTAATCCAAGAAAAGATTTTAGTGCTCATTTGATTTCTCAATATTTGGAATTGCTGACCACTTCCTCTTGCTAAAACACTTGACTATTATGATGACATATTCTATTGCATTATTCCATCTATCCAGTTATTTATCACTTATTATTTCTATATCTCAGGTCTGTATTTTAAATCCTGAAGCACTTCAGAGTTTTCCCTTCTTGTACTGTTAAAATTTTTACCATATGTTGATCACTTCCAAATTAACATCCCTAGAATAGATATCTTCTTCTCTCCAAATTAATGTGTCTAATTGCTTATTATGAAATTCCAATTAAAGTCTCATAGGCACCTCACAGTAAACATTTTCTGAATATCATCCTTTAAAAAGTAAGCCTCCTCCGCCTTTTAAATTGCCTGTCTCAAAGCAGTATAAAGGCACAAGCTCAAACCATGGATGTCATCTTTTCATTTTGCCCTTCATTAGCCCCACACATTTAGTCTTTCCCTGGTCCTCTATTAAAATCCCACCCTCTTAACATTCCCTATGTTGTTTCTGTACTTTCTCTTTCTCTATGACATTTTCTACCATCTAATATATCAAATACTTTACTTATTTATCTTATACATTGTTTTCTCTTTCAAGAAGATAAGCTCAGTGAGCTCAGGGATATTTTTCTGCCTTGTTGACAGCTAAAACAGTATCTGCACATAGGAAATGCTCTACATATAGGAAATTCTTGTTAGCGCTGTCTCTAGGTTTGCTTTTATTGACAGTTTTAATCACTTGATTATCAGATACTGTTCCTTCTTCAAGTGTGTGATAACTTTTTGTTGAATAGTGAACATTATAGACAAACATTGTAGAAGCACTACATTATGTTGTCTTATTCTAAAGAAGGTTGAGTTTTATTACAGCAAGCAGTTAAATTACTAAAAATTTACCTTATCTTGTTAAGTCTTGGTTTTAGGCTTTGTTAGGGTGGCCCATTCTAGTTTTTACTCTTAAGACATAGCACTTACTTGCACAGTGTGGCCTTTCTGGGATCTAATTAATTGCCTATGTGTTTCATCGAGGTCTCTCCATTCCAGATGGGCTTGCACTCCAACATCTTTCCTGCACAGGGCAGTCTTCTTAGCCCTCAGCCTCTCAGAAGAGACTCTCTTCCAAACCTTCTGAAATCTCTTCTTGTGCTTGCATAGTCCAGGAGTCAGCCAAATACCTAAGACGAATTTTCACTTAGATTTCCGTTTATTTGGATTTTTTCTCTGCAGCTTCCTATTTTTGATGCTCTTGTCCCAAATCTCAGCCAACTTAGTAGCCACATGCTATATCCTACAGCTTGATCTCTATATCCTTCATTTGGCAAAACTGATGCTCTCTACTGGGGTCTATCTCCCTACACTATGGCCTGAGAAATGCTCTATGAGAGAAACTTTGTGTGAATCTGTAGCTTACCTTATATGTTTCCTTTTTGCAAGGATTGTAGCTCAGCACTGAGCTGCTATCCAGTGCCTACAAATAGTGTTTTAAATAGTTGGTCCAGACCTCATAGTTATTTACAGTGGGAGCATATGTCCAATACCAGCTACCACATAATGACCAGAAACAGAAATCCAACACTTTTTTTTTTTTTGAGATGGCATCTCCCTCTGTCACAAAGGCTGGAGTGCAGTGGTGTGAATCCTCCTGGATTCAAGCGATTCTCTTCCCTCAGCCTCCAGAGTAGCTGGGACTATAAGCGCCTGCTACCGCGCCCGGCTAATTTTTGTGATTTTAGTAGAGGTGGGGTTTCACCATATTGGCCAGGCTGGTCTCAAACTCCTGACCTTGTGATCCACCCTCCTCAGCCTCCCAAAGTGCTGGGATTACAGGTGTGAGCCACCACTCCCGGCCCCAACACATATTTTTGAATGAACCAATCATCAAATCCTATTGATTCTGTCTCCTTAATATTTCCCGAATCTGTCTTCTTTTCTCTTTCCCTGTTGCCTCTACTTTGATTTAGCCCATTATCCCTTCTAGCCTATCTAATTGTTACAGTGCTCTGACTGATCACCTTGTCTCCAGCTCTGCTCTACTCCATAACATTTGCCACACCCTTGCATTTTTTGTTTGTTCTTAAATGTTAATATTGTATGTTACCCTTCTTATGAAAACCCTCCAGTGTCTCCTCATTGTCCTCAGGATGAAACCCAAACTCCTTGTGTACCTCTAAATCCTCACCTTTTCATACTGCTATGTCCTTTCCTCTCCTGCTCAATACATATGGTGAGTTATTTTCAGTTCCTGGAAAAGCATGATTCTCTCACACCTCCAGGCTCTTGCATGAGCTGCTTATCCTGCCTGAAATAATCCTATATTCCAAATAACCCCAGTTGTCATCTGCTTAGATACCATGTCTTCTGCGGAGTCTGTGTTGATCTCCCCAGTTGGATTAGGTCTCCACTTGTGTTCATCTTGCACTCTGCTCGTTCCCCAGTCATCATCTGTGTCACACAGTTCTATAATTATCTATTTACTTTTCAGTACTCCCATTAGACCATAAGCTTCTTGGGGCAAGCCCCATGTGTTATTCATTGTTTTATTCCTATTTACTAGATGACTGAATAAATATTTCTTGAATTAATTTATGTTAATGTTAGCAACTTGCCTGACAAGAATATATTCCTTCTCAATTATATGTCTGCATTTCATGCAGTAAATAAATACATAGATAAACCTCCCTCCAAGAATAATAAAATGGTAGAAGCCAAGGGACACATAATAATATGACAGTAAAATGATATAAAAGAATGAAAAGCTTTGATTATCTGTGTCAGGTATCTGTATATATTACAACCTCAATATTTTGGTTTTGTGTTATACGTGCAAACTAAACACAATTTTAAGAAATTTTTTAGGTCATACTGTAACTGCTAAAAGGTCTACAATTATGCTGATGCCTAGTATCTTAAGATAATTGCAAGTTAGAAAGGAGAATATGGAACTAGCTCATTCGCTTCATTTTGTAGATTAAGAGCTGAGTTTGAAGGGAATCAAGCATCTTGACCAAGTTCTTACAGTTAGTTGAATGGTAGCACTATACCCCAGGCTCCCTGGGCTCCTTCAATTTTCTTCAAGCTTATTATGTTCTGTATGAAAGGAACATTGACCACCACCACCACCACCACTTACTAAAGTCCTAGTATGTGTCAAAGGAAACAACTCCCTGACCACCACACATTCATTTCTTACTTTAGGACCCAATTAGGCTATAAGAAAAGTAACCACAAACACATTAGAGGAACTGAAGATTGGGTGGGGTCAGAAAGAAGGGCCTTCCAAGAAGTGTCAAGAACTATGATAACATGACCACTGTGGTATCAATGTATAGTTCATTCATAATATAATAATAAATAATATGGATATTGAATCCTGAACTCCCTAACAAGTGGCCTAGACAGTTTTTTATTTTGTTTCTATTGGATTTTAATGAGTAATACATGTGGCAGTCAAAGATCTGTGTTTAAGTGTAACTTGGAAGAAGACTATTATTGACTTCTATCAAGTGGTGATATTGAAAGCCACAAGATGATAAAAGTATCTAACTCCTGTTTTCTGAACCTATTCAACAAGTGCTTTTCAGTGGCATTAAATACTTTCTGGAACTACGTGGGGTATATTAAAAATAAATAAGTGAACGAGTTTTTGTTTTGTTTTTAATAAATGGCGGAAACTAAATACTTGTATTGACACAATCTGGGAATCAGTTATACTTCAATAGCATTTCTTATTGTGATTCGGAGATCTAAACAGTAAAAGATTTATCTACTAGAAAATGTCCCACGTCATGGAGTTAATTTTTTTTTGAAGTTTTGACTGATAAGCTGAATTATTATACATACCACCTTCTGATTCTGCTGCACCCAGTGGAGCTGAAAATATTTACAAGGGTGTCCTTATTTTTTTCTCCAACATACCTATAAGCGGCATTAAATTATTCTACACTTTATAAGCAAGGACGGTTTGGTATTTGAGGTTCACACTCCTCTAGCATCACAAAACCATTTGGCACCAGCCTCAGGAAAGTAAAAGAATCTTAAATTAGGCTCATAAAATTGACCTGGTTCTAAAGAAAGATAGCCACTTGATAGTAAAGGTACTACGAGCACAGGGCTCTGCTTATGAACAGTAACACTTATTGACTGCTTCTGATGTGCAGGCACTATGCTAATCACAAGTATTAACTCATTTGGTCATTAAACCCATTTTATAGATGAGGAAACTGAGGCACAGAGAGTTTAGTAGCTTCCTTGAGATTTACAGCAAGCAAGCAGTAAGCTAAAAGCCAGGAAGCCTGTCTCCAGAACCTTGCTTTTACCCTGGTCTTCTTCTCTACATATCCCACCTTTCTATTTCACTCTTCAAATGTTGCCTTACTGAGTGATCAAGCTCTTCCTCAATTCCCATTTGACCTTTGCCTCCTCACCAAGAGCCAAAAACAGCTGAAAATGTTTACTTTTATTAAAATAAGTTTACTTAGGGTAGCAAGGACTCTAAAACTCAAGGCTAGCAATTAAGCAAGTGGAGATTCCACACAAAATGTTTATTTGTCCCAAGAGAGTCATTACAGCTCTCTTAGCTTAAGAAAGTGATACAGTATATGCTTTTGAGGGTTCCACATAACCCACATGTCAGCTGCCCCAGTTGGTATTCACCAGAGAATTCCCTGCATCTAAGGCCTTGTGCTTATGTTGTAAAATGTACTAATGGATATTAACATTATGATAATGCCAAAAATCAAATTCCAAAGGCTTATCCCAGATACATGGCTTTCATCAGCTACACAAACCTCAGGGGAGATTTTATCAACTGCTGATCAAAGGAAGCAGCAGGAGCTGATACAAGCACAAGACAGGGCATGTGGAGTGTCCTCCACTCAAGTACACCCCAGAGCAGAGCGTCTCCAGGAGTTGAGACAGCACATCAGCAACTCAATTGTAGTATTCAAATGAATGGAGTTCTCTTTAAGGGCAAGTCTCTGAATAGAAAGTTTAAAATCTGATCCTGATTTAACATGACTATGCCCTCACCTGGATGTATATTGCTGTAAGAGATACCTTACCCATATGAGGGTCATGTCAACTTGCTTCCAAACATAAATGAAGTGAAGCACAAAATCATGTGACTCCTCAAGTGTACTTAGCTCTGCACAGATAAAACTGCTTTATTTGGAATCACGGAAAAAGAAGAGGGAAGGGCATCTGCAGACCATGCAGCTTATTAAACCAATTTGTTTCCTGAGTCAAGTACTTGAGGTACTCTCAGTTCTAATTAATGTCTCTTGCAAATGCAGCCTCATAACTAACGTTCATTCTTCTAATCGTAGCCATATGTTCCTTCCATCGTTTTAATGATATAAATGGAAATTATTGGTGTTTATCATTGAATATTTCTATTTAAAAAAACATTTTTTCAGGCTGATGCTTTATGCTAAGATCAGTGGGTGAGAAAATCCCTCTCTGGAAATATTTTCTCACTTCCTGTAGTCCATAAGTGAGGCCTTATTTATGGTTTTTAAATATCGCATTAAGAATTTTGCCTCCATTAGATCCATGCTACTAAAATGGCAGAACTCTTCACATAAAAAACAGAGATAAACTGAAAAGGGGATAGCTGAGTCAAATATACAGCCTGTAGGTTGAAGTATAATCATTACATCTCGCTTAAGGCAAGAGAGGTTGATAGTTTACAATAAGCTTCAAGAAAATCACTTGCTTATTTCCAGAAGCCAATAGCTTAAATCAAATTCCTTTACCTTCTCTAAATATGCCACATATGTTTTCATTTTAAGAAGTACTTTTTATGTATGTGACTGTAGTAAAAAGATATGTACAGATATACAAGATTTCAGAGCTGGAAGAGACCCTAATGATCACCCAGTCAGGTGGTCCATAACCCTCACTGTGTACCCTAAACAACTGATGAGCTTGCAGACTGGTTCTTCACCAGAGAAATTATAATTCAATTGCTCTGAGGTGGACCCGGTGGAGCCAGATATACTGTTTTGCAAAAGTACTCCTGGTTATTCTAATATGTGGTCAAGCTTGAGAAGCACAAATCTTGTTTATCCATCTCTTTTGGAGCCAATGATATTAAATGATTTATTCAATGTCCATAGACAGTTATGTTTGACAGGGGGGAGACTATGAGCTCAGGCTCAAAACCCTCACACCTGTGCATTTTCTTTTATCGTTTACTAATACTTCTTTAATCCATGCTTTTAAAAATAAAGTTAATTTAGCAATAGAAATATCTTTTAAAACAAGACAAAATAAAACCTAGAACTATTCTTCCATTCCCTTTTCAAGGGTCTGTCCCCATCTTTTATTTTTTGTCATTGTAATCTCTCCAAAGTGCCAGCTGTGTGTTAGAAGGTATCACTGTATAACTCCAGGATTAAAGTAAAAATATTAGTAAACCATTCCAGAATCGCCAACAGTGCAAAACACAAAAGAAAGACTCCTATTTACCCTTGTATTAAAATATAACAATAGCAGCCAAATCATCATTCCGTGGCAGGAACTGTACTCAAGTGTTGGATCCAGACCATCTCACTGCATCTCAGCAAAAACTCTGTGAGGTCATATATTACTGTCATCTCAGTTATACAGATAAGAAAGCCAAGGCACCAAAATTTATTTCCCCAAATAAATTCCCCCAATTTAGGTAACTTTGCCTGGCTAGGAACTGGTAGTCAGTTTAGTCTTTTTTTTTTTTAAGTTCAATCTTAAAATCACAAGATGAAACTGTCCTTCAAAAGCAGCATTTTACCTTTACTCATAATAAACTAATATTTACAAAGCATTTTTAAAAGAACATTATACTCCTTTCTCATCTGATCTCATTTAAGTATTACAAGATTTATTTACCATAATCATTTTGTTAAAGAGAAACTAAGGCTTAGGGAATACTCAATGTCCTCCCAGGTAGTAAGTGGCTAAACCCAAATCAGAGTTTTTGTTATGATTCTATGTGTAGTACTGCACTCCAGCCACCATACAGCTTTAAATCTGAAGATTGTTTTCCTGGCTCTGATGAGTATTTCATATGGTCAGTTCTGCTAGAAAAACAGTATAAAACTTACTTCAAACAGCCAAAAAACAAATTCCTTGCTGTTCAGATTAAACTGTTGATTGTGCTGAAATTCACGGGTACACTAAGAAACAAAATAAACTGTGTCAAATCTCCCCAAAGATTTTGTTGTGCATTCTTTTATTTTTATTCACATAATCTGTGTTTACTGAGCTGCAGTAAAGGATGCATGGGCTATTTTTATTCGGAGAAAGGCTATAACACCAGCCAAGCAGAAGGACCCATCCATGACCAGAATGCAATGGCCTTCATTATCTTCCAACTCACTCCTAAATGACTCACTGAGAGCTGCCAGATGGTGTTTTCTCTCACCCCTTGCCTTGCATTTATTTAATTATTTTAACATAGTTTTTGTTCTGCTGCCATGATGCCTAATAGGCAGATATATTTGGGAGTTAGTTTCTTCTTCTAATATTGACCAGTGCATTTAGAAAATTTCTCAGACTCTTTAATAATAACACTTATTGGGTACGTACAATATACTAGATGCTAAGCCAATGGATTTGTATATATTCCTCATTTAATCATCCAACAACTCACAAATGAGGAGGCTGAAGTTTAGGGAGGTTAATACATGTACCCTGGGCTAAACAGCTGGTCAAAGACGTAGAGTCAGATAATTGGAACTAAGCCCCCAATCTTAATGTAAGACTTATGTGGTAGAAGTTATAAGCACTAACACTTTGGGGAAATAAGGAAACATAATAAAATGATAAAGAAACCCAAAAAGTTAATATTCATCTATGTGGAAACCTATCAGGTAGGTGACTAAGTCATCAAGAAAATGAAAAGATGTGTGGTAGACCTGGAGATGTGCTGCCCTCACCCCCCGTGCAGCTGCAGGGAGAGCTGTCAGGAGGCAGCCTCTAACATGGGACTCCTTTGGGATCTGCTTTAGTGCAGGGAGCCACCTTGTTTGCAGTCTCACCCTGTCTGAGGCAGCCTGCACAAAAGCCCAGCCATCCTGACTCATCAGCAATATTCTCTCTAGAGACACCTACTGGGTTGGCCAAGGCTTTGCCAGGTCTGCTTCACAGTGTGAGATCTTTCTCCATCCTATCTTGCTTTCAACCCTACTATTCCAGATATTCATTCCTTTTAAACCTTCTTCATCCAAAGGTCTGAGGAACCAGAGCTGTAACAATACTTCAAAGTTTTTGACAAAGAATAAAAATTATTTTATTGCTAGTTTAGGAATTTTTGAGTCTCAAGAATCTTTACATGTAAACATACCAAATAATAATTTTTATGGTAGTCTCAAGACATAGAGTTCCCCCAAATTGGGGTAGAGGCTTGGGGTGTGAAGGTAGTAAGAGGCAGGTACCTACTTAACTCTTCTTCAGACTGAATTGATCAGGTAATTCAGAACCACATCTGGTTTTGACAACATGCTCATGATATATCCCCCAAATGGAAGCCTATATAAACTACCTTATCCTCCTGGGTCTATAGTGTTCCTAGTTGCTGATTCCATATTATTATTCTAGGCAGTCTGATGTATGTACCTATGACATCAGTTCCATATCAGAATATTTCTACAAAATTACTTCCAAGACAGTTTTCAAATATAAAGAGATTATCCTCAATATGCTTCAACAACAATCAAACCCTATGCTATGTATGGTATCAATATTCTAAATAGAAAGCATTGACTGACACATGATATAGAATTATCAGAATCAGTCTCTATTCTCAGTCACTTTTCCACCCTCAGGTAGCCTCCTTTAACATCATGCCTGTTCTTAGTACCATTTTACTCTCCATTACTGTCAACTTTGTTTTATTAAGGAGGTCATGGTAATTAAGCCATTTCAAGAAAATTCTCATTTTTAAGGAAAGGGAAACTTGGAACCCAAGAAAACTTTCTAGACTCCAGACAACAAAGCAATCATAGGGAATTAAAAGGCATATGGCTCATATCTGGGGACAAAGAAGTTTTTGGCACTGTGGCCAGGCTTGTAGAGGGAATGCATGTTAAAGGAAGAGGTGAGAGGAAGCAGAAGACTTTCCCTCTCCCTCTTTCTAGATCCACCTCACCAGGAACAATGATAAGATGGCATGCCACCCTGTGTTTGATAACAGTTTCAGATATAAAAACATGGTCTTTATTTCTTATCAATGAAAACTACATGGGTATTTTTGAGGTATTACTTGGGTATTAACTCAGAAAATTCATAGATATAGGATTCTAGAGAATTAGATAACTTATGCATAATATAAATAAGCAAGTTACACAGGTAATAGCTAATCTAGCAAACATGATAAAGAATCAGTGATAGATATCAAAAAGGGAGAAGAGAATAAAAATATTTGGCTGTAACTTTACAAAAATCACTCATTATTTTAATTATGCATATTTTTAAAAACTAGTCACAAATCATGGATATGGATATTGACCAAGTCATAAACTTTGAGCAAATAAACAAATACACATATTTGAAACTGACATGATCTGTTTCTCTTAAATGTAAAAATTTTACAAATTACTTATAAATTATTCCAATTTTCTTTCAGTTTTTAATTCTGAACTAGTTTTAGCATACTTTTTACTCTACTGTCAACTCATTTACATTAAAATTAATCTAGAAGTCTACAATTAAGCAACTCCTAGATAAAATGGGTTACTCAAATGTGTATGTTTTAATGAATAATTGCATGTTGCTTGATACTTTTGTTCAAAGAAAATGTCACCAAAATCTTGTTTTGGATGTAGGTGCTTCTATTCAAGGACAGAAGCTGCAAAGGGGCTTTCTGCAGCACCAGGTGAGAATCTCCTAGGAATTAGGGATGATATTCGTGCTTGGGACCTGACCCCAACAAGGAGTCCAGAGCTCTCCATTCATGCTGCCTCATCTCCTGAGGCTGATTCACAAGGGAGGGTGACAGCCGCTTTAGCTGCTCTTGTCACCACAAGGCACTGACCAGCCTTTGGCTCATATAACAGTGGAACACGTTTTGGAGTTTCTCACTTCCTCTGTGCCTGGAGTAGATAATGTTGCAAAGACTAAAATTTACAAACTCAAATCTATCTTGTAAAAGAAGAGTAGGAAAGCCATGCTAACAGATTAAGACTTAATACTTTCAGTAAAGAATAGTCATTGGAATCACCATTTTTATATACCATATTTGAATCATGTAACACTTTTCTCAGGGTGGTTGAATTCATCAGGAAAAAATATATAGAGATATATTTATAGCTACATTCATGTGTTACTTTGATTTTACTTAGATTGTTTAAATTCTCCCCAAAACTTGCACAACTCTAATAATTAAAAGTTATTAGAGTGAGGGCTGATCTCAAGGTAAAAAGATAAAATTATAGCTAACTCACTCTCCGAATGACTTGACTTTAAAAAGCTAGTTAAAGATTAAATAATAATAATAAAACTTACATTTGAGGGCCATTCTTCACTGTTTTATAGATCCCTAGCCATGCATTCTCCCAGAGCTAACATAAAACTGCCAATCAAAACATGTTGAGTTCCTACTCTATGCCCTCAACTGTATTAGCACTCTGTTGACTGTAGAATCATCCACAGGAGAGGTCACTCCCATCAACTGGGTGCATGATTCAGGGCAACTGCCTTGGAATGCTTTTTTAAATTTTATTTTAATTTTTATTTTTTGAGACAGGGCCTCACTCTGTTGCCTAGACTGGAATACAGTGGCATGATCATGGCTCACCGCAGCCTTCATCTGCTGAGTTTAGCAATCCTCCCACCTCAGCCACATGAGTAGCTGGGACTACAGGTGTGTGTGCCACCATGCAGGCTAATTTTTAAAATTTTTTGTAGAGATGAGGTCTCATTATGTTGCCCACACTGATCTGAAACTCCTGAGCCCAAGGGATCCTCTTGTCTCAGCTTGCCAAAGTGCTGGGATTACAGGCATGAGCCACCGCACCCAGCCTTGGAATGCTTTTTAACTGAGCTGGGTTTAGCCCCTCTTAGCTTTGGTCTTCTCAAGTGTAAAATGGGGATAACTTATTTCTTTTTTAGGGCGATGGAAAAAATAAATAAGACACTTTATGTAAGGTGCCAGGCACAAGGCTTGGTATTTATAAATGGTGAATGCTCATATTAGTTAGTAATTGTGGTTGCAATAGTAATTTATGTATGTTGCATGCATAATGTATGTAGTAGCAGTGGTTATTCCATGTAGAAGCTAGCTGGGGGGGCAGGAAAAGCATGTTACAATAGCCACAGCTTCCCTAGTATCCCTGGATCTCTGTCAATAAAGTGGGTAGCTGCATTGTGTAGCTGCTTCTCCTGGCTTAATTTCTATAAATGTGTGAGAAAAGAACTCATAAGAGGGAGAAATATCTTCTGTCCACACCCCAGGTCACAGGCATAATCAGAGAATATAATCATTTCCTAATTTCAGAATCCAAGGTATATACCTATGCCTAAATTTTTCCATCATTGGTTATTTCTTGCAGGACAAATAAGAATTTGGTCCCTCACATATTTCACCCAACATGTCGTCCACTTACAATGTACCAGACACTACATATGGTGGGGAGAGTTGAGTTGTGTTCACTCTTTTCCCTTAAGAAGCTAGTGTACAAAAGAAAGATAGTCATGTAAACAATAAGAGATCATGAAAAGAGAACAGAAATCTAAAACCCAAGAGGAAAACTGAGCAGCATAGAGCAGTTCAGAAATCTAGCGGACCTCATAGTGAATAGGCTGGAGCCAAATGCTTCTACCATTGCCTGTGTCTCCATTTGTGTTCATTCCTTAAACTTTGCTTTTTAAAGCATACTTTATAAAAGGAAAATGTGGCGCATTGGTATCACTTTTGGTTGTATGATGTATTGTCATGCTATAATTTTAACAAAGGTGCTATGCTAGCCATAGGGAAGGAGAATATTTCATTCCTTACTCATTGCTAGATTCATGGCTGAGGCACCAATAAAAAAAGACAGATTAATAAGAGAAAAGCGTACTCATTTATTTAATGTAAGCTTTATGTGACACAGTAGCCTTTATAAGGAAACAAAGATTCAAAAAAACAGGTAACCTAGTGTATTTTTATGCTTAGATCTGATGGAGAGATGGATAGATATGGAGAAGTATGATTGGATAAAGTGGGTGTGATCTAATAATAATAAACTGGGGGGAGTTTAGCAAGCCCTTCTCGTTCTGATTCTTCTCTGTGCCCCTGTGCCTTCAAAGATAAAGATGTTCCTTTCCTCTGGGTTTAGGAAGGGCACCTTTCAAATGAAGGTCTCATGACCTGCTTCAAAAAAGAAGGGTAGGAGAAAGCCAAAGAGTGATCTTCTTAGGTTTTATTATATGCTTCAGGTGAGAAGGGTGAGAAGAAGGTGAGAAGGGTGAGAAGGTGAGAGTGGCCTTCCTGCTTCTGCTGTTTTCTCAAATGCCAAGGTGCCATATTTTGGGTAACATGTCCTGAATCCCATTACCACTCTAATCAATTCTAATATTTGATAGTAGAGTACAGAGAATAAATTCCAATTCTTTTATTGAGGCAGAGATATAATTATGAAGTATATACCAACACACATTTCCTAAGTTTATTTGAATATACAGTTGACCCTTGAACAATGCTGGGGTAAGCGGCACTGATCCCTCCCTGTGCAGCAAAAAATCCATGTATAACTTTTGACTCCCCCAAAACTTAACTACTAATAGCCTACTGTTGACCAGGAGCCTTACAAATAACATAAAAAGTTGATTAACACATAAATTATATGCTCTATTATGCACTATATTCTGATAATAAAGTGTGCTAGAGAAAAAAAATTAAGAAAATTGTATGGAAGAGAAAATGTACCTACTATTCTTTAAGTGGAAGCAGATCATCATAAAGGTCTTCATTCTCATCATCTTCACGTTGAGTAGGCTGAGGAGGAAGAGGAAGAGAAGGGGTTGGTCTTGCTGTCTCAATGGTGGCAAAGGCAGAGAGGTGAGAAGGTGGAAAAGGAGGCAGGAAAGGTAGTTATACTTGGTGTATCTTTTATTGAAAAAAAAATCCATGTATAAATGGACCTGTGCAGTTCAAGCCCATGCTATTCAAGGGTCAACTGTAATGAGGATTGATGTATACAGGTTGAGTATCTCTTTTCTGAAATGCTTGGGATCAATGCGGGATTTTGAATATTTTCAAATTTTGGAATATTTGCATATATATAATGAGATATCTTGGGGGATGGGAACCAAGGTTAAACAAAAAATTAATTTACGTTTTCTATACGTCTTATACATGTAGTCTGAAGGTAGTCTTATAAAATATTTCTAATAATTTTGTTCATGAAACAGAGTTTTGGCTGAACTTCAACTGCAGTTCATCAAAGGAGATCAGGTGTGAAATTTTCTACTTGTGGCATGACATCAGCACTCAAAAAGTTTTGGGATTTGGAGCATTTTAGATTTTGGATTTTCAGATTAGGGATAATCAGTTTGTATTATAAATGCAAAACATAGATTTTTAAACAAAAGTTCAGTGAGAAAATTTGGAAAAGTTGTTGATGGGAGAAATAAATTTTATCTAAACTTTACTTCTCTGGCAAAAGTAGAGCCTCCTGGAAAACACAGCTGCCATTAACCCCCCGTATGGGGGAGCTTTTAGGCAAGAAGGAGACTGCCTATTGTCATTAGGATGAAAATGTCCAATAGAACCTTCCACAGCTATTGCAACTCTAAATTTCCCCACCCACTTTGTTAAACTGATATATAAATCCTTCTATTTAGGGATTTATTTAACTACTGGGTCTATTGTCAATTAATTCACAGGTCCCATCACTCAAGCCTAAATTGGTAGAGAAAGAATTTTTCCTACCAACACTGTTCATTCTGTGGCATGAAATGAAGGAAAATAAAACTTCCCCTTCCTTTCCATAGGCAAGATTCCACAGGTCTGAAAATATAGACTTTAAAGTATATTTTTAATATTTACATTCATTTGCTTTGATTTCTTTTTCAGGATTTATGGGATTAGCAAATTTGTTATAGAATTGGATACAACTCATTTATTTTAGGACCATATCAGTATATCCTTCTACTATATCTTGTTAATTATGCAAGATATTAAATAATAGAATTTTTGCTTAATACAAACATGTTTGTGATTAACATAATATTTTCGGTATGTCTGAAATAGAATTTCAAATGTGTTGAACTGAGTAAAAGCTGTTTTATAGAATGACAGACATCTTAGTCAAGGCTAAGCATATCTAGAAACAAAGCATGAATATCAAAAGGGTAACGTGCGATCTTAGTTTCATGTACTCATATTTTAAGAATCATATATAAATTGTGGTACTCACCACACCCAAAACAGTGATATGTTTCCATAGTAACTGTTGATCTACTTATAACAAAACAAGGATGGTGAGGAAGGAGAAACAAAGAAAACAAAGTTAAAAACAGAATTAGCCCTGAATATATAATGACCACAAGAGAAACAGTTTGGTAGAGCATGTTGAGAGGGAATATTAACTCAGGAAAATATTAGGAATTTGTGATATTTTTGAAGACAAGAGTTATGTTTTCTGTTTCTTTTAAATCTTTCTGTAGTCTGAAAAAAAGCCATGCACACAAGGGGCAATCAATAATTAAATGAGAGAAAGACAGAGAGGGAGAAAAAGAGAAAGAAAGTAAAGAACAGAGGAAAGGAGGAAAAAAATGAAAAATGAAAACATTCAAGAAAACAAACATCTCTCTACCATCAGATCAATAGGCATGAAAATAATAGAACAAATAACAATAATCAGTTTTCAAAAATAATGATCAACTGTGAATGCTAAAGGGAGAAAATATCCCTTTTTAAAACCTATCATTGTAGGTGTTCACAAATGCCACTCAAGTCACTCTCAACTCCGGTTGCCACTTTAATAAGAAAGGCTCAGCCTGAAGGTGAATTATTTTCATAAGTTTGAGCTTAATTCATTCAGCCAGTTTGAATTTTGAGAACAGAAAAACATGTTTCCTTCCCCAGTGGCATTTTTATACTCATATAAGTCAAAAGTAACTATCCCGTCAGCAACTCAAGTAATAAAAGAAAAGCATGAATTTGAAGATTAATGCACTTAAACACACATGGACATTTTACAGCATGTTTGTAGGTATTTTGGTTTTCTAAATGTAACCTTTGACGTTTAACTTTTGTACATTCTTTTCTAAGCTTAACTATCTTTAAACTTTCAATAGCAATTAAAAACTAAATTGACCATATTACTAAGGTTAATTTACTTGTGTTGCAGATTAAAACAAAAATTATTCTGGCTGTACTTACAAAGCAGTTTGCCTATGTAAACTTCAAGGCTTTATAAGAAGATCATCTGGTGATAAGTTTGGAATTACTCTGTTGACTGAATAGAAACTATGTGCTTCTGAGACTTGGCTGTGCACACAAATCACCTGAGATCGTTAAGATGCAGATTTTTATTTAATAAGTCTGAAGTAAGGCCTAAGGTTCTGATTTTGGACATCCAGCTGATGTGAAACAGACCACATTTTGAGTAGCAAAGCTTTAGAGAACTATAATCTTTTGTTAAATATTTTCCATTTTCTTTTCCTTTTCGATTTGTGATTGATTCTTTTACAATCTTAACTTGTAGAAGAGTGAAGAGTTCTAGCCCTTTATGTTGCGTAGTACATAAAAAGAACTGCACAAATGGACTCTCCTTAGAAATTTGTAAGAATTGCTTCCCCTAAAAAGTTTGATTGTTTTCCTACTTGTCTTTGGTAATGATGAAGATCGCTGATCCTTTGGAGTTCAATTGTTGGGACAAATTTTGCTGCATTTACAAAAATGTGCTGATGTAAAAGTCTAAAAAGTAGCACAGATTCTAAAGACATCTCCAGACCTGAGTAACAATAACATTTTTGGCGACACACAAAGGAACAGGAAATTGTAATGAGTTTCTTTTAGCCCAAAAAGCAACCACAAACTATATTTCATACTGTTATTGGAACAACAGAATCAACATCCTCCATATGGGCCAGCAAAAAAGACACCTTTAAAATGCTATTGGAAGCAATAAATTGAAAAATGGGGCAGGTTAAGTGTGTAATGATACAAGCAAGACACAAACAGGAAGCCAGCAAATCTTAAGGGAGATCTTCCATGGCCTCAACTCTATTAAAATATACACATGGAAGTAGTTTTTCATGATTTTTTATTTCTGGTTTTAAATTTATTTAAGTAAAGAGCAGGAAAATCCACCTCAACAGTTTCCTGAAACTGTGCAGTTGAGTTCTTTTATTACAACCTTGGTTCATTAAAAAATTGTAAAACTCAGGGTATGTTTGCCCCTGTGATTAAAGTCAGAAAATATTGGTATATGGTCCTTCTACTCTTTCAGACAGGCAGAGAATATGAGTCAAAATTTGTAGCTTCTTTTTCTCTGTATATATGTCCACAAGTTTTTAGTACAATCTTAGGTAGATATCCAGGCAATTCAATCTATCTTATTTATCCTGTTAATGTCAGAATTTTTTGATAAGTTATAGATGGTCAATGAGCAGAATACTTCATAGAAGAGAGTAGAATATAAGTACATTTATTTCATTTTATACTAAGATAGTTTTTTTTTCATTTTCATGAGGTAAAGTTAACATATAGATATGACAGCAACAAAAATACACTTTTAAAAAATAGTTGGATTTTTAGCCAGTTCTACTACAAATATATTGACTACCTGATTTTAGCTTTGTTAAAAGCTAGTGTGGATAATAAAATGCTGCTACTGACCAATCATGCATTCTTCTTAATCTGTCTTTTATACATGTCCTTTAAAATGGAGGGGAAAAGATGGTACATGATTAACTATATCTACTAATGTGAGCCAAAAACAAGTCAGGAACAAAAACTATCTAAAAAAATCAAGAAAGCAATCACATTTAAAATAGCATTAAAAAATGCTTAGGAATAAATTTAACCACAGTGGTGAAAGATCCCTACGCTAAAAACTATAAAGCACTGATGAAAGAAATGGAAGAGGCATAAATAATTGGAAAGAGAGCCCGTGTTCATGGATTAGAAGAATTAATAAGGCTAAAATGTCCAGAGGAGCCAAAGCGATCTACAGATTCAATGCAATCTCTAACAAAATTCCAATTGCATTTTTTACAGAAATAGAAAAATCAATCCTAGAATTCATATGAAGTCACAAAGGACCTCAAATAGACAAAAAATCTTGAGCAAAAGAATGAAGTTGGAAGCCTTACACTACCTGATTTCAAAATATTACAAAACTATAGTAGTGAAAATAGCATGGTACTGTCATAAAAACAGACACATAAACCAATGGAACAGAATAGAGGGCCGAGAAATAAACTTATACCAACATAGCCAAAGAATCTCCAACAAGAATACGAAGAATACACAATGGGGAAATGGCAGTCTTTTCAAGAAATGGTGCTGGGAAAACTGGATCTCCATATGCAGAAGAATAAAAGTAGACTCTTATCTCATATCATATATAAAAATCAAAATAGATTAAAGACTTAACCCTAAGATGTGAAACTCTAAAATGAGGAAAACAGGGAGAAAGTTTCAGGATATTGGACTGGGCAATAATTATTTTGGATATAACCCCAAAGTGCAAGCAATAAAGGCAAAAATAGACAAATAAGATTGTATCACACTACAAAGCTTTGCACAGCAAAGGAAAAAATCAACAGAGGGAAGAGACCAACCTACATAATGGGAGAAAATATTTGCAAGCCATGTATCTGAGAAAGGGTTAATGTCTAAAATATATAAGGAACTCAACTTGATAGCAAGAAAACAATCCAATTAAAAAATAGACGAAAGACTTGAATAAACATTTCTCACAAAAACACATACAAATGGCCAACAGATACATGAGAAAAATGCTCAATATCACTAATTTCTTTTTTGCAAAGAAAAACAAAGCCACAATGAGATATCACCTCACACCTGTTAGAATGGCTATGATCAAAAAGACACACAACACAATAGACACTGGTGATGACACAGTAAAGAGAATCCTCATATACTGTTGGTGGGAATGTAAATTAGCACAGCTGTTATGGAAAACAGTATGGAGGTTCCTCAAAAAACTAAAAATAGAACTACCATATGATCCAGCAATCCCATGTCTGGGTATATATCTAAAGGAATTGAAATCAACATGTCAAAGACATACATGCACTCCCATGTTCATTGCAGCATTACTCATAATAGCCAAGATAGAGAATACACCTAAGTGTTAGTTAAACTGATGAGTGGATAAAGAAAATGTGGTATATATATTCAGTGTCATACTACACAGCCTTAAGAAAGACAAAAATCCTGTCATTAATGACAACATGGAGGAACCTGGAGGACAATACGCTAGGTGAAATAAGCCAGGCACAGAAAGACAAATACTATATAATCTCACTTATATGTGGATTCTAAAAAAGTCAAACTCATAGAAGCAAGGGCGAGAATGGTAATTGGAGGTGGGGATGTTGGCCAAAGGGTATAAAGTTTCAGTTAGATAGGATCGATAAATTCTGGAGATCTAATGTACAGCATGATGTCTATACTTAATAATATATTGTATACCTGAAAGTTGCTAAAAGAGTAGATCTGGCTGGGCACGGTGGCTCACACCTGTAATCCCAGTACTTTGGGAGGCCAAGACAGGCGGATCACCTAAGGTCAGGAGTTGGAGACCAGCCTGGCCAACATGATGAAACCCCATCTAAACTAAAAGTACAAAAATTAGCCAGGCATGTTGGCATGTGCCTGTAGTCTCAGCTACTCCAGAAGCTGAGGCAGGAGAATCACTGGAACCCAGGAGGTGGAGGTTGCAGTGAGCCAAGGTGGCGCCACTGCACTCCAGCCTGGGAGACAGAGAGAGACTCCGTCTTGAAAAATAAAATCAAACAAAAAAAAAAAAAAAGAGAGAGAGAGAGATGTTAAATTATCTCATCACCAAAAAATGGTAAGTGAGGTGAAGGATAGGTTAACTGGCTTGATTTAATCATTTCACAAGGTATGCCTGTATCAAAGCATCACATTGTATGCTGTAAATATATATAATTTTTAAAAAGCAAATTACATAGTGTTTTGGGTGTTTAACCATTTGCAAAACATCAGTTCATGTACACTGGACTTCCAAATTTTCTAAATTATTATATATTTTAAAATGTAATTTGATTGAATGGGCTAAAAAGTTTTCAAAATACCATCAAGAATATAGTATATGCATTTATGAACAGGATGCAATGACTTAAAATATTAAAGTGACACAAACATTCACATAACATTTATTAAGCAACTCCCCAAAGCCTAGAACTTTAAAGGAATCAAAATCCCCTTTTAATGTCAGAAGGTAGATTAATTTTTTAAAATTTTCCATGAAACTAAGGGTAAAAACAAAAATCCCTAATTTATAAGGTTGCATAAACTCCAGTTTCCAGCACTGACCACTAAGAAAACTTGGAGGAATGAATTTCTTCTACATTCCCAGAATTTTCCTTTCTTTTCTAGACAGGGTCTCACTCTGTTGCCCAGGCTGGAGTGCAATGATGCTATCATAGCTCACTGCAGCCTTGATCTCCTGGGCTCAAGCCTCAGTTTTTTGCCTCAGTCTCCTCAGTAGCTGGGACTACAGATGTATACCACCATGCCCCGCTGTATTTCCAATATTATAAGTACTCATGCCCTTATGAGAAAATAGTATCTTAAGCAGAAAGGCATTTTGCTAAACTCAAAATGGAACTAAAATTTTAACATCTGACAGCAGAATTTCTTACACAGTTCAACATTTTAAATTTTGCATAAATATTTGTACTTATGAGTACAAAAATCTGACCCACATCATGATATATTCTCAAGATTCTGATAGCAACTCACATAGTTTTAGTTATAATATAAATGAGAAAAATGTATGCTAAATTTTATGCCTTGTATGCATGTAATGAATCAATTTTTCAAGGACTACTATCAGGCTTAAGTGATATAAATAAAGAACAAAATAAAGTTCCTGGTGCACAATAAGGTCTTCATCTCACCAACAAGTAATCATGGCTATATGAAACTGCCCTTTCAGTTACCTCATATAGCATTGGCTCCTCTGCAGGGTAAGACTACCCTTTCTCTAATGCAGATATTGCATCCAGAAGGCCATGGGCCATATTCAGTTGAAAGATACGTGTGGCCTGAAGAGTATGTTTTGTTTGGTTTGGGTTATGCAATATGATATTTTGAAGAACTTTCCAATTTGGTATTCTAAGACTATGTTTTGGTTTGCTCTGGTATTTTGCAATTTGGTATTTGGTATTTAGATGGCGCCTAAGCTGGCCACCCCACCCCATTTCTTATTCTTCCCAATTGTTTAATGACCCATCTAACCCACTCATTTTTGTCACCTGTCTGATCTCTGCACCAAGCCCTGCACTATTAGCAAATCTCAATGGGAAACTCTCAAGTAAAATAGCTTCCACTGTGACATCTTCACATGAAAGAAAAATGTTCATTTTCCTTACACCATGATTGGTATGTATCCTTTCATTTTATATGACAGCAAGCCAATATTTGAAATGTTAGGGAATACTCAGCACAAACCAGCTTTGGCAGCATCTCAGCAACTCCTGTGACTCTGAGCATCCTGGAAAACTGTCTGCTGATCTGTATGCTGCTCAGCTTTGGATTTCAGTCTGCTTTGCAACATTATCTTGCTCTATTGAATGAAAATGTGAAGTCTTCCTTTTTTCCTACCCTGCTATTCTCTCAAACCCTCAGACAATGGAATTTTCCATTAGAAAGAGAGAATATAGCACTTGGAGGGGAAAAATCAGTTTTTTGTTCTTCTTCTGCCCACTATAATACAAAGCTTTGCTCCTCCTCTCGGGAGAACGTAAGGCTGGCTGGCAGTCAGTTTGACAGAAGGAGAGCAGTGCAGCGGAAAATTGGATAACAGGATAAAAATCTATGGGGCCACAGGAATCCCATCAAAACTGGCTCCTCCTGTCAAAACCCAAACAAGTGACAAGGACAAATATAGAAAGTTATTTATATTTAAATATTTCTAATGATATCGTAATTATACTTCTGTCTCTGTTAGGCAGCCATTTTCCTGTGAGCCACAACTCTGAAAACCAGATATTGTATGTTGGAGAAAATCTACATAAGAATCAGACAGCTTCAATTCAGACATCTGGGAAAATTCTATGAACTCCTCAAATAGCTATTTCTAAAGGACAGAGCATAACAATTTGTTTTTTCAAAGACTTTTTTTAGAGTGCAATAGCCAAATTCAATAAATATGGGTTATTCCCAACTCTTTGGGCATGGGAAAACCAAACTCTCTAGAAGGTATGTAATAAATTAATTTTACTTAAAATTAAATTTGATATTTTGAAAAATGTCCTATTTTATTTTATGACAATGCATCATATTGTGTCATTGGGTAGGTCAATTTTCTGACTAAACTTTAGAGTAAGTTCAATAAACTGAGATTTAAATTGTCAAAAGATATACATTTTCTCATTTTCAAACTTGGAAAATGGGTTTAATATAGATATTCTATATACATTAAAATTAATTTTATTATTAAAACCAGACATTTTGGAATACTTCTTTGAGAGAATACAAGTGATATCAAAGAATTTAGCACCACAATGGAAGACAAAAGTGAACAAATACATAGACTATATAGGATCTACTGTATATTATACTTCTACAAAACTTTAGTCATAATTCCTAAGGACTTATTCGTCATCGTTATTAAACACATAGTCTTCCTCTTTCATAGAGGGATAGCTATGCATATACATATACACACATCAGACCTGTGCAACAGAAAGCGAAGCAGAGGACTGTCAGCATGCAGATTCATTAATTTATATTGAAAACGATGTATTTATTGCCCTTAATATTCAAGACAACGTGTCAAATGCTGGCAGTAAAGGCTAATATTAAGGGATACTTCAGTCACAATAATATGTCATCTAAACATCTGAGAGTGCTCTATACAGAGATCAGAGCAACTGAGGATCCTCCGTTCTATGGGTCCTTTTCAGTTGAAATATCTCTGACGTGTAATCAATGCTTCCAATTATCTGAACCCATTTTCCAGAAAAAAATTTAATTTCCCACTGCTGCCAACTCTCTCCTTCTACTTAGCTCTAACAAACAGATTTCCTCATTTTTGCTCCTATGTGCCATCGTCATTTCTGTCTTCTCTTGTTTATGTTCTTCCTAAACCTAAAGTGGTCTTGATCTTTTCCTCTTTCACCTAAAGTCCCATCCTCTAAAGTCCACCTAAAGTATCACTTCCCTTTGAAGCCTTTTGACAAATCCAATGGTTGTTTACCTTGTATAAGGCAATGTTTTCGGTGCTTAATGTATATGACCATATTTAATTGCCACAATTCCATTAAGAGTGGTAGGATCCCATTTTAAAGATATGAAAAGATCAGAGAAGTAAATTGTCTCAAGTAACACAGCTAAAATGTAGCAGAAACCATATTCAAGCCCCATCTGTCTGACTCAAAGGCCTATGTCCCTAACTGTTCTGTTATTTTGCTCCCTCTTCTAAGATCTTTTTTCTCTAAACTCATGTTCTAAATGGTACCATATGGTGTAGGGTTTAATTGTTCTTTGGTTCATATATTTCTATTCTGGGTTCTTCAGTTAGATAATAAATGTGTAAAAGTTTACTGATCTCCACCCCAGCCTAGTACCAGGCATTTAATCTGTTAATGGACCGAATCTAGCAAATCTACAAGAGTTTAACAAATAAAAGGGAAGCTGTATTTCTCAGATTATTGCTGTTTGTCATTGATTTGGGTAATTTATAGTTCTAGTAGCCCTTTGGGACTATTTGCACTCTAGTGCACTATAAAATGTGAAGTCACAAAAGAACATCTTAACCTGTATTCAGTAAGTCTTTTACTAAGACTTTGTGAATAGCATTTTACCAGGTACATGGGGGAAAATACTAAAGATGTCTAAAACATAACCTCTGCTCTCAAGAAACTTGTGATCTTGTTGTAGAGAGGTTTCATATATATTAAATTATTTATGTGTTATAAAGTATAGGGCCAAGCCAGGCATGGTGGCTCATGCCTGTTATACCAGCACTTTGGGAGGCTGAGGTGGGTCGATCATTTGAGGTCAGGAGTTCGAGACCAGCATGACCAATATGGTGAAACACCAGCTCTACTAAAAAAAATACAAAAACATTAGCCAGATGTGGTGGCACGGGCCTGTAATCCCAGCTACTTGGGAAGCTGAGGCAGAATTGCTTGAACCCGGGAGGCAGAGGTTGCAGTGAGCTGAGGTTGCACCACGGCACTCCAGCCTGGGTGACAGAGTGAGACTCTGTCTCAAAAAAAGAAAAGTATATGGTCCATGTAAGTACGTATACTACGTATTATATATGTATATGAGTTAATATCTAAAACATGAGTTTATACATAAAATACACTTTAGTGCAGTGCCTAGCACACAGTAAGAGCTCAATGAATATGTACATATCCAAAAGATCTAATGTATGGTATGATGACCATAGTTAATAATATTGCATTGTACACCAGAAATTTGCTAAGATCATAGATTTTAGGTCCTCTTATCACAAAAATAGTAATTATGTGAGGAAATTGATATGTTAATTTGCTTGACCATAGTAATCATTTCATTATATATATCAAAACATGCTGTATACCTTAAATACACACAATAAAAATATATCCGTCCAGTCATACCAAATGGAGGCTACTGAGCATTATTTAATCTGCCATTACTCAGGATTTTTAGGGATCTATTACTATGGTTATCATTTATTATCAGACATCACTTAATAAATATTTATTGTTTCTATTCTGTGCTTCCCAGAATGTATAGTCTAGCAAAGTCAGTGTTGAGAAAGGAGTATATAAAATATAAGAAATTAAACTTTTTATTAAGGGGCTATATTAGTTCATTTTTTGTTGCTTATAACAGAATACCTGAAATTTACAAAGAAAAGGAATTTACATTTTACAGTTATGGAGATTGAGAAGTCCAAAGTCAAGGGGGCCACATCTGGTGAAGAATCTTCTTGCTGGTGAGGACTCTGCAAAGTCCTGAAATGGCACAGGACATCACATGGCCAGGAGGCAAAGTGTGCTAACATTAGTCCATGAATGGATTAATCTATTCATGAGGCCTGAGTCTTCATGGTCCAATTACTTCTTAAAAACTCCCACCTCTCATTACTGCAACATTGGGGATTAAGTTTAAACATGAGTTTTGGAGGGGACAAATATTCAAACTATAGCAGAAGTCCTCTACTGCAAAATGCTTTGCAGATGAAGTCTCTCATATGAGCTCACTTTCTCCAATATCATTTTTTTGTTTGCTCCTTAAAAGTTCAGCAGAAAAAGGATAATTTTTGTACATCTAGTTTGGATAGACTCTGGCTATGATTTTATTTTACTGTTAACCAAAATGCATAAGTGCTCTCTCTCATGTTTATTTTTAATATATGAATTTGGATAAATTAGCCTGGGGTTAGGTAAATTAAATGGGAAAATATCCCTGATAGAGCTAGCAACAAAAACAATATGTGGTTCTTTGATTCTGTGACTTATTTAATGGATCACAATCAAGTACCAGCTAAAGGCTGGTAATTTAAATTATAAGCAGAGGGGTTCAAAGCTATGGCTAATTCATTACTCACACATCTCTAGTTGAAGTAGTAATTTAAAGTCATGTGTGTCCCATTAATTGTAATCTCGTTTCCAAATGACAAGATAAATATCTCAAGGAACATAATATATTATGGTCATAGGTCAACCCAAATGAATGTCTAAAATAGATTAGCACTAAGTGCATGCAATATGTCATGTTTATAAATTTTAAAAAGGATAAATTGTATTAACATTTAGCAGGTTGTTCATTACACATCATCAATGTTTAGCTTTAAATGCATTAATAGTCTATTCAGTTACATTATTCTTTGAAAATACCACACACAGAGATGCTACAAAATCCATGACTGAAAATCTAATAATTGAGAAAAAAAATAGAACAAGATAATTGTGCCCCTTCCCACCAAGATTTCATTGCTTTGTTTTGCATAAATGTGAAATAGATGTATTTTGGCCCTGAAGTGATTCAAACAAGGGCAATGTTAAAATTATCAAAATGAGAAAATTGCCAAAATGCCAGGTCCCTGCCAATCTCTACTTGTATCTCATTTTAATTTAAGCCTCTGCATCAGCTTAGAATGGGTCAGCACTTCATCCAGAGTCTTAGATTAGAAAACAAAATTGTCACCTAAAACCACATAGCAGAGTAAGTGGAGAATCAGGATGCAGGCTGTTAATTGAGAGTTGGTTTTCTGATTTAGGCTGAAATTAAACTGTTGTGATTTCACATGGATGAACCAGTTTTCCTACCTATAAGCCCTAAAGATCACACGTGAAGTATGACTCTCATCACGTCTACATGTCATTATGCACTGCTGTTAAAATATTTTCCTCCTTAGAATGATCTGAGGAGGAAAATATTTTATAGCACCACATTCTAAGGAGGGAAGCAAGAGGAAGACTCAAAATATATAAAGGGAATTCAAAATACTTGTAAATATAACACAGATTCTTGACTCCTGAA
Organism: Homo sapiens; assembly: GCF_000001405.40. Taxonomy (NCBI): domain Eukaryota; kingdom Metazoa; phylum Chordata; class Mammalia; order Primates; family Hominidae; genus Homo; species Homo sapiens. The sequence goes on along the minus strand of NC_000002.12, from coordinate 181,213,753 downwards.
GAACCTGTTACTCAAAGTATTTTCTACATAATACAAATGAAGTTCAAGCGTACATGTAAAAACCAATACTTGTCACCCTAATGTCATTACATCTGAAATAAATGAGCACATTCAAACACTGCACAGAAAAAAATATATTTTCTTACCCTAGAATTCCTGCTCTGAAAGAGCCTCATATTTCTTGGGTGAATATTTTGAAAAAACCATTTAGGGTAGAGTAAGGTACAGTGAAGAAGAAACAGCAAAACAACTAAATCTTGCCCTTGGAAATATTTTGGTTAGCTAGCATAAGTGTTCTTTTTGCTTTTTACTTTTTGTTTGGATGTTTGTTTTGTACTGAATTTGAGTGTCTTTAAAGCAAGGCAGGCAGCCTGGAGTTGTTCAACAGTTTCCTCTACATCCTACTTTCTTATACAATGCCCAATCCCACACCAACATTACCTGTAGACAGTAGTTTTTTAAATAATTTTTAAAATAAAATATTATTATTCATATTTTTTTCCAATTTTATTTCAGTTCAAGGGGTACATGTGAATATTTGTTAGATGGGTAGGTTGCATGTCACTGGGGTCTGGTGTACAGACAATCTAATCACCCAGGTACTATGCTCACTAACATAGTATCTGATAGGTAGTTTTTTGACCCTCACCCTTCCCCCACCCTCCTCCCTCAAGTAGGCCCCAGTGTCTATTGTTCCCCTCTTTGTGTCCATGTGTACACCATATTTAGCTCTCACTTATAAGTGAAAAGTGCAGTATTTAGTTTTCTGCTCCTGTGTTAATTTGCTTAGGATAATGGCCTCCAGTTCCATCCATGATGCTACAAAGCACATGATTTCATTCTTTTTTATGGCTGGGAGGTGTTCTATGGTATATATATACCACGTCTTTATTATCCAGTCCACTGTTGACAGATATCTAGGTTAATTCTATATATTTGCTATTGTGAATAATCCTGCAATGAACATACCTATGCATGCCTTTTTGTAGAATGATGTATATTCCTTTGGGTATATACCCAGTAATGGGATTTCTAGATTGAATAGTAATTTTGTTTTAAGTTCTGTGAAAAATCTCCAAACTGGTTTCCATAGTGGTTAAACTAATTAACATCCACACCAGCAGTGTATAAATTTTCCCTTTTCTCTGGAACCTCACCAACATCTTTAATTTTTTGATTTTAAAAATAATAGTTTTTCTGAGTTTTCAAAATAATAGCCATAAGATAGTATCTCATTGCAGCTTAATTTGCATTTCCCTACAATTAGTTATGTTGAGTATTTTTTCATTTGCTTGTTGGCTATGTCTTCTTTGAAGAAATACCTGTTCATGTCCTTTGCCCATTTTTTATGGGGTTGTTTTTATTTGTTGATTTAAGTTCTTTATAAATTCTGAGTATTAGACCTTTGTCAGATGCATAGTTTGCAAACACTTTCTCCCATTTTGTAGATTTTCTCTTTACTTTGTTGATAGTTTCTTTTGCTGTGTAGAAGCTCCTTAATTTAATTAAGTCCAATTTGTCTATTTTTGTTTTTGTTGCTGTTGCTTCGGGAAACTTGGTCATGAAATCTTTTCCAATGTGTATGTCCAGAATGGCATTTCCTCAGTTTTCTTCTTGGGTTTCATAATTTTAGGTTATACATTTAAGTCTTTACTCCATCTTGAGTTAGTTTTTGTATATGGTAAAAAGAAGGGGTCCATTTTCACTCTTCAGCATGTGACTAGCCAGTTATCCCAGCACCATTTATTGAATGGGGAGTCATTTTCCCATTGCATTCTATCAACAATTATTTACATATATTTTCACATGTATTTATTTGTGTATATTAATTTGCATAGACTCAACAAATCTTGCATCTGAGGAATAAAGCTAATCATGGTGGATTAGCTTTTTCATGTGCTACTGAATTTGGTTTGCTAGTATTTTATTGAAGATTTTTGCATCTATGTTCATCAGGAATATTGGCCTGAAGTTTTCTTTTTTTATTGTGTCTCTGCCAAGTTTTGATATCACAATGATGCTGGATTCACAGAATGAGTTAGTGTGAAATCCTTTCTTCCAGGTTTTTGGGAATAATTTCAGTAGGATTGGTACCAGCTCTTCTCTGTACATCTGGTAGAATTAACCTATAAATCTGCTTTGTCCAGGGCTTTTTCTGGTGGTCGATTTTATATTACTGATTCAATTTCAGGACTCATTATTGGTCTGCTCAGGATTTTGATTTCTTCTTGGTTTAATCTTGGGAGGTTATATTTTTCAATTCATTTCTTCTAGGTTTTCTAGTTTGTGTGCATACAGATGTTCATAATCATCTTGGAGTTTTTTTTTTTATTTCTTTGTGGTCGATGGTAATGTTAGCTTGTCATTTCTGATTATGTCTATTTTGATCACCTCTTTTTTTCTTCATTTAGCTAGCAGTGTATCAATCTTATTTATTCTTTTGAAAACCCAACTTTTGTTTTTGTTGATCTTTTATCTGGATTTTTATACCTCAATTTCATACAGTTCAGCTCTGATTTTGGTTCTTTCTTTTCTTCTGCTAGCTTTGTAGTGATTTGCTCTTGTTTTTCTAGTTGCTCTAGGTGTGATGTTAGTTTTTTAATTTGAGATCTTTTTAACTTCTAGATGTAGGCATTTAGCAGTATAAACTTTAGTCTTAACACTATTTACCTGTGTCCCATATATTCTGGTATGTTGTATCTTTGTTTTCATTAGTTTAAAATAATTTCTTGATTTCTGTTTTATTTTCATTCTTTTCCCAAAAGTCATTCAGGAGCAGGTTGCTTAATTACCATTTAATTGTATGACTTTGAGAAATCTTATTGGTATTGATTTCTGTTTTTGTTGTGCTGTGATTCAAGTGTGTAACTGGTATAATTTTGATTTTTTAAAATGCATTGAGAATTTTTTTATGGCTAAGCATGTGGTCAATCTTAGAATACATGCCATGTGCAGATGAGAAGAATGTATATTCTGTTAATGTTGGGTGGAGTATTCTGTAGGTGTCTGTTTGGTCAAATGTCCATTTGGTCAAGTGTCAAGTTTCAGTTTTCTGCCTTGATGATGTGCCTAAAACTGTCACTGGAGTGTTGAAGTCTCTATTATTGTGTGGTTATCTAATTCTCTTTGTAGCTCTCTAAGAATTTGTGTTATGAATCTGGGTGCTCCAGTGTTGGGTACATATATATTTAGGATAGTTAAATTTCTTGTCGAATTGAACACTTTATCATTATATAATGTCCTTCTTTGTCCTTTTTGATTGTTGCTTGTATAATGTCTGTTTGGGCTGAAATAATAGCAGCCCCCGTTCTTTTTTATTTTCTGTTTTCTTGACAGATCTTTCTCCATCCCTTTATTTTGACCCTATGGGTATCATTACATGTGAGATAGTCTCTTGAAGACAGCATACAGTGGGGTTGTGCTTCTTTATAGAACTTGCCACTGTGTCTTTTAAGTGAAGTGTTTATACTATTTATGTTCAAGGTTAATATTGTTATGTGAAGATTTTATCCTGCCATTGTGTTGTTAGCTGACTGTTATGCAGACTCGTTTGTACAGTGCTTTATAGTGTCAATGGGCTATGTAGATAAGTTTTTTTTTGTGTGGTGGCAGGTAATGGTCTGTCATTTCCATATTTGGCACTCCTTTAAGGACCTCTTGTAAGGCAGGTCCAGTGGTAACAAATTCCCTTAGCATTTGCTTGTCTGAAAAGATTTTTTTCTCCTTCACTTATGAAGCTTAGTTTGACTGGATATGAAATTCTTAGTTGGAATTTCGTTTCTAAAGATGCTAAATATAAGCCCCCAATCTCTTCTGGCTTATAAGGTTTCTGTTGAAAAGTCCGCTGTTAGCCTGAGTAGGTCCCCTTTGTATGTAATTTACCCCTTCTCTCTAACTGCCTTTAAGGTTTTTTTCTTTCACATTGACTTTGGAGAATCTGATGACTATGTGTCTTGGAAATGGCTTTCTTGTATAGTAACTCATAAGAGTTCTGAATTTCCTGAATTTGCATATTGACATCTCTAGTGAAGTTGGGGAAATTTTCATACACAGTATCCTCAAATATGTTTTCCAGTTGCTTGCTCTCTCTCTCCATCTCTTTCAGGAATGAAATGTGTTGAAGGTTTGATCTCTACATCATCCTATATTTCTTTGAGGTTTCTTCTTCTTTAATTCTTTTTTCTTTATTTTTGTCTGCCTGCATTAATTTAAAGGAGCAGTCTTCGAACTCTGAGATTCTTTCCTCAGCTTCACCTGTCCTGTTATTTATGCTTCCAATTGCATTCTGAAATTCCTTTAGTAAACTTTTCATTTCCAGAAATTCAGTTTGGTTGTTTCTTAAAACGACTATGTTGTCTTTCAACATTCATTCTACTATTTTCTTTGGTTTGGGTTTCAACCTTCTCCTGTATCTCAATGAGCTTTCTTGCCATCCAGATTCTGAATTCTATGTCTGTCATTTCAGCCATTTCAATCTGGTTAACAACTATTGCTGGGGAGCTAGTTTAGTCATCTGGAATATAAGAAGACACTCTGGCTTTTAGAGTTCCCAGAGTTATTGTGTTCATTCTTTCTCTTCCATGTGAGTTGATGTTCCTTTAGTCTTTGAAGCTGCTATCTTTTGGATGAGGCTTTTTGCTTTTATATTCTTCAGTGTCCCTTGAAGATTTGACTGTGGTATAAATTGGGTTTAGTCAATTGGCTTCATTTCTGAATGCATTTAGGGGGTCAAGGCTCATCTCAGCACTCCGAATCATGTGATGTAATGCTGGGGGGCTAGGAATAAGATTGCAACTTTGTTCTTTTGCTCCTTGAAGTTAACCACCTGCAGTGCTGGAGGGGCTGAAGTATTCCAAGTCCACTAGCAACAATCTTTCAATAGGGGCTGCCAGCAAAAGTGTGCCAGTAGGACAGTGGTGAGTTCCCATGCACATGTGAACCAGCAGGACTGGAAGGGGTCCACGCACACATCAGCAAGGCACTAGGGGACTGGAGGCAAGTGGTGAGTGTGTGCCACTGGGGGAAGGCTGTGGGTAAATGTATGCTTGCAGGGGTCTGTCTATAAAAGTGCTCTGACAAGTAGGCTGGGTCTGCCAGTGAAAGAGCTATGGCAGTGACCACTCGTGAGCACTTTGGCTAGGCAGCTGAGCCTGTGTTGCAAGTGGGTATGGACAGGTAGTGAGCCTGGGAGAGGCTGAAAGATGGGAAAGGGACACTCAGATCAGACTGGCCCCATCCAATGGACAAGACAATCCTGCTCTGTCTAGGTCCAGCAACTAACAAATGCTACAGCCATCTGGAGGAGTAGAGAGAGTATAGGGGTATGGGCATTCATGGCTGTGCTACACACAGGTTGGAGTTCTGTCTCTGCCAACTGCCCAGGAAGTTCTCCCTGCCAACTCAGATGTCCACGGGGGTCATGGCATCTCCCACAGCTAAGATTCCAGAGGTCCATAGCAAGAATGGGTCACTCCATGCCTATTTCACTTACCCCTTCACCTTAGAGCCAGGAACAAGTCTTTGTGCTAGGCAATCCCATGCAGGGTTCCCAAATTCCTCCTCTTTCAGCCCAGGGCTTGAAACTTCCCTCTGTCCAGTCTCTATGCCTTCTTTCCAGAGATCTTTTCAGAATATGCCAGTCTACTTGATGGTCTGGTCTCTTTCCATTGGAGAAGCTCTCCTTGGCTGCATCTAGTGGGACATCTTGGCTCCTCACCTTTCCTTTAAATTTTTTAAAAATTGACCAATAATAATTATACATATTCATGGGGTCCATAGTGTTGTTTTGATACATATGTATAGTGATCAGATCAGAGTAATTAGCATATTCATTATCTCAAACAGTATTTATGTTGAAAACATTCAATATCCTCTATTAATTTGAAATATATTTTATTATTACCTACATTCATCCTGCAGTGTCATAGAACACTAGAATTTGTTCCTTCTTGATATCTTGATATGGCTTGGCTCCGTGTCCCCACTCAAATCTCATCTTGAATTGTAATACCCACATGTAGAGACAAGGAGGTAACTGGATCATGGGGGCAGTTTCCCCCATGCTGTTCCTGTGATAGTGAGTGAGTTCTTACTAGATATGACGATTTTATAAGACAGTTTTCCCACTCTTGCTTGCTCTCTCTCACCTGCCACTATGTAAGATGTGCCTGCTTCCCCTTCCACCATGACTGTAAGTTTCCTGAGGCCTCCCCAGTCATGCAGAACTATGAGTCAATTAAATCTCTTTATTTTATAAATTATCCAGTCTCGGGTATTTTTTAATAGTAGTGGAAAAAGGAAATAATACAGTAAATTGGTACTGAGGTACTGAGGAACTGCTAAAAAGATACTCAAAAATGTGGAAGTGACTTTAGAACTGGGTAACAGGCAGAGGTTGGAACAGTTTGGAGGACTCAGAAAAGAAAGGAGGATGTGGGAAAGTTTGGAACTTGCTAGAGACTTGTTGAATGGTTATGACCAAAATGCTGATAATGATATAGACAATGAAGTTAAAGTTCAAGCTAAGGTGGTCTCAGATGGACATGAAGAACTTATTGGGAACTGGAGTAAATATTACTCATGCTAGGTTTTAGCAAATAGACTGCTGGCATTTTGCCCCTGTTCAAGATCTGTGGAACTTTGAACTTGAGAGAGATTATTTAGAATATCTGGCAGAAGAAATTTCTATCAAGATATATCCTGGATTATTCTAAGAGCATTCAGTTTTATGTGTTCACAAAGAGATGGCTTGAAATTGGAATTTATGTTTCAAAGCAAAGCAAAGCATAAAAGTTTGGAAAATTTGTAGCCTGACCAAATGGTAGAAAAGAAAAACCGATTTTCTGGGTAGAAATTCAAGTCCACTGCAGAAATTTGCATGAGTAAGAAGTCAAATGTCAATCACCAAGACAATGGGGAAAATGTCTCCAGGGCATGTCAGAGACTTTCACTGCAGCCCCTCCCATTACAGACCTGGAGGCCTAGGAGGGAAAAATGGTTCCCTTGGCTGGGCCCAGAGCCCCACTGCTCTGTGCAGCCTCCAGACTCGGTGCCCTGCATCCTAGCCATGACTAAAAGGGGTCAATGTACAGCTCAGGCCATTGCTTCAGAGGGTTCAAGCCTAAAGCCTTGGTGGCTTCCACATGGTGTTTGTCCTGTGTGTGCACAGAAGTCAAAAATTGAGGTTTGGGAACCCCTGTCTAGATTTCAAAGGATGAATGGAAATGCTTGGATGTCCAGGCAGAAGTTTGCTGTAGGGGTGGACCCCGATGGAGAATCTCTGCTAGGGCAGTGCAGAAGGGAAATGTGGTGTTGGAGCCCCCACACAAATTCCCCTCTGGGATACTGCCTAGTTGAGCTGTGAGAAGAGGGCCACTGTCCTCCAGAATGGTAGATCCACTGACAGCTTGCACTATGCTCCTGGAAAAGCTGCAGACACTGAATGCCAGCCCATGAAAGTAACTGGGAAGGGGGCTATAGCCTGGAAATCCACAGAGGTGGAGCTGCCCAAGACCATGGATGCCCACCTCTTGCATCAGTGTGAGCTGGATGTGAGACTTGGAGTCAGAGAAGATTATTTAGGAACTTTATGATTTAATGACTGTCCTATTGGATTTTGAACTTACATGGAGCCTGTCGCCCCTCTGTTTTGGCCAATTTCTCCCATGTAGAACAGGAGCATTTACCCAATGCGTGTATCCCCATTGTATTTAGGAAATAACTAGCTTGCTTTGATTTTACAGGCTCATGGGTGGAAGGGACTTGCCTTGTCTCAGATGAGGCTTTGGACTGTGAGACTTTTGAGTTAATGCTAAAATGAATTAAGGCTTTTGGGGGACTGTTGAGAAGGCATGATTTGTTTTGAAATGTGAGAAAGACATGAGATTTAGGAGTGGCCAGGGCAGAATATGGTTTGGCTCTCTGTCCCACCCAAATCTCATCTCGAATTGTAATTCCTACATATCGAGAGAGGGAGGTGATTGGATCATGAGGGTGGTTTCCTCCGTGCTGTTCTTGTGATAGTGAGTGAGTTCTCACTAGATCTGATAGTTATATAGTTTTATAGTTTTATAAGGTAGTTTTCCCTGTTCTTGCTAGCTGTCTCTTGCTTGCCACCATGTAAGATGTGGCTGCTTCCCCTTCCACCATGATTGTAAGTTTCCTGAGGCTTCCCCAGCCATATGGAACTGTGAGCCAATCAAACCTTTCCCTTATAAATTACCCAGTCTTGGGTATTTCTTTATAGCAGTGTGAAAACAGACTAATACACATCTATCTAGCTGTAATTTTATATCCTTTAACAAATCTCTTTCTATCCCTCCCTTCCCCAACCCTTCCCAGTCTCTAGTATACTCTGCTCCCTTTGTATTTCTGTGAGATCAACTGTACTTTTTTAGCTTCCACATGAGTGAGAACATGTGGTGTTTAACTCCCTGTTCCTGCTTATTTCACGTAACATAATGTCCTACAGTTCCATCCATGTTGACTTGAATGACAAGATTCTTCTTTTTATGGCTGAATATTACTCCATTGTCTATACCACATTTTCTTTATTCATTAATATGTTGCTGGAAACCTAGGTTGATTACATACCTTGGCTATTATAAATAGCACTGCAATAAACATGAGAGTGCAGATTATCTCTTTCGTATAGTTATTTTTTCCACTAACAGAGCTTAAGAGTTCCCTTTTCTCTGCATCCTTTCCAGCATTCACTACTTTTTGTCTTTTTGATAATAACCATCCTAACTGGGGTAAGATGATACTTCATTGTGGCTTTGATTTCCATTTCCCTGTTAATTAGTGATACTCAGCTTTTATTTTCACACATTTCTTGGCCACTTGTATGCCTTCTTTTGAGAAATGTCTGTTCAATTATCAATTATTTGTACATTTTTGGTCATTTTTTTTTTGCTGTTGAAATGTTTGAGTTCTTTAATATTCTGGATATTAATCTCCTGTCACAAGAATAGTTTGCAAATATTTTCTCACATTCTGTAGGTTGTCTTTTCACTATGTTGATTGTTTCCTTTGCTTTTTAGTTGACATAATCCCATTTGTTTATTTTTACTTTTGTTGTCTGCACCTTTTCACCTTATTTATAAAATGTTTTCCAAAACCAATTTCTGGAAGCATTTCCCATATGTTTTCTTTCCATAGTTTTATCTTTTGGATCTTACATTTAGGTCTTTGCTGCTCTACTGAAGATAGGGCATTTGTTTTGTTAACTAAAGTTTGCACAGAACTGAAAGGATCAAATAGCCAAGGGAGCTTTTCAGGGTCTGTACAAGTGAAGGAAAAAAAATAACAGTTGAAGCTAAAGGCAAGGAGAGGAACTTTGAAGATAAAAATGAAACAATTTAAAGTAGAATTTTATAAGGTTTCTGCTGGGCTTTATGCAACAGCAATCCTACCCTCCATAAACAATATTTTTAGAAAAATATAAATTTCTCATATATTTCTCACTATATTATAAACTTGGATGTATTCTAGAGAACCAACAAAGTGCTGAGTGTCTCAGTACAAGGCAATTGTTGAGAATATCTTGAACCACATTTGGGTTGCATTCACACAACAGGGTAAATTCTTGCATTTGGTTATTTTTCTCCTCTCTATTCAAGGATATGACTCAATTTAGCTGGCAGATAGAAATTGGGTTTGACCAAGGCTCAGCCCATCAGATGCTTCTTCTGTCTTTTGGACACTTCATGGGGTAAAAAAAAAAGGAATACAGTGACAGAGATTATTTATAGCTCAGCATTTCTCAGGCATGCATTCAAACATTTCTAAAATAAAAATTTTCAAATAGTCCAAGAAATTCAGAATGGATTCTTTAATCCATTCCAGTGAAAACCAAAATAATTTTTTAAACTTCTTATGAAGCCCATTTAGAAGCTATACCAACAATTCCTTTTTTAAAAAGGTACTGGATATAAAGTTCCCAAGGCAAGCATACTTTTAAAATCTCCTTACCTGGTTGAGATACAGCATGATAGACTCATTTAGAGTTCAAATCCTAATTTATCACTTACTAACTGTGTAATCTTGGATACCTTACTTAACTTGCCTGTGCCTTAGATTCCTTATCTACAGCCTCATCATCAAGGGCAAGGGTGGGGTACAATGGATAGCAGTTAAGGCAGCAATCAGAATAGTCTGACTCATGCATGCCTATGGCATTAGCTAGTATTAGTTGGATGGGACTGCCATAATAAAATGCTACATACTGGGTGGCTTGAATAACAGGAATTTACTTCTCACATTTATAGAGGATAGAAGTCCAAGATTAAGTTGTTGGCAGTTTTGGTTTCTGCTGAGACCTCTCCATGGCTTGCAGATAGGGTATTCTTGCTATCTCCTCACATGGTCTTTTTTCTGTGGACATATATCTCTGATGTCTCTTCCTCTTCTTATAGGGACATCAGTCATATTGGATTAGGACCCCATCATTATGACCTCATTTATGCTTTATTACTTTTTTAAAGGCCCTATCTCCAAATATAGTCACATTGTGAATCAGGGCATCAACATATGAATTTGTGGCACACAAAATTCAGTCCATAACAGATAGTAATAGTGCCTACCTCACAGGGCTGCTATAAAGATTTATTAAGTTTGTATTTGTAAAGTATTTATAACAGTGTCTGATAGGTAGCAGAGCCATGCAAGTGTTCATTAAATGATTTTGAAAAAAAAGTTAAAGATTATTTTCTAATCTCTTTGAGTTAATTTTCTCATCTGCAGAAAAAATCAACCTCTCTCTTTCTGGCAAATAAGAATCAGGCATGTGTACTAGTTATTTCTACATAAAAAAATTATCCTAGGCCAGGCACGGTGGCTCACGCCTGTAATCCCAGCACTTTGGGAGGCGGATGCAGGTGGATCACGAGGTCAGGAGATCGAGACCATCCTGGCCAACATGGTGAAACCCCATCTCTACTAAAAGTACAAAAATAAGCTGGGCATGGTGATGCGCGCCTGTAGTCCCAGCTACCTGGGAGGCTGAGGCAGGAGAATCACTTGAACCCAGGAGGCAGAGGTTGCAGTGAGCCAAGATCGCACCACTGCACTCCAGCATGGTTACAGAGCAAGACTCTGTCTCAAAAAGAAACAACAAAAATTAATTACCCTAAAACTTAGCAGCTTAAAACAAAAATAAGCATTTATTATTTCACATAGCATCTGTGGGGTAAGAATTCAGGAGCAGTTTAGCTAGGCCATTCTGGCCCAGCCTCTCATGAAGTTATAATTAAGATAATCATAATTATCTGAAAGCTTGTCTGGGGCTGGAGGATACACTTCCAAGATGTCTCACTCATGTGGCTTACAAGTTGGCTGACAAGTTGTTGCTAGGACTGGCAGAAGGACTCAGTTCCTCACTATGTAGTCCTCTCCAAAGGGATGCTTAAATGTCCTCACAACAGGGCAGCTGGCTTCTAAGTAAGTGATATAAGAGAGAGCAAGGCAGAAATGACAATGTTATTTATGATCTGGCCTGAGAAGTTACATACCATCACTTCTACTGTATTCTATTGGCCACAGCAATGAACCCTAATATCACATGAGAAGGGACTACACAAGAGCATGTATACCAAGCAGCAAGCATCAGTGGGAGCCATCTTAGAGAATGGCTACCATACTTTGCCAGTCAGATGCCCCTGTCAGGACTTTGAAACATGAGAAAGTGAAGTAAGGACACAGTGGCAGCAAAAACTTACAGCTCATCACAAATATCAAATGGAAACAAGGCTAGTGATAGCATCCCAAGTAAACTATTACCCTGATGTTTTCTGGACTGTTTTCCATTGTCTTACATTTTTAAGTCCTTTCATTCTCTAATCTTGTTTCACAATACCCCAATTGATTCTATGACATGTTTAATACTCTTTCAATAATTTCTTTTTGATCCACTGGTTAGTCATTTGGTACATATTGTTTATAAACAAGAACCCCAACTCATACAATGTAGAACTCTCCTTCTCTGCCCTCTACTACAATTTCTCATCTTCCTTCAGACTTCACATCCTAGGGCACATGTTATTTCCTCCAGGAAGCCTTTCCTGACAAATCAGAGTAGAGCCAATGCCACACTCCATGCTTTAATTGCACTTTTTATTTCCCATTTTCATCTGTGTTATTAAAAAGTAAAACCAGTTAGCTAACTGCCATAATATAATCAATTTTCCTCCAATATAATTTTTCTCCATAAGGGCAAAGAACATGAGTGTCTTGTTCACTGCTGTATCCCAGCACCCATATAGTAAGTCTCCCCAAAAGTGAATAATTAAAGCCAAACACAAATTTTGCTATTTTTCCTATCTTTATGAGAGAGCTGTCATCCTTCAATTATCTGTTTTAGTTTGAGTTGAGAATTATGTTGTCTTCATTTACTTTTACATTTTCTAATGTATTTTTCTATTAATTTTTATTGTACTCTTGAATAATTTTTAAATTGGCATTTTCAAAGGTCAGCTTGATGTTGCCATCTTTGACGCCAAGGATTCCCAAAGAATATATTCCTTATTCAGTGAATTCTTTTCCTATGGGGAACCCAAAATATAATTAGAAGTTTGCTTCATTAACATGAAATTTGAAAATGAACTGAGTTAATTATTTGATTTGATTGTTCAATGGCATCCGGCTAAGGGAGCTTGACAGAGAACTGAGCTATTCCTGCCAAGATGTCTGACAGGTCCATGAGCCAGCATTCCCTCTACAGGGATGGGAAGTGCCAATGCTAGACTCTCTGGACCTCATTTTTCTCTGCTGACCAACTATCCCTCCCCTATTTCTCTTCTTCATTCTTTCTTTTGTTGTGTTATTACCATCTAAACTCACATTTGATGATCTGGGAACAATTTATTTTAAAGAAAATTTTATCTTTGATCAGGTTTGAAGTCGAGAAAACAGGAAATGCAGAATTTTTACGAATAACTCCTGAAGTTTTGAATTTTTTTTAAATCAGGTAAAAATCAATGTGACCTGCATTACCAGCCTGAGGTATAATTATGATCATAAATCTTTTTAATAATCAAATTAATCATTCAATCCCCCATAGGACCAATTTAAAAGCAAATCCAGTGGCTACCTCTTGAAACCTACCCTACACCTAACCAAGTTGACAAGAATCACAGAAGCTTACAAAGTCCAAAGGGACCATCTCAGTTACTTAACTTTTACAGGAGTATTAAAATAGTTAAGAAGAAGAAGGGAGGGAAAGAGAAAGACTAAAGGAAAGAAAAATGGAAGGAAAGCTCTCAAGCTATCTGACCCATTTCTTTCTTTTTTCTTTTTCTTTTTTTCTTTTTTTTTTTTTTTGAGACAGAATCTCCCTCTGTTGCCCAAGCTGGAGTGCAGTGGTGCGATCTCAGCTCACTGCAACCTCTGCCTCCTGGGTTCAAATGATTCTCCTGCCTCAGCTCCCCAAGTAGCTGGGATTACAGGCGCCCACCACCAGGCCTGGCTAATTTTTTTGCATTTTTAGTAGAGAAGGGGTTTCACAATGTTGGCCAGGCTGATCTCAAACTCCTGACCTCAAGTGATCCATCTGCCTCGGCCTCCCTAAGTGCTGGGATTACAGGCAAGAGCCACCACACCCGGCCTACCTGACCCATTTCTTACTAGCCAATTGCTATTTCTGCTGTTGCTGCCATATGAATTCACTGCATTTAACTGACTCAGTCCAGCACATTCCTTTGAGCCCTTTTGCCTCTCTCACAGTGATACACAAGCTACAGATGTATACTATCTGTCTTAGTCCATTTTCTGCTGCTATACCTGTGTATACCACAGACTGGGTAATTTGCAAAGAAAAGTTTATTTGGCTCATGGTTATGGAGACTGAGAAATCTAAGAGCATGGTGCCAGCATCTCGTGAGGGTCATCCTGTGGTGGAAAATAGAAGACAGATGTGAGCACTGAGGCAGAGAGAAGTACCAGGGACAAGACTCACTTTATAACTACAGACTCATGATAACTAACCAGCTCACATGATAATGTCATGAATGTATTCATGAGGGCTTCACCCTCAGGGCCAATCACCTCTTATTAGACTCCACCCCCCCACCATTATTGTACTGGGGATTGTTTCTAACACATGAACTTTTGGGGGACACATTCAAACCGTGGCACGATGCTTAGGCTTCCAAATTTACAGCTCTCTTTTTACCCTTCAAGTCTAGGCCGTTGTTCCCACAATGTGCGTATTATGAGATGGAGGTCTTACACCCACAGACTGTTTATGCATCAATTTTCCTTCATGATTTCCTAAAATTCGCTAGTCATCTATCTGCCTTCCCTCAAAACAAGGTTTCCACTGGGGACACAGGCAAATTTATTTGAAATCATCATAATCTATCTGATGTTGTGATAAGGTAAACTCAAATTAAGTAGGGAGGAGATTCTATTTCCTTCTAGAAGGCTTTGATGATGCAAACTTACTTGGACTTTTCTCCAAGCTTGTATAGCAAAAGATACATGGGGAAAAGTTTATCAAGTCATGAAGTATCCTAATACATGCTTTTCCTGAGTCAATGGGTTGCTACTTTATTTACAAAATACAGGTAGACCCTCAGCAACTCTTCTCTCTGAATTAAAAAATCTGGTACAAATTAACTGCTTATTATCCTTCACCTGGCAGAAAAGTGGCTTGCAGCCTCTTCACCAACAAAGAAACAAAATAAAACTGTTCTCTCTTGCCAAGAATCCCTCTATAGCTCAATAAAAAGAAACTATACAGCCCACAATGATTTTGAATACTGTAAGAAAATGTGAAATAGATTTGAAGAGTATAATATAGTAGACAATTAGATAATCTAGCATAGATTTACCCCTAGTGATAGTACCCTAAATTCTGTGTAAGTCTCAATCCTTCTTAGATGTAGTCTATGTATTTGGAGGCAACTGACTCCCCACTCCCATGTTTTTAGAGGCATGTTATCTCAGGCCTTAACCAATTCAATTTCCCACATACAGTGATTGGTTAGGGATGAGCCCAAGACTAAATGTAAGCCTATGAAACCAAGTTGTAGCTCTACTCTTGAAGTAGAGGAGCTTTCTCTCCTGTTACATAAGAAATGTGCCCACCACAAAACAGTTTGCTTTAAAGTAGAGCCAATGCAGAGGAAGCAGAACTAGCAATAAATCCTGGTCATATCAGATACAGAGTACTCCATTAAACAGTAACATTCCCTTTTGGCTGACTTAGTTTGGATAGGGATTTCTGTTACTTTCTATCAAAAGATTTTCATCTGATACACATGAACTAATTTGTGTATTAGGTCCAAATTGGTAATGTACTGTGTAGAAGGGAAAGGGTGGGGACACACATTTTCTTTTTCTCTTTAAACTTGTGCCTATTGTAACCACTATAACAACAGGAAGTACAGTTTAATTGGAAATAGGCTAAGATGGTTCTAAGAATAATCATCTAAGGCTAACCGCCTGGGTAGTTTTCATGTCAGATAAATTGGCTCTCCTATTATAAAGTACATTTCTCCTGATTAGTACTTGATTAAACAACACAAACAAAAATAACCTCTTAGAACTGAATATCAACAGCTTTCTGGATTACCTTTTTCTCAGCAAGATAATGAGCATAGCACGTTGTTTAGCATGTTTTTAATTGGATGAATATCAGATATACAATGTTTTTCTATCATTGATGGCTTCTGTGCTGAGAATTTGATGACATTGTAGAATTACCACATAAAGAATTTCTTTGTAGTTGTCACAAACATTCCTACATACAAAAATAATTGTCACAACTTGACAACTTATGTATTAAACTTTTTTAAAAGTTCCAACTTGAACCCATAGAGCACTTAACCTGGTTCAAAGACTCTACTTTTGATCATGATTTATTCTTTCCCGAATATATATTTTTGTAAGGAGTAAAATTCAAGTGGATTTTTTTCATCATTAAGTCCTAAAGTAGTTACTGATTTCTTACTCTATGTAGTTCTAGAAAAGAAAAAGGCACCTGAAAGTATGGTTCTTGCCCCCAAAAGTTTGTAAGTTGGCTCTACTTAGCAAAGTAGGCAGGGTAAAAACATTTTAGTACTATTCACATAGCAAAATACAAATGAACGTAACTCAGAATCATTGAGTGATGAGAAAATAACTGGTAAAGTGGTTCTTGGTAAGGATTTGTTATTTGACTCATCAGAGATAAATAGGTTAGACAGGAAAGACTGCTTTAAGCCTAGTCAGTCACGTAATACTCTGAAACTGATTATTTTATCATTCATTTATTCAACAAATGATTACATACATTCTCTGTGTTAGGTGCTGTGTCAGATACCCTTGGTCTCTATTGTTTCAGTTAGTCTTTTATTTTGGATGTACATCAGCTGTATAGAATCATTATTCTTGATGCAAGACACACTACCATTGTTGATTTATTCAGGGACCACAGCTGGGTTGTCTCCAGTGTGAGGCTATTATAAACACATGCACATGCTTCCTGGTACACATGACTGTAAACACATAAGGAAGTGGAATCGCTGAGTCAAATGGTATATAAATGCTCTAATTTACAAGATAATATGAATTTATTTTATAAAGTAGTAGAACCCATTTATTTTCCTACCAGCAATGAATAATACAGCAGTTGCACCACATCCTCACTAACACTTGGTAGTCTTAGACTGCTTAATTTTTGCAAATTTTTTTTTGTGTGTAAAATGGTTCTCATTTTGGTCTTAATTTGTTTACCTAATTAAATTCAGCTTGAGAATCTCTTCCTGTATTTTCTGGTAATATATAAGCTTTTTTCAATTCTCCATTTTTGACTCTGTTAAATGCTTAATATTATAGCTATGGGTAGACATAAAATAGCAAATACTTGCAGAATATATTCCAGCAAGTCATCAAAATACAGAGGGTCACTTAAGACCTCTCATATTCTTTACTTCTTAGGCAATATGTGAAGAAACATCAGCACTTTGACCCCCCAACTATCGTTCACCTTATATGACATTAGGTAAGTTTGTATCAGATTCCTCAATTTCTCAGCCTTTGCCATATCTTATCTCATTCCTCCCAAAGCACATACGATTCCAATCAAACCAGAAGAGGAGGATATGGGCAGAATACAGAATGACTCTGAGTGATCTATCTATATACCATTTGACTCAGCGATTCCACCTCGTTATGTGTATACAGCCATGTGTACCAGGAAGCATGTGTATGTGTTTATAATAGACTCATACTGGAGACAACTCAATTGTGATCCCTGAATAAATCAACAATGGTAGTGTTCCTTGCATCAAGAATAATGATTCTATACAACTGAAAGACCTTTACAGACTGAAGGGCTCATGAGTTCTGGTCATGGTGTGAAGACTAGTTTACTGGTCAGAACCAGAATTCTCAGGGCATCCTGGAGCCACCCTGATAGCCACATAAGGAAGATCTGTACTGTAAGACTATAGAAAATCACTTCAAACAAAAGTAGAATTGGAATATACATTAGAGGCAGGCAGCAAGGGACTTTTGCTTTGTGCACATGGTAGAATACCAATGAAATTTATGCCCTTTCACTTTTTCAATTTCCAAATATGAAAGATAAAAACGATTGTACAAAACTTGCTGCTTCAATGAATGCCTGATGCTAATTGAAAGCCTAAAATACTAGAGACATTTTATAGCTATAAAGATAAAACAAAAATAACTTAATAAATATAAACATCAAAAATGATTTTAAAAGGTAGAAAGAAAAGTTTACATATTCCACCCATATTCAGAACCTCTAAACTTTTAAGATCATGAGTATTTTCCTCCTCAAGTAAAAATTAGAAATTATAAAGCTTCAGAATCCAGAGTTGCCAAAGTAAATATAAAAGATAGAAGTTTCAAATGTAGTGGTCTTCATTTGCATTCATAGGTTCTATTTCTAGCATATTTTCTTTCTTAATATTTCAGTATATTTGGAATAAAGACATATTTAAATTTGCTTTTTAACCAGTGGACAAATTGAGTCAAAGAGAAACAAGACAACTTTCCCAAAGCCACTTTCCCAAATCCCCAAAGGGGATTAATCCCACAAACAGACCTTGAAGTCACATCTCTAAAATCCTACTATGGCCATGATTAGGCAATCCTCCTTCTGCTCTTCTCATGATAAATAGGTTAGGGGGAAAAAGGTACATTTCCAATATTATAAAAATTTAAAGCTTCTTTTTAAAAAGAGCATAAAAGTGCCATGTGATCAGCTATTTCAACTCTATGTGTATACAAGGAATCTGTGAAAAGCTTATGTAACCAGTTAGCAGCCACCTCACCTTTTTGTGTATGTGTCTTTATAAACATTCCCAGATGTCACAATTGACACACCTACTTGTTAAATTGAAGAAATTCTTGAACCACAGTAAGCAGATGCTAGAACAGATGGAAGTTTTCTTTTTGGGCTGAGAAAAAAGAAAATTCCAATTAAGAAATGCCTGGACACTATTTTATCTCCCTTCTAGTTGACTGAACTATGAGATTTCCTTATGTCACAGTTAAGAATTTTTTTAAAAAACTTTCTATTTCCCTCAAAATCTTTATTTTTCATATATCCATAAGCATTAGCTTAAAATCTGCTCATTTTATGTCCTTCTTATAAAATTACTATGGTACTTTTGAAAAATGAAGTTAAATGAAATATTTCCGTGTAATTGTTATAGTTACTACTTTTATCCGTATCCATCTGGCGTCAAGTTTGCTTCTTAAGTTTTTCTCCCCATTCACTTACAACTTTATACAGTATCTATTATCTGCCTAACACTATTTCTTCAGTACATTATCCTCCATATATTCAAATAGAGGCATTACAAAATGCAAAATAAAATAGATCTCTTGCACAAGTATAGAAGCAGATGTCAGCTTTTCTGTCAACTCTCTTCCCAACACGCCAAATGCAACATCCGATAGTTTGTTAGTATCATTCCGCGAAAAAGAGAAGTGGTCTCCATTCACTCCTGAGCCATCCACCTGGCAGCTGCTTCTGTGACAGGTACTCTCGCCATGCGCTGATTCTTCCTGAGAGCCCTTTCCATGCTAGGTTCCTGCCATCATCCGAAGCTCTTTACTCCCTCCTAATTACCACTAACTGGAGAATACGCAGAGCAGACTGTGTAGATGGTCTGAGGCAGTGGAGCGGGTGCTGTACAGCTGCTCGTAGCCTAACATGTATCTTATGGTAAACTATCAGTCCTGTTCTTTAAAAGTCCTCAGCTATTTTTAAAATAAACTTTATTTTTAGATCAGTTTGAGTTTCACAGCAATATTGAGTAGAAGGTACAGAGAGCCCCCTGCCTCCACACATGCATAGCTTCCTCCATTGTGAACATCTTGCACCACAGTGCCCCATTTGTTACAATCAATGAACCCACACTGACACATCATTATCACCCAAAGTCCATAGTTTACATGAAGCTTCACTCTTGATGTTGTACATTCCATGGGTTTTGAAAAAATGTATAATGACATGTATCCACCACTGTAGTATCATAGAGAATAGTTTTACTGCCTTAAACATCCTTCATGTTCACCTATTTACCTTCCTCCTGGTAACCTTTAATCTTTTTACTACCTCCATAGTTTTGCCTTTTCCAGAATGTCACATAGTTGGAATCAAACAGTGTGTTGACTTTTCAGACTGACTTCTTTCTCTTAGTAATATGCATTTAAGGTTCCTCCATCTCTTTTCATGGTTTGATAGCTCATTTCCTTTTAGTGCTGAATAATATTCCATTGTCTGGATGTACCATAGTTTATCCATTTACTTAATGAAGGAAATCTTGATTGCTTTCAAGTTTTGGCAATTATGAATAAAGCTGCTGTAAACATTCATGTGTAAGTTTTTGTGTGGATATATGTTTGCAGTTCATTTGGGTAAATACCAAGGGGTGCTGTTACTGGATTGTATGGTAAGACTATGGTTAGTTTTGTAAAAACTGCCAAGCTGTCCTACAAAGTGGCCCTACCGTTTTGCATTTCCACCAGCAATGGGTGAGAGTTTTTATTGCACCATCTTCTCACAGCTTTTGATGTTGTCAGTGTTTGGGGTTTTGGCCATTATAATAGGGTTTGCAGTGATACCTCATTGTTGTTTTAATTTGCAGTTCCTTAATGACTTATGATGCTAAACATATTTCCATATGTTTATCTGCCATTGGTATATCTTCTTTGATGTCTAGGTCTTTTGCCCATTTCTTAATTGAATTGTTCCTTTTCTTGTCATTAAGTTTTACAAGTTTTTTGGATATTTTGAATAACAGTCCTCTACCAGATGTCTTTTGCAAATATTGTCTCCTACCCTGTGGTTTGGTTTGTCTTCTCATTCTCTTGACATTGACTATCTTAGGGAACTTTTTAATTCTAATGAAGTCCAGCTTATCAATTATTTCTTTCAAGCATAATGCCTTTGGTGTTGTATCTAAAAAGTCATTGCCATAGTCAAAAATCATTTAGATTTTTCCTATGTTATCTTCTAGAAGTTTCAGTTATGAGCTTTACATTTCTGTCAATGATTCATTTTGAGTTAACTTGTATGAAGAGTGTAAGGTCTGTGTCTGATGCATTTGTTTGCATGTGGATATCCAAGGGTCCCAATACTCTCAGCCATTCTTTTAATGACTGAGTTTCCAGGCTCTGTAAGATCCCAACGTTCCCACTCATGTTTTATTGTGAAACAGTTTTCCTGTTCATCTCACTAAGCCATCCTTGATTTTCCCAGAGGGTCTCATGTTTATACCCAAACTCACTGATTTAGTCACATCTAAGTATTTGAGATGTGGCCTGACTATATGTCCTCCATTAGAATACCTTAGCAAATATCTGGGTGGGAGAGGTGGTCAATGACTTTGTCATAATTTTGTTTCAACTCAGTTAAAACAGACTTAATACTATCATGTATGAAAATTATTGTTCCTGACAGCTTTCTGAGTTTCATCTTATGCTTCCTTCTTTCTTTTTTTCCCATGTTTTGTGAAATAAAGCCACAAAGAGGTTTAATAACTAAATTTTGCTTGAAGAATTTAAGAGAAGGGATTATTTACTGTGAGATACATATAAATGTAATAAATCTCTATATTTTACATTTAAAACTTGTTAGCCAATATTAGATACTTTCTTGATTATCACATTTCAAATTTTTATTGCTTTATCTTGATTACAGCAATTCTTAGCACTTCATTTTCTATGATTTTTTGAAATAATCAACTCACTGTAAAAAAAACAGTTTAATAAGTAAAAAAAAGCATCTTTCCATCTGTCTTCCAGCTTCAAGAGGGCATTTTAAAGAACAATTATTACATTTCCTACACTATGTAAGAAAAGATTTGAAAGTCCAATTATTGATATTTTGTTTGTAAGGTATAAAAGTTTGTTAATAAATTAAATATCATTTCTGTCCCATAAAATGTAAAAGGAAAGATAAAGTAGCAAGAGAAAGTAATCAATGGCTATCACAATATAACTGAACTCTCAGAAGTTTGAAGAGAGTATTAAAACAAAGTGGTTGTATAATTAAAGAGTTGAGAATTACATAATGAACCCTTTTTCTTGGAATTCCAACTACTATCAGGAACCATTAATTTTGGGCAAATGAAGTTCCACTAATGTTTCTTAGAGTCTTTAGCTTCAAGCTTCTGTAAAAATACACCTTAATTGATTTTGAAGATTTAGGAAGATTTCACAGACACTAATTCCTAATGAAATAGGAATAATCATTATTCATTTTGCTTCAACATCATTTGTTAAGGCTTTAGAACTATTGTAGCCAACAGTACTTATAAGTATTTATAAAGAGTTTGTCATATCCGGAGTTAGTCTGTTGTTTTCTGGCCTTCTGTGAAAGTAGGTAAACAGAAACATGAAAAATTAAATAAATTTTTATAGGTAAGGGAAGGCTAAAGACACAAAAGTAATCAATCTTAAGCTATCTTCCCTAGAAACTGTCTCCTTTCTACCAAGCTTCTTAAAAGCGTTTTCCAATTTTTTTAAAAAAAGATAAATGTCTAAATTTCAACCACAAGGGTAACATACAAACCTCAACACATTATTTTCCTCTGACAATTCAAGCAATAAATTGCTAAGGCTCTGTAAGACTGGCTCCAAATTAAGGGGTGATATCAATTTAGAAGACTAAAAAAAACTTTAATTTCATTACAGAATTAACGAGATTAATCATTCAGTTACCCTCTTTCCCTTATTTCTATTTAATTTTCCATATAGTTTAGATATTCTGTTATTTTTTCAATAATGCCTTTGTTTTTTCCAAATAAACAATGTAATGATCCCACAATTCTTTTCAAATTAAAGTTTTACAGCAAAACTGCCATTACCTCTTTATTTTCATTGCTTTTCTTCAGAAAACAAGTTTGAAAGTTAAATACCTCTACTATAAGCCAACAAATTAAGATCATTTCTTAAACTTGTGTGCAAAGCTCCATTTGAGGCCTCCTTTGCAAAAGCCTGATTACATTTGCATGCAATCAAAGCGATAACAATTCTCCTCCAAATTACTTTGGATCCCCACAACCATGTGGACATTAGTATGTAAAAACAAAAGCTTACTGAGTTTGGGGGGATTGTCCTATTCAGAGCCTTGGCTGCTTTAATTTGAAATGAGCTCCTCTTCATTTTTTTACCTACTGCAAACAAAGAGCTCCTAGCTTTTTAGTAGCAACATTGAGAAACAATTAAAGACTGGTGAGTAGCTTTTCAAGTCATCAGCCCAGCTGAGGAATCAGCTCTTGACAGCTGGACTGATGGAATATATGAGTAGTCAAAGGAAGCCCATAAGAACCATATGGAGTGACATACCACCACTTTCAACGTGCCCAAAGGAAACTCCCACAGCTGATGGTGTTCACACAGCTGTGGGTTATTAGGAAAGAGCCTTAAATGAATGAAGGAGCCCTCTTTAGGGTCATTCACTATCATAATCATGTTAACTAAAACCTGCTGGTGGTGAAGCAACTTAGTGGAGAAGGACAATACATCACTGTTTTTTGACAGCTGACATAAGCTACAGGGAGTTCTATCTCTTCTTTCTGTCTGTTTTGAGAAATTAATTTTGTGTCTGAGTTTTACAGTTATCTACTGGGGCTAATAAATGTGGCTTTTTACCTGACTTATATAGCTGTTAAAATTCTAAAATATGCCTTTATTAAACATCTTATTTGAATTACACACAAAAAAAATACAGTCTCTACAAATTTTCTTGAAAACCTCAAGTGAATAGTCAAATAAAATTATTTTCAGCCAACATGAGGATTTTGGAATACCATCATGCATAGCCAAGACTCCATTTGAAATGATTATGTAGGGTTAGGTGTACTTCTCCCCAAATTATTTCTTTGATGTTATTGATAATGGGTTAGAAATATATTACTGATTAACCAAATACAATCATTAAGTAAAAAATACCTTTAAGAGAAACTCAACCTAAAACTGTCATTTTACAATGGAGAAGTCAGTTTATTTTCCCCCATTGAATTTCAAGTATGCCATGTTCAGAAAAAAAAATTATAATAAAATAAGGATCACATATCACAGCCTTAAAATAACTGATGACTCCTTCTATTGTTCCTTCAACAAACACTTAGCAAGCACCTGTTATGTGTTAGAGCCTGAGATCCCCTGTGATTAATAACTGTGGCTCAGTGTAAGCATTTCTCTTTCTGGACATAGCTAAGTGAAAAGTCAAGTGTTAAGCCAAATGCACTGCCTTCTGCTTCAATCCAAAAAGGGGAATGCCAAAGAATCACTCTTTTATTTCGTTATAAAATAATGATCAGATTTTTCTTATATGTGTAGATACTTTACTCAATAAGGTTAATATTGTAGAATCAATAAAAGTATGTAAATGAAAGCACAATTAAGAAATCTATTAAGTGGAAGAAATGCATGTCTTCAAGTTGTCTTTTTCAATTTTAGTGCTTGTCTATAAATGAATGGCACTTGAATCAGGACAAATCCTAAGAGAAATGTGTTACTTTTATGCAATACCATTCTTTCTCTTTACTGTGTACAGTTGTGATTCTTCATTCACAGGCAATAGCAGGTGACATTCATGGCAGACAATGAGTTGTGCATTGAGAAGCAGGGTTAGCCGCTGCTGACAGTCGGATGAGCAAGTCTGAGAATAACATTTTGCTGCTGTTTGTTGGAGAGTGTCTCCCCAACCTCAGAACACTCTATTAATTCTCCTTTTTCACTTGATATTTATTTTCAAATTTCTGGACTTAAAATGAATTCCATCCAGAAAGACAAAGAAAGAGAAACCTTACATTCATCTATCTTTTCACAAAAATAATAGCAAGTAATGGACACTTATACAAAACATACTTTTCAGGATGCTTTAAGAAGACTGGTGTTGATTTGTTCCCCATCATATATATTTTTAAGCAGCAATTTTTATTATTTATAAGTCATCAAAGAAGCCAAATAAGGATTCAGAAGTCACATTGGTCTCAACTTCACAGCTCTCTCACTTTTGAGCTATAAATTTCAGAAACCACATTATTCTTTCTTTCATCTTATACTGAGTGAAGGCTGGGATATGTAATATTTCTTAATATTTATTTCCATCTAAAAGGGAGCACACTGTGACAACCAATTCTCTTGAGACACACACAGGTTAGTGCTGAGGCTTCTCTGGCTGAAGTCCAGGCATCACCAAGAAGACTCAGAGCAGGGAAAATTTGAGGTCCACTTTGGTAGGGCTCCATGTGCTGGGTTTCACACTGATGTGTGAATGATTGCTGGAGGCTAGATAGAAAGGAACTAACTATACATTTCCACAAATTAAAGGATGTAAACACTCACAAGAAACAGATTATGTTCACCAGTTCCAAAGTGATACAAATCCTTGGGAAATGTTGCTTTCTGCATGTTGCATGGCTAGGTGGTTACACAGCTTGGTTTTTCTGATTCCCTGCTGGTTTACGTGTGTTTCCCCAGAGTGTTTTGAATAGTACTCCCTTTGTTTTCAAGTGTATTGACTGCTTGAGTTCAGATTCTAGCTCCACTATTTTCCAGGGGAACTAGGACTAAAAGAAAATGGAACTCTGTCCCATTTTTGTCATGTGTAAATAAGAATAGTGGTGCTTCCCTCATACGGTTGCTCTGAGGACGGTGTGTATTAACACCTACGAGGTGCTTAATGCTGTCTGGTACTTAGCAAGTACTCAGGAAAAGTTAGGTATAATTTTATGTCATGGCATTAGTTTTATTACTTTAAAAGTATTACCTAATGGTTTCTTACATTTTGGATTTACTATTAGTTATCTGGTTATATGTATATGTGAAATAAATATCAGAAGATACAGATATCTTTTCTCTCAAAAATACCCACATACTCATTACATATAATGTATAATTTTTTGGCCTGGGAAAAATAGGAAATTATCAGTTGACTAAAATTGGAGTTTATTGTGTACTGAAATAAATCTAGAACGCAATATTTCTTTAATACTAAGGTGAAATTTTTCTTTCTTTTAACAATTCTCAATTCTGAAAACAACCTGTAATTAGTCTGTATACATGCTTTGGTATCCTCCATTCTACAAATAACTTGATTTTGGAATCATGAGATTTGGAATAATGAAAATAATCATATAGTGAAAATATATATACATATACACATGTATTACATGTCTATATATGCCCAATACTATCTTTTCATATGTGTGTGCACATCTTTGCTTGTAGTTTAATTCATAAAGATATTGATAAATTTGGGCATATTAAAATTAAAAGACATTGTAAAGAAGATGACAGGCTACAAAATAGAAGATAGTTCCAATAGATATACTGAAGGGATTAGTATCAAGTATATAGAAAAAGTCATTTTGATCAGTAAAAAAAAAAAAAAATTAAAACGCAATGGAAAACTGGGAAAAAGATATAATATTTTAATCAAAATGAATATATTTGACAAATAAACAGATAAAGCTGATCAATCTTATGAAAAAACCTTGAAAATGAATATCAGATCACAATATCATTTTTCAAAGTATTTGGCAAAAATTAAGAAGTCTGACAATACCAAGTGTTAGAGAGTAAAGATAAATCAGTTTGTCAAAAATAATTTCTGGAGTTGTAAATCTTGTAGAGTTTAATATTTTGTACCATGGCCTTCCAAGGTATAAACACAGAGAAACAGTTGCATGTGTGCACAGAGACATGCATAAGAGAGTTCCTACATCACAGCCAAGAATAACAAAAGCTTCAAAAATTCCAAACGTCTATTGACAGGAAAATGGATAAATAAATTGTGGTATATATTCATTGTATATTGTAAAGTAATTGAAAACAAAAATTACAGATACAGCAATGTGGATAAATCTCAATAACAATGCTGAACAAAAAGGAGCAAAACCAAACAGACATAAACAATGTATTGTTTAAGTATATGTATTTTTGTTTATGTGTATGTGATGAAACTATCTTTAAAAAGAATAATATATACAAAATTTGGGATAGTGCTTATCTCTGAGGGGAGAGAAAGAGGTTAGAAAATAGTGTATAGATAAATACAAAATAGTGTATACATATAAATAATAGTGTATAGATAAATATAAATTCCAGTTCTTTGTCGGGGGTGGGGGTTGGAGGCTCATGGACATTTTTATATTATTAAAACAAATAAAAGATGGCCATGCTTAGTCAAATGACGATAGTGTATCCTGGACTAAGAATGATAATTAATCTAATTCCAGATATTGGGGGTCCAGAAAAGATGGCAGCTCCCTTTAAGAAGGTTAGTAGGTTATTTGTCTTTTTTACTGACTTTTCATGTTCCATTATGTGTTGTATTTGGTATCTTATGTGAGTCACTCCACAAGCCATTACTTCTTTTTATAATATATGTCAAAAGATAAAATTACACAGAATTTCTTTTTACATTTTACAAAATGTACTATGGTGAGGCCTACTTAGTTGGCAATAAACACTACTGCTGATCCCTTCAAAGATTCACCAAGCAACTGGGAAACTTGATGAGATGGCAGAAATAACAAACTTATTTTAAAAAGACAACTTGAAAAAGCCTATTTGCTTTTTCTTCCTGCCAATCACACTTATTTTGTGATATATTAGCTGCTGCACGTCCCATGTGCTCCATGTTTGTAGTAGTAAGTACTAATCGGATAGAGGAGAATAAAGTCTACTGTTCAATTTTAAAATATAAATGTAAATATTTGTTTTCAGATAGAGTCAGAAAATGTAAGGCACAAATAACTTTTTTAAAAGACTCAAAAAATCTTTTGAAATTCATTAATTTTCTAATTATTACTATCCACATTTAGGTTAAAACATTGTAGAAAAGCATGGCTTTTAGGTGTGTTATGCTTTGCACTTGATAATTTTAACTTTGAAATTCAAAATTGCTGTTGTGATCAAATTCATGTCAATTGAACAAAGAATATAGAATTCAGAGATGCAGTAAAATGTCAATGAAATATCATAGACGTACCAATGTAGAGAACATAGAAACATAAACCCATAAATTTGAACCAACCTTACAAAACCATTCAGAAATATGTAGCTAATGATTCACTCTACATAGTATGGTCTTGACTAATTCCAGAAATGAAAGAGCAGAAATGATCTCCCCGAGAACTTTAAGCAGGCTATGACAATAGATTTGGCATTTAATTATGATCTCCAAATTGGTAATATCAAATTCAGCCGAGGCCCATATGTGCATCTGTTTGCTCACATGGTTGCTCCCGTACACATGCTTCATGACTGATCAGATTTCAGCCAGAGAGTTTTCTAGTTCAGGAGGAGCTTGGAATTAGGTATAAAGAGTAGGAAAAGGAGCAAAGACCTATATATGTCATTCCCTTGCTTATGCAATAAATATTTTTCTTTATTCTCTGCGTGCCATGAACTGTGTCAGATGCTAAGGAGTAATGTCGGGCAAACATGGCAAGGCCTCTGTCCTCATGCAAGCAAGTGAATGGAGAAATGATTACAGAATGGTGTGTGTTTTGAGAAAGAAGCACCATGTGCTACAATACTTTCAGCAATCTGGACTTTAAGAATCCACAAACACATTCCCAAATCAAAGTATCCCCGTGAAAGAGGAAGCCGAACTTCGTGGAAGAACTCTCAGGGCTTGGTGCTTCTCAGAAACGGGAAGTCCTAAGAATGAAGCTTAAATGGTGGGCTGACAAGAGTTCACCCGAAGAGGCAGTGGTTAAAACATAAAGAAACTCCTAAAGCAGGTTAAGTAGTTTAGATTTCATCCCAGGGCTATGGGAATCTCTGCATGATCCAGAAGTGAAATGAACACATACTACGAAGATCACTCTAGTGGCTGTGTGAAGAATGGATTAAAAGGGAACAAGTTAGAGTGCAGGGAAACCAGTTAGAAAACTATTGCTGTAATCTGGGTAAGGGATGCTGGTCTGAACTAGGGTAATAGGGAGAAGCAGGAGATTCAAGTCCCTTAAAACGTAGTATGAACTGAACTGGGTGAGTTCAAAGAAAGGGGAGAATCAAGTTTTCTTGCTAAACTCTATGTGAGGCTTTAAGAATAAAATAAGGTTTTAGTTAGGACATGGAAGAGATGTTAACCTATGCTTAGCTTCTACTTACAAGGAATAGTGGGAAAAGATACTCTGCCTAAAACACTAATCTAGGATATGATAAAATAAAGATATTTAGATATTTCCCCATCCAGTATGTACATACATAATACATTTTACCTATAAACATCTAATTATATGCAATTCAAAAACAATTTATATTTAATACAACTCATGTGTTAACAAGACTGCATTCTGCAGACAGCTATTGGTTACGAGACTCTAGGAAAAATCTTTTTACAGTTTTTGTTGTGTTTTGGAGCACAATTATCGCATAATAGAAAGTAAGCTATAATATCAAAAATGCATTTGAATTTTTTTAGTTCAGAACTGGTCATCAGGAGTAGATAGATGCCTTCTATTTTGGAAAGGCACAGGAATGAGCCACATAATTTATACATTGACAGACCACTGGAAATGTTCTAGAACAGTGATTCCCAAACACAGCTGCACATAAGACGTTCTTACTGCATCCTCACATCATGGAAAAGGCAAGAGAGGATGAACTCATTCCGTCAAAGCCCTTTTATAAGGGCACCCAATCCCATTCATGAGGGAGGAGCCCTCATGCCCTAATCACTTTGTAAAGGCCCCACCTCTTAATACTACCTCATTGGCAGTATCTGGATTGGAGTGGCCATGCATTGAAACCATAGCACCTGCGGATCATTTAAAAATGGCAACGCTCAGCACACACTCCAGATCAATTAAAATGACAATCTTTAGCGATGAGACACAGGCTTTGGCAGCTTTTTAAGCTCCTCAGGTGACATCAATGTGCAAACAAGTTTGGGGACCACTGGTGTAAAAGAGGAAGATAAATAAAAGAGAACTGAAACTGCTCTCTGTATATATTGGAGCTGGTATAATTTTCAGGCCACACACTTAGGTGTGTAAGAAATGTCTGTAATTTCTCTTTTAAGCCCCCTGTTCCACACGGTGGCTGAAATCTACTCTGTCAATCCAGGGCTTCTTTCTTTTTTCTGTCTCTCTGTTGCCCCTTTCTTTTTTTCTTTTTCAGAGACAAGGTCTTGCTCCATCACCCAGGCTGGAGTACAGTTGCATAATCATGGCTCACTGCAGTCTTGACCTTCTGGGCTTCTCAAAACTGCCTGAGCCTCCTGAGTTAGCTGGGACTACAGTGTATACCACCATGCCATGCTGAGCTTCTGTTGTTTCTTATTTGGGATTGGAGGGAGTTATAACATACCAGGGAAAAGGGGTTAGCAGGGATGAGCATCCAGCTAATATCAATCCATATTAACTCCACTAATTCCCCTCAACACATGGCTTCTTCAGGTGTCAGTTTCTGAGATCCCTAATGCATCTGCCTCATCCCACCCACACGGTCTCTCAGGTCCCCATGCTTGCTGGTGACAGCCTCACTGCTCCTGGACGCGAGGCAGACATTCTGCTCCTTCCCACTTCACACTCAAGGAATAAGAGTGGGCTTTAAAAATAGTGTAGAAAGAAATTATTGTGAATGAAAAACACTATTTAATAACTAATTAATAACACTATTTAATAATTTTATTGTGAATGAAAAAATAAATATATTTATCAAAATATAAATCATGATACTCTGCTTATCGCCTGCCATTTATGTGAAGAATTTTTATATTTGTTAAAATTTGCTTGGCTTCTGTTATTATTATCTTCAACCTTTAGGTTTTTTTCTGGAATTTTTAAAGCCACTTATCCCTTTTGTGAGGGCAAATTTTTCAAATTAAAACATACAATCCATAAAGCTACTTAACTGCATGCACAGGACAGCAATACTACACAGTATATTAAAGCTAACAGCAAGGAGGATGGTCCTGTCAGCCTTGCCACTTTGGGGAATTCCCAGGATTCCCTCAGAAAACCTCCTAAGGATAACTCTTAGACCATAAGTAACTCATGACTGGCTGATATGACACCAGTGTCAATTCTTTTCTAACAGTAGTCAATTTTTTCATAAATACAAGTTATACGTTTTTAAAGATGAATACTGGTGAGCATCTGCCTTTCAATATTTCCTCAGGTCCTCTATGAATCTATTCTGTATAGTGATCTTAGGACTGCACTTCCAGCATCAGCAAACAATACACTATTGAAGCGAGAGCCTGTATTTTTAGGGAGAGCCTATAGTCATTGCTGATTTATGATTCTATATTTTTATTGATTTCTGTAAAAACAGCATCCTTCAAAATATAGATATTTAGGTCCTATTATATCTATAGATAATTTTCCATCAAAAGATAAAACAATCTACTGGAATATGGGGAATGTAAAAGAGCAGTCTAGAAAAAGTTTACATAAAGTATACTTAAAACTAGGTAAAAAGTATTTGCATATTTTGGTGTAAACCTGAAAGAAATCAGAAGACATCAAATTAATGATTATGTATTAGGTGGCTGGGAAATGGGTATTTTTATTTTAAAATCCCTGAATCTTTTAATTATTTTATTTTATTTTATTATTATTATACTTTAAGTTTTAGGGTACATGTGCACAATGTGCAGGTTAGTTACATATGTATACATGTGCCATGCTGGTGTGCTGCACCCATTAACTCGTCATTTAGCATTAGGTATATCTCCTAAAGCTATCCCTTCCCCCTCCTCCCACCCCACAACAGTCCTCAGAGTGTGATGTTCCCCTTCCTGTATCCATGTGTTCTCATTGTTCAATTCCCACCTATGAGTGAGAATATGCGGTGTTTGGTTTTTTGTTCTTGTGATAGTTTACTGAGAATGATGATTTCCAATTTCATCCATGTCCCTACAAAGGACATGAACTCATCATTTTTTATGGCTGCATAGTATTCCATGGTGTATATGTGTCACATTTTCTTAATCCAGTCTATCATTGTTGGACATTTGGGTTGGTTCCAAGTCTTTGCTATTGTGAATAGTGCCGCAATAAACATACGTGTGCATGTGTCTTTATAGCAGCATGATTTATAGTCCTTTGGGTATATATCCAGTAATGGGATGGCTGGGTCAAATGGTATTTCTAGTTCTAGATCCCTGAGGAATCACCACACTGACTTCCACAATGGTTGAACTAGTTTACAGTCCCTCCAACAGTGTAAAAGTGTTCCTATTTCTCCACATCCTCTCCAGCACCTGTTGTTTCCTGACTTTTTAATGATTGCCATTCTAACTGGTGTGAGATGGTATCTCATTGTGGTTTTGATTTGCATTTCTCTGATGGCCAGTGATGGTGAGCATTTTTTCATGTGTTTTTTGGCTGCATAAATGTCTTCTTTTGAGAAGTGTCTGTTCATGTCCTTTGCCCACTTTTTGATGGGGTTGTTTGTTTTTTTCTTGTAAATTTGTTTGAGTTCTTTGTAGATTCTGGATGTTAGCCCTTTGTCAGATGAGTAGGTTGCAAAAATTTTCTCCCGTTTTGTAGGTTGCCTGTTCACTCTGATGGTAGTTTCTTTTGCTGTGCAGAAGCTCTTTAGTTTAATTAGATCCCATTTGTCAATTTTGGCTTTTGTTGCCATTGCTTTTGGTGTTTTAGACATGAAGTCCTTGCCCATGCCTATGTCCTGAATGGTAATGCCTAGGTTTTCTTCTAGGGTTTTTATGGTTTTAGGTCTAATGTTTAAGTCTTTAATCCATTTTGAAGCAAAGTCTCAGGATACAAAATCAATGTACAAAAATCACAAGCATTCTTATACAACAATAACAGACAAACAGAGAGCCAAATCATGAGTGAACTCCCATTCACAATTGCTTCAAAGAGAATAAAATACCTAGGAATCCAACTCACAAGGGATGTGAAAGACCTCTTCAAGGAGAACTACAAACCACTGCTCAGTGAAATAAAAGAGGATACAAACAAATGGAAGAGCATTCCATGCTCATGGGTAGGAAGAATCAATATCGTGAAAATGGCCATACTGCCCAAGGTAATTTATAGATTCAGTGCCATCCTCATCAAGCTACCAATGACTTTCTTCACAGAATTGGAAAAAACTACTTTAAAGTTCATATGGCACCAAAAAAGAGCCCGCATCGCCAAGTCAATCCTAAGCCAAAAGAACAAAGCTGGAGGCATCACGCTACCTGACTTCAAACTATACTACAAGGCTACAGTAACCAAAACAGCATAGTACTGGTACCAAAACAGCACAGTACTGGTACCAAAACAGAGATATAGATCAATGGAACAGAACAGAGCCCTCAGAAATAACGCCGCATATCTACAACTATCTGATCTTTGACAAACCTGAGAAAAACAAGCAATGGGGAAAGGATTCCCTATTTAATAAGTGGTGCTGGGAAAACTGGCTAGCCATATGTAGAAAGCTGAAACTGGATCCCTTCCTTACACCTTATCTTTTAATAATTTTAATGCTAAATGTTTGTAATGGTCCCTTAATGTTTATTATGCCAGATATAAACAGAACTACAATTCTGCTCATTAGAATATAGCTTAGGGCATGTCCTGGCTACAGTAAAATTTCTTAAACTATAATTAAAGACCTCGGCCTAGTGAATGAGTGGAACAAAAGCATGACTTTCTATAAAGGCTTTTTTACAATTAAAAGTTGAGGGACTAACTACCGGGATGTGTTTAAATTTAAGTAGCAAGATGGTGGTATGTCAAAGCATTTATCATTCATCAATAAAAATGTGCTCAGGCTAAATGCTTTTAAATATGCATGACTAAGTTCTCAATGTACTCTGTGGTCATTTACTTGCTGTGCAGAGGCCTACCTGATTGCCTGTTATCTGATCAGGAGCTCAGAACTTAATGTGGTATAGCAAAGAAAGTTCAGGCCCAAAACATCAACTCTGAATATTGAACAATATTTCATGGTATCAGAAAGAGGAATAAAAAGGGCCCTAAATGAGAAGAAGAATGAATAAATCTGTTGCCTTTTTATTGAGGAGGGAATAGGCACATCATCCTGGCTAGAATCAACTTTCTATATACCAGCTGATCTTCCTGTACAGTGATACTTTTCCTCCTTAAAAGTAGATTCCACATCACATTATGTGCCACGAAAGTGAGTTCTGACATATACAGTGCAATGGTATCTGGGCTATGGGGAGGAAGAAAGGGATTGGATGAACCCACCTACTTTTAATAAGCAGATGACCTACAGTTTTTAGGTGGAAACAAAAATGCTCAAACACAGAGAATCTTCCTTCCCAACTGTTGATAAGTTCAAAATCAGATTTGAGTTTCCTCTATATTTAGGTGTTATTTGCAGACAGTGGAGTTTCCAGAGGTGGTCTTGCCTCATGCATCTTATAGTGAGTAGGAGCATAAAAGTATAAACAGCAAATGTACAAGGCAGAGTTAAGCAATGGAGCACAAAAGAGATTACTCAGGAAATGTAAAAGGAAGTGGGATGCCTGGCAGAGAGGATTGAGAGGAGTTTTATGGAGGACATAGAATTTGAGGTAGCGGCCGGGCGCGGTGGCTCACGCCTGTAATCCCAGCACTTTGAGAGGCCAAGGCGGGCGTATTACAAGGTCAGGAGATTGAGACCATCCTGGCTAACACGGTGAAACCCTGTCTCTACTGAAAATACAAAAAAAATTAGCCGAGCGTGGTGGCGGGTGCCTGTAGTCCCACCTACTCAGGAGGCTGAGGCAGGAGAATGGCGTGAACCTGGAGGAGGCAGAGCTTGCAGTGAGCCGAGATCATGCCACTGGACTCCAGCCTGGGTGACAGATCGAGACTCCGTCTCAAAAAAAAAAAAAAAAAGAATTTGAGGTCGATTGTGATGGTAGGTTAAGTTTTCAATAAACTGGATGTAAATAAGGCTTTCCTGGGGATAAGAACTATAAGAACAAAGGCAAAGAGGCAAGACCATGGAAGTCATGATAGGAGAAAGGTGGAGCATGGAACATAAAGCCTATATACAGGGAGTAAGAGACACCTACTACAATACCTAGGGAGTAAATGTCAGACCAGAGCTGAATTGAGCAAATTGATGATTTGTTTGACCTGCTCAGTATTTAGTTTCCTAACTATAATAAGAAGGAGAGAATGAGCAAGAGAAAGAAAGTGGGTGTTTAACAACCAGTATTTAAATATTGGGAGATTACACATACAACTCTAAATGTTTGGCTTCTCGAAAAATCTAAAATTCTGATAGCAATGCTGGGTTTGCATCCCCACATGTCAGTAATCAATGAATTTGAGCAGAAGTAGACCCCTGCAGGTCAGGGAAGGTACTGTGTTGAAGGCCACAGTCCCTAACACTTCCTATTACCTCTGCAAATGTCCGTTGCCTTCTATTTTTATGACTAGGCTGAGTTTTTGTTGTTGTTTTGTAATAAAGATAAACATTTTTCATAAATCTTGCTTCAACAATTCTTAGGTAACTGATTTCAGCAGGTATTTGAGCTTTCTGACCTCCACCGTAAAGGAAAATCAGAAGATATTGAACACCAGCTGGAAGCATTTGTTCTTCATCTGGTAGCTAATGACAAAGCTTTGAAATATTTTGAGGATTTAAGTAACTGATTTAAGACAAGTTTTAAGAAGCATAATCTGAAAAATAGATTTCAAACAAGAATTTTAGTTTCAATTTGCCATTTAGCCAATTACTTCTGCACCTTGTCACATAAGTATGCCTTAGCAAGAATGTCACTAAATCACCCCAGTCCTCTGTTTACTTGATAAGAAAAAGAGGTGAGCAATTTGTAATAAATGACCTCTAACTCTGAGAACTTTCTAGGTCTGACAATTTCTGACCATCTCTATATGTGGATTCTGCAATAGGTATTGTGTTCATGTCACATTCTTTTTTTACACTCCTTTAAATTGTGTGTTTGGAATGAGTAAAAGAGTCTCAACTGCCTTCACAGAAGAACTTGATTTCTGTTAATCTCCCCCAGTGCTAGGTTTCAGAATGACTGCTAAAAATGGAGCCATCAGGTGAAGACAATTTTCCAAGGCTGCTCATTATGTGTGAGTCTAGAGGTTGCCTCCTAAGAACAAGATATACTTTTGAAAAATTTCTAACTAGCCAAAAGAATCACAAA
The DNA here is from genome assembly GCF_000001405.40 of Homo sapiens. Taxonomy (NCBI): domain Eukaryota; kingdom Metazoa; phylum Chordata; class Mammalia; order Primates; family Hominidae; genus Homo; species Homo sapiens. The sequence continues at coordinate 181,178,169 of NC_000002.12, read as the reverse complement.
GGGTACCTTTCAGCTGCTTCTTGTACACAGTATAGTTTAAGCCCTTGGCCTTCTCCTTAGTTCCTCAACAGAAGCCAGCATCAACCTGGATTTTGCTATGTTTGTCAGAATTTTCTTATTCAAGCAAGAGCCGGGGCATAAAGTTTCTCCAAAACAGAACCCCAAAGTCCCTTAAATTAGGATATATAATCTGTTTTTGTGGTTCAGTTATAGTTATTGACCAAAACCTTGTTAAAGAGAGGGCAGCACAGGTTGCAGGGCCTGGTCTCTAGCTCCTTTACACATGGTTAGATTCAGCTTGAACAGATTTACACAAAAAACAAAATCATCAGAACTTGTTTTCCCAGGGATACATTGATTGCTGTTTTGAACTTAATTCTTATTCTCTTAGTATACTGAAAAGTGGCTTGTGGTAAGAAAAAAATGGATATTTGTCAACAATATTTTTATAATTTTAAAGTTGAGGAGTTGAAAATATATTTTGAAATATTTAAACTAAACAAGTTAAATTTTGACTAATTTTAGAATATACATTCATAGGACAAAGCTCTATTCTCTTTGGCTCCCACCACAAAAATGTTCACAATCCACAATGTTCCAAAACAAAACCATTCAATATCAGACTCAGAAATCTGCTCTGCTGGCTGGATCTGACTGCTAAAACAGAAACATCTTCAATACATAAAATATTTTATTGATTTGAGATGGGCAAGAACCCCTTACAGATATTACAAAGCATGCCAAATTGATTTCAGGTAATTAAGATCATAGTAAGAAATACATCCAGAATATCAATATTTTACAAGAAGGAGGCGTATTATTTCTGACAAATTTATGACATGTACTTTTAACAAGTTCTAATATTTCTTCCTTGAATAAAATGTTCACAGTGAAATTGGATAATAAGAATTATACTCTGGGTCACAAAGTACTTGTGAGATTTTTTGGAGTAGCATCTAAAAATATTAATGCTACTAAATACTCCCTTCCAGGTTACAGACCTCTAAATTTAATACACTAATCAAACAAAGCTGTTTGGAGGCACCCTGATTTCTCTTGCTTCTGTGGCTTATTATACTCATTATCTCACTTCAATCAGGTTTTGGATGACTTGTTTCTATTCTAGGTAATGCCTGTATAAGAATGGTTTAATCATACTAATAACGGTTGGCTTGATTCTCCCATCCTATTCCCATGTAACTTCCCTAAAGTCAAAAATCCCTTTCAAAGTGTCTTAACCTTGAGAATTCATGTGTTGCCCATATGGGAATATTTGTACATCTTTAAGATGATTACTTCTTTGTTGCTATTATTATCTTCTTCTCAAAACAAATATAATAAACAGTGCATGTCATGCCCATATTTTTCAGAGAAGGAATCTCCAGAAAGTACTTAATGGTCCAACTGGAAAATGTAACAATACAGTGTTTCCTGGTTTTTCAATTTACTACAGGTGAGTAATCTCTGAAACACCCAAGACAGTGAACAGATTGAATCAGTTTTAACAATTTGAATCTTGAATGATTTCCAGCGTGCTTGTATCCAAGCTGTTTTTGCCTTTCTTTAACTAATACTTCAAATAAAGATTAAATACTTTTTCTTTGAAAGTTAGCTGAAACTACTGGAAAATTGTGTGCTTTAGAAAACTATATTCATTATAAAATGACTGGGCATTGTAATTACACTGATATTTTAATTGATGTTGCCATAAATTTGGGGGTAGGGATTTTCTCTTTAAATTCTTCTTTGGTATGCTGATATTCTCTAAAAAAGACATAATTCCAATCAATTCAGACATTTCACATTACTGGAACATTTAATTATATAAGTATTATAACGGGGCTTTGGAAAAAAGTTGCAGACTTTCAACACTGGATATACTGAGGTATTTTCCAATCTTCCAAATAGGCCTTAGAATTCTAGTTTGGAATAAAGTCCTCCACCAGCACGTTACAACTACTCTAAATTTAGCACCGACCACTATATTAAGCTGAATTTGCCATCAACAGAAATAAAGGCAGAAAAAGTAAAAATATATATGGTTTTGAAAGATGGTGTATGTTCTAATAAATTATATTGCATCTAATGAAAGTAATCAAAGTATAAAGTTTGAACAACTGGGATGAAATTTCTAAAATTTGATTTCAGTATATCTGAATTTTTTTTTTTTTTTTTTTTTTTGAGATGGAGTCTCGTTGTGTTGCCCAGGCTGGAGTGCAGTAGCGTGATCTCGGCTCACTGCAAGCTCTGCCTCCCGGGTTCACGCCATTCTCCTGCCTCAGTCTCCAGAGTAGCTGGGACTACAGGCACCCTCCAGCAAGCCTGGCTAATTTTTTTGTATTTTTAGTAGAGATGGGGTTTCACCGTGTTGGCCAGGATGGTCTTGATCTCCTGACCTCATGATCCACCTGCCTCAGCCTCCCAAAGTGCTGGGATTACAGGTGTGAGCCACCGCGCCTGGCCTGAAAATTTTTTTTTTTAAAGTACATTTAGATGTCTTAAAAATTTGCTTTGGATTCCCATTGTTAATGAACACAGCCAAAATCACCTTTTACTTCTTTAAAAACAGCAAATGCTAAGGAGAAAGATTACTGATTCTGAACCTAAAAGAAGAACACATTAGCAATCATGCCTGGCAGATTCATCACAGAATATGAAAAAAAATGAACTTTTTATGATCATCTTATGTCAAGGAAAACCTTTCACTTGAGCCATCTCATTCTACCACATGCATAGAAAACGCTTACTGTCATAATCACAAGGGTCACTGAACACTGAAACCACATCAGGAGGTAAAATGAGCACAGACTTTGTAAGCTTTGTAAGCTGATAAGTCCTGGCTAAACTTACATCGATTCTTGAAGAGTACGAGCTATTTGGGGAAAGGACAGGGCACAGCATAAAGAAATTTATCCTGGCAGCTGTTTTGAAATTTTAACATTTGAAAAAAATATCAAAATTGGCACCTGTGTTGTACAAAATGCATAGCTACTTAAGAAAATCTTTTTGTTTTTTTGTAAAAACTTGTTTCCCCCGTTGCACTGTTTGAAAATGAATCATGTAACCAGAAGGTTGTTCAGGATTATGAAACTTAATGCATTTTATCACAAGCAAATATAAACATTTTCAAGGAAAGCACAGGCAAGAGACATGAAAGACCATATGTTTTCAATGCACTCCATGTCAAAACAATACCAGTCTCCAGAAAATAACTGCTAGTCATATTGAATTATTTTGCCTGATATCTTCCAAAAGTTACTTGGAAGAAATTACAGTGCACTCCATGTACCATGTAGTGGATAAAAATAGATTTCCCCAGACCAAACATATTACGTTCATGAATTATTTTATTGGCCATAATGCTTTATAGGATTTCCCAGTTTTATTGCTCATGGGTTAGTGGCAAAGTTAAAAAGAAGATAAGAGAAATAGAGGCTTAATTTTCTGGAAAATATTTCTCAACAAGCTATGTAAACTCCTTTTATTACATGAATAGTCTTACTATACAAAAATAGGCAGGGCATGTTCTCTTCCCAGAGACAGATATTTTTTTTCTTCTGGTGAAGCCTGTAACCATGCACAGGTTCACACTGCTCCTGCCATGCTCCACTTTGTAGCTCAAACACACACATGCTCAGAAAAAGAGAAAACAGCAGCAAATCCACTTGAAAAAGAGAGGCTGAAATAGCGCTTCTCTAAGGAGCCTTCTGGCTTTAACATTTCACTAGCCTCCCTTTTTGACCCGTGTCAAAATACCGCTCAGGTGATTAGATGGGGCACTGCAAAGGATTTGTTCGACATATAATCCTTTTCACACTGCTCTTAGAAATGGCCCCTTGCATTGCCAAACCACTTTCTAAATAATTATATCAAAAACGTGGTAAATAAATCCTCAAAAAAAAAATCTTCAATATCGAAGAGTCAAATCATGCCCTAGAAACAGCCTCTCACACTGAAGGGAGGGGCAGGGCAGGGAGAGCGAAATGGAAGGATCCTTCCCTAGTGATGCTGGTAGGATTCTTTGTCCCTTTCACGATATCCTTCCTAATCTTTTTCTGTGTTTTGGGCCCACAGTTTACTTCCAATAATCCTTCTATTTTTGAAGGCCTAATGTGTACCAGACCCTTTGCTAGATATTTACCATCCCTTAGCTCATTTAATCTTTTCAGCAACCTAATGCACATCTTGACACTTAGTACGAGCTAGATAACTTGCAGGGCTTAATACAAAATGAAAATTTGGAGCGTGTGGTCCTAAAGACAAGTAAAATTGTCATGACAGATTATAATATATAAAGCACTTACTTTTCTTTCGCAGCCTCTTTCTCAGGACCTTCTTCATTTGCTAATTAATGTTGTGCTCCTTGAGCACGGGAACACTCACCAGACTAGTGAAGAGGCTCACAGATGCTCACAGGTGTCCCCAGTCTCGCCCTGTGTTGTGTGCACTCACCTGAACACGTGCAGCTCATCAGGTGCTAGATTGCCCCTCTTGCTGACTACCCAATCAATGCATCATGCCCCAGCTCTGGGGGTAGGGGCATTGGGCCAGGCATCTTCCCTTCCTACTAGCCCAACTCCAACCCGAGGCAGATAGGACACACTAGGAAGGTACCTGGATCACAAGTGGATAAAATGTTCATTCCCACCTGTGCAATGTACAATGACACCACTCCAAGACACTGCGGGGCATGCAAGACCCTCCCCACGCCTTCACCCTGGCCCTTGACAAGGGAGAAGGGCCCCAACAGGCACCATGGGGTGAGGGAGGCCAGTCAGGGCCCAGGATGCAGAGGGGAGGGGAGATGGCAGCCAGAAACCCATCTGGGGTGGTGGGGAAGCCCCCAGCACTTGCTCCATTGTTATTTCTGACTTCAATTACAAATCACCAATGAAAGATATAATTACTAAGAATTTAGAATGGTGACTATAGAGCCTTAAACTAAGTTCAGGACATTTCTGAGGGGGCATGGAGCTTTGTGTGACTGCACTGGTCACATGTCCATGAAGTCAGCTTTGCTAACAAAGAGAAGACATATAATAAATATTAGTTCCTTTCTCTTCCTCAACTATTCTCTCTAATAGTCCGTAGGGCCCCCACCCACCCAATTGAAAGCATGAGGTTTCTTTGACAAAAAAATGGTAGATATATTTCCACCAAGAGAAAAAAAGAATCATTATTTTCTATTTACTCCTTTCTTACAAATGATGAAACTGACTCGGAGAAAGATTAAGTAACATGATAAAATATCCATCTGGTATGTACGTGGTAGACCTGAGTCTGAAACCGGAGTCCTTGGCCTTTCTGTTATGTGCAGCTGTTGGGTAGTAGGAGTGGCAAATGCATGATGAACACTTCCTAATAAATGTGTTGATATCTGATAATGTTTTTACCTACTTTTACCACTGACTTTTAGGAAAAAAAAAACCCAAAACATCTTGACACTTTAAGCAGATGTTTATGACATGTCCAACTTGTATGTTACAGTTTTAATGTGAATGCATCATTTTTTGAGAAAAATAAATCTCCTCCTCATAGATGGCCATCACTAACTTGTTAATTGTTCATGTACAGTATAATGTATAGATAATGTTTCACTGACTCATGCTTTAGAAATAAAGGGTACCTAGTTTTTGTAAACATATTTTTTAATAGTCTTATAAGCTTAACCTTGCACTAGTCTTGAAAGGCACATACATGCCATATATAAGCCTATATATTTTAAATAAATTTCTATTTTCTTCTTTAATACTAATCAAAACAATATATTATATTATCAAAAAATTGGAATATAATGAAAAGATAATAAATACCTCACCACTCTCACACAACCACACTTAATTTTGGTGTATTTTTTTTCTAGTATTGTATGATAAAAATATGCAGTTATAGTCTAGCACTTTGTTTTAAATGAAAGGAAAATCTAAAAGCAACAAGCAATGTCCGCACATATGATTTTATTATTTTGCCAAAGGCACAGACGTGGACTAGAAAGTTTTAAAATATCTCTTCTATATTGAAACTAAAATTACAGCTTTTTATTTTGAAAAATGCTAAAAAGAAAAAGTAAAAATCTCCCAGGATCACCTATGAAGTAAAATTTTCTTCTACTCCACTCACTCAATTCTCTATGCTAGACTTAACTATTTTTAAAGTTTGTATAATCTTTAAAAATAGTTAAGTCTAGCATAAAGAATTAGATATAAAGGTATATATCTTGCTCAAAAATTTTCTCAAATTCATGCTAGATATATGTAGATACACACAAATATACACATTATTATATAATAGGAATCATACTATACATATCGATGTGTAACTGTATTTGTATACTCAATAGCTTGTAACCTCCATCTGGTACTAAAATGGTATATCATACTTTGACCTTATATATTTACTAATGTCTATAAAAGCAATTAAAGCCTACGGGGTAAGATATTTTCAGGTCAGAAAATAACATTTTTAACACTGATATATCTAGAAGTCTGTTAGACATGAAGATCCTTTTTTTTCTGTTTTTTTGAGACAGGGTTTCACTGTGTTGCCCAGGCCGGAGTGCAGTGCCGCAATCACAGCTTACCGGAGCCTCGACCTCCTGGGCCCTAGCAATCTACCCACCTTGGCCTCCCAAAGTGCTGGGATTACAGATGTGAGCCACCATGCCCAGCAAGATACTTTATTGACCCATTATCAATGGGGCATCCTTTCAAAGCAAAAATACTTCGTTCTACCTCCTAACCTCTCTAGACCTTCATTTGTGCCTTTCTGGTAGAACTTACTGCAGTCTGTTTATATTACAGTTAAGAACCCAAGTCAATCCTCTCAACTAAATTACAAAATATTGAGGAAAAGAACAATATATCTTGTTTCTCCTATAGTCTTTAGAAAACAGTGTCTTGCACAAGATATTTCCTTAGTTAATGTTTATTGCTTAAACAAATGCATAAATCAGTAACTCAATTTACTTTGAGTTGCTTCACTAACAGTAGTATTAGGTTTGCACTAATCAAACTCTTAATGTAGTTTTTCTTTGTGATGCACACTTGAGATGACAGGCCAAGTTCAGTGTGTGAGCACTGCCAAAACAATGAATGCACCCATGTAACAACTAAGCCTGAAGTTGTGGTCTCATATGCTGGTAATTAGCAGGGAAATTTCATTATCATTGTAGCCTTTTAAAATACCCCCTCACACTTGACCATTTTTAATCTACTTGAAGAGATCATGACAGTGATAAGCTTCTAAAAACTTCAGCCTTTTTAGTCCCTGTAAGTAGAGACTAAAACCTTATATTAATAAAAAAAAAATCCTTCTGTAAGATTTTGAACTCAAGTTTTATCAAATTGCACACATATGTTTTATTTCTTAGTAAACACATACGCCATGTCTTTGTGTTTGTTTTTCTATTCTTATATATGCTCAAACTTATAAATAGTATTTTTCCTTGTTTCAAGTCCCAATTTCTTCTAGATTTTGATTATGTAAATTTTCAAATGCACCTAAAAAGAGTAGTATAATAAACTTACCCCCCAAACTTCAATAATAATTTAATAAATGTTTAGAGTCCTAAAAGTCAGATAATTTGTTTCCTAGAAAATTTTATGAGATTTCTTGTCAGCCTCCCTTTCAAACTCTAGACACAGTTCTGCACAAAAGTAAACAGGAGAAGAGTCACCTCAAAACAAATAAGTTTCAGGAAGCGAAAACCAGAACCACATGGGCACCCTGAACTGCATCTTTCAAGGAGAGACTGGCCTTATACTTAGGCACCTTGTTTGCAATATAAAGCAGTGAAATGAAGAGTCAAGAAAAGAGAAGGTTGCACGTGATCAATATGTCCTAAATGCTAGCAAAACTTTATGCAGCTGGAACTGCACTGCATCCTGTAGACTACACAGAGGTGGGATGAGGCACGATCCTTGCCATCAAGGAGCTCACACATTTGTAGGAAATGAGAAATTACCTAATTACCAGGAGAAATGTGTACATTTAATTTGAAAAGCCAGAAAGATATCATTATGGTGGTGTTGAATCATTTATTTACTACCTATGTACTTTATTTTTTCTTTCAAAGCAATAATTCCTTTTTACTTTACATTACTAAGAGACATATTAATGATAATAAACATTTAGTAGTTTGGTAGAAAATTCCCACTTTCCTGCCTTTAACTATCAACAAACCATATTGTTAAAAAAGTTTTCATGCAATACGTATGTTACCAATGATCTTTTGTTTCTCTTGTAGCCCATGAGCAACTTTGGCCAGCTAAGTGAAAAGGCATGTAACTTCTTTTTAGTTGACTTATCCACAGCAAAGTTTTATAGAAACTCTTCCTCAGCTTATCCTTTCAGTATGACAATTTACTCTGACCTCAGGCTGACTGCTGGGAGAGAAGGGGGTAAAGTAAAATGAAGTGGAATTATGAAACTTATTCCAAATCATCACTCACATTACATAGTGTCATCCAAGGGCCAGGAGCATAGGGATTCCCTGGGAGAATGCTTGTTAGAAATGCAGGCTCAAAGGCCTTAGCCAGCTCTCCTGGAGAAGAATCTACATTTTAATAAGATCTCCAGCTGATTTCGTATGCCCACTAAAGTTTGAGAACAACTATTCTAAATTGTATTTGATCTCTATGCAGAGCCTGTGACATCATTGCATGATTTTACCCCTCCTCTGATAATATGGTTGCTTAGGATTAGAGAAACAGGTTTCACTTGCCTTTTCTAAATGATATATACACTCATGGATAAATTTGATTTAATAATCTTTTACATAGAAATCTTAGGTTTAAAGCCTTTTTAGCTGCCCTCTATAAAAATTAATACTTGATGATAAGACCTTTGATTTTTAGAAAATGATTAGAATTCTCAGCTAGAAAAGAAAGTCATTTCACATTTCCATAATAGTCAACAGATTTCTCTATCTCTCTATGTAATACTCAGCAAGAGAAAGTAAAGATTAAACACTAAAACCAAAAATATTACATAGAATAAATAGAATTCTTGCCATTAGCATACTCTAACCCAAGCCATTTTGAAAACACATACACACATAATTTCATAGCATATTCCACACCCATTTTCTGCACAGCAAATGTGGATTTAGTCTTTAAAACCTTTTGTTTTCTGAATAACTGCAAAATGTTCTTTTTCCCCTTGATTTTTTGGGGGGTTTCTTGTTTGTTTGTTTTGTTTCTTTGTTTGTTTGCTTTGAGACAGGGTCTTGCTCTGTCACCCAGGCTGGAGTACAGTGGCACAATCATGGCTCACTGCAGCCTCAACCTCCCAGGCCCAAGTGATTTTCCCACCTCAGCTTCTCTATTAGTTTGGACCACAGATGTGTACCACCACACCAGGCCAATTTTTTTTTTTTACATTTTATAGAGGCTGGGTTTCACTATATTTTCCAGGCCAGTCTCAAATTCCTGGGCACAATCAATCCTCCCGCCTCAGCCTCCCAAAGTTTGCAAAATACTTTTAATTGGAGAAAACTGAGAAGGCTAAAGTGCTTTTCATTTTATTATATTCCCTTCTCACATTTTAGTGGAGCAAACTCTGGCTTTTAAAATTATTTAAAATGTGAATAAAATACTTCTTAGTTCACTATTTGTTTCTTGTTTATCTCTAAATGTATTTACACTTCAGCAATGATAGATACATCATATGGTCTCTTGTATCTGAGTTAATATATGTAAGTTACAACTAACTTTATCAGTCCACAAATATTCAACAAACCTCTCCAGATTTACCACTATTATTCAAAACACACATCTGATTTCAATAAACTAACAGGTCCTTAGATAAACTATAATTGAAGGGGTAGAAATGAGATGAACTAGTAGAACCAAAGGAGAATTTGGCTTTGATGGTAAGTGAATGGATCCAGACATTAGTCGTGTGGTCAACTCTAGTGTGGTGATGTGGTTTGGCTGTGTCCCCACTCAAATCTCATCTTGAATTGTAGCTCCCATAATTCCCAAGTGTCGCGGGGGTGACCTGCTGAGAGGTAATTGAATCATGGGGGTCGGTCTTTCCCATGCTGCTCTCATGATAATGAATAAGTCTCATGAGATCTGATGGTTTTATAAAGGGCAGTTTCCCTGCACATGCTCTCTTGCCTGCCTCCATGTAAGATGTGACTTTGTTCTTCCTTTGCCTCCCACCATAATTGTGAGGCCTCCCTAGCCATATGAAGCTCTGAGTCCATTAAAACTCTTTTTCTTTATAAATTGCCCAGTCTCAGGTATGTCTTTTTTAGCAGTGTAAGAACAGACTAATACAGTAAATTGTTACTGGTAGAGTGAGGTACTGCTATTAAGATACCTAAAAATGTGGAAGTGACTTTGGAACTAGGTAACAGACAGAGGTTGGAACAGTTTGGAGGGCTCAGAAGAAGATAGGAAAATGTGGGAAAGTTTGTGTCTTCCTAGAGACTTGAAGGGCTCAGAAAATAGGAAGATGTGGGAAAGTTTGGAATTTCCTAGACCCTTGTTGAATGGCTTTGACCAAAATGCTGATAGTGATGTGGACAATTATGTCCAGACTGAGGTGGTCTCAGATGGAGATGAGGAACTTGTTGGGAACTGGAGTAAAGATAACTCTAGATATGCAAAGAGACTGGCAGCATTTTGCCCCTGCACTAGAGATCTGTAGAACTCTGAACTTGAGAGAGATAATTTAGGGCATCTGGCAAAAGAAATTTCTAAGCAGCAAAGGATTCAAGATGTGATTTGGGTGCTGTTGAAAGCATTCAGTGTTATATATTCAAATATATGGTTTGGAATTGGAACTTACATTTAAAAACAAAGCAGAGCATAAAAGTTTGAAAAATTTGTAGGCTGACAATGCAATAGAAAAGAAAAACCCATTTTCTGAGGAGAAATTCAAGCCAGCTACAGAAATTTGCATAAGTAAGGAGAACCCAAATGTTAATTGCCAAGACAATGAGGAAAATGTCTCCAGGACATGTCAGAGGTCTTCACAGTACCTCCTCCTATCACAGGCCCACAGGCCTAGGAAGAAAAATGGTTTCATGGGCAGGGCCCAGGGCCCCCCTGCTGTGTGCAGCCTAGGGACATGGTGCCCTTGTCCCAGCCATTCCAGCTGTGGCTAAAAGGGGCCAAGGTACCGCTGGGCCCATGGCTTTAGAAGGTGCAAGACTGAAGCCTTGGCAGCTTCCAAGTGGTGTTGAGCCTGCAGGTGCACAGAAGTCAAGAATTGAGGTTTGGGAACCTCTGCCTAGATTTCAGAGGATGCATGGAAATGTCCGGATGTCCAGGCAGAGGTGTGATACAGGGACAGAGCCCTCATGGAGAACCTCTGCTAGGGTAGTGGAGAAGGGAAATTTGGGGTTAGAGCCCCCACACAGAGTCCTCACTGGGGCACTGCCTAGTGAAGCTGTGAGAAGAGGGCTACCATCCTCCAGACCTCAGAATGGCAGATCCACTGACAGCTTGCACTGTGTGCCTGGAAAAGCCATAGTCACTCCTTGCCAGCCTGTGAAAGAAGCGGAGCTAGAGGGGGAGTTGTACCCTGTACAGCCACAGGGACAGAGCTGAATAAGTCCTTGGGTGCCTACCTCTTGCATCAGTGTGACCTGGATATGAGACATGGAGTCAAAGAATATCATTTTGGAACTTTAAGTTGTAATGACTGCCCTGTTGGATTTCGGACTTGCATGGGGCCTGTAGCTCCTTTGTTTTGGCCAATTTCTCCAATTTGGAATGAGTATATTCACCCAAAGTGTGTACACCCATTGTATCAGGGAAGTAACTAACTTGCTTTTGATTCTACAGGCTCATAGGCAGAAGGGACTAGCCTTGTCTCAGATGAGACTTTGGACTGTGGACTTTTGAGTTAATGCTGAAATGTGTTAAGACTTTAGGGGACTGTCGAGAAGACACAGTTGTGTTTTGAAATGTGAGGATGTGAGATTTGGGAGGGGCCAGAGGCAAAATCATATGGTTTGGCTTTGTCCCCACCCAAATCTCATCTTGAATTGTAGCTCCCATAATTCCTATATGTCATGGGAGAGACCCAGTGGGAGGTAATTGGATCATAGAGGTGGGTCTTTCCCATGCTGTTCTCATGATAGTGAATAAGTCTCATGAGATCTGATGGCTTTATAAAGGAGAGTTCCCTACATACTCTCTCTTGCCTGCTGCCATGTGAGACATGAATTTGCTCCTCCTTTGCATTCCACCATGATTGTGAGGCCTCCCCAGTCACGTGGAGCTGTGAATCAATTAAACATCTTTCTGTTATAAATTACCCAGTCTTGGTTATGTCTTTATTAGTAGTGTGAGAACATACTAATACATGTGGGGAGTTGGAGGTGGAACGGGGTAAAGAAAGTGAGACAACTCTTCCTCTTCTTCCTCCTCCTTCTCCTCTCCTCTCCCTCCTCCACCACCACATTCTACTTTCTTTTCTTCACAGTTCAAAGGACTTCTGTCCTCAGCAGTTGGGGAAAGCCAAGATACATCTTCTATAGACTATTCTCTACAATTAGCCACAGGCAGTTTGCTACTAACTGTCCCTAAAGACAGATATCTGGCGGTCTCCACTGTAAACTAAATACATTCATGTTTTTAACACAACACAAAATCATGGATATGATCTTAGTAGTTAGGAAACCCCCCTTAAGTTTGTATTAGGACACGTACGTACCCAATACTGAACCATAAACATAAGACCAACTCAGCATCAAGCTTGCCCAGACCGAAGCTGCCTAAGAAAGGGATGACAGACCTAGGGCTGAGAAATGAAACTAACTTCATCACGGTTCCAGAGGATGTGGGTAGAAATCAAAATTAGACCCTCTAAAAAGGGTATGAAGAGGTGAACTCATGCTTGGCCCATTTTAACATCCAAAAACTTTGGGATCCAAAGTAGTAGGCAGCAACAGGAGCTGCTGGCAGTGGCCATCCTGTAGATAGCCAGGTGGTAGCATCCTTTTGAAATATTTTCTTCCTTTATTAAATGATTTTACTCCCACATTCTACAAATATATGTATCTTCAATTCTACATTCCCTATATTTGGGAATTGGAACATAGGTATCTGAGGGTACAATAATAGTTTCTAATTATTTTTCCTCCTGAGAAATTCTTGGTATCTTCCTCTTTTTGCTTTCCCTATGCCCAAACCCTCTCAATTCTTAAACACTCTTCACCAATCTAAGGTTATTTTGACAGACTTGCATGCTGTAACAAGATGTTTCCTCCTCTTGTCAAACCCATGTGTTTTTCATCCTGAGCAATGGCATTTTAAAAAATTATGTTCTTCAACATTATTTGTAAGGTCAGTGTTTCACTTCCCTATTCTTCTTTCTATGCCAGAATTCACAAATGCAGAAAGAGTTTTGTTGTTGTTTTTTAAATTCCACCTGTAAATCCAACCTTTTCAGTTTCTACCTTAGAATTAAAATTTATAAGAAATACATTCTAAATCATTTTCTCAGTGGTATCATTTCTTCTCAGTATATTCACAAAAGCATGAAGAAGTTGATGGGTTGTAAGAATCTTGGTACACCTCGTGACTTACCATGGAAACTATCCAGAACAGGTGGTCTCCAAATATCACCAGGATTTTTTCTCCAGAGCTGACATCAAAAATCACTATTATTCCATAGAATGTGAAAACCTTCTGTTTCATTAAAAGACCACAGTTTATATTTTGTGAGAAGAACCTTATCAAACTCCACAAGCACAGTTTCTTCAAATTTTTCTCTGTGGCATAATATCTACCTTCACTTGCCAAGATTTTAACTCTAATTTGTTTTCATCTGTCTCCTCAAGGTAGTTTATAATTTATTTATAAGGTATTTATAGTTTATTTTGTTTCTGTGTTATGTATGCTAGCATTTTGTCTAGGAGCTCTTCATTCTTCTAAATAAACTGAAGCCAAACCAGACGTTCCTCAAGAGGTTTCTTAAAGTTTTGTTGTGTTTTCCTCTACCATGTAGTAGTAATATTTTTTGCACACCTTTAGTGTATTTGAAAGCACTCTATATTTTTAAGCCTACCTTCTCTCTCAAAAGACTATATATTCTCCCTAGAATACACTATTTATTTTCAAATACACCCATCCACTATCACCACCACTGCACCTAATACATTCATGACATCAACTAGTGATCCAACAAGTGTTTGTTGAATTATAAAATGGAAAAAAAACATTCTTTTGGTGGCCATAATTACAAGTGAATTATAATTCTTGTAGTAGAACACCAGTGAAAATTATTGAATGATTTGGGGTGGTGGGTGGTTCTTTGAACTCTGAATGTTCACTTCTTGGGTACAAAGGTTACTAATTTTCTGAGTATTAGAAATTAACACTGATGTGCATCACCCAATGAGGCCAAACTCCTTCAGAAACCACAATAGTGTTGTAACAAAATCTACCTTTTCCTGCCTTTATCTGTATTTCCTATTGCTCCTTGCTTTTGGTATATCAGATTCCTAGAAACACTATTTTAAAGACTTATTAGGCTACTTTCCAATCTCTTGATCCTTCCTGTTAGAAATTTTTCATTTTTAATTGAAGATGTTAGATTCCAAAGAATAAAATGCATTTATGTCTTATATTTATATATCTTTACTTTTACCCAATCACAGTGAAACAGAAAATAAAACTAGAAATCCTTGTGTAATATTTTGGCAACTTGCTCTTGGTTTTCTTTTTTTTTTTTTTAGATAGGGTCTCACTCTGTCACCCAGGCTGGAGTGCGATGGTGTGATTATGGCTCACTGCAGTCTTGACTTCCCAGACTGAAGTGATCCTTCCACCTCAGCCTCCTGAGAGGCTGGGACTACAGGTATGCACCACCAAGCCTGACTAATTTTTTTTTTGCATTTTTTTTTTGTAGAGTTGGGGTTTCACACTATTGCTCAGGCTGATTGTTAACTCCTGGGCTCAAGGGATCCACCCACCTCAGCCCTCCACAGTGCTGGCTGGTATTAGAGGTGTAAGCTGCCACACCTGGCCCAGTTTTCAAGTATTTTTAAAACCCCTTTTACAATTGTATAACAACAACAGGAAAAAAAAAAAAAACAACAGATTCTGAAATAGATCAGAGAAACAGAGAGTAAATTCTAATAATTAGAATTAGAGATCAAATTCCAAGGAATTTACAACTCAGCAAATACTAATTATCACCAACATACTGTTCATTGAAACTACTCTTTGGTCTATTAATCTTTATAAAAATTATTCATCTTGAAACCTCCAGGACCTAGCGTTGGGTCTAGTATCTAATAAGTAAGTTTAGTGAATCTATAGACAATATTGGATCACGTACCAAGGAGAGTTAATGATAGAAATAGAGAACATTGATTTATTCTTAAGAAATTTCAGTTTAACAAAGCTGCAACATATAACAAATGTAATATGAATGTTAGAGCATATATATTTATAAGATTGGATACAGAGTTAAATTAGTTTCTTTATTTATAAAGCACATAAAACTTTTTTTTTTTTTTTTTTTTTTTTTGAGATGGAGTCTTGCTCTTTCACCCAGGCTGGAGTGCAGTGGAGCAATCTCAGCTCACTGCAACCTCCGACTTCCTGGTTCAAGCTATTCTCCTGCCTCAGCCTCCTGAGTAGCTGAGATTACAGGCACAGGCCACCACGCCCAGCTAATTTTTTTTTTGTATTTTTAGTAGAGACGAGGTTTCACCATGTTGGCCAGGATGGTATTAATCTCTTGACCTTGTGATCTGCCCGCCTCGGCCTCCCAAAGTGCTGGGATTACAGGCATGAGCCACCGCACACCTTAAAACTTTTAATGTGTTTATGTACACTGAGAAAGGTAGATAAAAGTGAGCAGAATTACCCAAGTTTAGTTTGGCACAAATTTCTTCCCTCATCCCTGCCAAGGAACACTTATTAACATCTTTCAAGAAAGCAACGTTCCATGACCTGGTGCAGTGGCTCACGCCTGTAATCCCAACACGTTATGAGGCCGAGGCAGGCGGATCACATGAGCCCAAGAGTTCGAAAAAAGCCTGGGCAACATGGTGGAACCCTGTCTCTACTAAAAATACAAAAATCAGCTGGGCGTAGTGGCACACACCTGTAGTCCCAGCTACTTGGGAGGCTGAGGCAGGAGAATTGTTTGAACTGGGAGGCGGAGGTTGCAGTGAGCGAAGATCGGGCCACTGCACTCCAGCCTGGGCAACAGAGTGAGACTCTGCCTCAAAAAAAAAAAAAAAAAAAAAAAAAAGAAAAAAAGAAAAGAAAAAGAAAGAAAAGAAAAGAAAAAAGCAGGGTACAGTGTTCCATAAAAAGCCCTTTCTGAAACTGAACTAATGTGATGGCAATGACTGAAACAAGAGATGACTAATCAAAAAAAGATTCATAGACAGGAGTCCTGAACTGTGTCTTGAAGAAGATTCACATGTTCAGAGAATATGGGAAAAGGTATGACAAGGCAAGACTAATATTATGTTCTGTAACTCTTATTTATTATAGAAGGGATGTAAAGAATTGAATATAGATTAGCTTAACTTTATGAATCAACCAAAGATGTCAAGAAAGGAATGTTTAAGTAGAACTTACTAGAATAAATGAATAGTCCCTACTTTAGAAACAGGTTTCACAAAGATTGTACTTGTGAGTATACCTATATAGATGTGATTATGGGTACACAAACCATAAAAAGATGAAAATAAATGCAGTTTGCTAACTATACTAGGTGATACAAATTTAGTAGTATATCCTGCTAGTCCAAAAATGAGTTCCATTATCTGCTTAAGGGACTGAGAGTCATGTTTCAGAGTGCCTATTTGGGTGAGGTGAAATGTATTCAAGATTTTGCACTTTTTTACCAAAAGGAGGAAAAAGAAGTACGTGGGAGTTGGAGATTGGAGGAACATGAGGAAAGATATGAGAAAAAATGATGAATAATGGCATGGCCTGGTGTTATTCTGCCAAACAGTTCTAAGGATGGCTTGGGCAATGAATGAGGAAGAATAATTAAATTCAGCACTAAAGAAGCCACTGTCCAGTGAAACTCTAAGAGTATGGGCTCTGGCACCTAGCAATAAGTTTAAAACTAATATGGAAAAAGGAATATCCCCACCTCTGGACTGAAAGAGAGTAACAATATCTGGTGGGGCCTGGACAGCAGTGGCCAAGCAGTGGTGGCCACCCTCGAGGGCGATGGAGTCTCAGTGAAGGTGCTTTCCCCACGAGGGCATCAGCTGCAGCAGCTGTGGTAGGACTGCTCCCTCCAAAGACTTTCTGGCAGCAAGGTAAAAAACATGAGTGGATTTTTTTTTTCTTGTATGCATGTGAGATGTCCCTGGATATATGCAGAAACAAGTGGTGCTGAAGTTCTATAGTCATATATATAGAATAAAAGAAACATAATTAATTAGTATTAATATTAATGAGACTTTATTTGGACTTAAAGCATGGTCAGACCTGGTGATGTTTATGTAATGTAAAGATATAATGTTTCTATATGGTCCTTGAAAACATACTTCTGGATCAGGGATTGCAAACACTAATATCTACAGGGGATGCGCAATAACCACAAATATTTGTGATATGTCAGGTAGAACACAGTAGGTGCAAAACAGCTCATATTCTAACTAAGCATCACTCTTGTCATGGGATATACCTTTTAAAACATTATTCAAGTATGATCAGAAGGCTGTGTAAAGCTAACAGACCTCCATAATTTCACCTTTGCGTTTGATGCTTCTCTTGATTCTTCAACTGATACTCTAGAATCCAGCTGAAAACATATGATGAATGAATACATAATAAATACATTATTTCTTACTGCTAAAAGCATGGTGGTGATAAAAACTAAATTTTATAATTTTTCATCAACAGTTTGATCCCATATTTCTCCATGAAATGGACATCAACTATAGAACAGGGATATGACTTAATTAATGTTACAAGGGAAAGTAAGAACACTTCTAATTCATTTGCAGCGTCCCCTCATTTGACTAAGAGACATGTACACCAAAATTTCTGCTCCAATTCCTCACAAAACTGTAAAACCTTCCAAAATGGTTCTGCATTCTTCTTTATTTAGCCCATTCAAAGCTAAAGATACTGACTCTTGCCCTGTAGACTGGGCTTGTGCATAGACCCCATAATGTCTCCATCATTTCAGCATCGCCTTCCTCCATGGCCCCAAGATCCAGCACATCAAACTTCATCCCTATAGACCCTTTCAATTCCATCCAAATAGATACACACCAAGGGCAGTCAGTATCCCCAAATGCCCAATTTCAATGCATGCTTTAATGAAATCACACTGCTACAAGTCTATAGAAATAATTTTTCTCTAGTTTGGCTAAATTAATAATGTTAATAATATTCATTCCATATTCCTCTCAATAATAGTCATTGAAATAAAATCCACGCACCATAAAGAAAGAAGTGTAGCTTTGAACACATTCTATCTTTGTGAGTGATGCCCATCACCATAACTAAATGGACAAGCAGTCCCCAAATTCTCATCAAGATGCTATGAATAAACTACTCCATTAAAATTAGCAAATGTATTTGGTCAAAATCACCAAGACTCACATATCACCACGGTAGAAATAGCTTTTCTGGGTTCTAGCCTAAGAAAGTTCAAAAGCAGGGTTTTGAAATACCATTTTTGGCCACTCTGATTTCTCTCACAATAACAAAAGTTGAAACGTAACAGTATCTTTTAAAATTTGTTTCTCTTAAAATTATTTTGAGTCCTTAGGCATGCTTGAAGAAAATGAACAATGGCCAACGCATGACTATTTACCAATTGAGCCGGAAAAGTAAAATGGTGTTAAATGTAACCTTGAGGTTATAGAGTCACTTTCTACAAGAATCTATGTTGTGACAACTTAGCCAGGCTCGTCATCCCACTTTTACTGATGAAAAGTCAACTCAAGAAGCTTCCCAGTTCTCTGGTGCAGACGCTGCCGCCTGACAAGTCTTTCTTGTCTGTAACTGCCCTGGCAGACATGCCGATTACATATGCTTAGTGCATGGATGAAGTTTCAGATGCTTGGGTCTTTAAAAGCACTCCAGCCCATAGGATCTGGAAAGGTTACACCACAGTGACCCCTCTGGTAAAGCATAGCTGATTCCGCTCATCATTCAAAAGGTCAATTCAAATCCATCATATTTGTATGTCCCATATCCAACATCCATTTAACAAACTAAGTGCACTAAATCTAAGAACTTCAAAGAACCACAGGCTTCAGATGGACTTTGAGAAATCACTGAAGACAACTTCTTGCGTATAAGCAATGCTATACTTAAGCCACCCCAGAAAACTATCCTATTTTTAAAGACCATCATAATTTTTCCAGTCTGCCTATATATCCCACTACAAGCCCCTAGCAGGCTTCTTTCTCAAAAAAAATTATTCCTTATAGATTATCTAAATCCTTCTCATCCTGGCTGAAGCATGCTTTTTCTACTCCAATTCTTTGCCAACTCACCATCTCTCCTACAAATTTTCATGGTTTATTTCAGTTGATGGCATCATTTTCTTAGTCATCAAAGGTCTGAATTGTAAACATCTATCTATTGTGACGTCTTAGCCATCACTTTACAATGATCACCAGTCAGTGATTGCTTTGTAACTTTCCTGAATCCATTTGCTTCCTCTACAAATCCAGAGTCCCCAACCTAGTTCACTATGCTATGCAGTAAGTGTGGTACAGTGGAAAGCATTTGAACAGAATCCTGGAAACTTATCTCCAACCTTGGTTCTGCCCCAAAACATGAATAGCGTCTGATAAGTCCCTGCACCTTCCAACTCACTGTCAATTTTCTCCTCAGGGAAGTAAAATAATTAAATTTCTCAGGTCAGTTTAACCTCTACTGTTTTGTGAGTTTTGAGGCACTTTCAAATCTCATTAATGGGCTCTTATTTGTATGTTCCCTTCACCCTGCACACTGCCATTACATTAAAATTACCGGTACTTCTTCATGAGGAAACTGAGGCTTAGAGAGAGTAACTTGCATTTCCATGGTCACACACTCCACAAATGATAGAACTAGGATATATTGGGGGTCAGGACTAGAGTCAGGCAGACAAGGTGTACAGGGAACAAAATTTAATGAGATACTCTTAGGCTAGCACAAGTGCAGAGTTGGAATCTGAAGGTGCACCCTGGGTACCTTGCTTGCCACACCCTAAAGACACGTGTTCTCTTACCTTTGTAATCATGTGATCATCAAGTTTTTAAATGCATTTTACTATTACTTGTAGTCTATCAGAATTGGAAAGATACATAATTTTGTTCATAAAAGCATTTACAGTATTATTCATTTTGAATAAAATGAAGAAACATGCATTCTGCTTCATTTTGAAATACAATAGACTTCCAAGGTAACTAAACAGTAGGGTGAGATATTATATTTACAGTATTTCTCTGTTTACCTATAAATAAACAAATATGACTTATACATGATGTTCACATTATTACATTTTGAACAATACACCATCATGAAATATGTAATACTATATTTTGTAACCATCCCTTGAAACTGTTAAATCAGACGGGCCAGGTTCCTTGTGAGGGAAAAATGAAGTTTCCTCACAAAGACCCAGATGGAATCACTAATCTTCTGATGTGCAATGTTGGTATAAATTGTGGTTAATGAACACATGCCAGGGTGCAATTAAGTTGTGCTCACTCTCGGATTTAAGTATGAGTAGTCATAACTACTCGGTTCCTGAAGAAACCCAGTCTCCTAGCCTGAGTGTCTAAGAAGCCTCTCAGATTAGAAAGAGAAGAGACAGTAGCGCTGTAAATGTCTCTTTCAAGAAAAGCAGGTCAGCTTCCAAGGAGAGACTTTCTGTTAAGTTGATTGCCCCTGCCCTGGGCTCATGAATCTATATAAAAGGCTAATAATCAGAAAGCACAGAAAAACAAAGAGAACTGCTTCCCAAGAATCTCCACAGGCTAGTAAGAAGATAAAGTATCAACTTCATTAGTACTAATAGTTTCTGCAGTGACAGGAACACAGTACCTTCAATGTCCTTGATGCATTGATGAGTATTACTGATACAGTGTAGATGATTGTCCCCTCCAAATCTCACATTGCAATTTGACTCCCAATGTTGAAGGAGGCCTGGTGGAAGGTGTTTGGGTCATGGGGGTGGATTCTTCATGAACGGCTTGGTGCCACTCTTATAGTAATGAGTTCTCGCTCTTTTAGTTCCCTTGAGAACTGATTGTTTAAAAGTGCCCCAGACCTTCCTCCCCTTCTCTCTCTCTTGCTTCCTTCCTCTTGTGATGTGATGCAAATCCCTTTCC
The DNA here is from genome assembly GCF_000001405.40 of Homo sapiens. Taxonomy (NCBI): domain Eukaryota; kingdom Metazoa; phylum Chordata; class Mammalia; order Primates; family Hominidae; genus Homo; species Homo sapiens. The sequence goes on along the minus strand of NC_000002.12, from coordinate 181,156,886 downwards.
CCTTCCACTATGATTGGAAGCTTCCTGAACTCCTCACTAGAAGCAGATGTTGGTGTCATGCTTCTTTTGTACAGCCTGCAGAACTGTGAATCAAATGAGCCTCTTTTCTTTATAAATTACCCAGCCACAGTTATTCCTTTATAACAACACAAAACAGACGAAGACAGGTATCAACAGTAATCTTAATGTATTTATCTGACATTAATAACAACTATGTATAGTAAAGAATTTGGCCTAATGTATCAATTTAAATTTTTTAAAAAATATACGTTAAAAAATAGAAATTGATCTTGCCCACCAAGAAGGGCTGGCCTTTAGGAGGTAATCTCAGCCAGGAGAATCTTGGAGGGTCTTTCCTGATAAAAGTGTCTTTGTTTACCTTAGGCCATGCCAGATTGTCCAACAATATGATTTAGGTTGGAAGCCATACCAGATAGTATTTAGGGTGGGGAATAACCACATGGTAAAGACCAATTATACAATGTAGAGTTGGGGCTTCAGGTCATGCCCAGAAGGGTTGGAGAATTCGTAATGGAGCCACCAATAAAAACTCTGAACACCAAGGCTCAGACAAGCTTCCCTGGTTGACTATACTGTATGTATATTGTCATGCATCAATGGCAGGAGAGTCACGCATCCTGACTACGCAGGAAGAGGACAACAGAAGTTCCACATTTGGTACTTCTCTTGGATTCTGTGTATATGTTTCTGACTTTCACTAATTATAATCTGAATCTACTCTCTGTAATGAACCAAAACCGTGAGTATAATAGCTGTCAGTAAGTTCTGTCAGTCCTTCTGAGGGAACACAGTGTTCTTAGGATAAACGTAACATAAACTACAGTTTCTATAATAAATCATTCATGATGATAATGCTACAATATAAAACTATTTAATATACCAAATAAAACCCAAGAAAATATAACCCATTATTAAGAGAACAGAATTAAAGCCCACTCTGAGATGATGCCAAGGTCATTATAACCATTCTCAAGAACATAAATGTAAATATATGTAAAATGAATAAAAAAACAACATCTCAGAAAAATAGAAAGTATAATAAGAACCAAATGGAAATTCTAGACCTGAAAATTCAATACCTGAAATTTTTAAAATTTACTGAATGAGCCTGAGAGCAAAACTGAAATGACAGAAGAGTCAGTGAACCTGAAGATAGATCAATCTTTTTTGAAAAACAGAAAGAAAAATAATTAGAAAAAAATAAAGTGAGACTCCGTGTTTTGTGGAGTATTATCAAAGGCTATAACATGGATATAACTGGAGTCCCAGAAAAGTGAAAGAGAAAGAATGAAATAAAAAATTGGAATAAATAATGGCAAAAATTTCCTGAAATTTGGTGAAAAGATAAATTTATAGATTGAAGAAGCCAACCACAAACAGAATATCCTCAAAAAACACTTATGCACACACATCTAATCTGTTGTAATAAGCTGCTGAAAATGAAATAAAAACAGAGACATGTTAAAAGAAGCTAGATAAAAATGATATATTTTATAAAGAAGAACAATTCAAATGACTGCAAATTTCTTATCAGAAACAGAAGAGGCTAGACACAGAGAAAGAATATCTTTAAAGAGTTGAAAGAAAATAACCTATCAACCCAGAATTCTATATCTAGTGAAATTTGAGAATGAAGGCAAAATACATACTGGTGGATACCATGTCAGGAATGCCAGGTACCTAAAAATTATTTTTTGTTTTATCACTAAAAATTATTTTCTGTTTTACCACTGCCTCGAATTCCATAGAAAATTTTTTCCCTAATCTACCTCAAAGACTAAAGATTTATAACTACTAATGTAAAGCATTCCCCACTCCTCCAGTCAGTATTGTGGGGGTTACCTGCTCGTCTACCCATTTTAATAATAACATTTATGGGATTGCAGATCTCCTTCTATAGGTTTTATATATCTGCTACAGTTATGTCATTGAGTTTCACGAATGTGAGGCATGCTTCTAACCGCTAATTTCCTACCAACAAGAAAGCTGATAATATTTCCCTTAAGGAGAAAGGTAGATAAGGCCTTGGGTTGCCTCAATATTTTGAGAACCATACGCTAAAGGACTTCAGAATGTTTTTTACAGCAATGTTAAAAGAGCAAGCTGTTTGGCACTCATGTGGATACATAGAAGTTTAAATTTATATAAATTATTTTTAATTCCTAGTATAAAATAATCATGTAAATATGGCACTTTATTTTAGACAAATTTAACATGAGGATAATATTAATAAATATGAAGACTACTATGTCCACTTTTAACCTCTCTCATTCCTAAATTTACCAAAAAAAATCATCTTTTCAGAAATCTGATCCAGATAAAATTTTCTTTTATTTTTTCTTTCCACAATTATTAATCCTTAGTGAGAGGAAAAAAACTAAGTGTGTAATGCCCTTTTTATGCTTAGAGTATTTGCTAAGATTCCTGAAGCCTATTTTCCTTTCTGAAACATGTGGATGTGAAATCAGAAATGCTAACTGATTTCCAAGTTTGAGAATCAAAGTAAGGAAAAAACTTTTTTCTCAGTGATACTTGTTTCAGAGAATTGCCATTAGCATTTCTGGTGGGAGTAGTGACTCTAGAACTGAGGCAAGCCACATGGAGAATTCTATTGTTGGCTGAAAGGGTCTAAGCCAAATAATGTTTGGAGAACTTTGGCTTTGGGGGTTGGTTTTATACATCAACCATCTCACGTTACATTCACTAGTCTTAACCCTGATATGAACCCTTTAAAATTGAAGAGTGATTTTAAATAAGTATTTTCCCACCACACAAAGCATTCTGTAAGAACTCTGTAATCACAAACCACATAGTAAGATTGATGTGTTTGAAACTCTTCCCACATATTGGGCATTTTCTTTCTCTTACATCCTACTACCCTGAGTTATTTTAAAAAAAACCCACCTCAGTACTTCAGAACCTCAAATTATTTTCCTTGTCTTAGAATTTTGTAATCCATGCTTTGCTTCTAAAACTCAAATTATATATAACAAAGTAGTTCAATGTGATCACTAGAATTAGGACCATGCCAGTGAATATCTCCACACTTACGAAGCCTCCTACTGCTGCTGAATATTGCACCCTCTCTCCTGCTGCTAAATATTGCCCCCTCTTTCCTTGGTCTTCTAGCTACCATTTACTGTATGCTTACCAAGTGCCAGCTACCTCACTAAGAATTTTGTATATGTCCCTTATTTCATTCTCACAAAAAAACCCAAGACAGTGTTATTTTTCCCATTATAAGGTTGAAGACTAAAACTTAGGGAAATTAAGAAAAGTACCCAAAATAGTGTAGTTATTAAGGGCCAAACCTAAACTCTGATACATGTGGAGTTAATAATAACCCTCATATATACTTACACAGTTTAAATTTTTCTGTTTTTGTGTTAAAGTGACAAAGATAAAGCTTTAATAAATAGTCCTAACCCTCATATTTTATGGATTATAAACATTTGATTTAGAAACAGCAGCATGTTTTTTTGTGGTCCCTTCAGAAACTCACTTTTAAAACACACGAGTTTAACTTAGTATTTTGACTTGATTAGCTTGTTTCTGCTAGATTAAAATACATAGTCTAATGAAACATGACATCGAAATAAAGGAGACTGAGGAACTAACTTCTTCAAGATCAAAATTTTAAAGGACTAAGATCAGCTTGAAAATGATTATTTAGTTTTTAACATGTATGCACTAACATCAATGTACCTATGTAGGACTGATAAATATACCTTCTTTTTTGTGGAAGATGAAAAAGGTTTAAAATATAAATTTGACAGTTTGAAACATTCTTTGCATAAGCTGATGCTTGGAAATATTTTTTAAGCTGAGATTGTAACTTGCCAGAAATGAGCTTCCTTATATTTACCATTCCTTAATAGCATGGCATGTCTAGCAGCAATTTCAGACAGAAATGTTATTGTTTTCTGCGTAGTTTTTGGCAGGGCAGGCTGTTTTATGGGGCTTAAGCCAGGAGGAATACACGCAGAATATAGGAAGTAAAACTGATGAGCTCTGGTATAAAAAATAAAGTGTGAATCCAAGTTAGCAGTTGGTGAGAAAAATACATACAAGAAGTACAGGGGCAAGATAGGAAGATAGGCAGCCATTAGTTTATTAATATGTGTGAATATAACTTAAAACACTTGAAGGAAAAAAAAGTATAAAACAGAGTGTCAAATAAATTAAGACCATGTTTACAACTGTGATTTCTCAAAGAACACTCACTAACCAGGCTAAGTAAAGGCCAAGGAGCCTTACAAATACTGTCTACCCAGAAATGATATAATTTCCATAGCAGTAACAAATAGTAGTCCTGAAAAGGCTATGAACTACAATCTTCATTGGGTTACTGGCTGAGGGAACTTTGACATTTCCTGTTAAGTGTTTTTATAATTTTAAACTCTGCTCTGTTTAACTTACAGTTGAACCATGAAGAATTACAGTATGCATTTCATTCCCAAGAGATTAAAAACTATGTCTGAGTGGGAAGACACAGTTTAATTTGCAATCTGGAAGAAGTGTGGGAGACAAGACAAAAAAGGATGGGTAAACACTTGACATTTTTGAGGATTTTTTCTCTAGTTTAGATTTGTCTTGTACTTTTTATTATTAACAAAATTCAGACTTGCTCTTATGCAATTTATTAAATTTTTGGCTGTAAAATAGCTTATAATTCTTTACAATCAGTGAAAGAAATTATTTATTATCTTAGACTCTTCTATTTTAATTTCACCATTCTATACATTTATCTTTTCTAGTTCTTCATTATGGATATTGGAAACATAAATGACGTCTGATAAAAAGTAAAAATTGGATTGCCACACTGACTTAATTAATGACCACTAAATGAGTTCCTTAAGTCAGAATTTTGCTTCTGAAGAAGCCATTCTCCAGTGATAATCCTTAAGCAGTTTTCACCCATGTGGTCTCCAAGGAGCATAGCTTCCATATTCCCCCTGACTGCATATAGAGGCTGGGAGAAGTCTCATTGTTTTCTTTCCCAGTAATCTACCTACTGTATTTTTCCCCAATAGGCTTCTCTATCTACAGAGACGAGTAGAATTATCACACAAAAAGCACTGTTATTTTTAGACTTTTCTATTAATTTTTTTAAAGATCTTCCATGAGGAAATTTGAGAATGTCATAGAACATAACTATTCTGTCTGTTTTATCGTTTTCCTCAACTCCATCCTCCCCAGAGATAGCAGGATAACCTATCTAAAATGGAAGTTGAGGGTTTAAAATTCTCAAATAATCATTCCCCTCCCTTCAGAATATCTGGTCTTCCCACCTCACAGATAGGCACCAACAACAGAACTAGCATACCATGCTCTTGCTGCTTCCGGAGTTTGGTTTATCCATCTTCTTCCACCCTCCATGACCTGACTCCTCAGGGTCATACAATTCGGTGTCTGCTCCCCAGGAATCCTTCCCAGAAACTGTACTCCCCACCCTATCTCAGGTGGTACTACGTTTTCTTTCTCCCGAATGTTCTCAAAACCTGTGTCTAACACATGTCACTGCTTTTGCAGTGTCGTATTTTCATTATCTATGTGTGTATCTGTCTACACAATTACACTGTGATCTGGAGGGCAAGGACTTCACAAATTCTTTTATTTTTAAATTCCAATTCCATAGCAGATATTCTAGCATATAGTAGACACTTAGTAAGTACTTCTTAAGTAAAAAAAATCAAATATATTGAAAGCTCAGCTGAACTATCCAAATTTAAGGCTGATTCAATTTGGCTAATGCGCATCTCCATGGATACTATTTGCCTCAATTCTAGCATCATAACTTTTCTTTACCACAATATCTCTTATGAACTCTAGTGTGTGTGTGTGTGTGTGTGTGTGTGTGTGTGTGTGTGTGTTTAATTTTATATTGTTCTGCTTCTCTAGGGTGTTTTTTGGTTTGGTTTTGCATTTTTCTCAAACATTGTTTTCCATTTTTCTTTTGCTCTAAGTTTTAATATAGCTATTATACAGTTAGTTAGTAATGGATTAGAGTAGTTGGCAAAAACTACACCATAATTTAAGTCTTAAAAACTGCCTTTAAATAACTGTAAATGCAAGATGTTAGAATAACTACATTAAAATTATTTCAATGTATGTGTATTTCCATCTGTTTTGATCACCTTAACACTAAAAATCAATATCACTCTATAAATAAGCTTTATTTACTATTGGTTTCAGATTATAATAATCCATGGGAGTTTCAAATTTCTGTGTTCTTAAAGCTGGGAGTTTTGTTAACTTTTCCTCCTCAACCTCAAATTTTCACAACTATCTTTCCTTCCTACAATCAAAGTATATGAACAAATAACATACTGGGGAGAAGAATATTTTGATTGTTTATAAAGCAATTTTTCATATATGATTTATAACATAAATCACATATTATATATATCATATATGTTATATATCATATATAAGATATATTATAAATTACATATACTATAGTATATGATATAATATATGGTATCTGATTTGATGATGAGATGAAAGGTAAACATGGCTATCTTTATGATAGTTTTTAGTATCTAAGAGTAAAACTCTTCACCATCCACAAGTATAAAACAAAAGTTGTGCATTATATTACACTGAAAGGCAAACAAAGCAACACATAAATCATGCAGAAAAAAACACATTGTAGCACAAGTAAAATAATTATCTATCCTCTTTGTGATATACACACATGCATTCCACATGTGCCTATGCGGGTGTGTGTATATATACATATGCTTGTGTAATACATAAAAAGAGAGATTGACAATCATGACTGAAAGAATAATTGTTTAAATTATGTTTTAGATTTGGTATGCTAGCAGTATGCAAAAATTAAAACAAGGCACATCAATACCGTATTACATTTCTATTTTATGACAATATAATAAAATGCATAGGAAAATATATTAAAATATAACAAAATGTTAACAATATTTATCTTTCAACAGAAGAAATACAGATTTTTTTCTTCTTTCTGCTTTTCTAGTTTTCAAAAACAAATCTATTCTAACAGAAAATATAACTTCTGTTTAAAAAAAGAAATAAGAGGATGATCTTTTCCTTTCTAGCACTCACACTTCAAGCTACTTGCATACTTTAAAGCATTTTCACATTAATATATCATTTGATCCTTACAAGAAAACAGATTCCTACAAAAGAAAACACAGTAGGCTGAGAAATTAAGGAACTTTCTCAAGATTGCCCAGCTATTGAATGGCAGAGACACTTTTAAAACAAATTGTGGATGTATTCTAAGCACTGACTATTTGATGAAAGAGGGAATCATAGAACAGTGAAGAAGGTATAAGAGGAATAGGGAGAGCTACAGACTCAGGAAACAGGAAAGGCCCCTAGATAGTAAAACCAAGGAAAAATGCACAATGAATGAGGGTATACCATGTGCTCCACTGAGTTCTAAGCATTTGGTACACATAATGACCTTTAATTTTCTATGAGGCACTTAATATTACCAACCCTATTTTACAATGGGAAATTGAATTACACAGAAGTTTTTTCAATTGATCATAGTCACAGAGAGATAAGAGGCAGAGCAGGAACTCAAACCCAGGCATTCTGATCTGTTAATCCAGACTCTTAATCACCACCCTGCAGTGTTCCAGTGTAAGCCACAAAAGTCCCATCTAACACCCTCCACCGAGTTTCAGGTTTTCCTGAGAGACCTAAATGGTCAGAAATAAATCAATTGTTAACCATTTCAGCAAATTAAAATGCTTAAAATGTATTATTTTCCTAGAATATTACGTTTAATTTCTTTTAAAAGGTAAAAGGAAATCAAAAGATTAAATAGCAGAATATAGTAGCAATTTAACAACCTAATTTTTAAAAAAAACTCGTTATGGGAGAAAAACGCTTTAATTGCATGAAAATATAAATCATCTAGATATATTCATCATGAACTATATTCAATAGCTGAGTAAATAGTAACAGAATAAATAACAATAAATATCTGAACTTGAAACTACAATATAGAAACACCTTTAACATAGGCATTTATCAACAAATCTAACATCCTGCCTTTGGTTTTTCTTCTGCTCAGAGCTGTAGCTGTAATCGTTTTAAATGGAGACGGGGTAATAGATACACAGTCTATGGTATTGGTATCTGTGGAGGTATCCAGAAATAAATATGGCTATCTGTGGATCTGCTATCTGTGGAGGTATCCAGAAACCCCCACAGATACCAGATCCACAGACGCCCTAGTCCCTTATATAAAATGGTATAGTATTTACATATAACCTACACCTATCCTTCCCTTTACTTAAAATCATTTTCAGATTACTTATAATATCCAATATAAGTATATGCTATGTAAATAGTTGTTATACTGTATTGTTTGGGGAGTAACAAGAATAAAAGTCTGTGCATGTTCAGCTTAGATGCAGCCATACTTTTTTTCTCCAAGTATTTTCCATTCATCATTGGTGGAACGCAGGGATGTGGAACACCTGCACACGAAAGGCTGACTGTGTGTGTGTGTGTGTGTGTGTGTGTGTGTGTGTAACAGAAATATATTGAGAGAGACTTTTTCTTGAGAGAGGACTTTTTAGGAGTCTTCTCTTCTCATACTAAACCCACAGAGGGAGCAATTTTAACCTTAGACTTTTACTAGACTTTGTTGAAAATAAAAACATTTTCTCACCCATGACTACTCAATAAATCAGAAAACGTTTATTTAAATCTTTAATTTCTGTAAAACTAGACTTCAATTTAACCACTTAGCCTTTCTAGATTATATTTCCCTGTTCCTACTGGCGGTAGACCAGTTGAAGATAAATGATTTTCTATTTCAATCACACTTGAACATGGTACAGCCAGTAATAATTAGTATAAGAGCAATGCAACTGGATTCTAGTATAAATAAAATAAAATATCTCCACTTTATTTCATTTCCTTTAGGCTTTCTTGCAGAATTTAGTGAATCAATTATTAAATATTAGTATCACTCATTGAGTTAGATAATCTACTATCTTCATTATTCTGGTCTTAACCTATTCACTCTCTTTGCCTGGACTGGTTTTTCATAGAGACACAACATAAATTGGCTGGCTAGATTTAAAGCTCTTCACCTTTAGGTATTTTCTTTACTATTCTTTTAAAAATATAATCCTTGCAAATTTAGACACCACAGAAAACTGTTATTTGCCTCATAATAGCCTCTTCAGTGTGTTTCACAGTCTTTTGTGGAAAATAATGACATAATGATAGTGTTCTCAAACCTATATTTCTACTTGATAAACTAGCAATTATATGATTAAAGCATTTTTAGAAACTCACATTAAGTATATGATACTCTAGAAACCAGTCCATCATGTAATTACACAGTCAGGGGAGAAATAATTTACATAACTAAAAACCATTTGAAACGCTGTTTCAAATCAAGACCAGTATGTGATTTTTTAATGAATAAAAATTTAAGAAATATTAAATTATACATATAACACACTTTAATGTTGATTGGAACTACACATTTTATATTTTATAAGTTGGGTTTAAACTATTATATTATAAAAGATTTTACTAAAGGGATTGGTAAAAAGAAGCTGTTAAACTCTATTGGAAACAAGTGTTAATGTGCTGAATACATTAGGATGAACCCAGATAAACCTGATGATTTCTCTTTAAATAAAACATATGCTTACTGAGAACAGAGGCAGGCAATGCTTAGGCATTTGAGCTCTGTAATGCACACAAATTTGCCAACGATTTTTCTTAGCTATATATTAAAGACTAATTTAACTAGAGCTTTGTGATTTGCTTGAATATCAAATCATTACACCAGCATTGTGCTGAGTTGTAAGAGATATAAATATATTTATACACATCATTTATGAGTCTTTTTAAGAAAGAAAAATAAAATATATTTATATCGAGTTACAGCTATAAAAAAAATCTATCTCTTTAAGGATACACAAGAAACCTACAGCACACATTACCTGTTTGTGGCCATGATGGGGAAGAATGTGTGAAAATTAAACAGCGGGATGGGAAGGAAAGAAGGCTTTTCACAGATATCTATATACTTTCTGGGTTTTGACTCATTTGAATATATTACCTACTCAAAAACTATGTCAATCATAAAAATGAAAGAAAGAAGCTTGGTCCCTGTGTGGAATAGGGACTGTGAGCTAGGTCAAGTATATTCTTTGCTAAGATACAAGGTGAGCTTTAAGAGTGAAAGGCACCAAAGTTAGATGCCCCTTGTTACTGGTGTATTCCACCACTACACTCCTCAGTGGCATTGGCTTGTATGTTTTCTAACTCAAGAGTAATAGGAAAACATGCCATATTTTATGTTATAATTATAGCAACATGGCAGAGTCAGGCCACCACAGGAAACTTGGGTATCCATGCCTGGTGATCAGCATAATAATACGTACTTTTGACAGTTTTTCACACAGATGGTGAGGAAACCAGTCATGGCCAACAACTAAGTACCACCATTCTATGTAATGCTTAACCTCAGCCCTCAGTAACGTCATTGGGACACCCATTCTCAAAACCTCTGCCATTTAAAGCACTACAAAGGGCTGAGAATAAAAATAAAGACAGCTAACAAAGTACACCCACAACATAACAACCATGCTGATCTCACCAAACTTATGTGCAATTATCTGGTTCTTCTAGATCTACACTTCCTGAGTCATTCATTTTGTGACTATGCTGGTATTTGGAAACAAGGTAAAAGAATTGTTAATTTGTGAGCTCTTGTATAAACGATAAATATGATTGAGAAACCATGTAACAGTAGTGTAAAGCTTCACAAATCCACCATACATAAGATGCTGTGGCTGCACTACAGCAATGGTAGGTAGTAAGAGATGACAACTTGCTAGCAGCCCTCGCTTGCTCTCCATGCCTCCTCGGCCTGGGTGTCCACTCTGGCCACACTGGAGGAGCCCTTTAGCCCACCACTGCGCTGTGGGGGCCCCTCTCTGGGGCTGGCCAAGGCCGGAGCCGGCTCCCTCTGCTCGTAGGGAGGTGTGGAGGAAGAGGCGCCCGTGGCAGCCGGGGCTGCGCAAGGCGCTCGCAGGCAGGTGCGGGTTTGGGGTGGGCGCGGGCTCCGCAGCCCCTGCACTCAGCTCGGCCTGCGGGCGCCTGCTGCGCTTGATCGTGGGAGGAGCTCCCTCTGGGCTGCCAGAGTGCCCTGGCTATGTACCCCAAAGTCCCGTGGGTAGTGCCATTGAGAGATGAAGCCGGCTGGGCTTTTGGGTCAGGTGGGGGCTTGGAGAACTTTTCTGTCTAGCTAAAGGATTGTAAATGCACCAATCAACACTCTGCGTCTAGCTAAAGGTTTGTAAACGCACCAGTCAGCGCTCTGTGTCTAACTAATCGGGTAGGGGACTTGGAGAACTTTTGTGTCTAGCTAAAGGATTGTAAATGCACCAATCAGCGCTCTGTCAAAACGGACCAATCAGCACTCTGTAAAACGGACCAATCAGCTCTCTGTAAAGTGGACCAATCAGTAGGATGTGGGTGGGGCCAGATAAGGGAATAAAAGCAGGCCACCCAAACCCTCTCCGGCAACCTGCTTGGGTCTTCTTCCACTTTGTGGAAGCTTTGTTCTTTTGCTTTTCATAATAACTCTTGCTGTTGCTCACTTTTTAGGTTTGTGCTGCTTTTATGAGCTGTAACACTCACTGTGAAAGTCTGCAGCTTTACTACTGAAGCCAGCAAGACCACGAACCCACAGGGAGGGACAGACAACTGGGAATGGGAAGAAGGAACAACTCTGGGTGCTTTGTGAACTGTCACTGTCACACTCACGGCGAAAGTTTGCAGCTTCACTCCTGAGGCCAGTGAGACAACAAACCCCACCGGAGGGAACAAACAACTCCAGATGCGCCACCTTTAGGAGCTGTAACACTCACCGCAAAGGTCTGCAGCTTCACTCCTGAAGCCAGTGAGACTATGAGCCCAACAAAAGGAAGAAACTCCGGACACATCTGAACATCTGAAGGAACAAACGCTGGACACACCATCTTTAGGAACTGTAACACTCACCACAAGGGTCTATGGCTTCATTTTTGAAGTCAGCGAGACCAAGAACCCACCAATTTCGAACACAGTAGGGCTGGAATTGCGAGCTATACTTTCTGTCACTTAGCAGCGAAGAGCCTGTCCTAAGACTAGTAAGTAGCAGGACTAGGACTCCCTCCCAGGTCTCTGAGCTCATGTTCACTGCTATTATCTGTCACGTGTTCAGCGTCAGGGTTTTTTCTCTTTTCCCAAGTAGCAAAGGCTTTTCACAATTGTGTTGCAAAGACCACACCAGAAACAAGACATACAATACTTGATAACATTTTCTGCTTCACCGATGGAGGACTACAACAACATGTGAGGTTTTCTGGCCTTTAATTTCTTTGAAAAGGTCAAAACTGTTAAAAAGGAACTACTTACTGTATTTTGCTAAAAAACATAAACATTGCAACATTTCAGCTTTCAACTTAGAACATAGGAACATTGCCTCCTGCGATTTTGATTTTAGATAACCAACTGCAAATTCTGATACAACTCCTGGCTGACCTTATCAGTTTATATCTAGGGATGTTCTAATTAAAAATAAAATTGAATTCATTTCTTTATCATACTTTTATACAACCATAGATTTCCCAACTTCCTACCACAGTAGGAGGCACTGTGGCAACGTATCAATATAAACACAGTATGGAAAATTCTAAACCAAACCTGATGGGAAATGCACATGATACTATTATTTGGGCTATGAAAAAAAAAAAAACAACCTTGAGGAAGTCTTTTCTGATTTTATTTTCACTGCACTTTGCTATATGCTGGTAGAGTTTCAGTACATGTGAGCGCTGAGGCCCTCAAAGTAAAAATATGGAGGTCTTGAGGTCAGACCAGCTACCCTGCTGTCATTCATTTCCTGTGCTAAGGTTACACTGAAGATAGTTTTAAAGCTTTGATGTAAACAGAGCAAGATTAAAAAGAAAACTTGAAGAAAACAAACTTTCAGGAAAATAAAGGCCATAATTATTACATTAAAAACTCTGCCCTTTGTGCCTTAATATGACATATCACAAAAATGCCATTTTAATTGTTTTACCATATATTTAAATGTTTTGTATTTGTTGTTATTCCCAGCAGCTAACAATAAGAAAATAGCAACATTAAGGTCAGTTTATTGTTTACTAGAAATCATGATTCTAATGAGCTCTGAAGAAAATGTTAATCATAATTCTTTTGCAGTCTTGTAAAATAAATACTAATGCTTATGTATAAAGTATATATGAAGAAAATATGTATATGTGTGTGTATCTTGAATGGTGATTCTCTTTTTAAAATGATTTCATTTTTCTCTTTTCCATAGGAAAAACTGTTTAATCAATTTTACTAAAATTTCACAGCAGAACTCAAAACACATTGCAACAAAATATTTCAGCATATGCTGAGTAGTGCTCAGACCCTTTATATGCAGATATGTATTCCAGAAGAAGATGGCTCTATAAGTTTCATGCATTTAAAGGGCTTTGTCATAGAAAAGCCTTCGTGCTGGACCAAAGTCAGAGAATCTATAGGCTAGCCCTAACTTAGCCGTCTACTGTATGCTTGAGAGCTCTAACACTCACCTTCATATTATTAAAATGGATATAATTATGAAGTATTCAGAAGAATTAAATCCACTATATAAGTAAAAGCACTTAATAAACTGTAGAATAATAACACAAATGTAACATTCATATTATTAATACTACCTGGACTTTAATGCCAAGGTCAGTATTAAGATTCCAGTATATAGATGGAAATAACTCAAAAAAATCTTAAGTTAATTGTAAGAATAAGATAGGTTATCATTTTAATTTTTCTTTCATTATATTTTTGGAATTATAATGAAGATGATATTTTGAGGAGAGCAAAAAGTCTGCACTTATTCTTAAAGATAAGTGTTCCTCTCATACTTCTACTTATGACAAAACAAATTGTTCATTTCCTACTCCCACTTCCTAGACAAAACTCAAAAATGTTAATTTTTTAAAGAAGGCAGTGCAGCAACTCGATTTTAGAATCCTGTGAATCCTCAAATCCACCAATTACCTCTGTGACCACGAGTAAGTTACCTAACCTGTTTCAGTTTCTTCTTCTATGAAATGTAGATGACAATACTACGAACATCTCAGAAGACTGCTGAGAATATAAATGAGTTACACAGGTTTAGAACTTAGCATGTCTAACACAGAGTAATAACTCAATAAATGTTGTTACAGTATGACTACATATTTCCTCACATTGGCATTTTGGACATGCTGATCAACTCCCAATCTCTATTTGTGAAGACCAAAAAGGTTAGCATCCATCCCAGATTCGTCTTCTTTCATGTGTCAAGACACTTTCCATGTAGAGTCCATTCAGATGAAATTACAGCAATCCCCTCTTTCAAGTTCAATTTGTTTGCCAAAATCATCTGATCCAAGAAAACTCTAATACAATTAGGTAGCTTAATGGCCATAATTTCTAGTCTTAAATAATCACAGTAGACTTAGTAAAGATTTATTTCAAATTCTTGCCATATGATTTCATTTTTTTTCATTTATCTGAAGAAAAAAAGGTGTTTATAGAGCTGCTACCACATTGCAGGCATTATTTTAGGTGGTGGGATACAAAGTTAAGCAAAATCAAACAAACAAAAACTGAAAAACATAATCCCTGCCTTTGTGTAATAAGAAAGATAAATATTAAAGTAATTACACAAAATAAATGTAAATTTTCATCTATATTAAGTGATATAAAGGAGAAAAAGCCAGTGCTATGGGAATATAATTCTGTGGGAAAAAAACAAATTATGTTGGAGAGGGAAAGCTTCTCTGTGGAAGTGATAACTTAGTTAGTATTTGAAGAAACCATGAAACTAACAGAGTGAAAGCTACGAACAATCATGTTTAAAGTACAAGGAGCTACGTGTGGGTAACAGGGAGCATGGGGCTTTCAGGGCATGAAAAAGGGAAAGTGAGACTGGAGCTCAGAAAAGGGAAAGCATGGAGTGAATGAGATGAGGCTGGAAAAGGAAGCCAAGCCTTGTAAGCCATATTGAAGAGTTTGTCTTCTTTTCCTAAGGACAAAGGAACACCATTAAAGAATTTTAAGCATAGGTATATAGAAGAGAAGAAGGGGTTAATATAATCAAATATGAATTGTTCATGCAAACAACAATTTAGAGGGCGTCAGAGTACCTATGGAGAAACAAGCTGGGAGGTTGTTGCTGGAATTCAAGAAAGAGAAAGTGGAGGATTAGACTGAGCTAGAAATTTTGCTAGTGATGGAGGAAGAGCTTGGTTTTCTGCAAAATATACATTCTTCTCTTTCATTGCCCAGGCACATTTTTTATATAAAGACATTTCCCTTTTAAAACATCTAAAGAGTCAAAGCAAGGGGTAATCGTGGGTAAAAGGATCCCATATGCATTTGAAGTCATGAGGGAACAGTTAAAATGCCAGTTTCTAAATAATCAGTATTATTTTCCTCCAGGTAAAAGACCTTGTTTAGTATTAATATAAAACAACACTGAAAATGAACCAAAGGGAACAATTTTCATTGAAACACATTTTTATTTTGAAAATGTCATAGGTAAACACTCATGTATGAGAAATCAGGTCAAAGAGTAGTAATGCCTTTGACTTCAGGTTGAAAGAAAGGAAAACACATTCAGGAAGTTAAGAGAGTCACAGGCAACAGATCCTACAGTAACAATTGCAAAATAACCAAAGGCATCATCTTTGGAGTGTGCCAAAAGACCTAGTTGTTGCCATAGGAAGAATATGTCCCACGTTTTGGCCACTAAGCAACCATGTTTTATATGCAAAAGTGATATGTATAATAGCCAAGGCACCTTCTTAGTACTTCACAGCAACTGAGCAAATGTAAACATACACAGACACACACACACCTAAAATACATTAAGCTCACAATCTCACAGATGTGAGAAAATAAAAGGAACGGCACAAAACAGACATGCAGAAACATTCATTACAATTTTCTCTAATGTTATCTCTTCCCAAAAAAAAAACAAAAAACAAAAACAAAAAAACATCAAATGAAATCATTGACAGTCTAGTTCTCCCTGAGTAGAAGGGAGACATTAATTTAGATCATCCTGCACATTGAAAAGTTACTGCACTGCAGGGATTTCCAATTACATAATGCAGAATCAGAATTCTGGGTGTCACTTGGCCGCCAGCATCCATGGGTGAGTTGCATAACACTCCTCTGTCATCTAGCTCATGTGAGAAAAGACTTCTGCTGTTCCAAGAAATGGCACTCTTCTTGGAGACCTTCCCAGTTACACAAAAGAGCATAATTTCCACATTATCCTCTGGCATACTGTCTGGGATAAGTCTATGATAGCTTTATGTGTAAATTATATACACAGTTCTGCTAATGACAGGCATACAGACTGCTTTTTGATGGTAGTGGTGCAGAAAAACAAAATCAATTTGTTTTCCAATTTTTATAAAATGACACCTGAGCTATCTATAATAATCAACAGAGACTCTGAGAGTTAGATGGTAGGTAGAGTAATTGCAGTTATTATCTAACAGACAAGTACTGGAGTTGGCAAGCAATGTCAAAAGGGTGCAGACTTACCAACCACCTCATAACTGGCTTCTTTCAGTATTTTCATTTTAAGTCGTTCAAACTTTTAATTTCATACTTATCTCAGCTTTTCATCAGAGACTGCACTCTTTTGCATGGTGGTTTAATTTTCTACATATGAAAGAACACTTGCAAAAGGGAGACAAAAAAGTAAGGGAAAATGAATATTTCATATACTTATTGTCTCTTTGATGCCAAAATTCCATATGTAGTGCATACTGTTTGCCGGATATGAAGGATAATTTGGAGGATAAGACAGTGTTCTTTTCTGTAGAAACTCACAATTCTCTCATTAACAAGTCTAAAACAGGAAAACTTTTGTATCCTGGCTATCAGCATTATTTGGAAAGTTTCTTTTTAGTTTATTAAATTCAACAATTTTAAACTAAATAAAAATGGAAACTAGAAAATAGATGTAGTTATTATAATATTCAATATTTCTTAAGCATTTGCTTTGTATACAAGTTTTGCATATATCCTTATATTACCACTAGATTTTAATCTTCATTTTAAAGATGAAGAAATTGAGGCTCACACAACTTAAGCAAGTTTCACATTACAAATCTGATAAACACAGCCTGAATTTAAATTACTGTTGTCTCATGCCATGGTCCTCTCTCATTCATTTCTCTATATTGCTCCATTTTAACATTTGCTGTAATCTCAACATTAAGGCATTAGTGCCTCAAGTTTGTTTGTTTATTTAATTCTATTGCTTGACTTGAAAAATTTGCTTCAATCTATTGTCTTTTCCTCTTTTCATGAGGATGCTATTGAGGAAGTTTCTGAATGATTCCATTGTAGTTGAAAACATAACTATGTGGCTCTCTCAAACTATTCTCCTAATGAGTTAACACTAAAATTTATGTATTGAGCATCTGCTATATGCCAAGCACTGTGCTAGATGCTTTATGAATAAAGATGTGGTCTTTGCCCTATACCTGCAGGAAAACCAGAATCAAATAATAAATAAAATAAAGGTCTAATAAGTGACATGGTAAGAAGAGTACAGGGTGCTCGGGAAGCATCTGCCAGCAGAAGACTCAGCCCAGACCTCCTGTAGGAAGTGGAATTGGAACTGCTACTTAAAACTTGAGGAGGACGTGGGCTAGTTTTAATCTTTACTTTTCTCACGTTGGCCTCACCTCCCAGAATTTGGCTTCTATCCATATATTCAACTGAATTTCCATTCTCCACAGCCTCCAACCATCACCTAATTTCCAAATGCAATGACTCATCATGTGGCAATATACACTGTCCACCAACTGCAGCTTCTTGAGACTTTTCTTCCCTGGATAGCCCTACTTCATATCTGTTTTTCCTCCCTCTATTCCTGACCATCTGCATTCACTTTCTGTCTCCTTACTCTTGCTGTTCCTGTTCACACTTCTTACCTGAAATTGTCCTCAAGTCTACTCTTCTCTGACTTTTTCTATTTTCTCCTAAACTCTCTCTCTCTTTTAAACTCATGATTTAAATGATTTTCTTTTTGTAAAATTTTTATTTATTCAATTTTTATCTCAGTCCTGCTCCTTCTGTATTAGGTGATTTTATTGTTTTTCATTTTTATGCTTATTTCCCTCTTATAGCATAAGGAGATTCATATATATTTGCACAAAAGATACAGTGTATATTGTATATATATATTCTATATATAATGACATAAAACCAAATTGTAAATTCAGTTTAAAAATGTTTAAAATTATAATTTTATCTTTAAAATTTTTAGTAAGTTATATGATTCATTTGTGTATCATATATGGAATTAACATATGCCAGAATGAAAAAAAAAAGAGAGATTATCTGTGCTTGGAAAGAACAAGAGAGAGGGAATTACAAGGAATAAATAAGGGTTCATGCCTAAAATACCGTTGTCCTCCCTTCCACTCAGATTTACCTTTTGCATTGTCAAGGGACAGAGACATAAATCTCTTTGACTAGATAATTAAGGGCGGGGAATCAGTGGCACTTTTTCCCACAATTATTAAAATTGAAGGAAATACTGTAATTTCATCAGATAATATACTTCATGTGGAAACTTCTATGGCTTTCCAATAGCCTAACCAGTTGAAAATATCAGAAAAGTGAATGAAACACTAGATTGAATGGGATAAAGTTAAAAACAAAATGTTTATATTCTCACAATGATAAAGAAACAAGGTTTTCATGAAGTTAGTTGAATTTATTACCATTTCTTATTTTGATATGCCTATTGTCCTAGCTTGGCCAGTAGGAACTCTTTTATGCTGGCTTCTGTGTATTTGAGTATGTCCCATTTACTCATTGAGTACTTTCTTACATTCTGTCACCAGAAGGCTCAAGGTGTACATTCTCTTCCCAAACTCTGGGATTAGCTATTTCTCCAAGCATCTCTGTTTTCTTGTATGGAGGATGGCATTTATAAACAAACATCTGGGTGATAGATGTATTTATTGCTACTGGGATATCAATGTTTCCAGGTTCTCCCAGTGAAAGGAGCTAGAGAATATATGCATACATACATTTACACCTATTTGTATTTTTGCATATGTCAGTATATATTGAAAACCTTGACTTTACATTTATACTTCCAATTTTAATCCAACACCATGAAGTTCCTTCTAGTGTCCTCCTTTTCCATATGGATATCATATGGATAGTAAAAAACCTGGCTCTCAATATCTTCAGTATATGTACTAATCCGATCTCCCTTACATGTAAAATCTTTCAGCACCATGCCTGGCTACTTCTGCCCTCAAAATGAATATCTTCTTAAACCTTTCACAGCCCACAATTGTGTTCTAGGCTGTCCATCGTCATCTTTTCCTCTACACAGCCAACCTACTAAACTCGTGTGGGCTCTAACCTCATAATACCATGCATCAGGTTGAGCCACTATATTCCCATCATCCATTATGGACCCCTACCTCACTTGGAAGGAAGAGAAGAAAGAGTAAAGGAGAGAAAGAGGATTTTCTCTATAGGCAGAATATATTGCATGAGTTTCTGATGGGCTGTTAACACCCATAACCTCAGTGTTCTCATTTAATGTACAAAGATGGCAAATTTAGGAAGCATATACAATCTTAAGTCACATCAAATCATACCATTTCCTTTTTATAGTAACTTAAGCAAATGTGGCAAAATACAGATACATCTATTCATTTCCAGCTTTGATGTCTTTTTTCAACTAAGAAAGTAGAAGCCATGCCTTTATACTGCATGGCTACCATACCGCTCAACTTGTCACTAATGTGAGTATGCCTAGGTATAGTCGGTTGAAATCCCCCTTGGGCAACAAGTCACATCAGTGTGAATAAGGAATAAGCCCGTGTTACTTTTGATCTTGTCAGTGCCGTCTGGTCTCCATTGAGAGAAGGAAAGGGCCGAGAACTTAGATCATAAACTTTGACAAACCAGTTGCTATGTGGAATTCCAGATATTAAACTGTGCCACATTTTTAAAGGATTGTAGAGAGGTTAATCCCTGAACCCACATTCCAACAGACAGGTAACCATGTAGCAGTAAGCAAACAAAAAATCAGCCCAAAGGCTGATGTTAATTTAATGGCTGTACTTTTATGACTTCTAAATGTTCTTGGAGAGCTAGACTCATCATTAGCTGGCTAATATTAACTACGAAATATTTGGCAACTCACAGAATCTTGACACACACACATATATGTATATAAATATACTATTTTAGTTACTATAGCTTCATAATATAATTTGAAGTCAGAAAGTGTGATGCCTTCAGCTTTGTTCTTTTTTATCATGATTGCTTTAACTATTTCAGGGTCTTTTGTGATTCTATACAAATTTGGGGATTGTTTCCCTACTTCTGTGAAGAATGTCATTGTTATTTTAATAGGAGTCACATTAAATCTGTAGATCATTTTGGGTAGTATGGACTTTCTAACAACATTAATTCTTGGAATCCTTTATCATGGCTATCTTTTTGTTTTTTATACAGATGTGTCCTCTTGCATTTTTTTCATCAGTGTTTTATAATTTTTCATGTAGAGATCTTTCACTTCCTTGGCTAAATTTATTCTTAGGGGTTTTTCATAGTTATTGTAAATGGAATTGCTTTCTTGATTACTTTTTCAAATTGATTGCTGTTAGTATATAGAAATGTTACTGATTTTTGTATGTTGATTTTATGTCCTGCAATTTTCATGAATTTATTTCTCAGTTCTAAGAGTTTTTTGGTGGAATCTTTAGGTTTTATAACATATAAGATCACGTTATCTGCAAACAAGGACAGTTTGACTTCTTCCTTTCCTATTCAGATACCATTTATTTCTTTACCTTGCCTAACTGCTCTGTCGAGGACTTCTAGAACTATGTTGAATAAAAGTGGTAAAAGAAGTCATCCTTTTCTTGTTCCAGATGTTAGTAGAACAACTTTTAATTTTTATCTGTTCAGTATGATATTAACTGTGAGTTCATCAAATATGTCTTTATCATTTTGAGGTATGATCCTTCCACACAAAATTTGTTGAAAGTTTTTATCACGAAGGGATATTAAATTTCACTGAATGCTTTTTCAGCGTTTATTAAAATGATCAGATAGTTTTTGTCCTTGATTCTGTTGACACGATATCTTATATTTATTATTTTGCATCTATTGAACCATCCTTGCATCTTTGGGATGAATCCCACTTGATCATGGCGAGTGATCTATTTCATGTGCTGTTAAATACAGTTTGCTAATATTTCATTGAGGATAAATCTTTAAGGTAATATATGAAGGGATCAAGTTATTTCTAAGTAACTGAACTATACCCTAGAACAAAGTTCAGTAATATATATATAGGAATACAAAAATACCAGCACCCAACAAGGTAAAATTCACAGTGCCTAGCAGCCAATCAAACATTACCAGAGCTTGGGAAACAAAGTAAGATCCTGCCCTAAAAAAAATTAAAAAAAAAAAAAATTAGTTAAGCTTGGTGACGCATGCCTGTAGTCCCAGCTACTCTGGAGGCTGTGGTAGGAGTGCAATTTGAACCCAGGGAGTTAAGGCTGCAGTGCACCATGATGTGCCATTGCACTCCAGCCTGGGTGACAGAGTAAGACCTTGTCTCAAAAAAAAAAACCAGTCATGGAAAGAAGTAGGAAAATATGACCTATTCTAAGTATTAAATTTTGAAAAAAGAAAGAATTAAAATGAATCAACTGAAACCAATCCAGAAATGATACAAATGTTACAATTAGCAGACAAGGATATTTTCCATATTTTAAAAAATTCAAGTAGAGACATAGAAGAAGATATATTAAAAAAAAAAAAACTTCTAGAAATAAACAATACAATGTCCGGGATAAAAAATACAATGAAATGTATGAATAGCAGATTAGTCATCACAGAAAAAAAGATTTAGTGTGCCTGAAGACATGGCATTAGAAACTATCAAAATGAAAAACTGAAATAAAGATAATTGAAAAATAGAGTTTCTCTGAGATACAAAATTCATCTAAAATGCGAAGACATAGACAAGTCAAAACAACTTCCAAGGCCAGGCGCAATGGCTCACGCTTGTAATCCCAGGCGTGGGAGGCTGAGGCAGGCAGATCACGAGGTCAGGAGATCGAGACCACCCTGGCTAACACGGTGAAACACCATCTCTACTATAAATACAAAAAAAATTAGCCGGGGCGCCTGTAGTCCCAGCCACTCGGGAGACTGAGGCCGGAGAATGGCATGAACCCAGGAGGCGAAGCTTGCAGTGAGCTGAGATCGCACCACTGCACTCCAGCCTGGGCTACAGAGCGAGACTCCATCTCAAAAAAAAAAAAAAAAAAAAAAAATTCAAAAAAGAAAATAGTTGGAACACTAATACTACCTAATTTCAAGATGGATATAATTTATAGTAATCAAAGCAGCATAGTTTTGACATCAAAATACCCAAATAGATAAATGGAATAGAACAGAGTGTACAGAAATAGGCCTACATATACATAGACAACTGCTGTTTTGGCAAAGGTCAAAAGGCAATTCAATTGAGAAAGAATAGTTTTTCAAAAAATGGTTTTGGAACAATTATATATCCATATGTGGGAAAATAAACTGATCTATACCTCATACCATACATGAAAATTAATTTAAAATGGATTGTAGGCCTAAATGCAGAGCATAAAACTATAAAACTTCTGTAAGAAAATATAGAGAAAATCTTTTTGACCCTGGTTTAGACAAACAATTTTTAAATATTACACCAAAGCATGATACAGCAAACAGAAAATTGGTAAATTGTACTTCAGCAAAATTGAATATGCCTGCTCTTTTAAAGACACGGTTAAGCAAATAAACGAACAGGCCACAGACTGGAAGAAAATATTTACAAAGTATATATCTGCCAAAGAACTTGTATCTCCCCAAAAAAACTATATTACATATTCTCAAAACTCAATATTAGGAAACAACCAACCCAATTTAAAAACAGGGAGATGATTTGAGCAAATACTTCTCCAAAAATGAATACAGATAGCAAATAAGCACAGGTAAGATACTCAACATCATTTGTTATTAGGGATATATAAATTAAAACCAGAACACTAACAGTACACACTTATTAGAATTAAAATTACAGTACTGACCATACCAAGTGTTGCAAGGATGGAGGACAGCTAGAGATTTCATAAACTGGTAGTGAGAATGAAAAAACACTACAACCATATTAAAAAACAGTTTGACAGCTTCCTAAAAATGTAAACATACACCTACCATATGATCCAGCCATTCCAGTTCTAGGTATTTACCCCAGAGAAATCAAAACATATGTCCATACAAAGGCTTGTATGCAAATGTTCATAGCAGCTTTATTTGTAATAGCCCCAAACTGGAAACAACTCAAATGCCCACCAACAGATGAATGAGTAAACGAATTGTGTGGTGTAGTCATACAATAAGATATTACTACTTAGCAGTAAAAACGAATGAATTACATTCAACAACACATGCGACAACATGGATGAATCTCAGAATAATTGGGTTGAATAAAAAAAGCCATAAACAGAATGATTAAAATACTATTTCAAATGGCTGTTTAATATTCTATCTTTGTATTTTGTAGTTTGTAATATTAAAGCTATAGATAGCCTTGAAACCTTCAAAATACTATGAAAATATTTCATTCATTTATCAAATTATTCCATTTTTATAAAATTCTAGAATATGTAAACTAGTGTATACGGAAAGCAGATTTTTGGATGCCTAGGGACTCATGAGGGGGCAGGGGAATGGGAGGAATTACAAAAGCCATGGGGAAACTTATGGGGTGATCATTATGTTCACTCTTTTGTTTGTAGTGATGGTTTTATGGGTGAATACATATGTCAAAACTTACCAAGTTGTACACTTTAAATATGTGCAGTTTATTATATGTCAATGACTCTTCAGTTAAGCTGTTAGAAGGAAAAGAAGGCAGAGAAGCAGGAGGAAGCAGAACAGGAGGAGGTGGTGGATAGGAAGGAGGAGGAAGTTGATACGTAAGTTTAGAGAAGAGGGGTTTGCTAGAAATATAAATTTGGTAGTCATCAATGTATAGATGGTACTTCAAATCCTGGGAATGAATGAAATCACCTAGGACAGATTAGTCAGAAAAGACAGGTGACCTAGGATACTGCCTTAAGAGAACACCAAAATGTAGAAGTTTAGGATGAAGCGGGTCATAGCAAACTGTTCCGTTTTTTTTTTTAGGTTGTTCAAATACAATATCAAGTGAAGCATCTAATAATTTTGTTTACTACAGGCTGAACCAGTAGGTCTACAGATCCATTCACAATAGTTTGTAACTTGACTATTTTTGTGAATTTTCATACTTGTTTCTATTCATAAGTTCAGTATATTTACAATTATTATTGATTCAAATTTATAGGAGATGTCCTTCCCCCCCCCCCAGTGTTAGTATTTATAAAAGTTCCATTCAAAATTCTCTATAATAGTGAAAATATTTCTTGGATTTCTATGAAATATGCTAGCATATTCTGAAGATACAATGGGTTCTAACTCAACGTTAAACTAACAGCATTATAGATGGCATATGTCATCAATAGAACATAAAATATTAAATATTCACAGAAATAAAGATGTGGAAATTTGTCATTTTAATTATTATTTATTAAACATGTGCCAGTATATCCTAAATTAACCTTGTGAGAGTTTAAAAGTGAGTACAATTTAAGCTTAGTGTAAATTCTTTCAAGTGGCTAAATTAATTTTGTCTGTTTATTTCTATTATGTCATCTTAAAGCTATAGCCCTGAAACCTTCTAAATAATACAGAAACATTTCAGATTAAATCCATGTATTTATATCAGAAATGGAATTCTGTTTTCAAAAACCAAAAAATCAAATGCATCTCTTGCCTCAATCTTCCTTCCTGCTCAGAATATGCACTCTGTCTCTTTCAGCTTTTCTGCCAATACTTCGAAGAGTCACTATGCTCACTGGCTCCACATCCCATTCCTTGCAGCCACGTCAGTCTTCTAAGACTGCTCTCTAAAAGGCCACCATGAGTTCTCAGTGGTTAGCATCCCTAAACCCTCTTCTGTTCTCCAGCTACTTGAGCTTGCTGCAACAATGGATGCTGAGGATGGCTCCATTCTTTTCACAATTCCCCTTTTTTTGGTCATCTGAAATGTTACCTCATCTTACTTTGCAGACTATCTCTTTTCAGTTTCTGAGTTTTTCTTCTCAGTTTAAATTGTGAATTTTCATGGTTTCATTTTCTACTCCTTTTCTTCTCTTAACTTCTTCCTGGATAGTCTTATCTCCATACATATTTTTAGCTCCCACCTCCTTCCTTAATTATTTGTATTTTCATGAAATAAAGACTATTTTCCCTCTTGGAGCCAAAGCACCCTTGCCTACCTCAGTTTCTTGGCTAACTCCAACTGGACTTGGAAGACTCAGTTCAACAAAATATGTAACTGTTAACAGCTTAGAAGTCATATCTATTCAACAATAAACAAGTCTGTTAGCAAAAAATAAAACTTACTAAACAAAATGACAATCAGACAGTTCATTCCAATTTTTGACAAATTTACTTGAGGGGTAGTTTTCAGAAAAACAAACAAATATACAAACTGGTAGTTGTCAGACAGTGGCTACTATATAAAAGCTGTGAGTAAAGGCATTGGAGAGCAAAATAAAGGAAAAGGTATGAACTCACTTTGCCTGCAGCTGGGACTCATTTTACATTAATCTTATATTGAACATGCTCTTTAGCTGAAAGTAAACAAAAGTAAATTAAGGTGAAATTTGCAACCAGAGCATACTGCACTATGCTGAAACTTAGAGAAGCTCTGTTTGTAGTATTTGTGATGCTTCACTGTTGTAGATGAAACAGACTTAAAGTGCTGACGCTGAGTTATGAAATCTCTTGGACAAGGTCCGAGATATTCCTATAATGAGGTCCATCTTAGTGGTTAAGGAACCCAGAGGTTTTGGAAAAGCTTTATTCCTAATGGAAGAACATGTCTTATTTTCACAAAGCAACAATAACAAATTTATCTAAATTTTTAATATAATTATTCACTGAACAATTTTTTCATCTAAATCGCAGTTTATGATCAATAAAGCATGTAAAATTTGCATCTATTGGTTATTATATATAGTCACTAAAATTAGCCTGCACCAAGTAATCATTGTTTTTATTTCTGAGAAATATTTTCTTTGCATTTTCTAAACAAAATTTTAGTGCTTATATCTGTCATAATCTGAAATTTCATATAAACCTCAATTTTTACATTTCTATCAATATATTACATGTTTGCATTTGATTTAAAAAACTATGTGTGTGCTTATGGAGAAAGAGACAGAGATAAGGACAGAGAGAAAGAATACAAAAGAGAATGGGGTTAATAGATAATATATAAATTTAAAAATATTCAAGTTAATTTTTTATATGAGATAACTAATGTGTGGATCATAAAATGAAATATTAGAAATTTTGCTACACATAATAAATTTTAAATTATAAAATTTAAAATATGCTTATTTTAAAGATTTCCATATTCATGTATGAAAACATTAGTATACTGTTCATTATGTTTTCCATAGCATGCCTGCTTTTCTTGAGTTCTGTGATCATTTTTACATCTGAATCCTGTGAAAACATTTATCAAGCTCTCTAAATAAAAATTATTTTTATAACTATTCCTCTCTCAGCATTTCTTCTTATTTATACAGTAACAGATAACATTATGATGTAGGATTTTTCTTCTTAGTCACTTTGCAAGCCGGGACCTCTGGCTGGCGACACCCTGCCCAGATCCCACTAGGCCATGCTGGTGTGTCCCAGCTCACTTGTGTTATAGTTTGTACCCACATTCGGTGGTTCCCCAGCTCTTGTACTGCACCCAGGAAAATGAGGATATGCTGGACACCGAAGAGTGAGGAGGACAGAGAAGAATTTTATTGAGCAATGAAACAGCTTTCAGTGGAGAGGGGATGTGGGGGTGGCCCTCCTACCCAAAGGCAGGAAATTTCCTTGTGTGACTTGGTCCAAGGCCTTTTATGGGTTGAGAATGGGGAATGCATACTAATTGGTTTGTGAGTATGCAAAAAAGGTTAAAGTGAAAATACCACTCAAAGGTGGGCAGGACAGTGTAGAAAACCAATTAGGAAAGGGTAGGTATATGTAAAATAGGTGATTGGGGGGATGAATCAGAGGAATGTGCCAAACAGGAAGAGGTGTTCTCAACCTGGTCCAAGGATTTAATTTGTAGCTTGGCTATCAGGCTTTAAACTGTCTTTGACTTGGAGGTGGGGTTTAACCAAAAACACAGCCCTATCTGCCTAGGCATTTGGCTGCCTCCTGCCACTCTCAGTCAGTACATATGTACATTTAAGAAATAAAGACATTGTATTTTGTATTATTTGATGGAGCTTTACTAGAAATAAATTATATGCATTCTGTTTTAACATGAGAACAGAAAATTATAAATCTTAGTGGAGAGACTACAAGTATAGGGTAGGTAGGTCAATGACATTTATAAAGAACATTATCTTTTTAAATTTTTTTATTTTTATTATTATACTTTAAGTTCTAGGGTACATGTGCAGGTTTGTTACATAGGTATACATGTGCCATGTTGGTTTGCTGCACCCATCAACTCATCATTTACATTAGGTATTTCTCCTAACGCTATCCCTCTCCCAGCCCCCCACCCCCCAACAGGCTCCAGTGTGTGATGTTCCTCATCCTGTGTCCATGTTTTCTCATTGTTCAACTCCCACTTATGAGTGAGAACATGTGGTGTTTGGTTTTCTGTCCTTGTGATAGTTTGCTGAGAATGATGGTTTCCAGCTTCATCCATGTCCCTACAAAGGACATGAACTCATCCATTTTTATGGCTGCATAGTATTCCATGGTGTATATGTGCCATATTTTCTTTTTTATTATTATTATACTTTAAGTTTTAGGGTACATGTGCACAACGTGCAGGTTTGTTACATATGTATACATGATCTTAAACAACTGTCCATTAACAAGCCAACAACTGTCCATTAACAAGCCCCTGAGCATACTGCTTGGCGGACACATTTAAAATACAGAGAAGAGCCTGCTAAGACCTTGATTTCAATTACTCTGAAGTTTCTTGTGGGGTAACCTTAGATGTCCATGAGGAAAGGCCATTGTAGTTAGTACATTTTTTATGACTAATAAGATTGAAGTACATTATCTAGTTGAGTTTTAGGTTTCAAGAGTTTAAAAAGGGTAAAGATGTTAAACTTTACTACTAAGCAAAACCCTGGAGTACTAGAGATTCCTCTCTGTAGAAACCTGTCTTGTCAAAAGTTTTTGAGTTGCTGTCTAATATCTATACTTACTTTTATCAGAACATAACTGAAATTACTGTTGCATATTAATAGTGAAAGCAAGCTTCTCAGCTAATCAACAGATGCAAACTTCCCCCATGGTTCTAATAATGTGGGCTTTCAGAATAGTTTTATGATTCAAGAAGTCTAGCTCATTAATTTTGAAAAGGACACTGCAAAACATACACAAACAAAAAACATTTTGCAGAAGAGTTAACTTAAAGGAACAAAAGGAGAAAGCTCATCATGAGTCTGGTGGACTGCTCTTTATGCAAAAGGAGTATTTGTACTTCTTTATTTTCATGTTTCCTTTGAGTTCTGCTGGTTCAGGTTCACATAATCAAAAGACTTCTATCCTAAACAAGTGATTGTCACTGTCCAGCATTTAACACAATAGCAAACAATTACAAACTGCTACAATTTGTTGCTGTTTCATGATTTTTAAGCATGCATGTGAGAAAGTTAGAATTGCTACATCGCATTAGTCCATCACTCCCGACTTCTTTTCACATTATATATATTTGAGAAAAGAAAAGAATTTGGTTTTATAAATATGTTGATGGAAGAAACTGCTCAAGGAAAAGCTCAGAAAAATACTCTTCAGATTTTTTTGCCCAACAGCATGGCTTAAACATATTTTTTTTCCTCACTCAGAAAAATTACTTTTTAAACTAATTTTCTAATGGCTTATGACATGAAGTGATCTAATTTCTTTCTTTTTTTTTTTTTTTGAGATGGAGTTTCACAGTTGTTGCCCAGGCTGGAGGGCAATGCTGTGATCTTGGCTCACCGCAACCTCCGTCTCCTGGGTTTAAGCAATTCTCCTGCCTCAGCCTCCCGAGTAGCTGGGATTACGGGCACACGCCACCACCCCGGCTAATTTTTTTGTATTTTTAGTAAAGACGGGGTTTCTCCATGTTGGTCAGGCTAGTCTTGAACTCCTGACCTCAGGTGATCCACCTGCCTCGGCCTCCAAAAGTGCTGGGATTACAGGTGTGAGCCACTGCGCCTGGCCTGATCTAGTTTCTTATTGTACTAGAATAATCGTTAATGTTCTTCACAAGTAATACCATTGATGTTCATCTTTAAAACAGTAATAAGCTGGAAACCCTATAAGGATATAAGTAACACACTTGTGAATTAGCAAAACTTTTGTATCTTCTCAAATGAAAATCACTACAAAATCTTTATCTTGTCTCAGCTTGAGTTTAGAACTAACATTCCTAAATTATTCTGTTTAAAGTAAGAACAGATAGGTGCCTGAATATTGCAATCCAATGTTAATGAAAAAAGTACACACCCTTCCAGCTCCTCCTTAGAGCTGGTGGAAAATACAATCAAACTAACGAACATAAATTTTCAAATGACTGAAAGCCATGATAAATGGGATATAGTCTTACTCTAAAATATGGGGTTTCTCATCATTAATTATATTCTTAATTATCAAATCTAATATTTTGCTTCTGCCTTCTTGCATTTCTAAGACAGTGCCACTTTATTTTCAAAACATTTACTGTTTCTAACTTGAGAATGTTTCCGTAACTTTCTATCGGGGGCTGTGCAGAGTTCTCTTTATGTATGTGAAGCACATTATCGTTGAATAAATATCATTATTCTCCCAATCACACTTCCCCAGCTCAGTAGTTTTATGGGCCCCAGTGAACCACAAAAGCCTAAATTGTCTAGAATCAATTTCATAGTTTTTCCTCAAAACCCCCCAAAAAGTGATCAGCAACAGCTGTAAGAACATCAAGGACTCATTGCATGAGAAACACGAGCAAAACACATCAGTAAGAGACAAATGCCTTTTTTCAAGGAATGCAAAGAGGTTCTAAGTAGTAGTCAAAGACAAGACAAGTTGACTGCCTGGAACTTGTACTTCAGCATGGAAGCACTGAGCACCAACACGGAATTCCGAAGGAGAGTAATTAAGGGAGGCCAAGACAGCAACCATGGGTCAGAGTTTGACACTAAGTCACAGTGTGGGTGGCAAGGGGAGAAAGATATGACTGAAGTTGCTCTGAAGTGTATTTAGCAAAAGCAAGTGAAGCTGTATCCCAAATTGGCAATCATTTTACATATTTCAGCCAACTTTGAGCCCTCTAGTCTCCGTTTCCATACCCTGTTCAACAAAATCACACTGCACAATTTCCCTACAAAGCTAATGCTTATGACCTGGTGAATATCCTACTATATGAATCATTCTTATGTGATGATAGATAGATTAAATAGATGGATAGATACATATATATGTAGATCACTGCTCAGGGTCCTATTATACAAACTTTTCTGCACCTCCACTTCTTCCTTAATAATAAACTTTGAAACTCCCTGGATGACATTGATCTAATTCTATTCTTCTTGATGACTTCATCATATTATTGATATGCCACAATTTATCTAACCATTCTCTTACCAAAGGATATTCTATTTGCTTTATCTTTTCGTTCATTTGCTACCACAAATTATTCATGCAACAAGTCTTAATACACTCTATGCGCCTGTTCAACTCCAGGAATAGAGCAATGAACAAAACAAAGTTCCCACTTTCCTAAAGAATCCATTCTAGTGGAGGGGACAGGCACTAATTTAATATGTAACATAATGTTATATTTTTATGAAGCTAAACAAGGGGATACAAAGTTACAGGAAATTTCTTATTACTTTAAATGGGGTAGCCAGGGAAGAGCTCTCTGAGGAGGTATTTGATCAGAAACCTGAATGACTTGAGGGAGTAAGCCATGAGGCCTGTTAAGAGAGGAGCAATCCAGTCAGAAGGAACAGCAAGCAGCAAGCACCCGAGTTCTGAGGGAGAGATACTCAGCGAGACTGGGAACACTTGTGAATGCCACTACAGTAAATGCAGAGTGACAGAAGGGCAGGAAAAGGGACCAGACATATATCTTGCCCAAGGTCCAGGTGATGCAGTGCCTGGTAGGCTATAGAAGGAACTTCAGCAAATGCCACAATAAATATCCACATATATTGCTAGATTCATCTCCAAAAAGGCTATCAGAACTCACATTTCTATGAGCAGTCTACAAACATAGGCAGCCAGGTTCCAAAGTCTATGCAGCAGCTGTTTGTCAGCCGTTTCAGTTTGCTTTTAAAAAACATTTATCTATAACTTGAAAAAGTATTAGGAGAGTGAAATATCTGTATATAAAAGCTACACAAATGCAAATATTCTTGTTAGTTTATCACATCTGTCAAACCCAGAAAGCTCTGTATATTAGACCCATCAGTGGGAAACCAGACAGTTTCACAGTGAAAAAAAATCTCCATCTGAGAAAAATAAAATAAAATTCTGGTATAATCTCTGGTCCAGTTACCTCTGGAGAAATAGTTGACAGGACTAGAACTGGGGACTACAAATTGGCAGTGGCCACACACAGCTATAGGACAGAATAAGTTGCTAAGAGGCCTAACATGTATCATCATGAGATAGAATTTTCTAGGTTGGAAGGAAATGGTCTTTTTAATATGCCAAAATGTTGACTTTCAACTATAATCATAATAAAGCAATTTATATCAATAAAAATACATAAAATGGGTAAAAATAAAAGCTAAAGGAACTTGTTTTAGTTATTATTGTCCAATCTTTTCTTAAAACCTCTGGTTTCATCTTCTTCCACTGACATCTTACATTCTGTGAAGGAGGAAGTAGGGGGGATGGAAACGGCTTTAAAGAAGCACAAAAGGCCTGAAGGTCAATAGGGAGGCAAATACTCAAAGAATGAGAACCGCAGATATCTAATAAAGTCTATGTTGCCTTTTCATGCAAAAGGCATAAGGAATGCTTAATCATCTAATATTTACAATGTAGGAAAAAGCTATTTCACGTTGAAATTTGTAGCATTTTTGGGTGATTATGAAACCCTCATTTAAAATAGCCATGTATCCTCTATTTAGCAAACCAAGACTACAAGAAATCTTAGACATGATATTAATACCCCAAAGTTTAAAACTCCAGATGTGAAGAAAAGCCAGAGAATGCCTGCTGTGTAATAAGGCCTATATCTCTTTGGAATCATGGATTTAATTAAGTTTCAATTTGCATCTTGGGCAAAAAGATAGACTGTTAGAATGAAACAAAAAGAAAGAGGGAAAAAGCCTTCTAAAAAACAAAGTGTCAATAAAATTTTAGTTATATTCTCTAGCCATCATTTGGCTTTTAAAATTCTGATAACATTCCCTCAAAAAACAAAGCATTTCCTTTTGTCTAGACAACATAACCTGCTTCTGTCTCAGATAGGCCACTTGGGAACCCAGGATCTGACTCATTTCCCTCACACCATATATGATTCCATATAAAACAGGGCTATATGTCCCTTCCACAGCCCAAATAGGGATCCCCAAAAGGCGGTGCTTCCTATCATTCTTGGGCCAATGTTTTCACCAAGTTCTGTTTGAAAATGTATTTGTTCCTGTTTTCTTTGCACTTACCTTGTGAGGTCTCATCTCCATGACATCTGACAGTGGCTTTGGGTGTTGCCTAAAGAGAAAGCAGCAAGCAACAGTTACAGAGGTGGTTTCCTGTGGAGCAGGCAACTTAACACAGCTAAGTTCAGGTCATTCTCTGAATACTAAAACTGAGAAGTCAACGATAGTGTAATATCAGATAGCTAAATGTTTTCACTATACCCACACATGTAGTAAAGAATTTAGGCTGCTGAATTTTCTTTAACTACAGGGTTCTGCTTTTCAAAAAAAATGTTTTCAACTTACAAAGACTTTTATAACAGACTGCCTTTTTGAGAAAGGAAAGCCTTCTTTCTTTATATTATCCAGGAACCATTATACGCATCCCATAGAATGTATTGCTGATACTTCTTAGAAGTATCTTCAGAAAAGGGTCTTATCTTATATTTATTATCTTATATTTATTTATATATTTATTATATTATATTATATGTTATATATAAATATATTATATATTTATATAATTATATATTATATATTTATATATAAATAAATATATTATATTATATATTATATAAATATTTATATTTATATATAATGTATATAATATTATTATATATTATATATATTTATTATATATATAATTAATATATAATAAAATTATATATTATATATATTTATTATATATATAATTAATATATAATAAAATTATATATTATATATAAATATATTATATATTTATATAATTATAAATTATATATTATATATAAATAAATATATTATATTATATATTATATATAAATAAATATTTGTATTTATTTATATATAATATATAAAATATTTATATATTATAAATAAATATAAGATATAAAATACCAGTAAAATGTGTTCCTAGGAGTTGAATATATGCATGCATATGGCATTTGCTTGTTTGTTCATTGATTCATTTATTCATTCAATGAATTTACTGAACATATATTGAGTTTCTCTTTTTTGTGCCCTGAGGATATAACCACAAATAAGACATAATCTCTGTCCTCAATAAGTTCATAAAATCTTATGATTTTATGGGAAATCACAAGATGGGAAAAGAAAACTGGACAAATAATTATGAATATTATGTGAGAATTACAACAATAGGAATTTATATAGAATACATTGGGCCTCAAGTGGGGAAACGGGCATTCTAATTAGCGTAAAAGAGCTGATCAAAGGAGTTGATTCTTGAACTGTGGTAAAGAATATTGTGTGGTCATTTTTCATGCAAGGAAGTGCATTCCCAGCTGGGAGTCTAGCATATTCAAAGATCCAGAGGCACAAAACAATATAGCACTTTCTGGTAACTGTAGCTAGTTCTATATTGATAGAGTGTAGAGGACTCTAAAAAGGAATAAGACTGAGATATTAGCAAAATGATTTTTAACATCAGGAGGCATTTCTTTCAGAGAACAAAAATAAATAACAAGTATATCCATGAAATACTTCTTGAGAAATATTTTGGTTAAAGATTGAACACTTTGAAGAACAATTAAGTATGAAGCACTTCAATACTTTGGCTCATGTCTGAAAAATACATAGATATTGCATATTTTCACAATGGCAAATATTCAGACTAAGTGCTAACACATGAAGCTGAACTAGATTATAAAATACTAATCTCTTTTGAGGAAACTATATTTTTATGTATCAGAATGGCTTAGAGCCAATAGAAAATTACAGCCTGTATAATAGTGTCTGGCACAGAGTAGGCTCTCAACAAATAGGTGTTGATGGAAATACCACATTGAGGCAGCTTTTGGCAAACAAAGAAATGCTTTGGGCACCAACCCAGGCTCTCCAGCTTAAAACTGTTACTGCTCCTTCTGCAATTAGAGACTTTTTCCCTTGTGATTCATAGAGTTGCATTCATTATATCTCTTTTTGGTCTCTGCTCCTAACTAACCTTCCTCCTAGCTCACACCTACCTAGAGATACCTGAAAATGTTTTCTCTAGGTATGTCTGGGCAGGTTCGAAGGATATAGCTATTATATCATTGGCCTTGGACATACAAACCAAAGAGGCACAGTTGCAGTTGCCAATATTGGTGGCAATTCAAAATGCTCAAATAAAAGGGGAAAAGCAAGAGATCCATGGACAACCACAATAAGAGAAGCAGAGCATCTCCCCCTTATTCTACCTTCTACCATTTGGGTGCATCCAGTTGGGGTAGAGGAGCTATGACAGGGAAAGAGAGAAAAGGGTAACTAAAGAACAGGTATGCTTAGCAGAAGGGGATCTAAGGTACCAATACAAAGTCTTGGGTCAGACCCAAATACCATTTCCAAATGCAAAATGCCCCTCAAGACTCACTGATTTCTCTACCTAGTGCATCACTTCCCAGTATATCACCAACCACTCCAGCTTCCTTCTGGTCCTCTGAAAAGGTTTCTCCTTTTTGTTCTGCAGCTGCTTCACTACTCTATTTTCATCAAAATTGAATCCAAGCACTTAGAAATCATGTGCTGGGTGGGACTTTAGATACTAAATTCAAACCTTTTGTTTCACATTTCAAGAAGCATTAGATAAGAGAAGTTGATCATTTTATTCAAAATTGTATTTCTGGTATGTTAAAGAGATGAACCTCTGTATCCTGACAACTCCTCCGTCCCCAAGTCCAAGGCCATTTTGACTATATCAGGCTATTTCTGCCTCTACTCAACTGGTTAGAAAATTAGTGCGGCTTACTACAGGTTTCACACATGAAACCTGTACTTCTCCCTCTCATTGACTCTTTCCAATAAATCACCAATTGGTATTGAGTTCTTTTTTTCCCATGTTCTGTACTTTTGTTTCATTTTCATCCACACTTAATCAAATAGTTTAGATCCCAGCCTCAGTGATCCTGCCTTTCCACGGGCCATCAGTCAATCTCAATTCTACCATATAGCATTCTTTCCCTCCTCTGAGCTTGTGTTAGCTCATCTGATTCATTTATTTTGCAAGCATGTATTTACCTTCTTGATTAAACTCTTGAATTGAAGAAGACTTGTATCTTCTCACCAAAAACATAATCTTCTTGAGGATAAAAACCACATTTTATTGGTTTCTATATTTACCCATCAACTGGGATCATGCACAAAGGAGAGAAATTCAAGAAATATTTGCACAATGAGTAGACTCTGGTAACAATGGATGCTTTAATGAAAGAAAGTTGTAATGAAAGATAAGCATTGCTTGTCACAGGGCCTTCAACTATAACTGTCTTGCTATATGGCTACCTTGTACCTTACCAACAAGTAAAACAGGCCAGGCAAAGGCGTGGATATTCTTTGGCCCTAACCTGTGCTTATGAATTAAATGAAGAGGGAGGAGAAAGAGTTGTTATTCAGCTTGTTCAGTTTAGAATGATATGCTCAATTTAATCATATCTAAAGTTCCATCCAGCTCCTAAGTTCTAAGTGCTATGATCTACATTGATACTCAGAATTTGAATCACTTAGATTTACAGTTTTTCAAATAGTTGTCCTAGAAACCCATAGTAAATCTAAGTAAATAACTTCATCCTTCAGCCCCTTACTTGATGAACCTTTGTCTTATTTCTGAGAAAATATAGGAGGATGTGCTCTAATCTGTGGGTATTCAGTTTATTCATTTTATGTCAAGACCAGAGGTCTGAAACCAAATGTGTTCCAGAAAATTCATTTAAAATTCAGAATGTTTTCCCTTATTAACAATATACTACATGGAGAATAGGACCTAAAATAGAATTCGTTCTATTGTTGAAGTACAGTATAGGTAAAATAAATTTTACTAGTAAAACTGAGGAATATATCTACTCATTTCATTTTTATGTATAGAAATTTGCATATAAAATTCCAGAATGCTGAATTCAAGTAAATATTTGGAACAAAATCTGTTCATAATCTAGGGACATATCTGTTTATACACTACTTACATTTTATCTAGTGAAATCTTATTTTTCTAAATAGAATGGTTATATATTCGCGTGTATTTATAGTCTCATCTTGATCATATGAAGGAAGAAAGCTTGATTAGCATTAATTTGCAATTACTTTGCAAAATCTCTTTTACTTCATCAGGAAGAAATCGACCATCACAGAGCACTTACTACATGTTACTGCTCAACACAAATTTCACGTCTATATATGAACATTTTAAACCTTAAAACTTTAAACCAAGCTTGTCCTATGCACACCCAACACAAATTCGTAAACTTTCTTAAAACATTAGGATATCTTTTTTCGTGATTTTTTTTTTAAGCTCATGGGCTATTGTTAGTGTTAGTGCATTTCATGTGTGGCCCAAGACAATTCTTCTTCCAGTGTGGCCCAGGGAAGCCAAAAGATTGCACACCCTTGCTTTAAATCTTCTTTACAATTTGAGATTTAGTAATTTATATTCATTTTGAGTTGAAGCAAAACTTGATCACTTAGTTTGGTTCAATTTAAATTACCTCAGCTGTAAACAAATAATACTACAGAGTACTGCAGAGGGTGTTTTTCTTTTTAAAAATAGTATCTTGCTCTTATTTACAATTGCATCTTACCTAAAAAGATGACTTGCATATGTTTTACACACATCTCTCTATGTAGAAGTGCAGCAAAAAAGATTTTATTCTAACAAACTTATTAACTACCAATTACATGTAGGAACATGTACCACTCTAATATCAAAGAACCAGTTGAGTTTGAAATAGATTTTCTCTGCTCTCGCTCAATCTTTGTGACTTGCTAGGGTGTATCTGATGTCTTTATCCACATTACTCAGAGGGAATCTCAGTAAAAAAGATTGGACTCAGTCTTTGGAGCAAGATAGATATGGATTCAAATCCTGGCTCTGTTTCCTGTTAACTGGATGATTTTTGAACAAGTTAATCTACCTCTCTAAGCCACAATGTCTTCATCTGTAAAATAAGGCCTGCCCCTGGGACAGATGTTCAGCCAGCACTCAGAGGTACTGACTGCCATGTTGTTTAACCAACAGTGAAACACTTCCATACATTGGTAAATAGCTGCTATGAAAGCCCACCAGTCCTCATGTCCCATTCTATACCAGAATCCTTTGACCTCCCCAAATTCAGGAACCAAAGCATCAATGCTTC
The DNA here is from genome assembly GCF_000001405.40 of Homo sapiens. NCBI lineage: Eukaryota > Metazoa > Chordata > Mammalia > Primates > Hominidae > Homo > Homo sapiens. The sequence continues at coordinate 181,118,902 of NC_000002.12, read as the reverse complement.
AACAAGTAAAGGGGCTTCTGGGATTCTACTCCAGTGCTGCCATCCTGATTGGTCAGTCCCCTTTCTACTGGTTGTTAAATATTTTTAAATTCCCTCTTACCTACCTCATAGAGGTTTTGTTGTTTGTTGTTTGTTGTTTTAGGACTTAGTGAGACAGCAATACCTAGGATTAGCAAGGATTTGCTGTCTTATCTGCCCAATCTCACAATGCTAGATTTGTCTGCTGTGGCTTATCAAGAAAATCCTCACGTGAAAAGGTCATAGAAGCTTTTACTCCCAAATTATTTCCTCCTTTCTTGCATTTATACTAAAGATGTGCAGTCATCACTGGCAATGCTGATTCATGCCTGTAGTGTAAATGTAATCAGCAATATTAAAATGTAGGGAAAAAATTTCTCGACTAGATCAAAATGGGTTAGCAGACTCAGTTTGAATTTTGAATGACTTATTTTTTACTTTTACACCAATCCATTTAATTAATGAAAGCCTATACATTGTTTCTGTTTATATACTTGTATGGTTTGTTGATGCTGTATAATCATAAGTTAAATACACACAAAATAACAGAGAGAAAAAAAGGTTAGCGATTGTTTTCAATTATAAGATATTAACAAATAATTGTAATTTCCTTATTTTAGCCAAAGAAAGGTTTAGTTCTCAAGACAAATAATACGATAAATTCCCTTTCCCCAAGTTTGTGTTTAAAGAAAATGGCTAATTCAGAAATATAAAAATCCAAAAAGCATATCAATATTTGACTTTGAAAAGATCAAGTGTATAATTAAGTAAATAGATGCACTGTGAAGGTGTTTGTTTCTTCCTAAGTATACTTGCTACTCCCTTTTATCCTGAGATGATCATGTGAGTGTACATCTCTATGTATTTCTACTCAAAATTGATCTGTGTGCATTGGATTAGAAGCACTTCTGCTCCCTCACAATTCCTGCTGGTCTGATAGGGTATAATTAGTGTAGAATATTAGGTAGGGCAGAGATCAGGTAGCTTGCCAATCAGATTTGCTATTGAAACAGTGGGTGTTACCACTTCTAGTCATTTCTGACAGTACTGTTAGGAATTAAATCATGGTATTAGCTGAGTGCTATTTGGCTGTGGAAGCCTAGTAGGTCATCAGTTTATTCCCCCACCCTCCAGACAAGTGGCAGGTGGAGCAGCACTATCCCCTGCTAATGCCATGAGCTGGAGGCTCTGGCCAGCAGATGAGAGTTTACAGGGTTTTGTTTTTTTTAATTCATCAGGCCATATGCTGCCAGGCTCTCATGCAAATAGACAAAATTACAAATAATAAAAAAAGGACCAACTGTTTTAGTGGTTGGCTGTTTTCTGTCATCATTGCCATCTATGTGAGAAGCCAGTTAATGAAAGAGGGGTCTTGGACTCCCAGTGACATCAACCTAAAGAGATGGATACTTCAAAATCCAAGCTTCATTCAAACCATGTTAAACCTCTGCCCTAAGGTAACTCAGTGCCAAGTGTCTCTTTGGCTGACAAGCAGGGAAGCTGGCCTTCCAGCTGGCCTTGAGACTGGGCAAGCTTCTCTAATGCTCCCTGCAGCTGAGGCCCATTGTCCACTGATGTGAGAAGAGAGAAAAGGCTAAGTTTTGCTTGGGTTGGGTGAAGTTGGGGCTCATGGGTTTATCAGATTCAGACACACTTTGAATAAGCAGCTTTAGAAATAGAAAAGGTGAGTCAATGCAATTTTCTGTTTTAAAATTGTAAGAAAATTAGATTTGTAGGCTGTTCAGAAATCTCTTTTTAATATCAAAGACTGCAAGAAAACCTCTCCAAGTAGATTCTAAACTCTTGAAATACTTGCATTTAAAATTAAAATGTTGCTAAACTTTTGTATAATTTCTGCTATTGCTATATTCATAATTATTACCAAGTTTCCAGTCTGTACAAATGGAGAATTTCACACCCTTGATAGAATTCACACATTTATTTCCCATTTTAAGGCAGTAAACCCTCAACCAAAAAAAATGAAGTAGACCAATTCTGAATTCATATCTATATGCATATATTTAAAATAATTCCATTTTAGAAATGTTGTGCTAACATTCATTTGCACCTCTATCAGGTCACTTTGAAACCATAATTTGCACCTTTTAAAAAGACAATTCAAAACCAGTTTTACTCGATTAATATGCAATGTTTTGCAGTTCAAAAATAGTCAAAATAAAAGTATCACATAAATATGTATACATGCAGGTGTGATAGTAAAACAAGTTTATGATGAGAGTCTCTTGTTCAACTCTTGCTACACAGCAAGGATATACTGAAGAGTGATTTTGTCCACAGTGGCCAAGGCACTACAAATGTCTTACAGGCAAGTAAATTATTTTCTGTCCTGTTTTCTCTGCCATGTCACCAAAGCCTGTGTTCCTTAATGTCTCACTGGCTTTGTTTTTACCTCTTGGCTAATTTGTAATCTCAAGTGTGATTATGAAACACACATAGGGTTAGCTTTATTGTCAGGAATGGTTCCCAGATCTACTGGGGAACAAGTCATTAAAAAAAAAAAAGAAAAGAAAGCTACAAATGTTTGCCTCTAACAAACTGTCATATTTACACTCCACCATAACTTGACAGCTTTTGAATGAAGAAAAATTGTTAGTTCATCGATGAAACTGGCATTGTTAGAAAAACTAGTTCCTACTGTATATAAATAATGACAATGAAAGATAATGCCCTTTTTAATTTTTCAAGAGACTTATTATTAGAGAGTCTCATAACAGGGAATAACAGGCTCAATTGTCACTGATTTTTGTGACTCTGTATTCCCAAGCAATTTGATTTTATTTTTCTAATTTGAAAATGTTTACTCCACTGGGAGAAAAGTTTCATTGGTGATGCTCACTGTTTAATGTCTTACAAATAAAGATCTACTATTCCAACCAGTTTAAAGCTGAGAAAATAGCAACCAGATTGACCTTAACTTGAATCTGTGTTGACAAAGTAATTCAGTCAGTTTGTGAAGGATAAATGACAAGATTTTCAAACATTTTTATCTTATGGGAAACTACATGAGTGAGGTGTGGAAAAGTATGTATATTCTAATATCTCAATAGGAAATTTCAAGATATATTGCTATTCACAATGAATTCTAAAATTTACAATTCTCATTTAATGGTGACAAACATTCTTCTGTCATAAGAAAATACATGCCAATAACAGGCAAATTTATTTACCTAATGTAAGACTGTATCTAGATATTACAATGTACTCAAGTATGACAGCCAATCATAAATTTTAGATACAAAATAGCTAATCAAATTTAGTGTTAAAGAAACCAAATACATAAACAACTTTCTTATGAAAATCCCACTCTTGATTAGCTAAAGTAATAAAGCCATAAACTAGTAAACTATAGATGGTTCTCATACATAGAAAGCAAAACATTTAATCATTTCCTCTATTAATTATTTTACATAAATAGTAGATTCAACCATTACTACATTCCTACTGAACTCCCAGTGATGTTATTATAAAGAATAAAGACACGGCACCCTGGAGATAAAGTTGAATTCATTCATTCCTTAATTAATATAAATTCCTCCTTTATATGCCACGTGCTCCCTGTTCTGGGCATTGGCCACCTGTGATCAAGACAGTCTCAGGTCTCACAGAAGGCCAAACCCTAAACAGGAAAATAAATAAATAAACATGATAATTAGAGGCTGTGATAAGAGCTATAATGGAAGTGAATAAGTTAATGTAAGAATAACTTCTAGATAGTTTAAAATGATTATTTTCCTGATGTGAAAGCATAGTTTACTTATGACATACTCAAAGACACACAAGATCAGAAATCCAAATCTTTTCAGAGCCAAAAAAGGCCTTAGAGATCATTCAATGCCACTTTCTCACCTTATAAGAATAAAGCTGAAGTTTGAGTGGGTTAAGTGGCTTACCTAATGCAGACATTAGCTGAACAATTAGCTTTTACTGTTAAAAAGTAAAGAAGCATTATTGATGTATATTAATTTACTAATTATTTCATGTTGGTGAGACATGCATTGAAATGGCATATCTAAATCTGGTTATCAATCTAGTTACAATGGGGAGAACCTATATAAATAATGGTCTTCATCTGATTATATTGTTTCATAACTCTTAGATGGCAGGTGAACCTGGATATTTAACCAAGCTCCCACTTTCTTTCCTTAATAACGATTTTTCTTTCCAGAATGATCTAAAAAGATTATATTCCTTGGATACTACATACAAATGTAGAGGCATAGAAAATATTAGCAAGAAAATGCTCCTCTAAACTTTGTAAGAAGGACCATAAAATATTAAAAATTTATAAGGCTAGATCATATTTTAAAGTTTACTTACTGTTATTAATAATAATAGAGGGCTTAAGATCATTTTATTATTACTATTTTCATAATCAAATTTGATCTTCAAACAAATTAGAATGTTAGAAATAGAAAAGATATTATAGTTCTTTTAGAGGTGATAAACTGAGATTTGAAGAGGTTAAGTGACTTACCCAGGTCACACAGGTGGTAAGCATCAAAGAGAATTGAAACCCAGGCTTCTCATCCCAATCTTCATGTGCTTTCACTAGAACATCTACCCCTCATAAACATGCATTACAGAGTCACTGGGTACCCAACATACTGCCAAGATCCAGGGAAGTTATGAACAAAGACATGTTCTTGCAAGTTCGTAGTCGAAATGTAAATATGACTGTATACACACACACACACACACACACACACGCACACATTGACCAGCTTGCTAGAAGAATTAGAAAAAAAATGGCCCTCAATGGCAAGGTCTTTCTACATAGTATCCCATTCACAAACCTCTCCCTCTTAAAATGGTCCGCCAGTAAATTCTCAGGTGTTAATAGTTTCCAATATCGAAGCACTATCTGGCCAGCTTGTGTTCTTGCTTTCTTTTCTCTCTCTTTTTTTTTTTTTTTTTTTTTTTTTTTGAGACGGAGTCTCGCTCTTTGCCCAGGCCAGAGTGCAGTGGCGCGATCTCGGCTCACTGCAAGCTCCGCCTCCCGGGTTCACACCATTCTCCTGCCTCAGCCTCCCGAGTACCTGGGACTACAGGCGCCCGCTACCACGCCTGGCTAATTTTTTGTATTTTTAGTAGAGACGGGATTTCACCATGTTAGCCAGGATGGTCTCGATCTCCTGACCGTGTTCTTGCTTTCTAAAGGTCATGTTAAAGATGACACCAAAGAAGCACATGTAAGTAGTTATAATAGGCTAATTTGCTTCCACTATTAACCTATAGTTTAAATATATATTCATTTTAATGTATATATATATACATTACAAAATATATACATTTCGACTATGAACTTGCAAGAACAATGCAGTATATTTAAACTATAATGGACAAACAGAGGCAGTATGAGATAGGGAAGTGCTTCAGCATCAAAACAGTTTCATTAACTAGGAAACTTGTCCTACCAGGCTAAAGAACCCACTACGGAAAATCAGTTATTCCACCATCTTGCAGCTACTTTTGGTGTTATTCAAGTCCAGCTCAGTACAGCATCCCTAACTACAGAAGAGCCTTCCAATGGGATTACCAATTGCTTGCTTAGAGATTTGTAAGTAAAGGTCTAAAATAGCCTGTTAAATCATGTGGTTTGGAGGCATTTCATGATCCTGACTTCTAGAACAAGCATAGATAATTAGTAAGGCTGACACAGCCCATTATTTTTACACTCAAATGCATCATGTTAAATTAACAGACAGAGGCCACATGATGTGTGACATTTTTTTCCACTGATAATCATTTCTGTGATGCCACTTTTGCTACCACACTTTTCTCTTCCGTGGGCTGGACTCAAGTAGCCAGTCACTAAACAGCTATTCCATCAGCTCTCACTTTTTTTTTTTTTTTCCTTAACTGAGAAAGCTATTTTGAGTCCTCACTGGTGGTACTCTCATGTGGTGGCAAAGAAGTTTGAATGAAAACAAAATATGAGCTAAAAGAGAAACAAAATATAGAGCTGACAGTACTTGAGATCTCAACATATTTAGGAAAAAAATATGAAACTAATTTTAAGGTTAGAAAAATAATTTTTGACTCTACACTTAATATTTTCAGAAGTGATATTTGTTAATCCTAATGAAATTTCTATTAAAATGCAGCTATCTTTTGAGGAATAAAGGAGAATATTCTACTCTATAGTTTCTAATTATATGATTTGTTATTTTATAAATTCTCATTTTCCTACATGAAAAAAATCAAGCTAAAAATTATATTATTGGTAATAATATAGATAGTGTACTCACATATATAGTGTGGCTTTCATTGTAGAAATAATGATCGATAAGTGATTGTTAAAATTAAGTAGCATGTAAGCATGAAACCAACTGCAGAACAGTGAAACCTATTTGGGACAACACATTGGAACTGGAACACATATATTCAAAGGTTTGTGGCCATGATATGATAGTTTCTTGTGTTTGTTTGTTTGTTTGTTTGAGACAGAGTCTGGCTCTATCGCCCAGGCTAAAGTGCCATGGTGCGATCTTGGCTCACTGCAACCTCCACCTTCTGGGTTCAAGCAATTCTCCTGCCTCAGCCTCCTGAGTAGCTGGGAGGCGCATCACCAGGCCCAGCTAATTTTTGTATTTTTAGTAGAGAAGCGGGTTTTGCCATGTTGGCCAGGCTGGTCTCGAACTCCTGACCTAAAGTGATATGCTGGCCTTGGCCTCTCAAAGTGCTAGGATTATAGGAGTGAGTCACTGCAGCAGCCACAGTTTCTTTAGAAGGAATCATGAAGCCAGTGCTGTTGCTATTTGGAATGAAAGAGAATTTTCAATACAAATGAGGAAAATTGTTCTTACTTCATAGTCACAGGTTCTTTCTTTTTTTTTTCTTCCTTCTGTACATCCTTCCTTCCATCTTCTTTTATTTTTTGACCTAAAACAATATTTTAAAAAATCAATCATTTGAGTAATTTACTATACGGTACATGGCTCCAGATGACCTTTATAAGTAAAATATCAAATCTACCATTAAATATTGAAGATTTGCCATCAGTGAAATATTCATTTGCCATTTAACTCATATTTGTAGTGTAACAAACACCTTTACTTGTAGAACTCAAAGTAATGAAAAATATTATCCCTTAAACACCGTACCTTTACTAATGTTCAATATAGCTAATTTATTTCATGATAGGACTTTTCTGTGGCTATGTAAAAAAAGTTTATCCCAAAACATAATCTATCTGAATTACAATAAAATAATTTAGCTTTGAAAATAGCACTCCAACTTATTAGATAATTAACCTTCTAAGTCTGCTATAAAACTTCACTGAGGGACGCTACTTCTAGCTAGCAAACTCTTTTTTCCAAACCTCTGTGTAGCCCCATTTACTTCTCCAGCTTTCTATACTTAGGAAGTATTATTGGCTAAGAATATATAATTCTAGATTTACCATTCAAGTTATTTCAAAGCACTCTATTCAGAAAAAAAATAATTTATCATTGTGCAGAACATCTGAAACATTAGCAATGAAAGTATTCTGATCGTCTCTGAGTTTTGTAAGGTAGACTTTATCCAAGACACTGCTCTAGGCTCTATGTCTCACTGATTAAGTCTGTCATTTATTGGAGAGCTGCAGGCTTCTCCCTGTCAGCTCAGGTTTGTGTGCAGATAAGTCATGTGTTTAAAGCACACTGAATATGTTAAAGCCACACTAACAGATGTCAAAAAAAAAAACAGGAGATATGGATGTCACTTTTAAAGCATCTCAGAAATGAAATCATCTGCGGAGGCAGTCTTAAGGGCCCAATGAGCAAAGGTACCTTGTCTATGATTGTCATAAGGTTACACAGCACTGGCGCCTTAAATTCTTTCAAACCTGTGAGGGGAAGTATCCCTGTGTGGAGGACTTGACTTCACAGGAGGACAGAAGCCAGTTGAGATCCTGTGATTCAAAATGATGCATTTGCCAGGTGTGGTGGCTTACACCTGTAATCCCAGCATTTTGGGAGGCCAAGGTGGGAGTATCACCTAAGCTCAGGAATTTGAGACCAGCCTGGCAACCATAGTGAGAATTCATCTCTACAAAAATCTTAAAAAATTAGCCAGGCATGGTGGTGCGCATCAGTAGCCCCAGCTAGTTGAGAGGTTAATATGGGAGGATAGCTTAAGCATGGGAAGCTGCAGTGCGCTTTGATCACGCCAATGCACTCCAGCCTGGATGACAGAGCAAAATTCTGTCTCAAGCAAAAACAAAAACCAATGCATTTGAGGAGGTCACCATTCCCTCAATATTACTCTTATTGACTTCCGACCACATGGTGTCTTCATTTCCTTGTGTTGGATTACAAAAACTGAGAGGAAGATAACAGAAAGATGATTGAAGTACATAAAGCCACTACAGATAAACTTCATTTTCTCACAATCTTGTCTGGGACTTCTCTTGATTATGAAGACATAACTCTGTAGATAAAAATGTAAACAGCCTTTCTCCATTAAGATTACCTCCTTTTTTTCTCATATTTAAGGTCCAATAAATTAAATGTATTTTGAAAAAAACTGGCATATATAAAAACATTTTACTAGCTGGATTTGTATCTACTTATTGACTTTCACTGTAATTTTAGGATTCAAAAAATATAAATCCTAAAAGTTAATTTAAATATCACCTGTGAGAATATGAGTGTTTACCTCTACATGCTTGGGATGAGAAAATCTTGCCTTTAGCCACTGCATCACCATCAGTATCCCATTGCTACTTCTAGAGTCTAGAATCTAGACCACTCATCTTTCTCTAAGCTTTGAGTGCCATATTATCATACATTATCACCACTCCTCTCCCTGTGGATCATCAACCAACTATTGGGTCATTTCCCATCATTGTTTGAATAATCATTCCCAACCAGCTCTGAAAACCCCATATCCTAAATTAGATTTCAGATGTTATCCAATCCTTTTTAACAAGTCTTCCTTCCTCTTTTAATAAAACTTGATGATATCTACTTATTTCAGCTCCTCCACAAAAGCATTCCATAATCCTTCTAGCCCAGTGATTTTCAAACTTCACTTTGGATCACTTGGGCACTTCAATAAAATGCAGACTTTGATTCAGTATATCTGGATGGAGCCTAAAATTATTTATTTCTGAAGCTCTTAGGTGATGCCAATGCTCCTGGTTCTCAGACAAACGTGGAGGAACAAAGTTCTAGCCTACCATGGTATCAACTTACTCTAAATTCATATAAGGCAGGCAGGCACCATATATGATTTATTCATCTTTGTATCTCCAGTGAGTCAGAATGCTTGACATATCACAATGCTCAATAAATATAAATGTTTGCTAAATAAATTGATGGACTGAATGAATAAATGTGTAACATTCTCTCTGACACTTAGAAAATTCTACTTAAGACAGATTGTTTTTTCTTTTTTTGAGACAGAGTCTCGCTCTGTCACCCAGACTGGAGTGCAGTGGCATAATCTCTGCTCATAGTAACCTCCCCTTCCCCGGTTCAAGAGATTCTCCATGTCTCAGCCATCAGAGTGGCTGAGGTTATAGGTGTGTGCCACCACACCCGGCTAATTTTTGTATTTTTAGTAGAGACAGGGTTTTGCCATGTTGGCCAGGCTAGTCTCTAATTCCTGAGCTCAAGTGATTCACCTACCTCAGCCTCCCACAGTGCTGGGATTACAGGCATCAGCCACCACATCCAGCCCAGACAGAATATTTTTATATGCACTTTTTCTTTGAAATGTAGTTGAGGGCAGGTATGCTCTACATTTCTCTGTATCTTTAAAGGCCGGTATGTGCCGTTTGTGCCCACAGAAAATAGGCACTCAATATAAATATTGACTAAACAATCAATTAATAAAAGGATTGATGGGATTGATTGAATAAGTAACTGGAAAAGAAGGGGCATCAGGTATAGTCTGCACTTGAGGTACCTAGAAGGTATGAATCATTTAACAAGGTGGCTGTACTTACAGACAGAAAGCTTCAAGTCCAGCATAGGCAGAGCTAGAGAGCAGAAATACTAAAATGAGTAACCAGGAAAAATGCATTTTGTAGACACAGACACACTCTAACGAGAAAATTACTTCAGTTAGTTAAAATGCCAAGCCAGTGGTTGATATGCTTGGGAATAAAACCAAGCATTATTGCATGGGTAGGCAGATGGTGCTTTTTTTTTCCTTAATTCAAAGCTTCATTTTTGTAAATAACAATGGAAATTGAACAACTGGCGAATATTAAGCTTTACAGACTATGTTAAGAGTTTTCAGAAGTGAATTTCCTCAACAATTTCTGCCTTTGGCATATTTAAATGTATACTGACTTGTGGTATTATTCATTCAATATTTCACATCTATGTGTTATCTTCACAACTGGGCTGTAGCCACCCAGAAATAGGGACTTTATTCATGCACATGGTGGGCACACAGTGATACCTGCTGAAAAAATAAAAAATTAGAAAAACTTGGATGACACACAACTCTAGTTTCTGGTATTGAGCAGAGACGAGCAAGGGTGGGCCTGGAAGTGAAATCTGAGGCATGTTACTTGAGTGAATTATCAGACTGGAGAAGAAAACTCCATGTACATTAGATATGAACTTCTTTCTTTCTTTTTTTTCCCATTATATTCTCAGAAGATGAACTAACGTAGAATTCTGGCAATGACTGGTTCTTTAAAAATAGCATATCATGTAAATAAATGAAAACTATAGTGCCCCTGAAGTTTTCAGAATCATTTCACCAAACATTGATTTTGCCACCAAATTACAAGTAAGCCAGATGCAAATAATTTATCAGTAGGAGCAATAAGAGAGATTATGTTATGACTATATTTTATTTGTCAGAAAAGTAACTAAGGTGTTGACTCTGAGATAGGGAATACACACACACACACACACACACACACACACATACATATATATATAGGTTTAGAAAACTATATGGTTCAAAATATGCCTATGATGCTCCTGATTCATATTTTAATGTATTAACTATTCCATAATTACTTAGAAAATTATGCTTCGATTCTGGTTAAAGATGGATTCTGCAAGAACATAGAAGCTTCTCATGCATACAGTATTTAAAATAGAATGAAATTAGCAATCTGTATCTTGAAATTATACATAACATTTAGCTTCATTTAAAATTAGAGTGCTAGAAGAAGCAGATTTCCATGGCATTTTCATTATGCAGAGAGGTAAACAGCAAATAAATAAGCCATACATGAATATGAAATTAACAGCATGATAATTGCTTTACTCCTAGAGTGTGTACAATATTAAATCCTCAAATAAACACTTACTTAACCTCATTCTCACGTGTGCCTATTGCTATCATCAAAAGCAGTATACCTAGAACTCAAACTAAGTCAAATTCCACGATGAGGTACAAAATCCTCAGAAATCATTGCCATGCCCTGGAAATTTCAGAGTGATTTCTTAGGAGTTCTAGTGCTGGTGGTATATTTGAAAACCAGTGAACACAAGAGAAAATTTAGAAATGAATTAAAAGAGTACATTTCACATATTATTATTATCTTGTTTATTCCATCATACTTAATTTCTTTGCTAATTCTTAAAAAGCTTCATCCAGATCATCCATATAGGCATTCCAGGGAAGTGCTTCCTTCCTGCTGAGACCACCTGCAAGCTCTCTCTCACTCTAACACAGACCCCTGCTGACTTGCTTTACAATATTTATGCAGGAAACTGTTAAACCTTATTTCTGTTGAATTGTTTCTTCTCTGCATAAGGCAGAAATGCTTTTCATAGTTTTCTTATGGCTCTTAACAACAACTAAAGCCTGTCTTGTGCTCTGGGCCCAGACTTGACCTAAATTTAACCCTAAGTAATGCTTTCTTCATCTTAGTCATAGCCTGAAAGTGACTCATTTATAAAGAGGCCACTGGTACAACTGGAGTTTTCCAGTAAGCAAGGGTTAAAAGGTCAGTAATAATGTTACTGCTACCCTTATGAGTATGCAACTGGTAGAGTTCAAAGTTATTTGGATATAACCTGACAAAAACATCTCATCATTTTCCACAGGGTACTTGAGAGTAAGATTCAGAAGGGATATATGGCTTGTGTACACATGAAACTGTCTTTCCTAGTCAGAGACATCAACCACTTCATTGGAAGCCAGCGACTAAAAAGTAAAATAAAATAAATTAAATTAAATTAAAATTAAAATTAAAATAAAACAATTATGAGATCCAAAGAAAGGAAAATCTTGTTGTCCCAAATAAGCACCTTTAAAAATAATTGTTTTACTGTTCTAGTGATGAAATTAGTATGTCTTTGTTGATCCACTTAAATTTGACTCAATGGGTAAATTTAAGCCTGAGGCTTTTATGCCATTATCAGAGGCTCTGTCAGTGAGTGCTTTAGCCTAATTACATTTGATGCAGCAAATCAACAAAACCACTGCTGGTATGACCTCTGCCAAGAGGACTAGCGAGCTAGACAAATGGAGCTTAAGATGTTATTAGTTGTTCTGTTGCAAAGTTCCTGATACATCCCGACAGGAGGCTGTTGCATGACTTGGGCATGCATCCTCCAGATGGCATTCTGCATTGGCTTGTGGCAAGGCTCACAGGGATACTGGCACATTTTCTCTGTCAAAATGAAAGTTTTCCAATTACAAGGAGATAATATGAGGAGATGCAAACTTAATCTCTTAAACAAAAGGTTGCAAGCTGTGTAATAGATATTTCAGGGGAGAGATTTCACTATAGTTCAATTGATTTAAACGTTGCAGATCACAAAATGTGCTATCTTTCCTAATAAAACCAAAGAATCAGCTGCAGTTGGTGCTATTTACTGGAACAGTGCTATAATGCTTTCATCATCTAAGAGATGCTTCTTTTAACAGTGTTCTTCCATGGAGTTGGAGTCTGTGCTCATTTTTTGTTTTTTTTCCTAATGTGTAAACAGGTACAAAGAAGCCATTTTGCTTTTAGTTAAACACCAAATGCCTTAAATGAAGTCTTCAAGTTTAATGTTAAAAGATACCAAATCATAGAATTTCATTAGGAAGACTACAAGTTAAATGGTAAGAAAGCCCTATTATCATCAAAACCTGTAAGACAACTTAGCTAAAATGCCAACAGTATTTTCTAACCCAGGGAATGCTAATAAAAATGGTATGTAGAACCCTCAATCCCTATGAGAATGAGGTGATATGCATCAACACTTATCCAAAAATAACTGACTCATCCAAGTAAATCAGTAAGTACCTTGTTGTAAGGTTACTTCTTAGAAAGATAGGGATTTTCAAGTTGACATAAAAATGCTAAGACAAAGCAGGGGAGCCCTCGTAGATCCGTTTCTACAAATCCAACAAGGACACTACATAAGTGTAGAACGTGTGCCAGCTCTGAGAAGAATGTTTTACAGGATAACTACAACCACACTCTTGTACTAAATGCATTAAACAGAATTTCAGCAGAGTTTAAGTGTTGAAATGATCATACAGTTCTAATGTAAGCAAAGATTCTTCAATATTGATACTGGATTACTTTCTTCTGTGGTTTAAAGAGAATTAACTGATCCAAAATTTCTAAGCACATATTCAGAATATTAAAAGAGAAAAGGTACATTTCCAAAAATTAAGGTAATTCATATACAGAAAAATATTTTTATCTCAAATTTCAAAACATTTAAAAAATATATTTTAGCCATTAAGATGAAGATCAATGTCACAAGGTTGTGCATAAACACTGAATTGCAGTCAATAAGGTAAAATCATAGTGGGCAGCTGCCTTTTGTCATTTCCATAGAAAGTAGCTAGGAAACTGTCATGTCTTTACTGAAAATTCAGTCAGCTAAATAAAGCAGGAGTATATATTCTAAGTAGTCTCAACTGCAACATTGTAAGATCTGTAAATCAGCCAGAAATATAAGCAAGGCCTTCGAATCTCTCCGAAAACTTAACAGATTCCTACCGAAGAGTTAACGTTTTCATGCAAGCAGCATTTTTAAAAAGCTTCAGCATCAACATAAAGTGGTCTATAACAGCTGTTGTAAAGCTCAACATCAATTTTATGTTGGCTCAACTACTAAACAGCAATCACAATGGCATCCCTTAGGAGGTATTTAAGGGCCCAAGGGTATAGCAATTTAAAAACTGAGTAGGAAATCAAAACAAATTCCCAGTCTGTTTACAAAAATACTTCTCCCTATGTTCTTGTACCACCACCTAGTGGTTACACGGCTCTCAATCTGACCATTGATAGAAACCAAATAGAAGGAAAGAAGAGGGAAGGAAGGGAGAGCGGAGGAAAAGTAAGAAAGGCGGGAGGAAAGAAAAAGAGAAGACCATGAAAATAAAAAGGAAAAAAAGGAGGAGAAAATAAAAACTAACAAACAAAAGCAAAAAGAAGTACACATATAATTTTCATATCTTAAGATCTACTTCCTCATAAAATTCATAGCATGTTACCAATTTGAATTAAAACACCGTTTAAAACCATTTCTCTTTACACATTTATTAAGTACATGAAAATTCTATAGTCGATATAACAACTCCCTGATTTTTTTTAAAAAAAGGAGTTGAATTTCTAGAGATGTATTTTACACTAGAGAACCTACAGCTGTATTTTCCTGTGTGTGACCTGATATAAGTACAAGATTATACCATTATTTTTTAAGAGACTCATTATTGATCAGTAGAGCTATTTATATAAATTATGGTAATTCATAAGTAAAAATGAAGTGAATATTTATGTCTTGCTATGGAACAGTCTCTAAGACATTTGGCTAAAGTGGAAGAAAAAGCAAGATGTGTAATCATGTTTTGGGACCTACCACTTGTATAATGATATATATTTTCTTTTATATGTGTACAGTATCTCTGGAGGGATAGACAAGAAGCTGAAAAGATTACCTCAACAGAGGAGAATTAGGTGAGTTGGAAGCTAAGGTGTAAGGGAGACATTTTGTAGTTTTGTAGTTTAAACCATGTGAATGTGTTACTTATTTAAAATTAAATAAATTTTAAATCACAATTACAAAGGATTATGTTTTTTAAATTTATTTAAAATTAAATAAAATTTAATATATTAAATTAAATTAAATAAATTTTAAATCTAAAAACTGGCACATTATTTAACAAATCTTTTCTCTGTGGATTTTATAAATCAAAAAAACCACCCTCCAAATTTTCCATTTAAAGAAATATTTGTCACATTTAATGTGAATGTAAATTTATTATAAATATAACAGAAATAGGAGCTTCACTCTTTCTCTGTCAAAAGAAATGCAGTAGTTTAAAGGGAGAAATTATTGTAAAAAAGCAGAAATTAAAGTAATAAAATACTAAAACCATTTCTCTCTCATACTTTGACAAGTTCTACAGGCCTGGGTTGAGGACTATTCTCAAGAAGACAGTCGGAATAGCTCAGGCTCTCTGTGCTCCTGGCTGAACCGTAAGTACATTGGAGACAGCATTAGTTGATGCCCAGATGTCCAAAGGTAGAAAAGTTGAGAACTATTAGGAGATGAAAAGAAGTAGGGAATGCATAAAGGGCAGTGTCTCTTTATGCCCTGGAGGAGGAGGAAGGGGAATGGGATTGGGACCTTGTGAACCCAGCCTCAACTTTCACAAAGGATTGTGTTTTTAGACTTCAGCCTTAATCTTCTAAAAGAGATTGCACCCATTGCCACAGGGAGAGGCAGATAGGTCTAGGAGAAGAAAAGGGTCCATTGTAAAATTTTGTGTTAAAATGTTCATCTGTCAAAACACTTAACATAAAGCATTATTTTTGTACTCCTGATTTAGTAGTTCTTTATTTTTTATTAGTCTTTAAGCCTTAAAAAAAGAACGTATCTGAGAAGTCCTAGAGAAAACCTTGAGTACTCAGGGGAAGCTGTAAAATAGGGTTGTAGAGGAAAAAATTCAACGGTTTTTGGCTCATGCGACCTGAAGAAACCGACCTAATGGGACTGGAGCAGGCATGCAAGATCACCAAAGGAAGCCCAGCATGGGTGAGGCACAGAAAAGGCAGTATATCTGCAGCTCCCTAATACAAGAAAAATACGTTGGAATACTTGATTTTTGTTTCATGCCCTGATAAAAACTTTCTACTACTGATATGCCTATTTTCTTCATTTGTTGATATTCATATTATTCAGTGTTTTAAAGGTCAATATAAGCAATGCCACTTTTCCAGGTGCTAAATTCTATAAAAAGTTCTTAAATGATATGTAAAAAACTTATTAACTACAAATAGATAGTTGTTTGGAACCAGGCATGAAATCAATATTATATTCTACTGAGGTTAAAAGATGTCCTTAATTAACACATGCTGTGAACTCAGTATTTGAGATATTGAAAATATTATTGAATAATGTAGACTATTCACTAATCAGAAGTGAGCAGGTTCTGTTTGGGCAAAGGCATTGGGAAGAACATGTGTCTAAGAAGTAATATTGCAAAATGAGATATTCTCATGACGAGGTTGGTCCTTGGTTCATCCTCATAGCTAGCTTTTGGACAAAATTGCATCGATGCTCACAAGCATAAGCATTGACACTGAAAAACATCATAGCAAACTTACTTCTGATTTAATTTACATACTATTTTAAATATGATTTTAAACATTTTTCAAACCTTTCATTTTATTGTATGTTGACATGCAGTTGTAAGAAATAATGCAGAGAGATCCTATGTACTTTTACCAGTTTCTCCTAATTATAATTTTACAAAATTATAATGTAATATCACAACCAGGATATTGGCATATGAGATACAGAAGACTGTCATTATCACAAGCATCACTCAAATGGCCCTTTTATAGCCATACACAATTATCTCCCCACTCCTTCCTTAACTCTCAGCAACCACTAATCTGTGCTCCATTTTTATATTTTACCATTTCACGAACGTTATATAAATGGAATCGAACAGTAGGTCATCTTTGGGCTTGGCTCTTTTCACTCAGCATAATTCTCTGGAGATTCATCCAGGTGACTTCCTGTAACAAGTAGTTCATTCCTTTTTTTGTGACGTAGTACTCTATCACACAAACGTATCACAGTTTGTCTAACCATTCATTTGTTGCAGGGTATCTAGGTTGCTTCTAGTTTTTGGCTATTACTAATAATGAGGCTATAGTCATTTGTGAACAGGTTTTTGAATGAACATAATTCTTCATTTCTCTAGGATAAAGTCTCAAGAGTTTAATCGCTGGGTCATGTAGTAGTAGTTGGAATCATATACTATGTAGTCTTTTCAGGCTGGCTTCTTTCACTTAGTAACATGTATTTAAGGTGCTTCTATGTCTTTTTACCGCTTAGTAGCTCATTTCTTTTTAGTGCTGAATAATATTCTATTGTCTGGATGTACCACAGTTTATTCATCCATTCACCTACTGAAGGGCATTGTAGTTGCTTCCAAGTTTTGGTAATTATGAATAAAGCTGTTATCAACATCCATGCGTGAGTTTTTGTGTGAACATATATTTTCTACTTCTTTGGGTAAATATCAAGGAGTGTCAATGCTCACTGCTGGAACATATGGTAAGAGTATATTTAGTCTTTTGAGAAAGAGCCAAACTATTTTCCAAAGGGACTGTACCATTTTACAGTCCCATCAACAATGCATGAGTGATTCAGTTTCTCCGAATCCTCGCCATCATTTGGTATTGTCACTATTTTTTATTTTAGCTGTCCTAATAGGTGTATGCTAATATCTTATTGTGGTTTTAATTTGCAATTCCCAAATGACTAGACTGTTGAACATCTTTTCATGTGCTTATTTGCCATCAGTATGTCTTCAGGGGAATGCTTCTTCACATCTTCTGTCCATTTTCATATTGAATTCTCTTTAATGTTGATTTTTGAGTGTTCTATGTATAAGTTTACAAATATTTTACATATAAGTTCTTTTTCAGATATCTTTGAAAATACTCTCTCCAGGTTTATAGCTTGTCTACAGCTTGATTTTTTTTTCTTCTTTAGTCTATTGGACCACATTGATTGAATTACATTGATTGAGTTTTCAGTGTTGAAGAGGCTTGCACACCTGGAATAAACCCCATTTGGTCATGACAAATTCCTTTTACAAAATGTTAAATTTTATTTATTAATTTTATAAAGCATTTTTGTGTCTATATACATGAGAGATATTGATCTGTACTTTTGTTTGTTCTGTGTTTGATTTTGGTATCAGGTTATTGTTAGTTTTATATAAATTACTGAAAATGTTCCCTCAGCTCCTCTTTTCTAGAAAAGACTGTGTAGAAGTGGTGTTAAATCTTCTTTAGATTTTTGGTAGAATTTTTTGTAGGTAAAAATATCTGGGCTTGAAGATTCCTTTTTTGGGGGGAGTATTTAATTTTAAATTAATTTTCTTAATAGACATAGGGCTATTCAAGTCATTTACTTCACAACAGGTGAGTTGTGATAATTAATGGATTTTGGGGGAGAATTTGTCCATTTTATCTAAGTTACCAAATTTATGTAAATGGTATTGTTGATAGTGTTCTCTTACTGTTCTTTTGACATTTACGGTGATGTATCTTGTTCCATTCCTGACAGGAAAAATTGGTCTTCTCTTTTTTTCTCTTTGTCAGTCTTGTTAGAGGTTTATAACTATTGGATACCAAGGCATGAGAATAAAAATTAATAAAGAATGAAAAAAGATTAGATTAGTAGCCTAACTGGGAGACACCTCCCAGCAGGAGCCGACTGACACCTCATACAGCCAGGTGCCCCTCTGAGACAAAGCTTTCAGAGGAAGGATCAGGCAGCAACATTTGCTGTTCTGCAATATTTGCTGTTCTGTAGCCTCCATTGGTGACACTTCTTTGGGTAATACAGACATTTTAACAATATCAACTCTTCTAGTCCAGGAGCATGAAATATTTTTCCAATTTTTTGTGTCCTCTTCAGTTTCTTTCATC
Source organism: Homo sapiens (assembly GCF_000001405.40). Lineage (NCBI taxonomy): Eukaryota > Metazoa > Chordata > Mammalia > Primates > Hominidae > Homo > Homo sapiens. The sequence goes on along the minus strand of NC_000002.12, from coordinate 181,100,001 downwards.
AATGTTTTGCAGTTTTTGTTATAGAGATCTTTCACTTCTTTGGTTAAGTTAATTACTAGGTATTTAATTTTATGTGTGGCTATTGTAAATTTTTTTATTTCTTTTTCATATTGTTCCCTGTTGGCATTTAGAAATGCTATTGATCTTCATATGTTGCTTTTGTATCCTACAACTTTACTGAATTTATTTAACAGTTCTAATAGTTTTCCTGTGGAGTCTTTAGATTTTTCCAAATATATCATATCATTAGCAAACAAAGATAATTTGACTTCTTCATTTCCACATTGGATGCCCTTTATAGCTTTCTCTTGTCTGATTGCTCTAGCTAGAACTTCCAGTGGTATGTTGAATAACAGTGGTGACAGTGGATATCCTTGTCATGTTCCAGATCTTCGAGGAAAAGGCTTTCAATTTTTTCCCATTCAGCATGATACAGGCTGTGGGTCTGTCACATATGGCTTTTATTATGTTATGAGGTATGTTCCTTCTACACTCAGGTTTTTTTAGGGTTTTTACCATGAAGGAATATTGAATTTTCTCAAAGGCTTTTTCAGCATCAATTGAAATAATCATATGGTTTTCACCCTTCATTCTGTTGATATAATGTATCATACTGACTGATTTGCATAGTTGAACCATCCTTGCATCCAAGGGGTAAATCCCACTTGGTCATGATGAATAATCTTTCTAATGTATTGCTGAATTTGGTTTGCTAGTATTTTGTTGAGGATTTTTGCATCAACATTCATCAGAGATATTGGCCTGTAGTAGTTTTCTTTTTTGACAGTCTTTCTCTGGTTTTGGAATCAGGATAATACTGGCCTCATAGAATGAATTTGAAAGTATTCCCTCCTCCTCTATTTTTCAAAATAGCTTCTGTTCTTTTTCTTTTCTTTTCTTTTCTTTTTTTTAACAGAGTCTCACTCTGTTACCTCAGGCTGGAGTGCAGTGGCACAATCTCAGCTCACTGCAACCTCTACCTCCCAGGTTCAAGTGATTCTTATGCCTCAGCCTCCTGAGTAGCTGGGATTACAGGTGTGTGCCACCACATCCAGCTACTTTGCTGGGATTACAGGTGTAAGCCACAGCACCCAGCCTTGGAATAGTTTGAGTAGGATTGGTATTAATTCTTCTTTAAATGTTTGGTAGAATTCAGCAGTGAAGCCATCAGTTCCTGGGCTTTTCTTTAGTGGGAGACTTTTTATCACAGCTTCAATCTCATTACTTCTTATTGGTCTGTTCAGGTTTTGGATTTCTTCCCAGGTCAGTGTTGGTAGATTATGTGTTTCTAGGAATTTATCAATTTCTTCTAGATTTTCCAATTTATCGGCATATAGTTGCTCATAGTAGTTACTAATGATCCTTTGAATTTCTGCAGTATCAGTTATAATGTCTCCTTTTACATTTCTGATTTTATTTATTTGGATCTTTTCTCTTTTTTTCTTAATCTGGCTAAAGGTTTGCCAATTTTTTAAAACTTTTTGAAAAACCAAATTTTGGTGTCATTGATCTTTTGTATTTTTTTTCAATTCAGTTTCATTTATTTCTGCTCTATTTTTTTTTTCTAATTTTAGGTTTGGTTTGCTCTCGCTTTTCTAGTTCTTTAAGATGCATCATTAGATTGTTCAGTTGAAGCTTTTTCTTCTTCTTTTTTTGATAAAAACACTCATAGCTATAAAATTCCTTCTTAGTATTGCTTTTGCTGTATCCATTATCATTTGTTTCAAGAAGACACTGATAGATTAGCTATGTGTCCAGCTGTTATATTAAGAGGATGTTTAGAGAGCTAATAAATGTTTAGAAGTAAGTTATCAATAAGAACATAGGAAGGCAAGTAAGCAAAATAAAATTAAGTGATTTTCAGGAGGAGAAAGTTGTATAAGAAAGAAGATGCCATTATACTACACTATATTGCTTTGCTATGGAAGCAATATAGTGTACTACATTGCTATATTTATGCTGGCATATTAATGTAACATTCAATATATATTTGACCCAAATATGACATGATTTGAGGGAAATGGAGTGAGAGAAAGTAGAAGAGTGTATGGGGCTGGGTAAGAGGTTAGTATAAATATCCATTTTCCATGGTGGAATGTCATGTCAATAGATAATGTCTGAAATGGGAAAGCCAAGAAATAGCAGTACAAATGTGTTATTCAAAATATAGAGTTTAAAACCAGAAAAAATAGCTTAAAGAGTTGAAAGTGAATGCCTGTGGGGAATGTGAATCAGAGCATGGAGAGGTAGAAAAGAGGCCTGTGAACTTCCTCACAAGCTTTGTAGTACTATTTTACTTTATGTGATGTGTTATTTTGGTTAAAATTAATTTGAAAATAACAATGCACTCAAAAAATTTGAGCAATTCAAAATGGTACTTACCCAAAATTAATTTTCTCCCTTTTCTCCGTAGCCTAAGGTGGCACATTCTCTCTAGTTGTAAACATTCTAGTGTATATTCTTCCCGACATTCTTCTCTGCACACGAAGATATAAATCTAAGAAAAACAGCAGCTTAGGGGTAAGTAGTTATGACGGTTAATTCTGTCTGTCACCTTGGCTAGGTCATGATACCCAGAAACTTGGTTCAAACACTATTCTAGATGTTTCAGTAAAAGTATTTTTTGGATAGAATTAACATTTAAATCAGTAGACTTCGAGTAAAGAAGGTTGCCCTACCTAACATAGATAAACCTCATCCAATCAGTTGAAGGCCTTAAGTGAAAGAAGTTCCTCAGTGAAGAGGGAATTCTGCCTCCAGGCAGTCTTAGAACTCAGATAGTAACTCTTCTCTGAGTCTCTAGTCTGCCAGTAGACCCTGCAGATTTTGGACTTACCAGCCATATCATGTAAGTCAATATCTTAAAATAAATCTCTCTTTCTGTACACACACACACACACACACACACACACACACACACACACCCTATTGGTTCTGTTTCTCTGGAGAACTCTAATATAGTAGTGTTTAAGGACATACAGAGAAGGGGCTTGAAGGCTGGGAGGGATGAGTCTGAACTAAGAAATCTGGGATATACTCTAAAGTCCTTCGAGAATGGAAATATCTACTGGTTAGATATTTTCTGTGATTGGAGTACAGAAAATTGCATAATAAGGCTCATAATATGAGGTACATTTGTGGAAAATTTGAGTTTTAATAGTAATTTGAGAGATGACATACTGGTAGCTATTTTACATTAGTGCAGCCGTAATTCTTTCAGTCAAGCCAAATATTTAAGAAAAACGAGAAGCTGCAATAATAGAAAGTATTTCAAAATCAGACAAACTTGCTTTCAAATCCCTGAGGACAGAGTTACTTTCAAAGACCTACTCTGTCTTGAATTTGCTGTATTGTCTTGAACCGGTTATTTCTGTAATCTTGTGTTACCACATTTATAAAAATGGGGGCCGGGTGTGGGCCGCCTGTAATCCCAGCACTTTGGGAGACCGAGGCAGGCAGATCATGAGGTCAGGAGTTCGAGACCAACCTGACAAACATGATGAAACCCCGTCTCTACTAAAAATACAAAAATTAGCCGGGCATGGTGGTGCATGCCTGTAATCCCAGCTACCAAGGAGGCTGAGGCAGGAGAATCACTTGAACCCGGGAGGCAGAGGTTGCAGTGAGCCAAGATCATGCCATTGCACTCCAGCCTGGGTGACAGAGTGAGATTCCATCTCAAAAAAAAAAAAGGATAATTATACCTCTCTCATATGGTTATGGAGGTAAAGAAGAGGATGTATATGAATGTAAAACCCACATTCAGGTGGGCAAGAAGTCGTTAAAAAGTAATGAATATTAGTTGCTTCCAAGGAGCAGTTTAAAGGACACCAAGTCTTAAGTGACTCTTCCTGACAGAGAGAGCTTAATATCCCTCTCATCGTCGCACGGGAGAGGTGGAGGGAAAAGGAGAGAGGAGAAGGGAGAGGGCAGAGAAAGAACACTGATCACCTGAAAATAATACAATGCTACTTTGAAAGAAAACGTAGATGGAGTGTTCAAGTTAGTGAGGCAGAGACCTCAGGAACAAAAGGGGATTATACTTACTTGTTACATTTGTCATTTGTCATTGTATGTGCAATGATGTTAAATTTTTAAGATTTTAATAGCCAGCACAAGAATGTCTGTTAGGAAGAAAACGGTCTTATTTGAAAATAACTTGATTGGTTACTCCTTCCCCACTTGGAGCAGAGCCTGGATATCAGCAGTAAACAAGCCATCAGAGAAAGGGGAAGCTGTCAGGAAATGAAGGGAGGAATTTCTTGTGTGTTTGTTTGTTTTTTCTCCCTCTGGATAAAAGAAACGAAAATGAGTAAAGGTCAGAGAAAAGGAGGGAAGGAGAGAAGCCAGCAAGATAGAAAAAAAACCTAGAAGGAGGTGACATGAATCATCAGTGAACCCTCAGATAGTAGAGTAGCTAAAAAATGTGATGCCTCATACATTGGAGTTTTGTTAGATGTCACTAAGCTAAGATGGTAAGATGGGCTCTCATTTGTGCATAGGTATTTTATTCTCAGGGGCATATATTTTAAAGACCCTAGAACAGAAGGTGTTGCCTGAACCCCATAAAGTCCCAAGGAACCTACCAGTTTTCAATGAATTCACTTTTTGAATCTGATTTCTTTTTTTTCGTTATTATACTTTAAGTTATGGGATACATAGGCAGAATATGCATGTTTGTTACATAAATATACGCGTGCCATGGTGGTTTGCTGCACCCATCAACCCGTCATCTACATCAGGTATTTCTCCTAATGCTATCCTTCCCCTTGCCCCCCACCACCCGACAAGCCCCAGTGTGTGATGTTCCCTTTCCTGTGCCCATATGTTCTCATTGTTCAACTCCCAGTTATGAGTGAGAACATGCGGTGTTTGGTTTTCTGTCCTTGCAATAGTTTGCTCAGAATGATGGTTTCCAGCTTCAACCATGTACCTGCAAAGGGCATAAACTCATTCTTTTTTATGGCTGCATAGTATTCCACTGTGTATATGTGCCACATTTACTTTATCCAGTTTAACATTGATGGGCATTTGGGTTGGTTCCAAATCTTTGCTATTGTAAATAGCGCTGCAATAAACATACGTGTGCATGTGCCTTTACGGTAGAATGATTTACAAATTCTTTGGGTATATACCCAGTAATGGGATTGCTGGGTCAAATGGTATCTCTGGTTCTAGATCCTTGAGGAATTGCCACATTGTCTTCCACAATGGTTGAACTAATTTACACTCCCACCAACAGTGTAAAAGTGTTCCTGTTTCTCCACATCCTCTCCAGCATCTGTTGTTTGCTGACTTTTTAATGATTGCCATTCTAACTGGCATGAGATGGTATCTCACTGTGGTTTTGATTTACATTTCTCTAACGACCAGTGATCATGAGCTTTTTTTCATATGTTTGTTGGCCGCATAAATGTCTTCTTTTGAGAAGTGTCTGTTCATATCCTTTGCCCACATTTTGATGGGTTGTTTGTGTTTTTCTTGTAAATTTGTGTAAGTTCCTTGTAGATTCTGGATATTAGCCCTTTGTCAGATGGGTAGATTGCAAAAATTTTCTCCCATTCTGTAGGTTACCTGTTCACTCTGATGATAGTTTCTTTTGCTGTGCAGAAGCTCTTTAATTTGATAAGATCCCATTTATCAATTTTGGCTTTTGTTGCCATTGCTTTTGGTGTTTTACTCATGAAGTCTTTGCCCATGCCTATGTCCTGAGTGGTATTGCTAGGTTTTCTTCTAGGATTTTTATGGTTTTAGGTCTTATGTTTAAATCTTTAATCCATCTTAAGTTAATTTTTGTATAAGGTGTAAGGAAGGGGTCCAGTTTCAGTTTTCTGCGTATGGCTAGCCAGTTTTCCCAGCACCATTTATTAAATAGGGAATCTTTTCCCCATTGCTTTTGTCAGGTTTGTCAAAGAACAGATGGTTGTAGATGTGTGATGTTATTTCTGAGGCCTCTGTTCTGTTCCATTGGTCTATATATCTGTTTTGGTACCAGTACCATGCTGTTTTAGTTAATGTAGCCTTGTAGTATAGTTTGAAGTCAGGTAGTGTGATGCTTCCAGCTTTGTTCTTTTTGCTTAGAATTGTTTTGGCTGTATGGGCTCCTTTTTAGTTCCATATGAACTTTAAAGTAGTTTTTTCCAATTCTGTGAAGAAAGTCAGTGGTAGCTTGATGGGAATAGCATCGAATCTATAAATTCCTTTTGGCAGTATGGCCATTTTCATGATATTGATTCTTCATAACCATGAGCATGGAATGTTTTTCCATTTGTTTGTGTCTTCTCTTATTTCCCTGAGCAGTGTTTTGTAGTTCTCCTGGAAGAGGTCCTTCCCATCCATTGTAAGTTGGATTCCTAGGTATTTTATTCTCTTTGTAGCAACTGTGAGTGGGAGTTCACTCATGATTTGGTTCTCTGTTTGTCTATTATGGGTGTGTAGGAATTATTGTGATTTTTGCACATTGATTTTGTATCCTGAGACTTTGCTGAAGTTGTTTATCGGCTTAAGGAGTTTTGGGGCTGAGATGATGGGGTTTTCTAAATATACAATCATGTCATCTGCAAACAGAGATAATTTGACTTCCTCTCTTCCTATTAGAATACCTTTATTTATTTTTCTTGCCTTATTGCCCTGGCCAGAACTTCCCATACTATGCTGAATAGGAGTGGTGAGAGAAAGCATCCTTGTCTTATGCCAGTTTTCAAAGACAATGCTTCCAACTTTTGCCAATTCAGTAAGATATTGGCTGTGGATTTGTGATAAAAAGCTCATTATTTTGAGATATGTTCAATCAATACCTAGTTTATTGAGAGTTTTTAGCATGAAAACTATCGAATTTTGTCAAAGGCCTTTTCTGCATCTATTGAGACAATCATGTGGTTTTTGTCATTGGTTCTGTTTATGTGATGGATTACATTTATTGATTTGCGTATGTTGAACCAGCCTTGCATACCAGGGATGAAGCTGACTTGATTGTGGTGGATAAGCTTTTTGATGTGCTGCTGGATTTGGTTTGCCATTGTTTTATTGAGGATTTTTGCATTGATGTTCATCAGAGATAATTGTCTGAAATTCTCTTTTTTTTGTTGTGTCTCTGCCAGGTTTTGGTATCAGGATGATGCTTGCCTTATAAAATGAGTTAGGGAGGAGACCCTCCTTTTCTGTTGTTTGGAATCGTTTCAGAAGGAATGGTACTAGCTTCTCTTTGTACCTCTGGTAGAATTCGGCTGTGAATCCGTCTCACCCTGGGCTTTTTTGGTTGGTGGGCTATTAATTACTGCCTCAATTTCAGAACTTGTTATTGGTCTATTCAGGGATTTGACTTCTTCTGGTTTAGTCTTGGGAGGGTGCATGTGTCCAGGAATTTATCCATTTCTTCTAGATTTTCTAGTTTATTTGCATAGAGGTGTTTATAGTATTCTCTGATGGTGGTTTGTATTTCTATGGCATCAGTGGTGATACCCCTTTTTGTCATTTTTTATTATGTCTATTTGATTCTTCTCCCTTTTCTTATTTATTAGTCTAGTGAGTGGTCTATCTATTTTGTTAATCTATTTTGTTAATCTTTTCAAAAAGCCAGCTCCTGGATTCATTGATTTTTTGAAGGGTTTTTCGTGTCTCTATTGCCTTCAGTTCTGCTGTGATCTTAGTTATTTCTTGGCTTCTGCCAGCTTTTGAATTTGTTTGCTCTTGCTTCTCTAGTTCTTTTAATTGTGATGTTAGGGTGTCAATGTTAGATCTTTCCTGCTTTCTCCTGTGGGAATTTAGTGCTATAAATTTCCCTCTAAACACTGCTTTAGCCGTGTCCCAGAAATTCTGGTACATTATGTCTTTTTTGTCACTGGTTTGAAAGAATTTATTTTTCTCTGCCTTAGTTTCGTTATTTACCCAGTAGTCATTCAGGAGAAGGTTTTTCAGTTTCCACATAGTTGTGCGGTTTTGAGTGAGTTTCTTAACCCTGAGTTCTAATTTGATTGCACTGTGGTCTGAGAGACTGTTATGATTTCCGTTCTTTTGCATTTGCTGAGGAGTGTTTTACTTCCAATTATGTGGTCAGTTTTAGAATAAGTGTGATGTAGTGCTGAGAAGAATGTATATTCTGTTGATTTGGGGTGGAGAGTTCTGTAGATGTCTATTAGGTGCGCTTGGTCAAGAGATGAGTTCAAGTTCTGAATATCCTTGTTAATTTTCTGTCTCGTTGATCTGTCTAATATTGACAGTGGGGTGTTGAAGTCTCCCACTATTATTATGTGGGAGTCTAAGTATCTTTGTAGGTCTCTAAGAACTTGCTTTATGAATCTGGGCACTCCTGTATTAGGTGCATATATATTTAGGATAGTTAGCTCTTCTTGTTGCATTGATCCCTTTACCATTAGGTAATACCCTTCTTTGTCTTTTTAAATCTTTGTTGGTTTAAAGTCTGTTTCATCAGAAATTAGGATTGCTTTTTTTTGCTTTCCATTTGCTTGGTAAATCTTCCTCCATCCCTTTATTTTTAGCCTATCAATGTCTTTGTATGTGAGATGGGCCTCCTGAATACAACACACCAATGGGTCTTGACTCTTTATCCAATTTGCCAGTCTGTGCCTTTTAACTGGGGCATTTAGCCCAATTACATTTAAGGTTAATATTGTTATGTGTGAATTTGATCCTGTCATTACAATGCTAGCTGGTTATTTTGCCCATTAGTTGATTCAGTTTCCTCATAGTGTCAATGGTTCTTAGATTTTGGGTTATTTTCGCAACGGCTAGTACCAGTTTTTCCTTTCCATGTTTAGTGCTTCCTTCAGGAGCTCTTGTAAGGCAGGCCTGGTGGTGACAAAATCTCTCAGCAGTTGCTTGTCTGTAAAGGATTGTATTTCTCCTTCGCTTATGAAGCTTAGTTTGGCTGGATATGAAATTCTGGATTGAAAGTTCTTTCCTTTAAGAATGTTGAATATTGGCCCCCACTCTCTTGTGGGTTGTAGGGTTTTTGCAGAGAGGTCCACTGTTAGCCTGATGGGCTTCCCTTTGTGGGTAACTAGAACTTTCTCTCTGGCTGCCCTTAACATTTTTTTCCTTCATTTCAACCTTGGTGATCTGACAATTATGTGTCTTGGAGTTGCTCTTCTCAAGGAGTATCTTTGTGGCATTCTCTGTATTTCCTGAATTTGAATATTGGCCTGTCTTGCTAGGTTGAAGAAGTTTTCCTGGATAATATCCTGAAGTGTGTTTTCCAACTTGGTTCCATTATCCCCGTCACTTTCAGGTACACCAATCAAACGTAGGTTTGGTCTTTTCACATAGTCCCATATTTGTTGGAGGCTTTGTTCATTCCTTTTCATTCTTTTTTCTCTAATCTTATCTTCACACTTTATTTCATTAAGTTGGCCTTCAATCTCTGATATCCTTTCTTCTGCTTGTTTGATTTGGCTATTCATACTTGTGTATGTTTCACAAAGTTCTTGTGCTGTGTTTTTCAGCTCCATTGGGTCATTTGTGTTCTTCTCTAAATTGGTTATTCTAGTTGGCAATTCCTCTAACCTTTTATCAAGGTTCTTAGCTTCCCTGCATTGGGTTAAAACATGCTCCTTTAGCTCGGAGGAGTTTGTTATTACCCATCTTCTGAAGCCTACTTCTGTCAATTCATCAAACCCATTCTCCATACAGTTTTGTTCCCTCGCTGGTGAGGAGTTGTGATCCTTTGGAAGAGAAGAGTCATTCCGGTTTTTGAAATTTTCAGCCTTTTTGCGCTGGTTTTTCCTCATCTTCTTGGATTTATTTACCTTTGGTCTTTGCTGTTGGTGACCTTCAGATGAAGTTTTTGTGTTGTCGTCCTTTTTGTTGATGTTGATGCTATTGCTTTCTGTTTGTTAGTTTTCCTTCTAACAGTCAGGCCCCTCTTCTGCAGGTCTGCTGGAGTTTGCTGGGGGTCCACTCCAGACCCTGTTTGCCTGGGTATCACCAGCAGAGGCTGCAGAACAGCAAAGATTGCTGCCTGCTCCTTCCTCTGGAAGCTTCGTCCCAGAGGGGCACCCAGCAGATGCCAGCCAGAGCTCTCCTGTATGAGGTGTCTGTTGATCCCTGCTGGGAGATGTCTCCCAGTCAGGAGGCACGGGGGTCAGGGACCCACTTGAGGAGGCAGTCTGTCCCTTACCACAGCTAGAGCACTGTACTGGGAGATCCGCTGCTCTCTTCAGAGTCAGCAGGCAGGAATGTTTAAGTCTCCTGAAGCTGTGCCCACAGCCGCCCGTTCCCCCAGGTGCTCTGTCCCAGGGAAATGGGAATTTTATCTATAAGCCCCTGACTGGGGCTGCTGCCTTTCTTTCAGAGATGCCCTGCCCAGAGAGGAGGAATCTAGAGAGGCAGCCTGGCTACAGTGGCTTTGTGGCATTGTGGTGGGCTCCAAGTCCAAACTTCCAGGGAGCTTTGTTTACACTGTGAGGGGAAAACCACCTACTCAAGCCTCACTAATGGCAGATGTCCCTCCCTCCACCAAGCTTGAACGTCCCAGGTCTACTTCAGACTGCTGTGCTGCCAGTGAGAATTTTAAGCCAGTGGATCTTAGCCTGCTGGCCTCCGTGGGAGTGGGATCCACTGAGCAAGACCACTTGGCTCCCTGGCTTCAGCCCCCTTTCCAAGGGAGTGAACAGTTCTCTCTTGCTGGCATTCCAGATGCCACTGGGATATGAAAAAAAAATTCCTGCAGCTAGCTTGGTGTCTGCCCAAACAGCCACCCAGTTTTGTGCTTGAAACCCAGGGCCCTGGTGATGAAAGCACCTGATGGAATCTCCTGGTCTGTGTGTTGTGAAGATGTGGGAAAAGCATAGTATCTGGGCCAGAATGCACTGTTCCTCACACACAGTCCCTCATGGCTTCCCTTGGTTAGGGGAGGGAGTTCCCGATCCCTTGTGCTTCCTGGGTGAGGTGACGCCCCACCCTGCTTCTGCTTGCCCTCTGTGGGCTGCACCCACTGTCTAACCAGTCCCAATGAGATGAACCTGGTACCTCAGTTGGAAATGCAGAAATCATCCGCCTTCTGCATTGGTCTCACTGGGAGCTGCAGACCAGAGCTGTTCCTATTCTGACATCTTTCCCAGGATATCCAATCTGATTTCTTACTCCTTCTCAACACACATATTTTCCTACAACTATATTTAAGCACATAATCTACCAAATGCACTTTTTCATATCATGTTATTACTACCATCTTCTCCCATCTTCTGTTCCCCAATTCCTATAAAGGTTCAGCTCAATGGCCCCTTCTTCCAGGAAGCCTTCTTGATTATTCCAGCTTAGAGCTACCTCCTGGCCACCCTAATGTCTTTAGTATATATATATCACTAATTTGATTTCTTATCCCTATCTTTTCACATGTATACATTTTAGGGAAGGCGCTTGTAAATTTACTAAAAGTAACTGAAAACGTCATTGAGTTTCATTGCTTAATGTTATAGAGAAAAATGACAAGGAAGTTGCCTAAGCTTTTCCACTTTTTGGCTGTTTTATGCAGAATTATATATAATAATAAAATCTGGTTAATTTTCATTTCTTTGAGTTTTTAATAATTTTGTGGCACAATGCTTTGGCTAATGCTTGAAAATGGATCTTCACCATAAGCATGGGCTACAAAACATTTAATTTGGGGCAGATAAGACTCAGGCTCTACTAGTGTGTAGAGCATACCCATTGTGCTTATTTATCAAATGCTCAGTGAATTATCTCTTTACAAAGACTCCCGATTAGCACTATGTATAGTTTCCTAGGCACAACGTACTTTTGACTGACGGTTTTCAATCAACATTGCATCCCTTTACACACAGGGAATGAATCAAATTATTCTGTTGCTGTTTCTATAAATGTAAAAATGTAATTTTGGAGCCATAAAGCTGTCTCCACAAACACTTTGTCTTCTTTTTCTTGGTTACTTTTTGTTTCACATCACTTAAGAAATCAGAGTGACCATGGCGTGCTGTGCTCTGTATGGGACATATTTTTGCTTTATTTCATTGGTTGAGTATTGTATTGGAGTACCACTAAACAGCACTATAATAGTGCACTACTTGGGAGAAACATTATTTTTTTGGCTAACTCCATTAAAAATCACTGAAAATTACAAGTACAGAAATTTAAAAAAAGAATAAAGCTATGAAAATGGAACACCAGTGTTTTATGGCATATGAAATGCCCCTCTCACACAAAGCACATAAATGTTTAACCAGCAAGAGGCATCCTTTTAGGAGGCTGTCACTATAGCAGGTATGCTATAGTGGCTGTTACCAAATAAAATGCAGTGGTTGTTACCGAATAAAAATGATGACTTTCTTTTTTGTGTGCCCCATCTCAGGATGTGGAGAAGAAAAATGAACAACAGATGGCTGTAGAGAAACTATTTCTATGGACCTGTTCTTGTCTATTACTCTGGGAGAAATAACTCTGCTGTTGAAAAGCACTATATGGCCACATGGCCACAATCCACATCTTGACCAGTTGTTTCAACCTGTCCACATCTTGACCAGTTGTTTCAACCATTTGTATGCATAAAGATGATATTGGACATTTAGTAAAATGCACATTCCTGGGCCACTTTGCAATAATTTCTTTTAGAGATTTGGAGCAGAGCCCAGGTGCCTGGATACTAACTATCAACTAAAATGATGTGTTCTTGGACCACACTTTAAGAAACACTGCTTTGGATCTTGTACAACATAGACTCTATGTTCTCTATGATGGGAAATGGAAGTAATGATGAGTTTCCCCCAATATTGTTTAGGACCTGAACCAATCTGTATTCTATGGCAGCTTATCCTATCTGAAGCAACATGTTGAACTAGTGTAGGAGGATTTCTTTTTCTTTTCCTGTTTTTTTTTTTTTTTTTTTTTTTAGAAGTAGTCTCCCTCTGTCACCCAGGCTGGAGTGCAGTGGTGCTATCTCAGCTCACTGCAACCTCCACCTCCTAAGTTCAAGTGATTCTCCTGCCTCAGCCTCCTGAGTAGCTGGGACTACAGTTGTGTGCCACCACACCCAGCTAATTTTTTGTATTTTTAGTAGAGAAGGGGTTTCACCATGTTAGCCAGGATGGTCTCAATCTCCTTACCTCATGATCCGCCAGCTTCAGCCTCCCAAAGTGCTGGGATTACAGACATGAGCCACCGCGGCCGGCCAGGAAGGATTTCTAATGCAAAAATTTCCAGGAACAAAGGTTCAATATAAGAACAGCTTACTAACGGCAGTTGGTTCAGTACAGGAATGTTTGATATTTAGTTTCAAGGTCTGTGGCCAATTTTATAACTAGTAAAACAGCAAAACACTGCAGCACTGTGTTTTCAGTGATTCAATTGTGTGCCCAAGAAAGTTTCTCTTTAATTAAATATTCAGCATTTGAAGCAAACTGAGAAAGTATGAATGGGCAGGTTGTTGCAGACATCGAGTCTTTACAATAACTATTACTTTCTTTTTATTGGCATAGTTCTATTCATTTGACAGGTTTGTATTATACGATTGGGGCACAACTCTAGTAGCATCCTTACCAAGATAGTGTGGCTTATGTTTCTACTCACCATGACGTTGTAACAAAATGGCACTGGCTTTGCAGTTAAAAGGTCCTGAGCTTGAATCCTGGTCTCTTTAGCTGTGTAAACTTGGACAAATCACTTAGTCTTATTATGTCTCCTTCATTGGAATTTTCAGAGAATCATGAAATCATATATGGTGATGACCAGGCACAGTAGTAGTGAGTTCTCTCCTTTTCCTGCTCTTACTCTTTTCCTTAGTGATAACTCCTTTCTTGATTGATATAGCAAGTTACCTGAACTAAAAGACTTAGGGTCGTTTAAAAATCCACCTCCTTCTTCATACTTCTTATCCAATTAGTCACCAAGTATATCACCTCTGCTCCTAAAACCCTCACTGACTGCTATCTGCTCTAATAGGCCTCTAAATGTGATGTGTCCTTTAACTAGAATGTCCATCCTCTCTATTCCTCTACAGGGAAGACAGTGATGTTTCATGCTCTGAGTGTCACAAAGCCTTTGATTATTCAGTGCAGCACAGTCTTCCCCAGGGTAACAAGGAAGCTGAATGACACAGTGCCACAGTCAAGACTATGCCCCGGTGCACCTTGGTTATTCCCTGTGGTTGTGTTCCTTCATCTGGATCACTGCTGTAGGAGTTACAGAGCAACCTTTTAACAAGAGCTCCCAGTAGAGTCCTGAAGAGTCACCATCTTTAATGTATATAATCAATACTTGCCCCTTCCTTCTTATGCTGCTCCTAAGGCCACCTGTGCAAAAGGAAAAAATAAAAAATAAAAGCCCACTGCCAGCTTACTCCTCGGGTAAGATAAACAAATCACTCCTTTTACAGACACTATGAGCTATAACACATTGTTTCAACTTGACTGAAAGGAGTTTTGTATGAATTTGTTTTAATTAAGGGAATCAAGATACAAAAAAATAGCTATGTTAATCAGAAATGTGGATGCTTGGAAAAAAGGAATCAAGAGATATTTTCAGAGAAAAAAATTTCTCTAAAAGTAGAAAAAAAACGAATGATGTATGTAAGAATGAATAACATCTCAAAAGATTTATCTTAAAGTGTAACTACCCTACCTTCTTACCTTGGTTCTTCCAAATCACTTCTGAAAGCTAAACAACAGAGACTACACATTAGAAAACCAGTAAACATGAAATGATTTTCAGAAATTAATATATCTGTTGTACATGTTGAACCTAGATATTAAATAGTTATACAAAATATAAAGTAATGATCCAAAAACAAGAATCCTGTTGCCTTATTCTTGCTGCTGTCAACTCCTAGAACTGTCTTGAGGGAGTGATGCCAATTATTGACAGCACAGTTATAAAACCAGCAGTGGCAAACTTAGAGCTAGTAGGAAAAGAAAACCAGCCTGCTTGAGACCCTGGGAGAGGTTCATTGTGTATGGCCTAGGAAATCTGCCCTCAAAAGGGATAAACACATTTAGGACTTCCCAGAGATTAACAGATTTATTCAAACATTTGCCGAATACAAGGCAGTTTGATGAGGTTATGACAAGAGTGCATTCTAGGATTCAGGCAGAGGCATGTTCCTTCTGCAACCTCATGACAATGAGGCATCATGACAATTTACTTGACTGCTCTAATCTCCCTTTTTTTGTAGGTTTTTAAAAAAGTTTATCTATGGTCGGAAATACTTATGCCCAATAAATAAATAAGCTAGCTATGACAAAGTGGAATCGTTTCAGTTAATCAGGAGATTAAAGCAAGAAAAAGAACTGGATTAGTCAGATTGTCTAGGAAATAGGGTTCCTTTTCTGAAAATGAAGACTTGAAGGAGCTGTTTGATATTGTGTTTGTTTTTTTATTTTTATTTTATTATTTATTTATTTATTTTGTTTTTTGAGATGGAGTCTGGCTCTGTAGCCCAGGCTAGAGTGCAGTGGCTTGACCTCCGCTCACTGCAAGCTCTGCCTCCCAGGTTCACACCATTCTCCTGCCTCAGCCTCCCAAATAGCTGGGACTACAGGCACCCGCCACCACGCCCAGCTAATTTTTTTGTATTTTAGTGGAGACAGGGTTTCACCGTGTTAGCCACGATGGTCTCGATCTCCTGACCTCATGATCTGCCTGCCTCGGCCTCCCAAAGTGCTGGGATTACAGGCGTGAGCCACCGCACCCGGTTGTGTTTGCTTTTTTTTTACAATCATTATCTCATTCAATCATTGTAGCAACTCTACAAAATAAGTACTATTGACATTTGCATCTTACAGATGAAAAATTGAGACCAGAGAGTTAAGCAATGTTCCCAAGGTTAAACAGCTAGTGTGGGTTGGAGAGCCCAATGCTCTGTCATGCTACATGCCCAGTCTTGTTATCAACAGTTTCCCTTCAGCAAATTCTGTTTGCTTCTCATAAACTGGAAACAAACAAACAAACAAAAACCCACCAAAAATCTTGTTAAAAGCTTGAAGGCAACTATCAAATCATTCATTCTCTCTACAGAGGATAAAACTAAAGATTTAATTAATACAATTAAGTAGATTACACTGTAAAAAATACAAGGATAAAGGAATTAAATGATTAGATGAAAATGACAGGGATGGCCAGCGTTCTTGAGGTCTAAAACAAAGTTTTCCTATTAATAAAAAAAGAAATTCAAACTATACAGATGGCCCAAGATAATATGAATCCAAGACCTGGTTTACGTATCTTTTAATTTTAAACTTGTAAAAGTCTTCATGTATTTTATATCTATAACCTCAAAGAAATAGCAACAATACTAAATGTAGAAACAAATTTGATGCAAAACATTGCCTCTGTATATTTCTTGATGTCATATTTTAAGATACGAGTTCACACGTCTGTAGTCAAAAGTCCTCTTCCTCTCTCCCACAGGAAATTATGCCAGGGAGTGGGAGACACCTGGCTGGCCAGGCAGAGGATCCAGAAGTGAAGGAGGGAGGACACAGAGGGAGAGGGAAAGAAAATTCTTAGGCTGGGTTGAGTTGAGAACAGTCAGAAACAACTCACAAAATGACTTCAGAAGCAGTGGAAACTGTGCTTAGGTAAACCTTTCGGTGATAGGCTTTGGAGAATTTGAGTTTCCAGGAGAAGAAACAGACCTGAAAGCCCCAAGTCCCTGGACACAGAGGTAGGAAAATCTCTCTCAAATATGCTTTGTTAGCATAATTTGTTACAGGCATAAAAATGTATGTCATCAAGTTAGACAATGAATATAGAAAAATGACAACCCTGTTTCCAAGGAGCCTATTTGTAGCCTAGGATAAGACAAATACAACATCTCAGCAGTCCCTAGCTATGGAGAGGCTGCTGGGTTTACAGGGAGTGGAAGCAGAAAAGTACGGACATGGAGGAGAAAGTTGACTCCGCAAGCATCTGACAGCTCCCATCTCCTTGGTGAAGGCAGCTTCATGTGAAGTGAGGCACCCCAGGTCCAGGGGTGGTGGGAGCTCCACCTGCTGCAGCAGCCACGGCCTGTGGGTTCTCAGGGCTACTCTGAAAGTCAATCAGAGAATGTCAAAGCAACCACATTTTAACAGAAGGAATATGGCAGTTGGGAAGTTTCCAAGCAATCAGTCCTCCTTTATTTGAACTAGAGAAAGAAATTTTGGGGACTGAGGCACAAAATAACTACTAACACATTCTGACTTGCTCCCAAGGCTGATGGTCTAAGGAAATAATATGTTACATATGAGTATAGATAAGTCTTTAATTCCAAATAACTACTAAGTATTTATTGAGCTACTACAAAGTTAAACAATATGCGGGACTCTGGAGATGCAATGAAGAGTGAGAAGCTTTAGTCCTTGAGTTCATGTGGTTCAGAAGCCCAGACACGGAAGACAGACAATCAAATAGTCATACAAATGAGGAAATACCCTAATGACCGACTGAAGTCATTTCTATTAAGGAAAAAGCCTGGTTATAACATATAACAAAGGAAATTGGTTAAGCAATGCTCCCAAGGTTAAACAGCTGGCAACTAATTGGGTTGATGAGGTTGAGGAGATTTCTCATTTTAAAATCTTTTATACTGATACAATAGTATGTAACTAAACTATTAACGTTGAAAGTTATCCAAGAAATCCATCCAATATAGTAGATAACCTAGAGATTTTTACTTTATGGAAGGAAAAAAAATATGCTTTGGATAGATTTGTTCAGAATAGCATTGCTATTTAGACCAGCCTCTAACAAGCAATATTTGGTAAATCTTATTATTGTAGTTTTCAAATAGTACATGTTGTTATGTTATGAAACCAAGGTTGCTTAGCTATTTCCAATTGTAGTACCCAGTTGTGGCATGGAATACTTTATTAGTTCTCTCACAAACCTCCAGTGGGGAAAGCTAATATTGTTAAATGCATGCCCACTGAGAGAAATTTTACAAATTACAGAACACTACAGCTCAAATAGAATAACTGTATATTAATGAAAGAAGTAAAACTTATTTTAAAAATGAAAAAAATATAATTTCCATATTGAATATGCTTTAATCTTTGAGAAAAGTTAAAATGTGATAATCCTTAAAGAGATTATTATCAAATACTGCTATGTAAATGTCAAGGAACTATAACCATATTTTCTCATAATAATACATTCAGAAACACTGAAGAAAATAAAACCGATTAAAATAAAGAGGGAACTGCTGGTTGGAAACAAAAATCAAGTAACAGTTTTGTATTTTAAGCTATTGCAATAATAATTGACTGAAATTTTCTCTCATGTTAATTTATGTGAAGTTAAAATACTTCTATATTTAGCTCCATCTTTATCCTTTAAGAATGGAATAAACATTGCTCTAAGGAGATAATAACTTTAAGAAGTTTTCCCCAGTTGCCTATGGATATTTTTTTCAATACATTTCCAAGTTCTTAAAATATTTCTATCAATTTTGGAAAGATTTTGCCAAGAAAAGTCTGCAACATTTAAAACAGTATCATTGCTAACTCTGGCTAAATGTCCTTAAGCAAGTTGTGGATTTCAAACAATGCAACACACCACAGCCAGGAAATGATGACCTACTGCCCACTGAATTTCTTTTCTTTATCCTCCCGATAACAGTATACAAGCCATCAGTACTAAATCTTATCTTCTTGTTAGTGGCTGAGCTTAAAAAGACACGAAAGACATCTTGAGAGCTTGAATGGAAAGATCTTCTGGATAATTATTATTTTGGCAAAAACGAGAATGTTGGGCTCACCTTTGCAGCATGTCACAAAACACCTATAACTTAGAACTCAAGGATATATTGGAATATCAGGTGCTCTGTCAGGATTGCACATATGGCTTGGGAATGTCTCGTCTAAAGCATTGCTACTTGAAGCCTGGCCCTAGCATCAGCAGTTAAGAATACAGATTTGTGACCCTCACCTGCTGAATTAGAATCTCTGAGATGGGGCCCAGGGATCTCTGTTTTTAACAAGGTGTCCAGGTGATTCTTAGTCTCACTGAAGTGCTAGAACTTCTGGTTTAAAGGACTTCTGGGTGCTGGGTTACAAGGCTTGCCATGGACAATCAGATTATGTTTGTTCCCCCATAACAGCAACATAGACACCACCTGGAACTTGTTAGAAACACAGACTTTTCTGCCCCAGCCCTACAGAATCAGTCTACATTTTAGGAAGGTCCCTATGGGATTTCAAGTCCAAGTTGGAAACTGAAAGGATGCTGATCTCCTGTTTTCTGAGGGAGTGTTCCCCCAGGGGCCTGTCCTGTCCCGCAGTAGCTACAGTGCCCTGGGCCTCTCTCCCCTCTCCCATACCAAAATCCTTATTTACCCAACAACGTGTTTCAGGCAGGCGCAGGGACAGGAAGTGATTTCTATGAGCTAATAAGTTTTAGTGTATAGTTACTGGTAAAATTCAATGTGCTTTGAATTCGTATAATATTGGCATTAAAAAGATTTCTGGAGATGACCATATATATATATAGAATATATATATATATATTCTATAAAAAGCCTTTATCTCATGAGGCTTTTCTTAAATTGATACAATAATTGTACATACTTATGGGGTACAGTGATATTTTGATACATGTATACAAAGTATAATTAACAGAGTAATTCAGAGTAATTAGCATATCCATCACCTCTATCATTTATCATTGTGTTGGGAGCATTCAAAGTCCTCTTTTCTAGCTATTTGAAAATATACAATAAATAGTGTTAACTATAGTCCCTCAAGAATGCTATGAAACACTACACTAGAACTGATTCTCTTATCTAGCTGTAATATTTTATGTCTGTTAAGCAACCTCTCCCTACCATCCCTTCTCTCCTGCCCTTCCCAGCCTCTAGTAACCACTATTCTACTCTACTTCTACCTTTAAGAGATCATGTTTTTTAGATTACGAGTGAAAATGTGTATTTCTTATGGCTAAATAGAACTGCATTGTCTATATATACCACATTTTATCCATTCACCTACTGATGGACACTTAGGATGATTCCATTATCTTGGCTACTGTGAATAGTGCTGCAACATGGGAGTGTAGATATCTCTTTGATATACTGATTTATTTTCCTTCAGATAAATACTCAAAAGTAGGATTGCTGGATTGTATGGTAGTTCTATTTTTAGTTTTTCTGAGGAACCTCTGGACTGTTTTCCAGAATGGCTGTACTACTTCACATTCCCATCAACAGTGTGGGAGTGTTTCCCTTCCTCTAAATCCTCGCCAGCATGCATTGTTTTTCATTGGTCTGATAACAGCCATTATAACTGGGGTGAGAAGATATCTCATTATGGCTTTGATTTGCATTTCCCTGAAGATTAGTGATTTTGGGCACTTTTTCATGTAGTCATTGGCTATTTGTCTTCTTCTTGGAAAAATGTCTAGTGAGATCATCTGCCCATTTTCAAACTGGATTTTTTTTTCTGTCATTTTTCCTTGAATGACTCTCTAATGTGAGATTCTAGGCAGAGTGAGAAACTGGTGGAGTAACTCAAGGTTTTGTGGGGGCTGGATTTTTTATATTCTACAAATCAGACATGAATATATTGACTCCTTTCCTTTATAAACAAGAAATGATTGCACAAAGAATTCACCTCCACTGACCTGTCACCTAGATTTTCTTCAACTATCTGATAACCCCAGACCAGTATGAGCCCAGTATTCTAGGTGGTCTAGCCAGTAACATTGCAGTGGTTTCAAGAGTCCAAAAATTAACTTAAATATACACCTAGGGGTTGGGGTGATTTTGAAAGTCCTATACACATCAGCACTTTACAGTACCCTGGAAAGTCCTGGAATCAAACACTCCTGCCTCCTCCATACACCCTATGCCCAAATCTGGAAATCCAAGTTTCCAAATATTATGATTATAGGATGGAGATGGTGGCATGGTTTTTAAAGTTTTTTAGCCAATTATAATACACAAGTTTTTTAGCCTATTCTGATAATCACTGACCAGTTGTGTTTCTGTTCATAAAGTTTTCATGCATAATTCAATGGTGACTATACTGTTATTACTTGAATAAGACATATAGTACAAGTTTTCTATATATGAAATGCTACCATTTTATACTTCAATCTGATGCATGCATGATTTGTTATAATACAAGTTCTGCATCTAAATATAGGTCCAAGCATGCAAAATAAATAGCAATTTTAATTTTGGTATTCTCTTGATTTTGCTAGTAACTGTTTTAAAATTAAACCATTTAAAATGAAAACACAAGCTAAGGATGGCTTCATTTATTAAAGATTTCTTCATCAAAATTTACTGAACACCAATAATGCACTAAATACTACAGCAAAGAGGCTGCTGGGATTTGGGCAATCATTTATCTTTACCTAAAGTTTGAAAATCTGACCAGGTACTTCTACTTTGATTTTTATGATTTAAACTGAAACGCTGGTAAACAAACTAAGCATGAAGCCTATCTTCTTGAATTACAATTGTTTACAATGCACCTCAATGATATGAGTAAGCCCTTCTAAAGTTGAGATTGTGGCAAATTTTTACAACACGGACAATAAAGGAAAAACAATTTTTCCCTTTATATTTATAAAAACAATATTGCCAAATAAAGAGGAAATTATATTTACCCATAGTTCCTTTTTTTCTGTGTATTCTCTTAATCTTTATTTTCCAACCTTTTTAGAAAGGTTATTCTCTAACCTTTTTTTCTATGTATTCTCTTAATCTTTATTCACAAACATACTTTTTACATAGTTGTAACCTGTGTATTCATACAATTTAGAGGAAATCACTAGTTAAGGCCTAATATAAAGAATTTATGCAGACTTCTCTTTAAGGAAATTATACAGTGTAAAACTTACACCATAATCCTCATAGACCTAAGAGTTTCAACCATCAGACCAAATTACAACTTCCTTTCCTTCCTTCTCCACTTGAGTAAATGAACTAATACGAGGCTCTCTTTAGTTTGAGTTCACTGTCCCTAAAAGAGTATATGTAAAATATTGTTATCTTCTTGGTTGCTTAGCATTATTTTTATGCAATCATTATAAAATCTTAAAATTATGAATGCAGATTCTCAAATCTGCATAAAACAATTTAAAGTTATTATCAAATGTCTTTTGCACAAGTAATTTTAGTACTTTTTCCTGTATACACTTTGCTTTTTAAGTTTTCTGGTATAAACGTCCCCACAGTAACTTAACCAACTATCTCATCGTTCTTATTCCACTCTTGTTGAGCTTATTGAATAAGGAAGGCATTAATACAAATGACAGACTTCTTCAAAGGACATCTGCATCTAAGTACACCATAAACACCAAAGGAAAGGCAGCATTATCTAGGTAGAGTAGGGTCTGCAATGAAAGAAGTACCAGTCTGGTTCCACCATACATCGACTGTGATTCATCTTGGTCCTATCGTTTTTGCCCCATGCAATTCAGGTTAAGTCTACTGTAAAAGGAAGATCTTATTAGCATTCTAATTCTTTGTGGATATGATGGCAAAAAAGCAAGAATATTCATAAGCATTTCAACATCCTCAGATGAAAGATACTGGATTTTTTAAGCAGAAGATTTCATTTGTTATTAATATTCATTAGGATAAATACCACTTATTACTAACTTGTCCTACTAAAACATCTCTGTATCATTCTGGTTAAAAACTATAAATGAGTTTACCTTTCCAGTACGTTTCAAGAACAAGTCTGGAGAGCATGCTAAACTGTTTTCATTTAGTGACACACTGACATCTAGTGGAGATTTATGGTGTGTGAAAGGATATCACACACCCAAAAATAACCACAGTTCTGATGGGGCAGAAAGAAAAAGCACCTTTTTGTTTTTTATGCAAGGCATCAAGAAAAAGATTTTTAAAAGATTAAATAAATGTACATTTCTTGTATACTTAAGTTTTGCTTGTTCAATTAGAAACACTCGCCAATTCACAAAACATAAAAAGACGGAATATTAGAGGTGGGAGTGGTGAAAAACTGTTTCATGTTGTGGTTTGAGAGATCCCAAAAAATATCCCACTAATTCAGAATCTAAAGGAGCAACATGTAATTATGTGCTCACTTCCTATTTACTTTTTATAGTGAATGCAGGCAACGGTGGAGGGAAGAAAGGAAGAAGGAAGGGGAGGGGAGGAGAAATGAGGGAAGGGGACATAGGAGGCAAGCCTTCCAGGGTTTCCACTACATCCCTTGAATTAACTTCTGCACCTCCTTGTGGTTAGAATTTTATTAATTCCAGAAGGAAAGCTCCTTTAAGCATATATGTAAGCTATATGGCATGTCACTAAGCATTTATTTAAACCTGCTCATTTAATATACTGTATTTACTTTGGAATAAAAATATAAAACAAAATGTTTCTATTACCCTGGGCTTTCCCAATGCAGCAGCATCAGTAAAAACATGGCTTCTGTGTTTGCTTTCTGTCCTTCCACAGGTAACAAGAAATAAATGCTAAGTGGCCCCAGGAGGAAGTCAATTTAACATCTGCATATTTTATTTAACATATAATTATTTTAATTAGGTAAGATTAACAATTATTCATTGGAAAATTATCACAATCATATCATATCAGGTACAGTACAAATTAAATCTAAAACGGTGTCCCCTCCTCCCCCTTTAGGGAACCTGGGAAGGACTCAGAGTGCCGATGGTGTATTTGATATACATCAGCCTATTTCCTTGTTTTCTATTGAACTTCAACCACTGGATGGAACTTCTTTACACCACTGTTTAATTGCTTCATTATTCCAGTGAGCAGGCAAGGCTGAAGAGGAGGAATTCTGGAAGCTGGAATAAAGAATTTATATTTGTACTGCTGTGTGCTTAGCCTCTGGTTCTGGAAGACCTTTCCACCACACCTCTTCTGAAAAAAAAAAAAAAAAAGAAAGAAAGAAAGAAAGAAAAGTGAAAACATCTTACTGTTGGCCTGGAGGAAACATGGAACTAAAAGAAATCCTCGAGAACTAGGAAATGTATGATTTTTCTCGCGAAGAATGTGTATGACGTTGTTCCTGCCACACCCAGAATGCTAAATTCTTTAATTCACTCTTTCAATTATGTCTGGAAATAAGAATCATCATCCAGAAATCATTAGACCAGCTCTCAAGTGTAAAATCCTAAAAATATATATATTCTTTTTGAAACAGGGTCTTGCTCTGTCATCCAGGCTGGATACAGTGGTATGATCATGGCTCACTGCAGGCTTGACCTCCTGGCTCAAGCAATCTTCCTGCCTCAGCCTCCCAAGTAGCTTGACTATAGGTGTGCTGACTATGCTTGGCTAATTTTTAATTTTTTTTTTTTGTAGAGATAAAGGTCTTGCTCTGTTCCCCAGGCTGGTCTTGAACTCCTGGCCTCAAGTGATCTTCCTGCCTCAGTCTCCCAAAGTGCTGGGATTACAGGCATGGGCCACCACACCTGGCCCTAAAATAATCTTAAGGCAGCCATGTTGCTTAATTATAACCAAATGTCCTTAAATAAATATGCACCACTGATGGTGTTGTTAAATTTTTAAAAAGAAATATACTCACTTATTTCCTTCTCAGCAATTAATAAACTTCAATCTTCAGAGCCCAGAGACAAAAACAAACAAACAAAAAAACAACAAAAAAAGATGCGACACAACCTATTAGCACAAGCAAAAACAATGTTCTAACAGTGAAGCTTCATGCTGCACTCAAATGCATAATTATCCATACAATTTAAAATTGTATATTTTATTGCTTTAAAAGTCTTTCAGATACTTTACACTGCCCACTGTTTTACCACGAAGTAAATTTTCCTTTCACTACATTTCTGCAGCGTTGTTCATTGTTTTTAGTTCAATTACATAGTTGAGAAAATTCAGGCCCAGAGAAGTAAAAAGAAAAAAATTCCTTGCTACAGAGCAAGGCAGCAAATAAGGCATTTGAAAGCTTACTCTATTACAGGCTGGTGGTTAAATTAATTAAACTATTCTGGCTCTGGAATTCAGTATTCTAAAGACCCAGAAGTCAGATTTAAAATATCAATTATTATTGAAGTGTTTTACTCACTAAAAAACTATTGTGATAAATCAATGACCTATAATTACTCCAAAAATATAACTAACATTTAAAAGTTGTGATCTCCATATTCATTTCTTTCAAGAGAAAGTGTCAAAATGTGTTAGGCCCCAACCCTTGGTAATTAGTTTTTGTATAAGTGTAATATAGATTTTATTGGGTATGCTCTATAGATGGTGATTTTAAAGATTTCCCAGCAGGATCCCAACTTTGGAACTAAGGCTGCTGTCCCTACAGTGCAGAAGAAGCAGATTCCAGTGATTCTCAGATAATTCACTAGTTGTTTGCAGGGGGGAGGGGGCACGTGTTTGTGTATCCTCCTAAATAGGTCTTCTAATTCCATTTTCCCAGGACATGCTGCCAGGTCCTAGACAGGAAATGAGTCTTCCAGACATGTCCAAAGTTGCAGATTCTAAGAGGTGGCTATTCAAAGATCAGTCCATGAGCAGGTTACATAAAATGAATCTAGAGATGTGGTCAGAGTACTTGTGCACAATATATTTAATCTCGGAGAAAGAATTTACAGTAATATTATAGAATCAATATCAATATTCCCACCACCAGAATCAACCACTTTTTGTGATCTTGACTTCCCTGGAAATGTTAAGAAAATAGAGCCAAGTCTGACTTACAGAATCTGAGGAAACTTTATTGATCTCTTTATACTTCCAGCATTATGAGAGTAGGCAATACAATGTTTTAACCCAACCAAGCTCAAAGGAGTAAACCTTTTTCCTGAACCATAAATGGGCTGGATGTTTCCTCCACATTATAGTACCATCTCCTAAATCATCCTTTATTCACCTCCATGACAATAATAACCCACAACTCAGTGCAGGATGGAGATGCTTTTGCTGTTTCTCTTCAGAGGTCCTCACTGGAGTGTTCTTATCTTCTTGTGGGCTTCTGGCATCCTATGATATTTAACACTCAGTGCCTCCCAAATGACAACATGGTTACATAAATCCTTCTTTGAAAATACATGAAGAGAAAAAATACATTTCTAGCTAATGACTAAGAAGCCTCTAACAAGCTGCAAGTCAAAAGAAATACAAATGATTTCTAATTTTAGTTAACAATATATAGGATTTCAGAGATGCTATTCTCTAAATACAGACTTCAGAGATACTATTCATGGCAATAGTCCAGCCAGGCCTTAAATAAGAAAACGCTGTTTTAGCAAGGTGCCTGAGGAGAAGTATTAACAACATGAAACAGGAAAGGTGACCAACATGAGATTTAAAATTCTCTGATCTCTTAAACTCACTTCATTGAAAAGCCTTCCCTCTGAGCTTAACTAACATCAGTCTGTTAACTTTAAATCTGAAAAGTTTGGGCCCATGTTTAAATGTGGCCAAAGTGGCCAAACAGGTGACCCTTGAAGAGCAACACAGGGGGGTGATGCCACACAGTGGAAAATCCCACACATGGCTTTTGACTCCCCAAAAGTAGTAGCCTACAGTGGACCAGGAGTCTGATAACGAAGTAGGTTAACACATAAATAGACTAATATCTACATATATTTTATGCATTCATGACATAACTATTTTAAAAAATATTTCTAGGGTACATGGTTTGCAAGTTTTTTCAAATTGTTACAAATTTCCAAAAGTTTTCTGATACATTTTGAAAAAAAATCTGCATTATTAAGTGGACCTGTGCAGTTCAAACCCGTGTTGTTGAAGGGTCAAATATCTTGTAAATCTTACTAGAAACATATCACTATAATAAAAATAAAAACATGTGGCACCATATGTCAAACTGATATACAGTACTTATCCCGATTATGTACTTGCCTATGCCTGTAGTGTCATTTTTTGAAGGTACTTACATATAGCTAACATGTAAGCTAAAACACTTCCAATACTCGAATTCAGCAAAAAAAAAAAAAAAAACCCTCAAAAAAGTATAAAGTTGCCCACTCATCAGTGAATTATTTTGAACGAACAGAAGGCTCAATTTCAGCACTGCCAAATGCTCTTAGGCACAGAAGCAATGCACCATCTGTCTTGAAGCACCAAGTATATCAATTCACATTTAAAATACTGGTGTGCCTAGCCAAGTATCTTAAGCAAACCATTTTCTGATGCTTGATTGAAACTTAACATGGCTAGCAACAAGGTTACATGCATCAATACATTCAACTGCTAGTAGTAAAATTATAAAAACGTCAGGGCATCAAAGAGTTGTAGTCCTATGAACAGAAAACCTTGAAGAAGAGTTGGTGAATTAAGGAAATGTTCTCAATGAGTCACTATCACTTTCTCTGAGGAAATATGTTTCAGTGATATACGGAACTGCTGCCCCTGGTAAGAGTGACTCTGGTATTTCACTAGGAAATGAATGCATCCGAAGCTGCTACTGAAATAGATGCTGCTTCATCCAGGGAGTACACTGATGTAATGACAGAAAGTGGAGTGTGGAGTTTATTCAGTAAACAACAGACAACCACTGAAGTTGAAGCAGGGACTGTCCTGATAAACAGTTTACTCTGGGAAGATTAATGTGATAGTGGTGTGAAGAATGGGTTGGTGTTGTTTGGATGAACAAGAGGATAACTTTTAAAAGATTCCTTTAGATAAGGAATAACCAAGGGCCTGAATGAGACAGTAGGAGTGGAAGGAAGAGAACAGAATCAAGACATGACTTCCTTCAGAAATAAGAAAAAAAGAAAGCAACTACCACTCTAAATGTGAAATATTCTAAAGCAAACTTGTCCAACCTGCAGCCCACGATGGCTTTAAATGCAGCCCAACACAAATTAGTAAACTTTCTTACATTATGATATTTATGCATGGGCCATTTCTTTAGCTCATCAGCTACCGTTATAGTGTTAGTGTACTTAATGTGTGGCCCAAGACAATTCTTCCAATGTGGCCCAGGGATGCCAAAAGATTAGACACCCGTGTTCTAAAGAATATTATTGTAATCTGCTTACGACAGTTAAGAGTCATATCCTATTTTTTTTTCAGATAAAAAGTACAGTTGGGCTTAAATGTGCAATAATCACAGCAAAAATATTGTTCAGAAAGACCCAATCAGGAAAAGAAAAAAAGTTTCACTTCTAAGTATTTAACTCTTGGCTTTCTAAGTTAAGTAGTTAAACCAATTAAAATTCCAACCTCTTTGCTGACTAGTTTTTCAGAGAAAAGCAAAAAAATGGCCCCACTTCTTACATATCAATCTTGGGAGGCAAGAAGTCAGGACAATAGCAGGGAAAGGTAAGCAGAAAAAAAGGTGTGAGCCTTGGTCATAAGCTGTGACTGCCTTATGGATTTTCTGGAAATGAAATCTGATCTTCAAATTCCGTACTTCCTGAGTGAGGTACAATCCAAAGGGAGAGAAGGCTTGTAACTGAGTCTTGCCACGGGACCAATGGTGGAAGTGAGGGTCACAGAAATTGGTCACTATGTCCTTCTCTGACCACCACATCCATAAAATAGAACAGGGAAGAATACTCAGTTTTCTAGAGTCATTTTTCCTCTAGCAAACTCAGGGACGTCATCTGCCACACCATCCACTGAGGCTTTTCCAAAGCTCTGTGTAACTCACCTTGGACACCCCTCTTCCTGACTAGACCATGATGACCTCTTTGGGAAACACAGCGTAACTATTTTTGTGTCCAGCATTTAAAGCAGTATTAACTTTCAGCAAATAATTGAATTTCTCTAGTTAAAATTGGTGTCAAGGTAGATTCTTCAATGACTTCAGGAAAATCACTTGAATGAAACAAAAATTAAGGTGCTAAAGATTCAAACAACTGCTAAACCATACCTGATGAAAAAGAGGAGCCATTCGAGCTGATATGGATGTTTTAATTGCATGTTCATTAACATGTTAACTATGAAATAAACGAAAGGCTCATCCAGATAGACAACTCAATCATTCATTTTTACACTTGACCACAAACGACTAGTTACTCTGCTGGACATTAATGGGTCACACAGATGTATGAACTGTCGTCTCCCCATTCTCACTTTCAGCCAATAACATCTCGTTTCATGGAGGAGTAGAAGCTACCAAAGAACTTCCTACGAACCACATCTACCCTCCAATCTCACCTATGCCCATGTCCTCTGCAAATTCACAACAAGGGCCAAACACCTCACTTGTACTAGATCCTATCCCCTCTTGCTTATCTAGGGGAACTCAAGAATTTGGTGAATGACAATGCTGCTGTAAGTGCTGGATGCTGCACTTCCCAAAGAGCTTCTGCTCTAGTCAGGGAGAAAGACAGATGTCCAAGGTAGTGCAGAACTTTGAAAACACCCTGAATAAATTATGTAGCAGATAACTTTTTCAAGGACACTGCTCCTCCTCCCCTACACCATCCACTTCCTCCTCTCTAATCTTTCCTATCAATATACAAACATGCTGTAATTTCTCCCATCTTAAAGAAACTCCAACTACTCCCTACTTCTCTATTTCACTGCAAAATTGTCAGGAGTCTCCAAGTTCTCTATTCCTTGTTACTTTATTCAATCAAGCTTTAATTTCATTGCTCCAACAAAATTGCATATAAAAGTCACCAGTGTCTAGGACTCCTGAGTTGCTAATGGCTATTTAGGTCCTTATTTTATTTGGCTTATCAGTAGTCTCTCATGGGGTAGATCATTCCCACCTCCTTGAAACTTTTTACTTCCCTTTCAGGTTATCACACTCTCCTGATTTTCCTTTCACTTCTTGAGCGTTCCTTCCTGGATTACTTTGCTGACTCATCTCTCCTCAGCCTCCTAATGCTGGGAGTGCCTAAGCTTCTTTCTTCTCTAGCAGCACTCATTCCCTTGAGTGAGTGATCATAGGTCTCACAGCTATAAATACCAACTACACACTCACGTGTCACAAATATACATCCCTGGCCCAGAACTCTTGAATTCCAAATTTGTATATCCAATCTTGCACTTCCATTTGGATGTTTAATAGGCATTTCAAACTTAACCTGTCAAAAACTAAGCTCATAATCTTTCTCCCTATCCTGCTTCACCCTCGAGTTTTTCACCTTGGTTAATGACAACTACAGCCTACTAGTTTGCTCAGGC
This sequence comes from Homo sapiens, assembly GCF_000001405.40. Lineage (NCBI taxonomy): Eukaryota > Metazoa > Chordata > Mammalia > Primates > Hominidae > Homo > Homo sapiens. The sequence continues at coordinate 181,069,976 of NC_000002.12, read as the reverse complement.
CCTAAACTCTAACTCCTTTTTCACACCACATATTCAATCTATCAGCAAATCTTCTTAGCTCTATTTTTAACCAGAACCTGACCTTTTCTTACTACTTACACTGCCACCACCCAGGTTGAAGTCACTGGTATCTCTCACCTGGATTACTGCATTAGCCTCCTAACTGGTCCCCCTGCTCCCAATTCCTTAGCCCCACAGCAAGTTTTTCTCTGACTGATCAGATTCTAATAAATCATGTCCTGTTGCTCGTTGGCTAAAAACAGCTTCCAGTGGTGTCCCATCTTATTTAGAATACTAGCCAAACTCCTTAAAATGAAATACAAGACCCTATGTGATCTGCCCACCTGTCATCTTCTTGACCTGGCCTCCTATTCCTCTCCTAGTTGCTCACCTGCTCCAGCCCTCCTAAGCACTTGCTACCTTTTGAATGCATTGGGCATGCTCTTGTTACAAGATTTTTTCAGTTGGTATTCCCTCCGCCTGTAGGACTCTTTTCCTATGTGGCTTATTCCTCACCATCTTCAGCTCTTGACTCATTTTTTAGGTGAGGTCTTCCCCGACTACCCTTGTTATAACTGTAATTCAACCTCCCCTTTCTTTCTCCCTCACTGCACACACTATTTCCCTTCCCTACTTTGTTTTTCTCCATAACACTTACCATCTAACATACATATATGTGTGTGAGAATGTGTGCGTACGCACACACACACACACACATATATATATACACTTTTAAATTTTTTTGGTCTGTCTCCTAGCAATTGAAAGTAAACTCCATAAGGGTAGGAATTTTCGTGTATTTTATTCACTGCTAATCCTAAGCACCCAAACCAATATTCCAGTGTACACAACTAATAACTTACTGAATGAAATAAATTGGATCCCTTATTTCTAGGGGCTCATAATTGAGATGATATACATACACAAGTAAAACATTATATATGTCCTTAAAAAAAAATAACCATGGAAGAAAAAACATGGTGTCTCATGCATATTTAAAATGATCTTCACCATTTGAGAGTTCTGTGACCACAGCAAGAGTTTAGCAGAGGGCTAAAAAGTGCTCTTCAAACGATGATAAAGGAATCAGGTAAGGGGTGCCAGTGAAAGCCCTACAGTGTTATCCCCTCATACTCTTTATCTCATAAATTAATACTCTTCTTCATCACTTTGTAGATGAAAACTTGAAATGCTCATATGAAGACCTAACTACCCCAATCTCAATCACTAGAGAATCCCTGACTTTCCTTACAGACCTGGGCCCCTAGCTGTCAGGACTTAGTACCACACACCTCTCGGCAACCCATTCCTTCACAGATTTACCTTTTCCTTCTCTTGGACTAAGGTGGGAGCAGCCAACATATCTGAGTTTGCTAAGCTAACTTAAGAAATACTCATGGTGTGAGACAAAATAGAAGTTGTTGAAATTATACTTCTGAAACTAGGGTGCTTCTTACCCAGTTACCTTTCAATTCAACCTACTGGCAAAGAAATAACATGGGGCAATACAGAAAAAAATGACCCTGTGACTCTTCATCCTACTCCATTTCCCTTTTCTCCCAGAAGCGAGAAGTGAAAAACACACACACACATACAGAAAACAAAAAGACTTGAAAAATATTTCAATAAACGACTTCCAACATTCCAGAGTACTCCGTTCCACATTACCAAATGGTATACTAGTTCCCTTTCCCTAAAATATTTATCTTAAAAGATGTTCTCAAAGGCCATCAGTTTCCATTTCTTCTATTAGATTTCCTTAAAATACAGCAAGCAGATACATGTATTTAGTTGTTTTCTTTTTACCAATAAAAAAGGATAGGAGAAATATCCATTAAGAAGACAGTAATGATAATGAGAAATTATGTAAAATTTGTAGGACAGAAAATATTCTGGTGAATTTAAGGAAAGTTTAAAATTACAAGATTAAGTCAGTCTCTATTTTAAACACATTGTCATTAAGTAGGTTATATGAACAACCCATTGCTATTTCCCATATTTCAATTTAACAGTTTCAAATTTAACAATTTAAATATATATGGCACCAACCACATACAAAGCACTGAATCAACATGGGGAATTAAAGGAGACATGACAGATATGCTTCACATGGTCTCTGGATAACCTTATGGAGAAGACTTACACCCATGATATAATTATCATTCACTCAGCAAACATACATCATGTTACATATTGGGCTAGATACTGAAATAAGGAGACACAAAGCATAGATATTATCCTCCAAAAGCTCATTATCCAGAAATATGGATATGGAATAAAACTGAATAAAATGCCAAAACGCATGCTAGAAACATAGGGTACTAAGTGTAGTTTAAGATAATTATTTTAAAAGCATCAAATAGTATTAAGCATATTTAATATATAGAGAGTAAAACTTACTAAATATTATACTAATATTTTCATTGCTAAATCATCAGGAACATCTGTTCAGTTTGTCATTCAATAAAAATGGATATACATTAGCAAAGGGAAAAGTCTATCTGGACAGGGAAATGATAAACTGTTTAAGGATGTGAAAATGTATTCATCTCTGTATGTATCACAGTGCCAGAAAGAACCTTGTAATTAGCAAACACATAAAATTTGTAGAGCAGATAAACTCAAAGTGAAGATCAGCTAAGGAGTTATATAGCATAACCACCTTTCATCTCCCCCTACCTCCTTCCAAAGAGAAAAAAGAAAAAGGAAAAAGAATTCCTGGCTTTAGGGCACACATTGTTGAGGAAGGCACCTGGCTTGTTGTTGGCACTTGGAAATATGCATATACTTGATTCCCTTTTATTATTTCTGGTGTTTGTGAAGACGGCATCTCAGAGAAACAGACCAACAGGTATGTGAGAGCAGTGTAACAGAAAGGTTTCCATCAAAGGAGCTGGACTTGAGATAAACTTTAGGGATTAGAGATTGGAGGATTTGGGGAAAAAAGTTGCTTTTAGTGACCTGTGTTTGGAGGACTTGCGTAATTGTCTTTAGCTTCACCAGATTTCAACAAGGTAACCCTACAGATACGAAGATTTCGTGTGAACTTAAATTTCTGTAAATACATGTCAATGATAATACCTACATTTGTCAAAAATTCCTTTTGCTATGCATTGTTCTGTTTACTTCAAAATATATCCAGGACTAGGTACCAACGCTCTGCTGCCTAATCATGGTTTAATCACTCTTTCTCATGTATAGTTAAATTAACAACAAAGACTACTAAAGACTATTTATACTGTACTTGTGCCTGAATCTGGGTAATGTATTGCTTATTTTTTTTTTTTCAAAACTTAGCTTTTCAATATATGGTCTTATTAATATATTGGATGTTGCTATTTAAAAATCACCTTGGGCTTCCTGTTACATGAATTACCAGAACCACAGAAGCTGAGAGCCCAGCAGGTGGTAAACTGAAGTAAGAGAGATACTGCTGGAGTTCCAAGGACATTCCCTTAAGAGAAATGCTTATGAGTTTAGGAGCTCTCGTAAGAGAGTCAGGGAGAAAAAGAAGGAAGTGAGGCTTGTGTGTGTATGCCTTAGATATGATAGGTATACACCTTACAGGATCACTCCTCATTTCTAATTTAACAAGATTGATTCTGTTTGACAAAGACAAAGGCTTTAACATTACCTATTACTATCAGCAATGCAGTTATAAATGTCACTCCTAGTCATTCATTTTATAGCCACTTTGAAAGGTCTATCAGTTTACTCTGTAGAAACATCCCATTACACATTGCAGATACACATTTAAATCACTGAAGAACTTTACAAGAAAAAATTGACAAACTAGTTAGAAAAATTTTGTTTCATTTCAAATAATGAATATCTACTAAAATGTAATTGTAATTTTTACTTGGCTATTACTTGAGAAAATTTAGTAATTTATTTAAATATGAAACAAATGAATTTATTTGTATATTGTATTTACCTAAAATAAAGACCACTAACTGGAATATAAGTAGATAATGCTTATGTAGAACCATTATCTCACTCTCTTAAGACAATTTATAAACATTTGAGAAAAATAATTGACGTTTCACATCATGCCATAATTCTGTCCAAATAATTTACAATGTAAATGTTAACGAAATTGTGTTAATGTGGTGCACGTATATCACTATAATGTAGGTTACTATCTAAAGTCACAGGACTGAAATTGACTTAAATCTTACCATACAGTCACATTCTTATATTGTTGTAAGAACACTTAGACAAGTTAGTGGGGCAGACTCCAAGTTCTTTAAGTATGCATCAGAAAACACCACCTTATTAAATGCTTGCTTTACTTATCAATATAAATTTTCTAATGTGATTATGCAATATATGGTTAAATAAATTTGAAATAACATTATCTCATTTTCCAAACTGATAAAGTGAAATCTGTGATATTGAAAGTATTTCTATGACAAATATCTAAGGGAGAATACAAACCTACCTACCTCATATTCATTGCAAACAGCAGTTATATTTTGTAAGGTTCCATTTGAGACTAAAATAAAATATTAAAATAAAGATTTGCTAAAATGCAATATTGTACTTTATAAACTCCAGAAGCTATAATCTATGAATATCTACTTTTATAGGGAACAGTTATAACTTGTGTATGTGTGTGTATGTGTGTGTGTGTGTGTGTGTGTGTGCGCGCGTGTTCAATATAAAGTTGTGACGTTATAAACAAAAACTGCGGGAAAGCATGAAGGTGCAGGGGGAGAGGAAGTATCGTATTGGCTGTGTAATATAGAGCAAGTTATTTAAACTTGTCTATGCACACTGTCAACTGTCAACTAAGATTCATCAGTGTCTGCTCTCCTAAACCTCTTTAGGTGTCTCAAATGAGATAAGGCACATCAGTGACTGAACAGTGCCCTGGCATGCAGTGGCTCTCATGTCATAGGTTGATCTACTCATTAGAACACCAAGATACTACTAGTCCACTTCAAAGAGTAGCCTGTTCCCCAAAAGAAAAAGCAGGACAAGCACAACAAAATTTACAAGATTAAAACTACTGAGCTTGAGGGTCAACAGAGAAGAGGGAAATTATCCAATCAACTCTTCTGTCTCATATATAAACCAACTAAAACTCAAAGAATTAAAGTGTCTTATTTAAGGCCACAATGGTAGTTTGTGGAAGAGCTGCAAATATTTTAAGTAACCAATTCCCTCCACTTTATCCCACACCAGTATGGACACAGCCAACAAGTAAGCAAAATAGTTTGGCGGTGGTAATTAGGCTCATGGTAACTAAAGGAAGTCTAATCATAGCATCCCCAAACATCCCAACATTCAGTATGATTTAAGTTTTTCTAGCACCAAGAGAGAAGTTTATTACTCTAGGGTGTAGAATGTACAATTTTGGCAGTGGAGGAAAAACTACGGTTGATAAAAAACCTTACAACTTAAACGGTCTCCACTTGCATCACATTCACTTGGACTCCATTATAAATTATTAGTTAGGTTTTCACAGAGGTAAAGTCTGAATTCTTCAAAATAGTACCTTTGTATAGTGCTCCTCTGTAATAATGTTGGGGGTGGGGAGTTTAAGTGAAAAACAGATATGTAAGTGTAATTTTAATTTTACTCTGATATAAGACTTCTACTGACAAACAGGAGTCTGCTATTCTAGTGACACACACAACTACACGTTTTACTTTATCCGGAAGCATTTTTTATGTTAATATTTTCACTCTATACATTTTTAAGATGATACTTCATTTCCATATTGAGGACTGGAGAAGACACCTGCCCCATATACCACAACCTTGGTTACATGACCAGAGATGATTACCTTAGTCACAGGGAAACAAAACAAAACAAAACACCACCACCACACACAATTATACTCTGTTTAGCAAATCTAAATATTGCAAAGAAATTCTAACTTTCAAGAAATCTAACACTTCAGAATTACAACTAGAAAGAAGAAATTTAACCTTCTAAAAACCTTACAATTTGGTATTTTACCAATTGAGAAATAATATCACATCTGTACACTAACACAGTTCTAGTCTACCTTCAAGGCAGACAAAGATTTCTGTGTTCATCTCTGCCTCTGGCTGTATTTGCTGGCCACTTGCCATAGTAAGAATGGTAATACACAACATGAACATTCAAGACCAGGATTAGAAGTAAAAAGTGCATCACAGACTAGCTACCACATCACAGTTACCATCTGACAATATTGCCCAGTGCTGAACAAAAATCATCAATTTGGAAGCAACATGTTCCATAAGACATTACCAGATTCCTGAGTGAGCGAGCCAGGATTTCATATTCTTTTTGGCTTAAACATCATATTACCGAAGTACAACTTTATGTGTTTGAGACCAATGGGTCAAAATCCACTTTTGATTATTTAAGGTCATTCTTTCAATAACAAAGGAAAAAAACTCTATGCATTTAATAGGATTTTAAATGTTTTCAATTTAAGAATGGGTTTATTTGTGCTAGTCTTTAGTAATCTTCATAGCCACATTTTTACTTCATCAACAATCATCTCAGACACACTTTCTAACAAGACTGACTTAAAATATTACGACAGGAAACTATGCCTTCAGGAGCATGTTTATTGTGTTTGAGATGATACATCAGGTGCTCTCTGAGCTACAAAGGGTAAAAGGAAATCCTCTCATTACAAACTGACAAAGGTAAAAGGTAAAACATTTTTCACAACAGCATGAACCACATACTCAGAAATAGATCTGGGTTTAATACAAATGACATAATTCCTAGCCATCTACAGCTACTTTTATAACTTCATACAGATAATGAATTAGGCTAAAATGCACTATAATATTTGGTAGACTTCAGGACCAGTATCCTTAGTACATCACAAAATACATTTTGATATCCCAAAGAAGCAAGACTTGCAAGTAGGCGTTTTAAACATAACTAATCTACAGCTACAAAGTTCTACTCTTGATAGCATTTACCTTTTTGGGGAGTCTCCCAGGCTCCAAAGGATAAAAGCAGAGTAGAATCAGTATAACATATACACAGAAGTCCGTATTGTAAAGGCTATAAAGATTTGCAGCACAGTGAGAAGATGCCTTCTGCTCCTTCACACTGCATACAAATTATGTGAATTATGTTGCGTATCTCTTGGTCCACTGTCTGGCTATCCTGTCGTGTTCTGCTCTGTTGGTCAAATACTGAGTGGCTATGCTTCCAACCAGAGGATCCGCTGGAAAAGCAGAAAGAACATTAAAAGCTATTTTGTGGTATCTTCTTCAAGGTATAGTTCTAATATTCTATTAAAATGAAATGCTTATTTTTCAGCAGTATCTTCATATATAATAGCTAAATTTTCAAAAGAAAAAGTTTAAAGTAACATGATCATATGTATATTTTAATATTCCAGTTAGGAAAGTCCCCTTCATAAAAAAAAAAATGAATTTTGAGCTATATATAAAAAGTTAGATTTGACTTTTATAAAAGATATGTCTTTAATATACAAAAACTATTTTGTAATTTTGGCCTTTCATTCAAAATGGAAGTATACTAGGTGGTTATATTTCTGCTTATGAATAGTTCAAAAATGGTTAATTTTAAAATAAAACCCCAGTCTTACAATACCATGCTATTTCAAATAAAATGCTTCCTTCATTCTGTGCCTGATATGACTCTAATCACTATCAATATTTACACTTGAAAACTTACTTGCCATTTTGTTTTAAGTAGAATTCTGAACTAGAGAGTGAACCTGATATAAATTTTTATTTTGATGTTTAAAAACAAAAAAATATGTACATATGGTACAATATTTGAATTGTACCAAACCATAGCCAGTAAAAAAAAACTATCTTCCTTCCTGACTCCAACTGCTCAGAAGTTTCTTTCCCTGGCAAACAATTGTTACCCATTTACAACATTACTTCCCAGAGTTCTTACATGCACTGACAAGCATTTAGAATATTATGTTGTGTATATGTATTTTTTTCCAGTGCCTTTTATACTTAATATATCTTGAAGATATTTCCCTATTAGTTCATATAGAGTTGTCACATTCTTTTTAAACGTTACATCTATTAATGGGCATTGAGGTTGTTTCCAATACTCTAATAAAGGATACCACAATGAATATCCATCTGTCACTATCTATTGCATATGTATCTCTGCCGAGCATAAGGTAACAACAGTAACAGTCTTTAGTGACTTATCAAATATTTAGAAGTAAGTCAACTTAAAAAAAAAAAAAAGGTCACATAACGAAACAAAATGTGTGAAATTTCAGGTCTAAACATCACTTTATCAAGTCAGCTACCCAAGTTTCTGAAGTTCACATGTGGCAGGCATTTTTTAAAGTTATGAATTATACACAAATGATTTTATCTGAGGTTATATAATCATAATCTAGTTCAATTCTCATTGGCTATCATTTTAATATCCATTACTACTACACTTTATATAACTAATTAATTAAAAAAGGAAGGGAGAACAAGAAGCCTTCTATTATTAAAGTAGTTGCCTAAAAGCATACAGCAGCATGGAAGGAGCAGGAAAAGGAGGCACTGGTTTCAGACACATTGCTTTACTCTTGTTAGAAGTGGTCGGCCGGGCGCGGTGGCTCACGCCTGTAATCCCAGCACTTTGGGAGGCCGAGGCGGGTGGATCATGAGGTCAAGAGATCGAGACCATCCTGGCTAACAAGGTGAAACCCCGTCTCTACTAAAAATACAAAAAAATTAGCCGGGCGCGGTGGCGGGCGCCTGTAGTCCCAGCTACTCGGGAGGCTGAGGCAGGAGAATGGCGTGAACCCGGGAAGCGGAGCTTGCAGTGAGCCGAGATTGCGCCACTGCAGTCCGCAGTCCGGCCTGGGCGACAGAGCGAGACTCCGTCTCAAAAAAAAAAAAAAAAAAAAAAAAGAAGTGGTCTGTGCACCTAAATACTTTTAAAAGTAGAGATTCCATTAATGATGGTGACAAAATAATTATAGAGTGGTATGCCATTAACAAATTAAATGAAGGTATTGAGAAACTTTTGGCCTAGTCTACTTCAAATGGCATTGGTAATTTCCTCACAAACTGTTTTATGGGGATCTTTCTATGAATAACATTTACCTCTCAATCTACATTTAAAGCTAACTAAAAAAAAAAAAAAAAAAAAAAAAAAAGCACTCGTTTTTGTAGTCTTATTGTACATGTTAATAAAGATTTGCTTACCAGGGTTGCAGTCTGTCAAAAGGGAACAAATAGACAGCAAAACCTTTGAAATAGTCAAAGCGGGACTCCAGTTGTCTTTAAGGATGTCCAGACAGATGACTCCCTGACTGTTGATGTTGCAGTGATAGATTCTGGTGCGGAAAGTAACCTAAGCACAGTCACATTAAAAACAGAAGGAAAATGAATGCTGTATTACCAATTAAAACACTAAAAAAAAATGAAGGGTAATATATCATAGATGATACTAAATTATTTGACTGGAGCTAAACTTAGATTAGGTTTAATAACAAAATTAAATGCTTTTGACTCAGTTGAAAAAAATTTTTTGTTTTTACCCTGTATAGAAAGAACTAAAGTGAGGAACTGATCAGTTATACTTAAATAACTGATACAGTAATTCCATCTATGTGTGTGGGTACGTCTGTTTGCATACACATCCACAGCATATACAACTGTGTGTGTACACATACATACAGAAAGACAGAAAGTGAGGAAGAAAAGAAATGTTTTGGTGCCGAAGGTAAGAGGAACTGATGAAGATTTTTTTTTAAAACATAAAAGTTACATCAGTTTCTTACTAGAAAAGATCAGTATCAATTCAGCTAATTTCTTACCAAACGTTAGAAAATACTGGAGGATTTAGAAGACGGTTGGTAAAATCATTCACACTACCTGCCTTTCTGTTTCTTAGCCTTTTATTTCTACAGCTGGTTCACTGTCTTGTTAGGCTAAAATATTAAAATAAAATAAACAAGGTTTTTAGCTACTGGATAAAGGAAACTAATATATCCCTGAAATGTGTGAGAAAAGAAGATAAATCATAAGAACAAACACTGCCAAGTCTCAAAACAATCACAAACACTAATTGGATAGCTAATTCATAATTGGAGTTGCCGAGAAAAAAAAAAATTTCTGATCATTTGAAAACTAGCAGTGTACTGTGAGCGCAAAAGTTGAATCTGGGAGGAAAACATTAAATGCTCTCAAAAGTGTCTTCCTGAAAAGAATGCATGACAGGGAGGGGGTAGGGGACCAACACACTAGTTTAGTGGGGGAGGAGGAGAGTATGCCCCTCTAGAACTGCTCTGACCAATACAGCATATACTAGTTACATGTGCATATACAGCTCTTAAATTGTGGCAAGGTGAATTGAGACGAACTAGAAGTGTAAAATAAATACCAGATTTCAAAGAGTTAGTACCAAAAAGAAAATGTGTAAGATTTCATTAACAATACTCTTACACGGATTACATGTTGAAATGACAATATTTTTAATATGTTGGGTTAACTAATATAGTATTAAAATTGTTTTATGTTTTATGTGGCTATTAGAAAATTTAAAATTATACATGTAGATTTTACTATATTTCCATTAATGCTGCTCTAGAATATAGAAATAATTTATGTTCAGATCACTGACGTTACTGCTCAATACATATGTGATTTACAAATATATTTTCAGCTATAACTAGTGAACAGAATAGCATTCATGAGCAGATTTCTATTAAATATTTATTATCCTTCAAGAAGCTCAACTTTTCCAAACTTCAAAAAGATTTAGCATTGCAGAGAAATAATTGTTCCAAATACCAAGATTATACCAGAAATCTTATTTTTCATTTGTCCAACTATAGATCTTAATGGTTAATACTGTATATCTCAGCAACAGAGTGAACACTAAAGAATTAGATGATATATTGCAATTTCAGCAAAAAACCAACATGCTAAATTTATAATCATTATATTCATCAAAATTACGGCAAATCATATACAGTACTATATAGTGTGAAATTCTTATATTAGCCAATTTCTGTTTTTCATTAAAAGGTGTCCAGGAAAACTTAAGAGTCTTTTTCTTCAATTAATCTTCCCCATATGCAAAAATAATTTCAAGATCTTACATGCTGATGGGACCACACGGTAAAGCACTTTAAACACTAACAGCTGTAATTGAGAGTAAATGGTGTCTGCGGTTTGGGGTAAATACCACTAGATGGCACTCGTTACCTTGTTAGACAATAAGTTACTGAGAAATAACCCTCTTTTATTCACAAAATAAATCCGTTTATGTGCACATATACATATACACACAGGCTACATAAATTTTAAATGGTATAGACTGCAACATAAATTTTTAAAAGTACAGAGAACAAAAGTCACCATGTTGGAAAAGAAAAACATTTCACCATAGTTAAGGGCTATGGACTTGAAAATACACTTTCCCCTGCTATGTCAGACATCTCTGTAACAACAGCATAATAATGCTCATGCTTAATTCCAGTGGTTTTTACCTGCTGACTTGACCATTGTAGAAACAGAAGTTAGCGGAGGGAGCCATTCAAGTAATTGTTATATTTAAGCTTTGCAAAGTTGATGGTCATTAGAAGGCACAACTCACCCCGTTCTCTGTTATCCATCTAATTCATACTTCAAATGAACTCAGAGCCAACAAAACTCAGGCATTCTGCTTCCACTACTACATCATACCCACAGAAGGTACAAAATGAGTTTACTAAATATTATTAGTTTCCCTCTTCTTGGCTATGAAGTTTTTGCTTATCTATAAAGGTATTCAGCACAAAATTCACATTATTAAACCCTTATTTCTGGAAGCTGTCAAACAGTTTTACTTTTTATCCTAATACCTTCATTAATACCTTAATAGTTAATTAAGGTATTATTAATTAAGGTATTAATGAAGGTTCATAGGATCTTCTCCCTCATAAGCATAAAATTTATCTGCTTTATTGATGTGCAAGGTATAGTTTTATTTACAATTAAGAATTAAACTCTTTCTGTTTATTACAAATTATTTGTGAAAGGAGTCAATTACTGTTTTAAAATTCTTGATTATGCGAAAATTTCCATATCAATCCATGAAAAGCAATGAAATCAAAATAACTGCATCAATACACATTTAAGTTCTAGAATAACCGATTTTAGAGGAGAAGGATTAAATACTAAAGAATGCACTTCAAGCTTCTTACCTTTGGTGGCTTAAATGGATAATCTGATGAAAATGTGATATCCAGAAAAAACACACCACCTTCATATACAGAACCCGGTGGACCAAGTATAGTTGATCTCCATTCATAAATGTTATCTCCTTTAGGCCCAGCACTATTTAAAAGAAATTAAAAATCAGTATGTACATATATTAGCAATGAATGTTAATATCCTAAAACCAGGGAAGTGTTAAAGGTAAATTAGCAATCTAGAGCAATAAGAAGTAAAATAAGTATAAAAGAAATAAGCCCCAATGTGTTTGCATGTGCATGTGTGTATGAACTTACTTGGAAATATTACAAACTTACAGAGGAAATGCAAGAAAAGTACAAAGAAAATTGGTATAACTTTACCCAGTCTCCATTAGCATTCTGCTCTGCCCCATTTGCTCCTCTCTCTCCCGAAACACACACCCCTCTAAACCTGCAAGCATGCATAGAGACATACTTTTTTCTGAGTCACCTGAAAGTTGCACACGGCCTTTTCCCCATAAACATGTCAGTGTGCATTTCCTAAAAACAATCTCCTATAAATTACAATACAGTTACAATTTCAGTAAATACATTAATACAATTCTTTAAAGTACAATTTGTATTATAATGTTGTCAACTGATTCGGTAATACCCTTTTAAAAAATTAATTTTTCTCCGATGCAGGACCCAGTCTTGGAACCACGTTATTTCCTGTGTCTTTATTCTCCTTTAATATGGGTCCTTTCCGCCTTTCTTTAACTTTTATAACATTAACGTTTTTTGCAGAATCTAGTCTTCTTTTTTAAAAAATGCTCATCATTTTGAGCTTGCCATGTTTCCTCATGATTTGATTCATGTAACGCATTTCTGGCTGAAATAGTAGGTGTCTGGCTGAAATAGTATGTGTCCTTCTCATGGTATCACATTTGGAGGCACACAGCACCTACCTGTACCTCATTGGTGATGTTAAGTTTCATCATCCAGACAAACTGCTATCCAATTTTCCTACTGCTTAGTTACTATCTTTTCCCTGCAACCAATAAGCAATATTTGGACAGACACTTCAAGACCAGGCAAATATCCTGCTTCTTATCAAAATTTCTTCCCAAGATTTAGCATCCATTTGTGATTGCTATGGTTTGATCTGTCCCTGCTAAAACTCAAGTTGAAATCTGACCCCCAAACGCGGCAATGTTGGGAAGTGTCTGGGTCAGAGGGGTAGATCCCTCATGAATAAATTAATGCCCTCCCTCAGGGGTGAGTCCTCACTCTAGCAAGAATGAATTAGTTCCCAAGAGAACTCATTGTTAAAAAGAGTGGCTTTCCTTGGTTTCTCTCTCTTGCTTCCTCTTGCTTTGTGATCTCTTTGCACTTGATGCCTGCCTTTCCACTGTGAGTTGAAGCAGCCTGAGGCCCTCAACAGATGCAGATGCCCATCAGGTGAACCAAATAAACCTCTTTTCCTTATAACCTACTCAGTCTCAGGTATTCTGTTACAGCAATAAAATCATGATTTTCCAATTCTAGAACTTTCTCTACACTTAACAGTTACCCCTTGAGCCTCTTCTCCTGCCTGTACGTATGTACAGAAGTATTACTGGTATGGTCTCATTTTTTCCCAATGCTTTATAAGTCATTACTGACTTTAATTATTTTGATACCCAAATTATTGCAGATTTGGCTGATGGGGAACCCTTTCAAAATGACTCCTATATCCTTGCAACATGTTAGCATCTTTTTTTTTTTTTTTTTTAAGCATTTCCTTCCTTTGGCATAAGGAATCCCATCCTTGGAATCAAACATTTTTCCAAAGAGCCAGGGTTCCTTTCAGTGCGAATGTTGTAAGAAAAACCAAGATCTGAGTCCTAGGTGCTACTAAGTCTTAGTTACATTTTGGTGCACTGCGCTTAACACACCATTACTTTATAAAATACAAACAAGAGAGATAGTTCAAATAAAATCTAAACTCATAATTACTTGTTGGTAAGACGACTCATACGCCTTAAACTCTCCTCAAATATATTTTACTGCCAGTTGATAGAAGAGCTTGGATTCCCACACCAAATTCTTAGTTCTTAAATGTGCTCTCTTCCCACTTATCATGCTATTTGCCATCGGACAAAGTGTACATTTAACTATAGGACAAAGTGTACATTTAACTATTGCAGGATAGTAAATAACTTTTCCTATTGTCTTGGAGTAGACTAAGCAGAGAAGCTATGGTAGTATGATTACTTTGCTGTACCCAAAGACACCTAGTTTAGGACAAGTGAAGGCTAAAATCCAGTCCTAAAATCCAGGTAGTGTTGGCTACCTGTCTGGATTAGGGGCCTCTTTTCATTCTCATAAATGTACCATCTGTTAGTCAAAACATACGGCAAGATGGGAAGGGGTCAGGAAGGGACATGAGCAGTTGCAGGGCTGAGTCCACTGTAATTTAAACAAATCATATTAGAGGCTAGCAACTGACCGACACTCTCTGTCTCTTCCACTGTCTTGAATCATCATCCATTTTTCCTTCTCTGGTGAGTGATGCCAATAAGAATCCAACAATGCCCTTTCTCCCAACTTTATTATTATTTTTTAAAATCTCTATTTCTCTCTCCCTTCGAGTTTCCATCTCAATCATCTTTCCTTGACAGCAAAACTCCTTGGAAATCTTATCTACATCTGCTATCTTCAGTTTCTCTCCTCTGTTGTTACTTGAACTCATTCCCAACAGGCATTTCCTCCCATTACTCCACTGAAACAGCTCTTATCCAAAGTCACCAATGACCTCATCACTACACCCAATGATCATTTCTCAATCTTCATATTATTTGACTGGTCCAGCAACATTTGACACAGCCAATCACATCCTCCTTGATACACTTTCTCTTTCATTCCTAGAATAACATACTTTGTTAGCTTTCCTACATTTCCTGGCCCCTCGTTCTCACTCTCTATTCCTATTCCTTATCACCCTAAGCTTTAAATATCACCAGTCCTCCAGAGCTAAGACCTTACACTCTTCTCTTTTCTACCTACATATACTGTTTTGGTTATCTTATGCAGTTTTACGGCTCCCAATACCACCAATATGCTCTTAACTTCCAAATCTGTAACTGCAGCCTAGATTTTTTTTGCTCTGCAAGACAATGTCAAGAGAACAAGGCAGGCAACAGTCTTGGAGAAAATATTTGCAAAAGATGTACCTGATAAAGAACTGTTATCAAAAATATACGATGAACCATTAAAACTAAAGAAAATGAACAACCTGATTATAAAATGGGTGAAATACCTGAACAGATACCTCACACCAAAGATAAACAGATGGCAAGTAAGCGTATGAAAAACTGTTCAAACTCATGTCATTAGGGAATTTCAAGTTAAAACAAGAAAAGCATGCCACTACACACCTATTAGAATGGCCCAAATCCAAAACACCAACAACAAATGCTGAAGAAAATGTGGAGTAACAGGAACTCTCATCCATTGCTAGTGGAGAATACAAAATGGTACAGGAAATGCAAAATATCTAGATTCATTTTTATGCATCTGGATGTCCACTTTGGAAGACAGTTTGGCAATCTTGTTACAAACATAAACATATCTTACCATAAGATCCAGTAATCACACTCCTGGGTATTTACTCAAATGAACTGAAAACTTATGTCCACACAAAATTCTGCATGCAGATGTGAATAGCAGCTTGATTCATAACTGCCAAATCTTGAAGGTGATCAAGATGTTACTTCAGTAGGTGAATGGATATATAAACTGTGGTACCTCCAGACAACGAAATATTATTCGGTGCTAAAAAGAAATGAGCTATCAAGCCATGAAAAGATATGGATGAAACTTAAATGCATATTAGTAAGTGGGAGAACCCAATATGAAAAGGCTACATACTGTATGACTCCATCTATATGACATTCTGGAGGCAAAACTACAGAAACAGTAAAAATATCAGTGGTTGCCAGGGGTTAGTGGGGTGGAAGGGATGAAGAGGCACAGCACGGAGGATCTGTAAGGGAGTGAACTTTTCTGTATGGTATGAATGGCGGATATGTCACTATATATGTGTAAAAATCCATAAAATGTACAACATCAAGAGTGAACCCATATGAAAACTAGGGACTTTGCATGATAATGATGTGTTAATGTAGGTTTATCGATTGGAATGTAACAACTATACCACTGTAGTGTGGGACAATAATAGCAGGGGTGGTTGTGTGTCTGTGCAGGGGCAGAGATACAAGGGGTTTTCACTCAATTTTGCTATGAACCTAAAACTGCCCAGAAAAAGCTATTAATTTAAAAAATACAAATAAATTTTAGAACAAGCAAATATTTATATATTAAAATAAGAGGTCAATGTTTCTGTAAGTAATGGTTTATAAAAAGAGTTACTAACTTTTATAAACGAGTATGTTCCAAAAATTTGTTCTGAAATCAGGTATTTTGGAACTTGAAACACATTTGGACCATAGAACTAAGGTGGTTTAAATCCTGGTCCACAAAATTTATTTAAACTATTTCTTCTATAATATTAAATAAGGTACTGTATATCTGCAGTAAAAAATACTGAAAAGTATGATATATGGTTAGACATTTTAAAACTACATAAACCAGAGTGCCTTCGAATTGACCACTCTGGCTCTCAAAGTTCATGTAGTTGGCAGGTATTCACTCTGGCCTCTGATCTTTTCCTACTCTTTCAAACATATCTTTATAAACCAAGGAGAAAAGAGATGTAAAAATAAGGAAATTCTGGTCACAAAGAACGAGAGGAAAAGAAAAAGATTATTCCTGGAAACTTAAAGGGTGGTGAAACGACTAAGAAATGACTAAGAGGGAACAGCATTGTAAAAGTGATGGCGAGGTGTCCTGTGCACAGAGAGGCACATGGAAAGCCCACCAATCAGCCAGATAGAAGGGAGGTAAGGATAAAAGAAAACCAAGGTAGAAAAGTGACCAGCAAGCATTTCACAGCAGATAGGAAAATGGAAGACTCCTGGAACAGCAGAGGCAGAAGAAGCAGAACAAAGAAAATAAAACAAGGAGTCTACCCTGGCCTTAAGAGTGGGTAGACCTTTCAGCAAAAGTGATTAAAAACTAGGTCTTGATATGATTAGAAACTACAAACTGGGAGGTAAACAGGAAAGGAGTATTTCTGGGCTATTGCTAGACAATAAAAAGGACTAGCCAATGTTAGTGGTGTTAAAATGTGTGAAAGTCAGGTGTTCTCAATGATAACTGCCTGCACTGTTAACTTTCAGCACTCAACCATTTTCAGATATTTTTAAAATTCAAAATTTCTGAAAAGCAATGAGCATATACCTTAAACAGCTGGGTTAACGAAGATATTTAAATGTCACACAGACTCTAGCAAACTTGTCCAACCTGCCTTATTTTGCTGCTGCTGTTGTGCTGTTTTGTTTTATGCTTTTAACAGCCTAAAGCCATGGGTTTTAGTTTCTGTCTCTAGTGATAAGAGAAAAAGAGGATGAGGAAGGGGCTTTACTGGCCTAACCAGAAACAGAAACTTCAAGAACCTACGACTGTATTCTTTCCCCTGGACACCCCTGCAAAGTATTTTAATTAATTCTTGACATCACCAACATCCTAACTAAATGGGAGAATTAGTTACACCTTAATGATTGTAATTTAAGTATTACATTTTCTTATAGGATGTGGGTGTGTCAGCCACCTTTCTTTTCTCAACCTTAACAACTAGATAAGATTCACTCAGATTAATAATATGGCTAATAAAAGGAGACACTTCACAATGATTCAGTCATAATTAAGTTAAATCACACAATTTTTACATTGTGCCAAACTATATGGAAATACCTCAGTGACTCAGAAATGTATCCAGTGTCTTCAGACTCTATACAAAATTTTATTTGGAAAACGTATTTTTGACTTAAAAACAGATACAAAATTTTAGGTACAATGCCACACTGCATAAAAAAGCAGTCTAGAAAACACAGAGAATAGTAATTATAAAACTAGCTCATGTATTCACTATAAATACATATTTAAAAAGAAATTACATACAAAAGGTTACTCCATTAGGTTGGACTAAGTATTTTAATAGTCCTAAGAATTTGCACACATATTCTATTGCAAAAGTATACTTCAGAATTGGTATACTTAAAATGCATAATATTGAAAATTAAAATCAATCACTATTAATATCACCAAAATAAGCAATAACTGTTCCTAATGTTGATACGACTTTTCCCACAATGAGGCTATCAAGTTAGCATCTCAGTATGAGTAATGGGGGTAGGAGAGATTAGAAAGAGGAGCCCTTAAATTAGACCAATCTTTAGAAAAGACTGGAATGAGTTAGGTAATTAAGATTATAAATCAGTTCATTACAAACGTTTGTAGGTCAGTAATGCACATTTCAGGGATTAAGCTGCAACTCAGTAAGCACACCTGAGTTCTAAGAAGAATATTAAAAATGAGAAGATATCCAACCTAGCATTGTTTAAAATACTGAAAAAACTGCATAAAACCACTATGTCTACCAATAAGGAAATAGATAATTATACAGCAATTAAAATGAATGACCTATATTTTTCAGCAAGAGATAGCTCTCAAAAATAATGCTGAGTGAAAAAAGTTAAGCTGAAGGATTAAACATGTAATTTAATACCATTTATTCAAGTTTTAAAAACATAAAAAAGATCCCACATATTGTTTATGAATGCATACATACACCGTGAAAGTATGAAAACATGCAGAAATCATGGACCAAAAATACAGGATAGTTATTGCCTCTGGGCCGGAAGGAAAAGGAATGAGACTGGGAAGAAAGTACGAAGAAACTTCAACTATATATAGTTTTATTTCCTTTAAAAAAATGTTCAAGCTAGAATACATGAAAGGATTACTGGATTATTACTCAAGTCTTACCTATTACTGTACGTTGAAACAAGAAAGAAGGAAGTTTCAAAGCACACCAGAGCTCTATTTTACTATTAACATAACTAAAGAAAGAAAGAACATTTTATGGAGTGCCCACTCTTTGCCAGGTGCTTTATATCACATCTAACTCAATAGTAGTAATCCTGTTCGAGTATTTTTATCACAATTTCACAGATGAGAAACCGAGCCAGAAAGGTTAAGTGACTTGCCTAGGGTCGTATATGCAGAGCTAAGATTCTCTTCTAAAATGTCTTCACCACAAATTTGAAAGCAATAAATCCATACAAATATTTTTAATTACCCAGCTCCTGCCAAAAATAAAATGTAAACAGATTCAGAAATAAAGGTATCTAATCACGTACTAAAGGTGATTCTGTAATGGCTTCTACTCTACAGACTTTTAAATGCTTCATATAATTTGGATTATTAATTCTTTGTTCCATCTCTGCTTAAGTGTCTACTCTAAGAGTCCCTCCCAAACTTTAGGATTATATTTCTGAAGAGAATCCCGTTGAACAAAACAGCAGGTGACAAGATGAGTTTTAGAGTCTTTTAGCACTTAGGATGTGGGGATGGGAGGAAAAACAAAATGATATAAAATTCAAGTTTTGAAAGAGTTGAAGAAAACCCACAAGGTATCACCTTCAAAACAAATATGGCCATTTGCATTAAAAATCTATACTAGTATGTAACTCTTGCTTGAAACACCTTCAATAACTGTTCAGGAAATAGTGATCAGAGTATTGCCTTGTAAAGAAGTGGATTCTTTTCCTAAAATTTGTATTAAGCAGATTCTGATATGTAAGTTTTTGAACCATCCCTTACCAGCTTCACATCTTTTACATAAATTACTACAAATGCTTGTGTAACTTATTGGCCTTTTTGTAAATTACTGTGATGCCTGAAAGTAAGATTTTTGAAATCTAGTCTTCATTTCATATATTCAGGGTATGGCAAATAAATATATTTTTTCTTTCTGTCCAGCCCTAACAACCTTATCACATGGCCTACAGAAAAGTAGTAGTATTTCATAGTCTTTTGTTTAAAGGAATTAGATTGAACATAAAAATAAAATGGCTGGGTGTGCGTGCTATATACATACACATAAATTCAGTCTGCAAAACCATCTTCATTGAAGAATTAATAACTATTTCTGGCAGTCAGGTGTACATATAAAAAGACTGATGAAGTAAAAAAACTATGGCATCTGCCTAAAGGCTTCTATCTGCACAGATAATGCAATAATGCTTTCTTGATCTAGTAATTACCATATAGTCTTTCTTCAAAACTATTACTATAAAGCTTGTGCTTTGTCTATCTTAAGGCCTATTATGACAGTCATCATCCAAACGCAGTCAAGTCTATTGTGTATAATCATAAGAAACACTTTGTAAGAGAAGAATTCTGGTACAGGTATTTTTATTGCAAAGTACTGTACACTTATATAAATGTAGATGAAAACATTTCTACAAGTACAACCATACACAAGGTGAAATAATTTAAAAAACACACACAAACACACATCCAAGTCCAGTCAGTTAAACAACATTGTGAATAACTACTATGGACCAGGCACTGGGATGCCAGGATAAACTGTGGGTGTGGTGAAATTAAATATCAACATCTATAAGTATATTGTCTTTAGCCAATACTGTGGTCACAATTTCACACTTAAATCCCTTGTTTTTTATATTCACATTCATTGTGGTGTATAATATCCAACTTAGCTAAAATACCTACACTCAAAAAGCTGCTCTGTCCAGCAGATCCTTGACTTCTCTGCTAATGGTGACATAAAGAATATCTTTATCCTCTGAAGCTTCTTTACTCCCTCAGCTGAAATCTCCAGAAATCTCAACCCATCACCCTTTCTTCTCCTAGTTGCCGCTATTCTCTCAGCTGAGTTCTACTGCCCAAGAGAGGGAGAAAAGGTAATCTTAGCAATGAGTTGTTCATTTTAACAACCTTATCAAGGCGGCTGGGGCTCAGGAAAATCCTTAGGATGCAGAACAAATTTAATTATATGAAGTACATCAAATGCTAAATGGGCATGTGTGAAGTAGGCGGAGAACACAGGTAGCTTCTGTAATATTTTTCTAAAGTAAAGCCAAACCTCTATATTGCTTTCCAAACTTCAAAAACTGTTTATAAGTGAACAGTTGTTATTCCTGAGTGTTTTAGAAAGAATCATATTTATTTAGGTTGAAAGCAATTAGGAGTTCACAATTAGGGAAAGCTATAATACAGACAATTAGGGTGAGAGGAGTGGCTGGGGAAATAACGTAGAAAAATAATTCTACTAACTAAAAGGGCAGACCTAGGTATGTGCTAGTGGTTCCCATGATTTTATCTTCCTACTCCTCTTCCCAAGAATGACCTCGTTTTGGTAAATGTGTGAATTCTTATGTAATCTCTATAACAACCAACCAGGAAATGGTATTGCTTATTAATCCATACTGTGCCTTGTGAACCTATGAATTTACTTTGAATCAAAAAAAGTATTTAAGCTTTAACAATATACAAAATACAGTACTTGTTAGATTCAATAAAGAAAACAAATTCATTCATTCATTAAGGAGTTATTGAGTGTCTACGATTTGGGGCTAGGAATCTGTACAAGAAACTAAATATACAATGGAGATTTCAGCCAAGCTGAGGATATAGATCTTAATCAAATAAACTCACAAAAAAACATAAAACAGAAAACGCTACAAAGGCAAGGTATTCCTTGTTGAATGCCGGGGAAATGTTAGAGAGATAAGGGAAGAGTCAGAGGAAGCAATATTTAAAAGATTATTTCAAATACCCCAGTGGGGGTTTATCAGTAGAAGCTGAAAGGAAAGGGCTGGGAAAGAGGACTTCAAAGCATAGGAAAATGCCCTGAGGCCATCAGGAACAAGTAGCAGGGCCTGGAAGCACAATGTGGCAGAAGGGAAGAGAACATGGGAAGTACAATGAAACGACCTAATGAGGGAAGCTGTAACAAACGTCTAGGCAGGACCTTGTAAGACTACATGAAGGAGACTTGTCTTTATATTAAAAGAAATAGGCAGCTATCAAAAGATTTTAAGCAACAAAGGGGGAGTGTTAAACTAATATGGACATTTTGCAAGGCCTCCTCAGGCTGCTCTGTGGAAAATGGTCTGGAGGAGGCCCGGAGGGGCTGTGGGTGGACCACTGCAGTAATCTGGGTGAAAGATGATGATAGGCTAGACTAATATGGTACCAGAGACAAAGAAGAGGGACTTGAGAGTTATTTAGGAGGAAAAAAACAAAACAAAACAAAAATCAACCAGACTTACGTTTTGAAATAGGACAAGTGAGGAAAAGGAGGGTTTCGAGAATAGCTTATAGTTTTCAGACTGCTATGACTGAGATAATGTATATGCCATTAACTAAGATATGGATGTTGAAAAAAAAGTTGGTTTTGGATACACTGGGACTAAGAAGTTTATGAGATATCCAAAAGATAAGTATGTCAAAGAGACAGACAAGTAAGATAAAGGGGCCTGGTCCTATAGATATAAATTTGTGAGACCTTGATACACAGGTCCTTAATGTCCTGCAGGTGGGATGAGCCAGGCTAGGTAAAGAGTACAGAGTAAGAAGGCGAGATGATACCTGAGATGAGACCACCACACCTAAGTCCCAATAATACATGTCAGACCTCTAACAGGTGTTTAACAGAGGGACAAAAAAGCAAATGGAAACAAAGCAGAGGAGAGATTAATTACATGAAGAGATATGGAAAGAAGCTGGGTTTGAAAAGTGTGTTAGAAACTAAAGACGTCATCTAGTCATGTGGTGATCATGCCAATAAACTACAAAAACTACCTGCATGTGTATGCTGGCAATATGAACTAACTCTTTCTGTAAAAATACAGAAGGAAATGCTAATACTGGTTACCTCTAAAAAGGATGTGGTGCTCTGTAGTGAAAAGGAAACCTAGTTTTCACTTATACTCTTTCTACTCTGAATAGTTTTCTGTGTAATTTTTAATTTGAAAAATAAGAGGGACAGGGGCCCAATAAGTCAAAACTGGGGCTATGGCTGAAGCACTAAGAGTGCTGTAAAGGCACTACAGAATAAAATCTAAACCATAAAGGATTTTAGGTAGGCAGAGTAATTTCTATGATATGCTTTCTTATCAAACCCCAAACTGGAGAACTCTGACAACAGAGATTTTCTAATTCTGAAAAATCAGATTAATAAGAGCTTTTAGAAATCTTGGCTAAGATTACTTAACCCTTCTTAGGTCTCTTCCCTCCCCCATTCTTTGCACACTGTACAGTTTAAGGGCTCATCCAAAACTGAAGCCATTTCGCCAATATATTGTAAATCTGAATTACAACTTAACCATATGTGACAGATCATCTTGTTTTCATTTTCTGCCTTTAAGACAGGCTATGATTAGGTAAAATACAACTAACAGTTGATAAATGTGTCAAGCTCTAGCCCAGTTTATCATGAGGCTTAAACTAAACACAGACTCTAACAGCACCTGTTTGTCCATTAGTTTTTTTCTGTATGTTTTGCAGTTTGATATACGAGGGCAGGTATGGAAATGTATCTTCTGCTAGCAAGTATTTGTGTTTTGTGCTACATTTTTGTTCAGAACCTTAATGCCTACACGGAATCCCTGACCTGCGAAAGACTCAAAATTCAATAAATCTATTTCCTGCTTATCTGTGGCTTTATGGAAGATCTTTTTCCTTGGTGGACAATGTAATTACAAAGCTTCATACTATAGCTGGCACTTATGTGGGGTACTCAGTGTTACTGATTCACTCTTCTAACATTTACTGATTATCTACCATGTGCCAGGCACTAGTGGGTACTGAAAATACAGTGATGAACAGAAGAACATACAAGGTCCTTGCCCTCACAGTGATTATGCAAATACTGAACAACACAAAATTATCCACATAAAATAATGCTGGATAGATACAAAGTCACTTATATAAGCAGACTATATTCCAAAAAGAGTGTAGGAAAAATAGTACTTAACAAATTGATTGTTGTCTTTTTTTTTTCTGTCCCAACATATCCAAGGGTATGTGTATATTCCCATCAGTTAACACTGGCTCACTAAATTAATAAGGGAAGTGGAAGGGAGGGAACAGTGTGGAGAAAATCTCCCAGGTTATTCTAATAAGCAACCTTCTTAAGAGGTACTAAGTTAATTGATGTGGTTACTACATCTGAAACCATGGGTCCCAACCTTGGCTGCCAAATGTAATCACCTGTGGAGTTTAAAAACTTACCCAATACCAGGTCCCACCCCTAGAGATTCTGATGTATTAGTCTGGGGCTTGGTCTGAGCTTACAGAGCTTTAAAAACTCATCAGGTGATAAAATGCTCAGCCATGATTCAAAACAACTGGAGACGGGGAGAGCAGATATGCAGAAAGAATGGGGAAAAAAAGAATGAAAACAAGAAAGTATTCCAATCCTCAGATGTGACATAATTGCCTGGGCTCTCTAACTGTTACTCCTATTGTGCAGAAAGATGTAAGAAGCTATTATAACTTTTGCCAAAACTCATTAACATCTTTAGATTGTGGTGAATTTATTGAGGTAATGCAGCTTTGCTGGGCTCAGCCAGGGGCATGCCAGCCTCCTTGGAAAACTTCCCTATCACCACCTCAAAAAGCTGTAACAATAATCAGCATAATATAACAGCTTTTTAAAATTGATCAAATGAGAAAACGTCTCTACAACCTTCTTACTCATACACAGCACAAGTAATTTTGCTTACACATTTGTCTTTAAAAAGTAGATTATGACAGTTTAAGATTCTCAGCTCTTCCTGCTGTATGCTTTCTTGCCATTTCCCTCCCTCTCTTTCTGCTTATAAAGCAGCAGACGTAAAAGCATAAACACAAGGTATACTACTAGAGGAAGGTAAAATCTTATTTTAGTGTCCTATGTAAACACTTAGTAAGTTCTCTGACTTTAAATTCTAACATTTAGAAAATTCTACATAATATGAAAAGAGAAAATGTATTATTAATTCTAGAACATTAACCAGTGCACCACTGACATTATATAACTACTATGCCATAAAATATTCTTAGAACTGAACAATTACTGGAGAGTACAGTAAGCTAAATCAGAAACTAGTGAGCAATTAAGACTTTTAACATAGTGATTAATGTAAGAACCATTCACAGGGACTTTAGGAATTATGTTACCATCTATAAGCATACAAAACAACAAAAGATGCATTAAGAAGATCAATACACTAATCTAGTGACATAAAAAATTATATCAGCATAATAGTGGAATTATGTCACAAATCTTGAAATTACAAAAAGTAGTTTCTACACAGTAAATTAAAACTGAATCTTCCTTAGGATAAAGCCTTATAGAAAACACAATCTCCTATTAAAGTAAACCTGCATTCTATCTGTCACCTCTAGTATTCTCTATTGCCACTAAAGATTCTTTTTTTCCACTTCTATCCCTTATGATCTGGGTTTGCCCTGAAGTGATATTTGGCATCCTTCTTGCCATACATAGTGCCATAGATAATACAAACTATATATATTTATCGCTTAGAGATTTCATCCTATTTTATATAAATTACATATAGTCAGTTTCTAAATTTTTAGTTGTAGCACTGTATATTTTGCACTATTCACTTTTTCAGTACTTATTGAACATTATACTTTTTCTGACCAACCGTCATCTCAAACTCAACAAAATAAAAATAATCTTTAACACAAAACCTGGCCCTACCAAAGACCAGAAATTGTAGTACTTGGGAAAAATGTGGAGGGACAGTTATGCTCAAATACCACTAGATCGGAGGAGAAATACAGCCTTTTAAAGATTCTTAGCCACATGTATCAAGAGTCATTTGATTAAGTAATCCCACATCCAAGAAGCTATCCTAGGACAAAAAACAGAGACGTGAATAAAAGTTTTTGTAAAAGAAGGCTCAAAGCAAAATAACAATAGTGAAACTCAAAATAACTTAAATGTCCAACGAAATAACGGTTAAATCACTTACGGTTTTCAATCAATCATGATGTAGGCACTGAAAAAAATTGAAGATTTTGAAGACTGTTTAATGACATGGAGAAATATTCATGACAGATTAAGAAAGAAGAGTAGATCACAAAACTATACATACACACCAGTAATCATATTGTGTAAACAATTTGTATATGTGTATACAGTATGTGTATTTTAAAAGAGGATGGGTGGAAATAACATTGATTATGTCTATGGTGATTATCGTTAATTATTATATTTTACTTTCTTGTGTTTTTGTCTTATCAAATATTATACAATAATTCAGGTTAAGTATCCCTCATCCAAAATGCTTAGGACCAGAAGTGTTAACTTTTTTTATATTTTTGGATTTTGGAAGATTTGCATATACATAATGAGATATACTGGGGATGAGACCAAAGTCTAAACACAAAACTCATTTATGTTTCATGTACATCTTATACACTAAGCCTGAAAGTAATTTTATACAATATTTTAAATAATTTTGTGCATGAAACAGATTTGAACACACTAAGCCATCAGAAAGCACTGTATCTCAGCCACTCATGTGGACAATCTGGTTGACTGGCATCACCATCATTCCTTACTCTTGAATTTATATGCTACTAGTAAGCATTCATTTTCTTATATTTATTCACATGTAAGTATTTAGTAAAAAAATAGAACATACCATGGATACAATGAAAAAATGTGTTCAGGTTAACTCGTAGCATCATGTTGGAACTCAAAAAGTTTCACGTCTTGGAGCATTTCAGATTTCAGATCAGAGATGCTCAACCTGTTATATACTTTTATTTAAAACAATTTTTTAAATGGCACTTTCATTTATTTTTCTAGTTGTGCAGGCATAAGACTTGACTTTTAAGCTTCCTTGCTCACCAGACATCCTGAAAGTTCTTCTGAACAATCTTTCTTGTAACAATAAAAGAGGAAGCAGTAAACTGTATTGAAAAGGCTTGGAAATCACACAAGATCTAAAAATCTGGTTGCATTTACCAGATGTGTGACGTTGTGCAAATTACTCAATTTTTCTCCATCTGTATGTGATGGCACCTGCCTTTGGGGTTATAGTGAAGCTGACAGCTCCTACTATTATGTAATTTTCTTTATCACTACTTCCAACCCAGATACTTAGCACATTTGGCCTGGGACTCAATTATGGATGTTCAGAATTGAAAGGTCTTTAGATATCATTTAGTATGGGTCCCTAGTCTTACAAATGAGGAAACTGAGGTCAGGTGCTTGCTCAAGGCTCCAGAGCTAATACGTGGCAGAACCTGAATTCTAACCTGTTCCATGACTTCCAGTTTGGCACTCTTTCACCAGCATCCTTAGAAAACTTCTCAGGACTTTGCTCATGCCATTTCTTCCTACCTCCCTGATGACTACTGCCTCTTTCAATATTCTTTATCTGAATTCAATTAATAAATAGAAGGACTTCCCTAATTCCAAAAGGGACTTCTCCCTCTTTTTGAACTCTAGTACAGATTGCTGTTTGGCTTTTTGATTAGGTCACACTGATGGGGGGCTAACCAGAAGAGCACAGCCACTTAAAGTCAGAAAACTTTAAACATGTAAACAGCCTCTGAAGGCACAGAATATTAACTGATGCTTCACAATACCCTTGAATTAACAAGGAAAGACTGAGCAATGCTCAGCACATATTCTCTGATTCCTAAGACAAGGCAAACATTAATTTTCAAACATCTGGAAAGCTTAGAATGACTGATGGGGATAGGGTAGACTTAAGAGATGTGACAATTAAATGCAATGTGATATCCTGAAACAAAAAGGACATTAGTGGAAAAACTGGTATAAAGCCAGGAGTTTAGTTAATATTAAGTTACCAATATTAATTTCTTAGTTTTGACAAATGCAGAAGGCTCCACAATTATATCCTCATTTACACTTGCTTTCCAGTCTAAATTAGGGTAGGTATATCACAATAATGTTTATAGTCAACAGTACTAAGGTCTGCTGAGATGACTCTCCACACTTTGTGATGGCAAGGATGAGGTGTTTTGACTCACACTCCACTGCTCTTCCAGACCACGCTGCCTCCTGACAGTGGTTTGGTTGTCATTCAATTCACCTAGTGAAAGCACTGGCCAAAAATATAATTCTTATTTGAAAAGAGCTTACCACAGTTTTTGTGAGCAGTGTGCAACATCACACCTGTAATCAATCCCAGCACTCTGGGAGGCTGAGGCAGGCGGATCATAAGGTCAGGAGTTCGAGACCAGCCTGGCCAACATGGTGAAACCCTGTCTCCACTAAAAATACAAAAATTAGCCTGGCATGGTGGTGCGTGCTGTAATCCCAGCTACTGGGGAGGCTGAGGCAGGAGAATTGCTTGGACCTGGGAGGCAGAGGTTGCAGTGAGCCGGTTGTGCCACTACAATCTAGCCTGGGCGACGGAGAGAGACTCCATCTCAAAAAAAAAAATTCCTTATGTTGCACACTGCTCACAGAAAACCCTGACATCCATTTTAACAATTAAAATAGATCTATACTGACATCTATATAAAAAGTAGTATGTTCTAAGCTTCTATTACTGTTCAATGCCCCTATGAGGAGAGGTAAAGGGCTTTGGTTCAAGCGCTATTTGACACTCTATATGAAGAAAAAAAAAATCTATCTTTTTTTTTTTTTTTTTTTGAGACGGAGTCTTGCTCTGTCGTTAGTGGCATGATCTCGGCTCACTGCAGCCTCTGCCTCCCGGGTTCAAGCAATTCTCCTGCCTCAGCCACCCAAGTAGCTGGGACTACAGGCACGTGCTGCCACACCCGTCTAATTTTTTTATTTTTGGTAGAGACTGGGTTTCATCATGCTGGCCAGGATGGTTTTGATCTCCTGACCTCGTGATTCGCCCGCCTGGGTCTCCCAAAGTGCTGGGATTACAGGCGTCAGCCACTGCACTCGGCCCTGAAGCATTTCTTTGGAGAAAAGGAAATGTGCTGAAGCATCAGAAGGAACCTCTAAGAGTCTACTTATGAAAATTCAAGTCTTCTGCTTTTCTAAGGTAAAAAAATAGCTCATTTACTGCACAGTCTAACTCTCTGGATCTAACAATATGACAGCAAGGAGAATGATTTTATAAAAATTCCAGAAACTGTTAAATGACATTTTAAACTATGATTATTTTGAATACCATAGCTACTAAAAAGTGATTTCCTTTGTCATCAGACTAAACTGTTTTTCCAGTATTTTTTACCTATGATCCATCTGAAACCTCTAGTGATTACCCACCTTCATCCTATAATTTGTAGTATACCTTATACTAAATAGAAATTACATTTCATTCTAACATTAAATGTTTAGATGTTATAGTTCTTTTATATATCTCAAAGCAGCCAGTATAATGCTTTCCACATAAGAGTTGCTCAATAAATGCTTCTTGAATAAATGTCAACCATGAAAAAATGCACTGTGGCAAAAAATTGATTCTTTATAAAAAAATTTTCCTATCCACTAATATTTATTTTATGTACATCATAAGCCAGGCACTGTAGTAGGGATAAAAGAAATAAATGACATCTAATTGAATTTATTGTTATGAAAAGGCTAAATGCAATACAGTGTAACATGTGCAGAACTAGAGACAGGTCAATGTCCCGTGGAAGGACGAAGAAGGATGTATCAAAATTGCTTAACTGGGTATATCAGAAAGCTCTATGAATATATGACTATAACGCAATCTTCCATTTATCCACTAAGAAGAACGCAAACATATTTTCCTCCCCAATTTAAGTATATAAATTTTTAGGAATGTCAAGGAAACAGTCAAATGGCCACTTAAAATAATTATTAGCTACAGATATTAAAAATCACCCCATGTGGTAAATTATAAATACAGTCAGCCCTCTGTACCCATGGGTTCTACATACACAGATTCAACCAACCACAAACAGAAAATATGCAGAAAAAAACTAATAAGAAATCACACAAATAAAAAGCCAATACAGTTTAACAACTATTATTTATATTGTATTTGGTATTATAAGTAATCAAAGTATACCAGAAGATATACATAGGTTATATGCAAATAGTATGCCATTTTATATAAGGAACTTGAGTATTTTGAGAATTTTGGTATCTGTGGAAGTCCCAGAACCAATCCCCCAAGGATACCACGGGATGACATTTTACGAAAATTTTATTTAACTCCTAGACATCAGTGTCTTTGTCATTATAAAATTATTGAGATGAATTTTTCGACTTTGCAAGTGACACTATTAGAAATTTTATCATAGCCAAAATTAGCATTTGTACACTTGTTTTTTTGTAGAGATGGGAGTCTCGCCATGTTGCTCAGGATGGTCTCAAACTCCTGAGTTCAAGCAATCTGCCCACCTCGAAATCCCAAAGTGCTGGGATTACAGGCGTGAGCCACCACACCAGTCCCTGTACACTCTTAAGACAATGTTTTTACATTCGACCACAGGCATTCTAGTTATAAGTCGCCCTCCCAGCCGCTCCAGGAGCCAGAATGCTCGTCTGCACCCACTTTTTGAACTAAAAGTATATTCATTACATTTTCAATGTAGCCATTTATTGTATTTTTCAAATGTTTTTAATCAGCTTTGAAGTATAAATTTATTTATAAAATTTATTCACCATTTTGAAATAAACACTGCTAAGTTTTGACAAATGTATAGTCCTGTAACATCACTACAACCATGATATAGAGCATATCCACCACCCCAAAAATGTTTCCTCGTTCCACTGCAATGACCCTATTTCCAAAAAAAAAAAAAAAAAAAAAAAAAGGTCACATTCTGAGGTACTGGAGGTTAGGACTTAAACATACCATTTTGGAGGATGTAATTTAACCAGTAACACTGAGTCACATGGTAGTAAGTGTATGTTTATAGTAAGAAACCCCAAAACTGTTATCCCAAGTGGCCATACCATTTTGCCTTCTCAATGGTAATGTATGAGAGTTTCAACGGCTACACATCCTTCCTCATCCTGTTTTTTTATAATTATTTTAACCATTCTAGTCAGTATGTAGTTGTATTTCATCGTGGTTTTAATTTGCATTTTTCTAACGACTAATGATGTGTAAGCACCACTGTTATTCATACAGCTTCATCAGTAACATCTCTATTCAAATCTTTTGTCCATTTTAAATTGGTTTGTCTATTAAGATATAAGACTTGTATGTTAAGACTTGCATGTTCTGGATACAAGTCTTTTATCAGACAGAGGTTTTCAAATTATTTTCTCCCTTTCTGTGATTTGCCTTTTCATCTTCTCAACAGTGTCTTTTACTTTAAGTTCCACCTGCCAATTATTTTATTTCTTGCTTTTGTCCTAAGAGATTTTTACTTAATCCAAGGGCATAAAATTTTGCTCTTACATTATATTCTAGAAGTTATAGCTTTAGCTCCTACATTTAGGTCAATGACCCATTTTGAATTAATTTTTGTATGGTCATGTGTCACTTAATGTTTAACAACAAGAATATGACCTCAGAAATGTGTCATTCGGGGATTTTGTCATTTTTCAAACATCATAGCGTATTTACACAAAGCTAGATGGTACAGCCTACTACACACTTAGGTTATATGGTATAGCCTATTGCTCCCAGGCTACAAACTCACACAGTATGTTATTATATAGAATACTGTAGGCAACTGTAAAACAATGTGATTTGTGTATCTAAACACACAGGAAAGGTACAGTAAAAATGATATAAAAGATAAAAAGTGGTACACTTGTATTGGGCACTTACCACAATGGAGCTTTCAGGACTGGAAGTTGGTCTGGGTGAGTCAGGGGTGAGTAGTGAAGGCGTAGGATGTATCTGTGCACTACTGCAGGCTTTATAAACACTTAGGCTATACTAAATTTATACAAAAATACTTTTCTTCCACAATAATAAATTAACTTTAGCTTACTATAACTTTTATTTTGTGCTTAGAGACAAGATCTGACTTTGTCACTCAGACCAGAGTGCAGTGGTATGATCATAGTTCACTGCAATCTTGAACTCCTGGGCTCAAGTGGTCCTCCCACCTCAGCCTCCCAAGCACCTGGGACTACAGGCATATGCCACCATGCCCGCTAATTTTTAAATTTTTTGTAGAGATGGTGTCTTGCTATATTGCCCAGGCTGGCCTCAAACTTCTGGCCTCAAATAATCCTCCCCCCTTAACCTCCTAAAAGTGCTGGCATTACAGGTGTGAGCCTGGCTGTAACTTTTTTACTATGTCAACTTAAAATTTTTTTTTAACTTTCTGATTCTTCTGTAGTAACACTGAGCTTAAAACACAAACACAGTGTATAGCTGTACAAAAATATTTTCCTTTGTATTTGTCTATAAGCTTTTTTATTTTTAAAAGTTATTTTATTTAATTTTTTAAACTTTTTTTGTAAAAACTAAGACACAAACATACACATTAGCCTAGGCTCACACAGGCTCAGGAGCATATATATCACTACTGTCTTCCACCGCCACATCCTGTTCCACTGTAGGGTCCTCATGAGCAATAACATACACATAGAGCTGTCATCTCCTATAACAATGCCTTCTCCTGCAATACCTCCTGAAAGAACTGCCTGAGGCTGTTTTAGAGTTAACTTTAAAAAAATAAGGAGTACACTCTAAAATAACAATAAAAAGTACAGTAAATACATAAACCAGGAACACAGTTGTTTATTATCAAGTATGTACTACATATAATTATATTTGCTGGCAGCACAAGTTTGTTTCCACCAGCATCACCACAAACATGTGAGTAATGCACTGTCTGACGATGCTACGATGACTACAACCTCAATTAGGTGACAGGAATTTTTCAGCTCTATCATAATCTTCTGGAACCACCATTATATATGAGGACTGTTGTTCATCAAAATGTCATTATACAATGCATAACTATGGATGATGTGAGGTCACAATCAAGGTTCAATACAGTAAGTCTTCGCTTAATGTTGTGGATAGGTTCTTGGAAACTGCAACTTTATGTGAAATGACATATACTGAAACCAATTTAACCACAGGCTAATTGACATAAACAAGATTTAAGTTCCTATGTCATATTTCTGGTCACAACATCACCAAAATTTACTAAATAAAGACCAAAATATTTCTAATATCAAGCATTGAAATAAATGTGAGCTATACATACAGTTAAGAAAAGTTAATAAAAAACAAGTTAGAGTATTGTTTACCCACTTATTCCAGTTCAGGGTAGAGGGTGGCTGAAGAGTTCCAGCAGCCCAGGGCACAGGGTGTGAACCATCCCTGGACAGGATGCTCCTGCATCACTGGGCACACTTTCACATAACCCCCACACCCCCTCACTCACTCAGGTGGGGACAATTTAGGCACACCAATTCACTTAACATGCACATCTCTGAAATTTAGGAGGGAACCAGAATACACGGAGAAAGCCCACACAGACACGGGAGAAGATGCAAACTCCACACAATGGCCCCTGCCAGGAATCAGGTTTTTTCCTCATGAACGTTGTAAGTACAATACAATGTTGAATGAACCATTATTCAAGGACCTGCTGTATTTTGTGTATAGATACTCAGTTATTCTAACACTTTATGTCGAAATCCTTTCCCTACTGAATTACCTTGGCATTTCTGCTGAAAATCAACTGACCATTTATGTGTGGATCTACTTCTGGGCTCCTTATTCTGTTTCACTGATCTATATGCCCAACCCATGCCAATACCACACTATTTTGATTACTCTATGTTTACCTAGTACGTCAGAATCAAGTAGTATGAGTCCTCCAACTTCGTTCTTTCTTTGCAAAAATTAGAATGTACAAGATGTTGCCTGTTGCCTGCTGTGAGCCAAGTCCTTCATTCTGTCCATTTCAATAAGGAATTTGGTATTTCAAACATACCACTCAAGAAATCAGGATTGACTTTACTGTTTGAAGAATGCACTGTACTGACATCACTTACCACATTGGAGGCTTACTTTATACCTATAGAGTTCAACACCAAACAAAATAAATCTTAAATTCTGAGACAGCTGGCCATTAAATTATGAGTAAAATTCATCATCAGCTTATATTACCTATTATGTGACCTTCCTCTGTTCCTGTGGTAAAAACCCTTGGGAACAATCAAGTACAACTATATATCAGGGGTGTCCACACTAAAAAAAGAATTGTCTTGGGTCACATATAAAATACACTAACATTAATGACACCCGATGAGCTTAAAAAAAATTGCAAAAAAAATCTAATAATGTTTCAAGGAAGTTTTCGAATTTGTGTTGGGCTAGAAAAACGTCCTGGGACGCATGTGACCCACGGGTCATGGGTTGAACAAGCTTGCTATGTATCATTACTAATATATTACTAATGAGCTTAGCATTGCATGCTTTTTACATGTTTATTAAAGTATACATATATAATATTACTAAGAGTAATATATAATACATCTACTGAAAGTAATATATATCACTAGTAAGAGTAGTTATTACTATTTAAAAAGTAATTCATATTTTTTATAAATACATTTTAAAATAAAGAACATGGTAACATTTCCATGACAATGACAAAAGCTGTGTTTAAGTTCAAAAAGAAAAATCAGCAGCTGACAGTACTACTGCAACCCTTGAAAGAATAGTTCAGAAAAAGGAATATACATTTATAGCCTTACATCATGCAAATCATAGTATAATAGGTGTAGGTTTTACTTTGTAGGTTTCACTTTTTACAATTCAAAAGGTTATCCCTTATATAGAATGCATATAAATATTAAAACAAAACAGTTATTTTGCTGTAATGTACATTAATTTTAAAATATGAATACTAACCATAAAGCACCTAAGTGATCCGAATAGTTTACAAATGACTTGTATATTTATTATGTAGCTTTTCCAAGGCGGATTTTGCCATTTATCTAAATAGAATCACCTAAAATATTAGTTGTCTTTCCCCTTTCTCTAATAGTTCCTAAATTAAAAGTATCAAACTAATCTTCCCTAATGTTAGTATTTCATATTCTTCAAATATGTTAACTTTTTAAATTCTTCAAATTTTTCAAATTCTAATTTTTTTCTATTACTCAAATCATTTCACCTGTTGAAAGCCACATTTGTTCATGGAAACTTGTTCTTTAGAAACCTGAATATAAATAGAAATGAAATAAAATTCAAGGTTCACACTAAACTTTAAGCTGGACATAAAATGGTATTCTGACATGCTAGTTCCAGGAAATTTCTTTTTAATTTTTTTTATTATACTTTAAGTTCTAGGGTACATGTGCACAACGTGCAGGTTCGTTACATATGTATACATGTGCCATGTTGGTGTGCTGCACCCATTAACTTGTCATTTACATTAGGTGTATCTCCTAATGCTATCTCTCCCCGCTCCCCCCACCCCACGGTAGGTCCCGGTGTGTGATGTTCCCCTTCCTGTGTCCAAGTGTTCTCATTGTTCAATTCCCACCTATGAGTGAGAACCTGTGGTGTTTGGTTTTCTGTTCTTGCAACAGTTTGCTGAGAATGATGGTTTCCAGCTTCATCCATGTCCCTACAAAGGACATGAACTCATCCTTTCTTATGGCTGCACAGTATTCCATGGTGTATATGTGCCACATTTTCTTAATCCAGTCTATCATTGATGGACATTTGGGTTGGTTCCAAGTCTTTGCTACTGTGAATACTGCCACAATAAACATACATGTGTATGTGTCTTTATAGCAGCATGATTTATAATCCTTTGGGTATATACCCAGTAATGGGATTGGTGGGTCAAATGGTATTTCTAGTTCAAGATCCTTGAGAAATTGCCACACTGTCTTCCACAATGGTTGAACTAGTTTACAGTCCCACCAACAGTGTAAAAGTGTTCCTATTTCTCCACGTCCTCTCCAGCACCTGTTGTTTCCTGACTTTTTAATGATTGCCATTCTAACTGGTGTGAGATGGTATCTCATTGTGGTTTTGATTTGCATTTCTCTGATGGCCAGTGATGATGAGCATTTTTTCATGTGTCTTTTGGCTGCATAAATGTCTTCTTTTGAGAAGTGTCTGTTCATATCCTTCGCCCACTTGTTGATGGGGTTGTTTTTTTCTTCTAAATTTGTTTGAGTTCTTTGTAGATTCTGGGTATTAGCCCTTTGTCAGATGGGTAGCTTGCAAAAATTTTCTCCCATTCTGTAGGTTGCCTGTTCACTCTGATGGTAGTTTCTTTTGCTGTGCAGAAGCTCTTTAGTTTAATGAGATCCCATTTGTCTATTTTGGCTTTTGTTGCCATTGCTTTTGGTGTTTTAGACATGAAGTCTTTGCCCATGCCTATGTCCTAAATGGTATTGCCTAGGTTTTCTTCTAGGGTTTTTATGGTTTTAGGTCTAATATTTAAGTCTTTAATCCATCTTGAATTAATTTTTGTATAAGGTGTAAGGAAGGGATCCAGTTTCAGCTTTCTACATATGGCTAGCCACTTTTCCCAGCACCATTTATTAAATAGGAAATCCTTTCCCCATTTCTTGTTTTTGTCAGGTTTGTCAAAGATCAGATAGTTGTAGATGTGTGGTATTATTTCTGAAGGCTCTGTTCTGTTCCATTGGTCTATATCTCCGTTTTGGTACCAGTACCCTGCTGTTTTGGTTACTGTAGCCTTGTAGTATAGTTTGAAGTCAGGTAGCGTGATGCCTCCAGCTTTGCTCTTTTGGCTTAGGATTGTCTTGGCAATGCGGGCTCTTTTTTGGTGCCATATGAACTTTAAAGTAGTTGTTTCCAATTCTGTGAAGAAAGTCGTTGGTACCTTGATGGGGATGGCATTGAATCTATAAATTACCTTGGGCAGTATGGCCGTTTTTACAATATTGATTCTTCCTATCCATGAGCATGGAATGTTCTTCCATTTGTTTGTGTCCTCTTTTATTTCGTTGAGCAGTGGTTTGTAGTTCTCCTTGAAGAGGTCCTTCATATCCCTTGTAAGTTGGATTCCTAGGTATTTTATTCTCTTTGAAGCAATTGTGAATGGGAGTTCACTCATGATTTGGCTCTGCGTCTGTTATTGGTGTTTAAGAATGCTTGTGATTTTTGCACATTGATTTTGTATCCTGAGACTTTGCTGAAGTTGCTTATCAGCTTAAGGAGATTTTGGGCTGAGACAGTGTTTGATAATCCTAAATTAAAGCGCTTGCCCAAAAATTGCAGTGGTTCTGAATCAGTTGGGAATAAGGAGGCATATTTAATAATTACATTTTTGCAACTTTGTTTTCTTTGCATGTCCAAATTACAGTGTTTCAAAGAGATGGTAAATTTTTCTTAGAAGAAAATAAATATCAAGTTAAAAAATCTGGAGTTAAGAATAAAGAATAAGAATAAAGAAATGGGTCAAATGAGACACTGACAAATGAGAAAGTCCTAAGATATAAAGATATTGAAAAATACTAAATGACTCAAATGTTTCTTTGAAACTTCATTATCTTATCCACGCTATCTACTACAGAGGTTCGTTAAATAGGGGCCATTTGAATAAGTTAGTCAAATGACTTTTTTGTAACCCATGTATATAAAAGGATAATATATATTTTTTATCAGATAGCAGAAGCTGGCTCTCCAGAGGAAAAAAATATTACCGATTAAAAATTAATGTTGGATACACGTTATTTTATGCAATTGCTACCAGGTGAGTAAGACCATATTCTATTTTACTTTTCCTTTGAAATAATGATGTTCGCTTTAGCCTTCATAACACACTACTTCAACAAAAAAAGTTAATTTTGCCCTCTAAACCCAAGAAAAGCTAGGCATAAAATTTGTTCAAAGGGAGACTAGCAACTTTTGCTTCTTCAGGGAATGAAAACCTCAGCAAAGTGATTATCCACAGTTTTTGGTTTCTAGATTTTCCTAATGGAGCACCTCCCTGAAGCTGGTTTTCCATTGCAGAATACTCTTAGATTGTAAGAACAGGCTACATGGCATTTCCAAAATGGCATTTGTGAGCCGGACAAACTTTTGAGTTAAACAGAAGCAACTGGCATTTTAAAAGTCACTAGTCTGGAAACATTTAATCAGGAAAGGAGCTGATTAAAATTAAACTGTTTCACAATCATTGTCTTATACTAGAATGAGTTAAGATTATTAACTTACGACTTCTTTTTAAGTAAGCACAGTAAAGTTTCAGAACCACTAAGGATACAGAAATAGTGTATAGCCTCCAAAAATGGGTGTAAAGAAGGAATGGAATTATGAGCAAAACAAAACAAAACACCAAAACTAATAAGCAAACAGTCCTCAATCAATCAAAAAGGCAAGGCAAGGAGGAGGGGCGCAGAAAGAGAAAAACAGAAAGTAGTCGTTAAGTAAATGGTAGTAACAAACCCCTATCATAATGAATACAAACAAACCAAACTCTTAAAAGACTGTCAGACTAAATAAATAAAAACACACAGAGTAATGTGGTACTTTAAAATGACAAAAAAACAAAAACGGTAAAAATATATGCTACTGAAACATTGTAAGCTTGCTCTACATAATAAAATAGCCTCAAGGTATAGTAATACAGCAAAGATTATACAGCAATATATAAATAAAAAGTAATACAGCAAACACATTTCTACGTATCTTGTTTTTGACAACCAGAGGGAAAAAATGAAGATACAGAATATCTGAACCACATAATAAATGAACATGATTTAATGAAAACATAGCAAACCCTATATGTAACAATCAGAGAAGAGATATTTTTCTCAAGCACACTGGACATATGTATAAAATCTAACAATACATTAGGTCCAAAAGCAATTTTTAACAAATTTTTTAAAAAAATAGTATGAGAGGCCACAAAAATCAGTACTTAGAGGTAAATGTACAGCTTTAATGTTTGTATTACAGAAGAAAAGCTAAAAATTAAGAACCCAATCTAAAAAATTACAAAAAGAACAGCAAAATTAGCTCAAGTAAATAGAAAAGGTAACAAACGTAATAGTATAAACTAGTGAAACACAACACAAACACAAAATAGTGTCAATAAAAACTAAAATTTTTTTTAAATTTTTGGGTCAAGACTAATAAAACATAGAAACCTTGTGACAAGACAGAGAGAAGACAGAAATAACAGACATGAAAAAAATAAATGCTCTAATTCCTAGAAAAATTCAACCTACTAAAAAGAACAGACTAAGTGAATACTGGTTATACAATATAGAGATGGGACTTGTAGTTAATTTCCACCTTTTCCCCACCTTATCCCAAATACAAAACCACCAGGTCCACATAGTTTTACAGGAGACTTCTATCAAATTTCAAGTGAGATCATTCCACTCTTAAAACGCTTCTGAGAATCAAAAATAAAAAATAAAAAAATAATTTTTTTTCTCTGAGGCCAGTATTAAAAACAGGCTAATTAGGTGTAAGAAAAAAAGAAGCCAATCTCAAATCATGAACACACATGTAAGACTCTTAGTAACAAATCATATCCAAGACTGTTCATATTGAAAAAAGATAATATATATTGCCAAATTGGAAATGCAAAGTTAGTCTGACATTAGAAAAATATACACATTCTGAGATGAGATCGTGCCACTGCACTCCAGCCTGGGCGACAGAGCAAGACTCCGTCTCAAAAAATAAATAAATAAATAAATACAAAAGAAAAATATACATATTCAATTTATCATATTAATAGATTAAAGCAAAACCATATGATTATTACTTTAGTAGATAAAGTATTCATTAAAATTTAATGCCCAATGAAGAGTTTACATAAGGCCACCACCACCACCACCAAAGACAACCAAAATACTTTCATGGAAAAATAGAGGAGCCAGGTGTGGTGGCTCACACCTGTAATCGCAGCACTTTGGGAGGCCGAAGCAGGTGGATCATGAGGTCAAGGAATCAAGAAAATCCTGGCCAACATGATGAAACCTGGTCTCTACTAAAAATACAAAAATTAGCCAGGCATGGTGGCGGGCGCCTGTAGTCCCAGCTCGGGAGGCTGAGGAAGGGGAATCACTTGAACCCTGGAGGCAGAGGTTGCAATGAGCCGAGACTGCACCACTGCACCCCCACCTGGCGACAGAGAGAGACTCCGTCTCAAAAAAAAAAAAAAAAGGGACCGAATTAATTGATAAAGAATACCTTTTCAAACACCCACGCCAAACATCAATATTAAAGATGACAAGTTTATACCGCTCCATTTAAAACATGGAACAAGAAAAGAAGCTCAATTATGACTTGGTTGTCCTAGACAGTAAAGTAAGAAACAGAACTTAAAAAAAAAAAAAAAAAAAAGATTGTCTACAGATAAAAATCAAAGAATGTAATGTATAAGCAAATTATTAGAATTAAAAAGAACATTTATACAAGGTTGCTAGATAAAAAACAAGTTTTTAGATAAAACTTACAAAAGCATCAAAAATATTAAACTCCTAGAAATAAATTTAGCAAAAGATGTACAATACTTGAATACAGAAAATTACAAAGCAAAATCAGAATTAAAGAAATCCTAAATAAATGAGGGTGATACAGTATGTTTATGAAAAAGAAAATTCAACATTTTTAAGAATTCTACTTCTAATTTCTCAAATTCAATAAAATTCTAATTAAAACCACAAGAATACTTTTCCAAGGAATTTGATAAGCTGATTCTCATTTTATATGAATGCGTCAGGCAGCTCCTAATGAAAATACAGATACTTGTCCTACTAGATATCAAGACTCATTAGAATTATAGTAATTAAAACTATATCATGTACTATTTGTGCAGAGATAGACAACTTGATGAATAGAATGGAAGAGCCCAACACAGAACTAGGCAAAAAAAGAATCATGAAATGACAGATGGCACTCTAGCCACTGGACTATTCAATAAAGTTACTAAAACAAATAGTTATCCATATGGAGAAAAATGAAATTGGACTACTACCTTACCCTTTTCAAAGAATCAATTCCAAATAAATTTGGAACACTAAGGGCAAGCCTTTGAAAAAAAAATAAAGATATCCTCGAGACCTTGGGACAGAAAGTAATTTCTTAACCATGACACAAAAAGTGCTAATCATATAAGAGACTGATAAATTTAACTACCATTTAAATTCAGTTCTTTTCACTAATATACCATAAAAGAACCAAGTCATTAACAGAGAGAAGATTTTTGCAACATATATGTACAAAAGGCATCTGTATCCACAATACATAAGAACCCCTAATAAAACAAAATTGGGGGCAGGGGGACAAATAACAAAAAAAAGGCATTTCACAGAAATGAGAATGGAAGATAAACATAAAAAAATTGTTCAACCTCATTATTAGGAAATGCAAATTAAAACCATGATGAAATACTATTTTTATACCCATAGATTAGGAAAAATCAAGAAGTCTGAAGATTGTCAGAGTTGATAAACCTGCAGCGCAAAGAGAACTATTGCACTTTGCTGGTGGAAATGTGTATCAGTGTATCACCAATTTGGCATTATCTTGCATGGTTGAATATGCACGTTCTCTGTGAGACTCACCTATTCCACTCTTAGATATACAATGAAAGAATTTACTCACATATTACTAGAACACATGTTCAGTAATCTTCACAGTACGATTGTTCATAGTGACAAAAAACAAAATAAACATGGAACACCCAATATACCCTACTACAATGAATACAAGTATATCCACGTAATAAAATCGTATACAGCATGAAATTTAACTATAGCTACATGCCAAGACTCAAATAAATCTTAAAACAAGATTTAAGAGAAAAAAGTATAATTACATTATAATAATTACATTAATAGGTAATTACATTATGTAATGTATAGTGCTCAAAATTAAACAATATATGCCGTTTAGTAATACATTCAGAAACCATTATTTTTATAAGAAGTAAGGAAATGAATGAAAACATCTTAGAATAATGATCACATCTGGGTGAAGGGAAATAGAGTGACTGAATAGGGACAGACAACATATAGAGATTCAATGATACCATCTAGTTTTTAAGCTGGGTGAGAAATCATCAGTATTGTGTTACTGTTATGCTTCAAAAAATGTTACATGTATTCTTTTCTATGCATTATGCAGTACATGATTGATGATAAGGGTATACTTACATAGTAAAAGAATTTACTTTTTTCTGTACAATCAAATGACTAGGAAAGTAGAGTTATGGCAATGTTAAGAGTGACAGCAAAGAAAGCTTAGCTGAACTATATTCAGTTTCAATACTTGATTTTAAAAACGACACTAGGAGAGAATTTGGGCTTTTCTGTTACTCTCAAAGATATTTAAAAGACACAACATGCTGCAGCACTCTTGCTTCTCACAATTACATACTGTTTTATTAAGGACCTTCAAATTTAAAAAAAGCACACAAAATTTCTAATCTCCATAATGCTTGAAAGACAAATTTAAAACTACCCATAAATAAATACTTATATTTTTAAGTTAAATCTCAAGAATTAGATAACTTTACATCTAAGAATTCCTGGGATCTTTTTATTTAATGGGTCAAATAGTTCCTATTTCAAATTTATTTAGCATTTTTAATTATGATTAACTATGTCTCTCATTTAAAACAAGAGGTTTGGATGACCATGATATATGATGCAGCTACCAAGTCTCTTATACAGAAAAGCAAAAAGCAGGATATTGTAACTATAACACTTTCCCACACTTGTTGAGGTCCATCTTTTAGTCAAAGATTTAACTTATGCACAAATGCACAAACATAAATATACATACATATATACGTTACAAATCCGAAATTCACATAAGTCATAAAATAGAGACCTTTTATTTAAATGGCTGTAGACCACATTTTAACACAGGTACAGACAATCTAAGAAACTAAGTTTTTAATAAAGATTATTAAGAACATTCCTAGTAGTAGGATAAGTTAGAATAAAGTTAAGATACTCTGCGCAATTCTCTGCACAAATTTTTTTACTAATAATTACCTTCATGAAGAGATATTTCTAGCTGATTAGTAAAATCTACATAAAAAATTATAAATGCAAATTGCCTGAATAACTGGTTATCAATCATATATTTATAATAACCACAGAAATTACACAAAATATTATATGATCAATAATCAAAGTTGGACCTGAATATCAATCATTAACTGTTTACTGATGATATCTGTTCAATAGATCTAATATTGCCATTAGCATGTGTAAATTAAGTATAAGTATAACCATATTGACTGACACAAAAGTTGTATTTAGGCAGTCCAGTCGAGGTAATGAAATCTACCTGAAGTAATGGCGGAACAAATCTCATACACGAAAGGGCCGGAGTCAAATATTTAAATTAATGGCATTAGTGAAACTTTAACTAATCTCCAGATAATCCCCATTATATACAGCTTTCACCCCTCTCTCACTTTCTGTTTCCTCAGCCTTTGGAAAGCA
Organism: Homo sapiens; assembly: GCF_000001405.40. NCBI lineage: Eukaryota > Metazoa > Chordata > Mammalia > Primates > Hominidae > Homo > Homo sapiens. Next base: position 181,026,543 of record NC_000002.12, on the reverse strand, counting down.
TGTATCAAGGATTTAAAAAAAAAAAAAAATAGTTGAAAGATCTAAGAACTAGCTGACAGAAAATACAATACACAGAGGTGTCTCTGCTCTACCTTCAGACAAACAAGATAGAGAAACCAGCAGGAATCAAAATGGTCTATGAGAGACTGCAGTTATTTGTTAAGGGAATGGAAATGAAAGAGTTACCTAGGGTTTATTCATTATCTTCTGAAATTGAAAAAAAAAATCAGATTACAAAAAAATGCCATGACAATCTACAGAATATGTAATCTATATTTGCTATACTAAACAACTGGTTTTTCTGTTTCTATGAGAATATCTAAAGTATTAGCTTCAATCATTATTTTCAAAATTTAACTTAATCCTCCAAAGGGTTTCAGTGTGTTTTTTCATCTTTTCCTGCTGTTTAAAACTATTTAAGTATTCATTATCCCAACAGATTTGATTCTACGCAAAAGCCTCCCCAAATCTACTGTCATTGTATTAACTGCTCTGTTGACCCTGCAAATGAGATCAAATTGCTTCTTGGTATTACTCAACATTTAACGTATGTTTTGAATGACGTTAAAATATTTTTACAGTTTTTAGACAAAATGTGATTACACGTTTATGTGCAAATTTCCATAAATCCATTGCCTGCTCTTTAGAAAATTTGTTTCCATATAAAGTAGAGCTATCTTAGAGAGTTTTAAAAACAAAAAAGAAAGGGCTCTACATTGACATTAGAATTGTTCTTATAGAAGACTTGGTATGAAACTCAGATTTTTCTTTTTTCTCTTTGAAGACTAACAAATTGTCACTGAAATGATTCTTCACTGCTAATATATGTAGATGTGACTGTAGAAGATTATTAATAGCCAATGATATGATTCAAATACAAAATTAATAATGGCCCTATATTTCCCTCATTTCTGAGACAAGTCCAGTAACACAGGACGATGGTCATTTAAATGTAGAAAAAAAATTAATATGTGGTATTTTACAACTATTAACAACTTAGACAAGTCTTCTAAAAGAATACCCTTAAATGCCATATATCCCAAATATACCTGTATACACAATAAAGAGGAAAAGGAAGTATCAAAGTTCTCTTACCTAACAAAGCTAAATGTATTTTAACATAAACTGTCAGGGAAAAAATAGATAATATCTTCAATGACAAAATCAATGTTATGACACTGTGAAAATTACATTTATTTGCATAGTGGTAATAAAAATAAAAGCATTTCTAGAAAGCAAGACACTCCATTGTCTTAAATGTTAAGAGCAAGGTTTCTGTGGTCTATTTAAGAGAGTAGGCTAGTGGATATGATTAGGAATTCAAGTATAATTGTGCAAAGTAGTCTGGTTTCTGGACAAATGCCAAGACCCACTCTAATCCTAAACAGTACTTCAAACCACTCGTGCCCCTATAAATTATTTGGTATTTTTTACTTCTTGAGAATACTTCCAACTTTCGTCCCAGAACGTATCTCCATGTGGCTAACTAAAGCCACATGAAAGGCTTATAGTGAATTCTAAAAACCTTTATTAACAACTTTTTAAATTGTCTGTCCTGTCAAAACAGATCATAAAAGTTCCTTTGCAACTGTTCTACTTTTATTAATAGAGCTGATGTGAAGCAGTATAGTAATACATGGGAAATTCTACCTTTGAAATTGCTACATTTGAATTACTACAGTTCAAGCAATATTACCTAAGTTAAAAAAAAATCCTTATTTCATTTCTGTGATGCTGGAGATCACATATTTGGTTTTTAGTGTGTAGTTTTTCATTTATAAAATAGTTACATCAATACCTTTATAAAAATAGATTACTCAAGGATAGAATCTAGATGATGAGCATATAAGTAGTCACTAAAATTTTCAGCTTTATTGTATGTTTACACATTTTCATAATAAAATGTTAAGAGAAAAATAGATTACTGTAACAGATTCATATCTACATAGCACATCACCATTACATCTTAATAATCACATATATTAAAAGTCAAGTTTGAAAATAAATTTAGAAAACATTCAGAATCTAATTTATAGCTCTGTTACAATTTTAATTTATTGCAGCGCTACCTAATCTGCTTATTGCTTGTTTACTCCATGATGACTGGAACTCAGTTTCCAAAATACTTGACTGAATTTTCCTTCCTTTTTGAAAATGTTTCTGGATTTTGTTTTTGTACAAGGTGAGTGGATAATAGGATGGTAGAATCGTAGGATGAAGTCTTACTTTTTCGTAATCTGGTTTTAACATTAATTCATAGCTCACTTTAAGTTTTACTCTCACATAAAGTGTCAATCATTTTCTGAGAAGAGTCAGTCAAGAGGCTCATCTTGGAAGAAGACAAATGAAGATATTAATGAACTTTCTAAAAAATCCTTTGGGGACTCAATGCTGAAGTCTTCATATGAACTTTTGGCTCACTCATAGTGAAGGACTGAACATACATGTTTACCTGACCTACAACGACAGTATCAATAGGAGAAAAATGACTAACCATATTAGTAACAAACATGAGTACTGGGAGAGGTTACAAATGCAAAAGAAATATAAAACACAGGTATTCCCATTGCTTTATCACTTGTGACAGTAAGGAGTAGGGAGAAATAAAGAGTCTACTTAAATTAAGGATAATAATAATAGTAGTAATGATTATAGCTAACATTTATCTAGCACGAACTTACGTGGAGGGCACCAGTTTATGAACTTTCCATGTATCAATTCATTTAATTCTCACACCAAAATTATCAGGTAGATATTTTATCATCGTCATTTAAAAATTAACACACAAAGAATTTAAGTAATGAACCTAAAGCCACACATCTGGTAAGTGATGGTACCAAGATAGAGTCCATGCTCTCAACCCCTTTGCTATATTGGATGCCCCCAATTTTTATGCCCAGAAATCCTTCGAGGTTGTCAGAGTAGAGTTACTTAAAGAGCATGGCTACTGTTCTATCAGGCGGCTGTGTTAAAGAAAGTAAGGGATGCCTCACACTGGCCGAATTCCTCTGTCTTCTTGTGCCACAAAGCAATTCATGATTCCTTTAAGTAGCAAACTCCTTATTATCAAATGAAAGGTGAAAGCATTAATTTTAAGTATTTGTAACAAATATCATTGATAATGGAGTTTTTGTGGCAATATACATTGTTTGAGAAATCAGAAGACAAAAGTAGAGGATGTTCTATTTACTATGAAAGATTAAGAAATTCAAGATAAAAGTAACTAAATCAAATTTTAACAACTAAAATACTAACTTAATCCAAATCATTTTCTCACTATTCAGCATACAGTCAATTCTCATTATTTGGGGATTTTGTGTCTGTGAATTCACCTACTCCTAAAAATATAAAGATGGTTCCTGATGTTTCTACTTAATGATTTTCAGATGTTAGGATGGGTTTATTGGGGCGCGGCCCCACTGTAAGTCAAGGAACTCCTCACAACTTACTCATGTCGGGGTTATGGTTTCTACTGAATGCATGTGATTTCTACTAAATGTATATTGCTTTCTCACCATCGTAAAAAACATTAAGTGGAACCACTGTTGGTCGGGGACTATCTGGTTTATTACCAGCATTAACTGTATTTTTGACTTCCAGTAGTGCTTATCAGGACATAGCCCCATTGTAAGTTGAAGGACATCTGGTATTTGTAAGCCAAAAATCAATACTAGGGGCTTTTGCAGTCATTTACAGACAATGCGCAGAGTGGAGAAAAATTTGAGTCCCAGCTGAGGTTGAACAAGGCAGCACTCTGTCTTCTGTTTCAGCTCTCTTTCTGTAAACCTGTGGGGTTTTTTTTTTGTTTTTTGTTTTTTTTTGCAGCCTACTTAGTACCATGCTTTTTGCATTTTTGTGCTTTTTGTTAGTAATTTCATTGTTTGAAATGGTCCCCAACATAATGCTAAAGTGCTATCTAGTGTTTCTAAGTGCAAGAAGGCTGTGACATGCTTTACTGATAAAATACATGTTTAGATGAGCTTCCTTCAGGCATGGTTATAGTGCTGTTGGCCACGAGTTAAATGTTAATGAATCAACAATATACACTGAGAAGATGTTTTTCAACAGAAACATAAAATGGTTATGTATTAATTTACATAATTAACTAGAAGATCAAAAAAAGATAATCTTTTATTTCCCCTAGGAGTAATGGTTCAGTATTCGCTAATTCGGTGTTTGACAACTTTATGGAACATAACACCACCGAGAATAATGAAAATCAACTGTGTTTATTTTTCTAAATGTTTGATAAATCTTCCTGAAATAGAGCTAGCAATAATACTAATCTTATTTTCAAGAGTCTAACCAAAAAGGTTACATTTCCTATAAAATAACTATTAACATTCATAAAAAAATGGCAGTCTGACTCCTAAACTTATAGTATGTTTGCCATAACAATATTAATCATAGGACATCAAAGTTTAATGTTCCATTTACTTTCCAATATTACTGTTAATGCTATCTTATTACATCTGTACTGCATTTTACAATTTCCAAAATGTTAACGTACATTATTATTTTACCTTCACAAAAGTTTTAAGGCAGAGCAGTTTTTACCCTTAACAGTAAAAAAGTGACCAAAAGGGAAAAATTGGTGGTTTCACATAGAAGGAAGACTAAGGTCAAGGATTCTGGGCACTTTTACTCTAAACTTTTAGATGCATTTAAAAATCACTTAAGAAAGCAAAACCCAGAAGTATTTTCCAACCTACTTATAATCCTTGAAAAAGATAAAATAAAAACAAATAGAAAGCTAGTCTGCAAAAGTATTAAGAAATCCACTGGTCAAAAACTGCTAAATTACTTTATATGGTTCCATGACCACAGACATTAATAGATATAGTATATTTAAAAGAAAAGTTGGGAAGGAAGGAAAGAAGGAAGGAAGGAAGGAAGGAAGGAAGGAAGGAAAAAAGGGAGGGAGAGAGGGAGGAAGGAAGGAAGGGAGGGAGGAAGGAAGGGAGGGAGGGAGGAAGGAAGGAAGGAAGGGAGTATATTTAAAAGAAAAGTTGTAAAGAAAGAATAAAAGAAAGAAGGAAAGGAAAGGAAAGGAAGAGAGAGAGAGAAAGAAAGAGAAAAAGAAAGAGAGAGGGAGGGAGGGAGAAAGGAAGGAAGGGAGGAAGGGAGGGAGGGAGGGGAAAAGAAAAGAGAAAAGAGGAAAAAAAGAAAAGAAAACAAAAAAAAAAGAAGAGAAAAGAAGAAACACTGTAATGGTGAGGTTATCTGGATAATCAATTTTTAACACTCGGATAAAGACAGAAAAATGTAACTTAAATGAATATATGACTTCACAAGGGAAAACAATACTCCATTAGGATTAATATCTTATTTGTCAGCAAAAACATCACAATCCTGACTAATCTCATGTTTCGTAGTCGCAACTACATTACTATATGTGAAAGCCCACGAAGACTGGTATATTGCTGTAGCTATTATCCTATTTCTGTAAACCACCTTTCCCTGAAATAATTACTACTTTTCACATATAGTAGGGTAAGAAATGATTGACAAAGTATGTAATAACCCTTTCATCAGTTTCAAATGCATACACAAATATTGAAACATGTCCAACTAAAATATTACAAAACAGGAAGGATAAAAATTCCCCTTTCCTATCCTCTACCATTCCCTAACTCTAAAAACTTAATATAAAACTTAATCCATCCAGTCACCTACAACCATATCACTAGATTTACCCATGTCAGGGAAATCCAGATATAATGAGGTGAATTTCAAGTTGTCTATTTTTTATGACTACCTTACTTTTTTCCTTATGCATTACATATGAAACCCACTTTAACCATTTACCTTTTTTCCCTTAGCTCTATATGAAGACTAGTTTAGGCATTCCCTCTGAATCCACACTATGGCTTTTATTTGAACTTAGACACAAGAAACAAAGAAGTATTTGATAAGATTTGCTCAGCAGATGGAAAAGTCGTAGTGGTATTATTGAAATGACTATGAATTAAAAACAAAGGAAATAATTCTAGTTTTATTACATTATTATTAAGGATCAAAATCTTTTAATCAACTGTGACAGCTTGAATTGTAGGCCCCTAAAAGATAATGTTGAAGTTCTAACCCCCAGTATCTCAAAATGTGAGCATATTTGGAAACAGAGTCACTGCAGATGTAATTAGTGAAGATGAGGTTATACCAGAGTATGGTGGCCCTTAATCTTTATGGGTTATGTCCTTACAAGAAGAGAAGAGAGACAGAGATACTCAGGAAGAAGGCAGCCATGTGACAATGGAGGTAGAGTGACGTCAAAAACACAAGCTAATAGAGGCAAGGAAGGATGCTCCCCCTACAGATTTCAGAGGGAGCACGGCCCTGTCCACATCTTATACTGGAGAACTAGCCTCTAGATTTGTGAGACAATAAATTTATGTTCAAAGTCACCCAATTTGTGGTACTTGGTTATGGCAGCCCCAGGAAACTAATACATCAACCTTCCCACAAAAACAGATAAGAAATACAGTAGTCAAACTCAGAGATGCAAAGAGTAGAACACTAGTTGTCAGGGGTTGACGTATGGGGAAATGGGGAGATATTGGTCAAAAGGTACACAATTCTAGCTATGCAAGATGAACAAGTTCTGGAGATCTAATGTACAGCAACGTGTCTACAGTTAACAATATTGTATCATACACTTGATATTTGCTGAGAAAGTAGATCTTAAATGTTCTCACCACAAAAAAAAGAAAAAAATTAAAAGAAAATGGTAAGTATGTAAGGTGAAGGCTACGTTAACTAGCTTATGGTGATTATTTCACAATATACATGTATCAAAATATACATACCAAAATATCAAGCTGTATACCTTAACTATACATATTTAAATTTGTCAATTATCTCAATAAAGCTCATATTTTTATGTTTAAAAAAACTAATAGTAAGTAGACTTTTTAAAAAAATCACTGGTACATTGTGTTCCCCAATGAAAATAATTTTTGAGATAATTACAAATGAAGCTCCCATCTCCTGAGTTTTCTAGTTTCTATTATTCCTTCAAAATGCAAAACCAAAATAAAATATATGCTGTGGTTTCCAAAGTAACAAGATGAAACAACCGCCAAGTTAAAAATGACACTGAACACTGAATTTTGAAAGTTTAAAAGTTTATATTACAGGTAGAAAAAAGATTAATGCAAGGTTAATATGCTTCTGAGTGACATTTATGGGCAGCACATTTTGAGCACCGGCTGAACATGTTCCAATGATTTAGCGTCTATCAACTAAGAATTTCAGGGACCCGTATTCTCATAAATTTTAGAGCTAGGCCGGGTGCGGCGGTTCACACCTGTAATCCCAGCATTTTGGGAGGCCAAGGCAGGTGGATCCCTTGAGGTCAGGAATTCGAGACCAGCCTGACCAACACGAAACCCTGTCTCCACTAAAAATGCAAAATCAGCCAGGTGTGGTGGCACATGCCTGTAGTCCCAGCTACTTGGAAGACTGAGGCACGAGAATCGCTTGAACCTGGGAGGCAGAGGTTGCAGTGAGCAGAGATCACACCACTGCCCTCCAGCCTGGGCGACAAGAGCAAAACTCCATCTCAAAAAAAAAATTTAGAGCTAGAAAGGAACTTAAGAGTTGTAGTATTTCCAACTTCCTTACTTTACAATGAAAAATCTGAGAGCATGGAACCTAGATCTATCCTGACATCCAACTCAGGTAATTGTTTATGAGGAAAATAACACTCCCCTATATAAAAGGCATGAGCTTTTCTAGACCCTCCAGACACAGAAGAAAATAATTATACATATTTATTATTATACTATGGTCATTTGTTAAGATGTTACCAACTGTATGAAATCAAAGATGAAGAGTCCTGGAGGACTGGGAAAGTGTGAGGAAGAAACCCTAACTCCTTCAATTAAAATGACTTCCTTCAAGCTCTTCAGAATCAGCTCACTAATGGAAAAAAAAAAAAAAAAAACACAGAAATTGAAACAAAATGCAGGGAGATCAGCAAATAAAAAGGGCACAGTTTTACTACTATACTCCCCTGAGTCCTCGGGCACAAAAGCTCATCAAGAATAGATTAACTGCACTGAAAGGTAGATAGGTATCTGCACCCAGATAAACTGTACAATCCTAGGCCAAATATATATGTATACACAGATAAAAATATTATCTTCCTAGGTCAAATATATATATATATATACACACACACAGAGATAAAAATATTAAACACATGTGTAAACACAGGTGCTTATATGTGTGGATATGTATTTATGTATACAGGTACATCACCAGAATGCATTCCTCCAAGGTGGACAGAATCTCTAAACATAATTAGTGTTCTTTATATTTTATTGGCATAAATTGCTACTAGAGTATAACTGTTTTTATTATACATTCAAGAACATTCATTTTAGAAGACAGCCAGCAGTACCAAGAAGAGTAAAGAAAATGAAAGTCCCACAGGCATAAGTGAAGCCAAAGCACAATCACTGTAGCAGCCCCATAATGTAGAGCTAGGTTAAAAATACAACGAAAACAAAATTAGGGTGGTCTTCTAGGTAGAAAGAGAAAGCAGAAAGTAAAGGCACTGTGAAAAGAAATACAGAAAAAAGAGAGTCACGCTCAGAAGACTGAGCTGGAAGATGATGGCTGACATGAAGCTGGGATTCCTCTAACCAAAAAATCCTGTAGCAACAGGGCCCTCGTCAATCACTCCCTTTAAAAAAGCATCTTAAACCCCCTATCCTGTAGTTAGCAGATACCCGTTTTAGTTCGGAGCTGAAAGACAAGGTAAGTCCAAAGCATACTAGATCTAACTATTACTTAAACAAATTAGGAAACAAACAAAGAAAAACAAAAAAACCTTTTATGCTGTTGTTAAATAAGCAACATATGACACTTCCGTATTAAAAAAAAAAATGGATCAAGGAAGAGTCCAGAGTAGGAAGGCATAGATGAATCCAGTCTAGAAAAAGCTACATTTCCCAAAAGGATGGTATGCATATTACCGCATTTCCATGAGGTGACTTTAGACAATACACATACACGCTGTCTTCCCTTGGAGAAAACTGCTCAGAATTGTCACATTCGTAGTCCAGTTTCAGAAGAAAAAGTGTTGGCTTAATCCAGGAGGGATCATGCTTGGTTTCCACCCCCCTCATGCCCCTAACTCAAAAATTACCATCCCAACCTCAGACGCAACCATCCCTAAGGCTTCATTTCTGAGCCCCCTTTACTGGTTCTGCTCTAAACTCGTCCCACTGGCCCCTCCTGGACCTCAGCCTTTACCTGCACACATCTATTTCCAGGAGTCTTGACCACTGTATCCCACTTTAATGTAAACTTCCAGCCCCTGTGATTCTTCCATACTCCCGATCCCTATGTCCTTCCTTCAGGCTTTAACCTTCTCCCCACTCTCAGGGAATGTTCTATCAGTCTCAGGCCCTTCTATAACACAGGTTGCATTCCTGGCCCAATTCTGTCTCCACCTCCAGTTTTCTCTTTTAAATCAAATCCAGCTGCTCCTCACTCTCCCTACTCTGTCTGTGATATAAAGTTCTCAATCAGATGGGATCAAATTGCCAGTTTCAAGCACAATTCTTAGAACAGTTATGGCATTTCCAGGCTCTGGCTTCTAACTTAAAGAGGTTCCCTCTCTCTGGGCCCTTGGTCCTTCCTATCTTTCATATATATCCACCCCACTGCCCATGAGGGGAGAAAGAGTTCCTTATCTTTTCAGACTTTCATACCAATTTTTTGTTAAGTTTTGTTCTTATTTATCAAGCAGTTTCCTTCTGAAATATATTTAAGTAAAATATATGAATACACATTTAAAGAAAAATTTCTAGTAAATCATAATAGTCGTGAGACTGATAGGGCGACAGTTGTTAAAGCTGTACAAAACTAAGGTTTGGGAAACACTAATGCTTTGCAAAAAGAATCAGTTTGGGGGTCAACAGACTTGAGCTGGGATTCTACCTCCATTACTTATAAGCCAGGTAATTGTCAAGTTATCTAGGCTAAACTGTAAAATGAGTCTGACATAAGCAGCCTCATAGGGTGTTACATATTAAATAAGAAATATTAAGAAAATGATACGACCTGCCACATAGTTGGTGACAATAAATTTGAGTTTTTTTATAGCTCTGACTCCAACCCTGTCATTTTTATTGATAAAGACAAAAAGGTATTAGCCAAGCATGGTGGCTCATGCCTGTAATCCTAGCACTTTGGGAGGCCAAGGAAGCAGGATCGCTTGAACCCAGGAGATCAAGACCAGCCTGGACTACACAGTGAGATCCTGTCTGTACTAAAAAATTTAAAAAAAAAAATTTAAACCCCAAAAAGGTATAAAGAAGGTAAAGGTTAGTGTCTTGCCCAGGCTCACAAAGTGAAATCAGTGGCAGATTCAGGGTTAAAATTCAGTTATTTGAAACCGGGCCCACTACATTGTTCACTAGTATTTATTTCAAGGTCTGCCATATGAATGCCAGAAGTAGCATGTGGTTATTTTATCTTTCTAAAATTTCCTATAACTTTATAAAGCTAGTTGAATTGAACAAATTTTAATCTTCATGGCTAATTACTCTGGACTCATTCTCATTGCTCTAACATGCTCCATGGTACTATATAACAGAAACAACATTTGCTGGTGAGAAGAGTACCCAGTTTCTAGTTTGGGCACTTGCAGCATAGTTAGCTATAAATTGCTGAACTAGTGACTTAAGTTTTGTGGGTATCATCTCTAGTATATGGAACAAGGACCATGTAATCATTTTAGTGATTATACTCCAGTCCAGGCTTCTGTGCATTCTTTTAAGATTTTCTCTTACCATTCACCTTTGATGGAATTTGTGGTATTTATTTTTTAAATGTCGATTTTTCCTAGTGACTTCCTAAAACCAATTAACTTGCTTTTATTCCATCCTTATCTGTTATTATAAAAAATTTAAAGTAAAAAATCATCTTACCTTTATCATATAATGAAAACTGTTCATTTTTCCAAGAATTCTGACACTGTCTTTTAATACTGCATTTCCTCCAGATTATACTTTTATCATTTATTTCACCACTTGGTCTTTTTAATAAGTAGTCTTTTTGTTTTTGTTAGTCTTTATTGCAAAAATCATTAAGTACTATCATCTATCCCTACTTTGTCTCAGTAAACACTGTAGTTATTGACAAAATGTTCTAGATGTATTAAAATAAAAAAAATGCAAGTCACCAATTTAGTTCACAAAGAACACATATAAGCTATGTGATAAAGCCCTCATTTTAAAATGTCCTAATGTGACTATATGTAGGCTTAAAATATTGGGCCATAAATGCTGTTTCAATTTTTAAATATGTTTTTGCATGTCCTGAATTTTATACTAAATTCACATGTATAGGATTCCACCCTTTTTGTTGTCTCCCAGATCCTTACCATAAGCATATAAAAGTTGTGAACCCCTTCCATCTTAAAAGGGAAAAAAATATTAATTAAGAAAAAAACAACTCTGTACTTCGTTTTTCTTTGCAGCTATTGACCTCAGTCTCTAATGCCTGCTTGACCACACATCTTAAGGGCTGCTTCATCAGGCATCACCGTTCTCTTCCTTCCCACTCACTTTTCACACCATTCTAAATTGACTTCACTTCCACTTCAATAATACAGTGGGAAATTATAGTTAATAATTTATTATATATTTCAAAGTAGCTCGAAGAGAAGATCTGTAATGCTACCAACATAAAGATAAATGTTTGAGATGATGGATATCCCAATTATCCCCATTTGATCATTATACATCATATAAAGGTATCATATATCACATGTATCTCAAAAACATGTATAACTATATCAATAAAAATTTAAAAAATAATAAAACAGCTCTGCTGAAGTCACCTCCAAGAGACAACAATCAATAAAGATTATCCAGTCCTCAACTTACCTGGCACACCTATGAAATACTTTCTACCTCAGGTTTCCATGACATACAACCTCTTTGTTTTCTTCCAATCTCTCAGGTTAGTCCTTCTCAGCCTTGCTTGCTCATGTAGCCCTCTCTAATCAATCACTGAAAGTTGACCTTAGCCTTCCCTAATCAATCATTAAAAGTTAACTCTTCTCAAAGCTTTTTTCCCCTCTTTTCATCCTCTCCGTTTACACTCACCTAAGTGAACTTTATTGATACATACTGCCATCTATACACCTAAAATACTCAAATAATTTCCAACCCAGGCTGCTTCTCTGAGTTGTATCAGAATGAAATGTAGCCAACTAGCAACACTCCATTTCCACTGAATATCCCTTAAGTAACTCAAACTCACTTTGTTCAGAAATGAACTTAAAATGTTCCCCCACCCACCACAACCACAACCATTGAAAACAAAAACTAAAACTTCCATCTTTACACCCTCCAGGATTTCCTATCTCCGAATATGGCACTGCATTTAATACTTACGTCAGAAACATGGGCATCATCCCTGACATATACATCTCCTTCACCATCCACATCTTTTCAATCAACAGATGCTATCCATACTTCGGCACACCTTTTGTATTATCTACTTCTTACAACCTCCACTTCCACTACCATCAAATCCTTCCTAGACTATTAGAAGCATGTTACTGATCTTCCAGCATCTGCTCTTGCTCTCCCTTCTGTAGCAAACTGTATTTTCCAAAAATGACCACATGAATAATATTGGTCCAAATGCTTTTTCAGAACCTGGCCATTCCTCCATGAAGAGGCATGGTCTATTTCTGCTCCCTTTGAATTTGGGTGGAACTTTCTGATTACCTCCAACAAAAGCAGCAGAAGTGATGCTGTATGAATTCCAAGCCTAGGTCAAAAAAAGTAATGAGGATTTCATCTGCTGCACACATATACACACCCATGAGCTCCCTCTCTTCTTCCCACTTCCCCTGCTTCAGAATATTCGCTCTTGAAACCCAGTCATCAGGTTTATAGAAGTCCAGGTTACATGGAAATGTCATCCTTCCCTCCCTCAGGTCACTTACTCTAGAGGAAGTTAACTGCCCTTTTATGAGAACACTTAAGCAGCCTACAGGTAGGCCAACAAGTCAAGAAACTAGGGCCATTTGCCAACAGCCAGTGAGGAACTGAGACCTTCTGCCAACAGCTTTTTATGTGAGTGAGCCACCTTGAAAATAGATCTTCCAATCTCATCAAGTCTTCAGACAGCTACAGCCTGCTGATACCTTAACTGCAATTTCATGGAAGACCCTGAACCAGAACCACCCAGCTAGCAGCTACTCCTCTCCCAAACTCTTGTCTTACAGAAAGTATGAAATAATAATGTTTTCCATTTAAAGCCACTAAATTGTGGGGTAATTTGTTAAGTAGCAATAGATAACACAACTCCTATGGTTCACTATCATAACACTCAGTATTTTTCCTTTGTTGCAATTAACATATTTGCAATTTAAAAAAATTAATGTAGTCAGCCAAGGTGGTGCATGACTGTAGTCCCAGCTACTCGGGAAGCTGAGGTGGGAGGATTACTTGAGTCCAGGAATTCAAGGCCAGCCTGAGAAACATAATGAGACTCCCATGTAAAAAATAAAAAAATTAATGTGCATGTCTTCCTGATCCCTTGTTAGGAAGGACTATATGGGAGTGGACAAGGCCTGACTTTGTCCACTGGTATATTCTAAATACCAAGCAATGTCTAACACATAGTAGGGGCTCCATAAATATTCAATATGAGAAATACCAATACTTGTTAGTATCTCTAAATTCATGCCTATACATGGGTTAGATAATAAAACTTTAGTCTAATGTGTGATGCCACCAAATGGTTTAACACCATAATTCAAAACCTAGATTGTAATTACAACTAAATATCTGTATAACTAACAACTAGGGATATGGGTATATGTATATTTTGAACTATTAGTTTACACAGAATATACTGCACTCATTTTACTCAGTCAGACATTCCAAACCGGCTTCATAGATAACAAAGAGATTACTTTGTGGCCATTACATGTTAAACCTCTTGTGTGCTTATGTGACAATGTGTGGTTGTCAAATAAATGACTTAAAATCAATTACACTCACAAACCTGAATCCATGAGCGACCTCATGTATGTGTGTGTGTACACCCACCTAGCCACACACATCCCTTGACATTCTTTAATTTAAAGAGCTATTAAAGTACCTAAAATACATAGCAAACTATCTAGAAAATAATGTAAATAAGACAGCACTGATTCAAATGACAACTGTAACTAACCAATACCCTGTCAACTGCATAAGACAAAATATTTGCTTCAGTTATATTTGAAAATTTACAGTATATACTAGTACATGTATACTTTGTTATACATGTACATTTACTGAAACTAATCAGTGTTGTTAATGTAGTAAGTGTTGACGCAAGAAAGGAACATGAATACTATTAAAAAATGTCATCACAAGTGACAAAAACCTGGAGTTGCTGACTGATCATATTGCCCTCTCTCAAAAGAAAACATCAATTAACTTGTTTCCTTCCAACCTAATAACTGAGCACTCTACCTTGCAGTAGAGCAAAGCGGAGCTATGCTTCCACATAAAATGATGGTTTAATTCTGAGACACTAAAGTGACAGGAAAATATGATACACTCTATGGAGTCCATTTTGCCTAACAACCCTCACTCAGGAAATTTTAAAACAAATAAAAATCACTATTCTTAAAGTGAAATTAAGTAACTGGAAAAAATGTTACAGTCCATCCTTATCATTTGCTCTTCCTAAAATCACTTAAAAGGAGGACACATGGTTCATTCATTTTAAAAGCCAAAATAAAAACAACAAATAATGGTATGATCCAATTTCTATAACACTACTTGCCAGAGGACCTGAATGATTAAATTGTTACAGCTCACACAAGGCTGGCATTAAGCTGGAAGTTAAAGAATAGAAAGACATTACCTAGCAACTAACAGTTAAAATGGCACTTCTATACCATCGTTCCTGTGCAGCCAGTGCATTATTTTTCTTAAAAAATTTTTGACTTAGTTTTGATTTAGGTGCACTGGGAAGAGTACTGGACTTGTTATATGGGTTGAATGTCCCCTCCAAAACTCAGGCTGAGATTTGACTGCCACTGTGACAGTATTAGGAAGTAGAACCTCTGAGAGGTAACTGGGCTGCGGGAGCTCCACCCTAGAGTGAGTTAATTATAAAAGACTGAGTTTGGCCCCCTTTTGCCCTTGTGTGCAGTTATCTCTCCCTACCTCCTTATCACCCCCGTTTTCTCCCCATCACCTCTCTCTCTTGAACTCTGCCATGGGATAAGCAGCATCCTAGAAAGAAGGTCCTGCCAGCACCCTGATATTGGATTTTCTAGCCTCCATAACATGAGTCAAATAATTTTGTCCATTATAAATTACTGTCTCAGGCATTCCATTACAACAACACAAAACAGATTAAGACAGGACTGAAGCCTAGAAATCTGAATTGTTGTTCTGGCTCTAACTAATTAAAAAAAAAAAAGTCAAGACCCTGTGCTCAAGTCACCTAGTCTCTCTTTAATTTTATTAAGTGAAGGGCTTATATTAGATAAGTCTGTGAAAGCTCTGGCTGTTGTATGATGCGAAGTTGAAGCTGGCAAGCCTTCAGCAGGAAGTTTTAATTCAAGACACTCACTAGTAAAGAAATCAGTAGGTTCATTTTTTCAAAGAGGTACTCAAAGCACGCATAAAAGTCTGAGGCAGATTTGAATGTTGCCAATAAACACATCCATGCAAAATGTAAAAAAAAAAAAAAGAGGAGGATATGACAACAGGAGGTAAATATTTTCAACATTCTATAACATCAGACCTCTTCTTAGCAAACATTTTTGCCCCTAAATTGATTGTATCAGTCACAGGCTGTTTTAGTTATTCTGAAGTCCCACCAGAAAACACTGTTTATACAAATGTAGAAAAAGTAAAGTATAAGATGACATTTGGAAAAATTCTGCTATCTACTATTTTCCTTTTATATCTACCTGTGAAACTCAGATCATCTTTCTTACATTAGAGAACACAGATTCAGGAGGATAGGCAGAATCTATAAATATGCAAATATCCCTTTGATTTCCCTGATTTCTTCTACAGCTAAGAATATCAACCACTACTCTTCAGATTATAAGACTGACATGCTGCCAGCTGCAATAAGAGCGCGACTTGTACACCCACTACTCTTACCAGCTAAAGTGACGACCTCAAAAAAATAATCCTTCCCAAAAAAATAATCTGTATTGAAAATACAGAATATGACTGACAAGAAATAGTATCATAGTAACATATTAACCCTGTAACTAGCTGACACACCTGAAATTAAGCCTACTGATTTATCTGAATGAAAAAGAACTATAGAGAACCACAATTAATAATATAAAATAATAAAGCTAGTACAAATACATATTTTCCAATTATTACACCATTATGGTAGGAGTAGTAGTATGTGGTGGACTTTCATCTTACTTTGTTTCTGGTTAGTAAAACATTCCTGCAATCAAGAATGGGTAAAAACTGCATGTGACTAGAATCTGTTCATACTTGCAACCACATATCTGGGTAGCATAAAACAAAGCAGAAATAGTATTTAAAATATCAAAATACAAATACACTTGAGAAGAATAAATGAAGAGTAAAAAAAGTATTAAAAAACTGGAAAAGTTAGCTTATCAAGAAAAATAGGCTATACATTAATAATAGAAAAAGCATTTATAAAGTATATAGCTAAGTGCCAGTGCACTTTATTAATACAAACTTACATTCTAGTTATCAACAAATCCATAAAATAGTACATTTTACATTTCATAAAGGAATTAGTCTTAGCTTGTACTTTACAGTACGGGAGTCAGAAGAAATTGTCACAATTATCACTTAAGTAGAAGTTAGAAAAACAAACACTAAAATAAAGAAAATAGTATGTTCACTGACCTCAAGCAGTGAAGTGTTTATTTTGGTGTATACTGAAATATATTTGGTTATCTGAACAAAAAAGAACTATATAGAGAACCATAATTAATAAAATAAAATAATAAAGCCTAGTATAAATAAAGCCTAGTATAAATATATATTTTCCAATTATTACACCATTATGGTAGGAGTAGTAGTATGTGGTGGACTTCCATCTTACTTTGTTTCTGGTTAGTAAAACATTACTGTAATCAAGAATGGGTAAGAACTGCATGTGAATGGGTAAAAACTGCATTTTTTATTTTGGTGTATATGCCAAAATAAACAAAAATGGTAAGATAATTTAGTAATTCAAAGTTGGTTTTATAGATAAATAGTATAAAAGGTCACTGATTTTCAGTTATTTGTTTTATAATGTGTCCAATCTCTTAGCATCAAAAATATTACAGACCTGGGGAAAACATCACTCTAGCATTACATTAACAATTACTAAGGAAGAAAATCTGGGACTAGATAGAACATTCTAAAGGAGAAGGACAAGTGACAAAATGTAGAAGAACTGGCTAGAAGAAATAACTACTTCTTTACCTTTTAACGATTTTATACAAATGGTTATCTGTTTATGTTGTTTTAGAATAAGTATCCTTAGCACTGCTATAATATTTAATGCATCAAGATCCAATGATGTTTCATTCAACTAATTTTACATTCCCATGAAAAATAAAACAAATTATACCCTAGTCTGATAAAAAAAAAAAAAAAAGCACATACTGCAAGACTGACTTTGTCAAAGACTGCAACAGAGAATCACGGTCACTGTCTACAAAATTATTTCAAGCTTAGCTCTAAAGAAATTAAACCATCACTCTCAATAACTGTTTAACATTTGCTTGTGGGATACATACCTGACTTAGGCACACCCAGTGCTCTCTGACCTGCTCTAAGCATTCCCACTGACGTTCCCTTTAACTAGTCCACTAAGGAAATCCTCCATCCTCCTCTCACCACTAGAGACTCCGCCACAGCCAGGCCTAATTCCTCTCTCTGCTAGAACCTGGGGCTGCCCCTAATGCTGCCCTGAGCATGGCTTGGAACAGGGAAACATTCCCTTACCCAGTCAGGACTGCTGTATATATCCAGTTGGACCTCAGCCAGAACTAGAAATGCACATACGAAGCATCTATGACCACTTTAAGAACAATTTACAAGACTAGTGCAGTGTGGCAGTTAAGAGCATGAACTCTGGAGCCAGACTGCCTGATTTCAAATCTTGCTTTCACCTTTTACCAACCATGTGATCCTCGGAAGAACTTCTCTCTGTACCTCAGTTTTCTCACCTCAAAATGAGGATAACATTCATAAGGCTGCTTTGAGACTTACACTATTGCCTGCCACATAGTAATTGGTCAATAAATATTAGCAGAATTATTTGCACAGCTTCCATCCAATCCTCATGCAGAAGAAACAAAACATCATAAGCAAAATAACATATGCCTGATTGGCATACCCATCATATTTGTCTATACCGCAGAGATCCCATAATGTCACAACTGCTTATTTTTATCACCCAGGCCCAACTTTAAACTGATTAAATCTCAATACTTTTCAAGTCCTACTTTTTTAAAAGCCAGATTAAAAAGACAATTCAGAATACAAAGTACTGTATTTGTTTGGCTTTAATTTCAGTGGATGCTTGAAGAATAAGGATTAACAAACTTTTCCTGTAGAAACCTTCCTTGATAAGGGTTCAAGACTTCATTAAATGTTAGCTGTGGCTATTTATACATTTAAAATAATTAAAATTGAATTATAAATTCAGTTTCTTATTCACACTAGCCATATTTGAAGTGTTCGATTTCCCACATGTGGCAGATATCAAGCCCTTCTACCATTGTGGAAAGTTCTCCTGTCCAGCACTAGTGTAGACAGAAACCTGCAGCAGCACCTTTGGCTCTACTGGCCTCCATTCACTGTTGGGCCCCCTCCACAGTCTTGGCAGAAAGAATACATTGACACACTGCCCCTTCCAGGATGGTAACTCTGGAGACCAAAGTTCAACCAATGGAAGGTCAAATGGTTCCAGCTCCAATTTCCATCTCATTAGAGAACAATGTTCTATAGCTATTTGCCCAGGTATTTCCAAGTATAAAGAAAGAAAAAAAAAAAAAACAATTATACTTAGTTCACAGTTTTACTTATCTCCACTTTCTCTTCTTTTCCGGAGTCCAGTCTACTCTCTTATATTTATAAAATGATGAAAGTACTCACAAGGTCTGATTATCAATAGGGAGCAACATGTAGGGCTAAGTAATTGCGTGGAAAACACGCTAGCCTTCTTTCTCCCCAGGCCATACTACCTACTGTACAGATGAGGGAAAAGGATAAGGTAGCAAGCTATTTTAATTAGGCTCAAAAATTCTGAAAACCTGCAGGGTCACTTCTTTCTCTCAGCTTACTCAAAGGGGCAGTGGGCATTAAGATCTGATTTATCCAAATTGTAATCCCATAGTTATGAAATCACTAATAAAGTCACCACAGACTACTGGAAAAAAAAATGATTAAATTTAGGTCAAAGGAGGTGGAAGAACTTTGAAGGACTGGGAGATGAAAGAGACCTGAGACTGAATGGTTCAAAATATTACCTGCTCAGAGATGCCTCAAGCTAAATTATTTGTTTCCTAACATTTCCAATGCAGTATCTTGCTAGAAATATTAGATTGTTAGGTATTATAAATTCTGCATGGCTTTTAAAGTAATTTTACTCTGAGAAATTGAAAATGTTTAAGTAATTTTAGTAGTATCTTACTTTAAAAACTGATCTTTCAAAAGTCAGTCTTCTCTGAAGTATCAGAGGATCCAAAGGGTTTCTAACTAATATTTACTATTTGCAAAACACAAATGTTTGGAGGTTGGGTTGCTTTATGATGAAAGGACCCAGAGAGGGTTGTCAAATTTAGCAAATAAAAATATAGAAAAAATCTCTCTGCTTTCTTACAACCACATATGAATCTATAATTATCTCAAAATCAAAAGTTTAATTACAGAAAAACAGAAACTACTCAGTTAAATTTGAATTTCAGCTAAACGAGAAATATTTAGCATGTTCCTAATATTTAACATGCATATAAGTGTGCTCCATGTACATTTGGGACATACTTATAAAAATTATTGTTTATTTGAAATTCAATTTTAATTAGGTATCTTGTATTTTATCTGGCCATCCTAGATCCAGAAGTAGTATCCTTCATGGAATCTGGAACGGCAAAAGGTGGAAGGCAACAAAAATCTGAAATCACAAACAATATGAACAGAATGCATATACATTGAACAGGGAGGTGTGCCTTTACTTTAAAACAAGTGAAAGTATGTCTATTTAAGCAAACTCTATGGCCTTAAACCTAATGCCAGCTCAAGGGAATCTTGACTGGGGAATTTTTTCTGTACTATTTGTGCTCAATTCTAGCTCTCACTGTTTATTTTATCCTGGTGATACGAATTCTGACCCTACAGACTTCTGCCTCCTTACCCTCTCCAGTTCTGCCTTGCTGTCAGAGTAAGAGACTCTGGAAATGCCTCCCAATTCTGTTCTTCAGAAGGACTAGGCTTGGACCTCCTTGGTTCCAACTATGACAGCCTCCCAGTCCTTAGCCCATAAACTGGTGTTTACATCAGCAGCTCTTGGCTTAGCTATAATTATACACATGAGCCAAAATCTGGGCTACAGCCTCTTCTAAGAAATTGCCAGAAGCAGTTCAAGACTACCAGCTGAGCTTTAACCAACACATAAACCTGTGTTTGGTAAAGCCATTTGAAAAACTAATTAACCTGACCC
Source organism: Homo sapiens (assembly GCF_000001405.40). Lineage (NCBI taxonomy): Eukaryota > Metazoa > Chordata > Mammalia > Primates > Hominidae > Homo > Homo sapiens. The sequence goes on along the minus strand of NC_000002.12, from coordinate 181,005,837 downwards.
TTTATAAACATCCTTGCCATTTCACAACTCAAACAAAGGTAACTTCAGATTCACAAAAATATTAAATACATATACAAAAGATTAAAGCTAAAAATGTAGGTCTGTTAAATAGAAAAAATATATAACTATATAACCGTAACAAATTATTCAATAGATAACAGGAAATTATAAACCAGAAGAATCAAACCCAAATGTCAGTAAGGTGCCACACAGGTAATATAAATTAGTTAAGTGAACCATCATAATAGGAAGAGGTAAGGACTATGGAGAAATAGATAATGCCTATCAGTCCAAAAAGATACATACTAATTTTGCTACTCAGCATCAGCTTCATTTACTTAACTTGTGGTAACCCAGTTCACCTTTGCACCCCTTCTCACAGTCTACATGCTTCCAATGGAATTAATGCCATTCCTATCCTGGGGATAGAGCAGTGGCCTAGGCATGAACCATATGGATATAATATACTCAGCTGGAGTTAATGAAATGCATTAGACTTCTGATGAAAAAACTGGGGCCAAGATTCACGCTATTTCACACTGCATCTCAATCTGAAGAACACAGCTGGGAGGTACTATCAGTTATCTTATGATCACAAGGAGAAAGTCTGTCTAATCATGGAGTCAACTAAGAGGAAGGAAAGCAAGCAAATGGAAAGGTAAATCAGATGCTGACAGCATGCCAAATGCCAAATCTACTCTGACTTTATCAGTTATGTGAGCCAACAAATTTATGTTTTACTTAAGCTGGTTTGGTTTGAGTTGTATGCCGCTGCAACCAAATAAGTTCTGATACAGGCATTCAAAGTCAATTTTTAAAAGTAACTTACACACAGTGCTGAGTTTGTCTTATAGGCTGACAGTATGCAAGTATATGCAAATAAAAGTTTTGGGTTTTACTTAAAATCCTTCCAAAATATTTTCTTCGTAAGACATTGTCTGTCTGAAGATTTATCATACAAACACTAGCATTCAAAATTACATTTGGCAAAAGGCCAAGAAACAATAAAGGCCTTAGTTGTCACCTACTACGTATATATATATTACTTTTTTCACAATATAGGAGGCTATGATGCCTTAGCCTTCTTAAAAAGAAACATGCTGTAAGCATGTGCAAAGGACATATACATAAACTGACAAGTATTCCTTGTATTAAACATATTTAGTCCCAAATCAAAAGTTACTTAACGCAATTCTTTTTTTTTTTTGAGATGGAGTCTCGCTCTTCGCCAGACTGGGGTGCGGTGGCACAATCTCGGCTCACTGCAACCTCCGCCTCCATGTTTCAAGTGATTCTCCTGCCTCAGCCTCCCGAGTAGCTGAGACTACAGGTGCATACCACCAGGCCCAGCTAATTTTTGTATTTTTAGTAGAGACGGGGTTTCACCATGCTGGCCAGGATGGTCCCGATCTCTTGACCTCGTGATCTGCCCTCCTCAGCCTCCCAAAGTGCTGGGATTACAGGTGCGAGCCACCACACTCAGCTGTATTGTTTCTTAAGCTACAGCTAATCAGGTAATTTTTTGCATACAAATAAGAAATTTAAAATATTAACATTATGTTATCAAGTTTTACAACTAGAACTACTACACACTGCACCATTGGTTTCAACTCTAAAAATTATAATTTCTGAAAGTTGCTTTGAGTCAATTAATTTCAAACTCTGTGTAATACAGAGAAAGTGAAGAGAAAAGCAAAGTATTATGCTGTACTGATTAAATTTAACTTCACAGTATTAGATATTTCTTAACTCTCCACCCCAGCCTCTCCAAGACCTTCCCACACACACATTCACACCTGATGCAGGCAGTGTGATGAAGAGCATGACCTTCAGTCAGACAGACCTAAAACTGAATCTTGCTTCCATCATTTATTAGTCTGTCTTTAGACTAGTTATATAATTTCTGAAGAATTTATTCTTCTCATTTCTAAAAAGATAGTAACATCTTCCTGAGAGAATGCAGAAATATCAACAATACATGTAAATTACCTAGAATAGTACCTACCACACTGAACAAGTAATGCATTTGAAATCATATTCAAATGGGCATGTATAGCTGCAATTAAGTGATACTTGTAACAATTCATCATATAAGGAAAAAGTAAACGGCAATAAAAATGTCCATGGCTAGGAGTCTTAGAAAATACAGTCTGGTTCCACAGTGTACTATGTGCAAACAAATAAATTTTGTTTTATAAAGTTTTATAATATTCAAATTCAGTGTTCAAAACCAGCAAACTGACTTATGACATTCAGGTACTGAGTAAAATCACAATCCAAAAATCCAGAAACTAACTACATCTTAATTTATATCAAATAAAGTCCAACTGTAATTAGATTGTTTTTAAATCTTGAGACAGCGTCATCCCCCCTGGAAGTTCTTCAAAAGTAGACATAAATAATTTGATTTAAAGTTATTTACAAAGTACTTCTAGAAATGTCTCAAGTGAGAATACCATATTTGCTCATTAGAGGTCATCTGAAACATGAGTACTGCTAATGGCAAGATTGTCTATAATGTGATAAAGCAGTTAGAAATACATTATTAGCTCATGTTTGCTTAAACGCTGTTAATATAAAAAAATTAAACTCATAACAAATAACACTTCATCTCAGAACACCAATGAAAATATATTTAGGCTAATATAAGCTCCTTACTAAATAAACTCCTCTATCTGGGAATACTAATTAAGGCACATATATTATACTTCCTGTCACAAAAGTGATGTTCAGGACATACACTCCATTCTCAAAAGGAACAGAGAGACTCTCTCAAAACAAAAAGCACACATGTACTACATAAGATACCAACAACAAAGACACATGGGCAGAGAGATGTGTTTCAAAACAAAAACCCTTGAAAAGAAGCCTGCATTTTTGTACCGGGTGTTGAGTTTTCTTTCAGACCTTTCACATCTAGTTATCTCTAGCCAAGAAAGGTTGTCCATCTTTTCACAAACTGGGGTGTGCCCCAGTTCTTGAAATCTATGCACAATAAAAAGAGGTAAGAGGGAACAAAAGATAATCGAAGATAAGTGAAAGAACACAGAGCAGCAATTGTAAATCTCTGCTAATACAGTAGCCACTAGCTACCTGTGGCTATTTTAAGTCCTTAAAAGGTGGTGTATATTTTAACACTACATTTCAAAAACACTGTACAAAAAAATTATGAAATATCTCATTAATTTTTATATTACATTAGTAATTTTTCATATTTGAGTTTAAAAATCTTAAAATTCATTTCCTTTGTTTTAAATTCTAATGTGGCTACTAGAAAACTGAAAATTACATACGTGGTATGCATTACATTTTTATTGGAAAGCACTGTTGTAAATCATGGCAATCAAATCTATGAATTTAGAGGGTTTTCTTCGTTCGTAATCATTCCTAAGTTTGTCTTCAAAAAAAGTATTGTGAATTGATAGGTATCTGCCAGCTTAAACATTCTCTATGTACTTTATCCTTCTATACTTTTTCATACAACCTCTTAGGATGCCTTACCTAACGCAGTGAGCAACAGAAAATAAACATTAATGAATAATATAGATTAAACATGAAACTAGATCAAAGGGCATTATATTGTTAATTGTGTACTAGTACTCTTATGCAGCCAACAAGTGATATGCATACATTTTCAGTAAAAAAAGAAATCCATTAAAACATTCCAGATGTGATCAGTAGGCCAGCCATAAAGTCAACCTCATCCCTACTATTTCATTTGCCAGCAAATGCTAGGTGTGGAAGGCCATATGTATTTCTAGCTAATGCCAACTAGGCTTCTATGATACTGTACTGTCTGCTGCTTGGGATATTCAAGCCCTTCAATCTCCATATGCAACAGCTGGAAAACTACAACTTCTTTGTAAACTTCCATTATTAAAGCAAAGACATGTACAAACACATTTCTTTTCGTCAACAAATACTTAATAGTAAAGACAGTCTTGCCATTTTAGATGATTAAAAAATAATAAAAATTTAAAATCCCCTCATCCATACTTGAAAACAGTATATTAACAGATATGAAAGGTGAACTGCATCCAGCTTGTTCTCTTTCTCTCCGCCCTCCCCAATTTGTTACCCAAGTCTCTATAACCACCACAACTGGTTATATGCTAATCTGTCACCTTCGAAATCCCAGCTCCTCTTTTCAATACCCTGTAAAGATTTCCTATGGCCTTTACATGTAAGAATCCTTACCTTCAGTTTTGACAGGGCTCTTAGGCCATTTCAGGCTCCTAATCTCCTTTATTTTTTTCTTCACTTTTCTGCCTATTCCTTCTCTTATGCTTAAGCAAACCTACTTATCTGGTGCTGTATCAATCCATCCCTTCTCCAAATTGTCTCTTTTGTTGTATTTCCACTTCTTGATGTCCCACCCTCTACATTCACAGTTGGGGGTGTGGGGGGTGGAGGACTTCTGGGACTCAAGGCAAAACATAATTGTATGTTTCTTTTCCCCAGCCATTTAAGAAGCTCGAAAATTCTACTTTCGAAATCCAAGCTCTCAACTTTCTGGAGGCTACTCTGTATTTCTCTCCCACCTCTCTTTCCTGATTAAGTGACATATTTTACCTCATTTCATTTCCTCACTCTAATTTACATTAAATGTAGTAACTCATGTTTCTAAAACACTAGAGCTTTAAAGGAACTCTGGAGTACAGAAAACCAAAAATTCTTAAGCATTCTTCTGAAGTAGTGGTTCAAAACTTTCAACAGGTTTCTGAAAGAGTCCAAGTAATGCAAATTGTCCCAAGTTGTTTCCAATTTTTGCCTCTTTAAGAGTCAGTGTGTCATATTCTCCATCTCATCACAGTAAATCTTAATATCTTCATTACTGATATGAGTTGATGATGCACAACATACATTATTTGTAATGTTGATGCAAATATTTTAAACACACATCAAATGCTAATGTGCTTAAAATTTTGTTCCTTTTCAAAGCACAAGAATTCTTACTTTACGTAACAGTTTCAATCAATGCCTTTACGATTTTGCTTATGAATTTAAAAAGTTACTCTCACTTTGGAAGCCCGAGGTGGTCGGATCACACGATCAGGAGATCGAGACCATCCTGGCTAACACGGTGAAACCCCATCTCTACTAAAAATACAAAAAATTAGTCAGGTGTGGTGGTGGGCGCCTGTAGTCCCAGCTACTCAGGAGGCTGAGGCAGGAGAATGGCGTGAACCCGGGAGACAGAGCTTGCAGTGAGCTGAGATCAAGCCACTGCACTGCAGCCTGGGCGACAGAGCGAGACTCTGTCTCAAAAAAAAAAAAAAAAGGTTATTCTTTAAGGTCTAATCCTGGCCACCACACTATACAACTCAGGGGATACCATTTATACTATACTTACTCTGTGCTGTGCTATGCTGAATACAGAGTACAGTATGAATGGTACCCCCTGGAGTTGTACAGTGTTAACATTTTAGATTCAACCAGTAATATATATGCCTATTTGCAAAGTTTTCCAATAGCTTAACCCTTTACAAAATGTAAGATTTTCATCCATCTTATGTTTAGATTATAGAAGTTGTGATTAACAGTTTTTTAAATCACTATTCATGTATCCCAATGTCACTTAATAATCTTAACCCCATGTTGTAGAAAGCTACTTTAATAGATTTTTTAAAGAGGTGTTTGTTTTATAATACAGTGAGTCTTATTCTGAACACCTAGTGAACAAAACTTTAAAACTATAAATATGTATGTATCTAATACATCTAGAAATTGGGTTAAATGCCAAGAACAAAAATTGCAAAAGGCAGCTGGAAACACAAAACAATCACCAAACTGTATTAATATTCTTTATTCTGTATCACTGATCATTGCTATTTGTGGGCCAGAACCACTTTCAAAAGTATATCTTGTTATTACAACTGGTTTTAATACTTCATTTTTCAAAATGTTCTTTCATAAACATGCCTGTTTATTTGTCCATATAACTGCTTTTTATATCATTATATGTAAAATATACCAGTTACATAATATCTAAAACACTTAAGAATGATGAAACAGGTATTATTCACATTTCTGAGAATCAGAGGAGATAACTTGCTCAAGCTTTTACAGTTACTCAATTGTAAAGCCAAGACTTGAACTTCCATTTGTCTAAGTCCAAAGCCCTTTATCTGAGTCATGTGGATGTCCTTGATGTACAACAAGGTCTGTTTTATATTTTGGTTTTCTTTTTTTTTGGGAGGGGTGGAGGGCGGGAGGGTGCCTATAATGAAAAAAAACAAAAAATAAGTATGGCAAGGATGTGGACAAATTGGAACCCTCATACGCCGCTGGGAAAGTAAAATGGTACAGCTTTTGTGAAAAGCAGTTCAATGTTTCCTCACAAAGACAGAGAAATTATCATATGACACAGCAATTCCACTCCTAGGAATATACAGTGAAGAAATAAAACCACGTATTCAAACAGATGTGTATTTGTGAATCCTTCACAGCAACACTATTCACAGTACCCAAAAGGTGGAAACAACCAAAAGGCTCACAACTGGTGAGGAGATAAACTATACCAAATGCTTTTTTTGGTATTGTGGTATTTCTTGAAATGTTCAGTTTTTCTTCTTTAGCCTACTGTGGAACGTCAGAGTACTAGGAACTGCCATTCTTTGCGGTCATGTAATACCCTTTGTGGAGGGGTATTATTCTCTTATCATAATAAATAAATTCGACCTTTTATAATTTTCATATTCTTGTTCATCAGTGAGATTAGATAACTGTCATTTAGCAGTACTGGTGTTATGTTTAGGGATTCATACTACATTTGCCTCAAAACAAGTTTGAGGTAGCTTCCCATCTTTTCTTATGCTCTAGAATAAAAGACACATGGGACATTTATACCACTTACACATTTAAAACATCTTATCTGCATATCTATAGAGAAAAGTAATTTAATAAACATTAAAAAGTATAAATTGAAAAAAGTTATTTTACAAACAACCTAGTTAATTATGGTTTTCAAATGAATCATCTGTTGATTATCTGAAGGAACTGCCGTTGACGATTTTTTTGTTTTACTCCTTTTTGGATAAAAACGTATCTGTTGCTTTGAGCTCCTCCAAAGTTGCATCTTATTACGTTCTGATTTACTTCTACTTTCAGCTGTTTGCACCACAATTTGATGCTTTCTCATTAAGTCTTTAACTATAGACATGCTCACGCACAGGGCCTTAATATTCTTGTATAGACTTCCCCCGCCCCCACATTATTACCAATGGTGATTTTGCATGATGACATAGGTAAATTATAGGGGGTGCTTAGATTAAGAAATGACTAGCAACTAAAATCAAGTAGGAAACATGATCTTAATTGTTCTTCCATAGCATCACAGAGGATAAATGAATTTCATCATCTCCCCCTGCCCCTTCCCCACTCTCCTTATCCCAACTAAGACCATTAGCCTCAGTACCAGAAACAGAGTACTGCTTCTCACACTACTACCTGAATCCTTAGACATGCCTTCTTAAAATGCACATTTAGTAGGCCACCCTTGGCCTACTAAATCAGAATCTCTGCTTTGGGTAATTGTTGATTATACAATCTCCTGATTCACCAAGTCCAACCAGAACACCACCAATTTATAGCATGAGGGTAAAGTGAACCTAAAATTTATCATACAAACTCGAGTATTTCTAAAAGTGAAAGGAAATGCTATTAATATTTTTGTCAAGACAATAGATGTAAACCAAGGAGTACGGTCAAGCACAGTTGCTGTTGTGCTCTACACTTTGAGTCTGGCAAGTTTCAGAACTACTTTCAACTAAGTTAATTAAAATTATTCTCATAGTTAGTGCTACGGCATTTTACCGAGATGAAAATATAAAGAAATATAAGAGCTATACCCAGTCCTAGTGCCCGGTTCAGCTGGGATGAAAGGGTACATGACAAGAGGCAATACCAGTGAATTAAATATTAGTAGTACAAATGTCTCTCAAAAGAGATATGTGCAGGAAGGGCTTCACAAAAAGATGTAACATCTGAAATAGGCTTTAAAAGATCACTACCACTTGAAGGATGAAAGCCATCCTAGGCAACGAGAGATGTAAACAAAGATGCAGAATCTAGAAAACCCAACTTTTACTCAGGTAATAGGAAACAATACTTTTGCTACAACATAAGACTTTTCTACATAATGGAAGAAAAAATAAAGATAAGATAAAAATAAAGATAAATTAAGAGAGCTAAATGCAGGTACTTTTGATAGACAACCACTAGGATTCTAAGGGAAATCCATCACCAAAAAGCAGCTGTGATACAATGTGGCATGAGAGCCTAGGGGAGATGAGAAGGGATAAACAACACAAGGGTGAAAAAAGAATATATATCACATACATGAAGAAATACTAAATACTAAGGAGAGTGGGAGAAAGAAGACACATTTCAAGTACATCAGGAAAGAAGATGAAACTGAAGAGAACATGCGCATACAAAACAAAAAAGAAACAGAATAAGTCATATGAAAAAATACTAACAGCTAGTATTACCAAATGACCTTTCTAAAATAAAATGAAAGAGGAAAAGCCAGATAACAAAAATATGAAAGAAATATAAGACACAAAAGTGGACAGAAAAAAAATAAATAGAGATAGATAAATGGGAAGCTGGATAGTGGATAATAAGTAGAAAAAGATGAAAGAATTAAATGAGCTTAAAAAAATCTCTTAGAAAAGGAAAGAGGTTAAATAATTGAAGAGAGATTAGAAGGGTAAAAAAAAAAAGTGTAGTTTGAGGCAATGGGGTAACAGAAATCCTTTTAAGAACACAAGTTTCCCTGTAAGTGGAAAAAAAAAAATTCATTAATAATAAAAAGATCAAAGGGATACACAGAGTCACATATTTATAAGAGCCATGTGTGCATACGTACACATTAAGCTCATGCACAAAGTTCAAATGTACTATGAGGGTTCAGAATTGCGGGGAGGTGTAAAAACTAAAGGGCTAGAGGAAGAAATTTTTTTTTGCATATCAGACAATTACATATGCAGTAAAAATCACACAAATGTATCTTGGTCAACATACATTTTATGTAAGAAACACAACTATTACAAATTATTATATATTACTCAAAGTAATGCTATATAAAATTGGTTTCTTACAGCATTATGATTTGCTATCACTACAATGTGGAATCTAGGCCAGTAATTTGCAAGTGCCAAGTGACAGCCCCTCCCCTCCAAGATACCTGGAAATGGGGGGGAAGAGGCAGGTTTTGGTGGCCAGAACATAGCATTTAGTCAGCAGAGTCTGAGGATGTTCAATGTCTTCCAAGTCAAAGCACAATCCAGTCAAAAATAACCAAGATGCCCCTGATGAGAAACACTAAACAAAGGAGGATGCTTCTTGTATATTAACAACAGGGTTAATATTTAAGTTCAATTATTGTGACAAATTAATTTGATTCTGATAAAGGTTTGCGTTCTACCTTAAACTACCCCCTCAGTTTAATTCAAAACTTAAAGCAGACCTATAGTTATAATAAAGATCTCTCAGTTCTCCTAATGCCAAGACTTAATTATCTCTGACAACTGACAAGGAAGTGGCTAGGAGAATGTCATGTTTGAAACAACAGCTTCAATAAGTATTCAGTTTTCAAAATAATACCTAGAGCAATGGTTAAGTTGAATGTATGTACTCGCATTGTTATACACCAAATAGGTCCATATGACTTTTACCCTCTAAGGTTTCCTAGAGCAAAGCAATTTAAGCTGAAGTTTTTTTTAAATTAAGAAATTCTATAAAGATGATAACAGCAATATACTGAAGTACTACAATGGGTTGAAATACAATTATGAAGTGACAATCATTCTGAAAAGGATACTAGGACACCAACTCATTATTTTGAAAAAGAAGAAAAAACTGGTAAGACAAAAAAATTAAGCACATATCTTACCTTTACCATGTATGACCAGGTAACCAAATAGGAGATGAGAATAAGTTTCTGTTTAGAGCTGTATTCCAATGGCTGCTAACATCACAGAAAAACAACCAGATCTTAGGTGCCTTTTGATAGAAAAGCACACCAGGAGTTTTGTTTCGTTAAAACAAAACAAACAAACAAAAAGTGGTAGCTGTCAGAAAAAAAAAAAAAAATCCAGCCTGAATTTGATCAAGCCTCTTGATCTAACTCCCAAACATACAAGAAACACTAAGGATGAAGAAAGATATTAAACTATACCACAGAAATCCAATAAGCAAAACAGACTCTAAGGAAACTCAGCCCAGTTTCTTCAATAAATAAATTGCAAAAATGAAGACAACACTGAGAACCTTATAGATTAGAAAAAAAGGAAAAAACCTGAGTATAACTTCTGATGCCCCCAAAAACTTAATAGCCTATTCTTGACCTGAAGCCTTACCAATAACAGAAACGTTTTGTATGTTACATGTATTACATACTGTATTCTTATAGTAAAATAAGCAAAGGAAAATCATAAGGGAGATAAAATACATTTACAGTACTATACTGTATTTATCAATATTGTAAGCTTGTCTGAAATGGCAGGCACCTACAGCTGCAGATCTCAACCTACAGTACATGTCAAGCAATTACAACTTTTTCTTGTAAAGTCATGACTTTTCTCTGCTTCTTGGGAGCATTTCCAGCATCACTAGTGCCACTAACACCATGGGTCCCATGGTGTTATTTACAGTATTGCACGAAACACAGTAAAATACACACGAGAACCAGGAGAAATCACTTTTTACCGCAATACACAATTTACTGGAGTGATGAACTGTTTATACAGAAATGATTAGCATCACATAGTGTTTTAAGAAGATACTTGCAACACTAGAGCCCACTGCAACAGCAACAGGAGGTGGCTACAAAATTACTGCAGTAATACAGTATGTTATAGTTAATTTTATGCAGTTACGATTTAATATTTACATTAACGATTCTCTTGACTCCAAATGGCACCATGTGTGGTCTGTAAATGACTGTGTAAGTTTTGATAAATTCTAACTTTTTATAATAGGTTTGTGTGTATCTCATAGCAGTAAATGATAAAACAGACTAGTATCCACATATATTTTGTGGATTCTTAATATTTTCCTAATATTTTCACTATTTCTAGGCTACACCATTCACCTGCAAGTTTCTTTCAAATTGTAAATCTCTAAATATTTTTCCAATACATTTATTGAAAAAAGTCGTGTATAAATGAACCCACTCGTTCAAATCCATGCTGTTCAAAGGTCAACTGGACTTTATTTGTATCCTCACTCAAATAACTGTGGGGAAGGAAGGACAACACCCATTTGTAAACCTAAACAATGACTGATTACGGAGCTACTGAAAATTTTTAGGCATGCTGATGTCACAATGGTTAAAAGGAGTCTTATCTTTTGAAAGTGCATAGTGAAATACTTGCATGTTTTAAGATATAGATGAAATGATGTCTGAGATTTTTTTAATGTAATAATGGGAGGGTGAAATGGACGGAGGCATAGATGAAGCCAGATTAGCCATGATTAGGTAACTACTGAAACTGGATAAAGGTTATATATATGGGGGTTCATCATACCAGCCTGTTTACTTTTGCATATGTTTCAAGTTCTCCAAAATTAAGAAACCTCGGCAGAAGGGAAAAGTGATAATTGCAACGTGCTTATTTTAGGGTTTTCAAAAGAAGAAAATGAGTATTTGGCATCTTCTAATGGAAATGTGGATAGTAAGCACCTGGGAAGATGAGAAAAATGTCTTTTAAAATTTTACAAGGACACTGGTGTAAACATAAAATGAAGAAAAATTAAAGGCACACTAGTTAAAACTGCCATTGAATTCCATATAAATTACATGTCTCTGAGTTTGCGTTCAAAGCCTTCAAATGCCAGGTTTCTTCTCATTGTGATACCAGGTAAATTTAGTACAAGCATATATATCACAAATCTAACAAATAACACCAATACCCTAAGAAACAAGTATGAGGCAAGAATAAATCATAAAGCCAATGCCTTATGGTACCCTCTATATTTTGCTGTTGCTACTGTTTAAATTAAGAAGACTACAGAAAGCAATAGGAAGCCATAAAAAATATGTAGCCACAATCTTCTGAGATCGATTCTCTTCGGGACCCTGAATAAATGGATTCTTGACCTACTAGAATTTAATGTGAGAAAATGATCCATTTGTAAAGGACCTATAAGACTGTAAATGGCAAAACTAACTACAAATAACCATCCTCAGAAAGGGAATAAACAGTGTTTATAAAAAGTGAGACGCATGGATGTAAAGGGGGATCATGATGATGATTTATAAGTGAAGGAAAATAAAATAAAAAGGTAACAAAATTCATGTTTCCCTAGGCCTTTCATTCAGACCAAAAGATGTGGAACTATACTCCCAAAAGCAATTTTGGACTAGAGATGTCTTTATTTTTCCCCAGACAAGCTGGAAGTTAAACAGAATGACAGAGTATATTTGCTCTGGAACACTAAAGCAGCAAAAAAACTTTGGAATGGCATAACTAGTCCAAAAGCTTCCAAAAAAGGCAGACTACACCACAGTTCCTTTCAAAGCTTCATTTGTTGTGAATAACCATAAAGTTAAAACAAGTATTATATACATCAAGGACCAAAAAGAAGGAACTGGGATTTTTACAAATTGAATGACCCTAAGCTGATCCTCACTATTGGTATTACTTTATCACCACCTACCGACGGGCACATCCAAAACAGATGTGATAAACAAGCTTTTGTTATTTCTCTATACACCCTTATAAAACTGATAGAATGTCAACAGAGATAAAAATCCCAAGGCTTTACAATTTAACTTTACTACTGCATTTAGACAAGATGCAAGGCACATATTTGATTCATAAAACTCATTAATGTCATCAATTTAAAATGAAATATATAAATGTGGTAGGTTGCCCTGAGAACATTAGTTCTGTTTTGTAAAGTGGAGCAGCCACTCTTCCAAAGAGACTCACTGGAAAAAGCAAATCCCAGCCTGATCAACATGGTGAAACCCTGTCTCTACTAAAAAAAAAATACAAAATTAGTTGAGTGTGGTGGCACATGCCTACAGTCCCAGCTACTCGGGAGGCTGAGGCAGGAGAATTGCTTGAACCCGGGAGGCAGAGGTTGCGGTGAGCTGACATTGCGCCATTTCACTCTAGCCTGGGTAACAGAGTGAGACTCTGTCTCCAAAAAGAAAAAAAAAGTTAGTCAGGCATGGTGGGGTGCGCCTGTAGTCCCAGCTACTCGGAAGGCTGAGGTGGGAGGATTGCTTGAGGCATATGTTCCAAATGTCAGAGCTACAAGATACACAGATATAAGTCAACACAGAGAAGAGCTGCCCAAGATAGTCCCTGGACCCACAGTGGTCTTCACATGAGTGAGAAATAAATCTTTATACATTGAGCCACTGAGCCTTCTAGGTTTGTTTGTAATCACAACACAACCAGAAAAATTTAACATCTCCTTTTATAGTCTAATTGCACTTAAATAATGCAAGGCAAAATACATCCAAAGTATTAAGTATTACTTAATACTTGTGTTTAAGAATTAAAGATTATCTTCCTTTCTGTGTAATACTGTGTATCTAGAATGAATGGAATGATTAAAAGAGTATTTGAAAGCAAAGTGGAAAAACAACCCAGTAAACAAAGAACAACTTAAAAACGAGTAGACACTGATAGTTTCACCTTAAGAGAAAAGAACTCTTAAGCATACAAGTTACAAGACAAAAAACCCAACAAACCAAAAACAACAACTGAGAAACCAAAATCAGCTATTAGGAAACAGGTAAAAAAGAAAGCAAAGCAAATGAAAATACCCTTTCATCATGAGTAGTAAGTAATTTCAGTCATGGTCACGTAACAGAAGTAGCAGAGCAGTCCCTACCTATCTGTGCAGTTCCACTTTCCACAGTTCCAGCTACTCTAGGTCAACCACAGTCCAAAAATATTAAATGGAAAAATTCCAGAAATAATTCTTAAGTTTTAAATCGTACCTCATTCTAAGTAGCACGATGAAATCTCACATTGCCCTGCTCCATCCACTTGGGCTTGAATCATACTTTTGTCCAGTTTATCCATACTGTATATGCTCTAGTCCAGGAGTGTCCAATCTTTTGGTTTCCCTGGGCCACAGCAGCAGCAGCAGAACTCTCTTGGGCCACACATAAAATACACTAACACTAACAATAGCTGATGAGCTAAAAAAACAAACAAACAAAATCGCAAAAAAAATCTCATGTTTTAAGAAAGTTTATGAGTTTGTGTTGTGCCACAATCAAAGACATCCTGGCCACCAGGTGGCCCAAGGGCCGCAGGTAGAACAAGCTTGCTCTAGTCACTTGGTAGTGGTCTTGGCTATCAGACTCCACTATCAAAATCGGTTATAGACTACTGCAGTGCTTATTTTCAAACAACCCTCATTTTACTTAACAATGGCTCCAAAGCCCAAGAGTAGTGATGCTGGCAGTTTGGATATGCCAATGGGAAGTTGTTAATCTCTTGCTGTGCCTAATTTGTAACCCTTATGTAAACGTATCATAGGTATGTATGTATAGGAAAAAACACAGTATATAATCAATACTATCTCAACTTTCAGGCATCCACTAGGGAGTCTTGAAATGTATTCCCCACAGATAAGGGGGAACTATTATAGAGGGCCATAACTGCTTATCTACAATTCTAGAATCCCAAAACTCTGAAAAAAAAGAAAAAAAAATCAAAGGTTTTTTAATAAGGTTGTTACAAAATAATTTGGTAGCAACCCTAAATGTGAACTGACTTGAAACTATTTGTAGCTTCCACTTATTCCACCTGTATGAATATTAATACATTTTTGGTGTGGAAACAGTAATGTCGAGAAACATTACTGTGGAACAGATTACATAAAGTACCACAAACACATCATACTACCTTTCTAAAACATGAAACTTTCTGCATTCTGAAACACATCTGGCCCCAAGGGTTTCAAATAAAGGATTGTGAACTTGTAAAAATTGAAGTAACTTGTGTATTGTCATAATGATGAAAATAAAACCCAAATGAAGAGCACACATTTCTAACCTGTGTGTAATTCAATGTCAAACTGAATTTTGATGACTGTCCAATGTTATTTCTCCATGATGTTACTTTAGTACTCCTAGTAGAACATAATAGATATAACCAGCCTAAAGCTAGATCACGCAGGGATATAATTAACTGGCACAAGACCTAAAAGAAATAAAATACTGCTGTAAGCATTTCTGGCCTCAGAAGACCATAATTTAGCAAGTACTCAAGGTAGTCATTCCTGTGGTTTCACATAAAAAATAACACACACGTATGACAAATAATATAAGACATATGTAAACTACGCATAGAAGTAGCAGGAAGTGAAGAATCAGCTGAGGAAGGTGTAGGTGAATATATTAAGGATGCATCACTAATAAGACAGGAAAACAGTCAAAAGCAAACTATTCAAAAATTCAAGAGGCAAAGTACAGGAACAAATATCTATAGGAGGGTCTCTCAACTTCAGCACTAGACATTTTGGCCCAGATAATTCTTTATTGTGGGGGTCTGTCCTATGTATTACAGGGTATTCAGCAGTACCACTGACGTCTACCTACTAATGTCAGTGGTAGCCCCCTTCTCCTTCAGTTATGAAAAGCAAAAAATATCTCTGGGCATTACCAATTGTCGCCTAGCCTGGTGGCTGGGGAAGGGGAGGACAAAAATTGCCTCAGTTGAGAACCACTGATCAAAAGGCAAAAGAAAGGTTAAAAGTTTGAAGATGTTTCAGCTTCCAGATTCCAATTAAAATGCCCAAATATACTTACCTGTCAAAATTGGTATGTGGAAAAAAAAATCACTTTCTATTTCTCTAGATTTACAAGTGATTTTATTATGTTTTTATCTCATATTGATAGGGAAGAAGAGACTGAAAGGACAAGTTCTTCATTCTCAATCTGAATGTCCTTACACTCTATGCAAGACTTGCTGATTTTCCTGAAAAGTAAACATATCCATCTGTTGTTACAGCAACTCATTTAAGGAGAGCATAAAGTACTAATTGGTTATGAGAGGAATATGACTGGTTATGTGAGCATGTAGCTGCGAAGTAAACATATAACTTTTTTTAAAAGCACATGCTGTTTTACCCACCTTCTAATTACATTATCTGCATTGAACTTAATAGATCCTTAATAAAAATGTGAAGTTTAGTGGGAAGAATATTATTTTCAGTTGGTCACTCTTTTGGAAAATGTTTCCAGTCACACAGAGTACTGAGTATTTCTGCTACACTGGCACGTATGGAGGAAATAACTAGGCCTACTGTGAGTATCAATTTCCTCTTATAAGCAAAAACAGTAGCTAGGTAAACTTTGAATAGGTTATTAAATATTAAGTATCATAATTATGAAAAAGGTAAAGAATGTATAGGATATTTAATAAATTTTCTCTGAAGTCATTGTTTTGCCTGGAATTGCTATTTCTATGTCAATTTGAGAGACTTCAATTTATTTATTAACAGACCTTCACATGCAAAGCACCATGTGAAGTAAGGAAAAGATACAAAAATGAATGAGACAATCTCTCCATTCAAGGAACACTCGCTCTTGCAGAAAGCAGACAAATATTATAATACAGCATGAAAAAAGTACTTTATTACAGTTGTGTTGAAGAAACTATTAGCTTGTTGAAAAATAAAACGTCAATTTGCTTTGATCATAAACCATTTAAAATTATCACTAACGCCCAAGTCCCCAGAAAAACCCTCATGATTTTTGAGGTTTATGCTGATGCCAAAATGAATTTATTAACAATAAAACTAATAATACAAACTATCTGTAGATGACCACCCACGGCATAATGGGATGAAAAATACTTTGTCAGAGTAGTTCTGTATTTATCTGTTTTACAGTCGAGCTTCCAATTAAGATTTAATTTTTATAAAAAGCGGGTTCCAGGACCTTTTTTTTTGAAGAATTGAAAATAAAAGGACTAGATAACTAATGAGATACAATCTTGTAGCAAACACTAAAACAAAAACAATCAAATGTATTAAGTAAAGAAGAAAAAGCAGTCTATCTACATGTGTGAGAGAGTTTAAAACCAAGTACTCTATAAGCAACCAACAAAGCTAATATAGGGATCACATGTTATTTCAATTATTACCTGCTTTCATACGCCAATTAGAAAAAAGCTTTCAAAATTTCTCCTTAGTTCACAGACATGGAAAGAATGCTATGGGGTTAGGTAATGCAGGTAACAGCAATCCAGAATGTGAATTTTACAACTGCTGATATAATCCCATTCACAGTAAAATCACAAATTCTTCTATTTTAAAAGGGGAAAATATAATCATTACTCATCTAAAAATTGTTTATTATACTTTACTGGACAATCATAATATTCTCTATTGAATTAAATATCATTAATCTTATGCATGTTCCTTTAAAAGGAATACAATATTTGTTCATCTATGCCTGAAGTTTTTAGGCTAATTTTCTTTTTTACGCAAGTTCCTAGGAACTGCTTTTACTGACATTAAAAAACAAATTGCTTGTTATGTACTTGTACTCAATTATCTGGTGAACTGACTAAGATAAAATTACATAAGATGTCAATGCACTAGAGAAAATGCCAGCAACAGTGAGAGCACATCACTACAGGCTACACTGTCTCTCCCATTTTTATCTTGCTGTGGCCACTTTACTGACTCGATTTACACTGCTACAAAACTTAAACACATTAAGTCATTTAATCCTCACAATAACCCTATTATAAAGGGGGGTATCATTTTAATCCCCACTTTACAACTGAGGAGAAGAACCGAAATATTCCAAAATGTATCTAAGGTAATAACATAGCAAGTTAGTGACAGAGCATGGATCTGAAACCAGACAGTCTTGCTCCAGTACCAGCACTTTTCAAACCTACTTATATATACAATTCACCAGGAATCTTGTTAAATTCAAATTCTGGGTTGGGGGTTGGGGGAAGCAAGAGTCTGCATTTCTAACAACCTCATCTGTGACGCAGATGCTGACAGTCAGCAGCTCACTCTTTTAAGTAGCAAAGTTCTAGTCCGCCCTAGAAAATGATGGAAAGTGGTAGCAACCCTCAGAAGAAAGCAGAATTTATCCTCAGACAATTAGGCTAATGAGGAATCTAGAGATTATCAACTACTGGTTTAGAAACAACTGCTTCTTTTATGATTTCATTATTTTTTTATTTTTAAAGAAGAAAGTCAACGAAATCACCTGATCTCAGGTTTTGCTAGTCAATATATTAATACTATTAACTTGAAACTGTAATACATATCCCCCAATATGGCCTTTCCCACATCAAGAAACTATTTATTAATACAAATACCCCCAAATATCTCCAGTATAGATTCAATCTGAACATACACTCTTAAAATATTCGTCAGTATATTTGTGCTTCTTCCTATATGGAAAGAAATTAGGGGTTAAGTTAGAAATCCAGTACCTTTCTAAACTTTCGCTGTTTGCACAAGTGGTGACTAGGAGAGGACAAGGACACCCTCTGGGAAACAGATGGAAAGTAAATGTCTTAATAACACATCACTAAACAATTCTAGTCAACAATTCTCAATAAATACAAATAGGGAAATGCCCATAACACAATTTCCCTTGACTCTCATTGATGTATAAATTATTTATACTTTATGTAAACAGCATAAACTGAAACCAATAAATAAACATATCCCTATGTTTAGTACACTATGGCCCATGGCCCTCCAATACCTAAAACCATTTAAAATAACATCAAATCACTGGAAATAACGTCATTATCAAACTTTTACACTATCGGGAAAAGAAATATCAATGCTATCAAAATATATTAAAACATGTATAAAGCCATACACAATTCAATTAAATCTATCTTAAGATCACCCTGGGTATGTATGTACTAGACATAACTATATACTAATTAAAGAATATTTCATTAATTAAAACACAGGAAGGGATTTTAGAGAAATCATCCCAGTCTGAATAATTTTGGTTTTGCTGAGTTTTCTTGTGTTTCATTCAACTTTTTCCTGAATGTACACAGATATACTTTACATTTCTTCCCTGAGGAAGAATTAAATCTGTCATGTACTTTGACAAGCTTGTAAAAATCATATTCAAAACTGTAATGGAATTCTGATTAAATAACTACACACGAAAGCCAAATGTATTAGGTTTCATAGATCTCAGGCAATATGAATTCACATATTCTAGAATTTATGAATATAGATTCCATTTTTAATTATAGCATAAATTAATAAATTTAAACTGTACAATCACCGTAAAGCTAAAATTCTCATTTACGCACTTGTCAATTAAAAGAACATAACACCACAGTCTGTCACAGATCTGACATGAAGGCAAAAATACAATACAAATTCAGGCTTTTTATTTGTCAAAGTTCTAAAACACCTTTACTAAACACTCAGTATTCCAATTCCTACTCAAGGACAAAAACTAGGTCTTCTTCCACCCACAAGAATTTGAAGACAAAGTATCTGGATATTTTACATGTGAGGCATATGGTAAAACACTGCCTCCAAATAATAAGAAACCACTTATCCTGGTTCCCTACTAAGACATACTGTATGTCTGTTTTTCACATACCACAGCCACACATAAACTCATCTATTAAAAGAACCTGAGAACTGAAAGATGTCATTTGCAGCAGTTGATAGTCATCACAGGTTGTGACAAGGGAAAGCAGGGATGAGGTGTTCCATGTTACTGTTCACAGAAAGCCCAAAGTTTTGATGTTTCACTAGTCTGATCACTAAATGAGGAAGCATTATTTCAAGGACTTAAATGAAATCTGGTATATAAAGAGAAAGACAAGTGAAACCTCCTATCTCATTGAAAGATTCTACTCCCTCTAAAATAATCCTCAGTGACCTTGAGGAAACATTCCGGAGTTAAACATGTAAAGTAGATTTCTTTGGCAACTGCAACACTAGGCTATTGCTCTGAGGGCACTTAATACATGTCTACTAGGCTCTCTAGATTTATGCACGTACATTAGTTTGTTTCATTTGCAGACAATCAACAGAAACCTTTAAAAATGTTTGACCCTACATGCAATTTTAAAACATTTAAGAGTTCTGAATTGATAGATCTTTACATTTTTCATAATGGGAAATATCAGAATACACTCTGCAAGTTAAGTGATTCTTCCAGGGAGCAAATTTAACTTGACCTCCCTAAATGGCTACAGATTTGACACACCATTTAGAAGGCTGGAGGGAAAATACTTTCATTTACTTGTTCTCTAAAGCGGCACTGTTCAATAGAAATACAATGCAAGTCACATACGTAATTTTAAATATTCTAATAACATATTAACATAGTAAAAAAGTGAAATTAATTTTAACATTTTATATAGCCAAATATATCCAAAATATTATTTTAATATTAATGAACTTTTTTTAAGTCAATGCAGTATTATACATCCTTTTGTTGTACTAAGTTTTTAAAATCCAATGTGTATAAATTTTACCCTTATAGCACATCTCATTTTGGACTAGCCACAACTGAAGAGGCCAATAGCCACATGTGGCAAGTGGCTACATTACCGGACAGCATAGCTCTTAAGTAATACTTTGAGATCTCACATACCACCATCTCCTTAAAATTAGTTTACATTCATGTTTCCTGTTTGAACTGAAATTACAAATACAAGCAAACTGTTCATTCATCGGATAAATCAGGATCAAATCACCTTATCTGAGGATCCAGTTAACATACACAATAAGAAGCAACTGGATTATACCCTATTATATCACAAGCAGACTTCAGAGACAGGGTCTGATCATCCCAAGTGAATACAACTTGTAGCAAAAATACAGGTTAAACATGAAAACATTGTCCTATCAAACCATAAAACTGCCTAATTCCTTGCAGCCACTCGCATTATTGAGCACATATCTCTTCACAAACTATCTACAATATTGTTTTCTATGCGTGTTCAATTTTGTAAGCCATAGTCATTAAAAAAAGAATAGAGCGCTATACAAATGAAATGAAAAAAATTATTAGAGAAAAAATAATCAACCAGCTACTTTTAATGTATCTTATACCAACCAATAATCTTAAATTCATCTACCTGAGTTCCACTAAAATGAATTCCCACAATTCCAATTCATTTACTGCTTTTCATACACATATTCCAACCACCAAAATTACTAAAAATGTTCCCAAGCAATTAGGACATTTGCTTAAAACGTAAATAATTCCAACAATGCATTCTGTAGAAAACGACCACTAAAACCATTAGCTTAGCCCATAAAATTTGTCCTTAAGGCTAGTAACTGAATAAATCAAACAGAACCAACTATATGCTTATTTACTGCATTTACATTTTGTAACACCACATTCAGCAATTTCTAAATGTGGAAGGTCAGTTCAGATTGCACACACAAGCAGTAACTTTAAAGCTTAGCAAAATTTTAGAAGTTTCTTCAGTATACTTCTGAAAAAACACCCTCTACAGAAATACATCAGAACAAAAATCAGCACCATTCATATGAATATCAGAAGCACAAAATCAGTATATTCATAAATCCACAATGTATACTTATGCTAAAAAGTATTTTTTCTCCCAATTTTATCTAGTTCACCTTCTACAATTTTTGTTTAATGCACTTGCAAAGCTGTAAAGAAGCAAATGTTGTCTCCTCTGCTGCACACATATCCAGACAATACATCAATCTCTTGGTATTTTTCCACAATTTGAAACCAAAACAACAAAATTCATTTCTTACCTGCAATTAGGAGGAGGATCAAGGGTTATTTCAGCTAGCTCCTTCTGAATTCTGTTAGTGAAATGAGAAGAGACAAAAAGGATTTGATATAGTCTACAGAATAACCAGGGAATTACACTGCCCTCTACCACCATGCAGTTAAATGCAAGGCTGGCTCTGCCTTCAGTAATGCTAACATGGCTGCTTCCTCTTTGTTCTCAGAGGCATAACCCAAATCCCTTAACAGAAACTTTGCAGCTTTTTTTCTCACTTGCTGCTGCAAACAAGTAAGTCATTTACACTTGATTGGAGAAATACTCATCCACTAGTACTCAGTAAAGAATATAATATCTATTTCAAAACACTTTTTACCAAAGAAATTCTCTTTTCAAGCTTATATGCAAATGAGACAAAAAGGGAGGAGGGAAAGCACTGGAATATTTGACAAGGACTTGAAGTGACTTTTACTGAGGTAAAAATTAACAGGCTACTGCAAGAGCACATTAACAGTTCTGACAATATTTTATCTGTCAAAAAAAAAGTTTAAAATTTACAAATATCTTTACTTGTGAAAAACTTTCAAAGACTACTTGACATTCTAATTTAACCATTTCTGTTTTCCCTGATTTTAGGTACAGCACTTAAATTTAATAAACATTGAGAGAAAGAGGAGAAAATACATAGGCCTGAGTTAAGGGGGAGAAAAGCAGTTCTCTGATTTGATTCAAATTTAAGATGATTTCAAAACTTTAGATGTGTCTAATATGTTCCGCATCAACACTATACCAAATTGAGAATTTTAAATTATGTCAAAGACTGCTGCCATTCAAAAATATTATCAAGTTATTAATACTTCATTACTGAGACAATAAGGGTGAAAATCCATAGAAAAATATGAGTATTTATGAATCACCACAGAATGCAATATTTGATCAGTTTTTATATTCTTTTTCCTTTAGTTATCAATAAAAATTAACAAAATGTCAAAATTGGTTAATGCTGTAAACATTATACATTTTATGTATAATTACTAGAGTTTGTGGATATTCCACTACTACTACCACTGATAAGAGTCTCATTGACAGAATCTTTTTTTCTCCATCAGAAAACATCAATCAATAGGAAACAAATGATCTTTCACTTACATCCAATTAAATATGTTTCTCCTGCTGTTGAGTATTAACTTGTCAAGCACATCCACAAGTTTCAGAGTGAAGAGGCCCAAGGACAATGCAAGTTTTCTATCACTAGTGACACCTCAAATTGTAAAGGGCTACTTTTCAGTTTGATTTGCCCTCACAAGCACAGGAAGGGATAATCATAATTTAACCAGGAAAGTTACCTGTGATATACGATTGAAAGTCATGTTTTGTAAAACTGTAAGCAGATTTGCAGCACAATTTTAAATCTGCTTTCAAATATAGCAAAGGCCTGAATTTGCAAATTTTCTAGCAAATATGATCATTTCTGATCATTAAGTTTCATGAAGAGAGGCACTGCTAATCTCTGGAAGTGTCAATTTCATTAAAGAAGATTATGACTCATAAAAGGAACATCCCCAAAGTACCATCTAATTTGGGTTCACCAAATTTTCCTTGCCAACTCCTTAAACAATCTGTCAGAATGTTAGTCTAATCTCTACTCAAGGACACTCTTAACTGAAGTTACCGAAGTACAGAATTAAGTTTGCTTAAAAGTATAATTCTAGTAATGTTGCTTACATACCACCTAAAGAATGACAACTCATTCAAGTACAATTAAACTGATAATGAAGTAAATATTTCTGAACTACTGCTATTGAGGTAAAACCAACAAAAGCGTCCAACCACCTGGAAGACAACCTGACAAAGTGTGCTGGATCCTTCTTTTACACATTACCTTTTAGCACTAGTGGATAACTTAGCAGTGGTTTTGCTAGAGAGTTTGGTGTTTTTCTTCTGCTGGGTGGCAGAAGGTTTTCTTTCCTCTTGTTCTTCAGGCTCTGGAGCGGCTGGGTCTCGCTGGTCCGCATCTGAACTGCCACTGCTGGTGCTGGGGCTCTCATCATCGGACCTTTGCCTATCACTGGACATCTTGGTGAAGTTATCTCTTGGAAAACTTTTAAAGAGAACAGGGGAGGAGGAGGAGAAAATGTTAAATCTAGGAAATAAACCAACAGCATTTTCTTCTAGTCATCTAAAATCGTCTTGTAATGAAAAAGCTTCAAAAGTGTTCACACTTATTTCATCGTACAACAGGGGTACGTACAAGGGAGGTGATGTGTCACACAACGCCAGCGTTAAGGGATTTGCCGAACTCAAGTTAGAAAACCCACTCACATTTTTTTCCGTCTCTTGGACAATCTATCAATTGTCTACTTTCTCAGAAGGCATGAAACAGATTTGCCAAGGAACTTAGGCAACAAGCATTAATAACATATGACACACTGTAAATAACAGATCTCGCTGAAAAATGTTTAAAAGTCACTAATAACGTCTAAATATTTACACACTGACATTGGTCAAAGCTACCAAATTCCCTTTCCGAGAGGAAAACACACCCTGTTAATCGCCCATATGCTTATTTAAGGTGGCGATTCCTCCTCAGTGCACGTAAAGCCTTTAAACACAACACTTGGAAATTTAAAAATCAACTAACGAGCTGCTCTAGCTGTTTCCACGGCCAGCAGCGAAGATTCATCCGGCCAAGACCGAGCTGCCACCCTGGGAAAAGCAGAATTCAAACTGCACCTTCTGCAAAGCTCCCAATGCCACCAAGGTTCCTCGCTCAATTTTTATATCACGGACCGACATTTTGTCCAAAATAACGAAAAAAATAAGAAACCCAGAGAAAAAACAAACAAATAAACAAAGCCCCAAGAAGTGCAACAAATTTCCGCGCCCGCGGAGGCGAGCCACGGCCGGCGGCGGCGGCCACGCAGCTCCGCGGCCCTTTGTGGGGAGGGCCGCGCGGGGGCCGCGGGTAGCGCTCGCCGCGCCGGGCGCCAAGTGATGCGAGCAGCCCAGCCGGCCCCGCCGCGGCTCGCGGACACCGGCGACGCGGGCGCCCGGCGCGAACAAAGCTGCCCGCCCCCGCCCCCTCCCCCACCGCCGCCGCCGCCCCGGCCGCCCCCCACGCGGCCCCCCGGCCCCGCCGCCTTACCTCGGCCGCCCGCCCGGCCCGCTCGCGCGCCGCTACGGTGTGGGGGAGGGAGAGAGAAAAAAACCCTTCCTTAAGGAAATGGAGGCAGCTGTGGGGGGGGGAAGGGGGGGGAGGGAAAAAAAGAAGCCGAGGAGGCTCTGGCCGGGGAGTGTGGAACATTGAAAGTCGGAGGGGGTTGTGCAGTGCCGGGCTCCGGCCGGAGGGTGGCGCCGCCCAGCGCCTTCGGAAAAAAGCGGGGGTGGGAGCTCGGCTGGGCGAGGGCGCGAGCTCCCGGCGAGGCGGAGGGGACGCGGGAGACCCCCGCGCGCTGTAGCCTCCCGCCGCCGCCGCCCGGCTCGGCTCCTCCCGGCCGCGCAGTCAGCAAGTTCCGAGGCGAGCGCGGGGGGGAGGGGCGGGCGCGGCGGCGACGCGCGTGCTCGCTGCTTGCCTGGCGGAGGGGCGCGCGCCGCCGACGCCCGGCGGGCGCGAGCTGTTCCCGCGCGCTCCCGTGCGCGCTCTCCACACCTCCCCTCACCCTGGGGGTGCACGCGTCCGCCCGCGCGCGGCCAGGACAAAGAGCGCGGCGGGGACCCGGCGGGCTGGCCCCTGCCGCCCTTGGCCGCGGAGCCTGTGCCAGAGAAGGCGGGGGCGCGGGCACCGTATCGCGGGGCCGCTGTGCCGCGGGGTGGCTTCCGGCCTGGGCCCGCCTCCGGGGCGAGGCTGCCCATTGGGCTACCCGCGTCCCCAGGGCTGGTTCCATCCCATCCGCCTGCGCGGGGGCCGTCGTGGCTCCCGGGGCCCCAGTACCTGGGCAAGGGCCCTGGGCGCGTGGTTGGGAGTCCCCCGCCGCCCCGGGAGACGGGAGACTAATGGGTGTTGTTGACGAGGCCAGGCACGCAGGCGGAGAAGAGCTGCCACTTGCCCCTCGCGTAAGCTGGAGGAAGGGACAAGTTGGGGTCCTGGGAATTGAAGAGGGTAGAATGTATTTGGAGATTAGGGGAACAACCTCTATTTCTTTTTGGCTCATAGCTTGCAACTGTCGCTGCCAAAGGGAAGTGTCCTTCGGATTATTTGAAACCTTAAAAATCCAAAACAGTGTTTAAAATGTCCCGCTCAACATTCTTAAAAGTGAAGGAGAAGAGTTTGGGGTTGGGGGGTGGCGATGAGAGCTAAAACATGACACTTTTCTGCGGGACTCTTCTGTCTTGCACATGAGGAGCCAGTTCTGGAAAGAAAAGTTCTGAGTGATGTTGAGTCAGAATGTCCACCCAGAAAAGCTTTAGGTGGAGATAGTGACAGTTTTGTTTGTTCTACCATTCTTTTTGCAGTCTCCAGGTGGACTCTGCGGTTTTTACCCCACGGCACAAAGTAGCCAGAATACAAAAACTTCCTGTTTGCCACCCAGGCCTTCTCCAGCTACTGAGAACTTGTTCCGGTGATGGAGCCTCAAAGGAATTTGTGGATTCCTCTCCCACAAGTGTCCAGGGGCAGGGGTGCTGTGAGAATGTGCAGTTCACAAAGGGAGTGAGAATGGCAGTCAAAAGATGTATAGAGTTAAGGGAAAGAAGAAAAGACTGAGTGAGCCAACGTATTTGCTTACTATTTCTCCTAATAGAAAACTTTTGGTAAAGGCTTGATAGCAACTCTAAAGAGTAAGTTACATTTCCATAATTTTCCAAAGACACAGTCATTCAGTTAACTTTATTGAGGGCTATATGTTGCTAGGTGCTGGACATACACTCATTCAATTGCTGTGTGACTAAAGCCAGGTCTCTACTCTGTGCTAAGAGCTCCTAGTCCAGAAGGGGAACAGTTCATTAAAGTTCGCTAGGTTCATAAGTAGTAAGGATATTCCACTCAGAATGAACAGATAGAATATCTCATGCCTCAAAAAAGATCATGGTCTGTGTGTGGACAAGCATTTTGATTTGGCTGGGTCAAAGAGTGCTTGTGGGAAAAGCTTGTTAGTGAAAATAAAAGCAGAATTTTCCCCCAGCTTTACACGATGTGATGTTACAGCAAAAGCCAGCCAATTTGGAGTTGAAGCTTTGCTTTGTTTGGAATGGGGAGACAGAAAAGGAAAGCTGTACGTTAAACATGGGTTCTTTTAGGAAATTTAAGAACAGAAATAGCCTGAAGGCCCAAAGGCCAATTGCTGATAGGATTTAGTGGGGTAAGGAGCTTAGGGGAGAAAGATATTTAGTTGTTTGGTAACATCTTCTACAGAAGAAATAGTATTGGGTTGAAAAGCCAGGGAAGTGTATTCTAATCCTCATTCTACGAAGTTCATATGACCTCAGGCAAGTTAAGTTATTTCAATTACTTTTATGTAAAAGGAGATTGTATCAAAGGTTCTAAGTCCTCTCCTGCTCAAAAATTCCATGATTCCGTGATTCTTTGGCGAACTTGAAGTCATGGAGTTTAACTTAACATTCACCCAACAGAATATTTAGGATCTACTAACTGCTTGGGAAACTGGAGTGAAACATGGGTCATGCTCTTAACCAAGCTCAATTGTGCAGTGGGGCAGCCAGAAACGTAGCCTGCAGAATGAGAAGTGCTGTATTAAAGAAGTAAAGAGAATGAGAAAAGAGCATTACTAATCATCAATTAACTAATAATGGAACTATTAATTCAGGTTGGAATTGTGGGGCATGAGGTAAAGGTCAAAGAAGGAAACATTAGATTGGTCCTGGAGAGAGCACTAGGGCCAGTGATAATGTAGATAATATAGATAATGCTCTTGGCAAAATACCTGGAATTTGGGTGTTCAACAAATAATACCTATTGTTAAAGTCACCGTAAAGATAATGAATGGCTCCATAAGGTTAGGGGCAGTAGTGCCCTGCCCCTACAATGTGAGGTGCCTGGCTGCCTTCATTCAGCTGACTCAAGGGGTTGCTCAAATGATTTCAGCTCACAGCTCCTCTCCCAGGTGACTTGGCATCACCTCCACCAGAAGTAACTTGTAAGGTGTAAATTGTTTCTAATGTTTAGTTCTTCCTTGTGTGACAACCTGTTTTGTAATTATTTTTTCTCTCTTGTTTTTGCTATGTCAATCCTTGAAATTAAGGATCATGTTTCACAGGCACTCTTGGAAGCATACAAATTTGACCTAATGCAATTATTTCATAAAATATAAAAAGGGCCCTTTTCCCATAAGGTCCCTCAGAATAGTTCCACAAGCAGACACCAGCTACCACAAAGAAGATTGTTTCCTCTCAGTCTCTTTTATTTTCTCTTGTTGGTGTGGGGTCCTGCCAGCCTCTCACAACCCTGAGAAGGGCAGTGGTAAGAGGGAAGATGCCGAATCCAATTGCAGTATTACAATGATTATCTCTTATCCCCTTATCCACCAAATGTTGTGACAAAAAGAGGCCTGCCTAAGGGCAAATAAGGCAGACCCCAGAATCCTTTGCACCTCCCTAGTTTGGGAGATGCTTTTTCCTGCGCCTTTCAATGAGTCTCAGTGTTATCTGTGTACATAACTGTGAGTATGTATAACTAAGAATTTCACAGGATCTATCACTGAGTTACCTAAGAAGTTTCTGAATTGAATGATTATGTAAGCTGGGGTATAGACCTCTACTTATCCACCATGACCAGCAGCATCCCTCACATGTAAAAAATGTAGAATAAATATGAATTTATTTTGTTGATTTTAAGGTACTTTGTTTCCTTCCAGTCAATAACTTTTCTAAGAGTCCCTTCATTTTTACTGGCTGTTTCTGATGCTTTCCAGTTACTTGTATCCTCAGTTCTCTGGCTAAGAAATTTTCTTTCTCTACCCATAAAGACTGGATTGGTTTACTAGGAAGGTATTTCTTGGCTCAGCCTTAGTTTACACAGCCTTGTTTGTCATTGTTAGTCCCAGTGTCTTTGGACCCCCAGAATCCAATGTGCCGCTTGACATCTGGGTGCACTTCCACTGCATCCTGAGGGGAAAACCTGCTGTGTCCTACACCAAGGGCTGGGCCCTGGAGTTGGAAAGGTGCATAAGCCTTGGTTTGACGTCAGATAACTCAGTGATTATTTTCTGTATTTCTCTTTTGAGATAACTCTCAGGGAAGGTATATACCAAAAAAGGCTCATGTCATGGTAAGGAGCCTGTACACATGAAACAAAACCGTGAGCACCTTAGTATGTCAAAAGGCAAAAATTTTTAAAGAAATATTTAACATTATAACAAAAATGTAGTCTTGCTAGTTATCCAGAAAGGAAAGTTGAAATGAAATATCTATCAAAATAACAAAAACAATTTTTAGTTATTATAATAATTCCTGGCAAATTGTTTTTTAAAAAATCCCTTTGTCCATTTCTAGTAGGAATGAAAATTGGTACATGTTTCGAAAAGGAATTTGGAAATTTTTTTCAGGAGCCTTAAATGTGGCCATACCCTTTGACCAGATTTCTCCATTTCAAAAGAAATGTACTTCAAGGAAACATTCTAAAAGTGAGAAAAATGATACTGAAAAACTGGAAATGTCCAACAATATGCAAATGATTACACATACTGATTCACCCACATAATTAAATTTGCCATTATTAAAATAACAGTTGTGAAAAGCAAGCTAAAATACAAAAACAGATTATTATAAAATACACTTAAGGTAGAAGTTTGTCTATTTTAGTTACTGGGAAATCAGAGCCTGCCTCAATACCTCTCAAGGTACCGAGCACAAAGTAAATCATCTATAAATATTTGTTGAATGAATATGCATCATATTTTTACAATAAGCAAAACAAAAATGTCTGAAAACAAAAGGTTGACCAGTACCTAGATTTTAGAGTGACTATGAATATGAACAACTTTATTTTCTTTTTACTATATTCAGTGTTTTTCTAGTTTAATGAGCAGGTACTACTTTTATGAGGGGAAAAAAGATGTGAATAAATGCAGGGGTGTAGATTTGGCAAAAATAAATGCTGTTTTGTTTTAACAGTTTTTTAAAATAAGTTCTTACATAAATTAAAAGAAATGATGAAAGTTCAAGCAAACTGTTTTAGAATTTGTCAGGACTTTAAATTTGATGTAAGAAAAAATAGGGAAACCAATTTTAAATACTGAAAAAAGTCACGTGAAGAGACTACACATTAAATAAAACAATAAGCTCTGGCTCAAGGACAGATAGATCACTGAAAAAAAGTAACCAAGAATTAGATCATTTAATTATGTAACAGATGAGATTTTACCTAAAACATACAGAAAAGAAGTATTATGCAATAAATGACTGAGATAACTAGTTACCAATATGGAAAAGGTCACTTAAAATCATGCCTTATTTCGTACATCAACATAATTACAAGTGAATTCAAGAGTTAACATTTTTAAAAGTCACTACTTAAGAAAATTAGAATAATTTGAGTACATGATGCAGAGATAGAGAGTTAGGATATACTATGCTAAAAAGCAACAACAACACAAAAAATTACAGGAAACAACGCATTTGACCAGATACAAAAATTGAAGCCTCAATATGCCTTCCTAAAGGAACCATGTACATGTAGCAAGTTGAAACAACAGGCTAGATAAAATGGTTTGTATAATACTATGAATAATGATTAGTATATATCACATATAATTCTGAATAGGCTTATAAAAATATCAAAATAGTTAAAGAACATGTTAGAAATTCGAAGTTATTAAGCTGCATGTAAAAATATTTATCTTTGCCTTTAAAAATGTAAGAAATATATATTAAAATGAGGTGCAACATTCTTGCCCTCAAAATTTGCAAATCTAAAAACCGTAATGCCAAATACCTGGAGGAGTATTATGAGAAGGGCACTTTCCTATATTGCTGATGGCATTGTAAATTGATATAACCTTTTTGGGAAGCAATTTGGCAATGTGTTACAAGAATCATAAAAATGTTCATACTCTTTTAACCTAGTAATTCTACTTCTGGGAATCTATCCTAAGGAAATAATCCAAAATATTTTTTAAATGCTATATGCCTGACAGTGTTTATCCCAGTATAATTTATACTATATAAAAATGGAAACCACTCAAACTGTCCAACATAAGGACTATGCTTGGTAAATTATGGTTCATTCACTCGATAGAATATGATACATGAATATAAAATGGTGAGTATTATACCTAACAGTTTATCAATTCCTCCTTGTCAGAAAATCCTTTTCTATGAAATCAGCTCATGTCCTGCTTAGTTAAAAAGACTAACAAAAGTGTCATACATCATTTTTTAACTTATATTTTTACTTAACATTGTCACTTAAATTTTTCTGAGATGTCTTATAGCATCTTCTGTAAAATCAGGTTAAATGTATCCTTTCTGCTTCAGAAAACAAAGTTGTATCCATGATGGATGAAAAATGTATAATAGAGATTTGGAAGAAATATGCAAACAATTATTTTGGAATAAGTAGCCTGATTGCTTGTGATTCTGGCTACCTCTTCCATACTGCATAAATGGTTATCTAATTAGAAAAGACTCAATAAGGAGTAGTGTGCTTTCTTTTGGGGCTGCAAATAAAGTAGTTTAATTTGATATGATAATCAGGCTTATGTGCCAGTTGAACATCTATATAACTAAAGTAGTAAAACAAAATATTTTTACAGAATGTTTCTGTTTCAAGAGTAAGACTTTTAGTTTTATTCAGGTCCATTTTAAAGGCTCATTATAATTTATAAAGATCTCAAAAATCTTTTATGCCTAGTAAAATATCAAAGTGTATATGATTTTAACTTCTCTGGATTATAATATCCCAAAATAACTCAGACAAAGTAAATATCCCAGAGTAATGTGAATGAGTTAAAAAAACAGTGATACAGAATTTTCAAAAAGAATATATGTTCTGTGTGGTAGAGGTAAGGAACATCTCCAACTTAGATTCATAAAGGAATGACCACTTAGTATCAGTACTAATAATCCAGAAAAGGATGTTGAGGTACTAGACTTTTTCTACCGATGAAATTAAGGATTAGAGACAATAAATCACTTTCCTAAAGTCTTAAAGGTAGCTCTTGACAGAACTGTGCAAAGCACTTTGGAATTCTATGCCCATTCTGCTATGCTGTCCTATCTACCAGGGCACAGAGTCCAGTCTCCCAAGTCACCAGCTCCTGTAGAGATTGTCAAAAGACTGTCATCAGAAAGTTATTATAACTTTAACAGTCTTTTTGCATCTTTGTTCATAAACATGAAAGAGACCTTCTCTAATATGGTAGTATAAGTTCAGTAATCCTGTAATAATCATTCTCTATATAATCATCCTATATATTCTTGATAAGACTTATCACAATTTATAAGTAAATATTTATTTGTGTGATTATTTCTGCAATATTTTTCTCCCCCTACTAGAAGGAGGGAAGGTCCCATATCCATTTTTTGTGCCTAAGACAGTATATTGGCATACGTGGCATATAATATTTAGTAAAATAATTCTTGAATGAGACCAAGTTACCTTCATTCACACTCAGAGAGAGCCAACTGAAGGAAATGTTATGGAATAATAACAACAAGAAAAATTATCTTTTCACACTGCCTAATATATTTATGGAGCCAGTTTCATTAAAGACAGCATAGGCCAAGCATACAGGAATTGAAAGGTATTTAGAGAAATTAAAGGACAGTAGTTTCATACAGTG
Source organism: Homo sapiens (assembly GCF_000001405.40). Lineage (NCBI taxonomy): Eukaryota > Metazoa > Chordata > Mammalia > Primates > Hominidae > Homo > Homo sapiens. Next base: position 180,973,382 of record NC_000002.12, on the reverse strand, counting down.
AAATAAATTAAAGATGTTTGGTATATGACTCTAACCTCTGAGATAAATGTCAGGGAGAACAATGACCACATTTTCTCACCCAATTTCTAATAAGATCATGATCAGAGAATGAGTACTGGACTGTAGACTTACGCTATTTTCTAAAAGTGTAGCAGAGCAGCACAGTTTTTCTAACCTGCTTAATAAAATGTCTGCGTAGAAGAGATCAAGTTCTGTGTTCTATAAAGCTAAAGTCTGGCAGTTAAGATTAAAATCAATCACCTCAATCAATCTCAGACTCATTGGCAGAGCAATTTAAAAGAACTGATGGAAAATAAAACTGTTATACATTTGGTCCAACTTTCTCTACTACTTTATCAAAACATCGTGGTCATTGACCCAGAAACCCAGCATCTTAAGTTTAAGTCCTAGTTAAAATGCTTCAGCCTTCTAGATGCCAGTTTCTTTATCAGTAAAATGAAGAGTCTGAAAGTCCTTTCCAATTCTGGAATCCCTATGATTTATGCTCTTGTTTAAATAAATAATGTTGAACACACTGAATTAACTAACATGGTTGTTAGCATCTTTAAAAACAGAAACAGCAACAACAAAACTAACAGTGCTTAAAGGCACCACTTATGCCAGTGATGATTTAAGTCCATATGTATCCACATGAGTCGATTAACTGTTAAAATTCAATTTAGCTTTTAAAAATTAGAATGTCTTTCTTATGTAAAGGATACCATAACCAGCGCCACCTTTTCCCCATTATTTTGGCTATATGAGCATATGTGTATCCAAACCAGCTGTCAATTTAAATGGGAAAAAATACATCAGCAATTCAAGTTGTTTAGAATTGAGTAAAAAATAATTGATGTCATTTTTCATTTTTAATAAGGTTGTTTCTATCATGTGAGATTTCAACTTTCTGGTTAGATTAATTCTAAACTTAATTTTTTTCTTGTTCTTAGAAGAATTTCTTAAAAAACAAAGTTATTACTACCTTATGGCTACTCTTGCTATACACACAAAAAGTCCCATAAAACTGAACTTAGGAAATACAATTACATGCATATCTGAGACTTTATTTGTTCATATAATAAATATATAAAGTCCTTTTAAAGGACTTTGTATAGTACAAAGGCTCTAGAGTGATATGTGCCAAACAAAATAGGATGGCATCTCTGCTCTAAAGGATTTATAATCTAGGAGGATAGTTTAAGAGGGATGGCCTCAAGGTCTAAAAACAGGAACTTCCTACCTAAAAGACAATGGCTGAATTTCACTTACCTATTCTTTAGGTAATAAGTAGCCCCTTGGAATTGTTTTGCTACCTTCAAATGCATTAGAGAGTAGGCCAGAGCATATGAAAGGTAGATTTATATACTGACTCAGCAAACAAATATTGAGTACCTATTCAACAAATGAAAAAACTGTGTTTTGTAATATCTAGTCCTGCAGAGAGAAAACTGTATTTTTGAATATAGGTGACATGTCCATCAACACACACATGAGCACACGCATGCATGCACACAGAGCAGTCTCTGAAGAAATAGGGACTAGTTGAGTAGATAGAAAACAAGTTCTAAGGATAATTATATGGTGGTTAAATAGCAGCAGTTTAATTATTTTCACATTGTGGTAGGTTATCTTTTTTTAAAAAAATAGAATTCAGAATTCAACCTTTCAGCTGGGATACTTCAGATGTTGGACTCTCTCACTCACTTGCTACCATCACAGTTGTATCCCCAGTTCCTAGCACCCTGTTGGAGCTTAGTAAACATTTGTTGAATAAATATAGCAAACAAGTCTGTAGCAGTTACTGTTTTTTATGCTGTCTGTTATATACATTGACTTAGGTAATACCCGCAATAACCCCAATTATTATATGTTAATAAATACAAATGAAGAAACTGAGGCACAGAGAAAGAAAGCAACATACCCGAGGTCACATTACATGACTAGTAAATGTTGGACTGTGCCCCAAAACACATGCTCTTGGCTGCTGTGCGCTGCCATTTCTGAAGAAAAAAGTGGCATTCCAAGTGAAGAGATGAGAAAGAGGAGAAGAAATTAACAGCATCATTGGCCCCACAGTGGCATGAAAGGATTGAGATGTCTAGGACAGCCTGGAGATGTTGACAGCCAGTGAAGAGTGGGGAAGTGCTGTGGTTTCAGGCATCCCCAGGAGGTTGCTTTTGGACAGCCTTTGGATAGTGGGATTGACAGTGACTGTCCAATGAGGAAGAAATGTGTTTAAAGAAGCTCCTGTAAAAATCAGAAACAATTTGTGGTCTTCCCGGGCAATTTTTCTTCTACCAAACTCTCTCTAGTTCATTCTCTTTATGACATTTCCTTTCTTTGTCCCTTTCCTCTACTATCCCATTTAGGCGATTATAATGTTGAGCTAAATTTTAAAATATTTATTAAATCAAATGTCTATATCGTCACACACTCCACTTACATTAGAAGAAAACAACTGAAGTAACTTAAAAATGATTTCTTATTGGTGAGGAACATGGAGGTCAGTGACTCTTAACAGAAGAGTAGTGTCCCCAAGTGGACTATAAAAAGTAAGAGATTATGAAAAATAAATCTTGGTACTCTGTCACTTCAATATTAGAAGATATGGCCAAATCTTAAATACAAAGCATTTCCTATTAAAATTTAACAATTTATTTTACATTTTTTTAAATCCACCATTTAGATTTAGGAACATTGATTAGACCCTTCACTTTATAACGGGAACAAGAAGTTCATGTGTGCCTAATGTAGGCTGAGGGATAGTTTATAGAATGCTGAAATCTCTGAGTTTCTGTAAAGAACACTAAATCACTGATAAGCTGTTATTTGTGCATTTAACTGTGAGTATATAAAAATAATTGTTAGTTATTTAAAGGAGTTGTCTGGGGAAAATTCCCAGTATCACCAGGCATCTGTGTCTACTGTGGCACAAATAGTGTTTGGACTAATGACTTAATCTGAGTGTACTTACTCTAATCGAACAGAGTGCAAATATATATATAATATGTATACACATACGTATATACATATAAGTGTGTGTGTGCACAGATGGTCAGTTTGCTACAGGAACAAGCACTTGTTTGTTAAAGACACTACAAATGAGGACTGACACTGCAGCAATCTCAACCACATAACTTGACAAACACATGTAACTTGAGTACTGCAAATATTAAGTAAGTTAAAACCAATATCGGGGACTGACATCAGGAGCACATGCACAGGCTCTGTATTGCCTAGCTACAATGTGTTTTAATGTGGTATGTGCAATGTAAAATCCAGACAACAGGGATCCCAGTTTAAAGAGATTGATTTGGGGTGAGGAAAGGTGATATGGTATTCATCTCTGTACAGCTTCTTAAAACTGATTTACTGCAGTGGCTTGTGGAAGTAACAGATGTTTATTTGAATGAATATTCATTTGCTGACATCAAGTCCCAGTAGATGACACTTTCCTCTTAAGAGGTCATATTTTCCTCTTACAGAGTATTTGCTATTGTAGTTGCCAATTGTCTATTTAGAAGGCATAATATTAAAGGAGCTAGGTAAAGTGGAGTATTGATGTATAATCTGAACCAGAGGTAAATGTGCTAGTTAGAAACTGCAATAATGCTACATATAAACATCATAGTGAGTTACCTTAACTTTCTTGACAGCATCATGACAGCTTCTCATCAACCAATCATGAATTTTCTTTTAAATTACCTTATTAGTATACCACTTGAGCTGGAAAGATATTTATTTAAGAACATTACCAAGGAGTCAAGTGACTTTAAATAACCACAGAAACCAAATAAGGAATTTTATTGTAAAGAAGCTTTACAGATTATAAAGTTACATGTGAATAGAAAGTATTATTTGGGGGCATCTCTACCACTTGTTATACAAAATCTTACTTTCTTCTATGTATATTTTTCAAGAAAACAGTAATATCAGAAGTACAGATAGCCTGTTACTGTCTGTTTGTTTCATAAGTTCATGCATTGGGGCCAGCTTATCATACCTAAAGTTACTTTGGCTCTGTAAAAGATTATTTTGGCAGAAGTTTTATTAGTGTATCAAATTGTCTTTTAAGAAACTTGGCCAGGATTGCTGCCCAAGATGGCAAGTTATAAATTTTAAACCTTTTTACTACACACTCCCACGTACACCCCCAAGACAGTAGTAGTAGTGGATTTTATGGTGGTATGATCCAAACACAAATTGTTATATAATTCTAAAAACAAATAAGATAATTTTAGGAGCAAAGTTATAATCAGATAAGGATCTGGTTATATTTTTTGGTTCATGAAATGCCTAGTGTATTTGGCAACATAACTAAGTCTCCATTATCTATGGTGTTATAAGAACATATATAATATACACAAAGAAATCTGTAGCTAATTCAAAAGTATCACTGTTAAGCTATTTGAGTCAGCCTTCCTTCTCAAACTGACAGATGTGTTTTTGATTATCTAACTCTTCATATTAGTGGTTGTCAACTTTGGCTACACATTAGAATCATCTGGGGATGATTGAGGAGCTTTTAAAAATCCTGATGCACAGGCCATACTCCCAATCAATTAAATCATAAGCTCTGGGGTGAGACCCCAGCATTAATATTTTTTTAAGCTCTCCTAGGTGATTCCAATGTATGGTCAAGGTTGAGAATCATTGCTTTATGTAACTTAGTGGTAGGAATGTGAAGAATCAGTACTGTGGAAAAATGGTAAGAAAATAATATCTACTCGCTAAATTAAAGAATGAACATTAGTGACTGTTCAAATTGCCATAGACCAGTGATGTATAGAAAGAGATTATTAGGCTGTTTTTTTTCTGATTTATTGAAACATCCTAACTTCAGTTCCATCTATTGCATGAAAGAATAAATTTACAAATTATAGAAATGTGATCTGAAGTACACCAGTAAATCACTTGCCCCTGTATTTTAATGTATGATAACTATTTTTTCCTATAGATTTCCTCTGTGGTCATATAAGAACTATTTTTAATTTGTTTAATCATTTTTCAAAAAAGTGGTTTTGATGTATAATATACACATTATTGTGTAGTCATGAGGCAGAATGAATAATTTTCAAATGGGTAATTGGAGGTGACAGGTGTCCTTGGGAAATTGATTTTTAAGTCATTCTCAATTTAGGGAAAAAAGATAAATCTATGCTTTCTACTATTATTCCTTAATTATATTCATTTTCATAAAGTATGTTTTCCTGAGGTATCTTAGAGTTATCCAGTAAGAAAAGTGAGTTATAGTAGAGATACAAAAATTCCCTCCAACTTTAATGTAATTTCAGTAAGTTGGAAGCAGTTATTTATTTGATTAGATATAATCAATGTAGAATATAGAAGACTGTCTAGTACACTGATTAGACTCAAACAAACCAGGACTCAAAACCTAGCTCTGCCCCCTCCTAGCATGTTTCCTGGAGCACATCACTTACCTAGTCTAGAGTTTCACTTTTTTCATTTATAAAAGGATTATATTTACATCGTCTGTGTAAGGTTGTTAGTTGTGGGAGATTAAATGGGGGAAATGTTGACAGAATTCTTACCATAGTGCCTGGCATGTAGTAAGCCCTGAATAAATGGTAGCGATTTTTAGTTATTCAAACAGATTTTTTGAAAACCTGCTTTTTTTTTCTCCCTGGGAATATATGTCTATTTTCTGTAACTACCCATGGTAGACCTTTGCTATTTATTAGGCTATAGGAAATCTTTGCATATACTTAAATTTAGGCATCAGATGGCAAGGAGAGTGTCTGTTTCTGCACGAGTGTGCACTCATAGCTGTGCGAGTTGAGTGCATAATCCACCAGGCTTATTCACTAACTGAGGAACCCTGTCCTGTGCACCAAACAGGAAACATGTGCAATGTGTTTCCCAGCAAAGCAGAAATCACCTCCCATCCAGAACCATCTCAGTTACTACCAAAGAGTGGGAATCAAGAATCAACATAATCTAACAGTCTCCGTAATATATAATGTCATTGATTCTAACATGCACATTTTAACTTCTCTCAAATAAAAATATACCTTCCAATCAATGATGTCTTAAATCACTCTCAGCCAGGCAGCATTGGTGATATAGTTGTCATTGCCTGTGACTGCATGAACTTGGCCGTAGCTCTTCATATTGCTATGATGTATGATAAAAATATAAGTCCAATTAAGCTGAAGAAAATTATTTCAATAAACATAAAGTAACAATTCTAAGTAGTAAAAAAAAATCATCGTAGTTTAACTGGCAGTGACTTTTCTTCCATAGTAGCACATAAAACAATGATTCATTATTTGATTAGAATCAAATTTTTAATTTGATTTAATAGTGAGCTATTGTTTAATTGACAACAATTTTTCTTAGAAGTTTATAAAATAATGACATACTTTAGAATCAAATTTTCAATTTTATGAAATATGATAAAAGCACATACAAAAAAACACTAATTTTTAAGATTAGTCATATTTATCAAACTGTTGAATATGATTGTTAAATAACTCAATTAAAATTTTAATTTAATAATAAAATTCTTAAAAATGGAAAAGTGAGGCAGAAGTATAGAGTCAAAGAAGGAGATGTGTTTTGAGAAGGACTCAATTGCTGTTGCTGGCTTTGAAGATGGAGGAAGGAGCTATAAGTCAAGGAATGTGGGAGGTTTCTAGAAGCTGGAAAAAGGAAAGAGAGAGTTTCTCCTCTAGAGCCTCCAAAAGTGAGTGAACTTTCTTCTGGTGAGATCTACCTCAGGCGTCTTAACCTACAAAAGAGTAAGATAATACACTGTTGATGTAAGTTTGTGGTAATTTGCTACATCAGCAATAAGTAACTAATACAATTAATAAGGTAGAAAAATTCTCGTGATTATCTGCATTAGGTAAATGGTTACTAAACTTAGGAATTTAATAGACCAGTAAAAGTTCCAAAAAGTTCTGGAACCAATTGCTAGCTTTTAATTTTACTGCCTTATTCTAAACTTATTGCTTAAAATTATAACACGACAGTGGCATATATAATTTTACAAGATAATAATAGAAATATAAGAGCAAATACATAAATAAATTTAATTTTGAAAAAACTCATTACATTGTCTTTATTTTTCTCACTTCATCCAAGGACCAATTAAAAATATCCTATGCCAGCCTCATTCTATGGTCAGGCATTTGGAAACTATATACTGACTGCATTTTGTTTATTTTAGTGTGCAGATTTTGGAGTTGCCTAAAAATAGGGAGATTGCCATTAGAACAACAACAAAACATCCTCAGATTATAAATTCCTAGTAAAAAATTCCCAGGGGTTTGGAAAATTTTATTCAATGATAACATTATCATTACTTTTGCAGCAACTTTTTTGATTTCCCCTATCTTTTCTTGCTATGTATCCAAAACATGTTGTATTAGTTTCCCATGGCTTCTATAACAAATTACCATGAAGTTGGTGTCTTAAAATAACAAATACTTACTCTTTTATAGTTATGCAGGTCAGAAGCCTGAAATAAGTTTCACTGGGCCGACACCAAAGTATTGTTGGAGCCATGCTCTTCCCAGAAGCTCTAGGGGAGGATCTGTTTCCTGGTCTTCCAGCTTCTAGAGCTGTGGTTCTTGCACTCTTTGGCTCATTACCCCATTACTCTTTCTTCAAAGCCAGCAACATAGCATCTTTATTTCTTTTTTTTTTAATTTTTATTTTTTAGTTAGGGAGTACATGCTCAGGATATGCAGGTTTGTTACATAGGTAAATGTGTGCCATGGTGGTTTGCTGGACGTATCAACCCATCACCTAGGTATTAAACCCAGTATGCATTAGCTATTTTCCCTAATGCTCACCCTCCTACCCCCACCCCCTGACACAGCCAAACCATATCATTCTGCCCCTGATCCCTCCCAAATCTCATGTCCTCACATTTCAAAACTAATCAAGCCTTCCCACCGGTCCCTCAAAGTCTTAACTCATTTCAGCATTAACTCAAAAGTCCACAGTCCAACATCTCATCTGAGATAAGGCAAGGCCCTTCTGCCTATGAGCCTGTAAAGTTGAAAGCAAGTTAGTTACTTCCTATATACAACTGGGGTACAGTCATTGGCTAAATACAGCCATTTCAAATGGGAGAAATTGGCAAAAGCAAAGGAGCTGTAGGCCCCATGCAAGTCCGAAATTGAGCACGGCGGTGAAATCTTAAAGCTCCAAAATGATCTCCTTTGACTCCATGTCTCACATCCAGGTCAAGCTGATGCAAGAGGTGGATTCCCATGGTCTTTGGCAGCTCCTCCCCTGTGGCTTTGCAGGGTACAGCCCCACTCCCAGCTGCTTTCATGGGCTGGCATTGAATGCCTGTGGCTTTTCCAGCTGCACAGTGCAAGCTGTCAGTGGATCTACCATTCTGGTGTCTGGAGGACAGTGGCCCTCTTCTCACAGCTCCACTAGGCAGTGCCCCAGTAGGAACTCTGTGTGGGGGCTCCGACCCCACATTTCCTTTCTGCACTGCCCTAGCAGAGGTTCTCCATAAGGGCCCCACCCCTGCAGCAAATTTCTGCCGGGGGATTCTAGGTGTTTCCATACAACTTCTGAAATGCAGGCGGAGGTTTTCAAACCTCACTTCTTGACTTCTGTGCACCCATTTGTTTGTGCATATCATTTGTCTCACTAATCATAGGTATGTGATTAAGGTGATTTCCTTTCCTTCTTCCTTTCTGAAAGCCCAGACAAATGCCTGTTTGACATCGACTGGCCCCAGTAAGTAACCAATATCTAACCAGAAATAGCGTTAAACTTGGCCAGAATTTGGTGACACAATAAAATATCATATCCTGCTTGTGAGAGTATAAATTGGTTCAACTTTTTGGAAGATCATTTGGTAATGTATCAAGAGACTAAAAAGACATAGCAATTTGACTTTGTGCTCACATCTGATCACCACTTTTGGATGAAGTGGCTTTATGTATAGAAGTGTTTATCACAGCAAGATTATAAAAGAAAAATGGAAATAACCTAATTATTAGGTTATTGAAACATAACCTAATATATGGTTATGGCAAAGATAGGGTAAAAAAAAGCAGAGCTTGAAACAGTGTATGTAGTGTGACCTGAAGTTTAAAATTATTAGTACAATAAGACCAAACATTTAAAAATTATTGAATGGAAACTTAACCATGCAGCTGTCACATCCATATAAAGAGATTGCATCTTTCAAAGCAAACCATTTACACATATCTGGTTAATTCCTTTGAATAAATTCCAAAACATGTAAATGATCCAGTATGAGGTATATTGCCATTTTTATTTTTTAAGTGTTTTATGTTACACTTTCAAATAGTCATCCAGAAGCATTATATCAATTTACATATTTCCCTTGTAGGCAAGCCAATTTCTACTTATGTGTACCTGTCCTACAAGGACTTCTTTATTTTTTTTATTTTCCAAATTATCTACCTTAAATGTGAATGTTTCAAAAATAAAAAATACTTACACATATGAAAAATGACTGTAAATGTATATTGGAAATGCAGACCAAATAAGTTAGAATATCATTTCCCTCAACAGTGATTGTTGGGAGTTTCCTGAACCAGCATAAGACCCACATATCAACCAAATATCTGTCTACCTACCTTTCTTTCTTTAAGTGGTTCATGTTTCTACTTGCCTGTCTCACCATCCACCTCATGGTGAGATGGGGCTCCCAACCTAGTTCCTCTAGCCTCTTCATTTCTATCAGTGGTACTATCTTTCTCTCCCACTTGAAATCTTGGTACCATCTTTGATTTCTCCTTCCTTGCCCACCACATGCAGTTGCTAAGTCAGAACATTTCCTAAACCTTTCCTCTGTCCTTTCTTTGCATTTCCATAGCTCCCACCCTAGCACAGGTTTTTATTACCTCTTTTATACAACAGATATGTATTGTGGACCTACCCTGCACAAGGCATTATACTGTGGCAATATAGGATAAATGCTTTCACTCCTTCACAGAATTTATAGTCTAACAAGGCAGACAGAGAGTAAATGACAAATTGTAAAATTAATCATACAACTACAATTGTGGTAGTTTCACAGATGAAAGAAAAGTTAAAACAGCAAATAACTAGAGAGACAGATCTAGTCTGGAGGGCTCAAGTGAAGATTTCTTGAAGAAGTGCTATTTACCTTGGGCTCTGAAGCAGTGCATTAACTAAGTGAAGCAGAGAGAGCAATCTAGGCATAATGGAACAAAGTGCTGAAAGAAACCGAGGAGGAAAGGACCTGGGGTGTTTATGATGCTGAGTCAAAGCCAGTTTGGGTGGAGCGCAGAGAATGGACTACCCTGAGGCTGAAAAGGTAGGTGGCCAGATCATGTAGCTCTTTGTAGACTATGTACTAGATTATAGCCCTCAAACAGCTTAAAATTAGCCTCTCTGCCTCCAGGTTAGAGCCCCTTCAGTCACTATTACCCGCAACAACTAAGACACACTTATTTAAAAGACCTGTTGGAACATGTCAGCTTCCTGACTAAAAGAAAACAGAAAAACCATTAACAGCACACAAAAAATCTTTACTTAGTGGCTCATCATTGCCAGTGGACTCAAGTAGACTCCCCGGGCTTTGGTATGGGTTGAACTGTGTCTCCCCAAACTTCATATGTTGAAATTCTAATCCCTGATTCCCCAGAATGTGACCATATTTGAAAATACAGTTGTTGTAGGTATAACTAGTTAAGATGAGGCCATGCTGGAGTAAGGTGGACAGCAAATCCAGTATGACTGGTACCCTGATAAAAAGCAAAATTTTGGACACATACAGAGAAACACAGACACACACACACACACACACACACACACACACACACACACCCACGGGGAGGGGAGGAGGAAGGGAGAATGCCATGTAAGACTGGAGCTGTGCTGCCACAAGCCAAGGAACTAGCAACAGCTAGGAGGCCTGGAACAGATCCTTCTTCACCTTAAGCATTCTTCTCTGCTCATCACAACATCCCTTTCCCAGGGGTCTCAGAGCTTTGGAAAACTAAAAATCGATCTCTGTAAAAAAGAATTAAAGAATTTAAGCCTGAGATGTATATATATTAAAGGGTGTTCAATAAAAAAAAAACCCATAATTTAAGAAAAGATACAACAAATAATATGTGGCTTTCCTATTATAGGTCTAATTTTGCTATTACATACAAATGAAAAAAATGAAGCTAATAGCATGAAATTGGCTTTAAACAGGATAGGAAATTTCTGCCATGCTTCAGATGGGGATAATAATCTATATTTTTTGCTGGTTTTTCAAGCTATAGGAGATGTACAATTTTGTCTTCCTAAACAAATTAATATTTATTCATTAAAGTCTTAACAGAGGTAGAAGCTTAAATTTTCATGGTTATATTAACTGTTAGTTTATTTTAAGGAATCACATTGAACCACCTAGAGACATATGTTAGTTTATAAGTAGAGTATGGTTAACTCAGTAATTAAAAGTACATTATTTCCCCTTTAGTTAAGAAGAAAAGTCAAATGATGCCAGTGGTAATAGTTAAAAAGAGTAGACAATATCTATAGCAAGTGACTATTTTCATTTGTTAGATTTTGGTGGTGAGGAATCTGAATTATGTTGAGAACTAGAGCATTAACCTGACACTAATTCCAAAATAAGCATAGAAATAACCATTTTAATAACTATTACATGGGTTGTGCCCACAAAATGCTGTCTCAAAAGCCACCTCTACATAACATGAATTCATTTTAAACATTGAGTTTTAATATTAAGGGCTTTCCTCTTGGTTATTTGATTTCATCACCTATATGTCTGTGCAATTTTACCTGTAATATTCTGCTATGTTTTCCTGTTTAAAATATATTTGAAATACAGAGAATATATTTCTGGTACACAACCTGTAAGATGGCCCCCATGACCCTCACCTCCTGATATTCACACCTTGTATATCACTTCCCCTTGAGTATATGGTGGCCTCAGTGGCTCAGTTCTGGCAAATACAGTGTGACAGAAGCAATGTTATATTCCTTTTTATATTAGGTTAAAAAAAGACTGCAGCTTCTCTCTTAAGTACTCTTGCTCATTCTCTTTTGTTCTTTCTTAAATCTTGCCCTCTCTTAGGTTGATCTTGGGAAACCCAGCCACCATATTGTAGGCAGTCCTGTGAAAAGGCACATGTGAACGATCTCGGAAGTGGAGCTTCTGAGGCTTGCCAACAGCCACATGACTGAGCTCAAAAGTGGATACTTCAGAGACTCCAGCCCTGGCTGATAGCAGAACTGCAACCCCATGAGTGACTTTGAGCCAGAACCATCCAGCTAAGTAACACCCAGATTCCTGAGCCACAGGAACTATTTGAGGTAATAAATATTTGTTGTTTCCAGCCACTAAGTTTTGTGATAATTTGTTACACAGTAATAAATATTAGAACATCGAGTACATTGGCTTTCTTTCTGTCTTGAAATTTATCCAGCCACATTTTGGGGATTGAGTATGGGGCTGCTATGTTAAGTTTGGCCTTAAGTGGAGAAATATATCATTATGTCTTATTTTCAGTGGAGAGTTCCACAATTAACCCGAGTAGACTACAATGCCCCATTGTGTTCTGTGTGGTGTGTATACCTTTATTTTAAAGATCTTGATGAAATTCCTGATAATGCAAATAAAAGAAAAGAAAAAGTGAAAATGCTAGCAATTTAGTATCTGTTAGGTGTAATATCCTGGCACTATGCTTACATGCTTATATATTAAAGTATCAAGAACTGCCATATGTTTGGAATCTATTATATGGTTCATTCACCCCTTCACTCATGCAATTTCTCATTAATCCATTAAGAAAGCGTCTGTTGAGCCCTTATGATGACCAGGCATTTTACCTGGTCATACCAGGTATAATAGATATATCAAATGGAATATTACTAATTCTGCCCTCTAGAAACTTAAGGTCTAATAAGGTAGACAAACCAATAATGATTACAATAGAGGGCAATAATTGACAGAAATAGCAGTTGGCCCTGGGTGCTATTAGCACAAAGAAGAGGCTTTGGAAGGAAAAGCTACCTTTAGAAGTCATGCCTGATGTTGAAGGATAAATAGAATTTAGTCAAGGAAAACAAGACAAGAGGAAATTATTAATATTTCAAGCAGAAGCAAGATGTGTGTCAAAGCACAAAGTACAGATAGAGTTTAAAACTTTCAATTTTGTGTGAATAAACTTGATGCGGGCCCTCTTGGTGCTAACACTTCAGTGATGGAGGAAAAAATGAACAAATAAATATGAAACTACAAATTGTAATAAAGTTGAATAAAGGGAAAAACAGAACACCAAGAACCAGTAAAGGGATTTGTACATAATAGTATTGTTAGAGGAAATGATTTTCATGTTAGACATATTTTTAGGTACATTTGGGGTAGTCCCTTGGAAAAGTCCCAGCACAATTACAGAGAGTGAAACTTGAAGGAGAAGGTGGCACTGGAGCTAAAGATTTGGACTTCATCACACATTGGTGTTAGTTAAAGCCATGGAAATGTGTAAGGTTGTCAATTATGCCGGGCAGAGTGCTTTTTGAAGTAGATTTTCAAAGCATCTTTGTGGGTTAATTCTATTCTGAGAATCTGTTACTTTTTTACATCAGTACAGGGTTTAAAAATAATTTCGAGTAATTTTCCTTAAGTCATAATATTAGCAACCACAAAAGCTGTTACTAATGGAGAATGGTGTGCTTTTAGAAGTTCCATTTGGTAAGTCTGTGAGCCTGCAAAGCAGTTAAGCCTAATACTTAAAAAGCCCTGAATACTGGGATCGCTACCTGGTTCCACACATAGGCTTCAGCTCTTACTGTGTGACCCGAAGTTAGTTACTTAAAATCTTTCATCTCAGTCTGCTTTTGGTAAGCCTTTACGTGTATAGTGAGAAAAATATGAGAAAATGCAGGCAAAGCCTGTGACAAATTGCAAATGCTCCACTAGAAAATGGTAGCTCCTCATATTATTATTATTATTATTACTATGAATATCAGTAATAATGGCAGCAGTAGCCAGTCATAGTAGTAGTAAATGCTTTTCCTGTGAGAACATTCTAAAAAACTGGGATAGCTTGGGCTATGAAATTATTAATATTTGGATATTTTTCCAATTAGTATTGCTGTTTCTCATATAAACATAAAAAAGAGATTTGTTTCTTTTCTGTGTTTGAGATGGGGACATGGGGTTAAAAAAATAGGAATGTGGAAACACCAAGAAATAAGATCAGGCAACTGAAGATATGTCTTCTGCCATGGAAGCTCAAAATTTTAGGATCTTTCAAGATACCCATTTGCTCCTGGGACTTCAGATGCTTGGTATTGCTAAGAAATGTGATCATTTCCCATTTCAAGTAAATATGGAAATTAGTATTCTTTATTGCAATATTACACTATTTTTAATATAGAAATGTTATTAAATTTTCGGAATTATTTGGACTCAATGTGGGTGGGCTGAAGAGGTGACACAAAAATTCATGTCTATCTTTACCCCTTCATTCTGTTTAAACATTTTTATCCTAGCATGTATGAATAGTACTCTTATAATTTAAAAAACAGTTTAAAAAAATTAAGGTCCACATGGAAAATATGAAACAAACACAAGAATTTAGATTACACTAAACAACACATGACTCTAGTAGAATCCTGGAAATGTTATCTGATAAAGAATATTAGTATCATCACTTCCCTTCCTCCTTTTAAAAATAGGAGTAAAGTGTTTTAAAATCTGGTGTATTATTAATATTATTTCCAGGTGTTAGCTAGCTATTTATAGATGAGTTCATTTTAAAATAGGTTAGTCCCCATGAATGGCAGACAAGGATATATGCCTGACAAGACTGAGTCTTCTGGTGTCATACTTTAAGGACCTCTTTCTGTAGAACTTCCTTCCAGCCATGAGTCTAGGAACTTCTGAATTTATACAAAACCCATCCCTTAAAACTAGAGCCAAGAACTAATTTTATTTCCATTATGATGTAGATTGTAGTAAATGATTTGTATAGCACGTATAAGTCTTTAAAACATTTTTACATCTATTATCTTATTCTCCCTTCAGAATAACCCTGTGAAACTGGCAAAATAGGCAAGACTGTATCTCTCAGACTATTTTCTAATGGTATGGTGCACCTTTCTATACAAGGTTTTATTAGTTACACATACCTATCATTAGTGAAAGAAAGTTTAGGGTAAACAGACTTAAACCTTTGTAAAACATATTTGAGTCTATTTAAACTGAGTTAATTTGAATTGCATGTAAGTATAGCCTAAATATAGAACCAACATCTTTCCTAGAAATGACTTGTTACACTTCCCTTTTATTTTTTTCCTAGAGACCTGTTAAGTTTTTGATTGAGGCATTATAAATACTCCTTGTGCTACACTGAGATATCAGCATCTCAACTGTCTGTGTTGATCTCTACCTGATTATTCTCCATTCTTTGCCTCACTGAGAGTAGAGGATTCAGCTGTATCAACAGTTTGTCAAAAGGAAACTATTGTGAGAACACTTTTCTTCCAAAAGTGGGATTCAGATTAAATAACACAATGCTCAAACATTCTATGAAAGGGTTATTCTCCAATAACTCTTACATATTATTTCATCAAAGATGTTTTTAAACTGGGAGAATAACTTATTGTATTGGATTTGATGCATTAGAACCTATAAAAAGCATCTTTGCGACAGATAAAGATTCCATTTTCTGGAATACAGGCATATAATGTTGGGCAATTTGGAGAAAATCTCTCTATTGCTCTTGTAAAAATTATGTTCTGAATAGGAGAAGAAATTAAGTACAGCAAAAATAGAGAAAGACAGAAGGGAAATTGAAGATTACCTTAGAAAAAAAGCAGAATCAGGAAGAACACAAAATAACTGCCTTGAGGTGGTTGATAACTCTGAAATTAAAATTTAGGTTGAAAATTTCCTTACCTTTGATTGTCTCATGTAAGTTTAAATTTTTCAAAATTATGCCCTTTCTTTCTCCTCAAATGCTGCTAAAATTAATCTTACATTGATGAACAGATTTTATGTGATCATCAGTGAGAAGTGTTTTTTTTTGCGTGGATGGAGAAATTTGGCTCAGAAATGTGATTATACATGTTTGGAAATGGCTTGTAAGTAATACATCGGTTTCTACTTAAACATGAGGTTGTGATTATATACGTATTTGCAGATGTGAAATTTAAATATAATATCTACTGAGTGACACAATACATTATGTTAAAGCCCATAGCAGAGTGAACTTTACCATTTTAAGAACTTTTCATATGCGTTAAGAATTCACTGGTAGAGTCAATTCTAGTTTTTGATGGAGTTTTAGATGAGTATGGTATAGTCTTAGTCATTTAGGGCTGTTACTAAAAAAAAATCATAGACTGGGTGGCTTATAAACAACAGACATTTATTTCTCACAGTTGTGGAGGCTGGAAGTCCAAGATAGGGTAGCAACATGGTAAGGTGCTGATGAGGGTCTTCTGGTTGCAGACTGCCATCTTCTTGTATCCTCACATAGTGGAAAGAAAGCAAGCTAGCTCTCTGGACTCTTCTTATAAGTGCACTAATCCCATTCATGAGAACTCTACCTTTACCTCAAAGACCCAACCTCCAAATACTATCACATTGGGATTAGGTTTCAGCATATGCATTCTAGGAGGACACAAACATTCTGTTTATAGCAGGTGTACACTGTTTTTTACCTAAGTAATATTTATTTTTTTTCATCATTACTAACAAGTTCTCATTTTTTTTGATGCAATAAAGTGCATCACTAAAAATAGTGACCTCCTGATACTACCTGACATCTAAAGTAAGTAAGGTGACATAATTCTGCCAGAGAAGCAAGTGGAAGTCTGCTGTGGATGTGTCAAATGTTTTTCCTCTCCTAAGACAGGTAATTTACTCCTTCACTCTTCAATCTTATTCTTTCTTGAAACTTAGGTGTGTAGTGAACCAACTGATGACCATGGGGCATAACAAGCATGATAAGGATAACTGGGGTAGAAGATGCTAGAAGCTTGGGTCCCTGATGATGGCAATGTGCAGCTGCCCAAGCCTACACTGCTCCCAACTAGCTTTTTTAAAAACATTATTTAAAACCCTTCTATTTGTTGGGGGGTGGGGGGTTGGGGGAGGGATAGCATTGGGAGAAATACCTAATGTAGATGATGGGTTGATGGGTGCAGCAAACCACCATGGCACGTGTATACCTATGTAACAAACCTGCATATTCTGCACAGGTACCCCAGAACTTAAAGTATAATTTTAAAAAACCCTTCTATTTAAGCCACAATGGTAGGGTTTTCTATTATTCATAGCTATTTATCTTCATAACTCATATAGTAACCAATTCCCTTATAAATTCTTTGTCCTTTGAATGCTTTGGCAGACAGTGCTAAGTACTTAGGAGAGATAGTGCTTTATTGAAAATAGTGAAATGCTTCTGTACAATTTGTAAATTTCCCAGATCTTCCAAGTGCCAGACCCTTCCCCAGTGGTCCTGGTTACTCCCCTGAGGCCAACGGCACTTCCCACAATTCAGCAAGGAATAAGTCAATGACAGGCACAGGAAGGTGCCTCCAAAGCCTTATCTACATAGGTATTCCCCATGCCTCAATTTTGTTAAATATCTTAAATGTTATTCCAGATGAAACAACATGTATTCATAAGGACAGCATCAGTGATGTTTTATATACCTTAAACTGTAATAACATACACTATATACTGAATATTCATTTATTTATTTTTCTTGCAGAAAACTTTCAGAATTCTCCTGTGTTTGAATTTTAACCAGATACCCACGAATTCATGTTTCTTTATGGCACAGAATCTAAAAAGCGAGCATCTTTTGCTCAGTTATGGATCAATCAATGCTTTTCTGGTTTTCTATGTCCAGGGTTATTTAATCCTATGCTCCAAAAACCTGCATCTTGGACAGGCCTCCTCATCTCCTGTTTCCTATCTTCTTACTGTCTTAACCAAGGTACAGAGAAAAACTTGGATACTGGAATGGGAAAAAGCTTTGAGTCATCTGTATTTAATATGCTCATCATCATAAAGCAGGTATTTCTTACTCTTTCCAAATTCTCATTTTATGTGGCCTCAGCTCTTTCTATGATAACTTCAAGCCAAAGAACATGTACTTGGCTTCCTTCCTTTCTCCTTGCAGATGTTACAAGAAGGCAGTCCTGAGGCCTGCATTTACTTTTCTTTCTGCTCTTCTTTTTAAACTTTCCATACCTTTATTGGAAAAGAAAAAAAATCTTTATTTACTTCTGCACCTTTATTTTATATCTAGTCTCTATTTTCCACTCCCAAATCTTACTGTTCTTAATTCGATCAATGGAGGAGCCCACCATTGCCTGAAGGTTTTTAAATATTTTAAATATCATCTCAGATAAAATAACATTTATTCATAAGGATGGCATCAATGATATTTTATATACCTTAAACTGTACTGACATATACTATATATTAATATTAATTTACTTCTTTTTCTTGTAGAAAACATTCAGCATTTTCCTCTCATTTTTACCAGATATCATAGGTATCTGGTATTTCAAATATAGGTATCTGGTTAAAATAATAGAAGACACCATTATATTAAAATGGAAATTCTCAGTCACTGAATATATATATATATATATATGTATGTATGTATACACACACACACACACACATAAGGGAAGATTATGATAGAACAAGAATAGAAAGAGCTTACTAAATTCAGTGAGCTGCTCAGTTAGATAACATTTGAAAAATTATTTTAAATTGTACTATAATATATATGTGTTAAAAAATAGGCTTTCTTAAAAAGGATAAAATAATAGCTTATACAAATATGAAATTATCACATGCAAAGATTTTATTTAACTCATTAATTAATGAAGGAATCAGTAGACATTACAATCAGTTCAATAGGCAACTTACAGTCTGAGGAATACTGAAATGAATATATAAATGGATGGAAAACTGGCAAAAAACAAAAAGGTAATTGTCCACAGGCAAATAATCAGTTGCATTCTACCAGATACAATGTGCATTTCTATGGACAGGAATTATTTGCATTACCATCAGTTATGTATAATTTCTATCTCTAAAAAGTTTTAAAATAACCCAGTCAAAGACAGACAGAGGTGATCAGTAGGTGTATTAACTAGCCAGGACACATCATATGTTCCCACCTCGTTTATAATTTTTCCCTTACATATGTGACCTGGTGAAGTATAGCCAAAAGGTTCTTGATTCCCATCCTGGGAACTGACTTAATGGCCTTTTCTAGGAGGAGAAGATAAAAATGGGAGTGGGACAGAGTTGGGAGGGAGGACAGTTTTATTTTCTTGTGTTTTTTTTTTTTTTTTCTTGAGAGGACAGTTTTAAAGGACAAGACTAGGAAACTGAGTAAGAGTGAGGCAAATTGTCCTTTCCCACCCTACTTGGGATAGTGTTAAGAGCTTGAGCCCTAGAGCCATAACACATGGTTCAAACTCCATTTCTGCCACTTAACATGTGTGTCACCTGTTGGACAGGTTACTTAGTCTTTTGAGACCTCAGTTTCTTTATCTATATAATTTGGTTATTAGTAGCACCTAATTGATAAGTTTGTTGAAGGGGATCAAATGTGATGACCTTCTAAAATGGTTAGCATAATAATTAGCTTGGCAATGTGCCAAATAATATTATTTATCATCATCAATATTTTTGTCAATATTATAGTTGTCTTTTAGGTGAAACTGATATGTTCAAGCTAAACCAGCTCAGAAATTTATGATACCATCAAATTAATTTTTGAAATTGCTCTATTGAGGCATAATGGACATACAGTAAACTGGATATACTTAAAGTGTGCCACTTGGTGAGTTTTGACATGTATTTACTGTGAAACCATCACCATAATGAACATATTCATCACTCCCAAAAGTTCCATCATGACTTTTTATAATCCCTACCTCCCATTGTTCCCTGCTTCCCATACCTATCCCCAGACAACTCGTTATCTACTTTTGTCACGAAAGTTTGCATTTCCCAGAATGTTTATCAATGGAATAATATAGTTTGTATTCTTTTCTCATTAGTTTCTGTCACTCAGCATAATTATTTTGAGATTCTTGCATACTGCAGTATATATTAATAGTTCATTCCTTTTTACTGCCATGTAGCATTTCATTATATGTATATACCATGCTTTTTCTCTTTTCTTTTTCTTTTTTTTTTTACCCAGTGTTGGTGGACATTGGAGTTGTTTCCCATTTTTGGCTATTACTAATAAAGCTGACATAAACATTTATGTACAAGTGCTTGTATAGACAAATGTATTAATTTCACTTGTATAAATACCTAAGAGTGGAATGGTGGAATCAGAAGGTAGGTATATGTTTAATGTTTTTAGAAACTGCCAGCTATTTTCCAAGTTAGTTGTATAATTTTTCATTCCTACTAACAATGTATGAAAGCACCTGTTGCTCCACCTCCTTGTCCACACTTGGTATGATCAGTTTTTAATTTTAGCTATTCTAACAGTTGTGCAGTGGCATCTCATTGTGGTTTTAACTTATATTTCCCTAATGACTAATGATATTGGGCACCTTTTTAATGTGCTTATTGTCTACTTCTGAGTAAATACAAAGTGTTTTGCTAAAACTATTGTGGGGCTGTATTGGATGATCTATTCATGTGTAATATACTTCATCTAGTCCAAACCTATACCCCCAAAAGATAAAATGTAAAAGCCATAGAGTTGACAACATGTAAACACCTTCATGGCCCATAAACTGACAGATATGTGAATGAGTAAGCAGGACTGAATCTGAAGGTCTGACAGGTGATGGGCTTGGAAGTAGAAGTGAAGGATGCTAGAAATTTTCCATAGGAGATGGGGAACCAGAGCCTGTCTTACAGCTTGGAGTTCAACATGTTCTCACTCCTGTGAAAAGAAGCTAAGGAAAGAAAGCTTGGTGTTGCCCTCCTTCTTGCTGTTGCCCTACCGCCTGGGGCTAAGGGAGCAAGAGGACTAAGATTAGGAACTGAGTCAAACTGCTTTCAGGACCCAAGGCCTGAATTTTTTACAAACCCACAGGTCACAATAGTATAGGAATACCAAAACACTGCAAAACTCAATTCTGGACCTGAGGTCTGAAGGAGTGAGAGAACAAATAAAACTGGTATGGGTAGAGGAGAGAAACTGAGAACAAACCCAATCCACAAATTCAAACAAAACCTACATCTCAAAATGAAACTCATGAAAGAAGTAATAATGAAAAAGACAACCAACAGAGAAAATGAAAAACAAAGTTATGAGAAAACAATTAGGACAATGAGGAATCGTGAAGTAATAATGATAACAATCACCATGATAAAGCTTAGTATGTTTTAAACCCTTGACACTTACCTAAAAGAAAAGACAGCCAAGAAAATCATCAGGACATAAATTCCCCCTGGACAAAATCAGTTTTATGGCACAATATGACAAAGACTTTTTAAAATTTTTGATTTTTCAAAGAAAGAAACAAAGAAATGAAAATCATGGCAAAGAACAGGATTACATGAAATAAAATATGCATATAAAAGAACACATGGATACGAAAAAGGAGAAGAAATATTTGAAATAAAAAGCTATTCTTGTAATACAAAGTACAGAAGATGGATAAACTATAGCAAGATATGGCAAATTGCAAAGAATGGCCATACATCCTTTGTAACTCCTTCCATCAAAAGGTGGAGTCCATTTCTTTACTCCTTGAATCTTGGATAGGCAATGTGACTAGATTTAGCCAATGGATCACTAGCAAAGGTGATGCAAGTGGAGACTTCAAAAGCACTTGAACGTTGGGGGTCTTATATGCTCTTGCTGCTGGGAACACCAGAACCATCCTGACACAGAGTCTGGGTTAGCCTCCTGAGTGGTGAGAGAGCATGTGGAGTGAGAGGTTCAGTCACCTCAGCTACCTCAAAAGCTTAGCAAAGCACAGACCCTCACTGACCTGACCGTGAATGTAGTTCCATGAGCCAGTACAGGCAAGACTAGCAGGAAAACCACCTAGGCATTCCACAAAATCATAAGAAATAAGTTGTTCTTATTTCAGACCACTAAATTTTGAAGGATGTTAGGCAGCGATAGATAATTGTTACACTGAGATAGTAAAAGACAGAATTAGCAAATGAGAAGATACTATGAATAATTCACCCCAAACACAGATTAAAATATGAAAATGCAATGAAGACATATGGAAGAAAGATGTAAATATTCTTATGTATTTCTAACAGAAGTTCTAGAAGAAGAGAATGGAGGGGATGGTGGAGAAATAATATTTGAAGCAATGATAATTTGAAATTTTCCAAAACTGAACAAAGTCATGAGTAGTTTTAGCTTCAAAATAATTAAGGAATGTTTTATGGATTTAATAAAATAATTTATATATAAACTAAACTTTACTATTCGTATAGGCTATTTG
This sequence comes from Homo sapiens, assembly GCF_000001405.40. Classification (NCBI taxonomy): domain Eukaryota; kingdom Metazoa; phylum Chordata; class Mammalia; order Primates; family Hominidae; genus Homo; species Homo sapiens. The sequence continues at coordinate 180,950,954 of NC_000002.12, read as the reverse complement.
CATATCAACTTGAAAAAAATGTGAATTCTGCTCAAATCAAACTGCAAGAGGGCAGCTTCTCTTTTTGTAATTCAAGTTTCTTAAAATTTGACAAATAACCAGTATGGTGGTGGGGAAGGTCTCCCTGTAGCAAGTGTTTGCGTGTTAAACATGCTTTATTTTTGTCTGTCCATCTTCCCTTCTTTTAGGAATCAATGCTCCAACAAACCACATGGTTTTGATGGTCTCAATTTCTACTCTTGCAGGGGAGGACATATGAACCACGATACTCCAAACAGTTTTTTCTCTCCCAGCAATTTTAAACTTCAGATAAATTCAATATAAAAATGTCTTACAGTCCTGTATTGCACATCTTTAACATATATTTATTTCATTTATAGTATTTGGGGTGGAAAGAATAGGCACACGTGTACTCAGTCCACTATTCTGTTCTAATCTTCCTTCTGTACTCTTATTCTGCTTAAGCTATCCAGCTTTTAAAACAGCAGCAGGTAGTCATCGTGCTATATATTAGATCTCCAGACCTTATTTATCTTATAACTGAAAGTTTGCACCCATTGACAAAATTTTTGCCATTTTCCCCACTCCTGGCCCCTGACAATCATTCCACTTTCTGTTTCTATGACTTCAATTTCTTTAAATTCCACATTAAGCGACACCATGCCATATTTGTCTTTCTGTGTCTGGATTATTTCACTTAGCATAATATCCAAATTGGTAAAATTTTCTTCTTTTTTTAAGGCTGAATAATATAGTATAGTTGAAATTTGTTGAGAGAGTAGATTGTTAAGTGTTCTTACCACATACGCAACCCTCAGTGGAGATGATTTGTGAGGTGATGGATATGTTACTTAGCTTGATTGTGGTAATAATTTCACAATGTATACATATATATCAAACATCACCTTGTGTATCTTAAATATATGCAACTTTTATTTGTCAGTGATACCTCACTAAAACTGGGGGGAGCAACCAGCAGCAGATAAAAAGCAAATTTGATATGAGGAAAAAGGCTGCTAGAGATAATCCTATTAGCAGCATTGAAGAATGACAAATTGGAGTCTGATATTAAGAGAAAAAGCAAAAAAAGAAAAAAAAAGCTTAAAATGGAGGCACTGCTAGTCAAAACACACATCAATGGGATACTAATGTAGGGTGATATATATTTGCTTCATCAGACTCTAAGGGCATCAACTTATATATACAACATAAGTTGAGTATAAAGTGATAATTGTATAGGTTTTTTAGGCTCTTTAGTTGAGCATATTACAGCTGTGTGGGTCATCATGCCACTTTAAAACGCTATTTTTGTAGTCTCTGTCTAAAAAGGCAGGAAAGTGACAAATCTGCCTATACATTTGTAAAAATATTTCTATCAAAACGTTCATTGTTTAAATGAATAAACACTCATGTGTAAAATTTATTCCATATAGACCCAGTATTTTATTCCATTAGCTAAATTGTGATGGTTTAGATATTTATAAATATTTTTTGCTTTTTTACTCTTTGTCATGCTCAGGTTTTCATAAAAAACACTCTTGAATCCCATGCTGATAAAAATAAAATGTTTTTCTTTTCTTAATATGTTATATAATGTCTTAAATTTTATCCAAGGGAAATTTCTCTTCTCGGTGTAATTCAGAGTAGTTTTATTTTTCAAAAGGGAACTGTTTGTCCCACTAAGTTGTTTTTATTTAATGCCCTGACTACGACTACTGATTGTTCTGAGTTGTAAAAAGATCAGAGCCTAATTATTTTAGCTACTAGAAAACACTGTGTAACGCTTTCCTCAAATATCCTCTTTCAGACATCTCTAGAGTTATGTTTAAAAGTGTGCTGTGTATGGACTACTTTATTATATTTAAAAACAAAAAGATAAATAAAAGCCCAGACACCCCAAATTAGTTACCTACCCAAGCTAACGAATTTAATTGTCATTTGTTCTGCCTTTCTTTTAAAGTAGGAATGAAGCTCCTATATAAAACTCTGATAATTTTTATCTATTCTCTGCTTGAATATTTCCAGTTACAAGGGGTTTATAATCCTGTAAGGCATCCCATTTTATCTGTATCCAGCTCAAATTGTTAAAATATTATGCTGCATACATATATTGAAGCAAATTATGTCACCTTGTAATTTATACTATGGAGTGCACAATAGTTGTTTTTGTTTCTATAGATGAGTTCTGAACCTGTTTGAAGACAATAGTATGGTTTCCTTTGTATCTGTCTTCATTTGTGTAAAATAATTTTTTTTCTAATTTCTTACATAGCTATCTTTAAAAAATAAAGAAGAAACCTAAGCTTTCTTCTTTCCTCCTGTGTTCATCTATCCCTCCTTTGTTTCTATCCTTTCTTCCTTATTCAGCCCAAAAGCCACTGAATGGAGCCAATTAAGATAGGAGTGTATGTGGTGGAGAGAAGAGTGATGACCTAGCACAGGTGTGAGAGCCTGAGTGGGGTGAGGACACCCAGGCTTGGCTACGGATACAGGGTCAAATGATGTCTTAAGGCCTCTCTCCACATCTTGGCTTCCAGGCAGCAGCAACATGGCCATTCTTACTTCAAGCTTAAATTCAAACAAATGACTGGGAATTGACTCTTAATTCCATCCCTCAATCAATATTTGTGATTGAGAATACAATGATTGTTTGTTAATCTTGGGTTTTAATTCATTTTACCCAATCAGTGGACAGAAGATAAGAAAGGGATCAGTGGACAGTCTGGATCTTGTTAATAGGAGAGGGAGAAATAGATCCTGGGTAAGCTAAAACTGTAAATGTCCACTGTGGAATAATTTAAAAAGGTTTTGAATAATGATATTGTATCTAGACTTTTTAAATAAATACGTATTTCTTACTATAGGATCACTCTGTAAATACTCTATTTCGTGACTTGTTTTTATTTTACTTAAAACAAATAAAAAACATTTTATTTTGTCAGTGAATATCCTTTTAGAAAATAATTTTGATAGGTACAAATATTAATTTAATTGAACAGTTTTCTACTTTTGAACATGTAAGTTCTTTGCATAGTTTACTTTGCTAAACAACAACACTGCAAAGACTCTTTGCATACAACTCTTTGTGTGCTTTTCTAAGTATTATTTTCCCAGGATAAATTTCTAAAGGTAGGATTAGTAGGTCAAAGAATATGCCAGTTTTCAGCTTTTTCAACCATTTGTAACTACCATTTTTCATTTGGCATTTAATAAACACTCAATATTTGTTGACTGTTTCTTGCCTGCCTGCTTCAGTTTGCCAAGGCTTCTTTTTATTAGTGTCAGAAAGGAGTATAATACTTCCAATATGTAGCAGATATTATTGGCACCAATACTTTCTTGTTCTGAAGGGTATTTTTTTCTCTTGCTTAAGATTGTGTTCATTTGTGTAGTTAGCAATACTGATATTCACACCTTGTATTTTGCCCTCCCATTTTACCAGGGTTGATCTGTATGACCAAGGGATTACAACAGAAAGTATGGCATGTTACTTCTGAGGTTCATTTATGAAAGACACTATGGTCTCTATCTTGGTTATTTCTCTCTCTCTCTCTCTCTCTCTCTCTCTCCTTTCTCTCTCTCTGTTTCTCTCTCTTGGAACACTTACTCCACAAGAAGCCAGCTGCCATGTTGTGAGAACAGTTAGGTAGCTCATAGAGAAGCTCATATGGGAAGGAATTGAGGTTACCAGTTTAAGACCAGCAATGTATTGAGGCCTGCCAAAACTCATGTGAGCGAATTTGAAGTGGTTTATCCTGCTAAATCTTTAGATGACTACAGCTTCAGCTGACAGATTAACTGAAACCTTATGAAAGATTCTGGGTTAAAACCACCCTGTAATTTAGTAAAGCTGCTCTGGGATTCCTGACCTACTGAGAGTTAATAAATTCTCATTCTTGTAGGCTGCTAAGTTTTCGGTATGATTTGCCACACTGCAATAAATAACTAATATTCCCCATATCTGCTATAGAGATTGAATTTTTAACAAAAACATTCCCACAAAGAAAACTCCTGGCCCAAATCGTTTCACTGGTGAGTTCCATCAAAAATTTAGTTACAAAATAATATCAAAGTTATACAAACCTTTTCAGAAAATAGAGGAATAAAAGATAATTTTCAGTTTATTTTTGAGGCCAAATAATGCCATTATGAAAATCAGATAAAATTACTATGAGAAAAAAATTGTAAACCAATTATCTCTCAGCCATAGATGCAAGAAATGTTAATAAAATATTAGTACATCAAATTAAGTAATATACTAGGACCACAATATATCATGACCACGTGGGATTTAGCATATAAATGCAAGATTCTCTTGACATTCAAGAATCAATGTAATTCAGATTACGTTGTAAAAGATCAAAGCAGAAAAAAACCCACAATCATTATAACACAAGCAGAACCTGTATTTGATAAAATTCAGCAGCTATTCATATAAAAAATTCACAGAAAATTAGAAGTAAATGAAAAAATCATTCATATGTTGGAATGCACTTATGAAAAGCCTACTCTTTAGTGTTGAAATATTAAAACTTTCCCCACCCCCACTTCTATTCAATATTGTGCTAGATAGAAGTTCTAGTCAATGCAGTGAGGCAAGAAAAAAAAATGACACAAGATTGGAAGAAAATGTAAAAAACTATTTCAGATTATATGATTCTGTACAGAAAAACCTAAAAATTTTCCAAAAACCAACTAAAAGTAAGTAAATTTAATACGCTGAGAATCCAACACCAGTGTACAGAAGTGAAGTATTTTTCTCTAGAATAGTAGGGAACAATTGAAAAAGGAAACTAAAAAAAAGTATCATTTACAGTAGCATCCAACAACATAAAATTCTTTATGTTAACAGAAAATGTTCAGAACTCTGCACTAAAAACTACTAAGCACTGTTGAGTTCAACTAAAGCAGACCTAAATAATGAAAAAAGATATACCATGTTCTTGGATGGGAAGACTAAACATTCTTCCCAAATTGATCTATACATTCAATGAAATCTCAATATAAATAATGTAAGACTTTTTGAAAAATTGACAAGCAGATTCTAAAATTTGTATGGAAAATTTAAAGAACCTAGAATAGCTAAAATCATCTTAAAAGTGGAAAAGTTTACACAACTTAATTTCAAGACTTGTATAAAGGTACAGAGTTAAAAAGTGTAATATTGGTCAAAATATAAATGATTGATTAATGGTACAGAATACAAGTTGTCAATACACCCGTCTGTGTGGTCAAATGATTTGGTGCCAAAACCCAAACCAATTCTATAGGGAGTAATGTTTTTCAACCAATGGTGTAGAAACATTTGGATATTCACGTGGGAAAAAAAATGAACATGCCTATCTCTACCTACCCCATATCATACACAAAAATTAATTCAAGAGGGAAATGGCCCAGGCGCAGGAGTCCATCAATAGGAGAATGGATAAATTGGTATATTCATACAATAGAATACTAGTTAGCAAAAAAGTATTAAATTAGTGGCACAGTCTGCAATATTGATGCATCTCAAAAACATTATGCTGAGTGAAGGAAGCCAGCATCCCCAAAGTGCATATTGTATGTTAAATGAAGTTCTATGAAATTAATCTATGATAATAGAAATCAGAATAGTGTTCTTTCTGGGTGGGAGAGAAAGACTGGGCAAATGCATGGAGGGAACATCCTCAAGAGATAGAAATACTCTATATTTTGAGAGGTGTGTGGGTTACATAAGGTGCATGCATTTGTTAAAACTGAACAATATCCTTAAAATCTGTACATTTCACTGAATCTTAGTCATACATCAATACATTTTAAAATATGCATACATTTTAATTGTTGTTCTTCTTTAGAACCTTGTCTTTATCAGTCCATTAATCAGCACACATTGAGCAGAGCAATTCAACTGCCAATGAATGTATCTATCAGAATCTCTGTTTAGTCAATGTCTATCCACTGTCTCCAAGAATATCATGAGTTACCTGATCATGTTAAATAAAGCTGTAATATATCTGTTAACACTTCTGAATATATTGGTCCAGTAATTCTAATGTTACTGATGGGATTAGACAAAGAAGTTAGTTTTAAGTTTTATAAATATTTAAGTATCCTATTTTTCATGTTTATTTTCTCCTCGTTTCTTATATTTTGTGCCACATTTATTTAGCTTATTCTTTAACATATCATACAGTGTCTATTTCCTGGCAATTTGAATTTTGCTCCAAGATGTGAAATATACAGTATATTAAAAAGGAAGACTAGAAGAATAGGAGTAAACATAGAATTATTCTAAACTAAATGGCAGGGAGTATGAGGAGGAATATTAGAGCGGGGAGAGCTGGACAAAAGGGAGAGTAAAAGGAGTTAGGGAGTCATTGGTCGAAAGATTTAGGGGTTGTGTCAGGAGCTGTCCGAGGTCTGAATCAGAGGCCTCAGGCAGCCACTTTTTCCAAAGTGGTCCCCCAAATGACACAGGTACTGTGGAAGAGAAGTCTTTATTTATGTTTAGTCTATGACAAACCTCTTCATCTAGAGAGGCAATTATGGTAAAATATTATCTAAAATATTTTGGTAAAATTATGGCAAAATAGTGTCCAATTATCTAAAAATAAAAAATATTTTAGGGAGGGGCCTGACTTAACTAAAGTGATCTTATTAAAAATACTTCACTCTATAATTGCTATATAGATTTCATTGTTATGATGATTCATAAATTAACGAGAAGCCTTTAGTTTCATCACGATCTGTTGGTAGCCAGTTCAAGGGCATGTGCATACCATAGGCAATGGTGTTCGGGACTAAGCGAGGGATGTTATTTTATAATCCTATTATTTGATGATGCTGTTTATGATGACAACACTTAGTGCTCTTTAAGTTCTTAATATATGCCAAGTAGTATGGTAATATTTTCCATGTATTTATTTAAATAAATCTTCATAACAACACTAGGACATAGTACTGTTGTTATTTCTATTTTACAAATAAGGGAAGAGAGCTTTAAGAGCATGATAATACACTTTCATCGTTACTCAGCTAACAATGGCTGAGCCCAAAGTATTCCTTTTAACCAACATGCTGTGATCCAAAGCATTCAACTGCGAGTAATTGAATGCTTATATAGTTGCTCTTTTCTTTTTAAAAATATTCCACTCACAACACGTTGATACTTTTAATATCCTTTTTTCTTAAGGTTCTTTATTGTTTACTTGTGACAGCATCTTCAAAGAATAAGGGCAGAAATCTTATTTCTATGTTCTTTAATGTAAAAATGAAGCTTTTAGGAGAGATGGATTATCAGTGAAAATAAACGACAACATTCTCTGGCAATAAAAGTAATGAGACAGACAGGACAAAAGTAATGACATCCTCTAGCATAATCTTGGCAGAAAATAACTAAATCACCTTGAAGGAGACAAACTGTTACAAAACACCATCCTTGTCTAATATGGATTGACAGGGAATGACAAGATTCTTCAAGAGAATGGCAGCCCACAGGCCCATATGCTTTCAAGGGATCAAAGGGACTGACACTTCCTGCCAGCCCCAGCTAAACAGAAAGCAACTTGATTCTCTCCAGACAGATATTTACCCTAAGATATTATTTCTGGGAAAGGGAGCTTATTTGGGAAATTTGACAGCAGTTTTTTCCTACACATCCTATCAACTGTTAGAATAAAACTGGGATGAGGGATAATCTACCAAATCTGTTCTTGGAATCCAAATAATTCATAAATCTTTAGCAAGCTAGAGAACTTGACCTACTCCATAACACAATTGTTTTATGTAGGCCATGTTCAGCATTTGACTTACAGATTATTATTATTTTCTATTAACATAAAACTTTAAAAAAGTTTTGAAGTTTTTAAAAAATGTATAAATTCAGTTTATCATCCACCAAAATAGATTTTAATAATCATCTAGAAAGCAAAATAAATAGCTTTGGTGAATTTAAATGTTAAATAATAATGAAAGGTCCAGGAAAAAAACTATAGGAGAAAAACTTATACTCGTGGGGATGAAGAGCACTTTTCTAAGGATGACATGAAATCCTGAATCCATATGGAAATGATTTATTTGATTACATAAAGTTGTGAAACACTACTAAAAAGTCAAAGACAAAGGATAAACGAATGGAAACATTTACATCCAGTATTAATTCCTTACTTAGTGTCCTTAATATAATAACTCTTGTAAATGATTAAAAAAACATTTGAAATATTAAAGTATATGAACTTTACTTTAAAGAGAATGAGATTTAAATGGTTATTGAATATATAAAAAGATGTTCAATCTCACCACTAATCAAAGGAATGCAAACCCAAACATCAGTGAGATCTCATTTCTTATCAGACTTGCATTCAAAAGAATGACAGTGGTTTTTGATGTTGAGGTATCAGAAAATACACTATATCCTGTGTCATTTGTGGATTGTCAAATGATACATGGAGGTAAAAGAGAAGAATTTTGTCTGTATCTCTCAAAATCTAAAGTAGGTACATTCTTTGATTCCACTCCTTGGAATTAATCTTACAGTAATCCCTTTAGAATGATAAAAATATTCCTATACATTCTTGTTCACTAGAATACTGCTTACAACTTTTATGATTGGAATAATCTGAGATTTATAGAAGGATTTCAAGAATAACTCAAGAATATACCTTTTACTCGGAATGCTCAAATGTTAACATTTTGTAACATTTGCTTTATTCTTCTCTTTCTCTCCACACACACACACACACACACACACACACACACACACACACACACACACACACTTTTTCTCCTATACAGGATACTCTTTACCCCTAAATACTTCACTGTGTATTTCCTAAAACTCTAGGATATTGTTACATATTCTTAATACATTTATCAAAATTAAGAAATTAATATTGATATGATATTTTTCTAGAGAACGTATTCAGAGTTCTTCAATTGTCCCAGTAATGTCCTTTATAGCAAAGAAGGCTACAGACTGTATTCATTGTCTTGTCTCTTTAGTTTCATTTAATCTGGAAGAGCTCTGTCTTTCTTTGTGTGTCATGATGTTGCCATTTTTTAAAAAGTCCAGAGCAGTTATTTTGTAGCTTTTCTCTACCTTTGGGTTAATCTGATGTTTTCTCATGATTAGGCTCATATCAGGCATTTTGGCAGGAATACTCCAGAAGTCATGTAGTGTTTTCTTTGGTCCATGATACCAGGGGGCACATGCTACTGTTTTGTGCTTTTACCGGTGGTGTTTCCTGTGATCACTTGGTTGAAGAATTGCTCAATAGGTTTTTCTAGTGTAAACACGCCATTTTTCTCTTTTTAATTTATAAGTATTTATGGGTATATGTTGAAAGATACAAATATTTGGGTACCCCTCAAACTTTCACCTAATCATTTTAGTATCCTATAATGATGTATACCTAGATCAATTATTAGTATGATGATTGCCAAATACAGATTTTCTAATTCCACCATTTCTTCTACATTTATTTGTTTACTTTCTATAAGAAAGATTCTCATTTTTAATCTATTTTTTTCTTTGTGTTAGTATGGAATAATGGATTTTAATTTAATTCAAGAAAAAATATTCTATGAGGATTTATTAACATAATATTAACAAATACAATATTTATTAAGATATAATTTTTTGGTGCTCAAATTATATCAGATATAGCAAATGAGACTGCTTTAAGTTAGCTTACATGTCCCTTTGACATAGCTTGATCATTTTTAGGACACTTTCCTAGTTTCTGATACAAGATGGTTCAGGCTCATTCTCATTGTCCCAGCTGTGGAATCAGCCATTTTTCTGAGGAGCCCTGGCTCCATTTAGTGGAGAGTAACATTTCAAAACCAGAATCTGTGTAGTACGTATGTGGAACACCACACTTTGCTTTTTATCGTTTTGGTGTTTAAGCATCATTCTTAATAATAAAGAATTATAAATTATTTAAATGTTTATTAGAGGAATCAGTTAAAGAATTTTTGTGTAATTGAATACTATACAGCTGTTAAAAATAATGAGGAATCTATTGTAGTGATGGAAGAGGATCTAATGTATATTGCATTTGCGAAAAATGAGTTAGTGAACAGTTGATATAGTTTATTTTAAATATTATGTATAAGTAAATGTTCATTCAAACAGAAAAATTTTAAAATCTGAAAGTTTACACACCAAAGTACAATATTTTTTTTTAACTTCTGTCAGCAGGATAAGAAATATGGTGAAGTTTTCATTTCTTTATAGCTTCCTATAGCTTTTTTATATAAAGCATTTATCTTTTTAAAATTTAAACACATAAATCTAAATTCAAAAAATACAAAATAAAACAACAAAAACAGTATGGGTGGCAATGGCTTACAAAATAATAAAATTTATGAGGAAGTTAGGGAAATGACCTCATTATACCTTAGTAAAATTGCTAGAATTAGTCCTCATTAGTCAATTAGTTTATAATAATTGCCTCAGTCAGTAATCAATTTTCTCCAAGTCTCATTTAGTAGCCTCATCAGTTAATTGCTTTCATCTATAAACAAATTTTCATTTAACTGGGCAAAAACTTGTCATCATATCTCCATGTCAACGCTAATCAATGCTTCTAGGGTGTGTTTCACATCCATGTGGCCCACTCCTGATTTCAGCTGAAGCTATGAGGGGTGGTTCCATGCCAGCTCAGACTCACCCTGTCTTGGCAGTGACCAGCCCAAATCACATGCAGCATGCTTCCACACTCAGCCAGGGAATTCTCCCCGGAAGATTAAATGCTATTTTGTATAATGTGCTCAAGGAAGGACTTCTGGTAAGATGATATTTCAGTAGACACTTGAATTAAAGTGTGCAGATAGCTTGGGAATAACCTTTTCCAGGAAGAAAAGCAAATGCAATGCCTGGGGTGGCAGCATGCCTCTCTTATTTGAGGATCAGAAAGGAGGCCAATGTGGAGGGTAGTGATGAAGGACAGGATGAAAGATAAGATCCTAGAAGAAAAAGAAATCGTGAAGGAGAACAAGAGGTTAAGAGAAGGGTAGGATAATGAATATGGAGTTTATCTTTTGAGTTCAGATGAGTGAGATGATTTAACTTCTATTTTCAAATGATCCCATTGGCTCCCATGTGTGGAGTATACAGTGCCTAAAAACCAGGTGGAAGGGTTTCAGTAGGAGCCTATTGCAATAATCCAGATGAGAGACTGAGATGGTTGAGACTCTAGTGATAAAGGTGGAGACAGTCAGACTCTGGGTATGACTGGAAGGTAGAGTTCACACAGTTTGCCTATGGGATATGGCTCGTGAGAAAAGAGATGAGGCATGGATGATCTCAAGGTTTTTGTGTAAACATTGAGAGAAAGGAAATTTCTATACTGATAAAGAAAATATGAAGATAATAGAAGACTTGACAGAAATTCACATGGTAGGTTTTCTCATGTTAAGTTTGAGGTCGTTATTTGACATGTAAGAGGAGAGGTTGAATACATGAGCCTGGAATTCAGAGGAGCAGCTGATGCTGAAGATCACCTTTATGAGGTTCACAAGTTGTTCATTTGTGGTTAGTATTTGAAGTCATGGAACTGAATGAGATTACCTAGGATATAATTGTAGAGAATGTAATGGAGAGGGGTCCCAGGATTGACTCAGGCACACTGTATCATTAAGATTCAGCTTTCTTATTTTTGTCTGGCCTGCTGACATGCCATCCAGACTGAGGAAGACCCAGAAACTTTTGGGCTATGTGAGCCACGGCCACAGCTGCACTGTAAAAAAGTAAAGCACTGGAAGCACCCAGGAGGCCGTGGTAAGGCTGGTGGCATGCATCACACAGGATCAACTTTGACAAATATCACCCAGGTTACTTTGGGAAAGTTGGCATGAGGCATTACCACTTAAAGAGAAACCAGAGCTTCTGCCCTGCTGTCAATCTTGACAAATTGTGGACTTTGGTCAGGGAGCAGACATGGGTAAAAGTTGCTAAAAACAAGACTGGAGCTGCTCCCATTGTTGATGTGGTATGACCTGGCAATTAAAAAGTTCTGGGAAAGGGAAAGCTCCCAAAGCAGCTATTATTGTGAAGGCCAAATTCTTCAGCAGAAGAGCCAAGGAGACGATTAAGGGTGAAAGAGGTGGGGTGGGGGTGTGGGGTTGGGGTCTTGGTGGCTTGAAGCCACATGGAGGGATGTCCATTAAATGCTAACAATTGAAAAAGAAAAGATTCAGCTTTCTGATAAGACTAATCTGCCAAGCCTTAATAGATAGATTGGAGCTGTTGCTGCTCAGGATGTTGCTGTTCTTGAAGAAGAGAAAAGACACATGGCAAAGCATGAGCTGGCTCTTAAAGCTTGCACTCATAACACACACACTCACTTCTGTTCTCACTTCATTGGTCAAACCAAGTTTCACAATCACTTTCAAGTGCAATAGGCAGGGAATGTATAATCTTCCCACAGGAAGGGTTCTGCAGTGATGAACATTGCAGGGAGGGAAACAAGAATATTTGGCAAACAGAAATGTAGTTCACTAAAGAAATAAAGATATGACATTGGAAAGCTTTTGTCTTTCTTGTCTAATATAATGACTGTAAACTACTGAATTTTTTTCTTTGCTTTTCTCATCATCTGATGTCTTTCTCCATTTATGCCCAAGGAACTATGTCTCAGCAGCCAAAGTTCCTAATTAGTCTTTTAATTTCTTCTTAGAGTTCATCCCAATTGAGAGTAAAGGCGATTTCTAGAGCTGGAGCCACTGACATTTCTTGTCATTGGAGGGTTCTTATCATGGGATCCTCCTGTACAATAGTTCTTTAAATTTTTTCCAGTTGAGGACCTTGCTATTTAGGTTTACTCTCATCTAATACCACTTATTCCAGACCTAAGCTACCATTAACCTCTGCCTCTATCTCTTCTTTGAATCCTCTGATGGAATTTTTAAAGAAGCCACAGATTTTCTCATAGTTGCAACATAACAAAAAGAATACATGATGTGTTTAAAATTGAAGGAGATCTGCCTTCACTGATGTTCTGGTTCACTGATGTCACTACCTAGCCTTTCACTTGAAGCAAGTAATTGACCTTCAAAGATTTTTCTCATCTGTAAAATTGAAATAGTTACACCTACTGTATTAGTCTGTTTTTACACTGCTATAAAGATACTACCCAAGACTGGGTAATTTATAAAGAAAGGAGGTTTAATTGACTCACAGTTCTGCAAGGCTGGGGAGGCCTCAGGAAACTTACAATTATAGTAGAAGGGGAAGCAGGAACGTCTTGCATGGCAGCAGACGAGACAGCTCATGTAGAAAGTGAAAGGGAAAGAGCCCTCATGAAACCATCAGATCTAGTGAGAACTCACTCACTATCACGAGAACAGCATGGGGGAAACCACCCCCATGACCTAACCACCTCCCACCATCTCCCTCCTTTGACATGTGGGGATTATGAGGATTACAATTCAAGATGAGATTTGGGTGGGGACACAACCAAACCATATCATCTGCCTGGTAGCACTGTTCTGAGGATTGAATTAGACAGCACATGTAAGGTGCTTCATAAATTCTAAAGAGGAAAAAAGTTGGTTCATGTGGTTGTCGCTATCATTCCAGGATGAGTTAGGAACACACAGTCATGCATGTTATTGATTCTGGAATGAGAGAAATAGGAACAGGTCTTATGAGGCCCTAATATGTTGCTTTTATTAATATTTTCTAGTGAAGGTATTGCATGATGAAATAAATAGATCGGAATCTTCTAACAAGCTTGTCTGGAATTACCATACTGAGTACACAAAGGATCTCACCATAATAAAATGAATTTCTCCTTGTCAAGGTTCTAGTTCCTTGTCTACCACTGGGTAGAGTGACTCTGGTAGAAGCAGCCTTTATGTTGGCAACCTAGTCTCTGGTTAGCATCATAGTAACTGGTAAGCTTCTGAGGTAACTAACCCACAATGATAGGGGCTTATTTCTTCATATTAGGATTCAGCTTTCTGATAAGACCAATATGCTAGGCCTTAATGCACAGAAAATGCCAGCTCCTAAAGATATCAAGTCTGCATGTATTTGGAATTTAATAATTTTTATACATATCTTCAAATTTTCCACCACATGAAATAATAATTCTAAGATATTGGCATGCCAGAAATAATAGTAATCAAACTTCACTGAATAACATTTTATTTTTACAAAGACCTTTTCCATCCCATTTGGTGCTGCCAAGGCATTATCTATACAAAATGTGTATGGATTGGGAAGAGTATTTCCACAGTTTTTTTGCTTAAACCAAAGAGGAAAACATCTGGTCAAACCCATTTATCACTACATTTTCTCTGTAGTATGAAGGTATTCTTGGCCATATTCTTGGCTAATTTGTTCTTGCCAGTAACTCAAAGGGTATAAAAAATGTAATAAATTAGGAAAGAACCGAAATTCTAAAATTTCAGTAAAAACACAGATACACCTCTAACTTAGAGACTCTAAAAATGGAATATGGTATGTAATGGGTAAGAGATTTCCTTCTTTTTTTGAACAAATTTTGAGGGTTGGAGATCTATAAAAGATGAAATTTAAAAAGAAATAACTCAAAGAAAAAAGAAAATGAGGAAGCATTAGTAAAAAAAAATCAGTATCGCTGTATAAAGAGTTTTCTGATTCATCTCTTTCACTTTAAGAGACGCAAAAAAAGAAAGAAGAAACTCAAAAATAATCTCTAATTGAAAAGAGAAACACAAACATCTAGAAATAATGTCAGAAAGATTAAAACTCAGAATACATTTGAGAGTTTGAAAAAAAGTTACTAAATGCAGCCTAAGTGACTTCTTAAGCTATGTTGGGAGCAGGAAGAAGAGTAAAAAGAATGCCTTAGACTCTACATTGGAGACAAATGATCTCAGGTCTCTAGAAGTAACAATATCCAAAACCTGTTTTGATTTCATATTTGCTACAAAAGGGCAAAATTTCCAAATAATAAGACAAATCAAGTTAGAGAAGCAATCATAGACCAATATATGTAAGGAGGTAATCAGAAAATAACTAAAAATGAATTTGAGTCTCTATATGCAGATAAAGATTCCTGTCAGGATGGCAAAGAAACTTTCATCAATTAGCTACTATCTCCTGTTTAGCAATATTCCAAACCATCATAGAGTCTTGTATAGGTTTCTGAAAGCTTGGCACCTAATAATGTCCTTCTTCCAGAAAAATATGAACCTATCTATCATGAAATGGTAGAACAAATTATTATGTAAAGGACTCATATTTAGAGAAGAATATACATTTTTACATGTCTTTTTAGGATAAAACATTCAAAAATATGTTACCATATTTTACCAGTTATTAGATTGGTGGGAGTGGAATGTTAAGATTGGTGTATAATGTTTTCAGAAAAAAGAATTACCTCTCATAATAACCTTATGGATATGCTGGTTATGTAAGCAGAATCATAGCCCAGAGATTACTTTTAAATGTTGGCTTGCTTTGTTTATCAGGGACATAGTGCATGTCAGGTTAAAGGATATTGAGAACCTTCCTTTCCTCCTAATGCTGTCTGGATTTCAATGGTAGTTCGTGGTGGTAAGATAGAGCCTACTTTTTTTCCTCAAGGTAAGCATGAGTCCTGCTGGTAGATGCAATAGTATAGAGGAGGAAGAATTGGATTATGTTCTAGTCTTAGCTGTGCTGTTTGGTAGCTGTATGACCTTGCAAGTATCCCTATCTGTAAAACAAAGATAATAATGCCTGCAAGTCCATCTTATAGGTGGCTGTGAGTTTACATAAGACTGTAGTATTAAAAGGCTTTATAAAGATTATCTAAGGACAAATATGCAAGATAAGGGTATCACTCATATCTCTGTTTCAATCTGGAATGCAGGCAAACAGGGAAGACTGGAGAGTTCCTTTCCTCAATCCCTACTGATCAACACTTTCATCAGTGGAAATAGAAGACATAATTATTAGATTCTAAGAGCTTGGCAATGGTTGACTCAAGATTCAAAATTTTATTGCCCAACTTTATACTTCCAGGCAAAAATATCAGACCAAAACAACAAGATGAAATTTGGCAGGAATAAAAGTCTGCAGTCTAGACGTGGAAATGCAAATATGTAAGTACAAAATGGGAGGAAAAAGCAATCAGACAGCAGTTCATGTGAAACAATCTGGAGTATTTAGTTGACCACATGGTTAATAAGAATATTATGGAAAGTGTAAATCCCTTCATTCTGAGATAGTCAGATAACGTTGGCGCAATCCCTGGAATGTACTAGATACATGGAAAAGTTACTTTGCTCAATTCGGCACCCTCTTCCCCTTTAATTCAAGAAAGACATCTACAATCTGTTATGGGACTGGCAGATGCTGGCAGTGTCAGAAAACTATGATCTATGGGAAATGTTGAAGGAACAGAGACAGGTTAAACTTAGGAATCAGACTAGTGGAAAACCTTAATAGCTGTCTTCAAATATCTAAAGGACTGTCAAATGTTGTTACAGGGATTATTTTCACTGTGTCATTCCAGAGAGCAGAGCAGGAATCAGCGGGTGAAAGCAAAAAAGAAGGCATATTGTTGGCTCAAAGAAACAACTTTATGATAACACCTCAATCTGTACAACAACCGGAAGGACTGCTTGGTGAGAAAATAAGATCTCTATTGTTGGAGGTTTAAGCCAAGTCTGGCTACAATCTATTACAACACATTTCTGCTTTGGGCTGGTGTCTAAGGTCCTTACCACTCTCAGGGTCTGTGATTTTATTAGATATTTGTCTTTATTTCCAAGACTATTATATATCCAAATGTTTATTTTCACTTTTTGTATTACATAGATATCAATAGACAAATTGCAGGGAAGTATATTATTTTTCTGCCCATAGGACATTTTGAAGAAGCTAGTCAACCCCTAAAAATTGCTGATTTACCATCTTAGAGGTTTCTTTACTCCACAGATGTAATTTATTGCACACAATTATGATATATAATATTTCTGGCTTATTAAGCATGAAAAAGCCATATTTCTGCTCTATTATGGTTGAGTTCTCTACCTTAGAAAGACTTAACATTCATAGTTAAGGTTACTATAGTAACCATAACTCAATTCCTTGTGGCTATAAATTACTCTGTATTCCTATATGTTAACTTTGATTCTTTATGTTCATATGATATCCAGCTCTTCAAAGTTACAAACTATAGTCTCTGGATAAAGGTAATAAATTAAATGGGTCAAGGATCTGTTCCCTTAATAATCAGGAAAAGAATTGCTTGAAGTAGATAGTCACAATAAGCAAAAATAGAAAAATTAGTGTTTTATGTGATAACAAAGGGCGAACAAAGGTTCATGGTATATTATAGTGTGGATAGTAGTAAAAAATAAAGTGAGCATAAATTCACAAAATTATATGTAGGGAAAATGTGTAAACTGTGGTACCCTGCAGATTAAGGATAAAAAGAAAGTGAACAATGTATACTCAACCACTTCCCCTTTCTATTCTCATGGTAAACATCAATAATTAATTATGGCACTTTTTTTCTACTCTTCTCAGACATGTCTTCAGAATCTTTCACAACACAATGTTGTTGGCAGTCACTGTTAATTGATCTCAATTATTTTAAATTCTCATTTCTTCTAGAAATCTCTTAATTATGAATATAGAAAAGGCAATACTTTCCATGTTATTTGCCCTAATCAGAGTCTATTGTTCCTGCAGCTAGATCTGAGATATTGGGAGGATTTAATATAGGAACTATTTGTGATACAATAGGGGAACATGGCCATATTTTATTGAAAATATTGGGGGCTTGGACTCAAAAAGATTTTAGCTGTGGCTCTTGAGGAAAAACTTAACTTCTCTGAGCCTTACCTTTTTATGTTTAAAATGTACATAATAATGTCTATCAGCAATGTTTTTTTTGAGAGGAAAGCACTTAGGACATTTTATGGCACATGCTCTAGGCAGGACTGAGTAATGAGGGAGAACAGGTTCACCCGCCAGGCCAAATTAATATTGGTGATTAATAGAATCTGCACTGTTGTAGCCAGATCATCTTCATATTCAAATGCTTTTGCAGTTTACATTGCACAACCAAAAAGAGCTTAGATTAAGCTCAGCTAGTAACCAATTTGGGGTTATTATAATTTGTTTCATTTTTCCTAGCTACACTGAAATTCCCTGAGGGCAGAGGTAACATTTAGTTTGACTTTGTGTCTGCAAAACAGCCTTGTGTTTATAAGACTTGAAAAAAATTTAAAATAAAAGGTTAGTGACAAGATATATGAAGGATCACTTTAACCTAATAAACCTTAAAAACTATAGATAAAAATATAGATTATTCCTACTGGCTAGAGAATATCATGACACAGGCTTAAACTACAACATGACGAATGTAACTTAGGTGCAAAATAATAAAATACCACGGTAGAACTATAGGACATTGAGGGAAGAGTGGTTGCAATCCAGTTCTACAAATTAATAAGCTACTGATATCTCTATTATATTACTCTGAATTTTCTGAAGTTATTAAATATCATAGTAGGCTGCCTATAGAATTGATGCACTATCCCTTAAATTATTAACAAAATAAGAACCTTCTCCCTGATATAATTACATAGATCATCATCAATATCACATGTATTATTATAACATATACCCCTTTTGGCCATAACTACTACATTGTATATAAATATGTCTGCTATTAGGGAACCTATACAATACATTTCTGCATTAGGCAGGTCTCTAAGGCCCTTAACACTCTCAGGGTCTATGGTTTTATATATTTGCCTTTATTTCCAAGACTATTCTCTATCCAAAATGTTTATTTTCACTTTTTGTATTACATAGATATCAACAGACAGTTTGCAGTGGAAGTATATTGTTTTTCTGCCTGCAAGATATTTTAAAGAAGCTAGTCAACCCTTAAAAATTGCTGATTTACCATCTTAGAGGTATTACTAATATTAGAGTTATTACTAATATCAATTAGTAATAGATTATTAACTGTCATAGCAATAATAATAATGGTAATATGAATCATATGAAAATATGTAGCAAGCTATGTATTATCAGATTAGTAAGGAAAAAGTAATTGTAATAACAAAATAACAATAACAACAATGTCTAAAATGCCAGTCAGGTGAAATTCATGTGGAACCTAGGCCTATGGATGATTTGGAAGTGTTAATACTTACGAAAAGAACATTTATCAGAAAGGAGAGGAAAAAAATGTGATGAAAAAGAGAGTAATATTTGGTTGAAAAACATCATTGCAAATGTTAAAAGCAATCTCCAATTTATCCAAAATAGATCCTTGGTCAAGGAGAACTCTAAGGCAACAAAAGTGCATCATACAAAACTAAACAGAGGACAATAAACAATGATGAGAACAAAATTGACCAAGTAGTGGGCAGTGTTGTGGAGCTCCTGGAAAGGATTTTGATAGTATGATGGGCTTCATCAGAGAGGTTGCTCTAGTTTTGGATCAAATCTATCATTATATATAGTACTACAGAGTTTTTACTATGGGGCATAGGGCTACTGAGGTTTGTCCATAAGAGTTTGCTTTTAGAAAAAGTACCCTCTTGGTGTTTTATGACCACAGTCCTTACAAGAGTCTCCTAGGTTTCTAGATGGGGTCTGAAATTGTAAGCAGCCTGATGATACTACCATGGGTACTCTGGTCAACTGGCCACAAGGGTATAATATAATAATAAGTCAGCAATAAAATTCAGACATCATAAAATTCAGAAAGCCCATTGCTCGTAAGAATAGATTTGAGCAATTGTCTTGCTTTTGTTAAAAATCCTGAGGTCAGCAATCCCATTATTGGGTATATACCAAAGGAAATATAAATCATTCCACCACAAGGACACATGAACATGTATGTTCATCACAGCGCTATTCACAATAGCAAAGTCATGGACTCTATCTCAATGCCCATCGATGTAAGTAGACTAGGTGGAAGAAAATGTGGCACGTATATACTATAGAATACTATGAAGCCATAAAAAATGAGATTATGTCCTTTGCAGCAACTTGGATGGAACTGGAGGCCATAACACTTAGCTAACTAACACAGGAACAGAAAACCAATACCGCATGTGCTCACTTATAAGTGGGAGCTAAACACCGAATACACATGAACACAAAGAAGGGAACAACAGACACCAGGGCCTACTTGAGAGTTGGGGGTGGGAGGGGGTTGAGGATAGAAAAACAACCTATTAGATACTATGCGTATTACTTTGGCGACAAAATAATCTGTATACCAAATCCCTGTGACATGCAATTTACCCATATAACAAACCTGTACATGTACCTCTGAACCTAATATAAAAGTCAGAAAAAATCCTAGAGTCATTTAAGTTCTGAATATTCCTTTGTGCACCATTATTTGTAAAGATAAAGACTACATGATTTTTAAAAACAGTTGAATTTTTAAAAGTAGTAACTTTCTTTTCCTTCAATAGTATTATATGTAACAAACTCTAGAAAATGAGATTAAAGAAAGACACAAAATCACACTGCAATTTTGCCTTGCAGAGATAGGCACTAGTCTATAAACTCCTTGAAGGTAAAATCTAGGCCTTCCTTGTTTTCCATTGTATCCATGGTGAAGAGTATAGTACCTGCCATGAGATAGCAATAATATATATCTGTTAAATAAAATAAATGTCAACATTTTGGTGTATGTGCTTCTAGAATTTTTTAATATGTAAATACTCCTTAAAAATGAGTATAGTTTGTTAATTTTAAATCCTGGAAAGCAGTCAAATTTTAAACACTAATCATCTTGGATTGAAAACTCATTTCCTCAATATTACAAGATTTTGTAGATTCATAAAATATGAGTATTGGAAGAGAATGAAAGTGATTTAGTCCAAAGCTCTCATTTTATATATAAGTGAAACTTAAAATGGTGAAGACATTTGCTTAAGGTTAGGGCAGAAATCCAGGCCTCTGACTTTCAGGTAGAATTCTTGCTGCCATATAACATGCTTCGTTAAACTATGCTCTATCTTATTCTAAACTTTTTAAAAGTCATGCTTCTACAAGAATTGTGGTTGCATTATTACTGTGCATATAATAATTTATACAATGTAATAATTATAATTAATAATACAATTAGTAATAATCTTATTTTTGTGTATTCCTTTGAATATTTCTCATTTTCTCTGAAGAAAACTTAAACATTTGGCCAAATTATCTGTGAAGGTTTTTGGAATTGATTACCATGTCTAAATAGTTTCTAACGTCCACTTTATTTTTTGTTATTAAATAACTATATTTGTTTTAATATTTAACAGTCAGCTTTAGGATATATACATATGTATAAAATGTTCTTTTTTTCAAATCAGGATATATACATATTCATTATGACTTAATTGATACATGTTTTGAAAACCCCAGTGGTTCTTCTTCCATTGCCAAAAAACAAGGAATGCGTACAATTTAAGTAACTTGCTATCCTTGAGAGCAAACATCTTTCCACTAAATACCATTCAATAATTAGATTTGTTTTCTCTCAAATATTTTAATTCTTCTTATACACCGTTTCTTGTGTTATTCATCTTATTTGACCTAATGTGATTTCAGTAAGGTCTTCAATGGTCAAGATACATGTTTAAAGATCTTTGAAGGTGAGTGATTACAACTATGCCCGAGAATTTCCTGTGAAAATACTAATGCCTCAGACTAGTGTAATGGTAGCCTCAGAAAAGGAAACATAAAATTTAAATAATAAACATTACTACATGGTGTTTTTTAAATATCATTGTACAATATATTTAAATATGATCAAAATAAACCAAACAATAATGCAACAGTTCTGCATCTTTTCCAACTTGCCCCCCTTATTCCAGCTAAAAGTGATTTCCCAAGCTGAGAATTTCCAGCCAATCATCTTGATCATGTACGTGGTAAATTTATAAGCCATATCAAGTCCTTCGCCCTCATGTTTCACTCAGTTTTTCTAGACTTCCTGAACATGAAAAAATTAAATTTTATTAGCCAATACCTTTCCATCAGTTCTTTTTCTCTCCCCTTTATCACTATTATTCTAAGATTGCAGTTGTGAGAAAACTCTGTGGACCTTTATGACAAAATGAAGAAAATAACAAAACTTATGAAACAAATTCTGACTTTTGGTTAAGAGGCAAATAGACTGAAGAAGAGCAGGTGAGGGAGGGAGGTGGGAAGCAGGGGAGAAAGGCTAAATTATACAGATACTGAGAATCACAGACAACTTCCATTTGATGATATTTCCTTTGTTGCTTTCTACCTTAATTTTTTTTTCTTAGATGTAAAGGTCGAGCAAGAGCTGGAGTAAGCAATTTCTTCTTTTTTCTCCGTCCTCCCATTCCCAGGCTCAGATCATCTGCTCTTCTCCAGCCAGGAACTATTTGCAGTGGTGCTTCATGCTTAGCATTCCCTCTAATTGCTATCCATCTGTTTCCATCAACCCCCTAAGCCATTTGTCTCATTTGAATATCTTGTTCCTTTTCTAGACACTTCAAACCAAATTCTGAACTCAAATATTTACATAACATTTCCAAAGATTTCTGCATCTGTATCACTACCACTGGCCATTTTCGAAAGACTGTTATTCAGGTCTTCTCACACTGTGTTACATATGCAATTATTATTACTTTGATAATATGGCAGTAAGAAGAAGTTGAATGGAGCATTAAGTTCATCCTTTTATGATATATTCCATAATTTAAGGACAGTATCTTCCTCTGATCCAACTTCAAGATAAGTATCTTACCAAATTATTTTGAAATTATAGATTTTAGAAATATGACTAAACAAAACCAATTAGTAGTGGAGGTATCACAGTAGCCCTAGAGTGTTCCTTTGATAATCTAAAACAATGGATTTAGAAAATCCCTACTCTCCAAATTGTCTTGTTGCATATGAAATAAAGGTCTCAATAAAAAGTAACGAGTAAACAGATTTCATTCCGCATTTACAATGATGGAAGTGGTCATTGTTTCTTCCAGAGGTAACTTACTGGATGTAATACTCTTCCCCAAACAACAACAGCAATGCAGCAACAACAACAACACTTACACACACACACACACACACACACACACACACACACACACACCTATTTCAAAATATCTGCATTATATTCACTGCTGTTTGTTCAGTGTGAAACAAATAGTAGAGAAACCACCAAAGCATCTTACAAATGTTGCTTCCCCACTTTTAAGCAGGCACCTGTCTCTAGAAATCCTGGGTGTCTGTAAAACTATAAAAAGCCACAGGGGAAAAATTTAAATATTGTTTTCATCACATCACTTTCTTGGCTCATAAGTTTATTTTTCAATCTCTTTCCCTTATTTCATCGCTGTCCAAGGTCATTTTTCTTTTCCTTTAAACATCTTTTCTACCACCTCTTGATCACTGTCCCTTATATACATATTTTACATTCTTCCCTTTGTACCTTTGCTCATGGAGTTCCTTAATGAAGGACCTGTCAGTCACTTTCCCAACAGACCAGCAATTCAAGACATGATTCAAATTTAACTGTAGTCAATGATTTACCTTGCCCCCACCAAATTACTCTATTCCTTGAATGTTTTCTGTCTTTGCTATGAATGGAAGTAGGTCTAAGTGACTACTTTTCTTTTACAGTCTTCCCATTTTTAGCCTCATTATTTTGCACTTGTTTATGTGTGGTTGTTCTTCAGTTGTCACTTCAAGCAAGTGTATGATCTACAAGAAAAAGGAAAATTCCCTTAGTCACCAGCTACAAGAAAAAGGAAAACTCCTTTGGTCACCTCACACCCTTGTGTATCCCCACATACAGGAAGTATCCAGTAACGTTTCTGGAATTTATCTACAGAGGTACATCTTTTATGAGAAGAGTCCTGTTTCCTGGGAATTTCAATTCACATATACCCTAGAACGTAATTATGAAGATGTCTTCAGGATCCACTTATGGGATTGCCTTATAAATGATGATGTTATAGATGAGGTGTTTTTTGTATTTCATTAATATCTCCAGATAGGGTCCTAGATTGTATTAGTCAGCGTTCCCTAGAGGGAAAGAACTAATAGGATATATATATATATATTTTATATATATATATATTATATATATATAATATATATATAATATCTTTATATATATAAAGGGGAGTTTGTTAAGTATTAACTTACACGATCACAAGGTCCCACAATAGGCTGTCTGCAAGCTTGCGAAGCAAGGAGAGCCAGTTGGAGTCCCAAAACTGAAGAACTTGGAGTCCAATGTTCGAGGGCAGGAAGCATCCAACACGGGAGAAAGATGTAGGCTGGGAAGCTAGGCCAGTCTCAGTCTCACCTTTTCATGTTTTTTTTTTTTTTTTTTCCTGCCTGCTTTATATTCGAATGCAGCTGATTAGATTGTGCCCACCAGATTAAGGGTGGGTCTGCCTTCCCCAGCCCACTGACTGAAATGTTAATCTCCTTTTCAACACCCTCACGGACACACCCAGGATCAATACTTTGCATCCTTCAATCCAGTCAAGTTGACACTCAGTATTAGCCATCACATAGATGATTCTTCCCTATAATAAAACATATCCTAAAATCAACAGTATTATAGCAAGACTACAGAACCCACTCATCTCCGTCCTCCAATACTTAAATTTGCCATGTGGATTTCTACTCTATTCCTACTTAGCTAAAGGCTGGCAAAGAAGGGAGTCTTGCCAGAAACTTGGCATCTTAAATAGTCAGGCTCTACAGTGGCTATTCCAGTAAGTACATTTTTGGCTGTTTTCCTCCTTCTGACCCTTCTTTTCCTCCAACACCACAGCCTTCTCTAACTCATTATCCTCTTCTCTTTCTTGAGCTCCTCCTCTCTGTCTGCCTGTGTGGGAGCTACCTCTCCACATCTGTTTTTATTCACTGGTTCAGTTATTTTTAAATTGGGGAGCTGTTTGTTTCTGTACATTAAGGTGTATTTTTGTGTCTCTATCTCTAGTGATCTTGAAAATTTCCCCCTTGTATATTATGCTCATTCCTTTTCTCAGTCCGCAAATATGCCTTTATCACCTTGTTCTGCAAAGTCTGGGCACATTAGCCAGTTCAAAGCTCACAAGCACTTTCAGAGAGTAAAGGCCAATTGGTAGCTGGCACCTACGAGGAAAGCTGATAGGAAGTCATCTTTCATCTCTGCTTTTTCCTGCTTTACCTACCTCCTCTTGAACTCTCTTTATCTTCCATTTTCTATCTCAGTCTTCAACCTTCTTCCATTCTGTCTCAGCCAAAAGCAAAGAGAATTTTCTCACTCTTTTTCTTAAATTTTAAGCCAAGTCCATTATATGCCTCAGTGATTTTTCTTGGATACTACTGGCATCTGATTTAATTGGTTTGACATGAATTAATCTTGAGATTTACCTGTAGCCTAATTTTTCTTTGTAATTCTTTGTTTGGCTAATACTGAAGTCTTGATCTTTTTGGCAGTAAGTTTCTGAAAGGAAATATCTGGTTATCAAGGTAATACCTAAAGACCTCCTAGAATCTATTCACAATATTAGGCAAGTAGATTATACAAATTGATCCAGGTCTTTCTTCCACTTTCCAATCAGCTTTCAGGTTCTGATAATAGAAATAGGCTAAGACAAGTTGGGTGCTGAGGGGAATAGGTGCAAAGTAATTATCACTGGTAGTCCATATATAGACATTTTAGTATGTGTTTATAAATATCCATTTCTCTTTTTTAGATAATTTGGCTTTGTATCTCGAAAGTCCAGTTAAAAGAAATGTGGGCCTTTCCATTTATTTTTGGACATTCATATCTTTCAGTGCTAGTGTAAAATTTAATTTGTATTCATTGGCTTTTCTTCTCTTATTCTTGGCATGAAATTTAACATAAATATCTCAATACCAATATACTAATAGTAAATGAGTCATTTCATTTTCATTACCCAAACCTTCCATTTTATTTTTAAAATTTGACTACCCATCAATAGTTTTTCTTTTTCTTTTGATTATTTCTAAGATCTATGATCACAGCCTCCACTATATGCTAAAATAATGAGGCCGGGTGCAGTGACTCAGGCCTGTAATCCCAGCACTTTGGGAGGGCGAGGCAGGTGGATCACGAGGTCAGGAGTTCAAGACCAGCCTGGCCAATATGGTGAAACCCTGTCTCTACTAAAAATACAAAAATAAAAATAGCCAGGTGTGGTGGCATGTGTCTGTAAGCCCAGCTACTCAGAAGACTGAGGAAGAGAATTGCTTAAACCCGGGAGGTGGAGGTTGCAGTGAGCTGAGATCGCACCACTGCACTCCAGCCTGGGCGACAGAGCGAGACTCTGTCTCAAAAAAAAAAAATAGTAAATAATAATAATAATAATGAAGAAATTATGCAGCATAAAAGGTTTAAAGGAACCTCTGCCCTTATTCTAATTTATCTGAAAATAAATGATAGTTTGACATTTAACTATGTTGGTCACTCTTTCCTCCAGTTAACTTTAAAATTGTCTGTGGATTAAGATGGGGTCACCTTGCCATTATCTATTGGCTGGGGCTCAAATCTGGCTATTTCTTGCTCTTTAGGGACCTGGGTCCCTCTTCTGTATGGTTTGGCTCCTGCAGAATTACTTTTCCTGAACTTTGATGCTATAGCATTAGTCAGCTTAGAGAGATGTTATATGAAAAGGCCTAGGAGACATAACCTCTGGAGATGTTATTGTTATTGATGGCTGTTAACTACATCAGAGAGGGCCCACTTTATGACCATGCCCGGGAGAGATGTCTCATAGATCTCAGCACCAGAAATAACCACACCTACTGAGCATATGGACACTGTATATCGTAAACTGATCATGTTTTTTTCCTTAGAGCTAAATTTGTAGCCATTCTCTGGCAAGCACACTGAGCCATATGCATTCTAACCTTACTTTAGGTTACATCTTATTTTTTCTATATTCATTTTTTCCTTGATCTCAGTTTCCTTGATTAATGTTTTGTATGTTATGATGTAGCTATTTATAGTAAGACATTGCACTTCTGTTTGGGTGGGAGAGGTACTATAAATAAACAAAACAAGCCAGTAAAATCACATTGCCTGTTACTTGCACACATAAGGACAACCCGATAGGTTGCATAGGTATACAACCTATAGGTATACTTTTAGGCAGATATATCAATTTGAGAAAAGCTAAGCTGCAATATAGAAAATTATGAACCTTGAGGAATCACCAGGTTTATGTTTGTATTTTAAATCTTGTTAATTTTAATAATTTTACTAGAGATAAAATTAGTATGTTTGAAAGAGAAACATAAAGTTACATATCTAAATATGTGAAAGAAGGCAACCTCCATAAATTATGTCAAAAATATTTTTGTTAATGTTATAATTTTACAGGTAATACTGAATTTTACAGGTAATACTGAAATTGTCCCGATGAAATTATTACTTGTGATTTTCAGCATTTGGCTTAGCTAGTTCTTAAATTATTATTATTCAATTATTCTAATAAATTACTTACCTAGAGTTATTTTAAATTTATTATTTAGAATTGCCTTATAATATATTTATGATGTTTAAAAACTATTTATATGTCATTCATTCTCATACTATTTAACATCATGTATATACTCTCTAACTACTATTGCATGCTACAGACATTTTGAAATTCTTCCAGATATCCCTGTGGTCCTCTGCGTTGCTTCAGGGTGTGGAATATTTACAGCCATATGTACACTATTAGGAATCTTCTGCTTCAAAATCTGAAGCTTAAAATATTGGCACCACCACAGCTAAAGCACTGTTTAACAGAAAGGCTAGATACAGAAATGAAATATATCTGATAGACTTATAAATGGAAAACTGTAAATGACATACAATATTTTCATGCCACATGACTCTAGATGCCAAGGGAGCTGGCCACTTCCAATGAGTTATGGTTAATAAGTTTCATCAATGAAAGCAAATATGGCCAAGTAATTTGGTATCTGGAAACAATCTTCCTTAATTAACTGCTGATTATCACCATATAGTTGTTTTGATCATAGACAACGTGCTCTATTTATATAGGCTACAACTTTTTAAAAATTTCATAGACCTATAAACAGGCAGTTAACAATTAAAAACTTTTTTGAAGATGGGAACACTTATGACAATGACAAAATGCTTAAAGTGTTTTTCATATGATTTCATTCATTTCTAAGAATATTATTATTTCAAATTTACAGGTGAGAAACTAATAAATAATTCATCCAAGGTCAAATAACCAGTAAGTGGGGTAGCAGGGATGTGTACCAAAGCCCTCTGTCTTCAGCTTCCATTCTGTTTCCAGTATTCTGCTCTGAAGCTCAATTATATATTAACTATAATGTCTAGCATTGCTCAAGAGCATCATTAACTGTTGTTAAATAAAGTTTAATGGAAACTACAAATATTAATATGTAATTCTGATACTCTTTCATAACTGTAGTAATTAATATAAAGCGTAATGTTTTTAAAGTTTTAAATTTGTGTCAAATCCTCTTTATAGAACACATTTGTCATTCTTTTATCCTGAGTAATATGAAAAGATCCCTGCTGCTATTTACCTTGGTTCACTCCATGTAGAACTACCTCTTTCAGAAGCAGTTCATCACAAATTAATGTCTGAAATTTAGAGTATGTTTTTCTTGCCCCTTATTAATACCACTAAAAAAGTAAAAAGATCATTTGAGATAATTGGTGATGTCCAAAGAATAAAATATTGATTTCTTTGTAAACATAGCTAGTTGAAAATTACCTACGTTATTTTTAAACTGCCTGGGTAAGGTATATCGCTTCATTAATTAACATTTAGGAGGTTCAGGTGGCTCAGTAACTGGCCTTAACATAACCTCACTAATAGAATAACATAAACGTTTGGGTTTACTCCTTTAGAGGACTCAGCAATAGTGTCAAATTTCAGACACGGAACTAATGTCATGTTCCTTAGTGAAATATGGCATTCCTCAGTTCAGAGTACACTTAGAATCATCTAGAATAATTATGATCATCCAAGGCCAATGAAGGGAGCATCCACGGAGGTAGAGCCAGAAGTTGAACATTTTTAAAGCTCCCCACTTTGTTCTAATCTGTAGTCAGGGTTTGAAAACCATGAAATCTAGTGGGAACTCATATTGGAATGAATGGATTGTTTTCTCTGCCACAAAAAAAAAGTATAACATTTTTCTTCAATCAGTAGCCAAACATCTTTTGTGCTGCATGTTGTTTTCTTTTAACAGGTAGTTATACAAACCTCTTGTTGCTCCCCAGGAATGTCCTCAAAGTGAAATTTTTTTTTACTGGGTATATACCCAAAAGTTTATAAATCATGCTGCTATAAAGGCACATGCACAAGTTTGTTTATTGCGGCACTATTCACAATAGCAAAGACTTGGAACCAAACCAAATGTCCAACAATGATAGACTGGATTAAGAAAATGTGGCACATATACACCACGGAATACTATGCAGCCACGAAAAGGGATGAGTTCATGTCCTTTGTAGGGACATGGATGAAGCTGGAAACCATCATTCTCAGCAAACTATCGCAAGGACAAAAAACCAAACACCGCATGTTCTCACTCATAGGTGGGAATTGAACAATGAGAACACTTGGACGCAGGAAGGGGAACATCACACAGTGGGGCCTGTTGTGGGGTGGGGGGAGGGGAGAGGGATAGCATTAGGAGATATACTTAATGTAAATGACGACTTAATGGGTGCAGCACAGCAACATGGCACATGTATACATATGTAACAAACCTGCACATTGTGCACATGTACCCTAGAACTTAAAGTATAATAAAAAAAGAAAAATTTTATTTTAAAATAATTGTAGATTCACAGGAAGTTGCAAAAGTAGCACAGAGACAACCCACGTACTCTTCTCTCAGTTTCCATCAATGGATACATCTTATATAACTATAATACAGCATCAAAGACAGAAATTAGACAATGAGTATATATGATTCCATGTCATTTTATCATATGTGTAGATTCATCAGTCTATATCATCAGTACAATCAAGATACAGAACTATTCCTTTACCACAAAGATCTCCCTCAAATTACCCCTTTATAGCTGCACTCAATTTCCTCGCCTATACCATCCCTAACTCATGGGAAACATAATTTTTTTTTCCTGTCTCTGTAATTTTATCATTTCAAGAATGTTGTATAAATGAGCTCACATATAAATGTGTCCTCTGAGATTTTTTTTCACTTATTGTAATGACTTTGAAATCCATCCAAATCATGGTGTGTATTAATAGTTTATTCCTTTTTATTGCTGTATTCCAGGTTTTGGCTATAACAACAACAACAAAAAACTGCTACAATAATGTTTCATTTCTCTGGGATAAATGCCCTGGAGTACAATTTCTGGGTTGTATGGTAAGCATATGTTTAATTACTTTAAGAAACAGCCAAACTGTTTTCCACAGTGGCTTAACCATTTTGTATTCCCACTGGCAATGTATGAGACATCAAGTTTCTCTGTATCCTTGCTAGCATCTGGTGTTGTCACCGTTTTTTTTATGTCAGCATGTTGAAAGGTATGTAGTGATGTCTCCTCATGGTCTTTATTTGCATTTCCCTAATAGCTAGTGACTTTGAACATTTTTTCATTTGCTTACATGTCTGAAATGTCTCTTCATGGGTTTTTTGGGGGTGGGGAAGGCCCATTTTCTAATTGGGTTATTTGTTTTTAACTGTTCAATTTTAAGAAATCTCACTGATATTTGCAAATATTTTCTCCCACTCTATAGCTTGTCTTTTCATTCTCTTAAACAGGATCTTTCACAGAGCAAAAGTAGATCCAATTTATTGATTTTTTACTCGTATGGATTGTGCTTTTGGTGTCACATCTACATTTTCTTCACCAAGTCCTAGGTCCTGAAAATTTTCTCCAATGTTATTTTGTAAGTTTTGTAGTTTACATTTTATATTAAATATACTATTTATTTTGAGTTAATTTTTGTTAAACGTTTGAGGTCTAATTTTTTTTTATTTTTATTTTTTTGCCTATAGGTATCCAATTGCTTCAGCACCATTTATTGAAAAGTTTGTTCCTCCATTGAATTGCTTTTGCACTTTGGTCAAAACTCAGTTCCCCATTAGGTATCTGTTGATACCACCCTGGCTGGGAGGGGAGGGATGTCTTCTTACAGCTTCCCACATGGCCTCTACTAGCACTTTTGGGGTCGAGCTTGTTACCACTGAGCCACATTAAAGTACCGACTCTCCATTAGACCTCCTCTGACAGCACCTCAGTGAGAGGAGTGTGGGTGCCTTGGTGCCTCTGGGTAGGGTGGAAATCCAAGTCCCTATCCCTCTTCCCATGGACTCCCCTGACACCCTGAAGGGGATCCTCTTTACCACCTGATAGGGATGATGGTCTCAGCTTTCCACTCTGCCTTCTCTGACACCACTCTGGAGGTAGGTAGGGCTTGCAGCACCTCCTGGCAGCCTGGCAAGAGTCCAAAGACTGGACTCTCCCCTCTGCCTTTGCTTCTAGGGGTAGGCATGCAGTATTTTACATAGTGTTTGGCTAGAGTAAAGTGGTTATTGTCTAAATGTTTTCTGTCTTCCTATGCTGCTTCTTTTCTGGTCCATTGGCAAGAGAAAGCAGGCTTCTCTTGGGTTTTTATTTGTGTGTGTATGTGTGTGTTTTGGTGTTTGTGTCCATTAGCGTTTTAGTATTTTCGGGTTGTTGATGTCTTTAGTGCCCAGTCTGAGATGATATGTGAGGCAAGATGAAAACTCAGGGAACTCAGCACTGTGTAGTTCATTGAATTCCAATTTCCCAAGCTCGCCTGCCTTTTTCTTTCCATGCTTTAGAGTCTTCTTACATTTGTTTTATATATCATTTCCAGAGTTTTTAGTTGTGCCCATTGGGAGGAATACGGAAATTATGTCCACTCCGTCCTCTTAGAAGCAGAGATCAAAGTGGATTTTGAATATGATACCTCATTATAATTTACATGAGACTGACCTCCAAATGTAATGAAAACTATTTGTAGTTTTTGAAAGGTATGGTGATTGATATGGTTAGGCTTTGTGTCTCCACCCAAAAGTCATCTTGAATTGTAATTCGTCGTGTGTCAAGGGAGAGACCAAGTGGAGATAACTGAATCACAGAAGCAGTTTCTTCCATGCGGTTCTCATGATAGTGAGTTCTCACTAGATCTGATGGTTTTATAAGGGGCTCTTCCCCTTTCACTCAGCATTTCTCCTTCCTGCCGCCTCGTGAAGAAGGTGCCTTGCTCCCCCTTTGCCTTCCATCATGATTGTAAGTTTCCTGAGGGCCCCCCCGCCCCCCGAGCCATGCTGAACTGTGTGTCAATTAAACCTCTTTTCTTTACAAATTACCTGCTTGGGTAGTTCCTTGTAGCAGTATGAAAACAGACTAATACAATGATATGCAGAAAATAAATTTTACTTACATATGTAATAATGACAATAGTTTTTTGGCACTTTCAGTATTCTACATTGTTTAAAACTCTTAATACTATGTCATAAATAATATTCTTGTTCTTCTTTTACTAATGAATAAACCATGTTTAGAGAGGTTGAGTAATTTGCCTTTCGCTACCTTGGTCTTTGTAACTTTGAAACTTGTACTTTTTAACCCTAATGCTGTATTATTTCAGCTCTACTAACAAATTTCCTTAGAATAATGCAGTGAAAAAATTGTATTACAAGCCAAGAGTCACTTTTTTTTTTTTCAAAGTACATGCTTTTAATCACCACACTACTTTATCTTCAATGAGTCACTTGTTTTTGAACTAATTTAGACAACATTCATTCTCTGAATTTGAGCAAGTATTTTCAGCTGGCTCTTGGTTTTCTAAACTGTAGGATGAGGGCTTAATCTTGAAATATAATATTTTTGGCTAATAATTTCATAAATTTCTAAAAATCCTGGGAAAATTGCATTTGGAATTTCAAGACAGGAGGAGAATTCTGAGTAGTCTGTGGAGCTCAATCTGTAATAGTTTAGGTAATGGTGGCAAAGCCAAGTGGAAATGAAATAAGTAGACTGTTTTAGAACTCTCATCTTCTATCTTTAATATTTATCACCAGATGTAGAGTTTAAAACACCTGTTTCTAGATATACAGGTTATGTGAGTCATGGAGTAGATCCCATGAGCCTTTGACATTCAAGGCTAAAATGACAAGATGTTAACACTATTGTCACGGGATTTTAATGTAAGATGTGCATGTGGATGCATGTGATAGAAATTTGCTACTCCAAGCATTTAGCAGGACTATTATATATTTGGATGCTTCCTTAAACGGTGAACTTCAACGGTTTATGTCCTGGTTTAAGTTTACACATGTAACATCTCTTACAATTGCTCCATTATTTTGTGCCAATCATTTTCATTTTTTTTTTTTTGCTTTGCATTTTAGCCTCTTTGTATTATTTTATGTTCCAAACTTGCTCAAATTGTCTGAAAGGATGAACATATTGCCATGTGAAAAGATAGTGGATCTATACGTCTGCTGAGTGCTCTTGTTCTCACAGAGCAACTTCATATGCACAAGAAAAATAATTCAACATAAGTTCTATGCTTTTCTTTTTCCTGTAGCTCCCCTCAGCTGTTATCTTTCTTTAAAACTACAGTATATAAATGTCTTGCAATGAACAAAGTGATTTTTAACAGGTGTTTAATGCAATTTCATAAACCTTTGTAAAACATCTAAAATTTGCCTGGATGGATGGTAGGTGCTGGAAGGGATACTAATGAAATACCATGAAAGAGCTTCCTAGGAAGATAGGTACATCTTTACTAGTAAGTAATATGTGTTTATATGTGTGTATAATAATTGTTTTCTAAAAGTTTTTATGGGACCATATATATAATTGTTTCACAAGCTGTTTCTCTTAAAATATTAATTCTATTAGGTAGGTGGATTAAAAAAATTAACAAGTTCCTTTGCTGTGAGAATTCTCAAAATCTTCAACACACTCCTGTACATTATTATTCTTCAAGAAGAAAATTTAATTCTGAACATCATTTCCAAACATGTTGTACTAGTCTGTTTTCATGCTGCTGATAAAGATATACCAGAGACTGGGTAATTTATAAGTGAAAGAGGTTTAATGGGCTCACAGTTCCACGTGGCTGGGGAGGCCTCACAGTCATGGTGGAGAAGGTGAAAGGCATGTCTTACATGACGACAGACCAGAGAAGAGAATGAGAACCAGGTGAAAGGGGTTTTCCCTCATAAAACCATCAGATTTTGTGAGACTTATTCACTACTATGAGAATAGTATGGGGGAACCACCCCCATGATACAATTATCTCCCACCGGGTCCCTCCCACAACACGTGGGAATTATGGGAGCTACAATTCAAGATGATATTTGGGTGGGGACACAGCCAAACCATATCACATGTTTATCCTCTGAGCTTTTTTTTTTTTTTTTTCCTTCACAGTGAACATTGGTAACTAATAGTCTCTGAACTGGATTTTGGATAATGGGATTACAAAGAAATATAATTCAATATCCACATTCACAATACAGATTAATGTAAAGTGGGATTAGTCAAAAATATTCATAGGACATAATGAGGTTAGCCAGGACTTGATGGAAATTCAGGTTGTTCCAGACCCATATACACTCAATTTATATGAAAAAGGAAAAGTTGGTAATCATATGACTCTTCATTCTTTTCGCTTTTATTCTTTCCTTTTCCTCTGCTAACTGGTCCCAGTGCTGATATTCACCGGACTCTGGTTCAATTCTAGGAAGGCAATTGTTGAAGGAATTAATCAAAAGGGAAAGAAAGCAATTTGTACATAAATATTATAACACTATTTCAAGGAGTGAAAAAATAGTAAACAATGTAAGGCCATACATTTGGAGACAGTTAAGAAATCCACTATAGAATACTGTAAGGGCATTGCAGAAGAGAAATATCTCGACAAAGTTGCTCTGAGGAATTGTATGTTAAATAATGTCAACCAAAAAACTGAATCCAAAATCATTATAACTATATAATTCAGATCTAAACTGAGAAAGCTCAAAAATATATGTTGCAAATACAGTTGGATATTTAGTCTTTTTTGCATACTTTTTTGTTGTTATTCTAAATAATACTGTAAAAAGAAAAACGTTGGGAAGTTTAACTCCCTGTCTCAGGTTGGGTTTTCTGGGAGCAGATGCTTATTTAGATGAGTTTTGGAGGGTAAGATGGGAAAGGAAGGACAGGAAGCAGGACTGGGTAGAGAAAAAAGTTGAACTGGAATGCAGGCCAACAAATCTTTGACCAATTCAGCAGGAGCAATGAAGGGAATATTGTGCTTTAGAGTGATGGGGCCTTTCAAACACTGCCTTGCTTAGTCAGCAGCTGCAGTCTGCCTTGAGAAGGGTGAGATCTCTGGAGAGGTGGCTCCTTACAGCTGAGGTGGACCCTGAAGTTGCTGATCGCTGGGTTGCCTCCTGACTGTCCTCCCCATGGCTGGGCAGTAAGTACTTCCTTGAAGGAATTCTGGCAGAGCATCTCTGAGTGTACCACCCACGTTCATTATCAAGTTCTGTCAAAGTGCATTCAAATTATCTGAAAGAGAGGCTATATCGAAAAGATTTTCCCCTCCACTGTTTTGGAGACTTTCCACAGTGGTGCACTAGATCATTATTTCCTTTGCAGCAGTTTTGGTTCAAATTGTCAATTTGTTCTGTAGTGTTCCAGACTAGAGTTGCTGTAGACTACACTACATTAAGCACCAAATGCTAAGCAAATAGATGAAAATGAAGCTGATACCTAGCATTAATGGCTGGGATGTGTTCAGCACTGTTGAAATGATAACATTCACATACATATTTCTGACATTTGGTAGAATAATTGATTAGTTTGGAAGGGTGGATAATACCAACTCATATTTTGCATCACTTATCTACGCCACTCGCTGAGCACCTATCTCCTTTGCAGAAGCCAGAAAAATTTCTTTATTTTAATTCTCATTTACAAAGTTAATGTAAAAAGTCCATGATGAGAAAAATATCAACATTTTAAATAAGGAATAATCAGTAACAGTGCTGTGCTGAGCTATATTAGCAACAGGAGTAAAAGAAAAAAAATCAGTCATACTGATTTTATTTCTTATTTACATTTTGATTCCATGTTCATCATGGTTCTTTAGGGTACTCATTTTGATTTTCTAAAATATTGCACTCAAAATTTATTTATCTGGATTACTGAGTTTTTTTTTTTTTCATCCCTTTAAATTTTGTGCCTGATGTGCTTCCTTTGCCTCACTCTATTTGCAGGCCTGGTAATTAAAATTATATATATTTCCACAATGGTTGAACTAATTTACACTCCCGTCAACGGTGTACAAGCGTTCCTTTTTGTCCACAACCTCACCAGCATCTGTTATGTTTTTACTTTTTAATAATAGCCATTTGGACTGGTGTGAAATGATATCTTACTGTGGTTTTGATTTGCATTTCTCTAACGATCAGTGATGTTGAGCTTTTATTCGTATGATTGTTGGCCACATGTATGTCTGATTTTGAAAAGTGTCTGTTCATGTCCTTTGTCTACTTTTCAATTGGGTTGATTTTTTTTGTAAAATCTGTTTAAATTTTTATATACGCTGGATATTAGATACTAGATGTCAGATGCATTGCATGCAAAAATTTTCTCCCATTCTGTAAGTTGTCTGTTTACTCTGTTGACAGTTTCTTTTATGGTGCAGAAGCTCTTTAGTTTAACTACATCTCATTTGTCACTTTTTGCTTTTGTTGCAATCGCTTTTGGCATCTTTGTCATGAAATCTTTGCCTGTGCCTCCGTCCTGAATGCTATTGCCTTGGTTGTCTTCCAGCGTTTTTATAGTTTTGGGTTTCGCATTTAAGTCTTTAATCCATCTTGAGGTTGATTTTGTATATGAGGTAAAGGAGGGGTCCAGTTTTAATTTTCTACTATTCCATTACAGGGTATATACCCAAAGGAATGTAAATCATTCTATTATAAAGACATACGCATGTCTATGCTCATTGAAGCACTATTTACAATAGTAAAGACATGGAATCAACCTAAATGTCCATCAATGATAAAGAAAATATGGTACATACACACCATGGAATAATATGCAGACATAAAAAAGAATGAGATCATGTCCTTTGCAGGGACATGGACAGAGTTGGAAGCCATTGTCCTTAGCAAACTAATACAGGAACAGAAACACAAATACCACATGTTCTCACTTACAAGTGAGAGCTAAATGATGAGAACACATGGACACATACAGGGGAACAACACACACTGGGGCCTATTGGAGGGCGGAGGATGAAAGGAGGGAGAGGATCAGGAAAAATAACTAATGGTTACTAGGTTTAATACCTGGGCGATGAAATAATCTGTACAACAAACCCCCATGACACGTTTACCTATGTAACAAAACTGCACATGTACCCCTGAACTTAAAAGTTAAAATACACACACAAACACACACATGCATGTGCACATGCACACACACACACACACACACACACACACACACACACATATATATGTGTGTTTGTCCAAAATCTCTCATTGTTTTCTGTGGGAGGGCTGGTCTCATATAACTACTCCTTTTTTAATTGAAATGGAACTCACAAAACTCAGAGACAGTAGTTGTGTATAACAAAAATGAAGGCTTTCAAAAGGTCTTGTACAGTTTTCTTATACACAAAAGAGAAAGACCTCAGTTTCCAAGGTATCACACACTCTTTCTGTAATTATTCTCACCAATTCTGCCTTGCCAATTTAGATTATTCTTGCCTATTCAACAGTTGGCAGATGTATACCATTATCTAGTCCGCTAACTTCCAAGCAGGTATTACATATTTGTTCCAGAAATTAAAAAAAAATGCTGCTATGAAGCAAGAAATATATTAGTTAATGTGTGCCTGCTATGTTTCCTTTTAATTTAACATTTGTTGTGTTGAAGAATAGAATCTTAACCATGTAAATAATGTCACCAAACACTATAATTATAATTTAACATAACAGAAACATGTGTGGTATATGCTATAACCCAGACAATAACCTGAATAGGTTAAACTATTATGTATAGCACTATTTTGCCATCTTTTACTAAACAGTAGCGGATACACTTAAATTATAATATGAAATCTGGGATGGGAAGAAGGGAACACAATTATAACTGTAAAGAGCAGTAATATTTGCTCCTTTTTCAAGGTGCATATTTTTTAAGTGGAAAATAGATATGTAATGAAATAATGTAGTTTAAAGGTATACCATAGTCTGGGAATGCTTTTTCTCCTTTTTGATTGGGTCCTGAATATAACTGGGCCCTTTTGAGGTTTGCCTCTTCTATCCTGCCATGTCCAAAACAAACACACTTGCCACATTAATTAAAACAAAAAATGTCTTGAAAAGCAATGGAAAACTTTGTTAAAGTTTATTGGGGGACCTAAGGGGGCTGTTAAACAGACATCTCACAGAAAATCATATTAAATTTATCTCTACATATCTTCCTCCAAGATCCACATCTTTACTGCAGTCACATATACTCTTCCCCCACCCGCCCCCACCAAGAGACTCTCTACCTCTCCTGTGTCAGATTCTCCTTGGCTCTTCTGTGTCAATCC
The DNA here is from genome assembly GCF_000001405.40 of Homo sapiens. NCBI lineage: Eukaryota > Metazoa > Chordata > Mammalia > Primates > Hominidae > Homo > Homo sapiens. The sequence goes on along the minus strand of NC_000002.12, from coordinate 180,912,413 downwards.
TTACTTCTCCCCTTCTCCCACTTGCTTGTTCCCTCTGTTAACAACTATAGGTCCTTTTATTTCTTTTCCTTCTTAGCCCCCTACAATTCTTTTCTATTGTAGGGCAAGATCACTCCAGTTATCTAGCTTCCTTACTTCTATGTCTATACCAGTACCTCTAGCACCACCACTCTGAGTTGACATAATGAAAAAGTGTGGTGGACCAATTAGAAGTGTCTTTCACAGGCAGAAAAGAGGAGAGATGATGAACATTTGACTTAATATTTTGATCTCTTCTATCCTAGTCTTTATTTCTCGTGATTGTCATCTTGTTTTATGTAACTTGGGTCAGGTCAAAATACCCAGAGTCTACTGAGATCTGTAGAGGTGAGTGGACATTATACACAATTATACTCAAACAAACATGAATATACAATATCTTGATGCCACATTCATAATGTATTGTTTGATATGTAGATTTAAAATAGACCCCAAGTTTTAGCATCTTTTTTCATAATCACTGGGCATAGTTAAATTGGACACCAAAGAAGGTAGCATGACATGTGTTAATTTCTTTTTTATCATGAGATTTTACATAAATGATTACCATGTCAAGCTTCTGCCTTCCACAAATAAAGGGCTTTAAATATTTCTAAGCAGTCCTTTCGGGCTACAATCAGGCAAGCTGTAGTAAAACTATGAATATACGTGATACTTGTCAAGTACTTCTGTCAGAACAGGACTGGTATCCAGGGGAACATGCTTAAAACATATTTCTACTCAACCACCATCCCAGAAATAATCACAAAATCAGGGGAAAGAGAATAATCTTATTTGTTGTATGAGAGTTTTAGTAGAAACAAAAAATAAGAGACTTTGAATTGGTTTTCATTCTTGGCCTTTAGGTTTGATGTCAAGTCTTATATTAGTCAGGGTACAGTCACTCTGGGGGCGGGAACCACAACATTAAGTTGAGCACAAAAACGTAAATATCTTAGTTATCCATTAGGTATAGGATGGTTAACTATTAAAAATGGTAAGAACTCTAAGGTATTTAGAAGTAGCAACTGAAAAAAAAAATGCTGCTACCCCTAGCACTTAGGGAAAAGTGAAAACGGAAGGGACTTAGAAACAGAAGCAAGGATCTCTCACAAACCTATAAGATTCTTATGAGAGGGACAGCTACTGCAGGAACATGCTGCCCGGCGCTGGATTGGGGAGGAAAGCGGATGGAGGCCTTTCACTGCGGCAGAACTGGGAGAGTTGCTGCTATTTGGGTAAGCCCTCTGGGACCCCTGGCACACTGATTTGCTCACCATGGCGTGAAAAATAGAACACTGGGAAGAGTAGAAAATCCCTTCTTCCTCTTCCAGCCTTGCAGTCTCTCTCTAGCACCCTCTATTGCAAGAACCTAAGACTGCTTAGGTTCTTTTCACCAGCTGGCAGAGGTGTGTGGTCTGCATAGCCCAGCTCCCGTTATCAAAAAAAAGGACCAAAAGGTTGCATGTGGAGATGAGAGGTAATACATTAATAACTAGTACTACTATTTAAAAAGTTCTGTCACTAAGCAGTATTATCTCATTTCTAGCACTTTTAATTTGGCACATGATAGCTTGAATGATAATATCAACAAAAGTGCCATTCAAGTTTCCTAAATTTACGCTCTTATGTAATATGTATGATTCAAAACAGGAGATTTTATTAGCTTTTGTTTGTTTATATACATCATAAAATAAAACAATGTGCACACAGAAAAATTCTTCAGAGGTCATCTTATCTAGGCTTCCAGTGTATATTGGAACTGTGACTATAGTTCACCCTCTACCTTCTGCTTGAATATTTCCTACAATCAGGGGTTAGTTCACTAGCTGATGAGCCACTTTCTTGTCTAGAAATTTCTAATTTTAAGAATGTTTTTCTTACCCTGTCTCCAAATCTGTTTCTTCTTTTTTCTTTTTCTTCTTCTTCTTTTTTTTTTTTTTTTTTTTTTTTTTGACCGAGTCTTGCTCTGTGGCCCAGGCTGGAGTGCAGTGGCGCGATCTCGGCTCACTGCAAGCTCCGCCTCCCGGGTTCACGCCATTCTCCTGTCTCAGCCTCCCGAGTAGCTGGGACTACAGGCACCTGCCACCATGCCTGGCTAATTTTTTTTTTTTTTTTTTTTTTGTATTTTTAGTAGAGACGGGGTTTCACCATGTTAGCCAGGATGGTCTCGATCTCCTGAGCTCATGATCCACCAGCCTCGGCCTCCCAAAGTGCTGGGATTACAGACGTGAGCCACCGCGCCCGGCCCAAATCGGTTTTTCTTAACTGCCTGCCATTAGTCCTCATTTTGTCATATGGAATGTGCTAAAACCTTCTCTGGTAACTTTTATGACAGCCCCCCAAATATTTGAAGGCTCTGTATTGTCTCTGTTAACTATTCCTCATATGGTAAAGTTTCTGTACCCCAACATTATTGGACTCATACTCCTATAACCTCACTATACTTTTTTTTTTTTTTTTTTTTTTTTTTGAGACGGCGTCTTGCTCTGTCACCCAGGACGGAGTGCAGTGGCGCGATCACAGCTCACTGCAACCTCTGCCTCCCAGGTTCAAGTGATTCTCCTACCTCAGCCTCCCGAGTAGCTGGGACTACAGGCGTGTGCCACCACACCTGGCTATTTTTTTTTTTTTCGTATTTTTAGTAGAGACGGGGTTTCACTGTGTTAGCCAGGATAGTCTCGATCTCCTGACCTTTAACATCTCTTTTAAGAAATGCAGCTCTCAGAAATTAACTTGATGAGTTAGACATATAGAACTGAGGCAAAGTATAATGGATATATTACTTTTAGGATCAGGTATTATAGTTCCATGAATGATGCCTTAATAATTGGCTTTTTCAACAATTGCATCACAGTTTTGCTTTTCTTACCACTAACCCACTCCCCCACCTTAGAGGCATTTTATAAACCTCGAGTTCTTTTTTTTAAAGGATCAGTGTTCACTGAATTGTTTTTAATCTAGAAAAATATAACAGATCTTGTACCAAAAATATAGTAAGTAATAAACTATTTTTCACTTCCCCTCAGACAACCCTCCCAACTGGAATGGCAGGAATAGTTGGTGGAAGCGTTCCTTGACTCTTCCAAGTCTCCTTGTAACCTTTTAACGTTTACCTTAGAACCTGGGAAAGCATTGTTTCCCTCTGACTACAAAGCCAAAAGTGAGAGTTGGATATTAAGCGAAATTACTTTTAATTCCCCCACATCCTCAAGGAGGGTTCATGACATATTCATTTCCTTCATATTACCTAATGTGAAACATACCAGGACAGAATTAATTCTTTACAAAGCAGCATTTTGTAATGAGTGCTGCTTCCTTCATTTTGCCTCCTCTGGATTCCACAATGTTGATTGTAGTTGGAATCTATCTCTAATGACACTTGAAAGAGTTCTTTAAGCTCAGTGGTTTTGAAGGCAAGAAAATGATTTGTTTGGAACAAACTCACATTCAAAATATATTTTATTTTATGTAAAATTATATAGGTAAATGAAATATTCATTTTACTGCACAAAAATTTCAATGTACACACATCCAACAATGTATGGGCTGTATATTCTTTACTTGGAATGTTCTTTCCTCAGATAGCTGCTTGACTAATTCTCTCACTTCCTTCCAGTGAAGGAAGATTTCACCCTTTCAATGAGGCAGGCCTGGCTTGAACAACCATTTAATATTGCAAACTGTCTCTTCTACCTTCTCCCAGCCTTGTCTTCCCCTTCTTACTCAACTTTTCTTTTTTTCCAGAGCACTAAGTATTTTCTAACACACTGTGTCATTTACTTATTTATTATGTTTAACACAATGCAAATCTGTTTTCCCTGTACTCTCCCACCCCCTCCCAACCCCAATGTAAGTTCCTTGAGGGTAAATATCTTTGTTTCCTTGTTTACTTTGTACGGGGATGTAATACAATAAATATTTGTTGAATTAATGACATTAGCTTCCAGTTCCTTCTTACAAATGGGTGATAATTATTGCAGACAAGAGTACATTCTGTGCTCTGGGTATGTCAAACATTTTTTCTTCTCAATTGTCCAAGTTCTTCAGTTCCTTTTCTGTGCATTTCATAGTATTTTTGCTCTTGCAGGCTGCCCTGCTTGATGTTTCGTTGTTTCAGCTCATTCTCCAGCTCTGTACACTAAAAGTTTGACCTTTAACAGATTGAACCTGAAGCTTTGCTTGCCTTTGAAATGTTCTGTAAAATGCAGGTGACTAGCTCCGATCACCCTGCAGGTCCTTTTAACTGAGTCACCTCCAACCCCAGCCTTCTCCACTCATCTCTAGAGAGGGTTACAGTTTATAATTGTCCTTTTTGGCAAGAAAAGTAACTTTCTGGCTGGAAGCTGCAATACAACTCATTTTTTTTTAAAGTGTTCAGTACTGTGTTACTTCCAGTATAACACCATTAGACATCCTTTCTGTAGAAGCAATAACTCAGGAGCATTCCTGCTTAACCATTTCCTGTCTGACTTCTGACCAATACCTAACCATGCTGCATAAAACCCTCTTATTCCATGAGTCACATGGCTGACACCACCATCGTTCAGCTCTTAACTTAAATGCTAATTCTCTAGGGAATCTTTCTTGGACCATTTATGATGGGTAATTACCCTTTAAAGAAATACACTGTACCATGGTTATTTTCTTCACATTTCATGTATATATATTTGTTTATTATCTGTCTCTACTAGACTGTAACCTCCAACATATCTGTTTTATAAACCAGAGAGCAGTCATTCAATAAATAAACAGATCTGAGGGCCAACTGGCATGTTGTCAACTTATGATATTGGAAGTTTACATAAATTTAAGAAAACCTTTAAAAAATAAAATAGGGCATCACAACTTTTACCAGAAGGTACACATTGTAGAATTCATATTTGTATAAAGCAATAATAATGAACTATAATAAGTCTCAATATGCTTTACCTCATTTATCCTCAGTTATTTGAATTCAGCATTGTCTTTTTTTTTTTTTTCCAATTTACAGGAGAACTGAAGTTTAGTGGTTAAATAACGTACCCAAAGTCATGCAGCTAGAAAGCAGCAGCCTTCTGAAAGAACAATTGATCTTAACTACTTTGCCCTACTCCTCCAGCAGACTATTCAAACGATAACTTCCTGGTATCATTGCTTATAAAAGTAAAATATTTTAATGGATGCAATGAAAAAACGGCATTAAATAAATTGGGAGAAATAATTGCTGTTATACTTTTTAAAAAACTGTCTAAGTATAAAGGTTATAGATCTCCAAACGAGCAGGCAGTAAATTTATTTTTCTTGTAATCTGAAAATAGTAGCCATGTTTCCCTCTCAATGTTTGAGTTGGGGTTGGGATGGGTGGAACAATGCGGAATCATCTCTGTAGGTTTATATTCACTGCCTTCTCCAACACTGTGCATCTACCACTTTGTACTCCTGTCAAGTCAAGGTTACAGAATGTCTATTCTATAGTCCAAATACCATGCAGAAAACACCCATAAATAGTCTGTTTTCATGGGACTAATTCATTTTTATAGCAGTTCCCCTGAGGCTCTAAACAGAGAACCAACGCTGAGGATGGGATTTCCAAGGAAATTATATCTGACAGATAGCCAAAAATGTGAGACAGACATTGAAAAATTATAATAACTTGAAATCCAGAGCTAATACTCCATCAATTCCTACAGTGATTAGTTTAGTTTGACACTTTCAAAGCACAAATCTAAGCTATTGAAGTGATTTGTGCTTCATTTCAGTTTGCAAATGCTTCTTTTTCCTTAGAAAGTTTCCAGTCTTTGACTTGATTGACAGCCAGTTGATTTTTATGTAAGAGAAAAAAGGAGACAATGAAATAAATTATTTTTATGCTTTTCTCCTTTGTTTTTTTTTAGGACAAACATGGGTAGTTTAACTAGGTTCTCATCTAGCAATAAATTTTGGTCCAATAATCAAATTTTGATCAAATGGATTTTTTAATATGTGTTAGCAAACATGACTATAGTAGTTAACGAGTTATCAAAAGGCCAAATAAAATTAACCATCACTTTGGCTAATATCATGGTCTAAACAATTTTAGAATTGTTCTGCTTCTGCATAGGCAGCCTTTGGGAAAGCCATTACCAAAAGGTTAAATAGTAAAACCACCTTGGGTACCTGAGCTTGGATTGGGATGCAGAAGGTAATGTGTAAGGGTCTAAACCGGAGGATTCCAAAGTCAAAAGCTTATAAACAATAAGGGAGACTTTAAAACATGTTATATCAAGCCTGGAAGCTATTCTGTTCTTATCTTGCCAAAAGCTAGAGTGAGATAGAAAACTCCTCCAGCTGCTATATTAAACCTTACAAAAATATCTATACAAAATTGTCAACATAGCAGGGTCATCCCCAGGAAGTTGGCAACTGCAGTAGCCATTTTACTCAGTTATCATCCATGTAGGTCAAGGCTTAAAAATGGAATGAATGAAGGGAATGTACCTTTTTTCAAAGAGTATAGAGGTTTGCTTATGCAAACAACTTCCAACAAATTACCACAATATTGTTCTTCTTAGAAATGCAGTTGATGAATAATGTGTACTAAAAGAGTAGACATGAAGCAGATAGAGAAAGACAGTTAGACAATTTCTTCCTTTATTATCAGAAGCCCTGATAACAAAGAGTTGATCATACTGAAGCAGACAGGAATGGGATCCAGCAGGCAATGAAAGCAGATGTCAGTATGAGCTCATCACAGATCTAAGCATTTCCCAGGTGGCTAAGGATTTCACTGTATCATGAGGAGAAGGGATGGATCAATCAATTAATACTAGGAAAATACTGTTTAGTTTTTGAAACTTATTGCATTATGTTTACCCCTTAAGTAAGCAGTATATAGTTCTCAATGCATAGTGTTTGGTTTATTCATTCTCAGTAAACCTTTTTAGTGTCTTTATAGAGGTCAAACTCAAAGTTTGAGAGTTCTAAATTATCTGTAACAACATACAAAAGAATTAAAGTGTCATCATATTAACAATGTTTAGAAAAGCTTAAGTATTTTTAACAATACTAGGTATTGTTAAAGAAAAATATTTGAACTGGATGAAACTCCAAATGGTACTAAAAGTGAACAAAGCAGATAACTTGAGCGTGGAAATAAGGTCTCGTCTTAGTGTGTTGCAAGTTATACAAGTGACAACTGTGCTTTGTGATGCAATGCTAGTTCAAGTAGGAGGAAGCAGCTGCTCAGCCAAATGTAAACTAAGCTGCCAGTTGTTCAAGGGGGTGGATGCTAGACCACCTGCCTCTTACTAGGTAACAAAACACAAGACTCCTGTTGATATAACTGAGAGTATAATACTCAACTGGTATCAAAATGGATATGCATTTTCCTCCTTGACACGACGGTCATTTTATAAACAATTGCATGCAATTACACACATATTTTTAAAGCATCTTTTTAGAGGAAGACTCTGCTTTGCAGCATGATATTTGTATAAGTATTTGAACCATACATGATCAGATACATGAAGTGTATATGATAAAACAAAGAGAAACAATTGTGTACTGTTTACATACTGAAATATCAAAGTATGAGATACATGTAACTTGTCTCAGGGTAAGAACAGTTTCTTATAATTTGAGCTTGTCTAAAGGCCTTGCATTTAGACAATTAGATCAAAAGAGAATTCTTCCAATGAGAACTCAGCAATTCTTCTATGGCAGATAGTGTTTTATTTACTAGAGCTATCAGAATTCAAATACTAAACTTTGGTAATAGTTGATGTGACACTTTATAAATAAGATAAATCAACTGAAAATGAATTATTGATGATTTGTGACCAAAATAAAATAACCATGATAAACCCATCAAAAACCTGTCTTGAAATGGCAGAAAATGTGACAGGGCAAAATATTGGAATCAGATTAAACAAAAGGCAAAGCTATGATTTTGGAAGAAGGAAACTTGACTTATATGGACTATTGTTAACTCTAGAGATGCTCTGAAGTCAGGCATTTTGAATGTTTTGGACCATTAAACATAAAATACATCTTAAGCATGTTTATTTTTAATATCTAATTGCTTGATTTTATATACTCAGGACATAGTGTTATAGTTTATTGAATAAATATTTTTAAATGCCCTTTGATTCTAAGATAATTCAGAACATATTTTGCTTTCTATTTAAAACACGTTGGAAATAGCATTTTGCTAAAAATTGGATTTATACTGCTTAAGGGAGTTCTAAATGTTGAAGAATGAATTTCCTAGTTGAATATTGATGAAAAGTCCTTGATATTTTGAAGTAGTGTGCATATACATTTTCTTATTGTTCAGTTATACCTATAAAGATACAGCACTGGGGGGGGGGGGAAGACCCAAAGGAACATGCCAGTTCATAAATTTTGAATTAGCTGATTTTATTGTTGAACAAACCAAATACCCCAAATGCATGCAGGTAGCCAGCAAGTGGCTACAAACATATAGTGGGTTTTCAGCTCTGTTTATATGGAATTAAAGCTATAGTTGTTATCATTCTACTTTTAACAGTCAGCAGATATTGAATTTGCATCAGTAGTTACATGGAGCATACTCTTACATTCTTTCTTTCATAGTTCTCTGTCAGGCTTACTCTGAGATTTTGTTCTTTTCAATTTTTTATCAGTACCTCTGAAGGCTGCCCCTGACAGTGTATCCAGTACACATAAGTAGTCACGTCCTTCAACATTCTTTAGTGAGGTTAGAGTAAGTTCAGTTTTCCTACCACAGGCAATCACCAATATTTTAACTACCTGCTCAAATATCTGAATCCAGTAGATTTATTCTTGCATCCTTCCTCGCATCTTATATAATGTCAGCCACATATTATACTCTCACTAACTACATGCTAAAACGCAATAAATATCTCTCATAAACATGGGTTCAGCTTGGTAGAGTCAAGAACTTCCCTCTCTTTTTTCAATTTTTATTTTAGATTTAGGAGTTCATGTGAACTTTTGTTACATAAATGCATGTCACAGGGGTTTGTTGTACATATTATTACATCACCCAGGTATTAAGCTCAGTACTCAGTAGTTATCTTTCCTGCTCCTCTCCCTCCTCCCACCCTCCCACCTCAAGCAGACCCCAGGGTCTGTTGTTTTCTTCTTTGTGTTCTTAAGTTCTTATCATTTAGCTCCCACTTATGAGTGAGAACATACAGTATTTGCTGTTTTCTGTTCCTGCGTTAAGAACTTCCCTCTGTTTTGGCTGACTTTAGAGTTTCTCCTCTTTTATCCTTTTCCATTTAAATGTTGCCCAGCACACGACGTAAGCTGACTTGATGGCATTGTCTTCTCTTCCCACTTCTTAGCTCACCCAGGTGATGGTAGTTATTGGAAGAACTTACAGTTGCTACTTGGGTGAAGCAGGAAAGTTAGGAGAAGGAGGGGTGGAAAACTTTGCACTGCTGATGGCTTACAATCCTCTTTTCTCTCCTTTATTTCCCCTATTTTGTCACATTCTTACTTCCAGGACTTTGGAGGAGCAGCTCCCATAGATATCCATCAGGAAAAGTGGAATTTCCCACTCCTGTGGCAAATGGCTATTGTAAAAAAGACATGCCCCCCCATGCATTCAAGGGTGGAACTCTGAATGCATTTTCCAAGAGAAATTTTATTCCGTTTTATGATTAGCTTACAGAAGTACTGTTACCAGTATGCTTTTAGTAGCACTACGGAGAAAATGAACAATTGTAGTCCATCTCTGGAAGTTATCTACTATCTCAAAATGTGTTTTTAATTTGTATTTTTTTAAATATGAAAAAGCTTTTAAATTTCCCAAAATTGACAAATAAAACTCTGCAACTTGATCTGTGAATAACAGAAGGGTTTTGGTAAATATTCCTGCCTACCTTCCAAATCCCCCCATCAGAATCTAGGCACTCATTTTCAGCAGCTAAGACTGTTGGCTAATGGCTCAGAGTGGAATTCTTCTTTCAAAGGAAGCTGCCATAATGTTATGTCCAATGCTACACTTCCTCTTTGGCATCCAGTGACTGGTCAATGGAGTTAAAGCCCTGGCCCCTTGTTTTATCTGGGGCATCTCTGGAGGTCTAGCTTAGTACCAAGACTACTTGCAAGTTATTCACTACAATTGCTTCTTAGTTTATTTTTTTCCTTTGTCCAGGCTTGACTCCTTTACTCTCTTGTTACTGTTGTTCCCATAAACTCTCCCTCCCAAAGCTCTTTCACACAATTTTCACCTCAAAGGGAACCAAGCTAAAACAGAAAAGTAATGTATTACTTGGATCAACTTAAAGCTAGTTTAAGCAATCGCTCAAGATTTCTAATATTTCTCCTTCATATTTATTATAATTATATTAGCATATACTCTTTTAATTTTTATTTAAAAATATTTACATGTGGTTTTAAAAGTCGAATAGTGCTGTATTATTTACAAGGAAATAGTAGTGCCTTGTCCCATGACTCTCAAAGGGCTTATCCTGCAATTTCATGAATTTTTAAACTGTAGTCATTACTTACTGACTTTCAGTTATAACAAATTAAGATTTACATCTCTTCTACTCACTCCTCCATATTCCCCACTACCATTTCCCAGCTAGCCAATTTGAAAAATAGTCATTTGTTTAGATAACCTTTAGTATACGCCATTCTCATAATAATCTTTACTGCTGAGATACAGAGTGTATTTTGGTTACATTTCTTTTACCTTTTTACTACTATTTTTCTTGAGATAAGTTATTTGCTTTTACTTCTAAAATGTGGTTGGTTTATCACTTTTGTACCTATTTCTAATTCATCCCAAAACTTTATGTAAAATGCCTCTCGGTATGGTAAGGCATATCCCATTATCTTTCAGCAATACTTTTCTCCCCACTTAGGAACATTTGACATCTGTCTTGGTGCCCCCTGTCTTTCTTTGATCTGAACTGCTTGTTCTCTATACCTGGGGCACAACTGTCATCGTGGGACTTCTCTTCTCCATTGCCCTGAAACTTGCTGTTCTCTAGTGTTAATTCTGCATATCTTGGATTGCATGCCTTCCTTTTTCTCAGCTTTTACCCTTCGTTTCGCTGGAGCTTGTTCTCCAGTACTTTCCTGAGAATGGGTGCATCTCTGTAATCAATCGCTGAGTCAATGAATGTCTGAACTTTTTATCCTACTTTCACCTTTGCTTGATAGTTTTGTTGAGTATACACTATAGGTTGCGGATAACTATTTTTTTAAGAGAGGCTTATTTCTATTTTATATTTAAGCAAATTACGTAGCATACATTGCTGATGTGAAGAAAATACACAAAAGTCTTTGTACTTCAACTTTTTAAAAAATTATTTTTAATGGTCATTAATTGTGCATATTCATGGGGTATATAGTGATGTTTTGAAACATGTAATGTCTGGTGATCAAATCAGGGTAATTAGCATATCCATCATGTTGAAGATGAATTTAAAAGACAATGCTCCATTATTGTCTTGAGAATTATATCATTCTAATTTTTTATTATTTATGTGTGATCTTTTAAAATGTTTGCTTTTTCTCTGTCATGTGGTTTCTTCTTATGATCTCTTTTATTCCTGGTGTTTTACAATTTAATATTGAGGATCTTGTTGTGGGTCAGTTTTAATTAATTGAATTGAAAACTCTTTGAGCTCTTTCAATCTGAAAACTCATGTACTTCATTCAATTCTGGGGAAATTTCTGATATTCTTTCATTGTTAAGCTTGTTTCCCCTTATTTCTGTTCTTTTATTAATTCTGTTCTTTTGTTCTGGAATTCCTATTAGACATCTTGTATCTTCTGAAATGGTTCTTTTGTTTAAACATATTTCTTGTAATATTTTCTTTGTCTTTGTGCCCTTTGTTTTTTGTTTGTTTTACTTTATGGGTAATTTATTAAACTTTATCTTCCAAGGTTGAGAAATACTATTATCTTATTTTTAATTTTCAAGGGCCCTTTTTTGTTTTCTGAATACTACTCGACTTGTTTTAAAAGTAGCATTCTGGGCCAGGTGCGGTGGCTCACACCTGTAATCTCAACACTTTGGGAGGCTGAGGCAGGTGGGTCCCCTGAGGTCAGTAGTTCAAGACCAACCTGGCCAACATGGTGAAATCCCATCTCTACTAAAAATAGAAAAATTAGCCAGGCTTGGTGGCGGGTGACTGCAATCCCAACTACTCGGGAGGCCAAGGCAGGAGAATCACTTGAACCTGGAAGGTAGAGGTTGCAGTGAGCTGAGATTGCACCCCTGACTCCATCTCAAAAAAAAAAAAAAAAAAAAAAAGCATTCTATTCTTGTTTTGTAAATGCTGTGTCTCTGAAGAGATTTTTTATAGTTGCTTCAAATTTTCTTCAAGTCCCTGCATGGTTCATTTTCATTTGCTTATTTCCTTGCTTTGGCCTTGTCTTTGAAGTGAAATTCCCTCTACTTGTATCTGGTGATTTTTGGCCATTCATTCATATTTAAAAGTGAGACACTACAAGACAAATTGAAATTTTTGCATTCACTGGTGGAATTTTCCAACTGTTGGGACTCACTGTGAGGGACTGGATGAGACAAACCATTTCTTTGGCAACCTCACCTTTCTCATATACTTTCCAGATTCTTCAGAGAAGAGAAGCTTCCCATCTGATGGAATATAAAACCACAAGTGTTCTGGCAGCTAAAGTGAAAGGAGCTAAGTATTTTTACATTGAGCATACAGGATTTCATCCATTACCTTCATTATTTTTGTTGTCTCCCAGCAGAGCCTCTTGGGTTCACCATCTCCAGAAATTAAACCACTTGGCTAGAGTAGAGTAGAGAAGTCTAATTATTTTTTATACAGATTTTAAATAAATCTAATTTCCTTCAGTTTCACCTTACATGTCTGATATCAGAGATAGCTAGTGCCTTACCCAGGCTTTTTGTGGAATTCTGAGGTACCAATTGGTTTATCTTCTCATCACTCCCTTTCACTTCCCCCAGCATCTGCCTCTCCTCCCTACCTAAGCACTCAACAGAGGGGAGAAGGCTGAAACCTAAGCTAATGGCCAATTAGCCATCTATTTTCCATTTTTCTCAATTTTGTTGACTTTTTCTATCTGTTGTATGTTCTCTCCTATTTTCTTTATCTTGGTGAGTTTGTGTATTTTTTACTGTCATTTTAGTGGCCTTTCAAGAGGGAGCAGAGATACACTATTGTGTTCAATCTGTCATGGCTGACTGGAAGTTTATAATTATTTGTTTAATTCTGTCTTCCCTGCTCCACATTTATCTGGTTGAATTGAATGTCTGGGAATAGAGAAATGACTAACACATAAAAGGAGCTTAATAAATCTTTGTTAAATAAATGGAGAGTTGCAAATTTATTTTAGTGTATATATGGGTATAAATTAACTAAAACTTACCTCAAATTATAAATTACTTGTCAAACTCTTTAAAAACTCCCTCCTGGCATTATCAATCATGCCACAATGCCAACAGGGAATTTTTAAAGAGTTTGACAAGGGTGGACTACTATAGAACAGTAGAGCTCTGCGCATGTGATGGTATGATTAGCTAATACTAACTCTGTGATCGTCAGTTCTAAAACTGAATATTGAATTTTTATCATATTGGAGTGAAACAAACATTTGATCTCTTTTCCTCACTTTAACAACAATTTACACCTAAAAGAGAATTCACAGATATCGCTAATGCCCTGGTAGATGCCTAAGCAATGATTCTAACTGTATATGATACATTCAAGAAGATTACTGATTAAAGAAAGAAAGCATTTTATTTGGAAGTTTTACTTTCATAATGGCCTTTCTCTTCAATTTCATCAATTTTCAGTAGAGTATTTTCATATTGTTCTTTTCTCATGGTTGGAAAATTACCATTGTGATGGTTTTTTTCAGTAATTGGCAATTTTAAGACTGTGCAACAGAATCTGAATATGGTCTTGCATGATAAATTGAGAATAACATTTTAACAGTCATAAGTTGTACTACTTTTTAATAATATTATATGCAGTCTGTTTTTAGGGGGTGGGTTTTGAAGTGACATATATAGATAATTCATCAGGGTAAAATTCAGTTACTTGATAGTTTTCATATATTGTGTATATTGTCAAAAATCTAAAATTGCATTGCTACAAATTAGCCTGCCACATGCTGTACTCTGCCGTGTAACATATGGCCCAGCATACAGCAATAATCACCAAAATCTGTGTCAGTGCCTTCAGAGAAAGTGAGAAATTGTCCCTGTAGAGGAGCAATGTTAGTAAATAAAAATGAAATCTTAAGTTTTACTTACACTTACATCTAATTCTTAAGGTTTAAAATATCACCTGAATAAGCTGTTTGGGTCATATATATAAGTCTAAATCTTTGAAGGTTTTCTCCACTATAGGCAATTAAAGTAACTATTGAGTAGTTTGTTTTGACAACTGATTTTGATAAGTTAACTTTCACCTTACTAATTCTTTTTTGTAGATACAGTTAAACTTTTTTTGCTACCTCGGAAGACTAATTTGTTGAATCGCTGGACTTTGTATGAATTCTACCTATTTATTCTCAGAGGTACTTAATAAAAATGTTATTTTAAAATTTGTTTTAGTTATTTGATTCTTTTAAAAAATCTTTTAAGTTTTAAACATTGAAATAGAGCCTGATACAAATGGTCATGTTTTATAAACTATAAAAGCATGTTGAAAATCAAACAGATTACTGCATAACATTAATTTTGTTATATATATGATTACTTATGTTTAATGTATATTTGTGTGCATATGGTTCAATAATGACATCTTAACAATATAAAATTTTTTTCTATGATTAGTTTTTTTCTAAGAAATGGTATGAGAAACTAAGGGTTGTGGAAAATTACTTGCTATGCAAAGTTCCCAAGTGACTATTGACAGTGCAAGAAGGGCTCCATTATTAGAATCTAACCTGCAACACTGCCTTGAATCCTAGAAAGGGTAAGTGAGATATATTAAAAACATTGATCTTGAATATTAATGACTTCTTCCTAACATGAAGAGTTATTAAGTTCTTTGGCAAGTGGTCCTCAGGTCATCTTATTATCATATAGGCCACTTTACTTTGTCTTGTCTCTAAATACCTTTTACTTAGCTCGTTGCATTGTACCTTAATTTTTAGGTTAGCTAGGTCAGTTAAGAAATTTCCACATATTCTATCTCAGAAGGTTTATTTATCGAACAGATATTTATTTGGCACACACCATGTATTGGATACTGTTTTAGGTGCTGGAAATAGAGCAACAAACAAAACAGACAAAAATCTATGCCCCTATATTCTTGTTATATCTTAGCTTACAGTTTAGCGGGGGAAGATATGTACTAAACAGGATAAATAGAACTATATATGGTATGTTAATCTGAAATTAAGGTACTAAATAAGAAAAAAGCAGGGAAGGAGACAGATGGCTTATTGGTGGAGTAGCCTTTAAATTTTAGAGGAAAGCCTTTTGAAGAGAATAGATGTGAGAGGGAGCTGAGTGACTGTTTGGAGGAAGAGAATTTCGGATGGGGGAAGAAGTGAAAAAGTCCCAAGGCAGGAGGGTGCCTGGTATTTATAGGAGGAGCCTAATGTGTCTGGAATAGAGTGGACAACCTGGACAGCAGTTAGAGAGGAGGTCTGGGAGGTAATGAGTGTGAATGTGAGGGGCAGAGCTTGTGGGTCCTGGTAAGTCCATACTGAGAGTGAAATGGGAAGCCATTGCAAGGTTTTGAGCAAGGATGAGTGTGTCTGATAGGTTTTAACAGAACTGCATTGGGTTCTAGATTAAGGATAGCATTAAAGGAGCAAGAGCAGAAACAGAGATCAGATAGGAGGCTAATGCACTAATCTAGAGAGAGACTGGTGACTTGAACCTGGGGAGTATTGGTAGTGATGTGGACAGAGGTTAGATTTTGAAGAGAGAACAAAGAAGATTTTCTAATAAATGAGATGTGAGGTATGACAGAAATGTAATTTCCCTAATCATCAGGGAAATGTAAATCAAAACCACAGTGAAATATCATCTTAGTTAGAATGGCTATTACTAAAAGGACAAAAAACATCAGAAGCTAGCAAGGATACAGAGAAAAGGAAACTCTTATACACTGTTGGTAGGAATGTAAATTCCTATAGCCATTATGGTAAACAGTATGGAGATTTCTCAGAAAAACTAAAAACAGGACTACCATCCAGTCCAGCAATCACACTACTGGTATTTATCCAAAGGAAAGAAAATCATTATACCAAAGGGACACCTGCACCCCCATATTTACTGCAGTGCTATTCACAATAGCAAAGATATGGAATCAGCCTAAGTATCCATCAACAGGTGAATGGGTAAAGAAAATGCAGTATATATACACAATAGAATACTACTCAGCAATAAAAAAATAATAAAATCCTGCCATTTATAGCAACATGGATGGAACTGGAAGACATTATGTTAAATGAAATAAGCCAGATGGAGGAAAACAAATATTGCATGTTCTCACTCATTTTTGGGGCTAAAAATTGTTGATCTTATGAAGGTAGAAAGTAGAATGTTAGTAACCAGAGCCTGAGAAGGGTGTGAGAGCCTGAGAGGTTGTTTAATGGGTACAAACATACAGTTAAGCAGAAGGAAGAAGTTTCGATGTTCAATAGCAGAGTATTATGACTGTAGTTAACAACAGTGTATTGCGTATTTCAAAATAGCTACAAGAGAGGACTTGAAATGTTCCCAACACATAGAAATTATAAATACTCAAGGTGATGGATACCCTAAGTAACCTGACTTTATTGTTACAGAGTCTATGCATGTAATAAGATACCACACGTACCCTATAACAATGTATAAATACTATGTATTAACAGTTTTTTTAAAATAAAGAAAAAGAATTTCAGTTTGGCTGTTTTAGGTATGAGATGCCCATTAAACATTCAAATGAAAAGACTGACTGGGAAGTTGGATATTCAAGTCTGGAATTTAAAAGAGAGACATGAGCATATAATTTGGGAGTTATCAATATACATAGATGGTATTCTAAGCTCTGAGACTGATGATCCCATTTATGGAAACCATGACAGTTTCTGCCATTATTAAGAAAGGTCATCATATCAGATTTTTAAAGTAATAATATTTTTAAGGTAATAGTATTTTAGGGATGCTAAAATCTTTGCAGTTTCTAGGACTAAGTATATTTCTCCAGGCTTAGAAGAGCTGCATGTTGTAAGTGTTTGTTATATAAAACAGAAAAAATATTTATATTAAAATGTAAAATAAAAAGGAGTATGCAAAACTATATACATTATTTAATCAGAATAATGTAAATTATGCTTAGACAAACATGTGAAGGAAATCTGACATTTTAAATGATGATTGTCTTGGGTATTACGAGTATTGGTGAAATTTTTCAAACTTTTATTTATTCTCCAAATTTTTTCCATACAAATATGAATGATTTTTAAGATGAAATAAAGAAAGTTTATCTTCGAAGGTAACGGAAACATTTAAAAATTTCTTCTTGTGGCTGATCAGTTAACTCTTGGATTCGTAACAGAACCCAGTGCCCAACTGCACTGAATTTCCTCATTTATGATTGTATGTGTTATGATATAAAAACACAGAAATTGACAGTGAAGGGCAATCACCAGTCTCACCTAGATACCATACAAAAAATATTTAGCTTATTTACAATTTATCAGTACCCGATACAAGGTTTTCTAAACAAACCAAAAAGAAAACAGGTCTCATATTCATACTCAACTTAATAAATGAATCTCACTATATTCAGGCTGCCCATTATTTCCAAATCAAATTGATGCAATTTCCAGCTCCCTTTTTGGTCTCTGATCTCCTTCTCCAGCACACAGGCTCCCTTTGGGATTTCTTTTTTAGCACAAACTTTCACCATGGGGCTTTTTTTTCACCTTGTTCTTCCAGACACTCTGAAGGGTTTTGATTCTTCAAGTTTTATTTCAAAGTACTTCAAAGAGGGACCTCCTGAAGTGAGGTAAAATAGATTTAACAATACCAACCTACCTCATAAGGCTGCTGTGAGGAATAATAACACAAAGGACTACAAAGCACTTTGTAAATATAAAGTTCTATACAAATGCTTAATAATAATTACTGGGCACAGTACAATGTAGTCTTTTGTGCATTTTTAGAAGTGCCAATGAGTACGATAAGTTTCCTACCTCCAGCCATTTTTTGATTCTTATAATAAAAGTGTTTTAAATTGTGTACAGAACATCCTTGTGCTCCATGTCTTGGATGCATTCCCAAGAAAGAACTGAAACAATGTCAGGCTTGGGAAAAGAAGCAGGGCATCCCAGGTGCAGCTCTCTTCATGTTTGAAGATGCTTTGGCACAGCAGGAAAACCAAAGATGGATAACTCTATGTTATTTTTTTTTCTCTGACTAAACAGATATATGTTCTGTCCATTGGGAGTGTATTTGTGATATGCAGGGCAGTGCTGTCTGCTTTCAGAGCAAGATCAAGATCTACTTAAATTGTGCAATCTCACCTCTATTTTTGATGATGCAAGGGAATCATCCATATGCTTTAAATTTTCATCAATTGTCACTGGCATTAACCAGTTTCAAATTTCCTGTGCTTTTTAAGAGTTTCTTTTACCCACCCCTTTAATTCACTGGACATTTACAGCTTTGGCCTATTAGTCTCTTTTCTCACGTCATTCCTTCAGTGTCTGAAAGGTACCCACAATCACTTTGGAGACCATCTACTTGTGGATATCAGAGTTTTCAAGAAATTATTTTTGTAATCAAAATAGTTTTGATATAGAAATCTTCTTATAATTTTTTTCTGAGATGAAGTTTGTATTAATCCATTTTGCATGGCTATAAAGAAATCCCTGGGGCTGGGTAATTTATGAAGAACATTGGTTTATTTGACTCACAGCTCTGCATTGTGCTGTCATCTGCTGAGCTTCTGGTGAGGCCTTAGGAAGCTTTTACTCATGGTGTAAGGCAAAGGGAGTAGGTGCTTCACATGGCAAGAGAGTGAGCAAGAGAGATGCCAGGTTATTTCAAACAATCAGTTCTGAAGTGAACTAACACAGTGAGAACTCACTCATTACTGTGGAGAGGGCACCAAGCCATTCCTGAAGGATCTGCCCTCCTCCCACCAGGCCCCACCCCCCAACATTGGGGACCACATTTTAACATGAGATTTGGAGGAGACAAGCATCCAACCTATATCAAAGTCTAACCTAAATCTCCATAGTAGTCTCCTATTATAGTAGCTTTAAGAATGAACTTGGTTTTCCAAAGCACAGGACTGTATCACTGTCACATCTGGGAGAGAATAGGGCCTGCACTGGAGGGAAACTCTGTATACTCTTTGGTCTAAAAACAGGGAAATCTTTGGTGTGTAAGAGGGTGAAATTCAGTGTAGGGAATCTACATTTTTCTGATCCTTGAAAGAAAGAGATTTATATCTGATCAAGAGATTCATTCTTCAATAGACATTGATTCAGTTGCTACTGAGTTTATGTACTGTGTATGGTGCTCGGGACAAGTTAATGATAAATAAGACACAGTATCTGGCCTTGAGCTAATCAAAGCTTCATAGTTGAGTTAGACATATTAAAATGCAATCTGAATAAGATGACATACATATTACAATGAAGGTATTGTACAAAGTGAGATTGCAACTGGAAAGATGGAAATACTCTTCTTGAGGGAGTCAGGAAATTTTCACAAAGGAAGTGACATTTGATCTGGGTCTGGATGATAATTAAGCATTTTCCAAGCATTTGAGGAGTTTGGGAATAATAACTGATTTATGACTTTTCATGGCATAATTGGAAATGGTGAGAAAGTCAAAGTGGCTGAAGAACTGATTAAAAAGGGAGATGAAAATGGAAAGATTGGCTGGGGCCATAGTGAGAGGACCCACGTGTGTTATCCCAAAGAGTTTAGGATGCCCCTATACGTCGGGGAGTTAGCTAAAGTTTGCATGATTATATTTGTGTTTTAGAGAGATGACTCTGATACTGTATGGAGAACAGTCTAATTTAGGAAACCACTGAAATTGTTCGACTTTTCTAAAACAAGCCTGCAAATCCTTCTGAGTAAGCATCCCAGATACTCATATCTGGATGTAGCAGTTGCTTCCGAGGCCAACCTCTCAGCAACGTCCTTAGGAATGCCTGCTAATACTTGAAAGGCATATGGCTTCTTTCTGACTAAAACATCTTTAGCTTTGGTAAGCCACAGTGCCTCTGGCTGAATGGTAGATAAAACCTCTAGTATAATTTTAGTAGTTTGGTGACAATCAGGAATCTTCAAGATAGGTGGGAGTCTTTTTTGTTGTTTCCGTTTAATCTTGCTAACATTTCCTTTGCATGGAGAGAAATCTTTAAATACAGTTTACACAACAGATTTTTTTACACTTTTCAATTAGTCTAATCATACTACAATTTCACTTGACTACAAATATAGCAACAGCAATTATACTTTATGCCTAATTGCTAATTGCCTATAAACTAAGGATTACTTACTTTTGCAAACTGCTGGTTCAGGTTTACAGAGCATCATGTATTCAATTCCTAACAGTGCCCACCAGCAACATGAATTTCAATCTATATTCTTAATATATTAGATGAATTGGCTACATCCATCAGGCACCGCCTTTACTACTTATGTTTCTGCTCTTGAGATATATGAATTTTCACCCAACCCTTTTTTAATTCAGAAATTTCATTTTATTTTTAAATCAACTTTACTGAAAAGTAATTTATATGAAGTAAAATGCACATATTTTAAGTGTACAGTTCAAAGAGTTTTGAAAAGCACATGTACTTTCAAATGAGTACCACCAACCCACTTAAAACACAGAATTTTTTTTCACCCCAGCACACTCCCTCAGGTCCCTTTGCAGTAAACCCATTTTACAGAGTGGTATAATGGACATTGGAGAGTCAGAAGGGAGGAAGGCAGGAGGGGAGTGAGGGATAAAAAACTACATAATAGGCACAATGTACAACCACTGATCTGATTTTTATCTCTGTAGATTAGTTTTGCCTGTTTTAGGACTTCAGACAAATTCAAGTCATATAGTATGCACTCTTTTGTATTAGGTTTGAGATTAAATCACATTGTTGCATGTACCAGTAATTGGAGCCTTTCTTTCATGAGTACTAGTCCATTATATGAATATGTCACAATTTGTTTATTCATTCACCTGTTGACAGACATTTGTATTATTTCTAGTTTTGCCTATTATGAATAAAATTGCTATAAGTATCAGTGTACAAGTCTTCTTTTGGGAAATAATTTTTCTGTTTCTCATAGGAAAACACTAAGGAGTGGAATTGATGGTTTTATGGAAAGTGTATGTTGAACTTTAAATGAAATTGCCAAATTATTTTCCACAGTGTGCTGTTTTACATTCTCATCAGCAATGTGTGAGAGCTCTGGTTGCTTCACACCCTGATTTGTTGCCAGTTTTAAAGTTTTAGTTGTTCTAGTAAATCTGTAGTGGAATCTTATTGTGATTTCTTGATGACTAATTATGTTAAACATTTTATAAATGAGTTATCTTCACATTATTTCAAGAATTTAAAAAATTTATCCTGGCTATGTCTTTTATGAAATACATGTATTGTGAATATTTTATCCTAATCCGTGCCTTACATTTTCATTTTCTTAATGGTATCTTTGAAAGAGCAGGAGATTTAAATTTTAATAAAGTCTAATTTGTCAATTTTTTTAATGGCTTGTTTTTTTTGTGTCCTGCCTAACAAATAACTGCTTATTCAAGTTTGTAAAAATTTTCTGCAATGTCTTGTTCTAAAAGCCTTACAATTTTATACATTTAGGCTTATAACTTATTTAAAATTAAGTTTTGCATATGGCATGAGGTTTTTTTAATTTTTCTTATGGATTTCCGGTTATTCTAGCACCATTTGTTGGAAAGATTTTTATTTCTTTATTGAATTGACCAGGCATTCTGCTGAAAATTAGTTGGCAATGTGTGTGGTTCTATATCAGAATGGTCTATTCCATTCCTGTGATCTATATTTCTATCTTTTTGCCATTATTACCCTGTCTTAATTACAGAAATTTTATACAAGTCTTAAGATTGGTAGCATAAGCTCTCCTACTTGGTTCTTTTTCAAAATAATTCAGCAATTCTAGGTTCTTTGCATTTTCATATGCATCTCAGAATCCACTTGCCAATTTCTCCAAAATTCCTATTTGAATTTTTATTGATATTGCATTGAATTACATATCAATTTGGGAAGAACGCACTTTTTTCAAACTATTGATTCATAAACATGGTGTAACTCTCATTTATATAGATATCTTTAATATCTCTTAGCAATGTTTTGTAATTTTCTGTGCAGAGGTCCTGCATATCTTTCGTTAAATTGATACCTATGCATTTCATGTCTTTGAAAGACATGAAAATTGTATTTTAAAAATCTCATTTCCAATTATTTTTTGCTAGCATGTAGAAATACAATTAATTCCTGGATATTGACCTTTTATCTTGCAACTTTCATAAGTTCTCTTATTGATTGTAGTAGTTTTCTTATAAGTTCCTTAGAATCATGTCATCTGAAAATGAAGAATATTTTACTTTTTCCTTTCCAATATGTGGACTTTTTAATTTCTTTTTATTGCCTTTTTATTTTGGCTAAGATATCCAGCACAAGATTGAATAGAAATGCTAAGAGCAGATATCCTTCACTTATCTCCAATGCTGTGAAGAAAACATTCAAACTTTTATCATGAAATATGTTTTCTATAAGGTTTTTCTTTATGAGATTGAGGATGTTCCCTTATATTCCTTGTTGGCTGAGATGTTTCTTTTTTTAATAATGAATGAAGGTTGAATTTTTAAAAGGTATTTTAGACCTATTGTGATGATTATGACTTTTCTTCTGTATTGTTAATTGAATAATTTGTTCAATTTTGAACAAATCTTACATTCCCAGTGTAAATATTACTTTTTAATATAAGTCATTATTTTCTTATATATCACTGGATTCAATTTTCTAATACTTTTGAGTATTTTTGTGCCCACATTCATGATGGATATTGATGTTTAATTTTCTTTGTTTTGATGTGTTCATCAGATTTTATATGACAGTTTTGATGGCCTCACAAAGTAAATTGAGAAGCGCTTTCTCTACCTCTGTTTTTATGGAAGAATGTTTTAAGATTATTATTTTTTTTCTAAATGTTTGATATATCTGAGAGTTAAACTACCTAGGCCTGATGTTTTCCTTTTGGGAACATTTTGATTACTAGTTGAATTTCTTAAAAAATTTTTTTAATTGAAACAAAATATTTTACATATTATGGGGTACATGTGAATATTTATTGCATGGATAAAATGTGTAATGATCAGGTCAGGGTATTTGAAATAGCCATCATCTTGAGTTTCATTTCTATGTGTTGGTACAAGTCCTCTCTTTTAGCTACTTTGAAATATACAATACATTGTTGCTAACTATGGTGACTCTACTCTGCTATTGAATATTGGGGCATTTTTGTTTTTTACAACTATATGCTATATGTTTGTACCCACTAACCAATCCCTCTGTATTTCCCCCTCTCACCTACACACCCTTCCCATGCTCTGGTTCCTATCATTCTATTTTCTATCTCTGTGAGATCTTTTTTATTGTTGTTGTTTAGCTCCCATGTATGAGTGAGAACATACAGCATCTTTCTGTGCTAGGCTTATCTCACATAACATAATGACCTCAGGTTGTACCTATGTTGCTACAAATGACATGATTTCATTCTTTTGAATGGCTGAATAGTATTTGATTGTGTATATATATATATATATTCAATATATATATTGTGTATGTATATACACAATAGTATATGATTGTATACATCAAATACAAATAGTATTTGATTGTATATATGTATATATATATCACACTTTCCGTATCCATTCGTCTGCTGATGAACCCTTATGTTGATTACAAATTCTTGACATTGTGAATAGTGCTGTGATAAACTTGTGAGTGCAGATATCTCTTTAATATACGTATTTTTTTTTTCCTTTGGATAAATACCGAGTAGTGGGATTGCTGGATTATATGGCAGTTCTATTTCTAATTTTTTGAGGAGTCTCTATACTGTTTTCCATAGTGGTTGTACAAATTTACATTCTAACCAATAGTCTATAAAAGTTCTCATTTTTCTACGTCTTCATCAGTATCTGTCTTTTTAGCAATAGCCATTATAACAGAGATGAGATAATATTTCACTGTGATTTTAATTTACATTTTCCTGATGTTGAGCATTTTTTTTTTTCATATGCCTGGTGGCCATTTGTCTGTCTCCTTTTGAAAAATTTATATTCATGTCCACAGACCACTTTTAAATGAGATTTTTTTTATTGTTGAGTTGTTTGAGTTCCTTGGTTATTCTGGATATTCATTCTTTGTCAGATGAATAGTTTACAAATATTTTCTCCCATAAAACTGGTCACTCTCTTGAATGTTTCCTTGGCTGTATAGAAGTTTTTTAGTTTAATATAGTCCCATTTATTTATTTTTATTATAGTTTTTTGTGCGTTTGAGCTCTTAGCCATGAAATCTTTGCCTAGACCGATCTTAAAGTATGTTCCCTACTTTTTTCTAGTTGTTTTACAATTTTGAGTCTTACATTTAAGTCTTTAGTACATCTTGAGTTGATTTTTGATATGGGTAGACAAATGGATTCAGTTTCATTCTTTTACATATGGATATCCATTTTTCTCAGCACCATTTATTTAAGAGAGTCCTTTTCCTAGTGTGTGTTTTTGGCACCTTTGTTGAAAATCAGTTGGATGTAAATACATGGATTCATTTCTGGATCCTCATTTCTGTTCCATTGGTGTATGTGTCTGTTTTCACATCAGTATCATCCTGTTTGGATACTATAGGCTTGTAATATACTTTGATGTCAGATAGTGTGATGCCTCCAGCTTTGCTCTTTTCACTCAGAATTGCTTTAGCTATTCAGGAGACTTTTTGGTTCCATACAAATTTTACTATTATTTTTTCTATTTTTGTGAAAAACAACATTGGTATTTGATAGGGATTGCATTGAATCTGTAGATTGCTTTGTGCAGTATGGTCACTTTAACTGTATACATTGTTGATTTATGAGCATGGGATGTAATTCCATTTGTTTGTGTCCCCTTTAGTTTCTTTCACCAGTGTTTTGTAGTTTTTCTTATACATGTCTTTTACCTCCTTTGTTAAAATTTATTCCTAAGTATTTAATTTTTTTGTGACTATTGTAAATGAGATTTGCCTTCTTGATTTTTTCTCAGTTAGCTATTCTCTACTAAGAATATCCCATAGTAGATATTCTCTATTTTGTATATAGAAATGCTGCTGATTTTTGTATGTTGATTTTGCATCTTGCCACTTTATTGAATTGACTTGTAAGATCTAGGAGTTTTTGGTGGAGTCCCTAGGTTTTTCTAGATATAAGATTATATCATGAGCAAAGAGGGACAATTTGACTTCTTTTCCAATTTGGATGACTTTTATTGTTTTTCTCTTTCCTGATTCCTCTGGCTAGGACTTTCAGCACTATGTTGAATAGGAGTGGTGAAAGAAGGCATTTTTATCTTATCCTAGATCTTGGAGGGAAAGCTTTCAGCTTTTCCCCATTCAGCAAGATGTTAGTTATGGGTTTGTCATATATGGCCTTTATCATTTTAAGGTAAATTTCTTCTATTCCTAGTTTTCTGAGAGTTTTTATCATGAAGGAATGTTGAATTTTATCAAATGCTTTTCTTGCATTAATTGAGATGATCATATGGTGTTTGTCCTTCATTCTGTTGATGTGATGTGTCACTTTCATTGATTTGAGTATATTGAACCACGCTTGAATTCTTGGTATAAAATTTACTTGATCATGGTGTATTATCTTTTTGATGTGCTGTTGGATTTGGTTTGCTAGTATTTTGTTGAGGAGTTTTGTAAATATGTTCATCAGGGATATTGGCCTATAGTTTTCTTTTTTGGTTGTGTTCTAATCTGATTGCGGTGTTAGGGTAATACTGGCCTCATAGAATGAATTAAACAGAATTCCCTTCTCTTCAATTTTTGGGGGATTTTTTTAGGAGGATAGGTATGAGTTCTTCTTTGTGCATTTTGTAGAATTGGGCTGTGAATCCATCCAGTTCTGGTCTTTTCTTTGTTGGAAGACATTTTATTACTGATTCAATCCCATTACTTGTAATTGGTCTGTTCACATTTTCTATTTCTTCTTTCTTCAATCTCGGTAGATTGTATATTCAGAAATTTATTTATTTCTTCTAGATTTTCCAGTTGGTTAGTGTATTGTAGTTTATAATAATGCCTGATAATCTTTTGTATTTCTGTGGTTATCAGCTGTAATGTCTCCTTTTTTATTTCTGTTTTTCTTTATTTGGGTCTTCTCTCTTGGTTAGTCTAGCTACAGGTTTATCAATGCTGTTTACTTTTTCAAAAAAATCAATTTTTCATTTTGTTAATCCTTTGTTTTTTTTTGTTCTCTAATTTATTTAGTTCTGATTTGATCTTTATTATTTCTTTCCTTCTGCTAATTTTGGGATGGTTTGTTGTTGCTTTTCTAGTTCCTTGAGCATCATTACCTTGTTTATTTGAAATCTTTCCACTTTTTTGATGTAGGCATTAATTGCTATAAAATTCCCTCATAGCATTGCTTTTGCTGCATCTCACAGCTTTTGGTATGCTGTATTTGCATTTTCATTTGTTGAAATTTTTTTTTATTTCCATCTTAATTTCTTCATTCACCCAATGGTCATTTAGGAGCACGTTGTTTAATTTCCATGTATGTGTAGAGTTTCCAAAGTTCCTCTGGGTGTTGATTTCTAGCTTTATTCCATTGTGGTCTGAGAAGTTACTTGATATAATTTTGACTTTTGAAAATTTGTTGAGACTTGTTTTGTGGCCTAACACATGGTCCATCCTGGAGAATATTTCATGTACTGATGAAAATAATGTATATTCTGCTGTTGTTGGATAAGATGTTTTGTAAATGTCTGTTAGGTCCATTTGGTCTAAAGTTGTTTAAATCCCACATTTCTTTGTTAGTTATTTGTCTAGATGATCTGTCTAATACTGTGAGTGGGGTGTTGGAATACCCTTCTATTATTGTATTGATGTCTTTTTCTCTCTTTAGATCTAGCAATATTTTCATTATGAATCTGGGTGCTCCAGTGTTGGGTGTATGTATATATTTACAATTGTTATATCCTCTTGCTGGTATAACCCCTTTATCATTATTTAGTGACCATCTTCATCATTTTGCTGTTTTTGACTTAATGTCTGTTTTATCTGATATCAGTGTAGCTACTCCTACTCACTTTTGGTTTTCATTTGCATGGAACATCTTTTTCCATTTGTTTACTTTGAATCTGTATGTGTCTTTACAGGTAAAGTATGTTTCTTGTAGGCAGCATATAGTTGGAACATGTTTTTTATCCATTTAGACAATCTGTATTTTTTAAGTGGAGAATTTAATTTATTTACATTTAAGGTTATTATTGATATGTGAGGTTTTATTACTGTCATATTGTTGATTTTTTCTCGTCGTTTTTTATATTCATTGTCTCTTTTTCTCTTATTTTTTGTCACTGTGCTTTGGGGTATGCTGTAGTGGTACCACTTGAGTTTTTTCTCTTCCTCAATGGTGTCTTTGGCTTACCAGTGAGTTTTATACTTTCATATGTTTTCATGATGGTAAATGTTACCCTTTCACGTTCAAGCTTAAAACTATCTTGAGCATTTGTTGTAGGACCAGTATAGTGATGATAAATTCCCTCAGTATTTACTTATATAGGAAAGACTTCATTTCTCTTTCATTTATGAAGGATGATTTTAATAGATGTAGTATCCTTGGATGCCAGTTTTATTCTTTCAGCACTTTGAATATGTCATTTCATTCTCTCTTGGCCTGTAAGGTTTTTGTTGAGAAATTTACTGATCTAGTCCTTTGTTGATACTTCTGATTATATTTTGTATTTCATTCAATGAATTCTTCAGTTCCAGAATTTCAGTCTGGTTCTTTTTAAAAATATCTGGCACTCTGTGGTAAATTTCTCACTCATATTCTGAATTTTTTTTTGATTTCCCTGTACTGTTTTTCAGAATCTTCTTGTATCTCACTGAACTTCTTAAAATCAATATTTTTAATTCTTTATCAGGGATTTTATTAATTTCTTTTTGATTGAAATCTGTTGCTGAAGAGCTACTGTGTTCCTTTGGAGGTGTCTTTTTTTTTTTTTTTTTTGCCGTTTCATTTTTTTTCTGTGTCCTTGCATTGATATCTGCACTTCTGGTATAATAGTTACTTCTTCCATTTTTTTTTTTTTTGCAACTGCTTTCATATGGGAAGAAGTTTTCCTGAAAATATTTATATATTGTCAGTTGGGTAAGGTGCTTTGGCTTTGATTTTGGGTGTATGCAGTAGTGTGATCTCTGGGATCTTTGTCTGTAAACAATGTCAGTAATAGCTGTGATTTCCTTGGTGGCTTAGGGTACAGTTATTAATGCTGGCTGTGATGAAGTTTTGCTGGGGACCAGGATAACAGATGGTCCAGTCATGGGGCCTCAGTGGTGGCAGTGATTAGCTGATCATGCCTGTCCTTTGGCCCCAGGTTGGCTTATGCTGGCACTTGTGTTGTTAGGCCCAAGCAGTCTGATTTGGGGGCCTCCACATGGTTTGCTGGGATGTTGGTAGTTTCTGCTTCCTGGCCTGATGTGGTACATCTGGGTGAGTGCCAGCTCTGGTGGTATTAGCATGTTATGTCAGCCTGTCCTTAGACCCTGGGAGAAGTGTTCATGTGCCAATGGTGGTAGACTGTGCTGAGTGATTTCCAGGCCCCTGGACAGCATACTGAATTACTGAGAGGATGGGACTGAGCCAGCAGACTTAGGCTGTTTTGAAGTGTGTTCAGGTGCTTGTTGTCATAGGCAGGGGCAGGGTGATTCCCAGGCTGTTAGTGGAATGCTGAGGTATGGCGAGTGGCAGTGGTGCTGTGGATCTGCCACTGGGAAGATCACTCCTCCAGTGACTGAGGTGAGGTCACTCTCAGTGGGAGTAGCATAGGGAGATAGCTGGGAACATGCAGTTTCCTCATGCCTCAATCACACAGCAGCCTACATCAATGTTGGTGGGATTTGTGCTCAAGACATGTGAAAACACCTGGCTTGCCCTTTCCATCCTTGCCTTGGTGGTGGCAGCAGCAACAGCAACCCAGATCCAGGCCCCCAAGGCAGGACACAGACCTCTGGAGGCTAGGCTTTTGGAATGGTGCCAGCTGCAGATGGACTTATCACCAGGGCATGGGGTGGAGCCCCTTTCAGCAGGAGCAGTGTAGGCAGGTAGCTGTGGGGAGTGTGGTTTGCTTGCACCTCAGTTCTCCAGAACCCTGCAGCAGCAGTGGTGGGATTTGTCCTTGAAGTTTGTAAAAGACCCCAGCTTCCTCTCTCCCCCTTTCATTGATGGCATGGGTGGCATCAGCCTCAAAGCAGGATGCAGTCCTCTGGGGCCTTGGATTTCAGAATGGCACCAAGCTGCAGTTTCTCAGGGCTCAAAAGCCTATGGGCATCTGCAGGAGTTCCCTCTCTGGAACAACGCCTCTGTGTAATCTCTAGGTTACTCCCTGTGTCAGTTTTGACACATGTTTCAAGGGGTTCTCTCATGGCTAAGACTGTAAAAGACTATAATGCAAGTATGGAATGCTGAGGATATATCTCTTACCCTTTCCCCATGTCTGGGAGCTTCCCTCAGTTCCCAACCAATCCCAGCCAAGAAGGATTTCTCACCTCCCTCGTCTTACTTGCTTTTGGTGCTTCTCATCACTTCTCTTTTGAGTCCCAGTGTACTCTCTTAGACAATCTACTTGAAGTGTGAATATCTACTTGCTATTTTGGTTCCTATCCATGGAGGAGGCACATTCTAGTTGCATCTAGTCAGGCATCTTGAGCCCCAGATACAATTTCTTTAGTAGATTTCAAACTATTCATATTTGCTACTTGTTCTTATATCTGTTTTAGTGCTATTTTTTCAAGAACTTGTCAATTTCATCTAAATTTCCAAATTTATTGGCATAAAATTATTTATAGTAGTCCCTTACTATCTTTCTAATGTCTTTATGACCTGCAGTGATATCCTTCATATCATTCTTGATGTTAGTAATTTGTGCATTTCTTTCTCTTTTAATTCTTAATTAGTTTTGTGTAGGTATATTGATTTTTATTAATCTTTTTAAAGAAAGCATTTTTTTTAGTTTTTTTGTAATGTTTTCTATATTCTATTTTTACTGGTATCAGCTCTTGTATGTATTATTTCTTTCCTTTTACTGACTTTGCATTGTTTCTTCTTCATTTTATGGCTTCTTAAGTAGGAATTTATGTCACTGTTTTAAAAGCTTTCTTTCTTCTAGTATAGTCATTTAAAAGTATAACTTTTATTCAAGCATTGTTTCAGCTAAATGCCACAAATTTTGATATATTGTACTTTTATTAACATTTAGTTAGAAATATTTTTTGTTTCTTTTGTGATTTTTTTCTCTGACCTCCTTGTTATTTAGAAGTGTGTTAATTAATTTCCAAGTATTGGGGAATTTCTATATTTCTTATTGCTATTAATTTCCTATTCCATTTATTATAGCCATAGAATATAGCCAATCTTTTCAATTTCATTAAAACTTATATTATGACTTTTCACATGGCCTATCTTGATAAGTACTTTGTGTGTATTCTTTCAATTGCAGCTTTCAGAGTAAGTGTTCTGTAGTTTTGGCGTATGGAATTATTTAATGTCAATTAGATCAAGTTGTTAGATAACGCATTTCAAACTATATTTTGACTGATTTTATCTATATATTTTTCTTTCAATTACTGAATGAGAGGTATTTCAATCTCCAAATATAATTGTGAGTTAGTCACAATTTCTCTTTACTTCTGTTAGTTTTTACCTCATGAACATTGAGGTTTTGTTACTAGGTGCACAAAAAGTTAGAATTAACATGTTATTGGTGAATTACCTCTTTTATCATTATGAATTGTTTATCTTTATGTCTTATAATACTCTTTGTATTGATATTAATATTGACACATTAGCTTTCTTATGCTTACTCTTTGCATGGTGTGTTTTTTTTCCTTTAACTTATTTGTGTCTTTATATTTAAAGTGTATCTATTGTCAAAAAACATACGGTTAAATCACCCTGTTTATTAAGTCTAATAGTCTCTGACCTTTTTTTAACAAAGCACAGACTCTTTATTTTCAAGGAATAATTGTGATGTGTATAATTGTAATAGGAGATTCTAGTATGCCACTCAGAAATCAATAGATAACATATACAAGAAATAAATACATAGAACATTTAAATTAAAAATAAGTATAATCTATTATATATTGAATTCTATACCTCAAAATAAAGAATATATACTCTTTTTCAAACAAAATATTGTATTTACAAAATTTGTTATGCATTAGGATTTATACACATATGTATATATCATACAGTTGTATATGGTTAGGGTATATATAGGAGATACATAAATCTCCACTGTAATATTTTTATTTGCTTTTATTATTATTTTCAATTGACACAGTTTACATAATTTATGTGGTACAGTATGATATTTTGATACGGATAAAACGTGTAATGCTCAAATAGTGTAATTAGCATATCTATCATCTCAAACATTTAGAATATCTTTGTGTTGGGAACATTAAGAATTTGCTCTTCCAACTATTTGAAAATATTCAATAAATTATTTTTAATTATAATCACCCTATAATAGACCATATCAAATATTAAATACATTTGAAAATGTTCAATAAGTTATTTTTAATTATAGTCACCTATAGTGCTATAGGACACTAGATATTCCTCTTATCTAGTCTGCTTTTTAATTGGAATGTTAATCCATTTACATTTAATGTGATTATTTCTATGTTTGGATTTGTTTATTACTTTTGAATTCATTTTCCATTTACCTTTAGTTTTATTTCCCTGTTGCTTATTTCCTGCTTTATTTTTTATTAAAATGATATTTTCAGTATTCCACTTGATATTGTCTGAATGTTTTTATGCTCCCAAAATACATATAGTGATATTATAACTGCCAAGGTGATGGTGTTAAAAGCTGGGGTCTTTTGGGAGATAATTAGGTCATGAGGGTAGAAACCTCATGAATGGGATTACTGCCCTTATAAATGAGGCCCCAGGGAGCTGCTTTATTCCTTCTACCATGTGAAGTCACAATTAGAAGGCTACATTCGTGAACCAGGAAACAGGTCCTCACCTGACATTGAGTCTGCTAGTGTCTTGATCTTGGACTTCGCAGCCTCTAGAACTTTACAGCAATAAATTTCTTTTGTTTATAAGCTACCTAGTTTATAGTATTTTGTTATAGCAGACTCAATGGACTAAAACCCCAGTTTATTTGTCTATTGGTTTCCTAGATGTCTTCTTTTTATTACATTTATCAGTTGTCCTAAAAGTTAGCAATATGCATCCTTGACTCATCAAGGTCTGTTTAGACTCAATATAGTACCATATCCCATCTCGCAACTGTCACTTCACACTTTCCATGTACAACTTCACAAAAATAATTATCTTACAACAATATAATTCCACTTACCTTTCCTATCATCTGTGCTATTGTTGTCACATATTTTACTTTTCATGTGTTATAAATCCTACCTTTCACTGTTACTAATTTTATTTCAAACTGTCATTGTCTTTTAAGAAAATTATATGAAGAAGAAAAAATAGTCTTTTTTATTTATTCATTTATTTATCATTTATGGGACTTATTCCTTCCTGTTAATATAAATTCCCATCTGTTATCATGTCTGTTTAGTCTGAAGAATGCCCTTTAGCATTTTGTTTTTAGTGCAGGTTTGCTGACAACAAATTTCCTTAGCATTTGTTTATCTGAAATTATCTTTGTTTTACTCTCATTTTTGAGGATGAATTTCTCTGGATGTGGATTTCCTAAATGAGAGTATTTCCTTATAGTATGTTAAAAACCTACTTCCTTTGTCTTTGGACATTTATCATTTCTGAGAAGTCAGTTGTCACTCATATTGTTGTTCCTGTTTTAGCATACGTTTATCTCTGGCTGCTTTCAAGATTTTCTTTCTATACATGGTTCTCAGAATATCGACCATCATGTTTCAGATGTACTTTTTCCTTGAATTTAATTATCTTGTAACTGATTGAGCTTCTTTGGTCTACAAGTATGTTTAAAAAATATTTTTGTATACATAGTAGGTATATGTATTTATGGGGTACATGTGATAATATAATATGAGCATAAAATGAGTAATAATCACACCGGGGTAAAAGGGATACACATACCTCAAGAATTTATCTTTTCATTGTGTAACAATCTATACAGTTTCAGTTATTTAAAAATGTACAATAAATTATTGTTGACTCTAGTCACCCCATTGTGTTATCAAATACTAGATTTTATTCATTCTATCTGACTATATTTTTGTACCCATGAACTATCTCCACTCTGACTTCCAACCACAACTATGATTCCCAGCCTCTGGTAACCATCATTCAACTATCTTCATGAATTCTATTGTTTAAAATTTTTTAGCTCCCACAATAAGTGAGAATATGCACAGTTTGTCTTTCTGTGCCTAGCTTATTTCACTTAACATAATGTCCAGTTCCACCCATGTTGCCGCAAATGACAGGATCTCATTTGTTTTTATGACTGAATAGTACTCCATTGTGTGTATACACCACATTTTCTTTATCCATTTGTCCATTAATGGACACTTAGGTTGCTTCCAAATCTTGGCTATTGTGAACAGTGCTGCAACAAACGTGGCAGTGCAGGCATCCTTTTGATATACAGATTTCTTTTCCTTTGGATAAATACCCAGTAGTAGGATTACTGACAAGTGTGGTAGTTATATTTTAACTTTTTTTGAGGAACTCTCAAAATGTTCTCCATGGTGGTTGCACTAATTTTAGTTCCCACAAACAGTGTATGAGAGTTCCCTTTTCTCCATGTCCTCACCAGCATTAATCATCACCTGTCTTTTGGATAAAAGCCATTTTAACTGGGGTAAGATGGTATCTCACAGTAATTTTGATTTGCATTTCTTTGATGATCAACAATGTTGAGAACCTTTTCATATACCTGTTTGCCATTTGTCTTCTTTTGAAAATTGTCTATTCAGATATTTTGCTCATTTTAAAATCAGATTATTAGAGTTTTTCCTATAGAATTGTTTGATAGCTCCTTGTATATTCTGGTTTTTAATCCCTTGTCAGATAGGTAGTTTGCAAGTATTTTCTCCCACTCTGTGGGATGTCACTTTGTTGATTGTTTCTTTTACTGAGAAGAAACTTTTTAACTTGATGTGATCCCATTTGTCCATTTTTGCTTTGGTTGGCTGTGCTTGTGAGGTACTACTCAAGAAATCATTCCCCAATCCGATGTCCTGGAGAGTTTCCTTAAAGTTTCCTTATAGTAGTTTTACAGTTTGAGGTCTTAGGTTTAAGTCTTTAATCCACTTTGATTTGATTTTTGTATATGGAAAGAAATAGGAGTTTAGTTTCATTCTTCTGAATATAGACATGTAGTTTTCCCAGCACCATGTATTGAAGACTGTACCGTCCCTTTCCAATACCTATGTTCTTGGCATCTTTGTCAAAAATGAGTTCACTGCACATGTATGGATTTATTTCTAGGTCTCTATTCTGTTTCATTCATCTATGTGTCTGTTTTTACAACAATGCCATGATGTTTTGGTTACTATAGTTTTGTAGTATAATTTGAAGTCAGGTAATGTGATTCTTTCAGTTTTGTTCCTTTTGCTCAGGATAGCTACAGCTATTCTGGGTCTTTTGTGTTTCCATATAAATTTTAGAATTGTTTTTTCTACTTCTGTGAAGAATGTCATTATTATTTTGACAGGGATTGCATGGAATCTGTAGATTGATTTTAGTAGTATGGACATTTTAACAATAGTGATTCTTCTAATTCATGAACACGATGTTTTACAGTATTTATTATGCAGATCTTTTACTTCTTTGGTTAAATTTATTCCTGAGTATTTTATTTCATTTACAGCTATTGTAAATGGGATTACTTTTTTACTTTATTTTTCAGATTGTTTGCTGTTGGTTTATAGAAATGTTACCATTTTTTTATGTTGATTTTGTATCCTGAAACTTTACTGAATTTACCAGTTCTAATAGTTTTATGGTGGCATCTTTAGGTTTTTCCAAATATAAGATCATATCATCTGCAATTAAGAATAAGTTGACTTCTTCCTTTCCAATTTGGATATGCTTTATTTCCCTTTCTTGTCTGATTGCTCTAGCTAGTATGATGTTGAATAACAATGGTGAAAGTGGGCATCCTTGTTGTGTTCCAGGTCTTACAGGAAAGGCTCTCAGTTGTTCCCCATTCAATGATGCCAGTTGTGGGTCTGTTGTATATGGCTTTTATTGTGTTGAGATATGTTCCGTCTATTCCCAGTTATTTTAGGGTTTTTATCATGAAAGGGTGTTGAATTTTTTCAAAGGCTTTCAGCATCAATTGAAATGATCATATAATTTTTGTCCTTTATTCTGTCATACGATGTATCACATTGATTTATTTGTGTATGTTAAACCATCCCAGCAACCCTGGGAAAAACTCCACTTGGTCATGATGAATGAGCTTTTTAATGTGTTGTTGAATTTGGCTTTCTAGTATTTTGTTGAGGATTTTTACATCAATAATCATCAGGAATTTCGGCCTGTAGTTTTCTTTTCCTGATGTGGCTTTGTCTGGTTTTGGATTCAGTAATTCTGGCCTTGTGGACTGAGTTTGGACGTATTCCCTCCTCCTCTACTTTTTGAAATAATTTGAGTAGAATTGGCATTAGTTCTTTTTAAAATGTTTGGTAGAATTCAGCAGTAAAGTCATTGAGTCCTGGGCCTTTCTTTTCTAGGATAATTCTTATTATGGCTTTGATCTCACAACTTGTTATTAGTCTGTTCAGGTTTCGGATTTTTTTGTGGTTCAATCTTGTTACATTTTACATATCTAGGAATTTATCCATTTATTTTAGGTTTTTCTATTTATTGGCATATCATTGGTCACAGTATTCTCTAATGGTCCTTTAAGTTTCTGCTGTGTTAATTGTAATGTCTCCTTTTTCATCTCTGATTTCATTTATTTGCGTCTTCTCTCTTTTTTAATTAATTGGTTAAAGGTTTGTCAATATTATTTGTCTTTTCCAAAAACCAACTTTTTAATTTGGTATGATTTGGCTGTGTTCCCACCCAAATCTTGCCTTGAATTGTAATAATCCCCACGTGTCAAGGGTGGGGCCAGGTGGAGATAATTGAATCATGGGGGCAATTTCCCCCATACTGTTCTTGTGGTAGTGAATAAGTCTCATGAGATTTGATGGATTTATAAATGGGAGTTCCCCTCCGCAAGGACTCTTGCCTGCTGCCATGCAAGACATGACTTTGCTCCTCATTCACTTTCTGCTATCATTGTGAGGCCTCTCCAGGCATGTGTAACTGTGAGCTGATTAAGCCTCTTTCCTTTATATATTACCCAGTCTCAGGTCCGTCTTTATTAGCAACATGAGAACAGACTAAAACATAATTCATTTATCTTTTGTATTGTTGTTTTTATTTCAATTTCATTTATTTCTGCCCTGATCTTTATTATTTCTTTTCTTCTACTAAATTTGAATTTGGTTTGCTGTTGCTTTTTTAGTTCTTTAAGATGCATAGTTGTTTATTTGATGTTTTTCTACCTTTTTCATGTAGCTACTTATTGCTATAAGATCTCCATTTAGTATTCCTTTCACTGTATTTCATAGATTTTGTTTTGTTGTGTTTCAATTTTCATTTGTTTCTAGAAATTTTTAAATTTCCTTAATTTCTTTATTGACCTACTGGTCATTCAGGAGCATATTGTTCAATTTCCATGTTTGTATAGTTTCCAGAGTTCCTCTTGGTGATGATTTCTAGTTTTACTCCACTGTGTTCAGAGAAGGTACTTGATTTGATTTCAATTTTTTTGAATTTTTTACTACTTGTTTTGTTGTGTATTAAAACTCAAACAGATAATTAAAAATAGCTATGGTCTATACTTGAGAATTATCCAGATATTCATGCCAAGGAAAAGAATGTATATTCTGCATGAGTTGGATGAAATATACTATACATATCTATTATATCCATTTGGTCTATAGTGCATATTAAGTCTAATGTTTCTTTGTCGATTTGTTGTCTGTATGATCTCCAATGCTGAAAGAGGAGTGTCGAAGTCTCCATCTATTATTGTATTGAGATTTATCTCTCTCTTTAGTTCTAATAATATTTGCTTTATATGCCTGTGTGCTCCAGTGTTGGGTGCATACATATTTACAATTGTTACACTCTCTTGCTGAATTGACCCCTTTATAATCATGTAATGTCTTTCTTTGTCTCTTTTTATAAATTTTGTCCTGAAATCTATTTTTTCTGATATAAATATAGCTACTCCTGCTCTTTTTTAGTTTGCATTTTCATAGAATATTTTTTTCATCCATTTATTTTCAGGCTATGTTTGTCTTTGTAAGTGAAGTGTGTTTCTTGCATGCAACAGATCATTTGGTCTTTTTTTTTTTTATTCACTCATCCACTCTATGTCTTTTGACGGGAGAGTTTAGTTCATTTACATTAAATCTTATTTTTAATAAGTAAAAACATACTCCTGCCATTTTGTTATTTGTTTTCTGGTTGTTTTGTGATCTTCACTTTCTTTCTGTCTTCCTTTCAGCAAAGGTGATTTTCTCTGGTGGTATGTTTTAACTTCTTGCCTTTTATTTATTTATTTTTTTTGTAACTGTTGTAGTTTTTGATTTGAGGTTTCCACGAGGCTTGCAAATAATATCTTATAACCCATTATTTTAAACTGATGATAACTTATCACTAACTGCATAAACAAACACTCAGAAAGAAAACTAATAAAAACTGTACACTTTGACTTCATCCCCCAGCTTTTAAACTTTTTGTTGTTTGCATTTAAATTTTATTGTACTGTCTATGTCTTAAGAAGTTGTGGTTATTTCTGATTGGTTCATCTTTTTTATCTTTCTACTCAAGATATGAGTAGTTAACACACCAAAATTGCAGTGTTTTTTTGTTCTCTTTCTGTGTACTTCCTATTATTAGTGAGTTTTTCACCTTCAAATGATTTCTAATTCATTAACATCCTTTTATTTCAGACTGAAGAACTTCTTTCAGCATTTCTTATAGGACAGATCTGGTATTGATGAAATCCCTTATTTTAGTTTGTCTGGAGAAGTCTTTATTTCTCCCACATTTTTAAAGGATATTTTCACTGGATATACTATTCTAGGATAAAATACTTTTTCCTTCAGTGCTTTAGCTATGTCATGCCACTCTCTCCTGGCCCTTAAGGTTTTCACTGAGAAATTTGCTGCCAGTCATATAGAAGGTTCTTGGCATGTTATTTGTTTTTATTCTCTTGCTTCTTTTAGGATCCTTTCTGTATTCTCAACCTTTCGAAGTTTGATTACTAAATGTCTTGAGGTAGTCTTATTTAATAAGGTTTAAATCTGCTTGTTTTTATATAACTTTCTTGTTCTTGAATATTGATGTCTTTCTCTAGGTTTGGGAAGTTCTCTGTGATTATCCCTTTGAATAAACTTTCTACTCTGCTATCTCTCTCTCTACTGGCCAATAACTCTTAGATTTGCCCTTTTGAGGCTATTTTCTAGATCTTGTAGGCATGCTTCATGCTTTTTCTTTTATTATCTCTGAGTGGATATTTTCAAATAGCCTGTCGTCAAGCTCGCCAATTCTTCTGCTTGGTCAACTCTGCTATTAAGAGTCTCTGATGAGAGACGTTCTTCGCCGAGAGTCGTAGGGGTTTCGCCCATAGCCAGCCCTCCGTCACCTCTTCA
The DNA here is from genome assembly GCF_000001405.40 of Homo sapiens. Classification (NCBI taxonomy): domain Eukaryota; kingdom Metazoa; phylum Chordata; class Mammalia; order Primates; family Hominidae; genus Homo; species Homo sapiens. The sequence continues at coordinate 180,873,503 of NC_000002.12, read as the reverse complement.
CGGCGCCCTGGGACTGCCCCAAGGCTCCCGCCGCTGCTCCAGCGCGGCGCAGCCACTGCCGCCGCCGCCGCCTCTCCTTAGTCGCCGCAATGACGACCGCGTCCACCTCGCAGGTGCGCCAGAACTACCACCAGTACTCAGAGGCCGCCATCAACCGCCAGATCAACCTGGAGCACTACGCCTCCTAAGTTTACCTGTCCCTGTCTTACTACTTTGACCGCGATGATGTGGCTTTGAAGAACTTTGCCAAATACTTTCTTCACCAATCTCATGAGGAGAGGGGACATGCTGAGAAACTGATGAAGCTGCAGAACCAATGAGGTGGCCGAATCTTCCTTCAGGATATCAAGAAACCAGACTGTGATGACTGGGAGAGCGGGCTGAATGCGATGGAGTGTGCATTACATTTGGAAAAAAATGTGAATCAGTCACTACTGGAACTGCACAAACTGGCCACTGACAAAAATGACCCCCATTTGTGTGACTTGAGATACATTACCTGAATGAGCAGGTGAAAGCCATCAAAGAATTGGGTGACCACGTGACCAACTTGCGCAAGATGGGAGCGCCCGAATCTGGCGTGGGAGAATATCTCTTTGACAAGCACACTCTGGGAGACAGTGATAATGAAAGCTAAGCCTCAGGCTAATTTCCCCATAGCCATGGGGTGACTTCCCTGGTCACCAAGGCAGTGCATGCATGTTGGGGTTTCCTTTACCTTTTCTATAAGTTGTACCAAAACATCCACTTAAGTTCTTTGATTTGTACCATTCCTTCAAATAAAGAAATTTGGTACCCAAAAAAAAAAGAGTCTCTGATGCATTCTTCAGTACATCAATTACATTTTTTCAGCCCCAGAATTTCTGCTTGATTGCTTCTAATAATTTCAATCTGTTTGTTAAATTTATCTGATAGGATTCTAAATTCATTCTCTGTGTCATCTTGGATTTTGCTGAGCTTCCTTAAAATAGCTATTTTTAATTCTCTGTCTGAAAGGTCACATAGCTCTGTCTCTCTGGGATTAGTCACTGTTGCCTTATTTAGTTTGTTTGGTGGGATCATGTTTTCCTGGAAAGTCTTAATGCTTATGAATATTCATCAGCTGCTGCGCATGGAAGAGTTAAATATTTATTGTAATCTTCACAGTCTGGGCTTCTTTGTATTTGTCCTTCTTGGGAAGGCTTTCCAGATACTTAAAGTGAGTTGGGTGTGTAATCTGATTCTTTTGTCACTGAAGTCATATCTGCTTTAGGGGTTACCCCAAGCCCAGTAGCACTGTGGACTTTTCAGACTTATAGAGGTGCCATCTTGGTGGTCTTGGATAAGATCCAAAATAATTTCTTGGGTTATCAGACGGAGACCTTTGTTCTTTTACTTTTCCTAAACAAATGGAGCCTCTCTTTCCCTGCTGACCTGGCTGGAGTTGGGGTACAGATGATGCAAGCATCCCTGTGGCCACCACTACTGGGACTGCACTGGGTTAGATTTAACGTCAGCATAGCACTAGGTCTTGCTAACACCCATGGTGACCACTGCTTGGCTACCACCTATGTTCACACCAGGCCCAAGGGCTCTTCATTCGGCAGGTGGCAAATCTAGGCAGGCTTGTGTCCTTCCCTCCCCAGCTCTGTATGGGTCCAGAAATGCCATCTGGGAGCCAGTGCCTGGAATTGAAAACCACAGGAATCTACATGGTGCTCTATCTTACTGAGCCTGAGCTGGCACCCAAACCTCAAGACAAAATCCTCCTCATTCTTTCTTCCCCTTCGGTCAAGGGAGGAGTCTCCCTCCTTCGTCACCACCACCTGGCAAGTACTACCTGGCTACCACTGATGTTCACTCAAGGCCCAAGGACTCTTCAGTCAGCTTGTGATGAATATTGTCATTCCCAAGTCTCTCCTTTCATGGCAGTGAGCTCCCCTCTGGGCCAGGGAAGTTCCAGAAATGCCATCCAAGAAAAAAGGCCTAGAACTGGGGATCTCAGTAGCTTGCTTGGTGCTCTACTCCACCGTGGTCATGCTGGCATCCAAGCTGCAAGACAAAGTCTCTTTTACTCCTCCCTCTCCTTTCTTCAAGCAGAATGGATCTCTCCAGGCAGCCAACATAGTTGGGAACTTGCTGGGTCATATCCGAAGTCAGCAGGGCTCTGAGTTTCACCCAAATCCCATAGTGAGTACTGCCTGGCTACCACTGCTGATTATTCAGAACCCAAGGGCTCCTTGGTCAGGAGGCAATAAATTCTGCTAGTACTGTTTTTTTCCCTTCAAGGCAGTGGGTTCTGTTCTGGCCCAGGATGTGTTTAGAAATATTATTCAGTTTCAGAAGCTGGGGCCTGGAACAGGGCCTTTGGACTCTGCCTAGTGTCTTATTATACTGTGGCTGAGCTGGTATCCCAGTTTCAAGACAAAGTCCTCTTTATTCTTTCCTCTCCTCTCCTCAAGTGGAAGGAAGAGACCTCTCCTGAAGCTATGAGCTATGCTGCCTGGGGTTGGGGAAGAGGTAACACCAGTACTCCCTTGGTCATCTTGGCTGGTATCTCACTAGGTTGCATGCACCCCAACTCCACTGGCTCCGACTATAGCACAGCACCAAAGCTTGCCTAGGAATTGCAGTCCTTGTGGCCTAGACTGCTTTTCAGGTTTATTGAGGGCCTCAGAGCACTTTAGCCTGTGGTGGCAGGACTTGCTGGAACTCAGGTTCTGACTACTGGGCTGGATGATTTGCCTCTGGCTAGGGCTGGTCTAAATGCTCCTTCTGTGGGTGCAAGCTGAGTTCTGCCCCATATTGCTTTCCACTGCTACAAGGCAGCACTGAGTCCCACAGTCACTGCACTCTCCCTCTCTCTAGTACACAGATTCTCTCTTTGTGCCAGGTGGCTGCTACCAGGGGATGAGGGAAGAGTGGTGTACATTATTCAAGACTGTCTTTTCTACCCTCCTCAACGCCTCTTTCCTTAATATGATGTTAAAACCAAGTACTGCGTTTGCTCACCTGATTTTTGGTTGTTATGAAGGTTCTTTTTTGTGTAGTTTTTCAATTTAGTGTTCCTGAAGTGGGGAGAATTGCTAGATGCTTCTATTTGACCATCTTGCCCAAGTAAATATGTTTTCATAAAATTTGGGGTAACTTTCTCAGAAATCTACTATAATTCTTTGAATTAAGGCATTACTTCCAGAAAAGGCCTGTCAACCTGAAAATACATGAGCCAACCAACTATCACATTAACACGATTCAGTAGCTTTTACTTGTAAGCATGTAAAGCAATAGAGGGACGGGACCAGGCATTAGACATTTTGATAGAACTGAAGGGAAGAAAGGTGGCAACAGAAAACACTGAAGCACTAATAATGAACAAAAGCCAAATACTGTGTTAAGTGTAAACCCTATTTTCTAGAATAAATCAAAGCATATATTTGTGACATAATTACAAGATTTTTAGGTAAAGTTATCAGTCAAAGTCCTGGAAGAAAACTTCAGCTGAATGTTTTGAGTGTAATGAGAATGCATACTAATTGAGTAATTAGATACTATTTTAATAAAGAGGGTGTTTACTGTGGGTAAGGTGTGGGGAAACTACAAGTGATACTGTAATGCTCCAGAACTAATTAACAGCTATTACCACACCACACAAGAAGGGGAAAGGGAGGTAACAGTATCTGGAGCCGAGATTATCACCCAGGTGAGAAGTTGACATGAGAAAAAAAATATACCTGGCATCCAGAGACATAGAAGTCTGGGGGAGAGGGCTGCCTGACATGAGATGTGACTTCTGGTTGAGAGATCAGAAAATCTGTGGTATAAATACCATAATCTCACTTTATTTCTTTTGATCTCATGTTAGCGATCTTTATTAATCAAACCCAACTGGAAGCCACAGTGCAAGGGAGCTCAGTATTGCTCACAAATGTTGGCCTTCCAGAGCAAAGAACAGGAAAGAGAAGAGTGGATAGGTTGTCTACAATGGCAATTCTTTCAGATGACTATCTTTCACTTGAAAGATATTCTAAAAACCAAATCTTTTGTAAATGTATAAAAACATTTGCTTTCAGGGTTTAGATTTAATGAAAATATTTCCATATAAATAAAAATTTTCAATGATATAAAATAAATTCTAGAAAATTTATTTTGAGGATTTATACAGAAGTTGGACTGCTTTCCAGTGGAATCTTCCATATGCTCTCTGTAATATATACTTGATCAGAAGTTAGGTTAGCTTAAATAAGTGAAAAGTATATCCCAACTGTATTTTATTTCTGTAACTGTAGCTATCTTAAGTCAGAAAACTAATATTTTAATGTTGCCTTAATTAAAAGGTAGAGATGAAATATTCAGCATATTTTGTGTTAGGGAAGTTTTAACCAGTTTACATTACCTGGCATCCAAGTGGGATATATTTATTTTCTTGGACAGTAAACTAAATTATTCTGTTAGCAACCATAGTTGCTGGTTTTTTTGTTTTTGTTTTTGTTTTTTGAGACAGAGTCTCGCTCTGTCACCCAGGCTGGACTGCAGTGGCATGATCATGGCTCATTGCAACCTCTGCCTCCCCAGGCTCAAGCGATACTCCCACCTCAGCCTCTGGAATAGCTGGGACTACAGGTGCGTGCCACCAAACTTAGCTAATTAATTTTTTTTTTTTTTTTTTTTTTTTTTTTTTGTAGAGGTGAGGTCCAGTATATTGCCCAGGCTGGTCTCAAACTGTTGAGCTCAAACAATCCTCCTGCCTTGGCCTCCCAAAATGGGATTACAGGCATGAGCCTCCATACCTGGTCCATGCACACAATATCTTTACAACGTCTAAGAAAACCAGATGAAAGATCACAGTGTCTGGTTGTAGCACAATAATAATAAAAGATACGTTGAAGAGGATAGGAAGGACAGTTTTACATTATCCAAATCACCTCTTTTCCAATTCCAGGCAGCAGAGCATGAAAAGACATACTCTCCACTTGGCAGGAAGAGAGGAAAGTAAGCACAGGATTTTCCGCTGGATCCCAACACTGAGTCCACCACAGTAAAACTCAGCACCAGGCAGACCCCACAACTGCAGAATCCAGGCTGCAATTCACAGACTAATCCTCTAGACCCACCTCAGTACCAGATGGTACCACACAGCTCAAGGTTTTAGGTTTGCGTGGTAGACTCAATCTCTATCTTTCACCACTGCCAGCCTGACTTCAGAGATCCTGGGCTCTGGACAGTCCTCAGTGGCAGGCAACTCTCAGGAGCCTCAGGCTTCTGGCACATCCCAGTACCAGCCAGCTGCCACAGGCCCTGACCTTCTAGCAACACTGTCCCATGTATTCCAGACTTCTAGCATACCACAGTGCCATGCTGATTGCATCTATTGAGGCTCAGGTGTGCCTCAGAGCTGTGCCTGCTGCAGTAGGCCCCACGTCTCTGGCATGCCCCAATGCCATGTTGGTAACATTGACTCTGGGCATCTGGAATTCCCTAGCACTGAACTGACCATAGTGGAGCCCAGGCTTCTCGAGCGCTCCAGTCCCATGCTGGCTGCAAGTACCGTGGGCTTCTGGCACACCCCATCATTGCTCCTGCCACATGACTTTCCAATGCAAAGCCAAACTGTAAAGATTTGAATAAATAGCTACTTTTTCAAATGCACAGATATCAATACACAGCTACAAGGATCAAGAACAATTACAGAAACGTGACATCACCAAAAGGACAAAAAAATTTCCAGCGATTGACCCTAAAGAAATAGAGATATATTAACTCTCTGAAAAATAATTCAAAATAATCGTTTTAAGGAAACTTGACAATAATTATAATATGCAACAGAAATCCTTGAACTGAAAAGTACAGTTAATGAAATGGAAATGAAATAGACAGCATCAACAGCAGAATTAATCAAGCAGAACCAATCTGTGAATTTGAAGACTGGTTATTTGAAAATACAGTCAAAGGAAAAAAAAGATAAAATAATGAAAAGGAATAAGAAAAGCTTATAATATTTATGACACAGCATCAAAAATAGCCTTGATGGATACAACGTTCATAGTTGGAAATTTTTTTCCTTCAGCCCGTTGTACATATCATCTCTCTTTCCCGGCCTGTAAGGTTTCTGCTAAGAAGTCTGCTATTAGCTGTATTAGAACTTCCTTATATGGTATTTGCTTCTGTTCCCTTGCTGCTTTCAGCATCCTCTCTTTGATTGTTGACAGTTTGATTATAATATGTCCTGGGGTTGTTTTATTTGAATTTAATATGATTGGAGACCTTGACCTTTGTTTACTTAGTTATTGACATCTTTCACTAGGTTTAGAAAGGTTTATGCTACTATTTCCTTAAATAAGCTTTGTACTCCTTTAGTTTTTTTCCTTTTTTGAACTTCTAAGACTAGAATTAAACAGGAGGAAATACTTCCAAACTCATTTTACAAGAGCAGCATCACCTTGATACCAAAGCCAGACAAAGACACTACAGAAAAAGAAAATTGCAGGCCAGTATCACTGATAAACATAGGTGCAAAAATTATTAACAAAATACTAGCAAACAAAATTCAACAGCACATTAAAAAGATCATTCACCAAGACAGATAGGGATTCATTTTAGGGCTGCCAGAAGGATATAGCATACACAAATCAATAAATGTGACACATCACATTAACAGAATAAAGAATAAAAACCATATGATAATTTCAATAGATACAGAAAAAGCATTTTATAAAATTTAACATTCTTTCATGATTAAAAACTCTCAAACTAGGCATAGAAGGAATGTTCCTCAACACAATAAAAGCTATGTATCACAATCCCACAGCTAACATACTTAACAGGGAAAATTTGAAACTTTTCCTCAAAATCAGGAACAATACAAGATGTCCAATATTGCTACTTCTATCTAATATACTGCTGAAGAATTTAGCCAGAGCAATTAGACAAGAGGAAGAAATAGAAAGCACTCAAATTAGAAAGGAAGAAGTTAAAATTTCCCTGTTTGCAGATAACATGATTTTATATATAGAAAATCCTAAAGACTCCACTAAAATACTGTTAGAACTAATAAGCAAATTCAGTAAAGTTACAGGATACAAAAAAATCAACATATAAAAATCAGTATCATTTGTAAACTCTGACTGTGAACTACAGTCATTTGCCACATAGTGGCATTTCATTAAATGATGAACAACATATACCCCAAAAATAATCATGCTGTATTTGTAATGTACCGTTTCTATGTATAGATATATTCAGATACACAAATACTTACCATTGTGCTATAATTACCTGCCATATTCAGCATAGTAACAAGCTGTAGAGTTTTGTAGTCAAGGAGCAATATTCTATACAACATATCCTAGGTGTGCAGTAAGCTATACCACCTAGGTTTGTGTAAGTATACTTTATGACATTCAAAAATAATGAAATCACCTAACAACACATTTCTTAGAATGTATCTTTGTCATTAAGTGATGCATGACTGTATCTGAAAAATAAATTTAAAAAATCCAATTTTTAATAGCTACAAGAAAGAAAACACTTAAAAATAAATTTAACCAAGGAGGTGAAAACACTACACTGAAAACTGTGAGACATTGAGAAAGAAATTGAAAAAAATACAAATAATTGAAAAGATATCCCATGTTATGATTGAGAAGAATTAATATGGTTAAAATATCCAGACAATCTAAAGTGATCTACAGATTCATTTCAATCCCTATCAAAATGCCAATAACATTCTTCATAGAAATAGAAAAAAAATCCTAAAATTCATGTGGAAAAGACCATGAATAGCCAAAGCCATCCTGAGAAAAAACACAGCTGCAGGCATTATACTACCTGACTTGAAAATATACTACAAAGTTATAGTAATCAAAACAGCATGATATTGGCATAAAAACAGACAAATAGAACAATGAAATAGAATAGATAACCCAGAAATAAGTCCATATATTTATAGCTACTGATTTTTGAGAAAAGCACCAAGAACACACAATGGGGAAGGACAGTCTCTTCAACAAATAGTGTTGGGAGAATTGAATATTCACATGCAGAGGAATGAAATTGGAACCTTAGCTCACACCATATGCTTTTTACAGAGGAGGTAACTTTTTACAGAGGAAGTAATTTTCTGAAGGTCACACAGCTAGTAAGTGGATTGAACAAGGCAACCTGACTCTGGAGTTTGAGTTCTTAACTAGTATTTGATTTTACTTATTACCAGACTTCGAAAGAGAATGCCCAGATTCTTTCTTTTTGCTCTGAATTACTAAATGACTTTTATATATTATAAAGGAATGATATGTACCTTGATTATAGTTTTATATGTTACACTAAGAACATACTCTAAAGTGGCTTTCATAAAGATGATTACAAATAATATAGACAGGGCCAGGCACAGAGGCTCATGCCTGTAATCCCAGCACTTTGGGAGGCTGAGGTGGGCGGATCACGAGGTCAGAAGATCGAGATCATCCTGGCTAACATGGTGAAACCCCGTCTCTACTAAAAATACAAAAAATTAGCCAGGCATGATGGCACGCACCTGCAGTCCCAGCTACTCAGGAGGCTGAGGCAGGAGAATTGCTTGAACCCGGGAAGTGGAGGTTGCAGTGAACCGAGATCCTGCCACTGCACTCCAGCCTGGGAGACAGAGCGAGACTCCATCTCAAAAATAATAATAATAATAATATAGACAATCCTTAGGTCTTTCATTAAAGCAAAATCAGTTAACTAGTTCTTTTGCCTCTATAAGATAGCAATGATAATTTCAACTAGTTGGTTTATTGAAATGACTCAGTTTTAGGGAGGGACTTGTTTAGTTAACCTATTACTTTTGCATTATGCAGACGTAAGCCATGTGAGTGATGTTAACTCAAAACATGCTAGCGTTATCATTGTTTCCAAAGCAATTAGTGTGCTGTTTGGAAAAACAATGCCTGGACATCTCGCTCTCATAATTTAGTAGTGTTGGTATAAAGGCATTTAAAAAACCTGCTAAAAACTAAAACTAAAAAAGAAAGAAAAAGAAGACAAAAAAGCCCTGGGGAGAGCATTTCCTTTCAAAGAAAGATGGCTAAATTAATCTAACAAATGTTGAATACATTCAGCCAACTGTTTAATGAAATTGGGAAATCTAGGCTCCTTAGGAAAGGATTTCTTATAGTGGCATTACAGGACTGGCATGGGAAAGGCAGGAAGACAATCCTTCTATCCAATTTCTATTGAGCTTTGTAAAAGCCATCCAATTATAAATGCATTCTTTCTCTGATCTGGGGCTCTCCTGTGCATTTTAAACTCCTCTGAGTATTTTTATCTTTGCTCATATTAAGAGGTTCTATACTAAGTTATCTTTAGTGAGAGCTTTTTCAAGCATATTTTATTGGCACCTTGAGATGCAGTAATGTAACCCATTCCTACCACTCCAGTGTGATACACTGAATATGACATTATTTGGAGTCTCTGGAATAATAATTTACACATAGGGCTATGAAACACAAATGATTCACAAAACAGTCATGAAATAGTTATGGAAGATTTAGAAATAAAACTTTTAAAAGCATATTTGTAAGGACAATGAGGTGAAAAATCAATATAGAAAGAACTAGGATTTATATTTTTCACCAGACTGCTAAGGGCACATTGCCATAGAGATGGATCTACACAATTATTCACCACCTGTAATATCCAGAGTTATAAGCACAGCTTTTTAACAACTAAAAAAATTTCAGTTCCCATGATAAAATTTTAGCCAGTGCAGAAGGTGGTGTCTCTTGTTACCAATATATAGACATGATGGCTGAAAGCTAACAAATGCCTATGAATCCAAGAGAGAAATGCTCATGATCCAAAGTGAAGAGGAAACATAAAGTCAAAGTGAGCAGGAGCTGAAGCTAAATGGCTGGCGTTAGCAAAACAAAATATAGGTTGGGAGTGGGGCACGAGACAGCAGTTGGAGGAGCATTATTGATATCTTTGAGTGGAAAAGGAATCCACTTTGAAGGATCCTTATAGTCAAAAGCTAGAGTTGAAACACTAGTGCAGAGCCAGGATTCAGGAAGGGACTGGCTTGACTGAATATGGTGCTGAGATGCATGTTAAACCTTGATATGGGATATGACTAAGCAGTTGCCTTCTGGCCACAAGAGTAGACACAAATTCCCTTTCAGGAGCTTGAACCCTGATAAGCGCTGTGAGGTCTAGAAAAGGACTATGCATACTGTAGGTGGGAAATATTTACCAAATAGGTGAATGAACAACAGGCAGACAGTTACCTAACATAATGCTATCTCCAATTTTCTTGAGTACCTACCATGGTTCAGGAATGTTCTATGGATGGGGATACACACATTGAAAAAAAAAAAACCATAAAATACTTGCCCTCCTGAAAGTCACATTTTAGCTGCCTGAGCATCAATCACAAATAAATGTGTAACTGTAACTAAAAATTAGGTCATGTAATGAGAAGTGCTATGAAGAAAAATAAAGCGAGTTGAATAGGAGAGGAATAGAGGAGGGGGTGCTATTTCAAGAAATTGACTAGGAATGGTTTCATTCATGAGGTAATATTTGAGCAGATCCCTAAAGACATTAGAGCATGAGACATGCAGATATCTGGGGGAAAGCATACCAGGCAGAGAGAACAGCAAGGGCAAATGTGCCGAGGCAAAGGTGTTCTTGATCAGTTTAAGAAATAGCAAGGAAAGGAGTAAGAAGAAGAAATGCATTCATCTCTTGAGGTTGTAGAGGGTGGCTTATGAGCTCTGCTGGGAACTTCAGTTTTTAGTGTGTTACATGATTTGATATAGAAGGATCCATCAGGCAGCTGTGTGTCGAATACACTGCAGGGAAGACAAGAGTGAGAAAACCAATAAGAAGGCTACAACGATATGGCTATTGTTGTGAAAAATCTTAAATAAATTGCTACCATATAAAATCCATCAGGATTAAACAATAATGCATATCCAAGAGGCTTTATTTGAGGAGTATAGAGATGAGTTAATATCAGAAAAACTATTAGAGCAGTATACCATATTAACAAATTAAAAGGTTAAAAAAGCATTTAGTTAAAGAGAGCAATAGTTTTCAAAGAAGCAACTGACATAATTTGATGCTTATTATATATAAACTCTCTGCAAGTGAGGAAGAGAAGTGAACTATCTTTATTTAAAGGAAAACTACAAAAATCTCTTGCAAATATTTAGTGGGAAAACATTTAGAAGCATTCTGACTGAAGTCAAGACAAGAACATATACTGTCAGAATTATTATTTAATATTTTACTGAAGAATCTGGCAAGTGCATTAAAACCAGAAAAATTTTAAAAATAGCATAATGAAAAGGAAAGAGGAGGCAAAGTGATTTTGATTTGTAAGTGATAGGACATACATTAAGACTAAAAATCTGCAGTCACGAAAGAGAGTATAAAAGAATTCCTAAATACAAAAAAAACACATAAAAACAATTTTATGCATTAGTAATAACCAAATATAAAATCTTATAGAAAACAAATACTCCTCAAAAATATAAATCTACAGAAATAAATGTCAAAAAAGATGTAAAACAACACTATGAAAGAAACTATAAAATATTATTAAAGCACGTAATAAATGAGATGACCTGCCATGGTTATGGGTGAAAAAACTAAAACTAGAGATGTGCCAAATTTCTACTTTATTAACCCATAGATGTAATGCAATTTAAATAAAATTCCCAGTAGCATTTTACATGAAACCAGAAGAAACTGATTCTGAAATCTATATCAGGGAGTCATGGTCCAAAAATGTTGTCTAAAACGATTCCGAAAAAGTAGAACAGGAGGGGCCTTCTTCTAGTGTATCGTTTATGATAATATAAAGCTCTAATAATTGAAACAGTGTGGTATAGAACTAATGCCAAACACCTATGAGAATTTAGAACATAGTAGCATAATCATTAGAATTCTGTTGAAGAAAGTATTAGTAAGTAAATGATATTAGGAAAATTGGTCTTTTATAATAGAAAAAGAATTGACTTTTATGTATATTCATTTATATTTAGTAATATATTATACATTATTTCCAAATACTTTTCTTTTTCTCCCCATGCATTGTTTTTTTCTAAAGCAGAAATTTCCCTTTTTTTTTCGAAAGCAGAAACTGAAGTCTTCCAATTCTGTTTAATCCAAGTTTTTATTAGAATTTGATCAGAACTGAGTAATAGCTGACTAGTACTGTGGTAACTGTCTGAATTAATAAAAGAAAGTAACTGAGGTTCTGGAAGAATAAGACTGAACAAATAATATTCAAATTTTACATATCATTTAATTACGAAATTCCAATTTCAATGCTGACTTTTCTTTTGATGTTTTACATATTTTCTTCAGGTCATAACATACGTTAATAGCTGACAGGAGGGAGACGTTTAAAAACAATATAGTAATTTATTTTAAAGGCCGAGTCACGAGCAGATCCATTTCTGTAGTTTCTGTAGGGGATGGAAACATGCAAAGGGCAATATTCCATACGATCATAATAACTTGAACACAGACCTATTCATTAGGATTTTATAAACAAATTGTGTGATATTGCCAATGTTGTTAATCAAACAACTTTAACACTAGGATTTTAACCTAATATTTAAGGCAGTCCCTGCAGAGAGTATGCAGTGGTTCTTATGCGTTAGTGTGCAGATTAATTTTTGGACAAGGCTGCTACAAATGAAGATCCCCATACTTCACGTTATAGAGATTCAAGTTGCAGGTTCTGGAGGGGAGCCCAGGGCACTTCTATGGTAACAAGCCCCAATGTGATGGATGCAGGCAGCTCTTTGACCACATTCTAGAAAAGGTACGGTAGAAGAATCAGAGGGAAAATAATTTTTGGCTTCTATTTTGACAAGTAGCATTTCCACCTTTCTCATTCTCCTTTTTCCTTTCTGCTCCAAAAATTCAAAGAGGCAGGTAATTGAAATGGACGGTGGCCAGTGTGGGCAGGGAGAGAAATATGAATCCTCTTTACATCCTTAATCCTAATGTCCTTTAAGGGACATTTGGCTATTTATTGAGGTTCTTTGTATATTTATGGACAGTGACTTGGTCCAAAAGACCTGGGCACTTGGTCTAACTTTTCAAACATTATCTAACCTCTGAATCTGGAATAACCAAACTGTAAGTTGACTTAATTCACAGAAGTGCAGTGATGGTAAAATGAAATAGCATGAGTAGAGTGATAAGTGTGATGCAAATGAAAGTCATATCTTCATTACTAGGCTTTATTTATTAAATATAGCTAAAGTACTCTAAACGTATATGTCTACACTTTTTTGAACATGGATAGTTTTTACATAACTGTACTGAAAGAAAGGGCACTAATTACTATGCGCTCTAAATAAGAATTCAACTTTGAACTTTCAACATAAACAAGTATATTTGCAAATTTTTGCTTGATGAATTGGATATAGCCAGAAAGACTTACTGCTCCAGACGGAACTATAAAAATGATGGTATCTTTTCCATTTCTTTAGTTAGTTACTTGACCTCTACACTATCCCCATTAGCCATACAAGACAGAAGTTCAGAATCCCTCTCTGAGTTTCGGTTATCCAAGATTCCCCAGACGTACTCAGGTCCAAGGTTGTTGAAGCTTCTTCTAAAGATCAGGTGATGAATAGTGGGACATTCTGATTGGTTTGCTGTAGTTTCTTGGTTTAGGATTGCCCTTGCCTCTGCTTCCACCAGAGTGTTGCTATTACAATTTGTTCCTTTCCATATGGCAAGGACTACTGTTTTCTGTTTAGTTTTAAAATCTTTGCTAGATCACATTCCTCTACTAGAGTGGTTGTCATACTTGGCATCCAGATTACAGCATTTGAAAGTCACATTTATGTATAGAACACTTGTTTTATACCTAAATGATGAGGCAAAGAGGCTTGAAGGGGTTTCCAGTCTCAGGCATTGTCCATGAACTTCTCAGCCCCGGCTTTAAGATGTTCCTCTATATCATGGCAAGATCCTCTTTGCAGTGTCTCATGTCCTTTTCTATCAATGACCCCCAGTCTGACCATCTCAAATCCTGAGTGCAGGGACTGAGTTAGATTGATGTCCCTTTCTTTCCAGTAGCTATGTCTGTTGATAGGCAAATTTTCTCCTTCCTCTCCTGAGACGAGTACTATATTTCAAGGGGGTATTAGGGGTAGCAGCCTTCATCAAACCAAAAAAAAAAAAAAAATAGATCTTTACACTCTTTTCCCAGAGTAACTGGTACCCAACTGGCATTTGGAGAATAGGAGAGGCCAGTTCAGTGACTCTCAAAACAAAAAATAAATAATATAAGGTATCTTGTGTTTTCTGAATTTCACCTAAGCAAGCATTGCAAACTGGCAGCTACCACTTAAAGAGAGCCTCTGGATTGTTTAGTTTGAGCACCCCTTTACTAGCATGGGATTTTGAATTTTTGTGCTTTAATGGCTTTAAGTGGGATGTACATTCATTTTTCTTTATATGGCCCATTACTCCCTGTTATCTAATATTCAAACAGTCTGTACACAGATGCATACCTCCTTACCCTTGTGATATGGTTTGGCTGTGTCCCCACCCAAATCTCATTTTGAATTGTAATCCCATAATCCCCATGTATGATGGGAGGGACCTAGTGGGAGGTAATAAATCATGGGGGCAGTTTCCCCCATGCTATTCTTGTGATAGTGAGTAAGTTCTCATGAGATCTGATGGTTTTATAAGGGGCTTCACCCTTTACTTGGCTCTCTTTCTTCATTCTCCTGCCACCATGTGAAGAAAGACATGTTTGCTTCCCTTCCCACCATGAGAGTAAGTTTCTTGAGGCCTCCCCAGGCATGCAGAACTGTGAGCCAATTAAACCTCTTTCCTTTATAAATTACTTAGTCTTGGATATGACCTTATAGCAGCATGAGAATGGACTAATACAGTAAATTTGTACTGGTGTGGTGGGGTGCTGCTATAAGGATACCCGAAAATGTGGAAGTGACTTTGAAACTGGGTAACAGGGAGAGGTTGGAACAGTTTGGAGGGTTCAGAAGAAGAAGGGAAAATGTGGGAAAGTTTGGAACTTCCTGGAGACTTGGAGAGCTCAGAAGACAGGAAGATGTGGGAAAGTTTGGAACTTCCTAGAGACTTACTGAATGGCTGTGACCACAACACTCATAATGATACGGACAATGAAGTCTAGGCTGACGTGGTCTCAGATGGAGATGAGGAACTTGTTGGGAACTGGAGCAAAGGTGACACTTGTTATGCTTCAGCAAAGAGACTGGCGGCATTTTGCCCCTGCCTTAGAGATCTGTGGAACTTTGAACTTGAGAGAGATGATTTAGGGTATCTGCTGGAAGAAATTTCTAAGTGCAAAGCAGTCAAGAGAAAGCAGAGCATAAAAGTTTGGAAACTTTGCAGCCTGATGATGCAAATAGAAAAGAAAAACCAATTTTGCGCGGACAAATTTGAGCCAGCTGCATAAATTTGCATAAGTAATGAGGAGCCGAATGTTAATTACCAAGCCAATGAGGAGAATGTCTCCAGGGCATTCCAGAGAGCTTGTGGGAGACCCTCTAATAATAGGCTCAGGCCTAGGAGGAAAAAATGGTTTTGTGGGCTATGCCCAGGACCTCCCTGCTGTGTGCAGCCTAGGGATATGGTGCCCTGCATCCCAGCTGCTCCAGCTGTGGCTAAAAGGGGACAAGATATAACTCAGGCTGGCTTCAGAGGGTTGAAGCCCTAAGCCTTGGCAACTTCCACGTGGTGTTGAGCATGCAGGTGCACAGAAGTCAATAATTGAGGTTTGGGGACCTCCATCTGGATTTCAGAGGGTGTGTGGAAACACCTGGATGTCCAGGCAGAAGCTTGCTGTAGGGGTGGAGTCTTCATGAAAAAACCTCTGCTAGGGCAGGGCAGAAGGGAAATGTGGGGTCAGAGCCCCCACACAGAGTCCCCAATGGGGCACTGCTTAGTGGAGCTGTGAGAAGAGGGCCACAGTCCTCCAGACTCCAGAATGGTAGATCCACCTACAGCTTGCACCCATGTGTGTGGAAAAGCCACAGACACTCAACACTGGCCCGTGAAAGCAGCCTGGAGGGGGGATGTACCCTGCAAAGTCACAGGGGCAGAGCTTCCCAAGGCCGTAAGTCCCATCTGTTGCGTCAGCATGACCTGGATATGATGCTGATGAGACATGGAGTCAGAAGACATTATTTTGGAACTTTAAGGTTTAAGGACTGCCCTTTTGGATTTCACTTGAATGGGGCCTATAGCCTCTTTGTTTTGGCAAATTTATCCCATTTGAAATGGGTTTATTTACCCAATGCTTGTACCTTCATTGTATCTAGGAAGTAACTAACTTGCTTTGATTTTACAGGCTCATAGGTGGAAGGGACTTGCCTTGACTCAGATGAGACTTTGGACTTGGACTTTTGGGTTAATGATGGAATGAACTAAGACTTTTGGAGACTGTTGGAAAGGCATGATTGTGTTTTGAAATGTGAAGACATGAGATTTGGGAGGGGCCGGGGCAGAATGATATGATTTGGCTGTGTCCCCACCCAAATCTCATCTTGAATTGTAGTTCCTGTAATACCCATGTGTGGTGGGAGGGACCTAGTGAGAGGTAATTGACTCACAGGGGCAGTTTCTCCCATGCTATTCTTGTGATAGTGAGTAAGTTCTCATGAGATCTGATGGTTTTATAAGGGGCTTCACCCTTTACTTCGCTCTCATACCTCTTTCTCCTGCCACCATGTGAAGAAGGACGTGTTTGCTTCCCCTTCCACCATGATCATAATTTTCCTGAAGCCTCCCTAGCCATGCTGAACTGTGAGTCAATTAAACCTCTTTCCTTTATAAATTACCTAGTCTCAGGTATGTCCTTAATGCAGTGTGAGAGTGGACTAATACACCTTACAAATATTTTTCTTCATACACCTCCTCAAAATTGACTTTAATTTGACTTTTTTTTGCCTGCTACACAAATACAGGCCTTTCTAGTTGATTCATATATCAAGACTTTTTTTTACAGTGTTTAATGTTATCTGAGGTTTTGTTCTAAACTTTAAGCTTGTTACTAAAAATCACCTAGAGACAGACAAAAACTTTAAATAAAGCACTTTATTTTTAAGTTTAAAATATTTTTCTTTCTGCAAAAATATTTACCAGTTTGTAAAATAGTCACGTGCCCTTATAAAAATGATAAAGCATTTATTTGATGATGGTGATCATAAGTATAATAACAGTATTAAAGGTCATTTTCATTTAAACTTTTTTCCATATACTATCATTATTTCAGGTATGAAACTGTGAATATGAGCTAATTTGAAGTGAAAATATCAGTAAACTAGGAAACACAGACATTGCATCTGTTTTGTATCTAAATGATGAAGCAAAGGCATGACCTCATTGGCTTTCCATTTTCTCTTGTGCAGAGAGGGAGCATAATTTCTCATACTGATTTCGTGAGCATGACATGAAAAAAATACATCTTTATGATACATTATTCAATAGTTGAACTTCTAAAAATTGTCTGCAAATTGATATTTTATCCCTGTTGAATTAGAAATGCAGTAGGAAAAATGTGTTTAGAAAATTTACAATAAATTCTTTTACTAAAAATATGAAAGAAAGCTATAAAAATATTTAGAACTATCTATTTTTATTATAGGAAGGTCAACATTCTAAACAAATTTTTAATAAATATTTTGCAATCATGTTGCAAATCTGGTTAATTGGCTAACAGAATAATCTGCTTTTATTCTGTCTTAATTTTTTCAGGTACTTAGGTAAACAAATTTCATGATTAAAAAGATTAAATTTGGAATATCTCAAGGAATTTGGAATGCTGATATATATATATAGTAAAAATAACTGTGACAATTTAAAATAAATTCTAATGTGTACATTAGAATTCTAACATGAAGGCATTCGTAAAAGGTTTTTAATATTTGGTAAAATATTAATAACTAATAAAGATAACACTATTTTAGGTCGTTTAACAAAGGCAACATTATCAGATTTTGTGTTTAATAAAAGTTTGAGGCAGTACATATTGGCAGCAGTGCACTGGACTAATTTATTGCTTATAGATATATTTCATTGCCATATATTGAATTAGGTTATTATTGGTTGTACTCATTTAGTACTCACAAAATCTATCTACAAACCCTAGGGCTAGAAAAAGAAAGGAATACCAACAGTGGATATATATTTATATTTAAAGTATACTTAACTGGGCCGGGCGCGGTGGCTTACGCCTGTAATCCCAGCACTTTGGGAGGCCCAGGCGGGCGGATCACGAGGTCAGGAGATCGAGAACATCCTGGCGAACACGGTGAAATCCCGTTTCTACTAAAAATACAAAAAATTAGCCAGGCGCGGTGGTGGGCGCCTGTAGTCCCAGCTACTCGGGAGGCTGAGGCAGGAGAATGGCGTGAACCCGGGAGGCGGAGCTTGCAGTGAGCCAAGATCGCGCCACTGCACTCTGGCCTGGGTGAAAGAGCGAGACTCCGTCTCAAAAACAAACAAACAAAAAAGTATACTTAACTGATTCTTAGTCTCTGATTTTTTCCAGCCATAATATTTATATAGTTCACACTTGTTTCACTCAAGTTATATGATTTAGAATTTTTATCTATAGCTGGGGAAGTTTATCATCTTGGCTCATGAGAATTATGAGTTAGTTGTAACAATGGTGATTTATTATTATAGCTAGCAGAAAAAGTTACTTAGTCAGAATTTAATGCATAATCTGTCTCTTCCAGTATGTACTGGTTATACGAGGCACATACTGTTCTCTTTACAAGGTCTCTTCTCAAAAAGGAAAGCGATAAGAAAAATACATTGAAAACGTTTTTATGTCTATAGCCTTTTTTTTTTTTTTTGAGACAGTGTCTCACTCTGTCACCCAGGTTGGAGTGCAGTGGCATGATCTCGGCTCACTGCAACCTCCCTTTCCCAGGTTCAAGCAATTCTCATGTCTCTGCCTCCCAAGTAGCTGGAACTACAGGTGCACGCCACCATGCCTGGCCATTTTTTTTTTTTAATATATATATTTTCAGTAGAGACGGGGTTTCACCATGTTGGCCAGGCTGGTCTCAAACTCCTGACCTCAGGTGATCCACCCGCCTCAGCCTCCCAAAGTGCTGGGATTACAGGCGTGAGCCACCGCGCTGGGCCATCTGTAGTCTTCTGCAAAAAAAGGTTCCTCTAACATTTTTAGCTAGTTTGCAAAAAACTTTTCTGTTTTTTTGAATCCTTTAAAAAAATTTGATGTCCATTATTTTAACTGCATCCTTAAATATTTTACATGCCTCTATTTTTAATGACTTGTGGTATAGTCGCGGTGATAAAGATACCATTAGTTCAATTGCTTTTTTCCTCTACTTGGTTTATAGTGGAAAGACTGCTTTGTCTTTTGTAAACATACAAAATGACATTGTTTTATTTTCTAGGTCTCTTTAGTGGTAATTTTGGGAGAAAATAGTTCTCCCACTATAGCTGTTGTACAAAATGACAAAGGTAGAAACAACTGCTTCTGTCCCAAAGGCACAACTGTCCACACTCAAAGTGAATGTCATTCATAGAATCAAATAGTTGTTGAGAAAGAAACCACTCAAGGCACTAGATTGTATTTTCAAAAAGGAAAAAAAAAATTCTCTATTTTATAGGTCTTTTATTGGAGGAGAAAAGCTTAGATTCATTATTTTCATTCTTTTCTCCCTATCCTACATGGCTTTAATCTCATAAATATATAGCAGGTTGCTTTACAGTTACTTTCCAGTTTTTTTCAATGGAAAACTGTTTCAACTTATGCAAGTCAGCAGCCTTCATCTGGCCAAATGTTACATTCAAACTCAAATGTCCAAAGTACAACAGTTAAGAATTCTATTAACCTTAGCAAACAATATGAATTAATTAATTTTTAAAAATTATCATCAAAATAAATGTTTTATATGTTTATATTGGTGAGATTATGTACTATGATAACCAAACTTCAACATGTCAATTCCTCCTTTTTGTTCAATTTAGGCAATAGTATTTATTTTCCCTTTAATTTTTTGGTGGGGAATTATTTACATCTGTGAAAGTTGTTTCTTTTCAAAGAGGTCGGCCATCTTTCTAAGTCACACTGACCATGGAAGCTCAGCAAACATGGTGATAATCAGAAGCTAGCGGTATCTGGATTCCAGGTAGTTAGTTCATGTTAAAGCCCAGTCTAACTGCTGCCTGTGGGTAGAGATGCAGAACTAAGCCCGCTAAGAAAATGAAAGGGCTGTACACTTGCCAGGGCCCAGGCGAGAGATGTAGGGTGTCTTTTCCAGTGGAGGAAAGCAAATCAAAATTTGAGGTAGACATCAAGTCATGTAAATGGGGAATATAAAGCCAGAGATTACTAGGCAGGTTTGTGTATTTTAATTTGTGTTCTGAGCCAAGACGTTAGGTGTCCCAAATCTTAATCCTATGCTTTGAATAGCCCTATGCACTGCCAGGTTTACCAGTGTTTGAACAACTGTAGGACTTAGAAGTGTTTAAGGGATGAGGCGATGCTAACCTAGTAGACTGAGGGATTTCAGCTCTCAATTTATAACACACTATTCAAAATAATAAAAATATTATGCAGGATTATTTCTAGCAACAGGAAAAAAGAAAAATGAAACTCATTGAAGAAATTTTTCTATGATCTGTGCTAACTTGAATAGGATACTATATTCCTTAAGTAGATTCATTTTTTTTTTTTTTCAAACGGAAAGATACTCTAAGACCAAAAATTTCTCCTGAATTTTTTTTTTAAAATAAGGATTCTATTAACTTTACTCAGTGGACAAGGAAATTTTCCAAGAGACAAAATCGTTGTACCTAGTATTCAGAATGGAGATACACATGGAGATGTGTATCTAGTATTCAGAATGGAGATACACAGAATGGAGATTTGTAACAACCAACTTCACAAGTTTTAAACTGACATATTTCTAGTTGTCTACCACTACTTGTTGCTAACAGAATCAGTGCTGTTAGTACACCAGCAGTCTAGCTTAAATGCTGGGAGTAGATTCAAATGATCTCTCTACAGCTGAATCTCATTCTCTATGCTGTTATTAAATATTTTGTATTTTGCAACATTTTTATATATTTGCCCCTGGAAGACTGGCTCAAGCTCTGTAGGTGTTATGCTAAAATGTTTTAACAGCCTCCTGCCTTCATCCTCTCATCCTTCGTGATCTACCACACAATATACTAAACAACTATCTGCTTTGTGTGCATTTAAATTATCTTAAATTAATCCATCTTATTGTAGTTGCTTAACTAGTATAGCAAGCACTTTAGCACTCATTCATTTTTTTTCACAAAGTTTCTTATATTTTCTTATCTTGCAGGGAGATAAGATGGTGTTAAAAGCATTCGGTTTGAATCCCATTTCAGTCGATTACTTGATATCTGATTAAAGATAAGTGTCCTCTTCGGCAAAATGATGATAATAATACATTCTTTGCATGTCTGATGAAGATTCCTTTAGATGAAATGGGATATCTTATGTCAAGCCCCTACCATGGTGTCTGGTACACTGTAGGCCTCAAACATTTGGCAATTCTTTCTGCCTCCCTTAACTTATACTTTCTTTATTTTTGAGCCATTTCTTCTGAAGACTCTAAATTTCCTAGTGGTAAGAATTAAGAATATTGGTAGGCATTCCAATAACATTTTATTCTTTCTATTCAGGTACATGTTTTAAATATTGTCAGATTTATCAATTGTTTCTTTTATGACATATGCATTTTATATCTTTTAAAGGTCTTCTGTACTCCAAGATTACAAATATATTTATTTTGAGTGCTCCTATGGTTTTATGTTAGGTATTTAGATTTTTAATCAACCTAGAATATATGTTATGTTGGCGGCCAAGTTAGGAATCTTAACAATTTTTTTTCAATCCCATTTGTTCAGTTTTATTCTCAGTGGTTTAGAATGTCCCTTCATTATACATGCTGTTCTCCTTCATTTATATATATCAATTTGTCAATGCCATATAATTTTAATTGCTGTATTTTTATAGTATATTTTGAAATTTGAACGTACAAATCCTCATCTTTTCCCATCTTTTGATAAATATGAATTTGGACATTTTTGCATCTTTTCTGAGAGCTGGACTAAGTTTTATTTTTAAAAATCTCATTAGGCTTTGAATGGGATTACATTTATTTTGTAATTTATTTTGTGAAGAATGGCTGCTATATTTTCTTTCCACTTTAGTATAGGGTATGTTTCTCTACTTAATTATATAATTTTGATGTTTAACAGTAAACTTTATATGGTAGCTATTATATATTTTTATTAGTTTATTCTTACATATTTTGTTTAATTTTTTGTCATTTCTGTTATAAATTATGAATAGGATATTTTTTCCATTACATGTTCTAATTGACCATTGCCCGTGTTTGAATATAGTTCAATCATATTAGGAAAAATTCTCCTTGTATTTCACATATATCAAACAAAAAAATCACAAATAGTGTCACTTTTCAATAACTGAATTTGTCTCTTAAATCTTTTTAAAAATTAATTTTATTAAAAATGTTTTTATACCAGTGAACTTTCCTTGCATTACCAGTGTCAGGCCAATCTTTAATACATTGCTACATTTGATCTATTGCATTTTTATTTAGAAGTTTTACAGTTATACTTAAAAGAACACTTGGCCTATGGTTTTATTTTTTGTGTCATCATTGCCTAGTTTAGGTATCAATGTTATAAAATTATCTTATAATGATTTATTATCTCTAAAAAATTCTAGAATTTATAAAATCTCTAAAAATTACTTATCATTATCTTAAATTTTAATTTAATGGGTTCTCTTATGTTTATTAAATTTTGAGCACCCCCTTCACTCTTCCCTTTATTTTTGACTTCCTTCATACGTGTCCTTTTAGAAACACACACTGAATGAATGCTGGACATTCTGGCTCTTTCATCTTTTTCCTCACTCTCTTTTTTTTCTTTGTGCTCTATTATAATAGAAAAACCCATTGCCTTAATATTCCAGTACTCTAATGTATATTTCAGGTGTAATAATTTTTGCTATTTAGCCCATCTCTTTTTTAGTATTAATGACCACATATTTTTTATTTTCAAGATTTATAATTTATCCTGTTATTTTTTTCATGGATAAGACAGACTTTCATATCTTCCTGAAAATATTTACATTTCTTTGAAATTATTTGTTTTTTCCTTTCATAATAGTTTTCCTTCAAATATTTTATGATTTTTGATAGTATCCTCATCTACATATTTGAGATGACCTGTCGATGAAAGCTAATCTTGATTATCATTGCCTGCATTTAGAAATTGTGTGTGTGTGTGTGTGTGTGTGTGTATACACATGTACACCCACATTTATTGCTTTAGCTGTGGATAAATATTTTTCTTCTCACTGCTTAGCACAAGATGGAAAGATAGGAAGGAGCCAACCTGAAAGGCGTATTTGCATCTTAATCATTGCCTTGTGTGCTCTCTTAGGCCTTTTATTCATGCCTCTGAGTGTGGAGCACCACCCTTCTCTGTAGCAATCTCTTCTGTACTTGTAGGTTGTGATTTTTTTTTGTCAACCTGATTCTGTCTGTTTTTTCTTAGGAACTCATCAAAATTTCCAGCCTACTGATAACACTCCATTATTTTCTAGCACAGCAGCACTGTTAGGAAATTTTTCTTAAATATGCACGTAGTAAAAGTATATATATAATGTATATATACACTTAAGGACATATATTACATATGGACACACAGGTGTATATGTGTGTATACATACATGTATATATTCCCAGTGACTTTCAGGTGGAGATGAGCTAGATATACACGTTCAGCATTTTAATGCAATACTTAATTATAATTCATAAGTGACCACCACTGTATGCAAGCCATTATTATGATGCTTGCAGTAGTAGGGATACATTGATGAATAACATACTGGGCCTGTCCTCAAGTGTTTATAACCTAGAGGGCATATATTTGTATTATATTATTTTTATTCATTACATTATAATAATTTATGCTCATAATGACAATACCAAATCATTAAGTAAAAGTTAAATGAAAATCAATGGATTCTATTTAATTCAGCAGAGAAGTACTGGTTTTATAAAAATATTCAAAATTATTACATTTAAAAATAGATATTTCAGTGTGTATCAGTTAACAGTGCATTAACAGGTTAGCTGAAATTAATGAAAACCCAACTAACAGAGGTTTAAACCACAAGAGAACTTAATGTTTACTTGCACAATTTATGGATGGAGCCAGTTATAGAGTTGATCTAGCTGAGCTACAATATCAGGGTTCTGGATCAGTGTTTTTCTAATGCCCTTAGCCTCACTCTTGTGAACACTAGATTACTGCTCGGCTTCTTATAATCTCACCTGAAGTTCAAAGGAGGAAGAGGGGTAGCTAGGTAGGGCACAGAGAAAGCTTTCCTCAGAACCCTCTACATGCTGTCTTTTTTAATTGTCAGGGAGAAAACTCATTTCTAGAAGCCTCAGCTTACTTTACTTCTCATTGACCCACCCCAGGCCCTTCACCGGCTTGGTATAGGCTAATTTTGATTCATCTCATGGGTCTTGGACGTGGTATCACCAAGAGAAAATCAGAGATTTTTAACAAAAAGGATCCAGGAGAATAGCTATTGGCTAAACAATCAACAAGTTGTCCACATACAGAGCTAACTCAGCTTATCTAAGAAGTTTTTACTAATGTAAGAGACATATTTTCCTAAGTGCACATTATTATTTTTTCAACTGGTAAAATGTGTATTTTAAAATTCAAATATTGCAAAAAGTGTGTGCAATGAAATTTAAACCTTTGTCCTAACATGTCTTATAGCCACTCAGTTCTCCTCCCCAGATCAGGCAACCTTATGAATACCTCTGCTTCTCATTTTTTGATCAGGCTAGATAAGCTAGGTACTACTATATTTGTCATTCAATTACACAACAATGGCTTTTCAAATCACTAGATCTGCTGGTTTTTGTTCTCTGCCTTAGGCATATTAATTCTGAAATCAAGTGAGATGGTTAGCATCTGGTGACCAATATCTACAGAACCCTGGAATTAATTCCATAGTTTATTATAATATTTAATAAGGTACACCTTCCTTGTTACTTATAAAACCAGCCAAGTATTGCCTTGCTATAATTTCCTATTTTACTCTAAAGTCCTCATCTTTCTCCAAAAGCTAGTTTAGTATCTCCCAGTTGTAAGGTCAGGAGAAAAGTGACTGTTGCAGCCTCCACCTCACCATCTGTCACCTCCCTTAGATTGTTTCTTGGCTGACTTAGCTTCTCTGTACTGCTGGTCCTCAGAGGACTTTGTAATACCAACGATTTTATCTGGCCCAAGATCTTCTCTGATTTAGATCTGCTCTTTTACACTGAATTGTGACTAGGTCAACCTCCAAAGAGGAGAGAGTATGACATTTTCCATGGTGGTGGTCCCTTTGACAGGGGTTTTCAAACCTTTTCAACTGTGATCTACAAAAACAAACAAATTTTATATCTTTCTCATACATATACATTGAAACAAAATTTTAGCAAAACAATCCTTACCACTACTATCTGTGATTTAATTTCTTAGTTTCTATTCTGTTATTTTTCATTTCAAAAATATCATGTTCTACTCCAGTGTATTTTGTGAACCAATAATAGATGGCTTTCTAAAATTTGAAAAATACTGCCTAATGACAATCAGCACATTGTCAAAGATATTCCTTCTGGCCATAAAAGAAATGTTTACCACGTTATGTAATTTAACTGTGAGACACTGGGAAACAGATAAATTTTACTTTTTTAAATAAAAAATTGTATTTTCAGGTAGTTTAAATCAGAGCTACAATTTTCTGGAACAATATTGCTCCAATTGATTAATCTGATTACTGCGGCTGCACAGTTATGGTGTCTGCAAATCTCAAGCCAGGTGGAGTGTTGATTTGTGCTGGCCAGAATCTTTACTGAATCATTGCCTTTTTACTCGCAGTCCCGGGATAATTTTTTATTATTTTTCTTACTTTTGGATTTTAGTTCCCCTGATAATTTTTCATTATTTTTCTTACTTTTGGATTTTAGTTTTACTTATATTCATCTCCTCACAAGACTACACAGCTTTTGCCCCAAATGAATTTCTTTTTACATAGTTACAGATAGGTCTCTTAGTTCTTTTTCTCCCCTCCCCATCTATGTTTAACAGAGTGGAGCTGCAATAATATATTTTGCCAGTAGGCACACTTAACACATAATTAAATAGATTCAAAAAAATTCCTTAAGTTTCAGACTTTGGTTTACTTTGTGAAATATTTTCTTTATTATTTTGCAATTTAAAATTTTTAAGTTTATGTAGAAGAGAACTTCAAAATGTATATGTTTAAAAATATTTAACTCCCAAGCACAAACTTTTAAAGTCAGGTCTTTCCAAAGTTATTAGCACTTGTAGTATATCTCTGTCCAGTGGAACAGATGTTGCCTGTATCTACAAATAATTCAAAAACAGATCGAAGGCATGCAACATCCAATTCCTTTTGGCACGATTTACGTACATTTTGCCAGAAAACATTTGAACAGATTTTAAATCTTTCTCCTCATTATCTTTGAAAAATACACAAACTCACACACATTTTTGCAAGGTGCCTGTTATGAGTTACATGCTGTGAAGAGTACTTCTTAACCAATATTCCTCTCAACATCAAAAAATTTGACTATAGAAAACTTGGAAATATGAGGAAAAGATTATGTGTACAGTAATTACTAAAAGCAACATCAGACAAGTGTATCCTAATAAAAAATAAAATTAAAACTCCTTGAGAAAAATTAACAGCTCCACATTCTAACACATTTCAAAGAAGCAGTACTTCATTTAAGAGTCCTGGCTTCCAGAAATCCTTTTTTTCATGTCTTATCTTCTAATTATGCTTTGTAGTCCAGTTAAATTACATCTCTTGACATTTTGGAATGTTCCCATCTTTACACCTGTCTTCAAATTGTTTATTCCACATGGAATATTCTTTTCCCCTTATCTCCAATTAGAGTATATGGAGTTTGGGGAAGAATCATGTCGTTCACTGTGGCAGGAGGGACAGAGTGAGAAGGTGGACAGGAGCCAGATAATTGGAGAGACTTTTTACATAATGCTAATTTTAGGAGTTTGCAATTAACACTGTGGATTTGATGAAAACAGTGGAGGTTTTAATCAGGGGGATGAATGATAGGATTAGAATTCTATTTTATATAATATAATCCAGATACATCATGATAAATTAAAAGATCAAAGCTGAAAGCAGAGTGGTCAGTCAGGAGTTTATTATAATGATTTAGACATAAATGTTTGTAATTAGAATCAGTGGATCCCCCCATGCCTCACATTCCTGTCCTTCATGGTCACCATTTCCAATTTAAACACTCCCCACTGTGTATTGTGTCCATATTCTCATCCTTGCATTGAAAGGCTTTTTCTCCTCTGCCCCATCATATGCCTTCCCCATTACATCCAAAACCTTTTTAAGCCACCTTCTGTGATGCCTATTTTATCTGATGTCCCTCTTCTATATCCTTAGTCGCTTCATAAACTATTGATGTCACACCCTAGTCTGTGATGACAATGGGCTTTTATAGCAGCTGTCTTAAGTAGGTGCCACCTATTTTTCCACCAAGCTGGGAGGGTCAAGATTCTCTTGCCTCAATTCTGCATCTGGACACATAACTCCACATCTTCTCTTCTCCTTTGAGATTCATAACACGTTTACAGTTTCATCCTTTACGGCTTTCTTGCTGTCATAAACTTTCTAGTCACTACATCTCATTTATTATATATTTCGGCACCGAATGTGTCTTTCTTTTTTATCCCTATTCCTGTCATTAACTAGGATAACTTCAGTGGTCATTGCACTTTCTAGTGAACAGCTTAGTTTCTTGTTGGCTTGGCTTTTTCTAAGCCAATGATCTTCAAATTCATTCCATTTTAGATAGCCACTTCCATACCTCCAACCCAGACCATGTTTTCTTCAGAAAGTGCTCCTTTTCTGAAATATTTACAACCTGCTTTTGGATCACAAACTCTTATCCTTCTAGTTTTTACAACCACTATTCCTCAACCTCATCAGGATCTACAATTTTTTGCTCCCTTTGTTTTTATCCACACCCCCTCTTTCTTCTGTCTTTTTTCTCTGTTCATGCTCCAGCGTTTGGACCTCCTTCTTGCCCATTCTCTCAACTCTTCCAATTTTTCCCTTTTCTTGAATCCACCAGCAGAACCAAAGTTTAAGCCTATTTCAATGCCTACTTTATCCATTCTCCTTCTGGAGCTACTAAATAATGCTGGAGAAAATTAACCCATAGACTGATAGTCTGACCAGTTTCAACAATAACCAGGTCCTGACAGCTGCCTGGAAAATTTTCTAAATATCTCCTATTGTTTTCTTCTTTCAATGTCCACAGTACTTTTTTTTTTTCAAATTTTCTTTTTTCTCAAGCCTTTGATCTCTTTGTCTCATACTTCATTCAGAATGATTTACAGAGAAAATAGAGGATATCAGATGGAACTTTACTCAAACTCCTCCTGCCACATTTGCACACCTTCCCTTCTCTCAGTTCCTTCCCTCCTGCAGATGTCTCACCTCTGCCCAAGGCTCTTCCCCTTCCTATGTCCTGGATCCCACCTGCTTCCAGTTCCTCTTTAACTTTCTACTATATCCTCTCTTTCTTCTCCAACACTACCACCCTCCTTGCCACAAGGTTTCTTCCCACCAGCATTTATAATACATGCTCATCCTCTACTGTTTTATTAACAACCAGCCAACCTTTCTCCCCATCTGTCTTTCCCCAACTACCATCTTTCTCTTTTCACTCTTACTGACTATAAAGACTGTTCTTTTTTCTCACCTTCTATTTATTTCTCAGCCTAAAGTACTTTGGCTTTTGTTTCTAGAACACCAATGAGTATATGCTCATTAAGATAGTTTGATGCAATAAATCCTTATTTTACTTGCCTCTATTACTGCATTGTAAACTGTTGTCTACTTTGTCTTCTTGAAATCCTACACCTCCCCCAGCCCCCACATTTGGCCTATGGAACATTACTTTATCCTGATTTTCCCCCTAACCTTCTGGCAATGCCTCTCAGACTCCTTCCAGAACTACTTTTCTCTGTTTTCCTTTTAATGATGACAGTTTATGCAATTGTGTCTTCAAACTTATAACGACCCAGACAATAGTAATAACAGTCAACATTTACTGAATTCTTACTTGTGTTAAGTGCTGTTATATATGATATTTTAATCTTTGTAAAATCTTATAAGGTAAGTGCTGTCATTATTCCCACATTACAGAGAAGTTAGAGTCTGAGCCTGGTCTTAGAACTAGCAAGTAGCAAAAACAAGTTCCATACCCAAATACTGAACACAGTCTGTCCCTTAGCCCCTTGGTCTGTGTTCTCACCCTCTTGCTCTTATCCACTCACATGTTTTCACCTGAACATGCTCATGTTTCTCCAGTCTAGCTCTTCTTCCCAGACATGTCTCCTGGAGACAAGTCCCGTACATACTATGGCCTCCCACTGTGTCGCACAAGCATCTCAAACTCCACATGTCTCAAACTAAACTCACCATCACATCACTCTCTATCCTTTCAAAATTGCTCTCTCTTGTTTGCCTCATTCAGTGAACAGAGCTACAATTCACTGTTTGCCAGCTCAGAAACCTTGCTTTCCTCTTTGACTCCCCTCAACTCTTCCCTGTCCTAGCAGTTAATTGCCAAATCTTGCTTTCACTTCTTTATGACTTTTGGAGTCCCTATACTTTTTTTCAGTTTCATGGTCCAGATTACTTAAATGAGTAATGTTTCTGCTTCTAGTCTTCTCCCCCTTCCATTTCAATCTGTTCTTCACATTGAAGCTTAGATCAGTTTTCTAAAATGCAAATGTATCATATAAACCCCTACCTTTAATACCTTTAGTTGTTAGTCACTGAAATCTCAACTCTACCTCCATTAAAAGATGCTACTAAGGGCCGGGCGCAGTGGCTCACACCGTAATTCCAGCACTTTGAGAGACCTAGGAGGGTGGATCACCTAAGGTCAGGAGTTCGAGGCCAGCCTGGCCAACATGGTGAAACCCTGTCTCTGCTAAAAATACAAAACTTAGCTAGGCATGGTGGCATGTACCTGTAACCCCAACTACTCAGGAGGCTGAGGCAGGAGAATAGTTTGAACCCAGGAGGCGGAGGTTGCAGTGAGCAGTGAACTGAGATTGCACCACTGCACATCCAGCCTGGGAGACAGAGTGAGACTCTGTCTCAAAAAAAAAAAAAAAAAAAAAAAAAAAAAAAAAAAAAAAGGCCATGAGACCCTGTCATCTGCTCTCTACTTAATATTTTCACCTAATTTTCTACAATTACCTTTCTCAAGTTCTATAATTTAGCTATATTGAATTACTGACATTTCTTTAAATATGCTAAAAAATGCTGTTATTGCTCTTGATTCTGACCTTCATCAGATTTTGAGATAATTTTATCCATGTCTAGAATGTTCTTCATTCTTATCTTTACCTCATAAGACCCAGGTTTCAATTACACAGCATCTGTGCTCGGAAGTGTTTCCTATTAACTCAAGCCTGGATTGGATGCCTCTCTGATGTATATTCACAGAATCTGGTGTTTTTCTGTTTCAGCACATAGTATAATGTGTTGTAAGCTCCCGTTTATTGTTTGCTCCATTAAGATATAAGCAGTATGAGTGTAGAGCTTGTTTTCACCTTTACACCTACAGTGTATGGCACTGTGACTAGCATATATCAAGTGATCAACAAATATTTGTTGAATTAATGAATTAATAACTGTCTAAAGCTGTCATGCTGAAAAAAGGAAGCCATCTGTTATACTTGGCAACCGATAATCTCTGCTAGAACAGCTTCATCAGGGTTGAGCAGGTTAGAAACGAATGGAAAATAGATAAGTAGAGAAAATGTTAAATTTCTCTTTTGAGGAAATTAGATATAAAACAACATAATTCACAAGAGGAATAATAAAGAAATAATACACTGGAATAATCTCTCAAGAGCCATATAGGGCTTATTGGAAGAAAGTTAAAAATCTTAAGTGAATGATATAAAAGAAGAATTGAACAAATGGTGAGACATAGCATATTTCAGGCCAGAAAAACAGTATGATAAGGTAGAAATATTTTCCTAAATCAGTTTATTGTTTTAATGCAAATTAACCAAATATTCCACTGAGGTTTTACTAACATTTTCTTTTTAAAAAGTATAAAAGTAGCTCATCTTTGTGGAGAAAGAATCAAATGAAGTCTCTCTTTCTCTTACTCTCCCTTTCTTGTATGTGTGTATGTATATATGTGTGTATATTCACACATGAATATATATTTATACCCCCACGCACATATATGCTTTTTTTACACATATGGCCTCTTTCTTTACATACTCTTCAGCAACTATTTTATTTAACTTAGCAGCATAACTTGGATATCTTTCTGCATCAATACATATGGATCTACCTTATACATTTTTAAACTTCTACAAGGAAAACCTATCATACATACAAAGAAGTTTGGAAATCATCCTTTCCTCATGCTCCTTTCTAATTATAGTCTCCAAAAGGTTACCATCATTGTGACTTTTTTTTTTAGCATTGCCCATTTTTGAACTTTATACAGATGGAATAATAATGCAGTGTTATTTTTGTGTCTGGTTTCTTATAGTCAACATTACATTTATGAGAGTCATTTTATAGTTTGTTTTTTCTCTCCATTGTGATGTTACATTACATGAATATAATATAACTTATAGATTTCTCTTTTAGTGGATATTTGGGTTGTATCCAGACTGAAAATATAAATAGAGCTGCTGGGAACATTCTTGTACATGCCTTTTTGTGAACATATGCACATGTTTCTGTCGGGCATATACCTAGAAGTAAAATTGCTGGGTGATAGGGCATCTATATATTTAGTTTTAGTAGATACTGCCAAAGAGTTTTCCAATTAATTGTAGTGTAGCAATTCATACTCTCATAGCAGTGTGTGTTCCATATTTTTAAAGACTTAGGGTGTCCCATTATATAAATATATTGTCATTTATTTAATATTGTTTTCCATTTTTTACTAGTGTAATTAACTCTTCAATAAATATATATACTTATGTTTACTCAATGTTTGTCCATAAGCATATTAATGGCATAAAGTGTTAAAAATGACAAAATAATTTTAAAATTCACTTGGAAAAATTAGTTTTACTAAAACAAAATTAGAAAATGACATTTTTAAAAGGATTAATAACATTATTTTATATAGGTTACAATCATTAAAATTATAGCCCTGATACAGAAAATAACCTACACACCAATGAAAAAGAAACATTATGTTTCAAACAGGAAATCTGAAATTAAACTGAATTTTTTCTTCTTCTTCTTTTTTTTTTTTTTTTTTTTGAGACAGAGTCTTGCTCTGTTGCCCAGACTGGAGTGCAGTGGCACAATCTCAGTTCACTGCAACCTCCACCTCCCCGGTTTAAGTGATTCTCCTGCCTCAGCCTCTCAGATAGCTGGGATTACAGGTGCCCACCACCACGTCTGGCTAATAGTTTGTATTTTTAGTAGAGACAGGGTTTCACCAGGTTGGCCGGGCTGGTCTCGATCTCTTGACCTAAGGTGATCCACCCACCTCCGCCTCGCAAAGTGCTGGATTACAGGCATGAGCCATCGCGCCCGGCTAAACTGAATATTGAAAGCAGAGAAAACTTAATGCAGGTAATGAGTTCCACAGGTGAGAAGAGACTGAGAAGCCACCCAAACATGAACAACAGTAGGCTGCTGCTTTACCTCTAGCTAGAAGAACACAGGGTGAATGTAGAATTCCTACAGCCCAGAGGCTTGGGTCATCTTGTGGAAGGTAGAATCATGGTGGGCCTGTCCAAGCAGGGACAAGAATCAGAGAAAAAGTGCAACCTCTACCTAAGGTATCACCTGAGGCAGAAAGATGGGAGAAATACCTTCACTACTCTCTTCTCCCTACTAGCCCTTCCCATTATAAGCACTAGAAGCTTGTTAATAAGGGAGAGTGGAAATCAGTGTGTATAGGTCTGAGGTAGTGAGGAAAGCAGCAGAGGAGCAAGAAAGGGATACAGTATAGCCTAATAGAATATGTAGTGAAGGTGACATCACAGATCAGAGGAGACAGGAATGACAATAAATGCTGCTGACATCATTGTTATCTACTATGAAAACTATCAAGTTAAATGGATCTACACCCCATACTGTAATTCAGAATAAATTACAGGGGTGTGAAAGAGTTAAGTGTAAACAATTGAAGACTACATAAAACAGAAAATCATGTAGATTTTCTGGAAGAAGAATGATTTACAGCACATAAAAGCGATAGAATAAATCTAAAAAATTTGAGAATTTAAATAGAAAAGCATTGTATGTAAAATAACACCATAAATAAAAGACATATAGTAAGTGGGAATATTATTAGTACACACATAAAAAGGTTAATACTTTTAATATGGATAGACTCATAAGTAAATAGAAAAGCAGGCAAAAATTATCAAGATATTTCATAAAAGAAGATAAAATAACCAGTAAATATAGATAAAATAATATCCAATTCTCCAATAACCAAAGTAATACAAATGTAAATAAATATGTACTTATATGACTATTAAGCTGACAAATATAAAATATTGTTAATAGTACAGTGTGGAAAAATAATGTAAGCTATCGCCTAACAGCCATGAAAATTATTTTTAAAGAAATATTTTGTGACAAACAATACTCTTGATATAATAAAGTGAAAACATTAGGATTTAAGCTATATTAGAGGAGGAGCCAAGATGGCCGAATAGGAACAGCTCCGGTCTACAGCTCCCAGCGTGAGCGACGCAGAAGACGGGTGATTTCTGCATTTCCATCTGAGGTACCGGGTTCATCTCACTAGGGAGTGCCAGACAGTGGGCGCAGGCCAGTGTGTGCGCGCACCGTGCGCGAGCCAAAGCAGGGCGAGGCATTGCCTCACCTGGGAAGCGCAAGGGGTCAGGGAGTTCCCTTTCCGAGTCAAAGAAAGGGGTGACGGACGCACCTGGATAATCGGGTCACTCCCACCCAAATATTGCGCTTTTCAGACCTGCTTAAGAAACGGCGCACCACGAGACTATATCCCACACCTGGCTCAGAGGGTCCTACGCCCACGGAATCGCGCTGATTGCTAGCACAGCAGTCTGAGATCAAACTGCAAGGCGGCAACGAGGCTGGGGGAGGGGCGCCCGCCATTGCCCAGGCTTGCTTAGGTAAACAAAGCAGCCGGGAAGCTCGAACTGGGTGGAGCCCACCACAGCTCAAGGAGGCCTGCCTGCCTCTGTAGGCTCCACCTCTGGGGGCAGGGCACAGACAAACAAAAAGACAGCAGTAACCTCTGCAGGCTTAAGTGTCCCTGTCTGACAGCTTTGAAGAGAGCAGTGGGTCTCCCAGCACGCAGCTGGAGATCTGAGAACGGGCAGACTGCCTCCTCAAGTGGGTCCCTGACCCCTGACCCCCGAGCAGCCTAACTGGGAGGCACCCCCCAGCAGGGGCACACTGACACCTCACACAGCAGGGTATTCCAACAGACCTGCAGCTGAGGGTCTGTCTGTTAGAAGGAAAACTAACAACCAGAAAGGACATCTACACTGAAAACCCATCTGTACATCACCATCATCAAAGACCAAAAGTAGATAAAACCACAAAGATGGGGAAAAAACAGAACAGAAAAACTGGAAACTCTAAAACGCAGAGCGCCTCTCCTCCTCCAAAGGAACTCAGCTCCTCACCAGCAACAGAACAAAGCTGGATGGAGAATGATTTTGACGAGCTGAGAGAAGAAGGCTTCAGACGATCAAATTACTCTGAGCTACGGGAGGACATTCAAACCAAAGGCAAAGAAGTTGAAAACTTTGAAAAAAATTTAGAAGAATGTATAACTAGAATAACCAATACAGAGAAGTGCTTAAAGGAGCTGATGGAGCTGAAAACCAAGGCTCAAGAACTATGTGAAGAATGCAGAAGCCTCAGGAGCCGATGCGATCAACTGGAAGAAAGGGTATCAGCAATGGAAGATGAAATGAATGAAATGAAGTGAGAAGGGAAGTTTAGAGAAAAAAGAATAAAAAGAAATGAGCAAAGCCTCCAAGAAATATGGGACTATGTGAAAAGACCAAATCTACGTCTGATTGGTGTACCTGAAAGTGATGTGGAGAATGGAACCAAGTTGGAAAACACTCTGCAGGATATTATCCAGGAGAACTTCCCCAATCTAGCAAGGCAGGCCAACGTTCAGATTCAGGAAATACAGAGAACGCCACAAAGATACTCCTCGAGAAGAGCAACTCCAAGACACATAATTGTCAGATTCACCAAAGTTGAAATGAAGGAAAAAATGTTAAGGGCAGCCAGAGAGAAAGGTCGGGTTACCCTCAAAGGAAAGCCCATCAGACTAACAGCGGATCTCTCGGCAGAAACCCTACAAGCCAGAAGAGAGTGGGGGCCAATATTCAACATTCTTAAAGAAAAGAATTTTCAACCCAGAATTTCATATCCAGCCAAACTAAGCTTCATAAGTGAAGGAGAAATAAAATACTTTATAGACAAGCAAATGCTGAGAGATTTTGTCACCACCAGGCCTGCCCTAAAAGAGCTCCTGAAGGAAGCGCTAAACATGGAAAGGAACAACCGGTACCAGCCGCTGCAAAATCATGCCAAAATGTAAAGACCATCGAGACTAGGAAGAAACTGCATCAACTAATGAGCAAAATCACCAGCTAACATCATAATGACAGGATCAAATTCACACATAACAATATTAACTTTAAATATAAATGGACTAAATTCTGCAATTAAAAGACACAGACTGGCAAGTTGGATAAAGAGTCAAGACCCATCAGTGTGCTGTATTCAGGAAACCCATCTCACGTGCAGAGACACACATAGGCTCAAAATAAAAGGATGGAGGAAGATCTACCAAGCCAATGGAAAACAAAAAAAGGCAGGGGTTGCAATCCTAGTCTCTGATAAAACAGACTTTAAACCAACAAAGATCAAAAGAGACAAAGAAGGCCATTACATAATGGTAAAGGGATCAATTCAACAAGAGGAGCTAACTATCCTAAATATTTATGCACCCAATACAGGAGCACCCAGATTCATAAAGCAAGTCCTGAGTGACCTACAAAGAGACTTAGACTCCCACACATTAATAATGGGAGACTTTAACACCCCACTGTCAACATTAGACAGATCAACGAGACAGAAAGTCAACAAGGATACCCAGGAATTGAACTCAGCTCTGCACCAAGCAGACCTAATAGACATCTACAGAACTCTCCACCCCAAATCAACAGAATATACATTTTTTTCAGCACCACACCACACCTATTCCAAAATTGACCACATAGTTGGAAGTAAAGCTCTCCTCAGCAAATGTAAAAGAACAGAAATTATAACAAACTATCTCTCAGACCACAGTGCAATCAAACTAGAACTCAGGATTAAGAATCTCACTCAAAACCGCTCAACTACATGGAAACTGAACAACCTGCTCCTGAATGACTACTGGGTACATAACGAAATGAAGGCAGAAATAAAGATGTTCTTTGAAACCAACGAGAACAAAGACACCACATACCAGAATCTCTGGGACGCATTCAAAGCAGTGTGTAGAGGGAAATTTATAGCACTAAATGCCTACAAGAGAAAGCAGGAAAGATCCAAAATTGACACCCTAACATCACAATTAAAAGAACTAGAAAAGCAAGAGCAAACACATTCAAAAGCTAGCAGAAGGCAAGAAATAACTAAAATCAGAGCAGAACTGAAGGAAATAGAGACACAAAAAACCCTTCAAAAAATCAATGAATCCAGGAGCTGGTTTTTTGAAAGGATCAACAAAATTGATAGACCGCTAGCAAGACTAATAAAGAAAAAAAGAGAGAAGAATCAAATAGACACAATAAAAAATGATAAAGGGGATATCACCACCGATCCCACAGAAATACAAACTACCATCAGAGAATACTACAAACACCTCTACGCAAATAAACTAGAAAATCTAGAAGAAATGGATACATTCCTTGACACATACACTCTCCCAAGACTAAACCAGGAAGAAGTTGAATCTCTGAATAGACCAATAACAGGCTCTGAAATTGTGGCAATAATCAATAGTTTACCAACCAAAAAGAGTCCAGGACCAGATGGATTCACAGCCGAATTCTACCAGAGGTACAAGGAGGAACTGGTACCATTCCTTCTGAAACTATTCCAATCAATAGAAAAAGAGGGAATCCTCCCTAACTCATTTTATGAGGCCAGCATCATTCTGATACCAAAGCCGGGCAGAGACACAACCAAAAAAGAGAATTTTAGACCAATATCCTTGATGAACATTGATGCAAAAATCCTCAATAAAATACTGGCAAACCGAATCCAGCAGCACATCAAAAAGCTTATCCACCATGATCAAGTGGGCTTCATCCCTGGGATGCAAGGCTGGTTCAACATATGCAAATCAATAAATGTAATCCAGCATATAAACAGAGCCAAAGACAAAAACCACATGATTATCTCAATAGATGCAGAAAAAGCCTTTGACAAAATTCAACAACCCTTCATGCTAAAAACTCTCAATAAATTAGGTATTGATGGGACGTATTTCAAAATAATAAGAGCTGTCTATGACAAACCCACAGCCAATATCATACTGAATGGGCAAAAACTGGAAGTATTCCCTTTGAAAACTGGCACAAGACAGGGATGCCCTCTCTCACCACTCCTATTCAACATAGTGTTGGAAGTTCTGGCCAGGGCAATCAGGCAGGAGAAGGAAATAAAGGGTATTCAATTAGGAAAAGAGGAAGTCAAATTGTCCCTGTTTGCAGACGACATGATTGTTTATCTAGAAAACCCCATCGTCTCAGCCCAAAATCTCCTTAAGCTGATAAGCAACTTCAGCAAAGTCTCAGGATACAAAATCAATGTACAAAAATCACAAGCATTCTTATACACCAACAACAGACAAACAGAGAGCCAAATCATGAGTGAACTCCCATTCACAATTGCTTCAAAGAGAATAAAATACCTAGGAATCCAACTTACAAGGGATGTGAAGGACCTCTTCAAGGAGAACTACAAACCACTGCTCAAGGAAATAAAAGAGGACACAAACAAATGGAAGAACATTCCATGCTCATGGGTAGGAAGAATCAATATCGTGAAAATGGCCATACTGCCCAAGGTAATTTACAGATTCAATGCCATCCCCATCAAGCTACCAATGACTTTCTTCACAGAATTGGAAAAAACTACTTTAAAGTTCATATGGAACCAAAAAAGAGCCCCCATCACCAAGTCAATCCTAAGCCAAAAGAACAAAGCTGGAGGCATCACACTACCTGACTTCAAACTATACTACAAGGCTACAGTAACCAAAACAGCATGGTACTGGTACCAAAACAGAGATATAGATCAATGGAACAGAACAG
Organism: Homo sapiens; assembly: GCF_000001405.40. NCBI lineage: Eukaryota > Metazoa > Chordata > Mammalia > Primates > Hominidae > Homo > Homo sapiens. The sequence goes on along the minus strand of NC_000002.12, from coordinate 180,834,998 downwards.
AGCCCTCAGAAATAATGCTGCATATCTACAACTATCTGATCTTTGACAAACCTGAGAAAAACAAGCAATGGGGAAAGGATTCCCTATTTAATAAATGGTGCTGGGAAAACTGGCTAGCCATATGTAGAAAGCTGAAACTGGATCCCTTCCTTACACCTTATACAAAAATCAATTCAAGATGGATTAAAGATTTAAACGTTAGACCTAAAACCATAAAAACCCTAGAAGAAAACCTAGGCATTACCATTCAGGACATAGGCGTGGGCAAGGACTTCATGTCCAAAACACCAAAAGCAATGGCAACAAAAGCCAAAATTGACAAATGGGATCTAATTAAACTAAAGAGCTTCTGCACAGCAAAAGAAACTACCATCAGAGTGAACAGGCAACCTACAACGTGGGAGAAAATTTTCGCAACCTACTCATCTGACAAAGGGCTAATATCCAGAATCTACAATGAACTCAAACAAATTTACAAGAAAAAAACAAACAACCCCATCAAAAAGTGGGCGAAGGACATGAACAGACACTTCTCAAAAGAAGACATTTATGCAGCCAAAAAACACATGAAGAAATGCTCATCATCACTGGCCATCAGAGAAATGCAAATCAAAACCACTATGAGATATCATCTCACACCAGTTAGAATGGCAATCATTAAAAAGTCAGGAAACAACAGGTGCTGGAGAGGATGTGGAGAAATAGGAACACTTTTACACTGTTGGTGGGACTGTAAACTAGTTCAACCATTGTGGAAGTCAGTGTGGCGATTCCTCAGGGATCTAGAACTAGAAATACCATTTGACCCAGCCATCCCATTACTGGGTATATACCCAAAGGACTATAAATCATGCTGCTATAAAGACACATGCACACGTATGTTTATTGCGGCACTATTCACAATAGCAAAGACTTGGAACCAACCCAAATGTCCAACAATGATAGACTGGATTAAGAAAATGTGGCACATATACACCATGGAATACTATGCAGCCATAAAAAATGATGAGTTCATGTCCTTTGTAGGGACATGGATGAAATTGGAAACCATCATTCTCAGTAAACTATCGCAAGAACAAAAAACCAAACACCGCATATTCTCACTGATAGGTGGGAATTGAACAATGAGATCACATGGACACAGGAAGGGGAATATCACACTCTGGGGACTGTGGTGGGGTCGGGGGAGGGGGGAGGGATAGCATTGGGAGATATACCTAATGCTAGATGACACGTTAGTGGGTGCAGCGCACCAGCATGGCACATGTATACATATGTAACTAAACTGCACAATGTGCACATGTACCCTAAAACTTAGAGTATAATAAAAAAAAAAATTAAAAAAAAAAAAAAAGGATTTAAGCTATATTATACCTCAGCTAAAATCTGATAGAAAATAGACTAGCTCACACATATACATAAATAGAATGAAATGCTAGAAAGAATACATAAATTTGTTAAAAAGTTAACCAAAATAGTTATCTCTGGACCATGGCATTGCAGCAACTTTTATCATACATTTCTTCATTTTTCAAATATTCTACAATGAACTTTTAAAATCAGTAAAACACAGTGATGCCAGACATCAGTGAAGTGATGTAAAGAGATAGAGGGGCACACAGTTATAGAAAGATATTTGCAAAGAAGGGAGAGTGTTGCACATGTATGCAGGCTGAATGGAAAAAAGGGCAATGAAAAGAACCAATTGAGGATTAAAAGGACTAAAAGTTGCTGAAGGCAGGTGTTGCAGTTTGGTTGAGCTCTAGAGCACTGAGGGAAAATTAGACTTGGGTAGGAGGCACGAGAAAAATAGCCTGTGGAAGCATGTATGAAAACCGAACACCGAGGGAGTTTACACTTTGTGACCTTAATTTTCATTCTGTTTTTCTCAGGCTATATCTGTTGAGAGTGAGAAATGGTGAATTTGCAGAGAATATTGGAAGTTCTGGGTATTTGATGAAGAGAATGAGAGAGAGAGAATTGCTGAGGAAAGTCAAAGGATTAACAGGTTGCCTGAAGGCTTCTTTGATGTTAGACATCTTAAATTTGTAAATTTGGCATCATTCTCTAAAATTGCATGGGGTTTTTCATCAAGAATATGTATTTTTAGGAATAGAGGCACTGAAAGTTTGGAATGCTCTCTCTGAGAATTTGCAGAGTGGGTATAGTTAAAAGACTTTGGTTAAGAATTTGAAGGTGTTTTGGTTACTGTAGACTTGTGGTATAGTTTGAAGTCAGGTAGCATGATGCCTCCAGCTTTGTTCTTTTGGCTTAGGATTGACCTGGCAATGCGGGCTCTTTTTTGGTTCCATATGAACTTTAAAGTAGTTTTTTCCAATTCTGTGAAGAAAGTCATTGGTAGCTTGATGGGGATGCCATTGAATCTATAAATTACCTTGGGCAGTATGGCCATTTTCACGATATTGATTCTTCCTACCCATGAGCATGGAATGTTCTTCCATTTGTTTGTATCCTCTTTAATTTCATTGAGCAGTGGTTTGTAGTTCTCCTTGAAGAGGTCCTTCACGTCCCTTGTAAGGTGGATTCCTAGGTATTTTATTCTCTTTGAAGTAATTGTGAATGGGATTTCACTCATGATTTGGCTGTTTGTCTGTTATTGGTGTATAAGAATGCTTGTGATTTTTGTACATTGATTTTGTATCCTGAGACTTTGCTGAAGTTGCTTATCAGCTTAAGGAGATTTTGGGCTGAGACAATGGGGTTTTCTAGATATACAATCATGTTGTCTGCAAATAAGGACAATTTGACTTCCTCTTTTCCTAATTGAATACCCTTTATTTCCTTCTCCTGCCTAATTGCCCTGGCCAGAACTTCCAACACTATGTTGAATAGGAGTGGTGAGAGAGGGCATCCCTGTCTTGTGCCAGTTTTCAAAGGGAACGCTTCTAGTTTTTACCCATTCAGTATGATATTGGCTGTGGGTTTGTCATAGATAGCTCTTATCATTTTGAGATACATCCCATCGATACCTAATTTATCGAGAGTTTTTAGCATGAAGCGTTGTTGAATTTTGTCAAAGGCCTTTTCTGCATCTATCAAGATACTCATGTGGTTTTTGTCTTTGGTTCTGTTTATATGCTGGATTACATTTATTGATTTGCGTATATTGAACCAGCCTTGCACTGGTACCAAAACAGAGATGTAGATCAATGGTACAGAACAGAGCCCTCAGAAATAACGCTGCATGTCTACAACTATCTGATCTTTGACAAACCTGAGAAAAACAAGCAATGGGGAAAGGATTCCCTATTTAATAAATGGTGCTGGGAAAACTGGCTAGCCATATGTAGAAAGCTGAAACTGGATCCCTTCCTTACACCTTATAGAAAAATCAATTCAAGATGGATTAAAAACTTAAACGTTAGACCTAAAACCATAAAAACCCTAGAAGAAAACCTAGGCATTAACATTCAGTACATAGGCATGGGCAAGGACTTCATATCTAAAGCACCAAAAGCAATGGCAACAAAAGCCAAAATTCACAAATAGGATCTAATTAAACTAAAGAGCTTCTGCACAGCAAAAGAAACTACCATCAGAGTGAACAGGCAACCCACAAAATGGGAGAAAATTTTCGCAACCTAATCATCTGACAAAGGGCTAATATCCAGAGTCTACAATGAACTCAAACAAATTTACAAGAAAAAAACAAAGAACCCCATCAAAAAGTGGGCAAAGGACATGAACAGACACATCTCAAAAGAAGACATTTATGCAGCCAAAAAACACATGAAAAAATGCTCACCATCACTGGCCATCAGAGAAACGCAAATCAAAACCACAATGAGATATCATCTCACACCAGTTAGAATGGCAATCATTAAAAAGTCAGGAAACAACAGGTGCTGGAGAGGATGTGGAGAAATAGGAACACTTTTACACTGTTGGTGGGACTGTAAACTAGTTCAACCATTGTGGAAGTCAGTGTGGCGATTCCTCAGGGATCTAGAACTAGAAATACCATTTGACCCAGCCATCCCATTGCTGGGTATATACCTAAAGGACTATAAATCATGCTGCTATAAAGACACACGCACACGTATGTTTATTGAGGCACTATTCACAATAGCAAAGACTTGGAACCAACCCAAATGTCCAACAATGATAGACTGGATTAAGAAAATGTGGCACATATACACCATGGAATACTATGCAGCCATAAAAATGATGAGTTCATGTCCTTTGTAGGGACATGGATGAAATTGGAAATCATCATTCTCAGTAAACTATCGCAAGAACAAAAAACCAAACACTGCATATTCTCACTCATAGGTGGTAATTGAACAATGAGAACACATGGACACAGGAAGGGGAATATCACACTCTGGGGACTGTTGTGGGGTGGGGGCAGGGATAGCACTGGGAGATATACCTAATGTTAGATGACGAGTTAGTGGGTGCAGCGCACCAGCATGTCACATGTATAGATATGTAACTAACCTGCACATTGCGCACATGTACCCTAAAACTTAAAGTATAATAAAAAAAAAGAATGAAAAAATATATAGCAGGCAAATATTAAAAAAAAAAGAATTTGAAGGTGGAGAGAAACTGAATTCCGCTGGAATTTAGGCTGGGCAGAAAAGAAGTGAATTGTTGGATGTTGAGGGATAGTGGGACAGGTCTTTGGAAGTAGATTGTAGTAGTGGAGGGAAAGAGATGTAGGACTATGTTCTTTGCCTTCACCTCGCACTCATAGCCTTCGAATCCAACTTTTGGCATTCACTACACTCTGCCTTGTTTTAGTTGACTGTATTTCCCACCCCCACCCCCCAACTCTTGTAAGTGGCTGCACATTCCTGAGGCACCTACCCCAGTGTTCTGTATTTGGCAGTGATTCAATTACAGTTGTTGGAGGAGTGAAGGAAACCAAATGTGTTGATTTTTAAAATCATGGCAAGTGTTTTTGGTTAAATTTAGAACTACTCTTTTGAAGATTGTGCACTCAAAAGTATTAATTAAATTGGCAACTGTGCCTGCCAGCAACATTAATGTGATACTCTTTGGGGAGGAGCCATTTGAAGGTGTTGCTGGAACTATAGTAAGCTCAGAGTATGAATTTAACTGCACTTAAAGAAGCTCTATCTTTTGGAACTTCCAACTAAGGGTGAAAAAGCCTTGCTTCATAAGCAGGCACAGTTTGTTCTGGATCGACTGTCTGGTAGTTTCAAGGCTGATAACTTTTAATTCTTTTTGCTCAGATAGTAGCCACTCAAGAGGGTGCCAGGGAACCTTCTGCTTCTCCTAAAAGCTTGGTTTCAGAAAGTGAATTTGCTTGATATCATATCTACAGGGTGTACTCTTCTTAATCCAAAGACTCTCTAGTAAGTTTTCCATAATTAAGGTATAAACTCACAAGATGCCAAGTTCTTATTTTATCGGAGGAGAAAGGACAAGGAATATACTACTCTCTGATCATGACAATGGGTGAAGCTAAAGAGGGAGGAAGAATCCCAGTTCCTCCTTTCAGAAACCTTAACTGTGGTTCTATAAATGTGGAGGCATACATACGCCCATACACACCCATGCATTCTCGCTCACTTACTCATGCATTCACACAACCGTTTTTCCAATCTTATTCTTTTCAGTTGAATGTTCACATCCTAATCCTGGTATTTAACTTTTAGTGTTTTCAAGGCTCCTTTTTATATATTCACGAATCTAGTAGACCTCATCCCAGTGAACATTCTTAATTATAGTCAATTGCTCTAAATTGGCTTTCTTGAATTTAAATGCATTTGCCATTTCATTTTTCAAGATGAATTTGATTGAATGTCTTGTAGTGATTGATGCAAGCTCATTCAGAATATGTGAATAATAAATTTATTACTCTCTAGAAATAAGTACTAGATCACAAAATCTCTTTGGTTTAATATTTTACTGTTAAAGATTAAATAGTTCTTCTAAATAACTTAGCAACTCTCTCAAACTTAAATTGTTTAGCTCTATGTTTAAGGAAACTATGGAAATTGTTTCAGTTCCCTTGGGTGCAGTCGTGCAATTTAGATTTAGCTGGCCTGCAGATTGTACTCATCTATGTTAATGTTTCTGTAATGAGAATGATCCAACTGTGTCATAACCTTTTAGGTCTTAACCTCCTTCATTTACATAACCTTTTACTTTACATTTACACACGCTTTGCCATTTTAGGATTAATATGTCAGGCTTTTTCTGTTTTTTTCCCATGACCTTTGTTGCTAATAAAAACAATCAGTTGGTTTGCCTTATATATGGGAAAAACATGTTGTTCACAATAGATTGGTCAATATTTGAAAGAAATGTTAGATTTGATAACCAGAGAAGGGAATACATGGATTTTTGCATGACTACCATAATTGTAAGCAGAAAAACTCAATAAACTATTTTTATTCTTAAAAGTGTTGATTAAATTTGATAATATTTGAAATGTACATCATTAAATAAATGGTTTATAAGTGTATTCAGTTCCTTGCTTCAAATAGAACAAGTTATAATTTAAAATAATAAGCCGGGCACGGTGGCTCAAGCCTGTAATCCCACCACTTTGGGAGGCCGAGGCAGGTGGATCACGAGGTCAAGAGATTGAGACCATCCTGGCTAACACGGTGAAACCCTGTCTCTACTAAAAATACAAAAAAATTAGCCAGGCGTGGCGGCGGACGCCTGTAGTCCCAGCTACTCGGGAGGCTGAGGCAGGAGAATGTCGTGAACCCGGGAGGTGGAGCTTGCAGTGAGCCAAGATTGCGCCACTGCACTCCAGCCTGGGAGACAGAGCAAGACTCCATCTCAAAAAAATAAAAAATAAAAAATAAAATAATACTAGTACCTATTACCCTAAAAATGTGTTAAAAACATATACACATTGGTCTTTTACATTTAAAATTATGTCATTTATGTGCATTTTTATATATCCACATATATTTACAAGTATTGATTACAACAAAATAAAATCTTCAAAGACTTGGACTTTCTTAACTAGACATATAGTTAAGAGGTAAATATGTTTCAAAAATTTAATGGTAGAATTTATTTAAATAGAAAATATAATACATGTGAAATGATTTCATTTTAAAGTAGCCTATTTACATACAGGATATTTTTTCTATTATTAACGATTTTATTCGACTTGTGATACTCTGAAGGAGAATCACAGGGTGCACAATCTGGGTATCAGGGAGCACCCCCGAGGAAATGTCATTTGAGCTGAGTCCCAAAGGGTGAGTAGAAACTGCAAGGTAAAAGGCTTGAGTGCCTCGGGAGGCCTAATATTTTTAGAATAATCTTTGTAATATAAACCTGACCCATAAATCCCTCATACTCTCCCAAAACCTTACAATATTTTCCCAAATCTGTACCATGTCCTGCAAAAGCTGCATCATCTGGCTTCTCCCTATCCCAGCAACTTTATTTCCCACCACCCTCCCTCACTCTCACCCCCAGCCATGGCCGACTTGTTAAGTTTCACCACCTCACCATTGTCTCACTTCTTACCTTTTAACATGTTGCTCATGTTCCTTGGATGACTCTCCCTACCTCCTTTCTCCATCCCGCTCCTCATCATTGGTGAACTCCACTTATCTGCAGATATTCAGCTTCTTCAGGGAGGTGGTATCTGCATCCCCAGAGGCTGGGTCTTCATTTACAAGTGAAGCATCTGGCACTTCTTCCCCAGTCATTCCATTCTCATCATGTTTGTGATTTCTGGTGTCATGGCCATATTCCTGGAAGGTGGACCTTGTGTCCCCAGCATCTAGATTGCTGTTACATTGTAGGGATCAAGCAAATAGCTATTGAATAAATGAATGTATATAAAACTTTAAATCAGTAAATTTTAAAGATAATGCTTTTTCTTAGTCACTATAAGAATTGCAGCTACCACTTACTGAGCACAAGTGTTAATCAAGCACAGTCCAAGATGCCAAATGTGGTGGATATGAACCTCATATTATTAATGACAAAACTGAGGTTTGGAAGTCCAGCAAATTGCTCCAAGTCAGATTGTGGTTTGCTCTATTATGTTTGATAAAAGCAGTCACTAAATTGTCTCATTATAATCAGGGGAGAGAAAACACTATTTTTTGATGAAAAAGTGTTGATGTAGTTCATCTCAAATTGTAATACTTTTATGTAAATTTTATTTTAAAAATAATTTTTTATATATCATTACACTTATTCTCATTTAAATTATTCAATTCATAAGTACTGTCAGTCATGTACCATATATTAAGGAGCAAAGTAAGTGATACATATATACGGTTTTACCCGCTAGTGAGGTTACAATTTGTGTAGGGAGAGAGGCTTGGGAAAAGCATCTATGGTTTAGCTGAGGTAACCACAAAATCCTAAGGGTTATAGAGTTGTGCATACTTAACAACTATTTAACTGCTTAAGGCCATGCGTGGTGGCTCGTGCCTGTAATCCCAGCACTTTGGGAGGCCAAGGCAGGCGGATCACGAGGTCAGGAGATTGAGACCACCCTGGCTAACACGGTGAAACCCCGTCTCTACTAAAAATACAAACAATTTAGCCCGGCGTGGTGGCGTGCGCCTGTAGTCCCAGCTACTCGGGAGGCTGAGGCAGGAGAATGGCGTGAACCCGGGAGGGAGAGCTTACAGTGAGCCGAGATCATGCCACTGCACTCCAGCCTGGTGACAGAACGAGACTGCATCTCAAAAAACAAACAAACACCTGCTTAATATGGCCCACACATTTTTCAAGGCACTAGGCACACACTAGTGAATAAAATAAACAGGATCCTTTGTCTCATGAAAAATATATTCTATAATAAAGACATTAAATCCTATTGGGGAGGTCTCATTAGGCAGGACTTACTAGAGAGGGTGATGCTTTCATTGGCTCATAAAGGATGAGTAAATACTGTCATGTCCTGATGGGGAGTGTCTTAGTATATCTGATCTTAACCAAAAGGCTGAGAAACTATAACAGCATATTAATTAGGATTAGGTTCATCATGGAGTAGTAGAAAACCCCAAGTTATATTGGTCTGACAAGCTAGGAAACTGTCTCTTGCTCCCATAAAAGAAATCTAGGTATAGTTAGTCTAGCATGGGTACTGTACTCAGAGGTAGGAGCCAAGGGTGTTCCCTCCATGTTGTTTCTCCACCATATTCCATACATGGCTTCCAGCTCAGGCTCTAAGACGGCCACATTATTTCCATTCATCATATCTGCATTCCAGCCAGCAGAAAGGAAAGGGATAGTAGGGAAGAAGAGCATGCCCTCTTTATTTCCAAACATTTACCAAAAGTTGTGTACACTGATTCTGTTTATTTCTGGAAGCAACCTCAAGAGAGGTGGAGAAGTGGGGAAATGATGTGTTTTGCTAAAAACAGGATTTTATTACTGAAGATGTGGAAAATGAATATTGGGTATATATGACAGTGTCTGCTCCATTAACAAAAGCAAGGCCTGGAGGAATGACAGCAAAGGACTCAAAAAAATAACTCCACAAGTTTCATTGTGTGATGTGGTTGAAGTTTTATGTATATAGAACATTATAGAAGGAAATAACTAAACGTGGGTTCGTAAAAGCATTTAATTGCCATGCTCAGAAACATTGTCATGCAGGGATATATAATAATTTAAATATCTTTCTTATGTTGTACTTACATATTTCATAATTTACAAGGCTCTTAAAATATATTATCTCTTTTAATATTCAAAATAATCCTGTGGAATAGTAAATATTATCCTTGTTTGGTACATTAAATAATCAAGGTCCAGATATCTGACTCAAGGCCAGTGTCCTTTCCATTGTATCTGAAATAGTTAATATATTCATAGAAATTTAAAGAGGATATTAGTATTTTTTTATTAATCTTAATCCAAGAACAGGAAAGTAATGCAAAGAAAACTATTACACAATAAAAGAGAGCTTCTACAGATTAAAATGTAACCATTGAGATAAAAGATAATAATCTCCCAGAAAGTAGACCCAAATGAGAAAGTAATGGAAATGTTAGCAAGGAAATGAGGCATAGGGTTCAAATATGGAATGTTCAACTTTTGGTTAGTAAGAGTCTTAGAAAGAGAACAAAAAATAGTGCGTGCTTGGGGTTAGGATGGGGTGGTGGCGATGGAAGAGGAAGTATTATTAAAGATACGGATATAAGGAAATTATTTAAAACTGAAAAGGACATGAGTCTTCAGATTAAAAGGATCTGGATCCACTAGGTGTCTGAGACTGCAAAAAGATCCCCACAAAGGCATATTCTTGTAACATTTTACAGATCACCAAGGAGAAAAGACACTAAAAACTTCTATAAAAATATTTTTCAAATTTATGAGACAAAATGTTTTATGCTCAGACCATCAACCATATATGATGATTGTTTGAAGACATTTTTAATCATGCAAAATTCAAAATATTTATTCTTCATCAATTTTTCTTTGTGACTAACAGGATATATTAAAGTAAAACAGAAGAGTGCACAAAGGTTATATGGAATTTTGGAAACAGTGTGTCTAACTGGTAAAGAAGTCAAAGAAATCCCATAATTATAGTTTGCATAGTCCTCGATTGAAGGAAATAAATAAGTTTATCTATGGGGTTGGGGGAAAGGTGTGGGGGAAGGAACTCTATGGACAATATGATTAAGAATGAGGAAGAATATGAGTATGATAAAGTTACAAATTCAAGGAACCAAGAAATATAATTAGAAATGTCAGTAAAAAATATGAAGCAAAATAAGAAGTGACACAATTGGAAGTAATTGTTGAATGTTAAAAAATCAACTTGGAATTGATGTTAGAACCAATATTTGTATCAATTATATAAATACACACACAATTGTAGAAGTTATTTAGTTTCCATGAGACATCTGGCATCTGATGTTGGAGAAGTCTGCAGATAGACAATGGCGAAGGGAAGACGTGTAAAATAGCGGTATAAGCATGCTGGAACTCACCAGTGTGAGCTGAAATCTGCTAGGACAGACTGTCAGTGTGCCAGTCTCACCACCTCCCACTTTGATGATGTGTGTGTGCTGCAGAATAAGCTGTCACCTTTTGTCATGGAGCTAAGCACACACCTGGCGTAGAAGAAACTGAAAGAAGAAGAAACAGAAAGACCTAGGGGAAGATGGAGCAGCTGCAGGCTGGGCTTCTGCTCCTACCCAACAATGTGAGCTGCTAAATAAGAAAATATGTGAGAGCTAAAACCTCCTGTTGCCTCTTCCTTGATCTTCTGAGCATACAAACAATATAACCACTTTTTCATTTCTGCCTTCAAAATCTGACACAGAATGTCTCTTGTGGCCCAATCTAATATGAATCATATAGGGAGAGGAATTCCAGAACACATAGGTCAGCCTAGCTGGTAGCATAACGCACTAACACATTACAAAGCCATCACAATCTCTTTTGAGTGACCCTAGGGGTTGTATTTGGTCCACAGAAAAAAGTAATGCAATCTTAATATAGTACTTGGTCCAACTTTAAAGAATATTTACACAATAAGGATAATGTAAATGCTGTTTCTGGGTCATTATATTTAGAGTCAATCTGTGAAAAAGCACAGAAACCCGGGTGGTGATTGCATGAAGGTAAATGTTAACAACCTTGGAAATATAAAAGGAAAAAGTAGGTGGTAGATGGTGGGATGTGGAAAGGACTCTGGTGTGGAAGAAAAGTTGAAGGAAGAGTAAGGAGCCAAATAGCTTAAGTTTTTCTTCTTTTTAATTTTTTTCTTGCCAAAAAAATTCTACCATATCTTAATTTTTAAAGTGTAGAGTTAAGGGATCCTACCTAAAATTCACAGAACAAGAAATAGAGGTTAAAGATATCATTTAAAGTGACAAACATAAGCAATAGGAGAATTTAAGGTAACGACCTAATTATAAACATTAAGAGAAGAAAGTAAAGGTGGAAAAAAGAATAAACATGATAAATCTGTTAAATCAATAATCTAAGGTATATAGAAGTATATTATTCAGAGTTATTAAAACAGAATGGTTAAGAGGTTGTTTGGGGGAATAGATGTGAGTTAGAGAACAAAGTAGAGGGATACTGTTGCTTTTCATCGTAAGATTTTTGTAATATTTGATTAATGCATTATTAGAGTTCTCCTGAGAGACATAAAGAGAGGATATAGATAGATTTTATGTATATAGACGTAAGAGGGAACTTGTTACGAGAACTGGCTCACATGATTATGGAGGCTGAGAAGTCCCATGAGATACCATTCACAAGTTTGAGAGCTAGAAAACCTGGTGCACTGGGCCCTGCTCCGATGTCCAAGGGCAGAAAAAGATGGATGTGACAACTCAAGAAGAGAGAGATAATTTGCCCTTCCTTTGGCTTTTTGTTCCATTTGAACTCTCAACTGATTGCATGATTCCAGCCCACACTGGTGAGTCCACTGATTAAAAGGCTAATCTTTTTTTTCTGAAAAGCATATAGATGCACCCAGAAATATTGTTTTACAAACTATCTGGGCATCCCATAACTCAATCAAGTTGACACATCAAGTTATCCATCACAACTATTTAGAATAAGCATACATTACTTTGTATGCAATAATTTTTTTAGAGGAGAGAAAATAGAAGAGGTCAGAGGATAGAGGGTCTTCCTTGGTCAAATTCTTCATTAAAGGGACAAATGTGAGAACCAAGAAAAGAAGGTGAAGTGCATTTAGACCTTTAAGATGAATATTATATAATAGCTATTAATTTTTTAACAAATTTAAATAATAGAAACATTATCTGCACTGTAACTTCAGAAATGATGCTGGTCACTGCTCTACAATGGTGGTAGAAATAGCTGTCAAACCACTCCTTTCTTCACTAGGAAAGAATAAATGAATTTGATAAAAACCTGTGGTAAAATCCATTGATTATGATTTTATAAATATGAAACCCTAATACATTTTATTACATTACTGTGTGAATATAATAAACTATATTAATATTTAAAATATTATCATTGTAATAAAATAATGAAATATAATAAATAATATAATAAAAGTATATAATATTATGTGAAACTAGAAAAATTTAGCCATAAAACCAGAAACTAGAATGAGAAAAAATTAATGTCTAAATATTCGCATGCTTGGGATTTTGCAAAATAAACCAAATTTTAAAAAGAAAAATTTTTGTCATTATAATGTAATAATGTTTTATCATATTCACAATAGATATTAAATATTCTTCTGAATAGACTATTAATACTTAAAACAAATTATATGGATATTATTTGGTTTAATATTTAGAATTATAGTTTTACCTTCCCATTTGTAATTCCTTATAATTATGTTCAAGAGCATTGGTCATCATTTTGCAGATTCTAACTGTTCTAATTATTTTGTCCAATTATTAGTTACTATATATTTTCTGGACTAATTATATTACTAAAATACAGAAGAACTGGGTAAATTTTATTCACATTGATACTAGTATATTTTAAACCTTGCCTATTTCCTATCTTTACATATTTTCCTTTGATTAAACATCTCTGAATTATTCTCAAGTGCACCACTATTAATTTCAACAAGTTAGTTTAAATCATTTATTCTGCTGAAATGCTATATTACATAACTAATTTTGCAAATCTGGTAGTGATTTAAACTAATTTGTCTTCCAGAAACTATGGTAGAATAATTATGCTTTGATCTTGTAAATTAGCCAAATGGAGTATTGTTTATAATATAATTTAAATGAAAACTGCCATTACATTAAATAGTGTTTCTTGTCTCATTGCTTAATTGACCTCAGTTTGTGTGTTGTTCATAGGTAAACAGTGCAACTGGATCCACTGGAGTTAACAGAGAAACACCTTTTTCCTCACAATGTTTTCATTGCCTAGGAAATAATAAAATCAAATCAACCTATTTTTAACACAAATTTCAAGGTTTAATTTAAGACTTTATAAGGTAGAGTTTTAAGATGTATCTTTATGGTGATGATGATGATGATTTCAGTGAAAAGTAAACATGTTAACACTGCCTCTTATTTTGGGATCTGTCTGAGCAGCCTCATGGCTCTCGGATTTTATCAGTATCAGTGACCATCAGACTCATATATGTTAACTAGCCATGAACCTTGGTTCCAATCCTGGGCCCTTTTATTCCCTGGAACTCTTCCATCCTTAAAACTATCAACTCTAATATTCCATCCTCTGACCAACTTCATATTCATTTAAATCTTTTCACTTCTTTATTTCTGCTTAAACAAGGCCTTCACTTCATCAAGACCTTGGCGTTCTTAACCTTTTTATTTTCCTTAAACCAATTTATTCAATAAAATTACAATTTATTGTACACTTAGATTGCCCAAGTGCTTTACATGAGTTGTCTGATTTAAGCCATTTGATGTGAAGTAGGAATTATTATCCCATTTCACATCTATGGAAATTGAAGCATAGAGAGGTTAAATAAATTGTTCAAGGGAAGTGGAGGACATAATTTAAATTCAGGTCTAGTTTCTTCATAGCGTATGCTATATAGCTCTTATGCTTTTATTACTTTCCATATTCAATCTTGCCCATATCTCATTTCAACCACTTTCTCTTTCTCTGTCTTTTCTTTTTGCCACTGCTCTAAATTCCTTTATTATACAGTTTTGACAGCCACTGACATTTAAAAAGCATCCAATTCCATTACCTAAGCCATCCACCTTCTCTGTTCCTCAACCTGAGTTGCCAAGCACTGCTGGAAGAATGGCATGTTCATGAGTATTGATGCCATATCCATTCATTGTGTCTAGTTCCTGCTGATCTCCAACACTGCCTAGCTATGTGTCCTTTATCAGCTCCCTTCTCAATTCTAAACTGAATTTTCTCAAACTTCCTGCTGCACCATTACCTACTAAATCAGCTAACCCAAAGGATTGGATTGTCAATTCAACTCACATAAATGAGAGACCTTCTTGTATTAATTTCAAGAATAAAAGCGATCAAGAAGTACAGATGAAGTATGGAGAGGTCTGAGACATCTGCATGGCTCTCAAAGTTCATTATTCCTGCGTTAGACATGCACAGTGCGTGGTTCAGAGTAATGGATAAGGTCTACAAAGAAGTACTCATGGGTTATTACTTTACATAGCAGGGAACATTTAGGTTACACCATATCTCCATTTTATACCTCAAATTAGTCACCTAACTTGCATGACATTTTCCAGAGTGCCATGCCCCATAAATTCATAGAACCTAGATTTGTTTGTCATAAGCAAACCTAAATGAGGAACATCCTCCTAAGAGAATTCCATAAATAAGAGCGTTCCTTCTAGTAAATATCATCAGTCTATTTACAAGTTCAGCTATCAACATGTCTAAAAGAATCATCAGAACTCTTTTCTTCTCCAAAAGGTTCCTCTGACCTATCTACAAACACACACAAACCATCTGCTTTAAACTCCTTCCTCCAACTCATTTTTAGCCAAGATCCCTACTTTCATTTTATAAAAAAAATTAAAGCATCTCAGATAAGAAAGTCCAACTTCCTTTTTCCAGTAATACACATTGTTAGACATTCACTCTACCCTCTTTCCTTTAGCCTGAGTGGAAAACTATATTTTGTTCAAAGTTGATCTCTGTTTCAATGATCTGTTTCTCCTTGCTTTTTCTCTCTTCAGAGACTCTGGATATTTTATTAACCAACTGCAACTTTACCTAATTGCATTCTTAATCAGTGAAAACTTCTTAGTAATAGTTTATCTATTACTTCTTCAATGCTGGCTGTGTGACAGGCATTTTTCTAATATTAACTCATTTACTATCATAACAACGGAATGAAGTAAATGCTGTTAGTATTGCCGACTTATATATGGGGTCTATGAGTATCAGAGAGGTTAAGTAACTTTCTTTTCCCTTCTCTTCTCTTCTCTTCTTTTCTTTCTTTTTTGAGAAGGAGTTTTGCTCTTGTTGCCCAGGCTGGAGTACAACGGCGCGATCTCAGCTCACAGCAACCTCTGCCTCCTGGGTTCAAGCGATTCTCCCACCTCAGCCTCCCGCATAGCTGGGATTACAGGCATGTGCCACAATGCCTGGCTAATTTTTTTGTAGAGACGGTGTTTCTCCATGTTGGTCAGGCTGGTCTCGAACTCCCAACTTCAGGTGATCTGCCCGCCTCAGCCTCCCAAAGTTCTGGGATTAACAAGTGTGAGCCACCGCGCCCGGCCTGAGGTTAAGTAACTTTTTCAAAATCATACAGCTAGTAAGTGATGACTCTAGGATTTGAACAAAGCTGTCTATGCTGTGCTGGAAGTACATTTCCTAATGCCTATTTTAAAATTATTATTATGAATACATTTTAGATTTATAGAAAAGGTGCAAAAACAGATCAAAGAAGGTGTTTGTAATTCTAATCCATGCTTCCTCTAACGTTAACATCTTACCTTATCACAGTACAATTATAAAGAACAGGAAAGTAACTTTGGCACTATATTAACTAAATTACAGACTTTTTTTTTTTTTTTTAAATGGAGACGGAGTTTCACTCTGTCACCCAGGCTGGAGTGCAGTAGTGCGATCTCCGCTCACTGCAACCTCCGCCTCCTGGTTCAAGCAATTCTCCCACCTCAGCCTCCTGAGTAGCTGGGACTACAGGTGCATGCCACCATACCCAGCTAATTTTTTATGTTTCAGTAGAGACGGGGTTTCACCATGTGGCCCAGGCTGGTCTCGAACTCCTGAGCTCAGGAAATCTGTCCACATCGGCCTCCCAAAGTGCTAGGAGTACAGGCATGAGCCACTGTGCCTGGCCAAATTACCGACTTTTAATTTTATTTTTATTATTTATTTTAAAATTTTTATTATTTTAATTAATGAATTTTTAAATGCACTAGTTTTTAATATCCTTTTTCTGATCTAGGACCCATCCTGAAGTTGGACGTGTTTTTTCTTCAGTTGCCTCCAGCCTTGAATATTTGCTCGATCTTACGTTATATTTTATGTCCTTAATGAATATTAACTTTTCGTCACTCTAATGAGAAAAAAAGTTTTCCCAGTTAAAGAGTGAGAAAATTATTTGGTATCAATGAAATGTTTTTCCTTATCAACATACATTTCCTAATTATTAGACCCATGATTATTATATAGTTCTGAGTTGACATGCTTTCTGCATAAAACTTTTGGTTTCAATGACTCATTATATAGCTATATGATTTGCATGCAATCACATGTATTCTATCATGACTATAATTTTCCTTCTAATTTATATTTTCTGTTATTTAATCTGCACTTTCCTTTTCAGTTTTTAGTGATACCAAATTCCAGTTTAGCAGTGTATTTTTTATGAGCACTTAATCTTCTAGTTTCCACTGTTTTTATTGTGAAGTTGGTCCTTGGTGTGAGTGTTACTCTTTTGAAAGCCCTCTCTTTTTTCTCTGTTAGGCTCTAAGATCTTGTCTTTGGACTGTGACAGAATTCTTCTACTGGTCCTACTTATGGTTTTCTTGTTTGTTAGCCTCCTTGAAAGCATGGCATGTCATTGTCATTTTGAAAACCTTAAATACTTGCTCTGAAACTCTCCTCCTTCCTTCTACCATCCCAATAACACACGTGTCAGATTTAATTCTTCTATACTTTGTGCTTGTTTTTGCTTTTCTCTATTTTCTATTATTTTCTTCTCATACTTTAGAGTATTGTCTTATATTCCCATTCACTAACTTTTTCTTTAGCTATGTCTAATCTCTTCTTAAATCACATCTATTCAGTTATTTGCTTCAGTTATTTTACTATTTATTTATTACTTTGGTACAAAGCATAACAAAATTTTCAATCTTCACCATTTTAAAATGCAATTCAGTAATGTTCAGTATATTCACATTCTTGGGAAAGAGATCTGCAGAACTTTTTATCTTACAAAACTGGAGGTCTATGCATATTAAAGAACTCTTTTTCCCTCTCCCTGCATCCTTTGGTAACCACCACTCTACTTCCTATTTCTGTGAATTTGACTACTTTAGATACTCCATATAAGTGGTATCATACAGTATTTGTCTTTTTGTGACTGGCTTAATTACCTTAGCATAATGTTCTCAAGATTGTAGAATTTAAGGGATTTTCTTCCTTTTCAAGACTGAATAATATTCCGTCATATTTGTATATCACATTTTGCTTATCTGTTCATGTTGATGAACATTTGGGTTACTTCTACCTCTTGACTATTGTTAACAGTGCTGCTATGAACATGGGTGCACAAATGCCTATTTCAGACCCTCCTTTCTCTAGTGTCTATTTGAATTAACATTTCTAATGTCTATCTATGACATTAAAAAGAAAGCACAACACATGTTTTCTCCTTATCAGGATACTTTTAGTACCTAAAGTTCTTATCAAACAAATTAAATAATCTTAATTTTTAAAAAAATTGTTTCATGTGTCCAGTAAAGAAAATTCATTGACAGTAAAAATCATGACATATTTTTCTACTTCATGTGACAACAAGCACAATTTCAAACACATAGTGAATAACACAAGGGCAACTAATTTTGTGGGCTGTTAAGGGTTGAATTGCATCTCCCTTCAAAAATCATATGTTAAATTCCTAACTTCTAGTAGTTCATAATGTGACCTCATTTAGAAATAGGGTCATTATAGATATAGTTAGATAAGATGAGGTCATATTGAAGCAGGATGGACCTCTAATCCATTTTGACTGGCAATCCTAGAAGAAGGGAACATTTGGAGACAGACATAAGGAGAATTTCATGTGAAGCGCTGAAGGTAGAGATTGGAGTGATGCTTCTACATGTCAAGGAATGCTGAGGATTGCTACCTAACTATCGGAAGCTAGGGGAAAGGCATGGAACAGATTCACTCTCACAGCTTTTAAGGAACCAACCGTACTGACAACTTGGTCTTGGATTTATAATGTCCAGAACTGTGAGACAATATATTTCTGTTGTTAAAGTCACCCAGTTTGTGGTACTTAGTTATGGTAGACCTAGCAAGCTAATACAGGGCTATAGTCCCTTTAGAGGCAACATGATTGACCCATAAAATTGTATATAAAATTGTGTTTGTGAGTGTATCTGTCGGTACACATTCTTTTCTCCTTTGCACAATTTCACAATTTCCCTCTCTAAGAACCTGTATTTCATGACTAGTAGGAGGAGTATAATAAAGAGAGATGGAAGAAGTGAACCTTCAATGTGACATTTACTCCTGTTTTAACTTTGATTTCTCATGGTATTTTTAGTTCATGAGTGTTTAGCATTTTATGGCAGAAAGAGCTTGCACCTGTGATTTTCCAGATCTATCTGATCTTTAGTCAGCATCTGGAGTCCAAGGTAATCTCTTGGATCTTCCCTCATAGTAAGAATTAAAAATGAGATTGAAGACTGGGCCCAGTGGTTCACACCTGTAATCTCAGCACTTTGGGAGGCCAAGGGGGGAGGATTGCTTGAGGCCAGGAGTTTGAGATCAGCCTGGGCAACATAGTAAAACCCTGTGTCTACAAAAATTTTTTTAAAAAAATTAGTCAGGCATAGTGGCACACACCAGTAGTACCAGCTACTTAGGAGGCTGAGTTAGAAGGATCACTTGAGCTCAGGAATTCAAGACTGCAGTGAGCTATGATTGTACCACTGCACTTTTGCCTGGATTACAGAGTGAGAGCCTGTCCAAAGAAAGAACCTGTCATGAATATGTCAATGCTGAATGCAAATCAGGGAAAGATGAAGGTAAAGTCACTCTGAGACAAAGGGAGAGCAGGTTACCACGTGGAAGCTGCTCTGCTTACTAGAGTTGGGAATTCAGTATGTTAGAGAGCTCTGTATCAGTTTCCTAGGACTGCCATATTAAATCATCACTCTCACAGCTCTGGAGCTCCAAAGTCCAAAATAAAACTACATTCCCTCTGAAAGTTCTATGAAAATACCATTTTTTGCCTCTTCTAGCCTTTGGTGGCTCCATGTGTTCCTTGGTTTGTGGCATCATAACTCCAATTTATGCCTCTGTCTTCATATGGCCTTCTCTGTGTCTTCTACTCTTTTCCTCATGTGTCTCTGGTAAGGTTACTTACTATTGGATTGAGGGCATACCTTAAATCTGGCTGATTTCAACTCGATACTCTCAATTACATCCACAAAGACTATTTTTTTCCAATGAATGTCACATTCACAGATTCTAGGGGTCAGGATGTAGACATATTGTTTTGGAGGCCACCATTCAACCCAATATAGGCCCGAGCATTGCTAAATCCTGAGTATAAAAGAGAGATAAAGTTAGCCCCAACAGATTTTATTTTCATACCTCTATTTCTTAAACGAGAGGCCAAGGATAACTCCTTAATTCTGAATGAATCACCCACCAAAATTTGAGCTGAAAATGTTTAGCTGTAGAAGTGGAAACTTAGAGGTGCAGACTGAATCTCATTTCTTTCCGTTTTTGTTTTGTTTTGTTTTGTTTTGTTTTTTTGAGATGGAACCTTAGCTGTGTCTCCCAGGCTAGAGTGCAGTGATGCAATCTCGGCTCACTGCAACCTCCGCCTCCCAGGTTCAAGTGATTCTCCTACCTCAACCTCCTGAGTAGCTGGGATTACCGGTGCACACCACCATGCCTGGCTAATTTTTGTATTTTTAGTAGAGATGGGGTTCTGTCATGGTGGCAAGGCTGGTCTTGAACTCCTGACCTCAAGTGATCCACCTGCCTTGGCCTCTCAAAGTGCTGGGATTACAGGCGTGAGCCACCACACCGGCCCCTATTTCTTTTTAAAGATAATAAATTCAATACAGGAATACATCAAAGATATTGTGGGTTTGGTTCTAGACTACCACAATAAAGTGAATATCACAATAAGGTAGGTCACATAAATTGTTTGCCTTCCCAGTGCACTCCATTATACTGTAGAGTATTAAGTGTGCAATAACATTATGTCTAAAAAAAGTACATACCTTAATCTTAAAACATCTTATTGCTAAAAAATGCTAACAATCATCTAAGCTTTCAGTGAGTTGTAATCATTTTGCTGGAGAAGGATCTTGCCGAAATGTTGATGGCTGCTGACTGATCAAGGTGGTGGTTGCTGAAGGTTGGGGTGGCTGTGACAGTTTCTTAAATAAGAAATCAATGAAGTTTGCTGCATCAATGGACTCTTCCTTTTATAAAAGATTTATCTGTAGTATACAATGTTGTTTGGTAGCATTTTACCCACAGTAGAACTTTCAGTATTGGAGTCAATCCTCTCAAACCCTGCTGCTACTTTCTCAACTACATTTATGGATTATTTTCAACTTTTCGTTGTCGTTTCAGCAATGTTCAGAGCACCTTCACCAGGAGTAGATTCCATCTCAGGAAACCACTTTGTTTGCTCATCCATAAGAAGCGACTCCTCATTAGTTCAACTCTTATAAAATTGCAGCAATTCACATCTTCAGGTTCCACTTCTAATTCACTTACTATTTCTACCAAATCTGCAGTTCCTTTCTTCACTGAAGTCTTGAACCCCTGAATGTCATCAACTTCTTCCAAACATCTGTTACTATTGATATTTTGACCTCTGCCCATGAATCACAAATATTCTTAATGGCATCCAAAATGGTGAATCCTTTCCAGAAGGTTTTCAATATACTTTGCTCAGATCTGTCAGAACAATCACTATGTACAAGAGCTATGAGAGCTATAGCCTTACAGAATGTACTTCTTAAATAGTAAGACTTAAAAGTCAAAATTACTCCTTGATCCATGAGCTACAGAATGGATGTTGCATTACCAGTCATAAAAACAATGTTAATCTCCTTATACATCTTCATCAGAGTTCTTGTGTGACTAGCTACATTGTCAATGAGCAGTAATATTTTGAAAGGATCTTTTTTTCTGAGCAGTAGATCTCAACAGTGGGTATAAAATATTTAGTAAAGCATGCTGTAAATAGATGTGCTATCATCCAGGCTTTGTTTTCCCATATACAGAGCACAGGCAGAGTAGATTTAGCATAATTCTTTATTATTATTATTATTATTATTTTTGAGATGGAGTCTTGCTCTGTCACCAGGCTGGAGTGCAGTGGAGCAATCTCCGCTCACTGCAACCTCCGCCTCCCAGGTTCAAGCGATTCTCCTGCCTCCGCCTCCTAAGTAAATGGGACTGCAGGTGCACACCACCATGCCCAGGATTTAACATAATTCTTAAGGGCCCTGGGAGGTTTGGAACAGCCAATGAATATTGGCTTCAACTTAAAGTTACCAGTCACATTAGCCTCCAAAAAGAGAGTCAGCCTGTCCTTTGAAGCCAGGCATTAACTTCTCTCTAGCTATGCAAATCTTAGTTGGCATCTTCTTCCAATATAAAACTATTTTGTCTGCATTGAAAATCTGTTGTTTAAGGAACTCAAAAAACTCAACAGTAAAAAAACAAAACAAATAACCCCCTTAAAAATTTGGCAAAGGACATGAATAGATACTTCCCAAAAGAAGACATACAAATGACCAACAGATGTATGAAAACACGCTCAACATCAATAATCACCAGGGAAATGCAAGATCAAAATCACGATCAGATATCACTTTACCTCCATTAGAATGGCTATGGTTAAGAAGACAAATATAAGACAAAATATAACATGCTACTGAGGATGCAGAGAAATGGGAACTCACCAACCCACTGTTGGTGGGAATATAAACTAGTACAGTCACGATGGAAAATAGTGTGGAGATTTCTCAAAAACCAAAAAATAGAACCATCATATGATTCAGCAATCCCACTATTGCGTATTTATCCAAAGGAAAATAAATCAGTATATCACAGGGATACATGCAGTCCCATGTTTATTACAGCACCATCCACAATAGCAAAGATATGGAATCAACTTTAGTGTTAATAAATAAATGAATAAAGAAAATGTGGTATATATACACAATAGAATACTACTCAGCTATAAGAAATGAACAAAATCATGTAATTTGCAGCAACATGGATGGAACTGGAGTTCATCGTGTTAACGGAAATAAGCCAGACACTGAAAGACAAATATTGCCTGTTCTCACTCACATGTGAGAGCTAAAAAAGTTTATCTAATAGAGGTAGACAATAGAATGATGGGTACCAGAGGCTGGGAAGGGTGTGTGTGTGGAAGGAGGCATGAAGAAAGATTGGTCAATGGGTACAAACGTACGGTTAGACAGAATAAATAAGTTCTAATGTTTAATAGTAGAGTAGCGTGATTATAGTTAACAACAATGTATCATACATTTCAAAATGGCTTGTAGACAGGACTTGAAATGTTCCCAACACTTAGAAATGATAAATATTTGAGATGATGGATATTCTAAATACCCTGACTTGATCATTACACATTCTGTTTGTGTAACAAAATATTACATGTGTTCCATAAATATGTACTAATATTATGAAGCAATTTACCTACGGCTATTTACCACATTTTCTTTATCCAGTCCACCACTGGTGAGCATCTAGTTTGATTTCATGTCTTTGCTATTGTGAATAGTACTGCGATGAACATGTGAGTGCATATGTCTTTCTGGCAGAACAATTTGATTTTTTTGGATATATACCCAGTAATGGGATTACTGGGTCAAATGGTAGTTGTATTTTAAGTCCTTTGAAAAATCTCCAAACCGCTTTCACAGTGACTGAACTAATTGTATATAGCTTCTTTTTTTAAAAAAATCTTATGAACCAACCTCTACTAGCTTCAAACTTTTTTCCTGCAGCTTCCTCCCTCTCTCAGCCTTAAAAGAATTAAAGGGAGTTAGGGCCTTGCTCTGGATTAGGGATTGGCTTATGGGCATGTTGTGGCTGGTTAGATCTTCTATCCAGACCACTAAACTTTCTCCCGATCAGCAATATGGCTGTTTCACTTTCTTATCATTCATGTGTTCACTGAAGTAGCACAATTAATTTCCTTCAAGAACTTTTCCTTTGCGTTCACAACTTGGCCAACTATTTGGCACAAGAGGCCTAGCTTTTAGCCTATCTTGGCTTTGACATGCCTTCCTCACTAAGCATGATCATTTCTAGCTTTTGATTTAAAGTGAGAGACATGAGACTCTTCCTTTCTCTTGAACACTTAGAGGCCATTGTGGGGTTATTGACTGGCCTAATTTCAATATTGCTGTGTCTCAAGGAATAGGAGGCCTGAGGAGAGGGAGAGAAATGAAGAAGCGACAGGTTGGAGCAATCAGGACACACACAACGTTATTAATTAAGTTCACCATCTTATATGGGCAAGGTTTGTGGCACCCCAAAACAATTAAAATAGTAACAGCATAAATCACTGATCACATATCACCATAAGTTATAATAATAAAGAAAAAGACTGAAATATTGCTAAGATTAACATACTGTGACACAGACACAGAAAGTGAGCACATGCTGTTGGAAAAACGACACTGATAAACTTACTCAATGCGGGGTTGCCACAAACCTTCTATTTGTAAAAAAAACACACTATCTGCAAAGCATAATAAGGCAAAATACAATAAACTGAAACACAATAAAATGAGATTTGTCTGTATTTCAAACATATTTGGGAGAGAGAGGAATGGTATAATTACTGTCCTCATATTTTTTTAGAGTGTCATGTAGGAAAGGATTAGAGGTATTCTGTGAAGCAGATACAGGGCAGATCCAGAAGTTTCAAGAAGCTAAGGTCCAGATTGAACCTAGTTAAACCCGAACAATTTTAAAAGCAAAGATATTTAGAAATGGAGTGAATTATATTGCAAATTGTGAGTGCTCTGTACAGAAGTTTCCAGCTTTAGGTAGGAGGTTGAGCTAGAATATTTTCAAGTTCCCATTCAACTCTACGTTCTATGATTCTGCAATTTTATTTTATTTATACAAAGATAAAACTACTTATAGATGTTTTTCAAGTCTAGGGGCACCAATTAATATTGTTTTGATTTAAACATATTTATCATAAGATTATTGTAGACATAGCTGAAATCCTTACAGATTGAGCATGCAGAATAAGGCTAAAAATAAGCAGGAGGTGGGCTTCAGAGTGTTGGAGAGGAAAGTACAATAATTTTAGAACTTCGGCTGGCAACGATCACAAGAGGCTACTAATGTTCACAGATCGTTTTATATTTGACTTTAATAACCAGGATCATTTGGTATGGGTTCAGGTAATGAGGTATTTTATTTTTCATGACAAATGCATCCTTAAATCTATTTACTTTCATTTTGTCATGTTATTATAAAAGTATTATTCTATCTCTCCGGAAAACTATTTGATAACACTGAGTAGGCAATCATCAGACTGATGTTGTGTCCCACATAACTTGGAAATTATGCCTTAGGGGATGGGGAAAAGAGCTCAGGAAAAGAGAAAGCATATTATTATAACTAGCAATAGTTTCATGTATTTTTTCCCTGCTTGCCAGTACTTTTTACAGATGAGGTCTTAAAACTGGATGACAGTCAAATAATTTGGAATAATAAATAATGCCAGGTGAAGATCAGGTCCAATTTCTTTTAAAAAATGTTGAATTCAACAATTCAAATAACCAAAATATGTTAAACTTGGAGACTGATCAGAATTGCTGGCTAAGGCAGATACTTTGAAGTAACTGATGAAGTTCCCTATAACCAGAACTTTTTGGCATGGCTTAGAAAGATAGTATAACATAAACTCTAAAATGATTTTCTTCACTGGGGCATCTTGACAAGCAATTAGGAAGAATCAAGGTCTAACAATTGTGAAAAATGTTGCAGTTTTTAAAGGACTACAGTCCCCTGAATGTGAATTTCTTACTTAGGTAATAATAATTACTCTCATTTATTGGGTGATAAACAATATGTCAGGCGTTATTTCAAATGCTTTGTTTATGGTGTTTTATTTAATCTTCATCTCAACCTATGAGGGGATTATTTTCCCATTTACCAGATGAGAAAACTGAGGGTCTCGGCTAAGATTTTCAAACTTAGGTGTCTGGAGCAGCGTCATAGAGCTGTTGGTGGAAAAGAAAAAAAAGAAGTTTGAAAGTTACTTCTATGGGTTGATTTCCTTTACAATGAATTCCAATGGACTTCAGCTGTACTTGATTTTTGTTTTTTTTTAGGTATTATAAGGCAAATTTGACTGGTATGTGATATGTCATAGTGTATATGCTCCATACTTTTAGTCTTTTTCATGTTTCTATACTTTTTTGTCTATGAGTCAGATATTTATTTCAATGACAAATATTTTCTCTAAAATAAGATATACTCAAATAATTCTTTCCAAAGATATCACTATCATGCTAACAGAATATCTGATTCATTTATTGTTTCTTTCAAATTTTATCCAGCAGTTTAGTATCATGTTGTCATTTATAAGATATGTGTAAATATATTATGTTTAAGATTTTATAGAAATTCTAGTTGACTGAAATGTTTTGAAAATCGCCTTTTATCTAAGAAATTCAAATGCATCACAGTCATTCACATTAGGGCTCTGGAAGATAATAAAGCGGGCCTAAAATAGAAGGCTTTTATGTATTTTGCTCTTGTCTTTATATTTTATATCTCATAGAGGACAAGAGGGAACAACAAAGCCATAGAATTTTTTTAAACTTTTGTTTTTTTTCTTTTCGTTTTGGTTCAACATTTCTTATCTGCTTTCTGTCATAGGAAGAACACATTGAGTGTAGTATTGGTAGGATCCTTCAGCACCCTGCTTCTGTTATGGAAGCTCAATGGGAAAATTCCTCTCTCCCCAGCCCTTGGCAGACAGAGCTCATGATGGTAGAGTTTTGAATGAAGATGTGGTATGCTCTGGTAATGAGCATCCAACTGTTGTGTGGAATGTTAGTGTCTTGGCGAGAATGTTCATAATACCTAACTTCCAGAATCCCTTTGGGCCTCACACATTTTCCAGAACTACCTCCCACCAATGTGCAGACTTTTTATTCTACCGGTAATTTCCTTTCTTGCTTGTGACAGCCAGTTGTTTCTGCCGCTTGCCCCAAGGGCCCTATGATCATCAACCTGCACCTGTGAGAAGCCTGCTAATGCAGCATTTTGGAAATTTGAATGACTTGCTTTGGGTAGGTCATATATCTAGCTCATTCTTGATGGAATGAAGAATAAAATCCTTCCTCATCCTTTACTAAGCCTTAAGCCCCATGATTGAACAAAATAAATATATAAATATCTATGACAAATATATTTTAAAAATATCAAAACATTGAGACAGTTTTGAAATCACCGAGGAAATAAACCTCTATTACTAAAGTTGAGAAGGAAACGTGATCCTTGTCACCAAACATGTATATTTTTATGCTATGCTTTTGTCTTCTAAAGGAGTTATTTTATGCGAGGATGAGGATACAGACCTTCTGACAGGCAACTTTCAGTCCTCAGTGTCCTCCTTGTAAGAGTTACTTGTGTTAGCTTTCATGGAGCTTTCTGTTTTAAACAACAGCAAAACAAATCTATTCAAACTGTTGCAATTTCTGAAAAATTGTTTTTCTCCCCCTCCTTTTTACGATGTCTTCTGGGAAACTGAAATGCAATTTGGAAACAAATGACAGCTCAGGACTCACTCTTCCAGCTCTAAAAGGAATTCTGAGCACAAATTTTAAAGTTCAGGTTCAAGCATTTAGGTTTTAATTCAAAGGGAGTTGTACATTTGCCATAACGTCCTTTTTTTCTTTTATGAAAACAGACATTCAGTTATACAAAGGGAGATGCTAACATCTTACACCACCCGCACGTATTAGAATTTCTGTTCTGTGTCAGCTTTGTGTTCACAAGAACTCCTGCATGTTTTTCCCCCAGTCATGGAGAAAATATAGCATATTACCTACTGCTGTTATTTACATATAACTTGGCTGATGAAAATTTAATAGTTTTTAAACCAGTAAAATACAGATGAGGACTAGAGAACCAATGACTGCTGCTATTCAGAAAGGGGTTGAACTTTCCTCCTTCTGCACTAATGTCTATCCAAATACAACTCCATTAATGCTAATTATTGTCAGTGATTATTTTCTATGTGGACATTTATTTATTTATTTTCTTTAATGATAAAAACTAAATCTTTGTATACATGGAAAATTATTTTGACTACAGGATCTGATAGATATTTGAGTTACTCAGACAAATGATCATTTCAGTAAGTAGTTTATTTCTTTCTCTTGCCTGATTGTCCTGACCAGAACTTCCAATACTATGTTGAATAGGAGTGGTGAGAGAGGGCATCCTTGTTCTGTGCCAATTTTGAAAGGCAATGCCTCCAGCTTTTGCCCATTCAGTATGATATTGGCTATGGGTTTGTCACAAATAGCTCTTATTATTTTGAGATATGTTCCATCAATACCTAGTTTATTGAGAGTTTTAACATGAAGGGATGTTGAATTTTATTGAAGGACTTTTCTGCATCTATTGAGAGAAGAATTGGATAAATTCCTGGACACATATACCCTCCCAAGACTAAACCAGGAAGAAGTCGAATCCCTGAATAGACCAATAACAAGCTCTGAAATTGAGGCAGCAATTAATAGCCTACCAACCCAAAATAGCCCAAGACCAGAGAGATTCACAGCTGAATTCTACAAAGAGGAGCTGGTACCATTCCTTCTGAACCTACTGCAAACAATTGAAAAGGAAGGACTCCCCCTTAACTCATTTTATGAAGCCAGCATCATCCTGATACCAAAACCTGGAAGAGGCACACCAAAAAAAACAGAACTTTAGATCGATATTTCTGATGAACATCAATGCAAAAATCCTCAGTAAAATACTGGCACACTGAATCCAGCAGCACATCAAAAAGCTTATCCACCATGATGAAGTTAGCTTCATCCCTGGGATGCAAGGTTGGTTTAACATATGAAAATCAATAAATGTAACCCATTACATAAACATAATCTAATTCTTAAAAGAAGTAATTTTTAGGCCAATTTAGGGGAAACGTTTGGTCAAACATCTTAGAATATACTGAAAAAGTCATCTTTCTGAATTATATTTTCATCAAAAGAATGAGAGAAAATGAAGTTATCCCATAATAATTTTTAAAAATTATTTTATTATCTGTATTAGCTAAAGGTCATTCTAAAATGAGCAGTCTTTAGTAACTGTAAAATAGTAATAAATTATAAGAATATATTATTTACTCAATGATTATCCTAAAATAATCTTTGCTCTTCATTTTTGGAATGAAGGTCAAATGCTACTCTCTGAATCCTTTCATAATCCCTGTGGTGAGAATTATTCCCTCCATTGTCTTTCAACAGCATTTTTATACCGTTATTACCACATTTAACACCTTGAATCTTCATTATTTTTTATCCTGTCTTCCACACAGGACTGTTGAGAGGTAATGTTTTATTCACAGCTGTGTTCCCATAGAGCCAGTCACAGATAAGGCAATCAATAAATGTTGTTGGATGAAATGAATACATTTACTTGAGCAAATATTTTATTAATTTCCCATTTCCCCATTCTACTTTTTTTTGTTGTTGTTATTTCTTAAAGCTTATCTTTCCCTATCTTCTCATGGCCTTTCCCACCTTTGTAAATGTTTACCTTACTGCCTTTGCTTGCTTATTGTCACCTTAAGAAATTTCCACCCCTTTCTGCAGCTCCTCCGTCTCTATTCCTTGTTTTTAAATGCCCCACACCAGCCCTTGTCTGAGACTGGAAATCCCTTCGTGAGGACATCCCTCATTTTCTGGAATCTAAAATCTTCATTGTCAAAGCATAACCTTGCAATAATGATTACTGACTGCAATTTATTATATTAAGAGTGTTGGCAACATTCTAACTAATCCAAAATGAAGGAATTAAGAATCAAGGTTTTAAATAAAAGCATGTTTTAGAAAACTACTGTCTTACTTAGTAATAAGATGAGGCCATGGTAATACACCCAAAGAGATTCTACCATTTAACATAGAGATTTAGGAGATTCTACCACTTAAATGAGTCCAGGGGCAAATTGTTTTGGGCCCTGCTCATACACTTGCTTCAAAGTCCCAGACTTCTTAAACGTAGCAACTGAATCCTAGGGCCTGTGTGGGGAATGCCCTCAGTCTATTGTTAGGTCCTCAGTCCCCCTCTTGGATCAACAGTGTGGCAGAAATTTGGCTGTTCTGGGAACCCCATAGTTTTAGGAGAGTAAGAAAATTAATTCATGCACAAATTATATCATAACTTAAAAATAACCAGGCTAACTTAACTAGAAAATGGTAGGTATTTACGGGTCTGTATTTTTAAGTTTGTACTTTATCTTCCTCCCTGTTTTCTTTCTCCATCCTTTCCTCCCACCCCACTTTGTTCTTTCTTCACCTTTCTTCCTCCTTAGCCAGAGTGTGGAGTTCTCTTGGCTTGTGGTGCAGCATCACTATTAGTCCCCTCAAGACCCCTCTCTCGTTATGTTAGCATATTCCTTTTTATACTATTGCCCTTCAATTGATCTCCCATATATGGACAATGTCATAAAAGTTATTTCACCATAAATCCCATTGTGTTTTTTACCCTTTCCATATTATGGTTTTAAGAATTACTTCGAATGATGAATAATATTCTGTAGTACGTATCCTCCACCTGTTCACATTATTCTGTTCAGTCCCTCCACTGAGGGACATCTAGGTGGTTCCAACTCCCCTGCAATATGCATATTCTTGCATGTCGCTAATTGATCATTTATTTAGTGAGGGAATACCAGTAGAGGGGTTCTTGGACACAGAGTATACTTTTCCCTAATATCACTAAGAACTGCCATATTGTTCTTAGCTACACCATTCTACAAAACATTAGCTGAACCATGGTGGTTTCTGCTTCCCAAATCCTCACCAACACTCCAAGTTTTTCCAACACATATTTTTTAGGGTTTAAAATGGGATTTCTTTGTTTTGATTTACTTTATTCTCATTATGAATGGTATTGAGTATTTCTTCATATAATTATTTAACATTTGGGCTTCCCCTTTTCTCAAATGTCTGTTTTTAAACTTTGAGTTTCTTCTCCTTTTCTTATTTTCTTGAAGTAGTTCCTCCTACCCCCAACCATGTATCATTATCTTGTCAAGTTTTAGATATTGCAAATATTTTCTATATTGTCATCATTTGATTACTTTGTCTAGGATCTTCTTTTTTCAACAAATGAATACATTTTGATGTATTTAAATCTCTCTCTCTCTCTCTCACTATATATATATATATATATATATACACACACACACACACACTTTTATTTAAAGATTATAATCTTGTCTCATTTAAGAATTTTAATGTGTCTGAATGCTGGTAGGCTTGGTGCTAACCTCCCTTGACAATTTTGCTCAGTTTTTAAAAAGTCAGCATAACTATTCATGGATCTGTGATTAGTGATTTTGGCTTTATAATAAGAAGTTGTATCCTTTTAAAAAAATCTGGCCAGATTTTAATTGTGATTGCATTGCTTTTATACATGATTTTTGGAGAACAGAACTCAATAATATTAAGTCGTTCTTTATATATGTACAGAATATCTTTTCATATATTCAGATTATTTATGTCTATCAACAGTTTTGCAATATTTTGCAATTTTTTCAAGAGGTTCTGTAAATTCTTTGTTAATTCATACATATTAAACAGTGTTTGCTATTATTGAAAAATGCTATATTTTCTATCTGCTGCTTAGAAAAATGTGTTATAGAATTGTAGGTTTGTTTTGCATTGCTCTGACAATGTATTGCTGGATACTGCATTTTGAATAGAACCTGATCGTCTTTTTTATTGAAAATTTGAATTTATTTAAAATTATATTTATTGATATATTAGGACTTAAAAATTCAACCTTACTTAAAATTTTCTCCGTAAAAATTTTTGTTTTCTGTTTTTTTCTGCTTTGTATTAGATAAATCAAGTTTTCTTTTGCTGATTAAGGTGTGATAAATATTTTTTCTCTTTTTTATATTATTGTCACTAGCATTTTAATGCACACGTAAAGTTAATTTTTTCTTGACAATTTTATGAACTTACCAATATCTATATATATACTGAAATGAGACAAATATTTTCTACCTTTTCACCTCTCTACCTTTGGTTCTGTTACTATGTTGGAAGAATTTAAGTTCTAAAATTCAGTTTTGTGTTGAAATGGATTTCCATTTTTTATCACTCGCTCTTCAGCTTTTCTTCAATTTCTTACCTTTTTCACTTGCTTTTATTTTATTTTACTTTTTCATTTTTATTTTTTGAGATGGAGTTTCACTCTTGTCACCCAGGCTGGAGTGCAATGGTACAATCTTGGCTCACTGCAACCTTGGCTAACTGCAACCTCTGCCTCCCGGGTTCAAGCGATTCTCCTGCCTCAACCTCCTGAGTAGCTGGGATTACAGGCACACGCCACCATGCCCAGCTAATTTTTTTATTTTTAGTAGAGACAGGGTTTCTCCATGTTGGTCAGGCTGGTCTCGAACTGCTGACCTCAGGTGATCTGCCCACCTCGGCCTCCCAAAGTGCTGGGATTACAGGCATAAGTTACCGTGCCTGGCCTTTGCTTGCTTTTAAAAAAAATTTAATTGTGGTTCTTGCTCTTCTGTACAACTATAAGTTACCTTCTAACCCATTTTTTAAATGTTTCTAATAGTACTCTACTTTTTATTGTAATATTTCCTTAAATAATATTTTCAGAGGATCTTTATTACACAGAACCTCTCAGGCTTTGAATGCATAAGAATGTCTTAATTTCATTCTTACATTTAAATGACAGTCTGAGAAGATATAATATTCTAAAATCAGAGTTCTCTTTCTTCCATATTTTGAAAATATTTCTCCATTGTCTTTTATTTCTAGAGTTTTTGTTGAGGAGTCAGATGTCAACCTAATTATCATTTCTTTTTTGGGTAGTCTGTTCTTTCTCTTCAGAAGCTTTTAGAAATTTTCCTTTGTCTTTGATAACTTTAAATTTCACTATAATAAGCCAGGGTATAAGATACTTAACTATCATTTTTTTGTCATGCTAAGAATCCATTCAATCTTTTTTATCTCTTTTTTTTCTTTCTTTTGAAACTCTTGTCTTCTGGATATTAGGACTTTCTGTCTCTGGTGGAATTTTTCAACTCTTTCTTTCATGAGCTCACTATTTCAATGCTTGCTAATACAAACGCTGCTATTTATGACTTTCATTTTGTTTTCACCTACAAGTTTTCATATCATGCAGCTTTCAAATAAAAATTATGTGTGCACATAGTTAAGTAGAGTTCAATAGTACCACAAATTGTGTTATGAAAAACAGTAGTCCCTGATCCTTCCTTTTTTCTTATTGGAAACCAGCACTCCCTATTTTTCACTGATAATTTGATATTTATTTCTGTATCTCTAAATAAAATGTGGCAGTTCTTATGTTTATTACTTTTAGTCATTTTCTATTGGTTTGATATTGTGGAGGATAAAAATTTAGCTCTCTTTACCCTTGCTCCCAATATTACTCCCCACTCAATTTTCTATTCGCATCACATCAATGTGGGTAAATAATAATTTTGATTATAAAAATGTGTTTACATTATTATGTCTGTAAAAACTGGGCCAAATAATACACTACAATTACCTTTGCTGCATGACAATTCTACTTAGTACTAGATTAATAATAGTATTTCTTTTATTTGCTTAATTTTCTATATGCTGTCATTAATTTAGTTCTAAGCTCTTGCTAGGCATGTAGGTATCACTCAGTATATTCTCATATTAGGTAATTTATTAATATTATCATCTTAAGTCTTTCCTGGACAGCCCATTCTTTAGACTTGCTGCATTCCTCTCTTCAATTTGTGAGGAATTTGGGTAGACATTTCCCCTAGAGTTTTAGCTTATAACTGGGTAGGTAAGACAGGGTCTCCTGTGTAGACAGCTATTTCCTTTGACAGATTGTATGTTTTAGGTGTACAGAGTGAGTAATAGAGCCCATTTGACTTTAGGTCTTAGCTAAGTTCCAATGACTATATTTTGTGTGTATTCTCTATTCACTGTAATTACATAAGGGGAAAAGAGAATTTAGGCACTAAACTCCTCAACAATCCTTATTGATCTGCTTTGCAAAGAGTTGTTATAAACTTCAATATGGATCCGAAATGGCCTGTGGATTAGTGTTTGGGAACCACTAAGTGAGCTCACCTACTTGTTCGACCTTCCCTAATCCCATAGATTGGCAACTCCTAAATCTGTATCTTTAACCCAGCCATCTTTCTTAAACTTAAGACTCACATCCAGCAAGCTACCTACCAAGAGGATGTTCTCTAAGTATCTCAAGACTGACATCATCCCTACAACAGGTATCCATTTTTAAATATATTTTCTATAGCAATAGGCCCTCCTAGTTGCATGTGAGAGGCAGCTTAGATTAGTGTTTAGAAAAACAATTTTTGAGCAAGATTATCTGGGTTAGAGTTCCAGTGCTACCACTTAATAGCTCTGTAACCTTGAAAAATTGACTTGGCCTCTCATTGGCAAGATAGGTATAAATAAAAGTAGGGCTGTTACATGGGATTAGGTGGATTAAAAAGTGCTTAGAACAGAGCCTGACATATAGTAAATTTTGTACGTCTCTTTAATGCAAATACACGAATAATCAAATAAACAAACTTATGCTAGAACCTCAAAAGCAATTGCTGTGTATTCTTCAATCCCCACCCATCCATTTTATTACCAAGCTATTGATAACTACTAATGACTACCAAGTTTGTCCTCTAGTTATTTCTTAAATAAGTCACTGGACCATAAACTCTGTAAATGTCTGTTGGCTTACAATCTTATTTCTAGTTTGTACCACAATACCACACTCACCTAGTGGATGTTCAATATATTTTTTGTTGAATGGTTTAATGAATTACACATACTACATTGTATTATAATTTTCTATAAATATATCCCCCCACCAGATTTAATTTTTTGACTAGGAAGACTTTCTACTCTTTTTAGCACAGTGCTTAGAAAACAGTAGGCACAAATAAGTATCCAATATATGGATGAATGAGTGAATGAATGAAAGCATTTGGATAAAAGAAGAATTCAAACCTAGTAAGTTAGATTCCTTAGAGGCAGTATTGCTCTGACTGAGAAACACACTGCTGAAGTTAATAAAGCAGAACAGCTTAATGTTATGTTGACTTTACTTGGCATCAGTTTTTTAAAAATTACCAGCAGTTAACACAGATAGACTATTGAAAGCAACTAAGATATCTAAGATATACTGAAGTAAAGCCAATTATCCTGGCAACTAAAGGTAAGTTGTGTTTGCTAAGCATTTAACTTCTGGATATGAGGATGCATTTTTAGTAACAAATCAAATAGCGGCACTTCTGGACCCTTTCATATTGTCTGAAGTACTCTACTCCAGAAATGGAATATTATAATATTCTTGACCAAGGGTATCCACACTATTATAATATTTATGCCAAATATCTACACTATTAAAATATTTATGCCAAATATCTACACTATTATATTTATGCCAAGTTACATTAACTTATAAAACAAAAGTAATAATAAAAAAAATTCTAAGCTTTCTAGGTGATGGAAATATTTTATTACTGAAAGTACTAGATAACCATTATACTATCAATAACATATATGCTTAAAATATATCCAAATATTTTTATAACATGAGTGACTGGTAATTGAGTTATGTATAAAATGAAAAGTAAATATTTTAATTTTAAATCTGAATTAACCCCATGCTATATATTGAGCAAAACAACAACAGCAGAACACATTGTTCCAATAAAATGACAAAGAATTGGCTGATCTACTTTACAGAGAACAGCAAAATAAACAGAGCAAAGAAACACGCATGATGGCAGTCATACAGAGACAGTGCAGATACCATCTATGCTGATTTGGCTCCATTTTACACAATGCACAAAGTCATTCTTTGTTAATAATCACAGCAAACTATTTTATTTGTATTTTCCTTTATCCTACACAAGAAAAATTATACTTAACATGGCCTAGGGTAAGTATTCCAAAAAAGGATTCCTTAATTTTTAAAAGATTTTATGAAAATATATCAGATGACAAACGAAATGTTAAATATGTGCAACAACCTTTTGCTCTGTTTATTCAATGGCTACTATATTTTCACTGCAGATTTCTATGCTATTTGCCATAACAAATAACAAGCCCATGAAATTATTACTCCTGTGTAGGAAATCATGATCCAGAAAAACAGTCATGTGTTAAACAATGTTTAAAAATTGCTATTTAACTTAATAAATATTTATTAAACACTCGCTGTGCTGAAAAATCTGATAGAAAAGAATAGGCGAAATTCAGCTACACATCTACCCATACTCATGCCCACACAAACACATACACACATAGTGAGTGTCTTATTTCTTGGTGCCATTTTAGAGGTTCGGCATCAGTGGAAGGGTGTTCCAAGAAAGAGAGGACAACTTCTGGTTTATAAGAAAAGAAGTATATCAGCAAGAAAGGACTAGATAAACATTGAAGAATGGACAAGACCTTGACAAGTAGAGAATGTGGGGAGGACATGAGGTGGAGAAAGTTTCACTGGGGACAGCACAGAGGCAGGAACTGTGAAAGCATCAGTAGCTCAGTGGGGCTGGACAATAAAGGTTGATGTTTTGGAATACAGTGGGAGGTAAGCCAGGCTCACAGCACTGACAGTCTTGATGACCAGCTTAAGGAGTTTGCATTTGTATGGTAAGCAAGGAGGAGCTGTTAGACTTGAAGATATACTTGAATTTAAATATTTATTTTATGCTTGGATATTTTATTACATTTTAATGTAAAATTTTAATTTATAATATTATAACTAATTTGTCATTTTGAAAAATTGGGTCCCTCATATAACATTTTATACTCTATAGACACATAATTCAAAGTGAGTGCAAGTGAACAGAAATAAATTTAACATAATACTCATTTCTCAAAATGATCACTATGTGAAATTCAATATATTTTGGTAATCATTCAGTAGTTTCCATAATATACCTTCTGTGGGTAATAAGCAAGAAGATGAATTAACATCTACACAAAGGTTGATGAAAATGACTTATGTATAAAAAATGGATGCTATAATGAATCTGGATATTTGAAGCTGGATGACAATGAAGTTACTTTATTTTATTTTTCATAGAAGTAATCATTTAGGCTTAGCAAAGCCAAAATTTTAGAGAATTTGGGAAACACAGGGAAGTAAAAGAAGAACTTTAAAAATATTAGAACTTTAAAAATAACACCTTGAAGTTCTAACATTTAGATAAATAATTCTTTGTATTTTCATGTATCTCTTTCTAATTTCATTTCTTGGACTGTGCTTGTGTTGAGTGTGTGTGTTTGCATGTGTATGAGAGAAAGAGGGACAGTATTCTGAAAACAAAATCATTCTGTAGGTATGATTTTCCATCCTGCTTTCCTTTTACATAGCTTTATTTATTGAGGTATTATTAGTAAATAATAAATGGTACATTTTGAAATTGCATAATTTGATAAGTTTAACATATTTATACACCCATGAAACCATCACCACAACCAAGATAATGAACATATCTATCATCCCTAGAAGTTTCTCATGCCCTTTTGTAATATCTTCCCTCCTGCCTCTCTCCACCCCTACCTAGACAATCATGATTCACCATCACTATGGACTAGTTTGTGTTACCTAGACTTTTACATAAAAGAAAGCACACATTACGTACTCTTTTCCACCTGCCTTCTTTCGTTAAGCACAATAATTTTGAGGTTCATACATGTTGTTGTGTGTATTGATAGTTTAGCCCTTTATATTGGTGAATACTATTCCAGCATATGAATGTAATTTGTTTTTCATTTACCTATTAATGGAAATTTGCGTTATTTCCAGTTTTGGGCTATTACCAATAAAGGTACTATAAATATTTGTGTACAAGTGTTTGTATGTAAGTTTGCTTTCTTAGTCCATTTGTGCTGCTATAACCAAATACCTTTTACTGGGTCATTTCTAGAGAACAGAAATTTATTTTTTCTAGTTCTGGAGACTGGGAAGTCCAAGATGAAGGTACCAGCAAGTTTGGTGTCTGGTGAGGGACCTGGTCTCTCCTTTCAAGATGATGCCCCACATAGCAAAAGGGAAGGAAGGGTAGGAGAGTGTGTGCTTCAACCACTAGCCCTTTTCTTAAGGTGGTAATCACATGCATGCGGGCAGAGCTCTTGCGACTTACTCACCTCCCAATTGCTACACCTTTTAATACTGTTACATTGGGGCTTACGTTTCAATGTGAATTTTGGAGGAGATGACATGATTCAAATCGCAGCACATGCTTTCATTTCTTTGGGGTCGATATCTTGGAGTGAACTGGCTGAGTTATATTGTGGGTATGTGTCTAACTTTTAAGAAACTGACAAAGTTTTTCCCACCAGCAGTGTATATGAGTTTTAGTTTTTTCATATGCTTGCCAACACTTTTATGATCACTCTAGAATTTTAGTTATTCTAGTAAGCGTGCAGTCGTATCTCATTGTGGATTTAATTTACATTTCTCTAATAACTGATGATCTTGATCATGTTTTCCTGTTCTCTTTTGTCATCCATGTATCTTGTTTATTAAAGTCTATGTTCAAATCTTTTGCCCATTAAAAATGTTTATTATTGCCGGGCGCAGTGGCTTACGCCTGTAATCCCAGCACTTTGGGAGGCTAAGGCGGGCTGATTGCCTGAGCTCAGGAGTTTGAGACCAGCCTGGGCAACAAGGTGAAACCCCGTCTCTACTAAAATACAAAAAATTAGCCTGGCATGGCGGCTGCGCCTGTAATCCCAGCTACTTGGGAGGCTGAGGCAGGAGAATCGCTTGAACCCAGAAGGTGGAGGTTGCAGTGAGCCGAGATCACGCCACTGCACTCCAGCCTGGGCGACAGAGCAACACCCTGTCTCAAAAAAAAAAAAAAGTTTATTATTGAGCTTAAAAATGTCTTTATATTTTCTGGATATGAGTCTTATAACAGGTTCGTGGTTTGCAAGAATTTTCTCTCAACTGGTGGCTTGTCTTTTTATTATCTTACCTTGAAAACTATGTATTATTAGCATTATGGGCAAAATTACACTTAATCATTGCTTTGAATGTTTCAATTTCTCTACTAGCAAAGTTGACTATTTTTAAAAAATAATTCGATATTTGAATTTTATTTAGGTTTTTTTCAGTTTTTATAAGGTTTTTATATATAAAGACTATATATAATTCATTTGTAATATAATTCATTTGCAATACTGGTTCCTAGTGTGCTGTTTATCACTAAAAGTTTGTAATATATTGAAATATATGTGCCTGAAGAGTTACTGTATTCAAGTGTATTATTTAATAAAAATCTATTATTGATTTCCTGATTAAGATTAGATATTTAGTCATTTACATTTTTTTCTATGTATACAGTTTCGTTTTTGAGGAGTTAGTTTGGAAAAGACATATGGAGTTTATATTTTGATATGTGGTATGAGATAAGAATCTAAAGATTATTTTCCAAGTCAGTATTCTCAAATTTAATAGTTTTTAGGCCTTACCAGTGTATCATGTACCATTACTATATTGAAAATTCTTAAACATGGTAATATTTAC
Organism: Homo sapiens; assembly: GCF_000001405.40. Taxonomy (NCBI): domain Eukaryota; kingdom Metazoa; phylum Chordata; class Mammalia; order Primates; family Hominidae; genus Homo; species Homo sapiens. Next base: position 180,795,560 of record NC_000002.12, on the reverse strand, counting down.
ATTTAATTTGCATATCCTATCCATCAAGTCTTATGTCAGTGCAGCATTGTTTTAATTACTGTAAGGCCAGGCTCAGTGGCTCACGTCTGTAATCCCAGAGCTTTGGGAGGCTGAAGTGGGTGGATCACCTGAGGTCAGGAGTTTGAGACCAGCCTGGCCAACATGGTGAAACCCTGTCTCTACTAAAAATACAAAAATTAGCTGGACGTGGAGGCGGGCACCTGTAAGCCCAGCTACTTGAGAGGCTGAGGCAGGAGAATCACTTGAACTCGGGAGGTGGAGATTGCAGTGAGCCAAGATCATGCCATTGTACTCCAGCCTAGGTGACAAGAGTGAAACTCCATCTCAAAAAAAAAAAAACAAAAAAAAAATTTCGTAGACATATGTTCTAATATAATATATAATATAAACTAATACAAACCATTCCTCCCTATCTCTTAAAAAAATGTTGCAGAAGTATTGAATGCAATTGTTTAAAGTTTAAATAAATGTAAAGGCAACTTATATTTTTAGAATTTTTGTTCTCTTATTTAAGAATATAGTCTACTCATTTACTAAGCTCATTTTCATTTCACTCTGAATATTTGTAGTGTTCGTTTATGAGTGTTACATATTTCTTGATGATGATTTCATATTTTATGCATTTTTATCATTTTGTTATTATTATGACCAGGAACTTTTATCCATTTTGCTGATTATTGCTGCTAAATATAAAAAATAAAATTTTCACATTTATTTTTCCATGTTTAACTTACTATTTTCTCCTGTTAATTAGAAGGACATTTCAGTTAATTTTGTAGGACATTTTTGTTGGCTAATATCTGAAAATAATGATGTTCTTGTTTCCTCTTGTTTCATCTTATTGATTTAGGCAGAACTTCTAAGACTATATTAAATCATAGTGGTGATAAAAATTATATTTATTGTTTTTCTGACTTTGATATTAAGCCTACAGTTTCAATATTAAGTGTTAAGCTTTTGTTGATTTAGATTGATATTCTTTATTACCTTAAGAAAATATTGTACTACTCACAGGCTTTTCATACTTTTAAAAAAGTCATATATGTGTCAGATATTTTATAATCAAAGTTAACATTTTTTAAAAAAAAATATGATCATGATGACAATGCATCTAGACGTGAAAAATTCTGGCTCAATAGATAGAACATGTACAACTTTCTCTGTCTTAATTCCCACTTGATGACATAAATTTTCTATGTTCTTAAAATAATAAAATCATTACAGCCGAGGAAGTAAAGAATACAATCAGCTTCAAGAAATTACTGGAAAATATAAGTCCAAAATTAGTCCAATAGAGAACCTAGAGCAGGAAAGAAACAGTAGTCTGACACTCAAGCCTACTTGTTTTTCAGTGAGCTTTGGAGGAAATTTGTAACTTGGAATCAACTAGGCAACGAAAGAAGTTGTCAGAGAAAATGGTGACAGTAATTCATGAAAATATTTTTCTCCCAAAATAAAGCCTAAAAATGATTCTATCAATCAGCTTCGGGTGTGTCACTTAACTCTAGAGTTAATTGTATTCACCTACCATCATATTTAATTGTTGCTTGTTGATATTTTCGTTTTTGAGTCTAAACTATAGGCCAGTGGTCCCACATTTTAATGTCCATGAAAAACATTTAAAGAGATTGGTTTTTAATATGCTTTTAATTTTTAATTTTTGTGGGCACATAGTACATGTATGTATTTATGGGTTACATGAAATATTTTGATACAGGCATGCAATGTGTAGTAATCACATCAGGGTAAATGGAGCATTCATCACCTCAAGCATTTATCCTTTGTGTTACAAACAATCCAGTTATGCTCTTTTGTTATTTTAGAATGTACAATTAAATTATTTTACTAGAGCCATTCTGTTGTGCTAGCAAATACTAGGTCTTATTTATTCTTTGTAATTTTTTTGTATCCATTAACCATCCCCACCTCTCCCCCACCCAACCCCCTAACCTTTTCCAGTCTCTGGTAACCATCCTTCTACTCTGTACCGCCATGAGTTCAATGGTTTTAATTTTTAGCTCCCACAAATAAGTGAAAACATGTGAAGTTGCCTTCCTGTGCTGGCTTATTTCACTTAACATAATGACCTCCAGTTCCATCCAAGTTGTTGCATTTAATATGCTTTTAATATGCATTTATTATTTCTTGAGTTTGGTCATATTATAGCCCCCAAGCTCAGAAAATATGGTTCAGGCATGGGGTAGGACCCAAAATCACCATAATATAGTGCTGCTGTGGGACAACACTTGTAGAAATGTGTCTTAGATAGACACGGAAGATTTTATTACAGTTGAGGATTTAAATATACATTCATATGTTTTATAAATATTATTAGTGCAAAAACTATATAATTTAGAAAAATTGGGAGATGAGGGGAGGTGAAGAAGGGGCAATTGCAGATGAGCTAATTTCCTCATACTTCACAGTGAGGCATTGATCAATTTCAAAAAGAAAGAAAATCAAAGTATTACAAACAATAAAGCAAATATTGCTCATCATTCCACCACTTAGAGATAAATTTTAGATGTCCACCAACTTCTTTGCTCCTGCCACAAACACATATACAAAATTTTACAAAGATGTGATCATATTATTCATGCCAATCTTTAACTTCCTTTTCTTCATTCTACCATTTATTTATTAGTTTAAGTCAGCACAGCTTTGTCTTCGAATGAATTACCAAAAAACAAAAACAAACACAAAACAAAAAACAGTGTTTAGAACTTCAGATGAAGGATTGTGGACTTAACCAACTTAATTCTCCAACAACTGTGCTAGGAAATTTCTGCTTCTCAACCTGATTAACATTGTTCTTCAGTGACTATTGGGAAATGGTTTTATGTGTCATCTCCTTTGACCTTCTCATGTGTATTAATACATTAATAGATTTTTAAAATATTGAACCATCTTGAAATTACTAGCATAAATCTTATTTATGACATATTATTTTTACATTTTCTACTCGATTTAATTTAGTAGTATTCTTTTATACTCCTTGAGGATTATTCTGCCTTCTCCCCTACCCTGCCTCTTCCCTTGTTCTTTTTCCCCCACTTTTTCTGTTTAGTTTCAGTGTAAAACTTTTGTTATATGATAAAAGTGAATTACAGTAAAAGAGCAGAAAAGACAGACAGAGAACTCTTAATTTATTTCATAGTCATTGGCTTATTAGATTTTAGAATATAGACTGTGAGGACAGTGACTGTGTTGGTCTTCTTTGTTGCTATTATTTTGGTCCCTGGAATAGTGCCCGGCACATAGGGAATGCTCAATAAATATTTATCATTTAACTGATATTCAATGCTCTTTGCCTTAAAATCATTTTGTTTAATATAAATGTTTTAATTATGTTTTAAGATCTGATAAATATTTAACAATTATTTCATGTTCAACATTTTAGTGTTCATTTAGTATATCTTTCATAAATAGGGTAATGATATATCCCTGTTTGCCTGGGACAGTCGGGGGTCTGGTTTACCTCTATCTTCTATGCATAATTATTGATAGTGGCTACCTTTCATTTTCAAAAGTGTCTGATTTTGAAATAAACTACATGATCACTCTATCACAAACTACACAGAGTAGATTTTTCTTTTTCCAGTCTGAGAATCTGTCTGTTAATGAATGGAGTTAGGCAATTTATACTTTTTTTCTAATAATTGATATATTGGATTTTACTTCTGAGTACTCTTTTTTGTTTTTATTTTCTGTTTCGTAACAATGTTTCTTGTTAAATTTTTGCCTCTTTTGTTATGTAGACTATATTTTTCTGTCTTTTCTTCATCCTCTAAAGATTTCCAAGGTTCCAGTTTTCCTATCATAATTACCACTGTGAGTTTTAAGACATACTCAAATATATATTTTTCAACTTTAATAATTAAAAAAAAAAGATTTGTAACCAACTCCACAAAGAGGGCAAATTCAACTTGCTTTTATTTCACTCTCAACTACCAGTTTTGGTTTTCCTGATATTATAGTATAAGTACATAATTTGTGGCTAATTTGATACAGAAAAAGATACACTAACTGGGGAAAAGAGACAAGATGGTAATAAAAATGGCTACTAGGTCTCTGAACAGCTAAGTCTCCATGTGTGCAGTGAGATAGATGGAAATCTCTTTCTATAATTTACTTTTCTTGCTCTGCTCATTTGCTCAAATACATTTTGGTAATATAATATTGTTCCTGAGTTCTGGCACAACATTTTTTAAACTCTAATTTTAGAGCTGTTGGAATTTCCATGAATTTATTTAATAAGAATTTATTGAATGTCTCAATAAAAGGTTTTAATTCAATACTGATCAATGAGATGTGGCAGACATTTGACTGAGTGTGCTTCTCAAACTGTTTTTCTAAATTGTATAAAGCACATGCCAGAAGAGGCATTCAGTGTCTGAGTGATTCTGTCTTGATGTAACTTACATATAAGTACTGCAACATCCTGTAACTATGCTGGGAAACAGCCTGGAGACAAAGCATGCACATCAAAGATAGAGATGAGGAAACAGGAGAGAATCTGGTTTCTTGACAATGCTGTTGAAGTAACCAAATTAGGAGCCACCCTATCTCTGTACCTCTTGCTATCTGAGATAATCAACTTCTTTATTTCTTAAGCTAGTTTAAGAATGACTTTTCTAATACTTGTAACTTAATGTATGCTAACTAATAGATATTTCAACTGTCTCCCCATTTTTCTAAGCTCCTTATATTTGAATTTGATTTTATGTCAATTTTTGTTTTCTGAATTATTATATGCAACATGAGACACATTTGTAGGCACTTGAGAAATTAATAAGGAATGAAAAGGAAGAGAAAAAGAAAAAGAAGAAAGAAGGGAGGTGATAAGTAAAAAAAAGAGAGAAATGGGAAGTAGTACAAAAATAAGAAAAAGAACAAGAGAAAAAGAGGGATGAATACAAAATAGTAGTAGTATATTCACTGACAAATAACAATACTCTATAATCATGCTTGATAGATAAAAATCTATCTGTCTGTTTTCAAAGGTGGACAAAACAGCAGAGGCCATAACAGTAATGCATTCTAGGGTTTATTTATATTTACTTTAAAAATGCTAAAAATAAAACCCCCTTTTCCATAGAATTAACATTTACTGTTTTTGTGACTTTAGTCACAGTAAGAGCTAGTTATCTGCTTGGTAAACCATCACCAATACAATGCCTGGGAGTACCAGGAGATGGTATGCAAGGGACATCCACATTATCCTGGGGAAAGTGGTCAGGACATCAAGAGCTTTAGAAAGTGATTTGGAACTGACTTTTTACATACAGATTAGAAGAGCCATAATTGGGCTAGGTAGAGAGATATTACAGGCAAAGGGAGAAGCATGGAATAATTAAAGGGGTATGAAAAAACATGAAGCAGTCTAGTATGGAAACTGTATTCTAAAACAGAAGCACACTTGGCATTTTTAAAGAACGGCACAGAGGCTTGTATGGCTGGAATCTGAGTACAGAGGGGGAGAGCAGCAGGAGAGGAGTTAGGTGAGGGAAGACCATGTGCACAGTCAGTGGTGTTTGAAAAATACAAGAAAGTCTGGAAACTACCAGTATTCTATGAAAGAAAGCATTAAAGAGTGTCCAGAGTTGAGGCTTGATGGGTAGTTAGGGATCAATCCACAGAGAGCTTTGTGTATTCTGGGCTGAAAGGTTTGTGAAACCCTTACATTACCTTAAGCTAAGGAGTCACATGATATGATTTGCACTTCAGGAAGATCACTCTGGCAGCCTTGCAGGGAAGTCCACAAAAGGCAAGACGAAGTTCTGTGTATGAGGGGAGGAGGTGAGAGGACTCAGAGACCAGTTCTGCTATTACAATAATCAAGAAGCAAATGAGGCCAGAAAGGAGATTGTATTGATTAGATACAACTGTGGCAAGAGAAGGTAGACTGGGGTAATTTTAAGTTTTTTTTTTTTTGTCCTGGAAAACGGAATGGTTGGTTGTTACCTGCAGACGTAGGGAACAGAGGAGAAAATAATGAGTTTAGTTTTAGATGTGATGAGCTTGAAATGTTCGTGAGGTTGATTCTATGCACCTGGAGCTCAGCAGAGCGTTCCAAAGCTGAGAATCAAATTTTAGATTAATTGGGTGGCGTGTGAAGCCGTGGATTTGGGTGAGTCAGGAGTGGAGAACTTAAGTCAAAAGCAAAGTGAGGAGAGAACCTCAAAAGACCACAGAAAGAAAACTATGGTGAAGAATTAGAGAGAAGCAGCTATTGGAGAGACAGGAGGTTCTAGTGGCACAGAAGGCAAGATGACCCAGTTTCTATAGGAATATTCTCAGGCAGTTCCAAACCCCACTAAGAGTTCACTCATTAGATTTGATTTGCTAATAGACACGAGTATTTTACTGTTAGTTTACCCAGCTAAGCCATTTCTTGAAATACTGCCATATAGCAAGTTCCCACTTTCTCATTCAGTCCTTCTGGGTATATCTGAAACAAAAAGTAATCTTAGTATAAATGTATGGATAAGTTTAGTAAATTTTTTTTAAACAGATGAAAAATTAAGCTCTGTCATTTGCTAATTTGACCATAGATTATCCATTAATTCCTCTGGGATTTAGTTTTCTCACATGTTAAATAAGAAGATGGTTAGATGGTTTGTTAGTTTTCTCTCTGAAATTCTATGGCACCATAATTTGCCATTGTCCAAAGGAATAGGTGCTCCAGTTTGCTGATTGGTCAGGTCTTAGCCTTCCTTCCTTCCTGGGTGAATGGAGGGACGTAAATGCCATGTGAACAAAACAAGGTAAGGAGCAATCTCATCCACGTTTAGTATTGTCTTATTCATTGCCTTGCTCAATGATCAAAGGATCATAAGTACTGGGAACAATAAATTTAACTTAATTATGAGAGTAAGCACTTGGACTCCTTAATAGTTATTTAAGTTCTTTCAATAATTTTCATGCAATGTGAATGATTTATGAAAACTAGGGATATAAGACCAAAGACAGTTGAATTTGGAAGTGGGATATAATTTTAGCTACAGACTTTGGCCAGGTTGTAACAATATATGCATTATTTTATTTTTTGTTTTGCATCTCAACTTTTAATAGCTGGCCAAATCTCCCTAAAGAGCAGTAGAAACTTGGCTTCTGAGCACCCTATGGAAAATGAGGTATATAGTACTAAATTAGACAAAATTTTACCACAAACTTACATGCTATATTCTTAGTCACACTACTTATAAACATTATTTTAACTCTTTGCAAGGATAATAACTTTGCATGTGTGTGTTTTAGTTTAACATTTTTTTGAATTAATTATAGCTTCATATGCAGTTTTTCAGTTTCCTCCAATGGAGGCATCTTTCAAAACTGCTGCAACATCACAACAGTATGCTGACCTTGATACAGCTAAGAAACAGGACGTTTCCATCACCAAAAGGATTCCTTATGTTACTCTTTTATAGCTACAACCTTTATCCTTCAACACACAATCCCCGCTTAATCCTTTGCAACCACAAATCTGTTCCCCATTTCTACAGTTTTGTCATTTCAAAAATATTATATAAGTGGATCATAATATGTAAACTTTTGAGATTGGCCTTTTTTACTCAGTATGATTATTCATTCAGGTTGTTGTATATATCAATAGTTTGTTACTTTTTATTGCTGAGTAGTGTTTCATGATGTAGATGTACCATAATGTACTTAAAAATTTACTCACTTAAGGACATTTTGTAATAGTCCTTTTGTAATAGTGTCCAGTTTGGAACATTTTGTAATAGTGTCCTTTTATAATAGTGTCCAGTTTGGAACTATTACAATAAAGGTGCTATAAACGTTTATGTACAGGTTTTCATATGAACAAATTCTTTATTTCTCTGAAATAAATGCCCAGGAGTACAATTGCTGAGTTATATGGTAATTGAAGGTACAGATTGTCAAACTGTTTTCCTGAATGGCAGTACTATTTTACATTCCTGCCAGTATTTATGAGTAATCCAGTTTCTCTGTATTCTCATCAGCATTCAATATTGTAATTATTTCTTCATTTTAGCCTTTCAGATGGGGTTGCAGGGTTGTCTCATTGATTGTGGTTTTAATTTGCATTTCTCTGTGGCTAATGATGTTGAACATCTTCCATAAGTTTGTTTATCATCTGTGTATTTTCTTTTGTAAAATATTTATCCGTTCCTTTTTGCCCATGTTCAAATAGCATTTTTTTTCACTGTTTAGTTTTGAGATTTCTTCATATGTTCTAGATACTAGTCCTTTCTTGGCTATGTGGTTTGGAAATATTTTTCCCCAACATATAGCTTGTCTTTTCATCATCTAAACAAGGCTTTAGTCACAGAGCAAAAGTTTTTAATTTTGATGAAGTCCACTTTATCATTTTTTTCTTTTATGGATTATATTTTTGGCATTAAGTATTGGAACTGTTTGCCTTGTCCTAGATTCTAAAAATTCTTTCCTTTTCTTTTTCTAAAAAACTTTAATTTTACATTTTATATATATGTCTGTGATCTATTTTGAATTCATCTTTGTATAAGGTGCAAGACTTAGGTTGAGGCTCTTTTTTTTTCTTTTTCTTGTGGAAGTCCAAATACTTCAGCACAATTTTGTATGTTTATCTTGTATTCTGCAACCATAAAGAACTCATTTATTAGTACTAGGAGTTTTTTGTAGATTCTTCAGAATTTTCTACATAGATAATCAATGCATTTGCAAATAAGGACAGTTTTATTTCTTACTTTCTGATCTGTATGCTTTTCATTTCCTTCCCTTGTCTTAGTGAATTGGCTAGAACTTCCAATAGTATAATCAATAAGAGTAGTGAGAATGCACTACTTATCTTATTTCTTAATTTAGGAAAAAAAATTCAGCACTTTGCTATTCAATATAAATCTTAGCTGTAGGTATTTTTTAATTATACTTTAAGTTTTAGGGTACATGTGCGCAACGTGCAGGTTTGTTACATGTGTATACATGTGCCATATTGGTGTTCTGCACCCATTAATTCGTCATTTAGCATTAGGTATATCTCCTAATGCTATCCCTCCCCCCTGCCCCCCACCCCACAAAAGGCCCCAGTGTGTGTTGTTCCCCTTCCTGTGTCCATGTGTTCTCATTGTTCAATTCCCACCCATGAGTGAGAACATGCGGTGTTTGGTTTTTTGTCCTTGCGATAGTTTGCTGAGAATGATGGTTTCCAGCTTCATCCATGACCCTACAAAGGACATTAACTCATCATTTTTTATGGCTGCATAGTATTCCATGGTGTATATGTGCCACATTTTCTTAATCCAGTCTATCATTGTTGGACATTTGGGTTGGTTCCAAGTCTTTGATATTGTGAATAGTGCTGCAATAAACATACGTGTGCATGTGTCTTTATAGCAGCATGATTTATAATCCTTTGGGTATATACCCAGTAATGGGATGGCTGGGTCAAATGTTAATTCTAGTTCTAGATCCCTGAGGAATCGCCACACTGACTTCCATAATGGTTGAACTAGTTTACAGTCCCACCAACAGTGTAAAAGTGTTCCTATTTCTCCACATCCTCTCCAGCACCCGTTGTTTCCTGACTTTTTAATCATCGCCATTCTAACTGGTGTGAGATGTTATCACATTGTGGTTTTGATTTGCATTTCTCTGATGGCCAGTGACGATGACCATTTTTTCATGTGTCTGTTGGCTGCATAAATGTCTTCTTTTGAGAAGTGTCTGTTCATATCCTTCACCACATAGTTGGAAGTAAAGCACTCCTCAGCAAATGTAAAAGAACAGAAATCACAACAAACTGTCTGTCAGACCGCAGTGCAATAAAATTATAACTCAGGATTAAGAAACTCACACAAAACTGCACAACTACATGGAAACTGAACAACTTGCTCCTGAATGACCACTGGGTAAATAACAAAATGAAGGCAGAAATAAAGTTGTTCTTTATTTATTGAGAACAAAGACACAACGTACCAGAATCTCTGGGACACATTTAAAGCAGTGTGTAGAGGGAAATTTATAGCACTAAATGCCCACAAGAGAAAGCATGAAAGATCTAAAATTGACACCCTAACATCACAATTAAAAGAACTAGAGAAGCAACAGGAAACACATTCAAAAGCTAGCAGAAGGCAAGAAATAACTAAGATCACAGCAGAACTGATAGGAATAGAGACACAAAAAAACCTTCAAAAAATCGATGAATCCAGGAGATTTTTTTTAAGATCAACAAAATTGATAGACTGCTAGCAAGACTAATAAAGAAGAGAAGAGAAAAGAATCAAATAGATGCAATAAAAAATGTTAAAGGGGATATCACCACTGATCTCGCAGAGATACAAACTGCCATCAGAGAATACTATAAACACCTCTATGCAAATAAACTAGAAAATCTAGAAGAAATGGATAAATTCCTGTACACATACACCCTCCCTAGACTAAACCAGGAAGAAGTTGAATCTCTGAACAGGCCAATGACAGGCTCTGAAATTTGAGGCAATAATTAATAGCCTACCAGCCAAAAAAAGTCCAGCACCAGACGGATTCACAGCCGAATTCTACCAGAGGTACAAAGAGGAGCTGGTACCATTCCTTCTGAAACTATTCCAATCGATAGAAAAAGAGGGAATCCTCCCTAATTCATTTTATGAGGCCAACATCATCCTTTTACCAAAGTCTGGCAGAGACACAACAAAAAAAGGGAATTTTAGACCAATATCCCTGATGAACATCAATGTGAAAATCCTCAATAAAATACTTGCAAACCGAATCCAGCAGCACATCAAAAAGCTTATCCACCACAATCAAGTTGGCTTCATCCCTGGGATGCAAGGCTGGTTCAACATACGCAAATCAATAAACGTAATCTGTCACATAAACAGAACCAATGACAAAAACCACATGGTTATCTCAATAGATACAGAAAAAGGCCTTTGACAAAATTGGACAGCCCTTCATGCTAAAAACTCTCAATAAATTAGGTATTGATAGGATGTATCTCAAAATAGTAAGAGCTATTTATGACAAACCCACAGCCAATATCATACTGAATGGGCAAAAACTGGAAGCATTCCCTTTGAAAACTGGCACAAGACAGGGATATCCTCTCTCACCACTCCTATTCAACATAGTGTTGGAAGCTCTGGCCAGGGCAATCAGGCAAGAGAAAGAAATAAGGGTATACAGTTAGGAAAAGAGGAAGTCAAATTGTCCCTGTTTGCAGATGACATGATTGTATATTTAGAAAACCCCGTTGTCTCAGCCCAAAATCTGCTTAAGCTGATAAGCAACTTCAGCAAAGTCTCAGGATACAAAATCAATGTGCAAAAATCACAAGCATTCTTATACACCAATAACAGACAAACAGCGAAATCATGAGTGAACTCCCATTCACAATTGCTTCAAAGAGAATAAAATACCTAGGAATCCAACTTACAAGGGATGTGAAGGACCTCTTCAAAGAGAACTACAAACCACTGCTCAACGAAATAAAAGAGGACACAAACAAATGGAAGAACATTCCATGCTCATGGATAGGAAGAATCAATACCATGAAAATGGCCATACTGCCCAAGGTAATTTATAGAATCACTGCCATCCCCGTCAAGCTACCAATGATTTTCTTCACAGAATTGGGAAAAAAAACTACTTTAAAGTTCATATGGAACCAAAAAAGAGCCCACACTGCCAAGACAATCCTAAGCAAAAGGAACAAAGCTGGAGGCATCATGCTACCTGACTTCAAACTATACTACAAGGCTACAGTAACCAAAACAGCATGGTACTGGTACTAAAACAGATACATAGACCAATGGAAAAGAACAGAGGCCTCAGAAATAACACCACACATCTACAACCATCTGATCTTTGACAAACCTTACAAAAGCAAGAAATGGGAAAAGGATTCCCTATTTAATAAATGGTGCTAGGAAAACTGGCTAGCTATATGTAGAAAGCTGAAACTGGATCCCTTCCTTTCACTTTATACAAAAATTAATTCAAGATGGATTAAAGACTTAAATGTTAGACCTAAAACCATAAAAACCCTAGAAGAAAACCTAGGCAGTACCATTCAGGACATAGGCATGGGCAAGGATTTCATGACTAAAACACCAAAAGCAATGTCAACAAAAGCCAAAATAGACAAATGGGATCTAATCAAACTAAAGAGCTTCTGCATAGCAAAAGAAACTACCATCAGAGTGAACAGGCAACCTACAGAATGGGAGAAAATTTTTATAATCTACCCATCTGACAAAGGACTAATATCCAGAATCTACAAAGAACTCAAACAAATTTACAAGAAAAAAACAATCCCTTTCAAAAAGTGGGTGAAGGATATGAACAGACACTTCTCAAAAGAAGACATCTATGCAGCCAACAGATGCATGAAAAAATGCTCATCATCACTAGTCATCACAGACATGCAAATCAAAACCACAGTGAGATACCATCTCATGCCAGTTAGAATGGCAATCATTTAAAAAGTCAGGAAACAACAGATGCTGGAAAGGATGTGGAGAAATAGGAACACTTGTACACGGTTGGTGGGAGTGTAAATTAGTTCAACCATTTTGGAAGACAGTGTGGTGATCCCTCAAGGATCTAGAACTAGAAATACCACTTGGCCCAGCCATCCCATTACTGGGTACATACCCAAAGGATTATAAATCATGCTACTATAAAGACACATGCACACGTATGTTTATTGCAGCACTGTTCACACTAGCAAAGACTTGAAACCAACCAAAATGTCCATCAATGATAGACTGGACTAAGAAAACATGGCACATATACACCATGGAATACTATGCCACCATAAAAAAGGATGAGTTCATGTCCTTTGCAGGGACATGGATGAAGCTGGAAACCATCATTCTTAGCAAACTGTCACAAGGACAGAAAACTGAACACCGCATATTCTCACTCATAGGTGGGAATTGAACATTGAGATTGCTTGGACACAAGGTGGGGAACATCACACCCCAGGGCATGTCAGGGGTTGGGGGGCTGGGGGAGGGATAGCATCAGGAGAAATACCTAATATAAATGACGAGTTGATGGGTGCAGCAAACCAACATGGCACATGCATACCTATGTATCGAACCTGCACGTTGTGCACATGTACCCTAGAACTTAAAGTATAATTTAAAAAAAAAGAAAAGAAAAAAGAAAATCATCATGGTGACCAAACATCTGTATCATCTGCCTAGTAACTGTTCTCTTTGTAGACCGACCTATCCAGGTTATTTGGTAAGCATGGATCAGAACAATAAGAGCTAGCAAGATGACCTACATCATGCATAGCATCATATCAGGCCTTGAGAGCCTGATTCTCCCAACACCAGAGAGGGCCATCTTTCCATAAGTCCCAGCTTCAGCCACGGTAGAGTACTGCATGAGCATTGCCAGCTGCTGTTCCTTTCATGCTGTTCTTCGATATTTTTGGTAAACACTTCATTTTGACTAAATCCATGCTTGTTTAGTTTGTTTGACTAAATCCATTGCATGATAATGCAATTCAATCTGCAGAAGGGTTGAAATATGACATTACAGTTACAGGCAGATTTCACCTAAAGCTATACCCTAATAGATTGGAGGAACCTATTATTGCTCACTATGATTTTCCATAAGTTCATTTTCAGTCACTTTATTCCCACATTCTGACACTATCTTACTATCATATCTTTTTATTTGCTATAAGTAGAACAGTGTAAATTCAGACTCTCAGTGCACTACCACTTGTCTAGAGGTGTTAATCAGGGAGACATTACCGTGTACATATATGTGTAATACGACTGTGCATGCACCATCCATACCCATTCGGATTTTCTCCAGGCACAGCCAAGAGGAGGAAAGACCAGAAATGCTAGAGAGCTAACTCCTCTCAGAACAGCCCACAACCAATGACCAAAAGATTCAGCCTCCTCATTTTCAGATATGACAGCTCTGAAATTTGTTTTATATCATCTCCTAGGGGTCTCCAGTGGGACTGAGTCACAATTGCCCACAGTGGTAATCTGCTCATTAGTTACATCATATATTGCCTTTCTTTCTCTGTTTCATATCTCTACTTCCAGACTCATACTTCCTAGGATCATGTCCAAAATAAGCTACTGACACCTCAAATACCATTTGACTCTCAGAGTTCTAGGGAAATCCAGCCTAAGGCAACATGTAACTATAGAGTTGAACTACAAATCTGGTTTAGACTCAGAAATGTTTACTTTCTCCCTGAGAGTTTAATTCATTTTAATTGCCAACGCCTGGACTCGTACAATTCTGTAGAATGATAATTGGCTTATATATTACTGATGAATCCATAACATGAGGCAGCTACTCTATTTTCCTTGGAAAAAAATTATTTTATCAAATGAGTCATTCTACCTGTGGTTTGATCCAGTGTAGAACCTATTGCTTGTAGTGTGAAATTAAATGACAAGATTCCAAACAGTTTGCAGATTGAGCTCTATAAAACTCAATTCCTCTTTCCCCTTTCCCTTGCCTTGAATCAAGTTTCCTGTGAATGTTTTTCAACTTCTAATTAAAGTGCATTATTTTTCATAGAATAGAATTTTCATGGTGTTATGCATGCTGAAAAATGCATTGCATTTTGAAAATTTTAGCAAAGGATACGTCAATGACTGCAGCATGATTCAGGCACCTTCCCTGGCAGTCCACAACTCTGTTATCTCATTTGTAACAGAAGGATGATGCATTTAGTATCTTTTGAGGAATCTTTCTTATTCTAAAATTTTAATTTCTGTAATTCTAACAAAAATTATGACAGTTATGATTACACTGAAATTATTGAAATTGTTTGAACCATAGGGAAATATTTGCTTTAAAATTCTAGAAGTTAGAATATGAAGTATTATTTGTACTTTTTTGTATTTGAAAGTTAGCTTTAGGCTAGTTTTAAGCTAACAATTTTAAAAATAATTCCTCATTTAGGTCAAAATGGAACTTCAGAATGTTTTAAAATTAAATATTCAAATTGGGATATTTATTGCAATAATTTCTAATACTGATGTAAGAAAAAATACAGTAAAGTCATATAATGATTTAAATAATTTCTAATTTTCTTGAACTACTACTTTTTTACTGGAGGGCAAAAGTTAGATCCTGAGAGTAACATAGTTTGTTGATGTGTTAAGACTGGTCTTTACCTCTTTGGTGAGATATTTGAGGATAGATTGAATTAATTTATAGGGTGAAATGACCTTTACAATAAACAAAAATTATGAGAATTGTTAAAAGGCCCATAAAAACCTTTAAACTTTAAATGGCTCTGAATTTCTTTACATAAATTGATTAGAAATTCATGGATTTCATTTTTTCTAAGATTTACTTCTATTTTTTAAATGAAGAAGAACTATGCCTTCTAGTTTTCTTAACTCAGCTTTTTTTTTTTTCTTTTTTAACTTCTTGATGTTTAAGAAGCTACAGCACAGCAGGGAGCTACCCAACTAAATCGATCTCACATTTTGAAAGATGTTGTCATTGACCATGGAAGACTGTGGCATTTTATTTTGTAAATTTCAATCTTCCTTAAAAAATGAAAGACCAACTTTGAAGTTGATGTTGTACCATAGACTGTAACTAGAAGATGGATATGTAAAAGACGAACTCAAGCTACCATTTAAGGACCTGAGAAATAACTCTATTGTAACTAGATTCTAAAGGATGCTCAACCTCAGGCCAGTCTGACTGCTGGGGTGGGCAGTGGCCTTGGCAGAGACTGCTCTCAGGTGTGCTTCTCTCCAAAGTGGCTTTCTGGATCCTAATTATGTCAGGCTGTCATTTCTCTCAGCAAGTACCCGTTCATCCTACTTTGTTTTCTCAAATATTCAAAGTCTTTATTTTGTATTACAATATCTGGTGGCAAAATTACCCTTGCTCTTCTTTGGGAATATCCATTTTATTTTAGCAAATAAAATATCTTTACAGAACTACTTTCTGGATACCTCTGGAAACAGAAAATTGATGCCTGCCAGATAGATTTCAAAACAGTACTCGGTAATGAAAACCAATCATTATTCTAATTGATTTCCTTCATTTGGTTTCACAGAATCATGAGACTCCCAGTGCCTTGTGTCTTCCTCCCTGCTTAGGATATGTGGAAACATTTCAAAGAAGAACTGAAGGAATGAATTTGTATGCTTTGGCTCTCATAAATCTTAGATTAAATGATAGTTGTGTTTTTATACCAAATAATTTTTGTTTCCATATTCCTCTTCTTCAGACTGTTTCCTGGAAGCCGTTCGCCATTATCTTAGTGATTTAAGCTTCTCAGGACCTATGACTTCTAAATTTTTCTATTGTGTGATTCAGAGTTACATTTATATTTGCTTTACTTCCAAGTGTTTAAATATCTGGATGTAGTCACAAGTAAGTTGGATAATAATAACAGGTTGCAGTTTTTAAGAACTTACTATTTTTAGACACTGTGCTAAATGCTTTCTACGTATTATCTTACTTAATCCTCGTAACAACTCTATGAGAGAGGTCTTTATCAATTGACCACATTTTACAAATATGAAAACTAAGGCCTAGATTAAGCACCATGCCCAGAGTTGCACAGCTAGTCCCTCGTAGTACTGGAACTCAAACTGAGATTGACAGCAAAGCACTCAATAAGGAATTTTATTTCACTTCTCAGTTTCTCCTGAACAAATAATTTCAAAGAATATACTTGAAAAAAATTAACTAGAAATAAATTACCAGCTGTCATGATCCTCTTGTAGCTCACAGATTGCACCTTTCCACCATATAAACACTCATCAACAGCAAACATTTGGATATGCTCCAGTGTCAATTAAAAGAAAATAGAGAATCCAATGTGAATATCTCAAATTTAAAATCATATTCCATTCTTCCTCACAAATGCCTTTTCCTCCTCCAAACCGGTGTCAACTAGGAGTTACTTGTCCATTCTTTTTTTTTTTTAAACTATGTTGCAGGTCATGTTTATCAAACATTTTTGTTTGCCTCTTATGTGACTGCAATAATCAACTGAATCAGTTGCCCTCCACTGGCATGCCGGGGCATATGGGAATGTACCACAAATGTTTCCCGGGTATGCTGCCAAATTTTGCTATGTGTAAAATGTATTTTGGTGACAACTAAGAATACATATGGTCATTGCAATGTCTGTCAGATGGAATATGGAGCAAAAGGGGTCCTGTGCTTTGCTGTGGAGCAGGTTAGGACTTGCTGAGGGAAAGAAGAGAAGGTTGGTGCGTGTATTTTCAAGCTGGCTTCCAACTAACGTGGAAGGTTACTTAGCAAATTCAGAGATCGTTGTCACTTGAGTCTTTAAGAACGTACTTATTTGGAATAATCAGTTATTCTCAAATAGAGACTCAGTAACTGTTTGAATTCTATGAGGACTAAGGCCATTTCTCTAGTTGTCTGAGATCTTGGTATACTGTGACCGATCATATGTGATAACCATTAGTGGTGATACAAATCCAAAAAGTTGAAAAACCACTGAAAAAGACGAATGACTTTTAAATTTTGCTTATAGAGCTGACCTTAGAAAAGATTATATTTTATCCCTTTCCTTCCAGCGACTTTCTTATGTTTTAGAAAACCAATGATCTCTTGCTGCCCCCTCATTTTCCATGTCCGCTCTGTTTTGCCACACTTGAGCTTGACTTCTTGAATAGTAATCCTTTATTGTCATACTAATTTCTGGTTATATCTCAACAACCTAAACCAATTCAACTACTTAGAATAATTGACTGCCTGATTGTCTGCTAGAATTAGTAACTTAAATATCTGAGCTATATGGGTTTTGTTATAAATTCTAATTTGTCACTTACACAAATGGTCAAGCTGATTTTGTACTCATTGATTGGAAGAAGCCAAGCATTCAAACTACGAATAATCAATCCATATACTATATATATATAAATACACATACCCCCCAACACACACACACACACACACATTCAACTATCCATTATTCTGTGGGGAAAAGGCAATAAATCTTCGTGTCTTTATGAAGAAACCCTGGGCCTATGTCTTACCTAAATTACTAAATGTTAATGATTAAATAATATTTTCTCTAATATTGGAAAAGAACATGAACACTACTTGAAACATCAGAAGGTCATGAAAAAATCAAGAAGTATACACACTTACCTTTTATTAAAAAGGATCACATTTTGACACACTTATGTGTCTGCCTTCCACCTATCTTCATAGAAGCTCTTTTTTCTTCCTATCAAATTCAGAAACTGTTCTGCAAATGTGAGCCTCTATTTGCCTATAATGGTAACATTATTCTTAGCCAAAAGCACAGAATTATATTTGTCTGGCTCATCTCCAAATTCTACTGGTTGCCCTCAGTGAATGTGCTAATTGCATTTTTTAGCTATCCATTTTCTTATCTTAGCCTTTGTGGTTTTATGCACATTTTACTAGATGTTACACTTTCTTGTGTTTAGGTTTTATTTGCATGACACCAAAGTGTGAGTCAGTTGGCTCATTGCATTTTGCATACATTGTGCATAATGAATACTAAAATGAAGATTATCTTTTCATGGAGCAACACTGAAAACATGTGTTTCTCTGCCAGATCTGCTTTGATGAAAAACAGAGAAACCTAAAATGTTGGGCAGTGTATGGTAAAGTAATCTTTCTATAACCCAATCTTAGCAATGAGAGACTTTGTATCTTTCCTTGTTTTTTTATTATACATACATCATTATTCTTTAATTTTGACAAGTGAGATCAAAGAAAACCCTACTTTACTTTTCAATTTAATGAAAGTGTGAGATGTAATGTTTATGTATGTTTGTGTATATATTATGGTTACCACATAATTCTGAACTTTGATAAAATATGGTATATATGTGATATTATAATTCAGGTCTATTCTTAAAGTTATATAAAAGAGAAACACTCATAAAGAAAGAAAATAAAAATATAATCCAAAATTATTGGCACAAATCTTTTTAAAACACCATTTTTCTTATGCTGAATTTGTGTCTGCAATAGGGCCTTTTATCTATTCTTGTGTCAGTGCCTTGTTTTTGCTATTGTAGGCTTAAAATATGTTTTAATATCTAATATTGCAGATGGCCCCCTCCATTGACTTGATATGCATTGCATTGCATCCCTGGAATAATTTGGAAGAGAACTTTGTGCCACCATCCAATATAGGAAAAACATCCTACCTGGTGGTTTCCCGTTGCTTTAACTACCCACTTTAGAAAGAAACCCAGCCTGCACAGGCTTTTTTCTTGGAGAAGCACCTGTCATTGTATGTTTTATCTGCTGCTTATTGTGGTCTCCTTACTTCACCAAATTGTGGGCTGTTCAGGTTTTCTCACCTTATATCCCAAAGGATATACGAAGGGGAACATATGTTTCCTTAATCCAGAAAGAAAGAAAGAGAAAGAGTAGAAGGAAGGAAGGAAGGAAAAAAGGAAGGAATGGAGGGAGGGAGGGAAGGAAGGAAGGAAGGAACCAACGAAAAGGAAAGAAAATGGAGAGAGGGAGGGAGCGAGAAGACGTGGAGATTCTTCTCTTTATAATGGTCATGTTTCAGTTTTAGGTTTTATACTCCACCCCACCCAACCCCCAAAAAATAGAACTCTACCAAAGACTCTTTTTAGTTTTTGCAGTCTTAGTCTGACAGATGGCAGCAGATTGGTCTCTACAATGGTAGTGATATCATTGACAGAAAACTGGAATGATTGTGCTCTACACTGTCTGTATACAGACCTGACTGCTAGTTTGATCAACATTTATAACTGAAATGATTCTTGAATTCTTTCTGTTCCCATATTAAAATATATAAAATTCTTTTTTCCAAGGTTATCAGCTTTGGTAAAACTTGGCTCATAAATCACAAAATAAAATTATGTATTTCTCAAAAGCTTTTCAAGAAATAAACTATGACTTTCTATTATAGTGAAGTGTTTTGACTTTTTTTTTCTTGAGATAGGGTCTTGCTCTGTTGCCCAGGCTAGAGTGCAGTGACTCGATCACAGCTCACTGTAGCCTCAACCTTCCTAGCTCAATCCATCCTCCCATCTCAGCTTCCCAAGTAGCTTGGACTACAGGTACATTCCACCAAGACTGGCTATTTTTTTTTTTTTTTTTTTTTTTTTGTATAGACAGGGTTTTACCATGTTGCCCAGGCTGGTCTTGAACTCCTGTGCTCAAGCAATCTGCCCAACTTGGCCTCCCAAAGTGCTCGTATTACAGGAATGAGCCATTGTGCTCAGTCTGATTTTTAAAAGAATTATCTTGATTAAAAAATTAAAACAATACTTCCTTTCTGTTAAAAAAATTTGTATAAAACTTGGAAATAAGAAAAAAAGAATGTCTGCATGTCCTTTCACCGTCTTACTGGAGCATTGTCTGAAACGCATATTCAAAGGACTACTTAATTCTGTAGGGGATATACTTTTTTTTGTTGCACTTATATTTATTATTGGTTAGAGCTTAACTATAGAAATTGCATGCTAAATTGTATGCTTTTGTCCATGGCAGATTCAAATTACATCTTTCCAGAAGAAAAGAACATCCCAAAGGTTATGTTTTACTTCCTTATAGGACATTAATTAGGACATGAATCAAGTTTGTCTCAAACTTAGCCAACTTATTTCACCACCCTTTCCAGACTGATGATACCAATTGCTGTTCATAAAGTTCTCCTCTTAATCAGCTTTACCATTCTGCTGGTTTACTTATTAATTATTTTTAAAATCTTTGACATGTCTTTGTTTTATATTTGTATGAATCATTTCTAAAGTTTTGACAATTATATTTTGGCTATTCAAAACATTTTAGCCATCATACGTGTCTCTGTGTGTTTGAATTGACTAATGATTTTGTTCAAACAGTATTAATAAAGGGGTTCTATTTTGGTTTCAATTCTGTATGTATATATAGAATTCTGTATGCATATGTGTATATACATATATGTGTTTAAAATATGAAGACATATTAGAGAAAGTCTACACAATATTTAATGGCTGCAATTCAGCCACACATACAAAAAATAATTAGACATAGTAAATTGTGTAATTATGTATTATTTCTTAATCTGGAATGAAATAATTTATAGAAATATTTTTTGAAAAACCAAAATGTAGAATCTGGCTTTTGAGTCCAGGGTCTGAGAAAATTATTTTTGTTCCCTTTGATTCCCCAGACAGAATATATGTAATGATTTTTCATCAATTTTTAATTTACAATTTAAATACTAAGCAATAAAAGGATTTACATAAAAGATTTTTTAACAGTAGTTATTTGCAGTGCAAAAATGTGGTTTCTTATTATTTCTAGCTCTTAAAATGTTAATGTAATACATAGCTGTATTACAGGACAGTTTAATTTCCCTTGAAAATATGGACCTCAGTGAAGGGTCCAAATTAAAAAGAAATTAATATGTTTCAAATATTAAGTTATTTTTCTGGTCTTCTGAGTTTTATTATAACTAGACTTTGTGGAAAAATTCTACTTAATGGAAGCAACTAAAAGTAATCCTAGTTGGAGATTCTTCACATTACCAGAAAATAAAATGCTTTTAGGATGAGTATTCTATACTCATTTCATTATGTTAATTACCATCAAATATCATGATAATAAAAATTCTGTTGGCATGGAAACTAGTAGAAATACACTGGTCAAACATACTCTTTATCAGCTCTCCCTACATAGAATAAAAATTTTCATTTGCTCTGCGCAGGATCTTTCCAGTTTGGGGCAATATACTATTTAGAAGGTTAAGTTGCTCTATATATGTTAAATATTAACAAACAGGTTTTAATAATTGATACTTGAACTTCAAATTTGATGCACACATTCTATAGAAGAAAGCAAGAGTTATGTTGAAATTGTAATAGATTATAGCTTTAATGATAAGTTTGGAAAATCTAAGATTCTTGGCCTCCACTGTTCAGTACGGTGGCCACTAGCCACATGTGGATATTTGTGCTTAAGATTAAATTAATTAAAATTAAATAAAATTTAAAATTTGGTCTTTTACTAGCCACATTTCCAGTGCTCAGCATCCTCATGTTGTTCCTAGCTATTGTATTGGTCAGTGCAGATATAGAACATTTCTATAATTGCAGAAAATGCTATTGGAAAGCCCTGTTCTAGATTTCTGATGTGTTAATCATGCTTCTTTCTTTCTTTTTTCTTCTTTCTTTTTTCAAATGTTAAAGATAAATTTGATCTTTAAAGTGTAAGCAGTATGTGATTGGACAGCTATACAAGACATCAGGTTAGACATTCTTAATTTATTAAGCAGGGAATTTCAGTTTTTCACATTTACTTGTTATAAATACATAAACAATTCTCTATTATTCTTTAGATTAAAATGCATGGAATGTGCTTCACTCATTCTTAAGATTTCTTAAAATTATTTTTATTTTGAGTGAGAATCATTTCTAAGATTAATAAAAATTAACAAATGTCCAATAAAAAGATCAGAGAAAGAGAGCTACAGAAAATAAATGTTAGATTATCAATTCAAAAATTCACCCTTGTCACCAAAACCAAATAAAATACGAATAACTTATCTCATAAGGCCTTTTTTTTTTAGGCTGAAAAAACACCTACTAATTTCTTTTAATGCACCTGTAACTTCCATTTCTTAGATTAAATTCCTTAGTTCTTACTCATATAATGTTAAACACATATCATTAGCAGGAATATAACTCAAAAAGAATGGAAGTCTAAATCAGCAGTTGTTTCAGACATCTTTTTTCTGTCCTTTCTGATCATAGGCAGTCGAGTCATACTGGTAGTGGTAATAATTGTTTTAAAATAATTTAATGTAAATAATTTCTAATTTAAAATAATGGTAAAATAGAATATCTATTATTTTCCACTTAGGGATTTCATATGACATTTATTGCTCCTTAATATTACTTCTGTGTTTTAATCTTTTGTAACTCATGTTATGTTTGTATTCAACTTAATGTAAAGAACCCAAAAATCCTATAGAATTACTGAAGAAAAATCCCCTTTGGTGTAAAGTTACAGACTTATTACTTAGAGGTTTTTTGTTGTTGTTGTTCGTTTGTTTGCTTGAGATACAGTCTTGCTCTGTCACCCAGGCTGGGGTGCAGCGGCATGATCTCAGCTCACTGCAACCTCCGCCTCCTGGGTTCAAGTGACTCTCCTACCTCAGCCTCCCGAGTAGCTGGGATTATAGGCACCCACCACCACGCGCATCTAATTTTTAAAATACTTTTGGTAGAGACAGGGTTTCACCATGTTGGCCAGGCTGGTCTCGAACTCCTGTCCTCAAGTGATCCACCCACCTCGGCCTCCCACAGCACTGGGATTACAGGTGTGAGCCACCGCGCCTGCCCTACTTAGAGTTTTAATAACAGGTATTTGCATTAAAAATTAATATGAACTTAATAAACTCTGGGAAACTGTTTTTAGTTTTCAAGCAGTCAAGAAAATCCTTTGTGCCATTTGATTGAGAAAAACATGGAAAGGAAGAAATGTTACTCACATTCCGCTCCTTCCAGGAAGGAGGTAACCCACCATTTTAAGGGAAGAAAATGTTAATTTGAATATTGAGCTAGAGATTCTGATTATTTAAATGTCAATTTAGGAGACAAAATAAATGGTAAAATTACAATATATTACATTCAAATGTCTCAAAAATACCTCATATATGTCTGTGTTTAATGTAGTCTCTTATGTAAAGAGAGCCTAATTGAGTTCAAACCAAGTATTGGCAATAGAGAAAATTTTTAATCTAACCCAAAATTTAAATATGTTTTTATTAAATTATATTGATTTAAATAAAACTGCTTTACATTCAAATCACCGGCATAACAGTGAAAGTTTCATAATCTTATCTAATTACATCAATCATAAAATAAAGATCTGAGTCTGAGAAAATGATTCTGTCTCTTGTAGAATACATCAAATGCACATAATCTTGAGTTAAAAACACTCTAATTTTTAACTATGGATTTAAACCAAAACAAAACACATGACCTGGAAAGATTTAGTGCTGGCATGAAAGAATGGTTATCAGATGATTTATCAATGTAGTTAACTACATTAACAGACCGAGAAAGAAAAATCATGTTATCATTTCATAAGATACAGAGAAAGCATTTGATATTGTAGCCACTCAACTATGATTTTAAAAATAAAAACTTATTAAACAAGGAATAAGAAGATGTTTCCCTAACCTTGTAAAGTATCTTTAGCAAAAACCTATGATGAATACCATAGTAAATGGTAAAATTTTAAAGCAGTACTATTAATGTTAACAGTAAGATAATTATGACTGTGGGTTTCATACAATTCAACATCATACTGAAGGTCCTTGCAATAAGACAAGGTAAAAGTACAAGAATCAGAATAAAAGAGGCAAAGTTTTTGTTTTCAAGCAATATGATTGGATGTAGGAAAAAAATCAAAAGTTCATAAATAAACTTTTATTAATAAGAGAGGACAGCAAAATTTTTTGGATATAAGACCAGTGTTCAAAAATTAATAGCTTTCCAAAAAAAACTAATTAGAAAATAATACGGTAGTAGCAATAATCAAAAAGGGCCTAGAAAAAGATATATAAGACCTTTTAAAAGAAAATTACGGTTGATGAAGGACATAAAAAAAGACCTGACTATGTGTAAAGATTCACTAAGCTCCCTAATGAAGTGACTTGACATTATAATTAATTCTCCACTAAATAATCTGGAAATTTAATGCAATTCAAATGAATACCCTATAGGAATTTACCAACAGGTCTAAAACTCATATGGAAGAATCAAGTTCTAAAAATTGACAGAACCAATTTTGTAGACAACAAAAAGGTGAAACTTTCTTTGCCAGATATCAAGATCTATAATTAAGGAATAATAAATAAAACATAATTAATTAATTAGTTATAAAAAGAAAACAGCACATATTATTTGTTGATACTAGGATAGATACTAGATAGATCTAATGAGCAAAATGCAGAAACTTGGCACACTACTAAATTAGTAATTGACTATATGGAATTTTAAAAACTGGGTATCCACCTGATAACAACAACAAAAAAAATGCCAGGTACTTAAAAATCTAAATTTAAAAAACAAAAACTTTTAGAAAACATCAGGATAAGGAAGAATTTTATAAACAAGACTTGAAGATTACTATAAAGCTATATTAGTAATTTTATCAACATTCAAATTTTAATAAAAGCAAGCCACATTATGTGGATATATTAAAAGAGGGAAGATGTTGTAAAACATGTATTTGATAAACAATGAATGCCTGGAATTTATAAAAGTTCTTCCCAATCAATAAGTAATCAACAAATAACTGAATGGCCTGTAAATACAAAAAGGATAATCAGCCTCAGTCGTAATCAGCAAAATGCACATTAATACAATGAGATATCATTTTATAACCATAAGATTGGCAACATGTAAACAGCCTTACAATACTAAGCTTTGTCAAAGATGAAGAAAAAGAGTAAGCTCATACACTGCTACTAGAACTATAAATTAGTTAAGTTACTTTGAGGAGCAATTTGCAAATATCTAACAAATGTGAAGATGTACATACACTATAATCCAACAATTCTACTTGTAGGACGATGGACGTCTCTGTGTATAGAGACTTTCACTAACACACACACACACATATGTGTGTGTGTATATATATATATGGATTATCTACATATACATATGAAGAAATATGTTAAGATATTATTTGTAATGTTGAAAAATTAGAAACAAGTTCAACATCCATTAGCAAGAAAATAAATAAGCAATTGTTGCATGTTTATACACAGTAATACTACTAAGCAATAGAAATATATGCCTGGACATGACTAAATCTCAGAAACATGACATTTAAGCAAAAAATTTCAGAATTTCAAGCTTCTCCAGGGAAGAATTTTTAGACACTTTGCATATCGCACTTCTTTATAGTGTATAAACCCCACTTATTTATAGTGTATAATTTAAAAGAATCAAGCTATTTCTGAATCTTGTTTGCTAATAACCTTGTTAAGGATTTTTTTAAATTTGTATCATGAGAGATATTGGTTTACAGTTTTTTGTTTATTTGTGTGTGTACTCTCTGTCTGGTTTTGGTGTAAAACAAGCTTCATAAAGTGAATTAGGAAATATTTTCTCCACTTCTATTTTCTGGAAGAGATGTGTAGAATTGTTGTTACTTTAAAAAATATAAAGCTCTCACAAAAATAGAATAGAGGGGAACTCCCTCAGCTTGACAACATCTTCAAAAACCTACAGCTATACATTCATGTCATCCGCAAACAGGGACAATTTGACTTCCTCTTTTCCTAATTGAATACCCTTTATTTCCTTCTCCTTCCTGATTGCCCTGGCCAGAACTTCCAACACTATGTTGAATAGGAGTGGTGAAAGAGGGCATCCCTGTCTTGTGCCAGTTTTCAAAGGGAATGCTTCCAGTTTTTGCCCATTCAGTATGATATTGGCTGTGGGTTTGTCATAGATAGCTGTTATTATTTTGAGATACGTCTCATCAATACCTAATTTATTGAGAGTTTTTAGCATGAAGGTTGTTGAATTTTTTCAAAGGCCTTTTCTGCATCTATTGAGATGATCATGTGGTTTTTGTCGTTGGTTCTGTTTATATGCTGGATTACGTTTATTGATTTGCGTATGTTGAACCAGCCTTGCATCCCAGGGATGAAGCCCACTTGATCATGGTGGATAAGCTTTTTGATGTGCTGCTGGATTCGGTTTGCCAGTATTTTATTGAGGATATTTGCATCAATGTTCATCAGGGATATTGGCCTAAAATTCTCTTTTTTTGTTGTGTCTCTGCCAGGCTTTGGTATCAGGATGATGCTGGCCTCATAAAATGAGTTAGGGAGGATTCCCTCTTTTTCTATTGATTGGCATAGTTTCAGAAGGAATGGTACCAGCTCCTCCTTGTACCTCTGGTAGAATTCAGCTGTGAATCCGTCTGGTCCTGGACTTCTTTTGGTTGGTAGGCTATTAATTATTGCCTCAAATTTCAGAGCCTGTCATTGGCCTGTTCAGAGATTCAACTTCTTCCTGGTTTAGTCTTGGGAGGGTGTATGTGTCCAGAAATTTATCCATTTCTTCTAGATTTTCTAGTTGATTTGCATAGAGGTGTTTATAGTATTCTCTGATGGTAGTTTGTATTTCTGTGGGATTGGTGGTGACATCCCCTTTATCATTTTTTATTGCATCTATTTGATTCTTCTCTCTTTTCTTCCTTATTAGTCTTGCTAGCAGTCTATCAATTTTGTTGATCTTTTCAAAAAACCAGCTCCTGGATTCATTGATTTTTTGAAGGGTTTTTTGTGTCTCCATTTCCTTCAGTTCTGCTGTGATCTTAGTTATTTCTTGCCTTCTGCTAGCTTTTGAATGTGTTTGCTCTTGCTTCTCTAGTTCCTTTAGTTGTGATGTTAGGGTGTCAATTTTAGATCTTTCATGCTTTCTCTCGTGGGCATTTAGTGCTATAAATTTCCCTCTACATACTGCTTTGAATGTGTCCCAGAGATTCTGGTATGTTGTGTCTTTGTTCTCGTTAGTTTCAAAATCGTTATGTACCCAGTAGTCATTCAGGAGCAGGTTGTTCAGTTTCCATGTAGTTGAGCGGTTTTGAGTGAATTTCTTAATCCTGAGTTCTAGTTTGATTGCACTGTGGTCTGAGAGACAGTTTGTTGTGATTTCTGTTCTTTTACATTTGCTGAGGAGTGCTTTACTTCCAACTATGTGGTCAATTTTAGAATAAGTGCAATGTGGTGCTGAGAAGAATGTATATTCTGTTGATTTGTGGTGGAGAGTTCTGTAGTTGTCTATTAGGTCTGCTTGGTGCAAAGCTGAGTTCTAGTCCTGGATATCCTTGTTAACCTTCTGTCTCGATCTGTCTGATATTGACAGTGGGGTGTTAAAGTCTCCCATTATCATTGTGCGGGAGTTTAAGTCTCTTTGTGGGTCTCTAAGGACTTGCTTTATGAATCTGGGTGCTCCTGTATTGGGTGCATACATATTTAGGATAGTTAGCTCTTCTTGTTGAATTGATCCTTTTACCCTTATGTAATGGCCTTCTTTGTCTCTTTTGATCTTTGTTGGTTTAAAGTCTGTTTTATCAGAGACTAGGATTGCAACCTCTGCCTTTTTTTTTGTTTTCCATTTGCTTGGTAGATCTTTCTCCATCCCTTTATTTTGAGCCTATGTGTGTCTCTGCATGTGAGATGGGTCTCCTGAATACAGCACACTGATGGGTCTTGACTCTTTGTCCAATTCGCCAGTCTGTGTCTTTTAATTGGGGCAGTTAGCCCGTTTACATTTAAGGTTAATATCGTTATGTGTGAATTTGATCCTGTCATTATGATGTTAGCTGGTTATTTTGCCTGTTAATTGATGCAGTTTCTTCATAGCATTGATGATCTTTACAGTTTGGCATGTTTTTGCAATGGCTGATATCGGTTGTTTCTTCCCATGTTTAGTGCTTCCTTCAGGAGCTCTTGTAAAACAGGCCTGGTGGTGAAAAAATCTCTCAGCATTTGCTTGTCTGTAAAGGATTTTATTTCTCCTTCACTTATGAGGCTTAATTTGGCTGGATATGAAATTCTTGTTTGAAAATTCTTTTCTTTAAGAATGTTGAACATTGGCCCCCACTCTCTTCTGGCTTTTAGGGTTTCTGCCAAGAGATCTGCTGTTAGTCTGATGGGCTTCCCTTTGTGGGTAACTCGACTTTTCTCTTTGTCTGCCCTTAACATTTTTTCCTTCATTTGAACCTTGGCAAATCTGACAATTATGTGTCTTGGGGTTGCTCTTCTCGAGGAGTATCTTTGTGGTGTTCTCTGTATTTCCTGAATTTGAATGTTGACCTGCCTTGCTAGGTTGGGGAAATTCTCCTGGATAATATCCTGAAGAATGTTTTCCAACTTGGTTCCATTCTTCCCAACCCTTTCAGGTACACCAATTGAATGTAGATTTAGTCTTTTCACATATTCCCATATTTCTTGGCGGCTTTGCTCATTTCTTTTTACTCTTTTTTCTCTAACCCTGTTTTCTTGCTTTATTTCATTAATTTGATCTTCAATCATGGATACCCTTTCTTCCACTTGATCTAATTGGCTATTGAAGCCTGTGCATGCATCACAAAGTTCTTGTTCCATGGATTTCAGCTCCATCAGGTCATTTAAGGTGTTCTCTACACTGTTTATTCTGGCTAGCCATTTGTCTAACCTTTTTTCAAGGTTTTTAGCTTCCTTGCAATGGGTTCACACGTGCTCCGTTAGCACAGAGAAGTTTGTTATTACTGGCCTTCTGAAGCCTACTTCTGTCAACTCATCAAAGCCATTCTCTGCCCAGCTTTGTTCCATTGCTGGCGAGGAGCTGTGATCCTTCGGAGGAGAAGAGGTGCTCTGATTTATAGAATTTTCAGATTTTCTGCTCTGGTTTCTCCCCATCTTTGTGGTTTTATCTACCTTTGGTCTTTGATGTTGGTGACCTACAGATAGGATTTTGGTGTAGATGTCCTTTCTGTTGATGTTGATGCTATTCCTTTTTGTTTGTTAGTCTTCCTTCTAACAGTCAGATCCCTCAGCTGCAGGTCTGCTGGAGTTTGCTGGAGGTCCACTGCAGACCCTGTTTGCCTGGGTATCACCAGTGGAGGCTGCAGAACAGCAAATATTGCAGAACAGCAAATATTGCTGCCTGATCTTTCCTCTGGAAGCTTCGCCCCAGAGGGGCACCCACCTATATGAGGCATCTGTTGGCCCGTAATGGGAGGTGTCTCCCAGTTAGGCTATACGAAGGTCAGGGATCCACTTGAGGAGGCAGTCCGTCTGTTCTCAGAGCTCAAATGCCGTGCTGGGAGAACCACTACTCTCTTCAGAGTTGTCAGACAGGGACGTTTATGTCTGCAGAAGTTCTCTGCTGCCTTTTGTTCAGCTATCCCCTGCCCACAGAGGTGGAGTCTAGAGGCAGTAGGCCTTGTGGAGCTGCAGTGGGCTCCGCCCAATTTGAGCTTCCCAACCGCTTTGTTTACCTACTCAAACCTCAGCAATGGTGGATGCCCCTCCCCAAGCCAGGCTGCTGCCTCCCAGTTCTATCTCAGACTGCTGTGCTAGCAGTGAGCAAGGCTCCATGGGCGTGGGACCCACTGAGCCAGGCACAGGAGAGAATCTCCTTGTCTGCCAGTTACTAAGACCTTGGGAAAAGTGTAGTATTTGGGTGGGAGTGTCCCGTTTTTCCAGGTACAGTCTGTCATGGCGTCCCTTGGCTAGGAAAGGGAAATCCCCTAACCCCTTGTGCTTCCCGAGTGAAGTGATGCCCCGCTCTACTTCAGCTTGCCCTCCGTGGACTGCACCCACTGTCCAACCAGTCTCAATGAGATGAACCAGGTACCTCAGTTGGAAATGCAGAAATCACCCATCTTCTGCATCAATCATGCTGGGAGCTGCAGACCACAGCTGTTCCTATTTGGCCATCTTTGAACCGACAATTTTCTTTTTCATTGAAAACCAGTGAATTTTTTAAAAAAGAATCCAGGTCTATAACTATGGGATTGACAATACAATATTGGTTATGAAAAAGTCAAGTTTCTGGACCTGGATCATCGTAACATTGCCAATATACTGTGAGACCATCTGGTAATACCTCTTTGTGACTATCTGGTCAGCAATTTTCTGGCATAACCCCTGCAACTCTCAGAAATAGGGAACTAGATTTCAGAAACAAATATAGAATAATGACTTCTCTATTTGCACATCTGTAGCTCATTTATTAATTTGCAAAAAATCAGATTTCAATAACCATCATTGTATCAACATCTAGAATAGAATGTGCAATTCAGTTTTTTATTTTATTTTATTTTATTTTAATTTTATTTATTTTTTGAGATGGAGCCTCAGTCTTGTTGCCCAGGCTGGAGTGCAATGATGTGATCTTGGCTCACTGCAACCTCAGCCTCCCTGGGTTCAAGTGGTTCTCCTGCCTCAGCCTCCCAAAGTGCTGGGATTACAGGTGTCGACCACCATGCCTGACTAATTTTTGTACTTTTAGTAGAGACAGGGTTTCACCATGTTGGCCAGGCTGGTCTTGAGCTCCTGACCTCAGGGTATCTGTCCACCTCAGCCTCCCAAAGTGCTGGGATTATAGGCATTAGCCACTGCCCCTGTGCAATTCAGTTTAACTCTAAGTCTAAGTCAATTGGAAAGATATTCATTTACCTATGTATTCCTCACAACTCTTAGTCTCTCGAGGTGCTTTGCGAAAGTATTTTTGGGATTAAGAAGTTTAGAAAACACTGTATACTCTATTTCTATTTAGAGATTCAGAACGTATATTAGCCTTTAAGGATATGACAAGTATTCAGGATATCTGTTTAACTTTAATCCAGCATTTTCCCTTTTTTCTCCATCCCCTCCCTCTTTTGTGTAACCAATTATTCATTAATATCCCTTATAACACACTCGTGTATTATCATTGCTATCTATTTCTTACCCTACTTCATGTGTTTAAAGTCATTTAATATTATTAAGGCTTGTAATTGGGAAAATTAATCTGTTTTTGCACATTTATAAAGGTTGAATGCATCATGATTATTTACTTTGCTCTGCAATAATATTCAAATCAGTTTCTGCTTATCTCCTTTTTACATGAGGTTTGTCCTCTTAATAACATTCAGTTTACCAAATATGGCAAAAATGCATTTTCATTTCTCACATAGCTAGAAAATCTTTGCAGTATCTGGGCAAATAATTTTCTTCCTGCATTTCCTAGTGTACATTTATTTGCTTTGCTCTGTCAATATGCTTCAGTTGCAAATGTAAACATTGAAATGATCTGAAATTCCCTCTGACAGAGAGGTTTCCACCACTGATATACATTTCTCCTTGTATGTTTTGCTGTGTGAACAATTCCTTTCTTTGTTCACACATTAAGGCTTTGCCAGAGGCAGGCATTTATGGCATTAATATACAGAATGTTGTGGGTATCTCTTTTATTTTCTGGAAGGATAGCAGATGAAAACAATACTGAGCTCTAAAGGCATAAGTAAATACAAAAGATTTCAAAGACCAACTGCTAGCTGAAGTTTTCTTCAAGTTCAGTATATAACCATCTAACTCTGGGGGTAGAGTGTGTGCATGTGTGCATGGGAGCAGGCATGTGTGTCTATCCAGAGAGAGCGATTGAGAGAGAAAGAGAGAGAGAGAGAAGGTGGGGAGGGGGTAGATAAAGAGAGTTTGTCTCACAGCGTTGTTTCAAATGCCAGCCTCATTTTGCCTCTAAAAAAGAATAAAACCACAATTTTGTAATATATTTACTGATACAAAATATAGTTTAGACATATAGTGAGTCCATCATTAATGATACAAGAATGTTTCAACTAAGAAGACAGTTTATATTTCTGAAAAAAATATGATGAAAAGAAGAAAACATTGAGCTACTACATCTATTTTTGTGAAAATCTTAAATGAAATTTGAGGGTATACAAAGGAAGCAAAAGCAACCAAAAGAGACACCACTACTGTCAGACTCTCCCCAGAGGTTATGTGATCAAGTGGCTGAGGCACTTTTGCTAATGAGGCTCAGGCTTAATCTAAGCTTTAAAAGGAACATGTGGAATTTGTAATGTCCATAGCACTCTCTTCCCCATTTAGCTTTCTTTTCATTAGGCATGTCTAGATGAACACTAATATGTATTATATAATTTTTATTTAGCCACATCTCTGAGGAAGTCAGAACTGTGCGGCTATTCTCAGCTTCCATTATTAACCACATTTATCAGTATGAAGGAAGGAGAAGCCAGGAAATACCATTCCCATTTTATAGACAAGATAATAGAAACTGACTTCCTCTAGTTCATAGAGGACATAGAGACAAACTGGACATAGAGACAAACTGGAGTAGACACAGGTGGATAAAGTAAGTTTCATGACTTGATTACCCCAAAGCTTACTACTGCATCTTTGAGCATGGGGGCTGGAAAATAAGTCAGTGGTGTGTCCTTGGGTGCTAGAAGCAGAAAAAAGAAATGTAAGGAATCATCTCTCTCCAACATTGTAGCATTGCCATGCAGAGGCTGTCCTTATGCATATCTTTTTTTGTTTTTTTTTGAGATGTAGTTTCGCTCTTGTTGCCCAGGCTGGAATGCAATGGCACAGTCTCTGTTCACTGCAACCTCTGCCTCCCAGGTTCAAGTGATTCTCCTCTCTCAGCCTCCCAAGTAGCTGGCATTACAGGCATCCACCACCACGCCCGGCTAGTTTTTGTATTTTCAGTAGAGGCAGGGTTTCACCATGTTGGCCAGGCTGGCCTCAAACTCCTAACCTCAAGTGATCCACCTGCCTCGGCCTCTCAAAGTGCTGGGATTACAAGCATGAGCCATGTGCCAGGCCTCTTGTGCATATCCTGAAGCATGAATTCTACAAATGAAATAGAGTTCAGAAGGATTGACAGTGAAGAAGTGGAGTTGACCCAACAGGCAAGCCAAATTAATTTGGAAGTTATTTTGTTTGCCACACACTCCTCCTGAAACAAGGACAGCCCTTCTCTCCCAGTTATTACAGTATAGGACAATGGAAAGTCAGGAGGAGTCACACGAATCCTTTTCTGCTTTTCCAGACCAAGTGAAAGCTGTAAAGGGAAAGAGAGAACTAGCTATTGCTACATTAAGAAAATGAGGTGCCAAGTGAAAACCCCAAATCTTATTTTTACAGCCGCCAAGAAGTTTCAGTCTAGGATTCATGCTGGGAGCAAGGTGCACATCACGTGAAATTCACGGCCTACATCACAGGAGAGCGCCGTCGATACTCTGGAGCCCAATGCTGTATTTGGCACAGGAAGAGACGTTTGAAAATCAGAAAAGTTCACATTTCATGAGTTCTCGTCCAGAGTATTCTCTCTGGTCTCCACAGTGCTTTACTGTGAGCAGTGAAACAGCCTAAGCGAAGTAACCAGAAATCCACAGATATCAAGGAAAAGGGTTAGTTAGCTTGCGTTCAGTCTCTGACATTCCTGTGAATTGCTGGGAGCCAACGGGACACAGGCAGAGAATATCAGATTGCCCCCTCTGCCAGTCAGCTCTTGAATTAGTTTCCTATTGCAACTGTAACACATTACACAACCTTCGTGGCTCAAACAACACACATTAATTATCTCACAAATCTGGAGGTCAGAGTTTCAAAATGAGTCACACTGGGCTGAAATCAAAGTGTCGGCAGGACTACTTCCTTTCTAGAGGCTCCAGGGGAGTATTGTTTTCCTTGCCTTTTCCAGCTTCTAGAGGCTCTTTCGTTGGCAGCAGTGCCAGCAGTGGAAGATTAAGCTTTCACACTTCCCATTATTACAATCTCCTTTTCTGCCATCACACCTCCTTTCTTGACTCTGATGCAGCTCTGTCTCTGTCTTTATTGTTCAAAGACCCTTGTGATTACCTGGGCCCACTCAGAAAATCCAGGATCCTCTTCTGATCTTAAGGTTAGCTAATTAGCAACTTTAATTCCATCTGCAACCTCAATTCCTCTATGCCCTATAACATAACGCGCTCTCAGGTTCCAGATTAGGATGCGGACATTTTGGAGGGAAACTTTGTTTTGCTTAAAATAGCTCTATAGCTGCCCATCTCTCCACTTGGTACCATGTTGTCTTTATATAGTTATGGTTGAGTCATACTGTGGTTTAGTCCTGCTCTTTTCTATCAACACCTTCACATATATTGCCTCTTTAATTCTTAAAATATGTAAAAAAATCCTTGTTTTACAGAAGGAAAATAAGGCAAAGAAGGACTAGGTGACTTTGTCATTATTGGATATGAAATTGGGGGCAGAACTGATACTGAAGTCCAGGTTGACTGTCTCTGGATTTGATGTTGCTTTTGCTGAGTAACTGCCTCTCATGTAGATACATATATAATCTATATAAGTGTATACAGACAAGTTTATTTACACATATTTAGAGTGCTTATGCATGTTCTTGGCTCTCTGTTTATTGATGAAGTGGGGACAGTGATACTTCCCTTTCAGGGCTATTTGTAGAGTTAAAGAGAGAAGATATTTGGTATTTGACATCTAAATAAGATCAGGAAACTGGTGGTTTTATGACTAAATTTTGCATATCCTCCTGCACCTTTTGCAAACTGTTTGTTTTGGCTAAAACATATTTAAATATTAGGATTTGAGAGCCTTTTGGTGGTGCTCAGTCTCTGTGACCCACTGATCCCTAGTGTTTTATACCAAGCTGGAATCAGAACTTTATACAACCTGCTTGGGCCTCATAGGCATATAAGCTTGTATCCCTAAAATAAGTAGGAAAGGAGAAAAGAAAAACCCCTAAATATTTTGGGACATCATTTTTTTCTTAACATGCACCAATGTCCAAACTTATTAGGTAAGCAATAGCGCAAAAGATTTTGCTGCTTTTTAAAAGCAAATTAGGAACCACTTAGCAGAGAAATAAATAGAGAAAAAGAATACCATGGGCTTTTAGACACAATAATCTTTAGCATTAAATTTTTCTTTTTCTTTCTCTCAAATTTTTCTTCTGTGAACTAAAATTCAAGATAATGCTCCACTACAAATGATCTTCCAGAATTATAGGTCAGACTTCTGTAGTGGAAGAAATTCCCCTCATCTTATCATCTCTGCGGATGAGGTTAAAATCAGATGTGGATAAAGCACTGACATAGCATTAGGACAGAGGATTCCAGTGCTGAGAATAAAAGCAAATTCATTATTTCTTCTTGTACATAGCTTTTATAATGTAAATGATTCCAGAACTGAGGAGAAATGTGTAATTTGTAAAAGAATAAATGACACTACATGCAGTAATCTGCATATAATTCTTTCACAAACAATACATCCATTTTAGTATCAAAATGAAGAGAAGACTGCCAAAAAAGGACTTGAAATTGATGCACACAACATTTTCACCTTGAGTTCAAATTTATCTATAGAAGCAGCAATCATTCTGTGATTAAAAAATGTGTATGAAACTTATCCATAGGAAATAGGTACTATACTAAAGAGAATTAGAAGAATAGATGCTGAGTAACTCTATAAAAAAACTTTTCTTCTGGCTTTCATAACTAACCTCTTCTGTAGATAATTAGTTGTGGGCTATTATCCTCTATAGAGTTTTTTTTGTATTTTTGATTCAAAACTATAAGAATACATTTTAGAAATAATGATAGTCATAGCTTTTAAGCTATAGAGGAGTGGACTATTTCTTTAAAAAGCAATACATTCTAAAATTGTTCAGAAAGGATAACTGGTTTGAACAATACAATGCTCTTTTCTAGACAACTTATCATAAAAGCTAAGGACTAATCTCAGAAAGCACTGGAAACTAGAGACAATATTTAGGAAAATAATTAATTACATTAAACAAAACTATCTTCAGTTCTGTCTTATAGGCTTTGACACATCTTCTGATTTATCACTAAAAGGAGATAGAAATTCTCAATAATACTAAAAACCAATGTTATCTTACATGCTGTTGATGGAATTTGGGAACAATATCCAGTAAGCATGAGATTAATGGCCAACCTATACTTTGTCTTATGTGACCCAACAGAGTCACACAAGACACTTGCTTCATAAAAAAGAATATATGTGTTTGGGGTCGGAGGAGAGGTAATTTGTTTAATTCCTATTTTATGACTTCTGGATTTGGATATGAGAGTCTGAACCATGCTCAAAACTGAATAGCGGTCCCCTCACTCAACTTTAAGTATAATGAGTGCAGAAAATGACCTGTTTTTGCTGACACTTTTAAACCAGGGCCTACTACAGCACCAGGAATATATAGACTATATTTTTAGAATGAATGAATAGAAGTGGCTAGTAAAAACAGAAATTCAATAATTTGAAAACATTAAAAATTAAAAACAAAAGTTCTTGGGCTAAAATAAGATTCACAGATGTGGTTGAATACTATATGCTTATTTGAGGCAAAATCAAGAGATTCATACTTAAAAATATTCCAAGTTTTTTTTTTAATTCCTAGAATAAAAAAATTATGAGAATTTAGAAAGGCATCTTTTTTCTTTTCTTTTTTTTTTTCTTTTTCTTTTTTTTTTTTTTTACAATTTCCAGTACAGAGGGAGCAGACACTGTTGAAAGGCATACTAGGATTGGGACTCTTTTGGAAAGGTAGCTAAACATAACCTGCCAGAAATAGAAGTGGGACATTTACTTTGAGAGCTGTTCTATGCTCACATAATAGCAGTTTGGTTACAGAGAGACTCCTGGCTTAGGAATCAGAGAACCATGTACTGGGCTCAGATTGTCACAAACTAAACAGGTGCATTTGCAAAAATCAATTGTATTTTTATATACCAGCAATAACCAATTTGAAATATCACATTAAAACCCCCATCAAACTCTTAGGAATAAATTTAGTGAAAGTTTTACAAGAATTGTACTCTGGCAACTACTAATATTACTTAGAAAAATTAAAGACCTAGATAAATGAAGAGATATATTGTAATCATAGATTGGAAAAGTTTAGTATTTTTATATGTTAACTATCTTCAAATGTACCTACAGATTCAATCAAAATCCCAGCAGAGATTTTCATGGAAATTGATAACCTAATGCTAAAATTCATATAGAAATGCAAAGGACTAGCCTGGAAAATCTTGCAGATTAAAAGAGTTGAAGACAACTTGATTTTGAGATATACACAGGAGTGGAACCCCAGAGTTATGAATCTGGCAGTTTCAATGGGAACTGCTATACAGCTGCCCTCCTCTCCACATGAGAGAAGAACATAAATATTATCTTCCTAATATAAATAAATCTTTACTAAAACAAAAGTTGAAGATCCTTAAAGTATAATTCTTTGGAATGAAAACAAATGGCTCCTAGTTTCATTCCCCTTTGAAGTATAAATATGTAACTTTAAATTGTGGAGAGCAAATGTTTTGGGGGAGAAAAGAAGGCATTCCCTGTCTTTATAACTTGTCAATTTCCGTTGCTCAGGGGGCTGGGTCTCTGTAGGAACAGTGAAAAATCCGGGAAAGACTAACTTCCCTAGTACAGGCCATAATGTCTCTGTCTCACATGAAAGCAGTAGTATATATAATACATTAAAGAAATGAGTGTGGCTTTGTTCCAATGAAATCTTTTTATAAAAGAAGTAGCAGGCCAGATTTAACTCTTGGACTATATAGTTTGCCATCTCCTGCTGTGATGGTTAATTAGGTGTCAACTTGACTGGGTGAAGGGGTACCCAGATAGCTAGTAAAATATAGTCATATGCACCACATGATTACATTTCAGTCAACAATGAACCGTATATATGAAGGTGGTCTTAAAAATATTATAATGGAGCTGAAAAATTCCTATCACCTGTTCACATTGTGGCCACGGTAACATCATAGCACAATGCATCATTCATGTGTTAGTGGTGATGCTGCTGTAAACAAACCTATTGTGCTGCCAGTTGTATAAACGCATAGCACATACAATTAGTTATACTATAATACATAACACTTGAGAATGATAATAAACACCAGCTACTGGTTTAGGCATTTCCAAAACTATAATTTTTGTGGTTATTTTAGAGTGTACTTCTTCTACTTATACAAAAAGGTTTACTATGAAACAGTTATGCCATGTTACCCCAATAGCAGCCTCATATATCTTGTGTTCACCGCATCTTTTGATTGCATAATTTTCTCTTATGTTTAACGTAATCTCCTGTTGTTTTGTTCAGCATGGCCTCTAAGTCTTCAAAATCCACCGCTAATGTTGCCAAAAAGAGGTCATGTTCAGTGACTGACCTCGAAACGAAATTAAAAGTGATTAAGAACTACAAAGGTGAAAAATCAGTGATAGTTATTGTTCGCAGTCAGGCATGTCCCATTCCATGATGGTTACAATCCTGAAGGACATGAGCAAAGTAACAGAAACTGTTAAAGAATCTGCTTCTCTGAAGGCAATGCAACTAACACAATTTTAAAAAGACCTATATCAAACATACAGAAACTTCTAATGACCTGGATTGAAGACTAGACACAGAAGTATATTCCTCTCAGCACCATGAAAATCATGACACAAGCAAAAAGTTTGTTTTTGATGTTGAAAGAAAAGGCTCTACCTGATTACCATGCTGAATTTATTGTTAGTTTTGGGTATTTTAAATGATTCAAGAATTGTTATTCATTATACAATGTGAAAGTGAGTGCTGAATCTGCGAGTGCAGTGAAGGCAGTTGAAGAACTTTTGGAAACTCTCTACATAAGCTGATTGTGGAGAAAAATTATTAGGGTTGGTGCAAAAGTAATTCCGGTTTTTGCCATAATGGCAAAAACCGGAATTACTTTTGCACCAACCTAATACTTGCTCAAGCACATTTTTAATACAGATGAAACCTTTCCATTCTGGAAATGAATGCTTGAAGAGCTTTCACCCACAAGGAGGCCAAACAAATGCCAGGTTTCAAGGTTCATAAGGACAGTATAACAGTCCCACTTGGGAGCAATGCTATAGCCTATAAATTGAAACTCTTTGTGATTTGGCACAGTGAGAACCCCAGGGCCTTCCAGCACATCAATAAGTGCACACATTGTATTTATTTTAATATTGTACTTATATCAATAAGTACACAGGCCAGTGTACTACAAGAGCAATATGAGAAGTCATGGACAGCCCAGCTCCTCTTCCAATGCCCTCCTCAATTGCTATGCCAGTGAAATGGAGAAGTACTGTTTGGAGAATAAGATATTTTTCAAGGTTTTGTTCATTGTTGATAATGCTCTTGCACATCCTCCTTTTACTGGTGAGCTTCATCCCAACATCAAAGTGGTGTTTCTCTCTCCAAACATCACCTCTTTGATTCAATAAATAGATCAAGAAGTTATAACAGCTTTTAAGGCCTACAACCTATGGAGGACCTTAGTTTAGGCTATTGCTGCAACTGAGGAAGACACTGAAATTGTGGAAAGACAACATCTGTGACTGCATCATGAACCTTGTTTGGACTTGGGGTGATGTTGCCGTGGGGTGTATGAATTGTATCTGGAAGAAGACACTGAAGAGTCATCCATGACTTCACAGGATTTGCTAAGGATGAAGAGGTTGCAAAAATCAACAGGGTTGTGATTGATATGGCAAACAACGTTAACCAGGTGTGGATGAAGATGACATTGAAGAACTCCTAGAGGTGATTCCTGAGGAATTGACTAATGAGGAATCATTGGAAATAGAACAGGAATGCGTAGCTGAAGAAGAGACAAGAGAAAAGGGAACTATAGAAGACAAATACTCCCAAAAATTCACAGTGAAGGGCTTAGCAGAAGCTTTTGCAAACCTCAATAAGCTTCTTAAAAATTTTGAAAACATATACCCAACAATGAAATATTTCCACTAGTAGAAAGAAATGCTCGTGGTGCATTATCTGATTACAGGCAATTTCATGATGTTAAAAAACAAACAAACAAAAAAAAAACAAGCAAACCACCATGGACATATTTGTGAAAAGAGTGACACCTCCTCAAGAAGAGCCTTAGACAAATACTTCAGGAGGCATTCCAGAAGAAGGCATTGTTAGCACAGCAGATGACAGCTCCATGCATATCATTGTCCCTGAAAACCTTCCAGTGGAACAAGATGTGGAGGAGGACGACAGTAATATTGATGATCCTGATCCTTTGTAGGCCTAGGCTAATGTGTATTTTTGTGTCTTAATTTTTAAATAAAAAATAAAATAAAACAAAAAAATTAAAAATAGAGAAAAGCTTATAGAATAAGGATATAAAGAAAAATTATTTTGTATAGTTGTACAATGTGTTTGTATTTTAAGCTAAATTTTATTATAAAATAGTCAAAAAGTTTAAAAGTGTAAAATTTAATGAAGTAAAAAAGTTACAGTAAGTTAAAATTAATTTATTATCGAAGAAATAATTTTTTTTTTTTTGAGACAGGATCTTGCTCTGTCATCCAGGCTGAAGTGCACTAGTACAAACACAGCTCACTGCAGCCTTGACCTTCCAGGCTCAAGGGATCCTTTGGCCTCGCCTCCCAAGTAGCTGAGACCACAGGTGCACACCATTATGCCCAGCTAATTTTTAAATTTTTTGCAGAGACAGAGTTTTGCTATGCTTCCCAGGCTGGTCTTGAATTTCTGGGCTCAAGTGACCCTCTTGCCTTGGCCTCCCAGTGTTAAGATTACAGCTGTTAGCCACCACACCCAGCCAAATTAAAAAAAAATTAAGTTTAGTGTAGCCTAAGTGTACAGTGTTTATGAAGTCTCCAGTATGTACAGTAATGTCCTAGGCCTACACAGTCACTCACCACTTCCTCATTGACTCACCCAGAGCAACTTCCAGCCCTGCATTCTCCATTCATGTAAGTGCCCTACATGGGTGGACCATTAAAAAAAATCAATTGTAGTATATTTTTACTATAACTTTTCTATGCTTAGATATATTTATATACACAAATACTTACCATTGTGTTACAATTGCCTACGGTATTCAGTATAGTAACACGCTACATAGATTTGTAGCCCAGGAACAACAGACTACACCATACAGCTTAGGTGTGTAGCAGGCTGTATCATTTAGGTTTGGGTAAGTACACTCTATGATGCTTGCACAATAAAAAACATCACCTAATGACACATTTCTCAGAATATATTTTCATTGTTAAGTGACCTCTGACTGTATTTCTGTGAGATGTCTCCAGAAGAGATTAGCATTCAATTCGGTAGATCCAGTAAAGAAGATCCACCCTCACCAATGTAGGCAGACATCATCCAATCCCTCAGGG
This sequence comes from Homo sapiens, assembly GCF_000001405.40. Lineage (NCBI taxonomy): Eukaryota > Metazoa > Chordata > Mammalia > Primates > Hominidae > Homo > Homo sapiens. Next base: position 180,753,823 of record NC_000002.12, on the reverse strand, counting down.
CTCTGATAGGACAAAAACACAGAGAAAGGGCAAATTTGCTCTTTTCTGGAGCTGGACACCCATCTTCTTCTGCCCTTGGACGTTAGAACTTCAGGTTCTCTGGCCTTTGGATTCTGAAAATTGCACCACCCAACTCCTTTCATCTTTGACTTCTTGGTCTTAAATCAGGAGTTCCCCAGGCTCTCAGGCTTTGCGTCTTGTACTGAGAGTCACACCATCTGCTCCTGTAGTTCTCAAGCTTTTGGAATCAGACTGAATCACACTATGGGCTTTCCTGGTTCTCCAGCTTGCAGATGGCATATTGTGGAACTTCTCTACCTCCATAATCACGTGAATCAATTCCCATAATACATCTTCTCTTCTATATGTATATTTATATATTCGATTGGTTCTGTTTCTCTGGAGGGCCCTAAAACATCTGTTCTGGAGTGACGGAAATCATGGCATTGGTTTCTTTAGCTGTAAGGGTTATTGGCTGACAAGGAGGTTAAGGAAATTTCAATTCTTCATTTTGATTTGTGTGGCAGTTATATGGGTTTATATTTGTTAAAACACATCAAAATGTGCTTTTTATATCTGTGCATTTACTTTTGTAAAATTTACTTCATTAAAAAGAATCCCTACAAGCCTTGGTGTAGTGGCTCATGCCTGTAATCCCAATACTTTGGGAGGCCAAGGTGAGAGGGTCGCTTGAGCCCAGGAGTTTGAGACCAGCCTGGGCAACAAAGTGAGAACTTGTCTTCCAAATAAATAAATAAAATAGATAGGTGTGGGGTGTGGTCCCAGATACATGAGAGGCTGAGGCAGGAGGATCGCTGCAGCCCAGGGGGGTGAGGCTGCAGTGAGCCAAGACAGCACTTCTGAAATCTAGCCTGGGTGACAGAGCGAGAAAAAAAAAAATTACTACAGATTTTGCACCTTAACATTAAAAGGATAATAAGGAAATATTATAAATAATTTTATGCTCATTAATTCAATAACCTAGAAGAATTACACTAATTCCTTGAAAACTACAAACTGACAAAATTCAACTAAGATAAAACAGATAATCTCAATAGCCATACAGGCATTGAAGAAATTGAACATATAATTTGATAGCTCCTGAAAACATATCTCCAGAACAAAATGGTTCCAATGGAGAATTCTACTAAACATTTAGAGAAGGATTAATGTCAAGTCTACGTAGTCTCCTTCAGAACACAGAAGGGGAGGGAATATAATACTTCCCAACTCATGTTATGAGACCAGTATTAACCTGATACCAAATGAGGCAAAGAAAATACAAAAATAAAACAAAAGACACCATAGAGACCAATATCCCTCATAAATATCACCACAAAAATCCTTGACAAAATATTAACAAACAGATTCAGAAATATCTAAAAAGAATTACACACCATGACTGAGTAGACTTTATACTAAGAGTGCAAGGCTGGCCTAACATTTGCAAATCTATTGATGTAATCCTCCATATCAACAAAATCCAGATCTCTAGAACTTTTAGGTAATCTATGAAGCAGTAAAAATTAGTCTGTCCTCAGATTTTACTTTTCCAATAATAAGTGTTGATAAAATCTCCTGTATTTAAATGGTAAATAAAAGATGGCATATTCCTAATCTGAATTGTCTACGGAAGATGCATTCTCATTCACATGTGCATGCACATACACACATCTACCCTGGCACATAGATAATTGAAAAAAAGATACATCTTTTAAAAAATGGTAATACTTTTGGATAGTAGAATTATATGTGTGTTAAATTTTCAATATTTAAAATATATTTTCTACGATGGAGCTGAATACGTATTTAGGTCCAGGAAAAAATAACTAATCTGAAGGGAGATACATGTATTGGTATTTATCCAAGTAATTTCATTCATCTCTTTTCGGATTTTGAAAATTATATCAAATATCAATATAAGCAATTCTACATAACAAGAAACACTATTATCACAGATAATTCCCCTCAAATTTATGACTCTAAAAAAAATTCTAAAGGACAATGTAGGAGACAGTCAACTATTACAGCTTTAATACAGCTTTAACGCCTGACCACCAAGCTAGACTTAACCAGATTGTAAAATGAATTAACATTGACATATTGAAAAAAATGATAGAATTTCACGACAGTGAACTATTGTGGTCAAATCATAAGGGATTAGCCTTTTAAAATGTATCTTAAAAAAACACCAACTTTCCATTATCACATATTAGGTGTCTTCCATAGATAAATGTTATTATGAAAATACAAATGAAAAGTACATCTGTGGCCATTTTTATCCTAATAGCTCAGCATTAATATAATGTCCAGGAATCGGATGTAATTACCGTGAAAGCCCCATGGCTTAGCTCTGCCACTGATTTCTTAAACAATCAATCTGAGAAGCTGAAATAGGGAGTCTGGGGGCATTTTTACCAAGCAGAAAATTACATTTTCATTAAAAATAACACATCAATTTATATTTTAAGTGGACAATAATGGATAAAGGATGCATTTGATGTCATAGCTTAGAATACCAGATGTCTCTTTTTCCAGGTTAATGTGTTATGTATTTTCAAACACTTTAAACTCCCTCCATACAAAAATTATAGATATGACTTTATTCTTTGAGTGAAGGAAAGTGTAGAGACTGAAAGAAAAATAACTCTGAGAGTCTTTCTTTTGTGGATCCTACAGGAAACATGTACACTCACACCCATACTCATACCTGTAGGGTTTGGGTGTTAGCAGTATCTCCCTTTGTCCACAATAGAGAAAGAGCTAGAAGAGTTGGGAAAATAAAGTGAAAAGGGTCACTCACTTGAGAGAAAGAATTGGGGTTGTCACATACTTCCCTTACCTTCTCTTTCTTCTTTTAACTCATTTCTTCTACTCCACGGACCCTACACATAGTCTAATTAATAACAATGGCATTAACATAGGTTAAAGCTCTTCTGGGTTCCCTGCTCTACCACAGGGGTGTAAAACCTAGAAACTACATTCCACAGACTCCCTTGCCAGCAGAATTCTAGTTAGTGAGATAGCACCAATAATAAGAAGTACTTGCATGAGACTTGTAAGAAAGAAGAAAAGCGAAAGCCATTACTCTTCAGCTTTAGACAGATCCTAAGTGTTGGTAAATCGTAGAGATGAGGTTTCCCTTGTGGCATTTTGATGAAGTCTTATGTATCAGCTACTCTGATGCTGCAGGTATCTGAGAACTTTGGTAGTGGTTGTCTACAATTCTTTCATATCCAGATTTCCCAAAAGAGGCCTTTCTGTCCTTCATTACTTTAATCTTTCTATGGTTGTGTAAGCCTTCGAATCCCATGTAATAATTTTCTTTCTACTCAACATACCTAGAGACTTTGTTTTCCTGACCAAAACTCTAACAAACTCTTCCATGGAGAAGTTATTGATAACCTCAAATAATTTCTGGTTTGAGGGACGAATGAGTTTATTCATTTCACCTGTTTTTAAAAATGTTCTTTTCACTTAGGGAGCTAAATGGAATGAACAAATGAAACAACAGCTCGCCCTGAAAAAAATCATACCTTCAGCACTGTTTAGCATCATGGACTATCAAAGCCCCCATTATCACAGTTTGAATATGTAAATTATTAAATCAATCATTGCAAACAGGAATACGACATGGTGAAGTGGCAAGTTGATAGGTGAACCATACAAAAATCAACAGTAACTTATCTGTTTGATCCATAAAACAGCAATTTTATATGGTTTGGCCTAAAAATTATATAAAATTGGAAATTATTTTCAGTAGAAATGTATTAATACTGCCAATCTCCAAAAGAGGTTACATTCTCATTTTAAACAACAAAAAAAATTAGCTGGGAAAATACGTGCCTTTTTCACGTGAAAAGCCATGTCAATGAAATACATAACTCCACCCTCACGCACATATCACCTGTGATTGCAGAAGCATTTCTCCTTCTCTGGCCTCCTCTAGCTCTTGATGATCTTGGATCCCTTACCTGCCTGCATGCTCAGTCTTGAACTCGGTTCTAGAACAGCCCAGGCTTGATGTAAGATGTGCTCCTGTTACTTTCGTCACACCCAAGCACTCCTCTGCACTGATCCCACTCAGTACCTTACATTCTGAGCCAGTGACCAGTGTCCCACTGTGTCCTTACCTATCCCCCTCCAATAATCTGGAATACTGTTACATGTTGAGGTCCTGCCACTTGTGTGCAGACCCAGAATCTGTGTGATCAGGCTTCTGGTTATTGACACCCTGGGTCCCCTGTCACTTTGCTCTGTCAAGACACCTTTTCCTTGATTTTGGATCCCGTGGTGTTGATGGTTGTCCCATGGTGTTATCCCAAATTATTTGAGGTTGTCCCATGATGTTGACTAAGTATTACTCCAGCATTGTGCCCAGTGCCTACCAAACTTCATAAATATTCAATGAAGAATAAATTTTAAAAATCAAAGGTTGTTCAGAGCAGGCCTTAGTGGGAACCTAGCTAGAAACCTTGAAATAGCTAGAAAATTTACCTAGCGATTAAGGTCATGAAGATTTTGGTTGAGATTACTTTTTCCACAAAAAATTTTAGACTTTGGCAGACCATCTGGAGAAGGTAGGTGTGGTTTTCATCCACATGTTGACACTGGCTTATCACACCCTAGCCCACCTTGCAGCTTGCAGACAAGAGGAAAGAAATGGAAGGGAACCACCTTCCTTTATCAGACAACTAGACCTGGATCACATTTGCCCACTGCCCATTGTCAGATGACCACTCTCATCTTCTAGGGAGTGTCATGCAGCAATGCCATGTGCTGGGGACTTTGAAGAAATTAGAAGGAGGCAGGGATGCATTAGAAGGCATTGTAAAAGCTAAAGAAGCAAATTATGATGGTAGTTCTCAATCTTTAAAGTGATAGTTCTTAGTCTCTTAAAAATTATTGATGACTTTAAAGACCTCTGGTCATGGAGACCATATCTATTAATCGTTACCATATTAGAAACACAAAGTGAGAAAATTTTAAAACACAAGAATACAAAAACACATATTCTATTAATCGTCAGAGTGATAAGATGTTACCACATGTTATATAGCTTCTGGAAAACTCGCTGAATATTTGGGAGAGAATAAGAGTACAATGAGCAAATAATATTTTAATATTATTATGAAAATGGTTTTGACATCAAGGATGCTCTGAAAAGGTCTTGGGGACACCCAGGTATCTCTGGATTAGAAGTTGAGAGAACCACTGGCTTAAACTAAGGTCCTGTCATTGGATATGGCAAAAAGAAATACATTGAGAGACTTTAAGGGATTAGAAATAACAGGATTTGATGACATCTTTCAATAAGACATAATTTACAAACACAAGCTTCTTTCAACATTAGTTAGGTTGTCATTGTTTTGAAGCTAACATTTAAGGTGCACTATACTAAGTGCTTAATACATGATTTCATTTAAACCTTACTGAAACCTTATGACATGATGCTGTTAAGGTTTTCCACAGCCAATATGCATGATGAACTTCATGCAACTGGTATAGCAAGAGATGTAAAATTGTCTGCCTAGCAACAACCAGAGTGCTTCTAAGACATGTAAAGTTTTAAATAAAAGCTTCCAGCCCATGCCTTAGAAATGACCCTGTGCCTCCAGGGAAATCTTCTTTAAAATAAGTTTCTGATCTCTGTTGCTACAGAGACCTGACTTCACTATTTCTCTTGGTTCTGGTTCTGACACTGTTCCTGCTCTAGTTATTCAATATTGCTTACTGCTCAACTCCTGTTCCATCTGTTTCTTCTGACTCTATCTTTAACCTGGATTCCATTCTTATTACTCAGCTAAACTTAGTTTCTCAACACCTGTTCCAACTTTCCTCCCGTTGTTACCTCTCTCTTCTGGTATGTGAACTGATTTTCTTATATTCCAATTGGCAATCTGGTCCAACTACCCTCAGATATTCTGAAAATTTCTCTAGGCATTATTTGCAAGGTGACACCACAGTCATCCTCTGCTCATGGTCAGCCCAGAGTTAATCCTTTGGTTTTGGCATTAGCCCTTCTGGGTCTGATATCGGAAGTGGAATCCTGCAGGAAGAGAAAGTGGGGCAAGGCCGAGGGCATAAATGTGTGTTTCGAATGAGAAAAAACAAATTGCTTATTCGGACCTCTAGCAACTGCCAATAAAGTATTTGAGGTTTTTGTTTGCTTGTTTTATTTCTTTCTTTCCACCATGATACAATACCTATAGCGATATGTTATAATTATGAAGTGTATTATGAAGATTAGATGGTGCTGAATGTTTAAAGTGATAGGGTAAGGTGAAAAAACCTTCCCGAAGCAGTGTCCTTACACAGCAATTTAAGGAAACTAGTCATTTCATTAAGATTGCCACAGGGAAGAGGTTAGAGTACAGAGTACTGCATTTGTTTTGGCAATAGAAAATATGCAGGGGTCTTTAAAATACAGTAACCAAAATATAATTATCACAATTTTAAAAAATGAACAATAATTCAAGAACTAAATATCAAGTTACTGTTTGCACTTCTCTGATTATTATCTTATAAATGATTCATTTTCTGGTTTACATTTTGTTTGAATCAAGAGCTAGGTCTATACATTGCAATTGTTTAATATATTTCTTAAGTCTCTTTAAGTCTATAGATTCTACCTGTGTTTTTTTTCCCTCCTCTTACACTTATTTGTTGAAGAAACCAAGTCGTTTTCTCATAGAATTTCTCACAGTCTAGATTTTGCTGATTGCATCTTGTAGTGTTCCTTGTATTTCCTGTATATTAACTGTTGGACCTAAATGCATTATCATGGCCAAGAAACATATGAAAAACAGCTCATCATCACTGATCATTAGAGAAATGCAAATCAAAACCACAATGAGATACCATTTCACGCCAGTCAGAAAGGCAATTATTAAAAAGTTAGGAAACAATAGATGTTGGCAAGGCTGTGGAGAAATAGAAATGATTTTACACTGTTGGTGGGAGTAAATTAGTTCAACCATTGTGGAAGACAGTGTGGCAATTCTTCAAGGATCTAGAATCAGAAATACCATTCGACTGAGCAATCCCATTACTGGGTATATACCCAAAGGATTATAAATCATTCTACCATAAAGACACATGCACACGTATGTTTATTGCAGCACTATTTGCAATAGCAAAGACTTGGAACCAACCCAAATGCCTGTCAATGATAGACTGGATAAAGGAAATATGGCACATATACACCATGGAATACTATGCAGCCATAAAAAAAGAACGAGTTCATGTCCTTCGCAGGGACATGGATAACGCTGGAAGTCATCATTCTCAGCAAGCCAACACAGAAACAGAAAACCAGACACTGCATTTTCTCACTCATAAGTGGGAATTGAACAATGAGAACACACGGACTCAGGGAGGGGAACAACATACACTGGGGCCTGTTGGGAGGTAGGGGGGCAAGCGGAGGGATAGCATTAGGACAAATACCTAAGGCATGCAGGGCTTAAAACCTAGATGACAGGTTGATAGGTGCAGCAAACCACCATGGCACATGTACACCTATGTAACAAACCTGCACATTCTGCACGTGTATCTTGGAACTTAAAGTAAAATAAAAAAAAATGCTTTATCAGACAACTTCAGAGGTGGTGGTGTGTGCCTTCTCAGGAGTTATATAATATCTGATTACAACTCCTTTTATATTCTTAGCTATTGATGGTCATTTTCTAGATCCATTAATTCATTCAGAATTGCAAAATGAAAATATCCTAATTTTAAAAACATTTCATAGTTCATCAGCTGGAGCAATTCCATAAAGGGAAGTTTCCCTTATGATGTAATTTCTTGTCTTGAGGAATAGCTAATTACAGAGAGGCAGGATAAATCCTAGATTCCCTTACTCCCTTCGGCCAATGAGAGCCTATTCATGTTGCCATCTGAACCCTTTTTACTAGACTTTAGTAGTAGTCTTTAACAGCTTTTTTGCTTTCTTATGTGAAAATAATTTCCAGGCTTATCTTGGAATTTTCCTACCTTAGATCTGTAGGCATCCATTTCTCAAAGGATTTCTGGCTCCATTTAGAAATAGTTCATATTGGTGACCACAATGTGAACACTGGGGATGCTCAGAGCTACTGAATCAGTCATTGTTTCTAGGCTTTTTAGAAACAGACAGGAAATATGTTTTTCGTTTGTTTCTTTTTAATATAAAGACATTCTGAACTCATACCGCTACTTTTAATTCAAATTCAGTGCTATTGGATATTTATCCAACCTGTTAATTCTACGTCTTTATCTTCGTTCCTCTTTTTAAGACATGTTTCTAGGTTTTTTTCCCTTACTGGAGAATTGCATTCTTATGCCATTCTAAATAGTTTTGTATGGTTACGCCATCAAGTGATATACATTTAGATTTACATATTTCTTTTTGCTCTTGAATTTCAAGAACTGCTTTTTAAATTAATTTTTATCATTATTTAAAATATTTACATGTTTTCAAAGTAAAATTGACAAACAAATATGTTAAAAGAAGTCAAACTTGTATTTCTGCTCTTCACACTTTTATTTCTTCATTTCCACCGGTCCTCTCCACCTTTTTCTCCCTATCCTCCAAATGACCATATAACTTTGGTCTACATTGAGACATTTTCAAAAGTGAAAAGGGGTTCTATTAATAATTGCACTTTGAAGAGAAGAATAAACTGGAACTTTTCCAGGCAAATCTGGCATATATGTCATTCTGTCTTGAAAATATTATTTACAAATTTAGTCTTTTTCCTTAAAATATATAGGCTAATACATATACATTAGACAAAACCACATCAAATTTTAGATATTTCACTGCCTTTTAACCTAAAAAAACAGCAATTTCATGCATTCAACATAAATATTCATGTCTCTTCTAGAAAAATGGTGGCACATTCTACTAACTTTCCCCCACTTTACTTTTTCATTTAAATATATGCTAGAGATATTCCATAGTGGTAGATAAAGAGAGTCTCCATTTCTTTTACAGCTGCAGAGTCTATCTTGCATAGTTGGATCATTGTTTATTCAGCCAGTGGCTGTTAATGGAATTAGTTTTGTTTTTGCATTTTTGGTTTTAAAAGTAGTAATGCAATCAATAGCCTTGTACATAATGTCTTTTCATGTTTTTGCCAATGTCAGTTTTGGGATAGATTCCTAGAAAAGGAATTGCTGAGTCAAATGACAATGTGTATGTGATTTTTCAAGAGGGGGCCAAATTCTTCTCCATGGGAGTTGTACTTTTTGCCTTCCCACTAGCAATGTGTGAGAGGCTTACCCATAGCCTTTTGGTATTTATCAGTTTGATATTTGCCATGAATTTTCATTTTCCTGTGACATTGCACATGCTATGTTCTTTTATAGAATACCTTCAATTTTTTTTATACATAACAAACTTCCGCTCATGTGGGCTGCCAAGATTTCTTTGGCGTGCTCCCCATCAAGCATGACCTGACTAAGGATACGTACATCAGATTTGTATTGATATGCAATATAGTTGGGCACAAATCCCTTTCTGGAGCTTTGTGGAATAATTTGTACTGGAGTCCCCACTCCCTGTTCTCTCCTGCCAGATCATTCTTTAAGACTGTGATCAAATGTTGCTGCTTCTATGAAGCGTTTTCTAACTCTCTTCTATTTCTACAGCATTTACAGGTACTTCTGTTGTGAGGATAATCACACTGTGATTGCTAGTGCTCAGCCAAGTCTTTAGCACAAATAAAGATACATTTCTGAAAGAGTACTGCAGACAAGGTAGTATTAACTGATGGAAGACTTTGACATTTACAGTGAAGAGTTTTTGATCTAGAGAGCAATGGAGAGCCACTGGAATTTTTTTCTTTTATATGTTTCTGTATATATGTTGTTGTCAGATTGAAAGGACAAATTACACTTGAGGTTGTATTTATATTTATGGCTGAATAAATAATATTTGTCATTTTTCTTATTTCTATTTTTTCCACCCACTGTTATACTATTGCTTTTATTATATTAATTTCCAAAGTACATTACAGAGCATATGATCTTTCAAGGTTTTGTTCCACATGTGTTATGCATAGTAACTGCTCATTTCTATTAAAAATACTCATAAATTGAATCACATTACAAATAAGTGCCATATACTTAACTGAGCAATATACACACATACACATTCCTGATAGGTGATACAAAGGCAAGAAATTCTGAGAAATTTTAAGATTGTGATCTGTATCATTTGGATGGTATAGCAGGAGTGGCAGAGGGAGGAACGTTTCCTAAGTTCTTCACTTACTGGCTCCTGCACTTAGGTAGGATCATGTCACTAGTGCTGGCCAATGAGCAGAAGTATGGTGTGCCATTTCTGGAGTAAGGGAAACGTATGTGCAATTTCTAATTTATTTTTTCTCTTCCATTGATACTGAGGAGGCACCACGACCCACTGCACATTTGCAAGGCAGTAAGAGCTCTGTTCGTCCGTTTGCATCTCTGAGTGACTATGTGGAACAAAATCCCCTCCTGATGTGCCTGGGATATGGAACAAGTGTAAAAATAAACTTTTATCATATTAAGTCACTGGAATTTTTATGGTCATTTGTCACTGAATACAAACTAATACACTTGGTTTATGGAGAAAAGAACTAAGCTATCAAATTTAAATATTTGGAAGATTAGTGAACACACTTCTATTATTTTTAAATTTAAGTCAATGGTGATAACGTAATAGAACTTAAAATACCTTTGAAATGTTTATTTTGAATAATGGAAGTCAAGTGAATGCTTGGGACAGAAGTGAATAAGCAGTGATAGACAAGACTGCGGTCAATGATGATCCACGTAACACTGGTCTGTCTGCTTGTTTATTTATCATTTCCTGTGTGACTAACACTGTTGGACTCTGGGGTTGCAAATATAAGCAAAGTAGACAATATCCCTGCCCTAAAGAAGATTTTAGCCCAGAGAAAGACAGCTAATTAAAAAGTGAATAAATTAGATAAATAATCACAGATTTTTGAAAAGTGTTATGAAAGAAATCGGGGGCAGAGGTGTTGTAAAAGAAAATAATGGAGGTGATTCAGGGGGCTGAGGACCATAGTTAAATGAAGTGGTCAGGAAGAAAACCTTTCTAAGGAGGTAATATTTAAACAGAGGCATGGAGGGCGAAAAGAATCCTGGAATTCAAACAGTGTTCACAGCAGAGAAAGAGCATATAGTCCCTGAGGTGGGAGATGAAGGATGGCTGGTACATTTTTAGCAAAGGAGAGATGACAGGAAATTATATTTTCAAGGTGGGTAGAAGCCAGGCTTTGTAAATCAGAGTAAGAAGTTTAGATCTGATTTTAAATATGACATCAAGAGTTTTCTATTTTATTCTAAGTGAAGTTGGGATGTGACATGATCTAAATATGGTTTAAAAAAATGCTTTGCTCTGTGAAGAAAGTATAGGAGGACACCATGGGTGGACACTGGGAGAGCAGTTAATTGGCTCCAGGTGATGACTTGGACAGGGGAGGCCAGGGTGGGTATGGAGTGGAGTGGATGGATTTAGAATATATTTTGAGGATAAAGCCATCAGAACTTGCTGATGGATTGGATGCAGAGAATGAGGAGAAGGGAAAAACCAAGGATAATTCCTACCTTTCTGGCACAGATAGCTGAGTGAATAGTGATGACAATAATTGAAATGGGGATGAGGAGGAGGAGCAAGTTGGAAGATAAATCAAAAGCTTCCCTTTGGGTCAGGCATGGTGGCTCATGCCTGTAATCCTAGCATTTCAGGAGGCCAAGGCAGGAGAATTGTTTGAGCCCAGGAGTTGGAGACAAGCCTGGATAACATAGTGAGACTTGGTTTATACTTTAAAAAGAAACAAAATAGCCAGATGTGGTGATGTGTGCCTGTAGTCCTAGCTATTTGGGAGGCTGAGGTAGGAAGATGGCTGGAGCCTAGAAGTTTGAGGTTGCAGGGAGCTATGATTGCACCACTGCACTCCAGCCTAAGTGACAGAGATAGACCCTGGCTCTTAAAAATAAAATAAAATAAAGCTCTTTGAATGTGTGAAGTTCGAGACACCTTTGAGACAACTAATGTCAACTGGAGAGCTGACTACAGGAGTTTAATTCAGAGAAAAGATTTGAACTGGAGATACAAACTTGGAAACTATCTCCATGTAGGTAGTATGTAAACAGACACTACCTACATGAGAACAGATGAAGTGGTCTACGGAGAAAGTGAAGGTAGAGAGTAGAAGAGTGGACAAAGAATCTCATTTGTGTTATGAAGGTTCCTATTACATAAAGTAGAATATTTCAGAAGACATCTGAATCCACATATTAAGTAATAATTTATGATAAAGTTGGATTGTATTAACAAAATATTACTACTGGCAAAGGAACAAGCAAAAATGTGAGAAGAAAATGTATATTTTAAATAACACTCATTGATGGAAAAATAGAAAGCTCTAAAAAGTTGGAAGCTTTTTTGCTTTGCTTTAATAAGACTAACTAGCTAATGTTTTATATTTTCAAGCGAGTTAGTGTGAGGAAGGCTGGCATCATTGCTTTTTGGACGTTTGTTTGAAATCTATAATGCTGCAGAATCCATTACATCGCACACATAAAAATGACTAAGATGGAGAAAAAAAATTTCAGTGTATCTTGATATACCTTAAATATTAAGGTGTGCTTGAGACAGGAGCCCAGTGATGAAAAATTTATAGTACTAGAAGTATAATTCTATTATCATGATAGTTTATGACTATCTGTATAGTCAGATTAAAGGTAACTTTAGAACAATGGATAGGTTTTTCAAATGCAGAATCAAGGTTGCAATTTTGTAGCATATAAGCTCTCAAATCTCTAGGGGGAAATGTAGAAAAATAAAAACTTACTGAAGTAAGGCAATGTGCATCCTACATTATTATGGCAACAAATCGATAATGGTATTACAATAAAATCTGGTGTAATCACATTTTCCTTCTTCGTATTGCAGTATTAATCTCTGTCTGATGGGAGATGAGATGAATCACAAGATGTATAATGGAATGCAGAATATTTTGCTTGTTACAGTCAAAGCAGTGGGACCAGTAATTACTGAAAGTTTTTTTTTAATTACTTCACAAATGCTTGTTGCCCTTTTCGGCCTTTTCAACAGCTTAAGTAGCCACACCTCAGAGCTATTAATATTATGCATTTTAATTTTTTTTTCTTTATCCCTTCCTTGTACCCAACTACTAGCAAAAAGGCTTGGAGCATCCGGGAATGGCCTTGATACTGAAGTCAGCAGGCAAAATCTACTACTGCCTGAGCACCAGGCCAAGGGGCCAAAAATGGTCTGGAGATTACCCTCTTGTTACCTCAGTAAAAGTGTGGCCGAAGAGAAGGACACACACTAGTTTCCCTAGTCTGAGTTTTTCTGCAATCAGGAAAGTATCCATTAATTTACAAAGAAACAAAAGGCTTAAAGCTTTGTCAAAAATCAAATGCAGGCCATGTGCAGTGGCTCATGCCTGTAATCCCAGCACTTTGGGAGGCTGAGGTGGGTGGATAGCTTGAGGTTAGGGGTTCAAATCCAGCCTGGCCAACATGGCAAAACCCCATCTCTACTAAAAATACAAAAAATTAGCCAGGCGTGGTGGTGGGCATCTGTAGTCCCAGCTACTCAGAAGGCTGAGGCAGGAAATTGCTTGGGAACCTGGGAGGTGGAGGTTGCAGTGAGCCAAGATCGTGCCACCGCACTCCAGCTTAGATGACAGAACGAGACTCTGGAAAAAAAAATTAAATGAAGCTAAAGTTTTATTATCATACCTTTCCACTTCCTTGAAAAAATTCAGTAGCTCTTGTATGATTTTAAATTTATCATTTTCTATACAATCTATAGCATGGCTTGCCTATTTTCTCTTATTTTTTTATTGCAATTTGTGGCTGTAAATATGCAAAGATATTTATGAACAAACATTCTACCAGAAACAAATATAAGAGAAACATATATTTTCACTATATACATACTTATTTTTATTAAGGGCATATAATGACCCTTTGTTTGAAAACATATTACTAAAATGTGGTTTCATAATCATATAGGTAGACTCTTTATATTGTAACCAGCACAAATATTCACTAAGGAGAAACATGCAAAATATTTTTCAAATACATATTTCAGTTGAGAACTGGACCTTGAGAACTAGAGATGCCCTGATAAGCATTCAAGATATAGCCAATCCTACCAACTGTTTTGTGATTCTAGAAGAGAGTAGGGAATATCTGGACTATCTGGAATGTCTACAATATCTGGAGAGAATCCAAATTGCCAAATGATATCAAATAATCATATGAATAATGTCTTATTTCTGGAAGCAGTCAAATGAGACCCATGTGAGCAGTTAGGACAATATCCACTTTAAGCCTTCTGCAAACAATTTCTGTAATCTTTCCTAAACCTGCTTTTACAGCACTCATTAGTATTCTTTGGCTGTCTGGCACTTGATGCCTCTGTGATAGATATTAAATATCTTAAGGGAGGCAGGCCCCACTAGTATGTCACAAGCTGATGCTGTGGCTCATGCAAGCCAAAGCTCCATGGAGAAGCCGATGGCAAAACCTCAGAAGAGTGACAGGTCACAGCTGTTAGCCCTAGGATAGATGCTGGGTGAATCAAGGCCTAGTGTAAGTCTTTTTGTTCCCAATCAAACATGTGGGCTACACAATCCTTAAGGTAACCAAGCTGGATTCTCAACATGGTATTCCTAACTCTAAATGGGAGTCTCAGATTAGGAATGCCTTGCACATTTTAGATGCTTAGGTTATATAATATTGATGTAAGTATGTTGGGTAACTGCAGACAATGCTTGCATGAAGGAATATTATGCATCTGTCTCCTCAGCAAATGTATTGTTATTTGGTTATTGTGCCTCTACCATGCCACAATGTCTCATTCCCAAATTACCAAACATTCAATTGCTCTCCTGGGTCTTTTGGTTTCAAAACTTTGTGGAAGAGAACTATAACTCCTTGCTTAAATCCTTGTCATCAGATGTAAAAGCTAGAATAAACTGCATTTTATAACCCTAGGAAAGCTTTGGAAACTCTCAGCATATTAATAAGGAAGCTTTATTTCTGTCCTATTGGGGAAAAAATTAGTAGTTTATCTGAAGATATAAAGTCAAGATCCCTAACAATTTTTCTTTTCTTTCCTGAAGCAGGTCCCCAAATTTTTAACTTTTAATTTACTTTTCATTTAGTATAGGATATTCTCAGTGAGATGTACCATTGTATGCGTGTCTTTGATATCTAGAAAACTCTACATGAGCTATTTACATGTAAAAAGTTAATATTCAAGATGTTTTGATAGTGGTAAAGCATCAAAGCAATTGTACTGGTTGAGATGCAACTTGTCACTTGGAATAAATCAAACCTTTTAAAGTATATTAATAGAAAATGACTGTACACTAAAAAAATTAATTGGATGGTGATAATTTTTATATATTATATATAATAAATTGCATGTTATGTAAAGAAATTTTTTTAAAGATGGTAAGGCAAACTTTAATCTTGTGGGGGCCATAGTGATAGGTAAAGGGATCACTGGAATGGGGTCTTGCGGTGGAGGAGGGAGATTGGACTCAACTCCCTGTGTAAAGCAATTGTGAAGCTTTAGCTTACAAACGAGGTTGTTTTCCTTGTGAATGGGTTAGAATGACCAGTTTTATCAATACATATGTTACAATCAACTGTAAGTGTCATAAGTCATTAATTACTGATGGTAGACAAAGTACAAAAATTTGTAGAAGACTGTCTTTAGAATACATTAGAGTTGATTCAAAGTTATCTTCATATTAACATCTCTCTCACTTGTCCTGGAATATGCTTCCTAGACTGTGAGAGAGGGGAATTAAAGGAACTGGACAACAGAGCATGACACACACATGAGCTCCATTCCCATTTGCAGCACAAGGTATGATATTGTAGTATAATCAGAAATGTGTATTTGGTCTTCATCCTCAGTTTCTGACAGAGAGCTCCCCAAACCCTTGCAGCTTCTTCAGTGATAGGAGTATCTTTTGTCGTAATATTTGGTTTTAGCTCTCGGTTCCTGACACAAGAGTTTATAAGACTCTTGGAATCTCCAGAATGATGAGTATTTTTTTTGAGTATTTTTTGATGAGTATTTTAGGTAAAAAGTTGTGAAAACTACTGGGTTTAAACAAAATGAGAAATAGTGTAATATAACCAGGATAATAATATAATTTATCAAACAAACTGGGATACTTCTGAGAATAAAGGTGTATCTGTTTTTAATTATACCTGGTCATAAATATGGTTGAATACTTGAGTTATGAAGTTAAAAAAAACAAGGTTCAAATCTCAATTATTTCATTTATTAGCCATATGACATTGGGAAAGTTACTGTCTTAGTTTGTTTTCTATGGGTAAAATGGGCTTACCAATTGCTACCTTATAAAAGCACTGTGCCTAGGCTGAGGCAGTACAATGGCGTGAACCCCGGGGGGCGGAGCCTGCAGTGAGCCGCGATCGCGCCACTGCACTCCCTCCTGGGCGACAGCAAGACTCCGTCTCAAAAAAAAAAAAAAAAAAAAAAAAAAAAAAAAAAAAAGTACTGTGCCTGTCAGGCTCCAAGCAGGAGACAGAAACCCCGCAGTTATTTGAACAAAGTAAGTTTAATATAAAGAATTATCTTCTATAGGGGACTGGGGGTGACAGAGGATTAGCTGGTAAGCAGTAACGAGGCAGCAGTGGCAGTTAATGAGGAGCAGCCATCTCCTTAGGGCTGAGCTAGACCACCCATGGAAAACCCAGTAGAATTAGCTTGCTGCAAGGTGGCTCAAGAAGATGTCAAGGGGCGCTATCCATAGGGAGATGATTTGTCAGTAACACCTGGCTATGAAGTTATCTGATGGGGTGTTGGGGAAAATTTTTGGCCACCAGGGCTGCTAGCTGCTATGTGTCCTAGGAGGCAGAGCTGGAAAAGATGCCCTCGGGGCAGGTGCCCGACCAGAGGACAACACCAGACCCAGGAGAGAAACACTCCTTCCTCCTTCAGTGTCCCTACAAACAGTGTCTGCTAGCAAAGCTTAACCTTGTGCCACTGTGGAAAGACAAAAATATTTAAATGGTTCAGCTCTAATTTTGCAGAACAAGGAATTAAGAATAGATTTGGAGCTGAGTGGCAATAAATTGATAAATACGACAAGCACATTAAAGTCACAGAAAGTATTGTATTGAACACATGTGAGATGCTAACATTTAACATGTTTAGTGTAGTGCTTAGAATATGGTAAATGGTATATAAATTCATGCATCACATACTGTTATTATATGTTCTATATATGCCTCTCTATTATAGATGAGGCTAGGGCTTGAATTAATGACTCTAAGAGATGTAAGACAATCAATATTCAGAAGAATGAGGCAGTATATATTCTCGGTAGAGCTAAAAAGAAACGAAAACAAGGATACTAACTACTATAGTTAAGGGAGCATTCTGATCTGTGATTATTTTTTTAAAACAGAATTGTAAGCCCCTATCTAAGTACGTTTGCATTGCTATAAAGGAATACCTGAGGCTGGGTAATTTACAAGGAAAAAAGGTTTATTTGGCTTATGGTTCTGCAGGGTGTACAAGAAGCATGGTGCCAGCATCTGTTTCTGATGAGGGCTTCAAGAAGCTTCCACTTATGGTGGAAGGTGAAGGGGAGCAGTCATCCCATGGCAAGAGACGAAGGAAGAGAGAGAGGAGAGGGTGCCAGGCTCTTTTTAAAAATCAGTGCTCAAGGGAACTATTAGAGAGAGAGTACACTCATTACCACAAGGATGGCACCAAGTCTTTCATGAGGGATCCACCCCCATGACCCAAATACCTCCCACCAGGCCCACCTCCAACACTGGAGATTAAATTTCGACATAAGATTTGAAGGGGATAAACACCCAAACTATGTCAGCCCCTGAAATAGCAGCAACACTGTTTTGCTAGAGCTCTAGTATGGAAAATTCCAAGCTTAGAGTTTTTCATGTTCAAAAAAACCAAATTTTTTAATTTATAAAAATATTGTTCCATTGAAGCTTCATCACCTTCCTTTTGTATCGAGCAAGTATGTATTATCTTCTTATTAATCCTCAATGCTCTTGAGAGGCAAGAGTATAGAATTATTCTTTCCATTTTCTATTGTCTTCACTCCTAACAGTTGGTTTAATATCATGTTATTAAAGCCAAGTTCCCTTCCTTTTATTTTTCTTATTCCTAGCTATAGACTAGCTATTTTTGATCCTGAATCATAATATTTTGTTAATTTGGTATATGGCTTTTTATGCTATTTCATTTATGCTTTTCATGTCTGTCATAGTGTGTATCAGCCTCTCAGATCACTGATTTCGTGGTTAAACATTAGGGTTTTATATTTATTCCATTTATCAAACCTCCACCTGTGTTCCTTACCGTTCTCCAAATCCAGTCTTCATTCACTGTAGTAGTTGACTCCCACATAATGTTTATTTAATGTTTCTCCCCAGAATTAGTCTTTTATGTGAAGTTACATGTCTTGACCTCTCATTAAATTAAATTTACAGCCTCCCACGCTTTTTTCTCTCAATGATTTCTTTTAAACTTTACCTGTTTCCTAAAACTTGCTGTGAAGTACTCATAATGACTATTTTAGATCAAGTATATCAATAGCCTATTCTTTTTATTCTAGAAAATATATTTTCTTGGCTATCATACTTATATATTAATAATACAAAATCTAAGAGCCTCCTTCTGTAATTTTCTTGAACCACAAAGATATCTTCAAATCTCTGTCAATAGCTCAATTCGCTTTTATATAAATAGTAATGTGTGTGTTTTAAGCATTTTTATCATATCAATGAAAATATTTTAAAAATGAGATTGAAAGTCTGGAGCTAGTAGTTCAGGGCAAATGAGATGTCAACTAAATTTACCTTTTCCTAAAATATACTGTTTTATTACATTTCTGTATTGTCTGAAATGTTTACTAAATATAGTCTTATGAGGGAAAATAGTGGATTTGAGAAAGAGTTTGCCATTTCATATTTTACTTTGTTATAACTCTTATGTATTGTTGTTTTTTACAATGTTCTGAGGGGAAAGTAATAGCTAATAGTAAATATTAAACCAATTCTAGCTCTGTACACCAGAACCTTGTGGTGCATGATTTAAAACCTTTTCATAATTTCCACAGCCTTTTTTAAAGGTGCTTGGTCTTAACCACTCTTCTGGAATGTAAGGAATCCCCTCTCCTTGAGGGAGCTTTAGACCCAGCCACATTTGTGTACTGATTATCCCAGGATCAATGATCTTGCTTCCATTGCTCTTTGCTTTTGCTGTTCTCTGAAAAATCTTTCCACACCCTTTGGCTACCTCCTCAGTTTCTAATTATACTTATGGTTTAGCTAAAATCTTCTCCTTTCCTTGAAACAGCCTCTGCTCTCCCCAGCAGACCATCTCTTAGATTCTTATATAGCTTATTATTCTTCTTGTTGGTTTTAGGCATTTTATAGATGACAGTTATTGCTTTGTACTCTTATATGCTTAGGTGTCATTTCAAGAGATAATAGATATATACACTTTATGGCCCAAATACAAATGGTAAGTTCATAACATTTATTACGGTTCATGATAGCTCTTCAATAGCTAGTGTTGATTAATTGAAACACGTTTTGTTTTGTTTTTAAATTTGCAAGTAGCACCTGCTACTTACCAGGTACTGCTTAGTTTGAGAAGGAAACTCCAAGTTAAAGAATGTACTCCTTATAGAACTGTCTGTTTAGCAGTGAGGCAGATATGCAAATAAGTATTTGAAATAGCAGAGTCCAGTCTAGGCCCGGTTCTCTTGAGAAAGAGAACTGCAGTTCAGGGAAGACTTGTTAGAAGACCTAACATTTGTGTTAAATCTTAATAAGAGGGGCAGGGAACAAATTTTAGGCAGAGGTAAAAGAGTGTGTGAAGATATTTGCTGCCTCAAAGGCAATACATCAATAGTAGCAGACTGAATCTCTCCTACAATGGTAAGTTAAATAGTTCAGCCTTTATGACAGTGAAACTGAACACCAGAGCACGTTTTGCATGCTTTTGTATAATTGGCATCTCAGTCCGCTTGTGCTACTGTAACAAAATACCTTAGACTGGGAAATTTATAACTAATAGAAGCATATTTCTTACAGGTCTGGAGGCTGAGAAGTCCAAGATCAAGTCACTGGCAGGTTTGGTGTCTGGTGAGGGTTTGTTTTTCATTGATGTCACCATTAAGGTGTCCTCACATGGTAGGAGGGATAGAAGGGCAAAAAGGGATGAATGCTGTGCCCTCACATGGTGGGAGAGAGGAAAAGCAAAAAAGGCCTAAGCTGATTCCCTCAGGTCCTTTAAAAAGACACTGATTCATTCATGACAGTGGAGATTTCGTGATTTAATCATTTCCCCCAAAAGATCCACTACTTAATACTATCATGATGAGAATTAAGTTTCAACATGAATTTTAGAGGGGACACATTCAAACCATAGCATTCCTTCCCTCCTGCCCCCCAAATTTATGTCCTTCTTACATGCAAAATACATTCATTCCATCCCAATAAACCCCAGGATCTTTACTCATTCCAGCACCAACTCAAAAGTCTAAAGTCCAGAGTCTCATCTAAATCAAATATGGGTGGGACTCAAGGTAAAATTTATCCTGAGGCAAATTTCTCTCCAGCTGTGAATGTGTAAGATGAAACAAGTTATGTATTTCCAAAATACAATGGTGGGACAGGCCTACAATAGATTATTCCATTCCAAAAGGGAGTAATAGGAAAGAAGAAATGAGTAACAGGTCCCAAGTAAATCTAAAACCCAACCATGCAAACAACATTCAATCCTAAGGCTTGAGAATAATCTTCTTTGACTCCATGTCCTGCCTTCCAGAAACACTGAAACAGGGGATGGGCCCCCAGGATCTCAGGCAGCTCCACCAACATTGATTTGCTGGGTGTAGCCCCAACTTCAGCTCTCAGCTCTCACACACTGAAGCTCCATGCCTGCAGCTTTCCTGGGCTGGCACTATACACAGGTGGCTCTATAGTTAGGGGGCCTCAAGAACAGCTTGCTCCCACAGCTCCATTAGGTGTTGCTGCATTGGAAAGTCTGCGGCAGCCCCAACACTGCAGCAGTTCCCTGCCCAGATCCTGAGCCTCTCTGAGGCATCCTTTGAAATCTAGGTGGTGGTAGCCATGACTCCACAGCTCATGCAGTCTGCATGCCCGCAGAGGTTGCACCATGTGGACACTGCCGAAGTTTGTAGCTTGTACCTTCTGAAGTGGCAGCCTGAGCCACATCTGCACCTGCTTGAACCATAGCTAGGGTGGCCAAGGAGTGCTGCACTGGAATGCAGGGAGTGGAAACTTGAGGTGGCCCTGGGCAGCAAGCCCAAAGGTTCCACAGGTAGCCTGGATCCCTCCCTGGAAACCATTCTGCCCTAAAAGGCCCTGGCACTCTGGGCCTGTAATAGAAGTGGCAGCTTCAAAGACCTATGAAATGCCTTTGGGGTCATTTTTTCTTTGTCTAGATGCGTATCACTAATCTCCTTTACAAAATTTCCTGGCACACCCTTGGTGTTCTCTCTTGAACACAACTTTGCATTCTGTACAATCTGGCCAGGCTGAGAATTTTCCAAATCTTTATGTTATTCTTCTCTTTTGATATACATTCTGGCTTTAACTCATTTCTCTCCTCCCAAATTTTACTATAAGTAGTTAAGAGAAGCCACGCATCACCATAAACACTTTTCTTAGAGATTTCTTCCTTTAAACATCCTAGTTCATTTCTCTTAAATTCTTCTTGTAAAAAGGAGTAAGACACAGAGACATGTCAACACAGTTCTTTATCAGTTTGTAATGAGGATGGCTTTTCCTCCAGTTTCCGGTAAGATATTCCTCATTTATGTCTAAGAACGCCTCAGAATGGCCTTTACTGTCCGTATTTCTACCAACATTCAGTTCATAGCCACTGAGATATTCTCTAAGACTGACATGTTCTCTACAGATCTCCTCTCCTGAGCCTTCACTAGAATTGCCCTTAATGCTCTGTTCATGGCAATCTAGACTTTTTCTAGCATGCACCACCAAGCCCTTCCAGTCTCTACCGGTTAGCCAGTTTCAAAGCTGCTTGCACATTTTTAGGTATTTGTTATAGCAACACCCCTATTCTCTGGTACTGTTTCTGTCTTAGTCCATTTGTGCTGCTATAACAGAATACCTGAGAGTGGGTAATTTATAAAGTGCAGAAATTTATTTCTCATGGTTCTGAAGGCTGAGAAGTCCAAGATCAAGGTGCTGGTAGGATTGGTGTCTGTTGAGGGCTGCCCTCTGCTTTCTCTTTTTCTCTCTGCTTTCTCGCTTTCTCTCTGCTTTCAAGTTGACACCTTGTTGTTGCATTCTCTGGAGTTGAGGAACACTGTGTCCTTAGGTGGCAGAAGGGACAGAAGACCAACAGGGTGTCCCATTCAACCTAAGCCCTTTCATAAGAACACTAATTCCATGCATGAGACTGGAGTCCTCATAATATAATCACATCCCCCGAAGGCCCTGCCTCTTAATACCACTACAATGGGGATCCACTTTGAACATGAATTTCAGAGGGGACACAAAACCATAGCAATTGGGAAATCCCATGTATTGTGTAAGTACACTCTATGATATTTGCACAATGATGAAATAACCCAAGAATGCACTTCTCAAAATGTATTCCCATTGTTAAGTGACACAACACTGGTTAAGAGTCTTACAGGTACATAGTATTCTTTCGGTGGAAATAAGCTAAAGCAGACTAAGCTAAACTATCTTTCCTCAGACAAATGCAATAAATGTTTCCATTCCAACATTTTGTAAGGATTAAAACTAGAAAGTAAGGAGTATTTTAGTGTCAAAATATTTTCGCGGACATGTTAAGAGCAAATTGATTTTCACAACTCTTAATCTTGAGTAAAATTGAAGTTAAGGTTTTATCTTTTTCTTAATCAACATTAGAACATTTGATACCGTGATATAGGCTCTTAATAAATGCCACGAATGCAAGTGGAAATTTGAGGCACGGTATCCCTAAAGCACTTTCCACATAGGCTCTCCTGCTGCAGTTGTTTGTAAATGAAGCTCTACATGTAAATGCTAGATTAGACTGAATGATGAATTTAAAACAAGTGGGTGCACTCACTGTGGCCCAAATTAAGCCTTGTTCTAAAGTTGCTATAGCAACATTATCTTTACCAAATGTCCTGCTTTAAAAAATAATTGGAAACATTTCCTGTTATTTAGGAAGAAAAATAAAATCACTATTAATTTTTTGCATCCCACTACACAAATGCATTATTCTCATGCAATTAAAAAAATCGGCAAATATCATGAATGAATACATGCATTTTAATATAATTATAACAGCAAAATCAAGAGGAATAAGAATGAAATTAGTTTATAGACATAATATGATGTATCTAAGAGTTAAATAAAATATTTGAATAAACATATTTTTCTTCTTTCTTTCTTGAATAACACTTAAAAGCAGAGAGCCATGAATAGTTCCTTTGGGCTTTGTATGTATAAATTATTTACTTAATAGATCATGAACATATTTCTTTTTGTTTTGTTTTGTTTGTGAGACAGAGTCTCGCTCTGTTGCCAGGCTGGAGTGCAGTGGTGCAATCTCGGCTCACTGCAAACTCTGACTCCCTGGTTCAAGCGATTCTCCTGCCTCAGCCTCCCGAGTAGCTGGGATTACAGGCATGCACCACCACGTCCAGCTAATTTTTGTATTTTTAGTAGAGACAGGGTTGCACCCTGTAGGCCAGGATGGTCTCAATATCCCGACCTCGTGATCTGCCCGCTTCGGCCTCCCAAAGTGCTGGGATTACAGGCACGAGCTACCATGCCCAGCCCATATTTCTTTAATATTCGGAATTGTGGAATAATTGAAGTTTTAGGTTATGGATTGGAGAGTAAATAAATAAATTCAAAGGACCTACATACACATGACATACCAAGAAGCAGAGAAGTCTAAAATATTTTATGAGGGTAGCTAGAGGAACATATATTTGAATTGGACAACAATAACGAAATGATGTACTAAAATTCCAGGCCCAGATGCATTTTTTTTTTCTAAAAAAATGATTTTAATTCAAACTTATCATTCAATTGTTTTCATAAAAAACTATTAGAAAATATTGTAACATTTGAGAAAACAAAGACTCACATAATTTGGAAGAAAAATAACCTCTCTACACAGCATAATATATATTGTTTAGTAACCTGTGAAAATGTACCTTATATAGTTTGATTCAACATTTCAACCCTTTTTTTTTGTACTTTGGAAAGGCATTTTCTCTCAATGGAGTTTTAATTCTAAAGTGCCATTTCATGCTTCATTATCTCTGAGTAAGAGTTTTAGTTTATTGTTGGCCCTCAGCTTCATCTGTGAGTCATGAGTTGTATAGCTAAGGATATTTTCCCAGGCATTTGGGTGAGGTGACTAATACTTCTTTCTATATATCAATTAGGCTTTCCTATTTAACAACACTAGACTTCAAAATGAAAGTGACATGTTCTGGGAAACAAGATGAAAAATATAGAAGCAGTAACATTTTGGAGAATGCTTAAATCGCTTTATTTGCAAAGTGAAAATATTTTGTTTGTACAACCTTTTCTCTGCCACCTCCTTCCTCCACCCAGTTCCATCGCTCTTTCCACTAGGATCAGCCATGCTGAATATTCTGGCATAGCTCAAAGTAAAATAAATAAGAGAGGAGGATGCCCCCAGTTTCTGGGTTTTTGGTTCTAAACAACTTTCAGGCATTAGTGGGTTGCAACCAGCAGCCCTTAACTCACCTCCTATAACAGATACTGACCCTGAGTTTGAAGGTTGCAGCTTTGCCATTTATATGTATAAATGTACATGTGAACTCATCAGCTCCCAATGTAACTTAAATTTGGCATGGAAACTGGGAGAAAATAGGATTGAATTAAATTTTTCCACCAAAAGGCTATGTTGTGACTGTTCAATACTAATTCCATTATAATTACAATTAACCTTATAATTAAGATTTTCTAGTCATCTACCTCATAAATCCAGCTTATTTCTAGTTTCTGGTTCTGTGTGTTCACTTGGCCTAAAATATTCTTCCTTAAGTTTCTACCTGTATCCAAATCTTTCACATCTTCTCCAGGAAATCTTCCCTGACTGATGCCAACTGTTGTCATCTCCTCACTATCTCCTGTCACTTGCTTTAGATGAAATGTTAGCCAAGCAGGGTATTTAAGAGCTTAAATTCTGTGGTCACGTTCAACCCAAGTTTGAATCCTGGCATAGGGGCCTAGTAAAACAAATCCATTGAACAAATTAATTATTGGGGGCCAGACACTATTGTAGGTGCTGCAGTATAGCAGTGAGCAAGACAGACAAGGAACCTATTCTCCCTGAGCTCATGTTGAGGCATGGGAAGACAATGAAAAATATTATCTAGTGTGGTAGGTTCTGTAAAGGGAGTAAGCAAAGTCATGTAATACAGGTTAATTAGGGGCTCCTATCTGAGTGGGAACAGGGGTCAGGAAAAGCCTTCATGAGGGGATGATATTTGAGTTGAGACCTCAAGATTGAGAAGGAGTCAGCCATGCTAGATGAGGGAAAAAATGTATTCCAGCCAGAGGGAAAAAGCAAGTACCAATATTCTGAGTAGGAAATAACATTTAAGAAGTAGAAAGAAGGCCAGTGGTGGGCGGGGGCTGGGGGGAAAAAGCAGTGCTTGATAACATTGTAGACTATTAAAAGAGAATTGGATTTCATGCTAAGATTGTGATAAAAACTGTTGACTTTAATTGTCACACCAATTTTTAGAAAGTTGAATTGGATCTAAATATTTTAAAGTTATAAAATATCACATAAATTGCCACTATATAATGTATGTACATATATGAGTTATGCATTAAGAACTCCTTATAAAAAACAATTGTGTTGACTTACAATTTTCTTATCCACTCCAGTTGAACACAAATATCCTGGGTCATGACTGGAGTAAGAAGAGTGAAGATTCCCTCGATGCCACACCATGTCACAGAGGCACCAAGAGAGTGAGCTTCTGCCTTTCCTACTTCCATATTCTCCTTTACACAATGATGTTGATAAGAGGAGTAAGTGGGGAAACATAGATTTTTGAGCCTGAAGCACAGGGAAGATGTCTAGACTTTTACTGAAAATTTGAGCATCATCAACGTATAGATGTTTGTAAGTCAAGGCAATGAGATTACCTAAGGAGACAGTACACATAGAAGAGCAAAGAGCCCCAGAGGAAGCCCTGGTCAGGCCAACATTTAACAGTGAGTTTAGATGGAGGAACAGGTGTGATCAAAGACTAATTAAGTTTAGTAAGTAACAGAAAAATCAGAAGCCAAAAGAAAAAAAAATATTTAAAGGAGGAGTACACGATAAACTGTGAGGATGAGTAGCATGAAAACTAAGACATGTTTGCTGGGTTTGGCCACATGAAAAGACTTGTAGACCTTGACGAGTACAATTTTGATGGAAAGGTAGAGATAAGTCATTGGAGTAGGTGAAGGAATTAGTTAGAAACGAGGACGTGGAGACAGGATATAGTCAACCTGTGGGAGGGATTTTGCAGTGAAGTTTGCTGTGAAGCAGCATGGGGAAATGGAGTGGTGGCTATAAACAGATAAAGGGTATGTGGACTTTTAAAAGTTTATATTAATGATTAAATATGCATCTTTGTTAAAAATTTTGTATCAGTTTTCTCATCTGTAAAAGAGGCAAATTTAACAATGATGCTTCAAATGGTTGCAATGAAAATGAAGAGTTATTGCGAGTAAAGGACTAACACCATACTTGGTGCTTTATATGTTCTAAGTGGTCATTATTATCACCAGGTACTGTAGAATTCCTTAACACTCAGCATATTTACTCAAATTATTTTTCTTTTTCGCTCTTTACTGCCTCAGATATAAGAAGTTATCTTTAAGTAAGGTGCTATGGAAGTGGAGTTCGAGGACAAGAATGAACAGTTAAGTTGTTAATAGAATTAAATCATTATTCAACCATGTGTCCTAAACTCTGCGTTAGGCATTTTGACTATGTATATGTAGAAGTATGACTTAGTACAGTCCCTTCCCTTTATTAGTACACAGAGCTCAGGAGTCCCCAAGACCACCTTTACTTCTCACATGTACTGTGAGATCAGGGATCCAAGACTACCCTCAGGTTAGATAATTCTCTAAAGGGACTCACAGATCTTGGAAAGCTGTTACACACATGGTTACAGTTCATTACAGTGAAAAGATACAGATTAAAATCAGCAGAAGAAAGAGGCACACAAGGCAGGGCTCAGGAGACCTTAAGGCACAGGGCTTCCAGTTATCCTCTCCCAGTGAAGGCATGTGTGCAGTACCTATTTCTCTAGGAACATTGTGTGAAAATACACATGGAATATTGCCCACTGGGAAGCTCATTTGAGCTTTGGTGTCTGGAGTTTTGATTGCAATCCAGTCACCCAGCCACTATTCATATGGCTAATCTTAGTTTCCAGCACTTCCAGAGGTCAATCTGACACCTTGTAGTCTGAGGTACCTATGGCTTCAGACCCCAAGTAAACAAAGATGTTCTAATCAGGCAGGATACTCCACGGGCTTAGAGGTTACCTCCCAGGGGCCAACTGCAAAGGCCAGACCTCTCTTTGGCAAGGTTTATCCTTCATGGTACAATTTATAATGGTTGCGGAGATAATATACAAAGACATAAAACCTACATACAATATATGATTTAACTAATGATTCAAGTCAGTAAACAGTGTCATAATGTCAGAGGCATTTGAACCACAGCAACTCCATCTTGAATAGGGGCTGGATAAAATAAGGCTGAGACCTACTGGGCTGCATTCCCAGATGGTTAATGCATTCTAAGTCACAGGATGAGTTAGGAGGTTGGCACAAGATACACGTCATAAAGACCTTGCTGATAATACAGGTGGCAGTAAAGGAGCAAACTAAAACCCACCAAAACCAAGATGGCGGCGAGAGTGACCTTTGGTCGTCCTCCATGCTACACTCCCACCAGAACCATGACAGTTTACAAATGAAATGGCAACATCAGGAACTTACCGTATATGGTCTAAAAAGGTGAGGCATGAATAATCTACCACTTATTTAGCATATCATCAAGAAATAACCATAAAAATGGGCAACCAGCCCCTCTCAGGTCTGCTGTCTACGCAGTAGCCATCCTTTAATTCCTTTACTTTCCTAATAAACTTGCTTTCACTTTACTTTATAGACTTGCCCTGAATTCTTTCTTGCCTGAGATTCAAGAACCCTGTCTTGGGGTCTGAATTGGGACCCCTTTCCTGTAACAATAATGCTAGGATATGTTTACATAATAAATAGCTTATTCAAATAGTACTCACTGTAGCTATTCAGAGAAAGACAAGAGTTGGAGCTAAGGGTTGGGTAAAAAAAGGAATTCTAGAAAAACAGCTGTATGAATTGGACCTTGAAAGAGTACCTGGATTTGAAAACATTACCTGAGAGAAAGGTGAATTATTGGGGTTCAGGTCAATTCTGGGCAGGATCTCATCAGAGTCAGAATGTGGTCACAAAGTCCTTCATAGTGGACAGAGGAAAACTAGGAATGTGGTTGATGAGATGAGGGGAAAAAAAAGAATAGTGACATGAAAGAAAATCTTTGCCTAAATAACAACTTTATATAAAGCTAGCTTTGTGCCTCAGAAGGGAGAATTTCCTGTCTGCTTCCCTTCTGCCAGCTGCCAGCATTCACACAGTTGGTATTGATGGTTAGGTTTCTGTGGGCTAATCTGGGATTGTAATTGCCATTTATAATTCCAATTCCAGAGGTAAAAACTTCTTTTTTGTTTAAAGAGTGCCTTTTAGAGAAATTTGGGGAACATACATGTTTTGTTTCATTTTGGGTATTTACTTCTTAATAACTGAGCTTGGGCCGTGAGGAAGGAGAATAGCATCAATGTTATCTGCACTAACCTCTAATAATTTTGCAAAATTTTGGAGTGAATTTCTAGGCATTTTGAGAATATGCAACTTACTTCTAGCTATTTAGTATTTCTTAACAATAGCAATATTTATGAATTAATATTTGGAAACTATTACCTGAAAAAGATGTAGATGTTGCTTCCAGGTACATGGTGAAAGTGCCTTATACAGGTTGAATAAAAATCACTGCCATTTTCAGAATATTGATGGCACTGAAAAGAAAACACAGGGTATTTGAACTCTGGAAAGTTTGGGAAAAACTCAAAAAATTTCCATCTGTGCTTCAGAAGGAACAATGTTAACTGACCTGGAAAGATAAACTGGATTACATAAGAAAATACATTCAGTTTCTTAATATTGTTATATAATTGATCAAGTTCTGGAACTTCAGTGATTTTTTCCTATTCAATTGAATTTTTCCCATTCTTCTGAAGGAATTGAATGTAAAGCAAATGAGAAAGGCAACTTTGCAAAACCGCTATCTTCATCATAAATGTATTACATTCCTCTAATAAGAACCTGCTCTCACCCAGCAGAGGATTCCAGATGATTCTTTTTTTCTCAGGGAAAAGAGAAAAATCTGATATGCATTCAAAACCTGTGATGTCCTACTTATTAGATAACTTATTACATTAGCGTTTGATTAGTTTGAACTCCCAATTTCTAGCCTAGAGTAAGAAAAAGGTCAACTAGAATTGTATTTAAAAGAAGATGTGTTTATCATTGTTATAATCAACACTGTTCCAGTATTGTAAGGCTAATCAGTAAAATTGCCAGTGTTCCTTCTTCACATTTGATGATTTCCTGTGTTTCAGTTTTGAACATTTAATATGCCAAATATACTGAGGTTTTCACTAATAAAGTTCACTCAAGCGGAGTCAGCACCAATTTATATCTATGACGGGGGCTATACTTTTACAAGGAAATGACATATCCAGAAGTTGTAGAGTCACTGGGGCATGGTAGAAGCTCAAATTCTGATCCTCTACTTTTCTGGGCAGAGTGACCTTGGGAAAAGAACTTCTTAATCTACACAACGTAGCACTGTTGTTAAAACTTGGCAAAATATTTTCTAAAACATAACTACCACATAGTGATCATGTAATCATGTAACAAATGTATTTTCTATTCCCCTCTTTCCAATACCTGAGCACCACTCTCAAATGAAAATATCAGCTGCCATGGGCATCACAAACATTCTGAAGAATACAGTTTTTCCAGCATTGGTTAGCATCTGTTGCAAAGGTAATGAGGGGGCCCATAGCGAAAGTTCTCAATGGATCAGCAGCAGCAATAAAATGATAGAAAAAGAAATTGTTACTTGATCTTTTATGATTTAATGCACAGATTAAAAAATAAACAAACTGATATTTACTGAGGGCACACACAGTCTTGACACTTTTATCTCCCTCATTTAATTTTTATGTGAAATCCAAAGGGATGTAGGCATTATAGTAGAGTAGGAACAACACTGGGTTTGAGCTCTGGCTCAGCCACTTGCTATCTATGTGTCATTGAGCAAATTATTAAACTTTTTAAGCTCCACATTTTCACCTAAAAATGGACATAATAATGGTATCCACTTCACAGAGTTGTTTAAGGATTATTTGTAATAATGCCTATAAAACACAATACAGTTCCTGGCATATAATTATAAATGTATTGTTAGTTGTAATAAGACACTGCAGTCTCAAAGTGTTTCACAAAGTTTGAATTAATGACTTCTTGCCTCAGAATCCCTGGAGATCTTGTTAAATAAGAAGACTCCTGGGCCCAGCTCCAGATCTAATGAATCAGAATACCTGGGCAGTGCTGGAGTTGAAGAGTTTCCTTTTTAAGAAGCTGTCCAGGTGCAGCTGAAAACAGCTACTGATGCTATCCATGATCCATTCACTCCTCTCCTGGTAACTATACTTTGATTTCCATCTGGGGGAATTATTCTTCTGGTTCCAACCATTTTTGCTTTTGGCAGAGCATCTGACCTGTCACTGGTGCCCTTGTTGTCATTTCCCTGGCCACAGAGACTGGGTTCACTCTGTCCCAAGCAAAGATGATGTAATGTAGATAAGCTTTTGCTAGAATGGTAGGACAAAGGCGAGTCCTCTCTCCTACTGGATGAGGATGTGCTTCTGGGCATGATAGAAGCCATCTGTGACCATGAGGTAGGGTGGCTATCTGAGAGTGAAGCCAGAAGAAGCAGAGCCGAAAGATGGAAAGACAGAAGCCTCTCAGGCTGATGGTGTCAACTGAAACCTTGACCTAGCTACACCTAAAGCCAGACTGATTCCTGAAGCTTTTGATTATGGAGCCAATGCATTCTTTTTGGTTAGAACATTTTGGATATGTTTCTTTTTGTTACATGTGACCAAAGCCTAAAAAATCAGATAACCCATGTTCAATTTCTTTGTTAAATGCACACTAGCTGGGTCTTCAGTCCATACCCATCCCTGACTTGACACACTGGGCATTTTCAGATTCCTTCTGCCGAGGCTGAAGCAGGCTAAGCAGACTCCTAGATTTCTCACCTCTAAGATGGTACCTGAATCTTAGCTTACTAGGACACAAAAAATAAGTCCAAGAAAGTCCCTTTCTAACTTTGATGCTTTGGCTAAAACTCAGTTCTGCTAGTTAGAGGTTACAAATTCCAATCTTTAAAGGGGGCACAGCAGGAAAAATGAATACGTAAAACAGGCTGGGAGTTGGAAATATGCCCCTTGCTTCTTAAGTCCAAGGAAAACATCAAGGCAAATCTGAAATTAAATGCCCAGTCTCAGTGTTAACAAGGCAACAGGGAGTGGAGATACTAGAGTATTGGAGAGCTCTTGCCTCCTTTAAAGGCAGCAGGGGTTATTTAGCTTCAGCCAAAAGTCACCATGTGGGAATTCAGTCCCAGATTACCAGAGTTATCAGGCATCTTGAATTTTATATTAAATCTCTTGAATTTTAAATAGTAACAGCTAATTCAAAATGTAAAAACATTCTATGTAAGCTGACACAGTGAGGGCCAAACATAACACACATGAAGCAGCCTAGGATCTCCTGTGTAGACCTTCCAAGAGGTGGCAGAAGACAGTGTTATCTGAAGAAAAAGGCTTTCACAATTAGGAGATTATCCCAGTTCCATCTACAGACACATGGGAGAGAAAAAAGAGAAAATATCCATAATTTGAACATGTCAGGCAAGGAGAAATGTATTCACTCCATCTACAGGCTAGCTTGGCAACTGGCATTAGGGAGTCCTAGGAGTTCATTGTACTTTTTTTTTTTTTTGTGGCGGAGTCTCATTCTATCGCCCAGGCTGCACTGGAGTGCAGTGGCATGATGTTGGCTCACTGCAACCTCTGCCGGATTCAAGCAATTCTCCTGCCTCAGTCTCCTGAGTAACTGGGATTACAGGCGCCTGCCGCTGTGTCTGGCTAATTTTTGTAATTTTAGTAGAGACGGGGTTTCACCATTTTGGCCAGGCTGGTCTTGAACTCCTGACACCGTGATCCACCTGCCTCAGCTTCCCAAAGTGCTGGGATTACAGGCATGAGCCACCATGCCCAGCCCATTGTACTCTTAACTCATGTAAGATTTTCTTCCTCTCAGGGGGCAGGAAGCCTTTATCTCCTTCTAGAAGTTAGATCATGTTGCTAATAGTCTCTGCTCACTTGTTTTTTTACTTTTCCCTTTGTAGAGCTGGTATAAAGTTTCAATTTTTTTTTTCTTTCCAGGAGATGTAATTGGCCAGAAATCTGGCCCCAGGCAACTACTGCATTAACTTTATAATGAAGAGCTCATTTGGTTAACAAATTATGTTTCTATACACTTTTAACATAGACTTATCTAAACCATGGTAATCTCCTCCTACTCAACACATATTCATTTCACTTTTAGATATCCAGATATCTGGGTAAGGCACAGAGAGCCAACGACAAAAAGGTTTTTAAAGTTAAGTCTTTCCAGTTTATTTCTATGAGATGGGGGAGCCTGTGATAATTGAATCCATATGGCCTTCTCCTTCTTAACATTTGTACATAGGTAGAAGCATGCTAAATGAACATCCAACGTAGTCAAGAAAAGAAAAAGGAGATCCCAAGAGGGATATTATGAAAGCTTTGGGGAGTGAGGAGGTGGTCTCCTATTTTGCCTTCACACTAATAAGGAAGGATAAAGAGGTAGCTCATGGCTGCCCAGTTCCCAATAGCCCATTTCCACGCTATCCACCTCAGCCCTTTCCACATACACAAAAATATTCACAGCTCTAGGCTACTCCTTTAATTTCTAATTTTTGGGCTATTGTTCTAATTCCCTTTATTCCAGCAAAATCAGGAGAATTGGGTAACCAACAGAGGCTATTGCTCAGATGATCAGAGAAGGCACCTGTCGCAGGAATAAATGTCTGCTATTTTCTTGACTAGTTAATGGACTACTTAGAAAAAAAATCTCAACGTAAACTGAAGGTGTAAGGAAGATGAGACTGAATCCAACATAACAGTTTATCTTATTGAACAAATGGATATGAAATCCATAATATCTGTTGACTAATATCTGGTTCTCCTTTCATTTCTAGTACATGAGAGACTGTACTTGCAGTTAAGCAGGGCCATGTGACTAGTTCTGAGCAATGGAATACAGTACAGAGTAATAAAGTATGAAGCCTTTATGTACTTTCTTCTCTTGAAAGAAGACCACATATCTCAGGGAGTACAAGCCTGGTTGGTGGAGCCACCATAACCCTAGGATCCTGAGTGTCCAAATGAACCAGCCTAAAGCTGACAAAAAATGAACACATTTCACTGGAGAAGAAAAAATAAGCTTCAGTTGTGTTAAGACTTCAAGACTTCAGAGTGATTTTTAAAATTGTGCCATAGCACAATTTACCCTGCTTAATAAAAAAAGATGCTGAGAGGCAAGGAGATTGCTTTGTTTCTGGAGCTTGGGGAAAGAAATTAAAAGTGGGGAAGCAGCTAGCTAGTGGTAAATTTTTCTGTCTTCCTTCTGTCCTCCTGCTTTTCTTTAATTCTTGTTCTACACGCGAAAAATGCACCCATTCTGTCAATTTTCAATTCTATATTCACACATATGCCAACTTTATAAAATGAAAATAACTGGTGAAATATATAAAGTACACAGCTTAGTCTTGCACACAATTTAAGTTGAAAATTTATGTATTTAAATGCATTCATGGAGAGAGGCATTAGCATGAAAAGCAGATGAGAAGGTGGTTTTCAGTTCTAGTTGGTTTTCAATTCTCCTCGTGAACTTTTCTAAACATCTTTTTGCTAGCACATACCTACCTCCTTATTCCAAAGATTTCCAGAATCCTGGGGGTGTTTTCTACCCTGTTAAAATCTATATCCAGAGAACACAGAATTAAAGTCATTCACACATTTTCTGTGTGGCAGGTGCTGTGGCTGTATCTACACTCAAGGGAGCTCTCAGGTTCGTGGGAAAGCTAACATACAAATAAATCCTTCATGTGAAGAGTGTTGCAGCAGACATCAGCACAAGGGCAGGGACTGGGAGAAGCAAGAATGTAGGTGGTGGTGGTCTTGGGATGTCAAGAAAAGATTTACTGAAGACATGGCAACTTGCTCTTTAGGAAATTACTCTAGTGACATAATAGTAGTTGTCTATAATGGAGACGGTTGGGACTGGAGGCAGACAACAACATTAAGCAGGAGGCAATGTAGTAATAACCAACAGTTAGCAAGAAGGATGAAGAAGAAGGGACTTGTGGCAGAGGTATTAAGAGGCAGACAGTAATTTGGATTTGATGAGAAAATAAGAGGGAGGAGTCTAAGAATATTGTACACTGGGTTCAGGGATTTTTTTCCTACAGTGGGCAGCTAGTATTTTAGACTTTGTGGGCCATGTATAGTCTGGTGTTTTTTGGTAATCTTTCTTCTGTTTTTTTGTTGTAATCTTTCAAAAATGCAAAAGCCATTCTTAGTTTGAGGCATGGTTATGGTCCTTACGCCCTAGTTTGCCAACTCATGTTCTAGATTAAGACATCCCAAGGGGGATATCTTTAGTCAGATAAGAGAAGGAGAGAAGGTTCAGGCAGGCTGTAAAGAAAACTGAAAAGCATTGCCCAATTCTTCTAACTTGTTCAGTTTTATCACAAATAGAAATGCTCTCTCTCGATAAAGCTGAAATTTTGATACAATGGTCAAATTGCCCTTTATTGTACAATCTGATTTTACAACATATTCTTTGTTTTAGGAAATAAACCTTTGACTCATGATCTTGTAGTGTTTTTATTCTAAGTCCTACATGCCCAGTACATGCTTTTGTTTTGCATTTGTCAGTCTTTGGCTACAAAGTCCTAAATGTTTGGTATTAAGAATATAAGTTTCTATTACAAAGCCATAACTCATTATATATTTTTAATGGTGGTTGCTTTTTGGTTTGATGTATAATATGTGCTCAATGTTATTATTTGAGTCAATTAATGACAATGATAGATATCCATTGAAAAGTAAATTCATGTTCATTTAAAAATCAAACAGCTTTAGAAGACTTAAATGGTCCCAACTTTGGGTGTATATTGAACAATGGGTAGAGATGCTCTTCAATACTATTTGTATTTTTACATTTGGATTAAAAAATGAGGCTAAGACATATTTCTGTTATATTCTAAACAATTTCTAGGGCTTCAATATAAAAAACTGCTTCTTTGTTTTCTGATTATGTATTAAAATGCACTTACAGGGATGCATGCAATTAATTCCTGATCATCTGAAGGTGGATTAACCTGTTTTCAGATGGAGGTAGTTAAGGTACAGCAGGGATTTGGAATCGGGTATCTTCCCCTACAAGGGCATGCAATCAAGCCGTGATTATTTGCCCTGATTATCAGCAACCCAGTGGTTGGAGGACTGGGTTCCAGGTCTGGACGACTCGGTTCCAGGTCTGGACACATGGAATCTGGCATACATCATTCACTCCATCAGCAGTCTTACCCAGAGTTTGGGTTCTCAGCTTCTGCACCTTGAAGAGCTGTCCTTCAACTCCAATCTTCTAATTACCTAATGACTCAGCCTTCCTGGGAGGTAAGATCACCCCAGATATTTGACTAATCTGCAAAGTGGCTAATCTACTGAAAGCTAATGAACAGTCAACTGTGATTTGATCTGAACTGTGCATGGTATTGAGTTATCTGTAGCTTACCTTATTTCCACTCACCCTCCAAAATTCTATCTGATAATCAAACATTAACTATAATTGCATATTGTCCCCCAAATTTCCCTATGCATGTAATTTTGCAGCATTCTAACCAATCCTGTTTTTTCTTCCAAAAGTTTCATTTCTTTTCAGGGATCCTAAGATATAGCCCTATATATTTTAAATATGATACTCATGGGCATATGTAAAAATTGCCCAACTTATAAATTTGGTTTTTGATGTTCAACTCTGAAAAACTGGGCCGAAATTGATGTCTAAACTTAGGGAATAGTTTCCAAATGCTTTGAACTTTTTAGTCTAGCTAATTCTTTGCTCCAAAATGTGTTTACTTGATGGCATCATCCATATCTTTTAAATTTTTACTACATTCTTTAATTCTAATACATCGAGGCCAAACAAGTAAAAAGAAAAAAAGTTTAAGAAAAAAGAACCAAATGAAGAAATATATTACTTTAAATTGAAACCCACAAAGTGCTTTATTCTTTCATTACCAGAAGAAGAGTAATTAACAGAATGGGTTGGTGACAAGGAGATATCAGAAAGACATGGAAAGAAGAAGCAATTTAGGAATCCAAGCAGAAGAAAAGTGAGTGAAGAGAGAAAGAGAAAAAGTGAAAGAAAACCAAGAGGTCTTGCTGGCCTCATTCCAAGCTGCATGCCTTGGCTCTCAACACTTTGAATATAAGAGAAGTGGGAAGAATATTAACATTTGTAGGAAGGTTGGAGGCAGAGCACACACAAAATCCTGACATGTTTCTGAATGAAAGCTGTGGGCGTGAAAGCAAAGTGAGCTTTGTTCTCAGTTATTTTTTTTCAAGAGAGTCTCATTCTGTCACTTAGGTTATAGTGTTATAATAGTAGCGTGATAATAGCTCATTGCAGCCTTGAACTCCTGGGTTTGAGTGATACTCCCACCTCAGCCTCCTGAGTGGCTGGAATTTTAGGAAGCCACGACGTCTGGTTCTCCTAGGTATTTCTATGAGTCACACTTTATATCTTCTCCTTATGTCTCTGGTAGGAGACTCAAGGTAAATCTTGGAGAATGCATTTACCTAGTTAGAAAACATAGCTATCAGTTTGTATGTGCCATGTTATCTCTGGTACCATATTGCTAAATCAGATTGCTCAGGGAGCCTGGTTTACATTTGGAAAATATATTAGTCTGTTTTCATGCTGCTGGTGAAGACATACCCAAGACTAAGTAATTTATAAAGAAAAAGAGGTTTCATGAACTCACAGTTCCACATGGCTGGTGAAGCCTCACAATCATGGCAGAAGGCAAAAGGCATGTCTTATACAGCAGCAGGCAAACAGAGAATGAGAGCCAAGTGAAAGGGGTTTCCCCTTATAAAACCATCAGGTCTCATGAGGCTTATTCACTACCAGGAGGACAGTATGGGGGAAACCACCCCCATTATTCAATTATCTCCCACCAGGTCCCTCCCACAACACGTGGGAATTATGGGAGCTACAATTAAAG
Source organism: Homo sapiens (assembly GCF_000001405.40). NCBI lineage: Eukaryota > Metazoa > Chordata > Mammalia > Primates > Hominidae > Homo > Homo sapiens. Next base: position 180,716,154 of record NC_000002.12, on the reverse strand, counting down.
ATGAGATTTAGGTGGGGACGCAGCCAAACCATATGAGAATACACCTAGCTCCCTTGTTTCCTCTTAAACATTTTGTTTTCCTCCTCAGTCCCTTAAATTTAAATATTTGAACAATACAACAAAATTAAAGTGACTGAGACAAGGTAGATAATCAATAAATATAATTCCCCCTGCTTCTGTTCCTTTATCCCCTTTTCTGGAACCTTACACTTGCAAGCTTTATCGTGGATGCCCAGATCTCCAAGGGTGCTATTCTGCAGGGTTTGGGGATTGCAACACAATAGAGGTCTCCACTTATTTCCTCCTCACCCTCAGAACTTGCATGGCTCTGGTAGTCATTAAAAATGTTCAGACATTCTACTTCTCTGCCTCCCAGGTATATCTGTCTCCTTGTGGTTGAATAAGTTCACATGACTGATTCTGGTCACTGAGTTGGGAGTATAAGTAAGGATTATCTCTTCTAGGCCAAGGTGTTGAATTACTAGTGCAAGATTCTTTAGGGTACTTTTGTTCTAGGCTCTAGTGTCCAACAATATTTGAGATAGTGGCTACCCTACTAGCCTGGATTCCTAGCCTGTGAAGAGATACATAGAAGAGACCCAGCTCACCTGCAAAGGACATGGAATGAAAGTGAGAGATAAACCATTGTTTTCAGAAGCCAATAAATTTGGGGGACATATTTTCCTTTAGCATAGCTGAGTTATAGCCTGAATAATGCATTGTCTCATACTTCACCCCCCTCATTAGGATAAGTTAAAATTTAGACTCGTTGAAGGCAAAGACTTTATCTATGCTGTGATGTTCTTTTATGTATACTCAGTGCCTGTGCAGAGCCTAGAGCATGGGGCAATAATCACTCAATAAATATTTGTTTACTCTAAAAATAAATGAAACACTCTACTGTTGTCATGGTGACAATAAGAGGTTAACAAATGTGGTTATTCATGCACATGAATTACAACCCTATTAGCTAAATAAGTCATAGGTTTTTGTTCCCAATACTACTTAATGGTGATTACAGATACATTGGAGGGCTGGCTGGAGATGATTCCAGTTAGATCAGTTTTCTGGGCTCTTTCAGAAAATGTCACTTGGGCAGCTACCTGAATGGCCTCATGAATAGAAAGGCTCTAAATCTACTTAAGACTAGGTATGAGTTATTGAGAGGGCTAATTGATACAACTGAGAGGACAAGAGAAAGAGCCAGAGAGTGCCTTGACAACTGTGTTAATAAGCCTAGCTTATCAACCTATCACCCTATATGTAGTTAAATCTCAGAACAACTTAACTATAACTTAGTTGAATTTTTGGAGAGATTCTAGCTGTGAATTATAAAGGACATTTCTTTTTTTAAAAAAAGAAAAAGGAAATAAAATTTTGCTTAATAGTAAACAAAATAGGTTTATTTATCTTGTCACTTTGGAATTTACTTCTTCTAAATAATTCCTAAAAAGCTTGCAAATAGGAAGATTTTATAGAATGACACCCTGCTCTGTGATTATATTCCCTGAGTACTAAAAGCAGTTCATAACAAAAGTATCAACATCTTCTGTTAAGAACTGTGTTGGCAATTCTGTGGCACGCTGGTGCCCAAAGAGGGAAGCTAAAAATATGGGTGAACGTTTCTCAGAGGCTGATTCAGGTTGTAAGAGCTGGATCCTGAGACTCATCCAATTACAACATAGAAAGGTCCTGTCAAATGAGCTTCAGCCAGGCCATCTAGGGTGGGTGAGGGTAGCATTAATGCATAGGGGCAATAATCAGTGCTTAAACAGGTAGGTGGTGATGTTGGGTGTTAAGTAGTGCCTTGCTTTGTATCTAAACAGCGACCCTGGGTTTGTCATAAATAGCTCTTATTATTTTGAAGTATGTTTCTTCAATTCCTAGTTTACTGAGAGCTTTTAACATAAAGGGATGTTGAATTTTGTCAAAAGCCTTTCTGAAGCTATTGAGATAATCATGTGGTTTTTGTATTTAGTTATATTTGTGTGATGAATCACACTTACTGATTTGCATATTTTGAACCAACCCTGCATCCTGGCGATGAAGCCTACTTGATGGTGGTAGATTCAATTTTGACGGGCTGCTAGATTGTTTGCCAGTATTTTGTTGGGGATTTTTGCATCAATGTTCATCAAGTATATTGGCCTGAAGTTTTCATTTATTGTTGTGTCTCTGCCAAAATTTGGTATCAGCATGGTGCTGGCCTCATAGAATGAGTTGGGGAGTCCCTCTTCCTCATTTTTTTGGAATAGTATTAGTAGAAATGGTACCAGCTCTTCTTTGTATGTTTGGTAGGATTCAGCTGTGAATCCAGCTGGTCATGGGATTTTTTTGGTTAGTAGGTATATTAGTTTGTTTTCATACTGCTGATAAAGACATACCCGAGACTGAGGAAAGAGGTTTAATTGGACTTACAGTTCTACATGGCTGGGGAAGCCTTATAATGATGGCAGAAGATGAAAGGCTCATCTCACATGGCGCAGACAAGAGAAGAGGGCTTGTGCAGAAAAACTCCCCCTTATAATAACCATCAGATCTCGTGAGACTTACTATCGCGAGTACCGCATGGGAAAGACCTGCCCCCATGATTCAAATACCTCCCACTGGGCCCATCCCACAACACGTGGGAATTCAAAATGAGATTTGTGTGGGGACACAGCCAAACCATATCAGTAGGCTATGTATTATTGATTCACTTTTGGAGCTCATTATTGGTCTATTCATGGAATCAATTTCTTCCTGGTTCAGTCTTGGGAGGGTATATGTGTCCAAGACTTTAGCCATCTCTTGTAGTTCTCCTAGCTTGTGTGCATAGCCACAGCCAATATTATACTGAATGGGGAAAAGCTAGAAGCATTCCTCTTGAAAACTGGCACATGACAATGATACCCTCTCTCACCACTCCTATTCAAGATAGTATTGGAAGTCCTGGAAAGGGCAATCAGGCAAGAAAAAGAAATAAAGTGCATCCACATAGGAAGAGAGAAAGTCAAACTATCACTATTTGCAGACAACATGATTCTATATATAGACAACCCCATAGTCTTGGCCCAAAAGTTCCTTCAACTGATAAACAACTTCAGCAATGTTTCAGGATACAGAATCAATGTACAAAAGTTACTAGCATTCCTATTCACCAACAACAGCCAAGCCGAGAGCCAAATCAGGAATGCAGTCCCATTCACAATTGCCACAAAAAAACATAAAATACCTAGGAATACAGCTAACCAGGGATGTAAAAGTTCTCTACAATGAGAACTACAAACCACTGCTTAATGAAATCAGAGATGACACAAACAAATGGAAAAACATTCCATGCTCATGGATAGGAAGAATCAATATCATTAAAATAACCATACTGCCAAAAGTAATTTACAGATTCAATGCTATTCCTATCAAACTACCAATAACGTTCTTCAGAGAACTAGAAAAAAACTATTTTAAGATGCACATAGAAACAAAAAAGAGCCCTAATAGCCAAGGCAATCCTAAGCAAAAACAACAAAGGTGGAGGCATCACTTTACCTGGCTTCAAAATATACTACAGAGCTACAGTAACCAAAACAGCATGGTACTGGTACAAAAACAAACACATAGATCATGGAGTAGATTAGAGAGCCCAGAAATAAGGGCATACTCCTACAACCATCTGATCTTCAACAAAGCTGACAAAAAAAAAAATGTTGCTGAGATAACTGGCTAGCCACACGCAGAGGATTGAAACTGATCCCCTTCTTACACCATATACAAAAATCAACTCAAGACGGATTAAAGATTTAAATGTAAAACCAAAAACTATAAAAACCCTGGAAGACAACCTAGGCAATACCATTTTGGACATAGGATGCACAAAGATTTTTTGACAAAGTTGCCAAAAGCAACTGGAACAAAAGCAAAACTTGACAAATGGGATATAAGTAAACCTAAGAGCTTCTGCACAGAAAAAAGAAAACATTAACAGAGTAAACAGACAACCTACAGAATGGGAGAAAATATTTGCAAACAATGCATCTGAAAAGGTTTAATATCCACAATCTATCAGAAACTTAAATTTACAAGAAAAAAAACAACCCCATTAAAAAGTGGGCAAAGGACATGAACGGACACATTTCAAAAATAAAAAAAAAACAATACATGTGGCCAACAAGTATATGAGAAATAGCTCAATAACACTGATGATATTGAGATATATTGAGAGAAATGCAAATCAAAATCACAGTGACCATCTCACACCATTCAGGATGGCTATTATTAAAAAGTAAAAACTAGGCCGGGCGCAGTGGCTCACGCCTGTAATCCCAGCACTTTGGGAGGCCGAGGCAGGCAGATCACGAAGTCAGGAGATCGAGACCATTCTGGCTAACACGGTGAAACCCCGTCTCTACTAAAAAATACAAAAAATTAGCCAGGCGTGGTGGCAGCCGCCTGTAGTCCCAGCTACTCGGGAGGCTGAGGCAGGAGAATAGCATGAATCCAGGAGGCAGAGCTTGCAGTGAGCCTAGATCACGCCAGTGCACTCCAGCCTGGGCAACAGAGTGAGACTTCATCTCAATAAAATAAAAAAAAAAAAAACACAGATACTGGCAAGGTCTTGGAAGCCAGTAATCTATTTGGAAAAAATAGAATGCTTCTACACTGTTGGTTGGAGTGTAAATTACTTCAACCATTGTGGAAAGCAGTGTGGTGATTCCTCAAAGACTTAAAAACAGAAATACCATTCAACCCAGCAATCCCATTACTGGGTATATACCCGAAGGAATATAAATCACTCTATCATAAAGACACATGCAAGCATATGTTCATTGAAGCACTATTTACAATAGAAAAAAACATGGAATCAACCTAAATGCCCATTAATGACAGATTGGGTAAAGAAAATGTAGTACATTTACACAATGGAATACTAAGCCGCCATAAAAAAGAATGAGATCATGTCTTTTGCAGGAACATGAATGGAGCTGGAGGCCATTATCTTTAGCAAACTAAGGTAGGAACAGAAAACTAGATATCATGTGTTATCATTTATAAGTGAGAGCTAAATGATGAGAACTCATGAACACAAAGAATGGAACAACAGACACTGGGGCCTACTTGAAGGTGGAGGGTGGGAGCAGGGACAGTAGCAGAACAAATAACTATTGGGTCCTAGGCTTAGTACCTGTGTGATGAAATAATCTGTACAACAAACCCCTGCAACATGAGTCTAGCTATATAATAAATCTGCACATATACCCCTGAACCTAAAATAAAAGTTAAAACAAACAAACAAACAAAAAATAGCGGCCATCCAACAGAATCTAAACAGACTATGGTACAGAAAATAGAAATGGAAGTCATGAAGAGAGAGAAGGGACCTTGCACCTCTATAAAGTAAATTGAGTTTTAGAGTAGAACTCAAGTTCAACTAGAGCAGCAAGCAAAAAGCTATTCTAGTGACAGTCAGAAAATGAATATAAAAAGATGTAGACAATAATTCCGTGGGAAAGGTACATTAAATATTTTTAAATAATTATTTATTTCTTTTACTACTAAAAAGTCAAGAATGACAGGAGGTAGATGAGATTTCTTTCCTTACAGTGATAGTCCTCTGTAACCAACTAATTATATGGAGACAAGTTATCAAGACTGAAAATTGTCTTGCTATCCTTTTAAATTTGCATATTATTAGTTCTTTTTGTTTTCAAAATTTGACTAAATTTTTCAAAATTTGGCAAAAAATAGAGATTCTAGATACTGTAAATATTTAACAGAACTTGTGTTAAAAATGATATAATAATTAAAATTAAATTATCACAATCATACCTTAGGTTTTACTTTGTAACCAAAAATTATTAAAGAGAAATGTGTTTAATTGATAAAGTTATAATTTATGAAGAATCTATTCTTCAAATTGTAAACTAAACATGGTAAATTTGTAAGCAAATGATTGAGCTATTCATCATATATTTACATGTTTATAACAAGCAGCAGACTTCTAGATTTCTTATGAGCGATAGAAGATTTAGTGTTCGACTCACGGATCTCTTTTTACCCTCATCTTGGGCGATATCATCCCTAATCCTAAATTTTGCTCTGTGGTATTATAACTAGAGGACACAGCACAACATTTTAAGGAAGATTGAAGCCTATGGGCTCAGATTGCTTGGAGTTTGAATCCTGGCTCCTAACTGTGTGACTCAATCAACTTACTAACTGTGACACTTAGCCTGAATGTCTACATTTATACAATTGCTCATAATAATTTCTGCTGTATAAGGTCATTCTGGCCATTAAATGGGATGACAAATGTAAAGTTCCTTGACTTCACTAAATGATCTGTAAATTAGAGATATTATTTACTATCTACACATGTAAGTCCCTGTGGGTGTTGCACAGGAACAACACATTCAGGCTGTCAAAATAGAATTTACTGTCTTCACATCTAAATTGACTTCTCTCTGAATTCCCTATCTAACTGTTTCAAATCTAATCTCCTAGATCTAACCAATCACTGAAACTAACAATTTTACTTTATATATGTCTACCACTGAAACTAACAATTTTACTTTATATATGTCTACCGTTGCCTTAGGTTAACCCTTCACCCTTGGCAGTCCTCAGTCTCTCACCTGCACTTCTGTATCAGCCTCTACTTTGTCCCCTTTATTCTAGTGCTCCACTTCCTTTTCCTTCTTCCCACTCCATGTTATTCATCCTCCGTAAAGCAGTCAGAGTGTTCCATCTAAAACACAAACCTAAATGGGTGACTCCCTTAGGAACTCCCAATGGTTTCCCCTCACTTATGGAAGTAAGTGAGCTCATAGTGTGATTTACAAACTTTAGGTCTCTTGTACGGCATCCAAGCTTTTACTTTATTATTTTCTTTTCCTCCAGGAAGGTATCCTTGTATCCCAAGTTAGGAAAAATATCATGCAGTTTGCCCACACACAGTCTATGATTTCCTCTCATTGATCACTTCTATATGGTATTGAAATCATTCTTGAGGATGTCTTCTCCACTTTACTGCAAGCTTCTAAATTGTTATGATGGCTTGCTCATCTTTGCACATTAAGGGCCTGATCCTTAGTAGGTTCTTAATGTTTCATGGAACTGTTGAACTTTATTTATTTTTTCTCAATATTTCTCTCTTCCTTTCTACCATCAAGAAATAAAAGGAAAGAAGATTCTGTCTCTTACATTTTCCATACTTTTGGAAATACCACAGCTCTGTTTCTATCATTTTCCACTATTCTATTTCAGGAATTGGGATGCTGGGGCGAAAACACCTTACAAAAGTCCCATAATGCAAATCTTTGTGAAAAATTGGTCATCTACAGACCATTCTGAAGATCCAGAACCAAACTTAGAAAGAATTGAGCAAGCTCAGGGAATCTGAATTTGCCCAGAAAAAGCAAAACTAAGAAGCAAACGAAACCCATTACAGGTAAGGAGGAGAGGAAGATATAGTCTTCTCTGAGGCTAGACCAATTTAGATGACCTCTAAAGCTGTGCTGTCCAACATGGAAGCCACTAGCCACGTATGTTTATTGACCACATGAAATGTGGCTTCTAACTGAAATAAGACATGCTCAAACTGTAAAACACACCATCTTCAAAAGACTTAGTACAAATAATGAAAAATACCTCACTAATAATATTCTAATATTTATTATATGCTGAAATGATACCATTTTGGATATATTGGGTTAAATCAGATATATGATTGAAATAAATTTTACCTATTTATTGTTACTTTTCTTACTGTGGCTGCTAGAAAATTTAAAACTATATATATGGCCTACATTGTATTTCTATTGGACAGCTCTAGAAGATGGAATAACACCCTATAATTATGTCTTCTACGAGGATTTGAAACACGGAATACATATCTTCAGTCAAAATCCCTGAGATGCTCCTTTGGGAATCTAATATCTTGTTTAGGCAGGGTCATTGAAGAACCAACTTGTATACTTAGGAGTTCCTACAGCTAAGTGTGAAGAAAAACCAACCTCCACAAGTCAGGTATTAATAGCATTCTTAGGCAGATCTACTTCTAATTTCTCCTTTTGGGGAGACCTGGGATTCAGTTGAACAGTCACATGTTCCCCATGGCTGAGTCACTTCCAATGGGGTATGAACAATGGTTGGGCAACTACTGAATGTCTGCTAAGCCAGCATGTGGCTAATTGGCCATATGCCCAGATTATTACAGCTCCCTTTGGGTCAGTAACAATCCTGGTTCTTGGGTGAATAACAGCTCACCTCTCTGAGGTGAATTAACTCTTTCAGGGCACTAGGGCACTATTTAGAACACTGGAAAAAAAAGTAATTTATTCAATGACCCTCTAAGGATACGCTGGAGTGCAGAGAGGAAGCTCAGCAATTTGAAGCTCACATAGCAATTCTGCAAAGCCAATTAGGGGAACAAGACAAATTAGACGGAAGTGGGCAAAGTCCAATTGAGATATAAAGACAGTTTATGTGAGCAGGATGTAATTGCCTAAGTGGGAATTTGGCTAAGAAAATGAGGCTTTTCTGAGAAGGACCTTGGAAGGAAAGAATAAAGCATGGTAAGAACTCAGTTCTATACAAAAACAGTTTGTATGCTTTCTACTTTAAAAATAACATTTTCAAAGTGTTGAGGATTTTCTGCATTTTTCCACTTTATTTGAGCTACTACACCCCATTTTTGAATACTAAACTGGAAGTCAGGAAACTTGGCTTCAAACCACAGTGCTACTGTTAACTAACCATGTAACCTTGGGCAGGTTTCTTTCCCTTTATGGTTCTTATTTTCCCCATTTATTACATGATGTTAGAGATTGTGTTGAGATACGGATGCTTTTAGATAAGATTAGGTGGAAGGACCCAGGAATGCCCAATCCTACCCTAGACCAGAGCCACTGGTAGGGAGATATATAAGCAAGGAATGATAGCCCAAGGAACAGACAAGCACTTTACTGGTAGCTGGGCTTTTTGTCCCAAAGTCCAAAAATAGCTCCGGTAAACTGGGCTAGAGCATATAGCCCAAGTTTCCATATGCCTGAAACCCTAAAGCAGAATTTTACCACACTCTTACTGGCTGCAGGAAGGAAATGAAGAGAGTGCAAGTGATTTGTTTTGCTTTTTAAAAAAATAGGCTTTTGGTATGTCCCTTCCTTGTGTTACAAGAGAGATCTAATGCACAGTGGATGCATTTCTGCATTCCTCATTTCTGCATGTTACCAGATGGCCTCATTAGACTCATCAGCCTTAGCTGATTAGGTCTCCTTCTTGAGGAGGAGTGAGAAAGTGGTGGGGGAGTTCATCAGGGAGGAGAGATATGGAGAGTTTTTCTTTTTCAGAAGACTCCTGTTTCTTCTACTTCTACTGCTATATCATTATGCTTTCTTCATGAAAGTCTGAGACCCTTTGCTTTCACCTTAGTTATTAGGCAGTCTTCTATTTTGCATTTTTAAGACAGAACAGAAAAATTTCCTGTTGATTGCTTGCTTTTCTTACCTAGGCATTTTTTGAAATCTTTTGAGAAAGCTTACTAAAGACCCCTATCTTGATAATTTAGATTAATAGCTCCTTTGACAATCAAGCAATAATAATGATATTCATCACTATCACTCATGCAGTACTTATTATGTGTCAGATGCCGTTCTAAGTGCCACAACATATCAATGCATTTAATCCTTACAACAAGCCTAGGACGTGTTTTAATTATAATTGGCATTTCTATTTTACTGATATGAATACTGAGGCACAGAGAGGTGATGCAACTTGTGCCAGGTGTCATGGATAATGGGTAGCAGAGTCAGGATCTAAACCCAGAGTCATGGCACTTAGCCACCAGTTATACTGTTATTCAGTGTCAGTTTTATCCCTTTGGTTATACATTTTAATCACCTAATAGTTTCCATTTATAGAAAAAAATAGATTTAAAAGTTTAAAATCCCACTTTCATATTAATTTAATTCACATAAAGTGCTTCCAGTTGTATGTAAACAGCTTATACACAAGTGAACAGTGATTATTAAAGTGCTGTAATTAAGAACACATGAACATATTTATATTTGTTGTAGCTAATGTTTTAATTGCATAATAAAATTTTGATAATACACTGTAGTAATTATAAAACATCTGAAAGTTTTATTTTATGCAAAAATGTAGTATAATCATGGAATCTAATGATGTTTAGTGCCTCTATTTTCACCAACTTTTTTTCAGACAGGCAGAGATATAACATGCAAGTCACTCACTCAAAATTAAGCATAACATGCATCACTGACCTATGCCATGTTCTTGTCATTCGTTAAGTTGCAAAATTCAGCAACTTACAATGAGTATTACTACTATTGTACTGGTGAGTTAATATGATTTGTGAAAAAAGTCATCCCTTAGATGTCTAGCAGAGGGATGACACACTTCAGGAACTTGTTTTGGTAAAGGATTTTCATTTACTATACCTCTTAAGTGAGAAATTCTGAGGCCCTTACATCAGCCAGTGGCAGTGTGGCACACAAAAGGGCAGCAGTTTGAGTGTCAAGTGTTCTAAATAATGCAGCAGGTAACTACCTCATCAGGGTTTCAAAATCCCTTAATGCTCATTTGAATTTTTATTTACAAACACTTACCTAATACAAACCTTCCATTTTTGTCACAATTAAATGCAAAAAGCTTGTGATTTGGATTCTGAAATTAGAACCTTATCCTCCTAGCTCTTTTCACCCACATAGTTTATAAACACTAAACATTGTTTTTATCTTCTCTGACTTGAAAGATTATCCTGAACAGGAGTAGAAATGTAAGGCCTCTGTGAGTCACATTTTCTATAATGATTTTGAAAAAATATCTGCAACTTCCTTTCCCATGTGTGACTTGATTACATGTTGCTTTGTCATCTAGGTTGAATATGCATTGTGGGTGTAAAAATAAGTATCCTGACATAAGCAAAAGGCTTATTTTTCAAATACCATCATTTTCTTATTTTCTGTATAATTTTTGTTGTCACCCCTGGGTCTCCATTTTTACTTTACTTTTTATTTTCTTGTCTTACTTTTCTCTGTTTTTAAAATCTTATTTCGGTCTTTTCCTTCCTCACTCTTTTATTTCTGTAATTCATCATGTTAAAGGAATACCCTGTGGGTTGGAGGTTAAGAGGAATGGAGGGTGAGTGAGAAGAATGGGCAGAGGGAGGTAGCAATATATTTTAATTGTCACCATCTAGTAGAAGCAGTGAGACATCATCTTTTCAATGCTGAAACGCTGCAAACCAAAAGTAATTCTGGGTACAAAACTGCAGCTAAAATTGCCACATTAGCTAAATGAATAAAAAAGCAAGATCCAAGTATATGTTGCTTATCAGTGACTCAACTTCAACTTAAAGGACTCTCATAGTCTGAAAGTGAAGGGATGGAAAAAATATGCAAAGGAAGACAAAAAGAGAGCAAAAGTAGCTACACTTATTTCAGAAAATAAACTTCAGGTCAAAAACTGTAAACAGATACAAAGAAGGTCATTAAATAGTGATAAATGAGTCAATTTATCAAGAGGATTTAACAATTTTAAGTATATATGTGCCCAACATCAGAGCACCTAAATATATAAAGCAAATATTAAAAGATCTAAAGGAGACACAGACTGCAACATAGTGGTAGGAAATTTGAACATCCCACTTTCAACATTGGACAGATCATCTAGGCTGTAAGTCAATAAGGAACCATTGGACTTGAACTATACTTTAGACCAAATGGACTTAATAGACATATACAAAATATTCCACCCAACAGCAACAGGATACACATTCTTTCAAGTGCTCATGGAAAATTCTCCAAGATAGATCATATATTAGGCCATAAAACAAGTCCTAACAAATTTAAGAAGATCAAAATCATATCAAATTTCTTTTCCAATCACAATGGTATAAAATTAGAAATCAATAAAATGAATTATGGACAATTAACAGTGGAAGTTAAATAATATGCTCCCAAAAAACTACTGGGATAAAGAAGAAATAAAAGGAGAAATTTTAAAAATATCTTGAGACAAATAAAAATGGAAACACAACATACCAAAACTTACTAGATGCAGCAAAAGAAGTTCTAATAAATAAGTTTATAATAATATATGCTTACATCAAGAAAGATGAAAAATATCAAATAAACAACCTAACATTATATCTCAAGAGACTAGAAAAATAAGAACCAACTAAGCCCAAAGACAGCAGAAATGAAAGAGGAGACATTACAATGATAATCCAGGAAGTCTCATAAGAGACTAATATGAACGATTATATGCCGAAAAACTCAACAATCTCAAGAAAAGAATACATTCCCTGAAACATATAACCTACTGAGGCTGAATCATAAAGAAATTGGAAATCTGAACAAATAATTAATAAGGATATTGAATTAATAATTGAAAAAAAGCCAGTGAACAGATGTCTTCACAGCTGAATTGTACCAAGCATTTAAAGAACCAATACCAATCTTTCTCAAACTTTTCCATGAAACTAAAGAGGAGAGAATATTTCAAAACCAATTTTATGAGGCAAGCATTATCCTGATAACAAAGCTAGCAAATAAACTAAAAAGAAGGAAAACTAGAGGTCAATATCTTGATGAAGATAGATGCAAAAATTCTCAATAAAATACTAGCAACCCGGCCAGGCACTGTGGCTCACGTTTGTAATACCAGCACTTTGGGAGGCCAAGGAGGATGGATCACAAAGTCAGGAGTTTGAGACCAGCCTGACCAACTGGTGAAACCCCATCTCTAGTAAAAATACAAATATTAGTCTGGCGTGGTGGTGCACGCCTGCAATCCCAGCTATTCAGAAGGCTGAAGGGAGGAGAATCATTTGAAACCGGGAGGCAGAGGTTGCAGTGAGCCGAGATCACACCACTGCACTCCAGCCTGGGTGACAGAGTGAGACTCCATCTCAAAAATAAATAAATAAATAAATAAAAATAAGAGCAAACCATATGCAATTGTACATTAAAAGAATCATTCACCACAATTACGTGGGTTTTATCCCTGGAATGTGAAGTTGGTTGAATATATGCAAATCAATAAATGTTACTCATCATATTAAAAGAATGAAGAACAAAAGGCATATGATCTTCTCAATAGATGCAGAAGAAGCATTTGCCAAAATTCAACATCATTCCATGATAAAAAGTCTCAACAAATTAGGTATAGAAGGAATGTTCCTCTGTGCAATAAAGGTCATGTATAAGCCCATAGCTAACATCATATTCGATACTGAAAATTTGAAGGCTTCTCCTTTAAGGTCAAGAACAAGACAAGAATTCCTACTTTCTCCACTTCTTTGTGACACAGTGTAATACTAGAAGACTTAGCCACAGCAATTAGACAAGAGGAAAAAAATAAAAGGCATCCAACTAGAAAAGAATGAAGTGAAATTGTCTGTTTACTAACAACATGCTCTTGTATGTAGAAAATTCTAAAGACCCCGCCAAGAAAGTGTTAGAATTGTACAATGAATTTAGTAAAGTTGCAGAATACAAAAGCAATATACTAAAATTAGTAGCATTTCTGTACATTAACAAAGTACTATCTGAAAAAAATAAGCGTAAAAAATACTTAGGAGTAAATTTAACCAAGAAAGTGAAAAATATAAATACTGAAAATGATAAAATGTTGATTAAAGAAATTAAAGGTGCTATAAATAATAGAAAGATATTTTATGTTCATGGAGTGGAAAAAAATGTTAAAATGTTCGTACCAAAATTCTTTACAGATTCAGTGCAATCCCTAGCATAGTTCCAATGTCATTTTTCACAGTAATAAAAAATTCTAAAATTTCTATGAAACCACAAAAATCCTGAATAGCCAAAGCAATCTTGACCAAAAATAACAAAGGGAGTGACATTACACTATGGGATTTCAAAAAATATATATATATTTATATATATTATAATGTATGTTATATATATTTATATATGTATATACATATATTATAATATATACTTATATATAATACATACTTATATATAATAATGTATATTATATACATTATAATATATACATATATTATAGTATATATACTTCAATATTATAATGTATATTATAATAATGTATATTATTATAATGTATATTATAATAATGTATATTATAATAATGTATATTATATTATAATAATGTATATTATAATAATGTATATTATATTATAATAATGCATATTATATAATGTATATAATGTATACTATATATGTATATTATAATAATGTATATAACATACATGTATATATATACATGTATATATACATGTATAGTATATATGTGTATATATACATGTATATATACATGTATAGTATATATGTATATATATACATGTATATATACATGTATAGTATATATGTATATATATACATGTATATATACTATACATGTATACATAATATATATACATGTATATATATACATGTTATATATACATGTATAGTATATATACACATGTATATTATATGTATATATTATAACATATACATGTATATTATATATTATTTATATCATAGATATTATTTATATATAATAAATATATATTAATATAAATATTTATATTAATATATAATAAATATTATTTATATTATATATATTTATATTATATATAATATAAATAAATACATAATATATTATATATAATATATATTATATAAATATATATTATATATAATATATACAATATATTATATTGTTATAGATATTATATATAATATATTATAATATATACATTATACATATTATATACTATACATATATAATATATAATATACTATACATATATAATATATATTATATACTATACATATATTGTATATTATACATATATTGTATATTATACATATATTGTATATATTATATATTATACATATATTGTATATATTATATACATTATACATATATAATGTATATATACATTATACATATATAATGTATATATACATTATACATATATAATGTATATATACATTATACATATATAATATGTATATAATATATACAATATACATTATAATATATGTGAGCATATGTAAGTATATATTATGATATATACTTATATACAATAATATACATTATAATATATAAGTATATATAAAGTATATACTTTATATATACATTATAATATATAAGTACATATAAAGTATATTTAATATACATTATAATATATATATTATAAAACTACAGGTATCATAATAGACAGTACTGGCATAAAAACAGACATATCTGCCAACAGTTTAGAGAGCCCAGAAATAAACCCACACATATACAGTCAATTGATTTTATGTTTTCTTTTCTTATTTTACATGTTATGTGACATGGCAAAAGTCAATTAATTTTCTACAAAGGTGCCAATAGCATACAATGGGGAAAGGACCATCTTTTCAATAAATAGTATTGGGAAACTGGATGTCTACATGAAGAAGAATCAAAATGGTCCCCTGTGTCACCCATTACACTAGAATCAAGTCAATATGGATTAAAGACTTAATTGTAAAAGCTGTAACTATAAAACTACTAGAAGAAAACAGAAGAAAAGCTCCATGACATTTGTCTTAGTAGGTATTTCTTGGATATGACCCCAAACACGTAAGCAATGACAGCAAAATTAGACAAATGGGATTGCATCAAACTGGAAACCTTTTGCACAGCAAGGGAAACAATTAATAAAGAGAGAATCCACAGATTGGGAGAAAAATATTGACAAATCATACATTGGATAAAGGGCTAATATCCAAAAATATGCAAGAAACTCAACATACTCAATAAGAAGAAAACAAATCACCTGATTTTAAAAATACTGAAGGATGTGAATAGACATTTCTCAAAAAAACAAAAACAAAATAAAACAAACAAACAAAAATACAAATGGCCAAAATGATGGCAACAGTGACTCACGTGGTGCTGCCACTGCAAAGATGCTGGCTGCAGCAGGGGAGGTGTGGCTGGGGCTGCAAGCTCCAGGAAGCCAGAGGGAGCCAGGAACAGGCAGGAGCCCTGCCCTCCTGAGCATAGGAGCAGCTGCCCAGCTGTGACTATGCACCCAGGCATCTCTGCATTCTTGGGGGCCTGGGAAGCTCCCCTGACCCTGCAGGCTCGGAAGTGCCTGCTCCTGTTGCTGGGCCTCTCTCTGCTCCCTGCACCTTCTCCAATTTTGTGACAAAGTCGAGGCCAAGCCCTGGCATTGTCATGGCTGGGCCAGGTGTGCACACACTTGGAGCAGTGCTGACATGCCAGCCCCTGCCACCTTGTCCCCCTCCAGACTTTGGGCACCAGTGAGCATGGGAGAGAGGCCAAGGGGAGGCTGAGGGCAGCTTGGCATGGGTCTGCAGGTGCCCCTCAACACAAACAGCCTGGGTGCCATGGGTGCTGTGGGGGCGGGTTGATGATGGCAAGAGGCAGACACACTTCTGTGCAGAAAGGTGTGTGTCCCTGGTGAAGCCCCACCTTCAAGCCAGGGATGGCCTGCACCCTGGGGGCCAGGCTGTCAGTTCTGGGTGGAGTCCATAGGGGGAGTGAGAACTTATGGTGATTTTTCTGGGCCCGCACATGGCTGCCCAGGGACCAACTGGCATGCACTTCCTCCCTTCTGAAACCCATAAAAACCCCAAATTCAGCCAGACTCACAGAGACGACAGGACAACCTGCCAGCAGATAGGAGGTAACCACTTCGGGCTTCCTCACCACTGAGGACTGCACACTCATCATGATGACCTGCCTGCAGATAGGAGGTACCCACACCAGGTCTTCTCTCTGCTGAGGCCTGCACTCATTGGGGTGACCTGTCTAAAGAAAGGAGCTACTGACTTTGAGTCTCCTGAGAGCTGTTTTGTTGCTCAATAAAGCACCTCTTCACCTTGCTCACCCTCCAGTTGTCCATATACCTCATTCTCCCTGGACATGGGACAAGAACTTGGGACCCACTGAATGGTGGGAGTGAAAGAGCTTTAACACAAACAGGGCTGAAACATTCCCCCCAACTCACCACATTGAGGGTGATAAGAAGGAGAGAAGAGCTGCGGCCCTTCCAGAAGCCCAGACTTAGGGGTTCCCTGAGCCAGGGCTGTGACACCTTATTTGGGGCTCTGCGGTTTCTGGCATCTCCAAGCTTCTGGGCACCACTGCATCCCCTTTGTCCAGATGGAGGTGCCCACAGCAGAAGGCGCTTGTGGTGCATCTGGTCCAGCTGCAGCCTTGCACAGAGCTGGCACCTGTGCCAACATCTGGAGCTGCCTGCTCGGCTGCATCTGGCTTGCCTGGCTGTGTGCAGTGGCAGGACCCTGTGCTCACTCACACACCCCTCACCACCCTGCACCTAGCTCTCCCTTGGCAGGTGTGGGATCTCAGCCAGTAGTGCAAACTGAGTGCTGCTTGCCAGGCTGAGTGGGCAGAACAAGCCCAGTGGGCCTGAGCAAAACTTGGGCAAAGGTGCCACCAGCCACAGAGGTTTCTGGCTGGTGAAACGACACTCCAAGGATCCTGTGACAAATAGATGTATGAAAATATCCTCAACATCATTAATCATCAGAGAAATGCAAATTAAATCCCCAATGAAGCATCATCTCATACTAGATTGAGTCTTATTAAAAAGTTGAAAGACAACAAAGGTCAGTTAAGGATGTGCAGAAATTGTGGTATTGTAAATTAGTACAGTCATGGCAAACAGTATAAAGGTTCCTCAAAAAACTAAACATAGAATTATCACATGATCCAGCAATCCCACTTCTGGGTATATACCCAAAGAAACTGAAATCGGCATGTTCATTGCAGCATTATTCACAGTAGTCAAGATATGGAAACAACCTAAGTGTCTAACAAGAGATGAATGGATTTTAAAAATGTGGCATATATACACAATGGAATACTACTCAGCCAACTGGCATATAGCAGCTGTTCAGTATCTGTACATGTAATCTAAATGTTACAAAATTTCTGCCATACTATTCCTGTGGTAGTGAATGTTTCACAAAATCTGATGGTTTTATAAGGGGTTTCCACTTTCGCTTCTGTCTCATTTTCCTTCTTGCCTGCTGCCACGTAAGGAAGTCCCTTGCTCTTCCGCCATGATTGTGAGTCCTCCCAGCCATGTGGAACTGTGAGTCAATTAAATCTCTTTCATTTATAAGTTACCCAGTCTCAGGTGTGTCTTTATTAACAGCATTAGAACAGACTAATACAATTTGCATTCTCAACATAATCAACTTGTTCAAACCTCCCTCTTATACAAATAACCACATCCCTGGGTCCTACCTCCTCTAGGAGCTGTCCCCCCTCTTTTTCCTCTTGCTTGCTTCCTCTTCATGGCATCACTTTCTCCTCTCTTTCTTCCCCCAGCACGCTGCCATCAGTCTCTCTCATCTCAGCTTCTTCCTTGCAACTACTTCTTTATTTAGGTGATCTTTCTTCAATCTTTATGTTAATTTACTTCTCTGTAGTTCTCAAATATCTTAAATGACTTTGACTTTCTTGAAATTCTTTCTCTTTTTTCTGTAAAGTATTCTTCTCTTCTTCAGCTTTTCTGGATGTGTTTTTAAAGTTGGCTGTATAGATTTACATTCCTTCAATAGTAGTTATGCATGTGTTTTTTCCTAATATGCTTTCCTGGAGCTGTTTCTCTTCAAATATTTTCCCTAGATATCTTCCACATACATAAATTTAATAATCTTTTTCACTCCAGTGACTTTAAAATCCATATCACAGCCCAAATCTCATTTAATAAGCTCCAGGCCAGCATTCAACACAATATATTTATTTTCTTCCCCCCAAATTACCCCTCCTCTTTCTTCTCTTATTTTTGGCTAGGGTCAATAATATCTCGTCTAGTTATCTTTACAAAAAAAAGCAAATCTGAGACCAGATTTTGTATTTGAGTATTCCTTCTCATTCACCTTCTCCATAGAATTTGTCTTGAGTTGAATCTGATTCTACTGCTTTAGTATCTGTAGAATCTTCTCTCCTACAGTGACTGACTCAGTTGAGGTCTTCACCTTTACTATATCAGTCTTCTAATTTATCTCCCTGTGTCCATTTTGTATTCATTTCAATTCTTCCTCATTTCTCATTCTAAAAGACTACGACCATGTCAGTACCTTGCTTAAAAGCCTTTTACAATTCCTCATGACACACAGAGTTAGATTTGGGTGTCTAGCATGTCAATGAGTCCTTTGTAATGTGACATCACCTCACCAAGTCCCACCCGACTCCATCTGACTCTCCCCCTTGCCCGGTACTTTCCCTATCCCATCAGGAGGACAAGTTCACATACTGGTGCTTTTGTCCAAGCCACATTTTCTACACTTTCTACCTGGGTTCACCCCCAGGCTCATTGCCCCTTGTGCCCAAAAAGACACATACTACTCATATCCTGGAAACAACTACATCTTTGTTTTTCCACCTCAGTTCAGGATTTTGGAGATCTCCTTAACATGCCAGATCTGGTTTGGATGCTCTCTTACACGATTCTGTGACACCAAATGATTTCCAATAATAAAGTTACATTTGTTAAATAAAAGGAGTATGTTGTGTACAATTTTGTAATTTAAGCACCTGGGACCATAACCAGCATGTAGCAGGTGTTCAGTACCTGTAAGCGTAATATAAACCTTACAAAATTTCTGCCCTTACACAAACACCCATCACCTTTTAAGAAAAATATTTAATGGCATCATTTCTTATATAATTTTTTAGAACTCCTATTTGGCTATACTTTCTCATTCTATTCACGAGGTCTCTTAAATATATAGTTAGGCACCACATAACACCATTACTGTATATATCATGGTGGTCTCATAAGATTGTACTACTATATTTTATTGTACTTTTCTATGTTTAGATACACAAATACTTACAATTGTGTTATAATTGCCTACAGTATTCTGTACAGTAACACGACATGCAGGCTTGTAGCCTAGAAGCAATAGGCTGTACCACATAGCCTGGGTAAATCTAGCAGGCTATGACATCTATTAAGTACACTCTGTGATGTTTGCACAATGACAAAATTGCCTAATGATGTGTTTCTCAGAAGTGTATCCTCATTGTTAAGTGACACAGGACTGTATTTAAAATATTTTTGACATAAGGTTAAACACAATTAGAAGGATGAGATTTTATTTCTAAAAGCAAACTTACAAGATGGATGATTACAAAGATGTATCTTTAGAGACAACTAGAAGCCATCCATTTAAAGTGTGAAATGTCTGCTAGCTTCCATCACAATGACTAAATATTTCAAATATCTATTTTCTTAAGTAATTTTTTAAAATGTGTACTTCATTTAGGTGTCAGGAAAATGTACCATTTCATTTGATTAGTGTAAATCGAATTGCTGCAAACTGCTCTCTGAACCAACACCACGCTGTTTCAGAGGCGCATTAAGTAGTAAATCAACTTTATTGGAAATGCTGGGTCTCATCTTTTCAGAGGGAATGTTATGTACTTTTTCCAGAGGTGCAATAATTCTTTTACATTTCTGGAGTCTCTTTAGTAAATTGCTTCTGTTTAGTAAATTATCACTGCGCTAAGTAGCCCAAAGTAATGAAAGTATTATATTAAGAAGTGTCCAAAAGTCAGATCCCTGTGGTATTCCCTAGCTTTTAGCCGCATGTATTTAGTTTTCTCTTCTTATCCTCTCAGAGATTTCTCAGATACCTTTGCCAAACTTTTGACAAAGATCTGCCAGCATCCATTGGCCGGGCATTATGTTTTATGACCTGCTTCTGGGCTGTTTTTGGACTAAAAGACTGTCAATAATTAGAGCACAGTGAGGTGTTTAATGAAAGCATGCGATGCTGCATCCCAGGGATGAAAGCAATTGTTTGTGGCCAGAATCACACTTATGTGTATCTGTTGAATTAATTCATCTTCTATGGCGTTTCTCATTATGATAGAAAAATTTATCAGCAGCCTTATAAAGAGTAGGACTGGCTCAGTTTCACTTTTAAATGTGTTGCAATCACATGCTGTGAAGTGTGATTTTAAGTATTGCTCAGAAAACAATATTATGTTAAAAAAGCTCTGTCAGGTAGAAGAAGATGCATTTTAGATATGGAAAGCTTCCTTGATGGGCAGCATAAAGTATGTGTTAGGGAAGCTTTTTTCTTAAAGCAATTTAACCTAGCCCTTTCAACATAAGATGATTACTTCTGCTTTACTGAAAATGCACGTGTATTGAATCTGCTCAAATATGACAGCATGTGTTTTCTAATCTCTGGACATACACATATTAACCATTTTAACTGCCTTGTAGTATGACATTTTAGCCTACATGGTTTTAGAAACAGTCCTTGCTACATGCTTCACCAATTGCAACTTGCAGATTGAATGATCCTTTGAAAGCACTACCATAAATATTTCTGCAAATGAGTGATCTGTTCACATTACATCTGCTAATGCTATCTTATGGCAGAGCAAACAAATAGTTCAGACATCACATCACTGCACACGAGAACAGTAAGGGGCACTCTGGTGGGGTGTAGAACATCGTTTAGAATTGCATCAGTGATTGTCTTTGAGGAGCTAACCTGTCTTTTCAGAGACATATTTCTTGACAGCCTGTCACAGGGAGAGCTATGGATGTTCAGTGAACAAAGAATAATGCTAACATTGTATATGTTAAAAAGCCACAAACTTTAGTCTCAACAGCTTCTGACAAAATGTAAACATTTCCTTAGGGCTAATAGAATTTTGGAAAAAAAGAAGGATCACAAGAGATAAACACACTGACAATTGCAAAAAAAAAAAGATTATCGCATATAATTTATAACATTATTTATAATGAACTTCACAGCTGTTTTAAAATGATGACTGGGAAATTTACTTTATGTCTGAAATCTAAGCAGGTATTATAAGTTTTACCCTGATAGTTTCATTTCTCACAGCTTTCTCAGCAAAAGTTTACCAGAAATTGTTTATACCTTTCTCAGTCCAATGATTATTATTTTTATTTGTGAAACAAGAAATAATTAAAATATTTTCCATTTTGATGTCAATGTGAGATGTACTTCTGCATGAATGGCTAAAAATGGCTGACCTTTTTAAGATCTGTCTTTGCAGAAAAAGATTCATTGTAGTTTTCAAAGGAAAGAAACTTAAATGGGAAATATAACTTTATGTTTTAAAGTAACTCAACAAACTTTGGAAAATAGACCAATAAATTTTTTATGATCAGTCATATCATGTCATGTCATCTTCAGAATGAGTTGATCACAGCTAAAGATACAATATTCATAGAGTCAATCTTCTCATTTCCATAGCACAGCCAATAATCTGCCAATGAAAGGGCCTTTAGTACTCATTTGTACAGGATGCAAATGTTTCGGCTTGGCAGCTTGAAATGAAAG
Organism: Homo sapiens; assembly: GCF_000001405.40. Taxonomy (NCBI): domain Eukaryota; kingdom Metazoa; phylum Chordata; class Mammalia; order Primates; family Hominidae; genus Homo; species Homo sapiens. The sequence goes on along the minus strand of NC_000002.12, from coordinate 180,693,820 downwards.
TTTCATTTTTAAAATCAAATAAAGATCATTAATGCTCACATGAATCAACAAATTCTAGAAGTCTTATAACATGTGCTAGCTGCATTTCCCATGAGTTAGACTAAATAAGCTGTTCATTTCTCAGCTATGTTTTTCTGCTTTTGAGATTTTTAAGATGTCATCCTATAGGCAAATAAAACAAAAAAATAAAGAGATTGCTCTGTCAACAGAACTTTCCTGTTCTGAGGCTTACACAAAGGAAGCTTAACTAGTAGCTTTAGTACTTTGTGAAGAAAAAAATTATACTCAAAAAGATGGTTGTGTTATAATTAAGAAAGTTTTTAAAAAATGTTTTTAAAATAGAAAATGGAGCATAGAGAAGTTCTAGAATTTCTTCCAGTTGCACTGCTCACTGGGAGTAGGACAGAGCTCTTTTGATTTACAGACTCCTGCTTTTCCCTACTCTTGTGTCTTCCTCTATGACAATACTAGCTTCTGCTGCAAGGAACGGATGATGTTGGGTGACCTATTGAAATTTCAGCCGCCTCCTTTCTTCTTTTTATTTCTTTCTTCTGATTCCCCAAATTCTTTTCTCCTCAACCTAATACAAATATATTACAGAATAATTGACAGTCTTAGAGCACAAACTACCACTATTATGAGTATCATGAGACCATTATTATTATTATTTTGAGACGGAGTTTCGCTCCTGTGGCACAGGCTGAGGTACAGTGGCATGATCTCCACTCACTGAAAGCTCTCTCCCCCGGGGTTCAAGCAATTCTCCTAACCCAGCCTTCCAAGTAGCTGGGATTAAAGGCACCACCAAGCCCAGCCAATTTTTAGTAGAGATGGGGTTTCACCATGTTGGCCAGGCTTGAACTCCTGACCACAGGTGACCCACCTGCCTCGGCCTCCCAAAGTGCTGGGGTTACAGGCATGAGCCACTGCGCCCAGCCGAGACCAATATTCTGCTTTGAGAATTTGCTGTGGCATAAAATAAAATTAGCTAGATTAATGTTCATAGAACCTTACAGTATTCAAGAAAGTCACTACCAACATTGCCAAATAGATTTAAGCTAAGCACAAAGGGAAAAATATAGAAAAGCACAAATCACACAGTCCTGGTAACTGTCTTCTGAAAAGCTAATATAATTATCCTAATAGGTATATTTGATAGGCCCTTACTGTGCAGAAGTCTGTCCTAGGAGTTAAGAAATAATAGGATTCAATAAAAACATACTCCTCTTTCTTCCGCAAGGAAATTTCAGTCTGACCAATCAGGAGTTTGTGCCACACAGCCAGCACAGTGTTCACCTAGAAAAACTAGTCCAACCAAACAGTGATTCAGGGTACTCCTGTGACTAATTTATATTCTCACTCAGCTGGGGAAAACTCACCCTGAGGACTTGAAATTGTGTCCAGAACTGGTGGGTTCTTGGTCTCACTCACTTCAAGAATGAAGCCGCGGACCCTCGCAGTGAGTGTTACAGTTCTTAAAGGCGGCGTGTCCGGAGTTTGTTGCTTCTGATGTTCAGATGTGTTCGGAGTTTTTTCCTTCTGGTGGGTTCGTGGTCTCGCTGGCTCAGGAGTGAAGCTGCAGACCTTCGCGGTGAGTGTTACAGCTCTTAAGGCGGCGCGTCGGGAGTTGTTCGTTCCTCCCAGTAGGCTCGTGGTCTCGCTGGCTTCAGGAGTGAAGCTGCGGACCTTCGCGGTGAGTGTTACAGCTCATAAAAGCAGTGTGGACCCAAAGAGTGAGCAGTGGCAAGATTTATTGCAAACAGAGAAAGAACAAAGGTTCCACAGCTTGAAAAGGGACCCCATCAGGTTGCCACTGCTGGCTCGGGCAGCCTGCTTTTATTCTCTTACCTGGCCCCACCCACATCCTGCTGATTCGTAGAGCCGAGTGGTCTGTTTTGACAGGGCGCTGATTGGTGCGTTTACAATCCCTGAGCTAGACACAAAGATTCTCCAAGTCCCCACCAGACTCAGGAGTCCAGCTGGCTTCACCCAGTGGATCCTGCACGGGGGCTGCAGGTGGAGCTGCCTGCCACTCCCGCGCCCTGTGCCTGCACTTCTCAGCCCTTGGGTGGTCGATGGGACTGGGCACCGTGGAGCAGGGAGCGGCGCTCATCGTGGAGGCTCGGGCCTCACAGGAGCCCATGGAGGCGGTGGGAGGCTTAGGCATGGCGGGATGCAGGTCCCGAGCCCTGCACCGCGGGAAGGCAGCTAAGGCCCGGTAAGAAATCGAGCGCAGCGCCGGTGGGCTGGCACTGCTGGGGGACCCCGTACACCCTCCGCAGCCGCTGGCCCGGGTGCTAAGCCCCTCATTGCCCGGGGCCGGCAGGGCCGGCCGGCTGCTCCGAGTGCGGGGCCCGCCAAGCCCACGCCCACCTGGAACTCCAGCTGGCCCGCAAGCGCCAGGCGCAGCCCGGGTTCCCACTCGCGCCTCTCCCTCCACACCTCCCTGCAAGCTGAGGGAGCCGGCTCCGGCCTTGGCCAGCTCAGAAAGGGGCTCCTACAGTGCAGCGGTGGGCTGAAGGGCTCCTAAAGTGCCGCCAAAGTGGGAGCCAAGGCAGAGGAGGCGCTGAGAGCGAGCGAGGGCTGTGAGGACTGCCAGCACGCTGTCACCTCTCAAAATGACCCACTGAAAAGCCATATTTTACTGTCTTATCTCCCTCTCCTTGACTCTGAGAAACAAGGGGCTGAAATCCAGTATAACTCCACCTAAATGTATTCTCCTTAGCTCAGGTGTGCTGACTTGTTTCTAATACCACCCAGGGATTCAGGGATACTATTAGTGGTTTACTGTTAAGCAGCAATATCATAACAGGGAATACTTTCCTTGGCTATGGGTCTGTGTTTTGAAATACTATATAAAATACTTATAAGCATTACATCTGATTATTTAACACAGCAGCAGTCTTTCCTTATAAATACACACACACACACATACACACACACACACACACACAGGGAGAGAGAGAGAGAACAATGGAAGAGAGAAGAATATCTGTCTCATACCAACATCTTATGTTGTATCATTTCCCAGGCAACTGATGATTAAAGATAAATATATGCAAGCTGTACAATGACTGTAAACAGCCTATGATTCAGGAATAAACTACTTTCATGAAAAACTAATGGCCAGAATGCCTCTCTATATATGTACTAAGACTTGGAAGGAAGGAAGAAAGGAAGGAAAGAAGGGAGGGAGGAAGGGAGGGAGGGAGGAAACTGAAGAAGGTGAGAAGAGACCTATATTTTCCTACCAAATTAAATTTCCTGCATTAAAGGGAAAAGAAAACCTGGAGGTGATATTTTGGTTGGCCTCATACATCAAAAGGAACATTGTTCAGTTACATCTGGTATCAAATAAAAAGTGTTCATGTAACTTTAAGATTGACTGAGCCCCAATACCCTCTTCCAACCATGGTGAGTGATACTGCAAACTCCCTGGAATCCATTTTCTATCCGTTTGTTCAGTATTTGTTATGCACAACCACTTAGCTATTTGCATCACACAATTTGTATTTTATCATGAAGTTCAACGTCCATGTGCTCTGTGTCTTCTTGTGTGACCCTAAAGCAACTGAGGGAGGACACCATGTTGTGCAGTCTCCATCACTGGGTATCTACTGCATCTACTATCTCCAGCTAATCCAGGAGTAATACACAGTTGTCCAAAATAGAACTTCTTATCATTAGCATCTTCAAATCATGCACAAAGTTTAACAGAAATACATTATGTCCTAATTATACACGTTAGCATTACCAACAGAGGAGATTTGAGGCTCAGTTTGGGGTTCTTTTGGGCTATTGATTATTCTTGCTTTGAAAAACTTCCAGGCAGTAATCATGTCTATGAAAAACTTTGGGACCTTTTCATGAGCTGAAGTTGGGTAGTGCTGTTTTCTGAAAAATGACTTGATTCCTTACAGACATTCATTTGGCCTATATCTGGACAGATAACCATCATTCTGGAGCCATCTCTGAGGTAGACTTGATGTATCCAGTGACCATTTAACAGAAGGAAGAGATAATGGCAGGATACACTGAGATGTCTTTAACAATGACTTGCTTGCATTAAATGTCAGGACAATATGCTTTAACAAAACATCCACAAAACAGAGTTCAATGGGTGTTTGACATAAAAAAATGAAATATTGTGTTAAAGGGATTAAAACTGTGATAAAATCAAACTTGAATCTGTTTAATTTTTTTCATCAATTGTAACTCTTTCTTTTGGTGCAAATTGGTATTGGTTAGCAACCTAAAAATAATAGGATCCAACATGTTACAACAATGTGGCTGAGTGTTCTTTTCAATTCTATTCAGAGAAACAAAATTATAATATTAAAGGGCAGTGTATGTGTGTGTGTTTAGGAACTAGTTTTGTATAATTTTTTTATCATCTTAAAAACTATTATTACTTGATTTGGATGAATTTTGGCCATAGATATCCAAGTTCCCATATTCGTTTTCATCATAAGTCTATTGTTTTAGTTAGAAGCTATTTTTAACCAAAACTAATATTGTATGAACCATTTATGTACATGGACAAAATGAAAAAAGCAGACAATAGCCCAGGTGTCTTAAGAATGCCCTGATGCTATGAAATTATATGCTGTCTTCTCTACTCATACGACTATATTCATTTTAATAGTTTTAGGGCCTTAAGCCCAACCATCCCCTATAACACTGTTACCCATTATTCATGATATACTAGATAGATTGAAAGAAAACATTTGGGAGGCCCAGAGGATTCATAAGGGGAAACACACTCTGAAAGGTTAAGGCAGAGTAAGATTGTGGCTGATGATAAGGCCTAATTGAGGAAATTTTACTTTAAATGGAGGAGCTACTGAAACAATCTGTAAGGGAGGTAAGATGGTAGGAGCAGAGGTTTAGATGAATGAGCTGCACAGTAGTGTGCCAAAGGCAATCTTCTAGAGAAAAAGAGGCACAAAAACAGTCAAAATGGAAAGAGATTCACATCTCCAGTGTTGCAAAGTAATAACAGGCAGCAGTTAGTTAATATTTAAAGATGGGAAGGATTCAAAGATAACCCTAAGTTTTCATTCCAGCTGGATAAGACAACAATTGAAAGCTAACAGCATTAAAAATATAAAGAAAAAGAAACAATTCTGGATGGTAAGCTATTAAATGTGTTTTAAAACACTGAATTTGACATAAAAATATTCATATTAAAATATACTTAGGAGTCTTTATATTTGCATAAAGATTTATATTTTCAAGGCATTTTCTCATGGTATTTTGTAACATTCTCACAACTTTAGGCACTATTATTATGCCCATTTTACAAATACAAAACTGAAGGTCAAATAAGTTGAATGAATTATTTAAAGACACAGCTTACAACTGCAGAGCTAGGATTCTAACACAAATATCCTGATTCTTAAGTCTTGAATAAATGTTTATATTTGTTATTTGGAGACAGAAGATTAGAGTTTGTCCCTGAGATTTTGGAAGTTATTAGTTAAGAGAAAATAGTGAAAGACAAAACCAGGCAGAAGGAATCACAAGATAGCAGATAGGTCCAACATTTATTGTATTTCATTCATCTATGTTTCTTGGGTTGAATTGTTACCTACCTTGACTTCTTTTCCTGTCTAGCAAAATATCTTTTAAAATGATGTAAAATCTACTATTTTCCCTAGTTGATTCCCATACCATTCTCCCTCTTCCGTCTGCCCTTCCCCACAGTAGTTTTCTTTTCTCTCTCTCTTTTTTAAAGCCACAGCTGATCACATATTATCTATCTTGCCATCTTTGCTTCATGCCATATCCTACTTCTGATTTTTCTCTTTTGCTGTGAAAATTATGCTTAAGTGAAAATCTGTAAGTTGAAATCTAGTCTCATGTCCTGTGAGTCTCCTAAAGTTTGCTTGAAGAGTAATACCATGAGCTCAAGCAGTCAAGATAAAAGTAACCTTGAATTCAGGGAAGAAGAGGAATTAGTCAAATGAGCCATACCTTATCCAATTAACTGAAACCTCCCTGACGATGCCTATCCTCTCTGTATTTTCAGCTATCTTTCTTTCTTGGGAATTCCCAGAATAAAAACTCCAGCTATCTGAAAAGTCTATTTTATTTTAAATGTATTATTCCACAATGTGGAAAAATAGTATATTGTTTTAAGGGGTATTTTTAATAATATAAAATCAATCAAAGAATTGGTCCCTTTCTTAAAAGAAATTGTTTCATATTGTTGGGTAGAAATTGCGTGTGTGTGTGTGTGTGTGTGTGTGTGTGTGTGTGTGTGTTTTGTGTGTGTATGCGTGTATGTATGACATATAAAATGGCATAGGTGAAATAATATAAAGAAATGTACCATTATAGCCTGATGACATTTAGTGGAGAATGTTCTTTGGAGCATTGAAGGGTGGAGTCAGGCTCTAAAAAAAGGGAGAGATCTAGATGGTGGAAATAGGATGGGATTCCAACTGGGGAAAATAAAAAGAAGCAAAGCATAGATAGGCATTAGTACTAACATGTGCAAAGGACACAGAAGATGTGGACCTGCTAGAGAAAAATGAGTAGGAACAGACTTAAATTAGAAGTTAATGTCCCCCACTTAAGCTTTGACTTTCTAGGACTAGTTTAAGTAGTAGTTTTTGACTCATTTGATCTGTCTTTTTTCTCTCAGTCTCACTCTCTTTTTAATATCTGGCAAAAGCTTAAGGACAAAATTTAGCCAATTAAAGTTTTTCCTTAAAGTGGCATTTATTTTTTAACTTATTAAAATAACTTATTTATAGATGCTCCCCTAATTAGAGGCTAATTTAGAGGCTACCAAAAAAGAAAATAATTAGAGGCTACCAAAAAAGAAATAAAAACACTGGCCTTGGGAACAAAGATTAATATAATTTATAGTTTTCTGGGTCTACGTAATAGTACAAATACTATTTGCCCATATTTAATGGGCAAATAGTATCAAATGATGACATGAAGCAGTTTAAAGACAAATAATGACATTTGTCTAGTAGCCCCTGGCACACCTGTTCTCAATTTCCACAGAAGACACCTTTAAAGACAGAGAAAAAAAACAAGTCACAAAGGTACCAGAAAATAGGTCTGAAAGTTTGCCTCTGCCTGAATTAGAAGTGAAGTCTTTTAAACTGCAAGACTAATGTAGCTAGGTTGGTAATTGAAATGGGAGTAATAAGGTCCTGTTATTGGTACTCCTGAAGGAAGTAGGAAGGTCTTCCAAGCCTCACCTTCCCCAGCCCTACCCCCATCACAGTTGGATTCCAGAATACCAGGCAGTTTCCCCTGTGCTTTATAGCTGTTATCCTTGGAGGGGTTTAGATATATACCATCATGCTATCTCAGACATTCAGGGTTTGCAACTCCAAACATCAAGTGCATGATGTATCCTGGAAGGTGCTATGAGCCTAAAAATAGCCTGGGTAGGTTTATTTTCTGTGTTGACCTTAAAATCTTTTCATATACCTCTTGGAAAATGGACTCAGTGTAGACACTTCATGGTTTGTGTTCTGCTCTTCAGCTGTTTGGGGAGACTGGTCAGAGTCACGTCTTCACACAAGGTTCTTTCAAAGCTGGAGGGCAGCTCAGCTACAGTGAAGAACTGTCCTTGAATTTCAGCTGGATACCTTTCAGATTTTCAGTTATTTCCTTGATCTAGGGATAGACTGGTGCATTTGTGAGAATTTGGGTTGCAGAAATGTCCTATGTTTCTTATTTTGGGGTTTAGCATTTCTGTGCAGACAGCTTTTTTGCTGTTCTTGGTCCTCAGCAATGACAATGGCTCCGAGGAGATTACTATTTTTCCCCCCTGCTGGCACTAGATCAGAATAAAAAAAAATAAAAAAACACTGTTTAGCAGCAATGCTTAGTGTCCTTAGTATTATTTTTTTTCTGTGGTTAGAAAAGTGACTCCCAGGTAGATAATACCTATCTCTACTCTCAGTCCACCCTTGCTTCAGCCCCAGTCTTCAAAAGAAGGATATTAGCAAGGTTTTTGTTTTCTCTGAATTATTTCTACTTTGTCTTATTTTTCTGCTTTCTTGCACTGTTCTCTTAAGAAGTGGTGTCATCCTGCAATTTGACTCAAATTGTATTATGCAAGGAGTTGAATAAATTTATATTGTCATAACTACACTCAGAAAAATTACTGAGGGGGCTTGGAAAAACTGTTTGAGGAGCAATTTTGGATATGGCAGTGAGATGATAATGGGCAGGCTCAAGAAAAGATAGATTACCATAGACTGCCCTCCGACAGGGGTGGTTTCTGTTAGTGGCATGACAACTAACTGGATGTGCTAATTATGCAAGTTTGGTGGAAGGCAGAGAAGTGTTTAAGTATAGCTGGGCCTCTTCCAGTCTGCCAGCTCTCAGACCTTATAGTGCAACTCTACCTTCCTGGGGGGGTCTCAGGAACTCATATCTGAATTTTCTGCACCATCCCAAGGTCTTTAGGTTCTGCAAAGTTGAGCTGCTCTCAGATATATCCGCCCAGTTACCTCCCTTTGCCATTCCGCATCTACTGCCTAGGACTCCCTATCAAGTCTCAAGTCTGCAAGATGACACTCTGAGAAACCAAACATTGAGCATATTTGAATGGAGTAATGGAGTTGTGGAGAGCAAAGGCACAGAAGAGGGGACAAACCTAAGTTTGATGGCTGTGGATATGCAATATTCCAGAATTTGATGACATTAGATAATCTCTCTTAGGTTTTTCCTTTTTACAAAGAAAAAAGGAGAAAGAAAAACAAAATCAAAGCCCCTTTAGTTTAGCTTGGATAAATTTCTCCCATTGAATGCAGAATAGTAACTAAATCAGAGGTGATGATTTTAAAACAGGTTATCTTTGCATTGTAGCTTAACACAAACATACAAACACAAAGTGTGAGAAGATGGACATCAAGTAGGTAAAGAAGGATCTCATGTGCTGCTCTTCACTGGTGGCCAAATTGAGGCCGTGTTAAATGTACTATAGTAGAAACCTACTGTGCCACTTCTTAGAGACTTTGCTATCCTGAGCAGCAGCATTTTAATGAATAACTGGAAAAAAATCTTATTCTTTGTGGGTTTAATGCAAATTAAGGTAAACCCAAAAATGTCTATATATTCTTAGCTTTTCCAAGGTTTGAAGTCACTATCAAGATAGAATACCATTATTGCAATCTCACTGTTAAAAAAATTTTCTGGAAATAAGGTCAGGAGGATGCAGCATGTTCTTTCAGTGTCATTCCAGGGCACTGTTAGTGAGATCAAATATGCTGGGTTTCCAGGGTCTTTCCTGGTTTTAGCTCTAAGAATCCAATGTCTGGGAAACCCCTCTGTTCCTGAAAAACCATGGCAGGTGGTTCTCCTGAACAACCACAGATTGTCTAAGTGCCTGAAGCATATACTTTTATTTGACTTTGTTATTTACTATTATTTAAGGGCTCAAACTTGATGAAGTTGCAAGTTGATCTGTAGACCTTGTCTGGTAAAGATGTAAATAGTCTAATAGAAAAGATAACCCCCAAAGGTTGTCTTTTTATTGCCCTACAGGATATTATTTAGTTTTGTATCTACCTTAGAAGTTTTAACTTCCCTTTTAAAAATGTTTATAAAATCCACTTTCTCAAACTGCTCTACCATTAATAAATAATGGTAATAAGTTATAAATTAATAATGTGTAAACAAGTTAAAAACTAATGACATTAATAAGTTAATAAATCTTTGGCATGTGTTCATTCTATATTTGTGTAACAGTCATATTTTAACTTTAAAAATGGATACTTTGGCATTACTAAAGAAGATTAGACCATCATGGTTTCAATGTAGTTCTTTTAGATAATCATATTTTAGCAAAAATATACACATATTTCTCTGAGCTTTGGTTTACTCATCTTCAAGTATGAGAATATAGGTTTTGTGTGATAATCGAATGAGATAATGTATATAAATTATGAAGCAAAATGCCTTGTATATTATAAGGTTATATTTATGCTGTACAGTCAATGATATTAACTCACTATGAGATTTCTGCCTGTGGGGTTTTCAACATCTGAAAGCAGGAAAATATTTCTGCTAAGTTTTTTCAATGTATTCTCATTGTAAGAATCTACGTGATTAGATCCTTATGATCAGTGCATGGTTTGCTGTTGATCTTAAGTCTTTTTTCCTGTATCACTATTCAGGATACACCGTCATTTTATATTTAGGGGAAGGATTAATCCATCCTACATGCACTACCTTGCATTTGTTCTTACTGAATTTTATCACATTTAACTCAGACAATTTCTTAACATTTTTAGCATCATTATGAATTCTTCTCAAATAAGTCTCTGAACATTTTTGTTATGTTTTGTGAGGATAACATATAAAATAGAAATTCTGTATGGAAACATCCAGTTTTTTAGATTTAAAGGATCTGAAAAAATTAATTACATAATAAAAGCCATTTTAATCCAACAATTTATTTCTATATTATATACTTTGAACATTTCTTTAATATCTTAAATTAACCAATTAACCTCCAGGGACTTCTATTAACACAGCCGAAAGAAAATGAATCATAAGTTTATGTTTTCAAAACTATCCAAAATTTATTGATACATTTCAGATGCTCTCTTAATATCTTTTCCTTTTCATGATATTTGGAAGTCATTATAAAATGTCATAAAACCCCTTCAGGAAAGGTATCAGAGTGACAAAGGGCACTATTGTACTTCAGTACAAATGTAGTACAGTGCAGAGAGAAAGAGATTGCCTGTCGGGTCAGATAGACTTGAGTTCATATCCAAGAGCTGTCACATGCTAGCTATGTGATTTTGAGTTAGTTGCTTTATCTCTCTAAACCTTAGTTTACTCATATGTGAAGCAGGGATGAGAACAGTGCTCATTTAACATGAGTCCTCTGTTGAGTCAATGAGATAATAAAGTACCTTGCAGGGTATGTGACACAAGGCATTCAATGAACTTTAGCTATTTATTTCATTATTGCAGGATGAATTATCAATTCAAAATATGGCTGTATAACCATACACACATATTTTACAATATTAGACTCATAAAGAAGGGCAGAGCAATCAGACAGTGATAGGAGATAAGACTTCTCTTGACTTTCTGCATCCCTTATTATTACAAAACTGAGCATTGATCCAGGAAATATGACTGGTTGTGGCAGGAAGTCAGGGACCCCAAACAGAGGGACCAGCTGGAGCTGTGGCAGAGGAAAATGAATTGTGAAAATTTCATGGACATTTATCAATTCCCAAATAATACTTTTATAATTTCTTATGCCTGTCTTACTTTAATCTCTTAATCCTGTTATCTTCGTAAGCTGAGGATGTATGTCATCTCAGGATCACTGTGATAATTGTGTTAACTGTACAAATTGATTATAAAACATATGTGTTTGAACAATATGAAATCAGTGCACCTTGAAAAAGAACAGAATAACAGCGATTTTTAGGGAACAAGGGAAGACAACCATAAGGTCTGACTGCCTGCAGGGTCAGGCAAAAAGAGCCATATTTTTCTTCTTGCAGAGAGCCTATAAGCAGCCTAAATACACATACAGTATGCATGTGTATTTATTACACATACAGTATGCCTGTGTATTTATTACACATACAGTATGCCTGTGTATTTATTACACATACATAATGGAATATTATTCAGCCATAAAAAGAATGAGATCATGTCACTTGCAACAACGTAAATGAAACTGGAGGACATTGTATTAAGTGAAATAAGCCAGGCACAGAAAGGAAAAGCTCACATGTTCTCACTCATATGTGGGAGCTAAAAATTAAAATATCTGAACTCATGGAGATACAGAGTGAAATGATGGCTACTAGAAGCTGGGAAGGACAGTGCAGAGGTAGGAAAAGATGGAGTTGGTTAATGGGTATAATAGTTAGATAGAATGAATAAAATCTAGCATTTGATTCTACAACAGGGTGACTACAGTCAAAAATGATTTACTGTATGTTTAAAATAAGTTAAAGAGTAAAATTGAAATGTTCCTAATACAAAGAAGTGGTAAATGCTTGAGATGATGGATAATCCAATTACCTTGATGTGATTTATGAGACATTGTATCCCTGTATCAAAACGTTGCATGTACCTCATAAATATATATACCTACTATGCACCCATAAAATTAAAAATAAAAGGAAGAATCTGCAAATAATGAATTGGAGAACAAATTTGGGCTGCAGGTTGTGTTATGCTTGCCCATGAACTAAGAATGGTTTTACATTTTTAAATGATTGGAAAGAAGCAAATGATTGGAAAGAGGCAAACAAACAGAAAATGAGGATTATACAGTGGAGACCATTTGTTATTCCAAAGCCTAAAATGTTTACTATCTGGCCCTTTACGGATAGTATTTAGCAAACCCTTACTTTATATCTATTATCACAAGTCCAATTACAAAAGCCTTTTAGAATAAGCTTCAGCAAACTTTTTCTGTAAATGGTCAGAAGTAAATATTTCAGACTTTGTGGGCCAAATGGCTGTGTTTCAGTAAGATTTTATTTACAAAAACAGATAGCAGGCAAAATTTGGCCTATGGGCCATGATTTGCTGACCCCTTTTTTAGAAGACTTCTCTGAAGACCAAACTTGATATATTTACTGGACTTCCCGTTATATTTTCGCTTTGACTTCTTTGTCTCTGAACTTGGTTTATTTATTGTAGCATTTTAACCCAAATATTGCCTTCTCCAAGCACCATGATGGAGATCCCTATATGGACTTCCATTTTTCTAGATTTCCAGACTTCTTGGCAATGACCTCTTGCTCATTTGTATTCACATTTTCCATCAGAGCATGCCTTGTCTTTCTTTACCCATCTGTTCTGAAGCACATGTCTCAGAGTGATGCTTTCTGTTTTTTCACTTAGACTAAGTCATTAAAAACAATTCTAGTCTTAGAGGAATCCTTATTTCTCCATAGGAGGCAGTTAGATATCCCAAAAAGACTGTAGGTTTTGGAGTAAAGTAGATCTAGGTTCAACTTTTCACTTACTGACTTTCTACCAGAAAGAAGGTAGACAAATTTTCTACTTCAAACTTTCTTCCCTTATCTTTAATATCTATACTTCAGGCTGAGGATTAAACATGTAAATGTATGTAAAATATTTGGCATGTTGTAGGCATCAGCCAGTATCTGTTTGATGATGATGATCCAAAATGATTGCTGTAATTGCCTCCTAGAATGATTCTGCTTTAAGTCTTCGCTCTTTCCATCTATTATGCACGCAAATGTTGAATTAATCTTCTTATGATGCCTTTTTCAAAATCTGTCTTTTCGATTAAAATACCTAAAATGGTTTCCACTGGTACAGGTGGACTCTAATATTCTAATAACCTGAACTCATAGATGGTGTTAGGACAAGATTTCCTCAGTTGGGGTTATCCAGATTAGAAATCCTTTGAGAAATGGGCAAAATTTAGCCTGTATCACAATGAATTTAACTCTTTCACACAGTATCTTCTACTAATTTCTGCACAGCACTCACTCATGCACTCATATATACCCAACCCAGGTAAAAAAGTAGTTCAGATGTGGCATGTACATCAGCATCTATACCTATATCTGTCTAATTATACTGAAAATTTACCTGATTATGGAGTGCTAATTTAAGCCTTTTTTGAGAGATAGTTGGAATGCAATGTTAAAGACACGACTCTGTCTCTAAAGTGTCTTAGAAGCTAAAAAGGAAATGTCAGTAGGATCCTTTTGGCAGCATATGCTGAGCCAGAGTTAGGAGTGTGAGAGATTTATTGGAGGTAATGCTCACAAAAAATAGGAGGAGGAGGAGGAAGCAGGTCTAGGCAGGGAAAGCTTTAGGTCATGATGCAGACCTGACAGAATCTTGGCCAACAAAATCGGGGAGCTCCAGAGCAAAGACTGCCTGTTAGAGGAATCTTGCATGCACGGAAATGCTCCTGCAGAGCTAGATCACTAGGCACTGCCCAGGAAAAGCATGGCCTTGGCTTGAAAGCTGAGGCAGATCCTGCAGAGGGAACAGCTGGAGGCTGTCAGCTCACTACACCATTTACAGCTGAACAATTGTTTTCTTGAAGGGACAACTGAATAACACATTTCCATACCTGCCACTGGGAGACAAAGGCAAAAAAAAAAAAAAGGGGGGGATTTCTGCAACATAAGAAATAATAGAAGTATATATAAGCTAAATGAATTAATGTATCAATGCTAAGAAGGACAGCATTGAGAACAAGCTGATTTAAGTTTCATTAGATCTCAAATAAGTGAAAAATCAAGTATTTCCAGAGAAATGTTTCAATGATCGATGTTTTTAGACACAATATTTATATGTTTGCCTACACTTGTGTTTAAATTATTGTTTTGACTTAGAACTTTTGATTCCATAATTGCAATTTTTATGACTGAGTGGCTGGATGTTTGATTTGTGTATCACTATCTGTTAAAAAATAGAGCCGTAGTTGATAAATTCATTCAGAATTTCTGAAGTGGGAATACTCCATATTGCTGTAAGATAGAATATTAACTTATATGTCTTAAAAACATTTCATGTTCAAACTGACTGGAGGAAAGAAAAGGAAAAACAAGATAGACATAGATCTTTATTGAAAAATTTCTAAGGGCCTTTAATGTGTGAACACATATTATAATCTCAAATGGTAGAAAGGGGCAGGGTAAAGAGAGTATACAGAATTTCTCACACTTAATGGAACATAGAGCCAAAGCTAGTCTGGGTATTGCTGAACTAATGAACTTTAAGTTTATCCATGTTAAGTAATTTAGTCAATAGTTGCTATATTTTCAAATATCAAAAAAAGACTAATTTCTTTTTCAGTTTTTATCTGTATATTTAACATTAGATAGACAAAGCCCAATTTCCCATTTCATTGTTAAAGGAAAATGTTCTTTCTAAAATAAATCTCACGTTTTGAAACCATTAGTTAATACCACTAACTAGAGGCTAAAGGCAGCTATAATTATTTGCATCATCATCTGGAATTGGCTTTCCTTTTAATAGAGCCCATTTGCACTATAATAAAAAGCATGATCAGAACTGATTAAAGCTGGCTGGAGCAGTTTTCATTTAAGAATTCTCTTCCTGTGTCAGCCAATGTTTGTCTCTTAATGTTATTTTAATGCAATCGTTTTATGTTTGAAAATGAAGGCAATCATGTCAGTCCACGAGCTGGCAAAAGACAGTTATTGATTTTTACAAATCAGTCACCTTTAAAAATCCATATGAGATGAATATTTATTATTTTGAAACTACAAATCAGTTTCTGTAGAAACAAGAATGGATGCATAAAAAGGCAATGAATTTAGAAAGAATGAAAATGTGAGAAATAGCTTGCCTTAATGTGTTCCTTACATTGTGTCATTGTAATAAACATCCCTCATTGAGTATTTCTCCCAAAGTAGCAGTAATTTTCATTAGCTTGCAATGTGCCAAATGCAAAAACTGACAAACTTTAAAAATGACATACTCTGGAACCACCTTTTGTTCATTGAATTATTACAGCTCACATGTAACAATACAAATTTGTCTAACCTCACCAACAGAAATTTTCCTGAAACCCTATGCAGAAATGATTTTGGAATCATATGATACGTGTATCAGGGCAGGGGTTTTGAACTGTCTTCTACAGAGCCTCTGGAGGAGAATACAGAAGACTTGCCTTAGAGGTTGCCCCAGGGGTGGGAGGAAAAAGAAGAGCCTCTCCCACACCCCGCCTTCTACCAGGCAAGCATTAGAGTTTCATGTAATGATTCATTTGCTGCTTAAAGAAACAAAACAAAATCCCAAATGAACAAACTTTACTAGGCAAATATTCATTTTTAAATGTTTTCTTAGCGAACATTTCAAACATAAATATTAGCAATAAATTATGTAAGAACATGAGTTTTGTACATAAAAACAAATGTTCACACATTGGAATATGTGAATAAAGTAAACCTGTGTGTAGCATAAAGATGATAAAATATCTTTGGAGAACTAAAGATTCTTAATATGATTTGAAAGTTTCTTCCTCTCATTTTCTTTTAAATCCTTAATGTCAGAAAGGAGCTAGGAGTGGAAAATAGTTCCAGAAAAGTCTATGCTAAAAGTTAAAGTATGGTGAAAAGGATGATTTTTTACCAAACTTGGGCTAGTTAACCTAAGGCAGCAAGGGAAACTATTATTCAATCAATGGTGTTGACGTCCATGTTGGAAATATGGATAAGGTTTCCTCTAGATTAAATCCTCAAGCTACATTTTACTCCTAGAGGAAAACAATTCTTTTTACTTCTCATTGGTTTCAGGTCGTGTCCTACTAGAACGGCTGCCAATCTTGGCATTTAGCTCCCCAGAAATAATTAACTTGCAAGTACAAATAAAGGTTAAAAGATCTTCAAAAGGTGGCCAGACATCCAAAAAAGGTAGCATGCACTTTGACAGAAGGTTATGGACATGTTAAAGCAAATCACATCCGATTTAGCAGGGACCTGAATCCCAACTAGAAAAAAACAAATTCCTGTTATATGAGCTGTGGTATTTGGACTGGGTTCCTCTGAGGCTGACAGAGAAAGGTGTGGCCCATTTACCCTTTGCTCAGACAAAATATCTTGGGTTTAGGGCTATGCCCAAATAAATAAATCAATAAATCAATCTGTGACTTTGAACATAAAGAAATATAACCTTTCAAAGTGCAGATCTTTTTCAGATGAATTAAAAAGGCTTATTCATCTGGTACATTCAATCTTTACCTTAATGATCTCAACCCCCATATTATAGCAGAGGGGCATCTCAGTCATGGATTTTATGTGTTTGTGCGCACGTGTGTGTGTGTGTGTAGCCTTGGCATTGTGAAAATGCCCTAAATTCTGATTGAATAGCTTGTCCTTAAACTCCCAAACTGCTTCAACCATCATCAAGTGAGAGATGCCCAGTCATTTTCTAGGAGCCAGGGAGTCTGCTGGCTTCCAGTTTCAAGTCTCTGCCACTAGAGTGGAGCTCATTAATAAATCAATGGGATAAGAGTAATTATGGACCATTCCTAGGGAAAATAGCATTGAATTATGGCCAAAGGAGCTTGAGAGTCAAAGGCAATGCCACATTCACTGGGTGGAAGGTGAGAATAGTTGAAGTGAGGCAGGTTCTTCAGGTTCAGGTTCAGGTTCAGGGAGAAGTCTATAAAAATTTAGAAACAACATCATTGCCTTAGCCATGCAAGGCAATTAAATTGTCCTAGAGTGATTTTAATAGTCTCTGGTTCTCTTTTGAAGCGATGGAAAAAATCTCAGCTTCTCTTGCTTCTCCATAAACCTAGAGTTTTTTCAGTTGTTTTCAGAGATAGAGAAACCAAAATTGACTTATTTTTCAAAGAAGCGGAGTCAGTGGGTGAGTAGGTTAAGCTCTTATAATTCCTACGTTCTCAAATAAGATACTGGTAAGTGAGGGCAAAACTCAGAAAAGTCATAGCTGAGCCCATTAAAAATGGGCTGGTAAAATTGGTTAATTTTTAGGAGAACAATTAGAAGACTGAAGAGAAGAGTGTCTGGCTCCCAAAATGAAGAGTTCTAAACTCTTCAACGTTGACTTCACCTCAGGACATATCAGAAATGCAGATTCTTGGGCCCCACCCCAGACCCATTGATTAGAATCTGCAGGGTAACAAGATACCTAGATGATTCTTGTACATGTTCAAGGCTGGGAAGACTCAAGCCTAAACCGCTATGTAACTGCCTCATGGCACCAGTAAGAATAGCACATCTGCTCTCTGTCAGAAGAAAGCACTAGTCAAAAGATGTGCTCTACTAGTCAAAACTATGCCTTTGAGCTCACTACTCCATACTATTGATCAATATTCAATTAATGGAAAGAATACTTAAGGAAATAGTCACAGAAAAATTCACAGTTCATTCTTGGAAGACATTGGGATTCTGTCAAATCTTCCATGGTCATTTTATTTGCATGTGGGGTTATATGACTTTAGGCACTAAATATTCTAAGTTTTGGTTTTGATTAAGGCTCTGTGAACTATTTATATTCTTGCCAATTTCTTTGTTTTATAAGTGCCTCATTTCAAGATTTAAAATGTCCAATCCATACCAATAACCAGAACTCCAAACTTTATTCAAATTAAAGTTTCTCCTGTCACCCCTACCCCAGAGATGCAAGGTTTCAGATCTGGAAGTTGGCTGTGGGACAGGATGGCATGAACCTGCAGGGTAACAGGCTTCTCTCTATCCTCCTGGCCACTCCTGCAGTGTTCTGACTACAATAGTTTCAAGCCCAGGAAGAGTAAAAAATGGATGATACATTACAGTTATCATTTGGCTTTTGTTGCAGAAATATAATTGCTGTTTGTTTTGTTTTTATTTCATGGGTGCCTTTTTTGGGATTTCTAAATGACACACCCCTCCTCCCCAGGAAAGTTCAGCTGCAATTACCAGGACAAACACACGCCTCTCTCTGACTCATGACTCCTTCCTCAGGTGCAGCCATCTCTCTGCTGCTGAGCCTTCTCTGCTGCTTTCCACTGTATAGCTTTTTGATAGCTTCAGTGAGCTCCCTCATGGGATGACTTGGACTGTCAGGCAGAGGCAACTGTAGCCTCAGTCTCTTCCCCTTAGACTCTCTTAGCAAGAATCAGATTCTAGCACCTTAAGCTCTAGGGGACATTTGATTGTTTGGCAGAAAAAGAAGATACAAAATACTATGCAATTGTCTCTAAAGAAATCCCTCCTTCTTGACATTTGAGTACCATTCTCTCCTCCTAATCCCACATTCCCTCCCTCTCTCTCCTCTTTGTTTCTCTCTCTCTCTATCTCTCTCTCTCTCTCTCTCTCTCTCTCTCTCTGTCTCTTTCCTCTCCCACCCGGAGTTTGTCAATCCTTAATTCCTTAATGCTGGCAGGCCTAATTTTATAGACTCTTATCATTTTCTTCACAGTTGGTCTAGTACCTAATGTTAAAATGTGGAAGTACTTGTTCTTGGCCTTTGAGTTGCAGAGTAAACTGACTCAAAAGAGTCATATTTTGCATCTTGATACATACCAGGTCATCTAAATATCTGTCTCTCATTAGACTGTGATATCTCCCACTAAAATGAGACCATGGTGTTATTCATCATTGTATCTTTAGTACCTAAATATGTTTTGAATATATAAGACCCGAATATTTTCTTCACCTTCTCTAACCTGTCAAATTTCTATTTATCCTTCAATGCTCAACTCAAATATCACTTCTTTTGCAATTATTCATTGACCCCATTTGGCAGAATCAAGTGTTTTCTATGCCTTTATATCTCCTATAGAACTTTACTGGTACCTCTATTATATTGCTTATCCTAATCATGCTTTCACAGATAATCAGCATGTCTCCTGTCTGTCTCCTTTAATGCTAATTGCAGGCAGAGAAGAGTACATTGTCCCTCCTCTGATGCCCTCCAAGGGATCATCCACAGGTATCATGATGAATGTTAATGAGTGAGTTTTTTTGTGTGTCATTAAGAGGAATGCAGTCTTATTCTGCAAAGTGGGATTTAAGGGCTTAGAACTTTTTCATTAAAGAAAAAAAGCTTCCATTCCATCTGAGCAGGCTGACTACTGAACACTATATATTATTTGCATATCTTAGCGGAATTTCTGCCATATCAGGCAACTAAAATGCAACCAGGACCATAGGAATCGGAATAGACCAGCTTAGACTTAACTGGCTGTCAGTTACTTAATTTCTCTGAGCCTCAGTTTATGCGCCTATAAATAGAGATATAATATGTATATTGGGAAGTTTATCAAAAACATATTCGTATGCATCACTTGGCTCACAGAAGGTATTTAATTAATAGTTATTATAATTAAAATTAATATTGCCAACTCATTTGGCACCATCTTTGTGCCAGACACTGCTCTTGGGAACCTCACGACCTCTTGTTTCATTTGATTAGGAGTCACTGCCCTTCCTTGAAAATTTCTCAGAAACCGAAGTGTAGAATTTAGATAGTGAGATTCATGGTGTTTGCAACTTGTATTACCTGGGTCGAGGATATATTAAACAAGTCAAAGGCCATTTTTGTAAAACCATATGTTTAATGTTTAGCAAATGAGAGAACCAAGTCCCTTTGAGACATTTTTTAAAGAAGAAAAACATAAACAGATGCCTTGAGAAAGCTATGTATGTGAGAAAGATTATTCATTCTGAAAAAAAAATTTACCACCCTTATCGAGACCTCTAATCCTTATTAGTCCAGCTGCTCTGTGGACCAAAGAACCCTTCCTGGGTGATTTGTACCTTTTCCCAAAGTAATGGAGTCTTGTATTCTAACATCTGGTACCACCTGCTCTTTTTATGCTAAATGGCTTTGCAGCCTCCTTGACTATCAATGAGAAGATAAAATGATCATGTGCAGCTAGGAGAGCATATTATGGGGGCACGGTAGCAGGAAGAGGAATAAATTAAAGCCATTTCCTCTCTATGCCCTTAGGTAAAAACAGACTTAAGAGATTTAAAAATGTTGAACTTTGGGTCAGCTGGGCAATCAAATAAGCAGCAAAAGGATCTGGAGGGAATTTGATACCAGATATTTGAGGATCAACTGTCAAGAAGGTTTAGAAACTTTACCACAGGGCCAGGGGCAGAATGGTTTACTGTGAGTATTCCCAATAACCCACAGGATTTTTTTTAGCTTAACAGTAAACAGTAAATATAATTTTAAACTAAAACCTATTTGCCCCTTCACTTATTTTTTATTTAAACACATATTTTAGAAGATAAAAAATAGGTGTTAATGTTGAAGTTTCTTACAGAATATTTTTATCTCTTTGGCTATAATATTAATTTCACAGTGAGCAGGTCATAGAAGTCAACAGAAAATAGTATTTGGTAGAAAATACATACACATGAATTTTATGAGTATTCTAATCTTTTGGGCATTATTTTAAGGTAGAAGAAACTTTCAACTAGTGACTTCTATTACTTCAGATCTCTTTGCTGTGTCATGAAATACTTTCTTACCCTAAAGAGATAGAGATGCTTGAGAGGCAGCAATGGGAAATTGTTAAACTTGAAAGCCTGGAGTGGCTCCCTGAGATCAAATACTGCTCTTGTCAGTTTGTAGCCATGTGAATTCCGTGCCTCAGTTTCCCCATATGTAAAATGAAAATAATGATAATGCTCATCTCATAAGGCTCTTGAGAGGATTTAAATGGTTAATTTATGTAATGCACTTAGAACAGTGAAAAACACATAGTAGATGTTCAGCAAATATTTGCTGATTGAAGGTTTAAAAATGTACAAATCTATTTCTGCTTTCTTTTTGTTGGAAATTTTATGCTGACCTTGTTACTACCATTAGTTGCTACTGCCTTTACAATCCTTTCCATTTCCCCCAAGCATTTAGAATCAAGCACAGTAACTATTTAGGTTGCTGCAAAACTAATTGCATTTTTTGCTATTAAAAATAAGGCAAACACAGCAACTATAGTCAGTGATAATAATAGCTGTACTTATTGGGCTCTTCTATCTCACATCCTTGGCATCTATCCTCTCATTTCTTGTTTGGCTAGAATATAGTCCAGAAGTCTTGCCAGACCATTGCAGTGCCTTTGTGTTCTTTCTCCCTTCTCATCTCTCATTTAGTTCAGATTTACGCTATCTGAACAACCCATGCGATTTCCAATTACATACAGTTTGTTCTGACAGCAACACAGAAACGCCACCATCCACTGACACACACTTATTTACACTTTAAGTTTACAGTAACCAAAATGGCATGTTACTGGTTCAAAAAGAGGCACATAGACCGATGGAACAGAATAAAGAACCTAGAAATAAAGCTGCACACCTACAGCCATATGATCTTCTAAAAAGTCAACAAAAACAAGCAATGTGAGAAGGACTGTCTATCTCATAAATGGTGCTGGAATAGCTGGCGATCCATATGCAGAAGAATGACACTGGACTCCTACCTTTTACCATATACAAAAATTAACTCAAGATGGATTAAAGATTTAAATGTAAATCCTCAAACTATAAAATTCCTAGAAAACCTAGGAAACACCCTTTTTCATATGGGCCTTGGCAAGGAATGTAAGGCTAAGTCCTCAAAATCAACTGCAATGAAAACAAAAGTTGACAAGTGGGACCCAATTAGATGAAAGAGATTCTATACAGCAATGAAAACTATCAACAGAGTAAACAGACAACCTGTAGAACGGAAGAAAATATTCTTAAACTATGCATCCAACAAAGGTCTAATATCCAGAATCTAAAAGAAACTGAAACAAATCAATAAGCAAAAAACAAATAACTCCATTAGAAGGTGGGCTAAGGACATGAACAGACACTTCTCAAAAAAAAAAAAAAAGAAGACATAGAAGCAGCCAACAAACACATGAAAAACTGCTCCACATCACTAATCGTAAGAAAAATGCAAATCAAAACTACAATGAGATATCATCTGACACAAGACAGAATAGCTATTATTAAAAAGTCAAAGACAACAGATGTTGGTGAGGGTGTGGAGAAAAAAGAATGCTTATATACTGTTGGTGGGCATGCAAATTAGTTCAGTCACTGTGGAAAGAAATTTGGCGATTTTTCAAGGAGCTTAGAACTACCGTTTGACGCAGCAATCCCTTTACGGGGTATATATCCAAAAGAAAACAAATTGTTCTACCAAAAAGACACATGCACTTGCATGTCATTGCAGGACTATTCACAATAGCAAAGACATGGAATCGACACAGGTGCCCATCAATGGTGGATTGAATAAAGAAAATGTGGTAAATATATATCATGGAATAATACACAGACATAAAAATTAATAAAATCATGTCCTTTGCAGCAACATCAATGCAGCTGGAAGCCATTATCCTAAGCAAATTAACAGAAAGAGAAAACCAGATATCACCATGTTCTCACTTTCAAATGGGAGATAAATCTTGGGTGCACCTGTACATAAAGATGGCAATAATAGACATGGGACTCTGGAGCTGAGAGGGAGGAGAGAGGGCAGGGCTAAAAACTAACTGATGTGTACTATTCACAGTAGCTGGGTGAAGGGATTACTCATACCCTAAACCTCAGCATCATGCAATGTTACCCAGGTACCAAACCTGCACATGTAGCCACTTAATGTAAAATAAAAGTAAAAAAAAATAATGAGGTCAACCTTCTGCTATTTCAAAATCCTCAGTAGGGCGTTTTCTTTAGCAGTTATTATGGGGCTTTGCAAGCATCAGGCACCAGGCTTTTGGAGTTTTATTGAGCTCTCAAACTTTTCTTTCCTTTTTTATGACTCCCTAACTCTTTTTCTGTAAACTACCACAATTATGGTGTAAGCTAATCTACATTTTCTGTGCCATTACTGTCATTAAGTAAGTCATGCGGCACTGTCATTAAGTAAGTCATGCGGCACTGTCTTGTGGTGGTCAAAACCCTTGTCTCTGGAGTTAGGATGTTTGGTCACAAATCCCAGCTCCAGTATTATGTAATCTTGGGCAATTCACTTTATCTGTATGGTTCTCAGTTTTCTCGTAAAGAGGAGATAAAAAATACATTCTCTCTTATAATGTCATTTGGAAGATTAAATGAGCCAATGTTTTAAAAATATATATGAGAGTACCTCGCTTCCTATGTGCTCAATGTACTCAATAAGTGTTAGCCATGGTTAATAGTGAAATAAAATAGAACAAGCCAAACTCTTCTAATTTTTTTCCTCTCTCTGTGCATGCACACACATGCATGCAGAAAACACAATTGTTGAAGGGATTACCACACATGCTAATGAAATGCATACATTATAGGCATTTAATAAATATTTAAGGCATAACTCTTTTAATGCCCAATATATTTTAAAAATACAAAAGCATGTTTCTCAAACATGGCATGCCTAAATAAAGGGATTATTTTTACAAATCCTCCTTAATGGAAGAGTGAAACATGAGAATACAAAGAAAACCATAATTCCTCATGAATCCCTAACATCTTTTTTCTCTGTTTGTTCATTCATTAAGCAATTATTAAATTCCTATTGCACAACTAACAATAAATCCTTTACTAGATAAGCTATACAATGGCATTTGACTAAAAGAATAGAATTCTAACCAATCAATTCAGTTGTCTGTATATCATTGAATTTTACCTCTTCTTCCTTTTGAAATTCTTATCTTTAGTGTAGATGCCATGGTCAGGATATTAAATTCATGTACATAGGAGAAGCAAATGGTTTGACAAATTATTTTTAAAAACATATATAATCAGATTCTAGAGAATGGGCTGGTCTGCATATTTTTGTGTCACTTCTACTAATTCATGGCTTTATGGAGGCAAGTATATATATGCTTAGAAAGAAATCCATGACTTAAATTGACATCTCTTTTTTTCTCCCAAAACATTAAAAGAACTATGTTTTTCAGTGTTAATGTAAGCAAAAACTGTTTTATTCTTTTTATATGTCTTAACTAAATTACTAATATTTTTAGAAAAGTATTTTAGCTAGGTGTCCTTTCCTTTTATTAACTTGTTTTCACAGTAGACTTTTTTTTTCTTTTTCTGAAGGATAAATCTGTGTTCTATTATAGCCAGAGGGGCATTTAAGATACTGCTTTGCACCTGGGAAACCCGTTTAATTACTCGAGCTGTCAAAATGTTTTATTGTAAACAGCTTTTCTGATAGATCCTGTTTCCCTCCTATGAACTATCTCCCCCAGAAGACAGTCCTCTTTACAGAGGCACTTAAAGTACAGGTGTCATAATTTAGAGAAATGAAGTTTTTATGTCTGAAAATACCCCATCCTTTTTCTCATGTCTGAATAAGAAATATTGTATGTTCATTTTTTTCTAGTTTATGTATATCATAAACCACTATCATATTAAGAAGATTTAAAAAATTAAATAGAATATTAATTTCTAAACTGTCTAAACTACAGGTAGAAGATTTTATCTGAAATGAAAAATCAAATATTTGAAGATGTATGTATTCAATAAAGATTTATTAAATAAATTTAGAATGCAATCTAGCAACATAAAAAGGTCCAGGTGTTACCACATTTTATAATTCACTTAAATAAACTGAATGTTACATAAATAAGCTCAGGAACCAAAACAAGTTTCTGTGATACACAAAAGTATTTTCACATAACACAGCTCAATCTGTTAAATGATTTCTTCATTTTTGGAAACCTTATTTTAATTCCAGGGCCTTTCCTGTGCTTGGAGTACCAAAAATATTAATAGCTAAGGAAAGATTTTCTTTTTTATGCAGAGAGGCGGGGTTCCAATTTATGTACCATTGATTTTCAGTTCTGGAGTTTTCTTGGACAAGTGCAAGGGTGGTTGGCTAAGTAGAGAAATCTTATAGTGAAGACTATATTATGGCTTTTAAAGATCATCAGCAGCTAATGGCCATAATTAGAAAAAAATAATTAACACATTCATTTAAATTGGTCTCCTATCTACAATCTTATTGTGAAGGATAATCTTATATCCTTATGCATTGATAACTGTCAGGTGAAAATATGGACAAGCCCAAACTTTCCTGTGAAATATATAGAAAATTCAAACAGATGATCTCTTATTACTAGATAGGATAATTGATAAACTAAGAAGACTGCAACTGCAGTTAGCATAAATTATTATAGTTTCAAATGGAACTCTAAACCCAATTTTAATGAGTAGAGTTGTTGCTTTCTAACATGAATGTGGGCATTAAACTGTCTATGCTGTTAGTACAACTCAAAGTATGCTGTGGTTTTGCCCAAAGATGCTGCAATGAACCTCTATCAAACAGCATATGAACTTGGTTGTTATTACAAGTTTTACTCATACTACCCATAACACACACATGCACACACACACACACCACACACATGCACACACACGCAAGCACCACATGCAAACTTTCTTACTTCTTTAAGAATGAGGATTATGGTCTTTATCTAAATCAACTGTTTGGGCTCTGGGTGTTCAATAAGTCAAAAAGTAACCAAGAATTTAGGAAGGTAGAAAGACTTGTAAAACTATAGACAACCGGAGAGAAATAGAACAAAGGTACTTAGAGACAAAGAAGAGAAAATGGTGAATGAAATTAACAGTGGGAGGGATGACAGGAAGCAGAATGGTCACATATGACTTGTGTAGACCAGTAGTACTCAACCCTGGTCAAACAATAGAATTACCTGGGAACTTTGAATAAAATATCCTTTCCTGCACTTCATCACCACAGATTCTGTTTTAATTTGTCTGGGGTGGAGCCTGGACATGAGTTTTATTTAAAAATGCTTCAGGTGAATTTATATGTGCTGTCAGGGTTGAGAGTCACTGATGTAGATTGTGGGGACCAAATATTGGGTGGGCAGATTATAGGATGCCCAGTTAAATCTGAATTTCAGATAATCACAGGGCTAAATAGTCTTTATAAAGATACATTATTCTTCACTCGTTTACATTTGAATAATATTATGCTTGTTTGAATGTTATTTTTTTTCTCTTAAAGCAGTAGGTTCTTTGATGGTTTAATCCAGCATTTCTGTGATTTATTTTCAACTTTCATTTTAGATTCTGGGGGTACATGTGCACATATTTTACCTGAGTATATTGAATGATGCCAAGGTTTGAAGTACAATTGAACCCGTCACTCAGGAAGTGAGCATAGTGCCCAATAGGTAGCTTTTTAACACTTGATCTCCATCCTCCCTCTCCCTTCTTGTATTCCCAAGTGCCTATTGTTCCCATCTTTATGTCCATGTGTACCCAAGGTTTAGCTTCCACTTATATGTGACAACATGGTGGTATTTGGCTTTCTGTTTCTGCATTAAATCACTTATGATAATGGCCTACAGCTGCATTCATGTTGCTATAAAGGACATGATTTCATTCTTTTTTATGTCTGTGTAGTATTCCATGATATACATGTATCACATTTTATTATCCAATCTACCACTGATAGGCACCTGTGTAGATTCCACATCTTTGCTATTGTAAATAGTGCTGCAATGAACATGAGAGTGCATGTGTCTTTTTGGTAGAATAATTTATTTTCCATTGGGTACATACCTTGTAATAGGATTGCTGGGATGAATGATAGTTCTGTTTTAAGTTCTTTGAGAAATCTCCAAACTGCTTTCCACAGTGGCTGAACTAATTTACATTCCCACCCACAGTATCTAAGTGTTCCCTTTTCTCCCCACTCCCACCATCTGCTATTTTCTGACTTTTTAACAAAAACCATTCTGACTAGTGTGAGATGGTGGTTTTGATTTACATTTTTTTTTATGATTAGTGATGATGAGAATTTTTTCATATTCTTGTGGGCTGCTTGTATATCTTATTTTGAGAAGTGTCTATTCATATCCTTCACCTGCCTTTTAATTGAGTTGTTTGTTTTTTGTTCATTGATGTGTTTAAGTCTCTTATAGATTCTGGATATTAGGCTTTTGTGAGATGCATAGTTTGAGAATACTTTTTCCCATTCTGTAGGTTGTCTGTTTACTCTGTTGATAGTTTCTGTTGCTGTACAGAAACGCTTCAATTAGGTTCCACTTGTCAAGTCATATTTTGTTTTTTGTTTTTTTTTTTTGCTTTGCTTTTGAGGATTAGCCTTAAATTCTTTGCCAGGGTCAATGTCAAAAAGGGTCAATGTCAAAAAAGATTCCTATGTTTCCTTCTAGAATATATATATATATATTTTTCCAAGACACAGTCTTGCTCTGTCACCAAGGCTATAGTGGAGCCTGGCCTCGGCCTCTCAAAGTGCTGGGATTACAGGCGTGAGCCACCACACCTGGCCCCTTAGAATTTTTACAGTTTGAGGACTTACATTTAAATCTTTAATCTAATTTGGGTTAATTTTTGTGTATGGTGAACGGTAGAAGTCCAGTTTCATTCTTCTGCATGTGGCTCACCAGCTATCCCAGCATCATTTATTCAATAGGGAGTCCTTTTCCCATTGCTTATTTTTGTTGACTTTGTCAAAGATCATATGGTTGTAGCTGTGTGTCATTTCTTCTGGATTCTCTATTCTGTTCCATTGGTCTATATGTTTGTTTTTGTACCAGTACCATACTGTTATGGTTACTGTAGCATTCCAGTATAGTTTGAAATTGGATAAGGTGATTCCTCTGGCTTTGTTCTTATTGCTTAAGATTGCTTTGGGCTGGGTGCGGTGGCTCATGCCTGTAACTCCTGCACTTTGGGAGGCCAAGGTGGGTGGATCACCTGAGGTCGGGAGTTCCAGAGCAGCCTGGCCAACATGGTGAAACCCCGTCTCTACTAAAAATACAAAAATTAGATGGACATGGTTGTGTGCACCTGTAATTCCAGCTACTACTCACTAGGCTAAGGCAGGAGAATTGCTTGAACCTGGGAGGCAGAGGTTGTAGTGAGCCGAGATCGCATTACTGCACTCCAGCCTGGGCGAGAGAGCAAGACTCTGCCTGAAAAAAAAAAAAAAAAAAAGACTGTTTTGTGTTTTGGCTATTTGGGCTCTTTTTTGGTTCTCTATGAATTTTAGAATAGTTTTGTACTAATTTTGTGAAAAATGATGTTAGTATTTTGATAAGAATAACATTGGTTCTATAAATTGCTTTGGGCACCATGGCCATTTTAACAATATTAATTTTTTCAACCCATGTGCCTGGAATATTTTTCAGTTTGTTTGTGTCATCTCTAATTTCTTTCTGCAGTGTTTTGTAGTTCTCCTTGTAAAGATATTTCACTCTTTGTTTGATGTATTTCTAGGTATTTTATTCTTTTGTGGCTATTGTGAATGGGATTGCATTCTTGATTTGGTTCTCGGTTTGAATGTTAGTGGTGTATATAAATGCTACTGATTTTTTACACTGATTTTTTTAAATCCTGAAACTGTACTAGAGTCATTTATTAGTTCTGAGAGTCTTTTGGTGAGATATTTAGTGTTTTCTAGATATGGAATCGTGTTTTCTAGATATGGAATCGTATTTTCAGCGAATAGAGATAGCTCGATTTCTTTTTCTACTTGGATGCATTTTATTTCTTTCTCTTGCCTGATTGCTCTGGCTAGAACTTCCAGTACTACATTGACTAGGAGTGGTGAGAGTGGGTATCCTTTTCTTGTTCCAGTTCTGAAGGGGAATGCTTACAGCTTTTGCTTGTTCAGTATGATGTTGGCTGCAATTTGTCACAGATGGCTCTTATTATTTTGAGGTATGTTCCTTCTAGGGCATTCTGTATTTGTATGCACTGAGGTGTAGGAAGAGATTTATCTTTGAGTTCTGGTAGATGGAAGGAAAAGGTCTGGCATTTTTCTTAATGGAAAGAAAAATAGCACCAGGCTTTAGCAAATAAGTGATGGAATCAGGTGAGTGATAGAGAATAAATATACGAATAAAACCTTCTGAGTTGACCAAATGACAATTTTTATTTTAATTCTTCCAATGATAAAGTCTCAGGAAATCAAATCTCTAGGGTTTCCTAAGAAATCTAAGCAAAATGAATTAAGGAATTTTAAAATGCAATGACAATAGATATTCCAACACCCAAATCTTGTTCTTCATCAACCGTTTATCTTTGCAAGCCCTCTAAATAAAACATCATATTAGAATATAAGACAAAGCAAAGGAACTAATATTAGTTTAGAAATTGCCCTCAGTCTCTGAACTGCAATGTGGATGTCAGCGTGCTTGTCTGAACCGTGTGCATGTGCACACATGTGCGTGTGTGTCCACAGTGAATAGGTGAGGACTTTTGTCAAAGTGTGGTCACTAAAATGAACAAACCCAAACATAACTGTACATACTCCCATTCCACAGCTTAGTCTAACATGCAAAAAGGGCATGATTAGAGATTGTTGGTCATTAAGAAGAACAGGAGGAAACGTTCTGGAGCCTTGGCACTATGCCTGGGGAAGAGAGGATCTCAACACCCCTCAGCCATCTCTGGGCCAGAGGAAAATCACCTAGGGGTTGTCCTAAAGAGTTCCACGGGAGAAGAGATTATGCTGTCTGATGACCCCTTACGGTTTTCTCCAGTATGTCCCTACTTTTTTTTGTCCAGCTGAGTTTATTAAACTTGTCCTGCTTCTGAGGTCGGTTTCTTTTCTACCATGTGAAGGTTTAAATCTGCTTTACTGTCTTTGCTCTCTTTTCTTACTTTTCCCAGAATTCCTACACTTACTACATAACTAAAAACTGGATTTTAAGCTGATTTCACTCTTCAATGAGTTTCATTTCTGAGATTTTTCTTTCAAAGCCCTAACAATAGTTTTCGGTTCATATGACAAACTCAGGAGGCTTTTCACCTGACACTGGGATACTCCCTCTGTTTCTGAGCAAACCTGGTTCTTGGAATCAAAGTATTGCAGAAATAGATCTTTTTATTTCCTACTAAATCTTTGCATACAAATTAATTCCATTAAGTTCTACTTGTATTTTCACCCAGGTTTATGACTCATACTCAATACAATAAGGTCCTCATCCCTCTTTATTTGTTCAGTATTTGTCACACTCTAAGTTTCTGAAATGCACAATTACAATCTAGGATTTAGCTCATGATCTCTGAGGGCCCTGATCAGCAAAGAAAGTGACAGAAGGACCCTAGATGTTTTATAGAAGTCTGTGTGTGCATGCATGTATGTGCATACTTTTTTGTTTTGGTTTCACTTTAACTCTCCTAATCTGAAGACCATGATTTACAATACGAATAAATTAAGAGCACATGGTTGGAGTAATTCAGATTGGCTGCAGAAAATCCACTGGAGTCCCCTGAGATGAATCTGGCAGGGTCGCTTCTGACCAAATATGGCAAAACGGCCCAGAGCTAGGTACTGAATCAGAGACTCTATGGCAACCAACCAGGTAGTAACTTCCAGTGACTGACATTAAAATTCCAAAAACAAAACAGAATAAAACAACAACAACAAAAAACTTATACAAAACAGCTGTGCTTGTTTTGTGGCGAGCTTCACCTGGTCAGTGGTGAATATTCTATTTGTAGAATTTTGCCTGGAATACCAGTTTCAGCTGCACTGGGGTTGGAGGGTTACTCTGAATTGGTGGCTCCAATTGTCTACTTTGTGCATTAGTAGTGTCCCTTAGCAGTTTATTAGAAATACAAATTCTTGGACCTATTCCAGACCTACTGAATCAGAACCTTTGAGGGTGAAGCCCAGCCCAGCAGTTCATGTTTTAACCAGCCCTTGGGGTGAGTTTGAGAACCACTGCCATAAACACTAATGATCCTTTCCAATATATGAGCTTAGATTTTGATGACATTTGGTCACAATTCTGCTATTCACTTCCATCATATCTCCTCTGATCCTGAGAAATGTTGGCACTGAGAATAGTGCAGGGCAAAGAGACACGTACAGCATTATTAGCTGGGGCTTTCACTGAAAACCCCAGGGTCTCTTTCTATTGTCCCCATATGGTTGGAGTCACAAGAGTGGGAGAGATGGCCAAGCTCTCTGCAGAGGATCCTGGCAGCAGCCTGAACCCTCTTGCTACTTCCATCAAAGGAAAAAAAAATCAAATATTTACCCCCACGAGCTTATAATATTACAGAGAACTCCACCATCCTGCCCTGCAAAATATCCTGGGATTTGACTAATACTAGAGCTGCTTTTCTAGTCCTTGAGTGACTAGGAAGGAAGAACCAAAAGCTTGACTCCCCTGCAGCAGTGAGTCTCTGGCTTTGGTTTGCACAGGAAACCATAGGGTCACGTAAAATACACATATTCGGGTCTGAGAGGTTCTAATGAAGATGATCTAAGGTGTGGAGCCCAGAAATCAACATTTTAATAAGAATCCAAAGAGATCCTAATTTACTTGCTTCTATTAAAAGTTTAGAAAACCACTGCCTTACACAACTTTGGATACAACACATTTAGCCTACACATTATATCCATTTTCCAACCTTCTTAGGTGGAGATTTCAGAACTTTCAGCAAAAAGGACAGATAGTTGTGTGATGATACTATTCCCACATGTTCATACAGCACTTGTACACTTTTAAAAGTTCTTTCATGTTCAACATCTCAAAATAGCAAGGGCAAAAAACGGCAATGCTTTAAGAATGCAGCTGTTTTGATTCAAATGTTTTTAAAAAGACATTTAAGAGTATATATGTGTGGCCAGAAACATTGTGTAGGGATTAATGTCATGGATGAAATCAGGCACTATGGAACAAGCTTCCAAGGGAAATTCAAAAGAAGATACCTGTTTTTCTTAGTGAGAATTAAGGTAATTTTTGCTGCAACTGCACTGGAGAGTTCCAGCTCTTTTCAAGGCGGTGGTCTAAAATATAGGATTATGTACTTTTTCCATACTTGGAAAAACTTACAGTGTAACTTCCACAGCATACTGCCAAATAAATACTAAATATGTCTATTTGGAAGACATACTTTTGGCATTTGGAACAGAGATGTAAAAATCAACCAAGATGTCTCTTTAGGAGTGGAGGGAGACCTCCGAAGAACACATTTTCATTTTGTAATAGTAAAGGATCAGACATCCTTTCAGGAATTTCCTATTGGGCTGTAGCTGAGCCAGTTACTTTTGTTAGAAAAGCATGCTAATACAGCCAAGGTTACAGGTCCGATTCTCACATGCGGGAAAAAAAAAAAACTATTCTCTGGTCACAAATCCTGAACACTAGCCAGCTGCCTTGCAAATATGTGCCATTGATCATAAAAGGTTTTCATAAATATCAAGGCACTATAAATACTCCCATGAAATAAAGCAAAGCTTTTCCATACTGCCGCCTGAAGCTGGGGCTTCATCTCTGTTGTATGTAACATTTAATTGGATTTCAAAATACTGACTGCATTGATGATATCATCTTACTTTTGTGCACCATAGTCTTAAACATGCAACTGTTAGGGGAATCCAAGACAGAACCTCTCAAACACTGAGTAGATAACACTATGTAGAAAGATACTCATGGTTAATTCTGACATTTTAATCTGAAGACCACTATTTTATAGGCAAATTACCTAGTAAAGTTTTTAAAAGAACTTTTTAACAATTGCTAAATTGATATATGATATGACATTGCTATAACTTTGTTTTTGTTTGCTTAAGATTTTTTTCTCATATGATTTAGGTTATAGATAAGTATGCACGATTCTAACATGGAAAATTTATTGTAACTAAAATGAAAGATTACACTTAGTTTCACCTTGTATGGAATGCACAGTAGGCATGTCTTACAGAAACACATACACATTAATCTATATCATCACACCTGTGTCAAATTTCTCCAAAGAGAAAAAGAAAAACAAACAAACAAAAAAACCCAAGGAGGGGTCTACTTGACTATCTTCTTCTTCTTTCTCATTTATTTTCTGTTCAGATTTTTCTCCTTTTAAACAAGGAAGATAGAAAGATAAAAATCTTTGTTCCAAGAGGAACTGTGTTAAAGTAGGTTTTAAGGGTTAGAGCCAAAGGCCTTTGTCCTTGGTCATCTGCAGCAAAACAAACATTGAAACACGAGTCTGCAGATAACTAGCTGTGATGGTCTCTGGGGTGAGAGTCTCAGGCCAAAGCCGAGTTCTATTCCACCGCTACTGGTGATTGTTAACGCTCTGCCCCGGGTTGAAGAAACAGTTAGCAGGAACAAGGACGGCTGTGCTCCATGTTCCATGTGCTCTGTGAGCCTCGCTAAGTGAGTATGAACGACCAATAAGTTATGTCCTTGAATAGAAACTCTGGATTAATTTTATAACTATGTTACCTCATAGTTAGACAGGACCTTATACATTATCTGGTGAGATAATGTATAGTTAATAAATGCTAAATCTTATATTGTAAAACATTGCCTTATGTCATTTTGAGATTTGACTGAAACATAAAGTTTACATACCAACACATGCTGACTTAGCCTGGGTTACCAAAAAAGCAAGCGGATGTGCTGTCACTTTGTTAGAGAGTGCAGACTCAGAGAACAGAAGATGCAAGGGTGGTGCATCAAATCCCTAAGTTTCCAGATAAAGAAATGACCAATGAAGGTCCAAAGATTTGTCCAAAGACACACAGCTGGTTAGACATGGTATCCCCCAGCTATTAACGAAAATCATCACATTTCAACACCAGAAACATTTTAATTGCCTTGAAAACACTTTAAAAGATAAAGCGACTAATGCCTGCAATAGTGTGCCCGACTCCCACCCAAGTCTTTATCCTCATTCTCTCTCTGAATATCACATCTCCCTTTTCTCTCCACAAACTTCCCCTCCTGCTTCCATTTTACCTCATTTTTGTAAACCATGTCTGACCCTCCTCACACTGTATCCCTTAGTCTCTCCCCGACTCTGAGAGGCATATAATTGTGCAAACTCAGGAAGAAGGGAAGAATCAAGAATAACAATTGCTGACATGACTTGGCAAGTTTTGTTAAAGGTTTTACATTTTGACAAAAAATTTCAAATCTCCTCACTAATAGTGTCTGCATCAAAATATCCAGCTTTGCAATGAAAATGAGCCATGAAAAATTCAGGAATACTGTAAGAGATTTGACATTTTAACATCTGATGGTACTCTTACTGGTAGGTGTATCAGGCACACCTTATGCACTCTTTGTTAAAAAAAAAAAAACCCTAGACTTCTGTTTTTCATTTTCTTCTCCCTTAAAAAAAAAGCTTGCCTGTTCTCACTCATAAGTGGGAGTTGAACAATGAGAACACAGGGACCCAGGGAGGGGAACATCACACACCAGGGCCTGTCAGGGGGTGGGGGGATAGGGGAGGGATAGCATTAAGAGAAATACCCAATGTAGATGATGGGTTGATGGGTGCAGCAAACCACCATGGCACGTGTATATCTATATAACAAATCTGCATGTTCTGCACATGTACCCCAGAACTTAAAGTATAATAATAAAAAATGCTTGAGTGTGTGCACTGTATATACAATGCATCTTGGGTGTTATATAGCTAATAAGGCATATTTCCTTAAGGGTAGCACTTGGAAAGCTCTTGCCACAATTTGCCAGTTAGATTACACACATCTGGTGCTATGTTAACCTGGCAATTACATATAGTTCCTTTCTTAGCTTCTTGGGAAAAAATGATAATTAGACAAATTGGGGATATGTTCAAATTAACATTTAAGTTTTTCTCAGTTGAGTAAACTGAGCAAGGACCCCTATAAACATTTTCTTCTTAGAGCCACATAAAACTCTTACCCATTTTTTTATGGTTAAAAAAATGACCTTTTAAATGTACAAAAGTCAAGTTTAATGGTAACATTATAACATTGGCTCAGTAATCCACTCTACAAATTGGGGCTAGGTATATTTCTCCCTGAATATTATATGCCAGAAGAACTGTTAATTAACCTCAGCTCTACCACATACAAATTTTGGAAGTTTTGTCACTTCATACAATCACCATAAGCTCTGTGTATATTTTTACATAGAAATAAAATTATCCAATTTGCATACATCACAAGATTACTTAAGAACCAAATGAAATAATATATGTGAAAAAGTTTTGAGTATGAAAATAATTTTACAAATATAAGATACTATTTTTGTTGCTCTCTAAAAATTTATTTTATTACACTAAATGTCTAGAATTTAATATGATCTTATTAGATAATATGAAACTTGTATATTCAGTGTTTATTAAATATTAAATCTGACTGTAAAACACATAAATCAATTAATAATATACTAAAACTGAAATGCTATCTATTATACTATAAGCAAGAAATGTAATATCTGCTTAAAAAAGAAAATAGCATAAACTGGAATAACCAGAGGGAGCTTCATAGACTCATACCAGGCCATGAGAAATCAATAATATCTTAGTAACTGGAGAGGATTTGAATAAATGGAAAGCAAAAGAGCAAGACAGGGAAAACATCCAGCAGGGGCAAAAATCTGAAATGTCAGACTGAATGAACCACTTGCCAGGTGACATGGACAGACCCTATTAAAAAAATTTTAAACTATCTCATTCTTGTTCTTTGCACAAATTCAAATCCCTGAATTCTTCTACCCAAAGGAATATGTGGAAGAATTCGGGACCAATAAATCATCAAGGAACACTTTGTTCTGAAATACTCAATGTATCCTGTCTCTCATTGCTCTTCTTCTACCAAAAGTAATGTAGACCATTTTGGGCAGCCTGTCAAAATTCACCTTGTCACTGCACTAATTAATGTGTCTATGGCTAGAAAGGCAATGATAAAAATGGCAATCCAATGTCTCAGATTTAATCTCTAATAGCCACTTCCCCAAATACAACCTGTAGAATTTATAAATCAAGAGGAAAATGTGTTCATTATTTCAAATCAAGTTCAGTATGGTGACTCTGATCTATCCAGTTCATACAGTACTAGTTATGATTGGCCAGATCAACTGTGGCCTAAGAGTAAAAGAAGCAAGGATCCAAGAAAAGAGAAAACAGAAAGAGAATGTTTTATCATGGTGATGCTTGGGATTGTCATATAACTGGAGGCAACCAAAGAATCAAGTTTTGCCTGTAAAATCTGTCCTGGTTGTCTCAGAAACCTAGAAAGAGTAGGCACACAGGATGCTGGAATACCTTTATAATGTGCTGTTGGGCACACTTATCCCCAGTGGAGGAAAGCTCACTTATGCTGGTCCCCATCCCCCAAAGGAGCTCAATGATTCCTGATAAGGGAGTCTCATTACTGCAGCATGAATCACAAAGCACTTGTGAAGATATTGAATCACTTGTGTACTGCCTCCTTCTGTTTCCCTACTTCTTTGAGGCGGCAACTGAGTTACTACTTATTAAGCAAAGACTTCATATTGAGCTAATTTTGCCTTCATATTTCTCCTATCCCAGTGACCTTATATGTTAATTCAACAAAAATTTATGTAATACTTATGATATTTCAGGTGCTTTCTATGGACTGATGGACCAATGACAGTGGATCTCTTGGATAGATACTGGATCTCAGAAATTATTTATTGAGGCCACTGAGCACTTACAGTATTATTTCACTTCTTGCTATGTCAAGGTACCTTGCTTTATTGTTTGCCACTTTTTAAACATGAAATTTTGTACAAAGCCACCATTTTACCAGTGGCATATCAAGAATATATAGCAAGTCCCTCTGCCTAGACATCATCCACTTCAAGTTTTGGCATAGAATAGGTTAGGGATAGGTGTGGAAGTCGCAGATGCAGGACCTAGTAGCTGCAACTTACCTCATCCAGACCTTGCTGTCAGCACAACTGAAAACAGATGGTTGAGGACTAGTGTCATTCCTTTCAGTGACTCATAGCAACTACACCTGACTCATGGATTTGACATTAGCACTAGCTCCTTCATCAGAGGCAAATGGGAGGCTTCAATGAATTAGGAGAATAGTTTCTCATCACAAAGAGATTTTGCCTTTGAATGAAGTGGAGACAGATTTCCAAGCCATGATATTAAATTATTAAATCTTTGGTAATCCAGCTTACCCTTTTAATACATTACAGTCCCATGGAAAAACACTGCTGTAAGAAGAAAATTATTATTCCAACTTCACAAGGTATTTTCCTGAGCTAGAAGAAAAATAGTTAAATCTCAGTCAAGCCATGAGTGTTACAGCAATTTCACTCTTTCACACTTATGTCCATCCTGTTTTCTTTGCCTGGAAGTACCACTTCTGTCCACTTGGAAAACCCATCATGGATGTGACCCTCTGGGTGAAGTTTTTTCTGTTCTCCCAAAGGTAGACAGTAATGCTCTCTTCTTTCTTTCATTACATATCCTCATTGAACACACTTTCATTGGAATGCTGATTGTTTTAATGTTCATTTCAACTCAGTTCTAAACTCCTTGAAAACAAAGACATCTTTATGCTTGTTTCCTTAGTGCCAGGCTAATAGCAGGGATTCAATTCTTGTTTGTGAAATAAGCATTGTTATGGTCACATGACATAAGTGGCTAACATTAAATGGACAAGGGACAGAAATCCACAGTAACTATTTGTCCATGTTCCCAGTGACTTCCCCAGCTGTGAAAAGGTGTGAATCACCGACACTATTTCTTCCATTCATGGTAATAATGTCAATTCTGAATAAAATGAATGTCAAGGGAAGCCTCAAAATGCAGATATTTATTCATTCAGGTAGGCATTCAGCAAACATTTACTGATTAATCACTACATGCCATAAAAGATGAGATAAATGTCACAGTGCCTGTCCTCAACGAGATATGAAAATAAGTCACTAGAGTACAGGGTTCTAAGTGTTAAGCACTGAAATAAGACGAGCAACTTATCCAGACCAGGTGAGTCAGAAAGGATTCTCTGAGGGGGTTATGCTGTATGTCCTGAAAGACCAAAAGGAATTAAGTGTGAAAAAAGCATAGTGAGCATTCCAAGTAAATGAAAGAGCCATATGACTGTTCACTGCTGAGAAAGAAGCTAGCACTTCTGTGGACCTGGGAGTAGTTTGATATAGCAGGATTTGTGGCCTCAGGAATAAAGACAGAATAAGGAAAAATGAAGTTTACCTGGTTATAAGCTAGTAATGGAAAAGTATAAATGCATGTAAATGAGCCTTAGGTCTCTAAAGGTATTAATTTAGTGGATTCTAACTGCATGATCCAGAAGTTCTTATAGGACAGTTTTGCTCAAATCAGAGTTGGGGACAGACAATCAAATTTAACATAATTTGAGGATTTTTAAAAAAATGTTTAAGACAATTATACTATTTACTAATATTTTTAAAAGTAGATCATGTCTACAAGGCAGCTATGCCAAACATTTTTAAATAGAGGTTAAAAATTAATGTTTTAAAACATTCTTTTAAGCCTAGAAAAATGATAACCAACTGATTTTTAAGATATTGGCATGGCTAGTTTGCAGAAAAACACATTTTGGTAAACAGATTATATATTTTAATTCTTGAGCACTTTATATTGACCAGACAGTCTAATGGAGTTTATCCTCATGAGTGAGCGATTTGACTTAGAACAAAATTAAAGCGTCCATAAGAACCTTCAACAGTAATTTCTTGGACTGAATTTAATCTAAATTCAGCATTGTATGAGAAATGCGACATTTCTGCTAACTCTAATTCTGATTTTTGTCTTTGAATTCCCAAATCAGCATTAACTCCCTCTAGAGTGTAGCTGTCATTTTACTAAATCCATGTACAGGAGACCTACTTGTTTTTCTGAGAAAATCATGGAGCACAGGAATAGTCTTATTTCCAAAACGATGCCCAAAGAGGAGAATACAGAATTATCAAGGGATATACTTCTTTAAAAGTCAGGAAGAGCTAGAAATCAGTTCCAGTGGTAGAGCAAACCTCAACATTATCTATACAAATAGAATAATTCAAAATCCGTGCTAGGATTTTCAAAAGTCTCAAAATCGTATTTGTAAACTTTTAATGAATAATAAGAGAAACCAAATCAAATTGTGTGTACTTATTTACATCGACTGAATTCAAACATTTAAGAATCTTCTAGAGTAAAAGTCTGTGCTGTTTCAATTGGTACACAGAGATGAGCCCAGTGACCCCCATCTTCAAAGACCTTTCGTTGTGTAAGAGCTGATGGATATTGTCCTTCACCAAATATCTCTTCATTATAAATGGAAAAATGCTCATCCACTGACTAAGCACTCTCTGTCACCCTCTGTGTTAACAGGTAAACATTTCAAAGCCTTTTGGAAAGGCAAAAAGTAACTGTGATGAACTAGAATTAAGATATGCTGATGAGTTGCTTCTGCAGTTCATTTAGAATGTCATTCAGGAATTTTATTGACAGACAAAACAAAACAAAACAAACAAAACAAAACAAAACAAAAAACCCCCAAAAAACCAAGAAATAGAGTTAACAGGTCTATCAGTACATAAAAGTTGTTGGAAATAAAAGGAAAAATAGTTTCTTTGTAAATCAGCAACACAAAAGAGCAATGTAGAAGAGAGAAATACAAAAAGAGGAGGACTCTTTAAAGACCTAACCAAAAATCCTATGATAAATTGATAAATATATGAGAAAATGTTTTGCAGCAAAAAATGCTGCATGTATCTAAGTTTCAAGATATTTCCAAAATATTAATTCTCACCACACATTTGAGATCAATGGGCATAATATCTGCCATTGGTGAAGAAATGTGCCAATTGCCTAGGGCTATGTAGCTTGTCACTGTGTGAACCAGGACTAAAATAGGATTCCTGGCTCTCTGGATTTCTGATATCCAATTTAGCAGACTTCAGCCTTCCACTAGATACTCTGCAAGTTAAGCAGCTCTCATATCAGTTTATGCCAACTGCTTAAATGCCCTTTCAGCAGTTCAAGTGTTATAAGTGTCTAGTGCCTAGGGACCTAATATGTCCTCAAGGGCTAGTACCTATTATTATTTGAAGTTAGATGTTAGTAAGAGCTTTAGAAGCTATTATTTCTATATATATATTTCATATTAAAGCACTAATGCTAATGTCTTATTGAAAGAAGGCTTAATTGCATATAGGCTGTGGAGCCCCAAATTTATCTTTAGATAGGAAACTAAATTCCCCATCTTGATAAAATGAATCAATATTTATACAATATCAACACACTTTGTTAAAAACATAAAAAAAAAACAAGCAGCTGGAAGGGGGTAGGTATGTGTGCATATGTGTGCTTATGTTGGAGTAGAATTTGTTCTGCGTCATGCCACATAACCAGTTCACTTTCCATGAAATCAACTGATTGTTTGGCATTGGATACACACAGATTATAGAAAAGTTCCTCATGTTTCAATTTTTTGGTTTTAAGTAAAAAACACCTCTTGCTTAGAAACATGTTTCTTGTTGACATGACTGAAAAATCTGGAACTTAATAGAAGATTGAAAATCAAACACAAGAAAAGTAATGTAAGGAATGTAGAGGAATGGGAGGAAGAAAGAGAAAAAGTGTGAAAGAGGAAGTGGTAAGAGAATGTGTGTTATAATAAAAATACCATTCACTCAATGACTATTGTGAAACTACTCTTTCTAGGCACTGTTTTGGGTACTGAACAAAATATCATAGGCTGACATTCTAGTGAGTGGAGAAAGAAAATAGACATAAATTATCAGGAGGGATTTATCCTATGGCTATATTGGCATTTTAAATAGGATTAGCTTAAAGTTTTAAATAACTAGATTAAAATTAAAGTTTTGAGGACAGCTTAAAATAGGAATTGTTTACCCATGTATATCAACACTGTGGTGAATAGTTCAAAATAAAAAGAATTTCTATTAGGTGTTATTTCAAGCATCATGCCCTTATGTCCCCCAAAACAATTTATAATAAAACTGCTACTAACTTTATAGGGGGATATTTCTTTGTTTAATCTTTGTCTTTGTATTTCTTTGCGTAATCTTTGAAGCAGTAACTGTGGCCTTTCCTTCTCATCTTCAAATCCTCATTTTCAAAGCCACTTGCTTTGTGTCTTCATAGCAGGGTTAAAGAGGGGTCGACTTGGATAGAGTCAGACTCCAGAATTAGTTTGATAGCTTTATATTGACTCCACAGAGCTCTGGAGCTCTACACTAACTGATTAAAAAGTGAACAGGTAAAAGTAATGAAATGACACCATGAAGGGGACCATAGTAGGGGAAGTTAACATACAACTCAGCAGACCATTAAATTATCTCTCTTGATTTGTTCCAACAACATACATAGTCTTAGTGCCATATGTTCTGTATTACCAACATGTATCTGAAACTCATTCAGGGTCACTTTCTTTTTTAAATATCCAACTTTGCTTTATACAGTCTTCAAGCAAAATACTGTGCATAGCAGAGTCTTCAGCATGATCATATCCTTTTATATTTAAACAAAAACTTCTTTCAAATTTATATAGCATTATGAATCTCTAACATTTTGGATTGGAAGATGAAAGTGTTGCACATTCATTCGTTTATTTGACCATACGTTCGGTCATGCAACAACATATATAGAAACTTTATAATACCAATGCACTACGCTAAGATCTATGGATCGAGAGACAAAAGACCCATTCTTTCTAAACACAGAAGGACGACAATTTTGAAAGTTTGCTGACAATTTTAACATAATGTAACTAAGTGCCATTATAGAAGTATTCACAGAGCGAGGAAATGATGGTATCTAACTTACCCTTCGTATGGATTATTGCACAATAATTCATAAAGGAGAAGCCACTCATCTTAAGTCTTGATGAATATGTCATATAAACTGCAAGGAGGTGGAAAGAGGGAAGATCCTTCTAAACAGTCTTCCTATTTCCCAAAGAAATTAAAAATACGTGGCAGGAACCTCGGCCCTGCGCCCCAAGTCAATAATGTAAGTATTTCTGAGTCATAAATTCCATCCTTCTGCTACCATGTCTAGAAGTACTTGTTAATGGGTGTAATTATATGGTATCAAAAGCACAGAAGTGGTAATTGGGGTACAGTCAGTATAGGGGGTAAAAATTATTTTCCCAGAGGAGGATTGGGTTATGAGTTTCCAGCTGGGGAGCCAAACTAGCGTTTTTTTATGGACTGTACCAGCCTTTTGATATATGTCCAATGTGTAGCTTGGTGAGGAGGTCTCAGTGTTTACAAGGTGCTCTAACTAGCATCCTGTGTAGGTTAAGACCAGGTAACAAGCTGGATGTGTCAGACCAGCTCTCAGTTCCACAAAATCATCTGAAGCACCAGAGTCCACTATTACCTTTGGAATGGTATGACAGAAGTGCAAGGTGGGATGGATACCCACCCTGCTGAGAGGCCAAGTGACTCTTTGAGGTGGGTTCTGTGTCTCTACATTCTGAGAACCCATGGACAAAGTGGATTTCCATGGTATATAACCAACTCTTGGAGGGCAGCAGGTGGTCCCAGACTATATTATCCAGTGCACAAAGTCCCTGAGAAACTCACTGAATTTGTCAGCACCTTTGCAGCTCATTACTAGAGCATTTTTGAATTCCTTATGAGCTACATACAGAACTAGCAGTGCTGTCTCAAGCTTGTTGTTTTCTCAACTCCTGATGCCACTGTTGTGCTATGTCCCTGAACCCTATTTTAAGTGGCCACTGGCAGAATTTCTCCTGTAACACAAGGAAATATGCTGATAGCCAAGCCCTCTCCCCACCACCCAAGGAAAGGAGTGATTTTTTTCTGGATTCCCATACAGTATGTATAGATAATTCCATCTAAAGAGAAGCAGAAAGCAAGTGCACCTGCTTCTGTCTCTTACCTTGCAGCACCCCTTCTATTTTCTTTTAAATAACCAGAAGAAAGCTTTCTACTTCTGGCTGGGCCTTTGCTTAGATGAAACTCAATGACCAAGTCCTCCAGGTTCACCTCTTGTTATATGGAATGAAGACCTATGAAATTCACAAATCTTTCTAATTTCACAAGTAGCTTTTTCCAAGACTGTTGTTTTGCTACATTTGCTGGTAACTTTGTTCTGTGAATACTTCTTGCTGACCTCCCTGGGGAAAAGCAGGTTGAGGGTGACAAGAGAATATTATATATAGGGGGGAAAATAGATTAATGTTTGCAAAATACTATTCCTGTATCATTGGGAAAGAAAGTGGCCCAAATAATTCAAGTGTATGATACTTCAACAGGTAAATGAAAAGAAGCCTAAATACGCGGGTTTGTAAATAGAGTCCCTGTATCTGCAGGTTTAACTGGTCAGTCTTTGACAGGCTTTTAAGCAAGGACATTTCAATGATGTGAGGAAAAAAAAAAGTGCCACAAAGCTTTGAGAATCAATTATCTATATGTAAAAAAAAAAAAAGAAAAAAGGCTTGCTTCAAGGTGTGTATAAGCAATTACCTTGTTAACGCAGATGTGAAAGTTAGGCAAGAGAGGGCTTGGATGGGAAGAGGGTGTGTAAGAGCAGAGAGTGTGTAAGTGCAGAGAAAGCACTCTTCTAACCTTAACAAAGACAAGAACAGCTCAGTAAGTCATGTGCTTTCTGAGAGAAAATGGTGAGCCTTTTACATATAAATAAAGGAATTATCTAAACAAAGGAAATAACTGCATGTGTTGGAAGACACTAAAATATCTGAATAATTTTTACTACTGCGTGATCTGAAGTTTCTTTCAAAAGCTTAATAGTTTCTTCCTATGTCTCAAACAGGGACTATTTGAATTTGATTAAGAGTCAAGGCCGGGCATAGTGGCTCACGCCTGTAATCCCAGCACTTTGGGAGGCCGAGGCTGGCGGATCACCTGAGGTCAGGAGTTTGAGACCAGCCTGACCAACATGGAGACGGATCACCTGAGGTCAGGAGTTTGAGACCAGCCTGGTCAACATGGTGAAACCCCATCTCTACTAAAAATACAAAAATTAGCTGGATGTGGAGGCGGGCACCTGTAATCCCAGCTACTCGAGAGGCTGAGGCAGGAGAATCGCTTAACCCCAGGAGGCGGAGGTTGCAGTGAGCTGAGATGGCACCATTGCACTCCAGCCTGGGCAACAAGAGTGAAATTCTGCCTCAAAAGAAAAAAAAAAAGAAGAGTCAAAGAGTCAAATGCACACTATTCCAGGTCAGGTATGTGTTGGAACACTAGACAGTTCTGCAAAATGGAGTATAAAAAAGCAAAGAGAATACTGCTATTCTCAAAATTAATGAATTTTTGCTGTAAAAGTGAGGTCTTTTGAAATCAA
Organism: Homo sapiens; assembly: GCF_000001405.40. Classification (NCBI taxonomy): domain Eukaryota; kingdom Metazoa; phylum Chordata; class Mammalia; order Primates; family Hominidae; genus Homo; species Homo sapiens. The sequence goes on along the minus strand of NC_000002.12, from coordinate 180,649,304 downwards.
AGGTACTGAGTTCATTATAATGCCTCATGGCTTGAGGAGCTCAGAATATACATTGATAGGATATTCACAATGATCTTACTTCATCTTATAAAGTAGCAATTAAATATTTTGAAGTATGGAAGCTATTTTTGGTCTGATTTTTGCTCAAACAGTATAAAAGAGACATAGGCAAAGTAAAAGACAAAGAATTTCTTACAAATATTACTACTGATATTACTGTGTTTATTCTATAAAATTTTCACATAAATTTATTCATAATAAATCTGTAGAAGTCTTATTGCTACCTTCAGATTTCTTCAAACCGAGTTTGTCCCTCAGTCCTCCCTCCTTCCTTAAGCGTGGATTATTATTTGTTTTTTGAAGGGGAGGAAGCTCCACTTACTTTTCTGCTCCTACTTCTGATCAAGGTATTTTTACTTTACCTTTCTTTTTAAAAATAATTTCAGCTGGTATTTTAGATTTAGGGGGCATTTGTGCAGGTTGGTTTCTTAGCCAGGAGTTGGACATCCAGGGAGTTCTCCAAGCTACACCCAGAGAAACAAGGGGTAACCAGGTCAGGGTCAACCAGTTACTGTACTTAAGTGGGCAGGAGGGAAATTGGAAGACTGGGGGTGTGTGGAACCAAACACAGGTAATATCTCAACACATTATTCTGCCATGCAATGATATATACAGTGTTTATAGGGATGACAGAGATGAGAAAAGGCTTAAATAAAATATACCTCATAAAAGATTGAAGAGACAGTAAAATGATACCATAGACATAGATAATGCTTACAAATATTTCTCGCTCCTCTCCCTTTTTGCTCTGCCATTCCTGGTGTCTCTCCTGTAGGTTGTATAATTGGGGTTGACATGATTTGTCATCTGTACCATGACACGCATTATACAGAATGCCAAATTAGATCCGTGCACATTCCAAGAAAAATGAGAAAAGAAACACCTTCAAAAACACTGTGATACTTGCTTTATTCTGTGTGTGTGTGTATAAAGTCATTTGGATCTGCCCATACGTTGGACTCTTAGCTGATTTTTGGTGCCACATGAGTCAGTTAAGATGAGAATGGTAATTTGTTTGAGTGGATGTGGTAATGCATTGCTTTGGAAGCAAGGTGCCCATGTACTAGGGCATACCATGATAACAGGAGAGCATGGAAAGGTATGGATTGCAGAAGGGGTTTGTATGCTCAGAATGATGAAGTGAGATGAAAACTTTTTTAGATTTCTGTTCCAAGTACTATATGGGGTGGGGGAAGAAAGGAGAGAGGGGATGAGAGAGAGGAGGAAAAGGAACAGAGGAGAGAGAAAGAGAATAAATATAAAGAAAGTCCTAATGGTTAGGACTTAGTGTGATGAGAATTGAGGCTGGAGATCAACATCAACCTCTGTGTCCATGGACCGAGCATGAGGGGAAGCTCCAGCATCGACCATGGAACAGCTGAGCTCCCAGCCAGCAGCCAGAGTCAACAGTGTAATGTACTGTAAAAGATCCAGGAAGGCTGAGGCCAAGAAGAAGAGACAGAGGCCTGTGAGCTTTAAAAGACACAGAAAATCTTGGCACTCTCAAAACTGAGAAAGAAGATAATGGATCCAAATCGAAAAATCTCAGCAAAATATCCAAGCCAAAGAGGCAACTCACCTCATCACAAAATGTAAAAGGAGGTGATAGGGTAAAGATTCCTGTAATTTAGAAAGGAAAACAATTCTTTAAAAAGGAAAAAAAAAAATCTTAGCTTTGGAAGGCAGAGAAACAGATTTTGTTTTTGATATTTTAAAACATTCTTTTTCTCTCTCCCTGTGCATATTTTCATCTGTCAGCATCTGGCTTCACATAAACCAGCTGCTCACATGTAACTTTTGGGTTGTAAATCTTTTTCCTGAGGACTCTGCAGCATGCAACATGGATACATACTACTCTGGTACTAGGAGGGCTCACCAGAAACAAGCCAAATAACACCCTACTGTGTTAGTCACAGTATTGCCCTAGTTAGTTGAAGATGCCCTTCTCCAGGCTTTCTGAGTGGTTTTCTGAATATTCACAAGTATCTGCCCACAGTTACTGGGAAACAGGTGGAAAACCCACATTTGGGAGCTGATATATCTTGATCTTCACATTTCATTTCCCTGTTTTATTTCCTGTTTTATTCCCAGTGAACAATCTCTGTTTTTATTTCCCAGTGAACAATCACAGTGATAACCTACCAGTTTCAGCCTGAATGTGATGGATGAAGCCAGCTATCCGTTGCTTTGCAAATGTTGAGGATTTAAACTCCAAGCAGCTGATGGAGTTCTGGATCGTTCCAAAATCCTTCTTCTGGTTGTCTCTACAGCTCCTGTTTCCAGTCTTGGCATCCTGCCCCTTTCTTCTTCTTGGATTTTTATCCTAGATTTTTCTTTTTTTGTATCTCAATTTGGAATATATGATCATATTACTATACACTTGGGCTTTCTGCTCAGATCTTTGTACTGCACAATCTTGAGTCTAGAATTTCCAACAACTTTGGATTAAACATATTTTCATTTCTGGTCAAACCAGGCAGAACCCACAGTTTCGCCAGAGAAAAAGGATTAAGAAATATTTCAACCAAAGTAGTACCAATTTCCATAAACACATGTACTTTTGATACGAGTACCTGAGAGGCTAATGAAAAACATAGGTTAAGTAAAATACATTTTGTCCAAAAATAAAGATGGCATTTTCTTTTCCTAATAGATAAAATGCTTCTTCTAACACCTTGCTAATATTAAATATGTGGCTTAATTTTCTCCAGCAACAGAGGTACCTTACAATAAACGCAAGTAGCTGTCATGTCCTTTTTGAGAGCAGTGAGTCTAGACATCTTGCAATTTATTGGGGACTTTCCCTAAGAAAGCAAATTACCTTAGATCCATTGAAAATACCTTCTTTCAGGTTGATGGGAGACCTCACAGATTTATTGAAGGTCACTTTAAGAAAGACGGAAGGGGAGTATCATTAAAGCCTAAGTGTTTTGAGGGGGAAAAGGGAAATAGAGAGATGTTGGTCAAATGGTACAAAGTTTCAGTTAGATAGGAGGAATCAGCTCTGGGAATCCGTTGCACAGCATGGTTACTATAGTTAATAATAATGTAAGATATACTCAAAAACTGCTAAGAAAGTAGATCTTAAATGCTCTTACCATACAAAAATAATGAGTATGAGAGGTGATGGATATGTTAATTAGATTGATTTAATCATTGAATAACGTATACATATACTGAAACATTACGTTATATAATATAAACATATGCAACTTTAAAATTTGTCAGTTAAACCTTAATACAGCTGAAAAAAATTGTCCCAGGTTGATTTTTAAAAATAAAAGAAGGATGCTGGTTTTAAAGTCCATAAGTCGGGGACTACAAAATACCCTAAAATGTAATGCTCCTGAAGCCAGCTGGTATTCATGAGAGAGACTGTGTATAGAAATGAAAAGAAAAGCAAGCTAAAATTTGCAAATCTAGAAAACAGAGCATGGGTGTAAGGAGAAGAGTTTGTTCCTGATGGGAGAGGCCTGTGCAGGTAGCTGCACTATCAAGATATCACTACAGCAGTTCACTAGCAGGGCTAGGTTTTGTGGCAAGACCATGAAGCACTTAGCAGCAATGATAAATGGATCAGACTCCCTTTTGTAGTGCCACTTGGGCATGGAAACAAGATTGACCCTGTACCATTCTGATTGTAATAGTCTTCAAAGTATTTCTTTCTCACCTTTTTAAGAAAAATATTCCAAACACCCAGAGAAGAATAACATAATAAATGCCTCTGTACCCACTACCCAGATTTATCAAATTCTAATAATTGCAACATGTCAACGTCATATTATTTAAATAAGTCATTACCGATGTATTTCAAGCTCCATTTGTAGCCACCCCAATTGCATTCTTTTCTCTTTTTCCTATGTTTGTCATTCCTACTCATGTTTTCATTTTTACTATAAATGTATGTCTTTATAAATAATACATCATATAATTTTTTATGTTTGAAATGTATATTTTGCTGGAAACACTAAATTTATCGATGTGTGTATTATTCCTCAAACAACTTTTAGTTCTTACCTTTGTTTTTGAGGTTTATTCATGTTAATATATGTATACATTCCATAATTTTTAAACATTTCATTTATAGTAAAGAGCCTGACTCATTTTTGATGTTTCACTGCTGACAATTTTCAGGCCCCACCACTCTTTCTTACCCTTCTGCCCCACATCTTGGCAAGCTGATAAAAAAGCCAGGTGCTTACTTCTTTGGCACAAAAATCCTAGCCTTAGTGTGTACATAGGAACACTCACTCCCCACGTGGGTTAAAGGTTATCTCATGTGGCTAGGAGTTTACCACCATAGAAACTCCAGTCTTCTTTCCCTAGACTCTTAAGCTACATTTTAACCAGCTTGGGAAACTTCCTTGCTTTCCCCAGAAAATCTCATTATGTGAGTAATAAACCTTTCATAACCTCTTAGTGTGTGTGGCAATATGGGTCTAGAAATTTGATCCAAAGTTTGGGTGGGGAAGTCCATCCTGCTTCTGCAAGATGACTACGTTATCATACAAATATATCACATTTTTTTTTACCTGTTTTCTATTTGATGGACAATTTTTTTAATTTTTAATTTTTGTAGATACATAGTAAGCATATATATTTATGGGGTACATGACATATATTGATACAGGCAGGCAATGTGTAACAATAACATCATGTAAAATGAGGTATCCATCCCCTCAAGCATTTATTCTTTGTGTTACAAACTATTCAGTTATACTATTTTAGTTATTTTAAAATATATAATTAAAGTATTATTGATTATAGTCACCCTGTTGCACTGTCAAATACTAGGTCTTATTTATTTACAAACATTAACCATCCTCACTTCCCCCTACTCCCTCCACTACCCTCTGCAGCCTCTGGTAACCAATCATCTACTCTCTATATATAAAAATTCATTCTTTTTAATTTTTAGTGTAAAAATTCATGTAAGTGAGAACATGTGAAGTTTGTCTTTCTGTGCCTGGCTTATTTCACTTAACCTAATGACCAGTAGTTACATCCATGTTTTTGCAAATGATAGGATGTCATTCCTTTTTATGACTAAATAGTACCCCACTGTGTGAATATATATCACATTTTCTTCATCCATTCATCTGTCAGTGAACAATTAAGTTGCTTGAAAATATTGGCTATTGAACAGTGCTGCAGCCAACATGAGAGTGTGCATATCTTTTTGATATACTGATTTCCTTTATTTTGGGTATATACCCAGCAGTGGGATTGCTGGATCATATGGTAGCTCTATTATTAGTTTTTTGAGAAACCTCCAAACTGTTCTTCAGAGTGGTTGTACTATTATATATTCTCACCAACAGTGCACAAGGGCATCCTTTTCTCCATATGCTCATCAGCATTTGCTATTGCTTGACTTTTGGGTGAAAGCCATTTTTGACTGAGGTGAGATGATACCTCATTTTAGTTTTGGTTTACATTTCTTTGATGATCAATGATGTTAAGCATGTGTTTCTATGCTTGTTTGCCATTTGTATGTCTTCTTTTGAGAAATGTCTATTCAGGTCTTTCATCCATTTTAATCAGATTATTAGACTTTTTCCTGTAGAATTGTTTGAGCTCCTTCTATATTCTGGTTATTCATCACTTGCCAGATGAATAGTTTGCAGACAGTTTCTCCTATTCTGTGGGTTGTCTCTTCACTTTATTGATCGTTTCCTTTGCAATGCAGAAGATTTTTAACTTGATGAGATCTCATTTGTCCATTTCTACATGGGTTGCTTGTGCTTTTGAGGTATTACTCATGAAGTTTTTGCCCAGACTAATGTACTGGAGAATTTCTCTAATGTTTTCTTTTAGTAGTTTTATAGTTTGAGGTCTTAGACTTAAGTCTTTATTCCATTTTGATTTGTTTTTTTTATATGGTGAGAGATAGTGGTCTAATTTCATTCTTCTCTATATGGATGTCTAGTTTTTCCAGCACTCTTTATTGAAGAGACAATTTTCCCCCCCAGTGTATGATCTCAGTACCTTTGTTGAAAATGAGTTCATTTTAGGTGTATAGAGTTGTTTCTGGGTTCTTTATTGTATTCCACTGGTCTATGTGTCTGTTTTTATGCCAGTAACATGCTGTTCTGGTTATGTTACTTCTATAATATAATTTGAAGTCAGGTATTATGATTCCTCCAGTTTTGTTCCTTTTGTTCAGGATAGCTTTGGGTAGCAATTGTGAGTTTTTTTATGGTTCCGTGTAAATTTTATAATTATCTTTTCAATTTCTGTGAAGAATGTTGTTTCGATAGGGATTGCATTGAATCTGTAGATTGCTTTGGTTAGTGTGGAGATTTCGATAATGTTGATTCTTCCAATCCATGAACATGGAATATCTTTTCATATTTTTGGTGCTCTCTTTGATTACTTTTATCAGTGCTTTATAGTTTTCATTATAGAGATCTTGCATTTCTTTGGTTAATTCCTAGGTAATTAATATATTTGAGGCTACTGTAAACAAAGTTCCTCCTTTTTTTTTTTTTCATTGTTGGCATATAAAAATGCTACTAATTTTTACATGTTGTTTTTGTATTGTGCAACTTTACTAAATTTATTTATCAGTTCTAATAGTTTTTTGTGGAATCTAGGTTTTTACAAATATAAGATCATATCATCTGCAAAGATAATTTGACTTCTTCCTTTCCAATTTGGATGCCCTTTATATATTTCTCTTGTCTGATTTCTCTAGCTAGGACTTCCAGTACTATGCTGAATAACAGTGGTAAAAATGTGCAACCTTTTTGTGTTCCAGATCTTAGAGGAAAGGGTTTCAGTTTTTCCACATTCAGTATACTAGCTGTGGGTCTCTCACATATGGCTCCTATGATGCTGGGGCATATTCCCTTTATGCCCAGTTTTTTGAGGGTTTTTCTTAGTTATAAAAGGATGTTGAATTTACTCAAATGTTTTTCAGCATCAGTTGAAATGATCATATGGTTTTTGTACTTTACTCTGCTGATATATCATGTTGATTAATTTGTATATATTGAATCATCCCTCCATACCTGGGATAAATCCCACTTGGTCACTATGAATGATCTTTCTAATGTACTGTTGAATTTGGTTTGCTGGTATTTTGTTGAGAATTTTTTGCATCATCAATGTTCATGAGTGATATTGGCTCACATGTTTCTTTTTTTTTCTATGTCTTTGACTGACTTCTCTTTTTTTATTATTATTTTATTTTATTATTATTATACTTTAAGTTTTAGGGTACATGTGCACAATGTGCAGGTTAGTTACATATGCATACATGTGCCATGCTGGTGTGCTGCACCCATTAACTCATCATTTAGCATTAGGTATATCTCCTAAAGCTATCCCTCCCCCCTCCCCCGACCCCACAACAGTCCCCAGAGTGTGATGTTCCCCTTCCTGTGTCCATGTGTTCTCATTGTTCAATTCCCACCTATGAGTGAGAATATGCGGTGTTTGGTTTTTTGTTCTTGCAATAGTTTACTGAAAATGATGATTTCCAATTTCATCCATGTCCCTACAAAGGACATGAACTCATCATTTTTTATGGCTGCATAGTATTCCATGGTGTATATGTGCCACATTTCCTTAATCCAGTCTATCATTGTTGGACATTTGGGTTGGTTCCAAGTATTTGCTATTGTGAATAGTGCCGCAGTAAACATACGTGTGCATGTGTCTTTATAGCAGCATGATTTATAGTCCTTTGGGTATATACCCAGTAATGGGATGGCTGGGTCAAGTGGTATTTCTAGTTCTAGATCCCTGAGGAATCGCCACACTGACTTCCACAATGGTTGAACTAGTTTACAGTCCCACCAACAGTGTAAAAGTGTTCCTATTTCTCCACATCCTCTCCAGCACCTGTTGTTTCCTGACTTTTTAACGATTGCCATTCTAACTGGTGTGAGATGGTATCTCATTGTGGTTTTGATTTGCGTTTCTCTGATAGCCAGTGATGGTGAGCATTTTTTCATGTGTTTTGTGGCTGCATAAATATCTTCTTTTGAGAAGTGTCTGTTCATGTCCTTTGCCCACTTTTTGATGGGGTTGTTTGTTTTTTTCTTGTAAATTTGTTTGAGTTCATTGTAGATACTGGATATTAGCCCTTTGTCAGATGAGTAGGTTGCGAAAATTTTCTTCCATTTTGTAGGTTGCCTGTTCACTCTGATGGTAGTTTCTTTTGCTGTGCAGAAGCTCTTGAGTTTAATTAGATCCCATTTGTCAATTTTGGCTTTTGTTGCCATTGCTTTTGGTGTTTTAGACATGAAGTCCTTGCCCATGCCTATATCCTGAATGGTAATGGCTAGGTTTTCTTCTAGGGTTTTTATGGTTTTAGGTCTAACGTTTAAGTCTTTACTTAGGAATCCAAGTTACAAGGGACATGAAGGACCTCTTCAAGGAGAACTACAAACCACTGCTCAATGAAATAAAAGAGGATACAAACAAATGGAAGAACATTCCATGCTCATGGGTAGGAAGAATCGATATCGTGAAAATGGCCATACTGCCCAAGGTAATTTATAGATTCAATGCCATACCCATGAAGCTGCCAATGACTTGCTTCACAGAATTGGAAAAAACTTCTTTAAAGTTCATATGGAACCAAAAAAGAGCCTGCATCGCCAAGTCAATCCTAAGCCAAAAGAAAAAAGCTGGAGGCTTCACGCTACCTGACTTCAAACTGTACTACAAGGCTACAGTAACCAAAACAGCATGGTACTGGTACCAAAACAGAGATATAGATCAATGAAACAGAACAGAGCCCTCAGAAATAACGCCACATATGTACAACTATCTGATCTTTGACAAACCTGAGAAAAACAAGCAATGGGGAAAGGATTCCCTATGTAATAAATGGTGCTGGGAAAACTGGCTAGCCATATATAGAAAGCTGAAACTGGATCCCTTCCTTACGTCTTTGTCAGACTTTTCTATCAGAATAATACTGGCCCAATAGAATGAATTTGGAAGTATTTCTTCCTCCTCTATTTTTTGGAACAGTTTGAGTAGAATTGGTATTAGTTCTTCTTTAAATGTTTGGTAGAATTCAGCAGTGAAGTCATTGGGTCCCAGGCTTTTCTTTACTAGGAGATGTTTTATTACAGCTTCTATCTTGTTACCTGTTATTGGTCTGTTCGGGTTTTGGATTTCTTTCTGATTGAATCTTAGTAGATTGTATGTGTCTAGGAATTTATCCACTTCTTCTAGATTTTCCATTTTATTGAAATATAGTTGCTGATAGTAGCCACTAATGATTCTTTGAATGTCTGTGGTTTTATTTATAATGTCTCCTTTTTTATCTCTGATTTTATTATTTGGATCTTCTCTCTCTTTTTTCTTAGTCTACCTAAAGGTTTGTTGCTTCTGTTTAACTTTTCAAAGAAGCAACTTTTTGTTTCATTGATGTTTTTTGTTGTATTCCTTGTTTCATTTACTTCTGCTCTGACTTTTATTATCTATTTACTTCTATTAATTTGGGGCTTGGTTTGCTTTTGCTTTTCTAGTTTTTTGAGATGCATCATTAGGTTATTTATTTCAAGTGTTTCTTCTTTTCTGATGTAGGCACTTATAGCTATAAATTCCCCTCTCAGTACTGCTTTCATTGTATCCCGTAGGTTTTGGTATGTTGTGTTTTCATTATCATGTTTCAAAACATTTTTTAATTTCCTTTTTAATCTATTCATTAACCCGCTGGTAATTCAGGAGCATGTTGTTTAATTTCCATGTGTTTGTATAGTTTCTTAAATTCCTCTTGTTATTTGTTTCTAGTTTTATTATACTGTGGTCAGAAAAGATGCTTGATATTATTTCAATTTTTTGAAGGTTTTAAGACTTGTTTTGTTACCTAATATACAGTCTAACCTTGAGAATGATCCATGTGCTGAGGTAAAGAATGTATATTTGCAACTTTTGGATGAAATATTCTGTAAATAACTATTAGGTCCATTGGGTCTATGGTGCAGATTAAGTCCAATGTGTCTTTGTTGGTTTTGTGTCTGGAAGATCTGCCCTATGTTGAAAGTAGGGTGTTGAAGTCTCCAGTCATTATTGTATTGAGGCCTATCTCTCTCTTCAGCTCTAATAATATTTGCTTTATATATGTGGATAGTGCAGTGTTGGGTGCATATATATTTACAATTGTTCTATCCTCTTGCTGAATTGACCCCTTTATGATCATATAATGTCCTTCTTTGTCTCTTTTTATAGTCTTTGTCTTGAAATCTATTTTGTCTAATGTAAGTATAGCTACTCTTGCTTTTTTTTTTTTTTGGTTTCCTTTGGCATGAAATATATTTTTCCACCCCTTTATATTCAGTCTATGTTCATCTTCATAGTTTCTTGTAGGAAATAAATCAATTTTTTTTTTCAAATTTGTTTAGCCACTCTATGTCTTTCTATTGGACAGCATAGTTCATTTACATTCAGCATTATTATTGATAACTAAGAACTTGCTCTTGCCATTTTGTTACTTGTTTCCTTGTTGTTTTGTAGTCTTCTCTTCCTTTTTTCTTTCTTGTTTTTAGTGAAGTTGATTTTCTCTTGTGGTATCCTTCAATTCCTTGCTTCTTATTTTTTGTTTGTTGTATGTTTTTGATTTGAGGTTAACATGAGGCTTGCAAATACTATCTCATAACTCATTATTTTCAAGTGATGACAGCTTAACACGGATTGGATAAAAAATAAACACACAAGGCTGGGCGCGGTGGCTCACACCTATAATCCCAGCACTTTGGGAGGCCAAGGCGGGCGGAACACAAGGTCAGGAGATCTAGACCGTCCTGGCTAACACAGTGAAACCCCATCTCTACTAAAAATACAAAAATTAGCTGGGCGTGGTGGCGGGTGGCTGTAGTTCCAGCTACTCGGGAGGCTGAGGCAGGAGAATGGCATGAACCAGGGAGGTGGAGCTTGCAGTGAGCTGAGATTGCACCACTGAACTCCAGCCTGGGAGGCAGAGTGAGACTCTGTCTCAACACACACACACACACACACACACACACACACACACAGAAAACTAATCTAAACTATACACTTTTACTTTGTCCTCCAATTTTTTAACTTTCTATTGTTTGTCTTTATGTCTTATTGTACTATGTCTTAAAAAGTAGTCATAGTTATTTTTTTTCACTATTACCAGTGAGTTTTGTACTTTCGGATGATTTCTTATTGCTCTTTAACATTCTTTTCTTTCAGATTGAAGAACTCTCTTCTTGAAAGACAAGTTTAGTATTCATGAAATCTCTCAGCTTTTGTTTATCTGGGAAAGTCTTTATTTCTCCTTCATGCTTGAAGTGTATTTTTGCCAGATATACTATTCTAGGCTAAAACTTTTTTTCCTTCAGCACTTTAAATATGTCATGCCATGCTCTCCTGGCCTGTAAGGTTTTTACTGAAAAGTCTGGGCCAGACATGTTGGAACTCCATTGTATGTTATTTGTTTATTTTCTCTTGTGGCTTTTAAGATCCTTCCTTTATCTTTGGCATTGGGAGTTTGATTATTAAATTGCTTTGAGGTAGTCTTCTTTGGGTTAAATCTGCTTGGTGTTCTATAACCTTCTTGTACTTGGATGTTGAGGTCCTTCTCTAGGTTTGAAAAGTCCACTGTTGTTAGCTCTTCAAATAAATTTTCTACCCCTATCTCTTCCTCTGTCTCCCCTTTAAGGCCAATAACTCTTAGATTTGCCCCTTTGAGGCTATTTTCTAGGTATTTGTGGCATGCTTCATATTTTAAAATTGTTTTTCCTTTTGTCTTCTCTGACTGTGTATTTTCAAATAGCTTGTCTTCAAGCTCACTAATTCTTTTTTCTGCTTGATCAATTCTGCTATTAAGAGGCTCTGATGCATTCTTCAGTATGTCAATTGAATTTTTCAGCTCTAGAGTTTCTAATTCTTTTTATTTCATTATCTTTGTTAAATTTATCTGACAGAATTCTGAATTCCTTCTCTGTGATATTTTGAATTTCTTTGAGTTTCCTCAAAACAGCTATTTTGCATTATCCTTCTGAAATGTCACATGTCTCTGTTTCTCCAGGATTGGTCCCTGGTATCTTCTTTAGCCATTTGGTGAGGTCATGATGCTCATCTAATGAACTAAATAAGACACCAGGGACCCTCCACTTCCTGAATGGTCTCGATGCTTATGGATATTTGTTGATGTCTGGGCATTGAAGAGTATTTATTGTAGTTTTTGCAGTCTGGGCTTGTTTTTGCCTCTCTTTCTTGGGACGAATTTCCAGATATTCAAAGAACTTATGCTCCAAGCCCAACAACTCTATGGTTCTTGCAGACTCATAGAGGTGCCACCTTGGTGGTCTTGGATATGATCCAGAAGAATTCTCTAGATTACCAGGCAAAGACTCTTGTTCTATTCCCTTACTTTCTCCCTAGGTAATGGATTCTGTCTCTCTGTGCTAAGCTGCTTGGAGCTGGGAGTTGGGAGTTGGTGACATAAGAACCCCTGTGCCACCATCATGAGGACTTTCCTGGATCAGACCTGAAGCCAGCACAGTTCTAGGTCTCACCCAAGGCCCTCTGTAACCACTACCTGGCTATTGCCTATGTTAACTCAAGGCCCTAGGGCTCTATAATCAGCAGATAAAGAAGCAAGTGAGGTTTGTGCCCATCCCTTCAGGGCAGTGGGATCCCCCAGGCCCCAGATGGGTCCAGAGATGCTGTCTGGGAGCCAGGGATTGGAGTAAAAAACCTTAGAAATCTACTTGGTATTCTATTCTACTGCAGCTAAGGTGGCCCTCCAATTACAAGATGAAGTTCTTCCTACTCTTCCTTTTCCTTTCCACAGGCGTCTCTCAGTGGCCACCACCACCACCACCACCAAGAGCCCATTGGGAGTTCTGCCAGGCACCACTGATATTCACTTAAGGCCCAAGGGCTCTTAAGTCAGCTTATGGTGACTACTTCCAGGCATAGGACTCACCCTTCACAGCAGTGGGTTCCCCTCTGGCCCAGGGCAGGTCCAGAAATGCTGTCCAAGAGCCTAGGCCTGAACTCGGGGACCCCAAGAGCCCACTTGGTGCTTTACCTCTCTGTGGCTGAGCTGGTACCTAAGATGCAAAACAAAGTTCCCTTTACCCTTCCCTCTGCTTTTCTGAAGTAGACAGAGTCTTTTACTGCAGCCACCACAGGTGGGAATATGCTGGAGTCTCATCTGAAGCCAGCACATCTCAGAATTTCACCCAAGGTCCATGGCTTACTACCTGAGTATTACTGTTGGTTATTCAGGACCTAAGTGCTTTTTAGTCAGCAAGTGATGAATCCTGCCAGGACTGGGGCCTTTCCTTCAAGGCAGCTGTCCCCTTCTAGCCCAGGGTGTGTCTAGAAATATCCAGGAGACTAGGGCCTGGAATGGGGTACTCATGACTCTGCTCAGTGCCCTATCATATTATGGGTGAGCTGGTATCCAAGATGTGAGACAAAGTCCCCTTTACTCTTTGCTCTCCTCACCTCAGGGAGAAGGAAGGAGTCACTTTTGTTGCTTTGAGCTGCACTGCCTGGGATTGAGAAAGGGTTGGTGCAAACATTGCCTTAGCTCTCTCAGCTGGAGTCTCACTAGGTCATGTGTCACCCTAGTCCATGCGCTCCAAGACCAGCCTAGCACTAAGACTTACCTAAGAAATGCAGTCCTTGTGTCCTAGACTGCCTTTCAAGTTTACCCAGGACCTAAAACCACTTTAGCCTGCAGTGGCAAGGCTTACTAAAACTCAAGTTCTGACCACTGGGATAGATGATTCCTCTCTGGCTAGGGCTGGTCCAAATTGTTCCCTCTGTGGGTAGGCACCAGCTGAACCCAGCATGAATTTGCTCTTTGCTATGACAGGGCAGCACAGAGTTCAATGCCAAGTCTCAGTCACTGTGCTATTTCTCTAAGCCCACAGATTCTCTCTCTGTGCCATGCGGCCACTGCTAGGGGACAGGGAAGCAGTGGTGTCAGTGTTTCAAGACTGTCTTTTCTACCCTCTTCAGTGCCTCTTTCAGCAATATAAAGTTAAAGACCAGATACTGTGAGTGTGTACTTGATTTTTGGTTCTTATGATGATGCTTTTGTGTGTGTAGTTGTTAAAATTTCGTGTTTCTGCAGGGGCAGGGACAGTTGGTGGAGGCTTCTATTCAGCCATCTTGCTCCCAACTGACAATTTTTTTACAAACCTTACTTGTACAAACTGAAATGCAACAATGAATATTTTGTATATGTCACCTTATTATATCATGCTAAATTTTCTCCAGAATTTATTCCTAGAAGTGGGATCACATCTTCAAGTTTAGTAGATGCTAACTTTCCTAGATAGTGCCAATTACTCTCCAAAGTGGTTCTGCCAATTTAAATTCCCCCCAGCAGTTATGAGAATTCCTGTTACTTATAAAATTATAAAATAATTTATTGTGACTTTAATTTGTATTTCCCTGATTACTTTTAATGTTGAAAATTTTTCCATTGGTTGCTGGGCTTAAGGATTCTCCTACTATAAAGTGCCTATTTATAGCCTTTGTCCATTTTTCTATTGACTTTGTTTGGATCCTGATTTGAACTAAGAATTGCAAAAATGTTTTTATGAAACAAGAAAATTTGAGATCTGACTTTATATTTAAATATAATTATATTTAATTTGTTTAGGTGTGATAATGATATTGTTACATTTTTAATATTATTCCTTAGCTTTTAAACATACATACTGAACTATATATACATAGATGAAATGGTGCAATTATTAGTTTATGGGTAGAAGGTAGTATGAGGTATACATAGAATATAATCAGGAATTAATTGTTAATTATTGGAGATGGTGGTGGTTCATGGGAGTCATTATACCATTTTCTCTATTTTAAAAAATAATCTATAATTTTTCATAATAAAAATCAAAATAAGATTGGACAATAAAAAGAGAAAGAACACAAATAAATAAAATCAGGAATAATAAAGGGGACATACGGACAGATACATCAAAGATTAAAAGAGGATATTACTCCTGTTACTGTAATTCAATACATTTGAAAGTTTAGATGAAAACAGTAACCTTATCCAAATTTAGAAATACATACTTCTAAAATTGATTTAGGAAGAAATAAAGAACTGTATAAAATAATCATTAAAGAATGAATAAGAAATCAAGACTTCCTGTCCTCTACCAAGAAACCTAACCCAGGAAGAGGCTTCATACACTAGTTTTACCAAACATTCAAGTCATTAATCTTCAACTTATATAAACTATTTCAGTAAATAAACAGACGAAAAACTCTCAGATTCATTTGCAAGCCTTGTATAATCTTAATACCAAACCTAGACCAAGGCAGTTCAAGTAAAGAAAATTTTAAGCCAATTTTATTTCCATGTCAAATCCAATATGTAAAAGAATACATATCGCAAGTGAATAGGGCTTATCTAGGGGATTACAAGAAGTTTTACCTCTGAAAAGTCTACTAATGTAATATAATCACTTACACATTGAAGGAGAAATCATTCATATAATTTTTTCAATTAATTTAAAAAAGCTTTTAATAAAAATTATCTTCATGATTTAAAAAATTAGCTAACTAAGTATAGAAAGGAGTTCCTTCACCTAAGAAGGTTATCAAAAATCTATAACAAGTATATTTCTCAAAAGTATTCTCGCTGAAGTGAGACAAGAATGTTCACTACCTTTGAGTCTATTGCATTACAATAGACTTGCGGTCTGGTCACATCAATACAAGTGAGCTCAGTAAGTTTTCTCATACAACCACAATCTGCAAAAATCAAGTGTTCCCCTATATCAGTAAATCAATAGTAACTAATTATATAATGTAATAGAACAAAAATCATATTCACCATAGGAGACAACATCTCTCCAAATATCTCTCTCTGTCTGCACATGCATGCACACACTACACACACAAAATGTAATATAAATGGAAGTTATTGTACATACATTTATTTATCTATACTGATCAAGATATCACAGAGATCTTTACATGTTAGTAAATTTAAAGAAAATCACTTATTTTAATGATCACATAGTATTACGTTTTAAAACTATCCAACATTCAAAGTTCTGTTGATATTTAGGTTATTTCTAGGCTTATCAACATTATAAACAGCACTGTGTTGAACATTTTTATGTAATAATCTTTTGGGATTTGTGAGAAATCTTAGCATAAATATCTGAACTCATCATGAACCACTTCACTAGCTGAGAACACAATTATGGCCTTTAAATTCTTCAAATTAATCACTCTAAGCCCTGTCACTTTACTAGAGAGAAATCTATTATCTATATTTTGAGAACTTTTCCTCCATTTTTTAAATGTCTAAAAAACCCAGAGATTTGTTTAGTCTTGCTTTATAAATGCTAGACTCAGAGATAATTGGAAAATCTGATATAGCTACTAGTACCTTTGTAGCATTAGCTGCCTCTGGACATTTAAGACTGGCCCTGCCTATCTCTTGCTAAGCTCCTCTTTCCCCTTGCTCCCAGTCCCTGGTCTTTTTTGAATTCTTTGAGCAAACGGTGAGCTTTCCTGCCACAGAGAATATGCTGTTCCCTCTGAGTCATTCCTATTCACCTCCCTCCCATCACATCTTTGCATGGTTAACTCCTAGTTATTCTTCACACTTCAGTCTTAGGTACAGCTTTCTAAGGCAGGATTTCACATTCATTCTCTGGCTTTCTTCCCCTTAAATACAAACAACAAGGGCCCCTGCCCTGGCCTCATATTTGAGAGGACCTTTGTATCAAACACACACACACACACACACACACACACAAAAAAAAAAAAAAAAAAAAAAAAAAAAAAAAAAAACAACCAAGCCCCTCTGTCATTTGTGGTCTTATCCTGCACTCAACATTAGTACAGCACCACCTATAATCATAAATATCAGGTCTAATTAACCAACACCAATTAGTACCCAGGAAATGATCCTTCCAAAATCTTGCCCTATGTTCCTGAAATAAAAGGTTTTAATTCATATTGTGAAAGTTGGTAGGTTGTGTTGCTCTTTATATTGAAGATGGAAAAAGCTAGGAAATGTGGAAAGAATTTGAGCCATGGAAGTTCTTAGGTAAGAAAAAAGTCAAATTAATTCACTTGTCAAATTTTTCCTCTCAGATTCTGTGAATGCAATAGATTCTTACATAATGAAGTATCATTTCCCAGTAGTGCACAGCATCTATTTTTGTTTGTTTCTCATGATGTTCCAATTTATGGTTTAGAAGTACTCGTGAATTGGCACTGTATTTGCAAAAGTTGCAAATGGTGACTGAGGAAGATTTTGCAATGTCAAACAGTTCATATTATTCTTATTTTGCATATAGGTAGATCCAGATACAGAGGAAGTAGATATAGATTTTTTATGTTGGTAACTAGGAGTATTGAATATTAAAATAGTTTTTAAATTTTATAAATTATGTAATATAATTTAATTAAGTTAAAATAAAAACATTTCAGTTTTATTTAAATATTTTTGTTTAAATATTTGATATTTAATCATTTAATAATACAATTTAATAATATTTACTCTTTAATTTTAATGGTAATTTGAATATTTCAGAAGAAAAAATACTCTGAAGAACATATAAGAAAAATAATTTTAATTTTTCAATGTTTAACGTTTTATGTTATTTTACTTTGTTTTAATGCAAATACATTAAATTAGCTCATAATTGTCAATAGAACCAAAATTACATAAAAAATTTGTTTCAACAACACAACCAGTGAATTTGGTTTAAGGAAGACAAGAAAATGAATGTTATAGAATGAATATGTAATAATTTATCAATTATATGTTCTGCTATCTTATTAGTCATCCAAACATTGCAGGCCTATCAATAGAGCATCTAGATATATGCAACAACAAATTCAGTCATCTTGATATTTTGCCTGCTTTTAGTCATATTCAAGCAAGAACTTTACATATAATTTTTAATTCTGTCATCATAAAGGCATACTTGTCAGTGTATGAAAACATAAATATGCTATTTAATAGTTTGCTTGGTTTAATAAAGATTGAGATGTATGGCAATTGGGCCTGGGTTTTGTACTTTTGTCCTGACTCTTGCAAAGGTTGGGAGTGGGCCTAACACTGTGGAGGTCAGGTTCTTTGTAAAAAGAAATCATGGAGTTGTTCCTTCAGCGTATTCATTCTGTTTTAAATTATTCATCTGTTAGTGTGATTTTGGCTGAATTCTGTACTAGACTCTAAGCTCCATGATAACAGAGAATGTTTCTGTTGCTGCATCACTTCTCCAGAACCTAACTGGCTGACATAGGCACTCACTAGATATTTAGTGAGTATTTAACTGATGAATGTTTGCCTACTCTTGTGGTGAGGTATTTGCTAACCTAGATATCTGCTGGTACCACAGTGATGTTCCGTGCTTGTGCTGCAAGATCACAGCTCTTTTACTTTATATGCACATGGTTGAGTATCCTTCCCATAGCAAGATTACAAGGCTAAGGTAACTGGAGTGGGAAGGGATTCTAGCTTCAGTAATATGCAGTGTTAGAACCATTTCTTCTCCTGGAACTCTCAGATCTGGTGTTGAGCCCAAGTCACCAACCTAAAATCTCCCTCTTAGAAGCAGAACTTATTAGGAGCTATTTGATCTACCCTAGCAAGTTTCCTAATTTTAACTATCACAGTAGATTTGTAGTAGGCATTAATAATGTTCAATTCTCCTCTATTTCTGGGTATTTGGAGAATTAAACTCTCCATTTCCTTGATGATAAGTACAACCATGTGACTATGTGGCCAGTTGTGGTTAATGAAATGTGAGCAAAAGTGAAATATATCTCTTTAGGGCTTCTCTTGTTGAGAAGATTGTAGAAGCTTGTAGTGGCATGGCTGCATCTTAAGACTGTAGAGCAATGGTAAATATATTTTATTTATTTATTTATTTAGAGATGGAGTTTTGCTCTTGTCACCAGGGCTGGAGTGCAATGGTGCGATCTCAGCTTACGGCAATCTCCACCACCCGGGTTCAAGCAATTCTCCTGCCTCAGCCTCCCGAGTAGCTGGAATTACAGGCGCTCACCACCAAATCTTAAACTACAACTCATTATTAGCTTTCAGAATAGTGAAATATTTCTTATACTTCAGGGTATGAAATAACTGGCACCAGGGATGTTTAAAATACATGTTACTTGGGCATGGGTTCATTTATAAATTTGGAATATCATGAGGTAAGCCCAAAATGTGAATTGGAAAAAAGACTGAGTAGCTCTTAAAATATAGATAGAGTAGAAGTCTATAAGATTTTTCTAACACTTAACACAAACATGTGTATATATACACAGATTTTTCAATTCTAATACCTAGGATGACATATGCACAATGTTTTTATAATTAGTAAGTAGTTTTATCAGTTTGCTAGGGCTGCTGTAACTAAGTACCACAGATTGGGTGGCTAAAACAACAGAAATGTATTGTGTCACAGTTCTGAAGGCTAGAAGTCCAAAATTGAGATGTTGGTTCCTTCTGAGGGAAGAATCTATTCCAGTCCTCTCTCATTGGGTTGTACATGGCCGTCTTCTCCCTATATATTTTCACATCATCTTCCCTGTATGTATGTCTCTGTGTCCAAATTTTCCCTTTTTATGAGAACACCAGTAATATTGGATTAGAGACCCCTCTAATGAATTCATTTTAACTTGATTGCCCTGAAAAGATTCTATGTCCAAATAAGGCCACATTCTGAGGCCTTGAGATTAGGACTTCAACATATATATTTTTGAGGGATGCAATTAAACCAGTAACAGTAGTTCTTTGTATGTATTAATTAAATCAATAATTTATTGAGAATCTACTACACTATAGGTACCAAGTTAGGTGCTGGGGATCCAATGGTGAAAATATACAAATGCAGTGTTTGACATCATGCTGCATGTGCTGTAGTGGGAGAGACAAATAATATTAATTAGCAAATGTCACAAATTAAAATTTTCACAGAAGTACTGTGATGGAGAGGAGAGATAAAAGTAGAAAAATTTTACATAATCAAAACATTCAGGAGAGGTTTCCTTAAGAAAGTAGATTGAATAGAGATCTGGGGGACACCCATGAGGGAGTATTTTCCAGGTTAAGTAAACAGTATGTATAAATGCTTTGTGATGGTTTGTAATATAGTAAGCACAGAAGAGCAAATATAAGCCACTATATGTGGAAGAGAATGAGGTTGAGGATGGTGTGAGATAATGTTGGAGAATGGGGAGTGTCTGAGAAACCCACAAATCCTTGCATTTCACTTTATCTTAATAAATGATCTTAGACATAATTATTCTTTTTCAAAAGATTTCTCTGGCTTCAAACAGAAACAGGCATAAGGGAGGATGCAAGAAGACTGAGGAAAGATTATGGTATTAACCCAGGAGAGAGTCATTCTCACCAGGGCTAGATTGAGTGCAGTAGAGATTGGAAAAAAGAGATATTTGGTAAATAAAATTGAAAGGACTTCATGTTAGATTTGGAAAGGAAGATAATACACAATAATATAGTATAAATATATGGTGGTCCCATTCTCTGAGCTAGGAAACACTGATTTGGGAGAAAATAACATGAATTAAATTTTTGATTTGTTGAATATGAAGTAATTTTGATAATTTAAGAGAAATGTCAAGTAGACAATTGGTTTCAGATTTCAGAGAGGTGGCTATCATGAACATAAGAAGAGAAGATAGTCTAAGACAGAAATTTGAGGAACTTCAAATTTTTATGGTCTGCTAAAATAGAATAAACCAGAGGAGAAATGGCAAATATAACAGAAGGAAAACCAGCTGATTGTTGTTTCAAGGAAACAAAGGAAAGAAAACGCTTCAAGTAGAAGTGAGTGGTCAAGAGCCTTCATACTGCTGAGTCTTATTTAAGAATATAAGCTCCGCAAGGGATCTTTACTTTGTTCTCTGATATGTCCCAAGTATATGTTCCTCAAACACAATGAGTGCTCAGTAAATAATTATTAAATGTCATGACAGTTAATTTTATGTGTCAACTTGACAGGGCTGAGGGATGTCCAGATAGCTTGTCAAACATTATTTCTGGGAGCATCTATAAAGGTGTTTCTGGCCGAGATTAGCATTTGAATCAGTAGACTGAGTAAAGAAGATTCATCCTCACCAATGTGAATGAGAATCGGCCAATACATTGAGGGTCAGGAATAGAACAAACAGGCTGAGGAAAGGCAAATTCTCCCCTCTCTTAAGCTTGTACATCCATCTTCTGCTGCTCTTGGACTTTGGAGCTCTTGATTCTCAGGCCTTTAAACTGTAGGACTTACAGAACATTCTGGCTCCACTACCCCGACAACCCTGATCCTGGTTCTCAGTCCTTCAGCCTCAAACTGGGAGTTACACCATCAGACTCCCTGGTTCTCATGGAATCACATCACTGGCTTTCCTGGTTATCCGGTTTGTAGACAGCATATCATGGGAACTTCTCAGTCTCCATAATTGTATGAGCCAATTTCCATAATAAATCTCTATCTCCATCTATCTGTCTATCTATCTATCTATCTATCTATCTATCTATCTATCTATCCTATTTACCTGTTTCTCTGAATAACTCTGACTAATACAAATGTTGAATCAAGTAAGATAAAGACCAAAAAGTACCCTTTTGACTAAACTTTCTGGAGCTGATTAGTGAGTTTAGGGGTGCTTTTTTGATGGAATGATGTATGAAGGAGTCAAGTTGGAGTGGTTGAAGAAGGAGTGGGATATGAGGAAATAGAGACAGTGGTGAGTAGACAATTCTTACAGGAATGTTGGCTGTGATGGAGATAAAGGGAGTGTGGGATCAGGGGACAGTTTTGGTTTTTATTAGTTTTATTTTTTAATAGAAGAGTACTCAAAAACTTGAGGGGAAGAATCAAATTGAGAGCACAAGTTGAAAGGCAGGGAGAAGAGAATACATACATATTTTCAAGTGTGTATTTGTGAAAATATGGTAATGGTGGAGATCTAAACATAGAGGCATTGGCTTTGGAGAGCTGGAAGGAAATGTCTTTAATTGCAACAGGAGGAGATGAAATAGAATAGGTGTTGACACAGGTAGATCGTATGTTTAAAAACCAAGGAATACCCATCAAATGGCTCAGTTTTTCTCAGAAAACAAGTGGTGAGATTATCTGCTAAGATAAAGAGAAGCAAGGTGGGGAGAGGGGTTGGATGTTTGGGAAAAGTGCAATTAGCTTTAAATACTTGTTATAAAAACGAGAAAAGTTAACTAGAGACACTAAAGTAGTTAAAAATACTGAGGATACATTTAAAATTGATCATCATTAATTTATGGAAAATATGTCTGCTCTCTTTGTAAGGGTAAGGATGGAGCCATTTTAAAATGCTTGCTTTAATGCTACAGAGACAAAATGAATTAGAAAATATAAGCTCTGTCATTTATTCTGGGCACAAACAGAATGGAGTTGTTTGCTTGTATTTCTCTATAGACTTAGTATATTTCCCTAGGCAAAAACGGTAACTCATTCACTTTGAAAATGAATTTCGAATGTCTGAAAATCCTCTTAATGTATTTACAGTACATTGACATAAAAATGTTTATTATCCTTATGATATTTGTCAAATTATGTTTTTATTTGACCATATGTTTATCTGAGTTTAAATTCACGGGTGCTAACAACATATATGAATTAGAAGCAACAAAATGCTTCTGTTCTTGTCAATATGACCAGTCTTTAAATGTACATACTCCGATATGTTGGAGTTGATTTGATTTGGAAAATTGACTTGGTGAAGATTAAATTCCTACAAAATCCATATCTAGATATTTAACTCAATTCATAGCTCTAGCAGACATAAAATCACAGCATAAAGCAAATTAAGAGAAACTAAACACAGTATCATGCAAATGAGTTAAGATGCTTTAAAACTGATATTCATCATTCATTTTTTGATGGGGAATGATAAGTCAAATTGGCATGCCATATTTTACTTTTGAGCATGTTAATTTGACAATATTTAGCTCTATCTGTGAAATAAAGGTAAGATAATGTAACATTTGGTGAATTGTATTTTTTATTTGGGCATTGTATTCTTTGCAGACAACACATGCTTGAGCACACATAATATTTTGATTATAAATCAAAATAAAACATTTACATTTTAAAAGTGTAAAATTTAGCCAACTTCAATTCTTTACATATATAATGTTAAGAAATTGATTGTGTTTTTAGAAAAGAGAAAGTCTATTTGAACTTTGTTTATTATTCTTATAGGTAATATCTATTCTAGGGTATTTATTTTTTAACAATTTGAAGGAAATTCACAAATATTTCTTGACTGAATCAATTTTTGTTCTTTAAGTTTTTACCAATAATTTAGGTCATTTTAAGATTTAATGGTCTTCTAATTACTATTTCTTTCATGGCATAGATGCAAAATTTAGAAAATGTCATAGATAATTTAATCCAATAAAAATTTGGTAGCAGCCATAATTTAGCTATGTTTGCAGAGGGCTTGCATGGTTGTTAATCTGTTGGTCAGCAATTATAATTAGATTCCACAAAATAACTGGGATTCCATAATGTTGAATTTAACTTTAGAGAACTTCATACCAGCAGAGAATGGTAGGAGGAGGTGCTGACAGCTTAATGGTCTCCATTGGATAGTCACCAATGACTCATTGTGTTTTTCCGGGGTCCACATATTGGATAGGCTGAGTCACTTATTTTGAAACAAAATGAAGAGAAAGATTCTATAATTGCTATCCTCCTGTTTTTCTAATGCAGCTTGTTGCATTTATATAAACAAGCTAGTATTGCTGTGGTTATTTGAAAGAATAATCTACTCTGACAGGGATGTGGATTCCAGGCATATGGTAAATGGCGTAGTATTGAGACTTCATTTATGAAAAGAGAGCAGGAGCTAAAGATTTAAGGAGACAGGTAATGGGTCAGTACTTGAGCAAAAAGAAATGTAACATCAGACATAATGACTTCATGAACTTGAAGTTATATCAGAAATTAACCCTCATCAATTTGTGACCTGCCTGAGTCAGCCCATCTCAGGCATATGCAAAGTAGCCATCAGACCCTACTGCTCACCACCAGTGGCGTGGTACAATGCCGAATGCCCATACTCCTACAATCAGGATATGGAAATTTGCTTTCTTTGTGGATGGCAGTTTTAATTTATGCATAGTTTTCTTAAGTTTCCTCTGAAAACCCAAACACTTTTACATATGTAGAAGTTCTACTACACATGTAGAAATGTGTGGGTTTTCAGAGGAAACTTAAGAAAACTATGCATAAACTAAAATTGTAGAAATTCAACATGTGTAGAATTTCTCTGCCTAAAATGTTTTTTCTTGCCCACCTCATACATCATTACCTTGTCCCAGACTCCTTCCAATTTCTTGTCTGCCTAGTTTTTGCTTCTGCTTTTGAGAAATTGTTGACACGTTTCCTTTTCTTTGCAGCATCACTGCTCACCCATCACGTTTTGTTTTCTTCTCTATGTCACATCTCACTGACCCTAACTGATATTAGGTCCTCTCACTTCAAAGTACCTTTCTGTGTAAAACTTCATTATAGCAGTCCACTTTCTCTGGTAACAGTTCGTTTACTCAAACGTTCTGCCACTGCATTATGGGCTCCTAGATGGCAATAACTCTGCCTCATTTTCCTTTGTGTTCCCAGTGCTTATGATGTACTTCTATCAATATTAATGCCTTTTTTACATATACTGTTTCTGAGATAGAAAATTGAGTCCCCTTAGTCATTCATTGAACCTCCTTGGGTTTATAGCAAATAGTTTGTTTCCAGTCTCTCATTTGTCTTTTAATGACAGTTATGGTGTCTTTTGCTACACAGAGAATATTAATCATCATGAAGTCAAATATGTCAATATATTTCATAATGGCTTTGTTTTATTTCTTGCCTCTGAAGATGGTCCTTATGAAACAATGCTAAAAATGTTTTTCTGTATTTCCTTTTAATGCTTTCATCCATTTTTTTGCTTTTTAATCTTGTTAAGAACTATACATTTAGTCAATGGCCTTTCCTATTAAAGTACCATTGGAGAATTGTACAGTCATCACTGTTTGTCAGTTAATTGAGGAAGAGAAGCTTGAAACTCTGACATTATAGAAATAACTTCAGTTTTTCTGTGACTCAGAACTTCTGGAGGAATGGAACCTTAAGATATGCTACATAGGACTGCTCCTGGAATTATGAAATGCCCCCAAAATGCAGGATTCTAAGGAGTATTTTTTAGTTAGTGGGATAAAGTTCAACTATAGAATGTTTTAATTATTTTATTTCTTAGTTTTGATGACTATCTGTGTTATTGAAGTATTATTCATTTAAAATTTAGTATTTCTAATCATTGATGGTTTATAGGACATAGTTTGCTAGGGCTGCTGTAACAAAGTACCATAGATTGGGGGTTTAAAAAAACAAAAATTTTTTTTTTTAATTTTTTTATTATTATACTTTAAGTTTTAGGGTACATGTGCACAATGTGCAGGTTTGTTACATATGTATACATGTGCCATGTTGGTGTGCTGCACCCATTAACTTGTCATTTAGCATTAGGTATATCTCCCCCCTCCCCCCACCCCACAACAGTCCCTGGAGTGTGTTGTTCCCCTTCCTGTGTCCATGTGTTCTCATTGTTCAACTCCCACCTATAAGTGAGAACATGCAGTGTTTGGTTTTTTGTCCTTGCGATAGTTTGCTGAGAATGATGGTTTCCAGTTTCATCCATGTCCCTACAAAGGACATGAACTCTTCATTTTTTATGGCTGCATAGTATTCCATGGTGTATATGTGCCACATTTTCTTAATCCAGTCTATCGTTGTTGGACATTTGGGTTGGTTCCAAGTCTTTGCTATTGTGAATAGTGCTGCAATAAACATATGTGTGCATGTGTCTTTATAGCAGCATGATTTATAATCCTTTGGGTATATACCCAGTAATGGGATGGCTGGGTCAAATGGTATTTCTAGATCCCTGAGGAATCACCACACTGACTTCCACAATGTTTGAACTAGTTTACAGTCCCACCAACAGTGTAAAAGTGTTCCTATTTCTCCACATCCTCTCCAGCACCTGTTGTTTCCTGACTTTTTAACGATCGCCATTCTAACTGGTGTGAGATGGTATCTCATTGTGGTTTTGATTTGCATTTCTCTGATGGCCAGTGATGACGAGCATTTTTTTCATGTGTTTTTTGGCTGCATAAATGTCTTCTTTTGAGAAGTGTCTGTTCATATCCTTGGCCCACTTTTTGATGGGGTTGTTTGTAAAAAACAAAAATTTATTTTATCATAATTCTGGAGGCTAGAAATTTGAGAACAAGGTGTTGGTAAGGTTGGTATCTTCTGAGGCTTCTATGCTTGGTTTGGATGGCTGCTTTCTCTTTGTGTCTTCTCATTGTCTTCCTTCTCTGTGTCCAAATCTCTTCTTATAAGGACACCAGTCATATTGGATTAGTATCCACAGTAATAACCTCATTTTAACTTAACCCCTTAAAGACCATATGTCCAAATAGTCATATTCTGAGGTATCAGGTGTTAGGACTTCAACATATAAATTTTGGTGACGTAATTCAGCCCATAACATAGGAATACAGTGACAAACCTTGTATCCGGTGAGCTTACTAATCTTACTAATTCTAACTTCATTTTGCTTTCCAGTGGTTTTCTGCTTAGCATTTTAGCTGTTTTCTCTGAGAAGCTTAAGAATAGGGAAAATGTCTAGAGGGGGAAACCACTGAGAATTGGATTTGTTCACTCTGTGACTCCCATCTCACTGGATCTCAGCCCCTTTAATCATAGGGCCTGGACCTCCTGACATTTGTCTCTCTAGTCTTGTGAGATTGTGCTCTGCTGGCATCTCTACCCTATCACTATGGCTTTCTGCCTGGATTCACAGTCTCTGAGTGAGATCCAAGATATACAAATACTTATAGGGGAAAAATGACTCACAAAATATTGGTTCACCATTCTATGGCTCTCTTTTCTTTGATATATTAGTTTTGCAAGTCTTGGTTGCCTCAACAGCCCTGTGATGCCTCAATATTTATATATTGAGTCAAGATGTTGGTGACTTTTGGTAGAAGTGTTGTCTGCCTGAAGGCAGTCAATTCTAGCTTGAATTATGTCTTGCATGAGAGATTCCATTTGACTCTGGAAATTTGCCACCATTTAAAATATCAACCCTCAGTTAACCTAAATACGAACTTCCTAGTGTAAACAGAACATGAAACTAAGATAATTTCCTTAATTGCCAAGTTAAATATCAGTTTGAATATATTATTCTTAAGAGATTTAGCTGTTAGCACCATTATAGAACATATGAGCATTTTATTCTATTTAAAAGGAAATGAAAAGTTCCTGTGTTTTTTTCAACCAATTAAGTAATTTAGTTTTTGGTACATATACTAAGAACAGAAGGAACTAAAAAAAGAGATTTATTTTTGTGCAAATGGGAAAATGTCCAGAATGCAATTAAACCATTTAATTAAACCATTATAATAATGTCCAGTTGCTCTAATAATACCCAGTAGCTATAAGTGCTATAAGGATTTTAGAGCAGAATATTTACTACATCCAGCACATATTTAGTTATAAATCTCAGCCCTTTTATCATTACATGTCAGGGCCAATAAGATGAAAAACTATGCATAATATGATAAAAAGTTTTTGCAGTTTAATGTTTAACATAACCTTTGCTGAGTCACAGAAGACACCAATTTTGTTCACTTATTAATAGAAGTAACCAATCTTATTTTACTTGCTGTTGTTGACATTGATTAATAACCACTATTAACACAATTGAATTTATATGTGAAACTAATTTTCCATGGATCATTTAGGACCTTGACCAGTCATCTTGCATAACTTTAAGATTAACTAGTGATATTTATATTGGTAAATTACTGCATGAATGAATAGTATTGTTTTTATCTTAGAAATCTTCTGTTCTATACAAAGAATACCTGTTTTTATTATTCTCTTCTTTAAAAATGTTTTTTATTCTACTTTTGAAGTTGCTTCAGTTTGCTGTTATTTTAAAGACGTGTTAAAAGTCAGAAAAGAGAATATTATTATACAGTTTTAACAATGGAAATCCATAAGGAATCAAACCTGACTGCTTATATTAGAGTTGATTAAGCATGCAGGTTGTGGAATTAGAATCCCTATGTTTGATTCCTGACTCTACAACTTACTAGATGTCTGACTTATGCAAGTTACTTAGCCTTTCTGTATTTCAGTTATCGATCTGTGGAATGAAGATGTATATCCTGCTCCATACCACTCAAGGGATTGCTTGAGGTAATACATTTAGGCACTTAGAACTGTGCCTAGTACATAGTAAGCAGAGGAATTAAAATTTCACTTGTATTCAAAGGATAGTATCTAACATACTAGGACAGTCTAGAAAGTGAGATAAATTCACTGGAGAAATTTGGAGTTGGATATGGAAGTGAGTCCCACCTATTTTGAGTTGATGTTAATTTGACTGAATATTGTATGCCATAGTTCACTGAGCTACTGTATTTTCTGCAGTGTTTTTTTGTGTTCTCTTCCCTTTCTCCTCTTCTATTTTTTGTACTGATCCATCAAACATTATTTCATTCTATCATCTTCAATCCATACTCTTCCACTTAGCCTTTCTTCACTTGCCAACAATCCTAATTATGTCTCTTCTATTTTCAAATAAAACCGACCAAAGAAAGACATTCCTAGTATCATCTTAGACATTCTTTTAATTTTTTTCTTTTTTCTATCTTTATTTATTTTATTTTATTTTATTTTATTTTATTTTTGAGATGGAGTCTCACTCTGTCGCCCAGGCTGGAGTGCAGTGACATGATCTTGGTTCACTGAAACCTCCGCCTCCCAGGTTCAAGCGATTCTTCTGCCTTAACCACCAAACTTTGTGAAAATGTTGCCTCTCTCTCTCTCTCTCTCTCTCTCTCTCTCTCTCACACACACACACACACACACACACACAGAGGTTATGGTGAAAATCTTTAAGCAAGAAAGGAGGAAACTACATGAAACTACAGAAGATATAAGGTACATATTTCTAGAGCATCAATTTTGCTCAGTGGCATATAATTAAAACATTGATAGTGTTGTATCAAAATAAGTGCAATAAGTGCATATGTTATGGAGTAGAATGTACCAATTATGGGCATTTGTTAAGATAAATAAGAAGAGTTAAAAAAAATCGAATGTAAGATGATGACTTAAGATTTCCTGTCAGACCTCCAGAAGAACATCAGGTCTGGATAATGTTTGGTCCTCCTATTCTCAGTAGATGTTATGACTAAAATTTGGATTCAGGGGATGACAACCTAATGTCTCTACTTTAAAATTCCATTTAAAACCTTTTTCTAACAGTTTCATGTGATGATGATTTTAACTTGATTTAAAAATTTCTTTAGGAATTACAAAGTAGCGATTTAGTAGTTCAGTTATTTGCTCTGCATTTATTAGTCACAATTGTATATTTTGACTTTTGCCATTTAACAGTATATCTAAGAGATCACTTGATATACAAAGATCTTCCTTATTCCTTTTCTATAACTGCATTATATTTTATTGTGGGAATGTACCATAGTTTACTGAGTCAGTTGTCCATTAAATTCATCAAATCATATCCACTTTTTGCTATTATAAATAATATCAAAGTGAATAACCTTGGCCATAAGTTATTAAAAATTTAACAATTTTCTTTTGGGAAATATTCCTAGAAATGATATGGCAGGATGAAAGGATTAATGCATATTTTAGAAGATAAGAATTTGGCCCTTACATATTATATATCTTGCCCATTATCCCAATAATGTTTATAATATTATAGCTATATCGATAATACTGAGAGCTTAGCAAAATAATATAATATGCATACACTACATTTGTTGTACTTTCTTTTACTTTTTCTGAAATTAAAAATACATTTTTAAATATTTTAAGTTATATTGTTTTCTACAAGGCAAGATTAGTTAAGCATTCAATCAGTTCTGTTTTATTCCCATATCTTTCTGTTCCTGCACTCAGATGTATGTACAACTATTGTCCTGAGGATATTCCTCACCATTTCCTGGAAAATCTCTTTGGTTTTGCTATGTACTAACCCCTGCTCCTTAGATCCTAAAACGTTTATTTTCTTGGTGGAATACATCCTCTAGCTTCCTGAGAAAGGGTTCACAGAAATTAAACAATTTTTGAGAGCCTACATGCGTAAAAATGTCTTTATTTTACCCTTACACTTTATTATCTGTCAGGATTGTTACAGAATTCTAGCTCAGAAATCAATCTCCCTTGGAGATTGAAGGTTTGTCTTTAATCCCCTTTTTTCCCAAGATTGTTTTTGAGATGTCTGATGCCGTGCTGGTTCCTGTGCCTTTATTGGTTTGGAAGGATGTGGTCAGAACAGATGTTAGCCTAGTGAGGAACAGGAAACAGAATAGATAATTGTAGGATTATGACATAGTAAGATGTTTTGTTTGTTTTTTTGAGACAGAGTTTCGCTCTTGTGGCCCAAGCTGGAGTGCAATGGCATGCTCCCAGCTCATTGCAACCTCTGCCTCCCAGGTTCAAGTGATTCTCTTGCCTCAGCCTGCTAAGTACATGGGATCCCAGGCATACGCCATCATGCCTGGCTAATTTCTGTTATTTTAGTAGAGATCAGATTTCGCCATTTTGGCCAGATTGGTCTCGAACTCCTAACCTCTGGTGATCCACCCACCTCGGCCCTGCAAAGTGCTGGGATTACAGGCGTGAACCACCATGGCTGGCCCATAGCAAGACTTCCTTCATATGGTTTAAATTACTAATTATGGACTCTTGAGTGCTCATATGGCTCTATCTTAGCCCAATATTGCAGCATCAATGAGGCTATACTTCTGAGCTCATCTCACCAGATTACTCCTTAGTCCATGTGGGCCATCTTGACCACATAACTTGTAATGTACCTCTGTGAAGAGCCAGGGAAGCCATGTGGAGCAATGTTTGTTTACTTGTGTCCTTGTCTTCTATATACCTTTGCACTGCTTGTTTATTGGTTTGTTCAAGAGTTAAAATGAGAGTAGCCTTAAATCAACAGTCAACGTGCTTGCCAATCTCTGAAGCTGTATCAGTTCTTTGGGACCTGGCTTTCATTAACTTTTCTTACCTCCAGCATTCTGAAATTACAAAGTACATCACCTTTCCCCCCAGACCCCCACATGGCCTATTTCGACTTGAGAACTGATATTCTTTAGTTCTGGAAGACAGTCTTGTGGTTATATATCATTTCTTTGATAATTTCTGCCCTTTCAGTTTTCTGTTCTTTCTGGAACTAATTTTAGCCATATGTTAGCCTTCTTAGTTTAATTCTATAATTCTTTTCTCATGTATTGTTCACAGGTTTTTTTTTTTATTCAACAGTTTTGGAGATTTTTTTGAATTTATTTTCCAAACCTCCTATTAAAATTTTCAGTTTGGGTATCATGTTTTTCATTTTCTGATGCATTGTTTTTGAGTTATTTTCTTATTTCTTGGATGCAGCCTCATATCCTACTTTGAAATAATTACTTAGAGGATTTTCCAAAACATTTTCTTCTGTTGCCTGCCTTGTTTCTGTTTCCTATGAAAATGCCTTTGTTTGTTCCTTCTCTTTCATGTTCTAGACATTCCTTAATTATTT
Organism: Homo sapiens; assembly: GCF_000001405.40. NCBI lineage: Eukaryota > Metazoa > Chordata > Mammalia > Primates > Hominidae > Homo > Homo sapiens. The sequence goes on along the minus strand of NC_000002.12, from coordinate 180,617,615 downwards.
GGTTATTCTTGAGTAACTATCAAATTTAAGAGTAAGTGATTAAGAAGATGATTAGAAGCTATGTATACATTGATGTGACTTATTGATTGGTGAACTTAATAGCAATACAATTGTGTAAAAACACAAAAAAATTATTCCAAAACCCACAAATGTCATTATCTGTAGGCTTGTTATCTAGAGGTAATCAGTTTCTCTAGAATAGAATACTCTCATCTTTTGCCCGGTGAGTATTCTATTCTGTCCATCTCTGCCGACATGCTTGGAGCTGAGTATAACAAAGAGACATAGAGTTTTCAAATTGTGTGTGTAGATTCTCATTTATTCCTCCCATTACCAGAGCAGTGTCTTATACTTGATCTCCGCTTGTCTGGTGTTTCTGAGTCTTGGGATTTTCCAGTGAAACTTTTGTAGATAATATTCAGTTGGCGCAAAAGTAATTTCGGTTTTTGCCATTGAAAGTAATGGCAAAAACCACAATTACTTTTGCACCAACCAATACTTCTCCTGTTTCAACTGAAGGTAGAGAGAGGCTTTATCATCTGGTAGTTCAATGCACGTCGGGTAGAGAAGTGTGGTACTTGGATTGTACAACGGCATTTTATTTTCAACAGATTTTCAAACAATCCCCCTGTTTTCAGCCCCTCACCTCACTCTACTTCCATGATACTTGGTGCCTCTAGTATCTGAGACTTTCTGGAATTCTGTGGGTAGAAATCAGTTTATCTCTCTTTGGTATTCATTTCAAAGATCTTTAAGGTGTTAGCAATCCCTGCTTTGCTAAGACAGATTCAGCTCATTTAGTTCACTTTCAATCCCTAATTAATTTGTTTAACTCTCTAGTCTACTTTTAACTATTGTCCTATTCTCGTTGTTTGTGTGTGTTTATACATTTTGAGTGAGAGGTTTGGGGGCCGAAGAGACAAATGCATGTACTTTTTTACGATGTTAAACAATGAATTTGTCTTCACATTATTCAACTTTATTTCTCACCATTGAATTACATGTTCGTCTACTTTTTACATATTGATCAACAAATATTTATTGCATATACTGGTGCCAGAACTGTACAAGAATAGTCTGGATATGCTGTGAGCAAAACAGATGTCATCCTTATCTTCATGGCATGTATAGTCTAATAAGAGATAGACCTTAGCCACATAATTTTACAATTAAAAGAAATTAAAAAGAAATACCACAATTGAAAAGTACTGGTGGTAACAGATAGTTTTCTTAATGAGGTGATTTGAGCTGAGATCTAAAAAATAAGTAGAAGCAAATCACTTGAAAGTAAAGCAGAGGAGGTGGTAGAAAGTACTCCCAACCAGACAGAAGCAAATGCAGAGAATCCGCAATGCAAGAGGAAGAATGCCACGAGTAAGAATCTGAACAAAGGTTTCACCCAAGACAGTGAGGGAGATTCCACTGTCAGATCAAGTAGGAGACCTAGGCAGGAGTCAGATCATAAAAGATCCTGGACACCTGTCAAGAAATGTACTCTTTATTCTGTTGGCCTTTGGAAGGTTTTAAACAAGAAAGTTACATGATAAGGTTGAGTTTACAAAAATAATTCCGGCTGCAGTATGGGGAATGAATTGGAAGGAAGCAAAAATTGATGCAGAGAAATAAGGTATTGCAGTGGTCCATATGAAAGAAAACAGTAATGAGGATCAGTGTATCGTCAGGAGATCAGAAGATGTTGGATAAACCATAATGGAGATTAATGAAAATTATATTATTTTCCTTTAGCTACCAGCAACTAGTTTGGACATAGATTACTGGATTTATAATTAGATATAATTTGACCTAATTAGTTGGCTATAGCTCTTAATTATGGTATATGTTTTCCCATTATGGCTGCTGTAGCCATAGCTTAGGATAAACATTGATGATCCCACTTACAGTGGGACTAACTGTATCCCTTGGGTTATTTGTGTGAAAATGAGAATGGGATTTCAGAAGCGTGACAGAAGGTCTAAGCGTTAAATACTGTTTGGTACAATTCCCTTCATTGCTTTTCAAAAATGGCAGTTAATTTCACCAAGAAAGAAAAATAACCAATGTTTATGTGTATTGTTTTTTGGTGTGGTTTTCTACTGGGAGGAGTGTCCAGGGAAGATTCAGGCAAATATTTAAAACACTAATGAAGCCAGTTTTCACTAGAAGTGTCCTAAGATCTCAAATATTAAAAATAAGAGTTACCTAAATTTTCCTTGCTGAAGAAATTAAGTCACACATATACTTGGAATCCCTTTGGGAATTCCACAATGCTATTTCAGCCATATCCTCAAAATCTACTCTTAAAAGGGTTACTAAGAAATAATGTAAGACATTTTGAAGCTAAAAAAGGACAATTTTGTGTGATGTTTCCTGTGAATAAAATTGATGTGATGCTATTTTCAATGAAAAAAATTTTCAAAGGTGTTAGAGAAGAATGGCCTTTAGCTGTCGAATACCTCCACATGTTAGATATGGGGGCACAGATTCTACATGCCACAAAATATTCTGATGTTGGAAATAAAAAATATCCATGTAAAATATATAGTAATCCAGTCCTCTCCTTAGTCCAAATCATTCTTAGTCCATTTCATAATAGCCAATTACAGGTTACTCAAGGGACATGGATCATGCAAATCAGCTCATATTTCACTGAGTGACTGTTTCTCATGTGTTTTGAGCTATTATCTTCATTACAGTGCAGCACATGAATCCAACTCATCTGTACTATAATTGCTATAAATCAAGCATTCGTTTGTCATTATTTATTGCCAACTATAAAGAGTTTTAATAATATTTAGAGGGCACCAAAATAAAAGCAATCATTTGTTGTGTCTGCTTATAGGGTCACTTAAGGTTTTCAACAAAAGCCAATGTCATTTCCTAATCTTTTAATATTCATAAGGTAACATCACTTGCAAATGGTACATTAAGATTTATAAACATTTCCTGTTCAGAAACATAAAAGCATCATCATAATTCCTCCCAGAAAAAGCAGTAAGATGATGCGGGGCAACCTGAGTTACTAGAGCCCTGTGTTCTAAACCTGATCTTGTTTCTACTTATTTGTGTGCTGTTGATCATACAACTTAAACTCAATTCTCAACTACAAATTACAGAGGGCTTGTCAGAGTTCTTCTGCAAGGGAGGCGCTGCATTATTATTTAAAAAGATGGTTGTGTTTTTCCTATCTGAATTTCAGTAATAATAGAAGTGGCATGGTATGGTAGGTAGACAGCTTAGGATGAGAAAGCAGAAAAACCTAGGTTCAACTTCTATTTCCATCAATTACTATATGTGTGACTTTTAACAAATGAGTTAATTTCTATAAGCATCTGTCATCTTTCATGTTAAATGGGGATAATACTTTGTCTGCCTATGCAAGGAATCTCTGCAAGGATTATGTGAAAACCACTTGTGAGGTATAAAGCAATTCAACAATTAGCTGAACACACAACCTCATTGGGGAAAAGGTAGAGATAATTTTCTCCTAGAACACTCTTTGTAAAATTATGTTTGACAAAGATGAAGAAATACATTGCTTTGTAATTATCTAGAAGAATCATAGAATCTCAGGTACTTATATCAACTGCATGTATTACTGCTAAATTTTCTCTACCACATTCCAGTCTTTGCTTGGGCACTTCCAATGATGTGCAACTAATGGCCCCTGACAGTAGCATATTAAATTTGATAGCTCTAATTTAGTGCTAAAATCTGTTTTCTTCTGGGACAGACTCAACAAGTCCAGTGTCTTTTCTTTATCAGTACCAATGACATTTGAAGACAAGTGCTATGTCCTCTCCGAGGTTTGTCTTTTTCAAATGTAATATTTCCAATTCCTTCAACGATAATTTATGAAACATGATTTCAAGTTATCAGTATATCTGGGTCAATGTATTTTAAACAATAATTCAATTTGATTAAACTGAATTTAACTCTATTAAAAATATTGAATATCTATAATGTGTCAGAGATATATTAAGTTCCAGAGACACAAAGCTGAATAAGGCACGAGTGCCCTCAAGGATATCCTCCTCTAACCAAGCCAACTTTCACATTTATAATCACCTATAGTATCACACAGTCAACTGAAATGTGTTGGACACATGCTGTATGCCAAACTCTTTGCCAGGGGCTGAGACTCTAGCAGTGAATGAGGCAGGATGGTTTCTGCCTTCGTCAGGCTCTCATTTTTGTGAGGAAAAAAACAAAGTTTCATTTGTGAACAAGTGTATTAGGTGGATGCTATGGTCTGAATGTAACTCCCCATCCCAGAAGAATTCATAGGTTGAAACCTAATTACCAACATGTTGGTATTAGGAGGTGAGGCCTTCGGGAGGTGATTAGGTCATAAGAGCACAGACATCATGAATGAAATTAGTGCCCTTATATAATGGGCCCCAGAGAACTGCCTTGCCTTTTCTGCCATGTAATGTTACACTGACAAGACAGCTGTCTGGGAGGTGGGCCCTCACCAGACCCCAAATATGCAGACGCCTTGGTTTTGAACTTCCCAGGCTCCAGAACCATGAGAAATAAATGTCTGTTGTTTATAAGCCACCCAGCTTATGATATTTTGTTATAGCAGCCTGAACAGACTAAGACAGTGGGCAATGAAAATAATATTTCAGAAAGAAGAAAGAACATTGTGTCCATGAAAGCAGGGACCCTTTCTATCTTTGCTCTCGCATTTTGAGTACCTGATGAAGTACCTAGAACACAGTGTATATCCAATAAATATCCTGTATAGTGAAAGAAACAGCAAGCTAGTAAGAATTCCTAGAGCATGTGACATAAGAACGAAGTGAGGCTAGGTAAGTAGAAAGGGATCTGTGGCAGACATTGTGAGAGTCTTGCCTGTATCTCCTTAATATATGCAGGTCCAAATTCCACACATCACCATTTCTCTTTTTTAGCCTGAGGACTTTAACAGGCAAATAGCACTGAAGCCACTTTACCTGCCTCTGAACCTGGCCAGAAGTGCTGCCCGCTTACCCCAACAGCAGTCTTCAACCGAAGACTTCAGTTGCTTCAGGTAATCTTCAGTTACCTTCAGTGGTAACTACCTTAATAAGATACTGACTTCTTATATCTCATTTGCACTCTTCTCTATCAGAGCTTCCTTTATTGACCAAATAAACGTATTTCCAAGTCTATTTCTTATTCTTATTTCAGATTAAAATTCTGATTTCAGAGTCTATTTCCGGAAAACCCATTCTGGAACCATATAATGAAAGTTCTTTTTAAACCATATTAAAGTGGCTAAAGTCTATCAAAGTACAATGTGTTAGTGCTGTATTAGCAGTATAACTAAAATATTTAGAGAACTTTTTCTATAGCATTTTCAGGAGTCTTATTTAGCCTAGGCTGGGCTCTGGATGGATCCTCACTCCCTGTCTCCTCCAGAAGCACATGCTAGGAACAAGAAAGGGAATAAAAATCCTGCTTCTAGCATCCTTCTTTGCATACGCTTTATATTCCCAACTGGAGAAGTCTATCTTCATATAGACCTCTGCAGGGGTTTGGGAGTAACAAAGACATGGGCAACATTCTGACTTCCTGGAGAATTCTAGCTTGATGGCCTAGACATCCTGAGCACTCTGAAGGTACTTAGAGCTTGTTCTGGGACTCCTGAACATGGAATACCAACCACAGGGACACGCAGGCTCCTCTGGACATCGGTGGCTCCGAAGGAGGACTGGTCCAGACACACTGACAGACCTTGCCTAACTGTTCTGAACATCCTAACATGCCTGTCACAATCACAACACCCAACATACCAGCTCTCGCAGATATGCCCTTCCAGAGCTTCCACCCTGATAGGAAACAGGCCACAGTGGACTGTGGATCACCCACTCCCATCGATCAGTCCCAGGACTTCACACATCCTACAGAGGTCGGAACAAGAATCATGTGCAGGGCCCAACGTGCTATCTTCTATCTAGCCATATGATATGCTTTTGTCTTATAAAACCCTGGCTTTATAAGGATCAACAGAATATCATTTCCAAGTTACAGCTCCAGACAATGAACATGCAAGCATCAATGTTTATGAGACCATCACCAACTCTTAATTTATAATTAATGGCAATAATATGAGCCCATTTGATTATGATTACTGATGAGAATTACATGTGTTTCTTAGTATTTATTTATTCTTTCTAAATTTAATTTCATCATGTAAACAAAGTTTAGTATTAAACAAATTCTTTTATTTTAACTTAATAGTCACACATAAATGGATACATAAGAATTTTCATTGCTTCTGAGACTGTCATAGACTTCTTAACAAAATTAGCTTTTACTTTCTGATGTTCTCTCAAAATACGATTATTGAATATCTTAAGTGTTTGATATATAAGAACAACATTTTTCACGTACTGAAAATGAGATATTTGGATATATAGGAATACATATCCTAACGTGCTAAGAAAGAGTTATGCAACATTGGGTACAGCTGTAAGATATAATTTTCACCAAAGCGTTGACACATATTTACAATTTTATAACATATAGCCCTACCCGGGGTTTGAGTGAAACACGATTTTTACACGTATATACTAAGCTGCCAATTCTACATTTATAAATTTATACTAATATTTATAAGGATATATGCAATGATTTGGCTACAAGGAAGCTTATAACAGTGATGGTTATAGTGTCAAAAAGTTGGGAAAAGTATAACTATTTAGAGATCACAGAACTGATAAAATTAGTGCCCTATATTAACATTCTCTTCAACCATTAAGAATGGTATTATATATTAATATTTATTAATATTAGAGAACAATTTATTGTTTATTTCTTAAAAACAGGTTTTAAGAAAGAATATGAAGTGGCTTTCAATTTTTATAATGTAAAATTTATGTAGTTACACAGATAGGACATAAAGATGGACATCAACTGTGTAATGCATCTTATCATTATGTGGTGGAAGTTACAAGTGTTTAAAAAAATTTCCATAATCTTTATTTTCCACTTTTCTTTATTATAATGAAGGTTACACTAGAAAACTAGCTAAGGAACAGATTAAAAGGGGTCTTTAATGCCAAATGAAGGAGTTTATCCTAGAGGTAATGGGAAAATATGCCAGGTTTTTAAAGCAGGGAGGCAAATTGGTCAAATGACTAGCTCGGAAGATATTATCTTACCTCTTGAAACTCAAGTTTCTCCTATGTAAGAAACTTGTGTGTGAGTGTTTGCATAATAGAAAATTTTAATATGCAATCTGAAAGTGGCAGGTGAGGTCTTGAAGATATAGCCTAGAAAAAAACAAAAACTAAGCAAAATGGAAGCAAAACCATGCGGCATAAGAAGTTATCAGGCATGTAAAGGGGATGGAAATCATAGAAGAGAGGAGGAACAGTGAGTTTAGAGAAGAGAGAGAGAGAGAAAGTGACAGATAGAAGGAGTGAGAGATATTAATTGGAGAATATGGCAGACAGCCAAGACTGCATAAAAACATGACTAGAGAGAAGTTTCCACTGGTGATGAGCCTGAATCGTAATTTTAAGTACAGGAATATCTAATGTTGCATTCTTAGCTGTTTGCAACGCTGTGATATTATCCCAATCTGTCACCCCATACTTTTGGCAGAGTCCAGTAGTCCATACAGCCTGGTATGGAGATGTTTAAAGAATAAAGTGTTGGAGCCATAAAGGGAGATGGGTCTGATTCAGACAGACCTGAATCATTACTCCATTTCTTAATTTGTATGAGAGGCTGGACAAATCACTTAATGAACTGCAGTGTTCTGAGTTAACATTTAATAATTGCTTAAAAGCTGTTAGCAAATATTATTTATTAACTGCTAACTATGTGTCAGGCAGTATTCCAAAACCTTTATAGGTATTTACTTATTTAATCCTCATGATAACTCTATTAAGCTGTGAACTATTTTGTTTATAACCACAATGTGCCTCTTGTGAGAAAACTGAGGTGCATTGCAGTTAAATAACTTGTTTGAGGTCACACAGCTTGAAAGCAAGGGACCTGAGATTTAAAGCAGGTACTCTAGTTCTAGAGCATGTACTTCACCCACCCCTGTTACACTATCCCTCAGAGGTTGATTACAAGCTTGGAAGCACTAAACAAAATAATACATGTTAACGCCAAGCACTGTAATTGGCACAGAGGATTTTAGTTAATATCTCTTTTTTCTTCAATTCACTCTATATTTATAAAACTTGTTTGCAAAATGATCAAAATGGATTTTGTCAAGGGTCTTAAAATTTAGACATAATATTCCTTCCTAATTTTCCTGACCAAACAATTAAGAATTCCATGAAACAAAGAAATGAGGTTAGATACGTTTTATTCTCTCCTAGTAAACACTAGTCATTTTTCTATTCCATTCTAGGATTTTATTTAAGGTGGAGACCAAGCTCATTTGTCTGTGGCCTTGAGTTTTAATCTGTGCATTTATCGAAGTAGAGTAACATACCTTATTCCATTTGTTCTCCATGGCAAGATCAATAAGAGAAACATTCTTCACTTCATTTCTGTGAACAAGAAACTGAGACTCAGTAAAGTAAATGCTTTGACCAAGACCAGCTTTCTAATAAGGCAAGGAAGTATGTTAAAAGTTGGCATATTTGGTTCCAGTTCAAGATTTAAGTGTCAGAATCCATGTTTTTTTATTTTATTTTTTAATTTTTTTTGTGGTCGGCTAGTAGCAAATATAGAGAGATTGAGACAAAATATAATATGCAATCAAACATCTTTTACTGTAGCTATGCAGTATATATATACAGAAATAATCATGCAAATTTTTAAATATAACATTAAAGACAAGTATTTTTAGATTGCTTTTATCTACTTACATTGATATCACTGCTTCCATTCATTAGGGTAAATAAACAAAAAGTATTGCATTGATAATTTCCCACATATAATTTCTATAGACAAAAGAATTGAATCTTAAAGCAGAAGGAATGTGGAAGGAAAAAATCAAAGGCCTGGACAATTCAATTAAATATGCATTTTAATGACAGTAATCTTCTCCCTTTAACCTCTAGCACGTCTGTTCATCTGAAATCTGAAAATACTTAAAATTATACTTAAGTATAGTTAAAATTGTGAACAAATCTCATCTCTGTAACAAATAGACTTTCACTGTCTACAGAGTCACTTAATAGCTGACGAATAGGTTCTATTAGGCTCTATCTTAATTGGTACTTGAACTTTTGCCTTAAGCTGATTTGGCTTCTATAATCCTTCCTGTTTTATCAACTGAAATGGTCAACTCCCTTAAAGCTTACCATACCATGGATGTATTTCACATGTTTATGTTTCAGCTTTTTGGACATTTTCCCCAATTGATTGAGGCATTGACTGTGAGATTTGTAACAAATAAATTAGCTCTTAACTCTTCATGTAACAAGATGTCTAGTTTCTTCAATCACAACATCCACTTAATTTCATTAAACCCAGCTCATAAATTCTACAGCTTGACAACCAACTAACCAACCAGAGTATAGTACTTGTACATAAAATTATTTTCTTATAGCAGATGTTGGTAGTTAGAGGATAGTCTTCCATAATCTCTCAAAATTAAATATTCATTTTATCCAAATTGCCAAATAACCGATGTAAGATAAGGGGAAAAATAATGGTGACTTCTATTCCTTTGCCTTCTCAAGCATTTTTAGCTGGTAAATGGCTTATATTTATGTACAAGGATGCCATAGATCAGACAGCCATTAACTGCCTCCAAGATCATTACTGCTCCCTCCCTTCTTCAGCTGGACCACCTGTCTTCCTTGCTCAGGGCAGTCGGTCCTGCTTTCCATCCCTTTCTTTTGTCAAGCTAAATGACAGCTTCTTTGATTTTCCTCACCACAGAAGCATCTATCACTGTATCCATTATCTATTCTGACATGTTTACATACTGTGTGTGCTCAGCTGATCGGGACTCTGTCCACAGTTCACAAGGCACCTGCCCTCCAACCTACAGTTGTGTATTGTGGTGAAATATCAGGCTAAGTCAGTGAGCAGCACTTGCTAAATTTGTTAAAATGATGTATATAATTGTACACACAAGAGTAAGCTGGATGCTAGGGAAACTTTAGACTCTTGGGCTATGACTTTACGAACTACCCACTCCCTCAGACTTAGTTAATTCGTTCAGTTCGCCTCAGTCTGGAAAAAAACAATGGGCTATTGATTTTTTAAAAAAATTTCTGTGGAAGGAAAACATTCAGCTAATTTGATATATCTACTGAATTAAAATATTCTCAATTTAGTAAAATAGTATTATGTTTTAACTTATTAAAAATCATCCGTAGAAAGTATAGTTACACACACGTTTACATATTTATCACATACTTATTTTATTTTATTTATTACATTATATCTTATATTTATTATATACCGATATATCACTTAGGACAGTCTATTTGAAAAAATTGTTTCATTTTATGGTTGTGGACATTCTAATTTTAAAAAAATGCATTAAAGTTATGTAAACCTAATCATTTTATTTCTCTAATTTCAGGTTCAACAACAAAAATTAAACTTTGATATACCTTATTTTTTTAAATGTTCAAAACAATAGCACATCTCATTTTAATTCTAAAGTAGGATTAGGTGAATTTTCCAAAATACACCTTCTAATGCTTTTAATGTATTTTCTATATATTTTTCAATTAGTAAACTTCATATAAGAAAAATAAAGAGAATGGGTTACCAAGCAATTCTTGCCCATCAAATAGAAACCTATCTGAATGAGTTTAAATAATCCAACGAAACCTGCAGTAAGTCTCCTGAATGAAGCGTATTTATTTTTCTCAAGTCCATTTTATATTCTGTACTCACTAACATTTGTAATACATTACTTCCCCATGCACCAATAATTTAATGATACCTTATTCTTTGCTTGAAAAGCAAAAGAAATATTATCAGGTAGTATTACAACAAGCTAAACCAATTACCTTCTAAAATGATTTTAATGCAGGCAAAATATGAGAGTCATCATTCTAGCATAGTGAGATTTATTAAGAGAACAATTCAAAGCAGTAAACTGGACTTCTTATATGCTACATCGCTTCCTATTGAGATTCAATTAATATTTTGAAAGTTTTTACTTTATACTGTAAAATTTTAAAATATCATATTCTAGCAGATTTTGTGTAAAGAAACTAATAATATCTCATAGGCCATTTGGTTGTAGCTTTCATATATACACATTCAAATTCAAGACATACACTGCAAGTGCTATTGCTAAAAGTAACAGGCTCACCAAATAGTATGAAAAATTGTTCCCATGTCCATAATTCAAAAGAAGTGAAGAAAAAGTTAAACTAGTATAAATCTGAGACCTTCAGGTAAATTCCGAATCTCAAATTATTAATTTGCTATGCAAAGGCTTGCTAATGGGTTATGCATTATTTCTTGTAAGCACATTAGTGGATATTTTAAATCAGATACTTACTTTTTTCCCTCAAGGATAAGAGTAGGCCCTGTCCTTAAATTCTGTGCACAAAGAGCCACTACAATACAATGATTATTTTCTCTTGGCAGGGACTCATGTGTTAGTATCAGGTGCCTTATTTTATCTGGAGAATAGGAGCGTTAAAGCATGTATTTCTTCTCCAACCTCTTTTGTCACTTCTCCTTCATTAGAGTTAGCATCTTTTGTTTCTTACTGTAATTTCTAGATTGAATACCATTTTGTTAGAAAAATTTCAAAGAAAAATACTTTTTTAAATAAATAAAACAATCTCTTAATAATGACCTTTCTTTGCTACCCATGTGTTTGCTTAACTATGTACTCCGAGTGCTGTAACTACATATAACACGGTAGGTTGGTTAAAAAGAAAAATGCATCAGTGTGCCACCACACAGAGTAAAGTATGCTATTATTAGCTTAATTATCACCCCCTAATAAGAAAATAAGAAATGCCTCCAACTTAACATTTGAGAGAGATTCATTTTTAGTTACAAAATAATAAGGCCCTTAATTTTTTGGCCTGTCGATCATTCTTACTAATGGACATGAATGCTACTTTCTATATTTTTACGACTGTTATTGGATAGCGTCATACTGATGAGAAATCATTGCTCTTGGGAAAAATAATGTTGTATAGCATCAAATGCAGAAGGGTAGATGCTAAGATCTCACTCCCAGATGGAATGTGGTATTGTGATCTCAAAGGAGAAGATGTGAGTTAAACACTTTAGGCATACTTTGCATTATCATGAAGATTTGTTTTTATTATGTGCATTTTTATGTGCATTGTCTCATTTATTTGACACAAGGATTTCATGAATAAATACTTCTATTAATCCATTTTTATATGAGGAAACTGAGAAATTAATTTATGACTTGTATGAAATCATATACTCATGATTTCAAAGTCATTGCTCCAAATTTCATTTTGCCCCTTTCTCCTCCCCTATATGTGGCAAGCAAATCAGGACATGAACTACAGTACCAGCAATATACAATATACATAGTCACTAAGATCACAGGCTATGGTGCCAGGCTTCCTAGGTTCACATTCTACCTCTGCTACTTATATAACCAGTACTAACCCTCACCTTGCTTTAGGCAACGTAACAGTCCCGATCTTATAGGTTTATGGCAAAGATTAATGAGGTGGCAAGCGCAAAGTACTAAGAACATCCCTGGCATATAGGATGTTCTCAGTAAACCAGGTTGTTACACATGCATTCATTCCCTAATCATTTATCAACCTCTTTTTGCAAAGTACTTGCAGATTGGTAAAATGAGTAACAGTCTATGTTCGCAAAGATACTAGAATCTAGTAGAGAGACTTACATATCAATAGATAAACGTTAATAGTGGCTGTAAATCCATTGCTAAAGGAGAATGAAGAACAGACTACAACAACTTGGAAGAATGGTTAGGTCTTAGACCAAGGAAAGGTGGCCGAAAGTAATTTTTTGACATAGGTAGATAAAACTGTAAGATAATCTCAAAAATCTCTTTTAGAAAGTTAGGGTCTTTCACTCTTCTGGAGTAGGTTCACTACCCATTCTGTGGATGAACACACAAAACATCCTTCTAGACACACACACAAAAAAACTAGTTACAAAAGAAAACCCTTTTCTTAAAAGAAAAGTGAGGTCAGGCATTTCAACACCCTTGTCTCCCACATCCAACAGTTTATACATATATTTTTTAATGAAACAATGCAACTAAGATTTCATTCTCTAATAAGGGGAGGAAGAAAACCAATAGCTACAATCTGCAGTTGGCTTGCCTGGGATTTTGTTAGAAGAGGCCTGGTCTTATCTAGAGAGGAACAGTCTGAATGTCATGAATCTTTGTCATCTGTCTGTCTTATCTCCAGAATATCTGTCTCTACGCCTCCTCCTGGCCTCTTTTCTCACTACAGCTTGTCTTTCAGTTCCACAATCTAAGGAGGATAATAGATAGCCAGATTTTATTGGTCCCAACCACATCGTCTTCCCCACAAACCAGCAGCTCACTCACTTTTCTATTTTTTACGTTGGCCAGATTAGAAACTTGTGTCATCATCATCATTTTCCCCTACCGTGTCTCAAAGATCTAGGCTTTGAGAATAAAATTTCACAATGTCACAAAGATTGGAGGCCTCAACCCCTGCAATTTTACCACTGGACTTTCAATTACTTTGCAATTGGTCTGTCTGTTTTCTGTCCATTTCTCTTACAATAAATCCTAAGTGTTTTTCTACTAAAAAAAAAAAAATCTAAAGAAAAATGTTTCCTGTGCTGAAACATTTTCACAGGCTTCCTAATCTCCATGGAATGAGGTTTATATTCAGCCTACCATTCAGGATTTACTTGAACCAGATCCCAGCCTGCTTGTCTCTCACTCTTGTCCTTTTATTGAGACTTCAATTTAAAAACAAAATAAAGTGATCATTCTGTTGAACAGATTCCTTCTCTCAAATGCCTACTCACTCAAAAATCTTTCTATTGAAATTCTACACATTTTTGAGAACCATCCTCAATAACTATATCTCTGAATCTCACCAGGAATTCCTTCTTTATCTAAATTATCATATTGCTTTGTATATATCTTTCAGGGGCATTTGGCACATCCCATTCTAAATTGTGTTATAATCATGTATGCAACATTCTTAATTAGGAGTCGCTTATGTTTTTTCAAATGTGCTTATTTTTGTTGTTGTTGTTGTTTGTTTGTTTTCCCTACCCCTCTACAGTGATCATCTTAGTGTCTTAAATAAAAAGTTGGATAGATATACATTAACTGAGGGAGGGAACAGATGAAACAACCTTTGACGTTGCAAGGATAAGGATAAGAAACAGAGATTTTCAATTTGTAGAAACTAGATTTCCAATAGTTCCGCTTACTTAGTAGTGACCTGAACTTACACACTTCTGTTAATTTCATACGAAGACTGCTGTTCTGTGTAATAGGAATGGAGCAAGAAGGCAGGCTTTTGTTAAAGCAGGAAAATCCAGAAAACAGCATTGAGATTAGTTCCTTGCGAATAGTTCCTTGAATGTTATTGGTATATAACTCAACATCATTCAACTTACCTATCAAGATAAAAATATAAAAATAATTTTTTCATGTTGAAGTATTTCCAAATTTATAATGTAAGATTGTCTTAGTAGTAGACTGCGAAGGACACAACATTTTAACAAGGTGTAAAAACAAGTGTTAAATCTTTTTAAAAATTTACAGCTTATAATGAATGCTACCTAGGGAGAAGTCCCTGTAATTATGTGTAGCAATTTGTTAAGGCTTATTGTTAGATATAGAAGGTTTTGCAGATTCAAGTGCTTCCAGGTTCTTCAGATTACAACATTTCAGAGTCACCTTTGAATGTGCTGTCTAAATCTGAAAAAAAAAAATACAGGAATCATACCATTCTTGGACCGGCAAATATTCATTCTTTGTATGATGCTATGCCACACACCTGTTGAATTCTAAGGTTACTGAAGAGAAGGGATAAAACATTTGGAATCACATAATTTCATTCTGTTTTAACTGTTGTTTTTCTTTTTTATTTCTATCAGTAAGTATGAGCTTGAATTAACTGTTTTGAGGGTAAGCATCACTTGGAATTTAAATCAAAGCCAACCTTAATGAACTAAACCAACTCTGGATGAAAATGCCTCATTTCATATCAACTCTCCAAACTGATTATGCATGTATGCTATTTGCAGAGATGAAATTCGATTGGCTCCCACATTGAACACTGTGTTGGAAGTTAGTATTTCAGCCACTGATGTCTCAGGTGACTTGAGGCATTAGTTTGCTTTGATAAAGTAAATGAGACACAATGCAAAGATCATTAACACAAACAACTTTTTGCTAACAAAGTTTGCAGGTCATTTAGTCATTCATTATACACTCACTGGATTCAGGTCTCAGATTTTGAAAGATAAAGGGAGTTGTGCTTTAGAACAAAAGGGCAAAGAAATCCCTGCTTTTTCCCAGATGAATTGCCTAAATCATGACCTACAATATCCTGCCTGATCGGGCCCCTACCTCCCTGTTAAACCTCATCTTGACCACTCTCCTTCTTCTTTACTCTGTTCCAGTCACTTTGGCATGCAGAGCCCTTTCTCCACTCCTAGTCTTTGCACTGAGCTCCTCTCGTGGACTCATTCTTATCCTGTAAGTTTGCCCTGTGCCAGACTGTAGCCACTAGCCACATGTGCTGTTGAGCACTTAAAATGTGGCCAGTGTGAATTAAACTGTGCTGTGTTAAATACACGCTGGGTTTTGAAAATTTAATATCTATAAAATAGAATGACCTCATTAATATTTTTTCATATTGGCTTCTTGTGGAAGTGATAATATTTTGGGTTATATAAATATATTATTAAAATTAATTTTACCTGGTTCTTTTTATTTTTTTAGAATATGGCCACTAAAAATTTGAAGTTACATATGTGGCTTAGATCTGTGGCTTGCATTATATTTCTAATGGACGATGCTGCACTGTATATTAACTCACATGTCACCTTAGTGAGTTAAATTTGTCAGAAGACATTTTTTTATTTTCTCCCTTTTATGCAATGCTATATCCTCACCACCTAGACACATGTAAGGCAAAAAATAAATATTTGTGGAATGAATGAATACATTATACATTGAGAGTTTGGGATCTGGAATCCTGCTGGGATTTCAATCTCAGTTCAGCTATTTATTAACTGTAACAGCTTGAGCAATGGACTTATTCTTTCACAGAGTGTTTTTGAAGATTAAATAAATTATGACATCCAAAGGGCTTAAATCAGTGCCTGATATGTAGTAGTGCTCAATACATATTAGCTATGGATAAGTATTATTGTTCCATTCTGTAGCTAGGAATGTAAGACACAATTAAGATAATTATTTGTTTACTGAAATGTTAAAATGGAAGAGCTGTGATTTAACTCCTGAACTATTTGACTCTGAGATTTATTTTCTGTCTATTAAGCAAATATAAATCAATATTTGACTATTTGACTTAGATAAAAATCTGAAGTCAATTTAATGTTACTTCAATAATATTAAAGATAGATACATGAATCACATCTGGACATCCTCAAAGATATCAGACTTTGTGCTCTAAATTAAATATAATTGGCTAAAAACGTGGCATATGATAACAAGTATTATATTAGCTAATATTTAGTTTATCAGCAGCAGGTACTCTTCCTACATTACATATATTAACATATTCAGTTCTCACTCCAGCTCTGAAAATAGACACTATATATCATTATTTCTATTTTCCAGATGAGGAAACTGAGGTACAGAGAGGCCAAGCACATTGTGAAGGTCACACACCTAGGAGAGGAAGGAGGTGGAATTCTCACTCAGCTGATGTGGCCTCAGCACCTGCACTCTCCTGTTTTCTGCTGAACTGCATTCTGCTCTCCCATTTTATGCCTGTGGAACAGTAAAAGATGGGTGAGCATTCAGTCTTGTAGTTGCTGTGATTAACTCAGAGATAGGAACTGACTTCTGGTATTTATCAGTAACACTACATTTCTAAGAAAAATTGTTTTTCCATCTCAAAAAGTGGAATGGACTGTCTCAAAGTAAATTTTCCTTCCAGAGGACATCTTTGTAATCCACATAAGCCTCGGTTAGCCCATCAAAACCTCTGCTGTCTGAGAAGTGTTTCACCTTAATTGGACTTAAAGCAAGAATAAATTATCCTACATATCATAACACATCAGGCCCAATCAAGCTCAGAAAATGACTGTTTGCTTCTCTCTTTAGAAGCCCAGCACAATAGATCCTATGCTGATGACACTTGCAATATTTAAATAAAACTAGACCAAGTTTATGATTGAAGAAGCCATCATCTTTCATTAGAATGGGAAAATAAATTTTCAGTATTAGGCTACTAACATGTTTGAACGGCTCAATTCATTTTCTATCAGGTCATGGCCAATATTCACCACAGAGCAGCCTTGTTGAAAACAATCCTCTTAAAGAATCTACTTTGTCTTGATGACAAAGTGGTGTGTTCTTTCCCTGACAAGAAATGAGAAAAAATAAAAATAAAACAAGCTAAACCCTCCAAATGTTTTTACATTTCAGTGATTTGGTCCTGTAACATTCTCCCCTGTGTGAGAGGGAAAAAGGATAAGGGAAAGGACAGATCATTATCAGTGAGCCCTCTCCCGCATGCGGCAGAAGCAATTGAAATGTGGAGGAACCAGTAGCCAAAGGCAGCCTGGAGCAGAGGGAGATGTCAAAATGAGAGTCCGAAAGGCCAGGCTCTGCTTCAGCAATGCCATCTACCACCTCTATGTATTTGAGCATCTCACACAATCCTTTTCCAAGTAATTATTTATACAATGAGATAGATGGTTTGATTAGATCCCGAGATCATTTTTCACAATAATATAATATCACATAAGATATTTTACACAAAATCTGGACATATGCCAGATAAGTGGGGGCATTCCAATGTCCAGTATTTTGTTAGAATTTGGAAGTCAGAAGGAGGACTCCCTTCCACAGAACTTGGAGATAAGAAACATAATGATATCTGATAGATAAAGTAGCAAAATCCACACATTATGGCTGTGGTCAGTCATCAGGGAAAGTTCACAGGGGAAATGCATATGACTCTGTGTCCGAAGGGCTTGGGAACATTGGAAACTCGGAAGTACAGAAATGGAATATGAAGACGCCTAAGTATCTTGAGATCTAAACACAAGAGTTGATGTTCTTTTTTTTTCTTTTTTTTTTTTGGAGAAGGATGTATGTGTACAAAGGATACAAATCAGCCAGAAAACTAGAAATGAGAAGACCAAATATTTTTGTACTCTTTCCAATTCTAAGTTTGGGAGGGTGGCAAAGGGTATATCCTCTATGGAGATGGGCAGAGCAGCCTCCAGAGCTCGACATACCTGAGTGTTCCAGTCAGATAATTCTCACTTGCCTTATTCTGACCTGCACTTAGCAGGCATCCTTCGGCCCATGAGAAGAAAATGCATTGGAAAGAAGACTGGCATCAATGTCCAATCTGCCTATGGTTGTATTTTTTTTAATGGAAGTAAAAAAAGGACTTCCTACAAGAAATGGGCCTCAGGGAATTATGTATCAAATGGCTATTTCAAGTATTCTAATCTACCTCATAATTGTATTTATCATTCTAAATAACTAGTTGAGATTGTGGTTGAAATATACCCATTTCATTGAGCTTTATTAACGTGAGTCTGTGCCAACGTGATGGATGGTGTTGGCAAGATGAGGTTTAAAACCACATATCCCCAAATATTTCTTAGTTTCCAAATGGACATAATGTCCCAGTCTCCATCCCGCTTGATTAGTAGGGGATCCTGTCTCTTCTCCCTCTGGGTCTTTCTGGGTTTTTTAGGAGTGATTACAGATCCTGAAAACCTGTGCTGGTTTTAGCATCTCTGTCAACCATCTTCTTTCTTCCCTACCAGCAGCAGATTGTTTTTTTTCCAATTGCTTTTTTTTTCTGCTTCCTAATCAGCATTACCAAGTTTCTCTGGAGGTTTTCCTGTATAGCATCACCACAGGTCTGGCACAGGCTTGAGAACAAACCCAGTTTATTTCACCAAAGATATGGAGTTATAGAAAAGAATAATGACCAAAAAAAAAAGAAAAAGAAAAAGAAGAAAAATTTTTAAAATTGGACAAAGGTATTGTAATGGGTTGAACAGTGTGTCTCCCAATTCATATGTTGAAATCCTAACTCCCAGGACCTCAGAATGTGACCGTATTTGAAAATCGGATTGTTGCAGGTGTAATTAATTCAGATGAAATCATACTGGAGTAGGGTGGACTCCTAATCCAATATGACTGTTTTCCTTACAAAAAATGGGAAATTTGAACACAGAGACACATGCACCAGGAGAATGCCATGTGAAGACTGGAGTTAGGCAGCCACAACCAAGGTGAATTATTAAAAGTTAGGAGAGAGTTCTGGAACATACCTTTTTCTAGTGCCTTAATAGGGGGCATACCCTGCTGATACGTTGATCTTGGATTTCTGGCCTCCAGAACTGTATGACAATAAGTTCTCTTGTCTAAGCCACTCAGTTTGTGGTACTTGGTTACAGCAGGCCTGGCAAACTAATATAGGTATTGTGGTTCCCTCAATCTTCAGAGTAGGCCCCACCATAGGACCTGTAACATTATGAGCCCTCACTTGCTGTGAAAATGCAGGGACCTGGGCATCTATAAACATATAAATTCTATAACAGGGACACTAGAACCTTCTTACCTATAGTCTGCACCTCACAGTCAATTTTCTTGCATCATCCAATGATAGAATCAAAACACTCTTTCTCTACAGCTAGTGTAAGGTCTGGTTTACAGGCAAAATCAAAACAAGCTCTTCTGAGGTACAATTCTGATCACAATAAGAAAGTTTGTCTCATATGTCACCATTATGGTATGGCATTTGGTTTAACCTTTGCATAGCCAAAGAGGTGATAAAGTATTCACCAAAAATTAAAAAATAATTTTAAAGAAGGTTGAATTCTGCTATTACTTCAAAAAATAGTTATAAAATAGTAGATTTTCTACTCCCTAGATATTTAGGTTTCAGAAGTATTTATGTAAGGCACCTGATACCCTGCTTTAGGATCTATGAGAATGATGAATACACTATAGACACGGTGTGAATTCTTAGGTAAATATCATCTTTTGAGGCCTCCTGGTTGGTATTTTCCATGTGCAGGGAACAGTGTCCACACCTCACCCACATCACCATATTCCTTCAGTACTCCCTGATCTTATATATGCTAAGGGCTTTTCATAGCAAACTCTGCCTGAGGGTTTTATTTTTATTTTTTTTCTGGCCTCGGTGTTCTTGGCCCACTCACCAAGCAGACTGAATTGCTAGAGTGTTAATAGTCTTGGGAGTAACCCTCAACCAATGCAGAAACAGATGGTGTACAAATACCTATAAAAGTCAGTGTTATGAGTTGAATTGCATCCCTCAAAAAGATATGCTGAAGTCCTGACCCCTGGTCCCCATTAATGTGACTTTATTGGAAATAGAGACTTTATAGATGTAATCATTTTACAATAAAGCCATACTATATTAGGATAGATTTTAATCCAACATGACTCATGTTTTTATAAAAAGAGGAAATTTTGTATATGGACAGACATGGGAGAAGCCAGCCATGTGAAGACAGAGATAGAGATTTGAGTTATGCGGTAGCATGATGCTATGCCTGGGGCTACCAGAAGCTGGGAGCAGCAAGGAAGAATCCTCCTCTAGAGACTTTGGAGAGAATGTGGCCCTGCCAACACCTTGGTTTCAGACTTTTAGGCTCCAGAAGTGTGAGAGAATAAATCTCTCTTGTTTAAAGCCACCTAGTTTGTCATAATTTAGTATGGCAGCTCTAGGAAACTAAATTTTAGGTATTAGCTTGGCTAGGCTACAGTGCCAGCTACTTAATCAAACACTAATCTAGGTGTTGCTGTTAAGGTATTTTGCAGATGTAGTTAACTTTAAGTAAAAAGTAATACCTTCAATAATATGGTGGGCCTCATTCCATCAGTTGAAGGCCATAAGAGCAAAAGATGGAATTTCTCAGAGAATAAATTCTACCTCGAAACCGCAGTACCAACTTCTGCCTAAGTTTCCAGCCTTTCCGCTTGTCCTGCAGATTGTGTAGTTGCCAGTCTCCACAATTACATGAGCCAGTTTCTTAATAAATTCATCTCTGTGTGAGTGTGTGTGCGTGTGTGCAAACACACACACACAAGCACACACACTTTTCTGTTTCTCTTGAGATCTCAGACTGATACAATACTCTAATTCTCTTGCTTCTGGAATGGGACAATTCTGAGATATGTTTGTGTATTAGTTCGTTCTTATGCTGCTGTAAAGAACTGCCAGAGACTGGGTAATTTATAAAGGAAAGAGGTTTAATTGACTCACAGTTCTGCATGGCTGGAGAGGCCTTACAATTATGGCAGAAGGGGAAGCAAACATGTCCTTCTTCACATGGCAGTGGGAGACAGAAGTTCAGAGAGAAGGGGGAAAAGTTCCTGATAAAACCATCAGATCTCGTGAGAACTCTCTCACTATCACAAGAACAGCATGGGGGAACCACCCCTATAATCTAATAACTTCCCATAAGGTCCCTCCCATGACACGTGGGGATTATGGGGACTATAATTCAAGATGTTCAAGATGAGATTTGGGTGCGGGCATAGCCAAACCATATCAGTTCAGCACTATTTCCCAAAAGATCTCAGCAGAATTGATGCTCACAGTAGTAACCTGCTTATTAGCTTTCTTGTATTGGCTCCTTTCCTATTGTGGCAAATAGATTCTAAGATGGTTCTCATGATCCCTGTTTCCCATTATTCCCATCCTCATGTGATTCTCTTCCTTTGTGTGTAGACGTGACCTAAGACTTGTTTGTAATAGAGGTAATGAGATATGTATTATTACAAGTACAGAATTACATTACATAAGATTTTGCACCTGTCTTTCTGAGAAAATTCTCTCTCTTGCTGGCTTTGAGAAAGGAAATGGCCATGCAGGGAAAGCTCACCTGGCAAAGAACTGATGGCAGCCTATGACCTACAGCCAATAAGAAAATGAGGCTGGCCAGGCATGGTGACTCATCTCTCTAGTCCCAGCTCTTTGCGAGGCCGAGGTGCGAGGATTGTTTGAGCCCAGGAGTTTGAGATCAACCTGAGCAACATAGCCAGACCCCATCTTTACAAAAAATTTAAAAATTAGCCGGGTGTGGTAGTACATGCCTGTGGTCCCAGCTACTTGGGAGACTATGGTGGGAGGACCGCTTAAGCTCAGCTTGAGGTTGTAGTGAGGTATGATTGTGCCACTGCACTCCAGCCTGGATGACACAGAGAGACCCTGTCTCAAAAAAAAAAAACAAACAAAAAAAAGATACTGAGGCCATCAGTATGACAATTCACAAGGCATTGAATGCTGCCAGTAACCACATTACCGTGGCAATAGATACTCCCCAAGTCTAACCTCACACGAGACTGCAGCACCACACAACACTGTGATGGCAGCCTTCGAGACCTGGAAGCATATTGGTTAGACTGCTGTCTGTGTTCTCTGGAAAAATTCCTCAAATTTTTCTATATGGTATTAACAACTTTATGAACCTCATAGACCTGTCATTCACATTTTTCTGATAATGTTTAAGTGATATTTTAATAGTGATGTACTAATGGAAAAAATGCAATTAGAACTTGGGTCATCAAAGTCCTAGTTCAAGGATTTTCTTGTTCTACCCAAATGTATTCCTCTGGTGCTCACAGGAACTCAAATGTTGCATATAAACTTCTGGTGATATAGAAAGGCTCTAACTGACCTTCATACAGGATTCAGTATGTAAGTGTGGATGTGGGGGTGTGCAGGTCTGTTTTTTGTGATTTGTGAGAATTTGATTTTTACATCAACATTTTTATCCATCAGCTCACATCTCTATTTCCAATTTAGAGCAACTTGGCAGTAAGAAGGATCAAAGATAATCATTTCATATGAGGAAATAGAGGGTTATTCAGCTATTAGCAGTCAAGAAAATTTACCCTCTTGGCCTCTAGCTTATTGATTGACATTGATTCAATTGGAAAACTGCAAAGATGTGGCTGTTTCACCTCCATTTAAAATAATTAGAATTAGCAAGAGAATGTCTTATTGCCATACCTGTCGCTAATTTTCACAATTACCATGAACTTCTGGGAAAGGATAAAGGGGAAACCCATACTGACCTTTCTGGCAGGCCAGAAGATATTAACAATCAACCCAAAGAGTTCACAGGATATCCTTTTCAGTAAGTTGTTCTTATTTATTTTTCCATAAAATTATGACCTGATTCATTATCTTGGCATTGATTTATAACTACAGTTCTTTGGAAAATATATAAGGTCTGAAGTCAGGAAAACATCTCAGAAGCATTCACTCTACCATGTAACCATTAATTTACCCTGATTTGGAAAAATAGCCTGAAAACTAGTGAATGCTTCCATCTCAGGAGAAACTTCAGTGTCACTAGATATGGTAAACTGTAGTATGCTATTTTAACAAAATCCAGAGCAAAAAATGGATGAATCCAGGGGAACTACCTATAGCACCATCTGAGGCTTAGGATGTTAAAAAAAAAAAAAAAAAAAAAACAGAAACAAAACAAAACAAAAACTCTTCTGGTAAAATAAAATGATTCTTAAATTGATAAAAACTAATATTTAACATTATTATAGAGAATCATTAAGCAAAATTTGAAAGTAAAAATATGGCAAAGACATGCCTGGCAAATACTAACCAACACCAAAACAAACACACAAAACACAACACTGACAGCCTACATTAACATTAAGCCAGGTTGCATTAAGAGAAAAAGCAAAAAAGTTAAATGATGCCAAAAAGTATAACAATAAAATCATAAAGAGTATAATCTGTAACATAGTTTTATGTAAATTATCATGTTAATATATATTAGATAATATAGCTTCAGCTATTTTTAAGGCAAAACTTCAGAAACCACAAAGATACATAGAAATACCACAAAATTGAAAGTTTTTACTTATTCAGTCTAAGACAAAGCAAGCATACAAAAAATTTTTAGATAATTTATTCGGAATAGGGAGACAGAGGATTTCAAGAATCATCACAAATTCCTATCCCACCGTTTTGGGGTTACAGTCCATCCTCCCGAATGTTATTTGACACATGAACACGTAGGAACATACTTGTAAGTGACTATTACATCAAAGAAAAAGCAAAAAAAAAAAAAAAAAGAGACATAGCTAGAAAATAAATAAAACACTGCTTATTGTTGCTCATGAAATTTTGGCTAGAGTTGAGCTCTAATGAAAATTTAAAGCTCTAAGAAACTGAAACTGCTAAATATTTAAAATTTTATATTATAAAGAAACACACTACCCATTGTAGACAAGGGTGTGGGGATATGGAACCTCTTTACCATTGTAGAAAGGAGGTATAAATCAGTAAAACCTTTTTGCAGACTATTATCTGTCAAAATAAAAAGGAAAATGAATACACCCTCTGGCCTAGCAATTTTACTTGCAGGAGAAGGGCAAAAACAAATGTTTTTCAGTGGGCTATTGGAAAATAATGATTATCTATGAAAACTCATGTAATCCCATGCTACTATGAACTCATTAAAATGATTCAGGTAAATAAATAACAAATCAAAGTATAGTAAGTATAGTTCTTCTTGCAGAAAATCCCCCCTAAACCCTACTATAAATTTATATATGGATATATACATTCACATACAAATATTTATAAAGATACTTATAAAATATTAACAATAGCTATATCTTGGTAATGGTTTCAGAAGAAGGTTGTTTTGTGACTTTTTTTAAACTATAAGGCTGTATTACATATAAAATACACACCCTTTGAAAGGTTCTCCAGATTAAGAATATTAGACAAGGATTTATTATAATAAATATAGGAATGTATATCACAGCATTATTTATAAATTTGGAAAATAGAAATAATTAAAAGGTCTAGAAATAGGAAAATGGTAAGTTTTGTTGAAAGTATAGAATGAAATTCAGGGTAACATTTAAAAATTATCTCATAAGAGAGTATTTTTTGGTGAAAAATTATGTTAGTAATAAAATGCCAGACTGTTTTCAAAAGAGAAGCTATAAAGTATACGGCCTTAATATGCAATGATTATATACAGTCAGTACTATTGACTAACCATGCCTGGAGGGGTCCTCATTCTTTGTCTGGCATCAGTCATGGCTCTACATCCATGGGGCACATTGAGGACTTTGCAAAAATCCTTCATGCCTCCATTATCTGCTATTAACAATCTAACTTTTTTTCTAAGTTTGGGATATCATTTTAATTCCTGAATATTATACATGTAATTGATTTTTACTTTGTCCATTTTTTGTCCATTTGCAATTATATATAGAGAGAGAGACAGCATACATTTCCATAATTGTAAACTAACATTTTTATAGCCTTTATTTCAAGCAACTTTACCTGACTGAATCTGTGCCTTTCCGTCAATCTTATCATCATGATGTCATCATGATGTTGGTACACATACACAGTGGCCATGGAGTTGGAGTTGATGTGTAGGGATATGGGAGAGAATAGATTAACATGTTAATGTTGTTTGTATTTTGTGTTTAAGTGATAAGACTACAAGTGGTTTTTATCTTCTGTTTCCTTATTTTTATTTTATGAATGTTCTAAAATTAATATGTATTTCTTCAGTAATTTTAAAGTTAGTGGAAAGGCAACTTTAAAACAATGTAGATACAGGAACCCCAATTTTGATTTGGTACTTATGTATATATTATATACCCCAACTTAGTTGTGGTTGTCTTTGGGTGGTAAGAATAGGATTTTTTACTTCCACATATTTTTAAAATTTATAATCAGAATAAAGTCAATAATTAAAAATTTAAGTATGTTCTTGTACTTAAAAATGTTAGTGATCAGAGTCCAAGATGGATGAATAGGAACAGCTCCAGTCTACAGCTCCCAGTGTGAGCGACGCAGAAGACGGGTGATTTCTGCATTTCCAACTGAGGTACCGGGTTTATCTCACTGGGGCTTGTCAGACAGTGGGTGCAGCCCAGCAAATGTGAGCTGAAGCAGGGTGAGGAAGCACATGGGGTCAGGGAATTCCCTTTTGTAGCCAAGGAAAGCAGTGACAGACGGCACCTAGAAAAATGGGTCACTCCCACCCTAATACTGAGCTTTTCCAACGGTCTTAGCAAACGGCACACCAGCAGATTATACCCTGCACCTGGCTGGGAGTGTCCCATGCCCATGGAGCCTCACTCATTGCTAGCACAGCAGTCTGAGATAGAACTGCAAGGTGGCAGCAAGGCTGGGGGAGGGGCGCCCACCATTGCTGAGGCTTGAGTAGGTAAACAAAGCAGACAGGAAGCTCAAACTGGGTGGAGCCCACCGCAGCTCAAGGAGGCCTGCCTGCCTCTGTAGACTTCACCTCTGGGGGCGGGGCATAGCTGAACAAAAGGCAGCAGAAACCTCTGCAGACTTAAATTTCCCTGGCTGACACCTTTGAAGAGAGTACTGGTTCTCCCAGCACGGAGTTTGAGATCTGAGAACGGACAGACTGCCTCCTCAAGTGGGTCCCTGACCCCCGAGTAGCCTAACTGGGAGGCACCCCCCAGCAGGGGCAGACTGACACCTTACACATCCGGGTACCCCTCTGAGACAAAGCTTCCAAAGGAAGAATCAGGCAGCAACATTTGCTGTTCAGCAATACTCGCTGTTCTGCAGCCTCTGCTGCTGATACCCAAGCAAACAGGGTCTGGAGTGGACCTCCAGCAAACTCCAAGAGACCTGCAGCTGAGGGTCCTGACTTTTAGAAGGAAAACTAACAAACAGAAAGGACATCCACACCAAAACCCCACTGGTACATCACCATCATCAAAGACCAAAGGTAGATAAAACCACAAAGATGGAGAAAAAAAAAGAGCAGAAAAACTGAAAATTCTAAAAATCAGAGTGCCTCTCCCCCTCCAAAGGAATGCAGCTCCTCGCCAGCAATGGAACAAAGCTAGACGGAGAATGACTTTGACAAGTTGAGAGAAGAAGGCTTCAGACGTTCAAACTTCTCCAAGCTAAAGGAGGAAGTTCAAACCCATTGCAAAGAAGCTAAAAACCTTGAAAAAAGATTAGACAAATGGCTGACTAGAACAAACAGTGTAGAGAATGACCTTAAATGACCTGATGGAGCTGAAAACCATCGCACCAGAACTATGTGACAAATGCACAAACTTCAGTAGCCAATTCGATCAAGTGGAAAAAAGGGTATCAGTGATTGAAGATCGAATGAATGAAATGAAGCAAGAAGAGAAGTTTAGAGAAAAAAGAGTAAAAAGAAATGAACAAAGCCTCCAGGAAATATGGGGCTATGTGAAAAGACCAAATCTATGTCTGATTGGTGTACCTGAAAGTGACGGGGAGAATGGAACCAAATTGGCAAACACTCTGCAGGATATTATCCAGGAGAACTTCCCCAACCTAGAAAGGCAGCCCAACATTCAAATTCAGGAAATACAGAGAACGCCACAAAGATACTCCTTGAGAAGTGCAACTCCAAGGTACATAATTGTCAGATTCACCAAAGTTGAAATGAAGGAAAAATTGTGAAGGGCAGCCAGAGAGGAAGGTCGGGTTACCCACAAGGGAAGCCCATCAGACTAACAGCAGATCTCTCGGCAGAAACTCTACAAGCCAGAAGAGAGTGGCGGCTAATATTTGGCATTCTTAAAGAAAACAATTTTCAACCCAGAATTTCATATCCAGCCAAACTAAGCCTCATAAGTGAGGGAGAAATAAAATCCTTTACAGACAAGCAAATGATGAGAGATTTTTTCACCACCAGGCCTGCCTTACAAGAGCTCCTGAAGGAAGCACTAAACATGGAAAGGAACAACTGGTACCAGCCACTGCAAAAACATGCCAAATTGTAAAGACCATCGATGCTAGGAAGAAACTGCATCAACTAATGAGCAAAATAACCAGCTAACATCATAATGACAGGATCAAATTCACACGTAACAATATTAACCTTAAATGTAAATGGGCTAAATGCTCCATTGAAAAGACACAGACTGGCAAATTGGATAAAGAGTCAAGACCCATCAGTGGGCTGTATTCAGGAGACACATCTCACGTGCAGAGACACACATAGGCTCAAAATAAAGGGATGGAGGAAGATCTACCAAGCAAATGGAAAACAAAAAAAGGCAGGGGTTGCAATCCTAGTCTCTGATAAAACAGTCTTTAAACCAACAAAGATCAAAAGAGACAAGGCCATTACATAATGGTAAAGGAATCAATTCAACAAGAAGAGCTAACTATCCTAAATATATATGCATCCAATACAGCAGCACCCAGATTCATAAAGCAAGTCCTTAAAGACCTACAAAGAGACTTAGACTCCTACATAATAATAATGGGAGAATTTAACACCCCACTGTCAACATTAGACGGATTAACAAGACAGAAAGTTAAAAAGGATATCCAGGAATTGAACTCAGCTCTGCACCAAGTGGACCTAATAGACATCTATAGAACTCTCCACCCCAAATCAACAGAATATACATTCTTCTCAGCACCACATCACACATATTCCAAAATTGACCACATAGTTGGAAGTAAAGCCCTCCTCAGCAAATGCAAAAAAACAGAAATTATAACAAACTTTCTCGCAAACCACAGTGCAATCAAACTAGAACTCAGGAATAAGTTCAACTACATGGGAACTGAACAACCTGCTCCTAAATAACTACTGGGTACATAATGAAATGAAGCAGAAATAAAGATGTTCTTTGCAACCAATGAGAACAAAGACACAACATACCAGAATCTCTGGGACACATTCAAAGCAGCGTCTAGAGGGAAATTTATAGCACTAAATGCCCACCAGAGAAAGCAGGAAAGATCTAAAATTAACACCCTAACATCACAACTAAAAGAACTAGAGAAGCAAGAGCAAACACATTCAAAAGGTAGCAGAAGGCAAGAAATAACTAAGATCAGAGCAGAACTGAAGGAGATAGAGACACAAAAAAACCCTTCAAAAAATCAAGGAATCCAGGAGCTGGTTTTTTGAAAAGACCAACAAAATTGATAGACCACTAGCAAGACTAATAAAGAAGAAAAGAGAGAAGAATCAAATAGATGCAATAAAAAATGATAAAGGGGATATCACCACCGATCCCACAGAAATACAAACTACCATCAGAGAATACTATAAATACCTCTATGCAAATGAACTAGAAAATCTAGCAGAAATAGATAAATTCCTGGACACATACACCCTCCCAAGACTAAACCAGGAAGAAGTTGAATACCTGAATAGACCAATAACAGGCTCTGAAATTGAGGCAATAATTAATAGCATACCAACCAAAAAAAGTCTAGGACCAGATGGATTTACAGCCAAATTTTACCAGAGGTACAAGGAGGAGTTGGTACGATTCCTTTTGAAACTATTCCAATCAATAGAAAAAGAGGGAATCCTCCCTAACTCATTTTATGAGGCCAGCATCATCCTGATACCAAAGCCTGGCAGAGACACAACAAAAAAAGAGAATTTTAGACCAATATCCCTGATGAACATTGATGCAAAAATCCTCAATAAAGTACTGGCAAACCTAATCCAGCAGCACATCAAAAAGCTTATCCACCACGATCACATGAGCTTCATCCCTGGGATGCAAGGCTGGTTCAACATACGCAAACCAATAAACGTAATCCAGCACAGAAACAGAACCAAAGACAAAAACCACATGATTATCTCAATAGATGCAGAAAAGGCCTTCAACAAAATTCAACAGCCCTTCATGCTAAAAACTCTCAATAATCTAGGTATTGATGGCACGTATCTCAAAATAATAAGAGCTATTTATGAAAAACCCACAGCCAATATCATACTGAATGGGCAAAAACTGGATGCATTCCCTTTGAAAAATGGCACAAGACAGGGATGCCCTCTCTCACCACTCCTATTCAACATAGTGTTGGAAGTTCTGGCCAGGGCAATCAGGCAGGAGAAAGAAATAAAGAGTATTCAATTAGGAAAAGAGGAACTCAAATTGTCCCTGTTTGCAGATGACATGATTGTATATTTAGCAAACCCCATCGTCTCAGCCCAAAATCTCCTTAAGCTGATAAGCAATTTCAGCAAAGTCTCAGGATACAAAATCAATGTGCAAAAATCACAAGCATTCCTATACACCAATAACAGACAAACAGAGAGCCAAATCAAGAGTGAACTCCCATTCACAATTGCTACAAAGAGAATAAAATACCTAGGAATCCAACTTACAAGGGATGTGAAGGACCTATTTAAGGAGAATACAAACTGCTGCTCAACAAAATAAAAGAGGACACAAACAAATGGCAGAACATTCCATGCTCATGGATAAGAAGAATCAATATCATGAAAATGGCCATACTGCCCGAGGTAATTTATAGATTCAATGCCATCTCCATCAAGCTACCAATGACTTTCTTCACAGAACTGGAAAAATAAAAACTACTTTAAAGTTCATATGGAACCAAAAAAGAGCCTGCATTGCCAAGACAATCCTAAGCCAAAAGAACAAAGCTGGAGGCATCACGCTACCTGACTTCAAACTATACTACGAGGCTACAGTAACCAAAACAGCATGGTACTAGTATCAAAACAGAGATATAGACCAATGGAACAGAACAGAGCCCTCAGAAATAATACCACACATCTACAACCATCTGATCTTTGACAAACCTGACAAAAACAAGAAATGGGGAAAGGATTCCCTATTTAATAAATGGTGCTGGGAAAACTGGCTAGCCATATGTAGAAAGCTGAAAATGGATCCCTTCCTTACAGCTTATACAAAAATTAATTCAAGATGGATTAAAGACTTAAACGTTAGACTTAAAATCATAAAAACCCTAGAAGAAAACCTAGGCAATACCATTCAGGACATAGGCATGGGCAACGACTTCATGTCTAAAACACCAAAAGCAATGGCAACAAAAGCCAAAATTGACAAATGGGATCTAATTAAACTAAAGAGCTTCTGCACAGCAAAAGAAACTACCATCAGAGTGAACAGGCAACCTACACAATGGGAGAAAATTTTTGCAACCTACTCATCTGACAAAGGGCTAATATCCAGAATCTACAATGAACTCAAACAAATTTACAAGAAAAACATCAAACAACCCCATCAAAAAGTAGGCAAAGGATATGAACAGACACTTCTTAAAAAAAGACATTTATGCAGCCAAAAGACACATGAAAAAATGTTCATCATCACTGGCCATCAGAGAAATGCAAATCAAAACCACAATGAGATACCATCTCACACCAGTTAGAAAGGCGATCATTAAAAAGTCAGGAAACAACAGGTGCTGGAGAGGTTGTGGAGAAATCTGAGCACTTTTACACTGTTGGTGGGAATGTAAACTGGTTCAACCATTGTGGAAGACAGTGTGGTGATTCCTCAAGGATCTAGAACTAGAAACACCACTTGACCCAGCCATCCCATTACTGGGTATATACCCAAAGGATTATAAATCATGCTGCTATAAAGACACATGTACACGTATGTTTATTGCAGCACTATTCACAATAGCGAAGACTTGGAACCAACCCAAATGTCCATCAATGATAGACTGGATTAAGAAAATGTGGCACATAATACACTATGGAATACTATGCAGCCATAAAAAAGGATGAGTTCATGTCCTTTGAAGGGACATGGATGAAGCTGGAAACCATCATTCTCAGTAAAGTATCACAAGGACAAAAAACCAACACTGCATGTTCTCACTCATAGGTGGGAATTGAACAATGAGAACACTTGGACACAAGAAGGGGAACATCACACACTGGGGCCTGTCCTGGGGTTGGGGAAGGGGGGAGGGATAGCATTACGAGATATACCTAATGTAAATGACGAGTTAATGGGTGCAGCACACCAACGTGGCACATGTATACATATGTAACAAACCTGCACATCATGAACATGTATCCTAGACCTTAAGCTATAATAAAAAAAAAAAAAGTCAGTGAGCATAGTCTAAGTTCTGGTGACTCAAAGTGTAGATCACAGACCAGCAGTGTTTGATGTCACCTGGGAAGTGCAGAAACTCAGAATCAACCCCATTTCTGCTCATTTAGTATCTGCCTTTTAGCAAGGTGATCAGCATGAATATGAAAATTTCACAAGTACTTCTGTAGGTGATGATTCACTACCCAGAGACTTTTTTCATCTATGTTATCATCGTTCTTTAGCTCCTCTGTTAAAAATTGATTGGCGGCCGGGCGCGGTGGCTCACGCCTGTAATCCCAGCACTTTGGGAGGCCGAGGCGGGTGGATCATGAGGCCAGGAGATCGAGACCATCCTGGCTAACAAGGTGAAACCCCGTCTCTACTAAAAATACAAAAAATTAGCCGGGCGCGGTGGCGGGCGCCTGTAGTCCCAGCTACTCGGGAGGCTGAGGCAGGAGAATGGCGTGAACCCGGGAAGCGGAGCTTGCAGTGAGCCGAGATTGCGCCACTGCAGTCCGCAGTCCGGCCTGGGCGACAGAGCGAGACTCCGTCTCAAAAAAAAAAAAAAAAAAAAAAAAAAAATTGATTGGCATTAAGTGCTGCTACAGTTAGAAGTGACTGAAGTTGGATGATGAACACTTATTTCTAACACTGGGTCACTCCTATAGTGCTTTGAATAGGATTTCTTTTCTGTGATGTTTTGATTAAAAATATACATAACTTATATGGCTATAAGTAGTCTATTTGAACATCGAGTAAATGAGGGAAGGTAGGGACAGGAGAGTAGAGAAACTTTGACTATAATTAATCCTCACCCATAAGCAGAGAGGAGGTTGTCAGAGGCATAAGTCATGATGGGGTTAGGAAGTGGATATATTTTTATCAATCAAATCATTTTTGTTCAATCCTGATTATCAGATTACGGGAGGACTTATTAACAACTTATAACCATATGTAGCTTTTGATTTTATAAATAATTTTTCATAAGTATCTAAATGTATTGTTACCACTACCCAGTGGGATAGACATTTTAAGCAAGATCACTGTGGTTCAGAGAGGTTCACATCTGGCTAAAGAACTGAGAGCTAATCTCAAAGGGTCAAAGCTTCTTTCTGCAGCAATAGCCAAGATTTAAGCAGGGAAGAGTCATGACAATTCTTCCTCATGGACGAGTCTGACCACAATCCCATTGCTTCAGCCATACATCTTTCTCACCTACCTAAGCCCAGGACTGTGTTGGGTACTAGGCAGAAAGCTAAGAAACATAATGTATAGTCCTCACCAACAAAGAGCTTACAATCTTCTGAAGACAGACTGTCATTCCCATATTTTAAATATATTTACATCATCCTTATGAACGTGACATATCCTAGGTGAGTGTTCATTCTGGAAATCACTTTTTCTTAACCTCTAGCTCAATAAACTTATTTTGTGACAATGCTGGGGACTTACATATATGAGCCAGCGTGCTTGTACCAAAATAAGTGAGTTCACTTTTATCAGAACATTTTTTTCGCTTTTCATTGTGATGTCAACATTTATCCCCAGAAAACAGGAATAGCATTTCCCAGATTAACCACCCCAGACTGTTTCAAATGGAAATCCCTCCTGATTATGTAACTTGTTCCTGTTCTGAAGAGCTGCACCCCAGAGAGCAGAGAATGACATTCATCTGCCATTGCTGCTGCTCCTGGTTAGAAATGACTGTTAAGTATCGTCACCAAAGTAGGAGGTTTTACTGCTCTGCCTACTTGGTTGCTGGACTCATTAAGATCACTGAAAGGGTTGGCTTAGAAACAAATAAAATGTCTTCAATAATGAATGCTGTAATGAAAACTACAGCTTTTAGTTTCTATAAACATGGACTAGAAAATGTTATCAAAATTTTGCCTTAGAACTGAGCATTATAGGCACACAGACATTTTTTCCAACCTCATTTGCATGTATTTACTCATTCTAGTTGATAGCTCCAGATATGAGTCTTTAGACAGCAAAGCAGCAGGGTAAGAGCATGGAGTCTGCAACTGCATTTCCTGAGTTTGAACTGAGATTTGACCAAGCATTAGATGTGTATACTTAGGCAAATTGCTTAACCTTGCTGTGATTCAGCTCACTCATCTATAAAATGGGAATAATAATTGGATCTCAGAGTGCTGTCAAGAAGACTGAATGAGATCATGTAACCATGGTGCTTAGGACAGTGCTTAGCATCTACTTGGCATCACACATGTATTAGTTATTGCTAAATAGTGCCTTCTCTGGAACTGAAGCTCAAACATCTTCCTTTCATAGGGAATGTACAGTAAAATATTTCTGTACGTTCTGTGTGATAGTGCAAGTCTTTACTCCTGCAGAAAAGGAAAATGGTAAAAATAGTACTGAATAAGAAATTAGGAGTTACACGTCAGTAATTATAATTCTCTAAATTAACTTGGGAACTAATTTCTTAGCCTTTCTAAGATACAGTTCTTCATTTGTAAAACAGGAGGTTAGAATAGCTAATCTCAAAATTTTCTTTCAGTCCTAAATTTCAATGATTCTGAGATTTTGGTTAGGGTTCCATCTCGTATGAGAAAGGGAAGTTTGGCATGAGTGATCATAACTAATAATTGCATGTATAATAATTCATAATTGAAGCTGAAAGAAAAGGCATTTTAAACTGTCTTAACTAATAGCTAATAGCTATTCTTTATAAAGTTCATTCCAATTATCTGGTGCTTATATCATTGGAAAGAGTATCCACTATATTAGAGCTAACTGGAACCCTTAGAAAACTCACTCCTGGGAGTGAATATTTATCTATTGAACCTCTAGAAGATTGTCTAAAATGACCCTAGGAAGCTGACCCAGAAATGTTGGAACCACTGCTCTAATAATTCCATGGCCCCTGGCACCCAGTGGGAGGTCAAAGCAGTCCAGCCACAGGAGGCTGACTCTTGGCCAACAGCTGATTAGCCTGCTGGAGGAAGGAGATCTGAACTGAGGGGACAGACTACTCAGGAGTCTTTGCAGACCCATTGAGCCCCCATATGGCTTATTCAGCAAATGCTTTAGTTTGTATGGTAGTGGGTTGTATATGTGAAGCTAATGAAATGACTCTTGACTTATATCAGACTGAGACAGCTTAAAAATTTTCCATCCACTGCTGTCAGTAATAATGGAGGGTAAAAATTATATCCAAACTAAAAACAAAATGTAAAAAGCCATGATGGTGACATTGATGTGATTCCTTGCCCTCATGGTGCATGCATCCTGGAATACCTGTCCACCTGGAACTCCCTTAGCCTGTGACATTTGCCTGGGAAATCACCCATTCACATTTGAGGGAAGATTGCTATGGTTTATAATTCACACACCATCATCCTCCCTCCAACCCCACATAACTCCATCTTTAACAGTGGAAAAATAACAAGTCCTTGTTGAGATATGCTGATAAGTGACCAGGACTGTAAACTGACATATTAAACTTTTCAGTGTTCTTGAGGCAGGCAAAATGCGAATGCTAAATGTTCTTTATTTAATTGCTCTAACAGATAGGATTTTGCTAACAGTAAGAAAAAAATTAAAAGAATAGTTGGGAGAAGTTCTATGGATTAGTGCTGTCCAATAGAACTTTCTGCAAAAAAGGCAAGATTTTAGATCTGTGTGCTGTCCACTAGCCATATGTGCTTATTGAATACTTGCAATGTGGCAAGGGTGATAGAGAAACTAAATATTAAATTTTATTTAATTTCAATTCATTTAAATAATATGGCTAGTGGTTACCATTTTAGACAGTGTAGCTATAGATCCTACAAGTCAAGAAACTTGGCTTGTTACTATTTAGTAAATAATTTTAACCCAAGCCCTCTGCCATTGTTTCCACTTTTTTTTTTCTCAAAACCACTTGAGAAAAAAAATTAACTTTTAATTTCCAACCTTGGTATTGAGTAGTCCAGCTCCAAGGAAAATTATTAGGGGGGTGTTGTATCTGTTTTTCTCCCGTGGCTTTTCTTAATATCAATTTTCTCCTTTAACTCTATTAACTTCTTACCTTTTTAAACCCTCAAGCACTGTTTCTTGTCCCATCCTCCTGTTTTGCTCCGTTGCTTATAAACAGTTAGTTTGTAATGCCCCCTTGGAACACTTTTATTGCAATATATTATTACTGAAGACCAAACAGTGTGTTTGAATCCTAAAGCCAATGTTTTTCAAAGTGTGATCTGAGAACCCTGGCATGAGAGCCACCTGAGGGTTTGGGGAAGTGCATGTTGAAAATTTGGGGTGTTAAAGTCTCCCATTATTAATGTGTGGGAGTCTAAGTCTCTTTGTAGGTCATATTGAAGAATCTATAGTATGGCATAGTTTTTTGAGAAATGGACTCCTTAAAGTTCTTTAGAGACAAGTTCTCGTCTTGTTTTTATTTAATATTTTCAGTCGGTGCAATTATGGAATAAAGAATACTCTTATTTTTGTTTTGAATTTTCAAGTGAGTGGAATGTTTTTTCAATAGCTCGTAAATATGAATTAAAATTAAATTGTGAGTTCAATATGAGTTGAATTTATTAAATTTCAAAGGTTTCTTGTAGAGTGGTTCATTTAGATGAGTAAATAGAGAGAGTGGTATACTGACAATATCACAATTGCGTTTGCTGTCAGGACAACCTAACCCAGATTCTCAGTCCATGACATAGCATGCAAATGTCATGCTAACACTCAGATACGAACACATAGCCAATCCTACATCAATGCTATCCTATTCCTGGATAGCATCGTGCCATAAGGAACCAGTTTGCAGGACTCATCATTGAAGTTTGGCATTTCAGAAGAGAAAGATTAGTGCCTTCCTTTTTTATATAAAACAGCCTTATAGATTTCCATCTAAAAATAATTTCTTCATCAAATATATTCTAAAAAAAATTTTGCTTACTGCTTATAGCTCCCTCTTGAGTATTCAAATATATACTAACATATTAATAGCTCTGAGAAGTCATATTGCAAAACCAACTCTTTAACTTTACTTAACCAGCATTGCCCAAATCTGTTTGACCACAGAGCATTTTCATGGTGTGTTTCAGTTATTAACTCTATGATATACTATTTGGGAAATATTGTCTCTCAATTGTTTAAGTCATTTATGCAAGTGTATGGAATAGTATGATTTTCATTATAAGCCTACATTTAGAACAATGTTTTTGTATTGTAATATCTTAATTTGAATAAAGGAACCAGTACAAAAAAAAAAAAAAAAAGAAAATTTGGATTCCAGAGATCTACCCTCAGATGCTAATTTTAAAAAAATCTGTAGAAGAGGGAACAAGGACTCTTCTTAGGGACCAGTGTAGTGGGTAGACTCTGCAACCAGGCTGCCTTGGCTTGAATTCCAGCTCCAGATTTTACTAAATGTTAATCCTTAAGCAATTAAAAAACCTATTTGTACTTACACTTTCTTCCCTGTGAAATGCGAAAATCATAGTCCTTAACTCAGAGCTGTTGTGAGGAAAAATTCAGTTGATATATGTGACGTGCTTAAAAGAGTGCCTGGTGATATTAAGCATCATATTAACTAGAATTCCTATTACATTTAGCAAACAACTTGAATGAATCTTACATACCTTTGAGAACTTCATTTCAAGGAAAACAGTAGAAAAGTAGAGAACACAGATTGTGTAGTGATAGCTCCTGTCTTGCGTCTGTGTGTCCTCAGCTGTAAACTGAGATGGTGATATTTGCTCAGAGTTAAATGGATATAGAAAACAAATGTGAAAGCCCTTTACATTTCACGTAAGCTGTATTATAGTTTACACATGAGGATACCAGATTGGGGTTTTAGAATGAGATGCTTAGGGGCTATCAAATAGAGTATCACATTGGGAAACTGCGAAGAGAAGGAAGAATAAAATTCATGTATGTGGGAAGGAGGAGTGGTATCCCTCTGTGAGTGCAATTTACAAATAGCTGTGCTTATAACACATGAAGACTTTCAGTGGAACCATTGTGCATACCAGGTTATAAAGCCTTCCATTCCATAAATAACATACACCTACCAATTGGGACAGGCACTTTTCTCTTGTCAGCAAGCTGGAGTGAAAGCTTTGCTGATCATCATGCTGGCAGGTAGAAAGTGGACCTCATCATCAATTTATTCTGGAAGTGAGAAGCTCCTTGCCCCTGGGAGAGATTATAAGATGGAGTCATTTTACTCCTGACACCTTCAGATTCAGTTACTCGTTGTGGGAAAACTCAAGATTCACATTCTGTGCCTTTGGCAAGAAAACATTTTCTACAAGCTACTGGCTAACACCTCATAGAAAAGTTTTATTTAAGGTCCATGTGGGACCAGACACCAAAAACCAATAAATTGACTCTAGAGAACACAAAATATCTCAAGGCTGAAGCTGGCAGACTTCTTTTCTTTTCTTTCAGTATTACGGATCAGTATTGTTTTAAATGAATAATTGAATTCTGAAAGCAGTATGTGGTAAGTTTTGATATTTTCTACCCTCTCAATTTCTGAAATAGACATGTAAACTAATTACCCTTCATTTTACTTAGATAGCATACTGTGCTCCATTTCCATTAAAGAAACTATGCATGCTACCCTCTTTCAATATTTTAAAAGTACTACATGTCTATCATTTAAGTATTTTTCTATGAATATGATTGTGCCTTAGAGCTTACTTCAGAAGAGCAAAGTTTAATCTAATTGCCCAGCATAATTACCTGTTTTCTGAAGTTAGTTTAGTTCTAGACTTCCCTTGGGGATGAGACATTAAGTTGCCCTGAAAACGGGGCTGGGGAAATTGAACTGAGGGAACTCATGGTACAAAGGAGCCCTGAGAGCTATAGTCAGCTCTGAAATTGAGACAAGTTGAATCAATGGCACCTCAAAGAGATCTTTATCTAAGCTTCATCATAAAATCTTCCATTAACAGGAGAAAATTGTTAGAAGTTTTTCAACAGGACTCATCTTCCCTAGAACCCATGAATAGAAAACCTACCAGATTCTGCTGGAGTGAATAGGATCAGCTGAGCACTCAAGAAGGCCAAATTGACACCTCCTGGGGCTGATTATGACTAGACAGACAGGCTTTAGGGCATGCAGAACAAGCTACTGAACATATTGCTATTTCTTTTGTCTTCATACCAGGTTGAAGTTGAGTTTTAAACATATTTTTCGCCTCAATGTAAGCATTGGAATAAACACAATTAAACACGTTTCTTGAGAGATAATCTTTTATTTATGCCCCCTTTTGTCAATCCCCATCACATTTTCAAAGTTAGTTGTCCTCCACTGTCCCAAGAAAAAAATACTGGCACCTAAAAGCAAAGAGAAATGAAAAATACATACTAATCCTTGGCTTTTGAGCTTCCAGTGACCTAGTCTAGGCAACATAAGGGTCATTTAAGAAAGTTTCAGAGGTAAATCACTATATGCAATTTTAACATTACTGGCTGACTTCAGTGCCAAAGCACCTGTGTAATTTGACTTCACCTAAAGTCAGTTTTCATCTCATGGAGACTCATAGAAACCTTTGACAATCCAGTTAAAGCAATGAATTCAATCTGTAGTTAAAAAAAAAAACAAAAAACAAAAAACAAACAAACAAAAAACCTCGTATATATAAACACAAAAATTTTGGACGCAATTTTAGAAGGTTTTTGGATATTATGAAGTCAATCCACGGATGCCCAGAACAAACCTAATTTAAATTACACTAATTACACTATCGACTGGAAGGAATAGACTTTGGAATCTGACAGCTTAAATTTGCACCTTGGCTCTGTTACTTCCTACGTGAAGTACCTTGTCTAGACTTCATTTCTGTCCTTTGTAAAATGAGAACAATGAAAGCATCTATTTCCTAGAGTTTTTATGAGAATTAGATGATGTAATATGTACAAAACTCTTAGCACAGGCCTAGTATAAACATAGCATTCAATGAAAGTTGGCACTATTTTGAAATCAATCATTTGAAAACAATGTGAATAGAACTCAACAAAACGAAAATTTTCTTAAATGCCATTATTCTCCTTTTCTCTCACCCCAGAAGATGTAGTAGATGTAAAATAAAATGGATTTAAAGGAAAAAAAAAAAAGCAGACAAAGATTGAGAG
The DNA here is from genome assembly GCF_000001405.40 of Homo sapiens. Taxonomy (NCBI): domain Eukaryota; kingdom Metazoa; phylum Chordata; class Mammalia; order Primates; family Hominidae; genus Homo; species Homo sapiens. Next base: position 180,577,534 of record NC_000002.12, on the reverse strand, counting down.
GGGTGCTTGAACATGGATGTGGTAGAGGAACAAAGTACCATGGTGGAGGAAAAAGATAGGGTGGGCTTTTAATCTGTATCTTTAAGAACTTTCCTGGCCACATGGTAGCTCAAGGGACAGAAAAACAGCATTGACTACCCAGTGCCACAGGGCCAGCAGATAGCATTCAGGCTACACAGGAACCTGACAAGTGTTAGGAGAGATAACAAAGAGACCTGTGAGCATGGCAAACCCCATAGCATCTCCAAACCCCATACCATCTCCAAACCCATCCCCAGCATTATCTGACTACCATCAAGGGTTGACAGTCATCTGGTGAGGAAAGTGCAAAGAGGGATGGTCATGTTCAAATTGTGGCATGGTGGGTTTTCTGCCAATGATCAACATCCACATTCACCTACTCTTCAACCCTCAGGAGCACAAGCTAGAACCTGGGCCTCCATCTTCCAATAACAGCCAGAGCAAAACAAGTTCAAAAACAAAAATAACTGTACACCCGAGGAGCATAATTGTTGCAAAGAAAGGCAGCCATCCAAACTGCACGTACTAGGTGACCCAGCATTAGCACTGCTTCTGAAAATTCTAGCCAAAAACTCTAAACAAAACTAGTAAACATTCTTAAAGAATTAAGATAGAATGGTTGGAATATGCATTTATAAATAAGAACCAAGTAGGCACACTTGGTGTGAAAAATGTTAGTTTAAATAAATTACCAATACCTTGGATAAATAGCTAAAAGATACAGCCAAATAATAGGACAGAATATGGAAAAGTGGGCTAGAAAATTCTCCCAAAATGTCCTAGGAGAGAATAAAGAGAGAGGAAAAAAAAGTCAACATACTTGCAGTCAGCAATAGGAATATCAAAGTATTTTTAAAAAGAAATTCCATTTGGAAAGAAAAAAAATGTATGTAGACACAGAAAAGGAAATATTTCAAGAAATGACATCGAAAAATTTCTCTAATTGAAAAAGGTTGGAAAACTTCTGATTGAAAGGGCTTCAGAATGAAACAGCATAGAGAATAAGAAACCCAAACCTAAAAACATTGTAAAATACATGGCTATTGAAGACAAGGAGAAAAACTTAAAAGTTTCTAGAGAGAAAAGGAGACTCTCCATAAAGGGAAACAAGTCATATTGGCCTCAGACTTCAAAAAGGCATGCTTGAGTGTAGAACACAGTGATATAATATTTTCAAAATGTTGTAGGAGATAGGTTTCTGATTTTAAATCAAAATCCAAAAATATGCTGTTATATATAATCATTAAGAGACATATTTAAAAACAGATTTTTTGGAACTTGGCAAACTCATGCTCAAATTCATATGGAAGAATAAAAGCCAATTTTAAAAAAAAGAAAATTAAAGGTGTATGGGACAGTTAGAGAGGAGGGGCTTATTCTACCTATATTAAAATGTAACCAAATCTCTAGTGATAAAAGTCGGTATAGTATTAACTCAGGAATAGACAAATAAACCAATGGATGGGAACAATGTTTAGCTTTCAACATAGCACCACAAAGTAACAGGGAAAAATGATCATTTAGGAATGGTATTTGGAAAACAGAATTAGTATATGAAGAAAAATAAAGCTAACAGTGCACATTTCCATGGCATAGATGGTAGACAGATTTAAAACTTGTTATTAAATAAAACGAATAAAAGTGTAAACAAAAGTTTTGTAATTCAGGCATAGAAAAAACTTTTTAAATAAAACCCCAACATATAAACTGTATGGCAAAAATATATGGATCATTTGATTACATTGAAATTAAGGATTTCCGTCTAATAGACAACAGACAAAATCAACAGATAGATGGCATAATAAGAAAGACATTTGTAAGTCAATAAGAAAAAGACAGAAATCTCAATAGAAAAATGGGGAAAATAGGCGAACAAGCAGTGTATAGGTAGATAATACCATGGCTAACAGGAACATATATGAAAGAATACTCGACCCTACTATTAATCAGATAAAGGAAAAATTAAAGAACAATAATATATCAGTTTACACAGTCAGAATGGCAAAAAATAATTTTTAGGAATGGCAGGAAGCTGGAAACAATCTGTGTTGTTATTGATCAAAAACATGTAAAATATGGACCATGAAGTCAATGGAAAAACCAACTATAGGAAGGAAGGAAGGAAATACCACAGAGTAAAATTTCAAATGTGTTAAGCACGAAAAGTAAGAAGCAGAGAAGCTTAAGCAGCAAAATATCCTATACACAAGATTAAAAATACCGTCACATAATAATATTACAGGAATATGTGCATATTTAAGACCTGTATCACAAATAGGGTGGTGCCCATGTGTAAGAGGGGAATGGGGGCAGACATTGAGAAGAAGAAGAAAAATAACAATAGATAAGGTGGAAGCCTTGAATTGACCAATGATGACAATGTGCAATGGGCTGAGGAATATATTAAGTCAACTCTGCACTCAACTTAAAAATAAAAACAAACACATAGATCTTTAAGGCATAGAACAAATTAAGCAAATAAGAACATGAAGATGAAATAGAAAATATTAAAGAGATAAGAAAAACTTTAGATTTGGATAGATTTCAATATCTTTGTATGGAAAAAGTTGACAGTAATTTTTAAAAGTCTAACATAATATAATTTAATATTTTATTTCAGAGATTTAAAAAGGTGTTTTATGTATTTTAGAGATATAGTAAGACACTGGTCAAGGAAAGGAGAGTGTTAATTTTTAAAAAGTATCTGCATAACTGTTTCTGTCAACTCTATTTCTGGCTATAGAGGAAAAATTGTAGAGAACTGTGTAAATTTATAGAATTAAAAAAATGTTTTAAAGTATAGAATGAAGGATTAGTGGAATAAAAAGAGTTTCTGGAAGGGACTGTTAAAATACAAAAAATTCGTAATGTTAGTTTAGACTAATGATCTAATAGAGAATAAAACTGAGGTGACCAAATGATTAGGCTTGGCTCTAGAAAAGGATGGGGATTTTGTATTATAGAAATAGTTGCTGTAGTGGTGACAGACATGGGGACATTTTGAATATCTTGCTTATCCTTCCTTAGTTTCAAAGGATCATATATCTAGTATGATGACATTGTAAATCAAAGATAATAGAACCAGTCATACCTAAAAGGATAAAACTGCAGAAAGAGTTGGAAAGTCACCTAATATTTAATACTGATAATATAAATAATAATACCATTGATATCTTGAATTAATATACCCCCTCACTTCCTAGGGGCTGAAAGAGCTGTGACCGTAGCCCACAAAATGTTTCACATGAATATAAGACTGCCATCATTTTTTATAGGTTATTATATTGATTCAATGCAATGAGACCTGGTAGTGCCCCACCTTCTCTGTCAACATCAGAAGGATTTGTGGTCACATTCTCATAATGAAAAGGAAGAATGGGCTGTTAGAACTAGCCTAAGGCAGGAATTTTGATAAACGAGATGAATCATGCCTCAGGAGAGGGAGGTAGAAAAGAAATGACTAAAAATAATCAGGGTAAAAATAGTTTCAGAAACTGGAGAAAATACTACTGGAATCTCTATATTCATGTTTCAACGATAGGTATTTTTGTTGCCTCCATATGCTTCCTATACACTGATCGCCTACCTTAAATGTCCCCATGTCTGTAAGAATCAAAGCTTCTATTTCCATAATTACAAATCCCTGTCCTTTCCTAGAGCCAAGCCTAACCATTTTGTGACCTCAATTTTATTCTTCATCTGACCATTAGTCTAAAGTAACATAACATATTGATATTTTAATGGTCCTGATCCCCCCCACCCCAAGACTCCTTTTAGCCCACTAATCCTCCATTCTACACTTTAAAACACATTTTTATCTATGAATTTACACATTTCTTTATATTCTTTCCTCTATAGCCAGATATAGAGTTGACAAAAACAGCTATGTGATGACACTTTTTTTAAAATGTAACATACTCTCTTCATTCTTTAAAAAAGTCTGACTACATGTCTTAATTGCTGAATATTGAACATTTTAATGGGGCTCTGAATAAATTGTTATCTTGCTACTGTTTAAAATTAGCTCTATATTATGATTTCAATGCCTTGAATATGTCAAGCATTGTTATAATTCCTTATAGAATCATATGTATAAGATTCCTTATAGAATTATAAAACTAAACAGTTACATAACTTGCTAAACCATGTTGACCACCTTACGTAAAACCAATAATATTGTGTGGATGCAATGATTCACTGAAGTTGTTTTACTTCTAAAATGAAATTTTTATGACACAAGGTTGAAATAGTTTGGGCATTATAACCAAATATATCATTATAATAAAAAATTCTATGAAATAAACAATGCAACAATTACCCAGAATTCTGTATTCCTACTAATGTCAACTGAGAATGAGAGAAGAAATTCCAATAGTTTCATGACAGGGCTACAAATTACACGTGTTTCGTATGCTAAGGACCAAGACAAAAAACCCTCAGAGTTGACACAACGGTTTAAACTGTTGAATGAGTGTTTTGCTTTATTAGATAAAAAGATACAAGGTCATTGAAACAGTGAAAAGAAGAGAGGGAATCCTGTATACTCAGCAGAATATTGAAAAATTCTACCTTGAGGGAAATAATCAAATATTCTCATTATGTTATTATCAACAAATGTAACTTTTTCAGTCTCAGGCAATTCATCTAGTTTTGGAAAATATTAGTGATTATTAGTATATTCTCTGCTGCCTCATGATTTTTGCTTAATAATAAAATATATGATACTCTCATAAACCACAGATGTTTACGTAGAGGTTTATTACTTTCCTTCCTATACAGCTTTAATGTATTTGCTAAATATTTTCTCTTCTCCTCTGTGTCATTTTCATAATTAACAATTTTCAGCATCCCCAGACTGGGTTGCATTGCTTTGTAGCTAAAAGATCAAATACTTAATTTGAACTGAATAAGTCAGTTAGGAAATACAGCACCAAAGAAAGTGCTCAGCACCCTCTTGCAACTTCTAAACAGATGGATGTTTACTTTGCAACAGAACTATTGCTCATGAGCCTGTAATCAAATAGAGAGAGAGAGAAAGAGAGAGACAGAACAGGAGCCACTGATATAATTAGTTCTTCATTCTTCTCATATATTTAATCTAAAAAATTACTAATAATCATTTTGCTGACATGACTAGTCCTCAAAATAATGGCCCTTTATAACTTTGCTTTATTAGAGACACATTCCCTTATTTGAAATCCTCAGGGCTCAGTTGCAAAAGTCATAAGAAAAAAATACATCAAGGGCATGGTTCATTTCAAGAGCTTATGTATGAAATATACAAATTGATAAAAAGATGACTTTTTATTGAGATATAATAAACATGGCACAATATTCACTATTATAAAGTATAAAATTCAGTGACTTTTAGTCTATTCACTAAGGTATAACCTTCACTTCTACCTAATTTCAGAATATTTTTAATATTCCAAAAAGAAATCCCATACCCATTAGCAGTCATTCCCCATTCCCACCTTCTACCAACCCTTGGAAACCATGAATGTACTTTCTGTCTATATAGATTTGTCTATTCTGGATATTTCACATAAATGGAATCATATATTTGCCTTTTTGCATCTGGCTTCTTTCACTTAGCATGGTGTTTTTAAGGTTTATCCGTGCTGTAGCATGAATCAATATTTCATTTTTTATGATGATATTTCCATTTTCATTTTTTGTTAGGTATGACAAAAAGCAAGACTTTGTCTTGCTTTCATCAGTGCATGGACATTTGAGCTCTTTCAACTTTTTGGCTATGATGAACATGTTTGGAATGCTATGAACATTTATGCACAAGTTCTGGTGAGGACAGACATTTTCAATTCTCTTAGTTATGTACTTTGGAATGGCATTCCTGGTTCGTATGCTAACTCCATGTTTAACTTTTCAAAGAAACTGACAAACTGTTTTCCAAAGCAGCTGAACCATTCTACATTCCCACAAGCAATGTATGAGAGTTCCAATTTCTCCATATCCTCACTAATACTTGTTTATTGTCTGTCTTATAGCCCTCATAGTACATGTAAAGTCATAAGGAAGATTAAGTTTTACAGAAACTCATGTTAAAGGAATCTTTTGTCATGGGATTTCTTTAATGATGACTTATCTTGTTATTTAACTTATGTCAATTTATTACAAAAATCAATTTTTACAAAACTGTTAAAGTTTTTTTAAGAAACGGGTCCCTCAAACAAACCTGTTAATTAGTTGAAATGATATGGTAACTAAGAAAAGTCTCCAAACATGTGAGGAGAGATTGATATTGCCACAGTAGTAAATTATTTATCTGGCATCACTGGGGAAAGAGATGGATTCTTCAGGGAAGATGTCAGGCGTATTCTTTTTTAAACTCCTAATACTTTTAAGTCATTTCTGGTGGAATCCTTTCTAAAGTGCCTTTTGAAACAGAAAGCGCAAAGATGGTTTAGTCATTCTTGATAACTCAGGGAATGTGCTCTGAACATCTATCATAATACTCTGTTTAAATCCAGTTAAACAATCATGGACTTGTCACATGAGATATATAGAGCCGCTTACCACTGCAATAAATTTCCAAGCATTTTCAAATCTTGTGATTGTTTTATAGATTTTTTCTTTTTTTTTTTTACCCTTCTTTGCTAATGGGCTACATTTATTCATGCTGTCAATGAAAACGCTTTTGAACACTCGTTTAATGCTCTTCTTGATGATTTTTAAGCTAGGATAAAACATTAATTGGAGCACTTCTGAATCATCTGAATCTGTACACAAAATTTTATGTTTATATACATACGTTTCCTGGGGAGGCTTTGTGTTTTTTTAAGATACATTGGAAATAAGAAAGGCATACATGTTACCAAAAGCTAACAATGCCTTTTTTAGAGAAAATATAGTATCACTGCTTATTAAGGCTGACCACTGGTAAACTCTGGATAAATATGCTACTAATGTAACTATTTATTTACTGTCAATATTATTGAACCATATGCCTTTATATTTTGAAGTCTGTGGGTAGCGTAGAGGTTTGGTAGATCCTTTCCTTCCAAATCACCCAAATTTTGACATGATTCAATTTGAGTGTGTTAGCAGGCCCTGCTGTCTGATCACTAATACTAATTAAGGATCTTTAGATCTTGTATTGGTTATACCTCAGAAATGTACCTGCTCAACTCCCTCTTATCACTTGGTTACTCTTTAAAATTTGATCTTTTAAAATTAATTTTCAGACCAGTTATTTTAAAGGCCAGAAACACTTCTTAACTTTGCACATACACTTACTATGCATAAAGTAGACAAACGTCATTTTATTTATAGAATTTTCAGTTGGAAACTAATTATCTAGGTATGGCACATTCCTGAGTTATAGCTTTCTTACCTAGTTCTTCTAGAAAATTTTATTCTGTCTCAACTGCCACAAGATTTCCATCAATAAGTGAAAACTGAGATTCTGTTCTCTGACTTCACAAAAATCAAATGTTCAACACTACATAAATAAGACTAGTTATATAAATTGTGTTCCATTCATATGATGAAATATTATGCTCCCAGTAAAATATGAAGTAAGCATTTTAATGACATAATTCTTGTGATATGTCATTAAATTAAAAACTGGGATCCAAAATTATATATATAAATGATAAATTTTTGCACAAAAGCATCAAAAATATTAGATGGGAGCATGATAATTATCAACCATGTCTGATCCTAGATTTGGAGATTATGCATGATTCTTGGTAAGCAATTTAGATGTTATTCTGCTGTCAACTGAAAAAGTACTATTTTTAGGTAGGGAGTGGCACCATTTGATTTATAATTTTAAAAAGACTTTGGTTAATACATAAATAAGTAGTAAGTAGTAAGAAAGTTGTTAGAAGTCTATTGCTAGAATCACATGAAAACTTTCAGAGGCTCAAACCCCAGTGATGACATGAGGTGAATGAGAAGTACCAATATTTACGATAAAATGTAAAGGCAGAATGTAAAGTTTTGGACTGAACAACTGGAAATATAGATTTATTTAAGTGGTGAACTCCAATGCCTAATTAGAGAGGGTTGAATATATAACTGAAAGTGAGAAAGTGAAGACAGTGAGTATGGACAGTGAGTATATACTGTACAGTGAGGCTTTTGAGGCAGACCTGGTGTATAAAGGAAGTTTTTAAATCATCTTTGTATACTGATAGAGATGATCTGGGTGAAAGTGAAAAATTGATTCTGGGGATAATTATGAAATTTGCAGAAACAAAACTTTGAGAAAAAAATGATTGACAATTATAAAGTACTTATTATGCCCAAATGTAATATAATCACTTCACACTTAGTAATTCATTATCTCCTTACTCAGTTTAAGTGGGGTACTGTTATTATTCCCAGGTTATGGAGAAGAAAACTAAGACACACAGAGGGTAAGTAATTTATCTTCATTCTTAATGACTGCCTGGTACTACCTCAGAAAACTAATTGTAGGGTTAATCCAGAGGGCATATGGAGGTTTAATACTAGAAAGAAAGGGAGACATTTTTTTCTATTTCAAAGGAAATGAAGTATACATGTGGGGTGGTTGGTGAATTTGGTTTTGGGAAGAGGAAACAGCTCTCATCTGATAGAATCGATTTTCCCTCTACATGTGAGTGAAAATCGGCTGAGATGGAGATAAGGACTAGGGTTAGAAACTCAAAGAAAAAACAAGGGGGTCTGAACTACTCATTTCAGAGACTAAGGGAATGCAATTTATTGAAGAGGTACAATATAATTACTTGACAATGTGTGACTGGCCCTTGAGATTTTGAATGTAGGTACCAAGCAAGGGAACATTTGCATTTGCAGAGGCAAACGTATTGAGGGAAAAAGAGTGCCTATTTTTATAGACCCAGAATCTAAGCTGAGCCTATAAGGAAGGACATGGGAACATGGAGGTGACCAACAGCGACGTGAATGGATTAAAGTTCCTGATGTAGTCAAGGTGTTATTAAAACGCAAGTGCTAGAGTAACAGATTGGAGGTTAGAAGTGGGGATGCTTGTAACTGGGATTTTTCAAGGTAGCACAGTTACGGAGGAAAAGCTCTTTAGAGGGGGCATGCCAAGGAACTGAGACGCCCAGTGATGAAGGAAAAATGGCTTAGAAGCAACAATGGGGAAATAGGAGGATATCTATTTCATGTCATTAAAAATTATTCTGCCTCCTATAAGTAGTTGTTTAAGGTTACTTAAATCTATGCATTTGTATTAATGACAGAAAGTATGAACTTACAGAAACCAAAAGTGTGTTTTTACAAACTGATAGTATGTCAAGTTAAACAGCTCTGATAGTAATAAAAAGAGAATGATTGAATATGATATGGATATCAATTATAACAAAATCTTGAAATATTTTCTTTATAATTCTCAGAAATGAATATTTCCATAAGGAATAAATAATAAAGATGTGAGAGAATTCAACTGATCAATGTGTTTCCAGGTAGGAATGCATCTAATGTGAAACTGGCAAAATAGCAGGAAATGAAATGAGCACAATTTTAATGTATTATTTATTCTAAGTTTTTTACATTTATATTGACACAGGAAATAAGTATAATGAACAGTCACATAGGTTGAGTAGCATTTAAATAGTAAATCATCTAATTAACTAGTCACTTGAAAGCAAAAAGGAAAATTTGCTTTGGATCTGTTGATTAATTGCCACATTTCAAGAACATGTTTTAGCTGGCTGCATTTAAAAAGAAATAATATGAGATCATGAAAGCATTTCATAGTAATGAGCAGTCTCTGGTTTCTGTTTATTGCAAATACAAAGGATACTAACAATAGTTTTGGAAAAATGAGTAAAGCTCTCAGAATAACTAGCACAGAGAGATGAAACACTGGTGTGAGGCAGATCAATTCTAACACTATCTCCTGGGAAAAGAACATACTTTCTTAAAGCTAGAGTGGAAGGAATATGTGCCTCAGAATCGTATGGTTTTAACTAGTCACCTTTGCACAAAATTCCAGTTCTGGCCACATACACTCACAGGAGGGTAAACACGGTGGTTTACTAAAGACTCATCTGTCATATAAACCATTATTGTGTTGCATATTCTAGCAGGCCTTCAAACAGGGTCTTCCTTTATACATGATGGGGACAGGTTCCAATGTGTGAATTATTTCTTTGCAATTTCCCTTTTTGTTAAAATTGCTCCTTTCACATTCAAAATGAAAGGTGGGAAAATAGAAGATTGAGACCCTAATACTTTAAGGTATATAAATATTAGATTTTTTTTCTAGGCATCTACATGTGGTAATGGGAATAGGAAAAAATAAGTGGAAATAAATTGTGAAGAAAGAAGAGAGATTTCAAAAATGGAGTCTATCTGGTGTGTGTCTTTTTCTGTTTTCTCTTTTCCTAGAAGGTTGGTTATGCTCCATTGGTCAGAACAACAACACTTGAGGAATTGTTTCCTCTGTCATGCCATATACCTGATGCAGAAGAGAATGTAACAGTATGGAAAATGCTTCTGATATGATTGTAAGTGAAAAAAATAAACTCCAAGCAGAAAGCCCTAAAGGCCCTGTCCTGACCCCCTGTTCCCTCCCTTACTTCACTTCCTATGACTTTCCTTACTGTTCCCTGCATTCCAGCCCCATTGACCTCCTAGGCATGTCCCTGCCCAGGGACCTCACATTGGCTCTGGCCCTTGTCTAGACCTCTCTTTCCCTAGATATCCATGTGACTAACTACTTCTTCTCTTTTGAGATTGTTTCTAGTGTCAGGATCTCACGTAGGTCTACTCTTTTATCCTATTTAAACTTTCAATGCCCTTCCCCAAACTCCGAGCACACCTTTCCCCTGCCATATTTTCTCTAATTTTTTAACTATAGTATGGCAAAACTTTCTAATATCAACATACTTTACTTCTCTCTCTCTCTCTGTTGGGATCTCACTATGTTGCTTAGGTTCCCGGCTTGAACTGATCCACCTGACTCAGCTTCCCAAGTTGCTGGGTAATTCTTTTATATTATCTGTATTCAACCTCCCAAAGTTTAATCTTCATGAAGGCAAAGATTTTTGGTTTATAATGTATACTAAGGTCTTAAAATGATGTTGGCACTCAATGAATATTTGTTGAAAGGTGAATAGATGCATAAACGGTATTGTCACTATGTTTACTATAGTGTTAAAAATTTTGTACATATATTGCTAAGGATTCAAAAAATGTGAAAAATTTAAAAGTTAGATTTATTGAGATGACAGAATTGTGAAGAAATGATGTCTTCTTATTTGATGTTGAATTATTTCTAAAATGCTGTACAATAAGAGATAATAAAAATAAATGAAAATATGTGGAGGTTTTTATTTCCTTTCATGCAAAGCAAGAATATTATGAACAGATATGGTGATCAATTCAGTACACTATTGCATACTATAAAGCAGAGATGGCCTAGTTCATCAGTCAATATTAAATGTATTTATCTCTTTTTGAGCAGATTTCAGCCTGTATTAAACAAAATATGCAGTGTAGGAAGCCCTAGGCATGAGAACACATATATTGTTTTAGAAATGCTCTTTAACTCTAAGTTCATATGATGATTTGTTATCCCAAATATGTGTGGTCTCTGGAAAGAAATTTTACATAGTATTTTGCTTTGTTTCCAAGAATGTTTATTTCTTTATTTCAATGTGCAGCGTTACCTGAGATACCTTTCTTTCAATTAAAACTGAATGATCAGTAAGTCGCAAAGCAACACATTAAAATTATAGTAAATATTGTAGTGTTAGCACTTAAAGGATAAACTCACATTTCTCACTTCTTCCTAATTCATGGTAATGAGTTTTATAGTATACTGAATATGGGTTATTGTGTGAGATAATTGATTTATCAATGCACTGTATTAAAAAAAAATTCAAAGTCCCTGCATCATTTCTGATACTCTTTTACTTCTAATTCTTTTCCATATGGTGGCATGCAATTGAGCAAATTCCCCTGATAAATTCCCTTTCAGGTATATAAGTACTGCATAGGCAACATTTTATCTATCCTATTTTAAAATAATAAATATTTCTGACAGAGGATGAAATCAGAAACTTCACCACGAATATTTGAAATAGTTTCTGAACAAAATGAAATCATTTATGTCCATTATTTTACCTACTTGCTTACAGATTTGGTATGAAAAGAAAGGGAATTCAGAATAAAAGTAAAAGAATTCTTAAATAAAATGATCCTTGCCAGACACAGTGGAACATACCTGTAAACCCAGCAATTTGGAAGGCTGAGGCAGGCGAATCTCTTGAGCTCAGGAGTTTGAGACCACCGTGAGCAACAGGGCAAAACCCCATCTCTACAAAAGAAATAAATAAATAAACTAAAAACTAAAATTGACAGGCATGGTGGTGCGCACCTGTAGTTCCAGCTACTTAGGAGGCTGAGGTGGAAGGGTTGTGTGAGCTCTTAGAGGTTGAGTTTGCAGTGGGTAGCAATTGCACCATTGCACTCGAGTCCAGGTGACAGAGTGAGACCTTGTCTTAAAACAAAATCCTTTAATTAATCCTTTAAATTAGAATTTTATGTCAACGAAAAAGTTTAAAGGAAAAAATCATTATGTACATGCACTCAGATTATATTTAAAAGAGAATAAGAAGAAAAAGGGATATCAAGATAGCCTTCAAACAGTGTTATTTACCTAGCAAACATTGAATAGACATTTGGGAAAACAAATTTATTCTTTACTTGTTTCACTTCTATTTAGAGTGATGTTTTTAAGGTCAGATTCATTAAGGTATAATTTACATACAGCAAGATTCACCTTTTTTAGTGTATAGATCTATGCATTTGACAAATGTGTATGGTTGTGTAATTGCCACAGGAGTCAAGATATGTAATAGTTTCACTCTACAAAAATTATTTCAGTCACCTTTGTAGTCAACTCCTCTCCTGAGCCACAGCCTTATAATGTTCCTTCTTTTTTTTTCTGGTAGTATTCCTTGATCTGAAGTCTATTTTGTCTGGTATGAATGTAGTCACTTCAGCTTTCCTCTAATTAGTGTTGGTATAGTACATCTTTTTACATCATTTTATTTTTAATCTATACTTGTCTTTATATTTAAAGGGGTTTCTTCTGGACAGAATAAATTGCTTGTTAGCCAATATGACCATCTCTGTCTTTTCATTCGTGCTACGATAGTTATTATTATCTGTTCACTTGACCAAATTGAGAAATGTCTAGATGGCTAGTAGAAGAATTATTTCTGTGTGTGTCTGGGAGGATTCTACCAGAGGAAATGGACCTGTGAGTCAGTGGACTGAGACAGGAAGACTCCCTCTCAATGTAGGTAGACATCATCCAATTGGCTGGGGGACAACAGACCAAAGAAGGGGGATACCCAGTATTCTCTGGCTTCTTCTCTCTCTCTTCCTGAGTAGAATACCTTCCTCTCCTCCTGCCCTTGGACAAAAGACTCCAGGTTCTTTCAGCCTCTGGATTCTGTGATTTGCAACAGCAGCCTCCTGGAGGCTCTCAGACTTCCCTGGTTCTAAGGCTTTTGACTAAGCCATGCTACCAGTTTCCCTGGGAGCCACACTACTGGCCTCTGGTCCTCCAACTTGCAGATGGCCTGTACTAGAACTGCATCTTTGTGATCATGAGCAAATTCCTCCTAATAAATTATCTTTCTTGTATATGCTATTGGTTCTGTCCCTCTGGAGAACCCTGACTGATATAAATGCATTTAAATACTTTTATAAATTATAAATATTTATATAGTTAAATTAAAATCTGCTTTCTTGCTATTTGTTTTCTATTTGTTCCATCTGTTCTTTGTTCCTTTTTGTCTCCTTTTTGTCTAATTATGATTGAGAAATTTATATAATTCTATTTTATTTCATGATTAGCTTATTATAAACAACTTTTTAAAATGTAGTGGCTGCTACAGGATTTTCAATGCCCATCATTGATTAATAACAGTGTACTTTCAAATAGCATCATACTGCTTCATTTAGACTGCAATTTACAAAATGGCATACTGACGATTCTTCCCCCTCATCTTTTGTGCTATTGATTGATGTTATCCATTTTATATTTACATATGATATAAACCCCTAATGCATTTCTACCAGTGTTTTTTAGACATTCAATGATACTTTAGCGTATTTTTGAACGTCTAAAGAAAAGCGATTTAGAGTGATTAAAAATAAAAAGTGTCTTTTTAATTTACTTTCATTTTAACTATTCCTAGAGTTCTTCATTTGCCTGCTTGTGTATAGATTCAAATTTCTGTCTAGTATCATGTTCCTTTGCCTAAAGACATCTTTGTTTTCTGTCTGCTTGTTTTTTGAAATATTTCCTGTGGTGCAGTTCTGCTGATATTAAATTCTTTTACATATGTATATATGTATGTTTGTATGTATGTATTCTGTTGTCTCAAAAACTATTTCACCTTCATTTTTGATAGATATTTTTTAGCATTTCTATTTGACTCTTTTGAATAGTTTTCATTTCTTTGCAAAAGTCCACATCTGTTCATGGCTGTTGACCATGTTTTCCATGAGAAATTATAATTTATTAATAATAATATTTAAAATTTCCTGTCCAATAGTTCCAATATTTGGGCCATTTCTGAGTCGGTGTCTGTTAATTGCTTTATCTCTTTCCAGTGGGCTCTTTTTTCTTACTTGTTTGTGAGCCTTCTATTTCTTCTATTGAATGTCACTCATTGTGAGTAGCTCCAGTAAGGACAGGGAGAAATAATATATGTGCCTGAAAATGGGCATCCCTCTTTGCTAGACCAACAGTGCATGCAGTTGACTCAATCTACTCCATATCTGAGCTGGTTTGAGTTTTGTTGTTCCTATTGTTTCCTTGAGTGTATCACAGACTTTAAATCCTGGAGGGTTATCTTGTGTTTATCTTGGGAGCTGGGTTGCCAGAGCGTTTTGCTGAATGTTTCTACTCCACCCTTGGCTTTCAGCCTTCCCTTTGTGCCTGCACCTCATAGTGGGTGTCTCAATCCTCTTATCGCTGTCACAGAGATAGACATTTGTAGCTTGCGAATTGGGACTTTCTAACCTTATTATAGAAGTGGAAAGGAGTTTCTCTATTGTCCTGCTCCAGCCTCATTCTTAGGCTGGCCTTGTGTCCCTGGGCCTTAGGGATGGAGCTTTGGCAGTCATCCTGCTGCTCACCTCCCTGGCAGGCAAACCCTCTTATATTTTTGGTAGTTCTTGTGTGGGACTTTCTTGCTGCTCCGGTGATAGGGTTGAGCATGGTTTCCTGTTTCCTTAAAAATAAAAGTTTTTTTTTCTTTTACTCTTTCTCAGGCTGTAATGGATCTTAATTTGTGCCCTGAGGTTGACAGGGCTTACTGCTCTCTCTTCAAGGGCTTAAAACTCACAGGAGAAGATGGTTCTGCCAGGGCTTTGTGCCTTTCCTGCAGTGGTGGCCTCTCCCCTCCTCCAAGCCATAAAACAAAGTTCGATTTTTATTGTTTTCCTGCCCTGGCATCAGAGTTTCTCATCAACACTAGTTGTGTTCCATGGAAAAGAGGATGAGTGGGTGCAAATCCCCCTTGTGTTTATGGCTCCATGGATTATATGGTTTTACACCTACCCACAACCAGCCTTTATCAATTCATTAACAAATTCAGTTAATTTTTTATCTATTTGTAACGGCAACTCTTCCTTCCATGCTCTGTGCTTGTGATGGGCTTGTGTCTCATTTTTCCTTGAAGATGCATCCTTTTTATTAGATTTTAGGCTACTTGGTTGCCCTGCATCTTTCGGTCTGTGGTTCAAATAATTACAATTGTATAGTTTATTCAGCTTTTTGTATTGTAGTTGTTAGAATAAAAACAATGCTCTTTTCAGCTTTCAGCATTTTAAATAGGTATGGAGACCCTAGAATATTTTTTTTTCCACAAGATCTCCCTCTGTTGCCCAGGTGGGAGTGCAGTGGTGCAATCTAGGCTCGTTGCAACCTCTGCTTCCTGGGCTCAAAAGATTCACCTGCCTCAGCCTCCTGAATAGCTGGGAATACAGGTGGGTGCCACCATGCCCAGCTAATTTTAGTAGTTTTTGTAGAGATGGGATTTTGCCATGTTGCTCAGGTTGGTCTAGATCTCCTGAGTGGTGATCCACCTGCTTCTGCCCCAAAGTGTTGGGATTAAAGGCTGTGAGCCACCATGCCCAGACCCAGCATACCTTCATGAGTGGAAAAGGATGCTACTAACAGTTATACTGGAAAGCAGTATAAGCAAGCACTGGCCAGGGAAACTGGGAAGCATGGTCATTTTACCTAGGTGGGTCTTTTGTGCTGTGCCCCTGCAGCTCACTTAACTTTTCCTTGTTTCAAATGCCTCGCTCCGCTGGTGAAAATCCTACTCTTCAGTTCATTCTTGATACCACCTCTTCTAAATTGACTTCTCTGATCCGATTTGCCAAACCTTTTCTACAATTTTTGCCTCGGTATTATAAGTGATATGGATTGATCCTCCCTTCCCATCCCCTATAGTTATGGTTTATTATCATGCCTATAAAAATGTATTGAATACATTGATAACCTTTCCTGCTTTGTATATACTCTAGACATTTGTAAATAAAATATAACTTATGTTACTAAAATGTTTGAAATAACTCACCTATGACATGGATATGTTAATTAGCCTAATTTGCTCATTCCACGATATATGCATGCATGGAAGCATCACATTATACCCCATAAAAATATATACAATTATTATTGCTCAATAAAAATAGAATAAAACAAAGAACTGACCTCTGAAACTTTGAGCCAGTCTCTTTAGAGATGAGTAGGATAACTTGCTAATTTTTAAATTGATCTATTTAGTTTTATTATATCATCTTCAACAAGTTTTAGTTAAATGTAAGTCTTTCAAAATTATATGTTTAATCCTGATCATGTTTTTCAACATTGTGTGCCATGTAATATTCAATTATAATTATTTTTATAAACCTTATTTATCTATGACTACTCAGCATTTTTCCTTCAAACTTTCTACACATATTTTCTTATTTTTAAAATTAATTGAGGAGAAAAGCCACCTCTGGTAAGAAAATAATTATCACATATAGTATTTTTGTTTTCTATTCTATTGATGTCTGCTTTAATCCCTATTAATTCCTTCAACCTACTGTGCTTAGGCGTGTTTATTTTTTCTATGTTCTTGAGTTCTTAGTTTTGGTAGGTATATTTTCATTTCTATTTGGTTAATAGAAGCATTTAAGTTACAAATGTTTTTCTAAACACAACTTTGATTATAAGTTTCATCGCATGGTATTGTTTGCAACTGTATAATTGTACTTTCAGTTTTCTCTTTTGATTAAAAAATTATTTAGCAATTAGTTTTAAAATTCACCTATTTGCTATTTCTGTGTATGCTATTGGCAATAATTCTAATCTTATTACATTTTGTGTTAGGCTGAGATATCCAAGAACAAGATGCCAAGACAGGATTAATGTACAAAGATTTAATTAGAGGACATGCTCGCGTGAAGGGAAACAGGAAGGAAACTGGGCAAAGCTGGGAGAGCTACCATACAGCAATGCAATGCTGACCCTGAGTGAGAGAGGGTGGGAACTGTTGGCAAAGTATCCTAGACTACTACTGTGCAGTTTTGAAGTTTCGACAGCGCTTTTGAGGACTCCTGGAGTCAGTTAGCTGAAAATGTAGTCCTCAATCTCCCAGGCATAAATCTTCCTAACTATAACAACCGCACTCAGCCTTTGTTGTAGAAGGGCTTGTGGGATGCATGGCCTTGGTGCAAATGAGGTGATAGATTTCAAAGTGTAGCATCCCAGACCTCATTCGGTTATGTGCCCTATGCCTGGATTTCTGTGAGGTGAATTCTCATGGCCACCACCCACCTGATCAGAGTGTGTTCTGTACTGATTCGTATGTTTATAAAATTTTTTTAGATTCTCTTTGGGTCTAGTTCAAGTTATATTTTGTAAACTTTCCATGGCATTTATAGTACAATAATTTACGTGTACTATAAAAAGGTAGATAAATGTATGAAATAAATATTATTCATTTTATTATTCAATTCCTTGATTTCATGTTCTACTTTTTATCCATTTGATCTGCCAAAGACTCAGAGAACTTTCTGTTGTTGTTTTACTCATGAAGCTTTATGTATTTATCAGTACTCTTGTCAGGGGAACATAAATGTGAGCTCACAGTTAACCTGTTTGAATAACAAACATTTTTCTTTGCCCCATGGAAAGTTTTTCCATTGAATTCTAACTTTTTTGGTATTAACATTATTAACACATGCTTTCTTTCTATTTATTTTATATTTCTGCTTATCACATTTAAACAATAACTTTGTGTTACTTTCTAGTAGATCTTTAATAAAGAGCATATATTTCAATTCTCCTTTTGGTCTAATATGATGATTATGTTTTTGTAAGTAGAGGAAACTAATCTATTCACATTAATATAATAAACAATAGCTTACTATAGTCATATTAAGTTGTATGTCTTTTCTCATGTTCTGGGGAGAGTGAAGTTTATTCTCTCCTTTGCTATACATGCAAACTTTTTTAGTGATTGTGAAATCACTTCTTCAGTTTTATCAATTTAGTGTTTAGATTCAATTTTAGAAATAGGTTTTTTATTTAATTTTATTTTATTCTAGGTTCCAGGATACATGTGCAGGATGTGCAGATTTGTTACATGGGTAATCATGTGCCATGATGGTTTGCTGCACCTATCAACCCACCAGCTAGGTATTAAGCCCCACATCCTGATATTCCTCTCTCCCCCTGCCCCTGAAAGGACGCCTGTGTTTGTTGTTCCCTTTCCTGTGTCCATATGTTCTAATTGCTCAGTTCCCATTTTTATGTGAGAACATGCAGTGTTTGGTTTTCTGCTCCTGTGTTTGCTGAGGATAACAGCTTCAAGCTCCATCCATCTCCCTGCAAAGGATATGATCTCATTCCTTTTATGGCTGCATAGTATTCTATGGTGCATATGTAACACATTTTCTTTATCCATTCTATCATTGATGGGCATTTGTGTTGATTCCCTGTCTTTGCTTTTGTGAATAGTGCTGCAGTAAACATACACGTGCATGTATCTTTATAGTAGAATAATTTATATTCCTTTGGGTATATACCCAGTAAAGGGATTGCTGGGTCAGATGGTATTTCTGGCTATAGATCTTTGAGGAGTCACTATACTGTCTTCCACAATGGTTGAACTAATTTACATTCCCACCAACAGTGTAAAAGTGTTTCTGTTTCTCCGCAGCCTCACCAGCATCTGTTGTTTCTTGACTTTTTGTAATCGTCATTCTGACTGGTCTAAGATGGTATCTCATTGTGGTTTTGATCTGCATTTCTCTAATGGCCAGTGATGTTGAGCTTTTTTTCATATGTTTGTTTGCCACATAAATGTCTTCTTTCGAGAAGTGTCTGTTCATGTCCTTTGCCCACTTTTTAATGGGGCTGTTCATTTTTTTCTTGTAAATTTGCTTAAATTCCTTATGGATTCTGGATATTAGAACTTTGTCAGATGGATAGAATGCAAAAATTTTCTGTCACATCCACTTGTTCCAGAGCTGATTTCCAGTCCTGAATATCCTTGTTAATTTTCTGTCTCAATGATCTGTCGAGTATTGACAGTGGGGTATTAAAGTCTCCCACTATTATTGTGTGGGAGTCTAAGTCTCTGTGTAGGTCTCTAACAACTTGCTTCATGAATCTGGGTGCTCCTGTATTGGGTTAACTATATTTAGGATAGTTAACTCTTCTTGTTGAATTGATCTCTTTATCATTATGTAATACCCTTCTTTGTCTTTTTTGATCTTTGTTGGTTTAAAGTCTGTTTTGTCAGAAATAAGGAGAGCAGCTCCTGTTTTTTTCTGCTTTCCATTTGCTTGGTAAATTTTCTTTTATCCCTTCATTTTGAGCCTATGTGTATCTTTGCACATGAGATGGGTCTCTTGAATACAGCACACTGATGAGCTTTGACTCTATCCAATCTGCCAGTCTCTGTCTTTTACTTGGTGCATTTAGCTCATTTTTATTTAAGGTTAATATTGTTATGTGTGAATTTGATCCTGTTATCATGATGCTGATTGGTTATTTTGCATACTAGTTGATGCAATTTCTTTACAGTGTCATTGGTCTTTGTATTTCAGTGTGTTTTTGCAGTGGCTGGCTGGTACCAGTTTTTTCCTTTCCATATTTAGTGCTTCATTCAGGAGCTCTTGCAAGGCGGGCCTGGTGGTGAAAAATTCCCTCAGCATTTGCTTGTCTGAAAATGATTTTATTTCTTCTTTGGTTATGAAACTAGATATGAAATTTGCTTGGCTAGATATAAAATTCTGGGTTGGAAATTATTTTCTTTAAGAATGTTAAATATTGGCCCCAAATTTCTTCTGGCTTGTAGGGTTTCTGCTGGGAGATCTGCTGTTAGTCTAATGAGCTTCTCTTTGTAGGTGACCTGTCCTTTCTCTCTGGCTGCCTTAACATTTTTTTTTTCCTTCATTTTGACCTTTGAGAATCTGATGATTATGTGATTGGGGTTGATCTTCCCGTGGAGTATCTTACTGGGATTCTCTGGATTTCCTGAATTTGAATGTTGGCCTGTCTTGCTAGGTTGGGGAAGTTCTCCTGGATGATGTCCTGAAGTGTGCTTTACAACTTGGTTTCATTCTCTCCATCTCTTTCTGGTACCCCAATCAGTCGTAACTTCAGTCTTTTTACATAATCCCATAGTTCTTGGAGGTTTTGTTCATTTATTTTCATTATTTTTTTCTCTGACCTTGTCTGTCGGTCTTATTTCAGCAAGATAGTCTTCAAGCTCTGAAATTCTTTCCTCCACTTGGTCTATTCAGCTATTGATACTTGCGGTTGCATTGTGAAGTTCTCAGGTTGTGTTTTTCACCTCCATCAGGTCATTTGTGTTCCTCTCTCACCTGGCTATTTTGGTTAACAGTTCCTGTAATGTTTTATCATGGTTCTTAGCTTTTTTGCATTGGGTTAGAACATGCTCATGTAGTTCAATGAAGTTCATTATTACCCAGCTTCTGAAGCCTACTTCTGTGAATTCATCCATCTCAGCCTCTGCCCAGTTCTGTGCCCTCGCTGGAGAGGTGTTGTGATCATTTGGAGGAGAAGAGGCGCTGTGGCTTTTTGAGTTTTCAGTGTTTTTTCATTGATTCTTTCTCATCTTCCATGAGTTTACCTAGCTTAGATTTTTGAGGCTGCTGACCTTTGGATGGGGCTCTTGTGAGGACATTTTGTTGATGCTGTTGTTGTTGTTGCTGCTGCTTTCTGTTTGTTTGTTTAACAATCAGGACCCTGTTCCGTAGGACTGCTGTGGTTTGCTGGAGATCCAGTTCAGACCCTATCCCTTCTGCATCTAGAGGTGTTACTAGTGGAGGCTGCAGAACAGCAAAGATGGCAGCCTGCTCCTTCCTCTTGGATCTCTGACCCAGAGTGGCACTGACCTGATGCCAAAGGGAACACTTCTGTATAAGGTGTCTGTCTACCCCTTTTGATGGGGGGCGGGTCTCACCCAGTCAGGAGACAAGGGATCCAGGACCCACTTAACGAAGCACTCTGGCTGCCCATTGGTGGAGAGGGTGCACTGCACTGGGGGAAATTCCGCTCATCCAGACTGCCTGGATTCCTCAGAGCCAGCAGGGGGGAAAGACTAAGTCGGCTGATCTGCAAAAACTGGCTGCTCCTCCCCCTACGGGCTTCGTCCCAGATAATTCAGGGTTCTATCCATAAAGCCCTTGCTGGAGTTGCTGAAATTCCCGCAGGCAGACCCCACCCAGTGAGGAGGCATGGGTTAGGGTCCGGCCTAAAAAGGCAGTCTGGCCACGATCTGCCACAGCCACTGTGCGGAATTCCTCCTGGGTCGAAATTGTCCAGTCTCCACCGTACTGGCAGGGGAAAAAAATGGCAGACTGGAGCCGCAGTGATGGCTGCGCCTCTCCCCCCAGGAGCTGAGTCATCTTAGGCAGCAGGCAGCCGCAGTGAACTCGGTAGTTTTAGGTAGTCTCCGGCCAAATGGCTGCTGAGAGTTTGCATAGCTCTGTCCTTGGGACCCAAGGCCCTGGTGGCGTGAGCTCACTAGGGGGATCTCCTGATCCGGCTGTTGCACAGATCCGTGGAAAAAGCGTGGTTTCCTGGGTCGGGTAGCACAATCACTGACCACCTCTCTTGGCTGGGGGTGGGAGCTCCCCTTTCCCCCTGTGGCTCCCAGGTGGGCCCTTGCACCACCCTGCTTTTCCTCACTCTCTGTGGGTAACGCCAACCGCCTAGTCAGTCCCAGTGAGAAAACCTGGATACCTCAGTTGCTGGTGCAGAATTCACTCACCGTTTTCGTTCTTTTTGGGGGGACCCTCCAACTGCAGCTGTTTCTAGTCGGCCATCTTGTCATGTCCAACTACCTAGAAATATGTTTTGATGTCCATACATAAATAATCAAGAAAATTAAAGTATCCATTCTACTTCCCATAACCTATGAAAAGGAAGAGATTTTTGTTTGCATTTATTTTTCCCCTCTCCTCAATCAAACCTCAGATTTGGGTATTTAAAAATAATAATAATTTTATACAGTATCTTCAAAATATCTTTATTTTTTCCAGCTTTATTGAGGTATAACTGGTATACAAAAAATACAATAATTGATGTATACAATTTGGTGAGTTTGGACATGTATATACACTCATGTTACCATAATCACAATGAAAGTAATAAATATACCCATATAAATATAAATATATATTATATATAATAAAATGTATATAAATAATATATAAATAAATATATCCATAAATATGTCTCTTTGTGGGTTTTTTTTGTAAGAACACTTAACTTGAAATCTACCCTCTTGAAATTTTAAATACACAATATCTTATTTTTGACTTTATGAAGTATGTTGTACAATAGATCACTGGAACTAACTCATCTTGTGTAAGTCATAACTTTATATGCATTGAGCAACTCCCCAAATGCACCTCCTTCATCTCCTGGGAACCACCATTCTATTGTCTACTTCCATGCATTTGACTATTTTTGATGCCTCATATAAGAGGAATCATGAAGCTTTTGTCCTTCTGCAGCTGACTCATTTCATTTAGCTTAATGTCTTCCAGGTCCACCCATATTGTTGTAAATGACAGGATTTCCTTCTTTTTTAAAGTTAAATAGTATTCCATTCTATGTATATACCTTGTTTATTCAAGTTCTTTGCCCATTTTTAAATCAAGTTATTTGCTTTTTTGTTATTAAGTTTTAGGAGTTCCTTATGTATTTTGGAAATTAAGCTCTTATTAGACATATGACTTGTAAACATTTTATATCATTTTGTAGGCTAACTTTTCACTTTTCATTATTTCCTTGGCTATACAGAAGCTTTTTAGTTTGATATAGTCCCACTTATCTATTTGTGTTTTGGTCGCCCGTGCTTTTGGTGTCACATTCATGAAATCACTGCTGAGACCAATGCCAAGACGCTTTCCCCTATGTTTTATCCTAGAAGTTTTATGGTTGCAGATCTTACGTTAAAATCTGTAATTTATTTTACATTAATTTTTGTATATGGTATAAGAAAGAAGTTCACTTTTATTCTTCTGCATGTGGATATCTAATTTTCCCAACAGTATTTGCTGAAGGGGATTTTCTTTCTCAATGTGTATTGTTGGCACTCTTGTCAAAGATCAGTTGACCACATATGTGTGGGTTTAGTTCTCTATTCTGTTCCATTGGTCAGTATGCCAATTTTATGCCAGTTAAATATATTTTCTTTAAATAATTATTTTTAATTGTTGTTTTGTCAGTTGATTCCTCAAACTGAGACTGAGATAAATTTATGAGTGTTAGAGATTGAGAGGTGGTTGTCTATAAATAGGAAAGGAAATAAGATTAAGCAGAGAGAATCTCCAGAACATAATGCATATCTGACAACTAGGACAAGAAAGGTGAAGGAAGAAAGAAAAGAAAAGTGAAAGAAGATTGATCAAGGAGAGCCTCTGACTGTGATCCAGATCTCACAAAATTTCAGCCAACTCCACCAGGAGCTCCCAAACAAAGATTGCTTTTAAAAGAGTCCTGCATTGGGTAGAAATGGCCAAGTCCCAGTATTTCTCTTGTGCTAGGTCATTGGCTGAGGTATGCCCAGGAAGTGTATGGCCTTCCCTTGAATGCTGAGAAAGATCTTGAAGGCACTGTTATCTGGAGGCTGTCAGCTCACTACAAACCTTGCTCTCAGACAGCAAGTTTTTGCTCTGCCATGGTTTCTGCAGTTGTACTGTATGATATAATAGTGTCCACAGCTATTGTTTACATATTACACAGTTTTATTGTTCATAAAGCTCATTGCCATGCCTATTATGTCTTTCTATACTTAGAATATTTATATTTTTCATTTTCCCAATTAGCTAGATTGACTTTTTATGCATAATTTTCTTGGTGGGCTTTTGAGAAGTATGTTTTCTGAGTCATGCCAAACTTGAGAAAATCTTTCCATTGTTCTGACAATTGGATCAGGCAGAAGTTTCATGGGTTTTAACTATTTTGCTTAAGTATCCTACAGAAAATGCTCTATTTTCTTCTGGCATGCAGTATTCTAGATGAGAACGCTAATATTGACTTTGATGACCACCTAATTTATTTTCCTTTGATGACCACCTAATTTAATTCTCCCCAGATTTTTGTGGACTTAAAAAACAACTAATTTTTTCAAACAATTCTTCTTAGAAAAATCCATGCTCTTCAATGTATAGTAATCTTTTTAAACTTTTGCCTGATTTTTGGTAGAAATTTTGAACTGGCAACTTGGTCTTCCTTTAGCCCAGGGATCTTTGAATATTATAGTTGGCCATCTTGGTTCTGTCTTTATGTTTATCATGTGTATATTAGTTTGCCAATTCTCTTGTGCTTTTCTCTATGATCTTACTCTTCTTCCTTTATTCTTTTTTTCTTTTTTTTCTGAGGTCTGGAAAAAATTTTAACTTTTTAAAAAACAATTTTATAAACCATCCAATGTGTTGATCACTATCTTCACTGAGTCCTAAAAATTCAGTAACTGTGAATATTTATTAGAGTAAAAAGAGCTGTCTCAGTGGCTTAACCCAATAAAACTTCATTGCTCATTTATATAAAGTCCCTATCAGTGTTTTGGTCAATGAGAAGCTGTGTGTGGTCAGGGACCTCAGGTGGTTAACACAACAATTTCTCATATTGGAGCAGTCTGCTTGCTAGGACCTCAGGCTCCTGTCCATTCAGCTAGGAGGTTAAAAAAAAGTGGATAATTACATGGCATTTTTAAATGAGCATGTCTGAAATTGATGTACATTACCTCCATTTATATTCCATAGGATAGAACTCGGTTACATAGACAAGAGAAACAGGAATATGGAGTTTAACTGTGTGCCTAGAAATATTAACAACCAGATTTTGTTGAACACAGAGCAGTCTCTCCCATATAATTAATTGTTCTCAGCTAAAATCAAATTTCTCTGATCTAAGATTGATTCTCTTGTGAAATCACCAACTTTTAAAAAATGTGTTATTTTCCTATTTTATAAGTTTATATTTTAGAGGATTTTTAATAAAAATAATTCAGCAGAATGATTCTTAGTTTTTTTGGATAACTGAGTCTTTTCATAGTTCTAATAATTACAACTTAAAAGGGAGCACTATATTTGTACCATTTATGATGGTATTTACTCCCGACCCTCACACAATCGTATTCTTCTAAGCTCTTCTTGTATCTCAAGACTAGCAGTCTATAAAATACAGACCCCAGACTCACTTGCCCACAGGAAACTATAGCCTGGAATCTAGAACACATCCACAGCCTATTTTTATATATAAAGTTTTCTTATAACTGATTTTGTACTACAATGGCTGAGTTGAACATTTGCAATGGATATTGTATGGCCTAAAAAGTCCAAATATTTGCTCTCTGGACTTTTATAGAAAAAGTTTGCTGATCCTTGGGCTAGAAATTACAGGGTATAGAAAATTAGGAGTTGTAAGCCCTCGGGTCTAGAAATGTGGAGAGTGGGTCTGAAGTGGCAATTAGGAGATATATAACCAGGAGGGTAAAACAGAATAAGTCTACTTTACATCATTCTTAGATTTATTTTCTCCAAGTGAAACTGTCCCCAATCATTCAGTCATTTTCTAATGATATGTTTTCCCCCACCTCTATCACTACTACCTGGGAGTCATACATATCACTTAAAATGGGGCTTCAAATTTAATAGTTCATTATATACTTCATTAAAATATATATAATAGTTTAAAAACCCTGCCAGTATTTTCTCTATATAAATACTTCTTTAAAATGCAGACGCTTGGGTATAATCTGATCAAAATTTCCAATTTAGAAATAATGTCACAATTTTTTTCTATATATGCCATATTGAAAGGGATCAAGCAAGCAGAGCTCTCTTTCCTGCCTAAAACTCTTCACACCAATTTATTTCCATTTGCTTTTCAGACAACTGGAAGGAATGGCTTGTCCGTGAATTTTCAATTCAATGTCCAACAAAAATATCAACAGGTTTCGGTTATAAATAATAATCTGCTTTAATAGGCAGACGTTAACACTATTTTTAAAAAACTAGATTGGAAATATCTACTGTAATCCCATTTCTCCCTCATCAGTTAAAAAGAATTCAGGGTTTTAGCCAAAGCAGTTTTTCAAGCATAACTTATATTTATATTCCTCTTAGTTCCATCCTTTGAGCAATAGCATGTGAAGAAAAATTGCTTTAAGAAACAGCTTCTCTGAGCTGACACCTTGTTTCTTCCTTGATAACTTATATATGTATACAATATACACATATATAAATATGTATTTAGGAATATATTTTATATGCATACATTTTTTTCTATGACTTTAAAGATGATATTAAAAGTCATGATTTAATTCTTTAAATGCAGACCAAATCAAACTAAATGAAAAATATAAGAATAATCTTGTAACTTTTAGTTTGTATTTTATATATTAGTTTGTATCTACCCCTTTCATATCCAAATTTAGGCTCTCCTGAAATTCCTTTAGTCTTCGAAAAGTAAGCAAAGTCTTCTCTTTCTTCTTTCACAGAACCCAGCTAAGAGCAGAGTAACGAATGTAATGATAGGAATTTTTTATTTCTAACTCTAGGTTTCCCCGTAGGACTATAATATTATATAATGCCTTCCCATAGGGCTGTCTGATTCTAATCCCAACTCAGAAGAAGATACTGTAATCAGTGTCAGGCTAAATATAGGAACTTACAAAAGCGAGCTTGCCAAATTAAGAACAGAAACTTTTAACACTAGAATTAAAGGAAATATTTGAGAAAAACTAACAAACCTGAAATCATAGAAAAACTGTTAAAATATTAATTTATATAATTATCTAGTATAAAACAGATTTAATGCTTATGTTATTAGCATATGTGACAAGCATAAAATGCTCCTTTCCCACCAACACCAATGGTGTACATGTTCTAATTACTGGCACCTGTGATTATATTACCTTCTATGGCAAAAGAAATTTCTTAGATGTGATGAAGTTAAGGACCTTGAAACAGGGAAATTATCCTGTATTATCCAACGAATATGCGCCCAGTCCTACTGAAGGGTCCTCAAAAATGAGGGAAGCAGAAAAGAAGAATTAGAGAGAGATGTGATTATGGAAATATGGGCGGATAAATGCAACACTGCTGGCTTTGAAGAAGGAAGATGGAGACTATGAGCTAAAGAATGTTGACAGACTCTGGAAGCTGAAAAAGGCAAGGAAATGAATTCTTCCCTAGAGTCCACTAAAAAGAATACAGGCTTGCTGACACCTTGATATTAGCCCAGTGAGACCATGTCAGATTTCTGAACTATAAAATTATAAGACGATAAATTTGTGTTGTTTTAAGCTACTAAGTTGGTGGAAATTTGTTACTTAACAGAAAATTAATGCATCATACATGGTTATCAAAAATCTTTATGTTCCACTGGTTTTGTGTGTTCACTTATAATCTTTTTAATACCCTGTTTCTCTGTTTCTATATTTTCTATGTTTCTATATTTTCTACTTTGATTAAATTCTCAGTCTAAAAGACTAATTATTTGAGAGGTTGTTTTTTCAGGAAGGTCACATATGTGGCATTGTCTAAATCATTCCATATATGAGAATAATTTTTAATTATCCTTGTTCATAACAGCAAATTTAACAGTGTAAAATTGAATTGTTGGGTCACAATCATTTCCTTCATCCTCTGTGTTTTATTTCATGGTCTTTACTCCAACTCTCTTTCTGTCTGCTAGGCTACACTGGTTTTTCTTTCTTTGTAGGAAATCTTTTCCTATTTATAACTTTAAAAAATATGAATGCAGATCTCTGTATTTCTTTTCCTTATATGTAGTTACTTTGCCCCCAAAACACAAATATTTATTCTGAAAAAAAATTTTTTTAATATATCTACTCAGTTATTTACTGCTCGAATTTCTATTATTTGTATGTTACATTTCCCTCATCTGTTCATTGTCTCTTATCTTTTCTCTCATTATCTTACTTCTTTTTCCAAATATTGCAAGAATTCTCAAGCTGATGTTCTATATTGCTAATTTAATTTTCTTTATTGTGCATTTTATTTACTGTACTTTTTTAAACCATGCTTTTATTCTTTTAAAATCTGCATTCAGGCCTTTCAGATTTTAGATTATTCTTATTTCTTGTTTAACTTTATAAGCATAGTGTCTTCTAAAGAACATACGTTAGACATTTTCCTAATTTTAGTTTTCTTCATCCTCTCATTTGTACTGATTCTTCAGAATAGGTACCACCTTTTGGATTCAGTGATATTTCTTGGCTTTCTCATCCTAAATTCAAATCCTAACTCTGCTTTTCTCTGGATATATGAGCTTAGACAATTTAGTAATTATCTCTAAATTCAAATTCCTCATTTATAAAATATTGACATGTACTGTATAATAATTATATTATGAGTAACTAAAATAATACAAAAAAGAGCTAAACAAGGTATCGTGCACATGGTAATTCCTCAATGAGCACTAATTGCCATTATAATCACTGTTATCATCCTCTTCCTCCTCATCATCATCACGGTAGAAGGTCTATTATTATCTAGGTAGCAGCTGAGGTTGATTTTGTGGCAGTGCTTGGATTCCTACTCTAACCCGACACATCTAGATAAAAGGAGGAAGAAAGCCATTTAGAGTTACTATAATGTTTCTTTGCCATTTCATAATTTCATTTCATTGAGACCAGCCTGATTGGCAACTGAGCCCATGGCAGCTACAGCAGAAGCTTTATTTCTGGCTATGTGTGTCTTTCCCTTCTTTAATATGGCAACCAGAAATTTGCTGGGGTGTTCTGCTCCAACCTTTATTTCTCCCACTTGCCTGGCCTTGTCCACTGTCTCTTGCTTAAAGGTGACCATAGCTATACACGAGCTCTTTGCCTGAGTTGATAGTGTAAGTTTCTTCTAATGCTTTCACATTATAACAAAGCTGTAAATGTGAATCTCTTTTCATTTTAAAAAAATTCTCAAATCTTATTTCTGCTCATTTAGAATCTATTTAAGGTTCAGTAATTTCTAAAAATAGTTTGCTCTACTAACCTAAAACATCTAGCATTGCTCCATTATAATGGAGTGAAAACTAAGCCAAGTTTTTACATCTATTGATTTTTTTTTGTATGTTCAACTATAGCCCAATCCCTATGTAAAGCTATAAGGCACTTTAAATAGGCAGTTGTATATAGTGGAAATGGAGCCCCCCTCAATAATATGAAGCAACCTAAAAGGCATTAAAAATACTTTCAAACAAATCTCCTTCAGTTGAGGTTAAACAGATGTTGAATATGTTTTCTATTTTAAACACTATCATTGTGGTGTGCTCACATTTTTTCCACCTAGCCAGGAATAAAATGATCAGACTTTTAAATTTTCCCTCTTAAATTACTGGAAGTAATTGTTTTGTGATATGAAATTTTTATTTTAGCTCATATATTGTTTTATAAGATTCCATCAATTTTTCACATCTCTTAGTTCTCTTTTTATGAATTTCCACTTAAAACTAAAAGACTCTGAAATGAGCTTTATTGCCAATTCTTTGTTAAAATCAATTACGTTTAGAATATCTAGAACAACATTACAAAACTACTTACAATTGCAAATAAAAAAGAAGTAGAAGTTTATGGGAAGGCTGTGGTGTACATTTGTGGCTCTAACAGTAGTTGAGAAAATTTAGATTCACTTGAAAAAGTTAGAAAAGCTACGTTTTGAGTTCCTTTGATGTCTTAGCATGTTTTGTGTTGCTATAAAAGAATGCTTGAAGCTGGGAAATTTATAAATTTACAAAAAGGTTTATTTGGCTCACAGTTAGAATGTCTGGAAAAGCTCAAGTCTGGGCATCTACATCTGAAGTTCTCAGGCTGCTTCCACTCACGGTGGAAGGTGAAGGGGAGCTGGTGTGTGCAGAGATCCCATGGTGAGAGAGGAATCAAGAGAGAGAGAGAGGGAGGAGACGCCAGGCTTTTTATAACAACCAGCTCTTGTAGAATGAATAGAGTAAGAAACTAACTCACTCTTGAGGGAGGGCACTAATTTATTGATGAGGGATCGCACCCATCACTCAAATACCTCCTACTATGCCCCACTTTAAACATTGGAGATCAAATTTCAACATGAGGTTTGGCATGCACAAATAGCCAAACCATAGCTTCCTAAGCCAAGTTTTTATATCTATTGAGTTTTTTGTATTTTCAACTATAGCTCAATCCCTATGTAAAGCTATAAGGCACTTTAAATAGGCAGTTATATATAGTGGAAATGGAGCCCCTCAATAATATGAAGCAATCTGAAAGGCATTAAAAATACTTTCAAAGAAATCTCCTTCAATTGAGGTTAAACAGATTTTGAATATGTTTTCTATTTTAAGCAGTGTCAGTGTGGTGTGTTCACATTTTTTCCACCTAGCCAGGGATTAAATAATCAGACTTTTAAATTTTCCTTCTTAAATTATGGGAAGTAATAGTTTTGTGATATGAAATTTTTATTTTAGCTCATATGTTGTTTTATAAGATTCAATCAATTTTTCACATCTCTTAGTTATCTTTTTTTGAATTTCCACTTAAAACTAAAAGACTCTGAAATGAATTTTATTGCCAATTCTTTGTCTGTTTTGGCACCAGTACCATGCTGTTTTTGTTACTGTAGCCTTGTAGTATAGTTTGAAGTCCAGTAGCATGATGCTTCCAGCTTGGTTCTTTTTGCTTAGGATTGTCTTGGCTATACGGGGTCTTCTTTGATTCCATATGAAATTTAAATTGTTTTTTTTCTAATTCCGTGATGTCAATGGTAGTTTGATGGGAATAGTATTGAATCTATAAATTACCAGGAAAGAACAAGTTAGGTGAGAGTGTAAGTTTAACCTTCGCCTTTTCCTCCAAGCCTCATTATACAGGGATTTGACTAAGGGAGTGAATTTTAGAGTGGATGTTAATGCAGCTTCCTTTTGCTTCATCAGTTAAGGGCAGGGTAGCCAAACACATGGCTTTAGTAAGGTGGCCTTCCTCACTCCATACCTTCAAATCCAAATAATCAGCAAGGTCTCTTGTTTTCTTCACTCAGTGATTCTGTAGCCTTTTTCTTTCTCCACGGCACTGCCACTGCTTTTGTTTATAGTCATAGTATTGCTACTAGACGATTATAATGGAGTAATTTGCTTATGGTCTTGCTCAACCCTCTATCCCCAAATCTTCTTTCAAATTGCTGATGAATGAGATTTCAGGAAAGACGATATGATTAACTCATTCTGTTGCTTTGAATGCTTCTAAGGATCTCCACTAATTTCAGGATAAAAGTCAAATGTCATAGCCATTAGTGATGTAACACTTGCCTATTGCTTCACCTCTACACTGACCTTCAGCCACAACGAAATATGTTCATGCTCCAAGACAAAACTTACTCCTCCATATCCAAAAACTTTGTCTTCCTGCCATTCTCTTTTCCAAGAGCACTAAGCACCGACTGAAGAAGGTTGACTAATATCTACTCATCTCCAACAGTTGTAATTTGGCTTCTAGATTAATAATACTTAGACATCAAGTAAATTTCTGCATAAATAAAAACTATGAACTTAAGCAACATTTAAACCTT
The DNA here is from genome assembly GCF_000001405.40 of Homo sapiens. Classification (NCBI taxonomy): domain Eukaryota; kingdom Metazoa; phylum Chordata; class Mammalia; order Primates; family Hominidae; genus Homo; species Homo sapiens. Next base: position 180,545,407 of record NC_000002.12, on the reverse strand, counting down.
TATCAGAATAGCAAAGAAATATTGTTGCCTTTAGAAAAATTTTAGTGATTATATAAAATGTTAACCATATACTCCAAATCCTGTAATTACAAATTATTCCTATTTTATGCTTTTCTGTATGTTCTAAGTTTTATGGCCTAGGCACTTAAGTTCATGATGGAAAGAATAATTCTTATAACTTTTTAATGAATGACTAACAGCATCAGAACCTGTGATTATTATATAATTTCTTTCAAAGTATTATAAGTGCTTCACAGGTTTTTCACTCATTTTTAATTTGACATCTTTCTCACCTATGTTGAGGACTGACTTTTTCCTACTTCAAAAGGACAAAGAGTAACTTGCACATCATATCTCAGGGAACCACTGGCAAAATGGTATTAGTAATGTTTTTCCATCATCCTTTTAGCAGAAACCACTGGCAAGGTTCATAGAATCTCAATCAATTATCAAGTTGTCACCATTTATTGAGCATCCATGTGATATAGTTCTCTGTGTCAGGATATCCAAAGCTAAAGAAGCCTTTCAACTATCTGACACAGTCCTTGCCCACCCTCCGTGTCCCACATCCCTCAGCTGAAAAAACACAATACACAAAATAATGGAACACTTTTGAAATGTGCTGGCCAGACAGGGTTCTTGATTGCAGACAACAGAAACAATAATGGTTACATTGAACAAAAAAGGAATACATCAGAAAGATCTTGCATAGCTCACAGAATTCATGGAAAGTCTGGAGAACCAAGCTCTATAAAGAGAACACAGCCAGAATCAAACAACAGGCATGACTACTTAGGATGCCAAATGTAAATCTTATCGTGTCTTTTCATCACAATAGAGAATTAAACTCTCTCAGTGTGCAAATCCCTTCGGGAGTCTAAAACCCTGAAGTTGTGACGAGTTGGTGAACCAAGTTCATGAGCTTACAACTTAATGACAAGGAAATATGGAATTCTCCTGAAAGAGGAAGTGTGTTTCAAGGCTAGGTAGAACTAAAAGAAAACAATGCTTCCTACTCAAATGCCCATGCAGAAACAACAGATGCATATGTACAAGTTATGGTCCTGAGTGCTGAGAGAAATGCTGGTTGTGATAAAATCAGTTTTCACTCTGGGTTGATCATCTGCTTACAGAAAGATGATGAGGATGCTTGTGACACCATTTTGAAAGGGAAGTGACATAATAATAGAAAAAGAAGAGGAGGAAGAAGAGAAGGAAATTGAAGTCAGAAGAAAAAAATTAAAGTGGAGTGTCTTAGGCCATTCAGACATCTACAACAAAAAATACCATAGACCAGGTGGCTTGAAAACAACAGAAATTTATTTCTTTCCATTCTGAAGACTAGGAAGTCCAAGATCTAGGGGTTGGCAGATTCACTGGTGAAGACTTACTTCCTGGTTCATAGATGGCTATCTTATCACTGTGTTCTCACATGGTAGAAGGAGTGAGGGAAAAATCTGGGGTCTCTCGTAGAAGGGTGCTAGTTTCATTCATGAGGCCTCTGTCTTCATGACATAATCATCTCCCAAAGGCCTGACTGCCTAATACCATCACACTGGGGATTCGGTTTCAACATGTGGATTTTAGGGATAAACAGTAGATAGCAGAGAGAGAGAGAGAGAGAGAGAGAGAGAGAGAGAGAGAGAGCGCCTAAGGATGGATATAAACAGAAATGAGATGTAGGAAGAAAAGGAGGATGTCAGAGTCAGACATGTGAAGACAAATGGCAAAACAAAATAAAACAAACTACCTTAAAACCTGTAGATCCTTGTTCTTTATAGCTATAGGGTCGTTATTAATAAGAATTCTAAGATTAGAGAACTCGTACTTCCTAGAATGTATCAGGTAGGCACTCAATAATAATTGTTCCTAAGAGAATAAAACACAAATATTAGTTATGTAAACATTTAACCTCATTAAATAATAGCAATCTTGTTAGTGCTATAGCAGCATAGGCATGAAGTGAGGAGTTTTGAGACAAATAAAAGAAAAATATTGTACTACTGGATTTTATCCCTATCTTTAAATTTTTCAGAATATGTGGTTTTATAAATTACCTACTGTTTTTATAATAATGACTATAAGTAGCTTCATAAAATGTTCTACATATTCAAGAGATGAAAGTTTGTTTTAAATCTATGTCAGTAGCTTTCTTGATCCTTTTCCTTCTTATCTGAACACCCATAATTTGGTTTCTTTTGTGAACAACACTTGATTTTATTGCTTATATTTGTGAATATGACAGCACATATTTTCTTAAGCATCTAATAACTCACAATTTAAACTCATTTAAAATCATCTATTTTTTTTCTTAGCCTAGAATAGGGGTAGTGGGATTAGAGCATAGGAAGAGAAATAGGACCAATTCAAGTGACATTTTGTGAAACAAGCCAAATTTATTGGTAAAAGAAAAGATCACAACGATTTACTCAGTCTTCATGATTTTATTAGTCTTGAGATACACATTATTCAAGGCTACTCACCAAAGTCATAATAGACAAAACTATTTATGTATTCCTATAGATTGCAGTTAGTGAGATGGAAGGCAAATTATATTAATATGGGCATTAGGATGTTGTATTTAGTTCAGAGTTCTACAAGAAAACCCAAGTAGAAGCAGGGTTATATGAAGAGATTTATTGCCAGAAACTGGCTAGGCAAGTCTATTATCTGAAGGCCAGTGGGCTGGAAACTGTCAGGCAGGAGCTGACACTGCAGTTCATAGGTGGGATTACTTCTTTCTCTGGAAAGCCTCAGTTTTGCTCTTATTAAGGTCTTTCAATGGATTGAATGAGGCTGACTCAGATTATCAAATATAATTTCCTATACTTAAAGTCAATTTACTGTAGATATTAATCACCTCTAAAGAAATACCTTCACAACAATAACTAAATTAGTGTTTGACTGAATAAACAGCCAACTGGACACATAAAAGTCATGATCACAGATGTTTAGTGAATTAAAAAAGCCTTAACAGAGCTGGAATTAAAAAGTCAACAATATGTACACTAAGCCCTTAGCAGAGTAGCAAGGGTGACTCCAGAGTCAGGACCAGGGAAGACTTTCTGGATATTCAATGCAATTTTTAGAAAGGCATTGAATATTTATTGAATAAACTTGAGATTGGTTAAAAGAGAGAGAGAGAGTTGTCTTGAGAAACTCCCAAAGCATATCCCTTGTCAGGGATTAACAACAACAGCAGCAGGTTGATTAACCATCAACTAACTTCTATTTCAGGCTCTGTGCTAAGTGTAACCTCATTTCATCTCATAACATCTTCATGAGTTAGAATAATTAATGCCTCCTTTCACAGCTGAGGAAACTGAAGTTTAGAGCGGTCCAGGCTTGCCCAGTAAATTAACACTTGTTGAAGCCCTATGATGTGGTAGAAACATTGCTAAGCCTTTACGTTACTTGATCTTTGTCATATACTTTCGTGCGTGGAATTATCTCTCTCATTTTATATGTGCGCATATTGAGGGCCAGAGAGTTTAAGTAGTGCACCTTGTATTTAGTTTCTAGTAAAAGGTGAATTCAATCACAGGTTTTTTTCACTCAAAGCCCATATTTGTTCCACTGCTTGGTAGAGAATCAACAATCATTTTTTATCCAGGAAATTTCTGACAAAAGCAGAACAATTAATACAAAGTAATGAGTAGGGTGGGGGTGAAGAAGGGAATTTTTTAACTGGCTAGACGAGAGAGAAAGTGGGTCACTGTGCAGGACTTCAGGATTCACAAAATGCTACCATAAATAAGCGGAGAACTAAGGAGTGTGTTGTGTGTCCCCCCGGCATGTAATTTTGTATTTGTGTTGAAGTTTGATCATTAAATATTTTTATTAAATATTATTATTAAATATTGATATACATAATACTCATGCATAATTACCCATATATGAGTAATTATTGCTTAAGTGAACAATAACGCATATATCCATGCTATTGTTTTACTACAGGGAATTTAAGTAGCAATAGCAGAGCAGTACTAATAACAATAATAATAACACAGCAAGGGTTTCTTAACCAGTGTCACAATACATAACTTTTTCATATTCATTCATGCAATGTAACTTAAGTATTATTATTAACAGTGAAATGCTACAGTTTGTGAATAATGTACTTTTTTCCATAAATCAGAGCAGAGACAAGATATACCTATAATACCAATCTCTCTGGATTTGGTCAGTCTGAGTTCAGTCAGGAAAATAGCCCCTGAAACTATTCTAGGAATAAAAGATTCAATAGAGAAATTAAAGTTTGTACAAATATGGCAGGAGCTGGATGTTCTGTCGACACCGGTTTCAAGAAGCAATCGTCAATGATTTCAGTTCAAAACACTGCAATGGCTGGGAAAACTGAGCTTGTGGTGAAACCTAAGACCTTGTTGTGTCTGGACACTTCTTGGCCTGCACAGTGGGAGCTGGTGGAGTAGTCTCCAAGGCTGCCGCGTCTGGCGATCTCCCAAGGATAATGGCTTCCTCCTTGCCTTCCTTATCTTCCTTGAGTGTCTCTTTTTGGCAAACTAGCCCAGAACCAGACAATAAAGGGAGTTCGGGGAAATAAGTCCCCAGCTTCAGCAGGGAGCAGTGGAGTACTGAGTTGATCACTCACTTGGATTACAGTACGTATCTTTGAGAGAGGGCAAGTATGAGGTAAACTAACACACCAAGAATTGCACATGGGGATGTGTCACCAGTATGAATGTGTTCTTACAATAAAAGGAAAAAAAAAAAACAGTTCGAAACACCTGTGATAAATGCCTGAGCAGCCTATGGCTACTGAAGGCTGATGTAAAGCCATTTGAAATGTAGCACGATAATCTCTTTGATTAGAATGAGATCACATTTTTAATTTTTGTTTTTTCAAGCTGGATACCATGGAGCGAGGGAAGGAAGGAGGTCAGGTCTATCTACACTTTACACATTTTCCAAGAGTAGGGGTCAACATCAGGAGAAAAATAAGAAGCAGCAAACTTATTTTCTGGAGCAGTGTAACATGCTGCTCTCCTGGTATTCCTACCTGTATAATTTCCCTTGTTACACTGACTGCTGAATAGGAAAGCTTGCTTTTTCACCACTGCTCTGATGTGACACTGGAAGTCTAGACAATTAACTCATTTATTAAACTGACACCATAAAGTAAATCATTAAAATATAGCACTACACATTCAGGATATGGTCCCAAACACAGATGAAAACTAAGATCTTTTAAAATGAGGTAGTATTTACTTTTTAAGTGAGGCGACATGTGAATTATTATTGGTTAATATTTATGAAGGCCAACAGTGTGCTGGGTATTGTATATCACCCTGAGCAAACAGTTGTTTATATCGTTTACATAGTTGTGTGTGTGTGTGTGTGTATGTGTGTATACCTGGTATCCTATAATAGGGTCATATGGCATATGGGAGAATGGATCATATCTCAGAAAAAGCAGATGAACATTATCAATCATAACTAATTTATATTCTTCATTTCTACCAGCTGAGGTTTCATTTTTTATATATATTAACATTTCTATTATACATCAATGCTTACAAAAATTATGACTGCTTGAAAAAGAGTTAAGCTTTCATTGTCCAACTGTAAGTTGCCCTAAAGTGGAACTTCCTTTTTTTGATATGTGAAGTACTCTATTTTTATTGAGGTTGTAAGTTGTTGGTGTTGAGCAATCTATAGTAAAGAGGAACAGTAGCTATGTGAGACACAATATTGCTCAAAAATATGTTAAGTTGAACAAAATTTTTAAAAATAAACCAATAAACCATGTGTCAAGAGCTGTGCTAGGTACTTTCTCAGATGATTTGCCTGTATAATTTATTCCACCTTAGAAAGACCATATTAAAAATAATGATCATAGTTTTCAATATTAAAGATCAGCGATTACAAAGAGAGAAATAGTACTGGATGGAATGGATTAAAAACTGATTGCACAAATGCACCAACAAGGTTTTTCTAAATAAAAAAGAGCCCCTTTCAACTGCTTTTCTTATGCCATTCCATGGAAAATTAGTTTTGCGAAGAACAAAATAATAACAGAGTCTCAGTTCATTTGTTCTGATGCCTAACTTTTAAAAGTTCTTAGGAATCAAGCTATCTGCAATAAGGATGGTTGAATTTCTATAATTTAAGGTACATATGAGATAAACATTCTCAAGCTCAGGTGCTTATAACTTTTTTTTATAGTTCAACAGCTTCCCCATGTACTAATTGATTCACAAGACATTTCTATTACTTCCACAGCTGGGGCTAGATATAATCAAGAAGAACTGTGGCACCCAGAAATAAACAAAAGATAATGGAACTTTTGCTGAGCCACAAAGAGTATTTTTAGTGTTTGGCTAAGGGTTCAATTTCACACTTGAGAACTTTCTAGTATGTCCCCTTTTTCACTGGTTTGTACCACTCACACTTCAAGGAGAGATGGAAGAAACTAAGTCAAGCCGACAGGAGCCATGTCTTTCAAGCAAGAAATACAGCTGCCAGAGAACACAAATGCGGACTTTACATAAGCGTAAAGCCAGCAGGGTGTCTGAGGACATCAAATTTCATTGCTTTTGTCTGTTTACTACAAGATGTAAAAACAGTCATTTGCCACCGGGGAGATGTTTCATGAATTGAATGTTATAATTTCATAATCAGATACTATGACTTTAGGGGACTAAATGAACTTTTCAGGAAGATTATTTTTTTTCATCCTGTGTTCCTAGAACAGGTTCTAGTTGTCTTTCAATAAGTGAATGTTAATTGCTTAAGTAGCTCCTGTTAGTCCTTTCTGGCCTCAACAAAGAACATTAGGAGTTCTCTGTTTCTCTCTGTCTCTGTCTTGCAAAACAGGTGTTTCTTCTCCTATCATTTCATAACTTCCCTATACGAGTTCTTTATTTTTGTTTATTTTTCAATTGTTTGGAATATAAGACACAACCACTTTTAGGAAGCATGCTTGAGTTGTATAATTCATAAATGGTTGTATATTTAAAATGTCTTTTTGTTGTCTTGGCTCGCGAACTTAATCTCATGAATGATAACTTGACTGGGCATAGAAGTTATTGAATTATACTTTTATTCTCTTTCCAAATAATTACACACTGCTCCACTTATATTGGCATCTAATATTCCAAGATTATTGTACCTTTTCCCACTTTGTAGGTGACATATTTCTTCTTTACAGATGCATTCAAGCTCCTTTCCTTAATAAAATATTTGAATAAGAAAAAGTCATTAGTTTGTATCCTAATGTGGATCTTTTTCCTTTATAAAGATAAATGAAATGGAAAACACTGTGATGTTCAAGACAGATTCAATGAACCAAATGTTGATATGCAACACAAACTAAGCTTCAGTGGTTTTATTATAATCTCACTCAGACTCACAGGCTGCAAGAGAAGACCTCAAACTGAACTGGCAGTAATAATGCCACACTCAACGTGTTCTGGAGATTGGACAGCTGACAGTCCAGCAACTAGTCCGGCCTAGTTCATGAATTTTGTTCACTCCCTATTCAGATCTTGCTTACGATCTTATGCCCTAAAATAATCTTAGGATGTACCCTAGCCTACAAAATCCTCTAAGTATCTTTTCTTAACATTTTACATTGGAGACTGTGTCAAGGTGGTGCCCTCCCTTACACATCTATTTCAGAGACTGGGTCTTGCATGATCAATAGGTATTCCCCTATGTTCTTTGGATGTGGGCTTCAACAGAAATTATCTTCGGGATACAGTTTGCCCTTTATATCTGAAAACCCATGCTTCTTTTTAAAATTTCACAAAATTTCTGTTCTATTATATGTTTGAATATTTTTATTTCTTTTTTTGTCCTATTTTCTTCATGAAGCATACCAATTATGCTTCTGAACCTCCATTATTATTTTCATAACTGGCATCTTCTCACTCTTTGCTCTTATTTCTTTGTCTACCTTTTTAAAAACTATTTGTGCTATTTCATTTGTTTTTCTTTTTCCTCTGGTTTTCTGCAGTATTGATTTTGTTCTCTTTTCTTTATGAAGCATTGAATATAAAATATTCTTCAATATCTTGGGGAAATTTTTTTCCAACTGTGTTTTCTTAAATTTATATATATATATATATATATATATATATATTTTATTATAATTTAAGTTCTAGGGTACATGTGCACAACGTGCAGGTTTGTTACATATGTATACATGTACCATGTTGGTGTGCTGCCCCCATTAACTCGTCATTTACATTTGGTATATCTTCTAATGCTATACAACTGTGTGTTTTAACTGTCTTTTGCTTGCCATATTCTCCTACTTTGTGGTTGAAGAATTTTTTCACAGATAACATACTGATTTTTTCTCCCTCTTAGTTTTATTTTTTTTTAGTTTAAGTCCTACATGAGTGGCCTAATTGTGCACAAAGAATATAAGTAGAAACTCTTTGATTCTGTCATGTCTTTATCTGATCTTTTATAAATTTTCCCCTCAAAATTGAGGTTAAAATTTTGAATGTTGAATTTCTCTAGTCTGTGTTAGGACTTGGGATGGTTGAGGAGAGTACTATGGAAGCTGGGGCCAGGAGTACCATTAGTCTTGAAACTTGGTTCCTTTTTTTCCTTCCTCTAAATCTCTTTAAACCTCTAGTCCTTCTAAACTAGCAGTATGTTCTGTTCCACGATGGGAACGGAGACCCTCTGGAGGATTTGGCCTGCTTTTGAGCTTTGGCTTCAGCAGGGAAAATTAGCAAGATGACAAGTGTAAACTATAAATCCACAGTACATTTTGTTTTCTTCAGATGATACTGGTCTTCTATAATTATGAAGCTGGTTACAGGATATTGTTTTATATCTCTTTTCTTCTCACAAACTTAACTTTCAGCATGCGCTTAGATGTTGGAAAGCCAAGTCAATAAAAATGTCACTGAGTATACTGTTTCTGCTTCAGTCCTGGCTGTCATTTCTGTTCAGCAGCAGGGAAAGTTACCACAAATATAGTGTTTTCTATTTCCAATTTCATTTGTTTCAAGTTGAATATCTTAATCAATTATTCAAAAATATATTGTTTTTCTTTTCCTGTGTGCTGTACTATTCTCTAGATAGAAAAAGATGTGGCCCAATTACAAGCATCCTGCTAAACTTCTTTCAACCTTGTCTTATGTCCAGCAAGTATTCTTTGGGGTCTGCGCTTTAAAGTTGGAGCTCTCCACCTGTTTCAATGGAAATGAAGTCTTACTATTTCATTAATTTTGGTGGATTTGGGAGTGTAACTTGGGACTGCACACCTTTCCCAAAGATCTTGTTGACCACTTTAACTGTGGGATCTATGGTTGCCAGTCCTTCTGGTTATCACCTGACACTGGGAAAATCTACCTTAAGCTATCAATTCCCCATGTCTTTCTAGTATTCTCTTGCATAGAGCCCAACATAAAAATATCTACAGAGAAGGAGATAGCATGTATTAGTGGACATCACAGAATTTATAGGAGGGCTTCCAGAAAACCGTGAAGTCCTTGAAAATGCATACTTTGCATATACTCTTCACAATCTTAAAAAATGTCTTTCTTATACCAAGAAGCAGATGTAGATATAAACTTCTTTTTTGCATTATATATAGTCTTTGTGTATGTGTGTATATACATATGGCTTCAGGAACACATAGTTTCTGAGTCTATGCAATAATCTTACCTCTTAGGGGCCTAAGAAGTTCTTAAACAATGAGTATCAAAGTCCTTAACAGAACTGGCTGATAAAGTACAGGCATAAGTCACTATAGCTTTTGCAAGTAAATTCTTTTTATTTTTTCAGTGCAAAAGGGTCTATTCCTATTTCCTTTCTCTGGTTACTTTCCATAGCTACATGTGGAAAATTTAATTAGCCTCTACTGAGATTGTATAATGCTGCCACATGGTTCTGCTGTTGAAGTTGATTCTTACACAGCTCTGTGGACTTTGTACATTCCGCAGTGACCCTCTTGCTGACTCCAGTTCTTACAAAGGTCATAATAGTGTGTGCTGGGGCCCCAGAGATTATCAGATGCCTTAGGTTACACCCACATATTCTGTCATTTTCTTTTCCCAAAACATCATACCATGCCAAAGTGGTTGAGTCTTAAAGGATATACTGGAATAATTCCTCCTTATTAACCTCAACATCATTTTATTTCAGTAGCTGCCTTGCCTTTCCCTGTCAGTGTGTCTACATGGAGACCACCTTAATCTCTCTGGACTTGTCTTCCTACAGGTTTCTTTTCCTCTGGAAACTGTAGGCTATTTAGCCCCTGTTGATCAGTGATAAACTTTGCATAGGAAGTGATAACTTCCTATGCAAAGATAAACTTTTCTGAGGAAGTGACAACCTTGATAAAATCATAAAAATTCCCATCACATCTTCTCCTACATGTGTATAGTCAAAGGGCACTGCTCATGTGATACCTGAATGTTGCTACATTCAGGGAAGAGCAGGGAGGTCACTGTGGCTAGGCCAGAGAGATGGACTTTGAGTGGGTTTAGGATGGGCATCAATGATGGGAAGTAAGGTCTGAAAGATTATAGGTGGCTGAGTGAAGGGCTTCTGCTGGCCCATATGGCAACTCTGTGAGACTTAGAAAAAGGTGCACAAAAATTGCATTGTTTGGAACTCAAAAGATAAATGTTTGAGTGGATGAATACCCCATTCATTCCCCATGATGTACTTGTTTCATATTGCATGCCTGTATCAAAACATCTTATGTACCCCATAAATATATACCCACAAAATTTAATTTATTTTTTAATTTTAAAAAAGAAAGAAAAAGGTACACATTAGTCATTCACCAGAACATGCAGTTTAATAAATTGATTTTAACCTCTATTAGCTGGTTCAGCCTAGTGCACACATACACAGTGCAAAGCCTATCGAGCAAATAGAGAAGCCCAGAACTTGCATGTCATCATAAGGACATTATGCTCTACTCTGAGTCCAAATGGGAAGCCACTGGAAGCTGTTGAGTAAATCAGTGACATGACCTGACTTACCTTTACCTTTCAAAAGGATCATTTGGGCTGCTCTGCTGAGAAAAGGAATCATGGCAGAAGCAAGAAGGCTAGTTGGGAGGATAGTACATAATTTGGATGAAAAATTATGGTGGCTTGGATTAGGAGGTTAGCAGTGGAGGCAAAGAGAAAGCTCAGGTTTTGGCAATATCTTGATGGTAGGTCCTATAGGATTATGATAAAAGGAAGAGTCAAAGATGACTAAAATAATAGAGTTAGCAATTTTTAGTCTTCTCAGAATCAGTCACTGAGTAGATACATTTGGGAAGTAACTTCAGTGCATTACATTTTAAATTCCTATTTATTAGATGATAATAATAATATTTTCTTAATTAGTATACTCAGTTGGCATAATAATCACATGATATGTTGCATGTCAAATCATTTTCATATAGTAAAATATAATAAATACAATGTTAATTATATGAGAGTTAGCTATTGGGCCAATTTTGGCTTCAAAAATTGTTTTAAAAGAATTAACTGTGAAGCTTCTTTTAGTGGCAAGCTTTAGGCCAAGCACCGAGAATTGAGAGAAAATGATATCATAAGGCTTAGTCCAGAAATCCAGGTAAGATGACCAAAAGATCTGAGGAGTTTCCTGAAAAGGCCTAAAGAAGTTCCCAGAAGTTTCTATAGTCCTGTCATGGCTGTGCTATTATGCCCATCTGCAGCCACGAGCTATGTAGATGTGCACAAATGTTCATGTGTCTTCTGCATTCTCCCCCTTCTAGTCTATGACTTAATAACTATCCTCAATTGTCTCTTTGATTTCTCTATTTGCCAGAGAAAAACATACAATACAGACTTGTCCCCTTTCATAAAGGAATCCAGACTAGTAAATATTGCTAGTGATACTTCACAGTGAACATTAGCCAAATATTTAATATTTAGTCACAGACTAAATTCCCACATCTCCAAAATGTGGAAGATTTAAAATACTTAACTAGCTTTTAGGGTTACTGTGAAAATTCATTAATGGAAGGCCTTGAGGAAAAGTGTTTATAATGCACTTGAAAAGAATAATTACAATGAAAGGCACAGTTAGCAGGCATGTAGAATGTGGTTTAATTTCTTTTGGTTATAAAGCTCATCACTGTACATAAAAACCCAGCTTTCTCATGAATGGATAAGCCAGTTAGAAAAACTCTTGGTAGTCAGTTCTGCAAGATATTATATTCAGTAATTAACTTTACAATAACTGGTTCACACATACAAAGTAGTCAATTTGCATAAAAAATTACTGCTTAAATGACAAATCAATTATTGCACACAAAGTCAATTATTACACACTTGTTTAAAACTGAATATCTTAATTAAAATTTCAGTAATTTGCTGTTTTTCCTATTGCAACATAGTACAGTAATTAGTATTCTAGCTCTGTGAGATTAAGCATCTCTATAAAGTCATTAAAATAAAAATCCCTAAATCTAATGCATAGTAGATGATGATAATTGTAATGTTTCAGGGAAAGTTTTTTTTTTTTAATAGAAATGATCACTGAGTTTCCATCTTCTTTCAAAACTTTATGACTGAGTCCACATGGCTATTGGTTAGCACTGTTTTTTTCTGAAACAGAAGTGTGGGTAAGAACTGAGAATTGCAAATCTGGAGAGCAAATGTCTTTCATATTGAATTAAATTCACCTACATAAAACAATTGAAATTGTTTAAAACAAAGCATCAGTTGGAAGGTTCCAAGATGGCTGAATAGGAACAGCTCCAGTCTACAGCTCCCAGTGTGAGCCATGCAGAAGACAGGTGATTTCTGCCTTTCCAAGTGAGATACCGGGTTCATCTCACTGGGGCTTGTCGGACAGTGGGTGCAGCCTACGGAGTGTAAGCTGAAGCAGGGCGGGGCATTGCCTCACCAGGGAAGCACAAGGGTTCGGGGAATTCCCTTTCCTAGCCAAGGGAAGCCGTGACAGACAGTACCTGGAAAATCGGGACACTCCCACCCTAATACTGCACTTTTCCAGTGGTCTTAGCAAATGGCACACCAGGAGATTATATCTCACCCCTGGCTCAGAGGGTCCCATGCCCACAAAGCCTCACTCACTGCTAGCACAGCAGTCTGAGATCAAACTGCAAGGCGGCAGCAAGGCTGGGGGAGGGGTGTCCGCCATTGCTGAGGCTTGAGTAGGTAAACGAAGCGGCCAGGAAGCTTGCACTGGGTGAAGCCCACCAGAGCTCAAGGAGGCCTGCCTGACTCTGTAGACTCCAACTCTGGGGGCAGGGCATAGCTGAACAAAAGGCAGCAGAAACTTCGCAGATTTAAACGCCCCTGTCTGACAGCTTTGAAGACAGTGGTGGTTCTCCCAGCATGGAGTTTGAGATCTGAGAATGGACAGACTGCCTCCTGAAGTGGGTCCCTGACCCCCAAGTAGCCTAACCGGGAGACACCGCCCAGTAGGGGCCGACTGACACCCCATACAGCTGGGTGCCCCTCTGCGACGAAGCTTCCAGAAGAAGAATCAGGCAGTGACATTTGCCGTTCTGCTATATTTGCTGTTCTGCAGCCTCTGCTGGTGATACCCAGGCAAACAGGGTCTGGAGTGGACCTCTAGCAAATACCAACAGACCTGCAGCTGAGGGTCCTGACTGTTAGAAGGAAAACTAACAAACAGAAAGGACATCCACACGTAAACCCCATCTGTACTTCACCATCATCAAAGACCAACGGTAGATAAAATCACAAAGATGGGGAGAAACCAGAGCAGAAAAGCTGAAAATTCTAAAAATCAGAGCACCTCTTCTCCTCCAAAGGAATGCAGCTCCTCACAAGCAACAGAACAAAGCTGGATGCAGAATGATTTTGATGAGTTGAAAGAAGAAGGCTTCAGATGATCGTTAATAAGAAACTTATCTGAGCTAAAGGAGGATGTTCGAACCCATTGCAAAGAACCTAAAAACCTTGAAAAAAGATTAGACAAATGGCTAACTAGAATAAACAGCAAAGAGAAGACCTTAAATGACCTGATGAAGCTGAAAACCATGGCACAAGAACTATATGATGCATGCACAAGCTTCAGTAGCCAATTCGATCAAGTGGAAGAAAGGGTATCAGTGATTGAAGATCAACTGTATGAAATTAAGTGAGAAGAGAAGTGTAGAGAAAAAAGAGTAAAAAGAAACGAACAAAGCCTCCAAGAAATGTGGGACTATGTGAAAAGACCAAATCTATGTCTGATTGATGTACCTGAAAGTGACAGGGAGAATGGAACTAAGTTGGAAAACACTCTGCATGATATTATCCAGGAGAACTTCCGCAACCTAGCAAGGCAGGCCAACATTCAAGTTCAGGAAATACAGAGAATGCCACAAAGATACTCCTTGAGAAGAGCAACTCCAAGACACATAATTGTCAGATTTACCAAAGTTGAAATGAACGAAAAAATGTTAAGGGCAGCCAGAGAGAAAGATCAGGTTCCAGCCAAACTAAGCTTCATAAGTGAAGGAGAAATAAAATCCTTTGCAGACAAGCAAATGCTGAGAGATTTTGTCACCACCAGGCCTGCCTTACAAGAGCTCCTGAAGGAAGCACTAAACATGGAAAGGAACAAGCAGTACCAGCCACTGCAAAAACATGCCAAATTGTAAAGACCATCGATGCTAGGAAGAAACTGCATCAACTAACGAGCAAAATAACCAGCTAACATCATAATGACAGGATCAAATTCACACGTAACAATATTAATCTTAAATGTAAATGGGCTAAATGCTCCAATTAAAGGACACAGACTGGCAAATTGGATAAAGAGTCAAGATCCATCAGTGGGCTGTATTCAGGAGACACATCTCATGTGCAGAGACACACATAGGCTCAAAATAAAGGGAGAGAGGAAGATCTACCAAGCAAATGGAAAACAAAAAAAGGCAGGGGTTGCAATCCTAGTCTCTGATAAAACAGATTTTAAACCAACAAAGATCAAAAGAGACAAAGAAGGCCATTACATAATGGTAAAGGGATCAATTCAGCAGGAAGAGCTAACTCTCCTAAATATATATGCACCCAATACAGGAGCACCCAGATTCATAAAGCAGGTCCTTAGAGACCTACAAAGAGACTTAGACTCCCACACAATAATAATGGGAGACTTTAACACTCCACTGTCAACATTAGACAGATCAACAAGACAGAAAGTTAACAAGGATATCCAGGAATTGAACTCAGCTCTGCACCAAGTAGACCTAATAGACATCTACAGAAATCTCCACCCCAGGTCAACAGAATATACATTCTTCTCAGCACCACATCGCACTTATTCCAAAATTGACCACATGGTTGGAAGTAAAGCACTCCTCAGCAAATGTATAAGAACAGAAAGTATAACAAACTGTCTCTCAGACCACAGTGCAATCAAACTAGAACTCAAGATTAAGAAACTCACTCAAAACCACTCAACTACATGGAAACTGAACAACCTGCTCCTGAATGACTACTGGGTACGTAACGAAAGAAGGCAGAAATATAGATGTTCTTTGAAACCAATGAGAACAAAGACACAACATACCAGAACCTCTGGGACACATTTCAAGCAGTGTGTAGCGGGAAATTTATAGCACTAAATGCCCACAAGAGAAAGCAGGAAAGATCTAAAATTCACACCCTAACATCACAACTAAAAGAACTAGAGAAGCAAGAGCAAACACATTCAAAAGCTAGCAGAGGGCAAGAAATAACTAAGATCAAGCAGAACTGAAAGAGACAGAGACACAAAAATCCCTTCAAAAAATCAATGAATCTAGAAGCTGGTTTTTTTGAAAAGATTAACAAAATTGATAGACCACTATCAAGACTAATAAAGAAGAAAAGAGAGAAGAATCAAATAGACACAAAAAAAATGATAAAGGGGATATCGCCACCGATCCCACAGAAATACAAACTACCATCAGAGAATGCCATAAACACCTTTAAGCAAATAAACTGAAAATCTAGAAGAAATGGATAAATTCCTGGACACATATACCCCCCAAGACTAAACCAGGAAGAAGTTGAATCCCTGAATAGACCAATGACAGGCTCTGAAATTGAGGCAATAATTAACAGCCTACCAACCAAAAAAAGTCCAGGAACAGACGGATTCACAGCCAAATTCTGCCAGAGGTACAAAGAGGAGTTGGTACCATTCCTTCTGAAACTATGCCAATTGATAGAAAAAGAGGGAATCCTCCCTAACTCATTTTATGAGGCCAGCATCATCCTGATACCAAAGCCTGGCAGAGACACAACAAAAAAAGAGAATTTTAGACCAATATCCCTGATGAACATCGATGCAAAAATCCTCAACAAAATACTGCCAAAGCGAATCCAGCAACACATTAAAAAGCTTATCAACCACAACCAAGTTGGCTTCATCCCTGGGATGCAAGACTGGTTCAACATACACAAATCAATAAACGTAATCCATTATATAAACAAAACCAAAGACAAAAACCAAATGATTATCTCAATAGATGCAGAAAAGGCCTTCAACAAAATTTAACAGCCCTTCATGCTAAAAACTCTCAATAAACTAGGTATTGATGGGGTGTATCTCAAAATAATAAGAGCTATTTATGACAAACCCACAGCCAATATCATACTGAATGGGCAAAAACTGGAAGCATTCCCTTTGAAAACTGGCACAAGACAGGGATGCCCTCTCTCACCACTCCTATTCAACATAGTGTTGGAAGTTCTGGCCAGGGCAATCAGGCAGGAGAAAGAAATAAAGGGTATTCAATTAGGAAAAGAGGAAGTCAAATTGTCCCTGTTTGCAGATGACATGATTGTATATCTAGAAAACCCCATCATCTCAGCCCAAAATCTCCTTAAGCTGATAAGCAACTTCCGCAAAGTCTCAGGATACAAAATCAATGTACAAAAATCACAAGCATTCCTATACAGCAATAACAGACAAGCAGAGAGCCAAATAATGAGTGAAATCCCATTCAGAATTGCTTCAAAGAGAATCAAATACCTAGGAATCCAACTTACAAGGGATGTGAAGGACCTCTTCAAGGAGAACTACAAACCACTGCTCAATGGCATAGAAGAGGAAACAAATAAATGGAAGAACATTCCATGCTCATGGACAGGAAGAATAAATACGGTGAAAATGGCCATACTGCCCAAAGTAATTTATAGATTCAATGGCATCCCCATCAAGCTACCAATGACTTTCTTCACAGAATTGGAAAAAACTACTTTAAAGTTCATATGGAATCAAAAAAGAGCCCGC
The DNA here is from genome assembly GCF_000001405.40 of Homo sapiens. Classification (NCBI taxonomy): domain Eukaryota; kingdom Metazoa; phylum Chordata; class Mammalia; order Primates; family Hominidae; genus Homo; species Homo sapiens. The sequence goes on along the minus strand of NC_000002.12, from coordinate 180,528,193 downwards.
ATTGCCAAGTCAATCCTAAGCCAAAAGAACAAAGCTGGAGGCATCATGCTACCTGACTTCAAACTATACTACAAGGCTACAGTAACCAAAACACCATGGTACTGGTACCAAAACAGAGATATAGACCAATGGAACAGAACAGAGCCCTCAGAAATAACACCACACATCTACAACCATCTGATCTTTGACAAACCTGACAAAAACAAGAAATGGGGAAAGGATTCCCTATTTAATAAATGGTGCTGGGAAAACTAGCTAGCCATACGTAGAAAGCTAAAACTGGATCCCTTCCTGCACTTTCTACAAAAATTAATTGAAGATGGATTAAAGACTTAAATGTTCGACCTAAAACCATAAAAACCCTAGAAGAAAACCTAGGCAATACCATTCAGGACATAGGCATGGGCAAGGACTTCATGACTAAAACACCAAAAGCAATGGCAACAAAAGCCAAAATAGACAAATGGGATCTAATTAAACTAAAGAGCTTCTGCACAGCAAAAGAACTACCATCAGAGTGAACAGGCAACCTGCAAAATTGGAGAAAATTTTTACAATCTACCCATCTGAAAAAGGGCTAATATCCACAATCTAAAAGAACTCAAACAAATTTACAAGAAAAACATCAAACAACCCCATCAAAAAGTGGGCGAAGGATATGAACAGACATTTCTCAAAAGAAGACATTTATGCAGCCAACAGACACATGAAAAAATGCTCATCATCACTGGCCATCAGAGAAATGCAAATCAAAACCACAATTAGATACCATCTCACACCAGTTAGAATGGCGATCATTGAAAAGTCAGGAAACAACAGGTGCTGGAGAGGATGTGGAGAAATAGGAACACCTTTACACTGTTGGTGGGAATGTAAACTAGTTCAACCATTGTGGAAGACAGTGTGGCGATTCCTCAAGGATCTAGAACTAGAAATACCACTTGACCCAGTGATCCCATTACTGGGTATATACCCAAAGGATTATAAATCATGCTGCTATAAAGATACATGCACACGTATGTTTATTGCAGCACTATTCACAATAGCAAAGACTTGGAACCCACCCAAATGTACATCAATGATAGACTGGATTAAGAAAATGTGGCACATATACACCATGGAATACTATGCAGCCATAAAAAAGGACGAGTGAACGTCCTTTGTAGGGACATGGATGAAGCTGGAAACCATCATTCTCAGCAATCTATCACAAGGACAGAAAACCAAACACTGCATGTTCTCACTCATATGAGGCAATTGAACAATGAGTACACTTAGACACAGGGTGGGGAACATCACACTCTGGGGCCTGTCATGGGTGAGGAGAGGGGGAGGAATAGCATTAGGAGATATACCTAATGTAAATGACGAGTTAATGGGTGCAGCACACCACCATGGCACATGTATACATATGTAACAAACCTGCATGTTGTACACATGTACTTTAGAACTTAAAGTATAAAAAAAAAAGCATCAAAGAGGGATTTATTGAGTGTTCTCATTGGAACATGAAACCTCCGTGAACAAAAGATGAGCACTTAGTTTAGTTTTAATTCTGCAGAAATAGTCTTTGAGTGAAAAATACTCAAAATGGTAGCAGAGTCATTATGGACAGATAAAAGAGACTGTAAGGAACTATTAAATAAGCTTTCACTCAGAAGAGGCCCACAGGCCCACATGGCCATATAAATCAGGTAAGACACAGGTAATCAATTTTTTCTAGAAACTGACCTCCTCTATCACTACTACCCTGCTCTAAGCCACCATCATCTCTCACCAGGATTACTGGAATAGCTCCAAAACTCCCTAAAAATAACTTCCTAACACCCTTCTAGTAGTTCAACAAAACTGCCAGCATGACCAAATTCACCCATCTGCAGGCTGTCTCCCTTTCAGTACATGCTAATGTCTCTGTTATGATCTAGCTGGCCCTACATGGCCCAGCCCACCACCTCTCTGAGTTATCTCCTATTACCTTCCAGTTCACTCACTGCACTCTGGCCTTCTGGCCTCCTTGCTCCTGCCTCTGGGCCTTTTACCTGTGTTTCACTGAGCCTGGAAAGCTCCTCTCTTCGCTCTATGCTCGCTCCCTTACCTTCGTCAGATTCCTGTTGGAATGCCCCCTTATCACAGGGCCTTCTCTTATACACCATCCCAGAATGCTCTATCCTTCTCTTGTTTTCTTCTTTTGAAATGTCACTTAATCAAAACAATTAGGTTTTTTCTTTTTAATATTAGAAGGGGTAATTTCTGTGTGTATTGAGTGAAGGCTTCTAATTTGATCTTTCTAAGTGTCAGTGAATCACCATGTTGTTCTTCTCCCAAGTTTACCTAGATGATTGGAACCTGGGTTTTATATTCTAGCTCCCAAAACTTACCAAGGAGCTCTTACTAATATCTCACAATAGCCGAAATTAATTGTCCCTTGTAAGGCCCTGTGCTTTTCCCAGCTTCTGTTAAAAAAATTGTGGCCAGGAGTGGTGGCTCATGCCCGTAATCCCAACACTTTGGGAGGCTGATGGGGGTGGATCATGAGGTCAAGAGATCGAGACCATCCTGGCCAACATGGTGAAACCCCGTCTCTACTAAAAATACAAAAATTAGCTGGGTGTGGTGGCATGCACCTGTAGTCCCAGCTACTCGGGAGGCTGAGGCAGGAGAATCGCTTGAATTCAGGAGGTGGAGGTTGCAGTGAGCTGAGATCACGCCACTGCACTCCAGCCTGGCAACAGAGCGAGACTCCATCTTAAAAAAAATAAATAATTGTTTTATTTTTCTGTCTCTATTGGCCAACAAGAATAGAAACTCCGCTAGGGCAGAGACTTTTTGTTCATTGCAATATCTCAATCATCCAGAACAGTGTCTGTCATTTTGTAGACAGTAATATTTTGTTGAATGAATAAATTAATGATCATATTAATAGCCATATACCCCAATCCAATACCAACTTCAGTGTACCTATCTTGAACACTTAAAGAGTCACGATGAATCAATCACTTCAAAAACTACCACTGTTTCTCACTCATTCATTCTTTTGACAAAATATTATTTATTACCTACTACGTGCCAAGACTTTTATAAGCACTGGAGATATAATAGTAAGCAAAACAGCTAAATTTATACCATAAAATGTATATTCTACTGGAAAAAACAGACAATACATAAACAAGAATATCTGTTATAATGCTGGGTAAAGATAAGAACTATGAAGACAAATGAGGGAGGTTAAGGGGTTGCATATCCTCCAGGGGTGCTATTTGAGAAGACTTGGTGAGGGAAGCCCTTTCTGATGAGGGGGCATTTGAGTAGAGCCCTGAGTGACATGTGAGAGTGAGCCAAGAGAGGATCTGGGGAAGAGCTGCCAGATGAAAACTATGGGATAAACCAGATGGGCGGAGAGGCTGGCATATTGAAGCAAAAAAAGGCCAGGGCCATAGGAGCAGAGGCCCAGAAAGGGCGAGAGGAGAGGGCAGCCAAGGGCAGATTTTCTAGAGTCCTTGGATATTATTCTCAGCATGCTGGGAAGGCATTTGAGAGTACTCAGCAGGGGAGTAACTAGATCTGACTTATCTTTTACAAAAAAGGCTCACTCTGACTGTTGTGTAGATTGAAAGAGGGCAAGTGTGGAAGCTAGAAAAAGCACAGAGCCTTACAATGGATAATTATTCTTAGCAGTTGTGAGATACTACTAGGAGCTCCTTGGTAATATTTAGGAGTTGGGATATGAAACCCAGGTGGCCAATTACCCAGGTAAATATGGGAGCAGAACACCATGGTGATTTGATCCTCTAAGCCTCACCATCACAGTCATTTAGGCAGCTCAAATTAGAAGTCCAGGATTCAAAACACCTATGGCTTATCATCCCTAATATTGAAAAAGGAGAATAAAAAATCCACAGCAAGAAATGAAGTATTTTTCAATCCTTCAACTACAAAAAGAGAAAAATTTGATCAGCAGAAACAACACATGAAATTAACCGCCCAGGTCCACCCATTCCCTAGGGAAATATGTGGCCAGATTGGCCCCATTAGTCATGTATAATCACATAAATAAGACATTCATGCAGGAAGTCACCCTTCACCCCAAAGGAACAGTTAGATGAGTAACAGCATTGGTCACTACAGAAATCCATTTTTTCTTTCACTGTCCTAATACACAGTTTTCTTCTTTCTCCTTACTATTTCCTGTGTTAAATATAAGTGTCCGAGGTTGTTTAATAATAAAAAAAAATACCGTGAAACTCTGCTTCAACTATTCTAATTTATTCCCCTACAGTTAAACGTCTGGTATTTTAAATCTATGTCATTTATTTACTTGTGGTGTAATCATATTGACTGTGACCTAGAGAGGAACGGATAAGTTAATGAAATGCAGAAGTACCGTAGACTCACAAGACCATGACTACTGAAAGGGGTGGTGTTTATGTTTTTGCCCAAATTATGATTTGCAGCCTCTACCTGGCTGAAATTCCATGTAGTATCCCCTCTCCAAGTGTTTCTGATTATTTCTAGAAGGGCTTGTTGATCTCTTAAGACTGGAAAGCTTATTTTAGTAATAGGCTTCCTTGCTTCTGGGAAACTCATTCCCTGTGGATAGTGGGGTAGAGAGGAGTATAGTACAGCAACTACAAACTCAGGCTCTGAATTCAGACTCGCTGGATTTGAATCCTAGTTTTGTCACTCATAGCTACATGGCACTGCACAAGTTACTCAATCTCTGTATCCATTTCCTGATTTATAAAGCAGAAATAATACTACCTCCCTACCTCTCTAGTAATTACGACCTCATTGTAATGTTACCAGGAATAGTTGAGATACAAGCTGAGTATCCCTAATCTGAAATGCTTGGAACCAGAAGTGTTTCAAATTTGGATTTTTTTTTGAATTTTGGGATATTTGCATTATTTTAACCATTTGAGCATCCCAAATTTGAAAATCAGAAATTTGAAATGTTCCGGTGAGCATTTCCTTTGAGCATCATGTCAGTACTCAGAAAGTTTCAGATTTTGGAGCATTTCAGATTTCACGTTTCCAGATTAGGGGTACTCAAAACCTGTATCTATAAAACTTTTACAACAGTGTTTGACATCCGAAAAATGATGGGCAAATATTGTCAGCCATTAGTGTTGTGTCAGGGAGGGCAGTTGATTTCTGCCTATTACTCCTGTTGATGGTGCCATTTTGAGAATGACAATGTCTAGGCCAAGTATCCTGTATACAGGTGTTCCCAAAGCTACCCTTGGTTAGTGTTAAATTCTGGACAGAGGCAGGAAGATTAGCTATCCTTTAAACTCTTGGTCAGGTCTTGTCTCCTGGGCCCCAAACAGAACTACTTAGATCTATCATCTTATCAAGTTTCCGGCCAGTGGTGAACAGTTCTGTTTGTTTCTAATTCTCTCCTCCATTTATGAGAATTCAAATCCAAACCTTGTGCCTAGACAGTTAAAGGAGTTGTTTTCAGCCTAACCACTGTTCCCACAGAGAACAGACCTCATACCATCCTCTTCTTTCTCCTATTGGTTTTTACTTTTAGCTAAAACCATCCCCCCTCCCTTAGTTGGTAAACAAATGCTTCTATACATAACCTTAGAACATGCAGAAGGAATGAGGGAGAGGAATATTTTCTACACTGTCAGTGTCTGGATCTAGTTCAGCCGGGTAATTATGCCCTATTATCGATGTTGGAGTTTTATCTCCCTGGTGGGGTCAGACTTAGATGGCCCATGGTTGTCTGATTTAAAAGGTATAATGTGTTCATTAGAGAAGGCCAAATGTACATTTAAAAACATGAAGGCCAAATATGTATGGCTCAAGTGCAATAAGAATTCTATTTCTTGCTCATGTAACAGTCCAAGGTAGATGTAACTGTTGGGCATCTCACCTCCACTCAGTAATTCAGGCAATGATCTAGGTTTCTTTCCTTTTGAGGCCCTAGACTTCGCTATCATTTAGATCTAGCTCTCTAAAAAGAAAAGGTAAGCCTGCTTCTCTTCGCACAAAACAGCACGCTTCTCTTCCACACACAGTCCACTATGAGTTAGTCACATCTACCTGCATGGTCTGTCAAAGGCATTCTCTATGAAAGGGAAAACATCTTTCAGTGGGCATAGAATTATCTCCACATATAAAAAAACATTTCTGTATTTTATAGGAGTCAAATAATCAAAATGTGTTAACTTTTCATTCAACCTCAGAGCTGGTTTACTGAAAATTAAAACGACTGGTGAGTGATGAGGCAAAACTAAATTTTTTAAAGGATAACTTTAATCAGTATATTTATTCCTCCTGCTACATTCTCTACAAGGAATTGTAATTGAAATAAAAGAAAATATTTGCTGACAACAATTATTAAGTCCTCATTCCAGAAATCAAATCTAGTAAAATTTCACCTTGATTCTAGAAGAAGTAAAGAAGTAAAACGGGGGAACTGAACACCCTCCCACACCATTTTTTTTTTAACCTTTTCCATTATTCAGCCAAGGACTCACATTAAATCTCTGGCAAGTTTGAGAAGGTGGTAAATATCCTGACTTCACTGTACTCATTAGCAATATTTTTAAAGACTACCTTAAATTTTAATAAGTTAATTCAATTCATGCTCAGGGAGTTGCTGGATGTCAATGTGCTAAACAAATACCCCTGACTCAGGCAGCATCTTTTTCTACATTACTAATGCATTACACATAAGCTTTCCTAATATTGGTGCCACTGTGCAAACAGTACTGTCACTTAGAGCCACGTTCACCTTTTGTAAACAAATGATTCAATTAATAAACCTCACCAGGGAATAGTACTTTTGACTTAAAGGTTGCCTTTCTAAGATTGCTTTATAAAACAGTCTTCACATTCCTGGAGCTTATGACCTACGTGCATTTCAGGATTTGCTAATGAACTGCTCAGCTGCTGAGTTGAGTAAATATAAAAGGCCATTTCTCTTTGCTCTTTTCACACCTTTTAATTGGAACAAGTATGTTTTTGGTCTGATTCATACCACTTTCATGTGCTAGAAACTTGTGTGCATAAAAATTTGGTTGAAATTCTACAGGCAGTAGGGGTCACATTTTTTAACGTGGTTGCTTGAATTCTACAGGACAAGGATTAATAGATCATGAGTGGCATGATGGATTTGTTTGAAAATTACATTCCAACCTAAGTGAGTTTTAGCTCCCATAATGTGTCTGTTCATGTTTCTAAAGCAATTATTTCCCAAGTAGAATGCACGAGGTGGCCCAAGGGGGTTAAGAGAGATTGTATTAGTCAAGACTCTTTCTGGTTGCAAGTGATAGAAACACTTCACAAAATGGATTAAACAAAAAATGGAATGTATATGCTCACGTATATGAAATGTCTAAGGTTGAGCTGATTTCAGGCAAGGCTGGTGTATTATTGGGCGTCTCAACAGGAAACAGCTGGCACGCTTATATTAAAATAACCAGAACAGTTTACATACACAAGAAACATTGTGAAGATATGAGAGTAGTGAATGAAAATGAGCTAGAACAGTAACCCAGGGTTAGCAGAAGAGCTGTTACCACCTATAAGCCGAATGATATGAGAGGAAGAAGTTACCAGAACCTGAAAAGAGTCTGACAGAGCCAGCCTGAGACAACCCTATAGAGAGACCCAGAGGATTAAATCCCTCACCTCACCTCTGCTGTGGCTTCCCAGTGCCCAACCCCATCTGAAAACCAGAGAGGCACTCTATGTGGTCTCCACAGGTCAGCCTCCTGGGTTGAGCTTCTGGGGAGAAAGGTGCAGAGTGGTTCTCTTCCACACAGCTAGGTATGATACCCTCAGGACTGGGCTGCCATCTCCTGGATCTTTTCTGTTCTCTCATGGCATTACTAGTAGACATGCTTTCTTTCATGTGTGACAAAAAGATCACCAGCAGCTCCAGGACTAACTCCTAACAGCCTAGCTACCCTGAGAGGGTTTCTTTGACCTAAAAGTTGAATGTAAGTCACAAGTCCCCAGATTAGCTCAAAGATCCTTCCCTGAACCAATCACTATAGGCATGAAGTAGAATACACTCACAAGCCAGCTTTCAATTATGTGCCAAACTCTGGAGCTGAGATGGATTCAGCCATAACTGAACCAAATGAATCGAGTTAGAGAAGACTGGGCCCTCAAAAGGGAAGATAGGGTATTATCATCAGAAGAAAGAGAAGCTGATGCTGGACAGGTGGATCCACTGAATATACACCACTTCAGAGATAAAAGCTGGAAGTAGTGTGTGACCAAATCCACTCCTGGTGCCAATTAAGCACAATAGTCTCTTTTGCTAAGATCCATCCTGAGAAATGTGGCTGTTTTTCCTTGGGATACATCCACTAGAGAATCTGAATACTTAGTTTAAAAAAAAAATCTTTTCTGAGATGCTGATTCTATCAGTTCAGTTCTTCGTTACCTGTTCTTTTCATGGGTGGAAAACAGCCCTTTTCTCCCCTGAGAGGCATATGAATGAGGATGGATGATATTGTTTTGGAATTCTTAACATGGAGCCCTTAGAATTCTAGGGAATTTAGTTATAAACTTTATGTTTCTTGTGAACACTTGCAATTACATAGAAAATAAACAATTTTCATTTTTAAGGGGGAAGAGTCCTTAGCTTTTCTTAGATTTTCAGAAAGGTGATCCCAAAATAGTTAACACCCTTTGCTGACTTATGCCCTTTCATGAACAAATACTCTTTGTGATGACTCAGTTCCTACAGAGAACAGCTAGGAGAATGATTCATCAAGGTCTGAGTTCAAGAGAATCCAAATCATTGTTGTAAGCAGACAAAACTACTGTGTGAAGAGATAATCATGGTCTATAAACAGGGAATAAAATATTTAATTGTGAAAGTCCATATAAATAAATCATTAAAATGATGCCCCTAAAAGTTACAGTGCTTTTATTAATTAACTTCATAATGAAGTGATCATAAGTGTCTAGGGTTAATGCTATTTTAAATAGCAAAATATATTTCTCTTCCATATTAATTTCTGTGCCTGTAAATAATAGCTACTATATACCGCTGCCTACAGCCACACAAATATTTACTTCTTATCATAGCCTTATTGTCCTATGTGTTCATAATATGTTAAACTAGATAATCTGGTCAACTAACAACACAGAGGCTAAGTGACACAATTATGTGCATGTGGCCAGCTCCATGCTCACTGTTGTAATGCTTCACAGGAATAGAACTAAGATTTAAGACCCAAGCAGATGTAGGGGCACAGCAAATAAACCTTGCCTCTCCACCTTCGTTGAACTTTTGGCAGAAGTAAGAGACAGAAACCCAGGAGGAGGCCAACCAGGATGGTACCAGGGGTATGAATGGGGTAAGAGAAGTTCATAAGCCAGATAAGTGATGTTATTTCCTCCCAGAAATGTTAGGAGCACGTATTAGCTTGCTAGAGCTGCTGTAACAAAGTACCAAAACTGAGTGGCTTAAACAACAGAAATGTATTTTCCCAAGGTTCTAGAGGCTAGAGGTCTGAGATCAGGGTGTTAGCAGGGTTGGTTCTTTCTGAGGCTGTGAGGGAGGATCTGCTTCATGCCATTCTCTGAGCTTCTGGTGGCTTGCTGGCAATCTTTGATGTTTCTTGGCTTGTAGAAGCATCACCTTCATCTCTGTCTTTGCACATGCATGTTCTCCCTATTCGCATGTCTTCCTCTGTGCTCAAATTTCCCCCTTTTTTAAAGACACCACTCATATTAGACAATGGGGACCATAATACTCTAGTAAAACCTCATCTTAACTGAACTAACTGCTTCTACAATGACTCTATTTCCAAATAAGTGCACATTATGAAGTGTTAGGAGTTAGGACTTCAACAGATGAATTCAACCCATAGCAAGGCTAAGCCCTTCAAACACCCAAATTCAGATATATAACACTAACTAATAAAATTGTTAATATCATATCAGATTAAATGTGTTTGGGAGAGTGAAGGTAGCCAGGCAGCTGCAGAAATTAGGAAGGATTAAATATAACTGATTTAAAGGGACAGGAAGTTTTATGGATAGTTTGTGGATTGATTAAAACACAGAATCTTCCTCTGCTCATGTTTGCTGCATGCCACCTGTGTTGCTTTTCTCATTTTTTTCTGTCCTTTTGCTTTTGAGGGTTATGATTTTGAAGCACAGTGAAATAAAAATGGCTTTCTGAGCCTCTGTTTTGTTTGGATTAGATCAGCACTTTACCTGAGAGGTAATCCCCTCTCAGATTTCAAGTGTAAAGAAAAACAAGTAATATGAGGACTATCTACTTTATCCCTTCTCCTTTTAAGAATATTAGCATATTAGAAGTGCTAACAAGTCCTACAACCAAAAAAAAGCCTTTCAACCTTGCTTGAACAGAGTTTTTTCAAACTTACTTGATCATGTAAACCACTTTTTTTTCACTAATCCTATGTATCATCCTGTAGAGCTAGTTTTGCTGACACACATTTTGGGGAACAACAAGGAAAATATTTACCAAGATCTGTTATAGATTAAAATTACTGTAACTTACAGAAAGAGGGGAACAGACAGGTTGGAGGTGGGAAATGGTAACTAAGTAATTAAGTTTCTTCTCTAATATGTTTTCCTCACAGACTCTGAGCCCAGCTTTGTGTTCCTAGGAGGTAAATCACAAATGGAAGACTTGCGGCTTAGGTAAATTTTAGATGAGAGAATTTGCTAAAAATATTGCATTATTCATGGCTGGGAAGATAAGGGTGAGAGACAGAGTACCTGGCACCAGGATGCTAAGAAAATACCCAATGACTCTGATGGAGCATGAGACCAGGTCTCACTAGAAAAGTACACCATGAATTGGTTTAGGAGTACAGAGTAAAGACAGAATACATCCAGGCCTCAATTTTATTTGGCTTAATTCTTAGCATAACTATCTGAAGTCAGTGTTACTGTCTCAGCTTAACATGTGCTGTTCAAAGTTTGCACAATAGTTTGCCATAGAGCTGGGATAGAAATCCAGATCTGTATGCGCATAATTTTTATGTCCTCACCATCACACGCTATTCTGAAGAGATGTTGGAGGATGTCTTGGGGTCTGAGACAGCTCTTAAGAAGGGTGAGGAAAGGGGGGCTTGGTCAAAGGGGTCTTGTTCTAATGTGTTTCATGTGGGAATTTGTTGTCATCATTGTCGATACTGTTATTTCTAAACCTGAAAAAACAGAAACTACAAAAATAACTTCCTCATTCCCAAGATGATCATGAACAGTAGAGAGTCCAAAACTATCACTGAACCTGCAGTCTGCAAGCAGATTTGTAGAGCTGTGCCAATTTACAGGGAAAAAAAAGATATTAATTAAAAAAAATCATGTCCTTAGGGACAGAACCAAATGTGGATCTGTACAATGGTGTGTCTGATCTTCAAGGTGCCTGCTAGATCTTTGACATACCCTTGATGCTCTAGTGGGATCTCTAAAGCTCATTAATGTCACCAGCCAGCCATAATTAGCATAAAATGAGGCAGTCTGAGGTGGCCAAGAATAATCTGAAGCATTCAGTCTGAAACAGCAGCCAGTTGTGGTTGTATAACTCTGCTCCATGGGAGATACATAATCAACATGCAAAATCAGAAACCCAAAAGGCAGCTGAATTGCAGGTTGAACTAAGAAGCTTTCTAGCGACACTGCAACCCATTTCAAGTGGCATGGCAGAGCTGGGAACAAATTGGAAGCATCACTGGTAGACAGAACAATATGGCATGAAGCATCACAGATGGGGTGGCTTTTTGAGTAAAGGTGTCAAACAGACTGTGAGGAAATGAAACAGATTCTTAGATGGTGGCTGCAGAAGAAAATGAAAGGGCAATCTTTGTGTGTCTGCCACGTGGAGAACACTGCTTTGCATTTTCCAGCATCAGCAACACCCATACATCCAGATTGTGAGCACTAACAGGGTAGACTTTTAAAGTTTTCTAAAAATTTGACTCACAAGAAAAATCCTTAAAGAACAGTGAACATTCTATCCTTATAATTTACTATGGCATTTTGTACTCAGTGCAGTTCAACCTCCAATAATAGTTATTCTGTATCATGCTATTGTACTAATCATTTTCATCTCCAAACCACATGGGCTTTTTCTCCCAACCAGAATAAGACAAATGGGATAAGATGAGGGGAGGGGCAGAAGAATCTCAAAATGTCATTATATTGAGATATTTTAAAAATGAAACTAAAGAGGTTCAGCTGGAAGAGAAGATAAAGGCATTTGTTGAAGTGAATTGACCAATATAGGAACCGAAGGGTCTTCAGATACTTAAAAGATTATCCTGAAAAAGAGAGAGTAGATGGTTCTTGATTTAAAAGACCAGAACATAAAATCAATGGAAAGAAATCATGAAGAAACAAATTTTAGTTCAGTGCAATGAAGAACTTTCCAACTACATTTCAATCTTACAGAATAGATTGCACTGAGATAGTGACAGAGCTGGCAGTGGTCAGTGACCAGAGAGCCATTTGCTTGGGATGATATAGAATAATCTTATTACAGAATCTGAGGTTAAACTAAATATACTGTATTTGCTTGTCTCTTATTCTTCCTACAGAGCTTTAAACTCCTTGAAAATAGGGGTGGGCTGTTCTAAATATTTCTCATCTTCACAGAGACCAATAGGGAACCTTGAATAGAGCAGGCTGTCAAAAACCTATAATTAAATTAATTTCATAACTAATTACATCTTCAGACTTCTATGAAACAGTGAATTCAAAAGTATCCACTCAATTCAATTCAGATAATTTAGTCCATAAGTAACTGATGTAATAGATTTACTCAAACGACAAAATTTTCAGAGCCGACCATGTATACAGCACTCCTCTCAGACAATAAGCTTTTTAGTCAACAATTTACTTAAAATATATTCATTGTGAGGGCCAGCATCAGTTGACTGACTATATTTCCCACTCTCCAACCTTAAATAACTATTTACATGAGAAAGTAATTTTGGTAATTGAAAGAGATTCACGACAGTCAAATAAAGTAAAATCAGATCATCTCTACAGTTTCTAAACTTTAGCTGTTCCTGCATCTCCTGTTTAAAAATAAAAAATCTATCAAATTATCAAGTGATTTCACTTACATTCTTTCCAAACTTAATATGTGTTTGAATGACCCACTTCCAAATATCATGTTGACCTTTGGAACTTCTGCACTTGAAACTGTCTTTTAAAATATGGCACTGACATTTTTGTCTTAATACATGCCTTATTAAGGTCAGTGCTACATTTACTATAATAAATAGGGGAGAATTAAGAGCTCATCAACACTGCCATAGTACAACATTGAATAGATTGAATTATGTGCTTAAGAAGATGAATTGATGACAATTGGCAAACTGGGCTTAAAAAGCTGCTGCCTTGAAAAATATCTCAGAGAAAAAGTGTTTTCATGAATATATTTCCCTCCTTCAGCATATTTTATTTTGATAAAATACACCCATAAATTGGGGTCCTCTTTTAAAGATTCATATTTCAACTTTATCATTTAACAACCGTCTAATGAGCTCACAGGGATCCCTGCCATAGCTGTGGATTTTGAAGTACGGTCTGTGAAAACCCGTTGTTTAGAGTGCTCATTGAAAATATGAGTTGTTCTTCGAACCCAAAGGAGTAATCAAGTTGCTGTCTGTCTTTTTTTAACTGAAGAAATATTGAAATAATGAGGAAGTATGCTTTGTGAGTAGTATGGAGGTGTACTCAGAGCTACTTAAAATATCCTTTGTGTAAAATGAAACATCAATCTAATTCCAAGTGTGGAGAGCCAGCATGGCAAATCCAATGTAGCTGCAAGGCAGTTTACATTGTATCTTACCACTGTTCAATTTAAGAAAAGATTGAAGAACATCAGGCTGCTATAAAAACAATTTACGCAGAATAAATTTGGTACTCGTCAACCGTTTTTCAAAGGAAGCAGCTCTCCAGCAGAGCCAGGGTGTCATGCAACATGGCTTAGCGGTACTTGAATAGAATGATTATTAGGCATAAAATGAGTTCAAAAATAGATTTACAAAAGTATTAAATGATTGAAACGAGAGCACTAGCTGCCATTTAAATGGCATTTAAATTGTGTTAATTGAGACTAGGTAGTAGGAAAAGTATTGAAACTTCCAGGAATTTACAGACCTTTTTCTGTCAGATTTCTATTACAGCAGCCTACAAAATAATAGGTTAAGGAAAATCAGAAAACATCTATGAGTTATGCTTGTCTATCCTCTTTGTGATGCATTGCATGATTTTCACGGCAGTTGTAGGGTCAGGAAGAATAGGGAAGTCTGGGATGGGGGTAGGGGTACAAAAAAGTAAATGAAATTATCCCTAATGCTAGAATGTACTTTAAGAATTCAAACGGAGTGGAAATTCAAAGATAAATTGACTATGGAGAATAAACGAGTGGTTTTGTGGAGAATGTGGAACTGAAGATAGATCTTTGAAGTAGTATAGAGTTCAGTAAAAGTAGTGAACATAAAGCAGACTTCACTGACAGCAAAACTTAATGGTTTAGAGCAAGGGCTATGGGATTAGCATGTCTGGCTACGGTTCTGTCACTTCCTAAGTTTATCTCCTTGAGCAAGTTACTTAACCTCCTTGAGCCTCAGTTTTCACATCTGTAAAATGGGATCAGTTTCATTTGATTGAGATGCCTCTTTGAGCTGATTCAAGAATTAAATGAGAGGATACAAGTACATTAGTTCATTTTGCTTTGCTATAAAGGAATACCTGAGGCTGGGTAATTTATCAAGAAAATAGGTTTATTTGGCTCAAAGTTCTGTACATTGCACAAGCATGGCACCAACATCTGCTCAGCTTCTGGTGAGGTCTCAGGAAACTTCTACTCATGTCAGAAGGCAAAGGCAGAGCTGGTGTGTTACATGGCAAGAGAGGGAGCAAGAGAGAGAGAGAGGGAGGGGAGGAGGTACCAGACTCTTTCTAAAAATCAGATCTTGCAGTAGCAGAAAACTCACTTACTACCACAGGGAGGGCACAAACTCATTCATGAGGGATCTGTCCCTATGACCCAAACACCTCCCACCAGGCCCCATCTCCATCACTGGGGATCACATTTCAACATGAGATTTAGAGGGGACAAATATTCAAGCCATAACAACAGGTACAGCTTTTAGAGCACTGCTTGACATATAATAAATAATAAAGTTAGCTATTGCTATTAATATAATCATCTTTTTCATCAGCATTATCTGGCTTGAAAGTCCTATCATTAATTTTCCTTAACTTCATTTTTTACCTCCGTGACTTCATTTTTTTTACCTCCAGTATAAAGAAATGTGACTTCATGTACATTTCTTTTCACAAAAAAAAAGTAAAAGAAAGGATCTTGATTTGTTGAGAAATAAAACATAGACTTTAAAAAATGTAGTTGCTTTAAATAAATGATTATATCAAATTCCCCCTTTTCTTTTTCTGGACGTGTGAACAGAAGCCAAACATTCCCTGCTCTTTTTAATTAGTAAAAAGTCTAATCCAGTTTAAAAATCAAATCTCTCATATACCTCAAAGCTCTCCTCTTCCCCCATCATTGATTAGACTCTTGACTGGAGGGGATTGGAATGGATAATTGAATGTGGTTGTTCTTACTATGTCTCTCTGTGTTTCCTTTCTAGCTTCCCTAGTTTTTGGGGAGGTTTGAGGGACAAACATCTCTTTTCTTAACTAAATGAATCCACAGCTACTGCTTATCGGTTGTTGCTACTTTTTTGACTAACACTGATGGAGCATCAGTGTTTTGTGTGTGGCTGGTACCAAAATGTTGATTCTCTTGTGGGATGCACGTGTAGGTTCTTTGGAGGGGCCTTGCTATTGCATGATTTACTGTCATGGGAGATCTTGTTCTGGCTAAACCTCTTCTAGTCCCTCCCTTGCCTTAATTCTTGACGTCCATGATTGTTCCCACAGCCTCTTACTGCCTGAATTGTCATGCATGTTGAACAGCCTTTTTGGGTAAGCCTTCCATTTGCCCTGGTAGTTTCTTGCTGAAGGGGAAATTTCCATGGCCAAACATAAAAGAGTAGGCTGTTTCTCATATTTTTTCTAAACCCTGCCATCTCTTTCCAGTTCTCTTTAAGACTACATGGACAGAGGAGCAGATCTGGAAATGTGCCTATACATACACCTAACAAGGAGATAAGAAGCCAATTGTCCCTTCTTGCATATATTCTCAACTCTGAGTGATTTTTCTGTGAAGCTATTTTTTTTACATATCTTGGAGGGAGAACACCCCTCACTTCCTACCCAAAACCCTCCCTTTACTTTTGCATTCCTCTCCCTGTATGTGGCTGTGAAAAGGAAGAAGAGTGGCACAGGATGGCAATGAAAGTTGATGACTGGCTCTGCTGCCTTACTAAGCTTTTCAGGGAGTGTCTGGTTGGTGGGCTTCTTCAGAATGTCCAGTTCTTTTTCTTACTTTGGGACTTACCTGCAATTCCAGGATAACAGGAAAAGACCTCTTGAGCATCCTGTAACACATAGGTAGTACTCACTAATCATCTGAATTGGTAGATACTTTATGTCTGTGTTGCTAAATTCTACTCACTTTTCAAATTTCAGTTCAAATGGCATCTGTTCAAAGAACCCTAACTCCCTGTAGTTGAAAATATAATTTCTGATATCTAAATTGTCATGGTCCTTTATTCATAACACTATAGTAATATTATATATTCCTGTGTTTTATAATTATCACTACCTTTATACATTTTATCATTTTAGGTGATAATATTATTAAAAATATTATTTAAGAATTGAATGGGAAAAATAACTTAAAAATAAAGTTTACACAGGAATCATCTTCCTTATTTCTCATAGTATTACCAAAGCTCTTACAATGAAATTATTATTTTTAAAAAATTTACTTTTTAAATTGACAAATAATAATTATACACATTATGGGGTACATAGTGATGTTTTGATATATTTGATATATAGTGATAAGACCAAGGTAATTAACATATCCATCATCTCAAACACTTATTCCTTTGTGTTGGGAACATTCAATATCCTTGCTTCTAGCTATCTGAAAATACATGATATGTTAATATTAACTACAGTCATCCTACAATGCTTGAGAACACTAGAATTTATTCTTCCTATTTAGCTGTAAAGTTGTATCTTTCAACAAATATATCCCTGTTTCCTACTTTCTGCTTACCATTCCCAGTCTCTAGTAACCTGTTTTACTCTTTACTTCTGTGAGATCAACCTTTTTAGCTATTGCATGTGAATGAGAACGTATGGTCTTTAACTTTCTGTTTCTGACTGATTTCACTTAACATAATGTCCTTTAGGCTCATCCATATTGCCATGAATGACAGGATATCATTTTTATGGCTGAAGATTATTTTATTGTGTATATACACAACACTTTCTTTATCCATTAATCTCATGTTGGACACTTGGGTTGATTCTATATCTTGGCTTTGGTAAATAGTGCTGCAATAAACATGGTGGTTTAGATATCTCTTTGGTATATTGGTTTCCTTGGTATACTGATATCCTTTCCTTTGGATAATATCCAGTAGCATAATTGCTGGATCATATGATAATTCTATTTGAAGTTTTCTGAGGAACCTTCATAATGGCTACACTAGTTTATATTCCCACCAACATTATATAAGAGTTCCCTTTTCACTGCAATCTTGCCAGCATTTGTTAATTTTTGACTTTTTATAGTAGCCATTCTATCTGGGGTGAGATAATATCTCATTGTGGTTTTGATTAGCATTTCCCTGATGATTATTGATGTTGAGCACTTTTTAAACATATTTACTGGCCATTT
Organism: Homo sapiens; assembly: GCF_000001405.40. NCBI lineage: Eukaryota > Metazoa > Chordata > Mammalia > Primates > Hominidae > Homo > Homo sapiens. The sequence continues at coordinate 180,510,408 of NC_000002.12, read as the reverse complement.
GTCTGTTTTCTTTTGGGAAATGTCTGTTTTGATCATTTGCTCATTTTTTAATTGATTTTTTTCTGTTGAAATGTTTGAGTTTCTTATATATTCTGGATATTTACCCCTGATGTATAAATAGTTTTGAAATATTTTCTCTTATTCTGTAGATTGTCTTTTCACTTTGTTGACAGTCTCTTCAATAAATGGTACTGGGAAAACTGGATATCTATATGCAGAAGAATGAAATTAGACCCTGATCTCTCATCATGTACAAAAATAAAATTAAAACAAATTAAAGACAAATCTAAGACCCCAAACTATGAAACTACTACAAGAAAACGCTGGGGAAACTCTCCAGGACATTAGTCTGGGCAAAGGTTTCTTGAGTAATATCCCACAAGTACAGGCAATCAAAGCAAAAAGGGACAAATGGGATTACATTAAGTTAAAAAACTTCTGCATAGTATTCCATGGTGTATATGTACCACATTTTCTTTACCTAGTCTATCACTGATGGGCATTTAGGTTGATTTCATGTGTTTGCTATTGTGAATAGCATTGCAGTGAACATATGTGTACATGTGTCTTTATAATAGAATGATTTATATTCCTTTGGGTGTATACCTAGTAATGGAATTGCTGTGTTGAGTGATATTTCTGTCTTTAGGTCTTTGAGGAATCACCACACTGTCTTCTGCAATGGTTGAATCAATTTACACTCCTATCAACAGCATATAAGTGTTCCTTTTTCTCCACAACCTCATCAGCATCTGTTATTTTTTGACTTTTTAATAAGAACCATTCTGACTGGTGTGAGATGGTATCTCATTGTGGTTTTGATTGGCATTTCTCTAATGCTCAGTGATGTTGACCTTTCTTTTCATGATGGTTGGCCGCATGTATGTCTTCTTTTGAAAAGTGTCTGTTCACGTCCTTTGCCCACTTTTTATAAGATTGTTTGTGTGGGTGTTTTTTTTTTTGTAAATTTACGTTCCTTATAGATGCTGTATATTAGACCTTTGTTGGATAAATAGTTGGCAAGAATTTTCTCCCATTCTGTAGGTTGTCTGTATACACCATGGAATACTATGCCCCCATAAAAAAAGATCATGTCCTTTGCAGGGACATGGATGGAACTGAAGGCCATTATCCTTAGCAAAGTAACAAAGGAACAGAATACCAAATACTGCATGGTTTGGCTTATAAATGGGAGCTAAATGATGAGAACACATGGACACGTAGAGGGGAGCAACACACACTGGGGCCTATCAGATGGTGAAGGGTGAGAGGAGGGAGAGGATCAGGAAAAATGGCTACCAGGCTTAATATAGAGGTGATGAAATAATCTGAACAACAAACCCCTAAGTTTACCTTTGTAACAAACCTGCACCTGTACCCCTGAACTTAAAAGTTAAATAAATAAATAAGCAAAAAAAAAAAAAAAAGCTTCTTCACAGCAAAGAAAAACAATCAACACAGTGAAGAGGCAACCTATATTTTCCAACTACCATCTGACAAGTGATGAAAAACCAGAATATATAAGAAATTTAAACAACTCTACAGGAAAAAAAATCTAATAATCCAATTTTAAAATAGACAAAAGATCTGAATAGACATTTCTGAAAAGAAGTCATGCAAATGGCAAACAGGCATATGAAAAGGTGCTCAGCATCACTGATCATCAGAGAAATGCAAATCAAAGCTATGATGATATTATTCCACCCCAGTTAAAATGGCTTTTACCCAGAGGTTAGGCAATACCATATGCTGGCGAGGATGTGGAGTAACGGGAACCCTCATACACTGTTGTGGGAATGTAAATTAGTACTGCCACTAAGGAGTGGCAGTTTTTTGGAGATTCCTCAAAAAACTGAAAATAGAGCTACCATAAGATTCTGCAATCCCACTATTAGGTATATCTTCAAATGAAAGGAAGCCAATATATTGAAGAAATAAATGCACTTCCATGTTTATTGAAGCACTTTCATAATAGCCAAGACTTGGAAGCAACCTGAGTGCTCATCAATAGATGAATGAGTAAGGAAAACGTGGTACACATACACAACTGGAATGCTATTCAGCCATAAAAACAATGAGATCCTGTCATTTGCAGAAACATGGATTAACCTGGAGGTCATTTTGTTACATGAAATAAGCCTGGCTCAGAAAGACAGACTTCATGTGTTCTCACTTGTTTGTGGAAGCTAAAAATTAAAATAATTGAACTCAAGGAGATAGAGTAGAAGGATGGTTACCAAAAGCTGGGAAATAAAGTGGGATGGGGAGGGGAGAAGACGGGATAGTTAATGGGTACAAGAAAATAGAAAGAATGAATAAGAATTAGTATATGTGAGCACATCAGTCTGACTATAGTAAACAAAAATTAATTGTACATTTTCTAATAACAAAAGAGTATAATTGGATTGTTTGTAACACAAAGGATAAATATTTGAGGTTGTGGATACCCCATTTACCCTGATGTGATTATTACACATTCCATGCCTGTATCAAAATATCTCGTGTAACCCACAAATATATATAACTACTATGTATCCACAAAAATAAAAATAGAAAAACAGAGATGGAAAATACTTTTGAAATAATAAAGAATACAAACTCAAATATGATTGAAATTAGTAATAAGCGTAAGCACTTCAACAAAAATTGGAAGGAAAAATGAATTCAATAAGAGCTGTGTTATTTCTGTGCTATTGTAGTTTACTTTAAAACTTAAATGCAGTCATGTGCTGCATAGCAACATTCTGGTCAACAACAGAATGTGTAGACAACAGTGCCCTCACAAAATTATAAGGGAGCTGAAAAATTCCTGCTGGTTAGTGCTATCTTGATGATTCTCACCCTGTATAGGCTTAGGATAATGTGTGTATTTGTGTCTTCATTTTTAACAAAAATATTCAAAAAGTAAAAAAAAATTAAAACAAAAACAGGAAAAAACTTCAGAATAAGGACATAAAGAAAAGCAATTTTGTATAACTATACAATATGTTTTTGTTTATTGTTATAAAAGATTTAAAAAGTTTAAAAATTTAAAAGTTTATTAAGTAAAAAAGTTACAGTAAGCCAAGTTTATTATTGAAGAAAGAATTTGTAAATACATGTAGTGTATCCTAAGTACACAGTGTTTATAAAGTCTGCAGTAACAGCATTGTCCTCGGCCTTCACATTTACTCATAACTCACTCACTGAGTCACCCAGAACAACATCCAGTTCTGCAAGCTCCATCCATGGTAAGTGCTCTATATAGGTGTACCATTTTAAAATTTTTATAGCATATTTTTACTGTACCTTTTCCATGTTTAGATATGTTTTGGTACAGAAATGCTTACCATTGTATTGCAATCGCCTACAGCATTCAGCACAATAACATGCTGTACATGTTTGTAGCCTAGGAGCAATAGGCTATACTTTATAGCTTAGGTATGTAGTAGGCTGTAGTATCCACATTTATGTAAATACAGTCTATGATGTTTCCACAACAACAAAATCACCTAATGACACATTTCTCAGAATGTATCTCCACCATTAAGTGACACATGACCCTATATTTAAGACACATATTAATGAATAAAAAAATCTTTTGCATAACACCACAGGAGAAAGAAGTTTCTTTCTGTGTGTTAATAATCAGATTATGCCCAGCTTTGTCAGTAGCTAAAAGGTCTCCATATCTTTTCCTCCTGAATTATTGTAATCCCCAGCTCTATACCTTCTCTTTTAAAGAAGTGCCACTTTTATTTGAATCATATTGTCATTTTTACTTAGATCTCTATTTACCTGTCTACCTAAGCAGAAGTGTCAAGTGACCTTGAGAAGTAATCAATGAGAACTTGTCTAACAGAGAACACTCTAATTCTGTCAATCCATATTAGACACTAACGGCTGTCATGGTATCCATTTGAATTTATTTCCTATGTTTTATCCTCAAGTTTTTTTCCACTTGTCTAAAACTGTGAGTTCTCCCAGAAGATCAGAATTAATAAATTTAAGAGTTGGACTGGTGGATCCCTCATCAACTGTTGAATAAATTAAAGCTGCAAAACAAATTAAAAACAAATTGCTAAGTGTCCAGTCACTTCCACTGCTATCCAGTTTAGTATTTTTTTTTAATGTACACCTTTGTTTCATTTTCTCTAAAATACTAAAGTCACAATTGTGGAAATAGGGGTACATATGTAAACCTTCCCCATAGAACTCATTTTAGTATGCTGACCTGTGGAAAACACAATACTGCAGTATTCCCAAACCCTCACTAAAACCTCATGCTTTTAGTGATTTGTACTGATAAGATCAGAATTAAACCTTCTTCTGGACCACTTTGTGATCAAGAGCCTATGTTTCTGAGAATACTCATTTGCAGCTTGATGACAATATGTTGTTGTAAATCAGTAATCAATTAAGATGTCTGCCGAAGAATCAAATCTGCATACTTGTCCTTAACTTAGACCAAACTAACTAGCCACAATCACCAAATTTCAATGTCTTTTGTCTTAAATATATCATCAGGTATAGAATAATTTTGAAAAATTACCAATTCTAATTAGAGAAGAATCATCTCAATTGTATTCCTCTTAACTGAAATATTTTACACCATATTAAACCCTTGAGATCTCATATTACTGTTTTTGGGGGCAGTATATTATCATAGTGAATTTACTTTTGTAAAACAAATTCCACATTAGAATATTATATTTTTACAATGCTACCCTCAATTAACCTTCTCCCCACTGGCAAACTAACAAATTAGATAGGATAATATTCCAAGTTAGATTGGCTTACTGTTAAAACTAGTGGTCATCTCATAAAAGCAGTTGCCTCTGTTAGGAAAAAGATAATAATTTTGAATGCATAAATGCACATAGATTTCATTTATCTCTTGGTCCTTATTACACAGTGATATTCATGGAAATCACTAACCACATAATGTCAGTTTATTCTGCTTCTTTCCCTCTCATAAACTGAAATGCTCTAACATAGCCAAAACAGCATTAGGTCTTCCACTTTTCATGCATTAGTCATGTTGGAAGTTAATCATCCGACTATAAATGAAAGCTTGCTCCATTTTCAGTAAGGCAATATTTACTTTCTTTTTATCCTAAGAGATAGAAAGCCTAATTGATGGAGGAAATTAACATTGACATGCCTTGAGATGGTCTATTTTTAAGCAAAATATTTTCTGTTGTAACTTCTTAGAGCAGAAATGTCCACCATTTAATGATAAGGCAGTAAATGCACCCTTCACTTAAGACCTACTGAGCAGGGAGGAGGTTATGATTCATGAGCCAAAAGAGAAGAAATTCACACTTCTCTTTCACACTCACAGTCAGTACCGTAATCTTCTCCCCATGTTTCATTGTAATTTAGAAAGAGGTGGAGGGTGGGCCTGACAGTTTCCAGTTTTGATTCCCTTCCTTTCTTGGACCCCTAATTTGAAATCCTGGAAAGCCCTGGGCAAAGAAGATTGTCAACCACTGTTAGCATGAAAATGACTATCTAGCTTGCTTATTGCCTATAGGCTGAACCCATGGGGAATACCTATATCCATACTGAAGTTTTACTTGTAAGTCACTCAATAGCAAGAAGTAGATCAAGAGATTCAAACTCTATTAGCAATAAGTTGGAAAACTGCTAGTTATTATGTTTTTAAAATTTTCTAATAGATGTAAGAAATCACTAGAATTTAAGATCATACTTTTCTAGTAGAAAAGAATACTAAAAATGATTCATGACAATAGTAGTGAATAGACTATTTGAAAGATTTTCCATTCTACAATGTCTAAGCATAAACCTTTACCTTGCTTCTTTAGACAAAATCCATTAAAATGACAGAAGAATAAATCTGTGGTAATACAGAAATGCTGCTGTCAAGAAACCTAAAATGGAAAAAGTCCTTGAAAGTAGAAAACAAGTGGTAACAGATCAACCATGAAACCCAACATAGTTGAAGAGAAAGACAGGCTCTCTGCAAAAAGTGAATTTTCCAGTAGAACCAAAGAGTAACCTCAAGATCAAGAATCATGGATCTTGAAGTAGCAGTGAGCCATCTACCAGTAGATCATAATTAATTTAAAGACTAGAATTTTTTTAGTCTTCCCAATCTTAGTTTCTGGTTCCAATGTTTGCTGCCAAAAGTAAACCATGACTAGAGCTCTCTAAATAGTAACATTGGCTGAAATACATTCTCAGAATTAAAAGTGAGAATCAGAAGAAAAGCAGGCAATCACCAGGATGAGCAAGGCACCAGCAAGAGGGCAAACTCTCTGGGCATCAAAAAACCAGCAACATTTTTGGTACCCACAAACTGGAGACAGCACTTTCTGTGACATTCCTTATCAGGGGAGTAGAGGTTTTCATTTATGTTAGAAAGATTGTATGCAGTTAACAGCATTATAAATATGACTCTACTAAAGATCACCAAGAATTTGAGGAAAATCAACACCATTCTGAACAAACCAACTACTCACTAGTGAAAATGTTGATGCCAAAAGTATAAGAAAACTTTAAAATGAGTAATGTTAATAACCTCAGAAAAATTCAAAGGAATAAAATACCCATAAAATAAAAACATGCAGCTATGAAAAAGGAAGCAATTAAGTCCTTGAAATTAAAAGTATGAAGATGAAAAGTTTTTAAAAACTCAGCAGCAGGGCTGAATTACAGGATGTTTCTCACTATTTTTCTATTGTCTTTCATGTTGAATAAAGTTTCATCTTAAGGCTATAAATGGTGGTTCTTCAACCAGTTCCAGGCTCTTTCCTCATAGTCAAAAGACAAGTGCAGTTGTCACAGGTCTCAGATTCTTTCCACAAATATCAAGCAACAATCAGGGATCTCTTCAGGTAGCTGCCGCATAACCGCAAGGGCTCATTCTTTCATAAGCCTGAGCCATTCAGGACCCACGTCTTACCATGGTGATAGGAGTAACGTCAAGCTCACCCAAAAAATCTTAAAGGAGAATGGTAGCAAGGTGAATTCCCCATGGAAAATCAGTTGGTAGGAAAATGGTGAATGGATACGGTGAGCCAATCAACTACACAAATCAGTTAAAAAAAATCAGAATATAGATGATCTGAAAATTAACATGGTTAATTTTAACAGTCATATATTTTTTAAAACAATGTATTTTTTAAGTCAAATTATGTTCAAGACACTGGGTCTTGTGAACTTTATCGAGTTGAGAAACTGACAATAATATTTTGTCACTAATTTACAGTATCAAAAATTATATTGTTATAAATTTTTGAAGTATATAACGAAGAATAATGTTGGTATCAGCCCCATGGAAACACAATGTTTTCAAAACCTCAAATCTGTCTGCTAGATATGCCAATAGCCAGTGATTTTTTTCTTTTTTAAAGATTTAAAAATTTGTGTTAGCCATGTTGCACTAAAATTGGGAATATTACAATGTTAGTGCATAAATCTGGCCAAGGATAATTTCCTCTTATAAGCGAGAATTCTCAGTATGAACCAAAAGTGCTTCATGGCCAGTAATCATATCCATACAAGGAAAAGAAAATGATATAATGTATAACAGATGATTTTAGCAGTGTCTGGTTCCTTCATGATGAGGTTAAGACCATTTCGTAGATGGATGAACATAGTTTTGGAGGGCACTGATCAGAGATGAACAACTCAATGCATCTCTAAATCATAAAACAGAGAGTTGCTTGACCAATATTACATTGCTTCTTCTAATTACTGTCCCTTCCACCCCCTGCTACAGCCACATTTCAGCTTATTCACAGTGAAGAATGTTGATGTAGCTTCAACCTTAGTGAAGAGCTCCAGGTGTTTAAAACGCCGCGTAATTTTTTTTCTCTATGATAGTTTTAGGAACAAATTGGCATAAGTAAAAGTTAAGCATAAGTTTCTTTTATGATGACCAGTAGGACATGAGGACAAAAATTTGATCTTTGGAAAACTGAGAATTTAATATTCTCAGTTAAGCTTCTGTTAAGCTTTGACTATGTATTTGGGTAAGGAAATATTCTAAAATATCATTTTAATTTCCTCTCCAAGTAGTATTTTAGCAAAGTACTCAGAATGCAAGGTTTTGTAAGAATTTCTTAAATGGTGTGATTTTTGTCTAACGATTAAGAGAACTATATTAAACTTTGACGGGCTTTAGAGATTGCTGGTATGTCTTATCACCATTTACTCTTATGTACTACAATGAATTACACTTTATGGAAAAAATTATGGTCAGTAAAATAATCAAAAATAAGCTTTGTGATTTTTATTCAAATAAAAATGTAACATTCACTTCTCAATGTTTATAAACAAACATATTGAGAAACTTTGATTCTATATTTTGTAATATACAGTACAGGAATCTATATTTGAATTGATCATCTTTTTTTTTGCAAAGATCTTCAAGAAGCTGTCACTTTCTCACTTGTAGATCAATAAATGTGTATGTTAACTAGTGGATGTGGAAAGTTCTAGACACTTAGGTATGTCTGAAAATCAATACCTGAAATTTGATTTCGATTATACCCATCACTTTATCATAATACCCTATATCAACTTATGGCACTAGAGAATGGCTTCAAATAACCCAGCTTTGACAGTGTCCTCATTTCTACCATGCTGAGGCATGATGTTTGTTAATTCAAGTTACAGATGAAAAATGAGATCTTAAAGAGTGCATGTTTTGAGATTCAATATTAATTGTTAGAAAAACCAAAGTTTAATTTTTATATTAAAGGGTGATTTAGATTCAGTGAAGAGCAGATGTAATTACACAGCTAGATCAGTTTTGACAGATGTATATAAAGGAGCAACCCAAACCCTTATCAAGACTTAAAACATTTCCACAATGCCAGAAATTTTCCACAGGTCCTTTCCCAGTCTATTTCATCACTGTCTATCCTGCTTCAATGATCTATTTATCTACCATTAGCCAATGCCTCACAGTCTAAATTATTTAGATTTATATTGTCTTGGAGTTAGGTAGTGTACCTTCTCCAAATTAGTTCTTACCTTTCAATACTTTCAGGCAATGTTAGGCCATTTGCATTTTCCTTTAAATATTATAATAACCTTGCAAAATGCCATTAAAAAAACTTTCTGAGAATTTGATTGTGATTGTACTGACTCTGCAGCTCAGTTTGGGGAAAATTGACTTTTTAGCAGTATTGAATGTGCCAAGCAGAAACACGGCATACCTTTCCATTTATTTAGGCCTTAGAAAGTTGCTTTCAGTAATGTCTTATATTTTTCAGCAAAGAGAACTTACACATCTCTTAAATGCATTATTAAATATTTTATATTTTTGTTATTGTAAATGCTATTTTAAGAAATTTCAAGTTGTTCAGTAAGAATGTGTAGAAACACAATTGATTTTTGCGTATTGTTTTTGTTTTATAATATTGTTAAGCCTACTTGTTTAATTATTTATTTTATTATTCATTTTATAACAAAATTCTTGGGATTTTCTACAACTACATTCTGTCATCCACCAGAATCTTATGTTTCTTCTTGACTTTCTTTATGTCTTTTAGCTCTTTTTCTTGACTTATGTATCCAGTATGATCTTGAATAAAGGTTGTAATGGCAGATACTCTTGTCTTGTTTCTATCTCAGGAGGAAGATACTCAATAGTTCACTATTCCATACAAGGTTAATTGTAAGTTGTTCTTAAATGTCCTTTATAAGATTGAGAAAGCTTTATTTTATTCCTAGTTGTAGAGAGAGTTTGTCATTTATGGAATAAATTCCTTAATATACTATGTTTTTATATCTTGCTAGATTGTCCTTGCTAATATCTTATTTTTCATGTCTTTAATAATGAGGGACATTGGTCTGTAATTTTCTTTTCTTCCAGTTTCTCTACTTGATTTTGGATTTGGTTATACCAGTGTAATAAAAGGAGTTAATAAGTATTATCTTCTCAGAAATAATTTATATAGGATTGGTATTATTTCTCCCTTAAAATTGATAGAATTCCATAATAAAGCTATTGGGGTCTAGGGTTTTCTTTTGGAAAAGTTTTAAATTAAGAATTTAATTTATTTAAAGAATATCAGATTTTTTGTTTTTGAGGAATTTCTACACTCTCTTCCACAATAGTTGAAATAATTTATACTCCCACCAACAGTGTATAAGCATTCCTTTCTCTCCACAACCTTACCAACATCTATTATTTTTTGACATTTTAATAATAGCCATTCTGACTGGTGTGAGATCTCCCCAGCAAATCCATTACTGGGTATATTTCCAAGGGAATATAAATTGTTGTATTATAAAGACACATGCGCCCGTATGTTCATTGCAACACTATTCACAATAACAAAGACATGGAATCAACCTAAATGTCCATCAATGAGAGACTGAATAAACAAAATGTGGTACATATACACCATGGAATACTATGCAGCCATAAAAAAGAACACAATCATGTCCTTTGCAGGGACATGGATAGAGCTGGAGGCCATTATCCTTAGCAAATTAATACAGGAACACAAAACCAAATACCACAGGTTCTCATTTGTAAGTGGGAGCCAAATGATGAGAACACATGGACACATGGACACATACAGGGGAATAACATACACTGTAGACTATTAGAGGTTGGAGGGTGGAAAGAGGGAGAGGATCAGGAAAAATAACTAATGGGCACCAGGCTTAATACCTGGGTGATGAAATAATCCATAGGACAAACCCCCATGACACAAGTTTACCTATGTAACAAATCTGCACATGTCCCCCTGAACTTAAAAGTTAAAACAATCATATTTTTAATTTCTTATTGTATGAATTATGTTAAGATGTGTTTTTAAAGGAATTTGTCAATTTCTTCTAAGTGATCAAATTTATTAAAATAAATTTGTACACAGTTAAAACTTATTGTCATTTAAATGTCTGTAGTATCTGTAGTGAAGTCTGCTTTTTCATTTTTTACATAAGTTATATGTGTTACTCATTTCCTTCACTGTTCTTGCTAGGAATTTATCAAATTTCCCAATTATTTTAAATTTAAATTAAGTTTTTCTAATGTATTTCTGGTTTCCATTATATAGATTCCTGTTCTTACTTTTGCTTGTTTGTCATACTTCTTTGGATTTAATTTGTTCTTTTTGCCTCCCTAGCTTCTTAAGGAATAAATATATAGTCTTAATTTTGCCCCTCTCCCTTTTAACTAATATAATAATGCTATACATTTTCCTCTAAGAGTTACTTTACCTGCATTGCCGAATTTTGATATATTGTGTTTACAATATATTCAGTTCAAGGTGTTTTTTAATTTTTTTAATTTAATATAATTAAATAATATTTACTTTTCAAGTATATGGATATTTTCTATATATCTTATTCACATTGATATATAATTTAATATTGTTGTGATAAGAAAATATAAACTTCATAATTAAGATCTTCTGAAATTTGTTGAGACTTGTTTTATGTGCCAGCATATGGTCTATTTTGGTGGATATCTCATATTCATTTCTACTATTGTTTTATGTAAAGTTTTCCATATCAATTAGGTGGTATTGCTCAAATATTCTGTATTTTTGGTGATTTTATTTTTTTTTAGATGGAGTCTTGCTATGTCACCCAAGCTGGAGTGCAGTGGTGCGATCTCGGCTCAATGCAACCTCGGCCTCCCAGGTTCAAGCGATTCTCCGGCTTCAGCCTCCCAAGTAACAGCCACCACACCCAGCTAATTTTTTTTTTTTGTATTTTCAGTAGAGATGGGGTTTTACCATGTTGGTCAGGCTGGTCTTGAACTCCTGACCTCAAATGATCTGCCCACCTCGGCCTCCCAAAGTGCTGGGATTACAGGGATGAGCCACCGTGCCCGGCTGGTGATTTTTTAATATATAACCTTATTATATACTGAGAAGAAGGTTTAATGTCTCTAGCTATGATTGCAGATTTCCTTCTTTCTTTCTTTCTTTCTGTCAGTTTTTGTTTTAGGTATTTGAGTGCTTTGTTATTAGGTATAGACATTTACTGTTCTTAATGAGTTAATCCCTTTATTACTATAAAATGTCCCTTGCTATTTCTTGTAATACTATTGTTTTGGATATTTACTTCTTCTTATAATAATATACCCCTACCAGCTTTTTTAATACTTTCTTATGCTTAGTGTTTGCATGGTATATCATTTATTCAGCCTTTGCTTTCAACCTATCTTTTTCACTAGAATTTTCACAGTTATTTTTAAAATGCTGCTTAATAATTTCAACATCAGTGTTATCCCTTAGTTTGATTCTAATGACCATTGACTATTTGATATTTAGATAATGGGACACATTTTCTTGCTTCAACATGTTTCTCATAAATTTTAATTGAATATAAGACATAGTGGTTTAAAGAAGAGTGGTGACTGACATAAATTATATTTATGCCCCAAAAGGGTGCATGTCTCCTGTCTGGCCACTATCTAGTCTGTCTAGTCTGTTGAACATCAGTCTAGTCTGTTGAACACAATCCAGTCTGTTGAACATCGTGTGTCTAGATTCTTGTTGTTGATTTATAGATTCAATCTAGTCTGTTGAACATCATGTGTCTAGATTCCTGTTGTTGATTTATAGATTCATTTCACTCAGTCTTCAAATGATGTGATGGCAGAAACAAATCTTTCCTTTATTAGAGCTTGGAGTCTGAGTGCCTGGAGCATTTGTCTCAGGTTTTCTGCCCTCTTCTTAGCCATTAGCAGGCCCTATGCACCTGCATCTCAGAAGAGTTTTCTTTTCTTCTCTCATGCAAGGTGCAAATAGTCACTATCTGGTACTCATCATATGGCCTGGAGTGCATGCTGGGTTTCTCTCAGTTCTCCTTCAGACTTAAGCAAGCCTGATGTCACTATACCTTAGAATGTGTTTTTCTCAATTCTCTACTCTCATAAGCACTAAGTGAAGGTCCTTGGAAGAGTTATGCGTATTTTTATTTTCTCCAAGACTTCTGGGTCTTTTAAGTGACTAAATCTGTCCACACTCAGCCTTTAAAAACTCAACACAAGGTCATTTCTTCTCTTTTCACACCTGTGGCAGCTGCCTTCCCCTCCCATTGCTCTAACAAGGATGGGTGCAATCATGAATCTCTTCTTTCCTAGGAGGAGCTCATTACTTTCTGAATTTCAATCTATTAGTTTCCATCACAACCTCATATCTCTTTTAAAAGATAAACTTTAAAAAATACATAATTTTGTAGATTATCCAGTGTGTTCTCTCTTTCAATTTGGGAATGATGCTTTCTTGAGATTTTCTATATCTGAAGCAGAAGTTTAAGTGGTTTCAATTGTTTTTAAGAAAATCTGTGACCAACCTAAAATATAAGTAATTTATTATATTTATTGCATACAATGTGAAAAGCAGCTTAAATTTATTTTATATGCTCAATACACATTATAAATATTTAACAAATACATGTTAGACACTCAATTAAATATAAGTATGAAGCCTGTAATCCCAGCATTTTGAAAGACCAAGGTGGGCAGATTGCCCAAGGTCATAAGTTGGAGACCAGCCTGGATAACATGATGAAAACCCTTCTCTACTAAAAATACAAAATATTAGCCAGGTGCGGTGGTGCACAGTTGTAGTCCCAGCTACCCAGGAGGCTGAGGCAGGAGAATTGCTTCAACCCAGGAGGCAGAGGTTGCAGTGAGCCGAGATTGCACCACTGCACTTCAGCCTGCATGACAGAGTGACACTTTGTCAAAAAAAAAAAAAGCATATAATTTCTTAACTAGATCTCTTGAATATTTCTACCTGCCAAGAAGAATTAACAACCTTTACTCTCCTCTCTCTATTCCATTATGGCAATAATGCAGATGTTTTATTTTCAAATAAAAATTACATTATAATATTGACTACAATTTTGAATTATATCAACTCCACCTTCAACCTACCTGAAGATTCTCATATGGCCCACTGAAAGTCAGGAGCTCAATGTGCTTTTAAAACCCCATTTGGGAATTAAAGAGATACACAAAATATCTCTTGATTGTCAGATTTCTTTACTTCTATTGTTTTCTTAATTAAAATTGTTATCTTTAGGTTTTTTTAAACCCCGATGTCACCAGCTTTGGCCTTAAGTGACTTTTATGTGTGTCTAAAACCAAAACTGTTCTCTACACATTGGAGACAAAGGTACTTCTAGATCAGAAATAGTAGGATTAGTCTTATGAATGTAGGGTTGCTTCAGCACTGCCTTATCCTAATTCAGTATTATAGAGTTTCAGCCCTTCTGTACCTTATTAAAATGCTAGCTTTTAAACATTCTACTATGTATTAAAAATGGTTGGTGTCACTACTTATTGAAATAACTAAAAAATACACTACCAGAAAAAAATAGTTTTGAAGACAGTTTCAAAATCTGAATTTCAAAATTGAGCAATGGAAATCATTCTAGTTAAGTAGTGTGACATAAGGATCCTTTATTAGGTTAAGTGATTTAAAAACAAAAAAAAATCAGAAGATGACTGATTAAACACAGGTAGTATATGCCTCTTCCATAGAAAGGAACCAGAATATAAGTAGATACATTTCAAACAGATTGGCTAGGAGAGAATGCCATGATTCACCAGAAAGGGGACAGGAAACACGAGAAGTAAGGAGAGGCTTCAAGGCAGATTGCCCAGCCGAGGACTGACTGAGAGCCAGGAACACCTCCTGGACACAAGAAAACAGTAAGACAGAAACCCCTAGGGTGTGGCTTTTATGATCTTGGCTACAGGAGAAACCCTTGACCCACTAGGGCCTTGGTTCTTCCAAAAGATTGCACAGAGATGTTGCTCCAGAAAGGGAATCTACATGGAATCTCACAGGCAAGCAAGACTAGAGCAGCCTCAGCCAGCCGCCATTTCAAGGGTCTAGATACTGGGGATCTACAGACCTGGCTGCTGTTGCTGCACTGCTCCAAGGAGAGAGAGGAGAGAGGGGGTACTGAGCATTCCTGTGCACCCTTGGAAAAGTCCCTACCACGCTGCTGTGAGCTGCTGTTGGGACTGAGACATGAATGGACTGTACTCCCTGCAGCTTTTTACACTGCTTGCCTGGGACCCCACCCTCTCTGGCTTCAGCCTCAAGGTTCTGTTTTGAGAATTTAAGAGTGGGCTGTGCCCCATCCTCAGGTTGAATTGGGCTGATATAGCTGCAGCTGCCACCCAGCCAGAGAGGGTCAAGGAAACCAGGCCCCGCTATGGACATTTAGGATGATACCCACAGCAATGGGCTGCTGTGAGACTGAGATGTGAGGATACTGCACTTTCCACAGATTTTTGCTCATGCTGCTTACCTGGGAAGGGCCCTGCTCTCCATGGTTGGAGGCCCAAGGAGCCATTTTGAGAGTTTAATGCTGAAGCAGCCATCACCTGGTCAAAGAGAGTCAGGAAAACCATGTTCTCTTACACACACATAGGACAATACCCACTACCCGCTTTGGACTGCTGTGAAACCAAGACTAGAGCAGACCACACTCTCTACAACTTCTTGCCTATGCTGCCCCCCCTGAAAGAGATCTTGCACTCTTTGGTCACAAGCCCAAAGCTTGCACCATTTTGTAAGTTTAATGCTGGGCTGTGCCCTGCCCTTGGACCAAGTTTGAGTTGGCGTGTCTGCAGCCACTACCTGGCTAAGGAGGCACAAGGAAACTAAGCTCCTCTATATTTACTTAGGACAGTACCCACCACCCTGCTACAGGCTGCTGTGATACTGAGACTTGAGTGGGCCACACACTTAACAGCTTCATGCCCCTGCTGCTCATCTGACTGTGGGTGTGGGGGTTGCTGGAGGGGTGGGGCATCCTCTAGACACAAGCCCACAGCTGGCACCATTTTGTGAGTTTAACACTGAGCTGTAGTCTGCTCTTGGGCTGAGTTTGACATGTCACAACTGCAGCCACCACCCAGCTGGGGAAGGGAAGGGACGACCAAGCTCTCCTAAACACACTTAGTACAATACCCACCACCCTGCTATAGGTGGCAGTAGGAATGAAGACTAGCCAGCCAGCCCAACTCATTGCAGCTACCAGGAACACCAACACAGAAGGCTTGGGCCCCAGTGGGTTGCTCGATCACTGCTACTGTCATCACCCACATAAGACTAGCTGCTGAGGGGCCTCAGAGCCTGCCCACACCTGGTTCCCTACTCCCTCTATAGCTTCTAAGCAAGCTACCAGCAGGCCCAAGAATCAGCCCTCCACCACACACTGAAACCAGAAATAGTGTAAGCTGCTCTGGGGCCTAAAATAAGGCATGTTTGCCCCACTGATGCCACAACTGGAACCCAAAGACTAGCTCAGTTGTTGTTCATAGGCCCCAGCAAAACTTTGCCATGACTTCAACTAATAACTGTACTCTAAACCACCAAGAAAATAATAAAGACCACTGACATTGTGTACTGCCAAAGAAACATACAAAGATCACACTATCACAGGCACCCAAAATCAAAAACAAAATATCCTACTTAACCAACAGCACAAACACATTTTTAGGAAAAAATTCTCCCCTACAAAAGTAATTTTGAAACATTGGAACAACCAATTGCTACACCAGATGCACAGATAACAACAGGAAGACATAGGAAACATGAAAAAGCAGGGAAATATGACATTACCAAAGGACTAAAAGAGTTG
This sequence comes from Homo sapiens, assembly GCF_000001405.40. NCBI lineage: Eukaryota > Metazoa > Chordata > Mammalia > Primates > Hominidae > Homo > Homo sapiens. The sequence continues at coordinate 180,493,821 of NC_000002.12, read as the reverse complement.
CCCAGCAACAGATTCCGATGAAAAAGAATCCCTTGAAATGCCAGAAAACTATTCAAAATATTAATTTTAAAGAAGCTCAATGGGATACAAGAGAAATCTGAAAAGCAATGCAAGGAAATCAGAAAATCAATTCAGGACATGAATAAAAATTTTTCCCAGCAGATAAATATTTTTTTTAAAAAGTAAGCAGAAATTCTGGAACAAAAAATCATTGAAGGAAATACAAAATATGTTCAAAGCTTTAATAATAGACTAGACCAAGTGAAGAAAGAATCTCAAAACTTGAAGACAGGTCTTTTAAAATAATCGATTCAGACAAAAATAAGGGAAAAAAATAACAAAGCTGAAGGCATCACGCAACATGACTTCAAACTATACTACAAGGCTACAGTAACAAAAACAGCATGGTACTGGTACCAAAACAGATATATAGACCAATGGAGCAGAACAGAGGCCTCAGAGATAACACCACATATCTACAACCATCTGATCTTTCACAAACCTGACACAAACAAGCAATGGGGAAAGGATTCCCTATTTAATAAATGGTGTTGGGAAAACCGGCTGGACATATGCAGAAAGCTGAAACTGGATCCCTTCCTTACATCTTACACAAAAATTAACTCAGGATGGATTAAAGACTTAAATGTAAGACCTAAAACCATAAAAACCCTAGAAGAAAACCTAGGCAATACCGTTCAGGACATAGACATGGGCAAAGACTTCATGACTAAAACACCAAAAGCAATGGCAACAAAAGCCAACATTGACAAATGGGATCTAATTAAACTAAAGAACTTCTGCACAGCAAAAGAAATTGTCATAAGAGTGAACAGGCAATCTACAGAATGGGAGAAAATTTTTGCAATCTATCCATATGACAAAGGGCTAATATCCAAAAGCTACAAATAACTTAAACAAATTTACAAAAAAAAAAAAACCATCAAAAAGTGGGCAAAGGATATGAACAGACACTTCCCAAAAGAAGACATTTATTTAGCCAATGAACATATGAAAAAAAGCTCATCGTCACTGGTCATTAGAAAAATGCAAATCAAAACCACAGTGAGATACCATCTCATGCCAGTTAGTATGGCGATCATTAAAACAACAGATGCTGAAGAGGATGTGGAGAAATAAAAACGTTTTTGCACTGTTGGTAGGAGTGTAAATTAGTTCAACCATTGTGGAAGACAGTATGGCAATTCCTCAAGGATCTAGAACCAGAAATACCATTTGACCCAGCAATCCTGTTACTGGATATATACCCAAAGAATTATAAATCATGCTACTATAAAGACACATGCACATGTATGTTTATTGCAGCACTATTCACAATAGCAAAGACTTGGAACCAACCCAAATGCCCATCAATTATAGACTGGATAAAGAAAATGTGGCACATATACCCCACAGAATACTATGCAGCCATAAAAAAGGATGAGTTCATGTCTGTTGCAGGGACATGGATGAAGCTGGAAACCATCATTCTCAGTAAACTGACACTGGAACAGAAAACCAAATGTCGCATGTTCTCACTCACAAGTGGAAGTTTACCAATGAGAACACATGGACTCAGGGAGGGGAACATCACGCACCAGGGCCTGTTGGCAGGTGAGGGGCTAGGGGAGGGATAGCATTAGGAGAAATAGCTAATGTAGATGATGGGTTGATGGGTGCAGCAAACCACCATGGCATGTGTATACCTATGTAACAAACCTGCACGTTTTGCGCATGTACCCCAGGACTTAAAGTAAAAAATAAATAAATAAATAAAATTAAAGAAAACCATGATCCAGCTCCACCTATATGCTGTCTGCAAGAAACTCACCTTACCCATAGAGACAGATACAGACTGAAAGTAAAAACGTCATAAAAGTTATTCCACAAAAGCAACCAAGAATAGCTATACTTATATGAAGCAGACTTTAAATCAAAATGATAATAAAAGGCAAAGGTCATTATGTAATGATAAAGGTATCAATTCAGCAAAGGAACAATCCTAAATATATATGCTGCCAGCATCATAACACACAAATTCATAAAATAAATATTCCTAGTCCTAAAGAAAGAGATACACAGCAGTACAATAATTCTGAGGAACTTCCACACCTCATTAACAGCAATAGACAGATCATCAAGGCAGAAAATTAACACAGAAACATTGGATTTAAATCAGACTTTATACCAAATGGACTTAATGGACATTTATAGAACAGTCTACCCAACAACTATAGAATATACATTCTTTCCATCAACAGATAGAACATTTCCCAAGATAGACCATGTATTAGGTAATAAAACAAGTCTTAACAAATTTTTTAATAATTTAAATCATATCAAGTATCTTCTCAGACAATAGTGGAATAATGCTAGAAATCAATACCAAAAGAAACTTCAGAAACTACACAAATACATGGAAGTTAAACAGAATGCTTCTGACTGACCACTGGGACAATGAAGAAATTAAGATGGAAATTAAAACTTTTGAAATGAATGAAAATGAAAACACAATACAAAATACCAAAACCTGTGACATACAGCAAAGACAGTGCTAAGAGGGAAGTTTATAGCATTTAATACCTACATTAAAAAACTAGAAAGATCACAAATAAACAACCTAACATCACACCTCAAGAAACTACAAAAACAAGAACAAACCATACCCCAAATTAGCTGAGCAAAAGCAATAACAAAGATCAGAGCAGAACAAAATGAATATGGACCATTAAAGATGATAAACAAAATGAAAAGTTGATTCTTTGAAAAAAGATAAATAAAATTGATAAATCACTAACTAGCCAAAAACATGACAGAAGATCCTAATAAATACAACTGTAAGTGAAAAAGGAGACAGTACAACTAATACTACAGAAATGCAACAGATCATCAGAAACTATTATGAACAACCGTAAGCTCACAAGCTAGAAAATCGAGAGGAAAATGATAAATTCCTGGAAACTGAAAACTTCCTGAGATTGAGCCAGAAAAAAATAAAATTCCTGAGTAGACCAATAATGAAGAACGAGAGTGAATCAGAAATAAAAAATCTCTCTCTCTCAAAAAAAAAAAAAAAAAAAAAAAAAAAAAAGCCCAGGACCAGGTGGACTTTCTGGCCCAGAACAGTCAAATTCTACCAAACATACAAAGAACTAACACCAATCTTCCTGAAACAATTCCAAAAAATTGATGAAGGCATTCTCCCTAACACATTATCTGAGAACAATATCACCCTAATATCAAAATCAGAAAGGACACAGCAAAGAAACAAAACTACAGAACAATATCCCTGATGAAATTACATGCAAAAAATCCTAAACAAAATACTAGGACATCAAATCCAGCAGCTCATCAAAAAGATAATACCCCATGATCAGGTGCAATTTATCCCAGGTATGCAAGGATGGTTTAACATATGCAAATCAATAAATGTGATACATCATATAAACAGAATCAAGGACAAAGTCCATACGATCAAATCAATAGACCCAAAGAAAGCATTTGATAAAATCCAGCATCCTTTCATGATAAAAATTCTCAACAAACTAGCATAGAAGGAACACTCCTTAGCATGATAAAAGCAATATTCAACAAGCCCATAGCCAACATTATATTGGAAACATTCCCTCTAAGAACTGCAACAAGACAGAGATGCTCACTTTCTTCACTTTTATTCAACCTATTACTGGAAATTCTTGTCAGGGCAATCATACAAGAGAAAAAATAAAAAGCATACAAAATAGAAAAAAGGAAATCAGATTATCCCTGTTTACTGATGATATAATCTTATATCTAGAAAACCCTAAAGACTTCACACACATAAAAACTTCTTAGATTCAATAAATTAATTGAGCAAAATTTCAAGATACAAAATTAATGTACAGAAATCAATACCATTTCTACATACCAATCATCAGCTTGCTGAGGATGAAATCAATAAGACAATACCATTTACAGTAGCTACAAAAATATCTGGAAATATATTTAACCAAGAAGGTGAAAGTTCTCTCTATAAGGATAACTACAAACATTAATGAAAGAAATCATAGATCACATAAACAAATGGAAATACATTCTATGCTCATGAACTGGAAGAATCAATATTGTTTAAATAACCATACTGCCCAAAACTATCTACAGGTTTAATACAATCCTTATGATATTACCAACATCATTTTTCACAGAATTAGAAAAAACAATTCTAAAATTTATATGGAACTAAAAGAAGAAGTGAAATAGCCAAAGCAATCTAAGCAAGAAGAACAAAGTTGGAGGCATCACATTCCGCAACTTCAAATTATACTACTAGGTTAGAGTAACCAAAACAGTATGGTACTGGTATAGAAATAGGCAATAGATTAATGGAACAGAATAGAGAACCAGAAATAAAGTCATGTACCTACAACCAAATGATGTTTGACAAAGTCAACAAAAATACAAACTGGAGAAAAGATACCCTATTCAATAAACGGTGCTGGGAAAATTAGCCATATGCAGAAGAATGAAACAACTGGACCCATACCTCTCACTATACACAAAAATTAACTCAAAATGGATTAAAGATCTAAACATAACACCTGAAACTATAAAATTCCTGGAAGAAAACCTAGGGAAAACCCTTCTGGATATTGGCCTGGGCAAAGAATTTATGACCAAGTCTTCAACAGCAAATGTAACAAAAACAAAAATAAGCAAATGGGACTTAATTAAACCAAAAAGCTTCTGTGCAGCAAAGGACACTAACGACATAGTAAACAGGAAACCTACAAAACGGGAAAAAATATTTGCAAACTATACATCAGATAAATGACCAATATCCAGAATCTATAAGAAACTCAAGCAGCTCAACAAGAAAAAAAAAAAACTTATTTAAAAAAAATGCCAAAGGACATGAACAGACATTTTTCAAAAGAAGACATGCAAGTATCCAACAAACATGAATAAAAATGGTCAACATCACTAATAATCAGAGAAATGCTAATTAAAACAACAAGATAACATTTTATACCACTCAGAATGGCTTTTATTAAAAGGCCAAAAACAAGATGTTGGCAAGGATGTGGAAAAAAGGGAATACTTATTCACTGTTGGTGGGAATGTAAATTAGTTCAACCTTTATGGAAAACAGTATGGAAATTTCTCGCATAGCTAAAAATAGAACTACCATTCAATCCACCTTTGCCACTACTGGGTATATACCCAAAAGGAAATAAATCATTATATCAAAAAGATACTTGCACTCATATTTTATCACAGCTCTATTCACGATACCAAATATATGGAATAAACCTAAATGTCCACTAACAGAGAACTGTATAAGGAAAATGTTTCATGTGTTTGTGTGTGTGTATATACATGTATATACACACACACCTTGGAATACTACTCAGCCATAACAAAGAATGAAATCATATCCTTTGCAGCAACATGGTTGGAAGTGGAGGTCATTATCCTGATTGAAATAACTTAGAAACAGAAAGTCAAATACCACATTTTCTGGCTTATAAGTGGGAACTAAATAATAGGTACACATGGATATACAGAGTGGTACAATAGGCATTAGAGACAATACTTGGGAGTCTGGGAAGCGGATGAGGGTTGAAAAACTATCTATTGGGTACAGTGTTCACTGTTTGGGTGATGGGTGTGCTAAAAGCCTCAACTTCACCACTACACACTACATGCATATAAGAAGCCTGTATTTATACTCGTTATATATATAGAATGTTTTTTAAAGGTGAAAAAAAATCAGCCACATTTCTTTATGGCCACAATTCAGGTACTTCAGTGGTCTCTGTCAGTGAAAAGAGCTTAATATTTTCTAAATAATATAATAGCAACAGGTACTCTATTATTTCATTTACATTTTATCAATAAGTTGTTATATGAAACAATAAAAGAGAAGACAAAACAGTAAGTTACTTATGGGATTGTGTTATGTGCAATCTGATACTCTACATTCACCTTTTTAACAGGAAACTGTTCATCTAAATTGGATATTTCCTTTTTTAGTCAACAAAGTAATCAGAATTCATGTCAGCACACCTGTACAAGATGCACGTTAAATTGAAACAACAAATAAGATAATCTTGAGAAGCTGAAATCCTTTAATTTTTCAGAATTTTTTTCTGTTAACATATTTCATTGTATTATGCTGTATCATTTAGAATCAAAACACCAACCTGTCATATTGCTTTTCTTTTTTATATTTATAATATAAGGCATCATCTAATTTTGAATATAATCTTGAATATACTCCAAATGTGAGAAAAAACACTTAGAGATAGCAATAATCATGATTAAAATTTGGCTATGCAAATTCAGAGAACTTATTCTGAAATGATGCAAACATGTATATGTTAAGTCACATTGTTTTTACCTCTGAAAAACCTCCTGATAAACACCACTGGCCAAGAGTAGCAATTCATAGCTTCATTTCTATTTGCAAGTCATGATGTATAACACATTAAGCAGACTATGCATATATACATATATATATATAAATGTATCGAGCAGACTAAGTTAAAAATAATAATCAACATGTCCATTGCTGCTCTTAAGAAGTGTTCTCATGTAATTTTGACTAAAAAGAATTCTATTCGTATTCTATATGCACCCGTAGCAAAAAGTGCTGAAGTATATAAGACACACGCACACAGATATCCTTATTACATATACCTAATTTAAAATGTATATATAATTATTGATGGACTAATAAATAAATATTTCTCTATGCTACAGCTTATAGAATTGGTTATGCCAAAAGTATTTAAGGAAATAAGAAAACTAAGGTGCAGTGGGGTACAATTTCTTGGTACTTTTTTGGGAAGAAAGGCTGTGGTAGAAGTCTCCTGACTGTCACATTATATGCCCAGAGAGCTTTGCTATATTCCTAAAGTGTTTAAATTAAAAATGCATTCCTAAAAACTGCATTTTTCCCTAAAGTCCTTAAAAATTACTAAATAACCATGTCTGAACAACATTAAGTTACATCTTGAGTTTATATGATAAGCTATCGCATCTTGCTTCTGTGAGTCTTACATTGCCCAAGAATTATTAGTCCAGTTCACATGGAAAAAGACATATTTTTATTTACTTGGATTCAAAAGATTCTTTAATGTTATAAACAAATAACACACTCAAAAATAAAGCTTAATATTCAGATTTTACAGTCCTAGCCATTTTTCTCTTTAACTTTAATATTAATTGCTTTCTGAATGTATCATTACTTTTAAGATAGAAACATATAATTTCAAATATTTAGACACAGGAGACACACTCATCTTATGTGCTTCCACAGATATAAATTAGATATATGCTTATCATAACAGGTTGTAATTGCCATTTTATTTGTCTAACAGCTCAAGAGACTACAAGTTCTATGGAGACAAAGATCATAACTCTTTTAGTCACTATTGTAGCTACAGTGCTGATATTATATAGCTGGCATATAAGTGATGATCAATATATTTTTGTTGAATTTTTATTCATTCATTAAATACTTATCAGACACCTTCTATGAGCAGTATGATTGGCAGTAAAGATTCTGACATGAACATAACTGAGAAGCTTAAACTCACAGGAAAAATAAAATACAGTGCAGCAAGTGCAATGATAAAAAGCACATTATTTATCAAAGTAATAAAGAAGAAAGAGGACTTAATTCTTTCTGGCATAATTTGTGAAAGACTCCCGAAAGAGGTCACACCTGAGCCAGATTTCAAAGACGAACGGGCTTTTGCCAGGAAGATCAGTGGGGAGATTTGACAAAATTCTAAATAAATGGTGCAGTATTTGAAAAGGCACACTGGATATGATGACAAAAATTGACAAAACCCATATCCCTAAAACATAAAATAAATTAGCTGTTAAAATATGTGGTAGTTCTTACTCCATAAAGAGTGAATTACCACTCCAAAAATTTTATCAACATCACCTTAATACTGCTATTGCTTGAAACTATGATCCCATAGAATTTTATATTATCACTATTAGACCTCCATTCTAATTTAATCAGTATGTCCCACTTATCAGCATAAGATAAAGAATTAAGTCACTTTCCTTTCATTCAAATCAAGTGATTCTGAGGTTCTAGTCTATCTCTTCAGAATCTTCTCCTTATTGATTGCTTTAAGCCCCTCAGGGACAGTTTGCTTTTCTTTTGTTTAATTTTCTTTCTTTTTCTATATATATATATGTCTATCTTATATATGTAAATACACATACATAAATATAAATATATATAGAGAGAGAGAGACAGAGACAGAGAGAGAGAGAGAGAGCGAGACAGAGAGAGAGAGAGAGAGAGAGAGGTCTCTGTCACCCAAGCTGGAGTGCAGTGGCGTGATCATGGCTCACTGTAGCCTTAAACTCCTGGACTCAAGTATCCTCCCATCTCTGCCTCGCTAGTAGCTGGGACTACAGACATGCACCTCCATGTGTGGCTAATTTTAATTTGCTTTTTGTAGTGACAGGGTCTTGCTATGTTGCCCAGGTTGGTCTTGAACTCCTGGCCTCAAGTGATCCTCCCACCTCAGCTTCCCAAAGTGTTGGGATTAGAGGGGTGAGCGACTGTGCCTGGCCCAGGGATAGTTTCTTAGTCCAAAAGATCTCAGGAAAGCAGCCTCTGTCAGACAAGAGTCTTCCACCCTGGCTGCAATACTGTGGTTGCTTCCATAGGACTGGTGTTGTAACCTGGGCAGTCTTTCCAAGAAAATATAGTGCAGGAAGGTCAGGTGTTTCCTAGGGGACCATGTATAGTAACTTGGTACACACTAAGCCCAATGCATGGTGAGCTAGCTTCCAGGTACAATTTATGTCCTAGTATAGATGGTGTTTCTTGCCTCCCCACCTGGTCCTGGGTGAAGGAATAAAAAAGATGATTTCATGCTTAATTCTCATGATTCCATGCCACCTTCTTCTTGAGCACCTAACATGAAAGTTGTTTAATAATACACATCTTCCTATTTATATACGCAAATATCCACACAGACTTTAAAAAAAAAAGAAAACTAAATCAAGCCCAGATCTAGAAGGGTTGCCTGTTTCAGCCACATGTTATACCATGAATTACATCTCTGTATAGTTTCCAAGAGTGTTAAAGGTTCTCGCCTTTTCTAGCCACACCAGTGATCACCATTTCCTATCCTTGGGTGAGTGATATTTCTATCTGTAAAAATCCCAAATTCAATTTGTCCAACAGAATGCTTCCCAGTTAAACTTCTTTCTTAAAGTGTAACTCTTCTTGCACCAATTAAAAATTTGTTTTGGCCCTCTACTGCATGTCAAATTGTGGCCATATGTTCTAGTTTTGAGTCTTCCTACTCATATTACAGCATAACACTTCACGTAACCATAGTCTCACATATTCCTATAGTGATAAGGAACTAGATATCTCCTATTGCCAATCCAATCCAATCTAATCATTTTATTTCATTGATGAGGAATCAGACTAGAATTTTAAATTTCTATTAGCATAGGTACTTTTCACATTCACTACCTTATATTTAATGCTGAAATGAGTACCTGGCCTATCAAAAGTGCTTGCTAAATATTTGTTGCATGAGTTAAAGTTTAGATTCATTTTTCTGTTTATTTCCAAGCTACAAATCAAAGTATGTATACAGGATCTGATTATCTCACCACACCCAAAGTGAGTATTGAAGCAAATTAAAATAAAAATCATACATCTACACTCATTCCCCTAATATCAAGGTGCACAATATTATTACTATTTCAAAAATAATAATAAATATTTATTAAACATTTAGCATGTGCTATATTTTGAATGATTGTCCCCTCCAAACTCATGTTAAAATTTTAAAATTGCCATTGATAGTATCTGGAGATGGCACCTTTAAGAGGTGGTTAGGTCATAAAGTCTCCACTCTCATGAAGTGACTACCACCATTATCAGGGGAGTAGGATCTCCCACTCTTGCTCTCTCTCTCACCTCTCTTGGCCATTCTTCCATATGATGATGCCTTCAGCCTTCAACACACCTTCAGATGTTAAGACGCAGCAAAAAGGCCCTCAACAGATTCTGGCATCTGGATATTGTACTTGCCAGCCTCCAGAAATGTGAGAAATACATTTCTGTTTACTTTAATTTATCCAGTTTCAGATATTCTGCTATTGCAGCACAAAATGGTTAGGCGTTGTTCTGATATTTTAAATATATTAACTAATATAATCTACAAAAAATCCCGTAGTAGATATTAGTTTTATGTCAATTTTACAGACAAGAAAACTGACCACAAAGAAACGAAATTACAAGTACACTGGGAGAAGAATGTAAGAAGATTTTGTCTGTGACATGTGTAGGAGCAAAGAGTATTACAGGTAACTAACTACCAGTTATCCAGGCTTATTATCTGATTTCATGGAAATGCCAATATGAAGATAGCAAACTTTGAATGAACATTTAGGTTTGGGGGTGTGTATGTGTACTTTAATGTGTTTGGTTTGGGTTTTTATGTAGAGAGACCTTTAAGATATCCAAAGAAAAATATTAGGATGGCAGTTGGCTTAGAGGTCAGAAGAGAAGCCTTGAATGAGGATATAAATCTGGGAGTCAATGACTTACAATTTATATAGTATCTAGCTATGACACGCACATGCATAGTGGCACATCCTCATACATACATACACACACTCAGATACTAATATATAGAACTATGTCATGCTGAACTATAATTTAGCCCAGCTTCTTAATTCAGAAAATACTGTCTTTTAATATTAAAGCTTAGGGATCTGTATTCATTAAGTTTAGCTACTTGTAGCAGAAACCAGAATACAACTATTTATCAGGTAACAAGTCAGGAAGAAGGTATTTTAGAGCTAGTGCTGGTAAGGGCCTCAAGTTTCTTATAGTTTCCTACTCTCCCGTCGTAACTATGACATTTGTATTTATTCATTGTGGTGTTACAATATTCTGGGCAGGGATAAGGAAGTGCAAAATAGTGCGCATATCAGGAAAGCAAAGCATTTCATTTTTTCATGGCCACCCCTAGAAATAAAAGTTCCTGGGAAACCAGGTTTTTAATCTGAGCATAATGTAACCCCAAATAAAATTGAGTTTATGTTTTTTAAGAAAGGGAGCGTGAATATCAGATAGATATTTGACATGTGCTGTGATTTGAATGTGCTCCTTGCAAAATTCAAGCATTAAAGCTTAATGGCCAATATGTTAGTAGTAAGAGGTGGAGGCTTTAAGAGGGGATTAAGTCATGAGGGCTCCAGCCTTTGTGAATGGTATTAGGTGGCCTTACAAAAGTACCTGATGGAGGAAGTTTGTCTCTTTTGCCCTCCACCTTCAATCATGTGAGAGCACAGTGTTCCTCCCCTCTCGAGGATGCAGCATCAAGGCACCATCTTGAAAGCAGAGAGCAGCCTTCACCAGACACTGAACCTGCTGGTACCTTGATAGTGGACTTACGAGCCTCCAGAACTGTGAGAAAATAAATTTCTCTTCTTTACAAATTACAAATTAGTCTGTGGTATTTTGTAATAGCAGCACAAATGGACTAAGATAGCATGTCTGCCAGAGAGTTGTTGGGCTTTAGAGCTTTAACAGAATTTGAAACTGCCTTACCACAATTTTCCAGATAAGATTAAAGTGATTTGCTCCAGGCTACATTTTGAGCAGGTAGTACTGGCAAAAAATAAAACTGGTAAAAGCAGAACCTCGGTGTGCTGGCTGGTAGTACATTTATCATATCATACTGTAATATCAATTGCCTAAAATTTCATAATGCAGTCCACAACCTATCCCAGAGCCCTCTATGTTCCACTTAACTCCCATAGTTCTCTGTATGAATGATCATTATCATATTTATCACACTCTTCTGTAATTATTTGTTAGTGTGTCTACTTGCTCTCTAAATTAAAAACACCCTCTGGAGCAGGCATCATGAGTTATTCATCTTTCTATCCCTTTCCTATCCTCCTCCCACTCTTATTCTCAGAGAACACTCAGCATATTGTAGATGGTTAACAAGTTTTTGTTAAATGAATTAAATTCACATAGAAGAATATAACCTCATGATTATATTTTAGTGTTGCTGATGGAAGGATATTAAATTTTTACAGTGTTGATTTTTACCCCAACAGCCCCCAAGCCATTGACTAAAATCATTAATACATTATTATCATCATAGTCTCAGGGCTAGTGAAAGTCATCTGATTCAGTTCCTACATTCATGTAATCGTCTTTATCATCAGAGTCAACTAAGGACCAGAGAAGTTATATTGCCCAAGGTTACAAGATCAGTAGGTGAAAGGGAGGAGACAGGGCGCAGGTTTCCTTCTTCTTAGGGCTATTTAGTGTCATTATTGTTGTTTTCAGTACATCACATTGCCAAAACTTTATTGCAATGATATATTTCACTTTTATATTTCATATGTTCAAAGTCTAAAATGTGCTATGCTATTTTAAAATATTGAGCCTTTGATATATCTTTGGGTGAAAATGCAAAGGTTTTCACAAGTATGATATTGTATTTGAGCAACAGCAAGTGTGCCAAAATTTATTATCAACATTGAACTTGAGTTTTTCTATTTCTAGGGATTGATACTCATAATACATCTTTAGTGTCCCTCCAGGGCAGCTTAGATAGTCTACTTTTGGTTTATAATGGAAAAAAATAGAGGTTAAAATAAAGGCCAGAGCAACTGTCAGAAAGCATTAGTTTTGCTGCTCTATAAACATATCCATTTACTTAAATTATGCTGGCTCTTAGCATCCCCACTTTTGCTATATGCAACATAGTTAACACTATTTTCTCAGCACTTTACTCACTTGAAAATGAGAACATGTATTTTATATGATTAAATAAATTAGACAAGGCTAGGCTATGACATATAGTTCTTGTCTCCAAGACCTAAATGAAATCAGAGAAGTCTATTAAGAGGTAGACAGTAAACATAAAGACCATCAGGTGCAGAGCTAAACATAATCTCATGTATTTCACATAGATATTTCATATCATATATATCAAATCTGTCTTACATATTTATAGTAATCTTCATCTTTTTTTTACTAGTAGTCATGTAAGCACTATTTCCCCTGGACATAAATTCACTCAATATAAATTTGTTGAATAAGAATGATTTTATATTTCTTTTTCAATTCAATGCAACCTACAGTGCGAGTGAAAAATCTGGAAATTGTCTGAACAATGAGAAATAGTTGGGTAAGTCAAACAGGATCAATTGGCGTTTGCATGTCAGGGTTATGCCCCTAATCTATTTAAAGAGTTAGAGCCTGGGATTCTGTTTAAAATATATATTCTTATTTTCATACTTGATCCTATTTGATCCTCTCCAAAACCTCGTAAGTTAAAAAACAAGAGCAGGTTTTCTTATTTCTAGATGATGAAAATTAGGCTCAGGAAAGCTCTACAGCCTATCTAAATTCTCATAACTACTAAGTTACAAAATTGGAAAGTCAGAGGGAATAAAATCCAGGGAATTCTGCTTTGAAATTCTGGGCTCCTTTTATTTCACTACATTTTCCTGTCGTTAGAAGTGAATCAGCCTGGGTTGGGGGGACAGAAACAACACACATCATAAGAGTTAAGCTGATGTTTTATAGATTTGTTTTAATAATTATTTTTTAAACCTAGTTTGGTTACTAAACAGCTATACTCAAGACAGGTAATCACTTAAAACCTCATTCATTTCATAAACTTATGAAATACCTGAATAGTAATTAGTTCTGTTACAGAATTGCTTTGATGTGCTACATTTAATGATTATTATATTTTTAAATTTATAATTGTCTAATATCTACTTACCTATTGCTATGGAAAAAAGAGACCTTTTTTGTTATATGTATGCCTTCTAATCCTGCCTTTATATTGCTCTGTGAAAAGCTGATTAGGAGCAAAGTCCATTGAGGTATATATTAAAGGAACTGTGGGAAAATAAGTCAGAAAACCAACATAGGAAGTTAAATGGGAAATAAATTTTTTAACATCTGTTCATTCTTTTTAAATTATATACATTTCCTTTGCAAAAAAAATTTAGAAGTCAGTTATAAACGTGTACCAAGAAGGCTTATTGTGAATAATTCAATACCTTCTTGCATACACCACTGCTTTCTCATAACCAACCTGCCCTCCAAATAATATTATGTAGACTACCACTATATTTGTATTTGTTTAGTGCTTTAACAATTTTTTCCCATATATTATCTTTTTTTTTTTTTTTTGAGATGGAGTTTCGCTCTTGTCACCCAGGCTGGAGTCGAATGGCACAGTCTCAGCTCACTGCAACCTCCACCTCCCGGGCTCAAGTGATTCTCCTGCCTCAGCCTCCCAAATAGCTGAGTTTACAGGTGCCTGCCACCACGCCAGCTAATTTTTGTGTTTTCAGTAGAGACTGGTTTTCACCATGTTGGCCAGGTTGGTCTTGAACTCCTGACCTCAGATGATCCACCCACCTCGGCCTCCCAAAGTGCTGGTATTACAGGCATGAGCTACCGCGCCTGGCCATCTTTTTGATCTCTTTATATTAGTTGTGTGTCCTTTTATGTCTACATACATACTACATTTCACTGATCATCCCTTTGTCTAAAATGTAAGCTCAGGAGTTATATCATAGAACCATGTTCAGTTTTGAGAATATAAAGAGTATAACATCTTAGCTAAGCAAGAAGATAAATGTCCTGAGCATCATGCAATTAATTTCATGACAAATATGTCATAAATCATCCAGAATCTCCTCATTTTCTTATACCACAGAGACTTAAGAATTTCAGAAATGTAGTGATGTTATCATCATCCTTTGGTATTCAAAGTTGATTCTTGTTACCAATATCCTCATCTCTATCTGAGGTTGCACCTGAAAAATGTTTGAAACTCTTGGCCCCACACAGACCAAGTCCTGTAACTGTTAATGGCTGTCATTTAAGGGTCTGTGCACCTCTATTTTTCATGCCAAGAGCTTTAATTAAACTTTTGAACTCTACATGCCAGGTTAGTTGATCTGCTGCTATTCTTCCTCCTTTGTAGAGCTCAACTTCTCTGCTCAAAATTATGTAACTTTGTAATGTTTCTTCCATTCATCTTCATCCATCCACACATTCCAGTATTTGGGACTCCCCTGACCACTACTCTAACCAAAATCTGCTTTATGGAATTAGTATTACAAATATTACTTAAATTATTTTGTAAATTTAAGGCACCTTACCCCAAGTGTTTTAATAGCATGGTAACTCTAATTCTGGAATGAAAGACTCTTGAAGATATTGAAGGCATCAAATGAAAAGGAAAAATTCGTAAGATGGTTGTGATGAAAAAAGTAAAGAGCTGAGAACTTGGTTCTGGAGTACAAATTTGGCTGATTCCTTATCCAGATTAGAATCTGACCCTAAGAGCATTTTTCTCTATTCTGATTCTCTGACACACATTCTAGAAAGATTAAGGGTGAGATCTTTGACACTTTAATTTAAAGCCAAAAGGCAATATTTGCGTTAAGAAGAATAATGTCAAACTCAGTAGCAAATGCAAAACATTTCAGCTATTTTATATAATTTAATGCTAGAAATATTCTGAAGAAGGAAATATATTCTTGGAAAAGAAAATATTGGAAATAGAGACATCCCTGGAAAAAAAGGTAATATAATTTTTAAAGTGCCTAATTCAAAATGATTCAAAAGGCACAGAACCTTTTCCCCTTTATCATTTAGCCTACATTCTAAAATGAAATCTTGCCATTTTTATTGTACTTAGAACAAGTATTAGATATGTTATTAAAATACCAACCTAGAGATAAAAATGGGTCAAAGGCACACCTTGATTTTTATCATTTTATGCCTTGAAAATTACAACTTAAAATATACAGTTAATAATCTTCCTAATGGACTACAGAAATACCAGTTATGTATATATCCCTTCTGATATACACTCTGTGGGAGAGTGTATCTTCCAGATATATACCATCCTACATATGCTTCTTACAATGTAACATCAACACTTCAGTCAAGAGGTGAAGTCTATTAAACATATCTCATTTCTTTCTCTTTCCTTTTCCTCATTCTCTGACTTCTCTCTTTTATCTTCAGCCACTCATGGAACCCAGCCAGCCACTCTGCTGTCAGCAAGTCCACACTAGCCATGTAGAAAAATAACACGGAAAGTTCCACATGGAGAGAAACTAACTCCCCCATTCAATAGCTAGTCAAAAAAACAACCAAGGATAAGCAATCCTTCAGATGAGTCCAGCTTCCAGCCATTGGGTCTTCCAACTGAGGCCTCAGATACTGTGGAAAAGAGGTAGGCTATCCCCTTTGTTCCCTATCCAAACTCTTAACCCACATGATCCATCAGGATAATAAATGGTTGTTTTCCTCAAATACATTTTACATAATTTGTTATAGAGTAAAAGTTAACAGAAACATTATCAAATTAGAACTAAGTACTTGGTGTTTTTGTTTTCTACTCTTGGCTTTTGTCATGAGCGCAATTTTTGATTATTATTATTTTTTAAATAATGAAGCAGAGTATTATGTCATCTACTTCATTCCTTCCTTGATTCTGAATCTCCTAGCCAGGTTCAATACACTTCCAGAAGTAGCACATGGCACAACCATATTTCAAGACTAAATGAGCAATTTAGAAACAACATGGGAACATATTTTGCAACTCTATCTGTGTTAGTACCCAGATGTAGAGACATTCAACTTATATCAACATACATTCAGGCCGGGTGTGGTGGCTCATACCTGTAATCCCAGCACTTTGGGAGGCCAAGGCCAGAGGATCACTTGAGGTCAGGGATTCAAGACCAGCCTGGCCAACATGATGAAACCCCATCTCTACTAAAAATACAAAAATTAGCCATGCATGGTGGTGTGTGCCTGTTATCCCAACTATTCCAGAGGCTGAGGTGAGAGAAGCTTAAACCTGGGAGGTGGAGGTTGCAGTGAGCCCAGATCATGCCACTGCACTCCAGCTTGGGCAACAGAGTGAGAATCCATCTCAACAACAACAAAAATACATTCATTGAGTATCTGTATGTGCAAAAGAAAAAAAAAAGAACGGATTTATGTTAAGTAATTTGTACAAGGCATGCACTATTAGTTTCTAAAAAATGTACAACAATCTTATTACATAGGGCATCACCACAGATGTGACTCAGAGAAGTTAAATAACTTTTAAGATCTAACTACCAGTTTTTGGTTGAGTCAAGATTCAAACTCATATCTGCATTATGACAAATATATGACTTTTGCACCTTACCTTGTTTCTGTAATGGGATAATAATAGTAACAATTTCAGTGTTTGTCACATAAATTCAATGAAATTCATGGAAGTTCCCTAGAACATAGTAAACAATAAATATTAAAAATTAATGGTATTTTTATTATGTCATTTTTTTCTTTTCTACTTGGTGCTAGATATTGTAAAAAACAAAACTTAGTAACACGTAGTCTTTACCTTCACTATATTTGCAATATAGTGTTGGGAGTGTTAAGTTGGATCTATAATGGGTTAGGCATTGTATAAATACACAAATAACTGTAATGTAAAATAAGTTGTAATAAATGACTTAAGACAGGTATAAGAAAATGACTATATTCAGTTGAGATATCAAGAAATGTTTTATGAATACGATGGTGCCAAAGATGAATCTTGATGTAAGATTTTATTTTAACAGAGAGAAAGAGATACTAATTTCATGTAGAAGGAACTGCATAATGAATGAATATGCAAACATTGGGAAATTTCTCTAAAAATTCTACAAAGTTTGGTATTCCTGGAGAAAAGAGCTCGTTAAATTTTTAAGATGGAAAGATTGGATATGTTTATAAGCTAGGGGAAGGAGTCAGTAAAAATTTTAAGAATAGAGACAGAAAAATGGCTATTCTAAAAAGAGTAAGAATGGAATGGGTCGAGGAAGGTGGGAATGCAATTGTCCCTGAAAAGCAAGTGAAGCACCTCATTCTCAGAGACTGTAGAAAACTGGGATTATAGATTAGGTGACTGCGTATGAAATGGTAGGGAGTGGAGGAAGAATGTATATGATGACTTCAAATCCTCAGTTTGATAGGAAAGGAGATTGTCTGAGTGGTGGAAGAGAAGAGGGCTTGAAGAGGATGCAGAAGGTTTAGAATGGTTTTGAAACTGAATAAAATAAGCAATTGAATAAGGATACATGCAAGGATTGAAAGTATTGTTCCCATGGTAAGTATTTATTGTTTATCTCCCGTGTGTTAGATTTTGAAAGCACAATAATAAACAAGGTAGACACTGACTACACCTTCAAGACAGAGATTAGTTAAGTAAATGAAAAAATTACCATTCAATGTGATTACTGTTCAGGAACTTTGAATGGAAAGGTGTCATTTGAATATCGATAGGCATTAACCAAGCAATGAGAGAAAGAGGAGTAAAGAGTGCTGCAACACACAGCCTACTATATGCAAAGACCTACAATTACAGGAAGTCTGGTATATTCTATTTCACTGAGTATAGTGCCTTCTGGAAGTTCAGAGAAATACAGTTGAGGTGAGGAGAGGAGAGGCTAAAGAATAAGAAGGGAGGGCCTGACTATGTTGGTCTTTATATAGTACAGCAAGGAGTTTGGACTAAACTCCCAAGACATTAGAGAAACGCTGTATGGTTTTATACAGGAGAAAAATCAGCTCCAATCTACATTTTGAAAGATGTCTTGGTTAAAGCTCTCCGTGGCAAAAAAAAACAGAATACTGCTAGAGCTGACTTAAGCAAAAAGAAGAAATTTATTAACTATGTATTATACTGTTTTTCAACCTTTTCCATATCCTGGCACAGATGGAAAATGATAATATTTATACAGCACCCTGGGGAAAAGAGACAAGGCTGCTTGTGGCAGGAGGCAAGCAGCCTGGGGACTCCAGCTGCCCTGAGGCTAGGGGGTCAATATCACAGCATACATCTGCAACAGACCAGCTGGAGAGCTCAGAGCCACTACATGAAATTATAGACTCAGGGATAAATCATGCAAGCAGAGACTAGCTGAGCCTCATGAGGCTAGGAACTCTAAAGCCATCAGAAGTCAAGTCTCTTTTCTCAGCCTCTCTCTCTGTCTGGGGCAATGTGGTTCTATCTCTGCTCCTTTTGGTATATAGATGCTTCCTTGTGCACATGGCTGAATCTGCCTCATATCTCCCACATGTGCAAGTTCTTCCAGTTAAAGTATCCAATTAAAAAAACCTAACAGTCCTTAATGTTAACTCCACATTTCCAAGAGAAAGAATCTGATTGAACCAGGTGTCTATTCTGTCTGCATCTTTTGTTATCAGTAAGAAAGATGCCATATAATAAACATGGAGCCATGGAGGCCCACTGCCATGTGATTGGAGGTAATATCTGAGAAAAGCTGCAGAAGCGGGCGGACTCTTGAGACCTCAGAAGAGTACTCTGGCTACAATAGGAAGCATGTCTAAAGAAAAGACTATATGGGATTCATGGAGATGCATTGAGAAGCTGTTCCAGCAAGCCAGGAAAAGTTCAGAATGGCCAAGGCAAGAGTAAGAGTATTAGTAATACAAGTACAGAGATTTGGGCAATAGTTTCAAGGCATAATTAATAAGATCTGGGGTTTGGTTATTTGAAGGTATAAAGAAGAAAAAGAGCCAGATTTCTGGCTTGAACAACCAGGTGAAGGGGATGGCATCTTTCACTGATCGGGGACATGTGGGAGGAATAACAAGATTGACAGACGGAAGAGTTTCACCATTGGATTGATACGTCCAATAGGCAGCTGTTAGGAGATATTGGAGCTCAGAAGGGCCATCTAAGAGGAATTTAAATGTGGGAGTTTTTAAAATAATGACTAAAGTTTTGGAGTGAAATTGTGCAGGTAGAGAGTTTAGGATGAGAGTAAAAGCTAAGAAACAGTGGAAAGGACCCCAGGAAAAAAACATAGTTTGAGAAGTGGTCAGAGTAGGAGAGGCCTCCAAAGGAGATTGGGAAAGAATACCAAGATGGGAGAAGAAAGCACAAGAAAGAAAGAGGAAACTGAAAGACAAAAGGAAGGATTTTTTTCTACAAATAGGGAGAAAACAGTAGTGCCAAATGTTGCTAAGAAGGAAAATAGAATATAAAATAAAAAGAGCTCCACGGATGTAGCAATAAGTGCCTTGGCAAGGCAGCCATCTAAATAGAGGAGTGAGTACAAAAGCCAAAATAGAAAGTATTTAAGAGTAAATGGGAGATAAAAAAGTAAAGCTTTAGCAAGAGTCATGAGAAATTTGGCTGTGAAAAGGCAGAGAGATATGCCAATAATCAAAGAGGGTTATAAATTGAGGGAGGGTTTTGTTTTGTTCTTAAATATGTCATATTAATTCCATACAATTGTGTATCTGGCAGGCATCTCCAAGCTAAAGAGTGGAGATGAAATGGTGGCAGTAACTCAAAAAGCGTGCCAAATCTTTTCTACCTGTGCCTAAAAACGCAGAGGATAATGCTGAACTGCAGGATTTAGAAGTTCATTCTCTGGTCACTGAATGTATCAGGTCAATGAAGCCTTCAAGGTGCCAACAGAGATCATGGTCAGGTGGACCCATATATGAACTCCACCAACACATTGAGAGGATCCTTGCTGGAAAGGAACAGGCTGTTCCTAAGCCAAAATCTGGTGCTTCTCAGAAGAAAAAGATAACCCAAAAGGAACTGAAGAGGAAAATTTAGGGCAGGAAATACAAAGCACACAATTAATGTAAATAAAAAGAAAATAAGAGGGAAGGATAGGTGACAACTGATATGAAGTATGAGATAGAGAAGAGATGTGTGTGTGTGTGTGTGTGTGTGTCTGTGTGTGTGTCTGTGAGTGTGTGTGCATGTTGTATTGCTTTTATAGAATGGGAGAGAACTAAGAATTTAGGAGAACTAAGAATGGGAGAAAACTAAGAATTTAGGATTATGCCCAGGACATAGTAGATACTCAATACATATAGTCATGAAAAAAAGAAAAAGGAAGGTAAGTAGGGAGGGAGGGAGGGAGGAAGGCAAGGAGAAAGGGAGGAAGGGAAAGAAGGAGGCAGGGAAGGTGAGAGGAAGAAAAGAAGGAAGGAAGAGAGGAAGGAAGGAAAGGAAGGAAGGGAGGGAGGGAGGGAGGGAAGGAAGGAAGGAAGGAAGGAAAGGTGTCTGCAGGCTCAATACAGGGACTCCCTGAAAGTTGATGTCATTGAAGATATACCAAAAAGAATAAATATGTAATGGACCAAAATCCCAGTGTAGATTGAAAAGTATGATGTATAGAACCCATACATTTATTTTTAAACCGACTGAAAAGTGGCTTTAATAGGCAAAAGATTTCTAAAGAGAAAAACATAAAAACAAGGATGATAATATCTGAAATAGTAAGACAAGCCCCAGAAAACAAAGGCTGATAACACCAAAGATAACTGTAGTGTCTTTAGAATGGTGCTGATGGGGTGAGCTGAGCTACTCCTCCTTGGCTTTCATAAACAATAAAGTAAAAGTAAAACATAGTTCCCAGAATCTGTTGGCTATTTACACAAGAAGCTAAACTATAATCTCTAATGAAAACCAGATGTGACAGAATGTTGAATTGGACTGTTTCTCTCCATTTTGGGGCTGAAGCCTCAAAATAATAAAAATCACATTCGAATTTAGGTACAGCTAAACATGCATGACTTCAAAGGAGTAGTCAAAACCCAGTTTTGTGATTGTTAATCTCTTATCCTCTTTTAGTGCATAAAAGATTTGGAAGTTTGAGAGAAAAGTTGGATAAAAAAGGATCTGTGTAGCGAGTTAATGTTCTCTGGGATTCCCTCCCCAAGAGGGAGAAGTCAGAGAAGAGGTGTCTCTTTCTCACTTCATTCCTGGGAAATTGGGTTTCTTGGACACCTTGAGGAGAGTTTGATGTTTCCCTGGTGCTTCAGGTGACACAGCAGGTGTCTAAGAAATCAAGGTTCATAACAGTATAGTGAACTAAGTGCCCTGGGAATGGAGAAAGGTGGACAAGACTGCACTGAGTCCGGCCTGCACTCCATGTTGTTATGGCAAAGGGGATGAATGTTTCCTATGGACCAAATGTGGGTCTCTTTCAACAGAGAAAACATGAGTATTTTTAAGAGCATCCCTTAAGGTATAAAAGAACTTGACCAGAAAGAATTTGGAGGTGATCTTCTGGAAGCAGAGGGGGTTCTAGGGACAATATAAGAAATCAGTTCAAGAAAAATGTTACTTCTGTCAAGGCTACTACTAATGAGAAATCCTCAAAGACTACACTCCTCTGTGGAACTCACCAAAGTGATATATGATGAAAACGATTGCAGTGCTCAGAAAGTGGTGACACCAAACAGCTTAAATTCAAGAACACATCTTGAATGTTTTCTCTGAGTGAAATTTTTATGCCCTTCTAAATTTTACCTCCTTTGATCTCATCCATATGCCAATCGTGGAAGGGTCAGAAACTGTTAGAAAGATGGAAAAGGGGATGGAGTCTCTAGATTGGGAGAGAGAATCCTGCCAAGCTTTTTCCTTCATTTCCCACTTCAGGAGACCAAACTGGGTAGTTCCAAGGAGAAACAAAACTAACCTAATACTAAATTTGAAGTGTTAATTATTATACGTGAAAGAATATATTAATTATGGGAATGAAACTGTGATCTATGCCTTGAAGTGGCTGGGAGACTTTTCATTATTCTATGTGTGACTGGGATGTCATGGGTTTGCCCAAGATTTCGTCAAGGGGCAGGCTAAGTACCAACCCCATGCAATAGGTCTAAACAGTGAACAAAGGGAAAAATCAATTGGTTTCTCATTGTCTCACAAGAACCTCTTCTTCATCAAGATGTTTACACAGTATTCATAATCCACCCACTACTTTTTCTCTTTTCCCAAGCAATAGAAAAACAGACATGTCTAGTATCTTAAAAGTTTTACCTGTCTTTAAACTTGAATTTAAAAAAGCAATAAAGTGATGAAAAAAATCAGGTGAAACCTGAAGTAATTTTATTTTATACAATATTGAAACAGGTTCTTTTCATTTATTTTCTAGAAGAAGAGAGTTAGAGAAAGTTCGTAGGAGAACTATATGATATGATAGTTCTATATGATATAATCTTCTGTGATATAATCTTCTGTGCAGAATATAACCATACATACATGAATCACTTTCCTCCTTTAATGCTATTTTAATGCTTATTCTAGAAACATATTTTATTAATTAAATGAGCCCAGTGAAACACATTTGTTAGGAGAATAGTTATTATGTGAAATGTTAATGTTAAGGGCTATCTCTTCTCTGGCTAACTGCGGTTTCACAGACTAAATTATTTGTTCTAGGTAAAGTCCCATGTTGTTTGCTTTCTCCTAATACAAGCCTAAATTATAGAATGCTGATATCCATGAGAAATACGTGAGGAAATGAAAGCAAACATCTGGAGGTGAACTAAATTCTCTCCCTATGCAAGGCAACCAACAAAGTACTAAAGTTGAATACTAGAATTTGAGAAGTCTTCCCTATCAAAATCAACCACTGACATTCATGCAGTGACTGCTGTAGGCATTTGAAAATCAAGCAGGTTGGCATTGACTGAGCCATTCTTGCAGTAGAATGTTTCTGCCATGTATTTTTCACCAACATTTTTTGTAGAGGTCATTTAAGGCTTTAAATCTTAGAGAAGTAAAAAGTAAGTTTAATTTTTTTCCTGTGACAGATACACTAGTTCAATTTTTCATCTGAGGCACAATGCTCTCTTTTATTTCTCTTTTCTTACTGTGGTAAAAACATTTAACATGAAATCTACCCTCTTAACGAAACTTTTTTAGTGTACAATGCAGTAGTGTTAATTTTAGGCATTAAGTTGTACCTCAGATCATTGGAACTTATTCATCTTGCATAACTGGAACTTTGTATCTTTTAAATAGCAACTTCTCATTTCTCCCTACCCCTAGTCCCTGAAAATCATCATTCTACTCTCTGCTTCTATGAGTTTGACTACACAAGATATCTCATATAAGGGGAATCATGTGGTATTTGTCCTTTTACTGGCTTATTTCACTTAGCACAGTGTCCTCAAGGTTCAACCTTGTCATCTCATATGGCAGGATTTCCTTCTTTTTAAAGGTTGAATAATATTTTATCGTATACCATATTTTCGTTATTGATTCATCTGGTCAGTGGGCTTTTAGGTTATTTTTGCATCTTGCCTATTTTGAATAATACTGCAATGAACATGGCAGCGCAGGTATCTCTTTGAGATAATGGTTTAAATTCTTTTGGATATACACCCAAAACTGGGATTGCTATATCATATGGTAGTTCTATTTTAAATTTTTTGAGAAATTTCCATACTGCTTTCCGTAACGGCTGTATCCTTCTGTATTACCACCAATGGTGTATAAAGGTTTCAATTTCCCCACATCCTCACCAATGATTGTATTTGTTTTCGAATTGCTATCCTGATGGTGTGAGGTGAAATGTCATTGTGGTTTTGATTTGCATTTCCTTGATTATTAGTGATGCTGAGCATTTTTTCATATGCCTATTGGCCATTTGTATGTCTCCTTTGGAGAAATGTCTATTCAAATCCTTAGCCCATTTTTTAAATGGGTTATTATTTTTTTATTATTTGGTTTTTTTTTTTTTGCTACTGGGTTGTAGGAGTTCCTTGTATATTTTGGATATTAATTCCTTATAAGATATATGGTTTGAATATTTTCTCCCATTCTATATGTTCTCTTTTCGCTTTATTGATTGTTTCCTTTGCTGTACAGATGCTTTTGAGTTTGATGTAGTTCCCCTTGTCTAATTTTGCTTTTGTTGCCTGTGCTTTTAATGTCATATCCAATTAATCATTTCCAAGGCTAATGTCATGAGGCTTTTCCCCTGTGTTTTCTTCTGGGAGTTTTATAGTTTCAGGCCTTACATTTGAGTCTTTAATCTATTGTGAGTGGAGTTTTATTAATGTGTGAGATTAAAGTATATTTTCATTTTTTCTTCATGTGGATATCCAGTTTTCCCAACAGCATTTTTTTGAAGAGACTAGCCTTTTCCCATCATGTGTTCTTGGAACCCTTGTCAAAGATCAATTGATCAATTGCCTGTATATGCATGGATTTATTTCTGGGCTTTCTATTTTATTCCATTGTTTTACATGTCTGTCTTTATGCTAGTACCATACTTTTTAAATTACTGTAGCTTTGTAATATATTTTGAAATCAGAACATGTGGTGCCTACAGCTTTGTTCTTTCTTGAGATTGTGTTGACTATTTAAGGTCCTTAATGGCTCTAAATGAATTTTAGGATAGATTTTTCTCTTTCTGTAAATAATGCCATTGGTATTTAAATAGTGATTGCATTGAATCTGGAGATAATTCTGTGTAGTATGGCCATTTTAATAATATTAAGACTTTAAATTTTAATAATATTAAGGCTTTCAGTCCAAGAACACAGGATTTTTTTTCCATTTATTTGTGTCTTCTTTAACTTCTTTTATCAATATTTTATAGCTTTTAGTGTAAAAGCCTTCACTGTCTCTGCTAAGTCTATTCCTAAGTATTTTAGGGTTTACTACACGTAAGATTATGTCATCTGAAAACAGATAATTTTCTTCTTTTCTAATTTGGATGCCTTTTATTTATTTTTCTTGCATAATTGCTCTGGCTAGGACTTCTATGACTATGTTGAATAGAAGCAAGAGTGGACAGTTTATCTTGTTCCTGATCTTGGAGGAAAAGCTTTCAGCTTTTCACCATTGAGTATGATGCTAGCAGTGGGCTTTTGATGTATGGCCTTTATACTTTCCCTTTGCTGAGCCTGTGGGGGATGGGTTATGGTGACTATGTGCTAGTCCAAACATCATGTTTATTCTCATTCTCCCCCAGGCATTTAGAATATGCTATATCCTGTAAGTGCTTTGACATGACAGAGATAAGAGCAAGTGCCTTGGGAAACCCCTGAAAATTTTGAGGCATTGCATATGCAGTCCAATTATTTCCCTCCCCAGGGAGAAGCTGGGAACTAGGGGTTTTCTTCTGATCTTCTGGTCTTCTGCCAAGAGTAGAGGTGATGGTGAGATGATATCTTGAACTTTCCTACTGGTTTCAATGTGGCTGATTTTGCCCTGTACAAAAGGGCAGTGGAAGAGTGCAAGAGCCTCTCAACTAGTCTGTGGACTTCTCACAAAGGAAATTTGTATATGTATTGTTGAATTGGTGTATTCTTTGGGTGAACGAGAGTCCAACTTTATTTTCTGCTATCTTACTGATATCATTCCTTCCATAATGTTTTCTTAATTCCTTCCATAATATTTGTGTTTCTATGACGCTGAATTTTTTGCTGAGTTTGAATAACAGAGTAAAAGGGAAAGATACAGTAATAATTTTCTTATAATAATTTTCTTGAAAAATTTACTACAAATATTAAATATTATGTCTACTTAAACAAAGTCTTACCTGTCTTATTAGAAATTTCTTTTAATATGTTTTCTTTCAATGGTAGTTGTTCCTTAATGCTATTAAGTAGAAAGGACAAATATTATGGTCAAGGGGCCAACTGGGAACAGAATTTAAACTGACCTGAATTCAAAAGTCTGATCTAAACTCCAAACAAGTATTCTTTTTATGGTCTACTGAATGGAAACACTTCTTATTCATCATAAATCTGGAAGTCGCATGTTCAGTCTCTACTTCTAAAATCCATTTCTTAACTTGACATGGGGTAGGAAAAGTACAGAGGCAGTGTTTCTTACCACTTAGCAGTGTCTCTGGGAAGAAGTTAATAACTGCTTAGCTTGGAGTTTTTATCTTCTTCCAGAGAATGCCTTTGCATGGAAGCAATAAAGTAACTTCCCTCTGTAATCATTAGAAATAAAATATACACACAGCATTGGAACTAGGAGCTCATTTGTTTCCTCTTTCTTGTTTCCTCAATTCATACTCCCCAGAAAAGGAATATATAACATCCACAACCACGGAATACATCTCTTATTCAAAATGGAACCAAGGTCCTCCTTTAAGTACCAATGTCCTTGCAATGGCAGTTACCTCCCTACTCAGTAAGTCATTTTATTGCCAGGATGTTGAGAAAAAAATTCACCTTAAAAGCTCTGCTCCACACCAAAAAACATTAGAAATTTCATGCCAGAAACTTGAGTACTTTGTGGCCCATGAAGTTGGAACTCTATGTTTCCAAAATTGTATTGTAATTTATGCCCTCAAAGACTTAGTTTTTAAAACAAGAATTTGATACGGTTCTACAGGAATTCCTTTGGGCCTCTTCCCTTTCTTCTTAGCTTTCCTACTGCATAATGCATGTCAGATTGTTCACAGAAACTCTTGGACCAGCTGTGCTATTTACCGTGTTGCCTTATTTTTCATGCCTACCACCTGTTAAAGCCCTGTGATTTCAGATTGTTCATTCATTTCATATATTACCTCTGTAAATTATAAGCAACAAAAATAAAGGTAAGCATCATTTCTGAAGGCCTTGATTATAGTATGAAGTGGGAATTTAGTAGTTAACACAAGAGACATGGACCTGGTCATTTATGTCCAAGTAGAAGAAAAAGATGTTAAACCACCATTGATATTAATTATTTGAGTACAATTGAGGGAAGTGCTATGAATGGTGGTATGCGAGACTGTGAAAAGGGCATAATGGTGAATCTGTGCTAATTTGGAGTGTTGGGTGTCAGGGAGTCAATGGGACAGGGGCATTCCAAGAAGAAGAGATGGCAACGTGAGGAGCATGAATGGAAAGTACTGATACACTTCAGGAAATTAAATAAATCATGGTAACTAAAGAGGGTGTGAAGCTCTAGGATTCCACAAGATATTACTAGATTGGGGAAAAAACAAAGAGGAGGGGGAATTTTTTTTAAACTTTACATACCCCACAATGTTTGCACTTGCAGTGATGGATTATTACTGAACGGCCCCAGCAGCAGTTTCATCAACAGTCTTGTAGCTCTGTAAGACAGTGTGCAGTAGGACTGTGCTCATTTAGACAAGTGCATTCTCAGTTTCTCTGTGAGATAGGGGAGGTCAATGATAAAAGGTGAACACTATGTCACACAAAAGGGAGGACAGTAGATTGATGACATAAACATCTCCCTCTCAAAGTGCCTACCACAACCTCTTCTTCTTGTCAATGATTGGCTGTTAAAGGTGACTAAGCTCTATTTGTGCAATACAAAATTGTGGGGAAATTTTTATTCTAAAGAAGGTATTTTTGTGTGTCATGACTCAGTTTCTCTCATGCTGCTTTGCTGTTGCTATAAATGTTGCAGAATAAGGATTATGTAGGTTAGAATTGAATTACATTGTGAATTTTTCATATTTCTGTGATTTTTTCCTTCATTTGTTATTACTATGAATTGTATGCTTGTATTCTCCCAAAAATGTATATATCGAAACTTTAATCCCCAGTGGGATGGTATTAAAAAGTGAGGCCTTTGGGAAATAATTAGGTCATGGGAGTGAAAGAGTCATGATGGGATTAGTGCCCTTATAGCAAGAGAAATGAGAGCGCTTTCTTCTTTTTCTGCTCTCTGCCATGTGAGAGTGGATACAAGAAGATAGTCTTCTGTAAACCAGGAAGCGGGCCTTCAACAGACACTTGCTATGCCAGTACCTTGATGTTGGATTTCCCAGTCTCTATAACTGTGAGTAATAAATGTTTCTTGTTTAAGGCACCCAGTCTATAATAATTTGTTATAACAGCCCAAATGGACTAAGAGGGTTATTTATTATGTCATTTTGTTTTAAGTTTCATCAATGTTTACATTGTCCAAAATGTCAGATATTCCATTAAGGTAATTTTTGAAGACAAAGTTGAGATGGTAGAGGAGGATTTTATGGATAATAAGAATTATAAACTTCTAAGTCATTTCACTGTACTAGTGCAAAAAGGAACACAAAACAATTTCATTACAATAAAAACTAGTTATCAATGGGTTTTACATGGATTGTTTATCCAAGTTGTATTCTATGGTGCAGGTGCATCATTTGCACATCATTTCCTGCAGGAAAATTAAAAAGACATGAGTACAAATCATAGCCATTTTATAGGTAAAGTTGTTGATTATTTTGAACTGCTATTGGAATCTCAGAATAAAAGTGAAATTTTGTTTAAAAAAAGTCACATTTAGTGAAAAGGCTCAGGAAGCAAGTTATTAAGTAATTAAATATGTTGCCTAAAAATATGAAAAAATTGATGTACTTGATGAGAACCTAATAATACTAGCATAGAAATATATAGTGAGGAAAATGATAGGAAGAGTTGCAATATGATAATTTGAAAAGGTTCTGTATTACATGGTATGCTAAGTTATCATATTGTTGACATGCCACAGGATGAGAAGAACTTTGGGGTAATAAACTGCACATCTTACCAATGCAGGTTGACGACTCAACAGATTTCATCAATAAGTGTCTTGTTGTAGCATTTGTATCATTTCTAAATGGTGGTGAAATCCAAGAAAACTTTTTTCTACTGTATCTATCTTACCCAAACAGCAAATGCCAAGATCTATTTAATGTTGTGCCATCATATGTGGAAACAAAAGGCCTGTCTAAGAGGACCGTGTTGGCATCTATGCTGATAGCACCATGCACCTATTGTGAAAAAAATGAAAATCCCAATGTTGTCATATTCATTGCCTTCTTTACTGAAAGATGCTTCTTCAAAAACTCCTCAACATGAAATTAAAAAGTCCTATGCGATGCTATTAAAATGGTTAACTTTATTAAACAAGACCAGTTCACTCAATAATTTTTAGAAAACTGATCAAAGACATCATAAGTCTGCTCCCTACAGAAATCCATATACTTAATAGAGAAGGAGTTCTCTGTAGGGAGTTTGAACTGAAAGCTAAATTGCAGGAACACTTGCAGAAAGAACACAGAGGCCAGATTTTATTAAGGGCTTGTATGATGAAGAATAGCTGCAGACACTAACCTGCTTAGCAAACATTTTTCATCTCATGAATCAGTTGGACAAGTCTCTGCAAGGTCCTGAAGAAAATGTTTTGATGTCAAGTGACAAGATGTTTGGCTTTAAAAGAAACAGAATCATTAGAAACAATCATGTTGAAACAGGAAACCTTGAAATGTTTCCCATGCTGCTTGGATTTGAGAGTGAGAAAGGTTATCAGTCAGTCTCTAGTCTTACTGAAATCCACCTGGAATAACCACAGAACAAAATGGCCTTTTTTTCCCATCCCATTCAACACAAGTACCTGGCTAGGTGAGGGCCCTTTCTCTGACACTCGTGCTGAGTCTAAGAACTTCATTTTTTAATATTTCTGAAATGAAAAGCAAGCACGTGTTTTCCATTATTTTAGTCTATGCATGTGTAGGCCTATAACAGAGATCAAGAAACTAATGTACATATATAAAAGTTTTATTAACTGTCTAGGCCTATATTTTTGCCTGATATGTGGCTCAGTAGGAAAATGTTTTCAAAGTCTTATATAAAATGGTGCATAAGCTATATTTTTATTCATAGTTCTTTCTTACAGTTTTGAGAGCCTTACTATTCAACATTGCCAGTAAATTTTCATGTTGAAATAACATTAATTAAAATCAGTTTATAATATTTATTTAAGTGAAATTTACAAAGCCAATTCTCAGAAAAATTAAATCCCATTTTGGCCCAAACCAATTATTTAAAAGAAACTTATGGTTTGTCTTATGATTTTTTTTTAATTTATGAAAATGAGCGAATGATAATTTCAAACACAGTAAGATAAACAACTTTTTTTTAAGTAAAATTTGGATAAAAGGTCACTTTTATCTTTTAATAAAGAAAAATGTACAATTAGTCTTGTATGTTCAATATAGCACATAATAAACCTCATTAGCATTTTAAATAGGAAAAATTATAGTACGTCATTTAGGCATACTTGGATATATTTTTTTAAATCAACCATAAAATTATTAAATAAAGAAAAAGCTAGTTTCCTTTACCTACAGGCTGACTTGCATTGGAGTTAGAGCACTTGTAGAGAGGTATAACAACATGGCAGTAGGAGAATATACTGGCCAAAATAAGCAGATCCACAAAAAAAAATCATTCTTCACTCAAAAAGCATTGACAATTTTAATGCATTATTTTATGTACAATTTATGTTCACACTAACATGCTATGAGCTGTAGATATAATATTTTTATATAGATTTCCTGAAATATAAGAAGTATTTCAAGGGATCCCAGAGATAAAAACATTAAGAAAGGCTGGGCTAGTACAGAGCAAGTAGAAGGTTGATATATACTAGATGAGGCTCGGGCTGTAGGTAATGACAAGGTCTGATGTGGAGCTAAAGAAAAGTACATATATTAGAAACTCATTAAAACCAAGAGAACTTGGCCCTATATTGTACGTAGAGGAGAGGTTAGGGTTAAAAGGTGTAAAAAATGAGTTCTATGTTTGTGGTTTACAAGACTGAATGGATAATTGTACAATATGAGGTTCTAGTGAATATTAGAAAAAGTCCAAGTTTGGGAGATAAGATCAATTGTTCAGTTTAGGCATATTCATTTTGAGGCACCTATAAGACAGGAGAAGGAAATGTGATAAAGGTGTTTGGATAGATAGACCTAGAGCTCAGAGTAAAGGTTTGAGCTAGAGAGATCATATTGAGATTCTTTTTGATACAAGGGTCAGTCAGTTACAGCTCTGATGAAATGACATGGAGAGAAGCCATTGAATTGGAAAAAAATGAGAGCCTCAGAATGACCACTGAGGACTGAATAAGGGACAGACAGAAGGAATGGCCAGAGAAGTATTGGGGAAAGTAAGATGACCGTGGCGCCCTAGAAACCAAGAACAAAGAATGTTTCAAGCAAGAGAAAGTGGTTAGCAATGTTGAACACTGCTAAGGGAACAAGTCTAGTCAGGACTGAGCATCTTGCCCACTAGACTTTTCTAACAAGGAAGTAAAAGTCAGCATAAATTAGAAGAGGTGTGTTGAAGTTGTAGGTGCCCAAGCAAAATCAGGTGAGGAAAGAAGTAGGGAATGAGCAAATGGGATGCAGCAAGATAAGAAAGCCACGAGAAGTTAGGTTGTGGAGAGTAGAGAGATAGAGGCTAGCTGGTAAGCCTTTCCTTAACATTGGAAGGCCTGAAATGAGGGTACGAATGGAGGCCCATATGCTGTATTCCTAAATATCTAAATGTTATAAATCAAGTGAACACAGTGTTAAATAAAAGGTCTATCATCCTACCTTTTAAAATGTGTCTTTATAGGAATCTGGAAGGCCAGGTAGCACCAAGCAGCCATTCACACTTAGAAATTTTTGGTCTCCTCAGATTTGTGCACTAGAATGTCCAGCACGAGGAGTGATGGCCCCGAGCCTCTGTCGCTGGCCAGTGATTGGTTCTTTCCCTCCGGTCCCATGAGGCACCTCACAGTCCTGTACGAGGACACCCCTGCCTGAATGTCCAAGCTGTCTCCAAGCTCTCCTGAAAATTGCCTCCACTTGACCACATCTCACACCCAGGCGTAGTATGGCCTACACTTGGGAAGGGGAGACAGAAGCCTGTGCAGGTCTTAAAGGTGGAGTTGGGGTCTCAAGTACTTGAAGCATGGCCTAGAAAGAGGGAAGATGAGCTCTGGGTGGACATATCTGCTTGAGCCTGTGGACACCTGACTCTGTAAAGAGCTGCCCCAGTACCTCAAGTCAGGTCTAGATCCTCTAAAGCACAGGGTTTATGTCAGAGGTCTCTCTTCCTTAGTTCTGAGGGCAGTATTGCTAGCTAGAGAGAGGGGTATGTTAAAACCATGGTCACATTTTTCCTCTTCTGCAAACAGACTGTCCTTCTCCGCAGGTAAGTAGAATGGCCTGCTTTTACTCCAACATTTTCTGTTCAACATAATCCAGAGGAGGAAATCGACAAGCTGTAGCACGGCTTCAAATGAAATGGGCTGGTTAAGAAATTCTTGTAAGACATCAGTTGATGAGCTATTTATTCAAGTTCACGGAATAAGCAACTTACAAATCACTTTTCATTGAGCTTGATTCAGCATTCTGAAGTAAATGAACATGGAATCTCTATCAGGCTTTCAGTGCAATATCAGCCCGGCCTAAACAGAGGATGCTGAATTTATGCTATAAATCTAACTCTATTTTGCTATATTTTGACTCTACTTTGTTGTTGTTGTTCCTGAGATTCACATAAAGGCTAGATCTACATTGGCAGAATAAATGTAAACAAAACCAAAAACCACTGCAACAATTACTTGCCACAACAATATATTTCAAGCAAGATGATTTAGGCTTAATTATCCACACAATTAGCTTATTTTTCTGCTTCATTTTAGTTGCATAAAACTGTCCAAACATAGAGATTTTTCTTGGTCTTGTTCTTTTTAAAATTTGACAGTAATAGTAGATAAAAATGTAATGTCTTACACTGTCCCTGTACATGTGAAATTGACAGATTTTCACCCAAAAAGATTGTCAATATGACTTATATTTTTCTTTACATAAATATAATTAATTTACTAAATACAATGCTTTGATGTAATATTATATCTCATACAGATTTGGGAAATATCTCATTTATCACATTAAAAGAGATAATACTTATGTCCTACTACTCTTTATTTACTTAAAGATACAAAGAGGGAGATAAATCATTTAGGGAATCTGTATATTCAAGTGTTGTTCTACTGTTAGAGCACAAGATAACTAGAAGAAATTATCTGGCATTTATCAAATAATTAGCTATTTTGAAAATGTATAAGCTGGAAGAATCAGAGGTTGAAGATATGAAACGAAGCTGTGGCTGGTTATTTAACAATAACGAATTGACCTAAAGGTTAATCAATGATAATTATTCCCAGAAAGTCTCCTGTTACAGAGAGGGGTATTTTAAAATATGGTTTTATATAACTAGATTATATGGTATATAAGTGACTTAGGAATTATTCCCACATTTCTATTTTTCTCACATTTAAATTAGAGTAAAATAAGAGGCCCCAAAATACCATTTAGAACTCTCATAAGTTATTTGATAATCAGAATGATTTCAACAATTTTGATTACATTAGTAATTGCTTTTCGTAGTTGGGATAAATCCAGCTTTTGAAAAGTATTGACAATAAGGCCACAGGCAGAGGCAGACTCATTTAGTAACAATTAAAAGTAAAGGGAGCAGAGATCTGCAGCCAAGAATCAGGTTTTACTGAGGTTTTCTCCAGGTTCATGGGTACAAATACGTCCATCTTCTTTTCGACATGAAGTTAAAAAACAGAAAGTAGGTAAATAGAAAGGTGGCAGGAGAATGTTAAATTTTATTAACCCACTAGTGTCTTTATGCTAAATAATGGAGAAAATATATATATATGTGTGTATATATATATTTTATCTTGGGCCATACACATAAAATGGCTCTTGCCCGCAAGACATTTAAAATATCCTTGCCATTCCCCTCATTGCAGAGCACTGATGGTGCATTCAGAATGCTAAGCAGGCAGCAGGCACACATTGGTCTATAAGAAGAAAAAGACGCTCAAATTCAAGGGGCAGAGTGGTAGCACCAGGCAGCCATTCACACTGAGAATGCACACAAAGCATTTTGGGGAAAGTAAAGACTTTTGCAAAAATCTATCAAGAATAGTTCTGTGCTTAAAGTCATCCTTTGTGTGATTGTGTAAGCCAATGGGGGTACGTAAGAGGGAGAGGAAAAGGCATAGGGAAAGGAAAAGGCATAAGAACCTTGAAACAAAACGCAGACATCGTGGCACAAGAGAAACATGGAACTCAAGGGGATTCTCTCCTAAACAGAATTTTTGTGAGAAGATCTGAAGTTATTATCTATTTTTAATCCAAAGAGGAAGTGGAAAGTAGACACTGATAATCAAACTAATACATAGATTTTGCAAATAATTGCATATAAATATACAAACTAGACCCAACAGAGTTATTATTGTAGTGTATTGACTCAATAATATCAAAAAATCTTTTTTGTCATTTTTGTAAAATACTGAGCTAAAAAATCCTGATAATTAGAGAACTGAACCTCAATATACCAGGCCATTGATTTAGGCTTCTAGTGAAGAGAATGGGGGTTCTGTACCTCATTCAGATGTGGAACAGATGGGGTACATAAACACTGCCTTTAACAAAGTCAAAAGTAGAAAAAAAATTATAAAAGTTTTACAGTAGTCTTTTTTTTTTTATACTTTAAGTTTTAGGATACATGTGCACAATGTGCAGGTTAGTTACATATGTATACATGTGCCATGCTGGTGTGCTGCACCCATTAACTCATCATTTAGCATTAGGTATATCTCCTAATGCTATCCCTCCCCCCTCCCCCCACCCCACAACAGTCGCCAGAGTGTGATGTTCCCCTTCCTGTGTCCATGTGTTCTCATTGTTCAATTCCCACCTATGAGTGAGAACATACGGTGTTTGTTTTTTTGTCCTTGCGATAGTTTACTGAGAATGATGATTTCCAATTTCATCCATGTCCCTACAAAGGACATGAACTCATCATTTTTTATGGCTGCATAGTATTCCATGGTGTATAGTAGTCTTTAACTCTTTTCTAGAATAAATCACAATATAAATAGTGTAGTCAATATAAATGTCAGCACACATGCTTGAGTGAACTACAAATATAATTTAATTATTCAACAACTTGAATCAGTTGCAAATATCTCAAGATAAACGTGCTTAGTGAATTTAGTTTTCTATTATTCCTTCTTAAGCTTGTATCAAAGTTCCAGGCTGCTTTCATGTGACCAAGCAATCAAGGATAAGAGAGAGGAGCATGAGTTCTTGGGTTCTTTAATCATCTAGGTACAAGGTAAGGGCTAATGCTGAAATAATCCTCAGCTCAGTTAACCTAGAGGTGTGGGCATCTCTGCAAAGGTTTCTGTGACTCCCAGTTACCCGCAGGAAGCTCATAGTCATTTTTTCTTTGAGGCTGTATACCATTTCTGGGCTTTGCCCAAGATATGGACACAGGAATGCTCCCGCTAAGGCCCAGTAACACATCTCTATCTCATTTTTTTCTTCTCCATCTCTTCCTTATGGAACCTAAGGGAATTATTTTCTAAAGTGGAAAATGAGCAGAGGAGACTCTACACTCTTTCCTGTGTTTCTCCCAAATTTATGGCCTAATCTTTGAAAACTCTTTCATCTTCTAAAGGTTTAGATTTTTGGAAACCAAAGTTAGGATGACTCATGGGATTTCTTTTCTCTCTGGATTGTCACACCTATCCCCTGAGGGATTGCACATAGAATTAACTAGCTACTCCAATGAGGAAATTGGAGAAACTGAAGAGAAATAATATTGGTTAATAAAAAAGGTGTTTTTTGCCCCACAATAGCTTTTATGATGAGATAACCAAAAGATGGCCATTTACTTTAAATCCTAACACAGACATACATATAGTCTCATAAAATATTACCATGTGTATGCTACAATAGCATGGCTTTTGGCTTCATATAGCTGACTTTCATGGACTATACAATGCAAGTAATGAATAAATAGTACCTGGAAGAATACCCTGGACTTGAAAAATTGGTATTTAAGATCTTCTCCACCTTACTCTATTCTACTCCATCACAAGAAAGAGCACTTAAAAAAAATTAAACTAGACCTCAAGAATCAAAATATTATGGTTTCCACTTTTTAAATGTCATGTTGTTCTGAGACTTTTGCTTTTAATGATGAACAGAAATTTCTGAAGATGTACAGCAGCCGTCATGACATCAGACAGGAAGAGAGAGCCTTCTGTATAACACACACCCAGGAGAGATGTCCTGCAGAGGAAATGTCACGAACAATGTTATGTTGGGGATTTCTCTAAACCCATCATTGCCAGGCACCTGTGCTCCAGGGCATCCATCCAATCAACTGGAGAGCAGGCACCTTGCCATTTCAGCAGATGGGTATTAATGTTGAAGGCAAAGGAACCATGTACAGTATATATTTCAATTATGAGTGTGGAGACTTGGAGTCCCAGTAGGAATCATGTCCATTCCTTTCTGAGCCTATAACAAACTAGAGATTGTATGATCCAGAATGTAGCTTTACACGGAATTAGCTTTCAGGAAAAATACATATTTACAAAAGAAAAAACATACTTTGTATGACAAGTCAAGAGTTGAAGGAAAAAAAGCTGAATATTTTAAAGAAATTTCCTAGGCTTTGTATTTCTACTGAAGCACCATTGAAAAGGCAGAGAGGAGGGAATATTTCTGCCTCACAGACATATAATGTCAGGATTGACAGAATTGTGAAAGCCTGTGGATTCTTAAATGTCAGTGTGTATTTCAGTTTTTCAAAGTGTTCTAGTCAAACAAACCTGAGAGGTGAAGTGACTTCTGGAATAGGATCTTTTTCCATCTTGGGACTGCATATCTAAGACATAGCTATCCTTTCTGGTCATACTGACTTCAACATTGTAACATTTTAAAAAGGTTGTAAGTAAAAATATCTAAGTTTTACATTGATTAATACTATTCACTGGCCAATTATTATTTCAGGATGTGATAACTTAGCATACTATGTCACTCTGCCTTTGACTACCTAATTTCATTGTTGTTATTCATCAAAAAATATTGAGATGCTTCCTTTATGTTTTACACATTATCCTGGCCAGTCAGCATTACAAGCAAGTGGCAATACCTGCATGAGTTACAATTATCTAAAGAAATGTCAATTAATTTGTTTACTTCTTTTCATATAATCCTTAAATAAGGGGTTTAACCTATTCTTTCATCTAGTTGGGGTATATATAGAGGTTTTTTTTAGGATGACCTAAAACATATCTATTATTGCACATGATACATCATCAGTTCTTATGAAATTATTTTATAGTACCTAGGATTAGCACATGGGATAAATGCCAGCATATTTTGAGATGCCATCTAGTCCATGGAATCTTTCTAAATTTTTGTTTAGGGAGTCAAGCATTTATTTTATTGACTATAACACTACTGATATCCTAGTCATGAGAAGCAGTCACAACTCAGGAGCAGAGTGGAAATTAAAAATAGTGGTAGAATTCTTATTGAACCACTCCAATCTGATACACTCATGTATTGGTTATGATGGTATAGACTTCAGGCCGCCATAGTCACCTCAAAACCTGACAACTCAGCTTGTAGTCTAAAAAGTGACTTGAGGCCCTCTACTTTAATAATTCATTCTGGTAACATAGGGACCATAAAAGTAACACCTGCAACACTCCAGAGAATTTTACAGGCAACCAGATGGCCAAACCAGTGGCCAGAGAACAAGACTAATAGAGGCAACAAAGCCCTTCTGCATACTGTCTGTTCAACGAGGACGGGGAAGCTATGTGTTGAATGTAATTCCTAAGCTTCTCATCATTTCCAGCTCAGACTGAGTCCTGTCTCCCCCTTCTCTTGGAGTCCTAGGGTTGAGTTTGAAACTCCCAGAATGCTGTCACCGTCACCCTGAAAAAGAGGTTGCCGTGGGCACATGACAGGCCTCAGGCTGGCCAGGACCTGCATTTCCAGGCAAGAAACAGACTTCCTGGCCTGTGAGTAACCACTCACATGGATTTACACTGGCACCCAGTGTCACCAGTGCCACTGCCTCCTAGTTATGATAATATTAAAACCATGCAACAATACCTATGCTTAGGTAAAACACAGATTCTAGACTTAGGTAATTATAAAGAGGATTTTCACCCAGGGAATGTCTTGCAGTCATTGGAAAGGAGAGCAGGGAAGAGTAATGCAGGGCATAGTTCTTCATGGTGGAGTGCCGAGCACCCCCGCTCCCTGCCCACTAAAGTGCCACAGGCTCATCCAATCCTGTTTACCAAAACTCCCTCTAAGGGAAGTTATGCCCCATCCCCATCTTTGGGAATCACCACCCTAAAAGGTAAGCAATATTAGCCGTATTTTACAGATTACAAAACTGATTCTTAAGTAATTGGCCTAAATATCAAATATCTAGTAAGGGAGATTTAAACCCAGACCTGTTTTACTTCTAAAGCATAGGTTCTTCTCACTGCACTACATGGTGTCTTTGGGTCAATTAATTGCTCCATATAAAAGGCACAAATAATTTAATTGGGTAGGGCTGAAATTAGGACTAAACAGCACCTAGACTCCAGACCATGTTTAAGGAATTTCTATTTGATTCAGTTTTGAGGAAGGAAAAAATTTCTACAAATTTTTTTAGCACTTCCACCATCCATTCATTTCCTCATCCAGTTATCCTCACTATCATGCTCATTTTCATTCTGATTTCAAAACACTTTAAAGTGAACACAATCCTGTAAATGTTAAATCAAATAAAATGCAGAACAGGAGCTATAAAACCAACTACTTTAATTCCATTTTATGTACCGTGAGTGTTGCCTTAACTACTCGGACATAATTCCAGCGGTAGCCTACAACAGCAAGGATTCTTCAATCACAGAGCCCTGCTTTTTGTTGTAATCATTACCTTACTTTCTTCTAACCTACCCATCTCCAGGTTCTCCACTTTATCTTGCTCCATAGCCAAATACTCCCTTGCTGAATTTGTCCTCCAAACCTGGGATTATAAAGTAGGAATTATCTTCACCAGTTAAAAGGATCTTTTCTCATCTCACTCCTACATAACAACCATTAGTATTTTCAGCTTCCTGTTGCAGGCAACACTAAAGTAATGGTTCCCGGGCAGGCTGGTGGCTCACGCCTGTAATCCCAGCACTTTGGGAGGCTGAGGCGGGCAGATCACCTGAGGTCAGGAGTTGGAGACCAGCCTGGCCAACATGGCGAATCCTCATCTCTACAAATAATACAAAAATGAGCCGGGTGTGGTGGCAGGCGCCTGTAATCCCAGCTACTCAGGAGGCTGAGACAGGAGAAGCACTTGAACTCGGGAGGTGGTGGTTGCAGTGAGCTGAGATTGTGCCATTGCACTCCAGCCTGGGCCACAAGAGCGGTACTCCATCTCAAAAATATATAAATAAATAAAAATTTTAAAACAATAAAGTAGTGGTTCCCAAACTTTAGTGAGCATCAGAATCATCAGAAGGGCTTTTTCAAACACAGTTTGATAAGTCCCACCCCAGAGCTTCTGATTCAAGAGGTCTGGGGTGGGGGCCAAGTTCTAATAGGTTCCTAGGCATTGCTGATGCTACTGATCTGGAAACCACATTGAAAATCGTTGAAGAAACTTCTCCACTGCTTCCGATGGAGGAAATACTGAATAGAGTTCATGTAATGACTAAGAAGCTATATATATATATATATATATATATATATATATATATTCTTATGTATGTTCCAACAAAACATCAAACAAGATGGTGCTTCAGCATGAAGCACGGCAATGAAAGTTGAAACTTTCATCGCAGTTAATTTTATTTCTTTTTAAAATTTTGTTTTTTGAGAAATAATAATTGTGTACATTCATAAAGTACAAAGTGATGTTTTGATACATATAATGTATAATGATCAGATCCAAGTACTTAGCATTTTTTTTTTTTTTTTTTTTTTGAGACGGAGTCTCGCTCTGTCGCCCAGGCCGGACTGCGGACTGCAGTGGCGCAATCTCGGCTCACTGCAAGCTCCGCTTCCCGGGTTCACGCCATTCTCCTGCCTCAGCCTCCCGAGTAGCTGGGACTACAGGCGCCCGCCACCGCGCCCGGCTAATTTTTTGTATTTTTAGTAGAGACGGGGTTTCACCTTGTTAGCCAGGATGGTCTCGATCTCCTGACCTCATGATCCACCCGCCTCGGCCTCCCAAAGTGCTGGGATTACAGGCGTGAGCCACCGCGCCCGGCCAGTTTTTTTTTTTTTAATCCTTGAACTTCCTGTGAGTTGATAAGAGGTTATAAGTATCTAAACCAAACTTCCATACCTGGAACGTGGCCATTTTAACTCAGCTCTGTATTACCCAGGGAAAATCATGCTATAATAAAGGTAGTAACACCTAAAACTACAACAATACAATATTAGTAATAATAGCAGGTAATATATATTGAATATTTATTATAGGCAAGGCATTGTATTAAGCACTTTCCTTGAATTGTCTCATTTAAATTAGCCTTGTAAGGTGCAGTTATTATTACATTTCTATTTTACAGTTGAGCAACCCAAGATGCAAGGAGGTTACATAACATGCTCAAGGTCTCAGAGCCAGAGAGCGTGTTCTCTCCGCTCTAAACCCACCTTGCTAAAGAGTCCACCTCAACAGCTCCCCCTCCTCTGCCTCCCTTCATTATGCAGTGACGTTGACAAGATCCCTTCAGCCATGAGATACAGGTGTTCATAAACATGACAAATAAGTATAATATATAGACAACTTTGTAGTGCCCAATGATCCCATTGCCAAATAGTTAGTTGCCAGATTGGTGTGATTTTAGAATCCAGAAGTTTGAAAGATCATGGATTCTTTAATCAGCCTCCTTCGCTTTTATCATATGCAAATCTGACCTTTCAGGCATAACGCTATAGGAAAAAATATGTTAATGATTGGTGAGCATGTCTCACATTTTTATGAATTGTGACAGGTTTAAAACAACATTAGGATACTTTATATTAATTTTTGCCATGATTACAGAAGCTTGGCTTAACTTAAAACTTTCAATGACCTCATACAAACTATGGTTTGAACATGTAGTAACAGGCAGTTGAGGTGGGAGTTTTCAAAGAATCTGAAAATTACATTAAAAACCTGGCTTTATCTAGCTTCCTCAGCCAAACCATGACCTGAAGTGAGGGAATCTAAGTGAAAAAAAAAATGTCAAAACGAATCTTTTTTTATAGTTGAAAAAGAAATGCAACAAACAAAACCTGTTTTTTTAATAAATGATTGTAAATGTTTAATAAAATATCAGTAGGGTAAGTGATAAACTATTGTGACTTTAAGACTCAGAATTAAGTAATATATGTTCTGAAAGGTTAGGCCTCACTGGGGTATCATTTCACTTCATTCACAGTATGGTCTATAAATACTATTTATAAACACAGTCTATAAACACACCATAATAAATAAAACTATCAGTCCTTGAAGCAAAATATTTTTCAAACAAAACTGTCACCTTTTACAGAAAAAGAAACCTATAGTGTGACTTCTTAACATTTTTATGGCAACATTGATAATTTGTTTCATAATTAACTGTACCTTCTTTGATTTGTAATATCACTTACAGCTTATGTCTGCATATCGAGGTTTCTAAATAACTCTCATAATAACTTTGGAAAGTGATCTCTTACTATCACCTTTTGAGGAATTTACCTTTAAGTAACGGGGAAAAAATGGAATTGTTTCTGTATGTCTTTCTCATGAGAAAGAAGGTTTCTACCTGAGGTATAGTTAAAAATACTTTTTTCAATTCATTCATAATAGAGCACTACACCAATACATTGTAAGAAATCAGAAAAAATATTTGCAGTTAATAGCCTGTCTACAACATGAGGATCACAAAATGCTCACTTCTGAAAAAGAAAAGTAATCTTAAGATTATGCTATCATTTCAACAGAAACTCAACTAACTTGAATTTACAAATTTAACAAGTGCAAAATTTGAAATAGTATTTTCCGCTTCCTTTTCTAAAAGCAGTGTTAATTTTCCACTGCATATGAACAAGGTTCATAAAAGGTTTTGTGGAACAAGTTTCCATAAAAATGGAGAAAATGGCATGTACATTGGCAAAAACAAATGCTTTTAAAAATTTTCCCCAAGTTAAGCTGGTTTGATTTTAAAGGCAGGCTGTAGTAGATGCACTGAAACCTATTTCCTCAGCATTTCTGATGCCTATTTAATTGGAAAAATATTTGAACAGGGCTGAGGCTGGGAAGGGTAGAAGGCATAGAAGAGCAAACATTGGGAATAAAGTAGGGGTCAAGGTAGAGGCCAAAGGGAAAGGAAAAGAGAACAGTGGTAGGGAGAGAAATGAAAACAAATTGGGGCAGAAGCCAGAGAGAGACAGAAGACTTTGTCTAATGGAATAAGCTGCAGGTGAATTAAAAGTGGAAACAGAAAAATGAGATCATGAATTATCTTAAGGATTCCAGGGCATTCAATACCTTGATTACTCTTCTTCCAAGATCATCCAGATAACAGAGGTTCCATCACGTTATTTTTAAAGCTAATATTTTAAAGTTCTAGCCAGCTATATACAAATAACAAAAGAAGTTCATAACATTTTCTAATGATTAACTGGAATGGAAAACACTGGAATACATTTGGTGGTCCTTATTAATATTCTTTCCAATAAACCAGAAAGGCATGTAAAGCATATTTATCTGACAACTTCCCATGTATCTATTTACTAAATATTTAGTAGACATGATCATTTAAAAGTTATGAAAGTAAGTATAAATTTTCATCCTTCAACTTTTTCAAATGTTATTTTCTCTCAAAATAATATTTATAATATTATAGTTTTTAAACAAGTTGCCTAACCCAGGCAAAAGTATAGCAGTCTTTCTCAAAGAAAAATTATCTGCAAAAATGTTAAGGCACTTTCACATTCAGTAAATCATTTTTACCCCAAACAGGTAAACCAGGTAATCAGATGAAGAGGCAAAAAGTCATACTTAAGAACTACGTATCTTGTAATTAATGAATATGTTGATTCTTAGGTAAACCTCAAACTAGCAGAAAAGAGGATTTTATAAAGTGTGTCTCCAATATGTTGTGATTATATTTTGAATTGTATATGCTCCAATACCCATCATTAACTCCTATCTGAAAATAATAATCACAACAAAAATACAGTTACTGTTGTAGGATTTTTGTGAATTCAAATAAGGGCAAGATGTAGTTCCAGTTCTGCTCACCGACTTTAGGCAGCAGACCAACCAAACTACTTCCCAAATCTTGAAACAGAACATAATATTTGTCCTTTAAAAAATTTTGATAACTATGATAATTCACATTAATTTCTGAAGTGATGTATGTGGTTGTTAACCAAAGTTCTCTTCTATCTAAACTATGTGCCCATTACACTTTCATAATAAATAATAACTTTTGGCCATAGATCCTAGCTTTGACCTATTGGTATGCCCAAGAAAACCCTGGCATCTCATTCTCAGTACGCTGAACCCCCAAGTAGAAATAGCCTGCAGCTTGGGGGGTGGTCAGACTGGTGTGCAGCAGCCCATACACAACAAGCAGCCTGATTACAGTGCTTTACTAAGGTGCATTATTTATGGCCCTTGGCAGCTACAAGCTACATTACACTGTATTATGCAAGTATTGCATCTGTGGTTCAGAAATGGAGGAGAAATAGATTTTATTAAATATAGGTCATATTTGATAAGAAAAAAATAATATATGCAATGCAACAAGATGAGTACTTTAACAATCTATCTAAAAAGCTATTAATAATTATTACTTTAGTGTTGAAGCAGTTGATGCTATTTTTATGCAAAGTTTTAGATCACAAATTATATTGGAATGGGAATTAGGTATTTCTTGTGCTGGCCAGATCTGAGTCATTTTCCACAATCCTTAATAAGAAAATCTTCCACTGTGGGCACTGACCATCTGCTGCTATGTCGACCTAGATATGTGGGATACAAGAGCAGCGCTATACAAGGGTGTGAGTGGTCAGTGTGCTGTACATAGGATAGAGTCCTCACTTTTCCTGAAACCCTCACATGGCTCAAATCCTGTGTCCTCATGCATCACATATTTGAACTCCTCTGCCTCCATTAGGAATAGGTGTTTCCTAGAATAAAAATTACAGTAGGTTTATGCATTTTGTTCCCATTCTGACACTGTTTAATCCTCAATACCTCCAGACACATTGCTCAGACACTAAATCAGATTTTCCCCCAGAACCCTTACAACTAATTCCCCACTAAATA
This sequence comes from Homo sapiens, assembly GCF_000001405.40. Classification (NCBI taxonomy): domain Eukaryota; kingdom Metazoa; phylum Chordata; class Mammalia; order Primates; family Hominidae; genus Homo; species Homo sapiens. The sequence continues at coordinate 180,449,048 of NC_000002.12, read as the reverse complement.
TATTGAGAGCTCATTAGGTGTCAGGTTCTTGCTGAAGCTTCTGTCACACATATTGTCCTAAAGATCACAATAATCCAATTAGTTAATTAGAAGCAGTTTCCAGCATAAGATCCCAGTCTCTCCTTTGGTTACTTAGTCTGGTGTTTTCCTGATAATGTATACCTAGGTCAGTATATTTTTCTATAAGCCGGTTTTATGATTCTTAAGTAGACCTAGAAGAGCCCAGAAGGCAACTGGAAGGGAAAAGTGAGAGAAAGGAAAAGAAGAGGTAATTACTGTCATGAAACCATTGGAGTTTTATAAGACAAATACAATTTTTGTAAGCATAATTTTTATTGCAAGTGATTTAAACAAAAGAGCAAAAGGACTTTAGTCTTTTCTGCCCCCATAAGCACTCTCTTCATGCATCTATTATAAAATACAGCAAAATACACTATATTTTAAATTCCTATATCTTTCCCTCTATCATGGCAGGGACTTCCCAATAAATTCTATACTCATTGTGGCCAGCTGAACGCCTGACATTTAGTAGACTCCTCAAAAATGATTTTTGAATGAATGATGACTGACCAACTGAATGAATGACCAATCTTAAAGCACCAGTGAATGTTTTTACTGTCTTCACAGAGCTCAGAATAGATCCTTGGAAGCCATTCTGGAAAAGGGCAACTTTCCAAGGATGTTTTCAAAAAGACCAACATATAAGCACGTGTATTTGGTTGACCCTCTTTGCCACCCTAGGATATAAATTAAATCACATCCATTTTAATACTTAAAGTAATTTCTGGAAAACTTTGTATGCCAAAAACAACAACAACAACAACAACAGGACCTCTAGTATCTGCCCCCTTCCCCCCTCCATTCGCCTCTACCTTAACTGGGAGGCTTAATTCGTGTGAAACAACCAGCCCTCCTCTGAAACAGATGTCAGGTGATTATCTGAGGCTATAAAAAGTTTCCCAGAAAGCCAGATTGGGGATGATTTGCCTTTTTTTGGCTGTTAAGAAATGACGGGTTGAAAATTACTTCTAAAAATTGTTTAACAATCTTATTGAGATGTAATTAACTTATACTACAATTCATCCATTTAAAGAGTACGATCCAAAAGTTTTCAGTATATTCACAGATTGTTGTTCTGCATGTTTTAATGCTTTCCTGCCATTGGCTCCAGTAGTAATCTTACTGGCTCATATATCTGCTCAGACCACAGTTGATTCCTTCAGGAAGGAGAATGCAACTTCTTCTGGTAGTATTCAAGGTCAAGGGTACTCCATGCTTAAGCAACATAGCTTAAACCTTCATGCTTTAAGCTTATAAGTCCAATCACTGTTACCACAATACAACACTTGCCCCAGTGCCAAGTTTCCTGAATAGAAGTAAATTCAGGGTTTAAAACAACCATCCCTTAAGATCTGACTATTGAGCTCTGGTTAACAGTCCAGCCTACCTGTAGTATACATGGAAATGTGCTACGCAGATCTCACTTCAGAGAAAGACTGCCCAACTGCAAGAAGTATAGTCAACAGATAGCCTTCATCCGTTAGCTTTTTTAGGATATGCTTTAGCTGCAGAGTTGCCTGGCCCAAGGGTCAACTTTTTGGAGTCAGCCAATATCCAGTCACTGGGCAAAGCAGGGATATAAAGGCCTGGCCATTGTGGCCTGACACAGGAAATTCTGATGTGGACAATACTCACTCTAGAACTTTCTGCAGGGTTGGTGAAGACTTCATCAAGCTGCTTTGCAATTTGGCCCCTTCCTCTTTTCAAAAGTGCTCCTTTCCAATCCTTGTCATAAGTGTTGATCTCTAATAAACATCTGGCATCTCAGACTCCATCTCAGTGGCTCAGGAGTAACAGCTGCTCTCAGCAGTGGTTTGAGAAAGCAGGCAATAAGATTGTTTTGAAGCTAAATCACTCATACCCATGTGGAAGAAGACACCACCACCGTTTGGTGTTTAGCACCAATAGCTTGTGGCATAAAGTGGCAGAGCCGTTGTTAAAACTTCCACTGGAGGTTAATTAGGAGGTTTTACTAGTAGAAAGGAGTACACTGGGCTCAGCCTATCTGGTATTTGATAAATATGGAAGAAATAGTAGCTATAAAGATAATGGAATTGTGTGACTATTTCTAAGTGCCATGGATGCTCTACAGAAAGAAACTATACAGCAAAGGGTAAATGACAGCCAACTGAAATCCTGGCATGAAAGCCAGTGAACCTCTTTGGTTACATAAATACAATGAATTTCTCTTCACGCACAGCAGAGGGAAGAGAAAGTTGAGAACCACACCCAGTACCTAATAGTATAAGTGACTTTATTTCGAAGAAAGTTAAATGTAAAACCACAGCAAGCCTGTTATGTGTGGATGGGGGAAATGTGTGAGTTTTCTGGGAAAACCCCAAAGTTGTTGTGATACCTAGCCAATGTGTACTTATAGAAGCCAGGAGAATTTGCATAGAAGTGAATTCTGGGCCGGGCATGATAGCTCACGCCTGTAATCCTAGCACTTTGGGAGGCCAAGGTGAGCGGATCACGTGGTCTGGAGATCAAGACCATCCTGGCCAACGTGGTGAAACCCCGTCTCTAATAAAAATATAAAAATTAGCTGGGCACAGTGGTGCATGCCTGTAATCCTAGCTACTCGGGAGGCTGAGGCAGGAGAATGGCTTGAACCAGGGAGTCGAGGTGACAGTGAGCCGAGATCACGCCAGTGCACTCCAGCCTGGGCGACAGAGCAAGACACTATCTCAAAAAAAGAAAAAGAAAAAGAAAAGAAGTGGATTCTGAGGATGTTTGATCAAGAAGACCAGAACATTAAATTAGCTAGCAAGCACTTATCGACTTTGGAACGCTTTCTCCAGATGCACCCTAGCAAAGATTCCACTACAGTGTGAATTCACTACTAGGATAACTCCTATAAGCATAGAAAAATGATGATCCATTCTGAGATCAGTTGAAATGTCAGAATTGTCATGGCAGACAGTGAAGAAAAGAAATCAAGGGCTCAGGGAAGTGGGCATCCTGGAATGAATATATCACATAAGGTTGGAAAACCACCACATGATTACATTCCATAGGAAGGCCAAGAAGACACACTATTTGCCAAGGACACAGGAATGCAGTGATAAGAGGTGTACCAGAAAGTTTAATGGTGGCTTTCCTTTTCAAGTCAACGTTGACAATAGGAAAGCTTGTTACATAAATTGGCTTATTGACAGCAACAGGGGTAACAGGACCCCAAAAAACATAAAAGTAGGTAGCAGCATTTAACTTCCGAAACCAAAGGATTGTAATCATTATAACAATTAGGCAGGTCAGGGTTGCACCCAAGAGAACCTGAGCTGAAAAGAGTTATGGAGGTAGTTAATGCAATACAATATCCCAAGTGTCATAGAAATGCATAACCAAAAATGGTACTATCCTAGTTCTCTGGCCCTGTGTCATGTGTGTAGGAGAATTTAGATATCATGTAGAATACCAACTGACCCATTTCACTGGTAACTTTTTATTGGTTGGGCCAGATGAGCAAGCGGTGGCTGGTATACGTGAGGCCTCAATAAGTCATGCGTGCTCTAAAGGGAAGGAAATAAATTTTAGGGACTACCACAACCATAAAATGTTTAGGGGTTCAATGGTTAGAGGTGTAGCAAGACATCCTCTCCAAAGTAACATACAAATTATCATAGCTTGTACATCCACCGTGGATAAAGAAGAACCACACTGGTAGGCTTTTTCCATCTCTGAAATTGGTGCATTCCACATCTATATTCAGAATGATATAAAAGACTGTCAGCCTTAAATGGTGTACAGAGAAGTAAAGAGCTCCACAACAGGTCCAAACTGCTGTGCAGGCAGCCCTCGCACTTGGACCATATGATCTGGCTCGCTCTGTGGTGCAGGCAGTATCAGTGGTGTGAAAAGTTGTCATATGGTAAGTCCAAGTGGAAGAACCACAAAGTAGATCCCCTGAAATTTTAGGGCAAAGTCTTGCCATCTGCAGTGCACAATTATACATCTTTTGAAAAATAATTCCAGGCAGGCTAGTGAGCTGTGGTAAAAATGAAATGCCTGACTATAGTTCACCAAGTGAACATGTGGCCAGAACTGTCCATCATTAGTTAACTCCTGTGAGACCCACCAATTTATAAGTTAGTGTAGACCCAGGAGCAACCCATCATAGTATGAAAGTGACTATGCAAAAACAGGGTTGGAATCAGCCACTGAACCCTTCCCTCAGCTGATTTTTATAGCTGTATGGGGGATCTTGTATGACCCATTGAAGAAGGAAAATACTTCTAAAAAACATATTAGGTATAGTGTACCTGTTCATTAATTTTGGATAAAATTAGTGAAGTTATAATGTATTCAGACTCTTGGGCAATGGTAAAAGGCCTATCTGACTTTTCAGGATTATGGAAGGAAAACAAAGTTTGGGGATGAGGAGGCTGTGTTAGATATATGGGATGTCTATTAGATGGATATATATGGGATGTCTATGAAATGGGCATATGGGAATGGGCATGAAATGGGAATATACATGTCATATGTCAATGCTTACAAAGGAATATCAATCACAGAAGACTCTAATCAACTAAGTACACAAAATAACTCAAGCAGTTGGTGTCAGCCAACCTCTGTATTCAACCTCCCCAGTGTTGACTAAGAGAAAAAATGAATTAAGAGACCACAGTGGCAGAAAAGGAGATTATGCATGTGCCAATGCATGGACTCCCACCTTTGAAGTCCAATTTAGCTGCTGAATTTCTACCCTACCAACACCAGATATCAGTGTGGAGCCCTTGATGCAACACCATTCTTCAAGGAGTCCAACCAGTCGTACAAGCCACCTCCATTATGGAAGTGCCATTCTTTTATGCTCACAGGACTAGATTTAACATGTATTCCAGACATGAATTTGCTTTTTCTGCCCAAAAGCCTTAGTCATCATTCTAGCTGAGGGATTATGAAATTTCTGATCCACTAATATGTAATCTAACACAACACTTCCTCAGACCAGAAGACCATTTACCACATAGGAAGTGCCACTGTGGGCCCATACCATGACATTCACTGGCTGTATCACAAGCTCTCTCCAGATGCTGCTAGTCTAATAGAGCCTTGGAATGGCTTGCTAAATGAGTAGCTAAAGCCCAAATCAGAGGCAGTGCTCTATGAGGTTGGGGTGCCATTCTCTGGATATGCAGTATTCACACTGAATCAAAGGATTTTGTGCAGCTTTGTGTGTCTGATAAGAATGCAAGGGCTCCAGAACCAAAAAGTAGAAGCAGAAATGGCTCCTGTACTACAGTAAATAAAGATCCTTGAACTTGGTGCTTCCTGTCCCTGCAACGGTGCTTTGTAGAGTTAAAGGCCCTGATCTATAAAAAGGTCACAATTTCACCAGAGGACAAAATAAAAGCTCTGTAGAATTATTAGTATGACTGTTGTCTGGAGATTTGGGGGAAAAAAGGAGTCACCATATCAGCAGGAGTAACTGAGTTAAATCATTAAGGGTTAGGACTGCTGCTATACAGTGGAGACAGTGAGAAATACATGTGACACTCAGATGATTTGGTTGAGTGCCTCACAGTAATCCCTTGCCCAACTGTAAGTGTAAATGGACAGATCCAGCAGTGCAGGCATGAGGAGGACATGGTAACCATAGATCAGACTTCTTGGGGAGGACAGTCTGAGTAATGCTACCAGACACATGACCAAGGACAGCAGACATAGTGCCTGATGGTGCAGGACCTAAAATGACTAGTATAGGAGAAATAAAGTAAATAGCAATATTGGTCCTGAGATCAACCATAGCAGAGCAACTGTAGTTAGTTCTGCTAATTTCCTTCTTTTCTATTTCCCCTAAGGAAAAGTGGCCCACCAGAATCCTGGAGGAGCTGTTACTCAAATATATGTGTATACAAATGACAAAACAGGTAGACTATGACAGATATAGAGATGTGCCACCCAAATCCTCCTTCAAGTAAGGACTTGCTGCCTTGGGGTTGCCTCAACTGATTAGTCATCTACTGCTGCTTACAAGCTATCCCCAGAATTTAGCAGCTTATAAAACAAGAATTTTATCTCAAATTTATGTGCATCATGAATTAGCACATGGCTTCGCTGGTGCCTCTCACTCAAGTCCTGTCCAGGATTGTAGTTCAGCTATCACCTGGGGGCTGCAAGTGTATCTGAAAGGTCTATTGTGTGTGTTGGTGTAGAGGGGCTACTTCCAAGCTTACTGATGTGGTCCCTCAGGTTCTTCACAATGTGAGCCTCTCCAGTGGGCTACCTCACAACATGGCAATTGGCTTCCTCAAACTGAGTGATCCAAGAGAAGGTGTGAGAGGAAGCCTCACCCAAGATCATGGCCTTTTTAGGACATTCTGTGACTGAGACACATTCTGTGACTGAGTAAGCCCTGGCTAGAAAGGCCCAGACACTTCACTCTGGCATGGGTCACTCTGACCAATAATACCTTGAAGCTCCATGACAGGTTGGCCCAAGCATCGTCAGGCATACATGACACTCAAATTCTTCCTCTGGCCAATCCTGCTTCCTCTTTTCTTTGTCTCACAAGAATTGAGCCCTAATTTTGTATTTCAAAGTCTATCTCTGTGTCTGCCCATGGAAAACCCAATCCTTTTCCTTCCTGGATAGTAAAATTCACTAGGGGAGGGGAGTATTTTATTAATTTCCTACCCTGGCTGATTGTTTTCCTTCTGGGAATCTCCAAGTCCTCTGATATGGTTTGACTCTGTGTCCCCACCCAAATCCCATGTCAAATTGTAATCTTCAGTGTTGGAAAAGAGGCCTGGTGGGAGGTGATTGAATCCTTTGGAGTTCCCCCTTTAGAAGGGATGTCCCCTTTGTTGTTTTCATAATAGATTTCCAACCAGATCTGGTTGTTTGAAAGTGTGTAACACCTCCCCCTTCCCTCTCTCTCTCTTTCCTGCTAGCCATGTGAAGATGTACCTGCTTTCCCTTCACCTTCCACCATGATTTTAAGTTTCCTGAGGCCTCCCCAGAAGCAAAAGCCTGTACAGCCCACAAACCATGAGATGATTAAACCTTTTCTAATACTCTACTTCCTCGTCACTGGCCAGATCTAGAAACTAAAGGACAGGAAGGGCCGTTCTCTCCCATACCACAGATGGTCTTGTTCTATTTTTTTCAAGTTGGAGGGTACCTCCTGGCCTTATATGTAATTTGTGTGTGTGTGTATGGAGGTGATAGAGAAATTGGGGAGAAGTGTTCAGAGACTTTCCTGGAATTAAGGAGTCCATGTTACTCTTACTAATTTACCCTAAAGACACAAACAACTTATAGTTTTCTTTTCTTTTAATTTTACCAAACTGACGTACTAAACAAATAATGTTATCATATTAGAGGTTTTCTCATAAAAGTGCATGGAAATTGTTAGGAGGCATATCCAATGAAACAAATAACTTGGTTTTATTTTTGTTTTTGTTAATAATCTAGTGATTAAAAAATTTTTAAATTTGGAATGCACATACTACTTATGTTCCATCTAAAAATATATATTCTTCAATAAAATAAGAATTCTCCAATTCTCTGAAAAGTACACAAATGATCAAACACAGTACATACAATTTAGAAGCAGAAGCATAATAAAAATGCAAATTAATTCAAAGGTCCATAATGAGATCATTTGGCCATATGGCCACTAATGAAGTTTCTAATTGCTAGAACATCAACACCCAAGTCAGAAGGCAAAGAGGAAAAATTCTACTGTCTTTTAATTTCCTTAAAAGATTTTGAATTTTAAGAAATATTTTCCATATCTGAAACATTTTTACACCAAAGTGTATTGAAAACCTTGCACTACATGGAGTTTAAAAAAAAGTTTGAATTGTAAATAATTCTCCATGCTGTAGGATGAATAAAAAATTAAAATGTTTTATCCATAATTTAGCATACAAAATGTATGCCAACAGGGATTCTATAATGAATAAAATTAATTTATTCATTCATCCAAGAGATTAATTAGCATCTATAATGTGCCAGGAACTGTTCTAGGCACTGGAGAGATACAGCAGCAACCAAAACACATATAAACCCCTGTCTTCATAGAGTCTTCATTCTACTCAGGGAGACAGAAAGTGAAATAATACATTTAACAATAATAAAACTAGTACATTAAATAGCAAAAAGTTCTAAAAATAAAAATAAAAGCAGAGGAGTGATATGAAGAGTAGGTATGGAGATATGTAAATGGTGATGTTTAAATTCTGTGTTGAGAAAAGATCTCACTGAGAAGACAACTTGAGTTGATTTGGGCTTCCTCCTGGGGAAGAGCCCTCAAGGGTGGAGGCAACAATTGCAAAGTCCCTGAGGCAGGATTCAACCTGGCACATGTAAGAAATAGCAAGGTAGCCAGTGTGGCCATTGAGGAGTGAAGGAGGGTAAAGTGTAATGAATAGGTTCTGAAAAGCAATGGGGAGGAGGGGAAGGTCATATATACCTTTAGGCCACATTGGCTTTACTCTAAGGGAGCAGAGAAGATTTAGAAGGGTTTCATGCATAGATGACATGGCAGGATCTTATTCAGGCTTCAGCAGAATCACTCCAGTTGATGTTATGAGTAGTAAAAAGAGGCAAAATTAGAACCAGGGAGGCAAGTTCAGAGCTATTGCAATGATAAAGGTGAGAGATGATGGGGACTTGTCCAGGACGATGGCAGCAGTGCTGGGGACAAGTGGTCATATTCTGTAGTACACAGGATTTCCCAAAGGTCCAGATTAAATGGTGTGGTTTTTAGTGGTAAAAACCATAATACTAAAATATCTGTACTTGCATTTTATAAAACATGATTTATAAAAAATCATGGTGCTAAATTTGTCTGTGACCTTTACTATCTGTTGGCTTGTTTTGCTCATTTTAGCAGAGACATATTTCTGAAGTTTAGCACTTAACACTGGCCTGTAGATGATGTCTTATTAATGAAGCTTTTGATTATGTCCTAGTTTGATATTGAATAATAAGAATAAAATGTTCAAGAATCTATAAACTTTTGACCTATTATCATGTTAAAGATGGTCCTTGGAGGAAAATACTATTGAATACATTCTTCACCCGAGTCAATTCTAGGTAAGTAGAAATTAACTGTTAGCTGCCAGTTAAGGAGCAGAAAAGGGGCAGGGCAGAGAGCTGACTGTATTTACAAGGGGCATTTACACATTTTTACTAACACAACTACCCTCACCCCTCAAAGGTGGAATCTTTGACTCAACGATTGTTCAAATACCCAGCAAAATTTTGCTTTACATTAAAATCCTCATCATATTTGCAGAATGATCAAACTTTATTTTTCTGATTGAAAAGAACCAATACATGTGACAATCTATGACAACTCTTTGTGAAGTAACCTAAGGACCCTTAAAGAGCCTTAAATATCCAGCATTTTTCTCTAGTATTCTTCTGCTAGTTTTCTGCATGTTTTCCCTTCCCTTTCCTCTTATTCTCTCCTGTCCCTGGACTCTACCCATGTACTATTCCTCAGTGCTCAAGTGACGCTTCCTCCATGAAAAATTCCCCATTTTTTTCCAATCAAAAAGGAATCTTTTCCCCTCCTCTCCTACCAGTGTCTATTTCTTTTGTTTCTCTCTTTGCCTTTTAAAATGATTAGTATCTTCCTTCCCTTTTCAATTCCTACCACAGCCATTATAATATAATCTTTCTACTCTCCAGTTTCCAGAACAGTGCCTTGTGAATGTTTTTTGATTTTATTTCATATCTAGTGGGCCTGTGTTTATAATTAGATCTAGCCAAAAATGAATGCCAATTCTTCAAACACTTAGCATTGTGGTCGATATTAGGAATATTAATGCCAATTGTATTAAGTTAGCTCACTGATGATTCTGGAGGAGAGCCTAAGTAAAGAAAGCCAAATTATTAGCATTTTAAAATGGCAAGAAAAGAGATAAAGACTAATGAGGTAAGAATAAAGTGAGGTAGTCATTGGACATCAACCAGAAAAAGTAGATTCCCCAAACAAGAACAGGAAGCAAGCTCTGGACTAGTCTAAACATGGAAGAAAAAAATATAAAAATAAAACTTTGTGTACAGGATTTAATATCAGGAATATCAAATAAAATTTAAATATCAGAGAGGGAAAATGAAAAACATTAAAATTAAAATGATTCTAGAGATGTAAGAAGATGACAGAAACAAAAAGAATGAGTAAAGTAAGAAACTAAAGGCAGTTCATTCATTGTCCAAATAGCATCCATGGATATAAAAAATCAATTATGTGTTTGAAACATTTGTAATCAGTTCACTGTGGAATTTCATCTATGGAATATCTTTCCCAAAATAGAAATATAATCCTGATCATGAAAAGTTGAAGTCAAAGTCAAAAACATATCAGTATGCCATATTTTGGAAGTAGGCACAAAATTCCTGGAAAGAGTTCATTGCTGTTAATGTAGGGTAAACTAAGATGAACCTCTTTAAAATAAGTTGAAGAAATGAGCTAACATACAGCATCGGATTATCAGATCAGATTCACATGACTCAGAGGTCTTAATGACAGTTTTACTATAAATAATTACTAAAATACAAGAGATTCAAGAATCCCAGGTGAAGCAGAACAAGGTCTAGGACATCAAGGGTGGTGAGATGTACCTCTAAATAGATAAGCTCTGGAAAGGGGGCTTTTGAGTTCCTTAAACAGCGGGACCTGTTTAAGCTATGATATGTCTCCATTTCGTGTCTAGTAGGGTCTTATAGCTTATGTGACATTCTCCAAGGAGCCATGTATCATAGATCCTGAGTTCCACCTATTACAGGTACAGTAATTCTAAATCAGGTATATACTGCTAACGGTATTTCAGAGATTAGGTATCTTTCTCCTAGGAAATAGCATTAGTCTATTTATCCAAATGTCCATTCAACAAGATTAGACTGGGTCACCTACCTCCTTTTCTTTCCTTAGGGAACATCCCCTGATGAAAAGAGAGAATGTATTCCACGGATCCCTGTCCACTGCTTTAATACCTTCCTGCCAAGAAGTCTAAGATGTTATTTCTCATGACGATATAATACTTTAATAAGCAAATATAAGTTGATTGTAGGACAGTGGGGAAAAAAGAATTTTAAAAGAGTTAAGGTAAACCAGTGATTATGAAATCCTCGAGTCTACAATTTGAAGATAAGGAAGTGAGGATGGCATTTGAAGAAAGGATAAAATAAATAAATCTATTGAAGATACTTTTGGTAGCCTAAAGGGAGACACAAGCTGATGCGTTCAAACCTGCAAGTAATTTAGGATGTTCTCTTCTGATTGGTAGCAACAGTGATTCCTAAGCTAGCCACTCTGCCATTAGCTGTGAGCTCCCCTCTCTTAATAATCAACTTACACAGGCTTAGAAACTATAAACTATATGTAATAGAATATTAAAATGAAACCCCTACTGTTCCCTGCAGGTGAACAAGAAAACATTAGATGCTCCATCCCTAAGTGGGTGGTAAGACAGACCATTTTGCCTAGAACCCCATAGAGGATGTGAGCTGCTGGGACATCAACAGCAAAGACTTTGAGGAGTGGACGGATGTTGCAGGGAAACATTTGCAGTGAGAGTATCTGAGGAAACCAAGAATATCTTTCCTAGAAAGAGTCAGCTTAAAATAATTGCCAGGTTCAGAAAGCACCAAGTGTCTTAGGAGAGAACAAGTCAGGTAATAACTTTCCTGTTCCCTGCCTCTTGCCTCTCTGCTGCTTCTACCCTCCAGACTTCTCTCATTAGCAACCTGAAGGAAAAAATGAAAACAGCACAGCAAAAAGGAAAGAGGAAGACAAGATCAGGCTTTCCTTTATCCAAGTTCTGCCACTGCCAGTCTCAATTAGGGGAAGGAAAAAATTTCATTTTAAATCAAATCAAAGTTTGATTCTTATCTGGGACTGGACACTTTTTGTTACCGAATTGAGAATGTGAGGTGCGTGTGATTTCAGTTACCTGAGAGTAATCAGAAAAAATTTCATCCAGTTGTCAAGGTGGGGCCAACACCATTGATTAGATTTGAAGAGACTTGAGGGGACAAAATAAAATTGCTTTTGCAATTATACCTTGTGAAAACTGCTTGCTCAATGTATTAGTCATATTTATTTGCTAACTTTAATCTTAATATCCTGTCAGAAAATATAATTAGCATAGCTGAAAGTTTTTTAACTGAAAAGCAAAAAAAAAAAAAAAAAATCAAACCGATGCTAAAGGAAAAAGCATATGATTTAAACTGTTGTTTCCATTCATTAAAATAATGAATTAAAATTGGCATGTAATCAAAAAGTACATATTTGTCATTTAACAACCTGAGAAAATTCATATAGGCAAAAAAAGAAAGAAAAATCATTGTGCTGTGTCTTGCAGATAATAGGAAATATTAACACTAGATTACATCTTTTTCAATGTTTCATAGAGGGAATCATCTGCAATTTTTATTCACCAAATAGTGTGTTAAAATTTTATTCCAATAAATGTAAATATTTTTAATTTTGAGTGGTTTTGTAGACTATTGAATTTAACCATGCTAATGTTAATGTTAGATATTCTTCAATTTTACATTATTATAAGCAACACTCTTCATACCCTTTCACTGTATATTTTGCCTACATTTCCACTCATTTTTAGGATGAATTCTTGGAAATAGAATAGGAGGGTCAATATATATAAACTTTGGCCAAATTGATCCAGATAAATATTAGACTAATTTCTACTTCATCCTTAGCCATGTATGAAAATCAACTTAATCTTAATTTATTTAAGAATTGAAAAGTGGTACCTTATTACTACATGTATTAGTTTCCTAGGACTGCCATAACAAAGTACAACAAACAGTGTGGCTTAGCAAACTAATGCAGGAGCAGAAAACCAAATACCGCATGTTCTTACTTCTAAGCAGGGGCTAAATAATAAGAACACAGGGACACATAAAGGGGAATAACACACACTGGGACCAGTTGGAGGGTGAAGGGTGGGAGGAGGGAGAGTATCAGGAAAAATAACTAATGGATAGTAGGCTTGATACCTGGGTGATGGAAATAATCTATACAACAAACCCCCATGACACATGTTTACCTATGTGAAAACCTGCAGATGTACCACTGAACTTAAAATAAAAGTTACAAAAATTAAAAATAAATAAATATGTGATTTTTACTCTCAAAAAATAAAAATAAAACAAAGAAAATGTATTATATCACAGTTATGGAAGCTAGAAGTACATAATCAAGGTGTCAACAGGGTCATGGTCCCTTTGAAATTTCTAAGAGAGCAGCCACCTTCACCTCTTCAGGGCTTGGGTGGTGGTCAGCAATTCTTAGTGTTCCTTGGCTGGCAGCTGCATCACTCCAATTTCTGTCTCTGTCATAATGTGGCATTCTCCCTGTGTGTCTTTGTGTCCAAAATTTCCTCCTCCTAAAAGAACATTGGATTAGGGCCCACCCTAGTGATTACTTGATTACACTTGAAAAAACCCTATTTTAAAACAATGTCACATTTACAGGTTCTAGGAATTAAGTCTTCAACATATCTTTTGGGAGAACAATTATGCTACTCTAATCTACATCTCTTTGATTATAAGTGTAGTTGAGAATTTTCCATATTTTATTTGAATCATATTTTTTCATTCTTGATCCTTTGTCTATTTTTCTAGTAAAGATAGAGATTTTCAAAAAACTTCACTGGTAAAGCCTTTTAATACATTAGGCATATTAGTTTTTTATAGAATATATGCTGTAAATATTTTCCTATTTGTAAATGGCCCTTTAATTTCCCTTATTCTGTTTTCCCCCCACCGTATAAAAGTTTAAAATATTTATTTAATCAAATCTAGTAACATTTTCCTTTGTGGTTTCAGACATCAGTGTACTGATTTTTCTTAAAAAATCTGTCCTGAAGAAAATATTACATTTACACTTATAATCACGTCTTTTTTTTCTAATGGTTTATTGAATATTTAGGTTTTAATCTATCTGGAATTTTTTTTAACGAAAGGTGTGACAAAAAGTTGAAAAATAGTTCCAACTTTATATATATATATAAACTATAAGATATGTAGTATATTGTTAAAATCTAATCAGCCAGTACTACGAAGAAGCCTATGGTTTGACAAAATCAGATTTATTGAGTCAGAGTGAGAGAAGGCATTCCTTAGGACTGTATGCTGTTCTCCACAGGAGGGAGGAGACTAACATCTGGAAACTTTGGAGGATGTAAAGGAATCAAGGATCAGTTTTGGAGTGGTGACTGTGAAGTGGGATTGGAGAAGCTGAATTAACTAGGGATTGAGGGCAAGAATGGCTTAGCAATCGGGTATCCCAGTAATAGACAAGCATAGCAGCTGTCTGGGGACATCGTCAGTAAGAAAGCAGTAGCTACCCAGAAAGGATGTTGCTTTGGCATTTTACAGATGCTGCATCAATTTAGGAGAAACAGTGGCTCCCGTCAACTGTGGAGCTGACTCTATCTGCATCTGTACTGTTGGCCTTATAAATGGCAGAACTGTTTTTCCTTTTCTTGTCTAAGTTGACTTTCAGTCTCACAGTTCCAGAAAAGGTTTTACTCTTTCAGTATAATTTATTAAATATAATAAATATGATATATAAATATTTATGTATTATAGATTCATATTTTATGAGAGCCTATTATTTATACTTTTAACGAGTAATCTGAAATATAACTCAAATCATAGTTTCGTATCTCTTTGACCATTTCTAAGCTTTTTCTTTCGTTCTAATAGCTTTATGATTCTACCAACTCCAGAATTACATTGCTTTGATTATTATGCTTTATATTAGTTCTTTCTTAGTCTCTTTCTTCGTATGTCTTCATTGATTCTTGATTTCATTTTTTTAAATCTTAAATAACAAGTTTAATGATATTAGCATTGCAAAATTAGCTTCAACTATGAATATCAGAAAAACCAATATAACTCTCATATTTTAGAAGATAAATTATCTAGGGCAGATAGAGTTACCCCTGTGTCAAGAAGCAGGCTCTTTCTGTTTTCATTTCTCAGTTGTGCATAGTCTTAACTTTGTGGTGCATGAGAGTAGCAATCATGTTCCTTGCTGCAGGATGGAGAGAAGAATGAACATTAAGGAGGGAGTGAAGATGAAGAAAATGCAAAGATACGTGCACCCTACTTCTTTAGGAAGGCTTCAAGAAACTGCCATGGGATACTGCTGCTTACATCTCACTGGCAAGTGATGTCACATGGCTATACCTACGTGCATGGAAGGCTGACGTACATGATCTTTATTCTGGGCTACTATGAGCTCAGCTAAAATTTCCATTACCATGGAAGAACAGGTTAGTACATATATAGGAGCAACTAACTGTCTCTACTTAATCATGTCCACTGTCTCTTTACCAATCTTTTTAACAATATTTACTTTTTTCTTTCATTATTATCAAAGCTATTTTTTATATTTGTTATGTTAAAATGTATCATCAATACTTCTCAAAATTGTATTATAAAAAAACAACTGTTTCAAGAAATCCCTTCTATACCCCCAGTTTTGCCCCATAGATGTAACTACTAGGAATTCTTTGAGTATTTCATTTTTAAACTATTTTTCAAGAAAAATAGGTTTATGCTGCCATTGAAAAAATGTTTTTGTTTTCTAAGTTTGATAAGGATATGTGTTTTTCACCATTATTTTTCCTTGAGTCATATATTTCCCCGCAACCAGAATCCAATTTATTACATTATAATTCTTGGTTAGATTAACATTCCATTTTAATGTAATGATGACTAAATAAATGTTAAAAGCTATCATATAGTGTAATATGATTTCATTTTTTATATAATCCCCCAATTAATAATTTTTTTTGCCTTTGTTTACAGTATATAGTGAAATATTACTACAAGTAAGCAAATTAACATAACCATCATCTTCTATAGTTACCTTTTTTTCTGTGTGTGTGTGTTTAGCAAATTTTTAATATACAACACAGTATTACTAACTATAGTCCTTCTGAGGTAGGAAGCAGGAGGGCCTTATCTCCAGATCAGATTGAAGACTGCCCAAAACTGAGAAGAGGCGCTGAAAACACCTCTCACTGTCCATCAGCATAGGATACTTCCACCAGCACTATGACAGTTTAACCATTGCCATGGCAACACCTGAAAGTTACAGCCCATTTTCTGGCTATTTCTAAATACCCCACCCTTTAATTAGCATGTCATTAATAGCAGGTATAAGAATGACTGAAAACTGCCCCAACACTGCTATTCTCCTTGTATTGCCTGTGGTGTAGCCCTGCTCTGCACAGCAATCATGGAACTGTAACACCGTTGCTCATTAAAGCTGCTTCCTGGCCCGGCGCGGTGGCTCACACCTGTAATACCAGCAATTTGGGAGGCCAAAGCGGGCGGATCATGAGGTCATGAGATCGAGATCATCCTGGCTAACACAGTGAAACCCCATCTCAATTAAAAATACAAAAAAGAAAAATTAGCCGGGTGTAGTGGTGGGCGCCTGTAGTCCCAGCTACTCTGGAGGCTAAGGCAGCAGAATGGCGTGAACCCGGGAGGCGGAGCTTGCAGTGAGTGGAGATCGCACCACTGCACTCCAGCCTGGGCGACAGAGCGAGACTCCGTCTCAAAAAAAAAAAAAAAAAAAAGAGTTGTTTCCTTCCACCACTGGCTCACTCTTGAATTCCTTCCTGAGTGAAGCCTAAAACCTGCCCTACATGACTTCTGCTATACATTTCATCTCCGGACGTATGTATATACCTCACTGCAATTTCTTTTAATTTTTAGTTTTACAATTTTTCTGGGTACATAGGTGTGTATATTTATGGGATACATGAGATATTTTGATACGGGCATACAATGCATAATAATAATATCAGAATAAATGGAAAATCTGTCCACTCGAGCATTTATCTTTTGTGTTGTAAGCATTCCAATTATACCATTTTGGTTATTTTGAAATGTACAATAAATTAGTTGACTTTAATCACCCTGTTGTGCTATCAAATACCAAATCTATTCTTTTTCTCTAACTATATCTTTGTACCCATTAACCAGTCCCAATTCCCCTCCCCTACCACTACCCTTCCAAACCTCTGATAAACATCCTCTTTCTATCTCAATGAGATCAGTTGTTTTAATTTTTGGCTACAGTGAATGAGTGAGAACATGTGACATTTGTCTTCCTATGCCTGGCTGATTTCACTTAACATAATGTCTTCCAAGTCCATTCATGTTATTATAAATGACAAGATCTCTATTTTGGGGGGCTGAATAGTACTCCACTGTGTATATATACCACATTTTCTTTGATACACACGTAGATTGTGCATTTATCTGTTGATACACATGTAGATTGCTTCCAAATCTTGACTATTGTGAATAGTGCTGCAATAAATATAGGAGTGCTGATATCTCTTCAATATACTGACTTCCTTTCTTTTGGATATATACCAAGCAGTGGGATTGCTGGATCATATGGTAGCTCTACCTTTAGTTTTTTGAGAAACCTCCAAACTGTTCTCCCTAGTGGTTATATTAATTTACATTCCCGCCAATAGTGTATGAGGTGTCCTTTTACTACACATCCTCATCAGCGTTTGTTATGAACTGTTTTTTGGATTAAAACAATTTTAACTGAGATGAGATGATATCTCATTGTAGTTTTATCTGCACTTTTCTGATGACCAATGATGTTGAGCACCTTTTCATATGTCTGTTTGCCATTTGTATGTCTTCTTTTCAGAAATGTCTATTCAGATATTTTGCCAATTTTTTTATCAGATTATTAGATTTTTTCCTATAGAGTTGTATGAGTGCCATATATATTGTGGTTATTAACTCCTTGTCAGAATGGAGAGTTTGCAAATATTTTCTTCCATTCTGTAGGTTGTCTCTTCACTTTGTTGATTGTGTTCTTTGCTGTGCAGAAGCTTTTTAACTCAATGTGATGTGATTCCATTTGCCCATTTCTGCTTTGGCTGTCTGTGCTTATTATTATTCAAGAAATCTTCACCCAGTCCAACGTCCTGGAGCATTTCTCCAATGTTTTATTTTAGTGGCTTAAGAGTTGGAAGTCACAGATTTAAGTCTTTATTCCATTTTGATTTGATTTTTGTATACAGCAAGAGATAGGGATCTAGTTTCATTCTTCTGCATATGAATATCCAGTTTTAACAGCATCATTTATTGCGGAGACTGTTCTTTCTCCAGGGTATATTCTTGGCCCCTTTGTTGAAAATGAATTTACTGTAGATGTACAGATTTATTTCTGGCTTCTCTATTATGTTTTATTGGTCTATGTGTCTGTTTTTATGCCAGTGCTGTACTGTTTCGGTTACTATAGCTCTGTAGTATAATTAGAACTCAGGTAATGTGATTCCTCCAGTTTTTATTATTTTGCTCAGGATAGCTTTGGCCGTTGTGATTCCATATGAATTTTATATTGTATTTTCTAATTATGTGAAGAATATCATTGCTATTTTGCAAGATGTTGCATTAAATCTATCAATTACTTTAAGTATTATGGACATTTTAATAATATTGATTCTTCCAAATCATGAACAGGGAATATCTTCCCTTTTTGGGTTTTCTTCCTTTCTTGCATCAATGTTTTGTAATTTTCATTATAGAGATCTTTCACTTCTCCAGTTAAGTTAATTACTAGGTGTTTTATTTTATTTGTAGCTATTGTAAATGGGATTACTTTCTCGAATTCTTTTTTAGATTATTGACTGTCAGCATACAGAAATGCTACTATTTTTATATGCTGATTTTTTTTTTTATCCTGCAACAGTGCTGAATTTGTTTATCAGTTCAAATAGCTTTTTGGTAGAGTCTTTAGGTTTTTCTAAATATAAGATCATATCATCTTCAAACAAGGATAATTTGATTTTCCAATTTGTGTGCCCTTTATCTCTTTATCTTGTCTGATTGCTGTAGCTAGGACTTCCAGTACTATGTTGAATAACAGTGGTGAACTGGACATCCTTGTCATGTTTCAGATTTTAGAGAAAAGGATATTCATATTTCCCCAATCAGTATGACACTAGCTATGGGTCTGTCATATATGGTTTTTTTCTGTGTTGAGGTATGCTCATTTTGTACGCAGTATTCAGAGGATTTTTATGATGAAGAAATGTTGAATGTTATAAATGCTTTTTCAGCATCAATTGAAATAATCATATGGTTTGTCTCCTTTATTCTGTTGATATGTGTGTTATATTTACTGACTTGCATGTTTATATGGCTTGGCCATGTACCCACCCAAATATCATCTTGAATTGTAATTCCCATGATCCCCACATGTTGTAGGAGTGACCCAGTGGGAGGTAATTGAATCATGGAGGTGGTTATCCTCAAACTATCCTCATGATAGTGAGTGAGTTCTCACAAGAGCTGATGGTTTCATAAGGGGCTTTTCCCCCTTTGCTTGGCACTTCTCCTTGTTGCCACCATGTGAAAAAGTATGTGTTTGCTTCCCCTTCCACCATGATTATAAGTTTCCTGAGACTTCCTTAGCCATGCTGAACTGTGAGTCAATTAAACTGTTTGCCTTTATAAATTACCCAGTCTTGGGTATGTCTTTATTAGCAGCATGAGAATGGACTAATACAGTAAATTGGTACCAGAAGTGGGGAGCTGCTATAAGAATACCCTAACATGTAGAAGCAACATGGGAACTGGGTAACAGGCAGAGGTTGGAAGGTTTGGATGGCTATGAGAAACACAAGAAAATGTGGGAAAGTTTGAAACTTCCTGGAGACTAGTTGAATGGCTTTAACCAAAATGCTGATAGTGATATGGACAATAAAGTCCAGGCTCAGGTGGTCTCAGATGAATATGAGGAACTTGTTGGAAACTGGAGCAAAGGTGACTCTTGTTATGCTTTACCAAAGAGACTGGCAGGATTTTGCCCCTGCCCTAAAGATCTGTGTAACTTTGATCTTGAGAGAGATAACTTAGGGTATCTGGCAGGAGATA
This sequence comes from Homo sapiens, assembly GCF_000001405.40. Lineage (NCBI taxonomy): Eukaryota > Metazoa > Chordata > Mammalia > Primates > Hominidae > Homo > Homo sapiens. The sequence goes on along the minus strand of NC_000002.12, from coordinate 180,429,065 downwards.
TTTCTAAGCAGCAAAGCACTCAGGAGGTGACAGAGCCTAAAACTTTGGAAAAATTTCAGCCTGACAATGCAGTGGAAAAGAAAAATCTATTTTCTGGGCAGAAATTCAAGCAGAAATAATGAGGAGCCAAATGCTAATGGCCAAGACAATGGAGAAAATGTCTCCAGGGCATGTCAGAGGCCTTTGAAGCAGTGCCTCCCATCACAGGACTGGAGGTCTAGGGGAAAAAATGGTCTCCTGGACTGGGTCCAGGGGACTCCTGCTGTGTGCAACCTTGGGACTTGGTACTCTGCATCCCAGCTACTCCAGCCATGGCTAAAAGGGGCTAAGGTATACAGCATGAGCCATAGATTCAGAGGGTGGAAGCCCCAAGCATTGGCAGCTTCCATGTGGTGTTGACCCTGAGAATACGCAGAAGTTAAGAATTAAAACTTGGGAATTGCCTCCTAGATTTCAGAGGATGTACGGAAATGCCTGGATGGCCAGGAAGAAGTTTGCTGCAGGGGTGAAGCCCTCCCTCATACAGAATTTCTGCTAGGGTCATGTGGAAGGGAAATGTGGGGTCAAAGCTCCCACAAAGAGTCCCCACTGGGGCACTGCCTAGTGGAGCTGTGAGAGGAGGGCCACCATCCTTCAGACCCCAGATGATCTGTCAAATGCTGAGAATGGGATGCTGAAGTCTTAAGCTATTGTCATATTGGCGTCAATCTCTCTCTCTGTAACTCTGCTAACTTTTTTTTTATATATCTGTGTGCTCATATGTTGAATGCATATATATTTACAATTGTTATATGCTCATGCTGAATTGACAACTTTGTCATTATATGATGACATTCTTTGTCTGTTTCCACAGTTTTTGTCTTAAAATCTATTTTGTCTAAAGTGAGTATAGCTGCTTCTTCTCTTATTTTGTTTTGATTTGTCTGGAATATCAGTTTCCTTCCCTTTATTTTTAGTTTATAAGTGTCTTTATAGGTGAAGTGCATTTCTTGTGGGCAACAGATCATTGAGTCTTGTTTTATTATACATTCAATTATTCTGTCTTTTGATTGGAGAGTTTAGTCCATTTACATTCAGTGTTATTGTTGATAAGTAAGGACTTATTCCTGCCATTTAGTCATTTGATTTCTGGTTGTTTTCTGATCTCCTGTTTGTTTCTTTCCTTCCTGTCTTCCTTTTTGTGAAGCTGATTTTCTCCAGTGGTATGTCTAATTTCTTGCTTTTTATTTTTTGTGTATCAGTTGCAGGCTTCTTGATATGAGGTTATCATGAGGCTTACAAATAACATCTTATAATACATTACTTTAGACTGATGGCAATTTAACACTGATTGCAAAAACAAACTAACAAACAAGCTATAAGAAAACTAATAGAAACTCTAACTTTGTTCCCCTGCTTTTTAACTTTTTGTTGTTTCTGTGTGTATCTTATTATACCGTCTGTATCTTGACAGTTAATATTATTTTTTCATAGGTTCATGATTTAGTCTTTCTACTCAAGATATGAGTAGCTTACACACCACAATTACTGTGTTACAATATTCTGTGTTTTTCTTTGTGCTTACTATTACCATTGCGTTTTGTACCTTCAGATTATTTTTTATTACTTGTTCATGTACTTCTTTTCAGACTGATGAATTCCCTTTAGCATTTCTTGTAAGACAGGTCTGGTGTTGATGAAGTTCCTCAGCTCTTGTTTTTCTGGGAAAATTTTTATTTCTCCTTCATGATTGCAGGGTATTTCCACTGGTTAAACTATTGTAGGATAATTTTTTTTTCCTTCAGCACTTTAAATACGTTATGCCACTCTCTCCTGGCCTGTAAGGTTTCCACTGAGAAGTCTGCTTCAGTGGAAGATCAGAAATATCGAAGCTCTGTTGTATATTTGTTTCTTTTCTCTTGCTGACTTTAGGATCCTTTCTTTATCCTTGACATTTGGGAGTTTGATTATTAAATATATTGAAGTAGTCTTCTTTGAGTTAAATCTCCTTGGTAGTCTAAAAACCTTCCTGTACTCGAATATTAATATTTTTCTCCAGGTTTTGAAAGTTCTCTGTTATGCTTTTGCATAAACTTTCTAATATATATATATATAAAATGTGTGTGTGTATATATATATATATATATATATATATATATAATGTGTATATATATACCTCCTCTTTCAGGCCAATAATACTTAGATTTGCCTTTTTGAGGCTACTTTCTAGATCTTGTAGGCAGGCTTCATTTTTTAAAATCTTTTTTTGGTCTCCTCTGATTGTGTCTTTTCAAATAGCCTGTCCTCAAGTTCACTAATTCTTTCTTCTACTTGATCAATTCTGTCGTTGGCATGTCTGATGCATTCTTCAATATGTCGATTGAATTTTCAGCTCTAGAATTTCTGCTTGATTTTTGAAAAACCATTTCAATCTCTTTGTTAAATTTATCTAAGAGGAGTCCAAATTATAAATTCCTTATCTGTGGTGGTTTTTGTTTTGTTTTGTTTTATTTTGTTTTGTTTTTTGACAGAGTCTCACTCTGTCACCCAGGCTGGAGTGCAGTGGCAAAATCTCAGCTTACTGCAAACTCCACCACTCGCTTTCAAGTGATTCTCCTGCCTCAGCCTCCTGAGCAGCTGGGATTACAGGTGTGTGCCACCACGCCCAGCTAATTTTTGTATTTTTTTTTTTTAGTAGAGATAGGGTTTCACCATTTTATTCCTGGTTTTATGTTTTCAGCTTTCCCTTTAAATTCCACATGTAAATAAAATCATGTGGGCTTTTCATTTTTCTCTCTGTCTTATTTCACTTAGCATAATGTCCTCCATGTTTCTGAAAATGCCAATATCTCCTTTGCTAAGGTTGAATGATATTCCATTATGTATATATACCACAATTTCTTTATCCATTTACCCATTGATGGACAGTTAAGTTGTTTCTATATTTTGGCTATTGTGAATAATATTGCAATGAACGTGGGGGTACAGATAGCTCTATAAAATGTTCATATCATTTCCTTTGGGTATATACACAACAGAGGTATTGGTGGGTCATTTTTTGCTTTATTTTAAAATTCTTCCCTATAGTATCTACAATTAGCCATTCTTTCTATTTTATCTTCCTGGCCCTCTGTATCACTCAGCTCCAAACTTTACTGATTTATCACTAATACACATGGTTGCCCTTCTTTTCACTATCATTCTAAAAATTCTCTTTGCTTCTCTCCTCTGCAGGATCCTCTGCTTCCTGACCCCTAGATCCTCTTTCTTGCTTTAATCTGACTTTTTGATGATGTAACTCTTTAAATCATTAACCAAGACTGTTATCTGAAAATAGAAGTTCCTCAGAATTCTCCATTTTGAAAGTATAGTAGAAACTTAACTTAATTTCATGGTTGAAATATATGTTTAAGGTCTTGCTATATAAAATATATAAATAATTTCTGGACGTGTTATATACTGTGTACCCTTCATATATGTCTTAATTTGGTGCCAATACATTCAAGAGGAAATAAAATATTTGTTATTTTTAAAATTTTTGAATATAGATTTTTAAATATCTTGACCTGAATCTACTTTATAAACTTGTAGTCTTTATGTCTGATTGGATCCCACGTGTTTTTCAGCATTTCTGTGTCTAAGGCAGAGAAGTCACCATCTGTTTGTAGTAGTATCCTTTAGGTTCAGGAGAGCACTTCCCTGCGTCCAGATGAAGTCATCAGTCAAAGAAAAATTGGGTCAGAGGAAAGCCCACCACTGATAGACTTTCTGTTTGGGTTAGCCGTAATCTTGGTCTTTTGTTGATGCAGAGCATAGTGAGTTCTGTTGTAAATTCTTGGCAGGATGAGGGGCTATAATGAGGGCTCTTGTACCTCCCATGGGCTGTACATGTCTATCTTTTATCTTCTCACTACTGTTGGTACTGAGTGCACAATAGCACACAGCTTCATCTGTTTAGTTGAAGCTAAGCCAGTTCCACCTATACTCTGAAGCAATAAACACTTAAAGTTTATGGCACCTTATTACTATTTTTGTCTTGCTTCAGCAAGTTGTTTTTTGGCCCTCCCTCAACCTTTTGATAGTTATAGTAATTGATTTGTACATATTTGCTCCTCTTGGACTTCCCTACCTCCTCAGTATTCCTATACTTTCAATAAAGAAAAGACATAATGATATCTGGGCAATAAATTATATTTCCATCATTTTGATTGGAAATGGTGGAAAGAAAAGACAGCACTACTTTTAAAAATTAATAAATTAGTGATAGTTTCTTTCTCTATATCACAAGAATTAGTTATTGAATTCATAATCAAGACAAATGTTGTCAAGTACTCATATATTCTGAAGACAGCAAAATTAAGGAGGAGGGAAAAGCCACTTTAGAATTTATTAGAAGACAACCAAACTAGCTCTGCTACTTTCAACTGTTATATCAGAGCTCCCAAACCCTAGACTAAATGCAATGAAAATTAAGTAGAAAGTAAGGAGAGAGATGTGAGATGGAGGGTGCCATAGGATTGCTGAGACATTGACTGTATTCAGAAGGAGGGTCTACAGAGAATCACGGTGGAAGAGACCAGGAGAATCATTCAGAGAGTTTAGAGATGCTGGTAAACATGGACAATTCATTTCTCAGTAGAATATTTTGCAGCATCCAACTTGTGGATCTTCTCCTTGCTTCTGTTTGAGCTGGAAAGAGAAGAATTGGAAACAGATAGCAGGACAGAGAAGAGCTCAAGTGTGGAGCAGCCTTTACTTGCATCGTTTGGCTTGGCAAGTTTCCTGTGGCTCAAGTAGATGTAGCAAAAATTAGCCAGACTTGGTACTCCCTAGGACCCCTATTTAAAATGAACACATGCTGGAAGAATAACTTCAGTGGCAAAAAGCTATGGGGCACCCTGCTGGGGTATATATGAAAAAAAGGAAAGTGGAAAAGTCTTAGCAGTAACGAAGATGTCCCCATAAGGTACCTGAAGAACTCAACTGTGCCTGCAATGAAAGTTAAAGCATTTTTTTTTTTTTTTTGCCATCACAAAAAAAACCAATGGCCAGTCAGGGTTCACTAGAGGAGCAGCAACATCCAAGAGAGGATCACAATGAAAAAGCAAGAAATGCCTATCCTTTTTATTTCTTATTACCTTCTTTCTCCTAAAAGAGATAATGGGTGAGAAATGAGAGGGGAGAGAGCAATGGAAAATGGACTGTGTTCCCTCCCTTACTCAGGACGAAGTTCAGCTATTCCTAGGAAAAAGAAAAGAGAGGATAATTAAATTAGACATGAACTAGATGTCTTAAACTGGGCTCAACCAAAAATAACATTTTATTAATTGAAAATGATCAAAGAGTTATGCGATCTATCTGACATAGCCTTAGGGGACAACAAAAGGAAATTTTGCATAGCCTGGTTGGATCAGCAACTGGAGGAAAAGAATAGACAAACATTCCTATATTTATATCCTGCTAGGTTTATACTATTGATAGGAATAAATATAGAAGAAAATAGATATAAAGCAATGAGGAAAGTGTATAAACAAGTCCTAAGAAATGCATGCAGTTAAATTTGAGTTTTACTTGGATTAGTGAGGGGAGTGAGAATGTCAAAGAGATACTGAAAAATTTTAAGAATTTTAAATTGCCAATGAAAAAAATGTTTTGTCATATGACTTTTAGAAATCATCTTTTGGTGGGCACAAAGTGAAAAAAAACTCAGCAATTTTTTCACACATTCTTCTTTTTCATTAACTGATTGAGCATCTTTACTTGTCAAACATGGGTTAACTTGTTGGATGGACATAACAGTCCTGCTCCTGAGCTCCTGGAACTTGTGTTCTTTTTTCCCTAGATGCTCAGAAGAAAAATAAAACCCTGTAGAACCAGTTAGCAAAGGCACAGAAAATCCAATGACCCATGGTCTTTCATAATGGGAAAAATTAGCATTAGTTTAACACCTGGTACATGTCTTCAGATTCATTATATAATTTCATCTTCAGCATAAATACAGTGTAAGTACTTATTCCTATGGGGAGAACAAACAAATCAAGGCCCAGTATCATTATATAACATTCCCAATCTCAGCCAGCTACATAAATGGCAGAGCAATAATAAGACACCGATTTTGTCTGGAACCAAACCCTGTGGTTTTTTTCCACTACATCAGGCTACCTCTTTATGACATGGCCACACAGAGGCAAACAAAACATTTGGGAGAGATATCTACATTTTGTAATTTGGAGATCAAAGCAATATGGTATCATTTTAATTGGGAGCATTATTGAGTAAATCCCATACAATATGGGTAACTTTGGATTTATCCTTAAGCTATAATTCCTTAATAAAGATTCATAATTAAATGAGTCGGTGTATAAATTTACCCAAATAAAATCATATAACATAGATAAAAGCATTTTGGGTTATTTAGAGGCAAAGCATTATATAATTTTTATAAGAATTTCAGTTTACTGTAGAATTCCATAATGTAATTATGTAACTTCATGATTTTCAAAAATTTACAGAAATTAATTTTATTCATTGCATTACTACGTTATCTACAGTTTTCTGCTGTTCTCCAATCATAAAAAGAAAAAGAAATAACAAAAATCTCCCCGGGGTAAATAATACTGTAGCCCCTGTCATGAAATAAAATATGCCAGTCCCTTCCTATGTATAAACCAAGAAGAAGTATCATGATGACAAAGTGGTTCAAAAGGCTACATTCTGACTTCTGGTATATAATGATGTGCTCAATTATTAAATGATGCCAAAAAAGATGCCTATACAAATAATTGTTATTTCTATCTATACATATTCTATCATTTATAATTTTAAGTAGGATGTGTTTAATTTCATATGTTTATTCAGAAAGCATTTATAAGGAAGCTACTCTGTCCTGGATGCTATGAGAGATAAGAAATTAATACAACAAAATCACTACTATTTGGAGATAATAGCTAAGTAAAATAGATGATAGTATATACACAAATACTGACAATATAAGATATAGTGTAAATGGTTTTATACACAAAAAAAATAAATTTAGTGATATGATTGTTCAAAGTAGAGCTTACTTTCACCCAAATAAATCAAAGAAGTCTTCTTAGAGGAGGAAGTAATTGAGCTGGGCTTAAAAATTGACATTGAAATATATCAAATGCATTTAGTATTAAACTATTAATAGGTTTTCTCTTTCAATCAATTTAGGCAGCTTATTTTAATAATTTTTTAATTGTAAGACATACTTTTACTTCATCAAGAAAAATTGCTCATGGATAGGAAGAATCAATATCGTGAAAATGGCCATACTGCCCGAAGTAATTATAGATTCAATGCTATCCCCATCAAGCTACCACTGACTTTCTTCACAGAATTGGAAAAAACCACTTTAAACTTCATATGGAACCAAAAAAGAGCCTGCACAGCCAATACAATCGTGGGCAAGAAGAACAAAGCTGGAGGCATCATGATACCTGACTTCAAGCTATACTACAAGGCTACAGTAACCAAAACAGCATGATACTTGTACCAAAACAGATATATAGACCAATGGAACAGAACAGAGGCCTCAGAAAGAACACCACACATCTACAACCATCTGATCTTTGACAAACCTGACACAAACACACAATGGGGAAAATATTCTCTATTTAATAAATGTTGGGAAAACTGGCTAGCCATATGCAGAAAACTGAAACTGGACCCCTTCCTTACACCTTATACAAAAATCAATTCAAGACAGATTAAAGACTTAAATGTAAGACCTATGACCATAAAAGTCCTAGAAGAAAACCTAGGCAATGCCATTCAGGACATAGGCATGGGCAAAGACTTCATGTCTAAAACACCAAAAACAATGATGACAAAAGCCCAAATTGACAAATGGTATCTAATTAAACTAAAGAGCTTCTGCACAGCAAAATAAACTATCATCAGAATGAACAGGCAACCTACAGAATGGGACAAAATTTTTGCAATCTACCCATCTGACAAAGGGCTAATATCCAAAATCTACAAATAACTTAAACAAATTTACAAGAAAAAAAAAACCATCAAAAAGTGGGCAAATGATATGAACAGACACTTCTCAAAAGAAGATATTTATGCAGCCAACAGACATATGAAAAAATGCTGATCTTCACTGGTCATTAGAGAAATGCAAATCAAAACCACAATGAGATACCATCTTGCATCAGTTAGAATGGTGATCATTAAAAAGTCAGGAAACAACAGATGCTGGAGAGGATGTGGAGAAATAGGAACACTTTTACACTGTTGGTGGGACTGTAAACTAGTTCAACCATTGTGGAAGACATGTCTGGCTATTCCTCAAGGACCTAGAACAAGAAATACCATATGACCCAGCAATCCCATTACTGGGTATATATCCAAAGTATTATAAATCATTCTATTATAAAGACACATGCACACGTATGTTCATTGTGACACTATTCACAATGGCAAAGACTTGGAACCAACCCAAATGTCCAACAATAATAGATTGGATAAAGAAAATGTGGCACATATAGAGCACGGAATACTATGCAGCCATAAAAAAGGATGAGTTCATGTCCTTTGCAGGGACATGTATGAAGCTGGAAACCATCATTCTCAGCAAACTATCACAAGAACAGAAAAACACCACGTTCTCACTCATAAGTGGGAGTTGAACAATGAGAACACATGCACATAGGGAGGGGAACATCACACACTAGGGCCTGTCAGGAGGTGGGGGGCTTGGGGAGGGATAACATTAGGAGAAATACCAAATGTAGGTGACAGTTTGATGGGGTTGATGGGTGCAGGAAACCACCATGGCACGTGTATACCTATGTAACAAAACTGCAGGTTCTGCACATATACTCCAGAACTTAAAGTATAATTTAAAAACATAAAAAATAAAATGTCATCCTCTACCCCAGCAAAAAAATAAAATAAATGAGTTGATATAAAAAAATCTTTATGTTCTGTTTGACTTAAATTTATAGTTCTGAGATTGATAAAATTATAGCTATGTTATTTGGTTTGGTTGGTTGTAAATAAAAGAAAAAATATAAAAAAAGAAGAAAAGGAAAAATGCATTTTAAAATATGGTACTATATTCAATTCACTTGTATTTATTTTATTTTGGACTTTGCATATTTATTCGTATGTATCCAGGAGACTAGTGTATTGTAATATTTTCTTTCTGTGTACCATCTCTACCAAATTTTACTATTAACATAAAATAAGTGATATAATATGCTATCCTTTTCAATATGCTGGGAAAATTTACCAAGGAGATCTTCAGTTACTTGAAAAATATGAAATGATTGCCTGGTAAAAGTACTATACTTTGGATCAATTTCTTATTTATTTACTTGTTTAACTTTTACTTTAGGTTTAGGGGTTGCATGTGCAGGTTTTTTACATGGGTAAATTGTGTCACTGAGATTTGTTGTATGAAAAATCTCATCACCAAGGTAGTGAGCATAGTACCCAATAAGTAGTTTTGTAAACCTCTCCACCCCTACCACCTTCTTTCTTCTAATAGTCCCTGGTGTCTATTGCTCCTGTCTTTTTGTCTGTATGTACTCAATGTTTAACTCCCACTTATGAGTGAGAACATGTGGTATTTGGTTTTTTGTTCCTGTGTTAATTTGCATAGTATAATGGCCTCCAACTGCATCTACTTTGCTGCAGAAGATATGATGTCATCCTTATATGCGGCTGAGTAGTATCGCATGGTGCATATTTACCACATTTTTCTTTCCAGTCCGTTGTTGATGGGCACCTAGGTTGATTCTATTTCTTTGCTAATGTGAATAGTGCTGTGATGAACATATGAGTGCATGTGTCTTTTTGGTAGAATGACTTATTTTCCTTTGAATATATACCTAGTAGTGGGATTGCTGGGTCAAATGGTAGCTCATTTTGTCTTTGAGAAATCTCCAAACTGTTTTCCACAGTGGCTAAACTAATTTACATTCCCACCAACAGTGTATAAATGATTCTTTTTCTCTGCAACCTCACCAACATCTGTTATTTTTTGTCTCTTTAATAATAGCCATTCTGAGTGGTGTGACATGGTATCCCATCACGGTTTAGATTTGCATTTCTCCAATGATTAAAGATGTTGACTTTTTTTTTTTTTTTTTTTTTTTTTTTTTTTTTTTTTTTTGAGACGGAGTCTCGCTCTGTCGCCCAGGCTGGAGTGCAGTGGCGCGATCTCGGCTCACTGCAAGCTCCGCCTCCCGGGTTCACGCCATTCTCCTGCCTCAGCCTCCCGAGTAGCTGGGACTACAGGTGCCCGCCACCATGCCCGGCTAATTTTTTGTATTTTTAGTAGGGACGGGGTTTCCCCATGTTAGCCAGGATGGTCTCGATTTCCTGACCTCGTGATCTGCCCACCTCAGCCTCCCAAAGTGCTGGGTTTACAAGCGTGAGCCACCGCGCCTGGCCGAACATTTTTTCATATATTTGTTGGCCACGTGTATGTCTTGAGAAGTGTCTGTTCATTGGATCTGCTTCCTGAAGGTAATTCTCTGATGGTATTTTCAGTTTTCTCCAAAATTATGAATGCACCAGTAGCTCTGTTCAAGTTTATGTCTTCTTCTTAATTATATTTTTAAATATTTTATATTAATAAAATTATATAAATAAAATAATAATTACTATTTTCTAGAAAATTGTTCATTTCATCTTATTTAGATTTTAAAATTCATTTGCAAATAGACTACTGCACTGTATTACCGTTCTCTCTAATTTTGTTTATTTATAGAGTTTTTCTTAATTGGGTCTTTTTAGAGTTCTTGGTTATTTATTTTCACCAGAAAACAAATAATGTTGAGAGGCACAAAGATGGGCAGGAAAGGACATAAGAACTTACTAGAATAAAGAAATAGAAAAGATAAGAGGATAAGATTTCCATTAAATGAAATATTTATTTTGATAGAAGTAAGGAGAAGAAATGCAAGATCAAGTCCTCTGTAATACAAAAAAATATTGCATTTCTTGATAACACAATAATGCTTTCTAAAGTACCATTTTATTATCTGTGCTTCAATATTATATCTTAATAGACAAGCGCATTTATAAAAATAAATGTATTTAAATACAGGTGGTGTGTGCTGAGGCTTATATTTATCCAGAAAAAAAGCACTGTACACTGAAAATTGAGAAATGTGTTTGCTAACTATAGTACAGGCACTGGGGCAAGTTAGTTTTAAGCATCTGTCTGACTTCTTTTTGCTTTTCCTGAATCAACAGGGAATGACACTTGTCCCATCTTTGTCATCCAAGGGTATTTCAATAATAAATAAAAATACATGAAAAGTATCTTTAGTCTTTTAAAAATGAATGGTAAACAAAAAACTTCAGTTTTCTTTGAAATATAATTAAAGAAATTTTTCCTCACTGTATTAGTCCATTTTCATATTGCTAAAAAGAACTGCCTCAGACTGGGTAATTTTTAAAGGAAAGAGGATTAATTGACTTAGAGATGGCTAGGGAGGCCTCTGGAAACTTATAATCATGGTGGAAGGCAAAGGGGAAGCAAGGCACCTTCTTCACAAGGTGGTAGGGAGGAGAAGTGCTGAGCAAAGGACTAAGATCCCCTTATAAAACCATCAGATCTCCTAAGAACTCACTCCCTATCATTAGAACAGCTTGGGGGAAACCACTCCCATGATTCAATTATCTTCACCTGGTCTCTCCCTTGACATGTGGGAATTATGGGGATTTTGGGGATTACAATTCAAGATGAGATATCGGTGGAGACACAAAGCCTAACTACATCACTTACTAATATTAGTAATATTGTATATAATTACATACAATATAATATATATTATTATATTATATTACATCTCCACCAGAACATTTACTGCATGCTTTAATTTCAGTGTTTGTGGCAAATTGATTGAAATTAAGGTTATTAAAGAACTGGACCCTCCGTTATGAAACGTCTCAAAGTAGCACTGTAATTCCTCTCTTACGTATGGCAACTGGCAATGTTAAACATCAGGACTGTCTCCATATTGCAGTAAGTACAGCCATTTCACAAGGAAGCCTCCTTTATTTATATTGTTGGCCCTCTCCTTTTCTATCAGCAAGCACAAGTACAATGAGATCCTGGAACAAATGAGCTTATTAAGATCATGGTTAGACATATCGTTTTTCAAATCACACTCTACAAGACAGATATGCTGGCAAAGCTGTAATAAATGTCAAGGCTCAAGGCATTCACTATTCTTTTTAGCAGCCTGATGGCTTGGCTAGAAAAGCTTTACATAAATTTTAGTGCACACCTGTCAAGTGGCAGGCGTGATAGTCTGCTATCGTGCAGGAGCCTGAGCTGTGATTTCTGGGCTGGCACCACTGCCATCGTTTTCAGTGCAATCATGAGCTTTTCTCTGTTTGTGACCGATGAAATCTATGTGATCACACTGAGAATCTGTGCATCTTGGCGGATCTGCCAGTGGTACTCATCACATAGAGATTATTTTAGATTGGCTGCCATGAAGTGTTATTTCCCATTTGTTAACACAATGGGGTTTCATGACTATGAGAACTGAAACACATTCATTTGTATATGGGTTTTGTCCTTGTTGCAATACAAAAACCTGTCCCATCTTTCCTACGACTCCTTTAACCTTTCTTTTTCCATCAGTTCTCTACCTGAAACAACTGCAGTGCTAATTGTGTCACATTTTTCCTAAGTGGAAAACAGAGGGGGGAAAACCTTGTGCTGTTTTAACAAGCTAAATTTGTGAGTTAGAAATAAACTTTGTGATCCCAATTATATGAAATAAAATTATGTTTCATATTCTTGCATACATATATGCTTAGAACATTTCTGAAAGAAAACTCATTAAATTGTTTATAGAGATACCACTAAAGAGGAAGGAAGATCTGGAGACAGGCAAGTCAGGGGTCTTCCATTTTCTTTTATGTATATTATGGTAATGCTTGTATTTCTCTGATGATAAAATATTCATTTATTCCTGGTATAATAAAAAAGACTATTTTAAAACAGGGAAAATGAAATATTTGTATCAAGAAGAGAATAGGGCACCATAAGACGATACTTTGATGAATATTGCCATATATTTACATAGTGTGTTCACATACATCGTATCACAAGATCCTCACAGAAACTTACTGGGATGATAGGATCAGATATTAGCATTCCATTTACATAGGGGAAATCTGAAGCTTAATGAGCTTCAGCGATGTGCTTCAGTTTCCAGTGAAGTTTCTAAATCAGGAGTGAAACCTGAGTATTCTGACATTTAATTGAAGCTTCTACCCCATCAAGCACCCACCCCCACCACTTCATTGTTTCCTGCTCTGAAAGCAAGAACAACATATTATTTTTGCCATTTTGTAACTTTTCTGACATGTATGTACAGTGTATATATTTCAAGTTACCCATACAGTCAATTTTATACTAATAAAATAGACCAATTACTTCGTAGACTTGCTCAGATGGAAACAGAAATTTAGATTCTGGAACATAACCAAATTTCAGTACTAAGCTTTTCGTTGAAGAAAAAATAACCATAATTATGTTTAGCACAATAATTTTTTTTGCAAAGTTATGGCAAATGCCAGAGCTCTGGGTTGTCAACTAACGGATGTTTGCCATAAATATCATTTAAAAATATATCACTACGTGAAAATATTCATTTCTATTAATGGCATAGTCTTGTATAGTGGAATTAATAGCAATTCGCCAGTTGAGCACTGGCACTGTTGTTTGTTTATTTATTTATTTAGGAGACAGAGTCTCGCTCTGTCGCTCTCCCAAGCTGGAGTTAAGTGGTGCTATCTCAGCTCACTGCAACCTCCGCCTCCCAGGTTCAAGTGATTTTCCTGCCTCAGCCTCCTGAGTAGCTCGGATTACAGGCATGTGCCACCATGCTAGGCAAATTTCTTGATTTTTAGTAGAGATAGGGTTTTGCCATGTTACACAGGCTGCTCTCAAACTCCTGAGCTCGGGCAATCCACCCGTCTCAGCCTCCCAAAGTGCTAGGATTACAGGCATGAGCCACCGCACCCAGCCACTGGCACATTTTGTAAAAACCTTTAATCTCCTAACAAATAGTCATTCGAGGCAAAAGCCAAGAAATTTAGGAAACCCCTTACCTTCCCATCCTTCTTTATCCCAAAATCTTTGCCCTTTTAGGGTAATACAATGATCTATGATTGTTTTCCTTTTCTCAATCATTTGTGTAAGTATTTCAAAAGAGAAAATAGATACTGAAAAAAAGACTTTACCTCATGTTTACATCGACAATTTTAAAAATAAAATAATAATACATATTTGCATAGCTATGCAAAAAGACTACATTTACATATCAAAAATTTATTGGTGACACAAGCCTATGGAAAAATGCTTAACATCACTAATTATCAGGGAAATGCAAATCAAAACCACAAAAAAAGTAGATCTACCATTTGTTTCAGCAATCCCACTACTAGGTTTCTACCTAGAAGGAAAGAAGTCATTATACTAAAAAGATACTTGTACACGCATGTTTATAGCAGCACAATTTGCAATTGCAAAAATATAGAACCAGCCCAAATGCTCATTAATCAATAAGTGGATAAAGAAAATGTGATATATATATATATATATATATCATTTCATTTGATTTCCACAATAATTTCAACTATATATGTTGAAATTATATACATATAATTTCACTATATATTTATGATATATATTGTTTAGTGGAATTAACAGCAATTCTCCAGTTGAGCACTGGCATTGCTTATACTATAAACACTGTTTATACTGTTATACTATATATGTACACACACTATATATATATTTATACTATTTTATATATATATATATATATATATATGCACACAAACACAATGGAATACTAGTCAGCCATAAAAAGGAATGAAATAATGGCATTCACAGCAACCTGGATGGAATTGGAGACCATTATTCTAAGTGAAGTAACCCAGTAATGGAAAACCAACCATCGTATGTTCTCACTCATAAGTGGGAGCTAAGCTATGAGGACCCAAAGTCATAAGAATGATACATTGGACTTTGGGGACATGGGTGAAAGGGCAGGAGGAGGGTGAAGGATTAAAGACTACACATCAGGTACAATGTATACTGCTTGGTGATGTGTGCACCAAAATCTCAGAAATCACCACTAAATAACTTATCCATTTAACCAGATACCACCTGCTTCCTAAAAACCTACTGAAATAAAAAATAATTTAAAAAATAATTCTTGATGACCTTGAAGCCATTAGCACTCATTCTAGTGATTCTCACCTCTGGGTTCCTGGTACTCTTTGAAAGTATGTGGGAACAAGAGAGAAATACTTGAGGGAATTAAAAATCTTCAGACAATATTAAGTAGTCAATGATAACCAAATAATCATAAATGTCAGATAACAGGGTCTCACAGTTCTTTGCCTTACAAAGTACTAGGCTGCCCTTCAGCCCTGACACTGTTTGTATCTGCCCTCTCTGAGCTCCTCTCATAAGGCAAAGTGCAAACAACACTTACCTTCCCGATAAGCTGGTCACTGTGCTTTTTGACTGGAAACTGACTCTCAGCCAACACATAGGGTGTGCTCAGTTAAACCTTTACTCTGGCAGATGTTAAGCAAACCCATTACTGATGGAAGAAGAAAATATAATGTCACGCTTTGCAACTTTGGAAGCACACAGGTGACAGGGTCATGATGAGCAAACACCACAAAACACAGGTTAAGAACCACTTCATTTTCTTTCTTTCTTTCTTTCCTTCCTTCTTTCCTTCTTCTTTCTTTCTTTCTTTTTCTTTCTTCCTTTTCTTTCTTTCTTTCCTTCCCTCTTTCTTTCTTTCTTTCTCTTTTTTCTTTTTCATTCGTTCTGATGGAGTTTTGCTCTTATTGCCCAGGCTGGAGTGCAATGGCATGGTCTCAGCTCACTGTAACCTCCAGCTTCTAGGTTTGAGCGATCCTCCTGCCTCAGCCTCCCAAGTAGCTGGGATTACACATTCCTGCCACCACGCCCAGCTAACGTTTGTATTTTTAGTAGAGACAGGGTTTCACCATGTTGTTCAGGCTGGTCTGGAACTCCCGACCTCAGGTGATCCGCCCACCTCAGCCTCCCAAAGTGCTGGGATTACAGGTGTGAGCCACCTCACCCAGCCCACCTCATTCCTTTTCCAAGTGAGCCCACAGTTGCTACTGGCACAATGACTCCGGGAGATGGACAGCCATTTGTGGAACTGGAATATTCATCTCTTGGACACAGCTGTGATTTCTGCATTCTGTTCTTTCTCTTAAAGTCCCTGAATCTGTACTAGCAATTGCCCATCTGCACAGTTTTGGACTCACTGGATGGAAGAGCTACAAGAATCCTGTCTTTTGTTTCTGGGAGCTTGGAGGCAAGAGATATAAACCTGTCACATTTAACAAATAATTACTATTTTGGTATTTATCTTTATTTCCAACATATTTCTGTCTTTTTATAACTGCAAAGGCTCATTTAATGTGTGTTAGACATATTTCTGACAGCTTTATATAAATTAAATCATCTAATCATCAAAACAACCTTGAGAGAAAGTTACTACCATTATGTACATTTTATGAATGAGAAAATCGAGCCACAGAGAGGTGAAGGGATTTGTCTGAGAACGGAAATACATTAAGTGTTGGCTTGCTCTCGAGGCTGTGGTCTTAACTGCTATGTCATGCCATCTCATTTACTGACTTCTCTGCGCACTGGTTCTTCCTCTGCCTGTCTTTCCATCTGGAAAAGAGCATTTAATATTTCTAGGTCCCCTAGGCCTCTTAAACAGCCTCATGTATTAAAAAATAAACTATTTCAATTATGTTGTTTATTTTGAAATTAAAAGCTTTGAGATTTTATTTTATAGTGCTCAAAAATCTTTAAAAAGTGACTAAAAGCTGGCTTTTATTGATGATGATTAGATGATTTAATTTAATGCTTAAATGGTATCCTCTCCAAACCAAACACACTTTATGGAAAAGGAATGCATTTCATAAATCATCTTTCTCCTCAGAGTCCTAAGAAAATAGAAGGCAAAAATGACCTTGAAATCTCTGCTGACCTTCTTAACACCGTGTAAGAAATGTTTTAACTCTCTGTGCACATGTGCCTTTCCTTTCAATAGCTATTGAAGTTGTCGCTTGACAAGGGATTGAGAGGGATAAGACAGAAGGGGCATTCACCATGATTCTATTCCCGGAAACTGACATTTTATCTTAGAGGAAATAAAGCATCATGTGTATGTTGACTTTAGAAAATGTTTAACAGAAGCTCTGACACATAAATGAAGCCACAACTTCTTTCTAGCACGAAGTGAATGTTTTAACTAATGTCTCGCTTTGCTGCATTTTGGTCAAGTGTTTTCCTCCTCCCTTTTCTTCCCCTGGGGCTGGGTGCCAGGTATTGCTCTAGGTCCTAGAAATATAGAGGCAGTGTCTATAGCATAGTCCTTGCTCTGTAGGATTTCATTTGGTTTCCACAATAATATCAACACCCTGAGACATGGAGCTTCCAGATTCCAGCATCTTTATGTTCATATTTTAGCATGCCAACTTTCCAGATTCTACTTTTAAGTTACATTAATAGTCCCATTATCTTCTACAACTTGAAAACAAATACTCACATCTTACCTAAACTGATGATTAAAAATTGTACATACGTGAATGAACAAAGCACTGGAGACTATCAATCCAAAGAAAATTCTCATTAAGTGCTGACAAGGAAACCATTAATACTTGTGTAGTTTCAGGGAGAGTAATCAGACTTTTGATTAATTCAAAACCATGATTTGATGGCAGCCTATGCAATCCTGAACAAAATTAGGGCTTTTCTCCAATCTAGCTAGATCGCTACAAGGTAAGAATTTAAAGGAGAAATGAGAGTTATAAATAGCTCCTTCACTGAAGCACTCCATAGTTGAGAAATTAAAGAAAATGACAAGTAGCTCAGCTGGTTTATTTTCTCTGATGTTATTGAAATAAAAACTTGGACAACAGCCTTTTTACATTTTTTTAGGGATTTCTTGCACTCAATTTGACAGGAAACTATGGTTTTTACTTAAGGAAGGTGTGGGATAATTATTTTTTCATTTGTAAAATATAACAGTTGTTTCAGATGGTAAACTGTAAACATGCTAATGATACTTTAGCTGTATTACTAAAGGTTTTCTTCACACCCATTAAGCCATCTAATGGTCGCAGTTCTAATCTTCATTGAAGATAAACAGCACTAACAATGTGCACACTTCGGCTTTCTGGGCACCTCAAGGCCTTTGTTCAATTGTTGTTTGATGAGCTTGTATAGAAAAATAGTGAGAAAATCTGAGGTATTATCATTTCTGTATAGGCAGCTAAGTGAGCTATCTACTATTTTTAAAAGACAAGAAGAGAATCACATAAAATATCCACTTTAAGTGGTAAATTTCATTACCAATACCATCATTGACTCTATGACAGAACTGTAAGTTAAAAATATGTGAGGTAGACACTATTGTTATTTCCATTTTAACAGATAATAAACAGGGGCTCAGAAAGACCAAATGACTTGCCCAGGTTCATTCAGCCAGTCAGCTGTCCAATCCAGATAGGAATTCCAGTCTGTCTGATTCCAAAGCCTAACTGCAGCTTTGACTAAGCTGCTATTGAGATTGAGATGCTAGCTCAGTGTAAGTTATTAATCTCTTCCACAGCACCAGAGGAAAGTCAATTTGCAGTTACCTTTGGATTAAATAATATATTCAATCCTTACTTGCCCATTGTGACAGATTACAATAAAGTTACACATACACACATGTATGTACTATGTTTATTCTTTTTCAAAAGAAGAATCAAATCACTTCTTATATTACATTTGTAATTTTGTAACTTAATAATTCATGGGCATCCTTTCAAGTTAATACATAGTGATCTAATATTTTCTTTCTCATAATTGCATCCCATTTCAGACAAGGATAAGCTACCTATATCTAAAGATTACACATACATACATACACACACATATACTTGTGTATATATAGAGAGGGAGACAGAGAGAAAGAAAGACAGACAGAGTCATTGGAGTTTTATTCCCTTTGATAGATTTCAAAAGTGGGACGGCTGGCCAAGAAGATATAAACACACAACTTTTCTAAACTGTTTTATTACTTTTCACATCCACCAGCAATACATGAAAGTATCTGTTTGTCTATCTCTTCTCTGCGTCTGGTTCCTATTGCTATTTTTTTTAGTTTTTGTCAATTGATGAGTGCAAAATGACATCTTAATATTATTTAATAACTCCTGATGAGTAAAGATGTAAAGGTATTAAAGTATAGATGTTTACATTTTTATGTTCTACTAAATATTTATCTTACTAGTTTGCTTTTCTATTCGTTTTTATTAAGTTGCATAAGCTCACTGTATACGTGTCAAAATCTGTGAAGATTTGAAATTTTACACTACTTGAAAACTAACAGTCATTCTGCTATAGTTTTATGGATGCAGGCAGAAGACACAAGACTCCTGGGTCAGAGACAAAGGGCATTATTTCTCAGGACACAGGAAGCATCATGAGCATCAGTATGTTTGGGTCAGTTCTCTTCACCTACAAGTCCCACACGGATGTTGCCGATGGGGCTAGATGACATCTGCACATTCAGTAAGTTGTGTTAAAGGGAAGAAACCCAAAGTTTTTATAATGGACAGTCAGCATTCCTGCCTTTTGCTCCAGAGATAGACACTGTCTATAACTTCCAATGTTGTTTGCTATCCATACATTCTTGAAGACATAGTCCAGAACAAAGGACAGTTAATGCCTTATTTATAAGATGTGCAGAAACACAAATGATCCAGGGAGCTGTCTGTCAGCTATTAGAGATATTCTCCTTTTATCTAGTATATTGCATATGTTTTCTCACAATCACTACTTATAATAGCTCTTATGTTTTCTCCTTGTCTGTCTTCCTATGGTCTTTGCTCTGATATGTGTATTATTCAACATAATATGGAAATAATTTCTCTCATTTCGGATACAACTTATTGCTCTACTCTTGGTTGAAATAAAAATAGACATTGTTTAATTGCTATTTTATGAAAATATGTGTCCTTTATTATTTGTTGTATTTTTGTACTGACAAGTGATGAATAAAAGGCATAGAAAGAGAAGTGGATGGGAATTTTTCCCAATCAAAAAAAACAAAGCGCTGTAAGTTTATAACTCCTTTCTATCAATGTAACTGCTGTTCATTCAGAAGATTAGCAATGTCAGGACCCTGCTTGGAGGAAGTCATAACATGGGCGCAAGTCTATGTTTTGTGAGGCTTGAAGCTTCTACAACTTGACAGGGGTTGGAAAAGGTAATGCTGAAAATAGTAAAATACAAAATTACAAACACAAAATTGCTATGGCCTGTCCTGGGGCCCATACAAATATGGGGCCCTGAAACATCAACGAAACATTTTTAGCTTCACAGTAAATCTTCTCTGTCTGGTACAGGATGTGAAAGAAAAGATTCAAGCCAATCACAATATAAAGTTTTTGCTTCTTTAGGCCATACTGCTTCTTTATTAACTCAGCTAAATATGTAGCATTAGTTCCTCAGAGAAAACATTCCATAGTGCCTGCCCTTTATGAACTTGGATAATGCTGTATTTTAGTCTAAAACGAATGACATTTTGTTGAGTATATCATTGGTTGCAAAAATTATTACACCAGATCCAGCAGAATTCCATCAGTGCTGGGGGCGGGGAATGAGGGTGGGATGAATACTACCACAATTTTTTTCATGGGCCCTCTTGGGACCCTTCAAGCGTTAATATGGGTGAAATCTGTGCTAAATGAATTTGGAAGGTAAAGAAGGGAGGCAAAGAGTTGTAGAAGTATCAGAATATAGAGAACAACACTTAGGAATGTGCATGAAACAAACAGAGATAAAGTGTTTTCAGAAAGTCCCAGATCCTCTTGTTTTGTATTTCTTGTTTACATATATAAATATGTGTATATGTATATATTTGTATATACACATACATACATAGTATATATCTGTGTATATAGTATATATGTATGTGTATATACATACATACATTTGTATAAATGTCTGTGTATATATTTGTGTGTGTATCAGATATATGTATTTGTGTGTGTATATATTTGTGTGTGTATCAGATATACGTATTTGTGTGTGTGTGTGTTTTAACAGCATTTCATAAAACTGACTTATTTTCTCTGAATTGCCCCTGTCATTTGGCTCATGTTTCAGTTAGCTTAAAAAATTAATATTATTAATTGAGTGTCTAATATTCACATGGTATTATGTAAATCATTGACTACTAACAAGTAAAAATTGTTACAATACTCTTGCTCTTACAGAGTTTATAGTCCTCTTATAGAAATAAAAACAAGTACAGAGATATCTCCAATACCAGATAGAATATGCTTAGTGGCATGAGAAGCAACAGAAGGTTATCTGAATTTAAAAGATTAATACTTTGTAGAGAGCGTATCATTTAGAATGATGCCTGAAAGATGAGATTTGTCTATAAAATAATACAATAAAGAGTTCCAGGTAGATAGGGGGGCAAAGCCCTGGGGACAGAACATTGCAAGGAACAGGAAACAGTCCAGTTTTAGTTGGAAGGTATATTGGAATTGAAGTATTTAAGTTTACAATGGTAGGGTTACATCACTGATATCTTTGTATTCCTATCCCAGTGTAGGTTCTAAGGTGGTTGCCAATGGGTAGAAATCTTTAGCAGGGGAATGGACTGAACAGGAAAGTGATTTTGAAAAGTTAATCTGAAAGAAGTGCATACAGTAAAGAGGCCAAAGCGTACTGGGAGATCAGTTTAGAGGTTAACAGATTTAAAAAAAGAAATGTTTTTTGTAGTAAGTATGAAAGCAAAAAGGCTGTACATAGGTCTTATTGAAAAAAGCCAAATCACATGATGAGAATGGGAAGATGCAGAGAGAAAAACAGTAATAAAGTTCTCCGGGTATCTTGCAACCTTGGGGTCTTGAAAGGCAACTTATTTTATTTTTGTGAATCATTACGTTAAGTTTTGCATCCACTCTTCCCCCCGCCCTTTTTTTTTAACCATTTCATATATAGCACTCCTCTAATGTCCTCTTTCTCTCCCCTTCTCTAAGAAGAATAGCGAAGCATCAGGAGCGTCTGCCATGTTATTCAGCTACTCAGCTTTGCTAGTGGCACTGTGGATTAAAGACCCCCTGCTAACATTGTAGATGTTGTGCAATGTACCAGAGAAAAAGAAAAAGAAAAGAGAAAATGACTCTTCTTTAAGGAGTAGATGACTTCCCTGAGATTTCTAGACACATAAGTACAATTGACAAAAACATGGACAAATTATTAACTCTAAATGTGCAAAAAAAGAGCATCAAGAAGAGATACTTCCCCTCAGAGGAGGGAAAGAAAAACACAGAAATGTGGAGTAAGGAATGAGGTGACTGATGTCAGTTGGCAAAGCTGTGAAAATCTTAACCAAGGAGAGTCAAAATGCTGCAGCAGAATTACTAAATTGTTTGGAAAAGTAAGAGGATAGTAAAGGAGGAGGCACTGGTCAGGGACATAACTTACTAGCAGGTTTGAACGTCAACCATGAATTTCCTGTTCCTTCATTTTATTTCTTCACTGCCATCTTATTCTCATCATCTCAGCCATACCCAGGATGCAAGCAATGAATTCAGGAAGAAAGATGATCTAATGTTACAAAACATTATGAAGCATCATCTTATTCCTGTGAAATTCTTCTTTCTCGGTATTTTTGCACTTCTCAGTCCTGTAAGGCAGAATCATACAATTTTCATTTTGCCTACGAAATAGTAACAGATTCCTGACAGTTAGAATTCTTCCTGACAGAGACAGAATGTGATTCAAAGGTTCACAGTGACTGATTTCTATGCCAGAAATGTGTATCGTAGTCTACCTGAGAAGCAGATCTACTTGGTATCATTTGTAAAGGATGTAAAATTTTGCCAGTGATAATGGCAGATTTGTTCAAAGCTGCAGTGTGTCCCTTTTGCGTGTTATGATGGAAATAACTACTACAGTCTACAAAGCAGGATTCTAGGCGTGCTCCATACCTTACTGATTTTGTGGTATTTTGCAGGCTCATTTAAAATAGCTAGTCAGGAAAAGTATATAAAAATATCCAAAAATAAACTGTAAACCTTATATGAATAAAAGCATGTACACAATTCTTATTGCAGATTTATTTATGATTTCCAGTGGCACTCAAATCCTGGAGCGGGTGGATGTTGGGAGAATCTGTTAGAAATGGCTGTTTCAGAAGCTTCCCAAGGCCCGCATATCTGCTCTATGACCTGGCTATTATTTACCAGGAGGACGACCACAATTCAGGGGTTAGGAAAACAGTTTTCACTTTTTCACTTCTCTAAAAACTAAGACAGAAACTTGTTAGAAAATATAACTGAAGGTCAGATCTAGGTTTTGTCAGACCTAAAGCTACAGTTTGGAGGCCTCTTACAGAAAAAGAACATAAAATCACAAATATATAACTTGGCACAAAAAGGAACATTTATGTAGAATAAGAAAGGAAATTACAACAAATTATAAATGGAAAAGGCTATAAAAAAGCACAAACATACAAACTCCAGAAAATTAACATTAAAAAATTAATAAATGTGAACTTGAAAGTTGCAGAAAAATACTACTATACTCCTTTGGTTCCACTTCAACTCTGGAAAAGGGATGCAAGTAGTGAAGATTAGATTATTTAGTAGAAGTCTGATTTTTAGCATGCTATTCTCTCGAAATATCTCCTTTTTGGAAAAACTACAAAATTCACAGGGCTCAGGTAGGAGCCAGATAGGAAACTAAACTATATGGTTCCAAACACTGCTGCCCAAAGACTCATCTTAGGTCCCCTACCTTGGAATTCCCAGGTGTTTAAAATGCAGAATCACCAGCTCACAGAGATATTTAAGAACCTGGAATCTGGCCCGGGCACGGTGGCTCACGCCTGGAATCCCAGCACTTTGGGAGGCTGAGGCGGGTGGATCACAAGGTTGCGAGATCGACACCATCCTGGCTAACACGGTGAAACCCCATCTCTACTAAAAACATAAAAAATTAGCCGGGCTTGGTGGCGGGCACCTGTAGTCCCAGCTACTCGGGAGGCTGAGGCAGGAGAATGGCGTGAATCCGGGAGGCAGAGCTTGCAGTGAGCCGAGATCGCGCCACTGCACTCCAGCCTGGGCAAAAGAGCGAGACTCCGTCTCAAAAAAAGAAAAAAAAAAAAAAAAAAAGAACCTGGAATCTGTATGGTGATCCCACAAATCTGTGTGGTTGACAAGCACCCCCAAGAAGATTCTAATGACCATTGCATTAACTCCTGAAAATGGCACAAACTCCCATAAAGAAGCAGGGATAGGGATGGATTTAGAGCAGAGTTCTTACGTACCACCAACGCAGCTTGAGGAATTCCCCCAGATCACAAGTTTAGAGTTGCTGAGAATCTTAAAGTGAAGATGATCACACATTTAAATTCTTTCTTTCCTTCTCCTGAGAAGTATAAATATGAGGAGGGACTTTTAAAAATTCATGAAGAAATGTGATTTTAAGACATAAATAAAAACATAAACTTTATTTCTCAACAGGAGCTACCTCAAGGTCAAGACAATTTTATAAGTGATGATACCAGCCATTTAGTCCATCCTTAAAGAACTGAAGATCCTACGAATTTAACCAGGTCAATGCAGTCTTTTTTACATTATTAACTGAAGAGAAATGCATACCCTTTAAAAATAATTTTTAAGATTAGCAAAAAAAAAAAAAAAGTCAGAGGAACCAAATCAGGACTGCAAGGTGCATTACTAATGATTTGCCACCAAAACTTTTGCAAACTTGCCCTTGTTTGATGAGAGGAAGTGGCAGGAGCATTGTTGTGGTAAAGGTCTCTGGTGAATCTTTCCTGGGGGTTTCTCTGCTAAAGCTTTGCCTAACTTTCTCAAAACACCCTCATAACAAGCAGATGTTATCATTCTTAGGTCCTCCAAAAAGTCAACAAGCAAAATGCCTTGAGGATCCTAAAAAACTGTGGCAATGACCTTTGCTTTTTTTTTTTTTTTTTTTTTTTTTTTGAGACGGAGTCTCGCTCTTTCACCCGGGCTGGAGTGCAGTGGCGCGATCTCGGCTCACTGCAAGCTCCACCTCCCAGAGTCACGCCATTCTCCTGCCTCAGCCTCCCGAGTAGCTGGGACTACAGGCACCCGCCACCACGCTCTGCTAATTTTTTGTATTTTTAGTAGAGATGGGGTTTCACCGTGTTAGCCAGGATGGTCTCCATCTCCTGACCTCGTCATCCTCCCACCTCGGCCTCCTAATGTGCTGCGATTACAGGCGTGAGCCACTGCGCCCGGCCAACCTTTGCTCTTGACCAGTCCACTTTTGCTTTGACTAGACAACTTCCATATTTTGGTAGCCAGTCCTCTGATTGTGCCTTGTCTTCAGGATCATACTGGTAGAGCCATGTTTTATATCCTCTATAATTCATTAAAGAAATGCTTCAGGATATTGATCCCACTGGTTTAAAATTTCCATTGAAAGCTCTGTTCTTGCCTGCAGCCAATCAGGGCACAAGGGTTTTGGCAGCCCTCCAATGGAAAGTTTGCTCACTTTTACTTTTCAGCCTGAATTGTGTAAGCTGAACCAATTGAACTGTCAATGTTGTTAGCTGTTGCGTATGCTATTAATTTTATTAGTCTTCTTCAATTAGGGCACAAAAAAAATGATTTTTTTCCTCACAAATTGATGTGGGTGGTCTGTTGCTGTGGGCTTCATCTTCGACATTTTCTAGTCTGTTCCCTAACTTGTTCCCAGAAAACAAGTTATTCACTTGTAAACTGATGATTTATTTGGGGCATCGTTCCCATGAACTTTTCATAAAGTTTGAATGATTTCAGCATTCTTCAACCTGAGCTTTATCATAAATTTGATGTTTGTTCTTGCTTTAATTCTCTGATAGGGGCTATTTTCAAATTGGTTCTTCTTAGTGCCTCAATCTAGATCTTGTCAGACATGTTATAATCACGTTATCACAAGTTTATTTTGGTGCAAGAAAATTTTGAATTCCATATATAGTTTTTTCATAATATACATTTCCGTGAACTTTTTGAAGATGCCCTCATACTTTCTGAAGATGAGGACTTCCTTATTCTCACATTAATCCAGTTTTTTTGCTTCCCATTATTGTTTCCTTGCCTTTTATTACATACTTTTTGTCTGATGCCACTTAATTGTGGGTGGTTCTATTGCCTCCCCTTTCATTCTGGACTCTGAGGACTGAATGAGATTTCAAATCCAACCAATGCTTTCTTTTTCTTTATCAATATTCCTGAAATGTTACCATATAACTTTGGCTTGATTGAGTCTATTGAAAAGGAACCCTGGGGCTGCTAGTTCCATTTTTAGTCACTACTAATCATTAGAACCATCTTTCTTATCACAAATCAAACTGTCTCTCTTTAAAATTAGCGCCATTGGTCATAGTTCTGTCTCTGAGAAATATTCTTCTGGCAGCTGTGTTCCCCTTGCATATGGCAGCTTTGGCTACATTCTAACTAATGAGTATTTAGCTTTGAATGTTTTGTAATGTATCCAAGATGAAGGTATTCTATGAATGTAAAATAGGAATTGATCATCTCAGTGATGATTCCTGGGACAATACCTTCAGAGCCATGCCCTAATTAGATTAAAAACTCCAAAATTTTACTCCAAATAATAACCTGTTTCTGGAGTGAATCACCCAAAAGCCTGGGGAAACTTGTCTTTTGTTGTTTGTTTGTTTCAGTAGTGATTCTCAAACCAGAGTGATTCTCCCTCATTCCACCTGCAGGGATTTAGCAATTTCTAGAAACACTGATGATTGTCACACTTGGGAGGGGTGTGTTATTGTCATTTAGTGGACAGACGCGAAGAATACTATTAAAGATCCTTAAATGTCCAGGGCAGTTCGCTCCCACCCCCAATCCCCACAGCAAGTGATTATCCAGACGAAAATGTCAAGTGTTGAGATTAAGAAACCTTTGTTTGAGAAACCTCAAAGTAGTCAACATAGAAAAAGATATACAGTGATTATTTGCTACTTTTTATCTTTTGGTATTTCTTTCAAAACAGCTCAAATTTTCAAATTCCATGTCATCTTTCACCTGACTTTTTAAAAGTCAAGACCATCATTGATAATGATATTAGTCACTTGGAAATTTATCTTGGTGAGAAAGGTAGGCTCTTTGAACATCTTTGAATGTTTTTGTGTATGTGTAGCACCTAGGTGGCCTGAGAAAATCAATCCCCTCTTCTAGATTGAAAAACTTCTAGAAAGAAAAACCAAATGTCAGTGGATGAGAGCCTCACTTTAAGGTAAGATATTCAAAATCAACTTCCTATAAATAAATAAATACTTTAATTCTACCTAAATAAAATAAATAGTAATGTAAATGTGCTTAACATATTAACTGAAGGTGAAGCCAAGAGTAATTTTTAAACATTATTATTCATTTGAGTTTTACAATCATTCATGTGGTATTTAATATGTGCCATGCATTGGGTCAGATGCTAGTGATATAAAGATGGAGAAGACTTGATCTCTGACCTTAGCAAAAAGTCTGGTGAGGGAAACAGAAGTACAAAATGTTTATTTGGAGCTCATAAACTTCTTTCTTATTCCACTGCAAATGAATCAGAAGAGGCCTTCAATCTCCTGCCACCAAAACTTCCAATCCACCAGTATCTGTACCCATGTGTGCTCTGCCTTCTCTGATGACTCAATGAGCCCACTGTCCCTATTCTACATGGGCCAGCTTCTCACACACGATCCCATTTCTGCCTACTCAGGGACATTTCTCATGCAATTATCTCTTCTGTCTT
The DNA here is from genome assembly GCF_000001405.40 of Homo sapiens. Taxonomy (NCBI): domain Eukaryota; kingdom Metazoa; phylum Chordata; class Mammalia; order Primates; family Hominidae; genus Homo; species Homo sapiens. Next base: position 180,401,203 of record NC_000002.12, on the reverse strand, counting down.
CTACCTCATCATGTCATCATTTCTCCTCTCTTCTGTATCATTTATTCAGCACACAAATATGCCATACTATATATCAAAACTAGCCTCCAGCCCTGTGTCTATCCCCACCCCTTTCCACACTCCCTTCACCCACTTAGTTCAAACTCTCAGTATCATTTGATCCACGTCATCACTCCCTCTTCCTTTACATCTTTTTCTCTAACTTGAGATTTGATACAACGTATTCTCCTGATTTATATCCTTACCCATCTGGCTGCTCCTTCTCGGTGCCCTGGATCCTATACCTATACTGTTTATAGTTAACTGAAAAAAGAGCATTTATTTACATTTCCTACTTTGGGGTATATCTCACTCTGTGGTAGGGTCAGACCACATATGACACAGTAAATACAATACCACAACACATCAATTAAGTACAAATAAACAATTAAAATAATTGCCAGCACATCACATTATTTAAAATAGTCTAGTATAATTCTAACATCTCCTCAGTCTTGAAATGCTATAGTGTCCCTTATTCTTAGACGGTTCTGTCCACTCCAATGATTCAACATATTCCATATGTTGATGACTCCTGAATTTAGATCTTCAGCATGAACATCTCCTCAAAATCTTTATACTTGTACCAGGATGTCTGATGGTCATTTCGATCTTTGCAAATGTAAAACTGAGCTCTTGATTCTCTCTCCTACCCCTTGTCAAATATACTCTTCCTCTAGAAGACCACATCACAGCAGTTATCAGCATAAAACATCTAATTTATTAAGGAAAAACTTTGGAGTCACCCTTATTCCTCTCTATTTCTCATAGCTTTCCTTTTAATTCATCAAATCCATCCTGTTAGATCTCAATTCAAGTGATATCCAAAATGTATTCTCTTCTCCCTACACCAGCTTAATCCAAGCCATCACCATCTTTCTCTTAGGTTCACTACCTGGGCCCCCAAGAAATCTTCTGTTGTGGTGAATCAGTAGTCAGCTCTGCCCACAGTAGCCAAAGTGTCTCTTACAATGGAAATTATGTCATGTCACTCTGCCGCTAGACACCCTGCATTAGTTTTCCAACACTCAGAATAAAATCCTAAATCTTTGCTGTGGCCTATTAGATCCTACCTGATTTGACACTGAATATCTCCCTACTCCCATTTCCTGCCATTTTTCTCCTTGCTTATGACAATTTCTTGGCTTCTTTGCAACTCTCAAACACTCTCTCAACTTGGCGCCATTATATTCATTTTAACCGCTTCCTGAAACAATCTTCACTTGAGTAGTCACCCAGCTCATCTCCACAGTTCATTCATTTCATTCAGGTCCTCGCTCACATGTCAATTCCTCAGAGACAACCCTTTCATAATAACACCCCTTCTCTATCCCTGCTATAAATTTCTTCTTAGCATTTATCACTACATAATATTATATTATATTTTATTTGTCTGAGTATTTTTTCTTTTTATTTTTTTGAGACGGAGTCTCACTCTGTCGCCCAGACTGTAGTGCAGTGGTGCGATCTCGGCTCACTGCAAGCTCCGCTTCCTGGGTTCACACTATTCTCCTGCCTCCCTCCCGAGTAGCTGGGACTACAGGCGCCTGCCAACACGCCTGACTAATTTTTTGTATTTTTAGTAGAGATGGGGTTTCACCGTGTTAGCCAAGATGGTCTCGATCTCCTGACCTCGTGATCCGCCTGCCTCGGCCTCCCAAAGTGCTAGGATTACAGGCGTGAGCCACCGTGCCCAGCCCTTGCCTATTTTTTCATTACCCCACTGTCATATAATCTCCACAACCTCTGGGTTTGTTTTTGTTTTCCCTTCTATCCCCAGCGTCAAGAACTATTCTTGGAATATAATAAATACTCAATAGATATTTGGTGTAATACAGAATAAACTAGTCTCTGTATTTAGCCTGACATCACCTAGAATATGTATTCTTAACATTTATAAACATTTTTCATTTTGCCTATCAACCTTGTACTTTTAAAAGCAATATATCTATACTGTTTACAGTAAACTGAAAAAAGCGCATTTATTTTCATTTCCTACTTTGGGGTATATCTCACCCTGTGGTGGGGTCAGACCACATATGACACAGTAAATACAATACCACAACACATCAATTAAGTACAAATAAACAATTAAAATAGTTTTCAGCACATCACATTATTTAAAATAGTCTAGTATAATTCTAACATTTTTTAAATAAACCAAAATATATTTACAAGAGTTTGCATGCTTTTCAGCTAAAATAGCATGACTTCTGGATGTTGTCTTAGAAATGGGAGAAACTTGAACTCTTCAAAGAGAATTGCAGTATAACTAATCACTCTAAACAATGTTTTGATGCAAGAAGCAATGTATCTGTCTTTTCTGTAATACGTTTTGATGCATTCCCTGACATCTACGATTTGAAGTTCAACAAATTGACTAAACTGGAAATGTACTTTGTCAATAGCAAATGGAATCATATATTTCAGAATCATCCTAAAAACAGTGCAACTTAAAATCTATCTGAATAATGTTAGTGGGTCGTAACACTCAGACTAGAGACTGATGTTCTCACTGTTCCTATGTGGACATTGATACATTATAAACCTTCCAGAAGCACTAAAAATGAGGAGTGAAAAACTCTTCGCTTCAGTCTTGTTGAGAATAAAGTTTCTAATAGCTCTTATTTGGCATTAGAAAAGTAATTGTCTGCTAATATGGTATTGAAGCACTAGATTTGGAAGGAAGAGGCCTGGCGTCTAGTTATTGTTCATCCACTTAGTTACATGCCCTTATGCCTCAATTTCTTCATTTTTCTCATTAATTAAGAAAAGAGGGAGTGATACAAAAATAATTATATTCTGTGTATTCTACTTGGGATCAATTTGCAAAATAAGTCACAAAGCTGCTTATTGGACGAGCTGAAATTTGAATTTTTATCAGTCAAAATAGATGAGTTTATGTTGGAATAATAAGCAACTTCTCTATCCCAGTGGCTTAAAATAATAAAAGTCCATTTCCGATTCATGTTACATGTCAGCAAGCATAGTATGCTCCTGTTGGTAATTCAGAGACCTGGTTAATGGAAATTCCATCTTGACACATTTTCCACAATCACTGAGACAGAAAGAAAGAAACATGGCAGTTAACGTTTCTGACCATAGGTAACACACTTCTCACATTTCACTGATCGAAGTCACATGAATTTGCTTAACCTCAAATGGAGGGGGAAAATATGCCCCTCTGTAGGTATGGAAGGAAAACCAGAATGTTTTTGAGTAGTTTCAGTGTCTACCACAGAAAGCAATCTGGATCAAGAGACCATACTGTTTATTTGTGTGTCAGAGGCAAACTTGTTGGTATTTCCTGGCATACACAGGAACTACTAACTTTCTAACTGCTAAATAGATAGTCAGTGCTATCTATTTCTCTAGAAAGTTTACGAGGAAAAATAGGAAAAAAAAAACAAAACCCTTAAACAGATTATGCTGAATAGAAGGACATTTTTTGTGTCTTCTACTTGGAAACATGATATATCTGTGACATAAAAACATATGTATGACATGATCTTATAATGAAATATTGATTTTTAATTGAGTAGATTTATAGTAACAGATTTAAGCTTATAAGTAATCATGTCATGTGCAAAATAACTTTTTTTTTTTTTTTTTTTGAGTTGGAGTCTCGCACTGTTGTCCAGGCTGGAGTGCAGTGGTGCAATCTGGGCTCACTGGAAGCTCAGCCTCCCGGGTTCACACCATTCTCCTGCCTCAGCCTCCCAAGTAGCTGGGACTACAGGCAACGGCCATCACACCCGGCTAATTTTTTGTACTTTTAGTAGAGACGGGGTTTCACCGTGTTAGCCAGGATGGTCTCAATCTCCTGACCTCGTGATCCGCCTGCCTCGGCCTCCCAAAGTGCTGGGATTACAATCATGAGCCACCACACCCTGCCCAAAATAACTCTTTAAATTTTGCTATTACTGATAATAATCAAGTAACAGAAAAAAATGTAAACTGAAAAATAATTTTAAAAAACATGTTCTAATTTTTCAAAAATAAGTGATATTTTACATAACATTCAAAAGCACAAAGTATCTCCAGTGAAAAACATGCCATTCCCATCTTTCTTGCCCTAGTCATCCAGTTTTCTTATAGCACAAAAAAAACATTGTTTTTACTATGTTGTCCTTAGAATTTATGATACTTTTTATCTTACAGAATTGTGTGTGTATAGCTGAATTTATTAACCTTTGATGGGTCCTGTTCTTTATCATTCATAAAAATGTATTCTAAATACCAAGAGGATAAAAAATTAAATAAAATCCCATGTTTCTTTCAGTACATTTGTAGTTTTTTAATTTTTTAATTTTAATTTTTGTGAGTACATAGTAGAGATATATATATATATATATATATATATATATTTATGAGTACATGAGATATTTTGGTACAGGCCTACAATGAGTAACAATCACGTTATGCAAAATGGGGTACCCATCCCTTCAATAATTTATCCTCTGCATTACAAACAATTATACTCCTTTAGTTAGTTTTAAATGTACAATTGAATTATTATTGACTATAATCACCCTGTTGTGCTATCAAATACTAGGTCTTATTTATTCTTTCTAAGTATTTTTTGGAACTCATTAACCATTCCCACCTCCCCTCACAACCCTTCCAGTACCTTTCCCAGCCTCTGGTAACCATCCTTCTATTCTCTGCATGAGTTAATTATTTTGATTTATGGTTTTATTTTTCATTCTTACATGTATAAAGCATTCAGAATTTATTGTTGATGAAAGACGTGAGACCACAATATTAGCTTATATTCTTATAATTAGGTATGTGATTGCTCCAATATTACTTATGGAAAAATGAATTTCTTTCCACAAATTGCAAATGTCAGTTTTGTTATATTCTAAATTCCCACATATACTTAGGTCCATTTTTGAGTTTATGAATATATCTCATGAGAAATATTTTAAATTCAGCATTTACTACATTGTGACATGATTTCAAAAAAAATGTTAATACTTTTTTACATAAAATGTCTATGAAGGGAAGTGCTTTCAGAATCATGGAATAAGGATCTCCCAAAAACCTATTCTTCATAAAATCAATGAGAATAATAGAGAAAAAAATCAAAATCAACTTATCAAAACTAGAAATTAACCAATAGTTTTCAACTATCTAGGGATCATTTATTTTAGAAAATTGGTTGAATCTTTATAAGACTAGTAAGCTTTGTGGTGTTTTAACTTGCCCTAATTCCATCCTACACTTACCACCTTTATTGTAACCTTGAAAACCAAGTGTCTTACATCCTACTGGGAAAACCTTTAAAGTAGTGACCACTGAGTTGAGAGAATAGATTTGGAGCTCCCCAAAAAGTCCCATTTCCAAAGAATTGTTGTCAGTTGACCAGTTTGGTAGCTCATTAGAAACCACCTCTCGCAAGACTTGTCTTTATTTTACCTATCTCAGAACATGCTCTTTCTTCAGGGGTATTTGTCTACAACAGTCAAAGGCAATTGTTCAACATTGCTGCTGCCTGAGGCAGTGATAACCGTTGGGGCAAACAAGAGGCTGGCCAAGAAACTAAAAAGAAAAGCTAGGGATTAGGTATTTACCAGGGGCTATGAAAAGCTCTGACAGATTCCTGGAAATCTAGAAGGTCACAAACATGTGCAAAGCTGTGTACATGCCCAGGGTCATGAGCATGCTCATGAAAGTCTTGAAAAGATCCAAAATCCTCACTTCTGGCTCTACGTAATCAGGAGGTGTAGGCTAAGGCATAATTGTAAACCACCAGAACATCAATGCTATGCCCTAACATACATGCAAAGCCACTTGGCAAAGACAGAGAGACTTATTGATTTAATACCTTTAAGGAAATCTCTGTTCAGTCATTAGCCAACCACTGAGCAGCTGAACAGAAGCTTCAGGGACTACACAAGACAAAGGATACAGACTTTACCAAATTAGTTTAGAAAAGTCACTGAACAAACAAACAGCAAAACAACAAACCCTAGTGAAGAGACCTGATTTCTAAAGCTGCTATATGTATTATTTAAGATGTTCAGTTTTCAGCAAAATATCATGAGACATACAATGAAATAGTAAAACATGGCCCATAAACAGAAAAAATAGTTACTGGAAACTATCTGCAACAAAGCCCAGATGTTGAACTTAAGATACAAAGATTTTAAATCAGCTATTATAAATATGTTCAAAGAACTAAAAAAAAAAAAAAAAAATCACGTCTAAAAAAAACTAAGAAAACATCAGAAAGATGTTTCACCATATGTAAAATAATAATAAAGATTTAATAGAGAGGATCAACAGCATATTCGGGCTGACAGAAAAAAGAATCACCAAACTTGAAAATTGATTAAGACTACCTTATTGGATGTACAGAAAGAAAAAAGAATGAAAAAAATGAAGAGACTCAGGGACTTTTGGGACAACATGTGCAAAATGAGAGTCCCAAAAAAGAAGGTAAAAAAGGACAAAATTTGTATGTGAATAATTAATGTCATAAATCTTTCACACTTGATGAAAAAAATTAATATTCATATCCAAGAAGTTCAATAAAATTCAAGTAGGATAAATTTAAATATATTCACACCTAAACACATCATAGTTAAACTTTTAAAAGCCAAGGACAAAGAGAAAGTCTTCAATGTAGCAAGAGAAAAGTGGCTAATCATGTACAAGGAATCTTCAGTAAGATTAACAGCTGATTTCTTATCTTAAACTATGAAGTCCAGAAGACAACTTGGGATGACATTTTCAAAGTGCTGAACCCAGGAATTCTATATCAAGAAAAACTATTACAAGGAACTTAAACAAATTTGAAAGAAAAAATCAAACAACCCCATCAAAAAGTGGGCAAAGGATATGAACAGACACTTATCAAAATAAAACATTTATGTGGCCAACAAACATTTAAAAAGTTCAACATCACTGATCATTAGAGAAATGCAAATCAAAACCACAATGAGTTACCATCTCATGCCAGTCAGAATTGTGATTAAAAAGTCAAGAAACAATAGATGCTGGTGAGGCTGTGGAGAAATATAAACGCTTTTACACTGTCGGTGGGAGTATAAATTAGTTCAGCCATTGTGGAAGACAGTATGGCAATTCCTCAGGGATCTAGAACCAGAAATACCATTTGACCAGCACTCCCATTACTGGGTATACACACAAAGGAGTATAAATCATTCTACTATAAAGACACATACACACATGAACACATATGTTTATTGTAGCATTATTTACAATAGCAAAGACTTGGAACCGACCCAAATGCCCATCAATGATAGACTGATAAAGAAAATGTGGTATATATACACGATGGAATACTATACAGACATAAAAAGGAATGAGATCATATCCTTTGCAGGGACATGGATGAAGATGGAAGCCATCATCCTCAGCAAACTAATACAGGAATAGAAAACCAAACACAGCATGCTTTCACTCATAAGTGGGAGTTGAAAAATGAGAACACATGGACACAGGGAGAGGAACAACACACACCACGGCCTGTTGGGGGGTGGGGGTAGAAGGGAGGAAACTTAGAGAATGGGTCAATAGGTGCAACAAACCACCATCGCACACATATACCTATGTAACAAACCTGCACATTCTGCACATGTATCCCAGAACTTAAAGTAAAATTAAAAACATAAACAAAAACAAAAACAGCTATTCCTCAAAAAGGAAGAAGTTAAAATAATTGTAGTTAAACAAAAATCGAGACAATTCATTGCTATTAAACCTGACCTACAAGAAAGAGTATAGGAAGTCCTTCAGGTTGAAATAAAATGACATTAGAGAGAAACTCAAACCTACATGAAGAAATAAAAAACACATTAAAATGTAACTACATAGGTACAGAAAAATATAAAGTAAATATATTTTTGTTTGTTACTTTTATTTTTCAAAAGATAAAAGAATAAAATTGCAAGAAACAATAATTACAAAACTGTGTTCATGCTTGTACAAAGATGTAATGTAAAGAAAAATTGTAATGTATAAAGCTTACAATACTAGCACAAAAGAGGAAGAAGATAATAAAAATACACTAGAACAAAGTTTCTAGGTAAAATTGAAACTTAGCTGGCATTAATTTAAACTAGATTATTATAGGTGATCGTGGTAATTATAATCCCCAGGCAACTTCTAAGAAAATAAATCCAAAACAAGAAAATTAAAGTGATATAAAAATATCCCTTTAATACAAGAGAAAAAAGTAAAACTAATAAAGAAAAAAACATATGCCATATAGAAAGCAAAGAGCAAATCAGTAGACAACTCTTGTTAGTGGTTGCATTAAATGTAAATGGATAAGCACTCAAAAAAATATCTATTACCAAAACGGATAAAAGACTTTATTCAAACTATATGCTGTCTACAAGAGACACACCTTAAAACATGCAAATTAATGGAAAGTAAAAGAGTGGAAGAAGATACATCATGCGAGAGCAATAAAGTGGCTATATTAATATTAAAAACAGACAAAATAAAGAGTATGATGAAAAATTGTTACTATGCACAAAGAAGAAGCTTTTGTAATAATTAAAGGACCAATATATTGGAAAGACATAATAACAAAATATGCACCTAACAACAAAGAAAAATATGTGGAGCAAAAATTGATGAAATTTAAGGGAGAAATAGAAAATTCAACAGTAATAGTTAGAGTCTTCAATATGCCAGTTTCAATAAGTCTTCTGCTACGTGATTGCAATGGAAGGACAAAAAACATAGAAGACTTGAGTAACACTGTAAACCAAGGAAACCTAATAGACATCTATGCAACACTCCACCCAACAAGACATTTCACATTTTTCTCAAACAGACATCAAAGCTTTCTCTAAGACAGATCATTTATAAGACCATGAAAGAAGCCTTAATTAATTGTAACTGTTTGAAATAACTTAAGGTGTTTTCTAAGGTGCTTAACATCATTGATCATCAGAGAAATGCAAATCAAAACTACAATGAGATATTATCTCACCTCAGTTAAAATGGCTTTTATCAAAAAGACGGGCAATAACAAATGCTGACAAGGATGTGGAGAAAAGGAAATCCTCATACACTGTTGGTGGGAATGTAAATTAGTACAATGATTATAGAAAACAGTTTAGAAGTTCTTCAAAAAATCTACAAATAGAGCTACCATACAATCTAGCAATCCCACTGCAGAGTATATACTCAAGAGAAAGGAAATCAGTATATCAGAGATATCTGCACTCCCATGTTTGTTGCAACACCATTCACAATAGCAAAGATTTGGAAGCAACCTAAATGTCCATCAGCTAATAATTGGATAAAGAAAATGTGGTACATATACAGAATGGAGTACTATTCAGCCATTAAAAATAATGAGATCCTGTCATTTGAAACAACATGGATAAAACTGGAGTCATTATGTTAAGTGAAATAAGTCAGACACAGATAGACAAACTTTGCATGTTCTCACTTATTTGTGGGTGCTAAAAATCAAAGCAGTTGAATTCATGCAGACAGGGAGTAGAAGAATGGTTACCAAAGTCTAGGAAGAGTAGTAGGAGGAGTGGGAGGGAGAAGGAAGTGGGAATGGTTAATAGGCAAAAATATGTAGTTATAAAGAACGAATAAGATCTAGTATTTTATAGCATAACAGGGTGACTATAATCAATAATTAATTGTACATATAAAAATAACTAAAAGAGTGTAATTGGATTTTTGTAACACAAAGGATAAATGCTTGAGGGTAGGGATACCCCATTGCCTAGGATGTGATTATTGCTTACTGCATGCCAGTATCAAAGTATCTCATGTGCCCCATAAATGTATATACTTACTATATACCCACAAAAATAAAACAAACCAAAGTATGTTTTCTGACCACAACAGAATGAAATTAGCGATCAAAAAACAAAGGAAATTTGGAGGATTCACAAATATTTGAAAATTAAGCAAACACTTCTAAATAATCAATGCATCAAAAAAGAAATCACAAGGAAAATGAGAAAATGCTAGAGATAAATGCAAACAAAAACACAGCAAAAATTTATTGGATGCAGCTAAAGCAGTGCTTAGTGGAAAACTTATAGCTGTAGATGCCTATATAAAACAAGAAAAGACCAGGTGGTGGTTAATGCCTGTTGTTCCAGCAATTTGAGAGGCCAAGGCAAGTGGACCAGCCTAACCAACATGGTGAAATCCTGTCTCTACTAAAAATACAAAAATTAGCCAGGTGTAGTGGCAGGCACCTGTAATCCCAGCTACTCGGGAGGCTGAGGCAGGATAATTGCTTGAACCTGGGAGGTGGAGGTTGCAGTGAGCCAAAATCATGCCACTGCCCTCCAGCCTGGGCAACAGAGCCAGACCCAGTCTCAAAAAAAAAAAAAAAAAAAAAAAAGAAGAAGAAGAAAGATGTGAACTAAAGTACATACATTATGTGATCTTCCTATTTCTGTAGTTTCTTGAGAATTTATACATCATGTTTAGTGTTTTGTACAAATCTGCCATCCTTTTCATTTGTTAACTCTCCTTCATTTGAGATTACTGGCAATCATAACGAACTCTGTGTTAACTCTTGTATTGGTTATTGAATTAAGCACAGATTCATCAGTGCAATTTTTTATCAAAAATGTGTGCGATTTTGCAATTCTTCAACACGTTAGCAAGAAAACCTTAGCTTTGCTGCCTAGAAAAAAAATACAACTATTAGATGGTACATCTTTTAATTGTCAAAGCAGATGCACCTATGAGGCCAAATTTTGCCATTGTGCATTTGAAATCACTAAATACCCACATCAAAAACTTAGAAAGATCTCAAATAGACAACCTAACATCACAACTGAAAAAAGTAGATAATCAAGAGCAACCAACCCCAATGCTAGAAGAAGACAAGAAATAAACAAAGTCAGACCTGAAATGAAAGCTGTTGAGACACAAAAAATAACATTCAGAAGATTATCAAATCAAAGAGTTTGGTTTTGGAAAAAATTAATAAGATAGGCCACTAGCTAGAATAATAAAAAAGAAAAGAGAGAAGATTCAAATAAACACAATTAGAAATGACAAAGTGGATGTTACCACTGACCCCACAGAAATACAAATAACCACTAGAGACTACTATTATAAATACCTTTATACACACAAATTAGAAAACCTAGAATAAGTTGATAAATTCCTGACATATACATCCTCCCAGAACTGAACTAGGAAGAAATTGATTCCCTGAACAGACCAATAACAAGGTCCAAAATCAAATTAGTAATAAATCATCTACCAACCAAAAAACAAACAAACAAACAAAAAAACAGGAACAGACAGATTCATAGCTTTGACTTCTAGCAGATGTACAAAGAAGAGCTGGTACCATTCCTACTGAAACTATTCCCAAAAATTGAGGTGGAGGAGGGACTTCTCCTTAATTCATTCAATGAGACCAGCATCATTCTGATATGAAAATATGGCAGAGACAATTCAAAAAAGATAACTTCAGACCAAAATCCTTGATGAACAGTGATGCAAAAATCCTCAACAAAATACTTGCAAACTGAAACCAGTAGCACGTCAAGAAGCTAATCCACCACAATCAAGTAGGATTTATCCGTGGGATGAAAGGTTGGTTCAATATATGCAAATCAATAAATGTGATTCATCACATAAACAGAACTAAAGACAAAAACCACATGATTATCTCAATAGATGCAGAAAAGGCTTTCAATAAAATTCAACATCCCTTCATGTAAAAAAAAAAAAAAACTCTCAACGAACTAAGTATTGAAGTAATATACATCAAAATAATAAGAGTCACCTATGACAAATCCACAGCCAACATCATTCTAAATGGGCAAAACCCGGAAGCATTCCCCTTGAAAACTGGCATAAGACAAGTATGCCCTCTCTCACCACTCCTATTCAACATAGGATTGGAAGTCCTGGACAGAGCAATCAGGCAAGAGAAAGAAATAAAGGGCATCCAAATAGGAAAAGAAGTCAAACTATCTCTCTTCACTGAATAAGATTCTATACCTAGAAAACATTAAAGACTTCACCAAAAGTCTCTCAGACTGATCAATGAATTCAGTAAGGTGTCAGGATACAAAATCAATGTACAAAAATTACTGGCACTCCTGTACACCAACAAGAGCCAAGCCAAGAATGGAATCAGGAACACAATCCCATTCACAACCGCCACAAAAAGAATAAAATACTTAAGAATACAGCTAACCAGGGAGGTGAAAGATCTTTACAATGAGAATTATAAAACACTGCTCAAAGAAATCAGGGATGACACAAACAAATGGAAAAACATTCCATGCTCATGGATGGAAAAGATTAATATCATTAAAATGGCCACACTAACCAAAGCAATGTACAGATTTAATGCTATTTCTATCAAACTACCAATGACGTTCTTCACAGAACTAGAAGAAACTATTTTTAAATTCATATGGAACCAAAAAAGAAGCCTGAATAGCCAAAGTGATCCTAAGCAAAAAGAGCAAAGCTGGAGACATCATGTTACCCAAATTCAAACTATACTACAGGGCTACATTAACCAACACAGCATAGTACTGGTACAAAAACAAACACATAGACCAAAGAAACAGATTAGAAAGGCCAGAAATAAGCCTGCACACCTACAACCATCTGATCTTCAACAAAACCGACAAAAACAAGCAATGGAGAAAGGACTCCCTATTAAATAAATGGTGCTGTGATAATTGGCTATCCATATGCAGAAGATTGTAACTAGACTCCTTCCTTACACCATACACGAAAATAAACTCAGGATAGATTAAAGATTCAAATATAAAACCAAAACTACACAAACCCTGGAAGACAACCTAGGCAATACCATTCTAGACATAGGAACTGTCAAAGTTTAATTAGATCCCATTTGTCAATTTTTTGTTTTTGTTGCGATTGCTTTTGGCATCTTTGTCAAAAGCAATCGCAACAAAAACAAAAAATTGACAAATGGGATCTAATTAAACTTCAGAACTCCTGCACAGCAATACATAATTAATAAATAAATAAATACATCAACAGAGTAAACAAACAACCTACAGAATGGGAGAAAATATTTGCAAACTATGCATCTGACAGATGTCTAATATTCAGCGTCTATATGAAACTTAAACCAATTTACAAGAAGAAAACAAATGACCTCATTAAAAAGTGGGCAAAGGACATGAACAGACACTTTTCAAAAGGAGGCATATAAGTAGTCAAGAAGCATATGAAAAAAAGCTCAATATCTCTGATCATTAGAGAAATGGAAATCAAAACCACAATGACATACCAGACTTACACCAGTAGGAATAGCTAATTATTAAAAAGTCAAAAATTGACAGATGTTGGTGAAGTTGCAGAGAAAAAGGAATGCTTATACACTGTTGATGGGAGTGTAAATTTGTTCAGTCTTTGTGGAAAGCTGTGTGGCAATTCATCAAAGAGCCAGAAAGAGAAATACCATTCGACCCAGGAAGTCCATTACTTGGTATATACCCAAAGGAATATAAATTATTCTACCGTAAAGACACATGCATGTGTATGTTCATTGCAGCACTATTCACAATATCAAAGACATAGAATCAGCTTAAATGCCTGTCAATGACAGATTGGATAAAAAATGTGGTACATATACACAATGGAATACTATACAGTCATAAAACAGAATGAGATTATTTTCTTTGCAGGAACGTGGATGGAGCTAGAGGCCATCATCCTTAGCAAACTAATGCAAGAACAGAAAACCAAATACTGTATGTTCTCACTTATAAATGGGAGCGAAATGATGAGAACACATGGACACAAAGAGATAAACAGTAGACATTGGAGTCTACTTGAGGATAGAGGGTGACAGGAGGGAGAGAATTAGAAAAAAATAACTATTGGGTACTAGCCTTAGTACCTGGGTGACAAAATAATCTGTACAACAAATCCCTGTGACACCAGGTTACCTAAAAAACAAACTTGCACATGTACATTTGAACCTAAAAGTTTTTAAAAGAATCAATTAATAATAATAAACCATAATAATAATAATAATAGTAAACCTTCATAAAGGACAAAATTAGATGATTATCTCAATAGCAGCAGATAAAATATTTGATAAGGATTAAAAACCTACAAAAATGGAAAAACATTTCATTTTCATGAATCAGTAGAATGAAGATGGCAATACTCCACAAATGTATCTACAGATTCAGCATAATCTTTCTCAAAATTCCATCTGGCTTATTTGTAAAAGTTGATAACCTGATTGCAACACTTATGTAGAACTTTAAGGGACAAGGATAGCCAAAAATCTTGAAGTAAAGAATGAAGTTGGAGGACTCACACTGCCTAATTTAAAATCTTATTACAAAAGCTACAGTAATCAAGACAGCATGGTACTGGCATAAAGCTAGACACACAGATCAATGGAAGATAGTCGAGAATCCAGAAACAAACCCTTACATTATGATCAACTGATTTTTGAAAAAAGTGGGGGAAAGAATCGACTTTTCAACAAATGGTGCTGGGACAACTAGATATCCACATGCACACACACACACACACACACACACACACACACACACTGTAGACTTCTACCTCATAACACATACAAAAATTCACTCAGAATGAATCACTCTAAATGTAAGAGTTCAAATTACAAAACTCTCAGAGGAAAACATAAAAGTAAATTTTTGTGATCTCAAATTAGGCATTTTTTCTTATATAATTCAAAAATCTCAGGCAACTAAAAAAGGACAAATTACTCTCCATCGAAGGTAAAAATTTGTGTGCTTCAAATGACTCATTAGGAAAGAGAGGAGACAACCCACATAATGGAAAACAAACTACAAATCATATGTCTGATAAGGCACTTGTATCCACAAATGTAAATACCTCTTTAAAACAACTATTTTAGAAACCCAATAAAAAGGTGGGCAAATGATTTGAATAGGCATTTCTCCAAAGATATATAAACAGCCAATGAACATGTAAAAATGTTCAACATCATTATTCATTTGGAAAATGCAAAAAGAAGCACAATGATATACAACTTCACCCTCACTAGGATGACTAATATACAAAAGATAGAGAACACCAATTGTTGGCAAGGATGTGAGAACTTGGAAGCCTCATGCATTACTGTAAACATTGTGACATAGTGCAGTTACTTTGTAAAAGTAATAGATGAACCTTGAAAACATGCTAAATGAAAGAAGCCAGAGAGAATTGTGCACATATTGTTATGATTTCATTTATGTAAAATTCACATAATGGCAATTCCACAAAAACAAAGCACAGGAATGATTACTAGGGTCTGGCAGGAAAACGTTTGGGCAATGATTGTTAATGTGTCAGAAGATCTTTTAGGGGGTGATGAAGTGTTCTGAAATTATGTAATGGCAGCAGTTGTATTGAATTGTATACTTCAATAGGACTTTTTTTTGGCTATGTGAAATACATTGCAATAAAGCTGTTATGAGAAATAGTCTGTGAGTCATCTTTAGTTTCAAATCTGCTCTACAAAACAATGGTATTTTCTCTCCTATCCATCTACACACGTGCAGTTTCTGGGTATTTCAAAATGTATATATTTGACTCTTTACTAATTGATGAAAAATCAACTTCCTGTTGTTATGAATCAGCCATTCACTTCTATGCAGACGTATTGATCCCTGGACTGTTATAAAATTTATTTATTTCCAGTATTTATCTAAGATAGTATCATATATATGGATCATTTCTGGAAAGATTCATTGTACCTTCCTAACTAGGAAGACATTAACAAGTCCTACTGATTTTTATCAGACCAATACAATTACATTACAATTTTAAGTATTTAAAATTTGTCAACCAAAGATACTTCTTTATATCATTTAGCATGTGTCACCAGTTAGCAATGAGAATTAAAGGAAAATCAGATTAACATATTTACACTGCCATTCTGTTATTCAACGTAACCCAGTTTGGAAGAGAGTATTGTCACTTCTGCAGAGGAGTAAATTTATCAATTTATATAGGTCATTCTTATTTTGCTCCTCCATGAATTCCTTATCTATTTCATACAGGAACTCTTTGGGAAAACACTAGTATGAGAGAGCAACAGAAGTGTAAATTTTCTAACACTTGTTTCTGTCAATATTTTCTTTTGAATTCTCCCTTGTTCCATTACAAGTTTGGAGCTCAATCATTTTCTAGTCAATATAGCTCTTTGTATCTTTTGACTGAACCAGGAAATAAGAAGAGGAACTAATGAACATCAGAATTGTGATTGGTCATTACAAAAAAATCAATTTTAGTCAGAAATACACTACTTTGTTTCACTTGACAATTGACTAGTGCAAGAAAACTGGATTATAAATACTCTGATCGATATAGTACACATAAAAGACAACAAATTAGATTAACTGCACATGAGTAAATAGTAAGTAACTACTTAATATTTAGGCTTTTATCATCCATATCATATGATACGCATTGCATAGCATAAGTAATTAAAAGTTACTTTCATATCGACTCTAGGAAAATATTTTCAATTTTATCCTAATTATTTCTTTATAAGCCATAATGAATATTAAGATTCCTAGTTGTAATATGAGTGGCAAAGCCATAGACCTTATTGTGTTTTAGATCACTTTCTGAAAGTTTTATGTAGAAAGAATTTGTACACAGGATAATTATCATAAATGTGATGTATTTAGGAGAGTATGATTAGCTGAAATTTTCTTCTAAAATTTAAAATACTAAAATTATGACATTATTTTTGTATACAATCAGCAATTTAAATCAAATGCCCTAGATATGTCCCATCAAAATTTTTCTTTGCAAATAAAATAAATTGTTGTATTATTTGCAATATCCTGATTTCTTCTGTGTCTTAAATGACTAACCTAGATGCCTATCTCCCTCAATAGGTAAAATTGGGTGCTTTTATGTGTGAGAGTAAAATTCTCCACTTGATTTTTTGAAATGATTGAAAGACAAAAGAATTGCTTAATTGCCAAAAAAGGGATTTAAGTTGACTTACAATTTTATGGTTCACCAGCTGTTGTTCATATATTTGGAAAGTATATCACAATATTCATAATGTTAATATCTTGGGGTTTTTCCTCCATGCTAAGTTCCCTTGGGTTAGTTAAGGGTAAGGGGTGGCAAATTGAGATGCTGTCTACCAAAAAATCTATAACTACAACAGTAAACTTAGCAGAAACAAAAACACTCTAATAAATGTAAGTCAAAATTTAGACCAAAAGTCAAAGCCTGATCTTGTGAAGGCAAATATTCTCTACAAAAGTGTTATTCTGAGCCCACAAAATCTTCCTTTCTGTTAATTTTAAATAATTTTAATTTGTTTTCTATGTTTAAAAATTGGAATATTTTACACCAAAAACTAGATATCTGGCTTTTCTTTAAACAAAACAAAACACCACCACACAATCTGGCAAACTCAGGCCCGTTTTTCTCACGTATCAAAAAAAAAGTAGAAATGAAAAAAGCATTTTTTTTTAAGATGGAGGGGCATACCAAGAACATTGTTTTCAGTCCATTGTTTCTAGGATTTGTGGTTCTTTTTACTTCTCAGCTTTGCTCATTTATATTAGCTTCCCCTTTAAGCATCTAAGTTTATGGCCTCTACCAACATAGATATAAATGCTTCTATTAGGAAAGCAACCAACACACAATTTTAGTTTTAAAAAGTTTCAATTTTCCCAGAGACTGTCTTCCACAATGTTTATTTTTAAACATAAGTAATGATTTTGATCAATTTTTAGAATTACTGGCACACGTAACTAGTTAAGTCTAGTTTTCTAATCAGAATGGAAAGCAAGCCTTAAAAACTTAGGTACATCGTGCTCTCTACCTACTAATAACTGTTCCCCTCAATCTCTTTAGATACTTCCATTAAGGCAATGAAGACAAAATACAACATGTGAAAATGAATGGGGTTAGAGAAGATTAAAGAGAAGCAGGACTTCCCATCAGTCATATACAATATTTGCCTAAAAAACAAAATTGCCTTATTTCAAGATCTAACCTGGAATATAACTTACCCATAGCATTCATACAATATTAAATACAAATACATACATGATATGCTAAGAGTTTAATAAGATTTCTTCTAGAACAAAATTGATCCATTTCAAAGAGGCATAAATATACTCAGTCTACTTACCTGCCATGCAACATATAAAATGGCATAAAGTGAATACACTGTATATTAAAAATCTTGATAAAATAGAACCCTTAGATCAAGCAATTTCATTTCTAGCAAAGGATTTTACATTATGAAAACAAACATTGATATATCCAAAGATTCATATACAATGAAGCCTTACTTACAGTAGCAAAACAGAGGGGGAACAACAGCAATATATGCAACAATAGAGTTCTGGTTGAATTAATTTAGTACACTAAAAATAAAAAGGGTAGGAAATTAATTATTGCAACAGAAAAATATTCACAATATAGGATGAAGTAAGCAGGTTCAAAAGAGCATGTTCATCAACTTGCACACTCAGGTGCATCATCCCAACTTCATAACAGGTATGAACAAAATAAAAATAGAAAAGATGTATATTAACATATGAACAGATATTTGTATACCCATGTTCATAGCAGTATTATTCACAATAACTAAAACATGTCAACAACTCAAGTGTCCATCAACAGATGAATAAAAAAGAAAATGTGGTACAATCTTCTCTCGATATTCACAAGGGATTTGTTCTAAGAACCCCCACATATACCAAAATCTCTGAATGCTCAAGTCCCTCTTATAAAATGGCACTGTTTGCATTTTACCTATGCATATCTTCCTGTATATTTTAAATCATCTCTAGATGACTTATGATACCTAATAAATGTAAATGCTATATAGTTGTTACACTGTATTTTATATGTATTATTTTTATTGTAGTATTGCTATTTTAAAAATATTTTTCATTAATGATGGCTTCAGTCTGTGGATGCAGAACCCATGGAAATGGAGGGCTGACTGTATATACCTAAAATGGAATATTTATCAGCCTTAACAAGCAAGGAAAGTCTGACATATTCTACAACATGAGTGAGCCTTGAGGACATTATGCTAAGTGAAATAATCTGGTCATCAAAAGACCAATAATGTGTAATTCTGTGTATATGAAATTTCCACAGTAGTCAAAATTACAGACAGAAAGTAGAATGGCTTCCATGGGCTGAGAGGAAGGGGAAATGGAGAGCTATTGTTTAATGAGTATAAAGTTTTAGTTTTGTGAAATGAAAATAGTTTTGGAGATGGATGGTGGTGATATTACACAATAATGTAAGTGTTCTTAATACCACTAAACTGCATAGTTAAAAATGGTTAACATGGCAAAATTTAATGTTATGTGTATTTTACTACAAAAAAAATGAAAAGAAAAGCTATATTAACAGAAATGAGATTTTAGGTGTAGTGGGTTGAATAGTGTCCCCTGTCTTATAGCTTGAGATGCTATAACAGAATACCCATGGACCTGGTGGCTCAAACAATAAATATTTCTTATAATTCCAGAAACTGGGAAGTCAAAAATCAAGGTGCCAGCAGATTTTGGTCTGATGAGGGTCCTTACTGGCTTAAAGATGGCCACCTTCTTATTGTATCCTCACATGACAGAAAGTGAGTGAGAGTTGTGGTTTCTTCATTCACTTACAAGGACACCAATCCCATCATGGGGGCTCCACCCACATGACCTCATTCAAGCCCAATTTCCTCCAAAGGCCTCAACTCCAAATGCCATCACATTTGAGATTAGGGCTTCAGTCAATGAATTCTGGGGAAACACAAACTTTCAGTTTATAGCACTCTGCCATGGCCTCCCAAAATTCATGTCCTTCTTACAGACAAATTACATTCATTCCATCCCAACAATCTCAAAACTCTAAACTCATTCTAACATCAACTCTCGAGTCTAAAGTCCAAAATTTTATTTAAATATTATATAAATCAGGTATAAATAAGACTCAAGGTACAATTCATCCTGAAGCAAAATTTCTCTCTAGCTGTGAACTTATGAAACCAGAAGATAAATTATGTGTATCCAAAATACAATTGTGGAAGAGGCATAGGATAGATGTTCCCATTCCAAAAGGAAGGAACATGATGGAAGAAAGAGATGACAGGTCCCAAGCAAGTCCAACACCTAGCAAGGAAAAAAAATCAGATACTAAATTTAAAAAATAATTTTTGTTTGCTTGCTGCTCTGCCTTCCAGACCCACTGTCCCAGAATCTGATGGAATGGCAATCATCACCTGGCCTGTTGGAAGCAGGGTAGAGGCTCTATCCACATAGCTCTGATGGGCAGTAGTGTCATCCTTTGAAATTGAAGTAGGTATCCTTGACCCCTAGGGCTATGCAGTCTGGGATGGGGGTGAAAGTGGAACCCCTGATGATCTCTGAATTACCTTTGGAATCATTTTTTTCTTGCCTTGAAAAATATCTCATGCTTACAGCAGAATAGCTATATGGTCAGGTCCTGTAGGGTGTAAGAAATTTGACAGCCTACCTTTACTTCATCCTGATTTGTCTTTTTCCTTTGATCCCAGCTGGCAGTGTTTCTGCTAGCATAGTCTCATCTCTATTTGTAGCTTCCATTGAGATACTGATTAGGTCCAAGCTTCATACTCACACTAATATCCTTATCAAATGGTAAGTCAGCCACATCCCTAATGTTCTCTAAAATATGAATGGCTGAAAATTTTCCAAATATTTAAGTTCTATCTTCTTTTGACTGACAATTCCTTCTTTAATTCATTTCTCTCTTCTCACATTTTACTATGAGCAGAAATGAGGAACCAATCTGTTCTTTCAACATTTGCTTAGAAATCTCCTCAGCTAAATATCCAATTTTATTGCTCACAAGTTCTAACTTCTGAAAAACGCTAGCATGTGAATGCAATTTGCCAAGTTATTTGCCACTTTAGAACAATAATAATCTTTTCTCCACTGTCCAATAGCTTATTCTTTATTTCCACCTGAAACTTCATGAGAATGACCTGTCCAATTCATATTTCTCCTAATATTTATACATGACTATGTATTCTCTAAGAAGATGGAATCTTCTTCTATAGCGCTCCTTTTCTGTTTCTGAGCCTTCACCAGAGTAACCTTTATCAGTGCCTTCATGGCAATATTGACTTTTTCTAGCATGCACCTCAAAATTCCTCCAGCCTCTACACCTTACCCAGTTCCAAAGTCACTTCCACATTTTTAGGTATTTGTTACAGTAACACCCCACTTCTATTACCAATTTATGTCTTAGGTCCAGCTGCTATAACTGAATACCATATACTAGGTAGCTTAAACAACAAACATTTACTGATCAGAGTTCTGGAGTTTAAGAAACCCAAAGGTCAAGGTGGCAGCAGGTTAGCTCTGGTGAGGGCCTTTTTACTTGCTTCTATTTATTTTTATTTATTTATTTTTTGAGACAGGGTCTCACTCTGTCACCCAGGCTGGAGTGCAGTAGTACAATCATGGTTCACTGCAGCCTCAACCTCCTGGGCTCAAGCAACCCTCCTGCCTCAGCCTCTTGCGTATCTGGGACCTTAAGCATGCACCACTATACCCAGCTAATTTTTGTATATTTTTGTAGCGATGAGCTCCTGCCATGTTGTCCAGGTTGCTCGCAAACTCCTGGGCTCAAGTGATTCACTCACCTTGGCCTCCCAAAATGCTGGGATTACACATGTGATTAATGTGCCTAGCCCTTCCTGGTTTTTAAATGGCTACTTTCCTGTTGTATTCTCACATGGTAGAAAGAAAAGGAGAGTTCTGTTTTTATTTATTTATTCATTTATTTTGAGACTGTATTTCGCTCTTTTGGCCCAGGATGGAGTGCAATGGCGTGATTTCGGCTCACCACAACCTCCGCCTCCCGGGTTCAAGCGATTCTCCTGCCTCAGCCTCCCGAGTAGCTGGGATTACAGGCATGTGCCACCACGCCCGGCTAATTTCTTGTATTTTTAGTAGAGATGGGGTTTCTCCATGTTGGTCAGGCTGGTCTCCAACTCCCGACCTCAGGTGATCCGCCCGCCTCAGACTCCCAAAGTGCTGGGATTACAGGTGTAAGCCACTGCGCCGGGCAGGAGAGCTGTTTTTTTCATCCCCTGAAAAGGGTAATAATCTCATCATGGGAACTCTATACCCATAATCTCATTCAGCTCTAATTATTTCCTAAAGACCTTAATGCCAAATAAAATCAGATTGGGGATTATATCTTCAACATATGAAATATCAGAATATTTCATATTTCAACATAAATATGAAATATTCAGTCCATAGCATCCCCCAAACTTTATGCCTACCTATAAACACAAAATATGACCTTATTTGGAAATAGAATCTTTGCACATGTAATTAGTTAAGATGAGGTCATACTGAATTAGGGTGAGCCCTAAATTCAATAA
Source organism: Homo sapiens (assembly GCF_000001405.40). NCBI lineage: Eukaryota > Metazoa > Chordata > Mammalia > Primates > Hominidae > Homo > Homo sapiens. The sequence continues at coordinate 180,378,774 of NC_000002.12, read as the reverse complement.
CTGGTACCTCTGTAAGAAGAGGAAAGGACACACAGAGACACAAAGATACACAAAATTCAAGGCCATATTAGACAGAGACAGAGACTGTAATATTGTAGCTACAAGACAAATAATGTCAAGGATTCCTGGGAGCTACTAGAAGCTAGGAAGAATAAAGAAAGATTATTTTTTTCCTAGAGTCTTCAGAGGAAGCACAACCCTGCTAACAACATTTGGACTTCTTCTTCTTCTTCTTCTTTTTTTTTTTTTTTTTTTTGAGACAGAGTCTTACTCTGTCACCCAGGCTGGAGTGCGGGGGTGCAATCTTGGCTCACTGCAACCTCCACCTCCTAGTTTAAGTGATTCCCCTGCCTCAGCCTCCCAAGTATCTGGGACTACAGGCATGTGCCACCACACCTGGCTAATTTTTTTTTGTATTTTTAGTAGAGACGGGGTTTCACCATGTTAGCCAAGATGGTCTTGATCTCCTGACCTCATGATCCACCCGCCTCGGCCTCCCAAAGTGCTGGGATTACAGACATGAGCCACCAAGCCCAGCCAACATTTGGACTTCTAACCACCATAACTGTGAGAAAATAAATTTGTATTGTTTTAAATCATCAAGTTTGAGATAATTTGTTACAGCCGTAATCTCAATTTTACTCGTCATGTATATGGCTTTTGCCCTATTTTATAAATTAAACATGTTACTTTTGTAATAAGAAAAATGTTATTTAAAACATGTTATGGCTTAATAATTAATCAAATAAATAATAACTGATAATTATACCATTTTACAATCAAAAAGCTCTAATCTACATATTTAAAAGAAAAACATATATGTTCAAACATTATTAAAATTTCTGATGAGTATATGAAGCCTGAATACTTTTATTTATCATCCACATTCATGAGATTTGGGGGATAAACAAGGAAGATCTCTCTCCTCTAAGAATGATCAAATATCACTAAGATATATTAATAATAAGATCAAAGTAAACTGAGCAGCTGGTAGAAGCAATAAAGAACTTCTGGTAGAGTAATCATGTTTGGTTCATATCATATTGATTTGGTTTTAGTAAATAAAGACATTTCTCAGGTAGACATTGGGAGAATTCAATATGGAGCAAATAAAACAAAATATATGTGGGCACAAGACAGAAACAATCCAAATAACAAAACCTTAGCTTTGGAAGATTTAGGCTTCATCTAGTACATCTTCCAATAATTCAAGAATCCTTCAAACAACATTCCTGACAGGTGATAATTCATTTAGCATTATGAAATTTTCTCAGCATCCATTACTTGCCAAGGATGTGCAGCTTACATCATTCAGCAACTGCCTCTAGAAGACACTTCTTCAGGAAGCAGCCTATTCTATTCTTTTACAATTTTAGTTCTTAGAAAATATTTTATGTTGAGACAAAATCTCTCTGGAGTATCTAACTTAATTACTGTTACTCTCCTTCCTTATTTTCTTCCTTTCTTCCCTTTACCCTTCATAACCAACTTGGCTCATAACTTGAAGTTATAGATTTAAGGAATTTTGGAAAGGAAATCAAGAGAGTATCAACTTCTCACCAATGACAAAATTCCCTTTACAGCATTCCTTTCCCAATTGCTGTTCCTTCTGCTCTTAATGCCTCTATTGAAAGAGAACTATTCCCCCTCTTTTGTGAGCAGGCAGATCTACTTTGGGCATGTTGTATGTAGAGCTGTTCTCTGCCTTTCTGTGACCTTCAATGATTGGTTCTGTTCCTTCCTATCAGAGGCATAGTGAATGCTTCCATGCTAGAGTCATCCAGGAATCTAAAAATCAAGATCACCTCACCCCTTTGACCTCTACCTTGCCAGGAAAAACACTCCTGGTTACCTTTTCTGGCGTTGTGACCCTTTTTTATTCACCCTTATTGTCACATTTTTCCGAACAAACTCAATATATCCATGTTTCTCTAGCTACAACCTGGTGCCTGGTATTCAATACATTACAGATGTGATACAGTCTCTCAGAGCAGCATTAATCTGACCACTGTGGTGAAAAATGCACTAAACATAGTGGAAGGCAACATACTTTCTATGGTTGTTCCGCTAAAATCCCAGCATATATTTTTCACTAGAGTCTTTTTTTCAATTCTTGGTTGTTTTTCCCCTTCCTATACACAGGGATTTTTTTATATCTTAACTAAAATGCAAAACTATATATTTATCTCTATTGAATGTCATTATATTAGTTCCTCTCCATTTTGGTACCTTTTCAAGATCTTACGGAACACTAATTCTTTCATCCAAATAGCATCCGTTAGAGACTTGCACCATTCACAAATTCAACAACATCTTCTCTGCCTTCTCTTAGCACAGAACTTTACCATTCTAACCATAACATTCTGGAATTCCTCAAGTATTAGTCACGATGATGACAATGATGATGATATCTAATGTTGAATGACACTTTCTTCCAAACATTGTCATAAGTGCTTTATATATATTATTACACCTAATCCTCATAAAACCCCTATGAGATAATGCCTATTGCTATCTTTATCTTACAGATAAAGACACTACTAGTAAGTGGTGGAGACAGGGCTGATTATATGCTGGTGTGGCTATATACGTCATGTCAGGCTTTATCCATTCTGACAAGTCGACATCTAGCATTACCAGCTGTTAAATATTTTTAAAATCACCCTGAAATGTTGCCAAGATTTGAACCCCAGCTGCTTGACTCTAGAGTCTGTCTTCTGAACCAGATTCTCTCTGGCTCCCCATGAAAGATGAAGGAAAGGCCAAATCAGTGGCAATTCAATTTTCTATGTTTCCTTCAACCAGGCATATTCTACTTTTATCACATTAGGCATTTTATATACACATATTCAAAGTAAAATTAAATTATTAAAAAATAGCTGCTGCCAAAACTTAAAGTACTAAAGGGTAAATGGAACATAAAAAATAACTAAACTTAAGATAAATAACTTTTCCTAAGTCACAGTAAACTTATTTATTAATACTGAATGTATCATTTAAAACAACCTCCTGAAATTATGTGCAATATTATGTGTATTTAAGACAAGGCATTTTTTTTCCTGAGAGATGATGTATAGCATTTATTAGACTCTTAAATGAGCTAAAGGCATACAAAAAGTCAGCATTGCATATGATCATCTCTCTGATCAATTATATACCTAAATGTGTCCATTTTTTTCAAGGGCATGAGACAATGGAAAAATTTCTTATTGAAATCAGACAAACTGTCACTGTAATTCTCAAACTAAGGAATCTGATATTAAGCAACTTTCTTGTCACTTTTGAGGTTCGGTTTCACATTTGTGAAACAAGGTGAAAATAGTACCCACTTCAAATTGTTGTGAGGTTAGAGTGAACTAATATACGTAAAGTACTTGGAGCAATTTCTGGCACATATTTAGTGCTTCATACACACTAATATTTACCTGCAGAGTTCCATAATAATATTAATTATAGTGTGCCAGAATTTCCAAAGCTAAAGGGTAAATAAAGCAGCACATCTTCCGGAATGAATAGTACTTAATGATTTGAGAAAATTAATATTATTTACACATTAAAACAAATATTTTATTGAGTTGAAAAAATAATCTACCTCAATATTTAAGACAAAAGGACTTGAAAATTCACTCACAAGGCAGACCTCTTCTATTAAGATACCTCAGTGGAAACATTAGAGAAGTACTGATGTGGGAATTCCCCAAATGAGCAGTTTATTAACTGTCAAAGAGGAGAATAACTTATTCAGTCTAACAAAAAAAGAAACTCAAAAGTGATACATGTTGATATCTAATTTTTAAACTTTGTATGTCATGTACAGTCAGAAGACAATTCTCCAGGGGTCTCTCACATTACTCTGCATGTCTTGGGAACAGAGGCACTAAGAGGCTTTTGTTCTGAATTATCTTTGCAAGGATGTTTATTTAGCTGTAGCCTTGGGAAATAGAGATAGGAGGCTTGTTTGTTGTCCAACGTAATAAAGATAATGTCTTCCTCTAAGCCAAATATTAGGTTGGTTTGCTGGCTACTATGAAATATTAGAATTTTCAAAGTTTGGAGTTACTGTCTTGTAATACAGCTCACTGCATGTGCAAGCATCACCTGGCCCTTGTCATGCTGCCTGGTGGGAACTGGGGCTTTGAAAATCAGCTTAAGAAAACAGTAGCATTCTGGCTACTGTTGATGCTTTGAGTAATAAGTCATCATTTTCTCCCATCCAGAAGTCGCATGTCTTCTGCTGGCATCCATGAAACTATGGCAGGCCTACTTGTTAGTTTACAAGTGGGGTGAAATCTCAGACCTTTCACAGTTTTTTATATATACATATTATTTATATAAATATATATATTATATATAATGTGTATATATAATATATATTATATATAATGTATATATAGATTATATATAATAACTCAGTTTGAAATGTCATTCATTGACAAACAAAATATTTGCAGCAAAATGAAAGATAATACATTAATAGCTGTGTATTAGTCAGTTCTCGCATTGCTACAAAGAAATACCTGATACTAGGTAGTTTATACAGAAAAGAGGTTTAATTGGCTCATGGTTCCACAGGTTGTACAGGACCATGATGGCTTCTGAGGAGTCTCAGGAAACTTTCAATCACGGCAAAAGGTAAAGCGGGGGGGAAGCATATCCTACATGGAGGGAGTGGGAGAGAGTGAAGGAGATGCCACATACTTTTAAATAACCGTATCTCATGAGAACTCATTATCATGACCACAGCACCGAGGGGGAAATGTGCCCCTATGATCCAATCACCTCCCACCTGGCCCCATCTCCAACAATGGAGATTATAATTCCACATGAGATTTGGGTGGGGACAAATATCAAAACCATATCAAGCTAAAATAAAAAAAAAAGCTTTCACAAATCAATAGGAAAAAGATGAACAAGTACAGAGAACAGACTAAATGTATGAAAATGCAATTATTCCCCAAATAAAAATGAAAAATACATATATGAAAAATATATAAACCTTTTAATAACCAAAGAAAAATATATTTACGGAAAAATTTATGCTGGGAAAAAATGTAGTGGTAACATTAAATTTAATATAGATGTTGGGACAGTTTCTCTGTCATTACCAGCTTGTAGAAGTTTAAGTTGTGAAACATTTTTAAAGGGAAATTTTATAACATATATCACAGTTCCTTTTTAAAAGACCATATTCTTTGATACTAAAATCCTATTTTAGAAATACATCCTACAGAAACAATTTGGCATGATAATATATTTAATCATTTTCATAATTCTGTAAAATAAGAAATAGTGTAGATCAATTCCAATAACAAATTAATTTTTAATTATGATATAGTAATATGATATAGTATGATATTAAAATAATTTAAATATATATTTACTTATAGAGGACACATTAACCATAGAGGACAGGGCATTTATGATTTATTGTGGAATGAAAAAGAAAAAAGAAAAATAAGAAAAAAATTGATTTGCATAATTTCTCATAAGGACTTTGCCTATAAGCAAATATGTTAACAATGATTTTCTCTAAAATATAGGATTCAAAGTAATTTTAATTAGATATTTTCTATTTTTGATGTTTTTCTGACATTTATGAATTTCTAAAATTCTAAAATAATTTAATTACCTTGTCATGAATTGTTCTTTGTGTACATCTTGGCCCTTTATGATCTCTATCTCCTTTTTTTTTTCTTTTTAGACAGAATCTTGCTCTGACAGAGTCTGTTGCCCAAGCTGGAGTGCAACGGTAGGATCTTGGCTCACTGCAACCTCTGTCACCTGAGTTCAAGTGATTCTCCTGCCTCAGCCTCCTGAGTAGCTGGAATCACAGGTGCCCACCACCAGGCCCAGCTAGTTTTTGTATTTTTAGTAGAGACAGGGTTTCATCATGTTGGCCAGGCTTGTCTGGAACTCCTGACCTCAGGTTATCTGCCCGCCTCGGCCTCCCAAAGTGCTGGGATTACAGACGTGAGCCACCGTGCCCGGCCCAACCTCTGTCTCTTTAGTAAGTGTTCAAAATCCATCTGTTAATAGAGTTCTTATTTTTCCATTCATAGCGGTCAGTGTCACTAATCTGAGCAATTTGCAATTTACCTTCTCCCATATTTTAAAAATAATCAGGCCTTTATCAGTTTCTGGTCTTTGGAGTCACAGTACAAGAACATATCCCATGCTGTGTCAGAGCCCTTTCAAAATTTAAGGAGCTTGCCTATTCCTCTTACCTTTTTTCATTTTTTCTTTTCTTCTCTAGTTTAAACATATGGTTTATTCAATCATTCCTTGTATGTCTTGATTCCTACAACCCTCTCCATGAATGTCACCTATTCTCATTTCTTGCAGTTTTGTGGTCAGTGCCTTTTTAAAACTTCAGAGGAAACACTCCTCTATACCCAGATTGACAAAAATGAAGTACAAAATATCATAATTTTCACCATCTGTACATTTTACTTCTACTAATGCACCTGTTTTTGCATCTTTTTTAAAGTAGTCATATCACTCTACTGATACACATTGAACTTATCACTTATGAAAACTTTGTTTTTAGAAAAATACTACCAAATCAGGTCTTTACCATTTTGTATTTTCCTAACTGATTTTTTATTTAGGGATTTGTATTTGTGAATAAAATTTATGGATTCATATTTAAGTAAATTTAGGACTTCACATTTCCCCATCATATTTTATTTTATTAACCTTGGTCCTTATTCCTACCAATACACAATGATACATCTTCTAAGCTTGACAAGCCTGGACGAATTTTGTGTGCCTGTAACTGTCGGCCTTCGTATATGTCTTACGCATGTATATCTTTACAAAATGTAGTCAAGTGGTTTCTGTCATCTCTCACAGAGTAAGTAGTCATCTTGAAAGGATCCCAAGTGAAAAGCACTAGAAATTTAAAAGGGGAGAACAGGTCATTTTCATAAGAGCCTCAATCCGTGGAGGGTGCAGAAACTCAGAGAGGCAGGTAATGTGAATGCCTGAAGCAGGTTCATGCTGGAGAGTACATGATTATCCAACGGGGGCCACCACTTCTGATTGCTGCCATAGGGAAATGTGCTAATGTTCTGATTTTTCATGAGAATACCAGAATCTAGGTTTTTATGTAAAATCATTACATTTTTAAATGGCTTCACCTGAGTAAAAAAAGTTTAGTGAGTTTTTTCTTCTAAATTAAATTCATTCACAGGCCAAATGATCCCTGTAGATGGCCAATTTGTGACCCCTGAGTGAACAGAAGCTAAGTGGGTCTTGCCATTCAACTCACCACTACTGATGGTATGACACAATTGACAGATTCATGGCTTTGGATTTCTTGAAAACTCACCCAATTCTCAGTACTTTATTGTGCATTGATTCAAAAAATAGTTATAATGTTATTAAAGAAAAAATCAACATTAGCTATCTATTAGTGTCTAACCAGAATCCTGCATAATTTCAACAAAGTCATTCAGAATTTCCAGTGTGAGTCTTTCTAAAAGTCTTGACAAAGACTTGTTATATCCGAATTTATCATTGAAAATGTTTACTCAGTATCTCATTATAGCCAAGAGGAAAATAAGCCTTGCAAAATAAATCTTTCATAATTTGGAGATATTTTAGTGCCTTAGGATTCTTAATGAGACTTCTTGGGAACCTCACTGTGTTAAATATAACCACTTATACCACCATTGACACAACATCAAAATTCCACTAGCAAAAAAAACACTCTCTCCTTTGACCTATAGCAACTGTACAATTCTATTCCATGCCTGACAGCTGATTCTCATAAGACCTCTGGCATGCCAAACATGATCCATGACAGCTGATCTTAGCTAACAGCAATCACTGCAGACAAACAATTCTTTTTGACCAGTTATCTGAAATAAGCAGGAATGAATCATTTTATATTTGATTTGACTATGTATAGAAATAGTCTTTCATTAGTTCCACATCTGGGATGATCAGGAAAATGTTCACTTTGTAAATTGGCATGTTACTTACGAAATACAGAAAAAACAATTCGATGATTTACATTTCAATATCAGCATTCAGGTTTTTTTTCATCCCTTGCCAGTAGCCATTGTTTAGGCAAAGGGAATTTTGGCTAACATTCAGGATTCCAGGTCAAAAAGCTTAAGAGTCTTATTCAATAACTTGGAGGTAGCCCAGGAGTCTGTGTTTTATTGAGCACCTTAAGGGATTAGAAAGCAGGGCAGCTGCAAACTATATTTTTAGATACATTTTCTAATCTCTGTCTCCTCCCTAAAAGTTACCCACATCAAAACTGTACACACTCTGAATTCTTCAACCCCTTAATCTGCACAGTACATGTTATTCATATCTCTTTCAGAAAACAGTCATATAAAGATGACCGGACAAGGCATAGGTTGCAATTTGTTTCGTGATTAGGAGACCCTACTAGTCATATCTCTAATTCTCTCTACCTCTCACCTCAGAAACTGGCTCTAAAAGAACAAACTTCAGTTTTTCCAATACAAAAGCATTGAATACCAATATGTAAATATATGCAATAAAGGTAGCTACTCTCTCCTGTATAGGAGAAACCTTGTAGCCAGCTCAAGCTTCAGCCACAGCCAGTACTTGGATATACTTGGAGGCCCAAGTTTCAGTTGGCCTCCGTTGCCAGATGCCACATCAGCCTAGACCCCAAGAAAGAAGATTCCAATATTCATTTGTATGGATCAGTTTTACCTGTCTCTAGAAGAGTTTTGGTCCTGTCCCACCAAACCAATTAAGCAAGGTCAGACTTCATGCATGAACTTCTTCAGGTTGGGTTTCTCTGGAGGATAGTTATTGCCAGTTGTGGGTAGTTATTTGAATGTGAATCAAGGTCCCTTTAATTGAATTCCTCCAAAGAAAGTTCAGCACTGGAAATAAGCATTATTAATTAGAAATATTGGCTCATCTGATAGTAGACAGAAAATGAGAATCAGTTATGTGGGTAAGGGTGAGTGCAAGCACTGAGCATTACAAACTTCTCTGACAATAAGTGTCCCCGTTGTGACACTAACTAGTTGCACTACCTTAGCAAGTACTTTAAACTGGATGTTAACTCTTTTCTTTTTTTGAGACAAGGTCTCACTCTGTTGCCCAGGCTGGCATGCAGTGGTGCAATCATGGCTCACTGCAGCCTCGTCCTCCCCAGGGTCAGATGATCCTCCCACCTACCTCCTGAGTAGTAGCAGCTGGGACTACAGGCACAAACCACCCCACCCTGCTAATTTTTTATTTTTATTTTTGTAGAGATGAGGTCTTGCCATGTTGCCCAGGCTGGTCTCAAACTCCTGGGCTCAAGTAATCCGCCCACCTCAGCCTCCCAAAGTGCTGAGATTACAGGTGTGAGCCACCAGGCCCAGCTTGGATATTAACTCTTTACATACAAGAAATAATTAGATTCAGTGATAGCAAAAGATTTGTTAATGGTCTGTTTTTATTCAAATGTAAATTGTGTTGCATTTTAAAAATCTCATTTATATATTTCACCACAAGTACTGCAAATCTCATGATGATATTTTGTTTTATTCTGTTTTTCTTTATCCATCACATCCTGAAAGCATCTGTTATTTTCATTCATAAGCATTTGGCAGAGACGGCTTAATAATTTTCCTCTTCCTATGGAGCAGCAACTAAACTATATTTTCTGCCCTCCTTTGAGTCATATATGACCATGTGACTGAGATCTGAACAGTAGAATGTGAACAGAAGTTTGGCATACCATTTCTAAGCAAGGCCCATAAAATCCTCTCATCCATAACCCTCCAGCCTTCTTTTCCCACATACTAGCTAAACAGAGAAAACATGAAAATCAGGAGGAGAACGGAGCCACAAGATGCAGAAAACTAGGTCCCTAAATTGCTCCTTATGAAGAGCTACCCATATTGCTGCCTAACAAGGAACAACGAGTGAAAATATGTAAGAAATAAATTCTTTACATGTGAACCCCCCCGAAATTCTGAGAGCTTTTTACACAAGCCTTTAGCATGCCTTATACATAGTATTTATCTCCATTGTGATTGTATATCACTTATGTATATATGTATGTATCTTCTTAACAGTCTTGTAGCAGGTTTTCAATAAATCTAGTTGAATCTATGAATACAGAAAAAATGCACAGAGATAAATTAATAAATGCTTACTGAGTTGAAGTATAGAGGCAAGAAATCTAATCCAAAAGTAAATTTTAGAAAATGCCTTTCATTTCTTATTTTGTCTTTCCTCCTCTGATTAAAAACGTTCCAAAATACTTGGAAATAAACCTTGGTGAGTTTTATACTTGGAAACAAATCTTAGTGAGTTTTATAAGTGCTTAAATAAATTTGATCATATCATGGCTACCTAATAAATGTCCTATAATATTTTCTGTTCTCATACCTCTGTAACATTTTCTTCCTTTACTTAGTGTGATTTTGTTGCTATGTGACATATTGTAGCAGTCAATCAATATTACACCTGTATTGGCACCATTTGAATGCTGTACTAATTTTGCCTAATTTATTCTAATATCCAGTAATGTTCTGTCAGCCAAACAGCTCCAGATGCCTGCCTAGTACAACTTGCACCTTTATACAAGGCCCTGTATAGATCAAATTAGATCAACAACCCCAGCACAAAGTGCTGAAAAATAGTATCTCTTTGCCTTCTCTGACTGCAAAACCAAACCAGTGCCAATAGGCATCTTTATATGGTATTGCAACTACTGTCAGTCAGTGCCAAATTAAACTACCTTACCAGGGTTATGAGAAGCAGTATTGTTCTTAAAGTGTGTTTGCTGCCAAGACAATAGGGTGTATTGCATCTGTTGCCTGGGATACACATATACAACATCCAACAAACAAGCTGCATAGTTTGGTGTTGAGAAAGGCCAAGATATGCACATTAAACAAAAAGTTGAGGAGAAAAACCTTAGAAATTAAGCACATAGTGCAAGTGGTCACAGAAAGACAGGGCCAAGGCACTAGCTATATATTAGATCTGTAGATTAAATTTTCACAGAGATCCAAAAGAATCTCTACTTGTTAAAGTTTTCTTTACACAGTGATAATCTGCCCTAGATAGCACTTGTTCAGCAGCACTGCATGAAGAAAAGAAATAGCTTGACCATGAAAAATAATTTTTATTGATCTTTATGTGTACATATTAACAATTTTGGTTTTTCAATTTTCACTTTTCTCATTTTTCTAGAAGACTTTGTTGTTTTGTACATGATATGGTAGATTCAGGAGGGTCGCAAATCCTTGGATATCCCTTTCAATGAGTGGTGAAATCAATTTGCTCTCCCCTTGAATCTGGCTGGCCTAGGATTATTTGGATTTGTACAGTGAAAGCGAGGTTATTCCATCCCTGAACTAACCTGTAAAAAGACTGGCAGCTTCCACTTTGATCTCTTGTAGACTTGAGCTTCCATGAAAGAAGTTTGACTGCCATGCTGGAGAAATAAGATGAAGAGCTCTTACAACTACTTTGGGAAAGAGAGATACCCAGTTGAGCCCAGTCTTCCAGCTGTCACCATCAAAAACACCAGGCTTGTGGATGAAGCTGTCTTATTCCCTTTAGACTGGCCAACATACCAACTGGATATCACCAAGGGATCCCAGATGATATCTTATGAAGCAGAAGAATCACCCAACCAAACCCTGATGGAATTTCTGACATGGAAAATTATTAGATATAATGAAATGGTTGTTGTTTCAAGGTAGTAGTAATTTTTGGGGGGGGTGGTTTATGCATCAATAAAATATGTAACTGAAACACATGGACATCAAACACAAAAATTTGGTGATGTGGCTTTTTTACAAATTTAAGATTTGTATGTTGGTGATCAAACAATAAAATGACCCCATCTGAAGAATAGGGGGAAGAATCTAGGTAACCAGTTGCTTGCTGCAGGGTAGGTCATCTCAGAGCTGGCCTAACAGAATTGCAATTCCTCCAACATTCAGCTGAGTCTCCATTCCTTAGCTTCTGCTGACTGGCCTAGGGGATTTTTTTCCAAAGGCCATAAAATTAAATTAGAATTCACTGCTTAAGCATAATGATTTCCCACTGTTTATGTGGGTTATCATTTACAACCAACTGGCATTTAATCAAACCACTATTTTTATTTCAGGACCAGAGGCCACAACATTGTGTATTTTTTCTACCTCCCTGTTGAGCAAAGCAACTTCAGCCAAGCTGTGAAGGGATATCAAATGGTTTGTGAAAAATCAGCATGCAGTATTGTTTTCAAACATATTTATGATTTCACACCAACTTAGGAGGGATTTAGTTCAATTTGTTGATTGACACATAATTTTACATTTACATATGTAATAATGTCAAAATCTTCTGGAGAAAAAAATATGAATTAAAGGAACATAATCACATTCTGATACAAATTCACTTATCCTCAATTCTAATTCTGTCCTAAAGAGGAAGTATGTAAAATATATACAGCATTGCCTAGCCAAGTAAGTAACACCTGCTTTGAATCATCTCATTTCTACACTCTTGTTCCTGTCCTTCCCTTGGCCTAGAATTTCTTCTGTCCTTCCTTCTTTCTTCTTCATGAAATCAAGACTCTGCTAAATACCATGTCTGTAATGGCCACTCATAGGTTTGTCTGGCCTAAACAACTTCTGATTCTGAGAAATGCCTGTCTTTTGCCACATAAGTCCTGTTCCTCTCCCTGCTTTGACCCTAAATACCCACATGGCTGCTGGAAAAATATAAACAAACAAACAAAACACATTTCTTGTTTTAAACTAGCAATATATTCCCTTGCAACAATATTAGTTCTGACTTCCTTTTGAACCATTTTCTGTCTCATGACACAGCAAATTGTCACCTCCAAATACCTATAGTTATGCGTTTATTCCAGTCTTAAAGTTCTTATTTCAAATAACATGTAATAAAGTTATTTATATCTTCCTTTCCTAATAAATTAGAAGTTTCCTGTGGCAGTTACCTGGTTCATTTACTCTCCCTAATACCAAGCATAGTGCCTTCCTTGTACATAGTAGGTATTTACTTAGCAACTGGTGTTAAATCATGTAACATCTGTCAAAATATTAAAATAAACAGAGAACTGCAAAGTATTTTCTCTCCTCTTTGATAAACTGCGAATGCAAATTTGGTAATACCCTAGTTGATTACTATGAAAATCACATATACAATTCCTCTCTTACCATAGAGTTCCCTGATGTTGCAGATGCTGGGGAAAAAGGCAAATTTCTGCCTATTGAATAACTGCTTAGTTAATATTAGGTTTGCAGCAACTGTGTGATTTGAAGCATGCCTTAAACAATTTTATCTAATAAGCTACATTCTGATAAGGCCATTAATTAATTTATTTTAAAAAGCATGGCTTCAAAATCTTTTAAGAGCTCTTAAGACAAAACTTTTGAAAATATATAAATCTTTTGGTGTTTCAGGTGAGTCACTAATAAAACAAACAGGCACAGTCAATAGAGAATTTACATATACAGGCAATCTCAGTTCAGGGAAATATACATTTTATTTTATATGTGCTGGTAGCTGTCATGGCCATGCCACAGCTGTTAGAAATTACAGGTTTTCAGTGGCAAGCATCAGCCATCACTGTAATTATTATTATTTTATCAAAAACAATCACAGGGAGTATTTTAGTCTAACAAAAGCCTTCTAGGTCTTTGTTTATTCACTGCACCATATATTCTGCCCTCCATGCCAACTGAGTTAAAGTTCTCTTCCTCCTGATTTAAAACCTATTATTAGAGAAAGCAAAGGTTCCCATCTTTAACACAAAGTACGATTGGTGCTTGGATAGAGAGAACACTAGTCTCAGAATGTAAATAAAAGAAAGTACAACCTGAGAAGCCTTATTCAGCAGGCTTTCGGCAACATTCCCAGAGAGGGATTGCAGTTTACTAGGCCATGTCAAGTCAAAAGTAGTAAGGCAATGGGCAAACACCAGGCTGAATGAATTTAAAACCTCAGATACAAGACTAACAACTCAAGGAGTTTAAGCTTTCTATCTAAGCAGCAGTCACAGCAAAAGCTACTACCTCTATAGCCTGGATATTTCACCTCTGATAGCAAAAGATTACTGTCGTGAAAAGTCTCTCATGACACTGAGGGACCTTTTCCTCTTTAAACTCTGCAGCAAGCCTATAGAAGAAGCGTTCCAGCAGAGCAGAGAGCTCAGTGATATAGTACCTAGGAGAAATGAGACAGGGTAACAACGACTTGCTGAAGAAGCACAGCTGCTGGACAAAGTACCCATCTGCTGGGGGATGGATCATGGGAGAGGGCATTTCTAACAGTTTAAGTTGTAGCCATTCCACCAGCAAGCATTTTAAACTGTATATCACACATTAATATTACACATACTTTTAGTGCCCAAGTATGGCAATGGCAGGGTAAGGGGATGATAGAAGTTTCATTTTTTTTTTTTTAAATTATACTTCAAGTTCTGGGATACATGCGTAGAGCGTGCAGGTTTGTTACATAGGTATACACATGCCTTGGTAGTTTGCTGCACCCAGCAACCTATCATCTACATTACGTATTTCTCCTAATGCTATCCCTCCCCCATCTCCCCACCCCCGGACAAGTCCCAGTGTGTTCCCCTCCCTGTGTCCACGTGTTCTCGTTCAACTCCCACTTATGAGTGAGAATATGTGGTGTTTGGTTTTCTATTCCTGTATTAGCTTTCTGAGAATGATAGTTTCCAGTTTCATCCATGTCCCTGCAAAGGACATGAACTTATCATTTTTTATGGCTGCATAGTATTCCATGGCGTATATGTGCCACATTTTCTTTATCCAGTCTATCACTGATGGGCATTTGGGTTGGTTCCAAGTCTTTGCTCTATTCACAATAAAATTTTCATTTCTTAAGGCATTATTCAGGAAAAAAGAGATGTTCCACAATTGCCTATTCAGTAAAACAAACAGATGAACAAAAAGAGTTCTAAAGACCTGATTCTATGTTTTGTAAAGAAACTGTAAATATTTCTACTAATGATGTAAAATCTCTCAGAAGCTGATGCTACAGAATAAGAATGACATCACCCTAAAAGGTTGTGGAATAGCACACACAGTCTTAAAAATGAAGTTGGATGCCATTATTTGACTCGAAAATTCAAAACTCATGAATAACAAGACAAATTACAGTCCTGAAGTGATCTTTTATAATCTTAAGCAGCTTTTCGACATCCCTCTTCACTTAAATTATGTACTATTTTCTAGAAGCACATAATGGAGTTTTATATTAAAATTAATGAATATTTTAAAAGATCAGATTTTATTTGTGTGTCTAACACAGCACTAAAGAATAAACAATCTATTCATACTACATGCCAAAATTCATACATTTGCCACAGCTTAAATATTATTAGTTTCACCATAATATTATATTAAAATATAAGTACATTATTACATTTCAGGCTTATATTTTCTATTATTTATTAATGTCCCTTAAGAGCTTCATACTTAATTCCATTAACATACTCAAAATAGAAAATTCTATTTTCATCTCACTTGCTACATGAACCAAAGCTGGACCTATTTATTTGGAAATCACACACCTACCCTGAAGTTGTAGAAAGATAGTTCTTAGGAAAATCACAGATTAACTACCTTAATCTTAAGAAAATAGAAAAAAGTCCAATTTGGGTCACTGGCCTGTCTTTTCAGTGCCAAATTGACAGGCTATTCTATAAGGTCGTACTTGAATAGTTAACCTAGTCAAATTTTCTCCTTTTATTTTCACAGTCCAGTAGTCTCACCATTAATTTCTCCTGCAAGTTAACCTGTTGACATTTCTCCAAATGATCCTATGCTAAAATTAGCCATTTTTATAGTTGTTTTTTTATTTAAATATCTGTTAAAAGGTTTTGAAAAGTAAAATTCACACATCATAAAAGTACACCTGAATAACATTCTTTTGGTTTCAGAAATGCATTCAAGGAAACAGAAAATGCACCAAAATTTCTAAAAAGCATTTAAAAAGAAAGGAATGGAGAACCCTGACATCTTCAAAAGTAAAAACTAAAATATAAGAATAATTCAAAGAAAATATAGCATAAGCTTCAAAGACACTGTAATCAGCAACAAGAAGCAGTTAAGTTGTGTATTAGTCAATTTATATAAAGAAAGATGCAACAAATATCTAAAGTGTCTCAAGATATAAAATAGTTATTGTTGGCAGTTTGATGAGATTCAAACTCTGCAGAGAGGAATTGCAAAACCAATTTGTTATATCAAGGTAAACCTGAAATAAGTGCTCAAATTTGCCCAGACCACTAGGAACAAAAATCAGATCCTTTTTCCCTTTTGTGCACTCAGAGGATGGGCACTGTACCTCATTTCTTTGAGTTTCTCTACATATAGTTAATACACACAGAGACATTCCTGCACAAAAGGTGACAAACTCACATTATGGCTACCTTCTATTCATCTATGCCATAACCTCATGCCCATATGAGATGAAGACACTGTCATCTAAGACAGATAGTAGAGGAATTCCATTTAGACAACATAAGAAGGTATCATGAAGATACTAGTGGTTTTTCCCTCCAGTAATTTTGTTTCTCTGCTGAAAAGTGTTGAGAAAAAAATATATATTTAGGGATCATTGAGAAAATTTGGATTGGCCCAGATACTAAATGACATTGTGAAAGTATTATTAATTTCTTAGGTATTATAAAATACTTCAATTATGTATGATAATGTCCTTAGACTTAGCAAATCTATGCTGAAGTAAAGAGGGCTAAGTTCTAGGGAAAAATAGGAGCAAGAAAAAAAAAAGTTAAGGCAAATGTAACAAAATGTTAGCTTCTGTGAAAGTTTGACAATTTTCAAAATAGAAATTTCAAGAAAAAATAATATTGCATAGTAGAAAAAAATGTGACAGACTTTGTGGATCTGATTTTTTTGTTTTATTAAATTTTTACTATTACTTTTAATTGACACATAATAATTTTACATATTTATGGGATACAGTGTAATATTTCAGTACATGTATACAGTGTGCAATGATCAAATCCAGGTAATTAGCATATCCATCACCTCAAACATTTATTATTTCTTTTTGTTGAGTATATTCAAAATCTCTTCTAGCTATTTGAAAAGACACAATAAATTATTGTTAACCATAGTCACCCTACAGTGCTATAGAACACTGGAACTCATTTCTTCTCTTCAGCTATACTTTTGTATCCATTAACCACCTTCTCTTTATCGCCCACTACACCTTTTTCAGCCTATAGTAACCACTATTCTACTTTCTACTTCCATTAGAACAAAGTTTCAGATTTCACATATGAGTGTGAACATACAATATTTAACTTTCCGTGCCTGTCTTATTTCACTTAACACAATGTCCTCCAGGATCATCAATCTTGCTGTGAATGACAGAATTTTATACTTTTTTATGGCTGAATAGTATTCTATTGTGTATGGTAAATTTATATTTATAAATGAGCTCCTAATTATTTATTTTTAGAGAGTATATGAGGTACACTCATCCTAAAGCATGATTTATGGCATATATCTTTCTACTGACCACTTTAGTTTTCAATCCAATATATGCCATTTCTGGTACATACCTTTCAAACACCACTTTAGTCATTTGGTGGCATGTGTGGGGAGAACTGACTAGAAACAGCTCTGTAATCAGTGGAGTAAAATTGCAAGACCAGTTTGTTATATCAAGGTAAACCTGAAATGTCACAGAGCCACCTGAAATGTCACAGAGGTGCCAAAGGTCTAGGAGGCTCAGAAAAATGTTGCATTGTGGATTAGAGGATGAATAATTAAAGTTTTAGAAAGACCCTAAATAAGTAATAGACTGCATATCTATCTTGCTAAACAGGATGGGGCAGAAAGGAGCCAAGTCAGAGGGATATTGCTCATTTATGAATACTAATTGCCATTTTATTTTTCTCCAAGATGGTGGATTGGAGGCAGTGTTAGCATGTCTCTCCCATTTGGAAAGACAAAGTAGTGTGTAGAGATTCACACTGTGAACTTTTCTCAAAGAACCAACACAGGAACTTAACAGGAAATCTGAAAGAATCCGTAAACCCTCTGAAGGAAGCAACAGGCTGTAGCCTATTCCACGAGCCAGGTGGAAAACTCTAACTTCCCAGAGTGTGAGATGAAGAGAGACTGCCTCCAGAATATACACTCCCACCAGGGAACCTGGAAGTCCAGGTCATGGGGGAAGACCTCAACATTACCAAGTAATGGAACCGATTTAGGGAGCAGTGATAAATATAAAAGTAGGAGCAGCATGAGGAAGAGCCTTGTTTGTATTCTCAGTCTCCAGTGTGGACCAAGGGAAGCCACTCCTTATTCTACCTCACAGGGGACCTCGTAGAAGTCTGCCAGCTAACTCAGGCAGTGGTTGCAGGTTGACAGAAACTCACAGCTGAACTTCTCAACATAACCTTAAGTGGGGATGAACTCCCTTGGCCAGAGCTGGAGGGCAGGTGAGAAGTGCACTGCAGTCACAAACACAGGATCTGGGCATCCTGACTTTGCAGGCAAACTGGGAGGGGCATGGCATGAAAGCCATAGTTGCTATTGCCATGGGAAGGCTTATGGCCTGGGGCAGTTTTGAGTTCTGAGAGCTCAAACTGGAACTTAGCTTGCTGCTGCTAGAAACCTGTGGGTGTAAGATCTGCCTTGCCAAGTGTGTGGTATCTGGGTGGAGCTTAGTGCCACCTGCTTCTCTCCATTTCCTGTGTGAAGTGTTCTGTGCAGCAGAGGCAGCTATACTTGTCCCTGGAACATTACCCCAGTAGCCAGAGAACTGCCCTCTGACCCCCACAGGGCTCCTGCCTGCCCCACTCAGAAAGTCCAAGTGCAGACCTGCCTGACACAGCCCCCACTCAGCCGCCACCTGCTGTGGCAGCTTAACACAAAGGACAGAAACTTTCAGGAGCTTTATGACCCTACCCCTTGCCTGAGAAACCAGAGTACCTCCCTTAGGTAACATTGGCAAGCACAAATCCCACTGCTATTATAGAAGTTGGCACTCTTTTGCAAGTGCCACCTCCTGGCTTCAGGCCAACCAGCACAGTCCATTACAGCACCTCCTGGTGGAATAACACTGCACCAAATGAGAAAACTTGTGTGTGGCTTCACTTATAACCATTGCCTGCAGCAGCATGGCCTGAGGTCCTGAGTCTATCCACATGATCAGTTCATTAATACTACAATTGGCATTTGAGAAAGCAAACAGAATAAGGATATCTATAACCAAGAAATCTCATAGATTCCATGTCACTCGCTTGCCACTCCCATCACAAATGGTGCTGGTACTTGCTGCTGGGAGACTTGAGGACAGGTAATATCATTGCATCCCTTGTAGACATTTTCCAGCACCTGCCTAAAGTGTGGCAGCCCCACTGGGTGGCTAGACCCAGAGGAGCAATAGCATTCACAGTAGTCTGGTGTTCAAGGACTCCTACTCCTAGGGTAAGGAAGAGTGTATCACATCAAGGGAACACCCCATGGATCAAAAGATTCTGGACAATGGGCCTTGACTCCCAGACCTTTCTGCTGGTGAAAAGTTTCATTCAGCAGGGGGACACTTGAAGTGCTGGGCTCAGCAGGGAAAGTCTGAAGCTGTACCCCAATAATCAGGCAACTCTGGTGCTTGTGAAGGGACTTGGAGAAGGGGACTTCTTTTCCCACTCATCCACCGCTGCAGACACAGCTGAAGCTTCTTCCACAGGAGTTTGGCATGGGTATACCTATAAATAGACTTCGTGGAAAACTTCAGGGTGACTGCATCCCCACAGAAGGAGCATCCTTCAGGTTCAGGCTGGCATGAGACATAAAGTCACAATTCCTCTTTACTTGGAACATTAACATTCCTGCAGATAAAAAGAGGTGCCTGTCTAATCTGAATAGCTAGAACACTGAGTTAAAAGTGTGTCTGGGAGGTGGATAGCTTTCATGCTGGCCTCGCAGGGGAGTGAAGGTAGCTCCCACACTTCCTCCTGATAAGACCTCAGTGCATTTCACTGAAAGGTCCCCCAGCCACCTCTGTCAAGGCTAGGACTTCTGCCCTCCATTGGGTATGGCATTTACCCACCTGCTTTAGCCACAACTGGTTTCTACCCATGGACACCCCCTCTACTGGCCTGAAGCCTGAACTATTCAACCAGTAAATAAAATACTGGGGAAAAAAATACATAAATAAAAAAGTACACACCACAAGGGAATTAGATAAGCTTCAAGAGATCACTGCCATTCCAACCCCATAGGAAACAGTGAACTTGCTCACACACCGTACACATTGGGACTACAATGAGCATCTGAGAATGCCATCATACAAAGACTCTCTATAATAATTACCAGAAAAATAATTCTGGTAATATGACAAAACAAGGTTCTATAACACACCCAAAAGATCACACTAGCTATCCAGCAATGGACCCAAACCAAGACCAAATCTTTGAAATAGCAGATAAAGAATTCAAAAGATTGATTATTAAACTACTCAAGGAAATATCACAGAGAGGTGAAAATCAACATAAAGAAATTTAAAAAACAATTCAGGATACGAATGAAACTTTTCTAAAGAGGTAGATGTCTTAAAGAAAAACAAATCAGAACTTCTGAAAATGAAGGCTCACTTATGGTACATTTCCACCCATTCATAAAATGCAGTGGAAAGTTTTAATAACAGACTAGAACAAGTAGAAGGAAGAATTCCAGTGCTCAAAGACAAGGCTTTCAAATTAACTCAACCAGACATAAGTAAAGTAAAAAGAATCAAAAGAAATTAACAAAATCTCCAAGGAATATGGGATTATGCAAAATGGCCAAACCTAAGAATAATTGATGTTCCTGAGGGAGAAGAGAAAGCAAAAAGATTGTAAACTTATATGAGGGAATAATTGAGGAAAACTTCCCTGGCTTTAGTGGAGACTTAGATATTCAAATACAAGAAGCTCAAAGAATCTCTCCTGGAAGATTCATCACAAAAAGGACTTAACTAAGACATATGGTCATCAGGCTATCTAATGTTAACATGAAGAAAAGAATTCTAAGAGCAATGAGATAAAAGCATCAGATAATCTCTAAAGGAAAACTTATCAGACTAACAGCAGACTTCTCAGCAGAAACCTTACAAGCCAGAGGGAATTCAGATCCTATCTTTAGCCTCCCTAAACAGAATAACCGCCAAGAATTTTGTGTTCAACAAAACAAAGTTTCATAAATGAAGAAGAAATAAAGACATCTTCACACAAACAAATGCTGAGGGAATTTGTCATTATCAGACCAGCTCTACAAGAAATACTAAAAGGCATTCTAAATCTTGAAGCAAAAGCTCTATATGAACCAAAAATAGAACCTCTAGAAAGCATAAAACTCACAGGACCTATAAAACAATAACACAATGAAGAAAACAAAGGATATAGGTAATAATAAACATAATGAATGAAACAATACCTCACAACTCAATATTAACAATGAATGTAAGTGGCCTGAATGCTCTACTTAAAAGATATAGATTGGTAAAATTGGTAAAAAAATATTACAAACCAAATATCTGCTGTCTTCAAGAGGCTCACCTAACACATAAGGATTTATTTAAACTCAAGGTAAAGAGGTGGAAAAAGATATCCCGTACAAATGGAAACAAAAAGTGATCAGAAGTAGCTATTTTCATATCAGATATAGCAGACATTAGAGCAACAACAGTTAAAAAAAAAGACAAAGAAGGTCATTATACAATTATAAAAGGATCAATCCAAAAAGAAAATATGACAATTGTAAATTTATATATACCTAACACTGGAGCTCCCAAATTTATAAAACAATTACTACTAGACCTGAGAAATGAGAGACAGCAACACAATAGTAAGGGAGACTTCAATACTCCACTGAGAACACTAAACAAATCATTGAGACAGAAGGTCAACAAAGAAAGAATGGACATAAACTACACTCTAGAACAAATGGATCTAACAAATATTTACAGAACATTCTACCCAAGAATCACAGAATATACATTCTGCTAATCAGCATATGGAACATTCTCCAAGAGAGGCCAAATGATAGGCCACAAAATAAGTCTCAATAAGTTTTTAAAAGTCAAAATTATATCAAGTACCTTCTCAGACCACAGTAGGAAAAAACTAGAAATCAACTCCAAAAGGAATCTTCAAAACTACACAAATAAATGGAAATTAAACAATCTGCTCCTAAAGGATCTTTGTATCTTTGAAATTAAGATGGAAATTTAAAAATTCTTTAAAATGAATAATAGTGACACAACTTATCAAAAGCTCTAGCACACAGTAAAAGCAGTGCTAAGAGGAAAGTTCATAGCACAAAATGACTATATCAAAAATTCTAAAGAATCATAAATTGATAATCTGATGTCATGTCAAAAAACTAGAGAAACAAGAATGAAGCAAGCTCAAAGCTAGCAGGAGAAAAGAAATAACAAAGATCAGAGCAGAACTAAATGAAACTGAAACACAGTACAAAATGTCAATGAAACAAAAGATGGTTCTTTGAAAAAATAAAGAAAATTGATAGGCCATTAGCTAGGTTAACCAATAAAAAAGAGAAGATTTAAACATGCTCAATCAGAAATGAAACTAGAGACATTACAACCAACATCACAGAAATACAAAAGATGTTTTGAGAATACTATGAAATCTTCATGCACACAAACTAGAAAATCTAGAGGAAATAAATAAATTCCTGGAAACATACAAATCTCCTAGATTAAATCAGCAAGAAATAGAAACCCTGAATAGACAAATAGCAATCAGAAATTTTAAAATTGCCAGCAATAAAAAGCCCAAGGCCCAGATGGATTCACAGCTACAGCTAAATTCTACCAGATATTCAAAGAATAATTAATACCAGCCCTATTGGAATTATTTTAAAAGACTGAAAAAGAGGAAATCCTCCATAAATCATTATATGAAGCCAGTATCACCCTGATACCAAAACTAGGAGGGGATGTAACAACATCAACAACAACAAAACAATATTTCTGATGAACATGGAAATATATATGGAAATTTAAAAATTCTTTAAAATGAATAATAGCGACACAACAAAATACTCAACAAAATACTAGCTAACCCAATTCAACCACACATCAAAGAAATAATACACCATGATCAAGTGTATTTTATACCAGGTGTGCCAACATAGTTTAACATATGCAAGTCAATAAAAAGATACATTACTTAAACAAGAATTAAAAACAAAAAATTTATAATCATCTCAATAGATGCAGAAAAACATTCTATAAAATCCAGCATCCCCTTATGATAAAAATCCTCAACAAACTAGGCATAGAAGGAACTTATATCAAAATAAGAAAAGCTATATATGGCAAACTCGCAGCCAACATCTTACTAAATGGGGAAAAGTTGAAAGCAATCCCCCTGAGAACAGGAACAAGACAAGGATGCCCACTTTCACCACTTCTATTCAAAATAGCAGTAGAAGTCCTAGCCAGAGCAATCAGGAAAAGGAAATAAATAAAGAGCATCCAAATTGAAGAAGAGAAAGTCACACTATTATTGTTTAATGATTATATGATTGTATACCTAGAAAACCCTAAGGACTCCTCCAAAAGACTCCTAGATTTGATAAAATAATTCACTAAAGTAACAGGATACAAAATCAATGTACACAAATTATTAGCACTGCTATACACCAACAGCGACTTAGTTGAAAATTACATCAAGAACTCAAACCCTTTTATAACAGCTGTAAAAATAAAAAAATAAAATATCTAGGAATATGCTTAACCACGGAGGTGAAAGATCTCTACAAGGAGAACTACAAAACACTGCTGAAGTAAATCACAGATAACAAAAACAAATGGAAACACATTTCATAGTCATTAATGAGAAGAATCAATATTGGGAAAAATGATTATACTACCCAAAGCGACCTACAGATTCAGTGCAATTTCAATTAAACTGCAATCATCATTTTCCAGAGAATTAGAAAAAAAATCCGAAAATTCATGCAGAACAAAAAGAGCCCAAATAGCCAAAGCAATCCTTAGTAAAATAAACAAATCTGGAGGCATCACGTTGCCTGACTTCAAATTATACAACAAGATTATTACCATAACAGCTTGGTAGTGGTATAAAAGTAGGCATGGACCAATGAAACAGAATAATAAAGAACCCAGAAATAAAGCCAAATACTTACAACCAACTGATTTTCAACAAAGCATACAAAAATATAAATTAGGGAAACGAGACCCTATTCAATAAATGGTGCTGGGGAAACTGGCTAGCTACATAGAAAAGAATGATACTGGGTCCCTATCTCTCACCTTATACAAAAATCAACTTAGGATGGATTAAAGATTTAAACATAAGACCTGAAACCATAAAAATTCTACAAGATAACCTTGGAAAAACTCTTTCGGACATTGGCATAGGCAAAAAATGTATGACTAAAACTTCAAAAGAAAATGCAACAAAACAAATAAATAAACAAGTGGGACCTACTTAAACTAAAACTCTTCTGCACAGCAAAAGAAATAATCAACAAAGCAAACAGACAACCCACAGAATAAAACAAAATATTTACAAAGTATGCATCCAACGAAGGACTACAATACAAAATCTACAAGAAACTCAAATAAGTCAACAAGATAAAAAAGATAATCCCATTAAAAAGTGAGCAAAGGACATGAATAAGCATTTGTCAAAAGAACGTATACAAACGACCAACAGGCAAATGAAAAAATGCTCAACATCACTAATCATCAGGCAAATGCAAATTAAAACCACAGTGAGATACCACCTTACTCCTACAAGAATTAGCCAGGTGTCATGGCAGGCACCTGTAATCCCAGCTACTCAGGAGGCTGAGGCAAGATAATTGCTGGAATTAGGCTGAGACAGGAGAATTGCTTGAATCCAGGAGGCAGAGAGGTTGCAGTGAGCCAAGATCACGCCACTGCACTCCAGCCTGGCTGATAGAGGGAGACTCTCTCTCACCAAAAAAAAAAAACAAAAAACTGTTTACAGTAGCTTCTGTTTCCTGTCTAATCTCTGGTGGATATAGATAGGCTTTAAAATTGATTGATTCTGGTGCTCAAGGTATTCATCTAAAATGGAAGTCTTCTAGCATCTCTGAATAATATGCCCATTTCTGACCAGGCACAGACAATGAGGTTGGAATTAGGCCAATCT
This sequence comes from Homo sapiens, assembly GCF_000001405.40. Lineage (NCBI taxonomy): Eukaryota > Metazoa > Chordata > Mammalia > Primates > Hominidae > Homo > Homo sapiens. The sequence continues at coordinate 180,353,603 of NC_000002.12, read as the reverse complement.
TCATTTTGTTGGGTTTATTTTCCAAACTGTATTGTTGTTACTCAACGGAAAAGGGGTGAAATGATCATTAAGAAGACAACTATAGTGTCTACTATGCATTACTCTATTGTTTTTGTTTTCTTTTTGTATATTATCCAGGTTATTTTCACACATTTATTCTGTCAGGCGAAATTTTGAATCATAATAATGTGTTTTCTTTTACAAAATTAGGGTCTTGAATAGATGTACTTAAATGTGCAGATTAATGTTGGGATAGTTTAAGTATTTAGAGTTTTGAGGCTTTTTATCAAGAAATGTTTCCTTTTGTGGACTCTCAACCAAGTTCTACAATTATTTTTACATAGGTCCTACCATTTTGGTAAGTTTTAAATATTGCAGTAATTGTTGTTGATGATATTATTGTGAATAGACTAATTTTTCCCATTATATTTTCCAATTGTTTATTATTCTTGTACAATAAATTGTTAGAGATTAAGCTCAGCAAGAGACAAACATCCAGAGATAATTTGCCAGTTTGTTTTTTCTCTCATTGGAACAGGATCTGCAGTATACCTTTTCCTTCAACCTTGGAGAGCTATGTCTTCCAGGAATACATTAAGCAAAAAATAAATACCACATGTAAAATATTGCAATTTGATTCTAAGTGCAGAGGCAAGATGTAAGTGTTATCAGTAAACAGTACAATTAAACATGTAAAATTCCAAGAAGAGATAACTTTAAGTACTGGGCAAAATATTAGTAGCACTTTTTTTCACAGCTGAACTTGGTTCCTCTCAAGCTGTATTGCATCATTTCCCTTATTTGCCTGATCAAATATTGTTAAAAGTCCTGAATTCTTCCATTCCGACCCCACAACTTAAAATTTGTTTAGTATAATTAACATATATTGGAACTGACCCTTAATTCTAGAAGACTTTACATTTTAAATATCACTAACCTTCTTTTTCAGGCTAACCTCAGGTATGCTGTAGTTTTATGCCCTCACCAGGGAAGCTTTTCAAAAATGCAGATAACAAAATCTCACTCCAAAGTTTCTGGTTTTGCATTTTGAATAATGATCCAGATAGATGACCAGGGTTGAAAACCCCCTGCTTTAACTCCTTGAAGAAATTATAAATACTACTATAATCACAATAATAGTCATAATTTTTTTAAAAAAAGGTCAATATTTACTGAGTAGTTGCTAAGAGCCAGGCATTGTGCTCAGTAGTTTACATGTTTTATTATATTTAATTATGTAACAAATGCCTGCCCAAATTTAAAAAAAAATTACATGCTTTCATTGATGGCATCCCCCAGAAAATAAGGGGGGAACCATTTTCTCCCCAAACTATAAAACCTATTTATAGGGATTATTCTTAGTTCTTACTTAATCAAACAGATTCTGAAATGGGAAGCAAAACTCCTTTCCTAACTATTGTATGTAATCCACTGACATCTGGACAAATTGACTAAATTGATCCTCAAACTGCGAATAAAAACTATTTATCAAGGACTTAAGTCAAAGTACTCAATGCTCCTGTGACTTTCTCTAAAATAACAGAATTTTCCAAAATGTTTTTCTGGGAGCACTACATTGTGAGATTTTGATAGGTGAAAACAGAGCTTCCTTGTCAAATAAATTTGGGAAATAAGAAATTAAGCAAAATTGAATAGGATTACTTGCTATAGGATTTATTATAACCTCGAATACACAATGTATTTTATAAGCCTCTAAGAGATATACATATTCAGTATTTCCAAAATGTATTTAAATATATAACTCTTGTTAAGGAAGGACCCCTAAAGACCAGCGCTCTAAGGCACACCAGTTAAAAATTAGTTTAATGAGAAATGAAAACAATAATGATAAGGACTTACACCTGTACAGTGATTTAACTCTACAGTGGTTTCATAATCAACAAGAGGTTAAGCTGAAAGCTCCAATTTAACTAATTTTCTTTACTTGGCTTTTCCCCAAAAAAGTAGGGCCTAAGACAGGGATCTTCATATAAATAGTTCACTGTGGAAAGTTTCCCTAGGGAATCAGAGTATCAGGACTTGAATGAACAAAAGAGGAAAAGAAGGATATCAACCCCCAAGATGTTATGCAACTGGTTCCAGCTGTGGGCATTGGCGGTTTAATTCTTCTGGAGACCTTGCTAGAAACTTTGTATAATTGACTTCAAAGTTGTCTGTTCAAGATGCAGAAAAGGGATGTATTTTTTCAGTCATTTCCCATTGGTCAAGTGTTCACAGGAGATCTGAACTTCCTTCCTTCTGTTAAGACTTCCAAAGTGTGCATGTACCAGAATGACTGAGCAAGCCCCCAAGGGTGTGCCAGCCATCAATACAGAAGCCTCAAAGCAGAAAGCAAGATACAAATGGTGCACCTTAGGTGAAGTTCTATCAGGCTCCACCTGTAATCAAGTAGTTACTGTAGGAATGGCCAGAAAAAAAAGGTGGGCCAAGACCTTGTGAGCTATGTAATAGAGTCTTTGCACTCTTGTAACCACAGCAAACTAATGTAAGTCACCGAGATTTCAGGTGGTAGTTAGTGGCAAATTGTACCAAAAACACAATACAGGAAGGTTAGTGGAATAAGCAACAGTCTCTGCAGCAATTAGTACTGAAGACTTGATTGATCTTCATCACTTCCACTTAAAATTTGCCTCACTCTTGGCTGGTATTATGAAGTCTAGATTGCTTGTGCTGATTCAGGCTTTCAGCATGGAGAAATTGGAGTCTATACTTTATTCACCCTTATTAGCCATGGTTGGTGCAATAGTCTGTTTATATCATCACTGGGCAAATCAGCATCAAGAGACGCCTAGCGAATCTTCTGGGCTCTTGTTGTATTCTTTTGTGTACTATTTTCTTTCCCATTTTAATGCAACACCTTTAATTCTTCATGGTAATTAGGGTCAATTCCCCCAGCCAGAAATCAAAGTGGTAGCTCTTTACTTTTTCCAGTTTATCTGCTGGCATAAGAAGGCCAAAATAATGATGTGATAGTTCAGGCTTCAAGTTCACTGTTTACTATGTCTTCTGGTGGAAGAGCCCTTCTCCACACTGAGAATTAGGATTTCTATAAGAGATGAGCCTAAATTTTCAGGATAAGAAGCACAAGTATTGGGAAAGATGGTGAAAGAGGTTGATCATACACCTGTCCTTGGGTTCCTGTACTAGTATGCTGGAGAAACGGGACCATCTATCATCCACCATTAATACATATATTGTATCCTATGAGACTGTCACCCAACATTGTAATATTTTAACCCCACACTGGTGTCATAGCTGAGCTTATGATAGACAATACATTTCTCTATTGGGCTGAAAGCATCTGAAAGATGTCTGTGGTAGGACAAGTGGATTCTAGGACTATGAACACATTTTTATAGACCTCACAATAAAACTAGACTTTCGGTCTAAAATGATGTTATTCAGGATCTCATGTAAATAAATCTGGCATTCCAGAAGGCCTCAAATGGTAGTACTGAAAAAAAAGGCAAATCCAAATCTAGAGTAGATGTCAATTTAAGTAAAGGCAAATCATTATTTCCTACATGAGGAACAAGCCCAGTGTAATCAACCTGATCTACTTAGGGAATTGTGCAATCTTGATGGTTCAGTGTTAGTTTCTACAAATGGCAAGTTGAGCACAAGCAGTGGCAATAAATGACCAGCCTTTGTCAGAGTCCATGTTCTTGTGCCCACTCAGAATCTCACACCTGCCGTAATATTAATAACACATTCTATGTGTCCTATTATATAAGTACAAGAAAGTGGCCAAAGAAAGAGGCTATTCAACAGACAAGTTATCTATCAATGTGGTTGTAAAATGCCTCTTTTGCAGTACATACTTTCTGGTGGACGTTAACACAAGACACAAAACTCTGCATATTTTGTGCCCACTTTCATAGGATCTGCTACGTGTCTCCACGCAAATTTTCTTGTCTTTAATCTTCCAACTTTGCTACTTTCAAGCTCCTGAGAAACCAGGCAAGCTTTTTCTTATAGACCTGGAGTTAGTGCAGATCCACCTTGGGTCATCTCTCCTCCATTCAATGCAAATAATCAAATCCCCTGTTCTTCCCATCAGATGGATTTCCTTTCACTAGTGTCCTTCAAGAGCCATCCTTGCATGTGAATTTGATGAGGCAGAAATTGATTTTTGCTAGCTCCAGCATATAAACATGACACATCTATGAAATAGAACTGAGGTTTTTTCCCCCTTATTTGTTAGTAATAAGGAATCCCCCATGTAGACATAAGTATTAACTGAGGAAAAGTAGTTGGTGCAACAGATGTGTCAGGAGAGTCTGGGTCATCTGTTATGTAACTTGGTCTTACCCTCTAGATCAGGAGTCCCAAACCCCTGGGCCACTGACTGGTACTGGTCTGTGGCCTGTTAGGAACCAGGCTGCACAGCAGGAGGTGAGTGGTGGGCAAGCAAGCATTACCACCTGAGCTCTGCCTCCTGTCAGATCAGTGGTGACATTAGATCCTTAGATTTTCATAAGAGTGCAAACCCTGTTGTGAACTATGCATGGGAGGGATCTAGGTTGCTCTGAGGCGAAACAGTCTCATCCCTCACCTCCACCAGTCCATGGAGAAATTGTCTTCCATGAAACTGGTCCGTGGTGCCAAAAAGGTTGAAGACCATTGGCCTAGAGGGTGTTAGTGAGGATTGAGAAGTGTCATACCAAGTGCTAAAAACTATGTTGATCTGTTCCCATAAAGGGAGCACAACTAGTGTAGCATTTGTGATTGGAACTATCATTTGGTTAAGTTTTTATGTAGTCTATTAAATCCTGCCATAATCCATCCAAAACTGTAAAAGGAAATGTGGATGTATTTGGGACAATCACATGTTTGTCCTTTATATCTTTGTTGATGGTACTAATCTTCAAAACTCTCCTAGATACTAAGGTTTTGCTTCCAATTTACTACCTTCATTGAGGGGATAGAAAAGGAATCATTTCAGGGTGTGATATGGTTTGTCTGTGTCCCCAACCCAAATCTCATCTTGAATTATCATAATCCCCATGTATCAAGGGAGGGGCCAGGTGGAGATAATTGAATCATGGGGGTGATTCCCCTATACTTTTCTTATAGTAGTGAATAAGTCTCATGAGATCTGAGGGTTTTATAAATGAGAGTTTCCCTGCACATGCCCTCTTGCCTGCCACCATGTAAGATGTGACTTTGCTCCTCATTCACCTTCCACCATAATTGTAAGGCCTCCCCAGACATTTAGGACTGTGAGACAATTAAACCTCTTTTCTTTATAAATTATCCAGTCTCAGGTATGTCTTTATTAGCAGCACTAGAACAGACTAATACAAGGTGTCACACTCCACCTTTCTTACATAATTGCTATTATTACTTAGATCAAGGACAGTTGTGTAAGTTTTTCTATCTCATGCTTGGAGGTGAGATATTACATGGAGGAGTTCATAGAGTCACTGGACCCATTATTAAATGAATTGGTCTCCGAAGTCCTCATGATAATATTTTGATCCTTAGATAGCAGTAATTCTTAGGTTTATCCACATAAATGTCCTTATCTCAGTTTCCAGAATCTCAATCTTTTTTTATCAGAGCCTTGGCTTTGGCAAGTCAGCTACAGAAGTTATTCACTGAGCCTAATTTTTAGCTTTGCTGCTCTTGGCTTCAAGAGATAAAGATCTCTTAACCTTTACAATGGAGGTTTTTCTGACATTTATAAAAATGTGGATGTATCTGGGACAATCACATCTTTGTCCTTTATATCTTTGTTGATGGTACTAATCTACAAAACTCTCCTAGATACTAAGGTTTTGCTTCCAATTTACTACCTTCATTGAGGGGATAGAAAAGGAATCATTTTAGGGTGGATATGGTTTGTCTGTGTGCTTTGAGTTTATAGGTGTTTCTTGAGTCTATCAGTTTCTTTCTTTAAGGATATTAATGATATTAACTAAAGCCAGCCAACTCCACAGTCCTTTTAACTACCATTGTCCCCATACAGTTTAAGTGCCAATCCAAAACATTAGTCACTAACTCACCTTCCTTACACACCTCATTTCAATACTCCCCCCACCCTGTCGAGTCAGTAATTGTGATGCTGTTACTTGCTGGGTTGTCACCAGCACCCTTCTTCTCACCAGTAGTATGATTCCTTTGCTCTCAGGCTGCAAATTTTCCAAATTCAGAATCCTATTATTATGGTTTGCTTTTCAGGACCATTTCTAGTACCAGTGTCCAGGATGCCATCCAAAATCACTTGACATGAAATGAAGCATAAAATGGGACTACATTTCAAGGAAAAAATAATCAGAGATAACAACCTGAGATGGCGCAGATGTTAGAACTATAGGTCTAAGTCTTTCAAGCAGCTATCATAACTGAGCCCCATGAGATAAAGAAAGCACACTTGAAATGAATGAAAAGATAGGCATTCTCAGCAAAGAAACAGAAATTATGAAAAGAACCCAATAGACATTTTAAAACTGAAAAATACAATGCAATGACTGAAATGTTCTTAAAACTCCTGGAGTAATGAAAAGCAATTTTAAAGTATAAGAGCAAAGGTGGAGGACTTACCTGTCTGATTTCAAGATTTCCTATAAAGCTACAGTAATTAAGACAGTTTGATATTTTGGAAAACCTATTCTATAGATCTGTTCCACAGATCAATGGAACAGAATAGACAGTAAAGAAATGGACCCATACATGTGGTCAACTGATTTTTGGCAAAGGAGCCAAAGCATCTCAATGGAGAAAGGAAAGTCTTTTGGACAAACGATTCTGAATAAACTGGATATCCAAGTGGAAGGAAAAAGAATATTACTTACGTCATGAAATACACAAAACTTAACTCGAAATAGATAAAAGATCTAAATTAAAATCTAAAACTATAATACTTTTAGAAAAAAATGGGAAAATTGTTGCTTTATTGAAGTACATAAAAGTTTCTTAGAATACTGAAAGCATGAAACACAAAAAAATAACAAACTAAACTTCACTAAAATCAATATATTTTACTTTTCAAAAGACAACCAGTGCTGAGCGGTATCGTGATACATACTTGGTTGAATCTCAAAGGCATTATGCTCAGTGAAAGAAGCCTGTCTCAAAGGTTACCTACTACGTAATTCTATTTATTTGACATTCTTGAAAGGAAAAATCTGCAGCAAGGGAAAGCATATTAGAAATTGCCTGGGGTTATGAGTGACGAAAAGAGTGACTATAAAATAGTAGTATAAGGGAGTTTTTTTGGATGATAGGACTGTTTTTCTTTTTGTTTTGTTGTTGCTGTTTTGTTTTTTTCTGAATATAGTTGTAGTTCCAGGTAATCTACACACATGTTAAGATTCATATAATTTTACCCACAAAACAGTAAAATTTACTATATGATAATCTTAAAAATAAGAAAGCTGTCCCCCAGGGTGATTAACCAAATAAATACCCCAACCTATTCCCATTTACTCTGTATAAGAATGTCTACTTTTCACATGCTCTAGTCAACACTTGTAAATAGAAAGTTTTTATTATTTTTTTAGCATGAGAAGTGAAAATGGAATCTTAATGTTTTGATTTATCTTTAATTATGACGATGATGTATTTCCTATGTTGATTGGCAATTTATTGTGTTGTCTTGTTTTGTTTAGAGGAAGGGTGTGTGTGTGCGCGTGTGTGTATGTGAGTGTAATAAGGTGCGTGGGGGGGTTCCTCTGGTTAACTTCCTGCTTGTATCCCTTACTCACTTTTTCCACCTTTTAAAAATATTAATTTGTATAACCTCCTCATAAAACTAAGGAATAAAAATATTGAGTAATTTTATTTGACAGGATCATAGAAAAAGTTAATGGTAGTAACCAGAACTCAAATTGGAAACATTCTATTTTTTTAAAGATAATAGATTGTCTTGAATGTCTAAACAATCGAGATATTTAGATACCAGGGGCACCATTGACATTGATCTATATTCTAAAGCTGCTACAACAGAACTACTGGCATAACTGCTGAGTTATATTTGTTATTTAGTTATTTAGTTATATGTAAATTTGACATTTAAGAAGTCTAAGAGGTCTAAAGAAACCATGTCTTGGGTAATGGTATGGGTTTACCATTACCTTTAAAGCATATGAATAAGCAACATAAGTAGAAAAACTGGACTTCAATTAATGGTGCACCCTTTATTAAGTTTGCATCTCTGACTACCAAGAAATGTCTGTTATTACCACTCAACCATAAATTCCAAGAGGGATGAAACCTATTGCTAATAATCTCCATTGCTAATGCGAACATGTGAACATGAGTTATACTTTTTTTGTTTTGTTTTGGAGGCAGAATCTCGCTCTGTTGCCCAAGCGGGAGTGCAGTGGCATGATCTTGGCTCACTGCAGCCTCCATCTCCCAGACTCAAGTGATCCTCCTGCCTCAGTCTCCCAAGTAGCTGTCATTACAGTCACACACCATCACACCTGGTTAATTTATACATTTTTTAGTAAAGATGGGGTTTCACCATGTTGCTAAGGCTGGCCTTGAACTCCTGAGCTCAAGCAATTCACCTGCCTCAGCCTCTCCAAGAGCTGGGATTACAAGTGTTGAGTCACTACTGGCCAGTTAGATCTTTAAACAGATTAGAATTCCCTCTCCCATTCTCTCATGGTCCTCTCATACTTCTAACAAATGCTTATCTCACATAGTGTCTGGAACATTATATCTAAAGTTTTTATTATTATTATTATTTGTAAAGAAAAAAAAGAAACATTGCCACCCCACTCTTTGATCAGTCAATATTTCAACCAACATTCTTTGTTGCTTTGTAGGTGAATGAAGTTATTGTAGACTATTCATTTTTAAATTTAGATGGGATCTTAGTATCCCCAGAAGCTGTTGAACTACCTTATTTATTGGACTAGCTTTGTTATTCTTGCTGTTTTGACCTTTGTATGAGAAGGGGTGGACCAGACAAAAGATGGTAGAAGGAACAGGGCAGCCAAAGATACCCATTACAGAATGAACACTGTCTGTGCTGACAGCTGTGACTACTTAAGTGAATTGGACATTAATCAAAATCAGACTAAATCAAGATGAAATTAATTCTTGACAACCAATATAGTTATTTTTAACTGCAGAATAAAATAATCTACATTTTTTTCAATTAAAAGAATAAAACACCAAAAATTATGTTTGCTCCTTTGAAATTCTATTTAATAACATGATTAAATATACTCTATCCCTATATCCCATGTAAATTAGAATAACTAAATGTTTTGGGAATACTTTCAGCCTAAATATTTACTCAGGGAAGTGAGTTACTTGGAGTTTGTATAAACAACTTATTTAGGCATAATGTTTATTTCTAAGTAGTAAAGTCATGATATGAAACTCTTTGGAGCTAGATTTTGCAACCCTCTATAATGTTTGCCATTTTAGAGTATATTACTTTTCCCCTCCTGTAAACATTTTTAATGAAGAATTTAAATGCATGCAACCATATGTCTCTTTTCCAAGCAACAACTACCCAGAGGAAACAAAGTCCCCAGTGATCATTTAGTTTATGTGTTAAGTAAAATAATATTCTAAGGAAGACACATACTAGAACATTTGATGTATAATTTAGCTTTTACCATATTCCATAGAAATAAACAGTAACCTATTTACATAAATATGTCATTCAAAAAAGAATAATTACATGTTTTTACTAGAAAATTGACTTCAGAGATTAAATTCACAGCCAGGCATTAAATTCATGGGATCACCCACAAAGGAAGCTGCATAAAGCATTAAAACTTGAAGAGCAGGGCCTAAGAGACTGCTGCCTCATCCAAGTATCTAGTTGTTACAGAGAGACTTCCGAGAGCCCAGTATTCATCCAAAGGTGTGTTCTTCTCCCTAGAGGAGTGCTACACACAGACCTGGCACTTAGCATTTCCTTTCCTTTGCTTCCCCCCCAGTTTCATTCACAAAGCAGGGCTGCTATTGGAAATTATTACAGACATTTTCTGTTATGTAAATCTTGGCAGACATAAAGCAGCTCCAGTTTGGACCTTCTTATTTTACATATGATCCATGTATCAACAGCAAGAGGCAGAAAATCTATTAGTGTCAAGAACATTTGAGTAATATGTTGCCTTGTACTGACAATTTTCAGTTTAGTCATTACGCTCCTTTCTAAAAACCATTGACCTTCTTTATATGTGAATGTTTTCTAAGTGGCATAGATAAAATTTGATATTATGTACTAGAGTAAAATTTTGTCTTAATTATTTGAGTTCATATCTGGACCTCAGAAAAATCCCTAATTAAAAAAAAATAATGTAAAAATCCACCTTTTACCTGATCTGCTAGATGCAATACCTCATAAAATTCATTTATTATTAGAGGTTTAATCCTTCAGCCCTTGAAATTATAATTTTAGTACTGTAAGAAAAGCATTGCATGCTTTTGATTTGATAATTTCTCAAATATGATGTTTATATTGTTATTGAAATTTATTCTTTGTGCAATATTACTGATCTGTCCTGAACATGTATCTATAGTCCTCCAATTACTCTATTATTACAGAATTGCCTAACGTTCTGATTTTCAACACAGATTACAGTTGTCACATTCATATTCATTGTATTACAAGTAATCGCTTTTTGAACACAGTAATATTGAACTGCCTCCACCCAACTCTGTTAAATTTCTTTTTGAAATTATATACCCAGGCATTGAATAGCATAAATACTTTTAAACTGAAATTGGTAACAATCTTTCTGACTGCTGAGTATCTGGAAGATTGATTACAAAGAGGCTTATAAACAGAACAAGACAAGATCAGTAGAGTTTGCCAGTAATTCAAATACACCATTAGGCTATTTGGAGAAATCAATACTGCAGCTTACATCAATAGAGGGGTTAAAAGAAAACCCACTGTTAACAAATAAATGGTAGATTGAACACTAGTGACTATATAACAAAAATATATGATAAATAATATAAACGTTTACAAGTGGGAGAGTGTAATTTTTCTGGATACTATTATTATGACCAACTGTTTTTCTTTCAGAATAAATGCTATAATTTATCTGATGCACTATAATAATGATACAATAACAGCACTTATTTTATTTCCTGGAAGCATCACCACCCACTATTTACTTTCAACTTTGACTGGTGATAAATTTTGTGTGTATTATTTAAGAATATACTAATTTATAATCGATCAGCTAAAAATAATGTTATTGCACACATTTTTCTTACTTTGAAAATGGGAGTGATACAACCTAAGTTTTGGAGTTACTTATAATGTATAAGAGAATAAAAGCAAAACAAAATTTTTTTTACAGCAAGTAGAGAACTATATAGAACACTATACTGCTAGCACTGAATTGTATGATTCAGACGTTAGGAACATAGGATCAGTGAGTGAGGAACCTGTGTGAATGGGAGGTGGTACTGTGGGCTTGATGGAGACAAAAATAATTAAATTGAGCCGTGAATGTGGGAAGATTCCGAAGCAATAAAAATAACCCCAGGAGTGGTAGAAAGGAAAATAGAAGGATGCTGGGTAGTTGGACTTTAAATAAACATAGTTAAAAAGGAAAAAATAGTCCAGTATTAAACTCTTACTAAGGATGATATGCCAGATAGGTGCATAATAAGTTTACATACAAATATGTACATCTATTAAGAGAAATACATAAAAAACCTAATGACATTCAGAGATATTGTTTTCAACTGCAATTTTAACTACGTGAAGTACAACTATTGTTGAAAGGTAATGTGGGAAAGGAAGTCTACCAAGGCCAAAATTAATTTCACAGTTTCAGTTCTGTTACTCCAAACTGTGAGCCCCCAGAGATCCACTGGTGTAATTTAAACTTCTTTAATCAAGCCCATGAAAATTTAGTACAGAAAAGGATAATGATCTATTAGTTTCAATGCCTACAGCTGATATTATAGATATGAACAGAGTTTTCTCTCACATGTTTACCATAGATCTTTGCCTGATCATGAGATATTAGTATTTTCCTACACTATGCTTTCTTCATTTATAAGGAATGTGAACTTGCCTAGGTGTATATTAAATGGATTCAATACAGAAAATAGTTATTTAATATATTATGTGCCTGGTATGGTGAGAGGTGCAAATAAAGAGCTCCCAAGGTACTTGTGTTGCAGGACTTTTCCCTAGTTCACCCACAGATGGGGTACTTTGTCTCACAGCCATGAAAATTCAGGCTTGCAGAAAACTTGGTGAGTAAGACAGGGTTTTATTGGGTGAAAAGGAAGAAAAGTAGGAAACAGGGAATCTTGCAAGGCCAGAGTTCCTGCTAGAGCACTTTCTGCCAGCAGCTTGAATCCCAGGTTCCACACAGAAGAGGAGGGGCCAGGCTCCTCCCCACTGCAAACTGTGTGAACTTCCCGAGGCTCAACCCCAGCGTGCAAGCTGGTTGGAGTTTTTCCAGGGACCCCTTCCCACCTGGTTGTCTCATTCCCCTCTCTAAAAAAGTACATCTAACTGCCATTAGAATAAAGATAAGGACGAAAACCAATCTCAACTGCTTCCTGCCGATGGGAAACAGCAGTCTGAGCTCCCTCAGAGGCCTATCTAAGGGTTCTCAGCAGAAAGGGCAATCATCAGAGTCTTGGGTTGCATGACTGTTTGGAGTTTGATGGTCTGAAGGCAGGAAGAGACAAATCAGGTTATTATAAAACATGTATCGAAATGAAACAAGGGGAGGGGTAAGGATAGCTCAAAGTCTCGAGGCCTTTTACCAGTTTTCACAGGAAAAGAGAGGTTAAAAGCTCAAATGGTAAAAACCAAACAAACAAACAAACAAAAAAACAACAAACAAACAAACAAAAAACAACCATTACCCTTTTGCAGCATTTTGGGCTCTAGGTTTCCTTCCCCTGAGCCCAATCCTAAGCCAACCAGTTTAAGGTTTGGGAAATTAACTCTTTCCAGTTTGGAGGATGCATCTCACAGGAGTTTCTCATAGTATGGAGACACAATCACCTATCCATGAAGAGAGGACAGAGGAGGAGAAAGGAAAAAATAAGGCATTTTTCAAAGGAGTCCCAGGGGTTCAGGATGATGCATTCAGAAGGGATACCACCTGAAGATGAATGGCTACCCATCTAGAAAGGATAGAAGGTGTCCCTGGTTCCCTTCTCTTCCTAGTAGATACTCAGAGTAGTTGAAGGAAAAAGAGAAGAGCATTCTCTTTCCCTCTACCATCTTTGCATACTCAAGTCCTGGTGACCTTGGCATGTCCTGCCATGACAGCCAAAGCGGCTTGCACCTATGAAGCAGGAAGGGTATAGAGAATAGTAATTATCTGCTCTCACCTATGCCTCTATCCTCGCTACTCTCAGTAGTCTTGGAGTTCCCTAGACCTCATTTATGCCATGGATATTAGCCTGGTCTTTATCCATGAAGCAGGAAGCTTGGGGTTGGCTTAATCAGAAGGAAATCAGCCATGCTCACCTTGGCTGTGGCTTTTAACCTCTGTGACCATTTGCCTCTGGATCCCTCAGATCCAGTTTTCCTTTCTAGGGCTTTGACCCAAAGCTTGGAATTGAGTTTTAGATAAAAATGTGTCTCAGGGAGTTGTATGGACTTCTTATTATAGCTGAATGCTAAGGTGAAACTGTGGAACTGAGTCTTCCTCGAACAAAAGAGAGAAAAGGATGTCTTATGACACATTCAGATAACTGGCAGCTATAGTTATGCTTGCTAGGATTCTGGTGCATGGTGCTTGGCTTTGATTAGGTTCCTTGGTCTTACTTTCCCAAAAAGGAAACCTCTGGGTGATGGCCACTCTATTTATTCCCTATGTATTTCCTTACCTGGCAGGATTTCCAGGATAACTGCTCAGAACTAGAATATTTATCCAGATTTCTACATTACCCATCCCTCTCGTTCTTTCTGAGCTGCAGCCAGAGATTGCTGGTTGGTTCACAGCAGCAAGCAGGGTTAGTCTAAAATGTATGTGAAAACATAAAAACAACTAAAGAGTTTAGAATTTAACGACAAATGTATGATAAATTTTGAAACACGATTTCTCTCTCTCCAGTCCTCATTTTTGTTAAAAAAAAAAATCATCATAAGATTGAATGGTTTGCAGAATAGGCTTTTGTCTTATATTTGGCCTGATTATTTGCATAAAGTGCAGCAAGAATAATTATTTCTACATAAGCCTTTTGGAATGACGGAAGTATGTTCCACAAGGAATCTCAGATAATACCTTTTAATACGGAGCCCAACCAAGGGTTTGTATCCTCAAACACCTGTTAGTTTGGTGATCCATTCCTCTAGAAGTCCCATAATAAATTTGGAGCTCCTGGACCTGTTAAAAAGTAACATTCTATACTGATCACACATCAGGAATCCTGTACAGGGACTGCATAGAAAACAATGTAAGGCCAGTTTCCTCATTGGGATTTTATTGGCTCTGCAAGGCTAGATTGACTCCTTAAAGGGAAGCATACCCTTCCAGTCAAAGCCTTGGTAAAATAACCACTTTCTCCAATTGCATTCTATTGCAAAAGAAAAATGAATTCTTATTACACTGATGCAAACAACTGTATTGCCATAAGAATACTTGCAAATAGTTTCCAAATTCTAGAGGAATCAGGCAGAGAGAAACAAACATGCTCCAAATTGTGATCACAGGAGTGTATACCTTACTTAATTATTAAAGGCCGTAAATAGTTCAAAATAAGTTTCCTTGACTCTGAAAAACAAAACAAGGATCAGTAATATTCTAAGCAAAAGTCCAAAAGATTTGCTTCAGCTTTCTGATTTCAGTCCATTTAGTTAACTCTTGTTTTGCTTAATATTTGTGAACATTTCAGCTCTTTATGAGTCCTGTACATTTTCCTTTATTCCAATGTTACAATTTCTAAAGTTATTGGAAGCCTGTATTTGAGAGCACCTGTTAAAGTTCTACAGCTCATTATAAACCATCTTTGAAAAGGATTAAAACAAGAGAACAATTGACTGTGAATATTCAAATGTCTTGGGTAGTTACAGTTAGAAACACAATTGGCAAAGAAGTTTGGTTATCTCCGTGGTTTACAATAACTTAACATAAAAATTTTAATGATTATTGATAGCATGTAATTAGACATTAGAATTTTAGAAATTCCATATAATTTTGGAACATATATTAGCATTATTCACCAAGATATAACCTAAAAATGATTGAACAATCTTTTAGGTACATGGGCAATCCCATGTACCTAAACATGTCAAATAATCCTGTTCACCTCTCTTTTCTGAACACTTCAGGGGCCATATGAAGTATTTGAAGAGCCAGGGAAGACAATTTTGAAACTGAAGTTTGATTTTGGAAAGGCTATTAAATCTTTAAGGTTTAAAACACTTGATATTATGAAATAGAATTCCAGATTACCATAAGTTATTTGTTTTGCCAAAATGATGACTCAGAAATTTTAAAGAAGCAAAAATCTCTTATAAACCTTTACAAATTTTGCCAAAGAGCAGATTAGCACCCTAGTAAAACCTTCTTATGCTTTCATTTCAATCCTCAATTTACAGGGAAGCCATATAATACCCTTTTTTAAATGTAGTCAATATCTGCAAGATTAATTTCCACAATTCTTCCACCACTTCTTTGAACCTTCAACTTTTTCCTAATTTAACTCAAAATGATCCTTTAACCCTAGGCAAAAGTTTACATTTCCATGCCTTCTTATAACCTTTTACTAAAAAAACACATTTTACTATTCTTAAACACCTTGCATATAAATGTATTTCTAGTAGTTTCAATTAACTCCTAGCAATTTTTAACTTTAAGGGAAAACTTGGTAAGTTGCTTTGTGTGCTAACTGCAGCCAAGGTTTGCCTTCTTAATTAAGGGCATGGTTAGTTCCACATGTCCCCAGGCCTTACCAGTTGTGAAGCTGGCAAGTCAAATAGTTCTCAGAACACAAAAAGCAATTTGTAACCTCAAAACACTTAGAAAACCTTCCATCTAACCTGCATTTTACCAATAGTGTTTAGGGCTGTTTTTATTTCTTAAAGATTAAAGTCACATGAACTGAAAGGTACCACAGATTTTATCTTCCCTTTAAAAAATAATAGATCCAAGCACTTGTCTTTCTTTACTCCAAATTAATTAGAGCTCTTTTGACAGACGTTACACACAGTACACACACAGACAGGCAAAAGAAAACCCAGTTGTCGGATGGGGCCCTTTAAAAGACAAGTCTAGGAAAACATGCAGGTATTGAACCAGAGAGGTTTCACCCCCTAAGGCAGGATTGATAAACAAAGCCTTGCCAAGCAATTACCAGCCATGCCCTCAGGATGTAAGACAAGACGAAGGCTGATTTCACAACCAAAACTTTGCAGAAAATATAAACAGTGACAGTTGTGGGGCCTGGCCTAGTAAAAAAATGTCTTCTAAAAAAAAAAATTAAAGTTTAACTGCTGATGGGGTAGAGAAGAGGCAAGAAAAAAGGTTTAAAAATGCCTGGGGAAGAACCTCTTATTTTTAGGCAACTGGTTCCTCCACAGGAGAAAAGCCTAGTTACTCTCTGATAGAGTAAAGCCCTTTGGCTGGGGAAGGGGTAGGCTCTGGTGGTACATGGTGGAAAACACCATCCAGTCAGCTGTGTGGGACCTTTGTGTCATGCATCCCAACCCCAGCTGGGAGGGGAGAGTGGCAGAGAGCAGCTGCTTGCTGGTCAGTCCTAAAAAAGAAAGAAAGAAAAAAAAAAAACATGAAAAGGCCTGGTAGCGATGGGGGTTGGGTATAGTTTTTCCCGTCCTCAGAAGTCCAAGGATGAAAAGGCTTAGAAGCAACAGTGAGAAGTTTTGAGTCTCCATTTCACTCACCACTTCTTGAGCCCCATGTTGGGTGCCAAAAATGTTGCAGGACTTTTCCATTCAGCCATAAATGGGGTTCTTTGTCCCACAGCCATGAAAATTCAGACTCACAGACAATTTAAATGGTGGGTAAGACAGGGTTTTATTGGGTGAAAAGGAAGAAAAGAGGGAAACAGGGACTCTTACAAAGCCAGAGTCCTTGCTAGAGTGCTTTCTGCCAGCAGCTTGGATCCTAGGTTCCACACAAGAAGAGGAGAGGCCAGCATCCTCCCCACTGCAAACTGCACGAACTTCCCGAGGCTCAACCCCAGTGTGCAGCCTGGCTGGAGTTTTTCCAGGGACCCCCTCCCACCTGGCTGTCTCACTTGGTTGGAGATATATATTCAGGTGAGAAGGATGTGGGAATTGAAGTGTAAATGAAAGTAGGACTTCAATAATCAGGAAAGAGAATTCCAGACAAAAGGAAAAGCAGGAGCAAAGTAGTAAAAGTAAACATGAGTTGGTAGTATTAGAACAATAATGAAGGTTAAGGCTCAGGAAAGTGAGGGTTTCTGTGGTTGAGATAGCTAGAGATACCTAGAGATCACATGGCATAAACATTGTGGAAGAAAATTTTGGAAGTTCAGATAAACAATTGAGAAATAGTATATAATGTAAAAAGTAGACTATGATTTAAGATTTGAACTCTCCTATTAGTATTTGTATTGGTATTAGTATTGGCATTAGTATCAGTATTAGTGTTGGTATTGGTATTGAAGGAGGTCAAAAGGTGAGTAAAATATATTTCTTTCCATCAAATAGCTTAGAGTGATAAAGGGATTTGGGAAAATACAATTAAGCATAATCTAAGGCAGTTTGCTAAACACCAATGAAATGGTACTAGTAAAAGTACACCAAGAATTCTAAGTCTTCTGGATGTGAAGGTTTACAGTTTTAATGAAAATGGAGAGATAATTTGAAAAGTAATTCTAAAACCTCTGATCTAAAGTATCTAATACTCTAAGGCTATCTTTTTCTCTAGTATCCAACTCAGCCATAATTCAAGTTCAAATTCTATGTGACTGTAAGATGCCCATTTTCTCTTCATAGCCATCCTTGTCAGATGTCTTGCTTCAGATAAGTGCTTCTGGGAAATCCCCAACTCCCATCATCTCTGGCCATCCTGTTGCTTCTCAGTGAAGCTACTGCTCACTTGAATTCACCTTGGTTCCAATGCCTATACATAGGTCACCCACCTCTTTAGGCTCCCAGGCATATGTAGACAATAAGATGTAGGGATTAAAACTAAGTGGAAGGAAATCTTAAAACTAGATATCAGGTAACAGTACCACAAAACTAAAGATCCCAAGTATCTCTTGATAATGTCCTTAAACAGAAAATTTCATAAGACCCATCTGTCTTCTTCATTCCTGACATGCTAGTCTTTGTACCACTACTCTCCACCAACCGACTTGAGTTTCCCTTATTTCTGTGCTTTTTCTTAAGATCCAGCTTCCCAGTCAGTTTCTAGGTCTTACCACAGAAAGATAAAAATAAACTAATATTAAACTATTTTCCCATTATGAAATAAATTATATTTTATGTAACTGAATACATTATTTAACAGTCGCATCTGTTTTTGGAATCACTAATTTTAGATTTCAAAAGCTGTGGGTAGGACTACATAACTATAAATCTCACTAAAGAGTCTCCCTTAAAGATATAATTTAGCTTTTGCTCTAAAATTCAGAAACTGAGCTGACATGGTGGCTTGCACCTGTAACTTCAACTACTTGGGAGTTGGAATTAAGTAATCCTCCCACCCTGAGGTGTTCGAGACCAGCCTAGGCAACATGGCAAGACCCTGTCTCTAATGACAAAATAAAATAAAATTCAGGAACTGTTGTAATTTTAGAAATATAATTTTTCCTTATTTAAGAAATAGAAATGGTAGCGGTGTTGCTGATGGAAATTTATGCTTTGAAACATCCGTTGAGCTCTCAGTATCTCTTATCAACTATTTTACTGGTTTTTAGTCATCTTTCTGTTCACTTCCTTTTTTCTCTGTTTTTCAATGTCACTTTTGACTCTCTCATACATGCACCCATTCTCACTTCCTCAAAATCTTGATTCCACCTGCCTCATAGATTTTCAAGCTTTTCTAACAATAATCTCCTCTCTCTCTCTCTTTACCTTCTTTCCCCATCCCTTCTTCTTTCTCCTCTCTTGCCTTTCTGTTACTGCCTCTATCATTTCCCATCATTTGGTCTATCGACATTTTCAAGTTTCTACAAATTTAACATGATTCTCGGACTCTGTATCCATCACTTATTCCTATAAAAGTTGTCTCTTTTCTTTACAACCAAACTTTCTGAAAATTGTGGTTTTTGTTTGTCTGATAATAGCATTTCCCTCTGCCTCTTAAATAATAGATTAGCACAATATGGAATTATAGATTGGCATTTTTTCTTTTCTTTTTTTACTTTAATTTTGGGTACATGGTCTATATATTTATAGGGTAAATAAGATGTTTTGAAGTGGACATGCAATGCATAATAATCACATAATGTAAAATGGGGTTTCTGTACCCTCAAGCATTTATCTTTTGTGTTTAAAACAATCCAATTATACACTTCTAGTTATTTTTAAATGTATAATTAAATTATTATTCACAATAGTCACCCTGCTGCACTCTCATCAAATACTAGGTTTTAGTCATTCTTTCTAATTATTTTTTGGTACTCACTAACCATCTCCATTTCCACCCCCCACCTGTCACCCACTACCTTCTCAGACACTGGTAACCACCATTCCATTCTCTATAAGTTCAATTGTTCTGATTTTCAGATTCCACAAACAAGTGAGAACATGCGATGTTTGTCTTTCTGTTACTGGCTTATTTTACTTAATATAATAACCTCCAATTCCATTCGTGTTGTTGCAAATAACAGAATCTAATTATTTTTATGGCTAAATAGTACTCCATTGTGTATAAGTACCATATTTTCTTTATCCATTCATCTGTTGATAGACACTTAGGTTGCATTCAAATTTTGGCTATTGTGAACAGTGCTGCAACAAACATGGAAGTGCTGCTGATTTCCATTCTTTTGGGTATATACCCAGTAGTAGGATTACTGAATCATATGGTAGCTCTATATTTAGTTTTTTAGTAACCTCCACACTGAAGGTTCTCCACAGTTGCTGTACTAATTTACATTCCTACCAACAGTGTACCAGAATTCCTTTTCTTCTACATCCTCACCAGCATTTGTTATTGCTTGACTCTTAGGTAAAAGCCATTTTGACCCAGGTGAGATGATATTTCATTGTAGTTTTGATTTACATTTCTCCAATGATCAACTGTGTTGAGCACCTTTTAGTATGCCTGTTTGCCGTTTGTTTGTCTTCTTTTGAGAAATGTCTATGCAAGTCTTTTGCGCATTTTTTCATTAGATTATTAGAATTTATTCCTACAGGGTTTTTGAGCTCTTTATATATTCTGGTTATTAATTCCTTGTCAAATGGGTAGTTTGCACATATTTTCTTCCATTCTGTGGATTGTCTCTTCACTTTGTTGGTTGTTTTGCTGTGCAGAAGCTTTTTCACTTGATGTGATCCCATTTGTCCATTTTTGCTTTGGTTGCCTGTGCTTGTTGGGTATTACTCAAGAAAGTTTGGTCCAGATCAATGTCTTGGAGGTTTTCCCCAGTATTTTCTTATAGTATTTTCATAGTTTGAGGTCTTAGATTTATCTTTAGTCAATTTTCATTTGATTTTTTTGTATAAGATAATAGAGAGGAGCCTAGTTTCATTTTTCTGCATATCAATATCCAGTTTTCCCAGTACCATTTATTGAAGAGACTGTCTTTTCCTCAGGGTATGTTTTTGGCATACCTTTTCCTCGGGGTATGTTCTTCCTCATACCCTTTTCCTCACGGTGTGTTCTTCCTCAGGGCATGTTCTTTATAAAAAATGAGTTAACTGTAGGTGTGTGGATTTGTTTCTGGGATCTCTATTCTGTTCCATTGGTCTACATGTCTGCTTTTATGCGAGTACCATGCTGTTTTGGCTACTATAGCTCTGTGGTAAAATTTGCAGTCAGGTAATGAGTTTCCTCCAGTTTTGTTTTTTTTGCTTAGGATAGCTTTGACTATATTAAGTCTTTTGTGGCTTCACATTAATTTTAGGATTTTTCTTTTATATTTCTGTGAAGAATGTAATTGATTTTTCATAAAAATTGTATTAAATTTGTAGATTTGAGGATTTTGGGCATATTAACAATATTGATTATTTCCATCCATGAACATGAAATATCTTTCCCTTTTTTGTGTGTCTTCTTCAATTTCTTTCATCAGTGTTTTTATAGAGATTATTCACTTCTCTGTTTAATTCCTGGGTATTTAATTTTGTTTGTGACTATTGTAAATGAAATTATTTTTTATATCTTTTTCAGATTGTTCACTGTTGGCATACAGAAACGTTACTAATTTTTGTATGTTGATTTTATACCTTGCAACTGTACCAAATTTATCAGTTTTAATAGTTTTTTTATGGAGTTTAGAGGTTTTTCCAGATATAATATCACCTGCAAACAAGGATAATTTGACTTCTTCC
Source organism: Homo sapiens (assembly GCF_000001405.40). Classification (NCBI taxonomy): domain Eukaryota; kingdom Metazoa; phylum Chordata; class Mammalia; order Primates; family Hominidae; genus Homo; species Homo sapiens. The sequence continues at coordinate 180,332,185 of NC_000002.12, read as the reverse complement.
TTTTCAATTTGGATGCCCTGTATTTCTTTCTCTTGTCAGATTGCTCCAGCTAGGACTTCCTGTAGATGTTGAATAACAGTAGTGAAAGTAGGCACCTTTGTCGTGTTCCAAATCTTGGAAGAAAGGTCTTCATTTTCCTCCATTCAGTATGATACTAGATATGGGTCGGGCGTATATGGCTTTTATTTTCTTGAGGTATGTTCCTTCTATACCTAGTATATTGAAAGTTTTAACATGAAGGAATGTTGAATTTTATCAAATGCTTCTTGAATTTTATCAAATGCTTCATGTGTTTTTTGTCCTTCATTCTGTTGATATATGTATCACATTTATTAATTTACACATGTTGAAACATCCTTGCATCCCTGGCATAAATTCCACTTGGTCATGATGTGTGATCTTTGTAATGTGTTGTTGAATTCAGTTTGCTACTATTTTGTTGAGGATTTTTACATCAGTGTTTATCAGGGCTAATAGCCTGTAGTTTTCGTTTTGTCATGTGTCTTTGTCTGATTTTGGTATCAGGGATATACTGGCCTCACAGAACGAGTTTCAAAGTATTCCCTCCACCTTTATTTTCATGAGTAGGATTGGACTTGTCTTTTCTTTGTATGTGTGGTAGAATTCAGCAGTGAAGCCATTGGGTCCAAGGCTTTTCTCTAGTGGAAGACTTTCATTATGGCTTTGATTTCATTGCTTGTTACTAGACTGCTCAGATTTTTGGATTTCTTCCTGGTTCAATCTGGGTAAGTTGTATGTGTCCAGTAATTTGTCCATTTCTTCTAGATTTTCCAATTTATTGGCATATAGTTTCTCATAGTAGCCACTAGTAATCCCTTGAATGTCTGCAGTATCCATTGTAATGTATTCTTTTTCATCTCTGATTTGATTTAGATCCGCCCCCCCCTCCCTTTTTTTTCTTAGTCTGGCTAAAGGTTTTGACAATTTTGTTTGTTTGCCTTTTCAAAGAACCAATTTTTTCTTTCATTGACATTTTCTATTATTTTCTTCATTTCATTTATTTCTGCCTTAATCTTTAGTATTTCTTTTCTTCTACAAATTTTGGGTTTGGGTTGCTCTTGCTTTTCTAGTTCTTTAACATACATTGTTAGATTGTTTATTTGAAATTTTTCTTCTTTTTTGATGTGGGCACTTATAGCTGTAAGCTTCCCTTTTTATGCAGTACTGTTGTGCTATTTCCCATAGGTTTTGATATATCGTGTTTTCAATATCATTTGTTTCAAGAAATCTTTTAATTTCTTTCTTAATTTTTTTATTGACCCACTGGTCATTCAGGAGCATATTGCTTAACTTCCATGTATTTGTATAATTGCCAAAATTTTTCCTATTATTAGTTTTTAGTTTTATTTCATTGTGGTCAGAGGAGATGCTTGATATTATTTCAGTTGCTTGGAATGTTTTAAGAGCTGTTTGGTGGTCTAACATATGGTCTATCCTTGAGAATAATCGATGTGCTGAAAATAAATGTATTCTGAAGCCATTGGATAAAATATTCTGTAGATTTCTATTAGGTTCATTTGGTCTACAGTGCCAATTGAGTCCAATTTTCTTCTTGATTTTCTATCTAGAAGATCTGTCCAAGGCTGAAAGTGGGTGTTAAAGCCTCCAGCTATTATTGTATTTGGTTCTATCTCTTTCCTTAGCTCTAACAATATTTGTTTTATATGTCTGATTGCTCCTGTGTTGGGTACATATATGATTGTTATATTCTCTTGCTATATTAACTCCTTTATCATTATATAGTGACCTTCTTTGTCTCTTATAGTTTTTGTCTTGAAGTATATTTTGCTTAATATAAGTATAGCTACTCCTGCTCTTTTTGGTTTCCATTAGCATGAAATATTTTTTCTATCCCTTTATTTTCAGTCTATGTGTGTCTTTATACTGAAGTGTGTTTTTAGTAGGCAACAAATCAATGGGTCTTGTTTTTTAATTCATTCAGTCATGCTGTGTCTTCTGATTGAAGATTTTTGTGCATTTACATTCAATGGTATTATTGATAAGTAAGGACTTACTCCTGTCATTTTGTTATTTGTTTCCTGGTTGTTTTGTGGTCCTCTCTTCCTTGTTTGTTTCCTTCTTATCTTCCTTTTAGTTAAGGTGGTTTTCTGCTGTTACATGATTTAGTTTCTTCCTTTTTCTTTTTTGTGTATTCATTGTGTGTGATTTTTGTTTGTTTGTTTTGATGTTACCATGAGGTTTACAAATACTACCTTATAACTCATTTTTTAGGTTGATAAAAATTTAACACTGTTTTCATAAACAGAGAAGCAAGCAAGCAAAAAGAAAACTAATAGAGACTCTATACTTTTTCTTCATCACATTTTTTAACTTTTTGTTTTTTTCTATTTCTCTTATTGTACTATGTCTTGAAAAGTTGTTGTAGTTATTATTTTCGATTGGTTCATCATGTAGTCTTTCTACCTAAGAGTAGTTTACCCATAATTACAGTATGATAATATTCTGTGTTTTTCCATGTGTTTACCATTTCCAGTGAGTTTTGTATCTTCAGAAAATTTTTTGTTACTCATTACATCCTTTTTTTCTGATCGAAGGACTCTCTTTAGCATTTCTTATAAGACAGGTCTGGCGTTGATGAAATCTCTCAGCTTTTGTTTGGGAAAGTTTTTACTTCTCCTTCATGTTTGAAGGGTATTTTCACCATGTATACTGTTTAGGGTAAATTGTTTTTCCTTCAAGACCAAGTCCTCCCTGTTCTTCTATCTCCTGTTCTCCAGCAGAGGAAAGGGATATTTTTGGAGCCATAAGCTGTGCAACCTTGGGTTAGGGGAAAGGTGATGCCAACACCCCCTTGGCTGCCCCAGGTGGTGATCAGTAAGTCATATGCCCCCAAGTCCACTGGCTCTGGGACAAGTTTATTACTAGGATTTGCCTTAGGGCTGCAGTCCTTCTGGCCTACACTGCCTTTCAAGTTTATCTAAGGCCCAGACACTGGGTGGTGGTGAGGCTTGTGGGAATTCAAGTTTGGACTGCTAGGATTTGTGATTCCCCTCTGGCTAAGGCTGATTTAAATGTTACCTCCATGGGTGGGCATCAGCTGAGTTTAGTCCAGTTTTGTTTTCTGCTATAACAGAGCAGCACTGAGTTTAATGCTTCAGAATTCCTGTTCTCTCTCTCTCCCCAGCACACAGAAATGCTCTCTGCACCATGCTGCTACTGCTGGGGGATGGGGAAGAGGTAGCCTCTGTGACTCAAGACTGCTTTTTCCTACTTCTTCAGCGCCTCTTTCAGCAATATGAAGTTAAAACCAGGTACTGTGAGTGCTTATTTGCTTTTTTATTCTTATGAAGATGTTTTACTATGTAAATAGTTGTTAAATCAGTGTCCTTGCAGGGAAGAGAAACACTGGAGCCTACTATTCTATCATCTTGCCCCCTAGATTGGCATTTTCTATTCTAACCTACCTGTTAAATAAATTATTACATTATATTCTGGTTTATGTTATCATTAGAGAAAACTGCTATCAACTTAATTTTTTTCTATGGTAGATAATCTCATTTTTGTCTCCAAATGTTTATTAGTTTTATATTTTTCTTCATCTTTATTAGAATGTATTTAGGGAAGAACATTATTTTTCATATTTGGGATTTATTGGTCTTCTGGAATTTGAGGATTTATGTTTCTTAATAATTCTAGAAAATTCTCAGTCACTTTCACCTGTTTCTCAGCTTTTAGAACTCCGATTATATAAATTTTGGGCCTTTTCTATATCCTATATGGCTCTTAACTCCCTTTTCATATTTACCTTCTGTTTATATCTATGTGCTGCATTTTGAGTAATTATCTCAGATCCATCTTTTAGTTCTCTTCTTTAACTGTGTCTAATCTACTATTAACCCATTCACTGAATATGTTAAGTCAATGATGATTTTCTGTTTCTAGAAGTTCTATATTTATTCTTAATTCTCTTTTAATAATATCATATTCTTTCCTCATGTTTTAGTTACTAATAACATTTATTTCATGGTCCCAATTCAATAGTTCCATCATGCAAAGGTTTTAGTGGCTTATCCTGTTGCTAACTCCAACTCGTGGTGGATTATTTCCACATGTTTTTGTTATTTGCATTTTAAACATGTTAGATGAATCCTTATTAATGGTATTCTATAAGTATTATAGGTGAAAGTTATATCATCCAAAAGGATTTTGTCTTTGATTCTCCTCAATGTCAAGAAGTTTTACTGGGTTGTGGCCACTTTTTTATGTTAATGTCATGGCTTGGGGTTCTTCAACTATATGTGTAGTACAATTAAAATTTCAAACCAGTAGACAGACAGATCTATGGTTACAAAGTCTTAGAGAAGAATGTTTTCCCACAATGCAAAGATAAGGACACGATATCTCCCTGGGCTGGTGGGTAGGATTTTTTAAATCAATTTCTTCTCAGCTTTCTTTTATTCTTGTATACAGATGATTATCAGACTTCTACTTTACCAAACTATTCTCATTCAACTACAAAATCCAGTGGACACTGGATTATACCTGACTTTTTCTCCCTTTAAAAATGCTCTATTTCACTACCCTCACTTTTGTGATCCACAATATTTTGTCTTGGCTTTCCTCTTGCTTTGGTCCTCCACTAATGTATGAACTCCAGGTTATGTATTGATGGCCTCCATTCCCATTAATTTCAGAGTCATATACTCAACTGCCCACACTTTATTTCCTCCTGGATGTCCCACCAAAACCTCAACCACAATACAATCAAAACTAACTTAATTTCTCTCCCCTCCAACTCTTCTTCAACTTGGTTGATGATGTCACCACCCACTGAGTCTCACACACACACAAAAAATGACATTTATCCTATGTTCTGACCTGTCTCTCACACATTATAGCTAGTTTATCATAAAATCCTGTGCATTTGGCCTTCTATTCAAACTAGCACTACTTCTTAATAGATTATTGCAATAGGCTCTTAAACTAATCTCTCTTCAGCCTCAATTCATGCATATATCTTTCATTCCATTATCAGAGTGGTTTTCTAAAACATAAATAAAATTACTTCACTCCCTCATTTATAGTCTTTCAGAGACTTTTTATTGTCCACAAAGTTAAATCCAAATTCTTTCAGATGCTGTATAATATTCATCAAGATTTGGTCCCTTCTTACATTTCTAGCTTAATCCTCTGCTCTTTCCTTATTTTCCTCAAACAAGATGTTCTATTAACTACTTCCAGTTAGAAAGTGGTAAGAAAGGTAGATAACTAAAGAATGCATGCTTTTCTAAAAAGGGCCAAGTCTACTATGCCCCAGAGAATTATTACTGTGAAGAAATCTAAACTCAGTATTGTAACATCTTCTGATTTTCTTTCAAAACTCTTCATCTAGATTATTCTGTGCAATGTCCCAAATGTTAAACATTGCATCTAATTCAAAAAAGTTTATAAAATAGCCTGCAAAACAAACTACACTTATATCATGATTGGACTCAGTTTATGGACTGATAATTTGTGAGTTCTGAACACTTTTTCTGATGTAAGTGCAAATTTGAATATCTAAAAAAGTATCAGATACATGGTAGCCCTCAATAAATGATTATTGCACGTATGCAGGATAAGGCACAGTATTATTAATACCAAGGTTTAAAAGGTAGTTGAGGCTCAGCGTGGTGGTTCCCACCTATAATCTCAGCACTTCAGGAGGCCAAGGTAAGAGGATCACCTGAGGTCAGGAGTTTGAGACCAGTCTGGCGAACATGGCAAAACCCCATCTCTACTAAAAATACAAAAAAAATTAGGCGGGCATGTTGGCTGGCATCTGTAATCCCAGCTACTCGGGAGGCTGAGGCAGGAGAATCACTTGAACCTGGGAAGCAGAGGTTGCAGTCAGCCAACATCATACCACTGCCCTCCAGCCTGGGTGACAGAACAAGACTTTGTCTCCAAAAAAAAAAAAAAAAAAAAAAAAAAAGTGATTGAAAAAAATCTGTTGAAATATTTGGGGATTTTAAAAATAAGAAAGTCATTACATTAATTTATTATGTTGACTCAGAGAATATTTTACAATTATTTAAACAACATTTAAACATTTTAAAAAATGTTTTCTCTTTCTTTTGCCCCCCTCTTCAACAGATATATCGCATATAACTGGCCTAAAATTGATGTTGGCATGCTACATTTCCTTCCCTATTTAGCTCCCTCTGACTCCACTCCTCAATTCCACAGTTTGAATAAACAGAAAATAAAATTAATAAAATCCACTTCATTATAACTGACCTCCTATAAATTATTTGTGACTCCCTGAATGTGAACACATGGCAAGCTTCAAGGTTGTTAAGTAGGCATGCAAAATATTTACATAAATAGCCTTATAATTTGGTTATAAATTATGTGAATTACTCAAAGGAAAGGTGCTTTGTAAATATGCAATACTGATGATGACAGAAGATTCATTACTAACCGTATAAAAAGAGAATAAAATATTTTGTGTATATTTAGCACATAAGCAAATTCTTTTACTAGAAACAATTAAACAGCAAATAAAACATGCTTATGTGCTGGAAATGGACAGCTGGATTTATGCCACTCTTGCAATATCTCCATCACAAGCCATATGGTTCTTGCTCATTAATGCAATTTTTTTAAAGTCTCACTTGAGAATAAGTCTGAAGTATGATAAGTAAACAAAAACTTATTATATCATTGTCCCTCTTTCACATCTTAAGGGTTTTTTATTAAATTTTCATGAGCAGTGGGTTTATTTATACTATACCCAGTGATATCTTCAAATCCAATTTAACAAGTACTTGTCACTTTTAACGTATCAGATCTAGTGATTAGGCTTTTTTATTATTATTATTAACAAAAGGTAATTTAGAAAAGTTAGGCTAACCATAGTTGATTAAGGCAGCAATAGCACAGCAATATTTACAAACATTCCAGTAACTATATTCAATTTAGTTTGGTATCTATAGTCTGTTAGTCCATACAATGGTTAAACAAAAAAAAAAGTCACCATTCAAGAAATCATTTGAATTTAAGATTTACAGATTTTTTTTTCCATTCTGGGGCAACACATTTTAAAATAAAGACTACTCCATAGGAGTTGTTTAGTGATAGCCAGTTCTTTTCTTAAAAGAGAATTAGTTAGAGGAAAATGTTCTTAAGAAGCCATTCAAAAGTCACATGTAAGAAGAATATCTGTGAATACTGCTGTGCCAAATTCTACAATACACAGAACATTTTCTCACTTTTGATAGCTTTGTAGTTGAAAAAAATATGTCTTTTTACTTCCTAGTGTACTGTAACAAGTGCATCTTAATAAGTAGAAGGTAAGGTAATGGTAATGATAAAAATAATAAGCCAAAACATGTAAAAAAAAGTTTGATTATGTTAGATACTATAGAAGGGAAATATCTATGTTTAAATTCATCCTAAAAGTATGGATTGCATAATTTTGGCTTCTAAACAGATGGCAAAACATGTACAGATTTTAAGGGCCAGCAATCATCCTTCTCTTTATTTGCGAGTCAAATACCAATAAATTTGTCAAAAATACCTTCAGCAACATGAGAAAGAAATCTAGTGTATCCTATATTATGAAAGCTGTTTTAACATTATTTAAGAAAGAATGTAATAAAATTTAGCCTAGGGGTTTCTAGACTTCATCTTGAGTGAAATATTTAGTCAAAAGCTACAGAAGTGAAAATGAGCATCAGGCACAACTGACTAATTTAATGGTCAGAACATATAATTGTTCAACACATGAACACAACCAGAGTTCAACATTGGGTGGGGTGCCTTCTGAAAATTCCACTGCAATGATGAAAGTGTAAAATTGCTAATTGTGTAATCCTTCACCACAGTTCTTGGGAAGCATTAGCATTACAAATTAGGGATAAACACTGTCTTTAATCTTTAACAGGCTGTCACATCAATCTAGGCTAGAGTAATAAAGGAGGTAAATTAAGGCAATATCTCCAGGTGTTGTGCTTGCCACCTCCCAAAATTTAAAGTGACTTCTCTGGATAATCTTCCTCAGGTTGAGCACTTAGCATAGGCTTGGAATTCACCCACCTGCCTCAAGCTTGCTGTCTATCTATGGATTTATCTGTCACCAAAATGGCTGCCAGCAACTTCCCACTAGAGCACGGAATGAGTGACTGAAAAAGGACTTCTGGGCAGCTTCCCATGAAATTTATTCTCTAAAACTTATCAAGATAATTACAAGAGAAAATGATAATTAGTGAGGAGGGGACTACTGGAAATCCTTTCAATAGTTTGTTTCCCATGAGAAAATTCTACAATAACAACAAAACAAATGGAAGTTTCTTTAAGTGTTTCTATGCTGTAAGAGGTGTTTTGCTTTGTTTTTTTAAAAAAATGCGTGCTTTATATATTGTTTGCCTTATTTTTTCTCTCTTTGTTTATTTACATGGGGTCCCAATTAGTGTAATATGTCCCAGTTAGTGTAAAGCATTGAGCAAGTACCATACCTGTGGGCCAGCCTTTTATAAACTGTAGATTATGGACAGTTCCTGAGGGTCCTATGAATTGCTCTGGAATAATGTTAGCTTGAAGTGGGAAAAGTTGTGACAAATTGAGTCAACACAGGCATATATTATTATAAGCTGTGGGACTATGATAAAATCAGCACTCTATTCACCTTTCAACCAAAAGTTTCATGTTAGCAAAGCAACATCATTTATCTTATATTTTTGTGTAAATTATATTATGCGCATAGTTCTTTAGAACTGACTAAGTTTACTTGGATTTTATGTTTTTATAAGGGCCATTAGCATGTGGGATTTCATTTATTTTATATTTAAGTACATTCAACTAATTTTATGTTAAAACCAAGCCAATACACAGAGTCCTAAAAGAATTTGGACAGGAGCTTCAAAAGAAGTACAAAGAAGTAAACTTTAAAACCAAGCCATATCAAATAATATAATTACTTTTTATGGCTATAAAAATAAATTCAGACCCAAGGACTAAGTCAAAGTAATTAATTAGTCATATAATTCTTAATATTTATGGATCTCATTATGAAAAACATCAGAAACTCTGAGGTTTTCTACAACTCTCTCTTATTTACTTCCAAAGTACAAAAATCCATGCAGCTGAAGTCTCAGAAAACAATCTTATATCTACTCTGTAGATAATAAAAAATAGCCTGTGAGTTTTGTCTTCTCAGATACTGGTCATAACAAATGAGTCATGTATTTCCTCTCTCTCCTGAGCATCAGAATTGTGATTCAAATAAACACAGATTTTAATCTCATACCTCTACCCAAATCCAAGAATTATGTTTAGTGTCCCAGAGGAAAGCACAAATTGTTGTATTTCTACTGGCCATAGAATTAACCCAGTTTGTCTACTTCTAAACATTTTCCTCTCTACTCCTTATTTTTACTTAATATTGGTTTTCTGTTTGTGAGTGTGTGTATGGCTGCTTTTCTTTCTATAGATAAAAATGCACCCTGCTATCTTCCAAATCAGTAAGTCATATTCTCTATCTTTCTACAACATGTTAAACAACACTTGTTAAATAAAACATATCCATTCGGGCAAATGTTTTCCAAAGAACAAGAAGAAAGAAAAGATTTATCTTCACTTCACTCATCTTTCCTCTTAACTCTCTAAGTTAGGCTTGCAGAAGAGAACTTGGTGTGAGTGTATAAGCTTCTTTAGCTCATGAACCATGTTCCAATTTGACAAGTACTACCTCAGTAAGGTCTTCATAATTTATTAAGTTTAGGAGAGATTTTTGGGCATCATAGTACTCTTAGTTGCAAAAAAAATGTCCAAGGAGATCTTAAGATTTAGACTCAATTTCTAGCAGGCAAGTAAACATATCATATAAGAGTTGGCTGTGTGATATAGTAAGACACATAGATGCAAGCTATGAAACTGAACATTTTAGTTAACATAGTGATAAAATGCTGTTGTTGTAGACATGGCAGGGAGAGGGAACCCTAGAGCCTACAGATATATTTACTTTGGCTGAAGCAATTTTTAAAGCAATTTAGATTTGAAAATCTTGACATAGGTCCCTCAAACCTCACTATTTCTATTTGTCTTACAGCAGGACAGCTTCCCTCATTTACATTACCTACACAATACCTGAAGGCATTTGCTTTGTAATCCCTAGAGAACCTTTAAAAATTCTCTCTGTCATAGTTTATGGGTCCTGTCAATAACTGAAATGGTTTCTATGCCTAACAATCCTCTTTACTATTTCAAATTGGTATAATATTCAACATGCACTAAGCCCTTAGGGGATTTTATGGGAAAGGTCAGCTGTAAGAGCCTATTATTGCTCATTATTATTAAGACTCCTTTGTTTCATTCAATCCCTTTATACAGTTGGGGAACACTTCTCAAGGGATGAGTTTATCTCTGTGTACTTTTGCAATAACAGTGGTACTCATTTGCAGTCTTTGCCTTCTTTTAATTCCTCCCTAGTCAAAGAAATCCTCTTTTGTGGTTAATGCTTTTAAATTATTACTTTAAAATCTATCCCTTGTGATATGTAATAGATTTATCTTAACCTGTTACCTATGAACTTGCAGTGACTGTCTACTAGATACTTAACCCTTAGTCTTATTTACATTTTTTCCTAAATTTGACTCTCACTACTGGACAGAAATTCCTGATCCAAAATATGGAAATTAACACAAAAGTGCTTTTAAAAATCATATAATCACAACCATATTTTTAAAAATTACCCTTAAAATTATTATACTCTATAATAAAGCATTTCTTCTCCCTTGCCAGGAGTCATATTTGTCATCATTTAATGTATATGGTTTTCTTTTTCTTTTAAGAAGATATTTTGTGCTGGTAACCCTGTGATGGTACAATTACAAAAAGCCACGGAAAAATGGCTGGCTTTTTCTCATTTCTCTTTAGTCTGCAGAAAGCTGTTAAGAGTGTTTTTCAAACCTTAACAATGTGAAAAATACGAAAACTACAAGATCACAATTTTAGTTGACCAATCAAAGAGTTGATAGGGCAAACAGTTGGCTGAATTACAAAGTGAGACAAGCTTCTCCAAAGAGAGAACATTCAGTCTGGCTCACTTGTGACAGAACATGGGAGGAAGGAGTGGTCACCATACAAGAGAGTTAGATGAAATCAACTCCAATATTTACAAATTTTGGACAATATGGGCTAATGTGTCTGCTGAGGGCTTCAGATTTAGTTGAGTTCTTGTTTTACTCACTAGCAAGCTTCCTCACCTTCCAACCTACCATGAACTTCTACTGGGATCTCATGAGAAAAAATATGGCAGAGCAGGAGTTCAAAGACAGAACGCTGCCGAGACCAGCTTGGTCGGAGAGACCCTAAACCAGCGGCGCTAGGGGAATTAAAGGCACACACACAGAAATATAGAGATGTGAAGTGGGAAATCAGGGGTCTCACAGCCTTCAGACCTGAGAGCCTCGAACAGAGATTTACCCACATATTTATTAACAGCAAGCCAGTCATTATCATTGTTTCTATAGATATTAACTAAAAGTATCCCTTATGGGAAACAAAGGCATTGGTCAAAATAAAGGGATGGGTTGGGCTAGTTAACTGCAGCAGGAGCATGTCCTTAAGGCACAGATTGCTCATGCTATTGTTTGTGGTTTAAGAACACCTTTAAGCCTTTTTCCACCCTGGGCGGCCCAGGTGTTCCTTGCCCTCATTCCCATAAACCCACAACCTTCCAGTGTGGGTGTTATGGCCATCATGAACATGTCACACTGCTGCAGAGATTTTTTTATGGCCAGTTTGGGGGCCAGTTTATGGCCAGATTTTGGGGATCCTGTTCCCAAAAGAACCCCTGGGTAGAACAGGCCTGGAGGTAATTAGCAGATGCTGGTTGGGGAGGAGGAAAGATTTCATGAAACTCTACCCCTCTGACTGGCTCCTTCTCTCATATGAACAAACACCTTGACTCCAGAAAGAGGAAGCAAAACCCATAGTCTCTAAGGAACAACAACAAAAAAACCCACTGTGGTGGAGGCAACAGCAGAAAATATATCTCTCCACTTAGGAGAGAGGCAGAAAACAATCATGCACCAAGGATCCTATTCCAGTACCAAACAGATGTGGTCTGATAACACTTGAAAGGGCAGGAAAACTTTTCTCAAGCTTAACCACAGAAACAAGGCCAAGATTGACTGCCATGGAAAGGAGAAGCAATAATGCTGAGAAAGTCCAAACCCAAAGCTCAGATATACAAAGCCAAACTAAGCCTGAAGCTGAAATGGGACAACAGAAACTGATTGTCATCCCCACAATAAGCCTTGCACTGAGTGGCAACAGCAGTCAACACTGGGTGAGGGGCAACAACATGGAGGAAAAAACCCATGCAAGTGGGTAGGAATGACTGACAGCTAAAAATGGAGTACAAACCCTCAGAATATTCTCTGTCATCACAGCCCTCACCCTAACTGCAAGGAATGATAGCCCACAACTAGAAGAATCTGAAGTCTGTAATGCACTAAAAATAAAACCCAGGTCTAGCACAGCTTCTTCTATATTGATTCAAATTGCTATACCATTTTCCTAACAGAGGAAGAATCATTTCTAATGTAAATAATATTTACTTGTTTCAACTATTTTATTATTGATGTTTTATACTAAAGTAAAAATAAGAAATACAAAACAGAAGGAAAAAAAAACTATAGCTAAGAGATATGAAATACATAAATAGAACCAGTCTCAGAGATTACCTAGAGTTTAAAACCATTACATTGGGACTATAAAATAATTGTTAATGTATTAAACACTCAAGTGGAAAAGACAGACATCACGCATAAGCAGATGAGGAATGTTAGCAGAGACATGGGAACTATTAGAAAACATCAAGTGGAAATGCTAGACAAGAAAAACATTATATCAGAACATTATTCTGGCAGGCTTACCAACAGACTTAACATGGCTTAAGAAAGTATCATTAAACCTGAAAATAGATCAATATAAATTATCCTCACTGAAGCAAAAAGGGAGGAAGAGCGAAAAAATACAGAACAGAGATCTTCAAACTTCTGGTTTGATCAACTAGTCTAATGTGTAACTAGAATTACAGAAGGAGAAAAGAAAGAGAAGAGGACAGAAGAAATATTTGAAGGGACAAAGACTAAAAATCTTCAGAAGAAATCATGAAACACATTCAACAACAAATCTAAAGAATTTACAAAACCCCAAGATAAGTAAATACCCAAATTTAAAACAAAACAAAAACACCACAAAACACATAGATACATCACACATGATAGTTGAAACAGCAGCAAATCAGAGACAAAGAGAAAAATCTTGAAGACAGCCAAGGGGAAAAAATGGTAAAAGAACAAAGATAATAATTAAAGCAGACTTCTTGTCAGAAATCATGCAAAGCGAAAAGCAATAGAATAATATCTTTAACTCGCTGAAAGAAAAAATCCTGTTCACCCAGAATATTAAATGCAGTGAAAAATGAAAGCAAAAAGGAACACCAGAAACACAAATTCTGAGAACTAGATCATTGCCAGGAGACTTGTACTAAAATAAATTTGAAAGGACGTTCCTCAAACAGAGCTCATAATACCAGGTAGAAACTTTGATCTGCACAAAGTAATAAAGACTCTTAGATATGGAAGAACAAGGTAATTTTTAAGAATTTTAAATTATCAATTGCCACAAAAATAAATGTCTAAAGCAATCATATTAATATTGTATAATTTCTAAAATAAGTAAAATTAAAACATGAGAATAACAGCAAAAAGGATAAAAGAATAAGTTTGGGAGAATATTGTCATGAGATTCTTACCCTGCATATGAATTAGTATAATAATACCCAAATATAGACAGTGATAAGTAAAGATGAATATTGTAAACCATATAGTAACCAGAAAAAAATTAATTAAACTGGCTTAGGTTATCTGAAGTGGAAAGACAGAAGAGTTGTGAACAGTCAACAAGAAGTTGGAGGAGAAGATATCGCCAAGAACATGGTAGCTGAAATTTTAGCCCATAAGTTCTAAGGCTTAAGAAACTGATGATCAACCAGAGTGAAGAACCAAGACTTAGAGATAATATAGAGCCACATTAGGATGTTCAGTTGATGCTGAGAGATCTCAGCCACCAACGTGAGGGAGAGCTTCTCTCAAACTGTATATAGGGAGATGACCAACAGCTATTATCAGGAACCTTGGTATCCAATGGAGTAGAAACACTACAAGAATTAGAAACCACTACCCATGCTTTATTCATATTTGAATACCCCAGGTGCCTAGCAAAGTACGCTGAACATACAGTAGTGAACAAGATAGACAAGTCCTTGTGTTAATGGAGCCTACACCCAAAGAAGGGGAGATGGATAGTAAACATGTAATCACATGCAGAAATACTGCAATTTGAGATAAGGATAAGTATTATAAAGTAAAAAGAAAAAATGGGAATATGAGAGAGCTCCTGGTTGTGGAGAAACAAGCTGGTGTGATATCAGAGAAGGTCTCTCTCTGAAGAGGTGATATTTGGGCTGACTTGGAGATAAGAAGTATCCAGTCCTACAGTATAGGAAGAAGAAAGAGTAAACGAAAATCCCTGATGAAAGAATGTCCAGAGTGGTTGGAACCCAGACTGACAAGTGGCTAGAGCTACAGGCAGAAGCCACATTCTATAGGGCCTGGTAAACCATGCCATATGTTCAAATATTCTTTTCATTGAGATGGGACGCTTTTGGTATTCAAGCAGAAATATGACATTAACATTTTTAAAGAGTAAAACCAGAAGCCAGAATAATGCTACATAAAGACCACTGAACTAGGCACAATATTATTCTCAAATTTTTGGTGATACTGGGCTTAAATATGGACTCCAATTAATAGTAAATGTGATGAACACTTTCACTACTCCCTGTATAACTGCTGCTATCATTTAAGTGTTCATTATGTTCTAGAATCTTTGTAAAAGGTTTTCCCATGCATGATATCTAAACTTCACAATAGCTCTGACAGGAAACTAAGCCTTAGCAAGTTTAGATTAATTGCCACATGGTCACACTTTGTGATAGTTTTCTAATACTAGTGTAAAAAATTACTACAATCTGAGTGAATTAAAGCAACATACTTTATTCTTGTATACCTCTGAAGGTAAGAGGTTTAAAATATGTCCACAGGGCTGCATTTTTTCTGCAGGCTCTAGGGGGAAAACTGTCCCCTTGCCCATTCCAACTTTCAGAGCTTGCCCACATTCCTTGGCTTGCAGCCCCTTTCTCCATATTCAATGTGCATCACTCTAATTTTTTCTTTGCTTCTATCCTTAGCTTTTCTCCTGGACTCTAACTTCACTGCCTTCTTCTTTGAAGGATCCTTATGATTACATTTGTCCTACCTAGATAATGCGGGATCATCTTTCCATCTATCACTTTAATCACATGCAAAGTGCTTTAATCATATAATTAACATATTCACAGTTTCTAAGAATGAGATGGGCATCTTTAGGGAAACATTATGCAGCCTACATATAGGATTTGTGCCCCCATCTTTTGGGGACAAGATGAAAGAAAAGTCACTATAAAGTGAAAGAATCTTTGCACATAAAATAAGGAAATGCATTCGTCTTCCAGGAAAGACATTGACCTGGAGGGAATGACGGATGGATGTAGAGTAGAAATGCAGGCTGGCCAGGAGCCTACATGTGTGGAGCAGATTAGCATCACCTAAGGAAAATAGAATCAATTTGCCCTTCTTGTGCTGGGCCCAATAAATATGCCCTAAATATATATCGCCTTATTCAATCTTCACAGCCAGTTTATAAAATACATATTATAGTCTGTATTAACCCATTCTCACATTGCTATAAAGAAATACCTAAGACTGGGCAATTTATAAGAAATGAGGTTTAATTGTCTCACAGTTCTGCAGGCTGTACAGGAAGTATGGTGGCATCTGCTTCTGGGGAGGCCTCAGGAAGCTTTTACTCATGGTGGAGGGCAAAGCAGGAGCAGGTGCATCTCACATGGTGGGAGGAGTAGCGAGAGAGAGAGAGAGCAGGGAGGTGCTACACACTTTTAAACAACCAGATCTCATGAGACTTCTATCACAAGAACAGCACCAAGAGGATGGTACTAAGCAATTTGTATTAGTCAGGGTTCTCCAGAGGGACAGAACTAATAGGATAGATGTATATTTGAAAGGGAGTTTATTAGGGAGAATTGGCTCAAACAATCACAAGGTGAAGTCCCGCAGTAGGCCACCTGCAAGATGGGGAAGAAAAAAGTCAGTAGTGGCTCAGTCCGAGTCCAAAAGCCTCAAAAGCAGGGAAGCTGACAGTGCAGCTTTTAGTCTAGCTGAAGGCCTGAGAGCCTCCAGCAAGCCACTCATGTAAGTCCAAGAGTCCAAAGGCCAGAGAACCTGGAGTCTGATGTCCAAGGGCAGGAGGAGTGGAGAGAAGCAAGTGGCATGGAAGAAAGATAAGAGCCAGAAGACTCAGCAAATTGGTTTATCCCATCTTCTGACTGCTTTGATCTAGCCATGCTGGCAGCTGATTGGATGGTGCCTACCCACATTGAGGGTTGGTCTTCCTCTCCCAGTCCATTGACTCAAATGTGAATCCCCTCTGGCAACACCCTCACAAACACACCCAGAACTAATACTTTACCAGCTACCTAGGCATCCTTCAATCCAATTAAGTTGACACCTAATATTAACCATCACACCATTCATGGAGGATCCACCCTCATAATCCAATCACCTCCCACCAGGCTCCACCTCCAACATTGGGGATTACAGCTCCATGTGAGATTTAGTGGGGACACAGGTCCAAACCACGTCATAGTTCCACTTTTACAAGTGAGGAAACTTGAACTTTTTCATTTACAAGTTAATGAAGTAGTGGGCCACTATCTGTATCTAGCTCAGATTCTAAAGCTTATGTTATATTATTTTTTAATTCAAAAATATCACAGAGAGAATCTTAAGAGAAAATTTGTCAAACTGGAACACTAGCCTAGGGAGTAGGTTGGGTAAATACGTCATATTGAAGAAGAGTTTGGAGATGGATCTAGAGATGATTAACTTGAAAGAGAGGACCAGGGGCAGTGGCTCATGTCTGTAATCTCAGCACTTTGGGAGGCCAAGGCAGGCAGGTGACCTGAGATCAGGGGTACCAGATCAGCCCGCCCAACATGACAAAACTCTATCTCTACTAAAAATACAAAAAAATTAGCCGGGTGTAGTGGTAGGCACCTGTAGTCCCAGCTGCTCAGGAGGCTGAGGCATGAGAATCACTTGAACCTGGGAGGTGGAGGTTGCAGTCAGCCAAGATTGCAAGACTTAACTCCAGCCTGGGTGACAGAGTGAGACTCTGTCTCAAAATAAATAAATAAATAAATAAAATAAAAAAAGAAAGAGAGCAGGAATTGGGGATGATTAACTTGAAAGAGAGAAGTCTTTGAGAAATCTTACGATAATGCTGTCATGTAGAGGAGTGCCTAGACCTGGTACATAAAACTTAGAAAAAAAAAAGTCATAAGAAATACAGATTTGAGGTGGGGCTCATTGCTGAAAACAAAATTTAGAAAGCTCTAGATTTTTTTCTAGTGTGGTGGTAAGAACTTGGACTCTGGAACCAGAATGCCTGTGTTTGAATTCTGGCTCCTCCCATTTACTAGCTTTATTTCCTTGTTCAAAATATTTAACTTTCCTATGCCCAGGTCTCCTAACTCTAAATGAGGACAAAAGCATTAGCTTTCTCATAAATTTTTTATAAGCATTCAATGAACTGATAAAGCATTTAATACTATTCCTGGCAATAATATGCACTCTACAAATGTTAGTTATTATAATTATAGGAGGATAAACTAACATAGTGAGTGCTAGTCACACGGAGAAATATAGACATGTGGGGTTGAAAGATCTCCATGACTAGAATGACTCAAACAAAAGTTAGTCAAACACGAAAAATGCTTGAGAGAAGATAACAGCATCTGGTAGAAAGTTAAGAGTAGGCCAACTTTCATGTTCCATGAAATGCTTGTAAAATGAGATGATAAAAACTACTTGTGATGGTTAATATTAGTTATCAACTTGATTGGATTGAAGGATGCCTGGATGGCTGGTAAAATATTGTTTCTGGATGTGCCTGTGAGGGTTTTGCCAGAGGAGACTGACATTTGTGTAAGTGGACTGGGAGAGGAAAACCCACCCTCAATGTGTAGGGGGGTTACCTTTTAATCTGCTGCCAGCATGGCTAGAACAAAGCAGGGGGAAGAAGGTGGGATAACCTTGCCTGCTGAGTTTCTGGCTTCCTTTTTTTTCCCTGTGCTGGATGCCTCCTTCTGCTCCTTCTACCCATAGACATCAGACTCCAGGTTCTTAGGGCTTTGGACTTTTAGACTTTCACCAGTGGTTTGCTGGGGACTCTTGGGTCTTTGGCCGCAGACTGAAGGCTGCACTCTCGGCTTCCCTGCTTTTGAGGCTTTTGGACTCAGACTGAGCCACTACAAGCTTCTCTCTTCCCTAGTTTGCAGACAGCCCATCATGGGACTTTGCCTTGTAATCCTTTGAGCCAATCTCCCGAATAAACTTCCTTTCATGTGTAGATACATCCTATTAGTTCTGTCCCTCTGCAGAACCCTAACTAATACACTATTCCATGAGTTGAGGGTCAGGAAAAGGTAATTGATTAAATAAGTTATAAATGATATCCTTGACTTGGGAATTAACTGTGTATATTATCATGTTAGAGTTCTGAGAAGTCCTACAGAAACAGAAGGCCACAAAACTTATTTTTAAACCCTTGATTTTCACCTGTGTACATGTATATATGTGTGTGAGTGTGTGGTGTGGGGAGGAGGGAGAGAGCCATAAAAAGAGAGAAAGAGACCCTTATTGATATCTAGTGTATTTTCTTTGGAGTACAGTTTGTGAAATGTGAAATTAATAGACTAGATAATCTCTAAAGTACCTTTGCTTCTAAGCTATTATGCTTCTAGGTTTATATAACATGATTCCACAATGTGTTAAAATAACATGCTCTACAATAATGTGAACTCTCAGTTTATAACTTTATTTCACTATAGATTTTCTAAACACTGCAATTCTTCAGATGCCTATGCCTACATCATTTTAAATTTTCCAAGAGGAATATTCCTAAATAGCAACTTCCTTTGGCAAGGGTACTTTCAGATTCTGAGCAGATGCCATTGGTTTTTAGAACCAGTTCAACAATAATTACTCTTTAATTCAGGATCAGCCAAAAAGAAATAATGGCACATTCATGGCAAATAACCAGATACATAAAATTCTGACCAGGTATGCCATACCCTGCTTCAAAGGCCTAAGAAATATGTAAGATACAGAAAAATGTTTTGTAAACTGTAACTGTTAGCTGTTCATCCTTGCAAGAGTAAAATAGAATAATTATTTTTAAAATTATATCATATCCTGAACATGAGTTGGGTCTTTTTTTTCATGTACTCAGCAAAATCACAGATTTGTAGTATTTGTAGTTCATAGCATGAACACACAGCAGGCATGCTCCAGTTCTCTTAACAACTCTTCAAAGGAGGTGTTGTCATCTTCAGAGAGCCCTGCTCCCTTTTCCTTCACTATACTGCAGACATCTTAATCTTTTTTCAAACCTCAAACATATCAAGCCTACACTTTCCTCAAGGTCTTGATGCTGCTGTATCCTCTGGTTGGAAATCTTTACTCAGATCTTCACCTTAGTTAACCTCTTTTCACTCAGATTTCAATTCACAATAGCCCCCTTAGAGAACCCTTCTCTGATAGCTCTTATCTAAAAGTGCAACACTCCTAACTAGTGACTAGCTATTCTTTGTGCTTATTGCTATTTGAAACTATGTTAATAATTTCTTTATTTTTACTAATTATATGAACCTACTATCATACACAATTTACTAGGCTGAAGCCTTGTCTGAAAAGCTTCTGTTCCTAGAAATATGCTTAGCCCATGGTTGATTCTCAATAAATATTATATTCTTTCTATTAATGAATAAATTTTATCTGCTATTTTGATTAAAAGAAGCAAAAACAAAAAATTCCTTCTACAGAAAGCTTATTTTAATTTCAGTATACCTCAAATTCACTAACACGGGAGAATAGTTTTTTTTAATGTTATATATATTCTTAATTAAATATGGACTTCTTACATAATGCCCAGGAATAGCTTACTAAGCGACTGTTAGTTAAGATTTGGTTGTCTCCACAGGGTCAAAGGCAAAATGACTCAGAAGTTTAGCAACTGTAATTTACAGGTGAACCAGACAGACTAAGATACTACCAGCTAGTTTTCACCATGTAGTTGAAATAAGCTAAGGATCCAAATTTATAATTAAAATAATTTTCATGTCTTTTCTAGCCACATAGGTTAAAAGAAAAAAAGAAGCCTATAATTCTTTCCCACAGATTGGGAGACTGGGCATGTTCCTTTATCCCCAATGACAATAGCTTTGAACTGTGCTCCCAATAGGTAGGACAATCAGTCACTGGGTTAGATAGAGTGCCTTTAGGCCTCACTTACTACAACCTCCTCTTTTTGTGGCTGTGGAAACCAGATGTTGGAAGAGTTATGCAACATGCTGGGGCCACATTGTGGTAGAAGAGAGATGAGAGTACTCAAAACCAGGGGCTTCAATTCTCCAGTTCAACTTTCTGTTCACTAGTTCACACCACCCTTCCCTGAATTTCTGGGAGTCTCCATTGCATGTCCAACTTCTTGATCACCTCTGTCACATCCCTCTTCGATCATTTTGGGAAAAATATCCTTCTAACCAACTGAAATATTATTATATTCTAAACTTATATTCACTTATTAAATTTACCTATGATCCATAATCAACTATATTCAATTCTAGTCCTTGATCAATGCTTAAATAACTGATTATCTTCCATTATTCCCTACCAATCCACAGCATTATTAGTGATATCTTTTGGGCTTAAAATTGAAATGAACTTATATTGCATTTATTTATGAGTCTATTTTTCAAAGTCATTTTAGGTTATTGTAACCTAAGCCCTCCCCTAGAAAATTATTAAATGGCCTAGCCATAACCTTGGAAAACATGTGCTTAAATGCTGATAGAGGGATTTTGACTATCAGGTGCAGTTGAAATAAATGCCTCTATGAACTACATTTTACTACATCCTAGTAACGGATTTCCTGATTCTCAGAGCTTCATTTTCCATTTTCATAATTATCATGCTGTTACTGTCATAGTAAAATAATGTTTATTCATCTTGCTATTTGTCCTTCATGATCATTTTATTATTGTTGTAAAAACCTAACGATTAAATTGGCAGAACAAAACCACAACTAAATGGTGTTCACAGAGAAACGTTTAATAATTTCGTGACCTAAAGTTAGTTATATTTATAAAATCGAAGTGACTTTGAGGAATAAAATTTGTTTATTGATTTTTCCTTATATAAAATCATTTAGTTAAGAGGAATTTATCATGGATATGAAGATGTTACCATCAAGATTGATTTAGATTGACATACCCAGACTGAAGATGTGTTAAAACTATCATAAGACTGGCATCGATATATCACAGTCTCTGAACTATCAAAAATCACTGCAGTGTGAACAAGCGTAAAACTTTTTATTAACATACTCCATTGCTGAAACATAAATTTTGACTATAGTGTGCTCTGGCCTTGAAAGAACTAACTCAGTAATCAAAAACCACAGTAATAGGGTCAGCTAATAATGAGGAAAGTTTAACTAATGCATATAAATTAGCTATTCCTCTCCTGTCAGCAATTATTAGTAATCCTGCTTTGATAAAGAAATATCAGGCTCTGAAGCCAGACCAACTGGATTTAAATTTTAGCTTCACCATTTTATTGGCTATGTCGTCTAGGACAACTCACTTAACATATATTGGTCTCAGTTATTTCACAAATTATATGTGAATATTTTATACTGAGATTGTTGTGAAGAAAATATCTTAGTTATAACAGTCCCTAATAAGTGATTGTCAAAGGTTAGCCCATAATATTAATAAGATGGTAATGTTGTTAATTAATTAACTCAGATTATACTAAAATCACTATGATGGTATGCACAAATTATTTTAAAACCTTTCTTTAGAGATTAGTCAATTCAAAATATGTAGTAATGTGGGTCATCTTTGTGTACAATGTAAATGCTGATTGTAATTTAGATGTGCAGAAATTGTCCTGCAAATAGATACTTAAGATTAACTAATTCTGAATGACATAACTTACTACCAGCTACTAATTTCAAGAAAAGCTTTTCTTGCGCCTTTTCTTTATTCCCCCAGAAAAATATTATATGAGTGACCACAAAAATATTCATAGCAAACTTATTCACAAAAATCTCAAACTAGAAATAACCCAAATAGCCACCAACAGGAGAATGGATTGAAATTATGATATATTCATACACTAGGATAGTATACAGCAATGAAAATAAATGAATTACTGATACACACAACATAGATGGATCTCAAAAAAACATGATGAAAGAAGTCATGCACAAAAGTGTACATATAATTCCCATCACATGAAGTTTAATAACAGTAAAAGTAACCTATGGTAATAGAAGTTAGAATAGTGCTACTCTAAAGTGCAAGGATGGTGAATACTAACTAGGAAGAAACATGAAGGAACCTTCTAGAGTAACAGAAATGTTCTCTATCTTGATCTGGATGACCTGGATAGTGTATTTTCACATATACATACACATGTAAAATTCATCAAACTGTACGTTTAAGATGTGTGAATTAGTAGTGCATAAATTAGACCTCAAAAAACTAAATATATATAAAAGACTGAAAGCTGACAACTTAATTGCCTACGCATATCATTTTCATTTCTTAAATTTACACTAACTAGGACTTCCAATTCCAACCAAGATGGAATAACAAAGACATGATTTAATCTCTCACCTGAAATAACTAAGATGCAAAGAAAATATAGACATCATTTAGACTGGGACAATGATGCCTAAAAGATAGAAACAAAGAATTGAGCCCTACGTTTGTCCAGATTACTGCCTGGAGTTTTTAGGCTGCAGTACAGGGAAGGATAAACTTTAAGTGAATTGGGATAAATTTAAGAGGCATATTGTAGTCTATATAGCAAACACTAAGAAAATAAATTGAGCTAAAAATCTGACTATAAAATTTTATAGTCAGATTATTAAAAGAAGTCAAAAAGGATAAAGGGGAAAAAAGAGACAAATAATAACCAAATAGCAAAAAAACAGACCTAAATAAATAATAGAAAAATTGCTTTTATATATAAAAGTAGAATGAAAACTTCAACCAAAAGTCAGAGACTGTCAGGCTCAATAAAAAGCAAGAATCACCTATATGCTACCTGCAAGGAACACAAATACAGTCACAAATCATCAAACATAAAATACTGGGAAAATATATTGCATGTAAATAGCAAGATTTAAAAAGGTAGAGTCTTTATATAGAGGCTTATAGAGGCTATATTAATATCAGAAAAATAGACTTCTAGACTGCACATTGCTGGAAACAAGTAGGGTAATGTCACAATAACAAAAGGTCAACACACCATGAAGACATGACAATTATACATATATATGTACATCATAACACGGCTTCAAAATATATAAAGCAAAACTTACAGAAATAAAGAGAAAAATAGACAAATACATAATTATAGTTGGAATATTTAACTTATTTGTTTCAGTAATTGATACTAGAGAAATAAGATCAGTAAAGGTAGAGAATAACACTAACAAAAGCTTTAATCTAACTGGCATTTACAAATCACTACCCTTAACAATTGCAGACTTTGTCAGCAAGAAAGTCAGTAACAGAAGATAATTGCTGAGGGAGAAACAAGGACTGTGTGCCACATCACTCCCATGATTCAGTCAACCCCAAATCTCCCTTAGATCTTTCCTTCACCTCTCAAAGGCCTCACTTGCTGGTGCTGTTATGTCTACATTTAGGAAAATTAGAGAGAAAGGAAAGAAGAAAGTGATTGCACTTTTCATAAGCCCCAAATGGAATATTAATCTATCTCTGCTCAATTTCTTCCCATTTATATTAGAGTTCTCTGTTTTACCTCTACTCAATTTGGTATTTTAGTAGCACTGAATTGCCCTTTTGACTGCAAGTTCTTGTGCTATTTGCTATTATGCTCAATGCTCTTCATATATATATATATAAATACTTTAAGTTTTAGGGTACACGTGCACAACATGCAGGTTTGTTACATATGTATACATGTGCCATATTGGTGTGCAATGCTCTTCTACATAGTGGTTAGTATTGACAACTCTGAAGTCAGAAAGTTCAAACCATGGCTTCACCACTTAGGAGTTGTGTGATTTATGACATGCTACTTAAACTCTGTTGTTTTTTTTTCCTCACATGCAATGTAAGTATGATAACTATATAATAGTTATGAAGATTAAATGTATGAAATATTTTGAATAGTAATTACTCAATAAAAATTAGCTACCATTATTATTGATATTTCAAGTAGAGGAATAAACATATCCCTGGGGATCCAAAGGCTGTGGTTAGCATTAAGAAAACTCAAATTATTTTTGGATCCAGGCAGTTGGCTAGCTGGTTAACAGCCTTTATTCTTGTGGTTCCTTTTTGATTTTCAAAAATATTTTGTGTAAATTTTCTATTAAATACTATTTCAAAAATACTACCCTTTTTTTCAGCTTCTAGTAAAAAGTTTCTAAAATACCAGGGAGTAATGTCCTAGCCAGCGGCTGACAGTATTCTTAGCTGAGGAGTGTCTTTTATGACTTCTTTATGGTGTTCTCTGAAAATTAACAAGGTGACTGCATTAAAACATTTATTAGTCTGTTTATGCTTTGGCACTCTTGTTAGACTTTTATTTAATTTCCAAGAGGGATAATGATTGGGAAAAGGTTCTATATAAACAGAAAGTGTGAGTAGCAAAGGAAACTGATACATATCCTAATGGAATGCTCATGTCCTGAGTGCTATAAAAATGCTACCTCTGACATGACCATAAAATGTTAGAGACCAGAGATTTCTTAGATTACAAAATTTTGGAGTTGGATTATACCTAGGAGTTTAGTTTGACAAATTTCTCATTTTATAGGTTTGGGAAAAAAATGAGACAAAAAAATTAAGTAACTTAGTCAAAATTAAATCTCAGAACAAGAGCCTCTTGACTTACAGTGCAATTTTCTTTCCACTATGCCAGTTTTCCTCTCTTGTTGATTTCCCTTCTTGAATGACAGTTTCTAAACTCAAAGCTGAATTTACTTTTCCATGGCCTAAACAGACTTTCAATCAGAAATGTTTCCATTAATCATTAAAATAGTTGATTGAGACTTAAACCAAATATTACTTGGTTTAAATTCTTTTGGAGTAACCTAACAAGTCTTTCTTCCTCCTAAAAGTCAGAACTCTGAGTTACTTAAAGATTTGAAATAGACTGTCTTCAAAATTTATTAGTACATAACTAAGGCATCAATAAGTAACCAAAGAAGTATGTGGGATTTCTATCAACAATGAGCTCTTTAAGGAGAAACAAAAATTCAGTTTCTCAAAGAGTGTGAGTATAACTGTTCTAATTCAACCAAGAGAGTAGCCAGGATGGGTTATTTGCACGATTTAATCTACTTAACAGATAAGTTTTATTTTATTTATGGACAATATTGATGAGTCATTCAGTCTAGAAAACATTTCCTACAGATTTTAGAAAACTAGACCTCTTGACAGGGTCAAACTCTAGAGATGGAAGAGTTCTTGAGAATACACAGACTATTCCTATACAGAAAACAAATCTGGTAAGTCTAATTAAGTAATCGGGGGGGAAAATGAACAAGCCTATATCAGACTCAATGTTCTCCTCTAAAAATTATTCACATATGGGCCCCAACTGTAGGTCAAGGCCTCAAATTAAGGTTTAATACTATGTGTTGCCTTGACGTCTGGTGAGATCAAGAGGGCCTCAAATGGCCCAGGAGCAATTTCCCCTCCCCACTCTGCTCCCATGGATAAATTCCACTAGCAAAACAATACTCCTTATTAAGCAGACCAGGCACAATTCCTGCTTATTTTCCCTGAATAGCAGGTTTCAGTTCCCTGCCAACCTACAGAATTATTCTAACAAGCCAATGTCATCATCTTCATCCCATGGGAACAAAATGGCACCCCACCCTATTGTTACTAAGAATCCTACCTGCCACAGCTCCTGGTTATTCACTCTGTTCCCAAAGGTAACCCCTGTGCGGCCCTACATAGTATGCAGTGTCCTTCTCTCCCGGCTGTGAGTACATTGACTAATAAACTGCTGTCGATCTCATCTGTCCAGTGTTGAGTGTCCTATATTCAGCCATCCCATAATTCTAAGGCAGGAATCCTTTCATCAACGAAGTAAATGGGAGACAATCAAAACACATGCATAAATGATTTTGTATTATAGCAAGTTGAATACATTAGCTGACAGAGGAGACGCCACTGGGCTGGTCCTCTTCCACCCTGTCTGCATGACATACTCAAACATCCTTGACCCATGCACCTCCTTTAAGGCATATAACCATTAAAATTACAAAACAGACATTTTGTATTTCTTATCCTTTTTCCTGTAGGTTGCCAGCTGTTTCCCATTTCAGACAACAGAATGAACGAAGAAAATGAATGAAAGGCTGAATGAGATATTACATAAAAGAAAGTGACAGGTGTTACACATTCGACTGAATGTGCCTCATTATCATCTTTAAAAAGGACAGATTATCATTTTTAATTTAATATAAGGAAAAGAATAGTAAACGGTTTCACTTGGATTGTTAATACTATGATTACACCAGTATTACAGAATAATTTTTAGAAAACACTTACAGGAGATTTACAGGTCATGATGGTAGTCTTAAAACAGATTTACATCCCTTGCCTCCTAAGGACTTGTTGAAATGTTCATAAAGCAATAAATATCGTGCAAACCAACAACAGAAAAAAAGATCAAGAAGTGGAACCAGGAGAACGGAAGTGATTTTCATAAATTTCTAAGGAAAATGATTGCTTACTGACTACTGAGGCAGAGCAGAAGTTATAATCTGGAAAATATGCCAAGGACACTGCAGTGAGAAAGGCAGCTGACTCAGAGAAAGTGGGGGTTCAGAATCTATAAGTCAGAGAGAGAGCATGTACACAAGTAAAAAAGAGGGGCAAAAAATGAGGAGATACATTTATGAGTCTGAAAACAGAATATCCCCACACCCACTCTCCTAATCTAGAAGGCATAATAACAACTGGAAGCTAACCAAAGGAATGATGTTCCTAATATTGCTGTGCCTCTTTTTTTTTTTAATTCATTCTTTTTGAGATGTGGCAAGCTTCTTCCATCTAAAACATTTAAGTTTTTTCATCTCAAATAAGTTTTATTATCATTTGGAATATTATATCTTCCAGTAGATATTGGTCATTTGTAGTTGCTTGACATCTTGAAATATCATTCCTAAATATTGGTAATTTTCTACAGTGCCACTTCCACTCCCCAAGTTAGAAGAAAAAATACCTGGCTGGGGGAATTGATTTTCCAGAAGGCCTAGTGATAGATATGTCATGCTTTTGGGGCACAGTAGGGTAGAAAAGCTTTTGCCTCCAGTCCTAAGTAGTGACGCTAATGTCATTTGTGCTATAGAAGGCTTTTTGTGCTTGGGCATTATTCTTGGCTATCTAGCTTCAGAATCTGATCCTCAGTCCTGGATGGCAAAAGTCCTCAGTGCTGAGGGCAGTTTTGCTAGGGAAGCCCCCAGGTTTTCCTAGGGTGTTACATCAATAGCCATGCTAAATTTCCAGCCAGGCTGTAGAGATATGACCAAATACATTTTAAAAAATTATTTTACTTCTTCAACTAGACAGTGGGCATTCTCTTGTTTGCAGGAAGAATTTTAACAAACATGTTTCATCTGTTCTATTTTCTCCTTAAAGAAATATTATTATTAGCTTATGTGGTCTTCTACATCATCCATGTCTTTTATCAATATAGTCACAATTTTGTTTCTTTGTACTTTTGCACTGCCTGAAGATTTTATATTTTATCAAATATTCCAGAAACCTAACTTGGTAGTCATTTTCCTTTTTTGATTTCTCTGCTACTATTTAAAATTCTAAAATCATGTATTTTTTCCCAAACGTCCTTTATGAACTCTAATCATAGGTACTTGAAAGTGTATAGTACACTTAAATTAAAATGTGTTTTTTTGTTTCTCCAATTAGTCCTCTGTCCTATAAAGGCATTTGTCCTTGTTCTGTTTTTGCCTGCTGAAAAATCACTGCACTCTGCTATGAAGTGCAATCACTCTGCCTAGCGATGACAGTGGATGTGGGATACTTCAGCATCAGGACTCATTATCTGTTACACTCTCCCTAAGAGACCACAGATAATAAAATGGGAAATTTACTCCAATGGGCCCGAAGCAAAAGCCTCAGCAAACTGAGCCCTCACCACTGAGATATGCTGAGGAGGGGAAGATGTGCAGATACATGTGGCAAGGAGCCCTAACACTATTGCCACACTTGAGTGCTGAATAGCTTTAGGGACAGGCAGTATCTTGCAGCATTTACATGCAACAAAAACATAACAGCAGTTCTCCCAACTGGGTAAATTATTTGAAAGTCACCAGCCTCTCTCAAACTGTCATCTTTCTTATCTTAAACATTAGATCTGAGATATATCCAGTGAGAACTGAAGCTAACATAATTTCCTTTTCCCCCGTTAAATTATATTAGGACGAGGCACATTTCTTATCTTTGGAAAATTCAGAACATACTATTTTTCATGGCATTAATATATTTTTTCAGTAATGTGGAAATTCTTTTACATTTTATACAAAGTCTACTGAAATACAAAGTCAATTGATCATAAATATCATTTTACTTTGTCAAATATATTATTTATTAATTAAAATACTGACCAGATTTTTATTCTCACCCAGAAGAAAAAGAAGTACTTACTTATTGAAAAATATGATTTCAAACA
Organism: Homo sapiens; assembly: GCF_000001405.40. Lineage (NCBI taxonomy): Eukaryota > Metazoa > Chordata > Mammalia > Primates > Hominidae > Homo > Homo sapiens. The sequence goes on along the minus strand of NC_000002.12, from coordinate 180,303,215 downwards.
GTTCATTCATTCAAACTCAACTAATTAATTTATAAAATCTTAAAGAATATTAATCTTACCCATGGTTCACCTTAGGACAGATAAAAAAGATGGGTCTGCCTGGTCAATTTTGCTAAATTTTTATTTTATCTACATTAATATTTTTTTTAACTTTAAAAGAGAATTTACTCACAACTTGAATTAGATTTTTTTTTAAAGTGGTTTATTATTATTATTATACTTTAAGTTTTAGGGTACATGTGCACAATGTGCAGGTTAGTTACATATGTATACATGTGCCAAGCTGGTGTGCTGCACACATTAACTCGTCATTTAGCATTAGGTATATCTCCTAAAGCTATCCCTCCCCCCTCCCTGCACCCCACAACCGTCCCCAGAGTGTGATGTTCCCCTTCCTGTGTCCATGTGTTCTCATTGTTCAATTACCACCTATGAGTGAGAATATGCAGTGTTTGGTTTTTTGGTCTTGCGATAGTTTACTGAGAATGATGGTTTCCAATTTCATCCATGTCCCTACAAAGGACGTGCACTCGTCCTTTTTTATGGCTGCATAGTATTCCATGGTGTATATGTGCCACATTTTCTTAATCCAGTCTATCTTTGATGTACATTTGGGTTGGTTCCAAGTCTTTGCTATTGTGAATAATGCCACAATAAACATACGTGTGCATGTGTCTTTATAGCAACATGATTTATAGTCCTTTGGGTATATACCCAGTAATGGGATGGCTGGGTCAGATGGTATTTCTAGTTCTAGATCCCTGAGGAATTGCCACACTGACTTCCACAAAGGTTGAACTAGTTTACAGTCCCACCAACAGTGTAAAAGTGTTCCTATTTCTCCACATCCTCTCCAGCACCTGTTGTTTCCTGACTTTTTAATGATTGCCATTCTAACTGGTGTGAGACGGTATCTCATTGTGGTTTTGATTTGCATTTCTCTGATGGCCAGTGATGGTGAGCATTTTTTCACGTGTTTTTTGTCTGCATAAATGTCTTCTTTTGAGAAGTGTCTGTTCATGTCCTTTGCCCACTTTTTGATGGGGTTGTTTGTTTTTTTGTTGTAAATTTGTTTGAGTTCATTGTAGATTCTGGATATTAGCCCTTTGTCAGATGAGTAGGTTGTGAAAATTTTCTCCTAAAGCAAGTCCTGAGTGACCTACAAAGAGACTTAGACTCCCAGACAATAATAATGGGAGATTTTAACACCCCACTGTCAACATTAGACAGATCAACAAGACAGAACGTTAACAAGGATACCCAGGAATTGAACTCAGCTCTGCACCAAGTGGACCTAATAGACATCTGCAGAACTCTCCACCCCAAATCAACAGAATACACATTATTTTCAGCACCACACCACACCTATTCCAAAATTGACCACATACTTGGAAGTAAAGCTTTCCTCAGCAAATGTAAAAGATCAGAAATTATAACAAACTGTCTCTCAGACCACAGTGCAATCAAACTAGAACTCAGGATTAAGAAACTCACTCAAACCCGCTCAACCACATGGAAACTGAACAACCTGCTCCTGAATGACTACTGGGTACATAACAAAATGAAGGCAGAAATAAAGATGTTCTTTGAAACCAACGAGAACAAAGACACAACATACCAGAATCTCTGGGATGCATTCAAAGTAGTGTGTAGAGGGAAATTTATAGCACTAAATGCCCACCAGAGAAAGCAGGAAAGATCCAAAATTGACACCCTAATATCACAATTAAAAGAACTAGAAAAGCAAGAGCAAACACATTCAAAAGCTAGCAGAAGGCAAGAAATAACTAAAATCAGAGCAGAACTGAAGGAAATAGAGATACAAAAAACCCTTCAAAAAATAAATGAATCCAGGAGCTGGTTTTTTTGAAAGGATCAACAAAATTGATAGACTGCTAGCAAGACTAATAAAGAAGAAAAGAGAGAAGAATCAAATAGACGCAATAAAAAATGATAAAGGGGATATCACCACTGATCCCACAGAAATACAAGCTACCATCAGAGAATACTACAAACACCTCTACACAAATAAACTAGAAAATCTAGAAGAAATGGATAAATTCCTCGACACATACACCCTCCCAAGACTAAACCAGGAAGAAGTTGACTCTCTGAATAGACCAATAACAGGATCTGAAATTGTGGCAATAATCAATATCTTACCAACCAAAAAGAGTCCAGGACCAGATGGATTCACAGCCGAATTCTACCAGAGGTACAAGGAGGAACTGGGACCATTCCTTCTGAAACTATTCCAATCAATAGAAAAAGAGGGAATCCTCCCTAACTCATTTTATGAGGCCAGCATCATCCTGATACCAAAGCCGGGCAGAGACACGACCAAAAAAGAGAATTTTAGACCAGTATCTTTGATGAACATTGATGCAAAAATCGTCAATAAAATGCTGGCACACCGAATCCAGCAACACATCAAAAAGCTTATCCACCATGATCAAGTGGGCTTCATCCCTGGGATGCAAGGCTGGTTCAATATATGCAAATCAATAAATGTAATCCAGCATATAAAAAGAACAGAAGACAAAAACCACATGATTATCTCAATAGATGTAGAAAAGGCCTTTGACAAAATTCAACAACCCTTCATGCTAAAACCTCTCAATAAATTAGGTATTGATGGGACTTATCTCAAAATAATAAAAGCTATCTATGACAAACCCACAGCCAATATCATACTGAATGGGCAAAAACTGGAAGCATTCCCTTTGAAAACTGGCACAAGACAGGGATGCCCTCTCTCACCACTCCTATTCAACATAGTGTTGGAAGTTCTGGCCAGGGCAATTAGGCAGGAGAAGGAAATAAAGGGTATTCAATTAGGAAAACAGGAAGTCAAATTGTCCCTGTTTGCAGATGGCATGATTGTATATTTAGAAAACCCCATTGTCTCAGCCCAAAATCTCCTTAAGCTGATAAGCAACTTCAGCAAAGTCTCAGGATACAAAATCAATGTACAAAAATCACAAGCATTCTTATACACCAACAACAGACAAACAGAGAGCCAAATCATGAGTGAACTCCCATTCACAATTGCTTCAAAGAGAATAAAATACCTAGGAATCCAACTTACAAGGGACGTGAAGGACTTCTTCAAGGAGAACTACAAACCACTGCTCAATGAAATAAAAGAGGATACAAACAAATGGAAGAACATTCCATGCTCATGGGTAGGAAGAATCAATATTGTGAAAATGGCCATACTGCCCAAGGTAATTTATAGATTCAATGCCATCCCCATCAAGCTACCAATGACTGTCTTCACAGAATTGGAAAAAACTACTTTAAAGTTCATATGGAACCAAAAAAGAGCCCGCATCGCCAAGTCAATCCTAAGCCAAAAGAACAAAGCTAGAGGCATCACGCTACCTGACTTCAAACTATACTACAAGGCTACCGTAACCAAAACAGCATGGTACTGGTACCAAAACAGAGATATAGATCAATGGAACAGAACAGAGCCCTCAGAAATAACGCTGCATATCTACAACTATCTGATCTTTGACAAACCTGACAAAAACAAGAAATGGAGAAAGGATTCCCTATTTAATAAATGGTGCTGGGAAAACTGGTTAGCCATATGTAGAAAGCTGAAACTGGATCCCTTCCTTACACTTATACAAAAATTAATTCAAGATGGATTAAAGACTTAAACATTAGACCTAAAACCATAAAAACCCTAGAAGAAAACCTAGGCATTACCATTCAGGACATAGGCATGGGCAAGGACTTCATGTCTAAAACACCAAAAGCAATGGCAACAAAATCCAAAATTGACAAATGGAATCTAATTAAACTAAAGAGCTTCTGCACAGCAAAAGAAACTACCATCAGAGTGAACAGGCAACCTATACTAACATATTTTATGTCTTCTTTCTGGTGTGCTAAGAGACCCAGATAGGAAATATACAGTTACACATTTAGGTGTCTCAGATAAAAATCATGTCTATCTATCTATTACTACATAATTATAAGGCAAGTACTACGTGACTCTACCTGTAAAAAAAGTTAAAGAAACTAACCTATGAATATATTTTTTCTTTTAAAAATACAAACAACTTCTAAATAGAATGTGGGTCAAAGAAGAATCTCAAAAAAAGTTTTAAATATTTTGAAGTAAATGGAAATGAAAATACAACTGATGAAGTTAAAATAAGGCTGTGAGGAAAATGTACAGCATTAAATGTGTATTTCAGAAAAGGCAAAAGATCTTAAGTCAACCATCTGACCTTCCACCTTAAGAAACTAGAGAAAGAAGAACAATTTAAGACTAACAAGCAGAAGAAAATAGTAACAATTAGAATGGAAATCAATAAAATTGAAAACAGGAAAACAATAGAGAAAATCAATGAAAACAAATCTCATTTTTAGAAAAGAACAATAAACTTGATAAACCTGTAGTGGTCAGGATAACCACGAATAAAAGAGAAATGACACAAGTTCCTAATATAAAAAAATGAAGTAGGAGTTGTCATTACTGGTCTCATCGACTTAAAAGGGATAATAAATAAATGCTGTGATTAGTTGTATGTGTACAAATATAATAATTAAAATGAAAAGAACTAATTCCTTAAAAGACATGTACTACAAAAACCCACACAAAGAAAAATAATCTGTATAGGCTTATATATGCATTAAAGACATTGAATCAATGATAAATACACTTCAAAAAATAAAGCAATAGGGCCGGGCATGGTGGCTCACGCCTATAATCCCAGCACTTTGAGAGGCAGAGATGGGTGAATCACTTGAGGCCAGGAGTTTAGGACTAGCCTGGCCAACGTGATGAAACCCTGTCTCTACTAAAAATATAACAATTAGCCTGGCGTGGTGGCGCAAGCCTGTAATCCTAGCTACTCGGGTGGCTGAGGCAGGAGAATCGCTTGAGCCTGGGAGGCGGAGGTTGAAGTGAGCCGAGATCTTGCCACTGCACTCAAGCTGGGTGGTACAAAAGTAGTAGGTTAAGATGGTTTCACTAGCACACTCTACTAATATACTAGTAAAAATCAGGTAAAATAGGTTAGGATGGTAGTAAAACCATCTTAAGAATGAATTGATATTTAATAATGAATACCAGTCCTTCATAATCTCTTTCAGAAAATAGAAGCAGAGGAAACACTTCCTAACTCGTTTTCTGAGGCTAGTATTACCTTGATATCAAAGCCACATAAAGATATTACAGGAAAGGAAAGCTACAGACCAATAACCTTCATAGGCATAGATATAAAAATTGTCAACAAAATGCTAGCAAATTGAATCTAACAATGTGAAAAAATAATTATACACCATGATCAAGGGGGATTCATTCTAGGTATGCAAGGCTGGTTCAACACTTGACAATTAATTAATATAATCACATGAACATGCCTCAGAAGAAAAATCATATAATTATATGAATTAATGGAGCAAAAGCATTTCATAAAATCTAACATTAATACTTGATAAAAACTCTTGATCAAGCTAGGAATATAGAGGAACCTCTTCAACTTGATGAGAACATCTACAAAAAAACTATGCTAACATCATACTTAATGGTGAGAAACGAATACTTTCCCCTAAGATTGGGAACAAGGAAAGGATGTCCCCTCTCAGCACTTCAATTTAACAGTACACTGGAAGCCCTAGCTAGTAAAATAAGGCAAGAAAAGGAAATAAAATGTATATGGCTCGGAAGGAAGAAAACAGTCTTATTTAAAGAGGATATGGTTGTCTATATAGAAAATCCCATTGAATTCACCACAGGGAAAAAACCCTCCTGGAACTAAGAAGTGACTATATTGTGAGTGATAGAGAAGTTAATTTAAAAAATAAAATAAGACAAACAACAAAAAAAGAAATGGTTATAGCAAGGTTGCAAAATACAAAGCTAATAAGAAAACTCAATTGCTTCCCTACATAATAGCAATGAATAATTGAAATTTGAAATTAAAAAACACAATGTTATTTATAATTGCTAGAAAATTATGTACATATGAATCTAACAAAATACATAAAGAACCTACATGAAGTAAACTATAAAACTCTGACGAAAGAAATAAAAGAAGACCTAAATAAATGAAAAGGTATTCTATGTTCCTTAACTGGAAGACTCAATATTGTTAAGATGTCAATTGTTAAGATTTACTTCAATTCCAATCAAAATCATAGAAAGCTATCTTGTGAATATGAAAAAGCTGATTCTAAAATTTATATGGAAGGCATAACCACAAAAGAATCAATGTAATACTGATAAAGACCAAAGCTGGAGAATTGACACTACTTGATTTTAAGACTTATTATTAAGCTACAGCAATCAAGACAGTGTGGTCTTGGTGAGAAAAATAGGCACATAAAACAACGCAACCAAATAAAGAGTTCAGAAATAGAGCTGAACCAATATAGTCAACTGAACTTTGACAATGGAACAAAGACAATCCTAGAGAGTCTCATTAATAAATAGTGCTGGAATAATTAGACATTTATATGCAAGTAAATGAATCTGAACATAGACCTTTTACAAAAATTAACTCCAAATAGATCATAAACTGAAATATACAACATAATATCATAAAACTTCTAGAAGATAACAGAAAAAAATTAAGGCTTGGACTTGGTGATGTTTTTAGACACAATATTAAAAATACATCTCTTAAAGACAAATTTGATAAATTAGAATTTATTTAAATTAAAAATTCTGCTCTGTGAAAGATGCTTAAAAGAATCAAAAGACAAGTCATAGACTGAGAGAAATTATTTTTCAAAATATACAAAAATATTTTTGAAGTGCAACAATAAGAAATAACTTAAAAATTAGAAATAACTTTAAAAAATTAAAAATTAAGAAAAGAATAACTTAATTAAAAATTTGTCACCATAGAATTGCAAATTAAAGCAACAGTGAAGTGCACACCTATTACTATGGCTAGAATCCAAGTCCTGACAATACCAAATGTGAGTGAGAAGGTAGAACACAAGAAACTCTTATTCATCATTGGCCGGAATGAACTTTATTTTTTCTTTTTGGAGTGATAGAGTTTCACCATGTTGCCCAGGCTGGTCTTGAACTCTTGGGCTCAAGCAAACACCAGGCCAGAGAAAGAAACTGGATCCTCATCTCTCAGCTTATACAAAAATCAACTCAAGATGGATCAAGGACATAAATATAAGACTGGAAATTATAAAAATTCTAGAAGATAACATTGGAAAAACCCTTCTAGACATTGGCTTAGGCAAGGGTTTCATGACTAAGAACCCAAAAGCAAATGCAATAAAAACAAAGATAAATAAAGATAAATAGCTGAGAATTAATTAAACTAAAGAGTTTTGGGTGTCAAAAGGAACAGTCAGCAGAGTAAACAGACAACCTACGGAGTGGGAGAAAATCTTCACAATCTATACATCTGGCAAAAGACTAGTATCCAGAATCTACAATGAACTCAACAAATTAGCAAGAAAAACAAACAAACAATCCTATCAAAAAGTGGGCTAAGGGCATGAATAGACAATTCTCAAAAGAAGATATACAAATGGCCAACAAACTTATGAAAAAATGCTCAACATCACTAATGATTAGGGAAATACAAATCAAAATCACATTGTGATATGACCTTACGCCTGCAAGAATGGCTATACTTAAAAAAATAAAAATAAATAAATATTGGCATGGATGCAGTGAACAGGGAACACTTCTACAGTGCTGGTGGGAATGTGAACTAGTACAACCACTATGGAAAACAATGTGGAGATTCCTTAAAGAACTAAAAGCAGAATTAACATTTTTATAGCCACTTTGGAAGATAGGTAGTCTATTACATAGCTACACATAGGCTTATAATATGATCCAGGAATCATTCATCTAAGTATTTATTCATTTGAAAACTTATGTTCACATAAAAATCTACATGTGAATATGTGCAGCTTTATTCATAATCATCAAAAACTGAAAGCAATAAAGATATCTTTCAATGGGTAGATGAGTGGATAAACTGTGGTACATTCACACAATAAAATATTATTTATCAATAAAAAGTAATGAGCTATGAAGCCATGAAACGACACACAGGAACCTTAATATTGCTACATCTGAAAAGGATACATACTGCATGATTCCACTTATGACACATTCTTGAAAAGATAAAGTTGTAGTAATGCTGAAAAGATAAAATTGTAGTAATGCTAAAAAGTTAGTGGTTGCCAAGGGTTCAGGGTATTGAGGAGGGTTGAATATGTGAAACATGGGGGATCTTTTAGAAGTCTGAAACTACTCTGCAAAATACTGTGATTGTGGGTACATGACATTATACCTTGTGAAAACCCATAGACCTCACAGCCCAAAGAGAGAAACTTAATGTATGCAGATTGTTAAAAATTATTTCAAAGTTTGGGAAGGTCCCAGAATGGAATGCAGAATATGAGAAAACAGTCTAACTATATGATAAATGTATGAAACTATCTCACAGAAAAGGTAGAGGAAAAGGTGCTGACCTAAGTAACCATGTAAATGAGTGGAGTTTATACGACTAAAGGCAAAAGAAACTGTACACCAACACCATATTTTAATTGAGAAAGTTGTTCCTATGAAAGTATACATTAAGACTTCCGATGCCACTGTATAGGTACACTAGAATTGAATAAGTAAACAGGTGGTTTAGTTATTAAGTAAACAGGTGGTAGATGATGGGAGCCACTTTTCTCACTGTTGAAGTGTGAAGTTACAGGTAAGCAAAACGAGGCTAGGATGATCCATATGATAATGAATTATATGAGCCAGAGATGTCATTATGAACTCAGGTTTAGCTAAAAATAGATACAGATGGTTTCACATAGAAATATTGATAGATATGGGTATATACATAGGTTAGTATAGATACGCATATTTCCTTGCTCTGTTGGAACTTGAGAGGGCCTAGAATCAATTAGCACATCTTCAGTACCAATAAACACATCTAATAGCTCCTACTACCATCCTTCACTAAAATGAACCAGGTTTCCTGAAAGAACAAGCAGATTCTAGGACTAGAGGGGGAAATAATATAAGATAAGGTTAGAATATCTTATACTACCAGAAAGCAAGGAAGTGTTAAACAAAAAACACAATGATGGTGTCAAAGGGACACAGAAGTCAACTGAAAGAGCTCTCAATGGTCAAAGCTGGAATAGAAGGAACAATAAAAGAAATAAAGTAGCATTGGTTACAATCCAAAATAAGATGAATATCTATGAGTCGATACTGATACAAATAAATGAGAAGAATAGACAAATCTCCAATGCAGAAGATTTCAAAACAATTTCTACAGATACTCCACTCTCAAATGGATGGAGCATAACTCCCCAGTCCTTAATGGGTGCTGTAAATAGTGACTTCTTTCCATCCAGTGTGGAAAGGGAACAAGAACACTGTAACTTTACAGTGGAGAATCCTTACAATATCACCTCAGCCAGATGATCAAGATCAACATTAACAGTGATAAGTCATTGTATTAGTTCATTTTCACACTGCTATAAGGAACTACCCAAGGCTGGGTAATTTATAAGGGAAAGAGGTTTAGTTCCATACAGCTGGGGAAGTCTCAGGAGACTTACAATCATGGCGAAAGGGGAAGAAGGCACGTATTATATGGCGGCAGGTGAGAGAGAGAAGTGCAAGCAGGGGAAATGCCAGACGCTTATAAAACCATCAGCTCCCATGAGAACACACTCACTATCATGAGAACCGCATGGGGGAAACCACCCCCATGATCCAAATCACCCCCAACCAGGCCTCTCCCTCAACACCTGGAGATTACCATTCAAGATGAGATTTGGGTGGGGACACAGACCCAAACCATATCAGTCATGTTGATAGTATATTCTCCCCTGATGTGATGTAGTAAAAATCACACTTTATCTTTGTGGTCTTCCTCTCAAAAATCCAGGACCTCAATCTAATTATGAGAAAAACATCAAACAATACCCAGTTAAAGGACACTCTGTAAAATACCTGACTAGTACTCTTCAAAACAGTGAAGGTCATCAAAAACAAAGTAAATCTGAGAAACTCATCTCTAAGAGGAAGCTAAGGAAACAGAACAATTAAATGTAATGTGGTATCCTGGATGGAACCTAGAACAAAAAAAAGGACATTAGGTGAAAACTAAGGAAAACTGAATAAAGTATAAATTTTGGTTAAAAATATGTATTAATATTTGTTCACTAATTATAACAACTATACTGTAGTTACATAAATCTTAGTAATAGAGGAAATTGAGTGAGGGAATATATAGGAACTCCATTATCTTCATAGAGTTTCTATAAATCTAGAACTGTTCTAAAAAATAAAATTTATTAAAAATAAAAAAGACAAATCCATTTTTGTGCATTGCCAAATCTGAAGAGATCAACTAAAAAAAATTAGAAAAACATATATTTCAACAAAAAGAAATCCCAAATGCAGATTTTCCTTTTTGCTAAAAGATCATCTCCTTGTTTCTTTTAACAGCAATAGAGTTTTATAAAACAATCAGAAAAGACTGTTAAGCTTTTAGAAGGCATTTGTTCTTATACAATTTAATACATTTTCATCTATAATAAACTATAACAATGATTACCTAAATTGCTAAATTGAACGTAACTATTGCCAATCTATAAATGGCTTTTCATTATTATTGTAAATGCATCACTATTCATATTATTAATATATGGTGTTAACTCTGAAAATCAGTCCCCAAGAAAACTAAGAGTGAAATTGTTCTCATGTCAATTTTGTCTCTGAATCCCTTGGATTAATTTTCAATTAACTATGTATCTGCAGTGAATAGAGGCAAGATTATCTCTGTTAATGTTGGCTTTAAGTAGATATTGTTTAATATAGGTAGTGATTAAAGTAAACACTCAAGGAAAAATGTTGTGGTGAAGCAACAAGTCACAAGAAGAGAAAAATTATCAAGTATGTGTGTGTTAGTCAATGTTCAACTGCAGATGACAGAAAACAATGTGACTATTGTGAACCAAAGAGATTTAGTACTAAGAATGAGGTACTTCCAAAATTGTTAGATGTTTTGGAGAAACTTGCTCTGGGCTGGACCTCAAAGAACAGTTCGCAGGTCATCACGGCAAAACTGGCTCAACAAGGAAACTTCTACCTCAGCTTCAGTTAGGAAAATGGGGAATCAAGACAGTAACCCAGTTAGGCTCCAGGGATCAGGAAGCTGCTGCTGGAACTGCTGGTTCCTGAGTCAGGCCATGCACCAGGAAAATGCATGACCCCACTACACCCTCCCTTTCCCCACTTCACCCTGCTCTGCATTCAAGCCTCTCCTGAGTACATCTGATTGATTAAATTTAAATTACATCTGGAGCTTCTGCTCCAAAGGAAGTCTGAGAAATGTATTTTTAAGCTTTCTAGTCTCTGCCATACAGAAAACATATTAAGGATGGAATAAATGTTGAGTCAGTTGATCTGGCTTCTCTATCACTTGTGGCATTTGATGATTGCAAGGTGAGTAACGCATTTGAAGCGTTATTATCAACAAGGCTCCTACGGGCAGCATATTTTTACTCCAGAGTTTAACAAAGATCTATTCACATAGACCTGCAGCCAACAAATCACCCAGATACCCAAATAAATCAAAAGCATAGCACGCCTCAAATTTTTGCAACTTTGTAGATCATTTGTTCTTATAAAATATCTTTCTACCCTGGAGTCTGCATCCAAAATTGCTTTTTGAAAATCTTCCTGATTTTCGTATAATCTCACTTTGGATTCCTTGAAATATGCATGCATTCACACACATATATGCGCACACAGACTCACACTTACAAGCATAAATTGGAAACATAAAATTCTATTTAAAACATGCAACAAACAAAAATTACTAGAGGAAAGTCATAGGACTTGTTGCTGAGACATGGTGAGAAAAATGATTGTTAGTCAGAAAAATTATTGTTGAATGAGGCATGAATAATGTCTTAAACAGCAACCACAACAAGAAGTCCTCAGGGAACTCGGTTAGCAATGTGCCAATCCACTTCTGTCATAGTTGTATGTAAAGACAGATGAAATGAGAGAAACTGCCAGAGGTTGCTGAGCTTCCTAAGACATTTCAAAGTGCCTCTCAATTACAGATGGCACCAATGAAAATGTACAAGTTTGAAATAAAATATTCATTTAAGAATAATTCTTTCTTTACTCATTCTTTAAATTTCTTTCTAAATAACATATTCTGTTATAGAAAGTGTTATACAAAAGAGTTCTTTAAATTGAGTGGAAATAACAATAAAAAAGAGATCTGAACACAATATAAAAAAACTACAATAATCTTCTCTTCCCAGTCTGTAAAATTCCCCAGATAAATTTTTGAAATGAAATATTCATCATTCAGAAAGAGCGCAAAGAAACAGTGGTTTAAGAGGACCCTAAATTTAACCTGCTTACAACTGAATTGCTACTATATCAAGAAAGGAATGCTACACATTGAATTTACTAGCACACATCAATTTATTCATGAAACATCTTTTCTCCTGTAAAATATACTTAATTTTATCTTCACTTTTGTACACCATCCTTAAGAGGAGGTCTTCATGGATGCCTCCAGGAGAAAATAAGAATAAAACTTGTCACCATCAGAGTTTCACTGAAATTCAAAATTTACACTACATTTTTACAAACCCCAATTAACAAAGATATGATAATGGATTTCTATCAAAGAAAGTTACTTTTAAAACCAGAAAATGCTATATATTAGTTTCCCTTAGACTTGAACTTTAAAAGAATTATTCTGCAATAAGATTAAACAAAAGCAATATTTTCTCTTTTACTTTGCCTCTAAGTAGTGAAGATGGAGGTATGTTTAACATACATGTTTTCTTTCCATAGCAGGCATCCAAATGGCGTTAACAGTCACAGGCTAGCGTAATATACCATCAATTTATTTCTCTGTCAGACATTTATATGACTTACTGAGCTCACAAAGTGTAATCCTGTTTTATTTTCTTCCATATTTTAATTGTTAATTAAATAATAATTTTAAAACAGATTAAAAGCAGAAGTTTACAAATAACAACATTCTTCTGACTATAGGGCAAAAAAACACTAGCATCTATAAAGTGCCCACTATATATCTGGTAAGATGACTGAAGCACTCGCATTTACTCTTTTAATCTCAACAGCTCTCTGCAGTAGCTATCAACAACCGTAACCACTTTTATACAGAAGAGAAAATGGAGCCTAAAGAATTTAAATACTGTATGAAGTTACATTACTGATGAGTGATAAAATCCAACCCAATTCAGATGTTCCTCACAGCCATGATCTTTCCAAAGCCTTACATATTTGCTGCTACGAGATTAAGTGTTAGAATCATTGAACAGAGCAAGCATTCTTTTCGACTCATGAAGCAAGCTCAGTAAATATTTGTCTTGTGTACAAAGCTGCCCTGAAGAATGTCCCTGAACAGCTCTTTATACAAACCATACTGTTATCTCATTTATTCTGTAGTCCAAGATATGCAATGACACTGTGTCCGTCATCTAAGATGGTAGTCCATCTTAGCGCAATAAGGTTTTTCTCAAAAAAAAAAAGTTGTTCTTTTTAGAAACCACCTGTTTTTCAGAAGTTTCCCATTCCATAATTTGAATTATTGTTAGATCACTAAAATATAGTACAAAAAGGCACACCAATAATCATAAGCATACAATCTCCCCAATTAATTTCATATCCACAGTTTCAATGCTAACACCATTTTTATTAAATGTTTTCACACATATGAAATAAGCACAAAGGGAAATTCTGTGTTAAGGTGGTTAGAAAAGACAAAATTCTATTGGGAAATGACTCTTGAAGGAGAACTATCCCTGAGTTTTGTTCACATTTGTCCTCAGTGGCCTTTGTAAAGCAAACAAAAAAAGAGGGTGAGGCTGGAAGACCCTGTGGATTAATGAGGAATCAAACTATTTCTTCCTTTCACCAGGGAAAAATCATTCAGTTGTCTCAAAAAATAAATTATTTTGACTCATTTGTGTTTCACCTTAGCATGGATAATCACTTTGACATCATAGAGGAAAGGACAACTAGCCATCCTCAAAGGTGGCTAATTATCTCACAGGCTTACTCTGTGGAGATGATTTTTTTTTTAACCTGGACATTATGCTACAGTGAAATAGTCACCAGTTAAGTGCATACCACAACAACCCAACATCTTCTTAGTCCTAGTAGAATTACATCATGTCACATCTTATTAGGACCTGGGTTGTTATAATCTGGGCCATACAGATTCCTGAAAACTGTCAGTTACGTTGCAAGAGTCAGAGATAATTCTGTTTATTAACATTAATCCTACATTCTCCAACAAAGGCATTATAAGAGTATTCTACAGAAATATTTTTAGCTCTCCTATTAAGAATATTCTAAGTTGAAGTAAAGAAAAGAGCCATGGAAAAAAATTAAATAGGTTTGTTTGTGAAAAGATCTACCAGCACTTCACATTTAATCGGGGAAAGTATGACAATAGTTTCTAGTATTAGAAAGATCATAGCCTGAAGTATACTCCAAACTTGCTATAATTTTTCCTTAGATAATGACTACTGATTGTCTTGCCAGGACTGGATCATCCAGCTAAATTCCCTCTGTTTGAAGTAAAAAGATATGTTATTTTAAAGCCTAGGAGACTTGAGGATTCTAGAAGATGGAAATCTAAAGGGTTCAAAAATAGTGTCAAATATGATTATTTAAAATTTCCCCCCTAGTGCTCTCACAGTATATATCCAAAAAAAACCCAAATTGTCTTACCAAGAAGACACATGCACTTGTATGTTCATCACAGCACTATTCACAACAGCAAAGACATGGAATCAACCTGAGTGCCCATTAATGTAGATTGGAAAAAGAAATTAGTGCATATGGGAATAATGGGGTATACTCATCAGGTTTAAGGTTAAGGAAGCTGGTGTTCCAGAAGAAGAAAAAAGTTCAATTTGTCAGCTGTTTGCACAAAAATATGGGAATATTTGGACTTTTGAGGGAAAGAAATAATCTGTTTCAAGGATTTCTAAGAAATGTTATTGAAGTCAGTTTAAAATCAACAAACTATGTAAATATTGAGCATCTTTTTACAGCAAAAGCCAAATAAGGCAGTTCTTATCAGATTTTTTTCCTATTGTAGTAAAGCAACTAACTGAAGATTGTATTGTATTTTGATAATACTCCATATTTAATATTCAAAACAATAAAATCACTGTTTTATTTTAAATGTCAGGCTCCTTCAGGGGAAACACTTGCTAGATAGCTGTGTTGAATTCACACAGTCAAACTTCTCACAGTAAAAGCCAAAGATATTTATAAAGATGTTGCTAAACTCTGGGAGGAAATGCCCCTTCTAAAATTGTATAGTTGAGTGGACTGAGAAGTGATCAATGTCCAGAGCTGACTGCGCAAGGGCAACATGTTGGCGAGCACTCGAAATGTGGCTATTTCACATGGAAAATTTTGTAAAAAAAAAAAATACATCAGATTTCAAAGACTTCAAACAAAAATAAGAATGTAAAATACCTCATAAATAATTATTTGTGTTGATTACGTGTTTAAATAATTTTGTATATATTGAGTTAAATACAATATATTATTAAAATTAACTTCATTTGTTTTTATTTGCATTTTTAAATGTGGCTGCTAGAAAATTTTAAATTACATTGTGTGGCTGGCATAGTTCTAGGAGATAGTGCTGGTCTAGATCTTTGAATCAACAATATAGCTAAAGAAAAATTACATAAGAGAAAGTGCCCACTCACTTCCAAGAAGCTCCAATACCAGAGGAATGGACCTGGAACTACTAACT
Organism: Homo sapiens; assembly: GCF_000001405.40. NCBI lineage: Eukaryota > Metazoa > Chordata > Mammalia > Primates > Hominidae > Homo > Homo sapiens. The sequence continues at coordinate 180,287,412 of NC_000002.12, read as the reverse complement.
TCCCTCTTATATAAGGTATATTATCTACAACAGCCAGAATTGGTTCTTTCTTCCATGCCTCCATCATCTATCAATAACTTCATTCCTACATCCATTAATGAAGACACATCTTCTAGCAGTGCAACTTGACCAGGAGTAAAGAGCATAGGCTATAATAAGGTGCAACCTGGGATATCCTTGGTGATAGGTAAGGGCAAAGCCAGGAAAGCTCTGGGAATACTCAGTGTCCATAAGGGACTGAAACTTTCTCTTTTTTTATGACTTCAACTTTTATTTTAGAAGCAGGTTTGTCACCACCTGGGTATATTGTATGATGTTTGAGTTTGGGGCACAATTGAACCCAATACCCAGGCACTGAACATGGTACCCAATTACCCAATAGTTAGTTTTTCAACCCTTGAGCCCCTTGCCCCAACCTCTAGTAGTCACCAGTATCTATTGTTGCCCTCTTTATGCTCATGTTTATCCAGTGTTTTGCTGCCATGTGTAAGTGAGAACATGCAGCATTTGGTTTTCTGTTCCAGTGTTAATTCACTCAGGTCAATGGCCTCCAGCTGCATCTATTTTGCTGCAAAGAACATAATTTTATTCTTTTTTATGGCTGTGTAGTATTCCTTGGTGTATACATACCACATTTTCTTTATCCAGTCTACATTAATGGGCACTTAGGTGGATCTCATGTCTTTGCTCTTGTGAATAGTGCTGCAATGAACTTATAAGTGCATGTGTCTTTTTGGCAGGACAATTTGTCTTTTTTTTTTTCATATACATACTCAGTAGGGGATTGCTGAGCCAAATAGTAGTTCCATTTTAAGTTCTCTGAGAAATCTCCCAACTGCTTTTCACAGTGGCTGAACTAATTTACATTTCCACCACAATGTATGAGCTCCCTATTTTCCATAGCCTCACCAGCATCTGTTGTTTTCTAACTTTTTAATAACAGCCATTCTGACTAGGATGAGATATTATCGCATAGTGGTTTTGATTTGCATTTTTCTGATAATTAGTGATGTGGAGCATTGTTTCATATTTTTGGCCACTTGTATGTCTTCTGAGAAATGTCTGTTCATGTATTTTGTCCTTTTTTAATGAAGTTATTTGCTTTTGGCGTGTTCAATTGTTTAAGATTCTTATAGATTCTGGATATTAGACCTTTGCTGGATGCTGGATGGACAGTTTGCAAATATTTTCTCCCATCCGCTATGTTGTCTGTTTACTCCACTGACAATTTCTTTGGCAGTGCAGAAGCTCTTCAATTTAATTAGGTTTCACTTGTCAAATTTTTTTGGAATTGTTTTGAGGACTTAATCATAACTTATTTCCCGAGACTGATGTCCAGAATCATGCTTTCTAGGTTACCTTCTAGGATTCTTATAGTTTGAGGTCTTACATTTAAATCTTTCATCCATCTTGAGTAAGTTTTTGCATGTAGTGAAAAGTCCAGTTTTCATTCTTCAGCATATGGCCAGCCAGCAATCCCAGCACTATTTATTGAATAGGGAAACCTTTCCCTATTGCTCATTTTTGTCAACTTTGTAAAAAATCAGATGGCTGTAGGTATGCACCTTTATTTCTGGGTTCTCTAGTCTCTTCCCTTGAGACCGAAATTTTCTTCTTACATAGTATTCAGAAATAAGTCACTTATTTGTATTCAAAAAATGGGTAATCAAAGAAAAAGAACCCATTTCCCCATGTCAAATGAGAGAGTTAATAAAAAAAATTATAAAATAAAAATTTCACTAGGGACTGTATAGATTAACTTTTGTTCTAGTATGTATTCTGAGAAAGAAAGTCTGGCAGTAAATGGCATATTAACCTTGGCTATATCTTTTCTAGTTCAAGAAACCTATGGAAAGATTTTATAGCATAAAAAGAAGAAATTAATCTACTTAAGATCTGGGAGAAATGCATGCCTGTGAACACAGAAGAAAATGCAATTTCATCTGGTTCTACAGACTCTATGAAATAAGAAGTTAAATGACATGACAAGAAAGAGTACTAGCTAAGACAAAAATAGAGTAGGCAGATATAAGAAAATAATTCAGAGAAATAAAATAAAAAATCTATATTGAAGGCAATGGAGTACAGAGCTAACACTAAAGTGAGACAGAAACATGATTTAGAATATTGGTTCTCAAATTCTTGTCAACAAGCCAACTGCATAAAAATCACATGGACTGATTCATATACACAAATATAAGAAACTCCCTTTGCAGAGTCTAATTCAATTGATATAATTCGTCCTGAAAATGTGTGTTATAAAAAGTCCTCTAGGTGATTCTAATATACATTTACATGTAGAAATGGTTGATGCAGGGAACCAGAAGCCATATGCCAATGGAAAGGGAAGCATAAAGATAGGAAGGAAAATGCCAAATATAGGAGGAAGCAGAGAATGGAGATAACAAATTAGCAATAATAAGTTTATATGGGAGAGAAAGAAACAAGGGAGTAAAAATATTTTCAGAACTTTAAAAATAGAAAGATAGGCAGATATCTGCAACCTGGAATAGATTTATGGAATTCTGTGGAAAATAAGTAAAGAGGCATTACTGGACTTATTTTGGTGAAATTCTTGATTGTCAAAGATAAAGAAAAAAATCATACAAATATTCAAAGAGAAAAGTTACTTGGGGTTAATTTCAAAGAATAAAAAATTAGCCTTTTTCCAACATCTTGTGTGAAACTAATTTGCAGCATGCAATGAAATGTTGTATAGAAAATTTGATTAAAACGGTCTTTAGTCTAAGAATTAAAGATCCTTTAAAGAATTAATTAGTTGACCTTTGATTTATGTGCAAAGGAGACAAATATATTACAGGTATTCAGAGGCATTAAAAAGTGAGTCAACTAGAATTTTTTTCCATGAATAGGTAGAAAACTCAGTGATTTAGTAAAACACCTTGAAATTTTTTTTAATTCAAAAATTTTCCTAATATTCTTAGGAAGGTTGACATCTAGATACAAAAAATCCAGAGAATGCCTGTGAAATACTATACAAAATGAACATCACTAAGGCATATAGTCACCAGATTATTCAAGGTCAATGCTAAAGAAAAACATCTTAAAGGCAGCTGGAGAAAAAGGTCAGATCACGTACAAAGGGAACCCCATCAGGCTAATAATGGACTTCTTGGCAGAAACCTTACAAACTAGGAGAGAAAAAAATAAAAAGACTGTACTGTATATTTAAAGGGTAGAAGTGTTGAAAGGGTAGGTATTAGGTATCATGTTAAAATGTTCTTATTATAATAAAAAATAAACATAAATGAGAAAACAGTAAAACAATAACAATAGTAATAAAAATAAACCAGACCTTCTCCTGCCATCCCACAAAAGGCACATTAAAAACTGTATAAAATCTCATTGATACTACACACCTTTAACAATTACTAAAATCACACTAAAATACTAACAATCTCATGTGCTAGACAGGATGCAGAGCAACTGAAACTGATACAGTGTTAATGTGGATGCAAAATATTACAATTATTTTGGAAAACAATTTGTTCACGTCTTATAAAGCTAAACATGATTTCCCATATAATCCAGCAATCCCACTCCTAGTTATTTACACAGAGAAATGAAACCATATTTCCACACAAAAACCTATATATGAATACATAAAGCAGCTTTATTCATAGTAACCACAAACTAGAAAAAGAACCAAAATGCCTATTACCTGGAAATGGAAAATCAAATAGTGAGTATTCAATGTAATAGTCACTCTGTAATTAAAAAACAAACCCCTGATGTATGTAACTATACAGATACGTCTCAAATGCATTATGCTAAGTGATAAAAGTTAACGCAAAAGGCTACATTCTATATGCTTTCATTTACAGGCCATCCTGGAAAAGGCAAAACTAATTGAAAGAGAAGAGATCCATGATTGCCAGAGGCTGACGGTGGGGTGGGAAGAGAAGTGATTAAAAAGGGGCATGAGGAATGTTTGGGAGGGGATGGATATGTCATGTCTTGATTGTAGTAGTAGATATATGACTATATGTTTCATCATAATTCATTGAACAGTACACCTTTAAAAAGGTGAATTTTATTATATACGAAGATGTACATGTATATGAATTATACCTCAAAAAACCTTAATTTTAAAAATTAATCAAAGATCTTATAACAAAGTGTGGATAAAGGGCAAAACAAAAAATGTTCTTAGTTGATGACTGAAATTGATAATACATTAATTCTCTAAAAAGTATCATGTAAATTTGTGCAGTTCCAATATGAATTCCAAAAGGATGTTTCTAGACTTGAGTAAAATAATCTTAAACTTTATATTGAAGAATATATAAGAACAGCCAAGAAAATAGGAATGAAAAATAAATTAGAGAGACTTATCATACCCAATATCAAAATACACTACTGTAATCAAATTAATATGGTATTGGCATGGGAACAAACAGATTAGACTAAAAAAGAGTATATAGATATGGCTTTCAATGTGTAAGTTCATTTACTATATGATAAAACATAAAAAAAGAATGGAGGGTTTATTATATTCTGCATACAAGTTATTTATTTAACCCAGGAGAAAACAATATGAAGCCTTTTCCTCATACCATAAGCAACAATAAATTACACCAGCAGGATAGAAGACTTAAATGTTTAAAACATTAAAAGCAAAAAGAAAAATTAATAAAAGAAGTGTAGGAGTATGGAATCTGTCTTCACCAAGACAGAAAATCCCTGAAGCCACAAACAAGAAAGGAGGCATATTTGAGAATAATCTATATAGGAAATTATTCCTCTACAGAATCTATAAAACAATGACTTACATAGGAAAAATATCAAAATATACTAATGTATCTCATTGATATGAGATACAAAGAACTCTTTAAAGTTGACAATGGAAAGAACTTAATAGAAAAATGAGCAAAGAATATAGGTAATTCACTAATAAGCTAATCTAAATGGCAAACAAACATGAAAAAGAAGCATAAGCTTACTGTAAGTTTATAAAATATAAATTAATATAACAATAAAGTATCACTACATTCATTATAATGGCAAAAAATTTAAAAATGACACATACTGCTGCCATGGGAGAGTGGAAATATAAGTTATTGCAACCTTTTTGGAAAGCAATAAGACAGTATCTGTTTTTGTCTTTTTTCTTAGCAATCCTGCTCCTAAGAATGTATTTCATAATGATAAAAATCACCAGTGTAAGAATATTCCCTGTACTTTTGTTCATAATGTCAAAAAATGGAAAGAAAATAAATACTCATCAATAAAGAGGAATGGCAGAATATTCACTGTGAAATATTTACATAACAATTAAAAGAAATGAATTGGTCTATACAACTTGATGTGGTGACATTTCTAGAAGGTACTATCGAGTGATTAACAAAAGATGCAGAAAAGTGTTTCATGTGATAGATAGACAGACAGACAGAAGAAAAGTGGATGCATGAATTAATAGACAAAGTCTTCATATGTGGTTATATGAGGATAGAGGAAAAGATAAAAAGATAAGTTTTTAGGATTCAATAAGGTTGGAAAGAGCTGGAAAAGTAGGGCAGATGAAAGAAAAAATGGGAGGAGGAAGACCACTCAAATAGGAAATTAAACTACTAATTTTAAGAAAGGCTACATAAGAGATTATCTCATTATGTACAAGTATACATATAAAGTGTGTGATTCTATGAATGTGTGAATTAATTAAAGATTTGATAAAACCAAATTAGATATGTCTACTGATATTTGGGAATGTCAAGGGGATATTTATTATGTAAAAAAGCAAGTCTTTGTGTATATGGGGATTTATGTTTGCATGTATTTCAACAAGCAAAGAGAAAGGTATAGAATAACACCAGGCTATTAAGGTTAACCCCAGAGGCTTGGGAATGAGTGATACAGGGTGCACATAATAAATAGGGTGTATCACTGGTCTGTAACGGTTAACTTTTCTTCTATACATATTTGTAGTATTTAATTGTAATAGGAAGTGTTCATTACTATTATAATTTAAATATCAAATAATGGGAGAATATGATGTGTGAAGGAAGAAAATAAAATTACCATTTTAGGTTAATGCCTTCAAAGCAGTTGGAGGAATAAGACAAATTCAAACAGATGATTTATTGTGAGTCTCTGGGGAAATGTTTCATTTATAGACATACACTTAAATTCAAAGCAAACATATTAAGAATTTACTTTGGTATAGCCTGTGGACTAGCATTTCTGAAAGGGTGGATTCTAAATACCTCCTCTACACCGCATGTTCTCACTCATAGGTGGGAATTGAACAACGAGAACACGTGGACACAGGAAGGGGATCATCACACACCAGGGACTGTTGTGGGGTGGGGGGAGGGGGGAGGGATAGCATTAGGAGATATACCTAATGTAAATGACAAGTTAATGGGTGCAGCACAGCAACATGGCACATGTATACATATGTAAGAAACCTGCACGTTGTGCACATGTACCCTAAAACTTAAAGTATAATAATAAAAAGATAAAATAAAATAAAAGAAAATAAAAGAATTATCAGAGGAACTTATTAAAAAGAATATTCTCTAACCCCATTCCAGAATTTCTGAATTAGAGTCCTAGGGATGAGACTCAGACATCTACATTTTTACCAAGTTCTCTCTCTTCCTCTAGATGATTCTTATACAAAAAAATACACTAAGAGACAGCGCTTTAGACCAGTGTTTCCAAGAGTTGACAGATCATAAGAATCACCCATTTAAAAAATACGATCCAGCAAGTTTGGGAAATACAACTAAGGAAATTTCATTGAAGCATCCTATAAAACAATTGACTTAGCCAAGGAACAAGACCACTGCTTTACTGCAACATGGTTATAATTTTACAACAATATTAATAGTGTTTATGAAACAGAAAAGGGAAAGTGAGATCACAGGTTGTTTTCATGAGATATTTATGCTAATATTTTCTCACACTTACATTTGCTTTATCATTCCACATAAGCCACCTAATTACAAGTATTATTATCCTCCTAGCATACGGCTGATAATCTGACCCAAAATTTTTGGATTTTTGTAATTCAGAGACCATCAAATGGTAAAGCCAGAAATTTAATTCCATTATCAGAAATTTCTGGAGGGGAACATTTTCGTCTTTAAAAATCACAGCTATTAGAGGAGCTATTAGAGTAGAATTTGTATCAGTGAGAACTTAAATATTTTTCCTTGTTCAGCTCAGGGTCTCATGACCAATTTACTCCAACATCCCAGTTACCAGTCTCCAACAGGCAGACAATAGACTGCAAATCCAGTCTAAGTTACATTTCAAATTAGCTGTGTGGCTTTAAAGAAGTCACTTCACTGTGCCTCAAGGTCCTTGTCGTTACACGATGAGAAGGTATTGAAGAATCTTTATGAATTTCACATCCCTCTATAAGTTTTAAAATACCCAGTGGAAGACAGTATTGCAGTAAATACAGCACTCTGTGGAAACTTGGAGAACACTAATAATGCAGAGAAGATCTTATATTAGTTAATACACTGGCTATTTTATGGTCTTCATCCTATTGTTAAACGTTTGCCTTTTTACAATGCTTTCCACTTCTGGGTTCCCTATAAATCCCATATTGTCAAGCTTTGCTTTTTAGACATAATTAATGTGGCCAGATTGGAAATGCTTGTATTAAAAAAAGAATAACTATGTTAGCTGGTAGAAGAATTCTTAGAAAGAGAGCAACTCTTTGTTAAGGAAATACAGCAATAAACTTGCTTGGAAAAGAAGGCAAGAGATAATAGGACCTGAGTGTGGGTAACACTGTTTGGCTTGAGACAAGGGCATGAACTGTTTTTTTTCTTTCTGTAAAGAAAGAGAAAAGACAAGAAAGGAAAAGGAGAAATGAGAATAAACGATAAAACAGAGCTGAAGCAAGAGGAGAGTCTATGGCGTAGTGTGTAATGGGATTTCTGTAGAAAGCCCCCCACGTTTTCATTTGTCTATAAAATTCACAAAATTCTTGCTACCAATGTATGTAAAAAAAAAACAAAATGGAGAAGGCTTGGAGCTTTGCGCATGTGTGAAAAGGCAACATTCTTAAATGTAAGAGCAGATACAGAGAGGGTCTTGAGGAATTTGCTGAGAATTTTCAGCAATTAGGGAAAGCATTCTAGCCATGAATTTGGGACTTAAACCCAGTTCTACAGCAATTCTCAAGGGTCAGGGAAGCTCATAATATGTCTAACCAATCTCTGTGTATTGTAAAGATCAAACATTAGTGAATTATCAAGAAACTGAGAATTTACATGTGGCTTCAGAAGAAATAATAGCATGTCTGCGTTAAATGAAGGCTTTTAGGTCAGCGGTGAAATGCAAATATCTGAAGCATGACATCACTATAACTAAAAATATGAACAAAATTGGTTCTCCAATATCTGTACACAAACCAGCTCAAACAAATAGCAATATACTAAGTATGTGTCTAATTTAAAGTGTTTTTTTCATGTAGAGAACACCAAATGGCAAAATCATTTGTATAATTTAGAAAGACACCATTTAAATGAAAGTAATATAAAAGCTATTTCATAATTGACTTTAAACATTTACCTCCTTATGTATTCTTTTATCAAGCATTTATTGAGCACCTCTATATGTATTCGATTAATACATATAGACTTAAAGGTATGTAAGAACACACTCTTGAAAAGGCTCAATAACTGCAGAGATGGTCAGTCTTTTAGACATAGCAAATTAAAAAGAAACAAGTTAACGAAAACAGATTTTTTATTGCCTAGAAGAAAATTTCAGAAGCTAAAGTACCCTTGGTTATACTTTAGGCAATATTTGTGTGAAATATTCACACAAATAACAAAAGCTATATTCCAAAGAATAGAAGTATACTTTGAATGTTAGTAATCAGTGATGCCTTCATATAATGGGGAAATGAGAACTTGGTTGCCATTCCAGCCTAAACAATGATGTGGAGGCCAACATGTTAGGACACAGTGAGGTTGGTGGGCTGAACCAGGGTTTATGGAAGGAACACTATGAAGTGATGTGAGGAGTAAAAGGGAGAGTACCAGAAAGCCTAGGACCTTCAGGTTATGCAATAAAAGTTAATGATATCTGACCTGACTTCTTCACAAGTGTGCTATAAAATCAAATATTTTCAGGTACATGGGGGTAAAAACTCTTGAAAGTTTTTTTTTTATTATTATACTTTAAGTTCTAGGGAACATGTGTACAACGTGCAGGTTTGTTACATATGTATACATGTGCCATGTTGGTGTGCTGCACCCATTAACTCGTCATTTGCATTAGGTATATCTCCTAGTGCTATCCCTCCCCACTTCCCCCATCCCACAACAGGCCCCAGTGTGTGATGTTCCCCTTCCTGTGTCCAAGTGTTCTCATTGTTCAATTCCCATGTATGAGTGAGAACATGCGGTGTTTGGTTTTTTGTTCTTGCGATAGTTTGCTGAGAATGATGGTTTCCAGCTTCATCCATGTCCCTACAAAGGACATGAACTCATCCTTTTTTATGGCTGCATAGTATTCCATGGTGTATATGTGCCACATTTTCTTAATCCAGTCTATCATTGATGGACATTTGGAACACTTTTACACTGTTGGTGGGACTGTAACCCAGTTCAACCATTGTGGAAGACAGTGTGGCAATTCCTCAAGGATCTAGAACTAGAAATACCATTTGACCCAGCCATCCCATTACTGGGTATATACCGAAAAGATTATAAATCATGCTGCTATAAAGGCACATGCAAACGTATGTTTATTGCGGCACTATTCACCATAGCAAAGACTTGGAACCAACCCAAATGTCCATCTTGAAAGGTTTTTATGACTACATGTCAATTTTCTTTTCATTACTATTGATGACAGACCTACATTTTTAAGATGGATAATCTCTTGGGTTATCAAGGACCCACTCCTGGCAAGATTCATTACCTACTGACTAAAGAGCCCTTGGGCCCAGCCACAGTGGGATAGAGTAATAAGCAGGGACTTGGGGTTCCCAAGTCCAGGCCTAGGCTCTTAGACAGCATTTCTGGACCTTTTCTAAGCCAGATGAAAGGCACCTGCCTTGAGGGCTGAGTCCTAGGGCTGGCAGCATTCATCACAAGCTTACTGAAGAGCCCTTGGGCTTTAAGTAAGCATCAGCAGTGGCCTAGTAGAATCCCCTGTGGGTCTGTGGCAGTGGTGGCCACAGGGAGAGGCTCCTCAGCCTATGGAAAGGGGAGAGAAGAACAGGAAGGAATCTGTATTGTGGTTTGAGTACCAGTTTAGCTGTACTAGAATGGGACATCAGGTAAATTTCTAAGGTTTTGATTCCAGTCTCTGATTCCCAGATAGCGCCTCTGGACCTGCCCAGGGCCTAGGGGAACTCACTGCCCTGAAGGAAAGGACACAAAACTGGCTGGCTTCACCACCTGCTGATCATAGAGCCCTAGAGCTTTGAATGAAATAAGTGGTAGCCAGGTAGCAGTTACAGTGGGTCTTGGGTGAGACCCAGTACTGTGCTGGCTTCTGGTCTGACCCAGCACAGTCTCGGTGGTGGTAGCCACAAGGGTGCTTTCATTACCAAATCCCCAGTTCCAGGTGGCTCAGCACAGAGAGAGAGAGACTCTTTGTTTGGGGGAAAGTGAGGGAAAAGAGTCTCTGCCTGATAATCTAGAGAATTCTTCCAGATCTTATCCAGGACCACCAAGGCAGTACTTCTAACAGAATGCAAAAAAACAGCATTTATTGGGCTTGGGGCCCAAGTCTCTTTGAATACCTTCAAAGCCTTCTCAAGAAGGAGCTTAAAAAAGGCCAGACTGTGAAGACTACAATAAATACCTACCTCTTCAACGCCCCAAAACAAATGAACATCTAAAAGCATCAAGACCATCCAGGAAAACATGACCTCACCAAATGAACTGAATAAGGCACCAGGGACGAATTTAGGAGAAACAGAGATTTGTGACCTTTCAGACAGAGAATTCAAGAAAGCTGTGTTGCAGAAGCTCAAAGAAATTCAAGATAACACAGAGAAGGAGTTCAGAATTCTATTACATAAATTTAACAAAGAGATTAAAATAATTAAAAAGAATCAAGCAGAAATTCTAGAAGCAAAAAATGCAACTGACATACTGATGAATGCATCAGACCCTATTAATAGCACAATTGATGAAGCAGAAGAAAGAATTAGTGAGCTTGAAGACAGGCTATTTGAAAGTATATAGTCAGAAAAGTAAAAAAAAGGATAGAATAAAGCATGTCTATGAAATCTAAAATACAACCTCAAAAGGACAAATCTAAGAGTTATTGGCCTTAAAGATGAGGTAGAGAAAGAGATAGGGGTAAAAAGTTTATTCAAAGGGATAATATCGGAGAACCTCCCAAACCTAGAAAAATATACAAATATCTAAGTACAAGAATACCAGCAGGTTATAGGATACCAAGCAGATTTAATTGAAAGAAGACTACCTCAAGGCATGTAATAATCAAACTCCCAGAGGTCAAGGATAAAGAAACAATACTAAAAGCAGCAAGAGAAAAGAAACAAATAATATACAATGTAGCTTCAATATGTCTGGCAGCAGACTTTTCAGTGAAAATCTTAAAGGCCAGGAGAGAGTGGTATGATATAAAGTGCTGAAGGAAAAAAACTTTTACCCTAGAATAGTATATTCAGAAAAAAAAAAATCCTTCAATCATGAAGGAAAAATAAAGACCTTCCAGACAAGCAAAAGCTGAGAAATTTCATTCTGAACAGCAAGGATGCTAATGAGCAAGAAGATATCATCTGAAGGTACAAAACTCACTGGTGATAGGCACATAGAAAAACACAGAATATTATAACACTGTAATTGTGGTATATAAACTACTCTTAAGTTGAAAGAATAAATCATGAACCAATCAAAAATAATAACTACAACAGCTTTTCAAGACATAGACAGTACAATAAGGCATAAACACAACAAAAAGTTAAAAAGCATGGGGATGAAACTAAAGTGTCGAGTGTTTTATTAGTTTTGTTTTGCATATTTGTTTGCAATCAGTGTTAAGTTGTCATCAGTTTAAAATAATGGGTTCTAAGATAGTATTTGAAAGCCTCATGGTAACTTGAAGTCAAAAAACATACAACAGATATACAAAAAAATAAAAATAAAGACATTAAACCATACCAGTAGAGAAAATTACCATCACTAAAAGGAAGACAGGGAGGGTGGAAAGGAGGAAGAGAAGACTACAGAACAACCACAAAACATATTACAAAATGGAGGGAATAAGTACTTGCTTTTCAATAATAACACTGAATGTAAATGAACTAAACTCTCCAATCAAAAGACATAGAGTGGCTGAATGAATGAAAAACAAGACTCAAAGATCTGTTGTCTTCAAAAAAACACACATCATCTGTAACACATAGACTGAAAATAAAGGAATGGAAGTGATACTCCATGTAAAAGAAAACCAAGAAAGAGTGGTGATACTTACATCAAACAATATAGATTTCAAGACAAAAACTGTAAGAAGGCACAGAAAAGGCATTATATGATAAAGGACTCAATTCAGGAAGATAATATAACAAATGTAAATATATATGTACCTAACACTGGAGCACCCAGATATAATATAAAATTATTAGAGCTATTAATAATACAAATTATTAATAATACAAATATTATTAGAACTAAAAAGAAAGATAAGCCCTAATAATAGCTGGAGACTTCAACACCCCACTGTCAGCCTTGGTCAGCTCTTCTAGACAGAAAATCAACAAAGAAACATCAAACTAAATCTATGCTATGGAACAAATGAACGTAGTAGATATTTACAGAACGTGTCATTCAACAGCTGCAGAATACACATTCTTCTTCACAAATACATGGATCAATTATGAGGATAGACTATATATTAGGTTCCAAAAAAAGTCATAAAACATTCAAAAATATTAAAATAATATCTAGCATCTTCTCTGATCACAATGGAATAAAACTAGAAATCAAAAATGAGAAATTTTGGAAACTATACAATTACATGGAAACTAAACAATATGCTCTTGAATGACCAGTGGGTCAATGAATAAATTAGGAGGGAAATTGAAAAATTTCTTAAAACAAATAATAATGGAAACACAACATACCAAAATATATGGGATACAGTGAAAGCAGTACAAAGAGAGTAACTTATAGATATAAGTGCCCACATCAAAAAGAAGAAAAACTTGAAATAAATAACCAAAGGATGCATCTTAAAGAACTAGAAAAGCAAGAGCAAACTAAATCCAAAATTGGTAGAAGAAAAGAAATAATAAAGATCAGGGTAGAAATAAATGAATTTGAAATGAAGAAAACAATACAATGGATCAAACAAAAAGTTAGTGTTTTGAAAAGATAAACAAAATTTAAAAACCTTTAACCAGACCAATGGGATAAAAAAAGGGAGAACACCCAAATAAATAAATTCAGAGATGGAAAAAAAAAGAGACATTACAACTGACACCACGGAAATTCAAAGAATCATTAGAGGCTACTAGGAGCAACTTTATGCCAATAAACTGGAAAATCTAGAGGCAACTGATAAATTTATAGACACATACAACCTATCAAGATTCAACCGTGAAGAAATCCATAACCTGAACACACAAGAAGTAATGAAATCAAAGCTGTACTCCCAGCAAAGAAAAGCCTGAGACTTGATGGCTTCACTGCTGAATTTTACCAAGCATTTAATAAAGAACTAATACCAATCTGACTCAAACTGTTCCAAAAAATACAGGAGAAAAGAATACTTTCATTTTACAAGGCCAGCATTACCATGATACCAAAACCAGACAAAGATACAACAACAAAATAAAACTACAGGCTAGTATTATCCCTGAAGAACATTGATGCAAAATTCCTCAACAAAATACTAGCAAACCAAATTCAACAACATATTAAAAAGATCATTCATTATGACAAAGTGGGATTTATCCAGGGAAAGGATGTTTCAACATATGCAAATCAATCAATGTGATACATCATATCAACAGAATGAAGAACAAAAACGATTTGATATTTCAATTGATGTTGAAAAAGCATTTGATAACATTCAACATCACTTCATGATAAAACCCTAAAAACATTGGGTATAGAAGGAACATACTTCAACATAATAAAAGCCACAGCTATCATCATACTCAACAGGGGAAAATTGAAGACTTTTCCTCTAAGATCTGGAACACAACAAGGATGCCCACTTTCACCACTGTTATTCAATATAGTACTGGAACTCTTAGCTAGAGCAATCAGACAAGAGAAAGAACTAAAGGGTATCCAATGGGAAAAGAAAATAGTCAAATTATCCTTGTTTGAAGATAGTATAAACTTATATTTAGAAAAATCTAAAGACTCCACAAAAATAGGTTAGAACTGATAAACAAATTCAGCAAAGTTGCAGGATAAATAAATCAACATACAAAAATCAGTAGCATGTCTTTATGCCAACAGTGAACAATCTGAAAAAGATACCAAAAAAGTAATCTTATTTAAGATAGCCACAGACAAAATTAAATACCTAGGAATTAACCAAAAAAGGGAAAGATGTCTACAATGAAAACTATAAAACATTATTGAAGTAAATTTGAAAAGGAGATGGAAAAATGAAAAGATATTCTATTCCATGTTCCTGGATTGGAAGAATCAATATTGTTAAAATGTTTATACTACCCAAACCAATCTGCAGATTCAATGAAATTCCTATCAAAATATGAATGACATTCTTCACAGAAATTTTAAACATCCTAAAATGTATATGGAACCACAAAAGATCCAGAATAGCCTAAGCTTTCCTGAGCAAAAAACAAAACAAAACAAAACTGAATGGGTCACATGACCTAACTTCAAATTATACTACAGAGCTATAGTAACCAAAACAGCATGTCACTGGCATAAAAAAAAGACACATAAATCAATGGGAAGGAATAGAGGACCCAGAAACAAATACTTATAGTGAAACCAGAAACATACCTACAGTGAACTCGTTTTCAACCAAGTTGCCAAAGACATGCACTAAGAAAAAGACAGTGTCTTCAGTAAGTGGTGCTGGGAAAACTAGATGTCCATATGCAAAAGAATAAAATTAGACCCTTATCTCTCACCATATACAAAAATAAAATTAAAATGGATTAACGACTTAAATCTAAGATCTCAAACTATGAAACTACTAAAAGAAAATTTAATGGCTTCACCACTGAATTTTACCCAACATTTAAAGAAGAACTAATGCCAATTCTATTCAAACTGTTCCAAAAAATAAAGGAAAATAGAATATTTTCATAGTCATTCTAAAAGGACAGTATTACCATGATACTAAAACCAAAGACACATCAATAAAATAAAACTGCAGGCTAATATCCCTTAAGAACATGAAGGACATGAAGATATTTCTCCAGTATTATCATAAAGAGAAGAGTGGGGAAAATCCCTAGGACATTAGTCTGGGCAAAACTTTCTTGTGTAACACCCTACAAGCACAGGCAACCAAAGCAAAAATGAATAAATAGGATCACACAAAGTTAAAAAGCTTCTGTACAGCAAAGAAAACAATTAACAAAATTAAGAAACAACCTACAAAATGATAGAAAATGGGAGCTCAAACAACTCTAAAGGAAAACCATCTAATGATCTGATTTTAAAATAGGCAAAAGATTTGAACTGACATTTCTCAAAAGAAGACATACACATGACACAAATAGGAAAAGGTATTAACATCACTTATTATCAGAGAACTGCAAATCAAAACTACAATGAGATATCACCTCACACCAATTAAAATGGCCTTTGTCCAAAAGACAGGCAAAATGTGAAATGTTGGAGAGGATGTGGAGAAAAGGAAACTCTCATACACTGTTGGTGGGAATGTAAATTAGTATAGCCACTATGGAAAATAGTTTGGAGGTTACTCAAAAAACTAAAAATTGAGCTATCATACAATCCAACAATCCCACTACTGAGTATAGACCCAAAAGGAAAGAAATCAGTATGCCAAAGAGATATCTGCACTCCTATGTTTGTTGCAGCACTGTTCACAATACCTAAGACATGGAAGCAATCTAAATGTCCATCAGTAGATGAATGGACAAAGTAAATATGGTACTTATGCACAATGGAGTACTATTCAGCCATAAAAAAGAATAAGATTCTGTCATTTGCAACAACATGGATGAAACTGGAGGTTATTTTATTAAGAGAAATAAGCCAGGCATAGAAAGACAAACATCTCATGTTCTCACTTATTTGTGGGATCTGAAAATAAAAACAACTGAACTCATGGAGACAGAGAGTGGAAGGATGGTTACCAGAGGCTGGGAAGGGTAGGAGGAGGTAGATGGAAGTTGAGGATGGTTAATGGATACAAATAATAGTTAAAAAGACTAAAGAAGACCTAGTATTTGATAGCATAACAAGGTGACTATAATCCAAAACAATTTTACTGTACATTTTAAAATATCTAAAAGTATTTGATTGCTTGAAACACAAAAGATAAATGCTTGAGGAGATGTATACCCCATTTACAATGGTGTAATTATTACATTTTGCATGCCTGTATTAAAATATCTCATCTACCCCACAAATATATGCACCTACAA
Source organism: Homo sapiens (assembly GCF_000001405.40). Classification (NCBI taxonomy): domain Eukaryota; kingdom Metazoa; phylum Chordata; class Mammalia; order Primates; family Hominidae; genus Homo; species Homo sapiens. The sequence continues at coordinate 180,270,827 of NC_000002.12, read as the reverse complement.
TGGACCCAGAAAAATTAAAAATTAACAAAATAAACACAAAAATAAAGCACAATATCTTTGTTAAAGAGATGCAAAAAATTTATCTGTGCAGATTTGATAGCATCCCACAGAAAGAAGGAAATGAAGTCTGTTTCACAACTTATAGTTATAATTTTAAAAATAACATTATCTCACTTACTCAACAAATAGTCCTTGAGTGCTGTATGAAAGGTGAAAGTACAGATCTAAAAGCTATCAGCCAGAGCAATCAGACAAGAAAAATAAATAAAAGTCATCCAAATAGGAAAAGAAGTCAAGCTATCTCTCTTCACAAGTGATATTATTCTATACCTAGAAAACCTAAAGATTCCATCTATCAAAAGGCTACTGGAACTTATAAATGAGTGCAGTAAAGAACGTTTCAGGACATAAAATCAAAATCAATACACAAAAATTAGTAGCATTTTAGACCCCAAGAACATTCAAGCTGAGAACCAAATTAGGAACACAATCCCTTTATGAGTATACAAACACACACACACAAACACACACACATAAAATACCTATAAATACATCTAACTAAGGAGGTGAAAGATCTTTACAAAGAGAACTACAAAATACTTCTGAAAGAAATAATAGGTTACACAAACAAATGGAAAATATTCCATGCTCATGGACTGGAAGAATCATTATTATTAAAGTGGCTATATTGCTCACACAATCCACAGATTCAACATTTTTTCCTTCAAACTACCAACGTAATTTTTCTCAGAATTGGGAAAAACTAGTCTAAAATTCATATGGAACCAAAAAAGAGCCTAAATAGCCAAAGTAATCTTAAGCAAAAAGAACAAAGTTGGAGGCATCACACTACCTGACTATAAGGCTACAGTAACCTAAATAGCATGGTACTGGTACAAAAACAGACATATAGACCAAAGGAAGAGAATAGAGAACTGGGAAGTAAAGCTGCACTCCTACAGCCTTCTGATCTTTGGCAAAGTTGACAAAAATAAGCAATGAGGAAAGGATCCCTTATTCAATAAATGGTGCTGGGATAGCTGGTGAGCCATATGCAAAAGAATGAAAGTGGACCCCTAACCTTTCACCACATACAAAAATTAACTCGGCCAGGCACAGTGGTTCATGTCTTTAATACCAGCATTTCAGGAGACCAAGGCAGGCGGATCACTTGAGTCCAGAAGTTCAACTAGCCTGGGCAAAATGGCAAAACCTTGTCCCTACAAAAATTAGCCAGGCATGGTGGCACATCCTGAAGTCCCAGCTACTCAGCAGGCTGAGGCAGGATCGTCTGAGCCTGGGAGGCAGAGGTTGCAGTGAGCCAAGATTGTGCCACTACACTTCAGTCTGGGAGACAGAGCAAGACCTTGTCTCAAAAAAATAAAATTAAAAAATAAAAAAACTCAAGATGGATTGAAGATTTAAATGTAAGACTTCAAACTATAAGAATTGTAGAAGGTGATAGAAGGGACACTTTCCAACTATAAAGTCAACCTCAAGGCCTGTCAGTTTTCCTTGATGTACAAGAAAATATGTATTTAACATTGCATAATGTAGCATGACTTTATAAGACACATGTTCTCAGGAATGTTGTATTTACAAAGGCAGTTTGGAAGGGAGAGTTGATGGTATTTTACAGATAATAATAATATAGCTCACACATGAATCATGTATAATATGTCAAGTATTACTCTAAGCATTTTAATATTTTTATTTACTTAATCTTCACAATAATTCTGTGAAGTATATGCTCTTATCACCTTCATTTTACTGATGAGGAAATAGGCAAAGAGAGGCTAAGTAACTTGCCCAAGGTCACAGAGCTTGTAAATCCAAGAACTGATTCAGACTCCTAGGTTGGTACCCTTAACCAGCACGCCACATCCCCTCTCTGACCCAAACAAGTAAATTAAAAAGAGACTACAAAAAAATTGCTATTGTTTAGAAAAGCCATGCAGTTTTCTTTCTCTTCTCCAATCTTGCCTAAATTATATGGAAATATCTGAACATGCATAGCAGTTTCTGCACAGCCATCAAACCCTTGGACTTTCCCCATTTAAACATAACCACCACCTCATTTGCCTTTGAAGGTCAAACTTTAATATGAGGTCAGTGCCATCGATTTCAAAAGAAGTCTAAAAAGCTTTTTCTCAAAAAATAAAGCAGAGAAAAATTTTTAAACCTAGAAAAAAACCTAGGAAACATAACTCCATACATCAGCCTTGGAAAATAATTTAAGACTAAGTCCTTAAAAACAATTGCAATAAAAACAAACAAAAAAATGTCAAATGGATCCTAATTAAACTAAAATGCTTCTGCACAGCCAAAGAAACTATCAACAGAGCAAACAGACCAACCTACAGAGTGGGAGATAATATTCATAAACTATTCATCTGACAAAGATCTAATATCTAGAATCTATAAGGAACTTAAACAATTGAACAAGCAAAAAACAAAGTAACCTCATTGAAAATGAGCAAAAGAAATGAACATCTTCTCAAAAGAAGACATACAAACAGCCAACAAACATATTTAAAAAGTGCTCCACATCACCAATCATTAGAGAAATGCAAAGCAAAACCACAATGAGATACCATTTCACATTAGTCAGAATGGTTGTTATCAAAAAGTCAAAAAACAACAGATGCTAGCAAGTCTGCGGAGAAAGAGGACACTTACACACTGATAGTGGAAATGCAAATTAGTTCATCCACTATGGAAAGCAGTTTGGAGGTGTCTTAAAGAACGTAAAACAGAACCACCATCCAGCAATCGCATTACTGGGTATATATCCAAAAGAAAACAAATCCTTCTACCAAAAAGACACAGGTACTGGCATGTTCATCACAGCACTATTCACAATATCAAAGACATGGAGTCAACCTAGGTTCCCATCGACAATGTGCTAGATAAAGAAAATGTGGTACACATAGACCATGGAATACTACACAGCCATAAAAAAAACATGTCCTTTGCAGCAATATGGATGCAGCTGGAAGCCATTATCCTAAGTAAATTAACACGGAAACAGATAACCAAATACCACATGTTCTCACTTACAAGTGGAAACTAAATATTGGGTACTCATAAACATAAATATGATAACATTAGACAGTGGGGACTGCTAGAAGATGGAGGGAAGCTGGGGGGAGGGTTGAAAAACTATTGGGTACTATGCTCAGTTCCTGGGTGACAGGATCATCCACACTCTAAGCCTCAGCTTCATGCAATGTAACTAGATAACAAATCTGCACATGTATCGCCTGAATCTAAAATAAAAGTTGGAAAAAAAATCCTTAAACTGCAAAAATACAATACAATAAAATAAAACAAAAGCTATCAGTATAGTGCTGAACCATTCCTGTCTTTTGGAGTTTGCATACTAGTGAAGGAGGCAAATAATACATAAAAGAACCTATACTGTAATACCAGATAATAATAAATGATAGGAGCAAATTAAGGTATGGAATACAGGGTAACTTAAATACAAGGCATAGTTATTTTAGATTCTGCAGTCAAAAAAAAAACATCTTTGAGGAGGTGACATTTGAGCAAAGACATGAATAAAGTAGATTTCATTCTGGTTGACAATAAGCAACTGAAGATTTTAAACAAAAAAAAGATATAATCTGATTTATATACTAAAAGAATCCCTGTAGCTTGTATATGGAGAATGGCCTGTGGGCTGGCAAGAGATGAAGCAAGAAGATGATGTACAAAGTTATTCCAATAACAGAATGCGGCGGCAATAAGAGAATGCGGCGGCCAAGACAAGAGTGATACCAGTGGAGGTGAGAGATGTATTGCAAAGAAGGCTTGCACGTGGATTAGATGTGGAGTGTGAAGAAAAAAGAGGCATCTAGGAAGACCCCTCAGTTTTTAATCTGGAGTAAATAAGTGATGAGATAAATAAGTAATTTATTGAGAGGAAGATATTTAGGAAAGAAGCAGGTTTAGGAAGCAAAGTCAAAACATTAATTTTGACATGCCTACCAGATATCTAAATGAACATGTTCAAGAAGCACGAGGATATACAGGGTTTTGTTTTGTTTTGTTTTGTTTTGTTTTGTTTTGTTTTGTTTGAGACGGAGTCTCGCTCTGTCGCCGGGGCTGGAGTGCAGTGGCGCGATCTCGGCTCACTGCAAGCTCCGCCTCCCGGGTTCACGCCATTCTCCTGCCTCAGCCTCCCGAGTAGCTGGGACTACAGGCGTCTGCCACCATGCCCGGCTAATTCTTTCAAAGTGCTGGGATTATAGGCATGAGCCACCGCACCCGGCCGATATACAGGTTTTAAGAGGAAAGAAGTCAAGACTGAGACATAAATGTAGGTGTTGTGAATGTTCGTTTTCATCTCTCACCTCCTCTGGTGTCACTCTTGTCTTGGCCACCACATTCTCTTATGGGGATAACTACCTAATAGTATATAAATATTCATTTAAATTTTAGATATAACTAGATAAGATTATAGGAGGAGAGTGTAGATACTGAAGAGATCGTATCTAAGGGCTGAGTCCTAGGGGCATTTCAACATTCAGAGGTCGGTGATTTATTTTTCTCTTTGCAAAAAAATTTCCTCTAGCGTGATCAATTATTCCAATTTGCCCAGGACTGTGGAGCTTTCCTAGATTCAGAACTGTGTGTGCTAAAACAAGAGAGTCCTAGGCAAACCTGGATGAGTTTGCCATGCTAGACCCTCAAACCATTCTCCACTGTTTTCTTCTCTGCTCTGTGCCCCAGGAGGCTGAACTCTACAGACCTTCATCCCTTCCCTCCTTCTTCTTAGAAATCAGCAAACAGACAGCATCATCAGTAGATTAGCAAGTGGAAAACAAATCATGAATATTTAGCTACCCCACTTTCCACCTCTCCGCAAACATGGCTGTTCCTACTCCTGTGCATGAGCCTCTTTTCTTATGATTCTGAGGTCTTTCTCCAGTTCCAATTACAGCATTTCCTCCCTTGCACCATCAGGCCTCAGGATGGTAACAGCTTCCTGCTGATACTAACCCCCAGGTGCTTCACCATTCTCTACTCCTTCCACTAACCTATACACTAAGCTATTCTCTAAAGAGCCCCTAAGTAAAACTCTAAGCCCCTGGTTAAACCTGATGGGACTGACTGATACACAGCTCATGAAAGACAGGAGGATCCAAAAAAGGAGAGGCTAATGAGGTAACAGGATCAGGGAAATTTGGCAACTCAGAGGCCTGAGGGGCTGTGAATAGTCAATGTCAGTGATTTTCAATTTGATAATTCCTCCCCATTCAAGGTATTTTAGAAATTTGTGAGGCTCTTTTTAGCTTTCATAATAATTGGGAGCATGCCCCTGACATTTAGTGGGTAGAAACAAGGAATGCCAGAAGTCCTTCTATATTGTGGATGGTCCCAATTAAAGAATTGCTCCATGTCCTGAAGATTTTGAAAGGGCTCACTGGGCATTCATATAATTGGGGGAAAAAATTGCCAGTTTTTATCTGAGGTTGGAACCTAATTTACATATGGTATAGTTTCAAAGATTTAATATACATTTTTCATAAATGCAAATAATATGTAAATCAAAGGAAGGTTGTATTAATTTATTTGGAAATTTACCAAAGAAATTTATTATTTCAGAAAATTATATTACTGATGGCATAGTATTTAATTCTCCATTATAATATGACCACATCAGTCTGCACTTCTATATATTTGCAAGCAGATTGCTATTTGTTTATGTCTTCTGGTATAGTTTTACTGAGCAGTCACATAGTAAAGTATATATTATTATACATTTTTTTCTCATAATTAGGTAATTATATTGACTTTTAAATATTATGCATGCTGGTAGATGATATTATCTATGAAATTTATTTCAAGATAGTAAAGGGAAAATTATATTTGTCATGGGGCGGTATTGAGTATGATATAGTAGAGAATAATTGATTAACATGGGCACTGGAATCAATGAGAATGATGACTATTTACTGTTAAAGAGAAACGGGTGCTAAAATTCTTCAACAAATGAGAAGAAATGATTAAGACACTAGCTCTGAAACTTTGCTGCATGTTAGAATCACTCGGGAAGCTTTTATAAGTCTTAATGCCCAGGCTAACCACACTAGAATCCCTAAGGTTAGGACCCAGGCATTAATTTAAAAACAAAAACAAAAAAGTCAGTCCAGCCATGTTTGAGAACCAATGAACTAAGAGATCAGAAGAAAATTATAACAAGGAAGAACTGAAGGTGGTCAAGTCCAATGGAATGCCATTTATGGAATCAGGGATTTTTCAGGAGTAGAAGAATGGAAGAAGCGGTCCCAAATTGACAATATGGAGCCAGGAGAACCCCTGCTCCCTCTCCAAGTCTGGGGGAAATGACAGCCATCCTTGAAAAGGCTTCAGAGAAACCGGAACTCTCAGGGGTGACAGGTTTCATACTGAGAAATAAGTATAAATTAGAGGACTGTGGTGAAGGATAAGGTTGGAGATATAGGGATGTTTGCCAAGTTCCAGAGGAACAATGAACGGTCATGGAGTGGTTGGGGAAGTATACAAGTTTGAGTCATATTAGGAGATGCATAGAAAATATGCTGGTAAAAAAATTTTTCCGGGAATAACCTAAAAGAGACAAATGTAATACATGATGGAATTGGTCCTGATATTCTTAGGGGAAGATGTGTAGTCAGTTTTAATTATAGTCCCCAAAGCAGATATTGTCAGTGTTCTGCCTGGGTCCTCTGGGATTCCTTTAGCACACTTCCTTCTGGTGCCCCATTCCTTTTTTTTTTTTTTTTTTTTTTTGCTTTGCTTTTCAGAGTTGGCATCTTCATCTCTCTTCAGGGACTTGCTGTTGAGCTAGTAGCTAGTGGAGCCACTTGGCAGAGCTGGAAGTGCCTAGACTTTTCATTCTCACCAGGCAGCCTTTTCCAGTCCCTAACTGGTATAGGAGCATGAAAACTCAGCTCCCTTGCTTCAAGTAAAGTTACAGGACTTAATTTATATTCCACAGCTTTCCTGCAGGAGCAAGCTGAAATGATCCTGCTTTTCCTAAAATTGTCCCTTTTCTTGGCTTCTTCCATTCCCCTCTCCTTCTTCTCCCACTAAAGAAGTGGGTAAAGAAAAAACTGGTAAAGAACCAGTTTTTCTTGCAAAGACTTCTTTAAAAAATCGCTTGTTCTTGAAGCTTTTCTCAGGGTTAGCTTCTGGGGGTTCCATCTAAGATAGCCTTCTTCTTAGAGTAGACTGGCAGCAATATATGTTAGCAGGAGCAGGAGAGGCCCTGTAGGACTCCCTAAGCACAGGCTGAAAAGACTATCATCACACAAATTGAGGAACAGTTTTACCATGTGGAGGTGGAATTACAAAGATGATTATTCTTGATAGATTACAGGGTAAGTTTTTCCATGGGTCCTTGCAAAGAGGACAAAATTTTCAATAATACCTTCCAAGAATTCTAGCACCAATTTTCAGAAGGGTGTTTTTCCCACATCATCATCCATCAGTCAATAGAACCAAATGATGTCATTTAGAAACAAGCAACTGTATAGGGAGTCAAAACACGGCATTAGTGTGTGTACCCAGCTCTCCTGTAACCTGGCTTCATCTAGAGATAGATTTTGGAGTGTCTAGAAAAAGAGACAGACCTGTATCCATCAGGTAATCTCCCTAAAATATTTTTAAAATTAGTTAAGCTTTTGATAAATATTGAGCATCAGTGAATTCAAAGTTATTTTTTTCCAATGAACATTCAGAACTAGATCTCAGTTGCTGGTTAAATGAAGAGCAATATATTTCAAGTGTCAGTCAAGGTGGTGCTATGGGCTATAATTATTAGAATCTATAAAGACAGGCAAAAATGATGCAGCACAGGTAGTAAGAATTAGTGCATTTCTGACTTCTGTCTCGCGGTGTCTTTTCATCCCCAATATCTAACATTTTGAGGGCAGAGTTTGTATAATTATATGAAAAAGACTGTAACTTTCTACTTGAACCCAAACTCCCAGAACTGTCACAACAAGAACAGAGACATTCATAACCACTGGAACGTTATCTTAGGCTTTGCTTCTTCTTTCCAAAAGTACCCCCTTAAGTCCTAAAGGGAAGAGAAAAGAAGAAAACATGTCCAAATATTAATAAGCAGATTAATTATAGAGATAACAGGTAAGAATGACTAGGAAAACACTCTCTTTTCAGAGCACATTTTGGGAAATCCAGTGGTGGCCATAATGTGGAATTTTTCAGCAATGTATTCATCCAAGCTTAATATATTCTTCCAAGTCTAATACTAACTCTTGATTACTAACATGGTAATATGAAGATGTGATTATAACAATATCTAAAGTCATCAAATTATTCTCTTTCTCTCTTCTGGTGGGAAGGCATTTCAAATACTCAGAGTAGGAAAACTATGTACATGTACAAGTGTACCATGCAAGGTTGCCAAGGCTTAAGACCATCTTCAAGAGAGGGCCCACTGAAATGGATGCACACCAAGCCCAAAGCAATAGGGGATGGATTCCTATCTGTGGAGTTGGGGGTGTGGGGAGAAAAGAAATATTCACAGTGGAGTGGGAGGGAAGAGGCAGGAGTCTCAATAGAGCCATATGACCAAGGAAATGCACAAAGAGAGGCCCCTTTTAGAACACCCAAAGGAAAAAAGATGATATAGAAGAAAAACATTTGGAAACCAGCTGCGGAGCCACAGATAGATGAAGGAGCAAAAATTTTTAGATAAGAAGGACCACAAATTCAGTTCACCACCACTTTCCAATAGGTTAAGAGGCAGAACTTCTCCTTCCTTATTCCTTCCCACCCCTCCACACACACACACACACACACCACACATACACACACACAAACACACACTTGTGATTCACAGGTACAGGTGAATGTAATATGGGGGAGAAAAGAGGAACAAGAGAAATCGGGCTACATTCTTTTCAACTGGAAATAGTTTATAGCAACCTTAGAAGCCAAATATGAGCTGAACTGTGGGATTTTGAAGAACTTTTAACAAAAATTAGAAGAAATACAGGTATACCTCATTTTATTGTGCTTCACTCTTTTGCACTTGATAGGTATTGCATTTTTATTTTTACAAATTGAAGGTTTATAACAACTCTGTGTCCAGAAAGTCTGTTTGTACCATTTTCTCAAAAGCGTGGGCTCACCTCATGTCTCTGTGTCACATTTTAGTAATTTCTGCAATATCTCAAACTTTTTCATTATTATATCTGTTATGGTGATCTATAATCAGTGATCTTCAATGTTACTTTTGTAATTGTTTTGGAGTGCCAAGAACCACACCCATATAAGATGGAAAACTTAATAAATGTTATGTTCTGACTGTTCCACCAACAGGCTGTTCCTCTCTCTTCCTCTTCTCTGACCTCTCTATTCCCTGAGATGCAACAACATTGAAATTAGGTCACTTAATAACCCAAAATGACCTCTAAGTATTCAAGTGAAAGAAAGAATTAAACATCCATCACATTGAATCAAAAGCTAGAAATAATTAAGCTTAGTGAGAAAGGCAAGTGGAAAGTCAAGAGAGGCTGAAAGCTAGGCCTCTTGCACCAAATAGTTAAGTTGTGAAGGCAAAGGAGAAGTTCTGGAGGGAAATTGAAAGTGTTACTCCAGTGAACACATGACTGATAAGAAAACAAAACAGGCTTATTTTGTTTTCTACTGGTGTAGTAGAAAGAATTACAGTCATGCCCCATTTAATGACAGGAATTCATTCTGAGAAAGGCATTGTTAGGTGATTTTCTTGTATACAAACGTCATTCCCTTAAGCCAAAGCCTAATCCACAGCAAGACCCTAACTCTCTTAATTCTATGAAGGCTGCAAGAGGTGAAGAAGCTGTAGAAAAGAGGTTTCAAGCTAGCAAAGGTTTATTCACGAGGTTTAAGGAAAGAAATCATCTCCATGTCACAGATGTGCAACTTGAAGCAGCAAGTACTGATAAAGAAGCTGCAGTGAGTTACCCAGAAGCTCAAGCTAAGATCATTGATGAAGGTAGCTACACCAAACAGTTTACATGAAATAACCTTCTATTGGGAAAAGATGCCATCCAGGACAGCTGTCGCTAGAGAGGAGAAATCAATACCTGGCTTCAAAGCTACAAAGAACTGGCTGACTCTCTTGTTAGGGGCTCATGCGGCTGGTGACTTTAAGTTGAAATCAATGCTTATTTACCCCTTTGAAAATCTTAGGGCCCTTAAGAATTATGCTAAATCTACTCTGCCTGTGCTCTATAAATGAAATGACAAGGCCTAGATGACAGCACATCTGTTTATGGAATGTTTTACTGAATACTTTAAGTGCGCTGTTGAGAACTACTGCTTAGAGAAAAAATTTCCTTTCAAAGTGTTACTGCTCATTGACAATGCATCTGGTCACCCAAAAGCTCTGATGGAGGTGTACAAGGATGTTGTTCATTCCTGCTAACACAACATTCATTCTGTAGCCCCTGGATCAAGCAGTATTTTTAACTTTCATGTCCTATAATTTACAAAAACATTTGTAAGGCTATAGCTGATATAAATAGTGATTCTTCTGATGGATCTGGGCAAAGTGAATTGAAAACCTCCTGGAAAGGATTTACCAATCTAGACGTCATAAAGAACACACGTGATTCATAGGAGAGGTTAAAAATATCAACATTAACAGGAGTTAACTGATAAGGCAGTGGCAGGGTTTAAAAGGACTAACTACAATTTTGAAAGAAGTTCTACTGTGAGTAAAATGTTATCAAACAGCATCACATGCTACAGACAAATCTTTCATGAAAGGAGGAGTCAATTGATACACTAAATTCATTAGAATATCTTATTTTAGGAAATTATCATGGCCACCTTCAGCAACCACCACCCTGATCAGTCAGCAGCCATCAACATTGAGGCAAGACTCTCTACTAACAAGAAATTTTATTCCATCAGCTGTTCAATTTCACCTTCTTGAGAGCTCAGATGATTGTTAGCATTTTACAGCAATAAAGTATTTTTAATTCAAGTATGTACATTGTTTTTTAGACATAGTGCTGTTGTTCACTTAATGAACTACAACATAATACAAATGTAACTTTTATATGTACAGGGAAACCAAAAACTTTGTGTGAATCACTTTATTGTAATGTTTGCTTTGTTGCAGTGGTCTGGAACTGAACCCATAATATCTCTGAGGTACTTCTGTACAGAATTTGCTCCCCAAAGTGATCACAAGTGACTAAAATGTCATTTAGTCTTCATTTTTTATTATCTTCTCAATCCACTGGAAAACACCAGCCTGTATCTATTATTAGTAACAGTAGAAAAAAATGCTCTTTTTTTTCATTGCTGGGTTGAGAGTTTACATTTCTATGAGGGTCTGACCTCTGTTGATAACATGGATTTCAACAGATTTTCCTTTAATCTATTTGAGCATTTGTTAAATAAGAGAGTGGTGTAGTAGAAAGAATTACAGTCATGCCCCACTTAATGACAGGAATCCATTCTACGAAAGGCATTGTTAGGTGATTTTCTTGTATACAAATGTCATCGAGTGTACTTCCACAAACTTATATGGTTATACTGTACTGCATACCTAGGCTATATGGGTTAGCCGATTGCTCCTAGGCTATTAACCTATACAGCATGTTGCTGTACTGAATACTGTAGGCAATTGTAATGCAATGGCATTTGTATATCTAAAACTAGAAAAGGCTCTGTAAAAATACGGTATTATAACCTTATGGAACCACTGTCATACACGTGGTACTTCATTGATCAAAATATCATTTTGGGGTGCATAACTGTATACTAGTCTGTGTGTCAGTCTGACTCTATCATATGCCAACTTTATGACCTCAAGAAAATGTTTCCCTTCCCTCCTTCCTTCCTCTCTCTTTTTCTAACATCTCTACATCCCAGTTTTCCAAAATTTAGAGTAAGGTTGATAATACTTATTTAAATAGTAAGCACTTAAGCTCAAGAAATGTTTGTTTGAATCTCACTCATCTCCTCCTCTCTGGACCAATCTTAAACGCCATTTTTTTTTTTTTTTTTTTTTTTTTTCAAAAAATGGACATGCATTACATTAAGCCCAGTGGTGCTATCATTTTAATCAGTAAGTTATTTCCATTTTATTTATGCTAAAGAAGTGAACACTTTCCCTCTAGGATTTTGGGTTTGCATCTTTAAATGATACTTAACACTTGGACAGCTATTGTAGTATAATTCTAGAGTATGTGTGAATTTAGAGCCCCAATTCACCTTGGCTTGTTAAATCTGTGACTTAACAGCTTTTGCAGAGCAGGGATACTGACGTGACCGAATTGTATGTCTTCCCTGTGTGCATATTTGTCTTCCTTCATTGATATTTGAGTTAGTCCTTTTAATTTTTTTAAGACAACAGTGTGTTTGCATTTGGCCTACTTCAGCTATAATAAATTCTTGTTCTATCCCATGACAGGTTTTCTTAGGCTGCCATGTAAGTGCCTGTATCCTGTCAAATTTGCTATTTAAATATTTGGATTTTTCTTCTTACTTTGTTATGTCTTATCTTCCCTCTGGTTTGTGGTGGTGATTGTTACCTGACCCTCAAAGACTCTAATTTCCATACCCCTAGTAACTAGTTTATAGTTAGCTGTTTTAATAGTTCCCAACAGTGCCTGGAGTCTTTAAAATAGTTCCCTGTAGCAAATCATATCTATAAACATTTTACAAGAAGGGTAAGTCAACATGTTTAAATAGGCTGCCTCAGAAAAGACCTGTATAATTTATGGAGTACAATAGAGATAACTGCAACCAGAAGCATTTTCTCATCCTACTAAACTATAGCATGGTGTCAGTGTTTAGTAACAGACTTTGTTCAAGGAAGAGATCCAGGAGGAGGAAATAAATCTCAAGGTACTCTTCTGGAATCTATAATCAATTTTTCTTTCTATCTTTACATGGATATAAATAGCTCTGGACCACATGTCTTGAAATTCCTCTCAATTTCTCTTGACTTTGGGAAAGTTCCATTAGTAAATTACCTCTGTCCCTCAGCTTCTTCATCTGTAAAATAAGCATGATAATAGCACCTCTTTCATAAAGTTGTTGTGAGGATTAAATGACTTCATGCATTAAAAGTACATAGCCCAGGTGCGGTAGCTCTCAGCACCTTGGGAGGCCGAGGTGGGTGGATCACCTGAGGACAGGAATTTGAGACCAGCCTGGCCAACATGGTGAAACCCTGTCTCTACTGAAAATACAAAAGTTAGCCAGCCATGGTGGCAGGCGCCTGTAATCCCAGCTACTAGGGAGGCGGAGGCAGGAGAATTGTTTGAACCCAGGAGGCGGAGGTTGCAGTGAGCCAAGATTGCATCATGGCACTCCAGCCGGGGCAACAAGAGTGAGACTCTCTCTCCAGAAAAAAAAAAAAAGTGCATTGACTAATCCCTGGACCTCAGTACACACTCAGCCAGTGTTAGTTATCAGTTTTATTCCTTCTATCAACTGTTCAATGCCTTCCTCATCTCCCTGACTCTCTATCAGGTTAATTGGGTAAAGGTAGGGGGAGGACCAAAGCGAAAGAGGGAAGATAAACCCTTTCTTGGATTTGTTCCTTTTAGGTTTTGTCATTTTTCTGCTGACTTTCACATCAGTGAAGACTTTGAATCTTTTGTTCCAACTCATTGTTTGCCCACAAGTAGCTGTTTATTTCCCTCCTGTCCCCTGCTACCCCATCGTCTTCCCATTTATCTACTGAACCTTATTTCAGTGAACAAGACCACAAATTAAACATGCTACTGTTACTTTCAGTTTATTATTACTGACACAGGGAACAAGCAGACACATTAGGAAGAATCAAAGCTAAAAGAAAGTAAGCTGTGGACATGCAAGGATGAAAAAAGCAAGTAAAAAAGCAACTTCCAGTACCAGACCTTCCTTAGGTTTTCAGTGCTCACTGCCAATGTCCCTTCTTTAGTAACAGCCATGAGAATAGCTGAGAGGTTTATTAGGTAACCAAACAGATATTGTGGCTCCATGGATGTGATTATGTTCTAGTCATTAAGAGAGCAGCAAACCATTCCTAGCTGCAACCAACATACATTGCAAAAATATTTCCCTAGATCTAACCTAATAAATACGTATCTATTGAATACTCAACTATGTGTACTGAGGTATAAAATTATGAACAAAATACAGTAAATTGCCTTCAAGTAGCTCATGATCTAGTAGGGGAAATAAGCTACATACACATATAGCTATAATATAAGACAAAATACTAAGTGCCACAGTTCTCTTTTAACGTTAATTTACATTTAAACATTTAAATAAAGTTCTCTCAGGCAAAACCCGAAAAGCGTAGTCAGTTCCCACTAATTGACCATGAAACTCATTTGTCACATGAGAATCTCTATTGAAATAGCTACTTCACATTCAAATAAAATTTGACTGACTGCTGATCTGAGCAAGGCACTACACTGAAATCTACATAGGCTGCAGAAGTCGACAGGGAACCTATAATCTTGTAGGTGACATAAGACATACAGACATACAATCAAATTAAGAGGCTGAATGTCAAAAAGGACATGGGAAGGCAGAGCAGAAAGTGATTATTTCTAATCAGATCTAGACAGGTGACATGTATGGAGATGGTGACCTCCCTAGCCCAAGCCCACTATCAGGACTGACCTTGTCCATTGCAATCACCTTTCAGTGGTTTTCTTGCTTCTGTTCTTTCTCCTGGTGACCTCATCCTTCCTCAAACTGTGGTCAGAACAATTTAAAAATGTAAATCAGATCATGGCTCCTCTTTGTCTGTGACCCTTCAAATGCCTGTATTGCCCATGAAATCACATAGCCCTGGCCTACAAAGCCCTGAGAGAGGAGTAGATTAGCCTTGCCTACCTCTAAGCTAATTCCACTTGTTCACTCCCCTGATCTACACTGACTCCTTGCTGTTCCTTGGCCTTGTCAAGCATCTTGTCTTTTAGCATCTTTGTACTTGAAGTTTCCCCTTCCTAGGACTCTTCCCCACACTCCAATCTGACCTAGATTCTAGTCTTGCTTCTTGAAAATGTGGCTTTCTCTCCCCCAGTCTGGTAATAATTGGCTGCCTGTGTTCTTCTTATATCTGAGTCATTGGCTTAATACTCTGTCTGCCTTTCAGGTGCTGTGAAACTGACATGTCCCTTTGCTCTCCCACAGATAGGTCTCCAAGTAGGCTTCTTAAGCCCCTTGTTAGGGGTAGAGTAGTGACATGTACCATTGCTGGGACAGTGAATTAGATAACGTTCTGGTCAAATGTGGTGAGATAAGTGTTGGCTATGAAACCTATATTCCTCTTTGAATGTTTCCACTCACTACCTGTGTGATGTAAATCAAGTTGCTCAACCTCTCTGTGTCTTTGTATCCCCATTAAGAAGGATCTCTAATGTCCCTCGTAGGTCCAATCTTTTTTCTTTTACTCCTCCATTTCTTCATCTCATATGTACTTATTGAGGTATGCTACTGTGGTAGCCCCAAGGGCTAAGTCACGAATAAAACAGCTACCATTTATGGCTTTAGGAGTTTAAATTTTTAGCACAAAAGACACATATTAAGTAGTTTTATCCTATGTGCAAATAAAATAGCCATCTCCCTCCTAGACTCTTGATTGGGGTATGTCCTAGATAGGGAAAAAGATAAATACCTAGATTACACAGGCCTGTGGGAAAGAGCACCCTTCTCAGGAATTTAAGTTGACACAAGGTACATGAAAAACTGTCATTGAAAGCTTCTATGTTTGTTTGCTTGTCCTAAAGAGTAGATAGCTTTGTTGTTTGGAAAGGCACAATAACGGGCCCTGTTTCACATTGATAAGCTTCTAAGTGTGATCTATTTATAAAAGCAGGAGAGTAAACAAGGGAAAAGAGTCTTCTAGCTACATGAACTTTCATCTCCATTGAGGAGATGGTAGACTGCACAGATTAAGTTAGATTTAGAGAAAAATTTTTGTTCCTTAATATGAATATAAGCTGTGCAGTTTATGAAAATTACTGTTTTCTCTAAAAGGTGTGCATGTGTGTGTAAAAGTTCCAACAGTTCCTACCAGGAGATTTAAGAGAAAAAGGAAACATATCTTCATTTCACAGGAGTAGAAAGACTACTAAGGTTAGCTACCTTAAAATGAAAAACTCTCTAAATGGTCTTATAGAATGACACCATAGTGTTATTTTAGGCAGAATTCAGATTTTAAGAAATGTTTTACTGTGGTTAATTGCATCCTTTAGCTAAACCTTGTAGGCAGAGAGGCAAGAGTTATGAACTAGATCAGCAGTTCTGAGTAAGGAGTTGAATAAATGGATCAAAATGTGTCCCATGATAGTCTGAAGAAAAGATCTTACTCTCCAAGGTGTGAAGTAGAGCAGACTTAAGCTTGGGAAAAAGGATTAAGAATTGAAGCTGCTTCTAAGGAGGACCTCTATGTGAAATTACGTCCTTTGAACTTTTGTAATAGTGACATTTCACATCTAGTTTCAAGGTATTTTTCTCCTATACTGTAATATCCTCTGATAATCCCTAACTCCTCAATAAAGTGTATTACACGTGGACAGCCTTTTGTTAGTAAGATTGTGGGTAATTAAGTTAAAGGTCAATAAAGGGAATTGTGGCCTCCCTCACATCATCTCCTACTGAGGCTAGCAGCAAGGACTGAAAAAGACAGTGGTCCTGGAGTCCCACAAGGGGAAGCAAAGCAAGTAGTATCCCAGGCATTGCTGAGAGTAAAAAAGAAGAGCCCTTGGTGTGGTGAAGTCAGTGCCACCTGGGCAAATTCAAAATGGCCAGGAGTTAAAGCTCCTTTTCCCAAATATACCCAAAGAAGGAGATTCTCAAAGGACCAAAGATGACATTTCCAATATAATCGCGTGCACAAAACTACAATTGAGGCAGGTATTCCTGCCACAGAAAAGGCATATAATACTAGAAAAGCAAAGAATGGGGAAACTAACAATTCTCAAGGGTCTGAAGGCTGAGTAGGACTTATTATGATGAAGGGGAGCATGCCGAGAAGAGAACCCCAGCTAGGGGAAGAGTAGGGTGAAAGCTGAGGGGTGTTTGAAGAACTGAAAGAAGGGCCTGAGTGGCCAGACCACTCACTGTGAGACAGACTGAGGCTGGTAAACCTGGTGGGGCCAGATCTTAGAAAAATATTCAGGCCAGATTAAAAATGTTGGGTTTCATCCTTAAGTAAGAAAGCTGAACATTCCTCTAGGTCCGTTAGTCTAAATGCCCTTAACTATAAAAAGTAGTGAATTCTCCTAGTCATGAAGTCTTTGCCCATGCCTATATATTGAATGGTATTGCCTAGGTTTTTTTCTAGGGTTTTTATGGTTTTAGGTCTTACTTTAAGTCTTTAATCCATCTTGAGTTAATTTTTGTATAAGGTGTAAGGAAGGAGTCCAGTTTCAGTTTTGTCATATGGCTAGCCAGTTTTCCCAACACCATTTATTAAATAGGGAATCTTTTCCCCATTGCTTGTTTTTGTCGGGTTTGTCAAAGATCAGATGGTTGTAGATGTGTGGTGTTATTTCTGAGGACACTGTTCTGTTCCATTGGTCTATGTATCTGTTTTGGTACCAGTACCAGGCTGTTTTGGTTACTGTAGCCTTGTAGTATAATTTGAAGTCAGGTAGCGTGATGCCTCCAGCTTTGTTCTTTTTGCTTAGGATTGTCTTGGCTATATGGGCTCTTTTTTGGTTCCATATGAAATTTAAAGTAGTTTTTTTCTAATTCTGTGAAGAAAGTCAATGGTAGCTTGATGGGGATAGCATTGAATCTGTAAATTACTTTGGGAAGTATGGCCACTTTCATGATATTGATTCTTCCTAGTGTGGCAATTCCTCAAGGATCTAGAACCAGAAATACCATTTGACCCAGCAATGCCATTACTGAGTATATACCCAGAGGATTATAAATTATTCTACTATAAAGACACTTGCACACATGTTTATTGCAGCACTGTTCATAATAGCAAAGACTTGGAACCAACACAAATGCCCATCAATGATAGACTGGATAAAGAAAATGTGGCACATATATACCATGGAATACTATGCAGCCACAAAAAGGATGAGTTCATGTCCTTTGCAGGGACGTGGATGAAGCTGGAAACCATCGTTCTCAGCAAACTAACAGAGGAACAGAAAACCAAACACCGCATCTTCTCACTCATAAATTGGAGTTGAACAATGAGAACACACGAACACAGGGAGGGGAACATCACACACTGGGACCTGTTGGAAGGTTGGGGGCTAGGGAAGGGATAGCATTAGGAGAAATACCTAATGTAGATGACAGGTTGATGGGTGCAGCAAACCAACATGGCACATGTATACCTATGTAACAAGCCTGCACATTCTGCACATGTATCCCAGGACTTAAAGTATAATAATAATAATAATAATAATAATAATAATAATAAAAGTAGTGAATTCATGCTGTGTCTTACAAGAAAGGAAAAGCACAGTCCTTTGAGGGACCAGGAAAAGCTTCTTGGGGCATGCAGGCCCTGAGGATGATCATGAAAGACTGATAGAACTGATGGGTCAAGAGAATGTGAGAGGGCTTCTAGACAAGATAAAAGAAAACCTGCATAGTCCAGAGAGTAAAGTGATCATTGTTTTCATAACTAAGGTTTTAAGTCTGTCAGTCAGGAGCAACTCATAATCGTTTTTCCTTCTATAGAAATAATTATTTGTAAAATATCTCAGTTTTGATTAAATCAATGACATACATGATTAAACATTTTAAGACCAAATGCAATGGACTGAATATTTATTTGTGGCCCTACCCCCTACTGCCAAAATTCATAGTTGATATGTTAACCTCAATGTGATGGTACTAGGAGGTAGGGCCTTTGGGAGGTAATTAGATCTCAAAGGTGGGGCCCTCATAGATAGTATTAGTGCTCTTATAGCAAGATGTCAGAGAGCTAGCACATTCCCTTTCCTTTTGCTATGTGAAAATACAAAAAGAAGTCAGCCATCTGCAACCTAAAAGAGAGTCCTCTCCAGAGCCCAACCATGCTGGTGTCCCTATCTTGGACTTCCAACCACCAAAAGTGTGAGAAGTCAATGTCTGTTATTTATAAACCATCCAATTTATAGTGCTTTGTTATAGTAGCCTAAATAGACTAAGACACCAGATGAGCTTTGATTTTCTTTGACTACAACACTGCTGGATAATTTCTACTGTTACTGTACAATTACTGAAATTTCTTCATATTAAAGGTTCACTTATTAGTCTAAAATAATTTTCCAAGAAATTAGAGTTAGATATTTTTTTCTTACCTATGTCTGTGCCATAAGAGTATATACACAATTAAGAAATGAATTATAATCACTGATTTCCTTCCCACTCCTTCTTCAATTTTTTTTTTCTTTTTTTTGAGACAAAGTCTTGCTCTGTCACTAGGCTGGAGTGCAGTGGCACGATCTTGGCTCACTGCAAGCTCCACCTCCCAGGTTCAAGCAATTCCCCTGCCTCAGCCTCCCGAGTAGCTGGGACTACAGGCGCATGCCACCATGCCTGGCTAACTTTTTTTTATTTTAGTAGAGATGGGGTTTCACCATGTTGGCCAGGATGGTCTTGATCTCCTGACCTCGTGATCTGCCCACCTTGGCTTCCCAAGGTGCTGGGATTATAGGTGTTGAGCCACCGCACCCAGCCTTCTCCTTCAATTTTTAAGAGTAACTTGAAGTGGTATTTGTCAAGTCAAATTTTTATTCTAGATCTCTTTCTTCAGAAAAATAATTCTTTCAGGGTGCCTTGAGCTGCAAAATGACAGAAAAGTCACTGTAAATCATTTAGTTAATAATGGGCAAACAATTGCACATAACAAGATAGGTGGTTCCGAGTCTGTGCAGAGGCACAAAGGCATCAGTATGGACCTGGGAATTCTCCACCTTCCTGCTCATTCATGCACAGTATGGCAGAGATGTCTTCCTCATGGCTGCAAGATAGTTGCAGCTCCGGGAGTCACATACAAACACAAAAGCATCTAGCCTCAAAGAGGAAGATTTTTCTTCAACAAGTCTCTTTTTGGGGGGAAGAAAAAGCCCTCCAAAACTCTCTGAATGCAGTCTTTTCCTCAGGCCTCATGGACCAGGCCTAGGTCACATGAACATGTATAAAGCAATCATTGGAAAGATAAATAGGATTAAAATGATTTGCTAGACTAATCCTGATATATGCTGCAAGGCTACAGTGCAATATCACCTTTCATGGGGGGGAAATGGGGAAGGTGAATGCTGAAATAAAGCTGGAGATGTCCTAGAAAGGAATAAAGAGGGGAAGGCAAGAGAGGGCAAGAATGGGGCAGGGAATGAATGAATCTGAAACCACAGGGCCTGTTTAAAGAGGTGTAAGCATGGTAGAGGAAACTCAAGAGCAGGGTTCTCCATTATCCCTAGGCCTGAAGGAGCAAGGGAAGAGAGTAGTTACCAAAACACTACAGGAAGAAGTTGGGTTGAGAGGGCCTCCCCTTGAAGCCTTGATAAGGCCAGCCTGAGGCAACCTTATAAGGAAAGAGTAAGGAAAGAACAAGGAGAATAAACATCTTGACCTCATCCATCTCCTATTAAGGCTCCCCATTGGCCAATCCCACCTAGAAGCCAGAAAGCAAGTAGTCCATACAGAAGAGTCCCATAGGGCAGATAAGGGAAAAGAGGGAGAGATGACTTGCAGATGCGATGGAAGATATCTAACACAATCAATACAACCATTGATTGATACCATCCTTCCTGTCATTGCAAATAAAAATCATACTGCATGTGCATTTTCAAACACAAAATATTAACTTACTTTTAATTAAGAGTTTTTCTCTTTGCCTTTATCTTCCTCTTAAAGTACACCCACATTAAGTAATAAGTGTTGTTCTCTGCCTTTATCTTCCTCTTAAAGTATACCCACAGCTTTGATTATTCTCTTATATTAGTAATAGATTTTAAAAAAAGATCAATCAGCAACATGTTAACAGCCATAGAAAATGGTTATGCTTACAAGCATAGGCTAAGAAAAGAGAACCCAGAAAATCTGGTGTACAAGTTAGAGAGACGATTTCAATGGAATGGAGTCATAAATGATGAGGCAGTTTGAGAGGCTGTTTAAATTGTTCCAGCAAGTTTACATTTTGAAATAATTTTCAGAGCTTTTTAAAAAGTTGAGTAATTCCAACCTACACAGAACAATGTTATCTTATTTTATCTGCCTGGATTTCTCCCCAAACTTCTTTACAGTATCCTCAGTATTTTTTAGACTAGTTCAGATTCTTTCACTCAAATTCCTGCAGCATCAGGAGAAAGAAAAAGACAGAAACATAAGTAGAAAGCAAAGGAAGAACAAGAAAAACGTGAAGGTGTTAACCCTCAGAGTTTCAGTCCCTTACTTTAATCTATATCCATCTGACATCCTTCTGCCTTTTGCTGCTCTGATCATGGAAAAATAAACAGATAATTGGCATGTCACCTTCATCTGAGTTCTATCAACTACTGCAGTTGGCTTTCAAGAACTTTCATTTTGTCTTGCTCCTGGCTGAACTACTAGGTGTGTTTCAATGTGCTGTTAATATTAAGGTGCATGTACCATGCTTAATCAATTGACTCTGTATTTTAAAACATGATGGTTTCAGGCAAAAAATACAGAGAATGAATAAAATAGTTATGCAGGCCCCATTATATGGTACTAATTGATTTTTAGTACTTCTTCTAATCCAAAGAAATTTAAATGGGGTAATTTGGGATAGCTGTTAGCAACACTTAATCTTTTCATGCCTGAAATTTATACTTTATGGCTAAAATTAAGAAATCTCTTTGAAATACTTGATATCAAATAGAATGGGAAAGATCAGCTGGACTTTGTTTTAAATAGCTAATTCTCTAATGGTGATTTGAATCTTTTTGCTAATAGAAAGGCAAGACAATAATTGCACAAATATAAGATTCATGAGAGCAGACATTTTTATCTGGTATGTTTACTACTGTATTCTCAGCTCTAAGAACAATGCCTGACCCCTCATAGGTGCTATATTAATATATGTTGCATAATGAATATAAATAAATCAAACAAGAATGATTTTCTTCTAATGTCAGTTTGACCTGTCATGTTGCTTTGCTCAATCATCAACAGTGGCTAGTATTCCCTGAGAATGAGTCTTGGAAGATTTAATAGACATTATTCTCTGTATTTCCAAATACAGTAAATACAGTAAGTAAAGCCCCAAAGTAAGACTATCAAACAATTTAAATATAAAAGTATGGTTAACTTATTCTACACACCAAATGCTAACATCAAAAATAATAACACTATTATCATTTAATATTTACCCTTTGCCAGCCCAAGCTGAGTGTTTTATTCACATGCCTTTTGAATCCTGACAATGTGTTCAATGCTACCATGTGACAGGTAGTAAGAGTCTCATCCTTTAAATGAAAAAGCTGAGATTTATAAGGGCTATGATTTGGTGAACCCAGGATTCATATCCTCATCTGTCTTGTCTCCAAAGTACAACCTCTTAAGCACAAAGGTGTAGCACTTTGGTGTAACACCTCAAACGAGGAATCCAAGATTTCATTCTTGAATCAGAAAATCTCTCATGACTTGGGCTCAGGTTGGTCTAGCTTTGAATGTCTGCTAGGTCACTTTCCTTTGAGTGACAGTACACAAGTTATTTAACATCTCTGAGCCTCAGTTTCTTTATCTATCTGCAAGATATGTTTAATTATCCTACCTCATGAGGATTTTATTAGAATTATAAAGATGGGACATTCTTGTGAAGCTTGCCTAGTATATAATGAATGCTTATTTTGGAGATTCTGTGGCTCTACCCACAGAAGCACAATGAAGTAGTGTGTTAAATGATATTGTGAAACAAACTTGTAAAAATATGATCTAAGTAATTTCAACACTAAAAGCACTTATTGTTACATTTTTTTCCCCTTTTTGCTGGGTAAGGATGAAAACAGGCATACGCTCCCAGCATTCTAGAGTAAACTACATGTCACTTTGGCAATACAGAGAATAGTGTCTATTAAATCTTCCAAGACTCATTCTTAGGGAATACAAGCCACTGTTGATGATTGAGCAACGAGAGGTCAAACTGATGTTAGAATAAAATCATTCCTGTTTCATTTATTTATAACTTTATTTTCAGGGCCCAAGGAGAGCACTGAAAAGTAAAGAAGAGAACATTGCTTGCTAATTACTTTTTATTAACTCCTAACTACTAGATGTATTTGTTTATTAAACTTATATTTTAAGATCACAGACATTTTCTTTCATTGCTTCATTTTCCTAAATTACAGGTGAGCATGAGGCATCCTCAGGGATCATCTTCCCTGTTATACTTGTAGTGAAGAGCATTTTTAATGACTTAAGCCTTTCCCTTTTTTTCTGAGAATTATTATATACCAAAGTAGATTAGCTTAAAATGAATATAATGTGTAAGCCAGTGTTTGTTTGAGTTCCTCATCTCCTTGAAGGCTTCCACCTGAAAGAGGGCAAGTCACAATGGGCAGGAAAATCATACAGGAGAAAGACTGAGAGAAAGAACAAAAGGAATTAAGACTGAATTATAGTATAATCCTTTACTTTGTTTATTTTAGAAATTATTAGCTTGCAGACAGCTGTCAAAAAAAAAAAGTGAAGTCTTCATAGCACGGCTAGAAATTGAAACACTAATGGGCAGAGTAAGGCATAATACTGTAGAACTGCCAGGTGACAATTTTAAAATAGTGTGTGAGACTGAACCAAACAGGTGTAAAACTAAAGTTCAGGTGAGACAAAGAAGTGTGTTCTGGATTCGATTGAGAAGACAGGAGGGTAGTTCTGAAAACAATTTCAGAGAGCAAGTTGGACTCATGCAATTGTTTTCAACTTTGGCTGGCCATGATAATCACTTGGGAAGCTTTTGAATATCCTGTTGCCTAGGGTGCCCTCCCAGGCCATCAAAGTAAGAATCTCTGAGAATGAGATTTGGGCATCCATATTTCCTCATGCTCTCAGTGATTCAAATGAGCAGCCAAGGATGGGGACCATTAGAGTAAGGAGGTAGATTTAGTATATAAGTCTTCCCCATCATTTTGAATTACACAGAAATCTTAGTAAGCAAAGTCATTGTTTTCCAAAGGGACAGTATTAAACCAAGCACATTTTCTCTATGAATTTGCTGACTGAATTTCCTGACAACTGTCCATTGTCAGAACAGGTGACAATGCTATGGGTAAGAACTGAATTGCAGCTCCGACTGAGTTTTCTGAATGGCAGACTTATAAATCAGGAGCTGGCAGACCTCTGTGCTCCTGTACAGCTGTTGAAAATCGAGAAGACCTCTGGAGCCTGTTCTTTTTCCAGCAGCCCAAGGAAACACTTGCCACTGGAACCAGCTGTCCCAAAGCATGAATGGATTAACCTCTGCCAGGGATCACAAGCAGTTGCTGAAATCAGCTGCTTGGTACAAGGTGAAGGAGAGGGTAGAGGAATACTTCTGTAGCCATTGTCAGTTCCTTGGGAAACCCCATGATGTGGGTGGCATGGAATACAAAAGGGTGAAAGCTTGTGAAACAATTGCTAACAAATATCTGCAAATGGAATTGCTTATTAAGGAACACACACTTTTTGACAAGAAGCTACTAATGACTTTCCATGTACTTGGCAGAGTAAATAACTGGCATTTTAAAAAATTATGTCTTAAAATGCTAAAATATGTTTCAAATGAACAGGACTAGATTGTTGTTTTCTCATCCTTTGTTCCTTTTCAAAAAAAAATCTAGTCATTAACAATTAACAATTTTCCTTAGTATTTGTCAGGTTTGATAAACATGAGCTAAGACTTTTTTTTAAGCCACTTCAAATGAATGAATTCTTCTTTCATTCCAAACTGCAGTAGTTTACATATTTTAAAAATACATTTTTAGTGAGTTGGAAAGTACATTTAAAGGTGTTATCAAATTCTAGAGCTTAGCATATATATTTCAATTTATCTGGCACTTAGTGAATGTTGCCGATTAGCTTCAAAATCCAGAAGGCATCAAGGTCCTATGCCTATTTTAACACTTAATTTTTATCTGTTACCCCCAAGGTAATATTCTTACTTTGCTCCATGCTTTTTTAGATTTCTGTGCCTCAAATGTCTTGTGGCCCGATTTAGCTTATTATCATTTTACTTCAATATATGGTAGATTAACAAACACAGCTGTAGTACAAAGTATAAACAAATGGTAGTTTGAAGTAATTCTGTAAAAATTTCATGCAGTTTTGTGGTTTAGGGTCCATAGATTTAAAATCACAACAATTAAGTTTTTCTACCTGAAAGTCTCAGATGTATTGGTACGGCTGCAAATATAGTATTTTTTACTCCATCATCAAAGTCTTTTTGAAATCAATTTTTTCCTTAGGGTGAAATTTATTTCTCATACAATTTTTATAAGGTTGCTCAAGAGGGATCATATATGTACAAATATACCTTTGGAGTCTAGAAAGATGGATTTAAGAAGAAGCTGGAGAACGGGAAAAAGTTCAAAGCAGTGCTGTGTAGATAGGCAAAAGGTGGAAATTGAAACACACACACATGGAACAAGGGAGAAAATAGGAATAAATTAGTAAAGGCAATTTCTATTACAGATTACATGAAAATAAATACTAACACTTTAGAAGCAGCCGCTTTCAGCTGAATCTATGTTTTTGAAAGACATCATCAGAAATCTGTTTTTCTTCATTTTTTATTTCTGTTTTCCTCTGTAGTCCTTCATTTCTGGGCAGGATCTCATAAGTGATGATAAAGGTCATGGGAAGATCCAAGCTTACAAAGTACCAGCTTAGCCATCGCAGAGGAAAGGACCTCTTTCATATATATCTAGTCTAGGGGTTGAATTTCACTGGATGAAATTACATCAAATGCCCTTCTCTGAGCTGAACTGTGCAGGAAATCTACAACATACCACATGCCCACTCCTAAATCTGGAGAAGGATTGTCATTACTACCTGAGTTACATGGACTGAAAGTGGAGGAAGGGTTGTAACTCAAAAGAAAATCTATGAGGTAGTGACAGGAACACACACATGTATGCCGTGTGTGAGCCTTATATCATTCAGCTTCCTAGGTGGTATCCTCAAGATAGAATAATCCAAAGAATGTCTGATAAAAGACTATTCAATTAATAAAAGTTTGGCTAGGGAATGGAAAGGATACAAATAATAGGAACTAAAGGAGACAACAGTTATCAGAATCTGAAAGAATACAGTCTTTTAGAAATGGCCACCTTGAGAGGAACAATGGTCTTTTGTCATGGAACAGAGCCAGTCCAAGGCAACTGGCAAGGAGGATGCCAGGGAAACAATACTCTAACCTCAACCTCCTCATTCCCTCTGATTTCTGCCGGGGTCCCCATTGACGAAACCCAACAGCAAGCCAGATGACAAGGGAGCTCGCAGAACATGGTAAAATAATGGAGAGAGTGAATCTGCTTGGGCAAATAGAAGATATCCAGCACATAGTCACTGCAAAAGATAGATTACAATAGTGTTCAGTTGTAAATGTGTGACAAAACCAATTCAATTATAGTAAATGTCATGAGAATGAAGATATCTGCATGACTTAATGGAAATCTATCCTCAACTCCATATAACCTCTCGTCCCAACATTTATTTATCTCTATACTTTTCTTCATAGCCAAGTTTCTTGAAAGAATAGTCAAGATACCATTCTCCTACTTTCTCATAGGCCATTTACTCCATAATTGCACGTTGGCTTTTGCTCTCAATACTTTACAGCAGTGGTTTTCCAAATGTGGTCCCAGATCAGCAGCATGAACATTACCTGGTCATATGGTTTGGCTCTGTGTCCCCACCCAAATCTCATCTCAATTTGTAATCTCCATAATCCCCACCCATCAAAGGAGGGACCAAGCAGGAGGTGATTGGATCATGGGTGTGTTTTCTCCCATGTTGTTCTTGTGACAGTGAGTGAGTTATCATGAGATCTGATGGTTTTATAAGGCAGTTTTCCCTGCTCTTTCTCGTGCTCTCACCTGCCTCTTCTCCTTCTGCTATGATTGTAAGTTTCCTGAGGCCTCCCCAGCCATGCAGAACTGTAAGTCAATTAAGCCACTTTTCTTTATAAATTATCCAGTCTCAGGTATGTCTTTATAGCAGTGTGAAAACAAACTATTACACCCGGGAATGTTAAAAATGCAAGTTCAACTGTTCCTTTCAAAGAACTGGTGGACCAAATACTCTGAGAAGCTGAGGCCCAGAAATTTATGTTTTAGCAAGCCCTCCAGGCAATTCTGAAGCACGATAACATTTGAGAATTATTGAATTGCAGAATTTCAGAAACTTATATTTAAAAGATTACCAATAAGCTCTACCATGTTAGACTCTCTGAGCGGTTTTCTGTTCTCGTCTTTCTTGACCTTTCCTTTGACTTTTGTGTGTGGTATTTAACATTGTCATCTCTTCTGCAGGGGGAATCATCCTCTCTGTGCTTTTATATGCCTTCTCACATCAGAAAATAATAATATTCATACTTTTGGAAATATTGGGACAAAAACCACTCCCAATGTCTTCACTCAACATATCCCAAATCTTTCTAATACTAGTAAGCATTTTGTTGCTAATAAGCAGAGCTAATGAAATAAAGGTCACTGTTCTTGTGTGAAATGCCCTTTCTTATTTTTTTATTTTTCTAGTTGCCTGCTTGCAAACTTTATTGAATGCTTTTCACCAGGGCAGTGTGAGAAAGTGAAACCTATAATTTTTCAGCCATTGTGCCTGCTAGTAGGAAGGGTAATATAATTCAAGGAGAAAATAAGAAGGGGCCCATTGTGGCCTCAAATATAGGCCAAGTTTTTCCAATCCACTTTTTCAACAAATGATGCTGATATTTTGATCTTTATCTGACTCCTATTTTTTCAATTCAGAATCCCCGAAACTAAGGGAGAAGTACAGTTGTCATCCTAAATTCTCAACACAAGGTGCATCAGCTGGCAAACTATGAAAATAGATCCAGGACTGAGTTTTAGATCAAAATATGGCACGGATCTATTAAACTTTCTAATGTAGCTGAAATGAAGAGCTTTAACAAGTGAACGCTTCTTGGTTCTTTGAAACTTGAAGTGAGCAGAAGCTTATATTTTTCCTGGATGTCTACATGAGTGCAGGTTCATGTTAACAGGCTTAGGTTATGTAGCTAAACACAAAAGTACAGTGAGCAAGTGAAGTTTTAAGCAAAAATTTGAGTGGTGTGCTTGAGCTGAGAACCACAGTAAGGTTTAATCAGGAAAAAGCATTCAACTTAGCAGTCATGTTGGGCATTTCAAAGCCTTCAAATGGAGTAAGTGGTAATCTGATCATAAGTGCAAACATAATGTTTTTTTCCTGAGTTTTGAGGAACTTAAACTGGAGAGGCACTGTTATATATTCTAGGATTTGGTCATACATAGAATGAGTAAGATCATTGCTAGAACCAGGAAAGACTTTTACCAGGTAGAGCAGAATTTTCATGCATGCACTGTTGGGAGGCATCTCAGCCTGGAACATGAAGTACTGGACTAGAGTAAACATCTCCTGATCTGTAGAAGTTGAGACTTTTCATGACCTGGATGTTGGTAGAAGAAATCTGACAGAGCTTTCCTTGTGCCCACCTTCAATGTGTTTCTTTAGTGCTGCTAAATGGACCCTAATGGAAACAAGTCGAGTCCTGCTTAGAGGAAAATAAATGGTAGAGACAATGCCATTGCAATCAAAAAGATTAACCAATAAAAATGGAATTAAAAATGTAAAATATGAAAGTTTATTCTGAAGAAGCACATAGCACAAGTTACTGTTACTGCTTTTCATCGGACTTCTGTTTTTGCAGCTATAAAAACCTTGGACTTACAGAGTGGAAATTATTGATAGCCAACTGACAACTATCATAGAGAAGCTAAAACTAAAAATGTCTCTATCTTCTTATTTCTATCTAGCCTCCATATGCTACTAAATAAATGATCCTTGGCTGACATCTGTGGTGAGGGCCTGAATAGTATTATGTTCTAAACTATGGTTATATTATTTTGCTAGTACTGCTGCTGTGGCACCTACAGGCTTTTTGCTTCTCAATCATATGACTGACCAAGAAGTATTGTGATGATCCAGTGTGTCCTATCAATTCCTGAGCCCCTTTAAAGGAACCCAGTGTAAGAAATTGCAGGTTACAGCTGCTGAAGGAACTCCCATTGACTTAAAACTCCAACCCAATTGAAAATCAGCATAATAAGACATAATGGAGAGATAAATTTTAAGTTTTCTTTAGGAATTTAATTTAGAAGCAAATTTATTCTGGGTATTAATTTTCCCTTAGCAATTTGATAATTAGAGGGTGTTCTGAATTTGAATATTTGGGTCATGTTTTCACTGCTGGCATTGTGCTATCTGGAACATTTTTATACTATAATTTGACTGAATATGTAATTCCTTCTAAATTTTGAATAAATACAATTTGAGATATGGAATAGAATAGAAAAAAACTTAAAATTCAGAATAGTAGATAGATTTTTTAATATAGTCTTCTTTTCACCCATTTCAGATCATTCTGGGAACAAAATATGAATTGCCCACCATGGTTCAAAGAGGATAATGGTGAGTGGTGGATGGTGACAGGGAGTGAATTCACAATGATGAGAACAGGACTGACTTTGCAAATTGTAGCTTTTCTTTCCTGTTTACCATAGGTTTAAGTATCAAGCCAAGGTGTCATGAGATGAAAAGCTGGGCAGAGTAAGGGAATTATTTTCTGACACTCCTCACATTCTACCTTCAACTCCTAAGGTAGGAACCTCTCCAATTGCCTCACTCACTGCCCCAAAAGAAGAAAGATAGATATTGGTGAGAGCCTGCCCTCTCTTGGTGAGAGTTAAGGTGATAAAAATCTCTTTATGAACTTTCTCCTTTAAAAACTCCATATTCTTGTGGCTACTCCATGCTCTTCCAATATTAATTCCATTGCACTTTAGTATCTGTCACCAGCTCCACTCCTATCATGTATCACCTCAGTGAGTTGTTCTCCAGGGCCCCATCTTTGGTCCTTTTAGTGTTTTTCTAAAATGCAAATGGAGACATATCACTCTCAGCTTTCAATGGATTCCTTTAGCTTGCAGAGTAAACTCTGAATTCTTTAGCTAAGTCTTTATGGCTTTTTCTAAATACATGAGGAGAGACATGATCAAATTTATAGATTTGAAATATTACTTTGTTAGCAATGTGGGTAAACTAATAGGTACCCGGTAAATATTTGTTGAATGAATGAAGGAAAGAAGGAATAAGGATATGAGACCTGGCTGAAGAATTTGTTGGAAAGAGGGAAGAGATACCTAAAAGATAATAAGAAGGTAAAATCTGCAGCAAAACTGACTAACTAAATAGAGGTGGGAGATTAGAGGAGGAAAGTGATATCCAGATTTTTGTTTAGTTTGTGATATTATTTTTCAAGAGAAAGAATGATAAGAATAAACAATTTTAAGGAAGAATTCATGAGTTCAGTTTTAGAAATACTGGTTTTGAGTTTTCAGCCATAACACAAAATGAATTATTTGCTCCATCAATTTGAAAGCATTTACCTGAACACACAATGGTATTTATGCTTTCTCTGTATCTGTCACACTTGTTCTGACTGCCTTGAGTGCACTTCCAGGCTTCTGCTCCTGATACTTTTTCATTCTTTGAAGCTTACTTTAAGCATCCTCTTTTTTAGAGAGGAGCCATGCTCCTTCTATCAATCCACAGTCAAATTAGACCCATTCATTTATGTGTCCTTCAATCCACATTTATTCTACTCAATATATAATTATTAAGTACCTACAATGTGATACACACTGACCTTGCTCTCTTCCCCCACTTCTAAAATAATATTTAATGCATTACACTATAATAATTGACTTATAATATTTCTCCTCCATATACTATAAGCTCTTTGATTACAGGTACATTGTCTTATTTGATTTAATTTTCCTAGAAGCTAGGCCATTATTAGGCACACAAAAATTGATGGAGGTTGCTTAGAAAATGATTGTGGGTCAGTCATTGCAGCTCACACCTATAATCCCAGCACTTTGGGAGGCCAAGGAGGGCGGATCTCTTGAGCCCAGGAGTTTGTGACCAGCCTGAACATCATGCTGGGACCCTGTCTCAACAAGAAGAAAAGAGAAAGTAAGAAAGGAAGAAAAGAAGAAAAGAAGAAAAGAAGGGAGGGAGGGAGAAAGGAAGGAAGGGGTATTAGAATTCTCTACAGGGACAGAACTAATGGAATATATGTATTATACAGGGGAGTTTATTAAACATTAACTCACATGATCACAAGGTCCCGCAATAGGCTGTCTGCAGGCTGGGGAGCAAGGAGGCCAGTGAAGTTCCAAAACTCAAGAACCTAGAGTCAATGTTCAAGGGCAGGAAGCATCCAGCACAGGAGAAAGATGTAGGTTGAGAGGCTAGGCCAGTCTCTCTTTTCACATTTTTCTGCCTGCTTTATATTCACTGGCAGCTGATTTTGTTACAGGTGGGTCTTTATTCTTAGAGCTCCCAAGATGGTGGCGGGCTGCTCTCAAGATGGTGGCGGCCACTCCTAAGATGGCAGCAGGCCTTTTGTTCTCTGACCTGGGATTCTTGGCCTCACAGATTCCAAGGAATGGAACCTTGGGCCATGTGGTGAGTGTTATAGCTCTATTAGAAGCCATGGGTCATGGAAGAGAACCGTGGAACCCAGTGACTACTGTTCAGCTTGATTAGGATGAACCCAGGTACTTAGCCACACAGGAACAATAGTGAGCCTCTAGCCTGGACAGGAATGGCAATGGGCACCTCACTACATCAGAAGCTCAGCAGACACCGCGACAGATCCGGAGGGGTGGAAGTCAATGGTGGGTCTGCAACAGTGTTGAACAGCAGTGGTGGACGGTGAGTGAAAGCTCAGCTCAAGCTGGAACAAACACGTCCCGGAAGAGTGTGCAGTTGCAAGATTTTATAGAGTGAAAACAGAGCTCCCATACAAGGGGAGGGGACCCAAAGGCAGCTTCCCACTCCCGGCTCAAATGCCTGGGGTTTATCTCCAATCATTGTCCCTCCCCCTGTGCTCTCAGGCAATAGATGATTTGATTATTTCTTTAACCTCCTATTTTTAGCCTAATGGGTATTTTAGTGAGCTCACTTTACTACCTGATTGGTCAGGTGTGAGCTGAGTTACAAGCCCGGTGTTTAAAGGGGGGTGCAGTCACCTTCCCCAGCTAGGCTTAGGAATTCTTAGTCAGCCTAGGAAATCCAGCTAGTCCTGTCTCTCAGTCCCCATTCTCAACAGGAAAACCCAAGTGCTGTTGGGGAGTTTGGCCGACAACCATTCTAACAGCTTCCTGCTGAATTTGGGGCATAGTAGGGGTTATGCAGTTGAGATTTCCTCGGGAGGGGTGCCTTTGATGTCATCAACATAGGAGCAAGGGTTAGCAGGCTGGTCCAGGGGTCCATGGTGGATCTTAGTCATGGACTGCATCTGGGGCTCCATTTGAAGAACGATTTGTAGTTTTACAGCTTTGATTCTGGAAGAGACAAACTTAACAAGGAGGTTAAATATACGGGGATTGAAATGTATGGCCTGAAGTGCAGAGGGAGGCACTTACAACAGTTAGTAGGGTTTTGGGATAAGGGCAAGCCAGTATAGGCTGGATGTGTTCCTCACTGAGGGCCCTGGTGCCTTTGGATAATTTTAGCCCTAAGTATTTAATCTGCTGTAAGCAGAGCTGAGCCTTTGGTTTGGAAACCTTGTAGTCACAGGTGGCGAGGAAGTTTAAGAGCACTTGGGTGGTTTGATGGCACAAGGTTTCTGAACGGGTGGCTAAAAGTAAATCGTCCACATACTGAAGGACAAGAGTGTCCAAGTATGACAACTGGCTCAAATCTTGGGCTAATGCCTGGCCAAATAGATGGGGGCTATCTGTGAACCCTTGGGGTAAAACAGTCTAGGTAAGTTGAGACGTTGGGTTCAGAGGATCTCAAAGGCAAACAAGAATTGAGAGTCAGGATGTACAGGGATACAGAAAAAGGCATCCTTAAGGTCCAGGACTGTTAACCACTCTGCTTCCTCTCGTATTTGGGAAAGCAGAGTATAAGGGTTAGGTACAGCTGAGTATAGAGGGACAACAGCCTCATTGATAATCCTGAGATCTTGCACTAACCTCGACTGTCTGTTTGGTTTCTGTACTCCTAAAAGTGGAGTACTGCAGGGGCTATTGCATGGTTTTACTAGGCCTTGGGCTTTTAAGTCCTTAATCTTTTGGAGTCCTTGTTGGGCCTTGGGTCTAAGGGGGTACTGCCTTTGGTAGGGAAAGGAGGCAGAATACTTTAGCTTAACTTGAACAGGATAGGCATTCTTCACTCATCCATTGTTGGGGAAACCAGCCCCACACCACCCAGCGGGTACCCGGAGTCTGGCAGAGACAAAGGAGTTAGAAAGAGACAGAATAAGCGTTTAAAAGGCATGTCCAGGGAACCGGAGCTTTGGAGGCTTGCTCACGGCCCAGAACTCTTGGGCTCCGCCCAATTTATTGGTTTACAAGCTCTTTGTTCTTAGGGCAGATGGGAGGGGGAGGAAAGGATGAGGAAAAGGATTAATCAGTGAAGGAGAACTCATCAGTCATTTGGTAAGATGTATAGCAGTGGGGTTTCTGTGAATTTCCTTGAGCAAAGGCATGTGTCTAAACTACTTTAGATCTTTAACTTATTGGGACTGAAATGGGTGGGAGCAGGTTTCAGGAGGAGCCAAGATGTTTGATTATACTCCACTGCTTCAAGGGAGTGTTATCTCCTTGAGCAACCTGTGGAATGCCACTGAGCAGTGATGCTCTCAGGGCATAAAGACATGAAGGCAATAAGGAGACTTTTCTCCACAGAGGCCACCCTTGGCTTCCCATGGGTGTCCCACACAGGGGAGACCAACTCAACTGGCACCCCAGAAACTCTCTTTCCCACAGTCCATATTGTCCTTCTGTTGCCCAGACTTCAGGATTAATTCCTTCCTCAAGTAGGGGACAAGAAACGTGTGTTCCTTCTTCTATGTTCAGGTGTATAATGTCCCCTGCTTTTGCTAGGATGTCTCTCCCTAACAAAGGAGTGGGGGTTTCAGGCATAATTAGAAAGGCATGTGAAAAGACTAAAGTTCCCCAGTCACAACTTAGTGGCTGGGAGAAGTATCTAGTGACTGCCTGTCCTAGGACCCCTCAGATAGTGACAGATCTGGAGGACAGTTGTCCAGGCCAGTAGAGTAAGACTGAGAAGGGCATGCCGGTGTCCAGGAGACAGTTAACCTCCTGGCCTTCAATGATCAAGCATACCCAGGGCTCTGTGAGGGTGATGACATGGGCTGGTGCTTGCTCTGGGCACCCTCAGTCCTGCTGCTGGATCATCTGGTTAGTGACTTCTGACTCAGAGGACCTTCATTGCCTGGGGGAGTGAGCTTTCCAGTGATTCCCTTGACATAAGGGGCATGGACGAGAGAGCAGCTTATTTCTATTTGGACAATCTTTTTTAAAGTGTCCTTGTAGACCACACTGGAAGCAAGCCCTATTAGGCATTTGATTTGCCCAGCCTTTCCCTTTTCCAGAGTCTCCAAAGTCTGCTTGCTTAAGGGCCATGACTAAAGCGGTGCCCTTTTTTTTTTTTTTTTATCCCATTTGTCCAATTCCGCCTGCTCCTCCTGGTCTCTATTATAAAAAACTGAGGTTGCCAAGTTCAACAGGGTTTCTAAGTTTTGCTTCAGGCCTAAGGCGGACTTTTGAAGTTTTTTTTTTTTTTAATGTCTGCAGCTGACTGAGTGATAAACTTATCCTTTAAGATTAGTTGGCCTTCAATAGCGTCAGGTGATAGAGAGGTATGCTTCCTCAATGCCTCCCTTTGTCTCTCCAGAAAGGCAGTAGGATTTTCTTCCTTTCCCTGTGTTATAGTGGACATCACTGAATAATTTATAGGCTTCATCCTAGTTTTCCTCAGTCCTTCTAGCACATAAGTTATCAAATGTCTGCGGCACCAATCTCCATGTTCTGATTCTGCATCCCAGTGAGGGTCTACACTGGGGACTGCCTGCTGTCCTGTGGGGAATTGTTCTCTTTCCGCTGTTGTCATCCTATCATTGACCTGACTGAGATACCAGAGATCGCCAAACTCTCAGGCTGCAGTTACACTGGCACTTCTCTCATTTGGGGTTAGTGTCTGATCTAGCAGTAATATTATATCTCTCCATGTCAGATCGAAGGATTGTCCTAATCCTTGTAAAACATCAATATAGCCATCAGGGTTACCTGAGAATTTACCTAGGTCTACTTTAATTTGCTTCACGTCTGAGAGGGAAAAAGGTACATACACACTGACTGGGCCAAATTCTCCAGAATACATCTTAGGGGCCTTGGGAGGAACATCCTTGGGAGGAACATTTCCCATCTGAAAAAAGAACATAGGGATGCCAGCACCCCTAGTCATTTTCCGATGAGCATTAGTCCTAAAGCGTCCTCTATGGCCCTAATGCTTATTCCTTTCCAGGGTGCGTAACCACCCATGGACCTCTGCTTATCGGATTAGTTACGCTCACCAATGTAGCAGTCCTGGCACCTGTTTTCCTGCCTTTCTTGACCACAAAGAAAGGGGTCTGGGCTGCTGGATTATAGTGATCTTTTACCAGCATGCCCAACATTGCCCTTGCACTCAGGGGTGAGTCCTAGAGCTGGGCTGTATTCCTGAGTATTTCATAACAACCCAGCTGCCCCATCAAGATGCATTCCCATAAACAACAGTTCTTATGCAAATTCATTTCAGAGAGGGTGTAGGTAAGATTCTGAGTCAGGATTGAGAGAGTTTTTTGATTCTGTAAGTACTTTAAGCCTTGGCTGAGTGCAAACAGCTCGCACATTTGAGCGACCAATTATTAGGCAATTTTCCTAACTCTGCTTCTATAATAGTCTCCCTATCAATTACTGAATACCCACTGTGGTTTTTTCCCTCAATCACCTGGGAGGAACCATCTATCGTCCTGTCCTGAAGGGAGTTCTTCCTAGGTCTGGTAGGACCTTTGTATGGTAATTAAGATTTAAATTCCCTGTTAGGAAATCTGCTGGGTTAAGGAAATTTTCAGTGGTTAATGTTAAGTCATCTTTTTCTTTTTCTTTTATTATACTTTAAGTTCTAGGGTACATGTGCACAACATGCAGGTTTGTTACATATGTATACATGTGCCATGTTGGTGTGCTGCACCCATTAACTCATCATTTACATTAAGTATATCTCCTAATGCTATCCATCTCCTCCCTGCAGTCCATGACAGGCCCCGGTGTGTGATGTTCCCCACCCTGTGTCCAAGTGTTCCCATTGTTCAGTTCCCACCTATGAGTGAGAACATTTGGTATTTGGTTTCCTGTCCTTGTGATAGTTTGCTGAGAATGATGGTTTCCAGTTTCATCCACATCCCTACAAAGGACATGAACTCATCCTTTTTATGGCTGCATAGTATTCCATGGTGTATATGTGCCACATTTTCTTAATCCATTCTATCATTGACGGACATTTGGGTTGGTTCCAAGTCTTCGCTATTGTGAATAGTGCTGCAGTAAACATACGTGTGCATGTGTCTTTATAGCAGCATGATTTATAATCTCTTGGGTATGTACCCAGTAATGGGATGGTTGGATCAAATGGCATTTCTAGTTCTAGGTCCTTGAGGAATCACCACACTGTCTTCCACAATGGTTGAACCAGTTTACAGTCCCACCAACAGTGTAAAAGTGTTCCTATTTTTCCACATCCTCTCCAGCACCTGTTGTTTCCTGACTTTTTAATGATCACCATTCTAACTAGTGTGAGATGGTATCTCACTGTGGTTTTGATTTGCATTTCTCTGATGGCCAGTGATGATGAGCATTTTTTCATGTGTCTGTTGGCTGCATAAATGTCTTCTTTTGAGAAGTGCCTATTCATATTTTGCCCACTTTTTGATGGGGTTTGATTTTTTCTTGTAAATTTATTTAAGTTATTTGTAGATTCTGGATATTAGCCCTTTGTCAGACGGGTAGATTGCAAAAATTTTCTCCCATTGTGTAGGTTGCCTGTTCACTCTGATGGTAGTTTCTTTTGCTGTGCAGAAGCTCTTTAGGTAATCAGATCCCATTTGTCAGTTTTGGCTTTTGTTGCCATTGCCTTTGGTGTTTTAGACATGAAGTCCTTGCCCATGCCTATGTCCTGAATGGTATTGCCTAGGTTTTCTTCTAGGGTTTTTATGGTTTTCGGTCTAACATTTAAGTCTTTAATCCATCTTCAATTAATGTTTGTATAAGGTATAAGGAAGGGAACCAGTTTCAGCTTTCTACATAAGGCTAGCCAGTTTTTCCCACACCATTTATTAAACAGGATATCCTTTCCCCATTTCTTGTTTTTGTCAGGTTTGTCAAAGCTCAGATGGTTGTAGATGTGTGGTATTATTTCTGAGGCCTCTGTTCTGTTCCAATTGTCTATATCTCTGTTTTGGTACCAGTACCATGCTGTTTTGCTTACTGTGGCCTTGTAGTAGAGTTTGAAGTCAGGTAGTGTGATGCCTCCAGCTTTGTTCTTTTGGCTTAGGATTGCCTTGGCAATGCAGGCTCTTTTTTGGTTCCATATGAAGTTTAAAGTAGTTTTTTCCAATTCTGTGAAGAAAGTCATCAGTAGCTTGATGGGGAAATCATCTTTTTCTAACAGAATAGCCCTATACTTTAAGATTTTTGAGTTAGTAAGCTACCTTTTTGCTTTTTTGACTTAGGATAGCTCTGAACTGGTGAGGTGTGCTCACAATGAGGTTTCCTCTAAAGGTTATTTTTCTACTTTCTTCTGTTAGCTAAGCAGCTGCCGCTACCGACTAAATGCATTTGGGCCATCCATGGGTTACTGGGTTAAGGATTTTTGATAGGAAGGCTATGGGTTGTCAGTGGTCTCAGTGTTTTCAGGCTATGCCCTTGTTTACACTGACAACAAGGTAGTATTGGAGTGCTATAGGATCATGGAGAAGACCTTCAATTATCAATTATAGGTTTTAAATTTACCCTGGCCAATGCTGGGAGTTTCGGATGACAGCTTTCTCCCTCTAGTCAGCCCTCAGCTTCCCCAGGAAAATTGTGAAAGTGGAAGCTGGTTCCAGGCAGACCAACCCTCCCAACCCAGAAGTGTTGGGGGTTGTTAGAAAGTCTTTTCCCAGACAGCCTCACACCTGAGTCTTAAGTCTTGTGGCCATGCTAATTGTTTTTAACTGGCTGACAGGGGCCTGGTATTTCCTCTGATTCTAAGGAAGTATAGCACAGAATAGCAAGCAAAATGGTCCAATATTA
Organism: Homo sapiens; assembly: GCF_000001405.40. Taxonomy (NCBI): domain Eukaryota; kingdom Metazoa; phylum Chordata; class Mammalia; order Primates; family Hominidae; genus Homo; species Homo sapiens. The sequence continues at coordinate 180,232,482 of NC_000002.12, read as the reverse complement.
CTCACTGATTTGGAGAATCCCCATACCGGCCACCAAATCTTATGGGTGGGTCTTTGTTCTTAGAGCTCCCAAGATGGTGGCGGGCTGCTCCCAAGATGGTGGCAGCCGCTCCCAAGATTGTAGCAAGCCTGGGGTTCTCGGCCTCACGGATTCCAAGGAATAGAACCTTGGGCCATGTGGTGAGTGTTATAGCTCTATTAGAAGCCATGGGTCATGGAAGACAACCATGGAACCCAGCAACTAGTATTCAGCTCGATTAGGACAAACCCAGGTACTTAGCCACACAGGAATAATGGCGAGCCTCTAGCCCAGACGGGAGTGGCAATTGGTGCCTTGCTGGATCAGAAGCGCAGTGGACACCCTGACGGACCCTGAGGGGTGGAAGTCAATGGCAGGTCTGCAACAGTGGCGAATGGCAGTGGTGGATGGTGTGCGAAAGCTCAGCTCGAGCCAGAACAAACACGGCCAGAAGAGTGTGCAGTTGCAAGATTTAATAGAGTGAAAACAGAGCTCCCATACAAGGGGAGGGACCCAAAGGGGGCTTCCCACTCCCGGCTTGAATGCCGGGGGTTTATATCCCAATCATTGTCCTTCCCCCTGTGCTCTCAGGCAATAGATGATTTGATTATTTCTTTACCTCCTGTTTTTAGCCTAATTGGTATTTTAGTGTGCTTTCTTTACTACCTGATTGATTGGGTGTGAGCTGAGTTATAAGCCCCGTGTTTAAAGGTGGGTGTAGTCACCTTCCCCAGCTAGGCTCAGGAATTCTTATTTGGCCTAGGAAATCCAGCTAGTCCTGTGTCTCAATTTGATTGTTCCCACCCAGATTAAGAGTGGGTCTGCCTTTCCCAGCCCACTGACTCAAATGTTAATCCATTTTGGCCACACCCTCACAGACACACCCAAGATCAATACTTTGTATCCTTCAATCCAATCAAATTGATACTCAGTATTAACCATTGAAAGGAAGAAAAAAACAAGAAAGAGAAAGAGAGAAAGAGAAAGAGAAATAAAGACAGAAAGAAAGAAAGAAAGAGAGAGAAAGAAAGAAAGAAAGAAAGAAAGAAAGAAAGAAAGAAAGAAAAGAAAAGAAAGAAAGATTGTAAAGAAATGAATGCAAGAAACCTATTGATAGGTACAGATGTCAAACTCTGAACAGTGGTCCCTTTAAGAATCTGGTCCTTGTAGATTCTGCTCTTGAGAAAGATAAGAAACCAGACGTAACACAATGCCAAAGGTCAGAAGCCAAACTGTGCATCAGGCTTAAGGAAGCAGGCATTAGTGGGGCTGATAAGCTAACAAGAGTTGCAAGAAACAGAGGAGAAATCCTTGTAATAAGCACCTCTCAAGTCAACTTCACAGTGTTAAGCAATTACCTGGAGCACATTTTATGTACCATTAAGACTGAATTCATAAAGGAGTAGAACTCAATGAAATACTGCTGGCATTATCATTAGTAGGTCTTTATGGAGTTGTGAATAAATCTTCCGTTATCTTAACGTGTATTACAACTTTCTTATAACTGTAATTCCATAACCTTCTTTGGCTACTAAATACTACCCTGTCTTGAAAATTCTAACAGCATTACTCTTTCAAAATCAAGTTACAATTCATCCCATATTTTCCAGAAATAAAAAAAAGTTACATAAAAATTGTCTTTTGTTTTCACACTTAATAAGTTGTCTAAGTTTGTCCAACAAGATCGAGATTCCTTTGTTATCAATGATTTTTAAACTTGTCTAAACTAACTTTAAATGTTTTCTTTTGTTTAAATAAGAGATGTATGCTCATTCATTAGCATTTCTTTATTACAAGTATTCTTAAAGCCTGATTTGTTTGCTTGAACATATAGCTATTAAAGGGGATATTTAAAATATTACATATGTTTGCAGGCAAAATGGCAAACACATAGTATTATAAAATAGTAAAATTTAGCTTTTAAGAATAAGTTTAAATTGGATGCGTAAGTCACTAAAACATAAAATATGCCAAAAGGCCATAGGACTTTATCATTAGTAGGTCTTTATTGAGTTTGGAATTAATCTTCCATTATCTTAAAGTATATCACAACTTTATTATAACTGTAATTTCATAAACTTCTTTGGCTACTAGATATTACCCTGTCTTATAAATGGCCTCTGGATCAGAGGGATTTGAAGAGCTAGAGATAAATAAGAAAAACTTGTAGAATATGGTTGGTTATAAGGGGAGAAGAAAGGTTTCTAGTTTGGTTGACTATACAGATAGAAAAACCACTGATAAACAGGAAAATAAAAATGAGAAAGAAACAAATTTATCAAAAAGCAAATGAGTTTGGCCTCAAAGATATTGAATATATTGTTGCAGTGGAATATCAAAAATGACAGTGCACAATTATCCAGAACTTATAGATGTGACAGTAGAATTTAAGGAGATAATGAATGAAATAAAAATCATACATGAGAGTCTTTTACATAGGATGAGAATGTATAACACAGTTAAGAACTCATGGAGTAGAGATTTAGAGCAAGAAGGCAGAAATCATTGGAGCAAATGAAGGAGAAGCAATCAGAAACAGAAGAAATGTGGCCAAGATGGCATTGAGACAGTGCAGAGTTCACTCAGCTAGGTACAGAGTAAGAGGCCATCAAACATGTGGATGATGGTGGAGGTTCTCAGCTGAGTCTGAGGCATGGTTGTTACAGAACACAACACATTCCTCTCTGGAGTCAAAAACATTAATAGAGGTGACCCCTCAGACTTTTTATTCTGTTTTTTATGTGCCACCTCTACTTGTGATAAACAGTAAAAAAAATCCACTCCCCAAAACACTCCACCACAAATAACCACATTCAAAATCATGAGCTTTTATCATTGCCAAAGTTACCCTTCAACCTTCAAATAAAAACCGTCTTGCTTAATCAAGGACTTCCCTTGCTTTAAGGGAGAAAGAAGGGTGTGTTCATCATAATAGGCAAAGAGACTGTAACAACCCCCAAAACCTAAATGGATTAAAAAACAAAAGTTTATCTTCCCCTCACAAAGTCTTTGTAGTTTGAATAACTCTACAAGGAAAGTGTCCTCTGTGCAGTCACTCAGCAATTGAAGAAACTTTGATCTTATGACACCATTGTTTCAACATGTCGTCTATGTGCTCACCCCTGGAAGAATAAAAAGAAACTGGAAGATTACACAAGGGGTGTGGAGGTTTTATTCTGTGTTAACTTGACCAATCTGAAAATGTTTCCCAAAATCCCTTTCCCTTAAGTTTCTCCTATTAGAGGTGGCCAAAAAAGAAATTCTTACAAGATTTGGAAAGCAAAAGTGAGATAGCAGTGATTATATTCTGAAAGTTATCCTGGCTAGAGATAGCGAGAGACAGATGCAGAGCTATCATCAGATTCTACCTTGTTTTTTGCTCTCTGCACACTAAGAGATAAACACAGAGGTGTAGTAGATTTTAGCTTATTCTTGCTCAACCTCACTCCCTGTCCAGCTCTTTTTCCTTACTGCCAGCCTTTCTAATCAACAATAAGATCAAACCCACCCCCAGACACAGAGGCAACAGCTATCTTTAGATTTCTCCAGCAGTTTTCCTTCACTGTCTCACACTGGCAGGCAAATGTATTCCCTGACAACCCCCAGTTTATTCACCTGTGCCAGTGGCTCAGAAGTTCTGGTTAGTGACTTTTCATTGATTCTTAAATATTCCTTTTACACTCTTATTTCTCTAACATTTCCTACAGTTGTGCAAATTCTTAACTAACAATAAACCCTTTGTTCCATAATGCTGATAGTGGTTCTGCTTTCCTGATGGAGGCTAACTACTACAATTATTGGTACCAAGAGTAGTTCCAGGGCAACAGACCCAAATACCACTATAGACCACTAGTCAGCCATAATATAGACAGGCTTATGGAGGTAAAGTCATTAATGAAGTTTTGAAAAGCATCTATCTCATCAACATGTCCCTAAAATCAACCCATATTTCTTTGCCTGCTTCTGGCATGCATTATAGGTAAAGACATAATAAACAACTAGCAGAATCTCCACATTGGTTTCCTAACTCATAAAATAGAACTAGAATGGTGAGGAAGACCAATGAGAAACCTCTAGAACTACCTCTACCAATCAGATTAATAAAGGCAGTTCTTCATTCCTTGGGGAAATTTCAGGTATAAGTGCCAACATTAAGGACTTGAAGGATACAGAGAGGGTGATTCCTACCACATGTCTATTCAACTTGCATGTTTGGCTTTTGTACAGAACACAGGGATCCCAGAGAATGATAGCGTATTACTGTAAACTTAAACTGGTAATGATGCATACTGTAGCTTCAGTTCCATATGTGATTTATTTACTAAGGCAAATCAATACATTCCTGGGCTCCTGAAATAATAATGCTGATCCTGTGCATGCTTTCATTTGATATACCACCACAAATCTACTTCAGAACTATCTGTATCAACTCTCACGTCCTATGTCATAATCTACCCTACAGGAACCTTCTTTGATCATCTCTCCATTATGCAAGACATCCTGATGGTCTACATTAATAATGTCAGGCTGATTAGATTTGGTGAGCAGGAAGCAGTAATTACTTTAAACACCTCGGTATGATGCTCATATTCAAAAAAATTTCAGAAAAGTTTCTATGGGTCCAATGGTCAGGACCATGTTATTATATCTTTCCCAAGGTAAAGAGAAAGCTGCTTAATTTGGTCCTTCCTAACATCGAGAAAGAGACTAAGCCTGGTGGGCCTCTTTGGATTTTGAAGGCAACTTATACCTCATTTGGGCATACTACTCTGACTCAATTATTGAGTAATCCAAGAGACTGCTATCTTTGAGTGGAATTCAAACGAGAGAAAAATGTGTAAAAGGTCCAGCTTTCCATGTAAGCTGTTCTGCCACTTAGGCCTTATATTTCAGCAGACCTGTGATTGAAGTGTTTATGCTTTACAATGGAAATTTTTTAGCACTAATGAAATTTTTTTTTAAGTACAGAACTTTAAGATTTAGAAGCTAAACTTCACCATCCTTTGTGGATATTGCTCACTTTTGAGAAATAGCATTTGAACTATGTTGGGTCCTAGTAGAGAATAGATACTTAACAATGGACCACCAAATTATCTTGAAAATTAAATTGACTGTCAAGAACTAATTTTGGATTTAACCGCCCCATAAAATTGGGAGTGAACAGTACAACTCCATCATCAACACCAGCAATTCCTAAAAGCACAAGATGCATGAGTAAATAATTCAGCTTTCCATTGCTCCCCTTACATTTCCTCTACTCTATCAGCCCACAGCTGTGTGAGTATTTTTAACCAGTTGACTGAAGAGAAGAAAGATGTGGCAATGGTTTACAAATGGTTCCACATAGTACACTGGCACTTTCTAAAAGTGCTACTTTTAGCACTACTACTCAGGGAAAATCCCCCTAGAAGCTATAACTCTGAGCAGTGCACGTGGGATTTTTTTATTTTGTCTAATAAGAATAAGAGATGAACAGAAAGATTACAAGGTCAGGAGTTCGAGATCAGCAGGGCCAACATGGTAATACCCCATCTCTACTACAAATACAAAAAAATTAGCTGGACATGGTGGCACATGCCTGTAATCCCAGCTACTCAGGAGGCTGAGGCAGGAGAATCTCTTCAACCCAGGAGGCGGAGGTTGCAGTAAGCCAAGATCATGCCACTGCACTCCAGCCCAGGTGACAGGGCGAGACTCCATCTCAAAAAAAAAAAAAAAAAAAAAAGAGAGAGAGATGGCCAGAGATATAGATCTATGCTGATTCTTAAGCAAAGGCTGACAATTGTTAGATAGTCAGGGACTTGGAGGAACATGACTAAATTTGGTAAAAAGTAGTCCTGGAGGAGAAGAATGTGGATCAACCTCTGAGAAATGGACACAGAGTGTGAGGATATTTGTGTCCCATATTAATGCTCACTGAAGACCTCCAGCAGAGGAGATTTTAATAATCAGGTAGACAACCTTTCTCAGTCTATAAATGTCAATCAGCCTCTTTCCTCAGCCACTTGTGATATTTCTGTACCAGCTCACTAATAAGATAGTTACAGTAGTAAAAATAAAAGGCATTCATGAGCTCAGCAACATATACTTCTACTCACAAAGGCCACTCTGTCAACAGCCACTGCTGAGTCTCAGCCTGAGAACAACAGAGATTAACACAGAGTTCCAACATGGTATACCACTCTCCAGGGTAATCAGCCACCTCATAGCAGTTTGATTACATTGAAAAATTTCTTTCAATGAATGGGCCGCAATATTTTCTCACTTGATAAGATACCTTTTATGAATGCAGGTTTGCCATTCAAGTCCACAAGGCTGTAGTAAAAACTACTACCATCTGTAAACTTAGAGAATGCTTTATTCACTAACATGATGTATCATATAGCTTTGCTTCTGCCCAAGGAACTTGTTTTACAGTAAGTAAAGAGCAACAATTATTTTTTGCTTATTGAATTTACTGATCCTACCATGTTTCCTGGAATAAATTTTTAAGACTCAAACACAATGCCAACTGAATGGTCACACTTGATGGAGTGCTGCAACGTCATTCAGCATATAGTATATGCTCTGAATCAATGACCAATATATGATGCTGGGTTTTTTTTGCCTATTAGTCAAGATTCATTGGTTAGGGAAGCAGGAAATAGAAAATGAAGTAGCTTCTCTCCCTGTTACTCTTAATTATCCAATAGCAAAATTTTTGCTCCCTGTCCTCACAATTTGGGATCTGCTATTTTAGAGATCTTCATACCCTAGGAAGTAATGCCTCCAATAGGGCAGTCATTAAATCTTAAAGTTCCAAAATGATCTCCTTTGACTCCTTGTCTCACATCCAAGGCACACTGATGTGAAAGGTAGGCTCCCACAGCCTTGGGCAGCTCTGCCACTGTGGCTTTGCAGGGTACAGCCTCACTCCCAACTGCTTTCAGAGGCTGACATTGACTGCCTGTGGCTTTTCCAGGCACACAGTTCAAGCTGTCAGTAGATCTACCATTCTAGGACCTGGAGGAGAGTGGCCCTCTTCTCACAGCTCCACTAAGCAGTGCTTCAGTGGGGACTGTATGTGGGGACTCCAACCCCACATTTCCCTTCCATACTTCCCTAGGAGAGGTTCTCAATGAGGGCTCTGCTTCTGCAGCAAACTTCTGCCTGGACATCCAAGTATTTCCATACATCCTCTGAAATCTAAGTGGAGTTTCCCAAATGTCAATTCTTGATTTCTGTGCACCCACATGTCCAAAACCACATGTAAGCTACCAAGGCTCAGGATTTGTACTCTCTGAAGCAATGGCCTGTAATGTATGTTGGCCCCTTTTAGCCAGTGCTGGAGTTGAAGCAGCTGGGACACATAGCACCGTGTCCTGAGGCTGCATAGAGCAGGGGGGCTCTGAGCTTGGACAACAAAACTATATTTCCCTCCTAGGCCTCCAGGCCTGTGTTGAGAGAAGCTACTATGAAGGTTTCTGATGTGACCTGGAGACAATTTCCCCTGTTGTCTTGGTGATTAACATTTGACTCCTCATTACTTATCTAAATTTCTGCATTGAGCTTCATTTTTTTCCCCAGAAAAATGGATTTTTGTTTTCTATTGCATCATTGGGCTGCAAATTTTCCACATTTTTTATTTTTTTTTTTTTTTTTTGCTCTGCTTCCTGTTGAACTTTTTGCTGCTTAGAAATTTCTTTTGCCAGATACCCTAAATGATCTCTTTTAAGTTCAAATTTCCACAGATCTCTAGGGCAGGGGCAAAATGTCACCAGTCTCTCTTTGCCAAAACATAGCAAGAGCCACCTTTATTCCAGTTCTCAACAAGTTTCTCATCTCCACCTGAGACCATATCAGCCTGAACTTCATTGACCATATAACTATCAGCATTATGGTCAAAGCCATTCAACATGCCTTTAGGAAGTTTCAAACTTTCCCACATGTTCCTGTCTTCTGAGCCCTCCAAGTTTCTAGGAAGTTCCAAATTTTCCCACATTTTCCTGTTTTCTTCTGAGCCCTGCAAACTATTCCCACCTCTGCCTATTACCCAGTTCCAAATTCGCTTCCACATTTTCAGGTATCTTTACAGCAATGTCCCACTCTCTGCAGTACCAATTTACTGTATTAGTTAGTTCTCACACTTTTAATAAAGACATACTCGAGACTGAGTAATTTATAAAGGAAAGAAGTTTAATTGACTCACAGTTCAGCGTGGCTGGGGAGGCCTCAGGAAACTTATAATCTCAGCAGAAGGGGAAGCAAGAACTTTCTTCTTCACATGGCAGCAAGAGAGAGAACTGCTGAGCAAAGGGGGAAAGGCCCCTTATAAAACTATCAGATTTTATGAGAACTCACTATCAGAAGAACAGCATGAGGGTAACTGCCCCCATGGTTCAATTACCTCCTACCAGGTCCCTCCCACAACATGTGGGGATTATGGGAATTACAATTCAAGATGAGATTTGGGTGGGGACACAGCCAAACCATATCACTCATATATTCTTACAGTAAAAAAGTTAATGGAACACTATAAGAACTTGAAATTGTCAGTACTATTAATGGCATAGATACCAGGAATTCAGTTTTGGGACACTCTACAAGTCAAGAAACCATGATCAGCTAAGTTGCTTGCTGAGGACAAAGGGAATATGGAATAGGTATTAAAAGAAGCAAGTAATATCAGCTACAACCATGAGACCATTTACAAAAATTAAAACTACAGTAGTTGTATTTCCTCTTTACTTATACATAAATATATTTGTGTGTATATATCCATATAAACATATATCCAAGAGAGGAAAAAATAACAAAGAAATAGATTAGTTAATACAAGATACAGAGATTTGTGTATATATATACATATTGACCATTCTTTTTTACAATCTAACATAATATGTGTTAATAGTGATTAACCTAATATGTCAATGTTTAAGTTATTAGAAGATATGAAAGCAAGAATGTGACCAATCTAGGAAGAGAATAAACACCACCCACAGATGAATGAAATGACTATGGGACTTTGTATCCTCTTTTGGTGGGAAGTGAGTGAATTGGAGGAGGGAGTTAGCAGGTTTTCAGTTGCATGAGAGATAGGTGCATCATGTTAGGTAGAATCATGACTTACCTATTAGATGCAAATATGGATAAAAGAGATGTGAATGACACCAAGCTGACATGAGCTGGAGTGCGGTTGTTTTGTAGTTTATCAGCTTGTAGTTTATCAGCTTGTTTGACCTGGAACAATATTGCCCAGAATCCTCTTTCCCCATATGGTTCTCAGAGGTGGTCAAAAGATAATCCAATGTGATTTGGAAAGCAGAAATGAAGCAGCAGCCATTACTCTTTGAAGTTCATCCTAGTTAAAGGAAATAAGAAATATAAAGATCTTCCAGAAGATTTTCACTTTTCTTTAATCTTCTTGCTGTTGAGAGACAGACACAAACATACCAGTGGATTCAGCTTGTTATCACTCTCCACTCTGCATCCAGCTCTATTTCCAAATGCCACTGATGAATAGGATCCCCTATCCTTCAGCAGACATATAAACAGCAACCTTCCAAAGCCACCAGCTCTCCTTTACACTCCTCTTCTAGCAGCTGCATATGTGTTGCTTCACTGATTTCCTGGCAAGCTCTAACTTGTTCACCCACGCCAATGCATCAGAGGAGCTGAGAAGTGACTGTTCTCCAGCTTCTCCTACAATTGTGCAAGAAGTTACCATTATAATAAATCCCTACTCTACAGTACTCTGAGTAGTTCTGCTTCCTTGATTTAGTCCTGACTGATACAGGAGCTTCTCAGGTCCCCAGCCACATAGAGACAGTCCATGGGCCAGAATAGTCCACAGTGCATTTACCTGCAAGGGGGCTGGGGAAGACTGAAGAACTGACAAGTGAGCAATGGTAATGTCAACCATTTATTTTTCATTTCTCAATGTTAATTTCTTATTTTAAAGAAAAAATAATAACCACATACTCATTATTTTTAAAATTACCAGGAGTAAAAAAAATTATATCTTATCAAAGTCTAGATGCTCCCTCTATCATCCTTCCAATAATCCCACTTAAGGGGGAGCCCTTTCTTTCATACACAGGGTATAGGACAAACTGTTAAGACTGAAGTTACATCGTGCTCATCTACAGAGGGGAATACAACTGAAAAGGTTAGTAAGAGGCAAAATCGCTTTTAATCAAAATTACTTTTAAAATAACAGTTTCAACATCCTTGTGGGGGGAAAAAAAGAACAGAAGTAAAAATAAGGACTAGATGGTGAGGAAACAGAGCAAAAGGCAGCCTGTTAAGAAGTGAACCAGTGGATGGAGGAGAAGAATGGTACAACAACCTGAGAGAGTAATAAAATCCTTCAAAGGTTTTTCTGAGATAGGGAGGATATCAATATGTTTATAGAAAACAGAATGATGTTAATGAACTCAAACTAACAAAGTGGAAAAGTAACCAATGTTTCAATAGCCAGAAATTATAGGACAAGACTAGAATCAAGAGCATAAGGACAGAGGGTACCTTACAAATAACAGACCCCACACTTCCTTGACCAGTAAAGAAGACGATAACAGCAGGAGGAGAAATGGCAAAAAAAAAAAAAAAAAAAAAAAAAAAAACCGAGAAAGGAGTACAGTTTCTCTCTTCCTTTCTTCTTCACTCTCTAACACACACTAATATCCCTAGTCAAGTTTTTTTAATAGCTAATAAATCGTTGACATAAAATCAAATTTTGAAAAGGAACACGTCTTACTCATATAGAGGTGCATCCTGGCTGAACCTAAATTAAGATTAGAAGTGTGAAGCCAACAGATGCTCTCTGCCTCTGCAACCACCATTTCCTGACTCACAAAGATGGAGGGAGAGGTGCATGGAACAAAAAGTGGCCTGTAAGAGGAATTTGGAGGATACAGAGAAAAATGTTATAAATAGCACAGTATCTCATTACATTAACTGGAAAATTATAATCTAAATCCATGACTACATTGATTTAATTATAGTCATCAAACTTCTAAAAAAGGAAGAAGAAAGCATAATTAAGGAAAACATTAAAATGTAATCTAACCTTTAATATTCACTCTAGAAGCTCATAGTCTACTGGCAAGCTTATGGGGAAATAATAAAACTTAGCTTATTTAACTTTTGGTCCTCAGAACCTCCATAAGATCAATAACATTATTACACACTACTTCTTAATAGTAATAATAGTAAAAGCTGACATTAATAAGAACTTACTATGTGCTAGATATGTGTTAGACTTACTGTTTTAACTATGTGTTAGAAAATACAGCTAACAGCTATATTGATCTCATTTAATCCTCATAGTTCTAGAAGGAAAGCATTACTGTTATCTCCATTTCACAGATAAGAAAGTTGGAATTTAGTGATTTACCCAAGATCACACAGTAAGAAAGAAAACCTAAGCCCACGGCTTTCTGACATTCCAAGTGCACAACCACTAATCTATGCCACTTTCTTACATTCATAGACCTCCAAAAATATCCAACTTTAAGCACTGGCTGTTTAAATATGTATTTCTCAGCAAAATTTTTTTTCTATATTTTACAAATTTTTCATGAATGCAAATATTTTATGAACCTCTACTTTAAAAAATGATTATTTTAGTTATTTTCTTGGTCCTGTTTTCTTTCAAAAAGACAGTCTCTGCAAACTCTAGGTTTAATTTAAATTCAACCCAAGTTGAAAAGGGCTTGCCACTCTCCTGAGTCCTACTGTTCTTGGCGTGGAATTGCTGACCTAGTTCTAAAGAGAGGGATAAATGCACATGGCTCAAATGTAGTTTTTGGGGGAAGAGGAAAGTTATTGTTCATGTCCCATTTACATAGAATGCTGACCTTTCAATGTAAACCACTTCTTATTGTAAACGTTTAACAAATAAAAATAATTGAGCTCATGCTTTACCAACAATGATCCATGCTGCTTTAACCTTGGTTTACTTCTATGTTATAATCTGAATACCCAACTTGAGTTCAGTCTTGGGGAATAGGGCATTGTTCCATGTTGTACAGGTAAAATATCAGACTTAATCCTATATACCTTTAATCTGGAAAATAAAATGGGTAGGTAGAAAACAGTGCTCTCAACTTACTCTAAATCCAATAAAAAGAGGGAAAAGCACACTATCTATCTGATGTTAAGCATACAGATATGACAGTTGTATTGTCAGCACAGAGACATTCGTTCATATAATACAGTATCAGCAACACTTTAAAATGTTACTGATTAGAAGTATTGAAATTATAACCTGTATCACTTACAAGCTTCAAAATCAGAAAATGCCTTCAAGCTTGTTGTTTTATAGTATATATGAGGAAAAAATGTTTAAAGGAATATTGTAGACTTTAGAAATTGTTACCAAATATGGTATAAAACTCCAAAAGATAAATACTTAATTGTAAAGAAAATAATCAGAGTTAGAGTTGTGGTATAAATTAATTAAAAACAATGCCATCCAAGGTGATTAAGTATGAGCTAGAGGTTAAAAAGAAATAGATATCACAAGAAAAATATTCAGGGAAAAACATAAAAACCTATGCTTTAGAAAGGGTATATTTGATTATAAGAATCAGAAATCCTCTAAGTCTAGCTTAATGAAAATGGGCTTAACATAAAGGAAAACATGCAAATTCCAAGGGCATCCAAAGACAAGAAATGAAGAGCAGCCAGAACACAAGAATCCCAGAAATGGAAGGGAAAGGGCAGGCACTAAAGCATCTCTCTGTTTCTCCCATAAATCACCCATGATCAGCATCCTAGACTTGGACATGGCCCAGCGTGGCCACATTGTCTGCAGCTCTCATCTCAGGCTGTTGTTTAAGTACCTACTAGCATCTGATGATCACAATTCCCAGTTGCCTGAGCTGTGAATTGTTTGCTGCTGAGTTGAGTATTCATGCCAAAGATATGTCAGCTTCAACTGAAAGGCAATTTTATTATTTTATTTGTGTTAACTTTTATTTTAGGTTCAGAGGTACATCCGCAACTATGTTAAATGGATAAATTGTGTGTCATGGGAGTTGCGTGTACAGATTATTTCATTGCTCAGCTAAAAAGCATAGTTCCCAATAGGGTTTTCCAGTCCTTACCTTCCTCCCACCCTGCACCCTCAAGTAGGGCCCAGTAAAAAAGTTAATGGAACACTATAAGAACTCAAAATTATCAGTACTACTAACAGCATAGACACCAGGAATTCAGTTTTGGGACACTCTACAAGTCAAGAAACCATGATCAGCTAAATTGCTTGCTGAGGATGAAGGGAATATGGAATAGGTATTAAAAGAAGCAAGTAATAAATATCAGCTACGACCATGAGACTATTTACAAATTAAAACTACACTAGTTGTATTTCCTCTTTACTTATATATAAATATATTTGTGTGTATATATCCATATAAACATTCTTTCTGTCCATGTGTACTCAATATTTAGCTCCCACTTAGTGGAGTTGAGGACATGCAGTATTTTGTTTTTTCTTCCTTTGTTAGCTTGCTTAGGGTAGTAACCTCCAGCTGCATTCACATTGCTTCCAAAGACATGACCTAGTTCTTTGTGTCTGTGTAGTGTTCCAAGGTGTAGATGTACCACATTTTCTTTATTCAGTCTACCATTGATGGGCATTCAGGTTGATAATATGTTTTTGCTATTGTGATAGTGCTGCAGTGAACACACGCATGCCTGTTTCTTCAGGGTAGAATGATTTATATTTCTTTGGGTATATACCCAATAATACAATCACTTGGTCAAAGAGTAGTTCTGTATTAAGTTATTTGAGAAAATACCAAACTGCTTTCCACAAGGGCTTCACTAATTTACATTCCCACCAGTAGTTTTAAGCATTCCCTTTTCTCCACAACCTCACTTTGTTATTTTTCGGTTGCCATTCTGATTGGTGTAAGATGGTATCTCACTGTGATTTTGATTCACAATTATCTAATGATTAGTGATGTTGAGAATTTTTTCATATGCTTGTTGGCCATGTGTATGTCTTTTTTGAAAACTATCTGTTCATGTCCTTTGCCCACTTGTTAATGGGGTTGATTTTTGCTTATTAATTTGTTTAAGCTCCATATAGATTCTGGATATTGTTGGATGAATAGTTTGCAAATATTTTCTCCCATTCTGTAGGTTGTCTATTTAATCTTTTGATAGTTTCTTTTGTGTACAAAAGCTCTTTAGCTTAAGTAGATCCCATTTGTCAATTCTTGTTTTTGTTACAATTGCTTTTGGAGTCTTCATCATGGCATCTTTGCCAGGGCCTTTTCCAGAATGGTATTTTCTAAGCTATATCCTAGAGTTTGCCTACTTGTAAGTTTTACTTTTAATTCTTTAATACATGTTGAGTTGATTTCTGTACACAGTGTAAGAAGGGGTCCAGTTTCAATCTTCTGTATATGGCCATCCAATTATCCCAGCACCATTTATTAAATATGGAGTCCTTTTTCCATTGCTTGTTTTTGTTGACCTTGTCAAATATCACATGGTTGTAGGTGTGTAGCTTTATTTCTGGGCTCTTTTCTGTTCCATTGGTCTGTGTGTCTGTTTTTGTACCAGTAGCATACTGTTTTGGTTATGGTAGCTTTGTAGTATACTTTGTAGTATAGTTTGAAGTCAAGTAATATAATGTCTCCAGCTTTGATCTTAGGATTTCTTTGGCTATTTTTATTCTTTTTGGTTCCATATTAATTTTAGTATAGTATTTTTCCAATTTTGTGAGGAATGTCATTGATAGTTTGATAGGAATAGTATTGAATCTGTAAACTGTTTTCATCAGTATGCCCATTTAACAATCTTGATTCTTCCTATCCATGAGTATGAAATGTTTTTTCATTTGTTGGTATAATCTATGATTTCTTTCAGAAGTGTTTTGTAATTCTTATTGTGGAGATCTTTCACCTCCCTAGTTAGCTGTATCCCTAGGTATTTTATTCATTTTGTGGCTACTATGAATGGGATGGCATTCTTGATTTGGCTCTCAGCTTGGATTTTATTGGTGTAGAGAAATGCAACTGATTTTTGTGCATTGATTTTTGTATACTGAAATTTTTCTGAAGTTATCAGATCTAGGAGCTTTTGGGCAGAAACCGGGATTTTTTAGGTATAGAATTATATCATCTGCAGACAGAGATAATTTGACTTTCTTTCTCCCTATTTGTATGTCTTTTATTTCTTTCCCTTGCCTGATTGCTCTGGCTAGCACTTCCAGTATGTTGAATAGAAGTGGTGAGAGAAGGCATCCTTGTCTTGTTCTGGTTCTTAAGGGGAATATTTGCAGCTTTTTCTCATTCAGTATGATATTGGCTGTGGGTTTGTCATAGATGGCTCTTATTATTTTGAGGTATGTTCCTTTAATGCCTGGTTTGTTGAAGGTTTTTAACCTAAAGGAATGTTGTGTTTTATCACAAGATTTTTCTGCATCTATTGTGATGATAATGTGGTTTTTTAGTTCTGTTTATGTGATGAATCACATTTATTGATTTGTGTATATTGAACCAAGCTTGCATCCCAAGAATAAAGCCTACTTGGTCATGATGGATTAGCTGTTTGATGTGCTGCTAGATTTGGTTTGTTGGATTTTTTTTTTTTTTATGATTTTTCGCATCTATGTTCAACAAGAATATTGGCCTCAAATTTTCTTTTTTTTTTTTTTTTTTCCCGTATCTCTGCCAGATTTTGGTATCAGGATAACGCTGGGCTCACAGAATGAGTTGAGGAGGAGTCCCTCCTCCTCAATTATGGGAATGGTTTAAGCAGGCATCATACTAGCTCCTTTTTACACATCTGGTAAAATTCAGCTGTGAATCTGTCTGGTCCTGGGCTTTTTCTGGTTGGTAGGCTTTTTATTACTAATTCAATTTCAGAACTTTTTATTGGTCTGTTCAGGGTTTCAATTTCTTCTTGGCTTAATCTTGTAAGGTTGTATGTGTCTAGGAATTTATCAATTTCTTCCAGTTTTTCCAGGTTTTTTTTTTGTTTTTTTTTTTTTTTGCATAGAGGCATTCATAAAAGTCTCTGAGGGTTTTTTATTCCTGTATGGTTAGTGATAATGTCCCTTTTGTCATTTCTGATTGTGTTTATTTGAATCTTCTTTTTTCTTTATTAGTGTAGCTACTGGTCTATCAATATTATTTATTCTTTCAAAAAACAAACTCCTGGATTTGTTGATCTTTTGTTTTTTCACATCTTAATTTCATTCAGTTTAGCTCTGATTTGAGTTATTTCATGTCTTCTGCTATGTTGGGGGTTGGTTTACTCTTGTTTTTCTAGATCCTGTAGGTACAATGTTAGGTTGTTAATTTGAGATATTTCTAACTTTTTGATATGAATGTTTAGCACTATAAACTTTTCTCAATACTGCTTTAGCTGTGTCCTAGAGATTCTGGTATGTTGTATCTTTGTTCTCATCAGTTTCAAATAATTTCCTGATTTCTGCATTAATTTCTTTGGACAAAAGTTATTCAAGAACAGGTTGTTTAATTTCAATGTAATTGTATGATTTTGAAATATCTTCTTAGTATTGATTTCCATTTTTGTTGCACTGTGGTCCGAGAGTGTGGTTACTATTTCAGTTTTTTTGAATTTGCTAACAATTGTTTAATGGCTGATTGTGTGGTAGATTTTAGAGTATGTGCCATATGCAGATGAGAAAAATATGTATTCTGTTGTTTTTGAGTAGAGAGTTCTGTTGATGTCTATTAGGTCCATTTAGTCAAGTGTTGAGTTCAGGTCTCAAATATGTTTGATAGTTTTCTGCCTCAATGATCTAATACAGTCAATGGGGTGTTGAAGTCTCCCACTATTATTGTGTGGTTATCTAAGTCTCTTCATGGGTTTCTATTAACTTGCTTTATGAATGTAGGTGCTGCTGTGTTGGGTGTATATATACTTAAGATAGTTAGGTCTTCTTGTTGAATGGAACACTTTACCATTATGCAGTGCCCTTGTCTTTTTTGGTCATTGTTGGTTTAAAGTCTGGTTTGGCTGGGCATGGTGACTCACACCTGTAATCCCAGCACTTAGGAAGGCCAAGACAGGCGTATCACCTGAGTTCATGAGTTCAAGACCAGCCTGGCCAACATGGTGAAATCCCACCTCTACTAAAAATACAATAATCAGCCAGGCATGGTGGTGCACGCCTGTAATCCCAGCTACTCAGGAGACTGAGACAGGAGAATCGCTTGGACCCAGGAGGTAGAGGTTGTAGTAAGGTGAGAGCGTGCCACTGCACTCTAGCCTGGGTGACAGAGTGAGACTTCAACTAAAAAAAAAATAAAGTCTTTTTTTCTGAAATTGAATAGCAACCTGCACTTTTTCTGTTTTCCATTTGCTTGGTAGATTTTTCTCAATCTCTTTACTTTGAGCCTATGAGATGGATCTCTTGAAGACAGCATACAGTCGAGTCTTACTCCTTTATTCAACTTGAAGGGCAATTTTAAAGGGAAACTTTGATAGTAAAAACAACCTTCCAAAGTGCACCTCTACCTCTGCCTATGAAAAGGACAACAGAAACAGAAAAGTAAGATGTAGGCATTAGGCTATACAGATGGTTCCCAACTTAGGATGGTTTGACTTACAATTTTTTTTTACTTCTCAATGGTGTGAAAACCATGTGCATTCAATACGAACCATACTTTGAATTTTGAGTTTTGATCTTTTCCCAGGCTAGTGACATGGGTACAATACTCTCTCATGATGCTGGGTAGCAGGAGCCACAGCTCCCAGTTGGCCAAGGGATCATGATGAACAACAATGCTCTACAGTGAACTATGTTGCTAGATGATTTTTGCCAACTGTAGGCTAATGTAAGTGTTCAGAGCACATTTAAGGTAAATGAGTCTAAGCTATAATGTTCAGTAGGGTAGGTGTATTAAATGCATTGTTGACTTATAATATTTCAACTGATGATGGTTTATCAGGATGTAATCCCATCATAAGTTAAAAAGCATCTGATCTGTACACTGAATATTTAAAGCTCAGATGAGAAAAATAGAAAACTTTTGTAGTGGTACATGGGGCTTGCCCAGATACAAGGAAAAAAAAGGAATTCCCAAGACAATTTATTGATCAAATTTCCCTGTTTCTAACACAGATAAAACATTTTATTTCATTTTTAGATTACTGCAAATTAAAAACAAGTGTTTAACAATGCTTTTGTTTTTGGCTTTTGAATCCAACAAAGTCTGCTTCAATAACATTTAATATTTAAATTAATAATTAAACTGGACACAGTGGCTCACACCTATAATCCCAGCACTTTGGGAGCTGAGGCAGGAGGACTGCTTGAAGCCAGAAGTTCAAGACCAACCTAGGCAACAAAGTGAGACCACCATCTCTATAAAACATAAAACAAATTAGCTGGGCATGGTGGTACATGTACTCCGGAGGCTGAGGTGGAAGGATTGCTTGAGACTGGGAGGTCAAGGCTACAGTGAGCCATGATTGTACCACTGCACTCCACCCTGAGTGACAGAATGAGAGCCTGTCTCATAAAAAATAATCAATTAATAACTAAATTTCACAGCTTCAACATGCACATTTTCAAATGCACAGGTTTCTCTATAACATGTAGAACACAAGATTCAGTCCAATATTTACAAAAATATTTACACAACAACCTGAGAATAGCATTTCAATTGTGGTTCAAGAAAACAAAATCTTAAGGTTTAATGCAATTTATATTAAATTGGGTTTTGCTTGATAGACCCATAAAATATTAGTTATTAATTAAAAATCAGGCCAGGCACAGTGACTCACACCTGTAATCCCAGCACTTTGGGAGGCTGAGGAGGTGGATCACCTGATGTCAGGAGTTCGAGATCAGCCTGACCAACATGGTAAAACCCCATCTCTACTAAAAATACAAAAAAAATTAGCCAGGCATTGTGGCATGTGCCTGTAATCCCAGATACTCAGGAGGCTAAGGCAGGAGAATCACTTGAACCTGGGAGGCAGAGGTTGCAGTGAGCCAAGATCATGCCATTGCACTCTAGCCTGGGTGACAAGAGCGAAACTCAGTCTTAAAAAAAAAAAAAAAAAATCAAAATTTCTAATATTTTCAAGTATACCTCTTAGGTGTATTTCTAAAATTCAGTGACTCAACCATGTATGTATATTATATAAACTACCTCAGTCATAAAGCTATATGAAAATATCATAGGCACTATTGTTTTTCATTTGCTGTAGAGGCACCTATTAATTTAGCTTTTCTTTTTTTTGCTTAGATTCTACAAAGTATTTTCTATTTTCCACGGAATTCTTAATACCATGCTTTCAATAAAGAAGACATTTTTAAACACACTGACTGATTTTCATCTTTGGTGATCTATCTTTCCCTTATCTACAATTCCATAAGTTTTATTAAGTGCCCACTTTGTGAAAAGCACCGTAATTAGTGATACAATTAGGTTTTAGACTGGCTGTAATCAGCGATTAAACCTCCATTTTATTCTCTTTTCCTACAATTCCCTAACAGATTAAGAAATACATACACGAAATGGTAAGTCCTTAGATAATTGAGGATTGATTACATTTCCTAATAAAGTACCTACTTTAATTGGGTTGCCTTTGCTGCTACATACATTTTATTGCAGGATTCCTCCCTTAGCAGTCTTTCTCGGAGCATCTTAAAATGACAAGTTTATGTCACAGAAAAAAAAAAAAACGAACATTTTTGTTTGTAATTAATCATGAGTCATCTTGAAATGATCTTTCTTTAATAAGAATTAATTGTGGAAATTTAGATTTCTTTTATTTTCAAGTTTTGTGAAGCTGAATTTGCTGCTACTTTAGTTAAGAAATATTTCTGTGGATGAAAACACTGCCAACTAATATTTAGCCAATCATGCAGAGTATTTGGTGGTTTTTAAACTGTGTGTATTATGACTCTAAATACAGTATGAAAGGTTTTACAAATTTTATCATCTAGAATTTATGTTCTAACTTTTTTCAAAGTAGCTATTAGTATAAGTAAGCCCCTACTTCCACTTTTCATCTTGCCATATTAACAAGTATTGTTTATTTAGCTTTATCTACATCTTGGAAACTTGTTTACAATAATAAATCTAAAACTTAAGCCTTGGTTATAGCACACTAATATTTTATTATTGCCCACAATTACAGATCTTGAAGAATAAAAACAATACAATTAGAACCAGTGAGCTAAGTACAGCATACACATGTCCAGAGCGAGAAAGCCATAGACTAAAATTCTGAGGTGACCTGACTTAGAGAGGACAAACCAGATGCTAAGACCAAATCAGGAACTCAGTGTTCTAGCTCAGGGGTGAGCAAGTTAAGACCATTATGTACTAAGAAACAAATCCAAAATCAAAGGAGGAGGTCAGAGGTCAGTTATTTAGCAAGAGTTGACAATAATTTTTCAAACTGAAGCTTGTAACAGAACAGAGGCAGGGATCAAGGAGGAATGGGACAGGCCTTCAGGTCAAATAGCAAAACAATAAAATAGGACATACTATACCCAAGAAAAGCAAAAGTCAAAGACAACAAGGTAACAAGAGAACAGGAAGTAACAAGAACACTCTATAGAAGTGCTATCCAAGAGAATTTTCTGTGATAATGGAGACTTCTACCCTTGAGCCTCCAATGTCGTGGCCCAGCCACATGTGACTTTTGAGCACTTGAAATGTAACAAGTACAACTAAGGAACTAAATTTTTGAATCTATTTCAATTTAAGTAATTTAAATTTAAATTACCATTTGTAGCTACTGTCTTGAACATTGCACCTCTATGAACATGTAAATATCACTGGCTCTGACTGAGCCTCATGGATTGTGTTTCATTACCATAGGACCTCCTGCAAGGGCCCGATCACACTGTTGCACTTCCAACAGTTTAAAAAATGCAGCTCCTTTCACACAGCATCTGATACTACCTACTCTTCATTGTTTCCCATGACAGCTATATCCAACTGGGATAAAATGTTGGTATCATAGGGGTATGTTAGATCAGAGCATTGGGTTGGTGTGCAATTTCTAGGCTCCCAAGTACATCTCTTGTATGCCTACCAATATGCATCTCCTAATTAATCCACTGCCAACAGACACCACTTTCACTGGCTACACACCCAGGAGTAGGCATGGAAGTGGTGCTCCTTGTAGATACGGTCCCAAAAAGGAGGAATGAATAGAAAATTGAGAGTATTCAAAGGAATAGGTGGAACGGTTGGAATGCTGTCTCCTATCTGTTTCTTTCTAACAGATAGGAGACAGCATTTATGAGGTACCATCCTAGAAATATGTTACACAGTGTTCCAAAGAAAAAGGTGGTTACTGACAGTTGGTGGCATTCTTATATCTCAAATACACTGGATAAAAAGTGCCCTAGAGAAAAGCATAGGCTCTGCAGTTGGTAAACTGAATATTGATGAGATTCTGCTCTTATTCATCCCAAGTAGATTATAAATCCAATGATGTTGCTCTTTGCAGTTCTCAGAGGGCTTGAACTTCAAGTTCAGAGTGAGAATAGATGTCTGAACTCTACGAATAAAAGAGATAAGACACCTGCAATTTCTAAGTTGGGTATGGGGAGGAGAAAGGAGTTGTTCCACCCTATACACTCACATTGAATATATGACACTAATTCCAAATAATAATTTGGGAACAGCATGAGGACATCATCTGTGATAACTAGTCCTGTTATATTCTCAGTTCCTAAAACAGTGCCTGGAATATAGCTGACACTCAATAAGGGTGAGTTGACTGCCAAGCCATGACTGCTCCAGCCTGGACTGTGCATTGTTCTGAAAATGGTATTGTCGGGTTGATGAAAATGTCACCATCCATGTGGTCCATCTGTTGTAGACTTCTGAGTGTTTTCTCTAATGCATGGATGAGGATTAGGTAATGCAGCACATTTTAGCTATCAAAAGTAGAGCACAGACTTCTTCCAAGAACATGAATTAGACCTACTTTTCTCTCTTCCCACTAAGTACAACTAAAAACCCTGGATATTATATTTTAAAGAAACATAAAAAGACTCTGAAAGTTCGAAAGAAGAAAGCTGACCAGCCAAGGACCATCTCAGGACCCAAAAAGTGACATGGTTGTAAGTTCCTTGTGTTTTCTTCATGCCTTATTTATAACTGATTTGGAGTTAAAGAAGCTAACAACTTGAAAATACCTATGGGTGCAGTCAAAAAAAAAAAAAAAGAGAGAGAGCCCCAACAAGCACCTTCTGTCTTTAGCCAAATAACCTAGAAATAGCCAGCCTAGTGAGACAGAAAACTTTTCAACAGTAACTTTTCTACTCCAGCTAAACACCACAGAAAACACTGTGACCTCCTACCACAGTAGCAAGGGTCCAGTGGGGAGTTTAGACTTTTACCATCATAAGACTAGAATGAGATGTCCCCAAACCAGTGCCAGAGAAGGCCAAGTATAGAGTTGAGACTTTCATTTCCATCAGCTGGCAATGAAGTAATCTCCCAAAAGTATAGGTGGGGACCATATAGGGAGACAGAATTTCTACCATCACCCAGAAATAATGAGGTATCCCTCCATATCCCTACTGGGGTGGTATCAGTGAAGGCCTAGTAGACAGTTAAGATGTTCATCATTGCCCAGTGATTTTGAGGCCACCTTCACTATAGTACCAATGGATGCCACATGGGGAACCAGAAATTTCACTCCCACCCAGCAGTAACAAGGAACCCTCACATTGGGTGTCAACAGTGATCAAATAGGGAAACTAGACATCTTCCTCCACTTGGCCCTAACAAAGCCCGTGTCTTCTCCTCTCTTTCCAGGCCAGAGCAGTGTCAGAGAAAGACAGCTAAAACAGATTTAAATAATATCCAGAGTCTCAAAACATAATATGAAAATATTCAAGCCTCCAGCAAGAATAAATAGAGACAAGACACAAATTACTAATAATAGGAATGAAACAGGGATGTCACTACAGAACCTGCAAACATCAAAATGATAATAAGAGTTACAATGAACAATTCTATATATCCACAACTTAGATAAAATCGACCAATTTCTTGAAAAACACAAACTACTATGACTTACCTAGTATGAAATAGATAATTTAAATAGTCCTGTAATACTGAGAAAATTACATTTGTAATTTTAAAACTCCCAAAAAAGAAAATTTCAGACCCACATGGTTTCACAAATTTCTGCCAAATGTTTAAAGAAAAAATAACACCAATTCTACAAATCTCTTCCAGGAAATAGAAGGGAAGGAAACTTTCCAACTCACTTTATGAAGCTAGCATTACCCTGGTACCAAAGCCAGACAAACACAGTACAAACAAACAAACAAAAAATACAGACCAATGTGCCTCATAATTATAGACATAAAAATCCTTAACGTTTTAGCAAATAAAATTAAGCAATACATAGAAAGACCCCTATACTGTGACCACGTGTGGTTTGTTCTATGGTTGCCAGGGTGATTCAGTCTTCAAAAATTCAATGAATGTGGTCCATGTTAACAGGCTAAAGAAGAAAAATCACATGAGCATATCAAATGAGGCAGAAAAAGCATTTGATAAAATTCAACACTCATTCATGATAAAAACTCTTAGAAAAATAGGAATAAAGGAAACTTTCTCAACTTGACAAAGATCTACAAAAAACCTACAGCTAATATTCATCTTAATGTGAAAGACTGAATGCATTTTCCATGAGACTGAAAATAAGATAAGGAAGTCTGCTGTCACAATTTTTATTCAAAAGAGTGCTGGACAAACAAATGGAAAAACATTCCACGCTGAATGATAGGAAGAATCAATATCATTAGAGTGGCCATATTGCCCTAAGCAATTTACAGATTCAATGCTATTCCTGTCAAACTGCTAATGTCATTCTTTGCAAAACCAGAAAACACTATTTTAAAATACATATGGAATCAAAAAAGAGCCCAAATAACCACAACAATCCTAAGCAAAAAGAACAAAACGGGAGGCATCACATTATCTAATTTCAAACTACAGTACAGGGCTACACTAATCAAAACAGCATTGTACTGATACAGAAACCGCCACATAGACCAATGGAAATAATAGATCTTTAACAAAGTAGACAAAAACAAGCACTAGAGAAAGAACTCCCTATTTAATAAGTGATGCTGGGATAACTGGCTAGCCATATGCAAAAGATTGAAACTGGACCCTTTCCTTACACCATATACAAAAATCAACTCAAGATGGATTAAATACTTAAGTGTAAAACCTAAAACTATAAAAATCCTGGAAGACAACCTAGAGAATACCATTCCGGACATAGGAACAGGCAAAGATTTCATGACCAAGATGCCAAAAGCAATTGCAACGAAAACAACACTTGACAAGTGGGACCTAATTAAAATAAACAACTTCTGCACAGCAAAATAAACTATCAACAAAGTAAACACAACCTACAGAAAGGGAGAAAATATTTGCAAACTATGCATCTGGTATACGTATAATATCTGGATAGGCATAATATCCGGAATGTGTAAGGAACTTAAACAAGTTGAGAAGCAAAAATTCCATTAAAAAGTAGGCAAAGGAAATGAACAAACACTTTGTAAATGAAGAGCTTTTCAGTAGCATACTAAGACGTGTCCAACACTAGAATGGGTTGCCTAGACAAGTGAGTTTCCATGTAATGTGTTCAAGCAGGAAGAATGTTGCAAAAGGCACGACTGCATTTGGAGATTGGACCTCATCAGGAAATCATAAAGTCAAATGCCAACAGGAGGCTAGGTAAAAAATATGAACTATTAAAACATGCTGGGTGATTGTTGCCTTGTAAGAATGCTGAACTGGTGGAACTACCTCTTCTGATGTTTCAAGAGAAGCTGGAAATCTGGCTTTCTATATGACGTCTCCCAATAATTAAAATATCTTCACTAATTTGCCTCTTATGTCCAAATACTATGAGATCTAACACTGTGTAGTCCAAATAAAACATATCTATAACTTACATTGTTTTATTAATTCAAATGAATAAGAAATGGTTTCTATCATTGCATCCCTGCATTGTTAATTTCCAAAAACCTCTTATTGCTGATATTCCATCATAAATTGCTGTTTCCATGAAAACATCTTAAGAATAAATATCTCATTTTCTGCAATTTGTATTTAACAGTAAGGATGCAATTAAGGCAATGTCTTTGTGTTAAGCTCTGCACATGATGGCCCATTTTTTGGGAGGTTATTTATGAAAGCTCCAATTTTCTTGCAGAAAATTGTCTATCACATATTCAGTCAAATAATGACATATTATGTTTCATTGCTCAAATCTACTTCATGAGGGTTTGTCTTTTCTCCAAACGTGAATGGAACTTTCTTGAGGGAAAGTGTCAAGTCTTATAGTTCATTTTTCCATCTCAATTTGCTTACTAAAGTTTGGATCACACAACAAGTGCTCAAATATGGCTACGTCACAAGGATTTATTTACCACCAGACTTTGTGTCCAATAATATAATTGAAGCTATTCCTGGCCTAAAAGGGAAATGGTGGGACAAATGAGTGGGGAGATTGATTAGTCCTACCCTCTATAGACTCATACCATCAATGCTATCACACCCTCCCAGACCATCAGCAGGCCTTTTCCTCTTGACTTTTCAGCACCATTCGTGTCTCCTGCGGAGTTTTCAGGAGTTCCCCAATAGGCTATGATTGAGAGTATCCACTCACTGTTTTGAATTTCAAAAAAAAAAAAAAATGAAGAAAACAATCAGGCAAACTGTGTTTGATGCATTTTATATAACTGTGGCCTTAGAAGGAATTTGCCTTATAGGGCAACATGGGGTTTATCAACCAACAGTGGAGGTAAAATTCTCCTATTCATTACATTTCTATCTTCTAATTTCAAGTAGCTGTTATGGTATCGGTGTCTACAATGTCTACGGCAATTTGAGTGTCCTGTGGCAGATGCAGGGTTTCTAAAAATCAGGTGGAGTAATGGAAAACATTGCAGGTGGTATCTGACAGCAGATCAAAAGAACTCTAAGCTCACAGGGGATTTTTCTTCAAACTTTTCTACTTGCCTATCAGATACTGAGATTTTGACCTATGAAAACAATTTTGTGTTTAAAGAATATAAACTTACTAGAATTTAGATAATATTATCCTAAGGAGGAAAACACACACACACACACACACACACACACACACACACACACACACACACAGTATTCAATTGCCCACTTAAAAAAATGAAACATTTTAAGGGGCTATTCACAAGGTCTTTGAAAATCAAATATGGTACTCTTTTAAGCAAGTGAGAAAAGGTAAAGTTTAGCAATGTTGGTATCTAGAGAAGCGTCATCAAAAACTACTTTTAAGAATGTTTAGTTCCACAGAAAGAAGGAATCTGAGAATCAAAACCTGGTTTCAGAATATCCACCTACCAAGAGTGAAAAGATGTTAAGCTGTTGGGCTTTGGGCAGTGTGCCCTGGGCAGGGCTTCTGACTTTTCAAGACAGAGCAGTGTTCATGTCATTGATTCCTGATCTGACTGAGTTGTGTTCTGCCTTCCCTCCCAGGAGGCTCCATTTCCTTTAACTTTTTCTTTGTTTCTGTCAAACTTACCCACACTTAGCACATTCTTTCACCCAACCGTTGTTCTAAACATGACACGTCCCTTTCTTTCTTCTCTACTGATGTGGTAACTGTTCTTTGGCCTTCTTGAATGTGTTGTTTTATAGAAAGAAAAAAAAGACAAAAAGAGGCCTGTGTCCTACTGAGTATTTCAGCTTCAAAAATTATTTCTGAGGACAAAAGCTGCACTGGGAAGAGTTGGACAGAATTCCGGGCGTAATGGTATGTAAACCTCAATACTAGAATAGTCTTCTCAGATCCTGAAATGCCGCAGAGCAGCACAAAGGAGAGAGACATGCTCTCTGGTATTTCATGTCACCTTTTAGTCCTGAAAGAATAAAGGTTACCAAATGATAGACAATTTCTCTCAATGTGCAGTTCCTTTGCTGACATTGAGTGTTAGATCTAAGTCCAGTGAGAGCAATAGCAACAGTGTTAACATGGGCTTTTTATTTTTATTTTTTCAATTGACAGCAGAAATGAAGGCAATTTCTTGTTTAGCTGGATTACTGAACCAGGCTCTTAACTGGTCATGTCCTTCTGCCTTGTTTCCCCTACCCTCTGTTTTATTTTTCAAGAGTAGCCAGGATAGCAAGCACATCAGATGATGAACTTCTGCAAAAAGCTGCAATAGAGCTGGGGTTAAAACTCGGAGTTGAAGCCTAAGTTTTAAACCATCTCCTCACCCATTCACCCCTTACTGTATTGATATTTATCATTCCCACACCCCCTCACAGTGCTCCAACCGCAAGAGTCTCCACTGTCCCTTGCATACACTGTGCATGCTGTAGTGTTAGGGAATTTTCACTAGCAGAGCCCTCTGCCAGGACTATTTGCTCATCAACACTACTGCCTTCAAGACTTTGCACAAATATCAACATCTGAAATGTCAACATCTCAAAGAGACTCACTTTGAGCATCCTATAAAAACAGAAATTTTTCCCCTGCATTTACTATGCTTCCAACTCTTAATCCTGACGTACTTTTTGTTTGTCCATATTATTACTTACTTACTATTACGTATTATTTATTTTGTTTACTGTGTGCTTACTGTTGAGGTTAACAAAGACAGGAATCTTTGTTTTATTCACCGATTTAACTCAACTCCCTAGAACAGTGCCTAGCATATGTGTAGGAGACACTTAAATTTGTTGAATACATTAGTTAATGGTAAATTGGTTTATGTATTATTTCTTTGAAGATAACAAAGATAGTATTCTGGAAAGAAGAAAAACCACATTGTTAACAAAGTGATTGTGATTCACAGTCACTGGAGAATCAAAAACTGCATATTTTCTGAATTCAAATTCATAGAATTTTGTTTTTCCCCCAGAGATTCATGGAAGATCCTCTGTATCTCTGGAATGAAGGTAAGCTGTAAAGTTCCAAGCAAATTTGAGTTAGCAAGCAAATTGGAAATTTGGAGAGCATATTTTAATTGCCCTTCATCTAGGAAATCATAGCCGCCTTCCCTCTCAAACCAGTTGCCCACCATTAGCTGCAAAAACATGGAAACTAGAATTTTGGTGTGATATCAAAATTCTCTCCCTGCACTTTGGCTCAGTATCCAATTTTTTCCTGTTTCTTGGTGCTCATGTCAGTTAGTCAGACTCCTTCCTTGCTCTGGACATGATCTGCTCTGGGGCCTGGGCCTGTGTCCCTGACTCATGCTTTCTGGTCTCTTAAGCAATGCCTTGTAGCCCTTGTTTTCTAATCTCCTGGCTCTCTGGGTGGGTGGCTTGACTATGCAGACTCATGCCTCTAGCTTGTTTCTTGAGCCCTGGCTTATTTTCCAAATCCATGTAGTAGATCCAGAGATGTATTACTCAGATCTCTCTTCTTGGAAGTACTTGTTGATCGAGTGTGGCGAGTGCTATCAACAGACCACCCCCAACTGTCAGCCTCATCAGGGACTGCCTCAGCTGCAAAGCACTGTCTGCCCACGGTCACAATCTTCCATAGGACAACATGCTTCCCAGGATGGCCCAGTGATAAGTCCTCTAAGGAAGAGTACTTGCTCCAGAGCTCCTAGCCAGTTTGCTGAGACACAGCCAGCCAGGTATCACAAAACAACTTCTCCCTCTCCCAATCCCACTTCCACTCCTTTCCTTCACAGATACTGGCTCCTAATAAACATCTTGTTTCTCCAAATGCCGTCTCACTCTCTGCTTCTAGAGAACCCAACTGGCAACAACCTCCAACACTCCTAACTCACAGAGATTTCAAAAATGGCACTTGGAGAGGTGGAAAGCAGAATATATGTGAGCAACACTCGGACAGCTACAAGATACATGGAGCTTCAATGGTAGATCAGTCTCTACCATTGAAGCAATGCTAAAAACAGTAATGAGTTCTCATTATATTGTGTATTTTCAATATCTGGTGATAATATAAGAACGCAATTTTGCTCTCTTAAAATTTTGAGCAAAAAAAACCTTCCAACTCACCCTCTGGAAAATCTCCCTTTAAGTTGATAATTTATTTTAAATAAAATAAAAATATTAATTATGAAGAAATGATCAGAACATAGTTTAGATTCTAGATGAGGGCCTGGAAGACCTGGATTTAATAGATCATAGAACTGATAAGGATTTAATCCTGAAATTTATATATTAACAACATCCATTTGTCTGAAATGTACTTTCAACTATATACCTTTCACTTTTCAAATAATTTTAGAATAGAGTGTGCCCTTTTTATATTTGAGATGCAGTGAAATTACTAGTAATATTTCTCTTGCTTGTTGGTACCACCTTGTGTTGGCTGAAATCATTCATCCCTACTTTATTGTGATATTTCCTTACATTATTCAAGGTAAAACTGTCTTTGATCCAATGCTTCTAGTATCTAGGAGACACCTTAGCTGGATCCCAAACTTTGCATAGGTGCCACCTTCCCTTTGCTTGATGGTGAGCATTGTTAGCAATTTTCAATTCCTTTCTAGTCACTACGCAATCCTCTGAGTGGTTGATTTCTGTGCGGAGTCCATTTGGCTTAGCCCCTTAGGAGCCGTTCTGAATTCCAAAGGCTTCTTGTTTGAAAATTCATGAGCTTCTCAATGATGCAGTTCCTTTTTTGGCTGCCCTACTGCTCAGTTAGTTCAGACAACAAGCTGCTTAGAGACGGATAATTTTTCCTTTTAACTGCCAAAATCTACAGGGGGGTTGATATTTTACTGCTATTGTGGAATTTTCAGAAGTTTGGAAAACAGAGCATTTTATTTTTTGTTTTGTTTTGATATAGGACGTTTTGACAATGGCTTTGGCAATAATACAAAAATCTCGACGCTTCTAAACCAGAATAACATTTGCAGCCATCTGGCTTCCATATAGCACCCTCTGAGTGGAATAGATATAAAAACAGTTAGCAATTAGGAGGTTTAAAATGGCTTTCCCATTAGTTTCTGAACTAAACTATCCCATGATAAAGACAGCATACGCAATGAAGGAGTTGTTTATTCTTTGTCAGCACACTTTTCATCATGATAAAAATTGCCTGACACCTCCATTATTTCTTAATCTCCTCCACTATCACCACCACCTTTCACCTAGATTTCTGGACTCTAATTTTTCCTAAATGTAACATCCCTGAGAAAGACAGGCTGCAAAATCTATTTAAAGATCCACTATATGCCCAGTTAGTCATATTCAAAAAGGAAAATAATCTACCTAAGTCTTGATTCCAAGGAAGGTAGAAAAACTTTAAACAGCATAATAAGAATTACTGTCTTTAATTTTAAATTTCAAAGTTTAATGATATGATATGACATATAGATATTGATATGATAAACATTAGACATTAGGAAATTTTTCAGTGACATAGCATAGAAGATTTTGATTCTTGCAACTAAAAAGACAGTTCCTTTAAACCAGAAATGATGTCTTTGACCTTTTAAAAATTATTCAAAGGTAATTATTGTAATAATCTGCACATATAAATAGCACTACCAACCTGAAATCTTGTCAATTCCCAGTACAGTAATAAGAGATCAAAGATATCTAATATGCTGGAAACAAATTTGGAGAGGTGGGCTGAGATAAAAGAGGAAAGTGAAGTCATTTGAGAAGAGGTTTATGTTTTCCTCTGTCTAACTTGCCCTGCAAAATCATTTTCTGCCTGTCCAGGAAATGTGATCTACTAATAATCTACAAAAGATTTGTGCTGTCACTTATTCTGCACTTTTTACAGAGAGTAACATTTTTATCCAAGGCTTTCAGATTTCTTCTTTAAGTTGTCAAATTCAGAAAACTCAGAACTGGAAGAGATCAGACAGGAATTTTCCCAAACAAATTAGCATGTTGAAGGAGAAGGATGTAAATAGTAGAGTCGCTGGCAGCATGAATTTACCCTATGCTTGAGCACATTTCTGCAGCACAGCTAAGACATTAACAAGTGATGGCTTCACACACTTGGGCTAGTGATTTACAAAGTTGCTTCCTGATTAATAGAGTTCTAGAAAGGATTGTTGTTATACCAACTAAAAAGAATCATAAAATGGTAATGAATGTTATGAAACTTCATGAATATTTCATCTGAAGACAGGCTATCAGATTTATCTTAAGGTTAAAGAACACATAGGTCATAAATCAGGCCCAAGATGGAGTCGCTTGAGGTTCATAGTTGGTAAGAACTGTTTACATGTTAGTCAAGGCTATCTGTGGGTGTTTATTACTTCAGTTACATGTTAGAATCCAGTTAAGATAAATAAAAAAAGATTAATTTTATAATAGAACACTTTAAAAAGGATCAGCAAAAATTCCTGGAAAGAATTAGAGGTAGTTTTTGAAACAAAATGGGCTTCATTGAAATTGTTAAGTATTCAGAACTATAATCAATATTTAATAAAAAGGTATCACAAAACTATTACTATTATAAAATAGTATAATGAGCATAAGCTCATTGTTAAGCTATAAACAGCATATATAACTATAATTTATATTAAATCTTTAATATATCTTCAGTTTCAAGGCAATTTCTCATTTGGAATATTTATGGTGAGCTTAAAATTTACTACTTATGTTCTTAGATAGGTTATTACTTATATTGTTAGATAGGCATATTTTATTTCCTCCAATAGGACCCCAGAAAATTATTCTTCCTCAGTCTATAGTAATGATATGGAAGTAAAATTTCAGTAATTGTGGGATTTTCCTCCCAGCTTGGCAGCTAGCTGAGAGCAAGCCCCTTAACTCCTTTAATTGAAGTTTTTCCCTTTCTTATGTTTGTCAAAATATTTGAAGTGTTATTTAAATATAGAGATAGCCTTTCTGCACATTTTTATTCATCTGATGATGGAAATTAAAACCTATGTTTATTTATTCATTTGATCAGTCACTCAGCAGTATTTGAAATGCCTACTGTGTGCCATGTACCTGTTAAGTGACAGGGATGAAACTGTGGATGAGTAAAACCTAAGCCCTACCATACAGAACATTTTGCGTCAGGAAGGAAGACCAGTATGTAAATATACAATTGCAGAAAATGTGATGGCTGACCTAACAGGGCTATGGGCTATGTGAGCACATGGAAGGGGAAAGTGTCCCGGGTTGAGGGTTCAGAGAGCATCTTGAAGAAAATAATGCCTAAGGCCAAAGCTACCTGAACAATGAGTGAGGTCATGGTGAAATAAGGTGCAAACCAGGAGAAAAAAAAAATCATAAACTATCCTAGGAGCCGAGGAAAGCTTGTAATGGTTGACATGTGTTTAATGTGTGGTGGTGGGTGTAAAGATGAGGAGGGAAGCCAAGGAGAACATAGACCATGCTCATAAATCCTGCAAACAATTTTAACCCTACCTCAGCACAATGGATTTCACTGAAGGGGCTTCAATACTGTAGTCATAACTAGATTCGCATTTCATCCTGTTTACAGTTATATCTCTTGCTTGGTAGATAAATTGTTTTATACTTTTGCTCTTGAAACTAAAATGAAAATCAAGAATTTGATCAGATGTTATAAATCAGTGAGTGATGGGTTTTGAAGGTAATTTTACAAAGAGAGTTGGGGAGAAATCCGATCATTTACATAGAAAATGCTGAACATCACCAATGCTCTTGAATGGTGTAAAACAGTAATCCAATAGATACACTTCTCTAAGAATAAAGTCAGATTGGAATTCATTACCCTAAAGAATTCCTCATAAGAATGCAGTAGTTCCAAAGTTAGGTCGTGAGATCTCTTTATGACAGTCTTATAATAAATATTATCCTTCATTTTAAAGAGAAAAAGTAGTGCACATTCTAAAGAAATCATTGCCTTAAAGACTTGCTATCTCTGCATTTCGGCATCCCCATTCTGCCTCACTACCTACAAAATCTACTACAGGTTGAGTATGTTTTTGTTTTTTGTTTTTTTGAGATGGAGTCTCGCTCTGTCTCCCAAGCTGGAGTGCAGTGGCGCAATCTCAGCTCACTGCAAGCTCCACCTCCCGGGTTCATGCCATTCTCCTGCCTCAGCCTCCCGAGTAGCTGGGACTACAGGCGCCCACCACCACACTCGGCTAATTTTTTTGTATTTTTTAGTAGAGGTGGGATTTCACTGTGTTAGCCAGGATGGTCTCAATCTCCTGACCTCGTGATCCACCCGCCTCAGCCTCCCAAAGGGCTGGGATTACAGGCGTGAGCCACCGCGCCTGGCCAAGTTAAGTATCTCTTTTACAAAATGCTTGGGACAAGAAGTGTTTTACATTTGAGATTTTTTCAGATTTTGGAATATCTGCATATACATAACGAGATATCTTGGGAATTAAACACAAATCTAACTAAGGAATTAATTTATGTTTCATATATGCCTATAACTAAAAATAATTTTACATAATATTTTAAATAATTTTGTGCATACAACAAAATTTTGACTATAACCCATCATATGAGGTCAGGTGTAAAATTTTCCACTCTGTTGTCATGTTACACTCAAAAATTTTCAGAATTTTGAGCAGTCTGGATTGTTTTATTTTTGAGTTAGAGATGTTCAATCTATATTAAGATAAGAACTAATGTTGACTAAGGAGTTCCAGTCCCTGTCCTAAGTGTTTTACACGTGTTTGTTTATTTGATCCTCATCTAAAAATCCATACAGTAAATATTATGAATATCCTCATTTTAAAGATGAGGGAATTAGGCACACAGAGTCAAGTAATTTGTCCGAGTCATACATTCAGTGAGTGGCAGTGCTGGGATTTACAATGGGCCATCAGGATATTCTCTGTCATGACATACTACATACAGAGTAACACAGTGAACACAGTTTTCATAGTAACAACCAGCAGGAATATACCATCAAAATTACCATCAAAATTACCATCAAAAAGAAACACTGCTCCCATTTATCCTTGAATAGTGTTTTATGGCTGTTTAGGAGAAAGTCCTAATTCAGAGGAAGAAGAAAATTCCAATTTGATTTTCTGTGAGGCAACCATACTATTGCAGATTCAATACACAGAATGGTATATTTGCTCATTGATTATTGATGAATGAGCATTGATTGTGCTCTTACTGTGGTACTTGTGTACAGTATGTGCATTGAATACATGACATCACTTATAAGGGAATAATAATTTTTAAAAACTTTACAGAAAATATATCATATTGAACTGTCACTAACATTACCCTAAACTGAATTTTGTTATTGCATATTAGCTGTCACATCCTTCATTCCAAATGGAAACTGAGTTTTTTAATTTCTAGTGGAAAACACAATGCATGTTTAAGTCCAGGTATAAGAATAACACCAAAGACTTCCTGGTACAAAGAGTAATTTGTTCAATTTTCTGACTTGTTTCAGCCTAAAGAACAAGAACAGCATAGGATGAAAAAAGGTTTCCAGCAGAAAGAGATTTACAGTCAGAATCACTTTTCTCTGTTTTCATTCATTCTGAATGAATACAAAGAATAATCTTGCTGTTAATACAAATGCAGCAAACTGAGCCATTAAATTGACAGTGTGATCTATCCCACTTCACACTGCTTTATAAGCAAAATGTATCATTCTTGGGAGCTTTCTCTTGGTTAAATAATCGTGAGAAATATATCTCTTGCCATTACTTTTATTGATAAAACAGAGCATGTCATCTTAATTCATCCTTCCACTGCTCTATTTCATCATCTACTGAGTGATTGGGATTCTGATCACCCTGCGTTCTGCTGTCAGAACGAAAGCTTCTATCTACTCATCTGTTATTCTTCAAGAAGCAAAGCTCCAGTGTAACCTCTGTTTCTTACTGAATCTTCACCAGAGACTCAGATTTCAGCAAGCAATAACCTTGGGGTTCCCCTAGAAACCCTCGAGGGCTCCTGCTATGTCAAGACTTGAAGCTATCTCTAACATAATTAATGCACAAAGTCCTATTACTGTATTTTCATTTTCAAATTTAATTTGGGGTACATAAATTTGGTGGAGAAATGGTACTGTTTTACTGATTTTTGAAGCTAGTCTTCACTTGGTTGAGAAGGCTGAAAGCTTTAGCTCTGTGTCTTAAACTTTATTCTTTCCACTTTTTCTCTATTGATGTTCAACTACACTCATATCTTAATCTCAAAACACAAAATACATTTGTTTTGTCTCACTCAGGTATTTTTATGAAATTTCTCACATCTTATCACAAAAGATTTCTATTCTGAAACATATCTATTTGGATATTTTGTGTTTCCTGTTGAAAATTAATGTATCCACTTAGTTTGAATTACTGAGAAAATATTACAATGAATGTAAATCAGAAGTTAATTTTGATCATAACATGAGTAAAAGAAATAATCCAGAAAATTTGTACATATTGGTCATTTTTATAATTAGTCATAACTTATGCTAAAAGCCAAACTGTATACCCTAAACCAATGTGCACATGTGTGTATTATAAATACTTATACATAGTATTTTTATACCTACACAACATGTTGATAAATTTTTTAAATCATTATTGGAAAATAATAATTAGAATACTGTTTTATTGTTCATTGCTGCAAAACAATCCACTCAACATGTAGTGGCTTAGAACAATGATTTATTGTTTTTTACAAGTCTGTCAGACAACTAGGAAGTCGTTTACTCCATATCCATAGACATGGTCATTGGCTGGATCACTCACTCAGCTACATTCAGCTGGTGACTAACCTTGACTGAAAGATCCCAGAAGACTTAACTCACATGTCTGGGACTTCATTGCTCTTCCACATGGCCATGCCACATGCCTAGCTCGGAGCTCCTCATAGCATGGTGGTCTCAGGAAAATCAGACTTTTACATAGCAGCTGGCTTCAAGAAAGAAAGTGAAAGTTACTAGCCCTCTTAAGGGCTAGGTCAAAGATCAGCATAGTGTTACTTGATCTGCATTATAATGGGCAAAGCAAGTCACAAGATCAGCCCAAATTCAAGAGGAACAGAAATAGACTCTACCTCTTGAATGATAATGCAACATGAATGTAGAGAAAAGGAAGAAATTGGTGTCTATCTTTGGAGACTATCTAGCACACACACCTCAATTTAAATTTCAAAAGCATTCATTTCTATATTAGAACAGAAGGACTCTTGATGTTCTTCGTTATACTAGACAATAATAATTTATTTTTCCAAAACATTAGTCTGTCTAAACCCAAGGTAACCCTGGATGTTTAAAAAATGCATGGAGGAATCTGCCTGTGATGCTATCCTAAACATTTACTAATCTTAACATTGAAATCACACCTCAGATTTTAACTTGATTATCTTTCTCTCACTGTGCTTACCATTTTTACTAGTTGTTTCCTCATTTGCTTACATTTTCCACTTGGATATTATTTTAAACCAAGTGAAAAATGAAAACTGAAGGCAAACTTATATATTGTCTTTACACATATGACCCACTTAACCTAGTCAAACCAGATCATCCATCCACAAGAACAACAGGAACCAGGAAGCAGTGTGAGAACTGGCAAGCAGTGTTTCTTTCCTACCATCTCTGTCAGCCTCTGTCAGAGGAAGTATCTCCATTTTCCAATTATCCATGCCAATGTTTTCCCCCATTGACAGGAGTAATTAAAAGATGACTTTACATTCAGCTAGAGTTTAATAAATGTTAGTCACAAAATATTATTTCAAATATATCAAAGAAGGTCATCCTAATTTTTTGTTTGAAATATTTGTCAAAACCCCAATATATGCTAGGCTTTGGGAATGTAAATTATCTCTTTTTCAAAGTTTCAAAAAGCTAAGAGGACATAAAATACTTCCTGATATTTCCAGTTTGGGGTTTTTATTAATCTTTAATGTAATAATAAAAAACAAAATGATCTCTCATGAAAGTTTTTATTCATAGTGCTTTTGGTATCTTCAAGTGAGATTAGATCAAATGAAACTGCTATATAATGACATAAGAATATTTAACAATAAAAGGTTTCTAGAACAAGAAGAATGATTTTCGTAACAGTTTTCTTATCTGCAGATATGAGACTTAAGGGACATAAACCTCACACAGAATAGTCTTCTGTAGCTATTAGAGAGCAGAAAAGTCCATTCCAAAAAAATGAAAGTGATACATAAAAGCTTTGGCTTATTGATTAACCCAATATATACTTTTTTTTTGAGCACCTAGTATGTGCCACATTGATGCTGGGTATGCAATGCAAAGCAGAAAAGATGAAATTTCTGCTTTCACAGAGCTCCTGTCTGGTGACAAATACGGACACTCAGGCAGCTACAATCTAGTGTGGTAGATTTCAAGACTGAGTAATGTGAAGTCCCATGGGAGCACACAATGGGATCTCCTAATCCAGGGGTAGGAGGTCAGGAGCAGCCTCAGTAGGAAGGCAGCATAAATGGGCATAATGAAAAATTTGGAAGTCAGGGAGAAGAGTGTCCAGGAAGAGGAAATAGGACGTACATAGAACCTAAGTTAAGAGAGGATATCCTCTTCTGGGACCAGAAAATCGTTTAGTTCCACAGGAGCACTACCGTGAGAACTAACTGTGGAATGAGGATTCAGCTTCAGTAGGACTGCTACAAAATCTTGGGGAGTGGGAAAGGAGGATTTTGATTATGTAAGTCCATTAACATCCCTAAAGATTTCCATTTACAGAATGTATTATGTACATTTTTAGCTTTTAACAGCATGTGTATATGTATTTGAACATATCATACACATTTTTAAAATGGGGAAAAATGTATCAACATGTTAACCAGATGATTTTTTTTCTAAATTTGCTGCTTTGTACTTTTTTGAATTTCCAAAACGTTATACAATACTACTGTGCAAAAATTATATTTAATGGAAAAAAAAGCATTGTTAAAATGTAACTTGACTTCTAAATATATCTACAAATGATATATTTCTGAATCTTTTTATACTTCCTCTTCATCTAAGGGACACTTTCTGTACAAGTGTTGTTTCTATTTCTTAATAATAGATGTTTCAAATTGGAAGACAAGTCAGCTGAATTGAGTAAGTAACAAACTTCAGAACTAGATCTTCATTGAGCAGCGGTTTGTAGTTCTCCTTGAAGAGGTCCTTCACGTCCCTTGTAAGTTGGATTCCTAAGTATTTTATTCTCTTTGAAGCAATTGTGAATGGGAGTTCACTCATGATTTGGCTCTCTGAAAACTACTTTAAAGTTCATATGGAACCAAAAAAGAGCCCGCTTCACCAAGTCAATCCTAAGCCAAAAGAACAAAGCTGGAGGCATCACGCTACCTGACATCAAACTATACTACAAGGCTACAGTAACCAAAACAACATAGTACTGGTACCAAAACAGAGATATAGATCAATGGAACAGAACAGAGCCCTCAGAAATAACACCGTATACCTACAACTATCTGATCTTTGACAAACCTGAGAAAAACTAGCAATGGGGAAAGGATTCCCTTTTAATAAATGGTGCTGGGAAAACTGGCTAGCCATGTGTAGAAAGCTGAAAATGGATCCCTTCCTTACACCTTATACAAAAATTAATTCAAGATGGATTAAAGACTTAAATGTTAGACCTAAAACCATAAAAACCCTAGAGGAAAACCTAGGCAATACCATTCAGGACATAGGCATGGGCAAGGACTTCATGTCTAAAACACCAAAAGCAATGGCAACAAAAGCCAAAATTGACAAATGGGATCTAATTAAACTAAAGAGCTTCTGCACAGCAAAAGAAACTACCATCAGAGTGAACAGGCAACCTACAAAATGGGAGAAAATTTTTGCAACCTACTCATCTGACAAAGGGCTAATATCCAGAATCTACAATGAACTCAAACAAATTTACAAGAAAAAAACAAACAACCCCATCAAAATGTGGGCAAAGGATATGAACAGACACTTCTCAAAAGAAGACATCTATGCAGGCAAAAGACACATGAAAAAATGTTCATCATCACTGTCCATCAGAGAAATGTAAATCAAAACGACAATGAGATACCATCTCACACCTGTTAGAATGGCGATCATTAAAAAGTCAGGAAACAACAGGTGCTGGAGAGGATGTGGAGAAATAGGAACACTTTTACACTGTTGGTGGGACTGTAAACTAGTTCAACCATTGTGGAAGACAGTGTGGCAATTACACAGGGATCTAGAACTAGAAATACCATTTGACCCAGCCATCCCATTACTGGGTATATACCCAAAGGACTATAAATCATGCTGCTATAAAGACACATGCACACGTATGTTTATTGCAGCATTATTCACAATAGCAAAGACTTGGAACCAACCCAAATGTCCAACAACGATAGACTGGATTAAGAAAATGTGGCACATATACACCATGGAATACTATGCAGCCATAAAAAATGATGAGTTCATGTCCTTTGTACGGACATGGATGAAATTGGAAATCATCATTCTCGGTAAACTATCACAAGGACAAAAAACCAAACACCGCATGTTCTCACTCATAGGTGGGAATTGAACAATGAGAACACGTGGACACAGGAAAGGGAACATCACACTCTGGGGATGGTTGTGGGGTTGGGGGAGGGGGGAGGGATAGCATTAGGAGGTATACCTAATGCTAAATGACGAGTTAATGGGTGCAGCACACCAGCATGGCACATGTATACATATGTAACTAACCTGCACATTATGCACATGTACCCTAAAACTTAAAGTATAATAATAATAATAAAATAAAAATAAATAAAAAAAATTTAAAAAATTAAAAAAAAAAAACTAGATCTTCTATAAAACAAAAGCAATATTGGGCCAGGTGCGGTGGCTCACGCCTGTAATCCCAGCACTTTGGGAGGCCAAGGCGGGGGGATCACGAGGTCAGGAGATCGAGACCATCCTGGCTAACACGGTGAAACCCCGTCTCTACTAAAAATACAAAAAATTAGCTGGGCGTGGTGGCAGGCGCCTGTAGTCCCAGCTACTCGGGAGACTGAGGCGGGAGAATAGCGTGAACCGGGAGGTGGAGCTTGCAGTAAGCCGAGATTCTGCCACTGCACTCCAGCCTGGGCGACAGAGCGAGACTCCGTCTCAAAAAAAAAAAAAGCAATATTAAAAAAACACAGAAAGTATACATTTTAACCCTGTTCGCAAACTGACAGAACGTAACACTTAAATCTTATATGATACATAATATATATGACATATATGATTTTCATTCAATATAGTACATGTTAAACATGCTGTAATTATCATGAATATTGCTAAAATTCATCTCTTGTACAAAGCACCTCTTAACTTCAGTAAGACATAAATAGAAGTTATTTTTTTTCTAATTCTAACAGTCTTTCCCCAGTTTTCTGTTCATTAGTCACCCCACACAATATTTTCCCCACTGTTTGTAAACTCTGCTTATTAAACCCAATCCACAGAATCATCACGTGGTTCAGAGTTTAAACTCAGAGAAGACAGGAAAAACAAATTTGTGTTTAACCTTGTGTGTATGGGTGAGGCCACCGAAGATGCAGTCAGAATAAATGCATCTTGTGATGACCACAATAAAGATGGTAAGAGTGATGGCACGTCTTCAAAAAGCAATAAAAATAAAAGGTGCTTTGTCCTCCCAGCTCCATTTCTCAGAGCCGAGTTTATGCTGTTTGCCGTAATTCCAGCATGAATTGCCGGCATGGAAGTGAATGATTGGACTCTTAGCTCAAGCACGGACCTTCGGAGGCCTCTGGCAAATTCAAAACATCAAAATTCATAACTTAATTTGTTTACTTTAAGGAAACTCCTACTTGGTTATCAAATGTGAAGTGTTTTAGAGCTAAGATTAAAAGAAAACTAACATGCCTGAATTATTAATTATCAGTTTACAGTTTAAGTCTTCTCTTGGCAAAACAATTCACTTTTCAAAGATTGCTGTAACAAGTCTTGGGCACAGCTAGAGAAAACATTTGTGTTTGTATTAAAGCTGGCTATTTCCACATATGCTCACTGTGACTCTAGGAACAGAGCCATCGGGAGGAAATAAGGCCGGCAGTCATTCGCATTGTGCTGATAACAGCAATTTAGGTTGATAGGCTAGCTGTGTCAAAAGTAACACTAATATTAATATTTATAACTTGCCTTTCTCCTGTCTTAAATCTACTCAAGATATTGTTATATTTATATTCAGGCTATTCTTATGAGAAACATAGATACCAATTTAAAAAAAAAAAGTAAGAAGGTTTCTATAATCCTAACTTTTAGTGTACTCTAGTTTCAAGTAAGAAAAATATCACAGGTATTTGAAGTTCCTCAACTGACATTCCCTCACTGGATTAACAAACAAACAAACAAAGGCATTCCAAGTATGTATTTTCTGTATAGCAGCCCCAACCAATAAAAGTGTCACTTATAGATTGAAGAAAGGAAGATAACAGACTAAATCTAAAGGAGATTGATTGGATCTGCAACAATGTTGCACCGTCATTTCCCTCCACAATTAGATACCTGGTTCCAGTCCTGTAAAGTCTAGATGGAGAAGATAGCTCAAGGACTGCATGGTAACAAAAGAGGCTAAAAGAACCCTGAGGATTATCTACACTATTTCTCTGCCTCAAAGCAGACCATCTCTCAAACCATGTTGGGAACAGTGCAGTCCACGAGTGGTGGGACTCATCCACTTTTAGTGATGACATTCTGATGTATCTAATCCCTTGTCTTCAATAAATGTATTGTAATGTTAAAATTTCCATCATATACATCTATATATACACTTTATATACTTTATATACTTTTATATACACATATCTATACTTTCTTGTATGTCATTCTTAGAAATTCAAAAAGAATGCCTCTAAAATTTCCTTCTTCCTTCATTTCTTCCTCCTTTCCCTTTCTTAAAATGGGCACTGGAAGACAGAATTTGATTATTGGAAGGGTATGTATTATGAACATAATAAGTACCACAAGAAGGACCAGAATAGCTTAAAGGAACTAATAATTTTGGAGTAATAGGAAACAATATTAGAAACAAAGGACAGGTCTTGAAATTCAAGTTAATTGCAGCAATCACAAATTGACTTCAGGTTAAATGCAGATTTTAACAGACATTGCCAGTTTTTCAAATGATCTATAGCTATTCTCACAGTTTCACTAACAATGAATAAGAGTACCCACACCCATAAATATTCCTCTACCCTAACCTTTAAAATGGATGTTAATTGGTTTTTTCATCTGTCTGAAAGGTATATAATGATCTTTTATTGTTGCCATAATTTACATACTACTAGTTTGAGAACGCTATTTGTTTTGCTTTGATTTTTTCTTTTTTTTTTTTTTTTTTTTTTTTGCAACAAGATCTTGCTCTGTTGCCCAGGCTGGAGTGCTGTGGCACAATCAGGGCTCACTGCAGCCTTGACATCCTGGGCCTAAGTGACTCTCCCACACCAGCTACAACTACAGGTGTGTGCCACCATGTCTGGCTAATTTTTTAAATTTTTTTGTAGAGATAGGGCCTCGCCGTGTCACCCAGGCTGGTCTCAACCTTTCAGCCTCAAGCAATCCTGCCATCTCAGCCTCCCAAAGTGCTGAGATTACAAGCATGAGCCACTGCACCTCTTCTTTCTTATTTTATCTTTAGCAATTTGGATTTGCTCACTCATAAGTCACCTCTTCATATCTTTCTCACATTTTTCTATTGGTTCGCTTGTCCCCTTAAGTTAGCTCTGTTCTCTGTGCTACAACTGGTTCTTCCAAGGCTACCAAATATCAGATGACTTTATGATTCCCTAGGCATACGTTTATCCAGTCAAAATGTCTCTTTATGTTGGTTTTGTTTCTAATCTTGGTTAAGAAGGCCTCCCCTTACAATTCAATCTAGCAATCTTACAACTGGGAATCTTTTTCAAAGAAATTATGATGACCACATATAAGGATTTATTAACAGGATATTTAACACATCATTGTTTGTAATTTCCAAAAGTCTGGAAACCAAAGGAATAGGAAAATGGAAACCAATAGGAAAATGACTAGATAGATTATGGCACATATACCCCTTAGAGTGAATTTGAGCCCAACTGATTGATTTAGAGGGACTTCCACACAGTGTTATTGAGTGAGAAAAGCAACATGCACAAATGTGTAAAACTGGATTTCATTTTTGAAAATCAGTGACTAAAAACATGTATATCTATTTGTATATATTTTTGTGTGAGTATATATAAAAATATATATCCCATATAATTATATAAACCTGGAGGCTTCACACTAAATTATAACTATGGGTTAGGAGTAGGGTCTCTAAGAAAAATAAGGAAAAATATCATCTGAATGAAAACAAATCATTATGACATGATTATATTTGCATATTTTATATATTACATCTAATATACAAATATTTTAAAATAGATAATATTGTGTGTGAGTAAAATTTTTTTAAATTTAATGACAATTTCCCCCAAATAGAAGTGAAGAAACAAATATGACAACTCCCCAATTAGTTTTATTTTTAAAGTGCAAGTTTATTCATTTTACCCTTAAATGCCATCTGATTATAAAAGTATTACATTATATTAATTAGCCAAATGTTGATGACCATATTTACATATCTTGAAGCCTCTCTGTGTGACCTTGAGAGAGTTAAACTCTCTGTGTCTCATCTGTGAAAGGAAAGCAGGATAATATCAGGATTTATCATAAAGGATTGCTGTGAACATTAAACTAGATAAAATACGTAGGATTTAGGACAGTGTCTGGCTAAATAAACACTAGCAGTGCTAGTAGTGGTTAAGGCAGAAATCAAAGTAATATCTTATGACTGCTCTTAAAACTCTTTATCTAATTAGATGCTTAGTTTGTGTTGATCTCCTGGGCAGTTTCCTATTAATTCTTAATTCATCTATCAGCATGAGACTAGACATCACCCACTGCTGTGCTAACACTCACATACTCATTTTTGTACTATATTGTGTTTTCTTAATTTCTGTTTGATTCTATAAGCTATTTCTTATATCCCCATAATACCTTTAGACTTGTTATGTCTT
Source organism: Homo sapiens (assembly GCF_000001405.40). Classification (NCBI taxonomy): domain Eukaryota; kingdom Metazoa; phylum Chordata; class Mammalia; order Primates; family Hominidae; genus Homo; species Homo sapiens. Next base: position 180,188,533 of record NC_000002.12, on the reverse strand, counting down.
TAACCATAGCTGTGTAGATTACAAAAATCATTACATATTTTTAACCCTTACAGTTCACCAAATAAAATAACTAAGAATTAAAGAAGTTGTTATTTTCCCCAGATTATGGCCAATAAATGAAATACCAAGAGCCAAACTCAGGTCTTATGACTCTAAACTCTTACTCTTTTCCATTTTAATAGCGATTGTCTGATTGATTTTTCAAATACAAAAAGGATGGCAAAGATCTAGTCTTTTATTTTTCACAGCAATTCTTTGAGATGTGATTATACTTTATGTAATTCTAGCATTGGATTTGTAATTCCCATCATCTTTTGACACCACATAAGTCCTGGGAATACAAGTTTGATCATGAAGCAAAAACTGTTATAGTGACAGACAAACTTATTGCATGTTATCCTATACTTGGCTAATACAATATTCATTCTCTTATAAACGTCCCAGAGCTGAGAAAGAAAATTTTCTGTAAGGTAGGCTAATGATGTTTTCCATACATTAGAGAGTGCATTTGTCCCTATCTGCATCCGCTTTTACGTGAGAAAATTTGAAAACCCAGTGAGCACATTCAACCATCTCTAACAGAAAAATTATATAACTTTGACATCTTACATACAAATTCAAATGTTTAATGCCAAGGCAAATGTATTTGAATTTCATATGTGAAAGAGATGAATACATTGTGTTCACAAGTTCTTTTATGTTTTTAAAGAATAAAGAGGCTCATAAATCTATCCACATACCTTAACTCTTACAAAAGGGATTATTGGTAAAGATAAAGGCCTCTATTTTGTCTCAGAAGTGACACATTCATTTGATTGTAAACTATTACCAAATGTTTCAGGGTACTTTCTAAACACAGGGCACTAAATGAGATAAAGGAAGAAATGTAAATAGTTTTATATGGACCTTATTCTAAAAGAATCTATAGGCTATGAAGGGAAATCACACACACACACACACACACACACACACTCTATAAGATAACAGATGATGAATATAAAAAGATAATGTAGGATGATGAACTAAAAATGTAAGGGCTTCAAAATCTACCAAAACCATCTCCGATTTTCAGCTATGACAGTGTGACTTTGGACAAGTTACATCAACACTTTGGTTTATTTTCCTTTTTTTCTAGAGAATAGGTGTAATAGTGCACATCTTACATTGCTGCTGTGACTAAATAATGTCATATGTATAAATCACATTGCTTGGTGCCTAAGCCAAAGAATCCAACTGCATAATGGTGACTCTCATCATTATAAGAAAAAAAAAAACCAAAAACTGATGAGTTACCCTCAAATTTTAGAGGAGGGAGAAATAATTTTAAGAAATATCATGGGAGTAAACTTTATAGAACTTATTATTATTATTATTATTATTATTATTATTATTGAGACAGTCTCACTTTGTCACCCATGCCGGAGTGCAGTGGCACCATCTCTGTTCCCTGCAGCCCCCACCTCCCAGGTTCAAGCAATTCTTCTGCCTCAGCCTCCTGAGTAGCTGGGACTACAGGCACTCACCACCATGCCATGCTAATTTTTTGTAGTTTTAGTACAGACAGGGTTTCACCATGTTGGCCAGGCTGGTCTCGAACTCCTGACCTCAACTGATCCACCGGCCTCAGCCTCCCAGAGTGCTGGCATTACAGGTGTGAGCCACCATGCCTGGCTAAAACTTGTTATTATTAGACGTGAGGGGAAGGAAGGCAAGCTTAATGAAAATTTTCAAAACTGATGAGTTGAAGGATAGTGGTACTATTAATTTAAACAAAGATGACGATGCAGGAGGATGAGAGGATTAACCAATGTTAAGAACTGCTGTTTACAGAAAAGGACATTATTATTCTCTAACCATCTTGCATTACCTAAGTATTTTACAGATGTTTAGAAATATGAAAGTTCTTTTCCCATGGGCCTATTTTAAGGAATTTAAATTATACATTCAGCAAAAGTGCTTGATATAAGAAATGTACTTTCATAAAATTTCACATATGCAGGCCTCTTTGGACCACGTGGCTGGCTCAGAATTAATCTGACTGTGCAAGAAAATTATTTTGACAGATTTGAAAAACCTGGCTGTTGAAGAAAAAATGTTATTGTACCTGCCTTTAGCAGTGGATGAAATCCAAACCAAAAATGAGTTCAAAATTTTAAAATTTTGTATGTTAAAAAAAAAAAGAAAGCAAAGATAGTCTTTAAATGTCAGATGATGTAAGCTTAGCCTGGGAAATGCTATGAATGATGAAATCATATATTACATTAAGAGACCTATAGTGAACTAAAGAACTCTCAGGTGGTTCACAGAGCACAAGTGGCTTTCAACTCAGTATCCTATGAGAATACTGATAAAGGCAAATTAGCTGTGTAAAAGGATTTTTCTGGTCCCTATGAGTAGGTTCTTGCTATTCATCAAAATGCTGCTTATATTTTGCATTCTCAAGGTAATTTTTCTTCAGAGGTGATTAGCACAGTATCTTGAAACTATTCAAAATGTAAAGGTACTTCAAAACATCCTTTCCACTGTGACAATAGAGAAAACACTCACAGACTCTCCCTCAATCACCCAGGCTGGAGTGCAGTGGAGCCATCTCAGCTCACTGCAGCCTCCACCTCCTGGGCTCAAGCCATCCACCTACATCAGCCTCCCAAGTAGCTGGGACTACAGGCGTGCACTACCACGCCAGGCTAATTTTTGTATTTTTTTGTAGAGACGGGGTTTTTCCAGGTTGCCCAGGCTGGCATAGCTCTTTCTAGCTGTAGTTTTTCCAGTTAAACTTCTAAATCTGTCTAGAGCCCTACCTCTTACTCAGTAGTTTTCTATACTTAACAATGAAGTCACACATCATAGTCATGGGACATACATCCATAAAACTATGGGATATGTTCATCAAGCAAGTGTAAAATATTCTTCAGGAATATGGCTCTATAGGAATGTTCCAACCAGCAAAAATCTCTTATTTCATGCAATATGATAGGAAAAGTCCTTTCACATTTTTATTTAATATTCACTAGTTCCTTTTTAATACAGAAAATATGAAAATAAAAATAAAGCAGTTCATAATTCTACAACATACATAAACTCTTCTGACATTAAAACCAGAAAAAAAAGTGAGTAATATATGCAAATGTAAGAAATTTCAAGCACTAGTGAAGGGTATCAAATTAAAAGTCTCCCTCTCTATCTCCAGTTTTTAGCCCTTTCCACAAAGACAAACAGTGTTATCAGTTTCTTGTACATTCTTTGAGAAAATAATTGGCATATCCAGTACACTATATGCCTTGCATTTTTTACTTACTATATCGTGGATATCTTTACTAGTGAGTAAATATACACCTATTTCATTTCTTAAAAAGAGTCAGGTAGTGTATATAAGCTGTGATTAGTTTCTTCAACTGGTGGACATTTAGGCTTGTCCAGTTTTGCTTATTTTTATAAATAATGCTGCAATAAACACACTGTACATGTATCTTATGTGCATTATCTATAGGAAAAACTTCCTAAGAACAGAATTGCCTGGACATGCAATATGTGCATTTGAAGTTTTATAGATATTTTACAGGGGTTTCAAAGATATTACCCATTCATCTTCCAAAAAGTAAGACCTGTCATCTGCGTAAAAATGCCCCTGCTTCCTCCCTCCTTACCAAACTTCGCCAACTATTAACCAATTTTTTTAATTGTTTAAAAATTGTTATGGGGTGAATCATGTCCCCTGAAAATGTTGAAATACTAACACCCACTATGTGTGAATGTAACCTTATGTGGAAATAGGATCTTCACAGATGATCAAGTTAAGATGAAGTCATTAGGATGGGCCCTAATCCAACATGACTTTGTTGTAATAATAAAGGGAAATCTGGATACAAAGACAGATGTGCAGAGGATGAACACCATGTGAAGATGAACGCAGAGATTGGGTGATGTTTCTACAAGCCAAGGAATGCCAAAGAGTGCCAGCAAACCACCAGAAGCATGGATCAGATTCTCCCTCAGAGCCCTCAGAAGGAACCAATCTTGCCAACACCTTGGTCTCAGAATTCTGGCCTCCAGAACTGTGAGACAATAAATTTCTATGATTTTAAGCCATCTACTTTGTGGTAGATAAAAATGTTATTGTTTGATGTATCCTTTATTCATTCTTTCTCCCATCTTCATCTATAGTCAAACTTTTTCATTTTTATATATCCCCCGGCATTATACCACAGTCTTGCATTAAACAAATGATGATAAGCATTTGCTAAGTGAATAAATACATAGTATAGTAGGAACACTAGTTAAAATTTATAGAAAAAAATTTATAGATGAGAATTGTATATTGTTGTTCTGACTGGCATTTTTTGTGAATTAAATTGAGCATATGATTATATTATTATTGGTCCTTTGTTGGGTCTCTTTTATTCTCGCCTAAAATTGCTTCTCCATGTACTATGTTTATTTTACTGCTGAATAGTGCATTTTTTATTATTGATTTGTACAAATCCCTTGTAAATCAAAGAAATGATCAGTATGTCATATGTGCTGCAAGTAAATTCCTAGCTCATTATTTTTTAATTTAGAGAGGTAATTTTTTTCTTTTACATTTGTATTTTATGTCATTACATAGTCAAATTAATCAAACTTTTCCTGACTTTTGGAGTTTGTGTCTTATTGGGAAACATCTTTATGCTTTTAAATTATAAATAAATACAAAATTACTTTGTTGCTTTACTTTTTACATTAAAATTTAAATAATATATTAATGTTAGGTTGAATCATACATTGGGTCAAAATATCAAATCTAAGCATTTTCGTAAGAGTCAACATAATGGTATGTCTCAGGGTAAATGAGGTAGTTGATTTAGTTTATTTTTTTCTAAATGGCTATTCAGATGTCCCAATATTATTTGATATATAAATTATTTTTTCTAATGACTTTTAAACAATATTGAATCTATTAGATACCTAGGTCACTTTCTCATTTTCCTTATCTGTCTATTCTCATTTCTAGTATCCTCTATTTTTGTAGTTTTGGGGGTTTATCACTCCTCGTTTATAATTATCCTAAGAATATTCCTACATGTTCTTATATACGTATTATTAAAATAAACTTAGAAATCAACTGGACAATTTTTCCTCCTGTCCTCCTCTCCAAGAAAAAGAAAAAAGAAGTATCTGGACTTTGATTGAGTTTGCAATAAATTTTTATAGATTAATATTGGGCAACTGATATTCTTATAAAACTGATACTTATTAAAGAAAAAGGAAGTCCTTTTTATTAGTTTCCATTCAAATTACTTAACTGTGTTCTTAGTATTGTCCTACTTACTTCTTATATTTATTTCTGGATATTTTATGATTTTTTAAATTGGCATTATAAATTAGGTCTTTTGCAAATATGTTCCTATTAATATTTGTTAATTGAAAAACTATTGATTTACATATACCAATGTGGTACATGACCACCTTGCAGGATTTTCTGATATACAATAGTTTTTATGTCCACTCTCTTATGTGATTCAAGTTAGTCACATCATCTGCAAAAAATAATGTTTGCCTCCTCCTTTTCAGTGTTTTAGTTTCTTATTTAATCATATTATTTTTCACTCTACCAAACACTAAATATGCTGATAGGCATTCTTCTTGTTTTTGTTGTTATATTAAAACCATTAATGATTTTGCCATTAAATTCTCATTCCAGTCAGGGAAAGGAGAATGAATTTAACATTTGAGCATCAATTTTACAAACTTAAAAGTAATCTTAAAATGCTTGTCTCACATGCACATGTATATTTATTGCAGCACAATTCACTATTGCAAAGATATGGAACCAACCTAAGTGCCCATAGACCAATGAATGGACAAAGAAAATGTGATATACATACACCACAGAGTACTACTCAGCCATAAGACCAAAATAATATCTTTTGCAGCAACATGGATAGAGCTGGAGGTTATTATTCTAAGTGAAATAATTCAGGAATGGAATACCATATACCTTATGTTCTCACTTATAAATGAAAGCTAAGTTACGAGCATGCAAAGGCATACAGAGTGATATAATGGACTTTGGAGACTCAGAAGGGAGTCATTGGGAGGTGGATGAGTGATAAAAAAAAAAACTACATATTGTGTACAATGTATACTACTCAGGTGATGGGTGCACTAAAGTCTCAGAATTCACCACTATGTAATTCATCCATGTAGCCCAAAACCACTTGTATCCCCAAAAACTATTGAAATAAAAATAAAATAGTTAAAAAATGTCTCATATGGATGTTGTGACAATAAATTTTTGATACTTCCAACAGACTTGGCCCATGGTAAGCATTTAATAAATGATATACAATCTTTCTCCAGGAAAATTTTATAGATGTTTTCAGTAATTTTAATTATCTACTGAAGGAGAAATGCTGTTTTTATTTAAGCAAAAATTATTTGGACCAAAAATATTTAGGCATAATTAAATCACACCATATTTACTATGTCGCTAGTATGAGCAAGACACCATGGAAGCCGCATAAGACTTCCTTACCCATTCTCTTCCACACACTGCACTGCTATACAGCAGGCTCTCGCTACTCAAACTATTAAGCAGCCTCCTAATCTAGTCCACATAATAACAGCAAACATTTATAGAAGTTAATTCATGCCAGGTATTGTTCTGTGCATTTTATGGCATTTACCATTTGTCAGGGCTCAGTACATGATACCCCAAAATATGGCACCTTGGCATACTGAGTGTTTTTAGCTGAAGGAAATTGAGAAAACCACAGAAGTAGAAACGTCACTTTCTGACCTGCTCCCACTATTTCCCCAGAAGCAGGTCAAAAAGAATTATCTGACCTGCCTTGCCTGAGGTCATAAGACTCTCATTCAAGAGGGGTCCTGCTCTGTACCTGGAGGCCAAGAAGACTCTGAACAAACAGGCCTTGCTAAGTTACCCTCAGTTTACTACCCTTAGATCACACTGTTTCAGGCTCCAATCACACTTTTGCATAACTGTCCATAAAAATACGTCATTTTCCCTGGGTTTTGGAGTCTTCATTTCTGAAGCCCCCTGTGTCACATAAAACTTACATTAAATACATTTGTATGCTTTTTCCTTATTAATATGCCTTTTAATATAGGGGCGTAAGCTGCAAACATTGCAATGGGTGAGAAAAAGATACTACCTTTTCTCCCCGACACAGTTAATTCTCATGTTTTTATCCCATTTTATAGATGAGGAAATTGAGGCACACAGTGTAAAAAACTTGCCAAGTTCTTTCAGCCTGGTAGCAGTCAAAGTGCAAAGCCAGGCAGTCTGATCCAAGGCCCTTACTCAAAACAAGCATGCAATACATTCTCAAAGTGTGCAGTCCATACTTCTATTCATCCGTTCATTCAATATTTGATGTGGATTATATCTTTTTCACATCTGTTCCTTTATTTCACACCTGTACTTTCCTTTATATTCTTCCCCCAAGCATTCTAAAATAAGCCCCTATTAAGTTCTCCTAACTGACGGCAATTGTCTCAGAATGAAGTCTTCTCGACTCCTCTCTGCTCTGTACCATACCTCTTATTTTATCATCATACATCTGCCAGTTTAATGTTTTCAAAATAAAGTGCAAATATTTTAGATTGGCATTTATAATGTCCTGTACATCCATGTTCCAATCTACCGAGTACCTAAAATACTTCTATGTGTATTTTATACGTTGTTCAAACAGAGTTTTTCATCACTCCTTGAGAATACCCTGTATTTTCCAAACTTTTATTGGCTTCAGATGCTATTTCCTCTACCAAGACTGGCCTCTCCTCCTGTCTTTAGAAATTCTAAGCCACTTTTCAAGGACTCTTTCAAATGTTAACTATAATAGGAATCTTTTCTCAAGCTCCAGGCTGAAACTGCTTTGTCCCTCCTTCCCCCTATCCTAGCATTTGAACTGTGCTTGTGGTATGAATCATACTGTATTTTACACTTAGTTATTTGTATACATATGGGCACACTTGGACTGGTGTGCTTATATAATATCCATAGGGAATATTGCATTAAAGTCTATTTAGGGAGGTTTTAAGATTAGGCTGGGTTTTGATAAGTGAATGAATTTTTTTTAGAAGGTGGGGGGGCGGAGAAAAATTAAGGCATGAGACAACTAGAAGAGAAAATTTCTATAAGGGAACAGGTAAAAAATGGGTCCAGACCATTGAAGACATTTAATTACTTATTAAATAATTTAGATTTAATCTTATATGGAATGGAAGACATCTAAAGGTTTCACAGTTAGGAATGGAGTACAGGTTAAGCGGTGTCCTGGGAAGATTAAACAAGTGTAGAGTGAGGATGGATTTGCAGATGGGAAGACTTGAGGCAAGGGGAGAGCCAACGGTGGAGCCAGGATGAAAATTCAATTATCCTTCTGGTTAAACTTGAATCAATCCTGAGATGTGATTGGCCAGAGAATATTACTGTATCAAAGAAATTGTCCCAAAGCAGCTACTTAACAGCAAGATCTTTCGGGTCAAAAGGACAATATCCCCCTTGGCAAACTATTTTATAATCAAGTTTTCTCTAACAGCAAGGAGAATTTCCAGGCTGTTATCTATTGTTAATAAAGGCCTATACCTCCACAGTTCTCTATTTTCTTTCTGATCCCTGGAAACACATCTCTGCATCTCCTTAATGGAGAAATAGAACCAATATTTGTAGAGGGATTATTAGATTTCACATTTAATCTTTACAACAAGGCTACAGTTTAGATATTATTTTCCCCATTTCACAGTTGTGGCAAAGAAGTCTCAAGAAGATTAGGTAACTTATTCAAGATCATATAGCTGGCACGTAGCAAGAATAAGAATTTAACTGCAAGTCTGGCTGGTAAAAATCTCATCCCCTTTCAAGGCCATAATGAACTTTTTATTTAAAATGAGGGCCTTCTTGAGACATATTGGTTAATGTGTTTCGTAGAACTTTCATTAAGATGTTCCATAAGATGCTGATTCTGGGGAAACAGGCCCAGGATTTACAATTTACCAAGAACTCTGACTCATTATTTGTAGAATTGAAGAATGAGGAAATTAATTGGTTTTCTAATGGTTTGCTTTCTTATGAATAGAGAAGAAGAAAACAATGGAACTTTTCTCATTTAAATAAAAAAGCCTGAGTAGTTCACCTTCTAAAATCTGAATAACTTATTTTGAGTTAGACACCCCAACTTTTAAAGATGAAGACAGGCATGATGGGTAGCACTGTATTTTATGAAGCCTCCGAGATCTCCAAAATTAATGAAAATATTCTTTTTCAGTTTGACTTCTCTGGTTGCCAGGCTCCAAGATGGCCCCCAGTGATCCTTGCTTCCTGGCATTTATTTTATGGAGCCCCCTTTTACATTGTGTGAGGACTGGTTTGCATGACCACTAGAATGCAATAATTATGTACTTCCAAGGATAGGTCATAAGGACATTGTGGATTCTGACTCTCTGGGATCGCTGGCTTGAAGACAGCCAGCAACCATGCTTTAAAAAGCCCATGTGATAAGGAGCCAAAATCTGCTACCAATCACATAAGTAAGCTCACAAAAATATTGTTCAGCCTCTTTAAGCCTTCAGATGACTGATGACTCTGTTGCTTTGAATTGTAACCTCATGAGAGATACTAAACCAAGCTACCCAGGGAAGCCATTTTAGAATTCCTGACCCCCAAAAAAGAGAGAACATCCTAGTTGGTCTCCTTGATTTCTTTTAATTTCTGGAAACACTGAATTGTTGGATGTTAGGAATATTATAAAGCTTAAGGATACTGTTTAATAGTTCATCGTTGTAAACGGGTGTGCATGTATATGCGTACATGCACATATACATGCATGTGGGATCAGCAACATAATTTGCAAGGCCCAGCGCAAAATGAAAGTACAAGTCCTCGTGTTCAAAAATTATTTAGAATTTCAAAATGGCAACAGCAGAGCCTTAAACTAAGGTCTGAGCATGAAGTCATGTGCATAGGTTGCATGCATATGAAATTGGCCTTGTGTGTTTGTGTTAAATAGTCACAGCTAATATTTATGGAGTGCTTCCCACACCCCAAATGCATACGCCACAATCATATTTTAAGTTAATCCTCACACAACCTTTTGAGGTAGGTCCTATTATTACTCCAATTTCAAATGATGAAAATGAAGCTTAGAGTTGCTGTTAACTTGCTGAAGTTCAAACAGGTATTAAATGACAGAACTGAGATTCAAACTTGCATAGAAATTCTGGAGTCCAGACTTAAAATTGCCTCATTGCAACTTTAAGGATATTGTTCCAGTTACTACTACAGCATTTAAAAAATTACCCCCAAATTAAGCAGCTAGAACTACCATTTTATTTTGCTTATAATTGTGTGGGTTAGGAATTCAGGGAAGACTCAGCTACACAGTTCTCACTTGGCGTCTGTGGTGAGGTTGCAGTCAGATTCTGGTTGGGGCTGCAGTTGTCTGGGAGATTGGACCTTGCAGTTGACTGGGAGTTCAGGTGTCAATCAGAGCAATCACACTTGGATCCTCCAGCATGGCAGGATCAGAATAATTGAATTTCTCCCATGGTGACCCACTCCCCCAGAATAAGTGTCCCGGAAGAACCACACAAAAGCTGCATGGCCTTTTCTGACTTAGCCTTGTAAATCACAGTGTTGCCTGTGTTGGTTCTAAGTAAGTTACTAAGCAGGTCCATGTTCAAAGGGAGAGAACATAAACCCCACATCTGGATGAAAAAATTATCAAAGAATTTGTGGATATGTTGTAAATTACCACAGAAATCAGCTGGATGGTTATCTGGAGTCAATGTATCTGTTTGAAATTTGCCCCCATTAAGGAGCTGCTTAATCTAATGAAATTTAAAATAGTCTGGATAATTGCTGATAAGTACAGATGAGATTTTATGATTAATTATTGTGGACAACACTGATAGAAGAAAAATTAAACTAACAGTGCTTGTTTATTTTACTAATTGACTAAGGCAGTCTAATTTGTAAGCAAGCATGTAGCAAAACCTTACAGGGAACATGATTTAACCTTGAGTCTTACCTTAATAATTAATATTTACATATGAAATAGCAACAGTATCACTTGTCTTAATAAAGATATTAATGACAATTATATTTATTCCTCATTGCTTTGTATATTGCAAAGTTGTATTTATATTTCTGAGGTGAAATGAATTGCTTAATAAGTTGCCATTTTTTAAAAATTTGTGAAAAATATACTTAACAATGATTTAACACTGTATGTGTGTGTGAGAGGAAAAAACAAGAGAAAGGCAGAAAGAAAAATGGATAAGAATTAAAGATAAATGCTTTGGACCAGGGGTTGGCAAACTACAATGGCCAAACTGCAGCAGCCAAATCTGGCCTGTTACTGCTTTTTGTGTTTTAATATAGCCTGAAAGCTAAGACATTGTTTTGGTTTTGGTTTTTACATTTTTAAGTCTTTTGTTAAAAAAATCAAAAGAAAATAATATTTAATGACATAAACATTTTAAAAATTAAAATTACGATGTCTATAAAGTTTTATTGGAACATGGTCATGCCAATTCATTTCCAGATTGTCTATGACTACTTTAGCACAACAATGGCAAAGTTGAACGGTTGCAATAGAGACCACGTGGCCCACAGGTGGTAAAAATTGCCTAAAATATTTACTGTCTGCCCTTTTACAGAAAAAAATTTACCAACCCTGATTTTAACAAAATGAGAATTAAGAATAACTGTTATTTCAGTTCTCTTCTCTTATTAGCATAAACCACAGAGCCACACAAAGCCAATTAATAATGCTGAAAGAAATAAGTTTGTGAAAATTTTAGTAAATGTTTAAAAATATGACAAGGTTTTTAAAGATATAAAATACATATAAATAATATAACAAGGTTTATTTTTATATATAAATATATAGAAATAATATAACAAGGTTTTTCCTGATTTTATACCTATGTTAACTGAGATATTTGTCCTACAATATCTTTTTCCATTCTGCGAGTGTGACGCTGCAAATTTAAACACACATCTTTAATAATAACTTTCAATAGTTACAAATCAAAGGGTTTAACAAGCAGAGTTTTCATAAATGTTTGTGCCACAGATGTGAAAGTTTATAGAGAATAAAGCTGGAAGTGTTTTTTCCATGTACTCCTTTATTTAATGCTGTTCTGTAAATTATTAAAGATATAGGTGTTCTTTTCAACAGAGTTTCTATTGTTTTAGCTATCACTAGCCGAGGATCAATGTGCTGACAGGTATCTCAACTGCAAATTACAATTTCAACCAGAGACTCATAAAGCTGGAACATTAGAGTTGGATTGTATATATTTTTCTTTAGTCTAGCTGTGGAAATAGATGTCTCAATAAAGAACAGCACTAATGACTACAGTTTGAAATCCCCCTCTAATAGACATATCCAATCACAAGTTAAATGACACAAGAACAGCAGCTTAGATACGATAAATGCGGAGTCTTTCACCTCTAAGCTAGACTGAATTTAATCTACTGTGAATGACATACTGATTTTATCTCCTATGGAAAATCAATCATTCAACATCTTTTCAGGGCTGATTGTTAAGTCTGTGAGAATGGATGGAATTACCCAGCCTGGGGACAGAGTCTGAATGTCTCATGGAGTAACACCTGGGCCAGCACTCTAAGAGCTGAGGCATGGACAGGGAGGAGCAGAAATGACCCTCAAGCTGTAGAGCATGGAGCCAAGAGAGTTCCAGAACACAATGGCCAGGTGGAATAAGGAGGCATCAAGTGTCTCCTGAGGTGAATTGCCTATGAAGTATATTAGCCAAAAATGTTTGAACTAACTCTAATCAAACTTTTTACATTTAACTTTTAGCAATGAGGAAATGAATATGATGAGAAAAAGTCTGACAAAGTCAGAATGTGAGGTTTTCTATAAGAAGACTAGCCTGGAGTCCTGGAAAAGTAAATATAGGGGCAGAGGGGAGTGAGGAAGGGGTAGAACAAAAAAAGATTATGAAAATATCCTTTTATAAAATATGAAAACTTTTTCAATTTCTAAAAATGTCTTAAATTGACATAAAATTGAATGTATTTATCATGTAAAACATGCCGTTTTGAAGTACATATACATTGTAAAATGGTTACATCTAACAAATTAACATATTTATTATCTCATACTTCTCATTTTTATGACAAGAACACTTAAAAACTACTCAGCATTTTTCAAGAATATAATATCATTATTAACTGAAGTAATCATGCTGTTCAATAAATCTCTTGAACTTATTCCTCCTAGAATTTTGTATTCTTTGACCAACAAACTCCTAAACCCACCTACTCAACTCTTCCAGCTTCTGGTAACCACTCTTATACTCTCTACTTCTAAGAAATCAACATTTTTATATTCCAAATGTGTGTGAGATCATGCAGTAATTCTCTGTCTCTGGTTTATTTCACTTAATATAATTACCTCCTGGTTCATCCACGTTGTCACAAATGACAAGATTTTGTATTTTTTACGGCAGAACGGTATTACATTGTGTATATACCATATTTTCTTCATCCATGCAACCACTGATGGACACTTAGGTTGATTCCATATCTTGACTATTGTGAATAGTGCTTCAGTAAACACGGAGTGCAGATATCTTTTCAACATACTGATTTCATTTCCTTTGGATATGTACCCCTTAGTGGGTTTGCCGTATCTTATAGTAGTTCTATTTTTGTTTGAGGAACTTCCATACTGTTTTCCATAATGACTCTACTAATTTAAATTCCTACGAATATTGTGCAAGAGTTCTGTTCTCTCCACATCCGCACTATCATTACCTTTTTGTCTTTTTCATAAGAGACATTTTAACAGACCTGAACTGATATCTCATTGTAGTTTTGATTTGCGTTTCTCTGATAATTAGTAATGTTAAACATGTTTTTATATATCTGTTGGCCATTTGTATGTCTTCTTTTGAGAAACGTCTATTCTAGTATTTTGCCCATTTTTAAATCGGATGGTTATCTTGCTATTAACTTGTTTGGATTCCTTATTTTTTTTGGATATCAATTTCTTATCAGATGTGTAGCTTGCAAACATTTTCTTACATTCTGTAGGTTGCCTCTTCATTTTGTAGATGGTTTCTTTTGCTGTGCAGAAATTTTCTAGTTTGATATAATCCCATTTGTCTAGTCTTGCTTTTGTTGCCTGTCCTTTTGAGGTTTCAACCAAAAAAAATTATTAACCAAACCAATGTCACAGAGCTTTTCCCCTACATTTTCTCTGAGTAGTTGCATAGCTTCAGGTATTATATTTAAGTCTTTAATCCAGTGTGAGTTGATATTTTATATGATGTGAGACTAAGGTCTAGTTTTATTCTACTTCATATAGATATCCACTTTTTCCAACACCATTTATTAAAGAGACTGTTCTTTCCTTGTTGTATATTCTTGGCACCTTTGTCAAAAATTAATTAGCCAATTAAATGTGTGGATTTGTTTCTGGGCTCTCTATTCTGTTTCATTGGTCTATGTATTTCCTATGTATTTCTTTTTATGTTAGTACCATGCCATTTTGGTTACTATACCTTTATAGTACATTTTGAAGTCAGGATGTGATGCCGCCAGCTCTGTTTATTTTGCTCAGTACTGATTTGACTATTTGGAGTCTTTCATGGTTCCATTCAAATTTTAGGATTTTTTCTATTTATGTGAACAACAATATCGTATTTTCATAGAGATTGCATTAAACTTGTAGATTGCTTTGGGAAGTACGGACATTTAAAAAATATTAATTCTTCTAATCCTTGAGCACAGGATATCATTCCATTTATTTGTATCTTCAATTTCATCAATGTTTTATAGTTTTCAGTGTAGAGATTTTTCACCTCTGCAATTAAATTTATTCCTAAGTACTTTATTTTTTGTAGCTATTATAAATGAGATTGTTTTCTTACAGTGCACTATCTGAAAAATTGAGAAAACAATCTATTGTGTTGAGATACAAGTTTTTATAAAGGGACATTGAATATTTTTAAATGCCTTTTCTGCATCTATTGAAATGATTGTATGGTTTTTCTCCTTCATTCTGTTAATGTGATGTATCGAGTTTATTGATTTGCATATCTTGACCCATCCTTGCATCCCCGAGATAAATCCCACTTGATCGTGGTAAATTATCTTTTTAGTGTGCTGTTGAATTTGATTTCCTAGTAATTTGTTGAGGATTTTTTGTATTTATGTTCATAGGGATATTGGCCTATAGATTTCTTTGTGTGCACTTGTCTGGTTTTTGATATTATGGTAATGCTGACCTCATAGAATGACTTTGAAAGTTATCCCTCTTTAATTTTTTGGATAGTTTGGGAAGAATTTATGTTAGTTCTTCTTTAAATATTTGATAGACTTCAGCAGTAAAACTGTCAGGTCCTAGTCTTTTCTTTAATAGGAGACTTTATTACTAACTCAATCTCCTTACTTGTTAATGCTCTGTTAAGATTTTCTATTTCTTCATAATTCAATTTTGATACATTGTATGTGTCCAGGAATTTATCAATTTCTTCCAGTTTGTTGGGATATAATCGTTCATAAGTCTCTTTTTTAAATTTAGCTTTGTTGTGATTATTATTATAGCATTATTGTTATTATTATTATTAGAGACAGAGTCTCACACTGTTGCCCGGGCTGGAGTGCAATGGCACAATCTCTGCCTCCCAGGTTCAAGCGATTCTCCTACTTCAGCCTCCTGAGTAGCTGGGATTACAGGAACCTGTCACCACGCCCAGCTAATTTTCTGTATTTTTAGTAGAGACAGGGTTTCACCATGTTGGGCCAGGCTGGTTTTGAACTCCTGACTTCGTGATCCACCCGCCTCAGCCTCCCAAAGTGCTGGGATTACAGGCATGAGTCAACACACCTGGCCTGTATTTTTTTTAAAACTTATTATTTCCATAGGATTTTGGGGAACAGGTGGTATTTGGTTATATGAGTAAGTTTTTTTAGTGGTGATTTGTGAGATTTTGGTGCACCCATCTCCCAGGCAAGCAGTATAAGGCTGAAGCCAATTTTCTTATGATCCTTTGTATTAATGTGGTCTCAGTTGTAATGCCTTTTGTTTCATCTCTAATTTTATTAGAGTCTTCTTTTTTTTTTTTTTTTTTAGTTTAGGCTAAAGGTTTGTTGATTTTATCTTTTGAGAAAACCAATTCTTCATTTTTTCATCATTTCTACTGCTTTTCTAGTCACCAGTTTATTTATGCTCTGATTTTTGTTATTTTCTTCCTTCTAGTAATTTTGGGTTGAGTTTGTTTTCATTTAGTTCTATAAGGTGCAATGTTAGGTTGTTTGAGATTTTTTTTTCTATATAGGTATTTATTACTATAAACTTTCCTCTTAGAACTGCTTTGGTTCTAACCAATAGGTTCTTTTATGTTGTATTTCTATTTAAATTTGTCTCAAGAAATTTTAAAATAATTTCCCTTTTAATTTCTCTATGAATCCATTGGTTGAGGAGAATGTTGTTTAATTTCTATGTATTGGTGTATTTTTCTACATTTTCTACATTTCTTCTGCTACTGATTTTTAGTTTTCTACCATTGTAGTCAGAAAAGATACTTGATATGATTTCAATCTTTTGATTTACCAAAACTTGTTTTGTACCCTAACATATCATCTATAATGGAGAACGTTTCATGTGCTGTTGGTTTTCTCAAAAAGCTAAGAAAAATGTGTATTCTGCAGCTGTTGGATGAAATGTTCTGTATTTGTCTGTTGGGTTCATTTGATCTAGTGTATAGAGTTTAAGTACAAAGTTTCCCTATTTCTTTCTGCTTTATGTTTCCATTGCCAGAAGTGGAGTGTTGACAGCCCCTACTATTATTGTATTGCAGTCTATCTCTTCATTCATATCTATTCATACTTGCTTTACATATCTTGGTGCTTTGGTGTTGAGTGCATAAATATTTTCAATTTTTACATCCTTTTACTGAGCTGACCTTGTTATTATATAATGATCTTCTTTGCATTCTTTTACAGTTTTTGACTTAGGATTTATTTTATCTGATATAAGTGTAGCTACTCTTTCTCAATTTCCATTTGCACAAAATTTTTTTTTTCATCCTTTCACTTTCAGTGTATTCTTGCAGGTAAATGAATCCCCTGTACATAGCAGGTAGTTGAATCGTTTTTTTTTAATCCATTCAGCTACTGTTTTTTCATTAGGTAATTTATTTACATTCAAGGGAATTACTGGTAGGAAGCACTTACTACTGTCATCTTGTTTTCTCATTGTTTTGTAGGTCCCTTGTTTCTATGTCTCTTGCTGTCTTTCTTTGTGGTTAAGTGATTTTCTGTAGTGGTATGTTTTGGTTCCTTGCTTATTATTATGTGTATATCTACTATAGATTTTCTTGTGTGCCTATCATGAGGATTACAATAAATATTTTATAGTTATGTTATTATAAGCTGATAACAACTTCTTTGATCATCAAAAATACTTTAAACTTTTATTTCACTACCCATCTCACAGTTTGAATTCTTTGTGTCCCAGTTTGTTTTTATATTGCATATCTCTTAACAAATTAGTATAGCTACTATTGTTTACCCTGCTTCTAGGAGTGAATAAGGCAAGCTACTATTATTTTTAATGGTTCTTAAAATATTGTAATATTATGTGATGTGGTATGGCTCTGTGTCCCCACCCAAATCTCCTCTGGAATTGTAATCCCCATGTATCAAGGAAGGGACCTGGTAGGAGGTAATTGGATCATGGGGACAATTCTCCCATGCTGTTCTCATGATAGTGAGTGAGTTCTTATGAAATCTGATTGTTTAAAAGTGCCAGTTTCCCCTTTGCTTGCTCTCTCTCTTTCCTACCATCATAAAAGATGTGCCTTGCTTCCCCTTCACCTCCCACCATGATCATAAGTTTCCAAGGCCTCACCAGTCATGTAAAACTGTAAGTCATTTAAACCCCTTTTGTTTATAAATTACTCAGTCTCAGGTGATAACTTTATAGCAGTGTGAGAACAGACTAATACAGAAAATTGATACTGGGATAGTGGGATACTACTGTGAAGATAACCTGAAGATGTGGAAGCAACTTTGCAACTGGGTAACAAGCATAGGTTAAAATAGTTTGGAGGGCTCAAAAGAAGACAGGAAGATATGGGAGTGTTTGGAATTCCCTAGAAAGTTGTTGAATGGTGTGGCCAAAATCCTGATAGTGACATGAACAATGAAGTCCAGGCTGAGGTGGTCTTAGATGGGGATGAGAAACTTGTTGGGAACTGGAGCAAAAGTCACCCTTGCTATGCTTTAGCAAAGAGACTGGTGGCATTTTGTCCCTGCCCTAGAGATCTGTGGAACTTTGAACTTGGGAGAGATGATTTAGGGTATCTGGCAGAAGAAATTTCTAAGCAGCAGAGCATTCAAGATATGACCTGGCTTTTTCTGAAAGCTAGTCATAAGTATTTACAAAGAGGTGATCTGATCTAAAATTGGAACTTATGTTTAAAAGGGAAGCAGAGCATAAAATTTGGAAAATTTGCCACCTGACCATGCAGTAGAAAGGAAACACCCATTATGTGGAGAGAAATTCAAGCTGGCTGCAGACATTTGCATAAGTAACAAGGAGCCAAATGTTAACAGCAAAGACATTGGGGAAAATGTCTCCAGGGCATTTCAGAGATCTTCACAGCAGCCCCTCCCATCACAAGTCTGGAGGGCTAGGAGAGAAAAATGGTTTTTTGAGCCAGGCCCAGGGCCCCACTGCTCTGTGCAGGCTCAGTACATGGTATAGCTTGGGCTGTGGCTTCAGAAGATGCAAGCCCTAATCCTTGGCAATTTCCACATGGTGTTGGGCCTGCATGTGCTCAGAAGACAATAGTTGAGCTTTGGGAGCCTCCACCTAGATTTCAGAGGATGAATGAAAATGCTTGGATGTCCAGGCAGAAGTCTGCTGCAAGGATGGAGCCCTCATGGAGAACCCCTGCTAGAGCAATGCAGAGGGGAAATGTGGGATTGGAGCCCCCCCACAGAGTTCCCACTGGGGCACTGCTTAGTGGAGCTGTGAGAAGAGGGCCACCCCATTCTCCAAATCCCAGAATAGTGGATCTACTGACAGCTTGCACCATGCTCCTGGAAAAGCCACAGACACAGGTCTTCGGAGCCCACCCCTGGCATCAGCATGCTCTGCATGTGAGACATGGAGTCAAAGGAGATCATTTTTCAGAGATTTAAGATTTAATGACTGCCCTGCTGGTTTTCAGAATTGCATGGGGCCTGTGGCCCCTTTTTTTTTTGGCCAATTTCTCCCACTTGGAAAGGGAACACTTACCCAATGCCTGTAACCCCATGGTATCTTGGAAGTAACTACCTTATTTTACAGGCTCATAGGCAGAAGGGACTTGCCTTGTCTCAGATAAGTCTTTGGACTTGGACTTTTGAGTTAATACTGGAATGAGTTAAGACTTTAAGGGACTGTTGGGATGATTGATTTTGCAATGTGAGAAGGACATGAGATTTGGGAGGGGTCAGGATTGAATGTTATGGTTTGGCTCTGTGTCTTCACCCAAATCTCATCTGGAATTGTAATCTCCACATGTCAAGGGAGGGACCTGGTGGGAGGTGATTGGATCATTGTGGTGATTTTCCCCATGCTGTTCTCATGATAGTGAGTTCTCATGAGATCTGACAGTTTAAAAGTGGCAGTTTCCCCATTTGCTTGTTCTTTCTCTTTCCTGCTGCCATGTAAGACATGCCTTGCTTCCCCTTTACCTCCCACCATGATGGTAAGTTTCCTGAGTCCTCACCAGCCATGCAGAACTGAGTCAATTAAAACTCTTTTGTTTATAAATTATCAAGTCTCAGGTATACAGCAGTGTGAGAGCAGACTAATACATTGCATCTATATAGATGAATGTTAATTTGGAAATATATACTACAGTGTTCAGGTAAATTCATTTCTGCAATTTACTTTAAACCAGTTGAGCATATATAAAGATAAAACTATATCAACACGAATGTAGTAGGTATATGTGTGTTAATTCTACTTTTTTGTATGGTTGAAAATTTTATTTAAAAATCCATAAAAACTTTATGAGCAAAGAAGAGATATGCCTTATCAAAGCATTTATCTAAGGTTTTCACTAGAATGACAGAATCCAGCTGTGCCACAAAAAGTAGTGCGGAGAAAGGAGGAAGTGGGAGCTAGAGTGATGCCCTTAGATGCTGCATATAACCAAGAGGTTTTCCATGCCCTGGATCACCCTTATCAATAGCATGGAAGTTAATAACATCAGAAAAACTGAACCCTGTGCTCTCCACCGAATCCCTTTTCTGTTTCCAAACTTCAGTTTATTCTTCTATTGGCCTTCCTGATAATCTTACAAGACCATGTTGAAGTTTTACATTAGTTCTTAGTTATGCATCTCCTTCACCTTTTATAAATATTTAAAATCTCATAAGGCTCTACGAAGATGAGCAACACCATATTTGCTTCCATCTCTTTTGAGTCATATGAATCTTTTACTTTTATATTTGGAATTTTACTCTTGAAAACTCTCAAGCTTTGGAGACTGTTTCCTTTTATGCTTTCAGGCTACAAGAGTATGCCTATTTTAGCTCTTACTTGGAATTTGCTTTCCCAAAATTAAGGCACTTCCCTTTGTTCACCATTCTTTTTCCAGGACTGCATGAGATCTTCAAGGGTGGTAGTCATTCTGTTCCAAGTTCTAGAATATTTAATTAATTGACTAGCCCCAAATTAGGTTCAAAGTAGCAGATATCAAGTTTCTAACTCTAACTTCTGAGAAATTAAATAATCAAGAAGTACAGAATTTAGCTTTGAGTGCTATTTAGCTCAGATAATTCAGCAGATACCTGAATACCTAAATTCCTCAGTACTCATTTCGCCTTTGTAATCTGTGGAAAGAATAAGACACATTTTTCCTCCATTTGGCCACTTATGTTTTTATCCTCACTTAAATGCTGTACTTCCTCTGTCCTTGATTTTCTCAGGTATTCCTTTATAACAAACTTTATTATTCCATATTATCTCTTGCCCACTTTTGCCAACGGTTTCCAAACAAATGAGGAATGGAGTCAGAAATAGAGAACAGAAATCTGACTTCACAGTATCACACTGCTTTTCCTTCTAGCCAACATGAAAAAACAGGTTGGTGAGTGAGGGGCTTTCATTAGAAAGAGTCTGTTAGCTCCTGTTAATGAGGAAAGGGAAGGCTAGACATCAACATCACCCCTAAAAAATTAGGTTTAAGAATGCTGACTTAAAACCCAGCCTCTAGAACAGCAATCCAGGTGGAAATAACCAATGAATACAATTGGGGGACTGGGGAGAACAAAATTATAAGGAAACTAAACCCTAATCACACATGTGACTGCTTTGGGGTGTTACAACCCAAACCCAAAATGGGTTACTTTGGCTTCCTTTGGAAATTGCGTCTCAGTAGCAGTCAAACTATTGTCTAACTGGAGTAACTTCCATCATATTAAATGCCCACCAAGCCCATTCAAGGGAGGATGCCTAGCACAAAGGAGTATCCTGACCTGGGACTAGTACAGGTTCCACTATTTACTTGTCAGTTGCACCCACAAAAAACAGGAATGTGTTCCTAAAGTCCTACGTGTTAAGGCTGCTTGTATTAGATTAACCCATATGAATAGGTTAAGAAGGAGTCCCCATAGATTCCTCTTTTCATCTAAAGACAAATTCATATGCTTCAACCTATAGAACAGAAGGTGGGATAATCATTTTAGGTAGAGGAATAAAACATGTCATAAGTGAGGAGACAGTAAGAGAGAGCATATAACTACTCTGTACTGAACTTAAAACACTAGGTTCATATTAATTCTAACTTGAAGAAACATGATCTCAGAGCCAGGTTAGTAATTTGGAAAAATGTTTATAGAATATCCAGATGCCTTGAAATTATTATGTTCAATCAGAAAAAAAGGAAGGAATATGGAAGCTACAGATGTGGGTATGTGGCAAAAATCTAAATATTCAGGAACTGATTATACAGTTAGTTTGTGAGCATTTATTTTTAAAAAGACAATGTAGTGATTGCTAAAGCAATAGTGTGTCTTGAACAAACAGCCAAAGCATACTTACCAGTGAAACAAGATAGAAAAAATAATTTAGAAACACTAAATCTGGAAAATTGCATACAAAATTTTCATTATTTCTAGATAATATAATTGTATAATCAGAAAATTATAGAGAATCAATTGAAAACCCAGTTGAATTAATAAGGCAGTTCAGTAAATTAGCTGAATAAAAGATAAACAAGAAAAATCAATAGCTTTTCTACGTTCTTCCAGCAACCATTAGAAACTTTAGCAAAGGTGAATTCACAAAATGGCACCTGGCTGGTAAGATGTGAATCAGCCTTGTTCTGTTTCCCAAGAAGATAGCTATGAAAATGCAGAAGTGATGCATTTTAACAATGCTGAAAATTAGGACTACAAGCCAAGTAATTGCAGAAATCAGGAAATATTTGCATTAATAGTAAGAACTATTGAGATTAAATGATCATTACAATGTATAGCCAAATTAGACACATATTTCCCATTATTCATCTTTTATGGTTAAACAGTTAAGAAATAGTGATTTATTTGCTTCTTAGGAATTATAAAAATATAAGGTCAAGCATCATTCAAAGTTAAGGTTAAATTTAAAACCATGTAAAATTAGAAAATAATTTGAAGAGAAACAAGGATAACAGTGACGAAAAAGTTGTCTACATAGCAATAGGTAAATGGAAAAGGAGGAGGAGGAGGTATGAGGTGACAGGAAGCAGAAGAAGAAAAAAGAAAAGAGAGAAGAAAGAGCAGTGATAGGAGGAAAAGTGAATAAAAAATAGAAAATAAAAACAATATGGAAGTATTAGGCAAAATATACAGTTACGGCAATAAATTAAAATGTGTTGTCCCGGCACAGTGGCTCATGCCTGTAATCCTACCACTTTGGGAGGGAAGGGTTGGGCGGACACGAGGTCAGGAGTTCCAGACCAGCTTGGCCAACATGGCAAAACCTGTCTCTACTAAAAATACAAAAATCGGCCGGGCGTGGTGGCGGGCACCTGTAATCCCAGCTACTTGGGAGGCTGGGGCAGGAGAATAACTTGAACTTGGGAGGGGGAGTTTGCAGTGAGCCGAGATCATGCCACTGCACTCCAGCCTGGGGGACAAGAGTGAAACTCTGTCTCAAGAAAAAAAAAAATGTGTTAAAGACAAAGTCTCCAGTAGTGAACCTTAAACGAAATACAACCAGACATCATTCATAAGAATGACTGAAAAAAGTGATATTAAAAAAAAGTTTAAAAGTCTAAGCATACAAAAAGCTTTTCAAACAAAAGAGAGTGATTAAAAAGTATAACTAGCATGAGTCATTAAGTATTAAATAAGAGCAACGAAAACACAAGAGTAATTTTTTTAAGAAAAAATAAGAAGAAAAATGACAGAAAAGCCAGCAGGAAACAACACACCTCCCTCAGTCTTTGATCAATTAGGAAAAATAATAGACGTTCTAAACTGGATAATAATATAGATCTGGCCGGGCACAGTGGCTCACACCTATAATCCCAGCAGTTTGGGAGGCCAAGGCGGGCAGATCACCTGAGGTCAGGAGTTTGAGACCAGCCTGGCCAACTTGGCAAAACCCCATCTCTACTAAAAATACAAAAATTAGCCAGGCATGGTGGCAGGCACCTGTAATCCCAGCTACCTGGGAGTCTGAGGCGGGAGAATTGCTTGAACCCGGGAGGCGGAAGTTGCAGTGAGCAGAGATCACACCACTACACTTCTCCAGCCAGGGTGACACAGCAAGACTGTGTCTCAAAAAATAATAATAATAATAATAATAATATAGATCTAACTTTAGATTCACAGTTTTCAAAAGTATATAGTTAACATTTACCAGAAGAAAACTTTTCTTTCATTCATTCAATAGATATTAATTGCTTACCTGTATGCCCAACGCCCCTAGTACTCTGACTCAAACATAGTGCTATTAAGTGTTAGAACATGAGAACCCCAGGACTCCCCCCAAAGCAGAAATTTATCTGACTATACTCTCCGATCACAATGTAACAAAACTGGAATTGAACATACACACACACACACACACACACACACACACAGCCCTCTTCTTCAGTAATCCTGGGGAGAAATGAAATCAACTGCAATTAAAAATATTTAGAAATTGTTTTAAGTGAAAAAATTATAAATTAATGACAATGAAAGCATGATATATAAAAATGTATGGGATATAGGCACAGTTTAACTCAAATGCCAATACACAGTTTTAAGGTATTTCGTTGTTAGATAGGAAATATCACAATAATCAAAGCACTTAACTCTCGACAGAAAGGTAGAGCAGCATAATTAATTAAAATGCATTTGATTAGGATATAGAAAGTCAAAAGAGACCATAACTCTCACCCTAATAACAAAAACAAATCAAGTAAGTTGCAACATCATAGTTTTTAAGCCAATTAGGAATCTGAAGATACGAAGAAATCTAAATTAATTCAATAAATGAATGAGCCAAGCCTTTCATAGGAGAAAAAAAGACCACAGCTGCTTATGTTTCAGGCATAATGACAGGAATGAGGACAAATGTACCACAGATGGGTTGAAGGAGGAATGAACAGAACTTTTAACAAACTTTTAACCACCATATGGCATTACACACTAGAATTCAAAGAAGCCCCAGTCAGAGTGTATCTACACCCACACGCCAACATTTTCCAATAGTCCTTCACCTGGTACAAAAAGAATGCCCCAGCATCCCAAAAAGCTGGCAGTCAGAATATAGAGGAGAGAGAGATCACCCATAGTTAGGAAAGCTGGTGGTTCACCTGTAAAGCACCAAGAAATTTCTGGAAATTTTCCAATGTATAATCCCAAACACTATTGAAAGGAAAGTCCTGATCCCACTTTCAAAAGTGTTGAAGCCAGTGGTGAACTGAGTCAAATGAAAGGCAAATGAATTAATTAATTAATGAACGAATGAGTGAACAGCTCAACAACAACAGATAACCACACTAACTTAGGTGCTCCTCTAGCAGTTGACAAGAAAAGCAGCATGCTTTTTTTAGGAGGTAAATATTAACTTTAGTGTCTAGTATCCTTTTATGCAAAATGTTCTCTATATAATCAAACACTATGAGACACAAAAATAAGCATAACACTGTGGCCCATGGTCAAGGTAGAAAAGTGTCAACAGAAGGCGGCCCAGGAATGGCTCAGAGGTTGGATTATTATCTTTAACTTATCTGTGATAAAAATGCTAACAGATTCAGGGAGAAATGTAGACAACATGCATGAAGAGAGAATTTCAGCAAAGAATTGGGAGCTATATTTTTTAAAAGCTTCCAATGAAAATTCTAAAACTGGAAAAGAGAGTATCAGAAATGTTCAGGGGAAGTATCAGAACAGACATTCTCACCTTCTTCCTGATGTTAAGGGAGAAGCATTTAGTCTTTAACTGTTGACGTATAAGGATAATTGTAGACTAGAAGGGAGTGACTTTTTCAGATGTCCTCAAATGGAAGAAATTCCCTTTTTGGTTTGCTGGGAGTTTATTATAAATGAAGATTGAATTTCATCACATGTCTTTTTTTCATCAATTAAGTTAATACAGTTAAGCATCAGAAGTGCGATTCTCTAGAATGACTGAATCATGGAAGCATGGTAAAATCATTGTTTGGGGGAAGTGTAAGGAACAAAGAAAGATTAACTTTTGATGCCTAGGTAGCTACCAAGTCCCCTTGGGTATGAGACAGCAGCCATGCTATGATCAGTTACTAGAAGTGAAAGTTACCAGTAGAATTTAGAAGTGGTAGACCCAACTCCTAAGTAGTTTGCTCACTGGATACATAAGGAAATGCAAAATAATGATAAGCAAGCTAAATATACAGTCCTTTGGTTTTTCTTTTATCTGTAATAGCTAAGCTCAAAATAAAGCAAAATGTTGGGGTAGACACTGTTACTGCATCAACCTTAGGTTTGGGACAATCTGAGCTAGAGCATGTAGCCTTAAAGCCGCTATGAAAGGGAAAAAATAATAGTGAAAAATCACTACGGTGGGAGGAAACAAAAAAACTACTGAAATCAGGCAGCATAATGTGAAGGAATTGTTTCCTTTTGCAGTTCAGTATCATCGGCTTCCTGAAAAACCTTTACTAAATGGATTGAGTGACTAATTTAGAAGTCTTCTTAGTTTTGAATGTTGCAAAATGGAGAAGCATGGATTGATGCAAGGCATACAGATCACTATTGAATAATAGGTGACTGTACAAATCCCCTGGGGGGAGGCCCGGCACATAGCTGGCAAGTAGACTACATCAGACCACTACTGGTAACCCAGGGAGGCTATCAATGGGTCTCGACAGAATAGACACTTACATGGGACAGGGCTTTGCATACTTGTGGTAGACACAAATGCTCAAAACAACATAAATGAACTAAGACAGAACATACTATGCCAGTTCGTACCACCAAGCTACATTCCTTCAGACGGAAGAACACAGTTTATAACCGATAGCAAGAGGACAATTTAATAATTATTCTTAAAATATAACAATGGCTTCTACATCTGCATTTTCAGTATTTAGAATTTGATTGTGATTAACATTTACATAACTATGATAAAAATATGAGTAACCTGAACGCCTATATAAATTTTATATAACCCTTCATATTTGCTCTCTGTATTCTTTAAACTCTAATAAATTACATCTTTTCCTTAAACTGCTTGGTTTCTAGAAAAGTAGCACACACAGCAAATACACAAGAATCTATAATGATACTAGCATGATAACACAGAGAAACTAATTACAGGGATTTTTAAAAGCAAAATTCAAAAGGAAGGTGGGAGGGGAAGCAAAGAAAGAAATCATTTAACAAAACCATTCAGCAAAACAAGTGATGGGAAACAGGAAATGCTTAAGGCACTGATACAGCAGCAATTATATCCATATCTCCCATTAACTTTCTATTTGATGCCTCAGGGAGTCTTAACTGACATCCCTGGGAGACATCATTCTGGAAGGTTGGTTTACTTTCTTGTCGTTTTCTTTTAGAATAATTTTTTTTAAGGAAAATCGGTATATTTTACATAGTAAATCTTCCCACCCTTAAAATGTTATATAAAAATAAATATATAATAATATATACATATTTAGGTCTTTCTTCAATATTTTCCTTCATAAATATCTCATTGTGTTTTGTATTTTAGTTTCTGTTGTGAATATTTAAAAATCATATTTCCTAATCTGTTTCTATTAGACACCATTGATTTTTTTTAAAAAGTTGTGTAGTTTGACACTGAACTATTACCTAACAATCCTGATAAACACTCTCATTTGTCCCAATAAATTATCTGTAGATATTTCAATATTTTCAACAAAGACCATATTATTTGTGAACACTTTTGATTATTTTCTTTCAATTGCTACATTTTTCTTTCTCCTTCCCTCTCTCTCTTCCTCTCTCCTTGATTCCATTTTTCTTTCCTTTTTTTTTATAAATATATATTTTTTCCTATACTTTAAGTTCCAGGGTACATGTGCACAATGTGCAGGTTTGTTACATATGTATACATGTTTGTGTGGTGCACCCATTAACTCGTCATTTACATTAGGTATTCTTTTAGAATTATTAAACTCATCATTAATGGTATTTTTAAAAAAGTAACATACACAAAAAAATTACATATAGTTAAGAATTTGTTTTGTAAATGAATTGCTTGAATATTTTGATTTTTATTGAGTATGGTAGGAGATGAATGGGTCTCCTACCCATTCATGAATGATTCATTCATTAATGATAAACATTCATTCCTTTATACCTGACAAAGGCCCCCATTTTGTACATTTTTCCCATGTAGTGATGAAGAAGTACCAGAGAAACTACAGGCCTCTCTCAGGCTAAGAGCATCCAGGGATTCATGTAGCCATCTGTGTAAAGGCTGGCAAGAATATTTAAGTTTATCTGATTGAATGTCCTCATTTTGATATAGGAGAAGTTTCAACTTCACTGATACTCACCCAGGACGGTTAGTTGCTAGTCTAGAGTGAAGCCACAATTTTCTCACCATATTGTTTTTGCTACTCTCCACTTCACCTACATTTCTTGATCCATCATATTCTGTGTTAAACTGGGAATCAATTTATATTACTCAGGATTAGCAAACAGAACTAATAGAATATGTGTGTATATATAGAGAAAGACATTTATTATAAGAAATTAGCTCATGTGATCATGGAGACTGGCAAGTCCAAAATCTGTAGTGTGTATCCACAGGCTGGAGACCCAGGAGAGATGATGATGAAAATAAAATCCAAAGATATCTGCCGAAGAATTATCTCTTGCTCAGGAAATTTAGTCTTTTTGCTCTATTTGGACCTTCAACTAATTGTGTAAGGCCCACCTGCACTATGGAGTGAGATTTGTTTTACTCAAAGTTCACAAAGTGTTAATCTTATCCAAAAACACCCTCCAACCCGACACATACAATTGGCTATCACACAATTCCTCAAATATTTTCCTGGTAATATACTGTCATTGATCTTTGCTAAAGTTGGGGGATTTAGACAGCAGACAAAACTTAGTTTCACTCCTTTTTTCTTCCCTGAGGTAGGTAGAGTTGAAGCCTAGAAGGGAGCAGTGCTGAGCATCCTAGGAGATGTCCAGGAAGAAACAGGACAAACCAGGTGTGGGAAATGAAGAAAATAAAACACCATAAACTTGAAGGAAATAAATATTCTCAAAACACAGATATTTCCATATCCCAATAATTTATCTACAGTAAGGATGTTTAAATTATGTAAA
Source organism: Homo sapiens (assembly GCF_000001405.40). Classification (NCBI taxonomy): domain Eukaryota; kingdom Metazoa; phylum Chordata; class Mammalia; order Primates; family Hominidae; genus Homo; species Homo sapiens. The sequence goes on along the minus strand of NC_000002.12, from coordinate 180,159,723 downwards.
TTTTCACATCCCTCAGTACCAGACTTAACTATATTTGAAATCGCAACTATTTCATATTCATAGAGCCAATGGGACAGCCAGGTTTCCTAGAAATAAGATGATCAAATAGCAAGATGATATAGATTTAGCTATTCTCAGGTCAGTAGTAGTAGTCAGTGGCCCATAAGCAAAATGCAAGCTCTGTAATAAATGCCATGAAGGTCACAGAAAGCTGGAAGGCTTAAAGGCAGGTGGAGAAACTGCATTCAAGAGTTAAGGGAAATTCACACAAGGATCCCAGATACGTATCTACCTTGAGAAGTCACATAGGAAACTTTCATTCAAAGTCTCAAACTGTATGGATAAGGGATGAACTTAAAGATGTTAAAATTCCATCTCTGTAATTCTGACAAGCATTGATATTTATGACAATGAAATTATTTAAACGTAAGTATTATCATTAATTATCTTCCATTTATGTCTTCTGGTTCATTTGGCTTTCTGATTCATACTTACAAGCATTAAGTTTACTTTGAATACAATTCAAGGACAGTGCTTTATTGCAAAATAACTTGCATATGAAACTAGTCTTTTTAGGGGCACCATCTGTTCTTCGTGACACTTTAAATGAAGGAGATTTCAGTTGCTAAATATTCCACAGAAACATATGAAGAAAATTCAAAGGGTTTGGGTTTCTAAGAAAATACAATGTCCCCTAAACATGAAATAAAACTCTTTATTCAAAGGGTTTGCAATAACAAATAAATGTTTAATTATAGTTGATATTCATAGACCTTCTCTGGAAAAGCAAAATAGAATGTGAATTAGATAAATCTTTTTGTAAAGCAAGTGAAATGATGAAAGTCAGTGGTATTCTTATTTATAATCATGTAAGGACAGAAACAAATGGTGGTTAAGCAATTTGCCCAAAGTCAAATGGTTCTGAAAAGGCTATTTAATTTGTCCCCCCTTACTCAAGATGAAAATATGAGTCAATTGTCCAAGGACAGAGTTGAGCCTCGGAGGACAAGTTTTCTAATGGCATGTCTTTGGAAAGGTTATTGAGACTTACTAGGCCTTAGTGTCTCACTTTTAAATATCTTAAATATGCTAGAACATCTCACAGACATAATTAATGAATACTAGTTTAGATTTCAAAGTCATTGCAAATGAGTTATCTCATAAATGTTAGGCATAAAAGTACTGATTAGTAATGTTCTGAGCTACTTGGATGAAAGGTTTTCATGAACAGCTCAGTTGGACTATTACAAAAGAATTGGAGCTGCCATCTTTTGTGAACCACTTTAATCTATAACAATCTACCCTGTCAATAAACCAGTTAAACTGTAGCTTTGTTGGAGAGCTAGGGTCAGAAAGTATTATTGTAGATTGCCATTTTGCTCTCTACATGGTGCACCACACATCATTTTAAAATGATATGCTGTGTTCAATATTTTGCATGACTGGAGGATAACTCTAGACTTGAATTTATTGCCACAGATACTTGCAGCTAAATCATATAAGATTACTTCAACCATTATTTTCAAGATATCAGCTAGCATAACTGATGCTAAACCATTTTATATATAAATTCAGTTTGTCTCATTTTTCATTTACTACTTTATTGCTTTACGGTTATCTAAACTATTTTATAGCTGGAAAATTTTTGACACCTTACATACAATATAATTCTGTTAGAGTAGGAGGAAGAAGAAAGAAAACCAAGACTTGCACCCTTTAATGCACCCTTTATGAAAAGTATTTTAAGAGGTTTTTGGTTTTGTTTTTAACTTAGAGTTGCTATGATTTGGTGAACAGCCTTTTGTCTTGGGATAAAAATCAATGTTGCCTTATTACAAATACTTGTTTACAATATGGCTGAGGAAAAATCAGGACAGAAGCCGTTTGTTATATGTATCTCTGAATTGCTTATATTCTGTGTAAATATCAATTCATCCTGAATTTCAGTTAAATTTTAATTGTCTTCAACATTCCTCACAGTGACTATTTCAACACTTAAATTTCAACAATAATCTTATATTCCAAGGTTTAAACCAACAACCTCACTCAAAAAAAATCAATGAGGTGCTTTCCAAGACATTGTATTATTTAACATATAGAGAACTGAATAAACCAAGAATTTTCTTATTTAAAAAAAAGAAGCAGGTTAGCTTATACAGGCAAAGATCATGCAATGATTACAGCAAGTATCTCTGAAATTAATATTGACTGTCAGGAATCTGAAGACACATTTGTTCACAGAAGTTTTTTTTTTTCTTCTCTGAAAGTGTTTTGACAGTCTAGCAATGTAATTAAGTAAAGAGAGACCTAGATTTGTAAGTATAGTAACTCCTGTTCTATTTATTTCCTCACAATTTAAATGGAACCGTTTAATGTGATATGGGGCCCACTAACTAATTACTACAACTCATAAACTTCTTATACCTCAAAGTCATTCAAGATGTAGTGTTACATTTGGTTAGAAATCAAATTATCCAAAGCAATTGTGCACAATTATTTTGTGTGATATGTGCTTGATTTATATGGCATATTTTAGCATTGAAAATCACATGCCAGTAGATTATGATTAATGAAATATCATACATCTTGATAACAATAATCTACATAGATTAAATACATGATTGCTTCACAGGCATTTACCCAAGAATAACCTCTGGAGGCACTGTATATAGTATTGTATCTCAGGTAGACACAAACCATAAAGATGATCCAGGGAGCAGAGAAGCCAGACATTTGTGTGTCTCTCACTCAGGTGAAGATACAGTCCATGTAACTTTAGGCAAATAGTATCTGCTTCTCATCCCTCTTCCCACCTCCATAAAATAAAAATGATGACACTTGCCAAGGATCACAGGAATGCCAGAATATTAAAATATTATCTTGTTCATCTATACCATAAAAGTCTGAAACAAAATGGTCTATGTAAAGTGTACTAAGATGATTTTATTTTCCAATATAATTTTATATTTATTTGTAGTTACCCTGTAGGGAAAATAGGTCTCTAGTAAATTGGCTAAAATGAAGTCTTTAGTAAGCCTGTAAACTTACAGAAGGCCACAGAGGGAAAGTGATCTTAAAAATGCAGAAGCAACAGCTAAAGGCAAATAAACCTCCAGTCTACTTTATGTAATTTTAATGGCTTGAAAGTGAAGTGATGGGAATTACATAAAAGAATAAAACATAGGTAGATTGTCAAAAAGAGTAATTAAGGATTTCCAGGAATGTAACATGTTAAACTATGCTAATAGTGACATTAATGATTAAATTAAATCAAATAAGGTACTTACATAAAATATAAAGGAACATTCAATCTTAGGTACAAAGCACAGCATCTTTGCAACTGCAAAATCTATGACCAAAATTTTCAAGAGCTTCTGTTCTCATGAATAGGTTTATAGACCACTTTCATAGCCATCATTAACTTCCATATATAATAAGTAAATCATCCACCAAATTGTCCATCAATCCTTCTTGAATTTATCCATGTTTTTAGCTAACAGCACCTATTATGTGTCTGGCTGTGACATAAGCTCTGATTAGGAATATTAGAAAATCTGTTAATATGACTTATCATTTTAATATTTCAAAGAAAAGAACTATCATCTCTGCTGGGCGCAGTGGCTCACGCCTGCAATTCCAGCACTTTGGGAGGCCAAGGCGGGCGGATCACGAGGTCAGGAGATCGAGACCATCCTGGCTAACACGGTGAAACCCCGTCTCTACTATAAATACAAAAAATTAGCCAGGCATGGTGGCAGGCACCTGTAGTCCCAGTTACTCGGGAGGCTGAGGCAGGAGAATGGCGTGAACCCGGGAGGCAGAGCTTGCAGTGAGCCGAGATCGCGCCATTGCACTCCAGCCCGGGCGACAGAGCAAGACTCCATCTCAAAAAAAACAAAACAAAACAAAACAAAAAACTATCATCTCTGAGAATTATTCAAAGCCAATGCCTATTTTTAGCTAGATTGTAAATTCTTTAACTTAATTTCTAAAATAAGGTGTAAATATCAGAATGGAGGAGATAAATTTAACTTTATTTGCAGATAACACGATTTGAAATTCCAACTGCTCAATGCACATGTTTACCCTTTGAACAAATCACTACACTTAGGAGGGGAGTGAGGAACTATCGATGGTCTAGCTTGGGCTCAAGGTCTGCCCCAGTAGGTACATATTTGGAAGTTCCACTAGAACTCTATGGAGTAGATAAGATTGGTTCTGCTAAGGAAGAAAAGGGTTCTTAGCAGAATATGGGGGAAAGGAATGCTAGATAATTTTTGAAGTCTTCTACATTTGCACTATAAAGGTGGAGTACTTTGTACAGTGCCTGGTGCATAATAAGTCCTCACTGAATATTAGTTATTTAAAGTGGGGACCATCTTTCCCTCTCCAGATGTTCCTGTAAAGAAAGTTTGACTGCCTTTTCAGAAATGTTAAGAACAGTTTTCTCTCTCAATCTCTCTCCCATTAGAGAGAAAGATTACATGACTGGAAAAGTTTAGAAAAACACAAAGCAAGATTAACTCTCCCCTCCTAAGACTCCCCTTTTGTAATATTCTGTGCCCAAGAAGGAGCGATTCCTTCTTGTCCCTGCCACCACTCAGGATATAGCCTCACTCAGGATATAGCCTATGACTTGCCGCTTAGAGGTCAAACCTACCTCTTCCTTTGGGTATAAAGCATGTTGATTCCCCATACATCTGGCCAAATGCCAGCTTTAAGTCTCATCTTAGATGGTTACCCCAAATACTTGCTGTGAGGACAGGTGTCAGGAAATCTGACTGTGGTGGCAGCTTTATCATCTAGCTTTACCAGAAAAAAATCTATATTATGATTCTGTATATTATTTGTGTCTTTTTTTTTACGTAATCCAAACTAAGAGGGATAGAGGTGGGATTAATCATTAAATATTTAATTTAAAGACATGTTCAAGATCGCCAACATTAGCTGTTATTATTGTTATCGATATATGGCACAGCATTAAACAATCAAGAGATTTACAGTTACTACTCAAGGTTAGCTTAAATTGAGTCATAGACTTTAGATCAATCGTAATGCTTTGCTTGAAGTTGTCTGACACAAAAATCAAATACGCAACAGAATGTAGTCGAGGAGGAGTCACAAAACCTATTGAAGATAACAGCAGAGGTTTGGTAGAGTATAGCCTACTATCCTTAAATGTTTGTGATAAAATGAAGTTTATTAATGAAAGAATATCTTCTATACAAAAAAGCCAGCCAAACTCTACAATCTCGAGGTTTCCTATTCAGGAAAAAAACTAAGTTTTCAGAACAACTTGGGAATAGGAGTGATATCAAAGTATCTTAATATGGGGTCAAATAAGTATCAGGATGAACTGAGACCCTTTGAACATAAACTTAGATGCATACACTGCCTCAAAGAAGAAAGTCAAGCAGAAGGGACAGGAGTCAACATCAGAGTCAGGGTCAGAAAGGAAGGACGCATGACAGACAGACTTTGCATTCAAAGGAAAAGCAATGTTATAAGGAGACAGAAGTTTAAATATATGAGAAAGAATTGAGGGTATATGGGGAGACTATTTAAAAAGGATTAATGTACACAAAGAGGATACAAATGGATAGTTTTCTACACTGTGAATTGACAGACTAGATGACCACTGAGGTCTCTCCCACCTCCGTGAAACCAAGAAATTATTTAAAACAAAATATTGGTCACTCTTGAATAAAATGAAAGAGGTTTTAATTAATGCTTTTAGTTGGTGTTTTACTACTCACAAATTTAAACAATTCTTTTTTATTTCATTAAGCCCCAAAGAATTTCAAAAAACTTATGAAAAAATATTAAACAATGATATAAAGGTTGTTTTCCCTGAAAGATGTCAGACTATTTTGTCAGCAAAAAGATATGAATCTACAAAAAGAAATAATAAATAAAACAAGTCTCAAGGGAACACTTATACACTGTTGGTGGGAGTGTAAATTAGTTCAACCATTGTGGAAAGCAGTGTGACAATTCTTCAAAGAGCTTAAAGCAGAACTACCATTCAACCCAGCAATGCCATTACTGGGTTTATACCCAGAGGAATGTAAATCATTCTACCAAAAGGACACAGGCAAGTAAATGTTCATTACAGCACTACTCACAATAGCAAAGATGTGGAATCAACCTTAATGCCCATCAGTGACAGATTGGATAAAGAAAATGTGGTACTTATACACCATGGAATACCATGCAGCCATAAAAAATAATGAGATCATGTCTTTTGCGGGAACATGGATGGAGCTGGAGGATATGATCCTTAGCAAACTAATACAGGAACATAAAACAAAGTACCTCACATTCTCACTTATAAGTTGGGGGGTAAATGATGAAAACTCCTGGACACAAAGGGGAATGACAGACACTGGGGCCTACTTGAGGGCTTGAGGGTAGAAGGTGAGAGGACAGAGAGAAGAAAAAAATTACTGGACACTAGGCTTAGTACCTGGGTGACAAAATAATCTGTACAAAAACCCCCTGCGACATGAGTTTACCTATATAACAAACCTGCACATGTACTTCTGAACCTAAAATAAAAGTTTTAAAAAAGTCTTTACTACCACCAGGACAGAAAGTATTCTATTTTCGCTGCTCCATCAAGAATTGAAAATCTAGAATTTCTAGAATCTAAAAATCTAAAATTTATTAAGATAACTGTACTTATTAACCATGGAATGCATTCAAATAAAATTTAAAATAATCTTATATGTCAATCAATGGCAGCAAAGTGATATTTATATACAAACAAAAATAGTTTGAATTTGCAAAGGCAGTATGACTCTTATATAAGGTATACATAACAGATACAGAAATAATTATTAACAAAGAACAGTCAGGGTTGCAAGTAAAATTTGATAAGCCACCAGGAATACACCAGAAATGCAAGTCCTTCCTCATGATGTCATGGTTGGATAAGTAATTTCCTAACTTGTACATGTATATAACATATGTACAATAGAGAGAAAAAATAGGGGGACTGTTTGGATTTTTCTCTGTTTAATGGGAGAACGAGGACTGCCTTAGAATTTGAACTAGGATGTGTTAATGAAATATTATAATTCTGAATCTTATTTCAAGACCTATGCAAAGTTTTGAGTATGCCTAGGAGGAATGTTCTGAAGAGTAAAGGGTAATTAGCATGATATCAGGAAAGGGTCAAGGAAAGATAGTCATAAGGAATCCCCAAAACAGAGATGCCCCAGAATTGTAAGAATAGGGGGTTTAGGTTTTCTTTAGTTGTCTGCTATGCTGTAGGCTGCCACCATGATTTTAAATGTTCAATGAAAGTATGATGTACAAGTATTTTATTGAGGAATATGGAAGGCACATGTCCCTTCACTGCCAAAGTTTATAGAAGTCAAACAGTAGTTTCAAGAGCGAATACAACAATCAGAGATTAAGTACTCAGCACGAAATCCCAAAGAGATCCCTAGGAAAAAAAACATACCCCCCTCCTGACGTCTCCCCTATCTAGAACCTCCTAGAAATCCATGAAAACCTGTTTAAGGGATATTTTAGACTCCCCACAGTAAGTGGAAATAGAAGCTTGAGTCATTCTATTAGGATATTTTTTTGAATGTTTTAGTCATCTGATGAAAGGCTACTTACTCTTAAGGAAGTTTTAACATTATTAAATACAGTAATAAAGTAAAATTAGTGCACTACTAGAGTTTACTGAGAAATGAAATCCAGTGTTCTGCTCTGAAGTCTGGCTGCTACACAACGGCCAAACTTTCAACTTCCTGCTATGTTTGCATACAAACATATGGCTGGATTGTCCACCATTTTCAGATAACTTATTTAATTTTTTCAGGCAGCATTCATTTTGTTTTGAGCCACTTAAGGTTCTCAGTCACTTCTGTTCTTGCCTTTTGATCATAAATTAGTTTATTTTCTTCAATCAAATTTGCCCAGGGTTGTCAGCTGACCCCATAGTGTGAAGTAAGGCACCTACGCATCAACAGTGCTTTGGGGTTGTATCTTTCTAATAAATATATTTTCAAGTTTAGGATTTATAGGTCTTGGAGCTCAAATACGAATTATTCAGTCTCTTGGCTCTAATGCAGAAGCAAACTAATATTCCAACAAAAGTATACTTATGCAGTGAAACAGCAATGTTTTTCCTATCAAACGTGGAAACAGATAAAGCAGGTTGGGTCCCAGGCTTACTTGATGAGCGTAGGAAGAGCTCTGCATAAGGACAAAGCTGTCATTTCCCTGCATGAGGAAGTGACAGTAAGACATGCCTATGTTTGAACCATCATATTCTAACTCAGTCCTTCATAAGGCCAAATTTTATATATGATAAATAAGAAAGCAGGACTACAGTTGACACTCTTTTAATAAATAAAATAGATCTATTGCTAAAACTCTTCTCTTTATATTAGTTATTGATGTCATATAAGATCCAATTTAAGGCTATCTTTAATAATCCAATTGGAATAACAAGAAAATGCAATAAGAACCATTTACATTGTGCAATTGATAATCCTCATGCAACTCTCATGTAAAATTACACTCCTCTTGGAGATAAATTGTTGAGAACTAAAGACAGTGACATTTTACCTCAAAATTTCCTCTGCCCCTCAAAGTACCAGTTTCTTAGCCACCAAAAGGCACAGGTTAGAAAAAGCTGTAAAATTTACTTAATTTCTCAAATCTGTGTGTTTGATATGAAATAATAGAGAATCTGTATTCCTGGCTTTATTCTTCCTACATTGATCAACCAAACAAGAATATGGTAAAAAGGGAGGTAAAATATGTCTTCTCAATTTGTATTGTTTGCAAGTTAACATTCAGTACATACGGCTACCATGGTAATAAGTTAAAATAGTCATAAGATATGGTGAAAATTTTTAAATAATTCATGTCCCTAAACTATGGATGCAGAATTTTAAAGGTTTCTATTTATAGTCTTTAAGGGAACCTAGGATTACACAAGAGTATCCTTTTATGTGAGTACAAATTCAGAAAGTAAAGCTATAAAAAATTAATGATGAGAAAGCAAGCCTAAATGTGATGTTATCTTTTCTCTCAAGGCAAAACAAAATGATTCAAGTATTATTATTCCCCTTGTTTTTCTATTTATAAATAGAAACAGTGATCCAGTGTTAATAACTCCCACTGAACAGGTAGTCCATCTGCAAAGACCAGCACCCAGGCTCTCATGACATTAAGACAGAACAAGGTGATTCACACCAGCAAAACAGATTGTATTGTCTTCCTGCAGGAGATCATTACCCTGAGGAAAAAAGAATGTGTGAGAAATCTTAGTTTTGATTTAAACAAAAAAATAAGTTCTAATTTATCAGTAAAAGAAGTTATAAAACATGGGGTAACCTTGAGCATACTCCCTTCAAGTCTCTTCAAATGGGAAAAAGCAAACTGCTCATGGCTTCCTGCTGATTACCTGCTTATGTAGAGGTCAAGTGTTTCAGAATGAAAATCCTGATGCTTTCTGGGCAAGCTCACCTTCTCAAAGTCTGGATTGTCATGTGTCAGGGGATAACAGTTACACATCTGCTTCATCTGCCTTCCTAACTCTACCTCACCTGCTGTTCTCTAGTGACCCAGCCAATGAATGTTCTGTCCAGTATCTAACACATGCAGGATTTGCTTAACCAACATAAATAGTGCCCCCATTTTGGCCCCAAAGGAAGTTGTTATAACTTGAACAAGCTATCTGTCACTTTTATTTTTTGGTTAATAATTTAGTGTCTAGAACTATTTTTAAGCTATTAATGAGTTTTTACTGTTCAGCCTCCTTTCCTAACCAATAGCAAGGAAGGGTAGTGAATATACAAAATATTCAAAATATTCATATATATACACACATTTTATATGTGTGTGTATATATATGTATATATACACAAAATATACAAAATATTGTGGGTATGTGTACTTGCAGGGTAGAGTTTTAAATGTCTACTATGTCAACGAGAAAATAAATGCTACGGTTGTGAGAAAATTAGAAAAGACTACATACATTTGTATATATACATACATATACACACATACAAAATATTGTGGGTATGTGTACTTGCAGGGTAGAATTTTAAATGTCTACTATGTCAACAAGAAAATAAAAAAATGCTATAGTTGTGAGAAAATTAGAAAAGACTACATCCTATGAAATAATACCTTTTTATCCAAACTCTTTTGTTAGTTGAAAATTTATTGCATTATGTTGGATTTCAGTTCTAATGACTTCCCTGGATATTTCCTGAATGCTTATGGCAATTTGACAAATATTAAAATTGTGTCATCCTAAGACTGCTAGGGTGAGATGGGAAGATTTTATTTCTTTGTTCTTATTTGGTCTTATGATGGATAACTATTTTTTATTACTTTCAAATAATTTCATAAAACTTCAATTTTATTTTGAAGGAAAAGAAATGGTTGTTGACAGTGCTTTAGAAATTAGGATTAAGCTGCCAGTAACCTTGATGTCAGGCAGTGGAGCAAGCAATAAAATGAAGAAATGTGAGAAGACAGCCTTGTCTTGGACAAAGTAAGTCCCAGTCCTCTCTAACAGAATCCATTAAAATCACATTTTGTTTATTCATTTGCTTGTGGTATAAAAATGAGATTTGCCTTTTTTGCTCTAATTTAGAAATTACTAATTTTGGTCTGTTGCTATTGTCCTTAATTAGCAGAAAAGTTACCCTGAGCTATTACTACTACTAGAAACTATCCAAGACAAGGAATTGGTCTTGCTGATATTTCCATTATTTTTACTCAACAGAGATTCTAGAGATAACTATTTTATATCTGATCGGTATTGGCTATGGACACTAAGAAATTTTAAATTGAAGTATCTTCATTGAAAATTTCCTCCTAATAGAGATTCCATTTATGTTTAGTCATCTAGAAATGATATTTCCAGTTTTTCTAATGAAGATTGTTTTAATTTTATCAGCAAGAATTGCTTTGGTGCTCTACTGTTTTTCAGGATTTTCACTTACCTTCCTTACATAGATTGCTTGCTTCAGAACTATATAGCAATTACTGATGTCAAACATTTGCATAAATTTTAACTAAAATTGTGTTGATTAAATCCAAATCCCCATATTCTTATTACATGCTTAAGATCATTCATCTTAAATGTATTTTTCTTAAATATTTAATACCTACATTTTAACCAAAGTTTCAGATTTTAATACCATTGTCACTTCAGAATGTTTTTTTTTTTTTTTTTTGTAGTACTTTATTCTATTAAGAATACTTTTTTTTTTTTTTTTTTTGAGACAGAGTCTCGCTCTTTCGCCCCGGCCGGACTGCAGCGGCACGATCTCGGCTCACTGCAAGCTCTGCCTCCCGGGTTCACGCCATTCTCCTGCCTCAGCCTCCCGAGTAGCTGGGACTACAGGCACCCGCCACCGCGCCCGGCTAAATTTTTTTTTTTTTTGTATTTTTAGTAGAGACGGGGTTTCACCGTGTTAGCCAGGATGGTCTTGATCTCCTGACCTCGTGATCCGCCCGCCTCGGTCTCCCAAAGTGCTGGAATTACAGGCGTGAGCCACCGCACCCAGCCTACTAAGAATACTCTTAATGATTTCAGTTGGTTAATAGTAATATTTATTGTTTTTTCCTTTTTTTTTCCTTATTTTTTTTCCTTCTAGTCTTGTTTTAGTAATCTTTTCAGAAAAATTAAGAGAAAGTTACAAGCACCTTGGGAATGATTAACTCCTTTTCCAGTTAGGGCTCCCTACCAACTAGGTTCCCCCTACAGATGAAGGACAGGACTGAGCTTGTTTTCTCTCAGAAAGGAAGGTTCTTTTCCTTTGAGACTAAATTCGCCTGACTGGGAGGTAAAAAGGTCTTTCTAGACTTAGTACGGAAACCTTAAGAAATAGTAATCTGAACTGATCTTGGACATAATCTGATAAAAAAAAATTAGGTGTAAAACATTTATTACCATGGCATCTATATGAAGTATGAGAGATCCTTATGGTGATGGAGTATTCTACAGTTTGGCTGCATCAATACCATTATCTTTGGTGTAATATTGTACTCTGGGTTTATGTTATTATTGGAGGAAACTGGATAAAAGGTACACAGAACCTCCCTGTATTACTCCTCTGCACTATAACTGCATGTGAACCAGAAATTATCTCAAAATAAATTTTAAAAAATATGCATCTGAAGTGCTCACTTAATTCCTCTCTGCCCTTCTCTGTAAGTTGGCAAACATGGAGAAAATCTAAGAATTGTCCAAAGTCCAGTTTTATTCAGAATGAAGAAAGCTCTGTCCTTGATTTTCTCTTGCATTTTGTCTCAAAGGTTTCTCTTTCATTTTGCTTCAAGAAGCCTGAATTCGAGTCCCAATTTTGCCAATAAACAAATGATCTAAGCCATATCATTTTACTTCTTTGATTGTCAGTTTTCTCATATAAAATGGGGGATTGAGCTAGATAACTTTTAGGGTTTTCCTAATGCTAAAATTCCATGATTCCAAGTATACTGAACTGGTGCTAAGTATTTATGAAACAAATTATAGTAACTCTGACAAGTTATCAGAAATGAGTCCTTAAGTAGAACATCTAACAACAAGGTAAATGCCGTGGGTTTCTCAGGTTTTCATCTGTTGACAGCTTTGGAATAGAAAGAGCATCTCAGGAATCCTAAAAAAAAATAGTCTTCTAACAGGCAACTAAAATTTGCTTTTTCCATATTCCTATTATTATGCAAAACCCAGGCGACCTTTAACTGAACACTAATACTTTTTTAATGTTAATATTAACATTACATCTCAATAGAAAAAATTTAAACCAAGCTCTCATTGAGAAGGAGCCGTTGGTGACTATTAAGTGTCTTTACTTCACCAAGAATATTCCTTACAAAAGAAAACTGTTTGCTCCAGTCATTCTTAACCTCCATACAGTGTAAAAAAACAAATGCAAACTCATTTGTGAAAATGTATTCATCCAGTTACTTGAATGTTTTGCTCTCACATTCTGTTGAAGATTAAATCAACCAAAGGTCACATGAAAAACATCACTGAATATTCTTTAAAAACCTTTTTAAAGGGATTGTCTTGATATTGTTCAGGGTCTGTGGCAAAAGGATTCATACGGGTTTAGCATGGATAGAAATATATCCTTTGAGAATTTAAAACCAGGAAAAAGCTTCTCCTAAACAATGTATGCATTTATTTATGTCACCTAATTAGAATTTATAACCTGTAAATGTTTTTCTCAGTCTTTGCAGTCTAAAAGCTCACACCTAAATTTAAAACTCAAACTTAGTACTATTAGTAGTATTAAACAGTTTTTAGTATACATCCAGAATTAAAATGAATAAAGATTAAGAATGAGGATTTCTGGGTCTACAGCAAGAGATTCTGATTAAGCAGGTTTAAATCTGCCTTTTTAATGACTATCCAAAATAAATATGCTGCAAGTGATCCATTGACCTTTTGTTGGGAAATACTAGCTTAGTTTTAAATATTTGCCCTGTTTTTGACATTTCAAAGGTATCTATTTTTATAGCAGCGGCTTTATTATATAATTATTTTATCTTAGATAATCTTAATTATTTTCTAGAGTTAAGCAGGATAAAAAAGTAACCTTGTGTATCTTGGCATAAATATAAACTTATATCACAGGCAATTAATTTGAATTCAGTGAGAAAAACCATGGATATACATCCTTGTATCCTAGGTAAGAGAAGACTTCTGAAATAAAACTGCAAAAACCAAAAAAAAATAAATTTCATAGTTTCCAAATTAAGAATTTCTATTCAATAAAGGATACCACAGACAAAGTTAATCGTTGGCAGATGGGAGACTATATATGCAATTTCTGAAAGTATCAAAGAATTACACAAGATTATGCTATCTGCACACACATACACTAAAATCTACCCAGAACTTATGCCAACGAATAGAAAAAATAGCTACCCCAGTGAAACATGGGCAAAGAACATGAATAAGCAATTCAAAAAAAAGTATGAAAATGCTAACAAGCACTTAGTGCTTCAGTTCATTGGTCATGAAATTTAAAACGAAAAATAAGATATCACTTTACATTTAATAAGCTGGTAAACGCTAAAAAGCTATCAAGGACTGGCAAGCATACAGTGACTTAAGGATCAGCTACTCTGAAAACAGTCTGGCCGTCAAAGAACCTTGCCAGCCCTTCTCTTGCCCATAATATTTTCTAGGTAAGAATTACACACTTATGATGTTCATCAAACCGTCAGAAGTCCATATTAAGTCTTTGCTTTCTCCTTAAATCACCTCTCTCTTGACTTGAGGAATGGTAAAAGTGCCTCATCCCCCTGTGGGAGAATGTGAGAGTCGCAGAACAAAAATAGCCCTCTCCCCAAACTGTCCTTCAAAATTGAGCCGGTGATCCTTTTGTACCCTCCGTGCCAGCAGAAGGGTTGCGAATCATGCAGCCATCCTCCAGTCTCCCACAATCACCCTGTAAAATCTCACATCCTGGAGTTTCACATCATGGAATTTGGAATGTGGCATCTGTTGACTCAGTGCTTCAGCTAAATTTTCCATTTTATTGAACTATTTCAGGTGCTTATGTGGGTCCAATTGAACAAAAAGATAAAACCAAGGGAAAACATTTGCATTGATTTTCATCTCAACAGAAGAAAAACAGATTCATGCTACCAGAAGTGGGTTAACTTTTACACTACACTACACCTGAATTTCTTTTCTAGTCTCTTGTATTTCTAGAAATAAAATATTCTAGATAGTCTAGAATCCAGTTACCTAAAGCCTCTGCAAAAGGACCATTGAACTTCAAGAGGAAGATGAAGTATGTAATTTTTTTAATCATTATGGTTATGCTTCTGAAAGTTTGGTTTTAAAATAATTATATTTAAAATGTTAGCTGATTTTTAAATGAAACTTATAAATAAAGCATAATAATTTACACATCCAGATTTACCCTTCAAAAATTGAAGAAAGTGTTATATTTCAAACTTTTATATAATATAGAGTATCTTTCTCCAAAGAAATGAGATTCTTTTAAGTTCTAAAAATTGGGTCAATTTCTCTGTCTTACCAATGTATTACTCAAGACTTGTAGAGCAGTATCTCAAAGTGTGGGCCAGACCACAAGTCTCAGAATCACCTTAGTTATATTTAACATATGCAAACTCCTAAGCCCCATCCCTAACCTATGAAAGCAGAATCTCATGGGACAGGGCCCTAGCATTTTGCATTTTTAAACTCTTCTGTATTCTTAAGCAATAAGCTCAAAAGCTAAAGTACATAAGTGCTCAAATTAAAATGTGAAAATCACTGTTTTGGAAGCTGTACTTGGGAAAGAATTTTTTTTTAAATGTAAACTGAATAGGGTCTCTTCTCTAGGTTTATAAACATCACCCTACAAAAAAATCAGCCTGGCTTAATGATTAGGGCTATGGACTAGAACTCAACAAATGTTTTTTATTCCCTGCACCACCATTTCCCCTTAAAAATGGTATCAGCAAATTATTTAAATTCACTATGATAAGTAGGATATATAGTAATTCTGTTTTCTTGCCTCAGAGGCATAGCGTGAGGTTAATTAAATAACAGCTGCAAAATACTTTTGGCTCCTTAGAGAAAGACATTATATAAGACATTATATTATATTTGCAGCATTTTTGTCTCCTACGAAAATAGGGCTAAGTGTTTCTGAGAATTCAGCCTATGGCGGAGAAAACAACCATGACACAGCTTTCACAAGCACTTCATTCACAAGGGCAAAATTTTGTCACAGTTGGTGTCAGACCCAGTGAATGCTATGCTTCTATTCTTTACACAAAGACCACTGCCATCTTGTAGGAAACAGTCATTGTCCTTATCTTGGGCTTCTATTTCATTTGTGGGAAATGGTGACAAGATAATTTGGGTTTTCTGCTATTGAAGATTCGTAGTTTATGAAGTCTTAGTCACCCTGAGGCCTGTTATCTGTGGCACATGAGGACTCGGTGAGGCCACACTGAAGGTCAGGTAGTGTTAATGGAAGGAAGAGCTCTATAAACTAGACATCTCCCCAGGGCTTTGAACTATACATATCTCTCCAATAGGGCTTGCCACAAAATCCTGCTTTTATGTTCCATTATATTCTGGAATTAGGGCCAAAATAATAATAATAATAAAAGGAAAAAATAATCGCTGGAAATTATTAAATCCAATGTTGATTGCTCTGGGAAAAATTATGTCTGTAAATGGTGTTTGTATTTATCTGTCAAAAGAAGATGAGGGATGGCTTACAGAAAGTAAATGAAATAGGATCAAACAGTCCTGAAGTCTACCAAGTTTGATAAATAATTGTCATATTTTGACAAACATGATGAATTTTTAAATCTGTCCTGTAAAAATGGGTTTTTGTAGAAAGACAATTCCTTTCTAACCTTTTTCCTATTTCTTGAAAGGCTTAAAATTGGTACTAAACTATACCAAGAGATAATATTTCAAATGTCTTTTATTTATCCCAGAAACAAAAACTTTGCCTTAAGTAGTATTATTATATAGAAAAACACATAGTCTTTCTGGTCAGAAACATTGCCTTTTACTTTTAAAGCAAGCATTCCTTAAGAAACATCTTTCTAAATTTATATTTTTAATTGTGTTTGAGTTAGTCTTAGGCAATAAAAGTGAATAGATGAAACTGCCTTTGATACCCTAATCTCATCACTTCCATACTTTTACTCCCCCCACACTTCAAATATTTTCCCTTAGTTAGGAGTTTTCTCACCTCTGTGTTGGGGCTGTAACTTCTTCAGTCATCAGATAACTTAAATTTATGTTAATTTACACTAAAATGTTACAGACTAAGTCACTTCAAAAATAGGAAAATTTTTTGAAGAATTATCAGTCAGTCAGTGCTTAAACCAAAAGGTAGAATAATTTTTTGTTGTTGTTGTTTATTTATTTATTTTTACCTGATTTTTTAAATTATACTTTAAGTTCTAGGGTACATGTGCATAACATGCAGGTTTGTTACATATGTATACATGTAATGTGTTGGTGCTCGGACACAGGGCAGGGAACATCACACACCAGGGCCTGTCATGGGGCTGGGAGATGGGGGATGGATAGCATTAGGAGAAATACCTAACGTAAACGACGAGTTAATGGGTAGAACATTAAAAAAAAAAAAAAAAGATTCTAGGAAACTTGGCAGGGGAGAGAGTTCGGTATGTGACTTTCTGTCTAGAACCCAGGATTTCATTGTGTGGATAGCCATCTATTCAGCTTATTGATTTTTAAAAGTTAAAAAAAACTGAACAAGAGTAATATCTTAATTCCTTCAAACAAAATGATGTCCTCTTACCTCAACTTCAAATCTCATCTCAGCGCAGTGTTGCATCCAAAAGAAATAAATTAGAGGTGTCTTGAAGAGGCAACAAAAAGAGGAACCAGGAATACTACTACATATAATAGAGATAATTTTTTCTATAATCTTTTTTGGATAGATTTTTCTCTTATGTCCTTTGAATTAAAACAATCAATTCCCTAAATTTTTCATCTTTGTGTTTCCAAAAGCACCTCTAGCCTTTTTTTCCATTATTGACCTCCATTTTCTTATGTAAGCAGAAGTCTTCACACTGCAATTCTACCCAGTATTCTGGTCAGTATATTAGAAGCCCAGGAACCTGGCAGTGATGGCAAAGAACTCTCCTTTAGAGGGTGGAGAGAGGGTCAAAAATCATGAACACATATCTTCAATATTTTTGCTTCTATAGCATCAAAGTAATATCACATTATCAAAAAGACAAAGAGTTCTTGTTTGAGGACCAATTTATCCCAAGTCAGGGCTGATCCCTATTCAGTCCTCTGAAGAGTAACAAGTATGAAAATAAATGGTATACTAGAAGACAGTTTCAGGTCTAGGTACACAGTGACTCAATGAACATGCTCCTCTTTCCGTCTGGAACACTATTTTCCCATGTTTGTTGACTTAGCAAACTCCAAAACATGCTTGAAGAACCAACTATTAACACACACTGAAACCGGTTCTCTGGTACAGATTATTAGTTACCTTTCTTCCAGCCCATTATTTGCTTGTTTCTCATAACAATAAAAACTTTCTATTTTTAGCTAAAAGGATAGCCTCCAAAAAGAAATAATATAAAATAATATATTTCTATTCCTCACTTATTTTTCCCCTAGGTATGGCCATAAAACTAATTCCTGGCCAATGGCCTATGGGCTTGAAGAATGGATTAATCTTCTGAGCTGTTCTCTTAAGAGAATCCTGGGTGCCTTCAACTTTCTCAATTTCTCCTTCCTGCTGGCTAGAATGAGGACGATGGAAAGAACTACTGTGGACTATGTGAATTAAGCAACACACTGGTGATGGCAGAGAAAACAGGTAAAAGGAAACTAGAACCTTGAGACTGTGGAACCGCCATACCAGCCCTGCAATTTTGTGCCCAGAATTGAGGTATGAGAAAAATTATTTCATTTAAGCTACATTAACTTTAGATCTCAATATTCAAACTTAAGAACCCTCCAACATGTTCTGGTAGTACTCTGTGCAAGTTTCTCTTAAGACACTGGTCTCTTGGTATTCAATAAATATTGGATTTATCTACAGACTCAGGGCAGGCAGGATATTTTATTATTACTTATATTCTGGTGTTAGGTACACTGTATGTTTGAAATAGAAATATGCTGAATGGATAGACAAATGAGCAGTTGAGCGAATAAATGAATGAATAGATAATAGGTCATGTGATCCGTTTGTATTCACTCAGATTCAGATATGTTTATCTTATGACTTAATGGAGTTTTCTGACTTCAGATTTAGAGGACAATATTTAAATTATAATAGAAAAAAAGAACAAACTTTGGGCATAAAAAACATAAATTGGGGAAAGGACACCTTATTCAATAAATGTTGCTGGGAAAATTGGTAAGCCCCATGTAGAAGAATGAAGCTGGATTGGCTAAGGCCATTGGCTTAGGCAAAGAATTCATTCGTTGCTTAGGCAAATGAAACAAAAATAAAAATAAATAAATGGGACCTACTCAAACTAAAAAGCTTCTGCACAGCAAAAGAAAAAAGCAGAATGTAAACAGACAACCCACAAAGTGGCAGACAATATTCACAAAATATGCATCTGACAAACGACTCAAAGAAATCAGCACAGAAAGAACTAATAACCCCATTAAAAAGTGGGCAAAGAACATGAATAGACGTTTCTCAGAAGAGGATATACAAACAGCCAACAAACATTTAAAAATGCTCACTATCACTATTAGGGAAATGCAAATTAAAACCACAGTGAGATACCACCTTACTCCTGCAAGAATGACCATAATTTTAAAAACCCAAAAAATAATAGATGTTGGTATGGTTGTGGTAAAAAAAAAAAAAAAAAAAAAAAAAAAAAAAGGAACACTTTTTCACTGCTGGTGGGAATGTAAATTAGTATAACCAGTAGGAAAAACAGTATGGAGATTCCTTAAAGAACTACAAGTAGAAATGCCATTTGATCCAGCCATCCCACTACTTGGTATCTACCAGCCATAAAAAGGAATGAAATAATGTCTTTTGCAGCAACTTGGATGGAGCTGGAAGCCATCATTCTAAATATGGAACCAGCCTAAGTACCCATAAACCAATGAGTGGATAAAGAAAATGCGGTATATATACAACATGGAATACTACTCAGCCGTAAGAATGAAATAATGTCTTTTTGTAGCAACATGGATGGAGCTGAAGGACATTATTCTAAATGAAGTAACTCAGGAATGAAAAACCAAATATCATATGTTGTCACTTACAAGTGGGAGCTAAGCTATGAGTATACAAAGGTATAAGAATGACATCATGGACTGGGAAGGTTGGATGGTGGGTGAGGGATGAAAGACTACAAATTGGGTATAGTGTACACTGTCTGGTTGATGGGTGCACTAAAATATCAGAAATCACCACTAAAGAATTTATGTATCCAAAAACCACTTTTACCTCAAAAATTATTTAAATAAAAAATATTTTTAAAAGAAAAGGATAACAGTTAATTTCAGAGAAAAACATTAAAAGAATAAACTTTGGAAGAAAAAATGCTATAGAGGATTATATATGGCGATTTTCTAAAATGATTGATGTAAACACATACATAATTAATGACAACCACTTACTTCTCATGTAGGATTCTCTTCTAATGAGCAGTCACTCTTCACACAAAGTCCTAGTTCCAGTGCTGGTTTTGTCCTTATTTTGTCTACTTTCATCAAGGTGGTCTTCTACTGATAGAGGCAGAAGCTCTAACAAGCTGTATTAAAGTTTATCAGAGTTTATCTGTACTCTCATAAATTCAGTTTCTAAGGTATAAGACCTCCTGACTCAACTGTTGGGTTGAGAACTAAAGAACTAAAAGTAGAAACACCATTCCATCTAGCCATCCCACTACTGAGTATCCACCTTAAGGAAAAGAAGTCACTATATGAAAAAGACACATGCACATGCTTGTTGGTAACAACACAGTTCACAATTGCAAAGATGTGGAACCCACCTAAGTGCCCATCAACCAACAAGTGGGTTAAGAAAATCTGGCATATATACACCATGGAATACTACTCAGCCATAAAATGGCTGAGTATTGAGGATCAGTGTTGCTACCACTGTTGCTCTTTTATCATTCATTTATCCCTGTCTCTTTGCATTTCCATCTTCATGTGTATTTCCACAATGCTGTGTGAGAGAAACTCCCTGAACAATCAGAAAAATCAAACTCTTGATTTATACATGACAATTTGCATTTTGTGCAGAGTATCCATCTGGGCTGAGAGGGCCATTTCACCCATTCTTTACTCACTCCAAGACTATGTCACCTGAACCCTTCTGTTGCTTCTAAAGGCTATATATAGTTTAAATGGGCCAGAAATGGCTGTCAAGTCTCAGGATGGATCTTGCCTTTATGGCACGACAGGCCCCATATTTTCCTGATTTTTCTGTTCACCAATAGCTATACTTCTGATCCCTCATGCTTTTAAATCTGTTTTTCCCTTTGGGGTTTTTCTTGGCTTTCAGTTTCCACTGGTCTCTTCCTCTCTTTTTAGCAAGTTAGACATTATTACATAGCCTACCCTTAGAATTCAGATACAAAGTGCAGCAGACAGAAGAAGCACCTCAGGGAATATTTCTTCCATTCCAGTTCTCTTCCCAGTCTTCACCATCCCCTGAGATACACACACACACATACACACACGCACACACATATACACATTCACACATATCACACACATAAACCCTCTCTCCATGACCTTTTCTATTCTCTTTTCAAAATTTCCCCTTTCTACAACTACTCTGCAACAAGGGGCAAATGGTCTTGCTTATTTTGCAAAAGCTGCAGCTGACATTCAAATTGCTGCTGTACTTGCAGAAAAGTCATGTTCAATATTTCTTCTTCTTTAACTCGTTCACAATTCACTTGAAGTAGTTTACTCTACTTATTAGATAAGACCTATAAAATGTGGTCCTATCCTTCAGAAGTTTGATTCTAAGGACAAAAAATATATATACTTTTAAAATCTATATCCATGTAGTGTTTTTTATTGTTATGGCATAAATGTTTATCTATATACAACATGCCATAACGTTGCACTATGCATTTTAACTAATTTCCCCTCATCTGTGTCTTGTTTGAAACACAACAAGAAGTTTGAAACCAAAGCCCTGGTAATATTGACTAAAGGGGGAATCTGAATAAGTGATTTTATTTTCTGTTTAAAACAGACAATTTATGTCAGATATGGCTTATATCCAAATTCTCCTGTGGATAGGTAGGTCCTATCTTATCTATTCATCTGGTGAATTGTTTTTCATTTTCACATTAATGCCAGCAGAGTTTACTTTAATCATGTACCTAATATCGTACTAACTCAGTTATGAAAATATCTTATGCCCTTCATATAGGAAATTCCAAGAAAATCACACATTTATGTATTTTGTATTTTTTTTTTTTTTTTGAGACAGAGTTTTGCTCTTGTTGCCCAGGCTGGAGTGCAGTGGCACAATCTCGGCTCACTGCAACCTCTGCCTCCTGGGTTCAAACGATTTTCCTGCCTCAGCCTCCCAAGTAGCTGAGATTACAGGTATGCGCCACCAGGCCTGGCTAATTTTGTATTTTTAGTAGAAACAGGGTTTCACCATGTTGGTCAGGCTGGTTTCAAATTCCTGACCTCAGGTGACCTACCAGCCTTGGCCTCCCAAGATGCTGGGATTACAGGCGTGAGCCACCACACCCAGCCATACTCATTTTTTCCTCAGTTAACCCATATTATTAAGAGACAAATTCTAATAACTCAGTTCTTCTTACTGCCTTTCGTACAGTAATTTCACAAACTTCTAACTTTCTTGTTCTATTGTCTGTTAGTTCAGTTTAAATACTACTGTTTACAAGGCTTTACTCAATATAATCCTCTCAATATTTTCTACAGAATTTAGGTTTCATTCCTGAAATATCCTCCAACTTCATTTTGTGCAACAGTGCCAATACATTTCAAATTGACAGGCTTCAATCCAAGAAAATAAATGGCAGGAAGTTGAAATATGACTAGAGAAACTGTTTGCCAAGACCATTCATTAAAATTCTTGAAAAATACGTGTGCATTTGATCATTAGTTTTCTTTACAATGAATCCAAGGTAAATTTCTTAGACATGGATGTTGTGATAAAGCATCTTCTCAGAATGGGAATTATTTAATTACTTCTCTTTAATGAAAGATGCTAAGTATCTCCATCACATTTTCTTCAGGCAAATATAGATGATATTCTTTGACATAAAAATGCTTAACATGACATAGCTACGGGTATAAATAATTACTTTTCATGTTTTGATCATATGAGTTAAAGTGCTATTACTTTCACCCTTTAAAAAAATCTCCTTAAATAGGTTGAATAAATAATATAGGCCCAGATTATGGGTGTTTTATGTTACAGGACCAAGGGGGCAATCTTAAGTCCAGAGAAACAGAACTCAATGCTTAGGAAGGTTAAAAGTGGTCAAATCAATAGCCATGAAAGACTGTTTTAAAATCGGTGAAAGGGTCTACATTAACTAATAACCTGATTTGAACATACGTATTTTAATTCTGAGATTAAATTATTAAATTTAATTATTGCAGATGCCTTTTCATTATAAAATTGAAACCAAATCTAAGTGGGAAGGATGGGGAAGAGAAGTGTTTGCCTTTCTAAATCGGGTATGTTTTAGCAGCAGGCTTCTCACAGATGTTCAAAAGGAGTGGAGACCATGAGCTCTACAGAGACACCACATCCACTGACTACATTATTGTGTGATCGGATTGAGTGGCAGGCTGAAACCAAACAAATGAATAATAGATAAATATATCAAGTGAGGAAAGCAGCAGAGGTCAGAAAGGTACAAGCCGCTAAATTAGAAAGACCAGTCCTGAATGCCTAAATTTGCCTCATTTGCTTTTCACTGTTGTTAATTATCATTTTTGTTTAGAATTTTTAGAATGCTTTAAATTGATAGAATAAATTAAAGATACCTTCATTGATCCTCACTGCCTTGCCCTGCTCCAGGAATACTGATGTACACTCAACATTCTATTAAAAATCAAGCTCAGTAAAATTGCAAGGGAATTTCAGTTTCCTTATATATAGCACATGTTGGGAGTAAAAAGGGAAAAATCTATTAGGTTATTTAATAAATTCATTTATTCATTAACAAGTATTTAATATGATTCATTTAATTCCATTAGCAAAAACTCTCTATATAGCATAAGCCATATAAGTCGTTTAATATAAAAAACATTGTCATTGTTTTGCTTAGAAACAGGGGCATGTGTTTTATTTTTATTTTGATATTATTATCAAATGAGATTGTAACATCTAGTAACATTTTAGAGTTAATTGTGCATATTTTTTTTTCTTTTTTAAAGAAGAGACCTATATTTTCTAACCTTTCTAATTCCTTCGGATCAGAAATCCTCAAAGAACCCTGAAAACACATCTGGGAATTTTGCTGATTTTATTCTTTGGGGAACTACATACAAATTTTCACTACAGTAAGAATCTCTCTCTTTTTAAAATAGTTCCCAATCTCTTACAGAATACTTTTTACTTTAACATTAATATATCCTTTAAAAATTTACTTGGTGAGCCAGGCACAGTGGCCCACACCTGTAATCTCAGCACTTTGGGAGGCTGAGGCTGGCGGATTGCTTGAGCTCAGGAGTTTGAGACAAGCCTGGGCAACATGGAGAAACCCTGTTTCTACAAAACAAAACAAAAATTAGCAGGGTGTGGCAGCACATGCTTGTAGTACCAGCTACTCGGGAGGCTTAGTTGGGAGGATGGCTCGAACCTGGGATGTTGAGGCTGCAGTGAGCAGCCTGCTGAAGTCTTGTCAAGAAGTACATTCAATGAGTATTTATTGAGCACTTTTTCTGTGCCCAACACATGGCAAGGCAACCAGAATATTAATATAACACCATCCAGCCTACACCTGAGAAGCTCACACCTTTATCCCAGTCCATTTGTGTGTATTGCCTATTCATATGCAGCATAGTCAGTCATTTATTTAACAGGTACCAATGACATAGTAACAAGTGCCAGGAACTGTGCTGGTTCAGAGTTAGAAATATAAATACAACATACATTCAGTCTTCTAGGTACTCACAGACTAGTAGGAGAAAGAGAGAGTACCTAATGGGAAATCTCTGTGAAAAATGCTTAAGGGAAATACATCAAAGGCACTGTAGTAGCAAAGGTAATTAGCTTTATCCAGGTGCATCAAGGAAATCCACACAACCATTGGGCATGCTCAAAGCAATACTGCTAGATACACAAAGAGAGTCCTTAGTTTTCTCATGTATATAGACAGCAAGCTTCTTACCAATATGTCTCAATTTATCCTAAAAGAATACCACGCTCAGACCACCACCAAATGGCTCTGTCTCTGGGCACGGTTACCACTTGGCATCTGCTGAGATGTACAGTGAGGGTATTAATTACTGCTCGCTGTGTGATAAATGTGGTTGATAGTTCTTGATGAGGTCAGTGTTTTGTGGATCTTGGATTAATGACTCCAATTTGACAGACAGCAAGCCACTAAATGGTTACCAGGTGGCAAAAATATTGTGTTACCCTAGGTAGAACCGAAGAGAGTAATATAGCTATGAAATCACCTCATAGTAGGATTAATTACTTGTAAGCATATTTTTCCAAATAATCTTAAGCAGAAAGTCTAAGTTTTTCTATTTTTATATTTAGAAAACAAACTAATTCTTAGTGGACTCAACCAAAAATCAAAGAAATTATTCAGACATAAAATACAGATTTAAAGTCACTGAAGCATGATGAAGGATATCAACTTCAGAGTGCACAGCAAATATCTAGCCTTTGGAAAGAAAGGGCCACATACATGTTAAGTAATTTAACTTTACCACTTACATATTTAACTGTTTAAATAGCCTAAGTACATTTATGATAAGACATTTAGCAGAAGACATTTCCTCAGCTTCTTCAGAAAAAATCCTACTAGTATATTATCTTAAAGTACTCACCAAAAAAAAAAAAAAATACAACAGAGATATATTTGTTTCCTGTCTAGTGAAAACAGCAAAAATCTCAACATATGGCTCTCTTACCTCCTCATGAGGCCATGAGCTTATTGAGGAGGAAGCCATTTGTCAATTATGCTTATACTCTCAGAACATAGCATAGGGTCCAATATATGGGTAAATAATTTTGTTGAGTCATTTAACAACCAAATCTGGACGATGGAGATTGAGCCTTGGCACACATTCCATCATGTGTATAGGACCTCCACCCCTCATGAGTCAATCTGCAGAGAGGCAAACAGTGCCAGTCACTGTGCACACAGACACAGTATGTGAGGGTACAGTAAAAACAGAAATACAGAATTTAGAGTCACTTTCCTTAAGGAGCTTAATATAGTTCTTGAAGAAGGGTGGTTGTTAGTGGGCATGACTATTTTGTGTCCCAAGGACTAGAACATTGCAACCCAAAATTCTTTGTACAAGTTTTAATCTAAAATGCAGGTCTAACCTATGGCCTCTCCACTTATGCACCTTGTATTGTCATAGAAAACTGCTAATGTAACAATAAAACCTGATGTTATTTGCCAGTGATGATTTTAAATGGTCAATCATGCCATTTCTTGGCTAAAAACCTCTACTAACTCTCCCATTTTTCTTAGGGTAAAAAGCCAATGCTCGCCTAAAATCTAACTTCCCTTTACTTTCCTTCTTCACCTTGAGCACTAGCAGTCCTCTTCCATCTCAGCTTTTGCATGGCGCTTCCTATTCTCTTGTCCCAGAACCTTCTTCTCACAACCTTTCTATGTTCAAGTCTTTGCCCACAGGTTACTTTCTCAACGAAGTTTAGCCCACATACCCTGTTTACGATTGGAACTGAAAGGAATTAGTATATGCTACCCAAAAATATGCCATAAGAATTATTTTGAACTGAAGACAATTGAGAAACAGCACATAGAGGAAGGGCTTTCTGTCCTACTTTTTTTTTTTTTTTTTTTTTGTCTAAAAGCAGGAAATACATTTTCCTTTGTAAAATGTCCTTCTTCCCCTTTTTCATGAAGAGAAGATTCATTACTAGAGATGGCACCAACTTGAGTCCACATAACAAACCTTACTAAATAACCCTTATCTCCTCCTTATATTTACCTTCTCACAATTTACTCCCCCTACTAGCCCACACCTTCCCTTTCCTTCATCTAGTCACTTCTCCACAATTTATCATCCTATGTTGAGATGTTATATAAGCCCCAAGTTTTAACCATCCCATTAAAGTTACTCCTCACTGAGCTCTCCCACATGTATGTGCATTGCATACATAAATAACCTGGGTTTTTTTTTCCTCCTGGCAATCTATCTTTTATCAGTTTAATTTGCAGACCCCAGGTCCTGAACCTAAAAGATGGTAAGGAAAAATATTTCTTTCCAACAGAACCTTTTTCACCTAGAGTTTTCTATCCTTCTTATTGTGTTTTATTTTCTGTACGGCACTTATAATGCTCTAACATACTTCATGTGTTTAGGATTGACTTCCCTCTTCCAGAAAGTAAGCTCCATGAGGACAGGGATTTTTATCTCTTTTGTTCTCTGATGTATCCTCAGTGCCTTAAGGAGTGCCTGACACATAGAATGCATTGTTGAATTAGTCAATAATCAATCAATTATAACCACCATGACCTTTGCACATGAGCACTACACATAAAGAGCTGATAGAGATTATTAGGAAATTAGAGTTTAATTTCTTATTGGGGTGGAAGAGTAACAAATCATGAAGAAGTCACACTAGAAATGTACCCTTCTCAACATTTATCATAAAATATTTTTATAAGCATCAAAAAAACTTATTAACAAGAAAAACAATTCGGAATAAATTGTTATTTTGAAAGCAATTTTAGAGTTTTTGGAATAATGGAAAATGCCTATGCACACTACAAGGAAATTTACCAGCAAACACAGACTTTGGTTCAGTCTTCATCATATATATTTTTAAAAGCATCAGGTAGCCTACCCTTACAGAGAAATTTGCTCTCCAATTATACACATATATAAATGATTGCTATGTGAATATGATGTTTCAGTCACTATCCCAACTCTATATTAAGTGACTAGCCCAAAGTCACCTACAAAATTGCTTTTATATACCCAACACATGGCTGTAAAACCCTATATGTGAGATATTTTCTTATTTTCATAATCAATTTTAATGTTTTATGATTATTTTTTAAAATGTCCTCCAGGAATAGAGCAAGTAACTTGAGAACCTTGATCAAAATAAATTCGATTAGAGCCAGAAGTGAACAATTTCCTGAGCAGCATGTCTAGATTGTTTCTAAACTATGATGAATTTCCACTATATATTGTTTTCTATTTTATTATATTCAAAATATGTTGAGCTTTTAGTGTGTAAAAATGGCTCAAGAATCTTGACTGTACAAGTAACCATAAAATAAGAACTGTTTTCTAATCTTGGAAACATAAATTGTTGAATCACTATTAAATCCAAATTTAATTTAGTTATATTTCATTTAAATCGATAACATTATTGATTGCATGATATATCATTACTCTATGTATCACTAAGAAAGAATAAAACACTGAAAATTGTAAATGTAAGATGTCTTTGATTCTAATACGCATTCCGATTTCAGAGATTTTAAAATGGGGAAAACGTCTATCTGAATCAATGAGTCATTTTCTAATATTTAGGGTATTTATAACCAGGGTAGCCAAATATTCTCCTTTTCTACCAAGAAAACAATAAGAACAAATTAATTATTTGAATAAGCTACTATTGAGGAAGGTTGTTCTTGTGACACTGAGGATTATCAAATACTATACTAGACTCAAGAAAAATTGTAAAATAGCCTATAGTGGAATAGCTCTGGCTAGCATGAGAAAAATAATTATTCGTGATCCACAAGTTCAAAATCTAGAAGAAATTAGCCTGGATCTAAAAGAAATAACATTATCATCATAGTCTTTTTGAAGGAAATGCTAAGGTGCAAAAAAGTATTATTGTCTTAGAAAAATATTGGTCCTTCTTAAATTCATGCACTAATTGATTTTCTCAAATTGTTTTTACTGGAATTCTGAATTTTCACACAATGACTTTGTCTAATAAAAATAGTCACCAATATGATCTTGTATATCTAATTCTTCTTCATGCTGTGCTTTAATGGGAAACTAGAAAATGTCATTCTAAAAATTGTTTTGACAAATAGTAGATAAATCATAAAACATAAGCAAGATAATGTTTAAAATGAGGAAGGATTTGGCAGCCAAATAGCCAAGGAAAAAAATAAAAGCGAAAACTACTAGTATAAAGATTGAAATCACTTATAAAATTTTAAGAATGTATGACTAGATCTTTCAAAATGGAAATTATAAACAATAAGAAATGTCATGCAATTTTATTTTATGCACAACCATGTAAGTAAATGTACCATTTAATAATGAAGATATGAAAAAGATAAACTGCTAACAAAATATAGTCTGCAATAACTTCTTTCAGAAATGGTGTATACATTTTAAAAGGAGAGAATCAATAGCTGTAAGATTAAAAAACATTATTCATCTCTTTCTCACAGCAGGGTGACTAAGCCTGCTGTCACCAAACATGTTACCTCACTGTTCCCTGATGGAGTTCCTTTAATAGGATGAGATGAATGCAAGTGTTTAACTATTTTAACATATCAACAACAGAAAATAAAAGCAGCTATTGAAACAAATTATCTGGCTTCCCACTCATTAAATATGTTTATGTCATTAGACAGAATGATACTGATGCCTAAAAGTTCTATACAGGTTGAGCATCCCTAATCTAGAAATCAAAACTCCAAAATGCTCTAAATTCTGAAACTGTTAAAGCACTGACATACTTAAAGGTCATACTCAAAGGAAAAGCTTACTGGAGCATTTCAGATTTCATACATTCGGATTAGAGATACTCAACAAATAAGTATATGCAAACACAGCAAACCTCATACTATTGCACTTTGCTTTATTGTGCTTTGCAAATATTGCATTTTTTAAAAAATTGAAAGTTTGTGGCAACCCTGTGTCTAGCAAGTCTACAGGTGCCATTTTTCCAACAGCATGTGCTCACTTCATGCATCTCTGTGTCACATTTTGGTAATCCTTACCATATTTCAAAATTTTCATTATTGTTATATCTGTTATGGTGATCTGTGACCAGAGATCTCTGATGTTACTATTGTAATTGCCTTGGGGCTCCAAGAATCATGCCTGTATAAGACAGCAAACTTAATAAATAAATGTTGTGTTCTGACGGATCCACTGACCTGACCGCCATTCCCCTATCTCTCCCCCTCTCCTCAGGATTTCCTTTCCCTAAAACACAACAATATTAAAACTAGACCAATGAATAATCCTAAAATGGCATCTAAATTTTCAAGTAAAAGGAAGAGTCATATGTCTCTCACTTTAAATAGAAAGCTAGAAATGGTTAAACTTAGTGAGAAAGGTGTGTCTAAAACTGAGATGGGCCAAAAGCCAGACCTCTTGTGTCAAACAGTTAACCAAGTTGTGAATGCAAAGGAAAAGTTCTGGAAGGAAATTAAAAGTGTCACTCCAGTGAACACACAAACGATAAGAAAGCAAAACAGCCCTATTGCTGATACGGAGAAAGTTGTGGTCTGGATAGAAGATCAAAATAATCACAACATTCCCTTAAGCTGAAACCTAATCCACAGCAAGGCCCTATTTCTCTTCAATTCTACAAAGGCTGAAAGAGGTGACAAAACTACAGAAAAAAAGTTTGAAGCTAGGAGAGTTTGGTTCATGAGGTTGAAGGAAAGAAACAATCTTCATTACATAAAAGTGCAAGGTGAAGCAGCAAGTGCTGATGTAGAAGCTGCAGCAAGTTATCCAGAAGATCTAGCTAAGATTATTGATAAAAGTGGCTACACTAAACAACAGATTTTCAATGCAGATGAAACAGCCATCTATTGGAAGAAGATGCCATCTAGGACTTTCATTACAAAGAGGAGAAATCAATACCTGGCTTCAAAGTTACAAAGAATAGGCTGACTCTCTTATTACATGCTAATGCAGCTAGTGACTTTAAGTTGAAGTCGATGCTCCTTTACCATTCCGAAAATACTAGGGCCCTTAAGGATTATGCTAAGTCTACTCTGCCTGTGCTCTGCAAATGGAACAATAAAGCCTGGATGACAGCACATCTGTTTATGGCATGATTTCCTGAATATTTAAGTGCTACTGTCAAGAGCTACTGCTTAGAGGAAAAAAAGATTCCTTTCAAAGTATTACTGCTCATTGACAATGCACTTGGTCACCCAAAAGCTCTGATGGAGATGTACAAAGATATTAATGTTGTTTTCATGCCTAATACAACATTCATTCTGTAGCCCATGAATCAAAGAATAATCTTAACTTTCAAGTCTTATTATTTAAGAAATACATTTTTTGTAAGACTAAAGCTGACATAGTGGATTCCTCTGAAGGATCTGGGCAAAGCAAACTGAAAACTTTCTGGAAAGGATTCACCATTCTAGTGTCATTAAGAACATTTGTGATTCATGGGAGAAGTGAAAATATCAACATTCACAGTTTAGAAGTGGATTCCAATCCTCACAGATGACTTTGAGAGGTTCAAGTCTTTAGTGGAGGAAGTGCACACGTGGCAGAAATAGCAAGAGAACTAGAATTATAAGTGGAGCCTAAATATATGACTGAATTACCACAATCTAATGAAAAAACTTTAAAAGATGGGGAATTGTTTCTTATAGATGAACAAAGAAAGTGGTTTGCTAGGATGGTATTTACTCTTAGTGCAGATACTGTGAACATTGGTGAAATGAAAACAGAGGATTTAGAATATTATGTAAATTTAGTTGATGAAGAAGTGGCAGAGTTTAAGAGGAATGGCTATAATTTTGAAAAGTTTTTTCTGTGGATAAAATGCTATCAAGGAACATCAAATACCACAGAGAAATCTTTGGTGAAAGGAAGAATCCAGCAACGTGGCAAACCTTATCGTCTCATTTTTTAAAATTGCTGCAGCCACCCCAGCCTTCAGCAGCCACCACACTGATCAGTCAGCAGCCATCAACATCCAGGCAAGACTCTACCAGTAAAAGAATTACAACTCACTAATTTCAGATGACTGTTAGCATTTCTTAACAATATTTTTAAATTAAGATGTGTACATTTAAAGAAATGCTATTGTACACTTAATAGACTACATTATAGTGTAAACATAACTTTTACATGTGCTTAGAAACCAAAAAATCAGTGTGACTCGCTTTATTGCAGTATTTGATTTATTGCAGTGGTCTGGAACTGAACCTGCAATATCTCCAAGGTATGCCTGTATTCAAAATACAAAATCCAAAACAATTCTCCTCTTCCAAGCATTTCAAATAAGGAGTACTCAACCTGTAGTGCCATTGGAATTGAGGTTTACCAATTAAAGGACAAACTAGATCCAATGTAAAATAAGTTCCTCAAACTCTTTGCTAATCTCCAACAGACAGAAGTGCTTAACGTTTGTTAGGGAGACTGTGTGTGCAATTTTAAATCTAAACTAAATCTAAACTGTAATTTCAAAAGTTTGCCCCTTCCTAATTATTATTTCTCCATATGTAGGAGATTGCCTAAATTATTTATAGGTCATGCTGCCTTAGAGATATCTATAGTAATGAAATAAATCCTCAGAATCCAAGAAACCTTTGTCTGGTACACAAGACGCCTTAGTAGTCTATACCTTTTTTTAATTCTCCAAACTGCCCATAAGTCAATGAGTTTGGAAACCAAAAAATCAGTGTGACTTGCTTAGGAAAAGAATCACTTAGGAAAAAAATCACTTGAAAAAAGAGCATTGATCCTCTAAATGAACCAATTTCAAATTTCTATAGTTTTGGCCCTGACATATCCTTAAGTCAAAATGGAAAAGAAATCTGATTCCCTATTCTTTAATTCACTTTCCTTTTTTTCCAGCCTGTTCCACTTTTTCCTTGGGCTCCCTTTTCCCAAAGCTCCCAATTTTCTCACCTAGTCTTTATTCACAGACAATGACTTAATCAACTTTTGTGGGATTAAGGACCTAACAAATTATTTCTTTTAGTACCATTTACATTTCCTAAGTGGTACACCTAGAGAAGGATTAATAAGGTATCACCGAAAGCTTCTGGAGATGGTTTCTAGATGCCCCTTGGTGCAAAGAATTAAGCCTATACTTCTATACTAAGTTGAAGTATATTTCATACTTCACATGTCACAATTATATTTCCCTCCAGCTTTCATTCTACCTATTATTAAGAATTTTACATGGAAACATATAGGATTTTCCAGGATAAAGAAAATCTTTTACAAAGAGTTTCATGAAACTCACTTTGTTCCATACAAAAGGAGTTTTGGTTATAGACCAATATCCAACTCTAGTGAGTAGTTCTACAGTTTTTCAAGCAATTATGATAGAATGTTTTCATTCTCTCTAGTCAGTGTGAGCTCCTAAGATTAAATTCACAGCTTTTCATCAAGGCTGATGTAACTTTCTTACTATCATATCCTTTAAAATAAGGACTGTAGCCTGAGGGTACCTAAGAACATGTGGCAGAAGGCAAAAACAGAAGGTTTTTACAGTTTAGAATATTTTAAACTCAGAATATTGACTATATATTTTTGGTCAGAATTTTTCTTTTAAGTAGCAGTAATATGCCCATTTTGTAGCCACAGTTTTAAATTTTCAGTCTTCACCCCTCCAAAACAAAACAAAACACAAAACAGAACAACAAGTGAGAAGGAGGAGGGGGAAAGAGAGAAGGAGGTGGTGTGGGGTGGAGAGGAGATGATGCCCCCTTCTGTCATACAACAAAATCCATTTCGAATATCGAAACTTGCCAAGATCAAAACTGGCCAAAACAACAAACTCCACTGTTGAAATTGACAGTACGGTATAAGACAATAACCCAGGTTTCTCAATTGAAATAACTTTGCCACAAATTTCATCTCAACGTCTTTAATATCATGGTTCCCAGCCCTTCATGCTCATTAGTATCCCCTGGGAAGATTTAAAGCTGTACTGATGCCCTAAAACCATTCTCCTGATTCTGATGTGGTTGGTCTAGGGTGCAGCCTGGGCATCAGGAGATTTAAAAGCTCCCAGGGAATTGTATGTGCAGGTACTCAGTGTTTATCAAAAGACAGAAGACACAGCTATTCCAGACACCTGTTTGAACTGATTGATGGCAACCCAGCTTCATTAGATGTCTACCTAGTGTTGAATCTTTGTAGCATCCCCCACATTTGTTCCGTGAAACAGGGACAATAGGAGATCACAGTCTTACATAGCTCTCTGACCCATTAATCAACGGGTTGTTCCTCTCTGGTTCTCTCTGTGGGTTCTGACTCATGCTGCAGTAGAGAAAAAAGACAAACAGCCTAGCCAATAAACGACCGCTGCTACGCGATCTCCTTTGACTACAGTAAAGGGCCAGAAACTGCCTTTGGGAGTGCAGAGACAGTGTAGGAACGATGCTGCCATCTGGCTGCCTTCCTGGGCATCTCTTTAAAAAAAAAAAAAAAAAAAAAGTGAG
This sequence comes from Homo sapiens, assembly GCF_000001405.40. Classification (NCBI taxonomy): domain Eukaryota; kingdom Metazoa; phylum Chordata; class Mammalia; order Primates; family Hominidae; genus Homo; species Homo sapiens. The sequence continues at coordinate 180,125,637 of NC_000002.12, read as the reverse complement.
TTACTAATCATACTCTCCTACATTTACACATTAGATACAGGCTTCACTATTCCTTTGCAGTGAGGACTCCTCAGTGACAGGCAGAACCCAAAGGGAGAGCAAAGCAGCCCAAGGGGAGCAGAGCAACCCAAAGGGAAAGCAGAGTAGGCCAAGTAGAACAAATGCTCGCCTTAAACTTTTTTTTCCTTTTTGAGACAGGGTCTCACTCTGTTGCCTAGGGTGGAATGCAGTGGCGCCATCTTGGCTCACTGCAGCCTCAACCTCCCGGGCCCAACGGATTCTCCTACCTCAGCCTTCTGAGTAGCTTGGGACAGCCGTGCACCACCACGCCCAGCTAATTTTTTGTTTGTTTGTTTTTGTACAGACAGGGTTTCAGCATGCTGCCCAGGCTGGTCTTGAACTCCTGGGCTCAAGTGATCCACCTGACTCAGCCTCCCAAAGTGCTGGGATTAAAGGGGTGAGCCACTGTACCTGGCAACACCTTTAAAAATTTCTTCACCCACCTATCCACCTTTAAAGTTGTTCTTTGAGGGCTTTCAGGAATGAGGTTAATCCAAATAGGATAAGGCAGTTTTGTTCCCAGGAAGTATTTAACACACTGGTTCTCAACTTTCCTACACATTAGAATCACCTCGGGGAGGTTTGTGAAAATGCAGATTGCTGGTCTCCACTCCCATCCAATTCAGTAGGTCCGAGCTGAAGTCTGAGAATTTGCAATTGTAACAACCTCCCAGATGACACTGCTGGTCTGGGAAATCACACTTTGAAAACCACTGAACAAATTGTCAAAAAATAATTGCTGACAGTCAGTAATGTAATAAATCCATTAGCCCCCTCCAGCCAAGGAGGGAAGACTGGGTAAAGAAGCCATAGACGGTGGCAGTGACCGGGGTCAAAAGATGTTGCCACTATGGGGTTGTTCCTAGGTATCTATGGAGTAGCATACCAAAAAGGCCAGGTAAGAAGAAGTGGTATGGATGAGGATTAGACGAAAAATGCCTCTTCATTGTTTTGCCTGGGCTCCTCAGAGACTTGTGGGAAATATTGCATCGTCTCTTAACTAAATATTAAATCATCCCTGTGCATCTAATTTAGTGGGGGGCAGACCTGTTTCACAAGCCAAAATAACAGGCTGCAATAACTGAGGATTTTATATATACCCTGACCAAAGAAGTTTGCATTCTCATAGCACCATCTAGTGGAAATTTGGGGATTTTTGTTTTACATCGAACAGCCTAAAATGGAGATAGTTTATGTTATTATGACAGGGAGAGAAGACTGCACGATTTGCTAATTGAGGTGCAATACAGACAAGTAAACAAAAACAGGAAAAATGTGGCTTATGTGAAAGACATTTTTTAACCATATACAACATGTTCTATAAAAACAGAGCAAAGCCGTTAGCTGAGGAACTTGTGTGCACAAAGAAATATGTACAAATAGCTTTTCCAGAACAGTCTAGTAAAAATATGTAGTAAAAGTGGGAAGATTATGTTATATAGAAATATATGTTTATGTGCTGTGTTTATATGCCACAGCCTCAAACCTTCTTATAACTTATTAACAATTATATGAAAATATAGGAACAAAGCTCATGTTCTGTATGAATACAACAGGATTCAAATAACCACATACATTACAAAGAGTTGAATAAATTGAATTCTCTATTTTCTACTGTATAGTCAAGGAAGAGACAGAGTAAGGAGGAAAACAGTTGTCAAATCTGCTGGTGGTTCTGAGAAGGGATCAGAGAGGTAAAAATGCAAGGTGTTAAAAATCTGTTTTACTGGCCCACAAAATGTTGTTTGCAAAACTCTGTTCTAGATGAGCTGATAGTTTAAGGGTAACTGTTTCACTAAATGGTTTGAACTCAATGGATATTAATCAGAAGCAATTTTCTTTTTCTAATCATATGATTGGTCAACTTCTGCTTTCTTGCCCCTGAATGATATCTCAGGCAGATTCCATTGATAATTGATCATTGTCATAGTTCATATAAATCATGTAATTTTACCTAGCTCAGCTTGTAAAACAGGCGCCCCAAAGGGGTCTGGCCTGCCCCTCCTCCCGACTCCAAAACCATGAAGCCAATCTGGTTGCACAAAACCTCTTCTTTCTCCACATCAAGATCTAGCTTCTTTAATGACTTGAGGTGGGATCAGAGGAGAAGAAACAAAATAGTCTCTTCACCCAATTCTTTTTGTTGCAGAATTTTCTGTTGGGTATTGCTGCTCATCTAGAAAACACCAGCTACCAATAGATGTCCTCTCTGTGCCGAAATACTGCTTACCTCAGGGGATATTGGGTAAGTTCAGAAGGCCCTGAAGAGTCTCCCTGACATGGTAAATCCAACTCTAGCCAGTCTTTCCTACCCCTTTACAGCTTCCCCCATTAACCTCTTCCCACTGGAGTATCTACAGCCTGTAAATAGGACTCAGGTGGAAGTACTGCTAAGATGACTCAGGTTCAGCTACTTTTCCCCATATCCACGCAGCCTTTGGGAGATTTGTACATTCTTGTCACTCCAAAGCCAGAATCTTCTCTGTTCCATGGCAACCACCTTCTTTGTTTCTCTCCACAGGCTGCTTCTCCCTGACTCAGCGTCTGATTAAGGAAATAGCCAGTTGGGAAATAAGATACTGATTCCCTTCTTTTAGTGCCACCCACAATCTCATAAGGGAGGAGTATGAGGCTTCTCACCCCATAAGCACTTCATGTGGAGGACTTTGGGCTCCTTTCTCCTCCCAATTGTCCCTCTATAGCTTCCCTTCTGCTAGCCCAAATCTGCCTAGTTGTATTAATCATGATCCAAGAGAGAAAAAAGAAACCTTGGATTGATGGCAGCAGAAAGCCACTGCCACCTTCACCTGGAGGGACCCACAGGTCCAGGGTCCAGGGCCCAGGGCTACTTGGTGGAAGCTAGGCCACAGGTAGGCCTGAGTGGTGGGGATGGGAACTGGGGCTGCAGAGAGGATGGAGTTACCATCATCTGAGGCATAGTGAGAGTGGTAGAAATACCCTTCCTTTTGTGTGCTCTGCTGTCCCAATAATGTCTCCACACTTGGCCCAGAGCAACAGGAAGCCAACTGACTTGGACAACCTGAAATACTAAAATATACCTAAAATACACCCTGCCACATATCACGTGGGGGGCGGGGCGGGGCAAACTCTTCAGGTGTATTTTAGGTTGTATTTAGGTGAAATAATTTAAGTTGTGTAATTTCACCCAAATACAACCTAAAATACACCTGAAGAGTTCAGCTCCCCTGTGATACATGGCAGGGCAGAAGTTTGAGGAAGGGATTGAGACTCAACAGGCCTAGTATGGCACTCCAGTCTTTGAGAGTGGAAAAACTGGATTGGCCAATTCATACTCAAAACTCTTCTCTCTTGTACCCAGATCACCAATTTCCTTGAATCTTTATCTAAGCTTTGGAGTGAAATGAAAGGTCCCTAAAATCACATAACACTTGTTTACTTTCATCTTTGTGTTCTTGTCACTATTTTCAGGTCAAGAGAAAAAGCTTCTCTCAAGATCTTATCATGTGAGGTTAAATGCAGGGTCTCCCAATGTGCTGTTCAATTGTGGTATAAAAATAACAAGCAATTGCCTTGATACTACACTGCTTGGTCCCAAACTGTATGTCAAATATTTTTATAAATATTATTAATTTTACCCAGTCCATTATTTCCTATGCCAAGTGAGATTTCAAGATATCCAGGAATTTAAATTTACATTTAAGAAAGTATATATAATGCTATGGAGAACCTCTGAATATATTATATTTCAGTACCTTCACAACTAAGATTTTATTAAATTGTGATTCTACTTATATCAAAAATCCCTGTACTAATAAATCTTCATTGAATTTTATATGTGCTCAGCACTATGCTTTGAGAGAGAGATAAGTATCTTAGGCTGGGTTCCCCAGAGGCAGACTCTGAGATGAAGATTCATGAGCAAGTGATTAAGAAGGTGCTCTCAAGAGAAATAAGTAAGGGAGTAGGGAAAGCAGAATAGGAAGGCAAAACCAAGCAATAGTGTGTTTCTGACCAAGTCCCATAGAGGATAGCCTCAGCCTGGTCCTAAAGGGAACTCCAAGTATCCTGTAGGAAATTTGTCCCAACTGGAAGCAAAGGAACTGGGCTCTCATGCTCCAAAACACATTATTCATTAGATAAGGAGCCTGGGTTCTTATCTAATGAATATGTTAATTTCATTTGCTTGGTTGGGCCAGCAAAGAATGTTCACAGGTGCTGGCCATTGGAAGAAAAACCATGCCAAGGCTGCAGGAGGGGCAAAGCAGATGTGCAAAGAGATTGTGATATTGTTATATAATAAGGAAAATATATATTTGGTCTTTGTCCCCAGTTCCTGGCATAGAGTTTCTAAAACTCTTGGAATTTCCTGAGTGATAGGTGTGACAGAAGAGTCCTTTATTATTCATAATAAGCCTCTTTCTATCACACCTGAGTTTATGCTAACAAGGCAACTCTTGATAGGTCCCTAGATAGCTTCTGCATGGAAGCTGACAGTGAGGAACCTCTCATGTGATATTGGCCCCACCCCCTGACCTCTGGGAGGGGATTAGGGGCTGGAGACTCAGTGATGTCTATGTAATACAACAATGCAAGCTCCATAAAAACACTGAACATGGGGTTCAGAGAGCTTCTAGGTTGGTGAAGACATCAAGGTGCTGGAGGATGGCATGCCCAGAGAGGACGTGGAAGTGCTGCACCCCTCCCTTCCCATACCTTGCCCAGTGCACCTTTTCCATTTGGCTGTTCATCTGTATCCTTTATAATATACCTTATAATACAGCAGTAAGAGTAAGAAAAGAGCTTCTCTGAGTTCTGTGGGCCATTTTAGCAAATATATTGACCCTGAAAAGGGGTCATGACAACACCTGACTTATAGCTGGTCATCAGAAGTATGGTAGGCCCTGGACTTGCAACTGGCATCTGAAGTGGGGGTTGTGGGAATCAGCTCTTCAACTGTGGGGTCTGCACTAATTCTGGGTAGTTAATGTCAGAATCAGGTTAAACTGTAGGACAACCAGTTGGTGTGCAGAGAGTTGGAAACTTGATGTTGGGGGAAAGAGTCCCACACATTTGGTGTCAGAAGTTGTTAGTAAAAACTAGATCATAGTATTAGTAGAGTAATAAGGAAATCTGGGTGGAGCAACAACAGTCTCTACTTCAATCAGCATAAAACTTGTCTTCTTTCCATTGGTATATTGCCATCTAGGTGACTACTGAAAAGAACTGGATACCAATATTCGACCAAGTATATAACTAAGTGCAAAGTTATGGCACAGCTGAAGCACACTATCACAGAAAAAAAAAGCAGTGGTGACCAAACTTTGCTGCCCATTGAAATCATCTGAGAATCTTTAAAATATACTGATGCCTAGATTCCACTGCTCAGCACTCTGACCTATTTCAAGTGGAGTGCAACATGGGCAAATTTTGTAAAGCCACCCCCCCACTCTCCAGGTGATTCTAATCTGCAGGGAAGTTTTGGTAGAACCAATTTAAGGCAAGAGAAATCAATGTGAATTGCATCCCTGGTAAGAGACATCAGGTAGGAGGTGAGGCTTGAACTGGGTTTTGAAAGATGGTAAGAATTAGGGTATAAATAAAAGGGGCCAACGCTACTGTCAAAAGATACCACATAAGTTCTAAGGCAAAAATTAGCACGACTAATAAAGAATCAACTAGAACATTTCTTGCTGAGACTACTGGAAAATAAGGTTTTAAAGATAAAGTGCATCCCTATTACAGTGGATTCACAAGTGAAGCAATTTTCTTTGAATTTGACCCAGTTGGCAACCATTATATTTTTTTTTTAGTAGAGAACTAAAATGATAAAAGTGATGTTTAAAGAAAAGTATTCTATTAACAATACAGAAGATAGATTCAAATTGTAAGAGACTTGAGTCAAGGAGGTCTGAGGAGAGGACATTTCGGTAACTCTTTTGATATGGGACTAGAGCAGTAGCTGTCAGAATTGAAAGGAAGAGACAAATAGGAAAAGGTATTTTAAAGGAAAGAGAGGTCTTGAATCTTGGATACAGAATCCACAAAGAGAAAGAAATGAAAGAAAAGTCAAAACTTAGTAGATGATGCATTAACTGATGTGTTTCTTTTCATGCACATTAACCCCCGGACCTACCTTCGATTGGGCTGGGAGACATGATGCAGGCATTAACCCATTTGGGATGTCAAAAAGGGATAGTAGTAAAAAGATCTCAAATCCTTTGCTTTAAATAAGTTAATAAAAATAAAGCTACATTGTGCATATAACACAGAATATTTTCCAAAAAAAAAAATTAAGAAACCTTTTTGTTTTCTCCATTCTAGCTTGCTTGCTTCCTTTTCTGCCACCGCCCTCCCCCACACCCCCCACCATGCAAATCCCCCTGGGAAAGAAGAAAGTTGGACAGGAACAAGATAGGTTAGACACTTACAGTAAGTACTTTGAACACTATCCACTCCTATTTCTCTGTCTCCTCCACATCCCTAAACCTTGTGGATCAAAAGGAGCCAGAAGAATGTACCACCCTCCCTTATCCCTAGAGATTCAAGGATAGAGTCATGAATGGACTCCTTTCTGTCCACCACATGGCATTGAGGTTAGTGCTATCTCAGACACACAGATCTTAATGATGGTTCTATATCTTGACAGCCCTGGAGAGAGGTCCTTGAGCAACAGAAGTTATTTGAGATATTTTAGAGAGTTTGTAGCCCAAAGATCTGTCGGAGTTGGTGATGAATTATCTCAGCAAAAAGTGATATTGGACCCTCAGTTTCCACACTGTGATGGGAGCAAAGACATCTTAGCAAAAAGAATTTGTGCTAACAATCAAGGATAATGGCAGGATAACAATATCTCAGCTGACAACAGCATGAGACAGATCAAGACCAAGATGAGGACCCCTCCTCATCAACACTGTTCCTCTGCAGTAGAGAGAAAGGGCACCAAATATTAAGCATATTATATTAGTGATAACTAAATATATGCATATGTATATATAGCTACATTTTATAGTTATTACATGTAATTTATATTTAATATAAATGTTAAACATAAGTGAGAGATCACTAAATTTGATTGAATATAATAATTATGAAATCATTAAAGTGATTGAATTTTTCTAGATATGATTGGGGTTATTTTGCTACTATTAGAAATGATGCATAAGGTAAAAATATAATTATATTTCATTATAGAAAAATAAAGAATGTTACATTTTATGCATCTGAATTTGTACTCTTTGAAAATAGTGTAGCCTTCACAAGGTTTTAAGGTAATATGACAGAGAGAATGATGGTGCCAGATGATTAGTCTGACTCGGCACAAGTCGAGAACTTGACAGTTTGAAGTAACAAGACAGGTGGTAGAAACTATACTTTAGGTTGATGGAATCAAAACTAGAGTCAGACTAGAGCATAAAGCCAAAAGCTATAGATTGATTCAGTTGTCATTAGCATGAAGCTGATCATTTAAGCCAAGATGAATGTACAAAGAAAAGCAAATAGGAATGAGCTCTAAGTGGTGCCTAAAGGACACAAAAGTGAGCTTGATATTTTAATTTTTAATGGAATTTTTCAAGCATATAAGAGGGCATGACATAAAATGTATATGGTTTTTCCTGCATCTTTTCCATTATTTGATTAAACTAAGTCATAACAATTTCATAGGCCTATATTTTCTAATCTGTTTAATAGATTTAACCTACTTGTGTAGGTTTGTGGAATATAAAAGATGTCTCACAAATTAAAAGACATTGCTGAAATACATGAGAAAGGCTAAAAGATAAACTTAAGAAAATCTCCCAGAATAAAGAGCAAAAAAGCAAAAACACAAAAACCCAAAAGGTAAAATATGAGTTAAGAGATATTTTTTAAAAATCCTAAGAGGCCCAATATCCAAATAATGGAAAAGAAATAGAGAAATGAAAATTATCAAAGAAATAGTAAAATTTCCAGAGCTGATTCTGCAGTGAATATTTACATATTCATTGTATAGTAATCTGTTTATTAATTTTTATTTCACAGAATCAACTCATCAACAAGTCACAGAAGGCATAATTTTAATTCTGAAAGAGAATATAAATCCTATGAGCCCTGGCAATGTCCACATTGAAATTTATGACAATAGTTTGGGAGGTGGAAGCAGAGAAAGAGACCTGATGGGCGTGTGGGAACCCTACTATTAAATAGCACAGAGGGAAGAGGAACTGTTTTAAGGTGAAAGACTACAGAATAAAGTTTTGAGAATATTATTTAAAGTCCTGATGGTAACCGATAGAAAACCTAGAAATAAGATTGTATCTGACTAAATATGGGACAAGTCAGGAGGAGTGTAGAGTAATATTGTGTGACTGAGCACAATCCCCACATTTGGTAGCCCCTGAGATGGACTCCCGTGATCCCTGACCCGAGCTATTGTAACACTTTGTAATCCCATCCGTTTGACCATAGACCAGACTTACTGACTTCTAACAAATAGGATACAACAGAAGTGTTGAGATGTCACTTCCCAGATTAGTTTACGCAGAAACTTTGGCTTTATCTGAGGCACCCACTCTATTGCTCTCCGGATTGCTCCAAGGGAAGACAGCTGCCATTTGATGAGCTGCCCACATGACAGAGAACAGGCCAATAGCCCTCAAAGAATTGAAACCTACCAACCAGGGGAGTGAGATTGGAAGCATATATTCCTTCGATTAAGAGTTCAGATGAGAAGACAGTTCCTGCCAATACCTTGATTGCAACCTTATGAGAAATCTTGAGGTGGAGACCTAGCTAAACCATGCCTAGATTCCCGACTCACAGACTGTGAGATAATATACTAAAAATACATCACTAATTTAGAATAAAAATCAAACAAGCTGTCGAAGAATGTACACAAAAGTTGAAAAAATATTACACCAAAGATGATAGACAAAGCACGGCAATCCATTCTAAGAAAAGAGGTATTTGCAAGGGCAAATGAGAACAAATGGAGCCAAAGCAATAAATTAAGAGAGGAAAATTTTTGTAAGCTATAAAAATGATCTGAGCTTGTAGTCAAAAGGAGTCAAGATATTGCATGCAACATTGATGAGTAGAGACCCATGCTTAGAAATCATCTGAAAAAAAGTATTTTAGAAATAAAGGGAGTAAGCCTGTAAATGTTCAGGAAGAATACATGGAATTGATATTTTTTAAAATAACTAAAATTCATTCTCCTCCAATACACTGGCCACAAAAAAGTGAAGCAACTTTTATATGAAATGAAAAAAAGTGGTTGTCTTCTAAAGTTGTGCACAAAAGCCACTGAAAGACATGCTCAGACATAAAAGGGCTATGAAAGTAAACAACTATTAACTCTTCTTTTAAAAAATATGTATAAACTGTATTTAATTGAATGAGCAATAAAATATTAAGAAAATGGGATACATAAGTCTGCGTGGGAAACACTGATGTCAGTTAAGTATGTGGGTTGAAATAAAAATATGATAACTTTAGTCTGACTCTAAAAGTAAATGTGTATAAATACTTAAACATTCATAGCAAGAAGTTTAAAGTGATTTGATTTTTATTGAATTTGATGAAGGTATTACATTCTGGGGTGTTTTTGAAAAAGTGAAAGAGAACCAGTAAAAGATCTTATCAGTTAACTTTTACTATGTAACAAACCACCCCACAACTTACTGAGCCAAAACAACCACTATTTATTTAGCTTATGAGTCTGTGGGTGAGCAATTTGGATTGTGCTCAGCGGGCCAGTTCTTTTGTTCACATCTGGCCTCATGAATGCATCTGAGTTCAACTGCCAGGTGAGCTGGGGAACTAAATATTTGAGGATGGCTTCTGCTAGGACAGCTCCTCTTTGCTCCATGTGGTCTCCCATGTTCCAGTAAGATAGTCGATGCTTTTTCATATGCCAGTGGAGGAATTTTCCAAGAGAGCAATTGGAAAACATGCAAGGCCTCTTAAGTTTGAGGCCTGAAACATGATTTCACTTCCATTGCATTTTGTTGGTCAAAGCAAATCACAAAGCCAGCCCAGACTTCAGGGTGGAAAAATCAACTCTTAACTCCTGGTGGGAAATTCTGCAAAATTATGTTGCCAAGCACCATGGAGACCAGAGGTGAATAATTACAGCCAATATTACAATCTGCCACAGCCTAACATCTGGCCTTAATTATTCACATCCCTCTCACAGGCAAAATATACTCACCTCCGGAGTCATCCCGAAGTCTAATCTAATCACAGCATTAGGCTCAAAGTTCAGAATCTTGTGATCTGTATTTGGTCTGATTGTAGCTCCTCTTGACATGGAGGCCTCTGACCTAAAAAGACAAGTTGTCTGTCACCCATATACCCTACCTACAATAGTAAGGCAGGGCAGAATAACCACAAGAGATACTCCCATTCAAAAAAGTGGGAGGATTAAAGGCATATAACAGTCATGGTCCATAGACATTATAAAATTCAGCCAAGCAACTATTTCTACTCAGAGGCAGTAATGTTCCTTGATTAAGGCCCAGCTTGAATCCCAGGAAGTGGCTTCCCAATAAATTGTTCTCCATGACCCGTGGCTCCTCTCACTAGCTGCCCTTCCTTTATAATGCTGTCAAGTCAACTTGAGTATGAGCCTGCTCAATGAAATGTGGCTCAGCTGTCCCTTTGCCACCATGGCTGACAACCAGCCAACCCCAGAAGCAGAGCTACCCTACTCTGTGCATGCAGGATTCCAACTGAGCCATTGAAACTCACCCTAAATTGCAAGCCTACTGAATCCGAGTTAAATAACTGTCTTTGTTTTAGCTACTCTATTTTAATGTAGTTTATTATATAGAAATAGCTAACAACCCATGAAGTTTTAAAAAAGAGTATACCTACTGCAGTAGATTTAAGAAAAATAAAATTATAGTCCTTATAAAGAGATAAAACACAGCTAACAGAAACATAAAAACAGAGGATCAAGTGTATCACTTATTTCAGAAAGTAATAAATAGGCTAAATCCTGTTCCTCAGGTAAAAGGAAAATACTGTCATTCAGTTCAAAATAAATTTCAGCTATATGTGGTTAACAACATTTCTAAAATGATATGATAGAGAAATGTCAATAAAAGTGTGGGCAGATAAGTATTAGCAAATAGAAGCAAAAAAAAAGAAAGGCAGTGATTACATTATTATAAAATTAAAGACTCAAAAGCTTCAAAGGTATTAATGGTCTATTTATTTTTAAATAGATAAGGGGTTAAGTCAATAATACATAACAATTATAAATCATTACTTAGTATCATAAAAATATGTAAACATTATGAGTTCAAGAGAAAAATGACAAATATTTACAAATTAAATTTGAATTAAGATTGATTTATTTAGATTCAATATTCTATAAAGAGTGAATACGCATTATTCTCAAGCATCCCTAGAATGTCTAAAAATCTATCACATAGTAGATAATAAAGAAAACTTCAAGAAAATCTCAGAAATCAAAAATTTCAAGGGTTCATTTTCTGATAGACCAAGGGCCCTTATCCATGTATGGGCTTCAGAAAATCCATAGGCTTCCTGACACAGTATTTTGTGTTTATGATCATTTTCTCTGTGTTGCATGTACAGTTTTTCATCAATATTCCAACTAATCCCAATCCTTCATAAATATGAGATTAGGAGCTAATAAAGACAATTATAATGAAAAGTTAAAACTCCAGACACACAAAATTTCTAAAGAAAAAATATTTTAAATGTTAGTATTTAATATGATACAAACATGGTATAAACTACTGTCTGCATTTAATGAACAGATGTGTGTAATTGGAATTGCTCTAGGTTTACAGTGGACATAATTGTCATGTTTATTAATCAATGATCCATAAATAAGAGTGCTTGTTAGTGAGTCCTGCATGCATACTGCAATAAATATATGGCTTATTGTTTTATGTGTATGATTTTTATCAATTAGAAATTTTTTCTTGCAAGTGAAAGAAAATCTATTGCCTGTTCTATTTACAGACAGGCTCCTTCCTTAGAGAACTTGAGCAACTCCAGAAATACATAATCTCAGCTTCCCAAAATTTCCCTCTAGAACCTCCCTCTATCTCGGAAGTCTCCAAAAAGTCTCATGATATTTCTTTGGCTCTGATGGCATCACCTGAGTGTCCATGAACTAATCATTGACAACAGGGAAAAGTGGGGATCTGATTGGCTATGCCTAATTCACATATCCCAATAGACCTCCACCCAATCACATTTGCTGAGAGCAATTGATGAGTAGATTCCAAGTTCAAAATGGGAATAACTATCTAAACTAGCTGAATAAATAATGTTACTAGTAACATGATACATACAGTCTATTGAATATAAGAATTTGCTATTTGCATGTTTACTGTTCATTCTTGCCATTCTGCAGTTTAAGGAAATGGGGCTATTAAAATTTGCAAGCTGGCTATAATAATTAAATACTGTTTACATGTCCTTTTTCTCACACCTGTTTTCAAAATTAGTAGAAATGCCAAACTTCCTAGAATCTGGTAGTTTTAGGTGATTAAGATTCATGGAATAAAGCTACCCTATATCTGCATTATCTCATAGTTCATATATTAAAACTAAATTAAAATAACTCCCAAAATTTAGCTATTTAATTAAATCTTGAACTCTTTTGTTGTTTATCATTAATGATTCACACATTTCAGCAAAATCAAATGAGAGTAATTCATTGTTCATGCTCCTGCAAGATATTGAGACCTAAAAACAACTGAATTCTTTACTTGCAAAGATATTCTTTCATTTATAACTGAAGTTACAATGTATGGAAATTCAGTAAAGATAACTGATGGGAGATAAAGGGTCTTGAAAAAAAAGTTCAACAAAGTGAAAATTTCATATGAAAGAAAAGGCATAATATGAAAGTAAAAAAAGAAACCTAGCACACAGAGAGAAGACAGAGACCAAGAATTGTTCTAAGAATGTCTAAGGGCTTAACCTCCCCTACCTCAGCATAGCAGAGAAGAAAATGAAATGTATTTAATATTTCTTGGGCCTCAGAATATACGGTACATTGAAGCAATACAAGATAAATAATTTAGGCTGTTTCAACTGAGATTGGCAAAATCCCAACTTGTCATAAACAGGGTTTTAAAAGCTTGATACTGCATAAATAATTTATAGTTTCTGAAGAGAAGTTCTAAATTTGAAACCACGCATTAAATAGAAGTCTCTGTATCAACCACAGGGCCCTCATCTCCTTCAGGAGCTGACTGAGATACTTTACAAAAAGGTCATCATCATAAATAAAAGCAAAATATCACGGCTTATTTCCTATTTTTGCAAATATAAACCAAACCCAGGATGTTTAAGAGATATGTCATAGCATTTTTAAGCAAACAAGAACAAAAATGTTACTTATATGCTCTTATATTTATTAAGTAAATTGCAAGCTAAATTACCCTGCCTTTCTTTTTTATGGGAGAATAGGATTCATTCCATATTTACCGAAGTTCCATATCACATCACAAAATACACTTATGATGCAATAAGTCTTTAAAGTGAAGCAAAAATTTTAAACCCCCAGGAAGAAATCTGAATACAATCTTTCTGGATTTTTATAAGAATTTCTTATTTTTTACATTTCTTGCCCACAACTAACTTGACATAATTTTTAAAATGTCTTTATGAAACATATCTAAAGCATTCAGTTAAGTTTATATAGAAATATCTCTTTCCATATTCATGTTTCATTGGTTTCTATAACAATTTACTTAGATTGCATGATGAAAATAACAAGTACAACTGACTGATGGGTTTGGAAACAAGCAGGACTAGTCGACAGTAAGCATGTTACACATCCAAGTACCTGGATTTTGGAGGCTAAAATGAAGCACCAAAATTTAACCAAGTAAACAATAGTCAACAATAATACACATTTATACCATATTCTCATGTTCTTAACACTGTGTTAAGTGCTATATATGGACTATCTCATTCAATCACCCAGAAAAAATAAGGTAAGCATCATTATTATCCTTTTTCACCTGTGAAGAAAATGAAGCTTAGAGCAGTTGAATAACTTGCCCATGATCACATGGCTGATGAGTGGTGAGTCAGGGTTTGATCTTAGTCTGGTATCAGAGCCAATGTTTTAAAGCTCTGTGCTACGCTGCCAGGAGTCTTCACTGCTGAACATCAAAAGTGGAAGACTGACAAGGTAAGATCAGAGACCTCCCAGACCAAGGTTGAAGGTTGCAATTCTTACTGATGACATTCCCTCCATTCCTAGTCTATGTGCTCTTTGTCTCAGGATATGGGTGACTTCTCTGATGTGTTGAGAAGAGAAAGGATCTGTGAACCTTGGGAAGTCATTGAAATTTGGGATGCTGTAAAATCTTTGTGAAAGCTTTTTTCTCTGAGAGAGGTCTGTCTTAGGAAAATGCTCGATTCTCTTAGCTTGAAAGATGCTTATAACTATAAAAATGTCTTAATATTCTGCTAGCTGATCCTGCACTCGAGGGCTCATAGTCATGGAGCTAGGGGTAGGAAAGGGGTTCTGATTAGCTAACAATTACTAAGGTTTTTATAATTATTATTGTAGTTCTATTACTACTATTATCGTTCCCATTGCCACCCTTGGTCTTAATGCCATCTCTTCCCTACCCTCAATCCCTGATATTTCCTATCAGTTAAGTAAATCTATCACAATATACTCAGCCCCATCCCAGGCAGCTTTTCCTAACCATACTAGCACCTGGTTAGAGGTGACCTGCATTGGCAGTCATGGCATTTCATGAGTATCAGTCAAAATGTATTGCAAGGTAAATCAACAGCAATGGGTAATCTGGCGAATTTCTTAAATGGAGGTAAGAACACCGTATAAGGCGGCAGTATGTTAAGGAAAACAACTACTATCTGTATAGCGTTTGCTATGGACATCGGCACTATGCCAAGTGTTTTACTGACCATCTGGCTGACCTAAGTATATCAGCAAGCAATGAGACATGTGTTCCATGTGATAATATCCCCAGCACACAAGCAGATTAACTAACATTTTTTGAAGAGCGATCCAGGTCAACTTTCTAGAGTTCCTCTGCATTTAAAACTCTTTATAATTTGGCCCCAAATGACCTGGACAATCTTGCACTACTTTCTCATGTGAACCTGCCCCTCCAGACACCATCTCCATAGCATAGCTGTGTGGTACAGGAAAGAGGCCTTTGATTTCACACTGCCTGGATGTATGTCCATTCTCTGTACTTCCTGTCAATGTGGCTAAAGCTAAGTTGCTCGCCCTTTTTAAGAGTTTCCTTATCCATTAAAAAGGGTGGTGATAAAACAATAATGAGGATAGTACAAGCCCTACCTCATAAGTGAAATTTATTGCCTATAAAGTCCCAGCCCAATGCCTGGCACATAGCAAGTGATCAATAAATATTGTTGATTATTATTGCTTTATAATGGTTTTAATTATAAAGAAGTTCAAGAAATGAAGGACATGTCATCCTAATGTTTTCTGACACTTAAAATAAGATGACTTTGATTGGCATTTTTTTCTATATAATAGAATATATATTTTGCTAAATATGTCCAACCCCCCCAGACTAATTTATAGCACTCCTAGTTTTTTTAAGACTAAAATAAAATATACATATGTAGGATTCTGGAGTCTAAAATGAGGCAGCAAAATTTTACCAAGTAAACAACTGTCAACAAGAATAAACATTTATACCATATTCCCATGTTCTTAACACTGTGTTAAGTGCTATATGTGGACTATCTCACTCAATCACCCAGAAACAATGAGGTAAGCATCATTATTCTCCTTTTTCACCTGTGAAGAAAACGAAGCTTAGAGCAGTTGAGTAACTTGCCCAAGATCACACAGCTGATGAATGAAGAGTCAGGGTTTGAGCTCAGTCTGACACCACAGTCAAAGTTTTAAAAAGCTCTGTGCCATGCTGCCAGGAGTCTTCACTGTTGAACATCAAAAGTGGAAGACTCACAAGGTAAGATCAGAGACCAGACCAGAGTTGAAGGGTGCACACGTCCTACTGATAACATTCCCTCCATTCCTACTCTATGTCCTCTTTGTCATAAGAATATGGGTGACTTCTGATGTGTTGAGAAGAGAAAGGATCTGTAAATCTTAGGAAGTAATTGAAATGTTGGGATGCTGTAAAATCTTTGTGAAGGCTTTTTTCTCCGAGTGGTCTGTCTTAGGAAAATGTTTGATTATCTTGGCTTGAAAGATGCTTATAATAAAAGTGTCCTAATATTCTGCTAGCTGATCCTGCACTCAAGGGCTCATAGTCATGGAGCTAGGGGTAGGAAAAGCCTTCTGATTAGCTAACAATTATTAAATTCCTTATTATAATTATTATTGAGGTTTTATTACCACTATTATTGTTCCCATTACCATCCTTGGTCTTTCTTAATGCCATCTCTTCCCTACCCTCAATCCCTGATATTTCCTATATAAATCTATCCAAATATACTCAGCCCCATTCCAAGCAGCTTTTCCTAACCATACTAGCTCCCCGCAATTGCTCCTGGATGTGAATTCATCTAACTGTTATTGTCTCCATCACATTTCTTGTTGGTTATTTTTTATGCACAGTTAACTTATCTCTACTTGTACAGAGATTATAAATTGTTTGAGAACTGCAGTATATCTTATATGTATCATCACCCTCAGTAGCTTCGTTGTGAGAGACATTCAACCAGAATATATTGATTTTCTTCTACTTAAAGGAAACATAAGCACAGCACAGCCATGTTTAGAAATCAGTTGGCCTTAGATCTTTCTTACTCACTATTGCAACCCTCATACAAAGAGGAATGAAAGTCAACTGTACCAACTCTGATGGAACACGTAAAGAATAAGAGGATTTTTTTCTTCTTTGAAAAGATTTAGTATTTCATTCTGAGGTTCTGAACGAAAAAATTTTAGTCACCCCATTCCTAACACAGACAACCAATTCCAAAATAAACAGAGGAAAATGAGCCTTGACTGTTTTCCAATATAATAATGCCAGAGACCCTTCAACTTAATATGGATTAGGAAGTACATGGTCTGCATATGAGGTAGCAATGACAGCATTTGTTACTAGAGAGCCCTGTCTGGAAAAAAAAAATACAAAGAAACCAAGGCTTAGATATGTTAGGAAATAGAGCTCATTGATATTAGAACATAAACAAGAACGTGGGTCTCATTTCTTGCATTAAACAACATACAAATGATTATCAAAGCCATTTTATTTTCATAAGACTTAACACATTATGGCACTAAAAAAAATTCTAGGGTACTATTAGAGCCAATGTAGAATCACAATAGAATCAAGTTAATAAGTTCTGCCACATGTTCCTTTCTCTCTCACCTAGGACCTTCATATTTTAACCAAAGATACCATCTTAAGAATTACTTTTTCAAAATAAATATTTTACTGATTTGTTTTGACTTTAAACCTTAGGCAAGAGATTGATTGGAGATTTTAGTTTTCATATAATAGCAAATGAGGTGTTTCCTTCTTAAAAACATTCTTCAGGAAAGGAAAAATCTCTTTTCATTAATTCATCTCTAAACCCACAGTGCAAAATGTAAATTTCCCTTACAGATTGAAACATATCAGGTAATCCCTGCATGTCCTTATCTTTCTTAGAGAGATAACTACTGAAGCCTTTTGTTTCTCTCCAGACTGATCATCCGGACTGGGCCAGCAGCATGTGTGTCGGTGATCCCTTGGGTTCCTATCACTTTCATCCTGGGAATTCCCTTGGTGTCTTATCAATGCCTGGACCCTTGTTTCCTGGATCCCATGTCAACTTTCTGGTTTACTCCTTTATTGTGATGAAAATTCCCTAGTTAATTTCTAAGGAAATATGCTTCATAGGCCAATATTTTGAGACTTTGTGTTTAGAAAATTTTTTTAAATCTTCACACTCCATTGACAGTCTTTCTGAACATAAAAATTCTCAAAGTCCTGTCTGTTTTTACTTTTGCTCTATTTTCTGGACATTTCTCAATTTTTCTGACACTTCTAAAGACCTTTTAACATGTCTGTTAGCAATTTTTCTCAAGAATTTTTTTATTCTCAAAGTTTATCTTATGTCTTGTTTGAAGAAAACCATCTCTAGCCAGATGCAATGGCCTGTGCCTGTGGTCCTAGCTACTAGGGAGGCTGAGGCAGGAGGATCGCTTGAGCCTAGCAGTTATGGGAGATGGAGACCAACTAGCCTGAGAAATGTACTGAGACGCTGTCTCTGAAAAGGGGGGTGAAGGAGGATGTATCCTTTTCTTGTTTAGGAGATGCGATATCTTCTGTAGTACATATTACTAACATTAATATCTGGTTCTCCTCCTCTTGTGCACACAAGGGCAGACTACACTTTCCTACACCTTGAAGTTAGCATGGCCATAAGTCTTATTTCAGGCAAATCATTAGAAAAAAACTAATCTTGTCATTTCTAGATGGAAGTATTTAAATGAAGTGGTTAAATCTCCAGTTTTTTCGTATCATAGTGATGCATAGTGATGTATTGATATGAAAATCAAAGCAGCTTGGAATACTGAACCAATACATAGAGAACAGCTAGAGAGTCAGCTGGAGAGACACCTGGGCCTGCATAGATATTGCTCGAGCAAGCAAAAAAAAATTTAGTTGTATTTAGGCAGATTTGGGGGTTGTTTGTTATGCTAGCCTAAGTTATGCTATCTTGACCAATTCAATCACTGGGACCACAGTGGGGCACTGCCATAACAATAAATATCAAATATGTAACATTGGCTCAGTGTCGAGATAGCAGGGAGTGAAGAAACTAATATTGAAGGCAGGAAAGATGGTGATTCGTGCTTTTTAGTGGCAAAATATTTGGTACAACTATGAACCTGGAGAAGGATTATGTTATTTAATGATCTCATATTTCCAAATGTAGAGGAAGGAAAAGTAGAACTAAATTCTGTGATAGGTCTCTGTGGGTAATGCTTGATGGCATATTACAAGAAATACATGAGATCAGAAAAAAAAAACTGTTCAGCCTTCAAGTAGGAATGAAAAGAATGAAAGAAAATTAGCCCAGAAATTGGAGAACATATTAGGTTAGAAGAGAGAACTAATTTTCAAATTTAAAATTAAGAAAGTTTTAAAGCAAGGGAAGCTCATTAAAACTCACCCTTAAGCAAGGATCAAAGTAAGGAGATAGCGGCCATGACCATTACCAAAACCTCTGTGTGGTTTAAATGTTCTCAGGTCACCCAGTAAATTCTTTCAATTGATAAAATAGCATAAGGAGATGTTAAGTGGTGCTTCTCATTAACAATCTTAAGCTGTTAAATAGCCTCAGAAATGAATGCTCCAATCTCCTGCCTGAGGAACATAAGCCTAAGAAGCAATCTTAGCTACGTGGAGGAAGGGAGGGAGCTGGAAGCTTTTATGTTCAATATGAACACTTTGATTTAATCTCACTGTTCAAGATGACACCCATCTTCCTGAACTGAGTCAGATGTCCCAAAGCTCTCTAGATAATAAACCTCCATTTTCCTGCTCAATGCATATAATGTAGTTATTATTACCTCCCATTCCTAGTTCTTTTTTTCTTTCTGAGTTCATCCCCTTTTAATCCCTTCTCTATCATTTTAGTAGAATTACAGGAGAGAACCAAGGTAAACATGTGTCCAATCTACCATGCTTAACCTGATCTACCCTTACCTGGCCTTCCTACTTCCTCTCCAGTGCCCTGTAAATCATTCTCAACACCAGAGCCAGAATGATCTTTTAAAACATAATTCATATCATCTCTTTATTTTAAACTCTCTAGTGGATTTCTATTGCATTTGAGTAAAACTCAACCCACTAATCTGAGCCTTGGGTATATTTCTGATCGCATCTCACATCATTTGTCCCTTCATCCTCTATGTTTAAGCCACTCAAGATTTCTGTATGAACATGCCTAAACCATTTACCTCTTAGGATCTTCTCACTTGCTATTTCTTCTCCCAGGAATCTTCTGTCACTAAGTCTATATAAGTCCAGTTATTTCTCGTTTAGTTCTCAAAATATGACCTCTACAGAAATGTCTTTAACCATGCAGAGTACTAAGTCTACGATAGCCTGATTCCACTGCCTCCCAGTCTCTCTATATAAAATCTCCCTGCTTTATTTTTTGTAGTATTTTTTATTCTCTTAATTATCCCATTAATATATAATATACTATATATTATCTATGTCTTCCTCCAGCCAAATCCCTCTCCAAAAGAATATAAACTCAGGAGATCTTGTTTTCTTATTCTTGAAAACTTACCTACCATGGAATATTACCTGGCAAGATTAAGCCTCTAGTATACCTTTAAATGTTATACTGAGACATGACTGAGTGAATCATGCCTGGACTATATTCTAAATCAGAATTATTTATGTGCTTCATTTATCATTTCTGTCAATTTGGAGACTATTTTTTAAAAGTATATGAGAATATTTCTTCCCTCTATGTAAAAATAATTTCCAGAAGTCTCCCTTCTGATAACAATAGATAAAATACAAAAAATAAAATACAAATAAAAATTAGAGCACTACTGTGACAATGATTGAGGGGGCAAGGTCATGAACAGAAAGGAACCACAGACGGGTAAGCCAACATTCTGTTAGTTCATTTTTCCTTTTATTTGTCAATTCAAAATTAGAGCTTGCAAGAGTAGAGACCAGAATTCCTAGCAGAGAAAAAACCCTGATAAGAAGTGGAGAAGACACCAAAGCTTTTGGCAATATTACTGTAGAAAGAAAGAAATGTAAAACAGTAGAAATGTTAAGTATAAGGAAAAATCTAAATAAATGTCAATGTTAATCAATAACAATAATAATGTCTTATAAAGGTTTGCATATGTGTAGAATTTCAATGGCTGGCCAAAATAACATAAATGGCAAAAGTTGGGGGAGTAAATGTAGTGTTCTAAGTATTTTACATGTCTAGGAAGTAGAAAAAAATACAAATTCATATTTGACTCTATTAAGTAATGAATGTGTGTTTAAAATCACAGGGGTTACCACTGAAAGAATTATTTTTAAGGATGTATAACTATAAAGCTAGTCGACGGCTGGGCGTGGTGGCTCTCACCTGTAATCCCAGCATTTTGAGAGGCCAAGGCAGGCGGATGACTTGAGGTCAGGAGTTCGACACCAGCCTGGCCAACATGGTGAAACCCCATCTCTACAAAAAATACAAAAATCAGCCGGGTGTGATGACGGGCACCTGTAATCCCAGCTACTTGGGAGGCTGAGGCAGGAGAATCACTTGAACCCAAGGAGGCAGAGGCTGCAGTGAGCCAAGATTGCACCACTGTACTCCAGCCGGGGTGACAATAGCAAAACTCTGTTTCAAAAAGTAAGAAGATGAAAATAAAAAGGTAGTTGGAAAAAAAAGAAAATAAATTTTAAGATTTTGATTGATCCAAATGAAGGTTGAAAAAAGAAAAAATTAAAAACAAGTGGGAATTATAAGATAAATGATAAGATGGTAGATACAAAACTCAAATCAGTAATCACATAAAGCACAAATTGACTCATTAGTCCAATTAAAATATTATCAGACTGGATTTAAAAGAAACTATAATGCTAATTACAAGAAACACTTTAAATATACGTGCACAGAGAGGTTGAAGGATGAAAATATGCAAACATGAACCAACAAAAAGTTACTGTAGCTATTTAATACAAAACATACTTGAAGACAAGAAGTATTCCTAGATAGAGAAAGCAATATTTTGTATTTTATGATACTAAGTAATCAATTGACTAGGAATAATTGTAGTTCTAAATTTATATGCACTAAATAATGCAGTTTTAAATATATAAAACAAACGTGTGGCTAGGGGCGGTGGCTCATGCCTGTAATCTCAGCACTTTGGGAGGCTGAGGAGGGCAGATCACCTGAGGTCAGGAGTTTGAGACCAGCCTGGCTAACATGGTGAAACCCCATTTCTACTAAAAATACAAAAAATTAGCCTGGCGTAATGGTGCACGCCCGTAATCCCAGCTACTTGGGAGGCTGAGGCAGGAGAATTGCTTGAACCCAGGAGGCGGAGGTTGCAGTGAGCCATGATCATGCCATTACACTCCAGCTTGGGCAACAAGAGTGAAATTCTGTCTCAAAAAAAAGGGCAGTAGAGACCTGACAAACTTGACCTGACATACAGGTTGTTTCTTATTCAAAATACTTGGGACCAGAAGTGCTTCAGATTTTGGATCTTTTTTCCAGATTTTGGATCTTTTTTCAGATTTTAAAATATTTGCCTATACATAATGAGATGTCTCAAAATGGAACCAAAGTCTAAACACAAAATTTATTTACATTTTATATACACCTATACACATAGCCTGAAGGTCATTTTATACAATATTTTAAATAATTTTGTGCATGAAACAAAGTTTGTGTACATGAATGATCAGAAAGCAAAAATGTCACTATCTCAGCCACCCATGTGGACAACCTGTGGTTGTTTGGCATCATCATTACTAACTCTGAATTTATACGCCATCAATAAGCAATCATTTTTTACTCTTCTTCACACATAAGTACGTAACAGTAAAAAATATGACATACCACTAATGCAGTGGAAAAAATAATGTTACCAAGGTAACTAAGCAGCACAGTAGCATCACCAGAATCCCTGTGTCAGCTGTTAAGCAATGGCAACAACAAATAATCAGCTTTCAGTCTCCACCTATGGCGTTCAGTTTTAATTAAAAGTTTACTGTATGCTCTATTTTTTTTTTTAGTGAGAAGAAACAACAGAAGCAGTTGAGACCAGAAAGTGGGTTCTCTAGGGTTAAGGAGGCATTCTGCATTCTGCTGGATGGCTTTTTAAAAATCTTTCTTCCAGAGTCATCTTGCCTCATTGACAATGGTTTTTGTCTTTGAAGTCTCTCATTCTAGTCCCTCAATAAGCCCATGATACATTTTCAAGCATGTCATCTATAGGCATTTCTGCAGTGTTAACGTCATCATCATCCCTATTATAATCATCTTGATTCAGAAACATTTCCCCTATTTCACCATCAGTTAATACATTAATGAAACCTCATTATCAACGTTAAAAACTTCTGTAGTATTCACTTCTTTCAGCTAACAGACTCTGAAGGTATATTTCTTGCATATGTAAGAAAGTCAGACATTATTTTTTCTCACTTGACATATAGAATCCTTCAAAGTTACCACCTTGTTCATCATCATCACTGAACATAGTCTCAAGCCAGAGGCTGTGCGAGGCATGCACAACTGTGTCTATAGTCACTGTGTTCCGAACATTGGCAACAGCATAGATGGCACCCTTCATGTTTAACTCATTTTGAAAATCTTCCACACTCATGTCAGTGTTCACTGCTGCTAGCATGCTGCTCAAGCAAATGTTTTTATATTTATTCTTCATTGATCTAAGAATATCCTGGTCACGTGGCTGAATTAATGAAGTTACATTTGGGGGAAAGTGCATGGCATATACATTATTTTTTATAAGAACTGCTGCTGGAGAATGAGGAGAACAGTTCAAGGAATACCAAAACTTGCAGTCATCATCCAATCCAGCTCTCCTAAAGTTAGCACAAGCCACAAGTAAAAAATGTTTGTAAAACCCATCAGAAAAAAAGTCCCTAGTGATCCACACATTTGAGAAAATTTTTGAAACACATCTCCAAATTCTTACAAATTAAGGAATAGACTTCTATAGCCCATGACTCAAAGAACAAACAGTGAAAACTAGAAAAGATTTTCAACTAAATAATGAAAAGAGGAAATATAAAACCTAATGGAATGCAGCTAAAACTACCCTAGAATGAAGCATATGGCCTTACATGAATATTTTAGAAAAGAACTACCAAAACTTAATAATCTAAATATCTTCTCAAGAAAAAAAAATAACCCAGCAAATTAAATCCAGAAAGGTAGAAGAAAAGTGATAGTGTAAGAGCAGAAAATTATTTAGGAAGTGAATAAACCAAAAGAGAGAAAATTAAACAGCCAAAAGTTAATTCTTTAAAATGAATAATAAAACTATACATACCTACCTAGCAAGACTAATGAAAATTATACTGAGAAGACTTAAAATATGACTAGCATAAGTGAAAAGGAGAACACTACCATAGATCCTATAGGTATAGAAAAAGAATTTTATGGAAAACTGTCTATGCAAATAAATTTGAAGATTTAAATGAAGTAGATAATTCCTAGAAAATCTTAATGTAGCAAAAAGAAATGTAAAATATAAATATGCTCATATTTTTAAAGACATTAGGTCTGTATCTTTACATCTTCACACAAAGAAATCTATAGGTTTAGATGAGATTATCAGAGAGAAACATTCAAAGGAAAAAAATAACAGTTATACAAATACAAACTCTTTCAGAAGTTAGAAAAAGATGAAACACTTCTCAATGCATTTTATGAGGTCAATATAAAGCAAAATGTGATGAGTATTACAATCCAGAAAAATCTCAAGCTAACTTCTCTCGTGAGCTTGGATCTTGAATGCAAAATTCTTAAATAAAATATTAGCAAATTTAATACAGCAATATGTAAAAAGGATACACATTGGCCGGGTGCGGTGGCTCACGTGTGTAATCCCAGCACTTTGGGAGGCCGAGGCGGGCGGATCATGAGGTCAGGAGATCGAGACCATCCTGGCTAACACGGTGAAACTCCGTCTCTACTAAAAATACAAAAAATTAGCCGGGCGTGATGGCGGGCGCCTGTAGTCCCAGCTACACAGGAGGCTGAGGCAGGAGAATGGCGTGAACTCAGAAGGAGGAGCGGGCAGTGAGTGGAGACCGTGCCACTGCACTCCAGTCTGGGTGACAGAGCAAGATTCCGTCTCAGTAAACACATACATACACACACACACTTCATGACTCCAGGAATTATTCCAGAAACGCAAGGTTAGTTTAACACTTGAAAAATCAGTATATCCAACCATTTGATCTTTTACAAGCTGACGAAAACAAGCAATAAAGGAAAGAACTCCCTATTCAATAAATGGTGCTGGGTAACTGGTTAGCCACATGCAAATTTAAACTGGACCCCTACCTGTCACTACAGCAAAAATCAACTCAAGATGGATTAAAGACTTAAATGTAAAACCCAAAACTATACAAACCCTGGAAGACAACCTAGGCAATACCATCCTGGACATAGGAATGGGCAAAGATTTCATGAAAAAGATGCCAAAAGCAAACCCCCAAAAAGCAAAAATTGACAAATAGAATCTAATTAAACTTAGGAGCTTCTGCACAGCAGAAGAAACTATCAACAGAGTGAATAGACAACCTACAGAATGGGAGAAAATATTTCTGCAAACTGTACACCCAAAAAAGGTCTACTATCCAGCATCTTTAAGGAACTTAAATTTACAAGAAAAAAATAAACAACCCCATAGAAAAGTGTATAAAGGACATGAACAGACATTTTTCAAAAGAAGACATACATGTGGCCAAAAAGCATATGAAAAAAAGTTCAACATCACTGATCATTAGAGAAATGCAAATAAAACCACAATGAGATACCACCTCACACCAGTCACAATGGCAATTATTTAAAAGTCAAAAAATAACAGATGCTTGTGAGGTTGCAAAGAAAAGGTTGCTATTATACACTATTGGTGGGAGTGTAAATTAGTTCAACCATTGTGGAAAGCAGTATGGCCATTTTCCAGAGCTAAAAACAGAACTACTATTCGACCCAGCAATCCTATTACAGGGTATATACCAAGAGGAATATAAATTATTCTACCTTAAAGACACATGCACGTGAATGTTCACTGCAGCACTATTCACAGTAGCAAAGACATGGAATCAACCTAAGTGCTCATCAATGACAGATTGGATAATGAAAATGTGGTTCATATATACTATGGAATGCTATGCAACCATAAAAAATGAGATCTTATCTTTTTTGGGCACATGGATGGAGTTGGAGGCCATTATCCTTAGCAAACGAATGCAGGGAGAGAAAACCAAATACCACATATTCTCACTTAAAAGTGGGACCTAAAGGATGGGAACTCATGAACACAAAGAAGGGAACGATAGATACTGGGGCCTACTTGAGGGTGAAGGGTGGAAGGAGGCAGAAAAGCAGAAAAAGATAACTATTGGGTACTAGGCTAAGTACCTGAGTGACGTAATAATCTGTAGAACAAACCCCCATGGCACGAGTTTGCCTATATAACAAACCTGCACATGTACCCCCCAAGCCTAAAAGATTTAAAAAAAAAATCTGTAATTATTCACAATATCAAAATAAAAGAATCATATAATCAGCTTAATAAATGCATAAAAACATTTAATAGAAGGGGATTTCTTTATTAATAAGTCTCTCCAACATTACAGCAAACATTGTACCTATTAGTGAATTATTGACAGCTTTTTCCTCTAAGATGAAGAATGAGAAAAATATACTTTAATCATGATTTCTATTGAACTTTTATCCAGGAAGTTCTACAAAATGCAATAGAAAAGAAAAATAGGCAAGAATTGGAAATGAAGAACTGATTGTTTGAATATGCTGATTGTGTACTTTGGAAATACAAGAAGAATGTCTACCAACTATAAGAATAAATAAATTTTTCAAAGCCAAGAATATAAGGTCAATATTTAAAACAATTGTATTTTACTATGTACCAACAGAAAATAAAAATTTTAAATGAAACTGTTATATGTAGCAGCAAAATATCAAATATCTAGGAATAAGTTGGGGAAACATTTTATGCAAGATTTTTCTGAAATTTATACATTATTGGGAAAAATTTCAAAGGCCTAAATCAATGGAGAAACATACCATGTTTCTCTACTACAATGCCTAATGTTAGAAATAAATGGGTTGGCCGGGCACAGTGGCTCACACCTGTAAATCCCAGCACTTTGGGAGGCCGAGATGGGCGGATCACGAGATCAGGAGATCGAGACCATCCTGGCTAACACAATGAAACCCCGTCTCTACCAAAAAATACAAAAAAATTAGCCAGGCGTGTTGGCAGTTGCCTGTAGTCCCAGCTACTCAGGAGGCCGAGGCAGGAGAATGGCGTGAACCCGGGAGGCGGAGCTTGCAGTGAGCCAAGATGGCGCCACTGCACTCCAGCCTGGGCAATGGAGCAAGACTCGGCTTCAAAAATAAATAAATAAATCAGTTGTCTCCAAATTACTCCACAGAGTCAAGGCAATTACAATTAAAATCGTAGAAGTATTTTTAGAGAAATTGATAAGTAGAATCTCAAGTTTATATGGACATCCGAAAGATCAAGTATGACTAAGATAAACTTGAAAAAGAATGAAACAGCTAGAGACCTTATATTTTCAGATATCAAGACATATCTAAAGAAATTTTTCAAATTCTTAAAATTAAGGAATAGAGATATTCTTAAAAATTAAGTAATAGAGATAAATAGAATTTATCTAATTATTAACTAAGCCAATGTGAAGTTGGTGCAAAAATAGAGAAATAAACAAAAGTACAGACTAGATAGTCCAGAACCAGGAGCATATAAACCATCACTCAATTTGTGACTAAGATTGTGAGGAAAGAATGGTCTTTTCAATTAGTGATGCTGGGACAATGTGACATCTGCATTTTTTAAAAAATGAATCTTGATGACTAACTCACATCACATCCAAAAATATTACAACTGGATTCCAGATTTAAATGTGAAAAGGAAACTATAAAACTCCTGGAATAAAGCACGAGAGAAATTCATCATTAACTTGGGATAGGCAAAAGTTTCTTAAACAGGACTCAAAGTGCTAACCATAAGTATAAAATGGAGAGTAGAGTTGTATATATTAAGCTGTATTAACTTCCATTCAACTTAATCCACCAAAAAGAGAAAAGGACAAACCACAAAGTGTTGAAGATAATTGTCATATATATTTCTAACAAAGAATTTGTATCCAAAGTATGAATCTATACCAGTAACTATATCAATTCATTAAAATTAATACAAAGATAACTCATGTAAAATAAACCAAAAAACTTTATAAAAGAGGTATTTAAATTGCCAATAAACATGAAAAAATATGTCAACGTTTGGTTTCATTCCAATTGCTTTTGGTGTCTTCATGAAATCTTTGCCGGGTCCTATGTCCAGAATGGTATTTCCTAAGATTATCTTCCAGGGTCCTTATAGTTTTATTTTTTACATTTAAGTTTTTAATCCATTTTGAGTTGGTTATTGTATATGGTGTACGGAAGGGGTCCACTTTCAATCTTCTGCATATGGCTAGCCAGTTATCCCAGCACCATTTATTGAATGGGGAATCCTTAATCCATTGTTTATATTTGTCAATTTTGTCAAGGATCAGATGGTTGTAGGTAGTATAGTTTGAAATCAGGCAACATGAGGCCTCCAGTTTTGTGAGTTGTTTTTTTTGTTTGTTTTTGTTTTGTTGTTGTTGTTGCTGCTGCTTAGGATTGCCTTAGCTATTTGGGCTCTTTTTTTGGTTTCTACATGAATTTTAAAGTAGTTTTTTTTTTAGTTCTGTAAAGAATATAATTGGTACTTTGATAAAAATAGTGGTGAATCTGTAAATTGCTTAATTGCTTTGGGCAGGATGGCCATATTAACAATATTGATTCTTCCTAACCATGAGTACGGAATCTTTTCCATTTGTTTGTGTCATCTCTGATTTCTTTGAGCAGTGTTTTATAATTCTTATTGTAGAGATCTTTCACTTTCTTGGTTTACCTGTATTCCTAGCTATTTTATTCTTTTTGTGGCAATTGTGAATGGGAGAATGCTGCTGATTTCTTT
This sequence comes from Homo sapiens, assembly GCF_000001405.40. Taxonomy (NCBI): domain Eukaryota; kingdom Metazoa; phylum Chordata; class Mammalia; order Primates; family Hominidae; genus Homo; species Homo sapiens. Next base: position 180,096,860 of record NC_000002.12, on the reverse strand, counting down.
ACTTGATTTTCTATCTCTGAAACTTTGCTGAAGTTGTTTATCAGATCAAGGAGCTTTGGGAAAGAGACTATTAAGTTTTCCAGGTATGAAATCATGACATCTGCAAAAACAGGTATAGTTTAACTTCCTCTCTTTCTATTTGGATGTCTTATTTCTTTCTCTTGCCTGATCACTCTAGCTAGGACTTCCAGTACTATGTTGAATAGGAATGCTAAGAGCGGGCATTTTTATCTTGTTCCAGTTCTCAAGAGGAATGCTTCCAAGCTTTTGTCCACCCAGTATGATGTTGGCTGTAGGTTTGTCATAGGTAGGTCTCATGATTTTGAGGTATAGTCCTTCAATACCTAATTTGTTCTGATTTTTTTTTTTTTTAACATGAAGGGATGAATTTTACCAAAAACCTTTTCTGCATCTATTGATATGATCACACGGTTTTTGTTTTTAGTCCTATTTATGTGGTAAATCATTTATTAATTTTCCTATGTTGAACCAATCTTGTATCTCAGGAATAAAGCCTACTTGATCATGGTGGACTAGCTTTTTGATGTGCTGTTGGATTCAGTTTGCTAGTATTTTATTGAGTATTTTTGCATCTATGTTATCAAGGATATTGCCCTGACGTTTTCTTTTTTTATTATGTCTCTGCCAGGTTTTGGTATCAGAATGATGCTGAGCCCATAGAATGAGTTAGGGAGGAATCCCTCCTCCTCAGTTTTTTGGAATAGTTTCAGTAGGAATCATACCAGCTCTTCCTTAAACATCTCGTAGAATTTGGCTGTGAATTTATCTGAGGCTTTTTCTGGTTGGTTGGTAGGCTTTTTTTTTTTATTACTTATTTCATTTCAGAACTCATTATTGATCTGCTCAGAAATTCAGTCTCTTCCTGGTTCAATCTTGAGAGGTTATATGTCTCCAGAAATTTATCTTTTTCTAGGTTTTTCTAGCTTGTGTGTATGAAAGTGTTCATAATAGTCTCAGGATTTTTTGTATTTCCATGGTATCAGTGGTAGTACCTCCTTTTTCACTTCTGTGTTTATTTAAATCTTCTTTTTGCTTTATTCATCTATCTAGCTTATTAATTCTTTCAAAGAACAAGCTCCTTGATTCAGTGATTCTTTTCTTTGTATGGTTTTCTGTGTCTCAATTTCCTTTAGTTCAGCTCTGATTCTGGTTATTTCTTGTCTTCTGCTAGCCTTGGGGTTGCTTTGCTCCTGTTTCTCTAGCTCCTGTAATTGTGATGTTAGGTTACTAATTTGAGATCTAACATTTTGATGTGGGCATTTAATGTTATAAACTTCTCTCTCAACACTTCTTTGGCCGTGTCCCAAAGATTTTGGTATGTTGTATCTTCTCATTAGTTTCAAAAAATTTGATTTCTGCCTTAATTTCATTATTTACCTAGAAATCATTCAGGAGCAAGTTGTTTAACTTCCATGTAATTGTATGGTGTTGAGTGATTTTGTTAGCATTGATTTCCATTTTTATTGCACTGTGGTTGGAGAGCATGGCTGGTATGATTTTGTGTTTTGTTTTTTTAATTTGCTGAGGACTGTTTTATGCCTGACTGTGTGGTCGATTTTAGAGTATGTGTCACGTGCAGATGAGAAGAATATATATTCTGTTGTTTGGGGTAAAGAGCTCTGAGGATGTCTCTTAGGTCCATTTGGTCAAGTGTTAAGTTCCAGTCCCAAATCTCTTTGCTAATTTTCTGCCTCAGTCATCTGTGTAATGCTGTCAGTGGGGTGATAATGTCTCCCACTACTATTGTGTGGTTATCTAAGTCTTTTCATAGGTATCTAAGAACTTGCTTTATGAATCTGGGTGCTTCTGTGTTGAGTGTTTATTTAGGATACTTAGGTCCTCTTGTTGAATTGAGCCCTTTACTATTATGTAATGTCCTTCTTTGATGTTTGTTTATTTAAAGTCTGCTTTGTCTGAAATTAGAATTGCAACACTAATTAAAGAACTTCTGCATAGCAAAATAAACTATAGGATATATAGGCAACCTTCAAGATGGGAGAAAATGATTGCAAACTGTGCATCTAAGAAAGTTCTAATATCCAGAAGCTGTAAGAAACTTAAATTTATAAGAGAAGCAAACAACCCCATTAAAAAGTGGGCAAAATATATAAAGACACCTCCTCAAAGATATATACGTGACTAACAAGCATATGAAAAAAATGCTCAACATCACTAATCATTAGAGAAATGGAAATCAAGACCACAATGAGATATCATCTCATATCAGTCAGAATGGCTACTATTAAAAAGTCAAAAAGTAAAAGATACTGGCAAGTTTGTAGAGGAAAAAGGAACACTTACACACTGCTGGTGGGGATCTAAATTAGTTCAGCCATTGTGGAAAGCAGTTTGGTGATTTCTCAAAGAACTTAAAAAAGAATTACAATTAAACCTAGCAATCCCATTATTGGGTATATATCCAAAGGAATATAAATCATTCTACCATAAAGACACATGCACAAGTATGTTCATCACAGTACTATTCACAATAGCAAAGACATGGAACCAACCTAAATGCCCACCAACAGTGTGGTACATATTCATAATGGAATACTATGGAGCCATAAAAAAGAATGACATCATTTCCTTTGTAGCAACATGGATGCAGCTGGAGACCATTATCCTAAGCAAACTAACACAGAACAGAAAATCAAATGTGTTTTCTTACTTATAAGTGGGAGCTAAAAATTGAGTGCACATGGATACAGAGAATGGAACAGATAGCAGAACCTACTTGAAGGTGGAAGATAAGAGGAGGATGAGGATTAAAAAATACCTGTCAGGTACTATTCTTATTACCTGGGTGACAAAATCTGTACACCAAACCCCTGTGGCATGCAATTAACCTATATAATAAACCTGCATATGTACCCCTGAACCTAAAATAAAAGTTTAAAAAAGTGAAACAATGCTCAACTTTATTACCAGAAAAATGAAATTAAACTACAGTGGAATAACATTACATACCCACCAGAATGTCTAAAATTTTAAATGGCAGAAAATATTGAGATTTTAATGAAGATGTGGTTCATACTGCTGGGAGGAGTATAAGTTGATATAATCACTTTGAAAAAATGGTAATCTTTACCAAAGCTGAACATAAACATGATTCTTAGGTACATTAGCTTAACAGAAATGCACACACATATTCACCAAAAGATATACAAAGAATGTTTGTAGTTACAATATTCACAGTAGCCAAAAACCAAAAGAACTCAAATGTCTATAAACACTAGAGAAATTATGGCATATTCATACAACGTAACACCGTGCTATCCAGTAATGAGAACAAAGAATAGTGGTTATGTTTGCAGAACAATTAATGACTAGAACAGGGCAGGGGTGCTTCTAGGTGCTGGTAAAGTTTTATTTCTTGCTGTGAGTAGTGGGTAAGCAGGTCCACTCAAAAACTCTGTGAAAGATTATTTGGAGATGGGGCGTTTGGAAGGTGATTAGGTCATGAGGATGGAACCCTCATGAATAGAAATAGTGTCCTTATAAAAGAGGCCTCAGAGAGCCCCTTCCCTTCCCATGTGAAGTTACACAGGAACAAAAATCAAAAACAAAAAAGACCATCTGGAAAGCAGGCCCTCAAAACACATCAAATCTGTTGATGCCTTGGATCTTGGACTTCTCAGCCCCCAACAATGTGAGAAACAAATGTTTGGTGTTTATAACCACCCAGTCTAGGATATTTGTTGTAGCAGTGTGAATAGATTAAGACAGATATACACATATGATTTGTATACTTTTGAGTTTGTAAGATGGCTCTATTAGTCCTCCCATTTCCAGGACTAATCTAATGCTTTCTGACTCCAAGGATCTTCAAACACTCAGCTAAATTAAATTATAAAGTTATGTTAGCTTTTTATTCTGAAGGCTAGATGCCACCAGCATAGATATTATCCATGGACACAGAGATTTAAAATAGACTTATAGAGAAAAAATAAATACTTAATCCTAGGGCAACACTTACTAGGCACTCACTAAATACTTGATAAATAAATATGTGAAATTTATATGTAATTTATATGTATATTCAAGAGTCTCTAAATCAAACAGCTTAGTAGGGGTTCCAGGGTCTCACTATGTGAAGGTTCAGGACTAGGTTCATTAATGGTCCCCTAAATAATTTTGAACTCTTACTCTCCCTGATTATACCTGGAGTAGATTCTTTATCCTGCTTTTAGGGAAGCTTGGTCAGAAAAGCCTGCAATTCCCAGAACAGAACAAAGCCACTGCAGAATGAGGTGTTACATCTAAACTATCTGGTCAGCGTGAGTCACAAAGCATTACACGAGGTATCCATCAGTTATGAGTGAGTTAAGCACTTTGGGTAAAACAAAACTGAAGGGATAGAAAAAATACAGAGACACTTGAAAATATGTATTGTTTCTGACTATTTTTGATCCATGACTTGAATCTGTGCATGCAGATCCCAGATACAGAGGGCCAGCTAATCATGTCTGCCAGTCATCTCTACATGGAACCATTAGGCAACACTCACCTTATTTGTAAGGCACCACTTACCAGGTGCCTCAAAGTACTTGGAAAAATCCATGCAAATAATAAAGCACACAAACAGAAGAGTTCAAAACTAGCTCTCAATGATATACATTTCCTGCTAATCTGAATTGGAAGGGAGGAAAGAAAACATCTCACAGGACTTAACACCACATTCATATGGAAATTTTATAAAAAGTGTATGTAAAAAGTTTCACCAAAATTCCTAACTTTTCATTTTCTGGATGTAAGTAAACAGGATTATTCTAAAACACTTTAATGTCTAGATATACTCTGTAGTCATCTGTGATCATTTTCCCTCATTTTGTTCATTCTACCTATGTATTTCTATATTGTAGTGTTTCAGAACACTCAAGTCTCAACTCTGTTGTTTCTTGGTTTTAGGGCAAAGTCAGATCATTCTAACTTCTTTCAGATTCTATGTCTTAGTCTGTTAAATACTCAGAATGCTGCTTTGCCTTCCATGCAGACATCTTAAAAGGAAATTATATATATGAAACACTTATGAAAATTTCATAAAATTTCTAAGGATACTTCCAACTCAGAACTAACGCAAAGAGAAATAATCTTTAAATAATTTGATTTTTAAATTTCATTGACATTCAGTGCATTTATTCTAAGACATTATATTAAGTGTTATCTACATAATTTTGTAACCAGCATTTGTATGTAACCTAAACTCTAGAACTCATCCATTACAAATCCTTAAAAGGATCACTTTCACAGTTTGCCTGTAAGTTGGACCATTTGCCTCATCTGCCAAGGAGCAGGGCCATGGCCCTCTCTATCTTCCCAGGAAAATTGCAAGGAAGTCCCCATAGGCTATGAGTTTCCACTGCTCAACTGTTCCTGCTGTTGCTAAACTGATCATTACTGCCAGTATAAAGCACTGGCCGTTAAATATGGCTGCTGATGTCACACCAAGTTCACTTTTATTGGCTGAACAATGTCTACTCAAAATTCATTTGTTGAAGTTGTCTTTCAGTACCTCAGAATGTGACTGTCCAGTCATGCATCACTTAATGATGGGGATACATTCTGAGAAAGGAATCAATATATGATTTCATCATTGTGTGAACATCCTAGAGTGTACTTACACAAACTTAGATGGTAAAGCCTACACCTAGGCTCTATAGTGTAGCCTATTGCTTCCAGGCTACAAACATGTATAGCATGTTACTAAATACAGTAGGTATTGTAGCACAATGATAAGTATGTGTGTATCTAAACATAGAAAAGGTACAGCAAAATATGACATAAGATGTTTAAAAATGGTACATCTCTACACGGCACTGTATAGGTCCATGAATAGAGCTTGAAAGACTAGAAGTGGATCTGGGTGAGTCAGTGAGTAAGTGGTGTGTGAATGTGAAGGCCTAGGACATTACTGTACCCTACCGTAGACGTTATAAACATTGTACGCTTGGGCTACACTTAATTTTTTTAATTTAATTTCTTCAAGAATAGATTAACCTTAGCTTACTGTAAATTTTTTACATTACAAACTTTTGTAAAAATTTTAAAACACAAACACATTGTATGGCCACATAGAAATATTTTCTTATATCCTTATTCCATCAGATTTTTCTATTAATTTTTTACTTTTTAAACTTTTTTGTTAAAAACCAACACACATACATATTAGCCTAGGCCTGCAGAGGGTGAGAATCATCAATATCACTGTCTCCCCCTTCACATCTTATCCCACTGGAAGGTCTTCAGGGACAATAATACACTTGGAGCTGTCATCTCCCATGGTGATAACGCCTTCTTCTGGAAGAACTCTGGAAAGTCCTGCCTGAGATTGTTTTACACTTAACTTTCACATAAGTAGAAGGAGTAACAAGCTAAAATAATAAGTAGTACAGTAACTACATAAACCAGTAACATTGTCATTTATTAACATTATGAAGTATTATGTACTGTACCTAATTGTATGTATTATGATTTTTTTATAACTGGCAGTGAAGTAAGTTTGTTTACACCAGCATAATCAGAAATATGTGAGTGATTTGTTGAGTTATGATGGCCACAATGTCACTAGGTGATAGGAATTTTTCAGCTCCGTTATAATCTTATGAGACCACCATCACATAAGTGGTCCATTGTTGACCAAAAGATTGTTACATTGCACATAACTGTATTTTGAGTTAGAGCCTTTAAAGACTCATTAAGGTACAATGAGGTCATATACCTGGGCCCTAATCCATATAACACAAAAGGTATCCTTACAACAAAAGGAGATTACAGTACAGACAAGAGGAAAGAAAGAAGCAGAAAGAGGATAGCTACATACAAACCAAGAAGGGAAACCTCAGAAGAAACCAACCTTGCCAACACCTTAATCCTGGACTTCTAGCCTCCAGAACTGTGAGAAAGTAAATTTCTATTGTATAAGCCACCCAATCTGTGGTATTTTCCTATGGCAGCCCTAGCAAATAAATACAGTCACCCTTAGCGTGGCCTTCACCTAAACTTAGTCCCGCGCATTCCCTCCTCTAGCTTTCCCCAGGGGCTGATAGATCCCTACTTGCAGCACATAGTCTTGTCTCTCCCCATTCCTTCTTACCTAATGTCCAGTTCTTCCAGAGGGCCTCTAAGAACATAATTCCCTCTTTTTGAGATTTTGGAGAAGCACAAAGAGGCGTTGGAGTCAGGGGGTGTTTAAGAGAAGCTTTCTAATGGATCCTGAACTGCAGCTTCTTCCTAAATCTCAGAACCTCATAACATCTGACCCTCCCAGCCAGACTCCTTAAACCTAGATGGCACAATTTTTCTTTCAGGAGTTTCTTTGTCCTCCTCTGTAATTTAACTTCTGTTCGCACAGCCTCTTTCATCAGACATATCTTGGTAGATATCTGGTTCTTTTTCATGGCCAAGATCCAAGTTCATTCACAAAAAGCTCCTGAACCCCAGTGAAAATCAGGGCTGAGACTGGGGACCTATTTCAGGGTCTTTAAATTTTTTTTAATATTTATGACTGATTTTCCAATGCATCTGGAAAAATCTGAGTTGGATGGCTCATAAAACTCTATGAGAGACCCATCTCTGGCTCAGCTGTAAACCTTATGTGTGAAAATTTCATACTATTTTCTTACTATCTGTCACAAGAATTTTGTTGAACTAGATTAATACTATTATACTTTATTTTAAAAGAAACCCAAGCCTATGTATCAGGTTTACTTGCCGAAGGTTAACTTAATAAGTTAACATATATTGCAAGAAAATAAATATATCTAGAGAAATTTCTCTACAAGGAGAGCTTAAAATTTCATTGAATTTTATTTTGATGTCTTTCATGTTTGCGTGAATAAAAGGAAATATTTCTTTTTAATATTTCCTAATAGGAAATATTACAAAAATAATATATTGTCACACAATGTTATCTGATGAGAACTAAACTTGTGAAAATGGAAAATGCCTCCTAGAAGTTCTCATTTAAACTGTTACAACAGCATCTTATAAATCTTTTTAAATGGATCTAACATTTTCAAATAAAAACACCTCACAGGGAACAACATACTGCATTAACAAACTATATTTTTAAAATAATACAAAGCACTCTTTGTAATATAAGAACCCATTTCATACCTTTTTGTTAAAAATGTGAGCATTCACAGACTTTAAGAGAATGTCAGACTTTAAGACCTGAATTCTGTAAAGATGCAGCTAGAGCAGTGATAGTTTTACACCTGGTATAATAAGATCCAATCCCTCAGGGACTACAGGATCTACAGCTATCTATTAATCAGAAAAGTCTTGTGTACAGAGGTTAACTTCCCCACCCCAGGCTTTATGAATTAATTCTATATCAGCATAGAGCTTCCTTTTTTTATTTCTTCTTTGGTGGCATCATTCTAATGTGCAGTATGCTAAGGAATGCAGGAAGCTAAAATATTGACAGAAAGAAAAGAGAAATTAAGGCTACCAGGTTCTTCTCATTCACAAACACAAAATTTTTCCTTACAACAGTGGTACAGAAGAAAAATGGCCAACATGCATATGAAAAGATGTTCAACATCATTAGTCCTTATGGAAATGCAAAATGAAACCATGATAAAATAATGCTACATACTACTAGAATGACTAAAATGAAAAAGATGAACACTTCTCTATCAATCGTTGATGTTTTTAAATAGACCAAAAATATAGTAAGGATAAAAGTAACTTTGAAAAGCACCACCAATTTAACCTAAATGATATCCAACAAATAAAGAATACACATTCTTTTTAAGTGTATACGGAACTTTTATATTGTACCATAAAACAAAACCATCCTGACAAATAGAGGATTCCTACTATTTGGTTTCAAGACTACTGATTTCAAAGCTACAATAATTAAGACAGTGTTCTTGATGTAGGGTTAAGCAAATATCCAAATAGAATAAAAGATCCCCATATTTATATGCTCAACTGATTTTCAACAATGGCAAAGGAAAAGTAGAACCTTTTCACTAAATGATGCTGGAACAAATAGATATCCATATGGAAAAAAAGAATCACCCCCTAATCTGTACCATTTATGACAAACTGTTATGGCTCACAGACTTAAATATAAAAGCTAAAACAATAAATCTTCTAAATGACATTATCACTTATCTTCCACAAGCTTGGGACAGACATTTTTAAAATTACTGAAAACATTATCCATAAAAGAAAACAATGATCAATTATACCTCATCAAAATTTAAAATTTCTATTTGTCACTGGACTAAGCAAAAGAGTAGACAGGTCACATGTATTTCAAATATTTTTTCAAGGCTGTATCTGACAAAGAACACAAAATATTATATAAAAATAGAAAAGAAACTTGAACAGAAACTTAACAAGGAAGATATCTGGAAAGACTGATTAGTCATTAGGGAAATACAAATTAAAACCACCATAAGAAATATTACACACACACTAGAATGGCCACAATTAAAAAGACTAGCACCAATTGTTGGTGAGAATGCAGAGTAAACCGAACTATCTTACATTGTTGGTAGGAGCATAAAATTATACAAAAAGAAAGGAGTAGCAGAGAAGGTGAGCATATACATATAAATGTATGTGTTACCACTAGTAACCATATGTCTTAAATGACAGATCTCAGGCCAGAAGGGACCTAAAACAAAGACCAATGACCAATAGACCAAAAAAGAGGCAAGTGGAAGAGAGGGAGAGGGTGATAGTGGTATGCGTGGGCACACAAGCATACCCAGGCATGTGAGATGGAGAATTAGAAGGAAAAATCCATATCTGTGCCTGCAACAAAAGCAGGTAAACATAAAATGAGGAACTGTATAAGAAACTTCTGTTTTGCAGAGGGTATCCCTCTTTCTTACTTTCAGAAATAATTTGTTTTGTCAATCTATCATAAATATTCTGGAGAAAAGTCTTAAGCTGTAATTTTCACAGAGGTTTAAGTCCTTTGTAGAAACTAAAAGAGCATCAGGTTAATCAATGAAAGGAATGAAGGAATTTTACATATTTTAACAAAGATGGCTTCTCTTGTGAAATTCTCTACAGTGGACGCCATGGTGCAAATTTGCCCTTAGCATTAGAATAAATTACAGTCATCTCTTCCAAGGGGAACGTATTTCCATCCGTTGGACTCAATGGGGTTAAGCTGGGAACAGCTTAACAGATTACACAGTATTAATAAGTGCATACTGCTCTCATCTGATTGAAAAGCAATCAGAACCTTCCGTCTTTTGCCAGATATAAATCTGTTTATATAAAAGGGCTTTCAAATACAAAGCCAATGAAATATTTTCTTGAGGTCTTAATGCAATCCTTATTTGACTCTGAAATCCAAACTTGCTATAATCAACATGAACAAAGTATGCTGTGCTTCTGCAATATATAATATAAATACAAAGTATATGACTTTTTATTAAACTGTAAAATATGCAAATAAAGTAGCACCTTAAATTAGAAAAATGAGCCATGGCGTATTTTATTATCTGTTGAAAAATATGTTGTGTGATTACACACAGTATCTAGCTGAAGTCCCAGGAGTAATGGAGAATGCATAGTATGGTATGTGTATGAATACATGGAGGGGAAATTGTGTTGGAGAGAGAATGGAAGAGGGAGTGAAGAATGGACAACAGGTAATAACCTTCCTAATATCCAAGCTGGTGGTTGGGAAATATCTACAAGTATTTCGGAATTGATTAATAGTCAAGTTGCCTACGTTCACAAGATCAAGCTATAGTACTAATGCATCTGAGGTCTCTCAAATTACTTCATGTCATTGAGTATTAACATCCTCAAGTTACAAAAAATAACGCAATTGGATTTTGTTGTGTTTAAAAAATAATTTTCAGATAAGCTGAGTATACTATGTACATGGCACAATTTTAATCTCTACATATTTGCCATATTTTAAATGGCTAAAGTGTAAATAAAAATGGGAAAGTCAAATTAAATAGAATTAGATGCTTCAAATTATTTTTGAAAAGCATTAAGTTCACTATTCACCCATTACTCGTTGTGTACCTACCATCTGGCAAGTACAGTACAGGGCTCTAAATTGTAGACAAATGAGTATGTGGGAGTTGAGATGAACTGTAGTTGAGAAAGAAGGGAGGGAAGGAGTTAGCTGTTTAGTTGGACACTCAAGCCTTTAACAAATCATAGAATGTAGTGAGAGCAAGTACTCTACTCATTAGGATGTAGCCTCCCAAAATAAGAATAGCACTCATAACTATGCTGTAATATCATTTTAGGTGATACACAAATGAAAAGTTTTTATTTTACTGGTTATAAGTTCTATACTTTTAATTTATAACCAGTAAAATAAAAAGTATTATAGCTAATATAAAGATATATAATCAGAAATGTTAATATATAAATACAAGTACATTTACATACATACACAAATATTTATATTTATCAGGTATGCCATACCTATAATTTTAGGAGTATTATTAAGGCAAAGTAACAAAATAAGTTAAGGTCAGTTTAAAGAAATATTGCACAATAATGTAACTATTAGGTGTAGATGCCAAAAACCATTAAGATGACATTAAAATTACTGAATATTGGAAAATTTAAGAGAAGCTAAATCTCTAATATGGGCTTTCACTCTCCTAAATTCATGGTCTCTTCTATGATACTATAATTTTTATATTATTAGACTATAGAAGAACAGCTCTTCTCTAGATCAAGGGTTGAAGAATTATCTATATACACACGTATCCCAGGCCAACGTTCTCTCAACAGATTGACTCTCAAGCAATTATTAAAGTGTGGACCATAAATAATCCTAAAAGCTTCATGAGAAAAAAAATACTAGAATAAGAGATAGAGTGAAAACAACAACCACTTATTGAGCATCTACTCTATTCCATGCTCTATGCTTAACATTATTTCTATGTAACAATCATCAGAGGTAGGGTGTTTTATTTCCTCTGTTACCTATAAGAAAACTAACATGGATAAATTTTAAGAAATTTTCTTAACATTGAGGACACAGAAGTCAGTGAACTGAGCTTCTATCACCATGTGACTAAAATAACTTATTTTCCATCTGTGGTATAGTTTCTCCCTTAAATCAAAGGTTTACAAATGTTTCTCTAAAACATGAAATCTATGAAATAAACCAAACCTAACAGAGACTATAGTGACATAAGGGTTACTGGTTTTTACAAAGGCAATTGGAAGATTGTACACACTACTGAAGAGACTGTTGTCTCCAGAGATATTTGACAGGAAAATAGAAGGCTGCAGCAATGAAACTGACTCTGGCAACTGAAAAGTCAAAGTTCCTGCTTTACCCCTCAGCCTGTCTGTCTACCCATGGAAGGCACCCATTTACTAGGGCACCCCAGGCTCAGAAATGACTTCTGAGAACTCTTTGGGTTTTAGGCTATTTTATCAATCCTTCTAAAATTGCTCAGAATCTACGTACTTAACCTAGACAAAACAAACCTTAAAGTATAACAATACAAATAGAATTATGGATAATCTGGTCTATTTTTTTTTTTTTTCCTGAGATGGAGTCTCGCTCTGTCGCCCAGGCTGGAGTGCAGTGGTGCGATCTCGGCTCACTGCAACCTCCACCTCCCAGGTTCATGCCATTATTCTCCTGCCTCAGCCTCCTGAGTAGCTGGGACTACAGGCGCCTGCCACCACGCCCAGCTAATTTTTTCTATTTTTAGTAGAGACAGGGTTTCACCATGTTAGACAGGATGGTCTCGATCTCCTGACCTTGTGATCTGCCCACCTCGGCCTCCCAAAGTGCTGGGATGACAGGCATGAGCCACCATGCCCGGCAATTGTAGATGATCTTAACAGCAATAGGAAGCAGGAGATGAAAGAGGACAGAAAAAGTGCACATGCTCTTCTTTAGATTAACTTTAGACCACGTTAGAGAATCATGAGCTTATGCACTGATCTTATGTGTATTCAAAAAACTTTAGGGTGACCTCTAAAAGAAAAATGGAGCATGTAACTTTCAAACAGCCAGAGGAAGTTTTTCTAACAGATGTAATTAAAACACAATCAATCCACAAAAGGCAAGCAAATAAGAAGGAAATTTAGGAAGAAGAAAATGGAAAAACATAATAGAAATAAATCCAAGTTGAATATACTCATTCCTTAGATAAAGAGAGAATGACATGGGAAGTCCCACATGGACAGAAACTGAGTAGTCACCAGCCTTCAGTCAACATCAACTGGCAGGCATATGAGTAAGCAAACCTGCAGAGAATTGTAGCATCGAACTTTTGAGTCTTGCAGACGTCATAGGGCAGACAGATGTCCTCTTGCTCTACACAAATTTCTGACCCATAGAATCCGTATAACAAATGATTTTTAATGTCACTAAACTTTGGGAAAACGTATGTATAGTAACTGAAATACAGACACATATGTACACACATATACATAAAAATAAAGACAAAAAAGTACTCATGATAATGCAAATGAGTAAAAATTTATAAGCAATTATTGAAGCCTGGTAAAGAGTAGAGAAGAACAAATTTTACTATTTGCAATTTTTTGTAGAGATTTGAGCTACATCAAAATTTAAGGTATACCAACAGCCAAGCTGAAAGCCAAATCAGAAAGGCAATCCCATCCGCCACAAAAGGAATAAAATACATAAGAATTCAGCTTCCCAGGGAGGTGAAAGATCTCTACAATGAGAATTTCAAAACACTGCTCAATGAAATCAGAGGAGACACAAACAAATGGAAAAATATTTGATGCTCATGGATACGAAGAATTAATGTCATTAAGATGGCCATACTGCCCAAAACAATTTACCAATTCAGTGCTATTCCTATCAAACTACCAATGACAGTCTTCAGAGAACTAGAAAAAACCGTTTCAAAATTAATATAGAAACCAAAAAAGAGTCCAAATAGCCAAAGCAATCCTAAGCAAAAGGAATAAAGCTGGGAGCCTCACATTACCTGACTTCAAACTATACTACAGGGCTACAGTAACCAAAACAGCAAGGTAGTGGTGAAAAACAAAAACAAGCAAAAGAAAAAACAGGCACATAGACCAATGGAATAGAATAGAAAGCCCAGAAATAAGGCTACACAATCTACAACTACCTGATCTTTGACAAAGCTGACAAAAATAAGCAATGGGAAAAAGACTGTCTATTCAATAAACGGTGCTGGGATAACTGGCTAGCCATATACAGAAGAAGCTGAATGCCTTCCTTACACCATATATAAAAGTCAACTCAAGATGGATTAAAGACTTATATGTAAAACTCAAAACTATACAAATCCTGGAAGGCACAACCTAGCCAAAACGATCCTGCACATAGAAATGGACAAAGATTTTATGACAAAAATACCAAAAGCAATCATGACAAAAGCAAAAATTGACAAATGAGATCTAATTAAACTTAAGAGTTTCTGCACAGCAAAAGAAACTCAGAGTAAACAGACAGCCTATAAGAATGGGAGAAAATATTTGTAAACTATGCATCTGACAAAATAATATCCAACATCTTTTAAGAAACTGAAATTCACAAGAGAAAAAAACAAGACCATTAAAAAAATGGGCAAAAGACACGAACAGACACCTTTCAAAAGAAGACATACGTGTGGCTGACAAGCATATGAACAAAAGCTTAATATCAGTGATTATTAGAGAATTGCAAATCAAAACCACAATAAGACACCATTTCACACCAGTCAAAATAGCTATTACTAAAAAGCAAAAAAACAGATGCTGGCAAGATTGCAGAGAAAAGGGAACACTTATATGCTATCGATGGGAGTGTAAATTAGTTCAGCCATCTTGGAAAGCAGTATGGCAATTCCTCAAAAAGCTAAAAGCAGAACTACCATTCAACCCAGCCATCCCATTACTGGGTTTATACCCAGAGGAATATAAATCATTCTACCATAAAGACATATGCATGTAAATGTTCATTACAGCACTACTCACAATAGCAAAGATGTTGAATCAACCTAAATGCCCATCAATAACAGATTGGAAAAAGAAAATGTGGTATATATAAATCATGGAATACTATGCAGCCATAAAAAGTAAGATCATGTCTTTTGGGGGAAGATGGATGGAGCTGGAGGCCATTATCTTTAGCAAACTAACACGAACAGAAAAAAATACTGCATGCTTTCACTTGTAAGTGGGAGCTAAATGATGAGAATTATTAACTCAAAGAAGGAAGCAACAGACACAGGGGTCTGCTGGAGGGTTGAGGGTGGGAGGAGGGAGAAGAGCTGAAAGATAACTATTGGGTATGTAATGGGCTTAATGCCTGGGTGATGAAATAATCTGTACAACAAACCCCAGTAACAAGTCTACATATGTAACAAACCTTCACATGTACTCCTGAATCTAAAGTTTAAAAACAAATACATAAATTTAAAGTTACTAAGAGATAAACACACAGAGAGAAAGAGCCATAGAGACAGCAAAGAAATAGAAAGACATAGGTAATAAAATGAAAAGGTGTACATATGCCTGGAAATTGTTTTAATGAGGAAAATACAGATGCAGGAGGGACAAATGTGATCAGGTAAGAGGAAATGTTAATTTTTTTTTTTTTTACACATTAGAGTGAAACAGTAAAATACCAAAGACGAAAAAGCAACCAGAAAAAAATAGGTTAGCTAAAAAGAAATGACAGAGACCAGAATTTCTAAATAGTAGCAGTGTAAGTAAGAAGATAATGAAATCGTATCTTCAAAGTGAGAAGAGAAAACACAAAAAACCTAGCCAGACTTTTGTACCCAGCCAAACTACCTTTTAAGAATGAGGGTGATATAAAACATATTTGATTAAATGTACCTTTACTGAAGGAAATTCTAATTGACGCACTTCAAGAAGGAGTCTCATCGGAAGAAATGGTAAGCAAAACAAATGCTAAGCATGTTTTAAACTGTGGTAGACATGGTGATGCACTCTCAGTCTCTTTCAAGGAAGCACTGGTTACTGGATAGCTGTCAGCGAACAGCTTTAATCTACCAGCCCCTTCACAGAGCGCCTCAGGTTAAGCAAAGAACTTTGCTCAAGGTCAAAGAACAGCCCACACCTGATGATTGATCAAGGCAGGAATATAATAGCCCAGTCATTTTGTCCAAACTTGGGACAACTCTAGCAGACCATTTTTGCTCCCCGGGGGTACAGCTAGGGCCCTGTGTTGCAGCTTAACTTCTCCCTCTACCCTTTTCTGCTTCCCTTCCTTCCCTTCTGCACGTGTTGATCCCAAGGACACTCCCTAATAAGCCTCCTTCACTCTAAAAATATAAGGAAGAAAAGAAGGGAAGAGGGGAGGAAGGAAAGGGAAAGGAATGAAGGGAAAGAGGATAGAAAGATGGATGAAAGGAAGAAAGGGAAAAAGGAGGGGAGAGGGAGAGAGAGGAAGGAAAGAAAAATGCAAAATGAGAGCATTGCATATCAAAACTTGTGGGATGTAAGTCAAAGCAATAATCTGTGGACGATAGCTTCAGTTGTACTTGTTACAAATCAAAATGAAAAATAAAATTCTTAAAAAGCTAATTAATAACAAAACAAGTTCTAAAAAAGTAAAGAAATTAATAAAAGTAGAAATAGACATAATGACATCAATATAGCCAAAAGCCACATTTTAAAAAGCTGGATAAAATAATCCTTACCTGTGGGATCAAAATAAAAAGAATAAAAACATTACTACATAATATTAAGAATACAAAAGAAAATAAAACTGCAGACATAATATATTTGTAATAGTAGTAAAATATGATGTACCACCAGTTAAATTTGATCATTTTAACTTGAAAAAAATTCTGTACGAACATGTGTTGTCAAAATTATGCCAATCCAATGAAAAAATTCTGAATATGTCAATAATCAGAAAAACTGCAAAATGTTCAAATGAAGGAAAAAAGCTCCGATAGTTTTAAGAATTTTCAAGAAACAATTTCTATGTAGATAAACTTACTTTTTCTGAGTATAAAATAGAAACCTTTTTAAAGCATTCTTTAAGGTATTTCACAATCCTTATGGTGAAGCCCAAAGATAGCTCAAAACAAGGCGGCTAACTTAAGGACATAGGTACAAAATTGATAATCAAATTATTGGTAAATCAAATCCAAAGTGCAGATTTTTAAAAATCTATCTTGACCATTTGGGTTTTATCCGAGAAACGCTAGGGTGGTTCAAGGTAGCCAAACTATTAATGTAATTAATTATATCATACTAAAGCATCAAAAAAATGGAATCATATATGTCAAGAAAAAGCTTAATAAAATTTGTTAAAAATTTTCTTAGTAAAATACACTCACATCCGTAATGCCAGCACTTAGGCAGGCTGAAGCAGGAGGTTTGCTTGAGGCCAAGAGTTTGAAACCAGCCTGGGCAACAAAGCAAGACCCCATTTCTTAAAAAAAAAAAAAAAAATTTAAGAACCCATGATGGTGTGTGTGTGTTGTTCCAGCTACTTAGGAGGCTGAGGCAGGAAGATCACTTGAGCCCAAGAGATCAAGGCCTCAGTGAGCTGTGATTGTGCCACTGTACTCTAGCAGCCTGGGCAAAAAAGCAAGACACTGACTCAAAAAAATAGTATAAAATTTGGTAAAATATAAATTAAAAGCCCTAAACAAGATGGAGTATTTTTTAGTTTTGAGATGGAGTCTTGCTCTGTCACCCAGGCTGGAGTACAGTGATGTGATTTTGGCTCACTGCAACCTCCGACCCCCAGATTCGAGTGATTCTCCTGCCTCAGCCTCCCGGGTAGCTAGGATTACAGACACCCGCCACCTCGCCCGGCTAATTTTTTGTATTTTTAGTAGAGACAGGGTTTCACCACGTTGGCCAGGCTGGTCTCAAACTCCTGACCTCAGGTGATCCACCCACCTCTTGAAATTTAATAACTATCAGGAACATTTCTAGCAACACTGCTTTACAAACTATATTAGAAGTCCCCAGTGTAATGAGGCAAGAGAAAAAAAAACATTGCAAAGAGGTAAATACCATTATTTATGGAAGAATTAATTTTAGACAATCAGCCAAGAAATAATAAAAACTAAGAAGAAAGTTCTGTAGGGAACCA
Organism: Homo sapiens; assembly: GCF_000001405.40. NCBI lineage: Eukaryota > Metazoa > Chordata > Mammalia > Primates > Hominidae > Homo > Homo sapiens. The sequence goes on along the minus strand of NC_000002.12, from coordinate 180,078,802 downwards.
ATAAAGATTAAAATGTTAAAGATCAATAGATCTCTAACATATTAGCAATGGTCAATTATAAAATAACAAAATAGGTGCCACTATTTTAGAATAGATAATAGATAATAGAATAAAAATAAGTTATCTAAGAAAGATTCTAATAAAAGGTGTGAAGACAGGTCATACGACTCTTATATTTACCTCTCTATTACATCTGAAATTTATTTTTTAGCATGGGGTAGACAACCAATGTTTTTACAGTAGATATTCAATTGTACCAAGAACATAAATGGAAAGATATATACCAAATTTCTAGATAAGAAGACTCAATGGTTTAAATATGTACTCTTGCCAAATTAACAATTGAGACAGTATGAATAAGATTTTAACAGGATGTTTTAAAACCAAATAATCTGAATCTAAAATTTATATAGAAAGAAGAAGTACTTGGGTGGCCAAAATACTTTAAAAGGAACAAAGAATACAAACTTGCCCACAAGATATAAAAAGCATATCTAAAAACTATTATAGGGTAATTTAGATCTTGAGATACTAGTAACATTTTCAAATCAGTGTGGAAAAGGTAAGCTACTGAATAAACATTATTTAGACCATTAGCCATTCATTTGGGAAGAAAAGCAAAAGAAACCATAAACCATAAAACACATTGGATGAAAATTTTATAAACATGGAATGGGGAAGAGCTTCCTAGGGAATATGAAAACACAGCTTTTGTAAGGAGAAAGATTAACATATTTGAATATAAAAAATATTTAACTTTTGTCCAAAAAAGGATCTCACAAACATTAAAACAAGTAAACAAAGAAAAGAACGATTTACAATACATAAAATACCAAAGTTAAAACCCTAAATATAAGAACTACTCTTATAGACCAACAAGAAAAAGACAAGAACAAACTCAATAGATAAAACAAAAGCAGTGAACAAGCAATTTTCAGAGGAGAAAATAAATGGTAAATAGATGTTAAGATTCTCAACTTCACAACTAATCAGGAAAACATAAAACTGACATAAAAATTTTCACCAGTTGGCAAAAGTTAAATATTAAGTATTAAATTATAAATATTAAATATTATAAAGATTTAGCTTTTAGGAGGATGCTGGGGAATGGACACTCGTCTTTTTTCTGTTATTACTTGTTAATAACAGAAATGTGAAAAAAGTACTGCACACAGTATACATTATTTAATGTTCTTATTAAGAGGGATTTGCTATACTTACAGAGAATTGAGAATTTACAAACGTTTTATTTCTTAAATTATCCTCATCCAATGGTGTACCACATTATACCACAAGGGGATGGTATTTCTCTAAAAAAATTCACTGTCACAGACTAATGTAATTCACTGAGGTAGTGAGGAACACCTTTTAATGATGTCAAGATCAAAATAATTTAGCCTCCATGTTCAACTATAACTCAGAGCTATTGAAAAAAGTCAGTCTTACATTTCTGGAAACACGAATAATTCCTAAAATCAAATGTTCATGGGTTAACCCAGCACTAGAGATGGAATGTTACCAACCAGAACAGAAAAAACAAATACGTAGTTCTGGCCCCAGCATAAAGCTGTCTTCATGCTAGAAGGAGGTTAGGGAGCATGTTGCTGCTTCAACAGCAGTAGCAATTAAGTGTAAAAAAAGAATAAAGTGTTACCTCAACATGCTAATAGAGTCCATTTGGGAAATATCAAGTAGACAAAATGGTTGTTTCCCCAGAAACAGGCAGCAGGAATCCTTGCAAAGAATTCCCTACTCCATGCTTAAAGCACTGGATTATAGGAACCTCAGTTTACTACACACAACTACCAAAGATATATAGCCCAATACTTTTTATGGCAGCCCTAATGGCATTTTATTCATGGGTCGAGTCATAAGCCAATGAGAATAACCTCTCTAATGGCCTGAAAAAGTAGAATACATAACACTATAGCATGAGATGGAACTACCAACAGCTTAAATGATTCTAAATATAGGTCAAATAGCAAAGCAGACCAGCCTTCTTAAGGCAACATGGTGTCATTAACATCTATAGAGTTCTCACTATGCCAGGCTATCTTAAGCTTCATTTAGCTCATGTATTCTCACCAAGACTGTGAGATAGACGCTCGTACTGAGGCACAGGTTAAATAAATGGCAAGGGCTGGATGGAACCAAAATTAAATCTAGAAGGTCTACCTCCAGAGCCTGTACATTTAAATACATGTTACGCTACTTATCACAAGGCTGAATTCTGGACTAGTATTTTTAGGTAGCCTGGATTCCAATCCTTCACTGCCACTACACCTCTGAGGCTGGGAAAAGTGCATTGTTCTGGGGTCTTAGGGTCCTCTACACCCCCACTCACCAACTGCCCACCACTTTCACCCCCATAAAGGAACTGAACTAGATAATGCACAAGGTCTTTCTTTGGTTCATCAATTCATTACAATATTATGAAAGCAGCTATCAGATTGATGCAAAGTGTAAGGTCTTATATGTTTAGATATCTGCCTTCTATGATCACCAATAGCAGCAAAGAAAACTTGTTTTATAATATCTGTCAAAGGCATACAATGAATCACCAGTTTGTTTAAATAAAAGTATGGCTGTCTCTTATCTGCAAACAGATTTTTATATAGAGGGCTATATATGAGCATTATATGCCTATAAAGAGTGTGGGTGTACTGCCATCAAGAAAGTAAATGGAGAACCAAATATAGAAGTTCTAAGCAGAACTTCACAACTCTGGCTTCAGCTGGCTCCAATCCCTCCACTGTGACTTAAGTAATGAGATGACTTTGAGAAGCTTCATAACATGACAGAAATTGCATGTGCTTTAAAGGCATTCTGACTACAGCTGGGCGTGGTGGCCCACGCCTGTAATCCTAGCACTTTGGGAGGCCGAGGCGGGTGGATTGCCTGAGCTCAGGAGTTTGAGACAGCCTGGAGAACACAGTGAAACTCCGTCTCTACTAAAAATACAAAAATTAGCCGGGCATGGCGGCAGGAGCCTTTAATCCCAGCTACTGGGGAGGCTGAGGCAGGAGAATAGCTTGAACCCGGGAGGCAGAGGTTGCAGTGAGCGGAGATGGTGCTGTTGCACTCCAACCTGGGTGAGAGAGCAAGACTCTGTCGCAAAAAAAAAAAAAAAAAAAAAAATTCTGACTACAATTGCTGACATTTTCATTAAAATTAGTATTAGGTAATCTTACAACCATTTTAAGAGGCCTTTGAATTTTTTTATGATTTTAGCTTTTATTTTAGATTTGGGTATATGTGCAGACTTGTTATTTGGGTATATTGTGTGATGCTGAGGTTTGGGATATGATTGATCCCATTATCCAGGTACTGAGACTAGATAGTATCAAATAGCTTTTCAATCCTTCTCCCCTTCATTTCCCAATCTAGTAGTCCCCAGTGTCTATTATTCATCTTTATGTCCATGAGTACCCAATGTTTACCTCTCAACTTATAAGTGAGAGCATGTGTTACATGGTTTTCCGTTCCTGCATTAATTCACTTAGGATAATGACCTCCAACTGTATCCATATTTTTGCAAAGGACATGATTTCTTTTTTGTGACTGTGTAGTATTCCATGGTGTACATATACCACATTTTTTCTTTATCCAATCCACCACTGATGGACATCTAAGTAGATTCCATGTCTTTGCTGTTGTAAATAAAGGAGAGAGATTGAGATTGAGATTTGGTTGAATGATTTTCCTTTAGATCCCAGTAATGGGATTGCTGGGTCAAATGGTATTTCTGTTTTAAGTTCGAGAACTTCTCCATATTGCTTTCCACAGTGGCTAAACTAATTTACATTCCCATAGACAATGTATAAGCATTTCCTTTTCTTCTCAGCCTCGCCAGCATCTGTTATTTTTTGACTTTTTAATAGCCATTCTGACTGGTGTGACATGATATCTCATTGTGGCTTTGATTTGCGTTTCTCTGATTAGTAATGTAGAATATTTTTTCACATGGGCATTGGCTGCTTGTATGTCTTCCTTTAAGAAGTTCAGTCTTTTGCCTGTCTTTAATGGGATTGTTTGATTTGTTTGAGTTGTTTACATTTCTTATAGATTCTGGATATTAGACCTCTGTCAGATGCATAGTTTGCGAATATTTTTTCCTATTCTGTAGGTTCTCCTAATAGCTTCTTTTGCTGTACAGTAGCTCTTTCATCTAATTAGATCCCACTTGTCAATTTTTGTTTTTGTTGCAATTGCTTGAGAACTTGGTCATAAATTATTTCCCAAGGCCAACGTCCAGAATGGTGTTTCCTAGGTTTTCTTCTACAATTCCTATATATTGAGCTTACATTTAAATATTTAATCCATGCTAATTTTGAATATGGTGACAGGTAGGGGTCCAGTTTCATTCTTCTGCATGTGGCTAGCCAGATATCCCAGCACCATCTATTGATTAGGGAGTCCTTTCCCATTGCTTATTTTTGTCAATTTTGTCAAAGATGAGATGGTTGTAGGTGTACGGCTTCATCTTTGAGTTTTCCATTCTGTTCCATTAGTGTATGTGTCTGTTTTGATACCAGTATCATGCTGTTTGGGGTATTGTAGCCTTATAGTATAATTTGAAGTCAGGTAATGTGATACCTCTGCTTTGTTTTTGCTTAGGATTGCTTCCAATATTAGGGTTCCTTTTTGGTTCCATATGAACTTTGGAATAGTTTTTTCTAGTTCTGTAAAAAAAATTATGTTTGAATCTATAGATTGCTTTGGGCAGTATGGCCATTTTAATAATATTGATTCTAATTCGTGAGCATGGAATGTTTGTCCATTTGTTTGTGTCGTCTATGATTTCTTTCAACAGTTTTCTGCAGTTTTCCTTGTAGAGATCTCATTTCCTTAATTAAATGTATTCCTGGAGTTGTTTGTGTGGGGTGGGGGGGGCTACTGTAAATAAGATTGCTTTCTTGATTTGGCTCAGCTTAAACGTTATTGGTGTGTAGAAATGCTACTGATTTTTGTACATTAATTTTGTATCCTGAAACTTTATTAAAGTTGTTTAACTGTTCCAGGAGTTCTTTGGCAGAGTCTTTAGGGTTTTCCAGGTATAGAATCATATCGTCGTCAGAGGAAAGATAGTTTGATTTATTCTTTTCCTATTTGGATGTCTTATTTCTTTCTCTTGCCTGATTGTCCTGGCTAGGACTTCCAGTACTATGTTGAATAGGAGTGATGAGAGTGGGCATTCCTTGTCTTGTTCCAGTTCTCAAAGAATGCTTCCAGTTTTTGCCTGTGGTCTTCAGCTATTCTAACAGAATATCAATTCAGCATTAAATTATGTGTTTCACATTTATCATAAGTATTAAAATTTTTTAAATCTAATTTCAAACTAGACATTTCTACAACTTGAAGGAAATACTTCCTTAAGATACTGTAAGTTGAAAAATGTATTAAGTCTTTTAAGATTTTTATACGTTAAGTCAATTTATTTCTGCCATATTCCCATTCTGGCCTCAGATGTTGCCAGAGGCTTGTCCAAAAACAAAATATTTTCAAACAAAAATAAAGACCTCTCAACTAAGTTTCAAAACTGCCAAAATTTCAGAGTTGAAATAAATGCTAGGGATTAGAGAAAAATCCAAGGAATAATGGTTTAATGAAATTTAAAAATCTTTAGTATTTACTACTCTATATATGAAGTAGCAATATCATCACAGTAGACTTTATGGTTTGATTTATAAATTTACTTTGGCCTTTTCCCCCCATAATAAAACTACTATTGAGAAAACTAAGTATAGGGCAACTAGCTTCATTAAAGCTGAATAAACTTCCTTATCTATATTTCTCAATAATTCACTTCTTGGTGTTTGGTGCATATGCAAAATCAGGAGCTAGCTCCATAAAAATTAGTCCTATATGATAGCTCTAAGAGCTAAAGATGTTCTTTCAGAGGCTGAATATCTATAGAAATTTCACCATTCAGCTTATGTTGTATTTTCCTAGCTGTAAATAAAGAAGCATATTGTCTATGACATAAAAGCAAAAAGAACCATATTTTTTTATTATCAGTATAATTTTCTGTCAATCCTACAAATGTTAGGAAATGGTCAACATTTTAATTATCTTAAAGATTTGCATACATACTGGTGTCTTTTTAAGAGTAATACAGAACTAATGGTCAAAATGTTCACAGAATTCTTCTCTGAAATCCATGTTTCCTATTAGTTCTCAAAAGGCACATTAGATTAGACCATAAAGCTTTTTCCAGAGTCAAACTAAACTAGAAAATAGGATCCCAGAGAGTAAGGATATAACAAGCAAACTATCTCTATTTGTGCCAAAATGAATTGAAAAAGTTTAGATTATTAGCCTCATTTGAACTACTTTAAAACAGACAAACAACAAAAGTATATTTTAGGCAAGAGTAATCAACCTTAATAAACTTCAAGCCATTTTGAATTTTATTATCTTATTCTTGTCTTGTAGATTATGCTATATTTTTTCATAAGTTGTCATGTTTGAAAGGAGAAAAGGAAACTAACATCATGTTTCAGCAAAGTGCCAAAACTGAATTCTCATTTAACACAACTTTCCAGCAAGGGATACATTACTTTCCAGAAATTTCTGATGAGGGACTTCACATTTAAAATCTTGGTGCTATACTATTTTTTGATGTGACTAAAAAGGCTGACCTGGGAGCAACAATCTTTCCATAGTATATTTCTGAACTCTGTGTGGAAAAAATGCCTGAACCAAGCTATTAATTCAAACTTTAAAAGCCATGGCATTCACTGACAAGAGCTTACCATTCAAATGTCTATTGACTACCCACAGAGGCCCTGGTTGGGAACCGGAACAAAGGTAACACACGGTCGCAGCCCTTAAGGGGCTTGTAAGTTAGGACATGTGCATAAGCTTAAGACTTATGCACTTGACTTAGGTTACCATAAACATGTGTCCCCAGGAATGTTCTTTCTAACCCAAATTTCTCCCAAGTGCTAACTACAGATAACTAGAGCAAAATCTCAGACTTACTACTGGTTTTTAATATTTCCTTCTAGATCTCTTACATATCACTATAAACTGCCTCTCTTTGAGCCCTGTGCTGTTCCTTAGTGGTTGCAGGGACTTAGATCTCTTTCCCAATTACTGGGTGATGGGGTCCAGTTATATGAAATCAAGGCTTTCTGAACTAACTACAAAAAAGCTTAGTGCTGCTGCTGGTGTTATACACAACTTAGATATAATACTGTAATGGTGGTTGTGTGGTATCATTTGAGGACTACCACAATAGCTTATTCTCTAGTTCTCAGAATTCCTCAATTTGCTTTTAACAGTGCCTGCAACTGCAATTGTAGTCATGCTTTTTAGTAGGCCTAGAACAGAGATGATGAATACCTGTTCTTTCCCCCTGTGCCACAGCAGGCATTATTCATTACAGCACTCCCTCCAGGTGAGGATTCCACCCTTAGAGGACTTCCCATTATAGCATTACACCCATCTATTGAAGGAGGTTCCTAGATATATCCTAAAGGTGGAGATTGTCACCTACAGACCAGCCCTGGCTGAAAAACCCATGTTAAAATGTAAATCTTGAAATCCAAAAGGGAATTGCCATAAAAGACCCCAAATGAGGGCAGTGTTGCCAATGAGAGAAACAGGGCATTACCCTAGTTCACTCCAGACTGGCACAAATAAGCAGAGATCTGAAACTCATTTTCTGACCAGGTCTATGTTTTCCTCAGGACACTGGAACTCCAATCTTGTAGCTCAGGAACTTGATGTGAGGACTGGTCCTAAGGGCAGTTTTGAGGGGCAAAGGTCAGCCCTCCTTCAATTCCAGAGAGCGCAATGGGAGTCAGCACAAGGAGTGCTGGGGGTCCCACTCGGGGAAGGCAATGAAAGAGATCTCATTTGCCATAACAATTAAGTAATGCATTATGATACCGCCTCTGGCTCTAAACAGCCCCCAATCTCATTCTCCCCCCTCACCGTCTAGGCAAAACAACCTTTAATCCATCAAAATAAAAAAGTTTTAAGTGTAAAATTTTCTCCTCTTCTTTGTTTGGAAGTAAAACTTTCATTAGAAAGTCATACAATCTCACTAGAACCAATTGCAATTCCCACTAATAGACATCTCCACGTAAGGATAAACACTAGCATATGAAAAGCTTCATTAAATGAAAATCAAAACTCTGCCTTTTTGACCACATCTCATTTACACTCTGTTCCAGGAACTTTGAACATAGCATACATGTCTCCCACCATGATTCCTTTGTAGACGGCTCTTTCTGTAGCTATCCACATGGCCCACTGCCTCACCTCCTCTATGCCTTTGTTCAAGTAAACTTCTCAAAAGAAGCCTTCCTTGAAAGGCTATCTAAAATTATAATCTCCCACTGCCTCCCCGCCTGGCACCTCCAATGCCCTCTTATCCTGCTTTGTTTTGTGACATTATATTAAACTGTAATATTATGTTATTGTACAGGAAACAGTTGACAAAGAAGACCTGATACTGTCCTTCAGAAAGACTTGCTTGGTGGGGGCTAACCCTTGGCTGAGCCTAGGAACTTGAATTTTTGAATGCTGTTTTACTAACTGACAAGGCTGCTTTGTGAGCCTGAGGCACTGAGCAACGTTTGCCTGAGCTGTTTGTAAAAACAATGATTTGTGGTGAACATCTACTTTCCTTCAGGGAGTCTGGAATCTCAGTAATTGTGGCTGGTTGCACAGGCAAAGAATGCCTACATAATGAGCCCCTAATAAAAACTCTGCACTCAGTCTCAAGTGGGATTATCTGGGAGGAAACAATGCCACCCAGCATGCGTTGCTACATTTCATTGCTACAGCAGGAAGTGGGTCCTGTGTAACACCTTGTACCTCCCACCTATTCTACCCCTCCCACTAGGCAACCCCTGGGGGAGAGAATGTTGGGAGGCTGTGTCTGAACTCCTACAGGGTCTGACTGTTGTCTTTTCTTCTTGCAGATCCTGATATGAATCCATAGCTGTGAATAGAATTACCTCTGTGTCCTCTGAGTCTTCCAAGCAAGAGAAACTTGAGTGATCATGGAACCCTCAAAAAAAATATGTTCATTGTTCATCATGTTTCTTTCCCTATTAGAATATAAGCTCCTCAGGGCAGGGATTTAAGACTATCTTTAGTTCACTGACGTATCCCCAGTGCCTAGAGCAATACTTCACATAATAGGTATTCAGTAAATATTTGAATGGATGAGGAATAAAGCACATATTCTCCATTCATAATTTAAAAAAATCAATGTTCCCGAAGCTATTTAAGGGGATATTTCATCTACAATAGGAACACACATTCTGCTATCAAGAAAAGCTGCTTTTAAATGAAAGGCAAGAGCTGAATTACAAATATTATGGTGACAGTAAAAAGCAGATTGCACATTGCAGAAATGCCACAAACGAGAATGAGATCATTTGAAGAAATTCTCTTTAAACAAAGAATAATGAGATAAAAAAGATTTTGACAATGTTTAACTATCAAAATCACAAGAATCCAAGGAGAGATCCAGTTACCTACACTATACATAGTAGGCTCACAGTAATTGTTGAATGAATTGAAATAGAAAAAAAAATAAAGTTGGTATTAATATCTCCTCAAATATAAGAGCAATTGGAATGTTTTAGGGAAAAAGATAATGAAACAAGAATTCAATAGACTCACAAGAGATCATATGTGATAACAAAAAGATTCCCAGATATTTGGTAATACAGAAATTATAAACTTTTAAAACATTTACTCAAACAAATAATCCTGCTGACTAAAAAATTAACCAAATAAATTCAAGTCACAGAATAACCAAGATAAAATTATGAAATCAACAGCATTTCTGTCATATTAAGGAATAACACAGGAATTTAACTATTGTGACTTTAATTTGGTTTTGGCCAGGCTTTCACCTTTGTGGGTATTAAAATGAAAGAACAAAATGAGGCCTACAGACCACAAGACTACATAATTAGGAGTTACAAATCAAACTAAAATGATGCTAATTCAAATATGTTCTATCCCATAGCTTGACAAATATACCACTCCAAGTGAGTGAGGTCCCTGGTTTAGGGTGCTTTTTAACACAATGTTTTAGTTTATGAAAAGTGACTCACAGGGCATCCATAGTCTAGAACCTATTTTGCAGTCCCATCTACTTACCAGCCCTGGTAACAAAAAAATATATAAAATCATCGGTTTACACATAGTTTATAAGTTATCAAAATATCAAAGACAGTTGAGCTTATTTATACAGCTATCTTGGTATTCTATTGGTGAAATAAGATTTAAATGAGTAATAAAAATATATAGTTTATAAATTATGGATTTATTCTAAGAATTCATTCCCTTTATTTCAGTAAGTTACTAATTACATTAGGTTTAATACTTTAATTTGTATTCTATTGGCAGTAATACCAAATTAGACAACCTTCCTTGAGTCACCTTAGATCTTAGATTTTTTTTTTTTTTTCAACAATTTCAATTTGGAGAATTTCACTGCAACTGGAAGTGTCAAAAATCTTAAAACAATGTTTGGATTCAGAAATGTGAATTCTCCACATTATGTTAAAACATTGTAATGGATCACATATCACAAATTAGTATCAATACTAGAAAATACTTATTTTCATCATTGCAACTCATCACATTTTAATTGCAATTTTCACTATTTTTAAAGCAATAGCTGATGTAAAGAATCATATTAGTTTTCACATTATATCTAGATCTACACATACATAGAGTAATATGAATCGTTTAATATTGTAGTATCCCTCCAGCTGCCATCAGCAACTATAGCAAACATTGTGGTAATTCATAAGTACCTCCAGAACTGTGAATGAGAGAACATGAAGAGAAGAAGACAGATGCTCAGTGATTAGTGGTACTGATAAATAATTCATTACACAAAATGCAATTATATCTGTTATGACAGAAAAGATTTTAGTTAATGTGTCCTATGACCAAGAACTTACATTGTTCAAAGCCTCCTTTCACTCCAAAGCAGTGTCCATTCAATGTTAGTGGCATAATCCTCAAAACTTTTTATTGACTTTTGTTTCAAAGACATGAGGCAGGAGTTGGGGAGAAGCATCTCTCTGCTAATTGTGTTAGAAAAGTGGGCTGCTATAGTTTGGATGTGGTTTGTCCTCACCAAAATTCATGTTGAAATTCAAACCCCAATGTGGCAGTTTCGGGACGTGGGGCCTGGTGGGAGTTGTTTGAATCTCTCATGATTAGGTTAATGCCCTCCCAATATGGAGGGGATTTGACCTCCCAAATCGCATCTTGAATTTTAACTCCCACCATTCCAATGTGTCATGAGAGGAACGTGCTGGGAGGTGATTGAATTATGGGGACAGGTCTTTCCTGGCTGTTCTCATGATAGTGAATGAGTCTCATGAAATGTGATAGTTTTAAAAACAGGAGTTCACCTGCACAAGCTCTCTTTGCCCAATGCCATCTATGTAAGACGCGACTTGCTTCTCCTTGCCTTCTGCCATGATCGTGAGGCCTCCCCAGCCACGTGGAGCTGTAAGTCCTCTAAACCTCTTTTGCAAATTGCCCAGTCTCGGGTATGTCTATCAGCAGCATGAAAACAGACTAATACACCTCCCACAGGGTTAGTGAGTTCCCACCCTCACAGGAATAGACAAGTTCCCAAGAGTGGGTGTTAAAGAATTTGGCTTCTTTAGTTTCTTTTTAAAAAAATATGAGCTTTTTATTTGTTCACTTCTTGCATTTGAAGTACTCTTTGATGACATCCTTAGCCTAAGATTCTTTGCTATAAATTATTTATTACTACACAACTGCAACTAATCACTTTACAAGGTTTGCCCACTCTGTCAATTTTTCAGAGGTATAAGCATCTAGACATAGATGAATTTAGTGCCAAGCCCATCTTTGTGTACTTTCACCTAACTGTAATGAGCCTTGGTTTCCCTCTTGCTTGTATCACTGGGTGATCCCTGCACACGACCACTCCCTGCCATGAGTGGAAGCAGCTTAAGGACCTCACCAGAAGCTGAGCAGATGCCAGTGCCTCACATCTTGTATTTCACAACTTGTCAAACTGTAAGCTAAATAAACCTCGTTCCTTCATAAATTACGAGATAGGCCCAGGCTTCTGTTTTTCACAAATTATCCAGCTTTAGATATTCTGCAAAACAAAATGGGCTAAGACATGGACATTTAAGTTCACAGATTATACTAAATCAGCATTGAGTGTAGAATCTCAAGTGACATGGCAATCAAGCTCATCAGTAAATTTATTCTTATGGGTTCTTGAGATAGGTAGAGCCATATAAAGCATGAATCTTAAGGAGAGGGCTTCCTTGGCAATGGTAACCAGTATATCCAGACTTTAAAAATTTATTTACATTTTTCTAAGAAAAAATTCCCAACGTCTACACATGAATGTCTGCCTAGAAAATACAATTGTATTGATGAAAAGACCATAATTAATAACCTGCTTAGTTATATACATTTTGAATGGCACTACATAACAAAAATGCCATTCACAGAAGCAATAAAGACAAAACTTTTAAACATGTGTGAATAAAAAAAGTCATATGAACAAAACTAATAGAACACTTCTAAATGGTATAAAAGTACACCTGAATGGAGAGAGATGCCATATTTTTGAATAGTGTGCTGGACCACTCTATTTTTAACTTGGTTAAGCTAGAGTCATGTTCCCAGATTAGAATTGGCCAAGTGAGGTATTTGCATGGGATTTGGGAAGTGGAAGTGGATCAGCAGCTATTGCTCTTTGAAGCTGACAATGATTATTTGCAGTGATGGGCAGAGGTTTCAATGAGTTTCAGCTTGTCCTCCCCTTCTCTTCTGCTCCATGACCTGCTCTTTGACTGCTGATCCTACTAGCCAATATGAGTCCCAACCTATCAACCAGACACCTGGATATAGACCCACGTGACTGACAGGTAGTCCCAAAGAGAGCCACCATCAATTCTCCCCTCCCTGGACATGTTATTTTGCTCCTTTAATCAACAGGTAGAATTTGTTTCTCCTCCTTTTGGCATTGGGATAGACTTGTGACTTTATTTGACCAATAGAATGCAGTGAAGGTGATGCTTTGCAGCCCTGAGCCCAGGCTTTAAGAAACCCATGACTTCCACTTTTACACTTAGAAGCATGCTGCCATGCTTTAAGGAAGTCCAAGCTACCTAGCTGGACAGGAAGGCCCTGTGCATAAGACTTGAGGCATCTGCCTTTGTCAGTTCAGCCTTCTATCTATAACAAAACACCATAGACTTAATGACTTATAAATAGGAATCTATTTCATACAGTTCTTGGGGCTGGGAGTCAGATCAGGGTGCCAAAATGGTCAGGTTCTGGTGAGGGCCCTCTTCCAGGCTGCAGACTGCCATCTCTTTGTTGCATCCTCATATGGTAAAAAGAGAATGAGAAAGTTTGTTGAGGTACCTTTATAAGAGCACTAATCCCATTCATGAGTGCTCCACCTTATTAGCTTCTGAAGGCCCTACCTCCTAATATCATATTGGGGATTAGAATTTCAACTTATAAATTTGGGCGTCATACATTCAATCTTTGTGCTCATTGTTGCTAGGATGCAGTTAAAGTCTCCAAATATGTGAGGGAGGTCTTCTTGGACTTTCCAGCCCAGCTGCAGCAGAACTCCAAGTTAAATACAACCACATGAGCAACTATCTACACAACATGGAACACTGGGCCTGTTCATACATTGTATTGAATGAATAATTAGAACTGAAGAGGCTTCAGCCTTTTGAAAAGTTTCCCAAGGAATCTAGAACAATCTTGGCACTCATCTTAGGGAAAAAGTTAGGAGAAAATAATAAATACTGGATGATTTCAGATGTCTTAGCACTTTGCTCAGTAGCATAGAGCAAGAATCAGGGCAGGTAAAGTAAAATTTCTCTGCCTAGCACATAAATTTTGCTTTCAGAGTTGAGAAAACTCATTCCTTGGGGCAAACAGCTACATTCATAAATTATAGCTGAAAAAACCTTTGAGCTCAAACAGAAATACATTTATTTCACAGATGAAGGAACTGATGCCCAATGGGTCATGTGATTTGTGCAGGGCCATATGTTGGTGCCATAGCTATTCCCAAGACCCAAATTCCACTCTATCCCAGGGTACTTCCCTCCCTAATACTCTTTCCACACCAAACCCACTTAAGAATTAGCCTCTCCAGCTCCTGCAACTTTACGTTTATGAACTGAAAGCAACTCAAAGGAGGTAAAGCGCAGAGGCAGAGTGTGGTTCACATCTCCCAGAGCACTGTCCTCTCCACAGAACACACTCAAAAAGCAATGATCAAGAGAAGAAAGTGAAGTGCTTACTTGCCAACAGTTTTCTTCAGCTCTACTCAGCAAGGGCAATCTATTTACAAAAGTAATTTTGTTGACTAGATCAACATATTGACATGTTGAATCCGTTAACACACAATTATTGATTTCTACCTATGCTACTAAGTTGTATGACAAGATTCTTATTCTTTGAAATTAAAGACTTATTTTCCAGTATAACTGAGGGGATTTGTTTGCTTCCTTAATATGGTCATAAAATAGGAAGAATTTCTATTTGTCACCAAGAGAACAAAGTGTTTACTTATAAATAAAATGTTCCAAAGTGGACAGACTACACTTTGAATTGCCGTTTCATCTGCAGGAATGCTACTCCTGTTTCATGAAACCAGATTAAAGCCATGTTTATTTAAAGATGCCTGTTCACAAAAGGCAATGCCAGCATAAAATTAAAAAATTCAAAAGAGATCAGAATGTATTACTAACAAAAGGGTGCCCCAAGGTCATGGGTTTTTACAACACCCTAAACAAAATTCCCCCTGAAGCCTTTAGACCGGTGAAATTATGCACCATTTCAGAATATTTTCTTCTCTAAGTATGTATGCTGCTCATGTTTCTGGGAATTGTTCTGTCCTCAGCGTCACAGGGTCAAAGTATGGAGTCTCAGACATTTGCTAACCCTCCTTGGCATTCTCAGCAGTGAGCATCTATCTGTTTATCACCAGTGGCACCTGCACAATTCCACTAGAAAAACTATTCAGGACTATCCCATCAACTGCTGTCCACTAGATGTCTACAGCATCCTCAGTCATAGAGGCAACCAAACATTCTCATTCCTCAATTCGGCAGTCGGCCAGGCTATTCCAAGTTTCCACGTCCCAGCATGCCATGACCTGGACACTCTCTCAAGGCAGTAAATTAGGGCAATTGTAGGGCTTCACCTCATTTGTTTCTCATTTCTCAGAAATTAATGTCTTGTATCATCTGATGTCTTGAAAAAACATTTCATATTTTTCCAAGTTTATTTCAGGCATAACTATAAATCAAGTCTGTTACTTCACCTTAGCTAGAAGCAAAAGTCAGTTTTTTTTAAACTTAATACAAATATGATTCTGACTTTAAAAAGCAAGATATAGGATGTGATGGAGATAAGGAAAAAAGACTTGTGGTTCAGGGTACGTGAGGGGGAGAGGAGACTGGGAGTAGAAAAACAGGAAGGCATTGAACACTAACCTGGCTCTATCCCACAATTTTTTCTAGGCATAGCCTGGAAAAGAGTTCAAGAACTTCAGGGTTATGTCAAGGCTTATATTTATGATTCAGCATTTACAGTAATAAAGTTATTTCTTTCTAAGACTACTCAGCTTATGCTACACAAAGAAACTTACATCAAGCCACCTTGTTTGTGACTGGTGCTCTGTCAACTGTCTCTAGATCTGCACTTGCAGATAGCGGTTCCCTGCAAGGCATCCACACTTTAATGTGGAGACAAGGCCATCAGCTCCCAGAAAAGATGAGATTTACAGGCACCTCATGTTCTGCATCCTGACTCCCACCATCTCCTCCCAACAACCTCCCTCAGGTCACAGAGCATAGAGTTACTGACCAAAATCAATCCTGGAAAGATGACTGTCACTCTATCCTCCACGGACTCATACCCCATTCTCTTGGAGAATTAAGTAGGTATGGTATGAGTTAAGATGAACCTATATATTCCAAAAGTAGATTTTTCCCAGTGCAGTGAGCAGAGGGAACATTTGAGGACACTTTTTAATTAGTTGAGTGCAATCTTTAAATAAGAAACAGTGTTACACACCCTGTGATGTTTTCTTTGTGAAGATACTAGGACCTTGGCTTTAAATGCATTGTAAGGCTAGATGAAAAACCTTTGGTAAAATAATGGACACTGATTAGTTCCAATGAGATGGGAATCTTCCACTGGCCTGTGGTTAAAATGAACTAGTCCTTATTTCTTTACTTGAATAAGAACTAGATTTCTGTCAACTGAATGTTAATCCATGCAAATCTCAGATGTTATTTGAATGAATAGGAAACTGTTTGCATGGCTGCAATTCAGACAACCTGTTTCTTGGACTTACATGCATGAGAGCCAGGCTGTAGTGTGGCAGGTGTGGATACACCAGATGACACACTGAGTCAGACCATGCTCAGGTGATAGGTCCGATGATGTCAGTCATTGAGAGGGAAGAAGAAATACTAAATATATATGTTCTCCTTAAAGCAGTCTTAATCACTTAGAAGAGAAAAAAAGATCATGCCAAAGAATTCGGTTAATAGAGAATCTGCGGGAAACAGCATAATATAACGAGGTCTAACCTGCTCTTCAACTAAGGAGTACAGCAGCACTTACCATACCATTTCTGTATGAAGTAGCTTGATGTGTGGCCTTTTATGTAAGGGTGAGAGCTACTTCCAAACCTTCTATACAACTGAATCCAAGTGCATATCCAGAAATAAAATGTACAAGCACCAGTAACTCTTCTCATCTTTAGCCATGCTGAACTGCAGTCTCTGAAACTCTACCTATAGGTTTTAGCTTAGGAATTACCAAGACAAGTATAACCAGGGCATAAAGTGCTAAAAGAATATCCATCATTGTAAATGTAGTTTGCTGCCAAAAGTATGGTACATGATCAGCATAAACCTTTAGCTTTATTTGCCCTCCAGGTAGCACACTCTCCAAATCCTTGCTGGGTTAGCCCAGGCTAGAAGATTTGGCTCAATTTCCTGCTTTGTATTCTAGTCAACTATTAGGGCTGTCCTGTTTAATAATTGTGAACTGTTTAATAATTAACTATTTGAAGCTGCTCATTTAGAGAGAGATGGAGCCCTCTCTCCTCCACTCTCAGCTGCAGTCTGTAGTCTGATTAGGAATATGATCTAGAGAATTTGTCACACGTCTAGCTATGCATGTCAGCACCGCCTACCTTGTCCTGCCACTATTTTCCATCTTCCCGAATAGACCACCATGCAGCCCGAGTGTATGCTGGGCATTCGACCACCAACTTTGCTGGGGTGATCAGACCCAACACCAGGTCGTCGGGGTGACGAAGTCCAGCGGAGTCAAAGGATTGAGCGGGGTGAGGGGGGAAAAGGTGGTACGCCAGGGGGCCATCACTATTGTATGGAGGCTGCGAAGGCCCCGAGCTCTGGGAGCCCATGGTATTTATTGGTAATGCAACGAAGAAACAGGTGGTGAGAACGTGGAGGTCAAAAGGGCACATTGCGTTAAGCACATGATTTACAGCTGTGATGGCTTAGCATTTATAAGGAACATGTTCTGCTACTTGAGATAATGGTAACAGGAGCCTAGGAAGGCTAGAAACAAGGAGCCAGTAAGTCTAGACACATTCCAAAGACATTATGCAAGCCCTGCCTCAGTTTCCCTCCCAACACTCAGCTTTTTCCCCCAACATGCCTTTTTTTGTAAGGGGGAAGGTATCATTATTACATTACTAGCAATTGTTAGCAAGGCGATTGCAGGCTGTGTAGTCCTTAATTGCCGGTGACCCAGCTTTTTTCTTTTAACCCTTATTCAAACTGGAGTCACTCTGGTTTGAATGCTTCCCACATACCTCCCCCACTTTGCCTTTTACAAGGGGACCCTCAATCCTAGGGGTTGCAGGAGGATGAAGGTCCGTCTTCTGTAACTTCTTCAAATGCTGAATAGGGGCAATGATACTCCTGCCTAACTATTAGGGTCTCTTGTATTCATGGTAGAGAGGAGTCAGAAAGCATTGGTCCATTAAGCATTGTGACTCTGGTCAGTCCTTGTTCCATCTTCGCATTCAGATTCAACTGTCTCATGGCTCATGCTGGGGGAGAACCCGGTCCATGGTTGGGATCCATGGGTTCCCCCCCGCCCCAGTCTCCCCAATTCTATGGTCGTACACATCTTGAGGTCATCCACACGGTTCGTTCATCTCCTGGCAAAAGCATACCCTCAATCTCCACGTTAGTAAATCTACTGAAATAGAAGCAAAAACTTTTGTGGTTGTAGCCAGGCGGCCACTGATGAGACAGGCCTTTTGTGATTAACTGAAGGCATAGAGAGAGCAAATCGAGGCTTTTCAAACCTTCAAATTCGCACTGTACAGGTGGGTCCACTAGATGCTGTGGCTGATGATAGATCTTCAGATGTTTGGTGGGCACCCACACAGGCACCTGAGGCAAGCAAATCCTCTTCCCCATAAAATTATCTTTAGGCAGGGATCAGAGGAAGCAGACTCAGAGGTAAGGAGAATTTTGGGGTCTAAAGGCTTCCTGATGTTTGATAGGTGTTCCCTCGGAAGTTATGAATTCCCCTTCTCTCCATATTGCTGCAAGGGCATGGAGGACTAGGTAAGCATACTTAGAGTCTGCATGTATATTTACCCTTTTTCCTTCTCCTAATTCTAGTGTATAATGGCCCCTGCTTTTGCTAGGATGTCTCTAACAAAGGAGCGAGGTTTTCAGGCATAATTAGAAAGGCACGTGAGGAGAGTAAAGTTCCCCAGTCACAACTTAGTGGCTGGAAGATCTAGTGACTGCCTGTCCTAGGACCCCTCAGATAGTGACAGATCTGGAGGACAGTTGTCCGGGACAGGAGAGTAAGACTGAGAAGACCGTGCTAGTGTCCAGGAAACAGTTAACCTCCTGGACCTCAATGGTCAAGCATACCCAGGGCTCTGTGGCATGGGCTGGCGCTTACCCTGGGCACCCTCAGTCCTGCTGCTGGGTCATCTGGTTAGTGGCTTCTGACTCACAGGTCCTTTGTCCCCCTGGGGCAGAGGGCCTTCCAGCGATTCCCTTGACATAAGGTGCGCAGAAATAAGGGGCACTGGTGGCTTATTTCTATTCGGACAGTCTTTTTGAAAATGTCCTTGCAGACTGCACTGGAAGCAAGCCCTACTAAAGGCATTCAATTTGCCCAGCCTTTCCCTTTTCCAGAGCCTCCAAAGTCCGCTTGCCTGAGGGTCATGACTAAAACGGTGGCTTTTTCTTATCCCATTTGTCCCATTCTGCCTGGTCCTCCTGATCTCTATTATAAAAAACCGAGGTTTCCGAGTTCAATAGGGTTTCTAAGTTTTGCTCCGGGCCCTAAGGCGGACTTTTGAAGTTTTTTCTAATGTCTGCAGCTGACTGAGTGATAAACTTATCCTTAAAGATTAGTTGGCCTTCAACATAGTCAGGTGACAGAGGTATGCTTCCTCAATGCCTCCCCTTGTCTCTCCAGAAAGGCAGGATTTTCTTCCTTTCCTTGCATTATAATGGACATCATTGAATAATTCATAGACTTTTTCCTCTTAGTTTTCCTTAGTCCTTCCTAGCCCGCAAAAGTTAGCAAGTGTCTACAAGCACCAATCTCCATGTTCTGATTTTGCATCCCAATGAGGGTCTACAGTAGGAACTGCCTGCTGGCCTGTGGGGAATTGTTCTTTCCTCTGTTGTCATCCTATCGTTGACCTGAGATACCAGAGATCGCAAGACTCTCGGGGCTGCAGTTACAGTGGCACTTCTCTCATTTGGGGTTAGTGTCTGATCTAGCAGTAACATTAAATCTCTCTCCATGTCAAAGGATTATCCTAACCCTTATAAAACATCAATATAGCCATCAGGGTTATCTGAGAATTTACCTAGGTCTATTTTGTTTGAAAGTCTGAGAGGGAAAAAGGTACTACACTCTGACTGGGCCGATTCTCCAGGATACACTTAGGGGCATTTTTGCCTTGTGGGGAACATTTCCCATCTGAAAAAACAGGGATGCCAGCACCCCTAAGTCGTTTTCCAATGAGCATTAGTCCTAGAGCATTCCCTACGGTCCTAATGCTTATTCCTTTCCAGGGTGCGTAACCACCCATAGACCTCTGCTTATCAGATTAGTTACTCTTACCAATGTAGCAGTCCGGCACCTGTTTTCCCACCTTTCTTGACCACAAAGAAATGGGTCCAGGCTGCTAGATTCTAGTGGTCCTTTACCAGCATGCCCAACATTGCCTTTGCGCTCACAGGTGAGTCCTAGAGCTGGGCTGGGTTCCTGAGTATTTCATACCCACCCAGCTGCCCCATCAAGATTCACTCCCATGAACAGTTCTTAAGCAAATTCATTTCAGAGGGTGTAGGTAACCTTTTGAGTCAGGATTGAAAGTTTTTTGATTCTGAGTGCAAACAGCTCGCAGGTTTGAGCAGACGAATTAGGCAATTTTCTTAACTCTGCTTCTATATATAGTCTCCCTATCAATTACTGAATATACCCATTGTGTTTTCACCCCCTCCCCCGTCACCCAGGAGGAACCATCTATTGTTCTGTCCTGAAGGGAGTTCCTCCTAGGGGTCTGATCGGGCCTTTGTATGGTAATTAAAATTTAAATCCCTCATTACAAAACCTGCTGGGTTAAGGGAATTTTCAGTGGTTAATGTTAAATCTTTTTTCCTAACAGAATAGCCCTATACTTTTAGATTTGAGTTAGTAAGCTACCTTTTTGTTTGACTTAGGATAGCTCTGAACTGGTGAGGTGTGCTCACAATGAGGTTTCCACTAAACGTTTTTCTACTTTCTTCTGTTAGCAAAGCAGTTGCTGCTACCAATGGAATGCATTTGGGCCATCCGCGGATTACTGGGTTAAGAATTTTTGATAGGAAGGCTACTGGTTGTCCGTGGTCTCAGTGCTTTCGGCCTTGTTTACACTGATAAGGTAGTACTGGAGTGTTACAGGGCCACGGAGACCTTCAGTTATAGGTTTTTAAATTTACCCTGGCTTTTAAAGAAAAAAAAGTGTACCCTATTCCTTTAACTGCTTGTGTATCTTTCTCCTTTGTAGATGGATTTTGGAAACACAGTGGAAGGACGTTTGCTATCCTCCCTGCTGGATTATAGTTACGGGAAATTGCATGCTTCGAGGTGTCCCTCAGCTGTAGCCTTTTGAGTAGAATTTTGTATAGCACCAATTGTTCCAGGTTTTAATTTTGCAACTATAGGAGCAGTACGTTTTCTAGCTAATTCATCTCCTAGCCCATTATGGGGAGAGAGAGGTGGCCTTTCACTTAATTCAGCAGGTGGAGCCGACGGTCTAGTAAGACCTACTTTTTTCAGTTTCCCTTTCTTTTAGTTCTCTCCGTTTCCTGTTCCTCACATTAACAATCTAATTTTTTACACTTATCCTCCTCTTCCTCATCTGAGCCTACCTCATCATGTTTGAAATGGCTCAAGAGCTGCCTTTGTTAGTGTCCACATTGACCAAACAAACTGGAATTTCTGCTCCCTCTTCATACGCCTTTTTAAAGTCTCTTCCAATTCTCTCCCATTCACCCAATTCCATAGTCCCTTGTTTTGGAAACCATGGGCAAAACTTTTACTGTAGGAAAGAGTAATAAGTTCTGAGTACTAACTTTCACTTCCCCTCTTCGTAATAAATGCCTTAAGAAATTTAAGCAGAATATCTGCTTTTCCTTTGTCCCATTGTTACCCTGCTTCTTCCAAGTGCTCAGCTTTCCCGCTGAGCTTCTTTTAGACATTCTCCGCTTTCACACGCTCATAGCATTCCTTCACCGGCGTCTTTGTCGCCCCACACTGGGCAGCCAGGAATGTTAAGGTGATCAGACCCAACAACAGATCGTGGGGGTGACAAAGTCCAGCGGACTCAAAGGATTAAGAAAAAGACAGAGAAAGAGAAAACAGTGAGAAAGAAAAAGGTGGGATGCTTGGGGTGGGGGGAATAGCTATCGTACGGAGGCTGCGAAGGCCCGTAGCGCTGGGAGCCCACGGTATTTATTGGTAACCCAACAAAGAAACAGGTGGTGAGAATGTGGAGGTCAAAAGGGCACACTGATTAAGCACATGATTTACAGCTGTGATGGTTTAGCATTTATAAGAAACATGTTCTGCTACTTGAGATAATGGGAATAGGAGCCTAGGAAGGCTAGAAACAAGGAGCCAGCAAGTCTAGAAACATTCCAAAGACATTATGCAAGCCCTGCCTCAGTTTCCCTCCCAACACTCAGCTTTTTCCCAACAAACTTCCCAGCTTAAAGGCAAACCATAGAGCAAATGGTCTTAAGGCAAAGTCTAAAAAGCTTTAGATTACCCATGAATAAGTTTCAAGCAATCCCTCAACCCCTAGTATTGATTTTATGTGTGGATAGTTTAGGTCATATGCAAATGCATTTTGATCAAAGTCTCTTAGGATCCATAGCCCCAAAAAAGTTTATGTTCCACCATCCAAAAGACAGATATATTTTTCCTGTTCTGATCCCTCCCAGTCTCTCTCCTCCCTACTATTAAGGGCCACTAAAATTGCAATAAGTATAATAAATGAGCTGGACAGAATTATAACAACTTCAGAGTAGGGTTCATAGGTCAACCACATCATTCAGAAATGTCCCCTTTACTTCAATTTCTTGTTCACATTTTCCACTGTGGTTAAGAAAAAATCAGCAACTGCTATTACTTAATGATGCAGTATTCTGAAGCAGCTCCTTAATGGATGTTTAATTGATTTTTCACTCAAACCATTTACTTTCAAATTGAACAGGATGTTGATGAAGGGTATCAGTTTCCAAGAATATTCTCTGCTGTAAATTTTATGCTTTGCTTTTCCTGCTATTTAATTTAAAGCTATCATAGTCTAAAAGGGGAAAAATGTCCAAACTTGATCCTACTTAACATGGAAGAATGTAAACAAATGCCAATTTGCTTTTTTTATTTGAACAGCCATTCTCATACTGGGTTTGTGATCTTCAGAAACTAAAGTTTTTCTATCAATTCATGACTCATGACTTGTCTCAGTTATTACTGATTTCTACTGGATATTATTCACAGGCACAACAAAAATCACACAATTTTTTTATTGCATTTTCACCTCAAATGTTAAAATAATTAATTTTCCCCAGATGTATTGAGATATAATTCATCAATAAAAATTGTGTGTTTATACATATATATGCAAAAGGTGTATAAACTGATGTTTTGATATAATATACACCGTGAAATGATTACCACAATCAAGCTAATTAACATATTCATCAACTTATATAGTTACCCTTTTAAATTGGCAAATAATTGTACAATTCATGAGGTACATGGTGATGTTTTGATACATACACTGATCAGATAAAGGTTATTGCACATTTGTCATCTCAAACATTTATCACTTCTTTGTGTTGGGAACATGCACCATCCTCCTTTAGCTATTTGAAACTATATATTATTGCTCACTATAGTCATCCTACAGTGGTATAGAACACCAGAATTTATTTCTCCTATCTATCTATAATTTGGTATCCTTTAACAAATTTCTACATAGTTACCTTTTCTGTGTATGTGAGGCCACATAAGACCTAGTTTCTTGGCAAATTTCAAGTACATATATAATGCATTATTATTTTTTTCTGCTCTACTTTTTTTATTATACTTTAAGTTCTCTGATACATGTACAGAATGTGCAGGTTTGTTACATAAGTATACATGTGCCATGGTGGTTTGCTGCACCCATCAACCTGTCATCTACATTAGGTATTTCTCCTGATGCTATCCCTCCCCTAGTTCTCCACCTTCCAACGGGCCCCAGTATGTGATATACCCCTCCCTATGTTCATGTGTTCTTATTGCTCATCTCCCACTTATGAGTGAGAACATGTGGTGTTTGGTTTTATGTTCCTGTGTTAGTTTGCTGAGAATGGTAAAGTTTCCACTTCATCCATGTCCCTGCAAAGGACATGAACTCATCATTTTTTATGGCTGCATAGTATTCCATGGTATATATGTGCCACATTTTCTTTATCCAGATCCAGTCTATCATTGGTGGGCATTTGGGTTGCTTCCAAATCTTTGCTATTGTGAACAGGGCTGCAGTAAATATACATGTGCATGTGTCTTTATAGTAGAATGATTTATAATCCTTTGGGTATATACCCAGTAGTGGGATTGCTGGGTCAAATGGTATTTCTGGTTCTAGATCCTTGAGGAATTGTCACACTGTCTTCCACAATGGTTGAACTAATTTACACTCCCACCAGCAATGTAAAAGTGTTCCTATTTCTCCACATCCTCTCCAGCATCTGTTGTTTCCTGACTTTTTAATGATCCCCATTCTAACTGGCATGATATGGTATCTCACTGTGGTTTTGATTGCATTTTCCTAATGACCAGTGATGATGAGCTCTTTTTCATATGTTTGTTGGCCGTATAAATGTCTTCTTTTGAGAAGTGTCTATCTCTATCCTTCACCCACTTTTTCATGGGTTGTTTTTTTCTTGTAAATTTGTTTAAGTTCTTTGTAGATTCTGGATATTAACCCTTTGTCAGATGGATAGATTGCAAAAATTTTCCCCCATTCTATAGGTTGCCTGTAACTCTGAAGATAGTTCTTTTTTTTTTTTTCCTGCTGTGCAGAAGCTCTTTAGTTTAATTAGATCCCATTTGTCAATTTTGGCTTTTGTTACCATTGCTTTTGGTGTTTTAGACATGAAGTCTTTGCCCATGCCTATATCCTGAATGGTATTGCCTAGGTTTTCTTCTAGGGTTTTTATGATTTTAGGTCTTATGTTTAAGTCTTTAACCCATCTTGAGTTAATTTTTGTATAAGGTATAAGGAAGGGGTCCAGTTTCAGTTTTCTGTATATGTCTAGCCAATTTTCCCAACCCAATTTATTAAATAGGGAATCCTTTCCCCATTGCTTGTTTTTGTCAGGTTTGTCAGAGATCAGATGGCTGTAGATGTGTGGTGTTATTTCTGAGTCCTTTGTTCTGTTCCATTGGTCTATATATCTGTTTTGGCACCAGTACCATGCTGTTGTGGTTACTATAGCATTGTAGTATAGTTTGAGGTCACGTAGCATGATGCCTCCAGCTTTGTTCTTTTTGCTTAGGATTGTTTTGGCTATGCAGGCTCTTTTTTGGTTCCATATGAAATTTAAAGTAGTTTTTTCTAATTCTGTGAAGAAAGTAAATGGTAGCTTGATGGGGATAGCATTGAATCTATAAATTACTTTGGTCAGTATGGCCATTTTCACGATTTTGATTCTTCCTATCCATGAGCATGGAATGTTTTTCCATTTGTTTGTGTCTTCTCATTTCCCTGAACAGTGGTTTGTATCTCTACTTGAAGAGGTCCTTCACGTCCCTTGTAAGTTGTATTCCTAGTTATTTTATTCTCTTTGTAGCAATTGTGAATGGGAGTTCACTCATGATTTGGCTCTCTGTTTGTCTATTATTGGTGTATTGGAATGCTTGTAATTTTTGCACATTCATTTTGTATCCTGAGACTTTTCTGAAGTTGCTTATCAGCTTAAGGAGATTTGGGGCTGAGACAATGGGGTTTTCTAAATATATAATCATGTCATCTGAAAACAGAGACAATTTTACTTCTTCTCTTCCTATTTGAATACCGTTTATTTCTTTCTCTTGCCTGATTGCCCTGGCCAGAACTTCCAATACTATGTTGAATAGGAGTGGTGAGAGAGGGCATCCTTGTCTTGTGACAGTTTTCAAAGGGAATGCTTCCAGCTTTTGCCCATTCAGTATGACATTGGCTGTGGGTTTGTCATAAATAGCTCTTATTTTGAGATACGTTCCATCAATACCTAGTTTATTGAGAGTTTTTAGCATGAAGTGCTGTTGAATTTTGTCAAAGGCCTTTTCTGCATCTATTGAGATTATCATGTGGTTTTTGTCATTGGTTCTGTTTATGTGATGGATTACATTTATTGATTTGCATATATTGAATCAGCCTTGCATCCCAGGGATGAACCCAACTTGATCATGATGGATAAGCTTTTTGATGTGCTGCTGGATTCGGTTTGCCAGTATTTTACTGAGGATTTTTGCATCAATGTTCATCAGGGATATTGGCCTGAAATTTTTTTTGTTGTGTCTTTGCCAGGTTTTCGTATCAGGATGATGTGACCTCATGAAATGAGTTAGGGAGGAGTCTCTCTTTTTCTATTGTTTGGAATAGTTTCAGAAGGAATGGTACCAGCTCCTCTTTGTACCTCAGGTAGAATTTGGCTGTGAATCTGTCTGGTCCTGGGGTTTTTTCGTTGGTAGTATAATGTCTTCCAGGTTCATCTATATTGTTGCAAATTGCAGGATTTTCTTCTTTTTAAGGCTGAATAATATTCCTGTGTGTGTGTGTTTTAGTGTGTATGTGTGTGTACCTTTCACATTTTTCTTATTGCTTTATTTGTCAACACTTAGGTTATTTCCATATCTTGGCTATTGTGAATAATACTGCAATGAACATGTGAGTGAAGGCATCTCTTTCAGACATTGATTTCAATTCTTTTGAATATATATGCAGAAGTGGGATTGCTGGATCATATGGTTCTTCAAACTGTGTCTAGCTCTCTCTCACTTCTCCCTGGAAATTAAGACAGCTCACTGCTTTGTTGATTTTTACAGGGAAATTAGGAAAGAAGAAAGACTTTTTCTTACGCTATTCTTAGACTTTTTAAAGTTCTTTATCTTTCATTTTTTGTTTGTAGCCAAACAGTCACACTATCCACAAAATCTACCAGTTAATAGCCAGCAGTAAAAAGAAAATAGATTACATTTTCAGTTACAAAACAAATGAGGTTAAGATTTAAATTTCTTATAGTAATACTTTCTGTTTATTACATTAAAATTATAGGTAATACATTAAGAAAAAAGTACATATTTGAACCCCAATTAACAAATATTATCTTTTACTGAAACATAAATCAATCTAAAACTACAACTTTCAACAAATAAGTCCTTTTCAGTTGAACTGTTTTTGCTAAAGAAAAAAGCTTATGAAGTCAGGGAAATGTGGATGTGTCAGAATTTATATTGCTCTATTTTGTTGTTGATTTTTCAAAAGAAAGTATGTAAAAATACACACACATTTCTATGGGGAACTGTATTCAGCATTTCAGCATGAACACTTAGTATAGCAGAAAAACACATTTGTTAGTATAGCAAAATGTAGGCTTGAGTGTGAAAGGAGACAGACCATGGGTAAGAATGCAGTCTATGAGCCTACCTATAGGAGTTAAGCTTAAGAAAAACAAAATTAGAAACAAAACTAAATTGGGCCTGGTAGCATGCACCTGTAGTCCCGACTACCCTGGAGGCTGAGGAGGGAGAATTGCTTGAACCCAGGAGTTTGAGATCAGCCTGGGCAACACAGCGAAACCCCATCTCTATTTAAAAATAAATAATAATAAGAAGAAGAAAGGCAAATGAAACAATAAAACAACACTTAAGGGGCATCAGAGAGCAGCCCTTTCCCCTCTTCCTCACTATAGGGTTACAAAAGACCCCACTCTACATAAACCCAGGGAGGAAGTAAGAATGTGCCTCTCTATACTGCTTTTCCAGCTATGGAATTGTAATCAGAATCATAAATGTCTTCAACATTGGGCAACCAACATAAATAACTGAAACTGTAATGTATTTGGTACCAGAGAGTGGTGGGGAGATTGGTAAACTGAAGAGTGCATATTCTACACCTAAAATCCTTCAAAGTAATAAAACAAAGAAAAGGACTCCATATTGGCCAAATGAAACACATCAACACAGTAAAATCAGCTGTTGTTCATCAGTTTTCTCCCTAGGACCTTCTCCTACTCCTAGATCCAAGCACCTGATGCAGTTCTCATGGGCTAGGGAGGGCCTCCAGCAGAATGTGGTGGCTTGATAGAGATCTTGTTAACTGAAATCAGAGGCTCCTAGGAATGATGATAAATGAGGTTACCATCTTGGACAGTGCCCTATCACCTCCTAAAAGCCTCAAGAATTGGTCAGGCTACTTCTACATTTAATACCACATCTTTTGCTTCTGTCTAGAGACTTTCCCTCAACAAATGAGAAATTTAGTAATCTCACAGCATTTGCCCTATTCTCCTTGTCTTAAAGCAAGCATGAAACTATTTTTATGGTTTTTCTCACAGTTTTGGTAATTAAAGGTAAAATGTGACTAAAAAAATTGCTTACTATCTATCTAGGGGTTTTTTTTTTTCTTTCTTCTGCTTCCACTCTAGTAGCAAAGATAATAATGATGCAGATGATAATGGAAGGTTTATGTAGTAAAATTTGCCTCATGTTCAGAAGAATCCCCAAGCATTTCGTAAGAGCAGATGAGGCATAGTTTGTAGTTAGGAAGCTGAACAGGCAAAAGGGAGACTTGTGGAGAGGTGACGAGGAATACTCTGAAACTACCCCGAGGTGGAGAGAGGATAAGGGTAGGAAAGGAAACATTTGCATCAGTGGCTTACAGACTTACTTTCCCCTACATCTCCTCAATCTTTCTCCTCCTGTCTCCATGGAACCTACCTGAAAAGACGCAGAGAATGAACAATGGATGAAACAATTTTGAGAAAGCTAGAGACAGGAAAGCCACCGGGGAGACAATAGCCTGGGCCGATGTAGGGAAAAGGAAGGTAGAGATCTGAACTGAGGGGCAATATCTGTATCTACTCTTATGAATGGGACATCCATCAACTGTTTGGGCCAAAGTCCAGTGTTGCCTATGTCAGCCAAGCAAATGTTTCGTGGTCTCACCTACATTTATGGCAGACATTCTGCAAACATCATAGCAGAGATGTTAACTAAGCATTTCCAAAGTAATGTTCCACTACTTAATTACATAATTAGCCACTGCTTTAGCAAAGGTTTCCTCTTTTACTTCCTGTCTTAATAGCACAGTTTCTGTTGTCATATAATTCTAGACTCAAACAACTGAGAGTAACATTTGAAATATTCATTTGGCTTCAGACAGAAGGCTATGCACGTGTGTGTGTGTGTGCATATGTGTGTGTTTGTTTGTGTGTGTGTTCTGGCTGGTTTACATTACTGAAGTCAAGCAATTTTTCCATATTCCTTTGAAAAACCAATTTAATAGTGAAAACAGCAAAAGGCAAAAATTATGTTAACCAGTAAACAAATCAGTGCAAGAAAGTGAAGAGAAAGGGCAGGATTTGGTCTGTAACATTCATTTCTGTAAAACTAACCAGGTCATATTAACTGGAACCAATGACCTTTACTGTATCAACAGGATAAAGGAAGTCAACATCTGAGCTTGACAATTTTTCTTGGAAGCTTCTCTTCATAATTTTTAACTTGGTTGGTACATTTATGTTTTCTGCCAGTTAAAATTATGCAATATTCTCAAAGATTAAAATATTCACAGCAACTACGTATCCTTGGAAAAAATAAAATTGTGGGTTTTTAAGTGTTTTATTTAAGAATATCTTAAGTAGACTTAACCACTAAATATTCATTTTTAAAATCTCATAAGCATTTTCTAAATTACTATTTGGGAACATTGAGAATGAAGACCCAGAATTTTCTCCATTATGAAAACACAAACTATATGAAGTAATTCCTAATAGTTTACAACACAATAATTTTATAAGCTAGAAAATGTCTAAACATTATGAAAGCCATTTCATGTTAATCCACTACAAATTGGTCTTTTGATGTGCTACAAGTCCAAGGCATTGGAAACACAATCAAGAAGTATCACTCTTACTTAGGTAATAAAATTTGATCAAGCTGTTATGTAAATAAAACAAAGAGCAAAGGATAGGAATAGATCATTTAAGAAGAAGTACTCCAAATGGACCACATAAATATAAATCCATAAACATATAAATAAAGGTATCATAACTCACAGTTCTTAAGAGTATGAAGCTTTAGACTCCGATGATCTAGACTCAAATCCAGCTTTATCACTCCTAGCTGTGTGACCTTAAACAAGTCACTGATCTTTCTGTGTCTCGGTTTCATCTTTGAAATGAAGATGATTAGATAGCCTAGTTCATGGGGATACTATTAGAATAAAAGACACAATCCACAAAAAGGACTTAGCAAATAATTGTCATGGTATATGCATTCAATAATTGTTGGTTATTACAGATAGAGTATCCTTTATCTGAAATGCTTGGGACCAGAAGTGTTTTAGATTTTGGATTTTTTCAGACTTTGGAACATTTGCACTACCCTATGGGTGTTATGTAGGCCTTTTGACATTTTCAACAGTATCTTTAAACCACAGAGCAGAGAATAAAAAAAAAACAGTGAGTAATACACATAGGTCTTGGCCTCATGTAGGACATCAGCGTGTCTGGCCTGCACACATAACATTTTATTACCCCTTGTCTTTTCATCCCCCCTTGTGTAGAGAAATCTGGGCATGTGAGAAAAGATATATTGCAGCTGCAGGAGGATGGGAAATTGGCACTGAAAAAGTTTTGGATTTTGAAGCATTTCAGATTTTGAATTTTCAGATTAGGAATGCTCAATCTATATTACCATTCTTAAGTTGATTTTTTTATAAGGTGAGAGATGAAGATCCAGTTTCATCATTCTTCTACATGTGGCTTGCCAATTATTCTAGCACCATTTGTTTAATAAAGTGTTCTTTCCCCACTTTATGGTTTTGTTTGTTTTCTTTTTTTTTTTTTTTTCTTTGTCGAAGATCAGTTGGGGCTGTTAAGTATTTGGGTTTATTTCTGGGTTCTCTATTCTGTTCCCTTGGTCTGTGTGCCTATTTTTATATCAGTACCATGCTGTTTTGGTGACTATGGCCTTATAGCATAGTTTGAAATCAGGTAATGTGATGCCTCCAGATGTGTTCTTTTGCTTAGTCTTGCTTTGGCTATGCAAGCTGTTTTTTGCTTCCATATGAATTTTAGGATCGTTTTTTCTAACTCTGTGAAGAATCATGGTGGTATTTTGACAGGAGTTGCATTGAATTTGTAGATTGCTTTTGGCAGTATGTTCATTTTCACAATATTGATTCTACTCATCTATGAGCATGGAATGTGTTTCCATTTGTTTGTGTCATCTATGATTTCTTTCAGCAGTGTTTTGTAGTTTTCCTTGTAAAGGTCTTTCATCCCCTAGGTGAGGTATATTCCTAGGTATTTTATTTTATTTTATTCGTAGCAATTGTAAAAGGGGTTGAGTTCTTGATTTGATTCTCATCTTGGTCACTGTTGGTGTGAAGAGGAGCTACTGATTTGTGTACATTAATTTTGTATCCAGAAACTTTGCTGAAATCTTTTATCAGTTCTAGGAGCTTTCTAGAAGAGTCTTTAGAGTTTTCTAGGTAAACAATGATATCATCAGCAAACAGTTACAGTTTGACTTCCTCTTTACTGATCTGGATGCCCTTTATTGAGGCTCTTTTTAATTCAATGATAGGCAACACCTTTTTTCCAGTAAGTCCCTGTAGAACTTTAAATTAAATCTATTTGGATTGGCACAAAAGTAATCGCAGTTTTGCCATTACTTTGAATGGCAAAAAACATGATTACTTTTGCACCAACATAATATATTTAATAAAACAACTCTCAGGTATCTATTGGTTCTTTATTGTAAATAAGTCTTTGATATATAATACTTAATCTACTTTTTTTTTCTTTTTTTCTCTCTCTCTTCCTTTTCTATTTGGAAATTTTCCTGAGACTTCATTCCTTTGACTCAAATCAGACTAACTTCATATGTTATGGTAGGGAAATTCCTTTGACCACAGCCATTTTTAAAAAAATAAATGAAACATAAAATAATAAAGTGTTAATAGTCATAACATAGTGGAAAGAAAACTGTAGTCCAGTCAAAAACCCTGAGCTATGCCATTTGGAGACCTCAGGCTCTTAACCTGACTAAGATTCAACATTCTCATCTGTAAATCATAACATCTTTAACTTCATCAGCCTCAATGCAGGCTCAGACTCTGGTGACAAAGCTCAGAAGACTGGTCTTTAATTTGTTTGTCCTCAAGGAGTGGGACAACGTATTCTAGGAGCGTTTGGGGCCTTAGGAACAGATCTTTGGGTATTATTTTTACCTTTTATAATCGATACCATCTCAATTGTGATTCTAAGGGTAATTAGAGTACTACAAAGGATATTTCCTCCTAGAATTCTTGCTATGATCAGATAATTAAAAGTGTCTCTAAAGATTGCTAGGTTTCTAAAGACTCATTTCTCAAACCAGAAAGCCCTACAGGCAACTCAAAGTGAACGTTCCATAGAATCCCTGTATTCCCAAAGACTTACTCTGAGTAACCCTGGGGAACAGCATGGGGAGTACATGGAACACTCATTTGGATCATTAAAAGTAATAAATGTCTACCATTACTTGCTGTCATGGATGATGCAATCTGAGAAAGTGTCCCAAAGTAACAAGTGATGTTACTTAAAAATTAACTAGCTAATATAATATTTTGACTTTTATATGTCCTAAGATCCAGAAATTGTGATGTTCAGTTTGATGTCAACAAGGCAGAGTTGGCTGTAAGCAAATTTATGAAAATGCAAAAGGTTTTTTGGCCCCCAGAAAATATTATCTACTCTCTGCTTTGTCTCTTTGTGAAGACCCCTCAGTACTCAAATCTCTCTTAATGTCGCCTGGTGGGCTGAGTCCTCCTGTGTAATGTCCTCATCTGATTAGCCCACCTCAAGCAGGGCTTCATTACTGAGGTTCTTACTTCACACTAACTTCTAATCAAAAACTTATTATATATTCTACTCTTTTTAGACGTTTTTTGCTTAAAATTTGTTATTAGTATTAAGTTAAAGTTAATTTTAACTTAACTTTAACTCTGTGATTCTATTATTAAACACAAATATATTAAAAACAAGTTCATAAGATCCCAGTATTTTTCCACAAGAACCTTTGTCAAGTTGGTGACCAAGAACCCCCAACTTCAAACGCCAGAAGCAAAGATTCAGTTTTGTGCCAAGGCACAAAGCTGCTCACAAAGAGTACACAGTGAGACCACCAGGAAATGATCCCTTGAACTCACTCCTTTCCCAAATACAAGCAGATGGAATTCTTTATCAATTGAATTAAAAGATTATAGGAATGTGATGTTACATCCAACACTTTTTATTCTCTCCTGGTAAACATTTGGTAACCCGGCCTTTTGTTTCAGGACAACCCTGACTATAGTTAGCTGAGGAGACCAGGGTATGGGGATGCCCAGACCTGACTCTTAAGGTAATTTAAGGATTATTTTTAAAAGGGTATGTATGTCTAACTCATCTGGAAAAAAAAAAGTGGAAAAAAAAGATTTGGCATAGAAACCCTATTTAGAAATGAACAGTGCATTTGACTAGGAGTGTTTTCATTTTTGTGTCTCCTGAGACTCTAAGTACGGAAATAGTGACTAGAGGGTATGTGGGTTTGATAGAAGCAAATAAGGCTTTTGAGTGGTTATCTGGTTCTTTCCCCTAACAATAAATTACATTGTTCTGTAATTGTTTCTTGTTCTTTTCTTATTTTGTTTCTTCCATATATCATATCGAAGCAATAAATCTTTCTCTCTCTTTTTTCCCCAGCTCATACATAGAATGTCTTCTGGTTTTTAGTTTCTAGTAAGCTAAAAAAGCTTTCTCCTTCCTTTCTTCTTGCAACTGGAATTTGGGGCTCCCCTTTGATCACTAGAT
Organism: Homo sapiens; assembly: GCF_000001405.40. Lineage (NCBI taxonomy): Eukaryota > Metazoa > Chordata > Mammalia > Primates > Hominidae > Homo > Homo sapiens. The sequence goes on along the minus strand of NC_000002.12, from coordinate 180,045,110 downwards.
TATAAATTAGGTCACTGGAAATTCAGAAGTTTCAGCAGCAATAACTTTCACAAAATAGTTTTATATCTGTTGAGATAGTCAGGCCTTGCCGGCGGGGACCTTTTAGCTTGCACCATTTTCCCATTAGGTAGCACAGTGACCATGGCCTGTGATATGTAAGGACCTAAGAAAAGTGGGAATATAAAAGAGTTATTAACTGACAGATACAAAAGGAAAAACAGACAATTCAATAATGATAAAGATTTTAATACTCAAATTTGAATACTGGATAGAACAACCACATAGATTAATAAGAAAATAGAAGACTAAAATAACACTATAAACTACCCAGACTCAATAGATGTCTATACAGCACTTCATCCAGCAGCAACAGAATACACATTCTTCTTTTTTTTTTCTTTTTTTTTTTCAGACGGTGTCTGGCTCTGTTGCCCAGGCTGGAGTGCAGTGGCGTGATCTCAGCTCACTGCAAGCTCCGCCTGCCGGGTTCACGCCATTCTCCTGCCTCAGCCTCCCGAGTAGCTGGGACTACAGGCACCTGCCACCATGCCCGGCTAATTTTTTGTACTTTTAGTAGAGACGGGGTTTCACCTTGTTAGCCAGGATGGTCTCCATCTCCTGACCTCGTGATCCGCCCACCTCAGCCTCCTAAAGTGCTGGAATTACAGGCGTGAGCCACTGCGCCCAGCCCAGAATACACATTCTTCTCAACTGCACATGGAAGATTCTCCAGGATAGTCCACAAGATGAGTCTCAAAAAAACGTCAAAGGTAGAAATAAAAAAAGTATGTTTTCCAATCAAAACAGAATGAAAGTAAATATCAATAACAATAAAAATTGGGAAAAATCACAAATATGTGGAAATTAAACAATATGCTCCTAAATAGCCAATAGGTCAATGAAGAAATCAAAAGATAAATAAGAAAATATTTTGAGATAAATGAAAATGAAGATATAACATATCAAAACTTATGGGAGGTAGCTAATGCAGTGCTTAGAGAAAAATTTATGCCTAAAAATACCTAAATTAAGAAAGAAGAAATATCTCAACTCAAAAACCTAACCTTTCACCTAAAATGCTGGAAAAACAAGAGCAAAATAAACTTAAAGCAAGCAGAGAAAGGAAATAATGAAGACCAGAGGAGAAATTAGGAAAATGAGGATACAAAAACAATAAGGAAAATAAATGGCACTAAAACCTGTTTTTTTATAAAAATCAAAATTTGTAAATCTTTAGATAGATAAATCCAGGAAAAAGACTAAAATTACTAGAATCATAAATGAAAGAGGAGCTATTACTACTGGCCTTACAGAAATTAAAAAGTGTTCTAAAGGAATGCTATGAACAATTGTATGCCAATAAGTTAGATTACTTAGATGAAATGGACAAATTCCTAGAAAGGCATAAACTACCAAAACTGACTCAAAAATATATAGGCAATCTGAATAGACCTATAATAAGTGAAGAGAGTGCATTAGTAATCAAGAAACTACCCACAAAGGAAAGCCAAGATCCATATGGCTTCACTGGTGATTTCTACAAAACACATAATGAATTAATACTAATTCCTCACAAACACTTCCAGAAAAATAGAAAAAGAGGAATACTTCCCAACTCACTTTATGAGGCCAGTATTACCCTGATACCAAAATCAGACAAAGACATCATAGGGGGAAAAAAAATCCTACAGAGTTATATCTCTTGTGAATATGAATGCAGATATCCTCCACAAAATGCCAGTACACTGAATCCAGTAACATATAAAAAATTATACATCATAACCCCATGGGATTAATAAGTTAGCTTAACACCTGAAAATCTATTAATATAATGCACCATATCAGTAAAATTTTAAAAATCACATAGGCATCTCAATAAATGTAGAAAACCGTTTTACAAAATCCAGTACATTTTCATAAAAAGACATTCAGCAAACAAGAAATAGAAGGAAATTTCCTCAACTCAATAAAGGTCATCTACAAAAACTATACAGCTTGGCTAACATCATACATAATATCAAAAGACTACATGTCTTCCCCCTAAAATCAGTGTAAGAGATAAACAAAACTGAAAAGTTTTATCCTATTCTCACATAACTCATCACAGAGTGCAATACTCTGGTCACCAAAGTGTGTGTGGCTTTTCTCCCCAACAACGGGTTCTCCAACGAACTCCAACTGAGTGTCCTATAATTTATCTCAATTTTGACACTATCTAGCTGCCCCCAACTTCAGGTGTCAATTGCAACTAGTAAGCTATCACCTATTTTGACTGACTGGCTATAAATTAGGGTTCCTAAAAACTCCCAATTTGGATCTGATTAATTTGCTAGGAAGGCTCACAGAAACACTTATTTAGGTTACCAGGGATACACTTAGGTTTACATTTATTATAAATGATATTACAAAGAATGCAGATGAATGACCAGATGAAGAGATGCATAGGGCAAGGGATGGGGTTCAGGGAAACATGCAGAGCTTTCATGGCCCCTTTGGGCATACCTCCTTCCTGAGACCTCTGTGTGTTCAGCAATACAGAAGCTCTCTATACCCTGTCCTTTGGGTTTTTATGGCAACTTCATTATATAGTTATGACTGATTAAATTGTTGGCCATTGGTGATCAACTCAAATTTCAACCCCTCTTACCTCCCAAGAGGCTAAGGAATGAGACTGAAAGTTCCAACTCTCTAACCATAAGGCTGATTCCCCTGGCAACCAACTCTCATCATGAGGCTGTCAAGGAGCTCAGTAAGAGTTTCCTTATTAGAACAAAAGATGTTCCTACCCTGAAGGACATTCCAAGAAATGTAGGAGCTCTGTATCAGATGCCCTTAGTTTATTGGTGCTGCTATAAGAGAATACCACAGATAAGGTAATTTGTTAAAACAAAAAACAAACAGAAATTTATTCTCACAGTTATGAAAGCTGATAAGTCCAAGATCAAGGCACCATCATTTGGTGTCTGATGAGGGCCTTCTTGCTGCATCCTCAAATAGCAAAAGATAGAATGGCAAAAAAGAGAAGAAGAGAAGGAAGGCAAAAATGGGGACAAACACTGGGTCCTCACATGGAAGAAGGGTAGAAGAGCCTTTTATAAGGGTGCTAATTCCATTTATGAAGGTGGATCTCTTATGATTTAATCATCTTCCTAACGTTACACCTGTTAATACTGTTGCATTGGGGATTCAGTTTCAACATGAATTTTGGAGGAGACACCATCATTCAAACCATATCATGCTCCTATCACTCAGGAAATTACAAAGGTCTTAGGAACTCTGTGTCAGGAACTGGAGTCAAAGACCAAATATTAGAACAAAAGGTTATCCTAATACCCCTACCTACAAGGGTTTTGGAGCTCTATGTCGGGAACCAGGGGCAGAGACCAATATGTATTTATTATATCATAATATCAAAATCAGGAACAAGACAAACATATTCACTTTTACCACTTTCATTGAAAACTGTAGTAGAGGTTCTAATAAAGACATTTAGTCAAGAAAAAGAAATAAAAGGCATCCAGATTGGAAAGTAAGAAGTACAACTATCTCTGTTCACAGATGATATGATGCTGTGTACAGAAAGTCCTAAGAAATCCACTAGAAAACTACTAGAACTAATAAGTTAGCTCAGCAAGGTTGTAGGATATGAGGTCAATATATAAAAATCAATATTATTTCTACACACTAACAATGAACAATCCAGAAATGAAAATAAGAATACAATTCCATTCATAATAGCATCAAAATAATTAAATATGTAGGAATAAATTTAGCAAAATAAGTGCAAAACTTATACTTTGAAATCCATAAACATTTTTGAAAGAAACTGAAGAAGATACAAATAAATGGGAAAAGGTTCACATCATGGATTCGAAGACAATAGTGTTATAATGGCAATATTCCCCAAATTGATCTTCCAACTTTTAACACAATCTGCATAATAATCCCAGCTGATATTTTTTTAGAAATTGACCAACCAATTTTAAAAATTCATATGGAATTACATAGGGTCCAGAATAGACAAAAGAATCTTGAACAAGTAGGAGCTCTCACATGACCCAGTTTCAAAACTTACTACCAAGCAATGTTAATCAACACTGGCAAAAGGACAGACATACACATGAATGGAATCGAAACGGGAGTTCAGAATAAAATCATGCATCTATGGTCAACTGATTTTCAACAAGGATGCCAAGACCATTTAATGTGAGTATTTTCAAAAGAGAGTGCTGGATTTACCAGACAGCTACACAGAAAAGAATCAGGCTGGACCCTTTCCTCACACCATATGCAAAAACTAACTCAAAATAAAGACCTCAAAATAAGAGCTAAAACTACAAAGCCATTAGAAGAAACCAAAGAGTAAACCTCATGACCTTGGATTTGGCAAAGATTCTTGGAATATGACATCAAAAGCATAAGCAACAAAAGGAAAAATAAAGTGGACTTCATTAAAATTAGAAACATTTGTGCTTCAAAGGATACCATTGAGAAAATGAAAAGACAAACCACAGGATGTGAAAAATTATTTGCAAATCATATACCCGATAAGGAACTTGTATACCAAATATACAATGGACTTTTACAACTCAATAGTAAAATGACAAATAGCTCAATTTAAAAATTGGCAAAAGATTTGAATAGGCATTTCTCCAAGGAAGATGTACAAATGGCCAAAAAGCACTTGAAAAGTTGCTCAACAACATTACTCATCAGGAAAATGCAAATGGAAACCACAATGAGATACCATTTTGCATCCACTAGGAATTTAGAATCAAGTGCCAAATATAACAAGCATTGGCAAGGATGTGGAAGAATCAGAACCTTCATACACTACTGGTAAGAATGTAAAATTGTACAGACACTTTGGAAAAGAGCCTAGCATTTTCTCAAACATTTAAACATAGTTATATCACACAGCAAGTCCACTCCTTGTATATGCTCCAAAGAATTGAAAACAGGTATTCAAATAGCTGAATACAGATGTTCATGCAGCACTGTTCACAACAGCCAAAAGGCAGAAACAACTCAAATGTCCATCAGCTGATGAATGGACAAATAAAATATGATATATCCATACAATGAAACATCATTCAACCATAATAAGTAATGAACTACTGATACATGCTATAACATGTAGGAATCTTGAACACATTATGCTAAGTAAGAGAAGTCAGTCAAAAATATTACATATTATTTCATTCATATGAAATATCCAGAATTGGAAAGTCCATCGAGATAGAATGTTGATTAGTGGTTGCCTTGGGCTGGAGAGCAGATGGAGGGTGAAAGCAATAATAGCTAAAGCACAGGGGGTTTTTCTGAGGTGATTAAAATGTCCTAAAATTGACTGTTATGATGATCTCATATATCTGTGAATGTACTAAAAATCATTGAATTGTACATTTTAAATGAGTAAGTTGTGTGGTATAAGAATGACATATTAATAAAGCTGCTAGTTAAAAAGCAGTGCTCTATTTTTTAAAAAGTTATTGGTTTCAAACACAAAGCAAAATATATATCTACAAAAGGAATGCTATGTTTCTTTCATTAAATTTAATATTACTAACAATTTCATTACCCTGGAGAGAAATCTGCAGGTCAAATTATCTCATTTCAAAATAATTCCCCAGTAAGCACAATGATTCTTTAGAAATTGGAACTAACTATAAATTAAACAATTTCAAAAACAAAACTATAAAAAGCATTTACATTCTGTTCACTGCACAGATATTGCATTTAATGTGGCATGTGGGCACATTTAAGTGAGTTTGGTATAATGCGAGGCAGGATTTCCAAAAGTAAGTGTTAGGAACTAACAAAGTCTTAAAATGTCTCTACTTTTACCATGCTGTTCCCTACAGGCACATGCTCATACCCTGTTTGCCAGTAAAAGAGCCTTACTGATTTCAATGCTATTCCTCTTAACTCACGTTTTGGTTTCCAGGGACTTTTAGCTTTTGCTTTCTCTTCCAGGTTCTGACCACTAATTCTTTATTTGGTATCTTTCATGCACTGATGTTTGTACTTTCATATTAAGAACAAGGAAAATGTGAGCAGATAAGCCACTAAGAAATTAGCTCATTTTCATGCAAATATCTTTGTGTCAAGAAAAAATGAATTAAAGGACCATTCTATGGATTGCTGAAGTGCAATTAGGTATGGTATAGGAAATTATTCTTCCTCGAGGTAAAATTGTAGCTGTTTGAATATTTTTAATTTGGCCAATCACAAAGATAGAAAGCTAAGAGAGATAAGGGATCTAAACCCCTTATCTTTCATTTACTTTGTTGTGCGATCTTGAACAAGTTGCCTAACTCTTTGAACGTGAGTTCCCTTATCTGTAAAAACATGGAAGAATAAATTTACCTGTCTCTTAATAAGGAAAACCAAGAATATGCCTAACAATAGTAAGTAATCAAAAAACTTTTCTACCTTGAAAATCTGAAATCTCAATGTAAACTGATAACATCAGTGATGGCACCATTGAACCATTCAAGAAATATTGCTTGCTCCCTAGTAACTAGGCAGATTTATTCTCTGTTCTAAATACCAGAGGCAGACCACACACTACTGGTAGTCTACATGTATACCCTCTCTACTCCCTCTCACTCTCCAACCCTGTATGATACCTAATGAAATAGTTCCAATAGAGCTCCCTGTGCAAATTGAGAAGAAGAAAATTGAGAGCACGACAATCGCTGGAGTACATCTGGCAATAAATAAGCAACAGTTGCTCAACTTTGCTCATAGTAAAAGAATATCTCTGGTCATTCCTTGCTTTTTGGTGTACTGTTTAACCTTCAAACTGCATTATGTGACACAAATATTTTAAAAAATTAAAGATATGCTAGAAACTCATTACTTGATTATAGGCACCCCATCCCTACTGAATTAATTCATGAATAAGCAAAGCAGAAAAAAAAAATAAACAAAAGGAGCAAATGAAAGACCAAGTTATCCTCAGCTGACAACTAAAGAAAATGCAACTTAACTGAGGTCAGAAAAACATGTTAATGAAATTGTTGAGAGATGTCTTCTAAATGTTTAATTTGCCAAATGTGGTTTTGGTTCTCTCTCAATTTACATTTCTTTTTATTCCTCATTTTCTTTCACACATCAACTCTATGAAACTGCACTGTACCTATAATGGAATGGCACACACCTAGTGACAAAAATTTTCTAATGGGGCATGGTAAAGAAGATAGGTTTTGATTCTTTATGCACCTACCATGTACCCTTGAAAAGTTAAGTTTTAAAGAGCTAGCGTCAGAGAGAGCTGGGGCTTGATTTAGTCAAGTCACTTTCTAATGCAGTCTGGAAATAAACCATGTGCTTGTTTGCTTTTTTGTTTTTGTTTTCCCTTCTGCAGCTAAATACTGTATACTTCGTACTAGAGGAGAAAGAAATCAGATAAAGATTTGAAGATGTCTTTGTGGTCAAAATTAGTTGTGAAATGATCTGTAGCATATCTTAAATCAATACATCAGAATCTATAAATAGCTCTTAAACCTAGAATGTATTATCTTAACCATGTTTAAGTGTACAGTTTGGTAGTATTAAGTATGTTCTTATTGTTGCAAAAAAAATTGCCAGAGCTTTTTCATCTTGCAAATCTGAAAACTCTATACTAATTAAATAATGTGGCTTTTCCTCTTCCCTTAATCCCTGGTAACCAACATTGTACTATTTATATGAATTTTACTGCTTTAAATATCTCACATAAGTGGACTCTTATTGTGACTTGGTTACTTCACTTAACATGATATTTCCAAAATTCATCCATGATGTAGCATATGATAAGTTTCTTTCTTTGTAAGGCAAAATATTCTATTGTATGCATATGCTACATTTTGGTTATGCCTTCATCTGTTGATGGACATTTGGGTTACTTCACCTCTATGCTATTATGAATGATGCTGCTATTAACATGGGTTTGCAAGTATTTCTTTAAGATCCTGCCTTCAATTCTTTCCGATACATGCTGAGAAGTAGGATTCCTAGATCACATGGTAGTTCAATTTTTGAGGAACCTCCGTACTGTTTCCAATAGGGTTTGCACCATTTTATAATCCTACCAGTAGTGCACCAGGGTTCATATTTATCCACATGCTTTCCAACATATGTTATTTTCTGGGATTTTTTTTTATGGTAGCCATCCTAATAGGTATGAAGAATTATTTCATTGTGGTTTTGATTTATATTTCTCAGATGATTAGTGATAATTGAGCATCTTTTCATATGAATGTTGGCCATTTTTATTTCTTCTTCGAAGAAATATCTGCTCAAGATCTTTGCCCAATTTTTAATCAGATTATTTGATTTTTGTTGTTGAGTTGTAGGAGTTCTTTATATATTCTGGATATTAACCTCTTAACAGTCATAAAACTTGCAAATATTTTCTCCCATTTTGCCAGTTGCCTTTTTACTCAGTTGATTGTGTGCTTTGATGCACAAAAGTTTTTAAGTTTCATACAGTGCTATTTGCCTAGTTTTCTTTTGTTGTCTGTGCTTTGTAGGGGACATATCCAAGAAATCATTGCCAAGTCCAGTGTTATGTTACAAAGCTTTTTCTCTACATTATCTTATAAGAGTTTTATAGTTTGGGATTTTACATTTAGGTCTGTAGTCCATTTTCCATTAACTTTTGTATATAATGTAAAAGAGGAGTCCAACTTCATTATTTTGCACATAGATACCCAGTTTTCCCAACACTATTTGTTGAAGAAACTGTCCTTTTCCCACTGAGTAGTCTAGGCACCCTTGTTGAAGATCATCAACTATATAACCAGGGTTTATTTCTGGGTTCTCTATTCTATTCCATTGATCTATTTGCCAATGCCACACTTGGTTTTTGTTTGCTTGTTTGTTTGTTTGTTAGAGACAAGGTCTCTGTCACCCAGGCTGTCACTAGTGGCATGATTATGGCTCAGTACAGCCTCGAATTACTGGGCTCCAGTGATCCTCCTGCCTCAGCCTCCCAAAATGCTAGGATTACAGATGTGAGCCGCTGAGTCCAGCCCAAAATAATTCAAAATTTAAAGCTAAATCTAAAAAGTTAGAAAGTATCTCTTAATGGGGGAACATGCTATTGACATTTTTTCTGAAGTAATTCTTTATTATTCCTAATTATTCTTTACATCACAAAATATTTACCATCCCTGGCCTTAGGAACTAAATGCTGGTGACAGCAGCCCCCAACACAAGCAGTGTTTCTTCCCATAGTGAATAGTACAAAGCTTGGTTTAGAACTGCTGCTAGACAGTTCAGCAGCATGCTACAGGTCAAGGTTAATCTCCACATTCAGAAGGCTAACAGTGTTTCTGCTCTCTTCACTTTGTTCAACTGTTCCTCCTTCAATGGCCTTTGTTCTCAGGTTGACCCCAGAGTAACAATGGCTGCAGAAATTCTAGACTTCACATTTCTACCATATTGTCCACAAGAAAATAGCATCTCTGCCCCAAGGTTTCCATCCAAATCCCAAGATTTGTTGTGATTGGACTCGTTTGGTCACATTCCATGACTAAAACAAGTATCCAGAGGGATGCAATGCTTTTATTGGTCTAGTCTTGATCATAGGCCCTCTGGTAGAGTGATGGATTGAGTTAGTGTCCCCAGATAAAGGTGAAATCCCCAAATAAAAATTAAAGACTATTGTGAAGGGGACAAGTTGGTAAATAGACATTGAAAATATAACTAACAAATTTATATTGTAAAAGTGCTACTCAAAATGCCAGTTCATGAATTATTTTTTACCAGTCAACAATAAGATTAAAACAAAAAACTTGCACCAGAGTAAGTCAACTATGTGAATGAATAGACTACTTAATTTAGTCAATATTTATTTTATAATAAAACTACCTCCAATGAAATTGGCCTCATATGCCTCCTGATATGATCCACTGAGAAAACAATTCATCACTTGTGTGGTATTCCTGAAAAAATGCATACATAACATGAATCTAATCATGACAAAACACCAGACAAATTTAAGTTAAAAGGCATTCTACAGAATAACCAGTGTGTATTCTCCAAAAATGTCAATGTTATGAAAGACAAAAAGGAAAAGAAACTGAGAAACTACTTTAAATTAAAGGAGGCTTGAGCAAAGCAAGATGGCAGAATAGAAGCTTACACTCTTCACCACCCCACCACCCACATGCTGGAACACCAAATTTTAACAACTATCTGTACACAGAAAAGCACCATTAAAATAACCACAAATCAGGTGAGCAATCATAGTACCTGGTTTTAACTCCATATCATGGAGCAACCACAGTATCTGGTTTTAACTTCATATCATGCCCTCATTGAGGTGGGCAGGAGAGAGAGTCTTGAATCATCAATGCCACCCCTCCCCCATCCCCTGATAGCAGCTCTATGGTATGGAGAGAGAATCTGTGTACATTGAGGAGGGAAAGTGCGGCAGCTGGGGGAATTTACATTGAACTTACTGCTGCCCTGTCACAGCAGAGAATAAAGCTGTGCTGGGTCAGCCAGTGCCCCCACATGAAAAGAGAAGTGGGACCAGCCCTAGCCAGAGGGAAACTGCCCATCCCAGCAGTCATAACTTGAATTTCTTCGCAAACTTTGCCATTATGCCTCCCCCATGGGCTAAAGTGCTCTGGAGTTCTAGATAAACTTGAAGCGCATTCTAGGACACAATGTCTGCAATTCTTAGGGAACTCCTACTGTTAGGCTGGGCTTAGAGCCAGTGAATGAGAGTAGCACATGACCAAGGGAGGTATCAGGTGGCATGGCTAAAGGAGGGCTTATGCTACCCCTCCCCCAACCCCAGGCAGTACAGCTCATAGCAATAAAAGTGACTCCTTCCTTCTGCTTAAAGAGAGGAGAGTGAAGAATAAAGACGATTTTGTCTTACATCTTGGACACCAGCTAGGACAGGGGACCAGGCAGAGTTTTGAGGCCTCCATTCCAGCACTGAGCAACCAGAAAATATTTCTAGACATACCCTGGGCCAAACAGGAACTTGCTGCTTTCAGAGGAAGGAACCAGTTGTGGCAGGATTTGCCACCTGCTGACTAAATAGCCCTTAAGCCCTGAATAACCACCTGCGATACCCAGGGAGTGCACTGTGGGCCATGGGCTCTGAGATGTACAAAATCAGGGGAGACCCATATATTCTCAGCTGTGGTGGCTATGGTGAAAGACTTCTTTTTGAGAAAAGCAGAGGGAAAAGTAGAGGGGACTTTGTCTTGCACCCTAAGTACCAGGTCAGCCACAGTAAAGTAGAGCAACAATCTGGGTCTTGGGGTTGCTAAGTCCAGGCCTTGGCTCTTAGACAGCATTTCTGGACCTGCCCTGGGCCAGAGGGGAGCCCACTTCCCTGAAGGGTGAGTCCAAGGCCTCACAGCATTCATCACAAGCTGACAGAAGAGCCCTTGAGCTTTAAGCAAATGTCAGCACTGGCCTGGCAAAATCTCCCATGGACCAGTGGTGGTGGTAGTCACAGAGTGACAGAGGCTCCTCTGCCTGTGGAAAGGGGAGTACAAATAAGAAGAATTTTATATTGTGGTTTGAGTGCCAGCTTGGCCGCAGTAGAATAGAACATTACATAAATTGCTAAGGTTTTTTACTCCAATCCCAGACCACATCTCTGGACATGCCAAGGGCTTGGTGGAAGTTGCCACACCGAAGTGAAGGGTTTCGGGTAAGGCCCGGTGCTGTGATGGTTTCATGTTTGACCCAGCACAGTCCCAGTGGTGGTGACCATAAAGGTGCTTGCATCACTACATTCCCAGTTCAGGTGGTTCAGCACAGAGAGCAAGAATCTGTATATTTTGGGATTAAAAAAAAGGAAAAAGAACAAGTGTTTCTGCCTGGTAATCCAGAGAATCCTTCCAGATCTTATCCAAGGCCACCAAGGCAGAAATTCTATGAGTCTGTAAAAATCACAGCATTACTTACTGGGCTTGGGGCCCAGGTGCCTTCAAATCCCTGGAAAGCCTTCCCAAAAAGAACAGGCACAAACAAGCCCAAACTGTGAAGACTACAATAAATACATAACTCCTCAATGCCCAGACACCAAAGAGCATCTAAAGTATCAACACCATCCAGGAAAACATGACCTCACCACATTAACTACATAAGGCACCAGGGGCCAATCCTGGAGAAACAGAGATATATGACCTTTCAGACAGATAAAACATAGCTGTTTTCACTTGAGTCCAGAAGTTCAAGACCAACTTGGATAACATGGCAAAACCCTATCTCTAAATATAAAAAGATATAAAAATACTCGAAGAAATTCAAGATAACACAGAGAAGGAATTCAGAATTCTATCAAATAAATTTAATAAAGAGAATGAAATAATTAAAAAGAGTCAAGCAGTAATGCTAGAGTTGAAAAATGCAATTGACATGCTGAAGAATGTATCAGAATCTCTAAATAGCAGAACTGATCAAACATAAGAAAGAATTAGTAGTCTGGAAGACAGGCTTTTTGCAAATACATAGTCAGGAGACAAAAGAATAAGGAAAAAAGAAGCATTCCTACAAAATCTAGAAAATAGCCTCAAAAGGACAAATCTAAGAGTTTTTGGACATAAAGAGGAAGTAGAGAAAAAGATAGGTGGAAAGTTTATTCAAAGTAATAATAACTGAGAGCATCTCAAACCTAGAGAAAGACATCAACATTCAAGTACGAGAAGGTTTTGGAACACTAAGCATATTTAACCCAAAAAGACTACCTCAAGGTATTTAATAATCAAACTCCCAAAGCGGGGTAGGGGGATAAAGAAAGGATTCTAAAAGCAGTAAGACAAAAGAGACAAATAATGTACAGTGGAGTTCCAATATGTCTGGCAACAAACTTTTCAGTGGAAACCTTACAGGCCAAGAGAGAGTGGCATGACATACTTAAAGTGCTGAAAGAGAAGAACTTTTACCCTAGAATAGTATATCAAGTGAAAATATCCTTTAAGCATGGAAGAGAAATAAAAACCTTCCCAAACCAAAAGAAAAAAAAAGCTGAAGGATTTCATCAACACTAGACCGTTCTACAAGAAAAGCTGAAGGGAGTTCTTCAATCTGAAAGAAAGGGATGTTAATCAGCAAGAAGAAATTGTCTGAAGGCACAAAACTTACTGGTAACAGTACGCACACAGTAAAACATGAATAGTACAACACCGTAAATGTGGTGTAAAAACTTCTCTTGACTTAAAAGACTAAAAGATAAATGAATCAAAAAATAATAACTACAACAACTTTTCAAGACTTAGTGCAATAAGACATAAGGAAAATAATGAAAAAAGTAGGGGGACAAAGTTTAACTGTAGAGTTTTTATTAGTTTTCTTTTTGCATGACTGTTTCTTGTTTATGCTATCAGTGTTAAGTTGTCATAAGTTTAAAATAATGGGTTATAAGATAGTATTTGCAAGCCTCATGGTAATTTCAAGCCAAAAAACATACAACAGATCCACAAAAAATTAAAAGCAAGAAATTAATGTATACTACCAGATAAAATAACTTTCACTGAAAGGAAGACAGAAAGGAAGGAAAGAAGGAAGAGAAGACCACAAAAAATAAATAAATAAATAAAGTAGCAGGAGTAAGTCCTCACTTGTCAATTAAAATTGAATGTAAATGGTCTAAACTCTCCAAACAAAAGACATAGAGGGGCTGAATGGATGAATAAACAAGACCCAATGATCTGTTTCCTAAAAGAAATACACTTCATGTATAAAAATACATGTAGGCTGAAAATAAAGAAATGGAAAAAGATATTCCATACAAATGGAAGGCAAAAATGAACAGATTCACTATACTTATATTAGCCAAAACAGATTTCAAGACAAAAACTGTAAGAAGAGACAAAGAAAGCCATTATATAATGATAAAGGTATCAATTCAGCAAGAGTACATAACAATTGTAAATATATATGCACCCTAATCTGGGCTACCCAGATATATAAAACAAATATTATTAGAGCTAAAGAGAGAGACAGACCCCAATATGATAATAACTGGAAACTTCAACTGCCCACTTTCTGCATTAGGCAGATCCCCCAGATAGAAAATCAACAAAGAAGCATCAGCCTTAATCTGCACTCTAGAACAAATGGACTTAATAGATAGTTACAGAACATTTCTTCCAATGGCTACAGAACACACATTTTTTTTCCTCAGCACATGAATCATTCCCAAGGATAGACCATATGATAGGCCACAAAACAAGCCTTAAAACATTCAAAAAATTTGAAATAATATCAAGCATGTTCTGTAACTACAATAGAATAAAGCTACAAATCAACAACAAGAAGAATTTTGGAAACTATACAAACACATGGAAATTAAATAATATGTTCCAGAATGACCAGTTGATTAATAAAAAAATTAAGAAGAAAACTGAAAAACTTCTTGAAATCAATGATAATGGAAATATCACATATCAAAACCTATGAGATACAGTGAAAATAATACTGACAGAAATTTGTAGTTATAATCTCCAACAGTAAAAAAATGAAGAAAAACTTCAACTAAATAAAGATCCATGTTAAAGAATGAGAAAACAAGAGCAAACCAAACCCAAAATTAGTAGAAGAAATACTAAAGATTAGAGCAGGAATAAGTAAATTTAAAATGAAGAAAAAATACAAAACATCAATAAAACAAACATTGGTTTTTTGAAAACATAAACAAAACTGACAAATCTTTAACCAGAATAACAAAGAAGAAATAACCAGAGTAACTAAGAAAGAAGACCCAAATAAATAAAGTCAGAGATGAGAAAGGAAACATTATGACTGATACTGCAAAAATTTAAAGGATCATTAGTGGCTACTATGAGCAACTATATGCAAATAAATTTAAAAATCTAGAAGAAATTGATAAGTTCTTAGACACATACAACCTACCAAGATTGAACCATGAAGAAATCCAAAACCTAGGCAGACAAGTAATGAAATTAAAGCCATAATAAAAAGTCTCCCCGTAAAGAAGAGCCTGGGACCCTACAGCTTCACTGCTGAAGTCTACCAAACATTTAAAGAAGAACTAACACCAATCCTACTTAAACTGTTTTAAAAAACGGAGGAGGAAGGAATACTTCCAAATTCATTCTATGGGGCCATATTACCCTGGTAGCAAAACCAGAAGAAAGCACATAAAAAGAAGAAAGAAGAAAGAAAAAAAGAAAGGAGGGAAGGAAGGAAGGAAGGAAGGAAAGAAGGAAACTACAGGCTAATATCTCTGATGAATATTGATGCAAATATTTTCAACAAAATACTAGCAAACTAGCAAACCAAATTCAATGCATTAGAAATATCATTTATCATGACCAAGTGGGACTTATTTCAGGAATGCAAGGATGGTTCAGCATACCCAAATAAATCGATGTGATACATTATATCAACAGAATTAAGGACAAAAAGCATATGATCATTTCAATTGATGCTAAAAAAAAAGTGTTTGATAAAGTTCAGCATCCCTTCATAATAAAAATCCTCAAAAAAAACTGGGTATAGAAACAACATACCTCAACTTAATAAAAGCCATATATGACAGACCCACAGCTAGTATTGTACTGAATGGGGAAAAACTGAAAGCTCTTCCTCCTAGATCTGGAACATGACAAGGATGCCCACTTCAACCACTGTTATTCTATGAAGTACTGGAAATCTTAGCTAGAGCAATCAGACAAGAGAAAGAAATAAAGGGTATCCAAATTGGAAAATAAGAAGCCAAATTATCCTTGTTTGCAGTTGATAAGATCGGATTCAAAAGCAACAACAAAAAATAGTAACATTTCTATATGCCAACATGAACAATATGAAAAAAATCTGAAAAGTAATCCCATTTACAGTAGCCACAAATAAAATTAAGTACCTAGAAATCAGCTTAACTGAAGAAGTGAAAGATCTCTACAATGAAACCTATAAAACACTGATCAAAGAACTTGGAGAGGATACCAAAAAATGGAAAGATATTCCATGTTCCCGGATGGGAAGAATTAATATTGCTAAAATGTCCATACTACCCAAAGCAATCTACAGATTAAATGCAATCCCTATCAAAATACCAACAACATTCTTCAGATAAAAAGAAAAACCAATCCTAAAATTTATACAGAGTCACAAAAGACCCAGAATAGCCAAAGCTATCCTAAGGATAAAGAACAAAACTGGAGGAATCACATTACCTGACCTTGAATTACACCACAAAGGTATAGTAACTAAAACAGTGTGGTACAGGCATAAAAATGGACACGCAGACCAATGGAATAGACAGAGAACCAAGAAACAAATCCACACACCTACAGTAAACTCATTTTTAATAAAGGTGCTAAGAACCTACATTAGAAAAAAGACAGTGTCATCAACAAATGATGCTGGGAAAACTGGATATTCATATGCAGAAGAATTAAATGTGATCCCTATCTCTCGCCCTGTACAAAAACCAAATCAAAATTGATTAAAAACTTAAATCTGAGACTTCAAACTATGAAACTACCACATGAAAACTTTGGGGAAACTCTCCAGGACATTGATCTGGGTAAAAATTTTCTGGGAAATATCCCATAAGTATAGGAACCAAAGGTGAAATTGACAAATGGGATGACATCCAGTTAAAAAGCTTCTGTGCCACAAAGGAAACAATCACCAAATTAAGAGACAACCCAGAGAATGGGAGAAAATATTTGCAAACTACACATTTTACAAGGGTTATATAATAACCAGCTCCTTATATATTATAAGGAGCTCAAACAACTCTATAGGAAAAACTCTAAAAATCCTATTTTAAAATGGGCAAAAAATCTGAATAGACATTTCTCAAAAGAAGACATACAACTGGCAAACAGGCATATGAAAAAGTCCTTGTCATTGATCATCAGAGAAATGCAAATCAAAACTACAAAGAGATATAACTTCATTCCAGTTAAAATGGCTTTTATTCAAAAATCAGGCAATAACAAATGGTGGCGAGGACGTGGAGAAAAGGGAATCCTCATACGCTGTTGGTGGGAATGTAAATTAGTACAGCCACTACAGAGAACAGTTTGAAGATTCCTTGAAAAACTAAAAATAGAACAATCATGTGATTCAACAATCCCACTGCTAGGTGTACACAACCGAAAGGAAGGAAATCAATATAGAGAAGAGTGATCTGTACTCCCATGTTTATTGCCGCATTGTTCATAATAGTCAACATTTGGAAGCAATCTAAGTGTCCATGAACAGATGAATGAATAAAGAAAATGTACTTATATACAATGGAGTACTATTCTGCTATAAAAAAGAGAATGATACTCTGTCATTTGCAACAACATGGATGGAACTGGAGGTCATTATGTTAAGTGAAATAAGCCAGGTGGACAGAAAGACAAACACTGCATGTACTCACTTATTTGTGGGATATGCAAATCAAAACAATTGAACTCATGAAGATACAGAATAGAAGGCTGGTTACCAGAGGCTGGGAAGGGTAGGGAGGGGGGTGATGATGGGGATGGTTAATGGGTACAAAAAAAATAGAAAGAATGAATAAGATGTAGTATTTGACAGCACAAGAGAATTATTATTGACTGTAGTCAATTATATATTAAATTATTATTTTTATATATTAAATACATTAAATTATTACTGACTATAGTCAATAATAATCATTTCCTCTCAAATGATTCAGATGTGTGTGTGTCCACACATGCACACACAAGTGCACATAGAGGCACACAGAGAGAGAAGGGAAAGCAAATGTGATAAAACAAGCTTCTTTAAAAGCATGTGAGAATTTGTTGTATTAGTCTTGTAATTCTTCCGTAAACCTGAAAACATTTATTTAAAATTAGAATAAAATATAATTTCAGAATCCATAAAAAGCAGCAATAATGGATAAGTTCCTATTAAAATAGTAGATCAATTTGTTTAAAATTCATGTTATTACTTATAATACAGTCAATAACTTAATTGCTCATTTTAAAATAAGTAGAAAAGTATAATAGGATAGTTCTTAATACAAAGGATAAATTCTTGAGGGGATGCATACACAATTTTTCATTATGTGATTATTACATATTGCATGCTTATACCAAAACATCTCATATACCCCAGAAACGTATACACCTACTATGTACCCACAAAAAAAATTTTTTTAGAGGAGGCTAAGGAGATATGACAACTAATGCAACCTGTGATCTAAGATTTTTTTTACTACAAAGGATGTTACTGACAAATGTAAAAATGTACAGGTGTGTAGATTAGAAGGTAGTGTTTGGTCAATGTTAGTTTCCTGATTTTGTTAACTGTCCTGTGGTTTTATAAGAGAAGGTATTTGTTTTAAAGTATTTGATATGGTTTGGATTTGTGGTCCCACCCAAATCTCAGGTCGAATTTGTAATCTCCAATGTTGGAGGAGGGGTCTGGGGGAGGTGATTGGATCACGGGAGCAGATTTACCCCTTGCTGTTCTCATGATAGCGAGTCAGTTATCACAATATCCGGTTGTTTAAAAGTGTGTAGCACCTCCCACTTCACTCTATTTCTCCTTCTCTGGCCACATATGATGTGCCTGCTTCCCCTTTGCCTTCCACCATGACTGTAAGTTTCCTGAGGTCTCCCAGCCATGCTTCCTGTACAACCTGCAGAACCATGAGTCAATTAAACCTTTCTTCTTTATAAATTACCCAGTCTCAGGTAGTTCATTATGGCAATGCCAGAATAGACTGAAACAATATTTAAGTATAAGTAAGCATCATTGTTAGAGCTTTCTCTCAAATGATTCAGATATGTGTGTCCACGCATGCACACACAAGTGCTCACAGAGACACACACAGAGAGAGAGAAGAGAAAGCAAATGTGGTAAAATGTTAATTTTGAAAAATCTTGTTTAAAAGCGTGTGAGAATTTGTTGTATTAGTCTTATAACTTTTCTGTAAACCTGAAAATCTTTATTTAAAATTAGAATAAAGTATAATTTCAGAATCCATAAAAAGCAGCAATAATGGATAAGTTCCTATTAAAATAGTCAATCGATTTGTTTAAAATGCATGTTATTACTTTAGCTATTCCCTCAAAGTCTTATTCTTATTTTTGGAACAAATAATTTGATATATGTTATAATTGTGCACATGTATGAAGAAAATCAACTATTTGGAATATACGTGCTCTTTTCTTAATAGGAAGCCAGAAAAACAGATATATAAGTGCAATCCTAGAATGTGGATACTGAAAACTTTGCACTCATTTCATGAAATCTGGGTCTGTAAATGCCTTTTATAATTTTCATTCAATAATACAACTTGAACAGATATATATTTGGGGCATCATAACATTTCTTCATAGAAGTCTTATGAACTGATTTCACTGCTTTCCGTTATTTAGGCCCATAGAGAAGAGGCAGCTTTGATTCTTGTTCTTTGTAGGTAACCTGATATTTCTATTCTGTACCTGTAGGATTTTTCTCTTTATCCTATCATGGTATCCTAGGAAGATATTTGTTCTTTGTCCCCAATTCTTGTACTCTCTGGAGTGAAGAGTGTGTCCTTTGTATGCTAAGGACATGACTTGAAGGGAAGGCACCAGATGGCTTCAAGATTTGGCTGGTCTCCAGTAAGACCAAGCCTGGGTTAGAAATGGAATTTTCAGTTCCATCTAAAACCTGCAAGGAGAGGACATGGACTGGATATTGGGTTAATCGCCAATGGCTAATGATTTGATTAATCATGCCAATGTAATGAAGCCTCTATAAAAAACCCCTAAATGATGGGGTTCAGAGAGCTTCCAAGTTGGTGAGACACATGGAGATGCTAGGAGGGTGATGCGCCAAGAAAGGGGATAGAAGCTTTACACACAGCCACCCCCAACCCTTACCTTATCTTAATGCAACTTTTTCATTTGGCTGTCTCAGAATTGTATGTAGACTTTGTAATAAACTGATAAAATGAGAACACTTTCCTAAGTTCTGTGAGTCCTTCTAGAGAATTATCAAACTTAGAGTTGGAGAGTGGTCATGAGCCCTGGTGGAAGAGAACAATAGGCAGAAGAACCCGAAATCCTGCATGACCTCCTGGAGCACAGACACCCCACCAGCCTGGACCAGTCAAGCTTTAAATTGAAAGAGAAGTAAACCACTATGCTCTTTAGATCTCTTTGTTACAATTTTTTAGCCTATGCCCTACCTAATACAAAAAGGGAACTTATTATAAGGAAACATGGAAGGACATATAAAATTAAATCTAGAAAATCATAAAGAACTAAACCTTTATCTGACTGTCTCTGGTTCCCACATCCCCCCTGGCAGCATGTAATATTTTGTCTTTATTCCTTTTTGCATGTCTATTTTATTCTGCTTCCTCTAGAGATTGGCTTTTTATATTGTCTATATAACCTGTAGAGAATGACTATCTCACTGTCCCCAAGTTTGCATGTTCCTCCAAGTCTATCTAGTCTTCTTTTCTGCCCAATTCCAAGTTAACAGAAGAATGTAGTTGTATCAGCTTGGGACTAGTGCCTACCTCTGTCTCAAACTATAGTCCCAACCACTGTGTCACACAGATCAAACGTGGTTGTCGGAGGGCAGGAAGAATACAGTAATTATAGAAATCTGGTCATTGCAACCTTAATCACTTAAAAAAGTGTAAAATCTGTCTTTCCACACTCTCCCTCTTTCATCATTTGCATACAGACGTACTATACTCCAACTGTCCGCTTCTTCAATCTCACCATCCCCATACTGTAGGCAAACAAGGACTGAGGTATTGAAATTGATGTAATTGTTCCCTCATATCCTTCAGCTTCTAGCTGCATGGAAGGCATCCTCTCTAAGAACCCTTAAATTATTATGAGTAAATCTAGTTTTGGGGTAGATTTCCAGGTTTTCATTGTAGTAGGATTGCCAAATTAAATACAGAATGCCCAGTTAAATTGGGATTTCAGACAAATTTTTTTAGTATAAAGTTGTTCCAAATATTGTGTGAGACATACTAAACATTTTTGTCGTTTACCCCAAATTAAAATGTGAGTGTCCTATACTTTTATTTGTTAAATTTGACAATGTTAATCTGTAAAAACTGTTCTTTTTACTCAGCTTCAGAAGCTTCTTCCTGTAATTTCCTTACTCTTCAGTGATACTATTCTTCTCATCTTTTTCTAGAATGCCTGGATTCCACAGGCTCAAATGCTGCTTGCTCAGAACAAAAGTTATAGAACTCCTAGAGTTCAGTAGTCATGCCCTTCCAAAGAGGTTCCCTAGCAGGCCATCCCTGTTCTTTCACTTTGCTGCCATGATCCAGGGCTTGCTTTATTTTCCCTCAGGGGCCAGGCCCCCACCCCAAACCCAAACCAGCCAATATTATCATAATTTCTACAGAGATAACACTCGTTCATAAAGAAAACAGAACAGATTTCTTTCTCCTTGTCTCAAGCATTTCCATACACAGTTTCTCCTTTGCTTTGCAAAGGAGAAAGGAGGCGGCTTCCCTCTTACACTGAGATGGGATAGGATCCAGGGATTCCATCCCATCAGACTGAAGAGGTTAGTTCAAATGTCATTCCATCTCTGCGGGGCCACTTTCACTTCCCCAGTGCCATTCCACCAACAGCCTTTGCTGCAATGCTGGAAGGCCTTTGGTTTACTACATTGGTATTATAAGACTCTAACAGCTGATTCTGCACCACAAATCAATCATCCTGAATGGAAGCTCTCAAATGTAACCCCAGCATCATGCTCCTTTTTCTGGAATGGGAGTACCATTCCTAACAAAATACATTGAGAATCCAGGCAAATGTTCAAGAAATGCTTTACTTCCAGCAAAACAATAAATTCCAACTCACCTAGAGCTCATGAGCTGGTAGAATTAAGGAGTGGTTTTCCTAGTTTATTCAATGTGTTAGAGAAAGTGAAGGTGTTTACTCACGAGAACAGGCTATTATGAAAAGACATGGTAACTGATACTTGTCTTCAGAGATCAGACACTCAGTTGTCTCCTTAGAAAAGGAGACTTGGACCCAATGCAGAATAAAAGTTACTGGGATATGAATTTGATTCATTATCTTCCTCACCTTTTTCTACCCTGAAATACTAATCCAGGAATTGTGATACAAACTATAATGAGGGTTTGTTGGATGTAGTTCAGTATAGGTGAAATCAGATTGAAATTTGTGTTTCTTGTTCTACGTGTGGCAGGATATTTATATTTGAGGAAAGACAGCTCTTTAGTAAAAATGCATTTCCTGGGCTTTCAGGTTATGCAAAGCAAAGGAGAAACTGGCTATGGAAATGCTTGAGACAAGGAGAAAGAAATCTGTTCTGTTTTCTTTATGAACAAGTGTTATCTATGTAGAAATTATGATGATATTGGCTGGTTTGGGGTTGGAGTGGGGGCCCGGCTCCTGAGGGAAAATAAAGCAAACCCTGGATCACGGCAGCAAAGTGAAACAAAGAACAGGGATGGGCTGCTAGGGAACCTCTTTGGAAGGGCATGACTATTGAACTCTAGGAGAAACGGT
The DNA here is from genome assembly GCF_000001405.40 of Homo sapiens. Taxonomy (NCBI): domain Eukaryota; kingdom Metazoa; phylum Chordata; class Mammalia; order Primates; family Hominidae; genus Homo; species Homo sapiens. The sequence goes on along the minus strand of NC_000002.12, from coordinate 180,022,647 downwards.
GCCTCTTTGTTTTAGGATTTCCTTTTTTGAATTATAGTCTCATATATGCTTATCTATGCATATATCATCTCATAATAAGCTTGAGTAAAGTTTTTATAAAATGCTACAGCTGTGCTATAGGCAATTAAAGGTTAGGAGTCATGCCAATCTTTGAGGCATAACTAAAGTAGAAAGCAAACAGCAACCAGATGAAGTGTTTACAAGATGATAATAGGTGATGACTAGAAAAGTCAGAAACAGTCTTTTTGTGGAGAAAAGTGAGCAACAACCAGCTAAAAATAGTATGCTCATATTTATTGAGCCAGACATTTTTGAACTAACATGTTCTAAACATTTTCACAGATTATCTCATATAATCTAGGGAATATTATTATTCCTGCTTTAAAGGTAGGAAAACAGGTAAAAAAAAAAATGCTAAATAACTTGATCAAGATCAAACGGGGCAGTAAGTGGCAGAGCCAAGGTACATATTCTGGCCGCCTTGCCTCAGAGTCAGTAACCTCAACCAACATAATATCCTGTGTACATGCCCTCCCACCCCCCGCGATGTGGGTGTGATATCACCCTCTCCCCCACTGGATATTACGAACCACCTCGCGTGGCGGCGGGCGGTGTACATCCCCTCCCTCGCGATGTGGGGAGTGATATCAGCCTCTCCCCCCACCCGGATATTATGGACCACCACCCCCCGCGAGGTTGTTCGTAATATCCAGGGTGAGAGAGGGTGATATCACTCCCCACATCGCGGCGGGGGGTATTATACACCGACCCCGCGAAGTGGTTTGTAATATCCGGGGGGCGGGGTGGGAGTGTGATATTACTCCCCAAATCATGGGGAAGTAGGGTGTATACCCCCGACCACGATATGGTTTGTAATATCCAGGGGGGAGAGGGCAATATTACTCCCCACATTGTGAGGGAGTGTGCAGTCCTTTGCAATACCTACCTTGGAATTAGGAGTAAACTTATCCTAGAATATTTTGAATAATTTCACCGGGTGTACACCTACTGTGACATTAGGAGTAACATCTCCCTACAATATTATGAATAATATCACAAGGTGTAAACCCACCGCGACATTAGATGTAATATCTCAGTAGGATATTATGAATAATATAACTGGGGCTGTACCCTGTGTGGTATTAGAAGTAACATCTCCCTTGGATAATACAAATAATAACAATTAATAATTATAATAATAATGTTTAATATGATATTATTCATAATATGCTAGGGGAATATTATTCCTAAAGTCACAGTGTGTGTACACCATGTGTGTACACCCTGTGGTATTATTCGTAGTATCCTAGAAAAATGTTACTCCTAATGTCACAGTGGGTGTACACCATGTGTGTACACTCTGTGATATTATTTGTAATATCCTAGGGGGTGTTATGTGGGTGTACACTCTGTGATATTAATATCTTAGGTGATGTTACTTTTAATGTCACAGTGGGCATACACGATGTTTGTACATCCTGTGTTATTATTCATAATATCATTAGGGGGATGTGACTCCTAATGTCACAGTGAGTGTTCACAATGTGTAGGTACTCCCAGTGATACTAAAAGTAATATCCTAGAGGGGTGTTATTCCTAATGTCACAGTGAGTGTACACCATGTATGTACACACCCTGTGATATTATTTATAATATCCTGGTGAGATGTTACATTTAATGTCATAGTGGGTGTACATCCTGTGATATTACTTGTAATATCCTAGGTGGATGTTACCCCTAATGTCGTAGTGGGTGTACACTATGTGTATACAGTCTGTGACATTTTTTGTAATATCCTAGGGGGATATTACTCCTAATGTCACAGTTGGTGTACACCATGTGTGTTCACCCTGTGGCATTATTTGTAAAATCCTACGGGGATGTTATGCCTCATTTCACAGTAAGTGTACACCATGTGTGTACACCCTGTGATATTATTTGTATAATTATAGGGGGATGTTCTTCTAATGTCACCACGGGTGTACACCATATGTGTACACCCTGTGAAAATATTCGTAATATTTTAGGGAGATTTAACTACTAATATCACAGTGGTTGTACAACCTGTGTGTATAACCTGTGATATTATTCATAATATCCTGGGGATGTATTACTTCTAATATCACAGTGAGTGTACACCCTGTGATATTATTCATAATATCCTAGAGAGATATTACTCCTAATATCACAGTGCATGTATAACCTGTGATATTAGCAGTAATATCCTAGGGGGATATCATGCCTAGTGTCACAGTGTGTGTACGCCCTGTGATATTATTCATAATATCATTGGGGAATATTACTCCTAATGTCACAAGTGATGTATAACCTGTGCTATTATTCATTATATTCTAGGGTGCTGTTACTCCTAATGTCACAGGGGGTATACAACCTGTGATATTGATCATAATTTCCTAGGGAGATGTTACTTTTAATTTCACAGGGAGTGTACATGCTGTGATATTATTCATAATATCCTAGCAGGTTGTTACTCCTAATGTCACAGGGGGTGTACACTCTGTAATATTATTTATAATATTTTAGAGGATTGTTACTCCTAATGTCACAGGGTGTGTACACCCCGCGATATTATTCGTAATATCCTAGGGGGATGTTACTCCCAATGTCACAGGGAGTGTACATTCTGTGATATTATTCTTTATATCCTAGATGGATGTTACTCCTAATGTCACAGAAGGTGTACACCCTGTGATGTTACTGGTAATATCCTAGAGGGATGTTGTTCCTAACATCACAATTGGTGTGCATCCTGTGATATTATTCATAATATCCAAGGGTGATGTTACTCCTAATGTCACAAAGAATGTACCTCCTGTAATATTATTTATAATATCCTAAGGTGATATTACTTATAATGTTACAGGTGGTGTACACATGGTAATATTATTTGTTATTTTCTAGAAGTTTGTTACTTTTAATGTCACAGGGGGTGTACACACTGTGATATTATTCATAATATCCTAGGTAGTTATTACTTCTAATATCACAGTGGGTGTACACCCTGTGATATTTTTCATAATATTCTAGGGAGATATTACTTCTAATATCAGTGGGTGTACACACATGGTGTACACCCTGTGATGATATTCATAGTATCCAAGGGAGAAATTACTCCTAATATCACAGTTGGTGTATACCTTGTGATATTACTTGTAATATTCTAGGAAGATATTACTCCTAATATCACAATGGGTGTACACACTGTGATATTATTTGTAATATCCTAGGGGAATGTTACTACTAATGTCACATGGGTGTAAACCCTGTTATATTATTCATAGTATCCTACTTGGATGTTACTCCTAATGTCACAGGGTGTGTACTCCCTGTGATATTATTCATAGTATATTACAGGGATGTTACTCCTAATGTCACAGGGAGTGTACACCTTGTGATATTATTCGTAACATCCTAAAAAGGTATTACTCCTCATGTCACAGGGGGTGTATACACTGTGATATTATTCCTAATACCTTATGGAGATATTACTCCAAATGTCAAACAATGTGTACACCCTGAGATATTATTCATAATATTTGGGGGGATGTTACTCTTAATGTCAAAGGGGTTGTACATACTGTGATATTATTCATAATATCCTAAGGGAATGTTACTAGTAATGTCATAGGGGCTGTACACCCTGTGATATTATTCATACTATTATAGGGGGATGTTACTACTAGCGTCACTGTGAGTGTACAACCTGATATTATTCCTAGTATCTTAGGGGATGTTACTCCTAATTTCACAGTAAGTGTACACCATGTGTATACACCCTGTGATATTACTCATAATTATAGGGGGATGTTACCTCTAATGTCACAGTGGGTGTACACCATATGTGTACACCCTGTGATAATATTCGTAATATTGTTTTTATTATACAGGGGGGAGAGGATGATATTACTTTCAATATCACAGAAGGTGTATATCCCCTTGTGATATTGTTTGTAATATCCATGAAGGGAGATAATATTACTCCCAAAAGAGTAAATACCCTGTGTGTACACCCCCCTGTGATATGGTTTGTAATATCTGGTGGGGGAGAGGGTGATATTACTCACCATATCGCGGGGGGTGTACACCCTCCTGTGATATGGTTTGTAACATCCAGTAGGGGGAGAGGGTGATATTACTCCACATATCACGGGGTGTGTACACCCTCCTGTGATACGGTTTGTTATATCCAGTGGGGGGAGAGGGTGATTTTATTTCCCATATCACGGGGAGTGTACACGCCCCCCGTAATATAGTTCGTAATATCCAGATGGGGAGAGGGTGATATTACTCCCCATATCACGGGGGGGTGTACACCCCACTGTGATATGGTTCATAGTATCCAGGGGATGAGAGAGTGGCCTCAAGGGATCCACTTGCCTTGGCCTCCCAAAGTGCTGGGATTACAGGCATGAGTCATTATGCCCACCTACATTATTTTTTGTTGTTGCACTGTTATTTTTGTTTTTTTAAGAATATTTTTTATCTGCGGTTGGTTGAATCCACAGATACAGAACGAGTGACTATAGAAGGGTGACTATATTCATGCCCTTGGGTTATTCCCTACCCCTGAACATTGGCTGACCCTGGCGACTTGATTCTAACAAATGTAATATGGCAAAAATAATGGGATGTCACTTTCGAGACTAGGCTATGCCCTTTCTCACTTGTTCACCCTGATGGAAGTCAGCTGCTATGTTGTGAGCTGTCCTAGGGTGAGGTCCACATCAGTGGCATGGAGCCAATGTCCCTGGGCAACAGCCAGCAAGAACCTGAGCCCTGCCAACAACCACATGAGTGAACTTGAAAGCTGTCTTAGTTTGGGCTGATAAAACAAAAATTACTTAAACTGGGTGGTTTATAAACAATAACATGTATTTTGCGCAGCTCTGGAAGCTGGGGAATATAATATCAAGGCACCAGCTGATTTGGTGGCTTGTGAGTGTCCGTTCCTCATAGAGGGCACCTTCTTGCCGCATCCTCACATGGTGGAAGAGGCAAACAAGCTGCCTTGGGCCTCTCTTACAGGGGCACTAATTCCATTCTCGAGGGCTTGGCCCTCATGACCTAATCACCTCTCAAAAGACCCCACCTCCTAATACCATCACCTTGGGGGTTAGCATGTCATCATGTGAATTTTATGATGACACAAGCATATAGACTACAGCAGATGCCATCCCCTCCCAGTTGAACATTGAGGTGGCTAAAGCCCTGGCCCACACCTTAACTGCAGCCTTGTGAGAGGCCAAGGGTGGGCCAGAGGACCCAGCTAAGCTATACCTGGATTTTCACCCTACAGGAACTGTGAGATAATAAATGTTGTTTTAATGTGTTGTGCAGCAACCAATAACTAATACAGTTGACAAATTTAAACTTAGATAACCTGGCATTGAACACCATGTTATAGCCACCATGTTCCACTGGGAATCGGTCTCCTTGGCTTCCCTCACAGAGACCAACATTTACAGCCAGGCCCAGTGTGCTGCCTCTGCTTCCCAGGGGCCCAGGTGGTGCCGGGAGTCTAGCACACAGCATACAACACAATCAACTCTAAGGTACTAAACAAAGATTCCTGTCTCTTGCTTGCACCACAAGATCATTATTGATCATTCCTGTTGGATTGTGACTCAGAAATGTCAATTCTTCCTACCATTTCATTTGTTTTCATTCTCCACTTTCTTTTTCTTCATTGCTTCCACACTCCGTTTTGCTCTTTTCTACCCTTAAATCTATTTTCCTCTTCATTTCTACCTTCTCTCTCCTGTAAACTGTTTTCTCCTGCTTGTGCTTTCACTTACAGAAGAAGGCACTATTTACTTTCTGGAAATATTAACATTGGTCTGAGAAGGACTGTTTTTTTGGAAACAGCATCAGGAAGAAAAGCACAGGTGGGGGGTGGGCTAGGGGCAAGGCAAGAGAACCTTCTTAGTGGGTTTTTTGTTGTTGCTTTTGTTCCCACCCATCTCTCATATCAAAACATCCCCTATGGCAGTTAAAAGCTGTTGGCTACCCCAATTAAAGTGTTTTTGTAGAAACTGTCAGAAATAGTTCCAAGAGCACTTTTAAGTTATTACATGTGGGTTGCATAAGCACTGGAGACTCATTAAAACATTCAACATATGATATGAATTAAGTGACAAATCAGTGAGTCAAAGCTTTAGCTTTTCAGTGTGACTAACGCGATCCTCTGAAATTTAGGTGCCGTGCAAAAAAACATATCTTAAAACAAAAAATTAAAGAGTATGTTTTGTTCCCTCTAGGAATCTATACTCCCAGCTTTAAAAAATATGGATATAATTGCATTTGGATTAATTGTGCTTTTAAATATACCTGTAACTAACAGAACCAGCCATATTACAAATTGGATCTGGGACACAAACGTAATTCTTTATTTTGTTTAAACAAATCTATCTTCCTTAAGAGCTCCACCCACTGGGTTGTGCAAACGGGAGGAAAAGAAATCTATTAACCCATTTCCCTAAATCCAATGGACTGTAAGATTTAACAGCACACTTTCTCCCTTACCCTACTTCCTTCCCCTACAAAATGGCAGCAGCTGCCTCTCCTGGCATGGGGGCAACCTTAACTGACCTTATACATTTCCAAACACCCCCTTGAGGGTAAGTACTGCCCTCCCCACTGAACAGCAACAACAAAAACTCTAACTGATGCTGAGGTATTTCAGTAAAGCTTCTAGCGTGTCCAATCCATCCTTTCCCGCCTCCTCTCCAAAGTAGCATCTGAACTTTACAGGAAAAGGGATTAGTGAGACTTCTTTGATGAGTTCAATGTCCCTGGGTGCCTTGGTCTCCAAGGAAATGGTCGTTATTCAGCTTACTGACCTTCCCAGTAACGACAACAGCTGGTGTCATTTATGAGCTGGTCTCCACATATAAAGTCAACTCTTGTTCGTATATACTTAAATGAGAATTATTTTCAAATGTAACACTCCAAATACAGTCTTATTGCAAAATTGATTTGTCCAATTATACCCTGGTAAAAATGAAGACATATTCTTATTTATCCTATGCAAAAATTATATTGCTATGAAAAAGTAAAGAGACTTGTAAAAATAATTTTCTCAATTCTTATATGTCAGTGAAAATCAAACCCCAAAACACCAAGAGTCTACTTAATTGAGGATTTAAGATAGCTTCAGAAGAAAAAGAATCTGTTATGTATCTATGAAAAGATAGACCATAAAATTAATGCCAAAAATATTCTGAATAAACCACATTAAAATTTCCCTCATTAGCTTAAGTATGCTGTAATTAATTCTTAGTCCACTGGGCCTTGGATCAAGCAGTTGGATTTGATAAAGCATAACTGCTTCTGAACAGAAAGGGGTTCTGGAAATCCTGACTTTGTCCACTAGTACAGCCTGAAAGTTTTCTAAGCAATCTTATCTTGGAAGATTATACTCAAGACTATTCTTTGAAATATCCATAGTTCAGAGTACCTAGCACAGTCTTTTCTGCAGCGCTCTGAGATTATATTCTCTGGAGAAACAAAGCCTAGCCTGTTGTTTTAGGCAAGCTTCAGAGGGAAACAGAAATCTGCTTGAGAATTAGGCTGAATAGCTGTGATCGATTTATTATAATACCAATACTATCAGAATGAGTCAGAATAAAATTTTCCATTAGCATTTCATAAGTGTTTAATCAACACTTCCTATAAAGTGAGAACTTAATATAAACAGTGAGGGCAGTGATAACTCTCCAGAGTCTTCCCTTAAAATCTAAAATCTCTGAAATGTTTATATTAACTGAACCTAGGGGAGGCTGAGTATCTCTTCTGATTTGACAGTTCTTCCCATGCAACTCTTATAATAGTGTTGAGCTAGTTTAAAAATATGGAGCATACCAAACATATCTAATTACTTCTAGCATCTCCCTATGCTAATACCTATTGTGGCAGGCATAGAAATGCACCCTTCCGATGTTCAGACTTGTGGCCTCCAGCTGTTAACTCCTTCAGATCTGCCTCAGGGCCCGGGTCATACTCTTCTTGGGGTCACCCCAGCCAAAGATCAAGCAAGAATGTGGTATAATGATGTGTTAGTCTGTTTTATATCACTATGAAGGAATACCTGAAACCGGATAATTTATAAAGAAAAGAAGTTTATTTGGCTCACAGTTCTGCAGGCTGTATAAGCAGGGGACGGGCATCTTCTTGACTTCTTGTGAGGCCTCAGGAAGCTTTTACTCATGGCAGAAAGCAAAGGGAGAGCAGGCGGGTTACATGGCAAGAGAGAGAGCAAAAGAGAGCAGGAGGGGGCACACTCCTTTTTTTTTTGTTTTGTTTTTTAAACAACCAGCTGTCACATGAACTAACAGAGCAAGAACTCACTCATTTCTGTGGGGAGGGCACTAAGGCATTCATTTGGGATCTGCTGCCATAACCCAAACACCTCCCATCAGGCCCCACCTCCAACCTTGGTCGGGGAAGGGGGACCACATTTAAACCTGACATTTGGAGGGGACAAACATCCAAACTATATTAAATGGCCTAAAATTTCACCCAATGTAAGACTCTTCTAACAGGCAATCCTTACTCTGGACCTCTCTGTTGGGCTTTCAAAGACCTGTCAGATTTCATCATGATCTGCTGAGTTTTTCTGCTCAATCTTGCTTTCTGTCTTTTCCTTTCACAGGTATTACTTTCTAATACACTTTTGACACCCCTGTTTCTATCTCAGTATCTGCTTCTTAGAGGATCCAATTGATACAGTGATTCCAGGAATGATTCAAAAAAAAAAAAACAAGTGGTAAGTTGAGACTTTGACACTGGACCCCTCATTATCTGAATGACAAACAAGAGCCCACTGCAGGTGGCATATGGGGCACAGTTAGTCCCTGGCACAATATAGTAGCCCAGCTGCTAAAATACTTCACTGGTAAATAGTACTGGAACATAATACCAGATAAATAAGAATTTATTGACATTGGGGCACTCTCTTGGGATATAAGATTAAACTCGCTGGAAAGGATCTGAGGAGGTAGAGCAAATTTGCTGCTAGGGTACCTCTAGACACCTGGAGAAAGTGATGGCCCATGCTGAGGAAAACTGAAATGCCTAAATTGTCATTGCGGACAATGGAGGAAGGCAGTAAGAGGACCAGGAAAGCGGATATGCTGGAGTGGATGTGAGATCAGAAAGCCTACTAGAAAAAATTATTTTCCACAGGAGGCCATGAGGACACATCATTCCCCAAGGTCATCAGGAATTTGCTAGTAAGCGGGGCACCAACATCACCAAGACATCCAGCACTGGCTCTTCTCAACAGGTCAGTGCTGACTGTAGGAGAGGCTGTCATAGAACTTGGCTCCTTAGTAACAATGAGGATCATGGAGCCCAAGAGCAAGAGAGGTTGAAGTAAAACTTAATCCTCAATGCTGGGGGTGGGGTGGGTCACAATTATCATTGTGCCCAACAATGTCAGAGCAGCAGCTAAGAGAGAATTGTGAAGACAGTTAATAAAACATAGTGTCACTAGGAGCAAAATACATGGGCTTCCAATGAGGATGCTGCTTGATACATGCAATTAAAGGAAAGAATGGATGAACAGGGGGCTGAGGGTGGTCACACCAATAAAAAGTCACAATATCTTGCCCACTTCCTGGATCTGTGCCAGTTGTCAAGCTATCGAGACTTGTCTGGGTCTCAGGAAGAAATATCCTGTGATATCAAGTCAAGTATGACATGTAATGATTCCCCTAGTCCTTCCCCAAAGAGATCCATTTCTACATACTTGAATGACCGTACATTCGGAAAAGGAGTACCCACACTTCCTGAGAACTATTGCACACAGGATCAGAATTAACACTGATACCTAAAGATCTGAAGAAACATCATGACTCTCCTTTCGAAATGAAAGCATACGGAGGCCATGAGTCATGTCCATGAGTCTGTTCAGAGTCTGCTCACAATGAGTCCACTGGGTTCACAAATCAACCCAGTGGACATTTACTCCATCTTCAGGTGTTTAATTGGGACTGACATATTTCACAGTTGGAGCAACTTCCATGTATTGTTCTTGGCCTATGGAGTAAGAGCTATCATAGTGAGCAAAGCTAAAAAGAAGTCTTTAAAACTGCCTCTCTTGCCCAAGAGACAACATCTAAAACAATATAATGTGCCTAGAAAATGGTGCAGATTAATGATACCCATAAAATATACATAAAAAATAAAATACAAACAAAAAAATAAAAAAGATGCAGGGTTGATAGTTTCCATCATATCTCCATTTAATTCAACAGTCTGGCCTTAGCAGAAACTAGATGAACTATAATAGAAGAATGATTGTAGACTACCAAAAATTTAACAAAGTAGCAGCCCCGGTTGCGATTGACATGCCAAGCATAGTATCATTGATAAAGCAGGCTAATATGGCTCCAGGTATATGGTATGCAGCTATCGGTTTGGAGAATTCATTCTTTTCTATCCCAATCAAGCAAGACAATTTAAAATAGTTCATGTCCATATGAAATAAATAGTTCATGTCCATATGAAATATAATATCAATATACATTGAAACTTTTCCCCAGGACTATATTAAGTTTCCTACTCACACTTACAGTCCAAAGAGATAGGAATCATCTGGAAATCCTGTAGAATATTATATTGATTCATTACATCATGACATCATGCTGATCAAACACGTTTAGCGAGAGGTTATTAGCATGCTCAAGGTTTGTGCTCCAGAGAGTGAGAAATGAACCCTTGGAAGAATCATGGAGGGACCTGGTTCTTTATTAAAGACATTAAGGGCCCATTGTTCAGAGGAGTGCTAGGATATCCCCTCCAAAATACAAGACAAATGGCAGCATCTTACCTCCAATATGAAAAAGGAAAAAGCACAACGCCTAGGAGGCTGCTTTGGGTTCTGTAAGCCACATACTCTACACCTAGAAATATTTTTCTCATCCATAAACCAGGTGACATAAAAAGCTGACAATTTTGCAGCCTGGCACAGGAAAGGGTTCTACAGCAGGATTGAGCTGTAGTGAAAATAGCCTCGACAATGGGCTATATGATCTGGCAGATCCTATGATGTTAGAGGTGTCAGTGGTGGAAAAAGATGTAGTATGGAGTTTATAGAAATCTCAGTGGGAAAATCACAGTTCAGGTGCCTGGGGATCTAGATGAAGGCTGCAAGTCTTTCGAAAAATGGCCCTTCTAATGCTACTGGTAAAGAGGAAATGCTTACTGTGGGACACTAAGTGACACAAAACAAAATGTACCTTGACTCCAGCCTGGGCGATAGAGCGAGACTCCATCTAAAAAAAAAAAAATTGGCTTGTTGGACACACCAGGTTATAAGTTCTGGGAAGCTGAACTGTAATCCATCGTAAGATAAAAGAATTACATTTGGGATGAAGCACAAAGAAGATCACAATCAATCTATAGGATTAGACAGCATACACTCTTACATCACTGTTAGAGTTGCATCAATACTCCTTCAGCTCATATTGGTGACCATATGGAGCAGAGGTGTGGTCTTGATCAATAAGCTAAAGAAAGAAAAAAAATGGCTGAGCTTAGTTTACGAATGGGTTGCCCAAGTATGTGGATGAAAGCTGAAATTGGGCAGCAGCTTATATTACAATCTCATTAAAGAATAGCCTTGAAGACAGTGAAGAGAAACAGTCTTCCTAGTGGGCAAAGCTTTGGATGATGCACCTTGTCATCCACTTTCTGTAGAGGGAGAAGTTGCCCGGGGTTAGAATATAAATATACTTACAGGAAATGACAAACATCCTGGCTGGCTGGTCAGAGGCCTGAAAATAATGAGTTTAGAAGATCACAAATAAAGAATCCTGAGGGTCTTGGAGGAATGTGGATATACACATTGGTGTGAGCAAAAAGTGTGAAGATATTTTTATCACACATCAATGTCCACAAGAAAGTATAATCTATGGAGTAAGCACTAAAAAAAAAAGTAGAAAAATTACTCAGTTGATGTCAACCTGTCTTTATTAGTGGCTACCTCAAGTGCTGGTAAAATTGACACATGAACAAAATGGCCAGGGTGGCAAAAATGGAATATGTGCACAGGCCCATCAGCACAAAGCCCTCTTACCACAGCTGATCTACTTACTTACTGCCTCATCTGAATGCTTAACCTGTGAGACTGGTCCTTAATTTGACACCGTATCTTTAGGAGATCAAGTAGACACTTGGTGGTAAGTAGACTACATTGAGATCTTTCCATTCTAGCAGTTCAATTTTATGGGAATATTTATTTGGGGTATGCATTCACATTTTATACTCACCAAGACTCATCCAGCACCAGTATCTGTGGACTTCCACAATGCTTGATCCACAGGTGTGGAATATAATACAACATAACATCCAAGCAGGACTTACTTCATAGCAAAGGTGGTACAAGCCTGTGACCATGGGTTCCACTGGATGTATCACATGCTGCATGCCCAGAAGCTGGTGGCCTAATAGAGCACTGGAATGACCTGCTGAAGATTCAGTTAAAGTATCAGCTAGAAGACAATATTCTGCAAGAATGAGGTACTGTCTCTCAGGATGCAGGGTCCCTAGTAAGAACAACACTTGGATCCAGGAAACAAGGGATGAAAACAGGAATGTAACCTAACTCACCATTTTTCCCAATGACCTGCGGTGGGACATAGTATTTCCCATTCCTGCAACTCTGAGCTCTGTGGAATTGGTGGTCCTAATCCCCAAAGGTGATATATTCTTGCTAGGGGACACAGTGTCCCACTGAACTAAGCTCAGCAGGTGCCTGGAAACACAGGACTTCTAGAGTTCAGGGGCTAGTAGGCAAGAAAGGAATCAATGCTTTGTCAGAGGTAGCTAAATCCAAACAGCAGGAGGAGATACGCTTGCTGTTACACAATGGGAGCAAGTAAGAATATATGTGGTACTTAGGCGATCCACTTTAGCATCTCTTGGTAATCCCTTACCTTATAGTGACCATCAATGAAAAAATGCAGCAGCACCTGCCTGAAAAGAAGATCACTACCAGGCGCTCAGACTTCCCAGGAATTAGGATTTTTACACCACCAGTTTACCATAGAGAGCAGTAGAGCAGTAGCTGACAGCAAGGGAAATTTAGAATGAATAGTGGAGAAGAGAGGCAATGGATTCAGTGTGGCCTCAGGACCCAAAGATGGGGAGTGTAGTTTGTCTCACTAACTTGCCACTTCTAAATTTTTTTTAGGAAGAAATGTGCACTAGAACCCTGGAAAAGTTGTTCCTGAAAGGTGTATGGAGACTGGGTGTATGGAGACTGTGACAGGCACAGAGAGATGCTGCTCAGATACCTCTTCAAGAAAGGACTTGCTTGTAGCCTAGCTGCAAGCAGTGTGGTTAGGTGACAGCCTTCAACTGTTGAATCTTCATGTCCACCTTGGGTTTTTAGTTGAGGCCACACTCTTCTTGGGGTGGCTCTAGCCAGTGACTGAGCAAAACTGGTACAAGGGCCTAGCCATTTCATCCCATTGTAGGCCTCTTCATCTTTATTCTGGAGCTACTATTTCCTCCATTTTCCTTTCACCTTTATTATTCATAACTCTTTCTCAGTGTCTGCTTCCTGAAGGACCCAACTGACAAATCCAATTCTTTTCCAGCTCCATCTAGTTCTCCTCTGCTCAACCCTAACTTTCCTATTTCTGTTGATAGTTGTAGAGGTAGTATATTCATCAGGGTTCCCTAGAGGGACAGAACTAATAGGATATAGATAGATAGATAGATAGATAGATAGATAGATAGATAGATACACACACACGCACACACACACGTATATATATCCTATTACATATATATCCTATTTTTTATATATATCCTTATATATATATCCTAATATATATATCTATATATAAGGATATATATATAAAAAGGGGAGTTTATTAAGTATTAACTTACACAATCACAAGGTCCCACAATAGGCTGTCTGCAAGCTTGAGGAGCAAGGAGAGCCAGTCTGAGTCTCACAACTGAAGAATTTGGAGTCCAATGTTTGAGGGCAGGAAGCATCCAGCATGGGAGAAAGATATAGGCTGGGAGGCTAGGCCAGTCTTGCCTTTTCATATTTTTCTGCCTGCTTTATATTCGATGGTAGCTGATTAGATTGTTCCCACCAGATTAAGGGTGAGTCTGTCTTCCCCAGTCCACTGACTCAACTGTTAATCTCCTTTGGCAACACCCTCACAGATACACCCAGGATCAATACTTTGCATCCTTCAATCCAATCAAGTTGACATTCAGAATTAACCATCACCGGTAGTATTGTGGGTTTTTAAATATATGAATACAAATGTTCATCTCCAGATCCATCTCCTGTGCCCTGTATTGGTGCACCAAAATGCACCATCAACAATGGCCAAATATCTTAAATATGAAATAAAATAGATAACACTATTGTATACTAGCAATTATCTTAAATGCATCTTGTGTATCAACTAATTCAATTCTTAAAACTACTGCCTGGATGGATACTATTGGTATTTCCATTTAACAGATCAGGAAACGGCCACAGAATGTGAAGTTACTTGCCCCAGTCATCCATAAATAATAAAAGGACTCAAGATTCAAAATAAGTAGTCCAACTGCAGTGTTTTTATTCTTAATCATCACACTCTGCCTCCAGAAAGGAGTGGAAGCACAGCACCCTAAAACTGTAATAGAGAAGTGTGTGGAGAAACCAGTCCTGGTTTATGAAAGATTTGATAACATAAAGATATTCTTGGTTTAGGAAGAGAGTTTCCAAAATAGCAAGTAGTTGAACTTTTAGGTTTTGTTACTAGTGAAAAGTGAAGTTTAAAGAAACTGTTTGATGCCCTAGTTCTGCACGCTGTACAAACTGCTACTTCCTACTCAGCCAGGCAATCTCTTTATTCTCAGGTCATACCAGTTGGTACCTTAACCTAAAAGAGAGGCAACACAGTCTCTATAGAATTAGTTTTTCCTCATTATTTCACTCTATTTATGATTTAATATTCTCCCATTCTTATGGCCTGGATATCTTGGAATTTATTAGGCACTTAACTGTTGGTCAAACTCTTATAAAGTCTCAGGAAAATCTCTCTCTTAAGATTTTTCAAGGAAAGTGACAACTGACTGCTTTTTTAAAAAAAATTTCCCCAAAATGCAGTGAAATAGTTTTAAAGTAAATTCGGCTAGACCCTGAACACTACTAGGCTGCCAGTGAGCAGCGTGGATGTTAACTCGCTGGCGCGCATCTGTATGAACTACAATTCCCATCGTACACCGCGCCATTTCACGCTAAACTACAATTATGCTTTCCTCATTTCCGTCAGCACAGGCGCTGGATTTCGGACTTTGTAGTTCATGCCAACTTCTCTTTTTTGTCGCCATTTTGGCAACAAGACAGTGTGCCTGGATCGACTACTTTGACTCTGGTATTATGATATGGTATTTGAAATAAATTAAAGGGATAACGTGTCAAGCCAATTGAGCGTCAAGTTTTTAAATATTTCACTATTCGCCTTCTTCCTACCGTCGGTGCTCGGGAAGAGGAAGTGACGTACGTCCGGTGTAATGGCGGCGCGGTGGAGCTCTAGGTAATTATCGAACTCCGTGGAGTCCCCGCAGGCAGAGACGCGGAGTGGGGGTGGCGGGTCGCCGGATCGGGTGGGAAGTAAAAGACCCCCAGGAGTGGGTGCGGGCTCACTGATACGGCTGTGAGCGGCATTGGAGTGTGCGTGGGTCTTCTCGCTACGCTCGGGCCCGCAAGAGGGGTGTGAGAGCGGCTAGGTCCAAGCAGGTGGGGAGGGAATGGGCTGCCATGAACTGACTGCCTGAGCGGACCGGCTGACCTTCCTTGTGAAGTTCCTGGAGCTGTCTGAAATCCTGCACCAACGCTGGTGCTGTGTTGTTTCTTGTGCACTGCGTTTTATACTTAGAGCCTCTGGAGTCCATTGGGGCTTGCCAAAGCCCCTTTCCTAGTGCCCGGGTCCCAGGGTCAGGGGAGTGGGATTAATGAGATCTAGTTGATTAAAAGTTAGTTGAATTACTTGCACTCTTATGCCTCTTGCCGGCATTATATCCCTTTGACTATTTGTTTTAAATTTCATTAGCGTCTTCTTTTTCATTTATTTGCCCTGTAAATACTGATAGTGTCTAGTGTTTAGTCTTGAAGACACTTCGCTTCTCATGTGCCCGCTTCATCTGTCATTCTTGATCCTTCCATAACTTGAACTATCTCCAGTGAGGTAATAACTGCCAAACTTGGGTCTCCAGGCTCCACCTCTCTAACGAGCTCTGGGTCCTACAACACAGCATTATATAACGGAAATATAATAGTTAATTTCACTGAGTTTAACTGCAAAAACCACGGTACCTATTTCCATTTAATCCTAACAATTCTTCTGAGGTAAGTGGAGAAGGCAGGATTTGGAGAAAGGCTATTCTAGATGCAAGAATTAGGTAAGAGTTTCCTTTGCATTTTTAGATGTGCAGAGACTCGAAATAGCAGATAAGCAAGCAAACTTGGTTCTCAGCAGATCAGTTAACCTACCTCTTATCTGTATTTAGACTTACCTTGTTTTAGGATTGCTTGTGAATTCAGGAGTTAACATAAATTATCATCCTACTATGGAAGGGCAGATTTAAAATTGACATTAAAAGTGTGGTTTTGACCAGGAGAGGAGAAGCATTGTTACAGGCGTTATCAGTAGGTGGAGGAAAGCCACTTGTGTTGGTCCTGGGTGATGGACTAGTAGACCAAAGATTTCTGTTTTATCCAGCTATTATTAGGTCTGTCACTTGGAGCAAGTTACCTAAAGTCTCTAGTGTCAGCTTCATCATCTGGAAACATGTAGGTAGTAATACAATACCTGCCTCACTGTATTGTCTTTTTTTGAGTATAAAGAAAAATAATGCAGATGAGGCACTGAGCACAGCGTTAGCGTTGTATTATTGTAAATTACTACTATGATACAGTTGATGAGTTCTCTCTGTTCCTCAATTCTTGTTCTCTGGTTCTGAATGTTGCCTTTCCACCTGTAAGTGTCCTTCCAGTTGTTTTTTGTTTTTTGTTTTGTTTTGTTTTGTTTGAGACGGAGTCTTACTCTGTCGCCCAGGCTGGAGTGCTGTGGCGCTATCTCGGCTCACTGCAAGCTCCGCCTCCCTAGTTCATGCCATTCTCCTGCCTCAGCCTCCCAAGTAGCTGGGACTAAGGTGCCCGCCACCACGCCTGGCTAATTTTTTGTATTTTTAGTAGAGACGGGGTTTCACTGTGTTAGCCAGGATGGTGTCTGTCTCCTGACCTTGTGATCCACCCGCCTCGGCCTCCCAAAGTGCTGGGATTACAGGCGTGAGCCACCGCTCCCGGCTAGTGTCCTAGTTTTAAGTGTCCATGCCACTTTAATGGAGTCTTTCCCAACTCAGTTGACTGGGGCTCTGAGACTGTCTTGGTTATAAGTTAAAGGCCAAGAACTTTGATCTAATACACTGGTGTATTGGTTCCAAAAATGTCTTCTGAATCAGCAGCATCATCTCCTTGAAGCTTGTTAGCAATGTAAATTACTGGGCTTCACCCAGTTCTGTTGAATCGGAAACGTGGAAATGGAGGCCCAACAGTCTG
Organism: Homo sapiens; assembly: GCF_000001405.40. Classification (NCBI taxonomy): domain Eukaryota; kingdom Metazoa; phylum Chordata; class Mammalia; order Primates; family Hominidae; genus Homo; species Homo sapiens. Next base: position 180,005,045 of record NC_000002.12, on the reverse strand, counting down.
TCTGTCTTTTTTTTTTTTTTTTCCGAAAGCATTCGAGTAGTTCTCATGCCAATTAGTTTGAGAACTTCTGCTCTGGCTCATCCTTTAGGGGCATGCTATGATTCATCCTCCCCCGTCCTCAGAATCATGTTTGCTGCCCTCCTTGCTCCAAAGTACTTGGATGCATGGCCAGCCAGTATTTATTATTATTCCACCACATCCTTCCCTGCTTTGGATAGGGTACCTCCAATCACTTTTTGGAGTTCTGACACTTCCTAGACTACCTAATTGTTTTTCTAAGCCAGCTTTCTTAGCTCTGTTAGCTTTCCCAGCTGCTGAATTTTTAGAAGTTAACTCTCCTGGGGGGGAGGGGGGCGAGGGGCGGGGGCGGCGATGGCTCATGCCTGCATTCCCAGCACTTTGGGAGGCCAAGGCGGGCGGATCACTTGAGATAGACCAGCCTGGCCAACATGGTGAAACCCCGTCTCTACTAAAAATACAAAAAAAATCAGCAGGGTGTGGTGCTGTGCGCTTGTAGCCCCAGCTACTCGGGTGGCTGAGGCACGACAATCACTTAAACCTGGGAGGCGGAGGTTGCAGTGAGCTGAGCTCTCTCCACTGCACTCCAGCTTGGGCGATAAAGTGAGCCTCTGTCTCAAGAAAAAAAAAGAAGAAGAAGAAAAAAAGAAGTTAACTCTCCTTCCCAGTGATTGCACATTGTTGAATGACCTACAGTGGCTTGTACCTGAGACCACCCAAAAGACAACACAGTGATGCATTTTGTATTTCAGATGCCCATGCCTTAACTTGAATAATATTTTCAATTTATTGTCCACTTGTATTTAAATGGAATTTTGTACTACTCATCATATCCCTAACTTGGTCATGGTTTGTTCATGGTGCCTGGAGCTAGTCCGAGAAAGAAGTGGCTATTGGTAATACATTCATGCATCCCTCTTATAACTTTGAAGCCTCCCTTGTCGAATTTCCCTACTTTTCTGTTTATCTGAGCATGGGAGGGTGGTGGAACAATAAAGCCAGAGAGCATACTAGTTTCAGCAAACTCCCAGACTTAAACTTTTTCTCAGTATGTACATTTCCCAAGTGGACATTGGAAGAGACATTTGAATACCTACAACAAAGTACAAACTTTAAGCATGGATTATAGCTAGCCTTTATATAATAAAGTTAATAAGTCTTTCCTAGTGAACAGATACCAAAAACGGGGTATGGGCTGCCTTGGCCTTGGGACATATTAACTCCTGTGGAATGGGTTAGCTAGTGGGGAGGAGGAACTCGGTGACTCATGTTTAACCTGTCTTTCAGCCTAACTTATAAATGGGTGGAGCTAGACAGAGTTCAGCACTTCCACCTGAAAAGTTACCCTGTGAGTCCTTCCTGAAATAGTTTGTCAGGATAGCTTTATTTTAGACCTGGCTACAGGAGCCTCTGTAGTAGAATGCAGTGCTTGCATGTCTAGGGGCTAAATTTCTCTGTGGAGGCCAACACCTCCAAGTTTTCTTTAAACCAGAATGTGGTTTACTACGTGGCTCTCTAATTAAATAACCAGGTGACTTTCAAAGCTGTGCCTTGAAAATTGGCAGAATGTGTTCACCCATATACTTAATTAGGCAAGCTGAGGAACAGATTTGGGACAGGAGAGAGTGGTTTGAATGTGTGATGAAGGCATATGGCATATTCAGTAATTAGGGTTGATTTTGTAAGTTAAAAGAACTGCACCTTCAGGGACAGATTTCCTTTTGCAGTGCCTGCAAAGGAACTAGTATTTTTTTCATCTCACTCAATGAGGAAGTGTTTTCAAGCTGTTCCACAGGTTAACATGGAGTGAAGACTAATAGGGGGTGGCATCTGATAGTGTTGTCTTGATGTACTAAGACTTGGAAATCTTAGTATTTCCAAGAAGTAGGAGTTAATAGGTGAGACAACGCTGCTGTTGTATTCCTTGATGAACAAGTTGACAAAATGGCATTATAGGAAGTTCTATGTAGGCAGAAATTGGAGTAATCAGCAGAAATCTACACTCCCCGTTTTTTATTTAATTTTAGACTTGGAACTTATTAAGTAGCAGACACTGTCCTAGGTTCTGGATATGTAGCAGTGACCAAGAACCTTGAGGATCCAGTGTACTCATACAGAGCCTTTCATAGTTTAGCTTAATGAGTCTCTCATGTTCCATCTTATTCATGTTCAGTTTTTCATGTACACCTTGGAATCCCCAAATTCTCTGTCTCTGAGTCTTTACACATGCTTATCGTATTTCCTGAATGACCTTTTCCCCTTTCGATATGGATAATTCCTACTTGTTCTTTAAGACTCAGCTTCAAGACCTACTTCTTTCTGTATGTCCCAAACCCTCTTTTCCAGTAACACTTGTTTATGACATTGTTGTAGCACTTAGACATTTCTTCTTTACCCAAGGACAGAGTCCTCAATGCCTTGTCTGTTGTGTAATGTATATATCTCCCCACCGTACATAGACACTGCCTTTAGTAAAGACCATGACTGTACTTTTTCTCTTAGCTTCATACTTCCTCATTTTCTCTGTAAGCATTTTTCTTTTTTCATCTTCTTTTACTATTGTTTTGAGATGGGATCTCACTATGTTGCCCAGGCTGGGACTCTAGGCACATGCCACTGCACCCAGCTTTTCTCAGCCACTGAATATAAATATCAATTATGGCCCTAGCCTAAATGGAACCTTCCCCCAGCCTCCTATATACAGTGACAGAATGAGGGGGAAACATGGGCAGATTTGGTAGAATCAGTAGGATTTGGTGACTTACAGGGAGTAAGGAAAAGGAAATTGCCACCTGGGAAGCTTTGTAAGTCATATCTTAGAAGAAGAGCTGGTTTAAGATGGGGAGAAGGAAATAATTAGTTCCACTGTGGATTTCTTTAGTTCAGATGGCCTTTGGCACATCCACTTAGAGGTTTCCTGTAGCAAATTGGACATCATGATTTGGAACTCTAGAGAAGATTGGCTGGAGTAAAAAGTTGTTTTCGCATGTTAATTAAAGCTATGGGGATGGAGATGATCTTCCACAGATAATATGGAGAAAGAAAAGATAAGGACTATTCATTCATCCATTTAACAAATATGTATTGAGAGCCTCTAGTGTTGGGAATGTAGCAATGAACAAAACATAAATTCATGAGCAAATACTAAACTCTCAGGCATAGTAAATATTAAAGGGATGGACAAATGAAGGTGGTGTCCCTGTAAGTTGACAAGTGAGAACTTCAAGAAGGGGATTAGGTGCCAAATGCTAGAGCAATGTCCCATAAAAGAAGGAAGCTGCCCCTGGATTTAGCAACAAGAAAAAAAGTTACTGTGTAACATTGGTAAGTGCTGTGGAGTAGTGGGAAGGGAAAGCTGAATTACAGTGGGTAGGAGAGGTTAAGAATTAGAGACATCAGGCTGGACATGGTGGCTCACTCCTGGAATCCCAGCACTTTGGGAGGCCCAGGTGGGCAGATCACTTGAGGTCAGGAGTTTGAGACCAGCCTGGCCAACATGGCGAAACCCCATCTCTACTAAAAATACACAAAATTAGCTGGGCATGGTGGTGCGCACCTGTAATCCCAGCTATTCAGGAGGAGGCTGAGGCATGAGAATCACTTGAACCTGGGTGGTGGAGGCTGTGATGAGCTGAGATCATGCCACTGCGCTCCAGCCTGGGTGACAGTCAGACTCTGTCTCAAGAAAAAAAAAAAAGAAAAAAAAATTAGAGGCATCAAGTGTGAACTTACATATCACAAAATAGCTGTGTAGGGATGAGACAGTAAAACTAGAGAGGGGACAGGATAAAGGGAATTTGCCCCATAAATATCATAATTTATTTTTAAATGAATCATTAAAAAGTTCAACATGTAGAATTTTTCTTTAAAACCAACTTAAATAGAAATCAATACTGTACTGTAAATCAAGAGACAGCTTATTGAAATGTTGAAACTAACAAAAATAGACAAATTTCTATTCTCATAGATCCTGCATTCTGTTGAAAAGAAGCACATTGGGGAATCTTCCTATGCGTAAAAAAATTAATAGTATTTCCAAATGATTGGATCACTTAACTCTTTATTTGGTTACTTAAACAGCCTAAAATAGACTAGCTTCATGATACAGGAAATGAATGGGGGTAATACTACCTCCCAATTTATAATGTGAGGTTTTCAGTATAGATAATGGTGTCACTGGGTTCATTAAAATGTCTTTTTTTTTTTTCACTCCTCTGTGTCTTACTGTCTTAAAGTGTCTGAAAATTTGGGCTGTCTACTCTCCACACAGAGTTGCAGACCAGTCAAATGCTTTTATATTACTTACTTCTTACAGAAAACAATGTCCAGAACTGTCTGCACAACTTCTAGCCCTGTACTTGAACCTGGCAATCTAGTCATTCAAATGGTTATGAGTCAGCACACCTGGCATATGCAATGACTATGAAGCAAAAGGGAGGACAGCTCTGCAACTCTTTATTTGTAATTTTTGGAGCCAGAAGTGTTTTGATTTCAGTATCTTGTAGATTTTAGAAAACTGCAGTGCCTATACTACATATTAAGTAATCCCCCCTTTTGGGGTCTGGAGTAACATCCTCTAGTCAAAACACATTAATATTTCTGCACTGTATCAAGTCACATTAAGTATCAAGTCAGTATATGCTAAGTTTTGCTCTCAAGTGAGTTGCCACATGCTTAAGAATAATCTTTGTATTTTCAGAGCTTTACAGATTTTAGAACTGCAGATAAAGGATTTTCAACCTGTACCTGGTGACTTTTCTAGAAAGAGACAGGAGTATTTTGACCCTTTTATTTTCTTGAAATTGTGATTCTATGCTGACATCAAATTATAATTTTTTGGCCTTATGAGGTATATCATGAGGCAATTTTTTCACTAATATGTAAATTAAGACAGGAAAAAATAGCAAGAAACGGTTTTTCTAAAACAAGTAAGTTTTCCTTCAGTACAGATATGGAAAGTACATAGCAATCTTGTTTTATATTGTTCAAGAGCGAAGCCAATCTGTTACTCCTATTTGTTCCCTGAAAAGGAAAATCCGTTCCTTGGGGGCTTGGCTGTTGTTGAGGTATTTTCTGAGAATTCCGTTCCGTTATGTCCCCTCCCATTATATTTTGGCATTTAGAATAATTTTAAGACAGTTTTTATTTTGTATTGTATAATATTACCACTTTCCCCATTGGGCAACTAAGGTTTTTGTTTTGGTTTTTGTTTTTGTTTTAAATATGAACTCTGTTAAAATGTTTGAAATTCACCAAACCTGTTTTTACTATTTAGAAGCCAGAGGAGCCAACTAAAGGTAACTCACTATTGATTCCCCTTTCCTTTAGCAATTTTATGACAATATGTTTCAGCAAGTTCCTCTAACTTGGACTGAGAACACCGAAGTGACAATGGTAGAAGTGTTTTGCTACGGAAATCATCTGGAAAGCAGTGCATTTCAGCCATTAGTTGAATATTTTCTCATTTTCTTAATTTTTGAGATGATTGCAGAATTCACAGTTTTCTGCTTAACAGTCTGACGTACTTATATATGTTATTAAATATTTTGCTTTCTAATGCTTGATGAAACTGAGAGAAAAACTATCTTTTTTTTAATAGTGCTCTCGTGAATACTATATCTCCTATTGGAAAATATCCTTTCTTCGGGAGAACAGGTGTGGTTTTGTTGAGTTGCTTTCTTGTGAGAAGGGGAAAGAAATTTAATAATTCACCATAAAATTCACATAGTGATGCTTAGAAGAGCAGAGAGTGCTATAAACTCTAGATAAATTGCTCTCATTTCAGGAATTTCCGATTAGTGTAAGTATTAGCATGCATATGTTGAACTCAGAATTTCCGAACAGGCATATTCTGCATAAATCTGGACAATGACAATACTTTATTCATTTTTTGTTAGAACTATGATAGCAGTCTACTTTACCATATTGTCATTTTCACACTTACGTTGTGAGACATGGAAATGTAACAGATTGTACTTTATTGCCAGAAATTATTTGCTGATGAAAGTTGAAAGGGGAAAGATGATATCGATCAGAAGAAAACTCACTAAATTGAAATATGTAAATTGAAATATGTAAATTTAAATAGAAATAAAATGCACAGAAATTGCTTGTTCTGAAATGTGTAAGTAGGTTGGGAAGAGGAACCGGGTGTAAGACTCCAGGAGAGTAGCAAAGGAAAACGCTAAATCTTGTGCAATGGGGTCAAGTGATTTTTTATTTTTATTTTTTGCTCATAGTATACCTAGTCACAGTGAATTCTAGGTATGCTAAATTAAATAAAAAGGAATCCTTAAAATTACTATGAATGTTTGAAAAGAAGTAGTGCTTCATTATATTAAATCACAGTCTTTGCTATCTGGAACTTTGAACGAATGGATCAGTTTAGGCTAGGATAATTTTCTGTATAGTAGAGTCTGTACTTGTTTACATTTTATAATTTACCATTTTGGCTTCAATTCGTTAGTGTTGGCATTTTCATTGGGACAAAATATATGGCTTTGGCATCAGATAAACCTGGCTTTGAAGTTTAGCTTCTGCCATTTACTAGGTGTAATTTACGTGGACAAATTGCTTGAATTCTCTGTACTTCAGTTGTTTCACTGAAAAACATGGCTAAAAAAAAAATCACCAGAACAGGGTAATTATGAGGATTGAGGAAGATTGTATAAGTGATTATAAATTGTGGCCATAATTTCTCAAGTTTAAAAAACACTTCTTACCTATGAATTATTAAGAATTAATACATTTGGATTTTCTGTTTCCCTTTCCAATTGATTTACAACTAAGTTCTTCACTATAAAGTAGGTAGGCTGTGGGGTCTCTATATTCTGCCTAAGTGGCTCATGGTTTGAGAACAAATTGAGAACCAAAGTTTCTTATGTAAAATTGAAAAGCTGAGGAGACTTGGGGAAAAGTTGGATTTTGGAGTTACCTTGGGAATACTTTCATAAAACAAGTATGCATGGGTTTCCCCTACACTTTCTGCCCATTTTCTGATTTTGTAAGTCAGAGGTGGGCCCCAATATATGTACAAGTAATTCTCCTGTCATGCATTTTTTCTTGATTCAAGTTGTGTTTAATATAGTGACATCAAACTAGTTTTACACTGTTAAGTAGTGATTTAAAACTGACCTGTAGGAAAAAAGTCCAACCTGTCACCTTGCTTGAGTGGCTTAGTGTTTTGTTTATCATTATAGATTTGTTTCTTATACCTAGAATGTAAGCTTCACATGAACAGATTTTGTTACGGTAGTTCATTGCTGCCTATCCAGTGCCTAGAAAGATGCTGGGCAAATAACAGAAGTGCTGTATTATTTGTTGGGGAACAAATGTACGTATAAATAACACTGGGTTTAAAGGTAATAAAGGATATGTTAGAAATGTTAAATGGTTGTGCTAGTAGAGGTAGGGAAAAAAATACCAATATCTTTGAGCAAAAGTAAGTCGAGTAAAGTTTTGAGTTTTATGGCTCTCTATACCTTTATAGCCATTAAAACAGGAGCTTTGGAAGGAGTCATGCAATTTGGTTTCAACAGAGTCATCTTGTTGAGGCAAATGGTCCTAAAATCCAGCTGAGATAAGGGTTATCCCTACAGGGCTCTCATCCTCAGGTGAGGGAGGGGGTAGCCTCTGTTTTAAATATTTTTTAAAATTCTATTTTAATTTGTAGCCTTTTAAGCTACATTTTGTACTTTTTTTTTTTAGTCATTACTCTAAGGAACAGTATATATATATCCTTAACTTTTCATGTGCTACTTAGAGTCCATATTGTATCACCTTACGAAAGATGTAGAAAACCTTGCATAGTGTAGATCCATTTTGGTCGCTAGTTCTATATACTATACATATATATACTCTGGCTACATATATTATAACCCCTCAAGACATAATTTTTGCTGTAAAGAGTCATATGTATTTTAGATAAATTAAAATAAAACAGTATCTTGTATTTCCTGAGAAAGTTATCATTTACAGTATTCTTCATTTCTTTCTGAAAAACAGTTTCCATCTAGCATCATTTCCCTTTAGCTTGAAGAACTTATTTTAGCATTTTTTGTAGTGCAGGTCTGCTGGTGATAAATTCTCTTAGTTTCTTTCTCTTAGTTGTTGTTTTTTGTTTAATCAGTAAATGTCTTCATTTTGTCTTCCTTTAAAGATTGTTTTTGCTGGAATTCTACGTTAACTTTTTTTTTTATCTTTTAACACTTTTAAAAATTGTTTCACTATTTTCAAGTCTCTCTAGTTTCTTTTTCAAAAATTTTGATATAAAATATATAGAGATGTAATTTACCATCTTTACCGTGTTTAAGTGTACAGTTCAGTGGTAATAAATACATTTATACTCCTTTTTTTTCCTTCATCCTCCACACCCCACTCCCCTTTCTGGCCTCTGATAACCGCCAGTCTGCTTTATCTTCATGAGATCCACTTTTTTAGCTTCTGCATGTAAATGAGAACATGGTCTATTTAGTTTCTGATGAGAAGTCAACAGTAATTTGAATTGTTATTTCCTTGTATATAATATGTTGTTTTTTTCTTTTCTGCTTTCAGGATTTTTCTCTTTATCTTTGGCTTTAACTATTAACCATTCTACTGTTAAGCGTATTCAGTGAATTTTTTATTTCATATATTTTTCAGTTTTAGAATTTCTGTTTGGTTCTATTTTATCGTTTCTCTTGGCTGAAATTTCCCAGGCATATTTTTCTTTGCATCGTTCCATATGTTTTAAAAACCATGCTTTAAAAACCTTATATACTAATTCCAGGATCTGGATCATCTCAGCATTGATCTGTTTTGATTGTCTTTTTCCTTAAGATTGGGCCACATTTTTTAAATGTTATTTTTAATTGTCTCCTGGATATTATTTTTATGTTATAGAGATTTTGGTTTCCTTACATTCCTCTAAGGAGTGGTGACTTTTTAGGCAGTTAACTTGGTTGGACTTAAATTGCAAACTCTAGTCTCTTGAGCAGCAGTTCAAATCTTAGTTCAGTTCTTGGCAGGAATCTGTCTTGTACATGTGTTGGTTCAGAGGTAGTCAGAGATGTGGGAACAATTTATACCCAGCATATGGGGTTCCCCTCCACTGACTCTCTCCCCTCCTGGATTCCCCCTCAGTTTCCAGCAGTTGTGGTTGCCTCAGACTCTGTCCTCTTGTTCTTCAAATGAGAATGGCTGCAGCTTTTCATCAGTTTTAGCCACCCTTGCGTGGTACAGACTGCAGCTTGCCCTCAGACTAAAGCTATATTAAATGGGATAACTCACTCATGTTGCTCCTTTCTCAAGGCATCTACTCTCCTCTAGACTCAGCCTGCTTTTGTTCATTCTCCAGTGCCTTCAGGTGGTTGTTGTATATTTTGTCAAGAGTTTATGGTTGTTACCTGTGAAAGGATTAGGTTCAGTAGGAACTTCCTAGCCATTTCAGAAGTGGAAGTTCAGTTACCGTTTTAAAAAATTTGTTCAGAAGTGCTACATAAACTACCCAGTGGCCCTGGGAATCAAAACACCCTTATTATTTAAGTTCTTAGAGGAAAACAGTGTAATTCTCTCTAGTCTCGAACCTCTCTTTCGCCTTTGAAACATGTTTTTTATTTGACTTTTGATAACATAGGCTTATTAAGATGGTAACTCTTGCATGATATCAGAATAGACTGTTTAAGGTAGAGGGGCATGCCTCTCCTCTCTGCTACCATCACAGAGTCTGATTTTATGAAGTGTTTTACGTAACTTATTCTGGATTTTCTCAATTATTTATCTAAGGTATAGCATCGAGTAGGAAAAGTTACTCTGAAACTAAGTTCAAACAATGATGTCATAGTTGTGGGCATAATAAGGTCCTAGATAGACTAGTCTGTGGGCATCAGGATTTAGGACCCAGAGTAATCTTTTTTTGTTTGTTTGTTTGTTTGAGACGAAGTCTCACTCTGTTGCCCAGGCTGGAGTGCAGTGGCACGATCTCAGCTCACTGCAAGCTCCGCCTCCCAGGTTCACGCCATTCTCCCACCTCAGCCTCCGGAGTAGCTGGGACTACAGGCGCCCGCCACCACGCCTGGCTAATTTTTTGTAATTTTTCAGTAGAGACGGGGTTTCACTGTGTTTGCCAGGATGGTGTCAATCTCCTGACCTTGTGATCCACCCACCTCGGCCTCCCAAAGTGCTGATAAACTTTAAAAAGATACATAAAGAAAAGATTGGGGGACAACTTGCCAGCTGAAAACAAGGCTGAGCTTTCTAAACAACTGCAATAATAACTAATTGAAGAAAGAGCCTGTTAATAAGCGTATTATGTAAAGTTACACACATTTGTCTCTTTAACTGTAAGCCTCGTACATAAGCAGTGATGTGCTTTAGATTGTAGTTATATTTTATAGATTGATAAGTTTGCCTTTACTAACCTTGACACCATGCCAATCATTGTAATAGAAACATTTCTTGACTTAGTAATTCGTATACATCCCCATCTGCATTAAATGACAGCCGCTCTGTATCACTTTATAATGTCAAGACTATTTGTATGTGTGTGCCAGTGAAAGGAATACTTAACAGGGTGTCCTTATGGTAGGTTTCTAGTTGTAAGTCTAGCTGGCATTATAATTTAATTATTATAATTATAATTGAAATAGGATATCTGGCTTTCAGTGTTCTCTTTTAAAAGAAGGAATTGGACCAGATAATCTGTTATACCCTTTCTGACACTCAAATTAATTTTTTTTTCCAGTTGTATTCAGTTATTTTGCTACTAAGCACGTTGCTTTCTCTGCATTCTCTGTATCTTTTAATCCTTTTATTTTCTATTTTATTTTTGGGATTTCAGTGCCTTATACTATAAACCATTTAGATATGTACTTCCAATAAAATATTTGAATGCAAGTTCTTTGTGAACATAAGTATCAATTTAGCATCTTGCAGAAATTGCTAAAACTTACTTAGAGTATTAAAACACATCTGAAGATTTTAGATTTAATGCTGATGACTAGGTTTATTCTGAGCTAAATACTTAGTTCTCATATGTGCATATATCTGAAGCTTTGTGCCATTAATAGATCACATTGAGACATAATTATTGTAGTTTAGCACCTTAAATTTCTATGTGGATTAAATTTATTTCTTAATGATCATTATTGCAAGGATATTGGGTATTTCATTCTTAGTCTGTGTAGAAACATTGGATTTTTATACTCAGTTTATATAGAGTTTCTCTTCTATCGTTTCCTCAGGTTTTTTTTAATAATATCACACTACTATTTTATGATGTAGGTATGTATCTCCCTCACTATGAGAACATTTTTAATAAAGTTATAGGACATCCCTTTTTAAATTAACTTTTGTTCCGCTTGGTCCTTAGAATAAAACCTTCTATTTGCTCTCTTGTTCATGGATTTTTTTTCTACTTGTATGTGTTAGGTATACATTATTATGTGTAACTACTTAAGGATTTTTACAATTTTTATTATATTTGTTTATGGATTAAGAAAAATAAAGCGGTCAAATGTCCATTGTATAGAAAAAATATATCATCATTTTTCACACTTTGTTAGTGTTAATAAAGCTTTCTTTGGTATATTTTATAGGTGATGTTTGCAGACAGAAAAAGTAAACTGTCAAGGAATTCAGAGCATTGGGTACTTGTTATTTGGACCAGTTTGAAGCATCTTTGATTTATTGGACCAACTGGCAACAGAAAATGAAAAGTAGTGTGGCACAGATAAAAGTAAGTGTTTGAAACTTAAAATGGAGGATGTAAACTTATAGTCAATTACCTATTCTTTAAATATAAATGCATTTATGTAATTAGGACATCAGAGCCAGACAGTAGAATGGCACTTAGGTTGGTGCAAAAGTAATTGCAGTTTTTGCAATTTTAAAAACCACAATTACTGTTTGCACCAACCTAATACATCCATCTAACTTAAACAATTTTAAATGTAGATACTTAGCTATATGGAAGTATTAGTGTGCAAGAGGGCAGTTGAGAACATACAGAAGTGTGTGTACGTGTGTGTGCGCGTGTGTGTGTGTGTATACACATGGATGCATGCGTCAGGGGCCTGCATATATCATGTGAATGATCACATGTAAAAGAAAAACAAGTAACAAACAGTGCAGGGAAATTTCTGCATATCTGTTTACAACGTGAGCCTCTTGGATATTTCTTATGAATAGATGGATGGTCTCTTTATTCTGTGCTGTACTTTAGACAGTGTGCGTTCATTTATTTAACAAATGCATATTGAGTTCTAGTGATGGTTGTAAGAACTTTGAACAAAATAGTTTTATATGTGTTATATTGATTGTTAGATGTTATAGTGATTGTTCTAAGAACTTTGAACAAAATAGTGAATAAAACAAATCCTTATTTTCATGGAGTTTACATTATAGTTGTTGTGGGGAGGAGATAAAATAAATTATAAACTTGATAAGTTATGTAGTATGTTAGAATGTTAAGTAATAGAATTGTCCTATGGAGAAAAGAAGTAGAAAAGGGTAGGGGGATTCAACATTGAGGGGTTGCAGTTTTTAATAGAGGGATGAGTAGGGCCCATTGAAAAGATAGCCATTTGAGCAGAGACTTGAAAATGTAAGAGTTAACTATGCCGATATCTGGGGAAAGAGTGTGCCTGGCAAAAGGAACAGCAAAGGCAAAGAATCTAGAGTGGAGCAGGTATCAGAAGGGGAGAATTGTAGGAGGTGAGATCAGGGCAGGAATAGGGACCAGTAATTCCATCTGCTTTCGAAACTGTTCTGCCTGTGAGTGGACTTGGCAGGAGAGCAAACTACTCAACTTCTTTTTCTCTTCAACTGCATGGATTTAAAACCAGGACATCACTTTTTGGGCCTTGGAGTCAGTAAAGGGGGAACTGTATTTTTATTTGATTATAAATGTAGGCACTCCTCCCTTCCTATCCTCTTACAGCTGTACACACCTAAAGTTCCTTCTTTAAAGAGAAGCAGTAGATTGCAAGCTCCTTGACAGCAGGCCCTGTAGTAGGTGCTTATTAAGCTGAACTGATAGACTTGTAGAGTAAGGCAGCCTCTGCTGCAATCTTTTCCAACCTCTGTCAAGTGTGAGAAGACACTCACCCACCTCCCTTTTAAGTAGACATCCAGCCTTTGCTTGCATATCTCTTTTGGCAGGGGGCTCACAGTTTCCTAAGGTAGTTCCATCTGTCAGTAACCCTTGTATATTGTTCTCAAATCGGCCTTTTTGGGACTTGTACTCATTGGTCCATTGTTACTTAAACAGTTAATTTATTGAGGACCTAGTAGGTGGCAGATTCTGGGTTAGGAGCTGGAGACGTAAAGGAAACCTTGTACAGAACTGGCTCTTGACAGAGCCATGTTAGACAAGAGCGCTCAGATCTTTAGACTAATGCCTTTTACTCAAAGGGAGAAATGTTTAGCCTTTCTCAGACTCCTCTTTTGGTTCCTCTTAGTCTCTGCTTCTCCACGCTTCCCTCTTGTGGCCCAGATGGGTCTCCTGTAGCATTTTCTCCCCCAGCCTGCCCGTGGGTGGCTTCATTTAGCATGCCCTTCACACTTAGTGGCTTGGCTCTACCAGCCAGCTCTCTTTGGTCTGCTTCCATTTATCTCTTTTCTGTTAGCCACAATGGGTCCACTAGCTGGGTTGATGCTGATTCTTTCTTTAGGTGAAACTCAGCTCTTCCCTTGATGTTCTGAGGACTCACCTATTAGGTTCATAAGGCTTCAACTGAGAATCCCCTGTTTTTCCCTTGAACCTCACTGTAGCTTCCTTAGCAAGCTCCTACCTCTTCCAGCACCTCCTCCCTCTTTCTTTTAAAGTCTAGTGGATCATGAAAGCCACTGGACTCAGGCTTCTTGTTCCCCTTGTCTCCTCGTACTGCTCTCCCTACATTGTTGGAGACTATGAGTTACTACATGATGTCACCATATTTGTTTTGCTTCATGAACAATTTCGAAAAATTTTAAAAGGTAATTCTGACTGTATAGTATTTTCAACTACTGCACTGACTTACAATCTAAACTCTGTGATAAAAGAAATAGGGAAATTCAGGTTCTTAATATTTGATTCATACCTGAAAGTGATTCTTAACTTGGTGAAATCCTATTCATCTACCAAAGCCAAATTCAAGTCCCCGTTTTCCCACTTTCATCCGTTAGCACTGTATGCCACAGTGATTGTTTCCTACTCAAGATCTCCTGTTAGCACTTACTATGTGTGCCAGTCATTTGTTACTTGATCATATTTATGAAATCCTTCTTCACAACTTCAATATTTTTGGTCTCTTCCTCTTGCTCACAACAGATGTTGCGGAGATGTGTTAAAAATCATTAGTACAGAATTGGGGCCTTCTCCTTAATGTAATCAAAATAACTTTCTTTGCCTTGTAAAAGAAAAAGGAGATAATGCAGTTTTATTGTCCTCTGTCTTCTCCTCTCTCCTCTCCCTGCCCCCTCCTTCTTCTTTCTCTCTCTCTCTCTCTCTCTCTCTCTCTCTCTGTCTGTCTCACTCACTCACTCTCATTCTGGGGAACATATAATCTAATGTGTTTAATCATAGAAATCTTTATAAGCCTGTCTGTCTTCTACAAGATCATAAGCTCCTTGGCCTTTCTTATCTATTGTATCTTTCAGAATGTCTACACAGGAAGGACTATGTCTTATAATAAGTGATCAGTATAAATATTGTATTTTATGTTACCATTGAATTGAATGAATCTTGTGCTTTGTATTTGACCTAAGATCTTTATGTGAAGTTTTATAGAAACCTATGTCATATATATTGAACATTTCTATTTCACTGTGTTGATGAGTGAAATAATTTTTAAAACTTTCTTATATTAGATACAGAATTTTAAAATGGTTGAATTTAATGCAAAGTAACAGCTAAACTATGGTTACTTTAAGTTATCAATTTTGATTACATGCTTATTCACCTATATAAATTAGTTAGTGGATACTATTCAAAAAATTCAGTAATGAGACTATTTTGCATTGTACTTGTGATTATGTTAGACTCAAACTGCTGTTAATTAGATAGTCATAAAATCAGAGGAAGTTGGATCTTATATTTCTACTCAGAATAATTTTCTTTTTTAAAATATATCCTTTCTTCATTAAGGAGGCAAGCATGTAAGTTTGCAGAACTGTTATTCATTGTTTGATTTAGTTTATCTTAGATTTCAAGATTAAGGTATGTTAAATGCTATTTTTCTTTACAGTATGGTTAATTAAAATTATTTTAATTCTTAAAAAAAGGCTTGTCGATATTTGAATGTTGACCAGTTATATAAAAAATTTTACCTATATACAGAGGTAAACATTTTGGTTCCTTAATGTATTTGGATTTTTTAATTAGGATGTAGTCTCAAACTGGATGGTTCACATCTCTGTCTCATGTCAGTCTCATGTTACATGAAGTTACTTATTTGTATATTGATTGTTTTTCAAAAAATTTGGAATAGTGCTTATACCCTAAAAGTAATGTTGTTCGAGTCCCTAGAGCCTACCACAGTATAATACATATCAGACACTCAATTGATGTTTGTTGAAAACAAAAATTAACTTTTATAAACATGTTAGAGTCAGTTTCTTCCAGCTATTTTACCCTGTACTAAAGTTGTGGTTTTCATAAGCCAAAGGAGATAGGAGGTAAGTACAATATTGTGGCTGAGGCGAGAAGATCACTTGAGCCTGGGTGGTTGAGTCTGCAGTGAGCCGTGATCATGCCACTGCACTCCAGCCTGGGCAACAGAGCAAGACCCTGTCTCAAAAAATAATAATAATAATAATAATTATTATTATAACTTATTACATAGAAGTAAAATATAAACTAGATGTCATCAAAAATTTGAGAATTATCTTTTTCTACCTTGAATTTTTTTGGCTAGAAAGAAGTATTTGGTTCTGCAAAGCCGTAAGAATGATACAATGGGTTTTAGGGACTCAGCGGAAAGGGTCAGGGAGAGTAGGGGGGTGGTTAGGGATAAAAGACTACACATTGGGGTACAGTGTTCATTATTCATGTGATGGGTGCAGCACAGTCTCAGAAATCACCACTAAAGAACTTATCCATGTAACCAAACACCACCTGTTCCACATAAAACTATTGAAATAAAAAATAAAATAAAAAGAAATAAAAAATAAAAATAAACAGAAAAAAAAAGAAGTTTTTGGTCCATAATGAAAACAGGTGCCTGCCACAGACAGGCCTATCTGGGATGGTCTGAAGATTTTGTTTTATCTTATAGACTGTTTAGGTTACATGAATTATTCTTAATGATTTAAAAAATGTTTTGATACAATTTCTAAAGTACTTCCAACTTTCTAAGCCATGTATTTCAGTCTGTGTTATTAACATAAATAATTTTTGAAATGTTTTCCCCTTTTCCTCTTTTAAAGCCTTCTTCTGGTCATGACAGAAGGGAAAACCTTAATTCATATCAGAGGAACTCCTCTCCAGAAGACAGGTAAATAGTTTAATATGCTCTGAATGCAATGTAAATTTTTATAGTAAGGTTTATGTAATAATTTAGCTCTTAGATTTCTAATTTTAGGGTGGATAACTTCTTTTTAATGGTTTTATAACCAATATTACTTGAATGGGCTGTAGGAGGAATCATCCTTAAATGACTCTTCTAGGAGTTTCTAGTAAATAATTCCAGATATTATGTAATTTTTATGTGAAAGGGAGTAATTTTTAATGTTTCAAAGACTAATGGAATGAAAGTGTAAAATGGAAAACTGAGTTGAAATTACAGTATTCAGAAGTGCTGCTTTTGCTACTGTTAGTATTATCTCTTACATGTACATAGCTCTGTATTGTCTTTAAAATATTTTTATATAGATTATAACAGGGGTCCCCAACCCCCAGAGCCATGGACCAGGCCACACAGCAGGTGAGCAGCAGGCCTGCCAGCATTCCCGCCTGAGCTCCACCTCCTGGCAGATCACCTGTGGCATTCCATTCTCATAGGAGCACAAACCCTCTTGTGAACTGTGCATGTGAGGGATCTAGGCTGTGTGCTCCTTATTAGAATCTAACTAATGCCTGATGATTTGAGGTGGAACAGTTTCATCCTGAAACCATCCCCTCACCCCCTAACATCTGTGGAAAAATTGTCTTCCACAAAACCAGTCCCTGTTGCCAAAAAGGTTTGAGACCGCTGGATTATATCATATTATAACTATGTTAAGGTCAGCGATCCAAAAATGTTAACATTAATGTGCATTATGAATTCATATTAGCACTACAATTATTTCATTTATGATCATTGAAAGACCATTAAGCATATGGTCTATTAAAAATAATGACTGTAAAAAAAATTTTTTATGCCCATTAAAAATAATTTATGAAGGAAGAAGCACCCTTCAAACTTTCTTCCAGTTGTCTAGGCTTCCTTACTCCACATGTACTTTCTTATTCTACTCTGCTAAATAATCTCTAAAAACTTTGCTTTGTGAACATCAAGTTAATTGCCCTGATTCATAATTACTTACTATCTTTCACCGATTGTCTACTCCCTATATATTTAAAAACAAAAAACAAACAAAAAACTCTTTACACACAGACACACACACACACAGGTATTTGTGTGTATAACTTAATTGTAGATGTGTATATAAAATATGGATTATGTTACTATGTATCTATTATGTATATATTTAACTTCTCTTAAGGTTCTCTGATTTTATTGACTTTTAAGATTCAAATAACAGATCTGATGCTATCCATCCTTGTTTGCTAATAATTTCAATCCATTCTCATTGCTGTCCAGTAATGCATTTTCAAGATTAACAGCTGATGAATATGGTCTTTTGGTATGGAATTAAACTGATCCTTATGGAGGCCAGCCAATGACCTTGGTCTCATACATTCAGTGTTTTGATAAACAAGCCAACTAAGCAAAAGGAGTCATTTGTAGGATAGCCTTTTTCATGCTAACTATATATGATATCCAGATATATGTCTCCTACTGAGAACAAAGTGAATCAGGATAATTCACTAAACAAGTAAGTTTGGTTAAGTGAATCCTAGGAGTTGTTTTGCTGTGTACAAACTGAAAGCTTTTGTAATTCTGATGGAATGAATGGGTGTTAGCAAAATGAGCTGTTAAGAACAGTTTGACACGATGTTGTTCAGTCATAGAGTTGCTTTACCATTACCAATATATGACTTTCCTAAATATTTATAACATAGTTGTTTTTAATTTGCAACTTGGTTTTCTTATTTTATGTTAGATATGAAGAACAAGAACGATCCCCCCGGGATAGAGATTACTTTGATTACAGCAGATCAGACTATGAGCATTCAAGAAGAGGACGTTCTTATGATAGTAGCATGGAGTCACGGTTAGTGTTGGGAATTTCTAACTTGTAGAAAATTGTATTTGTTTAAACTCTCTTTATGCTACATTTGTAATAAAAACAAAAATAATACTAGCTAACATTAATTGGATGTTTTTAGGTGCTAGGCTTTCTAATAAGGGCTTTATATGAATTAACTTCTTATTGCAGTAAATATGTGAAGTAGGTGCTAGTATGTCTGCTTTACAGCTGAAGAAACTGAGGTCTAGAGAAGTTTAGTAATTTGTTCATGTTTTGAAACATAATAGTGGCAAGCCTAAGTCTGTCTGACTCTAAAGCCCAAGCTCATTCATTGTATTGTACCGCAAGAGGGGTTGGTTTATGTGATTTTTTGAGATTCTTTACTCAATGAAAGAAATTTATATTGTATGATATAGAGTGGTCTAAATTTACTTTCCTGCGTAATGGCAGAGGGACATTGAGACTTAAGTTTCCAATTTGTAGTTTTTTTCTACATGTGAAGGATTCTTACTTGAGCTTTAGAGAACTTGGTTACCCACCTGTTCCTGTGGCTAACAAGACTTGCAATATTTCCTTGGTTGAGAAATGGGCAAGGGAACTGAATGGAAGGCAGATGGTAAGAAACATTGGAATGAGAGTGTTTGGAGACTCCTAGGGGTAATATTTAAGAAGAGTCAGACATTAAGTGCCATTCATGTTTCATTGAAATCTAGGCAGAGTATTATAACCCCTTGTTATTGATATGTATTTATTTTCAATTCTTTTTCTCCCTTGTAGAAATTAGTAATAGTTTTTACAGTGAGAATACATCAGTCCCCACTTATCCATGGGGAATGTGTTCTAGGACCCCAGTGGGTGCCTGAAACTGCAGATAATACCTGAACCATATATATATATACTATGTTTTTTCCAATACATACATACCTATGATAAAGTTTAATTTATAAATTAGGCATAGTAAAAGATTAACAATAGTAACTAATACTAAAATAGAACGATTATAAGAATATACTCTAATAAAAGTTATCGAATGTGGTCTGCCTCTCTCAAAATATCTTATTGTACTGTAGTCACTTATTTTTGGACCGTGGTTAATCACTGGTAGCTGAAGCCTCAGAAAGTGAAACCACAGATAAGGGGTGACTACTGTGTTAGAAAGATGTCGGCGTTTTAATAATTCCCTTTAAAACTTCACTAAAGGGCCTCTGTATTTGCTCAGGAGAAGGTATAATGGAATTAAAAAGTTACTTAGTACATGTGGGGAGAGACTCTCCAGGTAGAAGTAATGGTAGTCTCAAAGAAAATAGTGGGGCAGATACTTGAGATGCTCAATATAGGGAAGAGATGTTAACTAGCATTCTGCAGATGGAAATACTCTCAAGTACTTAAAACAGAAGTCACTATATGGGTAGTATTTCCTTAACTTGCATGTATCTTTGCTTAGGAGAGGAGTAGTGATGCAGACAATTTCCAGGTCATTTGAAATTGACTTTGGGATGTCTATATTTTACACTTTTTAATGAGGTGGTGTTGCATAGTAGAAAGAGAATAGATTCCATATTCATGCAGATTAGAGTTCAAGTTTTAGTTACTAGTTACAGAAATTTGGTAAAATTTCTTAACAAACTTCTTCTGAGCCTCAGTTTCCTTATCTATAAGATGAGGATGATAACATGTATCTTGTCTGGTTGTTTAGGTTTAAAAATAATGTCTGTCCTACTACCATGTCTGAACATAGTAGATACTAAGAAAATGACAACTTTAAAATATTAGTTTCTTGAGCATATCAGTTTGAGTAGTGATAAGCGGTGAACCCTTGGCACTTTATATGGAAAACAGTGGAAGAGTTCAGGTAAACTATTGTTGAACAACGTGGTTGATTCTGAATGTATTTCTAATTAATCTTACAAAACTAACATTATTTTAGTATTTTATAAAGGAACTGTGATTTGTCTCTGTAACAACCATTTTCATTATCCCTTCATAGACATCTTTCTGCCTTTGTCATTGTTTTCATAAAACCAGCTTTCTCCTGATTTTCCTGTATTCCCTTATTAGTCATCTAGTTTCTAAAACTTGACTCTCATGGTTTATCGTTGACTAAAATCAATATCTTTTTTTGATGTCTCTCAGATATTATCCACCCCTTTACTACCAATATTATACCCCCCACAGGAATTTTGACCAAATTCCTCTGCAGTTTGGAGTTTGGAGCTAAGCACATCCTTTGATATCCACAGCCAAAAATTTCCTTCTCATCACTTTCTAGTATATACCTAATCCTATAATGTCAGATTATATTAACCTTCAAAATCCAGGCTTGTCTGCTGTCACCTTAATGAGAATGACTACTAGTACCATAATTGGTAAGCTAAGCTTTTTGTATATTTTCCCAAATACTGTTAAAACTCTTAGAAACTAGATACTATTTTTTCCAATTTACAGATAAGGAAATGGCTTTGAGTTTATTAAGTAGCTTACCTGAGGTTGCATTTAAACATCTGGTAGATGTTGAAACTGGAATTTGAACTCAGTTCTGGCTCCAAAGCTTCTGTATTTTTCACAATCCCTGACTGTTGTACTTCAGTATAACTCTATGTTAGGTCTAGTATATGAAAATGAAGTCTCATGTTATCCACACAGTCACACTATGAAGTAAGCAGGCTAGGTATTATGCAGAACATAAAGGCTAACAGTCCAAAAATGTTTCTATTTAGACTTTTAGAATATTTTGTTACTTCTGCACTATAAAGGAACAAACACAATAATGGTAGGGATCTGATTTTATCAGCCAGCTAGCTCTCTTACCTGGTGTTTCTCAGAAGAATCATAACCAATGTCAGGAAATCCCTGCTGTAGCTACTCTCTTGGAACATGTATATTCACAAGAAGAAGCAATTCAGTTGCAAATTAGTGTAGAGAACTTAGAGCATCTGCCTTTGTGACTAATTGAGGTTGATATTTGAAATCACTCTTTCCCCCATCTGTTCACTCTTGGTGTATACAGATTGTCTATCCTCCCTAGGAGTCATTTAAGTCTCTTATACCTCAGTTTCAAAACTGTTCATCCAACCCAACAATCTCATTACTGGGTATATACCCAAAAGAATATAAATAATTATATTATAAAGACACATGCATGTGTATATTTATCACAGCACTATTGACAATAGCAAAGCCATAGAATCTACCTAAATGCCCATCAGTGATATACTGGATAAAGGAAATGTCGTACTTATACACCATGGAATACTATGCAGCCATAAAAAAGAATGAGATTATGTTCTTTGCAGGGACATGGATGGAGCTAGAGGCCATTATCCTTAACAAACTAACACAGGAACTGAAAACCAAATACCACATGTTCTCATTTATAAGTGGGAGCTAAATTATGAGAACACATTAACACATGGAGAACAACACACACTGGGGCCTTATGGAGGGTGAAGGGAGAGTGGAGGGTGGGAGGAGGAAGAGGATCACGAAAAACAGCTAATGAATACTAGGTTTAATATTTGGGTGGTAAAATAATCTATACAACAAACCCCCATGACACAAGTTTACCTATGTAATAAACCTGCACTTGTACCCCTGAACTTAAAATAAAAGTAAACAAATGAACAAAAAAAATCTGTTCCTCCACAGCTACCTGGGAAGATGACTGCTTTTCAATCTCCGTGTAGGTTTTATTACTATATATTTAAAAGACCATCTCAAACATACTCCTTAGATTTAGCTAAAATCTATACCACAGTTTCCTGGTAATGCAGTGATAATATGAAATTTACTTTTATTTACTATATTATATATAACTCATGGTTACCCAAAACACAAACAGAATGATCTGGGTTTCCAAGGCAGTATATGTAAAAAGCAGCTCAGTGGATAAACTTTGCTCTGGGGAAAGATAGCAAAAAGCAAGAATTCGCTCTTTCCCGTTAGTTCTTGATGGTTTCAGAGAACTGTACCTTGATTGTTTTAAAAGCCTCAGCTTAAGAAAGGATAATCAGGTACGTTAGTAGGGAAGACATTGTGGCTAGAAAAGTTTTTCCCCCCACATTGTCTCAAATAAGCAGAAGCTTCCAATATTCTGAGATTTCTAATGAAAATATTAGTTCTATCAAGAAACAACTTCAAATATTATATTCTATAGTAGTCTTACAACTAAAGTAACCACTATTGGAGATTAACTCTGGTTTCTTCTCCTTTATACAATTTGTCATATACACCACAGGCTAATTTGTCTTCTTAAAACACTCTTTTCATGCCACTCTCCTACTGAGAAACTTTTAATGATTCCCCATCACCTCCAGTATAAAAACCTTAAAGTCTTTACATATGTTTTAAGATTTTAGTCTAACTCTAATTCATCTTTCCAACAACCATGACACATAATCCTTTGTTTCCTGATTGTCCTACTCATTCTGACCTTAACACCCCTGCTCAGTCTTTCAATAATTATTCCCTCTTCTACTAGTTGCAAAATGTCATCCTTCGTCTCCCCTTCCTCCTGCCGACTTGCCCCCAGTCTAAATCCTGTCAAGCCTTCAGGACCTAATTTGTTGAATTTTCTCTGTGAAACACTTTGTCACCATTCTAAACCACTTTTCCTAGTCTGAATTTGTGGGACCCACTTATGGTCTCACTCATTTGTGTGCAGTTAATTGCTAAGAGTGTGTTTTATATTGTCTTTTCTGCTCTTCAAAAAATTTATATTACAGAAACAGGGACCGAGAAAAACGCAGAGAAAGAGAAAGAGATACGGATCGGAAAAGGTCTCGGAAATCCCCATCTCCTGGGAGGAGAAACCCAGAAACATCAGTAACTCAGAGTTCCTCTGCTCAGGATGAACCTGCTACAAAGAAAAAGAAAGATGAGCTGGATCCTCTTCTTACTCGCACTGGTGGAGCATATATTCCCCCTGCAAAGCTCAGGATGATGCAGGAACAGATTACAGATAAAAACAGGCATGTTTATATCAATCAGTATACAAAGCCATGAAATTGTCATTGAAAAATAAGTCAACTGTGGTTTAATTAACCCTGGTTCTTGAGAATTTACGTTAGTCTATAGTGATAGAGACCTCAAATTAGAGACCTCTTTACTTTATAGCTCCATTGGAGAGCCACACACTACGTGCCCTTATATTAGCACATTACTTCTTTTTTCTTTTTTTTGCATGAATGAATTAAAAAGTTTGAGGAAAAGATTGCTTACCCTTTTTATAGTATGTTCAAACTATTGTTCCTTTCATAGTTTCATGGATGCATTCCTATTGATAATGTCTGTTTTTTGTAGAAAAGAGTAATACTGACATTTTAGTTCTAAAATTGACTTTTCCTGTTGTAAACCAGGAGTCAGCAAACTTTTTCTGTAAAAGCCCACACTGTAAATATTTTACACTGTGAGTCATTTTGTCTCTGTTGTTGCTACTTAACTCCGCTCTTGAAATGTGAAAATAGTCATAGGCATTGTGTAGAAAATTATAAGCATGGCTGTGTTCCAATAAAGCATTATTTACAAAAGCAGGTGGTCAGCTGCATTTGGCTCATGGGTGTAGTTTGCCAACCTCTGTACTTACCTATAAAACTGAAGCTGGCAATTATCTCTTTTTGTACATTTTCTTCAGATCATGATCTATTAGACTATACATTTTTGCTACTCTAAGGCAGACAGACAAAATTTATATATGAACAATCACACTTAAAACACTCCTCCTTCCCTTTTCAGAATAATTGAGATGGTGAGGAGCTATTTAGGAAAGTACAGCTAAGTTTTTAAGATATTTTTCTCTAATAGGATGAGTTGATAACTAGGGAATGTATGGTCCCAGATTGAAATGATTATTCAGTTGCCAGATAACTAGTTAAAAGATTGGGATAGAAGGTATTAATAGTTATAATTTAAGAAAAACAGATGCAAGGTGAGCCAGACAGGAATATTTCCACATCTTTTCATGAGTGTTTTAGTAGCAATTTGAAAAGTGCTTGAGAAGCTTATTTAAGTTAAATCTAAATTTGTTTCAAGGATTAGCTTGAAGTAGAAACGTCATGATCCGCCCACCTCGGCCTCCCAAAGTTCGAGACCAGCCTGGCCAATATAGTGAAACCCTGTCTCTACTAAAAATACAAAAATTAGCCAGGCGTGGTGGTGGGTGCCTGTAGTCCCAGCTACTCGGGAGGCTGAGGCAGAAGAATGGCATGAACCCAGGAGGCGGAGCTTGCAGTGAGCCGAGATCGCACCACTGCACTCCAGCCTGGGCAACAGAGAGAGACTCTGCCTCAAAAAAAAAAAAAAAATAAGAAATGTCATTTATCTAAAAGAAGCTATGAAGATTTGAAATAAATTAAAACCGAATTTAAGAGCCAGAAAGGGGTATTTGGTGACATTAAATTCAAAACTAATAAGTTTTTCTTTATGTGTCATATTTTAGCGCTTGGCAGTGATATTTGAAGTGTTAGGTTGAAAAGGAATTTGGAGATGGCTTCTGTGGTTAGTAGGACCTTCATTATCATGTAAACGTTTTGCTCATGCACAAGGCAGTAGTGGCAGCATTACTGAAAGGTATTCACTTTCTCCAGTCCAGTCCAAAGCAATCCTGATTGTAAAAGACTAGAAACTTTGTCAGTCCAAGTCTTGCTTCCTTTTAAATAAAGCACACAGGAGAGTCAGCAATACATGCAATTTAAAGCAGATTCCTTTAAGATAATTTTATATACAGTTGAAGTCTGTTCGTAGGCTGTAAAGGGTACAAGGAGAAGTAGACATCTGTAAGAGAAGGCCATAGTCTTTGCTTTCAGTAGATACGTGAATTGTGGGCTTCCTAATTAGGATGTATAATTGTATTTGATGTAGCCGTTTGATTAGTTTAATAAGATAGGTTGTGATTGTATATGAGCAACATCTTATTAATCAGGCCACTTGTTAAGCCATGCATCTTGTGTCTAGAGATAGTGGAATACCAAAAGGTTGGAGTTATGAAACAGTGGAATAGTCCACCTTGGGTACAGGCAGTAAGGGGGTACATAATTTATAGAGAATTTAGAAACAAAATAAAATTAACCGCAAAGTGAGTCTGTTTTTTATCCTCACCATGCTAGCAATACTAAACAATATCAGTGATACAATACTCGTTCCCACCAAGAACTGCTCTCACCAACCTTCCTTGTACCACTCCAGAACAGGGATTCTTAACCTACAAGCCCCTCAAGAGGTCCATGAATAGAATTCAAGCAATCAGTCCATGAATGTGTTTGGGGAAAAAATTGAATCTTTATTTTTACTCATCTCTAAAGTTTAGCTTTTGTTTTTTTCTTTTGAGAATGTAGGCAATAGATCAGAGTATTGACAGTCTGTTACAGGTATTTCATGATACGGATTATGGCCATGCTACTTAGAAATTTAAGTAGTTATTAAGCATACTGCCAGTTCTTGTTTAATGTGTTATGAAGCACATAGAATATTATATCAAACTTTTGTTCTTCTCATGTTTCAAAAACTGAATTTTAGTATGATTAGTATCCTTTGTAATCCTATTCATTGTATATATCATCCCAAAAAGTCTACTGATTTCACCAGACTTCCCGAGAGAGACATGTATGGAAGAAAAAAGGTTAAGACTTCCTGCAGCTGAAATCAGATTCCACAGAAAAGCAGTTACAAAACCCATAGAACTGTAGAGCATTGAAAGATCTTAGACATTGTCCAATTCAACCTAAAGAAACTCAATGAGGCCAAGTAATTTCCCCAAAATCTAGGGTAAAAAGCAGTACAGCTATCTAACATTCAACTGGTATAGCTGTAGGACTACTACATCAACATAGAGATTGTCTTTAAAATACACTGAATGGTAGGTAATTCAGCCCCATGATTTCATGTGACTCCCTTTTCCTGTAGTTACCATTTCTTTGTGGCTTAAAACATTTAATTTTGTTGTCTCTGTCATCTTTTTATGAGAAGGGACATACAAATTTTTTTTGTGGCTTATATTTGGGTATTTCATGTTACCATTTAAATTTTTTTAATTGCATTTATTTTAAAGGTTTCCATTAAAGACAAGTTTAAATCAAGCATTATATGTAAAATAAGCATGTATTGAATTTGACTAATAAATTAAATGTACTAGGCATAAGAACAAAATGTTATCCTTATATATCCTTACATAATCTTATTGTATTATTAAAGAAAAATGGTGTATACTTAAGCATATGTATAGAAAATCAAATATGGTTCAGGATATAATCTATTTATCCTGATAGGCATCATATATTTTACTGTACTTGGGGGTCGTTTCATGAAAATAATGTCAAAAATTAAGGAGCACTATGTAGTTTTTATGTTCTTATAGCTTCTTATTATTGTAATTAAGTTTTAATCTTTATTAAAATCACTTCTTTTTAGCTTAGCATACCAGAGGATGAGTTGGGAGGCCCTGAAGAAGTCAATTAATGGCCTTATCAACAAAGTCAACATTTCCAACATAAGTATTATTATTCAAGAGCTTCTTCAAGAAAATATAGTTAGAGGAAGGTAAGTATTGGCTATTTTATTTGTAGTATTTCTAAGTATTTTTTCAAAGGAATATAATATCTACATGAACAATAATCATTGATTTATTGTGCTACTTCATTTCAAAGGTCATTGAGAATATTTATTTAAAATGCAGGACTTATAAAAATATAGACTGCTAAGAAATAACTTGTGCCTTGCTGTTAGAGGTTGTATGGAATTTTTGCTTTTTGAGAAGCTTTGATTTCACATAATGGTTTTTGCAGACATTTACTTAATGCCTCCAGTAATTTAAACTCATGAGGAATAACGAATGTTAAAATATACTACCTCAAACTAATTTAATTTTTTATTTCTTTTTTAAATTGACAAGTAAAAATTGTGTATATTTGTGGTATACATCATGATGTTTTGATATATATGTACTTTGTAGAATGACTAAATCAAGCTGTTTAACATGCATTCACATGCCTGTCATTTTTTGTGGTGAGAACACTTAAAAATCTACTCTGTTTTCAGCTTTCAAGTATATAATATATGGTTATTAACTGTGGTCAAAATATTGTAGAATGGATCTCTGGAACTTATTCCTCCTGTCTAACTGAAATTTTGTGTCCATTGACCAACATCTAAATTCCCCCAACCCCCAGCCTCTGGTAACCATCATTTTATACTCTGATTCTATGAGTTCAGTTTTTTTTAGATTCCGCATATTAGTGAGGTCATGCATTATTTGTCTTTCTGTGCCTGGCTTATTTCACTTAGCATAATGTTCTCCAAGTTCACCTGTGTTTTCCCAAATGACAGGATTTCCTTTATGGTTGAATAGTATTCCATTATACATGTATACATTTTCTTTATCCATTTATTCACAACAGACACTTTAGTTGTTTCCATATTTTCACCATTGTGAATAATGCTGCAATAAATGTGGGAGTGCAGATACCTCTTCAACATACTGATCTCATTTTCTTTGTATATATACCCAATAGTGGGATTGCTGGATCAAATGGTAGTTACAATAAAAAAAAATTTTTTTTATATTGATTTATTTTAGAGATGGGGGTCTTGCTTTATTGTCAGGCCGGAGTACAGTGCATGGTCATAGTTCACTGCCCCCTTGAATTGCTGGGCTCAAGGAATTCTCTCACCTCAGCATCCTAAGTAGCTGGGACCGCAAGCACTCACCACCACACTGGGCTAATTTTTTAATATTTTGTAGAGAATGAGGTCTTGCCATCTTGCCCAGGCTGGTCTCGTACTCTTGAGCTCAAGCAGTCCTCCCGACTTGGCTTCCCAAAGTGTTGGTATGACAGGCGTGAGCCACCGCACCTGGCTGGTAATTCTGTTTTTAATATTTTAAGGAACCTCTATACTATTTTCATAATGGCTGTACTAATTTATATTTCTACCAACAGTGTACAAGCATTCTCTTTTCTCCATGTCCTTGGCAACACTTGCTATTTTTCATCTTTTTTATTACAGCCATTGTAACAGTTGTGAGATGTCTCATTGTGGTTTTAATTTGTATTTCTTTGATAATTGGTGAGGTTTAGCATTTCATATATATATATATGCTATTTGTACATCTTTTGAAAAATGTCTGTTCTTGTTTGCTCATTTTTTAGATTGGGTTATTTGTTTTCTTACTATTGAGTTGAATGCCTAATGTGTTTTGGATATTAACCCCTTATCAGGTGTATGTTTGCAAATGTTTTCTCCCATTCTGTAGGTCATCTCTTCACTCTGTTGATATTTTCCTGTGCTGTGCAGAAGCATTCTAGTTTTATGTAATCCCATTTGTCTCTTTTTGCTTTTGTTGCCTGTGCTTTAGGGGTCATATCCAAAAAATCATTAACCATACCAGTGTCTCAGAGCTTTTCCTTTGTATTTTTCTTTTAGAAACTTATAGTAGTTTCACAGTTTCAGGTCTAATGTTTAAGTCTTTAATCTGTTTTGCGTTGATGTTTGTATATGCTGTGGGACTAAGGTCTATTTTCATTCTTCTGCATCTGGGTATTCTGTTTTCTTGGCACCATTTATTGAAGACACTGTCTTTTCCCTATTGTGTCTTCTTAGCATCTTTGTCGAAAATCAGTTGACTGCCAATGTCTGGATTTATCTCTGGTTTCTTTGTTCTCTGTAGCTCTATGTGTCTGTTTTTATACTATTGTCATTCTGTTTTGATTACTATAACTTTGTAGCAGATTCCAGGTCAGGGAGTGTGATGCCTCCAGCTTTGTTCTTTTTGTTCAAGATTGCTGTGGCTATTTGGAGTTTTTTGTGGTTCCATGTGAGTTTTAGGATTGTTTTTTCTATTTCTGTGAAAAACGTAACTGGAATTTTGATAGGGATTGAGTCCAGTCTGTATGTTGCTTTGGGTACTGTGGACATTTTAACATATTATTTCAGTCCATGGACATGGGATGTCATGCATGTTCTTCCATTTTTTCATCAGCAATTTGTAGTTTTTAGTGTACAGCTCTTTCATCTCCATGGTTAGATTTATTCCTAACTTTTTTTTTCATAGCTATTGTAAATGGGATGTTTTCTTGATTTTTCAGAAAGATAGTTCATTGTAAGCATATGGAAGCACTACTGATTTTTGTATGTTGATTTTGTGTCTGCAGCTTTACTAAATTAGTTTATTAGTTCTAACAATTTTTTGGTTAAGTCTTTAGGGTTTTCTATATTAAGATCCTGTTTACAGCAAACAGGCTTCTCTATTTTTGATTTGGATACCTTTTATTTCTTTCTCTTGCCTAATGGCTCTGGCTAGGACTTCTAGTACTATGTTGAATAGAATTGGAAAGAGTAGGCACCCTTTTCTTATTCCTGATCCTAGAGGAAAAGCTTTCAGCTTGTCACCGTTGAGTATATTAGCTATGGGTTCGTCATATATGGCCTTTATTCCAATTTAATTTCTAGTGAGAGTGAAATGGGAATGTGAGAGAAATGGGAAAGATGAGCAATACATTTTAGAAAAGCAGAAGGGAATCACCGTATTCTATAAGAATATGTGGCTTTAAGCAATTGGTGATATTTAAAAGGGTCAGAAAATAGAATTACTCCATGTTGTATTTATTATTTTAAAATCTGAGGGCTGTTTTCTCATGTCATTTTACATGACTATGATTCATCTTTAAAAAAATATGGAATGTAGTGGCCAGGCACGGTCGCTGTAATCCTAGCCTGTAATCCTAGCACTTTGGGAGCCTGAGGCAAGAGGACCACTTGAGTCCAGGAGTTGCCTGGGCAACATTGTGAAAACCTGTCTCTATGAAAAATACAAAAATTAGCTGGGCGTGGTGGCACACAGTAGTCCCAGCTCCTCCGGAGGCTGAGGTGGGAGGATTGCTTGAGCCCAGGAGGCAGAGCTTCCAGTGAGCCAAGATCGCCCCACTGCACTCCTGCCTGGGTGACAGAGTGAGACCCTGTCTCTCCCCAACCTCTCCAAAAAAGGTGGGGGTATAAAGTAGGAGCAGCAAGTTTTAGAGGTAGAGAAAGTTGATCAAGAGACAGCCATTATCCTCAAAAGTGGGCAGAGATCTCTCCAATTTACTTAGAAAAAAAGTAGACTTAGAAGAGTTATGGATTGCTAAAGATACTATAATTTATAAGCTGCATCCTTTTTCTTATTTTCCACTCTAGTGATTCAGTTGTCATATCTAAAACTACCATTAAGACTTTTTTTCCTGACTTTTGGCAATCCAATAATTACTTGTCATTACATTGCTAAAAGTAACTTTAGTTTGCCCAATTTGCCTTTCCCCTTCCTCATCAAATGCATATAGAAACATGACCATTTTCAAAATGAGTTACAAGTAGGTACCTTTTAATTTCCTGTTACTGTTTTAGCATTAATCTGGCATTGCTTTTAATTCGTTTCTTTATTTCTCACAGGAGTATTCCACATCTTCATTTTATTCTACTAAAATTAGACTTAAAGATTTAAACCCAAATTTGTCTTTAATCACAAAATTAATTTTATAAAAATGACAGATCTGTAGTAGAAACTTTATGTTATCTACCTTTTATACTTTTGAAGCAGGTCTGCTTTTGTTTACTTTTTAAAAAATGTTAAAGAAATTATTTATATGAACCTTTTTAAGGTTCAAATTCATGATTAGATATAACAGACTGGGAAAAGAGGAATTATATGTAGAGAGAAAAATTTTGGTGATAAATTGCAGTAAAATCTTCATTCTATTTTACAAAATCACAAATTCACATTTCGTTTTCTGAAAAACAATTTTTATTTATTAGTAAGACAAACTCTTTCCAGTTAGTTCTGATTTAGATTTTATGATTACTTATAGAGAAATATTACTGAATTTTAATAGTTTTTGTTTCGTTTAATTAATTTGGTGATTATTGTTGACTCCTTTTTAAATTCTTTTTTAAACAGAGGACTGCTGTCCAGGTCTGTTTTGCAAGCACAGAGTGCTTCTCCAATCTTCACCCATGTTTATGCAGCATTAGTGGCAATTATCAACTCAAAATTTCCACAAATTGGAGAATTAATCCTCAAAAGGTTAATTCTTAATTTTCGAAAAGGCTATCGAAGAAATGACAAGGTATATATGAATGGCTTGTAAGTAGAATGATACATAGGAACAAACTAACAAACCAGTATCAACAAAAGTAAGCAAGGTTGATTTTGACACAGCTACATAACATAATGCTTTTTAAAAACTGTCTTTCATGAGAACTTCTTTGATCTGTTAAATATCCCTGGCCACTATTGATGAGCCACAAAAATGATGGCTATAACTGTAGAACTATAACTATTTAACCAGAAGGGATACTCTTTCATGTGTTTTATTTTGTAACTTTCTTATAATGTAAAAATTATACTTGTGTGGTACATGTTTTAAATAGATGATGTTAGTAGGCCATAGATTATGTAAATAAATGAAAATTGGGTTTAGTTTATAGGTTAACTTTCCACCTTTATTTTTCAGCAACTTTGCCTGACTGCTTCAAAATTTGTGGCGCATCTTATTAACCAAAATGTGGTAAGTAATTATCTTCAATACTTGGTCCCATTCAGTGGCATTAGACCAGAGGGTTGATGCCACTTCACTGATACCTCTCTATTTTTGCTTTGCTTTATAGTCCTTGGGATAAAAATGTTGGATGATATTTTCATTTTAAAACTATAATAAATATATTTAATGTTCTTTTTTTTTTTCTTTTTTTGAGATGGAGTCTCACTCTGTCGCCCAGGCTGGAGTGCAGTGGCACAATCTTGGCTCACTGCAAGCTCTGCCTCCTGGGTTCACACCATTCTCCTGCCTCAGCCTCCCGAGTAGCTGGGACTACGGGCACCTGCCACCACGCCCGGCTAGTTTTTTTTGTATTTTTAGTAGAGACGGGGTTTCACCATGTTAGCCAGGATGGTCTCGATCTCCTGAACTCGTGATCCACCAGCCTCGGCCTCCCAAAGTGTTGAGATTACAGGTGTGAGCCACCACGCCTGGCCATATTTAATATTCTTTAATATAACACTTTGATGCTGATCAAAACACTTTAGATATTTATCAAATTAATCTGACTTAATACTGTACATGGTTACTTGACTGCAAACCATTCCTTTGAAGAACCATTCCCTTCATTTTTATAAAACAATAAAGTTGGTATCTCCTCCACTTCATTCCCTGCTGTTCATGAGAATCTAATAAATATCTGATATTCTACAAAAACCTCTATTCCTTGCAACCACACAGGTATAGTCATATATTTTTAGAATCACTTGATAGAATAGAGTTGATCGATTTTAATCTGTTTCAAATGCAGGTAATTTTATCATGCTGTTATTCAGTTTGTGTTTATTTTATATTCATTATTTGATGGTTTTGATTTAGCTTTTATTTAACCATGAAAATGCTAAAATTGTCCTTGCTCATACTCAAAAGTTTCCTTCAGATATATATTATCATTTCCAATTTAATATCATGTATAACAGGAAGAATTTTAAAGTCATGCTTAGTCTTATTTCACTAATATTAAATATTTTGATTCTTATTTACATGAAAATTCTTTCACTCTTACAAATCTTTTAGATTTTGACCTAATTAGTCATCATATTATTACAGTGATAACTTGCTACTTAAGACCATGGAAACTTAATTTCACATCTGTAACCAGAGATATATTTCCGTTTTTAAATGTGTATTACACTTAGACTAGAGATTTTTGGCATTGCCATGAAACACTCGATATGATAAATTTTTTGCATCTTCCAGCTGTGGTACAGGGCAGTATTTTCTTGTCACTGACCTAAGACTGTTTGACACCCCTCCTCCCCTAGTAAAAAGAAGTAGTGGGTGTCTTTGATGTTGTGCACAGCTGGAAGAAGATATCTCCTGAGTTGAGATTTAGACTTCTTTCCTCACCATCTTAAATCACTGTCTGACTTTAGAAAGGCATATGTATGGTGTTTTAAACATTCTTTGTTGTTCGTTTTCTTCTCTTAGCAAACTTCTCAATAGAATTTTATTCCCACTCTTCCTGGCATTGTTTATAAATGTCAGTTTTTGAACGTGGCCAGTAATAGTTTGATTTAATTTTTTAAAAAAAGATAGACTATTCAAAACTGTTGTGTTCCAGAAGTTGTTAAGATATTTTGTGATAAAATTAGTATTCATGTAACTTAAGGACTATTTGTGTCTAATAGAGTTGCTGATAGAATGAATTGGGAAATGTATATAAAGAATTGTGATCATGGAGAAGGGTATTATAAATCATATTACTATTTCTTATGTAGTAATTATGAAAATAATTACCTTATTAGAAAGTAGTATATGATTTTTAACATATTTTATCTATGACACTTTCCGTACATAATGGCTAAGAATATTTCTTCTGAAGATAATTCAAATAGTTGTATTCAGCATAGAAAATTAAGATTTTTGAAACAGTCATCTGAAAATTCTTAGTAGACAGATAATAAAAGTGATAGAAAAATTGTATCCCATATTTGGAGTATTTCCATGTGCTTTATAAAACTTTGCCCATCATATGTGCAATATAATTATTGTAAACAGATTTACTAATTTTTAGAAATTATAAAAATAATTTAATGTATGTAAAAGCATTTTGTTTCTTCCTTGTATATGTATTTTATTTAAGGCACACGAAGTATTATGCTTAGAGATGCTCACTTTGCTCCTGGAAAGACCAACAGATGATAGCGTTGAAGTAGCTATTGGTTTTCTTAAGGAATGTGGCCTCAAATTAACACAAGTGTCACCAAGAGGAATCAATGGTAAGTGTACATTCATAGTTTGATGTTAAGTTTTTATTATATTTATTGCTTATTTTATTGTCTTTTCTTTCTGTTAACTTTTAGCTATATTTGAACGCCTTCGAAACATTCTGCATGAGTCTGAAATTGACAAAAGAGTTCAATATATGATTGAAGTGATGTTTGCTGTACGGAAAGATGGATTCAAGGACCACCCCATTATCCTAGAAGGTCTTGATTTGGTGGAAGAAGATGATCAATTCACTCATATGCTCCCTCTGGAGGATGACTATAATCCAGAAGATGTTCTTAGTAAGTCCGGGGCATGTTAGTTGGAAAGAGGCTTACCAACAAATGTAAATATAGAAAATAAACATTAACTTTTACATTTTTTTTAGATGTTTTCAAGATGGATCCTAATTTTATGGAGAATGAAGAGAAGTACAAAGCTATTAAGAAAGGTATGTAAAATTTTATAAAATAATTTAGTTTGGATAAGTAGAAGCAATTTAAGTAGTTACGTAATACTGATAGCAAATATTTAGAGATCCCCACCTAATGAATCGCTGCTCTTATAAAGTTATTCTCTTAGCTGTTTCCTCGGGCATTATTTTTTTCCTGGTGCTTGCCCAGGGTTTTTTACTTCATTCTGAATTACTTACCCCATTGTTCTTTCCTCTTTCCCTCTAAACTATGCAACACTTACGTCTCACCCATCTTAAGAAATATTCATAGATTAGTGGTGGCCTTTATTTAGCTTCTCTACCATTTACATTCTGTGCCACCCAGTTTAGTATTCAATTAAGTGGTATACTTTATTGTAAAGTGCTATACTTTATTGTTTCTTGAGGTCAGGTTAATATCCTTCTGGTAGGATGAATCATAGTATTGGTGCCTCTCTGATAAAATAAATTGATCATTTTCATTTGTACATCATTGGTATATTGTAAGTACTAACTTTGGACAGGTTTTGATGTGTAATTTATCTTTGACATTACTAGCTGAGTGACCTGTAGCAAGTTACTTGTTTGTTGGAAGACTAAATGTTACCTTTCTATGGAAGGATATATAAAACACAGTGTTGTGTATTATCACCTACAATGATAGCTATTATTAGTTACTATTTTCACATTTGTATTATTTTCCTCCTAAAGCTAACACTCAGGCCTACTTACATAATAATTTTATGGGCTTATTTCTCTTGAGTTGTAATTTTACTGGAGAAGTATTTATTGCTGTGGAAGCAATAAAATTTACCTTTGTATTAAACCCCAAAAGTTTGTATTAAAAGCTCTCTGATTATAATAGAAATGTAAAGAGTTGGTTAGCTTTGCAAAATCTTTTATCAGGCTAACAGCACCATTGGGCAAAATGTAATTTTAGTTTTTGTCATTTGTTTGCTTTTAACATAAAGACCAGCCTTATGTAGTCTCATATACAGAGAAAGCAGAAACCTAGAACTCTGTCTCTGTCTGCATTCCATTGTTCAGTAGTGCTTAGAAGTAGAAGGTTGAAATGAAAAGTAAAATTGGGAGAAATCTTCCATTCCTCTGCATTATCCTAAAAACCTGTTATAATAATGAGTTTCTCTTCTTAGATGCTGATTTCCTAGGAGCTTTTCACTGTAATATGCCAGATTCTTTTTTTCTGTTATAATTTCATTTCCAAACAGAGAACTCCATAGATCCATTTTGCCTTCTTTTCTTATGAACCTCTTTTCCTACAGTCTCCCTGAAAAATGCCAAATGTTTTTTGTGAAATTCTTAGATACACCTGATTTGATTTCTTTCTTTTTTAAACTTGAGAATTCTCTATCCATTTCTTTAGCATCTAGGCAATTGGCCAATGCCTGGAAAGTAGTACTTTCTTTTATTATAGCAGTTCTCAAATTCTTTCGTCTCAGGATCCCTTTACACTCTTGAAAATTATTGGCAACTCCAAAGAGCTTCTTTTTATGTGGGTTGTATCTATTGCTATTTACTATATTAAAGGTTAAAACAATATAAAAGAATATTTATTAAATTATTTCAGAATAATAGCAAACCTAGTATATGTTAACATAAATTACATATTTTTATGAAAATCGTTATTTTACGGGCCGGGCATGGTGGCTCATGCCTGTAATTCCAGCATTTTGGGAGGCGGAGGTGGGCGGATCACGAGGTCAGGAGTTCGAGACTAGTCTGACCAACATGGTGAAATCCTGTCTCTACTAAAAATATAAAAATTAGCTGGGTGTGGTGGTGCATGCCTATAATCCCAACGAGTCAGGAGGCTGAGGCAGGAGAATCGCTTGAACTGGGGAGGTGGAGGTTGCAGTGAGCCAAGATCACGCCACTGCACTCCAGCCTGGGCGACAGAGCGAGACTCCGTCTCAAAAAAAAAAAGAAAAATTGTTATTTTACAAAACAAATTTAGTGAGAATGGTGTTTTTTATATTTTGTATTATATATATATTTTATAAAATTTTATTTGTAAAGTTTACTGTCTGGCCTAATGGGAAGCAGCTGGACTCTCATATCTGTTTCTACATTCAATCTATTGCAGTAGGTTGTTTTAATTGAAGTATGTGAAGAAAATCTAGCCCCAGATAGATATGTAGTTAGAAAAAGGGAGCAATATTTTAACAGCCTTTTCAGATAAATGCCAATATTTAACAACTAGTAATTTTAAGATTAATTGCAGTGTGAATTCTGAAACAATATCAATGAACTTTGATAGTGTTGCATTAGAATCCATTTGTCACTTTAAATAAATCTTTTACTCATGCATGATTTTGTAATGTTGCATTAGTCATTTAGAAAATACTAATTCGCTGAGTTATGCACATCTTTTAAATGTTAACATTAATATTATCAAGATCAAATTAACATGTTGATATAATACCTAGATAGCACATTTAATAATATTACCACCGCTCTCGTCCAAAAAAATCTAAGTGTCGGGGAACTCACAAGCTCACAGAGATGGATATAGGTTTTTCAAAATTCTTGAAAACCCTAATGTTTTCATCATCGCAGATATTGTTAGTTGTTTTCCCCAAAGTGACAGTCTCAGTTTGTTTGCATTTGAGAAATTGTTGGCCAAATATCTAACAACTATAGTTAGTTGGCCATTTTTTTCAAGTAAAAATGAAAAAAATAGCTAATTCATCTTGCAAAGCAAGCAGTCACACAAGTGGTTTTCCTTGACATAACTGTCACCATTGTATATATGTCTTTAACAGAAGGGCTATATATATGAACTTTATATTTCATCACTCAGATTAGGATAAAGTCCTATATTCAGGGCTGAGATTTAATAAAATTCATCAAGGACATTCTCAGATGAAACTGGCTTTCTACTTCAAGAGGGTGGCAGTAAAGAATACATTGATTACTAGTGAAGTTTGATGCCTTGTTTAGTGCTTAGGTTACAGAAGTTTTAACCTCCATTGCTTTTGGATCATCATCACAGATGTCAGCACAGTGAAAGGGCAGATACTGTCTTGGTATTATTATGAAAATAGTTTTGACCTCCAGACCACCTCACAGGTCTCAGTGATCCCCGATGGACTCCTAGACCATGCTTTGAAACCACTCCTTTATTCAGTTAATGAAATCCAATTGTCCTTGCCTAAGTGATACTAATAAGTAGAGTCTAAAGTGGAGAGATGAGAAGAGGATGATGTAAATGATTAGACAATTCATTTGACCTTCATTGTTTTGTAAAACATTCTTCTAGAGCTGGCATAAAAAAATGGCCCCAGCAGGAAGTGGGCACAGCTTTAGTAATTAGCACCTTCGACTGACCCAGGTGTACTTGTGTTTTAGCTCTTAACAGCGTTTGGGAAAACAGCAGGAATGCCTGTCTTCCTACTATTGAATACTAAATAGTTTCTTTTAAAAGTCTGT
Organism: Homo sapiens; assembly: GCF_000001405.40. Classification (NCBI taxonomy): domain Eukaryota; kingdom Metazoa; phylum Chordata; class Mammalia; order Primates; family Hominidae; genus Homo; species Homo sapiens. The sequence continues at coordinate 179,967,068 of NC_000002.12, read as the reverse complement.
CTAAGCCATGTTGCATAGTAATAAACTAGATACTTCAGATTATCTCTTGAATTCACATTTGTTTGAAATATTCTTGAGATTTATATGTCAGATAAGGGCTGCATGACTACTCTTCATTTTTGTAAAATGATTTGTGTCTCATAATGTGAAGTTCTCTGCTAACTTTCATTATGTGTCTCCTGATTTATACTGCTTAAATATAAAGAAATTAGAATTTTTCTTAAAGTGAATTGGTCCCAGAACTTTGTATTAAAAACCCTCTGATTATAATAGAAATGCGAAAGTAAAGAGTTGGTCAGGTATGCAAAGTCTTTTATCAGGCTAACAGAGCACCATTGGACAAAATATAATTTTAGTTTTTGTCATTTGTTTGCTTTTAACATAATGACTGGCCTTATGTAGTCTCATATACATCACTATTTTCATCCAGCTCTGAATATATCATTTGTATTTTTAAAAGTGATCATCTAATACAGTGCTTGTCTTACCAGTTGTCTTAAAGGCTTTTAAACTTCTGTTTCTGTTTTATATATGAAAAGTCTTTGAATTTATTGTAATGTTCAATTTAGAGATATGTATTTTAATAAAAATCTCATTACTATTTATTTCAAGTGAACACTAAATTATGCAATTATTTTCTCTCCCTTCTTTGTCTTTCCAAGTACATTCTTAGCCTAAATTCTTGTTTTCTGTATCTAGCCTTAACTTTTTGTAATGGACTGTCTTCTTTCTGATGATGAAACAATATTTTGACTCCCATATACTAACTTCTATTCCTAATATTTGCCAGTGCTCTTGCTCTTTTCAAAAACCATCGTCTACTTTTTCTTTGTTTTTTTCATCTCCTTGTTTCATGGACACTTTTTATGTGGCAGAAGAGTGATACATACAGCTCTCTTTAGTCAAATCAGTTATAATGCTTTTTGACAACCTAGGCAATAACACGAGGCTTGGTGGTTATCTTTGTTGGCTAGCAAACTGTTACACCACAGTGGATTTCAACGAACTGAGAATTTATCTTCTTAGAATGAAATACATGTATATGACTTGCACATTTTTTTCCTAAACTTACTTTGTACTTTACAGAAATTCTTGATGAGGGAGATACTGACTCGAACACAGACCAGGATGCTGGGAGTAGTGAAGAGGACGAGGAAGAAGAAGAGGAAGAGGGAGAAGAAGATGAAGAAGGTAAACATGTAGCATATTCAAATAATATTATAAGATACTCTAAAATTAATTCTAATGTAATCTTCTAAAACAATAGTTCTCAATCTTTGGGGAGAGCAAGGACAGCTGCTGATGGCGTCTAGGAGGTGAAGACTAGGGCTGCTGTTAAACAGCCTACAAACCACAAGACTGCCCCCTACAACAAGATATGATCTAGCCCAAAATGCCAGTATTGCCAAGACTGAGAAACTGCTCAAAAAGTATTAAACAAATTCATTTTTTAACATCAGCACAATTTTAATTTAGTATATTATGCCTTTGATTATATTCTAGACAATGAAAAACATGTTTTCTTATTGAGTTCATGTGATTTATGTAGCCCTGGCAGGAATGTGACAAATGAGAGTGACTGCATATTTGCTGTTCATTTTGGCAAAATAGAGTGAAGATGCCAAAAGCTATATTTACACAGAAGTAGTATGTTCTTCCTCTTCAGCTTTGATTACCTTATTTCACAGAAATAAGCTCGGAACTTTACTTTGGTTAAGGCACAGTTAATAAATACATCAGAACATAAATAAACTGGTCATTATTTACATGTATTGCATGTGTGAAGATATTAAAAGTATACATTTGCCTTTTAGGGCATAATAAATACTCTGTCTTATAGTACAATTCTTCTTCTATAACATATTTTGTAAAAATAGATTTAATTTTTTCCAACTTTTTTTATTAAAATTATCTTCTATCCATGTACTACATTTTACTGTTCAGATAAAAACTATTAAATGTTTATAAGGAAAGTTTTCATGCATTAAATAAGAGAAAATTTTAACAAATATATGTATTTATGTTGGACTCATCCAGCCTGTCGTGATGATCTAGTGTTCTCTGCAACTGAATTTTTACGCATGAGTTATACAGTGCGTCTAAATTACCAAGATATTGTTTATAACTCTAGAAATAATATTTTACCAAACAACAGCATGAGTGCAGCCTTTTATAGTGTCTAAATGAGCAGATAACAGATAAACAAAAATAGTTTTCTTGGCTTGGTACTGGACTTCTTTGAGCTAACATTGTCATATAGCAAAAGACTTGAAATAGTTACTTTCAATTCTATAAATACTAATTTACACAGTAAAAAGATAATATTATTAAATTTGTATTGATTCTAAATAGATTTTTGAAGAAAATGCTATACAGAGTTACATTTTAACTTCATCACATTTATTTTTGCAGTTGTGTAATTTTGTTATGTTTCTTTCAGGACAAAAAGTAACTATTCATGACAAAACAGAAATTAACCTGGTCTCATTTCGTCGTACAATTTATCTTGCTATTCAGTCAAGGTAAGGCATCATATCTCAGTTCATCCTTTTTTTGTTTTTGATAAGGGATGGGTAAAGAGATCAGGGATACATTTTAGGGTCTCATAACAGAAAACTGGACACCATTTCAGCATTCTTAGACTCTCTCCCCCATCCCATGCCCAAGCTCATAGTACCTTTCTGTTGGTTCTTTGCTTTATAGGCAAATTGTTTTTACTTAATGGGAAGGTCTAATTGTGTTACCTAATTAAATGGTTTTTTAGCTATATCATTTCTTATAGTTAAGTGCCACTAATAAAAACTTGAAAATAATTCTGTTTTACAAGATAGCAGAGTACCTAATTTTATAATGAAAATGTAATATTTAACATTTTTAAAATTTGGTTTCTAGTTCTGATTCTAGGCAAAGAAGCACTGTTGTGATGACTGTTGGACAGTGATTTGCTCTGCAGATGTCAATGAGTATAAACAGAAATAGGAATTAGACTTAGGAAGATTTTGAGGACTCTTTGAAGTAATGCTAAGTAAGAAGTAGTGTGATGTGATGTCATGAAAACAAAACCTATTCCCTTTGAAGGATGTGAATTTGGTTTTGAAGAGAAATAAATGAGGATGTTAAATCTTAGTGCATCTGGTAGTTTGTATGTGAATCAACCTATTGATTTAATAGGCACACTGTTTACATTTTACACTGGAGGAGAAATGTTTTCTCAGTTTTCTTTCATTACTAGGTTTAGTATATTTCCATTTAGGATGATGTAATAGCAGTAATGATTCATAAGTAGGAGTCATCTGTTTTCAGTCTGAACATTTTTTGGCTTTAGGTTTATCTTCAAATAGAGGAACGTTAAACAGCAAAACATTGGTTGGGAATTTTTTTGCTTTATCCTTACTTATTTTCTCTTCACATAAAAAGTATTAAATATGGCCGGGCGCGGTGGCTCACGCCTGTAATCCCAGCACTTTGGGAGGCCGAGGCGGGCGGATCACGAGGTCAGGAGATCGAGACCATCCTGGCTAACACGGTGAAACCCCGTCTCTACTAAAAATACAAAAAATTAGCCGGGCGTGGTAGCGGGCGCCTGTAGTCCCAGCTACTCGGGAGGCTGAGGCAGGAGAATGGCGTGAACCTGGGAGGCGGAGCTTGCAGTGAGCCGAGATGGCGCCACTGCACTCCAGCCTGGGCGACAGAGCGAGACTCCGTCTCAAAAAAAAAAAAAAAAAAAAAAAAAGTATTAAATATTTTTTCATATAAACTTAAAGTGAAAAGTGAGAAATATTTTCTCAGAGGTGAATATTCTTTGGGTTTGACCTTTCATTTGTTTGTCCTTTTAGAAATCCAACAGTCATCAGTTGTGAGCAGCAGATTTACTGTGTTAGTATTGCAGTTACATTAACTTTGAAGAGTTACAGTGGAGCTCTTTGAATAATTATTTAAAAGAAACGTAACCTTGATAATCTCTGAATCACACAAAGGACTTGAAAAATTAAAGCATTAAAAAACAAGTAATAGCCACTACTACATAGTGGTGTCAGTCCTAGTAGCAGTAACTCCTGTCTTAGATGTTGATTTTCTGTGGGGATTTTTTGTTATTTTTTTTAAACATTATTAATTTTAATTAGTTAATTTTTATTTATAATTGACACATAATAATTGTACATATTTATACCCTAAGGGTGATTATACATTGTATAATCAAATCAGGGTAATTACCATATCTATCTCTTTAAACATTCATCATTTCTTTATGGTAACAACATTCAAAATCTGGCAACATTGTTATTTGCTATAGCCACCCTGCTACGTAATGTGAATCAAGGGCTTTTTGTTCATGCTATTTGACCCTTGTTTTTATTACTGTATTTCCTAAAGATATAAATATGGACACATAATTATATACAGAATTGTTTAGTGCAAAAAAAAAATGGAGACAATCTTATTTTCTACCACAAATAATCAAAATATCCAGTCTATGCCACCACTGAAAATTAGGTTAATAGAGAATTGTTTTAAATGTGAGCAAACAGTGTGATGTAATATTAAGTCAGATAAAAACTATATAACTATATAGAATTGTGCTTGTAGTATTTTCTTAACTGTAAAAATAGGCAGATTCTAGAAGTAATATGTTAACATATCAACAGTGATTATCTTAAGGGGAGGTTTATGTTTATTATATGCCAGGCTAAAAATCAGGAATAGGATGTAATAATCAAGCCAGGTGGCTATGAGGGCATCTTAAACAGTCCACTTTTGAAAATCTTGTGAACAAAAACGAAGTTCTGGCAACTGAACTGTGTGGAAATTTTATTTTTTAAATTTGTTTTTGTTGACTAATCTCACCAGTAGTCTTATCTTCCTTCTGTTATGGCTCCTTAAATACCCTTTTTTATATGCATAAAACATTAAACTACACAATTGCCTTTGCTATTAAAAATAAAACATTCCTCTTTGTTCTTGCTTTTAAACGATATTCCAGTCTGATTTTATTTTATTGAAGTTGTAACATCAGTGGGAGATGGACTGCCATGTCCCCACCTGTTTAGAGTTTCTGATATTGGACACATCAACAAAACCATTTGTAAACACAACTTGGAATCTGGCATCATGTAAAGAAGACAGTAATTCAGTAAATGTCTTCTTTTTTCTTTACCCTCTCCTCAATTGCTATTAATTTGTGTTAAACCTGAAACTCATTTGGTTTAGCAACCTAAGATGAGAACTAAAATATCAAGAAAATTTAATTCATTTAATATTTATAATTAGTACAACCTAAAAACTGTCTTGGTGTAGGGGGGGTCATTAAATACTTTCAAAATAAAATAAGAACAGGAAAAACAGACTGTCATATAGCTTTCTCCCTGATACTTCACTTAGTAGATAAAAGAAAAGTAGTAACATTTCTTCATCAACTACTCGACTGTTTTTCAGAAATTTCAGGATTTTGTCTCAGTACTAATTTCGTTTTTTAAAAGAGCTGGAAAAGAAAAAGTCACATCTGTTTTAAATGTTTTTGGTTTTGCTGTATTATTAAAATGTATCAATTACCGTTTAGTATTTTAATCTTAATGTTAGATACTGTTTAATATTATCTGTTATATAATCTCTTTCCTGATAGGTTTCTTTTTTATTTCATTGCCTTGTACCATCCTGGATTATTACCCTGTTGTGCTTAGGAAACCCTCTAAGTAATAGAAGCTGAGGAATATAGATGAACTGCAAAACTAAGTCCATAATCATTACTTAGTGATGATTTTATGCTGTATTATCAAAAGTAAGGGTGTGGTCATTCCACAGAAATGCAAATATAGTAGCATTATTTCTGAATCAATAAACAATTAACAAATTGAGTTTGCTAATTCTCTTAGGTGAACTATACTGATGATATTTTAAATTCTGTGCATATGAATACTGGGTAAAAGCATATTTTTTTCTTGCAAGTTATTTTATATTTACTATTTTTATATGCGGTATTTATAAAATGTAGATGCCCTGTGTTTAGGATGAACCAAGCTAACTTGTAAAAGTAGTGATTAAGCACTAATGTTATGCTGAACTCCTGGTACGCCTTTCACCTCTTGGAAGCAGTATAGAAAAATATAAGAAATCGGCAATGTCTAGTAAAAGTAGATAGAGTTATGATAGAATAATATATCATTTACTCTTCCACACTGAGATTTTAATGTAAGCAGAGAAACTTGACCTGTGGTTGCTGCTGTCTCAATTAGGACTTTTCCTGGCTTCTCTAAGCACGTGATATACATTTCAAGAAATGACTTTTCAAATTAAGTATTAATTATAGCCTTTTCTTATGCAATATTGGGTGAGAAAGTGTAAATATTCCTGTGTTCAAGTTCTACTTCTGGGACGATGTGGCCAGGAGCAAATTTCAAATACTAATACCTAAGTCTCATTTTTCTCATCTATAAAAATGAGAGTCATATTAGATTGTCTCTAAATCCTTCTGAAATCCTGTGTATAAACCTAAATCAGTATAGTATCCTTTAGGTGTTTTTACCTCCAGTTGTTTCTAATTTACGTGTACATTTGTGAATAAGAATGTATTTCTTAAAAATGTTAGGTAGTTGTAATTATTTTTTTAAAGTATTAACTTTTAAAAGCTTTTATTTCTTTGTCCTCATTGTTAACCATTCTACCTGTTGTTTTATCTAAGCTTTTGAATAGAGTTATTGATTTTTTTCTTTCTTAGATTTATTTAACAACTAATTGTAGAACAGAACAGCTATGTCTCTTTAAAACCTTGAGCATTGGGAAGCACTCTTTGAGATCTGGACCTGATTACCCAGATTTAGAGTACTTAGATTTGTGCTGTAATATGGGATTATCAAGTCAGAACATTTAATAAATTCATTATATACAGTTATTATCCTCCAATGCTTGAAGGAAAAGATATTGCTAACACTTAAGAATTTACTACCGTCATATTTGAGTGACCAGTTTGTAGTGGGAAAACATTCGATAAGCATTATCTGATTGCAGAAATGAGAGAAACTTACACATCATGTGTTTTGTTTCTTAAAATGAAGAAAATCACATAGAATAGAAACCCTTTTATCTGATTAGTTATGGCTTGAAGTTGGTTGGTTTGAGAAAGTAATACAATTCAATGCATATACCTCTTATTTTTATTTTTGCCTTTTTAAGATTGAGATGTTATTCACATGCTATGATACTCACCCTTTTAAAGTGTACATTTACAGTCATGCGCCATATAATGGTTTTTCAGTCAACAATAGACCACATAGGCAATGGTGGTCCCATAAGATTATAATACCATATTTTTACTAAACCTTTTCTATGTTTAGTGTGTTTAGATACATAAATACTTACCATTGTGTTAACAGTTGCCTACAGTATTCAGAAGTACAGTAACATGCTGAACAGGTTTGTAGCATAGGGGCAACAGCCATAGCATGTAGCCTAGGTATATTAGATTGTACCATCTAGGTTTTTGTAAATACACTCTGTGATGTTCTCACATGAAAAAATTTCCTAAGAATGCATTTCTCATTAGATAACCGTGTCATTAAGCGATGCATGACTGCAGGTGGTTTTATTATATTTACAAAGTTGTACAACCATCATCATTGTCTAATTCCGGAACATTTCTATTACTCTAAACTAAACCCTGAGCCTATTAGCAGTCACTTTCTACTCATTTAATCTACTTTCTGTGTCCATAGATTTGTCACTTCTGAATATTTGTATAAATGGAATCATACTATATGTAGTCTTTTGTGTCAGGATTCTTTCACTTAGCATAATTCAAGGATTCATCCATGTTGTATGTATTGGCACTTATCTCTAGAGTTAAGAGCTATATTTTCCTTATATACACAGTACAACAATATGAAATTACAGTTAAAAAAGATGATTTAAAACCATTATTAAAGTAAGATTCTTGTGTATAAGAGTGTACAGTCTATGTTGCAAGCTTTTAACCTATTGTGATCATTTCCACAGTTTAGATTTTGAAGAATGTGCTCACAAATTGCTGAAAATGGAGTTTCCTGAAAGCCAAACAGTATGTTAATACTTTTTCTATTAGGAAATGTATATATTGGTTTTAAAAATGTTTAAGGCTGTTAATGGGTAAGTTTTGTGGATTGAAGCAATACCTCAGTACTAAATATTTATTTTTTAATGTAGGTTTTATATCATTTTAAGTTAACACAAAGCTTAGGGTGTTTCAGATATATTGCTCACTCCAGTGAATTAAATTTTCTGCTCAAATGAGATATGGTAAAAAGAGAGTCTCTGAAACACTGCACTTTATGTAGAATTTCTGAGTTGTTGCCTATAAATCAAATTTTGACTTGAATATAGTAGGAAATTTGTTCTTTAATGGATTATGTGGTCCATCTTCTGGATGCACTGCAGGGGTATCCAATCTTTTGGTTTCTCTGGGCTACATTGGAAGAAAAATTGTCTTGGGCCACACATAAAATACACTAAAAATAGCTGATGAGCTAAAAAAACAAAAATTTGCAAAAAAAAAAACATAATGTTTTAAGAAAGTTTATGAATTTGTGTTGGGCCTCATTCAAAGCTGTCCTGGACTGCATGCAGCCTGTTGGCCACAGGTTGGGCGAGCTTGTGACTAACGCATTCTTTGCAGTAGAAAAGATAAAGATCACAGCACATATTACATTGCTCTAGTTGGATATAGAAAAATTTATATAATTTTCTTCATTCTTTTTTTTTTTTTTTTTTTTGAGCCAGAGTCTCACTATGTCGCCCAGGCTAGAGTGCAGTGGCATGATCTCGGCTCACTGCAACCTCTGCCTCCCAGGTTCAAGCAATTCTCCTGCCTCAACCTCCCTAGTAGCTGGGATTACAGGCACCCTCTACCACACCTGGCTAGTTTTTGTGTTTTTAATAGCGATGGTGTTTCACCATGTTGACCAGGCTAGTCTCAAACTCCTGACCTCAGGTGATCTGCCTGCCTCGGCCTCCCAAGGCAGTGGGATTACAGGCGTGAGCCACCACTCCCAGTCTTCATTCATTAATTCCTTTAATGAAAATGTATTCAGCAGATACTATATGTCAGGCACACCACAAGATAGCTCCATCTTGGCTCCATGGGACTCACTGTCTTACAGCTTGATATACTTCACTTTTCAAAGTATGAGAACCCTAATGCCAAGGATAATAAAGATCAGATTAAGTAGATAAAGTTGCTCTTTCTTCTGTTTTTTTTTTTCTAATGTATATTATATATATTGCTTCCTTCCCATCTAGATATTACATCCTTAGAAAAAACTGAGCCATAGCTTTGGTGATTGTATTTTTCTCACGTTGCTTTAAATGTGGTAAACCGGGCACAGATGCCAGAGTGAATGTATCAGCTCTGATGGGCTGTTCAGTTTCTAGTTCTTCTAGGTCTTCTTGATTATCGGAGCTAAGTTACTGTTAGATATAAATTCTTTGTCCAAAGCCTTTAAAAATGTTTATGTGTTACAGAGGTTGGCAGCCTGCGGTGGAGGCCTGCTGCCTGTTTTTATGAATAAAGTGTTATTGGAATATAGCAAGACTCATTCATTGATATATTGTCAATGGGCTGTTTTCACACCACAGCCGCAGAATAAGTAGTTTTGACAGAGATCATATGGACTCTAAAGCCTAAAATATTTATTATCTGGCCCTTTACAGAAAAGATTTGCCAGTCTTTGTTCTAGAATATAGATTAATTCTTGAAATATAGTGATATGGAATTTTGACAAAAAATTATCTTTTTAAATGTAAAAGATTCCTTTTTTTCCCTTTCAAAGTTTTGTTATTGGTATATTAGTAATAGTGTGCTTGTTTGTACACTGGCCACGCTTGATATGCCATCATTGGAAGGAAATTAATACATTAAAACCCTTAAAATTATAATTGTCACTGAAATTACTGTATGATCTTGTCATGTTATTTGAGGAAGATAATTAAGCCATCATAAATTGTATTAATATTCATTGAGAAGATAGTTATTCCAGAAATAACCTCAGTATATTTTGATAATATTTGGAAAAGTATCTTAGTACATTTATTTTCATGTACTCAAAAGACTCCTAAAATTGCTGTAATAATTAAAATGTTAAAATATTTAATTCTTATAAGCTAGAGGGAATAACTCTTATAATTGCGTTTAGTCTAGGGAAGAAGGTAATTTGTTTTGCAAGTAGTGCATAGCAGTGCTATCAGCATATTACCATGTTTTGTTGTTTAAAACCTGATTAACTGTTATATTATAAAATGTAATGTTGGTAAAAAAAAAAAGTTGAAAGTGAATTTTCGTATATGAAGTTAACATAATTTGGTAGAATTTAGAAAAGCCTTATTTTTTTAGTTTTTAGTACTTTATGAAATTTTGATAAAGTACACCTTTTCAGAACTTACACATTTATAAACATTTAGTGGAGATAACTTGAGATAACTTGAGACTTATCTTTATTTTTATATATATTTATATATATATATAGCACAATATAATGGCATCTGAAAGTAGCCAGCCCTATGTTGTAAAGTGAGGCCTTTGAGCTTTGAGTAGATTGTTCCTTGAGTATCAGTATCTAAAGCGGTGCTGTCCAATACAACTTCCTGTACTGATGGAAGTATTTATATTCTGCACTTTCTAGTACAGTAGTCGCTAGTCACATGTGGCTTTTGAGTACTTGAAATATGACTAGTAATGTGGCTGAAGAACTAAAATTTTAATTTTATGTATAATTTAACATAATTTAAATTTAAATAGCCACTAGCCATAATGGCTAGCGGCTACCATGTTGAACAGCATAATTCTAGAGTATCTGTTCTGTGCTTCTCCAAGGTTCCCTTCCTACCTCTTGCTCTAAGTCCTCCTCTGGAGTCTCTGACAATACTGTTAACATATGCAGTAAATACTTAATTATATAATTTTTTAAAATATTTACTATTTTTAGTTAGGTTATATCCTGTGTTAGTAAATATGACAAAATGTCAAAATTGTTCATTGAAAATATAAAGGTAAAAATTAAAAAGCAACACGTTTTTATATGCTTGCTTTCTGTTTGCACAAAGCAAGTATATTACAGTTACTCTATTTGGAAAATTGTTTTAAGTTTCTGGTAAATCTTTATAGAAAAGATTACACTGATCGTAGATGAATTAACACCTTTTTTCATTTTGTCTCTATTCACCTTATGTTGCTTGAGTTTTTTCATCTATGACATTGCTATAATCAATACATATTTCATTTGAATTATTTCAGGAATTAATATATTAATTAAGAAACTAATTTGTTAAGTAGAAATCATCTGTGATGATAGTATTTCTTGACTGGGCATTTATCCATTAGTTTAACAGAATTTTCAGAGAGGTTTACATGGCGCCTGAATAGCTAATTGGAATAATATACTAGCAGTTATGGAATGATTCCATTTATTTGTATAGATCCATATAGATAGGTCTATATGAATAACATTTATTTTGAGGTGAGAAAATTCATCCACAGAGGTGTTTTTTGATGTTTCTTTATCAACGTTAACTTTATGTTAACGTTGAAGTTGTACCTACTTATGCCTCTGTAAAGACTAATAATGATCTGCCTTTTCCATGCTAAATATATTCCTTAGCAATTGAATTCATATCCTTGGGACATATGTAACTGAATTGTTAGATGTTGTGTTGGTGAGTCTATATTTAAAAGAATTCTGCATAGAATCCTTTAAGAATGCAGTGTATTAAATCTCTCCCTCATATGTCTGTTTCCTATACTAGATTTTCTTGATGTGGTTCATACTTATCATGAATTTAGAATTTTATAATTAATGTAATTAGCATAAATGACTGTGGAAGCTGTCAGCCAGACCCAAGCCTGTAAAAAATGATGAGTTTAACATAGATTGAGGTTTTTATTTTATTTACAAAATTTTTGAACTGTTTTAAACCCTTATTTAAAAATGCAGGCAGTCACTATCATACTGGTAAATTATACAATATTTAGTCTCTTTGTGTTTTGAATCATTAATGTATTTTTTTTCCCAAATAGAAAGAACTCTGCAACATGATACTTGATTGCTGTGCCCAACAGAGGACATACGAAAAATTTTTTGGCTTATTAGCTGGGGTGAGTTCCAGCCTCTACTGAGGGAATTCTTAAAACGAATATTGTAAATTAATGATTTCTGCTTTATGGTCTGGTCTCATTTAAAAACATATTACCACTTTTGCTAAAAGCAAATTATTCTCTCCTTCCTCAGGTTTCCCACTCTCTTCACCTTCCTCTTTTTCTACTTCATTTTTGCAGTGCTTTAACTTTGCATATCACTTTTCCAGAGCTTTTTGGAATTTTCCATGATTTGTAATGATTTCCCAATAGACGACAAGTAAATGCTGTCTTTTCAAAATCTCAAAGCAGTGTCTAAAGTCAAGTACATGTTCAGGCAGCACAATTAAAGCATGATCTAAAATATTTCTTTAAGCTCTACCCTCATGTGATCACCTACATGTATGATTTTGTTTTAACATGTAAATCTCAGGTAATTAGAAACCATATATATTAACTTCTTTTTTGAGCATCATATGGCACAAAAGGATTTAGTGATATATGCTCTTTGAAAATATAAAGCATATTAATAAAGTTTTGATTCAGTAAATTTAGGATTTAATATGCTCATAATTGTATTAACATTCAATTTTTAATGGTACTGATTTTTTATTTATTAGCGATTTTGCATGCTAAAGAAAGAGTACATGGAATCCTTTGAAGGTATATTCAAAGAACAGTATGATACCATCCATCGCTTGGAAACAAACAAGTTGCGAAATGTTGCTAAGATGTTTGCTCACCTTTTATACACTGATTCACTTCCATGGAGTGTAAGTACATGGGTCAATATTTATACTTCCTTCCTAATTCCCTGTTCTCAAATAGATTTTCGTATAAGCTAGCCATATTTATCCTATTATGAAATGTGCTTTAAAATGAAATGTGTAGAACTGCTGTCTTTGAGATTATCATCATGTTATAAGGAATCAGAAAGCTAGGTAAATAATATACAAGAAATACTATCTTTGTATTATATTAACAGTCCAAACATGCCAGTGTTTCGATAGTGATGGCTAGGAGTGTCTTCAGGAAAAGTACTGCAGATTTTCATCTTCTCTGTGTACACACACGTGCATGCACACTCACATCCACATATGCCACTATTTTGGTGGTAAATGTGTCTCTGAATTACTCTCCCTTGATTCCTGAGGGAATAACTCTCCATGGTTCTCTTGTTGGGTTTGAGAAAAAATGATTGTTCTAGAAGGATGTGTTCTTTTTAGCAGACATTGAAGTTGGGTAAGCTATAGAGAGGATATCCTATAGTCATAGAACAAAGAAAGATATATTCTTGATAGGGAAATGTGCACTGGATTGAAATTTGAAAGGCGTTCATTAAGCTGGCATTGATTTTACAGCTGTTTTTCAACCAGTGTTAGTTAGCCACCACTTATATACTGAGTCATTGAGAGAGGTGCTGTGTATTCAGAGTGAATTATACATGGCCCCTCCTTTCAAGAGGGTTACAGTATAAGACCAGAGGTAAGATATGCCCATAGCAATGATACAAAATAAAAAGTCTTAGATTCTAAGAAAAGCAAAATTACTAAAGGAATTTGAAAGAAAGAAAGAGAGAAGGATGAGAAATTACATCCAGGAGGAAAGAACAGGATTATCTTGTAGAATGCCATCCTACTAATGGTAGAATGAGGCAATATCTCAAACTTAAAAACATTGGTTAGATTTTTATAGTACTTTAAGTACCAAGTATGTCCAGCTACATTAATAGGCATTCGTAATCTAACCTAGGAGACTAATTGTAATAATTTTTGACTTCTTTTTTCCCCTCTTTGAGAAAATGAAGTGAGAATTTTAAACAATTAACCAACTAATGGGCCCCCCAAACACATAACCCATAAAAACTAGAGGTTACTTTTATTTTTATTTTCCCTAAAAATATTTCTTTAGGCATTTCAGTTTTTAAGCCACAGTCTTAATATTCAGAATAAACCATTATACTTTCTGTCTTTTTTTAAATCGTATGTTATGTGTGCTAAACAAAATTGTAGCCTAATGTGCTAAGTGGCATTTTGCCCCAAACCTTCATATACACCACATTTTGATGAGTAAGGTTTAGGAGCTAGTAATCTTTACCATTATATGCTCAAGAGAGGATATCTTCCCTGCTATAAAAAGCACATTACTCAAAACAGAGAATGAAATCTATTTCTGTCGCATCTTAACATTTTGAAAGTTAGTATAGAGAAGTAGTTTTAAACTTTATGTCAGCATAAGGGGAGATATTCAGAGATAACTCTGGTTGAAGATGGGAATAAATAGTAATTTTGAGAAACACTTAAACCTACAAATATTGGTCACTATGTCCTGTCTTTTATAAATTAAAATATACTTGTCTTTTTTTATTTTAATTTTCAGGTTCTTGAATGTATAAAACTGAGTGAAGAAACCACTACATCATCCAGTAGAATTTTTGTCAAAATATTTTTCCAGGAACTGTGTGAATACATGGGTCTTCCTAAACTTAATGCAAGATTAAAGGATGAGTAAGTTTGCCATTAAGCACTTTTTATTCTTATTGACCTCTGGTTTTCTCCCATTGTAGCAGACATAAGCCCATCCGAGACTGTAAAAACAAGAGCTAAGCCCCCTGAGACTTTCTTCATCCATTAATCACTGTGAATTTCATGTTATGTCACACAGGACAACATGCAACTTTTAGTGGTGGTTTTTAGTTTAAGTGGAGTTCAAATTAATGCCTTTTTAGATTTTCTTAGAAAATACAGAATTGTTTTTGTATGCTCACTTGAATTCTCCAGTGATATTTATAATTTTATTTTCTTTTTACCCTAATTTTAAGCCTTAGAATGATAACTAATATTATCAGTGGACAGTTTTGAGTATATATTTCATCTATTAATAATTGTTCAAAATATTACATAGAACTAGAGCCTTATTTCAGGATTATTATGTAATCCCCTCTCACCTTTCTTATTTCCTGTTTGTTCAGATTGCCACTTAGGTTGACTTCTACTCCATTGACACTACTGAAATCATCCTTTCAGATTTCTCAGTGACCACCTGCCATATTCAGTTGTCTTTCTCAGGCTGCATGCCTCTTCACTTCTCTGCCTCACTTATGCAGTTGACTACCTACTCACTGTGGCTCCATACTTTCTTCTCACTTCCTCTCTCAGTCTTCTCCTCAGCCTGCCTCTTCAGTGTTCCTGGGTTCCACACACTGTCTCTGGACTATTCCATCCACTTCTCTTGGCTTCATATACTTACTTATTTGGTCCCTGTCTACTTGACCAGGCTCGTCTTCTCTCTCTTCAGCAAGCTGCACTCCAGCCATACCAACACTGCCAAGCTTGTTAAACATATCTGGCTCTTTCATGCTTCCTTACCTCAGTTTCCACTGCTGGCATTCTCCTGTCTTATTGATCTATCTGGGAAACTCTTAATCATTCTTCTTATATTGTACCTTTTTCTGTGAGAAAGTTTTTTCTGACTCCACTGAGTAGTTACTCAGTGTGGTGCTGAAAACCAAATGTCCAAAACCACCTTGTATTGTTAGTGTCTTTCTGGTTGTCTCACTCCATATATATTGTAATTATATGGTCTTCATCCTTGATTTCTCCCTTTTGTTGATGACTTCCACCTCTCCCCCAGTACTTGGCACAGTTCTATGTATGTGTGTGTACGTGTACATACACAACAGAGAAGGTTTTTAAAATTTTTTGTACATATATTCACTATATATACGTGTGTGTATATATATACACTATATATATTCACACGTGTATATATGTGTATATATTTATCTTTCTATATGTGTGTGTGTAAAAAAAGTTTTTTAAAAACCTCCTACATTGTATAATGATAGAAATCAAGTTTGGTACATTATTACTTGACCCTACTCATTTCATTTAGATAGCACGTAGCCTAACCTAATAAATGACATCAACTAGTTACTTGGTTGTATTTCATTTAGTAATTTAATATATGAAAAATCTGAAAAATGACTAAGGATTTTACCTTTTTATCTTTAAGCAATGTGTTCTCTTTTGTTTATTTTTTTCCTTTTTAGAACTCTGCAGCCATTCTTTGAAGGATTATTACCCCGAGATAATCCAAGAAACACTCGGTTTGCCATCAACTTCTTTACTTCTATAGGTCTTGGAGGTTTAACGTAAGGATTATTCTCAGAATTTATGTTCAGATTATAAAATTATCTCATAATTGTCTTTGAAATAGAATCTAACAGATTATATTTTAAATTAGGGATGAACTGCGGGAGCATCTCAAAAATACACCAAAGGTCATTGTGGCGCAGAAACCAGATGTTGAGCAAAATAAATCCTCCCCATCCTCTTCCTCTTCAGCGTCCTCCTCTTCAGAGTCTGACTCATCCGACTCTGATTCTGACAGCAGTGATAGCAGTTCAGAGTCTTCCAGTGAAGAGAGCGACTCTTCATCCATCAGTAGTCATAGCTCTGCCTCAGGTATTGAAGCTTATGTGTAATTTGGCTTGCTCTTTTCTAATAAATATGTTGCTGATATATATGAAGGAAGAAAATAATTTGATTGTTTATTTGTCTTAGAGATCAGTTGTTTAAAAGCCACAATTAATACAAATGGTCCCATCTATCATTCTTGCAGTCTGTAATACAACATTTATAATGCTGGGATTACCTTTTGACATCCTCATCATAGAAATGAAAATATTTCATTCGCAGATACTTATCTGAGTGATGACTGATATGAACCATCCATTCATAATGTTTGTAATCTAGTTTATAGGAGCTATCCTGATGTTTTTATTTTAAATAAATTTTAGTTTTTTACTTTTAATATTAAAGCTGTTTGTAATTGAGATATATCATACATTCATTGTGGATCTCAGATGCTATATGAATTTTTATAAAGGGAACACATCCTCATAGCTAGCACACAAATCAAGATATACCGGTACCCCAGAAGTTCTCTGTGTTTCCTCTCCCAGTTACTACTCCTTCCATCCTCATGGCAGCTACTATTCTGATTTGTAATTTCATAAATTAATTGTGCCTGTTTTTACCTTTAGCATTATGTATTATGGACTCCTTTTTATGTCTGGCTTATTTTTTTACCATTATGTTTGTGAGATTTAGATGCATTACTGCATTTAGTTATAGTTAATTCAGTAATATTGCTATGTAGTTTCCTACTATATGAATATACCACAATATATATTTATCATTTTTGCTCAACAGACTTTAGATTTTCAAGTGATATTTCCATGTATATTCTTGTACATATCTTTTGATGACCTTATTTATTTATTCACATTTCTACTGGGTATGTACCTATAGGTGGAGTCAGTGTGTCATAAGATGTGCATATATTTAGCTTTGGTGAATACTGTCAGTTTTCCAAGTGGTTATTCCTATTTACACTCCCACCGGCCATGTATAAGAGTTTCATTAGCTCCCATTCTCATTAATACTTCAAATTGACCGTCTTTTTCATTTCAGCCATTCTGGTGGATGTGTAATGGTACTGCATGGCGGTTTTAGTTTTAATTTGCATTTCAACTAGAGAAGTTAAATGCCATTTTATCCATTATTGGCCATTTGGATTTTTGTTGTCAAGTGGCTGTTCAAGTATTTTACCAATTTTTTTTAGTTAAGTTGTTTTCTCTGTTGATTTGTAGGTTTTCTTTACATATTCTAGATATGATATCTTTTGTACATATATGTATTGCAAATAACCAGTCCCATTCTTGTCTCTCTAGCCCTGCAAGGCTACCAGACCTCTGGTGTCTCTGTCCCTCAGTAGCATCCCTGAATCAGCAGATGCTCCCAGGGAGAAAGTAGCTGTAGAACATCACTTACTTCTCAATGTTTCTGCTTTCTCCTGCATCTTGGCCCCTCTAGTACTTGTTTTTCCACTAGCTCTCTGATGCCTTTATATTTTTTACTTTGTAACTGTAACCTTTTATTCTGAGCTAATTTTAGATTTAGGAAAGTTGCAAAAACAGTACAGAGAATTTCCATATACTCTTCATTCCAACTTCCCCTAATGGTAGCATCTTACATAACACTGGTTCATTTATCAAACTAGGAAATTAGCATTGGAACAGCATTATTGACTAGACTACAGATGTGATTTGAAAACCAGTTTTACCACTAATGTCGTTTTTCTTATTTCAGGATTCTGCTAGCATTTAATTGTATTCTCAGTTTTCTGCATTCTATGATAGTTCCTCTCGGGCTTTCCTTGTTCTTAATAGCTTTAACACTTTTGAAGTCCTCTGGTCACTTATTTTGTAACCTGTCCCTCAGTATGGAGTTTCGTCTGATGTTTTCTCCTTATTAGAATGAGATTAGACATTTTTGGCAAGAGTACATTAGAAACAATGTGTTGTTCTTAGTGCATCTTATCAAGAGGTTCATAATTTTATTTTGGGTGACAACCTTGATCACTTGAGTAAGGTGGTGTCCACTGGATGTCTTCAGGGAAACTATTTTTCTCTGTGAAAATGTCTTGTAGGGAGGTAACTTGATACTATGCAAATCTCTTTTTCCTCCAGCTTTTACTCACTAATTTTAACATCCATCTTTGGATGGTTAAAAAATCACCTAATGGTGATTTTTTATTTGTCTGTTTTCTTCTACATCTAGTAATTGAATTTCTTCTATAAGAAAGTATTGTCCCTCTTCCCTCATTTATTTATTTAGTCAACTGTAAATATCAATATAGACTCACGGTTATTTATCTTATCCTGTGGGTTAAAGTCCAATACTGTCATTTATTTTGCTCAAATCATCTTAGCTTTGGCAATTAGGAGTTCCTTCAACTTGATTTCTGTGTGCTTTTCAACATTTTTCAATGCAACATTTTAAAATTGTATCTGGCATTTCTAGTTATTTTCAGCAGGAGCACAGGTTTGCCACAGTCTTCTCTATCCTACCTGGAAGTGGAAATGCTATAGTAAAAGATGTTTTCAAAGTTTGATCTGGTTCACAGTTTCTGAAAAGATCTGTGTTGTTTTACCCAAGGTCAGCTCTGCTTTCTTTCATTACAGTATCTTGGTCCAAATAAGGGATTGTCTGCTTATCCTACATGCATGTCATTTCTCATTTTGTTTTGTTTGGATGCAATATTTCATCAAATATGGCATCAATACTTTCCTCTGTAGCCTTAAATTGAAAGGCCAATCTTTACACCTTTGTTCCATAGCTTGTTATGTTTCAAAGTGTTTTACATACTGTGTGACATCCAGAATTGTGGGGCTGTTTTTTTAATTATCAGAGAAAGATTGTTTGCTTACAGGAACTTTTATTCATGAATTGAAGTGTACAAACATTGTTCATTTAACATTCACCATTTTTATATTCTACAGAATTTGTTATTTCATGGTATCCATTTTGAGAACAGATGATAACACAGCATGAATTGCTGCAATAAGGAAGCTTGCTGATTCAAAATTAATTTGCCTTCTCATATAATTTCAGTAGAGAACTTTGTTTTATTAATAAAATACTAAATAGCATAAAAGCAGCATGAACTGCCCCAAAATTAGGAAATTATAATGCAAACATAGCAAACGGAGAAGAGATTGCCTCTTGTTACATGGCTGGGTTTTAATATCAGTAAAGCCCGACAGTGGTGTACAGTAGGATCAAGGGGACGCTGGTTTAGCACAGAGCCAGATGGTTTCTGCTTGGGTAGCTGCAGCTCAGCTGAGCTGTTTGATAGGAACCAGAGAAATAGGTCCTTAGTGGCAAACCAACTGACTGTACCATGTGCCAAAGATATGCATTTAGCGGAAGAAATAGAGGCTGGTACAGTGAGATTTAGGTAGAATTAGGGTGACAAGAGGCACTTTTCTATCATATTTTCTCTTTCTTGCCTATGTATGAATTTGAGAGAAATTTTTGTTATCTTAGCATCTTTGATTTGTGCACCCAAATTAAATAACAGATAAACTGATTAAGTTTGTTTTATTGCTTAAAGTGGTTATTTCAGTATAACCATTTTGTATTTATAG
Source organism: Homo sapiens (assembly GCF_000001405.40). NCBI lineage: Eukaryota > Metazoa > Chordata > Mammalia > Primates > Hominidae > Homo > Homo sapiens. The sequence continues at coordinate 179,946,981 of NC_000002.12, read as the reverse complement.
TTGTGATTACATCAGCAAAATCAAATTGTTTGAGGTCTTTTCAGAAGAGTTTCTACAGAAACTAAGCCTTTGTGGCTCTAATAAAGCCCATGAGTGTAAATCTTAACATATCTGCTCTTGTTGGTGCAGTTAGTGCCTCTCTGATAGTAACAGAGGGGAGAACTATTGTTTTTGCAGGAAGAGACCTTTCATTGAGAAATATATGTTCATGCTGTTAAGCAAACCCAGTTGTTCTACTCCTCCTATGTTTAGGAAGTGAATGCTAGTTTGGGTGATCATTGTATTTTGATCTGACTTAATAGTCCTATGAATAACACTCTATGGGCTGGAATTTCAGCTTTTGGATTCAATTTGTTAAGTAGAAATGTACCATTTGAGTCGCTTTCTAAAATTTTTACATTTGCTATAAAATTTCTGTTTACTGTCTTAAATCTCGAGATCAAAACAGTACTTTGGTAACTAATGTTGAGATATTATATATTCCCCTTCCTCCCTCCCCTCCCCTTCCCCCCCCCCCTTTTTTTTTTTTTTTGGACAGAGTCCCACTTTGTTACCCAGGCTGGGGTGTAGCGGTGCATTCTTGGCGTACTGCAACCTCTGCCTCCCAGGCTCAATTGATCCTCCCACCTCAGGCTCCTGAGTAGCTGTGACTACAGGCTGACGCCACCACAGCTGGCTAATTTTTTGAATTTTTTGTAGAGAAGGGGTTTCGCTACGTTACCCAGGCTGGTCTCCAACTTCTGGGCGCAAGCAATCTGTCCCCCACCCCCTCTGCTTCCCAAAGTGCTGGGATTATAGGCATGAGCCACTGTACCTGGCCTGAAATATTGTATATTCTTAAAAGGCCGAGGCAGGCAGATCACCTGAGGTCAGGAGTTCGAGACCAGCCTGACCAACAGGGAGAAACCCTGTCTCTACTAAAAATACGAAAATTAGCCAGACATGGTGGCAGACGCCTGTAATCTCATCTATTCGGGAGGCTGAGGCAGGAGAATCACTTGAACCCAGGAGGCGGAGGTTGCAGTGAGCCGAGATTGCGCCACTGCACTCCAGCCTGGGCAACAAGAGCAAAACTGTCTCAAAAAATAAAATAAAATTAAGCATTTGGTAAGACTCTGTGTCATCAGACTTTCTATTCAATCAATTTGGCTTTGCACCTAGTTTATCTGAGTTAGTAAACCTACACTGTATCAGTAAATGTGATTGTTATAATTATGAAATTAAGATTGAAATAAAAGCTAACTGTCTTTTATTTTACACACGCAGCTAATGATGTAAGAAAGAAGGGACATGGGAAGACCAGAAGTAAAGAGGTAGATAAATTGATCAGAAACCAGCAAACAAATGATAGGAAACAAAAAGAAAGAAGACAAGAACACGGGCACCAGGAAACAAGGACTGAGAGAGAAAGAAGGTCAGAAAAACACAGAGATCAAAATTCAAGTGGTTCAAATTGGAGAGATCCTATAACAAAGTACACATCAGACAAAGATGTTCCTTCTGAACGAAATAACTACAGTAGAGTTGCGAATGACAGAGACCAAGAAATGCATATAGATTTGGAAAATAAGCATGGTGATCCCAAAAAGAAGAGAGGAGAGAGAAGAAATTCTTTTTCTGAAAATGAGAAGCATACACACCGAATTAAAGACAGTGAAAATTTCAGAAGAAAAGATAGATCAAAGTCAAAGGAAATGAATAGAAAGCACTCAGGCTCAAGAAGTGATGAAGATAGATATCAAAATGGTGCCGAGAGACGATGGGAAAAATCTAGCAGATACTCTGAACAATCCAGAGAATCAAAGAAAAATCAGGACCGGCGAAGAGAAAAGTCTCCAGCAAAACAAAAATAATTCTACAAAATGACATAAACTGGACATGCCTTATATTCAGTTGAAACAAATTATTTTTTACTTTGACGAACTTTATAGAGAATTCTTGTATAAAGTATTGGTTTGTATTTGTAAATTTAAAAAATGTTTTCATTTTAACATGTTTTATAATTGATACATCTCAAGGCCCTACCCATAAAATTATTTGAAAACTTTCACCAGAAAGGGATGTAAGTCTCGCTTATATTTTGTGAATAAAATGATCAAAAGCTCATTGATTCAGTGATGTTTTTTCAATTGACAAAATATTTTTTTAGTTGTTTAAGAAGCTGTTATAGTGAATTATCAGTGCTTTTTTGTTTGTAACTGAAGACCAAAACAGGTGAACCTTTTCAGTTTAACAGTTTTGCTTTGTTAATGAGATGTTATGAATCTTTTTCAGGTAGTCACTTTTTTTTTTTTCAGTAGAGGATTTGTTACAATTTTCATATTAGGCTTTGAACAAAGTATGTAATGTGTAATTTTTTTCACAAGTGTTGGTAAAGCTAGGTGTATGTTACTCTTTAAACCAATACGCAGTTATTTATAATTAGAACTTCTCCCACAGGAAATATTTCTTCTCTCTGGACTCCTTGATATCATTTAATTGAAATTCTTTGTGATTAGTGCATTTTTCTCAGCCTTGAAGTTATATCACTGTTGATGAATTAATGTGTATTTAATTTTTAGTTTAGGTTAATAGATCATTGGAAAACATATAGTTGTGAAATATGCAAGCAGCCTAAATGTAATTTCAGTTTTTTATATGAATTTTAAGGGTTTCCATCATTGTAACTGTTAACTGATTAATTAATATGACCACATTAGTTATTACTTTTGAAATAAATATTTCCTCTAAGATATTAGACTTGCTGACAAACATTTTAACTTCCTTGCTAAATATAGGCTTCTTGTGTTTGCTCACCTTAAAGGTGCATATAGTTCATTTTAGCCAATGTTTGGTTTCAGGAATAGTGGGACCACCATTTTAATGTTTAGTTTTTGGGCATATGCTGATTCAAAATGTTTCCTATTTTTGTTGTTTAACTTGAGTATAAATAACAATAAAATTCATGTAAAGAAATATCCGCTCCTTCTCCCCACCAACTCACAAAAAGCATTCATTCGAATGAGACAGCTTGGATAAATTCCTTTTAGTGTTTTCTCCCTTTGTGGTGGTTAAAATTTGGTGTCATTGGAAGGGACCATCATGGACAGTGCATTCCACAGAACTTACAAGCTGAGCAAATTGGATTTAACAAACATGTAGGCCATGAGCCCTAAGGGAAATAGTTTTTTTTTTTTTTTTTACCTGAACCCTCATCTTCAGGGTTGGTAAAAAGGAAAAAACAGTAGACTAGAAATTTTAGTTTATTTTCTACACTTTAACCTTAGTTCATGACTTTTACATGTAAAAATGGGAACCCATTCATTTTATTAAGTGCTTAAGACCTTAGAGTTATTAGATTATTTTTAAAATGTTATTAATATGTATTAATCTTCTACTGTTTGCTCAGGTTTGTTTTAGGTACTAGAGATAAAACAGTGAACAGAGTCTCTACTCGTTGAGACTTATAGTTCAGGGGAGGGAAATGGTAAACAAAGACAGTAAATAAATAAATATATGATATATCCAGTAGTGGTAAGTGCTATGAAGAAAAGTAAAGCAGAGAAAGGCGAGACTGAGTGATTGGGGGACAGGGTGTATAGACAGAGCAGTTCTTTGATGAGGTGATGCTTGCCCAGATATCTGAACAGAGTGAGGGCTTGAGACATGTGGATTGCTTGGGAAGAACCTTGTAGGCAGAAGGAACAGCTGTAATACAGATGTTTTTTGACAGCAAATATTGCCTGGAAATTTTTGTTAACATTTCCTATTCTACTTAACTTGTGTTTTGTCTTGTGTGTGTGCTCCTCACTATGTTCTATACTCTTATACAAGCAATTAATACCTAACTACCTCTAGCAGAAGTATTTTGAGTATAAGTGAGTTATATCAGAAGCAGAGACTAGAAGCTGGATTGAGGAACTATTCTGTTCTGCTTTGAAAATGCATTTCTGCAGCATCAACTATGATGTATTCACATGTACTGTCTGCCGCTCAGGCAGATTTTTCACCTTCACTCTTTTAATGTGTAAACAAGAAACATGTTGCCTATGTTTGCTATTTCTATATTTTTACACTATTTCAGAGTTAGTATTTTTTAAGGATCAACTGAATTCTAGATACTTTGCATGCTCATTCCTTTTCAGGTTCTCAATTTCCTTGCTTCCAAAGTTCTAATTCTACATCCCTAGCTACCTACTCCCATTGTCATCCCCGTTAGGTTGGCTTTCAAATCATACCACCTCTGAAATCCCTCCTTGAAGCATCATACTTTGGCCACTTCCCAACCAGTTCACCTGCTTTAGTACCACTATTCTAGAAATCCTTCACCTCAGCAAACCTTCTGATCCATTGACTTTGTTACAATCAGTTACCAATCCCCACCCCAGCACTTCTTTACTTCCCTCATTCCGTGATCTATCATTCGAATAGATAAATGAACAAATAACGAATTTAATTCTTTCAAAACAACCCCATGAGAATTGGTATTGTCTTCCTACATCACAGAAGAGGAGACTGGAGTCCAAAGAGACTAATTAGGCTCAGGCCACAAAGTTGATAAGTAGCAGTATTTAACTCAGATCATCTTCATTCCAAAGCACAACTGGAGGATGAATAAAAGCCAGAGAGAAGGATTTGAGAATCAGCTCTGTCTCCTAGCAGCTGTGTGAACTTAGGCAAATTATTTCACTTTTCTGACCTTCTGATTCACCTTTAAAATACTTTTGTCTACCTTACACAGTTGTAGTGATTATTATATGAAATAATGAAGTCAAAGGCCCTAGAATACCATGTAACACAGTGGGCATTTAGCAGAGTTCTTTTTCATAGCATACAGCAAAGATGTGGAAGAAAATTCAGGCTCATCAACTGGTTCATTGATTGCTTCATTCCATCTGTAATGCCATTTATAGTTGAAAAAAACCAGAATCGTGTTAAAGTAGCACAGCAAAATGAATTGATTGTTTTGGAGTTAAGGTGTGACAGAGTAATTATCCATCACTTCTATCATAGTACCTGTTTCCCAGATGTACGTATCCTGTTAGCTCAAGCAACCTACTTCCTGTGTCTTATACCACTACTTCACATTTCTCAAATGTATTATCAGAAACAAAGGTTTTGGCTATCCCAGATAGTTATGAGTGAGGTTTTTATTCTTGACTTGCTTTGTTTACACCATTTTGATTTTGACTTAACTGACGTGTAATCCCCCCCCCCAAAAAATTCATAGATTAGCAGATTAAAGTCTTCCCCATAGATTTTTTTAGAATCCTGATGCCTTTGTTTTCCAATCCAATTCTCACTTCTTCCAATATAGTCAAATGTCTTTTCTGTCTGATCTTTCAAGTTCTTTCATTCTGTTCTGTGTATATTCCACGGAATATTTATTCAGCCAAGCAAACTTTAACACCCACTGATACTTTAGGAGAGAGCTCAGAGTGCCCAATGTGACATCTTGGAAACCTGTTCCCTTAACATGGACATTTTCACATTACACACTTTGAAACACTCATTGAAACATCTCCAAATGGTGTTCCTGGCTCTCATTGTGATGTCTTGTGTCCCCTCAACCTTGAATATGCTCTACAACTTCCATTTATACTCACCCACATATTACTAAACCTCATTAAAAACCTCTGAGTCTGTTGCATATCTCCAATTAGAACTTCAGTTTCTTGAAGTTGGTTAATTGCATCTATGCATTTTATGTTTACTAGACATAAAAATGAAGACAAGTCTCTACCACTCCCACCTTCCCCTCCCGCCACCCAAAGTTCATGATTTATGGCAAGAAACTAAGCTATTGAGTTCATCTCAGATCATCTTAGGCACAGGTAAGAGGCAATGAGATAACAACCCAAAGTCACACAGAGGTGTGCATGTCCGTGTATTTACTGCGGAAAAGAGCACAAGTTCCTGTGGCTGAAATGGAGGTATCTGCTTTTAGGAAAAGACTCAGATTTCATATAGGGTAACTTAGTACCATTTAATTTGAATACTATTTGGCAACTGCAAATTAAGTCTGACTGGATTTTTAATCTTACCATTACCCCTTTCTGGCTGTTGACATTTAGGCAGGTCTTTGAACCTCTTAGTTTTTTACCTGTACAATGGTACAATTATAGCACCTCCCTCAAATGGTGGGTGATCTCTGTGGCATACTTAGTGCCTGCAACTAAGTGCTCAGTGTGCTATTATTGCTGTTACTGGTTTTATTCTTAACCATTTTCATTAAAGCTGACATAATACCATTAGACCAGGAATTGCAAACTCTAATACCTACAGGGGCCAGGTGAAAATCACAAATGAGACAAATTGGGTAGTGAACTGGAGTCATTTAAAGGCAGCACCATTTACTCAGCTTCATCCAATTCTGCCTGTTAAAATGAAGACAAGGTTGACCATCTCCCTGGTATTTGAAAGAATTAAATAATCCGAATTTTTATGGAGCTTCTGATTTTTAAATGTTGACTATTAAATAGGCCAGAATTAAGCTGTCCAAACAAAATGATCTACAGGCAAACTAACTTTACAGTAGCTAATTTGTGACTCCACTCTAGACCCTCAAAAACTATTACTTAATTTTGGAATGGCACTGTTAGACATAGAAGGTCATTTTTTGGTTTCTGCTCCTCATAGAGTGGGAAGATAAGGTCCTTCATCTTTCTTGAAACACCTTTTACTTTGCTAACCTCAGTAATCCCCGCTAGCTAAATTGCTCTAAAACTTTTGTCAAGTTTTAGTTCTGCATTTCATTGGCCTACTCCCTCCTTGTAATCCAGGGATGTAAAATACAATTCGTTTTTCCTAAAATCTGCATATTTTCTAATCTCCTGCAATTGGTTCCACCAATCTCCCATCACCTGAGTTTTCATTGCTAGTCTATATCCAAATCACCAAATTGCTTTGGAAAACTTTGGCATGCACCCCTATCTTCCCACACAAACTGCTGTCACCATAGTTCTGGCCCTTTTTACTTTTTCTTTTCTGTTTCAACTGTTAGACAATAGTTTATTGTTTATCTCTGCTGTGTGTCATATACTATGCTAGTTGCTGAGGATATAGCCATGAGCAACGGGGACCTCTTCTCAGTTGAGCCTAAATTATTACAGGAGGAAGCAGAAAATAGTCAAGTTTTTTAAAAAATAAAAACTTATACTTTGAAAAATGTTAGCCATTCAGAAAAGCTGAGAGACCACTTAGGTATCATCTACCTAGATTCAGATTAATCGAAAGCATTATTTTCATCTTGTCACTGCCTTATACATTGAAGCAATGACTCTTCCAGCCCATAGGATAAATGTAAATTTCCACCCTGTTACTTTAGTTTCTTTAAAGTCCAAGTTCAACCTGTGTTTTCTTAATGTTTGCTCTAGGAGCTGCCATCCTTTAAGCAAGACGATGTGACAGGCTTGTCAGTGTCTGATTTTTACAGGAACAACTGTAAGGTAAGAGATATCCCAATTTTACAGCTTGCACGCTGGTGTTTACCCAGCTAAGACATGGCAGAGCCAGGACTGCATCAGCCACGTGATCCCGCTTGACAAATGAAAACGTTTTTTGCTGATTGCCTTGCTGCACAAACACTGCTGGACAGGGCTGGTTATTTACTGTCCTGAAAAGACATTGTTCTTTCTCATCTCTGGATGTCTGCCTCCAGTGTACCCTCCACTTGAAATATCCTTTTCTGTTTGCCTATCCAAATCTTTCAAAATTCAGCACATCTTCCTTGCTACTCTCATAAAAGTAAGCAATTCAAGCCCCATGTGTTAAAAGACCCTGTAATCAGTACTTAATGCATTGTGTATTGAGATCATTTTTATCATTTATCCTTTTTTTAAAATTTCAGCTTTTATTTTATTTTATTTTATTTTTTTCGAGACAGAGTCTCACTCTGTCGCCCAAGCTGGAGTGCAGCGGTGTGATCTTGGCTCACTGCAACCTCCGCCTCCCAGGTTCAGGTGGTTCTCCTGCCTCAGCCTCCCAAGCAGCTGAGATTACAGGCATCTGCCACCATGTCTGGCTAATTTTTGTATTTTTAGTAGAGATGGGGTTTCACCACGTTGGCGAGGCTGGTCTCAAACTCCCGACCTCATGATCTGCCTGCCTCGGCCTCCCAAACTGCTGGGATTACAGGCGTGAGCCACCCTGACTGGCCTCAGCTTTTATTTTAGATATGGGGATACACGTGTAGGACTGTTACATGGGTATGTGAGACCCAGGTAATGAGCTAGTACCCAATAGGTAGTTTTTCGACTTATGCTGCCATCCCCATCCCCTCCCTCCCCTCTCTAGTAGTCTGTGGTGTCTATTGTTCCAATGTTTATGTCCATATTAGCTCCCACTTACGACCGAGAAATGTGGTATTTGGTTTCTGTTCCTGTTATCTGCTTAGGATAATGGCCACTGGCTGCATCCATGTTGCGACAAAGGACATAATTTCATTTTTTATGGCTGTGTAATATTCCATGGTGTGTGTGTATCATGTTTGTTTTATCCAATCCACCATTGATGGACACCTAGGTTGATTCCACATCTTTGCTGTTGTGAATAGCATGGTGATGATGATATGAGTGTGTGTGTCTTTTTGGTATAATAATCTACATTATTTTGGGCATATATACCCAGTCATGGGATTGCTGGGCCAAATGATAGCTCTGTTTTATGTTCTCTGAGAAATCTCCAAACTGCTTTCCACAGTGGCTGAAGTAATTTACGTTCCCACCAACAGTGTGTAAGTGTTCTGTTTTCTCAGCCTCGTCAGCACCTGTTGTTTTTTTTTTACTTTTAATAATAGCCATTCTAACTGGTATGACATGGTATCTCATTGTGGTTTTGATTTGCATTTCTCTGATGATTGTGATATGGAGCATTTTTTTCATGTTTGTTGGTCACTTGAATGTCTCCTTTTGAGAAGTACCTGTCCATGTCTTTTGCCCATTTTTTAATGGGGTTATTTATATTTTGCTTGTTGATTTGTTTAAATTCCTTATAGATTCTGGATATTAGACCTCTGTCAGATGCATAATTTGTGAATATTTTCTCCCATTCTATAGGTTATCTGTTTACTCTGTTGATGATTTATTTTGTTCAATAAATGGTGCTGGGATAACTGGCTAGCCATATTCAGAGGAATGAAACTAGACTCTTACTTTTTACAAACTTTTTTACAAAAATTTTGCAAAAATTACCTAAAGATGGATTAAAGATTTAAGTGTAAGACCTCAATTTATAAACGTCCTAGAAGAAAAGCTAGGAAACACCCTTATCATTTATCTTACCCCCTCAAGCAGATTATACAATCATTGGGGGCAGGGGTTTTGTCTTAAACATTGCCTTTCCCTCTGCATCTTGCCATAGGCCAGAGTTTCTTAACCTCAGCACTGTTGACATTTTGCACCAGTTGATTATTTGTTGTATGGGGCTATCCTATGCAACATGGGATATTCAGCAGTGATCCTGGCATTACCTGCTAGATGCCAAGAGTACAAATCTCCCAGTCCTGTAGTACATCTCCAGATACTGCCAATTATGCCCTGGGAGGAAAGATTGTCCCAGTTCATTACCATTGTCATAGACCTAACATTTAGGAATTACTCCAGTGGATGGCAATGATGGTGCTTGTCCTACACAGCATCACTTTTGTATACTCAAATAAAGCTCTGTAGACTTATATTGCCCTCTTGTTTTTGTGAGGACAAAATTTGTTTTAAATGAGGAACTCATTTAATAGAGTGGTGTACAGCAATGTTCCAACTGTTTTTATTTGTCAAGATACTTTGATATTCTAGGGAAATAAGTAGGTTTTCTGCAAATATAAGCATTATTATTTGCCTGTTAATATGATTGTCCCATACAGGTTCTGGTTTCTTACTGTAGCTGTAACCAACTTTTATCTGAGGGACAACTAGCTGTGACTATTGAATTATTTTAATGCTATGTTAGAGAATTAGATAATTAGGTTATCTAATACCTGAATACCTTCATTTTGTTATGTCTGTATTTTTTAATGTTTTAATAGACTTAATTTTTTAAAGCAATTTTAGGTTCACAGCAATATTGAGCAAAAGGTACAGAGATTTCCCAGGTACGCTTTGCTCCTTACGTGTGCATAGCCTCCCCATTATCAACAACCCCCACCAGGGGGTGCATTTGCTACAATTGGCAAACCTACATTGACACATCATCACCCAAAGTCCATAGGTTACCTTGGAAGGTTCACTCTTGCAAGAACCTTAATTTTTTTTTTAACCATCTTTTTATTTGTAAAGACAGGGTTTTGCTATGTTGCCCAGGCTGGTCTCAAACTCCTGGGCTCAAGTGTTCCCCCCGCCTCAGCCTCCCAAGTAGCTAGAACTGCAGGCACATACCACCTCACACAGCTAACACCTTAATTTTTGATCAGACACTTCAGTGACAGTCAAGTGGTTGTTAAAGTGAATTACCTAGTTGTTTTATCAGTAATTTCATGGATTACGATACCTAAAAGATTGAGCAAATGAGATTGAATCAACTGCAAGTCAGCTTCTCTCCTGGTAACAGGAAATCCTGGAATGAGTATCTTTGGTATGAGTTAGGAGTCATTGTGAGTTCCATTCTTTATATAGCACCCTATTTTGTTTAACCATAGATCTTCCCTGCCCTAAAACTATTTTTGTGACTAATATATGTGAAGCCCCTGTGAGAGCTGTACTGAACATTTGCTGCTTTTTTGTCTGAGGATTGTTCCTCTCTCTGATGAAATGATTCTAGTGAACCAGCTAACAAAATAACTTTCTGGCCTGGCCACTCCTAGTACCCCATTCCCCTGGGCACTGTAATTGGTTCAGGAAGGAGCATATGACCTAAGCTGGGCCACAAGGAGTTCTTCTCTCGTAGTTTTTCAATTTGGCCATGAAACACATGGCCATGTCTAAAGGCATAGCAGAGCAGGAAGGGTGTTTATTGCAGCTGGAGCAGTCACTGACCCATAGAAAAAGGTAGGGTGCAGTAGGAGAGGATTAGTGCAGCTCAAAAGGAAGCAGGGCCCAGAGAGAGGAGCAGAATCTGAACAATTTTGTTTGAGTCCCTGAATTGAGTTGTGGCTGAAGTTAGCCTCCCAGTTATATGAGCCAATGAATCCTCTTTCTACTTAAGCTACTTTGGTTTGGATTGGTACCACTTGCACTAAAAGTATCTGTATTAATTCAAGGATTTTCCTGTTGATGGATAGTTTGAATCATTTGGTACAATCAGCTATTCCCACCATCCTATACTTTTGCTTGCATACTTCTGCTTGCAGCTCTTTAACTGTAGATGGAAATAAGTACAGACTCAATAAAGATGCCTATGGAAAAAATACAATAAAGGACCTTTGGGTGTCTCTTAATATTTTATGGAAACATCTAAATGAGAGATTTTTAGATGAGGTTGATTGTTTCACTAGAAATCACTGCTCCATTTTTATAAATTACAGAGAATCTCTCCTTTAACAGCACCCTTCCTGGGCTTTGAAATGCACTGCACAGGTGCAACAATTCAATTCACAAACAAAAATTGGTTTTATATTACCAGTGAGAAGGACTAAGCATAGCTATTTTGGGAGTTGTAATACCTCCTTTAAGCCACAAAGATACTTGAGCACATTACCTTAACAACCAATGTATTCTGGAGATCATTTTAGAATATGAAATACTGAACAGCAGGAACGTTGTGAACATTTTCAATCTTCTTACACAATATAAATGTAGTCTGAAAATCCCATTATACACAAGTACAACAAATACATACAGACCCTTAAAATACAGGAAAGAATGTGAAAAATAAGTATTATCACCATTCCTCAAGTTTCTAGAACAATTTTACTCTTCTCCTTAATATAATTTTTTGTCCAGAAAAGGGAAAGACTAAACTCATGGATAGTTATCCAAAGGAGAGAAGAGAAAATTGTTTGTGGTAAATGAAAGATGCTGCCTACAGTAGCACAAATAATCCCATTCATGGCTACCAGCTTGCTACGCATTGCTTACTTATGCTGCAGGCAACTATTGTTGAAATGACAGGAGGACAGGAAGGCATGAGAAAGGGGCAGACAGCTACTGATGAAAGAGTCATCAACTACTGTAGATACTTCTTGGAGATTGGAAGTTGAATTTTACATTTCTTTATATCCCCAGGTTTAATAAAAAAATTGCTTGTAGGTGTTCAATAAACATTTGATGAATGAATGGGGAACAGTTCAGTTATTTTCCTTGAATCCTAGGCAGGATGATTTGATACACTTTGGATTCTTGAGGTTTTATGAAATTTTAAATGCAAGGCAAACTACTATTTACCCAATTGAAGTCCAAATGTAAGCATTTTATGGTAAACCAGGAGAAAGTAGAAGGCAAAAATGCATTAGCTTAAAACCTAGGACACCAAAATGAAGATCAAATGTATGCATGAAAGTGTGTTAAAGAAAATCATTGCCCTGCCCTGCAGATGCTATCCTGGACTTGCCAGCCCCATAGACACAGTTGCTGTGCTGTGCCTGTACTATTGGAGCAAAGAAAAAGTGGCTATTTCTATGCTCAGTGTTCACAAACCAGTGAGCACTAAGAATGGTTTATAGCCTGACATTTCTTAGAAAAGAAGAAGAAGAAAACTGTTGCATAGTATCAGCTAAATTTGGACATAAATGTTTCCTATGATTCAGTAATTCTTTTTTTTCTTTTTCTTTTTTTTTTTTTTTTTGAGGCACCATCTCGGCTCACTGCAACCTCCACCTCCTGGGTTCAAGCACTTCTCCTTCCTCAGCCTCCTGAGTAGCTGAGATTACAGGCATCTGTCATCACACCTGGCTGATTTTTGTATTTCTTTTAGATACGGGGTTTTACCATGTTGGCCCAGCTGGTCTCAAACTCCTGACCTCATGATCCACCCGCCTCAGCTTCCCAAAGTGCTGGGATTACAGGCGTGAGCCACTGTGCTTGACCTGATTCAGCAATTCTACTCTTAGATATTTATTCAATAAAAATGTGCACACAGGTGCAACAAAAGAAATGCACAACAGCCAAAATTGAAAATAACCCAAACATTCAAATTTGTGTTATATTCATGCAATGGAATATACTATACAGTAATGAAAGTGATAAAACCACAGCTACATGCAATAACATGAATGTGTCTAACAAGCATATATGCTGAATACAGAAGTCAGACAAAGGAATGCACATTATACGATCCCATCTACACGAAGTTGTAAAACAGGCAAAACTAATAGAGTCAGAATAGTGGTTACCTTTGAGAAGGAGAGTGGGGTAATGTTGAAGAAGGGATAAATGTTGGGAAAAAACTACTGGGGTGTCAGTAATATTCTCTTCTCAGACATAAGTGTTGGTTACACAAGTGTATTCATTTTACATTGAATTGTGAATCCTTAGGATTTGTACACCTTCTGTTCAGTAGAAATAGCAAAAGAAGCTATCTAAAAGTCTCCTAGAATAACCTTTGCTTTTGACCTTCTTTTCAACTCAAATACAGCTGAAATTGTTGCCTCATCTTAACTGTAGACAAAGATGCATGAAGTGGGAGATTATAACATGGCCACAAATTTCTCTAATTCCTCTTATCATCAAGAGATATACTCCTTATCATCAAGAGATATACTCCTTATCATCAAGAGATATACTCCTTCACTTCACCCTTGGTACCAAAATAGATACCCAATACCAAATCTGAGTTTTTATCTGAACCATAATTAGAATTTCAACTTTTTTACCCCAGGAATATTTTTTCACACCTCTGTGAGAGGTTTAAATCCAGCATATGACTTAATTTGACCAATGGAACATTAGCAAGTATGATGCATGCAGAAGCTCGAATAGTTCTTGTGCATAGAGGATTGGCCTCTCCTGATGCTGGATATCCTTTCGTCACCAAGAGAATGAGCCCCAGTTAGCTTGCTGGATGATGAGAGATCATGGCCATTTTTCTAACCAACATTGGGCCAACTGCCACACACAGTAGTAAACCCACTTCAGACCAGTCAGCCTGCCAAGTGCCAGAAATGTGAGTGAGCCTTGAGCTGTCTGGCACTGACCAGAAGGACACCCAGCCAACTCTCAGAACTTCAAGAACTAATAAATGTTTGCTCTTTTAAGCCACTAGTTTTAGAGTATTTATTAATAGTTTGCTACACAACAAAAGCTGTCTGATACAAAAAATAATCCCTGAACTTTTTGCACAGCAACTAGTGTAACACCGCATAATGTTATAAACTTAAATTTATTTAATCATGAGAGAGATTTCTTCTTCTGGTCTTTTCTCCTAAGTAGTCAGTTTTGCAACCTAAAACCTCAATATTTAGCTTCACAAATGTTAAATGTTTAAAATGCCTCTTTCATTGTTTTTGTCATTGTCAGTTTTGTTTTGTTTTATATATTAGCCTCTTTGAAGGCTTCAGGAATGACCTTCAGATATGTTAAGGTTTTCCCTGAAAGCCATGGTATTACTGTTTCTATCACCATGGTTTAGAAAATAACCGTCAAAACTTGTTCAGCAGCTGCATGATTTCTTTTTAATGGATACATTTTCTGTCAGAGAAATGTTGAACAAATTGGCTATGGAGGGTTGTGGAATCTCCTATAAGCCTTTGAAAGAAAGAATTCTCTCTTATTTGAGCATGTAAGGCATCTCCTGTTTGTTTGAGCTCTTGGTCCCTACTGACCCTATGGTTTTATTGTATGCCAAAATGCAACATAAAGAAGAAGGCCAAGGCTGGGCACAGTGGCTCACGTCTGTAATCCCACCACTTTGGGAGGCCAAGGCAGGCAGATCACCTGAGGTCAGGAGTTCGAGACCAGCCTGGCCAACATGGTGAAACCCCATCTCTAGTAAAAATACCAAAAATTAGCCAGGCGTAATGGTGGGCACCTGTAATCCCAGCTACTCAGGAGGCTGAGACAGGAGAATCTCGTGAACGCATGACGTGGAGGTGCAGTAAGCTGAGATCATGCCAGCCTGGGCAACAAGAGCAAAACTCTGTCTCCAAAAAAAAAAAAAAAAAAGAAAGAAGAAGAAGAAGAAGAAGAGCATCTCTGCAGTGTAGCAGGACTGCTGTCCTACCAATTAAGAACATTAATTTTTATAATGTTCTTAACTCTAAGAGACTTGTGGTTCATAATCTGGGTTTTTAGGAGAATCCTCTGTATAATCAATCAGCTCTGTTGGCTGTGTCATTGTAGGCGATGCCCCTATCTCTTGGTTACTGTTCATCTGGTGTGTATTACTGATCAGAAGTGTAGGGTGGAGGAGATTCTGGTGAATGGTTAACATACTATATGGACACAATAAAAAACCCAACCTAAGTATATGCTCTACTGATAGAGGCGCAATAGTATCACCTTTAAAAAACAACTAGGAGTAGTGTAGGGAATGCTGCTATCTTGCTTTTCTGTTGGTCTCAAGTACTTTAATCTGAAAAGGGTAAAAACAAGTTTATGTGGTGGATGTTTTGAAATATTAAGTGATACGGTTCTCTTTCTCCTTCCATCTCCCCATTATTTTCTATTACCCAGTACTCCCTTTCTGCTTTTAAGTTATTAGACAGGGGGCCACATTGTGCTCACTGGGAGATGTCCCTATAGAACCAGAGAACAAAGATGTCAAGTCTTGGCTTTTGAGTTTCAAAAGCTGTAGTACAAGAGTAAGTCAGAGATACCTGGAGAAGAATGTTATGAGGCAGAATTCATTTTTATAACTCCAATTTAAGATAAGATTTCTCTAAACTTCAAGGGAGAACAGATGACCCCATATAAATTTGAAGTTGTCAAAGTTAATGCTATGGTTTGGCTGTGTCCCTACCCAAATCTCGAATTGAATTGTATCTCCCAAAATTGCCACATGTTATGCGAGGGACCCAGGGGGAGGTAATTGAATCATGGGGGCCAGTCTTTCCCCTGCTATTCTCGTGATAGTGAATGTGTCTCACCAAGATCTGATGGGTTTATCAGGGGTTTCTGCTTTTGCCTCTTCCTTATTTTTCTCTTGCTGCCACCATGTATGAAGTGTCTTTCACCTCCTGCCATGATTCTGAGGCTTCCCCAACCATGTGGAACTATAAATCCAATTAAACCTCTTTTTATTCCCAATTTTGGGTATGTCTTTATCAGCAGCGTGAAAACAAACTAACACAGTAAATTGATACCAGTAGAGTGGGGCATTGCTGAAAAGATACCTGAAAATGTGGAAGCGACTTTGGAACTGGGTATCACGTAGAGGCTGGAACAGTTTGGAGGGCTCAGAAGAAGTTAGGAAAATGTAAGAAAATTTGAAACTCCCTAGAGACTTGTTGAATGGCTTTGACCAAAAGCCTGATAATGATATGGACAATAAGGTCCAGGCTGAGGTAGTCTCAGATGGAGATAAGGAACTTGTTAGGTACTGGAGCAAAGGTGACTCTTGACTTTTGTTATGTTGTAACAAAGAGACTGGTGGCATTTTACCCCTGCCCTAGAGATCTGTGGAACTTTGAACTTCAGAGAGATGATTTAGGGTATCTGGCGGAAGAAATTTCTAAGCAGCAAAGCATTCAAAAGGTGACTTGGGTGCTGCTAAAGCATTCCATTTTAAAAGGGAAACAGAGCATAAAAGTTCAGAAAATTTGTAGCCTGACGATGCAGTAGAAAAGAAAAACTTAGTTTTTGAGAAGAAATTCAAGCCAGCTCTAGAAATTTGCATAAGTAGCAAGGAGCCTTAACCCCAAGACCATGGGGAAAATGTCTCCAGGCCATGTCAGACAACTTCCCAGAAGCCCCTCCCACACAGGCCCAGAGGCTCAGGAGGAAAAAATGGTTTTGTGGGCCGGGCCTGGGGTCCCCATGCTGTATGTAGCCTAGGGACCTGGTGCCCTGTGTTCCAGCCACTTCAGCCATGGCTGAAAGGGGCCAATGTAGAGCTCAGGCTGTGGCTTCAGAGGGTGGAAGCCCCAAGCCTTGGCAGCTTCCATGTGATGTTGAGCCTGTGGGTGCACGGAAGTCAAGAATTGAGGTTTGAGAACCTCCACCTAGATTTCAGAAGATGTATGGAAATGCCTGGATGCCCAGGCAAAAATTTGCTACAGGGGCAGGGCACTCATGGAGAACCTCTGCTAGGGCAGTGAGGAAAAGAAATGTGGGGTTGGAGCCCCCACACAGAGTCCCTACTGGGGCACTGCCTAGTGGAGCTGTGAGAAGAGGGCCAAGATCCTCCAGACCCCAAAATGGTAGATTCACTGGCAGCTTGTCCCATGCACCTGGAAAAGCCACAATCAGTGCCAGCCCATGAAAGCAGCCAGGAAGGAGGCTGTACCCTGAAAAGCGACAGGGGAGGAGCTGCCCAAGTCCATAGGAACCCACCTCTTGCATCAGTGTGACCCAGATGCAAGACATGGCATCAAAGGAGATCATTTTGGAGCTTAAAGGTTTGACTGCCCTGCTGGAATTCGGACTTACATTGGCCCTGTAACCCCTTTTTTTTGGCCAATTTATCCCATTTGGAATGGCTGTATTTACCCAATACCTATACCCCCATTGTATCTAGGAAGTAACTTGTTTGCTTTTGATTTTACAGGCTTATAGGTGGAAGGGACTTGCCTTGTCTTGGATGAGACTTTGGACTGTGGACTTTTAGGTTAATGCTGAAATGAGTTAAGACTTTGGGGGACTATTGGGAAGGCATGATTGGTTTTGAAATGTGAGGACATGAGATCTGGCAGGGCCAAGGGTGGAATGATATGCTTTTCCTGTGTCCCCACCCAAATCTCAACTTGAATTGTATCTCCCAGAATTCCTACATGTTGTGGGACAGACCCAGGGGGAGGTAATTGAATCATTGGGGCTGGTCTTTTCTGTGCTATTCTCATGATGGTGAATAAGTCTCATGAGATCTGATGAGTTTATCAGGGGTTTCCACTTTTGCTTCTTCCTCATTTTTCTCTTGCTGCCACCATGTAAGAAGTGCCTTTTGGCAGGGCGCCATGGCTCATGCCTATAATCCCAGCACTTTGGGAGGCCAAAGTGGGTGGATCACAAGGTCAGGAGATTGAGACCATCCTGGCCAACATGATAAAACATCGTCTCTACTAAAAATACAAAAATTAGCTAAGCATGGTGGCACATGCCTGTAATCCCAGCTACTCAGGTGGCTGAGGCAGGAAAATTGCTTGAACCTGGGAGGCGGAGGTTGTGGTGAGCCAAGATTGTGCCACTGCACTCCTGCCTGGTAACAGAGCTAGACTCTGTCTCAAAAAAAAAAAAAAAAAAAAAAGTGCCTTTTGCTTCCCAACATGATTCTGAGGCCTCCCCAGTATGTGGAACTGTAAGTCCAATTAAACCTCTTTTTGTTCCCAGTTTTTGGTATGTCTTTATCAGCTGCATGAAAACAAACTAATACAGTTAAGGAGGCTTGTATTCTGCTGCCCCTCTTGGTTGCCTAGAAAAGGACAAGCCCCACAGAATTCTTTGTATCACCATAGCACTAGAGAGTAGGTTAGAAATTTCTGAATATAATGAATAGACAGAAGAATCGTAGGAAGTCTTAGAGTCCTTGTAAGACTCAACCAGGAGACGGAAGTAGCCAAAAGACTTTTCTGTGAAGATGACACTGAGAACCTGTGAATTTGTGATGCTGGGCTTCATAACAAGGAGGAAAAAAACACAGCAGCAGATATAATGTGGAACCCATGACTAGAGGACTAATGAAAACTCAGACACTGCTGGATTTTCCAGTGTAGAAGAGTGATGATAACTGAAATATTTCAAGATAGGCCCATGACAATCAGGAATGAGACACTCAACCTAGGGGAGAAAATGAAGAGCAAGAAAATAATGAATTCACTGGATTTACCCAAAATTGACTAGATTAACTTTTCTACTACTAAACAGAAAAGAATTCAAAATAGGTGTTGAATGCAAACAAAACTGTATACCTTATGATCTAGAGCAGAGGGGTTGTAACAATAATGCAGGGCCAGATCATGAAGAGCATCGTTAACTGTGCTATGGGGAGTCATTGAAGGGCTTCAAAGACAGGGACTTACAGGATCAGCTCTGTGATTTAGTGTTTCTCTCTAAGCAATGTGCAGGCTGGATTAAAGAACAGGCATATTAGAGGAAGGTGCCTAAGTGACAGAGTAGGTGGTGGGGAGTCATTGGGAGAGAGATGATTCATTGTTGAGGGACTTGCTTAGGATAAGGTTTAATTACACTAGATCTAATTTCTATGATAGGACACAAAACTTCTATTATATTGAAAGTAACTTTATCAAGAAAAGATTGAGAATCTCTAGGATCAAATCCAAGTTAATGTAATCATAATCCTGCCTGGATATAGGAGAAATAACATAAATTTATCTGAAGAACTTAATTTTGTATAGGAAGATTTAAGAGATAGTCTTATGTTATTTGAATATGTATACTAGCTCCTTTGCATCCACTTAGGGTGTAGAATATAGAAAGTCACAAGGAAACATTGCTCCTACCCTAATAAGAATGAAAGGGGATAACAAATTCATAGGTTTGATTCAGCAAAAGAGCTGAGGATGCAAGAAAAGACTAATGAACTAAATCAAAGTGAGAGAAGAAATCCTCAGCTACTCCATCCTTGTAGAAAAGCTGGAGGAGGAGGAAGCTGCCACAAAAGCAAATAAGAAGAAAATGGCTGAGCTTTTTAACATATTTTTAAAAGCCAAATAAAGGCTGGTATGATGATTCAGAAACCCTAAGTGGCCCATATACAAAGACAGTTTGCTCGTTTCAGATGTTTTCCAAAGGCCTCCACTGAGTCATTGCTGGCAAGATTGGGGAAGGACAGAGAAGTGGAGAGATCTATCCTTCAGAAGCACAGGCTAAAGTATGAAGGAAGACAGGAGAATGGAGGGAATTCCATAAAGCACTATGGGCCTGAGAATGGGGAGCTTTCTATGGTTGGGTGAGGGGTAGGACACTTGTGAGAGATGTCACTGCTCTTCTTAGATACAGGTGTTCTGGGCCTGCTGAAACCTGAAGGTAAAGCAGGACAACTGCGAGAAAACTTCCAGGCATTTCAGGCCTCACAAGTTTAAAGCAGCAGCCTACTGGAGCTGAGAGATAAATTAAAGAGCTGACAGATAATCCCCTGAAAAACAGGTGCACTAGGCATACCAAAGGCTAAAGTCAGGGAAAGAGAACTTAGGCAAACTCTCCAATTACTCAAATCTCAAGCTGTGCTAAAGGGAATATTCTAATCCTACCCTCAAACCTTTGAAGTCTGTGCTGAACTAAATCTAGAGCATCAGAAAGTCTATACTCATCTCAATTACAGATAGTTTAAACTTCTCTCATTAACAGCCTGACTGAAAAGAAGGTACCCTTTTCTAAGTGAAAGTTTTATTTGCTTTCATCTCTATTCCTTTATACACAATGTTAGCATTTAATGAAAATTATGAGATACACAAGCAAGTAAAATGACTCATAATCAAGAAAGAAAATAGCCACTTGAATAAGACCCAAAGATGATCGAAATGTTGAACCTATCAAAGTGTTTAAAATAATCATGATAAACTAGCTAATGGTACTAGTAGAAAAGGTGAATAGTATTTGTGAAAAGATAGGAAATAACAGAAAAGCTGTAAAAACTATTTTTAAAAGAGCCTAGATATGAAAAAATATGATGACAAAGATGAAGAATTATTTTGTGGGCTTACAAGCCCAGAGTACATACCACAAGAATGATTTTGTGTACTTGAAGATAGGTCAATAGGAATTATATAAACTGATACAAAGTGAAAAATGAGAGAGGAAAAAGTGGAACACATGTCTGAGATAAGTGAAACAATATAAAATGATCAATCATACATGTAATTTGAGTTATAGAAAGAGAACAAAGAGAATGAGGTCAAAAATCCTAAACTGATGAAAATCCTCAGTGCACGTATTCAAGAAACTCAGCAAACTCTAAGCTGAATAAATACAAATTAAATTACACATAGGCACATCATAGTCAAACTGCTAAAAGAATCCAAGATAAAATGAACATCTTAAAAGCAGCCAGAAAGTAGAAAACACATTGCATACAGATTAATGACAATAAGAATGTTGACAGACTACTCATTAGAAACAACTGAAGGCTAGAAGACAATGGAACAATAGCTTCTAAGTGCTGAAAGAGTAAAACTACAATCTAGTATTCTATACCCAGCAAAAGAATCTTCAAGCATGAAGGTGAAATAAAGACATTTGCACATGTAGAAAATATGGAACGATATTCCTCTTTATCAGACCTGCAATTAAATTAATCCTAAGAGAATTTCTTAAGACTGAAGAAAAAATATTCCAGAGAGGAAAGGTACCAGATAAAAATTACCAAATAGAAATATATGTATATTCAAATTTCATTTAAAAACTATTGGTTGTTTAAATAAAAATTAATAGCAGTATATTATGGGATTCATAGCATAAATAAAAGTTGAATGTGTGAAAAGAATAGCACAAAGTGAGGGAGGGCAGTAATTAGAAGTTCTTTGTTGTAAGCTGCTTATGCTATCGATGAAGTCATAAATTAATTGCGAAGATATACTATGAAAGATAAAGATGCAGTCAGTCTTAGTCGACTCAGGCTGCCATAACAAAATATAGTAGACTGGATGGCTTAAACAACTGACATTTATTTCTTATAGTTCTGGGGGTTGAGAAGTTCAAGATCAAGGTGCCAGCCAATTTTGTTCCTGGTGAAGGCTCTCTTCCTGGCTACTTTCTCACTATGTCCCCATACAGTGGAGAGAGAAAGCAAGCAAGTTCTCTGGTCTCTTCTTACAATGGTAATAACTATATCACGAGGACCCCACCCTCATGACCTCATTTAAGCCTAATTACCTTTCAAAAGCCTCATCTCCAAATACTAACACATTGGGGGTTAGAGTTTCAATATATGAATTTTGAGGGAACACAATTCAGTCCATATAGTTGTGAATTGTAATCTCCACAAAGAGGTGCAACTAAAAAGTCAATTGAGAAGCTAAAATAGAATATATTATAAAAGACTTGATTCACTCAAGAGATGATAGAAACAGATATAAAGAGAAAATGGGACAGATAGAAAAAAAATCACAAACATGATAGAATTAAACACAAACACATCAATAATTGCATGAAAGATAAATGGAGTAGTGAGCTTTTCAGTTAAGTGAAAGCCAGTCTAGATAATTCAGACTCAATTATGCTATTTATCAGTAATAAATTTTACCTGTAAAGACACAAACAGAAAGTAAAAGAATGGAAAAGATATGTAATGCATATACTAAACATAAAGAAACTGGTATGGCTATCTAAATATCAAACTCTGTAAAACAGAGTATTCCTAGATAAAAGAGGAATATTTCATAATAATAAAAGAGGAGATAATGTCTACGCACCTAATATAAAGCTCCTAAATGCTTGAAGTAATAGTGTGAAATAGATGCAAAAATATAGTTGGAGATTTTAATACCTCAGTAATCCATAGAGCAATTGGGTAAAAAAATTAAGAAAGATATAGAAGATTAGAGAAACTCTATGAACTAAATTCACCTAATTTAGTTATAAAATAACCAAACCAAAACAATACAACTATTCTCAATTGCACATGGAAAATGTATCAAGATAGACAATACTGGGCCACAAAACAAGTTGTAATAAATTTCAGCGATTAAAATAATACAGAATATATTTCTCTGACCACCATAGTATTAAGCTAGATTAATAACAGTAAAATATCTAGAGAATCTTCAAATATTTGGAAAATAAACAAATTTTTAAGTAACTCATGGATCAAAGAAGAAATCACAAGAGAAGTAAAAAAATATTTAGCAATGAAATGGCAATTAGAATATAGCATTTGAAAATTTGTGGCATACATACTAAAGCTGAACTTAGAGATTAATCTATGGCTTTAAATGCTTATATTAGAAAAAAGAAATATATACACTAAATGATTTATGCTTTCAATTTAAGGAGCTAGAAAAATCAGAACAAATAAACACAATATAAGTAAAAGAAGTAATTTGAAATTAGTAAAGTAGAAAATGGACACAAACAAAAAAATGAACTATAAAAAATTGGTTCTTTGAAAAGATTAATGGACATTACAAATTATACAGATGTTAAAGCACAAAAAGGGACATTATAAACAATTTTACACCAATAATTTAAACAACCTCAGTACATAGACAAATTTCAAATGTCAAATTACAAAAATGAACATGACAGTGTATTGAAAACCTCCACAGCCTTATACCTATCAAAGAAATTAAAACCTTCATTTGAAACAGAATATAAAACTTGCACAGTTTCAGAAAATACAGGAAGAAGAGATGCTTCCCAAATTGCTTTAGGAGGCCAGATTGCCCCTGTATCAAGACCATACCAGGACATTCAAGGAGAGAAAATTTCAGCCCACTACCTACACAAGAATGGTTAAAATGAAAGACCAACCATACCAAATGTTGGCAAAGAGTGAATCAGCCAAAACTATCATACAGTCATGGTGGAAATATAATATAATATGATATAACCACTTTAAGAAATTGTTAGCAGTTGTTTTAAAAGCTAAATATACATTTACTTTATGATCCTGTAATTCCACACCTATGTAATCCAAAAGGATTTAAAATATATTGTTCACCAAGCTTCATACAAAAATGCCTATAGTAGCTTTATAATAGCTAAAACCTGGAATCATCCCCAAGTAGTCATCAACATAAAAATGAATATGCAAATAGTGGTGTAAAATAGAATATTTAAGAAACACTATGTTCAATGAAAGAAGCTAGACATAAGAATAAATATTCTTGATAAATATTCATGATTCTAGAAAAATCAAATCTAGTTAATGGTAACAGAAATCAGGACAGTAGTTGGATGGCATTAAGGGTTGAGGGGCAGGGCCACAAGGGAAATTTCTGAGGTGATGGAAGTAATTTATATCTTTATAGGTATTTGAATTACATAGTTGCATGAATTTGTCAAAATCAAGCAAACTTTGTACTTAATAACTGCATTTTACTGTATATCAATTATAGCTCAATAAATATGGCTGGAAACAAAAGATACTTATGACAATGTATTTATTAGTAGTATTATTATTTTGAGACATGGTCTAGCTCTGTCGCTCAGGTTGGAGTGCAGTGGTGTGATCTCTGCTCACTGCAGCCTGGACCTCCCAGGCTCAGTGATCCTCCCACCTCAGCCCCCTGGGTTGCTGAGACTAAAGGTGTGCACCACCACACCCGGCTAATTTTTTATTTTTTGTGGAGATGGGGTTTCGCCATTTTTCCAGGCTGGTATCAAACTCCTGAGCTCGAGAGATCCACCTGCCTCAGGCTCCTAAAGTGCTGGGATTACAGGTGTGAACCACTGCGCCCAGCCTGACAATTTATTTTCGATAAGTAAAATTTACTAATAAAGTTACATTTTTCAAATAGAAAGTATTCAGCCTTAAATATATTACAAAATAGCTTATTGTTTGTGTTAGAAAAATTGAAGCAACTTTCAATAAGATTATTTTAAAATTTTTATCTTTTTGTTTCTATTAAATGATTTTGCAAACTGTCATTTTGTAGCAGGTCAAATTTGGGACTTTAGAAAGTCTTTTGTCTGTCTTTAAGATTTGATTAATTACCTAGTTATTTAAAATGCTCTGGGCCAGGCTCAGTGGCTCATGCCTGTAATCTCAGCACTTTGGGAGGCTGAGGCGGGCAGATTGCTTGAGCTCAGGAGTTCAAGACCAGTCGGGGCAACATGGAAAATCCCATCTCTACCAAAAATACAAAAATTAGCTGGGTGTGGTGGTGCATGCCTGTAATTCCAGTTACTCAGGAGGCTGAGGTGGGAGGATAACTTGAGTCAGGGGAGGTCGAGGATGCAGTGAAACAAGATTGCGCTACTGCATTCCAGCCTAGGTGACCCAGCGAGACCCTGTATCAAAAAATAAAATAAAATGCTTTGAAGCCTAAACAAATTCTTTAAAAACCTACCAGTGTCAGTGCCTCTCTTACCAATGGGCCTCATTCTAACCTTTCTATACACACAGTAAGTAAAAAATTAAATCAATCTTGTCTCTGCCACAGACACTGTTTGAAACAAGTTTAAGCCTCAGCAGTCTTATTATAATTTTACCAGTCCCAGACCTCTAATTAATTTGTCATTAAATACAATTAAGAAACTGAAGTAATTCAGTTTAAGAATCTGCATAGGTTTTAAAGAGTAATTAAAAGGCTTCCTTAATTCATTAGAAACCAGAGAAAAATTGGAACCCAAAGGAGCCTTCTCACTTTGGTATGTAATATTTTAAAAATATATCTATTTATCTGTAAATAAAAGAGAAGGTCCGAGATAATAGGATCATCCAAGTTTGCTATTTTATGCAAAGATATTTATCATGTTGGAAAAAGATATGCTTCTTTTTTTAAGTGTGTTTATCATTATGTTTTTATTATAAATTTAATAGTCTCATGAAGTAATATTTCAGTATGAGAAAAGATGGGAAAATAAAATAGCCATAGTCTCATGAGTCAAATGCAGTTATAGTTAACACTGTGGAGTATTTCCTTTCCAGCTACTTTAAAAATGGTTTTTATTCAATATTGACAACTTAAAAAGGAGTATTTCTAATATACTTTAAGGCATAAGAACAATAAAAAAGAGCACCTGTACCCATCACCAATCTTAAGAAATAGAATGTTCTAGTATCTTTGAAGCCCTAAGTACCCCCACTTTATCCATGCCTCAATTTATCTCATAGGTAACCATTATCCTAAATTTGATATTTATATTCTCGTGTTTTTATTTATGGATTTACCACACATCTATTCCCTTTATCTTCCTACTATACTTCTTAATATGGCTTACGTATTTGTGACCTCTTTGTCTCATTTTTGCTGCATTCTAGAGACTTCTATTAAATCTGCCTTCTGATATTTCTAATTATCTCTTCAGCTGTGTCTAATATTCTGTTTAACCTGTCCACTGAATTTTAAATTTTTATTACTTTATTCTTATTTCTAGAATTTCCATTTGTTTTCCTTGAGTCTCTTTATCATTTTAATATACTCTCATTTCCTTCTCAGATTTACAATATTCTTTTATTTCTTTAAGTATTGAATATATTGTTTATGTTTAATTTTGTGCCTAGATTATATTTAAAATTTTTGCATGATTAATTTTGCTGTTTGTTTTTTCTTACTCAAGCTGCCATATTTTCATGAGTGTTATTTTTATTTGTTAATGTGAGCTAATATTTATTTCTGCTAATTTTTGAGGCCAAATTGTAGATGTGTTTCCACAGAAAGAATGTATGTTTGACAGAATTGCCATTTGACCCAGCAATCTTATTATTGGGTATATACCCAAGGGAAAATAAACCATTCTGCCATAAAGACACATGCACACGTATGTTTATTGCAGCACTATTCACAATAGCAAAGACATGGAATCAACCTAAATGCCTATCAACAGTAGACTGGATAAAGAAAATGTGGTACATACACACCATGTAATAGTATGCAGCCATAAAAAAAGAACAAGATCATGTCCTTTGCAGCAACATGGATGGAGCTAGATGCCATTATCCTAGGCAAATTAACATAGGAAGAGAAAGCCAAATACTACATGTTCTTACTTATAAGTGGGAGCTGAACAATGAGAACACATGAACACAGGGAGGGGAACAATACACACTGGAGCCTATTTGAGTGTGGAGGGTGGGAGGAGTGGGAGTACCTATTGAGTTCTATGCTTATTACCCCAGTGATGAAATTATCTGTACACCAAACCCCTGTGACACACAGTTTGCCTATATAACAAACCTGTATATGTACTTATATAAGAAACCTGTACATGTAAATAAAAGTTTAAAATAAAATAAAACAAAAAATAAATTCAAAGGAACTTAAAAAATATATGTTTGAATCATCCAGACACCTGGGGATACTATCAACTTGGACACTTTCAAATTCAAATTTTGGCTTAAAGTTTTGTGGACCACACTGGCAGTATGAATTTTAGGTCCTAAAATGTTTATGAGGGTGAGCTTGTGGTTTAATTTTCAAGAAGGCTCTTTTGCTCTCCACTCAGCATCAATTTGTTTCCTTGATGATTCCTTCTGTGGAGTAGGCTTATCTCTGCTCCTCTCTTATACCAAGTATGCAGCTCTTTGGGGTCCAGCTTTATGTGGGATCTACAATTAGACTCTCCATCTTCTACAGGATCCTGTGACTTTTTTTCCCTAAACTTCGCTCAGTAATGTGTTGGTAAATGCTTAAGGGCTACCTGTCTGATAAAAACATTCTGATTTGTAGTATTTGCCAATTTCTGTGTTGTAAATACATGCCAATTTCAAGCTACCAAAGTGATGTCACTGAACGTGAAGATGGGAAAAGATGAGTACAATCAGTTCTTGCGGCCAGTAATAAGCAGCTCCACCACACCACTGCTTACACTTGGCATAGCTATGAAAAATGAAGCTACATTCACCACGACTTGGCATATCTCTCTGATATGGTTTGGCTGTGTCCCCACCCAAATCTCATCTTGAATTATAGCTCCCATAATTCCCATGTGTCCTGGGAGGGACCTCATGGGAGGTAATTGAATCATGGGGGTGGGTCTTTCCCATGCTTTTCTCGTGATAGTGAGTAAGTCTCACGAGATCTGATGGTTTTATAAATGGGAGCTCCCCTTCACAAGCCCTCTTGCCTGATGCCCATGTAAGACTTAACCTTTGCACCTCATTCACCTTCAGCCATGATTGTGAGGCCTCACCAGCCATATAGAACTGTGATTCAATTAAACCTCTTTCCTTTATAAATTACCCAGTCTTGGGTATGTCTTTATTAGCAGTGTGAGAACAAACTAATACACTCTCAGAGTAAAAGACATTTGAGTAATTGTTTACCTACCTGAATTTCCATTATGACTTTGTTTTAGGCTTCTGTACATCTCTACCAGTTTGACAATATGTCTTAAAAGGAGAAGCTTACTTTGATCATTCTATTTGTTGTTTAGCCCAAAATTTCTTGTTTTCAGCAAAAGGGCCGGTTAGGGTAACTAGTCAGCCTTATTGCCAAAAATAGAAGTTCTATTCTTGGCCATCTTCTTCTCTTTTAAAAATTCAATTTTTTGCTTTTGTGTCCATAAAGATAATACATGTTAATTATAGAACACTTGAGAAATATGCAAAAGTACATAGAATAATATTAAAACTATCTGTAAGTTCATAACCGAGAGCAAAGTATTGATGACATTTGGGTGCTTATCTTTCTAATCTTTATAATATGTGTGTTCACTTAAATATTTCTGTGTGTTTTTAGCTAATGTGCATCATGGTGTATCTACTATTTTGAAATCTGGTTTTCTTTTTTGAGACGGAGTCTCGCTTTGTTGCCCAGGCTAGAGTGCAGTGGCATGATCTCTGGCTCACTGCAACCTCCGCCTGCCGGGTTCAAGGGATTCTCCTGCCTCGGCCTCCTGAGTAGCTGGGATTACAGGCGTGTACCACCACACCTGGCTAATTTTTATATTTTTTTGTTTTTTTATTTTTTTTGAGACGGAGTTTTGCTCTTGTTGCCCAGGCTGGAGTGCAATGGCATGATCTCCAGCTCACTGCAACCTCCGCCTTGCAGGTTCAAGCGATTCTTCTGCCCCAGCCTCCTGAGTAGCTGGGACTACAGGCACGCGCCACCACGCCTGGCTAATTTTTGTATTTTTAGTAGAGACAGGGTTTCACCATATTGGCCAGGCTGGTCTCGAACTCCTGAGCCCAAGTGATCCACCTGTCTCGGCCTCCCAAAGTGCTGGGATTACAGGCATGAACCACTGCACCTGGCCAAAATCTGGTTTTTACTTCTTTATATGATTTAATTGATTTTTCTCATCTTTAAATGTTTCTCTTCAACTCATTTTTATGGCTGCATTATGTTCTCTCACATGCATGAGCCAGAATGGCTGATCATGTATATTGTTTCTGTGTTTTCCCCATAAAAAATAATGCTGAAATGAACATAAAAGATGTATTTCTGGTCATCTTTCCAGGGCAATACATTTTTTTCCTCCCACCTTGGAATTGAGACAATTTTCCTATGTGGTGTTAGACTATTTTCTCCCTTTCTTATTTCTGCCTTACTCAGCTGTATCTCATTCTGCAACAATTCACTTTTCTCCTATTGTATCTCCACTTCCTCATCATTAATAATGCTATTTATAGAACTATATTTGGCTTTGTCAGCCAAATACATTAGCCATTTAAGAAATGGTGTCTTGAAAAGATATATGGTTAAACGAGAGTTTTAAAAGGCCAAAGAAAAAAAATCTGTTGTCTTTTTTTTTTCCAATTTGGTATTTACTAAAATCAATTTTGACCCTAGATGTTTATGACTCTATTAGATATAGCCACCTTGTAAACTATCAAAAGTATTGCTTCTCAGCAAATAAAGATATTGCCAATCCATTGTGGCCACTTTTGGCAAAGCTATAGAGACAGCAGAATGTGCACTCTCAGTGAAGCCAATGTTTGCAACAGGAGTGAGTCATCAGTTTATGAGAAAGTCCAATGGGGGGTCAGTTCTTTCTTCATGAGCATTCTTCATCTCTCCTGCTGCCCTGTGACTTGTTTGGATTCAATCTCCTTTGGGGCAAATCATCTATCAGGAAAGAAAAAAGCAAGAAGTGAAATAATGACTATAGGTTGACCCTGAGAAATAATAAAATATATATTTTAATATACTACAAACTTGAGGTAGGAAGACTAGGTGATGCTTCCCAAGAAATTGGTGGTCGAAAGAGAACATTCAAGCTGTCATTCTTAATAATGTAATAATAATGGACTATGGAATCTCTCTTATATTAAAACTAAGTCATCTCAACAAGTTAAGCTATAGAAATAAAAGTAACTTCACTTCTCCAAAAGAAATGATTGTTAATCTCATATGAAATCATAGTTTATTTAAATGTCAAGCTTTAGTTGTAGAAGGATTACAGATAATATTCTTGTTGAACTCAATTTTCTTTCTCCCAAGTAAGTGATGTATCTAGAAAGACTCTCTTCAGCCCATTTCCTTCTTCTCTACTCCAAAGCAAGTATCAAATTATCAGTCACATCCCTCATATTCAGTTTCATGTATTCAGACACACAGTACTCAGATACTCAAACATATAACAATGATAAATGATGTTTCTGTTTAACCAATTCTTGTTTACTCTTTACCCAACAACAAAAATAATTTTGTTAATATCAATTGTCCTACAAAGTCCTAATGTAACAGGATTATAGATGATAAGAGCACAGATATTTTTAAGAAAATTTTGATTTGAATCCCAGACTTTCACTAGTTATCTGGGTGACCTTGGTGAAATTGTCTAACATTTATTCAAGTTCTTCATTTGTAAAATGGACATGATGAAGCCAACTTCACAGGTCACCTCCAAAATTAAATGAAGTAATATATGTAAAGTACTTGGCACATTATGAGGATAAGTGTGCTAAATACTTTATTAACTATCAACACCTGTTATACATAGTAACACCCAAGTTCAATTCATCTAATATTCACTGAATACTTACGTTTGAGATAGTGGTTTGGTACACTGGAAGAGTATATGCCACATATTAGACATGAAGCTACCTTCATAAAGTTTATAGTCTAGTTGAGGAACAAGTTTTACACATTTTAAACATGTGCATAACAATGTAAGGCTCTATGTAATCAAAATACAATATGTGACAAAAGCTTTGTTTAGAAAAGTGAGTGAGATCTTTGTGGAAATCTCACTGGAGATCTGAAGAAGTGAGCAGATCTTTTTTTTTTAATTTCCAACTTTTATTTTAAGTTCAGGGGTACATGTGTAGGATGTGCAGGTTTGTTACATAGGTAAATGTGTGCCATGGTGGTCTGCAGCGCAGATCACCCCATCACCCAGATATTAAGCCCATCCACTAGCTAGTCTTCCTGACCCTCTTATCTTTCTGCTTCTCTCCCTCCTGCCAACCCCCACCCCCTACAGGCCCCAGTGTGTGTTGTTCCCCTCTGTGTGTCCATGTGCTCTCATCATTCAGCTCCCACTTATAAGTGAGAACATTTGGTATTTGGTTTTCTGTTCCTGCATTAATTTGCTGAGGATAATGGCCTCCAGCTTTACTCATGTCCCTGCAAAGGACATGATCTCATTCCTTTTATGGCTGTGAGCAGATCTTTTGAAGGAGATGGACTTAAGACTCTGAAAGACATAGTAGAGAGAGTAACAGCTCAGGTGCTAGAGTCAAATAGAACTGATGTGAATTCTAGCTTCTCCACCTCCAGCTGTGTGATCTAGGACACATTATTTAACCTCCCTATTCCTCAGTTTTCCCATCAGCAGCACGGCAAGTACCCCTAGCCATAGATTACTGTGGAATGTTAAGTGAGATTAGGCATTAGTAAGTAGAGTTCTTGACCTATGGTGAGTGCTCTATAAATATTGTGGTGGTGGTGGTGGTGGTAGTAAATACTGTAAATGAGAACAGGGAGGAAAATGAACATAGAAGCAACACAAGGATCAATTTTTAATACACCCTTATGTTGTTATTTATGTACTTGATATAGTTTTAAAGGAAGCAGATAGGAACTTAATAAATATAACTCAAAGGCTGTGATGCTTTATTTGCTATTTTTTAAATCAAACTGTAAAAACGGACTAAAAATTTTTCAGGCTATTTAAATTATTCAATTTAAGTAAGTTTCAGAGCCAAAAGATATTCGTGAATCATTTTAATTCTTTTTTGGGTATATAATTTTTTGAAAACCTTCTGTACCATAATGTTAATGTTTAAATCAATTTGTTTTCTAAAGTTATGTTTCTATTAATAGTTTTTACTTTATTCAATTCCTCTTAAATATTTTCATTTTATGTAATTTTGTCCTTCTTTTAAAAATTATATTTATTGTTCTCATAATAACAAACACACAGTTGAATACAAAACACAAAAGCCATCAACAGTGAAGTTACTAATATACCTTCAAGATAAACATGATTGGATACCAGGCATTTACATCTCTGATGGATAAACTAGATGCAAGTATGTTGAATAATAAAAATGTGTTTTGGTTCTCCATTAAGTTATTGAAAATCCAAAAGGTAAATGTTAGTATATTATAAGGCTTGAATATTCATACATCTCTGATGGATAAACTAGATGCAAGTATGTTGAATAATAAAAATGTGTTTTGGTTCTCCATTAAGTTATTGAAAATCCAAATGGTAAATGTTAGTATATTATAAGGCTTGAATATTCATTATATGCCTTCTATGTTTGTGTTTTTCTCTCACTTGACAAAAATATTATCATTTCCATAACCCTGAATATACCAAATATAATAAAGAAATATTTTTTAAGAATAATTTCATCATTAGAACTCAGCTGCTTTCTTTTAAAACCCAGCCAATTCTTCTTTTAAAAGTTTGGCCCAGGTGCAGTGGCTCATGCCTGTAATTCCAGCATTTTGAGAGGCTGAGGCAGAAGGATCTCTTGAGTCCAGGAGTTTGAGACCAGCTTGGGCAGCATAGTGAGACCTTGTCTCTACAAAATAAAAAAAAAAATTAGCCAGGCATGGTGGTGCATGTCTGTAATCCCAGCTACTTGGGAGGCTGATAAAGGAGGATCACTGGAGTCCCGGAGTTCAGGGTTGCAGTGATGTATGATTACACCACTGTGCTCCAGGCTGTGTCATAAAAAGAGGAACCATTTCTTAAAAAAAAAAAAAAAAAAAAAAAAAAAAAAAGAAGCTTGGATAACATCAGCATTTATTCCCCAATTAATGAAACTCCAATTTTGGAAGTTGAGAAGGAATTATTCAATCCTAAATTCGTAAGATATACTTGAGCAGATGAAAGGGAATTCATCTAGGAGATATAAGCAATGAGTCAAGGTTAGAACACAGCATGAACAGAAGAAAAAGAGAAATAACCAGTCACAGGCGGGGCTAGAGGTGAGGACTTTGTACACTAGAGTGTAAAAGGTGAAGAGGTGCATAGCGTGCACAGGGGCAGCACCAGGAGCAAGATGCATGGAGCCTTCTTGGTGAGCAGAGTCAGTACCAAGCCATGAAGTCGACTGCCACTGGACCCAGTTCAAATGTTTCTTAGCCTCATCACTAATATTGACTTTTAGGCTTTGTCTGATCCCTGACCTTGGATGAAATATTCACCCTCCTAGAAGAAAATCTGATTTTGAGGTGAGTGTAGCAGTTAGGAGTTTTTTATATCTAAGGAGTCTAGGTTTCTATGGACTGAGTGCAGGCTGATTTCTTCAGCTCTTTATTCTCCAGTGGTAATTTTCTTTCTCTGGGGCAAGCCCTTTCAGGTGATAGTTTTGTCCTTGAGTTTGACATTGATAGTTGTTTCTAAAATCCTGGCTCTAAAGATACTCCTTGGTAATCCATTTGAAACGCAAGGAGAAGCACTACTCTTTCAGGTCACTGGGACTACATTTATTGAATTTCTGTTTTAAGGTATTAAATGCTTAGTCAGTCAACATTTACTGAGCACACATGGAGTATCCAGCACTATATTAGAATCTGTAGGCAGACAGAAAAGACATAATAGATAAGGTTCATGCCCTAGAGTAATTTTGATACAGAAAAATAAATGTAAAAAACAAAAGAGCTCTTGAAATGAAACATATAAATGTAAAATTTAATGTAGCACATTCTTGTGTATGTACCACAGTCTACCATTTGTCACTGATATTATGTGTTTAATATTTGTCATACACATACAATGTCTAAGACCCTAGGCTGGTGCCATGATGTTGTAAACTTTGAATATAACACAGCCTGCCTATAAATTGCTCATAATCCAAAAATCGTGGTGACAAATAGACAAGTAATTATGATACTTGTGATGTGCCAAGTAACTGGATCAGATCTCATATTGGTATATTTAACAAAAATAGTATTAGAATAGATAATATTTGTATTGTACCTTAAAAGGTAAGAAAGATGAAATGAGAAAACATATACAGAGGGATTCTAGGTAGAACAAAAACTCAGAAGACAAAAACATAACATCTGTATTAATTATCTAATGCTGTGTAACAAATTTCCCAAAATTTATTTGCTTAGAATATATAATCATTTGCTATATCTCATAGTGTCTAAGAATGAGGAATTTGGGATTGGCTTGGCTGGCTGGTTCTGGTTTGGGGTCCTTAATGAGGTTGTAGTCACATGTCTGCCAGGGCTGCACCCATCTGAAGGTTTGAATGGGTTGGAGGATTTTCTTCAATGATAGCCAACTCATGAGACTGGTAAGTTGGTGCTGGCTATGGCCAGGGGCTTCAATTCTTCAAGTGGTCTATGCATAGGTCACTTTAGTGTCCTCATAGTCTGTGGCTGGCTGGTCAGCAATTCAAGAGACGAATGTGTAAGCTGTGATGCCTTTTATTACCACAGAAGTCACTTCTGTATTTTATTGGTCACACAGGCTAGCACTGATTTAATGTGGAAAGGAGCTTTAGATGAGGATAAAGACCAGGAGGTGAGGTTCACTGGAGACCATATTGGAGACTGGATACAACACCATCTGAAATTAGGATGATTTTAAAATATATATAATAGAGTTGGTTTAGGAAGCACTTGCAGGCCTTTACTGGGAGTTTGCTCATCTACCTTCTCAACTAGAATCTGAGTGCCTTGAAGGCAGAATGGTGACCTTCATTTGTGTTGTTTTTCTCAGTACATAGAATACTGCTTGGTAAATAAAAGACACTTCATATGTGATTCTTGAAGAAGTGAATGAATGAATAAATATGAATGAATATGATCTGAGAGATAAATTAAAAATATCAAAATTACAGGGTGAAGTGTTGATTCAGAAAAGTGTGGGAAGCTACATAAATGAGTCAGGGTCTACACGGAATCTAGAAAAGGAGGCAGATAATTGGAATTGTAGGTGTTAGCCAGTATTAGCCTAAACTTTGTCTGGCAGACATGATTATTCCTATCACTCAGAAAGTCTATTTTATGGTGTAGATGGGGGAGTGTACAGAGGAAATAGTACTCAGAAAAACCATAGAGTTCAGATTATTAACTCTGAATCTGATCTATCACGTCTCTGATAGGTCACTCCAAATTAGCCATCAAACACGCCTGACCTCTAAACATTGTCAAAGGGGTCACTGCACTATGTTTACTGTGGCAGATTGCCACTCTTCACGCTAGAATTTCTTTGGTGAAAATGGCAGAGAATTTGAAGTCAATTATTTGTTGAGCTATCTGTTCTTAACAACCATGACAGGCCAAGGCCAGGCCAGTTGCACTGAAGTCTAAAGTAGATTCTATGGCTCAGCCAGAACCAAAGGAAGACACATGAGATAATATCATTATGATCCATCAAGGAATCCTGAAACTGGAACCTGGAGTGATCACCTGGGTGTTGTAGACTGCTGGGCCCCTGTAACCCTTACCCAGCCTACCCCCTTTTATATAAAGTATTTAATATAAAAGACAGCACATACGTGGGCTTTTTGGACCTGGTGAATTCCTCATTCTGCATAGCTGCCAGGGCATCCCAAGGAGCAAAGGAACCCTGAGAACCACATCCACTCATACCATTGTGTATCTTTCACCTCACATAGCTTGTTTGCTGGTTCTGCACTAAACAAGGAGAAAGCAGTCTTACTTGGGATTGAGGATTCACTGAGCCCTTGAACTTGGATGAGACTTCGTGTTCTGCCCTCACTTCACCCCTGAGCACAGGACTAACTAAATCAAACCCCATTTATGTACAAACATAACTGTAAAGGTACAGAAAATGCAGACTGTTCTTATGTTCCCATAACAAGACGTTAGAGTTGTAGATCATCATTTTTTTCTTTCTCTCTCTTAGTTTATTTAAAGGAAATATTATACTTGTTCCTAATAACTCCATTAAAATAGGAGAGGTGAAATATGTTTTCTTAATGCATAATCTGCCGCTGGCAGGGATGGCATTTTAAGGTAATATCACACTTCTCACTTACATGCTGCCTTCATGAGGTGTGCTAAGAAGCTACCACCTCTCACAGGCAGCAAGTGAGTGGAAGCAAGGCCAGAGAGGACAGGGTATGCAGCCCCTCTGCTGGGGAGTCAGGGCCCCAGGTGAGACTGAGACTAAATGCTTACAGGAGGTAAAACGGAAGCTATGTATTTTCTTTTTCCTTTTTTGAAACATGGCGATTCATGGATGCAGAAGAACTTTGTGTGAGTATTTTCTTTCATTGCTAACAAGGTTACTGAAATCTTTTCAAATAAAAGGGCTAGAATTTGCTTTTGACATTATCATTACTTTTTAAAAGAAGGGAGCAACAAGGTCAGCAATGATTCCCTCTGAAATGGAAATGAAGAGAATCAGCATCTATTCACATACGCCCTCACCCCTCACCCACGCACCCTTGCTCAACTTTTCCCTGCAACCCACACTGCGCTGGAAATAGATCGATAGACTGCTTGTCAGACTTATGCAAGGCTTACAGGCTCTAATCCTCTATCAGACTGATTATCAGAGTGGGAGTCTACCCAAGGGGTTAAGAGTTGAGGTTTCACGGGGTTTCTTAGTACACAAAGAAAATATATGGAGTTGAGATGTTAATCAAACAAAGCAGACTTGGGGCCATAACAGTTTTGGGGTTCTCCATTTCCTGAGTCACCTGGCAGGTGTGCTCTCCTACCCTCTCCCCACAGCAAGTTTAACTTTGTCCCATAGTAAGACAAAGCTCTAAAAGTGATTCTGTCCTATCCAGAGTGTTGCAAATGAACACTGATAACTGATTCAGCACCATGTCAGTGCTGCTCTTGGTCTCTGACTTTGGTAACCCAGGCTTTCAGTGACTACTTTGCTGTCACTGACTCCAGCATCTATGTCCAAGGCATGAGTCCCTGTCCTGGATCTCCCTGAGTGTCCTGCCTGAACGCTGACAAGGTGGTCTCTTTCATGGCTTGCCTGACCTGGCTTAGCCTTCTGACCTCTGGCATTGCTTGTCCTTGTTTCTCAATCTGTTTGCATATCACCATTGCCTAGAGAGGGTGGCAGGTTTTATTTTGTTGTTATAGTTAAACATACATAAGGTAAAATTCACCATTTTGACCATTTTCAAGTATAAAATTCAGTGGCATTAATTACACTGATGTTGTTGTGCAACCGTCACCACTATCCATTGCCAGAATTTTATTTTTTCTCGTTTGAAACTCATTACTCATTAAACACTAATCTCCCTTTCCCCCCTTCATATTCTCTGGAAAACACACCTTTACTTTCTGTCTCTGTGAAATGGACTACTCTAGGTATCTCAGATAAATGATCATACAATATTAGTCCTTTTGCATTTGGTGTTATTTTACTTAGTATTTTCAAGCTTTATTCATGTCATAGCATGTATCAGAACTTAATTTCCTTTTATTGCTGAATAATATTCCTTTGTACGTATATACCACATTTTGTTTAACCATTCACCACTGATGGACATTTGGGTTCTGACCTTTTCACTATTGTGAATAATGCTGCTATGAACATTGGCATAAGATAACCATTTGAGTCCCTGCTTTTAATTCTTTTGACTATATAGCCAGTAGTGAAATTGCTGGTTCATTTGGTAATTCTGTGTTTAATTTTTGGAAGAACCGCCATATCATTTTTCATAGCAGCTGCACCATTTTACATTCCCCATCAGCAATGCACAAGTGTTCCAATTTCTCCACCTCCTTACCAACAGTTATTTTCTGTTTTTTATTTGTTTGCTTGTTTTTCTAATAGCCATCCTAGTGGGTGTGAAATGGTACCCAGGGAGTTTAAAAATTGCCAGTGCTCAGAGATGCTGATTTAATTGTTCAGAGACAAGGCCTTGTCAATAACTTTTTAAAAAAACTTCCCCAGGTGATGTTAATGTACAGCCAGCATTGATAACCTCTAATACATTCTTGACTTATGCTACCTGCCTACTGTCCCATATTCCCACACTGCTTTCCTGGTCTCACAAAAAGAAAGCTTAGAGAAGAATTTACCAAGTATAGACAGCAGTAACTAAGAAGATCTGTCTGCTCCAAGCCCTGTGTTCTGTCTGCTGTATTCCACTGTGCCCTAAAGTGTGATTTTATAGGGTTCCTGATGCACAGTGCCAGCACAGAGCATACTAAACTCTTGTATCTGAATCGTGGGGGTGAATTAGTTTCCCAGGGCTGCCGTAACAAATTACCACAAACTGGATGGCTTAAAACGGTGGAGATTTAGACACTTGGAGTTCTGGATGCCAGAAGTCCAAAATCAAGGAAGGGCTGGGCTGGGTCTTCCTGGAGGCTCTGAGAAAGAATTCCTTTCATGATTTTCTCTTAGGTCTTGGTGACTTCTGGCCATTCTTGGTGTTCTTTGGCTCAAAGATGCATCACTCCAAATTCTGCCTCCATCTGCATGTGGTCCTTCCCTCTCTTTGTGTCTTCTCTTCTTCCGTCTCAGAAAGATACCATTCAATTTAGGACCTCCCCTAAGTCCACGATGATCTCATCTTGAGATGCTTAACTTTATTATGCAAAGATCTTTCTTCCAAAATAAGGTCACATAGACATGTACCAGAGGTTAGAACTTGGACAGTTTTTGGGGGGAGCCCAAGTTCAATCTACTGCACGGAGTTTTCTGTTAGTCTTCCAAATTGCAATCAGTTACATTGTGATTCAAGAGTTCAACATATACCAAAGCTCAATCTGATATAATCAAGGCTGGAATAGGACTTGCATTTAAATCAGAGGGCCAAAGTGATCTGTAATCCCCACGTTCGTTGCAGCATTATTCACAATAGCAAAGTATGAAAATAACCCAACTGTCTATCAACAGATGAATAACACACACATGCCCGCGCACATGCACACACACACGCGCGCACACACACACACACACACACAGAGGAATATTATTCAGCCTTAAAAAAGAAGGAAATTCTGCCATTTGCAACAACATGGATGGACCTGGAAGACATTAAGCTAAGTGAGATAAGCCAGTCACAGAAGACATCTAAAATAGTCAAACATATGCAAGCAGACAGATAATAGAATAGTGGTCCAAGGGAATGAAGTGAGGAAGACATGAAGACTTGTTGTTCAGTGGTATAAAGTTACAGTTATACAAGATGAATGAGTTCCAGAGATCTGCTGTACAACACATTAATACAGTTAGCAAGAAGATATTGTACACTTAAAAATTTAAGAGAGTATATATCAAGTTAAGTGTTCTTACCACAAAAAAGGCAGGGCACAAAGAATCCTTTGGAGGTGATGGGTGATGGATATGTTCATTATCTTGGTGGTGATGACAGCATGAGTGCATTCATGTGTCCAAACTCACCAAATTCTATACGTTAATTATGTGAAGTTTTTGTGTACTAATTATACAATAAAGGCAGGGAAAAAAGAAAGCTGAAGTGGTCACATAAATCTTTGCCTCAGGCCAAATAAGCTGCTTGACATTTTTATTCTGGCCATCACGGGCTCTGACACAAGTCAAGTCCTTAAGATAGTTTGAGACTGCCTTGGAGCCAACAAGGTAGTGCTGAGACCCGAACTCAAGATGCCACAGGAATGCCCAGATTAGAGTTCATATCCTGCTTTCCCTCCCACTTAAAAGCACCTGCCAGAGCATAGGGTGTTGGAAGTATCTCGGGCAAAAATCAGTAGAAGGAACTACTGATAGCATCTCCTGGCTCAAACTTATTCCATCTATTCTACTGCCACCTGATGATTTCAAGGCTTCTTGGAAACTTAAAAGAAAAGAAAAGAAAATATGGAAAAGGACATGGCTGCCTATTCTGTAGAGAGATGGGAGGACTCCTTACTCATCTATCCCACTGATAAGCTAATTTAACTGTCCTGTTTGGACGTGGAAGATTTATCCTGGCCAATTTAGCTAAACCTTTCATAATCTGGGGCAGTTTTAGGGGAGGAAAGTTGCATTTAACCTCATAAATACTTCCACTCTGGACCAGAATCAAGGCAGCCTCACTTTTCCAATGGCGCAGGCATCTGGCATCCCAGGTGTAATCCTGAACTGAATTATTTTCAGTTTTGCAGTGCTTGATAAGGTGTCTGAAGTGAGAGCATTTTGCTTCTCAGCTTTGCAGAGAATTGCACACATGGTTTTCACTCTCATTTTCTTTTGATATTTGAAATGATTTTATTACAAACTATAACTTTTTTATGAGTGACTACATCTGAGAAACTAAACGCAGTCTCCCAGTGGACTCAGCCATTTGTTAAACCATCACAGAATCTCCATGCAGAGGTTTTAAGAAGTGAGAGAGGCAATTTATCAACTCTTCATGCATATTCTCCTGACTGCTGAGGAAATTAAACTTGTTCTCACCTACTGAAACCTCAACACATTTTTATTATACAAATCTAATATGTGTTTAATGCTAACCTGCAATCAATTTACCCATTATGGTGAAATCCTAGTCGTACATTTTTTTCTCATTAGAAGTTTTGTTTTAGCGTATTCATTGATCCAGTTTATGAGTCTGTATCCAATGTTTTTGTAAGTTTACAATTTTTTTTTTACATAAAGCTTCTAATCTGGTCATTTTTATATTTTAATTTCCTATCTTAAGATATTAAATTAGATGGAAAACCTCCAAGTTCAGGAACAATGTCATATTAATCTCTGCCTCCAAGGGCCAAAGGAAGTGCCTGGTTCATAGTAAGTATCCCATAAATGTTTATTGAAATGCACATATTAAAATGCATTTGTGCCTTATATACAACACAGAAGCCTAATCCATTCTGCATTTTATCAATTTTTAATAGTTCTAATATGTGCTCTAGTATAAGCCATCTCAGATATCAGCAGGATATTTTAGTTATCTATACATTAAAAAAGAATATCAAAGTTCTCTACATATAAGTGGCTAGTGGATTCATATGAAGGTGTTCTACTTAATTCAGAATTAAACAAATGCAAATTAAAACATCAAGATAATTTTGTCCATCAGCTTGATACAAATGTAAAAGCCTGATAATATTTTGAGCATTTTGATCTGATGAGGGCAATGCCATAAATTGTTGACAGGAATTGAAATAGAAACATAAATTTGGGAGGAAAATGTTCATTCCACTTAAGAGAGCCGTCTAAATGTTGGAAATGAAACCTAGGAAAATAACGATACAAGTCTGTAAATACACATGTACAAACAGCTTTAAACTAAGTAATTTGACACAACAATAAATAATTAAAGCAATTGATAAATCATTTCAATGCCCATCAGTAGAGGCATGAATAAAATCAGTGGTTCATGCAATGGAATATAACACAACCTTTTCAAAAAGCAAGGTAGATCTGCATGGTCTGAAAAGATGATCAGGATATATTGTTAAGTCACAAAATGAATTGTGAAACAATGTGGATATAGAAAAATCCTGTTTTTCATTAGAAAAAAGTGGGTATTGTGTTTGTGTGTGTATGTGTGTGTGTGTACACAAACAGGAAAAGTGGGGAAAGGTAAATATCAAAGTGTTAATAGAGGAAGTCCTAGCTAGAGAAATCAGGCAAGAGTAAGAACTAAAAGATATCCAAATAGTAAAAGAAGTCAAACTCTCTCTCTTCACTAACTATATGATTTTATACCTAGAAAGCCCTAAAGACTCCTCCAAAAGGCTCCTGGAACTGATAAACAACTTCAATAAAGTTTCAGGACACAAAAATCAATGCACAAAAATCAGCATTTCTATACATCAACATTAAAACAGCCAAATCAAGAACACAATCCCATTTACAATAGCTACAAAAAATAAATACCTTGGAATACATATAACTAAAGAGGTGAAAGATTTCTACAAAAAGAACTGCAAAACACTGCTGAAAGATATTATATAGATTACAT
The DNA here is from genome assembly GCF_000001405.40 of Homo sapiens. Classification (NCBI taxonomy): domain Eukaryota; kingdom Metazoa; phylum Chordata; class Mammalia; order Primates; family Hominidae; genus Homo; species Homo sapiens. The sequence goes on along the minus strand of NC_000002.12, from coordinate 179,905,125 downwards.
AAACAAATGGAAAAATATGCCATGCTCATAGATTGAAAGAATCAACATCATTAGAATGGCCAAATTGCCCAAAGTAATCTACAGATTTAAAAATGTTTCTATCAAGCTACCAACACTATTTTTACAAAGCTAGAAAAAGCTATTCTAAAATTCATATGGAGGCAAAAAAAATAAAAGAGCCCAAATATCGAAAGCAATCCTAAGCAAAAGGAACAAAGCTGGAAGAATTACACTACCTGACTTGAAGCTATACTATAAGGCTACAATAACCAAAACAGCATGATACAAAACAGACACATAGGCCAGCAGAACAGAATAGAGAACCCAGAAATAAATCACACACCTGTGGCCACTTGATCACTGATAAAATAAGCAATGGGAAAGGACCCCTTATTTAATAAATGGTTCTGTGAAAGCTGGCTAGCCATAGGTGGAAGAATGAAACTGGACCCCTATATTTCACTAAATATAAAAAGTAACTCAACATGGATTAAAGACTTGTATGTAAGACCTCAAAACTATAAGAATCTTAGAGGAAAACCTAGGAAACATCATTCTGGACATCAGCCTTGGGGAAAAGTTGATGACCAAGTCCTCAAAAGCAATTGCAACAAAAACAAAAATTGACAAATAAAATCTAATTTAACTAAAGAGCTTCTGCACAGAAAAAGAAACTATCAACAGAGTACACAGAATGGGAAAAATATTTGCAAACTATGCATCCATCAGAGGTCTAATTATCCAGAATCTATAAAGAAATTAAACCAATCAACAAGCAAAAGACAAATAACCCCATTCAAAAGTGGGCAAAAGACATGAACAGACACTTCTCAGAAGAGGACATGCAAGTTTCCAACAAACATGGGAAAAAAATGTTCACATCAGTGATCATCAGAGAAATGCAAATTAAACCCACAATGAGATACCATCTCATACCAGTCAGAATGGCTATTACTAAAAATTCAAAAAATAACAGATGCTGGCAAGGCTGCAGAGATAAGGGAATGCTTATACACTGTTGGTGGGAATGTAAATTAGTTCAGCCACTGTGGAAAGCAGTGTGGAGATTTCCCAAAGAACTTAAAACAGAGTATCATTTGATCTGGCAATCCCATTACTGGGTATATATCCAAAATCGTTCTACCAAAAAGATACATGCACTTGCATGTTCATCACAGTACTGTTTATAATAGCAAAGACATGGACTCAACCTAGGTGCCTGTCAACAGTGGATTGGAGGAAGAAAATGTGGTACATATGCACTATGGAATACTATGCAGCCATAAAAAGAATACAATCATGTCATTTTCAGTAACATGGATGCAGCTGGAGGCCATTATCCTAAGCAGATTAACAAAGAAACAGAAAACCAACTACAGTGGGGAAAAAGCCTCAAAGGCATTTCAGAGAACTTTGCAGCAGCCCCTCCCATCACAGACCCAGAGGCTTAGGAGAACAGAATGGTTTTGAGGGTCAGGATCAGAGCCCCACTGCCCTTCACAGCCTCACCTCAGGACACTGCTCCATACATCCCAGTTGCTCCCGCTCCAGCCATGACTCAAAGGGGCCCAGGTGCAGCTCAGTTTGCTACATCAGAAGGGACAAGCCATAAGCCTTGGTGGCTTCCATGTAATGTTAAGCCTTCAGTGCATGGAGTACAAGAGTTGAGTCTTGGGAGCCTCCATCTAGATTTTAGAGGGTGTATGGAAAATCCTGGATGTCCAGGCAGAAACCTGCTGCAGGGGCAGAGCCCTCATAGAGAATCTCTACTAGGGCAATGTGGAGGGGAAATATGGGGTTGGACCACAAGGAATCCCCACTGGGGCACTGCCTAGTGGTGCTGTGAGAAGAGGGCTACTGTCCTCTAGACCCCAGAATGGCAGATCCACTGACAGCTTGCACCCTGCACCTGAAAAGCCATAGACATTCAGTGCCAGTCCTTGAGACCAGCCACAGGGCCTGAAGCCTAAAAAGCCACATGGGTGGAGCTGCCTAAGGCCTTGGGAGCCCACCCCTTGCATCAGTCTGCCCTGGATATGAGACATGGAGTCAAAGAAGATTGTTTTGGAGCTTTAAGATTTAATGACTGCCCTGCTGTGTTTCAGATTTGTGAGGGCCCTGCAGCCCCTTTGTTTTGGCTGATTTCTCCCTTTTGGAATGGCAATGTTTATCCAATGCCTGTATCCCCATTGTATCTTGGAAGTAACTAAATTGTTTTTTATTTTACAGGCTCATAGATAGAAGGGACTTGCCTTGTCTCAGATGAGGCTTGAGATTTTAGACCTTTGAGTTAATGCTGGAATGAATTAAGACGCTGGGGAACTGTTGGGAAGGCATGATTGTGTTTTGAAATATGTGAAGGACTTGAGATTTGGGAGGGGCCATGGGCAAAATGACATGGTTTGGATCTGTGTCCTCACCAAATCTCATGTTGAATTGTAATCCTCAGCGTTGGAGGTGGGGCCTGATGGGAGGTGACTGGATCATGGGGGAAGAGTTCTCATGAATGGTTTAACGCCATCCTCTTTGGTACTGTATAGTGAGTGACTTATCACAAGATCTGGCTGTTTTACCATTGTGGAAGACAGTGTGGCAGTTCCTTAAGGATCTGCAACCAGAAATACCATTTGACCCAACAATCCCATTACTGGGCTTATACCCAAAGGATTATAAAACATTCTACTATAAAGACACATGTACACTCATGTTTATTGCAGCACTATTCACAATAGCAAAGACTTGGAACCAACCCAAATGCCCATCAGTGATAGGCCAGATAAAGAAAATGTGCCACATATACACCATGGAGTACTATGCAGCCATAAAAAAAAAAAAAAAAAAAAAAAAAAAACACCATGGAGTTCATGTCCTTTGCAGGGACATGGATGAAGCTGGAAGCCATAATTCTCAGCAAACTAACACAGGAATGGAAAACCAAACACCATATGTTCTCACTTACAAGTGGGAGTTGAAGAATGAGAACACATGGACACAAGGAAGGAAACATCACACACTGGGGCCTGTCGGGGTGTGGTGGGCAAGGGGAGGGAGAGCATTAGGACAAATAGCTAATGCATGCAGGGCTTAAAAACTAGATGATGGGTTGATAGGTGCAGGAAACCACCATGGCACATGTATACCTATGTAACAAACCTGCACGTTCTACACACGTTTCCCAGAACTTAAAATAAATAATAATAATATACTAGAAAAAAACAACTGATTGTTTTAAAAGTGCATAGCATGTCCCCCACCCTGCACTTGCTCCTGCTCCCACCATGTGAGATACTTATCTCCCCTTTGCCTTCTGCCATGATTGTGAGTTTCCTGAGGACTACCTCCCTAGAAACCAAGCAGATGCCAGCATCATGCTTCCTGTATAGCCTGTGGAACTGTGAGCCCATTAAATCTCTTCTCTTTATAAATTACTAAGTTTCAGATATTTCTTTATAGCAGCATGAGAACAGACTGATACACTGAATTATTATAGATCATACAAACATCGGAGGATTGGTATAGAATAACCTCTTTTAATTTTTATTTTGTTAGAAATATATTTTCCCTTTTCAACCTTTGTGTTAGAGAAATAGAAATAATTTAGAGCATGTGGCTAAATTGGACACAATGATTACTAGAAGATCATTATTTTCTTACGCTTTTTGCCATGGTTTGAATGTGTCCCCCAACATTTGTGTGTTAGAAATTTAATCTCCAGTGTAACAGTGTTGAGTGGTGGGACCTCTAAGAGGTAGTTAGACAGAGCCCTCATGAATGGCTTAATGCTGTTATATTGGGAGTAGATTTCTGATGGAAGGATGAGTTTGGTTTTCTTTCTCACTCTCTCTCATCCTCTCTTGCCTTTCCACCATGGGATGATGCAGCATGAAGACCCTCACCAGATGCTGGCACCATGCTCCTGGACTTTCTAGCCTCCAGAACTGTGAGCCAAATGTATTTCTGTTCATTATAAATTACTAGTCTGTGATATTCTGTTATTGCATCATAAAACAGACTAAGACACGTTTAATATAAATTTCTTGTCACTTATTCTTTAAATCATTTTGAGAAACATTGAGAAGATGCAGGAATCTGGAAGTTATGAAGTCATTAAAAATGGAAGAAGAAAAAATAGGTACGGTCATACACCGCAAAACATTTCAGTCAACAATGGACTGCAGATGAGATGGTGGTCCCATAAGATTATAACGGAACTGAAAAATTTTTATTGCCTGGTGATGTAATAGCCATCAAAACTTCCTAGTGCAACACATTAGTCATGTGTTTATGGTGATCCTCATATAAACAAACCAGCTGTGCTGTGCTGCCAGTTGTACAGAACTATGTACACATACGATTATGTATAGTACATAATACTTGATAATGATAATAAATGGTTGATTTACTTACTATACTATACTTTTTATCATTATTTTACAGTGTTGAACTTCTACTTACAAAAAAAGTTAACGTGTAAAACAACCTCTGGCAGGTTCATCAGGAGGTATTGCAGAAGAAGGCATTGATACAAGGGATAACAGCTTCATGTGGGGTATTGCCCCTGAAAGTCTTCCAGTGGGACAAGGTGAGGTGGAAGACAGTGATATTGATGATTCTGACCCTGTGTTGGCCTAGGGCAATGAATGTGTTTGCAGCTTAGTTTTTAACAAAAAGTTTAAAAATTAAAATAGATAAAAGCTTATAGAATAAGGATATAAACATTGAAATATTTTTATACAGCTGTACAATGTTTTTGTGTTTTAAGCTGTTCTTACAAAAGAGTGAAAAAGTTAAAAACAATTAAAAAGTTTATAAAATAAAAAAGTTACAGTGATATAAGGTCAATTTAATATTAAAGAAAGTTTTAAAAATAAATTTAGTGTAGCCTAAGTGTGCTTTGTTCATAGTCTACAGTAGTGTATAGTAATGTCCTGGGCCTTCACTCAGCACTCACTCACGGACTCACCCAGATCAACTTCCAATTCTGCAAGCTCCATTCTTGGCAAATGCCCTATACAGATGTGCTGTTTGTTTTTATTTTTAATCTTTCATACCATATATTTGTTGTCTCTTTTCTATGTTTAAATACCAAATACTTCTCAGTGTGTCATAATTGCTTACAGTGTTCTGTACAGTAATTATGTGTATAGGTTTGTTGCCTAGGAGCAACAGGCTATACCATAGAGCCTAGGCGTATGGTAGGCTATACCATCTAAGTTTGTGTAAGTACACTCTATGATACTCACACAATGATGACATCACCTAACCATGCATTTCTCCAATTGTATCCCATTGTTAAGGGATGCATGACTCTATTTTAGTGACAGCTGTACAAATCTCAAAGAAAATTGGAGAAGACTAGGGCCAAGATGGAGGGGCTAATAAGTTACAATTTGAGGATGCTTACACTCCTTCATTCATTTAATCAATAATTTTTTATTCAGCATCTACTGTGTCTAATAATGTAGGCACTGTGGCTCAGTGATGGCAAAACAGGCAGGGTCTTGCTGTTAAGTGCCTTGAGCACTGTGGGGGCATCATGATCCACTCGTTCACCACTTCCTGCCAACCACCCTCCTGCTTCACAAGGTCCCTGCTCCTGTGAAGCTAGTGAGAATAGTCACAATACAGTTGATGAGAAAATAACTATATGGTATTTTAGATAGTGGTCAGAATTATAAAGAAAATAAAGCAGAGGCAATGATGGGAGTAACTGAGATGAGTTGGGTTTATGTGGGTACTTTAGACAGAGGGTTCAGGGAAGGGCTTTCTGGGAAGGGACGTTTGCCCTGAGTTCCAAGTGTTGGAAAGATGATAGCCCTGACATTGGAGAAAATATTCTAGGCAGAAGGAAAAATGTAAGAGCTCTGAAATAACTGTGCTCAGGTGCTGTGGACTGAATTGTGTTCTTCCCCAGAATTCACATGTTGAGGCGTTAGAGGCCAACGTGACTGTATTTTGGCAACAGGGCCTACAAAGTTAAAGGAGGTTGTAAGGCTGAGGCCCTGATACAATAGGGTTAGTGTCCTTATAAGAAGTGACACCAGGGTGCGCTCTCTCTCTCTCTCTCTGCCATGTGAGGACACAGCAATTAAGCAGCTATCTGCAAACCAGGAAGAGGCCTCACTGAGAATGGAACCAGTTGGCATTTTAATTTTGAACCATGAGAAAATAAATTACTGTTGTAAACAGAAAGCCACCCAGCCTGTGGTATTCTGTTATGGTAGTCTGACCGCACTAAAACATCAGTTTAGAATATATTTAAATCAGAGCTTACAGGACTTCCTCACAAATTAAATGTGCAGAGTAGGGGAAAAAAGGTCAAACATAACTTTGAGGGTTTTTTGTTTTTTGTTTTGTTTTGTTTTGTTTTGTTTTTTGCCTGAGTTACTGGGAAGATGTTGATGCATTATTAAGATGGGGGATACCAGGGTGGGGAGAGAGAATATGTGAAGTGGGAGGAAGCAGGATCAGGAGTCTCATTGCTCATTCATTAATGTTAAGATTTCTGCCTGCTACTCATTGCCATGCCATTGGACATATGAGTTAGGGCTCAGGGATGAGAATGGAAAGTTGGGAACCATCAGCATTCCCACCAGGTCTAAAGCTGTGGAACTGGGAGAGATTACCTAGTGACATGTGTCGACAGGGAGTCAGTGGCATTCCAGCATTCTGAGAGAAACCAAAGGAGTAGCCAGTGAAATTAGAAGCTTGTGAGGCAGGGACAGCACAAAAATCAAGAATGGTCCAATTGATGCTAATGTTCTAAGAGGCTGAGTGAGATGAGGAAAGAGATTGAGGACTGGATTTGGCCTATAGAGGTCACAGGGCAACTGGATAACAAAAGTTTCACCGGAATAAGGGAAGCAAAATGTCTGTTTGGAAAGAGTGAAAATGGAAGGTGAAAAAGTGGAGACAGGTTTTATGCAGAACTTTGTTCCAATAGGGAGCAGAAAAATGAAGCCGTAGACAAAAAGAGTGCAGGATCAAGAGACAAATTTAAAAAATATTTTTATGATGGAGAGTTTAAAACATGTACAAAAATAGACCTACTAGTACAGAACCCCCAAGAGTTTTTTTTGTTTTTGTTTTTGTTTTGAGATGGAGTCTCTCTGTCACTCAGGCTGGAGTGCAATTGTGCGGTCTCTGCTGACTGCAACCTCCGTCTCCCGAGTTCAAGTGATTCTCCTGCCTCAGCCCCTCGAGTAGGTGGGATTACAGGCGTGCGCCACCATGCCCAGCTAATTTTTGTAGTTTTAGTAGAGACGAGTTTCACCATGTTGGCCAGGGTGGTCTCGAACTCCTGACCTCAGATAATCTGCCCACCTCGGCCTCCCAAAGTGCTGGGATTACAGGTGTGGGCCACTGTGCCAACCAATAGTTTTAAGAGTTAACATTCTTGTTAATCCGTACTGGTATGCACTTAGCTACTTCCACATTTTTGGGGGGTAGGGGAGGTATATGATGTCTCACTATGTTGCCAAGGCTAGACTCACACTCCTGGGCTCAAGCAATTCTCCCACCTCAGCCTCCTGAGTAGCTAGAATCAAAGACACACACCACTGCACCTGGCTGTATTTCTATATTATTTTGAAGCAAATCCTAAATATCACTAATTTTTCTAGAAACATTTGAAGACTGTATCTCTAAAAGATGAGGACTTTTTGCAATAAATATAATCATAATACCCTTATGACACCTCAAAACAACTAATAATTCCTTAATATCAAATGTCCAAGAAAGGGTTCAAAGTTCAAATTGGCTCATAAATTTTATAATTCTGTAGGATTTGTTTGAATTTTCAAACAAGATTCTACCATTGAAATCCCTTTTGGCTTTCATTGCTGTGTCTTCCTTAATTTTGTTAGTCTATAAATTCTCTCTATCTTTTCCCCCCTTGCAATTTATTTTTGAAGAGACTAGGTTGTTTATTGGTAGTCTAGGTATACCTATAGTCTAGGTATTTGTCTTAGCCTGTTTCTGTTGCTATAACAGAATATCTGAGACTGGGTAACTTATTAAAAACGGAAATTTATTTCTCACAATTCTGGAGGCTGAGAAGTCCAAGATCAAGGTACTGGTAGGTTAGATGTCTGGTTCCATCATGACGCCTTCTGTATTCTCTGGAGAGGAGGAATGCTATGTCCTCACATGGCAGAAAAGCAGCAAGAAGAGAACCTGTGTCCCTCAGAATTCGTGTTTCAAACACTTAATACCCAATGCAGCATTAATTCACTTCCCAACACTTATGCATTGGGTATTTTTTAAAACATGAATTCTGGGGAACACAGTCAGACTATAGCAGAATTTCTTATTAAACTTCTGTGGTTTTGTTTAATATGTTCCTCTTCTTTTGTATTTCCCCAGCATAAACAGTTGGATGAAATAGTTGGATCAGATTCAGGTTTAATTTTTTTTTGTGGGGACGAGATTGTTTCATGGGTGGTGATATGTTTATCCATCAAGAAGAACGTAATGTCTGGTTGCTGCTCTTTCTGTGATGTTAGCAGCCACTGACGCTCGATGCTCCAATATATTCATCAACTAAATATTTCAAAATGGTGACATTCTAATTCTATCCTTCCTTCATCATTTATTAATTTGAATACTTCCTTCATCATTTATTTGCTTAGAGTTTGTTTAAGAAAGGCAGAATAAACATTGAATTCTTTCTCTTTAACAGTTTTGTGGTAGTAAATAAGTTATGTAGTATCCTCTAACAATTAGCAATTTTTAAAATATCGAACTCATGAATTTAAATATATTTAATGTGTTTCAATGTGTTGAAGTTATTATTCTTATTGACACTGAAATCATTCCTGTTTGTGTGCAGGAAAGCTTCTTCAATTTACCATCCTTTGACATGCCCTCATAGTTTATTACAGCTTTCTTGCTATCTGGTATAACAAGCTGTTCTTGGCTCACCTTGTAGAATTATTATCTTACATCTGAAATCATCTATTTCTCCAAGGAGAAGAATCTTTATTTTAAATGAGAGAGGTGGAAGCATATTTGTATATTGATGGAAATAATTCAATTGAGAGGAGAGAATTGCAGGAGCAAATTCCTTGAGTAACGGAGAGAGAATAGGGTAAATGGAACTCGTGGCCTTAGGTTGGAACAGAGACAGCTCATTACTGTAATAGTGCATTGGGCAGAGCAAAATGCTATAGAAATATAAGAGCCATATGGATGATTAGGCAATAAAACTTTGTCTATAATTCTGTGTTAAATCATCACATTTCCCACTTACAAATTCTCTTTTGTTTTTCTATAAATTCCACAATCAAGAAATCACAAAATGTATGAATATCAATGCACTAAATTTTCTAGTTTGTCCATAGATTGTCAAGAATTATTTAAAACTCAAAAGAAAAATACTTAAACATTAAGACTAAAAATTGTTTATATCTAATTATTTTTCTTTTAATGTGCAAACTGGATATTTATTCTTGATATATTTGAAAAACTGAAAAATACTGACATCATGATTTATTTGCTTTTGCTAGTTTGAATCATGACCATAGAAGGATCTTGCTTTAAGCCACAAAGTTCCCAACTAATGAATGTCCTTGACATACAAATGGCAACCCCACCTTGTCAGACTTGACTAAAGAGTTCTCCCCTCTTCTTTTTCTTTATAATCATCCCTCTCTTTGCAGAGCCTATAGCATTTCCCCTTTTCATCATTTCCTTCTCTCATCCATAATGTCCATTCCACTACATTATTAATGCTGTTAAATATTGCCTAGATATAAAAAGTGTGAACTCTCTTCTCTCATCCTTAGGCCTGTTGTAGATGTACTAAGTGAGATTGTTACTCTCGCTCTTCTCCCCACCAGAGTCCTTGTTCCCTACATTTTTGTCCAGCTGGATGGGAAGGCAATTTTGAAGAGACAGGATGGCTTTAAGTAATATCAAAGCCTGAAATACATTCTTTAGTGCATTTCAAGCAGGGGACTGAAAAAGAGGCTTTTAGGGCAAGACCCTGATGATGGAACTGGATAGGAAAGAAAGAGAAATATAGGGAGTAGAAGAGTGCTGCTGGCAAAATTTGCAGTATTGAAATATTGCTTATTACCAACCAGCAAAGATTGCAAGAGGAAACTATTCTCCTTTCTCTTCTTTCTTCCTTTAACATCGAAGGCACTCTGGTCCCAGGATCCTGAAATTGATCTACTTATTAATGGTACTAATATATTGCAGGTCACCAGCATTAGAGTTTAAAAGAATCAGTTTGGAAAACTTGACTAAAACGATTTTGATGGAAACATTTCATTCCAATTTTTCAGTAATCAATTTTCAACTCATCTTTGGAACTCAGCATAATCATAAATTGTAAATACATACATGAGCTGTATGCCAAATTGAATTTTCAAGCTACAAATTAATATCTAATCACTCAGTTTGCAGAAGTATTGACACTGATATTCCTTTAAAACAAGAACTTTGGTATTTGTTTCCAGACCATTAACTACTTGATAGAGGATCTAGGGGTGGGTTAAGCAGTCTAATGCACAAAAGTTGAAAATTGTTAGACAAAGATGAGTGAACAATAAATGTTAAATTATAAGGAGATATGAAAATAGAATTGATTTATTGATCTATATATCTTAGAAACAAATCTATTTGTGAAAATGAAGTAGAGCATTAATTGCTCACCAGGCACATAGTATAATTTTGTTGTTTTTGTTACAGAGAGTAACCAAGTATTTTCCTCTTACAACGTGAAATACTCACCAATATTTTCTTATCCCACTGTACAGATTTGCATATTATTTCATACACTTAATTGAAATGTTTATATATATATATGCATGCTAGTTATGGGAGAAGTTTAGTGTCACTCTATCACATATATCCCAGAGGGTTATTAAAATTTAATGAGCATCGGTTGGTGATAAATCCTAGAGTGATGATTTAAAACAAGATGGCAAAGTAAGGCAGTTAAGCAGGTACTTCGGGAAAATGCAGAGTTGTTTCGCTTGATGCTTCTACGTATTTTTTTAAATTTCCTCTTAGATGTAATCTAATATTTATACCACTGAGTGATTTGAGTGAGATAGAATGATTGGCATTCTGGGAAAAGTCACGGGGCAAAGTTTTTGAGCATAGACCACTCTGTTTAGTGAAGGTAACTTCTATACCGGTTTGTAGGATTGAAAGAGGAAGAAACTGGAGTGTTGGAGATGAAATAGAAGACTCTTGCATTTGCCTAATGAGCAAGAGATGAGGCTCAGAATTAGTGTAGGAGCAATGGAAATGGAAAGAGGGGGTGGTTTCTAGATTTTTACGGGGGTAGGATTGTGATAGCCTAGTGACAGACAGAGGAACACAGGATGGGGGGTGATGCAGAAGCCTCCCACATTTATGCAGAGAAAGAGAAAGGAGAGTTAGAGAAAGGTATTGGGAAGGAGAAAGTTTGAAGAAAGCCGCACAATGTTTCAGAAGTCAAAGGAGGAGAGAGCTTCAAGAAGAGGTCAACAGAAACAAATGATTCAGATAAATACTGTTAGAGGAGGACGAAGAAGACACATGGATTTAACAAGTAGAAAGTTGATGTTAGTTTTTAATAATGGGATGAGACTGGAAGCCAGCTTGTAGCAGGTTGAGGAGTAAAAGAAGTGTTAGCTTGGAGGAAACAAGAGTAAAGAATGATTTTTGAGAAGTGGTGATGAAGTGTAAATGAGAGTAGGTTATAACTCTTTAGGAAGAATAAGGTTGGGAAGATAGTTTTATTAGGATAATGGAAGTGGATTCTAAAAATACAATGAAGAGGTGGGGTAGTAGTCTCTTACATTGGTGACCCCCAATGAACTATATCTCCTGGGATTCATTCCCTGTGTATTCCACTCCCCTTGAATTTGGGATGGCCCTGTGACCAACAGAATGTGATGCTCTTAGACAGTCTTCCAAGCCAAGGTATTAAGAAGACCTGGCAGCTTCTGCTTCTTCTGCTCTTGTATTTTGGAAGAAGGCAGCTGCCATAGAAGAAGTCTGACTACCTGACACCACCCTGCTGTGGGGAAAACCTATGCTATCCATGTGGAACCACCATATGGAGAGAGAGAAAGATGTCCAGCCATCCCCCAGTTGTTCAAGGCACCCCAACTCAGGCACCAGACACAAGTGAAGAAGCCATTTTGGATTTTCCAGCTACAGACGATGCCACTTGATCACAGAGGAGCCCCCACTCTGCCTAAATTGCAGACTTGAGCAAATAAATATTGTTTTAAGCACTGATGGTTTGGGGTGATTGATATGCAGCAATATGTGACTGTAACAAGTGACTTTTTAAAATATGGATGGAGAGGTGTGGAGGGATAGAATAAAGCCCCAAAGAAGGTGAGTGGGCATAGGGTCTGGTGGAAGAACTGGTCATCTTGGAAGCGAGTAAGGACACTGGTTTTCTGAAGCATAAATAATTGAGGGTAGGGAAGGTAAAATGAAATTAAAATTAGATATGGATGGGAGGAAATTGGACCCATCCAAGTTAGACAGTGAGATATTATGTTGAGAATGAAGGCTGCACAAAGAAGCTGAGAGCTGCAGAGGAGAAAAAAGATTGTGAGTGGAATAGAGATTCATTCTGAGATGAGTAAATGGATGGATGGCAGAGGCTGTTAGAGCCCCAGTGAGTGTGATAGTCATGAATTTGTGATCAGGCCAATCAACAAGGCTTGGTGATTATTTGTGCCCATCCTTACTGAGATTGGCTTCCTTCAGTGATTTAAACTATTTAGTTAGGTTACCAGCCATTCCACTTGGTTTAGGGGATTTGGATGCCAGTTATATTAACAAATAGGAAAAATATATAGCCCAACTGAAACTTTTGAGTATTTCAGGTTTTTCAGAGACTCTTCCCAGTTTTGTATTTTAAAAAGCATGGCCCTGTTTCTTGCCCATTTGCAATACTAAAAATGATTTTCATTAGCAATTGCTGAATCATATACCTGAGATTACAGACAATGCTATTTATACTAAAGAAATTGAGTGCACATCTATTTTAGCTTCCTGCCCTATTTTCATACTTTTATCCATTTGGATTTTTGTCCCATATGTTGTCCTTAGCACCGTCTTAAGCTGCTGTCTAGTTATAGCTCAAAAAAACTTCCGTTCCAAATGGGGCTTTATTTCAGTGGGATGGTAGGGGGTGGCGGTGTACTTTCTTTCAATCTATTACTTAACGGACAGATATTGTGAAGATTAATTAGTCAATTATTAAAAGTTCTCTGTGGTAGCAAAACAAGAGTTAGTTTTTATACCCAAGAATTGTAGAGCAACTGGTTTTTTTAGCTCCTTATATGAAAAATAAATTCCTGGAGGGCTTTGGAATGTGGAAATCCAAGGCTGAAGTTATCCAATGACTTTGAGACACTAATAGGAGTTCATGATATCCCCATATCACTACTGAATAAAATCCAGTAGCTTCTACCTGATCCATTGCCTCATCTTGACCTCCAGAGGCTCCCTGCTCCTTTACCTCTTACTTTTCTGAGCCTCAAATTCATGATTAGTTTGATGGCTGGCTTTGAATACTGGGTCCTACTTATTTTTGTGCCAGGACCTAACTGTGTTGGTTCTCTCAGATCTGGCTGCTCAGTCTGACTTTATGATAGACGGCAATCAATGGATCTGAAGTTTCACCCTTTGATACACCTCTCACCAACTAGGGTGTGGCCCCACAATAAGGAAAGAACTTGCTAAGATGCAATATCCATTGACCTGTGCCATGCAATGCCTAGTTCTGTTGCTAAACACAGGGAGTACTCAGTGACATTCAGGTAAGTTTAGCAGCTACTAATTAGGTTTGTTCACCAGAAAGTCCCAACAGGCCATTTAAATGTGACAAGGCAACACAGGTTGTCACGTTAGGGTTGATGAGTAATGTTCCAATTGCATTCAGTGAGGAAATCTAGGTTAGAATTCATTACTGGTTCTTTCATTCATTAGCTAGTAACTGATTTAGGACTTCTTTAGGTTCATACCTATTTGCTGGAAGTTAATATACATTAAGACAAGCATAGAGTCACTATCAACTTAAAGAAATGACAGCCTAAAGGAAATTGAAGTTATATATCATGTTATTTGCTATGGATAAATAAGCTAAGCATTTCAATGGAAACAAAAGCACATTTTTTGCAATCCCAGTCAAACTACATGTTAAATACATTAGGAAGGAGAAAATAGAATCAAACAGATCTATGGCTTGGAAACTGGATTGGCATCAACATAGCTGGAAAATTCAGGCCAAGTTTGAGATGTGCTAAAAAACAAATTTCCTAAAGGGCTGGGAGACTTTGGCATGCAGTGTTAAGCAGTTAAATTCTAGAGCTGTTTCATTTGTGCCAGGTACTTACCATCAGGGACATCAAACTTGCATAACTACACTGCAGTTTTACTACTGAAAATAAACTTTTCTTGGCCTGAAAATGTGTAGAAGGTAAATAGCAAGAAGATGTCAAAACTGCTGTGCAAAAAGCTTAAGGGAAACATTCATAGGATGAAGCTTGAACATAAAGAACTCCTCAAAGACATCTGGCAAAACAATTTTCCTGTAAGAGGTAGCCATTACCTGGTTTGAAACAACAAACCAAGCAAACTTACTTCATGTGAGGCCTTCCAAAACGATAACTAGCAACAAGGATGCCCCAGAGATGGTCATCAGTAGCAACATTGGAACATTTAATTCCTATTATGGTATGAAAATACAACTTTTAATACAATGCTTGGAGTGGATGCTTTTATGCTCCATGTATACACCCCATTCTGGGCAAAGGTGCTCTTTCTCTCAGCTACCTAGGACACGGGCTGCTGGCAACTCAGAGCTGATTCCCTCATGCTCTGTTGAAAAGAGCTGCTTTGCCCAAGGTTATGCCCCCTCCACAGCCCATATCCAGTGACTGGTACAAAGGCCTGCCCTCCTTGTCTTGATTCAGGACAACTCTTAAGGGCCATCCCAGCTTCATATTTTCCCTCCAATACTGTGGAGGCCTCTGTTGCAACTGCCTGGAACTTCTCACTCTGTCTTATTATCCTGCTTTTCTCATGCTCAAAAAGGTGTTGTTCCTGAGAGCTAATGCAATAAACCGCTCACAGGCAAATCTCTCTCAGCGTCTCTTTCCCCAGAATTCAATGTAAGACAATGTTAATCTGATACTAACACTGTGTAATGGGACAGAAATGGCCAATGTACACTTTTTCCCAGCCTTCCTTTCCTCTACTCCTCTAAAGAGGAGTCATACTTTGCCTGCTTCATTTCTTCTCCTGAACCAACCTTCTAGGAGCAGCATACCACATTGTAGAGATTCTATAAAAGGAGAAAGGTGGTAGGGAGAAGGATTATAGTGCTGATGAGATGAGATGCAGGAGAAGCTGTGGCAAATAATAAAAGTATTTGGGATTAAAAGGAGATTTAATAAGAAATATCATTGTGTACAACGTATGAATTGAATTGTTGAGAAATTAATTTTTGTGACTTTACTGTCATTCCATTCTGAGGTTGGATTACATGTGTCACAACTTTTAAGCTTTATATTTGATTATGAGTAACTTCAGCTTTGGGTGTGAACAAATACACCAGCAAAGCCAATATTTTAGGAGTGTTTAAAAATAGGGCAAAGTTTTATATAGTCTGACCTATATTCTTTTAATCCTATGAATTTAAATAAACAAAATATAGATTTATAGGGTTCAGGATTTTAAACAATAGGGTTCATAATAAGATAAAAATAATTAAATAATGTTTTCAACCCTAACAATGAGAGATATCTATCAGGGTAACCCGCCCCCAATATTTCAACATAGGTTCTTTCTATTTTCCCTAAGTGTCGGCCGGTCTGAGAAATAAAGAGAAAGAGTACAAAGAGAGGAATTTTACAGCTGGGCTGCCAGGGGTGACATCACATATCGGTAGGTCCGTAATGCCCCACCTGAGCTGCAAAACCAGCAAGTTTTTATTAAGGATTTCAAAAGGGGAGGGGGTGTACGAACAGGGAGTAGGTCACAAAGATCACATGCTTCTGAGGCCAATAAAGATCACAAGGCGAAGGGCAAAGCAAAGATCACAAGGCAAAGTGCAAAATTAGAATTACTGATGAGGGTCTATGTTCAGCCATGCATGTATTGTCTTGATAAACATCTTAACAGAAAACAGAGTTTGAGAGCAGAGAACCAGTCTGACCAAAATTTACCAGGCTAGAATTTCCCAATCCTAGTAAGCCTGAGGGTACTGCAGGAGACCAGGGTGTATTTCAGTCCTTATCTCAACCGCATAAGATGGACACTTCCAAAGCAGCCGTTTATAGACCTCCCCCCAGGAATGCAATTGTTTTCCTAGGGTCTTAATATTTAACATTCCTCGCTAGAAGGAGAATTAAGTGATATCTCTCCTACTTGCACGTCCATTTATAGGCTCTCTGCAAGAAGAAAAATATGGCTCTTTTTGCCCGACCCCGCAGGCAGTCAGACCTTATGGTTGTCTTCACTTGTTCCCTAAAATTGCTGTAATTCTGTTCTTTTTTAAGGTGCACTGATTTCATATTGTTCAAACACACATGTTTTACAATCAGATTTCATGTTGTTCAAACACACGTTTACAATCAATTTGTACAGCTAACGCAATCATCACAGGTTACGTACAATCTCAGCTTATGAAGATAACAGGATTAAGAGATTAAAGAAAAGACAGGCATAAGAAATTTTAAGAGTATTATTTGGGAAATGATAAATGTCCATGAAATCTTCACAATTTATGTTCAGAGATTGCAGTAAAGACAGGCATAAGAAATTATAAAAGTATTAATTTTGGGAACTGATAAATGTCTATGAAATCTTCACAATTTATGTTCCTCTGCCATGGCTCCAGCCGGTCCCTCCGTTCAGAGTTCCTGACTTCCTGCAACAGACATCTAAACCCCTATTAAAACATCCTTCAAAAACATCTACAAGTGTCAGCCACATACATATGGGAGCTTGAATACCAGTATAATGGTCTATGGGGATTTAGGGACAGGAGGATTGAGACACTCCAGAAATCGGCATTTTAGATATTCAGTAAGTTACAATTATTCTAACGTCTAATACCAATGGCACATAAGTATAATTGTTCAGGCTGGAGTAAGATGCAAGAGCATGTGAAGATAAGTAGAAGTCCCTTTCCTATTAGACTCACAGCCCAGGGACCATGTCCTTATTGGATTCTCTTGAATTGGTTTTGGGTTGGTTGTGAATCAGAGCATCCTGAGTTACAAGACAAATCTTTTTTTTTTTTTTGGCTATTCAAAAAATAGGGGTAGTTAAGAATTATTAGCCAATTTTTCTCAAGATTAAATATTTCTCAAGAATAAGTCTTAAAAATATAGGTAAGTACCTTTAGTGTTACACATAGGACAAGTATTCCAAGTATATCTGATTTCAAGGAACTTGTAGTCATCATGAGCTTCAAGTAAATCTACCAAGATGCTCCAATTTGTCATCTTTCAAGGCCTAATAGACAAGCTTTCCTCTTAAAGATCTCTGTCTCTTTGATTTGGTTGCAAAGACTCCAAATTCAGGGTTGCAGAGCTTATTGGAGGAACTTAGGACAAGAAAACTAAACACCTTTTTCAGAGGAAAGGATAGAGAGTGGTGGGTTGCCCATGTCCATGTCCCCTGTATCTTCAAACCCACACAGAGATCTATTAGGTTATTTTTGAAACTGGTCCCATTTCTGTCCTATGCTCATACCCCTGGCCACCTGTGAAGTTGACCTCCAGAAATCAATACCTATAACTTTAAATTTTATTTAAAAATTTATTTTGGAATCCCAAATTTAAAAAATTGTATCAGAAACATTGACATATACTTTTTATAATGTTATTTGGTACATGATAGGTGTTTATAATTCAGAACAGAAATATGTAGAGGGTTAGTCCTTTGAATCTTACCATTCTTTAAAAAATATATTGAAATACAGCATATGTAACCACAAGTAAGTACTTTTTAAGCGTATAATGCAAGGAATTTTCACACAAGAAACACACTTGGTTAAAGAAACAGAACATTATTGGCACCCAGAAGCCCCTTGTGCCTCCTTCTAGTTGCTGCCCTGCACCAAAGATACTGCTACCTTGACTTTTTACTCCTTAGGTTGGTTTTGAGTGTTTTGTTTTTGCATTGCACATAATTGGATGCAAAAAAAGATGTATTTTTTGAGTCTGGTTTCTTTCTTCACTCAGTATTATTGTATTTATAAGATTTATCCTTATTGCTGCATGTTGCTGTAGATCATTCATTCTTATTGCAAGTATTCCATTGTATGAGAATGCAACATATTTACGCCTTCTTCTAGAAACACTGTCCCTACAACCAGCCACAGAAATCTAATTTTCTACACATGGATATAGAGTGTGAACTAATATATAAGGAAGGGTGAGAGAGTGGGAGGGAGAGAATGATAAACTAACTAATGGGTACAATGTACATTATTTGGATGATGACTTCACCAAAATCCCAGACTTCACTACTAGGCAATATATCCATGTAACAAAGCTGCACTGGTATCCTTTAAATTTATATAAATTTTTTAAAAATCTAATTCTCATTGTTTTGTCTGAATCTCTGGAGCTACTCAATGCTCTGGGGTGGGGACACTAAACTTCCCCAGGCTTTTTATCCCTTTATGACCAAAAAGCCATTCCAGCCCACTTTAAAAACCTAGAGTTGCACTTTCAAAACAGTAGTCCTTGCCCATATGTGACTATTGAACACTTGAAATGGGGGGGCTACTATTATACTATGATTTCAGATGTGCTGCATATGTAAAATACACACTGAATTTCAAAGACTTGCTATGAAAAAATAATTCAATACTTTTTATATTGATTACTTGTTGAAATAATGATTTGGCTATGTTTGACTAAATAAAATATATTCTAGCATTAATTTCACTTTTTTTAACTTTAAAAATGTGGCTACTAGAAAATTTAAAATTAGATGATATTCATTATTTTTTGCAGGGGGTAGTGTTGATCTAGATACCTATCTTATATAGGTGGCTTAGTTATTATTATTATTATTATTATTATTATTATTATTATTATTATTTTGCTAAAAGCTAGAATGTTAGACCAGGTGATCTCCCAAGTTTTTTGTTCAAAAAAATTATCTGAAGGTATACATGTCCACTGGAGCAAATACACGTAATGCCCGATTACTCCTTCCGCAATTTGAAGTTGGTCCAAGTGAGAACCAATGCATACCTGCATAGGATGCGGGTGCTACACATAGGCCTCGGGTAGCAAACGAGCATGGGTATTACATTAAGCACTGTTATCACTTTAATTAAAACTGTGAAAAGAGATGTTGATTATAGAAGTATATGAGGCTAAAATTCATGAGAGGCTTCACATTTTGAGCCTCCATAGGGAAACCAGTTTTCACTTCACTTAACACTGTTTATAGCTGCTGTTTGTTTATATGGAACATGGCAGCTAAAGTTCAAACAATTTACATATAGCAATGTAATTTATATGGAGTCATTTTGCAGGCCAGCTGAATAAAGAGTCAATTAATTTTAAAGTTTTTAGACACGTGTTTAGGTTTTATCATTTACAGACTGCATCTCAGATCAATTCCAAACATTCAAATTAAAGTAGTCTCACAAGTCCCACATCCATAAAGAAATTAAGATAATCCTAGTAAAATAGAAATATATATGTAAGAATTCTTTAAAGTGAAGATATGATTCCTAACAACATAGCTGAATTCCATATTCCACTCATATGAGAGGTTTTATTCTGATATATTGCTTTTAATCTGGTAGAATTGAGGACTGTTGAGCATTTCACTGGGCAGGTAAATTTTTTAATCTTTTGGTACATCTGAGTTTTTATTTTTTTTTACTCATTTTTGTATTCTTCTCCAGTGTCATTATTACTTATTGGTGACAAATACACACGCATGCCTCTTATCTTTAAAGTCAGAAAGCCTTTAAATTATTAACAACCCACAGAAATATGGCCTCTTCATTACGCATTATATTATGTTTCAGATTCCCCATTGCCCTAATCCTTTAATTAAAACTGGTGCAATTTAAATAATTGCAATGATGTTTTCATAATTTTATATTTTAATTGCATTTAAATGATGAATATTTGATGCCGTATATTTGTCAGACAGATAGGAATAAGAATCCTAGTTCACCAAAAGACAGTTACCATGATTTAAACTAGGGAGGCCTGATTAAAAGAATTAGGAAATTAGGCACAACATGTAAATGTGTCCAAGGGGCAAATTCAAGGACTTCATTATAAATACCTTTGTGGGAAAAAGAAAAACCATGCTGATTTCAGAAAGGATTAAATATTGAACAGGCCTCGTGTTTTCATCAGGAAATGATCTGGTTTTAGAATCTCCATTATTTTTTAAGCTACTTTGGGGACTGTTTTAGAAACAGCCTCAGCTTCTGTAGAATGACCCTGTAAGTAATGCACTGACTAGAATTTGTTTTTCTATCACTGGATCTTTACATAAAATCAGCCCATTAAAGTCCTTCTCATCATCTTGAGAAGGAATAGAAAGCATTACTTCAAAGCAAGAATGGGATGAGAGAAACGGATGGCCTGGGTGCTCCTCTGTCCCTGTCCTTGTCACACACAGAGCAGCCTGCCGAGCGGGTGAAGTTCCCACAAGGCCACTGAAGACAGGAAGCAGAGAACACAGCCATTTGGCATTCTTCTGCAGGCAGGAAATGATTGCCTACATAGAATCCAGAAGTGGTACAGCTGGAAAGGCCCTAGAGGTCATCAGCTCCAACTCCTCTCCTTATGGGGGTGCTGAGGTGGCACTCTCGTTACTGCCAGAGCATGATCTGCTTGTAAAGTACATAAAGTCACAGGAAGTAAAATGCGCGCACACACTCCACACACACGTGCGCACTCCCATCCCCCACACTCCCACCCCTGCCCTCTGTTGTCAGTAAATTCTCCCAGGGTGGTATGTAGAGAAGAGGGGAGGGGGCTCTTTACATGGACCTGGGCCTGTCCTTTGAAAAGCAACTCCTGAGAAATCCTCCTGAGGAAATTTTTCAGACCCAGTGCTGCAGTCTTGAGGGGCGGGAGACAGCTCATCTATCTTAAGCCCACAGTTGTCAATAATATGTTTTACGCAAAGAAGGATGTGTACCCTTTTTTATCAGCATTGTCTGTGGCACAAAGGACCCAGGCTTTCTTATTTTGCAATTTATACGCTGCCTGCTTCCAGACAGGCCACGTGTTTGGGTTTGTGTTGCCCTTCTCTTTAGTACCCACATACACGCAGGAAAGGAAAGACTCACCTGGAGAGCGCAGTCGTTAACTTCCAGCAGCCCTAGGATATGACTCCAATTTTTAACAGCAAATTGATACTATTGTCTGATTCAGGGATGAAATTTTCAATCAAAAATACCCCCATCCTATTTTGAGATCACCCTCTAAGTAATAAGCCTTTGAGGTTTGATTGAAAAGGCCAAACTTTTGGGCCACCTCTACAGCCCTCTGCTGTATGTTGCTCTCCCACTTCTGCTTTTCTCATCTCCCAAATCTCCACCCCCTCATTCCCTCTAACACAGGATTTCCCAGCCTCTGTACTATTGGGGCTGGATAATTCTTTCTTGTGGGAGATGTCCTGTGCAATGTGGGATGTTTAGCTACAACCCTAGCCCCTACCCACTGGATTCCAGTAGCACCCCCATCTCCAGTCATGATAATAAAAAATGTCTCCAGGCATTGCTCTCACTCAGAGCCACTGCTCATTGTGTAGGGAGGGGCTGACTGTATAATCCATGATGCCGCATAGGCATAACCTATGCAGGACCTGCGCCACACCTCACAGACTCTTTAGGGATGTCCAGTAAGAAATTCACCAAGTTCTTTTCCTGGTTTCTATGGCCGTGGTGTTTTTCTGTAGCATGCTAAGCATTTCTCTGATGAGGTTGTCCTTATTAAGAACAAGAAGGATCTCCAGAGAGCTATAGATTACTAAAGGAAGTGGAGCATGGGCACTCTTATCAGAAGATTCCCCCCTCTCCCTTCTGCCAGTGACAGAGCACTTCTTAAGCCAGCTGAGCCCTGAGTCGCATCAGAGGAGAGGAAGACTGCTTTGTGCCTAGGGGCCTAGTTCTTGGTTCTAGGGGCTGACCCACTTCCCTGATGGTATCTAAGTTCACTCTTAAAGGCACTGGGGATACATTTTTTGGGAAAAAAACTGTTCACCCCTCTAATACCATGGATTACAAATGTGTGACATCCCAATGAGTAGAAGCTATGAGTACTGGTTTGTCAAACCAACTGATTGTTGATTTCTATCAACCTAAACACATTACCATTTCCTTCCTAGCTAACTCCTTTGGTGAGAACAAGGAGTTCACAAACCAGTGCAGCTAGAGAAGAGGGTGTGTGGGAACAGGAAAAGAGTGGGAGAAGCATTTTGCAGTTTATTAAAATATCAGCACCTGGTTTTTTTTCCTGATACAAAAACAAAAAGCAATGCATATATGCATATGTAAATTCTTCTGTCTTCTGGACCATTTCCCAGTAGTGAAGATGTATATTTTATGAGAATATATATGTAAATCTATATTATATATGTAAATATATATATTTCAGTTTTTAAGCTCAAATTCACAGGGCTGTTGGTAGATTAGCAGGTACACAGATGAGAAAAATATCAGCAGACAGAATCATTTTCTTCCTTCTCTCCTTAATTTCCTTCTTTACATGCTGGAACAGAGCTTCAGTGCTTACAAAGAGATTTTAGAGGCCATTCCAGGTGAGTGCAATGAATAAATGGTAGGACAGAAGAACACCCACTGATATAAAGAGGGGAAAAAAAGCTTCTTTTTAAAATGGCTAGATCTGTTTGTATAACTCAGCATTTCTCCTCCTGGGACCAGGGCTTCTAGCAGGGTCACAGAGATGCTGGTGAGGGGTCATGGAGACTGTGCCCGAAGGGGACCTCCTGCAGCTGTTTGATGGCAACATCTCCAAAGGCAGAGAATCTGAACTGAATTCCATCACTGGCTCCTTTTCCCAGCTCCAGCCTTCTGCTTTCTCTGATGTCAGGAGGGGCATTAGATTCTGATTACTGAATTGTAAATTATAGTATGTTTATAGTAAATGGAGACAGTAAAGCTGTACCTTCGAAGTTTGATAAGATGTTAACAAATCTAAATATGAGAAATTTTTAGCTCTTTCGAAAAAGGAGGGAATTTTTCTTTTAAAGTAGGTATTATGAATCCCAATTCCATGGAGCCATCCTGTTCATGGGATTATATAACCCCCTTGAAATTCAAAATATGCACTTTCCTGAACCAGGTACTGTATCTTTTATTCAATTCTCTAAAGGGTCTGTAATTGTTGAAAGGTTCAGAACCACTGCCTCAGAGGCAGCTATGAGGGTGCTGTCTTTTGTCTAGGATTTTGGCTTGTTTCTTATCCTGTGTGTGTGTGCACGTGTGTGTTTGTTTTTGAGTTTCCTTAGATTTTCATTGGTGTTCCTCTATGAGATGTTTTCTTAGATGATGAGCCAATTTGAGATTAAAGATCCCTGGGGACTGAATTCTTAACTCTAATTGTTTTAGGTCCTGTAGAAAGTTTTTCCATTGAAATTCCACGGTGACTTCCTGTGCAAGGCAATGTTGGACTGAGAAAGAACCTTGGGGGAGGGGGGAAGAAGAGATAGAAAATTAAATACATAAGGCGTACAATCACTTTTGTATCTTTCCTTAAATGTGCCTAAGGTAATTGATTTTCTTCTGGTTTTCTGTTAAGATGCTGCCTTCATGGAAGAGGTATGCAGATCAAATGATACCCAGAGTAAGGATTTGAGACTGAAGGTGACTAACTGACACCAGGACTGGGAAACAGGGCTTTGCCCTCCCACACTGCTGTCCCTGATCACAGCATCTCTATTCCCTTGGATGCTGAAGTCCTGAAACTGGATAGGGAAGAGAATGCACCTCCTCTTCTTTAAGAGGAAAATGATTTTTCACCAATTCATTCTCTGAAGCCAAAGGCCTATTTTTTGACATCCCAGGCTCTGTCCTGCTATGGGACCTCTTGCACTTACTCCCTTTGTCTGGAACACTTATCCCTCAGAAAGTGGCACAGCTCATTCACATCTTTCAACAAATAATGACACAGAAGTCACTTGCTGAGGGAGTTCTTCCCTGGATGTCCTCGTATGTTGAAGTTTCTCTTACATTTTATATTCCTCTTCCCTGATTTATTTTTTCTTTAGCACATATCATTATTTTCTCTGTTCTATATTTCACTTATTCATGTGTTATCTTGTAGAACTTTGCTCCACTAGAATGTAAACTCCATGTAGGCATGAATGTTTTGTTCAATACTAAACTAATAACACATAGAACACTGTCTGGCTCATTGTAGACGATCAATCAATAGTCTTGATTGAATCATACCAAGAGATCTGGGGATAAAACTTGCTTATAAAAAGAGTACTACATGACCTTTAAATCTGCTAATCAGGCAGGCTGGTTTAAGTGGTCCCATAGCCCCTCTGTCTATACCTATCAAAGCACTTGTTACTCACATACCATAATCTTTAGGTTGGCTGTTTGTCTCACCAGGTTAAATTCTGCCAGAGAATGTGGATTATGTCTTTAACTCTGAGAGGAAACCTAGAGCATATAGCAGATACTCAGTAAATATGAAAAAGAATGAGTGAATGAAAAAAATACAAAAACATGCTAAGAACAGCCATTGAGGCAGATGTGAATATCTCATCAAAGGATAGAGAAGTCCTTGGTAAAATACATCCTCATTTGTTTTGATTTAAGAAATTCCTTGGAGAGGAGCTATACAGAGTAGGGAAGAAACTGCGGTCTCTGAAAAAATCTCTGGAAGCACAATTAGGCAGGACAGACAAATCACCTTGGATCAGGCTCAGACTGAAGTGCCCAGGGTGCAGCATGAAGGCGGGGGCCATGCGAGGAGTGAGTGAGAGGTGGAAATAAAAGTTCAGCAGATTTGATGGGTGTAAACCATCAAATCATTTGGAGCAATTTTCTGAGCTGTGGTAAGTGACAAGGGTAAGAATCTTAAGACAGACAGTGGGAGTGATTCCAGGGTGGTTTCCCAACAGGTCCTGGTTTCCACAGTGGTTTTAACCTTTAACATAAAGGTTTGGATATTCCATCTTTCACGTCCACAAAGTGATCACAACCCCAGTGGTATATAACTTCCAGGTCTGAATCCACTGCTTTGGGTTAATGAGACATACTATGACAAGAGACCACTGAAGGTTAATTTTTCAGATTTTTCAGTCTCATCTCCATCAGACCTTGAGCCCTGATACATTGTGGTTGGTACATTTACTCAAACTAGTGTATTCTGTAGCCTTAGCCATCATCTAACCCAGCCTTACAAACAGTCTTGCAAAACTGATATTTTTTAACCAAAATTTCATGGTGATTTTATCATAAAAGTACACCCACAATTAGCACATCTACTTTCCCCCAATCTCCGCAGCATTATTATTTATATCTTTGCAAATGGCATTTCCTTTAGAAAATATGAAGCTATACATCACTTTCCTTCTATAAAATTGTCACTTGTGTTCTAAAAACCTAACACCTTTTATCCTGCTATCTTGGAAAGAAAATATCCACATAACCAAAGCTGATCAAGATTTAGAAATCAGAAGCTGGGTACATCAATCAAGAAGTTTCTGATCCAATACAGAAGGGTTTGTGTTTCTTTTCCTTCATTGTTTTCTTCTAAGCTTTCTCTTTTCATTAAATCACAATGCCAGACAAAGTCAGGGGCATGCTGTGCCCATCATTGTGGCTTATAGATCAAACGAAAGCTGGTATTAATCATCTGGCTTGATTTTGGAACCTATTAATTTCCAAGAACAGAACCGCAATGACACAAGTCTTTTATTCTGTGATCTTATGCAGTGTCATTTCTCTTTTCTTCTCTTAGAGTAAACCTTAGAAAATGTTAGTTATGTAAAACCATTTTAAAGTCAACCATTATCTTTTCACTGGCCAATTAGATATAAGTTTTGTTTAAGAAAACTGTACTTTGCTTCTATTTTCCTCAGGAATCCTTAAAATATACTTGGTGGCCGGATGCGGTGGCTCATGCCTGTAATCCCAGCACTTTGGGAGGCCAAGGTGGGCGGATCACGAGGTCAGCAGATCGAGACCATCCTGGCTAACACGGTGAAACCCCGTCTCTACTAAAAATACAAAAACAAAATTAGCTGGGCATAGTGGCGTGCGCCTGTAGTCCCAGCTACTCGGGAGACTGAGGCGGGAGAATGACGTGAACCTGGGAGGCGGAGCTTGCTGTGAGCCGAGATCGTGCCAGGGCACTCCAGCCCGAGTGACAGAGAGAGACTCCATCTCAAAACAAAACAAATATATATATATATATATATATATATATATGGTACTCCGGGTCTAGGCCTACAATGAGAGGTCAACTTCAGTCTATTTTCTCCTTATTATGAAGAATTTTATGAAGAATAAACCAAGATCTATTCTCAAGTCTGGAATTCACAATCTTTTGGTAAGATAACTTTTTTCCAAAGTCCTTCATGACCTTGAAGTTATGAAAAGAAAGTGATGCAGAAAATAAAATCCCTGAGATACCAAAGTCCTTAGGAGAAATTCTATACATGGTGGATTCTCCATAAATATTGCTCAGTTAATCAGTGAAACTGAGAATGGGGCATACTCTACATCCTCGGCCCTTTTCCTAGAGTAAAGAGGATGGTGTAGCAACTGGGGAATGCTACCAGATATGGCCTCACTACCTCCTGATTGGAACCACTGTGTGGGTAGCTTAATACTGGGTTCTTCTGTTAAAGCTTTATTTCTGGGTAGTATATTGTCAGTGTATTCTTTGGTAATGAAATCTGTACCCTTTTACTTGGTTCCAGATAACATTGTTAAGTTAAATACTGAGTCAGAAAATATGACTCAAATGTTTCTTCATTATGAGGTTAATACAACTCTTAGGTTATAAACAGAACTAAATAAGGACTGGAAAAAGAGATCAGACTTTTTCAACTAGGATTTTAAGCCTGACAGCAATCCTCTGTGCATATGATACTATATAAATTCTAATTTATGAAAGAATTGATTTCTCTTTCGGAGTTATCTATGAAAAAAATTAGCTTTGTCCTCACTGCAAGTTTATTGTTCGTTGAGGTAAGCAAGTGGTAGAAGGACAACGTTAATCTTATTTTGCACCTGGTTTTCACTTCAACTTTTCTCTGCTTCTTCATTTACTGTTATGTTTAATACTAGCTTCTGTTTTTAGCCTGTGGGAGAGGGGAGAAGTGTAAAAGATACTTATAACATCTGTAGCAATGGACAGAAGAATGAATAATAATAGCAAATGTCTACAACATGCCATCTGGTATAAACACAGATGTGTGTTTTCTTTAAATATAAGAATCGTGTACCCTAAAAAGGGAAGATTTACAATGCTCAACAGAAAGTCAAGAGCCCATTCTTCAGTGGTTCTTAATTAACAAGAAGCAGTGCTCCCTGTTAGTTGCCAATTTATTTATACAACTATAGTGGTAGGTACTGCTCATTTCTCCTATGAATTATGAATGTAGAGGTCAAAGTGCTCTCCAAGAACAAAGGAGATACTGGATGAATTCTTTCCTATCAAATATTACATTTTTTTATACCTAGTACAGTAAATTCAAAATTAGAATATTCTGTGTTTCCTCCAAAATCTTGTCATGGAGTTTGAAACCTTCAAAGAAAGTTTAATAAAGAACAAATGAAGGACATTAGGCGGTTTTTATAAAGTTATATAATTTTAATCCTTAACTAAACAATAACCTCTACATAATAAGAGAAGACCATCTGTAAAACCAACAAATAACTTATAGAGAAGATTGCCTTTTTTTGTAAGCATTCATATATTTAGTCCCAATAATGAATTTACCAAACCTACTTAGTTTGTGGAGAATAATTCATGTTTTCTTATTAGGCAACCCACATTTCCTAAATTCAGAGAGATCATGGTGCATCTTAACAGAATAAAAGGCTCTGATGATGTACCTACCACATCTTCGAGAGGAGGTTGCCATCCAAGTTAAATTATTGCAGAGATGAAAATGAAAATATTATTGTGAATATTGGTATTATTGTGAATATTGGTATGTTGAGACTATCTCAAGGACAATCTGGAGGACATTCATGGGCCACTCAGTATGATGAAATGTCTCACGAGCATGGAAAACAATAAAAAAGAGTTATGAAATACCTTCTGTTATGAATGTTCATGAGCTCCACTTAGAAAAGGAAAGAAAAGTCTTGATCTTTTATGAATAGAATATATGCTTAGGAAGATGCCTATTTTTTAATCACCTCAGAACTTTACCTTTCAGTATAATAAAATGCATTTGGCTTGTTTGTCCAGAATAAATTTAATGTTATTTTCAAGGTCTCCTTATTTTCTACTTCTCTTTCTATGGAAAATAAATAATAAAATTGCAAAGCACCTTCTAGTTACTCAAGTATATTAGCTTTCCTTAACAGCCATTATCCCATGTACTATTTGCTTCTGCCATTCTCCCCTATAACAGAGAATAGACATAATTGGAGCTTCATATTCTGCTCGCCACCTACAGGAGCAATTTCCTGCTCACATGGGCACACATGAAGACTGGTGGTAAAGAGAATTCCCACTGAAGTTAGAGATATCCAACAATGGTAACAATCAGGCACTAGGCCTCTAACCTATTGACCTTCTGCTTTTTGTTGGTTCTGTGCTCCAACTCTTTGATTGTCTTCAAGGTTGTGCCTCATTTGGCAGATACCTGCTAACTATGTGCTCATTTGAAATATTCAGGATTAATCTGTAAAACTGACTTTACATAGGTTGTTGAATTGTCTTGTTTTGCTGGCAGTGAAAAAAAAGATACTGAAACAAAATCCAACACAACTGGGCTTCATACATAGAATCCATTTCTCCTGTTTCTGCAAAGATTTATTTTTCATTGTTTCAATAACTTTTGACAAATGAGCACTGGAGGAAAAGTGCTGACAAGTTCAACTTTAGTAGTTCAAATGTTTTCTCAATTTTGAAAACTTACAAAGCATATCTAGAAAAGAAATGATGCAAGACAGTTGTTACAGAATAATTACAGATTTACTCTTAAAGGATAGCAAAATTGCTTATGCACTACATTTAATGAATGTAAGCTCCTTCTACATAGTATAGTTAAAATAAACCATACACACCTCAGAAATGACAGGATGAGATACACTTGTGCCTACAGGGCTCATCATAACACTGCTCTGCTAGATGAAATGACAGAACAGGCAGGGATAAGAGGATCCCCACATTGTTGCTGAAGAAGGTTGCTTTAACTTGAGTAGGTAGAATTCAGACTTAAAAAGATGAGACAACAACTTCTAAACTGATGGAGGAGCTATAAATATTTGGGAAGCCACAAGCAGAAACTCCCAGCTTTGCAAATAGCTATAAGAAATGGGGCAAGTTGTTTTAAACAAAGATTCTCATCTGACTGCAAATCTGAAAAGACAAGGCAACAAAATATATACTTATCAGAGAGTGACTACTGCCTGGCCTTGAGGAGTTATCACTGTATGTGTACAGGACAGAAAGGAGGGGAGTTTCTTGTTCCGCCCTCCTCTTCGGCTGGCCATGCAGATCCTTTAGTTTCTCAATTTACTGGGGCTTTCAAACATGTTGGGCCAACTGACAGTAAGAAATACTGTTTCTATTACAGCCCAGCACATACCTACAAATATGAAACCGTAAAAGTAACCAAAATTAAAGTTCAATAAACTGGCACTTCTTTCTTATTTTTAGTATTTGCCATGCAGGCACTCTATTTTCTACTCTGTGAAACTGTCTTCTATTTCTGTAACAATAGGTAATAATTAAATGTGTAATAAAGATGTCTATACATTACAGGTAAAATTAAATACACATATATTTATCTATATAGATTCATACAGATAATATGATATTATCTATTTAAATAAGTGTTAATCATGACTCTCCAATGGGCTGTGACCACAGTTTGAAAAAAAAAATAAGAAGACACGATGACTCCTTCAACAGCATGAGAAAGCTCTCACAGGAGCTCCACTGCCTCTCACCTTCCAAAGGGGCACCTGGTGCCTTGCCCACATTCTCTCAGTACCCATACATGCCGTTTGTGCTGGCTTCATTTACACTGATTACTCTAAGTGTTCTGACATTTTCTCTTTTGCTCATTTTGTATTCTCAGCTTGAGTGAAAATTAGAACAACAGGGGCCATTCCTGCTTGACTCATGTATCTTCTTTCATAGCTCCTCCCAGGATCTAGCACAGTGTGTCCCTTCCACTGGACTGTTGATAAATGTCATTGACCGTTAAGGCAATTGCATGGCAATGCAGAAGAAGTATAATTTGATTAACTGCAAGTACTTGTAAATGCAGACTTTTTTTTTTCTTAACTAAAGGATTTTTTTTTTTTTTTTTGAGATGGAGTCTCGCTCTGTCACCCAGGCTGGAGTGCAGTGTTGCGATTTCGGCTCACTGCAACCTCCGCCTTCTAGGTTCAAGCAATTCTCCTGCCTCAGCCTCCCTAGCAGCTGGGATTATAGGAGTGCACCAGCACGCCTGGCTAATTTTTGTATTTTTGGTAGAGACGGGGTTTCACCATGCTGGGCAGGCTGGTCTTGAACTCCTGACCTCAGTTGATCCGCCTGCCTTGGCCTCCCAAAGTGCTGGGATTACAGGCATGAGCCACTGCGCCTGGCCAAGAATTTTTGTCTATAAAACGGAAGTAAATATTCAAATGAAAAATATGCACTCTGTCCATGATACTTTCTACCATTTCATTGTTCATTCGTGCCTCGAATATATTTAGTGGTTACTGTTTGCCAGAAATTGCTTTAGAAGCTGGGCATATATAGTCCATGCTCTCAAGTAATGTGGACTACAAGGCAAGTAATAGGTTTTTCTCAGAATTGCAGTTTATTCAAATGAATTGTCAATGTGTCTAATTTTGATTTGGCTGTTGCGGATTTCTTGTGTTTACTTTGTTTCCCTCAATATCATTATATAATCTAAAATATGACCTGGCTTTAAAAAAAATGCTTACCTTACCAAAGGTGCACTCAGTAAATCCCCTTTACTCCCCATCCACTGTAATCTTTGGACTTCAAGTATATAGAATTAATTATAGTCATGGGTTTATGAATACTATCATCATACGTCCATTCAAGACTCATCCATCTGTCTACCTAACTACCTATCGTATCCAAATTGATCTATAGATTTAATATTGTACCAAACATAACAACATACTATAAAGCTATTATAATTAAGGTGGTATTTAAAAGTGTCAATGGTCAGGGACACTACTTTATAAATTGACCAGTGGAACAGAACAGAGGACCTGAGGTAAATTTGTGTACCTTTTTCTTTATGTCAGAGGGGATATTGTAGATCACTGGGGAAAGGAGAGACCATTAAATAAGTTGAGCTAGGAAAAAATATGGATCATCAACATTGACTACAGATGGATTAAGAACTTAAATGTCGAAAGCTAAACTTAAAAATCTTTAGAAGAATACAGGAGAATATCTTTCTAAACTTAGGTACAGAAAATTTGTTTTGTTTTGTTTTTGAGATGGAGTCTTGCTCTGTCGCCCAGGCTGGAGTGCAGTGGCACAATCTTGACTCACTGCAACCTCTGCCAGGGTTCAAGCGATTCTCCTTCTTCAGCCTCCCGAGTAGCTGGGACTATAGGCGCGTGCCACCACGCCCGGCTAATTTTTGTATTTTTAGTAGAGATGGATTTTCACCATATTGGCCAGGCTGGTCTTGAACTCCTGACCTCATGATCTGCCTGAATCTCCTGACCTCCTCAACCTCCCAAAGTGCTGGGATTACAGGCGTGAGCCACCATGCCTGGCCAGATTTCTTAAACATGATACAAAAGTACTAATTTTGGGAAGATTAATAAATTTGACTACTCTAAAATTAAGAACTTGTGCTCATCAAGTCATGTTAAAGAAAAAAAAGACAGGCCAGATACTTGGGGAAAATGTTTGCAGCACACCTAAATGACAAGGATCAGAATTAAACCACATAAAGAATTGCCACAAATTAGAAATGATAAACAGCTGTCTTGTCTTCTATTCTCACCTACTTTCCCCTGCTCTTTTATTTTTGACTCTGATTCCCTTATCCAGCCAAAAACAAATTGGATATTGTCTGAACAAGTTGCTTACTTCTACATCTGTGCCATTTCCTTTAGCTAGACTACTTCTGCCACCACCAGCTGGACCACTGACATTCCATATACTTCTCTTATCATTCCCAAGAACCATCCTTCATGAATTCAACCCATCACTGCTATTCCCTCAGAGTTCATAGGGAATCAATTTAAATTTGGTTGCTATGTTCTCCTCTTCCTCTTCCTCCTCCTCCTCCTATCTCTCCTCCTCCTCCCCCTCCTCTCCCTCCTCCTCCCCCTCCTCCCCCTCCTCCTCCTCCTCCTTCTCCTCTTCCTCCTCCTCCTTCTCCTCCTCCTCCTTCTTGCTCTTCTATAGGCTGGCCTTGAACTCCTTGGCTCAAGCCATCCTCCTGCCTCAGCCTCCTGAGTAGCTGGGACTACAAGCATTCGCCACCATGCCTGGCTTTACATATTCTTTTGAACTGATTTTTTAGACATCCTGTCTACCCTGTTACATTTCAATTTTTCCTAAATATAAGAACTCTTGTGTTACATTCTGTTTTCATGGTCTTCCTTCTGCCTGGATTTTTTATCCCATAGCTTAGCACAGTGTTGTGCACGTGTTGGGTACCTAGCAAGTGAAAGTTTCTTTCATGGACTAAC
Organism: Homo sapiens; assembly: GCF_000001405.40. Taxonomy (NCBI): domain Eukaryota; kingdom Metazoa; phylum Chordata; class Mammalia; order Primates; family Hominidae; genus Homo; species Homo sapiens. The sequence continues at coordinate 179,872,250 of NC_000002.12, read as the reverse complement.
ATTGCAAACATAAAGATTTTGCTGAGTTTAATCATAAACTCTTCAAAAGTAGAACAAAATGAAGGTGGATTTATCCAAGGAAGTATAAAGAAAGAAAAAGGCAGCAGTTCACACAAATAAATACCTAACAGAGATCTCAGACAAGTTATGTAGACATATGGAAGAAATTTAAAAATATCCATTTACAAAGAAATTGTGAAGTAGGAAGAAAGCTATGTAAATAAGCCAAATTAAGGAAAAATTACATATTAGGCTAGAGAAAGACAATAAGCAGCAAGTTTCAGAAAACATTTCAAATGGCAGTAAAATGTTCAAACAGGCTGGCAACAAATGAAAGTAAATGACTGGACTAATTAGGGTTATAAGCAAGAGATTGTTTGAAGATAAAAACCCAGATGTGTCTATGCCTCTTTAGAAAAAGCAGGTGGAGAGCTACCTTTTTAAGACAACAATTTTCCTGAAACAACAGGTGTAGGCAGTTTTTTTAAAAAAGTTACCTGCAAGTAAATTAGAGAAGGCAGCAATTTCAGATAACCTGAGTTCATGATTTTTATAAGAAAGGAAGAAGCATCACTGATACAGACACTTAGGTGATACGAGTCATAAGAGTTTCAAAAAGATTAGACTATAACATGATGGGAATTGATCCATCAATTAAAGGTTTTATACGTTGAGCAGTGAATTTAATCTGGGCATTTAAGGTTCTCCAATTTATTTGATTACCCAAAAATATTTGAATAAAGGTAATTATTTGTAAATTAGTACTTCACTGAAACATTACCCTCTTATAGTGAAATACAATAAAATGAGGTTTATCTGCTCTTCAGATAAAGCTTCTGAGTTACTCAGGCACCAAAAGATCCTAATTATAAAGCTGGTTTACATGTAAGGTATGTTTATGACAGGAATCCTAAAGATAGCATTTCAGCACAATGAGGTTCCATCAGTCTCACTCGGGTACCTAAGGTCTGCCATGTACTTTGCGTTGCAACTTCGACAGCAACATTTACTAGATACTAATTCCATATCTAGGGCTGCATGAAGTGCTGTCAGATGAGGTCAGAGAAAGAAAAATGTTTTCAAAGATTCTGCATTCTGTATGCAAGCATGATTGATATAGATGCATCCATTCATTCATTTAGTCAACCATGGAAGGCACCTGGGGTAGAGAGTAAGAAGTGTGGTGGCTTTGGAGTCTGAAAATATGGGAACAAGTCCAGTTTCTGTTATGCACTTGCTGGGTGACCTTGGGCAAACTGAGACTCTCTCTGAGCCTCATCTGATAAATAAAGATGGGGAATTAGGGTTGTGGTGGAATATCTCTTCTACAGGGTTATCGTGAGGATCAGTTTTGATCATATCTATGAAAACACTTTTTCAATCATTGGCAATCTCTAAAGGAAGAAAGGCCAAAGAGGATGAGAACTGAGAAGAAGTCTTGGATTTAAGAATCGATATATCCCTGATGGTGTTGGAAGTGGAAATTTGATTGAGGATGTGATGGGTCTGATTGACGAGACAGTGAGAAAGTGCAGACAGCAAGTGGAGGCAGTTTTTTTTTTCCCCAGGAAGTTTCTTGTTTCCAAAAATAGATTAAACTTTTAAATCACAGATTATGTCTTATATATTTTTATGACTAGCTCCACTCTAACTGTATAGAAGAGTATTATGTGCACACAGACTCTTAAAACATTGGTGAAATAAGTGCTGATGACAAAGGAAAGAACAAAGGAAGACAACAGCTTTAGGTAAAGAAAATTTAAGGAAGTTTTTGTTTTTAGACTTTTCTCATTTTAAAAACAGGACTCTGTTCAATATATTAATTGTAAGAGGTCAGAGTGAATAATGTAAGAAAGATGGAAGGTTTGCAGAGTTGCAGCCATTATCTCAAATGATGGAGCCAGGCAAGAGGAAGTGGGGTCAAGAATACTATGGAGGAAGGCTGTACTGAATGCAACAAGGGAAATTGGCGTTAAGACCACATAGACTAGGCCTTACCTTGGACAGAAAAAGAGAAATTCTGAGTCGTTTCTTGTCATGAGGAAGAAAGCTGATGATGCTCAAGTCAGATGGGTTCTACCTTCCAGGAATGCAAGAGTTAAGCTTTTCCTGCTGAATAGGAGGGTGGGTTGGGGTTTCTGATGTGTTTGAATTTCCATAAGAAGTTAATACGAGATAAGAAATGGATAGTTGAAAAGGACCTGGGGTAGGGATATCAGGATATCAGGAGTGATGAAAAGAGGAGACTGATTGTGAACTATAGGTTAAGAATAGCAGAGTGTGAGGGCTTAGTGGCTAGATAATTTAGTCATTTTTTAGTGCATGCAGGGCAAGAAAGGTATGCTGATGTTCCGCCAAATTTTTACCTCAGACAGCCTGACCTGATGGTATACTTTTTCTTCTTTCAATGGAAGGAGATAAGCAGGGAGCCTGGCTTGCAACTTGAAAATTGTTTACAAGAAATGAACTTTTGAAATAGAGGTGAGGAAAATCAATACGGCAAATTTGGAATTACTATGAAAAAGAAACATTCATAATTGAAATTGTCCAGAGGTGACACAGGTTGTCTTGAGAAACACAAGTTCCCAGCAATAGGGAAGGTCATCTAGGCCAGGTTATACAATAATTGGTTACAATTAAAACAAATGAAATTTAATTCCATTATTTTTTGGATAAGCTTAAGTGGCATTTTACCGCTAACCTAGCTAGGATATGCCTCTTTCTTCTGTGTACAAATGTGTTTTAATATTTGTTGGTTTTTCATTAAATAAAATTAATACATAGATAAGAAGAGATTAAATTTAGGTTTCAAAAACCCTAGGGTGTCAGCAGATATTTAAACTAGCTTGAGTGTCACAAGTCTGCTAAAGCTGATAGTGTATACTACTCATCTCTGCCAATGGCTTTTTGAAAAGCCCTTATTACTTTGATAACAAAAGTTTATCTGTGAATATATTCTACTTATAAAAAGTTTAGTTAATGCATAGTAGGATAATTTATTTTTATTATTTCTCTGTTTTTGGGCACTTAGTTTGCGTCCAAAGTTTCCTTATTCAAACTATGATATAATAAACCCCTTTGTACATACAGCTTTGCTTAGATCTGTTACTGTGACCCTAGAATAACGTGAGATTGCTGTGTTGAAGCACGTGCGCATCAATAAGGTAACTTCCCGAGAGGCTGTATCAATTTACAGTCCCATCAACAATGCATGAGAGAATCCTGGATTGTTTAATAGTCTCGTATAACGTATAACTACATCCTTAATATGATGAAGAAAATAAAATGTAAACTCCTGTCTTCCTAGATTTTTAAATCAGGAAAACTTAACATATGTGAAAGAAACATCGGATGGTATATGCCACAAAATACAATCGTGGAGATGTGTCCATGTATGTATTATGTGACTTATACAGTGTGGTTGAAATGTTGTCAATCAAAATGTTTATAAATCAATTTATATGGATGTGTTTCACATTTCTTTCAATCTTTCAGGCATTGATTTATTTTGCTTTGTTGTGATCATGCTATATTCCAGTTATCTTCTCCTTTTCTATTTTTTTTTTTTTTTTTTTTGAGACGGAGTCTTTTGCTCTGTTGCCCAGGCTGGAGTGCAGTGACGCGATCTCGGCTCGCTGCAACCTCTGCCTCCCAGGTTCACGCCATTCTCTCACCTCAGCCTCCTGAGTAGCTGGGACTACAGGTGCCCACCACCAGGCCCGGCTAATTTTTTCTATTTTTAGTAGAGATGGGGTTTCACCGTGTTAGCCAGGATGGTCTCGATCTCCTGACCTCGTGATCCGCCCGCCTCGGCCTCCCAAAGTGCTGGGATTACAGACGTGAGCCACCACACCTGGCCCTTCTCCTTTTCTTTACACATTATCATTAATAATTTTTCATGTTACTACAAATTTCTAACAAACATCATGTATGAGAATAGCTACATAACATTCCTATAATGAGATGTGTTTAACCATTCCCCTTAGATTGTCTTCAGATTTTCCTATTAATAAAGCTATGATGAATATTTTTGGTGGGCCACTTCCCCCGCATTTAACATTATTTCCATGACATATAGTTCTAGATTGAAATTGCCAACTGAGTCAACAGGAATAATCATTGTAAGAGTTTGATAAATATGGTACACTGCTCTTAGGAAAAGCAGTTGAGCCAATGAATATCAATTCTGCTAGAATTGTTATCTTAATAACTTTTTTAAAGTTTGCTAATTTGATGCTATCTCATGCTATTTTAAATCAATGTTTATTTTTAGCAGGCATGAACGTTATATATACCTTTCCTTTGTCTATAGAAAATAATCCTTTTAATTAATTTCTCAACCTTGGCTATTAATGGACATTTATTTGCTGTGGAAGGCTGTCCTATGTGTTCACATTTATTTGGCAGCATTCTGCCCTTTACAGCATCCCTGACTTGTAATAATCAAAAAATGTCTTCACATACATTGCCAATTATCCCATGGGGAACAAATCAGACCTTGTGAAGAAATTTGTTTAAGCAAATACGTTTTTAAAATGTAGTAAACTACCAATTTAGTTGATCTGTTTTGGAAGTTTAAATGTTTGTATCTAAAGTGAGAAAACTTCATTCATAAGTGTGAAAAAACCGCAAGTGAAGACAGTTCCAAATGTGAAGAGGCTCACAGAGGTCAGTTCAGAAAGTGTCATGATAGTGCCAAAGCTGAACGATAGGGAAACAGAGGCTCAGGAAATTTATTTCAAATGCCCAAGATCACTGTCCAAGAAGATGAAACTAGCATTTTTGTCCTCCGGGCTTCAGATTTTTTCATAACCCCACCCTATTGCTCATGCCACCCCTGCTCCCTGAATTATAATTCAGCTGGGTCCATCTCCTTTAAGAAACCTTTTTCAGAAAATCCACCTGAGCTACAATGATTTCTACCAGTCCCCTAGAATATGCCTATATTAGCATGGAGTTCTTCAGGTAATGTTTGATGTTTAAACGATTGTCACTTATACTCTAGCCTTGATCCTAATGGCTTGAAAACTCTTGAAAGGTGCTTGGATAAAGGGCTCTGTCCACAAAGGACTTCCATAAAATACCATCAATTAGCTCAGCTTCAATAACATTTTGTTTTTTTGTTGTTGTTGTTGCTAGGATTTTGATGGCTCCTTAAACTGGCCAAGTAGTGCCGGCCCCTTATAAAAAGAGGGAAATGAATTTTGGCCAGTAGCTGGAAACTGGAAAACGTGAGCAAAATCTATTTTCAAATTGAAAGGGTTATTAGTATATTATCTTTAATAAAAATGAGAGATGGGAAAAGGGATTGCCGAATTAGAAAATGAGGGAAGGAGCAGGGACCTGACAAGCAAAGTGAAAATGTAACATACTAAAGGGAACACAACAGGGAGATAAGTACTGGATAATAGGACAAGAAGCAACCATTGTTTGGTCTATAGTAAAACCATTATTATTTCTACAGCTTGTAAATTATAAACTCCATGTTGTTTACTATTGTATCCCTGGTGCTTAGTGGAAAGACTTGTATATTAAATACAGAATAATTATTGAAATGATTGAATGACTGCCTGGACCTGGCTTCTTGAAAGTGACTTCTTTTGTTGCAGCAGGAAATCAGATCCTGTCATTTACATGTGTGTGCATAAGACTGAAAAATTCCCAGCTGCATTTAAGCTTGCATTGAATATCTACAGCTGGTTTGGTAGTCCTAGGCACTGAAGGTAGTGCATGAATGCAAACAAAATATAAGAAATAGTTCCTAGCTTTAAGGGTCTGAAAACCTTATTGAAAAGATGAGATAGGAAATAGCTACTATCTTTAGGGAGTTGTTTAGGGAGGTCCAGCTGGTCATCCATAATCAAAAAATGTTGAGAGGTCAAAAGCTACAATGTATTCATAATTTATCAATAAATAGGGGTCTTTCTCCTCAGACTTCTCAACTTCTTTAAGGTAACCCTGCCTTAAGGAAACTAAGTTGAGAATGGCTTCAAAAGCTATGGTGACACTAGCTGTACACGTGAAGAAGAGAAAATGTAAAACCATGTACTATGCAAACGGATACTGAGCTGTTCTTTATAAGGCACTATGTATTAGGTATTATAAAAGACAAAAGAACCAATAGGATAGGATTTCTACTTTCAGCGGAACTTACAGTCTAATCAACACTTTTGATTAACCTCAAGAAGTAGCATACAAAGAACTTTTTACAGCTGAGATAAACTTGGGTTAGAATTGTGGCTCTGCCAATTTGTGATCTTGAGCATATCACAAACTTACTGATTCTCACTTTCCCCATTTGTAAAGTGGTATTAACAATTTCTCCTTCATAGGCTTCTCATAACAATAAAATGAGACAATGCACGTGTACAGTGTCTGGACACAGCATTCTTTGATAAGGGCTAAGTGTTGCCTATTTAGACATTAAAGCTTTTTGAAAGTTATTCAACACAGTAAGCTCAACATTAAATAAACATAGTTTATCTAAAATTATGATATTGGTTAAAATGGAAAACGATTTAAAAATACAATTTGAAATCAAAAGATACTAGTCATTGGGGAGCTTCCACAGTTACTAGGCAGTTATGAGTTACTTGCCCAAGGGAAGGAATTGAAAAACTGAGCCTAGAAAATAATGGAGCATTTTTGAAAGGAGTGTTACTATGTTCAGATTTATAAAAGGTGGAAGAAAAATCAAAATTGCAAATGCAGTTAAGAGAAGATTAATTATTTTATATTTATCTCAGAGCAAAGAGCCAAACTGGGGAATGTGTGTTAACCACAGTAATCACCTTGCAATCTAATCAGGAAAGGATTTGGGGTATTGTAAAATCAGTGTAGTCTTCATCTTGGGGCCCAAGGCAGTGCTGGATTAGGTTTCAAAGGGACAGATGCATAACAAGAAGCACTGTTATTACTGCAAAGCCATGGCTACAGTCTAGAAGGAATACTTTTACAATATTGATCACCTCTGGATATGAAAGATATTACTGCCCCAGAGAGGGGGCATGATGTCACAGCAAAGCACCAATTCCACTAGATCTCAAGAAAGCAAATTTATAGGAGGAAAGAGTGAAAACAAACAGCTCAGTCACACTTGAGAAAAATATTTAAATAATTAAATATCAAGATAATGAAATATCAAAATAAATCATAATGTGTTAAATGTAAAAAAGGAAGATGTATTAGTGAGCAAGGAATTTAAATACATGGCCTTTCTCTGCTAAGAGTATTCAAATAAAAAAGGAAGATGAAAGGGAACCCAATTTCCAGTTAAAAAATAATTATAGGCCAAGAGGACAATTCTTTTTCAAAGAATACTAAAGATTCACATAAAAAGAATTGCCCGACACAGAGAGAGACAAAAAGAATAGCACAGTTTCTCAAGTAGGCTTGAGATGTAAGGAGTTTTATATCCTTTCACCTTCCAAATACATATGCTACAGTTAGATTTTAAACAGATTTAAAAATGAGACAAATGTAAAACACAAATTGACAACTCAGGAACAACTTTCAGATTTACAGTTAAAATAAACTATACTTTTTCACACATTTTTAGAGATATAAGTCTAGGTCAAATTTGGAACTTCTACCTAAAATCATCTCATTAGCCTTAAAAATCTATCAATTCCATTATTTTTTTTCAAACATACAAGAAAATGATACTGAAAACTTACTGATCAATAAATCCCCATTTTTTTGTTACAATTCATTTTTATTTATTTTGAGTGGGCAGACCTCCTTAAGACAATTACTATAAGTGTCTTTGAAGAAATACTTTTTTTTTAACTGAGCCTGAGTTCGGACTGTTAAGAACAAATGTTATAAAACCTCTATCCCATTAATTTCTCACAACATGTGAACATTGAAATAAAATACAGAATTTTCTGACATTCACAAGATATTCAGGCACCCTTGTAAACAAATATAATTTAGTAGCCTATTAAGAAATGGGTTTTCTGCAGTCAAATGCTCCCCACTGAGCTATACCCCTCAACTTTGGGTTTTCTATTCCTAGGTAGTCCAGTTTTCTTCCATTGCAGGAGTGGTTTTCAAAATATGGCACCCTGCCTGGAGAACAGAGTCTCACTGATGGCTGCAAAGTGATCCAAAATGTCTGTAGGGCCTTGTTTTACAATATGACATCTTTAAAAAAAATTTCCGTAGGTTTTTGGGAGACAGGTGGTATTTGGTTTCATGAGTAAGTTCTTTAGTGGTGATTTGTGAGATTTTGGTGCACCCATCACCCGAGTAGTATACATCTTATGTATGAACTCATTTCCATTTCTCATATAGTAAAACTAAGGGAACTATGAAGTCTCCAAATTTGTTGATGTTCCTTGTTATCACCAAGTTCTTTATTCACTGGAAAGTGTAAATTTGTGAATGTAGTTAAAAGGAGTTCGTCTAGCTAAGGTCTTCAATATTTAGGAACTAATGCACTATACACTTCATAAACACAAAAGTAGAAAAAAAACCTTAAATTAATCCCTTTCTGTTATGTTCCTCCTTGATATTTGGGCTCTTTCCTTGATGAACTACCCTTCCAGTGTTGCTGCTATCCTGACCACTTTCCTAACGCCCCGAACCTAGGGCTATAGTTCTCTGAGTCGGTTTACTCCATTACTGCCAGGAGTGAGCCAGAATGTTTCCAGGAAAATGGTGCTTGGAGGCTTTGAGGACAGGAGAATCCCCTATGTCAGATAACACTGTAAAGGCATGTTCAATGACAAATTATACAATAGAAACACATTTGCATCAGAAAATCGAGACAGAAGCTGTTTTTTCTCTATATATTTAAATATTGTGTTTTTAAATTTAATGTTGTTTCCATATTGAAGTGCGTTTACAAAGGAGGCACTGCAATTGTTTTGTGCTTGGGGCTCCAGAGGCCTTAATCCTGCCTTGGCTAAGGACGTGAAGGGCAGGATTCTTAGTCAGTTATGTCACAGGTGAATAATTGGGAGTTGTCTGCATGTATTTTATGCTTCTTTCAGCTGTTAGGAAATGCAACCCTCAAATTATTCTCTGCCGTGAGTCTTAGCTATAGGTGATTAAAAATAGACAGGGAGGAGGGAAGGATATAGTTGCAGTTTGCAGGACATAAAAAATGCACATGCTGCTAAACTGTGCAAGCCACGGAGAACACTTCTCACAGGTGTTCCACTCTGCAGAGGTTACTCATTTGCCTCCAAGTGCAATCCAAGGTGTTGACTGGAGACTTTAAGGGGCCCTCACCCCTTTCTCTGCATCTTAGATTCCTGGAGATATCAATACTTACCTGAGCTCAGAGGCAACCTCGACAACCACGCTGTCCCAACTCTGAAGTGCATGGCACTGGAAGCTGGGTGTTTTTCTCATGGAAGGTTTTTGCCTCTGGAATTTCCTGCTTGTCCCAGTCTGCCAGAGCTCCATCTTACTGACCTTCAGGGACTTGTGAAAGACGTGTTTTCAACATAACCTTTATTGATGACAAGAGACCTTAAGATCATAATTTTGTGAAAGATAATTTAAGCAATTATCATAGCTCATGTTCTTTTGGGTTAAAATGATTGAATTTTGGTGCTGTCCTTCTGTAGCAACTTCAAATAAGGTACAGTTTTAAGAATAAGCACACCAATAAACGTTTGTTCTTAGTATTGAGACTGCCGACCTGGATGTGAAGATATTTGGATTCTAAAAATACAAAAACTGTAAGTCAGATTTATGCCCTTTCTCACGCTGGTACCTCAAATGTGCTGGTGCTTGCAATAACTCTACATTCCAAGGTGCTTAAAAACACAGCCTGCTCCCTTAGAAAGCTCTAGGATGGTGTGATTGTTTGTCACATCTGAAGCCCACCCTGGGAGAACAACATTGGCTTTGGCTGGACGTTAAGATATTTATTCTAGACGATTATGCCAAGACATTAACAGCTGCAGGATTATTTACGTAGTGTCAATCATCTGAGACAAGAACCAAAGAAAAATATTTTAAGATCATCTGGTTAAAAAAAAATCCCTGCTATATAACACAACTCTCTTGTCATTTATGACTATTGAACTTCTCCCCAAAGAAGTAATCTCAGAAAACTGCTCTTTTAAAATTATTTTCCCTTTCTTAAGTGTTCTAAGTGCTTTCCCTTTCAGAACCAAGCACCTTGGCCATGTTTGCACTAATTTTCAGAAGATGCCCTCTACATCAGGGTAACCGATGACAGGTTTTAGTTTTGAAAACTTAAACACGGAAAAGAAATCCGGCGAAAATGAGCCCCCCGCCCACAACCCTTTCAGATCTGCTGCGAGGCTGCGATGCCTTCTTGCGCTCCGGGCCTTCCCGGCTCCGCCAAATATGCCGAAGCTGCTAGCTGTGCTCTGCTAGCCCAGGGGTGGTCAAAGAGGAAAAACAAATAGTTGGTCTGACGATCTCCAAGAAGAGAGTTTCACTCTGGGTTGACTAATATTGGAAGCATCCGCCCCATCGCGGGGCTTGGCATCTAGGCTTTGGGACCTCTGCCATTGCCAAGGATCTCTTCGGGGACCCGAGCCCCCGGGCTGAGGACCGCGGGGGACCCCAGGTCGGGACGGAGCCTCCTCTGGCTCGCTGTGCGCGCACGCCTGGAAAGGCGGGATTTAAGGCAGCGATGCTGCGGGAGGCTCTGCAGTGTCAACGAGCCCCCGAACGGTTCCGCCTCATTCCCTCTCTGTGTGCCTCGCAAGTCTCTGCTTAGTAAACCGTCACAGCTTCGGCGCGCGAGAGTGGCGTTGGCACGTCCAAACCCCGGGGTCCTCGGCCAGGCCAGGGGGGCGGGCGTGCGGCGGGGCCGGGCCGGGCCGGGCGCGCCCAGCGGGCTCCGGGCACACGCCCCTCACCTGGGCGAGGCCCGGTGCGCAGGCGCTCAGCGCGGGGGCAGCGGCCGGGCGCTTAAGCCCGGCGCGGGCAAGAGTTGGACAGTTCAGGGGCCGCGCCGGGCCGAGCTGTCGCCCGCGCCACCTCCACCGCCGCCGCTGCTACCGCCACCGCCACCGCCTGGGCTGCAGCAGATCGCGGGAGAACGTCTGCGCGAAGCCCCGGTGCAGCCCTGGCGGGACCGCAGCAACCACCGGAGCGTGAGCAACAGCTTCCCGGCTGGAGGAGCCACTGCCCCACGCGCCCGCGGCCCGCGCGCCGAGGTAAGCTCTGGGCGCCCAGCCCAGACCGGCGCCCCCGGACTGGGCGCCCTCTGCTTGCCCGGCCCCCGCCCTCCTCCGCAGAGCGAGCCTGCACCTGGGCGCGCCGCCCGAGGGAATGGCCAGGAGCCCCCCTCCCGGTAGAGTTTGCACTTTGTCTCAAGGTCCCACTTGTAGAGGAGGGCGCCCAGGCGCCTGTGGCTTCCACGACCTAATCCTAACTCCTGCGAGTCCCTGGAGTTAGGATTAGGTCGTGGAAGCCACAGGAGCATACTCCTCTGTTCCCCAGGGTAGGCTCCAATTCCCAAGGACGGATGGAGAGGGGAAAGGACGAGGAGAGTGCCCCGCTATGTTTAGCCGCAGCGCCTCGTCACCTGGGCTGGAAGTTTGGGGTTTGTCTTTCTCTCAATGACCGGGAAATGGGTAGTTAGGGGACCGAGGTGTGTGAGGAGGGTAGCGGTCGAAGCTTGGGGTCGTGGGAGAGTTCTGCAGCAGAACCCAGATGAGATGGGGGCAGAGGAGCAGAGAGAAGGTCCCCGAAGTTTGCACTTGTTGGGAGCCCTGACGGGCGGCCTCGGCCACTAAGCGCTGGTGAAGGTGTCAGGGAAGGGTGGGAGGACACTGTGGGACTGCGGAAGGGACGAGGAGAAGGGGAGGGGGAGGACCATCTGTTTCGCCACTGTTATGTGCGGGGGCCTGTGGGGAGAAGGGAGAGCTGGCAGGACGATGCTTCCCTAGACTCTGGAGGACACACAGTTTTTATGGTGAACCTGGATAGGGAGTGCTGTTCTTCAGGGGAAATAAATTGCCAAGAAGTATCCCCCCTCTCCCCACGCCCATGAATACAAAATAACGCAGTTTTGGAATGCTCTCAAAAGTTCTTGGGTTGGGAAACGTCTTCTTTCATTTTCATACAGAGATGAGGTTTGCATTTCCTTTTGGTTTTGCTTTGCTGAGGAATATCACACCAAGGGGAATGCAAACTTTGTCAAGATGTAGTAGCAAAAGATGTTCCTATAGAAGGAACAAAACATTTCTGTTATAGGGCCTAGCCTAAAGCGTGGAAACTGGCAGCGTCCACACAATTCATGAAACGGTAGGAAATGCATTTATCTAATTAAAAAGAGGGCTTTTCATAAAGTCAATAAGCTACATCTTAGGTAAGTTAAAGGCTTTGGCTTGAAAGAACTCCCTTAAATGTTCCAAGGCCAAATTTCACTGGTTTTCAGAGTCCTTTAATCTTATTTTGATGCCATGTGTGCGTTGAGTATGTGCTGCCCCTTCCCTGTAACAGATAAATGCCTTTAGAATGCAAAATACAGCATTGCAAGTTCTGTTACTTGAGGTTTTTAAGATGAAAAAGATGCTTATTTGATCAAAGTGTTGGTTGTTTTTCAGATTCTATATTCCCATAAATTAAATATTTGTGGATTTATAATTTACACTCTTACCTATTTCCAAAAGTGATTTGAGGAAGCTTGGGATAAAAACCACAAATCAGATAGCTATTCTTGTAGATCTCCTTGACCTCTCTTGGATGCATTTGTAGTAAAATGCTTTGGGGAAGGTGAATTCTCCTAACAAAGGAAAAATTACTGTCCATGTTGGAATCATCTTGGTGATACAATGTTTTGCAGCATAGTTTCTTATGTGCTTTGTTTGCAGTATATTATTTTACATTACATAAGTAATGATCTCTTTATAGAAGTTTAATAACCACTAAGTATCATCTATATTGAAAAAAATGTTGATATTTTACAGCATTTTAACAATATACAGATTCACAGAGCAAAAAGAAAACAATGAATTTAATGTATTTTTCTTCAACTGAGGTACAAAGGAAACCAAACGGAGGTGTCTCCTCTATAGTCAAATCAGAGAGGGAATTGTCATTAGTACCTGTCACCCAAATATGGCCAATTAGTGAGACCTGTCAGCAGCTGGAAGATAACTTTAAAAAGTGTAACTATTAAATGAGGATCGATCAAAGCATATCAGGTGCTCTCAGCATTCTTTTTCTCAGGCAAGTGACCTGATTCAGAGAAAAAAAAATCTTTCAAAACAATTCTGAAAGGTGAAATGCCTGTACAGACTAATGCTATGTGGAGTTGGGCACCATGAAAAAGACAAGGATCTTAAGTCCCTGGACTGGCCACCCCGCCTCCCCTGCCCTTAGACTTTTTTTCCAAGCTGAATTTGAAGATATCATTGCTTGATTTTTCATAGCAACAATTTATATTTTAAAAATTGAGCAATTAGCTAACTTCTTACAGGAGTGAGTCTTTGTTCACATAAATAAAGGGCAAAATTTGCTCTGCTGTTCCCATAATATCCTATATGTCTTCAAAGATCTAAAGAACAGGGAGTGTGTGTCTGTCCCAGTTTCCCACCGCTTTTTATGTGTCTCTGGTTTTTATTATAACCCCTCCACGCCGTTTCATTATCTCTATTTTGCCACCACCCCAATTCCTGACTCTGTCCCCACTGTGTCTCAATATGGTCTTTTTACCTTTTCTTCTTCTTTCTTTCTTTTTTTAAAAAAATTTTTGGGGATTTCTCTTGATCTCTGTGGTTTTATAGATTATAGGTTATCTCCTTTTTGCTCTTTTGTATGTTACTTTTTATTCAGTTGTTTCTTTTTATTAGTGCTAGATTATTTCTTCCTGAAGTGACATCCTAGCTCTACTCTCCCTCCAAAATTTTATATTTACATTTTGAACCACCTAAGAGACAGCTTTATATTGCTCTTATGTGCCTCAACTCTACCAGGTTTAAGCTCTAATTAACATCTTTCTCCTAAGTGAACAAGGGTGACTTTGTGTCAATTTTAATATTTCTCCTAGTCACTGATGACCCTCCCAGTATCTTTGCTTTCCACATAAAATTCACAAAGTCCCACAGACTTCATCTCCATGATGCTTTATGATGCCTGCTTCTTCATCTTTCTATTCCCATGGTGGCTATTTTTTTCAGTCTTCTTATCTGTTTCTAGAGGCTGTCACAGTGGCTTCCTGACTCGTTTCCCATCTCCATTCTCTCCCAATTCATTTCACACTTGGTTGTGCAGAATAAGCTTCCCAAAAGAGAACCAAGCTTAATCACTGGCTAGTAAACTTTTCCTTAGTGTCCTACCAAGTGACATATAAACCCCTCCTCAAACAGTGAAGACCCTCTGCAGTCCAGCCTCAAAGTAGCTCTGCATTTTTTTTACTTTGATCTCGTTGGTTGGTTGATCCAGTCATTAATTTATTAATTTATTCAGTGAATATTTGAGTGCCTACTACATGACAAGCACGGCACTAGGTGATAATTTTAAAAGCACCATGTGTATTGGCTCCATGATACATTTCAAATATTATTTTTCAATGTTGGAATCTATTAAAATATAATCTTAAATGGTTGGAATGGGGTCCCAACAATCCCACTAGCTCCCCCTCCCTACCCTTAGTAGTCCTGAGGCATCGTCATAGAGTCCCAAGTCTCCTTGATACAATTTGAGACTTCTCTAGGCTGAAGGCAGTGTTTCCTTAACACAGCAGGTCTCTGAGCTCTGTGTCGTTGCTTATGTTGTTCCCTCTGCTAGGAAGGGCCCTCTCACTTCCCTACAATTATTTCCACTTGTCGAGAGAGTCAGTGCAATTGCACATGCTTCCTGATCTCCCTCTGCACTCCAGCTTTTGCTCCAGCAAACTCTGTTATATTTTGCTTGATCTCTTCCGTGTGGACTACGAGTCAGTGTCTTCCTGATATATATGTGCTTTGTGCATTCTCCCCTAAGGGCACTGCACCAACCTTGCCTAACATGGGACCTTCATTTCCTGAAATACCCAGCTCAGGGCCTGCCATATCATAGGACATCAACAAATAATTTAACTAGTTGGATTGAATTTTACCGAGTTCTGTAGTACCAATTTGTGTAATAACTGTCTTTTATTAACACCTCAACATGGTTTTTATAGTAGAACCAGTGCTTCTTAAACTTTAATGTGCATGTAAATCATTAAGAAAATCTTATTAAAATGCAGATTCTGGTTGAACAAGTTTAGGAATAAGCCCAGGATTATGCCTTTCTCACAAGCTCCCAGGTAATTTTGAAATAGGTGATCCTTGAACCACGCTTTGAGAAGCAAGGTGCAGTAGATGATGCTTAACAGACTTGGGATTTTCTAGCAGCCTCTGCCTCTCTGCCTGGAGATTTTCCTACAGTTTGTTTTTGCTTCAATATTATTTTCTATTTTGAAAGTACTGTGGGCTTGGATATGCTTTCTGAAGCTGAATGGAAGGTTTGTTTATTCCCTTGTATTTTTACCTCATTTTACTGATACATGATTGCAGTTGCTAGTTCTCCTTACTACATTTTTCTCTGGCCAGTTGCGTTGCTTTGTTAAATATTCCTTCTCATTTCCCTATTATTTGCAGATTGCGGATTGTGGCTGTTCTCCTTTCCCACTCTGCTTTGACTTTTTTTTTTTTTTTTTTGTCTCTGCTGTCTCTGTTTCTTAAAATTCTCTTCAGGTGCCTTGGCTGACTCTATGCCCCACCTGTTTTCCTACTGCTTCCAAAATTTTTTAGCAAAAGGAGCACTGAAATAGGGCGCAGGAGACTCAAGCTCTCCTTATTGCTAGGGTGAGATGTTGGGCACAGCTGTTTCTTTTCTGGGCTCCTGTATCACTTGTAGATGAAGGGCGTGGGTTACTTCCTGGGTCTACTTAAGCACTAAAATGCCATGTGGGATCTGCACGTGGGGCAGAAGGAGGAGCAGGTTGAGGGGAGGAAACAAAAATCTTCTGATGATCCCGGTGCTGATGTATGCCCCCGTCTGGTGTTCCTGTTTCAGGTTCCTGTTCTAGATAAACAACTTGAACTTTAGTTGTTATTCTAGCACTAATTGAAGAAATATTCTTATTTCTTAAGAAAATGAATATTCCCTGGTATCCTCTAATCCAGTTGTTCTCACTCCTGGATTCACACTGTAATCACTTCAGGAACTTTAGAAAAACAGTGATGCTCTTAGCCATTTCTAGGGGATGGTTTAATATGTCAGTATTTTAAAAATCTCCCCCTTTCCAGCCTGGATGGAGAACTATAGTACCTGGTCTGTAAAGGCAGTGTAGTGCGGTATTTAGGAATGCAGTGTTTTTCCAAGTCAAACCATGGCTTAGCCACTCACCACCAGATTTGAGAGCTTGGGGCAGGGGTTACTTAACTTCCTTGGCTTTCAATTTCTTCATCTGTGAAATGGGCTGACTTGGTTATAGGATAATGACCCTGGAGCCAGCAGTAGAGTACTGTGCACACTGTGGTTGTTCAAGAAATGGTAGTAGCTGTTTATCACCATAATCATACTATTAAAACTTACACTCACTGCATTGGTTAAGGGTCATCTTGCCTTAGCCAAGTGAACACTTTTCTTGCCCACCCTGGTCAGTTTCAAGATATTCAGCACCATGTAATCAGTCTGAAAAGAAATTTATGAGCATATTTTTTAGAAGTCAGTGAAAAAATACTGAAGAAAGTATATATACTGATACAAAACAATTGCCCTTTTGCTTTTGATCTATTTGGTGCCACATCAACTTTATGATCTCATAAATAGCAGAGATGGATTAAAAGACATATAAACTGGTACAAAAGATGACCAGGCTTTCATACCTACTTTATGAAAAATGACTTAGTCTTTTAACAAAGACAGTTCTATCATCAACAAGTAAAAAAGATTGAAATTCATGGACCTAAGAGAGCATTTTATTTTGGAAATAAAAATGAATGTACAAAGCATTTACATTTCTGAGTTTATAATGGGAAATGGAATTTAAAAATAAGAAAAGCACACAGAGAGAGATATCCTGTGCTATGCAGGCAAAAGCTAATCAACTTTTTCTTTTCTTTTTGGCTGAGATTCTGAAATAGCCATTATGTTATTATGTTATCATTATATCAGCAAAACGAAGATTAGATAAATGGACATAAACAATATTAACTGGGGACCATATTCCACTTTTTTTTTTCTGTACACATCTGAAAATAAATAAAAGAGGTGCTCTGTGATTCCAGTGGGCCTGGCAGAGCTACTCGATCATGATTATCGAGATTGTTATGCTGATATCCTTTGCATGTGAAAGAACTGTAGATGAGTACAGTTTTTCATTGTTTTCTCTTGGAATAAAAAGTTTCATTTCTGTATTTACTTTAGGATCAAGGACAATATTTGCAGTTAAATCTTCACTAACAGCCTAATGTTTATTTTCCATACTGTGATGTGATGTGTACTTTTTTAATAACACAATTAAGAAGACATAATGAAATTTTAAAAAGTAGTTTGAGCTACACTAAGAAAAGGCCCATTGTGAGAGATAATGAGCGAATTCTTCTAAATCTTTGCTTCAGTATACCAGTGTTAAAATTGTGTAAAATTCTACAGAGAGCTGTGATTTTTGATTTGCATTAGTTAAAGAGGTCCATCTGACGGATAGTGTAGTAAATAAGGTTTTCATCGTCTGGAGGCCTGGACTCTTGGTTGGTTTATACTGATTTCAAGCCAGGGCTCAGCTTCAAATTCCTCTTAGGCTTAACAGATTCCTATTCCTGTGAAATAGGTTGGTGCAAAAGTAGTTACAGTTTTTGCCTTTTTTTTTTTATGGCAGCCTAATAATAGGTAAGGATATGGAAATGACTACCATTCATTCAAAGACAATCATTAAATCAGTGTCATTGTATGTTTAGAGTTAAAAGAGATCTTTGTACAAAATCCTCACTGATAAATTAGAAAAATGAGACCCAGAGAATTTAGAATATTTAAAATTTGAGCCTAGGGAAATTAAACATTACAAGTAAGAGTAGAAAACTTCTGGCATTAACACTAGCATTTAAACTTCACAGAGAAATGGTGTAGACCCTGTGATTTCCTTAGATTTGATACTTTGGATGTGAAAAAACTTTTTCTCACAGGCTGAGGGAGAAAAATCTAATGCTTAGAATAAGAGCACAAAAATGCCATTGTTTGTATACAGATACACATACTGGTATATAAATACAGCCATTTCAATTTTATATATATGAAATTTTCTTTAAATAAATTAGCCATTGCACATGTTCTTAGACATCTGGAAATGCTGATGATTAAACACATCTTAGTCCCTGCACGTGATGCACTATTGAAGATGGGAAATAGCAGAGCCTAAATGTCGAGTTTGGTTCTGAAGTCATATTTTGTGGATGCAAATTTCAGTTCTATTTATTAGTTGTGTGACTTTGACTAAGTTACTTAACCTCTCTGTGCTTTCGTTTACCAAGTCTGAGAGATATAATGAAAGAATCTTCCATGGGGTTGTCATCAGATAAAATTAGATAATGCACATAGCATACTTCACAAAGTTCTTGGCACCTACCATACTCATACAGGTAGCCATAATTGTACATTATACAATTTAATTATTAATATTAAATACTTGCAGGTACACTGATTTCTTTGCCAAGATAACTTGTGCAACTCTGACTTTTAAACCTTCAGTTTGAAACTTACTAGGTATTTTTCAATTATATATTTTCTGTTTTCTCATCTGCCTTTCCTTGTTTACTTTAAAAGAACAATGAAATGAAAGAGCATAGAAATGTGGAATTCTAAGCACTACAAGGACTTCTGAAAATTTGTAACCATGTGAAGCACAGGTACACTTGGGTTCTTGAACTTTTGGAAGACCAAGTAACTTAACACATAGCTTCTTGTGAATGAATATGCTTTCTGAACTTGATACACATGTATAAACCTGGAATGCTTGGAAATGACCCAAGTGAGGGAGTGATCCAGGTAGAGAAGCCAGTTTATGTAAACAGGGTCTATATAACTAGGGCAGACTCATTTAAGGACAGTCTTTTTTTCAGGCACTAGAATTGTATTAATAGTTGGATAGTCACCTCTCCTGGGTTCATAGGCATTGGTTTTCACATCTAAATTTGATTTTCTAAATTGGAATATAGAAAGAAAAATAATTTGTAAGAGAAAGATATAATTGGCAAACTATGGGGAGGATTACCAAAGAGCTTAAGTCCATATATACCTCATTACTGCATGTATGGTTCTTAAGGGTCAATCTAACTTTCATAGGAGTAAAATATTTAAGACTCAAAATGAAGAAGGCAAGATATAGTCTCATTCCTCTTTTGCACAGTGGTCTTTTCTCCCATGCATGTGGTCATCAAGCTGGTTCTAAAGCCATCTCTAGTGTAGTCATTATTGGACTTTAGCATGTGAAAGAAGACCTGGGAACTGGCTAAAGATACAGATTCATGGAATTAACCCTTGAAAGCTCTGACTCACTAGGTCTGAGGCAGGACCCAGTAATCTAAGTAAGTATCCCGGGTGATCGACAGACCACACTTGGAGAACACTCCTACCTTAAGTTGCTCTGAGAAATCACCCACATGGATCCCATCATGTGTGAATTCTGGAGAACCAGTCTGTGCTCTCTCATTGGGTATTCACTGGCCTTTACTTACAGGTTTTAGTCCACGATGAGTTTCCATGCCAACGTGAACCACTGGACGCCTGCCGCAGTATCTATGTGAGCTCACTCATGGTATATGGATTCCAGGGCCCAAACCTAACCCTACAAAATCTAAAAGAGGTGGTAGGAGGTGAGGTCCTGGAGCCAGCGATTTTTGGCTCCCAAGATTATAATTATGACTACATAGAGTTTCACCTTTGCCTCCATGACTCACCGTATTTTTGTAACCACATTGATGGCAGTGACCAGGTGGATAGTATTGAGACCACTATGGCTATTGAATGTCAGCAGTGTCTCTCCCCTTGCAAGTCTGCAGGCTGCTTTTTCCTTCTCTGCATCCTAGGAAAAGCAATTTATTCTGTCCTTGTGGTTTTATGGTAAGAAATAGGCTTCTTTCTCTATGGTCCCTTCCTGCCTTCCCTTCTCCGTAGCTGCCAAGTGGAGACTGAGATGACTGTGCCAAATGTACAGATGTGGTGGTGCACATTCGAACTGCTGTTGCCCTGGCAGAGACCTCCTCTTTCAGCCCTTGCAAATCCTTGAAGTCTTTCTTGCCTCACTGTGCATAGCTTACATAAGCAAGGTTTAAATTTGTCGAGAATTTAACAGGTTTTCAGATCTGTTGTCTTTCTTTAATATTGTATTGGAAAATGAACAGTATAATGTACTCATAGCTGGCATGGGTCAAAGGTAGTCTGATCTTTAGGAAAATTTGATTCTTGAAATCACATTTCTGAATTATTAAGAAATTATTAAGAATTATAGCAAGAAAAACTGTTTACTGTGTATGGGTAACAATTCTTCTGAGTCCTTCAGTGTGTACTTCTGTAGATCCATTTACAGTTGCAAGCCATAGAATTTTTTCTTGTTGCTATATGAAATGAACAAAAATGACATTAAAAATTTTGAAGCATCTTGTCATGAATAGCTCTAACTCTGATCATTGATTATTTTAAAATCCAGCAATAGTGTTCTATCATGTGAAATAATGCTTTGTTATCTATAAAACCTCAGAGAGTGATTGAGAGGAGGGTGGCATAAAGTGACAGCTTAGCATTTTCTTGTTGTAGGGTCATGTTATGATTGAACCCTACGTTCAGCCTGATTCAGCCCTCATAGATGTCAGCTTTCTTTTCTTTTTATTTTTTAAGAGACAGGGTCTTGCTCTGTCACCCAGACTGGAATGCAGTGGTGCAATCATATTTCGCTGTAGCCTCCAACTCCTGGACTCAAGTGACCCTTCCACCTCAGCCTACAAAGTAGCTAGGACTACAGGTGTGCACCACTATGGCCAGCTAATTTAGAAAATAATGTACTGGTGATGTCTTGCCGCGTTGCACGGGCTGGTCTTGAACTCCTGGCCTCAAGCAGTCCTCCTGCCTTGTCCTCCCACAGCATTGGGGTTACAGGCGTGAGCCACTGTGTCTGGCCTCAACTTCTTTCTTTAGCTGTAGGGAAGGGCTCAATGGTAACTGAAGAGATTGGTGAAGGGGGTGATTGACATAAAGGTTGACCTACTCAGAAAATGATAAAACCAACCAAATTAAATGTGAGAGGGAACTTTGCATATAGGAGATGTCAGACTTTCCAGATCTTCTTAAGAGGCAAATTACTGGTCACATGGCAAGTTTATCTTCTAACGTTAAGGAAAAAATACAAAAGGCAACATCTGAACTGTTGCATAAGGCTAACTATGGTGGTAATTTGAGGATCCCTCCATGGGATGGATTTTTAAGAGTCTGCAGGGCCTGTGTTTAATTGGAAAGGTCATACCACACTAAGGATCTCTCGGTCTAGCCCACTTTTACTTCTCTCTCAAGCCTTATTATAAGCACGAGAAAGTGTGCACTAGGATCGTGATTTCAACACTTGTTGAAGCCACTCTAAGCAGCCTTGCATGATGAAAGACATACAGCAGAATCTTTGTGAATCTCCCACACCTCCCTGGCTGCTGTTTCTTAACCCCCTTTAGCAAGAGGACAGACAAAGCATGTGCCTCCTCATCCGGTTCCGAATAAGAAGGCTTTGAACAGACATGGTAGTTGCCTGCAAACACTTGAAGGGATGATACGTGGACAAGGAAGTAGATTCATTTTTCCAAAGTTCCAGCAGGCACAACCAGATTCAGTGGGTGGGATCATAGGGAGGCAAATTTCAACTCAATATGAGAAAGAACTTTCAGATGATTCACTGTCCAGTAATGGTATGGCTGCCTTGAAGTTTCATGCTCCCTCTAGCTGAAAATATGTGATGGATGAGAGGATCAGCCACCAGACATAACAGAAGGAATTCCTGCATTGAGTGGAAGCTCAGCTGAGCTGATTGCTACAATCTGTCCCCTTCTTGGCATTATTAATAAAATAATTTGAGGAGTGACTTTAGGGGAGAGGGATATGTAAAAAGAAAGGAAGTGAGAAAGGTGTTCCTGAACTCCTTAAAAGATGATTGAACAATTACTTCACCTTTCCCCCCCAGCTTTTTATTATTTTTCCAGCTTTTGAGCACACTGCACTTATTAAACACCTACTATATGCCACAGCATTATCTCATTTAACAGCAAAAGGCACAGATCCCAGTGTGTTCCCTCTTAGCCAGAGTTCTGCAACTGTTTGCTACCTTTCACACAAGGGTTGAGCTCTGTGGTCATCTTTGGTGACTTCTCACAGGTTGTGCTGCATACCCATCACAGCTGAGCTCAACTCCTTGATAGTCTTTTCATGTTTCTGTTTCACTTTTTCTGTGTTTCTCTTATGGTGCTTGCAATATTAGGTTGTAATGATATGTTTGTGTTGATTTTTCTCACTAGACTGTAAGCTAATTGAGGGCAGACCCCTTGACTTATTTATCAGGTTAATGACTATTCAAGTGTCTAGCAGATAGTAAATGCTAATGTTTATTGACTCAATATTTGATTGCTCCTCTCATCACACCCCTCCCTCAAAAGAAATACCGGTGATAACTTTTATCCTCAACGTTTGAAACTAAAAGGAAAAATACCGGAATATTCTTTCACTTCTGGACCCTACCTTCCCAATACTAATCACATCCTAATTGCTTACCCCACCCATTCTATTTCAGGGATGGAGGGAAAGAATTATGCCAACAAATCTCCAAAATTAGAGAAGAGAAAACCAGCTATTATGCAACTCCTTCATCTCCCCAAATAGATGTGTTGCCTTTGGCATCACTAGTGGAAGGTTGAGGAGGAATCCTCCTGCTTTTAACTAGCTGTGTGACCTGGAACTAGTCCTGTGACCACCTCATTTATTCATTCATGATGATTTTAAGGCTCAGTCAGTCTTAAATTCTGTAATTCATAACCTCGTTTCCCTTCAAAGGTTTTCTGAAGTCCTTTTGTCCTTTTCGTTTGCATGGTATTCTCCTGAATAACCACGAAGCCAGAATGATGCTGATAAGGGAAGCAGTGTTGGGCTTAGAAGTCTGTTTGGGAGGTGGCATTGGGATAAGACTGTATTCTTTGTGATCTGACACCTCCAGATTGAGTCCCTGCTGTACGGCCTTAGGCAAATTATAAACATATTTAAACTGAAGATTCCTGTATTATAAAATGGGCACAATATTATGTATCTCATAGGACTACAAAGACTCAATGAGATAATGTATATTAAGTGTTTTTCCTGTGCCAGAAACATGATAAGCCCTTAGAAACGATAGCTGCTATTATTTGGAAATAGTCCCCTCTCTTTTTTTATTCCTCTTTTCTACAACACCTGAAAGAGACCGACACCCAAGTCCTGAAGAAGCTTCCTTGGCATGGGTTTGCTCTTGATCATCATTTCTTCTTGTTGTAGACTTAGTAGAGGACAGTCAAGGTTCTTCCTGCTGAGGCATTCTGCTCCTACATGTACAATGGCCAAAGGAGCAGCCCATTTCACAGTGGTTGAGACTATATTTATTTTAACATTTGCATGGAAGACACAAATGTTACTGAGGAGACTCTGGAAATGGATGTGGGGTCGTATATCTTAATATCACATAATGTATCTCACCCAGATCAAAATTCCTTTATCTGAAAAGGCTTTGACTGAGCAATGGTGACATAGCAGCTCCTGAGCCTGACAATAAATAGACACCTTATAAAAATTTATGAAGTTCAGGTTGTAAAGAACAAACTGCACATACCGAGTAGTAGCATTCTTATTAAAATAATTTCATCTTTAAGTGTGTTGTCTCTGCTTTGCCTATAATAGAAGCTTGCGCTAGGCTAGACACCTCAACAGCCTATAAACTTTTATATGGGCTTTTGGAAAGGGATGATCGGTTTACAAGATATGATTTTCTTATCTCACCAAATTAGATTATTAGAGATACTGTCCCTGGATGTAAAATTTCAGTCCTGAGTAAACCTGTACCTCTGAGATACTGTGCAGCCTGCTAGCAGAGTGGAAATGGAGCATAATAAATTTGCCCTGAGCCCATTTCTCTCCACATAGCTCCATAATTCATTCTTTGCTTGGTATCCATGACTGCTTTTTTACAGCGAATCAGTCTACATCCAGGCTGGCTCCTTTCATGTGCAGCACCTCCTCCTTGCTCCAGACCTTGCCTCTTGTTATGCTAGACTCCTCTCATGCTTCTTTCTAGAGCTATGTTCCACCATGGACCCTCTGTCCAAGCTGTGCATGATCATATGCCAAGCAGTTACTCTAGTTATAGGCTTCTTTGTTGAAGTAGACTCTTAAAAAGATACTCTGTTTAAAGTGGATTATAACAAATAACAGCATATGTGGACCACATACGTAGGTGCAATGAATATTTCACTTATTCTTTTCTGAGTCTCCTCTGAGGGGTCAGAGAAGGGGTAATCTGCTACTAATACCACATGCTTCTTTACTCTAGTCCCTTCCACAGCATCCATCCATGCGGCCCTGTGACTCCCATGGCTTCTCTCCCTCTCCTCTGGTTCAACGTTGCTTTGGTCCAATGGCATTGCCACTATCTGCTACTACAAAACCAAAAGTGGCTGCAAGGAACTTAGGAAAAGAGAAGGGTTTAGGAAAACTTTCTCCAAGGTGGAGTGGAGACAGCCATACAAAACTGGGAATTAAATACATAGTTTCTGGTCCTGTTTCTACTCTTAATTATTGTGGTGAGATCGGGCAGGGAATTTATCTTTAGTGGACCTCACTTTTGACATGTGTGAAACAAGTAGGAATAGGTACATTTTAAGAGAAAATTGTATTAATTATGAACTATATAGACATGGAAAATTGACCTCTCTCTTTTCTTTTAATTCAATAATTAGGTGTCTTGAGAATAAGCTGGTAGAATCTGGGGCTTTGGAAGAAGAGTTACCAAAATAATTGTGCTATCCTGCAGGGTATAGTGTGGGGACCACTCAGAAATAACTTTGTGTAGAAAGTTATCAGCTATAGCCTGGTCATAGGGCAGGCACATAGCACAGCAGTTTTATGAAGAATATAAGAATAGAATGTGTAGCAGACAAGAAGCAGTGGCACCCAATTTGTCAGTTTTAGGGGAAGAGTATATTTGTGTTCTTCAGCGATTTTAAACACTGTTAACTAAGTAGCTTGTTAAACTTTTTAAGAATGCTTTCACCTGCATTTATTTATTCACATTCTCTTTAACTCTTTGAATTTGGTAAGAGCCTTTATTTCTTGCCTAATTTTATTGTGGAGAAAACTGAAGCACTGACATGCTATAATGTGCTCAAATGGCACAGCTGTATGGTGGCAGAGCAGGAGTCATGTCTCACTGAGGAGCATGGTCTCCTAGCTGCTCTAGGTGAGTCCACGGACCAGCAGCACCAGGATCACTTGGAAGCATGTTAGAAATGCAGAATCTTAGCCCCTGCCTGAAAGCTACAGAATCAGGATCTCTACTTTAAACCTTCAGGGGTTTTGTTTGCACATTAAATTCTGAGAAATACAGTAATCTAGTGGATACTGTTGTCTCCACTAAAGATTCTTCTCTGTTTCTTGCTGGGGGGCCCTCTGGGTTCACTGAGAGGCCAGCCTGTAGAGGGGAAGCATGCCTGAGGTACCCCCAGGACAGCTTTCTGGACTTGGTATGTGAAATAAAACAAAAAGAGTTGTCTTTATTTTCCACGCAGGTAAATGGGCTATTTAGAACCACACAAATAGATAAGCAGGATACGGAATTCTTGTCTCATTCAGAGGCCTTGTGAGTTAGCTCCTGGGCAACCCCGTTTCTAACATCACCACCTTGTGTCGGCAAATTTCCATTTGAAAATATGCAAATGTAACAGAACAAGCCAGCAACATATCTGATTAAACATCTGAGTGATTAGAACAATTTAAATTAAATCTTGTACCTGTGTTTCTAAAATGACTTCAGATGCTGAGACTGTTGAAACACATTCTATTGGTTCATGGTTCCAAATTCTGAAAATAGCCTTTACAGATGTTTTATAAGACTATGGGTCTGAAATGTAAACATAAAAATAACTGAATAGCATCAAATTTGGGACCTAAAAATGCTGTAATTACTATTTTGATAGTCAGCAAAAGTCATCAGCTCCTCCAAGGCGATGACTTTCCATAGCCAACCAAAAGTATGTATTCAGTCATTACCATGTGCAAGTATGCCAGTGAAGAGAATGTAGTCTAAGAGAGAATCTCTGAAACGTCCCCTTTATCTTTCAAAAGAACAGGTTGGCTTTGAAAAAGTCCTGCTAGCCACATGACATGACAACTTTTAATAGTGTCCCGATAATTAAATGGGATGGACAATAGTGATCCATTTTGTTCTAAGATATCCAGACCACCTTAAACATACTTTAAATTCTAGGGCATCTAATATATCAAGTTGTAAATATGGGATAATGGATGATTTTGTTCTTGCATTCCTTAGGAGGTCTCTAGGATCTCCCAAATAGTGAAACTCTTGCCAGTTTCCTATCGTGACCATCTGAAAGGGTCATGTGTACACATGTTGCTTTGCATATACAAGCTCAGAAAATGGAACAAGGGCTGCAAATCTTTGCAAATGAGTTTTGAAAAATATGATGTATGTGATCCATATATTTCTTTTGTATGTGAGGCAGGTGTGACATGCCCTTTGGATGATGACTTTATCCTTGATCCTTGTCCCTGTCAATTTTGGTGGCACTTGCTCTCAGATTTACAAGTAGAATGACATTTTTGTACTGGCAGAGTACCCTGGGTTGAACTGCCTACGCTAACCACAGCCCACCTACTGTTGAGATTTTTCATCTTTTTAGACTGGCATTATATTATGCCACATTGTATATCACTGGTTCTTTAATTTTTTTCTTACCTGTCTTATATCCCCTCACCCTTCTTCAATTTATTGTATTGCACCCAGTCAGCTCATATGACCCACTAAAGAATTGAACTGGGAAAAGGCTGAATATTTAAGTAAACCTGTAGGAATAATTTGCTGTCAGCATATATATTTATATGGAGAAAATATTCTATGATGGACTTCAGTTTATTCTTCTGATCATCTTAAGGCATTTCTACGTGTAGGGCTATTAGAGTAGTTTCTGGATTGAGATAATCAATTGTATTGGAGCATCAGTCTTGTATGGTGTTTGGGTAGTGATCATTATGCTCCTGACATATGGAAAAAAAGAATATCCCAGGTATATGGATACTGTACATGTCACCAAGACAAGGTTACAAAGAAAGACAATGGGATAAATAAGTCCTGGACATGGTTCTTTAAGTTTAATAGTTTATAGATGTTATCACTCACGAGAGAGTTATGATTTTACCCAACGCTCTTTGTATTTGGAGGACCCTTTCTTATTGGATTTTCAAGTTCTGAGAGTGATAGAGCTTGATATAAGTAGTGTTGCCTTCTTTTTTAGGGCCACAATTAAACATCCTGTACATTTTTACTTGCTTGGAGAGTCATATTGATTATTTACTCTCTCTCCCAACCTTTTTGCAGTATCAGTGAATCAAAGGTTTAATTTTTTTTATTCAGATAATTCTTTTGGCTGAACAATTATGATGTTTTCACCTTGGTTTCCTTTTCTTCCTTGCTTCTTTCTTTAATTTTAAATCTTGCTGAAGTAGAAATAACACCAGTGGTAGCAACCAGAGACTATGGGGTGCTTGACTGTGTGTAGTAGTGTTTTAAGCCCAGAACATGTATTATATCATTTAATAGCAAGGCAGACATTATCATAGTCCCCATTTTGAAACTGATGCTTAGAAAGTTGAGAAATCTTTTTAAGTCATAAGACTATAGTGACTGACAGGATATGACTGTGAACCAAGGCCTCATTGACTCTAGAACCCACCTTTATTGTGAGAACCATACTGCAAGAGCAGAAAGGAAATTTAAAAATCATTTAGTTCAAACTATTTTTTTTACAGATGAAGAAATAGGTCAAGAGAAGTTAAATTCTTTACCCAAAGTTCATACAACAAGCAAATGGAGGAGGCGGTTTCAATCGATGTCCGTTTTTAAGGAGGTTACGCAGGCATTTTCTGTTCTATCTAATAGACCAACTTGGATCACGAATCATCTCTGGACCGATCTGCTATAAAAAGGAGTATGGGCTCATTGTACAGAATTGTTCAAAATGGCTTGCTCGCTTCTTTCTGGGGGTTAAGAGGAAGGAATTCTTGTAGCTGGGCAGACTCTGCAAAAGCTGTTCACTGAATGGGGTTGCTGTCTCCCAAGGCTGGAAGCCCAGTTCTAGGCAGACTCCTGCAAAGGGAATTTTCCATGTTATTAGAATTCCTTTTTCCCCTCAAAGTAGATAAAATTCAGGGTGAAACCAGCCTGACTTTATTGTTCTTTACTCAGTCCAGTCTCCAGGCCCTGCCTGTATGTTGAAGGTAGATTGAGTTTGACAGATGGAAAAACAGCAGCAGTCCTGAGACTGGCTGCCAAATGGGACAGAAAAGGAGGTGATCTGATGGGTTGTAGCATTGAACTGGAAGGGCACATATACCAATGCACAAATGAAGACAATGAATGGTGACCCTTCTGAGGAAATAGCAGCATTTTCCATCACTGATTTAACAGCATTGAAGATTTGGAAAAGAGAGAGGCAGTTACTGTGTGAGGTACTGCTTTTGGTATATACCTATGTCACAAGTATATGGATAATATATAACTCAGTTAATATTTATCTTGTGTAGTAATGCTTCTATATAGATGTGTGTCTTGATTGGACTTAAAAAATATTCTATTTTTCTGTTAACAAAATGAATCTAAACTTATTCAAGGAAGGTACGAAGAAAGAAGTTCCGATTCACTGAGATATATATGCAGGTGGAAGGGTGATTGGCTGTGATTTTTACTCTAGATGTACACTTCTTTTCCCTTTCCACATAGGTAGCTAGTTCCCCTGTGCTCCCTTTGCCTCAGGGGAGAGTTGTGTTGCAGAAAGGAAAGAGAAATTGTCCATACTAGAAGAGAAATGGCTTTGGTGTGTTAGAGGCCCCTTGAGGGGATTCTATCCTGGGAGGTAGGAGGAGCAGAGACCTTTGGGAAGGTAAACAGGAAGGTATGAAAGAATGGAAGAGAGAGATTGATTTTCTAAGGTTAATGGATACAATGGTCTGCATCTTTGGAGCACCCTCAATGCTGTGGCAGAGTTTTGGGGTGGGGGCGGTGACACCTAGGGAAGCTGTATATCCCTAGCTTTGGCAAAGAATCCTACAGCACCTGAGGCAGGCTCCCTCCACACCAAAGTCTGGAGAGGCCTTTAGTCCATCAGTTTCCTTTTAAGAATGCAAATCCAAGCATGTTTCCCAGTAAAAGACCACTCCGATGGCTTCTTATCTGCAGGAAATTGACAAGAATATTTTAAGCAGATGAAATAGCATGTGCAAAACTATGAGGCTAACGGCACATGGACTCTACCAGTGACTCTTCATCTGGATCACAGGGGCTTTGCTGAACAGCTGGAGGGAGGGGTAAGGGCTGCTCATGGTGGCCTCGACTGCCATCTGGTGGGGTCTCTGTGGGCCAGTGACATTTTGTAGGAACATATGAATTTTTCAAATAAAATCTTACAAGGAAACTCAATCTATGAAAGAGTTAATCATGGAGAAGCACACCAGAGTTTCATGCCATGCCCTCCCCATACAACCCTGAGTTCTTGAGCATCTCTGTGGGACCATAGCTGTGGATAATGGAAAACTCATATGTGATCAGATTTAAGATTTTATTAGATGAGCACAATGGTGGTATGAAGATACATTAAGGGACAAAGACAGGGAAGTTTAGACTGCATGCAAAGAGACCAGTGAATGAGGAGAAATTTCTGAACACAAACTGGTTTTGTAAAAATAACTTTATTTTTAGTTTCAGTTTCATAGAATAGTGTGAACCTATTTGATCTGATGGCAGAAGTTTAGTTATATTAATAATTCAGGGTCACATTCTCCTTCTCTGACTTGGAACTAATCCCAGGGGTGTTTATATACATAGTAAAAACCACCACTTACTCAAAATTTAATTAAATAAAGAGCAAGTACTTCACAAAATTTAACTCATTTAATTATCATTGTAACCCTGTGTGGTATGTACTGTCATTATCTCCATCTCACAGATATGAGGAAACTGAGGTCCAGAAAGTTGAGTGATTCCTGGGATTTAAAGGTAGGCAGCCTGGCTTCCAGTATGCTCTGGTATCTGTGTTCTTAAGTAATTTAGCTGCAATGTGGAAGTATTTGTGGGGAGTGTGTCATTTTGTTCTTGAGAGTGATCAGTCCTCTCAGGCGTCCATTGCCATTGGGGTGTTTTGCTTTTAATCTCATCTGGTTCTAGGACATCATCCAAGTATGTTGCCCTGGATCTTCTCAAATGATTCTTTCTACTACTCATGACCTGTGCTAGGATAGGAAGAAATTCTCTCTAGGATTTTACCTAAACCAGTGGCTCTCAATGGAGATTTTGCCCCCAGGAGACATTTGGTAATGTCTAGAAACATGTTTAGTAGTTACAACTGGGGATGGGGAGTATGTTACAAGCATCTGGAGGGCAGAGGCCAGGGAAGCTGTTAAATATTCTACAACCCACATGAGGATCCCACAGCAAAAAATTATCCAGACCAAAATATCAATAGTGCTGAGATTGAGAATTCCTAATACAGACACAAATTACATTTCAGCAATTTTATTTGTAAAGTCTTGCTTTCTTCCCAGAGCTCTGTCTTGCTGGGTAGGCACAGGTTCCTTTTGTTCTTAGATCCCACCAAACCATCCTGGGGTTTCTGATTCCTTTTCCTCCATCAGGGCTCAGTGCAGGGCTGGTGAGTGGGTTGGGACCTGGGCCCTCTTAATCTCTTGTATCAAAACTCTCCACTTAATGTCAACCATTTTCCCCCTTTCTTCCTTTTATCTAGTCTGAATATAGAAAGCTTTGCTCCTACTGATCTTAGTCTTTCAAATATATGGCCCATGAATTATTGTTCCCTTAACTTTTGAAATCCAAACTGTAAGAATTGATTACCTTTTTCTCTGCCTTGTACGATGTGATCCCTTTCCTGGGGGCAATACATGCAGAAAGTCAGCAGACTGAAAGAAGTTTTGCAGAAATGCAGAGAAAAACCTTTATTTGTCCATGTCAGCATTTTACAATCTGTATTCTGAGGACCACTGGAGATGTTAATAGGCTTTCTATGAAAAGAGGGAACTTCTCTCTAGGAATTCCCAAGTCATGTAAGCATTCTTTAAAGCTCAGAAAAGCAACCTATTTAAATTTGTTTATCCCAGGGCTTCACAAAGTGTTTGACAAGAAAACTTTTCTTTTTTTCATGGAATCCCTAAGAACATTTTGTGCATAGTTGAGAAATGTTAGTCTATGTGATAAATGTGGCCTTTATCAATGCATTGGCAGAGAGAAGAGTACAGGTTCTCGAGATATTAAAAGTTAGACTCACTAGTACTTGATGAATGATTGGTTATGGGAGGTAAGGAAGCAAGAGAAATCAATGGAAAAATAAATACAGAAACTTCAAAGTTGAAGGAACAAATTTTGTATCATTCCTTATATATCACAAAATATTAGGCACCAGGGATTTTTAAAAGTGTAAACCACCAAATGCTGGTACTGAATTTATCTCTCTCCTGGATTATGGTAATGGCTTTCTAAATGGTCTCCTAGCTTTCATTCACTTCCTTTTCTAATTTCAGCTCCACAAGGTCAACAAAAAAATCTTTCCAAACAAAGACATAATCATGACGTTGCTCTTATCATTGAACTTTGATGGTTCAATTTTGCACAGACAATCCAAGCTCCTTTGCATAGTATTCAGAGGTCCCTGTCAATGTCTTCTTGAATATGGATATATAGAACTTAGGGTGGCAAGAAATGAGGGGCTCTTACTCAGCAAGGCCTCACTGTGTACTGCCAGTGCTTATGTGCCTTTAAGGGACTTTGGGGGACAAGGCAGGCTGTGCCGGGGGATCACACATCTGTTCCTGTCCTGTGTGAATGCCTTGATTCCATATGCATTATAAATATATCTGTAATGTGACCTAATCATAGAATGAAGATGTGTGTGGTCCATCTCTGCCTATGCAGGTATCTTCCATTTGCCCTTCCAGATCGACCCTCACCCTTGTCTACCCTGTGCTCTGGGAAGCTGACCTCTTTGTATTCCTCTGCCCACTGTCTTAACACTTAAAATGGGTTTGGCTAATGAGAAATGTTGGCGGGAGATGGGAGGGAGGGAAGAGATTGAGATCAGGGTGTTTATTCCCCAGATCCCTCCCTGGAAGGGCACCACATCATGGCTGTGTCTTGTGATGGCCTCTGTTTCTCTCAAGGTGGCCTCTCCCACCATATTTTCTCTTCTCCAGGTTTGAGTAACTACCATCTCCTCTTCTCCCCTTGGGCGTAGGGGTGGTAAAACACCCCTTCTTTAGTCCTTGGTTCCTGCAGTATCCTTGTGGCTCCTCTACACTCTGACTGTGTGCTTGTAAATAGTTCTTTAAATAAACCCTCTTCAGACTGCTCCAACTTGAATGTTGTATTTCCTTCCCACTGGGACCCTAACTTATATAGGTGGCCGTCTGAAACACTGAGATTTTTGAGTGTCTGTGAATGGTAAAGATTTAAATGATGAAGAACTAGAATAAACAGATACATTATGAAATGTCCATTTTAATGTTTTACCTCATATTTCAAATATCATAAAATTATGGCATGGAATATTAAGTTTAAAAATAACTTTGAATAAGGATAGTATGCCTTTTCTGGCCCAGAAAGGTCATTTCTTTTGTGATCCATTGACTAATAAAAATTAATGGAAGAGAGCTCCAAGTTGGTGTGAGTGGTGGGGAAGACTCCAACTGCTCACAGTTCTCTCTGGTAAGGTCCTCGAGATTAGGTATGTTGGGAGGTTAATTGGAGTGCAAAGACCCAGGAATCATGTAATGGCTCACTGGCTACAGCTTTTGTAGCTGGTTTTTAATGAATGCCAAATACGCTTTCAAGGATAGGTGAGAGAGGCTGTCAGCTGACTACAGCTAAGCAGTTCTCTTCTGGATCCAGGTGTGAATCTTCTTTAGAAGAATTC
This sequence comes from Homo sapiens, assembly GCF_000001405.40. Taxonomy (NCBI): domain Eukaryota; kingdom Metazoa; phylum Chordata; class Mammalia; order Primates; family Hominidae; genus Homo; species Homo sapiens. The sequence continues at coordinate 179,839,083 of NC_000002.12, read as the reverse complement.
TCCAGAAAGAATTCAGATTGAAGGCTGATTCTAGATATTTTTCCTCCTTCAGACTGTTTATAGGATTCTTTGTTTTTCTGAGTTAAGACAGAATATATAGTGCCGGGGCTAAAAGGACCACACTTTTGCAAGGAGCAGCAAAATGCCCCCCCCCCTTTTTTTTTGGTTTACAGTAATAACTCATATTTAGCTCTAGTTTAATTATTATTGGTTCATATTTTAAGCAAAACTTGTATTTTGAAGGTAGTTTTATATAATTTCACCTTTCATGATTCTAGTCATGAAAAAATTACAAATTGCTGATTATTTTTCAGAGAAGAGTGAATAGTGCTTGAATATGACAGACTGGAGATATCATGAAGCTTCCAGTATTCTTGTTAGCTATTTTTTGCTTATAGATCTAGCCATATAGATATTTATATATCTATCTATATATAGCTTTACATCCCAGAGAAGCATGTGCTTTCCTTTCCCGAGGAATCTTGTTTTGGAAATGGCAACATAGCAAGCATTTCCTTTGGAGTTGCAGAGGGGAAGGAGCTGTATGTATTGTAACAATGATACTGGGATGATGTGGAGCAAAGAATAGTAACCAAAAGGATAGTAACCACACCTTCCATGTGATTAGAAGTTAGGCGCTCCATGTGTATGAAGATTGTGGTGTGAGGGGTAAAAAGATAAATCTATTGTATAAGCAGCATTTGCTGTGCAGGCTTTCTTGTTTTGTACAAACTGAAGTACTAGCGTTGTAATCAGTGGTTCATGCTTGGGACATGTGATTAGGGAAGATCCAAGTAATCTTTTGAATATGTTTTTCTCAGACTGTGGTTTCTTTTAGTCTCCCATAGTTATTTGATCATGGAGAGAAATGTTTATCATTTTATTTGAAAAAAAGGATTTAAAAACAAGCACAGCATTGGAACCTTGATCTGTATAACACAAGAATTCTTATTTTATTCACCTCTGTATTCCAGAGTGAAAGACTTTTTTTTCTACACTGGGCCTTGAATAAGAAATATCAGAGATTTATGTTTTTAAAGAATTAATAAATTGTAGGTATATTGTGCACTTAAAATTTTAGTTTCTTTTAGCTGTGATTCTGAAGTAGTATTAAAGTTAAAAGATAAAATTTCAATTATAATGCAACAACTCTGAAAATGCAGCTTATTTTTTTGGTTATTAAATTATAGTGATGATAGAACGTTATTACCTTTCTTCTTTTAAATAACCTTAGTGTTTATATCTAACTCTACTGTTCTCTATGTGTTAGATTACACGCCTTATTTTATAACTATAAAGAGCTTTAAAAGGAAAATAGGCTTGATATTTATTGTTGTGTCTAAGTAAGATAATGAGTGTTTTCTTTTAAAACCATGCAAGCACTTTGTTGTGAGGAGGGCAAATATAAAATGCGTAAACTCGAATACCCTCAAAATACCTTTTAGATGAAGCAGTATATTTGGAGGAGGGAAAACCACGGTGAGTCAGCTGTCTCTTCAGGCTTTGCTTTCAAAACAGTTGCTGACTTGTTTAGTGACCTTGGCCATGTTGGTCTTATTCCATTTTAGTTTTCCTTTTGACAAGTGAATTTCTTTCTACTAACCTGCTTTTCCTGAATGTGCTTTAGAAAAGAGATGCTATATAAATACTAACTAACAATAATACTTTCTATGTCAGGAGTGAATTTCAATCTGAAATGAGAACACAATTTGTTGATATTTCTTTTGACCTTGTAATCCTTACCAAAAATATAAAAGAAATAAAATCCAAGCACATCGTAATGAAGTATGCTAGGGTAAATGATTGATAGTTCATTATCATAGAAATATTATATTCCACATAGTTTACTTTAAATATTGGCAGCTTGAAATTTGGCTTAGCAAATTGGCAGCTTGAAAATCCCTGCTTTATTAGTTAGCAAATGATTCTGAGTTTTATCACATTTTATTGTCAATCTCAGTTTTTAGGTGCCTAGGAATTAAAAATTATATGCTCAGCTGACCCTTTAATTAGCTCTCATTCTGTCTTACGTGATTTATAGCCTGGTGGCTTACATGTAAAAATGATGTATGATTTAATGAGCTGGAAAGGCAGAATAGTTTCCCACCTCTGATCGTTTAATGCTTTTCTCTGGCTGGTGACTGGGGTGCTGGGGGCAAGTGAAGCAGCAATTGGATTCCCTCATTTATTTATTGTTACAAGGACAGGAAGGCCCAGTTTGCTGTGATTGTTTGCAAGTATACTTTTGTTTCATTAGAAAACACAAGGCCGTGCGCGGTGGCTCACGCCTGTAATCCCAGCACTTTGGGAGGCCGAGGCGGGTGGATCATGAGGTCAGGAGATCGAGACCATCCTGGCTAACAAGGTGAAACCCCGTCTCTACTAAAAATACAAAAAATTAGCCGGGCACGGTGGCGGGCGCCTGTAGTCCCAGCTACTCGGGAGGCTGAGGCAGGAGAATGGCGTGAACCCGGGAAGCGGAGCTTGCAGTGAGCCGAGATTGCGCCACTGCAGTCCGCAGTCTGGCCTGGGCGACAGAGCGAGACTCCGTCTCAAAAAAAAAAAAAAAAGAAAACGCAAGAACCTTGATTCAGATATCTTGAAATAGTTTTTTACAAGAAATATGAGAGAGGCTTCTGACTCAAATTCTCTTATTTTACATTTTTATTTTATTGCTCTAAATGCAAATATTCCAGTAGAAGCAATACAGAGTTTAACCTGCAGGGTTTGGCAGTGTTTTAACACTGTGGGTCTATGAAGTCCACAGGTGTTTATGAAATACATTAAACTGAGGATTGGGCTTACAGCAGTGGATAAGAGAGGCAAGATCCCTTCATCAGAGGACAGACAACAAATGATAAGTAAATGCATAAACATGATAATTTCTCACTGTGTAATGTGGTGAGTATTATGGAAAACAACTTTATGAAATTATTTCAGAAACCTCACGTAAGTGGAATCATGCAATATTTTTGTCTTTTGGTGACTGACTTATTTAACCTAGCTTGATATCCTCAAGGTTCATCCATGTTGTTGCCTATTTCAGAATTTCCTTATATTTTTTAAGGCTAAATAGAATTCCATTGTATGTATGTATCACATTTTATTTATCCGTTCACTTATAGGCAATAGTATGTATTATACACTTAACGATTTGTGAAGAGGGTGTATCTCATGTGGAGTGTTCTTACTACAAAATAATAATCATAATAACAACTTTAAACAAGGTGCTCTGAGACATGTGCCAGAAGTGAGGGGCTAGAGTAGAATTGGTGTCAGAGAAAGCCTGCCAAGAGAGTGACACCCCAGCCAGGACCCACATGATATGAAGGGTCTAGAGGCAGAACTTCCCAAGCACAGGGCACAGAGAACACCAGTTCCAGGAAAGAACAAGCTTAACAATAATGACAAACAGAAGAAGGAAGTGGGGATGGGGACTAATGCATAAGGGTGAGAAGAGGTAGGAATTGAGAACTGACAGGGGCAGATAGTGCAGTGGTTGGTATGGCCATAGTGAGGAATGTTAGCAAGCGTCGTATTCCTTAGACCTTTGCCATAGTTTTCCTGGCCCCCCCACCACCAGCACATCGAAGGTGCTATGGTGCACGTATTTAGCTTATGTGTATTCCATTAGGTCTAGGCCCTACCTGAATAATATGGGCTAGAAAGTTCTAAGGCCAGAACATATAAAAAGTGTCCTATTACCTCAAGGGTTTCCACCTTCCCCCTGCCCAACATTTTACTTTGAAAAGTTACAAATAGATGGAAAAGTTGCGTAAACCCTTCACTAGGTTCAACAATTGGAAACAGTTTGCCACTTTTGCTTTATCTCTTTTCTTTCTGTATACACATTTGGTTTTGTTTTTGCTAAAGCGTTTCAAAGCTAGTTGTAGACATCATGACATTTCACCCTTAAATACTTCAGTGTGTATCCGGTCATGTCCAGGAAATTTAACAATACAATACTTCTATCTACTATCCAGCCTATGCTTACATTTTCCAGATAGTCCCAATTTTGTCCTTTATAGCTCATTTTTCTGTTGTCCTATTTCTTTAGTCTCCTCTAATTCAGAGTAGTCCCCCAGCCTTCTTTGTTCCTTATGATATTGACATTTTTGAAGAGACAAGCCAACTGCTCTGCAGAGTATCTCTCAATTTTGACGTGTCTGAAGTTTCCTCCTGAGTAGATTTTGGCTAAATGTATTAGGCATCCTTCATGGGCGTTGTTGTGTCCTTCATAGTATATAATACCAGGAGGCTTATGATGTTAGTTTGTTGATGATATTAAACTTGATTATTTGGTAAAGGTGTATTTGCCAGATTTCCCCATTGTAAAGATATCTTTTTCTCTTTTGCAATCAATAACTAAGATTCTGAATATCTTGTTTTCTAATAGCCTTTCACCTAATGAGGTTAGCATCCACAGGTGCATCTTTCCAGAATCAGTTGTTACTATGGTGGTTGTAAAAATGATGACTCTCCATTTCTCTTGTTCCCTGTACACTCATTATTTGACTTCCCTTTGTGAAGAAAAACTTTCCCCCCGTCTTTCGTTTTAAAATATCAGTATGGACTCAGTAATTTTTAAAAAAGTCATTATTTATCATTCACTCCTATCATAATACATTCTGATGTTGTAATTGTCCCAAATTTGACTAGTAAGAGCCCCTTCAGGCTGATATTTTTAATTAGTTATTGAGCACTCTCCCCAAGCCACTTTTTTTGGTCTAGCTTAGAAGGAGGTTCAGGCTCACTTTGTACTTTCCCTGCTCAAGACCAGTAATCACTGATTTCTCCAAAAGGTTCTGGCTTCTTCTAATGGGGAGTGGTATTTAGAAACCAAAATCTGGGAACTAGCTATGTTTATTACTATGGGGATGTTATTGCTTCCAGGATGGGGGTATCATTGCTTTTAGTACTATTCAGTGCACACACATACATATATAAGATTATGAGTACTTACTGACACCTCTAATTCTAATCCCATACCACAGCATTCTTTTTCTCCTTCCCTCATTCTGTAGCTGTATCTCCTCCCACAGAGAAAACCATGATTCCAATAACATGAATGTATTAATATTTACTTGTTTGTGGCTACAATAACCCACTCCCTAATTTTAGAATTGCTACACCAATATCAATACCAACAACAAACTCACTGAGTTCAAGATCTCTGCAGTTCTTTTTGCCCTTAGAATGTATTTCATTGATGATATAAAGTCATACGCTATGTCCACAAGTTACCTGCATTCTTTTTCTATTTTCTTCTGTACAGTTATGTTATTTATTGGATATATAATTAGGTTCATTTTTTTCTGAGTGAATTCAATTTTAGTTTCTCCCATCCTTTCTTATTTAAATTTAACTTTTTAATATGTAAAACATTAACCTGATTCAAAAGTCAAAAATGTATAAAAAGGCATATTCAGTACTACCAGGTGTTTTAAAAAAATTAGTCATTTTTAGCTTTAAAATGTAATAAGGCAACTGTGTATAGTAACCACCAGTGAATAGGACAGCTTTATCAAACGGCATAAGGGGTATCAGTACATTTGTAGAACTCTAAAGGGCCATCCAAATAATAATTCTTCTTGGTTTGATTCTGCATTATTACTTTCTTCTTTAATTGTAAATCTTTTAAATTTATATCTGAGAGTTGTATACTAATTTTTAGCAGAATACTGTGTATACGTTTTTATTGTTTTTTTAGGTATACATCATCTATAGAGCAGTGTTTTTCTAGCTACCACATCTTATTTGTGAGATCTGAAATAGTTTCAAAGAAAACTTAAAAGAACATTTTATTTGTGTGGTTTTTCTGTGTATTCTCCTGAAATAGTCAAAATATGGGCACATTTGGGGAAACAAAAACTGAAAATTGAAAAATCTGGTCAAATATTCAATTGTGCCTAAATAAAATTATAACCAAGTATCTGATTGAATATATATACACCTATACATACATACATTTATACATATATATACACACATATACATGTACATACACACACTTTTTCTCTGGATACTTTGTCTCTGTATAATAAGGACTATATTAAAAAGTGATATACTCTGAGAAATGTGAAATAATGGGTTGTGCAGATTTTAAAGAAGCTATAAATTAACCTTGAAAAATATTTTATATAACATTGTTATTTTCACCCCAAAGCAGAGGAATTTCGAATGAATAAAACATTTCTTGTTGAAGGTAATGTCAGCAAAATCACTTCAATTCAGCATGGTTCATTTACTCATGCAACAAAAATTAATTGCATAATGTGTATTCGGTTAGGTCTTGACTATTTTCTCTAAGCATATCTTATTTTAATTCTAGGATGCTTTGATTTAGTGTGGAATGTGATGATTATTATAAAATGTATACTTGGCCATTTAAGTTGGTTATTTAAATCATTAGCCTGAAGATCATGCATACCCTGGAATCTCACAGGGTGGCTAGAATGTGGATTTGTAAGCTTTTGAAAATGAGGTGGTGGGTTGCTTGACATCTGGATTTGCTTTCTGACTTGGTAGACTAAGGCAAGATGCCTAGAATAGTGCCCTTTCCTTTCCTAAAACCTAATAATTATTTTTGAAAGTTCCACAAAACTTGCTTTTATCTAAATTCCACTTTTGAAAGGTTTATATACATTAACTTTTTTTACATGCAAATACTGACCCTGGAAGTGTTAAGCTCCTTTCAGTCATTTATACTGTAGTCTGATGCATTTTAATCTGATTGCTTTCCTTCTAAATCCTAGAAGAGCTGTAGTGAGACTGCATTTTAAAAGGAGAAGTGAATCTGTTGTAGCACGTAGGGAACTTCAAGGAATATCCTGGAATGGATGCCTAGTGTCCTGGGGAACCAAGGTGGGAGGAGGGGGAGAGGGCGTGGTAGGAGAAGGAAGATTCCTTTGTAAATATAGCAAAAGGCCAGACTTGTCCAACTCTCATCTTCCTAATCCTGACACAGTTTAATTAATCTGACTGCTGTGCTTGCTACTGAGACTTGTCGATGGAAGGAGGCTCTGCCACATATCCTCAGACCCACAGCTGGATGTTATATGCGGGCAGTCTTGCCTAAATTGAAATGAAACTCCACACCCTATCATAATTTGTTCATGCCTTATGCCTGAACTATTTCTTTCTGTCACAAGAATTAATAATCTTCAAGCTTCCAAATGCATGAATCAGAAAAATAGCAGGGAGTCAGAGATTTTCTCTATCAGTCTCTTTATGAGTCCATAAATTGAGATCTCAAGAGACAGATGTGCTTGGCACAGGAGTGGCAGAGCTTGGACTACAATAATGGCCTCCCCACTCCTGATCCAGGGCTTGGACCCTTTGCCCAAATACCCAGTACTTGCTACTGCTGAACTGACTTTCCTTTCTTCTCTTGGAAGGAGCATTTAAGCAAAGTTATGGGCCCATGAGAGCACTGGTATCTGCTTGCAAGGAGGTTTACTTCTGGAAAATTAGAGATTATATTTTCATTTGATGCACGTATTTCCAAGTGTATGTATTTCTAAAGATAGATTTTTTAAAAACAAAAAATCTTAATTTAGATGATAAGCGATTTTTACCTTTTTTTTTTTTTCAAAGCAACTTGATCCTGTAAGTTTTGGCATCTTAAGTGGAAATGTTCATGCAGTTTTGCTGGATCTTCGCTATGGCAGTAAAATGCAATACAGCACTGTGGTTAAGAGTGCAGAACGGAGTCAGTCAGCCTGCTAACTATTTACTAGCTATGTGAATTGGAGAAAGCTCCTGTTTCCTTAGAAAACAAGGATACCTACCTCATAAGGTTATGTGAGAATTAAATTAGTGTATAAAATTTGCAGCACAGTACCTGGCACTTTGTAAATGCATAGTAACTATTATCTATCATCATTATTATCATAATTATTACTACTGATACTGCCTGGAAAAGGAAGTCCATACAATCCAGGCATTTTTAGTTCAAGATTCATGTGCAACTTCTCTGTTTCCCATTTCATGAGTATTACAAATATTTTTACATATCTTTAACTGCCTGAAAATAAAAAATAAAAGTAATAGACTTTATTTTTAAGAGAAATTTTAGATTTACAGAAAAGTTGAGCAGAAAGTATAGAGAGTTCTTCTGTACTCCCTCTTTTCCCCTCAGTTTCCCTTATTGTTAGCAACTTGCATTGGTATGATCCATTTGTTATAGTTGTTGACACAATGTTGATGCATTATTATTAACTAAAGGCCCTTGTTTGCATTAATGTTCACTCTTTGTGTTGTACAGTCTATGGATTTTGCGAGATACATATTGTCATGTGTATACCATTACAATATCCTACAGAAGAGTTTCACTGCCCCAAAATTCCCATGTTCCACCTATTCATCTCTGCCTCCCCATCCACCGGAAACCACTGATCTTTTATTGTCTCTCTAGTTTTGCCTTTTCCAGAATGTAATATAGTTTGAATCATAGAGTGCATAGCCTTCTCAGATGGGTGTTTTTACTTAGTAATATGCATTTAAAGTCCCACTAAGTCTTTTGTGGCTTGACAGCTCATTTCTTTTTATTGCTGAATAATATTACATTGGATTTACATGTTATCTGTTCACCTTTTGAAGGACATCTAGGTTGCTTTCAAGTTTGGGCAATTCTGAATAAAACCTCCATAATCATTTTTTATGCAGGGTTTTGTGTGGACATAAATTATCAACTCATTTAAGTAAATATCCAGGAGTGCAATTGATGGATCCCATGGTAAGACAATGCTTGGCTTTGTAAGAAACTGCCAACTATTTTTCAAAGTGCCTGAACCATTTTGCATCTCCACAGCAATGAATGAGAGTATCTGTTTCTCCACATCCTTACCAGCATACAGTATGGTCAGTTTTTTAGCCATCCTAACAGAATTTTATTCATAGCTATTCTAATAGATATGTAGTGGTATCTCTTTGTTGTTTTAATTTGCATCTCCCCAGTGACATGATACGGAGTCTTTCAATATGCCTATCATCTGCATATCTTCTTTGGCGAGGTGCCTATGCAGATCATTTTGCTCTTTTTCAGTTGGGCTCTTTTGTTGAGTGTTGAAGAGTTTTTTATATTTTGGATACAAGTTCTTTATCACATATATGTTTTGCTGATATTTTCTTCCAATCTCTGGTTTGTCTTTTCATTCTCTTAAAAATATCTTCTCAGAGCCAAAGTTTTAAATTTCAGTTAAGTTTCTTCTATCATTATTTTTCTTTCATGGATTGTGCTTTTGGTGTTGCATCTAAAAAGTCATATCCAGGCCGGGCGCGGTGGGTCACGCCTGTAATCCCAGCACTTTGGGAGGCCAAGGCGGGCAGATCACGAGGTCAGGAGATCGAGACCATCGTGGCTAACACGGTGAAACCCCGTCTCTACTAAAAATACAAAAAATTGGCCGGGCATGGTGGCGGGCGCCTGTAGTCCCAGCTACTTGGGAGGCTGAGGCAGGAGAGTGGCCTGAACCCAGGAGGCGGAGCTTGCAGTGAGCCGAGATAGCACCACTGCACTCCAGCCTGGGCGACAGAGCAAGACCCTGTCTCAAAAAAAAGAAAAAAAAAGTCATATCCAAACCCAAGGTTACCTAGATTTTCCCCCATGTTATCTTCTAGAAGTTTTATAGTTTTGTGATTTACATTTACTTCTATGATCAATTTTGAGTTAATTTTTGTTAAAGGTGTAAGGTCAATGTCTAGATTATTATTAATATTTTTCTATATGTATGTACAGTTGTTTAATTTTCACTCTGGTAAGTGAATTTACATTATTCTTGGATATATTTATAGGAAGATATTTTAATCACTGAAGACCTAGGAGAATATTGTTTTTCAGCTAATAGTCTCTTCACTATGAAGAGAAATATTATTAGAACATAAAATTGTTTTCTCAGTGAGGTATTTTGACATTTGGTCTTTTACTGTATTTTGGGACGTTTTGGAAAGACTAGAATGGTGTGTATGATTTGGAGCTGGTTGTATTCCTTAATTAAAATGTTTGGTACTGCTCTTGTTTAAATAGTTGTGCTCTCTTAAAACTTTTTTTTTTTTTAATCCATCCCATCCTTTGAGTTACTGGTTTGGAAGATTGTTAAAATGAACCTGGCTTCCTTTCTTTTCTTTTTCTCTTCTTCTTTCTTTCTCATTCTCTTTCTTTCTTTTTAAATCACTGTACTTGGCTAACAAACCTTAACATCTGCTGACATTGTTGATCCTAGGAATAAAAACGTGAGATGATCTCTGGAAATATTTCTAGGCACAGGGCCCAGGCAATCCATAAAACCCATATATTTCAAATCATGCCAGTTTTGTGAAATATTTTCAGAAATACAGTTGTCAGTGATTTGGTTACATAGGCCTGTTTAAAGAAAAGATTTTAAAGTTCTTGAAGTGATTCGTAATTTTCATACTCTCAAACTTCATGAAAACCAGGAGCCTTTTCTTATCCAAATCTTCCCTTTTTGATTGTCTTGGTATTCTTTTTTCCAATAATGTAGCCACTCACATTATGATGGTTTGCTTAGTATTAAACCAAATCATCTGAAACAAAAAGTGAATAAAGGATTTATTTCTTTTAAAAAAATTTACTTAAGCTACAAAGCAGAAATGAGGTCATGTTTTTACTTTTAATAAGGAGTTTTCAAATACAGGCCATTATTGCTAAATGTTGTGTGTAATATGGTGGGCTCATGGTGAAGGAATTAATGGGCAATTTAATGATTAGCATTTGGATTTTGTTTAGCTGTCCTTTGTAGGATGTATTTTTACCTCTTATCCTATTATATAGTTTCCCACATATCATTATCTCACACTTGCCCTCTGTCTAAAAGTATTGACATTACAAAAAATAAATAAGGTAGACCCAGCAATTCCATAGGCATATGTACCTATGTTCCACCAAACACAAGAATGTTCATAGCAGCATCATTTATAACACCCTCAACTGAAAAATACTCAAATATCAATTGATAGTAGACTAGATAAATAAATGATATATTTATAAAATATTCATAAAATGATATATTCATAAAAACACAATACTTTACATAAATGAAAACAAATAATTTACAGTTATACCCAGCAACACAGACAAAACTCACAAAAGAATAAATTCTACATAACTGCATTTATAGGAAGTTTAAAAACAGGCAAATATAACCCATGGTATCAAAAGTCAGGATAGTGGTTACCCTTGAGGCAGGTAATGATTATAAGGGGGCATGAGAAGGCATCTGGGGTTTTGGTAATCTTGTCGATCTTGATGCTAGCTACATGGGACACGTTCACGTCGTGACAATTCATAGGTTCTATGATGTTTGCTTGTATGCATGTATGTTATGTTTTAACAGCATGCTAGAAGAAAGGCAATGTTTACATCAACTTTGGCTCCAGTGAAGGCAGCATTTAATAGGGAGCAGTTAATGATAGGAACCTAGGAAATGCGGGGCAGTTCTGGTTGTAAGAGATATGTGAGGTTTATTTTTTAAAGATTATTTAACATTATTTAAATTATTTACATTTTGCATTTGAGAATTATATTTTTCAAATAAATAATTATTTATATTTACATAAATATAAAACACAGATTTCCCACTGATAGAAATACATAATCATTTCATTAAAATGGTATTTGTGTTGTTATGAAATCAACTATCAGATATTTGAATTAATAGAAGAGAGATCCTTGCTTAAAAGTCTTTTGTGACTTATTGCTTACGGGACAGAATTCTGATTTCCTGGGAAAGAATAGAAGGCCCAAGGTGATCTGGATTCTCCCCAAGTCTATTTACCCCTTCTTCCCCAACCCTCCCTATCACACTGTCTCCAAAATACCCAGCTTCTTGCAGCTCCTCGGACATTGGTTTTTCCACACGAACTAGTCTTTGCTCTAGCTGCTCCTTCTCCCCTGCATGCCTATCATATTTACATATTTCTGACTAATGTATTTCTAGTGCTTAATAAAGTATCTGGTACTTGATGGGATGTCAGTTAATTGAAGACAGCTTGAAGACTCTATCAGTCTCTTATAGTGTACTGTATCATCTTAAATTCTTAGATAATTTTGTGCCTCTTTGTTAGGTTTAAGACTCAGTGTAGGGTGAGTTTCCAGTTTGTCTTTATTCTACTGTAGTATTTAGACCATGCTAGGAACTTAAGTGTGGAATGGACAAAAGATTTGAAGTTTTGAATTGATACAGACACCAAAGTCAACTGGATTTGTCTTTGATGTATGCCTTATAAATTTTTAGCTTCAAATTTACCTTTCTTATTGCATTATTTATAGATGCAAAAGCAGTTGGTATTTATTTTTAGTATATGTTTTGTGGGGAGGTGCTAGGCAGTGAGAGAAATCCAGGCAAGTTAAAGAATTTTTTTTCTGAATAATTTACAAAGCAAATTAAAAAAAAGAATGAAACAAAACCTACCTGTTCATTTTAGGTCCATTTAGATCTATTGTGTGCATTGTGGAGAAATATCTTGCTGCTGACCCCCTGCTTTAAGGGAGAGTGCTGCATAGTTTAAAGGTGCCTATTGGGAGTATTTTCGCTTCTCTGCAGGGCTATCAATAGCCCTCTTTGCTTCACAGAGATGGATGGGGCTGGGGTAAGTGGTGTCTGAGTATTCTAAAAGGAATGAAATCAGTCATCAAGTGAGAGTTAGAATGGTGTCTTTTCATTGTTAACAAGCCAGCCTTCTACCTCTATCCCTGAAGAAAACCCGTGAGGGCATCAAAGCTCTTGCATGCTTTGTTGTTGTTTTATTTGTGGCTTTATAGAGTTGTATCAAGAAACAGAGCACTATCAGTCTTTGTTAAAATACTCCTCCCCTTCCCGATACCTTTCGAAAAGTTTCTTCCTTGTCTATTTAAACATTGAACTCCATTCTTGTTTGACAATTCCAAACCCTAAACTCTGTTGTACGTGAGGGTGGTAGCTGAATTTTCGACAGCTGTTTTTCATAATTTGGTAACTTATTTACCTATTCTCTTCTAATTTTAGGCTCTCATTTGCTGGTCAGGTGGCTCACAGAGGTGATGTAAAAAGGAGGACAAAAGAGGTGTTAAAAAGGAGAATACCCAAAATTTAGTGTCAATAAAGCTGCCGAGCTGAGGAAGGGGATGGCATCAGAATACTGACAATGATTCCTAGAATCATGGGAGGACAGAGATGGGGGGGCAATCCTGAAGTGGTAAACGGGAAGAAAGTTGGGGTTCGCAGATGGTGGAAGCCATGAGTTAAGGAAGGGAGGAGTTGTTGTCATCAGTGGTATTTTACTCCCTCATTTCCTTGAAAATGGCGTCCTATTTCAGAGACTCACAGTGAAGCAAGACTTGACAACACTGTAATGAAACTCCAAGAGGCAGAAAGGTCCATTCTCAGATGGCTTGGTGAGTCATCTTGTGGGGACTTCTGCTTTAAAACATCATTACTCCTTAACTGATAAAGCCTAGGCACAGCTAACTAATCTGAGCTTCAAGATAACCTTACAAGTAATTTGGGAAAGAGGAAATGAGATGCTTTTAAATCTTGCCTTTAAACTGTTAGAATACTGGGGGGTGGTTATTTTGTTAATCTTTATTCTTTAGAAGGAGAAGAATTGTGTTTCTGTAGTAACACATTTTAGACTATCAAAAAAGAAGTGCTTTGACCACTGCTCAAAACCACCAAGTATTTTTTACACTAACTTTAGATTGAGTGAATTTAAAATTTATTTTGATATCTGTCACTCAAAAATTGAAAAACAAAACAAAACAGGAAATGGTGAATAGATAGCCATTGGGAACTAGACTGGCTTTGCTTTTGTAAATGGGGGATTAGGATTCATCTGTCCTATAAAGGACACACAGCATTTAGATTAGACATAATCTGATTGTATTGTAATACAAAGGCCATTCAAGTCAGTTCAGTGTTCAGGGTCTGTAAACACCATATGACCACTGATTGGTCCAGGGGAGAGTATTAACAGAAAGATAATAATGAGTTTTAATCCAAATCCCTAAAGCACAACAGCTGTGGCTTCAAATGAATTTTCTTTCGTATGTTAGAAGCAGTGCTGTGTTTCTTACAACATGATAAATTGAACTATTTCTTTGCTCACACAAAGAGTATGCCTATTTAACTTCACTTTTATTTGATTAGGTACTTCCCTTGTCTCAGATTTCTTTAGGATATACATGTTGCCAAAATGTTTTTTTTTTTTAAATCAGACTACCCACATAAGAGCAAAGCATAAACCAGGCATCTCCTCAGCAAACTAGCTTATATGGCCACCCTGTTTAAAAGTTGTATCTTTAAATATTAAAAAAATTCTCCAATAAAATGATGAAGTCACACTTAAGATATTAGGGAACCATATGCCCTTCCATATGTGTTCAAAATATATGGTGCTTTGGAAATGAAAAAAACAAAAACAAAATTAAACAAAACAAACACAGACCTATGTTCACAATGAGTATTTAAAATGCCAAGTTTATTTAAATATTATTCATAAATTTTATTTTCTTCTTGTCATTTTGAAATGTATTGCATTAGGAAGCATTTATTCTCTGTATTTTTATGTTTTACTAATGTCATTATTCATATTGCACCTACTGTGTAGTGAATGCTATGCTGTTCTGTGTAGGATATTATAAAACATAAAAAGTGCAGAAGAGTCACAATCTGATAAATGTCAAAGATTTACTTTTGTAGTTAACATTTGTTGTCTGACTCCCAAGCACCCTTTCTCTTTCTAAAGTACAGTGCCCCAAATTTTCTGAGCAATTTGGGTAACATAGACTTCTCTTCTAGCTCCAAAAGGGCTCTCATTGGTTTAAGCATCAGTGTGCCCCATCCCTTTAGCCACAGTGATATCTTTTTAGTGATGGTCACATGGACCAGACATGCACAACTGGAGTAGATACTAGCATTTCAATAGAGCTGCTGTAAAAACAGGCTCTGACTTTCCTGCTGGAAGTAGTTGAACTTGTACCCTTAGGAGGTAGGGGAGACCATCTAAAGATTTTTAAAAAGCCTTAGGTGAATACAGCATCTAAGATCTTCATACTAAGGTATGAAGATAGTCTTGGTGACACTGTTCAGCTGGATCAAGCCAAACCCTGTCACTGGAATTTTCCATTACACCAACTAGTAAATACCTGTAATTGCTCAAGCCTTTTAAATTTGAGTTTCAGTTACTTGCAACCAAAAACAATTCTAACTGAAACAAGACTTAAAAATAACTGCAAACCATTGTGTTTGCAAATATTTGGAAACCATCATTTTTGAGAAGAATGACATGCTATTTCAATGATTGACAGAGGAAGATCTTAGAGTTGGATGTTGGGTCATGGAGGTAGAGAAGAATGAACAGTAAAATATAAGAAAAGTTGTCTAAGAATGCCTCTGTCAAAATTATTCTTGGCAGACAAATGCATATTTATAGGAAAATTCATCATCCTACAGGATTTTATTATTTAAAAATATAATTTGAAAATGAGTGAAACATTAAATTCTAGACAATTGGGAGGAAAAAAAATCCTGAAACAAAGTAATACCAATAAACAGAACTTAGGTAGATTAGTATTCTGTACTAAGAGAAAAAATGGGAACAAATAAAAATTTGTGTTAAGGAAAATGTTACTTGATAGTGAACCAAATTTTGACAAAAGGCAAAGGAGGATTTATAAATGAGCTCAGCTTTGTGGCCTTGGATAGCCTGGAAAAGAAAAGTAGGTATAAAATTAAACTTGCTATGTTGAGACACAGCAAACATTTTCATCTTTTTATCTAGAACTAAAATTCACCTGTTTGTGAAACTTGTGCTGCAGCTTTGTAATACAGCATAGCAGTTCTATGTGGTATTTTATGGTAACTGAAGAATTTGATATGGGGGGATAAGACCCAGGCAGAAGAGTAGGTCTCACTTTTTATCACCTCAACTGCTTTATCTCACTCATGGAATCAAGGTTAGTGAATTGGAATATTTTTTCGGCTAGAACTTTCTGACCAGTGCAAAGTTATCTTTGATTCAGCGTGAATTTTGAGCTCTTGAACACTTACTGTTTTTCTCCCCTCCGAAAAGAAGAGAACCCATCTTTAGATGAAAATTTCCAAACAAAGCCTGAAATCTGCTTTGTATCCCTCACAACGGTCAGAGTTATATAATAACTAATAGAACTTTGACATCTTTATAGCTGTTTTTACAGAAAATTTCTACAAAAAGTCCAGGACTGGTATGCCTTATATGTAATGGATGGCTTACTCCCATAAGCACAGAATTCCTATTATTATGTGTTTATTTTTGTGTGCAAAGAATAATTCTTTAGAATGGAAAAAGGTATTCCAATGACGTCATTTTTTAAGGCTTAATGATCTGGGCTCTTTGGCCTTTCACTTAAGGGGGAGATGTGTAGGTTTGCTACCTCTATACCCAAATGGTAAACACATGCCAGCCTCAGTTACAAATTAAAATTCAAAAGTCTAGGGAGGGTCTTTAGGTTCATGATGTGGAGATGACATTCACAGTGCAAATGTCCTCCACAGCTTAGGAGTGGCACTTTCGGTGAGTGCAGGACTCCATCAGACTCTGTTGACCACCAAGGTCTATGTTGCTGCTGTTGCTGCTGATAATTAAGAATATGTTGAATCAGATATAATATTATAATTTTCATCATTATTACCATCATTAAATGGTAGTATTTATTTTTGAATGTTAAAGTACTTTAGCAAAATAAATGTTTTACACGTTAGTGTATTGCCTTTTATAACAGCTAGTTTTGGGTGAAGTGATGTATTAAGCTCTGCTAATTTAAGAAACTAAACAGTGAAATGACCTCCCACTTGGAAAATGTGTGGTTAATAAGTTGACAGGCAATCTACCTCTAAGGGAAGGCTAAGAAAAAGAAGGACAAAAGCCTGTGCTCAATGGACTCCTATTTAACTTATTGCCTTAATAAAATTTGTATTTTAGGAACCTATTGTGTAGGAAATTTTTTTCATGGAGAAACAAGAATATTTTAAATAAGAGTTCTGTTGGCTTCTTTGAAGGTGATCATTTTCTTCAAAAAGAGGAACATAATGTGTTTCTTGCTTTTACTTTTTTACAGAAAACCTTGCACTATGCAGCAGAACATAGTGAATTTTAAGCATATGCTATTGCTAATGAATTATCTCAGCTTTGTCTCTTTGGACACTATAGAAGTACTCTTTTTTCTTGCATCCTATTTTTGTCACTGCAGTCAGATTAATGAATTATGAACTGTACCATTTCATTAGGATAATCAGAATTAAGAGATGATGTTTTCCTTGGGGACTTCTGCTTGGATATATCATTAATCATATTCTGCAATCTATAGTCAAGGCAGAACTGAGAATGCTAGTTTATCTGACATATACTAAGAGGGGAAACAGGTGTCATTTAGTCTATCTTGGGTAAAGCACGTCTTGGTAAAATGGCTAGATAAGGAATGACATCTTAAAATTGCTTCTTATTTAGATCTCTGTCATAGGCCTGAAGAATCTCCTGGGAAACTGTGAAGTGTCCTTACCAAAAGTAAAAGTCATTACTCGAGAGTATTGTTTTTAGTTTTATTTATGGCTTTTAAACCAAGGGGTGTGGTATAAAATGTAAAAGAACGGAACTCTCATTTGGAGGCTTTATTTATTTTCTCTGCAGCTCCTACGTTGTTCTCAACCTCCTGAACTCCCCACTGCATCCTTTGTTGGAGGGAATCCAACTGTCTGAGAGGACATTTTTAATGGGTAATATGAGCATTTCTGATATTAAATGGCTTTAAAGAAATTCACTCACAAAGATCTTTTCAACTGCCCCCAAATGACTCCATTTATGATGACTACTTAAGAAGTGGTATAGATAGTTGGAAAGAGAGGAGGGCATGGCAACAGGAGAGAGAATTCCCTGTGCCCTGACAGTTGGGAGTTTGTGTCCACTGGTCAGCTGCAGGAAGATTTGAGGGCTACCTGTAAAGATTGGCAATTTTTCTTTAATATGTACTTTGAGTAGGAAAAAGAAAAAAGTATTCATTGAAAACTTTTGCCAAAAGTTCCATTCAAATTTTATTAGTTTTGATAGGTTGCTCTGAAGTGCACAAATAGGAAATTTTAGCATTATTTCTAGAATAGGAATATGAAAAATAAATGTGGCATAGTAAGTGTAGACTTACCAATAGCTAATAATGTCATTAAGGTTTTAATGTCTTAGCTAGAACTTCCATTTACAAAACTCCTTTTTCTGACTTAGAATATTTACAAGAAAAAGCAAACATCCACCATTTATCTTCTCTTGTAAAACCCTTGAAATTCATTACTATAAGGAAATTCCTTATAGTAAGTGAGGAAATAAAAAATACAATTATAGCCTTTTAAGAAAATAATCAAAGAAGTAAGTTTCATGTCAAAATTATTCTTGGCAGACAAATGCATATTTATAGAAAAATTCATCACCCTATGAGATTTCATTATTTAAAAATATAATTTGAAAATGAGTGAAACATTAAATTCTAGACAATTGGGAGGAAAAAAAATCCTGAAACAAAGTAATACCAATAAACAGAACTTAGGCAGATAAGAGTATGTTAAGAGTAAAGATAGAACACAGAATTTAATGTTAGAAGATGGAAAAACAATAGAACTGACTAAGCCTGGTTTAAAATCAAACAATGATATGAACATTTGGTAAACTAAATTTTAAAAAGAGAAGGAGAAAGAGAAAATACAAATCAACAAATTTAGAAATGAGAAAAGGGCTATAGTCAGAGTCAAAGAAGATTACAAATTATGCAAATACCTTTATGCAAATATACTTAAAAATTAAGTAATGAAATCTACGTGTTATTCCACATTAACAAAACCAAAGGTACATAGTAAACTGGAAAAGAGATTTTTAAGTAGGTATTATAGAAAATTATCAAACTTTTATTTTAAAAAATTCTTACCACTTAAGAAAACACATCAATGAAAAAAATTTGAGTAGTATATAAATAAATATATGTATATACACACACACATATACACACACATATTCTCATGTACATACATAAACATTCTAAGGGTGTTTGAAAAGTCTGGAAACATAAGATAAACTTATTTTTGACAGTGTGCTAATGACATTTTTTTAAAATGTGCTATGATTTCGATCTATCTCCAGACATCTTGTTAGGGGAAGTACCTCGTGCAATATGTCTAATTGTTAATATGAAAAAAGTATAATACAATCGTATACTACAGTGTGTCCAGAAAGTCTGTAAACCAAGGCAAAAATAGTGTAATAATAGAATTTGACAACATGGCTGCTGTGGACTAAAATGTACCTTTTCCCCATCCTCCCAGAAAGGAGAGGCCAAAAGACCTTTGACCTGTCCTTGAGGTTTGGACACCATCATCTCAATAGTGACTATGACAGACTGAAAGCCATAAGCCCATCCTCAACTTTCGGAGGGCCTGAGCACCTCACAGTGTTCTGCCCATCTTTCCAAGGGGAAAAGTAAAGATTGTCTGTATTTATCTTCTGGGACAGCATTGAATTAGGTTGGCCAAGAAGGAATGAAGTTTCAAGGCTTGGAAGGGGTGGAAAGGTCTCACCCAGAGTTTTGGATTATGAAGCACAGTGGCAGGTCCACTCTGAATCCTGTGGGGCATCCCAGGAAGTGCTAGGGTCTGTGGGTGATAGATGGATGATGTGGTAGAGGGGGAGGTGATGTCATGAGGGAGGCCACTGTGTTCCAGGCACTTAAAGATTCCAAGGTCTGCACTGGCTCGGAAGTGGAGCCACCCACCTGTCCTTGGGGTTTGAAAACCAACATCTCAATGGTGACCACAACATATTGAAAGCCATAAGTCCCTTCTCAAGTTTGCTGAATTTCCTGGTGCTCTCACAGGGCCAGAGCAGGAAAGGGTATGGAATACCAAATAACACTGTTAGCAAATGGATACTCGGAGTCATACTTTATTTGATTTAGAAAAATAAAGCAAGGTGACATTAAGTTCTATTTTGTGGAGTAAATTGTGTGTGTGTGTGTGTGTGTGTGTGTGTGTGTGTGTGTGTATTTATAAACATGCACATATTTATACATATATATCTATGAGGTATTGGCAAAAAAACACCAAAATAATAGCCGAATTCCAAAAAGAAAGCCTACCTTAGTTACTTTCTACCCAGTGAAGAGGCCATTGGAACTGGCACTCTGGGGAAGAGCAGCTCCCCTGGACTAGTTTGATGTTTTTCCAGGTTTATCTTGGGTTTTATAAAATCTGATGAGCATTAGGGCCAGCACTGAGGATGAGAACCTTTCTATTCTTCTTTCCATTGAGTAGACAGACGGTGAGTCACTTGTGTGATGTGTTTCCTCCTAGTCAGCTCTGGATAGTGAGGCCGAACGAACTGACCGGAAGTGTGTTGTGGGAATCAAAAAACAAGTTGTAGTCCAGCATACCGTGTCAGTGCTTCGTGGTACTTAGTTTTGAAAGCTGAAACGTTTCTTGCAATGTTGTATTTTATGATTATGTGTAATATTAACACTCTAGCGAGAGATTAATCATGATTGTTCAGAAATTATCTGTTAAACCTTAATTTAAAATAAAATGATGTTTAATTGAGAGACATCAGTTGTAATACTGATTTAAAGAGCCACTTAGTGAAGGAAAAATTAGTTAATTATATCAGGTTATTTTAAACTGAAAGAAAAATAGCATTCTGCTAACTTATAAAGTGGCAATGTTTAAATTGACTGAATCCTCCATGCCCTGCTGCTAAATCATTTTAGGATATTTTCACACCTAATTTCTACTGAGGTTAATTAACATACTTGGAGGGACCTGTCATTATGTCGGAAAGGCAAATTTTAATAAAACTGCACTTGTATGATTTTTTAAGAAATCTCTCCTACCACATAGGATCCAGGGAAATAAAAAGTCTCTCTAGTTCCTCCTCCCAGATAGATGCTGATATATGCACACCCACACATGCACACACTCACTTGGGCTGACACACACAACATATTACACACATGCAACATACTACACACACACATTCACACACATTCAGTCTGCCACACACAGTCTTCTCCCTTCTCCCCATACATGGTTGCTTGTTTGAGCTGACACATACATAAACACACACACTCTTGCTCAGGCTGACACACCTACACAACATAAAAGTTTGTGTAGCCAACAGTGTTCTACCCACTTTTCCAAGGGGAAAATTGCGTATGCGCATGAACTTTCTCTTTCTCAGATTGACACACATAAACTCACATTGTCTCCTGCAGGCCAACATGCATGCACACACACAGACACACATGCACATGCTCAAGCTGACATGCACACATACCTATGCAGACACACACACAGCCAGTCATGTGAACATAACCACATAGACCCATTCAGATTGACACACACACACACACACACACACAGAGGGTTACACACACAGACAGTGATGTCTACTCACACACAGTTAAGCTCTGGCTTTCTTCCCCGGTGTTTTGTTGCTGACCTCTGACTTTTCTGCCTTTGATTTACATTCTCTTGATCTTTAACTTAGAGGTGGGTGACTCAGACCAATTATTTCATGTGATTACATTTGGAGTGAAATTAATGGTTTTGATACTGGCTCACTTTTATTATTTGCATGTAGTTTAAGAAAACTTCATGGATTTATTCTGCTTTAATATGTGAAAGTGAAAGTTGAGAGATTACATAAGTAGATAAGAAATTGCCTTTTAATATATACCTGGTGAGTCTACAGGGTGAAATGGGAAATTGGCAAACAATATATCATGAAATTCAAGAAACAATTCTCTATTTTGCCAAATTGTAGATCAATGTTCTTATGTCACTTTGTGCTACTTTCAGTTACTTGCTTTCATTGATTATAATAATAAACACTATGCACAATAACAATGATACAATTTAGTATTTCAATAGGAGACAATGAAAAGGTGGGCAGTTGGGTTGCTTTTCTGAAATTGAGAGCTTTCTGTTTGTGAATATATAAGGACAGATATTTGTCCTTCTTCGATTTTCAACAGAACATTGAAAATGCCTAGTGTTATTCACAATGAAGCTTTTACACAATGTGTAAAAGATTGGAAAGCAACATTTGGGACACATCAGATGTTTGTTTCTTGAAGAGAATCTGGAAATCATACTTCTGGGATTTTGTTACTAATGAAGAAAAAGGGAAAAAAATCTTCCATAAACCACACTGGTCCGTTGGTGCATATCTTTTGAAAAGTAAAATGAGATGAGAGAATGGCAATTAGAGTACAGTATATTATATTCTGAAAGGAACAACTAATATTTCTGAAATTTCATGTTTAAAAATGTGAGCTTTTATTTAGATATTTATTTTATTCAGTCACTTTCTTAGTCTTACTAGTTAGATAAGAGAACTTTAGGAAACCGTACCTAGGACAAACATTGAACTTCTATTTGAGGAAGCCCCCATTAGGTATAGTGTTTAGAGAAATTGTCTCCCATGTGGAAACCTAGGCAGAAGATCCTCCTGCTCTCTGCCCTCTTCCCAGGAAGCCTAATCAGGTAGGGCCTTAAGGTCTTCATAAAGACTTTGATTTTTACTCTAAGTGAAATACGAAGTCATTAGAGACTTGTGAGCAGAAGAGTGACATGATCTAACTTACGTTTGTTTTTAAGGAATCACTCCCATTACAATGGGGAGAACAGATTGCAGGGGCTTAACAGATGACGGAAAAGGTCCCTTCGGCGGGGACCAAGGCATTCCAGAGGAGAAATGACTGTGGCTTAAACTAGAATGAAAGTGGAGAGAAGTGATTAGATCCTGGTGTATTTTGAAAACAGGGTAAATAGAATTTGCAGCTCTATTTGAAGTGGGCAAAAAGAAATGGAGACCCGTTGATGATTCCAAGGTTTTTAGCCGAACAGCTTGATGAATGAAGTTTCCGTTTAGTTAAATGGGTAATTTGGGGATGAGGAGTACTTGGGGTGGGGGTTGCTTCTTGGCAGTTTGATAGACATTCAGGTAGAGTAGGCAGTTCTGACTGAGTCTGAAGTTTAGGTGAGACATTGAATCTGCAGGTGTGTGTGTGTGTGTGTGTTATATGTAAGTTGTCAGTGTACAAACATATTTAAAGAAAAGAGCCTGAATGAGATCACCTTGTGAATAAATGGATGTAAGAGGCACAAAGACTGACCCTTGGAGCATTTTAACATTTATAATCAGATAGATGAAAAGGTACCAGCAAAGGCATCTAAGAAGGGTTAATAGTACAGTGGAGTGGTGTCCTGGAAACAAATACATTATAATTTTCAAGAATGAAGGATTCCTAAATGTGTACTGTAACACATAACAAATGTCAAATAACATGAGGACTGTGAATTGACCACTGAATTTGCAAATGTCGGGGGCATTAGTGACCTGGTTAAGCGCTAGAGTAGTGTTGAATGAATCAAAGAATCTAAATCAATGAATCAAGCAATCAATCAAGATATGGCATAGACATGTTAAAAGAATTGTTCTCTGGTAAAGAAGATAGTAACTGTATTTGGTTCCTGAAACAAAATGATTTCATGATCTTGACATGTGTTTAGGTAAACAGAAATACCGGTATAGTTCTTTTCCCTATTTTCAATTAGCTCCTGCTCCCATTCAGTTTCCATAATCTTTATCATTCTTCTCAAGTTCTATTTCAGTCTCAGCTGATGAGCTTCCCTCATGCTTGACTTAGGTAATAAAAGTGAACATCTCCGAGTTCAGTGAATGTTCTGCTCCCATTACCTGCATATAAATCTATCTGTATTTGCACCTCTCCAGTACTTCCTCCTCACAGGTATCAAATGAAAGATGTCCCTCCTAGACAAGTCTCTCTACCTATTCTCTTGATGTCTCTTTTCTGCAGGATCCTGGTGACATTCATTGTTCCTTTCTTTTAAGCCTTTGTCCTCTTCCTCTCTCTATTGCTTCTCCCAGCTCATCGATTTGTTTGCTCATAGCTCTTCCCGTTTTGAAAGCACAGGCCTTTCCCCAATTTGTATTCCCGTCTAACTAGACAAAAACGATAGAGACATACTGTGAAGTATTTTAGAAATAAGGGAATGAAGAATGAAGAAAATCATAATCACCCATAATCTTATTCTCAGAGATGATCATTATGTGTTTACTTAAATTTTTTTATATGCATTTTTACCAACTGTGATGCAACTATATATACACTTTTAAAATCTTCCTTTCATTCAGTTAACATCAGTGTTATTATTTTTCTTCATGTGTTTGTTTATTTCAGCTAGTTAAGGCCATGTAGTAAATTGTATCTCAGAAGTCCTCCAGCCCTGGACTTCATGTACTTTTCCAAAGGCTTGAAATAGTTTAAAAGGTTTCTACATGAAAAGGCCTCCACAACATTTATCCACACAGCCTGAGGGCGCTTCAGTATCTGGACTTGGTGGAGTAGTTTTTGGGGACAAGACCAGGTCGCCACCATTGAGGGCCCTACAGTCCACGGTCTCTATGATGTCGACCATCTCCTGCTTGTCCTCCATGGCCCAGTTAATCTTGTTGTTGCCAGTCCCCAAGACAACCATGATGTGCTTGTTCCTGAAGAAAAACATGATAGTGCATGGATCATATAACTCATACATTTTGTTGAAGTCAGGTACTTTGGTAATATTCACAAGAAAAATAACTGCAAAATCTTTAACCTTCTCAATGATGCTGTACAAGACCTTATCCATTTTCATGCATGTGGGGTCCCAGCCGTGGCCGAAGCGAATGACAGCCATGCAGTCCTCTCCTGGGAGGATGGCCTGGTCCACCTGCCAGCTGCTGTGGAGGTGCAGGAGCATGTGTGACATGATGGCCCACATACTTGCCACTGCCCAAGGCCAGGTGCCAATGAGGGCCCTGCGTGAGAAGCACAGCCGGCCCCTCACTCCCCAGCCCCTTCTGCCCCTGAGGTCCCTGAAGACCCCCAGGGCCTGCCCATAACCCCCCAGCAACACTGGGCCTGCCTCATTCACATAACTTTGTAACACTTTCCACATGTTGTTAAACAGGTTTGTAAATAACTATTTTAAATAGCTAGAGTATTTGATACTGTGGTTATGCTATGATTTATATATTCATTATTTTACTGGATTTTTTAACCTACTTTCTATTTTTGATTTAAATAAAACTAAGGTGAATGTCTTTGTGTATAAATCTTTTACTACATTCCACATTATTTTCTAGGCTAGAGTCTGAAGGAAATTGCTGAGTCAAAGGATGTATACTGTTTTATGACTCTTGTTTGCTATTGCCAGATTGTTTTTAAAAATCATTCTTCCAATTTATATGCCTGCTGGGAAGTGTAAGAATGCCTTTCTCCTGAGATTCTTAACTTTAAAGAGATTTTAAAAGTTGCTTTATGAGACAGTCCTTGCTAATTGGACAATTTAATAAGTGTTATCTAATTTTTTAAACATATTTATTTGACTACTATAGGGTGGATGTCACTTTACCATGTTTACAGTAGTCATTTATTTTTCTATTATGAATTTTCCCTGCTTATCCTTTACCCATCTTCCACCTTCCCTGAAGACGTTTTGGTAGTTTTTTGTTGACTTGTATGATTTATCATATTAATGTTGTCAACCATTTGTCTGTCATAGTGGCTGTAATAATTTTTTCCAGTTTTCTGCCTTTTACTTTCACGCATTTATTAATTAAAAATTTTAGGAGTCAAATGACCAATTTAAAATTAAACTGTCCACAAAATTGGAAGCCCCAAAATAGACCCAAGTAAATAAGATAAACTGGCATATGTTTAAGGTATTTAATACATTGGGGACAGATGTCCAAATCTGGGGGCAAACACTGTTAGAATTCTTTCTCATATGTCATACCAAAATAAATTTCAAGTAGACTAAGATTCAAATGTTAAAAAACCCAAAAGGCATAAGAGCATGTGAAAGAATGTAAGTAGATATTTATATAATCATGAGATAGTGATGATCTTTATCAGTACGTCAATAAAGGTAGAAACCATTAGAGTAAATATTTTTAAATGTGACTAATTTGAAAGCTTCCACACAATAAAAATTAACAAAGATAAAATACAAATGACAAGCAGGAAAAAATAGTTATAAAAATATGGAAACTATTGATTTTGTAAATATTATAGGAGAGCTCTCTTGCAAATAAATTTTAAAATTCCAAATAGAACATTGATCAAAGAACATGAAGGAATAACTTAGAAAAGAAGAAATATTAATGACTAAGAAATATTTAAAAAATCAAACTTTACTAGCTTTCAAAGAAAGTAAAATAAATACATAATCTTTGGAAATATATAAATGTGCTTTGTTTTTGATACTTTCTAGTAAGTGAATGACTCACATACTGAGTCATTCAGTAAGGTCTTTAGGTACTGAGCATAGTACTCAATAGTTTGTCAACCCTTTCCCCCTTCTCTCCCTCTGTGCTCTAGTGGTTGCCGGTTTTTATTGTTGCCATCTTTATTTCCATGAGTACCTAATGTTTAGCTCCCACTTATAAGTGAGAACATGCAATGTTTGGTTTTCAGTTGGTGTGTTACTTCACTTAGATTAATGGCCTCCAGCTGCATCCATATTGTGGCAAAACACATTATTTCATTCCTTTTTTATGGCCACATAGTATTCCATGATGTATGTGTACCGCGTTTCTTTATCCAGTCCACCACTGATGGACACCTAGTTTGAATTCCATGTCTTTGCTATCGTGAACAGTGCTGCAATGAACATGTGAGTACATCAGTGTTTTTGGTAGAAGAATTAATTTTCTTTTGGCTAGATACCCAGTAATGGGATTGCTGGGTTAAACGGTAGTTCTGTTTTAGGTTCTTTGAGAAACCTCCAAACTGCTTTCCCCAGTTGCTGAACGAATTTACATTCCCTCCAACAGTGTATAAGCATTCCCCTTTCTCTGCAACCCCGCCTGCACCTGTTGGTTTTTGACTTTTTAATAATAGCCGTTCTGATTGGTGTAACATAGTGTTGTCATTGTGGTTTTAATTTGCATTTCTCTGATGATTAGTGATATTGAGCATTTTTCATAGTTTATTGGCCACTTGTATGTCTTCTTTTGAGAAATGTCTGTTCATGTCTTTTGCCCATTTTTAAATGGGTTGTTTTTTGCTTGTTCAATTAAGTTCCCTATAGACTGGATATTAGACATTTGTCAGATGCATAGTTTATAAATAAGTTCTTCCCTTTTGTAGGTTGTCTGTTTATTCTGTTGATAGTTTCTTTTGCTGTGTGGAAGGTCTTTATTTTAATTAGGTCCCACTCGTCAATTTTTTTTTGTGTGTGTGGCAGTTGCTTTTGAGGTTTTAGTCATAAATTTTTTCCCAAGGCCAATGTCCAGGATGGTGTTTCCTAGGTTTTTTTCTAGGATTCTTATCGTTTGAGGTCTTACATTTAAATAATCCATGTTGTGTTAATTTTTGTACATGTTAAAATGTAGAGGTCTAGTTTTATTCTTCTTCATATGGCTAGCCAGCTATCTCAGCACCATTTACTGAATAGGGAGTCCTTTTCCCATTGCTTATTTTTGTCAACTTTGTCAAAGATCAAAAGGCTGTAGGTGTGGAGCTTTATTTCTGGGTTCTCTATTCAGTTACATTGATCTGTGAATCTGTTTTTGTACCACACTGTTTTGGTTATTACAGCCATATAGTATAGTTTGAAGTCAGGTAATGCAATATCTATGACTTTGTTCTTTTTGCTTAGGATTGCTTTCAATATTTGGGCTCTTTTTTGGTTCTATATGAATTTAATAATAGTTCTTTTTAGTTCTGTGAAAAATGATGCTGGTAGTGGGATAGAATTAATGTTGACTCTGCAGATTGTTTTGGGTGATATGGTTATTTTAACAATATTAATTCTTCTAACCCATGATCATGGAATATTTTTCCATTTGTACCATCTCTGATTTCTTTCAGCAGTGTTTTGAAGTTATCACTATGAAAATCTTTTACATCCTTGGTTAGATGTATTCCTAGGTATTTTATTTTTGTGTGTGTGGCTATTGTAAATGAGATTGCATTCTTGATTTGGCTCTCAGCTTGAACATTATTGATGTATAGAAATGCTACTGATTTTTCTACATTGATTTTGTGTCTGAAACTTTACTGAAGTCATCTATCAGTTCTGGGAACCTTTTGATGGAGTCTGCAGGGTTTTCTAGGTATAAAATCATATCTTCAGTGAGGAGGGACAGTTTGACTTCTTATATTCCCATTTTCCTTCTTGAATGAAAGCTCACTTAATCTTTATGCACTATCTTGTTATTTCCAAAAGGCCGAGGCATGTTAAAAGCCTCTATTCCACCATCTTGGAAGAGAAAACAACCAAAATTGACTTTTACACCAGTAGTTGAAAGAGAAAATTGGTTTTATTTGTGTTTACTTCCAAAAGTTTTATTTTAATAGAATAAGATATTTTAATAGAATAAGATATTTTGTAGTGATTGGAAATGATGATGATGATGATGACAATGTGGATCCATATTTATTTACATGGAACACACTCCTTAATGTAGAAATTAAAAACTTTAAATTATAAGGCAACTACAATCCCATTCACGAAATAATTTTTGTGATTTTTTGTATATATATTTGTGTCAATGTATATAAACACATACTAAAAAAATAAAGAATATATTCTGAAATGTAACAATATTTTCTCTTGATTGTTAGTAAAATCAACAAACTTTCTTGTTTATTTTTATATGCATTTTAAGATTTCAGATTTTCTCACAAATTACTTTTATAATTATAAAAATGTATTTGCATTTTGAAATTGTCTGTTTTTCTTTTCTTCTTTTTAAAGTCATTTTGCTCTATGCTTAACGTCCTTCCTTTATAAAACAATCACTTAAAAATTTTTTTTAAAAGCTCTTCCTATCTGGAATTTATTTGATATATAGTTTCAGATGAGATTATAAATTCCCCTAAGAAGACAATATTCAAAATAGTTGACCAAGTATTTCAGTAACATTTATTAGATAATTACATATTGACTCCTGATGTTCCCTTTTCAAAGATTACTGACATATATCAATCTTTCTGTTTGAAGATAATTCTGTTCCATTGGTCTCATTATTTTTGTGGTATTACCTCACTCTTTTCATTATTATCTCATTACATTGTATCTTAAAACTGATAAGACAAATGTTATTTTTTTCAGAACATGCTTACATATTTGTTTTTCTGGATGAATGTTAGAATCAGTGGCTTAAAGTCATTTTCCCACAGTTCTTAAGGTATACTGAATAAATATAATTTTTTTTCTCGATAATTCAGGGTCATGATTCATTGTGAATCATCATAAGTATTATAGCATTTTTGTGAGTTATTTAGATACGATGGATTTTTTGCTCGTGTCCCACGTGACCCATTAGGTTTTTCAAAATTTCTGTAATAAATTTGTATTTTTCCCATGTTTCTTTAATGATACTTCCAGATGTCATACTTATGTCTTTTTAAACAGCTTTTATCTGTAGTTGAATCTATGATTAAATTTTTTAGCACTGTATGTAGCATAAGACTCAACGATAGAACTCTGTGACTTGTATTTTGATTGTTCTTGGGTCTTATGTGTATATTTCCTTGGCCATGTTTCATGTAATTTAGATTGCCATGTTAATGACTAGTTAAGTGGGGCATTACTATGTTTGCACGTGAATATGAAGATATACAAAATAGAATAAGCTATAAAGGTAACAGAGCATAATTCAATGGCAAGAAACACAAAGATAGAAGAGAGAGAGTTTTACTGAAACTCTTTACGAGTTCTCTTCATGAGACAAAGTTCTTTACATGCCATAACTTCTTGATCCGTCCTTCCATGTAACTGAATCTCAGATTAGATTACTTTTTCCTGAAACTTAGATGGTGTAATATAAATGAACAGAGTAAGGGGCCAGTAAACTAATACATGGATACTAAGTGATTTTTTTTCTTTGCCCTTGAGCTTTTATGTTTTCATATTCTAGAGGCAGTAATCATAGCTTGACAGCTATCAACCTGATTCAAAATTATTAATCCTGAATGTTTTCTCTTCTACATGGAGGAGAAACTACCAATTCTCTATTAAATGGTAGTTAAAGAATATTTCATTTATCTATTTCACCTATTGTTATCTGTCTGTCCTATGGCATATTTTTCCAGGTTAGGAGGAACACATTGCTGATATTTTCATAAACATGTTGCCACTGACTTTATTTTCCTGTTAATCATAATATGTGTTTTGTTGTTTTTTTGCAAAGCTGTAATGTTATTGCTGTAGTAGAAACAATTTCTTTTGTTAAGGCTCTAAAGGGAGGTAGGACCCATCAAAGTTAAGGGCCTAGACACAGTAACAGATGCTCCTGTAAAGCAATGTTTCTCAAAAAAGGTCTTCGATGAAATATATGTAAATCTCCTCTTTGTCATTTATTTTTGGAATGTTCTCTGTTTTACCACACTTCATTTGTTTTTATATTTTTATTATGAAATACTTGAAATATAGAGACAAGTATACAAACTAGCTTACCACCATGCACCTGCCACCCAATTTTATTAAACCTCAACATATTTGCCTTAGTTATTTTTTTTAGGCCAGCACTACATTACAGCTACAGCTGATGTTTCTGTGTGCCTTTGCTTTATCCCTTTCTCTTCACAGGTAACCATAGCTTTGAATTTAGTGTGTACCATCTCCATTCTTGAGTGTGCACTTTACTTTGCATGCATGTATCATATAAAAATTATAGGCCGGGTGCGGTGGCTCACGCCTGTAATCCCAGCACTTTGGGAGGCCAAGGCGGGCGGATCACAAGGTCAGGAGATCGAGACCATCCTGGCTAACACGGTGAAACCCCGTCTCTACTGAAAATACAAAAAATTAGCCAGGCGTGGCGGCGTGCGCCTGTAGTCCCAGCTGCTGGGGAGGCTAAGGCAGGAGAATGGCGTGAACCTGGGAGGCGGAGCTTGCATTGAGCTGAGATCCCGCCACTGCACTCCAGCCTGGGCGACAGAGCAAGACTCCGTCACAAACAAACAAACAAACAAACAAAAAGAATTATATACGATATTATAAATGATATTTGTATGTTGTTTAACTTTATATAAATGGTAGCCTGCTGTATTCTTTCCTTCCTTCCTTCCTTCCTTCTTTCTTTCTTTCTTTCTTTCTTTCTTTCTTTCTTTCAGACGGAGTCTCGCTCTGTCGCCCAGGTTGGAGTGCAGTGGCGTGATCTCAGCTCACTGCAAGCTCCACCTCCCGGGTTCAGGCCATTCTCCTGCCTCAACCTCCTGAGTAGCTGGGACTACAGGCGCCTGCCACCACGCCCAGCTAATTTTTTGTATTTTTAGTAGAGACGGGGTTTCACCGTGTTAGCCAGGATGGTCTCGATCTCCTGACCTTATGATCCGCCCACCTTGGCCTCCTAAAGTGCTGGGATTACAGGCGTGAGCCACCGCACCTGGCCTTTTTTTACTCTTTTTTGAGGGGCGGGGGAGGGGATGGAGTCTCCCTCTGTCACCCAGGCTGGAGAGCAGTGGTAAGATCTTGGCTCACTGCAACCTCTGCCTCCTGGGTTCAAGCGATTCTCTGGCCTCAGCCTCCCAAGGCACACGCCACAACGCCTAGCTAATTTTTGTATTTTTAGTAGAGATGGTGTTTCACCATGTTGGCCAGGCTGGTCTCGAACTCTTGACCTCAGGTGATCTGCCCACCTCGGCCTCCCAAAGTGCTGGGATTATAGATGTGAGCCACCGTGCCCAGCCTTATTCTTTAATTTACTTTTTAATTTGACATTATAATTTTAGGATTTATCTATGATACAGCTAGTAGTTTCAACTTATTCATTTCAGCTGTTGAATAGCATTCCATTGTGTGAGCATACCAAATTTATCTAGTCATTCACTTATAGACATTTATATAAATGTAAATAATATTTCATATCCATTTACCAATGCAAACATGGTAGAAACGGACATTTCTCTGTTTATTTCCTTGGCAAGTATTTTCTCAACCGTATACCTAGAAGTGAAACTGCTCTGTCATTAAGAATACATATCTTCCGAATGCCTCCTGATAGTGTTTGTACCAATTTATAAGCCCTCTAGAAGCGTATGGATTGCCATTGCTCTACATCCTCATAGTATTCATTGTTAGACTTTTAAATGTTCTGTCGTTCTGTATATGGCGTGAAATTGAATTCTGCAATTTTGTATTTCCCTGATTACTAGTCAGATTGAGCATCTTTTCATGTATCATATGTTTGGAGGCAATAATAGTATTGGGTTAAGAGCTGGATGTAAAAGCCAGATAACTTGGTTTTAAATCTTGACTCTTCTGGGTGACCTTGGGCTTGCCACCATTTTGTGGCTCATTGACAAATTAGGAATAATAATCATACCAACATTGTGGGGTTTTTCTGAGTTAACATGTGAGAATGTCTTACAAGTGTGTTGAGCCTTAAGTAAGATATCAGTGTTACAAAACATTACCAAGATGTGATAAGTGGGGTGTAAAAATTTAGTGATGTAAAATATCAGGTTACGTTATTGAAAGGTTAACGGCTCTAATCAGCCTTATCTGCAAAGACCGGGATGGAAAAATTCTGGGGACTGGGGGAGCCTAGGCTTCCCTTCATGACCTCCATGCCTCACCAACTTCTCCCTCTTCTTATTCAAAAGATAACTTTAGCTGAAGACCCAGGCAGAAGACAAGGAGCCAATTACAAAGCATGAAATATCCTATTATTTAAAATTGAGGGGCATGTTGTCTTAGAATTTTATTATATTATTAACTGTTTGGTTTTTCCTTATGCAAATAGCTTGTTTATCATCTTGTACATTTTGTATTGGGTTATTTGCTTTTTATTATTAATTAGAATGAGTTCTTTACATATTTTGGACATTAATCTGGGTAAATTTATTTTCCCAGTTTCTGGCTTGTCTTTTAACATTGTTTATGGCATTTTTTTGTCTGTTTGTTGGTACAAAATTTAAAATTTTTAGTATGGTTATATTTAACAATCTTCCTTAATGATTTCTGCTTTTTCATCAGGTTTAAGATATTTTTCCCTGTAAGCCAAGCTATTAAAGATACTCTCCCATATTTTCCTCTAAATGTTATGAAGTTTTTGTGTTTTAAAAGCAAAATTCTCTCTGGAATTTATTTTTATGTCTAGCATAATAAGTTAGAGAGCTAATTGTCCAAGCACTATTTATTGTAGGACTCCAGTGTCCTCTTTGTCTATCCATTATGTAAAATGACACTGCCTTTGTTACTGTGTCTTTATAATAGCAGAAGGAGGAGGAACAGCAGCAGTAGCAGCTAACCATTATATAGGTCTTACTGAATGCCAGGCACCATTCTATGTTTTTTACATATTCATTTAATCCTTAACTGGATCCTATGAAGTAGGAACTCTCATTATTTCCATTTTATAAATAAGGAAACTAAGAGGCACAGGCAAGTTAGGTAATTTGCCACATAAACCTATAGCTGGGATTCAAACCCACGCCTTGAAACCAGGAGAAGACACAGACATAAAAAGAAATAATTATAATAATATAATTTGTTAAGTTACAGATTAGAATTATGAGAGCTTAATCTAAGAAATACCTACCCTGTCCAGGAGTTTCATGAATGGTGTTTTGGTTTCATCTTGCTATAACAACCCAAAACTTAGTGGCTTAAAACCACAATCATTTTATTATGCCTTACACATCTATGGGCTAAAATCTATTGAGCATGTGATGATGCCTAGAGTTGCATTCATTTGGGACTTGGCTGGACCGGACCATCCAGGATGTTTCATTCACATGGCTGATGGTTGGTCCTGGCATAGGCTGGGAGCTAATCTGGAGTGTTTAACCAGTACGCCTTGGTTCCCCCCATGTAACCTCTCCATATGGCATGGTTTTTTCCTAGTACAGTGGCCGGGTTCCAAGAACAGAAAGTGAAGACTGAGAATTCTCTTATGGCCTAGGCTTGAGAGTTCCAGGATATCACTTTCACCTCATTCTGTAGTCCAAGCCAGTCCCAAGGCCAGATTCAACATGAGGGAATTGAATTGCCCACCTCTTGATGAGAAGAGTGTCATGAGTATATTGAACTGGAGGAATTGTTGGAAGCCCCTCTAGAGATTATCAATGACAGAGGGCATTGCTCCAAAAGGAAATTTGTTCTGAACTTTGAGGAATGAGAAGGGCTTCACTAGAAAGTATTAGGGGAAGAAGATCCAGGCAGTGGGTAAGAACAGAGGCACAAAGGAGCATAATGTGTTTGGATAGGAGTTTTGTGCTGTGGAGTCACAAGGGATGTAGTTGATAAGGTGTGTTCGAAGTAGTAAGAAAATAATAGCTAAAATTCAAGTGCTCACTGTGTGCCCAGCACATCCTGCTCTTTGAATGATTTATTTCTTTTATCCTCATAACAATCCTGTGAAGGAGAGACTACTATTATCTCAATTTTCTTGACAAGGAAACTGAGGTACAGATAGGTTAAATAACTTGCACATGGTCACATACCTTGAAAGCATCAGAGTTAAATTTGAACACAGGTAATACGCCTTTAGAGTACCTTCTCCCCCACTGCTCCATTCAGGCTCCTGTAGATCATGAAAACGTTTATGCCATATTATATCTTGCCTCCCACAGACTGTGTATGTCATGTTATGGAAATCAGGCTCTGAGTAAGAAACTGGAGCAATCCCACTGGCATTCTAATTGCTGTATTCTTAACACTGGTCCAGATGTCTTAGAAGCACTTGAGTCTTTGAGTCCCTCAGGTGTTGATAGTGGCTCCATGGTTTCAGGAGGTGTAGGTCAAGTGAAGAGGTCTTCCCTCTATG
This sequence comes from Homo sapiens, assembly GCF_000001405.40. Classification (NCBI taxonomy): domain Eukaryota; kingdom Metazoa; phylum Chordata; class Mammalia; order Primates; family Hominidae; genus Homo; species Homo sapiens. The sequence goes on along the minus strand of NC_000002.12, from coordinate 179,804,235 downwards.
TGAGTACATCTTCTGGTAATGCTGAAGGTGGTATTTGTGAGAAAGCTCAGCCCAGCAATAATGGTAGTAGCAAAACTGACAATAAGGTTCCCTTTGGATACACACAGAGAGAGAAGCAGTTGAAAACAAAAACCAGTGTTGGAGAGAAGCAAAGATGATGATAAGCAGAACAGGGATAAACAGATTTGTGTTGGTAACACAGTTGCCAGAGCTGCTTTGGATCCCAAATGACCTTCCGATCTTGAACCCATTTCTGTCTCTCCAAGCCTGAGTTGAGTTCTTGGGTGCTCTAATTATGTGGTGGAAATGCCTGTCTTTCTTATTTCCAGATACAGGATTATAATCAATCTCCATTGTGTAGCACAACCTGAGTGAATTTTTACTCTTATAATCGAAAGATCCCAACTAAGTTGGATATTTAGTTCTTAGCAGATGCTCTGTTACTGGCTGTATTTTTTTTTTTAAGAAAGGGGCTGAGCCTCTTTACATCTGAATTATCTTTCTTTGATGCTTTATAGACTCTAGTCCAGGGCTTTGCACTCAGTAAATGCTACTGATATTTGCTGATTGATTGTTCTGTCCATTGAGATTTGTAACATGTATGTTGGTCATAGTCAAATAATGATAATGTGCAAAATATCATGCACAGTTTATAAATCTTATAATATCGTGCTTCTACCTCTGAGCTGTTCCATTAATTAGACAAGAGAATTGGTCTAAACATTATTTGAGTCTTTAAAATAATTTTATATAAACAGCTGATGTTTATATTAAGACTGTTTTTTAGATTTAAAAACATTTTTATTCAAAATCAGGCATATATAGTCATGCACTAGTAAAAATGGTCTCAGCAGTTTATTGCTTCCCATGGGTGGCACATTAATACCACACTGATTACTTTGTCTGTTTTTTTGTTAAGTATAACGAAACATTACTGTGGAAATGTTCATATTTACTAAAACTGTGTTACCTTAGAAGACATATGCCCTGTGTCACAAAGATTAATCTACTGAACTATTTATAATATAATAAATGTCATGATGAACAACACTGACTCTGAAGCCAGATTCTCTGAATTTTAATTTCATCCAAATCATGTATGACTTTGGGCAAGTTACTTAAGCTCTCTGGCCTCAGTTTCTTCATCGTAACATGAGGATGATAAAAATGTTTCCCTCACAACAGTATTCTAAAGATTGAATATGTCAACTGTTGAATGAGTTAATTTACTGTTAAAGCACGTGACATGTAGTCAGTGATATGTAAATAAGGCTTAGCTATTGCGTTTTTTTAATTTACTGTTAGTTTCTAAGGCTGGCAAAGACATTTTATTTTAAGTTCCATTTTACCAGTAGTTTTATCTGCCAAACCTTTTGGGTAGCAGTAAAAGAAAGCAGAACAGCAGACCTTATAACAAGCAGCATAGTATCATGGAGAACACTCCTTCTCTGGGACCAGTCACTTTACCTCTCAGAAATTTCCTCTAGTTTTGTAAGTTGTAAGCATGCCTGTTTGAATCACTGTCATTCAGCTTCAAAACAGCTGTACCATTCTAAAGTATCAGAGGGTGACATAATGGTAGAACACAGAACACTTGTAGAAATACTTGAGGAATGAGTCTGTGAGGTTTAATTTGTGCTAAAAATTCATCAACACATCTAGAGCAACGCAAATCTTCCCAAGACAGATGGAGACTGTTTTAAGGTTGGTTTCATGATTCTGATTGGGACTGTTTTAATTTTATCATTGGATACTTCAAATGAAGGGATGAAATGTAGGGTAAATTATTATCTAAAATAGCCCTTCTGTTAAGATGTAGAGAGCAGAATGTGAATTTGAGAGGGGGAAGGAATTAATGTAGTAAATGGGACTGGAGACATTAACAGAAGGGGCTTAGAAAGAGGTGAAGCTAAGGAATGTAGCATTTTAAATGGATGATTTAAAATGATGAATTACATAAACGAACATGCCCAACAGGATGCATAAGGAAGAGTGTGAAGAGGGCTGTCTATTTTAAAGATTGGAATAAGCAGTACATATTTGGAGGGTCTCAGAGTATATAAAGAGATCTGGTTAGCATGGCAGCCAGCTGCTTACCTCTGATGAAATAAGAAATATGCTTAAGCTGAAGTGTAAAGGATTTGGGGTAGGCTTTTTAAACAATAAAGATTGTTAAGCATTGATTTGAATTACGTTATTTCAGTCCTGGTAATACTGAGAAATAGCTTAACTGCTAATCAACCAGAGATGTTCCCATGCAAAGATTAAGTGATGGATCTATGACATCTTAACTACAATTTGGTTTGCTTTATATTTTAGTATTTCATAGCAATTTCTTACTTGAAAGTATAAAATTTTCTCAGACTCTTTCCTTCTGCCACCCTTTGTTTCTGTCAGACATTCTGTAATTTTGTATATTGCAACTTTCCATTTCTTAGTTCCTCCACAGTGCTGTGATTTTGTGTAGATGCATTAGAAGACCACTCTCAGAAAAATGATATGCCTGCCTCTTAAATCACACTCTAAAAATGTGATGTGTAATTGTTCCATTTCATTTTTTATTTTACAAATTTTTATATGGCAGGGGCCGTGATAAGCCCTAGAGGTTCAAAATTGAATTAGGCATAATTTCTCTACCATTGGGATTTACTGTGTAATGGGTTGAAGATAGACATGACTACAATAAAATGCTAGAAGTTATGTAATTGAAATGTGACCTGGCACCTTAGCACAGAGGAGGGAGTTGGGAACTTTGTCTTGGGAGGATGTGTACACCAACAAATATGCCCTCATTCCACATCTAGGTACAGGGAAGTACAGGAAGTACAGGAGATGTACAGGGAGTACATCTAGGTAAGGGGAAGTTACTGGGAACATTTGTCATTGGAGCCTATCTCTACCCCAGACCAGGAGAAACTTGGTCTAAAGCACTGGAAAATACTTTAGATCAACCTTGATCATTATGGTTCATATAATCACTCCTTGGCAAGGCCTCCGTGAGCAGCTACTTCCTAGTAACAACTCCATAGTATGAAGGAGAAATCACAAGTTTTAGCAGAAAAGTGCCTATATTTGCCTCATTACCTCCTGAGGATATTTTGAGATTAGGTAATAAACACAAAAGCACCTAGCAAGAAATAGACACTGAAGAAATATGTATTGAAAGAAAGGAAGGGATACCAAATGGAAGGTGTAGGCTTTGTTTGGATTCTAACTTGAACATACCAACCCTGAGGTGACTATTTTGAAGCAATTAGGAAACTTTGCTTATGAATTGGGTAACAGATGAAATCAAGGAACCACTGGCAACTTTAGAATGGTTGAAATAACATTGTAGTTATGTAAGAAATTGTCTATCCTTTTAAGAGATATAAGCTGAAGTGTGTCTGAAGTCTGAGCTTTGCTTTAAAAGGCTTCAGCAAAACATTAAAGAAGAGATGATGTAAATGTGGCAAATTCTTTATATTGTTAAATCTGAGTGATGGATATGTGGAGGCTCATTGACCTATTCTCTCTGCTTCTGAGTGTGTTTGAAAAGTTTCATAGCTAAACTCCTCTGCTCTTCCTCCCCCAGTGAGTGTTCATAACTAGATTGGTAGCTTAGATATACAAGTATTGGCAGCATGCAAGATTTAATTGAAAAGAAGAAAATAATAGGCAACTGCAAAATTCAGAACTAAAAATTCTATATACAATATATATTTTTATTTTTACATGTGAGCTTAGGTATACCCCTTCAATGTGCAATCCCTAAAGCAGATATCCATTTAAAAGCAGAATGGCAAATTTCCTCAGCTTTGATTTCAAACTGAAATCATGTTCAGAGCTCATAGGCAAGAATGAACAATTTTAATGGATATGATTTGTAGTGTCCAAAAAGGGCAACTATAAATAAATCTCTTATTTATTCCCATTGCTTTATTATTTGCAGAATCACTTTTCAAAGTTTATGTCATATAATATTCTTTCTTTAACAAAGTTTATGCCTGTTTAAAATATTTTCAAAAAATGATTAATTTCATTGTTTTATTTTCCCTTAATATAAAATATAGATACATTTTATTTCCAACTTAGATTACATAAAAGCTTTGGAGATGAATTTTCAGAAATGGGTTTTTATCTGAAGATGTATTTTCTATATTGAATAATCAGAGATGGAATTAAAAGTCACTTGAGATTAGCAGGTTGCTTTATTCGAAAATGTTTTATCTGCTTTTAGAGTTTTAGCTCTTGGATGTCAGATCAAAATTCTGAAGCATGTTCGATTCATTTCAGAATTGAATGTCAAATCCAAAGACAGATATTTATAACTGAGTTCTGCTCAGGCAAAAACTCAGTTTCTGGACTGCCGCTTGGATGATTGCAAAGCTCTCATTCACAGTTGACGTTACCATCATTTTAAACAAACAAATTAAAACTTTGAGATTGGATTTTAGCAAACCAGCCATTTAATTCCCTGCTTATTATGCTTTAAGTTTGCAGAATGCTTTGGGGTCTATATATTGCTTTCAAATAATTATTTTTTCCCACAATAGTACTCTGGCATTGGTGGTAGTATTTTCACTTGACTGTAAGAAAACTGAAGTTCTGAGAAGTGAAATGACTTGCCTAAAGTCATTCAGCTACTTAGCAGTTTAGCTAAGATTTCCATCCAGTTCTTCTGACTACGAGTTTTTCCATTTTAATATTTCTATTATAAATTTCTACAAGCAAGAAACCGGTAAAAAGAAAAATAACTTACATGCTTTTTACATACCAATATTTCAACATTTTAATCAATGGAATATTTGTTCCTGCAGATGCCTAAAGAGGAGATGAAAATTCATCTACTAATTTTCAGCAGATTTTAATGTAAAGGAATACAACACTGACTCTAGCAGAAATAGCCAGCTTTTAAAAAAAGTAGATTATGGTTGTTCCCTTTTAACATTGATGCCTTAAATGAAAGCTTGAGGTATGCTTTTAAAACTAATCATCAATGGATATTTCACCATGAAGCAGGACACCTTTTTCGTTCGACTATGTTGCTGAATCAGTATAATCATTATATAGTTGTATATAATTATGTAATTGTATAATTAACAATAGAATTCAGTATAAATGAGAAAAGCTGTACAATGCAGGAACTATTGAGTAAAATAAGCATGACAAATAAATGTATATATAGTGTACTACTCTTACCAATCACCTGAAATGGGAGTGTGTTGATTAGGTTAAAATCAAATATCTAAATATCACCAAATCACTAAAATAGAATGGATAAACCATTAATATAAAATATTATTCTTTTAGGGAAAGAAAGGGCAAGTAGCTAAGTTAGAATTCCCTGAATAAAACCTTTTATGTAGATAAAATTTGGAAACAACATAAATGTTTTAAATAATTATAAAACAATATTAAATGTACAAAGCCATTCCTAAAAGTCAAAAGCAAAGTGAAATAAACAACCGTGTAACAAGTACATGGCATACCACACGGAAAAGAGCTTCTTAAAGCTTTAACCACAGTAATTTGACTATACTTACCAAGGAATATATACCATGGGAACAAAATAAAAGGTAAAAAGAATTTAAATTATTTACAGTGAGTGTGTTATTGGGGTTAGTAATCATATTGTGATCCTGACACTAGTATTGTGAGATAAAGCAGATGAGTAATTATGTTTGTGTCCTTGCATACTGGAATTTTGGGCATTGGAGAAGGAAGATAAAGATGAAGATCAGTGAAGATGAATGAGGTTGATAGAAAACTTGTAGTCCTGAATTTGAATTACAGTATCAGTATGAACTTGTGATGTATTTTATTTAAAAAATATTTTCTAGCTCTATCCACTGAAATGGCCTACAAACAATGACTGTATAATATTGAGCACTCCTAGCCACCAGACTTGTAGTATTTAAAAGGCGTGTCCCACTCTGAGGAATGGGGTGTCCTTGGAGAAATGGTTGATTCTAGGGCTGGGGCAGGAAATAAAGAAGAGATAGGAAGCAAGGAAGCTATAAAGGCTACTAGATTTGTGTCTCAGGAGTCCATTTGAACAGGCTCTTACTAACCAAAGATGGAACAATTTGATTATAAATTCAAATAATATCAGTAATAGATCGAAACACATGAGATATGTTAGAATCCATAAGTTGGTAATGATACTTAAAAAAAGATCCCTCCGTGGCCACCTGTGGAAGATTCTAGTGGCCCAACTCAGTACTTTGAAATAAACACAGGGAAAAAAAATGAAGCATTTTCCTCTTTTCTCTATAAACTGTACCTCAGGATAATCAAGAATTGATGACAGGATTTTCTTTTTGTAAGAGTATATTAGCTCATAAATGAATGAATGGTAGGATTAGAGTATTACTATCGCACAATAACAGATTGAGGTAATGACCACTAAGCAGCTGGTCATGTCAGAAAAAGACGTGAAGACATCATATGCCTCCTGATGAAGTCCCATAACTTATTGGTGACAAAGATTAGATCTCAATTTGATCAAGCCTCTAGATCTGACTATCGGTTTTCAGAAGGAAAAGAAAAATGAATGAATGCATTAAAATATACCATAGGGATACAATCAGCAAAACCTAGCCTGTGGAAAACTCTGAAGTACCAATAATCTGGTTTCTTTCACAAATAAATTGCAAGAAAAAAATGTGAAGAGGAACTATAGGCTAAAATAGTCTTAAAAGACATATCAACCAACTGAACTATTTGGACCTTATTCAGATCCTGATTCAGGAAATAACTGGGGAAAAACATGCAGATGAAAATTGGGGAAGCTTAAACACTGACTGGTTATTTGATGCTATGAAGGAATTGTTATTAATTTTAAAAGTGTGATGACATATTGTGTGGTTATGTATTTTTTAATTTACATCTTTTAGAGACATACTAAAATATTTATAGGTAAAATGATATCATTCTTGGTTTGCTTCAAAATAATATGGAGAGAGGAGACGTGGCAGGGAGTATATATGAAACACAAGATGTTAATTTGTCAAAATTGGGAGTGAACTATACTATTTTTACTACTTTTGTGTAGGTTTTAAATTTTCTACAATAAGATTTTAAATAAAAGTGTACTTAAGATGGACCTCAGAGGTTGTATTATGGAGAAAAGTAATTGTTTCTGTGAAACAGTTATTATATTAAGAAGAATCACTGGTTAGGGTTTTTTTTTAAACCCCATTCCCAAAAGTACATTCATAATAAAATGTAGTTAACATTTCTTAAATATCAAGTATGTGCCAGACAGTTGCTCTAGTCACTTTACATGTATTATCTTGCTTAAAATTTACCAGAATCCTGTGAAGAAATTCTACTGTCTTCACTTTTCAGATCATTCCGAGAGATTAAATGTCTTTAACCAAGACACAGCTGGTAGAGGGTGCTGTCTTGGAATGCTGCCCTTTGGCTTTCGGTGCTGGGGTGCTCAAGCCTACTCTGTTCAGCCTGAACAGTCCACAGGAGTGGAGGCTTTGAGTGACAGTGTCTGCTGTTATACCTTTTACATTTTCTTGATCAGCACTCTTTGCCCAGACTCAAGACTTTTTGGAGAGATTATAATTTGCATTTCGGCTAAATAAGAGACTCCAAAACTAGTCAGCCTGCTGCAAGGCAGTACTAGCCACTCTCTGAATCCTTAATGAGGCGAGCTGTTTCCCTTCCCCACAAGATGGGGGGAAAAGAAAGCACAATTTTAGTTTTCACATTTTTCTTGATCAATTGTTCCAAAGTGGTTTTCCTTAGTATAGTGTATTCAAATGGACTGCTGTCTTTAGGCAGTGCTAGGATGGTGCATCCTAATGTGAGACATTCTCCTTATCATGCATGTGCACACAGGAGTGGGGGAATCTAGTAAGAAACAGCAATTTCAGTACTAAGAAATGAAAACAGCCCTTAGGTAAAACTGATGTTGCCCCAGGGGGATAGCTCCCTCATCTTGGATCTAGGGGAGCTTATAACATCTTTTAAAAGGCGAAAATTCAAGTTATCTGTGGACTGTCAGAACATTTTGCATAAGTCATCCCCAGGTGAGTAAATTAAAAACCTCAAGTTAGTAAAATCTTCTGCAAAGTGATCCTCTCTTGTAAAGTTGCTGCTGCTTGCTATAAATTTCCTCAAGATTGGTATAAGAGTACATGCTCTTCAATCTTAAAATAAGTTGTTTCCCCACCTTTTTTTGTGGGTGGATTTTTCTATACCCCAAGCAAGCATAGTCAAGTTAAACCCTCCATAGTTTCTGTTTCATGGAAAAAAGAGGGAAATAAATTGGCATAGTCTATAGTAGTCTATTTTTTTGGTTTAAATGGAAAAATTACCTTTATGACTGGAGATACTTCTCACTGTGTGTAGGTGCTGAATGGCTTCAAGATATATGGACGTTCAAAAAGAGATTCAATTAAACTGGGGATTGCTTCATAATTTAAAATATGATTACTTCTAACAGGAATTTAATGTCAGCTTTCTGATATTAATTATTGTAAAATTTGTGTCTTATTAAAGTCAGCCAACTCAAGTCACTGAGACCATTCCTTATTTCAAAACACTGTAATAACAACTGAAATTAGCGAAAATAAATTCTTAAGTGTTGGTTCACATAGAAAAAAAAATGTAAGAGAATGAAAACTGGGATTTCTTTCTAGATCTTTAGATATATCTAGACTTTACATTATTTATAATTTATGAGGGAGAAGCTATGGCTATCTCTTTGTATCAAATTTATAATCTCATTATATAAAAATGATTTATAATGCACACACCACAGTGCACCCATAGATGTTGCAGATAGCACTGACAACATACAAAACTCCCCACCACAGTTAAACAGGGTATTCTCATCTACCTCTACTCTCTTTTTGCCTTCAAGGGATGATCTCACCCCCATAAAATGAAAATCGTAGAAACCTTCTAGGGTTAGTTCCTTTCTATAACTCTAACTTTTCCCAACAGTTCCCTGCGTCTATATTTTTCTGCTTTTTTTCCCCTGAAAGTTTTTTCTTCCCTCTAAAGCTTTCTTACCTACTATATTTGACATCCCTTCGGCACCTCCTTCTTCTGAGAACTTTCTACCCTAGTTACCCCTCTTTTCTTTTTTAGCTTCCTTGATTTCAGGCTCTTTGTATTATATCTTCAAAGTCACTCAAATTTTTTCTCTCTAGAAAACATTTTTCACTTGCTTCCACTGGCCTCTTCCTTTCTTAGCCAGAATCCTTTAATGCAAGACATATTACTGTTCTCTGCTATTCCTTATTTTCTCATTCATTTTTTAAAAATTCTCCTCCTCACATACTCTTCCCATTACACATTCTCATGGCTTCAGATCCTATCTTTACACTGATGATACCCCCAGATGTATCTCCACCCATAACCTCTCTCTGTGTTTAAGGACCAATTTCTTCTCTTTAATACCTAATCAGATCCTGCTCAGCGGTGTCCCCATCTCATCCAAGATGACTCCTGAAGTCACATTGATCCCTCTTTCCTCTATTATGATTGCAGATTCAAGGTAACTAGGCCTAAAGTTATGGACAAGTGGATGTTGGTTCTTATTTCCCCAGTAAGACTTTAAGTTTCTCAAGACCGTATCTTATGTTTCTCTTTCCTATCTCTACGCCAAATCAAATCTAGAGAAATCGTAAGAATCAAACAGTTATTAATATTAGGAGGCAATAAATGTGTCCTTTGGGGGAAGAAAACGTCACTTACATGACGAGAGAATTTTAGAGTTACTGACCTACAAAATTGTGGCTGTTTTATTATTATTTTAGTAATAAATGCTCATTGAACCTTTCCATGGTAAATAGCATTTTATTAGGTTATAGAATTTCTAGTTTTAGAATATTCTGACACCTCCAGAAACTGATAATCTGTTTACAAATTTAGCTACAATATATACACTCTACTAGACTAAACAACACAGGTATGGGTGCATAAATAATAAATATTATCTATCATAAATTTATAAATACCTGTGGAGGTTGGGTGGGCATAATGGTAAGGTGTCAAGTAGAAGCTGATGTTGAGTTAACCAGAGTGATTTCCCAGAGGGAGATGGATTTCTATAGATTCTGGTTTAAGATTGTAAAAACAGAAGACTGGCCTCATAAGAACAGCTTGAGTTAAGGATCAAATATAGAAGGCAGTCATTGGAGGCAACACAGAAAGGCATAATGGATACAAATCCAGAGATGTAGGTTTAAACTAGAAAACAGTCTCACTCCAAAATGTTGTTCTTTCCTCTCCAAACTAAATTATTGCCAAAACTATAAATATGTCATTTGTTCATATAATAGCTAACATTGACATAATGGTTGCATATCTCATTTTGAGTTTTAAACTGTAAAGTAAAGCCATTGCATGTGCAAAGCATTACTTTCTTCCTACCTCCTGAATTGTTCTGCCTCCTCTCCTCCCTGCCAACTCCAGTATTTCTGTTATCTTTTCTTTTTACCTGTATGCACCACTGACTCACATCTGCCCCCAGCCACCTGCCATGGCAGCTGTTGCCAACTGTATTAGTCCACTGTCACACCACTATAAAGAACTACCTGAGACTGGGCAATTTATAAAGAAAAGAGGTTTAATTGACTCACAGTTCCGCATGGCTGAGGAGGCCTCAGGAAACTTACAATCATGATGGAAGTGAAAGCAGGCACGTCTTACATGATGGCGGGCAAGAGAGCATGTGTGTGGGAAGTAAAAGGGGAAGAGCCTCTTATAAAACCATCAGACCTCATGAGAAGTCACTATCAGGAGAACAGCATGGCAGAAACTATCCCCATGATCCAATCACCTCCCACCAGGTCTCTCCTTCACCACCTGGGGATTACAATTCAGTAGATTTGGGCAGGGACAAAAGCCTAACCTTATCACCCACTAACATTTTAGCCACAGCTGGATTCCTTCAGACAGTCTTGTGACCTTGCTGAGTGGTAGTGCTCACTGAACAAATGCATCCATTTCTTTTCTCTTGCAAGTTTCAGAGTACAGTGGAAAGAGCCTGAGATTTGGAGTTAGACAGATCTGGGTTCATGTCTGATTTTTCCAATCATTCAACATGTGAATTTGCAATTTCCTTATTGTCTTGGAATTTTTCTCCTCATATGCAAAGAAAAGGGGCCATTAATTCTTACTTTTAAGGCTATGAAGGGGGATTATGACAAAATGTGTTCCAGATAATAGCACAGTTTCTGCCAGAATGGATGCTTTTCCTCAAAGTTTCTCAATGTATGGTCCCTAGAACACTTGGATCAGAACCACTTAAAATGAAGACACTGGGTGATACCCTCAGCCTGTTTAATTTAAAACTGCAGGTATCTATATTTTAAGCAAATTTACCAGTTCAGCCTTATGCAAACAGAGCTCAAAAATCTCCAGGATATGTACTCATGTTCTTCCCTTTCCCTTTCCCTTTCCCTTCCCTTCCCTTCTTTTTCTCTTTACCTCAGTTAACAAGAAAATGTACAGGAAGCATAAGAATTTTAAGGTACTAACTGCATTAGGTTTTTTGTCAAGTTATTTTCACGTTTCAGAGTTTCATTTTTCTCTTATGTAAAAAGGAAATGGGCCGGGCGTGGTGGCTCACGCCTGTAATCCCAGCACTTTGGGAGGCCAAGGCAGGTGGATCACCTGAGGTCAGGAGTTTGAGACCAGCCTGGCCAACATGGTGAAACTCTGTCTCTACTAAAAATACAAAAAATTAGCCAGGCATGGTGGGTACACCTGTAATCCCAGCTACTCAGGAGACTGAGACAGGAGAATTGCTTGAACCTGGGAGGCAGTGGTTGCAGTGAGCCAAGATGGTGCCACTGCACTCCAGCCTGGGCAACAAGAGCAAAACTCTGTCTCAAAAAAAAAAAAAAAAGAAAAGAAAATGAAATGGCCTACTTCTTCAGTCACTGCTTGAATAAATTATTATTAAAGTGGTATCAATCACTCAGAAAAGGCACACACAAATGGTAACTATAATAAAAATAATTAGAGTTGTGGGGGTCCCTCTTTATTAAGAATAAGAAGCAGTAATGTTTATCTTGGCTTATAACAGAACATAGAGTTATCCTAGGGCTGGGATGAAGGTGAAAGAAAAAGGCACTTGTCTTGAGTGAACACTTTAGGGGGTGCCAAAAGTCCAGTAATCAGGAGAAATAATATTTTGATATTTTAGAAAATAAAAAGTAAAGCCGGGCACGGTGGCTCATGTCTGTAATCCCAGCACTTTGGAAGGCCAAGGCAGGTGGGTCACTTGAGGTCAGGAGTTTGAGACCAGCCTGGCCAACATGGTGAAACCCTGCCTCTACTAAAAATACAAAAAACAATTAGCTGGGCATGGTGGCAAGGCACCTGTAATCTCAGCTGCTAGGGAGGCTAAGGCAGGAGAATCATTTGAACCTCGAAGGTGGAGGTTGCACTGAGCCAAAATCGTGCCATTGCACTCCAGCCTGGGAGACAGCAAAACTCCATCTCAAAATAAAAGGAAAAAGTAATGCAAATAACTCATTAAGAACAAAAAATCAAAATTTTAAATAAAGATAGGCTCAGTATTATTTTTCTTTTTGTTTCCGCTTCCAATGGCTTGCCATGGCACTGTTACTGTCTAAAAATACTGCATTAAAATATTGCTTATCTTGATTGCTGAGGTTTTTAAATTTCACACTTAAGACAAGCGCCTCACCTGCCTCACTAGCCTGGCCTTGGTTTATCTTCATGCTGAATCATTTCATATTTAATTAGCTAAAACAGAATGGTTCATTTTCATGCACTTTCTTGGAGAATCTCCACTTACACTTTTAAGTGACATTTGTACAAATATTCTACTTTTGATACAAATATTGGAAAATATCCACATTTTGAGGATGTCAGTATAGCTCTCAGGGTTTCAGATAAGTCTTCAAAAGTTACATGATTTTGCAAATGACAGTGTCACTAAAAGACTGTATTAGGTAGAGAAGTAGCAAGACTATAAATCTAAGGGCTTGCTACTGTTTATTTGTTTGGGGCTCATTTCCGATTATTTGCAATGAAAACTGGAAAACCAGGAGTCAACAAAAAAGGAAAAATGTTCATGTAGATCGGAATCATCCTGGCAAGAGAAGTGATCACGGAAGGAGATTTTTGTATAATTAAATGTCAGTTTGCATTTTGAAATATTGCCTGCTGCCTCCCACTCAATCACCAAGTGAGATGAGAAGGAATAATCTCTATGCAAACCCAGAACTGACAGGAGCACTTGTTGGGTTCCCCGTGAAGGATGAGCTATAGATCAGAAGGATCAGAGCAAATCATTTTCCCAAGGCAATAAAATGCAGCTGATAAATTACAGCATAAATAGGGGGACATTATAATTTTCCCCTCTAAGAAAAGCAAATAACAAACAAAGCTGTGTAAACCTTTGGAATTTTAGAACAGGGAGGAATTTTAGAGGTCATCTGGTTCATTCTCCTCCTTTTACAGAGGAGGAATTTGATGCCCAGACAGATGCCTGGTTTCTCAAGATTACTATCAAGTGACTGACAGAGCTGTCACTTTTTTCCACATGACCATGAGAGTATTTGTTAGGTGGTGGAACAGGTGAGTGGTACAATAGGGAGTAGTACTGTTCTCCTGTTCCTAGTAGGAGAATGGCTTAGAAGTCTTTACATCTGATATAGTGGGACTGGGAAGTGGAGAGACACTATTGGATAACTACTCAGAACCATCTGAACACACAAGTTTCTTAGCATTTCAAGAAGTACTTTTATTTCTTTCTGCCCCATTCCATCAATTACACAAATGCCAAATTTACTGAATCAGACACTACAGGCCTGGGCATGTGGATTTGGGTAAAAGCTTACTGGGTGTTTCTGATGTGTACTTGCATTAAACACAGCTGCACTGGAGAGTCATTTCTTTCTGACAAATATGTCACTGTCAGTCAATAACAACAATGTGAATTAATTCAGGGGTGAGCTTGAGTGGTAGTGCAGGGTGAAGCATAAGAGCATTAGGAAATAAATATATGAAAAGGCAAAAGAGGAGAAATCTTCCAAAGCAAATATTTCCTCTTTTCAATTTTGTTTCATTAGTGTAAGAATGGAAGGAACTGAGATCCATAGTTAGCAACACCTCAGGGAGTTTTCTCACTTGTTCTGCTTATAACCAGACTAAGCTACTTAATGCCCTACTTAGAGCTAATCAAGAATCTTACATGGGCCAGTTGTCATGGAACATAATACTACAATATTCATCATCAAGGAATGATTTCAAAGGAAAAGTTGTTTCTGATCTTTTTTTCTTTTTTCTAACCTCAGATGTAGAGAACTGAGTTAATTATGCTCCTCAAATCATAACATGTTAATACTCATTACTGGTTCATGAGAGGCTCTTTTCTTATATTTATTTCCTTATATTTCCATTTCCGCCCTCCCATCCCCAAATAGGCAAACTTCTCTTATGTTTGGCACGAGTCCTTTTAAAATTATCCCAACATGCTACAAATAGTTTAGTATTTTAGTATGTTTTATGCTCCTCATCTGCGTCATTGAGGTGAGAGGAGAGAGGAAAGAAGTTTGACAGATGCTTCAATGTGCTTTCACCAGGCAGGCATTTGGATGCTTCATTTCAAAATGGTTTACAGTCCTCTCAATTTTTCTTGGTTGTATAATACCATTTAAATTTTGCTTGTTGATATGAACATGGTATCCCAAGAATTCAAAACAACAAATTCAGTCCAGTTTATTCTTGCCTGTCATCTTCTCTATAGTCCCTAGGTGATTGGATGGTTGACTGCCAGCTGCCTATATATTGAAAATACCTTGTACCCATTTATATATTTGAAAATCATGAAATTGGTCTACAGTCTGATATAGTCACCCGAGGATATTAAGATTTGTTTCAGTGGCTGAACAAATTCTATGCATGCTGTTCTTTCTCAAAGTTTTTTCTATGTGTAAGTCACAGTGATTTTAACAACTTCTTAACTTTGATTTAAGAACCTATCTAAAAATAGTGGGGAATGTACTTTATGAACATTTTTAGAGTAGATTTAACAATTACACTTAGGGGCAACAAGTAAGTTTGTTTTTCACTATTTTCCAGGGTTTTTTTTTCTATAATAGAATTAAGTCAAAGTCGACCACTTCTTTTATGGGGAAAGTGAGAACATGAAGACTTTAAATGTCATCAAATGTAACATTAGAGGCAGTGGAGATATTTGACAAGGAAACTTTTAAAAGATCAATTATAAAAGGACAAAAGACTATTCAAAAGAAAATCAATATGGAAAGAACAGGTAGCAGGAGTGACAATAAATTAAAAGTTCAAGCAAAATCAGCTTTTCATCAGGCTCTTGTTCCACACATCCTCTTTCTGGGCAGCCTTCTCTATTTCACATCAACTCCAACTTGCAGCGGGGTGATGACAAAATGAACAGGTCACAGGAGCATCCTCTTTTGTTTGCAGCCTGGAGAGTGGGTCATGCCCCAGGACCATCATAACACTGATGTTCAACAAGGCATTTTCTTCTGTTCTCTTCTGAACAGTCTCGGATTTTGATTCTTAGAATCAAATGTCTGACAATCTCAATTGCTCTGATATTGAGTCTTTGTGGCCTGTTCTCATCATTGTCTTTTATATACCTGACCTTCTTCTCAGTAATTGGGCCATCTTCTGACTGTAGTACTTTTGGGAATAATTTCTTCAGCAAAGTTTGCAGGTTCATTTCCTGACAGCCATATCATACCCACCAAAGCTGCCCACTTTTAGTCTTGACCTGGTGTTCTGAACTCTCAAGGGAGCCTCAGGAATTGCTATTTTCTTCTCATGTTACTCTTGAGCATGTTACATTTGCTGCATGCTTTGACCCAATAGAACAAAGTCTCTGGTCTAAATCTATCTTTGTTACTTATTAGTTGCAGTAGCTTGTAATAGGGTAACTGCAAGGGGAAGATAAGAACCTGCCAAAGGACCAGAAAATATTGCTCACAGGAGGTACTGACTTCAAACTCACTGATGTTTCCAAATTAACTGTTACCTAATTATGTGTGTGTGCGTGTGTGTGTGCACGCATGTGTGTACATCCAACATTGTATTTTCAATTCTTCCAGACCAAGTTTTAAAATATTGTAACAGAGGAAAAGAATGAAAATCACGTTAGTGTCATAAGTTACACTTTTTGACCTGAAGAAGCTTATCAGAAAGCTTATATTCTCTCTATGTTTAAATGATTACAGATAAAACCTTGCATCTGCTACACAATTAATACAACTTCTGTGACTTTTAAAAAGAACAAGTGGTAAATGATACCTAAAATTTGTTTCAGTGAATTAATTATAGAGCCATTCCTTTATCTGATAGTTGCTGTGTTTCACAATTTATCTTTTAGCTTTCAGAGCAGTGAAATAGGCAAACCCCTAGTGTCCACAGCTTGCAGGTGAAGTAAGGAGAGAAGTATATTGGAAAAGCTGGACAGATGTTACTGATTGAACATGTGTTCAGCTCCTTTAGAGTCAGAGCCCTAGAATGGAAACTGGACAGCCCTGTTCTGCTTCTGATAAGATTACACTGGAATGGTCTCCAAGATACAGCCTAGACCGTTTCAACGAGTTGAAGAGGAGGACAGTCTTTAAGAAGAAATATTTTACTAGTGTCTAACAAGAAGCTTTCATTCTATTATCTTCCCCCTTCCCGATTGGCTTTCAATGTAAATACCCAATAGTGGCCACAGCCATTTACACAGTAGTCCAAGATGCCATATGTCCTTATAAGAGATATTGTATTGGTTTTAATATTAAGAGATATTGTATTGGTTTTAAGGCTTCTATACCAATATTAAGAGATATTGTATTGGTTTTAAGGCTTCTATACTTCTATATATTTTCTACTACGTACCATGTTTAAAACTATAATGACAAATATAAAATTATTTTTAAATATTAAGAATTTTTATAACATAGAGCAGGGAACAATTTTTCTAAGCTGAAGGCAGAGGTCAAAAATGAAAAGGTGGGTAGATTTGAATATATTAAAAATAAAAACTTAAATACATCCATAATGATCCAAAAATCATTACGAACAAAATTAAAGATAAATGGGATAATGTTTGTAAATATTTGAGAGACAGAGTTTATGTGTTAAATATACAAAAAAAATCCATCATAATAATGAAATATAAGTTCCAGTGGGGAAAAAAACAAAGGTCATGAATAGGAAATTCACAAATAAAAGCTATAATACATGGTTAATACGTGTGTGAAAAACTACTCAATTATTGCAAATAAGTGCGTTTGAAAATATGCTGTGCTTTTCAGATTGACTGAGTTCTTTAACCAGCTTTCTCAGTATTGTGAGAGTAAGAAATAAACACTCTCATACACTGCTGATAGAAGTGTAAATTGGTATAGCTAATCTAGAGATCAAATTGGCAATATATATTAAAAGTACACCTAGGAATTCTACTTCCAAAAACTTATCCTAAGGGAATAATCATGGATATACATGAAGGCACAAATACAAAAACAAAAAATATTCTAAATATCTTTAAATAGTCAAAAATGAAAAAAAAAAAAGAAAAAGAAAGAAACCTGTCATATCACTGCCTTTAGGCTCCAGGGAAGATGAAGTGGTTTTAGGTGGTCCCTAAGCCTCTTACATCTGAAGGTATTTGGGACAAGTGGCTACCAGTGCCTTAGGGGGGTTACCTAAGATTCTCTAGTCTTACCCGTGTTCTTTCCTCCTAGGGTCCCTACAACCCAGGAATCAGACCTCAGTTTGGCTAAATTATCTCTATATTGTATTTTGTTGTTCTTATGATGTTGAACATGAATATTTAATGCATGGAAAGATATTCATAATTGAAAAAGTGGAAAACAAAATCATATGCAGAGCAATCGGATTTTTGTAAATATATAATTACATTTATAAAACTAGACAAATATACTCTAAAAATACAGCAATACCTCAGATATATCATGGGTTGGATTCCAGACCACCACAGTATAAATAACAACTATCCTAATAAAGCAAGCCACACAGATTTATTGGTTTCTCAGCACATGTAAAAGTTATGCTTATGCTATAATCTAATCACATCTAAAAAATGTACATACCTTAATTGAAAAATATTGCTACAAAATGCTAATGATCATCTGAGCCTTCAGTGAGTCATAATGTTTTTGCTGGTGGAGGGTTTTACCTCAGTGTTGACTGCTGCTGACTGATCAGGGTGGTGCTTGCTGAAGGTTGGGGTGGCAGTGGCAATTTCTTAAACCACAACAATGAAATTTGCTACATCGATGTACTCTTTCTTTCACAAAAGATTTCTCTGTAGCATGCAATGCTGTTTGATAACAATTTATCCACATTAGAACTTCTTTCAAAATTGCAGTCAATTTTCTCAAAACCTGCTGCTGCTTTATCAGGTAAATTTATGAAATATTCTAAACTATTTAATGTCATTTCAGCGATGTTCACAGCATCTTTACCAAGATTCCATCTCAAGAAACCACTTTCTTTGCTCATCCGTAAGAAGCAACTCCTCATTCATTAAAATTTTGTTATGAGATTGTAGCAGTTCAGTCACATTTTCAGCCTCCACTTCTAATTCTACTTCTCTTGCTATTTCCGTCACGCCTGCAGTTACTTCCTCCACTTAAGTGTTTCTTGAACCCCTCAAAGTTATCCATGAGGATTAGAATTAACTTCTTCCAAATTCCTGTGAATGTTGATATTTTGAGCTCCTCTTATGAATCACAAATGTTCTTAATGGCATCGAAATGGCAAATCCTTTCCAGATTTATTTTCTTTGGATTCACCAGAGGACTCACTATTGATGGCAGCCATAGCCTTTCAAAATGTATTTCTTAAATAATACGTTTTCTTTGTGAGCATATAGATTTTAAAAATTTTATTGAAGTATAGTTTATATCCAGAAATGTATGCCTGTTGTAAATGTATAGATCAATGGATTTCTACAAATTGAGTATACCTCAATTTGAACATGTATCAGTCTGCTTTGTGCTTACTTCAAGTCATTAACCTTCCCTTTGAACCTCCACTCCTCGAAGCTAATGACTAGCCTGACTTCTAAGAGCATTGATTTGTTTTACATGTTTTCATGCTTTATGTAAATAGATGAAATTGTATAATTTGTAAACTTCTGGACTGGCTTATTTTGCTCAATATTTATCTTGAGATTCTGTGAATGGGTAAATACATTATATTATGTCTGGGTACTTTTGAGTTTGGAACTATTATGAGTAGTGCTTCTATGAACATTATAGTGAATATGTATCCATTTGGTGAATATATCTACATATTTCTGTTGGATATAGTATACCTAAGAATAAAATTGCTGGGTCTTAGAGGATACATATGCTTAGCTTAGTAGACATTGGCAATTTCCAAAATGGCTGTACCACTTTATACTTCCACCGGCGTATACAAGTTTTGGTTGCTGCACATCTTCATGAAACACATATTTTCTGTCATTTTTACTTTAACCATTCTGGTGAAGATAATCATATCACATTGTGGCTTTAATTTGCATTTCCCCGATGACAAATGAGGTGGAGTGCCTTTTCACATGCTTATTTGCCATTGGGATGTCTTTTCTGAATTCACAGTTTTTGTTCATTTTTCTGTTGGGTTTTCTGCTTGTTGATTTAAAGTTTTCATATGAGAGTAATTTGTTGTATATATGTATTGCAAATATCTTTTTCCACTCTGGGAGTTGTCTCTTAAATATCTGAATGGTGTATTCAGATGAAGCAACAGTTTTTTTTTCTTTTTTTAGTTTGTATTTTGGGTTCGAGGGTACATGTGAAAGTATGTTACATAGGTAAACACATGAACAAGGGTTTGTTGTACAGATTATTTCACCACTCATGTATTAAACCCAGTACCTAATAGTTAGCTTTTCTGCTGCTCTCCCTCTTCCCATTCTTCCCCCTAAAGTAGACCCGAGTGTCTGCTGTTTCCTTGTTTGTGTTCACAAGTTCTTATCATCTCACTTATAAGTGAGAACATGCAGTATTCCGTTTTCTGTTCTTGCATTACTTTGCTAAGGATGATAGCCTCCAGCTCCATCCATGTTCCCACAAAAGACATGACCTCATTCTTTTTTACAGCTGCATAATATTCCATGGCATACATTTACCACGTTTTCTTTATCCAATCTGTCATTGATGGGCATTTAGGTTAATTCCATGTCTTTACTATTGTGAATAGTGTTGCAGTGAATATTCATGTGCATTTGTCTTTAAGACAGAATGATTTATATTCCTTTTGGTATATACCCAGTAATGGGATTGCTGGGTCAAATGGTAGTTCTGCTTTTAGCTCTTTGAGGAATCACCATGCTGTGTTCCACAATGGTTGAACTAATTTACCCTCCCAGCAACAGTATATATAAGTGTTCCTTTTTTCTGCAACCTCATCAGCATCTGTTATTTTGTGACTGTTTAATAATTACCATTCTGACTGGTGTAAGATGGTATCTCATTTTGATTGGCATTTCTCTAATGACCAGTCACATTGAGCTTTTTTTCATATGCTTCTTGGCTGCATGTATGTCTTCTTTTGAGAAGTGACTGGTATGTCCTTTGCCCACTTTTAATGGAGTTGTTTTTCTCTTGTAAATTTGTTTAAATTCCTTATAGATGCTAGATACTAGACCTTTGTCAGATGTATAGTTTGCAGATATTTTCTCCCATACTGTAGGTTGTCTGTTTACTCTGTTGATAGTTTCTTTTGCTGTGCAGAAGCTCTTCAGTTTAATTAGATCCCACTTGGCAATTTTTGTTTTTGTTGTGATTGCTTTTGATGTCATTGTCATGAAATCTTTGCCAGTTCCTATGTCCAGGATGGTATTGCCTAGGTTGTCTTCCAGGGTTTTTATAGTCTTTGCTTTTACATTTAAGTCTTTAATCCATCTTGGGTTGATTTTTGTTGATGGTATAAGGAAGGGATCCAGCTTCAATCTTCTACATATGGCTAGCAAGTTATCGCAGCACAATTTATCGAATAGGGACTCTACTCCCCATTGCTTGTTTTTGTCAGCTTTGTCAAAGATCAGATGGTTGTAGGTGTACGGCCTTATTTCTGGGCTCTATATTCTGGTCCATTGGTCAAAGCACCTGTTTTTGTACCAGTCCTATGCTATTTGGTTACTGTAGTCCTGTAGGATAATTTGAAGTTGGGTAATGTGATGCTTCCAGCTTTGCTCTTTTTGCTTAAGATTGCCTTGGCCATTCGGGCTATTTTTTGGTTCCATATGAATTTTAAAAGATTGTTTTCTAGTTCTCTGAAGAATGTCATTCGTAGTTTGATAGGAATAGCGTTGAATCTGTAAATTGCTTTGGGCAGTATAGCCATTTGAATGATACTGATTCTTCCTATCCATGAGCATGGGATGTTTTTCCATTAATTTGTTTCTTCTCTCATTTCTTTGAGCAGTGTTTTATAATTCTCATCATAGAGATCCTCCACCTCCCTGGTTAAAGGTATTCCTAGATATTTTAATTCTTTTTGTGGCAGTTGTAAATGGGACTGCCTTTCTGATTTGGCTCTCAATTTGGCTATTATTGGTGTATAAGAATGCTAGTGATTTTTGTACATTGATTTTATATCCTGAAACTTTGCTGAAGTTGTTTATCAGCTGAAGGAGATTTTGGCTGAGACTATGGAGTTTTCTAGATATAGAATCATATCATCTGCAAACAGATAGTTTGACTTCCTCTTTTCCTATTTGGATGCCGTTTATTTTGTTCCCTTGTCTGATTGCTCTGGCTAGGACTTCCAATACTATGTTGAATAGAAACGGTGAGAGAGGGCATCCTTGTCTTGTGCTGGTTTTTAATGAGAATGCTTCCAGCTTTTGCCCATTCAGTAAAATGTTGCTGTGGGTTTGTCATAGATGGCTCTTATTATTTGGAGATATGTTCCTTCAATACCTAGTTTATTGCAGGTTTTTAACATGAAGGGGTGTTGAAGTTTATCAAAACCCTTTTCTGTGTCTATTGAGATAATCATGTGTTTTTTCTTTTTAGTTCTGTTTATGTGATGAATCACATTTATTGATTTGCATGTGTTGAACCAACCTTACATCCCAGGGATGAAGCCTACTTTATCATGGTAGATTCGCTTTTTGAAGTACTGCTGGATTCAGTTTGCAAGTATTTTGTTGAGGATGTTTGCATCAATGTTCACCAAGGATATTGTCCTGAAAGTTTCCTTTTCTGTGTATGTGCCTGTGCCAGGTTTTGGTATCAAGATGATGCTGGCCTCACAGAATGAGCTGGGGAGGAGTCTCTCCTCCTCAATTTTTTGGAATAGTTTCTATAGGAATTGTACCAGCTCTTCTTTGTATATCTGGTAGAATTTGGCTGTGAATCCATCAGGTCCTGGGCTTTATTGTTGTTGTTATTGATATGCTATTTACAACTGATTCAATTTCAGAGTTTGTTATTGGTTTGTTCATGGAATCAATATCTTCCTGGCTCAGTCTTGGCAGGATGAATGTGTCCAGGAATTTATTCATCTCTTCTAGGCTTTCTACTTTGTGTATATAGAGTATATAGAGGTGTTCGTAGTAGTTTATGTTGGTTGTTTTTCTTTGAAGAAACAATTTTAATTTTAGTGTATCCCAATTTTTTCTCTTATAGTTAATACTTTCTATGTCTTTGCCTACTCCAGAGTCATGAAGATGTTCTCTTTTCCTTTAAAAACTTTATTATTTTTTCTTTAACATTTAGATTTGCAATCCTTCTGGAATTGACATACAGTGAAGGTAAAGATCAAGATAATTTGTCCAATATGTATATTCAAGCAACTTACTCCATTCATTGAAATTACTATCCTTTTACCACTTTGTCGTAAGTTACCTTTGTCAGTATTGTCATAAATCAGGTGAATATATGTATGTCGGTGTGTGTGTGTGTTTGGACTCTTCCTTCTGTTCCATTGGTCAGGTTACTTTTCCTTGGGCCAAAACCAGACTGTCTTAATTAATAGAGCCTCATAATATGCTGTGATGTCTCTTAGTGTAAGTCCTGCATCTTCATTGTTCTTCAGAATTGCCCTGGCTATTCTTGGTTCCTTTACCTTTTATATACATTTCAGAATCATGTTGTCAGTTTCCAAAAAGTAAACCTGCCAGGACTTTGGTTAAGATTGCATTGAATCTACAGATTAATTGGGGAGAATAAATAAGTTAGTTTTGTAATATGAAAATGCAAAGTAATTTTGAGCATAGGGTGACCACATGCTCCATTTTACCTGGGGCAGTCCCAGTTTAATCTGTTGACTGGGCATTTTGTTCAATTTAGCATTTTCCCTGGGAAAAGTGTTATTTATCTGATTAGTCATTTGACTAGCCTGTGTAAGTTTGATTATTTTATTACAAGTACAATATAAATTTATTGCCTAAGAAAACAGTTGTCTTTGGGAATAAGTTATCCTAAATTAAAATTTCTCAAATATTTCTAAATGTCAGTTTTGGAAAAATTATCCTTACATATACTTGATTTTCTAAATACATATTGTCAGCAAACCTTTCAGGAGGAGTTAGGAAGAATACCCTATTGTGATGTTTGGAATAAAAAATTTTCTTAGAGAGAAAGGAATTAGTAGGGAAGTTGTCTACAATCAAGGATGAAGTCCAAACGAGATCATGGCACATTTAATTTAGTTCCAGGTATGTGTTGGGAACCAAGTGAAAATTACTGCAAGGAGGCAGAATGGAATGTGGAAAACAGAAAACGGAAGGAAGCAGAGAGGCAGTGTGATGTTTACTCAAAGAAATTCTGCAAATTAGAGAATGAGAGCTGGGCTTAGCTCCTGAGAATTTTATATGGGACTCTAGCTTCCCAGCCATGATGTGGGTCAGGAGGCCCCATCCTGCCAGCCCTCTGGGACTCCTGTGCCTTAGAGATGAGAGGGAAGCATCTATGATCTGAGAAGAGGGTTCTGGGACAAACAGCCTGGACTTTTGTGTCTTTTCTAGGGGCTAAGGAGACCCTGGAAGTACTGCTGTTCATTCTCTAACATGAAGCAATCAAATGCTCTTTCCACATCTTGTTGGTGGCAGGGTAAAGTCTGTTGGTGGCTGCCTAGTAGAGTCTCAGACTAGAAAAGAACCTACTCTCAAATAGCGGCAATCTTTAGCGCAGTGGTTCTCAACATTGGCTGCCCATTAGAATCACCTGGGAAGGTTTATGCTCCTAGGCCCAGCTGCCGCAACCACTTACCCTCTCCTCCAACCCCAGCAGCAGACCAATTAAATCAGAATCTCTAGAGATGGGAATCTGGCATCAATATTTTTAAAAACTGTCCTAGGTACTTAAAAATTATTTCTTTAATGAATAAAAAAATATATAAACATCATATTTTAATATATGGGTACATTGTGGAATGGCTAACTTAAGGTAAGTAACATATCAATTACCTCACACACTCATCATTTTTTTGTGCCCAGGTACTTTCAAGACCCAATCGGGTTAGAACCATGGAGTCATCCCTGACACTAGTCTCTCCCTCTGCCCCCAGGCCCAGCTAATCCACCAGCAAGACATGTGGATGGGATGTTTCTTCTCCAAGTGTTTGGAATTCATCCACTTTTTCCACTGCTGTCACAATCACCCTCCAGGTCCAGGTGCCATTTTCTCTTGCCTGGAAAATTGTAATAGTCCTGAACTTGTCCACATCCACATGACACCCTCTCTACTCTGCACCCTGTTTTTGAATCCAGTTGTGATTTTTTTCACAGCTGAAATCTGATCATATCAGGCCCCCAGTTTAAGGCACTTCTGCACTTTCCCTAGACTGACAGCTCACATTGCCTGCAAAGGCCTGCATGACCAACCAGGCCCTGCTCTGCTCTGCAGCTTTATTTCACATCTCATTCTGCCCTGCTCTCTCTGCTCTAGATGAACTGGGCTGCTTTTAGTTTGTCACATCTGCCATCTTTCGTCTTGCTTCCGGACCTGTGCACATAGGATCTCCTTTGCCTGCAGTGTTTTTCCCTCTACTGCTCTTCATTCTTTAGCTCTTGGTTTCATCATCATCACATCTTGTCTGACTGCCCTGACCAAGGCAACCCCTGTTACAGCACTGTGTTTTTTAGAATACTGGTTATAGCTGCATTTGATCTATACCAGAGGAAAAAAGAACATCAACTTCTTGTTAATGAAATTGATGAAATTGTAGGTAAATATAATCAATTTAAGAGCTCAGCCCCAATACGTTTATGTATTTCAACCCTTGGCAAGTCTGTGTTGTTTAACCAGAACTCTGTGAAAATCATATGCATGTTTAAAAGGCTAGAAATAAACATGAATGATTATTATGTATCAATTATAAATGAAAAAGACCAGAAGTAAACATGTAATGTTTGTGGTTCACCTTTTTTTGTTGTTGTTATGCACATGTAACAAACTGTGGTTCACTTTGGTAGGAATATGGAAGATTTTTCTCCAATCTTTTTTATGTTGTTTGTATTTTCCAAAATTTCTAGAATGATAAAAATTATTTTTATAATAAATAAAAATGCAATAATTTCAAAAATGTGTCTAGATGGACTACATGGAAATTATGACTGGAAATAATACTAAGCTATGTAATGTGTTCTCTTTGACTCTACCTGTACTTTCCCACAAAACAAAATCCAGAGAATACCATTCTTGTTTGTAAACTTGTAAAGATGACATGAGAATTCAAAGAACTGAAAATATTACTTCTTTGATGGATGGGTCTGTCTTGTAGGAATCCATCCATTCAATTGCCTATGTTGCCTTCCACCCCTAGAATGTTCCATAGCAGGTAGAGCTCGGTCCCACCTCCCAGGAAGACTCAGCTGTTGACTTGCTGGAGTGCTTCCTGGACCCTCTTAGAAAAGTGTTTATGGTTACATTCCAGCCCTGGCAGTCGTAGTGGGAGGAACAGAGCTGCGAGATCTGCCCTTGCCCAGGTTTTTATGTTGGTTATGTTTTGCAGTTTGCTGTCTTGTGCTCTGCTGCTGTTTCATGCTGCACAGCAGTGCCATGCAGGGCAGATGGAGAATGGAATCTAGACTTCCTCATATAAAGAAGACTATGGAGCCCAGCCAATAAAGATTGTTCTTTCTCATAGCTAGAGGTATACCGTATACACATTTTGGTTGAATACCAAAAGCTAAGTGTTAAAATCAATATTTGACTAAGAATAAAGCCCAATTCTATGATTAAAAAAAACCTCTTGACAGGGAGGCTGAGGTGGGCAGATCACTTGAGGTCAGGTGTTTGAGACCAGCCCAGACAACATGGTGAAGCCGTCTCTACTAAAAATACAAAAATTAGCCGGGCATGGTGGCACATGCCTGTAATTCCAGCTACTCATGAGGCTGAGGCGGGAGAATTGCTTGAACCCAGGAGGCAGAGGTTGCAGTGTGCCGAGATCGTGCCACTGCCTGCCAGCCTGGGCAGCGGAGCAAGCATCCATCCCAAAAAGAAAAAAAAAAAAAAACCTCTTGATATAAGGAAGTAAAACTTGTATTATGAGTTAAGTATTACTTAATTATCTCTTTGAGGTAATAATTTATTTAGAGGTAGCAAAGCTGGTCTTTTGCTTTTAATTCATCTTTAAAAGATGAGAATAATTCTCAAATAGATTCCTTTTTTCCTAGAAAAGTTAATGCCATCATGAAATTAAAAAATATAGTGCTTAAGTATTTATTTATTATCATTACAAATATTAGTTATAGTATAATCTGATTTCCATCCTAATAGTATTTGTTTATAGATATGTGTATTTCAAAGTATGTATATGTTTTGTCCATAGTTATTTAGCTAGTGCTACATTTAGCTGTCAATTTATTTTTCTATTTAACTAATTAAGAATTTTTGTAATTGTTTTTTCATGAAATTAATAGCTTTCATGTTAATTATTGTGACATTTTATGTTTGTAAGAAGAAATATTTTTCCTTCTACTGATAGAGTCTCAATGTCATAAGCATAAATTAGTACTTTCAATTCTAGTTTTATCTGAAATACACATATACAATTGATATTCTTGCATTAAAAATAAAATCCATTCCTTGTTCTCATTATTGACATCATTACGCTATTTGTATATGATCATAACTTGAGATACTTTGATGATCAAGTATGCCAGAAAAGATACTGATTTACATAGACATTAAACAGTTGGGTCTTCTGAAGGCCAGGAACAAATTAACTATCAGCTTTTGGCTGAAGCTGAACTGTAGCTGAATTAATCATAGCACTTATTTTATTTTGTCAAAGATTTATGGAGAACCTTCTAAGTGCTAGACATCTGATTGGCTTTGGATCTACAATAATAAGTGAGAATAAAGTAAACTTATCTTCTTTACATTTAGGTAACATAAATGTCCCAGCCTGTTTGCCCATCATATTACCTAATTCAAAAAATAGTTCAAATATCTCCCCTACTAGCTGCAAGAATTCCAATGTTTTATCAGTTTTCCCGCCCTGAACATTTTTTGAGCCCCTGAGATATCCCAAGCCAGTTGTTGTTCAACATCTTAACCAGCTGTGTAGCTTTGGACCACTGCCTTCCTTGTTGTTGGTCACGAGCATCCCTCAGCCCATTGCTCCTACTCTCCCATATATGGCTTTCACCCCAGATGCCATCCCAGACTCTTGCACAATTCCCCCACTAATAGGAAGACCAACTGTGATGTTTGCATGACTTCACAGTTATGGTTTGAAGATTTTTTTAAAAGGTGCGGGATGTTATACAAGAGGATAATTCAACAATTGTAAATAGATATGGGGGTTCCCTGAGTTCATGGACTAAAACCCTCCTTAGGTGTTTTGTATTGTGCAAAGTCTTCTCTGCCCAGTCTCAGGCCTGTCACCCCATTTCAAGGGTCAGCTTACCCTTCCACAGCAGGAATGCCTGGAACAAGATTCACATGTCTAGATCCTAGGCCTCCTGTTCCCTCAGGCCCAGAGACAGTCATAGTCTCATACCTCTCAGTGTCCATTTCCTGCCCCCTGTCAATCTTCTGGTAAGACTGACAGTGAAAACATCTCTTCCTTCTCGCACCCATCCACAGAGGTGTGATCTTTCTCTTTAGTTCTTAGGATAATTCAGAACAACATCACTGCTTTCTCCAAAGTTGGGTTTATTCAATCAGGAATGACCCCAAATATGAGGTTCATGCAATATAGTCCAGTTTGAGCTTCAACAGTTCCAGGCTGTTCTTTCAGAGGTAAGATGTGGTCATGTTCTTGCAGCTTCCAGTCTCCACTGATCTCCTGTAGTTAACTGCTTGAACACATTCATCTCCCAGTATCTAACAAAAACTTTCAGGGACGATACAATTTAAATCCACTTGCAGGAAAGAAATATTTTATGAAAGAAAAGATAATTTGCAGAGAAGCAGCTGTGTCACAGTGAAGACAACCTTTCATATGATTGTGGAAAGCAGTTTAAGTTCCTTGGAGCTATATTATCTCCAGAGTCTCCATTACAGAATAGAGTCTATGCTTTACCTTCACATAATACGAAGATCCTCTAAGATGCTTTTTCCAAAATAAAGAAGCAGTGTGCCTCCAAAGCTGAGTTCAAAATTTTTCCCCAAGGGAAACAAACTGCTAGAAACATTTAAATGTCAGTTTTTCTGACTCAGCCATTGATGTCAAATAATCCCAATCTCTTGGGATTCACACTAGACCAGAGCACCCCAATTAAAATCTATTTCACTAGCACTCAATAAAGTGCCAGTAAGTACTTGGGGAAAAAAATGAGACCAATGAACTGTCTAGTGAAATCAATTGCTAAGGAATAATTTCATTCCAATGTAAGAAGTTCAAAGTATTTTGGGGACTGTTATGCAGAGAGTTCTCCACAGTCACTTTCCTAAACAATGAGTAGCAGAAGGATTGCCTCTTCTGGTTTATTACAAGCTTTTTATTTTTTAAGGTTCTTAATTTTATACATTTCTTTTACCATAGGGCCAAGTATAGCATATTGTCTATAATCAGTGTTTAATAAATGATTAGTTGAATTGGATCAAATATAGCCTTCCATATCTGAATCCTATTATGAAATATACCAAAACATTCAATGAAATGAACCCTCTCTACTGACCTTTTAGTTTTCTCTGAAACTCTATTTTGGGGAAAGGAATTGTGTATAATCTGGTACTCAGAACTCAACTTTTTGCCTCCCTTTGCAGCAGAAGATCAGGAGGCAGTACAAGGCATTTCAACATAGTTAAATGGGTAAAAAGCAATGCCAGAGCCCTATATCTTCTCCATCTATGTGTTTTAATCTTCAGAAAGTATTCCCCAAACTTTCCCACAATACCCAGTGTTCCATTTCCTGAGAAAGTTGGTTGCAGGAAAGGGCTAATGTCACATGGATGCTGACACAATATACCCATGTTTTGTCAGAATTTGAACTTTAAGCCTTATTTTTAATTACAAGATGAAAGACTGTCCTAAACAGTTGGGATTTTAGTTTGCAGATGAGTGATGATACTTTTTCCTTGGGGAGCACACCGTTATTACCATTCCTGATCTCAAAATGCAAACAGCTGTGGGCTTAGCCCACATACAAGCTAAAATAATTAGAAAACATTGACCTTGGCCGGGTGCGGTGGCTCACACTTGTAATCCCAGCACTTTGGGAGGCTGAGGCAGGTGGATCACAAGGTCAGGAGATCAAGACCATCCTGGCCAACGTTGAAACCCTGTCTCTACTAAGAATACAAAAATTAGCTGGGCGTGGTGGTGTGCCCCTGTAGTCCCAGTTACTCAGGAGGCTGAGGAAGGAGAATTGCTTGAACCCAGGAGGCAGAGGTTGCAATGAGCCAAGATGGCACCACTACACTCCAGCCTGGGCGACAGAGCGAGACTCCATCTTAAAACAAACAAAAAAAAGAAAACATTGACCTTGGTTACTGTGTTCACAACCAGTGCTACACACGTATACACCCATGCCCATACCACACACATATTACACATGCCACATATACCACACACACACACCCTCCACTATACCCACATATCCCCTACACTCCCCGTACATCCCACACACAGACCACACACACACTACATATACTACATACCCCATGCACACCACATTCATACACATCACAGTCACATATACCATACACAAACCACACACATATCACACACACTCCACACCTATACACCCCCGCACATACCACACACACCCCACACGCAAACCACACATCACATGTACCACAGACCACAAACACATAAAGCACATATACACACACATCACACTCACCTCCCATCCCGCTCACCTTAAACCCTCCCACACAAATACAGCCATTCATTTATTCAGCCAACATTTATTAAGTGCCTATTTTATACAAAACACAATCTTAGATGCTGAGGATACAAAGATGAATAAAACATAGTTTTTATACTCAAGGAGCTTGAAAACTAGCAAGGGAGGAAAATGTATACCTTTCCAAAGAATTTATTGTAGTTTATTGTAATTTCTTGTTTTCTCCTCTGTATTTCTCATTGGATTGTTTGGTCCCCTGAGACATCTCCTTGACCGTGTTCACTGTTTTCTCCCTGGCGTCTTGCCCTCTGCCTACCTATTCTGTAACAATATACTGAAATGAGTGAGTCAATAAGTAAAACCATATATATGTCATAAAACTATATAAATAATTAAACCAATAATATAAGAATTGTGTGTTGTGCTAACTTTGTGAACACAATGCCTCAGGAGTGCAGAGGTGAGAAGAGACTCGAGCGAGGGAGCATCACGAGGACATCAGGAAAAGTGGGGAGGAAGGAAACTGCCATCTTGGAATTGGCAATTAGAAGTGTTTATAGTGACTTTGCAAAGACAAGCACTACCTGTGGAAAGGAGTTGCAAGCCAAGTTGTTAGGGGTTAAGGAATGAATGGGAAGTGGATAAAACCGATTGACTTGAGTTGAGGAATGAGCCTTTTCACACTTACATAGAAGGGAGGCAGTTTCTTGTTCTCCATCTGATGTGGCCACTCTTGAGTCAAAGAATGTATTGCTGTACATATGCAACAGAGATGTCTTTACCTCTGGATCAGTTTCCTTTTTTTTTCAAATTATTATAGAAAACAATTGGATAACAATGCAGGTCAGGGAAAATCCTAGGGAAAGTTGTAACATTGGAAAATTTCCTGACGGATTGCATCCTAGTGATTTAAAATCACTCCTGTGGAAATTCCCTGACTGTCCAGTTTGAATTCATCAGCTCTTTCCTCCAAAAGCAGCAACTCAAGGACCAACATTTTCTCATTCTTTTGCCTGCACTAAAATGTCTTATTCTCTTATGAATGTTAAGTTGTTGGTCATCTAATCTGGTAAAATAATACAAAAAAAAGCATAGAGTTTTTGGTTCAGTTGTCCTGACTTTTCTTACACTCATTCCTGGCAGTCCAAAGCACAGTGCTGCCCACTGCTCTGTTTAAAATCAGACACCCCCGAAGGTCCTTCTCTCCCACTCAAGTGAAACATGTAATTAAGATAGTCTGATGAAAAAATTTAAAATAGAAAGTGAGATTTTTCTCTCTTCTTCCATTTAAACTCACTGTTAGTTTCCCCTTAGCAAGAAAGCTGACATTATAAATGTTATCACATTCACACATATTATAAGCCTAGAAATTATATCATCTCAGGCCAAAAGTGGATGCTGAGACTCTGATATCTTGCCTCTCTGCCACCTCTAGGTCATTTTCCCAAGACCTCTGCAGCTAAATATACTTTGGTTGCAAGTGGCTGTTAACAGAAGCTGATCTTATTTTTCCCCTGAGAAAGAGGGAAGTGTGAAGCCAGAACTAGGACTAATAAATTGGGATTTGGTGAACAGAATGCATACCCCACCCCCAGGCATTGGGTCTTTTCTAGAGTGGCCCATGAATGCGGTGTTGGAGGTTTGGGAGACCACTTGTGAGAATAACTCTTGGAGAAGGTAAAATAGGGTTGAAAAGTTATGGAGGATGCTGGTACTCTGAAGAGGTTACAGAATTCTAGAAGAGCCATTTATTTTTTATGGAAGATATCTTTCTTCCTACTTAAAATATGTATATTTAAATAAATCAAAAGTAGAATAATTTCCAGGATAAATGGCAATCATAAAAGCACAGGTAACATGGCTTTATTTTTAATAAGGTAATGCAAACAAAAAAGTCATAGGAACATTATAATGTGTGTCTTGTGTCTATGAAATACCGTGTGTTAATCTGCAATATGGACAAGCCTGGGCACCTCCAGGTTAAATTTTCAGATGAAAGTGTCAACAGTTCTCCTCTGAGTCAAGGATCTTGCTTCCTTGAGTTGAAATATAAGCTTAGGTTTCAATGATTGAGTACGATGGTGCCTGGCCTCGTTCTGCAAGGTTAAACGTTATTGGCTTTTCTTATGTTTCACAGTGGATTAGTTTTCTAGATAGTGCAAAATGTTAGTAATGAGCTTATTTTAAAAATCACTTACTTATTTCAACTAATTCTTATGATATGTTTTAATATTTTAAGAGAAGATATAGATATTTGAACATAACTAATATGGCACTGATATTTTCTTAAGGTGTATGAGAAAAGTGACTTTGTGATAACATAATATCTTAGGTTTAAAGAATAAAAGCAAAAATATTTATGTGCAGTTCAAACCCCATTTCAATTATAGCTGAATTATTTTCTGTAGCTTAGCTACAGGAACTGCTTAAACCTGATTTCTGCATAGTTTGAGCAGATTTTAAGGCAGGAGCTAAAAGGAATAGATTGACTTGGAAAATTTTGTGTATGAGAGTTCTTTAAAATGGCATTATCAGGTTAAAGTATTAAAAGGGACAAGTAGGTTTTGCATATCAAAATTAACAGTGTTCAGACAACCTTCACAATTGGATGTATGGGTATAAACAAGGAGATTTTTTGGCATACTATACATTAGAATCAATATCTGGTTTTATGGTCATACCTTTTCCGAATTTTAAACATCCTGCTTGTGAACACTCCAGATAGGGTCTTGTCTCTAGTAGCTCCTTCCTTTTCTTAGAGCTCTGAGACAACTTGGATCAAAAGGACTGTTGAAAGCCAATACCTTGCATTCCCCCTGAGTTTGTTCTATAAGAAGTCCCTTACAAGCCATGATCCTTCCTTCATATAAACCCCTCATCTCTTATGGCACAGCACTGCCACCTCAGCCATTCTTTCCCACACATACCCCTTTCCCTTAATTTTTGCCAAATTCCCCTCCCCTTTCTTTTTGGGAAGTGTCTTTTTATTTATTCGAATTGTAAACCAAAATATTGTTATAATCCCACTGATAATTTTGAAAATGCTGGTATTCCTGGTATTAACTAAAATGAAAAATTACATAAAATGGCACTGAAAAAAATAAAATGGCAAGGCAATCTTCATCAACCAAGGGTCTCAAAGTACTGAAAATCCCTTTCGAATCTTCCCTTAGTTTATAATCTACGTCTGTACTCTTATCTAAACAAACGAAGAAAACATCAACACTTAAAAATATAAAAAATTATTTCTTATTCTATTTCATTCCTTTTCAATTACCAGTTTACTAAAATTTTATATTATTTTGTATTTCAGATGTTCTACATTTCAACTCCATCAAATATTAAATTGATGTTTATGGGCTAACCTGGAAACCGAAAAACAGTTTGTTTCACTACAAGAATAAGAAAATATGTCCAAATTCCTGTCAGCTGACTTATAAAGGGACTTTTAGAACACAACCCAATGTAAGTTGCAGGCATACAGTATTTTGTTCTTTGTTACCTGCCCTGCAGTTAAGGCATGTATCTGTTTGTATATGCCCAGGTGTATGCTGATTGTATATATATTTGTGTCTACACATGAATATTTTCACAATTCCAGATTCATGACATCATTTATTCCTTTCTTCAATAAAATTTGAATGCCTATTATGTAACAGGTGCAGTTGTAGGCCTAAGGGATATCCAGAGACGAGGTGACTGTCCTCATAGAGCTCATACTGTAATGGGGAGACAGACATAAGCCAAGTAATTGCACAATTGCCTAAGAAATGCATACTCTGATAGGTGTCACATAGCACTATGTGAGCATATAACCAGATCTTGCCTTGTGTCCAGGGTCAGAAAGGGTTTCATGAGGAAGGTAATTTGCCAGCTGAGATCTCATGGGTGGGAAGTTAAGAGAGTAAAGAGGGTGGGAGGTGATGGGAAGAGGGGCAAGGATGGGGTATAAAGTGCTCCAGGTGAAAGGAACTTCTGTTCAAAAACCCCCAGGCACAAGGAACTCACATTCAAAGACCATACTTGCTTACTTAGGTACTTTTGATGATTTTTTTTCTAGTAGTAACCACTGGGTAGCTGGGCAACTTTTAGCTTAAACAAACCCTTAAAGATTAATTGTAATCATACTAGAAAATAAGGCATATATCATTTCAGAAGCACTTGTACTTGTTTTGTTTTTCAGGCATGAGGTACTCCTTAAGCCCTGACAACCATCTTGAAGATGGAATCATGAATATGGCAAATTTTCTACGGGGCTTTGAAGAAAAGGGGATAAAGAACGACAGGCCTGAGGACCAGTTGAGCAAAGAGAAAAAGAAAATTCTTTTCTCCTTCTGTGAGGTGTGCAACATCCAGCTGAACTCTGCAGCCCAGGCTCAGGTGCATTCCAACGGCAAATCCCACCGCAAACGAGTGAAGCAGCTGAGTGATGGGCAGCCCCCACCACCCGCCCAGGCCAGCCCCAGCAGCAACAGCAGCACAGGTAGGAGGCAGGGTCCCGGGTTCCATGTGCTGCGGGGAGAGATGGTCCTGGTCTGGAAAATGAAGGATTTAGAACAAGACTTAATTTTTACCTTAAAACTGGGCTACCATGATAACATGTACTCTTTCTCCTACAGGTAAAATACATGAGCTGTTTGTCACCTCTCGAAATATTTGTTACACCCACTGACATACACACTGGCACACACACATACACACATATGCACAATTTGTATATGGGTCCAGAGACTTCCTGTATCCCCACAATGTGTGAACACTTCTGAATGTATTTTGAAATGTGTTTAAAATGCATCAGTGATGTCATTTTTTCCCTCTCTTAAAATTAGCTTTCCTGGGTTTCCTTTATCTGCTTTCTATTGGGTGGCATACCACTTGATAGTATATAAAAAGCTACAGCTTTATTTATAACATCCTGTGATGCAGGAGAGGAGCATTAATCTTGCATGTTAAACTTGTCATATTCTTTTAGAGAGTTGCCAGCAGTGTGCTGGGTGTTCTAACAATAGGAACAGGCATTGCCAAAACCAACAAGGCTTCCCTCTGAAATCCAGCACCATCATCCATCGCTTTCACTTGCCTCTCACCCTTTCCTTGTGGGCTGGATAGAAGCAGAAGCTCAGGAATTTTTGCATTTCTGCCTCTGCCCTGAATTCTAAACAATCTTTCAAATCCTTTATCTTATCCTTGGGCAGCCCCTCCTCTTCCACATTGCTGGTCACTGGGTATCTTCACTGTGACAGAATTAAAGAAAAATGTGAAATTTATTGTTATCCATGGTGAAGATTTCTACAAAAGACAGTCTTCCTCCCAAGGTTTGAGGTGGGAGGCCAAGATAAGCCTCCTCCCAAATGTGGGGGAAGAGCTCCAAATTCTACTCTAGCAAGGGTTTGCTCTGTAATGAGGCCCCAGCTTGAAGTGAGATGATACAGAGAAAACATTTGTTGGAATTTCACTCAGTGCTGTTACATGGTTCTTGGTGTGTTGTAAATAAATTATTTTTATATTTCAAGCCAAATCTAACTACTTTTTACTCAGTTGATGATTTAATTTCATTAAATTGTTTTCTTAAGTCAATATTTAACATGCTGTGAAAGAAAGTAAAGGGGCTTACAGCATTTAAGGTACACACTTATAATAGTAGAAAAATTATTTTTCCATTTTCTATTTATTATAATTATTCCAAGGTGTATTCATTTACCTATAGTTATATATTAAAAATATAGTTAATGTTATGGCCGGGCGCAGTGGCTCACGCCTGTAATCCCAGCACTTTGGGAGGCCAAGGCAGGCAGATCGCTTGAGGTCAGGAGTTCAAGACCCTCCTGGGCAACATGGTGAAACCCTGTATCTACTAAAATTACAAAATTTAGTCAGGTGTGGTGGCACACACCTGTAATCCCAGCTACTCAGGAGTCTGAGGCAGGAAAATCACTTGAACCCAGGAGGTAGAGGTTGCATTGAGCTGAGATCACGCCACTGTGCTCCAGCCTGAGCAATAGAGCGAGACTCCATCTCAAAAAGCAAAATATATATATAAAATATATAATATTATATTATTAATAATATTATATATATATTTAGTGTTAGGTTCAAAACTGATACCTAAGTTAGAGCACACATAGCCTGAGTAAAAGTTTGAATTACATCTGTTATGGTGTAAATGTCTATAAATACCATAGTCATTAAAAATTATATTTCTGAAGAATATCTCATGATAGAGGAAATTGTCCAGGATATAATGCTAAGTGAAACAGCAGGAACTAAAGCGGAATATACCTAGTGCTATCATGTGTGCATGCGTACACTATCTACTGTTTAGAGCCTCCACTGAATGAGGTTCAAGCCTGACATCATTTCATTTTTTTTGGTCACTTTCCTCACTTTTGATCTATCAAATTTGTGTTTCCTGCTGGGTAGCAACTCTCTTAACACTCTCTCAACTCATAACTTCTCACTTTTGTGTATTCAGAAAGATTCTTTGATTTAGAAGATTCGGTTCTATTTATAAAAACATCATTTTATTGCCAAATTAAGATTTGTCTAGATGGACTCTAGAACTTAGAGTGGAGGGCTGGGCACATGAGCTTCTACCCTCCCCCTGCCTCAGCCTGCTCTTCAGCCTAGTGGTGGGAAACCATAGAAGGATAGAAAGGCGGAGGTTTACCTTACCTTACAGCCTCTGCAAGGTGGCAATGCTGTTCTTAATTGATGACTACTATTTTGGCTGTCTCTGTGGGACATACATCGTCTTAACAGACCCTGTGGATGAAGGGATCCCCCAGATTGTCCCTTAGGCATTGAGAGTCCCTTGTGAGATAGCTGCATCTTCCAGCTTACTCATAGTTGTTAGCAGAAGCCTTCATTCCTTGACTGTATGTGCCTCTTTCTTCCACACTGTGTTAGTCCTGGCAAGATTGTGTCGTCTGTTCTCATATGCCTCAATGCTGGGGGATTGAGGTCAGAATCCATCTGAGAATGAACATTCCTCTTGAAAACCTGGAACTGCTGGGGCCCAGGCAAGTACAGGTGGAGTGGACTGCGGGGGGCTTTTCTTTCCTGCTCAGGTAACACAGGGGAGGCTGGCAAGCCCACTGACAAAGCAAGCGCCTAAATAAGAAACAAAATGCCAGTCTTCCTTTTTTGCCCATCACTTGGCTTCAGAGAATATTGTGGGTTGAATTGTGTTTCTTCACACACACACAAAAAAATATATTGGAATTCTAACCCCCAGTACCTCAGAATATGACCTTATTTAGAGCTAGGGTCTTTACAGAGGTAATTAAGTTAAAATGA
The DNA here is from genome assembly GCF_000001405.40 of Homo sapiens. Classification (NCBI taxonomy): domain Eukaryota; kingdom Metazoa; phylum Chordata; class Mammalia; order Primates; family Hominidae; genus Homo; species Homo sapiens. Next base: position 179,766,689 of record NC_000002.12, on the reverse strand, counting down.
AGTCATTAGGATGGGCTGTAATCCAATATGACTGATAACCTTACAAAAAAACGGAAATTCGGACACAGAGACAGATATGCACAGAGAGGGAAGATGATGTGAGAAGAGATACAGGGAGAAGACAGCCATCTACAAGCCAAGGAGAGAGCCCTAGAATAGATCCTTCCCTCACAGCCCTCAGAAGGAACCAACCCAAGTAACACATTGATTTTTTATACTTCTAGCCTCTAGAACTATAAGATGATAAATTTCTGTAGTGTAAGCCACTAGTTTATAGTACTTTGTTACAACAGCCCCAGAGAACAAACACAGGGAAGAAAATCGAAGCCCATTTCATGCCCACAGAGAAAAATATGTGGTAGTAGATGTTCTTCCCAAGAACTGTTAATTTAAGAGGTGACTTCCCCTCTTCTGGGTCGGTTTTGTAGTGTTGGAGTTGGCATCGATGGGAATTGGGTCCACAGGGTGATGGTTGAGACTTGTTTCTAGTAATAAAAGGTGGCTGACCCCTAACCACTGGAAGTTCTTCTGCCAAATTTAGTATTCAGGGTATTTACAGAACTTTTAGATCTGAGCTTTAGAACAACAGGAAGATTCTTAGAGTGTACCTGAAACCAGTCTGCTGTGTGTGTGTGTGTGTGTGTGTGTGTGTGTGTGTGATCAATGTACCAAAGTGAGCAAGGGACTTGTGAAAAGTAGCAGCAAAATCCTTTTCCCAGCAGTGTCTCCCTAGCCAAATGTTTTATGAATACTCTGGGCGGTGAAAGAGAGACTCAAAGGGGAAGCAAAAAGAGCTGAGGTAACTTAGTTTGCATATAAAAGATCCCTAATGCTTTCCCCATCCAGTTCCAAGGGGTAAGTGGAAATAACAGAAACCGCAGATGGGTCTTGGCTTCCAGAAAGGAAAAAGTAGTTGTGAGTTTCTTTGTCTCACAGGGTCCACAAAGGCAGTAAGATCCTGGTGTTCCTGGCCCCTAGCAAGGGTGGGCAGATGGACCTGAGGCTGTCTCATAATTTCTTATGGGTTTAGGGAGTACAGAAGCTGCTGGTTGAACCTGGGAACCACAGGGACATAGTCTTTTCTGTTAGACTGGGACAGTGGCAGGACAATATTTTACATGTACCACAGCAAAGAAATACCTCACAGTTCCTGCATGAACTAATGACTAAATATCAGACAGAAATAAACATGCCTCAGCAGATGTCCATGTGCAGAAGTGACAGCCAGGCCATAAACACTGCTACCTGAGCCCTGGAACCATGTAAGCCCATAAGTACCCTCCTCAACCCACCCCAAATCTGGATGCAGCTCTGGGGAAAGTCACTCCATACTGCCTGAAATTAAATATCTATCATCACATGAGTTGGAGTTTGTACTAGGCAGCATAAATTATCATTAGCAGGTTTATACTTAAATATTGGCTAAAGGAAAATTTTCAACTAGAAAGGAAATGAAAATGAATCTTGGAGCTTTGAGAAGGAAAGAAGAAAGAACAATGGAAAGAATAGAAATATGGTACATAATAAACTACCTGTAGTAGGGTTCTCCAGAGAAGCAGAACCAGTAGGAGAAAGGAATTAGCTCACACAATTATGGAGGCCTCCAATTTTCAAGATCTGTAGGAAATCTGAAGACCCAGGACAGCCAATGGTGTTATTCCAGCATAAGTCCAAAAAACATGAGATTCAGAAGAATTGATGGTATAGTTCTAGTCTGAGGACTGGCTGGCTCAAGACCCAAGAGGAGCTGATGTTTCAATTTGAGTCTGAAGGCAGGAAAAGAAACTAATGTCACAGGTGGAAGGCAGTGAGGCAGGAAGAAATACGCAGAATAATGTGTAACCAAATATCTGAACATCCAGTGACCCAGTCAAGTTGACACATAAAATTAATCTTTACATTATCATTTTCTTCATGAGTTTTGTAAATCATATTTGATGACTGAAACAAAATATAATCATCTGATGCTAAAAACAGTGATATTTGAAAGTAGGAAAGTTAAATGCTGATACCAATAAATTGTCTGCCATAAGTCACATGTGTATATCATTATAATATTAATGGCAACCACTATGAAAACTATACAAAGAGATACAACCAAAATATAAATAAATAAAGATGGAGTCCTAAAAAGTGTTCAAGTAAACCACAGGACAGAAAGAAGAGAGAAACAGAGGACCAAGAAGCAAAGGAAAAAACAGAAAGCAAATAATAAAATGTCAAACTTAAAGGCTAACATCAATAATTACTTTAAGTGTAAATAGCCTAAATAAGCCAATCAAAAGAAAAAATGCATTAAAAAAAAACCCAACTATATGCTGCTTACAAGAAACTCACTTCAAAATCAATAAGAGGTATGTTGAAAGTAAAAGGATGGAAAAGAATATATCATGCAAACAGTAATTTAAAAAATAAAGGCAGGGGTAGCTATATTAATATCTGATGAAGTAGGGAGTAAAGAAATTTACTAGGGACAGAGTAAGACATTATGTACTGATAAGATATTCAACTCACCAGGAAGACCTAATGATCCTAAATGTTCATGCACCAGACAACAGAGCCTCAAAATACATGAAGCAAAAACTGATAGAGCAGAAAAAAGAAATGGATAAATTTACAATTGCAGTTGGGGACCTACTCTCAGCAACTGATAGGATTATTAAACAAAATAAGCAAGAATATAGAGGATCTGAACAATATAATCAACTAAAAGGATCTAATTAATTTATATAGACCTCTACTCAATAACAGTATAACACTATTTTTTCCAAGTGCCTATACAGCTATTCACAAAGGTAGACCATATATTGGACCATAACACAAACCTTAATGCGTTTGAAGGAACTGTAATCATATACAATATTTTCTCTGACCATAATGAAATCAAGTAGAAATTAGTAGTAGAAAAACAACAGGAAAATTAAACAATATATCTCTTAAATAATCTATGAATCAAAGAAGAAGTCTCAAAGGAAAAACTAGATGAAAATTAAAGCACAACATAGTAAAATATGTGGGATGAAGCTAAAGCAGTGCTGAGCTGGAAATTTATAGCCTTAAATGCTTATATTTGAAATGAAACAAAGTTCTCAAATAAGTAAGTTCCCGACCAAGAAGCTAGAAAAGAATAGATAAACCAAACCACAAGCAAATGGAAGGAAGAAAGTAATAAAGACCTAAACCAACAATCTGTGAAGTTGAAAATAGGAAAGCAATAGAGGAAAAGTCCATAAAACAAAAAGCTTATTCTTTAAGAAAGAAAAATCAATGAAATTTGTAAGCTTTTAGCAAGACTGATGAGTACAAGAAGAAAGAAGAAGATACCAATGAGATACATGATATTATGACACAACTTGCAGCAATTAAAAATATAATAAGCAAATACTAAAAACTTGTGTTTATAAATTTGACAAGTGAGAAGGATGAACCAGTCCTTCAGAAACCATAAATAACTAAAATTCAACTAAAATAAAAATAGACTATCTGGGCCAGGTGTGGCAGCTCACCCCTGTAATCCCAGCACTTTGGGAGGCTGAGGTGGGCAGATCACTTGAGGTCAGGTGTTGATACCAGCCTGGCCAACATGGTGAAACTCCACCTCTATTAAAAATACAAAAATTTACCTAGCATGGTGACAAGTGCCTGGATTCCCAGCTATTCTGGAGGTTGAGACAGGAGAATCGCTGGAACCCAGGAGGCACAGGTTGTGGTGAGCCAAGATTGTGCCATTGCACTCCAGCCTGGGAGACAGAGCAAGACTCCATCTCAAATAAACATAAACATAAATTTAAAAGTAGACAATCTGAATAGGCCTATAGCCATCAAATAAGCTGAATTTATCATTACAAAGCACTTGAAAAACAAATTTCTGGATTCATATGGTTTCAGTGGAGAATTCTACCAAGGATTTTTTAAACTGACACCAATTTTATACAGTTGCTTTCAGAAAATAGAAGAAGAGGAAACACTGCCCAACTTATTTTATGAGGCTAGTATTATCCTAATACCCAAATCAGACAACACATTATTTTTAGAAACCCTACAGAATAGTATCTCATAAACTTAGAGTAAAAAATTATCAACAAAATGTGAGCAAATTGAATCCAGCAATGTATCAAAAGAATTATATACCATAACTAAGTGGGATTTATTCCAGGTATGCAAAACTGGCTTACCATTTAAAAATTAATAATCTACCACCTGGGCATGGTGGCTCACACCTGTAATCCCAGCACTTTGGGAGGCTGAAGTGGGCATAGCACCTGAGGTCAGCAGTTTGAGACCAGCCTGGCCAACGTGGCAAAACCCCGTCTCTACTAAAAATATTAAAAAATTAGCTGGGCATAGTAGTGAGTGCCTGTAATCCCAGCTACTCAGGAGGCTGAGGCAGGAGAATCACTTGAACCTGGGAGGTGGAGGTTGCAGTGAGCCGAAATCACGCCACTGCACTCCAGCCTGGGCAACAGAGCAGGACTCCATCTCTAAAAACCAAAACAAAAACAAAAAAATCTACCATATCAACAAGCTAAAGAAGAGAAGTCACATGATCACATCCATTAATGCAGTAAAAACATTTGAGAAAACCCAACACACATTTTCAGCAAGCTAGGAATAGAGGGAAACTACCTTGATTTAAAGAAGCATCTAAACAAAGCCTACAGGTAACATCATACTTAATGGTGAAAGACCGAATGTTTTTCTCCTAAGACCAAGAGCAGGGGAAGGATGTCCACTCTCAATTCTCTTATTCAAAATGGTGCTGGAAGTTCTAGCCATTATAATAAGGCAAGAAAAACAAATAAAAATAAAAGCCTGTAATCCCAGTACTTTGGGAGACTGAGAAAAGAGGATCACTTGAGCCTAGGAGTTCAAGACCAGCCTGGGCAACACAACCTGTCTCTAAAAAGCAAAAAAAAAAAAAAAAAAAAGAAAAGAAAAAAAATGTTAGCCAGGCATGGTGGTGCACACCTGTAGTCCCAGCTACTCAGGAGGCTGTGGTGGGAGGATTGCTTGGGCTCAAGAGGTCGAGGCTGCAGTGAGCTGCAATCACACCACTGTACTCCAGACTGCGTGACAGAGTGAGAACCTGTCTCAAAAAAAAAAAATCAATTGCATATTATATTTATATACTAAAAATGAACATATGGAAATCAAAATTTTAAAATGCAAATACCATTTATAATCACTTCCTAATAAAATGAAATACTTATATACTTTAAAAAACATGTGTAGGATCTGTATGCTGAAAATTACAAAATGCTGAGAAAAGAAATGGAAGACCTAAATAAATGGAGAGACATACCACGTGTTTAGAAATCAGGATTAGAAAACTCAACAAGATTAAGATGCCAGTTCTCCTTAAACTGATCTATAATTTTCATGCAATTTCTATCAAAATCCCAGCAAGTTCTTTTTGTAGACATAGACAAGATTATGCTAACATTTATATGAAAAAGCACAGACCTTTTAGCTAGTTTAGCTACTAGCTAAAACTTGACAAAGAAGAAAAAAGGAGGGATCTCTCTACCCAATATTGAGGCTTACTATATGTTAAAGTAATCAAGACAGTGGTTTTATTGGAGAGAGAGAGAGAGAGATGAAAAAGACTAGAGAACCCAGACATAGATCCACACACACATACTCAATTGATTTTTTGATAAAGGTACAAAAGCAAGTCAATGGAGAAAGAATACCTTTTCAACAAATGGTCCTGGAGTAATTGAACAGCTATAGGCAACAAAACAAATAAACTTAGGCCTAAATTCTGACACCATATAAAAATATTAACTCAAAGTGAATTATAGATTTAAATGTAAAAAACATAAAAATTTAAAACTTCTGGTGGCTGCCCTAGAATTCCTGGGCCTGTGGCTGCATCACTCCAGTCTCTGCTTGTGTTTTCACAACATCTTCTGCTCTGTGTGTCTATGTCTTTTCTTCAGATCTCCTTTCTCCTCATCTCATAAGGATGCTTGCCGTTGGGTTTAGAGCTCACCTGTATAATCCTGGATTGTTTCCTCATCTCAAGATTCCTAGCAATCACATCTGCAATGAGCCTTTTTGTAAAAAAGATAGCACTCACGGGTTCCAAGGATTTGACATGCATATCTTTTGGGGGTGACTTGTTAAATTGTGGTACATCTGTACTAAGGAATACTACTCAACAATAAAAAGGAATGAACCCTTGATACATGCAACAACTTGGATGGATCTTCAGGGAATTATACTGAGTGGAAAAAGCCAATCCCCAAAGTAACATACTGTATGAATTCCATTTATACAACATTTCTGAAATAGCAAAATTGTAGAAGTAGAGGACAAATTAGTGGTTGGTAAGGGATAGGGGTGAGTTTCAAGAAGGAAGTAGATATGGGTACAAAACTGCAACATGAGAGATCCCTGGTGGGGGATACATGAATCTACACAGGTCATACACACACACACACACACACACACACACACACACGCACACAGGAATCCAGGTAATACTGGAGAAATCTGAATAAGCTTTGTACATCAGATCAATGTCAATATCCTGATTACACTATTATTCTATAGCTTTAAAAAATTTTGAGATCACGCCACTGCACTCCAGCCTGGGTGACAGAGTGAGACTCCGTCTCAAAAAAAAAAAAAAAATTTTTACTATGGGTAGAAGCTGGGCAAGGTGTTCAAGAAAACTCCATAATTTCTTACAACTGCATGTGAATCTCTGATTATCTTGATAAAAATTTCAGTTAAAATTTATAATAATGATGACCACCTAAACCCCCCAGTTTTCTAGTAGCATAATTAGAGATAATAGGAAACAGAACCCTTGGGGATTTTTCTTATTTTAAATATTACCAAGTTCCTATTTTACAGAGATTAACAGAACAATGTCTTAAGTATCAAGAGAAAATAAATATTTAAATAAGTGAATTGCAATATGGTATGCTAAGAACAATGACAGATCTACATGTAACGTAGATGTGGCACAGAAAAAGGAATGATTAACTTTATGGAGGTCAAGGAAGGCTTCTCAGAGGAGGTGATCTTTGAGATGAGTACTCAAAGATGAGTTTCAAATTATTCAAGAAAAAACATTCCAGGTATAGGCAATGGCAATGCAGATGCATGTAGGAACAAACTATAAATAGTTTCTTATTATTGGAGTGAAGTATGATTTGGGGGAAAAGAGGAAGATCCCTTTGCAAAGGTAGAAAGGAATCAGAACAGGAAAAAGGGTTTTCTGGTCCTATGGGAACAGAGGTACAGGAAAAACAGCTGCAAAGACATAGATAAGAAAGTCACAGGCAGCTGCTGGAATTCAGAGCTAAGTTGTCCTGAGTTCTCTCTGTCATTCTGGTTTATGTTAACTAGGAGCCTCTGCATCAATTCCAGACATCTCACTTAGGTATTGCTTCCCCAGGGTACCACACAATTGCAGAGCTTATTTTCCATGACCCATCCACAGCTTCCCAAGTCCAGATAAAACTGACCATATTAGTTCTCTATGTAGAACTAATATAGCTAGTGACTGACATCCTGCTCTCTGCTATCCATTCTCATTTAATATTAAAATTTTAAGACTAAAAAAAAGTTAGTCAAGCAAAGAGAATGGAGAAAAGTGATCCAAAGGGAATGAAGAGAATGCTCAAAATCTCAACTTGAGGAAAAGCTTGGTGTGTCTAAAAAGCTGAGATGTGGCTGAAACTGAGTAAGACAATTATTAATAGAAGGAAACACAAGAGAAGTTTGGAAAGGTCGGCAGAAGCTTTCAGAAAAAATTTTAAAACAATGTTTTTTTAATTATGATTCTGTGGGTCAGAAATGTGGGCTGGGCTCAGCTAGGTGGTTCTTGTGCCGGACTCATTGGTGCACACCCGTGGAGCTGCAGGCTGCTACAGAGTAACTGTCTTAGATGGTTTTAGATGGCTTCACACATGCATGTGGCAGTTGCTGCTGGCTGTAGGCTGGATAATTCTTACCAGTAGACCCCTCTTCAAGGAGATTAGACCAGGCTTTGTTACCTAGCAGTCACAGAGCAGTGTTGCAAGACAGCAAGAACAGAAGCTGCAACTTACTGCATTCTTTTGGTCAGAGCTAGTCACAAGGTGCTATGGTTTGAATGTTTGTGTCTCTCTAAAATTCATACATTAGAACTTAAACCCCAACGTGACAGTATTAAGAGGTGGTGCCTTTGAGAGGTGATTAGGCCATGAGGGTGCCACTATTATGAATGGGATTAGTGCTCTTATAAAAGAGGCTTCAAGATCTGCCTGCTCCTTCTGCTTTTTGACCAAGTTGAGGACACAGTGTTGGTTTCCTCTGGAGGATGCAGCAACAAGGCGTCATCTTGGAAGGAGAGAGCAAGCACTTACCAGTCACCAAATCTGCTGATACCTTGATCTTGGACTTCTTAGCCTTCATAACTGTGAGAAATAAATTTCTATTATTTAAAAATCACCTCAGTCTGTGGTATTCTGTTATAGCAGCAGGAATGGCCTAAGACACAATGCCAGCTCAAATTAGAGGGGTGGAAAAATAGACCCTGCCTTGTGATTCAAGAAGTGGCATCTTTTATTTGGCCTTAGAAATTTTAAACTAGCAAGATGGCCAAATAGGAACAGCTCCACTCTATAGCTCCCAGCGTGAGTGATGCAGAAGATGGGTGATTTCTGCATTTCCAACTGAGGTACGGGGTTAATCTCACTGGGGCTTGTTGGACAGTGGGTGCGGGACAGTGAGTGCAGCCCACCGAGCGTGAGCCAAAGCAGGGTGAGGCATCGCCTCACCTGGGAAGCACAAGGGGTCAGGGAATTCCCTTTCCTAGCCAAGGGAAACTGTGACAGATGGCACCTGGAAAATTGGGTCACTCCCACCCTAATACTGTGCTTTTCCAACAGTCTTAGCAAACGGCACACCAGGAGATTATATCCCGCACCTGGCTTGGAGGGTCCCACGCCCACGGAGCCTCGCTCATTGCTAGCACAGCAGTCTGAGATCAAACTGCAAGGTGGCAGCAAGACTGGGGGAGGGGCGCCTTCCAATGCTGAGGCTTAAGTAGGTAAACAAAGTGGCCAGGAAGCTTGAACTGGGTGGAGCCCGCTGCAGTTCAAGGAGGCCTGCATGCCTCTGTAGACTCCACCTCTGGGGGCAGGGCATAGCCAAACAAAAGGCAGCAGAAACCTCTGCAGACTTAAATGTCCCTGTCTGACAGCTTTGAAGAGACTAGTGGTTCTCCCAGCATGGAGTTTGAGACCTGAGAACGGGCAGACTGCCTCCTCAAGTGGGTCCCTGACCCCGAGTAGCCTAACTGGGAGGCACCCCCCAGTAGGGGCAGACTGACACCTCACACAGCTGGGTACCCCTCTGAGACAAAGCTTCCAGAGGAACGATCAGGCAGCAACATTTGCTGTTCAGCAGTATTCACTGTTCTGCAGCCTCCGCTGCTGATACCCAGGCAAACAGGGTCTGGAGTGGACCTCCAGCAAACTCCAACAGACCTGCAGCTGAGGGTCCTGACTGTTAGAAGGAAAACTAACAAACAGAAAGGACATCCACACCAAAACCCCATCTGTACGTCACCATCATCAAAGACCAAAGGTAGATAAAACCACAAAGATGGGGATAAAACAGAGCAGAAAAGCTGAAAATTCTAAAAATCAGAGCACCTCTCCCCCTCCAAAGGAACACAGCTCCTTGCCAGCAACAGAACAAAGCTGGACAGAGAATGACGTTGATGAGTTGAGAGAAAAAGGCTTCAGGTGGTCAAACTTCTCGGAGCTAAAGGAGAAAGTTCAAACCCATTGTAAAGAAGCTAAAAACCTTGAAAAAAGATTACACAAATGGCTAACTAGAATAACCAGTGTAGAGAAGTCCTTAAATGACCTGATGGAGCTGAAAACCATGGCATGAGAACTGCACAAGCCTCACTAGCCGATTCGATCAACTGGAAGAAAGGGTATCAGTCATTGAAGATCAAATGAATGAAATGAAGTGAGAAGTGTAGAGAAAAAAGAGTAAAAAGAAACAAACAAAGCCTCGAAGGTATATGGGACTAGGTGAAAAGACCAAATCTACGTTTGATTGGTGTACCTGAAAGTGATGGGGAGAATGGAAGCAAGTTGGAAAACACTCTTCAGGATATTATCCAGGAGAACTTCCCCAACCTAGCAAGGCAGGCCAACATTCAAATTCAGGAAATACAGAGAATGCCACAAAGATACTCCTTGAGAAGAGCAACTCCAAGACACATAATTGTCACATTCACCAAAGTTGAAATGAAGGAAAAAATGTTAAGGGCAGCCAGAGAGAAAGGTCGGGTTACCCACAAAGGAAGCCCATCAGACTAACAGCGGATCTCTTGGCAGAAACTCTACAAGCCAGAAGAGAGTGGGTGCCAATATTTGACATTCTTAAAGAAAAGAATTTTCAACCCAGAATTTCATATCCAGCCAAACTAAGCTTCATAAGTGAAGGAGAAATAAAATCCTTTACAGACAAGCAAATGCTGAGAGATTTTGTCACCACCAGGCCTGCCCTAAAAGAGCTCCTGAAGGAAGCACTAAACATGGAAAGGAACAACGGGTACCAGCCACTACAAAAACATGCCAAATTGTAAAGACCATTGAGGCTAGGAAGAAACTGCAAAAACATGCCAAATTGTAAAGACCACTGAGGCTGGGAAGAAACTGCATCAACTAATGAGCAAAATAACCAGCTAACATCATAATGACAGGATCAAATTCACACATAACAATATTAACCTTAAATGTAAATGGGCTAAATGCTCCAATTAAAAGACACAGACTAGCAAATTGGATAAAGATTCAAGACCTATCAGTGTGCTGTATTCAGGAGACCCATCTCACGTGCAGAGACACACATAGGCTCAAAATAAAGGGATGGAGGAAGATCTACCAAGCAAATGGAAAACAGAAAAAGGCAGGGGTTGCAATCCTAGTCTCCGATAAAACAGACTTTAAACCAACAAAGATCAAAAGAGACATAGAAGGCCATTACATAATGGTAAAGGGATCAATTCAACAAGAAGAGCTAACTCTCCTAAATATATATGCACCCAATACAGGAGCACCCACATTCATAAAGCAAGTCCTTAGAGACCTACAAAGAGACTTAGACTCCCACAAAATAATAATGAGAGACTTTAACACCCCACTGTCAACATTAGACACATCAATGAGACAGAAGGTTAACAAGGATATCCAGGACTTTGGCTCAGCTCTGCACCAAGCAGACCTAATAGACATCTACAGAACTCTCCTCCCCAAATCAACAGAATATACATTCTTCTCAGCACCACATTGCACTTATTCCAAAATTGACCACATAGTTGGAAGTAAAGCACTCCTCAGCAAATGTAAAAGAACAGAAATTATAACAAACTGTCTCTCAGACCACAGTGCAATCAAACTAGAATTCAGGATTAAGAAACTCACTCAAAACTACTCAACTACATGGAAACTGAACAACCTGCTCCTGAATGACTACTGGGTACATAATGAAATGAAGGCAGAAATAAAGATGTTCTTTGAAACCAATGAGAACAAAGACACAACATACCAGAATCTCTGGGACACATTTAAAGCAGTGTGTAGAGGGAAATTTATAGCACTAAATGCCCACAAGAGAAAGCAGGAAACATCTAAAATTGACACCCTAACATCACAATCGAAAGAACTAGAGAAGCAAGAGCAAACACATTCAAAAGCTAGCAGAAGGCAAGAAATAAGTAAGATCAGAGCAGAAGTGAAGGAGATAGAGACACAAAAAACCCTTCAAAAAACCAATGAATCCAAGAGCTGGTTTTTTGAAAAGATCAACAAAATTGATAGACCACTAGCAAGACTAATAAAGAAGAAAAGAGAGAAGAATCAAATAGACATAATAAAAAATGATAAAGGGGATATCACCACCGATCCCAAAGAAATACAAACTACCATCAGAGAATACTATAAACACCTGTATGCAAATAAACTAGAAAATCTAGAAGAAATGGATAAATTCCTGGACACATACACCCTCCCAAGACTAAACCAGGAAGAAGTTCAATCTCTGAAGAGACCAATAACAGGCTCTGAAATTGAGGCAATATTTAATAGCCTATCAACCAAAAAAAGTCCAGGACAGATGGATTTACAGCCAAATTCTACCAGAGGTACAAGGAGGAACTGGTACCATTCCTTCTGAAATTATTCCAATCAATAGAAAAAGAGGGAATCCTCCCTAACTCATTTTATGAGGACAGCATTATCCTGACAGCAAAGCCTGGTAGAGGCACAGCAAAAAAGAGAATTTTAGACCAATATCCCTGATGAATATCAATGCAAAAATCCTCAATAAAATACTGGCACACCGAATTCAGCAGCACATCAAAAAGCTTATCCACCATGATCAACTGGGCTTCATCCCTGGGATGCAAGGCTGGTTCAACATATGCAAATCAATAAATGTAATACAGCATATAAACAGAACCAAAGACAAAAACCACATGATTATCCCAGTAGATGCAGAAAAGGCCTTTGACAAAATTCGACAGCCCTTCATGCTAAAAACTCTCAATAAATTAGGTATTGATGGGACGTATCTGAAAATAATAAGAGCTATTTATGACAAACCCACAGCCAATATCATACTGAATGGGCAAAAACTGGAAGCATTCCCTTTGAAAACTGGCACAAGACAGGGATGCCCTCTCTCACCACTCCTATTCAACACAGTGTTGGAAGTTCTGGCCAGGGAAATCAGGCAGGAGAAAGAAATAAAGAGTATTCAATTAGGAAAAGAGGAAGTCAAATTGTCCCTGTTTGCAGATGACATGATTGTGTCTTTAGAAAACCCCATCGTCTCAGCCCAAAATCTCCTTAAGCTGATAAGCATCTTCAGCAAAGTCTCAGGATATAAAATCAATGTGCAAAAATCGCAAGCATTCTTATACACCAATAACAGACAGAGAGCCAAATCATGAGTGAACTCCCATTTACAATTGCTTCAAAGAAAATAAAATTCCTAGGAATCCATCTTAGAAGGGATGTGAAGGACCTCTTCAAGGAGAACTACAAACCACTGCTCAACGAAATGAAAGAGGAAACAAACAAATGGAAGAATTCCATGGTCATGGATAGGAATAATAAATATCGTGACAATGGCCATAAAGCCCAAGGTAATTTATAGATTTAATGCTATCCCTATCAAGCTACCAGTGACTTTCTTCACAGAATTGGAAAAAACTACTTTAAAGTTCATATGGAACCAAAAAAGAGCCCACATTGCCAAGACAATCCTAAGCCAAAAGAGCAAAGCTGGAGGCATCACGCTACCTGACTTCAAACTATACTACAAGGCCACAGTAACCAAAACAGCATGGTACTGGTACCAAAACAGAGATATATATAGACCAATGGAACAGAACAGAGCCCTCAGAAATAATACAACACATTTACAACTATCTGATCTTTGACAAACCTGACAAAAACAAGAAATGGGGAAATGATTCCCTATTTAACAAATGGTGCTGGGCAAATTGGCTAACCATATGTAGAAAGCTGAAACTAGATCCCTTCCTTACACCTTATACAAAAATTAATTCAAGATAGATTAAAGACTTAAATGTTAGACCTAAAACCATAAAAACCCTAGAAGAAAACCTAGGCAATACCATTCAGGACATAGGCTTGGGCAAAGACTTCATGACTAAAACACCAAAAGCAATGGCAACAAAAGCCAGAATTGACAAATGGGATCTAATTAAACTAAAGAGCTTCTGCACAGCAAAAGAAACTACCATCAGAGTGAATAGGCAACCCACAGAATGGGAGAAAATTTTTGCAATCTACTCATCTGACAAAGGGCTAATATCCAGAATCTACAAAGAACTCCCAACAAATTTACAAGAAAAAAACAAACAACCCCATCACAAAGTGGGTGAAGTATATGAACAGACACTTCTCAAAAGAAGACAATTATGCAGCCAGACAAATGAAAAAATGCTCATCATCACTGGACATCAGAGAAATGCAAATCAAAACCACAATGAGATACCATCTCACACCAGTTAGAATGGCGATCATTAAAAAGTCAGGAAACAACAGGTGCTGGAGAGGATGTGGAGAAACAGGAACACTTTTACACTGTTGGTGGGACTGTAAACTAGTTCAACCATTGTGGAAGATAGTGTGGCAATTCCTCAAGGATCTAGAACTAGAAATACCATTTGACCCAGCTATCCCATTACTGGGTATATACCCAAAGGATTATAAATCCTGCTGCTATAAAGGCACATGCACACATATGTTTATTGTGGCACTATTCACAATAGCAAAGACTTGGAACCAACCCAAATGTCCATCAATGATAGACTGGATTAAGAAAATGTGGCATATATACACCATGGAATACTATGCAGCCATAAAAAATGATGAGTTCACGTCCTTTGAAGGGACATGGATGAAGCTGGAAACCATCATTCTCAGCAAACTATCACATGGACAAAAAAGCAAACACCACGTGTTCTCACTCATAGGTGGGAATTGAACAATGAGAACACTTGGACACAGGAAGGGGAACATCACACACCGGGGCCTGTCGTGGGGTGGGGAGAGGGGGAGGGATAACATTAGGAGATATACCTAATGTAAATGACGAGTTAATGGGTGCAGCACACGAACATGGCACATGTATACATATGTAAGAAACCTGCACGTTGTGCACATGTGCCCTAGAACTTAAAGTATAATAATAAAAAGAAACTAAAATTCAATTAGTAAATAAATTAAAAAAAGAGATTTTAAAATGAGCTTGAGTAGATTTTAAAGTCAGGACATTTTGGATGGGGGAGAAGATAAGGGTAATAAAACCTGGGTATTTTGCAGCAGGAAGTGGAGTAGTAGTTTGGATGTGGGAATGGACAGCAGGATTGGAAAATGGGTTGTCAGTTGGAGTGTTATACATAATTTTATTTTTTTCTTGCTGCTATAGTCTGTACTGTTCTTTGACGCCCCCAGGATCCTCTGTTATTGTTTTCCCCGTCTCCCTTAAAGATTTCTTAATTTCATTCCTATTCTACATTCAAGAAACAGTTATTGGTATTAAATGGCTTCTGGGGTCAGGACATTAATGATAGGTATTATAACTCTTAAAATATGTGTGTAGGGTTTTAAATACATAGGCCAGATTTATCACATTGCATCTCATGCATATTTAAAATGTTAAATTTATCCTCAAATATGTTTTCCCAGAAATTTTTGAAGAACTTTAAAAATTAAACTTGAAAACGCGATACCACAGAATTACCACAAGATGGTGCCATGAGTATATTGAAAGTATGATAGTTTCTTCACTCCCTTGCCCACATCAATATTCTGATGGAACTTATTATTAATGAGTATGGAAAGCAAGAAATACCACACCAAGGAGTGAGGATGTGTGGACATGCATGTGTGGGCAGGATCATGCTCATTTGAAAGACTGAGCACCTTGTATGCAGTAGGCAGAATCTGTAGGGGAGACATGGCAGGGGGTGGGGAGGGTGGGAAGAGCAGGAGAGATCTTTCTTTAGTTTTCAGGAATAAAAATTACTACTTAAATATATTAATATTGTCCATGTCTGGAAAAAATCTCCATTTTAAGAGATATCAGGAATGAACATTAATTTTAAATGATGCAACCTTTGGTTTGCATGACAGATTTAGAGACAAGGCTAGAATGCATCAGTATGATAATGTATTTTACCTTTTCAGTAGAAACACATAGTTTTAAATGCTTGCTTTCACTTAATTTTTGATGAATCAACTTGCCATTTATCATTCAACCAAAATATCTGACTTTTGCAAATATAATTACCATGGTGAATGTATAACAAATCATTGCGTTTCTACCAGTAAGTGCACTAGATAAGTAAATCATTTCAGTGTGAGGTAGGTGGGTTAAAGTATTTACAATATACTTATTTCTTTAAACCTCTTAATTAGTAAGTTCAGAAAACTCGTTTCATAGAATAATTATTATACAATCCATGTATTGGATAGAGCCCATATGACTTATGGTTTTTAGTGAAGGGACAGACTTAGAAGGGGAAAAGGCCTTGGTCAAAATATGTCAGATTACACCTTTGAAAATAGGGCATCCGCTTTTCTTTGTATAAGTCACAGGTCCTTATAAGAGCACTCAGGAATTGTCTCTCACTTGTAGTACTTCAGACCTGGTGATGATACATATAGTAGAAGGAATACTGATATACTTTTCTAAGTCATTGTCTTACTGAGAATTGATCACTGTTTAGTTTCCAAGTATTTTACAAAATCCTGACTCTATTCTTCAAAGCAAGGATAAGAGTTGGTACCCTTTATCTGTTCTCCCCAGATAAATTTAATTGAGACTGATATTGTAGGGTTTATTGAGATTGAAGTTCCTTGGGAATGAGAGTAGAGAATTTTGGAAATAGGATGAAGTCTCAAGTTACAACTCTAACCACCTCCTGCTGCACAAATGCTTTGAATTTGAGACAGAGCTCCAGCCGTTTTCAATGGTGTCAGAAATCTAAAACTATACCTGACATAGACTTGGCAAAGTCATTATAGAACATCTCCATATTCTGTACATGTGGTTAAAAACTGTCAAACAAGGGTGTGGATTATACAAGTGTGTGGATTAAGTACAGAACTCTAAGGGATTGATACATAAAAGAGTTTGAATGGAAGTTTGATAAAATGATTAAAAGGAGTGGTTGACCCTTTTTTAGTGAAGGACGGATTATCTTTTTCTTTAAGAATGCTTCTGAATATAAACTTTTACATATTATATGTATTAAAAGATAAGAGTTGCTTAATATTAAGTCTTGGTTTTTAGATTTTGAAAACCAAATACACCTTTCAGTGTGGAAACTGAGTCTTAGACAATCATGGCAAGTGTTTACATGTCTGAGTGATTTAAATCATCAAAGGCATATTTAAAACCTTGGTGTCTGCCTGGAATAGAAGTGTTACCCATTTTAAACTAATCTGGGGAGAAGGGTTTTCAGTAGTGAGCCAAGCCCAGTGGTAATTAGTGAGTTCAATTTCCACTGGGGGGATGAATGTATTTTCACTTGGACTGACCAGCTTTCTTCACACAGACATTTGACTTTCACATCTTAACAGTGTTACAGCCAAGGAGGCTGTTGGACAGTGTTCTGGGTTAGACATCCCTCTGGAATGTTACAGCTGACCATATGGTTGGTATATGTCCTTGGCACCTAATGGTTTTTCTCGAGCTGGTTTTTGGGCCAGCTGTGAAACATATTTGCTCTTCTGATTACATGGAGTTTGGAGGAGGTGGAAGGGCTGGATATTGTACTTTTTAATGGGCAGAGTGTGCTGGCACTCACACATAATGTTAACACACTTCATTTCAAGAGCTTGCCCTCTGGTGAGCCTGCACTGCAATCCAGAGACTGTTGTCCTGTAGACACTGAGTATTTATCTATTATTTAATGGACTTGATGTGAAAGGTATAGGGAGCTTTTTTTTTAAATCATAGCCCTGAAGTGTTACTCATCTTATAGGATAGTAAGTTACTTTTGGAAGCTGCTGTAACTCCATCAAACCTTCAGGGCACCATTTTGGTTGCTAAAAAAAAGAAGAATTCACCAAATTATGTTGTATTGTCAAAAAAATAAATGCAGTTTCCTTCTTCAGATAGAAAATGACTTTGTGATTGTGTTCTAGATACTAAGAGCCACACATTCCAGTCTAGTTTGTTCAGTGAATAGAAAGACCCCTCTTCACATAAATGCCACCTGGACACTTCCCCAGTGCAGGTCTAGGCCCCAAAAGGCACCCAGGAAATGCTCTTTGAAGACAGCGGATGTTCTATTGACCCAAAATCTTAAGTGTAGTGTCAATGCTCTGCTATATTAAAGTTCTTTAATGTACTGAAAGAAAAGTATTTATTTGGGAAGTGTAGTCATAAGAAAGACTCCAAGCAAATGCAACACATTATTCTTGTTTTTTGAGAACATTTGTTTTTAAAATGGATTTTAAAACTAAACAGTTGGCTCTTGATGGCAGAAAATATTGCTACTTTTTTCTAAAACTGATTTTAAAGAACCTCTATTGCAAGTAGTTTATAGCATATACAAATAAAACAGAAATCTTTACTTCATAAGGCAAAGGTTATTTTTTTGTTTGTGTCTGACAGTGTCACATGCACTGTTTAACATTATGGATATTTTGCTTTTGGGTACAATGAGAAGAGGGTGAGATAACCCAATGTTTTGCCTCCCTCTGAAATACATGTGTCCTTTTAAAATTTCCTTTTGAAAATTAAGGTAGGTTGCTAAAAAAATACTTATGTCAAGTGCCTTTCACACTAGTGGGTATAGAGTTTAGGTGATCAATGAGTACTATTATTATTATGTTTTGTATTTTTTTTTGATTCAGTCATTTTAAGTGGCTTCTTCTTGCCTATCTTTTCCATGTCCTAGTTTTGTCATCGTGCATTATTGCCACATATCTGCTCTGCTTTGTGTCTCATTCTTAACAGCACCTTCCCTCATATTTTTGCCCATCCATTAAAGTAACACTACCCTCCAGATTTCTTGCCTAAGCAAGAGAACATCTGCTTAGGTACCATTTCCCAATCCATAACTTTCTAGCAGTTTAGGTAAACATTTATACAGTCCACAATCTCTTACTTGCAATTTCCGAAATCCAAGAAGCAGTGAGAACTGGAAGATTTTATAATTCATATTGATGGGAAAACGTGACATGAACTAATGTGAGCTTAAATTATAGCATTTATTTATCCCAATGAGTATGAATATGCACAGGTTTTGCTATAGAATGTTAATGTGTCTGATTATAGAGTTGTTGCCCCAGACCCCAGTGCGGCATTATATAACATCTGCCACTGGAGGCATTATATAATTCCTGGCATACGTAGAGTATTACCTTTCTAAAATCTGAAAACGTTTGAATTCTGAAATGCATCAAGCCCGAAGGGTTTTAGATAAGGGATTGGCGTATAATCAAATATCCTGGTTTAATTTTAAACTTTTATCTTATTACTAGGGAGCTTCATGTGTGGTAATAATAAAAAGATTTTTAGGCATACAATCTCTCATGAACTATTCCTATGACTATTTTCGAAGGAAAGTTTATGTGTGTGTTGGGTGAGGCAGAGAGGACAGAAGAGAGAGAGGACACTGAACAATTGCAAAGTCAATGATGCCCAATGCCTTTTCTCATAATACATTCAAATGTTGCCCTAGGGGCTTCAGGTGACAAATAGAATTCAGGTGGCAAAAGTGACTGTGAGGGGCAATTGTGTTCAATGGCATAGGTATATGTATACGCACACGCATGTGCATATCCAATCGTGTGTCTAATCTGTCTCCAAGCAAGGGCATCTAACCAGCAGCCCGTAAGGAGTCAACTTTCCATATGGGGACATAGTGAGAATGCCCATGAGAGTGCTGTGTTTAATGTTGCTCCAGAATGCTGTGTTACGTAAATGTGTGCTGCTTAGTTTTACACAGATGTTTCATATTGTAGACACTTCTAAATGTGTCATCTCAGAGCTGGTAGGATTACTAGAACTGAACCCAGTCATTTATAGGAGATCCTCAAATCAGGAATTGCCTTTACTGGATTCTAGTTTGTCTGGCCTTCAGAGTCTCAATGAGAACCTAAAACCCTTTTTAAAAAATTGAATAGAACCTTAAATGTGTTGTCAATGTTGCCTCCTAGGAATTTCTTCCAGTTTACTTTTGTGATTTTTAATAAACATTTTATTTCTTTTTTGCTTTGCAGTTTGCATGCACATGTCAAATCTGTATATTTTGTGATCTCAAAGCACTGCTACTGCTTTCTGGGGTATATGTATTTCTGGGGTATATCTAATACTGCTTTCTGACCTTGTGTCTTCTAAAGACGATGTCCAGTAGCTCTTGCATCTTATATTTTAGTAACAAAACAGAAAGGATTATAAAAAGCAAAAGTATAAATTTGGGGGTAGTTGGGATAAAAATACATGGGTTTAATGAACTATAGATTTTTTAAAATAATGAGCAAAGATTATAGTGTTAAAATATCTATCTTGCATGTTTATTGTTACACAGAATAGATTTAAATCTCTATTGTTTATGAAATTATCTTAGAATAAAATTGATGGTATTTTGTCCTGGTGCTAGCATAGCATCGCACATTTTTAACTATCACCATTATTTTAATTTAGAGATGGGCACTTAGGAGTTAAAGGATGTTTGATTTGCCCTTTAATGGACATCTATGTCAAATATATGGAATTATTTTTGTTATAATTGTCATAGTCTCCAGTGATTTCATTTGTCTATAGCGAAGTCCCAGGAACCTACAGCTATTTTGATTTATGCAGCCTTTATAAGTCCTCGTAATATAGACTACTGATTTCTTCCCTGTATCCTGCTCATTGTTGAAAAGCCAGAGCTATTTTTAACATTTACACAATTTCAATAGATGATTCTTTATTCCACAAGGTTTGGTGCTAAATCTGTGGAGACTTTCATAATCACATCCTTCTTGTGGTTTGCTTGAATTTGATCACAGTGGCTGATTTCATGCATTGATAATGAAGGCTTAGGTTGCCTGTTTCTCAGCATAAATCCACCTCAGACTTGTACATTGACAGTGCTTCTGGTTTCAGCACACATGGAGATATAGAATTGAAATTGCTCTGCTTTCTTTACAAATGACTCAGAGTGTGCTTGTCCTTCCCTAAAATGTTGCCAGCATGTAAAGGATTTTCAATGAGCAGTGCAATAAGCCAGCAACTGGGAAGGCTTGGAGCGGCACTGATATAACGTGGTGCTGTCACACAGATAATCAGGGCTGGAGCCAAGTCTCGGTAGCGCTGTGCATTATCCTGGTCACATACTGGAAGTTTTGTTTATCCAACTTGGTTGCTCTTGAAGCTGGTGAGAGCCCTGCCAGGATGTGGAGTGGACTTCCTAGCAGAGGTGAGCGTTTTTATTCTAAAACTTGGATGCTGGGGTCTGGGATGTCAGTAACAGATTCTTTTGTATGTTATGCTGAATCCTGTGGAGTCCTCAATTGTGTTTATCACATTGTGCTGACACATCTGAAGGAGCAAAGCTGAAGAGCAAAATATATGATTCTTTAATTTTGTTGCGAAGTAACTCCTTACATGGGTGTGATAACCATCCCTTTCTTTCTGTGCTAGCTGTTTGCCGAGGACATCTTACCAGTAGGTGACTTCCTTTGCATTTTAAACATTCTGAACAAGTCAGTGATATTATGCAATTTGCTACCATTACTGAAAGTAGGTAATTAGCAGTGTTATTATGTGTTTCAGATGTTATTAAAAAGGCTATAAACAAAATGTACTTTGTAGAATCTTTGACATGAAAGACAGATAGGAGGAGACAAGTCATGTTTCGAGATAACTAAGAAAGTAAGTGATGTGGATTACATACTGGAGTTGACAACTTGTGAAGCTAGACATTATTAATAATTAAAAGTTATGACCGGTCATGTACTGGACAACCAACAGTAATTAATTTCTAACGACTGTGTGCCGAATGAGAATGGGAGGAAATTAACAGTATTTCTTCATGAAGTGTGTTCTTATTAGCTGAGATGCTTTAAATGTAGCAGATTGTATCATTTAAATATAAATAAAATACCTGTGCTCACCTGGAGAGGTTAAATTACTAGATCATCATGCTTGGAAAGGTTTGATGTAGCCTTGTAAGTATATGGTATTTGAAAGCCAACTAGATAAGGGCAGACACAAAGTTAGCCTCCAAGTAGATGGAGTGCTATTGCTTAGGCTTGGCTAAACTCTAATTCTGGTGTTTCTAAGCATGAATGGAGTGTGAGGGTTATAATGTATTAAATAGCATTGTGCTTATTAAGTGTCTGTTTAGTATATTAGGTTGGCAGGGGAATCTATTTTTCTTTGATTGGAAGCAGCTAGCATGGCACATGGGGTGTGTATGTATATAAGTGTATGTGTTTTTCCTGCTATATTTATTTGAGGCAGCTGTTTTATAGCTTTCAGCTTTAAAGTTATAGCTAAGTGTGTATTTGTTTGATAGAAGGCTCGAGAACCTCTTTTACTGCCAGTACACGTAAAGCTTGGCTAAGCAGACGCATCAGGAGCAAACCATTTGTGTTCACCAATCTGTCTCGGCAAGTCCCAGGGCCACTATCTTGCTAGAAGCCACTGTGTGCTTTTGAAAGCATGAAATTAGTTTTATACTGAGCACATGGTTTCTCGTTTAGCAGCTCTTTTTATGGTAATGGTCAATTTATGGTTCACTGCCAGGATTTCGGTGTACTGTCAAAGCCGATAGCTTCTGCTAAGGCGTCTCTATGATTTAAAAAAAAAAAAAAATGGAGAGATGGGAAGAACCTAATTAGACCCTCAAGAATAGACTCTTACCTTCAACCTCATCTGTGCTCTAGATGCATTGTCATTTCTCTCAAGTTCCTTTATATTGTTTAATCCAGGACCTACAGATTTAAAGTTGCTAATATCTGCCACTTTGTCCTTTGCTAACATGTGACATCCAAATAGTTATGTTCTGAAATGTGAAGTATTTATTTTTTGCAATACATTTGTAGAAAACCACTCTATTAATGTTGGCCATATTATGCAATTCATCATTACACTTATCTGCTTGCCTGGTAATGCATCCTAGAGCACTGTTGGAGAGAGGGAAAGGCTTTAATACATCTTATATTTGATATAAGCGATTTGTACTTAGTTGTACGTGTATGTGCTATGAGTACGGCGAGTTAAATAATGAAATTAAAACAACCTGTAGATACATTGGAAATTTGACCCAAAAAATGCCTTCTTTCATGCAATCATCTCATTTAGAAAAGCAAAAGCTCTCAAATGCTAAAATGATATTAATATTAAATACAGTTTTTGTTTGTTTCCACATAATAAAAATGAAATGCATTTGTCAATGTGCTAAGAATGCTTTCCTTAACCTTCTCTTTCTATCAGAAGATAACCCTGGTTGAATAATGCATTTTGAAATAGAGGTGATCAAAATTACCAGGACATTTAGTGGAGTATTTATTTTTGTGCTGATTCTTTGCATTGTGGTAATGGATATGCAGGTGGAATAGAGTACATATTTGGATGTTGCTATTATACTTTTTCCCTCATGTGGTCTTGACAAGGGAACTGAAAACACTTCATAAATCCTGAATTTCATGATTTTTTTCTTGTTAATTATTAGATCTTTGCCTGGGTTAAGTGATTACACATGTAAAGAGTCAAGATAAAATATTATTGAAATACAGAGTGTAATATGTGCCATTATAATTAGAAAACAATTTTGTGTTTTTAGATGAAGCAAAATGTGAAACTTTTTTTTCTTCTTTTGGGAATGTTATGTCACAAATCATCATCAGATTGTCAGGGGGACTCAGTTTTAGATTTTGACTTACAAATAAATATCTCATATTTATTAATTCCCCAAAGCCCATGAAACAAATTGAATTTGTGGGTTGAGAATTAGAAACTTAGAGGGCATTGACATTTTCTCTTTGAAATTCCTGATGATATAACATGTTTAATAAATGAAAATCTTTTTAAAAAAGTTTTAGAATGTTAGAATTCTCTTAGAATAGTGACATTTGTCGTATTACATAGAACATAGGACATTCACTCAGAAGAAAGAAGGGATTAATTTGGCATATCTGCCTGAAGTCTTAGTAGCAATTTCTCCTTCAGAAGTAGTAGGATTTATGAAATCATGAGGATATAAATCTCAGTGATTTGCCTGCATCTTTTCACTTTTGTATTAAGGTATAGCATCTTGAATTATTCTTCAGCAGTTCTTAAAAATGACTAGTTACAAAAAATAGCAGATACAAACCTGTTTTAGTTGAGAAACATGATTGCAAAATGAAAGTACTATCCAAATTTGGCTTTCCTGATTGTATAAATCCAACAATAATTTGGGCAATTTATAGAGTTTGTACTTTCTTTTGAGGTATGTTGCTAAGATGAGTATACTTTAGTGAGAAAGTTGCTTCTTACCTTAAAGCTTTATTTACTTTCAGTCTTTTCACTTACTTTTTTTCCTACTTCCTATTAATGAACTAGGAACTTCAAGTTTTAGGGTTTCCAGATTTAGTATATAAAAATATCGAACTCTGAGTTAAATTTGAATTTTAGCTAAAACAATAAATAATATTTTAGTATATATCCAATGCAATATTTGGGACATACTTAATATTGAAAATTGTTAGTTGTTTAGCTGAAATTCAACTTGGACTAAGTGTCTTGTATTGCATCTGGAAACTCTACCTACTTTCTAAATAAAAAAGTGAGTCTCCAGTAATGGCCTAGAAAATTGGTTTTACCAGTGCCAAAATGGAGGCTGCACATTCCTGTAAAAGTGATCAGTTTTAACTGTTAGGGTTTATGCCTGAAAACTCCTAGGGAAAGAAAGTTACTATCTGAGAAACTTAAAATGGTGTCAAGAAATAAAGGACTGATGGAATCTAAATTACAAATAATAAATGAAAGCCTTCTATAATTACTAGTATAATAAAGGCAGCACATTAAATAAGTATCAGTAACATTTTGAATAATTAATGAGTATTATACAATTAATTTCTAATTGTCATCCCTTGTCAACTAGAATATTTTCGGGATTTTCCTTCTTTAGCAGGTTTGAGATACTTATTAATTCATTTTGTTTTGTTGTAGTTAAGATGCGTAATGTCAGGTGCCTCTTTCAATGCCTTCTCCCCTACCCGTTCATCTGGCCTTTATTTAAATATTTGTTACCCTTTTGATTTTAGGACTTAGTTCTGACTGCCACCCACTAGATTTCTCCGAGAGGCAGAGTAACTTGCAAACTTGACCTAGAAGAAAATCTTTGGAATCCTTTAATTATTCCATTTACCATAGCTGAATAAAATAGAATAGATACAATATTTATTATATACCTACTGTGTGCCTCATATGATGTCAAAATATTTATAGGTAGATTTTTATTGAATTCTTTTAACAACTTTATAACATATTAATATAATATTAATTGTGCACATGCTCAGCTGTTTACCAAAACTCCATTCCCACACCCAAGCTATCCCAATTTTAACCACACTGGAACAGAACAGAATGTTCTATCCTGGATCTGAATGTTACTCTTAGATATTGGGCAACCTCCCTGTGGAATAAAGGGTCCTTTGCTGAGAGTGTTCATGTCACTTCAGGCCATATTGCAAAATCCCCTTTGCCCACTCAGCTTCTGTATTACCTTTCTTCTCTTTTCTCACTTACTAATATTCCCCTCCTCCTTTTTGTTAATATCCTTAACAGTCAAAACTAGACATCAGTGTATAATTTGATTCTCAAAATGAGAAAAAAAATCACAGAAGTGAACCACATGTACTATAACAGAATGTGGTGTTAGGAGAACCTGCAGTTGATTAACAAATAATATGGACAACATATTTGGAGTAATTTCTTAAACCTAACCTTTCTGTTTCCAGTCTAAAATGCCACCTCAGTTCTCTGTCAGTTATGCAACATTCAAACCAGGAACCTGTTTTGAGCCTGAATTGATCAGTTGAATGTGAGTGCCATTAACCCAAGTTTTGGAAATGGATTAAGTCTACCATCCCAAGAAAGTACTTCTTACAAAACCATATCTTCTTTGAATTAAATGTTACTCCCACCAAATAATCTAGTTCATTTTTCAGTGTCTATTGCCCTAGTGGACAAATTCCTGTTTTCTTCCCTTTTTTTCTTGTCTGTTAACACTATACCCTTATTTCAATCTGATCATTTTAAATCTCTCAAGATATTTTTTGCCTCCACTCATCAATCTGTTTCCCACTTTTGACTAGTCATAAACGTTATTGTGTTATGCGTTACTTCTTCTACTAGTTTAAACTGATGTTGGTGGCCTTTTCTTGTATTTAAACTATGCTCTTTAGGAAAAGATTCTGATCCCTTTTTACCTTAAATAGTCTACTCCCGTCCCCATGTTGGCATCAATGTCCTCCTACTTACTTCAGTCCTATTTGGTTGTGTGACGTGTTTGTTATCGCAAAATACCAATGTGAATCCATAATCTAAATTTCAATCCCTAAAGATCTTCCAACAACGTTTGTCCTCAAATTTTTGGAAAAGGTGCTGAAAGGTAAGTTAAAGTTCCTAATTTGAAGAATTCTATTTCTTTTAATTTCTTAAAAGGTGATGCTGGTCAATAGCTATCTTTTCTTGGCAAATGGCAATTGAATGACAAAAAGATGCCTCCCCCAGGGAACACCTAGACTGTCAGAGATGAGGAGCCCTCTGTCCCTGACTTCTTCCAGGGACTCTGAAATGCCACTGGGACATTTAGCAAATCATCTTTTTGCTCACATTTCAAATTTGATGTGTGAATTTCACTTGGAGATCTATAGTACTGCCAGTTTTCTGTTTCTCTGATTCATTTTCCATTAGTGGTGGTTTTTAAGCAGACAATGGAAGAAATGACTTTACATCTAGAACTCTCCCTTCCTTCCAGCAAGTTAAAGGGGAATTTCTTTACTCAGGATTCTTGGGTGCTGGGAGAGGGCAGGCTACATTTTGAAGAAATTTCAAAATATCCAGGAGTAAGCAGATTCAGAAATGAATCTGTAAGGGCTTCTTTTTCTGTCATTTTTCCATACTTTCTGTATTTTTTATTATTGCACAATGGGTAATAGTATAGTTATAATAAATTAGTTAACTCTTAATCTAGGAGCTTTTGGATTTTGTGTAATTTAAGTACGTAGCTACTTTTGTGTGATTTAGTAAGGTAAGCAATGAATACCACTCTTGCAGTAGTTAGAAATCCTGTAATGGGCTCTGAATCATGCTTTAATGGGGGTAAGGAGAAAATGGGTATGGCTTGGAAATGATCTCTGATGCTTATCACTTGCTTCAGCTACAACTGATTTAACCAGCAATAACCAAAAGTTTGATTAAGCTATACTAATACTCCAGGGTTGGTAAATTTTGTGCCAGCCACCATGATCATACGATTAACCCAAACTAATAAAATCTGGTGAAAAGCGTGTTTAAGGTAAACCTACAGTAAAGCTAAACTCCGTCTAAGCTGTAAAAAGCTTCAACTGAAGTAAAAATAAACTACAAAAGTGACTTTAACACCCTGAAAACACGATAGCTAAGACTCAAACTGGGATTAGATACCCCACTATGCTTAGTTCTAAACCCAAATAGTTCAACCAACAAAACTATTCACCAGAGTACTACAAGCAACAGCTTAAGACTCAAAAGACTTGGCAGTGCTTTATATCCCTCTAGAGGAGCCTGTTCTATAATCGATAAACCCCGAGGTACCTCATCATCTCTCACCACTCAGCCTATATACCGCATCAGATCAGCTCTCCAGCAGCAAATATTATCATTGTCCTTTTAAAATGGAGTGGATGCAATAAATGGTGTATAATGAGACTTAATAATAACAGGAATGATAGTTGACTTTCAAGCTAACCATATGCAAGACGTTTTATATGTATAAACTCATTTAATCTTTACAACAATCCTATAGGTAAGCATTAGGGAAACTGAAGTACAGAGAGATTAAGGTACCTTCCCAAAGTAATCTAGCTAGCTCAGCTGAGATTTGAATTTGCAGTGGTGGTGGAATCCATGCTTTTAACCAGTGCCCTAGACTAGTTCTCTGTGAGATATTTAACAAAGTCTTTGTTGATATTATTTTGTGAACAAAGTAGAAAACTCTGGACTGAATGACAGTGTAATTTCGTGGATTTGTAACTGGTTGAATATCTATACCTAAAATCTACCTGGCCAATATTAACTTAAGGGAAGGCTCCAGGACTCTGCAATGACTTGGTGAGAACATTGATGACTTAGCCATTAAATCTGTAGATGTTATCAAACTGGGATAATACATATATAGGAAGACACAATTGATGTAAATCCTGAGCCACCTCCCACACTAAATAAATTAGAATTTCTGCAGCTGCTATCTAGGAATCAGTATTTTTAAAGCTCCCAACGTGATTCTAATGTGCAGCCTCAGTTAAAACCACTATTCTAGAAAAGTGGCCCAACTCCAACATGATCAGTTTCAACTAACAGTAAGTGGAGGAAGTAGTGAAAAACGATGTAGGAATATTGATAAAATGTAAACTCATCATATGAGTCAAAAGCGTGATATGATTGTTTCACACAATCTTAGTGGTCTCTTAGATGGGAATTGTAGAAATAGAGTATCTATAACAATGAAGGTTGGAGTCCTGCTCTTTGCTCAGCTGGGCAGGAGCGTGCCTGGAGTTTGGGTGAAATGCAGAGGAGGGCCTTAGGTGTTTTCATTTGAAGGTGACCAGCCTGGTCAAGGTGCACTGAGTACCTTATCAAGGGGAAGAGATTATCAGGGGACTTATTTTATGTAACATTCGAATTATATTTTTTCAATAAAGCTCTTGGGTAAAATTAATGTCAGTAGACAGAGTTTTCAAGAAGAAAGATTTTTGCTTGATATAAAGAACTTCCCAATAGAGCAGTCTGAAGATGAAGGCGTTCCTTTTTTCTTTGGACATGGTACAGATACCTCATGGGTGTTACTGAAGCAAAAGGCAGATTGTGACTTAGGCATATGATAAAGGAGGTTTAAGGGTTGGATAGATCATTAAAGTAGATGATCTTCTAACTTCAGACTCTATGATTATATGAGCATGTTAAATTTCAAAGGTAATGCATGAGTGACCATTTGTTCATTACATTAGTTCTGCATTCAGGAGAAGCAGTGGAGTAGTGGAGTTATGGAACAGTTTCTGAGGCATTCAAAGCGCAGCTCCACCACAATTTAGCTGTGTGATCATGGACAAATTACTTCACTTTCCAAGTCTCGGTTTCCTTATCTGTAAAACAAGAATAATAATAGACTCAATTTTATTTGTTGCAAAGATTAAGTGAGAATAATATATATAAAGGTTTTTGCATAGCAAGTGGAGAGAACATGCGGGGAATATGATGTAATCAGAAATTATCCTAGTAAAAGCTGTGGGGTTGCAATTGAATTTATGATTTGGCATGTGGTAAAGTACTCAATAAATTCAGCTGTTGTTATTTTTAGATTCTTTTTTCAATCATAGATGTCTTAATAAAAGTTAGGGTCTGAAAGTTAAAACCTAAAACAGGTAGATATTGATGGGCGATATGGAGCCGGATTACAGGAGACACAAGTTAGATGGCACAACATGTGAGGTTTTGAGTAGGTGGGGGCCACATAAAGAATGGGCCTGGGCAGGAAAAAAAAAGGGAGTTTCTGAAAGGGAATTGAGGAACTTTATTGCTTTTAACTCTTTACCCATTTCCAACTATTATTTCATTTGATCCTTACTATAACCCTGAGAAGTAGAGAAAAGTAACATTTTCTCGTTATACTTGATAATAAATAAGCATCATCAAAAAGGTAAGTGACTCGCTGAAGACAGGATAACTGGAAGTTAAACCTAGACCTCTCAAGCCCCACACCGCCACTCAACAGCTTTCATATGTCACACCAAATTCTGCCCAGTTCCATGTGCAACCCAGCTTGAATGTTTGCATTTGAATGACAACTTAACAGTAAAGACTATAAATAAACAATGTGATGAGGTTTGGAAATGAAGGCAAGACGTGAAAAGAGAACAGCATTAGTGAGTTGCATTTACTCCAGTATAAAGTTTTGTTTTGTTTTGTTTGGAGACGGAGCCTCGCTCTGTCGCCAGGCTGGAGTGCAGTGGCATGATCTCTGCTCACTCCAAGTTCCGCCTCTCGAGTTCAAGTGATTCTCCTGCCTCAGCCTCCTGAGTAGCTGGGACTACAGGTGCTCACCACCATGCCTGGCTAATTTTTTGTATTTTAGTAGAGATGGGGTTTCACCATGTTGCCCAGGCTGGTCTCGAACTCCTGAGCTCAGGCAATCCACCCACCTGGGCCTTCCAAAGTGCTAGGATTACAGACGTGAGCCTACACGCCTGGCCCTGGTATAAAGTTTTAAAGTGTTTCTATTGATTGGAAGACAGCATTTAAAGAAGTCTGGAATGATGATTAAAAGCTCAAGAAGTAGCTTTACCAGTCAATGATGTTAACGTTATTATCACATTTTATCATATCTGACTACTGAAAGGGCTTTCTGTGTAATACGATTAACTGTCCTTGACACACCTCATGCTAAACGGCAAACTTCTTTAGCATGACATAGCAAATCCAATAGTTAATAAGAATCACCATATAGTAAAAGCTTAATGGTCCAATGAGTTGAGGGAGGACCAACAACAGGGACTAAAGTTTGTGCTTTGATTTGTCAAGCAAAATAAGAGCTAAAAAAAAATCTGCAAAATTGATAGAGAAAAAAAAGTCCCATTATTTATTTTTTAGACAAAGTTGTAAGCTCCCAAAGCAAGTATCAAGTAAGATGGAGAGTTTTATAAATTATTCTGCCTACTCTTATTTTAATAAATATAGATGAGTAGTAAGTAAAAATAGTCCTTCACCTAATCAGAACCTATAATTATTAGCTGTAATTGTCACAGTCATGGTTCTTGCTGGCCAAGGTATTTATTTTTCTTTTTCACATTTAAATATATTTACATAAAAATAATAAAATAAGGTATATTTAAGGAACAGGCTTTTTTTTATTATTATACTTTAAGTTTTAGGGTACATGTGCACATTGTGCAGGTTACATACGTGTACATGTGCCATGCTGGTGCACTGCACCCACTAACTCGTCATCTAGCATTAGGTATATCTCCCAATGCTATCCCTCCCCCCTCCCCCCACCCCACAACAGTCCCCAGAGTGTGATGTTCCCATTCCTGTGTCCATGTGATCTCATTGTTCAATTCCCACCTATGAGTGAGAATATGCGGTGTTTGGTTTTTAGTTCTTGAGATAGTTTACTGAGAATGATGATTTCCAATTTCATCCATGTCCCTACAAAGGACATGAACTCATCATTTTTTATGGCTGCATAGTATTCCATTGTGTATATGTGCCACATTTTCTTAATCCAGTCTATCATTGTTGGACATTTGGGCTGGTTCCAAGTCTTTGCTATTGTGAATAATGCTGCAATAAACATACGTGTGCATGTGTCTTTATAGCAGCATGATTTATAGTCCTTTGGGTATATACCCAGTAATGGGATGGCTGGGTCAAATGGTATTTCTAGTTCTAGATCCCTGAGGAATCGCCACACTGACTTCCACAATGGTTGAACTAGTTTACAGTCCCACCAACAGTGTAAAAGTGTTCCTATTTCTCCACATCCTCTCCAGCACCTGTTGTTTCCTGACTTTTTAATGATTGCCATTCTAACTGGTGTGAGATGGTATCTCATAGTGGTTTTGATTTGCATTTCTCTGATGGCCAGTGATGATGAGCAATTTTTCATGTGTTTTTTGGCTGCATAAATGTCTTCTTTTGAGAAGTGTCTGTTCATGTCCTTTGCCCACTTTTTGATGGGGTTGTTTGTTTTTTTCTTGTAAATTTGTTTGAGTTCATTGTAGATCCTGGATATTAGCCCTTTGTCAGATGAGTGGGTTGCGAAAATTTTCTCCCATTCTGTAGGTTGCCTGTTCACTCTGATGGTAGTTTCTTTTGCTGTGCAGAAGCTCTTTAGTTTAATTAGATCCCATTTGTCAATTTTGGCTTTTGTTGCCATTGCTTTTGGTGTTTTAGACATGAAGTCCTTGCCCATGCCTATGTCCTGAATGGTAATGCCTAGGTTTTCTTCTAGGGTTTTTATGGTTTTAGGTCTGACGTTTAAGTCTTTAATCCATCTTGAATTGATTTTTCTATAAGGTGTAAGGAAGGGATCCAGTTTCAGCTTTCTACATATGGCTAAGGAACAGGCTTTTTTAGTCCATAGCCACTTTTACACTCAGGCAGTATACATATTCTATTATTGTACTTATACTGTGTATTATTTATTTTACAATATCTTTCTCACCTGTTAGTATATGAGTACTTTGAGGATAGGGTCTATGTCTTGAGTCTTTAAATATGTGACTCTCAATATAATACCTGGCATATGATAATAAGTCATAGACTTAAAATGTTGACTAAAGGACAGAACACTTGAATATAGAATCTGTGAATACTTGTGCAGAACTCAATACTTTATTTGATATTGCTGTTCATAAAAAGATTCATTCTTCAATTAAAACATGCTATTTTACTTACCTGTCAGATGGATAAGATCAAACCGTATGGTAGCACAATGAGCTACCTAGTATGTGGGCATGGGGCACTCTCATACATTGTTATGTGGAGTATGAATTGATTCATTTAATATTTGCAGGGCAATGTGGTAATAACTATTAAAACTTAAAAGGTGTATCTCTTTTGACCCAGCAATTTCACTACCAGATTTAGTTAACAGATATACTTGCATATGTATACAAAGACACATAAAATAATAAATTTCCTTGCATGTGTGTATATACATATACATAAAGATTTTATTGCAATGTTATTTGTAGTAGAAAAATACAGGAAAAAATACTCAGCAATAGATGATAATAATTATGGTTCATCCATGCCATGTGATATTATGCAGTAATTTAAAATAATAAGATATGTCTGTAAGAACTGATATGGAATAATGTGCAAAATATAAGAAAAATTTGCAATATGCAGAACAAAGTATATATTGTTTGTGTAAAAGGTGTGTATGTTTGTATGTGTGTATGTACATATATACATACATATGGGGGAAGGAGGAGGGGATCAGGAAAAAGAAGAAAAGAATGAATTTATTTCATGGGAGACTGGGGAATGGGTTCAAGGTAGAATTACTTTAAACTGTATGCTCTTTGTGCTGTTTGAAGTAGACTTATATTTAACTATTATACTCTTGTACTTTTTTTTTTTTTTTTTTTTGAGACGGAGTCTCGCTCTGTCACTCAGGCTGGAGGGCAGTGGCACAACCTCGGCTTACTGCAAGCTCCGCCTCCCGGGTTCATGCCATTCTCCGGCCTCCGCCTCCGGAGTAGCTGGGACTACAGGCACCCGCCACCGCGCCCGGCTAATTGTTTTGTATTTTTAGTAGAGACGGGGTTTCACCCTGTTAGCCAGGATAGTCTCAATCTCCTGACCTCGTGATCCGCCCGCCTCGGCCTCCCAAAGTGCTGGGATTACAGGTGTGAGCCACCAACTCTTGTACTTTTAAACTTTTTAACATACACATGGCTCACTTTGAGAATAACAAATATATTCACATTAAAAAGAAGGTAACAGATGAAAGAAGTGGAGGGGAAATGGAAGGAATGTGATGTGATCAAAAGTTATCACAGAAAAAGCTTGTAGAGTTGCTAGATGATGACTTTGTGGTTTCTAGTCACAGTTAATGGATGGGAAAAGATATAGAGGAGAAGTCATCCCACCAGGTAACTGGATGATGATCCAGCCTGTTGCCCTTGTCCTCCTAAGTGTATGTTGCCTAGAAGGTCAAGACAGAAAGCTGGTGTTTGGTCAAGTCCTGAGCAGGAGTTGCGCTGACCCTCTATGATCATTTCTGGTATCTAGGTTTAGCCTAACTGATAATGCATGTTTACCTTCCATACTTGCTGGAAATAACTCTGCAAGAATTCATGATTGTACATAGTCATCTGAATGTCCCTCCTTTAAAACTTCTACTTTTCTTACTTTTGAGTGTCTATGTAAAACATTAAGGGTCTTGGGGAATTTCAGCTTTGTGTTGGAAATGAAAATTTTCAAGGTAGCTCAATGCAAGTCACACCACCATATTAAAAAATAAAGGAAGAATGACCAAAACCACATTAAAATAATAATAAAGCATACCTTAAATCTGCAAATGTGACAGTATTCAATGCTGCACTGAGCTCACCGTGTTGTTTTTTAATCTCATACATTTAGTTCTCTGTTGGAGAAACGCATAACACTGGGTGATCTTACCTTTGGGGTTGTAATACAGAATCATGATGAGATGATGGACATTTTATGATGAATTCTCTTGCTTCTAGGAGTTTAATGCTGAGTTAGAATGTTAATTTAACTCATTCTTTTTGTTTAATAAGCTCAAAATCCCAGCTGAGCCCAAATGGGAGTGATTTTATCTTATATTCAACATCAGCTTGCAGAACTGAAGCATGAAAGGTTTGATTAATATTATGATCAGCTGACTATTGATTATCTAGCTATTTTCCTTCTGTCTTCTAATTGGTCCAAATTGGCTGGACTGCTGCTCTTTGAAATATGTTCTTCTTTGCATTTCAAGATGATGCTATTGGATTTTCACCAAGTCATACATACCCTTTTCCTATTATGATCAGCTGCATAATTGCTGGCATTTATGTATTTCCTACACAGGATTAAGGGTAAAGTTAGTGTTTGTGAATCTATAAAGAGCCAACTGGACAACAGAAAAGCCATGATATTAGTCTCAGTGCCATGCTCTAAATTGGCTGAGCCAATGGGACACAATCAGTTGACCTAATTCTAAAATTCTGTGAATTTCCATCTTTCTTTGCCTCATGAAAAATGACAGCAAAAACAGAGCAGGAAAAGATACTTCATTAAACTCCTGCTGTGAGACAGTTTTAATAGGTTCAGAGACTATAACCTCAAACTATAAAGGCTGAGCATTTGTGCAAAAAAGAGAGCGATCTTAATCCAAAAAAGTTTCTTTCCTTTGCTAGGCATTCTTTCTTTACATACAGATTAGTGCCAAATGGTGGTCTGTTCGTGTCATGCCTAGAGGGTGTGGTGGCTTTGTGGGACTGTCAAGAAATAAGAGTTGGCAAAGCAGGCAAGCTGGTTGCAGAGGGCCTGGTGTGCACATTTCCGGTAGTCTTCCCAGCTCTGGCAACATGTTAGAATCAGCTGGGAAACTTTTATTGTTTGTTTGTTTATTTTAGAAACAGGGTCTTGCTATGATGCCCACGTGGGAGTGCCATGGCACAATCACAGCTCACTGCTTCCTTGAACTCCTGGGCTCAAATGATCCTCTCACTCCAACCTCCTGAGTAGCTGGGAATACAGGCATGAGGCACCACTTCTGGCAGGAGATTTTTAAGTGATACCATGCCCACACTCCACCCTGATCAATTAAATCAGAATTGCTGGCATGGGTGTTATTAAGAGC
This sequence comes from Homo sapiens, assembly GCF_000001405.40. NCBI lineage: Eukaryota > Metazoa > Chordata > Mammalia > Primates > Hominidae > Homo > Homo sapiens. The sequence continues at coordinate 179,731,558 of NC_000002.12, read as the reverse complement.
TCCTCAGTTTGTTCTAAAGTTACCTTTGAGAATCACCGGTTAAAGGGGTTGATTTGCGCTCTGCAGTGCAGGTGCTGGAGAGTTTTTGAAAGAAGCACCACAAATGAATTGATTGTGAAGAAACAGTTACGAGTGAATTAAGAAAGTACACATGGCAAAGATTTTGTGACTTGGTATCAGGCAGCCACAGGTTCGAACACTGACCCTGACTCTTGCTATCTGTGTGGGAAAGTTCTCTTACCTCCCTAAACTCAGTTTTCTCATTTATGAAATGTACCTCATCCAGTAGGTATGATGATCAAATGAAGTTACATATGCCACAGAATATAGCACAATGCTTAGAAACGTGGTAATTGTGGGAAAAAGTAAAAGCAGAGGTACACCTTTCTAAGTTTGAATTCTTGGCTACCTCTTTTTACAAAGTGGGAACAGTACTAGCCAAATCTGAACATACAGGTTGAAACCAAATGTATACATATTTTGCTTGAAGAAATAGTTGCATTTTGGTCAGGTAAATGTGTATTTTCAAAGCCTTAATCTATGTTAACATGTGACTTTTATGATAAAGTCTGAGTTATATTTTGATGGTGTTTGGTAAAAAGGTGGAAAAAGGTCCCAGTAAACTGAGTTTATAACTTTTGTTGCTTTAGAATATGCTGGTCATTGTGGACAATCAGTGTGTGGCAAGGACTCTTTCAAATTTAATTATACTTTTGATTTTAGGCTGCTTCTCCTCTATCTTGTTACCATTCTATTTCCCTTTGTATCATAATAATTTTTCTATTACTTCACACTAAGCTGCATGTACATATATTTGTTTCTGAATTGTTCATTCATTCACATGATCATTCAATATCATTTATTGAGCTTAAATTTTGTACTAAATTATTTATCAGTATAGAAGTAGTACATAATTTACAAATGGACTTTATTGCAATAATTGATTTGGAAGTTAATTAGTGGCTTTGAAGCATTTTCTCATACATTTACTATTTTAAATTAGGCATAGACTTCCAAGCTAGCTAAGGATGGAGGAAGAATCTTGCAGAAAGGAGTAGTGCACAATTTCCATAGGAAGAACTAAAGTTTATACTGCTAATAGAAAGTAATGAAGAAACGGGGACAGGAGATAGAACGTAAGAAGTCAAGGTATATATTGAAATGTTCCTATTATGGTGAGGTCAACATTTAACTCCTTTTCTAGAATTATATAACATGGAAGAATGTCTTCTTGAAGACCAGAAGAATGAGAGAAGAGGTAACTTAAATTTCTTCACAGGTGGTGGTAATATGATTTGTCATTGAAATTAGACACTTTTAAGAGTTATTAATGATTAAGCCAGGACCCGGGCATAAACTTAGTGTTACCTCATGCTGGAATGTGTGGTCACTCTAAGCAGGGTGTAATCAATCTTAAAATTGTCCCAATGCAGTGTTAAATAGATTGAGCAAGTGTCCAGATATATTTAGATTTAACAATTTAGAATTAACAACTAAAGCAACCCTAGCCTGGGGATACTATGGTGTATTAGTCTGTTTCTGCACTGCTATAAAGACACACTTGAGACTGGGTAATTTATAAAGAAAAGAGGTTTAATTGACTCACAGTTCCAGATGGCTGGGGAGGCCTCAGGAAACTTGCAATTATGGCGGAAGGGGAAGCAGATACATCTTACACGGTGGCAGGCAAGAGAGAGTGTGTGAAGAAGGAACTGTCAAACACTTATAAAACCATCAGATCTCATGAGAATTCACTCACTATCATGAAAACAGCTTGGGGGAACCGCCCCCATGATCCAATCACCTCCCACCTGGTCTCTGCCTCGACACATGGGCATTATGGGGATTACAGTTTGAGATGAGATTTGTGTGGGGACACAGAGCCCAACCATATCATATGGTATTTAATCTTCTGCCTTCCTGAAAACTAATAGTAATGTGACCCTTGGAATATTTACAAAATTGGTGAAGATGAGTACTTCATGTAAGCATTAATGCAACTTGAAATGTAAGAACAAGACCAGGCAAGAAGCTACAAGTTAATAATATATCTCTGAACTTGAAAATGCAAGGTTTATCCTTTTGGTTTTCACTCTGATTTTGTCCCCGTGGTCTTGAAACTTCTGAGAGGTTTACATCTGTTTACAAATTCTGTTTGTCTAACACCATTTTGCACTCATAAGATTCTGTTTCCTTGGAATTTACTACTAGATTGGGTCCACCTCCAGCTGTCTCAAATTGTGTTTAATCACCAGGAAAGTTCTGTTGATTGTCAATGATGTTTGCTTGATTAATTCAGCTCTAACTGTGTTTCGTTTTTACCTGTGTCTTTCAGGATGTCCTAGAAAATTAAATGTTTCCTTTTGGGATTTTCAGGGAACTGGAACTAAAAAGAAAGTTAATTTCCTTGGTTTTTTTTTTTTTTTTTTTGAGAATAGAATATTTTCATTAGTTTTCTTTAATACAGTTTTGACTTTAGAGTAAATATTTTATGTGAACTAAATTTTCTTTGAAGTCGTGTTTTTACTTCACTATGTCATTAGAATTTGGCCTATTATTTGGCTAATACTCTAAAGCATAATCTACTTGAATCTTTTTAAAAGACATTACTTTGGGAGTTGGATTTAAGAAAAATTTAAAAAGTACTTGTGCTACCTGAGTTTTTAATAATTTTCAATAGTTTCCTGACTTAATCTTTTATCAAGAATCCATAATGGGCTTTAAAGTTATAAATATATAAAATGGAATGGCTTTTTCTGAGGAATATTTTCCCATTGATTTCTATTACTCGTTCTTCAGTGTTGTTTTCTTCCTGTCCCAAAGTCTTCCCTAAAGATTAGAGTTTGCAAACCAGTATTAAAGATTTTTTGATGACATCAGTCCTTTGGGAAGAAAGTGCAATATACTGGGACCAGCTAATAGTAAATTTAAAATCAAAGTTTTAAAAAATTTTGGGCTAAAAACATATTAACTATGGGAAACATAAATTTTCAAGACCCAAGATCCACAAATGTGTATTTTTCACACTCACTGCTCTCTTCCATATAAAAGAGGTCATGGTGTGGTGGAAAGAACACCAGATCAGAGTTGGGTTTTCTGGATTCTCATCTTGAGCTACCAATGGATTTTGATACCTTCAGTAAGTCACGTAGTTATGTGGGTGTTAAAGTCCTCATCTCCAAAACAAGGAATTGAGACTAATTTTTTTTAGTATCCTTTAAGAGCCACTTTTGCTGGAAAATTCTAAGGAAACTTTTTATGTGATTTTGTAGGTGCTTGAAGTTCGGCTGCACTCACAGTTTAAAAAGAGAGAAGAAAATGGGTAATGTTTTTTATTTTCTCCAGAATTAGCTGTTCTAAGAACACAAAGGATTATATGGAGATTATTATTGAGATAACTACATTCAGAGGGTTTAATCATATGCATTTTATTCAGACAACTTTCTCATTGATTTTTGTCTGAAAGAGTCAAATCTGACAAAAAGGCAGTTGCTCTCTGGGAATGGGAATGAGCTACATTTGTTTCAAGAGTCGGGGCATTTTTTGTGATTATGATGTTCTACAGAAACATCTTGAAGTGCCCATATTGTTTGTTATTATCAATATTCATGCATTTTACTATTAAACATTCTTTTTATAGACTTCACAAAAATGCCCCAGTGATATGATTTGTCACCCAGTGAAAACCTGCTGCCTCCAAGCTAGTCTGGGCATCTGCTCACAAATAAGATTTCCTCAATGTTCAAAATAAATCTTTTCTGTCACTTTATGGTATCTTTTGATGCACTCCATATGTCTTAAATACATAGGATTTAGGTGTGACATGTTGTTTTTCCATAGTGGTTATTCAAATCAGTTTTTATTTGGTCATATTCATTGGTTACATTTTTAATCATGTAATTCCCAGTTTATTCTTATGTTGTATATAATTCTAAGTTTGTAGCAAGAAAAATATATCTAAGCAGAATGGCTACACTGCTATGGTCTACTTAAGTAGATTATAAATGTTTTGAGGTGGCAAACGTTGTTGCTGTTTCCCATGATTACTCCTTAAAAGGGCAGATGTAGCCATTTATAGCTGTAGCAATCACACATTTTTCAGATATTATTTTCCTTATTATATAGGACTTCCCAAGTGTGTCATTATAAGATAGCTCATGCTGCAAGATCCTAAGATTGCTTAGATAGCACAACTCCTTTGAAAATTCTGTGGACAAGAAATTAAATCGGTGGTATTTTATATTGTTTGGAGATTAATTTTTGGAAAGCTGAAACTGATGGATTTCCAAAAGTGGGATAATTGAAATGAGGATTTATTTTAAAATATTTTAAGTTTATAAAAATAATAAAGTCATAAAATTGAGTGGTTATCAGATAAAATACCTTGCTTCTGATTCATTCAACTCATCTTTAAAGGCAGCTGAGATCTCTTTTTAATGTTGAGTATCTGTTCATCTCATCTGAACTCATCGCTATAGTCTGAGTGCTCCCTGAAACACACACACGGAACTCTACTTGCACCACAAGATGACTATTTCAAGACAATGTGATATACTCATTTAAGTCACACATTGTGGTTAAAGTACTCGGGTTAAAGTAATGTGGATTCTAATCTCCATTCTTCATTAACTAGCTCAATGTCCAGTCAACATCCAGTTGCACTACTTAACATCTCTGTGTTTTATCTCATGCTTCAAATAAGAAAAATGCTATACATCTACAAAACTGACAGATATCCTATGTGCATTACATAAGATGATGTCTATAGATGTGTAAAGCACAAATGCAGTAATAGTACTATATTATCTCCTCCTCATCATTGTCACAAGTTATTTATTAAACAGAAGTAGCCCACAATTTTTTGACTACTTGTGTGTTGATATTGGACTTTGTCAATGTGAAATGATGTAGAAAGCCTAGAACAGGAGCACTCAAGGGTGACTTGTAATAAAAACACTAGGCCGCCACCACTACAGTGTATTGAAGTCTTACCCTGTGCCAACTACTATGTTAAGTGCTTTATGTATAATCACATTTACCGTATGAAAAATTGCTTCAGTATAGTACTAATACTCCCATATCCTAATGAGCAACAGAGGCCCAGAAAATAACTGCCTCTAGGTCTTACAGCTAGTAAGTGAAAGAGTGAGGACATGTGATTCCAAACTTATATAATTATATTTTTAAAACAATATCCAGAATTGGAATGGGCCGATGATAGAAGGAAACACACAAAGGATATGGAGAGGTGCAAGACATGCATTAAGAAGATAAAAAGAGGCATGAAGCCCTCAAATAATGGTAACTGGTTTGTTAGGGCAATAAATCAATGAGATTTTAATGAAGGGAAAGATACAGGACACCAAAGGTGAACCTACCACACTACTCCTTTTTTTAAACTGGTATTTCATACTTGTTGTAAAGGAAGTTGAGAAGGTTGTTGTGGAGAGAAAGTTTGAAATGACAGTTGTCCACAAGAATGCAAAAGTAGGAGCTACCACTTTAGGGAGATATGCAGAAGCTATGACTCTAAGATTTCATTTTAAGAACACTGTAGATCTTTTCCTATAAGGTGGGAAGGTAGTGTGCTATTGTCTAGATTTATCTCTCTCTCTGTATATACACATATATATATATATATATATATACACACACAAACACATATATTCATATATATATCATGTATGTATATATGAGATATATGATATATGTATATATGATATATCTGAGATGTATATCTATATAGGTTCATATATTTAAAAGAATCTGGGTTTCTTTGAAACATCTTATCAGTTGGAACATAGTCATTGCTATCAAATATCTACCTTTTAGCCTTTCTCAAACAATTTGCATAGTAATTTTTTGTTAAATTTCTGTGCTTTCAGTTGTCAGTTTTGCACCATTTCTTGTCAATTTCACACTGTAGAGCAGTGTGAAACTGACAAAGCTAGAGAAATACAGAACATTATGAATACATATCAAAACTATACTGTGAAAAAGACAACACTTAATTTATAGAATCCAAAGAAAATGTCTAAAAATTACCTTCATGTATATATAATATATATGACATTTATATATCTTGGAAGAAAATGTGTGTATATATATATTCATAAATATATATACATGCACGTATGTGTTTTTATATATATGTGATGAGTAATTTTAAGGTAACTGAACCTTGTTTTTGTTGACTATACAAAGTATGTCATAGAGAAGTATAGTTAAAGCAGTTTTTCATTTATAACTAACCTATTAATTGAAAATCTACAACTTTCCTAGGCTGGAGTAATTTCACTTGACATTTCTGAATACGTAGGTGTTTAGAAATTAGATTACTTGATTGAACAGTATACACTGAACCTTTGATCACACAAGCCTCTTTTCTTACTATGTTTTGAAAAATAGCTGTGGCTCCTGATCTGATAGGTGAAATTAAATATACATTATATAAGTTTAATTACTGTTGTGTAGTTTCCCATAAATGTACAGTAGTGATAGTATTTATTACAATGCTTATTTTTTATGTGAATTATGTAATTTTTCTCAAGTTAAATACTAATATTTATGGATGCCTACCAACAGCAACATAGATTTAGAATTTACTTTCAAAATAAGCTAAATTCATAGCAAAATGGTTTAAATTATAAAAATCTTACATTAATTTCTATAAAAATCATTCATTTATTTGTGCAGACACTATTGTATGCATCAAGGATGACAGACACATTCCCATCCTCCCTAGCTTCCCAGCTTACTGTCTAGAGAACAGTTATTTATTAGAATTTGTCTTAAAGAGTCAAAATAATTATCAACCTCTAAAAAGGAGCTTCTATTTCAATATTTTTATCCTGCAAAGTATCACCTTAGCTTCTTGTGCTAGTCTTAAACTAAAATTATGTTAGAATAATGTTCACTAAATATGATTTGTAACATTGTAACTGCTGTGCTGAGTCAGCCTATATGAATGGCTTTCCATTAGATAAACTCTTACAAAGTATTTTCTAACATTTTAGTGAATTTTGAGGCTTAATTCTTAATAGGGTAAATTATAGAGTGATTCTACCTTGATTGGCATGTCTTTGGAAGAATTTACATAACTAAAATATTTTTGAGAACCAATTTAATTGAAGATTTAGACAGTTTCTTTCAATACTGTAGATTTCGTTCTTGATAACCACATATTATCACAAAGCCTTCATTTAGTTTTCTGATGCCTTTGTTAATTAATTTATTATTATTATTTTACTGAGATGGAGTCTTGCTCTGTCACCCAGGCTGGAGTGCAGTGGCGCAATCTTGGCTCACTGCAAACTTCACCTCCCAGGTTCAAGAGATTCTCCTGCCTTGGCCTCCTAAGTAGCTGGGATTGCAGGCGCCCGCCACCATGCCCGGTGAATTTTTGTATTTTTCGTAGAGATGGGGTTTCACCATATTGATCAGGCTGGTCTTGAACTCCTGACCTCAAGTGATCTGCCTGCGTTGGCCTCCCAAAGTGCTGTGATTACAGGCGTGAGCCACTGTGCCCCACCCAATGCCTTTAAATTGCTTCTTTTAATTTTCACTAACATAAGATTGTACTAATTGGTAATACTAGAATATACTAGTTTTTATATGATGTATGAGCAGTGACATTTGTGAGTCCTTGATTTTACTACTTTATTGTTTTGGTCCCAATTGATAACCAAGCAAAGAAACTTAGCCTAATTAGTATGTTAAGAATGTAGAGTATTTTTAAATGAAAAATATATAATATTTTCAGAAAGTATATAAAAACTTACGTAGCTTTGAAAAATTAGGCATCAATGTATCTAGCCCCTTATTCAAAAATAAAACCTTAACCTCAGATAACCCTTGCTTCTTCCTTAGTTCCCAGAAGTAATTCCTGTCTGGAATTGTGTGTTAATTATTCTCTTGCTTTTCTTTAGTTTACCACTAAATATGCGTGTTTTAAAATATATTTAGTTTTTGCCTACTGTCACATACTCATCCATAATATAATTTTTAAGATTCATACTTTTTGATGTGTAGCTGTATTTCATTCATTTTGAATGCTTATTTAGTACGGCAAAAACCGCAATTACTTTTGCATCAACCTAATATATTTTGTATATCCTACATTTCAATTTATTTATATATTCTACTGATAATCCACATTTTGGTTATTACCTTTCTTAATTTAATTAGAAGCAATACTGGTTTGAACATTCACGTATATACATATGTACAGCTTTCTCTGAGTTATATAATTATACTCTGAGGGCATATAATCTCCAGGAAGTGAGTTTCAGGTTTAAGAGATGTGCATGTTCAACTTGAAATTTTTTTTTCTGTTTTATGCTATAGCCCCAGAATACTGCCAGATGCATTGTAAATAGTCAATTATTATATATTAAGTGAATGAATGAATGCCAAAGTATTTCCCTAAGTTATAGTATCAGTTTACACTCTGACCAGCAGCAGATGATCAGTCTATTGTGTCACATCCTCTGCAACACTTGAGACTGTCTGACTTTTTAAAATTGTTGACAATCTGGTGGTTGTGAAATGCTATCTCATTGGGGATTTAATTTGCATATCCCTGGTAACTAATGAGGCTGAGCATCTTTTCATGTTTTTTGGCCATTTGTGTTTCCTCTTTGGTGAAATTCCTATTCATATCATGTGACCATTTTAATAGAATCACTAATTTAAAAAAATTATTTGTAGTAGTCATATAGTAGAGCTAATTCTTTTTCAGTTTTCTATGTTGCAGATAAATTCTCACGTGGAATGGCTTGGGTTTTTATTATTTTTGGTGACTCTTAGTAAAATTAATCTTTAATTTTAATATAATCAAGTATTTTTATTGCTTTTATGAATTGTGCTTTTTAATACTCCATTTAAGAAGTGTTTCTCTACCTTGAGATTATATGGATCCCAAATATATTAATCTACAATTGCTATAATTTGGCTTTAAATCTTGAATTTACCAGTAACTGTTTTTGTGCAGTCAATTTTATGCATTTTTCTTTCTTCTGTATAGATAACCAGTTGTTCCAGAGTCATTTAGTGAATAGTTTCTTCTTCCCCTCTGGCTTTCAGTATTCACTGTACCAAAAACCAAGTTTCTGTGTATGTGCAAGTTTCTTTTTATACTCTATTCCATTCCATTGAATTGTTTGTCTCTACACCAATGTCATAATATGTTAATATCTGTGAATGTATAAAAATTCTTCACAGCTGACTGAGCAAAGCACTACACATTGTTTTTCTTCTTTAGGAATGATATCTATCTTGGCCATTTGCTTTTCCATGCAAATGTTGAGTCTTTTTATCTAAGTGCATGGTTTACTTCTCCATAAATTTATATCTTCCTTAAAATCTTCATATGTGTTTTATAACTTTCTTCAAAAATGGCTCACACATCTCGTTATATATACTTCTAGGTATTTTACATGCTCTGCTGCTATTTTAAGTGATATCTTTTTATAACATCTGTTTACTAATTGATCATTGTTAATACATAGAGAGGCAATTGACTTTGTTTATTTGTATTCATCTTGTTAAATTGTCCAATAATTCTAATATTTATCTTTAGACTATTTTATATTGTATATAAATATAAATCATGTAATCTACAAATGTTAAGTGTCTTTGTTTCATCTTCTCTATTTCTTAGACCTTGTATTGTTTTTTGTTTGTTTGTTTTTGTCTTATTCCACTGGCCACAACCTTTAGCAACTTAAATGGAAATGGTCAAAGTATGCATTATTGCCTTTATTCTTTACTTTATAGGGAATACTTTCAAGTTTCATCAATAGGTATGAGTTTTTTTAATAGCTATCCTATAAATATTATGAAATTTTCTTACTAGTATACTAACAATTTTTGTTATAAAAAATATTGCATTTTATTAAATACTTTTTCTCTCTTTATTGAAATAATTGTATGGTTTTACATATATTTAGTTCACAATATTTAATTTTTAATCCATTGCTGAATTCAGTGTGCTGATGATTTTGTTCAACCTGTTATGAGGAAGAATGAAATAATTTCTTGTATTTTGCTGATATGGTTTTGTTATAGTATGTAATAGCCTGATAAGTAAGTTAAGAAATATGTCTTCCTTTTTCATTCTTTGGATGAAAATTTGTGAGATTGAATTTATTCCTTAAAAGATTAGAAAAACTCACCTTTATAACCAATCTTACATAAATGATTTGGGTTTTCTAGTTCTACTTGAGTCAATTTTGGTTAAGTTGTATTTTCCTCAGAATGTTTTCATTGCGTTTATGTTTTCCACATTGTATTATAAATTTATTAATTATAGCCCTTAATAGCCAACTTAAAATTTTGAAACATCTCTATGTTTTTCTTTTCATTGCTAACATTGTTGATTTGTGTATTCCTTTGTAATGTATTGAAATTTTATCATTACTTACCTTTTCATCTGTAGTAATTCCTTGGCCTTAAAGTCTATTTGGGACATTAATATAGTTACTTCAAGGGGCTGGGCATAGTGGCTCATTTCTGTAGTCCCAGTGCTTTGGGAGGCTGAAGTGGGGGGATCACTTAAGGCTAGGTGTTTGAGATAAGCTTGGGCAACATACCAGGACCTTGTCTCTCCAAAAAAAAAAAAAAAAAAAAAAAACAGCCAGGCATGGTGGCACACAACTGTAGTCACAGCTACTTGGGAGGCTGAGGCAGGAGTATCACTTGAGCCCAGGAATTCAAGGTTATAGTAAGTGTGATTACATCACTGCATTCCAGCCTGGGTGTCAGAGCAAACTCTGTAATAATAATAATAAAACTACTTAAAGGTTCTTTGGTATTTTCTTTTATATTTCTTATAAAGAGCATATAACTTTGTTATGCTTTTATGTTTTATATTTAACCTAATATTTATTTTGAATTGAATCCAAATAGTTGAGTCCATTTATGCTGATAGAGATAATTGATATGCTTGGATTTCTCTTCTACCATCTTATGTGTTTTCTCTTTCCCTTCTTTCCTCCCTCCCTCTCCTCCCCTTGCCTCCCCTCCCATTCCCTCCTCTCCTCCTCCCTTTCTTCCCCTCCCCTCCTTCTCTCCCCTCATCCCTGCTCTCCTTTCCTCTCCCCTCCCCTCCCCTCTCCCCTGCTCTCCTTTCCTTTCCCCTCCCCTCCTCCCCTCCCCTCTCCCCTGCTCTCTTTTCCTCTACTCCTTTTTCATGCTTTTGGATGGAATACCCTGTGTCTGTTCTTAAAATTTCATTTCAGCTTTCTACATGTTTGGAAATTTTTATTCTAAATGTATTCTTTTGGTGGTTACTCCAGATATTTTAATTTCAGGCTATTTCTCCCAAAAATTAGGCATTATTATCACTATTTTAAATTGTTGATATGTTTTTGGATTTACCCTTTGAGAGAAGGCATTATTGAGCCTAAATCTGTTTTGCATGAGATGACCGTCGCTTTACCCTCTCCCAATGTTGTTTCCTTAGGAACATACTTATTTAAGATAAGTTTGGAACATTAGCTCTGTTCAATACTGTTTACTGTGAAAACAACTCCTGATTTGGACTGAAAGAACTGTTAATTAACATACAGACCTGGGAGCTCATCTGATTACGAATATATGAAAATCTGTTGAAGAAAACATAACCTCAGCTTCCTTGGATGGTTCCCTCTTAACTGAGTGTATACCTTGCGGGGACTTGGAAAATACATTCACAGGTAATTAGAAGATATGGTCCCCTTCATGTATGAAACTTCCTTATGTAGAGTAGCCTGCATATATTTGTGAGATCTCATTTCTTAAAATTCACTTGAGCATATTTTTATAGGATCAGGAAAGCAATAGCTAGGCTGCTGCAAGAACATCTATTGAAGATGTATTTGATGCAATCATGTTAACATGCTGTTCCCACTGCTGTTATCTTTCTTAGTAAACCTGGTGGCAGTTAAAATCTATTATTTCCTGTATGAAAGTTAGTCTGAATCCAAACCACTGCTGGTCATACCAAGTGGGCAATGCAGCCCGTATATTTGCCAATAGCTTTGGTTTTCCCTTCTTGAAGCTCAGATGTTAGTAAGCTAGTATTTCCTTGTCCTTCGTCTGCCGTTATAGCCTCTGGGGAAAACATAGTGTAAAATGTCAGCTTACAAAGAGGGAGCATGATGTATTTGTAATGGATATATAATGAAAGAGGAGGTGGAGAAACTACACCTTTCACCTGGGTGCAGGGAGCACTGAAAGTGACAGGTAAAGTTAAAGGTGGCAAGGGGTTCATAGGTATTGTGATTGCCTCCTCTCCAGCTTGGTCGGCTCATGCAATAGGAATGGTCATCTTAAATAGGTTAGTAGGAAAGCCAGAAAACAATGGATGTTTACCCTGGATGTCCTTTGAAACCTGGGGTGGGCTCATGGGTGGAGGCAGGAAGGGGAGACTTACTAGACTAGGTTGTCCATGGGCAACATATAGAAACTTAGGAGACTGAAAATGGTGGCATGGTATGGTTAGGAGGGCGAGACATGCAGAAGTTCCTGGCAGTTCATGATAAGCTGGCTTGTGAGGAGGATTTCTGAGGAAGATCAGGTAGATTATAGAAAAAAAAAATATATATACACACACACACACACACACAGAGTTTTAAAGTGTGAGTAGATTTGTAATCTTCACATTATCTTCTCCTTCTGCTGTCTGCTTCTATGAGTGATTACCTTTAAAATGAAAATAGAAATTTGGCTTTTGGGTTTTTTTTTTTTAATAGATACAGGGTCTCACTATGTTGACCAGGCTGTTCTCGAACTCCTAGCCTCTTCTCTAGGTCTACCAAAGTGCTGTGATTACAGGCATGAGGCACCACATTTGGCTGAAAATAGAAATTTGTAAAGAAATGATATATGTAGAAGGAGTCATTTAAAAGCCAGGCATTCATAATTCTCAATGTTTAATTTGATAATTTAGTGTGTACTGAACTGTAAAAGTAGTACATTTAAGTATAGCTCAAAGTACAGATGTTAGAATCGTCCTATACTGGAAGAAATATATATATCTCTCTCTCTTTATGATAATATATATAATATATAATGATTATATATAATATATAAAGATATATATGATTATATGTCTTTGATCATAAAGTAAGGAATATGCTGGAAGAAATATATATATCTTTATGATAATAAATGATTATATGTAGGATTATAATATATAATATATAAGATAAAAAGATATAAATGATTATATATATATCTTTATGATAATATATATCATTGATTATAAAGTAAGCAAAACACTTTTAAGACCCAGTATTTAAAATTCTCACTATTGATGTGTCAACATGCGTGTGGATAAATAAAATCTTAGATAAATGCTTTCTACATTAAAGAACAATATCCTTTGCAATAGTAGTAAAGATTATTCTTAAGAAATACTGATGCTTCATATCATATTCTATTTAAAATATTGGTAGAATAATGAAGTCTCATTAATTCAGGATTTACTAAATGAGATATTATGAATGTCATTGGCTCAGCATAGCATAAACATTAGGCTACCTAATGAGAAACCTGTTTGCCAAGAAATTTAGTAGCAAAAATGTCTTCGGATGACAATATTAATTTATGTAAGGAAAAGTCACTTTCAAGGATTCTGATACATTTATGCAAGTAATAACAGCTAATAAACAACATATGATGTAATAACAAATAATTACATACAACGTAATAACAAATTATATATGATGTCCTATGCTTTTCGCTTTCCTCATCCTCATAATTGTTTTTGTAGGTATAATGAGAGGTAGGAAACAACTCAGAAACAGTTGAAACTATCATGAGAAGGTTTTTGTTTGTTTATTTGTTTGAGACAGGGTCTCACTCTGTCACCCAGGCAGGAGGGCCATGGCATGACCACAGCTCACTGCAGCGTCAAGCTCCTGGGCTCAGTTGATCCTCCACCTCTTAATAGCTGGGACTACAGGCGTGTACCACCTAGCCTGGCTAGCTTCTAAAAAATAATTTATAGAAACAGGGTCTCACTATGTTGCCCAGACTGGTCTCAAACTCCGGGGCTCAAGTAATCCTCCCACCTTGGCATCCCAAAATGTTAGGATTACAGGCATGAGCCACTGTGCCCAGCCATACTTTCTTATTCTCTCTTTCTGTCTCTCCCTCTCTCCCTCCCTCTCTCCACCTATCCATCTATCTTGGCAGAACAAGGTAGAAGTGCTGCCATTAAGCAGGGGAAAATATTTACATAAAATCTAAAGAAAATTGGTGTCTATCTCCTCAAAAGATTAAGCTTTAGAATGTGTATATTTGTTTGACTTTGTTACCTTCATGGAAGCCAAAAATGGAAACTTTCTTGCTATGAGAAAATAAGCAGTCACTTGGAAATAATTTTTGATTTCTCATTTTATATAAACATTTCTACTTTTGTTCTAATTTTTTTTTGAATATTCATTTTGAGGGCCTAAACATTTAAACAGTTTTTTCCCAGTTACCATTGCTGCATAACAGAGTACCGCAAAACTTGGTAGCTTAATGTGCAGCAGTCATTTAATTATATCTCAGAGTATCTGTGGGTTGGTAATTCAAGAAAAATTCAACAAAAATTCAGCTGGGCAGTTCAGACTCAGAGGCTGACATATGGTTATAGGTAGGCAGTAGCTGGTGCTAGAACAGCTGGAAACAAGCTGGATGTCTCTCTGTTTTGCTCAGGTTGTCTCAGCTATGTGGTCTCTTCATACAGGCTAGTGTGGGTTTCCTTACTGCATGGTGGCCTTAGGAGAATCTGATTGTTGATACGGTGGCTCAGGGGTCCAAGCCAAAGTGTTTCAGCTTATATCTCAGCTTCATCACCTTTAATGACCTAGCCTCAGAAAGACATTCACTGCCACTTTTACCACATTCTGTTGGTTAAAAGCAACTTGCCAATTCACCCAGAATAAAAAAGAGAGGAATTAGACTACCTTTTAGAATTGAAGGTTCTAGAAGAGACTGTGGAATAAAAGGGACAAGATATCTTTGGAATATACTGTTTGCTACACAATTTTTAAGTAAATCAGATACATAATTTATATGCAACATTTTTATGAACATAATCTAACTCAAGTTTTTTTAGTGCCTCTAAAGCATTTTCCCAAGAAAATATGGAAACTGTCTAGATTACCCTGTAATAGAACTACAACAGAAAATGGAAAATAGGTCAGGGATTACACATAGATTTATAAGCATGTAAGATTTATTGAAGACATATTTCTTCACAACTGAGATTTTAAGAATGAAAAAATATGACCTACTCTATTATGAAAACCATTATTTAAGCCAAAATGAGAATTTCATGATGCCTCTCCTCTTACTTAAACCTTTTCTCTGGGCCTATTTGTCACTAGAGCATTGACTGGCTCAGTTCTTTAGATGAATTTGGTAAGGATAAAAAAAATAGTGACTGATGTCTCCAAATGCAACTCCTCAAAAGCAAGAAGATAAACACAACCCATTGAACTTAACAAAATCATGTGTTTGCTAGGATTGATGGAGTGTTAGACAAAATGTTTGAGGTGGTCCTTATTATGCCTTGCATTGCATTATGTAGCTATTATGGGCCATGGAATTCAACGATATTGAAAAGCAGACAAAATACAGGCATAAATTATTTAAATGGGCATACCACTCCCACATTTTTAATGAAAGGAAGAATAAAAGCAAAATTTAACAATATATATTTATTCATGATGGGTATTTATCATTACTTTATGATGGGTAAATAATGAATAGTCATTTACCCATCATAAAGTAAAACTTAATATTTATTTAACATTATTTAATAGTTTAATATTTATTTATGATGGGCATTTATCATTATTTTATAATGGGTAAATATTAATTTACCCTTATAAAGTAAAAGGGTATTTTGCATATATCAACCTTAATTTAGTATTTTATCACACAGGGCAAAGAAATTGTGTTCATATGTCCTAGATTTTATTACATGTTCACTGCAGTAGACTCTGAACTTATTATAAATATCGAGGTATGGGATATTCATTAGCATACATTCTTAACTCATGGAACCAGCTGTAAATGTTATTTTTGGTCCCAGTGCTTTCTCAGTAAATCCCTTTTTCTGGAGTTACCTACAATCCTCATGCAAACACACTTCTAATATTATGATTGTGGTTTGTGGTTGTTTACTCTGTATATGACATCTTAGACATTTAGACTAAAGAGCAAATATCTGGAAGTTAAGAAATCAGAGGTGGGGTATGGACTCTGGGATTATCAGTGGTTCCAAGTGAGATGTGAATTTGGAAGTCATCACCTATGGTGGTGGGACATGGGCAGTTTGGGGGAGGGTTCAAGTAGTACTAAGAGTATAGGATTTGGCATGAGCTGTTATCACATAAAAGTTATCCTTATTCTCCTGAGAGTTAGAATTAGGTTATTTGTGAGTGAGTGAGGTTATTTGTCTTAATGGCTTGCATGTGTATAGATGTGTTTAATTTTGTCAGCAATAACAGATGACTTGGATGTGCATGGTTTGGGGGTAGGTATAAACAGGAAAATTTTTGACAGATATGGGAGACAAAACTGCCAGCATTAGAACAGTTCTACATTCAGGAAACTGTTTTTTTTTTTTTTTTTTTGAGATAGAATCTCGCTTTGTTACCCAGGCTGGAGTGCAGTGGTGCTGTTCAGCCCACAGCAACCTCTACCTCCCGGGCTCAAATGTGCCTCAGCCTGCTGAGTAGCTGGGATTACAGGCAAGTGCCACCACATCTGGCTAATTTTTTTTTTGTAGTTTTAGTAGAGATAGGTTTTCACCATGTTGGCCAGGTTGGTCTGGAATTCCTGACCTCAGGTGATCCGCCCGCCTCCCCCTCCCAAAGTGCTGGGATTACAGGCGTGAGCCACCACGCCTGGGCAGGAAATTCTTTTTAAAAGCATGAAGATTTAAGGTTTGGGAAGGATCATAGATGTTGTCCTAAATTTTAACCTTCCTAAGGGTGATTCTTCTGGCTGTTACCCTAACCTTTTAACAGCCATAGCTTTTGACCCCACAGCCTTTTTATTGTTGTATAATACAACACTTGCCCAGATCTGCCTTTCCTAACCTATCTCCTTTGTTAAGGAGGCATTGCATGGTTGAAAATAAAGCTGACTGCTGGGTGTAAATCCTAGCTCTACCACCTACTTATTGGATATTCTTCGATAAGTAACTTAAGAGCTCTTTGCCTCAGTTGCCATGTACATAAAATGGGAATAACAATAGTCCTTGCTTATGAAGGTATCATGGAATTAACTGAGATAATGTTGCTGGAATAACAGACGTTGGCACATGTACTCAATAAATATTAACTCTGGTCATTGTTATTGTTATTATTTGTAGTGGTATTATTCCAGCCCCTTACTTTTTCCATGGTCCTTCCTATTCCTCCTCCTATGCCTTAGACTTTCTAAGTAGCTCAGTTCTTCATAGGTTTGTCTGACTGGGCATGGCTCTCTGCAGGGCAGAGTAAACTGACTTGGCATTTTGCTTGACTTTCCAACATTCAAATGTTTACCACTGTACCCATTTTGCTTAGAACCTTTCCTGACATGATAAGTATTTATCAAGGAATATTATTTTATGATATCTATTCTGGAGGCTAGATTATTAAGAAAATTAGTATGTCCTAACCTTATATAGGGCAAAAATAGGGGACTGGAATTACAAGAAAATTCTTACACTGTGAGTGGACCAATATAAAGATTTATGAGTTAAGCAGGAAACACACAGCTCAGTGTTTTAGATAACACTTAGGATTCATCTAATCCCATTCCTTACCCAACTAGAGGCTTTTATAACATGCATTTATTCAGTCAATCATTAATACTTATTAAGAACCTATTTTGTGCCAAGCCTTATGTTAGGCGGTGAAGATACATGGTAAGTAAAGCAGATTTGGACCTTGCCCTGATGGAGCTTACAGTGAAATGGGTGCAGCCAATATTAATCAAATAATCATGCAATTATGTGATAGGTACTGTGAAGAAAGCACCTAGGGAAAAATTAGAATAAATAGCAGGGAGAATGAGTCTAGGTTACAGGGAGAGGGAATAGTTATAGTGGTCAGAGAGGAAATTAGCTGAGATTGAAGATTAAATAGGAGCTAACTAGTTGAAAAAAGAAATACGCATTCTAAGGAGAAGGAGAAAGTGTGATGATGTATTTGAAGAACTAAAGAAGACCATCGTGGCTGGAGCCGAGAGAGAGGAACAGGAGTCAGAAATGATGTAGGAGAGGTAAATATAGGTAAGAACTAAATCCATTTCATCCAATGCATTTATCCTATTTTCCACTCTTGAAAATATAAATGTTCCTTGATTTAGGATGAGGTTGCATCCCCAAAAACCCATCTTAGGTGAAAATATTGTAAGTTGAAAATGCATTTAATACACCTAACTTACTGAACATCATATCTTAGCCTAGACTACCTTAAATATGCGCAGAACACTTTTATTAGCCTACAGTTGGGTAAAATCATCTGGCAACACAGTCCACTGTGGAGTGTGGGTTGTTTACCCTCCTGATCACGTGGTTGACTGGATGCTGTGGCTCACTGCTGTTGCCCAGCCTCACGAAAGGGTATAGTGCTGCATATTACTAGCCCAGAAAAAGATCAGAAGTCAAAATTTGAAGTATGACTTTTATTGAACGTGATTCACTTTTACACCATAACAAAGTCTAAATATTGTGTTAATAAGCCAAACCATTATAAGTTGAGGACTGTCTACACAATGGATTGAAGGGAGGGCAAGAAAAGTTAGTAGGAGACTATTAGGAGAGATGCTTCTCAAATTTTAATGTTCCTATAAAGCATCTGGGGGTCTTGTTAAAGTGCAAATTCTGATTTAGTACATCAGATACGAAGCCTGAGAATCTGCCTTTCTAACAAGCCCTCAGTGATGCTGGCGATTCTTGTCCTGAGATTTCACTCTGAGCAATGAGTACCTGGATGAAACTACACTAGTGGTGGTGGAGATGGAAAGGGACAGATTCAAGACAGATTAGAGAAACAAAAGCAACAGAGCCTATTGAAGAAGAAGATGAGAGCCATGGTGAAAAGAGGAGATATCAAGGACGGTGTCTGTATTTCGGGCTTATACAACTGGCTGTGGATAGTGCTACTCACTCCAGAATGCTTAGGGAGTTTAACATATTCTGTTTCGTGCATGAACAAGGAGGCTAGTAGTAGGGTAGAATTCTTGAGAAAAGTGGAAATGGTTTGAAGTTGCTACCAGGGAGTATTGAAGAGAACATGGATTAAGAAAATGTAGAAAGTTTACTATGAAATTTTGAAGATTGGGGATTGGAGACTAGAAATCATAGTATTATCAGTGGGAGAAAGCATAATTTTATCCAACAAAACTTAGCAACCCAGAAGTAGAGAATGTAATAGTTGAATTAGTGTAAGATTTAAATTTTTCTGTGAATGTTGACCAAAGATAGTGTATCATTAGAGTTATCCATGTTAATGAGTGTCATGCCAGAACCTATTGACTTCAATAGGGATGGCACCATGTTTGAGAGGCCAAAGAAGGGACCCAGAGCCGGCAACCAAAACACAGAGTTTATCGAGGGGACTTACATACATGGCAGTCCAGTGGCAGTAGGCCGAACAGAACTGCTACCATTTGTAAAAAAAAAAAAAAAAAAAAAAAAAATGCAGTTTATATAGCATTTTTGCAGTAGGCTGAACAGAACTGCTACTGCTTGTTAAAAAAAATGCAGTTTATATAGCATTTTTGCAGTAGGGAACAGAACTGCTACCACTTATTTAAAAAAATGCAGTTTATATACCATTTTCACTTAGCATCCTCCCCCTAGCAACCTCTACCTGGCAACCTTCATTTAACCCAAAACAAAGGGCCTTGATTCCCTCTATAGCCTGTGTTCCATGGGATGGGCCGGGATTTAGATGTTCCTGATAAATAAGGAATGAATCTCTGGGTTGGCCACTCCCAGATTCTTTAGCTTGGATTCTGAACACACATTCTTTTTATACCATGGAGTCATTCTCCGCATATGCTTAAGTTAAACTCTTGCTATCAGGTACATCTGCCGTACATTCCACCCCAGCATACCCTCGAATGGACCTCACATTCTTTTCATGTCATTCTTCCACTATTTCCCTGGGGCCAGGTATATAAAGAGGAGCATTGCAGTCAGACATTGCAGCAGCAATACAAACTACAACAACAGAAAAAAATAACGTATATAATAATAGTCTTAGAAAGTTTTGTCAAGTGTTGGGGAATTGATTAAACCACATGGTTATAGGGCTGCAAGACAGAGATTCTATAGCAGGAATATGTATACCTAGGGCCTGCATGGCTTGGGTTACATTGCGAGAGTAAATCAGTGATAGATATATCACATTTGGTGTTAATTATTGCTCAGGTTCCACCTGGGCGGCAGTTAAGATGTCCAGGGCCATGTGATTTTGCTAAGAATGGTGCACATCCCACTACCTGTATCTGCTCTGCCATTATCCACCCTGTCCCATCATGTACAGCCTACCCCACAGTGGGGGTAACATTAACTTGCTTCCATACTAGGAGGAAAATATGTTGTCTCATCTTGTTGATGGTGGGAAACTCACTACACGAGGTGCAATTGTCACTAAAGGGAAATAGATGAGGGTCATTATACTAAGTACAGAAGTGGCTCCAGGTACTCAGGTGAGGTGCTTGGAGCAGGCCTGTGATGGAAGAGAGTGGCAGCTCTCTGCAGTCACAACAGTCTGTTTGTTATAGGGAGAGACCAGCATCTGTGCTCAGTCGGTGAAGAGGTTTGCTGCACACCACACCGTCTATGGGTGGACGGGGAGATGTTTAGTGGGTACAAGAAAGGGCAAGTCATGGCCATTTAACAAGACACAAGAAGTTCTGTCATTTTGAGACCAACACCACTGGTAGCAGCCTGGTGCCTGGATTACAATACCAAATGGACTGGCCCCCGCTCTTCAGCACATGGTAGGAGGACAGAATAAGACAATGGAAGTATTAAAATGTTCCGTAATGGGAGGATGACAGTCCTCTTGCACAAGGGAGGACTAACATTCATTATTTTAATCGTACGACGGGGAGTAGGATGTAAAATAGATGTGATCTGTATATTCTGTTCTAGGCCCTTCCTCCATGGAGTGGAAGTACCATACGATTGGGGAATGGTTTGCTATTTCCAGGGCCATTTAATGATGTGCTCCTGGGTAGGTAGTCCTGTGGCAAGGGCAATAGAGGTTTCCTTGAGTCCCAGGTTGGGGCAAAGGTATACTGTCCCTCAAACTGTCTACCTGGATCCCAAGGGTGGCATCTAGTCCTTGTGTCAGGAGAGTGTAAGCGCTGGGGTGATGAGACATGCATGTTCATCCAGGGTACAAGTAGCTGCTGGTAAGTGGCATGTCCATCCACAGAGCCAGAGAACACATCTTCTCCGGAGTCGTTGCATCAACAGTCCGTTCATCCATTCAATCAGCCCCACTGCTGTAGGATTGTGTGGCAGGTGGAAATGTCAGTGAATATCCAGGGCCTCCATCCATTCCTGCACTTTGTGTCTGGTAAAGTGTGAGCCCTGGTTACTGTTGAAATCCGTGGGGATGCCGTAGGTCACACACAGCTGCACTAGTCCTACTATGGTACTTTTCTGTGTGGCATGCTTGCTGGGATATGCCTGCAGTAGCTCTGTGCAGGTGTACACACAAGTCAAGGCATAGCAATCAGGTAGAGGCAAAGGTTCTAGGTAGTCTCCCTGCCACTGTTGCACTGGGCTCTGGCCCCAAGTGATCTGTGCCTATCATGTGGCAAGGGCCTGGAGGCCTCCCTGTGCACAAGTAGAACATTACTGTCAGACACCTACTATGTTTTTATTTAGTAGTAGCAGGCCCCAGTTCTTCACTGTGGCTCAAAGGGTACATTGTCCCCAGTGTCATCTTATGTAGCCAATGGGCCACGTCTTCTGTGGGAACTTCCTCAAGAAGACATATGCAGGCTAGCTCATCTGCCTGTTGATTTCCAGGTGGTGTAGATGCAGTGTGGGCATCCTCATGGTAGACTGTTATATGCATGCCCTGGATATAATGGGGAATGTCCTTCCATGTGTCAGCACCCCAAAGGGGGTGCCCTACTACCATTCAGTTTTACAATCCTGAGCTTCCTATTGCAGTGGCCACCTGGTGAGTCCCTTAAAGGAGGCCTATACCTTACCCATAATGGCAGACAGAACAACATTAGTCTTACTGACCAAGTGAAACAGCAAGGTGGGGGCTGCAGTTTGTAAGCTGGAAAAAGACTCAGAAGTTAGCATGATGTCATCAGTGTAACAGAAACACATACCCGCTCAGGGTGGTTCATCCGCTGAGATCTGTGGCCACTAGGCTAAGACAGATAGTAGGGACTATGTAAATATTCCTGGGGCAAGATGATAAAGGTTCATTGTTCTCCTTCCCAGGTGAATGCAAATTGGTCTTCACTCTCTGGGGCAAGGGGGATGCTGAAGAAGGCATTGGCTAAATCTACAACAAAATGGTATGTGCCAAACGCCTCTCTTATCATCAGATGGGAGGCAGTATTGGAAACAGCTGCATACATTGCAGAGACCACCTTATTTAATTCCCAGTAATCTACTATTGTTCTCCATGTCCCATCAGGCTTCCACAGGGGCCATACAGGGCTGTTTTGTTTGGGGTATGTTCTGGCCCTATAATGCCTAAATTCTTAACAATCCTTGTGATTCCATCATGCCCCCTCACCTGCCTGGCAGTGAGTATTGGTATTGTTTCAGTGCCACTCTTCACCATGGGACTGGCAGCTGTACTACAGTGTCCATTTCACATTTCCCTGAATCCCATGCTTCACCATCCTAACTCTCACTTGAATTCCCAGGCCCATTGTTTAGAGAGTCAGACTTGATAAGTTATCAATTTCCAAGAGGTATTCCAAGATGAGAGCCATGTATACTAAATATGGTTTTGGTAGCGGTCTTCCCACTTACAATGCTAGTTGAACCTGTTGATCACAGCCACCCTCCCTAACCATCTATTGCTATTATAGGCCCTTGGAACTGATGATGAAGGTCACCATGTGTGAGAGTGCATTTGGCTCTTGTATTAGTCTGTTTTCACATTGCTATAAAGGTACTACCTAAGACTGGGTAATTTATAAAGGAAACAGGTTTTATTGACTCATAGTTCCACATGGCTGGGGAGGGTGGAAGGCAAAGAAGAAGCAAGTACTTTCTTCACAAGGCAGCAGGAGAGAGGAGAGCATGTGAAGGAGGAATTGTCAAACACTCACTATCAAGAGAACAGCGTGGGGGAAACCACCCCTGTGATCCAATCACCTCCTACCAGGTCCCTCCCTCGACATGTGGGGATTCTAGGGGTTACAGTTTGAGATGAGATTTGGGTGGGGACACAGAGCCAAACCATATCAGCTTCAGTATCCAGTAAGGGCATGCACAATCTGCCTATTCTTAGGTGACCAATATGTAGCTAGTTCCACCTGTGGCCTCTGACCCCTGGACACCCTGGCAACCACTGCTCTTATTGAGATTCTGGAGCCTTGGCCTTCATCCTAGTCTAACGGGTTGGTGCCTGCTATTCCTCTGCAGAAGGGGTAGTGGGCTGAACTTGAGGCTCCTTAGCGATCCACTGTTCTGGCTTGAGCTTCTGCCCCAGTCTGACCAGAAAAGCATTAGGCTGTTTATCTATTTTCTCAGCAGGTGTCCCTGCCACTACCAGGTCATAACACATTTGTTGCCAGACCACCCTGGTGGATCCTTTAGCTGTCTCCTTTCCTTTGGCTCCTTTGTCTTTCTTGCTGGCAGCGCATACCCTGTGCCTATGCAGTTTCTCCATTTCCCCTAAGTTGGGGGCTGCTTGGGCTGCCCAAGACACTGGCTGTCCTACCAGGGCACTTAGGATAGACACTGGTGAACTATACTATTGGTTGGGTGCCAACTAAGATAGTGTCTTTCATGCTGGCAGTGAAAAGCTCATTGGAGCTTGGTAATGCCCAGCATAGATAGCATGCTTCATCTCTAATTCTTGGGGGATGTCCTGCAATTCCTCCATAGTCTGTAATTACAAAGGAGATGTGAGGATGTTGCTCTCATTTAGCCAGGCTTCCTTGCAGCCCACAGCCACTCAGCTAAGAGGGGGATGGCTGGTCCTCATTATTGGCATCATAGAGGTGCTTCCTCAGGGCCAGGTGGTTTGTGATGGATGCCATTTTAACTCATCTTGAGTCTGGAGAGTATAATACTCTCCGCCCCCATGTCCCATAGATGGAGAAGCCACCACAATAGACTCTCTTCCCTTCTTCCTGAACCTATTTCGCAGCTCCACTAATTCCACGGGCGTGCAGTACTGCATTGTAGTGTGCTGCCGTCTTTTAGATGCGGGCAAGTCTTATGGGGTTACCCCCTGTAAGTGCAGCTGATCAGCTTTTATCTTGATGGTGACTACTGGATGTGCAGCTAGGACAGGAACCTTTATGGGCTCATCTCACCCCTCTCTTTTCTCCCCACTGATAGCACATCATGGGGGTCCCAGGTATCTTGGGGTCCCAGGATGATTTAGTCATAATAGCCCTAACTCATTGCTGTGGGGGTCAGCAACCCTTCAAACAGGCTACCCAACAAGCCAGGGTCTCCATTTTGTCATCCCGTGTCCATAGGTGAGACAGCAAGGTCTCTGATGTTTCAGCCTGAGCTAATCTGGCATCTCTTTCTAGTCATAGCTCATCTTGTAACTGACCAATCCCCACCTATGCTGCAAGCTCAGCTTCAGTGACTGCTCAGAGTGCAGTCAGAAACAGCCAGTGAACCACAGTTGCCACTACTCAGGCATCTGACCCTTGCTCAGTCAGTTTCAACCCCTGTAACAGCTCTTTCTGAACCTTCAGTGTTTTCAGGGCATCCCTGTACTCATGCGGTGGGAACCAACCATCAAGGACAGCAGCTGTTGTCCTTGATGGATGGAAAGCAGGCAGAGACAGAGACCCACATAGACATGGATGGCCAGCCCAGGATTTGCCCCATGGATTTCCCCTTCCCCAATCCCATCATCTTGATGCTCATAGGATTTTCTTTGATGCCCTAGTTGTCATGTCAATTGTTATGCCAAACCCCTATTGACTTCAAATAGGGATGGCACCATGGTCAAGAGGACCCAGTGTTTATTGAGGGGACTTACATACAGGGGACTCCAGTGGCAGTGAGCTGGACAGGAGAACTGCTACCGCTTGTAAAAAACATGCAAGTTTATATGGCATTTTCACTTAGCATCCTCTCCCTAGCAAAACCTCTACAAAAACCTCTACCTGGCAACCTTCATTTAACCCAAAAAGGGGACTTGATCCCTTGTACAGACTGAATTCCATGGGATCAACCGAGGTCTGGTATTCCCCGTAAATAAGAAATGAGTCTCTGGGTTGGCCACTTCCAGATTTCTCTGCTTGGAATTGCAAACACACATTCTTTTTATACCATAGGGCCATTCTTAGGGTTAACCTATTGCTTTCAGGAGCATCTGCTGTACAATGAAAGAATGCTGGAGGTAGGGACTAAAAGGAGGATTAGGAATCAATAGATAAGGAGAAAGGGGACAGAGAGAGGGAAGAACATGATCTGTTTCAGTGGTCACCAAACTATAGCCTGTGTGCCAAACTCAACTCACTGCTTATGTATGTACATCAAGTTTATTGGAACAGACTTGCCTATTGGTTTAGTATTCATCCTCTGTGGCTGCTTTTGCACTAGAATGGCAGAATTGAGTAGTTGCAACAATAGGTTGGCAAAGCCTAAGATATTTGCTCTCTGATCTGTTATAGACAAAGTGTGCTAACCCTTGGTCGGTTTCATCTTCTTCATTTCTCTTACTGAGGTCAAAGAACATACATAATGTCTAAGGGAAAAGAATAGGAAGATGAGGTAAAATAGAAAAGAGCAAAAGTTTCTAGGGGTTACCACAGCCCAGGGTGATCTAGAGAATAGACAGGTGAGGTGAAGTTGAGTCTCTGAAATTCCTCAAATTTTTCTTCAATAAAGGACCTGAGAGTATGAAATGGGCTGCCCATGTGGATGTTGAAATCATGTAGGATACTGATGGTTTTGTGGGTGGTGAGAAAGATGGTGAACCCAACACCAAAGTCTTGGAAACAAATGTTTGGTAAGTCTTTGGAAACCAGAAACAAGGAAGGATGGAAGAAGATATGGCCTGTTAACATAAACTGTGTTTACAGACAGAGTGAGAACTAGTAGTCCTAAGGTATAATTGAGGAGCAATGAGGACAGGAACCCACTCCTAGCCCAGAGATGAGTGGTACTCATTGAGAGGGGCCCAGGAGAGCAATGCCTTCAGAGATCTAGGCTTCCTTTGGGGCAGGAAGTGAAGGAAGACTTAAGGGCAGAGATGGAGGATAGTAGGGAGTTTTTTTGTCTTATTTTCTATGGAATGAGAATTCTGAAACAAAAAAAAATAGATTTATGAATGAGATACCTTCCATGGGTTTAGGCCAGGGGAAAAAAAGGGGGCAGAGCAGTATAGGTATGAGAATACAGGAAAGAATAGATAGCAGGGTGTGCTTCTGTATGGAGGTGACCAAGTGTTAGATAGCTGCAAGTATTCTAAGGAATTGGCACCAAGGATTGTCTGGTGGGCACAGAGGAATAGTCTGGTTTTATAAAAACACTGTACTCAAAAATGCCTGGAGGGATTGTACCATATGGTAATCCCAGCCAGCTGAGCAGGCAGGCCATGATATTAGTTAATTCCTACAATTCTAAGTTGGTGTTACACATTGACAACAGATCCTGGTGGAGAAGAAACTTTGGCATCTTCAGAGTACCTTTGGCCCTGGCATCTGCTCATTGGTCAATAACTCTACCAAACACATAGCTGCTCAAGCTGGAAATCTTACAATCACCTGTACCTCCAGTCTACCTTCTTCATTTCTTTATATTTCATCTTCACATTCTCCCTGGATTCACTGTCATGGTGTCTTAGTAGGCCTTTCTTCTTTAGCCTAATCTCCCAGAGGTGTTTCCTTTTGTTACTCTCCAAAATGAAAAGTCTATTTTTTTCTTATCAAAGCCATACATGCTTCCTGTAAAATCAACTCAGATAACACAGAAGGTATAATAAAGAATGCAAAATTATCACAAATCCTACATCCTAGAGTTACTACTATTAACATTTTTCTATATGTCTTTACAGACTTTCTCTATGCAGATACATTTTTTAAAAATGTAGTGGAACCGTATTATATGAGCACTTTCTTAAAATTTATTATTTTCTAACAGTGGATTATCAAACTCTTTCAATAAATATTTATATCATTTTTAAAGCCAACAGTATTCTGGTATAGGGCTTTATCATGATTTATTATCCAATTCCATATCACTGGATTTGGTTTATATTTATTTGCTACTATATGTAACAATATAATGAACATTCTTATACTAATGACTTTTATAAAACAAAAATCTGATCATGTCATAGTTTCTTGCTCGAAATTCATCAGTGTCTCTCTAGCCTGTGACTTTTGGGATTAAATTCAATCACTTAGCATGACAGAAAAGGTCATTTATCATCTGACTTGGTCTGTTTCTAGCCTGATTTCTCAATACACCTCCACACCTGCTACTGTGGTCAGGAGCCCTGCTTAAGTGCCCATTAATACCTCCATCATGAGGCATTATCAATGTGTGTTTACAACTTCCCAGCTGCACTGTAAACTCTTTAAGGGACTATGTATTTTATCTCTGAGAATAGTTATATGTGGGCACTCAATATTTGTTTGGTTGCAAGAAAGGCAATGAATGCATGCACACATGTGTATTTTATTCCTTATTTCTCATTCTCCTTCCCTGGAGGTATTTTAACCAGTACTGTCTTTTTTATTATAGATTATGTTTTCTTGTAATCTTGAATTTGCTCATTCTTTAGTTCATTCCATTTAACAAAAGCAGATCGAGCACCTACTATATGCCAGACACTGTTATAGGTATTGGAAAGCAGTGAACAAAACCTTCTGGACCTGACATTTTAATGGGGAGACAGACAATATACAAGGTAAATAAATGACATATATACTATGTTAAAGAGTGGTGAGTACTAAGGAAAGAAAATTAAGGAAGAGGGTTTTGAAGTGCGTGTATGTTGAAAGAGTGGGGTTGATAGTTAAGACAGGCTGGGAGGGCAAGTCTGTTTCCTTAAGGGAGGAAGCTAGTCATGTAGTTTCTGGGGAAGTGCATTCTAAGCTGAGAAAAGAGTTTAGGTGCTAAGGTCTTGAGGCAGGTGCATATCAGATAGGTTGGAGGAGTAGCAAAGAGGCTAGTGGTGCTGCTTCAGAGAGAACTAGAGGGCGAGTAGATGAAGTCAGAGTGCAGACAGCAAGCCAGATGGCTATAGCATTGTTAGAACTTTGGCCTTTGCCCTGGCTAAAAAGAAGAGCCAAGGTTATAACATAACTTTCTTTTTAACAGAATCTTCCTGGCTACTGTGTTGAAAAGAGGCTGAAGGTGAACAGTTAGGCTGTTGCAATCATTCAGACAGAAGTTTTTGTTGTCAGAACCAAGATGGTGGCAGTGAGAGTGACAGTGAATGACTGAATTGTGGATTCCTTTTGAAGATGTTTGTTTATGATACTGACACGGGATGCGGGAGAAAGAGCAGAATCACAGATAACACCAAGAGTCTCCATCCCTCAAAACTTAAAAACAATAAAAATTCTATTTACCGAGCAATTACTTATTTTTGCTCCATTGGCCTAATTTCAGACTCATACTTAACCAATCTTAACTATATTTAATGGAAATTGTCCCATAAAGAACTCTGTTTTTGAATACTTTTGTTTTTGTTTATGTGGTGTCACTGTAACCTGTGGAGACTATTTTGGCTATGTGTATCTTACAGGAACCAGTCTCATTATTTGATAAGCATATCACATACAATACCCAAATCTAGTTTTGATATTTGTCATAAAATGTCTTGGACCATGGTGCTCTAGTAATACAATTTTCCTGAATTTTGTAACTGCACTTGTTTAGCACGTGGATCGCTTTTCAATAAACGAGTCCAGATGACTCTAAATGAATTTATTGATAAAGCAAGCCTGCCTTTTACTCACAAATTTTCTAGTGACTATATTAATAATATTAATAGCTATAAATTGAAATAAAGTACGTACAATAATCATTGTTTTCTATTTTGATTAAATTACTTTAAGCAATCACAGAATTGCAAGTTTTAAAATACAGAGTAATATTAATAGATTTTCACTAGCATGTATTTTAAAATAATTTGGGTATGATTTATTTAGAAATACAAGATGAAAATCATCTTTTTTTAAAATTATCTAAATGTTAAAATACCCTGAAAACATTTTTTTATTATACTTTAAGTTTTAGGGTACATGTGCACAACGTGCAGGTTTGTTACATATGTATACATCTTAATTCAAGGAATGTCACTTTAAAAAAAAATGAAAACGTGAAAAGTCTTTTGAAGCAGCAATCTGGTCTCTTTGGGCACTGCTAGATACAACGGGTATTTGTCTGCTTTCACTCACATTCCTTAGCTGAGGATTCATCTCTGGGAGGCTTAGGATGGAACAGACAGTTTATACTTGGATTGGTGCCCATTCCTTTCCACGGGATACCTTTATATGTGGAAGAGCTAGAGATGTACCTATTTTCTAGGTGTGACAGAATGGCTTCCAGTGGATTTTCAAATTTTGGCTTTAAAAACATTGTTGAGATGCCAGTTACTGAATTGAAATGTCCAAGGTACCCAGCAAAGGCACCTGAGGTGGCAGAAATCTCAGGCATGACTAACAAATGCCAGGCATTTCTGAGGAACAATATGCATGCTGTTCACTTCTTTAGAATATTTAAAAAATGATGAAATAAAAAATGAAAATAACTCACGTGTGGAAAATAATACTGACATTTTAAACTGATGCTTAAGAGTGTGATCTGGCATTTCTATGATTTTGGACAATGTCGGGGTGAACTTGGGTAAGCTTCTTAATATCTTTTTTGCTTTCTTTACACTGTATATTAAATATGAATAATAATTGTTTCTACTACACAAGATTGTTGTGAAGATGAACAGTTTAGTTTCTAGCACACTGTAAATTCTCAGTAGTCATTAGTTATTATTGTCTAAGAATACAATGGAACTCTTGAGTTTACCTATAAATTGCATCTTAAGAAGAATGTGTAGAAAGATGAGAAACAGAGAAAGAAAATAGCTCCGGGGAATCCTTACCCTGGCTATTTTTAGTGGATTGTTTTATATTCATCACTGGGTGATATTCTTGCCAGAAGCCAGGTGGGGAGGATGTCTAACCTTCATATGAGACTTTCAAAGTGTATGACTTATAAAAGTTTCTATCAATGTTAACAAAATATTAGACAATTAATAGTGGTTTGTATTGTAACGATTTTTAGTTCTGAAAAATAAACATGATATAGATGATACCAATGAGTGTTTTTTTGTTTTGTTTTTGTTTTTGTTTTGTTTTTTTGAAATGGAGTCTTGCTCTGTCGCCCAGGCTGGAGTGCAGTGGCACGATCTCGGCTCACTGCAAGCTCCGCCTTCCCGGTCAAGAGATTCTCTTGCCTCAGCCTCCCGAGTAGCTGCGACTACAAGCGCGTGCCACCATGTGCGACTAATTTTTTTGTATTTTTAGTAGGGACGGGGTTTCACCGTGTTAACCAGGATGGTCTCAATCTCTTGTCCTCGTGATCCGCCTGCCTCAGCCTTCCAAAGCGTTGGGATTACAGGTGTGAGCCACCGGGCCTGGCCAATACCAATGAGCTTTATTGTAAAAATGGCACTCATGATTTACTCTGAAAATTGGGACACATTGTCTCTGCTTTATCATTTCCACCATTCTTGAAACTGAATTTATTCAGCATTCCACAAAGACGAATTGTCTTTCTTTGCTATAGCACTCTACTCTCTATCATCATCTCTGAGTGTCTCCAGGTTCTTTAGGTAAAGATATATAATCTGAAGATCAAAAGATGACATTAAAGAGAGCAACATTAAAGAAAGCAACATTTACTCAAGACCAGGGAGCCCCTGGCACATAGCATATTGATGTGGCAGTTTGGATTTAAGAATAAGGATGCAAAACCTAGAGTGAATGAATATGGTATATACTCAGGCATTGGAAAAGTTAGATGGAAAGGATTCCATACCATACGAGCGATGGAATGTGGATCCAGTGGAATAAACGTGACCTGTGAGGACACAGTCAGCAATTTGTTCATAATACAAGGGTACATTTTGAAGTCATGGGCTGCAGAACTTGAGGAGTTAGTACAGAGAAGGATCATTTAAGACAGATAGATATATGCTCCCTTCCATTCAGGGAAAGTCATTTGCATAAGGTGCTTTTTGGAGGCTTTTTTGATGAAAATGGTAACTTTTTTTTTTGGCAAGATCTGTTTTGTTTGTGTGTGTGTGTGTGTGTTTTTCTGTTTGTGTATGTTTTGAAAAACATGTTATTTAAATTTTCTCCTCAATGAAGAGAGCAGGGAATGGGGAATTGTTATTTAATGGAGTGAGTTACAGTTTGAGAAAATGAAAAAGTTCTGAAGGTGAGTGGTGTCGATGATTGTATAACAATCTGACATTTATGAGCAACTCTTTCTTCCTCGTTTATTTCTTAAGTTAGTTTTTACTGCCAATTATTGAATTTCCCTGTTCATACACCATTTCTGGTATTCATCTACTCACAAATATATGCCATCAACCGCCAACAGAGGATACGTGATATGGAAGTATAGATGAACTCATATAAATATATAGCCACCTTTAGGGAAATTACACAAGAAACCTCCCTGCTCAAGTGGATCAGGGTTGTCATGTGGGTATCATGTCAAGTGGATCAGGGTGTCATGTACTGTTTATAGCCACACCCCCTACATATATTCTGCATCTTTTGTTGAAAGCAGGAATTATCCAATCAAATAAGAAATTATTCTTTACTATTTACATATTTAATAATTGTGTAGTGAAAAACCCAAAATATATAACTGCTCTGTAACATCCACAATTATGTCTACAAATGGCGTGTGTCACTAGTGCCAGCAATATTTCAACAAATGACTATGTTAAATCATTGTTTCTAAAGTGCAAAACAGAAATACTAGAGCCCTTTGAGGATTTCTGCTTGAGTGTTATTCCAGCTTATGAGTGTATGTTTTGAGTGTATGTTATTTAAATTTTCTCCTCAATGAAGAGAGCAGGGAATGCAGAAATATTATTTAATGGAGTGAGTTTCAGTTTGAGAAAATGAAAAAGTTCTAGAAGTGAATGGTGGTGATGATTGTATAACAATATGAATATACTTAATGCCATTGCACTGTACATTTAAAAATGGTTAAAATGGTAAATTTTATATATATATATTTTAACACAAAATTTTTAATTGTCTCCCAAAGAGCTTTCCAGCATATTTATAACATTATTTGATAATATCATTTTCCTTGAAATGACTTTAAATCCAATATGAATATGCAAGTAAAAAATGCATTAACAAAAAACATTTGTCAAACTTCAATAGTGAAATTATTTAAATAAACTGGTCTTGGTATTGAGAAGAAAAACACTAAAGCATTAGTTAGCTGGGATCAGAAGATGATCTTTTGATTTTATTCTTATCTTCATGAACTTGTAGTTTAATGTAATGGTTGCTAGCTTGACTGCAAAGTTTAGAGATGACTTTTTATTGACTTTAGTCAGAGAAGGAGATTATTCAATAAAAACCATAAACATTAAACTTCTGATATCTGGAAGTTGTATTAGATTGAATTTCTGGTATTATGTGCAGAATAAAGTGCTTTTATTATGATCACTCCTCTTTTCAACTCTATATATTTCCAGTTTAATGGCATAATAACAGTATGACTGGGATTTACCAGCCAGAGTTATAAATATGTAACATTCATTTCTAGGTAATATATTACACAATTCTTTTATGAAGAAGTAGTTGCCCTTGATTTAAAAATGGATATTTGATTTGAATAAATGATGCTGGAATTTATGGGATACTCTAAGTTATTCTGCCCTTTCAGATGCTGAAATGCTTTTTTGAGATGTCAGAGTTGGATAAATAATAATTGCCTTCTAGAATCTTCAGTATAATTATGGTTATTTTAAAACCCAATTTAAAACCTTTGTGATAGAAATAATTTTTACCATACCTATTGCTTTAACCGTGTTTTACTGAAAGATAGCTAGCTGTGTATTCTAATATCAAACTATGTTTCCTTCTGAAAGGACTCACTAAAAACTATCTTTTGTATATGTAAATGGTTATCTGGTTAGCATGTTCTTTTTTTTTTTAATTATACTTTAAGTTCTACAGTACATGTGCACAACGTGCAGGTTTGTTACATGTGCCATGTTGGTGTGCTGCACCCATTAACTCGTCATTTACATTAGGTATATCTCCTAATGCTATCCCTCCCCCCTCACTCCACTCCACGACAGGCCCTGGTGTATGATGTTCCCCACCCTGTGTCCAAGTGTTCTCATTGTTCAATTCCCACCTATGAGTGAGAACATGCGGTGTTTGGTTTTCTGTCCTTGCAATAGTTTGCTGAGAATGATGGTTTCCAGCTTCATCCATGTCCCTACAAAGGACATGAACTCATCCTTTTTTATGGCTGCATAGTATTCCATGGTGTATATGTGCCACATTTTCTTAATCCAGTCTATCAAGCATGTTCTTTTTAATGATTTCATTCCTTACAGAATTCAACTGTACAATTCCCACATTTACAAATTTCGTTTCCATTTACCAAAAAAAAGGAAAAGAGCACATCCTTTCTTTTGATTAGGATCATCTTAAAACAAGTAGGGATCAGATAGCACAGGCAGGGATCTTCCATTCTAATCTCCAGTTGGACTGTGGAGAAAGCCAAAAGCCTTAGCTTACTGTATTAGTCCATTCTCACATTGCTATAAGAACTGCCCGAGACTGTGTAATTTATAAAGGAAAAAGGTTTAACTGACTCACAGTTCAGCATGGCTGGGTAAGCCTCAGGAAACTCACAATCACAGTGGAAGGCGAAGGGGAAACAAGGCATCTTCTTCCCAAGGCAGCAGGAAGGAGAAGTGCATGACAGCACAGGAAAAACTACCATTTATAAAACCATCAGATCTCATGAGAGTTCACTCACTATCATGAGAACAGCAGTGGGGAGACAGCCCGCATAATCCAATCACTTTCCATCAGGTTCCTCCCTTAACACCTGGGGAATACAATTCAAGAGGAGGTTTGGGTGGGAACACAAAACAGTCATAGTCAGATGGACATAGGTAGTGGACCGAGTATGAATTTTACTTCACAAAATCAGTTGTCCAAAACAAAAAAGGCACATATGCTTATTTTCGTAAGCAAAATTAAATCAGACTTCAAGGGGTGGGGACACTTAATCCTAATTAACTGGAGGCTCCCACACACCCCGAAGATCTCTGGAAAATACCAAATTCTTACACAGAGAAACTAGGGAATGGGAATGTTGTTTTGGTCTTTGATTATCACTGGTCCTTGCTGTGAGCTTCTGTCTGTGACCATGCCAAGCTTCGGCATTGTGGTTCGACTATTGTTGTCCCTTTCCTTCTTTACGGGGCTGAATTAAGAATGGTAGATGGTCCCAGCATTGAGAATATTATAATTAACATAAGAGTCATACTAAGCTTTCCAAACCTAGTATATCAATGTTGAGTTCTGTTGGATTTCAGGTAGTGATATATAATACGTATGTTGATATGAAAATAGCTTCCTTCTATAGTTTTTTTAAATGCAAAGTTCTTGAAAAGTTTATTAAAACCAAACCTGGATTTGTGTGTACTCTAAGCACATGCTTAAGCTACCTGTTAGGTGGGCCAGTGCTGCTCATAGGTGTATTAAAAGTAGCCTAGGGGCTACTGTGCATGGGAGTATCACTAAGTGACTACAAATTATTTCTTCTTATTTGAAGACATTTTCCTAGCCATTTCATTAGGATATATTGTTTTACTTGTGCTTTCAAAACAGTATTAGTATAGCTATTAGAACTGATCAGGCTTTCTCACCACCAGTCCTTCTCCAGAAGAGTGGAAAGTAGTTGGTCAGACACTTGGGTGAGGTTAGAGGTGAGTCAAAATGCATCCAAATTTGCCTAGGATGCAAAAAAAAAAAAAAAAAAAAAAAGTCCCAGTTTGTACCTAGTGTCCCAGTATAATTTCTTTTCTTTTTAAACATATTTAGTGAAATATAATGTATGTGACATACAATTTTGTGTTTTTTAGTATATTCACAGATACATACGATCATCACCACAGTAAGTTTTACAATATTTTCATAACCTCAAAAAGAAACCCTGTACCCTTGACCTACCACCTGCTTATCCCCTGTCTCCACTCCCCACAACACCTTCAATGCTAAGGAAACACTGATCTTTCTGTCTCTATAGATTTTCCTATTCTGGACTTTCATATAAATGGATTAATACAGTGTCTGGTCTTTCGTGACTGACTTCTTTCATTTAGCGTAAGGCTTTTAAGACCTAGCCATGTTGTGGCACGTATCCACACACCATTCCTTTTTATGGCTGAATACTATTCCATTGTATACATATACCACATTTTGTATACATATGCCACATTTTGTTTATTCACTTGTCTGTTGATTGACATTTGGGTTGTTTCCACATTTTGGCTGTTATGAACAATGCCGCTGTAAACAATTGCATACAAGCTTTTGTGTGTGTCTGTGGCTGCATCATTTTGCATTCACAGTAGTACTGCATGAGGGTTCCAATTCTCTATGTTCTCATGAAAACTTATTATTTGACTTATTAATTCTGGGCATCTGGGTGTAAAGTGATATCTCATTGTGGTTTTCATTTGTATTTCCCTAATGACTAACCAGGTCAAACATTTTTAAAATGTGCTTTTTGGCCTTTTATATATCTTCCTTGGGGAAATATCTGTTTAAATCTCTCTCCCATTTTCCAATTGTACTTTTTGGTTTTTTTATTCTTGAGTTATAATAAATATATAATACCTTTATATATTCTAGAAACAAGTTTCTTTCAGTTATATAATTTAAATATATTTTTTCCCATTCTGTGAGTTGTCTTTTCACTTTCTTGATGGTGTCATTTGAGGCACAACATTGTTTAGTTTTGATGAAGTCCAGTTTATCTATTTTTTTCTTTTGTTGCTCATATTTTTGGTATCATATCTAAAAATCCTTTACCAAATTCAAACTGGTTGTGTGGTAAATTATATGGTCACCCTAATTAGCAGTGCAGTCAATGAAGTACAGTAAAACTCCCTGATCTATGATGATATCATAACTCTAGTTGTAATCTCAAGAGCATCATACTCTAATGTGGTTTACCAACTCAAATTAACCACATATAAAAGTAAGAGTCATATGACACTAAGGAAATATAGAGAAAACCATTTTTATAATAGATAGAATGCATCAGAGGGTAAGAAGAGAAACCAAAGCTCACAGACGTCCTCCTTCTTCTTTTTCTTCTCCTCCTCCTCCTCCTCCTCCTCCTCCTCCTCTTCTTTCTTTTTTCTTTTTTCTTTTTTGAGATGGAGTCTCACTCTGTCACCCAGGCTGGAGTGCAGTGGTGCAATCTCGGCTCACTGCAACCTCCACCTCCCAGGTTCAAGAGATTCTCCTGCCTCAGCCTCCCGAGTAGCTGGGACTACAGGCCCACACCATCACACTGGCTAATTTTTGTATTTTTTAGTAGAGATGGGGTTTTGCCATGTTGGCCAGGCTGGTCTTGAACTCCTGACCTCAAATGATCTGCCTACCTTGACCTCCCAAATTGCTGGGATTACAGGCATGAGCCACATTGCCCAGCCCAGATGTCTTCTTTCAAAAGCCTATAACTATACTTTAAAGCCTCAAAGTCCAATCCCTTTTTTATTCCTAGAATATTGTATTCAATTTTTGCTGTTGAAACAGTGTGGCTATGTGTCAACATGCTCAGTAGGGTGTCTATTAACTTTAAAATGTCAGTTTAAAGGCAATTTTGTATTTTCTCTTAAGTAATTTAAATATATTTTACAAGTGAATTTCATAATTTGCTGGAATTAGTGACTAATAGTTACACAGCTAGCTTTAGTGATATAAATTCGCAGTCAAAAAAAAAAAAAAAGCTTAATGCAGCTAAGCTGAGGGCTATTCCAAATTCTAGATGTGTCATCTCTCTACCAGTTCTAAGGATATCAGCTTCATTGTCCTAACTGTATAACTCCACTGAATGAATTACAGTATTGAAGTTTAGACCTGATAAACAATCTACATGGCTATGAATTGGTTATCAGGTCAACTTAGTTATGAGTTAACGATGGCATGTGGTAAACTCCTGTTTAGAATTTAATGACAATAATAAATTTAAATATTTAAGAAGTGTTTCCCCATTTCTAACATATAGTTTAAAACAGATAAAGTTCTATATTTGAAGATAAATGAGTCTATTAATCATTGTATTAGTATTTTCAGGCTTCATATAAAATTGGGTCACATACTTTTGATGACATTGCTCTGATTGTAAGAAAAAAATGTGTTTTTATTTTTGATTCTGCAAACTTGAGTTATTTAAGGATTTAGTCTAGAGCAGAATTCTTTTTCTGTCTTTTGGTATAAAATCCAAAGATTAATATTACAATCAGACAAACATCTGATTATTTCACATTTGCTTGACTTTGTCCCCTGGGGCTGAAGGAGATGGAGGGACCAAATGTGTAATTTACCAAGACAGGCAGTTATTGCTTTCTTGGTTCTGTCAATCTGTTCGTACCTGTGATTATTTCATAAAAAGTATTTTGAATGATGTTACATGTTTATCAGTTTCAGGAACAGCTCTCTGGAGCAGGACACCAATGTCAAAAAAACGTAGCCAATGAAACTCTGGATTTTTTTAATTAGTTATCGAACTCTAAGAACTTTGAAATTATGTTTTTAAGTTATTCTTTAAACATTTCTGTGTCAGAAATAATTCATTATTGCATTATTCTCTCCATTTTTATATTGGGTCTATTTATTTGGCCCTGTCAGACAGCCAGTAGGAATAGAAGATCATAATTCATATTTCTCTATTCATATATTTAGAGAATAGTGTTACAGATATTGAGACATGGTGGCCATGTTTCTGCCCCCTTCTCCCTTCAGTCATTCAGCATCCCACCTGATTAACTAAAAGAGTATAACTCACAAAAGGAACATGTGTGGTGGGTTAGATGAGAATTGCTAACATAAGTGAGCCTCTCTTCTTTAAATGAGTGTGCGTTATCCTGACAGTTGGTAGAAACAAGGTTAGGAGCCATTGCTCCTGGGATAGGCTAATAAATATGGACCAAATTAAACACTTCTGATCTCTTAGAAAAATATGAAAAAATTGTGCCTGACTAGAGTTGTTCTAAATCAGTGCTTCTCAAACTTAAAAAGGCAAGCTCTGATTTAATAGTTCTTGAGTGAAGTCCAAGATTGCATTTTCTAACAAACTTCCAGGAGATAGACACTGCTGGTGCAGGGACCACACCGAGTAGCCAGGGTCTATGAGGTCCAGGTTTGCAGTGGTCCCCTTAGGGTACTGGAGTTGAAAGGTGAAATGACAGGGCCTGCTGCAGGAGGAGGCAAGTACTTGCTCCTGTGAACAGAAGGGGCAAGGAGGAAGCTCCAGCAAGCACTGAGGGAGAGGCACTAACCATGGAAGAGTGATGAGTCAGAATCCCTGCAAAATCTTCACCAATGAGAGCAGACTTCTTTTGAGA
The DNA here is from genome assembly GCF_000001405.40 of Homo sapiens. NCBI lineage: Eukaryota > Metazoa > Chordata > Mammalia > Primates > Hominidae > Homo > Homo sapiens. The sequence goes on along the minus strand of NC_000002.12, from coordinate 179,692,733 downwards.
GATGGTCTCTCAGAAAGTTGCTAATATTTGGAGAGGTAAATGAGAAACATTATTTACACAGTGGCATGAAAGACAACTTTAGCAACCAGCTTCTGAGTGAAATACAGGAAATTGGCATATCAAAGTGCAGTAATACATGTGAAAGCACTTTGTGAAACGTAAAGTGCTACTCAAATATAGGGCACTTATCATTAATCTAATAGCCTTGGGCAAATCAACTGACATGGGGTTGGGGAGGTCACATCAAGATTATCTATAAGGGATACTGAGGGAAACGGGGATTTGGAGCAGTAATGAACAGCTAGTTTTAAAGTCCACGTAGAGAATGGAGGAGTGGGAAGGATACATGTGGTGACAAGATCTTTTGCTTGGGGAAGAACTGGAACCAGGGAGCTATAAGGGACCTTAAATGTCTCTTGAGGCAGATCCCACACTTTATATGTGAGCAAACTGAGGTCCAGGAAAGCTAAATTATGTGCACAAAATGACTCAGCAAGTGGGGAGCAGAGCAGTGACCCACCCCTTCAGCACTTGGAGATAGAGAGCAGAATGATGGGTCACCAGAGGCCAGGGGTAGAGGGGTAAGAAGGGATGTGGTGAGTGGGTACACAAATACAGTTAGATAGAAGGAATAAGATCTAGTGTTTGGTAGTACAATAAGGTGACTATGGTTAATAATAATTTATTGCATATTTCAAAATAACTAAAAGAGTGGAATTGGAATGTTCCTACCACAAAGATATAATAAATGCTTGAGGAGATGGATACCCAAGTTAGCCTGATTTGATCATTACACATTGTATGCTTGCATTAAAATATCACATGTATACCATAAATATGTACAACTATTATGTATTCATAATAATTTTAAAAATATTTTTTTAAAAAAATAAAACATTTTAAAAACAATAAGATACCCAGTTAAACTTGAATTTCAGATAAACAAAAATAATTTTTAGTTTAAATGTGTCCAATGAACACCTCTCATAAGGCCCAGTATATGTGATATACTGAAAAATTACTTGTTTTTGCTCTGAAATTCACATTTAGTTGGACATCCTATATTTTACCTGGCAATACTAGACTCATTGAAACTTCAGTACTTTTTAGTAAGTAGAGATATGCGATGAGGAAAATAAATTTCTTGAGCTGCTATTCACCTTGTATTTAGGATACAACTTTCATCAGGATGTGAGGTTCTGTGTGTTTTTGTTCCTCGGAGTTTCTCCAGTATCTAGATCACTCATAGCATTTGGTAAATATTTATTGAATGAGACAGTGAAATGGTAATGGTTAAAATATTGTGGCATGCAGGATGCTTAACATAATAAACAACAGAACTGACATTTAGATATTTCTTCTTAAAGAATATTCTCTGGGGCTCATATTTCATTTTTTTTATCAGAGCAGATCTTGGGTGAACTTCTCAAGAATGTTCACTGTAACATAAATGATACAAAGGATAGATTTTGAAAATGAACTTTTGAGTTCGTTTTCATAGGGTTTGAAAGTTCTGGATGACTAGTTTATTAGAATTACAAGATTAATTCTTAGGACTTTAATTGATTAATAACCTAAGGATTTAAGATGTGGCATATAGCACAAATCAATGTGATTTGGGATGTATTTCTAAAAAGAAAAAACAAAACAGTTCAGAACTCATTTTTCACCAAAGGGAAACATGACAGAGGTGCTGATAGCTGGAGCCTTGTCACTGCCTCCCTGCCAGCAAGGTAGGTGCAGATGGAGTAGATCAGAGTCATCTTCACCTTCCTCTAGATCTAAATCAGTGTTCAGGAAACTGATCGAGTGCACCCAGATTCAAGCACCTTTGATAAAACCATAATCTTGTAAGAATTCTTAAACTGAGACTTGTGGCAGAAAAGGATTTGGTGAAGTGCACGAATAATTACAACTGTCATTTGTTAAGGATTTACTGTGAGCAAGCATGATTTCATTTAATTTCATAAGACTCCTGCGAAGAAGGTGTGACCCCATATTTCAGATGAGAAAACTGAGGCATAGAAAAATGAAGTGACTTGACATAGTAAGTGGTGAAAATGGAATTTGACCCTAAGTTTCTTTCTATGCTACAACACTGCATATCAACTAATTCTTAGAATAATACAGTCCTGCAAAATATTGCCTTATTTTTAAAAAATCAGCAATTGAACACAATTACAATTGGCCCTTGAACAGCATGATTTTGAACTGCATAGTCCACTTATACATGGCTTTTTCCAACCAAATGCAGATCAAAATACAGTATTAATGGGATATAAAACCTGCATATGAGGAGGACCAACTTTCCTTATATACAAGTTCTGCAGGGCCAACTGTGAGACTTGAGTATGCACAGACGTGAATGGTCCTGGAAGCAATCCCCTATTTATACTGAGGGACTACTGTACAATTAGATCACTTTTCCGTGAAGCTAGCTCCGAGTTCACATGAAGATAATAAGCATCCTCTAACCCAAGGTCATCAGTCCAGTATCTCAGTTCTCTCTCTTTTTTTTCCCCTCTGTCATCTCTAGGAAGGCGACACACTCCCTCTGCATTTTCTCATTGTGCCGTTATCATCTTACCTGGGTCTATCAGCTGGTGCCTGGGCAAGCAACAGATGGTATATTCAAATAGAGTAATTGAAGAGAGTTTAATGAAGTTAATATTTTCTAAGGTATGGGCAGAGTTAGGAGAACCAATGGAAGAGTGAAGAACCAGAGACTAGCAATGCTGGAATCAATTATTGTTCCTAGACTCTGACGTTACTAGAAGACAAAGAGAGCTTTAGCTATAGGAGAGAGAAAACCAACAGGTAAGGAGCTGCTGTCTTCCAGGAAAGGATACAGCTAATTCATTGACATCAGGAAAGTGTAGAACCAAAGTCTGGGATAAAAACAAATAAACACACACACACACACACACACACACACACACACACACACACATGCCCCTGCCCTCACGCTCTTCTTCATGTAGTCTTGTCTTTTGCTGGTGGCTAACATTAATGGAACTCAATGAGAAACCAGAGCAGAAAGGAGGCACTGATGTAGTCAGTCTCCTGGGCACAGTGCAGGGTGAGGAATGGGGAATATTCGATCTAGAAGGGCAAATGGAAAATATCCATTGCATAGAGCTTCACTGCCATGGTCCTGTAGACCAATAAGCTTACCTTCCTTTCTCCTACACTCTTGTTTTCCATGTTCCCTTCCTTTTCTCTCCCAAGTTCTCTCTCCTGCAGTTGTCCCTCCATGCGCTGCTCTGCACGAGGGCCATTAGTGCTCTGTCCTTCACTTAAGTGATGTTAGCCCAATACTGGACTGAGTGTCCACAAAGCTTCAGGTTCTTTCCAACTCTGTTCTTAAGTCCATGCAGAGATGCATATGCATATGCTGTGGCAGTTCTCACTAGGAGCCCCCTCCACCATCACCTAATTCCTTGGTTCTCGGCTTTTACCCGTAAAGCTTTTCTTCCTTGTCATAACCATTGGCAGACTGTTTATCTGCCTCAGCATACCCTAGAGTGTTAGAGTCCTAAAGGTGTTTCCCTCCAATAGCCACACTCCTAGGAAATTAAGTAGACTCTGTCTCCATGGCAGTCCTGATTTCCTACATTTCATTTTAAAACTACATTTATTTTATTATGCACTGAAGTATTATTGACACATCATCCTCTAAATATAGATCTCACTGCGGTTAGAGGCAATGTCATACACTTCTGCTCATCACCAAAAGCCCAGGAAGAGTTCTCTTCCCATACAAATATTCAACATATTTCTTTAGGTTGATTGTTACAATAAATGCAAGAATTCAGAATGATAATATATTTTTAAAACCTAGTCTTTTTAAATAATTGACGATAAAATTGTATGTATTTATCATGGTTACCAGGGTCTAGGGCAATTGGTAGGGGTTGGGAAGATGTTGGTCAAAGTATACAAAATTTCAGTTACAGAGGAGGAGTACATTCAAGAGATCTATTGTACAACATGGTAACTATAATTAATAACAATGTATTGTATCCTCAAAAAATGCTAGAGGGTCGATATTAAGTGTCCTGTGACATTTCTGTCCCAGGAACAGTGGAAGTCCCTCTGCCTTTAACTTATTGCCCAGTAGTATCCAGGACACATTTGGCACAGCCTCAGAGCATTGGCACTCAAAGGAGATAGTTCAACAATGAAAGGCTTGTCTTTCTTCTTTCTTTCTGTTTTTGTTGTTGTTGTTGTTGTTGTTGTTGTTTTGCAGGGGGACAGGGTGGGGTTGTGGGGTGGTCTCACTTTGTTGCCCAGGCTGGTCTTGAACTTCTGGGCTCAAGAGATCCTCTCGCCTCAGCCTCCCAAGTAGCTGGGATTTCAGATGGGCACTACTGCTCCTGGAAGCTCTTTTTAAAAATAAAGGTTTTTACTTACTTTCCTTGAATATTCTGAAAAGGATCCATAACCCCCCACTCCAAACTTTGTACTTCCCTAAACTTCTGTGTACATCCCTTAAATCCTTAGGCATCTTTTCTCTAATTGTCCCCAAGCCCCTTCCCCACCTCTAACTCATATACCTGCTTTCTTTCTACTCTTCCCTCTTTCTTTCATTTCTAGACCACAGAAGTCCTGGAGAACTTGCCAGGCAACAAAACCCTCCTTGAGGGTAGAAAAGGGACAGAAACTGAGCTGGCAGAGTCAGAGTCCCAGTTTGTAGCTAGAGGATTAGAAAGACCACCCTAATGTTCAAACCAAATCTATGGGGTAGATGGTACTATCTCCAGCTTATAAATGAAGAAGTTGAAATACAGAGCCATGATTTGAACTAATTATGACTCCAGTATGTGCCATTTTCATGAATAATAGCAATATAGTAGCTTCTAGTAATTGAACAAATACTTTCACTAGTCCTGTGCTATCATGCATGTTTCATTTTAAATTTTCACATAAACCCCATGAGGTAGTAGTATTGTTACTACTATTTTATGCATGAAGATACTAAGGTATGGAAAAATTTTGACACTTTGTTGGCCACACAGATGGTGTGCTTCAGAGCCACAACTTGAACTAAGGCCTATCTTACTCCAGATCTGACTCCAAATCACTGCTCAATGTTCCCATGATACCCGCTTTATGATATTACATACTAGGAACATAGGGATAATATAGTAGCTCCTTTTTCATCCCCTGGATAATTCTAGATAATTCACTGGGGTTGGGGGATATTTTTAAGAGGTGAGAAAAAATCAGTGTGGTAGGTCCTACTGAGCTATAGCTTGAAGTAATGCAAGCCAGTTAGTCATACAACAAAGTCCATGCCCATAATTGAAATAGAGAAATTTGGAGTTTATAATGTGAATGAAGAGAATCAGAAATAGCAGATGAGTCTGTGGACCTGGAACTAGAAGAAAAATTACAAAATGTAGATTCCTCAAGTTGATGTTTATCAGTTAGCCCATTCTCAGATTTGGAAGAGGTTGAAGATTCACAATATTCCTTTAAAGATCATCTAGTAATAGTCGTCTTCCCCCTGGAGAGTTTCCCAGTTGTGTGGATCATTTCCTCCATGATTGGCTCCTGTTTTGTGCTGGACTGCACTCAAGCACCCATGGGTATTCTTGACAGCTCTTAGTCACACCAAATAATATCAGAGTAGAAGGTAAGGAAGTATACTGCATTCAGTTGAAAATATGGCTGTGATAATTTTGTGGAAGATGAGTCATGACACTGAAATTAGCCTACTAATTCTGAAGTGAATAAAATATGAAGATATTTTGAAAAAAAAAAAAACAGTACAAATTTTGGCTAGGCTAGTCAGTTACCTCGAGAGAATTGACACACACACAAAAGTTGTGAAATAAATCTCAGGAGCCCACAGATGAACTGTGCTGTAGAGTTCAGGTAATTTTCTAAGATATGTATTTCTAAACAAAATTTCAATTTTTTTAGTTGAAAGGTATTCAGTTTTTAGTAGATTAAGATAATTTTTAGTGTTAAAATAGAAATACTTTTTAGCTGATTTCTCACAAGATTCATGGAGCATTCAGGTTTTCTCTCCTGATTTTAGGAGCGAAGAGGTTGAAGGAACCATGCTTTTGGGATCATGGAAAGGTATACTAAATCATAAACTCAAAACATTGTCCTAACTGCCGACCAGTCATTCACATTGTTTACCCTTCTGCCTGTCCTACCACCTAACTTTACAGGTGAAGGAAGTGAGACTCAGGGACATAGTGTATAAAAGAGCACATGGTAGAACCCAGATCTCCTTCAGCCTTCCTTTCCCCAAGCCAATTTCTAATGTAAATCCTCCCCTTTCCAGGCTAACGTCTCTTTTCAATGTCAATTTTATTGAATTTTTATAACATCGTAGGCACTGTGGCAAGCACTTAGAATATAGAGAGCATGGAGTGCTCCAGAAGCTCACAATATGGGGCAGTTGTTTTTAAGAACAGCCCAAAGACCACAGCTCAGTGACACTGGGGCTGCTTATAATATAGAGGCCTAAGGAATCAGCACCTATGGAGAGGTTGTCCCTCACTACAGCTGTTAAAGGGGACACAGCAACATGAACAACTGATGGTTAGTGCTCAAGTAAAGGGAGGGAAATATGTTTATATAAATGGATTTGTAAACTCTTCCTGTCATGTTAGCTGAAGGTTTTTTTATGACCCTTGATTCAAGTGGGCAAATGAAAGAAAGCATGTATCTGAAAGGAGCAGTGGTGCTGAAAGGGAAGAAGGGAAAATAGAGAGGAGGTGGTCTCCACTCCCTTCCCAATTAATAGAAGGCAGCCAGGTCAGAGCCTTCCATATCATCTTTACACTGGGTCTTATTGGCCTTTGATGCCAGCTAATGTGGAACATATATGTGATGGTGTGTGTAGTCCATCCTGGTTATCAACTTTTTATTAGGAATCTACCAGACCTATCTTTGCTAAATATGGTTTGCTCTTCAAAATCATGTAATGTTTAGCATCAGAGGGTGATTAAGTTGTAGGTACACAGGCTAAGCCTAGCAAATGAGAAGTGGGAACTGACTTTTTTTATTTTTTTTTTTAGCACTTTCTGTGTCAGGCCCTGTGCTGGGCACTTAAAATGTAGCATTTATCAATAGGCAGTAAAAAATTGTGCTGTCTGTACAGTCAGGATGATAGCAGTTACTATACTCCATCTATAGTCCATGAATGGGTATTGACTTCCATTTCTCCTTCCTAATGATTATATAACTATTGCACTTTTAATTAGGAGGGCAGTGATGCTGATACCAAGAAATTCAATGCAATGAACTTTTTATTATTAGAGATAAAAATTAAACCTCAATTCCTTTGGCCTTTTAATTGTTAACTATGGAATCAGTCAAATGTGGAGGCTGAAGAAGCATCAAGGGATAATGTAATTGCAACACTTCAAACAATTGTATCTGTCTGGAGAATGAAGATTGATGATCTGGAAAATAGATCTCATTGTTTCAGTAGTAGAGTTATGGGTTTTGCCAGTGGCTATTAAGAGAGCCTCTCTAAGAAACTTTTTACCGAAAGAAAAAAAGTGATACTTGTTAAATGAAGAAAATTTAATTCAGCCACTTTTCATTAAGCAAGGCCAGAAACTCTAATTCCCAAGTTCATAGTTGATGAAAGGCCCCAAAGCAGTAATTACCCATTTTTCAAGTTTCTTGATAGAAAACTCTTCAATTAGATATAGACAAGGGGAAAATTATAGTATAAGGCAGAGTATTTTGTCCTTTCTAAAGAGCACTAGGAAAATACAGACAAATCTAACAACGTTAAGACATAATTATTTTAAATAAGTTAAGCACTTTGAATTATCTTAAAAGATGTTATATTATTTTCAGTATTGCTATTTCACTTAAAGTGCCTAAAATTTTAGCTCAGAAAGTAAACTTGCATTCAGTGTTCATGTATGTTTCCTAAATCCTCGGAGAGGGTAGGTTGCCTTGGGTGTCTTTGGACATTCCTTGGGGAAATAGGTTATTGTGGATGAACTAGGTAGGGTTTGCTGTTCAAAGTCCCAGTGAACGTTGGAAGTGTGATTCGGTATGTCACGATGTTAGGAATATTGATTAGTTGTCTCACTTGTTGGTTCTAATATCACTTGACAAGCATCATTTGCACAATAATGATTTTTTTCTTCCTTCCTCATTCATAAATAAGGTAGATGTGAGTGTAAATTATTGACTTGGTATAAGCCTATGGACAATCATGGATTAATATGTGTAAGAGGAAATGCCTTCCTCTTTGTTAAACCACATAATGGTAGCACATGAATATTTTATTTTACCTTTTTGAAGTGAAACAAGTTTAGAAGGTGAGTTTAGGTAACCTAAGGCTTTCTTGTTTTCTTTAGGAGATAGTGTTTCTTGTTATTTGCTACTAACCAGAGAATGAAGATGTAATTGTTTACCTCAACAGGATAAAATGAAAACCACTCCGATTGTGGTTCACCAACAAGCTAAACTCTGAGTACAAATATGTCCAGGAATTATTTCTAATGTGAACACAAAGGCGATTCAGAACACACATTGAGAATGATTAGAAATAGTCACTGATATTCTTTATGATTTTGATATGCTAACGGAGGCTCCTGATAGCAGATTGTGAATTTAAATGGGAGGTTTCTAAAATCTCAGTCTTGAAAACTAAATTGTATGTGCTCATTATTATTAGACGGCTCCAAGGTCCATCTTTCAGAAATGAGAAAAAAACTACTTTACCTTAAATTTATAACGTTTCTTATTTTAAAGTAAAAAAAATTAATATGAGAATAGTGCTAAAATGTGATGAAATTGGGGAATCAGGGAAAATTGAAAACAGAAAAAAACAAATTTAAGCCCTTAGCACAGTTTGTTCAGGGCATTTGAGATAAAGTTGCCAATGACATGGTTAGAAAACAAACAAACAAACATAAATGTTTTCTAATGGTAACAGTAATGCAGTTTTGTTGTTATAAAACATTTCAAGGCCAGGCACCGTGGCTCACGCCTGTAATCCTAGCACTTTGGGAGGCCGAGGCGGGTGGATCACCTGATGTCAGGAGTTCGAGACTAGCCTAGCCAACATGGTAAAACCCCATCTGTACTAAAAATACAAAAATTAGCCGGGTATTATGGCAGGCACCTGTAATCCCAGCTACTCGGGAGACTGAGGCAGGAGAATCACTTGAACCCGGGAGGCAGATGTTACAGTGAGCTGAGACTGCGCCATTGCACTCCAGCCTGGGCAACAAGAGATAAACGCCATCTAAAAAAAAAAAAAAAATTCAAAAATGTAAACATGAAACCACAACAACGGTCCTACTGTGCTTCTTACACACCACTCAGAGATAGCCACTCTTAGCTCCTTTTTTTCTTTTTTGAGACACTCTGTTGCCCAGGCTGGAGTGCAGTGCCATGATCTCGACTCACTGAAACCTCCACCTCCCAGGTTCAAGTGATTCTCGTGCCTCAGCCTCCTGAGTAGCTGCGATTACAGGTGCCAGCTACCACATCCAGCTAATTTTTTTGTATTTTTAGTACAGACAGGGTTTCACCGTGTTGGCCAGGCTGGTTTCGAACTCTTGACCTCAGGTGATCCGCCCGCCTCGGCCTCCCAAAGTGCTGGGATAACAGGTGTGAGCCACCGGCGCCTGGCCTGGTGTTTCTCATCTTAACTTTATGTGTGACTGTGGGGGACTTTTTTTAATTGTACCTAATATTTGGCAGGTACTTTCTGTCCCATCTAATTATTTGCTATTATTGGTTTATATTACGTCATTAAAACACATTCAAAAAGAGAAACTGAGAGAGAAGGAAGCTGGGAATTTGCATAGCCAGGCTGCTCCTCTACCAGCTAAAGGGATGACTGTGCTTCCTGACCAGGAACCCTTAACCTACAGTACACAAGCTGTGATCTCAGCTGTGAAGTTCAGAGACCCGAAGTATGGATTCAACCTCATGGGGCAGTGAAGTCAATTTTTAAAAAATGTCTGTGTGTGTATGTGTGTGTGTGTGTGTACTTATATATCACATACATACAAATGTAAGAGGATTGGAGACCCCAATCCTCGGAGGAGGGTAGTAGGTTTATTTTCTTCTTGGATTCAGGAGGAATAAAAACTCAGTGAAACTATCACAAACCCAATGCTAGGAAGGAGATTACACAGGCCTGTGCCATAATCAGTCTAAATTCTGTTACATAAATTTGTTCAGAGACAGAGTTAAACCACAGTGAGAAGGCAAAAGTCATCTGAATGTGGTAAGTGAACACGGAAATGATTGCCAGGATTTTGGGATCAGAACATAAAGGAACAGAAAGAAGGCATAAAAGAGATCAGTTTTAAAAATAATTTGAGAAAAGGATATTTACTTTGCAGTTATAACAGGAACAGTAGGAAATAGAAGCTAGGAGGACATGTAGACCCAGCAAATCCTGTTTGCCCTGCATGTGGAAATAGAGGGAAAGATCTTAAATAAAGCAGAGCATAAATTCAAAAATTGCATTCTGGATCTGCTGAAAGAGAAGAGAGTCACAGAAAGGGGAAGGTGGGGAAGAGGAACACTATAATAAGTAAAAGCAGGTCCTACTGATGCAGGACAAAGGTGTCAGCAAGAACAGTTTCTGCTGTCATGTATTGAAAATTATGGGAGCCTTAGCATAATGTATTCCTTTACTTGACCCTGGCATGTGTGCATATATGACCTTTGGTGGCATTACAGGTAAACAGTGACTGGTTGAGGACACGATTTGAGTATTATTGGTTTGCCCAGCCAAATGCTATATCTTTACTATTATAAATTATGCTACAGCAAACATCCTCATATGTAAATCTTACAAGATTATAGGCATGTCATTAGTTGTTTTCTTTGAATAATTCTTATAAATTGAGTTACAGGGCCATAAGTCATGCACATTTTCAACTGTTAATACTTCTGGCCAAACGTTCTTCCATAAAGTTTGTGCCACTGCATACTGCCATCAACAATGGAATTGCATCCATTTCCCACAGTCAAAGATGAGACTGCCAACACATGATCAGTTTTATAAAACTCTGAATTATTTTTTCTAATAATGTAGAAGATGTCAATTAAGTTACATGAACTCTTTTTCCTGATACCCATTGTGATCAAAAGTATGCAATTTTAAAATACCTGGGGGTTATTAGAATTGTATTCTATAGTGATTGAAGAGTATTTAAGCTATACAAAGGGATCACAGTCATTAAATTATTTTATTACCAAAGTATTTCAATCCATTTGTCTAACCATAATGTAAAACACTTATTTTTCTTTCATACTTCTTATTGTGTAGCCACATTAAGGAAATTAACAATTCTTTCTTGCCCTAAGACTAGAAAAATGAACTAAAGAACTTCAGAACATAGAGTCCCTGAACAGTTTGGTTATGCTACCATGATTCAGCTTTAAAAGAGCGTCCAAAACAGAATCCTACCTGTAACTGAAATTTTTTACTGTTATTTAACAAAATATGAAACATTGTTCATGTACGTTATTTAATGTGAAAAAAATAAAAATAAATGGAAAATGTCCTTTCTGTTATTGACCTTAATAAATTTATGTAGTTTTAAAAACGAAGAGGTTTAGGAGAAAATATCAATGCCAGTTTTGAAGACTCACAATGAGTCTAGTTAGAATCAAAAGTTTCAAAAAAAAAAAAAAACAGTTGTTTAAGTCATAGATAATTTATTCTGGTCTCACATTATTTTAAACAGCTGCATGTATAATAGAAAGGATCCAGGGATCAAGAATTGAAGTGTTAGACTTAACACTGCCACTTTCTAGATGTGTGAACTTGGGGAACAAAATTTGACCATCTCTGAGTCTCAGTTCATATATCTATATTTAGAAGACAATTTTCAGTGCTTCTTATCTCTCACAGGATGGTTCTGAGTATTGAGATAAAGGACTGATAATTTGTGAACTGTTTTACACCTCTAATATTACTTACTACTTTTAATAATTAGGGTAAGATATTTTCTCTCAAGACATCAAGATCTTAGATTTTAATATTTAACATTCTTAAGTTAAAACCAGTAAAGGTGAGAGGAAATTGAAGGAAAGTCAAAAAAGAAGAATATTTTAAGTAAGCTTTATATTGAAGTATAACATACCTGCGAACAGTTTATAAATCCTAATCGTTTGTCCTAATTAATTATAACAAAGTTAACAAACTTAAGTAACTACTAGCCAGGTCAAGAAATAGAACATTACCAGCAATCAGAAGGTCCCCGTATGCTCTGTTATAAACCAATAACTACTATCCTATTTTCCAAAGATAACTACTATCCTGACTTCTAACTTTATAATGTAGGGTTGCCTTTTCTTGACTTTTATATAAATGGAATTATACAATATGTATTTTAAAAATCAGCCTTTTAGAGATGTTATGTATAACCATAGTTGAGTCATCTTTATTACTAAACAGTATTTCATATTTCAAATATACTATAATCTGTTCAGAAATACTTTTTCAAATTAAGGAAGTTCCATTTTATTTATAGTTTACTAAGCTTTTTTGTCAAAAGTGGAAGTTTCACTTTTTAAAATGCCTTTTCTACATTTCTTGAGATGATCACATGATTTTTCTCCTCTATTCTGTTGAAATAGTAAGAATTAGATTGATTTTGGAATGTTTAACCAATCTTGCATTCCTAAAATAAACATAACTTCATTATCCAAAGTAAATGGTACAAATTTTATAATTATTTCAAAGTGAAAAGTTTATTTCTTAAAAGAAAGAAAGTGAGAAAGAAAGTGGAGCCATTTATTAGCCAGGTTTAGTTGTGGTCAAAACTAACGTACAGTCACTTTAAAGTCGTGAGTTTCAAATGAAGTTAAAACAAAATGGAGAGAAATCAGGGATCAGGTTTAGACTGATGGGGTAGGCAAAAGCATAAATAAGAAACATAAACAGTCAGTTTAAAACTGTTAAGTCTCAGAATTTCAGAATCAGTTGATAAACTGTGAACAGCACATTAGAAGGCATAACTGGGTGGGAATCTTTAGGGGTGGGAGGTGATTCACCTGACTTAGTGACCCCGCCATGGGTCGAAAGCATAGGAATCTCCACCAACCATTCTGCTGTTCTTCTTTGCTATAATAACAACAACAACAACAACAACAACAACAACAACAACAATAATAGCTGTTAATAAGAAATAAAATGGAAGAAGGCTTAGAATTTTAATGGAAGCTCAGAATGATTACCATTACCATTTAGTCCAAGATCCAGTGGTACATCTGTAAGCCAGGGTCAGTTTAGGACAGTTTTTCACTGGTGCTGACAGAAATTAAGGAACTCAGTCTTCTCGCTGAATTTGCCAGATTAGAAGTATTTTTCAGTTGCTTGAAACAAAATTACAGTCATGCATCACTTAATGATGGGGATACATTCTGTGAAATATGTCATTAGGCGATTTTGCAGTGGGAACATCATAGAGTGTAGTTACATAAACCTAGATGGTATAGCCTGGTAAATATTTGTGTATCTAAAAGTTTCTAAACATGAAAAAGGTACTATAAAAATACATTATTATAATCTTATTGGACCACCATTTAAAATGGGATCTGTCATTCTGTCATTGACTGGTGTCTTTGAACTGCAGTTCAGTCATTGACTGAAATGTCATTATGTGGTACTTGACTGTAGTTCCTTCTATATATTAGACTACTGACAATTACATGAGCGTCTAACACTGCAAAGCATTGAGAATACAAAGTGTTCTTTGTATTCTAAGAAAGCACAATTTCTAACCTTAAGGAAATTATAATTTGGTTGTGGGAACATTGGTTAAATTCAAATTAATAAATTTTCATACACATTATTGTTAATGCTCAACATCATGTGGGAATGTGTGGATAGCAAATCTTAGTTCAATGTAGAGGGAAATTTCCGTGGGGATAGGAGGTTGGATGACTTCCCAAAGAGCATATAACCTTAACTCCACTGATAACTGTTTAAAACTTAAAATAACAGAGAGTATGGCAGAGGACACAGCTGGTTAGGAAAGTGGACTTGAGAAGGCATTGTGTTTGTTTAGATTAAGGTCATCTATACTGACAGAAAACCCAAAATAACAATGGCTTAAGCAAAACAGAAATGTATTTCTTCTTTTCCTAGTTTGTCAATCATCTGTGTCTGGCATGATATTCCAAGGTATCAGGAAACCAGGTTCCTACTTTCTTTTGCTCTGATATCTTCAAGCACACAGTTTCACCTCAGTGTCCTGTATGGCTTCTCAGGCACCAGTAATTACATCCCAAGCACTAGAAGGAAAGAAGCACAGGCACTTCCTCTTCCTTTAAGGAAATATAGTACCTAGAAGTCCTTCATGGCCTGAGCTTTGTCACATGGCACACTTGCCTGAAAGAGAGGCTGGGAAATATAGGCTTTATTCCAGGTAGCCATGCACCTAACTAAAGATTAGTGATCTATTTATAAAGAAGGAACAAACATATACTGAGAGAGTAAGAGAACTCTGCCAAAGTTATTGGCACAGGAGCGTAGGTGTGAGGAATGTTGGACAAGTGTGAGGAGACAGATTGACTGAAACAGATAATTTTTGTATCTCATATATCCAACACAAGAAAATAACTTGGTCATGAGTGAAGGGAATCACAGATATTTCTCTTAAAGAAAAATCCAGCCTTATTCAGTTTGACTTTAACAATGAAGTCACTCTTTTTTTCTTTTTGGTTTGTGGCCCCTTGATAGAAAAAAAAAGAGCTATTTATATCATCCTTGCTAAGGGGGACTAATTCTGCAAGGTCTCTAGGTTCATTCTTCTGTGGTATGTATCTGCTCAGATTATTACACAATGCAAATTGGAAGTACTGAGAACTCTACTAGAAGGAATGCATCTTGAACTAGAATTTCAGAAAATAACACAATTCTGTAAAAAAAATCTCAAATGGTGTTTTAGAAGAAGGACCCTGTGAAGTGGACGGGGAAAAAATGGAATCTCTTCAGGTTAGTCTGCTTTTTGTTTATGTAGAAGAGAGATTAAACATATAAATGAAGGCATGAGGCACCATCCTCATCTTTTCCCATTTTCAGGCATAGGTTTGGCTCTGCCCTTCCCATCTCAACTATTATCTAAGTCACATGCTAGGCAATTAGTAGATCTTTTCAAATAAAAAATGTTTATTTGCCTTTCTGATTTACCATTGTAACACTAGAACTCAGAGAAAGCATTTTAACTTTTATAGTAAACAATAAAAAAGCCTCATAAAGCTTCTCACAACAACTTCATTCGTTTCAGAAGTTAAGATATATTCCTTATGAATACCAACATTGTGACATTTGTGTTGCCAATTATTTTCTCTGGAATCATTCTTTTAACTTCACTTCCTGTTGTTTGGGAAGACTTTGCAGAGAACATATTTTTAATAGGCTATAATCACACGGGCAACAGAGATCTTGGCAAGTAGCTATTAACGGTATAGACAGAAACTTGGAGTGTGATGGTTTTAGACTTCCTGTGCTTCATGATGCTATTTTAATGCACTAAGAGTATAAACTAAATTTAGATCCTGCTGACTGTTGCTGGAGTGAGTGCATGTCTCTTTTGCAGACAATGCTAGATTTAGTTTCTGTGTATTTTTGTCAAGCTGGGAATGCAGTTTGAAGCTCCCAGCCCTTCTAAGCATTTTTATAGCTATACATATGTATTTCATGACTGCTTTGATTTGCAACTGGTCACTTAAGTTTTGTTGTTCTTAAAGCGGTTACTGACACTTGTGGTGTTTCGTGTGTGTGTTCATTGCATTTTATTTTAATAAATCCTGGGGTTATACTAAAAGTTAATTTCTGACATTAAGCCCATATTACTCCCTGAGTATTTCTCTATTCCACAGTTTTTCAACCTCAGCACCATTTGGCATGTTTAGCAGCATCCTTGGCCTCTACTCATTAGATACCAGTAAGCACTTCTCTCCACCTCAGTGGTGACAACAAAAATGCCTCAGACATTACCAATTGACCCCTGAGGGACAAAATCCCCCCCAGTGAAGAACCACTTTCCACTCTAATCCGTCCACTTCTTTCCAACTCCTTCACTACTGCCACAGTCCAGGCTACTGTCATCTCTCAGCAGATGATGGCAACAGCTCCCTGTGGGCCTGTTCTGCCTGTCCCCCCGCTGCTCTCCAGGTCATTCTCCATATTGTAGCCAGAATGATCTTTTCAGAACTCAAATCTCATCATGTTACTCCCTTTAAAAATACTGTCGGCCTCACGCCTGTAATCCCAGCACTTTGGGAGGCCAAGGTGGGCAGATTACGAGGTCAGGAGATCGAGACCATCCTGGCTAACACGGTGAAACCCCATCTCTACTAAAAATACAAAAAAATTAGGCTGGGCGTGGTGGCTCACGCCTGTAATCCCAGCACTTTGGGAGGCCGAGGCAGGCGGATCATGACGTCGGGAGATCGAGACCATCCTGGCTAACACGGTGAAACCCCATCTCTACTAAAAATACAAAAAATTAGCCGGGTGTGTTGGTGGGCGCCTGTAGTCCCAGCTACTCGGGAGGCTGAGGCAGGAGAATGGCATGAACCCGGGAGGTAGAGCTTGCAGTGAGCAGAGATCGTGCCACTGCACTCCAGCCTGGGCGGCAAAGCGAAACTCCGTCTCAAAGAAAAAAAATACTGTTGGCCAGGCGCAGTGGCTCATGCCTGTAATCCCAGCACTGTGGGAGGCTGAGGGTGGGCCAATCACGAGGTCAGGAGTTCGAGACCAGCCTGGCCAACATGGTGAAACCCCGTCTCTACTAAAAATACAAAAAATTAGCCGGGTGTGGTGGTGGGCGCCTGTAACCCCAGCTACTTGGGAGGCTGAGGCAGGAGAATCACTTGAACCCAGGAGGCGGAGGTTGCAATGAGCGGAGATCATGCCACTGCACTCTAGCCTGGTGACAGAATGAGACTCCATCTCAAAAAAAAAAAAAAATTACTGTCAGTATTTTTCAATGACTTAGTACACAGATACAACTCTTGAAAGTGGCCTACCAAATTCATCCTAGTTGGACACAAAGCACTCCTTGGCCTCACCTCAACCCACTTTCTCATACCAGTTCAGGCCCTTATACCTGCCCTTTTCCTCCTGCTCTTGCCTTACTCCACCTGTTTCCTCTCACCTGCATGACTCACACTCACTCTTCAGTTCTGCCTTCAGCCTCAAGCTGCCAGTGTATTCTTATTTGACGATGTAGGAACAAATCAGATTGACAAGGTACTGGTAATTCTAGGTCAATTGGATTAGAGTCAATTATCCGAAAACTACTTTATCAAAAGACCCGATTATTGAACTAAGTCAGCAAATACAGTTGACCCTTGAACAATGTGGGATAGGACTGCATGGGTCCACTTACATGCAGATTTTCTTCCACCTCTGCCAGCCTGAGACAGCAAGCCAGTGCCTCCTCTTCCTCTTCCTCCTCAGCCTACTCTACATGAGGACGACTAAGGTGAAGAACCATATGATGATCCACTTCTACTTAATGAATAGTAAATATATTTTTCTTCCTTATTTTCTAAATAAGATTTTCTTTTCTCTAGCTTACCTTATTGCAAAAATATAATGTATAATACATCTGCTATATAAAATATTTGTTAACCAAATGTGTTATCAGTAAGGCTTTTGGTCAACAGTAGACTATTAGCAGTTAGATTTTTGGGAGTTGAAGTTACTTGTGAATTTTTGACTGCATGGGGGTTGCTGCCCCTAACTCCCATAGTATTCAAGGGTAACTGTATACAAATTTAACACAACCTTGATTTTCTTTTTACTCTGTATAGTGTTTCCTACAGTGAGTTTTGCATGGGTTAGATAGGATTTTAGGGAACTATGAGGATTGTGAGGAGTTAGTATTTGGGGATTTGGGGGTTATAAGGCTTTCTCCCTACCTGTGAGCCCTGTCCCTCTATTCAGTTTTCCCTCTCTGGGACTAGACCACCCATGTGCTGACCTGTGTCTCCATCTAGCAGACAGCTGGAGTCAGAATCAAGTTTAAAATTCCTTAAAATGCAGTAATGGTAACATAAGGAAAAGAAGAAATCTTCAAAATCTATTAAAATATTTCACATAATATGTGTGACTTCATAGTTTGTAAGCAGATAAAAACACAATTTGCTAAATTGTTGAAGCTGATAAATTCAGTTTGTCTTTTGGAGTTATAAGGAAAGGATCCTGAAAATTCTAGAATATTGGCAAGATTGATAATGACTTTAAAATAATTCAATAGAAATCAGTATCAGGTGAAGGTTTCCCATGTGAAATTTGGGTTATATTTATAAGAATGAATTCATTCATAAGACTAAACCACCCACTGCCCCCTAACTTTTGACAAATTAAATATTATTTTAAAAGGTCATAAAGCCAATGTATTTTTACTACAGTCAAGAAAAATACGTCATAGTTGCTCAATTACAATTCTACATTTACTTGATTAATAATAATCCGTCTCCTTCACTACATTAAAAGCTCCATGAGAGCAGGAATTGCGACCATTTTTTGCTCATTAATTATCTACAGTGCATATTGTAGTACCAGGCATAGAGTAGATGTTCATTTAAATCTTGTTAAATAGATAAATACTTTTTTTCAAAGGAATGCAATATTAGCCTTTAATATATAATAATAGCATTGCAAGTTGTCCCTGGCCTTACAAAAACTATTGATAATTTAGGATATAGTTCTGTATAAACAATGATATATAATAACATATATAGTAACTGTGCTTCTAAGATCAATACATCTAATTTAATCTTTTGATAGTTATATCAAACATTTCATTTTCAGATAAAAGTCTGCATGATTTTATGTTGCATAAAAAGGTTTATAAATCTTATTTACTGCTGTAAATGAAATAATGTGGTTCTTTATTAAGTTTAAGAAATATTCCATTGTGAGAGTATTTTAAAAAGTTATGAAATAGTATCTTCAAATAAAACTAGAATATGAGTATTGTCTTTAGATTAAACAGATTCCACTTAATTGTTGGCAGTGATGCTTTTGTAGTTTGAGTTGATGTCATTCTGAGATGAGTCAGAATACATATGAATATAGTAGGCTTTCCAAAGGGGCTGGAGAAGAGGAAAGTCAAGTGAAGGAGGCAGAAGGAAGGGGGGCAACAGGTAGGCCTGAGAGAAAAATTGCCTTTTTAATTTTATTCAGGGTCTTGTTTGAAAACTGCCATAATTCCAACACATGTTCTCATTTTTTCTTCTAAATTCTTCTTCCACATAAAACATTAATACCAGTTATTTAATCTCTTAATGATCATTATGGGGTCTACTATCCATAATTCTTCAATTATTTCATATTTTGTATACTATACTTTATAACTTTAATTAAGAGATTTGTGAAAAGCGTATGATGTTTTCTGTTTCTGTCTTTTGCTCATGGTGGCTCATAATTTTGGATTGTGAGCTCATGTTCCACTGGGCTTTCTCTGTGGGAACTTCAAGCCATGGGTTGAGGATGCACTTCTTTAGAAAGAATCACTTTAGTTACTTCCAGGTGCTCTAGGATGCAACCAACCCTGGAACATATATGTTACTTCGCTTGGCTTGGGGTTTCTTGGACCAGGAAGATAGTGAATATCTAAATCCTGAACCATGTAAGGGTAGGACTATGGTTATAAATTCTCAGAAAGCCACTCTCTCCCCTCAATATCTAACCAAAACAGACGGCTTTTCTTGCCGTCTCGCTTTGCTGTTGAGTAGATTTCTCTGCAAAGGATTTGGCCTTGAGTTTCATTTTTTAACTCCCCACCTTGCAGAGGAGCAGAGCCTTGATTTTTGCTTCTATTCAGCTGTCAGACCTAAGTCTCTAGGATACCCACATTGGAATGCCCTCAGCTGTCTTAGTTCATTTTGGCTACTATAACAAAAAAATGTCTTAAACTTGGTGGCTTATAAACGACAGAAATTTATTTCTCACAGTTCTGAGGCTGGGAATTCCAAGATCAAGGGGCTAGCAGATTCTGTGTCTGGTAAGGACCCACTTCATCATAGATGAAAAAGAGTTTTCTCTGCATCCTCACTTGGTGGAAGAGGTAAGGAGTCTCTCAGACATCTTTTATAAGGGCACTAATTCCATTCATCGGGCCTCTACTCCCAGATGTCTCCCAAAGGCCTCACCTCCTAATACCATCGCCTTGGGGGTTAGGATTTCAACATAAAATTTGGGAGGGACACAAACATTCAGACCATAGCATTCTACCTCTCACTCCTCCCCTAAACCTCATGTCTTTCTTCCATACAAAATACATTCATCCCATCCCAAGAGAACCGAAAGTCTTGACTTGTTTCAGCATTGACTCAAAAGTCTAAAGTCCAAAGTCTCATCTAAATATTATCAAAATCAGATATGGGTGAGACTTAAGGTATGATTTATTCTGAGGCAAATTCCCCTTCAGCTGTGAGCCTCTGAAATCAAACAGGTTTTGTGCTTCTAAACTGTAGTGGTGGGGTAGGCACTGGACAAACATTCCTATTCCAAAAGAGAGAAATAGGAAAGAAGAAATAAGTGATAAATTCTGAGTGAGAACAAAATCTTAAGGCTCAAGAATAATCTTTGATTCAAAGCTCTGCCTTCCAGACCCACTGGAGCTGTGGTCCCACCTTCTGGACACATTGGGGCAGAGGTTGGATCTGCAGGATTCCAAGCAGCCCTGTCCACACTGCTTTGTAGGGCATAGCCCATGTCACAGCTCTCAAGAGTTTGAATTGGACACCTGCAGTTCTCTTGAGCTGGAATCTTACCCGGGTGTCTCTACCACCCCAGGGTATCAGGAGCAGCCATTTTGTCCCAGTTCTGCTAGGCCTTGCCCTAGTAGGGGCTCTGTGCAGTGGTGCTGTCCTGGTGACAGTTCTTTGCCTGGTTCCCACAGTCCTCCAGGGCATCCAAATCTAGGTGGAGGCAGCCACACCCCCACTGCTTTGCTGGCTGCAGTGCATGCTACATCTGGGGCAGCTGGGGAACATAGGATGGAGTTCAGAGAGTGGAGTGCAGGTGGCAGAGCCTTGAGACAGAGGGGCTGGGGGAACAGGGCTACAATGAAGTTTCATGTGTGCCTGTAGCCCCTTCGTTGAAATTGTACTACCTACCTCCCTTCTACTGTGTGCCTATGATGAGGGTGGCAGCCCTGATGATTTCTGAATTGCTTTTGGAGTCATTTGTTTTAGCATCTTGGACAATAATAGGTCCTGGATTTTGTTTAGACAGCTGACTCATCTTCTTGGATCATCATCATTTGGCCACACCCTTCGTGTTTTGTCTTGAATATGCTTTTCAATATAATAGGTTCTGAATTTCGCAAAGGTTTAAGTTCTGCTTCCCTTTTATTAATAATTCCATTTTTAAATTAGCTCTCTCTTCTCACATTTTACTAAAATCCCTCAAGAGGGACCAGATTGCATCCATGGTGCAGGCTAATCAGAAAAAGAGAATATTTTTGAGCTGAGCTGGAAATCACATGCAGGAATTCAGTATTTCAAGCGGGAGGAGCATAAGAAAAGCCAAAGACACTCTTGGAAGTTCTTATTGTGTTGAGGAACATTAAGCAGCTGACAGTCGCCAGAACCATCTCAAATAGACAAAGTTTTTATACTTGAAGGCACTTTGATACAATAGTGGTAGCTAATATTCACCAAGCATTTGCTGTGTGCCAGTCACTGTTGCAAGTGCTTCACATGTAGTATCTCATTTAATTCTTTCAACAATTCTGTGAGGTGGGTGCCATTATCATCACATTCCATAGATGGAGAAACTATAGATAAGTGACTTTTCCAAGGTCACAGAGTTACAGATGGGCAAGCTAGGAAAACTAAGTCCAGTTATTCTGACCCAGAGCCCACACTCTTAGCCTTTATCCTCCACTGCTCACAATGAAGGCTGGATTTGCTCTGGAGGATTTAATCAAAAGTTCTCATTTTTGAGAAATCTCAATTAATGAAGAAAATTTATCTCTTTAGACTGTATGTACCCCCTAAATTCACTCATTCTTGTTCAAATTATTTAATTAAATATTGTCCTTCTCCAAGAAAACTCCGTGATTAAACGGATGCCTTTTCAGTGGTATGTTGGACCAGCTCATGAGAACCAATCATTAGCTTTTCAGAACTTTTGCCAGTTATTAAATATAGCTGTTTTTAAAATAAATTATATAAATGTACATTAAATGAATTGTATTTCAAAGTGAGTAACAAATTTTCAAGACCTATTAGTTCCTATTTTTTTTTGTTTGTTTTTGTTTTTACGTTCTACTGCTATCCATGCTCTTGAGTTTTTCTTATGACTGTTACATCTGTATGGTGGAAGTACTAGAGAGTAGCATGCTACTGTACATCTCCTCCCAATTCCACACTCAATAATGTCATGCTGTTAGCTGTCAATTGGCAATGGTGAAAGTATTAGCACCATGATTTTTTTTTTTTTTTTTTTTGAGACGGAGTCTCGCTCTGTGGCCCAGGCGAGAGTGCAGTGGCGCAATCTCGGCCCACTGCAAGCTCCGCCTCCCGGGTTCACGCCATTCTCCTGCCTCAGCCTCCCGAGTAGCTGGGACTACAGGCGCCCGCCATCACGCCCGGCTAATTTTTTTGTATTTTTAGTAGAGACGGGGTTTCACCGTGTTAGCCAGGATGGTCTCGATCTCCTGACCTCGTGATCCGCCCGCCTCGGCCTCCCAAAGTGCTGGGATTACAAGCGTGAGCCACCGCGCCCGGCCAGCACCATGATTTTGTAAACACTGCTAATCAGGGATTTTCCCTCACCTCCAGAGAGCTGGTTGCTCAACATGTACCACCACACCACCACCATTATCTCTTCTTTAAAACATTTCACCTTAAGTTGATTCTCAGGAGGGCTCTGTATTATATAGAGGGTTTAACTTGTGAGACCTCTGGTGTCTAAACTGTATTAGTTCTTCAGTACCTAAAAGAAGTTTGGAAATGTTCATCAGTTTCTCATTAACATAATTATTTCAGAAAATTGAGAATCCATCTTAGCTTTAATAACCTCCAAAGAAACCCCATCCTTGTGTTTCATGATCACCAGTGAATGAAAGCTTCTTGGTTTAAGAAACTCAAATTCATTACTCCAGAGTAAAAATGTGTTTTTTCATTTTCCCCCTCAATTTGCTGAAGCTGGGAGCCACTATCATGTAGAGGAAAAAGTCAAGATACCTAGAGGCTGCTTCTGGCTAGGCCACTAAATAGCCAGGTGATCTGGGCTTAGTGGTCACTTTGCACTTTAGAATCATCTGGAGACTTAAAAAATATGCTGGGAATTTTAAATATGCTGATGACAGGCCCCACCTAAGCCCATTAAGTCTGAATCTTTGGGAGTTCGAGCCTATGTGTTGGTGTACTTTGAAATGCTCCTGAGATGGTTTTAATATGTAACCAATTTGAGAACTACTGTTCAAGATATTTACAGAGGATGGACAGTCTGTGATTAAAGGGTCCGGCTGCAGGGCCAGAACTCCTGCTTTCAAATCCCCACTCCTCAACTTCCCCTAGCTATGTAACCTTGGGTAAGTTACCTAGAGTCTCTGGGCTTCAGTTTCCTCATGTGTAAAATTAGAATAATCATAATATATTAGTTAATACAGATAGAACCTTTAAAGCATCTTCTGACACTCAAGTATTTTTTGACAGTAGTACAACTAAATATAAATATGCTCTCTTCATAGTTCTGTGTTGTCTCTATGCTTTGTAACATACAGCCATTTACATACTTGAAGCTGTACCTTGATATTCTTTTTACTATACTTTTTAAGCTTTCCTTTTGTTTTCTAGCCTTTTAATTATATCAATATTTCCCCTTTTAACTGCCCAAAATTCTTTATTTTCCTTTTAGTTGGAAAACCCCAGACAGGGTAAAGTGCTTCAGATGGCTCCAAGCCATTGCTGCACAATATCTACTGTATCATTTTAATAAATCTTTAGAATTAAAACTATGATTTGGCTAAAAATGATGTTTCCTTTACATCACAAAAAATTAAAATTGTCCCTTTTTTCCCCTAGCTTATGAGGTAGTAGCAATGAATTTTTGTAGACCCTCCTCTCAGCAGAAACTAATCAAATATAGAAAGTTAAAAAAAAAAAAAAAAAGAAAGGTGTTGGCTCCAGGAACTGTGTGATAAGATGAACTTGTAGAGCAAAACACTTTAACCAAATCTTTATGTGCAAACAAAAATAGAGAAAATGCACTGTTTCCATCCATTTAGCTTAAGGAGGGTTAATGACTAATGAAATAGAAATAAAGGAGGAACCCATCATGAATATACTATTTTAGGAGCAAAATTCACTGGAAGAAGTAGCTAAAAAGTAGTTTGATAAAGGAGAATATGAGGGCATGGCAAATCAAAAGGACAGACTACTGTATATTGTGGTCTCTTCAGATGCCTGTTTTTCAGCACCTTTGATAGAGAAAAGGGAAAAATTAAGGTAACTATATGAGTATTACCAACAAATATTTTGAGGTTAAAAAATGGAAAAGATTAATTCAGTACTATGGTCTTCTGTGACCCTCATAATTTTATATATAGAAGGTTGTAGAAATTATTAAATATCATGGTGTCATTAATATTAATGCATATTAACCAGTACTCCAAATTGACTTATGGATAGGATGATCCTTCAGAGACTTAAGAGGAATTGAGTACCATCACTTGTGATTAACTTTTGCTCTTTTCTTGTGGAGAAAACTAAGTCTAGATACGTGAAAAGTCATTTTCTCTTGATTAGGATTTGTTTGGTTGCAAGGAATAGACAGACTCAGGCCAACTTAAGGAGGAGGAGGTCTGTTTTGAGAATACAACAGTGAATCTCAAGAAATCTAAGGTCAGTGATTGTAGCTGGCTGGGACTTAAATACAACTGATGTCAGTTACCTGGAAAATCATAGGGAATCATCTTTTCCCTCAAGTCAGTGTATACCTCTCTTATGATATCTGGTCATCTCTGCACTGTATGTTGTATTCTCCTCTCTCTAGGGACCTTTCCTTCTTCCCTATAAACTCTGGCTTAAACATAGCTGCCAATGAAGCTGTTCAGAGCTTGGCACTTTCCAGCATTTACTCCACTGTTCCACATCTTCCCAGTTCCTGAGGGATGGATTAGCACATCGTTTTGAACCAGGCCACCAGTCACATTGTGTCTGATTAGCTGCCCCGAAATCAGTGACCCACACCTGGTCCAGTCAGCTATGGCTGGAATGGGATAGAGTCATGTGGTACAAAAAGGGGTTAGATTAGGTAGAAGAGGCTGGGGGCTGGCAAGCACTGGACACATTTCTTGTATTCTGCCTTAACTACAAAATGGTGGGGGGGAGGGAGACTAAGTTTTTTCCAGGTAAAAGTTGCAGCACATGCATAGTACATGATTTCTGCAGAATATTAGTGACAAAAACTCAGAAGTCTTCCTGGTTTACTACTGTGTTTCCAGACTGTTTTAAGCTCACTCGATACTATATGGCTATTCTCTAAATTATTTTGTTGCATTACTGAATGTTAATGTAGGTATTAAGATTGAGTTGGGGAAAAAAATCCACAGAAATAGCATATCAATATCTCTGAATTTCAGAATCTTTCCCTTTTGGTGGGGGGAAGAGGGCAGCAGAGATGAAAAACTAAAATTTTGCCAATTGTATTATGCCACCAAACCCAAAAAATGTTAATTAATATAAGAAATGTAATACATATTTTATTATGCAAGTTGTTAACTGAAAGACACATAAAGACCTGGGAGTTTTCATCTTAATATGGATAAATGTGATAATCTTCAAAAAATAACCATGATAAATGAATCTAGATAAAACAAAAAACAACAACAACAGCTACAGGTATTTTTGTCAGATGTTGGAGTCTGTTCATACATTTTGTAGATTAGCCCTTTTGGTGAGAGAAATATGTGAGCAAATGAAAAGAGCTCTGTGATCAGAATCAGGAAACATTAGTCTAACATAAGTTCCATGAGAGCAAGAGCTCCCGTAGCCTCAGCACTCAGAGCAGGGCCTGGCCCAGAATGGAAACTCAATAAAGATTAAAAGAATGAATAAATATTCTTATGATTATTTGACAAAAAAAAAAGATGATTTTCCTCTCTTGGTGTCAGTTTCTTCATTAATAAAATGAGATGGTTTTGGAGTCATTTTAAGAATTGAGATTCTATGATTATATAACATGTATTCAAAATTTTGAAACATCTGTTTGTTAAATCTTTTCTTAAAACTATATTCTCCATTTGAAAGCAAGTAATTCCCCTGAATGAAGCAATCCTTTATCTTTTCATTAGTAAGATGGTTTGGAATTTATATGTGTGAATTATCTTGGAAAACAGTATATTACTGATAAAAATATTTTATAGCTAATTTAACAATGTTAAATCACAGGAGGGGAAGCTATTGCCATATGCCTCTCAGACGATATTTCAGCAGTTTTGACTTCAGCTAACTCAACTCTTATAAAATACATGATTTTCAGTCTCATAGGCAAACATCTATTGTAACCAACTCTGGAAATAAAACAAAAACCTATGGTGATTTCCTTAATGAAATTTTTTTTAGATTTTATGTTAATAGGGAGCAAATCTTAAAATCTTTTTGGGCTTTCATCTCCCAACATTAGATGTATCTTAACATTTTTGTTTGCAAAATATCATCTCACTACAAAACTGTGCGACTTGTACAAAGTTTCATGGTCTTGTCCATCTCCCTCTGAATATATGCCATGGGCAAACTAGGAAAAACACATTCCTCCCAGCTGGCAATCACTCACATGGGATAAACAGTCAGAGCATTTTGCTGCCCTAGGCAAACTCTGCCTGAGAGGACCAGCTGGCTTTGCATAGAAATAAGCAAGGTAGAGTGGGTATACATTGAGCAGGTAGAGATTTTTTTTTAAATGAAAAGAAAAAAAAAAAAGATAGCACTTCTAATTTAACCCTGTTGAAAAACTTGACATATCTGAGCATCTATTTTAGGAAAACCTACATTGCGTTATTTGAACGTCTGCTATCCAGTGTAGGAAGGGAGCTGGTGCTCTGTCTGGTGGCATCACTGATGACATAATACAATTATTTTGATGTGTCCAGTTGTGCAAAGATGTGACTAGTTCGAACCATGTTGATTATACAGCGTGATGTTGTCATGGAAATCTGATGACACTGATAGAGAATAAATAGTTTAATGAGGGCCAGGTTATAAAGGTTTCTGGGGAGCCGCAGCTTCCAAACGTATAAATTATTGCCTTTGTCCAAGTTAAATGTCTGGGTAGAAATGGCATTGTCACCGTAGTGGTGAAAAAGATTTAGTGCCTTGAAAAAAATCATGCATGTAAGCCAGTCTCTGAGCTGGATTCTCGTCATCACCTCTCTGAAAGCTTCTGATGCTCATCTATATGGATGCAGAGATGCAGATACTACAGGTGAAAAGATTAAGTCACTGAGGAGTTGCGGGAATTGATCATTGTAGCTCACTATAAATATTGTATTATCATTATCCTCATTTCCTTTATGTTGTTTATTTCACACCACTTACTATACATTAGCATTGTGACAGTGATCAGTGTGAGCCTCCCGTGTGTCTTTAGTCCACGTGCTTGCACAGGCCTAGCACCTTACTCCTGTGGAACCAGAGGATCAGTACGGCCCAGAAGAAACCTGGGAATTTGTCTAGTTCTCAAGATTTACTTACTATAAAGTTTTTAAATGGGATTATTTAAATTAGCTAATTCTGAATCCAAGTTTTTATAAACTGTTTAAAATTTTTTTCATAGTCAAACACTTCCCACTATCATTTTTTAAATGAGGGTTTTTATAATTTAGTGCAAAAAAAGTAAAAACACAGAAAATGGTAAATAATAAACAAAAATCCTGCAATGTTAACAGATTTTGGAGTACTTCCTTCCAAATATGTTTCTGTAAATGTGCACAAACATTTACATCAATATATGATATGTATATTTTTACATAGTTGACTTCTATTATATATCCAGTTCTACATTATTTTCCCCACTTGTTACATAGTGTATGTACATTTTCTTATATCACTTAATATATTTTATAATATTTCATAATACAAGACACATCCAGTCTTCTGCTGTTGGACATTTAGGATGTGTCCATATGTTTGTGATTATACATAATGTAATGAACATTTTCACTCACACAACAATTTTTTTCTTTTTGTTCTTTATTTTTCTCTTCTGGATTTTCAGACTCAGAACTCATGTAACTCCCTCAATGTTCAATCTATTCAAATAAGTAGTAGCCTAGTTAATAGCAATTATCTGTATCTACAGAGAGCTGTACTTGTGAAAAATTGAAAAACTATTCGGCTACAATTTTTCCTCAGTTAAGCATAATTTCACCAGAAATAATATTAGTTAATGCCTTTAGATGGTCTTAAGTGAAGCCTAAGTATTAAAATGAATGCAATTGAACAATTTACACTTATTTTAGACAATAAATATGAAATATTAATGGATAATTCAAGAACTTAATATTTAGCATTATAGAAAAATGTGAAATATTGGTGTGGTTTAAACAATCTACTCTTAGATACTTTAGTTCTACTCTGAAGAGGGGAATAAAAGAAAAAAAAATCCCCTGAAGGAAAAAAAAAAAGCCAAAGAGAAACCAAAAGAACCACTTGCTTTTTTGAAAAAAAAAAAATATTTTTTACTTAAAACTATTTATAATTCCAAAAAATATGAAATTTTACATTCTCTGGAAATCATTACAGAAAAACTTTAGTTTAATTCTGCTGCCTCAATTCTCTGGATTTTACAAGGAGGAAGCTGGGTAGGACCACTGGATTTGAAGATTTGTGACCCTGGACAATTTGCTTGTGCTATCTTGGTCTCATTGGCTTAATCTGTACAATGACTGTATGAGAACTGAATGTAAAGTCCCCGGAAGGATGCCTGACGCATAGCTAGCACTTAGTTTCTTCTGTTCCTGCTTTTAAATGATAATGAGAGATTCTTTCATGAGATTTTTTTTTTTTTTTTTTTTTTTTTGAGACGGAGTCTCGCTCTGTCGCCCAGGCTGGATGGAATGCAGCGGCGCGATCTCGGCTCACTGCAAGCTCCGCCTCCCGAGTTCACGCCATTCTCCTACCTCAGCCTCCCGATTAGCTGGGACTACAGGCGCCCGCCACCACGCCCGTCTAATTTTTTGTATTTTTAGTAGAGACGGGTTTTCACCATGTTAGCCAGGATGGTCTCGATCTCCTGACCTCATGATCCGCCTGCCTCGGCCTCCCAAAGTGCTGGGATTACAGGCGTGAGCCACCGCGCCTAGCGTTCATGAGATAAATTTTTAAAATAATTGCTCTCCTTGATGAAAGACAGCAACTAAAACTGAGTGCTAGTAGGTGAATGGTTATCATTTTTCCATAAAATCATAAACCTGTAGACAACTTGAGGGATGACTGATAATACACTAAACATAAATGAAGAATTAAAATTCAGTTAAGCAATTCTGGTGTCCCTAAGGTACTCTGATATTTTTGTGTGTAGCTAATTGGTCAAAAAATAATGAAAACAATAACTTAAATATGTGTAGCAATTTATGGTTTCAAGTACCATCATATTTAGTTGGTTTGATCCTCACACCGTCAATATTACAGAAGTTCATGCAAGGTGAGTAATTGGCCTTAGGCAAAAACAACTAATTAATATTAAAGACAGAATTGAAAGATACCTTGTTATTTCTCTCTCAGTTAAGTCTTTTAACCATCAAGTAAGGAGAGAAGAGGAAAATCAAAACTAAAATGATAGAGTATCTAAAAGTTAATGGAAGGGAAAACTTCTTATTAAAACTGTGCTCCTCAATGATTTTTAGTATTTAATAAAAAACAAAAATTGAAAATAAATGAGCCATGTATGCATCATAAAAACTAGAAAAAGTTTATCAAAGTAAAAGAACTTGGAAGCAGACATTAATAAAGATAAAAAGCAAATATTAGTGGAATGGAAAACAGAAGAAATAAAAATAAAGCAAGTATTTTAAAAAGCAGCTGATTCTTTTGGGGGGGATTCACTTAAATAGACATCCATGGCCAACCTGATTAAGGAAGAATTAAGGAGAGTACAAATGGAAAACATCCCAGTTCCATCTAACCTTCCAAAAACAGATAATCCTACTGCTATTCAAACTTGTTAGAGAAAGAGCCGGATGCTCAGTTCTCCATTTCCTTTTATGAAATTAGCATATACTTAATATCAAGCGCCTGGTAAAGATGCTGTATTAGTTTGCTAAGGCTGTGGTAATAAAGTACCACAGACTGAATGCCTTAAACAACAGAAATGTATTGTTTCAAAGTTCTAGAGGCAAGAAGTACCCACTGCCCACCAAAAAAAAAAAAAAAAAATTACCCATAAACTATAACACAGACGTTTAAAAAAGCCCCTCTGGATCTGTTATTCACACCAGCCACTTATCTTTTTGATATTTCTATTCAGAAGGATTAGCAATTTCTTCTGCCTTCAGTTAGCTGCATTGCTGGGCCTGTGATAGGCAAACTTTTGTATATACCACAGCTTCCTCCACTTGTGGTTACCTTTCTCCTGTCCTTTCATGCAATGGATTGCTACTTTGCAAGACAATCTGAAACTGCTGTAATTCCTCCAATAATGAACATCTGCTTCACTAATAACAAATCTATATCCCACACCTGTTTATATGCTGGCTTAGTATTTAATGACTTTTATTATTAAAGCCAAATCACAGTGGTTTTTAAAAAGTGACTTTAATGCCAAATCATAGTACTTCTTTTTAAGTGTAAATTTTCAAAACCATTTTTAAATGGCAATTAAACTCAATACATGGTATATGACTCAAAAGTGATGTCATTTATGTGATTCAAAAATGATATCACTCAACTGAGGGAACAATATGAACAGCTATGACACAAGTTCATGCACACACTGATATTGACCACCACAGTCGTGAATACTTCCTTGTGGGTAGTTATTATAAGACGCAAATGATTATGGATGCACACTGATTTAGAGCTGTGAAAATGTGTTTGAAAAGTCTTAGATTCTAATTAATATGGCAATAAAACAATTTATAATGGATATTATCCTCATCCTAGATGTTAGGGTAACCTAATAAGGTAGAGCAATGGTTCTCAAAGTGTAGTCCCAGGACAAGTAATACCAGCATCACCTGGTATATTAGACAGGGTTCTCCAGAGATACAGAATCAATAAGATATAGATGTAGATATCAGATATAGATATATGAGGGGGATTAAGGGAATTGGCTCAACAATTATAGAGGCTGAGAAGTCTATGACAGGCTGTCTGCAAGCTGGAGACCCAGGATGCTAGTGGCATGGCTCAGTTCAAGTTCAAGGCCTCAGAACCAGGGAATATACATATATTTGATGTATCTATTGAATATGCAAGAGGCCTGAATTTCATAATGGCAAAAATAGGCCTTGGTCTCTTTTGTAATTGTCATCCTTAGCCATTTCTCTTTCTTTGTTCCCTTTGCTTTAAATTATCCTGTTTTCATAGTCCTTCCCCATTTTCCTTTTACCAACTTAGATTCATTTCCCTTTTACAGTTTTCTGAAACTTTCTTTCCCTCAGTTTTCCTATTTTTAACTTTTTAACCTTGCTTTAACCAAAATAAAAGTAACTAGTCATGTTAACATTGAATCTCCAAATTAAGGAATAGAGAAATATAGAAATATGAACAAGTACCGATAAAACTTCACTATTAGGACTCTGGGAAGCTAAACTGCTGTACTCTGTCATTATAACAAGTAAAAGATAGTATCTATTGGAGGATAATATAAAAACAATTGCTAAAATATGCTAATATTTGTGCATGTCATTTTATTTTCTATTTTAGAAAACATAGTCTCAGAAATCACATTCATCTCATTGGCTTTAGTGCTGGCTTGCATGCTATGTATTCTTCTTTTGGGCCCAGACAAATTTTCTTTTTTAAAAATTGTTAATACACATGCCTGTAACTGTAAGGCTTGTTCTTCTCTCAGGAGAAGCCTATTTCAGAAATAATTATCTTTGTATTGGAGTCAAACAAACAATCCATCATGAAACTGAAATATCATTGGAGGTTCAAGCTCATAGCACCGAATAATAAATATATCTGTATTTTCTTATCATTGGTGAGATAAGATGCATCATAAAAACTGGAAAAAGTTTATCAAAGTAAAAGAACTTGGAAGCAGACATTAATAAAGATAAGCAAATATTAGTGGAATGGAAAACAGAAGAAATAAAAATAAAGCAAGTATTTTAAAAATACTTTGTGAATTGAGTAGAAAATTTTACTTGGGAA
This sequence comes from Homo sapiens, assembly GCF_000001405.40. NCBI lineage: Eukaryota > Metazoa > Chordata > Mammalia > Primates > Hominidae > Homo > Homo sapiens. Next base: position 179,660,414 of record NC_000002.12, on the reverse strand, counting down.
TTTTAAAGAAACAGCATGATCAATTCAGAATTTACATCTCAAACTCCAGTGAAGTAACTTACTTTTCCATAATTTTTGTTGGCTCTGTAGACTGAGGAGGCAACATCTACTGACAGTCACTGTATTGTTTGTTAGTTTCAAACGAAGTACACAGTGAGTGAGTGGAGTCAGGCCAGTACTCCAGCAGACTTAAGATACAAGGAGGAGTTTGTGAAGGCTCACACTCAATCTGCAATAAAACCGGTGGCAGGTTAATGTACCTCTCAGCTCCTGATACATTTATTATACAGAAATTATAGACCGGCTGACTTAACTATTGCTAAGAAACATGCTTCTTGGTAAGTAGCATAATTTACAAATGTTGATTTGTTTTAAAATGATAGGAGATATACATATTTGGCTTTTGTTGTAATTTTCCAGAGTTATACAGATTTCATACAGTGCTGGGCAATGTTGTGTTTAGTATTATTTGTCCTACTAGATTTTTAGGTGACAAGGTTTGGCAATTTAGAATAATCTTGGAAATGTGTATATAAGTTAAAGAAGCAGTCATGATCAGTATTTGACCTGTATTTTTTAGTTCCATTAAAATCAGCATAACATTTTTGGGTTTAATCAGTAGTTGTTAAAGACAATAGAGTCTTCATGATCTAAGTGTTAGCACAACTTCTTGTTTAAAATATTTTGGACGTCTATATGTTGTTAAATGCTCTGATACGTATTCTAAAAAGGACTGGTTCTATGTGATTATTATAATACTTAAGATAAATGGAAATCCCTAGATTGTCAGTTTTAAAATTAGTTTCAAGTAGTGGAACAATGAAAAGGTAAAATTTTAATATGCTGTATATTTTTAGTAATATTCATAATTGTATATTATACAATATAAAATATTTTTAAATATAACATTTGCATGCATTAGTCTTAATAGAAATCTGACAAACCTTTCAAAGAAGATGATATAGGAAGCTTTCTCATTTTATAAAAGAGCATAATAAGAATTTCATTGGAAAATATATAAATGTTTTAAAAATGCTTCATTGATAAAATGCTTCTTTTACTATCAAGTTAATATTGTAAAATACTAGTGAAATTTTAGGGCTTGGATTATTTATTTGGAAAACAAACATTTTCGTAAGAGAATCTATTGGTAAGTACACATTGAGTTGAGGAATTTTCCAGTTAATAAAGGCTAAACAGATATCTGAAATCTCCAGGAAATTTAGGTGAAAATATATTTTATTGCAGTGATTATACTTCGAACAGTTGTGAACACTACCTCATGTGTGAGAACAATTTCAGTCTTTATTTTGGAGGTATAAAGAATGTCACTATTTTGGCCAGGCATGGTGGCTCGCGCCTGCAATCCCAGCACTTGGAGAGGCTGAGGCAGGCGGATCACCTGAGGTCAGGAGTTCAAGACCAGCCTGGCCAACATGGTGAAGCCCCATCTCTACTAAAATACAAAAATTAGCTGGCTGTGGTGGTATGTGCCTGTAATCCCAGCTACTCAGGAGGCTGAAGCAAGAGAATCACTTGAAGCGGGGAGGCGAAAGTTGCGGTGAGCTGAGATTGCGCCACTGCACTCCAGCCTGGGAAACGAGTGAAACCCCATCTCAAAAAAAAATAAGAATGTAACTATTTTAAGGAATGTTTGATAACCTATTGGGGATATAGTAAACATAACTATATTAGTAGCTTAAATGATACTTTTACTTTTCAGTGTATTTAAGTAATTAACATATTAGGTCAATCTGCACAGAGAAAGTCTATAATTGATTATGTATTTGCAGTTCAAGTTTTGCCTTAATTTCAAGCCCACTATTCTACTTGGTAACAGTATTATAAGTAAAGAAGAGTACTAGTCTAGGAAATAGGAGACCCAGGTTTTCATCGTGGCTCCTCAAGACTGCTTCTAACCATTGGGTCATTTCCTGTATGAAATGATTTCTTAAAGTTTTACTCTATTTTTGCAAATCCACTTCTGCCTTCTTGGCTTCCATTATCCTGTGATATTGGCAACACTGTATACCTGTGTAAAATGCATTGGAGATTTTAAACAAGGACAGTCTTTTCACATGGAAACTCCCTTTAGGTCATAAGGTTCAGTGCCATTGGTGGGGAAATAAGTGATGTTGGTGATTTAGGAGAATGATCCCTGCCTCTGGAAAGAGCACCTACGCTTGTGTGAAGTGTTCACCATTTTGTTTATCATTTACCAAGGTCCTGAGACATGCTGTTTCATGACCTTCAAAGAAAATTCTGACCAATACCCACCTTGAAGATACATATTTTTTAAAAGGGATCCTGCAGTTGAATTCATCTATGCAGTAGCTTCTCACATGCAAAATCATAAAATATTTTCATATCATATCCATGACCTCTTCATTTGCCCAAGGTTTCCTCCCTTTGATTGAAAATTTAAGGTTTGCAGACTTGAGTTTTCCATCATTTCACTGTGGTGAGATGGCAAAGCATGAGCTTGAGATGATGGGAGTTCAAAACCCTTCTCCTCCACTTCCAAGTGGTTTCACGAAAACTACTTGTCCTTTCTGCACTCATTTTCTTTGTAAATAAGGATACCAATATTAAAGATTGCTGTAACGATTAAATAGGTAATATTTATAAAGTGTCAAGCATAATACTTTAACCAATAAATGGTAGACAATTATTGTTGTCTTACTAAATTATTTTATCAACTGTCTTATTAATTTATCAACTGTTTCTATTTGGATTCACAACACTTTCTAGGATTGCTGAAACTGTATGGGTTTTATAAAGTTATTTACGTCAATGTTCCAGTAAGATGAGTGAATTATTTTCCTGTGTGAATTTAGAATCAACCAGATCTAACTTTAAATTATAGTTGTGAGCTATAATTACTTCAATGGTTAAGACCATTTTGGCCTGGAGGAGTAAAAAGTTATATTTTGCAGTGCATGTGAAAGAAGTGTTTGTGAATTCATTTCTGCCTTCTATTCATATCTTAGTTAAAATGAGCCACGGTTTTGAGCAGTTTCTTTGGAACGTTACATAAACTTACTTATTCTTGGCCACATAGCAGTTGGGAACACGCAAACAGGCCTGAAAGGAACCAAACAGCAAATTCTTTACAAGCAGGAAACCTAATATTTACACAATAATAGGGTGATGGCCACTAAGGTGGCTTATGACTAAGTTTTCTTGTTCATCATGAATAGGAGCTAGCATCTTTTCTTCAAATACTTGTGTTAATATGTTCAACGGGACTGGACTGAAGTACAGTTGTGACGCAGGCATTTCAACACCAGAGGCTCTCCGCTCTTCCCCTTCCCTGCCCCAATACAGAGTGACCTCCCATTCTTCTCCTTTCCCTTATCAAACTGGCTTTCTGAGCTTCTATTTTACACCAGGATACAAATGGCTTGTTGTGGTTCATCAACGTTTTCTATATATTTGCATTTTAACACACTGAAAAACTTTAAGCTAAAAATCTAAAGCTCTAAGCCCATACAATTGTAAGCAATAAGAGTGACTTGAAAGGTTTTGGAGAAACATAGAGGTATAATATCTAAATCATACATATTCATTGCTCCCAAAGGGCAAAAAAATTATTCTAAGGAGCAAAAACTTATTCTTTTTATGTATGAGCACAGATATACATATGGTACATAGATATATGGTATATCTATAGTATTAAAATTTCTTGGGAGACAAGTATGAAAAAAATGTCTAAGAAGGTCCCTTAGGAGAGCAACAATGAATAAAAAGGTTGAGAAACACTGCTGTAGATGAGGGTATCAAAGCACTCTATGATCCTGCAGAGTACGAATTTTTGCTGAATTGTTTTTTAATGTTTTTAGTAGGAAGGAACTGATGCCTGATTTAGTACTTATATTTGACACCAGTATTTATGTTTTAATACATCAAATATGATTAGCTGCTGTGCCATTACCCTTTTTAGTTTTAGTAGGAAATAAAGAGGAAAGACTTGAGGACAAGATATACTTAAATTTGAATCCAGCTGTACCTCTTACTTGTTCTGTGACCCTTGGCAAATCACTTACCCTCTTTAAGCCTCAGTTTTCTTCTCTTTAGTTTACTTGGGAATCAAAATGCCTACCTGATGGAATTCCAATGTCATAAAGATTAATAAAAATAATATACATAAAACTTTCTGCAAATTGCCTACTGTATAATAAATACATGCCCATTAGTAGCTATAATTTTATTTGTTGCATCTTTTTACATCAATTACTGGTTTAAAACTTACTATAGAAAAAGAAATCTAGATTTAGCAGGTAAAGGTATTATCCATGAAGGGCAGAACTCCCTCTAAGACAAATGTTAATCTATTTGTAAAAATAAAAGATAAACTTCTAATATTTCTTTAAACCAGTAACCAAACCTATTAACATAAATAAAAAACAGAATAAAATCCAAATTAACATATCTAGACTAATATAATCTCTGTTAAATGTTGAATAATTGTCTGGGCTATTCTATTGAAATACCTTTTCTTTAAATACTACATTGCACTGAGCTGTAAAGTAATTGTTTTATTCCCCTAGAACCATGACTCAGTATTACTTGGAATTCCCATCTGTTTGTGACATCACTTTTGCCTCGAATGTTATTCCCTTACTGGGTAAACATATTTGCCTTTAGATTTCATGACATGTAATTGTAGGATAGATGAGTTAATTGAAAGGAAATAGTATTTCTTACGAGGATTCACATGGAGTTAGTCCAATTTAAGTATTAATGCAACTCTGTGGAAAATTTTGTTTCTTTAAAAGGAGGGTCCACAATTTACCCCACCTCTCTCTCTCTCTCCCTCTTTCTCTCTCTTCCTGTTTTTTTCCTCCAAGTACTTATTCTGCTTTTGTGATTTGCTCTTAAAACCCTAACCTATTAACATGTGTTCAGGGTTTTTTTTTTTTGCTTTCTTTTCTTTATAAGATTAATATTTAATACCTCTAGAGACAAAACTCCAATGGAGAAGGGAAGTGCTTCAGTTGTATGCATTGTTATGGCAAAATAGCATAAATGAGCAACTTTGATATGTATGATATATTTTCCATTGCCTTTTCAGCTTATCTTCTATTTTGGTAATTTATCTCCTCCACAATGTTTTCACTTTTCTGTACTACAGGTCATTAAGGATGAGTAACTGTAGAGTAGTATTCTCCATGCCAAAGTGTGGCTTTGTAATTCTTGACTTGACAACAGAAAATATAGGATTTTGAGAAGCAGGGTTAAGAGAATACTGTATGTAGGCAACACATTTATCCAGCAGAAGTAGCCCACAAGTAGTGGAATCCAAAAACTACCCATGATACAATTATTCAAAACCTTTCCTAGCTTTCCAGAGAGTTGAAACGGCAGAGTTTTCCAGGGTAGACAAACATCACATTTCAAAAGCATGTGAGAAATCAAAGAGCCTCATTTGGAATAAAATATATTGGCTCAGATTCTGTCTCCATATGCCTCAAAAATCATACTGCAAAAGGACTATGGAAGTTTTGACTTTAAAAAGCCATTAGGCTGCAAGTTGGGTTAAGAATACACGCATACTAAATGACATCCTGCAAGTTGGGTGCACTATAGGTAGTCTCTAATCCATGTAGCATTGTCTTAAGTTTACTTAATGCCATTTCAATGAAAGAATCTGAGTTTTTAAGACAGTAAGAGGCAAATGTTTTAGCAGATATTTGAAATAGAGCTCCTTTGAGAACCTCCCAGTGAAATAATTTCCCCAAACCTGGAAATCTAAAAGTGCCATCCCCAAGAGGTTAGAATGATGTTCACATACTTGAACTTGGAACTAAAGTATCATGAAGAATTAATATGGTATTCTTCATTCCTATTTATTTTAGTTAAGACAGGGAAAGTGACCTAATCAAGATGTCTTATCTAGGAATTTTTGAATTAAAATACAGTCTTCTTTCCAAACATTTATTCTGCTTCCCTCTGTTCCTACGTAGTAGGCTGGACAAGAGCCCTGGCCCATGTGACAGGCTCCTATCCTCCTGCACTCGAAGGGGGTAGGGGGATAGGAAATAGGAGACCTAAGTTTTCATCCTGGCTTCTCAAGACTCCTTCTAACCATTGGGTCACTTCTTTTATGAAACTTCTTAATGTTTTACTCTATTTTTGCAATTCCACTTCTGCCTTCTTGGCTTCCATGATCCTGTCATGTTGGAGACACGGTATACCTGTGTACAATACACAGGATATTTTAAACAAGGACAACCTTTTCACATGGGATCTCCCTTTAGGTTAAGATTCAGTGCCATTGGTGAGAAATAAGTGATGTTGGTGATTTAGGAGAATGATCCTAAATCCATCCGTTGATTCTGTTTGCACCTCTGTCACCAAATCCAAGGTCTTTCCTCCTGTGAAATATACTAAAAAATTAATTGAGGCAGACCCATAACCCTTCTCTATTAAAACTGTTTTTGTTTCTCCTTACCATTGTGCATCTCTATGTCTTTCTCTGGAAATATTTCAAAATAATTTGGAGAAACATTGTCAACTATTTTTCATTCCTTTAGAAAGATTAAAGTGGCCTTGGCTAGTGTGGGGAAGGCACTGGCTCGTCTGAGTTTGTTCGCTAGCTGGGGTATTGTTAAATGAGTGAACACTTGTCACTGCTGCTCGTTGTCCTTTTTTTCTCCTTTACAACTGTCTCAGGCCTTTTAGGGTACTTCAGTGTGGTAGAAGGAAATAGATGGCTTGATAATTGATTTGTTCCTGCTATATTGGTTCTATGTCTCTTATAAAGTAGCAGGACCTGATTCTATTGTATGTGGTATCAGTCAGAGTTTTGACTGAACACTGAAGGCATAAACAGCCAGATTTTCAATTAGAATTTAAGGACCTACTTACAGAGATGTGGACAGGTTTAGGGGAGTGAGTAGCTGATGTTAAGGTACTTATTAACCCGCCATAAGTCTCCCCATTCCTGAAAAGGAAGGGGAGGTAATGGAGTTGCCTAAGTTTATTAAGAGCTGAAACTGGAGGCTGTATAGAAACTACTCAACAAGAGCTGTTCTTCTAGAGAGAGGCCATTGCCAGAATGCAGGCACAGAAGGAACTCAAAAGAAATACCCTGACTTCTCTCTTCTTCTGTGCAGCAGTAGTGCACGGGGTCTAGTGAGGGAGATCTATTGGCTCCTGAAAGAAATGGTCCCAACTTGTCCTTTTGCATTTTGATATGCTTTTTGATGGTCTCCTGATGTTCTATGACATCAATCAGCTGGCATGTGTCACAGCCAGCCATGAACCTGTCTATAGCAGCACCAGCTCCTAGTTCTGAACTCAACTGTTTTCGTTCTTCTATGCATTTAGAACAGAGATAACCATTACTTTAGTCAATTACTTAAAAAATTTTTATTGAGCATATATTATGGGCTAAATACAATGTTAGGAAGGCCCCAAGGATATCAAAGTGAACGAAGCAGGAAAGAACCCTGTCCTTAAGCAGTTTACGTCTCAATTTTTTTTTCCCTGCCTAAACTAAGACTTTAAGAACTCAGAGACTCTTCTAGAAATCCTTAATCTTCTGATGATTTTTTTTTTTTTTTGGTGCTTTGCTCAATTCTAAACAATTGAGATGACCAAATCAATAGGTAAGGTATTTATTTATAGTACTCTATTATGTATCGTTGTCATTCATTCATTCAAAAAATTACTTCTGATCATCTACTATGGTTAGTATATGTAGAAATTGATAAATTAGTAAAATATCTTAGGGTTTAGGGTTCTGCTCATCTAGCTAAAAGCAGATATGCAAATAACTACAATGGCAAAGTGTCAAGAGCAAGGGACTAGCAAATGATTCCATTGTTTTGGATGAGGGTGACTGAGAGTTATGGTAATAACCATAACACCCAATTTCCTGGCTGCTCAGACGAGCAGTTTAAAGACTCACTGCTAGTAATGTGTGCTTTTATTTAATGGGAATCCCGTAAGTACTCACTTGTAAAAAGCAGGGTTTCCCAGAATCCATTGGCACAAACTGTTCAACTCCTTGACATACACACAGAACAATTCAGTCACAGTGTTAACACTGTTTGGGATAAACTATGTGACTGTGAATTAGGGAGGTCAGAAGAAAGTATGTTTTTAGACATCATTGGATGTATACTTTTTATTCGTCCTATAGCCTATACTTTAGAACCATACTCATTGAAACTGTGAAAAATGAAACCACATCATGAAAAAGTTTTCCTGATAATAGCATTATTTGTGTATCTTAACGGTAGCTATGGACTCTTTATAGCTACTTAGGAAATAGCTCTTGTCATGTTTCCAAATCTATATCTTAAAATGCTTTGTCTAGACAAGAGTTTGCTGATCCTCTGACATATTAAAAATGGAGCTCAGTTCTGTTTTTTAATCTGGGACTAAAAATTTTCTCTGGCAGTACAGTTTTGGCACACAATTTGGCTCTTTCTGTCTTCTCTAAATGACTTTTTGATTCTCTTTTCCGTTCCGTTGTTTTCTGGAGAAAAGGTGTCCCTGATAAAGATAAGGGAAATGAATCTTAGCCATTTTCCGTTAGGAGCACTATCTTCTTCAGGTTCACCACAACATCCACAGAGACTGGATTCATACCTTAGCTCTGACTTTGTTAACACCAGCTCATCATACAGATGGTTTAGTACTCAGACACCAAGGAGGTCTCTGCAAGGCAACATTCAGATTCTCCTCATCCACTTACAGATCCATATTTGGAGGTTCTCATAAAAATCAGTCTCGGGGACTGTCTTATTGGAATTTGGGGTTTTATTTTTAAAATATTTTTATTTGTAGTGAACGAGGTTGAGTGTTTATATACTGTAGAATGTACAGTCTATTCAAGTAACTGGGAAACAGTGTAAACTTATTTTTATATAGTATGTTGGTTATATTTTAAAATATTATGCGTGGTGTGTTTTCTTTTGTCTCCAGACAGCTTTTCCAGTGAAGGACCTTTAAATGTAAAGCCATTTGTCAAATTATTAATCTAAAAAAGTGAAACAAATATCTTATTTTTCCTGTTTCTGGACTTTTTGGACATTCTTAGTGTTTGTTGATCAACTTTCTTTTTCAGATGAACCATTGAATGAATGCACTGCTTTACGTTTATTGATCCCTCACCTGAAAATATATTATTGAACATTTTGTTTCAAAATATAGCATATACAGTATTGAAAAATAAGTGTATCCTGTGTCAGTTACCTAATTTGAAGGCAACTTGTGTGATTTTACCCTTTTGCCAGATTTTCCTTACGTGGTTAAAAAAAAAAATCTTGGGAGAAAACATGTATTCTGAAGACATTGAAGTCAGAATTATTTAAACAATTCTATGTCTGTCTCTTACATTATGCAGTTAAGGTAAGTCATGTCCTTTCTTCGAGTAATACCAGCGGCACAGGGGACTCAAAAGGCATTGTTTCCAAATGTTTGCCATTTTGATGCTAATGATAACTATTATGATATTTTACCTTAATAAATTCTTACATTGTAATAGGGTATGATTGTATCAATTGTCTAGTGGATTTAATGCGTCTTAACTGTCTGGTAAGGCAGGGAAAGGATTACCTATCAGTCAGCCAAGTCTTGTGCTGTGACACATTGAATCAAAGAAAATTCATAATGTTGTATAGATAAACACAAAAGACTTTTGTTTCTTGGTTTCTCACTGCCCTACCTTATTGATTTGCTTTTCTTCTACTTCTGATAAAGGCAATGAAATATCTATCCTGTATGGAATAGATGTGAGTTACTGATATAACCAAATGACTGCCAAAGGCACAGTGCCACTCTCCACATGACAGCTTGTTACAGGATTCATCTTTCAACAATAAAACCCTACAGCCTTTGCACTAAGCTCAAGCATGAAGGATATCATGTTATCCTTTCAGCATTTCATAGTATCTTTTACTTGGGCTTTTATTTGTCTCCAAGTATCCCTTATCTTGAATAATGTATGTCACTTTCTCTCATACATACCTATTTTTGTGATTTCCTCTGAATAAACCTTATTTATCAAGGAAACATTCTCCATGGACCAGTGTCCTGAACATGAAGCTTTGATATAATGGAACTAAATGTAAATTAGAATTTATTTCCTTTTCTCCTACTTCAAACACATGCATCCTTTCCCAAAATATGTATATATATACCAAATCTTTCCAGGTGAAATCTCTCACTCTACTTGTTTAGTGTTCTAGAATCTCCTAGAGAACTGTTTTGAGTGTAGTCTACATGTTACATACATGACAGTAAACACAGGTAGGTGCTTCAAAAATGTTGAAATCACACATTTGTGAACTGGCTATGTATATGAGGTACTGGCTTATGCATTTATTTAACCATATGTCATTATTGCCCGCCTTGTGCCAGGCTCTGTGCTGAGCACTGGGTCTCCAGGCATGACATTTCTTTTCTCTTAGCAAAGTGGACAGCAGGAAAAGGAAGGGTGCTAATACTGGGAAACGTAAACAGGTCTTATGATTAGAATTATGTTCTTAAAATGTATTTTGTACTGAATTTATTTTATTAAACTTAACATTACTTTTTTTTTCAAATTAAAGCAAAATGTAACATGGTAAAACTTAAGAATCTAGAAAGAAATGTAACAAAAAGCAAAACTTTCTTTTCTCTTCCCCAAACCTCCAATGCTTATTTCCCCAAATAAATTTTGCTAATGGATTTTGTGCTTTGTTTCAGAGTAAAACAAAATAAATCAAAACTAAAAACACACAACATGCAAACATATATACATGCACACAAATTGTATTATATGATATATTCTGCACCTTTATATTTTTACTTAGTACTATATCTGGTGTATCATCTTGTAGCCTTTTTCATAGTATGACATATTTACCCCATAAGATAATTTTAAAATTTTGAAACGATCTCAAAATTACAGAAAATCTGCAATATAGAACCAATAAGCTTTTTCTTTTCTAAGTGAGTTACCCTATCACCCTGGAGCGCTGTGGTATGGATTTTTTATAAGCAAGACAATCTCCTATACAACTACTAAAACAATCATCAAAATAGACATAGATACATCCTATACCCAATCCTCAGACCTCATTCAGGTTTTGGCATTTGCCCTAATATAGATAGATATAGAATCCATTTCAAAATCACTGATTATGTGTCATTGTCATGCCTATCCAGCCTTCTTTAGTCTGGAAAATTCCTCTGCATTTTGTTCTGTGGTGTTGTTGTTTTTTAATTTTCATGATCTTGACTCTTGAAAATTACTGCCCAGTTTGTGTTTCCTGCTGTTTCCTCTTGATTGACTTCAGGTTGTGTATCTTTGGTAGGAATATCATGAAAATGATGCTATATTCCTTTTACTATATCCTATCAGATCTCAGGTAATTTTAATTTCTCCCATTACTGATAATGTTCACTTTGGTCCCTTGTTAAAGCTCATATTTTCCAGGCTTTTCTACCATAATCTTTTCATCCTTTATAATTAATAAGCATTTTATGCAGAGGTATTTGAAACCTTATGAATATCTCATTCTTTGTCAAACTTTCCATTTACTCATTTATTTCTATCCATATGGATGATGGCTTCCTGTTTTATTCAATGAGTTATAACCCCTTACTATCATCAATTATTTTGATGTGCAAATTTTCCCAGATTGGGCCAGAGGGAGTTCCTTCAAGCTGCCTCCTGTGTCCTTTTGACTCAGGAGCCTTGTCATTTTTTGAGCACTTCCTTGCTATCTGTTCACAGTAAGACATTTCAGGCTCATTTTGTACTTTCCTTATCCCAGCCCTGATGTCAGCCTTTCTCTAAGAAGTCCTGGTTGTTTGTAATGGAGGGTAGTATTTGGAAACCAAGATTTGGGTGTTTTCGGGGGTGTTGCTGCTCTCAAACCTTCTTAGTGGCCAGTGCTCGGAGCAAACGTATATATGTGCATGCACATACACAAACATGTGCACATGTGCATCCATTTATATCTGTCAGTGTATGTTGAAAACCATGACTTTACACTGATACCTCCAATCTGACACCACAGAGTATACTCTTATTTTCTCCCTTTCCCTATTTATAACTTCTCCAAGATTGAGAAGCTGGTTCTCATTATCCTAATATATTTATGAAATTGATCAACACCCCTATGTAACCATCTCTCGTTGCCACTGCCACCTTTCCTTATTAGATGCCTCCTCATCCCAACTGGGCTCTGACACACCACATGGGGCTGCCAGCACCCTACTCTTCTACCCCCATGTGGAAGTCCTCTCTATTCCACCCATGCACCAATACCCCATGGCAAGCTGAGTCCCACCCCCTAGCATGGACATCCTCCTCACTCCACTCGGGTTGCCCCCATGTGTGGATACTTTCATTGTCCTCTGGAGGCCCTGACTCCCCATGCTGGGCACTGCTCTGCCACAGTCACCTTTCTCTGTTCTGTTCTGACCCCCCTTTTCTAAGTCCCCAAGGGTCCCCCACCCCCATGGTGAAGCAGACTATACCTTGCTCTGTTTCATCTAATAACTTTAGAAAGGAATTGCTCAAGAAAATTAAGGAGAGAGTGAATTCCTATAAGATCATTGTCTGCCAGTATTTTAATTTGAATAATGATAAAGGAGGAATAAAAAAAGTGGCTTAGACCACCTCATCTCTCTTTTCTGAGTCTCTTTCTCTCCCCACAGTGAGAGTAATCAGTGATTAGTGATGTTGTTAGTGTATGTTTTGCCTTTTTAATGTAGGTAGTCCTTAACTTATGAACCCTATAGGAACATTCTGTATACTTGAATATCTTCTCCTGGTTTCCCCTATCCCTGGGAACTCCTAGCCACATACCTGCTCTTTTTGTTTCTGGTATAGCTGCTATTAAGGGAAACCTCATTCCAATACCATATTCACTAACGCAGGAGACTGTGGTCCTCTTTTGTCACTTCTTACTTATTTAGAGCTCAGTGATCTCCTGGTCAGACTCAGGACCAGGACTCAGCAGTATGGTATAGAGGCATATGGCCGGGGTTGGGTAGGAGGGCTCTAGACAGCTCTAAGTAGCAATGGGCTGGACACTTCAGGGCATCCATAGCATGGTTTGATTTTGTTATATGCATGTAACAAAATGTTGATGTACCACATAAATATGTGCAAATATTATGTATCAAAAAAAAAAGATTAAAGGAACTTCAGGGCTCAGGGAATTTGAGAGTTCCCAGATAGTATAGTGACAACTTTAGCCACATTAAGGTTTGTTAGATTCTTTCATGCTAACTATGGAACATAGGCAATTGTATCTGGGGAATGCTGCAGACTGCAATAGAAGTTTGCAGCTGTTGGGTGTTCTATTCACATATAGATAATACATGGTGTGGGAGGTTTGTGCTGCTGGGTGAGTTTGTGTCAGCCTGACCCGGAGGGCAGGCAGTCTGTTTCTGTCTGTCTAAAAGTCAAAGCTGTGACATCTGACACTGATAACAAAAAGTAATGTTTGTATGAAATTTTAATCCCTAAAAGTTTGCTGCTCATGGGTTATAGCTTTATCTATGTCTCTGATTGCATATTAAATAGTTTATAAATTTATTCATGCAATAGATCACAGAAAATTTTCCCCAGAGTAGGACACTCTTGCCATTTTAAGCAAATTCAAAAATCACATACCTATTGACCTGATTGTAATCTGTTTATTCATGACATTTAAACTAGGAGCACATTTTTATAAATGTACTCACTTTGCAAATTGTAGGCTACGATTTTAATTTGGCATGTTAAAGTGTCTTTCATTACACCAAATAAAGTGCCAAGCCCGTAGGCTCAGAGAACCTGAAGGTTTTACAGGCAGCAAGTCAGGGAGATTTATTTTGGGCCCTGGGCTGAGGGCTCAGGCTGTCAGCAGGAGCTCATTTATTCATTCACTTATTCAGTGGATATTAATGAGCACCTCCTGTGCTCAAAATACTGTTAAGTAGGTAACAGGATACAGAGAAGTATGACATCAGGTTCAGGGTTTTTTGCTTATTTGTTTGTTTGTTTTTTGAGACGTAGTCTCGTTCTTGTCATCCACGCTGGATTGCAGTGGCGCAATCTCGGCTCACTGCAACCTCTGCCTCCCAGGTTCAAGCTATTTTGCCTCAGCCTGCTGAGTAGCTGGGTTTCCAGGTGCCTGCCACCATATCCAGCTAATTTTTGTACTTTTAGTAGAGATGGGCTTTCACCATGTTGGCCAGGCTGGTCTTGAACTACTGACCTCAGGTGATCTGCCCGCCTCGGCCTCCCAAAGTGCTGGGATTACAGGCATGAGCCACCACACTCAGCCAGGTTTAGGTTTTAAAAGATCACTCTGGCAGCATTGTGGAGGATGGAATTCAGGAGAGGTAGTCAAAGGCAGGAGAGCCAGCTAGAGATCATTACAGTGTTTGGGGGAAGAAGCTGGCTTGAGGTGGGGATGGCAATGGAAAGAAGGAGACAGATTATACCCTATGTGGTTCTTAAACTTCCCCAGGGTTGTGAGCCACTCTCATCATCAGATGAAAACCTTTGACCTCTACAGAGAGAAGAGTGCATATGGGCATGAAAAAAAATACAGTTTCACAAGGCCTGCCCTTCGTTATCCCCATCAGGAAAACAGGGCACAGGCCTGGATTCTAGAGGTCTCAACTGAGACCCATCAATGAGCCCTGCCCTATAGGACTTCAGGAAAGGAGAGCACGCATCAGGCTGGGCTCATGAGAAAGAAAGCCCCACAGAGGAAGGGGTACATGAGCTAGGACCTGAGATGAGGATGGAGAAGGCACTTTAGATCGCATAAGCAGTCTCCAGGCTTTTAGCACTGTGTAAGTCTTCATGAACTATATTGGGAGAACCATAAAGCTCGAGTCTTAAGAGTAATTGGTTCCCAGGGGCCACCTCAGAATTCTTCCTCATTACATTATGTAATAGTGCAAATGAAACCCATAATATATTGCCTGTTAGGTAGGCCTCAGTCAATATTAGTTCTTTTTATTATTAAGTACATCAAAATACATAAAAGATTTGTGATGTGTGGATGTTTTTCCAGATTGATAGTTATTTGACAGTGATGGCTTAATTGTATCAGCAGTCCCCAGTATTAGGAATAAAAATGGGTTAAGAGCCAGCCCTGGAAGGCTTAACATTTCTCAAACACACTGTCAGAAATTACAAAGTTCTGCTTTGTAAGATTGGGTGTCACAATACATGATTCCTGGAAGTGACAGAATTTGTTCCAGCTGCCGTGCTGAGCCACATTAAAGTTAGACGTTTCTTTCATTTGCTGTAAGTCTAATAAAGTGGTAATTTGGAGTGTACCTGTAGTATTTTAATGTTTTTCACAAACTTCTCTGCCACTAAAATTCTGACAACCCCTTCTCTGACAAGAGTTCTAGAGATGGATGACACTGCCTCAGCATAAAGCCATCTCTTGCCAATAAATAATAATGGGAAATTATAGTATGTATATATGTTACATTTTTAAAACAGGTTATAACAAACTTTGAACAAATTATGTGGTCTATATGAGATGTAACAAAGTATATAAAATGGGACTGTAAGACAGGAAGTTTTACAAAGTGAAATCACCATTTCAAACACACTGTGGTCAGAGAGATGCTCAAAGGGATGCTTTTTAGGAAAATAAGAAAAAGGAGACACAGCAAGTGATGGAGTCTGTGAGTAATGAGCATGTTTATTTGATCAGGTGATGGGCTGAGACTTTCTTCAGGTTTTATTTTAGTCTAACGTCCCAGTCCTACCACCTATAATTCAGGAAATTATAGGAATAAAAAGTTGCCAAAATTATCTTTGGAAAAGTTGGCAACTTGATTTGAACTTTCACAATGAGAGTAAGTCTTTCACTGGAAACTGTTTGAAATACATATCTCTCTTAAATTGAGTTTTAAAAGATTTGTGGCTCATAGAATATATAACAAAGGGCAGCTTTTCTGTTACATCTATTTTTGGTAAATATCAACAAGTTGATAACTTCGATGCAGAGCATGTTTTGTACAGTGGCTGTGTGCATGCATTTTGTAGTCTGATTGCGATCTAGCTATATGACAGTAAAAGTTTAGGACCTAACTGGTAGGATTGTTCTGAGGTTTAAATGAGATAATTGGGTGTAAACCTTGGCAAGGGGCTGAAGATAGCAATCATTCAAGGCAAGTGAACTGCTAACATTACCTTCATCGAATGCTGGTGGCACTAACAAAGCGAGCTTCAAAATATCTAGGATATTTTGAAGTGATGATAGAATGGATTATGTCTGCTTTCCTATATAGTAGTTAGAAGCCAAACTGGAAGCAAACTCCAGGATTTCAGATTCCATATTCTTTTTGCCAGACTAGCAGTTCTCAAATATGGTTAAACTTTAGTATCGTCAGGGAAAATAGTTGTGGGGTGGGGGGTGTTTTGTTTGTAAGAGTAGAATCTTCTCAGAGAATCAAATTAAGCAGATTTAGAGTGGTGCGCAGGATTTTGAATGTTTTTAACATTTATAAACATAACATTTATTGAAGTATCATCTGTGAGCTAACATTGTGCTATATGATTTCTTTTCATTTTTTAATAAACAATAAAATGAACTTTTTTGAACTAGGAGTTTTGATACATATATATAGAGAGAGATTCATGAAACTACCACCACAGTCACAATTCAAACAGTTCCATCACTCTAAAAACTTATTTTGTCCTATACCCTTGTACTTACTTACACTGTCTCTCCATCCCTCACCCTTGGCAACAACTATGCTCTTCTCCACCACTATAGTTTTACCTTTTCCAGAATGTTACATATATGGAATCATACCGTATGCTACCTTTTGAAACTGGCCTCTTTTGCTCAGCACAAACTCTTTGAGATTCATCCTTGTTTTTGCAGGTATAAATAGTTCATTCCTTTTTTATTGCTGAGCAGTATTTCATTCCATTTGATAACACAGTGGAACTAGATGAGTGGTCCTTTTGGAAACCTCAGTAACAATCTGGAATCTGAAACTGTCTCAGTGAATTTTCATACTTTATTACATTAAATGCATTGGTCTGTCTGCATTTTGAATGGATCTTTTAACTATGTTTGATACTGTAATTTCTTGCATTGATCATTTGAAGAATATTGGTTTTCTGAAACACACAGATCATCTAAATGTTGATACATTTCCTTATGTAATACTGAAAACAATCACATTATTGACATCATCAATGTATTTAAGTATTGAGAGGTTGTCAGGCTCACTGTGGTGAATACTAGTTATTCAAAATCTTGTTGCTTTAAAGTCCGAATGTTGTAATTGACCAAAAAAAAACAAAAATAGTTTCCCTTGAAGTGATAGATTCACTTCATTTATTTTTGAGAAAATGTCTGTCAAATATCCAAATCTTAATAACCATAGCTTGTCTGTGAATCACTGTTTTGAGAGAAAATTGTGTTCTATCAGAAAAGGATCTAGGTCAGCTCACAACTGAAACAGTCATTCAAGGGCTTTTTGTTGAGACAGTCATGATACTTCCGCATGATACACAGCAGAGATACTTAGTGCATACTTTCCATTTTGCCACACAGAATATTCAAAATAGGTTTACTGAAGGGTTGAGATTTAATGAAATTAATCATTTTTACTACTTTATCCAAGGACATTCTTAAGAGAAATTTCTTTTTCTGTTTAAAATTATAAGTATATGGTGATAAAGACAAAAACTATTAGTAGGTTGGCAGCTCTGCCTTTACTCTTCCTAAGGCACCAGCAGTTTTACACACTATTGTTTTTGTATGATCAGCACAAATAGTAACAGTGAAAAAGACAAATAAAAACAGTGTTATTATGAAAATGGTTTTCTCTTTGAAGAACTTCTGAAGGTGTCTCGGAACCCTTCAGGGTCTACAGACTACACTTGCAAAATTGCTAGATTATGCTTCATGCTGGTTCGAACAAGAGTAACTAAGATTAATATAGAAAATAGTTTCTATGAGAAAAAAAAGAGGAATGGAGTTGTTGAGACAGGAGAGGACATGGATGAAGGAGTGGCTTGATTCATGTCTTCAGGTGTATGAGTTAGTTGAAGATCACTTGTTCTCCATGTTTGAGGATGTAAATGAAACTAGAGGAAGAACATTATTGACCATCAGAAGGGAAGCTGATGTGTCTTATGCCCTAGAGATCTTCAAAACAGACTCCCATTTACTCCCTTAAGACATCTGTTATTTTAAATATCTGAAGGTAGAAGACAAGACCAAATGATTCCGTGAGATTCTAATATTGTGATTTTGTGGTACTAAGGATGTGTGGCTTATAAGTATACCTATCTTTATTGTAGACATTTTTTTCTTTCAGACCAAAGTTTTCAATATCTCTGAAAACTCAATTTCATTCTAAATCAGTCGTCAGTTTCATATGGTTTCTCAGAGCCCCTTGCAAGATGCTGTGCTTAATAACTTGCCCATTAAAATTGAATCAAACCTTGAGACAGACAGTGCTGCTAAGGGAGCCACACGTTGTTCCCACACATGCTAAGGAATAATGGGAAACAGATAATCATTAACAGATGTACCTTCTTCCCACCTTCATCGAAAGCATCTCAGGACACAAGAGAGCCTCTGATCATTGTCCATTCTACACTGTGGCTTCTGGGACAAAAGGGCTCGTCCTTCCTTTAGCTCAGCTACTTCAAGGGCTGAACAAGATTTGCTCTGGTAAGATTTCCCTACAGGGACCAGTTGGCTGTAAATTGATTTTTTTTTTACTTAAGGGTTATGTCATAGAATTAAAAGTATCATAAGTAGATTCTGAATGTTTAGGAACCATAGAGGTTCAATTTTGTTGTATGCATGTGAAACATAATGCTTTTAGGGGAGAAAATCTAAATTATATTTTATATTTATAAAATGGTAATTTCCAAGAGTCCATTTCTGCTTCAAGAAAAGTCCTACAGTTTGTCCCTTGAACTAACAAGCTGAAGTACAGCTGCAAACAAAGCTGTCAGAAATTATCTGAGTCTGGGAAATGAAACTGTAAATGCACCTTAGCCTGTATAAAGAGACTTGGAGAAATAAGTTCTATTTCAGTTGTTTTGCCTGCAGAAAAATATAACTGCATGGGGAAGGTGTGAGAAGGGCAATTAAAAGTGAGTGGGTGACATTGAAGTGGCAATAACCAGACTGATTAAAAAGATTAGAATGTCGTTCCTTCAGGCTAAAAAAACAAAGGAATATGATTGAAGACTATAAAACGTTTTATAGCAGATGGCTAGGACCAAACACACCTGTTCATCAAATCTCTGTAAAGCAGCACAAAGAAAAACCTGTGGAGTTCTAAGTCAGAAAATAAAATATAACAAATAAAAAGAATCTTTTTTATGCAGTGGTCACATTATGGACATAATGTAGATACAGACCTCTAAAAAAGATTCAAAGAGGATTTAGGAAAATTTGTGCTGAATAGATCCATAATAAAAGTTAAGGGAAAATAACTCTTTTCAGAGAGAAAGTACATTCATAACTTTGAAACTGGAAATCGGAGAAAAGAATTTTGTGCCAAATGATCCATGTGTTTGACATAGGTGGTGTTTATTATACCATTGTGTTCACAAAGAAGAAACTGAAAATTGTTCAGGCTAACGTTAAAATATGTTACTTAAGATTTTTTTTGTTGTTGTTCTGTTTTTTACTCAATTAACCAAGTGTAATACCAAACGGGACCTCCTGAGTTCATTAGTTTATTCCACTGCTCCCCATAAGCTGTTTCAAAGCAGCAGTTGTCTTATTCTTTCCACTTAGCAATTTGCTGATCATCATTTTCAAATTGAATTTAAATGGCTTCCATTATAATTTTCTTTTTATTTTGATCAATTTCAAACCATATCCTACTGCAAGAATTGTACAAGAAAATACCCATATACTCCCTCATATAACTTTATTAAATATTAGTTTTTCCACACTTGCATTTGTTCTCTTACTCTCTCGAACTCTATAGAATGTTGATTAATGTTTCATATAGTTTTGTTCATACATTTATATATCATTAATATGCGTATATACTCATGCTGAATCATTTGAGAATTATTACAGATAACAAGACACTTCACTCCCAAATTCTTCAGCATGGACATCCTAAGAACAAGAACATTCTCTGCAAAATACCTGGGAATATTGATAAAGTAGTAGTGATAGAGTACTACTATATAGCCTGCCGTTTTGTCACATTTCCTCAATTGCTACAATAATATCATTTAAGTAATTGTTTTCCAACCTAGGATCCAATCCAGGATTACGCTCTACATTTAATGGTCAGGTCTTTGTGATCTCCTTTAAACTAAACAGTTCTTCAACTTTTGTTGTTGTTGTTGTTCTGTATAACATTTACATTTTTCAAAAATCTAGGCTATTTGTTTTGCAAAATGTCCTTCCTTTTGGATTTGTTTGATTCTTTCCTCATGATTAGATTAAGATTAAGCATTTTTGGCAGGCTATCTGCACAGGTAATGCTGTGTCCTTCCCAGTGTCATTCTCAGAGTATGTAAGATGTCAATGTGTTTCATTACTGGCAATGTTGAGATAAAGATAGTGTCTGCATGATTGCTTCATTGTAAAGAAACTTTTTAAAAATTCAAACATTATCTGCACAGTGATACTTTGAAACTTTGTGAATATTCTGTTTCCCAGATTTTTCCCTAGTGGTTTTAGCATCCATTGATGATCATTGCCTGAATTGGCTATTACTATGTGATAGTGAAATTCTAGTTTTCTGTTTCTACCATTACTTTTACATGTATTAGTTCATTTGCCTGGCTTTCCCTCCTTCCTCTACCCTTAAATTTTTAGAATCACTGTGTACTTATGGATATATTTTTTCTTTTTTACTATTACTTTTTTAGCTTGATAATTTTGTTTTTTCTCAGATTTATTAAGGTATAATTGGCAAGTAACTTGTACAATATTATATTTTGATATCTGTATACATTGTGAAATGATTAAATCACACTAACACATTCATCAACTCTCACATACTTATTTTTTGTGGTGAAAAGATTTACAGTCTACTCCTTTAGCAATTTCAAGTATATAATACATTATTATTAACTGTAGTCACCATGCTATACAATAGATCTCTGGGACTCCATCCTGTCTAACTAAACCTTGATACCCTTTGACCATTTTTGATCATTTCATTTTTTTCTTTTCTTTCTCCCCCTTTTTTTTTTTTTTTTTTTTTTTGAGGCAGGATCTCACTCTGTCCCCAGACTGGAGTACAGCGGCACCATCTTGGCTCACTGCGGCCTTAACCTTAACATTCTGGACTCAGGTGATCCTCCCACCTCAGCCTTCTGGGTAGCTGGGACTACAAGCACATACCACCACTCTTGGAACAATTTTTTGTATTTTTTGTAGAGATGGGATTGTTGTCATGTTGCCCAGGCTGGTCTCAAATTCCTGAGCTCAACCAATCAGGCTGCCTTAATCTCCCAAAGTGTTTGAATTACAGACATGAGCCACTGACCCTGACCATTTCCCAATTCAATAGTATTATAATCCATTTCTGTAATTTTTCATTTTGATACTCAAATTGTGCCAGATGTGATCATCAGCAGGAGCCCTTCTGAGTTGGCTTGTTTCTTTTCAACTTGTTCTCATCAGTTTGAGCTCATCCCCCATGGTACATTCAGATACTTCAGCCCTAACTTGGTCCCATCCCTGGTCCCTTTTAGTAGGGAGGGAATGGTATTCAGAAACCCAAATCTAGATAGTCGGTTTGCGTATTGCTCCTGGAGTGGCTTGCTTCTAGGTCCTCTCAGTGGATAATAGAATGAACACACACATACACAGCAGTATTATAGCCATATGGTATAGTGTTGCTATACTGCTACCCTCAATTTCATTTCAGCATTACTGGGTCTACATTTCATATTTGCATTTCCATTCTCCCAAGTAAGAATCCTGGTACACCACAATATCAACATATTTATTTATTTCCTCAGTCCTACAACACACACGAAATAGTTTCAGATTTGCTACACCGGGACTGCTACCAAGAACAAACTTACTGAGCCAGATTCGAAAATTCTTAAAATTCTTTTTGTCCTTAGAATATTTGTCTCTCTACATATAGTCAGAAGATTTTTAAAAAATAAACTTGTAAATTAGTTCTTCCTTTTTCTTCTAACAAGTTGATAGAGGCTTAGGGGTTTTGTTGTCATTGTTTTCATTTGATTTTGTTGTGATAAGAACACTTAATGTGAGATCGACACTCAACAAATTTTAAGTGCACAATATAGTATTGTAACTATAGGTACAATGTTGTACAGAAGACCTCTCGAATTTATTCATCTTTCATAATCAATTTTTCTCATATTTGTTTTTTAATATAGTCTATTGAAGAATTTTTTCCAACGTTGTTGATTTAATCTGTTTTGAATATGCAGATAAATGCTGCTTTTAAGTGATAAGAAATCTAAATGTTACATTGCCAGCTATACGAAAATCCAGTCCAAATTCAGTGTTGTCTTCATACGTGTGATCTATTTAGAAACTTAAGAAAGAGAAAGCATAAATATTTTTCTTACTTGTACTAACAAAGATTTTAATTATTATTACCTCTCCAACTTTAAAATCAAGAGTTTTTTCAAGCATACTAATACTGCAGGGCAATATGGAGCGGTGATTAACAATCTGTCTCTGGGATTAGATTGCCTAAAGGCAAATCCTGGTCCCCACCCCACCCCACCCCACATTTGCTAGTTGCAACCAGGTCAAGTTTGTTATCCTTTCACTGCCTTGTCCTCTTCATCTGTAAAATCAGGATACTGCAGGCATTCGGTGCGATGCTTGATGAATAGTAAGTCCCAAATAAATGTTACCTGTGATTTCAGTGGTGATGATGTTCAATTTGAAACTGTATTCTAGATATCCAGAGTTCCTAATACTAAATTAAAGACTTTTTTTTTTTCTTGGTAACTGGGCTTTCTGTGGGTTTGGGAGTTGTTTGTTTTTCTCTATCTCAGTACTTTTGATGCATAAGGAAAAGTCAAAGCTTAACTAGAAGTTTTGGCATTGAGAATGACCTTGTTCTTGTGTTGAAGTGTCTGAAAAATAAAAATAAAAACTCCCCCTATAAAATCCCAGTCAGTTGCTGCTGCTGGTCCTAGGGCAGGCTATCTGTGTCGGGATGCCGAGCATTACTGCCACTATAATCACTGAGGCATCTGCCAGAGATCTCATGGCTGAAAACTAGGTAGGAAAGTCTGTATTATATCTAATAATAGCTCTGGAAATTTTCCTGAAATATTTGCTGGCAACTCCCAGGCTTGACAGACATAGATTACTATAACTAGAGCAAGGACATCATTTCTCCTCTTGCTAGTGAGTATGCTAGAGTACTAATCAAAATAATAACTAGAAATTACTTGCTATGAGTTTTTTATGTTTTTACTTGTAGTGCTCTTGGGTTTCAGCCAAGAGTGGCTAGATATATTTATATAGATGTATTTTTAATACACAAATAGCTTTTTATAAGCTGTAGATTCATATTAACTATTCACTCCACCAATGCAATAAGAAAAAAACTATATCGACATGATTACTCTTTTATTCCACAAACAGTGTAAAATTATGTGCTTGGCTTCTGTGTGTGTGTACTGAGGACTCCTGAGGATGCAGTCAAAGAGTCAAAGTTAAATATTAAAGGAATTGTCAAAACATTCGAGATAGGAAGGTCAAAATGCTTTGATTAACCATTGGAAAAGATTCAACAGTGAGGTGATGATTCTCTCAAGACAAATGATTGCTGTGAAGCCAATGAAGCTTAAACTTCAGGGGCCCTCACTTGTATGGGTTCTTCCAAGGCCCTGAGAGGGCCTGAGAAGTGTGTCCACGTGATCATATGTTTTCGTAATATTTGCTAAAGTGAGGGATTTTAACCACAACTGGCTAAGACAACTGTTTTGTTCCATTCCAGCTTTTCCTTCATCTCACTTTTCCTCATGTTGGGTGGTATTGGGGGTAGCTTTGGGCAGAAGAGACTAAGGGTCGCAGATATATTTACTCAGAGTTTAGTGGGATGTGCATAAATTCTGCAGTCACTTCTGTGTATAATTAAGCTATTGCCAGCCATGCCAGCGAAGGAATGGCTTCTAGATTCTACCACACACTCAGCTGACTCTCCCAGCAAGGACAGTGGCTATGTTGTATTATGAATGTACTCTACAGCACCCAGTCCTAGAAGTATGTAGTCAGTAAAGGAGAAATGGTTATTGCAATGTACAGAACCAGAAGCTATTCTGTGGAAAATTTTCAACCACCAAACATGTAAACTTGCAACTGGATGATTTTGTTCTAATTGATCTCTAATAAAAATGTAAGTTCTCACCTATCAAAAATATGCTAGATAACATGCTGGTGTATACAATTATAAATGCATCATACATTTTTTCTTTGGGGGTTATTGCTTAAAATAGAATTTACATATTTTATAAAACTTTATATGATTTTAAATAAATTTATAGGATAAAATTTCTGATAAGGCACAAACCATAAGAGTCCTACAAATAAGAGTATGTTTGTGTAGGTCACAAGATCTTATGTGTTCCAACTATCAAAAATTTAGGTCTGGTCAATCGCACCAGAGGAAAGACTGAATTATCTTTCTCATATCTTTAAAGAGTGATATCACAAAATTATTACAATATGAAAAGGGGATCAAAGAGTAGGCAACCAAAAAATGTAGGAATAATATAGAAGTATAGCAGGCAATACATTTATAAAAATATTTTTCATATTTTGTGATTTCTATATTTCTAGCTTTTTTATATTTAAATAACTTGCTATGATTTCTTTCCCTCAACCTTAATAAATATTCACTTTCTTGCCTAATTTTGTATTTGGGATTTCATGTTAATTTTCTTTTTTTATTATTATTATACTTTAAGTTCTAGGGTACATGTGCATAACATGCAGGTTTGATACATAGGTATACGTGTGCCATATTGGTTTGCTGCACCCATCAATTCATCATTCACATTAGGTATTTCTCCTAATGCTATTCCTCCCCCAGCCCCCCCACCCCCCAACAGGCCCCAGTGTGATGTTCCTCACTCTGTGTCCAAGTGATCTCATTGTTCAATTCCCACATATGAGTGAGAACATGCGGTGTTTGGCTTTCTGTGCTCATGACAGTTTGCTGAGAATGATGGTTTCCAGCTTCATCCATGTCCCTGTAAAGGACATGAACTCGTACTTTTTTATGGCTGCATAGTATTCCATGGTGTATATGTGTCACATTTTCTTTCTTTCTTTTTTTTTTTTCTGAGACGGAGTTTCGCTCTGTTGCCCAGGCTGGAGTGCAGTGGCGCAATCTCAGCTCACTGCAAGCTCCACCTCCTGGGTTCATGCCATTCTCCTGCCTCAGCCTCCCAAGTAGCTGGGAATACAGGCACCTGCCACCACGCCTGGCTATTTTTTTTTTTTTTTTTTTTGTATTTTTAGTAGAGACAGGGTATCACCATGTTAGCCAGGAAGGTCTGAATCTCCTGACCTTGTGATCTGCCTGCCTCAGCCTCCCAAAGTGCTGAGATTACAGGCGTGAGCCATGGCGACCGGCCATGTGCCACATTTTCTTAATCCAGTCTATCATTGAGGGACATCTGGGTTGGTTCCAAGTCTTTCCTATTGTGAATAGTGGCGCAATAAACATACGTGTGCATGTGTCTTTATACTAGCATGATTTATAATCCTTTGGGTATATACCCAGTAATGGGATTGCTGGGTCAAATGGTATTTCTAGTTCTAGATCCTTGAGGAATCGCCACACTGTCTTCCACAATGGTTGAACTAATTTACACTCCCACCAACAGTGTAAAAGCGTTCCCATTTCTCCACATCCTCTCCAGCATCTGTTGTTTCCTGACTTTTTAATGATTACTATTCTAACTACTGTGAGATGGTATCTCATTGTGGTTTTCATTTGCATTTCTCTGATGACCAGTGATGATGAGCATTTTTTCATGTGTCTGTTGGCTGCATAGATGTCTTCTTTTTAGAAGTGTCTGTTCATATCTTTTGCCCACTTGTTGATGGGGTTGATTTTTTTTTCTTGTAAATTTGCTTAAGTTCTTTGTAGATTCTGGATGTTAGCCCTTTGTCAGATGAGTAGATGGTAAAAATTTTCTCCCATTCTGTAGGTTGCCTGATCACTCTGATAGTAGTTTCTTTTGCTGTGCAGAGCTCTTTAATTAGATCCCATTTGTCAATTTTGGCTTTTGTTGCCATTGCTTTTGGTGTTTTAGTCATGAAGTCCTTGCCCATGCCTGTGTCCTGAATGGTATTGCCTAGGTTATCTTCTAGGTTTTTTTATGGTTTTAGGTCTAACATTTAAGTCTTTGATCCATCTTGAATTAATTTTTGTATAAGGTGTAAGGAAGGGATCCAGTTTCAGCTTTCTACATATGGCTAGCCAGTTTTCCCAGCACCATTTATTAAATAGGGAATCCTTTTCCCATTGCTTGTTTTTCTCAGGTTTGTCAAAGATCAGATGGTTGTAGATGTGTGGTATTATTTCTGAGGCCTGTGTCCTATTCCATTGGTCTATATCTCTGTTTTGGTACCAGTACCATGCTGTTTTGGTTACTGTAGCCTCTTGGTTACTGTAGCTTCTAAATATACAATCATGTCATCTGCAAACAGGGACAATTTGACTTCCTCTTTTCCTAATTGAATACCCTTTATTTCTTTCCCTTGCCTGATTGCCCTGGCCAGAACTTCTAACACTATGTTGAATAGGAGTGGTGAGAGGGGGCATCCTTGTCTTATGCCAGTTTTCAAAGGGAATACTTCCTGGTTTTGCCCATTCAGTATGATATTGGCTGTGGGTTTGTCATAAATAGCTTTTATTATTTTGACGTACATTCCATCAATACCTAATTTATTGAGAGTTTTTAGCATGAAGGTCTGCTGAATTTTGTTGAAGGCCTTTTCTGTATCTATTGAGATAATCAGGTGTTTTTGTCATTGGTTCTGTTTATGTGATGGAGTACGTTTATTGATTTGCATATGTTGAACCAGCCTTTCATCCCAGGGATGAAGCTGACTTGATCGTGGTGGATAAGCTTTTTGATGTGCTGCTGGATTCAGTTTGCCAGTATCTTATTGAGGATTTTTGCATCGACATTCATCAGGGAGATTGGTCTAAAATTCTCTTTATTTGGTGTGTCTCTGCCAGACTTTGGTATCAGGATGATGTTGGTCTCATAAAATGAGTTAGGAAGGATTTCCTCTTTTTCTATTGATTGGAATAGTTTCAGAAGGAATGGTACCAGCTCCTCTTTGTACCTCTGGTAGAATTCAGCTGTGAATCTGTCTGGTCCTGGACATTTTTTAGTTGGTAGGCTATCAATTATTACCTCAATTTCAGAGCCTGTTATTGGTCTATTCAGAGATTCAACTTCTTCCTGGTTTAGTCTTGGGAGGGTCTATGCGTCCAGGAATTTATCCATTTCTTCTGGATTTTCTAGTTTATTTGCATATAGGTGTTTATAGTATTCTCTGATGGTAGTTTGTATTTCTGTGGGATCAGTGGTGATATCCCCTTTATCATTTTTTATTGTGTCTATTTGATTCTTCTCTCTTTTCGTCTTTATTAGTCTTGCTAGTGGTCTATCAATTTTCTTGATCTTTTCAAAAAATCAGCTCCTGGATTAATTGATTTTTTGAAGGGTTTTTTTGTGTCTCCATCTCTTTCAGTTCTGCTCTGATCTTAGTTATTTCTTACCTTCTGCTAGCTTTTGAATGTGTTTGCTCTTGCTTCTCTAGTTCTTTCAATTGTGATGTTAGGGTGTCAATTTGAGATCTTTCCTGCCTTCTCTTGTGGGCATTTAGTGCTATAAATTTCCCTCTACACACTGCTTTAAATGTGTCCCAGAGATTCTGGTATGTTGTGTCTTTGTTCTCATTGGATTCAAAAAACATCTTTATTTCTGCCTTCATTTCCTTATTTACCCAGTAGTCATTCAGGAGCAGGCTGTTCAGTTTCCATGTAATTGTGTGGTTTTGAGTGAGTTTCTTAATCCTGAGTTCTAATTTGATTGCACTGTGGTCTGAGAGACAGTTTGTTGTGATATCAATTCTTTTACATTTGCTGAGGAGTGCTTTACTTCCGATTATGTGGTCATTTTTAGAACAAGTGTGATGTGGTGCTGAGAAGAATGTATATTCTGTTGATTTGAGGTGGAGAGTTCTGTAGATGTCTATTAGGTCTACTTGTTGCAGAGCTGAGTCAAAGTCCTGGATATCCTTGTTAACCTTCTGTCTCATTGATCTGTCTAATATTGACAGTGGGGTGTTAAAGTCTCTCATTATTATTGTGTGGGAGTCTAAGTCTCTTTGTAGGTCTCTAAGGATTTGCTTAGAGACCTGGGTCTCTGGGTGCTCTTGAAATGGGTGCATATATATTTAGGATAGTTAGCTCGTCTTGTTGAATTGATCCCTTTACCATTATGTGTTGGCCTTCTTTGTCTCTTTTGATCTTTGTTGGTTTAAAGTCTGTTTTATCAGATACTAGGATTGCAACCACTGTTTGTTTTTTTTGTTTGTTTTTGTGTTTTTTTTGCTTTCTATTTGCCTGGTAGATCTTCCTCCATCCCTTTATTTTGAGCCTACATGTGAGTTTGCACATGAGCTGGGTCTCCTGAATACAGCACACCGATGGGTCTTGACTCTTTATCCAATTTGCCAGTCTGTTTTTTAATTGGGGCATTTAGCCTATTTACTTTTAAGGTTAATATTGTTATGTGTGAATTTGATCCTGTCATTATGATGTTCACCGTTTATTTTGCTCCTTAGTTGATGCAGTTTCTTCATAGCATCAATGGGTCTTTACAATTTGGCATGTTTTTGCAGTGGCTGGTACCAGTTGTTTCTTTCCATGTTTAGTGCTTCCTTCAGGAGCTCTTGTAAGGCAGGCCTGGTGGTGACAGAATCTCTCAGCATTTGCTTGTCTGTAAAGGATTTTATTTTTCCTTCACTTATGAAGCTTAGTTTGGCTGGATATGAAATTCTGGGTTGAAAATTCTTTTCTCTAATAATGTTGAATATTGACCGCTACTCTCTTCTGGCTTGTAGGGTTTGTGCAGAGAGATCCACTGTTAGTCTGATGGGCTTCTCTTTGTAGGTAATTTGACCTTTCTCTCTGGCTGCCCTTAACACTTCTTCCTTCATTTCAACCTTGTTGAATCTGACAATTACATGTCCTGTGGTTGCTCGTGTCGAGGAGTATCTTTGTGGTGTTCTCTGTATTTCCTGAATTTGAATGTTGGCCTGCCTTGCTAGGTTGGGGAAGTTCTCCTGGATGATATCCTGAAGAATGTTTTCCAACTTGGTTCCATTCTCCCTGTCACTTTTAGGTACACCAATCAAACGTAGATTTGGTCTTTTCACATAGCCCCCTGTTTCTTGGAGGCTTTGTTCATTTCTTTTTACTCTTTTTTCTCTAACCTTGTCTTCTCACTTTATTTCATTCATTTGATTTTCAATCACTGATATCCTTTCTTCCACTTGATCAAATCAGCTATTGAAGCTTGTGCATGTGTCACGAAGTTCTCATGCCATGGTTTTCAGCTCCATCAGGTCATTTAAGGTATTCTCTACACTTTTTATTCTAGTTAGCCATTCCTCTAATCTTTTTTCAAGGTTTTTAGCTTCCTTGCGATGGGTTCGAACACCCTCCTTTAGCTCGGAGAAGTTTATGACCGACCTTCTGAAGCCTACTTCCGTCAGTTCATGAAAGTCTTTTTCTGTCCAGCTTTGTTCCATTGCTGGCGAGGAGCTGCGATCCTTTGGAGGATAAGAGGCACTCTGATTTTTAGAATTTTCAGCTTTTCTGCTCTGGTTTCTCCCCATCTTTGTGGTTCCTCTACCTTTGGTCTTTGATGTTGGTGACCTACAGATGGGGTTTTGGTGTAGATGACCTTTTTGTTTATGTCAATGCTATTCCTTTCTGTTTATTAGTTTTCCTTCTAATAGTCAGGTCCCTCAGCTGCAGATCTGTTGGCATTTGCTGGAGGTCCACTCCAGACACTGTTTGTCTGGGTATCACCAGCAGAGCTGCAGAACAGCAAATATTGCTGCCTGATCCTTCCTCTGGAAGCTTTATTCCAGAGTGGCAGCCACCTATGTGAGGTGTCTGTCAGCCCCTACTGGGAGGTGTCTCCCAGTTAGGCTGCACAGGAGTCAGGGACCCATTTGAGGAGGCATTCTGTCCATTCTCAGAGCTCAAACGCCATGCTTGGAGAACCACTGCTCTCTTCTGAGCTGTCAGACAGGGACATTTAAGTCTGCAGAAGTTGTCTGCTGCCTTTTGTTCAGCCATGCCCTGCCCGCAGAGGCAGAGTCTAGAGGCAGTAGGCCTTGTTGAGCTGCAGTGGGCTCCGCCCAGTTTGAGCTTCTTGGCCACTTTGTTTACCTACTCAAGCCTCAGCAATGGCAGACACCCCTCCCCCAGCCAGGCTGCTGCCTCGCAATTCAATCTCAGACTGCTGTGCTAGCAGTGAACAAGGCTCCATGGGTGTGGGACCCGCTGAGCCAGGCATGGTAGAGAATCTGCTTGTCTGCCAGTTGCTAAGACCTTGGGAAAAGCGCAGTATTTGGGCAGGAGTGTCCTGTTTTTCCAGGTAGTCTGTGACGGCTTCCCTTGGCTAGGAAAGGGAAATCCCCCAGCCCCTTGTGCTTCCTGGGTGAGGTGATGCCCCACCCTGCTTTGGCTCATCCTCCATGGGCTGCACCCACTGTCCAACCAGTCCCAATGAGATGAACCAGGTACCTCAGTTGAAAATGTGGAAATCACCCGTCTTCTGCATTGATCACGCTGGGAGCTGCAGACTGGAGCTGTTCCTTTTCGGCCATCTTGCAATTTCATGTTAATTTTCTAAAAGAGGGTACCCCAAAAATTGTTTAGACTTCAGGTCTCTGAAAATCTGAATTTGCCCAATGCTCTATTCATATATAAGGGATGCATACAGTGTAGTTTTTTAGACAGCCACTCATTCATATGTTTGAGGTTATCAGTAAAATGTTAGGTTATGAGTAAAGATTATATTGTATACTTTACCATGACAGATCCTGTAATAAATTGGCAACATTTGCTCTAAGTAATAAAATTTCAGATGCTGGCTGACAGTACTCTGTAGGTGTCATCTGTGTTCTGTGAGGGCTCGGCCTGTTCTGGCTGAGAATTTCTCCTAGACATAATCAGTTTCAATGGTGGGCAGAGCCACTTCCCATTGTAAGAAATCAGTCTCCTCCTAAAAATGTCTATTTCTAGGACTGGGTCTGGAAATTTATAAGAGCCTGGAATATACCTGAAAGCAAGGAAACTATCAGAAATACTGGGGTCATGTCAAAAAGACACAGGAAATAATTTCCAATAATCAAAAAAATAATGACTGCAATTTATGGAAACACATCAAACTTATTAACATCTGTTAGTGCATAATGATAGCAAAAAGTTTTAAAAAAGAAAATAAGCTTTCTGTTACCCTTGAAGGATATGAGGGTATAAATTCATTCTGTAAACTGATGAGTAAAGGGAAAGAAAACATTTATGCTGTCGTTCCTGTACAAACTGTAATTCAGTTTGTTAACCAAATAGTTGATACGTAAAATGTCTGCTCTACAGAAGAATTCCAGCCAATACATGGAGAAGGAAAAAAAGACCTAAACCATCACTCTTTTGTCACGGTTTCTCAACTAATGAATCTAGGAAATGATCATCAATTACTGCCCATACAATTAAATGAAAGGTTGATGGAGAATTTTTATAAGATGAATTAGGATGAGAAGAACAAAACCTACTAATTAGCAAAAGAAAGACAGCAGAAATTACTCACCTTCTGATGTGATATAGAAGTACAACCCCACTCATGAAATATACTTGCCAAAAAATAGGACATGTATCTGTTCAAACCTCTAGGTCTACCCATTTTCAAGAAACTCAGAAGAAAGAGGAAGATGTCACATGACACCATGGAAACCAATCAGCAAAATCCAAAATGTAAGACATTCTACAGGACAAATGACTGAAATAAGTGGCAAAAGATAAAAAAGGGGGAGGACTATCAAAAAATTAATTAACAGATTAAAATAAATTAATACTTAAAGACATTTCATCCAGATAGTCTGGATCTTGATTTGAACAAAGCAACTTTGTAAAAAAGAACTTTGAGGGAGTCAGAGAAGGTTAAATATGGACCAATTATTAGATAATATTAAAGAATTACTGATAATTTTAACATGCGATAATAGTATTGTGATAATGGTTAAAATGAGCTTATCTCTTAGAAATACAAACTGATGTATTTACAAATAAAATGATATAATGTCTGAGATTTGCTTGAAAATAATCCAGCTGGGGAGAAGGAAAAAAACATGTTTGAAAAGTACAATGAAATAAGGTTGGCCATATGTTGATAAATATTAAATCTCGATAACAGAGGCATGAGGATTTCTATTATTGTAACTACTTTTAGATAACTAAAATATCTAAGTTTGTTTCATGGTAGGCAAAGAGACATAGAAAGTAAATGTGGGAAGCAAATGCTGAAATATACTCTACCTACACTTTCTTGCTACTATTTGTTTTTGGAAAAAAAAAACTTGATCAATAGAAACACCCAATTTTGACATTTGTAAAATATTAAATACAAATATTATAGGCAGTAGTGTGCTAGTAAATAGCTCTCTGAAGAAAAAAGCCCTGATTTGTAGTATTTACCAGTTTGCAACATGTGAATACTCCCACCAAGGCTGATTTCAAGCTATTGATGGGACCTCGTGGAATGTGGAGTTGAGAAGAGATGTGTACTCTGAGCAGCCAGCTCCAGCCCACATCTGGAGAGATGACAGATAAGCATTAGTTTCTGGAATCACATTATGGATCTTGGGTAAGATCCCAGCTCTAAAGTGAACCCTCTGTTTCCTCTTGTTCAGCTAAGTTTTTCTGAGCATTAGTTTCCCCCTCTTAAAATGAGGATAATTCCTACTACATCAAGACAAGGATTAAATCAGATCATCCATGTTATGGACCTAGTATGGTTCCAGTTGCAATGAGTGATCCTTCATGCTAATATCGTTTCTTCTCTTCAGGTTAAAATAGAAGGGAGAAGAACTCTTGGTCTGGGGCAGTTTCAAAGTTTCAAATGAAGGGAATGAAGCTGATCATCTTTTCAGAAGGCTTCCTGCCCAGAATTTCTATAATTAGTTAAAATTACAGGTTTCAGGCACAGTGTCACAAACCTGCCAGAAACTCACCAAGCTCTAATTTGGTTGGATATTAATTGGTAGGCTAAGAAGTGAATGTGATATGATTGCAGCTAGAATAGAACTATTTGTTAAAGGTAGGGGTTTCTGTCCAATGTGATCTGGAATTGCAAGTACACAGTAACAATTAAGTATTATCTTAGACTTGACATGGTGAAAAGATTATAACTTTCCTAATCTTCTTCTGGGGAATGTTGAGGCCCAGAGGAGATGTTTCTGGCATGAATAAGCCTAAGGGTTATATTGGAACATTGGAAGTGTTTCCATTCATAATTTTGATCATGTTTCAACAGAATTATTAATAATAGCATTTTACTTCCCAAATTCTTTAAGTTGGGTGATTAACAACGTCTCAGTTCATGAAAGAGGGTTGGGTCTTTTTTTTCTTTTGCTTTGCTTGCTGAATAATTTATTTCTTTAGTGAAGAAATCTAAGGTTAAGGTAATCACTGATTAGTCTCTAATAATGCAGTTTTCAAGATTACTGAATTATATGCATATACAAATGTTTTTCAGTTTATTATAACTCAGGCTGGAGAAAATCTGAATTATAAGTTAAGCCCATTTTTACAATCTGCAGACACTAATACTAAAAGCATTTGAAATTTGATTTACGTATCTGGGTTGATGTGTTCCTACTGGGAATACAACTTAAGGATGTATTTTCCCCTCTAAGGAAGAGTTGCATGAATCATAAATCTACGTATTTTGGATTTCTGAGCAAATACTTAGGAGATAAGAAGCAGTATGCTGTATCCTCCATCTGAGGCAGTGTGCTGTATCATCTATCCCATCTCCTTTGATCTTTAAAAGAATAGTTTTACCCTCAGAAAATTAAAATATTTGGCCATTGGAAATTTGAACTTCCTGTTTTCTTAAAACAGTACTATTTATCATAAATTCAGTGGCTCCTAAGAAGTATGTTTTAAGAAAGAAAATGGAACAAAATAGAAAATATTAGTATGCCACACATAGAAAAGATACTGTTTTGTGAAACTTATGTTTCAGGTGTGCATGCATGTCTATGTGTATACATTCTGAGTTGTGAAGTAAAATTTACTTCTGAGGCATGTTAAAACATTGATGCTTTAAAATGTACAATAAGAAAAGTTACTGAAAATAAAATAACAGTTCTCCATTTTGTGATCTATACATCCTTGAAATTTTTAAAATAAAGTCATCCTAGATTTAGAAGTGGGCAGGGTACTGCCTAGGCATTAGGAGACAGCAGAGAATGAGAGGGGAGTTGCACTCTTTAGGAGACATGTTTGTGAAGATGCATCTTGTGTCTGTTTTTATTTTATCCTTTTAGGCAGGAAGGATCTTACTACATGACCTGTCCATCCATTTTATATTTATGTAGATATATATGTAATTTATATACACATACATAATTTAGTATAACATAGTTATGATATCGTTTTCCTTGTACCAGCCCTATTATCTCAATTACATTTCAAGACTTTTGAGGTCAGGGACTTTGCCTTAGGGATCTGGCATCTTTCCACCCATCAAGCACCTCACACACACAGTAGTATATACTTACTAACTGATTATTGTTAATAGTGAAAATGGCTAAAGTTCACCCAACATTATTTAGCCACCTTTATTCATCTGTTTATATATTTATGCATATAAAAGGATTGTAGCCGCTTATTAAGGCATGAATAAATAAGAAAATAATGGCTGAATTGTCAATACAAATAACCATAATATATAAAAATATATACATATGTAAATATATATGTATTTATAGATCATAAAATAAGTAAGGCTAGAGGAAAAAAATATAAATAATCAGGCTCTAAGTTATTTCATAGTTCTCTCTCTCTTAGTCTTATTCTTGCATCTGAACTTCCCAGTAGGCAAAGTGATAAAGACTGCATATCAGTTACATGAATTCTTATTAAAGAAAAAGAGAGACACTCTCAGGGAAAACAAAGATTTTCATTGTATACATGGCCAAAAATCATTTCTCACATGAAGTTTTATGGAGGAGACAGTGAGTCTGGACTAGAAAATATCTACATCACCACTCCAGGTAATGGATTTTATTTCTCAGTTTCTTCTGCTCCTCTGTAAATGCTGAAGACTATGATAAAATCCAGCAATCTATAAGAAGACAGGAAATTATGGTCCAGTATAGAATCTTTTGCCTATTCTAATATCACTTGAACATTTAGAAGAAATTGTTCAAACAATTCTCCCCAGATACCACCTATCACAACCAGAATTTAACGGAACTGGATGGTAGAGAGTATAAGATTACATTCCCTAGCAAGGGCCTAGATGATAGGCATTTATGATTGTTGGTTGAAAGCAAATTCATCTGCTTTAGAAAAAATCATGACTAGGGGTTCTGGTCAATATCCTTTGGTAGAAATTAGCAAGTTTACCGACTTCCCTATCTGAGTGATGGGATGAGCAATTCTACCTCCACACAAAGATGAGCCATTCTGCAACAAATGTTTTGAAGGCTTGAATCCACAGTATCATTTCAGGGCAGTTTCAAAGCACATGGGAATAATTTTTTACTCGTATTTTGCTTTATCTCTTCTCTAGATTACTGCTAATCACCAGCTTTTGCTGATTCTAGTAGTACTATTCTTGCTTCATGTATGTGAGGAGGTCCTATTAGTTTTCCTACAACAATCCACAATTGAGTTAGCAGTAAACTAGAAAGACAGAAGACCTAGTATTTGGAGCACCAAACAGAAATATTAAAATGGTTAGGTATTTGTGAAATGTCTACTTTGTGCAGAGGTAGAAGAATCACTTCTACACCTTGAAAGTTCATAGTAAAGAACATCCTAGTAAAGATAAGCCACAAAATGCGGGTGATGGTGGGGAGTTCCAGACCCTTCTGGGAAGAATCACTGTAAGAAGCCAGGGATTAAGCACAGCTGATGGGGTACAGGGTGTTGGACTTGGGGAAGTGGAAAGATAGCAAATACCTAGAGAAAATAAATAAAGGTGTATATATAGGAAAGACCTGATAAATGTTACTGCTAATTTACTTGAAGTGCAAGTAGGCTCTTAAAAATGAGAGGTGAGAGAGAAAGGAAGAGATGATGAAATGAGTTGTACTTGGGCTGGTTCTAGTGAACCTAAGGAGAGGTGATCTTGAGGAAAGCATAGAAACAACTACCAGGCTGCCAATTTTTAAAAAATATGGTTGCAGATGAAAGCCCCTTTAGAAGGAAACATAGGATATTCTCTAACTTTTTTAAGTCTAACAACTCTTTTGAAAAAGAAAATGTTTGGCTATAATTTATTTGTAAAATCAGAAGGTTTAGTTGTTAGCCAAGAAACTGACTGGCTGTTTGCAGCAGAAAAGAAATTTGTTGAAAAGGCCTTGGGGAGCTCATGGAAACACTAGAAGCCTGCAGAACCAGGTTCAGGACATTGGAGAAAGCAAAGGTAAGCAGGGAAGTAGAACCAGAGCCTGGATTCATGCCATGAAACCCATCTGGTAAGAGCAGGGCTGCTGATGCCACTGAGTACTGCCTACCACAGTTGCACCCCACCACTGGACTACATTCCTGCCCCGACCGTATCTTGGAGATAGGATGCATCTGCTGCTACTGTGCCGTCTTCAAAATGGCATCTTCCCTGTTCCTGCCTCTTGATATCACTAGTTCAGGATTCACGGGGTGGAGGATCAGGGAAGGGGGATAAAATATGTCCGATCAGCTGAGTCTAAGTCATGTACTCACATCTTAGCCTCAAGGATCCCTGAGAAAGTGAGAGTTTAGCCATTTGTGCTCTCATAGTGAGAAGTGTAGTTTGTCTTCTCTCAAAACTTATGAAGGTGCAGAATTCCTAGGGAGACATAGGTTTAAATTCTGGGAATCCAGGTTAAAAAAAAAAAAGACAAATGTCCACTAGAATTTCCTCTCAAGCTTTCATTTACTCTTGAGTTCTTGATTGATTTTTGGAGCTAAATTCTCCGGACCTAGAAAAGGCAATCCAGTGAATCTTGATTTTCTGTTCTAGTTTAAATAATGCAATCCAAACATGCCTCAAGCCATTGCCAGTTTGAAGATCCAGTTAAGCCTCAAGTGCATCACAACTTCTTAGCGCCAAGTGCCAACATTTTCAGTTTTGACATTAAATTTATTCTTTTGTTGGTGCTTATATTTTAAGTGGCATAATTGAAAATGAATCTAAATGTGTGAGATTTTAGCTTGTGTGTGCCCTCTGAAGGCTTTCACGAAAGCCTTGATAATGATGGTAGTGCATGAACTGGCCCTCACAGGTGCCAGTGTTGTAGGCATGTCCCTCCCTTTGCTAGGCACCCTGCCAGCCACCACTGTCCTCTCTACAGCTGCTTCTCTTTC
This sequence comes from Homo sapiens, assembly GCF_000001405.40. Taxonomy (NCBI): domain Eukaryota; kingdom Metazoa; phylum Chordata; class Mammalia; order Primates; family Hominidae; genus Homo; species Homo sapiens. The sequence continues at coordinate 179,622,803 of NC_000002.12, read as the reverse complement.
AGAGTACAGGCAAAGCTCCTTTCTGTCTCCTCTTAGTTGACAATGCCAGTTACAGAAATTCATGCCAGACCACACTCCAATGTGATAGTTGTACAAGTGGAGACATGGAAAGATTATCAAACTAGTTGTGATTAAAAATTTTTATTCTTATATGTGTGGCTTAAAATAACACAAGGTTCTGGAAATGCAGAGTAAATAACTGCTATAAGATTCTAAAATACATAGCTGGAACCTAAGTAACTTCTATAACCCTTCCTGGGAAGATGCCCTCCCAAGCCATTCTAGCCTAAACTTAGAAAATAAGGTTTATTTTTAACTTTGTTACCTCTCTGAGTTATTCCAGGAAGATTTTTCTTAGGGATTTTCCAGTGTCATTAGATACCACAGACAGAGTATGTGCTGCACAAAGCCAGATTTTTTCTGCATTATCCTTGAAGATAAATCCAGGAAACTCCATGGGCTTACTGTTTATACCAACCCAAGCTAGGCTAAAAGATGTCAGGGTGATGATACATCTGAGAATGACGACCCTGAATGAGTTCTGGGACTGGGCTGTTATACTACATTTTTATTAATAGTTGCACATCTTGAGATCTGATTCATTTCTAGTCATAGGCCTTTGAGCCTTACTAATTTGCATAAGGGCTCAGAGCCATGCTAATTTTTTCTTTTTATTTGAGTATATTTTGTGTTAAGGGAAAACAAGCAAATAGATTTTTGATAAGCAAATGGTGGCCAGGCTGAGGAGCTGTAACTTGTAACTAAAAAGTTACAGCTTAGTATACAGTGGAAGAGATAAAAATCCTGGTAAATTGGTGACTTCAGTGTCTCCCTTGTATAATTTTGTAGTTTTTGCAAGATTCAGAGATGCTAAACTCTCATCATGTTGTCAAATTGAAGGTAATATTTAACATGAGGCAAGTCTTTCTACCATTTTCATCAGTGGCCTAAAAGAAGATAGTGGATTTTCATTTTGTTTCCGAAGTAATTATTGGATTTTCAGGTTGCACTGAAAAATGTGATCAAAGGTGTGACACGGAGGTGATTCACTGTCCCCAAAACATAATCCCAAAGGGGCGACTGAGGAGCAGAATTCCAGATGAAATCTTGTTTCTTATGTGCCCTCTCACCTAGACCTGCTGTAACAGGGAGGAAGTAAAGGAAGGTAGGGAGAAAGGGAACTTACAGGGGTGTGATGAAACCAGCTCTCACTGGCTTGGGGGAACCAATTGCATGCATTTCTTTGCAAACTTACGTTAAGTGACATGTTGATCTTTAAAATCAGCCATGATGGGAATAATTTACACTATAGACATTGGCAGTGCTACAAATCACGGCTCCCTCTTCCCAAATACTTTGTTGTTAACATTTATTAGCTTTCCACTGGTGACCTGCTGTTAAAAGGAACATTGTGTGTCACAACCTTAACATTATTACCACTTCTTGATTCTGAGTTTTCAAGGTATGTAAAATTTATAAAGACCTAGACTATAGCCTATCTTTCTTATACCTTTGTGTACTAAAGATATTCCAGGTTGGAAGAATTTGTTCTCTATTTTAAAATTATCCAGTATGCCTTTGTTTCCTGTGCTATTTTAACTTGCTAGATTTCCTCAATTGCATAGTTATCTTTTTCCCCCTCCCCTTTTTTTCTACCCCATTCTTGGTTATCCTTTCATGATTTCTTGGTCTTCTCAGTGTAGACCCTGATATATTATGAAGTATTTGTATGCATACCACCTGGTTAGTATGATCCAAGACATCAAGTAGTATTATAGACTCTTTCAATTCAGCAAACACACTAACTATCTCCTTTGCCTAAGACACTGTGCCAGAGAAAATAAAGGACAGTATCTAGTCCTCAAACAACTTGAAATCTAGGGAAAACACCAGACATGTATACAACTAAGACTAGTGCAGAGCATAATGTGAAAGATGCTTTTTAAAAAAGTACAAAGAAAATGCAAACTGAAGCACAGAGAAAAGAGATTATTTCTGAATGCAAAAATTAGAGAAGGCCTCAGGAATACAAAGCCATCTCAACAAAGTCTTAAATAATTGGTATGCATATTGAAGCTGAACTTTTTAGTTTTTTATGAATATATGACTGTAAGACTCACATTAAAGTAGTTAGTAAATTAGTTCATATTCTTTACCGATCTGCCAAAATTAGCTTATTGTCATAGGAGTTAGGAAAACTTAGCAAAAATAAGATTTTAAAGTCCTAAATACATGGAACTGATACTAGATTCAGAAGATGCCAATTTAGAGAATGCATTTTTCTCATCTTTGTGGCCTCCATAGGTTATTCTCAGAGCACTGTTTATAGAAGGTCTGTAATAAAAGTTTATAATTACCAATGACTAATTGTATGTCAGGCACTTTTTCATATATGATATTGTCAAATACTAAAACCAGAAAAGTTCATCTTTTTCAGGATATCACAATAAGGAGAGTGCCCCAGATCCGAAGATCAGAGTATCACTGCAGAGTGGTGTTGCATTAGACTTTTATAGATAGGAGTCAACAAGTTACAAGTGAGAGGATCTACAGTAGGGATTTTGCAATCAGGGGAAGCCTCAATCAGCTAGATGAACAGGAAAAGTTTATCTCTGTGTCTAGCTAGTTTCTGGGGGAAAAGCAATCATAATCTTAGCTAATCACTCAAGAGACAAAGAACAGGAAGTTGACTAGGGGCAAAATGAGAAGGGTCTGTGGCTAGCCTTGTCATCAGGTTTAGGCAAAAGGAGAAAGGCCTGTGACTCTGTCAATATTTAAACCACAGAGTTACTCTGAAATATATTAACACCAAAAGTCAGAAATTGACATTCAGAGAGGTTGAGAAACTTGCTAAGGTCACATAGCTAGTAAATGACAGAATTTCATCCTATATCTTTCTGGCTTTCTCTTTTTATCATGCCACATTACTCACATTGTGTTGGATGAATGCTTAAACAGTAATTTTTATGGTTAATGTGACTTTTATTTATTTTCTATGTATTTATACACATACTACCTAGTTTGGAAATAATGGTCTTCAGAGAACTAGGTGTAAATGTTTAGAAATGACAGGTATCTGTTCACAAGCTGGTTTATAGTAAGAACATGCCTCGTTCCCCATAAGAAAATCTACCTTTTCAGTGACTGCATAGGGAGAAATATAGGATTCTAGTGTGTTAATATTTAGAGTGATTACTTTTGCTATAAATCAATAAGCTGTAGTGATAGAAAGTATCACTGTTTCTTTTTCAGCTCTGCTGTGTGGAACCCTAGAGGTTTTGCAGGAGGTGCTTTGAGATCCTCACATAAGTTTTTGGCTGGATGGGGGAGCAGGACAGGAATCCGTCAGGGCTTGGTTCCCCAGCTTCAGCCTAAGCTATTGGGTATACATGTTGAATTCGAAAGTTAAAAAAGACTCAGTAAAGAAGGTAATAAAAATGTGAAAACTATTAATCTGAGAGAATCAGTTATTTTAATAAAACAAAGCCTGTATATGTATATTTCTCTTGGAAGACTTAAGTTCATAAGTGTATTGGCTATTATCAGCTTCATGGAGACCCTTGCTGTGTTTTCAGTATTCACAGCAATGCAATGTTTTCATGCACCTGAAGTGTTCATCAACACAGCAGAGGAATCTAACCTGTCTGGCCTGAATCATTTGGCATCTATTCCATGCTCAAATTTTTGTGGTAATTATGAGTGTGAAGTGATAATTTGTTGTTGAGTTTTGTCCTGGGGCTGAGTCATTTAATTCTTTTTTTTAAATCATGTTTTAAAATTTTTTGTTAGTAAACAGACCAGGTGTTGTTTCATAGTAACTGCATTATATTCGCTGAACACTGAAGCAAAAATTGAAGCAAAACAAAAGCCACTACACTTCTGTCTGTGCTACCTTCCTAACCATAGTAACTGTGTCTATTGTAAGTAGAAGAGAAGAAGGAGCAGTTTAAGCTTAGGATCTGGGGGCTGCTGAAGCCAAGAACTTTTGAGGTACCTTGTCACTACTGGCAGCAGAAACATGGAAGTTTTAGCTTAGAGGCAAGCAAAGCGAAGTTTAGTGCTTTCCTGATTCCTCTTGTTCTCCTATTTAGGGATAACCTGGCTGCCCCTACTCCATGCATCACATGCCAAGAAGTTCAGGCAGTGACAGGAGATGCTATCATTAGCTTTGATTCTCTCCATAACCTCCTGGTTTTAGATAGGAGTGCTATGGTTACAGGAAGATGGCAAAATGAAAAATAAGACAAATCAACCAGAAGATACCAGAAAATAGGAGAAAATGAGATAAGGAACTATGAACTGGAAAGCAAAACAAGTGAATTATTTGTAGCAGTCAAAGTTTCTAGACATTTTGGAGGAAATTGAATCTTAGGAAACTGTTCTGAAAGGAGTTATGAATATGAATAAACAGGAAAGAGTGACATTTAAGGCTGGGGGACTGCAAGTGCAAAAGCTTATAGTGGAAATGAACCATAGATATTGACCATGAAAAGGTATGTAGGGCTGAGAAATAAGTAGGCAAGAATACAGAGGTTGGCAATAGTAGAGCTCAGTTTTAGACTTTGCTACTAAAATTATAATCATTAGTAAACTGATAATCTCTCTAAGGTAACAGATAAAATGTTTTTTTATTCTTCCTTGATAAGGCTTGGGAATTTAATGAGTATAAGAGTGATCATTTTCTTGGTCCCTGAAACAGGGAGGAAAAATTAGTATTATTAATGCTAAAGTAGGAGCCTTCTAATCACATGTTTCTTTTGTTCCCTCTTTCTCAGGCTACAATTGGCAGACATGAGTAATAATAATCAGGAAGAAGAAGAGAGAGTGAGCACGGGAGAAACGTGTGATTAGAAGGCTCCTAGCATAGCTAATGCTAACTTTCCTCCCTATTTAGGGGGATCAAGTTCTCAAGATTCTTATGGGTACATTCTTTAAGAGTAGTTCTCTCTAGAAGGGTTGAAAATTACCTCCTTGGTATAATGGCCAATATTTGGATGATGGGTATACTAGAAGCCCAACCCCCACCAGTATGCAGGTAATACTCATGTAACAAACAAGCACATGTACCCCCTGAATCTACATTTTTTAAAGAATAGTTCTCAAATTGATGTCCCTGAACTAGCAGCATCAGTACCACATGAGGACTTGTAAGAAAGGCCAGTTTTCAGGCCTCCTCCTAGGCGTACAGAAGCATAAACTCTGAAGTGGAACCCACCAGTCTGTGTTTTAATAAGCCTTCCAGGTGATTCTCATGCACACTAAAATCGAAAAACACTGCCTTAAAGCTTTTTTTCAATATAAAAGTACTCCAGAAAATAGAAAGTTGATGCATTTTTCTTCCAAGCTCCTTTTCTCAATGCTTTACAATTTTCTGATTAAATCTAGGAGAAATAAAAAGAACCCAATCAGGTGGTACTAGGCTTTCAACACACACTATTCTTCCTTTGAAAAAGAAAGGCGTAGCTGTGCTCCAGACCTAAAAACAGCAACTGCAAGAGCACCCAGCTGGGGTGCATCAGGTGCAGCATCAGTCCCTGCCTTGGATTTACAAACCCAGAAAGAATATTTTTTAAATCAATTATTAACCGGAGACTCAGAAGTCTTCTATTTGACAGAGCTTCAGAAACTGAATCATTAATTATATCCAAGACAAACATATAGCTGTTGATGCTGAACTTTTAAGAGAATTTAGCAGCTGTTTATTAAATGCCAAGAGAAAATTGGTAGTTGCAACTTTGGGGATCAAATAAAAATGGCAAAGGTAACAGACACCACACTAAAAGGGGGACAAGTGGAAATATGAAGGCTGTAGTCACTAAATGTAAGGAGAACTGAGATGCAGCTTTTTGTAAAGAGGAGGGAGAGTGGAGTGAGAGTCACAGCAAGAAATAAGAGGCAGATGAGGGGAGCGGGAGTCTAATTACAATAAAAACTGATTGATTGGGCCAGGTGCGGTGGCTCACGCCTATAATCCCAGCATTTTGGGAGGCTAAGGCAGGAGGATTTCTTGGGCCCAGAGGTTCAAGATGAGCCTGGGCAACATAGCGAGACCCTGTCTTCCCAGAAAATAAAAAAAATTAGCCGGGCCTGGCAGCATGCAACTGTGGTACCAGCTACTCAGGAGGCTGAGGTGAGAAGATTGTTTGATCCCAGGAGTTAAAGGCTGCAGGGAGCTATGATCGCACCACTGCACTCCAGCCTGGGTGACACAGTGGGACACTGTCTGAAAAAAACAAACCTAATTGATTCATTGATTAATATGTCTTTTAGAGAAAGCCCCATCTCTACTAAAAATACAAAAAATTAGCCCGGCGTGGTGACATACACCTGTAGTCTCAGCTACTCAGGAGGCTGAGGCGAGAGAATCGTTTGTACCTGGGAGGTGGAGGTTGCAGTGAGCCAAGATTGTGCCACTGCACTCCAGCCTGGGTGACAGAGCAAGACTCTGTCTCAAAAAGAGAAGGAGAGTAAGACTAGCTATAAAACATACTGTCATAAAAAACCATAAAATGTAGATATCCTTGTATTACTAGTAACTAACATTTTGAGTTCTCATTGTGTGCCAAGCATTGTACTAAGTACTCTCATTTGATTCCCACAATAGCCCTATGAAACAAACACTATTATTACTATCTCTGCTTAAGAGATGAGGAAACTGAGGTTCTTAGAAGGGAAGTTACACAGCTAATATGTAAGCCTCTAGGATTTGAACCAGACAATCCTACTCCAGGATCTGAGTTCTTCACATATAAACTCCTCAATTTATCAGATCTCCAAGATGATTAAATACTATTCTATATGCTATCGTCCTTTTAAAATAATTGTCTTATTATTGTTTTCTGATTATAAAATGAATATGCGATCATTGCATCTAACTCAGAAAATTCAAAAATGTTTATAAAATAAAGATCATTCTTGGTCCCATCACCCAGAGATTACTGATGGTAACTAACATGTGCTGTACTTTATTTTTATACTTGGTGCCTCAGAACCATCTAAGGTGCCCTTTAGCAGGAAATCAGCTCCAGCCCAGACAGTCTGATTCCCTAGGTCTGGGTAAGGTCAAGGCTTGTGTATTTTCAATAAGTACCTCTTCTACAGAGCCATAGTTCAAGCCCAGTGCTAAAAACACTGTTCTATAACTTACAAGCCCGGTTCTAAAAACACTGTTCTATAACAGATTTTCAAAAATTTCTGTGCAGAATATCCTGTATTTAGTTTATCTCTAGATTCTAGAGCACCTTGATTTTTCCCATTAAAGCTATTTTATTTTAGAACCAGGAAAATACCTAATACAGAAGTAGTTTTCAAACATTAGTCTGCATCAGGATTACTTAGAGGACTTGTTAAAACATGGACTACAGAGTTTCTGATTTGTTAGGTCTGGGATGGAGCCCAATAACATGCATTTTTAACAAGTTCTGGGATATTGCTTCTCCTGCTGGTACAAGGACCACACTTTAAGAAACACTATATAATAGAGAATACTTCCAAATAAGAGTTCCTGGTAGAAACTCTTCTTATCGTCTTTGGAAATCCCTTAAGATTCAAGTACAAGATCCTGACCTTGATGCCATCATTTAGAAACAAATTTAGTGACATATACTAGCATGATTAATATCATCCCTTCCTCAGGAACTCCATATGTGAAAACTATTCAGCTGCTTCCATGTCTCTATGACAGCAGTAAAAGTGTAACAAGAAAAGGATAGCTGCTGACGTTGTCAGCTAAAAAATCTTAAATGTCCAGATGATTGTTGGTAGTGATGGAAGGGACAGGAGGACAAGGTCAGTTGCACCCAATAGCAGGCATAACACCTATCACAGAAGTCTAATATGTGACATTTCTTAAGTAGGACAAATACCAGAGGAGGATGTTGATGCTACTGGCAGTTTTTATGAATTATACATGATGCACTATTTTAAAATTCAGCAGAAAACTGCCATTTACCCTCTATAATAAAAGGTATTGTATGAAAAATGAAGTGCTGGGTGTGTAAATATGAGATGCTACTGATATAATGGATCTTAAGCATACTTCACACTTCTCTTTGCTCTCTAGCCCCTGACGGAAGACCAAGCTTTTAAGAGTAGGGTTGACCTTTGGAAATCCAGCAGAAGCATTCATGAACTAGATACCTCAGTACTGTCAATCTGTGCTTTCATACCAGCAACCAAATTCTAAATGTAACTCTACCATTTTATTGGCTTTTGGCTTTACCTCCTTGATACTGGAGTAATACAAGTGTATAGCTATATTTGGCATTTGACATTTACTTGTCAATCAGCAGAAAAACAGAAAACCCCTTTCAGACAATATAATTTACCCTAGAAGTTTAAATGTTAAAATTAGAAATGTTCATTATGACTACAAACTGCTAAAAGTCATCTAGGAAAATTCATTCATTTATGATTCAGTCAACAAGTATCTATAGAGCACTTCCAACATTCCAAGCATTGTTGTAGATTCAGGGGATAGAACAGTGAGAAAAAAAATACAGAAGTGGAGCAAGGTGGCCGACTAGAAGCCCTCGTCAGTTGCTCTCCCCACAGGAACACCAAATTGAACAACTATTCACACAAAAAACACCTTCATAAAAGCAAAAAATCCGGGGAGTGATCACAGCTCCTGATTTTAACTTCATATCACTGAAAGAGGCACTGAAGAGGGTAGGAAAGATAATCTTGAGTAGCCAGCACCACCCTTCCTCCATCCCTTGGCAGCAGCCGTGTGTCACAGAAAGAGAATCTGTGCATTTGCGGGAGGGAGACCATAGTGATATAGGACTTTGCATTGGAACTCAGTGCTGCCCTGTCACAACAGAAAACAACACCAGGCAGAACTCAGCTGGCGCCCAAGGAGGGAGCGTTTAGACCAGCCCTAGCCAGAGGGCAATCATACATCTCAGCAGTCAGAAGCTGAGTTCTGGCAAGCCTTGCCACCACAGAATAAAGTGTTCTGGGGTTCTAAATAAACTTAAAAGGCAGTCTAGGTCACCAAGAATGCAATTCTTGGGCAAGTCCTGGTGCTAGTGAGGAATGAGCTGGGTTGGCCAAGGAAGTGCTTGCACTACCCCTCCCCCAATCACAGACAGTGCAGTTTGCAGTTTTGGAGAGACTCCTTTCCTCCACTTGAGAGAAGAAGGAAGAGTAAAGAGGACTTTCTTTTGCAACTTGGACACCAACTCCACCATAGTAGGATAGGGCACCAAGCAGAGTCCTAAGGCCCCATTCTAGTCCTTAGCTTCTGGATGACATTTCTAGACACACCCTGGTTCAGAAGGGGAACCTACTGCCTTGAAGGAAAGGACCCAGACCTGTCAGGATGCATCACCTGCTGACTAAAGAGCCCTTGGGCCCTGAATAATCAGCAGTGACCCAGGTAGTACTTGCCGTGGGCCTTGGGTGAGACTCAGAGATGGGCCTTGGGTGAGACTCAAAGATGTGCTGGCTTCAGGTGTGATCCATTACATTCCCAGCTGTGGTCGCTATGGAGAGACACTCCTGCTTGAGAAAAGGAGAGGGAAGAGTAAAGGAGACTTTGTCTTGGAGCTTAGGTACCAGCTCGGCCACAGTTGGTAGAACACCAAGAGGGCTCTTGGGTCCTCAGTTCCAGGGTTTGGCTCTGGAAAAGCATTTCTGGACCTTCCCTGGGCCATAGGGGAGCCCATTGCCCAGAAGGGAGAATCCCAGGCTTGGCCGCATTCACCATGAGATCACTGAAGAGCTCTTAAGATTTGAGTGAACATTGGCAGTAGCCAGCCGATACTTGTTGTGGATATAGGACAGTGATGGCTACAGGGAGAGACTCTTCTGCTTATGCGAAGGGAAAGGAAGAATGGGAAAGATTTTTTTCTTGTGGCTTGGCTTTCAGCTCAGCCTCATAGCATAGAACACCAAGTAGATTCCTAAGGTTTCTGACTCAGATCCTGGCTCCTGGATGGCATCTCTAGACGTTCCCAGGGCTGCAGAGAACTCACTACTTTGAAGGGAAGGACATAAGCCTGGCTGGCTTTGCCGCCAGCCCACCTGGGGCTGATTTTAGAGCCCCAGGGCATTGAGCAAACATAGGTGATAGCCAGGCAGTGGTTACTGCAGGCCTTCTGCAAGACCCAGCACCATGCTGGCTTCAGGTCTGACACAGCGCAGTCCCAGTGGTGGTGCTTGTGTCACCCATCCCCCAGCTCCAGATAACTCAGCACAGAGAGGGAGAGACTCCATTAGTTTGTGAGAAAGTAAGGGAAGAGAACAAGAGTATCTGCCTGATAATCCAGAGAATTCTTTTACATCTTATCCAAGACCACCAAGACAGTGCCCCTACAAGTCTGCAAGAGCTACAGCATTACTGGGCTTGGAGTGCCCCTTAATTCAGACAGGCTGCAGAGACCAAAAACTTAGATTACAACAGCCAAGTTCTTCAAATACTTGGAAAGCCTCTCCAAGAAGGATGCATACAAACAAACTCAGACTGTGAAGACTGCAATAAATACTTAGCTCTTAAATACCAGACACTGGCAAACATCCACACGCATTAAGGCCATCCAGGAAAACATGACCTCACCAAACAAACTAAATAAGGCATCAAGGACCAATCCTGGAGAGATAGAGATATATGACCTTTCAGACAGAGAACTAAAAATAGCAGTTTTGAAGAAACTCAATGAAATTTAAGATAACACTGAAAAGGAATTCAGAATCCTAGGAGGTAAATTTAACAAATAAATTAAAATGATTAAGAATCAGAAATTCTGGAATTAAAAAATGCAATTGAAATACTGCAGTATTTATCAGAATCTCTCACCAGACTAAACAAAAGAACAAGAAGAGGAGAAGAAGTAGGAGGTGGAAGAGGAGATGGGGGAGAATAAGAAGGGAGAGAAAGGGAAGGAGGAAGAGACCCAAATAAATAAAATTAGAGGTGGAAAAGGAGACATTACAATCGATACCACAAAAACTCAAGGGATCATTAGAGGCTACTATCAGCAACTATATGCTGATAAATTGGAAAGCCTAGAATAAATCAATAAATTCCTAGACACATACAACCTACCAAGATTGAACCATGAGGAAATTCAAAACCTGAACAGACCAATAACAAGTAATGAGATCAAAGCCATAATAAAGTCTCCCAGCAAAGGAAAGCCTGAGACAACTGATGAATTTTACTAAACATTTAAAGAACTAATACCAATCCTATTCAAACTATTCAAAACAAATAGGAGGAGGAAATACTTCCAAACTCATTCCACGAGGCCAGTATTACCCTGATACAAAAACCAGTCAAAGACACATCAGTAACAGAGAACTATCGGCCAATATTCCTGATAAACGTGGATGCAGAAAACCTCAACAAAATGTTAGCAAACTGAATTCAATGACAATGATAAAAATTATCCATGATGACCAAGTGGGGTTTATCCCAGGGATTCAAGGATGGTTTAACATACGCAAATCAATCAATGTGATATATCAAGAGAATGAATGACAAAAACCATAAACCATATGATCATGTCAACTGATGCTGAAAAAGCATGTGATAACATTCAACATCTCTTCGTGATAGAAACCTTCAAAAAACTGGATATGAAAAGAGTATACTTCAACACAATAAAAGCCATATATGACAGACCCACAGCTAGTATCAAAATGAATGGGGAAAAACTGAAATCCTTTTCTCTAAAATATGGAACATGAAAAGGATGCTTACTTTCACCACTGTTATTCAACATAGTACTGGAAGTCCTAGACAGAGCAATCAGACAAGAGAATAAAAGAAAGGGCGTCTAAATTGGAAAGGAAGAAGTCAAATTATCCTTGTTTACAGATGATATAATCTTATACTTGGAAAATCCTAAAGAGTCCACCAAAAAACTAGTACAACTGATAAACAAATTCAATAAAGTTGCAGGATACAAAATCAACATACAAAAATTAGTAGCACTTCTATATGCCAAAAGAGATCAATCTAAAAATGAAATCAAGAAAATAATCTTATTTACAATGGCTACAAATTAAATACCTAGGAATTAACCAAGGAAGTGAAAGATCTCTACAATGAAAACTATACAACATTGAAGAGTAGACACACAAATACACACACAGGGAAAGATATTTCATGTTCATGGATTGGAATAATCATATTGTTAAGATGTCCATACTACCCAAAGCAATCTACAGAGTCAATGCAATCCCCAGCAAAATATCAATGATATTCTTCACAGAAATAGAAAAACTATCCTAAAATTTACATGAAATCACAAAAGACCCAGATTAGCCAATGATATCCTGAGCAACAGAAGCAAAACTAGAGAAATCACAGTATCTAACTTCAAATTATATTACAGATCTATAGTAACCAAAACAACAAGATACTGGCATAAAAATAGACACATAGACCAATGGAACAGAATAGAGATCCTAGAAACAAATCCATTAAGTCTGTAGGGAACTCATTTTGACAAAAATGCAAAGAACAGAGATTGGGGAAAGAATAATCTCTTCAATAAATTGTGCTGAGAAAATTGAATATACATATGCAGAAGAATGAAACTAGACCCCTATCTCTTGCCATATACAAAAATAAAATCAAAATGAATTAAAGACTACGACCTTAACCTATGAAACTAGTAAAATAAAACATAGGGGAAACTATCCAAGACAATGGATTAGGCAAAGATTTCTTGAGTAATAGCCAACAAGCACAGGCAACCAAAGCAAAAATGAACAAATGAGATCATACCAAGTTAAAAAGCTTCTGTACAGCAAAGCAAACAATCAACAAGGTGAGGAGATTACCCACAAAATGGAAGAAAATATTTGCGAAGTATCCATCTGACATGGGATTAATAACCAGAATATATATGGAACTCAAGCAATTCTATAGAAAAATTCTGATTAAAAATGGGCAAAAGATCTGAATAGACATTTCTCAAAGGAAGACATACAAATGGCACACAAGTATATGAAATGGTGCTCAACATCATTGATCATCAGAGAACTGCAAATCAAAACTGCAATGAAATATCTCCAGTAAAAATGGCTTTTATTCAAAAGACAGGCAAGAACAAATGCTGGCAAGGATATGGAGAGAAGCGACTCTTTGTACACTGTTGGTGGGAATGCACATTAGTACAGCTACTATGGAGGATAGTTTGTAGATTTCTCAAAAAACTAAAAATAGAGCTACCATGTGATTCAACAATCCCACTGCTAGGTATATAACCAAAAGAAAGGAAATCAGTCTATGGAGGAGTTTCCTGTGCTCCCATGTTTATTGCACCACTGTTCACAATAGCCAAGATTTGGAACCAACCTAAGTGTCCATTGACAGATTAATGGATAAGAAAATGTGGTACATATACACAATGCACAATGGAGTACTAATCAGTCATAGAAAAGAATGAGATCCTGTCATCTGCAACAACATGGATGGAGCTGGAGGACATTAAGTGAAATAAGCCAGGCACAGAAAAGCAAACGTCACATGTTCTCACATATCTGTGGGAGCTAAAAATTAACACAATTGAACTCATGGAGACAGAGAGTAGAATGATGAGTGGTCACCAGAGGCTGGGAAGGGTAGTAGGGTTGGGGAGGGGAAGTGGGGATGGTTAATGGGTACAAAAATGTAGTTAGATAGAATGAATACAATCTAGTATTTGATAGCACAACCGAATGATTACAGTTTACAATAATATCATACTCTTATAAAGAGTATAATAAGATATTTGTAACACAAAGAAAGAATAAATGCTCAAGGTGATGGATATCCCATTTACCTTAATATTATTATTAGGCATTATATTTCTATATCAAAATATCTCATGTACCCCATAAATATATACACCTACTTTGTACTCATAAAAATTTTTTTTAAAGAAAATAAAGCCAGGTCATTTGAAATTAAATACACACACACACACACACACACACACACACACACACACACACACACACACACAGTCTTGGCCCTTCAGGAACTTACATTGTAATGGTGATGAGGTCTGTCTTATTCTCATCTTTGAGAACTTTGCTATGTAAAAAACCAACAGTGAGTCATCACTTAGGGGCTTGTTAAAATGCAGAGTCTCAGGTCCATTTCCAGATGTCCTGAAACAGAATCTGTATGTTATTTTATGATATCCCCGAGTGATTTGCATCCACATTAAAATCTGAGAATCGCTGTTCTAGAAAAGAGCCTGAGGTAAAGATTAAAATTCTGATTTTATTTAGAAGCACAAGCCCAGGAGAGTAAAAATAGGGGAAAAGATAAATGAAGAAAAGGAAGCTGTAAAACGATGAAATATTGTGCTGGCTATGACTTCAAAATGAGTCTGGAAGGGGCACAGCAGGTCACTCAGCAGGTGGGTTTGTTCTGCATGTGAAACTTCTCCTTCTGCACACAGTTGGCAAGGAAGATTTCCACCAAACTCTTTCTCCTGAATCCTGCTTTCTACAGATTGAAGTTCACACCACTGCATGGTTTCTGCACCCCTTCTATTCTGGATTACTAAGTCCAGCTCTGAAAGTGGAACAGCAGGTGCAGACCAAGAAAAAGAAAAAGAAGGGAGCAGTTAAGAGTTTCTGAGAAGGGCCTGCACAGTGGCTTATGCCTGTAATCCCAGCATTTTGGGAGGCTGAGGTGGGTGGATCAGCTGAGGTCAGGAGTTCAAGACCAGCCTGGCCAATGTGGTGAAACCCCATCCCTACTAAAAATATGAAAATTAGCTGGGCATGGTGGTGCACGCCTGTAATCCCAGCTACTCGGAGACTGAGGCAGGAGAATCGCTCAAACCCAGGAGGCAGAGATTACAGTGAGCCAGGATTGCGCCATTGCACTCCAGCCTGGGCAACAAGAGTAAAACTCCCATCTCAAAAAAAAAAAAAAAAAAAAAAGAGTTTCTGAGAAGACAAAGTTTGTGTCTCAAAATAGTGTACATGGGAAATTCCATCCAGATAAGTTTGTATAAGTAAATCGAAGTAATATTTATTTGTCTGTCAGCAGAAACACAGAAAACCCTCTCTGCCAGACAAGGTAATTCACCATAAAATTGTGAATGTTATATTAGAAATTATTATCATGACTAGGAGTTACTGGTCTTTCTTGACATTCATGAGTACTCCCTGACTCCCTGACTATGACCTCCTGTTCCTTTGAGACCACTCAGGATTTCCGCATAACCATTATTAGCTCCTCCTCTATCTCCAGGTTTCTAGTTTTATTAGCCCATTTTCACACTGCTATAAAGAACTACCTGAGACTGGGTAATTTATAAAGAAAAGAGGTTTAATTGACTCACAGTTCCACATGGCTGGGGAGGCCTCAGGAAACTTACAATCATGGCAGCAGAAGGTGAAGGGGAAGCAAGGCACATCTTACATGCTGGCAGGAGAGACAGTGAGGGAGGAGGTGCCACAGTTTTAAACCATCAGATCTCATGAGAACTCTCTCACTATCATGAGAACAGCATGGGGAAAATCCACCCCCATGATCCAATCACTTCCCACCAGGTCCCTCCCCTAACACATGGGGATTACAATTCAAGATAGGATTTGGGTGGGGACACAGAGCCAAACCATATCACTCACCCTGCTTCCCCACATTTATTGATACATGTGGTGCATTTGTGAATCTCGAATACTCAGGCCCATTCTTATTCATCCCATGTCCTGATCCAAACCACACCCTGCACACGTCTATTTTGATATCATCATGCTGACATCCTCCCTGGATAAGCCAAAAATCAGGTCCAGACGTAACCAAATAATCTGGATCGATAAATCCAGATAAGCAAATGGGAGGAGGTATCAAAGGAGAAGCCACAGATCCCAGAGTGGGGCAAGTCCAAGACCCAGGAGATACATAGCACACACTCCCCAAGGTGTGTGCCCTCCCAGAGTACTCCCACTATGAGAAATTCTCATCCAGACCATCCAGATTTGACTTGGTCTGTAATCTATGAAAATTACAAAAATGTAACCAATACCTAAATGTCATGAATAGTTATCCCTAGCAATGAGAATATAGATTTTCTCTTTCATTTTTATCATTTCCTCTGCTTTTCAAAATTTCGGTGATAAAGCTGTACTGCTTTTATAATGAGGAACTCTTCCATTATTTTTATGAAATAATATATTTTGGCAAGGAGACTCTCTTAAAAACAGAATAAGGAAAAACCAGAATGACATGTAGCTATTAAATTTTAAATTATGTGCATGTTCATAGATAGTAAATCTCCCCAAACTTTAGAGTTTAGGAAACTCTAAATTTCCACAGCACCCACAACCTAAAGGAAAAAATATTTTCCTTAGACCAAAAGGGGATAAATATGTGAAGAGTCAGAAAGCAGAAATTGTGCTTTCTGAAGGCAATACTGTACTGCCAAATGTCTAATGAGGCATTTCAAGAAAGTCTGTAACTTCCTTGTACTTGTGAAACACAGGCAGTCTACTGTCCAGCCCTAAAGTAATGAGAAGGGCCTTTAGAAATGTCGGCACGTGATGTTGGTCAGCTCTAAACTCTAGACACCTTTTAAAGAAGTGCTTAGTGTCCTTTCCAAATTCTACTTCAAATTCCAGTCTTAACCTACATACTGCACAACTAGCAGAACCATGTTTTCTGCTAGTTGATCATTTTATCAACTCTGATCAGATGTCAGAGTTAATTTTGTGTAAATGTTAACAGATATGGTTAGTTTATTCCTACAAATTTTTTGACTGCCAGCTACTACTTCTACTTCCTATGCTATTACAAAAATATAATAATTTGTACTCAGATTTATGAGATAATGGATCCTTATCTTCCAAACATAGTTTCTAAAACAGTTCAGAATTCACTGGTGCTGAAAAGCCCTTCTCAGCTAGATATTAATGTTCACCTTAAATTTCTTACGTCTCAGGTTACTATCTCTGTGAAAAGGAAGGAAAGTTGGCTTTCTCATTGTGTCTACTGCCTTGATTTGGGACCCTAGAGGTTTCCAGCCTCTAATCCTGTTAATCTTTGATAGTGAAAGCTGGTTAATTCACTTGAGATACCATACTTAAGGACATGAATTAGTAATGGGCATTTGACCTCTCTGTAATTATTATGCTCACATGATAATTTATGAAAATAAATGCGTCTTAAGAGATAATGATTTCTGACAATTCACTTTTCATATTGAATCAAATCACGCAGTAAATATAGCTATTCAGAGCCTGCCACTGCATACATATTATAGCCATTGGGACCTGCTGCTATTCTATTTGTTAAACAGTGAACTATGGAATTCATTTTGATGACTCAATGTGAATGAGTTTTTAGATCCCACCTTCCTAACTGACTATGCATAAATACACTCCAAACTCATGTCTTGGCCTCTCATTTAAAAAAATACTTATTAACAATTGATGATTCTAATACAATTTTCAGTTTTTTTCACATTTAGAAAGTGACACTTCAAGTTTGTAGATATTTCAGGCTAGTTTATAAACCAGAGCATATGACAGAAATGAAATAGCACAGGAAGCAGTGTGTCTTGATATCCTATTTTAATCAGAAAGTAAATCTTACTGAAAAAAAAATCATGTTTCTAGTGAATCTAAGAGAAGTAGGTAAAGTGGCATGTGGTAAAATTAAAATACTTCTATAAAAAATCTGTTATTAACATTTAACATGTCAAAATACATTGCTGTGCATTTTGAAAAATCATATTGTGTGTTTTAAACATGTCTCTCTCAGGCATCCAAAATCCTTGAGATAGGGGAGACAGACGTTATTATATTAAAGATATAGGATATACTTTCAATAAATAAGGAGCCAGAAACAAACAACATCATATGAGTACTTCTTAAAATTTGCAATGTGGGAAACAAATTACTTGTCAGTTATGTACCTTGCTTGAAAAGAAAACACTTATTACTCTCTTGTGCTACTGAAAATAAAATGTTCTTGGATTCAGTTAAAAGGTATTTGTAGGCACAGTGACATTTCACAATTGTAAATGTTATAGCACTCTGTGGAAATATAGTTGGAGACATTCCCTCCAGAAACCACTTTGACAAGGATAGTATTTATAAGTAGACAAGAAAGTTTGCTCAAAAACAGCCTTGCCATTTTACTTTGCAACAAATTAATATCTATATAAGTCTTGTAATACAGTTTATAAATATTTATAATATATAAAAATATTTACTTAGGAAAAACCTCTCTGGATAGCAAGACCTACTTGTAGATTATTTGCATTTTAATTTGTGTGATGAACAGGATTCAAAAAAGATTACCAACATAAATATTTTTAAATTGCAGAAATGATTGTTGGGAGTTCTGGGTTCCAACTAGTTATCTTTTGGCAGTTAATTCCAAGTTCTAGATAATAGGACATTCTTTTATTGGGCCAGAATTATTTTTGTATTTTTTTTTCAGTTATTCCCCTTCTTAAAATTGCTCCTTTTTCCTAGCCATCATTAGCCCCGTCTTAGGAATCCACTTAAAAATTTTTATGTCTTAAATTTTTAATAGTTCTATACTTTAAAGTTTTTTATTTTTGTTTTGCTTTTTCCAGTCAGCTTTTAAATTTATTGAGAGCAGAGTCTCTGCAACCTTGCTTTGATTTCTCCCACCAGGTCAGGTGCTGTGCCAATCCTTAGAGAAGGCTTTTGATAAAAGTGTTCAGAATGGACTTGGCTTTAAAACTGGTCACAAATTACCACAAAAGCACTTTCTGAATGGATACTTGGATTTCATTTCCAATAAATTATCTGCAGTAGAAGAAATATTGGTGAAGAATGTAGCATTATTTTTTAAAATAAGCTCATTAAAATAGTCTGATCCTATTTGTACCTTTTATTAGTAGATTCTTCTGTGTATTGAATAAATGTCTGTGAAAATCCTAATATATCACACTATAGTTATTTTTTCTTTCTTGTAGAATCTACTACAAAGAGGCATTTAATTTTATTTGATGCATTCCTGTTTACTCTCCCATAAATATAGAATTATTGTAGTTCATTTGGAGAGCGAGTATATGGAGGAATTACTGGCCTAAGATAAAGTACTGAATCTAGTCCTATTTTCATCAGTGACTAACCCTGTGAGATTTTTCAAGTAACTACTGTCAATCTGTTTTTATCATGGGTCAACTGGAGACACTATTTTCTTTACCTTCCTCAGAGAATTGTTGCTACAATCACATGATATAATATAGGAGCTAGCACTCTGAATACTATAAAGAACCATACGAATCTACACTGTGATTATGCCAGTCTCCACCATGATACACTGAAAGCTATAAAACAAAATTGTTGTTTAAAGATCCTGGGTCATTGTCTTGGTTTTGGGATGGAAAAGAATTTCTTTTGAAAAATGAGATTCTGAAACCCTATTTTAAAAGACCAAAGCTTTACCAATGTTTATATACTGAACCAGACCCTACTGCAACCAAACTAATCTGGGCTGCCTTGGAAGATCGCTAACATATATTGAGTGTGTGCACTCTGCTAAGCCCTGTGTGGCTTTAAATGAGAGACACGCTATCTCTCAATCAATGCAGCCCTATAAAGATGGGTAATACTGTTATCCTTACTTCATAGGTGAGGAAATTGTGGCTTAGATAGACTGATGTGTCTGGGGCCCCCAGATCAAAAAACGCAGAGCCAAACTTGAATCCACATTTGTCCTACTTCAGCACCAATGTGTTCCTCCTCTTTTCTGTCCTGGCAATACTGTTACCTAAGGCCCAGTCAATTTTAGAGAAATCCAAATCGATGAGGAAGAAAATTAAATAGTAAGAATCACATTGTTTAATTTCAAATTGGTTTGAAAATACTTGTGGAATTATATTGATCTTTAGAGGTATTTAAGGAAAATTTTAACATCTTTACACAGAAAAAGCTTTTAAAATACTAATCAACAGTGAAAAATAAATACCAAAAAGCACTCCTTTAATGAGTTATTGCTTAAGACATACCTGTGGCAATGCATGTACCTTTCAAGTATGTAATGTTTGTTCCCGTGTCAAGAGTTTGTTCTCTAATGTAACATTTGAATTATCATAACTTCTATTAAAAAATAAAATTACTCCATTGGAAAATCATTCTGGTTTCCCAGACTCTCATTTGTTGCCAATATATATGATGTTTTCTCTTGAAAACTTACGTGGTATTTACCACTGTAGAAGGCAAAAATGTCTGAGTCATTTAGTCATTTACATGAGCTAATAGAAAAACAAACCCTTGCGTAGTTTAAAAAATGTAATTCCAATTAGCAGTCTTAGGTGATTTATGCTAAGTAGAATGTTCATAATTATTTTAACTTAAAAAAAAAAGAAGCTGGGTGCGATGGCTCACACCTGTAATCCCAGCACTTTGGGAGGAGGCCAAGGCAGGTGGATCACCTGAGGTCAGGAGTTTGAGACCAGCCTGGCCAACATGGTGAAACCCTGTCTCTACTAAAAATACAAAAATTAGCCAGGCGTGGTGGCACATGCCTGTAATCCTAGCTACTCAGGAGGCTGAGCACGAGAATCGCTTGAACCCAGGGCGACAGAGCCTTTGTCTCAAGAAAGAAAGCATACATGTTGTGTTTTAGTTAATGAGACTGAACCTATAATTGTATGGTGTCTTTAAAATAAGCTCATACAAATAGTCTAATTCTAATTGCACCTTTTCTTAGTGGACAGTTCTGAGTATTGCATAAATATCTTTGAAAATTTTGATATACTATGTTTATATTTTTCTTTCTTGTAGAATATACTACAAAGAGACATTTAATTTTATTTGATGCCATAGACTTTATATACATTTCCCATCAATGTGATGAGAATTGTAGGTTAGTTACTAAGCAGTAAAAACAGAATCATTTTAATTCTGCCCCTAAAATCTTTTTCTTGTTGACTCTGAGAGCTTGTCATAGTGAAAAGCATAGCAGATCATAGCTTTAACAGGAGAAATTCAGATAGTCCTCATGGCATATTTGGGGCAAAAGGTGTTTAAAAGCTGAAACTTTTTCTTTGATCATTACATTTTAGTGTAATAATATTGCTGGCTCTCTTGATTCTTTAAGGGACCTTATAGTTATTGACCTCAAAGAATATTTGTAATGAGTACATTGCAATTAATACAAAATTTCAAGTAACTCATATATATAAATGTAAATATATACATTGCTAAAATAGTGTCCCAAATTCAAGTGGTAACTGTAATTTGAAAGTGAAGGATTCTTCAAGTCACTGGGGCACAAGGCAAGATTAGTTTTTATATCAGGTTCTATTTTATACACAATGCCAGAGCTATGAAAAAGTAGAACTAGCAACATAAAACTGCAAACTATTATCATACTTAGATTTAGAAACTTTATAGTGTAGTTGCTATTATGTTAAAAGTCAGAAAAAAATGTTTACTCTATAGCTGTTACCCAGTCTCATAAGGCATAAAAATGATAATCCTATATTATAACCAAGAATTTTATACATAAAATGAATATTTCATTATTGCTTTGAGATATTTTCAGAATTTGCTTAGTGAACTTCAAAATCTCATTCTTGCTTCACCCAGCCCAAAACGCTTACTCCTCTTCCCTCAGCATAAAGCTATCAAATAAGCTGGCTGCATCCCCAAACCTAAATGCAGCTTTTAGATGTTGCTTTAGAAATATACCCAGGGTCTCTAATGTATATATTTCAAAGGTTTGTAAGAATATGCATTTTTGTCTTTTATATACAAGAAAATGATGCTGACTGGGATACCCAACTGGGTTATATGCATTCATTCATCCAAGAATGAAATGGCCTATGTGTTTATAATGTCACCTTCACTTTGTCCTCTTTTCTATCCACATATATTTATAAAACTTTTGAGAAACTCATCTGTACTACACCATTTCCTTCAGTGAGAGTCTAAATGCTGCTATTATGTAAGAAAGTCAGAGTTGGAAATGTTTTTTTCTAAATGTAATGTGGGTCTTTCTACTAGAGTAATATAATTCTGGGAACTTTCTTTAGGCACTCTGTAATGGAGGAAGAAAAGTAAATAACACGGGGTTGGTTCTTGTCTTCAAGGAGCTCACAATGAAGTAGTTAAGACTGACAAATGGAATCATACAAAATAATAATTGCAAGACTATTACTTTAGCTCTGTTAAGCAACTTAAATGGCAATGCCCCTGTAGGACCAAAAATAAAATATTACATTAATTATTCTTTCAGTATGAAGGAGTCTCCCTGTGCAGAGATTTGAGAGATAAATTATTTGACCCAGAAGATATAGAAATGGATACCTTGGCTTACATATTCAGAGAAATATTTTCTCATTTGGAGTAGCTACCTTAGGAAGCTATGCAACTCTCCTTTGACTAGAATATTATTAGATTTCCTTGTTGACTTGCCTGCAGAAGTAATTCACTTTATTGTCAAACTTGTCAGCATCCAACTTACATTTGTAGTTTTTTTAGTCACGATGCTAAACCTCCTTCTTTAATTGCATATCAAAATGATATTTTAAAGAAATGTCAATTGTTTTTAAGTGATGTCTTTAGTTCTCAACATGCTGGCGTTTCTTTATTGAGCCCATTGTTGCAATTCAGATTATATCTGTCATTATATAACCCTTATGTTTGCAGACATTTTCTAAGCAATGATGGTTGGCCTTAGGCTAAGCCAGACCATTAAATCTGTTCTGGGCTGGAAGATTGGCACAATTGAAGAATCAGACATCATTTAGAGTTGTTTCCATTTAGGTTTACTAATGAACCAATAAACAAATGAGAGATCACAATACAGGTTAGTGGATGCAGTTCATGATTACTTCTTTCTTCCACATAGTCATAATGGCATATTCAAAATGGTTAACGCAATCCATGTACCATGAAGCATCCACCTGGACAGAGCAGCCCAGAGCCAGCAGCTTTGCCTCGTAGCCCAATAGGATGGGGGAAGGGTGTTTACGCCTCACCATAGAAGAAATTTCTTCCTGAATCACTGATATATACTTCCATATTCTATTTTTTACTAAGTCATCAAACCTGGCTACCATCAGTCTTCAGAATGTTATTTGAATTTTCAAGAGACTGCTTGGTTCTCTTATTTCTCTTCTACACAATCACTTGTTTGATCTAGTTAGTACTGGTATCCTTGTTGGTGTTTTAAGGAATGCCCAGGATCTGCTTTTGTCTTTCAGCATGTTTATTGGGTACCTACTTAAGGAAAAACACTGTATCGACATGGAAGGCCATGACATTTAAATAACTTAATGGAGATATTTTAACAGACAGAAAGCTGGAGAGAAAACAGTTCCACATAAAACTATAAAAACATTCTTATTTTTAAGTTATTTTAATGAAATATTAATTAAGGAAGATTAAAGCATTTCCCTAAGTTTTCTCCCATTAATTCTGTTGTGACTGATACATTTTGGCAATTAGTTGAAACTAAACATTTGTTTATCAAAAATTATCACTTTGTTTCCATTGCTTTTTACTGTTTTAAATACTTCCCATCTACACAAACTTGACATTAAGTCACAAAAGTGGCAAGTTGTATAGAACTGTGATTTTCGGAATCAGAAGATCTGGGTCTGATATTCTGATCATGAAACTCAAAGGGCATAGTTCTGAGCAAGTCCCTTAGTCTTCTTGGACCTCTGTTTCTAAATCCAGAAACTTTGGTGTATCTAAGCATAGAAAAGGTACAGCAAAAAAGCAGTATTATATAATCTTAAGGGACCATTGTATATGCAATCTATCATTGACAGAATCATTACGCGACTCATGACTGTATAGATTAAATCATGATTCCTCACATATTTTAGAATTCTTCACAATAAATGTCTTTAATTAGGGATCATTCTCTTCTTTTTACTGTAAACATCTAAAGCACTTAATATAAAAATCTGTTGCTTATAGCAAGGTGTCCCACTAATTTATTAAAAGAATCAATATAACAAATCCTTTTTGTTTCCAAAATAAAATTTCTGAACCATAAGAATTAGTAAATTCTTTTTAGAAAGTTGAACAATAAAGTTAAGGCTAATATTTTTATGTACCAAACATCCAGGTATAAGATGTCACAATTTCAAAAGTTCTTGTGCAGGCAAAACCTTAGTTTCATGGAATTTATTATGGCATTTATTACAACTTTATGGGATTTTCAGAATCCAAATTCTAATATATGATTCATGCTTTTGGTGTATCGTGCATATTTTCACCACCACCTCATACATAGAGGTTTTATTTTTTAATAAATACATATCAGAATATTACAGGTTTTATATATATAATAAATGGACTTCATATTTGACATATTCAAATATATCACGATTTACTCATCAAAAAAAGTCTGTAACATGCTTTGAACACTTAAGACTAAAGCACGTTAGAACCATGCCATGATGAGGAGGATATAGAACAAGGAAACATCTGTAGTGAGCTGCATAATGTAACAACAATTAACCTTAATCACAGAAAAGCCCAGTCCATACCCCATTCAAGATAGTATTTCTCATCACGGTGGAGCAGGATGCAGACTAGAAAACACATGAACTAGAGCGCCACAAACAAACACGGCAGGGGAGGCAGTTGAGTCGTCTCAGGAATATTAAGAAAACAAGCTCATTTTAATGGGTTTTAGTTTGGGCTGTATTTTTAAAATATCTTTCTGAAAGCATGTCACAATTTACTAATATTATTTTTTAGTTTTCAAAACTTTGTATTCATTGAGTATGTCTTCATCCTAAAGAATCTAATATAAAAAAAAGCACTTTACTAACCACAAACTAGTTTGTAACAGGGTATACTGTAATTACCATGGCAATTATATTAGACATCTTTTTTTATTCTTGCTAACTTGGAATTATTTCAAGATTTTCTCTTTGGACTGACATTTTCAAATCTTGAGCTCTAGTGAAGATGATTTTTACTTCTTCACATTGTGAAAGTTGAATTAATCTTTTCAGAGAGTTTTTCATATGGTTAATTTTTGGTATTGGGACACTTCAACTTAGAATTTGAACTTCAAACCAAGAAAAAAAGACTTATGGGGCAATAATATTATTTATCTTTCTTTTTCTGACTGTAAGACATGAACATAATATATATTTCATATCAACCTCATAAAACATTCCAATGTTCCCAGGCCACATTAAAATGCAAAATAAGATGGTATTATATAACTTGTATCAATAGGACCCATGAATAATTGGCACAAAGATATCTGTGCGTATGTCGTGTGAAAAGCTCAGATGGAGTGACTACAAGAAAGGTGGATGGAAGGAACATGAAAGACTAATGAAATCATAATTTCAAGAGTAAAGCTACTGACTGTGAAGGATACAGATTAACTTTGTATATGCAGTCATTGACATATTAAGTTATGCCTGTATCCAAACTTAGGTGTCAACATAGTACATTTTATATGTAAAAAACAGTCAAAGTAATATATACATCCTAGACTTTGGCTACCACTAAACTGTATTAAAGTGTTGCTGTACCTTTTAAGACAAAATGATGCAGTAAACTCACCATAAAAATATAAAACCCAGATTTGTGGCTGTTAAAAATATAACCACCAAGGGAAGTAGAACTTTTCTGAAGATATAAATTAGGTACCTGAAGTGGCGTGCTGCCATAACAAGTAGCTAAAAATGTAAGAAATCAGAAAGTGGATAGAGGCTGGAACAATTTAGAGGAGCATGATAGAAAAATCCTTGATTGCTTTGAACAGACTTAGTAGAAATATGGACATTAAAGACTCTGCTGGTAGGGGCTCAGTAAGATATGGGAAACAAATTATTGGGAACTGAAAGAATGGAGATAGATCCTTGTTACATAGTGGCAAAAAGGCTTAGTGGAATTGTCTCCTTCAGTTATGTGGAAAAGAGAACCTGTGAAAGATGAGCAAGGATATCTAGCTAAGGAAATTTTCAAGCAAAGTGTTGAAAATGTGGCCTGCTCAGAGTTTTACTCTTTTACTACCATTTTACTCTTGCTGCTTAGAGTAAAATGTCAGAGAGATAAATTGGGGTAAACTATTAAACAAAAAGAAACTCAGTCTTGACAATTTGAGATATTATCAGTCTATTCAGATGACAAAAGATGGTAAAAGTAAGAGATTGCTTCTGAAAGTGTGGCATAGGAAAAAGAAAAGCCAAGGGTGTGGTTGTACAACTCTTTGCTGAAACTTTGAAAGATCAAAAGATTAGTGTTTGGCCCTAAGACACTAAAGTTGTGCCTAATAGATACCAACTTAGAGGGCTTCAGTAAACCTTAAGAATGTTGCCCTCAGCCATCTCAACAGAAGCCAACGATAGAGGAAGTCTCAAAAAGATTTGTAGATGTGGCCTCAGTCTGATAGAGAACATCTCTGTGTCATCCACAAGAGATTCACTAAGTTTTTGAGAAAATTATATCAGCAGAAAACTGCCAGCTTGGACTGAAAGGAACAGGGAGACTACAAAGTGAAAAAAAGGCTGTTAGATACCAAAATTCCACTTGCAGAAAGCAGGCTGATAAAACTACTTAGTTTCAAACTACTGTTCAAAAAAGATGAATGACTCAGCAAGCAGAACCAGTAGTCCAGGGGAAAGAATTGAGAGCCTGTAAGTAAGAGTCTATCCTGTTCAACGCCTGTGACATCCTAAGCAGAGAATCCAGTCACACCCACTCAGACTTCTAACCTACAGAACTATGAGGTAATAAATGGGTATTGTTCCAAGCCACTGATTTTTTCTTGAGTAATTTGTTATGCAGCAATAGAAACCTATTAGAGATATTAAAAGTCCATCCACTAAAGATTTTGAAGAATTTAGTAGAGAAAATAGTAGTTCCTTGAAATTTTTATATATACCCACTCCTAAATTGTTTACAAAATGCTTGCTCTGAAAACAATTTTTTTAAAATGCTGTATTCTGTAGATAGTTTCTATGAAGTTATAAATGCACATATTCCTGGATTCAGGAACTCACCAGTTATTTTCTTTTTCTTTTTTTTTTAGACAGGGTCTCACTCTGTTGCTCAGGCTGGAGTGCGGAGCGCAATGGTGCGATAACGTGCCTAATGTGCTTGTGGTTCCAGCTACTTGGGGGTGGGTTGCACTTAGGTATGCAGATCGCTGGAGCCCAGGAGGTCAAGATTGTAGTGAGCTGTGATCATACTACTTCACTCCAGCCTGGGCAACAGAGTGAGACCCTGTCTCTGGAAGAAAAAAAAAAAAAGAATATCTGGGATGGCTGAAAAACAACCTTTAGCTTGAGTTTCTAGATATGACTTCTAAAGCCCTATCAGAGAACTGGGCTGCTCAAAGAGCTGCAGCTGCTGCCACCATTAGGAAGCATCACCACCCTGCACCTCTGCCACAGCCCACAGCATTACAGCCAGATCTTAGGCCCATGTGACCTATTTTAGCATTCCTGAATGATGGAACCCAAACCATCCATGGGAGAACATATAGGAAATGTAGTTTTTAAGCTTTACAGGAAGAAACATTAGAAGAAAGTTGGCATAGTTGTTGAATAATCCATAAGTATCTCCCACAGGGACATAATGATTTAAATTAAAAAGGCCTTAGAAAGCCATTTCATTGAGGAAGGCAAAATTTTTCATTTTGGAAGTAGTAATAAAAAGATCAGATACCCTATGGATGATTTTTTTCCTTTGAATCTTCCTAGTTTCAGATCTTCATTAATTCTTTTAAGTGATAGTTTTCATTTTTTTCACTATAAATTTCCTATTGGGTGATTAATAGTAAAGTAAGTAAAGATAAAAGATTATTTTTATTGGCATTTATCTTATGCCTACATAAAATTTGCTTTATCATATTATCACAGGTCTACAAAGTTTTTTTCTAGTCGTTTCTAACTTAAGTTCACTAGCTGCACATGGGCATATGTGCCTGTACCCAGCTACTCAGAATGCTGAGGTGGAGGGATTGCTTAAGTCCAGGAGGTTGAGCCTGCAGTAAACCATGATTAGGCCACTGCACTGAGCTGGGGTGAAAGAATGAGACCTTGTCTAAAAAAAACAAAACAGAAAAAAAAAAAAAGAGTTTACCTATATCAACTGAGACAATGGCTTGGTATCATGGTTTGAATAAGATATTGTTGTCCTGAGAGGAGAGTCCTACTTACTTACAAGCATGTTTTGGCACTGAGCCTCCTCTTTATCTGAACTGGCTTCAAAAATACTAGTGTCAAAAATAACATCAGCATATAATGGGCTTACAGCAGTGATGGTAGTTTTAGTAACTGAGTCAACCTTAGGCCAAGTGCCATTTGCTGGCTCAAGTCATATGTTAGGGTATTATTTTCTGTGACTTACAATCAGAACATTGGGGCTTAGATATAGGTAGTCACAAAGAAGAGTAGAAATCAGTAGTGGTGAACAGTCTCTTCCCTGCTGTAACATACGCAAAAAAGTAGGTATATTATAAAGTGTATGATGATGAGTTGACCATGACTAAATTAGCATACTGCCATTTGAGAGCACTGGACCATTTTCAGTAGCTTTGAGTACTGTTCATTAATGAAACTTGATGGAATTAACCACTTCTTATTCTAATGTTTATTTAGATGTATTTGTGTGACTGCCAAATTAAGTTGAAGTTACAACTGCTGTATAACAATAACAAATTACTAATCTAAACGAACTACTAATCTATACTACTAGGCTAAGAGCT
This sequence comes from Homo sapiens, assembly GCF_000001405.40. Lineage (NCBI taxonomy): Eukaryota > Metazoa > Chordata > Mammalia > Primates > Hominidae > Homo > Homo sapiens. Next base: position 179,594,164 of record NC_000002.12, on the reverse strand, counting down.
AAAAGGAAAGCAAAAACAAGCTGAAAACAAATAATTGGGGGAGTGAAGTGAATTTTTTTAACTTTTGCCTTCCCTTAGTAACTGATTTTGCTTTCCTTGGTCTTCTGTTTCTTTTTGCCTACTTTTCTTTTACAAAGTTGAAAGAAGTCTGCCTGATCTTCCCTCCCCTATTCCCTTTCTCATCTTGACTTATATGCCCTGGAAATGAAAATTGTAATTGGGAGAAGGGGACTACTTCATGTGTACACTCTTGACAGGAGAAAGATTATGAAGGGGGATGGCTATAACTAAGGTGACCATTTAGCTTGATTTTCTTGGGGCCTTCCTGGCCTATGACTATTAATAAGCATCCCCTTTCATTCTCTAAACTTTCCTGGTTTGGATAATAAATTACATCGTCACCCTAGTTATAACTTGGATGAGTTAAAGGATGGTATAGATAAGCGTAAGAACTTTCTCTAAAAATGTTGACAGTAGTTGACATTTTGGTAGAAGCAGGCTTAGCTAGTCTCTTGTTAATAACCATAAGGACAGAATTGCTTTTCTTGATACTTGAGTACCTGTGTACTCTTCAGAACTATGTTATCTTTTGGGAGTGTTTTAAAGCATTTAAGTAATTGTTCTACGCATGAAAATTGAACTACTCAGCATTCTTGTACATGTATAATAAATGAGAGGATATGTTCAATTTAGTAATTTAAGAAAAATAATCCTAGTGAGAATTCTTATTTGAAATTGTATTTCAGAAATATAAATGGAGATTTCATCAAACGTATTCCTTGTGGCTTTTTAAAAAATAAGTTGTTCAAGAATACCATTGTTGCTAATAATTTTTGGTAAGGAAAAACTATTGAAATGGAAAACTGAATATTTGGAATGTTCAGCAAACAGAATAACAATTAATAATGTCTTTTTCAGAAACTTTAATATTTTTTTCATTTACAATTTCTGAATGTTATTTTTTGTTTTATTTCAGTGTTTATTATAGTTTTTCAAAAAAGTGTTTCTTCCCTCAATCCAGGTTTTGCTATCATTCCCGTTGACAGCAAGTAATCCATTTTTATCATAATTGAAGGCAATCTTAATGTTTGGGGAAAATTCTATTCAATCCTGGGGAAGTTATTTCCTTTGTCTTCCCTTTGAACAGTAACTTTTTATGGTGGGTTGGATAGATAAAGCTCACTGCAAAAGTTTAGGTTTTAGAATCCCCAAGTAGGTTGTAACAGACCATATTCCCATATGAAAATTGACATTCCCTTATAATGTACTTAATATAAGGTCGTAGAGACTTTTGAGAATCCATTGGGGCCTGCTCTCAATAACAAAAAAGACACAGAGAAATAAAGTATATGAGGATTAGAGTTGCCAAAAACCTTCCATGAGCAGTTTAGACATACGGCCTTCAAGTAGAACTAACATACTTCCGTTTAATTTTTTTAATCTTGTTAATAATTAACATAATGCAACAACCCCATATGGACCATGAAACAATAGAACATAATTCCAAAGCAGTTTTCATATTATATTCTTTTCTGTAAAAAAAAATAGTGTCCAAACATCTTACGGTATACTTTTCTTCAGTGTTCTTCCCAATTAATAAGTATTAGCACTTTCCTAGGGTAGAATTTGCTGTGAGTTCCTGCTGTGGTAAAGACGACATGGAGTTAATCACAGTGTCATGCTTTCATTCTCAGTTTTTTAGTGAGGTGTACTTATTACCAAAGGAAAGCCTTCTACGAAAATAGTACAGCCCATGTTATGATTGAATTGTGTATTTTAGCCATCCAGCTAACTGAGGCTATTAAATTACAGTGGTCAGTGCTATACTTATGAGTTATAAAAATGGCATTTAAGTTATTTAAATGAACAGGGTTTTTTTTTCCAAATAGACTTTATATTTGCCTGCTTGAACATCCAGAGGAAGAGGGTGTAGAGAGCTCTTAACTGCACCACTGCTGAGAGAGCAACGTGTTTTCTGGAAGACAGTGTAAAGGGGTAGAAGAGCAGGGAAAGAGAATCTGCCAGTCTTGAGATTTGTCTCAGTGTTTAGAGGATTCGTAGCTATTTATTCTTCATAAATGGAGCATGTGCAGGTTTAGTGGTGTAACTTTTGAAAAGATATTGTTTCTGCCTAATTTGTAATCACAAGATACCTAATTATATTGCTGTTAACAACACCTCATTTTCACACTATGGACTATATAGGGCATGCTCTGGGCCTGTTTTTCACTAAGGAAAAAGAAAATGAGCTGCTACCTGAAGTCACTGGGGCGGAAGGATCCCTGGGGTCCAAGTGATCTTACAGAATGGCCCTGGAGGGAAGCTCAAGATTCAACCTACAGCTCTGACACTTGATAAATCACAGAAAGGTTCTGCCTGAGCCTCAGTTTATCTATTAATGAGGACAGTCCACACATTCCATCATATCCAATTTATGGGGGGAAAAAAGAGAGAATCTAATGTTAGCTAGGCAAAGTATAAACCAAGCAGAGAGAGAAAGTTCAGTGGCTTTACTCTCTACCCTGAAGCCTCACCAAGTACTGAGGTCACCATTTGGACTGAACAGTTTTGAGGTGCTTTTAAATTAGCCCTGTTTAGAAAAGATTAAGTTAAAATTTCATCAGCAAAGAACAGCTTTCTAGAGATGAACATTAAATGACTTTTAAGAAAAGTCATTTAAGAAAAGCAGTATTAGCCAGGCCAACCCCTTCCTCCCACTGGGTTCTGTAATACTGCTTGGGAGTCATATACCCAAAGCCCTTTCATTGCTCTCTGTATTTCCTTGGTCAATAAGGTATATATTCTATTCAAAGTAAGACATGTTCTAATATAAATATTCCCATTTTTCCTTAATCTAAGAACTACTGGAAAGCTGAAAAAAAAAGTTTTGAAACCACACTATACAGATAATATAGAAAGAACAGAGGGAACGTTTGTAATCATATGAAAATAATAGGAAATATACAATTAAAAGAAGTTTAAAAATAACATAAAATAATTTTCTATTATTACAAAGAAACTTTCTAGGGGTTTGAATTGTGTGTGTGTGTGTGTGTGTGTAAATGAATCATGAACCACTCTGGGACTAAGATACTTTATCTTTGTAACAGGTAGTGAATAATTAGAAAATCCCAAACATCCCATTAAACCTTAACTTTCTAGGACTGTTGGTACTATAGTCATTATAAGTAAATGTAGGTCAGTGTATTAGTTCATTTTCATACTGCTATAAAGATACTACCTGAGACTGGATAATTATAAAGGAAAGAGTTTTAATTGACTCAGTTCCACATGGTGGGGGAAGCCTCAGGAAACTTACAATCATGGTGGAAGGCAAGGGGTGTGTAAGGGACATCTTACATGGCAGCAGGAGAGAGAGAGGGAGCGCAAAGGAAACTGCCACTTTTAAGCAATCAGATCTCCTGAGAACTCCCTATCATGAGAACAGCATGGGGGAAACCACCCCCATGATCCAATCACCTCCCACAAGGTCCCTCCCTTGACACACAGGGATTACAATTCAAGATGAGATTTGGGTGAGGATGCAGAGCCAAACCATATCAGTCAGGTAAAAACATTTATCTCAAGGGGAAGCTGAAATAACCGAATGATATTTGTGTAGCATTAAACACGTAAAATTCTCAGGAGTGCAGAAAAAGAATCTAAAATGGAGAAATAAAGAAATAAAGCCACAAATTAGTGAATACTAGTATATTCTGGATGGTAAAATAATGGTAACAACAGTCACAGGTAAAATAGGCAAAATGGCGCAGGTAGAAGTACCAGTTGCCAGGCATTGGGCTTAAACCCCATGTATACATTGTCTCGTTTAATCCCATGAAACAAATTCTAACATAACCCGTCTCTTACAAATGAGAGATCAGAGACACAAAGAGGTTCACTCCCTTGCCTAAGCTGTCTGAAGTTGAGGAACATTAGTTCAAGTCCCAGTGGTCTGACTCCAGGGTATGTGCCCTCTCTTGTTCAATGCTGATAACCCTATAAGATGAGCACAACCCACTGAGGTAAATAATGGTTTCCCCATTACAGGGAATGGCAGCAGAAGATCAGAGAAGTTAGGTGACTTCTCCAGGGTCACATACAGACCCCACACAATAGCAGAGATGTTAACCCAGGCCTTTTTAAACATGTATTTTCTGCTATGCCATGCTAAATTTTTTCCCATTGTCATTTTTATCACTTTGGTGACGGTTTAATGAATACAGAATTGTATATCTGACTATAATTAGATCTGCCTCACAAAAGAAAAATTAGCAGATCAACAGTAGGTTTCAGACTAGTAATAAGCATTCACATCACAATAACATCCTCTTTTCAAGTTGGCCCAATACATAGCTTTCCATAAGACATGCACAGTGGGACTTTTCACAAACCTGCTTGTATCCAGTGACTAAACTGATGGTGTCTCATTGACATTTTTCCTTTTAATCATAGAGCTAGTGAGGTAAAGTGAGACTTGGTTAATTATTTTAAAACTCTGGGACCCTCTAAGATAGTCACATATTAGGCTCAGCATCAGTGGGTATATACAAATAGGAAATAGGCATGTAATCTAGGCTTTTACTGGTGTAAGAGAGAGCTACCATTTCTTTCCCCTTCTCTGCGCAACAGGTAAGAGCTGTGGATTAAAGAAATCTTCACACTACTTCTCAACTAGCCCACTTTAAAAATAAATTCATCCCTCCCTTTTCCGAGACTTCTTTTGTTCTCCTCTTTGGTGTTCTTCTTTCCCTATGGAATACATGTGTCTGGGCATCCCTACCTGGTTTGGACTTGATGGGATAATGGACAGGAAGCTGGATCATTCAGTCTCTGGCTCTCTGCTGATACAAGCAGAAACTGAGCCAGTTAGACCAGAGTTAAGCCTCCTATTCATTTCATGTATGCCATTGAGCAGCTAGAGAGTAATGATGATTTTTATTCCCTCCTGGTATTAAGTCTGAGAGGCAAACTGACAAGTAACAAGAAAATTCAAAATTAAAGCTGACATACCTTCCTTAATTCTTCCCAAGGTGCTTGGGTATGATTATTATTTAATGCTTCTTTGTCACTGAAAAGATATGGGGTACCAGTTAACTCATGAAACAGTTTCAGATAATAGAAATTGGCCTGAAAACTAAGACCAAAATGTGAAAAATACCACAGAGGCAAGAGGTTTCAGGTCAGGTGGAAGCAGGTTTCTGAAATCCTAACATGTAGACTGTTGCAGAGCTCTCTCTACAGTGCTGGGCAGCATTTTGCAAGAGTTCTTGTTTTTTGTGACATTTGCCTTCTGTGTATAGCCGCTAAAGCTCAGCCCTATTGTATCATCACATTTTCCTTTTCAGACTCACCACCATTGATGGTGGGTCAGAAACATCATCCACATACACAAAGGGCAGTGCATTGTAACATTTGAAGATGGAAAAGAAAAGAATCTTCAGTCACTAGGCAGGCTGACCTCAGGGCTGTCAAGCAAATTATGGCAGTCCGGGATGTCTGCTCAGAGGATCACTGTGGTGTGGCATATGATAAATGAGTGGTTTTCATGGCCTCGGGCTCCTTCCCAGGAGAGAGAGTCTAAGTTGGAAAATGATTTTAGCAATCATGGTGGGTAAGTGTGACAGAACTCAAATACCACCCCCTTTCTCCCTGCTTGCATGGGGAATGGCAGGACTGAGTCTTAACTTCTAGCATGTTCAATAAAAGATGAGTAAAATAATCTTCCCTATTCATTCCCCCTCTTTGAGATAAAAGTTTGCCCAGGCAGAATAGCATTTTTTTAATATCAGAAGTTTTGCTCATTAAGAGAGAAGGGGGAGGACGAGGCGGGCGGATCACGAGGTCAGGAGATTGAGACCATGCTCGCTAACACGGTGAAACGCCGTCTCTGCTAAAAATACAAAAAATTAGCCGGGCATGGTGGCGGGCGCCTGTATTCCCAGCTACTCGGGAGGCTGAGGCAGGAGAATGGCGTGAACCCAGGAGGCGGAGCTTGCAGTGAGCCGAGATGGTGCCACTGCACTCCAGCCTGGGCGACAGAGCGAGACTCTGTCTTGGGGGGAAAAAAAATAAAAGAGAGAAGGGCCTGCCAAATGCTTGCCTTTCCGATGGAGGTTAGAAACTGGCATTGACAAATGGCCCTCATTTTTTCACCTCACCTCAGTATGTCAGGTCTTTGTATTCAAGTGCTATCAACTCCTAAAGGAATATGAAAGACCATTTTATCTTTTGAGAGACCCTAAGCATGGGGCAAGTTTGTTTTATTTCACAGATTAAAGAACGGGACTTATTATTAGGAGAAAATAGAAGTTAAATGTTCATAGTACCCTTGATCTTCTTATGAACAGAAGACTTGAAACAAGCCTGGGCTTGGAGGGAATTTTTTAAATCTTCTCTTTTTTCCTGTGCTTCTGGGAGTGATGTTTAAGTTCTGCCATCTGTAGGACATGTGCATTTTAAACCTTTTACTTAGAGCTTCAGCTTTTTGGGAAAGTTTTTATTTTTGTTTATGGTACCTAAACAACAGAAATTAGCCTCCATCTGAGATAGTCTCTGCATTATTAAAATGCAGCTTGTTGTGCAGTGTTTTAATGGGCTCTTTAAGGTCTTTACATATTAATGTTATATACCAAGAACTATTAAAACATTCCAAATAAAACAGATTCATCAGTTAAGTGCTCTGTTTTACTGTGGTCATGAACGAAAAGGACAAACTAGTTATCGTCATGGTCACTTAAAAAATTGTAATCTATTCCAAAGACAGTTTTCTCATAAAAAGCCACTTAGTCACATAATTCTGGGGAAGTCCTAGAGAGTTTATTACTCTCTCATTTTTATTCATATGTTTTAGAAGCCAAATAAATTAAAACAATTTAACCTATTATAGGTTATTTTATGAAATATTTAGAGTAACTTCTTAATCTGAGACAAGTATTTCTTCTGCCAACAAGAATGTGGTAACATATTAGTTTGTCTTCAGCTGGTATGTATTTAAAGATTTTGAAGGCCTTTAAAAATACCTAAGTGCTAATTGGTAAGGTCAACCAGGTGGAAGGGAGTGGGGAGTAGGGAGGAAGGTGAATATAAAGTAAAATTATACATAATTTTTTTTGTTTGTTTTTTTGAGATGGAGTCTCACTCTGTTGCCCAGGCTGGAGTGCAATGGCATGATCTCGGCTCACTACAACCTCCACCTCCCAGGTTCAAGCAGTTCTTCTGCCTCAGCCTCCTGAGTAGCTGGGACTACAGGCACGTGCCACCACGCCCGGCTAATTTTTTTGTATTTTTAGTAGAGACAGGGTTTCACCATGTTGATCAGGCTGGTCTCGAACTCCTGACCTCGTGATCCGCCCGCCTCGGCCTCCCAGAGTGCTGGGATTACAGGCATGAGCCACCATGCCCAGCCAATAATACATCATTTTAAAATGATCTAGCTCACTGTTTCTTTCAACCAAAAAAGAGTAATAGCTCCTCATTAAATATTTACTTAAATATTTCACATTAAAACCTTCTTGAACCAAGTTGGCAACCTACAGAGCTGGGCCCTGGGTGCCCTCCTTTTAAGTCAATGGGGTGGCAGCCGAATATAACACAAGAGCTGTAAGTCAGGCAACAGCTACAGCTTCTATTCTTCACTTAGCCACTCATTAGATGAGTGACCTTAGGCGAGTCATTTAGCTTCTTTCGGGCCTTGTTTCCTTATTGGTAATAATAGAGGCTTAGACTAAATTCCTTTAAACAGATACTACAGGGCTGCTGATATGCCATGTTTTGGTGAGACATAAAAATGTAAAAAGCAGCCCCTGTCTTCAAGGAAGTGACAGTTTAATAGAAAAGACATCTATAAAAACAAATGCATGCAAAAAAGTGGTTTCGAGACTGTTACATAAATTTGTACTATGTACATTGGGGGCACCAAAAGAAAAGTTGTCAATCCTATCTGGGTTTAGGTGAGAGAGATGAAATTCACAAAGACTTAACAGATGAAATGCTTGAACTGAGTTTGAATGCCACTACCCAGATGAACATGGGGATGGAAACTATAAGAGCACCCGTCTATAGAAGTGAGTCAGCATAAAGCCCCAGGACCTAACAGTGGTCCTTTATGGCTGGAATATAAGTATAAGATAAAATATGCAAAGGATCATTGGAACAAATGGAAAAGTCTTTCTGTGACATAAGGATTCCAGAATTTGTGAGACGCTATGACAGGGTTCTAAGTAGAATTTGTGAACTGTTCGTATATGTGTTCTAGAGAGATCATTCTTGCAAAGTATGGCAAAGGCTTGGCAAAGGTGAGCAAGGAAACCATTCAGGAGGCTATTACAGAGGTACATGGAAGAGATGATAAAGGTCACAGTGTAGCCATCGAGTAGAAGGAACAGAACTATAAGATGTGAGGAAAGTGATTCCTATCAAATCACTGATTAAATGAGGGTTGAGGGAAGAGGAGGAAAGTCTGTAACATCCTTTCAGTTTTCATCTCCCATGAGTCAATTATTCCAAGACTGTTAGATTACATACTGAAACCTCTCAATTCAAGGAAGGATTTTCATAAACACACTTAATGGAAATATATTTTTAGATCTTGACAGATATAATGGCATATTGTTTTGAATTCATTGCTTTTCAACTTTGGAGTCATTCTCTTTTTAAAGGGAGCCCTATAATCATAGTGCAGAATGAGTCAGGTATTAAAGTTAATTTGTCATTTAGAAGACATACCGTAGGCAAGTAAATAGGTACTATAAAGACACCCTGAATCATGTGGTGCTCTGTTAAAAGGCAAAAACAATCCATTGGTGCTTACATTCAGAAATTCCATGAGGTAGGTCAATATAAATACCCAGGAGACTCTGAGAGCCAGAAACAAGAGCAGCCTCTAAACAGTATCCACATAACCTGAAGACAGAACTCATGCTAATGTTTTCCTTTTTTACTCTGGGCACATTTGTTACTTATCCTACCATAAGCACTGTCTTTACATCATTCCATTACTTTCTGCCAAATGTCTTGAAGGTATCTCTCTTTTATCCCATGCCATTGATTCCAGCCCACTGTAAGCTGGCTGCCACCCAGAACATACCAATAAGGTACTTCTGGCAAAGGTCACCAATGTCTTCCTAATTTCCAAATCCAGTGGATGTGTGTCACTCCTCATCTTACTTGACCTTTATGCTATGTTATGAAACTCTCCTCATTTGCTCTCTGTGTGTGACATCAGGACTGCCCTGATTTTCCTTCACCTCTGTCTCCCTTGTCACTGTCAGGTCCATGGGCTCCTCTTTCAAACACTACACTCTCCCTGGGTCATTTCATTTATACATATGGCATCTATATATAGGTGGTGTTCATTCTTCTGGCCTGAGTCATGCCCCTATGTTTCAGAAATGGAAATCTAACTGTCTTTTGGACATCTACACCTGGTTGTCCCTCAGGCAACTCAAATTCAACATATCCAAAACTGAACCCCTTCTTTCTTCTCCTCTGCATTCCTCGGTAGGCATATGTAGGTTTTCCTACTTACCTCATGCATACTTCCCCACTCCATGCCTTCTAAGCCACCTTTAGTCCTCCAGATATGTTGTACTCATTATAAACTCTGAGTCTTTGCACATGCTCAGAGGCCTTCCTGATACACATATGAAATATATATTTTCTTCATCTGGCTGAATTTTATGGAACTTTCAGGCCTTTGTGAAGGTGTTGCCTCCTTCAGAAAACTTTCCTGCCCCTAGACTCATGTTGTTCGATGCCCGTCTTTCTTTTGTCATTTTATAGTATTTTATACTGCATTGCAGCAGTTCTCAGTGGCTTAGGGAGTGAGAGGATAGGTGGTAGGAGGATTATTTTGCCCTCCCCACCCCACCAGGGACTTTTGACAATGTCTGGAGATATTTTTTGTTATAACAAGGGGTTAGGATGCTAGTGGCATCTAGTAGGTAGAGGCCAGGGATGCTGCCTACATCCCTATAATATTCTACAGTGCATAGCACCCCACAACACTGAATTATTCAGTTCAAAATGTCATTAATGCCAAGGTTGAAAAACTCTGCTCTAATGTAATTACCTACTTATTTTTCTGTTTCTCCCAGTAGACTATAAGCTTTTGGAAAACAGGGACTATGTCTTCTTCAACAATGTGTACACAACAAGTAGCAGGTTGTTTGGCACATGGCAGATGCTCGGTAAATATGAATGTATGAACTGAGTGGGTATGTTGATGGATGGTTTGAATGGTTTTTCATTCTGGCCCAGAGAGAAAATGTATAATTTATATGTGGACTGAGGGCAGTAAGATCTGAGGTTTCACTCCTGAAATGGCCCTGCTGCCAGTTCCACTGTTTGAGATACTGATCATGGGGATAGTAGGAAGACTGAAACTATGGATGTGTGTCTCTATTTTGTTGTCTATTTAAGGATATATAATTGTATTTATTTAGATATTTACCTGTATTACTTGCTGAGTGAGGTATAACTATGTACATGTTTGTATCCATTGCTAGTAACCACTAATAGGTCTGAGTACCTATTATATGCAAAATATTTTAGCATGCTGTTATGGGAAAACAAAGTTTGGTTTAAATTCTGGCTTAGTTTGAAAACTGAGCCATATAACCCTAAGCAAGAATCTTAGCCTCACTAATCTTCAGTATTCTCAACTAATAAGCATAGAGTTGTTTTGATGATTACATAAATGAAAATATATAAAGTACTTAATATATAGCAAGTCCTCAATAAATGTTACTTCCTTCTGCCTCTTCTCCAAACTCTCTATATTAGTTAGAAATTGCATTTGACACAGAAGCACAGCCCTGATAATAATGGCTTAAATTGATAGTTTATTTTTCTCCCACATAAAAGAAGTCTGGAGGTCTGAAATACAGGATTGCTTTGATGACTCCTCAGAGTCATTAAGAAATCCCAGCCCTTTTTAGCCTCAACATTTTACTATGCCTAAAGTGTGACCGTGGTACTCAAAATGCCTGTCATGTCTATGTGGCAAGCAGCAGACTATAGGACAGGGTGAAGAAGGTCATGCCTCCTCTCTTTGAAAGAACCTTCCAGGTGGATCACCTGAGGTCAGGAGTTTGAGACCAGCCTGACCAACATGGTGAAACCCCCGTCTCTACTAAAAATGCAAAATTAGCCAGGCGAGATGGCTCATGCCTGTAATCCCAGATAATCAGCAGGCTGAGGCAGGAGAATCGCTTGAACCCAGGAGGCAGAGGTTGCAGTGAACTGAGACTGCATGACTGCACTCCAGCCTGGGCAATAACAGCGAAACTCCATCTCAAAAAACAACAACAACAAAAAATATTGGTTTCTTAATGACAAAACTACCATGATAACATAAGATGTTGACATTAGCAGAAATGAGGTAAGGAGTATATGAGAACCCTCTGTTTACTATCTTTGTAATTTTTCTATAAATTTAAAATTATTCCAAATTACAAAGTTTATTTTTAAAATGCAAATTACTGGCACACATTGAAAACTTGTTAATTTTTGTAGGGCATTATCTATAGTGGATGCATTTGAGTATAATCTCCATGTGTGTAGGGACTTTGTCTAACTTGTTCCTTGATGTCTCCTCAAGAACTAAAGGAGTACCTAAGGATAATACCGGGGAAGAGAGCGCACACTCAAAAAACCCCATCTGATCTGTTTCTGAGTTATCGTGCATGCTCAGTGTATTATTCTGTAAATTGTTATAGCATCCTGACTAGCAGCTCTCCATTTCATAGTCCAGGAGAATCAGCATACTTTTTCTCCATAATTTTCCTAATGGAACATTTTATGAAATATAAGTCCTGGAGGAGCTGGTAACCAACTGCTAGACACTTTATTAGAAAAATAAGGGTCTGTAGCACTAATGCTAATCTAAGGAAATTAAAGTCTTTTTATAATCCTGTGAGATTAATAGATCAGGGGTTGAAAACTGCACAGTTCTAATTTTCTATAAATTAGTCTTTTCTCTCTATTAGTGTAAAAAATATCTAATGAGAAAAGTACTTGATTTAAAAACCAGCCTCACCACTTACTACCGAAGTGGTTATGAGGAAGTTTTAAAATCTCTCTAAGCCTAAATTTGCTAGCAAACTTGGAGTAGTGAGACTTTACAAGGCATATGTACAGTCCTCTATTAATGAAAATACAGGATAGTTTACTATAACAAGAGCACAATAATAAAGTGGTTTTCATAAGACAGAGGCTTGTTTCTGTCTCACCTAACAATTCAGAAATGGTATTACAGCTTATCGGGAGCCCAGTCTACTCCATGTTGTTGCTTAGGCACTTCTGGTGTGCACTTCCACATTCCAGATTACAGGAAGGAAAAAAGGAGGAAACACACCTTTCTAAGGGCATGACCTGGAAGTTATCACTTCTACTCATATCCCATTGGCCAGAACCCAGTCATGTGGTCCCAGCTAGCTGCAAGGAATTCTGGGAAATGCTTTCTGTATCTGGGAAGCAATTTGCTGAGCTCATACTTCTGATATTTTGGAGATTGGAAAGACAACTAGCAGTGCCTACCATAAGTACCTAGAGTAGTGCCTTACATGGAATAAATGCTCACCAAATGACATTCTCATTAAATCATCTGGAAGATAATTAGTGTGAAAGGAATAGGTAAGGAGAAACGTTTTACCAGCTATGACTTTTAAATCACTCAGAATTAAAGATAGACCTTCCTAGGAAACTATGTTTGCATTTGAAAATTTGCTCATCTTCTTGTAAATTAAAACACAGCTTTACAAAAAATAAGATCTTCTATTCAGCCTGAGGAAAATAAGCTGCAGAAGTAATTTTTTTAACTGTACTTGTTTTTATATGTAACAACTAGTTTCCCTTCTAGTTCAGGAAACTCTAGTAGAATTAGAAGGAACCATGCTTGGTAAAAAAGGAAAGATACAAAGTAAACTGTTACTTATTTTTAATGTAGAAATTCTTTTGTTGCACAGTTGTAAATTCTGTAATCATAATTTTGCTCCTGTCTACTCTTTGCATGGATTCAGTTTCAAGCTTTTGCCATAATTTGTATTTACATACATGGGACTGCACCTTTAAGGATCTATTTCCATTTTTCTTGGTTTGGTTTAATTATTTCCTAAGGATATTTACAGTAACCTGCTGAACTTGGACAGTTTCATTCCAGGGAAAGTAGTTTATACTGAACCCCATTCATGCTAACCTTGCCTAGGACATTCTTACATTCCATAGGCCACAACTCCAGGTTGTCAGCCCCTCATGTGATTTGTCAGACCACACTGCTCCCTAGCTGGCAGCTCGACAGAGTTCAGTTGGCCCTGCTCTTTGCAATGTGACGGATGAACATGATACCAGCTATATTAGTTTGCTTGGGCAGCTGTAACAAAATGCCATAGACTTGCTTAACAAATTTTTCATAGTTCTGAAGACTGAGAAGTCCAAGAACAAGTCTTCAGGCAATTCAGTTTCTGGTGAGGGCTCTTTTCCTGGCTTGCAGATGCCCCCTTCTCACTGTGTGCTCCAATGTTAAGAGAGTGCTCTGATATCTCTTTCTACTTATAAGGGAACTAGCCCTATTAGATTAGGGCCCACCTTTATTACCTCATTTGACCTTTATCACGTTCTTACCTGGCCTCCTGGCCTGTCTACAAATACAGTCACGTTGGTGGTTAGGACTTTAAAATATGAATTATGGGGGTAAGGGGGACATAAATACTCAGTCCATAACACTGGTCTTTCTTTCATTTATTATGATACCCACAAAGAGTGAGTGTTTTTTCTAGTATTTTCCCTATGCCATTCTGGGCAACCTGCCTAAAGTTTTCTATGGTGGAAGATTACGTTAGTGGCTTCCTAAACTCTCTTTTTCTAATGAGATCTCTGGTTTAATGGCAGTGTTTGGACCCACAGAATACCCTGGGAGTTATAAGATGTTAAGAAATTAAAATGTGATAAAATGATGTTTGTAGAGCACTCTGCACTTTTCTTGCTTACATTATTTATTTAATCCTCATGGTAATTTGGTGAAAATGATTGGGATGGTGCAGTGGCTCTATTTTATATATTAGAAAATTGAAGTTTGGAATGTTCAATATTTCTCTAAGGTCTTAGGACTAATAGTTGATTAACACTGAGATTCCATTCCAGGCCTTCAAATTTCTAAACCACATTAAACCAAATATGAGCTGAATTTGGCTCTGGAGCCACTAAAATTTGGTTTCAATCCAAGTTCTGTCACTTATTAACAGTAAGTGGGCAAGTTACTTAACTCACTAAAATTTCTCAATCTTCTCTGTGACATGCAAATAATAGAGTCCACCTTATAGTGTTCTAATGAAAATCAAATTATATAATGCATAGAAATAACAAAACATCTGCTACATAGAAAATTGTTCAAAATTGTTGGTTATTATTTTTAAGCACATATCAAATCCTATTCATTAAATTTAACTCTGAATTTATGTTTTATTGGACTTTAGGATAAAGTGTTATTTAAATTATATGAGCTATTGACAGATCTCCAAACACTTTACAAGTTTATAAATGTTATAAAATTTATGATATGGATTTTATTGAGATATGAGCATCTTAATGATCAACATTTGTGCACATTTATTTATATATTTATTCATGTATATATTCATGCCTGGTCAAGCAACAGATTAAAGCAATTAACAATTAGCAGATATTTTAAACAGCTGTCAGTTATACTTTAAGCAAGCCAGTGGGATTTTTTAGTTATCTAACTTTGGTATGAGGTCATTTAGTTATCTAGTTTTAGATTGAGGTCATTTTGTTCTCATTAATAAAAGAAGCTGAGTTTGGTATTCTTAGTTTTTATCTCACACCAGTAAGCCAGTAACACTCAGTATATGCTAATAATTATGATTAAAGAAATATTAAGGAAACAAAGATTTAGCTGCTTGAAATTTGGTATACTGAAAAGCCTAATTAATAAAATTTTCAGTTTTTCTCCACATTAGCCAGGATTTAATCTCCATCAAAATACATATTTTTCTATTAGTCTAATTCTACAAACCCAACATAAGAGGTCATTGTCACACAGTCTTATGTCAACCATAATGACTGGAAGGTGCTCTCCTAGTGTTCCCAGATTTGTCAGGTAATTTACTGTGTATGTCAGGATAAAGTAACAACACATATTTTAATTTGTTTTGCACATCATTCCTGATTCTCATATGGAAATAATTAGGGAATTTCATGCACTTCTAGATTTAATATGAGTGTGTGTTTATGGATATATAAGTAAGAGAATGTTCAGATTTCATAGAGGAGGTCAAATAAGCTTTTCTCAGGTAGAAGAAACTATACCAAACCAAGAGTTAACACACTTGATGCAAAGTTTATTAGCAATGTAAATGTCATTACCTCTGATTCGTGATCAGCTGAACAAACAGTGAAGGGCCACTGTGACTTTCAAGCTTTAGGAACAGAATCTAATGACCTTAAAAGGCAAAAGAACTGTTTCCCACTAGGTATGGATGGAAGTGATTCAATTCTGAGCATCATCATGATTGGCAATTAATAATGCAAATGACTTGTGTTGATCCAAAATGGTTCTCAGTATCTGGGCAAGGCAACTATGAATGTGTATATGAGTGAGGTAGATTATAACAAAATTATTTTCATTCTATGCCTCATAGTCTCAGAGTGACTGTATACACATAGGCACCACACACATCCTCTAACCATCTTGATTTGAGAGGGCAAGATGAATGTGCCTACTACATTAGTTTGCTTTTGTGTATAATTGTTACAGTTTTAAGATATGGCTTAACTTGTAGTGTGTACTCAGAAAGGAGAGTTACTCATTACCTTGTACATAACTCATTTATTGCCCTTGTAACATATTTGTTTTCTTTTCCCAACTACCTCTTAAGAGCAGGGACCCTGTCTTCGTTAGAATGAACACAGGCACTGGTTCATAGTAGATGCTTAAGAAATATTTGAATGAATTTATAAATGAATTAGAGCTTCTGAATGGAAGTCTATAGTACTTAAATGTGCAACATACATAAATATAAACATTATCCAAAGAATCTATCAATGTGTATATGGATGCACAAACACACATATACATCCCACGTTCAGAGTACTGTCACTAGTTGAGGAAAGTGATTAATGTCTAAGGTGCCTAGCCAACAATAATAGCATATGATTATGTAATTAAGTAATAAGTAATTGTGAAGGAAGGAAAAACTATTTAGATACTTACTGATTGCTTAATATAAAAAATGGATATATGTTAGCTTAAAAACATTATGAGAGTTAAATATATCAGCCTATGAAAAATAACAGAAAAGCAAACACATTGACACTTATTCATAGTCATCAGTATTTTTTTTTAGTAAAGACAGCACAAACCACTAAACAATTAGTTTATTCATTGTTTTCCTTACTGTGGCCATAACTAGTATTCATATTAGTAATTTATTAGGAATACTGACACATAATTATCCAAACTTTTGTAAAAAGCGATTATAGTTTTTTTCTGATAAGAAAAAGAAAATTTTCAATTTATAAGGTTTTAATAAGCCCTTAAATTATTTTTCCCCAAGATTAATAATTATAAAGGAGCATAGGTCCACTTATCACATTTTCTACCAGAAATATACTGGGCATGCATGGGCAATGTTTCTCTTTAAAGTAGATGCTGACACTATATAATTAGAGAATTACAATAATGGGTCTTACAGAAGAAAAGGAACCATATTCATATATACTTTTTGGCATACACTATTAGAGAAACTTTATGTTTCAGTGTGAGATTTATATATCTGATACATAATCAACTTTATATCAAGTATTCTCTAATGAGTTCTAATGAACTAGAAGTAGCTTTAAATGGAAAAAATATTATTCTAGCATCTCAGAAAATAGTTTTGGCTTATTCCCTATTAATTTTGACCTTAAAAAAATAAGATCCCTTTAGTCCACCTGGGCCTGGGTGGCCTGCTTATTTTCTCATAGAGGGTTCTAAAGCTTCTTGGAAAGTCTTAGGTTTTACTCTATTAGCCCAATGTTACAGGGCTCTTCTCCATGCCACAAATATTCATTTGCAGATAATGATACTTTCTACTGCCTCAATATATTTTTATATCCAGTTTTCTCCTGGATTCCTTATATCTTATCTGAGGAATGCTTAAAGCCGTCTGTTGTGAGATTTTCCTCAAACTTTCTCTAGCAAAAGGACCGGTTTTTATCATAACATACTTAATTAACACCTTGATCAAGGAGGCAAACAGTGCAGCAGAGATTCCTGGAACAAGATGATCAATTGGACTTACCCTGTGTTTGTTGAACTGCCTGAATTTTATAAGCCCATGTGGATATGGCTTAGAGCTGAGATCCAAACAGCTCCTGCTTCCTGGTCTCTTCCCTGAATTACATCTCTGTATTATCGGTATCTCTTGCCACCAGTTTTCTCTGAAGTCATTATAGACTATATAGAATTTATGAATCATGTTCAAATTTGTTAGTCATTAAATATTTGTCCAGAACTGGGTATATGATTGTGCACTTATAGAAAGATGCTCACAGTATAATGCAGTAACTACGGTGATGTGGAATATAGGTATTACAGGAACAAAGTGAAGGAATACTTCATCCAACCTTAGTGAGTCAAAAAGATACTTCCTCTCTTAAAAATGCATAGAAATAGTCAGATTTATGACCATGTAGGCCATGTTAGTGTAAATGACATGATGAAGGTGAAGCTCCATGGGCATGGGTACCCCAACTGTCTTGTTTAGGCCACATTCCCAACATCACGCATAGATGTGGCTCATAGGCCCTAACCCTCAGGACATATGTGTCAAATGGATAAATGGAAAAAAAGGATTCTAAGTAGAGGAGTAATGTGGTTCACTTTTGATTTTTAGATACGTTGATCTGGCAGCGGCATGGGAGATGGATCCAAAGAGATTAAAACTGGAGTGAAGGAGTCCAGTAATGATGTGAAGAGATGAGGGTCTGAACTAGGACAGAAGTCAGTCACAGGGATGGATTTGAGACGTTTTGGAGGGTTACACATGTAAGACCTGGTAACTGTGTGCCTGTGGGAAGAAAAGGAGAGGTACGGGGCAAGTGTTGTGCCAGAGTTGCCATCGTCTAACTTAAAGAATACAAGGAGAGGAGTTATCTAAGGGAAGAAACAAGTTAAAGTTTTTATGCAACATATTATCATTTAAATGTATTCCAACTTTTACTTTTAAAATGAACCCTTGAGGAAATTCTAATAGATTTTTAATGAAAATCTTGTAGCACTTTAAAATTTTTAACTATCCCATGGGCATTATACCAGCACTGGGTCAAGAATATAAACTAAAAACATGGGTACCTCCCTTTAAAAAAAAACAAAAGTCTTTTAAGAATACCAAAACACTTGGGCATAACTACCACTTATTCTTCATGCAGAAATTTTGGTAGAGAGAGAACTATATTAATTCTTTCCTCCCTTTTGCTTTCTTTTTTTTCTTGATATTCTTCCCCTGGGTCTGGCATTCTGCAGTAAAGTAGGTAGAATCAGCTACCACATGGAGCCTCACTCCCAGACAAGTGGCCTTTGAAAGCTTCTCCTGTAGGAAGAAAAGCTTTCCAAGGAAAGGAGCAATGCTTGCAGGCCAATGAGAATTCCAAATAAATAGCATTTCGACTTCTGCTTCTCAATCTGGTTTTAACATTTGGTGAGGGGCAAAACAAACCCAACCAAAGTGCTATCATTCATTTGAACTTAAAGTTCAAATAATGTTACATTTAATTTGTAATCAGATCATTATAACTATAGTTGAAATATATAATTCTGGTATAGTGAAGATTTGTACGAAATCTTGTTTTTATTTTTTTCTCACTTTTTGGCACTGACTCTCTTCTTCTTCTACATATATGTTTTATTATCACAGGATGAGTAATTTTATTGTCATATCGCAGAGCGAATTCTCCCAGCCCAAATAAATTTGGCTTTCAGCGTGGTTCTGGGACATCCAGTTGGCAATACCCAGGAGGTATCTGCATATACAGAGCTGAGGCCTGGGGCAGAGGCCTGAGCTCTGAGTAGCAGTCATTGGCAGAGAGATAATACCCTGAGAGGCAAGCAGACCATCCAGAGAGGGTAGAGGGCCACCAGCAGAAGACCGATGTTGGTACCTGAGCAGCATCAACATACACAGAAACGAAAGAAGGGCAGTTCTAAAAAGAGAAAGCAATTTGATTAGAGAGACTGGAGGAGGGCCTGGAGAGAGAAATATCCTAGAAGGCAGGGCTTTAAGAAGTTCAAGAAGGAAGGAGTGAGAGAGCAAGGGAAGCAAGGAGCTTCTCTCCTTAGGTAAAGCCCTTCCCCCCTAACATCCCTCCTTCCTTCCCTAACTCTTCAGAATCTTAAGAGAAGGCAGTAGTTAGTTGTTGTTGTGTCCATACTTATAAATGTTCACAATCTATGCTATGTGAAGAATATAATTTCTTCAATGTACAAGTATGACTTCAGATTAACTTCCTTAGTATTGCTTCCATCTAGTTAGTTTCTAGGCTTTGTGGCTTTTAATGGTCTTTTCCTGTAAGTAGCTACAGTTGATTTGACTGTAATGCCAGTGCTTCAATATTCATTATTTTAGTAGTTACCCAGCAGATTTTATCATTGTTTATTCAGAGATATTTTTTAGCCCACGCTGCTCCTTATTCAGGATAAAGCAGATAAATATCTTGCTCAGAGCCAAACAGGGATACTTTAGATTCTGCTTCCATAGACTTTGTACTTTGTTGTTTGCACTGGCTCCTAAAAATATTGAGAAGGATAAACAGAAAAGTTCATTTAATTGTACTGAGTTCATTTATTGTTCTGAGCAAGTACAATACTCCCTATCTGATTAGTATCACTTCTGATCTGTATTTTAACCACAGAAAGGTACAGTTTTGTTTTTCCCCAAATAGATTGTGGTTTACCTATATTTTCCCTATTGTAAAATGCAGTTTATGTGCAGGATTCAAACCCCTTAATTCAGGCCTGAGTCATACTTCTATCATCACCCTCAAATTGTTAATTTTTATTTGCCCGTTCCTCATGAGTAAAGATTTTGTTACGGATCTTAAACAGCATTATAGTAAAGGAGTGATTTTGAAAGTCATTCCTTTGGGTTCACAAGGATACCCTTCTGTGGAAAGAGAAAATGAAATAGATATTATAATAATAATGCTATACTTTTTATCAAGTTATGTCAGAACTCATAATTAACCTTATTTTTATGGCATTTTGGTGAGTTTGTTTTTATTCTAGTTCTCGTATTCACAGAGACTGAAATGTAAAAAAAATTAAGACTTTATCCAAAGCCACATAGGCATTAGATCTGAGTAACTTTGGCACTGCTGACACACAACTTGTCTTTTTCCTCTGAGCTTACTTAAAATACTTATGAAGCCTTGAAAGCTTTCTCATCCGTTTTTTATTTTTCCCTTACAGAGTATTGATTTCTATTTTTTTAACTTCAAAAATTCACATAGCACAATTGTTAAAAAGTTCAAAAGTAACTTTCTTAAATTTAGCTTTTAATCTAAATTTTTTATTTTTAAAAAGACCTAACTTTACAGCACATGACATAACTAATAAATAAAACAAACAAATATTCATCAATATTGAGCAAAATGATAAATTTTACTTTTGAAAAGTTTGTTTTCAAGAAAAACTGAACCTATCCTTTAGTTTTTTGTTTTTTTGGTTTTTCTTTTTTCCTGATAGCTGCTGGCCTCACAAAGTATTGTTAGCATATCAGTTTGGTGTTTTGGCAAAATAAAAATTAAAAATTATACTATTCCTTTCATCCAAGTCTAGGTGCTATTGCTTAAAATTTTTCTTCCAGAATTTTTCATGTGAAATTCTTGGAGATTGAGAAAAGATAATAATTCAGATCTATTAATAAAGATTAATTGCTGCTAGAGATATACTGTGAAATGCATATGCAACGTCTGAAAAGATATGTTACAGAAGATATGAATTCGCCATTCCTAAGTCACTTTCTTCAACTTTAAAGTATCAACATTTATTAGGTTAACATTAAATACTTGAGAGCAGATTCTTGAAATATTGACTAAATCTGAATTCTTGCTATAAGATTTGAAATATCTGAAAATCAAATATAATTGGGAAAATTCTGCTACTTTATTATTTATTAAATAGTCCTAGTAACTTTAATGATAGCCACATATTTTAAACAAATGATTATCTTTGACAGAGGAATTATAAATGAGAGCCTCATTCAAGAATTCCCTTTATTCATGGCTGTTGTTTGTCTGCCCTTCTTTTTGGCGGTACAGAATAAACAGGGCTTAGTGGGAAGGGGAGGACCATACAGTCTAGCACACAGGCCTTGCACAACCTCAGTCTTTGTGGTAGTATGGGTAGGTAGAAACCAAAATCCCTGAGTTGGAGGGGTTTTCAGGTCAAAGCTTAGAAATGACATTTCCCTCCAAACTGACCTCTCGTTCTGTGTTCTTTCTCCATGATAGGCCCTTCCATCTACCCAAGCTGGGAGCCTTGCTGAATAGTCCATTGGATATTAGCCCTGTCTCCAATCAGTTGTCATGTCCTGTTGAGTCTACCTCTTTTGTCTGTATTCTTTTCTCACTACAGCCTAACCCTCGGTTCATACTCAAATTGTCTCTCACATAGGTTACTATGATGCCTTCTACTTGAACTTCTTAGCTCTATCAGCCTCTCTTTTCCCACCCAGCCTTTGCCATATCAGTGTTTTTCCTATTGCCACACTAGCACTCTGTATCTTAAATGTCTGTGTGTTCAGGTAAACCCTTCACGAGGCAGTTAGCTCCATGAAGGCAGGGACTGAAGGTTTCTGGTCCATCATTATATACTTAACACCTAGTACACTATGTGGCTTTTAGCCATCGTTGAAAATCAGTTGGATTTTGAATACATGGATTTTTTTATTCATAAATATCTGAGAAGGCCAGGTATTATTTTAGAATTCCTAGACACCTCAAAGTTCTCTGCCAGAACATGGAAGCACAAAGTGGCTCCTGGCCCACCTCCTGTCCTGTTCAACAAGAAGGTAGACACCCTAGTCCTCACTGCCAACCTCCAACTACATTTCCTGAAAATAGCCACCCTGAGGCCACTCCCAGGCCCCCACAGGCGTTTTCCACCTCACAGGAAGGGATCTGGAAAAGAGACCTACACAGGACTTGGAAGTAGTCCGAGGGCCATTAGGGCATCAACTTACAGAATCCCAGGAACCCAGGATGTGGTCTAGAAGGAGGGGTAGGGAAGGCATAGACAATGTGGGCCGATCCCTTTGGCCTACGAACTGGGTAGGAATATGGCCAGAGGAGGGTTGTGTCTAAGAGCCCTACTACAAGCAGGAGATGATCTGGATTTGTTCTAGAGATTGTACTCCTAGTGTATATTTGTGAAAGTGTAGCATTAGCAAGAACTGTCTAATATTGTATTTGAGAAACGCCATGTGAAAATATGAATAGAACTTAAAGGTTGTAACTGAATCTTTCCTAACTAACCTTTTAATTGTTTGTATTTCAAGACCACATGACTCTCTGTTCTGTTGTGTTCTGTGAAGCAGTTTCAAGTACTGATTAAGAGTACAATGTGGAAAGCCAAAACAGGGATATGAGTTGTGAGCTGGATTTTGTTCTAAGTTGTCCCTTTGCTGGCTATGGAGCCCTGGGCAGAGTGCCTCATCTGCTGAATAGAGGTAATCTTCCTTCGGGCTTGTAGTGAAAGTACATGAGGTTAGACTCTTTAAAAGACTTAGCTTAAGTAAATGCTCAATAGATCACAGTGCTGTCATCATCATCATAATCACTGTCATTATTTTTACAGCTGTTATTCCTTATTGTCCATAACTGTTGTAATGACCTTGGGCAAGTCACATAACCTCTCAGAACCTCAATTTCTTCCTCCATAAAAAGATGTTTGGAGCAGAGGATAACAAAGACTTTGTCCAGTTAAGAGCAAGGACTTTCTGGAATTCTTTCAGTGTACACTGAACTTGAACTTGACCCCACAAGCAGTGTTTAAATTGTTAATGAAAGTTAGCTACTATGCATGTAATATCACTATATATTCTACTTTAATCAAATGTAGTATGCAAAAAACCTGGATTAAATATGCAGTTTATGAAACAAGTATTTGCTTTATAGAAAGATTCACTGTAGAGTCCCTTTTACTCACAGGCTCTTCTAGTACATTAAAAATAAAATTTGATTTAAAAAAAGATATTCGGTTTGCCTGCAACTTTTCAGAAACATATGCAGACATTTTTAATCCGTTTGAATCACAGAATCCCTTGTGAATTGATTAACTCTGATTCCTCTCTCTGAGAAATGAACATGGTTGCAAATATTTGCATACAATTCCTGGAGAGGGGGTGGTCCATGGATCCTAATTTAAGAAGCCCTGGCATAAAGCCAAAATAAAGAGAAAACCAATAAAAATGGAATATGTTGAGGATATTATAGGCATTTCTAAATGCCAGCCTCCAAACAACTGGCTCTCTTCAGAATCAGAGAAACAAAGAGAGAACTAACATTTATTGAATGCGAACTGTGCCAGACACTGTGTTAAGCATTGTATAAGTGTCCTTCCCCTTCCAAATCTAAAAAAGACAGATATTATTTCTGATGAGAAAATTGAGGCTCAGAGAATAAGCACTTCTCCAAAGTCTTTTCACTATTAAATGGTAAAAGCAAAATTTGAACTGGGGTCTGGCTCTAAGGCTACATACACTGTGATAAAAGGCCCTAAGTTCCTTCACATTTGTTCCCAAGCCCCCAGATTTTTATTAAAGAATAGATCACAGAAATGTACAGATTTTTATGCCTTAGTGAACTCACAAAGGAACCAGCTTCATGTTGAGAGCCCATCCTTTCCCCCTCCCATGTTCTGTGTCATCAGAGCTGGGAGGACTTGCAGGAGTGGTACGTTGGTGTTGGGATGGGTCAGGGCAGCAGAGAGCTGAGAGATGATGGACTCTCTTGGCTGGATATGATTCAAAAGTTCTGATCCCCTACATGCCCCAGTAAAGTTTTCTGGCTGACATCTGTGTTGAAGAGTTGTCAGCTGAGGAGCAGAGAAGTGTCCAGTCAGACTCAGAATACCTCATTTGCCAAGTATCACATGAGAATAGTGAAGACAGGCCCCATTTGGAAAAGAACTGCTTCTAGGAAGATTTATTACATAGGGGTCATGTTGCATAACTATGTTCAGGATACTCAACTCCTCCTTGACTCATTCACATTTCATAAGACAGATACTCCCTTCAAAAAGGAGGGACTAAATGAGGAAATAAATGAAGGGCCTTATATGAATGGCAGAACAACCTAAGTCTTATTGGAATTCTTTCTTGGACTGTATCTATAGCCTTGGTGCTATAAGCCAATATTGACCTTTCTTCATAAACAGCTTGACCCAATACTGTGCAGAAAGCACTGTGCTTTGCACACTTAAAGACCTTATATAGTAAGGTGAGTTCTGTGTCCTCATGTTCTAACCTGTCAAAACAAAACATTTGTGGTGATTTGGGAATATGCTCACAAATACATTTTTGGTTTCAAGTCATTTTAAGATATGCTATCTTATCACCTCAGCCTTCACAACATGTCCTAGAAAATTATGCTGTTTTCACAGTGATATTAAAGGCACCGTGAGATTTGGTATTTTATTTAGATTTTCCTCATGATTTCCCACATGATATAGAACTGCTTCATAAAGTTACTTGCTGTGAAGTATTTCAGAGCTTTATTTGGCGGTAATCAGGAAGATACTACTTAATGTTTAAAAGTAAAATATGCATATTTAGGAGTAACTGACATCTGATAAGCAATTTTTCTTGTATGCTATGGATGGTGCAAAAGATATTTTATTAGTGTAAATTTGATACCTCCTTATATCAGCAAGGCAGCATAACATAGTGGTAAAAGTATGGACTCTAGAGCCAAACTACGTGTGTTTGAACCCCAGCTCTGACGCTTGCCTGCTTTAGGATCTTGGGGAAGATATTTTGTCTTTCTGTGCCCTGTTTCCTCATCTAGAGAATGCAGGTAATAGCAAGTTCTTCCTTTACTGTGTTAATTTGAAAATTGGGTGAATTAATATACATAAGTGTATAGAACAGTGTTGGTGCATAATAAATGTTATGTAAGTGTTAGACATTGTTATACAAATGAGTAAAGATGACTAATAAACTCTAGGTGTTAGATGGTTTAAAAAATAAGTTAGTTTATCCTCAGTTTAGGATAAGTGTTTAAATAGAGTTTATTCTCATATTGGTCTTAAGA
The DNA here is from genome assembly GCF_000001405.40 of Homo sapiens. Lineage (NCBI taxonomy): Eukaryota > Metazoa > Chordata > Mammalia > Primates > Hominidae > Homo > Homo sapiens. The sequence continues at coordinate 179,568,853 of NC_000002.12, read as the reverse complement.
AAGCTCTAGCTAAGACCTCTGCCATTCCTTCTGTCCTCTTATATCAAATCTGAGTATCAATTAATGGCTTCACTGACATCTGTGGGCTGAGGATCCTCACATACCTGTAAATGGAAATGTGTACTAAGTTTAATAGATTTCAGTTTGACAGATTGAATAAATACCATTTCTCACACACACCCAACATATTTTTGCCAAATGTATGTCAGCCCTGCTGTGATAATGAAATACCACCATACTTTAAATGTTGCTAACTTCATAACAGCTTTGAATATGATCAGTGAATACTGAGGGAAAAAATAACACTAATACTATGTGAGAAGTCCTTGAAACTATTTGATGCTAAAATTGTATTTTCACATTTGAAAATGCTGGAAAAGTATGGTCATTCATTCATTCAAAATATGTATTGAGTACCTACCATAGGCCTGGCCCTGCTCTAGAAACTGGGAATATAGTTTTTATCCCTGTGGAGATTATATTTTAGTAACAGGAGATAATGAACAAGTAAACAAGTAAAACATGATCATTTTAGAGACAAGTAAGTGCCATGAAGTAAATAAACCGAGCAGTGTAATAGAGGGAGGGGCTCACTGAGATGATAACTGAGCTGAGGCACAACTGAAATGGGAGCAGGGAGTTTCATGCTGAGGGAACAGCAGAGGCAAAAGCCTGAGACAGAGTGAATGTGATGTGTTTGGGAAAGAGAGAGGAAGGACGCTTAGATCTTGGGGGAAGAGAGGCAGTACTCAGTGAGGTTTTGGAGCAGGCAGGGGCTTAATTAAACATGTGGTGACTGCAGGCCATAGCAAGGGGTTTGATTTTATTCCAGGTGCTGTGGGAAACTGTTCCACTGGAGTGACATGATCAGATTTGTATTTTTAAACAGTTTGCTTGGCTGCTGTGTGAGAACCAAATGTCGGAGACCGTAAGTGGTCCCGGAAAGATCCCTTAAGAGCCATTAGCTGTAGTCCAGACAAATGTTGGTGTCTCGGACTAGTATGTGACAGTGACATGGATGGAAGCAGGAAGATTTGCAGCCTATGTTGGAATTGGAGACAACACGACTTGCCAATAGTCTGGATGTAGGTGGAAGCTAAGGAGGAATCAAAGAATCACAAATTTTAAGGTCTTGCTCAAGTCCTGCCTTCACAGTGAAACTTTCTCCAGCTCTTCTAGCCCACTTTTGTCTCTCCTTTGATTGCAGTGGCTTTGAGCTGACAATATGTGCAAGGCATTGTTCCTGGTGCTTAGGATACATTAGTGAATGAAACAAAGCTTCCTGCCCTGTGGATGTTATGATCTGTCCTGTACCACTTCTATATCTGTGCCACTAATTTGCATTAAATTTTATGTGTCTTTGTATTAGTCTCTAATTGTTTTGGATATATTATTTTTGTTCTCTAAATAGAAAAGCACCTTTAGGACCAGTGACCCCACTTTTCAATTTACCATAATGTCTTGCTCAGTGATGGTGGAAGCAAAAGTAACAGTGAAAATATGTTTGTTTGTTTTTCCCCCCACAGATAGCTTGTTTCTAGGTTTGCCTGCTGCTTTAAATAAGTAAACTTGTGAAAATCCAAAATTGCAATTCAGATGACTAGAAGGGCCATAATTTTTTCATTAAAAAAGATTATGGGCCTGGCACGGTGGCTCAATGCCTGTAATCCCAGCAATTTGGGAGGCCAAGGCAGGTGGATCACTTGAGGTCAGGAGTTCGAGACCAGCCTGGCCAACATGGCGAAACCCTGTCTCAACTAAAAATACAAAATTAGCCAGGTGTGGTGGCTGGTGCCTGTAATCTCAGCTACTCGGGAGGCGGAAGCAGGGAGAATCACTTAAACCCAGGAGGCGGAGGTTGCAGTGAGCCGAGATCGCACCACTGCACTCCAGCCTGGGTGACAGAGTGAGACCCCGTCTCAAAAAAAAAAAAAAAAAAGAAAAGAAAAGAAAAAGATTATATAGTCACTCAAGAGTTACTCTAAAATAACAGTTCCCCTCCCCAATGAATGTAATTAAAAATTTGTCAACAAGTCATTATGCATTTGTCAGGGGGATTCGGATGAAGGAACTGAAGCTGAAGAATCAGAAGCCATAGTCCATTTAAAATTAATTCAAAGTGAAGACATCAAAACTATAATTTAGAATTGTAAATTAAAAAGAAAATTATTTCTGAGTTCTAAAAATTCAAATATGTGGACTTTATAGAGGACTTCCATTTTCTACATTTACAATTTATAATCAACAGTTATAAATTAATTCTTTAACCAAGTCACGTTCATCCTAGCAATGAAAAGTAACCATTCGAATACACAACTAAGTTGGCTTCAGGTTATGGCTTTCTGAGTTTGTCTTAAAATATAAAAAAGAAAACAAAAGTCATGGCTTTATGTTTTGCAAGGAAGACTGAGTATCCTCATAAACACTCATAGGCTATTGACTCCTTTTCAAGACCCCTTATAGTAGGGTTGGCATTGAGGTGCTATTGCTAATGCAATGCTGTATCTTACACAGCTGTCCTGCAGGTTAATTAAGCTTTTGAGGACTATCCCAGGAATTATTATTTCCATGAAAAATGCTTCTGGATTCTAGAGTACTGACTTAAAGCCAAAATTAGGAACATACTTCATTTATAAGAGGTCTTAAACTTGTTTCTGTAATTCTCATAATCCATGTACTCTTTGAAGATGATCATAATTATCAATGAGCAATAAAACCTTTAATCAGGTAGTATGCAGCAGCACAGTTCTTATATTAAAAACACAGATGCTATTCCCTTACGCCTACATTCACTCAACACATTCATTAAGTGCCTTCTCTGGGCAGGGCCCTAGACAAACAGCAGTAAATTAAGTCTGGTCTCTAAGCCAGAAGAGCTTAGAGCTCTTTGGGGAAGAAGACACATGCACAAGTAATACACAATCAACATTCTTAAGTGTTGTAATGAAGATGTAAATAAAATGCATTGCAGGTTATCAACAGTCTTAAGTACTGTAATGGAGATGTGAATAAAATGCATTGCAGCTTCGGAGGAAATCAAAATGCTTTCTTCTGAAAAAAGAGGGAAGGCTTCGTGGAAGAGATGGCATTTAAAATGTCACTTGAAAATCGAGAGAATTTAAAAGGAGACAAAAAGGGACGAGCATCCTGGGAGGCATGACAGCATGAGAAAAGTGATAGAACGCATAAAGTGTGTATGTCCAAGAACCAGCTAGTGCTTCGTGCAGTGAACATTTCTGGAGCAACTACGAAGTGTAAGGCACTGCCTAAGGGGCCAGAGACAAAAAGACAAATAAGATGTGGGTCCTGTCCTTGAGAGAGAATTTGGTTTAATAAATCTTACAAAGTGTGAGAAAACAGTTTTCATTTAAGTTTGAGGATGGTGTTGGATGCTGAACTGCGGCATTTGAATTGGATTCTGTGGTGATGGTAATAATAATGCTCACCATTCACTAAATCCTTCAGTGTTCTAGCCACCATAGTAAGAATTTACATGCATTATTTCCTTCAGAGCTCCTCATGAGATATGATTACTGTTTTATTCCTACTTGTGAGCTGAGAAAATTGGGGCTAAGTCAATTAATGTATGTCATGTTTCCCAGCTGGTAAGTAGCCGAGTAGAGATTTAGACAGGTGTATAGTATTACAGAGCCTGTAACTCACTGAGAGAAGCCACAGGAGATGTTTGAGTAGGATAATGATTGATTTGAGCTGTTCTTCTTAAGAATTCATTTGACTACAAGGTGAATACAATGATTAAGGAATTATGCTTGTGAACAGCTAATAAGGACCTAAATGAAGGTAATGGCAATGGGTATGAAAAAGGAAAGGAGGTGACAGATGTCATAAAGCTTACTAACTGGATTCAGGGACAAGGAAGAGGGAGAAGTCAAATACAGCTTCAAGTTTTAGAGTCTGCATGTAAGGAAGTAAAGACCAGCAGAGAAGAAATATCCTTTAGGGAGTGAGGTGAGGGGATAGGGGCAGGGAGGCTGGGATAAGTAGTTTAATTTTGTACAAGTTGAACTTGAGGTGCCAATGGGATACAGGTGGGAGGGAAAATGCAAAAGTTAAGGTTAGAAATACAAAAGTTGAGCTTGGAAAAGAGGTGATTTAGAAATGGGATTATATTCTACCAATGGTAGAGAGGTCAAGGAGGACTGATAGAGGCCTTCAGAACCCTAGTTTTATTTTGCTGGAGAAATCATAAGCCAGATTACAGTGTTTATGAAGTAAGGGGATAGTAAAAAATAAAGGAAGGGTAGGCTACTCTAAAAGAAGTTAAAAGGTAAGAGCAAATAGTTGGTAGACTAAGAGGCTAACAAGAATGGAGCAAGTTTTGTTTCCTTAAGAATGGACTGACTAAAGAAAGACGGTGATTGATAGGGTAAGGTCTTATAGAGAGGGCGGGCTGTATTAACTAACTCAAGGTGATGACTTAGCTAGGTAAGAGATGCCTGGTGCCTCCTTTGGATCCATCCAAGCTCTTCTCATTTTTTAGATAACCATTTAAATGTCACCTCTCTGTGGAGCCTCTGTCTCTCCTGTAGTTTTCCCCGTAGAGGCTTAAGTGTTCCTTATCCCATTCTCCCACTGGTCTTGGTACATACCTGCACTATGGACCAGTGGTTCTCAAACATCAGCATGTTTCAGGTCATGTAGGGGGCTGGCTAAAACACAGATTACTGGGCCCCATCCCCAGTGTTTATGATTCTGTAGATCTGGAGTGAGGCCTCAGAATTTGCTTTTCTAACAAGTTCTCAGGTGATGCTGATGCTGCTGGTCTGAGGACCACACTTTGTGTACTACTGAACTAAACTAAAAATATGTGAGACGTACAAATAAAGAGCTTGGGAGTTCAAGGATGCACTAGTATTCCAGACCGGGAAATGTTCTAGAAAAAATACTCCAAGAATCAGTCATGATTCAACAGCAGGTAAGAAAGAATGAAACACTTCTTCATGAAAGAAAAATATTTTGAAGAGGCCATCAACATAATCTCTACAGAGCAGAGGTTTCTTAGGGGAGAGCTATCATAGATGAAGACTTTTTTTTGAGTGAAAACCACAGCCATGACTATAATTATACTGTAATCATAAGGAATGCCCAGTTGTTATTTGGGGGGAAGTAAGTATAGAGCTAGCATACTATGTTTCATTTAGAATATTATTTTGTTATTATTCATAACTTAGATGATTGAGACTGGAAAAAATGTACCATTTCTAAGAGCTGGTTTTATAATTACCATTTTCTTTGCTGCATCTAATTATTCACTTAGGTTTACCTGTCCCTGATAGTTACTGTGCAAATCTGACATAAGCAGATATACTAAATCTCAGAACTTGGATAAATATAATTTTTTCTGTACGTCACTAAAGTGTTGGCTGTGGTTAGTAAATGTGCTAAGTTGCCCAACCAAAGGTGCAAAATCCTTCCTGACATTTGCAAGCATCAGTCATTTCAAGTTTCTTTTATTCATTCAAATGCCCACTAAGCTAACTCATCAGTATCAATGACAATCAGCTTAGCATAAGCAAAACAACCATTCAGTCATAGCCACACTGTGTAACATGGATATATCAGATGCTTTATTCTGACAACATGGTCAGATGCCACTAGATGCAAAGTTAAATTAATTAGATATGAGAGCAATAATAAATCAGTTTAGTTCCAAGCCTGTATAACTTCAATTTTACCATAATACCCTATATAACTGAAATTAGGTTTTTGAGTTGAGATGCATACACGTCCCTATTAATTTTATCAACATCAAATTGACATCTGCCCTAGTCTTTTTGAACTATATGAATCTTTATTTAAAACCTAAAAATCCATGGGAAAGGAAACAAATTCTTCAGGCCTAATAGAATGCAAATAAATTATTCTAGTCTAACAGAATATAAATAAAGTTTGTTGTGAGAACACATTTCTCTTTGAAATAAAAAGCAATTTTAAAAGATTTAGTTGCCCACCTGAGGGGGAATAATCCCTTGACATATAAGTGATACTGAAAATTCCAAACTGTTGTGATAAGTAGATATTTTGAGAGAATTGAATTGTTTTGTTAGGAGGGAGATGTGGGTGTCAGTTTGCTTTATTTCCATTTTACTATGACAGAGTGGTAGTTTTTGAGTAGCTGGGGGATACTCAGAAAAATTACATGAAAGAAAGCCACTTGTCAGTCTTTTAGGATATATTTGGTTCTGTGTCATCAGAAGGTTTTCTGCCCTCTCCCTGGAATCAAGTTGCAAACACGATCCTCAATAGTAATTAGAGCTAAGCGGCAATTACAGGACGTATGATTTGTTCAGAAGCACTGCCTGCCGGCTGTTTCCTAGCACCACATTTCACGGGAGCACCAGGTTGAGATGATGGAATTATTTACTTTTAAATGTAACATCTCGTACAGTGCTCAAATGCAGACGTGAACGTGGACTGTAACCTTAAAAACAAAGGTAAGCACTGCTAACTGACCCACATTTACATCTTAAGGAACTTTCTTATGAAATATGTGACAAAAATATAAAACAGGTCAAATGAATTTCAGAAAAAGAGAAAAGTATCAGAATTAAGACAAATAGAATTTGCTAATTTTGCAACTCCTTTGTCTAATGGTATCTTGACTTTCCTAGCCTGTTTGTATTTCATTTGTACTACTGAGCCACTTTACTAACTATAATGACGAGGTAACTGATTTCCCACATTTCTTTAATCTTTATAAGCTACCGTTCCCCTTTCTTTCAGAGTTTGTGTGGGAATAACTACTAGGTAAAAATGAGATTCATGTTCAATTCAACTATGTTAGAACTCTCTCTCCTTTTTATCTTCTTTTCAGAAAGTATATTTAAGCTGTTGATTATAAATGTCCAAGAATCCACATTCAGATTGACAGAATAGTGGCTGGTAGCCTGTAATCAAATTGAGTGACGTGGGAGATTTGCACTCTTGTCACATGATTTTTATGATAGGCACCATTTCAAGTTTTAATGTTCCATCTAGTTCACGTCAAAGCTCAATGGTTTCATGTTTGTTTAGACCCTTGGGCATAGAAATCTCTCTGGAAACCAGGTAAGTTTAGCTCCTCAAGAGGGAGTATTGTCTGTTATAAGAGTAGGTATAATTTGTATGTATACAGTAGGTACTTGTGAAATTCTCATTTCTGTTTTAATGTTATCACTTTATTTTCCCCCACCTTTTATTTACCCCACCTTACTCCCCACCTTTTTTTTTTTCAATTTTGCCATTTGTAAAACATGGATAAATATATTATCAGAAAAGGACTTAAGAACTCTTGGCACCAGGAAGATATTTTTATCTCATAGTCTCCAGTGGGATTTCAGGTGGCTTGAAAAATATTGAAAGAGCATTGACTTCTTTTATTCTATCTTATTCATGGGTTAGAGGTGTAAACACTGAGGGTTCAGTGGACTTGCAAAAAATGAATAGGTTAAAGCCAGAAATTGATTAATTTTTCCAAGGTCCTTGAGACACTGATGTGTGACCTCTTGGCAGACAATATTGCTCAGTTTAGTTATTACATACCTGATTTAGGGAAAATTTTTTGTAGTGCTGTATTCATCATGGCCTTTGTTTTCTATGTTTGCTTTTCATAGAATTATTTATCCCAAGCATCATTTTCTTCATCAGAAAAACAGGGGATGATCATAAGCCATGTAAAGTTTAGAAAACTACTTATTGTGGTGTGTGTAAAATATATGTAAAAAGCTACTTAATATATGTAAAAGCACCTTGTGCTGTCCAATGAAATGGTATAGTATTTGTATAACCCAGGACACAATGATGAATTTCCGTAAAAATATACTGTAAAATTCTATGGTGCACTCAGGTTTCTAACTTGTCCCTGTCCTTCACATGTATGGCAGATACCGTCGTGGGAGCACGTAATAAAAACAATCCTCACTTGTTGCAATTGACATGACTACTGGAGACAGAACTAGAGATATGGTCTAATTTGTTAAATCTTGTCACAGGGACAAACTTGTCCTGAAGCAAATATTAAAAAGAAAACTAATACAATGTAGTTGCAAAATAAGGCAAATGACAAATTTTATGAGTGCTTTCTAGTTCCCTGGAAGTATTATGGTGGGAGCCAAAGACAAAGAGATGAAAGAGGCACACAGACAGGTACGCAAATGTACAGAAACAGAGAGAGACAGAGACAGAGATGCTACATACAGGAGAGAAACAGGAGAGATGAGAGAGGCAGAAAAGACAGGTGGGAAAGAGGGAGACTATGGAAACAGTGATTAGAGAGAGTTAGAGAAAGAGGTGTTACAGAAAAGGAGACAGAGATACAAGTCAATCAGAGTTTGGAAAGTTGTAGAGATTGTGCAGTTTTGGAACTTTGGATTCTTTTTGCATTTCTTTTAGCTGGAAACATGCTTTCTCAAGTTAAATACATTGAGCACTAGGTCCATTTTTGTGAATTGTTTACTTTCCTTTGGTGTCTTTTAAAGCAAAGGGAACTTAACAGTCTGTTTGAAGTTCAGAAGAGACCAATAGTTAAAACAAATGTTTTAAAAGAAAATATCTCCATTCCTTTGTTGCTTTATAAAGCAAATCATTGAAAAGGAAAATAATGAGTGCTGTGAAGAAATGCTCTACTTTCAGGGGGACTTCTTATGAAGAAGTCATTATGGCCTTGACTTTTGGTGTTCATTGCTGGGATAGGAGGGAATTATTTGGGGAGCCAAAATGAAATTCCATATAAAGAATATTATTCAGATTTTAAAAAGAAGATCCTACCATTTGCAACAACATGGATGAGACTGGAAGACATTACGTTAAATGAAATAAGCCAGAAAAAAAATACTGCATGATCTCTCTTATATGTAGACTTTTTTAAAATGTCAAATATATAGAAACAGAGAATAGAAAGGTGGCTGTCAGACTGTGGGAGAGAGGGGAATATGGGGAGATGTAGGCCAATATTGTCAAAAGGTAGAAAGTTGTAATTATGTAGGATGACTATATCTAGAGATCTAAGGTACAGCATGAGGACAGTAGTTAATATATTTTGTATGTTAGAAAATTTCTAAGAGTGGATTTTAGGTACTCTTACCACACACACAAGTAACCATGTGAGATAATGGATATGTCAAATGGCTTTACTATGTGATCACTTCACTATATATATATGCATCAAAATATCACATTGTACACTATAAATTTTATATGATATTAAAAAAAACCCGACAGTCAAGTTGTAAAGTAAAAATTTTGATGACTATGTTAAAAAATAAAGAAAAAGAAATTTCATGTAAGAAAGTCTAGTACAAGGTCAGTATAATAGTACAAGAGTAACATGATGCACAGGGCTGGGGCAGTCATTTATGATGAGGGCCTTCATGTGCAGAAAATACTTGGGTGTTCATTGGAGATGTTTTGCACATCGCTAGTGCCCCAGAAGCTGCCTACCTGACTGAAGCTCTAGGATGTCAGGAGAATGGCAGAGTTTCAAGAAGCCAGGCCAACTATTGGCCCAATCTGTTAAATACCCACTAGAGACCTTTTAGAGTACCAGCATTCCTTGGGTCACAGAACACTCCATGTTTCTCAGGAAAAGGGTGAGCTCACATTGTCTTCCAGTCGCCCACAGGAGTGTTTGAAGAACTTAGATGCCCTGCTTCACTAGGTTGTTCCTGCTCATGCAGTTTTTGCTCTACTCTACTTCATTTTATACAGATTTCTGTCATACAGTGAAGAGGCGAAAGGGAGGAAAATCATTTTGGGAGTAAGATATTAGGAAATTTCTAACAAGAAATTCGTACTAATTCTAATCCACTTTGCAAAACTAAGCCAAACTCACTGCTCTTTCTTCCTTCTCCAGATCATCCCTCACCATTTTTTCCCATTGTAGCTCCAATTTTACCCCATACTCACAGTCTCTGCTCACTCTGGCCTTGGCATGGCCAGATCAGGCACCCCATACCAGGTTTCCATAGGGATGGAACAGGGGCTTTCATGCTGTTTGCACAGCAACCTTGGCTGCCAGGTGGAAGCCATCTCTGCCGCTCCTGGGTGAGAATGGCTTATTTGCTGATAGAGGACCAAGAGTGGCCTTTTCTATGATGGCCACCATGACTATCATACTTTACTAGAATTTTTTATGAACACTCTATAGTGCATTGTAATTCTGGTGGCCTTGGGATACATATGCAAAAAGGGTTTAGAGCAGATTTTACTGTTTCTATTTATTCCCAAGTTGTGCTTTCTGGGATTTTATTACTTTTTTTTGTTATTTTTAACATGGGCACCTACTTTTGAATAGCTATGAAGTGTTTGGTTAATATTTAAGCTAAAGAAACCTTTTTTCTCTGCCAAAGTGGGAGTAGAAAGCACTAGCAGAGCAAATATTAACTCTGTTTTCTCAAATTAAACAGGCTTGGGATGGGGGAAATATCCTTTTAAAAAGGATAATTTGTATAAACCACTATTCTTTTCTTTTCCCTCCTTTTGTTTCTTAAATACCACAGCCTAGACATTGAAAGCAGGAATTGAAATTCTCTGAAACTAGGAGAAAAAACATTTTGTGCCCTAGAGCTAGAATTTATAGCAGCAGCTGGGTGCACTGACCTCAGAGTTGCTGTATCCAGATCCCTTTAGCCTGGCTCTTAGTGTGAACTGCAGAGGAGAGGCCTAAAGACAGAGCCAGAGGTCTAAATAGGCCTGCTGCTTTGATCTCAAATAGAAGGTCAGTTGCCATTACTTGAAAAAATGTGTCTTCTCAGATAGCATTTTTGTTGTTGTGATTGTGATAGTACTTCGGTATAAAAACCAACAACACAAATGTGAGTGTGCCTCCTACCATGAGGCTATTTAAATTAGTTATATTGATCAAAACAGTATGGTTAAAGCATAGTTGTAATGAGCTTTGTTCATCTCTTTTTTTCCCCATAGGGAATATTAAAAGAAGTATTAAAATGAGGCATTATACTGGAGATTCCAAAAGCAGGGAGGGAGTGAGGGGGACAAGGGTTGAAAACCTATCAGGTACTATGTTCATTACTTGGGCAACAGGATCATTAGCAGCCCAAACCTCAGCATCATACAATATACCCATTATATAAACCTATACATGTACCCTATGAATCTAAAATATGTATATATACTTAAAAACATGTATATGACATATATACATATATAGCATGTATATGTTATATACATGTATATAACATACATATATAACATGTATATATGTTATATACATGTATATAACATACATATATAACATGTATATATGTTATATACATGTATATAACATACATATATAACATGTATATATGTTATATACATGTATATAACATACACATATAACATGTATATATGTTATATACACATATGTTTTATATATGTAATAAAATAAAATAAACTGTTATAATCAATCTTGTGCTATTTTATAAATTGGAAAGAAATGTTGGCTTTTGGCCACACTGGCTTTTCTTTCATTGAATTTCTCCCATTAATCATGTTGATAAAACAGTAAAATTAAAATCTCATTTAATTAAATGAATACTCTCTTTAAAATGTCAGTCAAAATTGAAAAAGAAAACACACCAAATGCTAATCTTGAATTTTTAAAGAAGGTAATGATGACAATATATGATTCTTGTACATCTTTGATTGTACAGACTTAAATATTCAAAACAGTGTTCATGGGCAGTGAGCTCTAGGTTTGGTTCTAACATCAGTCAGGTACCATGGTAGATTAAGCTCTCCAAATCCCATTTTTGTTATACAAAATGAAGGGTAGATTCCTAATTATGCTTACCTCTAAAATTTTATTAAATATAATTCTTTTAGAACTATTCAGTGACTTGAGTAACATTGTTACACTTTTCCTAGGAAAAGTTGTATTTTTTAGGGAGGTTTCCAAAATAAATGATAGTTCTGCACTGCCGTTAGGTCTTTAGCATGCTATAGACTGCCATCATAACTGCCAATTGTTGGATTTTATAGACTCAGAGTTCTAGATATACATTTTTCTTTTTGGCATCACTAGAGTCTGTGTTAGTCTCCCCTATTCACCTCCTAAATTCAGCAAAGAAGCATCAGCATCAGAGACAACACGTAGTTCCTCTGTTTGTAATAGAAAGAGGCTTCAGACTTCAAGAAAGGGTCTTAATGCCATTGAGGAGAGTCACCAGGCAAATGTAGCTCAGGACCATCGCCCCAGGTCTTTTTGCCAGTAAATTTCATCAGGCGCTGTGACCTCCCAATCCGTTCTCGACCTCAGACAATTTTAGTAAAGCCCTGTCTGGAGATAATTTTGGCTTCTCCAAAGACTTAGTAATTTAGAAACTAAGCACATGACATTCCCTTTTGATAAGTCAGGTGTTTAAAAATTATTGCAGAAAACTTGAGAAAGCATTTGTTAGAATACCGTTTTTTCTTCTTTCAATTTCCTTTTTTTGCATGATCATGCTTAATACTATTGGGTTATAAGCTGAGAAACTACGATAAAGGAAAAATATTTTAAATTCAGTTTTAACCCCATAAATTTATTTAAATTCTTAAATTCTCATACTTTTCAACGCTGCTTTGAAAAAGGATTGCAGCCAGTGAAGTATGTCACATGTTTGACGAAACTATAGTTTGTACAGTATAGCAAATAAATCTTATCCATTTTTTTTAACAACACTTAAATGTAAGAAATCCAAGTGGGCAAGATATTCAGGTATAAATGAATCACCACTTGGCTGTACATATTCTATTGCCACAGCATCTGAAAAGCCATCTGTTGCATCTCGGTGAAAGATTCATCGTTTTGTGTAAAAGCTGGTGTATTACTACAAAACCCAAAGGACATTGTGGCTTTAAATCCCTCCTGATGCGGCTTCTTTGATGTTTTTTGATGCAGCACTTCATTATTGCTTATCAACTTCAGTGCAGTGCTCAAAAGGATTTATTTTTAAATGTAACATTCTGCCAGGCTGCTGCCATGGTGGCTGCTGTCGGAGCTCTTTAGGGAGAACCCTGAGCTTCCCTAAGGGAAATTCAGGCACGTAACTGCCAATTGTTAGATTTTATAGACTCAGAGTTCTAGATATACATTTTTCTCTTTGGCATCACTAGAGTCTGTGTTAGTCTCCCCTATTCACTTCCTAAATTCAGCAAGGAAGCATCAGCATTAAAGAGAAATTTTATTTGCTCACAAATCATTTTGAGCAAAATCAAGCTGGCAGTAGAAAAAAAAGAACTCAAAAAGCATCATTGTCATCCTAAAATTATACAAACTTGACAGTATTTGAAGATATTCTTATTGGGAAATTTTGCCTATATTTGTCAAAACATTTTATTAGAATTAATAGCATTGACTGCATTTTTTAAAAATTCTGCTCATTTATAACATACAGAAAAGTGCACATAAGTGTGCAGTTGAATGAATGTACACAAATATAGCATACATGTGTAGCTGGCCCCCCAGATCAAGGAAAGAACATTTCTGGCATCCTAGAAGACACTCTGAATGCCCTGTTTTAGTCCTCTCACCCTCCACCTCATCCCATCCTTTCTATAAGGAAAGCCACTATCCTAACAGAATAAATTACTTTGCCTGGTTTTACGCTTTATATAAATGGTATCATACAGCATGTACTCCTTTATTTTAGTTCTTTTCTTCAACGTTATGCTTGCAAGATCTATTGGTTGTTGCATGTAAGAATGTGCCATTTGTTCTCATTGCTGTATGTCATTGCATGAATGTTTCATCATGCAAACATACAAAAATTATTCTTTCTATTGTTGATAGATTAACTGGCTAGTTTCCAGTTTGAGGCTATTATGAAGAATATTGCCATAAGCATTCTAGCACAAATCATTTTTGTTAGTTATATACCTAGAAGTGAAATTTCTGGGTCATAGGGTATTTATATATTCAGCTTAAATAGATATTGCCAGGTAGTTTTTCAAAGTAGCTGTGACAATTTACACTTTAATATAGAGTTCTAGTTGCTCTGTATCCTTGTCGACACTTAATATTATCTTCATCTTTCTTCATCAAATTGAACCATTCTTGTGGATATGTAGTGATACCTCATTGTAGTTGTAATTCACATATTCCTAACTACTAATGAAGTTAAGCACCGTTTTTGTATGTTTATTGGCCATTTTAATATATGCTTTTGTGAAGTATCCAACTCTTTTGCCCATTTATCTAGTGTTATCATTTTCTTATTGATCTGTAGGAGTTCTACATTCTTACTAATAGAATATATTCATCAATTTTTTTCTTTTATGATTAACATCTTTTGTTTCCTGTTTAAGAGACCTTCGCTTAGTCCAAGGTCACAAAGATACTCTGTTTTTCTATTTTCGGTTTTACCTTTTAATCCAGAAACCCTAAGAATACCTTGAAAGCCTAAAAAAAGTTAACCTCAACATGTTCTGTTTTCTCTATACTTTTTGTTTATACAGTTCCGCTCCACCATTCTTCCATATATACCCCTCAAACACAAGCCATTCCTCAAAGTTTATCTTAAGAGATATCTCATCTGTCGAAACATTTATGAACCCCATTTATGAACCAGATGCAATTTCTTTCTCTCTTGAACCTACTTAACATTTTTTTGATAACACATGACCCCTGCCGTTTATGGTAAGTATTAATAGATTTAATTATTCATGCTCTCCTGGGATATGGCATAGTGTCAAGGATTAGGAGTAGTTAGTAACCACAGTAACTGAAGCTTATACAATACTGGCTATGTATCAGGCACAGGTTGAGGAAATTTGCATAGAAAAACCTCAGTTAGTTTTCCCACCCATCCTATGATATAGCTACTCTTATTTTTCTTAATTATAGAAAAGACAGTGGAGGTATAAATAAGTAAAATAACTTGTCCAAGGTTGCACAAGAAAGCAGTGCTCCCAGGAGTCTTCAGCTTCTAACATATCTGTCTGCTGAGTTGGTGCTTTTAACAGGTGTAGAACAGTGTTGCCTGTGTCATCTTAATTTAAAAAAAAATTTAAGGCTTGATTCTATGCTAAAAAAATTGAGGGAAGAAATTTTTTCTGCCTAGATGTCCACAGTGCCTGTTAGTATATTAAAAACTCTAAGATGCGTTGCAGAAAAGAACCGCTTTAAGCTTTGTTGAAGCAACATTTTCTAAATGTATTTGATGACAGAATCTTTTTCATGTAACAGCTTTACATATAACCTACTTTAGGGAATGATGACATGGGCTTTAAAGTCAGATGGACAGGAGTTTGGACCCAGGCTCTGCCACATACTGAGTGATTTTAATCACTCTAAACCTCACCTTTCTCATCTGTAAAATGGGAATAATAATATAAATATCATAGAGTTGCATTATAATTTAATAAGAATAAGGGACATAAATCACTTAGCACGTTACCTGGCATGCAGTAAAATCTCATTAAATGGTAGCAGTTGTTATTATTATTTTCTTATCTTAAAAAGTAAAATAAGTTCTGACACAGTTCATAATCCCTGTCATTGCTAGCACTGTGCCTTGTTAGTCCCTCATAAGTATTTATTGAATCAAATAATACTATTATTTGGGGAAGATTCTTTTTAGATAAATATATTCATTATATATCTTGGTTATTTAAGTATCAGATACTACACTAAGGTCAAATAAGTTTCAACTAATTCCCAGTTGAATACTATATCTGTTTGGAGGTCCAGTATTTTAAATCTCTCAGGTTTATGGTAAAATGCTTCTCCCTCAGCTGGAGAATGTATCTATATGACTGGAATGTTTTCACCTATACAATTTGGTGACCATAGCATGGTAGTGAAAAGCAGAATTCAGAAGTCAAATAGCCTGGGTTGTAATTCTGGCTCCTCTACATACAAACTATATGAAGTTGGGCTTAATCTCTCTGTGCCTCAGTTTCTCATCTGTAAAATGGGGCTAATACCTTGTTAATCAGATTGCAAGGACTAAATATGTATAAGTATATATATGAGTATATGTAAATGAGTATATATACCTACAATTGTAATGAACTTAGGATAGTGCCTGTTACATAGTATGTTCTATAAAAATGTTATCTCTGTTATTGCTATTATGAGACCTTTTCAAAGGCAAAATCCTTTATCAGTCACCTCCCCTATTCATATAGCCACCTCTTAGTGGCCATGCTTTGATAGTCTCTTGGTAAATTATTTTCTTCACCTAGCAGATTTATGAAAGAAAAGAAATGCTGAGAGAAGTGGAGGAGATGCGGTGATGGCAATTATCCTGATGAGAGAAAAAATATACAGTATTAGGTGTAACAAAGCTGGGAAAGCAATGAAAAAAGAAAACTGAGTATGGCAGAAAATCTGAAATGCCACTCATTTAAATTTCTTTAAAGAAATCTTTTGGAGTTCTATAATTGATGTTGCCTCCCCTAACAGGTTTTTATAATACGTTAAGTTTTTAATTTCAGTACTCACTGATGGGAACATGCATAATAATGGCATAAGAAGAAACTACTCCTGCAGGATATAGAATATATACAGATTTGATCTCATTCTGCAAATGCTTCTTCATGCATATTTGTTGACTCTGGCATACTCTTTTGAAGAATGAGGTGTTTTCTTTGCTTCTGTTTTGGCATATAAAGAAGAGCCACTAGGAAGTCTCAAAGTTATAATCTAAATGGGCTTTTAAGATTATATATCTAAAGGCCAAAGACTAAGGCAATAATTTCAGGTGTCATCTGTCCTTAAGTAAGGTTGTATTGTGATGTATTATGACATAATCCATTAACATAATAAGGTACCTATTATGTTACAGAGGCAGTTGGCTGAAATAATAGTTTTCTTATGATCATATTAGGAAATTGTCTTTTACATATTATTGGTTTCATAGCTATAGATGAATCAACTTGTATTTTACCATCAAAGTGAAATGTATGCAAGAAATTTAATTACATTCTAATGGGAATTCATATTCATATGAATACATGGAATTTCCATGATAAGAGTGAAACTGGTGGACTAAAGGAGATCCCCAAATGCCTGTGAGACCTGGACTCTGTCTGGTGTCCAGACTCTCGATGCTGTTGTGAGAAGGAATTCAAGGACAAATTGGGATAGAGTGAAAGTACAGATTTATTGCAAAGTGAAAAGTACACACTTAAGGAAGGGGATTGTGGGCATACTCAAGAGAAGTGAGTCACACCACAGGGTTTGGAGTTTCTATATTTATGGGTATCTTTAATCAAGTGGTGGGATATTCATGAAGATTCCTGGAAAGATATGAAGATTTCTTGGAACTGTGTGCTACCCATTTTTACACCCAATATGGGTGGTCTCAGAACTGTCATTACACTGGTGGGTGTGTGATTTAGTATGTTAATGAGAGTATAATGAGATCTTAGGTGAAACCTAGGTCAAATCCAGTGCCATGTTGGGTCCAGTTAGTCTTAGCCAGCTTGGCCCACACCTTCGTTTTTCAGGGTCTTATCAGCCCCTACCTTATGCAGCTATTTCAACAGTTTTCTTCTGCTAAACATGTGAAACTGCTGTCTGGAATTTTCTATTCTCCTGTGACCACCTTGTATTACTCCTGTCTCAAGAGTGTTAAATTATTCCTGTTAAATTTTTGGAGTATGCCTGCTTATATATGTGTATTTCATTTTAGTACAGGAAGTTTGATAAATATATGCATTCAGTGACATGAAAAGTTTTATTATCAAATAGGGCGGCACCCTATTTTGATTTTATTCATTATGACTTTATTCATTATGATATATACCAGATTATATACTATGTTCTGAAACAGAACTACAAATAGGAGGTGTCTTACGTAATATTGCCAGATAGTTTATACAAAAGTCAAAGGTTGGTTCTGTCCCATGAGAATAGCAACGTAATGGGTATATTGTATCACCTTTTGCATTGAAATGCCTGCTCATTATATTTTCAACATTTTTTTCTCAGCAAGTCCTTCACTTTTAGAGAAATTAAGCATTTTCTTTCAGAGTGCAATGCATTTTGGCCAAATTTCCGCTTGTAACTCCTGCTGACTTTCAGGCACCCAGAGGTGAGAAGAAAGGATTCTTAGCAGCAGCAGCAGCAGCAGCAAAATCTGAAATATGAAGACAGAGAGATCAGAGCATGAAATAACTTGTTCAAAAAAATGCACTTTGTCCCTATTTATTTACCATTTGCAAAAACAAGCAATAAGTCCTGGTGAAGCAGTATTAAAAAGTAGGTTTTAAAATTGAAAACAGCAAGGTTGAGGTGAAGGATTAATGAAAGTATAGTTTATATTTATTCAGAAGATCTACCAGTACTTTAAAACAATCTGTGTTTAACATGGCAAATTGTCTGTCATTAAAATGCTAATGAAATGGTAAACAGCTGCTAAGTTTTTTATGCTAATGAGTAGTGGCAGCTAAGTAGTTCTCAAGCCTTGTCTTTATTAGCATAGAGATTTGATTGGGTAAGGGGGATCATTGCGCATTCCAACCTTTGTTGATGGAGTAATCTGTTTGTGAAGTTCCCTGTTGCATTCTATTTGATTTGGGTTTGTTATTACAAAGTGACTCTCACCAGGCCCTAGGGAGCCATGTATTACACAGTATTATCAGAGCCACCATTGTGGGCTTAGAGAAAGAACTTTGCTTCCCTCCAGGAGACTCACAATGGCAAAATAATTACACATTTGTTTATCATTCAGCTTTAAGTACAATTAGTCTATACCTTACTTTAGACTTTTAATGATTATAGTAATAATAAAATAGGCCATTGGGCTAACATAAGAAATATCTCTGTTTTTTAATTTAGCTAAGAGTTTAAAGCAAAACTTTTAAAATATTTTAATAAGTGCCCCTGCAACATTTGATATATTTATATAATACATCATCTTAGATCTACAAGCACTGAAGTTAACATTACCTAATTTGAAGAGTAATGTGTAATTAAATACAGGGTGGTTATATGAATGACAGGCTGAGATCAGAGTATTTACTTGAGCATCAGAAAAAAAAAAATTACTCTCAATCTATACTTTTGGCTGGTTCTATTTTTGCTGAATGCTACTCTGTCTTCCCTAATGGATGGGGCTGACCTGAAGACTTGCCATTACAGATAAATGCTTCAGGCACCCTTCTCTCTTTTTTCTCTTCTGTTTTTAGGATCAATGTAAATGAAGTATGACAGTCCATTAAACACTATTGCCAATAATGTTCTGGAACGATTTGAAATATGATGCAGAGTTTATTAAGAAAATTCATTACCAAAAAGGATCATTGAAATAGAAATTTTAATGAGTCTGGGAAACTGTGTAAAACATTGGTGGAAATTTTAATAGTTGGAGCATTATCTCATACTGTTCATTTCTCCTTGAAGTCAATAGGGGATGTTAGGTATATAATTATTGTGTGGTCCTGTATAGGCAGGCCAGGAAAAATTGGAACCCTCCTACACTGATAGTAATCATGTAAAATGTTTCAGACCCTTTGGAAAACAGCCTGCCACTTCCTCAAAATATTAAGCCATTTAGTTATCAGATGACCAAACAATTTCCAAAATTTGACACCTAAGTATATACCTGAAAGAACTGAAAACATATATCCACATAAGAACTTGTACATGAATATTCAAAGTAGCATTGTTTATAATAGCAAAATAGTGGGAGTAATTCAAATGCCTATCAATTGATGAATGGATAAGCAAAATTTGGGAAATCCATACAATGGAATATTATTAAGCCTTAAAAATGAATGAAATTCTGATACGTGCTACAACATAGATAAACCTCAAAAACATTATGTCAGATGAAAGAAGTGAGTCACAAAAGACCACATCACACATTATATGATTTCATTTAAATGAAATGTCTAGAATAGAGAAACCTAAAGATAAAGAAAATAGATTAGTGGTTGCCAGGAGCTAGGGATATTAGGAGGAAATGGGGAGTGACTGCTAACGGATAAGTTTCCCTTAGATGTCATGAAAATGTTCTAAAATTGATTGTGGTGATGGTTCTACAATTGATTTGGTTTAGCCCAAACCTCATCTTGAATTATAGCTCCCACAATCCCCACATGTCATGGAAGAGACCTGGTGGGAGGTAATTGAATCATGGGGGCAGGTTTTTCCCGTGCTGTTCTTGTGATAGTGAATAAGTCTCATGAGATCTGATGGTTTCATAAAAGGCAGTTTCCCTGCACACACTCTCTTGCCTGCCACCATGTGAGACATGTCTTTGCTCCTCCTTTGCCTTCCACTATGGTTGTGAGGCCTCTCCAGCCATGTAGAACTGTGAGTCCATTAAACCTCTTTTTCTTTATAAATTACACAGTCTCAGGTATTTCTTCATAGCAGTATGAAAATGGAATAATATAACAACTCTGTTAATATGCTAAAAATAATTGAATTCTACAATTCAGATGAATTGTCTGGTATATGAGTTATACCTCAATAAAGTTGTTATATTAAAACAAACAAACAAACAAACAAACCTTACATGCCAGAGTCTGCCTACCAGAGAGCTACCTGCACCAGCAGTTACTTTTCTATACTACATGAAAGTTATACACTAAAGAAGGATGCTTGTTACTGGAGAGGAGCATTATAAATCTTCTACTCATGCATTAAACCAGATATCTAAAGAGGTGATAGCAGAAGTTCTAGCCAGAGTATTTAGACAAGAGAAAGAAATAAAGGGCATCAGATTGGAAAGGAAAAAGTCAAATTATCATTATTTGCAGATGGTATCATCTTATATTTGGAAAAAACTGAAGATTCCACCAAAGAACTAGAACTGATAAACAAAATTAGTAAAGTTACAGGATACAAAATCAACATACAAAAATCAGTAGCATTTCTATGTACCAACAGCAAACAATCTGAAAAAGAAATCAAGAAGGTAATCCTATTTATAATAGCTATAACTAAAATTAAATGCCTAGGAATTAATTTAACCAAAGAAGTAAAAAATCTCTACAATGAAAACTATGAAACATTGATGAAAGAAATTGAAGAGGACACACACAAGGAAATGGAAGAATATTCCATGTTCATGGATTGGAAGAATCAATATTGTTAAAATGTCCATACTACCCAAAGCAATCTACAGATTCAATGCAATCCCTATCAAAATACCAATGACAACATTCTTCACAGACATAGAACAGACTATCCTAAAATGTATATGGAAGCACAAAGGATCCAGAATAGCCAAAGCTATTCTAAACAAAAAGAACAAAACTGGAGGAATCACATTACCTGACTTCGAATTATTCTGCAGAGCTATAGTAACCAAAACATCATGGTACTGGCATAAAAACAGACACATAGACCAATGGAACAGAATAGAGAACCCAGAAATAAAGCTGTACATCTACAGTGAACTCATTTTTGACAAAGGTGTCAAAAATATACATAGAGGAAAGGACAGTCTCTTCAATAAATGGTGCTGGGAAAACTGAATATCCATATGCAGAAGAATGAAAGTAGACCCCTATCTGTCACCATATACAAAAATAAAATCAAAATGTATTAAAGACTTAAATCTATGACCTCAAACTATGAAACTACTATGTGAAAAAATTGGGGAAATTCTCCAGGATATTGGAGTGGGCAAAAATTTCTTGAGTAATACCCTCCAAGCACAGGCAAGGAAAGCAAAAATGGACAAATGAGATCACAAGTTACAAAGCTTCTGCACAGCAATGAAAACAGTCAACAAAGTGAAGAGGCAACCCACAGAATGGGAGAAAATATTTGCAAACTATCCATCTGATATGGGATTATAACCAGACTCTATAAGGAGCTCAAACAAGTCTATTTTAAAAACCTGAATAAAAAATGGGCAAAAGATCGGAAAAGACATTTCTCAAAAGAAGACATACAAATGGCAAACAGGTATATGAAAATGTGTTCAATCATTATTGATCTTCAAAAACAGACAAATCAAAACTATAATGAGATATCATCTCACCCCAGTTAAAATGGCTTTTATTCAAAAGACAGAATAACAAATGTTGGCAAGGATGTGGAGAAAGAGGAACCCTCCTCCACTGTTGGTGGAAAGGTAAATTAACACAGCCACTAAGGAAAACAGTTTGGTTATTCCTCAAAAAACTAAAAGTTGGGCTACCATATGACCCAACAATCCCACTGCTAGGTGGGTATATACCCCAAAGAAAGAAAATCAGTATATCGAACACATATCTGCACTCCCAAGTTTATAGCAACACTATTCACAATAGCCAAGATTTGGAAGCAAACTAAGTGTCCATCAACAGATGAATGGAAAAAGAAAATGAGTTACATATATACAGTAGAGTACTATTCAGCCATAAAAAGAATGAGATCCTGGCATTTGTAACAACATGGATGAAACTAGAGGACGTTATGTTAAGTGAAATAAGCCAGGCACAGAAAGACAAACTTCACATGTTCCCACTTATTTGTGGAGCTAAAAATTAAAACAATTGAACTGGACACAGAGAATAGAATGATGATTACTAGAGGATGGGAAGAGGGCAGGGGAGTGAGAATGGTTAATAGGTACAAAAATATAGTTAGAGGCTGGGTGTGGTGGCTCACACCTGTAATTCCAGCACTTTGGGAGGTCGAGACTGATGGGTTGCTTGAGCCTAGGAGTTCGAGACCAGCGTGGGCAATGTGGCAAAAACCCCATCTCTACAAAAAATACAAAAATTAGCCAGGTGTGGTGGCATGTACCTGTAGTCCCAGCTACTTGGAAGACTGAAGTTGGGGGCTCACCAGAGCCCAGGGAGGTCGGGGCTACAGTGAACCATGATCACACCACTGCACTCCAGCCTGGGTGACAGAGTGAGACCTTGTCTTTAAAAATAGTAATAATAAAGTTAAATTAAAATTAAAAAAATAAAAATATAGTTAGAATGGATAAGATCTAGTATTTGATAGCACAACAAGCTGACTATAGTCAACAATAACTTACTGTGCATTTCAAAATAACTAAAAGAGTATAATTGGATTGTTTGTAATGCAGAGAAAGGATAAATGCTTGAGGGGATGGATACTTCATTTACCCTGAGGTGATTATTATGCATTGTGTGCCTGTATGAAAATATCTTGTGTGCCTCATAAATGTAGGTACCTATTATGTGCCCACAAAAGTTAAAACAAAATTTAAAAATAGTCAACAAAACAAATAGAGGTGACAGTTAATTTAACTGCTAAAAAGGATATTTGCTACAATAATACAAAACAAATTAGAAATAAAAAGTTGAAAACAAAAATTTGAATCCCTGTCCTAACTACTACCTGTCCCCCAACACCCTGTCTGAAGCCAAGCCATAATCAACCCTTTTAGTCTTTAACTATCCAATGTCTAGACTACCCATTTACTTCAAAGTAAGAGCAACTTTCAGAAAGTTTGTTTTTTTTTTAAGAGAACAAGTTGAATCATAACTTTGAGAGCAGACAGTAACTATACAGGTTCAAGTTTTCTTTTTCTTGTAAAAACCCTATATTTATCTCTGATTTGCATAAAACCTGTCCACTAGCCATTCAGTAATTCTTAATAGCAAAGAGTGTCTGGCTTCAAGGGGTTCCTCCCCTCTTCTCTCCTGCACTTTTGGCGAGTCAGAGGCAAAGCGTTGGCCAACAGGACATTCTCATTCTGTCTGACCCTCCTGCCAGTAGGATCTGTCTACTAGGTGTCCTGGCTGAATCTGAGCACCCCTCAGCCCTTGCCCATAGGGAAGCATTGTGCACCACTGTCTTGGATAATGAGGAGGAAGATCCTTTTTATTGTGTTTACTACTCCTGTGCCATTTGCTTACTTACAGCATAACTCTCTTGCTTGCAAGTTGCAGCTCAACAGACTTGTTCTTGCACTGTAGGTTTGGGAGGGAGATGGATGTGAGCAAGAAATTGAATTCATTTTTGTTTTGTTCTTGGCAGGCAGTACATGCCACACTACTACCCTTCCTGCTCTTGTGCGCACACCTACCCTGATGATGCAGCCTTCACTGGATATCAAACCATTTATGTCTTTTCCAGTGGACAGTAGTTCTGCTGTTGGGCTCTTTCCAAATTTTAACACAGTGAGTAAATTCATTTCTATTTTATTTGTGTCCTCCTCCATCAATTTCATTACATTTGTGAATAGTCAATAGATACAGCCTGTTTCCAAAGTGTGTAATTTTAGACCATATATTGGTTATGCTGCTCAGTTGTGCTATGAAAGATGATGCTTCACCCATGGGAGTAGCCCAAACAATAGCCAGTATGTTTATTATACAAATATTTCCACAGAAAATATTTTCTGAAAAATTTTCACCTGTTGTGTTGCACAATTTTCATAGAATTTCCAGTGGCTTTAGAACATACATCATTTCTGGGATGTTATTCACATGCTCAGGAATACAATTTAGAGATACCAAGACTCATTGATTTTTCCCTTCTCTTAGAAAAAAAAAAATGACTGTAGGATTTATCTCTCTGGCTGCATTTTTATTTGGGAGATACTTTAGATAAAATGTGAATCCTACACAAACAAAATTTCTATTTGGGGGCTATTGTAGATGACGTGAATTTGACTCTATTAAGAAAAAGAAAAACACTCATTTTAAATCTACATACTAGTGATCTGCAAGACACTTTGACATTTTAAAACATAGGATAAGTGTTAGTGAATTACCTATAATTACTGATGTGCTTCAGCTCAGCTGACCTTCTTTTATTTGAATGAAAAACATTTGTAGGTGTGTCAAGTGGAGCATGACATCTTTCAACAATATAATTTAGCATAAAATCAATCTGTAGCCAGATTCTAAACCTTATAGTAAAATAAAATGTTCACAGTTCAGGTGAATGCATACATTGTCTGCTTGATTGTTAAATACAGTTAGTTGGGGCATGACAGTCTACATTAATGATACAGCATTGTAAATGCTGCTGTAATAAAAAAAAATTGCATTATCAACACCACCAGACAGCAAGCATCTGAAGTACTGCCAAATGTTTCATTTTGCAAACCTATCTTCTGTATGAAGTGAAAACAGCAAGAGGATTTTTCCTTAAGGATTGTCAATAAAATCTGCTGACAGGCCCTCTGTCAGGGCTTAGTGCTGGAAGGTAATTAGGGGGTAGGGCATCAGCCAGCTTTTTACAGAGCACTGGCCTTGATGTAGTGAGTAAACAGTTAAATGTTTTTGTCTTCTTTGAGCTTTTCAGAGACAAGTCAAACAGTTAAAAAAAAAAAAGTTACAAAAGGCGAGCATTGTTCCTAGAGCAGTGGAGTGGCTCAATAGGATAAATCATGCCTGCCTTGGTTTCATTGATCCACCCGCTGCATCCCAGAACACCACATTACGCCATTTCAAAGAATGCAAACTTGAGGATGCCAGTGGTATCCTCTATTCAAACATGTGTGACACATTCCAATCATAACTGAATTAAGCTATACTTCATAGAACATTTATGAGGTATTTGTGTTTTGATTAATGTGCCTTTGGAAGTTAGCATTTATAGCCATTGCTGAAGTCTAGTTGCTGTCAGGAAGCAGCATTCATGATGCAAGTAGTCATAAATGGCTTACTGTGGCTCACCTCTCTTTATTTTATTTTCTTTTACTTTTTATTTTATTTATTTATTCATTTGAGACAGCCTTGCTCTGTCGCCCAGGCTGTAGTGAAATGGCACGATCTTGGCTCACTGCAGCCTCCACCTTCCAGGTTCAAGTGATTCTTGTGTCTCAGCCTCCTGAGTAGCTGGGATTACAGGCGCCTGCCACCACACCTGGCTAATTTTTGTGTTTTTAATAGAGACAGGGTTTCGCCATGTTGGCCAGGCTGTTCTCAGACTCCTGGCCTCAGGTGATTCACCCTCCTCGGCCTCCCAAACTGCTGGGGTTACAGATGTGAGCCATTGCTCTGACCTCTTTATTTATTTATTTTTTTAACATAAATAATACATGAATACTTACTCCAAAAATTCAAATAAAACTTTAGCATTTGAGGTAAAATTAGAAAGTCATATTCCATACCCCTGCACATACTTTTACTTCCTTCACTAGCGGAAGGTGGTCAGCAACTGGTATCCATCCTTCTAATCCCCTTCTGGAAGTATGTTATACATATACCTAAAAGGTACCCAGTCACAGTTTTTTTTTACAATTGCGATCATATGATTAGCACTAATCTGTTAGTCACTTTTTTTGTTATCAAAATGTCTTACATCTGCCTCTCTGTTTTGAAGAGCTGTAAAACAAAAATGGAGAGAATACCTTCATAAAGGATTTTTAAAGATAAAATTACAATTTCATAATGGTTTGTTCATGTTGCATAGAGGGTACAGATGCACTAACATGTCATTTGGTTTGTTTGATTAATTGTACACAGCAATTAATCTTATGATATATTTGAGAAAACCCAAAGAATAATTATATTAATAGAAGTTCATTTTTTTTCCTTCTTGGAAGAGTATAAACATAATTTTCAAATAAAAATACTATTTGGCTAAGGTGAAGAATACCACAAAGAACTACATGAAATAATTATTTTACTCTCCCTGTATTACATGTGTGGCATTTATCAAACAGGAGCCCTTCTAGTAGTGTATTAAATATTAAGTCATTCCAAGTGGCACCCTCTATCATCTTGCAGGAAATAAATTTATGAGATCATTGGGTGACCTATGATTTTTCCCTGTGAGTTGCAATTTAAATTACTCTTAATTCTTTTCCTACAGACATTTCCATTCTAGTGTCCAACTCACCCAATAGAATACCTAAGGGAATGTCATGAAAGTTATTGTCCACATTTTCCTAGGAAAACGCTATTACATCACCACTAATAAGTATACTGGATTATTGTATATTTGTGATGTTTTACATCTCTCAAAGTACTTAGACCTTGAAACACTTTGGCAGGCAGTCATTATTACTCTTATTGTCTAGAGGAAGAAAGAGAGTTATTGAAGGAAGAACTGAGACTTGAATTAGAATCTTTTTAACTTCAAAATTCATATTCGGGCTCTTTACGTCCTTGAGTCTTTTGGCCCATATCACCTTCCACCTCATTCATTGTGAACAAAGCTCAATCAGAAATCTTTGTGCTCTTTTCTGGAAGTGTGGAAGGCAATTTTCAGCAGAATCATTAACTAGAAGGAGGAAATGGTTTTTTTGAATGTGTATAATAGACCTCTACAAACAACACGAAGCAGAATATATTTGAAAAACAGCTATAATTTCTTGTTGGCAAATTTTTAAAGTATATTGTACTCAATTGTCCACTTGTTCTTTGAAAACTAGGTGAAATCTACCTTATCGTTTTATTTTTAACCAAGGTTAATATTAGCAAATATAAGAAATGAGGTCAGTTTTAATCTTATAATTATTATCAGAAGAATGAAAACACTATGCTCTGAGACCATAGTTGAAAGTTTTGGAGGTTTGATGTTTTGTTATTCTCTTTAAGTAGATTTTTAAAAACATAATGTTTTCCTCTTTCTTATAGTGAAGTATGATAACATTATATGATAAACATAGCAAGAATGAAATGAGATCTTATTGTATTCCAAAATAGAACAGATGCCTGTTCTATGCTAAGTTGTACCTGATGAAGAAATATGCTTCATGGTGTTCTTTTAGTGGTTGCCTTGCCTTATGCACCACAACTGACAGAATCTCTCTCAATGCATATGTATGTAAAAATAAGCAAAAAATTTTAGTCTTTGTATAAGCAGAGTTTAAAGAGACATGATAAGGAAGACGGAGTTTGAATCGTTGATGATTTATGATGGAGTACATGTCAAGGACACATGCTTGGAGGATGATGATGTTAACTCTGTGCTTCAGCAGTGTACTTTACAGAGACACAGTTTTGAGTCATTTATAGGTAAAAGCCTGTGTGGACCAAAACATAAAGTTTTAAAGATCTTGATCTTAATATTCCAAAGCCTGTGCCTGGCTACCCACTAATGCTCATTTTCACCATTGCTACCCCACCTTCAACTATGTGTCATTCAAAGTTCAACTTAGATATCACCTCCTTCCCAGAAAGTCTTCTGTGACTCTTCAAGTCTGAATTAAGTCCCACCCTTTGTGTTTCCAAAGTAGCCCCAGATTACATTAATTATAGCAGTTGTCACACCATAGTTTAATTACCTGTTAATCTGTCTTCTTCACTAGAACATCAGATCCTTGAGGACAGGGGCTCTATCTTATTCATTTTAGTATGATGGGTGTCTGACACAGGTGCTCAACAACATTTTTTGGAAGAGAGGAAAGGGTCCCAGTTCCTTGGTTTTCAATGTTCATACTCCCCCATCTATTAAAGGGAATAATAACATTTATGAGTCCCTTCTAAGACCAGGCGATAAGCCCAAGTGTTTAACTTAATTTATATTTTCCTGAAAACTGTGGTTTTTTTTGTTGTTGTTGTTGTTGTTTGGTTGGTGTTTTGTTTTGTTTTTGTTTGTTTGAGACAGAGTTTCACTCTTGTTGCCCAGGCTGCAGTGCAATGGCAGGATCTCGGCTCACCGCAACCTCTGCCTCCCGGGTTCAAGCGATTCTCTTGCCTCAGCCTCCCGAGTAGCTGGGATTACAGTCATGCGCCACCACACCTGGCTAATCTTGTATTTTTAGTAGAGATGGGGTTTCTCCATGTTGGTCAGGCTGGTCTCCAACTCCCAACCTCAGGTGATCCTTCCCACCTTAGCCTCCCAAAGTGCTGGGATTACAAGAGTGAGCCACTGCGCCTGGCCAAACTGTCACTGTTTTTTAATCTAAAGGCAATAGTTATAAACTGTCTTCCAGCTATAGTGCCCAGCTCTCTCTGTTTGGCTGGTGTATGAATATTGGCAAGTATTTACTACATTCTTTGTCCCAGACCCCAGCTTTAAGAGTATTTAGTTAAAAACAAAATTGTTAGTTACTGAGTTTTATTGAAAATATATGTAATAAAGAGTGTTGGGTTTGGGGAGAAGATAAGCAAATTAAATAAAACAAAAACCCCCTTGTGCCCAATAAACTTATAAGGAAAAAATGAAGTAAACAGACTTGATAAAGCAAGATAAAAACCAAGAAACATCAGCAAACTGAAAATCGCTACCAAAGTTTATAGTGTTCAAGAAACAACAGAAAAAATCTTTTTTTCTATCTTAGTAGAGATGTTTTCATTTTTTGTTATTAATTTTTCTTTAGATTTGCCAATTTATCCATGGTCATTCTTTAATGACTGTATATAATGTTGTGGGAGCTGCCAAAATACACACAATTGTTTCTTACATTAGAATTAGGATCTCCTATTTCCTTTATTGTGGATTAAATTTTCATCTTTGTTCACAAACAACTGGGATAATACTTGGTGTTTAGTTCCCCTTAAGAAGAGACTTCTTCTGAATTGAAATAAATTGAATACTTACCAAGATGGATAATATTAATTTAATATGATAAAGTAAGTACATTTATAAGACATATTTACATATGTAGATTGCTATGAACTGAATGTTTATGTCCCCTCAAAATTCATATGTTGAAGTCATAACCCCCAATTTGATAGTGATGGTATCTGGAGATAGAGCCTTTGGAGGTAATTAGTGTTAGTTGAGGTCATGAGGGTGGGGCCCTCATGATGGGATTAGTGCCCTATAAGAAGAGCATAGAGAGCTTTCCCTCCTCTTTGCCATGGGAACACACAGTAAGAAGGCAGCCAGCTGCAAGCCCAGGAAGACAGCCCTCACTCGGAACCCCACCATACTGGCACCTTGATCTTGGACCTCCAGCATCCAGAACTATGAGAGAATAAATTTCTGTTTTTTAAGCTACCCAGTATATGGTATTTGGTAATGACAGCCTGAGCAGACTGAAACACATACCCAACTTACATGATGTGACAGTAAGTAAGTGAAGTTTATTTTTAGCACCTGCACATTGTGTACATGCATATGTATTTGTGTAACTGTTCAGAGCTATAGCTATAATCAAGAGCTGACTTGGGACCACAGCCACCTGTCAATTTCTCTGCCAATTGGCAGGTGTTTTATGTGCCTATTTATTTGAAATGTTTTTGTGAGTCCTGCCATGTTTTTACAACTGCTCTAGGAAAGCACAAGTACAAGGGCAGTCACTACTACTTTATTGCAGGAGGCTCAACAATCTTAATTTTGTGAAAAATAATCTGATTTTTACTGCCTACCTTGAAATTATTTTTTTCCTGAGACATGAGCAAATATGTGGGACAGGATAAAGATGATTTCAAAGTATAAAGTTCCAAACCACTGTATGATTCTGTGAATCATCCATGACAAGTTATGAAATGATTTATATGATTACCATTTATTTTATCATTCTAGAACCTCTGAGATTCTGACTCATTTGTGGTTTGGCAATATTGATGAATATTTTTTAAAAATTTTTTTCTTGTAGTATAAATAATAATATATTCATCAGAGAGTTTCTAAATAAAGAAATTGGGAATCAAATTCACATTTGCTTTGCTTTTAATTCGTGCTATGCTTCCCATGAAGTGTTGTTGTAAGGAAACCTAAAGCTAGGACATTTAACTTTTTACCCTGCCTTTAATATCTTTATCTATTTAATGAAGTCTTTATTTAAACATATGAATATGTATTTTTCTCTTATTTGTATATTTTTAAATTTAAGTAGAATACTTTTGCAACCCAAATGTTAATTTTTGCCCTTTGAGTCTTCGTCACTCTAATAGTGCTTGCTGTCATTAAAAATTATGTATTCCATATTTCTTAGGATACTAGTATGTCCAACTGACTCTGCTTGAACTGACACATTTATCCCAGTCAAATAAAAAAGAAAATATGGTTGAGTTTTTATTTTTTGTGACATGCTTTTAAATATATTGAAGGATTATCTTGTTCTATGTTTTCTAAAGGAGTGCATAGAACTAAAATATGCCAAGATGAAATTTTCCATGGTTACTCAAAATCACTTGAAGAGGGGAGAGGTTGATGGCCTATTGTTAGGCTTAGATAACTCAACAGCAACATTCCCCAGATCATTAGAAAAAAAAATAGTTATAGGGAATCTTTGAAATGTGGTACAAAACTAACAAAGATTTTGTACAAATATTTAAGCATTGATTTCTATGCCTAGAAAATTTTACATTTCTATTAATTTTTTTTTTTGTTTGTTTGTTTGTTTGTTTGTTTTTGAGACAGAGTCTTGCTCTGTCACCTAGGCTAGCATGCAGTGGTACAATCTCAGCTCACTGCAGCCTCCACCTGCCAGATTCAAGCTATTCTTCTGCGTCAGCCTCCCAGGTAGCTGGAACTACAGATGCACGCCACCACACCTGGCTAATTTTTGTATTTTTTGGTAGAGACAGAGTTTCACCATGTTGCCCAGACTGGTCTCGAACTCCTGAGCTCAGGCAATCCGCCTGTCTCAGCCTCCCAAAGTGCTGGGATTACAGGTGTGAGCCACCATGCCCGGCCCATTTCTATTAAATTTGACAGAGAGAAAAAGTATGTAAATATACCATGGATGGGGAAAAAACACATAGTGACCATCTGCACTATTGTGTCCCTCACCCTTTCTTTTTCCTTTTCTTTTCTTTTTTATTTTTTTTTTATTTATTTTTTTTTTTTTGAGACAGAGGTTTTGCTCATGTTGCCCAGGCTAGAGTACAATGGCACAATCTTGGCTCACGGCAACCTCCACCTCCCAGGTTCAAGCGATTCTCTTGCCTCAGCCTCCCTAGTAGCTGGAATTACAGGCATGTGCCCGGTTAATTTTGTATTTTTAGTAGAGACAGGGTTTCTCCATGTTCATCAGGCTTGTCTCGAACTCTCGACCTCAGGTGATCCTCCCGCCTCAGCCTCCCAAAGTGCTAGGATTGCAGGCATGAGCCACCTATCCCGGCCGTCCCTCACCCTTTCAAACTACATGTCCTTTTAAACTTTAACTCATGTCCCTTGCCTTACTCAAAAGCCTCAAGATTTATCTTACTAAGGGCTTTGTTTTCAAATCTCCCTCTTCTCTACTTACTCTTGAAACACCTTTAGAGTATGCAGATGTTATTTATATGGTATGTATTTATTGTATGTTTGTATAATGCATAGTCACATTTTTTTCTCTTTAATAAATTGCTTTTTCAGGGCATCTAGTAAAAGTCACTCATTCACAACCATTTACTGCATGTCTACATGTCCCTGGCATTGTGCTAAGGAGAAAGGTTATTGTGATGAATTAGACAGAAGTTGCTCTCTGTCTAATAGAAATTGCTTCCTCTTGTATAATTCACCATAACATAATAGAGGATTGTGGTCATAGTGAACAGTCAATTCATTTCATAAAAGCTGCCTAAAAATATCAGATTGAGACTTTGATGGTCCTTTATGAGGTAAAAGAATGTAAAATTTCAGGAGCCTGTGAAAAGAGGCATCTGTAGACCCACCATGCTGTGTCCTCTTGTATGTCCCTTTCTTTATCCTAGTCCCAATGTCACATGGTTCTGGGGCCTCATCTTCAGTGCTAGAGTTTCAAGGATTATGTGTACTTGGAGGGGACATCAGATTTTCTGGCAAGACAAGTCTTTAGTCTTGGCGCTGTCCCAGGTCAGCATTTTTCAAGAGTAGAGTCAACTTGGAAAAAGTGTCTATGTTGGGCCCTCTTCTTAAAAATTTGTATCTTATTCTACACTAATATTCTTAACAAATCTACAGATAATTAAAAAAAAGAATTAGAAGAAGAAGAGGAAACAGGAAAATTTTAAGAGAAAAATTCTTAGCTTCTCTCAGTGACCAAAACTTTATGTCTCTGTGGTATGGTAGCCAAGCCTAATAAATACAAAAAAGTAGCAAAATGTTATTGTATAAAACATTCCCACCAGCTCAGAAAATGTATTTCTAAATTAGTTGCTCTATAAACTTTAATCAGTGATAGTGGCCTCTGAAAAACTTTTATCAAAAGCTTGCGAACCCATCCAACAACGCAGATCTGTTTTTACTTCCACCTTCTAGATTTTTGTGTTTAGAATTAAGTCTCACATCCCTTGGGGGTTGGAGAGACATGCTTTGGAATATTCTGGTTCCTTTACTTTTATAGTTGCTTTTGAGGGTGCTAAAGATGAATTGGAGTGCTGTTTAGCAATCTGTGAAGTTTCAACATCTTTGTAGAGCTCAGTAGGAATCTTGAAAAAACACTTTTTACAGATTTGCTTTCAATTTAGGTTTACCTTCCTTTTTATGTTCTGATACTTGAAATTTTTGAAAGACACAAATCATATAAATGATACCATTTTCATGAAATTCTAGTATCAGAGGGATTTAGCATATTTCAAAGACGTTTTACATTGATTCTTTTAATGTACCCACATATGAAATAGATTACATGTGTCATTGTTGTGCCCTTTTTGCAAATCAGAAGATTGAAGAATAGAATTGAGTCTTCTCATTTATTCTAGTAGAGAGCCCTACCACTGAAAAGGAAAAACAAAAAATCTAAATATCAGAAAAGCAAAAGCTGGTCTCCACCATACTATATCTTGAACTTAAATATGTGTACTTCTCTCAGGTTATTCATGTGCGAAATATTTTTTTAAGTACCCAATAATTCCCATGGCTTCTAAAGTCAAGTTGAAAATTCTCCTTTGCAGTGTATTTGATTCAGGAGATAGATTCATCTTGTCAGCCTGTACTTGTTTTCTCTTATTGTGAATACAGTTTCTTGAGCCAACTAAAGATCTGAGTGGTATTATAGAAAATATACCCGATATTTTTCACAGGCTTATGATTTACAAATAAGTAGAGGTGCATAGAATGAAATTCTCAAAACACATGTCTGGGGCCTACTTAATTTCTGTGTTTTTCCCAGGTAGACCCAAACTTCTCTATATAAGATGGTCCATTGCCATTATAGTATGATCAAATCCATAAATATCTACATTTCCCAAAATGAGCTGAAGCTGTTAGATGCTAAAATGATTATGAATGACTGCTATCACATGGCACATTTTTGAAGCACTTACCTTTTGAAGGAACTAGTAGCATTTATTTATTTAGTCAGTCACTCATTCATCAACTATATCCTACCTTCTCCAAAAAGCCATTTGGAGAGTTCTTTGGGACCTCAGAAAAGTAACTCTACTTACTTTGTTCTAAAGTAAACTTCTGACCGTCCTACCTGGGCTTGCCTCTGTTCATGCTGTCCGGGGAAGCAGAAACCAGAATAAAGGGGAGAACAAGGTAGGTGATTCACTTCATTGTATAGGGAAAAAAAGCACCGGACTAGGAGTTAGAAGACTGATGTCTAGACTCATAGTCTTTGATCTCAAGAAAGTCACTTTGTGCCAGTTTTCCTCATTTTCATGATGTAATACCTTCCTATTTTTACATCATGAAGATTTGAG
This sequence comes from Homo sapiens, assembly GCF_000001405.40. Lineage (NCBI taxonomy): Eukaryota > Metazoa > Chordata > Mammalia > Primates > Hominidae > Homo > Homo sapiens. The sequence goes on along the minus strand of NC_000002.12, from coordinate 179,534,542 downwards.
TTTATTATATTTATGAGGAATTGAGGGTATATGACTGAATATTTAGAAAATTTTTGGAATTTAATGAGAGGCTGTGAAAAAATTATAAGTATATAACATATCCCCATGCTATTTCTAATAACTTAAAATACCTATAAATATCAAATGAGATTATGTTTACGAAAGGATACTTAAAACAGCAAAGCTCTATTCTTACAATATTGATAGTTTAATTAATATTTCTATCCCTTTTATCTCTTTTTCCTAATTACCTCAAATAAACCAAGTTTTATATTTATCACTTGGGCTGGCTGTGTACATTACAGCAATCCTAATTAAGGTAGATGCTAAAGATATATATATGGCTAAGACCTTGAGTTTAAGAACATAACACTCCAGTTTAAAATAGTTATTCCTGGTACTTAGCAGGTGCTCATTTTATGTTAGCTGAATGAGATAATGCTAGAGCATACTTAAAGATCACAGTCACTTGACTGCCTGGAAACAGTACAGAGGTGCTGCCGCTGAATTTGGAGCAGGGATTGGAAGAGAATATATTAAGTGGAGGTTGGGAATAAGCACAACCAGTTTGAATGGATTCTATTTTACCCTATTTACCTCCAGTGATATTTAGGTTTCAAAGGCTACATGCCATTTTGAACCTGAGAGCTGTGTCCCTATGATACATTGTCATAGAGTAGTAAGACATAATGTTTCTTGCTATATTTTTAAAATACTGTTGACTTCCAAATATAGACCCCTTATTCCCATGTTATTCATTAATCAAATTGCAACTAGGTTAAAATGGCAATTTAAAACACATTTTAAACTAAGTCATAATAATCAATATATCAAATTATCCTTCATGTATTGATAATAGAAATTTATTCCAAAAATCCCTTGAACTTTGACTCTTACACATCTCCCTTTACCCTACCCACTCCTCCCCCTCCCACACACCTGTTTTCCTGAATTTAAATTGCCAATCACATGAAAAGGACCCCCTTAACCTGTGCTCCGAGCATGGCGTCTAATTGTAAGTTCGCTGCCTACTCAAAAAAGATTAGTAGTCTTAGATTCTATCCCAAAGTATTATATAGACCTCAAGGGTATGTACATATGCATAAAAAATATTTTTTCTCAGAATGCAAATATCAGCCTAAATAAAAAATTTTAAATTACACAGACTAAGATATTCATAGCTCTACAGCTGTTAGAACAGCAGATAAATCTACCAGTCTTTAGACTTCTGAGGTGGTGGGGGGAGTAAAACTGATACATCTTACATCAGTTCCCTCAGAAAAGAACTAGGTAGAAAGACAGCCTGTAGCATAGAGCTCATTACTTCTTGTGCAATCAGACCTTCCATTGTTTTCAGAGAGTGCTGCTGCCTCACAGGCCTGGCCCCTTTAATGGATGAGTAGCTTCTAAAGAAGCATTGTGACACCCAGATGTAGAGTTCTTTGAAGCTATGCATCTGGGGAACCTTCATTTTGTTACAGTGCAAGGGTAATGTCAGAATTTCCTGGAGTCGGTCATCACAGGAAATTATCAGCAATTCATAGACTCCCTTTTACATTTGCTTCAGCCTCTAGGGTAATCACAAAAGATTACAGTCTCCATTTCAGCTCTCATATCACTGAAATATCCTCTGCCGAGAGCATGATTGATTTCCAGAGGCCAGCTTTTAACCTCAGCTTTGGGAGGGCCAATGGAACTGTAGTGGTTTGATAACTGCCAACAACTGACATTGTGATATTGTTCTATTGTGAGGCAGAAATTTGGTGATTCTTGACTAATTATACAAAATCTTTTTAATAAAGTGGCATATCAGCGTCTTGTGTTGTCAGGTGTAGGTATTTGTCTGATTATAATTAGTATTACAGGTTGTGGGGAGGCAGAAAGGTGAATAAAAATTTCAGATGAGTTTCATGAAGACTGAAGGGCCAAGCATCCTGCTAGACTGAATTTCAGGAAAGAAAGCAGAATAATTCAGAAACATTTCTGAAAATCTTTATAAGGAGTGAATAGATTGTAAATACAAATGATTTTTGCCTCTTAACAGCCTTTTTGTGAATGTTACGGAGACACTTGACATGTTTCATGACAACTTGCTACGTGGTTCATGTAGGTTTCTCTTCATTGTTTGATTAGGAATTCTTGGTGCCGTATCCATGGCCAACATATAAGCAAACTGGATGTGTTTTTAACTTGGTGATTTCATTTGCTCTATTTATTTTCCTCTTACATATGTGTTAGTCTATTCAGAACATATAGAGGCAGAGAGGGCTTTGCGTATATTTGAAATAAATTTGGTAAATGAAATAGTTTTGCCTGGAAGTAACTACATTTCCTTACAAATTCAGAAGAAAAGACAGTTCAATTTAAACTACTTTTGGTTTGAACCATAGCCTCCTTGCAGTCACGTGAGAATAATTATAAATCAAATGGACAAATGTTGAATGTCAAGCTGAACCATTAACAGAGCCTTATTCGATAAAGCGATTATCACTGCAGAGCAGAGTGAAGCACTCTATTAAAGGTCTTTATTTTACTTTACAACTATTGTATATTTTGTACACTATAAATGCAGAGACAAATTTAAACCAAAAATGTTTTCCACTAAGAAGAGCTATTATGTGTACACATACCTATTTATACAAAAGGGCAATAGCAGATGAACAGAAGACATAAAATATTTTTGCTATCAACTTTCCACAGAACCACTCAAGGACCACTTTCCTAGCTAAAGCCCTAAAATGTTAAGTGTGACAAAGTGAGCCTGTGAGGAGGAGAAGCAGTAGAATCAACATTGATATCACTGTGACATCCTTGGGTGGGAATCAGGGAAGGGGAAACAGCTCTAACTATAGGATACCCAGTTAAAAAGGATATTTATTTATATATTTCTATTTATTTATTTATTTTTGAGATGGAGTCTCACTATGTCACCCAGGCTGGAGTGCAGTGGCATGATCTCGGCTCACTGCACTTGAACCTCCCAGGTTCAAGCGATTCTCCTGCCTCAGCCTCCCCAGTAGCTGGGATTACAGGTGCCCACCACCACACCCAGCTGATTTTTGTATTTTTACTAGAGATGGGGTTTTGCCATGTTGGCCAGGCTGATCTCAAACTCCTGACCTCAGGTGATCCTCCCACCTCGGTCTCCCAAAGTGCTGGGATTACAGGCATGAGCCCTACTGCACCCAGACTAAAGAGGAGTTTTAGATAAACAGCAAACAAATCATTTTTAATGTCAGTATGTGCCATGCAATGTTTGGCACATACTTTTTTAAATTATTTGCTGTTTACCCCTAAAATTCCACTTTAACTGGACATCTTATATTATTACTTGCTAAATCTGGCAAACATAGAAGGAGATCTGGGTTCAGGTGTTACCTGAGGAGGCTCAAACAAGTCACTAAAATTCTCCAAATCTTTCTTCATTTTCAAGCGAGAAAGACTAAAATCAGGCTGGTAGATCTGGGGCCTGATCTGTCTGCTTTCACCAGAACTCAGTTTCTAAAAACTGAGTTTTATTCTATTGAGTTTCCAGTTAGGATTTTGTTTGGGTGGGTGGGGAGGTTCTGGGGCTTAAACGAAAACAATTTTTTTTTGAAGTTTGAAAATGTAGATGATCCCTGACATTTTACCACTGTGTAACGGTTATGTGGCATGTGGAATTAAGGGCCCAAAATGTTTAAGATTAGAACACTGCACATTTGTTAATTTGTCTAGAGCTTTACTAGTGCTCAATTGTCATATTTCTTCTTAGTGAAAGGGTAAGAAATGTGTTGGCCCCCATTATGGGGAAAAATGCTTCATTTCCACTTAGCTTTGCAAAATGAAGAAATATATTCGAACAGAAATATATTCAAAGGTCCAGGTTTCTCTTTTGCACTTCTTCCTGCCTGGAGGAGTTTTCTTTTCATGTTACACATTTTTAATTTTTGTCATGGACCTCAGCATCAGGATATATCTGATTAGTTACTGAACAGCCTTTCAAACTTAGCTTTGACAGAATGGTTTTGAAAGGATGTCAGTTAATGCATGTGGCTGTTCAGGAGATGTATTGATTTTTAGATCGAGAAAGTTTATTATTCCTCTAGTCTCTTAGAAAGCCCTTGTAACATATTTTTGAGCTCGTTTACCAAAAAACAAGCAATTGTATCCTATTTGGATTTGGAGATTTAGCACCAGTGTTTTTTTAAACTACATCTATAAGTATCAGCAAGTATTCTTCAGTTACTCGTATACTTTTTTTCCTCTCCTAAAAAATAAAGAATCCTATTTTATAAAAAGATATTTCTCAGATTTATTTTTGGCACTGAATTTTATGTTATGGAAATTTAATTTGAGGACAATTTTGGGGATTGTTTTCAAGTCACTATTTAAAAAGAAAACAAAAGGCCAAAAACTGTTTACTGTCTTTTAGCTCAGATATTTGGCCTGTCCTTTCAAACTTTGGGATGGATCTCTCTTCACATGTGCTATGGAATAACCATTTCTCATGACCTACACTCCAGTGAATCTCTATTTCACATTTTACACATCTACTGAAAAATTATTTTTTAGTCTGTATTCCTGAAATATTTCTCATTTCATTTCACCCGAAGGAGATACAATACTAAATAAGGAAACACCCAACCCATTTTATTTAGATTATCTTGGTGAATCTAGTTTCTGTTCCTATCACTCAGAATAGTATACTATAACCAGTTTTGTTCATATTTATCTTTGGGTGATAGAGTTTATTGTCAATTATATAAGTCTTGAGCTATTCGTTGTTGCTGTTTAAATATGAATATATCTCACTGAGAAGTATAAAGTATAAGTACTTTGAGGACAGTAACTTCTCCACATACAAAACATATTGATAGCACTTATCATCATTTTAGTTCTTCTTCTAGGCTACTAAAATTCACAACAGAGGTAAATTCTTATTAATTCCCTGAAAGATTTCCAGGTAGTTTTTCATTTTGCTTGAAACACCTATAATTTTCTCATATTTTTTTCAAAAGGGCATCTACTAATATCATATGAACTTTTTGTTATGCATGATCTTTGAAAGATGTTACAGATCTTTAAAATCTTATGTATACTTTGACCAAAAATTAGGAACATCAAATCTTGAAGATAAAATGAAAACCCTATCAAGAACTTTCTTAGCATCCTGATGGAAAAATACCTGTCTCCCCTAAAGATTTCCAGTCATATCTAAGCATTTGCTTATTCAAGAATGGAAACAAACAAAGAAAAGCACAGAGTTTTCTTAGAAGACATAATTCGGCTCATTACCTTAATTCTTTTTCCCTACATTGAAAACAGCAGTTGCATTTGGGGTTGAGGGTGGTCTGGGCTTCTTTAATAAATCACATTAACCAACCAGACCTTTCAGTGTGCATTTAAAACCTGAATATGAACACCTATGCGATAGAATTTCAGTTATTTAGTTTACTCATTTAAAACTCAAATAGGAACATCAACGCCAAAAACATTGCTGGGTGTTGTGTGTTAGTGACTATGAGGTATAAGTAAACATTTAATTAAGTCCCATACCCATTTCAGAAATAAACTGAAAGTCTTATTTGTTAAACTGAACTTTTTGAAAAGCTCTTTGAAGTGGCTTCTTAAATTACCCAGCAGCATAACTACAGCTTTGCTGCATCACTCTTGATCCCCGCAGCATGGAAAGTCACCAGGCATGTAGAGCTAGCCAGGAAAATGGAACATTTTAACATTTGGACTGACCATATTTGTTACACACAAGGATCTACTGTGAGAGTTAGACATTCAGCTCCAGTCAGGTACCCAGGCCTAACCTTATGGCATCTCCTATTAACAAAGTAACTATTGTCTGAAGAAGAACTTAAGAATTTTTTTTTCTACTCAGAACAGTTTAAAAGTTATCTGTCGAAAGCATTACTAGGTTTCCACTAAAGAGAAGGAGATGGTGAAATCACCAGTTCATTTGCTTTTAGCTTTTTTACTTTTACCATTTGGTAACTCCTTATGGTTCTAAAAGTATAAAAGATGAAAAACATTATTTTGTTGTAATATCCTCACACAAAACTGTTAGCTCTTAGACAACATATGTATTTATTTTAAAGACAAAAGAAGTAACTCATGATCATTTTGCTATTCACTCACCAAGTTCCAGGCCAACCACGCTGTGCAGAAACCTGTTAGAAAGGTCTCCAGATGAAAGGTGTCTAGTACTTAGTACTCATCCTTAGAGAACTTTCAAAATGCAGATTACTTTAGTTTACCTTTCTTCTTGGGATTATGATGATGGTGGTAGCTCTGAGATCAGTTGTCTTGCTACTTGGTAGTTGAAAAAATCCTCTGCAGACATCTCACAGACTGACAGACTGTGTTGGAAGCTGAGGAGCGTGTCTCTTAGTCTACAGGTTTTACCACTTGTATGAGTCTGGATTCTGTATCAACTTCTCTAAATCATGGAAGAGTGTTTTTTTGTTTTGTTTTGTTTTTTTGCATATTTGGTATGACTTTACATGTAAAAGTATCTGAATTACAGTGGGTATCAAGGCAACAAAAATGTGTTTTTAAAAATTTTCCTGGTAAAATATTGTTTCTTTCCCATTCTTCTATTTTATTTTATTTTTCAATGCTACTTACAACCCTCTGAAAATACCTTATTTATTATGTTAGAGATTTGGGTCTGGGTCTTCCCAACTAGAATGTTGGATATTTGAAAGCCTATTCTCCACTGTATGTCAAGCTCCTAAAACAATGTATGATAGGTACTTAATAAACTTTTATTATGTGAATAAAATTTCAAGAAAAATATAGTAAATATATAAACAAATTGGAAGTCATACATTTATAAATGTGTAATATGTTGAAAAGGAGCAAAAATTCCTAAGGAGAGAACTGAATATTTAAAGTTGATATGAAACCCTTACCTCTGAAAGAGTTGCACTTCTTACAACCAGAGTCATCTAGAAAAAGGACATTATTTTATGACAGAAACCCCAAAATAAAATGAAGATGAAATTTCTCCAAAAAAAAAAATGACCAGAAAATACAGAGTTCAGTCTTCTTTTCAAAACAGATCTTCAAGATACATCACAGGATTTTTTTTTTCTTGACTTTAGTCATCCTTTCTGTCAATGGAATATACAAATATTGTTTGGTGAATCCCAGAGCTTTTCAAAGGAGACCTAACAATATGGAATTAGAGTGAAATATATCAAGCTTTCTAAATTCATAGTTTAGAAAACAGAGGAAAAAAATGAAATGCTATTCTGTACTCTACTCTGATAGGCTGCCTCATCTCTGGGCTGACTCCCTTGTGTTTTCTATCGGGAATATATACTGCCATTAAGGAAGCCCTAGAAAATTGGGAAAAACTGAAATCCTGGGGTCCTGCTTAATTTCAGCAGCTATTAGATGTTGCCTGTAGTCAACCAGCCTCAAAATACTTAAAAGCCTGCAACATTTTGATAAAATAGTAGTAGTAGCAATAGTAATGAAGCTTCACTGGATCCAGGACTTAGATGTAATGTAACCTGTCTGTTAGTTTCTGAAGTATGTGTTGTGTTGTTATTGCCTTTATAACAGTTCTGAGTGACTGGTTAACTTTCTGCCTGGGTAGTTGTATCCCAGTGAAAGAGGGGACCAGTTAATGTTGCAAGCCACAACCAATATGTGGTTTCAGCAAAGAGCTGGGGATTCTTGAAGAAACCATCTCCCCAAACATTTGACCCTTGGTTTAATAAACGGTTTGTGGAGAGAGTGACATGCCATTCATCTTCCTTTCAGCAGAACTGATAGCATTCAGGTGGACCCTTGTCAGGGTGCTCTGGGTAGGAGAAGCAGTGTCAGCAAGGCAAGCCTCAGCTTTTACACGCTCCAGATGCAAACATGCAGATCCCATGGTGCATGCACTCCCTGTGTAATGTTCTATTTACTGTATTTTTTTTTCTTTATTTCTCTTTTTTTCTTGAGACAGAGTTTCGCTCTTGTTGCCCAGGTTGGAGTGCAATGGTGCAATCTTGGCTCACTGCAACCTCTGCCTCCTGGGTTCAAGCGATTCTCCTGCCTCAGCCTCCCGAGTAGCTGGGATTGCAGGCATGTGCCACCATGCCTGGCTAATTCTGTATTTTTTTTTTTAGTAGAGACAGGGTTTCTCCATGTTGGTCAGGCTGGTCTTGAACTCCTGACCTGAGGTGATCCGCCTGCCTCAACATCCCAAAGTGCTGGGATTATAGGCGTGAGCCACCGCGCCTGGCCATATGGTGTATTTTTAATGAGCCTTCTGAATTGAAATCCAAAATAGTACAAAGTTCTATAGTTCCAGCCTGGGCAACATGGTGAAACCCTGTCTCTACAAAAAATTAGCTGGGTATGGTGGCACATACCTGGAATCCCAGCTACCCAGAAGGCTGAGTTGGGAGAATCACTTGAGCCCAAGAGGCAGAGGTTGCAGTGACCCAGACTGAGCCACTGCACTCCAGCCTGGGTGACAGAAGAGACACTGTGTAAAAAAAAAAAAAAAAAAAAATCTGTGGTTAAACTAGTGTTGCCAACAATATGCAATCATTTGTATTTCTTGATCTTTAAGAGAAAAAAATTATCTTTGTTGTTGCTGTATCTGTTTTCTTTCTATTGAAGTTTTCAAGGATTTTTAAAAAGTAAAACATCAACATAAAAGCATATGGTCAGAGTCTTTAAATATGAAAGACAAAACCCATTTTAAAGTAACTTTAGAGAAATATTGCTCTTTAGCGACACAGCTATCACTTAAACATGTTCTTTCATGAATATTTGAAGTTCTGTTGAGACCCTATGGTCACATCCTTTCCCATAAGGCTGATATTCAAGAAGGAAGGGATAAAAAATAGTTATTCTCTTTGTACTACTGTAATAATAATAACGATACTGATAATAATCATGTCTGCCTCATGTGATGATGGAGACTGTAATACCACAATATCACAGTTTAAAAGTTGATACTTAGCCAAACTTCCAGAAGGCCCAAAGTCACAAGGGTTTGTAGCTGCGGTCTGCTTAGCAGCAAATCAAGGACAGGTGCAAATGATGACTGCCACTTGCAAACACGTAATTTCTAAATATTCCCAGGACTTTTTTTTTCTGTGTGCAAACCCAACAGTTATAATGAGGAAAGAGGACAGGACAGCCCAAATTTTTATTTATGGCTTTCCTGAAGTTGCACAGGAAGTAATGGGCTTATCCTAAGAATATGAGAAATAGGTCAGAAAGACAAAACCTAGACTCGCTTTTCCAGAAAACTTTTCCTTAAGCACCTTAGGTTTGTGTAGGCAGCAACCTTCCAGACTGCAGAAGTTCCAGGAAGTCTTATCCATTCTTCTCCAAACCCATACCCTTTAGCAGTGCGATGCAATACACTCATGATTCTGGCAGTGTTTCTTTAGCAGGGAACAATGTTGGGGGAGATTCCTACCTGTGTTTGAATGCCGACCTATGAACTTGAGGGTGATTCATTATTGAACCTCTCAAAGCCTTTGATTCCTCGTTTGTTAAAGGAGGATAATAATCATGTCTGCCTCGAGTGATGATGGAGACTACAGGAGGTAATTCCTTAGTATAGTTCCCAGCAAACCTCAGTAAATCAAAGCTCCTCTTACAATGATGTTTATTATTGTTATTACACAGCTAGAAAAAAGAAAAAGAAAATACCCCTGGGAGAATAACACATGGATGTCACTGTCAGAGGGGAAAAAAAACCCAAAGTATGGGTGGGGGAAGAGGAGACAGACCTTTTTGTGCCTCTCATGCCTCATTGTTTTGCTTAATGGCAACTTCTTTTCCCAGCCTCCAATTGAGTAGAGTTTGTACTACCTTTTTCACTTTTTAACTTTTTAAATTATGCCCTTTTTTGTGTTTTACTCATTTTCCTATCCAGTCTGAGACAGCATCTAAAACATATTGGACCTCTAGAAATATTTGCTCGATGGCTGACTTTAAATTTTTTTTTTTTTTTTTTTTTTTTTTTTTTTTTTTTTTTGAGACGGAGTCTCGCTCTGTCACCCAGGCTGGACGGCAGTGGCACGATCTCGGCTCACTGCAAGCTCTGCCTCCCAGGTTCACGTCATTCTCCTGCCTCAGCCTCCCGAGTAGCTGGGACTACAGGCGCCCACCACCACGCCCGGCTAATTTTTTTTATTTTTAGTAGAGACGGGGTTTTACCTTGTTAGCCAGGATTGTCGCTATCTCCTGACCTCGTGATCCGCCGGCCTCAGCTTCCCAAAGTGCTGGGATTGCAGGCGTCAGCCACCGTGCCCGGCCGACTTTAAATTTTAAAAGTAAAGAACCTGATTTCTATTTCTGTTTAATAGAAGAGCTACCAGGGCCTACTATACTGGATAAGTAATAAATGCCTACCAAATGCTTTTTAGAACATTGGTTAAAATAGTTCGTTAAGTTTAAGGTAAGATTTCCCCATCTTTACAAATAGTATGGGCTGGGCAGGGTGGCTCACGTCTGTAATCCCAGCACTTTGAAAGGCTAAGGCAGGAGGATCACATGAGGCCAGAAGTTCAAGACCAGCCTGGGCAACATAGTGAGACCCTGTCTCTATAATAAATAAATAAAAATTTAAAAAAAAACTTAGCTGGGCACAGTGGCACATGCCTGTAGTCCTAGCTACTTGGGAGGCTGAAGTGAGAGGATCATTTGATCCTATGAGTTTAAGGCTTCAGTCATGCCACTGCTCTCCAGACTGAGCAACACAATAAGTCTCTGAGAATAAAATAAATAGTACAGATAAAAGAAAGTCCTGTACAATTCTCGAGTGGTCTTTTTGTTTCGTAATGGGGGTGATGCCCAGTTCCCATCCCAGTGTTACCTGATGGCTAGTTAAATCCTTTTAAGACTCTTATAAGAATAGAACTCAAATTTCATGCCTCTTGAAAAGTACTGGGATAGTTGAACAAGTTTATAATTCTATTTTCTCTGCCTAAAGTCCCATGTAGCAGAATTTTCTAGAGTCTAAATATAATCTAGTATTATGTCAAGTCGCTTGAGCACACAGCCCCCATCTTAGATTCATCCTACCTTTAGTGAAGTGCTGCAGTGTGTTTATTTTCCCTGTGTCTAGGTTTCACTTGCAGCTGCATATTTTTATATGACTTTTTACACTGTGGAGATGTAAATTACTTTTTGGTTTACCCAGAGAAAGTAATGCTCTTTAAAAAAAAAAAAAAAAAAACGCACACAGATTTGTAGTCTCTGTAATCTTGAAGACACCAAAAAAAAAAAATTGTTCTTATTTTGATATTGAAAATATGATAGATGATATAAGGCCAGCTTCATTAATTTGTTTTATAAGTACTACAGTATAATTGTTAATTTGTCTGTACATGGCCTCCAATTACCTCCTCAGTTCCTGGTAACAGCTGCAACCTCATCTTTCACTTTTATTACCTACCAGTTAATTGCACTAATAGGTCTTGCTTTTCATTTCTGCATGATTTTCATTAGAAAAAGTGGCAAGTGTTAACTTTTGCTGCCTTTTAGTTAGTGTTTCAGGCTTTTTACTCAAAGAAAAGCAAGGAAAATGGGTCTTTAAATTTTCATGTAATTGTGCTTCCTAGCCTCAAAATTCCAGATGACTGCTTCTAACTTTTACTTTTTTAGAAAAGAAGAGGCTTATTTGAGACCAATAAATTTTGCCAGGTAAGGAATATTGGTAGCTAGATCTATGTGATAGGGTATTTTTTTCTTTAAAAAAGCATCTTTAGTATTATTTCCTAATGAATTATACTTTTCTCAATCCATAGACAGCTTTATTTGCACAATGTGAACTAACATGAGCTAATTTAATATGACTACTTAATAAGACATTTGTTAATGTAAAAGATATATTATAAACATTTAAGAAATATTTTTGAAAGTACTTGTTCATTTTTAACAATCGAATGTCTATAAAATGCCAAATGAATCTTTAAAAATCAGAATTTGTTATGTAGTTGCAGTACCTCCAGTAATTTTTGAGTAGTCTACACATGAAATCATTATGATATAGAACATAGTTTTGACTGTACTAAAATGAGTTACTTGCATTTATCACATTTTAAGATTTATGATAATGTTTTTATTAATCCTGAACTTTTTATTCATCCTGAAACTTAGTGATAGAATAAAAGAATTATCATCGATTTAGTTACATGCATCTCATTATGACTACAGAGAACTAGTAATGCACTAGCAAAGGAAAAAATTTAAGTTAACATAAATTAACATCATAGTTATTTTATCTAGCTTTTAGAGCATTGTACTAATGCTGAGAACAAAAATTGAGAATTTTACCACTTTATACTTTTTAAAAAGGTATCTGAAAGCCCTCTTCATTACTGTCACATTTGGATCCCATTGAAATGACTCGAGTATTTGTAGTTATTGCATCAGAGGGCAAATACTCAAAACATTAGCTTGACAGTGTCTGTTTCAAAATCAGATAAAGTGACAAGTGGGGCATTCTTTTTTATTCCAATTAAAGTCTCTATTCAACTAAATCATCTAAATCATGTCCCCCAAAATGACATTTAAATATAAAAATATAACTATAGAATTTAATAATAAACAGCAGAAGAAGAGATTTAGACTAGAAGAAAAAGTGAATCTTTTCCAGAAACCTTAAGGAAATACAGAATCAAGAGGAAAATAAAGGAAATCTGTTCCAAGTGAGACAGATGGGGGTACAATCTTGATACAATTAGTGATAAGTTATCCAAAGGATGAAAAGGCAGAAAAAGTTAATGACAAGTAGCAAAGAAAGTGTAAAAGGGCTGTGCTTATTTAGTTGATTTTATGAGAAAAATTAGGATTACATATATAAACTGGAGGAGCCAATTCTGAGGAGAGTTTCATGAAGGAACCTTCTTAATCTGGTGCTTTTTAGAGAGCAGATGGATGGAAACTTGCCTACCTTTCTATTTGGAGTGCTCAGTCTCAACTTACCTTTCAGGATGGAGAGCTCTCAGCCTTGGGGACACAAAGGCATATTTTCAGGCCAATGTGGTGCAAATGTGAGATTTGGGCAGAATAAAACTATTAGGGGCCGGGCACAATGGCTCACACCGGTAATCCCAGCACTTTGGGAGGCCAAGTCAGGCGGATCGCCTGAGGTCAGGAGTTCGAGACCAGCCTGGCCAATATGACGAAACCCAGTCTCTACTAAAAATACAAAAAAAAAAAAAAAAAACTGGCCAGGTGCGGTGGTGGGTGCCTATAATCCCAGCCACTCAGGAGGCTGAGACAGGAGAATTGCTTGAACTCAGGAAGCAGAGGTTTCAGTGAGCTGATATCGCACCACTACACTCCAGCCTGGGCCACGGAGCAAGACTCTGCCTCAAAACAAAAACAAAAACAAAAACAAAAACAAAAAAAACTGTATTAGGAGTTATGTAAAAAATTATGTAGGCAGCTAACAATTTTTAAAACTTAATGGGAATATTTATTTTCAAAGATTTTTTTGGAGATGTCAATAGATACAATAGTCTACTAAGAACTTGAAACTAGATATTCGTAAATGTATCTTTTGTCTTTCTATGTTTGGGCATGGAAACAGCTAGGATATGTGGATTCACTTTGAGGAAAGTTTTAATTTTGATGTTAATTTCAATGTATTTTTTGAAAGGAGTAATAGGAAAGTGTACATTATTTCTATGATTTATTGTTTAAGTGTACTTCAATTTGATTTAAAGAAAAATATTAGTGTATGGATATGGCAAAAAATAATGAAAATAGCATGCATAAAACCGGTATTTAGGGAATATTCATATAGTTTAATCCCATGTAGTTCACATATCACCAGATGGGAAGTATTTTTCAGAGCCTGAGATCAGAAACTATCTCAATAAAATGCTCTTGTTTTTTAACTTTGCAAAACAGTGGGCTTCTTTCATCCTGCCAAGATAAGTTAGCCTGTTTTATTTTTAAGCCTGCATAAACTGATTCGCCATGTCTGGTAACTGTCAGAAAGTATAGTTTCCTATTTTGCAAATAGATAGATGGGATTTAAGTATTTGTGTTTGTGAATAAAATAAGAAAGTGAACTAGGAATTTATTTTCTGACCTTTTGAGATTTTCTTTGTCACATAGTTTTTTAAATTATTATTCTCATTGAATAAAATTTAATACAATCAGTTATGACCTTCAACAGTATGAATCCCTAGATTTTCCAGTAATGATATGTTAGATTTAGTAGTTAAACATAATAATGTTAAGAAGGTTTTTCTTTTTTACTTATTAAATTATAATATATAAAATTGACCTTTTGAGGGGGAAAGGTCTATGAATTTAATATATGTATAGATTTGTGTAACCATCACATTATAGTTAGGCTATCTCTCCAGAAAACTCCCCTCTTAGCATTTTTTTTTTTAAGATGGAGACAGGGTCTTGCTGTGTTGCCCAGTCTGGTCTCAAACTCCTAAGCTCAAGTGATCCTCCTGCCTCAGCCTCCCAAAGTGCTGGGATTATAGGCATAAGCCCCTGCACCTGGAACCCTCTTAAAATTTTTAAGTGTCCCAAATCACCATAACTGTTCTTTATAATAGGAATACATTGTCCTGTCATCTTTCTTGAAATTGTAGCCAAAAAATAGATTAATTTATTATTCAATAACTCTTCAATCCACTTGCCTTTCTAATGTATTTAGCTTCTTCTAATGGCTAATTTTGCATTTTGTCGATTTATAATCATGATCAGAGATAGTATTCATTTCTCCTCTCTATCAAATATCATCAACTAATCCAATCTTAATCTCTAACCTCAGGAGATTTCCTAGACAATGGTATCAATAGATCTGTCCTCATTCATATTACATCTGTTATGTAATGTTTTGCTCATCATCTGCATTGTTTTTTGAACTACCAGTTGTCTGATGTAAATGTTGGAGATTATTATCTGGAGTACACAAGAGAATCACTGCTGTGTCTCTTTTCATAGGCTCTGCAGATCTAGGTGTTTCTTTTCCTGAGTGTTTTAATGACTATGTGCCATACTTTTTCTGTTGGAGTACTTGTATCACTGTATATTTCTCTGAATATATATAATACATGCAAGCCAAAAGGGGAAAATCACAAGCTATAAATCAAAACTTTACTTGATTAATATTTAACCAAGGGTTGCATGTCAGCCAATCTATTTTAGGCATTTAAGTGTACAGTTCTGACATGCATTTTCAGTAGAATGAATTTCAGTCTATAGCACATGAAAGTTAACAAATTATTTTAAAATATATATTCAGTCAATACTTTCTGTGCTCTGATAAGAGCCTGTCATTTATGACTTTACCATAAATCAAAAATTAAGAAGCATAAATATATGTGTAATAATTGTCATTGACATCATTTGAGGCCATCTTAAGTATTGTTGCCTCATACAGGGAAAACATTAACATTTTTAGCTGGGCATAGTGTGGCACATGCCTGTAGTCCCAGCTACTCGGGCGGCTGAAACAAGAGGATCACTTGAGCTCAGGAGGTTGAGGCTGCAGTGAACTATGATCACGCCACTGCATTCCAGCTTGAGCAACAGAGCAAGATCCTGTCTCAAGAAAAATAAAAGTTAATTTTAACCTTGACCTTTGGATCTTAAGTTTTCTTGTTTTATGATTCTTCTAAGGTTTTTCAAGGCTCCTTCTAGAGACATTAGGTTTCTGGAAATATGGTGATTCTCTCGTGGTTTTTTCTGAGTTATGTTTTCAAAGCCATTTTTTGTTTTCATTTTTGTCATTTGTTTTTGTTTTTAATTTTTGGAGACAAATATATTACTGTTGAAGGAGACTCTTTATTATCTTTGTTTAGGAACTAAAAGTTTAAACTTTATGGAATATTTCAACTACTGTTATTTGCTCACACTGTTGTCTTTTCTTTGAAGTTACAAATTGACTATTTTTTCATTTGTTCTTCAGATGGATCCTGTGCAAAAAGCGGTTATTAACCATACATTTGGAGTATCCATTCCCCCAAAGAAGAAACAAGTTATTTCTTGTAATGTCTGTCAGCTTCGCTTTAACTCAGATGTGAGTATCACCTTTTCATTATTCTCTGTAGTTTGTCAGAGCTAAAAGTCTGATTGATCTAAATACGTACATTTCTTCATATTTACATACTGTAGCAGCCACTCCTATTGGTAGCCCACTAATTTCAGGATGCCAGATTTCCAAAGGATTTGGGTTCAATGCCTAAAACTTGAACAATAGAGTATGGTTGGCCCTCTGAATCCACAGGGTCCATATCCATGGATTCAACCTAGATCACATCGAAAATATTTTTTAGAATAACATTACAACAATAAAAAATAATACAAATTTTAAAACCAATAGAGGATTATAGACAATAGTCTATAAGTGGCTAAGATCAAAAATTAAGAATTTATCTATGCAATCAGTCTCAACTATACCATTTTACAATTAATCTCACTAATTATATTCACTTGTCAAAAATGCTTGAATATCAGAAAATATGAAAAAAGTTTTAAAATGCAATGAAGAGATTTTAAAAATTAAAATGCAATAAATGTGGAAGAAAACCATTTTTACTATTTGATATCAATTGCCACATTTCATGTTTGTGTCAAATTTTGTTAAATACCTAAAAGAATTACTAATTTCCTATATTTTTCCCAGAACATAAAATATAGAGAAAGTTTCATAAACTATTTTATCTGTCAAGCATAACCATCCTGCTAAACAAAGATAACAAGAAAATGGAACAAATCACTCTCTTTTATGAAAATGGGTTTTTAAATTTATAAACAAAATAGCAGGAAAGCAAAATAAACAATATTAGAATATTTGCAATATCCAATTACCAAGTAAAGCCAATGACCGATGTAAATCAGAATCCGAAGGCTGCATATAATATGTGGTATTTCCTGAGTTACTTGACCCCTGTAGCCATTTTGCAAAGAGCTTGTTACAGAATTAATGTTGTTTAGAAATACTAAAATAATAATCTCTCTTGTTTGCATATACCATTAAATTATGTTTCGATAATTCTACATAGGAAGCATAATAAAAAATCATAGTCATTGGAAAAGAGATGTTTATCATGATTTATGAAATTATATTTAATATAATTTTAATCAAAAGTCCAATGAATTTTTTGGTACATGATAAAACTTCATGTTCAGGAATCAAAATGTACCTAAATAAACTGAGAAATATACAGTGTTAATTCATTTGAAGTCTTAATATTGTTAAGATGTTAGTTCTTCCCCAATTGATCTATAGATCCAGCACAATCCTGATCAAAATCTCAAAATGTTTTTTTATTATGGAAAATGGCAAGCTGTTTCTTAAATATACATAGAAAAGAAAAGCCCTAGAATAGTCAAAACATTTTTTTAAAGGTCAAATTTTGAAGACTTAATGCTTCCTGATTTTAATACTTACTCTAAAATCTACAATAATCAAGACTGTGAAACTGGTGAAAGAATGGTAGACACATGGATCAATGGAACAGAACAGAGTCCAGAAATAGACTCACACCAATATAGTCAGTTGATTTTCAACAAAGTTGCAGAGTGAATTCAATGAAGAAAGGCTAATCTTTTCAACAAACAGTGCTAGAAGAAGTACGTATTCATATGTAAATTCAAAAAACGCCTTGACTACTACCTGATACAAAACATAAAAATTAATTCAATAGGATCATTCATAAAATAAAAACTTTAAAAAAACTATTAAACTTCTAGATGAAAACAGTAGAAAATCTATTTGGCTTTGCATTAGGCAAAGATTTCTTAGAAAATAAAGAAGTGTGAATATTGATATATTGGACTTTATCAAAATTTAAAACTTCTACTCTTTAGAGACACTTTTACACTGTTCAGAAAATGAAAAAACAAGCTATAGACTACTAGAAAGTATTTGTATCTGCTTAAGAAATTGCATACAGATATAAATAATTTATAACTCAATAATAAATGATAAAATGGGAAAACAATTTTAACAGGCATTTTACCAAAGAAGAAATATGAATGATGAATAAGCACATAAAAAAATGCTCAACATGTTTAACGATTAAGGAAATACAAAGTAAAACCAAAATCAGATAGCACTACACCTATTAGAATGGTGAAAATTAAACAAATTGATAGGATCAAATGGCTAGGATGAGGAGCAACTGGACCTCTCATACATTGTCAGTGAGAATACAAAATGGTACAGCCACTTTGGAAAACAATTTAGCAATTATTAATAAGAAACTTTATAAAGTTGTACATACGTTTCCCATATGATCCAGCAGTCCCACTTCTAAGTATATCCCCAAGGCAAATGAAAACATATATTAATCCATATGTGCTGCTTAATTTTATTCATAATTGCCCAAAACTGGAATTGACCCAAATGTCCATCAACTGATCAATAAACAAACTATGTTAAAGCCATACAATGGAAATAAAGAAATAAAAGTAAATAGAAATAAAGTAAAAGTAAAAAGAAAGTACTGATACATGCTACAATGTGGATGAATCTCAAAGACAGTATGCTAAGTGAGAGAAGTAAGACACAAAGACTATATGCCATTTGATTGCACTCGGATAACTTTCTGCAGAAGATGAAACTATGGGGATAGTCAGATCAGTGTAGTTAACAGGGGCTAAGGGTTAAGTTAGGGAATTGACCAGAAAGGGAAATGCAGGAACGTTTTTGAATGATGAAAATATTTTATAACTTTATTGTTGTGATGTTTACATGACAGTCTTTGTTTTTCAAAATTCATTAAGCTGAATACCTGAAAAAAATTTTACTATATATAGAGTATACCTTAGTAAACCTAACTAGAAAAAAATTAATGATATGAGCCACAAAATATTTTATAAATAGGAGACTAATTTATGATAGAGATATAACTACTAAAGTATATTAAACTACAATTTTACTACTAGAATGAAAGTATGATAAGACTTTTGTAAGAATAGACACAATAATAAATACTGAAATAGATTCAAGTAAATTTTACAGTATTGCTCAGTTATTGTTCAAATTTTTAGAGTTATACGGAGAAATTAAAGTCTGTTGTTATATAAATATGACATGAAAATGTTTACTACTTACCTGACCACTTATAAAACAAATGCCCACCTAAAGACATGCTGCATCTTTAACACTGGCATTCTCAGTGCCATAAGGCCAGATGCTTGAAAACATCTCTCAGTACAATGCAAATAATAGATTTCAGAATTAAATTGCAAAAATCGTGCAAAAGATGCACCATTTTATGAAGTCCACTAATGTAATAGAGAACTGCTTGGTTTAAAGCCACTCACAAATAAGGATTTGCCTATTAGAAGAGTTAATTTAAGAAGAGTAAAATAACAAGGTTGATGATAGATAGATTCTTCAAAACAAGAGATGTTGAACACTGACTGAATAATAGGGGTTTAGGGACAATTATGAATCTCTCAAATTAAAAAATAACATATTCATAGTTCAAAATCATGATAATATTAAAAAACATATTGAGGCTGGGTGCAATGGCTCACGCCTGTAATCCCAGCACTTTGGAAGGCCGAGGCGGGTGGATCACTTGAGGTCAGGAGTTCGAGACCAGCCTGACCAACATGGTGAAACCCTGTCTCTACTAAAAATACAAAATTAGCCAGGCGTGATTGTGCACACCTGAAATCCCAGCTACTTGGGAGGCTGAGGCAGGAGAATCGCTTGAACCCAGGTGGCAGAGGTTGCAGTGAGCTGAGATTGTACCATTGCACTCCAGCCTGAGCAATAAGAACAAAATTCCATCTAAAAAAAAAAAAAAAAAACCACCACACATTGAAAAAACTATCCCTTTCCTCATCTTCCCAACCTCCATGTCATTCCCTATTTGTAATCACTTTAATTTTTTTGCATATCTTTATATCTTTCCAGGGCTTGCTTATGCAAATATAACTAAGTATGAATACATATTATTTCTTCCCTTTTCTATGTAAATGGTAGCATACTATTGACACTCTTCTTTGCCTTGCATTTTTTATGTAACAATATATGCTGAAGAATTTTTTTCTATCAGAACATAGCGAGCTCCCATACTCTTTTTATAGATGTGGTAGGCAAAGATGCCCATATCCTAATTTCTGGAACCTGTTAATATATCTTACATAGCAAAGCAGAATTAAGGTAGTAGATGGAATTAAGGGAGCTAATATTCTGACCTCATGATAAAAGGATTGTCCTGGATCATCCCATGGTCCCAAGGTAATCACAAGGTCTTTAAAAGTAGAAGAGAGATGCAGAATAGGCAGTCAGAGTGATGCTATCTGACAAGGAGTCCACTGGCCATTGCTGGCTTTGTAGGGGAAGGAAGGAGCCGCAAGCCAAGGAATGTGGGCAACCTCTAGAAGCTGGAAAAGACAAAGAAATGGATTTTCCCTTAAAGCCTCCAGAAGGAATGCAGCCCTGCTGACACCTCGATGTTAGCCCAGTGAGATCCATACCAGACTTCTGACCTCCAGAACTGTAAGATAATAAGCTTTTAAGCCACTAAGTTTATAAAAATTTGTGATGAAAGCAACAGAAAACTAATACAGTAGTTTATTTGTGCACGTTTCATAGTTTAACTCATCCCTTACAGGTGGACACTTAAATTGGTTCTCATCTTTTGACATCTCCTAGATTTTCAGTCAATAAATGGCAGAGCTAGGACATAAGTCTGGATCTCTTGCCTCTAAATCCACAGCTCTTCCTATTATATTATGTTGCCTCACAAAACTTTACTCATTTCCTAAGCATTTACTGAACTCCTCCTGTATGATAAGCACTTTGCTAATCTCTACAATGTGGCCTAAAATGAACCACATGATCTTTGGAAGGACCATTGAAGTTCCATAATTAAAAATCATTTCCACAGTACCTCTGTCAGGAGGATAGGATATAAACATCTCCGTCTTACAAGTCAACAGCTAAGACCCAGAAAGAATGACTATGAATTTTGTTTTTTATTTGTGTAATGGGTTGGGTTGTGGAAGGCATAAGAATTTCTTTCGAGCCCCACAATTACTCCAGGAGTACATCCACTTTTGTCTTAAGCTCCATTTGATGTCAGCCATTTTCTTTGTACTTACTAATAGGGATGTGGACATATGTGCACACATAAGCATATGACCAGCAGCCTCCTTGCTATAGCTCCAAAGTTCCTTTGATAATGAAGAAAGAAATTAGACTTCTGAGTCATTCTTAGACTCTGGGCAGTAAAGCCACAAAGTCTGGATGGCAAATTCACAAATGTGACATGTACTTGTTCTCAGTGTTTAGTAATGGTGCTATAATCTGCATAACCAAGCTCTGAAACTGAGCATTTTTTATTTGGGGGGGAGTTTATTATTTTATAATTACCCTATTTACATTTTAATGTAAGAATTAAGAAGATGCTCATCCTTATTTTTAATAACATTTCTAAATCAGCCTGAAACTGAAATTGGCTTCACTCTTCAGTGTAGAAAATACGTTTATTGAAAAATATGGAAGGCAGATGCACAGTAAACAGACTGCATTTTGCGGTTCTTCATTATCCATATAAAATGTACCAGAGTTGGCTTCATGCATTAAAATTCAATATGACCTAGTTTAAGTTCCTGTACCCCCCTTTGTCTAGCTTATATCATCTCAGTAGAACTACCCTGTTGAAAAGCAAAATGCTACAGCTTTATTTACACAATACACAGTTATGTAAATGAGCAAGCATTAATCACAAACATTTCCCAAATGAACCTTTACAAATTAACACCATTAACTTTGCCAGGGAGCAGGCATTGCAGTCCAGGAATAATATGCTTTCCAACTGAGTCCCAGACATTTGCACAAATGTGTGTATCACCTCAAGCCCTGCTTTCTTCTTGACCACCTTTTTTCTAACATGGTGTATCTAAGCTGAATGGGGCTGTCTAACCCTGAATGTTTCTTTATTCTCCAGTAACTGAGTATACTGCAACTGCAGTATGGTCATAAATTGATAAGCCTAAATCTGAATCCTGATCTTTTAGCTGGAAAATGCCATTTCCAAAGTTAAGCTTTGCCGGGGAAATGAGCTAACATACACTTCAGAAAATTTTTTGAGACTAACATTTATCTCATTTTGGCTAAGTTGAAATTGGCAGATCCCAAATAATTTCTAATTTACATATTCATTTCAATTCCTTGGAGGATAGTAGCAGAAGGATGAAAGAAAGTGATTCTTACACAAAATCAAATCTTTATACAAAATTGAATCAAAATCAAATTCTTAAACAGATTCTTACACAAAACAGGGCAACTTGATTCTCTTAAATGTTTAAAAACAGAGATTATATTATTATTATTATTAATATTGATCTCAGAACAGTTTATTATAAATACCCTTAATGTATTTCTGAGTCTTTTATGCCTTATAAGCAAATCAAAATGAAAGCATGGTGATCTTTTTAGTCAAGTTTTATATACTCTAAGTCAGAATTGACCCTGAAATTTTGGTACTCAGCATTAATACCACAAGTAATTAAGCATGAGATACATTGTCCCTAAATGTTGACCCCATAGGCTTTTATTACTCATTTGGAGCTAGCCCATTTGATTTTTCAAATTTACATTATTATCTTTGAATAACATAATAAACATTGAATCACTTAGAGTTTATATTTTATTTTGTATGGTACCTCTAGGTTTGTGATCTGTTGATATTTTTTATTTTGTTTTTTGGTGTCAGGTTATCCAATATCCCTATCTCTCATTTTAGCCTTCTGTTCTTTTTGCTGTGCTCTATTTTCTCATGTCTGAAGACATAAGGTGACAACCTCATGCCATTTCATTGATTTACATTAGAATGATTAAGTACAAATAGACAGAATATTAAGGGTTTGCTTAGAAGTTAAAATGGTAGGGTAATCAACCACTTGTATAAACATTTCTGTGGGTGACCTGACTGTGCTACTCTTTACTATAAATCTCTATAAGATTTCAGAAACTGCAGTCGTTCAATGACCTCCCTCAATTCCCATGTGCTACAGTTAGTGTGTAATTGGTACATCCATAATACCACCTCACTATGCATTTTGTGTCTGTCATCTCAGCAGTTTTCATTTGGATAAGGCAATTTAGGTTATGCCCTCCTCGGTCTTTCTGCCTATATCTCTTCTTTGGTTTTAATTTTATTCCAATTTCCTGGTTTCTTTAGCAGTTAATATAATACAATACCAACTCATATTTGTCTTGCCTGAACAAACTTCCCCATCTACCATCTGCCATTTAGAAGGCCTTAGTGCTGTCTCTGCTAGAGGCGCTGGCATTCTCTGTCACCCAGCAGAGACCTCAGCAGTCAAGAGATTAGGAAGGAAGCCACAACTTTGGGTTCCACATAACTCCCTTTCCACACGCTATTGGCTGATTTTGCATCTTCCTTTGCCACCAGACCTAACTCCACCTCTCTCCACCAGCTGCCATGAGGCAGCAAGTCCCTGCAGCAGCTATGTTTTTTCCTGAGAAATCAGATCAACTGGGAAACAGGAACCCCATTAGACACCATGTTTGAAGATGTCCCTTGCAGCAAAAGCAAAAGAGGCACACAGCTGCAAGGGTACCCACTTGGGTTTTCTGAAGGATCAAGCTTTTTATTTGTCATTATGTAACATTCTCCTAGGGGATTCCACATTTGGCTATTGACTGCCTGGTGCTTGCTTTTAACTCTAGAAATTCTATCTGCATGTTATGTTTCTCTTCCCCTGTGTTTTCTTCTAAACTATCACATTTCTTCTTCCTTTCTTCTCTACTCAATTTTCTCTTCTCTCTCTCCTCCAACTCTTCTCCTTTATCCCTTGTTCCTCTTTTTCTGGCACAAAAATGCAACAAATGCAATTTCCCCTGTCTTTCTTGGACATTTGTAATTTATTTATGAAGTTTTTTTAGCTTAACAACTGGATTCATTGTTTTAAATCAGAGGTATTTTACTTAAAAAGGCCTTTAGAGGGTTAAAAAATATATTGAGCATGTTACTTGAAACTCAAACCAACATACTATTTAAAAAATAAATTTACCTTATATTTTCTGAATATTCAGATACTCTGTAGTTGATGGTAGTTTACCCTAATGGGTTTGTCAAAAAAAAACTTTGAACATTCACTTTTATGTATATATTATACATTCACCTATATATATATGTATATTCACATATATAAACATTCACCTATGTACACACACATACACACATATACACATTCACTGCCTGCCACACATACACATCTACTGTGTTTCTCTTGAAAGCCCTTAAGATAGATAGCAGCTTCACATATATGAACATATAAGATAGATAGCATATTCACATATATGAACATTCACATATATATACACACATGTATATCTACACACACTCACTGCAGGCCACACATACACATCAACTGCATTTCTCTTGAAATCCCTTAAGATAGATAGCAGCTTCTTTAGTGTATACACTTGTAGCATATTTATATAATTCTAGATTGTATATACACAATTTCATATAAAGTGTATGTATATGTGTGTGTATGTTCAAGAATACTAGTGACTAAGCTATTAGATTTCACCCATGCAAATAGTAGCCTCTCATGCAAAACCTAAATAAGCCAAGGAAGTTGACCCTCACAGAAAAGTGACCTTATGATAAGGGGATTTGGAGAAAGTCACATATAAACTGAACTCTGCAGCAGGTGATTAAATAAAGAGATAACCACAGTAGTGATAATTTCATTGCTGGGTTAGGAACCAAAAAGCTAGTTGCAAAGTTTACATCTGCTGTTCAGCAGTACAAATTGTTGAATAAATGAATAATACTGTAAGTTTGAAAAAACCAACTGATTCTGTCAAGAAATATAATACTGAAAATAGAATCAATAGCATCAGATGGAAATCTAGAAAATGATAACCTGCTTTTGTCAAACATTTTACATTTTTGCCATAAATAAGACTATTTATATTGATTCTTAGGTTTAAAGAGTAGTGAAGCAGATAGGAGGTAATTAAAAGCATAAATCTCAGGAACTTGGGAAGGTAATTCTCTGCTTTGCAGACAGAGCTGACAAAATGATGAACATTTTTTGCTTCAATATGACAGAATTATAGCATGATTACAGGGAGCAGGGACATATTGTGCTAAAAGTTTCATTCAATAGCGGCTGTTTAACAAGCTCATAACAAAGTTCAGTCATCTTTTTTGAAGCATATAGTAGTCACTTATTAAATATAAACTTGTTTCCAAAGCAGCACTATAATATTATTT
The DNA here is from genome assembly GCF_000001405.40 of Homo sapiens. Taxonomy (NCBI): domain Eukaryota; kingdom Metazoa; phylum Chordata; class Mammalia; order Primates; family Hominidae; genus Homo; species Homo sapiens. The sequence continues at coordinate 179,509,322 of NC_000002.12, read as the reverse complement.
AAAAAGTCACAGCCTTTCTCAGCATTACCTTATTTTAAATGGGTATTTGGATAATTTAGGATTGATATTAAACTTATCAATGAAAAAAAAGAAAAGACTAGGTTAAATGTGAAGTTTAAAAAAGTGATTATGATGGATCACGACGTCAGGAGATCGAGACCATCCTGGTTAACATGGTGAAACCCCATCTCTACTAAAAATACAAAAAATTAATCTGGCGTAGTGGTGGGTGCCTGTAGTCCCAGCTACTTGGGAGGCTGAGGCAGGAGAATGGCATGAGCCTGGGAGGCAGGGCTTACAGTGAGCCCAGATCACACCACTACACTCCAGCCTGAGCGACAGAGCGAGACTCTGTCTCAAAAAAAAAAAAAAAAGTGATTATGATGACGCATAAATGTTCATCAAATCTTATATTTAACTAACAAGGAAATATACAATACACATCATTCAATATTTTTCTGGCTTTTCTTTAAATACATAGATGTCTAACATGATATGTTATTTTAGCTATTTATATGTGTTCAATGATATTCAAAGTTGGTGATCAGCCTAATATGATGTTATGAAAAAAAGAAAATATGAACATTACTAGGAAAGTAGCAATACTCACCCTCACTTATTATAATACAGTCTCAACAGAAAATGATTATCCATGATTCACCATCGAAATTGCAAGTTTTGGTACATTTCCATTAAATATTAGTTTGCTGATCAAACATTAATAACAGCTTTGAAAGTACTATGGGTTTTCTTTTTTCCTGTGTAAAATTCCTGTGTTAATAACTCTTTTAGTCAAAAGTAAAAGATTCCTGGAAGGATTTTTAAGTCATTTTTGTCAGTGACCTTTCTCAGCCAAAACTTGTCTCGCCACTTGGGAGTTGGAAAAAGATTGTTGAGGGTTTGTGTATTTTCCTTCTTTACTTGGTATGGATTTCTTTAGTGAAGGTTTGTTGCAGAATCCTTAACAATAAGATGTTTCATTATATATTTGTGGTTTGGGATTCTTCAGCTGAAAATTTATTCAACATACAATTAACAACAGGTAGAATTGCTAGACTGAACACCTGTAGCCTTCCAAAATGATTAGTTGCTGGTTTTAAGTTTAAATTCAGGCTTTAAGACATACTTGGTTTGCTGTAGCTTGTCTTTTATTCAGTATGCTTGAGCAGGCATTTGGCTATAGTTTTTACAGTTTAAGACAAAAACAAAAGTGAAGCTGAATGGAACAAAAAAAATAAGTTTACTACACTGCTTTCAAGTAAGAGACTAATTTAATACCGTTTAGAACATTCTGCAGAAGAGGTACCCTTTAGCTACTTTCATCTCTCAAGCGCTCTTTAAATGAAGCGACAGCATTTTGCCCTGGAAGCCATGAACTTTAGTTGTGGTGGGTCAGCATAAAGAGCAGTTTTTTGGGAAAGTCTGACTGGCTGTAAGGAACTTTATGATGTGTGGCTTGGGGATGGGGTGGAGGTGGAGACAGCATATGAGGAAGTATCACCTTAGCCAATTTTAAAATTTCAAGCTAAGAAGATGTTGTTGGCAAAATACTGTAGCTGGTTAACATGAGTTATTTAAGGAGAGTAAAAAAGCAGTGAACTTGAACAGGGAGTTAGGAGAAGAGAGTCAAAGTAGTTCCTGCCTTGAAAGGAAGATCTGAGAAATACCCTCCTATATCTGGTTATCTAGCTAGGGAAACAAAACTAATACAATTATAAATACTGCTGAACTGTATGATGTTAATACAGTAATATAAATTTAATTATAAATTTAGTAATGGAGACAGCACATGGGATAGAATAATCACACAAGTGGAAAGCTATCATTTGATTAATGCCTTCTCTTCTGCCAGGCCCTGTACTAGGTATTCTCTACATGTTATCCTTGTATTTGCACAAAGGTTCCTGGTGGAGGTAAACTGAGAAAGACTTGAGAGATGGTCAGGATTTAAAGGAGAGAGAATTGAAGACATAAAATATTAGAGCTAAACCAGGGCTTGTTGAGGATATGGCCCATGAATAGGCTGCAGGGGGCCTATGGGCTCCCTAAAACTATGTAAAATTTTGTGTGTCTGCATATCTGGAATGATGATCACTTAAGACATATGACTGAATCTTCCCTTCTCACAGGATGAATGTTCCACAGCTTCCTTTGGCAACATATTCTAGGATTTAATCACTTTTAGTTATTAATACTCCATCTTACCTAAATCTTTTTTTAAAAAAATGAAAAGAAATCTTTGTCTTTATTTCTCTCACTTTAGTTCTGCATTCTAGGGCTCATAGCAAATTTTGGGTTTGCTACTTAGAAAACATGTCAATGACAAGGACCCCGGAGAATATATGACCCTGTTAAGGCTCTTACTTTGGGGGCTGAGAATATGATTCAACTCATTAGTTTGTGCTTCCTTCAAATTAGAAAATGTGTTTTAGTTCTAATAAATAATAATTTCCTTACTTTATCAGTGGTATACCTAACATATCTGACACTCCCATTGCAGGTCATTTTTAATACTCCTTCCTCTCTAGGAAAAAGGCATTTTCAGAAATAATTGTGAAATTACATGACTAGTAACAATAGCCACAAAAAAACTCATAAACTTTTTTTAAATTAAAGTTTGAATACAGTACTATGCCACTAAATATTACCAGTGCACAAAAGAGAAAAAGGTAAACAGTTAATCTTTGTGTTACATTAATGTATTTTATAAATGGAGAAAAATATGTATATTAGTCCATCACAGTAATGAATAATACCATTATAGTAACAAATAAGTGAATTTTAATACAATCAAAATTATACAATATAGAGTTTAGATAACTATTAATTATACCACTGATATTACATTTTATTTTCGTTTATTTCTTATTTTTAAAGCACATAACTTTAAAAGATGCATACATTTCCATTTTAATGCTACCAGCCAAAATCGGTAAAATATTTTATGTATGAGCTACAATTTATATTTACCAAATAAGTTAATACACCTTACAGTTGCCACTGTCTCACTTAAGTCTAAAACACAAAAATTCCAAGTAATCACAAAATGAAAGAATTGAAATTCTGAAGTTTTGTTTCTTTGCCTTTAAATTCACTATACTATCATTATTGATTTCAAATCAACTATTAAATGCAAGAATCTGAGTGGCACAAGGTTTGCAAACTTGAACTGCATCTGAAACAAGCTTGAAGGATTCCTCACCATTAGGAACTTATACTAAATGGATGTAGAGGAGTCACTGTGAATTGGAAGTTCCGTCATGTAACTACAAGTTCTCTGTATTAACTTCCATGTAGTTAATTTAAAAATTTGAAAAAGCTCTCATTTTAGTCTTACATATATATTATTAAAACTCAACTGCAATCACAGCAATCATTTATTTAAAACTTAGACCAATAAAAAACTGTTTTTCAGAGAAAACTATTTTATTATTCGTTAAAACTACCAGTATGTTATGATGATAAAAAGTAGACTGATTTTTGGTCCGTTTTTTTATTGTTTTTAAACAAATGCAAACCCTATTTCCTGCACCTGAAGTGAACTGTCCCACATCCCTACCTTCCGTATACCAGTGACATTTGTTATTCGATTAATAGGAATTCTAGTTCTGCTTTAAATACGTGTTACATTTAGCACAGGAGGTACGTAGTGCTAACTTATAATCACCAAATAGTTTCCTTTTTATCTTCAATAATTCTCACTGAATGTTCTCTGAAAAGTAATTTTCATTATCTCTCAACTGTGAGCTTAAGGTGGTTACCCAGTTTTTCCTTGGAAAGAAATAACATTCTATAATATGAGGGACAGCTATGAAATCTTTTTATGTGATGATTTATTTTTATATGTCATGAATTTTTTTGGCCCTTTCTTATATCATTTGAGAGGAATGGAAAAGGCTAGATTCACTAAAGGAGTAGTTAGGTTGTTATAGTTTTGTAATTTAAATTGTTTAGGCCAACAAAATGTCCTATATACACTGCTAAACTAAAAATACTAACAATCTCCTTTTTTTTTTATAGTTGCTTTACAGTTTTTATTACACTTTTAAATTAAGATGTAATTTACATACAGTAAAATTCACTCCTTTTCAGTATACAAAAGTTTGTGAGATTCATGAATATGAGTTTGACGAATGTATACAGTCAAGTAACCTCTGCCACGGTCAAGATATAGAACAATTTCGTCATCCTCTCAAATTCCCCTGCGGCCCTCTGTATTCAACCATCCTCAAATCCCAGATTCTGGAAACTGCTGATCTGTTGGCTGTTCCTAAAGTTTTGTTTTTGCAAGAATTTCATATAAATGGAATTATACAGTGATGTGGTTTGGATCTGTGTCCCCACCCAATCTCTTGTTGACTCCTAATCCCCAGTGTTGCATGTGGGACCTGGTAGGAGGTGATTGCATCATGGGGGAGGATTTCTCATGAATGGTTTAGCACCATCCCCCTTGGTGCTGTCCTCATGATACTGAGTGAGTTCTCCTGAGATCTGGTTTTTTTTTTTTTCTTTAAATTATACTTTAAGTTTTAGGGTACATGTGCACAACGTGCGGGTTTGTTACATATGTATACATGTGCCATGTTGGTGTGCTGCACCCATTAACTTGTCATTTAACATTAGGTATATCTCCTAATGCTATCCCTCCCCCCTCTCCCCACCCCACAACAGGCCCTGAAAAAATGCTCATCATCACTGGCCATCAGAGAAATGCAAATCAAAACCACTATGAGATACCATCTCACACCAGTTAGAATGGCAATCATTAAAAAGTCAGGAAACAACAGGTGCTGGAGAGGATGTGGAGAAATAGGAACACTTTTACACTGTTGGTGGGACTGTAAACTGGTGCAACCATTGTGGAAGTCAGTGTGGCGATTCCTCAGGGATCTAGAACTAGAAATACCATTTGACCCAGCCATCCCATTACTGGATATATACCCAAAGGACTATAAATCATGCTGCTATAAAGACACATGCACACGTATGTTTATTGCGGCATTATTCACAATAGCAAAGACTTGGAACCAACCCAAATGTCCAACAATGATAGACTGGATTAAGAAAATGTGGCACATATACACCATGGTTTACTATGCAGCCATAAAAAATGATGAGTTCATGTCCTTTGTAGGGACATGGATGAAATTGGAAATCATCATTCTCAGTAAACTATCGCAAGAACAAAAAACCAAACACCACATATTCTCACTCATAGGTGGGAATTGAACAATGAGATCACATGGACACAGGAAGGGGACTATCACACTCTGGGGACTGTGGTGGGGTGGGGAGAGGGGGGAGGGATAGCACTGGGAGATATACCTAATGCTAGATGACGAGTTAGTGGGTGCAGCGCACCAGCATGGCACATGTATACATATGTAACTAACCTGCACAATGTGCACATGTACCCTAAAACTTAAAGTATAAAAAAAAAAAAAGAATGAAAAAAAAAAAAAGAAAATGTGGCACATATACACCATGGAATACTATGCAGCCATAAAAAATGATGAGTTCATGTCCTTTGTAGGGACATGGATGAAGCTGGAAACCATCATTCTCAGCAAACTATCACAAGGACAAAAAAACAAACACCGCATGTTCTCACTCATAGGTGGGAATTGAACAATGAGAACACTTGGACACAGGAAGGGGAACATCACAATCTCTTTTTAAGACTTAAACATTTACACAGATAGTTATAGAAGGGGATATTCATTAAAATCTGTAAATGTTGAGCAAATGATGAATGTCTATATTTGTAAAATAGAATAGAATTACTGAATTTGCAGATGTAGATACAAAAATATAAAATTTGAATATGTGGAAGACATTCTTTGTAAGCTAGCTTTCTAGAGATTTAAACATTGAATAATTGTCTTTTGCATTAGTTTTCATTTTCATAAATGCAGTAAATTCTTATTAAATTGGACTACATTAATTAGGGATTTGTGATCATTCAGGTGTAGGCAAATTGTACTTTTATTGGTCCAAATTCTTTCTTCAAAGATAATGCAAATGATTGTCGCAAAGGAGGTTGAAGCATAGAGATTTAGAGCACCAGCAGAACCACTTTTTCAATCATACTTAAGCACTTAAGGGCACTAATTAAAACACAAACAAAGATATGATACAAAATAATTCTTACCAGGCACAGTGGCTCATGCCTGTCTTCCCAACACTTGGGGAAGCTGAGACAGTCAGATCACTTGAGCCCAGGAGTTCCAGACCAGCCTAGGCAACATGGTAAAACCCCATCTCTATAAAAAATACAAAAATTAGCAGAGCCTGGCGACAAGTACCTGTAGTCCCAGCTACTTGGTAGGCTGAGGTGGGGAGATTGCTTTGACCCCGGGAGGTCAAGCCTGCAGTGAGCCATGATCCCACCACTGCACTGCAGCCTGGTTGAAACAAAAGATGATGGCAGTTTGAACCAAAATTGTTGTGGTAGAGATCTAAAGAATCAGCTTGAGTAGATAAATATTTAGGAGGTAAAATCTATTGGACTTGGTGATGGATTGAATGTGGGGGTGAAGGTAGAATGTGGCAATGAAGACACTCCCTGGATTTGGTTCCTTCAACAGATGCAGAGTGTATTAGTCCATTCTCATACTGCTATAAAGACATATCTGAGACTGGGAAATTTATGAAGAAAAGAGAATTAATCAACTAATGGTTCTGCAGGCTGTACAGGCTTCTGCTTCTGGGGAGGCCTCAGGAAACTTACAATCATGGCAGAAGGCAAAGGGGAAGCAAGCACGTCTTCACATGGATGGCAGGAGAGGGAAAGAGAAAGGGGAAGTGTTACAGACTTTCAAACAACCAGATCTCATGAGAACTCTAACATAAGAACAGCAAAGGAGAAGTCCGCCCCCAAGATTCAATCACCTCCCATTAGGCCTCTCCTCCAACACTGGAAATTACAATTCAACATGAGATTTGTGTGGGGACAAAGAGCCAAACCATATTATTCCTCCCCTGGCCTCTGCCAAATCTCATCTCCTTCTCACATTTCAAAGCACAATCATGCCTTCCCAACAGTCTCCCAAAGTCTTAACTCACTCTAGCGTTAATTCAAAAGTCCAAGTCCATAGTCTCACCTGAGACAAGGCAAGTCCCTTCCACCTGTAAGCCTGTCAAATAAAAAACAAGTTAGTTATTTTTAAGATACAGTGGAAGTACAGGAATTGGATAAATGCTGCCATTCCAAAATGGAGAAATTGGCCAAAACAAAGGGGCTATAGGCACCACCCAAGTCCAAAACCCAGCAGGGCAGTCAGGATCTAATGCCAATTTTGTATAATGATGGCACAACTTTGTATAATGTTTTGTATAATGATAGCACAACTTTGGAAACAACATATATATCCACCAGTAAGGGATTATTGAATAAATTATTGTTCATTCATATAAAATTTATTTATTTGCTTTTATTTTTATTTTGTGGGTATATAGTAGGTGTATAAGTTTATGAGGTACATGAGATGTTTTGATATGGGCATGCAATGTGAAATAAGCACATTGTGGAGAATGGGGTAGCTATCCCCTCAAGCATTTATCCTTTGAGTTACAAACAATACGATTATACTTTTAAGTAATTTTAAAATGTACAATTAAGTTACTATTAACTATAGTCACCCTATCGTGCTGTCAAACACTAGGTCTTATTCATTCTTTGTATTTTCTTTTTGGTACCTATTAACCATCCCTCACCTCTCTCCCAGCTCCCCGCTACCCTTCCAGCCTCTGGTAACCATCCTTCTACTCTCTGTGTCCATGACTTTAATTGTTTTAATTTTTAGATCCCACAAATAAGTGAGAAATGTGATGTTTGTCTTTCTGTGGCTGCCTTATTTTACTTAACATAATCCATCCATGTTGTTGCAAATGACTGGGCCTTATTCTTTTTAATGGCTGAATAGTACTCCATTCTGTATACATCCCACATTTTCTTCACCCATTCATCAGTTGATGGACTCTTACATTGCTCCCAAATCGTAGCTATTGTAAAGAGTGCTGCAACAAACATAGGAGTGCACTTATCTGTATGATGTACTGATTTCCTTCCTTTTGGGTATATACCCAGCAATGGGATTGCTGGATCATGTGGTAGCTCAATTTTTAGTTTTTCAGTAACCTCCCAACTGTTCTCCATAGTGGCTGTACTAATTTACATTCCCACCAATAGTGCACAAGGGTTCCCTTTTCTCTACATCCTTACCAGCATTTATTGCCTGTCTTTTGGATATAAGCCATTTCAACTGGGGTGAGATGATATCTCATTATAATTTTGATTTGCATTTCTCTGATGATCAATGATGTTGAACACCTTTTCATATGCCTGTTTGCCATTTGTAAGTCTTCTTTTAAGAAATGTCTATTCAAATCTTTTGCCCATTTTTTGATTGGGTTATTTGATTTCTTCCTATAGAGTTGTTTGAGATCCTTATGTATTCTAGTTATTAATCCCTTGTCAGATAGGTAGTTTGCAGATGTTTTATCCCATTCTATGGGTTGTCTCTTCACTTTATTGATTGTTTCTTCTGTGCAGAAGCTTAACTTGATGTGATCCCATTTGTCCATTTTTGCTTTGGTTGCCTGTGCTTGTGGGGTATTGTTCAACAAATCTTTGCCAAGACCAATGTCCTGGAGATTTTCCCCATTGTTAGTCTTGTAGCAGTTTTATAGTTTGAGGTCTTAGATTTAAGTCTTTAATCCATTTTGATTTCATTTTTATATATGGCAAGAGATGGGGTCTGGTTTCATTCTTCTGCATATGGATAACGAGTTTTCCCAACACCATTTACTGAAGAGACTCCCTTTTCCCTGGTGTATGTTATTGGCACCTTTGTTAAAAATGAGTTCACTGTAGATATCTGAGTTTGTTTCTGGGTTCTCTAGTCTGTCACATTAGTCTATATATCTGCTTGTATGCCAGTAGCAGCTCTGTAGTATATAATTTGAAGTTAGATAATGTGATTCCTCCAGTTTTGTTCTTTTGGTGTAGGATAGCTTTGGTGATTCTGGGTCTTTTGTGATTGCATATAAATGTTAGGATAGTTTTTTTTATTTCTGTGAAAAATGTGATTGCAATGAATCTGTAGATTGCTTTGGGTAGTATGGACACTTTAACAATATTAATTCTTCCAATCCATGAACATGGAATATCCTTTCACTTTTTGTGTCCTCTTCAATTTTTTTCATCAATTTTACAGTTTTCTTTGTAAAGAATTTTCACTTCTTTGGTTAAATCTTAGATATTTAATTTTATGTGTGGCTATTGTAAATGGGATTACTTTTTTATATCTTTTTCACATTGTTCACTGTTCACATATAAAAATGCTACAGATTTTTGTATGTTAATTTTGTATCCTGCAACTTGACTGAATTTTTTTTATCAGTCCTAATAGGTTTTTATGTGGAGAGTCTTTATTTACAAATATAAGATAATATTATCTGCAAATAAGGATAATTTGACAGTTTTCTTTCCAATTTGGAGGTCCTTTATATCCTTCTCTTGTCTGATCACTCTAGCTAGGACTTCAAGTACTATGTTGAATAACAGTGGTAACAGTGGGCATCTTTGTCATGTTCCAGATCTTAGAGGAAAGGTTTTAAGTTTCTCCCCATTCAGTATAATACTAGCCATAGGTCTGTAGTATATGGCTTTTATTATTAGGTGTGTTCCTTCTATCCTCTGTTTTCTTAGGGTTTTTATCATGAAGGGATGTTGAATTTTTCAAATGCTTTTTTAGCATCAATTGAAATGATCATATAGTTCTAATCCTTCATCTTGTTGATATGATGTATCACACTGATTGATTTGCATATGTTGAATCATCCTTGTATCCTAGGGATAAATCCCACTTGTCATGATGAATGATCTTTCTAATGTATTGTCTAATTCAATTTCCTAGTATTTTATTGAGGATTTTTGCATTGATATTCATCAGAGATATTGGCACACAATTTTTTTATGTCTTTGTAATGTGTAATACTGGCCTTGTAGAACGAGTTTGGAGTATTCCCTCCTCTTCTATTTTTGGAATAATTTGAGTAGGATTAATATTAGTTCTTTCAATGTTTGGTAGAATCTATTAGTGAAGCTATGGGGTCCCAGGCTTTTCTTTACTGGGGAGCTTTTTGTTACAGTTTCTATCTCATTACTTGTTGTTGGTCTTTTTAGGTTTGGGATTTTTTCCTGGTTCAACATTAGTAGTTAGTATGTATCTAAGAATTTTTACATTTCTTCTAGATTTTCCAATTTGTTGCTTTATAGTTTCTTATAGTAGCCACTAATGACCCTTTAACTTTCTGCAGAATCAGTTGTAATGTCTCCTTTTTCATTTCTGATTTTACTTATTTGGATCTTCTGTCTTTTTTTCTTAGTATGGCTAAATGTTTGCCAATTTTCCGTAACATTTTTCAAAGTCAAATTTTTGTTTCATTGATTTTTTTTGTATTGGTTTTTCATGTCAATTTTATTTATTTCTACTCTATTCTTTTTTTCTACAAAATGTGGGTTTGGTCTGCTCTTGCTTCTCTGTTTCTTTAAGATGCATCATTAGATTGTGTATTTGAAGTTTTTCTCTTTTTTGATGTAGGCACTTAAAACTATAAACTCTCTTAGTACTGCTTTTGCAGTATCCCATGGTTTGGGTATGTTGTGTTTCCATTATCATTTGTTTCAAGAAACTTTTTCATTTCTTCTTAATTTGTTCATTGAACCACTCATCATTCAGGAACATATTGTTTAATTTCCATATATTTGTATAGTTTCCAAAATTCCTTTTGTTATGAATTTCTAGTTTTATTCCATTGTGGTCAGAGAAGGTGCTCAAAATTATTTCATTTTTTTGATGTTTTAAGGCTTGTTATATGAGTTTTTTAAATCTGTTCTTGAGAATGATCCATGTGTTGAGGAAAAGAATATATATTCTACAGCCATTAGATTAAATGTTCTGTAAATATCTAATAGGCCCATTTGGTCTATATGTAGACTTGTTATATGTAGTTTTTTTGTGGTCTGTTCTTGAGAATGAGCCATGTGTTGAGGAAAAGAATATGTATTCTACAGCCATTAGATTAATTGTTCTGTAAATATCTAACAGGTCCATTTGGTCTATAGTATAGACTAAGTCTTATGTTTCTTTATTGATTTTCTGTCTGGAAAGATCAGCCCAGTGCTGAAAGTGGGTTGTTGAAGTCTCCAAGTATTATTGTATTGGGGCCTCTCTCTTTAGCTCTAATAACATTTCCTTTATTTATCTGGGTGCTCCCATGTTGGGTGCATGTATATTAAAATTTTTATATTTTGCTGCATTGACCCCTTTATCACTATATAGTGACCTTCTTTGTCTCTTATAGTTTTTGGCTTGAGATCTACTTTTTCTAATATAAGATATAGCAACTCCTACTATTTCTTTAGTTTCCAGTAGTGTGGAATATCTTTACATCCCTTAATTTTCAATCTGTGTGTCTTTACAGGTGAAGTGTGTTTTTTGTAGGCAGCAGATCAATGGGTTTTGTTTCTTCATCCATTCAGCCAGTCTGTGTCTTTTGATTGGAGAGTTCAGTGTATTTACATTCAATGTTATTGATAAGTAAGGACTTACTCCTGCCATTTTTTTATGTGTTTTCTGGTTGTTTTATGGTCTTCTCTTCCTTCCTTCCTTCTTTCTTTCCTTTTTGTGTTCCTCTAGTGAAGTCAATTTTCTCTGGTGATATGATTGAGTTTCTTCCTTTTTATTTTTTTGTATATTCATTGTATTTTTTTTTTGGTTTGAGTTTACCATGAGGTTTGCAAATAGTATCTTATAACCTATTATTTTAACCTGAAAAGAAGTTAACTCTATTTGCATAAACATACAAGCAAAAAGAAAACTAATAAAAAACTTAATGTCTTAATTTATCCCCCCACTTTTTAACTTTTTGTTGTTTCTATTTATATCTTATTGTACTATGTCTTGAAAAGTTGTTGTAGCTGTTATTTTTCATTGATTCATTGCTTAGTCTTTCTACTTAGGCTAAGAGTAGTTTACATACCACAGTTACAGTGTTATCTTATTCTGTGTTTTTCTGTGTATTTACTATTACAAGTGAGTTTTGTACCTTCACGTGATTATTTATTGTTCATCAATGTCCTTTTCTTTCTGACATACTCTCTTTAGCATTTCTTACAGAATAGGTCTGATCTTGATGAAATACCTCAGCTTTTGTTTGTCTGGGAAAGTCTTTGTTTCTCTGTTTGTTTGTTCATTTGTTTGTTTTTGAGACAGATTCTCACTCTGTTGCCCAGGCTGGAATGCAGTGGTGTGATCTCAGCTCACTGCAACCTCTGCCTCTCAGGTTCAAGTGATTCCTGAGCCTCAGCCTCTCAAGTAGCTGGGATTACAGATTTGCATCACCACACCCAGCTGATTTTTGTGTTTTCAGTAGAGACAAGGTTTTGCCATGTTGGCCAGGCTGGTCTCGAACACCTGGCCTCAAGTGATCCATCCTCCTCAGCCTCCCAAAGTGCTGAGATTACAGGCATGAGCCAACACTCCTGGCCTCTCCATCATGTTTGAAGGATATTTTTGTCAGATAGACTATTCTAGGATAAAAGATTTTTTTCCTTCAGTTCTATAAATATGTCATGCCACTCTTTCCTGGCCTTTAAGATTTCTACTGAAAAGTCTGCTGGCAGATGTATTGGAGCTCTGTTGTATGTGATTTGTTTATTTTCTCTTGCTGCTTTTAGAATCTTTATTTTTAACCTTTGGGACTTTGATTATTAAGTGCCTTGAGGTAGTCTTTTTGGGTTAAATCTACTTGGTGTTCTAAACCTTCTTGTACTTGTATATTGATATCTTTCTCTATGTTTGGGAAGTTCTCTGCTATTATGTCTTTGAATAAACTTTCTATCCCTGTCTCTTTTTCTACCTCCCCTTTAAGGCCAATAACTCTTAGATTTGCCCTTTCGAGGCTATGTTTTTAGATCCTGTGGGTATACTTCATTGTTTTTTTAATTCTTTTTTCTGTTGTCTCCTCTCTCCATGTATTTTCAAATAGCCCATTTTCAAGCTCACTAATTCTTTCTTCTGCTTCATCAATTCTGCTATTAAAGAACTCTGATGAATTCTTCAGAATGCCAGTTGCATTTTTCAGCTCCAGAATTTCTGCTTGATTCCTTTTAATTACTTCAGTCTCTTTGTTAAATTTATCTAATATAATTCTGAATTCCTTCTCTGTGTTGTCTTGAATTTCTTTATGTTTCCTCAACACAGTTACAATTCTGTGTCTGAAACTGTTTTTCTAGGATTGGTGCCTGATGTCTTATTTAGTTCATTTGGTGAAGTCATGTTTTCCTGGATAGTGTTGATACTAATAGATGTTCTTTGGGCATTGAAGAGTTAGGTATTTAGGTAGTCTTCACTGCCTGGGCTTATTTGTAGCCGTCCTTCTTGGGAAGGCTTTGCAGATATTTGAAAGGACTTGGGTATTGTGATCTAAGCTGTAACTGCTTTAGGGGCACCCCAATCCCTATAACGCTGCAGTGCTTGCAGACTCATAGAGGTACCACCTTGATGGTCTTGGACAGGATCTGGGAAGATTCTCTGGATTACCAAGCAGAGACTTGTCCTTTTCCCTTAATTTCTCCCAAACATATAGGGTCTCTCTCCATTCTAAACCACCTAAAGCTGGGGGTAGCATGACAAGCACCCGTGTGGCCACTACCACTGTGACTGTGCTGGGTGAGACCTAGAGCCAGCACAGCACTGGGTCTTACCCAAGGCCTGTTGCAGCCACTCCATGGCTGCTGCCTATGTTTACGCAAGGCCCTGGGGACTTTACAATAAGCCGGTGGCAAAGCCAACCAGGCCTGTTTTCTTCCCTTTAGGGCGGTGAGGTCCCCCAGTTCCCAGGTGGGTCCAGAAGTGCCATCTGTCAGTTGAGTACTAGAGTCAAAAACCTTAGAAGTCTACCTGGTGTTCTATTGTATTGAGGCTGAGCTGGCACACAAACCACAAAATACAGTTCTTCCTTCCTATTTCCAAAAGCAGAGGAGACTCACCTCATAGCCACCACCACCTTAGGCCATGAGGGGTACTGCCAGATTTCTGTCAATGTTCCCTTAAGGCCCAGGATCTCTTAAGTCAGCTTGTCATGAAGGCTGCCTGGCCTGGGACTCACCATTAAAGGCAGTGGGCTCCCCTTCTGGCACAAGGCAGGTCCCGAAATGCTATCCAAGAGTCCAGTCCTGGATCTGGGGACCCCAGGAGTACACGTGGTGCTCTATCCCTCTGTGGCCGTGCTGATATCTAAGGTGCAAGACAAAGTCGCCTTTACTTTTCCCTCTGTTTTTCTCAAGCAGAAGGAATTTTGCCCTGTAGCTACCACACAATAATAAAATAAATATACACAACCACTTTAAAAAATTAGAAAACTTTTTAATTACTCATATGAAATATCTTTAAAACCTATTGCTAAATAGAAAAGGCAAAGTGCAGAACAGCATATGTAGTGTGTAGGCACTTGTCTACAAATAAAAGAAAGAAAAAATACACATATATGTATACATTTGCTTGATAGGCATGTAAACAATCCCTGGCAGGATACACAACAAAGTGATAACAACTGGTTGCTGAATCTAAGAGGTAACTTTTCTCTGCTTTTTTTTTTATACTTTTAACTACGTAATTGTTTTACATAGATTTTTAAAAATACAATTTAAATTTAAAAGAAACAAAAGTAATTGCTAGCTAGCTGAACATAAAATTCCATCAAAATTATGGATGATTTATGTCCAAAAATTGCAGATATGTGAAAAATTATAAATATCCGTTAAGAAAATTATGTTTTTGAAGCCTTTCTGATTGGTCAGTGGGATTTAATTTTGAACCCTTTTCATCTCTTTCCTGGATGAGCCTCCTCTTCTACTTTGCCTCACCCCGAGCCTCTCCACTGTACACACATGGTTGGTTCTCCATACAGCAACCAAAGTGATCCTTTAATAAATGGAAGCCAAACAAGGTTGCTCTTCTGACTTAAAACACCCCTGTGATTCTGCATCTACTCAGAATAAAAATCAAAATCCTTACAATGGATATTTGGTGTTCCCTGAACCTGAAGTACTCTTCTCCCAGATATCTACCTGGTTAACTCCCTTACTTCATTCAGGTCTCTGTGAAAATGCTCTCTCAACAGAGTTTCCTTGATACTTAAAATGGCACGTTACACCATAGTCTACCCCTTACTTGTCTTTATTTTTTTATAGCATTATATAACATGTTCATAGGTGTATCACTTATCTGTTAACACTAATATATATATAAAAATTTATAATTTCTTATCTATGTCCCCATATTAGAACACAAGTTTCAGTAGACCTGTATTCCACAGCACTTAGAATAATGCCTAGAATACAATATGTATTCAATAGATATTTGTTGCATTGAACAATGGATGGACCCTTAGTGTTACATTCCTCCTTTTAGAATGTTTTTCTCCCTCTGCTATATATATATGTATATATACATATATGTATACATATGTGTATATACATATATGTATACATATATGTATATACACATATGTATACATATATGTATATACGTATATGCATATGTGTATACATATATGTATATATGTGTATATGTATATGCATATGCATATACATATATGTATACGCATATGTGTATACATATGCGTATACATATATGTACGTACATATATGTATACGCATATATGTACACATACACATATGTATACGCATATATGTGCATGTACACGTATGTATACGCATATATGTACACACATATGTATACGCATATATGTACACACACGTTTATACATATGTGTACACATGCATATATGTACACACATGTACACATGCATATACGTACATATATGTACACATGCATTTGTGTACATATATGTATGCATACATATATGTGCGCGCGCACACAAACCTACATATATATATACATGCCATATACATGCCATATGTACACATATACATGCCATATGCCTATATATGGTATTCACTTTTGTTATCCTCTACACAAGATTATAAGCTCCTAGAAGTCACAAAGCATGTCTTCTGAAACACCTATTACATGATACATAATAAAACAGTGCTAAATTGAGTTGAATTAAAACAATTCACATTGATGATATCATATATTATATGTATGACTTTTGTTATGACTATTATTGGTGAGTAGAACTTTTAGACAATATCACACAGAATCAGAAAGTGGAAACCCACTAGCATTTGTTGATTCTATTAAAATATTTTAGATTTTATCGGTGAATCAAAGTTATAGATACTATTATTTTAGTTTTGCCTCCAGCAGACCAATCTCTTATATGTGGAAGATTGACCCAATTAATTTTGAATGAAAACTTCTAGTTTAATCTGGCACTTTACTACAGAAACGGCCTTAGCATGACTCAGATGGGCTAAGCGACTACTAAAGATGTGTTTTCATTATTTTCTCTTAGTTATATTGTGTTTTGAAGGTATCTGTTATTAGTCTTCACATTTACATATTCCACTTAATTTTGAATTATAAGATATCTTCTAGGTTTTAGTAATTGGTTTCGGTTTTGGAGTATGAATTTTACAAAAACCTGTTTTGTGAAACAGGTTTTCAAATGAGTAATGATAAATAACTAATATATTAAACATATATAAAATATTACTAATGCTATTTGTCAACCAATTCTCTGAGCATTGAACTTTCAAAGTTACTTTGCCACTTTCATCTACATTAAGGATATTGTTTGTCAAACAAAAGGAGACACAATGTAAATTCTAATTTCAGATTTATTTTGTATTATTTATGTAAATTTCCTTAAAGTGGAAATCAAAGTAAGTGTAATACCTTCTGGACTGATTAAAAATTAATGTGTGGAAGCCTGGGAGCCTAATTTAAAAGACCATCAGAAGACTTGAATCAGTTAGCTATAGAGTCACAGCTTTAATGCATAAACTTGAATTATATTGCATTACTTATCATTGAGTAACAAAAATTGCTCTTATGAAGCACACAATGGCAGTCTGTTTTCCCACTGAAAGATAGCAGTACTCTCAAACACATTAGCAACTTGGGATATAACTGTGAAAACACTATAAACTCTGAAATATCCTCCTTTGTATGTCAAAGTAGCTGAGAATTATCAACTAAGATTTCCCAGTTTAAAATAAGATGTGAATTAATTTGAGGGAGATGGGCAATTTCTATTTTTAAATCCTTTTGGGAAAATCATAAAATAATTCAAAAATAGTAATTACAAATTATAATATTTTGTGTCATATTATAAAATAAAAGATGGCCAGGCATGGTGTTGCACACCTGAATCTCAGCGCTTTAGGAGGGCAAGGCAGTAGGATCACTCGAGACCAGGAGTTTAAGGCCAGCCTGAGCAATATAGCAAGACCTCACCTCTCCAAAAAATTTTTTAAAAATAGCCAGGAATGGTGGCATGTACCTGTACTCCCAGCTACTTGGGAGGCTAAAGCAGGAGGACAGCGTGAGCCCAGGAGTCTGAGGTTGCAGCAAGCTATGATGGCCCCTCTGTACTCCAAGCTGGGTAACAGAGTGAGACCCTGTCTCTAAAATAAATAAATAAGCGAATGAAAAATAAAAGATATTATCCATGTGTTTTATTAAATCTCTAAAGGTCAGAACTTCTAAAAGATGAGGTCCTTATATACATAATTCTTTGAGAAAATTAGATATTTTTATAAATTATAATGGTTCCCATTATTTCATATTTAAGATTATGTTAGTAGACAGAGAACTCATTTTCTCACTCTGGTATAACAAAGAATATAGTTCATCAAGTGCATTATTCATGAAGTTTGTGATTTGCCTCCTCTTATGATTTGAGAGAGTGGCTAAAGGCATGCTTTGCCAGGTTTCATTTACTTCATGTGGCCTCCCTTAAGATGTAGTGCATATACTAAGAGTTTACATATACATTTGTCATTAAATTGACTCAGATATTGATCCCAATCCAGAAGGTGAAGTAAATATACCTCTTAGAAATTCTAAAATTGTAATATAATTTAAATGGAGAGTTAAGCAGTCTTGCTTTCTTAAGCAAGATACTTCTTGATGAATTCTTAAATAAATTGTGATGATGTTAAATTGTGACATTAAATAAAAATCATTTTATTACTCATTACCTATGTTGAAAAATTCATATAAAACTACTTCCATTAGGTTTGTGAGAGAAAAATCTTTTTAAAAATAAAATGTCTATAATTTACAGTATTCATTCATAGAATTAAGGAACTAATCATCTGAGATTAACTTTACCTTGGTATATATATAATAAACTTATTTATAAAAGAAGATGATTTTTCATTATGGCCTGATTTGAAATACAGGAGAGAACTAGAGGAGAGAGAGAGCACAGAATTGAACAAATGGAAAGATTTGTGTTCAGATCACAGTTGATACAGCCAAGCTTAAATAATTGTCTCTCTTATGCGCTGTGCTACTCAACCCCAAACTAGTAACATATAGCATCAGTGAATATCTAGGGGAAGAAATGTAGATTGCTGGGAATCATCTAAATTAATAATCTGCCTTCCAGTAATTGAAAGTGAAATATAAAACTTACTGGGAAAATGAGACAAAATTTTATTCACTTGAAACTCCATTGTAAGAAATGATTTTATTTTTTAAAAGCACTTTTTTTTTTTTACTATATTCCAGCTGATTTTTAACTCAAACTGCAGCACCTTTCTAATTCATCATGTAAATTCTGTTGTAGTTATTTGGTCCATTTATAACTTCTCCATGTTTCTGTGTGTAAGTAATTCCACCAATGAGTCATGGGCAAGAAACATGAGCATCAAGACTGTTGGCTGATGAATAAACACATTTGAAAAATTAATTTCAAGCCCTCTAAAGATCTCAGCATTTTAAGAAGTGAATTTTGCCTACATTGAAGTTTTCTGATAATGTGATTGAACATATATATGTGTGTGTGTGTGTGTGTGTGTTTGTGTGTGTAATGCTCATATATTCAAATAGTGGTATTTCAAAGCAGCCATAACACAAGAATTGTAATTCTATCTTATAATATTGTTAGAATCTAAATTGGGCCCAAAAAGAATTAGCAGTCTAGAGTACACATCATTTTCTTCTTAGAAAGCAACCACTTTCACTTTAGTAACATAGAAATATTTGGAGTTGATGGGTTTATTTACATCTATATTATAAAGCCAATAAATATAGAATGTCATAGGTACAACTCTGGCCTGGCACAATCCAGAAGATACTACGAATGTTGAAATATATGTGAATAGTGCCCTGCAGAGTTATGCAGTGTGATGGCCCTAGACAGGCCATAGCAACTTGTAGCGTTTCACTAGCTATAAATTAGCAATTAGCAAAGACATTATACCTTTTTAAGCTAAAAAGCTCATAATAGTTATAATTTTGTCTGGACTTTGTTTTCAACAATCCCAATAGATGAGAATTGAATGAAGTGAATATCAAAGCCAATAGTATGTCATTACTGATATTGCAGGCCTTACAATTGCAAATATCAGCAGAAAAACTTACTAGCAACCTTTGGATATGTAAGCCTTTCTCTTGGGTATAGCTCATGCTTCCTATATTGTAGCTTTGTCTCTGAGAGTGTGTGATCTTATGAATGCCAGAAATATATGCAGAAAGCATTGTAATAGTAAAAACAGTTTTATCTTGAAACAGTGACTCAAGTAATTATTTATTTCTCAGAAAACTTTAGTTTCTTAGTATGTTTAACTATAGCATTTTAAGTGCCTTGCTTTTATCTCAAATAATTATTAAAGCTTCAATATAAATAACTTAATTAATTTAATGTAAGATTATGGTTTGGAGCAGAGGATAAAATCTGTGATGTAAGAGCAGCATCTTACATCCTAATCATTTTCTATACAAAATGCCTACAAATAGAATATTTGATTTTTAATTGAAAACACTATGGTATGTTTTTGTGGTACAGGGAACCATTTTCAAGGTAGCACAACGTAGCAACCTTTCCCTGTTTTTCCCTTAATATGTCTATTCTAGTGAAACTGAAAAGTGTATGTGCCCAGGAAACACTGTATAATACACAGGACTCAGTGCCCTAGCACATGTTGTTCCCTTTGCCCGTAATACCTTCATCTCCATTCTGCCACTTCGGAGCCCGGCCCTTGCAGCAGAACCCAGCTCTGATACCCTCTTTTCATGGAGCTTCCTTGATTTCCTCAATCTGAAGAGATTTACCTCTCTCCTGATTCTCATATTCTTTGTTTCTTGGTACCTCCCATTTTATAATTCTGCCTTCTGCTTTGGATTATAGTTATTTGTATGCTTGTCTTTTCTTCCAACCACCATTCTGGCAAGTAGGGGTCTTTGTTTTTAATCGTTTACAATATCTAGCCCATGGCAGGTACTAAATAATTTTTTGCAGAATAAATCATCAGGTTTCCCCTTTGTTAGTTTAGCCTGTTTTATGGTCGCTCATTTGACATATGTTTTATTTGGCATTTTAGTATATTGGGTTTTCCTGAAAATTAGCTGACCTTTGCTATTTCCCTTATAACACTGCTTAACACATTGAAATCTAAGGTCTCAGGAAAAAAACAGATGCCAGTAGTTTTAATTATGCACTTTCTTTAATTAAGGGAACAGTTCTAATTACTTTTTAAAATGCAAAAAAAGGTTGGTTCTATTGGTAAATATATAGGTAAGTACTTTCTCCAGGGCCATTGTCTTTCCCCAGTCACTTTGTGAGTTTTTCCTTCGACTGTTTTTTCCATGCAAAGTGAGCACAGTTTAATGTCCTCATTCAAGATTCTAGCCATGTCTCTGAAGTCCAAATTAGAAATAAGGTAAAAATCAGGCCGTGCGCAGTGGCTCTCGCCTGTAATCCCAGCACTTTGGGAGACCGAGGCGGGCGGATCACGAGGTCAGGAGATAGAGACCAGCCTGGCCAACAGGGTGAAACCCCTTCTCTACTAAAATACAAAAAAATTAGCCGGGCGTGGTGGCACATGCCTGTAGTCCCAGCTACTCAGGAGGCTGAAGCAGGGGAATCACTTGAACCCGGGAGGTGGAGGTTGCAGTAAGGCTGAGATTGCACCACTGCACTCCAGCCTGGCAACAGAGTGAGGCTCCGTCTCAAAAAAAAAAGAAAAGAAAAGAAATAAGTAAGGTAAAAATCAGAAATGAGAGCACAGTGAAGTTTAGAAGTTTTTGGGTTACATTTTTGTTTTTGAAGCACTAAGTTATCTCATTCTTTATCTTTTTTGTTTGCAACAATGGGGTTCTAAGAAATTCAGAGGATTTGAGAAAGTGAAGAGCTTTAGCAACAAAGGTTATTAATGGAAGAAAACATTCCAAGTTGTCATTTCCTATCAAAGCTGTTCTTCTTTCAGTGGGTGTCAGGTAATTACCAGAGTGGCCTTCAGAGAAGAACCTATATGCTGATGAATTCTTATGTGAAGGTCAGTGTAGTGGTTTGGGCGACTCTTTCTAATTCTGGCAATTCTTGTGAAGAGGTTTCTTTGGTCACTGCCAGTTAGGGGCACAGCAGCACTTTAGGAGGGGAAGCAGAATGCAAGCCATTACTGCTAGACAAGCATGTGTCTGCTAATTACTCATTGGGTATAAAGTAAGTCAGCTTGGCCAACCTAGTCTCTTAGAAGTGTCACAAGAGCCATTGTTGATGGGCTTGACGTGTGTTGCCTAGTTCATGGGTTTTCTGGCTCCTGTCCTTGTTTCTTTCACTCCTCAATTAAGAAGATTCCTAGATAATGAAGTCAGGTTAATCTTTTGCTACTTAACAGTGTCTCAGTTTCACTTGAAGATTTGCCCAGCATTTAGAAACTGTTGACACTGCCTCAGACACAGTACTAGGGATAGCAAAGTGCCACTACTAAGAATACCACAGGAGAATGGGAAAGATGCCAAATATAAGGAAGTGGCACTTGCCATTCTGTCTTTATTTCACAGTCTTCCACTCCATTTTTCCCAAACAACAGTCAATAAAAGCTAAAAAGCCTTGTTGCACTTCTCTCCCTGACCCTGAACTCGAAGCAGAAGTGGATCATGGCTATGGAGAGTTTTTTCCATCTTGGCCAGTGAAGTGTCACTTAGCTGGATCCTCATCCCAAGTGTTAATTGACGCTGTTAACTTTCGGCACTGATGCCAAGAAATAGTAATGAGGAAATGACACTGTTTATCTTGTACTTGGAGGTTTTATTTAGAGAACCATATGTTTCTTTAGCCAAAGGGCACTAAAGTAACGCTGCACTATTTAGTGTACTGTGAAAGATGAGTTTTTAGCAGGTCTTATGATACGTTGTAGAAATTGTTGTATATTTAAAAAGTTGAACTTTTTTTTGTTTTTTGTTTTTTGTTTTTTTTGAGACGGAGTCTCATTCTGTTGCCCGGGCCAGAGTGCAGTGGCACAATCAGGGCTCACTACAGCCTCGACTTCCCAGGCTCAAGTGATCCACCCACCTCCTCCCCACAAGAAGTTGGGACTACAGGCATGTGCCATCATGTTCAGCTAATTTTTTTGAATTTTGGTAGAAACAAGGTCTCGTAATGTTGCCTAGGCTGATCCCAAACTCCCAAGCTCAGGCGATACTCCTTCCTGGGCCTCCCAAAGTGCCGGGCTTACAGGCACTGCACCTGGCCTAAAAGTGGAACTTTCTTTACTCAACAGAAGGATCAGACCTGGTGTTTAATATTAGCATATTTCCCATGAATTAAGTACGTATTTCCTACTCATAGAAATTTCTATAGGATTAAGTTATAATCCTTCTCTGAGTCATTAAAAGCAGCATGCTATCTTTGTGTATATTTTTTACTTCTAATAAAATTATAACATTAACTTAGTGTAGGTATGTATATGTATAATGTGGGTATATAATTAAATAGGGATATGCTTGTAAGCATTTTATATCTACCATGGCTTCTCCACCCACCTGTGTGGCTTTTTATAAGTTATTTAACTTCTCTATTCCCAGTTTCCCGTTTGTAAAGTGCTGGCCAATAATGCCTATTTCATAGGATATTATAAGGATTAAATGATCTAAAATATGTAATGCATTTAGAATTGTGCCTGAAAGAGTAAGCTCAGTAATATTAATCATTATTATATTATTATACTACATTATCAATTTTTAATTTTTATTTGCATATTTTCTTAATGTATAACTACCAAACTATATTAGTTGGATTCAAACATTCTTGGTTGGTAATAAATAAAGGCCCTAAAATAATGTTACACTTTTCTCCCCACGTGATTATTTTTTTTTCCAACTTGACAGAGAACAACATGAGAAGTCCTTGAGCAAACCAAGTAAGAGCAATGCCAAGTCAATGAAGATCTAAAAAGATATGTATGAAAAGATATTCAGGAAGTTAGGGACCATGTATAGTCAGTAAAAGGCTATAGACCTTGGGTGACCTGGGTTATATGCTAGGGAAATCACTAATATGTCCAAAACCTATCCTTAGATTACACTACTACCAAAGCAATATTTTTTTCCCCAGCCACCTCCCGCCCTACAAGAAATAACACAGCAGAATCAAGGTACACTGAAAAACAGACTGTGGCATGAATCTATCACCAAGCTTCCATTTAAATGGGAGAGCAAATATATAGATATGATGTTTAACTCACTGCATGACCCTTAACACTTGTGACTATATCATCTATAATATTTGGCATGAATAAATTCATCATCATCATTTATAAGCTTAGGATAAAGTAGGCCTATCACCCACCAAGATCTGGAAGTAATGCTGGCATTGAAGTGGTGCTCACCATCACCAGTTCTGCTGAACTAGCTATGGCTGGATGTCTGAAGATAGCAAAGCAACATGTCCTGGTAAGCTGGAGTGAAACAAGCAGGAAAGTCAGAAGAAACACTTCAACAACACACAATAATCAACCTTAGATGGCTTAATCTAATCATGGCATGTTAAAAGAGTGCTTTGTCTCTAGTAGTTAGTAGTGAAATGGTTCCACTTAAGCAAAGGGCAGAAGGAGGATTGATAATAACCAAGGCTTCAAGCAATCAATGATATTATTATAAAAGGGACTTTATTATAGTCATACTCTCCACTAATGATCTTACCAGAAGAATCATATATTCTTTCTGCTGCCTTCCTTTCTGTGTCATCTCTTTTCTCTCATATTCAATCCAACAAACATGTAATAAATAGCTGTTGCAGAAGTCTTCCCCATTTGGAATTTGTGTGTATCATCAGGCCTCTGCTTGAGAATCTCACCTCAGTGGTGACCTTCTCTACATAACTACACATCTAGTTTCCTTAACCTCATGTTGATGATGTTCCACCAAGAGGCCTATGTAAGCACTTCTCCAGCTATAGCCCTCACTGTTCCGGCACTCTAGCGTCAGTACTTTCCTTAGGCCTGCATCCTCCAACTAGAAACGTACTCTTTGCTACTAGTGTATATGCATCCCTTTCCTCAAATCTCAAATCAAAAGTTACCCATTTAGGAAGTCTTCATTAATACCACTCCCCTCTGGTCCATTTTTTTGTTGTCCTGTATCTCCCATAGCATGCATCTTTCGCTGTTTTAGCTTACCCTTGTATATGGATAGCTCTCCATTGAACTTCTTACCTCATGTATGTGTGAAACCTCATTGGACCCTAAAGACAGAGACCCATTCTGTCTGTCCAACTATCGCTTCCAACTACCAACCTACACACACACTTATCACCTGTATTCTGCTTGTTGAGGAGAATGAGTGGAAAGGTTCATTTAATCCTCTTCAAACACATACAAGTATATAAAGAAAACTGATGGTTTTTAAAGTTATTATTTCTTTAGAAATCCTCTAACAAAAGTTCATCTTGCTTTGCATAAGATTTGTCATCCATTTCACTTTATAACTAAGCTAATATACCATTTATGTTTAGTTTTGTTTCTTTTCACTAAATACATGTTTATGTTTTTTCAGAGTCTTTTCAAAATTCAATTCAAGTGAATATATTTAGATTATTTTGTTAATGTATATATTAATACTAGATGCCAATAAGAGAAAAGCCTTGTTGTTTAGGCAGAGGAAAATTTTCCAAATGTCAGTAAGTTGATTAAATGTTTTCAAGGCTTGTTGTAATTTGTTTTTGTGTTTTGTCTTGCTCTTTCTTTTTCCTTTTGATCTAGTACTGAAGTTAGAGTTCTACATATGCTTTGTGTATAAATGAATTTAACACTAACAACTTAGGCTTCAGAATCACATCTGAGATCAGAAACAAGGGTTTTTTCCTACCTCCTTTGTGGCTTACATTATCTGTTCTTGTAACTGGAATCATCAAAATGGTACATGAAGTGCATGTAGAGCTTACCAAAAAATTCAGTGTCATTTTCACTCAGTAGCACCTATTAACATGTTTTATCACACCAGTTGGTCTCAGAGCAGAGCCCAGAAGAAAGTAGACACGTGGCAAACAGGATTTTAGTTGAAGGGAAATGACTGTGGAAGGTCATACCCACAGGCATGGGTAGGACACTCAAAGCCCCTGCTGCCAGCCAATGTTTGAAAAGTAGCCCCAATGGGCACTGGTGGGAGGGCACTGATGACAAAGCTCACCTGTGTCACAGTTTTGCCCTAATCCTTTTGTCCACTCATATAATGTCTGGTTTTTTAAAGATGCAGGTCCTTTGTATTGTATAGGAGGTTTTGATATGCTACACCCTCTTAGGAACTGGTCTACCATTTCATGAAGTGCCAAAAACATAGTCAGGTACTGAGTTGTAAATGTCTGTGGTGCCTATGATAGAATGTATTTTTCTCCTGCATGATCATCCACTGTGGTGTTTGTAATTAGCAAAAAAATGAGCCTGATTTGTTCTCCTTTGTAGAGCCAGGCCGAGGCCCACTACAAAGGAAGTAAACATGCCAAGAAGGTCAAAGCACTAGACGCAACGAAAAATAAACCCAAAATGGTTCCTTCCAAGGACAGCGCAAAGGCTAATCCCAGCTGCTCCATCACTCCAATCACAGGCAACAACTCTGACAAATCAGGTCAATGACACTTTTTGTTCTTTACATTCTTTGTGTTTCTCCTGTTCCCCTGCCCTGACCCCGTTTTCCTGCCCTCAGTTGTTGCATGTTACTCTCCATGATTTGTTTTTGTGATATTAATATGTTTTCTTCACGGGAAGGATTATATGTTTGCACAGAATCTAAGCATTTGATATGTTTCCATTCCATGTTATTAAATATATACGTTTAAGTATATATGTGTATATGTAAATATATATATATATAAGTATATATGCATGAAAACAAGTAGAGACTACTTGATCACAATGTGTTCAGACTAAAATCAGGAAATGGATCTAAAATACTGAGCTTATTACTTCTTTCTATTTATTTTATGTGTGTTTTTTACTATAGACTTTTTTATTGAAGGACTCCTTAAACTTGTTTACTAATAGATATTTTTATGTTCTCTTACTGTAGTAAAAAGGAGTTGAGGAGCCAAAGGGGGGAACTTTCTGAGAGAGTAGCATTACTAAATGAATCTGGAAATGTGCTTAGTAATAAAAGATGATGCTTTTTGAAGATCTTCAGAGTTCCCCTCAGAGTTACAAATGGACTTACATATTTTAAGGGAATGATTTCCAACGTTACAAACTGATTAACAGAAGACCTTTATATATAAATGGAAATGGATTACTAGGTGAAATGCCTCTGAAGAAGAGTCTATATTTCATAGTCCCAGTGAATCGGCAGAATTTCTGAGTAGGTTCATTCAGTGGAAAGAGAAAAAAAATTCATTTTTGTAGCATGGATACCATGAAATTGGATGTTTAATAGGCTTCCACAATTCTCACATCTGCCCCTCTGGGCCCATGACGGATATGTCATCTTGTTTCAGTGACTCTTTGAGGAACAGTGTCTGTTAAAGGAGACTGAGAGAATATGTCCCTTTTTCTTATGTTTGATGTTCTCTTTAGGGGCCTCCCTCTTGTGGGAAACACACACATTTCTGATTCTTTTCTACTTCTCAAATCATTGGAGAATTTTTGAAGGAGACTTAAGACTGCTTTCCCGTGGCTTTTGGAGATGATCAAATCCATTACTGTAAGAGGAAGGTTCAGAAAATCTGTTCAAACAAAGAGACTATGGAAAAAGGGACCATTATTGATTAGGCCCTGTAGATGCTGGCTCCAAAAGCTCTTCAGCGTAGAAGGATTGAGCTAAGCTAAATTTGGTAATAAAGACTTTTTGTTCTTTGTACAATAGGATCACTAAATCATGTTATCTGATGAACAGATATAGTCATAAATGCCAGATTATTACATAGTATGTCTCCCTCTGTAAAGAACAAAACCTTCTGACATATATTATCTAATTAGTCTTTAATCAATATCTATCAGGTATAATATCAAATATTATCTCTATTTTTCAAAATTGCAAACTGGTGAGGTACACAATGTGGCAGTTATTTGCTGGAGGCTACCCAATGTTTGGAAGAGCAGGAGCCTGCTGACTTCTTGCCTGGTTTCGTTTAATGCAGGATATCACTGCCTTTATGGAATAATACTCTGCAAAAGGTTTTGTTATCTAAATTATGCTCTTTACCTTCCAGCAAAACATATAAGTAAAATGATAAAACAATGGAGGTTAGTGCCACTCTATTCTTTCAGCTAATAGAACAGTTGGTAGGTACCATACATGTTACAACGTTGCTACTGAGTGAACTCAGTGTTCCACTTAAGTTATATTATTATTTGAAAATTGGGTTGGCTGTAGGGATAATAGTAAAAGTAATAAGCAGAAAATAGTGTCAAAATCAGAAATAGAGATGGAACAATCAGAGAAGAATCCATTTTTTAAAAAAGCAGATAATTAAAGGGAGAAGGAAAGGTGTGGAAGAAGAGAAAAAAATAGAAAAAAAAAAGTCAAAGATGAGGAGATAAAACCAAGCAAAGAGCAATACGGAAATAGAAAATCGAAATAAAGGGGCCCGGATTATAGTTACAGCATGCCTTATACCTATGAGATGACCAATTTCAATGAGTATATTTTGAAATAAAGTTTAAGGATTCAAGGCTTTCATTCCAATACTCAAATGTTAGCGGGTGCTCAGTAAAACAAAGACACTTTCTAAGCAGTTGTGTTTGCCTACAGAGCATTTGGAAAACACCAGGATAAAGCATACCAGTGGTGTGAACAAGGAACGAGAATTAAGATCTAAAACCCAGGAGAGAGGAAAACAAATCTCAACCACAGCATCTCTTCTTCAGTACCTATGTGGTGGTCTTTCTTCCTGCATTCTCTGCTTCCTCTGCCACTCTTTTACCCACCTCCTAGTACCTGTAGTCTAACAGTATTGATGTCACTCACTTTGTGACTACAGATTTGGACTAGAAGTAATAGAAACCACCTATATTTGGAGGTTATCTCATTTTTCATGTTTCCTTACTCAAAATCTGTATAAATTATTTGGTAACTCATTTGCTGGGCCATTACTTTTTGTTTCTCTGTGTTTGGTATAAGTATTAATACTAACAAAATATTGTATTTGTTCTATTATACTTATAAAAGCTACACCAAAGTCATTGAAAGATGGCACTTAAAAAAAAAAAAGGAGTGCATTTGCTAAATAGATACATGTTCTTTTGTCACCATCAACCATATGTCAGCTTCTAAGCAAGAATTCCCACATGAGTTTTATGGAATTTTCAAGTTGGAAAATTAAAAGCTTTGCCCAGATGGGAAATCTGGTCCAAACAACGTAATACCTAATGTATTGTTAATTGCCTGTTTCTAAATTCTTGAAAAGCTCCCACAGCTTTGTCAGAGTCATAGATTTTTGTTGATATCTGGCTTTCATTTCATTTAAAATCCTGTTTTAGAAAAACACAAGACACAAAAATCAGTGCTTCACAAAAGGTCTAGGTAAAATGTAAGGAGAAAGAAGGTGGGAAGAGGAATGGTGACTGTGATAATTGACTGAAATGTTTTATTTCAGACAATGTTGCTTTAAGGAGTCAGACAAAAATTAGAGTAAAAGTCACAGTGAAAATTCATGGCTCACTTGCAAATCTCATGGGACTGAAATTCCCCAGCATTGGTCTTTTTCTTCTGAATGAAGAGTTCCTGTCAAGTGGGCTTAAGTAGTATCTGTGATTCTCAGATATTTAAATGAAAAGTGAAAATGTTACTCACGTGATGTTTCAGCTGCCAGATTTCAACTATGCAGGCACTCACAACATCCATAGGCTTGACTAATTCCATTTCCATTCTCGCGTTTTAGCATCAGTAGCTGAGCAGCAGAGTTTTGTTTACATTTTGAAAGAGAGGGAATAGCCAGGAGTTAACAGAGGGAGCTTCTGGGAGAGCAGCATTCTGGGAACATCCTTTAAGGCAAGGTGTGATTTCAGGGTATTCAACAAGAAACTTGTGACCCACAGATGAACTTTTTTATTTATTTATTTATTTTTTTGAGACAGAGTCTCGCTCTGTTGCCCAGGCTGGAGTGTAGTGGTGTCATCTTGGCTCACTGCAAACTCTACCTCCCACATTCAAGCAATTCTCATGCCTCAGCCTCCGAGGAGCTGGGATTACAGGTGCCCACCACTAAGCCAGGCTAATTTTTGTATTTTTAGTAGAGTTGGGGTTTCACCATCTTGGCCAGGCTGGTCTTCAACTCCTGACCTCAAGTGATCCGCCTGCCACGGCCTCCTAAAATGCTGGGATTACAGGTATGTGCTACTGTGCCCAGCTGGTGAACTCTTTCTGCTCCTCGAGAGCACACATTATTTATTCTAAGAAGTAATCTAAAAGGCTTCCAAGAGCTAAGGAAGCCCTCTTACCTGCTATTTTGGCACTTGGCACAACCATTTTTCTCTTTTATGTTACTTTTGGAGACATAATTTGGTTCATGTTGTATCCAGATCTGTACAATGCAAAGAGATTTGTTATAATGGAGCTATTGTGTATAAAAATTTCGGGATATCATGGCAAGCTTTCTTTTTTTTCTTTCAGGTCAGTAAACAAAATGGGTTTAAACTATAATAGCATGAATTGCATTTATCATAAGAAGTTCTAACTACATGATTCAAAAAATTAGATATATTTCATTAAAGCTATTCTTCAGTTATGCAAAATAGCTGTCCATTCACTTTTTGGAAGTTGAGGTAGAGTTACATGTAAAATCCAAATAAATGGCTTTATAGTCTCCCAGGATCTGTCCCAACTTTTAATGATGCATCAGAGGAAGTTGGAAACATAATGGGAGGGAGGAAAAATATGCTTTGGGAGAATTGGGGTCAAAACACAGCAAGCATTAGGCAGCTTCAGGAAGATGGCTAGAACATATTGGCCAGACACTCTACCCAAATTTCCCCCTGGAGTTCAAGTGTCATAATGCCATATGACAATACACTTCCCTGTGATAATATGCCCAATACATCAAATTGAAGGCTCTCTTGTGACAGCATTTAACAACTCACACCAGGTTAAAAAAATACAGAGCCTCCAGAAAAATCCTGTTTCTTAAAAATAATAAAATGTTATGAGAGTCAACCTAATAGTCCATATGTCTGGGCTTTCGCATTGGATTTTTTAAAAAAATTAATTAGATATCAATATGAGGAAATGACATTTCTAGTTTAAAGTATGTAAAGCTACTTAGAGCTAAACAGCCTTTAATCAGTTGCTGTCTAAACAGATGAATGCATATAGAATGATTCGAAATGCCACAGATGTATTTATAAATGCAATTAAGAGCAAAGATAATTGAGCCAGCATCTTCTGTTGAAATATAACAATAGAAACACCTTAAATTTGTTCAGCTTACAAGACGCAGTTACATATATGTTTTCACTTGACTTTCTTAACCCTTTGATGGATAGGGCTGAAATTAGTATCCATTGTTTGTTCATTCATGCAACGAACTTGATATCCATTTATTCACTCAACAAATATTGATTATCTATACTAAATAGCATAGTACATATGGGTGCAACAGTGAACAGAAGGACATTTGTCGCCCTCAAAAACTTTCAACCTAGTGATGTTTTTTATTGTCATTGTTGGATATATCGGATTTAAAGAGAAATAATATGTAGTCATCACCTTCAAGCTGCTCCCAAAACTATAGTAACAATGAAGAACCTGGGTTATGGGAAGGTTAGGTGGTTTATGTCAGGTTGCACAACTCAAATCCCAGTAGAGTCAGGATGGAAACTTGGGGTTTCTTGTTTCACGCTTGTTTCATTATTCCAATTACTTCTAAACTTCTGTGACTTGGAGGAGTAAATGCACGTATTCCAATGGGCAAAGGAAGAAACCACTAACCATTTTCTAAATAATTGATGAGTAGGACCATATATGACTTTTAAATTTCTTGCTGACCGTTTTGGTATAAGCTGTGGCAGTGAAGGGACCATCAAGGCTTTGTTTCATTGATAATCCTTAATTTCTATGCGGGACATTATCTGTAGTGTTTCAGTGTAGTAGAAGAAAAGTTTTAGAAGTTACAAATTTCTTCAAGAACAAATTTGAATAACAGCACTCATTTTAGGTAAATGGCAAATGATAAATATTCTCAAAGTTCCTGCTTGACAGTTACAGACTTTACATGTCTAGAGCCAAATGTACTCACTGAAATAGAGGCTAACACTGAGACAGGGCATTGCAGCATGTTAGAAGGCATGCCCTGCCTCCAAAGGGGTACTCTTGAGCTCTCTTGAACACGCTCCCCATTTTCAATGCATTTTGAATCATTTTACCTAAAATATTTCCACTGAGGGCAGGGAGATAGTTTTATTTATCCCACACCCATGCCCTATGGAGACCGTGAGGTAACAGTGTTAGAAAAGACATGAGAAGAAGAGAAAGAAGATAAGACACCTTGAAGCAGCTCATTTTAGTTTTCAGTATATTGTGCTTTTGCATGGTGGCAGTTCTTCAGGTGTAAACCCAGAGTCGTTATCAATGAGTATATCAGTATGATTTGCCTCAAAAGCAGCAGTTTAGCTTTTTGTGGTCACCCTGTTGCCATATGAAAGTGCATTTTCAATTTTGTCTAAGGTTTTTCCACCATAGATACAAATGGAGACCCTCGCCTCATCATTTTTATGGGTTCCCCTGTGTACTTCATAGTTTTTATGTGTTGTTACAAATGGGGCCAAGTTTTCCAATTGACAATTTCTCATTTCTGTTGACTGCCACAGGACTCCATCAGTTAGCCAGCAAGGTCTTCTTAGCTGCCTCCTCACCCTTATCTGCCTCTAGTAACAGGACCTTGTGATGTTGAATGGAAGAAAAATAGTTTTCTGCTTTGGCAGCATCTGTCATTTATAGAAAAGCACCCTCATAAATTTGGCATACATCTATCTAAATCCGAGAGGCCAAAATTTCATATCCTTCATAAAATAATAGATTAACAATATTTATAACATCTTAAGTCTGAAGTTCTGGGGTATAGTCATGTAGAACATAAATGAGTCCCATCTGTCTAAAGAGAACAGACCATTATTCTAAAGCTCATATTTTCATGAAATACACATATATCATTATGACTTTCAAGGTCAACTTAAAAAAATAGAACTGCCTCCATCTTTACCCATGCACCTTGAATTTGACAGTAGCATCCCTCCAGGTAAGGCTGAAGATTCTTAGTAGTTAAATGTTTGTCATCCTCTGGGAACTAACTTCTGAAACTTTACAGCATTTTATATTGCTTTCAAATAATGCTGAACATTTACTGTCAGTTTCTTCACTTTTGAAAGCTATTTTTTAGTGTTGGTCTAAGAAAAGTGAACCAAAAGTTGAGGCTGATTTGTGATTTACTGAGTGTCTGTTAACTTAGGATTTACTGAGGATACATTAAAAACCACTCCAAAAAGCAAAGCCTTAAATTACTTGTTGTTAAAGCTTATATCACTATTAAAAACTTTTTTCACCCTCATTCGAATTTATTTTAACTAGTATTTATCTCTTTTTATTACATTTATATACAACTTTCCTTCCTTAAAAAGATATTGGAATATAAAAGGATTTTGTATGTACATTGAATAATTCTGTAAATGTATAACCATAAATGCCCTTGAGATTTCAACAAAGGTTATTACTTACATTTTTATGACACTCTACTTACTTGCTTCAGGAAGAATTCTCTTACATGACATATTTTTCTGACACAGGTGGATGATCAAATAGAGCTCCTCAATAAATACGTGTATATTCTGTGTGCGAGGCACATGTGGCAGGCATTTTGGGGGATTCTGGGTCCGCTTTTTTTTTTTTTTTTTTTTTTTTTGAGACAGAGGCTCACTCTGTTGCCCAGGCTGGAGTGCAGTGGCATGATCTTGGCTCACTGCAAACTCTGCCTCCCAAATTCAAGTGATTCTCCTGCCTCTGCCTCCCAAGTAGCTGGGATTACAAGTGTGCCCCACCATGTCCAGCTAGTTTTTGTATTTTTAGTAGAGACAGGGTTTACCCATGTTAGCCAGGCTGGTCTCGAACTCCTGACCTCAAGTGATCTGCCCACCTCAGCCTCCCAAAGTGCTTTAGACTTTCGACATGTTTCAGTGAAAAACACTTTAAGCCTTATAGTATAATGCTTAAAGTGTTTTTCAATGAAACATGTGTAAAGTCTGTTCCTCTTCCCTGACTCTTTCCTTGAGGCTCAGGTTCCCTGTTGTGAACACAGGGCATAATATTATGCAGTAATGGATTGGTGCTCTCATTTCTATAGACCAGCACTGTCTAATAAAACATTGTGTGGGCCAGGCATGGTGGCTCACGCCTGTAATCCCAGCACTTTGGAAGGCTGAGGCGGATGGATCACAAGGTCAGGAGTTCAAGACCAGCCTGGCCAATGTGGTGAAACCCTGTCTTTACTAAAAATACAAAAATTAGCTGGGCATGGTGGCGGGCGCCTGTAGTCCCAGCTACTCAGGAGGCTGAGGCAGGAGAATCGCTCAAACCCTAGGAGGTGGAGGTTGCAGTGAGCCGAGTTCGCACCACTGCACTCCAGCCTGGGTAACAGAGCGAGATTCTGTCAAAAAAAAAAAAAAAAAAATTGTGCGATAATGGAAATGGTCTATAATCTGTGTTGTCCAGCATGGCTATGACTAACAGCATGTAACAGCATGTGACTTTTTAGCACTTGAAATGTGCCTCATGTTACTGAGAAAGTCAATATTTCATTGTATTTCATTTCAATTAATTCTAAGTAGCCGCATAAGGCTAGTGGCTACCATATTGTACAACATAACTCTACTCTTTGATACTCCTTGCTCTTTTAACTAGCTGTGATTCCAGAGAAGTTACTCAATTCTCTGAGCCCCTCTTTTCTAATCTGTAAAGTGGAAATAATGCCCTCTCTACTTCACAGCAGTAGGGAGTATGGATATGTTGTATGGATCAAATGAAATGATTGTAAAAGAGGTTTACAAAACATAGATTTTAACAGAAATGCCTGTTATTGATGTTCTCGCAGATTTTTTTTCCTTCCTTTTCCTGTGATGCTTATTTTAGCTACCCTTCTTTCTGTTTTTTGCAAAAGATGACAGCGACACCTTGTAGTGGTCAGCTATCATCATCTTTCATTATGCAGCACCTAATATCCTATATTCTAGAAAAGTAGATCCAAGTTTGTTAGACTTATATGCAAAAAATAATTTTAATAGCAATACTAATAATAACATGTAACTGAATGAGCATTGTGTGCTTTATAGCATGCTAAATATTTTATATGTACTATCTTATTTAATGATTATAATAGTATTCTGATGGATATTAGAAAGTGACACCCAGAGAGGGGAAAACAATGGCCCAGAGTTATTCAGATAGAAAGTATTAGGTTAATGCAAAAGTAATCATGGTTTTTGCCATTAAAAGTAATGTTAAGTAACATACTAATTATGTTACTACTATGTAAAGATAGTAATTTTTGCCATTAAAAGTAATGGCAAAAACCTCAATTACTTTTGCACCAACCAAATATTTTCAATGCCAGAGTCTCACTCGGGCTGTCCATCAAACTTACTACCATTATACATATACTCACTACATCTGGATGAAGGTTTGTGAACTTACACTTACTGCTTATGCTTTTTGAAGGCTGTTTGAGATTTATTTACTAGATGACACTTCTGGAAGTCTGACATCCCAGAAATGTGTGTTTCTTTCCCTACCCTATTTTACAACTGTTTTTTTTTTTAAATCAAATTGTGAGAGGCCTTATATAAAGCTATATTAATGAAGGTATGATTCCCGAGTGCCATTTACCTACTTTACATCCATAGCATAGTAGAATGAGCATGAGCTTGAAGTCGGACAGATTAGCTCTGCCTCTCACTGAACTCATATAACCTTGACTAAGTCATGCTCATGGAGCTTCTGTTTCTTCATCTGTAAAGTGGGGGTGCCACATATACACCATGGAATACTATGCAGCCATAAAAAAGAATGAGTTCACATCCTTTGCAGGGACATGGATGAAGGTGGAAACCATCATTCTCAGCAAACTAACACAGGAACAGAAAACCAAACACCGCATCTTCTCACTCATAAGTGGGAGTTCAACAACGAGAACACACACATGGTCACAGGGAGGGAAACATCACACACTGGGGCCTGTCAGAGGGTAGGGGCAATGGGGGGGGATGACATTAGGAGAAATATCTAATGTAGATGATGGGTTGATAGGTGCAGCAAACCACCATGGCACAGGTATACCTATGTAACAAACCTGCACGTTCTGCACGTGTATCCCAGAACTTAAAGCATAATTTTTTTTCAGAAATGGGAGTGCTAATACCTACCTCCTAGGATTGTTGTAAGGATTAATGAACTAATACATGGAAGCTGCCTGGCTCAATGCCTGTCATGCCACAGACACTCAGTAAATTGGTAGCCATAAAAAGTAACCATTTGTTCAAAGAAATTTCCAGGTCCTGCCTATATTTTGACTCTATGATCGTTTCATGACATGCTGGCATGCAACAGTGACCTGCACTTACATTCCTCTTTATGTACTTGTTTTCTTGCCTCATAGTAATTATTTGCACTTGTGGTTTCATTTCAGGATATTAAGGTTTCATGAGCCTGACTTTTTCAGTGACACATTTAAAGATGCGGAAGGGCCTTCTTGGTCTTCCTCACCTTTATATGAAATGGTGGAGATGTCTTTCTATCCTTCCACTGGTTAATGTGTCTCGTCTGTTATGTCCCCTGCAGCCCCTGGCACTCTATTCTTTCATAGTAGTAACATAATTAGCACATATTAAGTGAATATCATTAAGTGGCATGCAAGAGGGAAGCTCTGGTGCCCTCCCTAGAATATGGACAGAGGAAGAAGACACTGTCTTAGCTCTTTTTCTTTGTTTTCATTAAGGTGGATGCCCACCTCACAGGTTGACAGGTTGCTGTATGTACAGCCATAGTATTGAAAGAACGATCTAACACATCCCCATCTGTGGAAAGAGAATACTGGATGCCACATGTGGGGAAGCAGCCCTGCCTGGAGACAGGGTTGGCTACTGAGATCCAAAAGGCTAGGGAGGGGGGGTATGATCCAAATGAGAAGCACACCCCTGCCTGAAAAGTCCCTGCTGAATTTATGTCAGTAAAAAAGCAGAAACTTGTCAGCCCGTATATTTGACTTCCAGCTTTTGCAAAACACTTTCCTTGGTAAACAATTTTTTGGTAATCCTTGTCGGCTATTAATTACTTAGCTTCTAAAAAATACATGCTTGTTTCCTTTGAATATAAAATATCAAACACTAGAAGTTCTTACCACAGTAGAGATTATCTTATTCGTTGCTTTGAAATATATGAACTTCTATCAGTGTCTTATGATTTTTGCCCATTTAACAAGCAAAATGGCCATATCCACATTAAAAATAATTTGTCTTCCCTAGCACAATATCATTGTTCTTAGTTCCCTGTTAAAAAGTAAAATAATTCTACTCAATTTGGAAATTAATTCATATACTGCATTTTTAGATTAGGAAAAGTTATTTGCTTATTTCTTTTCAGCCAAAATTTTACCCAATCCTTTGACTAACCTGTAGGACATATGATTAATATCCAATAGAAGTTTTGTAAGTACTTTGAAAAATCATTAGCAGCTGTCCTGCTTATATCACTTACAGTATTTTTAAATTGAGAGAACCCTTTTGGAAGGCAACTTCATAGAATAAATCAAGAACCATAATGATGTGTATTCCATTAGACCAGTTAATTCCTCTTCCCGGATTCTATACCAAGGTAATAATCCTAAATACAAAGCAAGAAAAATAAAATATTATGCATTAAGATGCCTAATGTAGCATTCGTATCAATGAAAAATGGAAACAAGATTATTAGTACTAGGGGAATTACTTAAAGTACTAGTATTATGCAGCTTTAAAGTAAATAAAAGAAGCAACATAGAAAAAGCAAGTAACATATTAGGGCAGAATGAAATGACGGGCACAGACACAGAGGTTCTTAACCTCTGTTTGTGCCATGGATGCCTGTGGCTGGCTAGTGAAGCCTATTCTCAAACTATAAAATCTATAAAATGAAATTTACAGCTTTTCAAAGAAAATGAATTCTATTGAAATCCAATTGTCAGTTTTTAGTTATGATATAGTAATATAGCAATAATGCATTAAATAAGATTTATCAGTGGGTCTAATATCTACTGTAATTTTGAAGTGGTGAAGAGTATAAATATTTCAAGCATTCTATGACAACTGTAATGTCTGATGAGAATATCTGATTTGTGTTGGTGACAAAGTTACAGGTACTGCTAGGACTACTATAGTTTGTCACCCTCAAGTATAATTGAAGAAAGTGCTAAATTTCCATTGAGAAAAAAAGAAAATAAAAATGTGTTTTTAGCCATCCAAGTTATTGGATCCCTTGAATTCATGGGCCTCTTGGAAGTCCACAGAGCCCAGTTTGAAAACTCCTGTTTAGTGTGACAAGATTATGAGTTATTTTTCTCTATTCTCCATGTGAAGTTATTTTTATAATAACTTCTAATGTCTTGATGAGGTATGTATCATGGGGCAAAGGTAGGATAGGCAAGAAACTCTTAGTCATTTATGTTATGTTATTGTGAGTTTCATAGTTTGCAATGCAACGTCATATCTATTTCTTGCCCAATTCTTTATGGTCACAATTGCAAAGCCATAAATCTCCATATAACAACGTTCCTAAGAGACCTAGCATGATAACAAACCCCTAAGCCCCCTTGAGGAACCAGCCCTCTTAAAATAATATCATTTTAAGGCTTTTAACTGCTCAAGATGATTTTTGGAGCTATGTATGACATGAACTCCAAAATTCCTGTCCTCTGGGTGGCAAAGACCAAGAGAAAGTACTACCATATGGTTACAAGTCAAGCTCTCAAGGACATAAAACAAGAGGAGAGGGAAACCTCATCCAGTTTGTTTGTTTGTTTGTTTGTTTCAGGGACATACAGCAAAGTTTGTAACTGACCAGCTTGCTGGGCTGGCTTGAACAGCAGGCTTACAGGGGTCCTAGATCCACATTTTATTCTAGGGTACCTTTTTTATGACAGAACAAAGCAGAAAGATAAATTCATACGGTAAAGCACATCAGATTTGCTACAGGCTAACACTAGCCTCACAAATCCTTTTTCCCATGAATCAAAACTTTACAGGAGACAAACAGTGATTTTTACCATTCCTTCAACCAGTTTGCACAGAGAGAGAGGCTAGAAGGCTGACTGGTAAGAAATTCTCACCTTTCACCAGCATGCTAGGTTTCTGGGTTCCTTCTCCCTGAGTGGCCCTAGCGACCCTGCTTCTTGCACCATAGCCCGGGGGGGCCAAACCATATCACAAAGGAAAATCATCTTTTTTCAGTTTCATGGGACCATAGGCAAAAAATCCTCTCAGTTTTGCAAGATGCGGCCCAACAGGCTGCACGGAGGAAGTGGATTAACATTTTCTTTTCCAGCCAGAGCAAAATATGCATGACAAAACATAGACATTAGCCACTCCACTTAGCACCCAATATCAAACTGGCAAGGTTAAAACTTGCCCTGGTTGATGCCTGTCATCCTTAATCCATTCAAAGTGGGATGGAATGACCTCAGACTAGAAGTTTCAACATGTGGTCTCTGTACAAGATGGAAGAGCAGACAGTGTCCCCAAGTAACAGAAAAGACAGAACAGGGAAAGGAGAGAAAGTGAGAGAAAAGCATGGCCTGCGGTGGGGTAGGGAAGGCAAGGAATTCAGGGAGGCCAGGGAAAGACCCACAGATCCCAACGACACTGAGTCAAAAGTTCAGGCGGCCGCTTGTCAGTTGCAAAGGAATCTCTTCCAGCAGTCCCATCAGCC
Organism: Homo sapiens; assembly: GCF_000001405.40. NCBI lineage: Eukaryota > Metazoa > Chordata > Mammalia > Primates > Hominidae > Homo > Homo sapiens. Next base: position 179,469,969 of record NC_000002.12, on the reverse strand, counting down.
ATCAAGTTTCCCCCATTGGGGAGAAAAAAGCTGCCCATGTCTTATGATCTGTACATGCCTAATCCAGTCACCCACAGCTGACAGCGAAGGGCACAAGGCAGATTAATCTAAAGAGAATAGTGGTTAACAGCTCATAGCGCCAAGTCCATTTTTAATCAAAGAGAGACTTTACTGAGGTGGGCCTTTAACCCCTTAACATTTTAGAAAGGACTCTACCCTTCCTAAGTTGGGCCTCAAACCCAAGTTCGGTCAAGCATCCTTGTTTTTTACTAAGAAGGGCCTTTAACCTTCTCTGTATTAGGAGGGACTCTAACTCTCCTAAATTGGACCTCTAACCCAATCCCATCCTTTTCCTGGGTAAAATGTACCCCACCACTTACCCAAAGTCGGCCAATTTGTGCTTTGCTGATGATTTTCCTTTGGGTCAGGGATCTCTTAATAGTGTAGTCCCTTCGTGGTTTGCCAGGAAGATATTACCAGAAAGGGGTCCTGATCCAGACCCCAAGAGAGAGTTCTTAGACCTCACACAAGAAAGAATTCGGGGCAAGTCCATAGAACAAGCTTGTCCAACCCACAGCCCACAGGCCACATGCAGCCCAAGACTTTGAATGCAATCCAACACGAATTTGTAAACTTTCTTAAAACATTATGAGATTTTTTTGCGATTTAATTTTTTTAGTTTATCAGCTATCGTTAGTGTTAGTATAACTTATGTGTGGCCCAAGACAATTCTTCTTCTTCCAGTGTGGCCCAGGGAAGCCCAAAGATGGGACAACACTGCCTTAGAAAAAAGTGAAAGCAAGTTTATTAAGAAAGAAGCAAAAAGAATGGCTACTCCATAGGCAGAGCAGAGCAGCTTGATACCACTTTTTAAAGGAGACTTCCTATGGCCAACAGACTTTCTCCTGTAACCTCTAGGTCTTAAATATAAAGCCCGCTTTAACAACGTTGTAATAAGGCTGCAGATTGAATTTAAATACATTAGAATTTTTTTATAATTGGCTTTTAGAAATATATTTTTAAAGGATTGGTATCTTTCTTATGCCTGGGCAGTCCAACCCCTGAATGTCCACATAGTCTCCTTTGAGCAGGCAGTAAGTACGTAGGTCCATAAAGAGTAAGAACCTGGTACCTGAGTCCCTGAAGCAGCCTGAGGCAAAAAGCTTGTCTCCTGGAAGTTTCCCTGACTAGATGAAGAAAGACTCAGTTTCCTCCCTAGCTCTCAGGCTGACTTTTCCATTGCCAGTGTCCACCTCATCCTGCCTGAAGTATCAAAGCTAAAACCCTTTGCTGTTTTCTGAATCTAGAGAGGAAAGAGGGTGAGGAGACCCGAATTCAAATGTTTTACTTGTACCTTGTGAATCTGTTTCCTCTATAAAGAGCCATTCATTTCAAAGAAAAAGAACCTTTTCTCATTTCACCTAGAAAATTAGTTTTTAATCTTACTCCCAGCTTTTGAATCTCTACTGAACCTACTCCCTGAGGAATTTGATTTGAGCGACATGAGTTACTCATTCTATTTTCCATAATAAAGCTGCCTCAGAAATAACTGTTTCACATCTCTTGGTGACAAATTGGAAAAGGGGCAGTTTTTCAACCCGGAGAAGTTGAAATATGATTTCTCTATTCTGCAAGTCAAATGGCTGGAAAAACTACACAAAATAAGAGAAAGCTGTTCATTAGATTCAAACTCTAGTAAACAAGCCCTTTTTTATGCTCACTCAGAAAAGCTGACAAGTTCACTAACATCGGTGCCAGTTCACTGATACAGAAGGTAGGCTGCCAGCTTTCAACATGGAGATAGTTGGAGATGCCATTGTTTTATCTGAGTGTGAGGCTGGCAGCTTGTGCTTCCAAAGTGGCACAAGGTACAACAGGGTAGTTGTCATATGATGCTTAGACAAGGAGGGCAATGGCTGACTTTCTATTGAACCACAGAATCTCTGCAGGCCATGAACCAATGGCCAGAACCTGATTGATAGAGGCTTTCAAATGGAAAGAGCAGTGACATCCTAAGTCAGGATTGTAGCCTGGCAGAGAATTACCAGAAGATGTGAGTATGATGCAGGGCTGGTTTTAGACTTTTGAAGTTCACTGCCTAACTTTTATGGGTCCTAAGTTACTTAAAATGAATATGCTTTTTATTTTGTTGTTTTTTTTTTTCTAAAGGACATGCAGATTCTGATTCAGTGAAGAGTCACTTTATAGACAATTTTCCCTGCTTTCAGGATTAGTCTAAAAGTCAAGATATGAAAATTAGACATAAATGTAGCTAATTAGGATTTAGCAAGCTTCACAGTCATGAACCATGCTTGAAGAGAGAGGGTTTCTGGAATTTAGCTACAGGCATGATAATGTGGGCACTGGATAAGAAGGGCCTGACTGCCTTAGATTGACCCAATGTGTAATATTATAATGCTCGGAGAATTTCAAAAACTAGCTTTAAGTTCCATGTCTGTCCTTGGCTACTCAGTATTTCTGGGCTTATGACTTAAGTATTCTGTTTTGTTTTCCACTTCTACAAAATGGCAGACACCATATAGAAAATGTTTTCTGTTTCCAAAGGTGGTCCAGTAGTTCACCCTCCAGTGAGGAATTGAGATGAGACATTTCCAACAGGAAATCCTATGACTAATAAAGCAAGTCAGCTAACTAGTGGGTGTTATGAGCTAAAGCAGCCTGTACTATACTATACTAGGTAACCCTTGGGGACATTTGGAATTAGACCAAGTTTAAATGAGGCATCTAGTTGGAGGAAGCCTAAATGGATAGACTGAAGGATTCCCAATGTACTTCAGAATCACTCTTGGGCCACCAGATGTAAAATTATGCACCTGGGGATATGGGTTAATTGTGAGTGGTACCATCGCCAACACACGAAGTCTTTATAATGACACCCTCAGTAATGCACATCTATTACCTAAAGAGTAGGGGAAATTAAATAATGCCACAGGACATTCTATGTGGAATTTCTTCCCTCCCTTCCCCTCCCCTCCCTTTCCCTTCCCTTCCCTTTCTCTCTCTCTTTTTTTTTTTTTTTTTTTTTTTTTTTTTGACAGTCTTGCTCTGTTGCCAGGCTGGAATACAGTGGCACGTTCTCAGCTCACTGCAATCTCTGCCTCCTGGGTTCAGGCAATTCTTCTGCCTCAGCCTCCCAAGTAGCTGGGATTACAGATGTGTGCCACCATACCTGGCTAATTTTTGTATTTTTAGTAGAAACAGAGTTGCATCACGTTAGCCAGGCTAGTCTTGAATTCCTGACCTCAAATGATCTGCCCACCTTGGCCTCCCATAGTGCTGGGATTACAGGTATGAGCCACCACACCTGGTGGGATTTCTTAAAGAGTATTATTACACAAGTATATCAACCATGTAATCGTTGATAACACAAATGGATATTGTATAATATAATTTAATATTGACTATATAGACCATTGCAGAGATGGGTTCTTGGGCTAGAAGCCTCTGATGAATTTCCAAACAGAATACCTATAGTTTCAAGAGAAATCTTGCCAAAGAACAGAACATGAGTTTAGCTGCAAAGAGGAATGGCTATATTTTGGTGATTTTTTTTTTCACATGTGCTTCAGATTGTCAGGCAGAGGTATATGCCTTAGCTATATCGTTATCAGAGGTACATTTTTTATCTATATGTATGTTTGTATAGGATTTATAACAAAGGAGATAATCACAGATTTGTTCATTTCATCAAACATCAAAATACTAGACCTGCCACAAAGGAATGTGTTTGTTGTTATGACCCTGTCTAGTACATCGCAAGGAGATCCACTCAAGAGAATTGTTTTAACCTCAAGTGACATTAAATATATATTGCGAATATATAGACTTGACAACAATGATATGCGTAATTTACATAGTCAACAGCTAAAATGCATTTATGTGTCTGTTCTATGTATATTTGTTTTACTAGTTATGATTCAGCTATTAGCAGTGAATTTTTCTTATATTTTTATTTCTGAGGCTAGAGAGCACTGCCTTGAATTGGACATTCCTTATTTCAGCAAACGTATTGCTCACCTATGGCTTTCTGTACATTGGGCATAAAGGTAAATCAAGACATGATTCCAGGACTCAAGAATCTCTCCTGGTAATAATTTTTAAGTGCAAATAAATAATTATAATTAATGGAAGATCATAATATAATTATGTGAAGAGGATTATAAAGGTATGGAGTAGGGAAGAAGGGAAGACATGGGCTCAGAGACTAGAATGGTCAAGATCAGTAAAGAAATTTCATGGTAATCCAGAGAGAATAGATTAGGGCCTAAAATGAGGTAGTGGCACATAGTAAATGCTGAATAAATGCTAGTTTAAACGGTGAATAAGGCTGATAGATGAGGATAATTAGTTAACTGCAGAATGTAAGAGAGAGAATTTAAGAATCATTGCTGACAGTTCTAATATATAACTGGCAATACCATCAATTGACGTGAGGACTACTTGGAAAGGCCCCTGTGTGGAGCAGCTTATACATTCAGTATCAGGCATGTTGAGTTTGAAATACCCATGAAATATCTAAAAGCAGACATCCTATAGAGTATTGGTGGAAAAGGGTCTTGATCTTGAGAGAAAAGTAGAGAATTTACCTCTTGATTTAGGAATCTATGTCAGTGTGGTAGAGGAAGTCATTGAATTGAATTAGATCATGTAATGCCCAAGAAAAAGACTAGAGTATGATCTTGAGGAATGCCAACATTTAGGGACAGGCAGAAGAATAGGAGATGGTGAAGGGGTCTAGAACGAGCTGTTGTAGAAGCTAAAGGAGAACCAGTCAGGGGAAATTTCATGAACATCAAAGGTGAAAAATATTGTGGACATTGAAGGGAAAAAGTTTCCAGAAAAAAATCATGTCCAGTTCAAGAGAAGACAGAAGAGACACCTTTGCCTTTGACAGGAGGATAAGGATGGATAGGAAGACAGGAAGCAGAAAGGCATATTTCACACACCCACTTCCAGTTCAGCACCAGAGAGAAGATAGGTGGGAAGCCCTGGGAGTAAACTGAGTTAAGGAGTGACTTTTAGAACATGGAGATTTCAGCATTTGTAGACAGAAAAAAAGAATCAAGTGTAAAGGAAGTAGTTGAAGCTATAGGAAAGAGGTTTTATCCAAAAAAGAGCCCACATAGCCAAGACAATCCTGGGCAAGAAGAACAAAGCTGGAGGCATCATGCTACCTGACTTCAAACTATACTACAAGGCTACAGTAACCAAAACGGCATGGTACTGGTACCAAAACAGAGATATAGACTAATGGAACAGAACAGAGGCCTCAGAAATAACACCACACATCTACAACTATCTGATCTTTGACAAACCTGACACAAACAAGAATGGGGAAAAGATTCCCTACTTAATAAATGGTGTTGGGAAAACTGGCTAGCCATATGCAGAAAACTGAAACTGGACCCCTTCCTTACACCTTATACAAAAATCAACTCAAGATGGATCAAAGACTTAAACATAAGACCTAGGACCATAAAAATCCTAGAGGAAAACCTGGGCAATACCATTCAGGACATAGGCATGGGCAAAGACTTCATGTCTAAAACACCGAAAGCAATGGCAACAAAAGCCAAAATTGACAAATGGGATATAATTAAACTAAAGAGCTTCTGCACAGCAAAAGAAACTACCATCAGAGTGAACAGGCAACCTACAGAATGGGAGAAAATTTTTGCAATCTAGCCATCTGACAAAGGGCTAATATCCAGAATCTACAAAGAATTTAAACAAATTTACAAGAAAAGAAACAATCCCATCAAAAAGTCAGCAAAGGATATGAACAGACACTTCTCAAAAGAAGTCATTTATGCAGCTAACAAATATATGAAAAAATGCTCATCATCACTGGTCATTAGAGAAATGCAAATCAAAACCACAGTGAGATACCATCTCACGCCAGTTAGAATGGCAATCATTAAAAAGTCAGGAAACAACAGGTGCTGGAGAGGATGTGGAGAAATAGGGATGCTTTTACACTGTTGGTGGGAGTAAAAATCAGTTCAACCATTGGAAGACAGTGTGACAATTCCTCAAGGATCTGGAACTAGAAATACCATTTGACCCAGCAATCCCATTACTGGGTATATACCCAAAGGATTATAAATCATTCTACTATAAAGACACGTGCACACGTATGTTTATTGCAGCACTATTCACAATAGCAAAGACTTGGAACCAACCCAAATGTTCATCAATATTAGACTGGATAAAGAAAATGTGGCACATATACACCATGGAATACTATGCAGCCATAAAAAAGATGAGTTCATGTCCTTTGCAGGGACATAGATGAAGCTGGAAACCATCATTCTCAGCAAACTATCACAAGAACAGAAAATCAAACACCGCATGTTCTCACTCATAAGTGGGAGTTGAACAATGAGAACACATGGACATGGGGCGGGGAACATCACACTCTGGGGCCTGTTGGGGAGTTGGGGGCTAGGGGAGGGATAACATTAGGAGAAATACCTAATGTAGGTGATGAGTTGATGGGTGCAGCAAACCACCATGGCACATGTATACCTACGTAACAAAACTGCACGTTCTGCACATGTACCCCATAACTTAAAGCATAATAAGAATAAAAAAAAGAAATAGAGAGGCCAAGTGGAAGCATACACCTTTTCCTCAGAGATGTGAAGAAAATGGGTGCAGATGGAAGAAATTGTAATATTGAGGTGATCTCATCCAGCTTCCCCATTTCTCTAAGGAAAAGGAGACCAGACATTAGCTCATAAGAGATTTGGAGCAATGGTAGGGACTTTAGAACAAGGATAAAACTTCCATGCAGAAGTTTTATCTGCATGGACTATACACACTGATTGATGTGTATATATAATCATTTTATATAATCATGTCTTTATATAATCATTTCTCCCTGTTTTATTTATTGACCTCTTCTGAGGTATATATAACTTTTTATTATATATGTTTCTAATTTAAGCAAATCTAATCCATATGAATATAGAATTTTAAAATAATTGTGTGTGATTATTGCACTGCCAAGAAAGCTCTATTTTCACAAACACACACACACACACATCTTTTAAATAGTGCGTTCAAATTATCACTAAATTTTCCAAGATCTTTATGCACATAACCTTTCAGGAAAATATCTAATAAAGTAAGGCAATCTGAGAGTTGTATCTGATCATTATCTGCAATGTTGGCCTTTTCTTCCTGCTCCTTTAGATAGGTGTAGTCCCATTACACTACAAATGAATACTCCTTTTTTGTGCATCTAACAATATAGTGATGATACTCTAGCATCTTTACATCTCTTACAACATTTTATTTTGCAGAGAACTCCAAGGTACTGAATTCATTTGTTCATCTTGCAGCCTGTGTGCTTTTTTTTTTAATCCATTAACTATCTTAATGGAATTCTACCTTAAACTTTTAAAATATATGTCATCAGTTGGTGGCTTCTATCAGTTGTATTTTGTCAAATGTGTAGGTAAGGAGGAGACGAACAAGGCAAAGGCTTAAGTCTCCTGCAGCACACCAGTTTACATACATACAGGTTTGCAGTGTGGTTTTTCCCCCTTTTGTCTGCTGTAGAGCCCCCTGAGCTTTTCAGCTTTATTTCTCACAAGACTGCACAATTGGAAGAAAGTAGGTACTCTGACTGATGCCCATTAATTTCTTATTATTTAGAAAGTGGAAAGATAAAGCAGAGAATGATTTCAGAATTCCTTATCAAAGTGAGCTAACTTGGTTTAATGAGTGTTAAACAGTAATATGGGCATTGCTTTGTTTTTTGGAATAATAATGAGATGTTGTACAAGGTGCTTGTGAATACAGGAAAGAATGTGACCATCAGTCCTTTCACTGCATGCCTCTGTTTAGTGCAATATTAAGTATAAAAAGGAAAAATTCATTGTATTAGTTGACAAGCATTATTCTTCAGAGACCTCAGAAAGCACAAAGTGCAATTCTATTGAAATTGTGGCCTTGGTGACCTGAGAACTTTTTTCAAGTTTTGGGGCTTCTTTGCTATTCTGGAAGGCTTATTTCAGAAGATGTCAACAGGTATCAGTGAGCCTAATGAGTCCTCCCTGATAAATGGCATGGATTTAGAAATTCACAGGTCCTGGGGAGTGTGGAATAGAATTCATGACCCTGGCCTCATTATCTGAGCTTACTTCTTACAACTATTACCTTTCCATTGCATTTTCCACCTGAAGCCCTCACTTCACTTTTACAGTGTTCTTGGTTCTTAAAGTCAATAAGAAAAGGGTAGTATTTTGCACATGTAAGCATTAAGGTCCCAATCACATAAATCACTTGCTTAAGATGACTCAATCAGTCAAAAATGGAATTAGAAATAGCCAGGTTTTTCTGGCTAAAAGGCCAGGAAGTTTTATTAGCATCCTAAATACTGTTATCTCAAATCTTAGTAAATGACATCACCCACTATTTTTCAAGTGCTCATGCTAAAACCATGGTAATGAGACTTGATTCCTCTCTTTCTTTAATGTCCCACACCTAATGAATAAGTCTAGTTGGTTCTACATACAAATATATTCTGAAACCACTGCTCAATTCTCTACCACTACCACCTTTGTCTAAGCAACCATTAGCTCTCTCATGGGCAACTGCAGTCGTTTCTTGACTGATCTCCTCATGTTTATCCTTTCACAGTCTATTCTCCACGCAAGAGGCAAAATGGTCTTATGAAGACAGGAATCAGATCATCTCTCTCCCCTACTCAGCAAACATACTTATGTTACATCCAAATTTCTCTCATGCTCTACCAGGCTGTATGTGATCTGGTGCCTCCAACTCCTCCACCTCACATCCTGCAATCAGACCCCAGTCTCACTGACTTTCTTGTCCTTGTTTGTTCCCGCTTCAAGGTTTTTAGACTTACTATGCTTTCTTCCTGGAACACTCTTTCTCCCAGAACTCCTATTATTTCATTCACATATCTGTTAAATATTGTAATTGCCTAACAGGTTCATCTTGCTTGCTGCACAGATAAAACCAATCCACTGAGAGCAGTACTGTGGTAGGAAAAGTTTAATAGTTGCAAGGCTAGCCAAGTGAGAGGATGGGAGTAATTACTCGAATCAGCTGCCCTGAAAGCTTGGAGGTTAGAGTTTTTCAAGGATAGTTTCATGGGCAGGGGGCTAGGGAATGGGAAATGCTGATTGTTTGGCAATGAAATCGTAGAGGTATGGAAAACTGTCCTCGTGGCTGAGTCAGCCTCTGAGTCAGGACCACAGGACTGGTTGAGTCATGAGTCATGGGTCTGAGTGGAGTCAGTCAGTTGAAAAGTCTGAAAAACATCTCAAAAAACCCATCTTAGGTTCTACAACAGTGATGTTGTCTATAAGAAAGATTGGGAAAGTCACAAATCTTGTAACTTCTGGCCACAGGACTTCTGAGCAGTAAGGGATTGTAGAAAAGCAAGCTAAGAAACAATGGCTGGTTATCGTTTAACTACACCTATATCTTAGCAGAATTCAGGCCCCTTTAATACTCTTAATCTTATCACCTTTCAGTAGACTTACAAAACAAGGCAGGGAGGGTCAATTTTAGGGAGGAACTATTATCATCCTTGCTTCAAAGTTAAACTGTAAACTAAATTCCTGCCATGGTTAGCTTGGCCTACACCCAGGACTGAGTGAGGACAGCCAGCCTGTGAGAATAGAAGCAAGATGGAGTCAGCCATGTTAGATATCTCTGTCTCAATCTTTGCAAAGGAGGTTTCAATATCACCTCTTCAGATAGGCCTGAGCTGACTCTTTACCATGACCAGCTTTATTTTTCTTCTTAGTGCACTTACTACTATGAGACATTATATATTTTTTTTTCTTTTCTTTTCTTTTCTTTTTGAGACAGAGTCTTACTCTGTTGCCCAGGCTGGAGTGCAGTGGCAAGATCTCGGCTCACCGCAACCTCTGCCTCCCAGGTTCAAGCAATCCTCTTGCCTCAGCCCCCCTAGTAGCTGGGATTACAGGCACGTGCCACCATGCTCAGCTAATTTTTGTATTTTTAGTAGAGACGGGGTTTCACCATGTTAGCCAGGCTGGTCTTGAACTCCTGACCTCAGGTGATCCACCCGCCTCAGCTTCCCAAAGTGCTGGGATTACAGGCGTGAGCCACCACGCCTGGCCGCTATATATATTTTTTACATATATAATTTATATATAGTTTTATATATGTTTTGAATATATGTGCTTTGATATTTATTACATATAATAAAAGTTTATGCATTTATTATTATAATGCACATTTTTTATTTAATAAATAGACTTATAAATTAAGATTTACATTTAAATTAATTAAAATACATTTGTATATATAAATCCACACACACATACACACACACACACACACACACACACACTTATTTTCTCTCTCCCCCACTAGATGATTAATTCCACTGAGTCAGAGACTTGGTATTTTTACTGCTAACTTCCATGCCTGATATAGTATATAGCACATAATAGGTGCTCAATCAGTAGTTGTTGAATGGATGGATGTTTATTTCCTTAGGACAGATTTCTAGAGGGAGACTTTCTTGGTGAAATGATATTAATTTCATATATTGTTTAACAACAGTTATACTACTTTTCCACTCCACCAAGCCCAGATGCCTATATTGTATCTGCCCCACTTATTGTAATTTCTAAATCTTTGCCATCTCTCAGAGGCAGAAAATGATACTTCTTAGTGGCCTTAATTAAACCAACTTAATAAACCAAGACATACATTATCAAAAACAAAAATGCAAAGAAATTTTTATCTAATATAGGGAATCAGAGACCTCCTTTTGAGTGTCCATTAATTCTTCTGGGAATCAGAGAAGACCTGAAAATTCAGAGAAAACACCTATGCAAAATTTTTCTTAAAAGAAGCTTTTGAAGACTATTGTCATTTACTTTCTTAGGTACATGCAAACTTGCAACTATAGGGGAGGAAAAAATAATTTTCTCTCCTTCTGAGTTCTTGGTTGGGACCGATCCCTGTAACAAAAGACAGATTAACATGAAAACAAAGAAGTTTATTAACATGTATACCTCATGTATTGATGGGAGGTACCCAGAGAAATGAGTAAATCTCCAAGAGGTGACTTTGAATTCAGGCTTAAATACAATCTTAAGCTATAACAAAGAAGGGTGTAGGGAGGCCAGTAATGAGGAAGTAACTAGGAAAAACACAGTAAACAAGGGTAAGGTTTGTTAAGTGGATTTAAATCAGTGCCTTCTCCATTTACTAAGAGTGTCTGGAGGCTAGAGTCATTCCTTCTTTTCTTGGTAGAGTGAGGGAGACACCCCAACAGATAAGAGGTTTTTTTAATAGATATATACTTCTCTTACAAAAGAGTGACCTCTACTCTGGTTTCAGAGCTTCTGTAGCTGCTACAAGGATGACATACTCTAGGCCTGCTACACAACCATTAAAGAATCACATCAAAGCAGACTTATTTATCTGGTTCTCTACAAGACGTGCCTGTAATATTCTGTATTAGTCCATTTTCATGCTGCTGATAAAGGCAATTTATAAATGAAAGACATTTAATGGATTTACAGTTCCACATGGCTGGAGAGGACTCACAATCATGGCAGAAGGCAAGGAGGAGCAAGTCATGTCTTACATGGATGTCAGCAGGTAAAGAGAGAGCTTGTGCAGGGAAACTCTCCCTTATATAACCATCAGATCTCGTGAGACTTATTCACTATCACGAGAACAGCATGAGAAAGACCTGCCCACGTGATTCAATTACCTCCCACTAGGTCCCTCCCACAACACATGGGAATTCAAGATGAGATTGGGTGGCGACACAGCCAAACCATATCATATGGTATGCTTTCTATGGCATCATGTAACTTAGATATACGAAGATATTACCATCCATTCACCTTTAGTCAACATGACAAACATTCAAGAAGGTATTTCTAAAACTAAGCATTCTTAGTCTAATATTCCTTAAAACAGAAGAGCAATAAGAGCACTGGCTCAGGGTTCGGGAAGCCTTTGTTTGAATCCATGCTCTATCATTTATTGAATGACTACAGGCAAGTTGCTTACTCTATTTAAGCCTTGGGGCTTTGTCTTTTTAAACAATTGGGGTTATCATAAGACAACATTTAGAGAGTGAAAAGCATGCCACAACCTGGAAGATGACTTGTGATGTGTATATCTGACAAAGGACTCCTGTTCAGGCTATATTTAAAGACTTCCTATAAATCAATAATGAAAAAGCTGACAACCCAGTTTTAAAAATGGGCTAAAGATATGAACAAACGCTCACAAAATATACAATTGGCCAATAAAAAAAAGAAAAGGAGCTCATTATCACTAGCTATTGGGGAAATACAAATTAAAACCACAAGAAGATACCACCACACCTCCACTAGAATGGCTAAAATCAAAAGGACTGACAATACTGATACCATGGATTAGACAAGATGTGAAACAATTGAAATTTTCATACATTGCTGATAGAAATATATATTGGTACAATCAGTTTGGAAGACTGTTTTCAGAATCTACTAAAGCTAGATATGAATATCTTGTGGCCCAATAATTCTACTATGTATATATACATAACAAAAATGAGTATTTATGTCTACCAAAAAACACTTAAAAGAATGTACATAGTAGAATTATTCAAAATGGCCAAAAACTGAAAACATTTTAAATTTTCATCGGTAGCAAAATAAATAAATAAATAGTGGCATACTCATACAATGGGGTACTACCCAGCAGTGAAAAAATATCCTTCTGTCTATAATAATACAGATGAATCTTACAGACATAATGTTGAGTGAAAGAAGCCAGACACAAAAGAAATATATTGTGTGATTTCCTTATATGAAGCTTAAAAATAGATAAAACTGATCTAGGTTAATAGAGGTGGTTATCTTTGGGGGAAATCTCAACTGGTAGGGGTTCAAGGGAGCTTCTAGGGTGGTGAAAACACTCTATATCATCAGGTGTATTGTATTTACGTGAATGTATACATACATTAAAATGTATTAAATTTATATATTTTATAGTACATGCTATATCGCAATTAAAAGAAAAAGAAAAAAGTTTAAAAGTACAGATAGTAACAGTTTCTATCTCATAGTGTTTGAAAAATAAATTAGATAATGACTATAAATTCTTAAAATAGTGCTTGGTCTATAGTGAGTGCTCAATTACTATGAGTGGTTGATTTGTGATTATTATTGTTACATTTACCATTATTGTAAGATATAATTGCCTGGAACAGCCATTAGGCTAGTATTTTTGCTCTGCGTAAAGCAAATTTTCAAATAATGACTGCAATACTGATTTCAGCTTTTAAGAACAATGGTTCAACCAACTTAACATTATTAGGTTTGTATAAAGGAAGTTTATTATTATAAAGTTTTTTACTTTAGTGTACAATGTTTTAACATTTAAAACTGTATTTAAGATTTTTGTTTCCTTTCAGAGTAATAAAAATTTTTAAAATTACGTTGAGGTACAAAGCATCATTAATCTTACAAAACAATATTCTTCTGTTTTAGTGATAAAATAAATACCAATCAAATTAACAATGAGATACCATATTATGTCTGTTGGATAGGTAAAGGCAATAGATAATTAGGCTGATAAAGGCACAGGGAAGCCATGATCTTTTGTGACACTCCTAAGAGTATTCATTTGTATGACCATTCTGGAGGGCAATTTGGTATATGCATCAAAAGCTCAGAAATGTACACGATCTTTGTCCCAGCAATTTTTCTTCAAAGTTCATGTCCTGAGGAAATTATCAGATGAGTTTTCAGAGATGTCTGAATATAATGCTGTTTATATAACTGGTTTATTGAATATATGAATTCAATGAGGTACAAACATGATAGCCTTTACAGCCATGTGTTGCTTAACAATGCAGATACATTCCGAGATATGCATTTTTAGGCTATTTTGTCATTGTGCAAACATCATTCAGTGTATAGTACTCACACACATCTAGGCAGTACAGCCTACTACAGGCCTAAGCTAAATAGTTTTAGTTCCTTCTCACATTGTTAATAAAGACATACCCGAGACTGGATAATTTTTTTTTTTTTTTTTTTTTTGAGATGCAGTCTCGCTCTATCTCCCAGTGGCACAATCTTGGCTCACGGCAACCTCTGCCTCCTGGGTTCAAGAGATTCTCCTGCCTCAGGCTCCCAAGTAGCTGGGATTACAGGCATGCGCCAACATGCCTAGCTAATTTTTTTTTGTATTTTTGGTAGAGACGGGATTTCATCATGTTGGCCAGGCTGGTCTCATACTGACCTCGAGTGATCTGCCTGCCTCAGCCTCCCAAAGTATTGGGATTACAGGTGTGAGCCACTGCGCCTGGCCGAGACTAGGTAATTTATAAACGAAAGAGGTTTATTTGATTCACAGCTCAGCATGGCTGGGGAGGCCTCAGGAAACTTACCACCATGGTGGAAGGGGAAACAAACATGCCCTTCTTCACATGGTGGCAGCAAGGAGACGTGCCGAGCAAAAGGGGGAAAAAACTCTTATGAAACCATCAGATCTCATGAGAACTCACTCACAATCATGAGAACCAGCAGCATGGAGGTAATCATGCCCCCATGATTCAATTACCTCCCACCGGCTCCAGCCCATGACACACAGAGATTATGGGAACTATAACTCAAGATGAGATCTCGGTGGGGACACAGCCAAACCATATGAACTATTTAGCTCCTATGCTACACACCTATATAACAGGTTACTGTACTAAATACTGTAGGCAATTGCAACACAACAATAAGCATTTGTGTATCTAAACATAGGAAAGGTACCATAAAAATATTGTATAAAAGATAAAAAAATGGCATACTTGTATAGAGCATTTACCATGAATGGAACTTGTAGAGGTGGAAGTTGCTGTGGGTGAGTCAGTGAGTGAGTGGTGAATGTGAAGGCCCAGGACATTCCTATACACTTACTGTACTAGGATATTACTGTAGACTTTATAAGCACTATATGCTCAGGCTACACTAAATTTATTTTTAGAAAAATTCTTTCTTCAGCAATAAATTAACCTCAGCTTAATGTAACCTTTTTACTTTATAAACTCCAAATGTTTTTAAACTTTTGACTTTTTTGTAATAACACTTAGCTTAAAACATAAACACACTGTAGAGTGCTACAAAAATTCTTTATATTCTTATTCTCTAAGCTCTTTTCTATCTTTAAATTTATTTATTTATTTCACTTTTTACACTCTTTTATTAAAGACTATGACACAAACACCCATATTAGCCTAGGCCTACACAGGGTCAGGATCATTAATGTCACTGTCCTCCACTTCCACATCTTAACCCACTGGAAGGTCTCCAGGCACAATTACACAGTGGAGCTGTCATAAATGATAACAATGCCTTCTTCTAGAATACCTCTTGAAGAACCTGCCTGAGGCCATTTTACAGATAACTTTAATTTTTTTATAAATGGAAGGAGTACACTCTAAAATAATTATTATAAAAAGCATAGTATAGTAAATATATAAACTAGTAACACAGTCATTTATTATTATCAAGTATTATATACCTTACATAATTGTGTGTGCTATACTTTTATATGACTGGTAGCACAGTAGGTTTGTTCACACCAGAATCACCATAAGCACATGAGTAATGTGTTGCACTACAACATCATGACAGCTACCACATCTCTAGGCAATAGGAATTTTTCAGCTCCTTTATAATCTTATGGGACCACCATTGTATATGCAGTCTATCATTGACTGAAATGTCATTATGTGACACATGACTGTACACTCTGTTGAATCTCCCTTTCTCATTCCTCAAAGACATTGTCAGATATCAGAAAGTCTGGTCTTATTTGAAACTTTAGGCTCTTATCCAATTGAACACTCCCTTTTTTCTGGCTCAGGTTGAACCATGAAAAGGGGCATGGTCTGCTCTTTCTTCCGTGTTCCATGCTTTCTGATTCTTGCGCTTTCCATTGTTAGGGATAAGAGGAGGAATTAGAGGAGAAAAAGGGGCAAATGCTTTTGTACTTAATGACAATTATGGTTGTCCTCTGAGTGACAGATGTCCAGATGCTGTCTGACTCTCTCAGGGACAATGTGTGAATTCTTCATAAGGCTTGTTCCCTGACCTCTTACAACCCTTCCTCAGCTTGTGCCACTAAAGGTCCACACTTCAGCCTCTTGCTGCCAAGGTCCTAGTGATCAGACTTCTTACGTTGGGCACTAACAACATGATTTGAGCCAGGCCACCTTTCAAATCATCCTGTTGGCCCAAAGAAATCTTACTCAACTTTGTTATGCCAAACTGAGATTATAGGTTCTTCTCCTTCTTACCTTTCTTGCTCCAACACAATCTCCCTCCGACCACAAGTGAGGAACAAATTGCCAAGACCTGCAGTAGTCTAACTGGGGAATGAAATCCCAGTGTCCCCTTCTTACCTCCATTTCTAGCTTTATTAGTTTGGGATTCAGAAGCTCCCAACCAGACCAGAAATTCATGACTCTAGTGAGTCCTCCCATCTTCAGACTACTTTATAAGGCCTGGACAGGTGGGTGATAGGGTGCTGGCAGCTGGACCAGTTCTACTAAATTTTATAAATCCTGCAGGACTGTGTTGGGGGTTTCTGAGGAACTTTCTCTAACATGCTGTAATACTAAATACCAGTTGCTTTCAATTCTCAGTTGTGTCCTTCATTGAGGCCACAGAAGTCTCGTTCGGTATCCTTTTAACATTAACAAAAGTGCAAACCAGAGATAACCAAAATATCAAAAGAAGATTGCTGAATATAGTACATTCATATAAATAAATATCATTTGGTGTTAGAAATCTTAATCCAGTTCTGCATTTATTGACATGGAAAATGTTCTTGATTTATTCCTAAGTGAAAAATATTAGTTACAGAACAGTATGTTTCTGTATATTCATATTTGCTATTATGTAAAAAATAGTGTAGAGTAATGTATACCAAAATATCATAATGCTAGTTCAAAACTATTGCCTGTGATCCAAATATTGCCTGCCACCTATTTTCATAAGTAAAATTTTACTGGATCACAGCCATGCCAGTGGCTGCTTTCCTGCTACAAAGCAGAGTTGAGTAGTTACAACAGAGACAGTATAGCCACAAAGCTTAACGTGTCTTCTGGGGCTGTACAGAAAAAGTTTACCAACTTTTATTCTAGATGATAGAATCATGAGTAATTTTAATAATTTAAAATTTTTGTCTGACTTCATTTTTTAAATTTTCTGCAGTGAGCATGAATTTATTGTATAAAATATGTATCTGTTATTAACCACTGAATTCTGATTAGAAAATCTTATTACATAAATAAAATTAAACTCAAAAGCAAATCTTACAAGTCAAATAATAAAAATTTGATTACAGCTTTCAAAGTTCTAATTCAAAATATAGGACCTACATTGTAGGTAGAATATTAATTTTTTATTGTTTTTAAAATTAAGACCTAGGTATGGACATGACTCTTCCATATGCCAAGAGGATTGGTTTCTTAAAACTTCTTTTTAGAGCTTCTGGTATATTCTTTTTATCTTAGCATATTAGTCTTCTGAGGCTGTGTTTGAGTAGTATAGTGCTAAGTTTGATGAATAAGGTGGATTAATTTGAGTAAAGATTTTGGAGTAAGAAATAAGGGTGATACATTTTGAAGACTGGTTTTCTTTACATGGCTTATGAAGTGGACATAAAAGGAGTATCAAAGAAAAGAGTTTTCAAGCATTTGGAGCTTTGGAAAATAAATGAATCAGTATGGAACTTCCCAAGGACACTACTTTGAAGAAATAAATTCACTTGGATGCATAAATTATGGATATTTGTTACAACGAACAATTCTGATGTAGCTAAGCAAATTTTCCTTCAAAATCCTGTAGGATAAAGCCTTCTAAATGTGTTTGAGTAATCAAGAAATAATTAGGACAGTCAGAAAACCTGCTAATTAACATTAGGTGAGGGAATACTTGAAAATGGATTTCATCTTAACCAGAAGTTCCAGATGACATGCATCTTTATTAAGAGAAACAGAAGTAAACAGTACATTAATTAAACTTTCAAATACACGAAGAGGCTTTTAAAATACCAGTAAGGAATGAGGAATAATACAATGGATTTTCATAAAAATATCAAGCAATTAAGATAAGAAATAATAAGATTAGGCTTTGAAGTTTATACATTTGCATATTGAGAAAGAATGCCACTATTCAAATATATAAATATATCAGTGACTTTTCAAATTTTAGGATCTGTTTTATTGACTAGATAGTATCTATCCAATAACAGAATTTCCTAAATAGGGTAAAATCATTTACACATTTCCAAAGTCAACATTTTTCCTTAATATTCTCAAAGATTAAGACTCTGGCCTATCTGAGAAAAAAAATTTAAAACATAATTTATCTGAATTTTAGACCATGTAAGTGTTAAACATACTATACATCTCAATTTTAAAAGGAAAGTGTCTGCCCTTAGTATATGTTTTAATAGTTTTAAGATATTCTCTGCCTTCTGGCTCAATTGACATCTATAATAATATCTCCCATTACACTTGTTGCCAGCTCTATGCTCAACTACCAGGTATTCACCAAGAAAACCCCAAGATTTCTAATACCTAGGTATTTCCTTATGTTTCTGCTTCCAACCATTCACTTCCCACTCATTTTCTTCCCACTCATTTTCTTTCTTTTTTTTTTTTTTTAATTATACTTTAAGTTTTAGGGTACATGTGCACAACGTGCAGGTTAGTTACATATGTATACATGTGCCATGTTGGTGTGCTGAACCCACTAACTCGTCATTTAACATTAGGTATATCTCCTAATGCTATCCCTCCCCCCTCCCCCCACCTCACAACAGTCCCCAGTGTGTGATGTTCCCCTTCCTGTGTCCATGTGTTATCATTGTTCAATTCCCACCTATGAGTGAGAACATGTGGTGTTTGGTTTTTTGTCCTTGCGATAGTTTGCTGAGAATGATGGTTTCCAGCTTCATCCATGTCCCTGCAAAGGACATGAACTCATCACTTTTTATGGCTGCATAGTATTCCATGGTGTATATGTGCCACATTTTCTTAATCCAGTCTATCATTGTTGGACATTTAGGTTGGTTCCAAGTCTTTGCTATTGTGAATAGTGCCACAATAAACATACATGTGCATATGTCTTTATAGCAGCATGATTTATAATCCTTTGGGTATATACCCAGTAATAGGATGGCTGGGTCAAATGGTATTTCTAGTTCTAGATCCCTGAGGAATCGCCACACTGACTTCCACAATGGTTGAACTAGTTTACAGTCCCACCAACAGTGTAAAAGTGTTCCTATTTCTCCACATCCTCTCCAGCACCTGTTGTTTCCTGACTTTTTAATGATCGCCATTCTAACTGGTGTGAGATGGTATCTCACTGTGGTTTTGATTTGCATTTCTCTGATGGCCAGTGATGATGAGCATTTTTTCATTTGTCTTTTGGCTGTATAAATGTCTTCTTTTGAGAAGTGTCTGTTCATATCCTTCGCCCACTTTTTGATGGGGTTGTTTGTTTTTTTGTAAATTTGTTGGAGTTCGTTGTAGATTCTGGATATTAGCCCTTTGTCAGATGAGTAGGTTGCAAATATTTTCTCCCATTCTGTAGGTTGCCTGTTCGCTCTGATGGTAGTTTCTTTTGCTGTGCAGAAGCTCTTGAGTTTAATTAGATCCCATTTGTCAATTTTGGCTTTTGTTGCCATTGCTTTTGGTGTTTTAGACATGAAGTCCTTGCCCATGCCTATGTCCTGAATGGTATTGCCTAGGTTTTCTTCTAGGGTTTTTATGGTTTTAGGTCTAACATTTAAGTCTTTAATCCATCTTGAATTAATTTTTGTATAAGGTGTAAGGAAGGGATCCAGTTTCAGCTTTCTACATATGGCTAGCCAGTTTTCCCAGCACCATTTATTAAATAGGGAATCATTTCCCCATTTCTTGTTTTTGTCAGGTTTGTCAAAGATCAGATGGTTGTAGATATGCGGCATTATTTCTGAGGGCTCTGTTCTGTTCCATTGGTCTATATCTCTGTTTTGGTACCAGTACCATGCTGTTTTGGTTACTGTAGCCTTGTGGTATAGTTTGAAGTCAGGTAGCATGATGCCTCCAGCTTTGTTCTTTTGGCTTAGGATTGACTTGGCGATGCGGGCTCTTTTTTGGTTCCATGTGAACTTTAAAGTAGTATTTTCCAATTCTGTGAAGAAAGTCATTGGTAGCTCGATGGGGATGGCATTGAATCTATAAATTACCTTGGGCAGTATGGCCATTTTCACGATATTGATTCTTCCTACCCATGAGCATGGAATGTTCTTCCATTTGTTTGTATCCTCTTTTATTTCATTGAGCAGTGGTTTCTAGTTCTCCTTGAAGAGGTCCTTCATGTCCCTTGTAAGTTGGATTCCTAGGTATTTTATTCTCTTTGAAGCAATTGTGAATGGGAGTTCACTAATGATTTGGCTCTCTGTTTGTCTGTTATTGGTGTATAAGAATGCTTGTGATTTTTGCACATTGATTTTGTATCCTGAGACTTTGCTGAAGTTACCTATCAGCTTAAGGAGATTTTGGGCTGAGACGATGGCCTTCTCACTCATTTTCAACCCTATTCTATGCTTATCCAAATCTGACCTTCGAAACCTTAAAAATGTCACTTCTTTAATGAAAAATGTCTCATTCTTCCCAAGCGGAAGTAATCATTTTCTGCTCTATGCTCTCACGCCTCTTACCAGTTTCTGTTGTAAATTAGAGATCTTTGAATGACTGTCTCATTTCCTCCTGCTATGCTGTAATTTTCTTATAGTCCATACTTACTTTATTTACTATTCTCTTTAGTGTCTAGCACATTGTCAGCAATTAACATATTGTTAATATGTACTTGTTAATTCATAAATTACCCCTTTGAAAACAAGATATGAAAAGGAAATCTTTTTCTTAAAGAAATAGGAACATAGAGAAAATATATAATTTTATACATGTTCTCAATATAACCTAAATCAAATGATTGTTGAGCAGGATAGATATTTTCACTTACGCCAAATAAATATACTTTAAAAACTAACCTACAATTGTAAAACAAAGCAACTGCTATTTCACATCTAGGGTGACTGTTGTGTACTTTTATATCACTAGTGATATATTAAGTCCTCCTTTTGTGCTGAAATATTAGTGTACCACAGACTGATCAGTTAGAGAAAACATCATGCTCATTTATGCCACTTACTAATCTGTGGGACATTATTTAATTTTGAAAAGGCTCAGTTTCCTCATCTTTAAGATAGGAATAATCATTTTGAGCCTTACCTATTTCACAAGTTTTCTGTGAGAGCTAATAAGACAATGTAAGTGATAGCACTTTGTAAACTGTAAAGTTCTATATAAATTTAAGGGTTTATGAGGGACATTAGTATAAGGGACATTATTAGTAATATGAGAGAATGCTGTCAATGGCTGAAACAGATCAGATTCTTTTAGATCAAATTCATATGAAATGCTTGAAGCAAGGAAAGATTTTAGTATGTAATAACTTTAATTTTCATCGCAAGAAACTGAGTAATTCCAAATATTAAGATTACTGAATTATTTTGCTGCTTTATGAGTTCTGTAAGATTGCAAATTCAATCTGAGGGATCCTTATAGATGAGAGGGTTCCAGGCCTAAAATATTATCCAATCTAATTTGCTGACTATTACCAATTAGGAAGAATCATTTTATGTCCTTCTCTCACACTATACAGGTCAGTTTAATAAAAGTCTAAGAGCTTTTCCATCATATTTTTTGTCATCCTGAAGTTTTAGTACAGTCACTGAAAGGGAATATGGAATGTGCAACCTAAGAATAAAAAAGAATCTCAGTATTCATTTATTCTAAGTAAACCCAGATTTGGAATCCCTCCATAGCACCCTCTAGCTGTGTCTAGTCTCAACCTGAATGGATCCAACTCAAAAAAAAAAAAAAGGATGGAAATCAACTGCTGATTCCTAAATCAATTTGGCTTTTCTTTATGTAATATTTTAGTAGAAATATGATCTCCCATCATTTGCAATGTGTTCTAAAAGCTTAGGTTTACCCATATACAGAACCTTGTAACATACACACAGAAACACACACCACATTGCTGTTGCCTAGTCTCTCCTTCCCTCTTAGTCTTCTAGGCCAATGGTATACAATTCCAAATTAGCTAAGGCAATTAGCAAATATATTCTCAGATTTAATTCCCTTTCTCTCTTTATGAGAGTTAATCAGCATATCTATAGACATTTTCTAAGAGTACCAGCTCTACTAGGATTAAATGTGTGATGGATTTTGCTGTTGCTTACAAAGCCCCAGTTTGTTTCCCAAAGGAGTCACTGAACAGAGCCTGTCTTGAATAGCAAATGAACTTCAATGAGTTAGATTCTGTTAAAGTCACTCTAACTCTCATAGCCTGCACATGGGCCTTGAGGATTATAAGCATTTAATAGCTACATGATCAAACTGCCAAAATGTCTTTAAATGACTTGGCTAATCTTCATATTGTGCTTATGGTTAATGTCATTATTTAAAACTTTTGATTTAGACTGGTGGTAATTAATAAAGATAATGAATGGAAGCTTGGTCTCTTATATTTTGGATAAATTGCATTGCCATCCACAGAGCAGCAAAAACTTAACTAATCATAATCAAAATTAACCATGTTTCTTCTATCCCACAATCCACAGTTAAAATTTTAACTTGGTATAAAAATTAAGTTTAACTTATCTCTGTCATAATTAAACATAAGTAGTCAAATGAAACTAACATGGCCTAATGGCTTCTTTCATGTTACCTTCATATCATGTAATTGTATCAGAGGGAAGGTGGTTTTGTTTAATAATAAATATTTCCTTGTAGAGTAATTTATGACTCAAGGATTTCAGACAGAAAGTTACCTGCTCCAACTGGGAGAACAAAGTCATTTTTCATAAGTCATCCTTATCTTGGGATGACCTAATATGGAAACTGATGGCATAGTGTTCTGTTTGATTTAAACATAGAGGTTGATTTAACCTCTATAAACTGAAATCTATGCTGCAATAAAAACTTCACATAAGAATCAAATTTCTATTTTTAATTCATCTATGGTGATTTATCTTTGTTTATATGATATATGAGGCTTCAATAAGATCTCTCTGTGTTTCTCTTAGAAGATAAAGGGAAGTTAAAAGCCAGCAGTTCCAGTCAGCCATCAAGCTCTGAAAGTGGCTCATTTCTCCTCAAATCTGGCACAACACCCCTGCCACCTGGAGCAGCCACTTCTCCCTCCAAGAGCACAAATGGAGCTCCCGGTACTGTTGTTGAATCAGAAGAAGAAAAAGCCAAAAAATTACTTTATTGTTCACTATGCAAAGTGGCTGTGAACTCCCTGTCACAGCTAGAGGCACACAACACAGGTTAGCAGCTATCTTTTGCATTTAAATAATGTTTATAACAAAACCCAACTTTTCCCATCAGAATACCATATCTTTTGTTGTTCAGACCTTAGGTTTGTTCCATGCTTCTCTACTTTTTTGATTCAAAGGAGTGATTTTAGAAAAGTATGATCATATGACTTTGGAACTAGCAAGACAAAAGCAGTTTGGAGATCAAACTTGTTCTATTCTTTATTTTCTTAAAAACATCTAATACTGTCCAAAACTCATTTTGATGAAGTGACAAAGATGAAGATAAATATTTATGCACAGTGTTCACTGCAATACACTTAAAAGAGAAAAAAATGGAAACAACCTAAAGCCCACCAGTAGGGAAATACTGAATATAGTAACCCAATATGATACATGTTAATCAGCCATTAAAACATAATGATCAGAAAATATGTACATGATTTGCTATGTGAAATTTTCAGGATATTTAATTAGTATGATCCCCATTATGAAAACTGTTTTTAGTACATTAAAAAAAAGAAACTGACAAGAAATACCCTAGAATGATAATAGTGGTTACCTCTGAGTAGTGAAAATATGAGTCATCTTTATTTCCTTATGTTTCTGTATATTTTCTTTATTATATACGCTTACATTTTTCCATTTTTTACAATAACGTGTTAAATTTAAAATCAGCATTAAAGTGATCATTTTTAAAAAAGCATTGGGAATTTTAGCCTGCAGGTAAACTTCTCAAGGATAAGAAAACAAAGAGCTTTATATAATTCTTGGATAGCTATTTAATATGTGTCTCTTTCTGTCTTAGGATCTAAACACAAGACCATGGTTGAAGCTCGTAATGGGGCTGGTCCAATTAAATCCTATCCTAGACCTGGATCAAGATTAAAGATGCAGAATGGCAGTAAGGGGTCAGGACTACAGAACAAGACATTTCATTGTGAAATCTGTGATGTTCATGTTAATTCAGAAATTCAACTCAAACAGGTAACGTATCCTGAATTAGTAAACATTATTGTTTTAGGTCACCACTTGACTGTGTATCTTCTCATCTATAGAATGGTTTTTACTGTGCTCACAGTTAAGTTGACTAACTTTTGTAGGATGCAGACAATATGCAACATATAGGTGCTAACATGGAAGAAAAAGTCAGTATGAAATATTTGAGCATCTACTGTTACTATATGTCAGGTTCCAGGCTAGATGTTGGAGAGATAGGAACAGTAGTCACTGGAGCCTACAGTTGAGCAGGAGCTTCTGGTAAGGTAAGATGTTAAGCCTATCTTCCAAAGGCTCAAAATCTGATTAGAGAGACTCATCAGTAACAGTGGTAATACCAGGCAAAATCTGATAAGGGCTATAGAGAACAGGAGGGGGACAGAGGGGCATTACAATTGAGGGAGGACTAAGTCTTAATTTAGAAATCATAATGATTTTACCCACACCATCGTGGAACTATGGACCTAGAGTTGGCAATGGAGAAAATAGCTACCTAGAAATACGTTTTACATGGAATAAGACTCACATTTCAGTCCAGCTAATGCATCAAACTTTTTCAGCACATTTCTAGCCGAAGGCATAAAGATCGAGTTGCAGGGAAACCACTGAAGCCAAAATACAGCCCTTACAACAAACTCCAGCGGAGCCCGAGTATTCTAGCAGTAAGTTTACCTCACCTGCTCACCTGTTTTGTGGGGCAGCCTTGCTGGGTTGGGCAGCCATTGTGGGCAAGGAGGGCATAGAGTCTAATGTCATGAAAGGTTTCAAATTTAAATAGCCCTCATAGACAGAAGTTTTAGAATGAACTGCTTAGTTCCTGCTATAGGGCAACTTACTTAGAAAACAGAAACTGAACCTCTTTAAGAGCTAATATTTTACTCTTTACCAAGTTGTTTTCAAAAGACTATCCTCTTTAGCATATAAAGTAAAGGCTCAAGAACAAGGACAAGTGATGCCTAAGGAATCCTGGAATGCTGAACCTGGAAAGAGGGATTTCTTTCATAAAACAAAAATCCATCCATTTAATTTAATATCCTCATGCTTTCTGTTTTTTATTATTATTATTATTTGGCATGAGAAGGTAAAGCGGTGTCTGTATCGTGTGCTCTCTCCATTCTAGCAGGCATGTTGGTAATTAGCCTGTTTTATCTGCTCTCAATATGTGCTATTTTCAGTGTCTTTGCAAAAACACCTAGGGACTCCAGCAATAAGTGTCATATAAATACCAAGATGGATAGATTTCACAATCTCCCTGGGACTGGGCCCAGTGCAGTGTTCAGTCTGAGGATGAAGCTGAGCTTGTCCAGCTGGAGGCAATTCTGAGATTACCTTCCAGCTTCTCCAAAGCCTCTGTCTGATGCTGCAAGCAGGTGTTACCTGCATTAAGCAAATCCAGCTTGCAATGCTCCTCCTGATTGCAAGAGAGAGAAATTAAGGATTGATTTCTTCACAGGAGGATTCCATCCTGGCATTCCGTTAAATAGAGAGTTTCTACCCACTTACAATCATTCTCAACAACAGAAATTTGATTTAGCTGTGATTTTTCAAGGACTACTCATTAAGTAGCCAGTGAGAGAGGTGTGAACTGACTGTTTTCTTGACTCTTCAGGGTCCCTAAAGTCCTGAACTCATTACCTAACCTCAATGCAGCTTATCTAAGAGAAGGGAAGGATCACACTTATTCTCAAAAAACAAAACAAAAGTCTCTAGGTCTCGTCATGGTTTAAGACAAGCCTGAATTTTGCATTGAACTTCATCATCTAAGCAGGAAACTTCTGGGCATGTTTTTTTTCCTGGTGAGCAGCAGCATAAAATAGCTTTAGAATTTATTCAGAGGCCTTTCCCTGTGCCCTAGCACACAGGAGCAAAGACCACCAAATAAAAGAAAGCTATGCCATGAGCCACTGAAACCAGCATTGTGAAAATAATGATTTCTTGACTTCTGAGAGTGAAGATTTTCAAAATTTAAGACTTCTTAATGTTGGTGTTTTACTTATGAAAAGATGCCTGTGGTGCTGTTATTCAAAAACAGGATCTCCACCCCATTCCTGGTTTTCTCCCTCCCTTAGGCAAAACTTGCATTCCAGAAAGATATGATGAAGCCTTTGGCCCCAGCCTTCCTGTCCTCACCTCTCGCAGCGGCGGCAGCCGTGTCCTCAGCGCTGTCACTCCCACCCCGGCCCTCTGCCTCGCTCTTCCAGGCTCCAGCCATTCCTCCAGCTCTTCTGAGGCCTGGGCATGGGCCCATCCGCGCCACTCCTGCCTCCATCCTCTTTGCTCCGTACTAACGTCTGCAAACCCCAAGACGTTTGAGGCCAGTAGGAAGTTGAGAAAGAAAGCCACAAGGATTCAGCAATTTAAGCAGTTTGTGTTGCAGTACCCCCCATTCACCCACAAAATGCAGCCCACCACCCAGTCCCCCAATTCCAGAGAGAAACACATCACTAGATTGACGAGGGCTTTTAGAGACTGCTCCTATAATTGAGGAATCAGCAGCATAGGCTTTATCTCCCTACTTCCTCCCCCACCCTACCGCGTTCAATTTGTGTATCTCAGATATTTGATTTCTTGAGCATGTATTGGTCAGAAAGAAAAAGAAAGAAAACCATTCTCTATTTTTCCATGGGTATGATCTGGCTTAAAACAATATGGAATATTTTCCTGACAGACTTGAAAACTAGGATCTTCCTCAGATGTCTGTAAATAACTCTGGTATCCAACTGGGTGTATTCTAGTGTGGAACAAAAAACAGTGAACACAAGTGCTTACTTGTGGATACTATCTTACCAACGGATCACAAAGTTCTCTTTTTGGTGTACTGTTGTTGACAGGGATTGTGTACTGTTTCGACCCAAGTACTGCTGTATCCTGTGTAGTACTAGATCTGTATCTCTTGTCTGAATTAAACATTTTTAGTTGCTGTGTAAATGTTAGGAAGCAAAGTAGCTTTGAATTTTCTCTGTAAGAGAATAAAAGATAAAATAATGTATTTTCTTTATTTCACATTTTATTTGGAGATATTTAAATGAAATAGAAAGCCATATAACATAGCTATAATTACTACCTGTTTGCTATTTTTGTTTAACTTATTTTGTAGCTTCCTCACTGGTTTGTGTTGCTAAGCAAACGTATACAAACAGAAAAAGAGCTTCCTAAATTGCACATTTTTGCACCTCTTGTGCATTCTGCAAGAAGACAATGAATCCATGTATTTCTATATAAGTATCTTCTTCATTTTTAACCTGTTTTCATTTGTAATGATGCTACATAATTTTGTGGCTCCCTAATGCAATAATGTACAGAAGATAAAAAAATTTATAATTGAACAATTTGTCTTTCTGTTCGCTGAATATATTGCAGGTCATGCTCCCATGCCCCCCTTTCTAAGCCGATATCAACAAGACTGGAATGTTTGTGATATCAGGGGCAAGAGTTATCATAGAACAACAAAATAGAGTGGACTCTTTTAGAGCATCTATATCTGCAACCTGTAAATGGTAAAATGTCTGTGTATTTTTTTAAATGTACCTTTTCAATAAAAGTACAAAAAATAAAATCTGTTTGTATTTTCAGTGTTTTTTTTCTCCTGAGACACCTCCAATTTGAAATCATCTGATGAAAGATTTTTAGTAGGTGCAAAGATTGCTTCTTACATAGCATTTTTAGCTCTTGTTTGCAGCATATTTATTTGTCATGTTTATTCATTACTGTTCACAGCATCTGCATGAGGTGAAATTTTACTGCCATTTTCTCTCTGAATCTCTAAGAAGTTGGGCCAAAGTTGTTGAGTCACCCAAAATCACAGTAGCAGCCTGCAAAAAACTTTGGACTCGGATTTTTTTTAACTTACTGTGGGTCCTCTAAATCTCTAGTTCATCTTTTATTGGTGTCCGTGGCATTTATGATCTCTTTTCAGAGAATTTTTTCCACTTCTCCTCCTTTGCCTTCTCCAATCAGCACATCCTCCTTTTCTTCCACCTCATTCTGTTGCTTTTAAGTACAAAGATCAATATATCACTGTGTGTTCTGGTAAATTATTGCTGCTTACAAGACTGCTCTAAAACTTAGTAGCTTAAAATAATAGCCATTTGATAACTAGTTATATCAGAATTTCATGGGTCAAGAATTCCAGCAGGGTTTGGCCGGGCTGTTCTTCTCTTCCCGGTGGCATCAATAGAGTACCTTTGTTAGTATTCGGCTCTCAGGCGGGCTGGGCTGGAGGGCCCAGGATGACTTCACTCATATGTCTGCCCAGTCAAAAATGACTGCAAGGTTGAGCCTTACTGGAACCATCTACCAAAGGACTTCCATGTGGCCTCCGCAGCATCCTCCTTGTTGTAGCAGCTAGTTACATAGTAGCAGAGAGAACATTTTAAGAGTCCTGGGTAAAAATCAAGAAGTAGTGTTGAAACTCCCAGCACGTCTTCTGCTGCATTCCATTGATCATGCAAGTCACTAAGACCAATTCAGATTCAAGGGGAAGAAAATTAGACGTCGTTTCCCAATGTGAAGAAGAAAAAGAGTTTGCCACCATCTTTAATCGACCACACTGTTATAGAATTTGGAGGGGAGTGGCTACAAAACCATTACAGATCCTGTTTCTCCCTACCCTGCATGCAAACCCTGTCAGTTTTTAAAAATGAGAATTAGTGGGACTTAGATTCTCATTTCTAAAAATTTAAGGCCAGTAGGTGGCAGTGTAGCTGTGATGCATGGCAATAGACTTCCTCTTTGAGTTTATCCAACTGAAAATTGTTGACCTTAATATTTTAGTCTTATAATCAGGTTTCTTTCAGACTCTAGTAAGATTTCAGTTTGATATTCAGAATTTGGTGTTTTTTAAAAATATGACTCATTTGAAGTCTAACAATACTAGTTACACTTAACCTTGGTTGGACCTTCAGTTGTGATTTATAGACAGCATGCCCTGAAGGAATTGTGTTTCCATTTAACACTTTGGAGTACTTTTTATTTTTATTTTTAGGGACTTCAGTGGCCATGATATTTTGTTTACCTTTCATTATCCTACATTTCATTAAAGCTTACTGCAATCCTCAAAAATTTGTAAATGGCAGTATTTAAATAGACTCAGGAAATTACTGATTAGATCTATAGAGTCAAGATTTGTTAAAATTACCTCAGGGAAGAAGTACAAAAGAATGCCAGTTAATTAAAATGAATGCTTTCAAAAGAAGCCGTGAGTAGCTTCAAGCAATTATTTATAAAACACTATTAAACACATATATCTCATCGTCCACCCTGATTCTGAAGTGCTAGTGTGGGTCAACCCTGGAAAGGATATACGTATTTGAACTAACACCTCTTCCTATGCTATTTCTAATGAGAAAAGAGTGCCACTCTACTTCACTTATTGTGAAAGTTAAAAAACATACTGCTTCCTCTGACACAGTCTAGTTCTGGTCTCTGTAGAATCGGAAAACCGGTCTCAGGTAGGGTTGCCAGATAAAACATAAACTACCCAGTTAAATTTGAATTTCAAATAAACAATGAATAATTGTTTGGTGTAATATTTTAAATAATGTTTAGTACAATATTGCACATTGCAGAAGTATGTTTCATAAATACACATGCAATATTTGGGACCTACTTATACTAGAAGATTATTTATTGTTTATCTAAAAGTCAAATTTAAGTGGGCATCCTATATTTTTATTTGCTAAATGTGGCAACCTTTTTCTCAGGAGGATTTCTCCTCATCTCAAGAACCATGATGCTTTAGGAGAGAAACAACCTCTTGAGTATTAAAAAGAAAATAATGAGTTTTTTAAAGGCACATTGTAATATATACTCACAAATAGGCAGAGGAAGGAACCTGCGTGAAGTAAAAGTCAATGATATATTGACTTTGCATAGGACCAGCAAGGGGGAAAATGTAACTGCAGATGCCTCTTACTTAAAGCTACAGTGATAGCTGTCTATCAAAATTAAACTATTGTAAAAGGAAAAAACAATTTTAATTTGTCTTATTCACCATCCACAGCACCGTTGATTTTCTTTTCTACCCTAAATGAATTCTGGCTTTTCAGAGCAGAAATAGATACGGTTATGTCGAATTTTTCTCTCAGATAGTGTTTAAAACAAAACGCAAAAAAACTATACTGCATTCAATGTCACTGGGAAAGAGAACCAAGAAAATTCCCACTGGAAAAACGAACAAACGAAGGAGAAAGACCTGGCAGAGCATCAGATGGAAATCCTGTTGTGCAGACTCCCAAAGGGAGCCTAAAGAGACTGACCAAGGAGATTGAATTTGGGGATCTTTTGGAAAATGGGCACCCACTGCCTGGGGTGCCATCAGGGAGAAGAAACATGCGGGGAGGAAAGAAGTGTCCAGGAGCTGTTTGACGGATAAAGATTAAGTTAGCCTCAAGGAATATACACCGTAGATAAGCACAGGCATCTTCAGGTGACAGGGTGAAGGATTTCACTCCATCTCTGCAGGTCTGTGTGGATTCTGGCTTTTCTTAACAGTGTTTCTTCCATCTGATCCTTGTTTTGTTAATATGATGTCCCTCGATGTCAGAGGTGTCATGTCTCTTTGGGAAAATATTAGTTTCTAGTACCGTGGTGGGTTGAGGAGAAGCTGTGCAGTGCAAGAGCAAATTCCACAGGGGATGCTACGTTTGCCTCCTTCCCTCCTCCATGTAATTAGCTCCATAGGGGAATTCATCAAGGACATGTCATTGCAGGTTCTCAGCAGCTATGGAGTGTGACTTGGTAATTGCCTTTATGTCTTTGGCTAACATTTCTACAGCCAGAATGACTGATGTATTCTTCTATTCCTAGCTAAGTGCTCAAAATGCATAAAACCTCTAGTCGTCAGAATTCCTTCTGTAGGTGCAATGAAAATAT
This sequence comes from Homo sapiens, assembly GCF_000001405.40. Lineage (NCBI taxonomy): Eukaryota > Metazoa > Chordata > Mammalia > Primates > Hominidae > Homo > Homo sapiens. Next base: position 179,438,664 of record NC_000002.12, on the reverse strand, counting down.
CTTCATGTCATATTTTTCATTTTAAGAAGTCACTTAACAGATAATTCGACAAGCTTGACATTAAGCATCTGCTGTTTATTTTTATTATAGTGAAAAAGTAAAATTAGGATATAGCAGAAGTAAATAAGAAAAATACATAATTTGCAAAGACCTGAATTCAAATCCTGATCATGTCATACGCACATTAGTTCAGTGATCTTATGTCAGAAAAATATTGTATGTTGTTTCCCCAAAGCCTCAGTTTTTCACATATATAAAATAGATATAATAGTATTCAACTCACAGGGTGATTCTAAGAAGCACATATAACTAAACATGTGAGAATGTTTTTTGTACATTATTACATGCTATATAAATTTGCATAGTAAATGGATAAGTCAAATAATTTTTTTCATTTTAAATTTGTAAATTATAAGATTCTCTCAAATTAGCCAACTTTTTGCTACCTTGCATTTATTTATTTTATTATAGGTTCAGTGGATACATGTGTAGGTTTGTTATATATATATAAAACATTTTATATATATAACATTATATATATTTTATATATATAACGTTATATATATTTTATATATATAACAAATATATATATTTGTTATATATATATAATAAATATATATTATATTTATTATATATATATAACAAATATAATATATATTATATATATATAACAAATATAATATATATTTATATATTATATATATAATATTTTATATATATATGGCATGATGCTGGGGTTTGGGCTTCTAATGAACAAATATATATATAAAATATATATTTATATATTATATATAATAATTTTATATATATATGTATGGCATGATGCTGGGGGTTTGGGCTTCTAATGAACATAGGACCCAATAGGCAGTTTTTCAACTTGCCCCCCCTCCCTTCTTCCCCACTTATGGAGTCCCCAGTGCCTGGTGTTTCCATCTTTATGTCCATGTGTACTCATCGTTTAGCTCCCAAGTGAAAATATGCAGAATCTGATTTTCTGTTTCTGCGTTATTTCACTTAGGATAATGCCCTCCAGCTGCACCGAGGTTGCTGCAAGGAACATGATTTCATTCTTTTTTATGTCAAATTAGCCAATTTTAAGTCTTTAGTGGTGACCTAGACTCAGAGAAAAATTTATCTGTAAAGAAGAAATAACAAATTCATCAATTGTATGTTTATGCTCCTAGTCTCAAAGGTATAATCCAAATTGAAGTAATAAGATAACAGAGCCAAAGTAAATGCAAAATGTTTGCTTATCACAAGAATGTTTGAATTTTATATCTTATATTCCACATAAGAAAAACATAATCTCAAGTTTTAAAAAATAAAAAACTTCCTTACATTGTAAAAAAAATCACAACTCCTGTTACGAAAAATAAAAAACTCATCACTGATGTAAAAACCTGTAAAACACTGTGTAAAAACACTGTTTTAAAAAACTTAAAATACTATGAAGACTATTTAAACATACAAAACAAACTAGGGAAAATATTTACAATCCTTTTGACTTACAAAGGTTCATATTCGTATACAGAGAACTCATAAAATGCGGTAGGTGAACTCTTTCAAAAAAGAAATTATCTCATAGAAAACCAGACAAAAAGGCAAACCAAAAAAGATAAAATATACACAAATGCCTAATAGGAGAAGATGTTTCTCCTTACTGAAGTAATATGAATGAAATCAACATGTTTTTGATCTAGCATATTAGCAAATAAATTTTCTAATTTTTTTAAACCTGGTATTAAAGAGGGTAGGGAAATAGACATATCCATACACTGTTCGTAGTAAATGAAAATTGCTTCAACTTTTCTGGAAGGATGGTTGGTCGTATGTATCAATCATCATGTTAGTTATGCCTAAATTTTGGCCCAGAAATTCCATGTCCAAGATTTTATTCTAAGACTATAACTATGTAAATTTAAAAAGATTTATGCACAAGTATGCTTTGAAATAGGAAAAAATAAGTTCATGCCTAGGACAGGAGTTAAAAAAAAAACTAGGGAACAAACATGCAGTCGGAAACAACAAGGCCATTAAAAATGACAACATCTCCAATTATTGACATGAAAAGATATCAATCATATATGTCTAAGTGGGAAAAATAAATGGTTGCAGAATGCATCCTGAGTGTGATCACATTCCCGTTAATTTTTTTTTGGAGTTTCGCTCTTGTCACCCACGCTGGAGTGCAGTGGCACTGATCTTGGCTCACTGCAACCTCCACCTCCCGGGTTCAAGCGATTCTCCTGCCTCAGCTTCCCAAGTAGCTAGGATTACAGGCACCCACCACCACTCCTGGCTAATTGTTTGTATTTTTAGTAGAGAAGGGGTTTTGGCATGTTGGGCAGGCTGTTCTCAAACCCATGACCTCAGGAGATCCGCCTGCCTCAGCCTCCTAAATTGCTCAGATTACAGGCGTAAGCCACTGCACCTGGCCTAAATTTTAAAACTACACCTGCGTGTTTGTATTTATGCATGGAGAGATGTCTGATAAAAGTGGTTAATCCTCACTGATAAAAGAAGTTACCCTTGAGTTGTAGATTTCTCTATGGCTTTATATTTTGATTATAATTTTTGGTACAGTTTGAATTTTTTACAATGAATATGTCACTGTTTCAGAATCACGCAAATATAATCAGTTGTCCCACTGTAATAAAAACATATACTTTTCACTTATAGTGACACAGTGACAATTTCAAAGGACTCTATGAAATTATAATTAGAAAATAAGCATATAATAAATATCAAATAAGAATGGTTGGTTATAAATATAAAAAGCAAGTTAAGACGTTTAGTGTTACTTCAGATTTTTTTTTTTTCTGTTTTCCTTACAAGTTAAGAAACTGTAATACAGTTACTATGAAAGAGGAAACACCCAATTTGCTTAAATAATGTAAATGGTTTCTTGAGGCCTATGACTCTCAATGCCATTCACACGGACTTTTCCCACATTTCTCCTAGGTTCTGGGCTTTTCTCTTGCCCCAACAATGCCATGCTTTTTATAACTAAGCACCAGTTTTTTGGGAATTGTATAACCAGGGCATAGTTTCATATGGCTCTATTTTTAAAAACTGAGAAATTGTGCCTATTTATGCTAATAATGACATTGTTATTAGAATAAAATACATTTGTCTTTTACTGTTGATTGGAAGTGCATTTGTACTATAAAATATATAGTTTGGTGAACTGGAAAAAAAAAGGCAGCCTTTCTTTTTCCTCTTTGAGATGCCTACCATCTTAGGCATATTTGTCTGACATGAAAAGAGCACGGACTAGAGGAGTGCAAATAGCTGGTAAAATCTCCTTGAAGAGCAACTGACAACATTTAACCTACAGGACCCAAAAGTTTCAAATGATAAAAGGATGTTGTAAAACACAAGCTCTCTTTCCTTCAAGGAGTCGGAATTCCATTCGGATGCCCTCCCTAAGAGAATTCACAATTTGGATGCCAATGATGGTTTCACTTTCCACTAAATATAAACACATGGCACGTATGAGACTGAATGTTAAAATCAAAGCTTGCATGATAAATAAGAGAACCCTCTAGTGAAGAAACACTTTGCATTTTGATTTCTAGCTCTTCAGGATAAAGATCAGTAGACTCTTCCTCATGGCTCCTGGTAATAAGAGTCTCTCCTGAGAGGCAGTATCATTATGGATAGCTGGTAGCCAAGTTCACGCCTTTGTTAAAACAAAAGGCTAGCTTTAACTCTCACTCTTAGAATTCCCAACATGGCTGAGCCCATTTTAAAATCAATATAGCGGGCAGCTAAGCACTGAAATCAGTTTGGAAGCAGAACACCAAGTAAGAGTGCAAAAGTACCACTCTCAGGCCAGAGCGCGAGAACTTTTCAATAGGGTGGTTGTTTGCTTCATCTACAGGCAAAAAACATAAACTGACCCACTAGTCACTGAGGTGCAAAATACAACCTGGATCACAGATTCTCAAAGATAGTGTGTAGAACAATCACCTGGAAAGATTATTAAAATGCAGATGCCAGAGTCCCACCCTAGAGATTATTATTCAGGAAGGTGTAAGTGGCTCCCAGAAATCTGCATCATAGCAGGTGCCCCCTAGTGTAACCAGGAGAAGGCAGAACAGTCTAGCTCATAAGATTAAAGAAGCTTTATTAGCTTCATTTGAAAGGATACCTATTATACTGCCGCATCTAGGCAGTGCTGTATGTGAGGCCCAGATTAAAGCAATAAACATTTCCAAAGATTATACTGAGTAGACCCAACTTCAGACTAGGGCTCCAAGGAGGTCCATCTCAAACAACCAAATATTTTTTGGTAAAAAATAAAGATTTTTTAATGCCCTGGGAATCAATTCACTTGTTTCCCCCTCACAAACAGAATCTGGTTTATAGCCCTTACTTTAAAAAAACAAACAAACAACAACAAAAAAAAAAAAAAACAAAAAAAACCAGGCCAGGCACAGTTGCTCATGCCTGTAATCCCAACATTTTGGGAGGCTAAGGCAGGTGGATCACGAGGTTAGGAGATCGAGACCATCCTGGCCTACATGGTGAAACCCTGTCTCTACTAAAAATACAAAAATTAGCCAGGTGTGGTGATGGGTGCCTGTGGTCCCAGCTACTCAGAGGCTGAGGCAGGAGAATCACTTGAACCCAGGAGGCAGAGGTTGCAGTGACCCGAGATTGTGCCACCACACTCCAGCCTGGTGACAGAGCGAGACTCCATCTCAAAACAAAACAAAAAAAAAATAGTTTATAATATGGAAGAGGACCCAGTGAGTCAAGACAAGTAAAGGAACCAGATAACCTCTAATTTAAGAATAGAAATAAAAGAAAAGTGGTTTTAGGTATTTATGAAAGATTTAGGCTAGTTCTTAGGTAGCAATTCTAGAAAACTAACAGGAGGATTACTGAAGACGGCTTTCAATGCAAGGTCTCTAAAATTTGCCCATTGCTATTATGGACTAGGCAAAGCATGACTTTAACTAAAGGACAATCAGTAATTGAGAACACAACTGAAGGAACCTCTCTGTCCTATTATCCTAATTTCTTAATAAATCTACTACAATAATACTAAAATTTGGCTATAATAATACTTGATTTATAACTCAGGGGATAAGGTGTTCAGTGTAAGCTTATTTTTTATAATACATGAATCTTAGTCCCTTCAGAACTTCTTTTCTCTTGGTTTTATTTAAACTTTTGGCTGGAACACTTTCTAAAAGTTATTACCTATGGTCTTGCCTGTGCAGTATATTATAGCAAGTATATCATTTGCAACATGGTATACTGGCTACAATCTTTTCTTGATGAGTCAAGTTCATCATTAAAACCATAATTTGTGGCACATATGTGGATGTCATATAGTCATGGAAAAAACAATGAACTAAAAATCAGAATTTCTAAGTTTTTGTCAGCAGAACCAGTACTTACCGGGCATGTTACCTTAAGCCAGTTTGAGACTCCACGTCCTCCTCTATAAAATGGGAATACTACTACTTGCCTTGCATTTGCCAAAATGTATTGTGGAGATCAAATAAAAACAATTATAGTAAGTGCTCAATACATTTTTAGCTATTCTATCTTTGGCATGTCAGGCACTGCACATATCCAAAAAACAGACAAGGAATCAAGGCTCACAGAAACTAAAACTTTTACAAATTTATCCCAGGCAGCTCATGCCATCTCCAATGCTCCCCATGACTTTGCCGTATCACTGTCAGAGCATCATATTCCACGGCCAAATCCTGGAAACCATTTGTAAAAACACAGAGCTTGTGAACTACGTACAGAGACTCCTGCTGAGACATGACATCTGAGTTACAAAAATGGAAAAATGAATGGAAAAGAGCTTTTAATTTAGTTCCATTCAACTGTCACTTATTGTTTATATCAAACACTGAAAAGATGGTAAACAGATGATTCCCACCTTCTGGTTTCTTAAAATGCTGGGAAGTAGGAAAGGAAGAAGGGCAGTGGAGAGGAGGAAGTGACCATGAAAGTAAACACATATGAACATTATTTCAATGTATGGTAAGATAAAAGGGAAGATAACTAGCCTAGCTAGGTGGTTGGCATATGTGTGGCTTGAGTAGGTGCTGAGAAAAACTTCCTGGAGATTCAGGTAGCTAAAATGGCAAGAAGAAAAGGCATCCAGTGAGAAAGCATGGCATGAAGATAGTACAGTGTATGGAGAGAACCAGAGCAGTTCATAGAGCTTGAAATGAGAAGTAGGAGAGGTACAAGGAGGCTGGGAGATAGATATGGATCAATCATGAAGAGACTTATACAGTGGTCTATGCTAAATCCTGTAGCTTGTGGGGATTGCTAGAGGTTTCTAATTGGTACTAATATGATGGGATTTGCATTTAGGGAGATCTTTCTGGAAGCAATATAAAAGAGGGATTGGAGGAAGTTATACGTATCAGAGAAAGAGTTCTGAGGCCATGAGAATGGCCTGAACTAGGGCCTCAGTAATAAAAACTATGAAATGTTTTGGACAACAAAAACCAAGCAGCAGCAGTAGCAGCAGTGATGACAGCATCATGTTTATAATGTTATTACACTTGAAGCATCTCAAGAGCAAGAACACTGGGGCCTGGTACTAGGTAGAAGCTCACTTGATACTCATTCAAAGAGTTTATTTTTATAATCTCCATGTATCCAGCATGATTGTAATATTCTCTGAGTTCCACTATTTACTTTTTTTTTTTTTTTTTGAGATGGAGTCTCGCTTTGTTGCCCAGGCTGGAGTGCAGCGATGTGCTCTCAGCTCACTAAAACCTCCACCTCCCAGGTTCAAGCAATTCTTCTGCCTCAGCCTCCCAAGTAGCTGGGAGTACAGGCACCTGCCACCATGCCCGGCTAATTTTTGTATTTTTAGTAGAGACGGGGTTCACTATATTGGCCAGGCTGGTCTCGAACTCCTGACCTTGTGATCCGCCCACCTCGGCCTCCCAAAGTGCTGGGATTATAGGCGTGAGCCACCATGCCCGGCCCTATTTACTTTTATAATGCATAATTTTTTTAGTGTCAAATTGCAAAGTAGTCATTTTTTTACCCTTTTTAGTTTCTACGAATGGAGAAATCAGAGAAGAAGACTGTTAAAACTGTGTGTAAAAAAGGAACAGAGCTCCCAGAGCAGCCTGAGGGATGCTCCCAGAAATAAAGTGTACTAGAATCATCCTAGTCTTTTTGACATCTATTTTGGCTGCTCAACAGCATTTCTTTTCTTTCTTACTTTTCGTTGTTCCATAGTGTTTGTAAGTTGAGGATGTCATATAAATGATTTCTGGAAATTTATTATGAATCACTATTATAACATGAAAATAAATCATAATCTTCTTAATTCATTCTACAAATAAAATGTTCAGGTGCTGTGCTAAGAATACTGAAATAAATGAGACTCCCACCTGGCTCTGAAGGATATTATTAAGACTCCCAAAGAAAGCAAAGTCAGTTATTGGGGTAGTAGGCTCCTTTTACCTTCATTTGCCTCTTTGTTTTAACTTGAACTGATTTATTCTCCTTCTGATAATGCTGAAATGAGTTTAATCTAGGGGCTCTCAACCTAGCTAAGAATTACCTGTGAAGATTCCAAAAAATATCAAAGCCATGCCCTCATCATTAGATCAACTAAATCCTAATCTAAAATGATGAGCCCCTGGCATTGACAGGAAAACAAAGAGACTCCCCAGGTGACCTTCATGAGCAGACCTAACAATCATCAAAAGGCTTGAAACCCTCTGTTATTCAGAGCAGAAGAAGGACCACAAATATAAAGCCCAGAGGCATTTGGTGCCCCAGATCACTTCTATTTGAGAGCAAAATGTGTCTCCCAAGCTCAGGGGAAAAAATAAATAAACCTGGTAAGTAGGTGTGTGAGTGGTGGGAGAGGAGAATAGATTTTGATTAAATGATTTTTGCTTTTCTTAATCAGATTATCTTCCAATTTTACCCATGTGTGGGCTTCCAGACCATTCTTATTTGGCGTTGTGTCCATGAGGACTTGGAAAGAAGAACATTTTTATTAATTACTAAACTGATGGAAAAGAATAAACTCTAGGAACTAGTCTGCTAAAATGATTTATATAAACATAAAATTCCTAAAGTGGTACAGAGTAATCTGTCCCACCATTGATGGCAGTACAACAAAAAAAATTAATTAACTCCCACAATTGACACATTCCTATATGGTTGGCTCCAAAAATTACCAGAGGAATTTTTAAGAATATCTTATTGTAAATCAACAATTTATAATTGTATAAGTTTATGGGGTACAAAGTGATTTCATGATTTATAAATCCAATGTGGAATAATTAAATCAAGCTAGTTAACATATTTGTCACCTCAAATAAGTAACATTTTTTATGGTCAGAACATTTAAAATTTACTGTCTTAGCAATTTTGAAATGTTCAGTACTCTTATTATTAACTATATTCACCACACTGTTCAATAGATCTCAAAAAAAAAAAAAGAAAAAAACAGTATTCCTTCTGAGATTTTGCACCCTTTCGCCATCGTCTCCCCATTCCCTCCACCCACCAGCCTCTGTAACCAGCATTCTACTGGGAAATTGGCATGTATTAAATTTATGAAAATCGTGAATTGGTTTTCATGAAATGGCTTTCTGATCACATAGCAGTATTTGGATACCCTAGTCCATTTGCTATATCTTTATGGTGATGAAGGTAGGGAAAGATGATCCCACATATTTAATAAATAATAGTAAATGACGACTGGAGACACTAATGCTAAAAAGTCATAGATGCTTCTGAATCATGATGTCTGTTGAAATCTCGAACAGGTTAAAAATCATCTCTATCTGCTTTGAGTGTGAATTTTGCTTCCATGGGGTGATGTCATCTGGTTTTCTTTCTGAAACCTCATGCCATTATCAGATTCTATAAAGTGAGCCACAGGGGGAACCTCACACAGAGCATGACAACAGCAGGACAGTAACCATATTTTATGAGACAGAGACTCTCTCCCTCCTTTCTCTTTCCTTCTTTTGAATTTTGCTAGCCAAATACAAACCCTTGGCAAAGGGCTTTCTCATTTAGGGACATCCCTGATAACTCTAATATGTTGTGCTCTGGCCATGACTATCTCAGAGAAATGCAGGGTGATTCCCTTTTCTGCATCCCTTAGAACATTTTCTAAAATAAAGCTGGAAACATGCATTGCAGACGGAAATGCAATCCTGTTCACCGAGAACTCCATGCCTGGACTCCCATTACAGAGCCCCCGGGCAAATTAGCCACTGAAGAGAGAAACCAACAGATAATGGAAGGATGCCGTGCACGTGTTTGCATACCGTCACACCCAGAAGTTAAGACCCATCATCTGTGAGTGCCAGGACCTGGAGGGGGAGAGCAGGTTTCCAGCCAACTAATAAAGCCGGTAGATGTAAGCTGCCTGGCATCCCCAAACAGGTGGAGCTGCTGTGGGGGCCTCCGCGAGCAGGGAGGCAGAAGTGGGGGTTGATTTGCTAGTAACTGAGGCAGGAGGCAGTCATCCACAGGTGTCCCAGTCGGTGTTGATTCCACGCAACCTGCTCGCCTACTCTCACTATCTGGAGACGTAGGTAAAATACTGCTCATTAAAAGCAAACACAGGGAGTGGAGCTAAGCTATTAGGCAATGCTGGAACTTGACAATTTAGGATAAGTCAAAATCCTTAGAGACAAGACCAGTTTGGCATTTAGGAAGATCAGGAGTCATTTTCGACGAGCAGGGGGTGCACTGTTTTAGCTGCTAGAGCTTTGACGCTGGTAAGCTTGACTTCCCGGCACAGCTCCCTCCTAAGAGCAGTTCAGTCGATAAAGGGACCCGTCTGGAGCAATTGCAAATGCGCTTGGCTCTAATTTCAATAATCAGTGTGAAACCTTGATCCAGCATGTGTTGAATGCAATGCAGTTTTCTTTTTCTTCTCTAGGAAGCAGATGGGAACTGTTACAACAAAAACAGCCAAAGGAAAAAGAAAGCCTGTTGTTTTGCTGCCCCTGCAAGTAAGTGGGAAGCAGTTTCCTGCTTTCTCCAGAGATGTTTGGAAGAAAATAGGATGTTCTAGGACATAAGTCTGAAAAGGTAAACAAGCCATTTAATTAACTGAACCACTTCAAAGCAAAAAAACAGGGAAAGGGTGGGATTAAGTACAAATCAATACAAACTATAGAAATATGAGATTCTTATCGACATAGTGTTTCCTCCCAAATTTTATACTGGCCTCTGCCCCCTCCCATCACCAACTACTCCAACATAAAGGTGCCTTCTCCCAGGCAGGAGCCATTTTATTGCTTTAAACCGGTGTGTGCAATCCCTTTAGACTTTGGTTTCAGAGGGCCCATGGCAGGTGTGCCTCTGAATCCTGGGACCTAAAACCTTCTTAGTATTATTTGAACTGTGCCTTGCACAGTGGCTTCCATTATTTAGTAAGTTCCTTCTGACTTGATTGTGGGGATCACGAAGATGAACTGCTACCATTTTATTTAGTTATTTTACCTGTTCCCAGGCGATGCAGATAGGCAGTAAAACTAATTAAATCAACACTCTCCATTACCACTCTTGCTATTTCCCCAGAATAAGTTGTCACTCTCTCTAAGAAAAAGAATTTTTTCCCCAAGGCTGTTTTAAAATGATAATACAACCTCTGCTACAAACGCAGGAGGGCTGGCAATAAGATGTGCAAACCTACCTTTCTAAATTTAATTAAACTCATGTAGCAAGGATGTCTTTTGGAGCCATAGTTTTCTATTGGGTTCAGGCATATTTAGGCATATTTGGAGAATTTGCAGGGAGGAATCTCTTTGCAGAGCAGAGCAAATGGCCTTCTCTCACAGTCAGCTGTCCCAAAGAGGAAGGGCCCAAAGGACCCCTGGCAAGTGAGGAAGCAGCTATGGGTTGAGAAGCTTAACCTGATAGCAAAGCCTTGGAGGGGGAGACAGTCCTTAATCTTTTTGGCTCATAGACCCCTTTGAGAACCTGCTGAAAGTATTGGTATTGGACCCTGTCCAATACCACAGAAAACATTTACCTATGCATTTGCAACACTCAATTTCTTATACCACACCAGATGTATTCTCAGATTCCAGCAAACCCATCTGTGGATCACCACTGATGGTTCTGTGGACTCAGGGAAACACTTTCCTTAGAGTTTCTGCTTCTCAAGAATTAACTGGAAATAGCTCAGCATCCCTACCCTGTCTCCAGCCCACTTCCCTGGATGCAGGTCTGGTCCTGGACAGAAAGGAGGCCACTGTTCTCAATTCAGTAGCACTGGCCACCAAGTGACACTGCTTTGGCCTCCTGTGTCTGGATTCATTCCAAGGAGAAAGATTTGGTCTCCCCCACTTCACCTCAGGCACTCGTAGGACAGCCACCAGAAGTGGACATCTATGCCCAGCAGAGAGGTGGGACAGTGCACGTGCCATGGAGGTGCCACACATGTGGAACACTTCTGGGAGAACCCACCAAAGCCTGGGGAGCTGGGGACTCACCCAGGCAAGGGCACCTGCACCAAGCCAACCAAATGTGAGTATAATGGTACAGTGATCTCATTTGTACATTATACCTGATAATTACCTCCTTTACATCATTATTTGGGATTTGGTACTGGACAATGTTAGTCTAAGATACAGGGGCATTTCTGGAGTAAAGTTCTTTCAAAACTTCAGTTTATTACAACTAATTATTTTTTTAGCATTTATTTATTTCATATTGTCATGACGGTTAAACACTGAAAGCATCCCTTGAGGCAGACATCTCCGAACACAACTCTGAGAAGGGTGGTGGAGTAAGTGGCTGTGTTTCCAAGGTGAGAATACTGAAGGGCTAGGCATGTAGATAAGTGTGTTGGAGGGGATGGGAGTGGGAGGCAGTCTTGGATAATACATGCAGATGTTCCCCCTGGTCCAGTGGTAGGAAGCTGCACTGACTTGCTGAATCTTAGGAATATATCTGCACCCAAAAGCAGGCTCAGTACTTGAGAGATTGTTGTCTTTTTGCTTCTATATTCATGTATTTACCTCTTCTAGTCTACTGGCATTTTGTTTCTTTCAATGTATTGAACTACCTTATAAAGGTGTTGGCAAAAAACAGAATTACAACAAAATTATTAGAATCTATGCTTTCCATATAATGGTGGGGGATGTTGCAGGGGTGCTGCTATCAATATCTTAAATAGAACAAATTAATATTCAATGACTAAAATAGAACAAATTTAGACTCTACTTTAGGTCACCTGTAAACTTGAGCAAGTCAGTTAACCCGTCCTGTTCCCTTAGACGCAAAATAGGATTTCAGCTAGATTATCTCTAATGTACATTCTGTTGAAAAATATTATTCATGCCTGTAATCCCAGCACTTTGGAAGGCCAAGGTAGGAGGATCACTTGAGCCTAGAAGTTTTGAAACCAGCCTGGGAAACATAGGAAGACTCTGTCTCTACAGAAAATTTTAAAATCAGCCAGTTGAGCATACCTATAGCCCCAGCTGCTCAGGAGGCTGGGGTGGGAGGATCACTTGAGTCTGGGAGGTCAAGGTTGCTGTGAGTCATGATCCTATCACTGCACTCCAGCCTGAGCAACAGAGTAAGACCTTGTCTCAGAAAAAAATAGTACTGTAGATATAACCATGATCATAATACCTTGATTTTGTATGGATCTTTGATACTCACAGAGCACTTTCTTTACTTTAATGTAGCTTATTTAGTGGTTGAGAACATAGGTTCTGGAGGCAGACTGCCTGTCTGGAACTTCTGGTTCCACCACCTACTGTGTGGCCTACAGCAAAGTATTAACCTCTCTGTGCCTTGGTTTCCTCATCTGTAAGTGACAATAATAATTCCTTCCTCATAGGATTGATATGAGGATTAAATGAATTGTCGCATACAATGAGCTTAGAACAATGCATGGTATATCACAACTGCTCAATAAATATAAATGTTAATTGTATTTATTTAAAAACTTAATATGTGAGTTGGTGCTTTCTTTTAATTTTTCATTTGATTTACCTCTTTTGCTTTTTTCTTATACATCTTTTTTACTCCATTTAATCTCTTGTGAAATAATTTAATATGGTCAACAAATTTGAATTTGTGATGGCCAACTTAAGGGCATCCTTTAGTTGTGTGCTGAGATACTGTTTAAAGCTGATACTCATTGAGATGTCATTTGAAACTATTCTTTTCTCCCACTTGTACCAGTCATATGTCTCCAAGTGTCTTAAGTAGTTTATTTTGCTCATAAATAGAATCCATCCAATAGTTCAACTTATTTATGGAACCCACCGACTCTTCCATGAAGGTAAGATGGCTAAGCACCTATAAAGTGACATTTAAGGGTCACTAAGAAGCTGCCTATTTCAAATAGGTCCCACTAACCACCTCATCCTTCTATCGGCATCAGTGTTTCTTTCTCTTCCTATTTTGTCTGAAACAAACACTGTGACTGCTTTGGTGACTAAGGTATAACTTACTGCTTTGGGGCAATAGGGAAGGTACTGCTTCTAGAAAGTACAAGCACTGTACACACAACATTTACTTTTCAAGGCATTTTAATGTGATTATTCTCATATGCACCTTCCAATGCACCTGAAGGACCAGGTAATCTTATCACAATCTACAGATGAGGAAACAGAGAAGCTGAGAGGTGGCCAAAATTACAAACATACTTATTGACTTGCTGAGCAATTAATAAGTGCTCAGCTTGGTCTTCTTTGGGGGCTTAAAATAGAAGACCTACATTTAGAGGAGTTTACAATTTAACTTTCTTTTTTTCCCTTGGAGGTTAGGAATTGTGTTTAAAATTTCTAGATTTCTAGATTAGCTGTTGCCTTGAAAAACAGAGAGAACCTACGACAGAGAACAAGAAACCAAAAACAGCTGAGTTTCAGAAAGAAAGTGAAATGGAAGAAGATACCAGTACATGATTCAAATGATCGAAACAGCCAACAGTGATGGTCTTTAGTAATGCAGAACTAAGATGAAAAAGCAGCTGAGGAAAAATGGGCCCTGAATGCAGGGTTAGATTCCCGATAATTCACTGAAAATAAGTAAAACCAACAGTGGTCAGTTTGTCCTGGGACCAGCCCTAGATCTCACACAGCCCATGATATTATAAAGACAAGGATCTCTAGATGCTGAATTACACATAGCAACTGGAACTTCCTCATTCTGAGTGGAGGATCAGATGAGGGCGTATTCATCATCAGGAAAACTGCTCCCTGATATTGTCATAAAGTCGTGTGAGATTTTATTTATTTATTTTTTACAGTTTCAGGGCTGCAAAAGCTATGAAGACATTTTAGTTCCACTCTCTTTCAAAAATTAGCAATTTATATTGCACCCTTATTTACCATTTGATTTATTTTCTCTGGCTTTCCTGCCTCATCTCGCTCCAGATCCTCTTGAGCACCTGCTTCACATCACACATTATTTCTCAAGAATATCTTGTTTAGTGCATGTCCTGCCTAGCAGTCATTTCCCCTAATTACTAATGCTGGTAATCAGCACCTGGCCATCACCTGAGACTTCCATCTCCCCATCTGTGTAGTGTAGGTATGCCTAGGCCACCACTGGCTACATTGGGTATGTGATCCAAGTTCATGCTGCTAAACTGGAGCTTGAGAAATGGAGAGAATTAGGGATCCTTCATTGGGCAGTGGTGTCCTGAAAGCATTTCCCACTAGTTGTTGTCTCTAGATCCCTGAAACTGTCCTTCCCAAGACCCAGCCTCTCATCTTTTCTTAGATTCTGTAAGTAGTTCTGTCTTCTCCTACCAATAAATTCCCATTTCCCTTTGTGCTAGCCAGGATCAATTTCTATAGCTTACATCCAAGAATTCATAACTGATACAGTGCTTCAGACACATCAGAGCAAAAAAAAATTGCTTTCCCTGTAACCATTAAGCTTTAATATGTTTAAAAATCCAAGACCTTTTGCTATGTTGAGAGACAATATGTCATATAATGAGTAAGAAGCATGCGCCCTTCCTGGTTTGAATCCAAGTTTCATCCCTCACTGTCAGTTGAGGGCACATAACCTCTCTGGTCCTCAGTTTTTCCCTCTGATAATAATAGTTTCTACCTCATTGAAGTCTTAAAGGTCTAAATGATCTAATAGGATCTTTGTATGTATTTAGTACAGCTAGTACAGAATCTAGGACTTAATAAGCTCTCAATAAGAGCATCCATTATATTTCTTGCTCTCCATATCCAGTAAGTTCATATTAAATCAGGATGAATAGGCTAAGCGTTCAGAATTTGAATAATTTCCTTTCAAGCCACTACACCAACATATTGTGTGATTTCTGTGTTGCCTCCATCTTTTTGCTATAAAATGAAGTAGAACAGATGGATTGTGAGATAATGAGTGTATAAAGCACTATGAAATCCTTAGATAAAAGGGGCCCCTGAGCATCATTATCACATGACAAGAAATCGACTGTTACTTTAGGTCAGGTTTTATATTTTTAATATATTTTAAACGCATTTCTGGGTCAACATGTGAGATGAGGAAAACAAGTGGTGTTTGAACAGAAGCTCATGAACAGTGGTATAATTACTTCCTGACCTGCACTGCCTTACTGTAGTCAACTGACTGCACAAAGAGTTTGAAAAACAAAAATCCTAATTTTTCTGAGGTTTACAATTTTTGGGACCTAGTTCTGATAAATAAGGCCATGCCAAGTCTACTTCTGTGACTTGGATAGGCTCAAGCACTTGTAAGTAAATCATAGAACATTCAGCTATTCATTTTTTAATAAACATCAAGCCAGAATCAGTATCCTTTCTCAATAGAGCTGTTTTTAGAGTATCTCAAAATTCCTTGATACTTCCAAGGACACCAACATCATCTAATTTGTGAATTGCAAAGATTATCTCCCTTTCAGTCATTACGGGGAATATAATAAAAATAACCATAATTATGCCCAATGAATGATAGACAATTCCATGGGTAGCATGGTTTGGAATTGAACCTGGATTTTAGTTGTCTCTGGCACTCATTAGCTATGTGACTTTGACAAATTACTTACATTATTTTTTTTAGTTAAACAAGATAACACATAATTTATAAGCTACTGTGTGAAAAACATCTAACCCAATATCTAGCACATAATACATATTTCTTCTCCTTAGGGCCCTGAGATAAAAGATTCTATAACCTTGGTGCAATCCTAGAGCCCTCAGGTTTTCAGGTTATTCTCTTGAGGGTTAAACTGAGTTTATAAGAACATAGGAGAGTGGTAATTTTCCTATCTGCTCCTGAGATCTCCAACGGAATTAACAGGAACTCCTGAAACTGTTTTCTTTCTCAAATTACCCACATAGGAAGTCTATATAGTAATGAGAAATAATGGGACTGAAAACGGGACCCAGGTAAACTTCTATTCCTAAATCTGCTATCAACATCTGCCGGCCAGGACGCAAGCAAACTCACAGCTTTCTGGTGCCCCCTGGAGGCTACCAACACTGTGCCTCATAATGCAAGGAACTTGTCTCTAAGGGCAAAAAAGGGAAATTCGGTCTCACTCCTACACATGTTAAAGTAAAAAAAAATAAAAAATAAAAAAATATAAAAAAATAGGAAACTTCACTACACTAAGCATTTGAAATATATTGACATTTGTAATTTTTACTACAGTCTATAAGATTGTTAAAATTATCATACCCATTTCTAGATGAAGAAGGCCAAAACCCAGAGAGGTTTACTAAGTTCACAGTGTCCCACAGTTAAATGAGTAATAGAGCTAGAATTCAAACCCAAATAGCCTGATCTAAAGCTAGACATATTAGCCATTATTTTATACCTTTAATATGGACATAGTAACCATTACTTTATAACCTTATACTTTTTACGTAGTCTTTGGATACTTTGGTTTGTATCTAAAGACTAAGTGCTAATACCTTGGAAAGTCACAAAAATATAAGGATTGGCCTATGCTTTTTACCAAAGTGTTAAACGTGTTGAAATTTCTCAGCATATTCCATGTATATAATAAATTAGGTACTAATTTTTGTTTCTTTTATTTCTGGCATATCATGTTCTGTGTATTTTTTCCCATAAAAACTAAGTAAAACAAAACAAAACAAAAAATTTTCTCAAGCTTTTGTCGTCTGATACTAAATTCATTTTTATTTTCTCATATAGAGTAGTTATCTTTATTTCTATGCTCATTAACATTCTATGTCTGAATCCTTTAGAAGAAATAATAACAAATATTGCAGACAAGGTCATAAAAATGATATTCCAGAGAAAGGCAAATCAAAACCACAATGAGACATCACTTCAAATGCGTCAGCATGGCTACTATTAAAAAAAGAGAAAATAACAAGTGTTGGTGAGGATGTGGAGAAATCGGAATCCTTATGCACTGCAGGTGGGATGTAAAGTGACATACCTGCTATGAAAAACAATTTGTCAGTTCCTCAAAAATTAAAAAATAGAAATACCATATGATCTAGCAACTCCACTTCTGGGTATATATATCCAAAAGAATTGAAAACAGGAACACAAACATATATGTATACCCATATGCATAGCAACATTATTCACAATAGCCAAAAGGTGAAAGCAACCCATATCCTTTGATGGGTGAATGGATAAACAAAATGTGGTTTATGTATACAAATGTATACACACATACATACACACACTGAAATATTATTAAGCCTTGCAAATTAAGGAAATTCTAACACATGCTACAACATGCATAAACCCTTAAAGACATTATGCTAAGTGAAATAAGCCAGTCACAAAAAGACAAATACTGTATGATTCTTCAAGTAAGGGTACTTGGAGTACTCAAATTCATACAGAAAGTAGAATGTTAGTTGCCCAGGGTTGGGCACAGAGAAAAATGGAGAATTATTGTATAATGGATACAGAGTTTCAATTGTATAAGATGAAAAATTCTGGAGAGGGATGGTGATGATGGCTGTACAACAATGTCATTGTATTTAATGCCTTTGAACTATACATTTAAAAATAGAATGGTAAATTTTATGTTATATATTTTACCATAATATTTTAAAATAAATTAATTAAGAAGACTGTTTTTTATCTTTTAAGTTCAGGGGTACATGTGCAGGTTTGTTTTATAGGTAAACTTGTATCCTGGGGGTTTGTTGTACAGATTATTTCATCACCCATGTATTTAGCCTACTACCCTTAGTTTTTTTCCTGATCCTCTCCCTCCTCCCACCCTCCACCCGCTGATAGAACCCAGTGTCTGTTGTTCCCCTTTGTGTCTATGTGCCCTCATCATTTAGCTCCCACTTATAAGCAAGAACATGGGTAATTTGGTTTCCTGTTTCTACATTAGTTTGTTAAGGATAATAGCCTCCAGCTTCAGCCATGTCCCTGCAAAGGACATGGTCTTTCTTTTTTATGGCTGCAGAGTATTCCATAGTATATATGTACCACATTTTCTTTACCCAGTCTATCATTGATGGACATTTAAGTTGATTCCATGTCTTTGCTATTGTGAATAGTGCTGCAGTGGGCATATGTGTTCATGTGTCTTTACAACAGAACAAATTATATTCCTTTGGGTATATACCTAGTAATGGGATTGCTGGGTCAAATGGTATTTCTGTCTTTAGGTCTTTGAGGTCATTGCCACACTGTCTTCCACATTGGCTTAACTAATTTACACTCCCACTAACAGTGTATAAGCGTTCCTTTTTCTCCACAACCTCACCAGCACCAGTTATTTTTTGACTTTTTAATAATAGCCACTCTGACCCTTAGATAGTATCTCATTGTGGTTTTGATTTGCATTTCTCTAATGATCAGTGATGTTGAGCTTTTTTTCATTGATTGTTGGCTGCATGTGTGTTTTCTTTTGAAAAGTGTCTGTTCATGTTCTTTGCCTACTTTTTCAGGGAGTTGTTTATTTTTTTCTTGTAAATTTGTTTGAGTTTCTTATAGATGCTGGATATTAGACCCTTGTCTGATATATAGTTTGCAAAAATTGTCTGCTATTCTGCAAGTTGCCTGTTTACTCTGTTGATACCTTCTTTTGCTGTGCAGAAGTTCTTAAGTTTAATTAGATCCCATTTGTCAATTTTTGTTTTGTTGCAATTGCTTTTGGCATCTTCGTCATGAGATCTTTGCCCATGCCTATGTCCTGAATGGTATTTCCTAAGTTATCTTCCAGGGTTTGTATGGTTTTGGGTTTTACATTTAAGTCTTTAATCCATCTTGAGTTAATTTTTGTACATGGTATAAGGAAGGGGTCAAGTTTAAATCTTCTGCATATGGCTAGCCAGTTATCCCAGCACCATTTATTGAACAGGGAATCCTTTCACCGTTGCTTGTTTTTGTCAGGTTTGTTGAAGATCAAATAGTTGCAGCATGTGGTGTTATTTCTGGGTTTTCTATTAACTGTAGTTAATACCACAATGGGCAATAGATCTCTTGAACTTATTCCTCCTACCTAACTGAAATTTTGTGTCCTTTGACAAACAGCTCCCCAGTACCCCTCCCCTCCAGCGTAAAAATGTTCACAATAACATTTTTAGGTAATCACCATTTTACTCTCTGTTTCAATGAGTTAGACTTTTTAATACTCTACATGTAAGTAAGTATTCAGCTTTCTGCATCCAGCTTATTTCAATCAACCTAATATCCTCCTAATTCATCCATGTTGTCACAAATGACAGGATTTTCTTCTTTTTAAAGGCTGAATAGTATTCCATTGTGCATATATACCACATTTTCTTATCCATTCACCTATTAATAAACACTTAGGTTGATACCATATTTTGCCTATTGTGACTAATCCTGCAATAAACATGGGAGTGCAGATATCACTTCAATATACTGATTTCATATTCTTTGAACATATACCCAGCAATGAGATTGTTAGATAATATGGTAGCTCTATTTTTAATTTTTAAAGGAACCTTCATACTATTTTCTGTAACGGCTGTGCTACTTTATATTCCCACCAACAGTATGCAAGTGTTCCCTTTTCTCCACATCCTTACCAATACTTTCTATCTTTTGTCTTTTATGTTTGTTTGTTTTCAAGAGACAAGGTCTCATTCCATGGCCCAGGTTGGAGTACAGTGGCATGATTATGGCTCACTGCAGCCTTGAACTCCTAGGCCCAAGCAATCCTCCTGCCTCAGCCTCCCAAGTAGCTAGGACTACAGGCACATGCCACGATGCCTAGGTAATTCTTTTGTCTTTTTGATAATAACCATTCTAACAGGTATGATGTAATATCTCATTGTTTTAATTTGCATTTCCCTGATGATTAGTAATGTTGAGCATTTTTTTCATATACTTGTTGGTCTTTCATATGTCTTTCTTTGAGAAATTTCTATTCAGGTGCTTAGCCCATTTTTTAATTGGATTTTTCATTTTCTTGCTATTGATCTGTTTGAGTTCCTTATATATTTTGGATATTAACCCCTTAACGGATTTATCGTTTACAAATATTTTTTCCCATTCTGTAAGTTCTCTCTTCACTCTGTTGATTGTTTCCTTTGCTGCACAGAAGATTTTTTGGTTTGATGCAACCCCCAACAGTCTATTTTTGCTTTTGTTATCTGTGCAAACATGTTACATGTTAGGGATCATATCCAAAAAAAATCTGTCTAGACCAAGGTCATGGAGCTTTTCCCCTATGTTTACTTCTAATAGCTTTACAGTTTCAGGTCTTACATTTAAATCCTTAATCTGTTTTGAGCTGATTTTTGCATATGGTGTGAGATAAGGATCTAGTTTCATTCTTCTGCATGTGGATATCTAGTTTTCCTCGGACTGTTTATTGAATAAACTGTTCTTTCCCCATTGTGTGTTCTTGGCATCTTTGTCAAAAATCAATTGACCATAAATGCATGGATTTATTTCTAGGCTCTCTATTCAGTTCCATTAATCTGTGTCTGCTTTTATGTCAGTACCATGCTGTGTTAATTATTATAACTTTAATTATCTATTTTTGTGAAACACAATCTTATGGTTTAAAACCACATGATTTGTTATTTCTTATGATCCTGTGAGTCAAGAATTTGCATGGCTCACCTGGCTTGTTCTGCATGACATGATGTCAGCTACTGAACCTGCATTTATCTGGAATCTGGACTGGGGCTGACATCTGAGATGCTCTTCCACCCCTAGCATTTCTCTCCTTGTAGCCACTAATCATTTATTAGTCCAGCCTATACTTCCTTATAGCATGGTGGCAGGGATCCAAAGGAAAAAAAAGCGGAGGTTGCCAGAACTCTTAAGAACTTGTCTTAGAAGTCCTAGAATATTATTATTTTCAGCACATCTTATTTGTAAGACTCAAGGGGAGAAAAAGTAGACTCAGCTTCTTGATGTGAGGGGCAACATACAAGAGTGGGGGAATTGCCAGCAGCTATATTTGGAGATTTTCTACCACAATAACATTTTTAGGAGATTATTTTATTTAAATTTTTTTTATTATTTTAGATTCAGGGAATACTTGTACAGATTTGTTACATGGGTATATTGTATGATGCTGAGGTTTGAGCTCCTAATGATCCCATTGCCCAAGCAATGAACATGATACCTGATAGATAGTTTTTCAAGCCTTTTCTCCCTCTCTCCTTTCCCCCTTCTGGGATCCCTGGTGTCTATTGTTTTTACCTTTGTGTTCATGTGTACCCAATGTTTAGCTCCCACTTAGAAGTGAAAATATGTAGTATTTAGTCTTCTGTTTCTGCATCAATTTACTCAGAATAACTGCCTCCAGCTGCATCGATGCTGCTGCAAAGTACATGACTTTGTTCTTTTTTATGGCTGCATAGTATTTCATGGTGTCATATGTACCACATTTTCTTTATCCATTTCATCATTGATGGACACCTGGGTTGATTCCATGTCTTTGCTATTATGAATAGTGCTGTGATAAATATGCAAATACATGTGTCTTTTTGGTAGAACAATTTATTATCTTTGGGTATATACCCAGTAATGGGATTGCTGAGTCAAATGGTAATTCTCTTTTTATTTCCTTGAGAAATCTCCAAACTATTTTCCACAGGGGCTGAACTAATTTACATTCCCACCAACAGTGTATAAGTGTTCTCTTTTCTCTGCAACATTGCTAACACCCGTTATCATTATTATTATTTTTTTTTACTTTTTAATATAAGCCATTCTAACTTGTGTGAGGTAGTATCTCATTGTGGCTTTTATTTGTATCTCTCTCATGATTAGTGATGGTCTCTATTTTTTTCATATTTCTTGGCCACTTATATGTCTGCTTTTGAAAAATATCTGTTCATGTCCTTTGCCCACTTTTTAATAGGGTTGTTTGTTTCTTGTTGATTTGTTTAAGTTCCTTATAGATTCTTGATATTAGGCTTTTTTTTTTTTTTTTTTTTGAGACTGAATCTCACTCTGTCACCCAGGCTGGAGTGTAGTGGAGCTATCTTGGCTCACTGCAACCTCCGCCTCCCAGGTTCGAGCAATTCGCCTGCTTTAGCCTCCTGAGCAGCTGGTATTACAGGCGGGCGCCACCACACCTGGCTAATTCTTTTGTATTTTGAGTAGAAATGGGGTTTCACCATGTTGGCCAGGCTGGTCTCAAATTCCTGAACTCAGGTGATCCTCCTGCCTCGGCCTCTCTAAGTGCTGGGATCACAGGCATGAGCCACCATGCCCAGCCTTGGATATTAGACTTTGTGGGGTGCATACTTCGTAAATATTTTTTTTCCGATTCTGTAGGTTGTCTGTCTATGCTATTGATAATTTCATTTGCTGTGCAGAAGCTCTTTAGTTTAATTAGATCCCAATTTTCAATTTTTGTTTTTGTTGCATTTGCTTTTGAGGACTTAGTCAAAAATTTTTTGCCTAGGCCAGTGTCTAGAAGAGTATTTCCTACTTCCTACTTTTTTCTAGAATTTTTACAGTTTTAGGTTTTATATTTAAATCTTTATTCCAGCTCGGGTTAATTTTTTTTTATACAGTGATAGGTAGAGGTCCAGTTTCATTCTTCTGCATACAGTTAGCTGGTTTTCCCACCACCATTTATTGAATAGAATATCCTTTCCCCATTGTTTATTTTTGTCAACTTTGTCAAAGATCAGTTGGTTGTAGGAATGCAGCTTTATTTCAGTGATCTCGACTCTGTTCCATTGTTTTATGTGTCTATTTTTGTGCCAGTGCCATGTTGTTTTGGTTACTGTAGCCTTGTAGTATGATTTGAAGTCAGGTAGAGTGATGTCTCCAGCTTTGTTGTGTTTGTTTAGGATTGCCTTGGCTATTTGGGCTCTTTTGGGGTTCCATATGAATTTTAGAATAGTTTTTTCTAAAAATGACTTTGGTAATATGTTGGGGATAGCACCAAATTCATAAATTGCTTTGGGTAGTATAGACATTTTAAAAATATTGATTATTCTAATCCATAAGCATGGGATTTTTTCTATTTGTTTGTGTTGCCTATGATTTCTTTCAGCAGTGTTTTGTAGTTCTACTTGTAGAAATCTTTCACCTCCTTGATTAGATGTATTCCTAGGTATTTTATTTTTTGTTAATTGGGATTACAATTTTGATTTGGCTGTCAGCTTGAATGTTATTGATGTATAGAAATGCTACTGATTTTTGTATGTTGATTTTTGTAGTCTAAGACTTTACTGAAGTCATTTATCAGGTCTAGGAGTCCTTTGGTGAAATCTTCAGGTTTTCTAGGTATAGAATTATATCATCAGCAAAGAGATAATTTGACTTCCTATTTTCCTATTTGGATGCCTTTCATTTCTTTCTCTTACCTGATTGCTCTGGCTAGGACTTCCAGTACCATATTCAATAGAAGAAGTAAGAGTGGACATCCTTGTCTTGTTCTTAGGTGGAATTCTTCCAAATTGTATTTGTTCAGTATGATGTTGGCTATGGGTTTGTCATAGATGGCTTTTACTATTTTGAGTTATGTTTCATCAATGTTCAGTTTGAG
The DNA here is from genome assembly GCF_000001405.40 of Homo sapiens. Taxonomy (NCBI): domain Eukaryota; kingdom Metazoa; phylum Chordata; class Mammalia; order Primates; family Hominidae; genus Homo; species Homo sapiens. Next base: position 179,414,756 of record NC_000002.12, on the reverse strand, counting down.
GGTTTTACCATGAAGGGATGTTGGAGTTTACTGAATGTTTTTCTGCGTCTATTGAAATAATCATACAGTTTTTGTTTTTTATTCTGTTTATGTGGTTTATCATATTTATTGATTTGCACATGTTGACCTATCCTTGCATCCCACTAATAAAGCTCACTTGATCGTTTCACCACGATGAATTAACTTTTTGATGTGCGAAGGCTGGATTCAGTTTACTAGTACTTTGTTAAGGATTTTTGCATCTAGGTTTATCAGGGATATTGGACTGAAGTGTTCTTTTTTGTTGTTGTTGTTGCATCTTTGCAAGATTTTGGTATTAGGATGATATTGGTTTCATTGAATGAATTAAAGAGGAGTCTCATCTTTGAGTTTTTGAAATAGTTTAAGTAGGATTGGTGCCAGCTCTTTTTGTACGTCTAGTAAAATTTGGCTATGAATCCATCTTGTCCAGGGCTTTTTGTAGTTGGTAGTTTATTTTAATCAGTGATTCAATTTCATTACTCATTATTGGTCTATTCTGGATTTCTGTTTCTTCCTAGTTCAGTCTTGGGGGATTGTGTATTTCCAAGTATTTATCCATTTCCTCTAGATTTTCTAGTTTGTGTGCATAGAGGTGTTCATAATAGTCTCTGAGGATCTTTTGTATTTCTGTGGGATTGGTGTGATGTCACCTTTGTCATTTCTGATTGTACTTATTTGAATCATCCCTCTTTTTTTCTTTATTAATCTAACTAGTGCTCTATCAATCTTGCTTATCCTTTCGAAAAACCAACTTTCAATTTGTTGGTCCTATTTTTTTTTTTTTTTTTTGGTTCTCAATTTCATTTTGTTCTGCTCTGATTTTTAGTTATTTATTCCGCTAACTTTGAATCTAGTTTGTTCTTGTTTTTCTAGTTCCTTTAGGGGTAAGGTTAAGTTGTTCATTTGAAGTTGTTCTATTGGGTACTCATGGACACAAAGATGGAAACATAAACACTGGGGATTCCAAAAGGGGGAAAGAGGTGAGGGAGTTGGGGAAGGTTTGAAAAACTACTTACCAGGTGCTATGTTTTCTACTTGAGTGATAGGATCACTGGAAGCCCAAACCTCAGCATCAGGCAAAAAAGAAAAAGGGAGAGAGTGGTAAATTTTATAAACTGGCAATTCAGAGAAAATAATACTTGAATGGCCAATAAGCATATGAAAATATGCTATATATTTCTTCATAATCAGGGAATATAATTAACATGACAATAATATACTATTACTGAACTCACATCCATTGTGGGTTTACCAGAATTCATGCTCATTCTATATAAACACACCTAAGACTCTAAGAGTAAGTGGGGACCCTGAGAGTCCGTGCTATTAATTTAAACCAGAACTTGCTTCAAACAAAGAAAGTAATCCAAATAACTAATCTAAAAACACAAATATCCAAAGAATGCTATCATATCCTTTCTTATTCACATTACTTCCCTGTGTTAGCTAAAGTTTACATTAAAAAAAAAAAAAATATATATATATATATATATATATATATATATATATATATATATTTTTTTTTTTTTTTTTTTTTTTTTTCAGACAGAGTCTCGCTCTGTCACCCAGGCTGGAATGCAGTGGTGCGATCTTGGCTCACTGCAAGCTCTGCCGTCTGGGTTCACGCCATTCTCCTGCCTCAGCCTCCAGAGTAGCTGGGACTACTAGGCACCCGCCACCGCGCCTGGCTAAAATTTTTTGTATTTTTAGTAGAGACAGGGTTTCACCATGTTAGCTAGGATGGTCTCGATCTCCTGACCTCGTGCTCTGCCCGCCTCAGCCTCCCAAAGTGCTGGTATTACAGGCATAAGCCACTGCACCCGGCCTAAAAATATTTTTAAAGGAAAAGATAGAATAACCTAAAGTTTCTTTTTCTTTGAGATATTTCTTATTCATCAGTGAGTCAAAGATAGAATGTTGGCAGAATGTGTGTGTAACAAGAAGTGAATAGAGCAATTTTTTTTGTATTTCAACTGTTCAGGCAGGAATTAAACACATATGCATACACGAACTACAAAATACTGGTAATTCTGCAAATGAGTTAAATACACTTATTAAAACTGGCATTGCATAATATCAAGTTGAATAGTTAAATTTATGCTAATAACTTAAAATTTTTCTTAAAATGATGATTACCCCTATTGGGTATCATAATTAATAAAATTACTTCAAAAGGAAAAGCTTTATATATTAGTATTTTCAATGGAAATCTTTCCTGCTTTTGAGCAAGAGGCCCACATTCTTATTGCCCTGAGCCCCAGACACAATATAGCCAGGCTTGTTAAAATCTGAACTATTCTAACTGTGACAAAAGTTTATTTTCTTATTTATTCAACCAACCTAGAGCTTTTTATCTTTCCACAAGCACCAAGTTTCAGCTGTTACTGAGAAATTGGAGAAGGGGGAGGGTAAAGCAACCAAGGGAGATGAGTAAGCAGTAGAACACAAAATTAATGCTGAAAGGCTGAAGTCATCGACCTGTTTAAGAGTAGGTTAAATGCCTTCATTTACATCTTAGCGTTATTGTAACAAGGATGTGAACACACCTTTTGATCTCATATCCACTACACCCCAGTGGGTGTGTAGTGAGATACTCATGGCACTTCTGTTGCTGCGCATGGGGATACCCCCTTTTCCCCCATCTACATCTTCCTGTCCTGTGTCATACCTGCTGTGGGGGTTAACAGATAACCAACCTTACTCCCAGCCTAAAACTCCAACATCCAGGTAATTAAACATTTTGTGTTTCAGGCCGGGCACAGTGGTTCAGACATGTAAGCCCAGCACTTTGGGAGGCAGGGGCGGGTGGATCATTTGAGGTCCGGAGTTTAAGACCAGCCTGGCCAACATGGTGAAACCCCACCTCTACCAAAAATACAAAAAATTAGCTGGGTGTGGTGGTGCACACCTGTAGTCCCAGCTACTAGGGAAGCTGAGGCAGGAGAATCACTTGAACCTGGGAGGCAGAGGTTGCAGTGAGCCCAAGTCGTGCCACTGCACTCCAGTCTGAGAGACAGAGTGAGACTCCACCTTAAAAAAAAAATACTCTGCCTTTCAGTTAAATATTTCCGGTTCTTTTCAGAGAGGGAAGTTTGCTACATCTGTTCATGTTCCTCTCCTTTCTTCCCTTCTACTTTGTTTGAAGGTCACTAAGTAGACCTTCTACTTAGTGAGCAGGTCTCTTCTTGAGTGTGCCTAACCCATCACAAACTTGGGAGCTGGGAGAAAGGGGACTTCCCAGGGAGCAAACGTAAGGATCGAATCCTGGCCCCTTACAAGTCCTGTCTAGAAAGTGACTCCATTTTGTCTTTAAGTCATGTCACTCTTCACCACAGTTGAGACAAACTTGGGGCTATTTCCCACCTCCAAAGTTCTGTGCAGCTCAAGAATGATTACCGAAGCTGTCTCAACCACAGAAGAGTTTGAAAAATGCCTATTGAGTGGTAGAGAAACTTATGATCCCCCTGTGACACATCGTGCCCCACTGTCAGCCTGGTCAGTGTTGAGACACCTACCTGGGAGCCCCACTTTAATAGGAGAGGAAGAATACCGGCCTCACTGGCTGTGCTTCAAGATGGCTCTGTTGCCTGGATCCCAAATCGCGGTTCAACATTAGCATTCAAGAGCTTCAGGGCTCCAAGCACCACACTATTGCCCCCTGGTGGATGATAGAGTAAAGTAGCTTTTCCAGGCTGAACATCTAGATGGAATATTTCTTCAAGTTTGGTTATTAATTTCATACATGAATTGCAGTAACTGCCTACTCTAACCTACGCTCTCTCTAGAACAGTGAAGTATTTTGCCATAGACCAGGCAGTTTAGACCCTCATTTAACTGGCAGTATTTCTCAATCATCAGCAGTTTCCACAACTTATCATTTATTGATGTTTCTACTGTCCACTGTAAGTCTACTTCTCCAGTCCCTAGCATGCTACTTTTTGAAAAAACAAAAAAGTCCCAAATAGCAATTACTGAACACTGCAAGAGCCGCTAAGTGTCTAGGGGATCCAGTACCCAGCAGTGGGGCTGGCCAGAAACTTCTAATTATAAGAGCAGTTAAGTCACCAACTTCCTCTTTCCTTCCATGAATGATATCGATTTCTTCAGAACTAGGTGAGTGTGGAGTTTGGGTAAAAAAAATGAATGTTCAAGCATTCTCACTAACTAGATAAATCTAAAGTCTCCTCCTGCTAGAAAACAACCAGATACTAGAAAATTCATGTAAAAAATATACTTCCTCATCTGAAAAATTGTATCTACCAAAAACTACTCAATGGCATTCTTAAAGGATAAATTTTCTCAAAGGAGAAATTTTATAAATTTTTCACTTAAAAATCAGTATTGAGAAAAAAGATAACTACTATAAACACTTCTATTCAACATGATGCTTGGGTTCTTGCACATTGAGATACCCCTTCCTAGCCCACCTATATTGTCCTCTTTTAGCACAGTAAGGGAAGAAAATAAATAAAAACAAATAAGGATTGGAAATTAAGAAAATGAATTGTTTATTCACAGATGATATTAAGATACAAATATTTTTAAAGAAATTATTTTAATTAATAATAATAATTCAAGGCTCCACGCACCACACTATTGCCCCATGGTGGGTGATACAGTATTACTGTCCACTCTATCCATCACTGGGCAACATGTCCATCACTGGGCAACAGAGCTAGACCCTGTCTCTGAAAAAAAAAAAAACAACAAAAATCAACCCCTTCTCTTTTTCATAGTGTCCTTTTTCACAATAGTTCCTATTCCTTTTTAACTCTAAGTATTTTGAAAGTCTTATGTTAATTCTTTTTGGATTAGTATCTGCAATTCTCAAGGTCTTAATTATCTTGTTTGTTGTATTTGCTGATGCTCAGCTAATTTATTTTGTGTGTCATTTATATTTTTTATTGTGAGATAATCTCCAGAAGGAGTTATTATTATTATTATTGAATTCTTTTGTCATGAAAGTATCTTACAGAATAGTTTTACACTTGTTTCTTCTAGAACCCAATAGATTTCAAAGATTCAACTATGTTTTTATGTTATGTTCTCCGCTGTGAGTTCCCAAGCCATGAAGTACTACAAATGTATACCCCATATCTAAGTGTGGTACAAACTTGAGGTTATAATTTCTAATACATGACTTCTTTTCTACTGAAAACACAGGACAAATAAAAACATTTTCACTCTTTCTCCCAGTCAAGGGCAGAGTTTTTCTGGTCCCCCTTTAACAAATAGGGCAGTACATCCAAGATCCAACATTTATCCAGCAGTGTCAGTTCCATTTTCTGTATCTTCTCAGGACTGAGGCCATGTCACCTGCTCTAAGGAAGCATTAGAATCCCAGCAGAAGCTTCAGTCTGGTTACAGTCTTTGCTCACTGCTTTAGTTTTGATTTTTCTCTTTTCATCTGGTACACAGATTTCTCTTTATTTTGAGCTTGATTATATATTACAAATGTTTTAAGTGTATCTTTTATCAAACATTTTTATGGGTTATATTATGAAGACCTCATCTATGTTAATGTAGATCACCGTGTTGGTAGAAGTTTCATCAATGAATTTTCTTTTTTAATATGTTTTAATACTCACTCAGTCTTTTGAGTGCTAGTTTGCCTTTAATTTTAATGTTTTGAATCCTTCTTATAAAATAAGATATATATACAGGAACAAAGAATAATGCAACAAACACAAATGTCCCCACTACCCATCTTAAGAAAAAAGTGCTAATAGAGGTTATGCCACTGAGTACCTACCTCAAATAGGATACCCTTCTCTTCTTCCCAGCAATAACCCTTTTCATAATTTTAGTATTGATTATTTCCATATATTTCTTTATTCTTTTACTATATTCTTAAATAGCCTTAATGGCATGGTTATACATATTTTAAACTTTATGTATATATAAATTTTGTATATATCTAAACTTTATATATATAATATATATAAATATTATATATTTATATTTTTATATATACTTTATATGTATATAAACTTTATATACATATAAAGTTTAAAATATATATATACACATATATGTGTGTGTATGTGTTTGTGTGAATGCATATAGTACCACATTAAGTTGCTTCATTTTATTCAACACTATGTTTTTGGATTCAGTCATGTTAAAATATGTAGCTCTGGCTCACTAATTTTCACTACTGTATAGTGTTCCTTTTTATGACCATTTCACAATTATTTATCTATTCTCATAGGCTATGGTTTGAATGTGTCTTCCAAAGTTCATATATTAGAAACTTAATCCCTAATGCAACAGTGTTGAGAAGTAGAATCTTTCAGAGGTGATGAACAGATGCCCTCATGAATGGATTATTGCTGTTATGGGAATGGGTTAGTTACCATGGGAGTGGTTCCTTATAAAAGAATGAGTTTGGCGCTCTCTCTCTTTCTCTTTCTCTCTCTCTTCTCTCTCTCACATGCTGTGTCACCATGCAATGTCTTCCACCGTCTTACAATGCAGCAAGAAATTCTTCATCAGATGCAGATCCTTAATCTTGGACTTGCTAGCCTTCAGAATTGTGAGCCAAATAAACTTCTATTACTTGTAAATTACCCAGGCTGTGATATTCTGTTATATTAACACAAAACACTAAGACCTCACATCAACAGATATCTATGGTATTTCCAATATTTTGCTACTGCTGACAATGCTGCTATGAACGTTTTTGTGTATGTGTACGTGAATTCTACAGGAGTGAATATACTGACTTGTAGAACATTTGCATTTTTAGCTTTACTAAAAATTGACAGATTTATGTAAAGTTGTTATATAAAATTTACATTTAGTGCCTCCTCTATGTATTGTAAACATCTTACAAATTCTCCTTCCCTTTTGTTTCCCTCTCAATACCTTCCACATGGATTACAGATGCTTTACTAAACTCTTTCTCCTGTTCTAAAGTCCCAACTCCCAAATCTCTGCATGTTCTTATCAACGTTCTGCAGGTCTTTTACTCTCATAGGCTGAAACTCTTTAGGATAGCAGGAGTACTTGGTTGGCTTCACCACCTTCCATTTGCCCTTGACCCGTGAAGGTAAAGGTAAACATCCCAGCCACCTCGTAAGTAAAGATTTTTTTCTCCTTTTCTAACTCATTTTAATATAGGAAATTCTCTCATGAATAAAATTATTTAAATTCTTACACAAGTGACTTCCCAAGTTAATACATAAATGTGTGTGTTCTCTTAGGTATGTTTTGTATGTTCATTTCAACACATATTCTAGAGGAAATATGAATTCTTTTGTTTAGTATACAAAGGGACTTACTCTGATACAAAACTTCTGGGCTTCATAGCTGACCTTCAAAGGGAGAACACAAAACTCCTGAAATTATATACACTATGTGTGTACATGCATTATGTGCATTTTGCTTGGGGGAAGGTCTACAACTGTTGTCAGATTTTCAAAGAAGCCATGACCTCATAATAATGTATAATCAACTTTCCACCTATGTAATAAATTTCAGGTACATATGGATGAGGTCAGCCCCACCAGAGCCTAATGGGTACACAGGGTATCTTGGCACCTTTCCCTCACTGTGAATAGCCCCTTTGCATAGTCTGGGCCTATTTCTTCAGGGAAACTCTAGACTATGGGTTACAATTAAAGTATCTTTCTGGTCTATAATGTTATCATGTATATTATAAATTAATAACGATGTCTGCCTTTGTAAATGTTTCCAGTTTAAAGCCACAGATACATAAAACTTGTAAGAAGACATTTCTATATATTGTTCTAATCAACTGAAATAATTTGAAATGGCAAAACGTTCCTTTATATATAATACATATCCTATAGACTTTTTAAAACATTAATTTAATACATATCTCTATGGGGCTTCAAGGAAATTGTTGTTCACTATTAGGAAAAAGGAGAAAGAATAGGCAGAATGCAGAGAATGGTTAGGGCATTTGAAACTACTCAGTATGATAGTTTCAAACTACTCAATATGATAGAATGTAATGTAATGAATGATAATGTAATGATAGATACACGTTGTTATACATTTGTCCAAACCCGTAGAATGTACAACACCAGGAGTGAACCCTAATGAAACTATGGACTTTGGGTGATTATGATGGATCAATGTAAGTTCATCAGTTGTAACAAAAGTACCACTCTGGTGGGGGATGTTGATAATAGGGAAGGCTATGTATGTGTGAGGGTAGAGGACATACGGGAAGTTTTTGTACCTTTTGTTTAATTTTTCTGTGAACGTAAAGCTGCTCTAGAAAATGAAGTCTATTTTACAAAAAACATGAAAGAATATTTTTTCACTTCAGCTGATCACTAAGCATATGCCTTTCTCAATTTACTATAGAGAATGCATTTATGAAGATCCTGCTAATATATTCATGGAATATGAGGCATGCGTCCACCCAAATTCATTGCTAAATTTCTGAATTGATAGAGTAAAATTGCTAACAACAGAAATGCTTGTATTGACCAAGCACTGTGGTTTGATTAAGTTTGCTCATTTATTTTATAAATTTGCTGTAAAGCTATTAGAAGAGTTTTATTACTCAAATTATGAGGCTGAGTCAGAGTGGCCTTTTAAATCTATAAATTAATTAGAACTCTATTTCTAGAGCACTGAAAATATCTACCCCTTTCTTTCAATGAATATATTTCCTTTCTCTATTACAAATAAATTGTGATTTAGTTCATAATTTGCCTAGTTTGCCATCATTCATCTATATAGTACTTGGACAGATCAGCAAATATAATTATAAATTTACTTCACTATCCACTTCTGGGTAGATGAGAGAAGCTTATATATGCATGTGATAGAAGAAATTACCCTTCATTAAAGCATTTTCTCCATTCAATACATTTAAACACATGCCCAAGCAAGGCTATAGTTCTCACCTATTTGTATTCTCCATGCAAAATTCTTTTTGCTTTCTTTATAACTTCCATGTGGGAGTTACCTCAGCCCAGCATTTCTGCTTTCTCCTATTTTTTTTCTTTTTGGCCACCACTTTGTTCTTTCTACTACTTTATCATCATTTTCTTGATATCCTTTCTATAAGGCATTTATCAGTTCATTCTTTTTTTCCATCTCTAATCCTCATATGCCAGGTTTGATTGTTTTTTCTAACTCCATTCAGAACCAAATCTGACTGTGTCAATGTTGTTGGGCAGAGCCTACTCCACCACCTTCACTTATCAGTCATAGCAATTGGTCCAGGTATAGGTACAAGACCATGGCTGAATTAATCTGGAAAAAGAAAGTTTTCTTTCTTTCGGGGTTTTCTAGGTTGGTAGTATTTAAGACTGGAGCTCATGGAAGCCACTTTGCCACACAGGAAGAGATTGTCTGAGGATGATGCCACCACACAGAAAAGAACAGAGCAAAGAGAGTAAGAGAGGCAGATTCTAAAGATATTTTTGAATACCTAGATCCAGTTATGCTTGATCAATCCCTTGACTTTTCATTTATATGAAAGCAATGATATGCTTTGACCACTTTGAATCATGTTGGTTTTGTATGAAGCATTCCAATATCTTATTTTGTTTTAAAAATTTTTATTTGCATTCAATAAGATATTCCTAACAAAATCCTACATTTGTGTCCATTAGAACAAGATTGCTTTAGTTAAGATACACCAGATTGCTAGAAATGGAAACCAGTTTCAATCTTGTCTAAATGTAAATAGGTATTTGTTTGCTCATTTCTATAAAGTTTCAGAGGTAAGCTAGGCTCAGGCATGGCTGAGTTCCAGAACTTCAACTACTAGTTTTCCATATTCTAGTTGTCCACCCATTCCTCTTTTCAGCTTGACATCATTCTCTCCCCTTGACAGGTTTTCTCCACGTGGAGATAACGTAACATCTGGCAGCTCCAGAACTGCGTACCAGTCACATTTTTATGATCTTTAGATAAAAGGTTATGCTTCCTCCAGCCCCAAGCACTCTGATTATCCCTTCATAACTACACCTGAAAAAAAATCATGTGGCAAATATATAGAGTCTGTGACTGACTAGCCCCGAGTTACATGCCCACCTCTGCAGTCAGAAAGAAGCCTCTTGCAATTGATGATCTCAGTAGCACCCCATGAATTTGGAACAGATGGAAGTGGTAAGGAAGCAATTTCCCAAGTAGTAACACAAGAGGTGTAAGATTTCTGTGAAACACACCAAGTTGCCCACTCATGTTTATCTCTTGTCCTTCTCCAAACCCCACTAAAATGAAGGAATAAACTGATTTTTAAAAAATTATGGGATTGGAGGAAGTAAAGGGTGAGAGAGCTCAACACAATTCTGGAAGGCAAAAAAACAATAGAAGAAGAGAACCAATCATGTTGTTGGAAGATGCCAAAGCCTAAGGTGTGGTCAGAGAGTGACATCTGAAAGGACTTTGCATCACCTGGCATGGCTGCGGGTGGGGATAAGGTGAGGAGCTGTAAAAAAAGATATGGGTTGAAGTTGTGTGGAGTGGTCAATCCCCCCGACTGCTGATAAGCAGAATTTCAGAAGTCTTTAATTCCCATGCAGCAGATACCTTCAATAATGCATAGTCAGGAGACTGGGATTCTTTCTCTATAGAATTTGAATGAGAAACATTAAGGTCTGACAATCAGACTGGCAGAGGAAGGGGTAGGATATGGGGTTGGTAATAGAGAATTAATTTACAAGCTGCACATAGCTCCTCCAAACCCCATCCTCATTACATCTTTGTGCAGTGTACTGCCTGAACTGGAATATGTGGATATGTCTAGAACTATAAAATCTTGCTTAACTACAATCTTTGTCTGCATCCTCCTTTTAGGAAAATGAGGTAAAAGAAAAACAATAAGCTCATGATATCAGAGAGTTATTTAAAACAAGAAACTGTAGTTCATTCCAGTTTTATGCCTCTAACAAAGCTGCACAGAAATTATGAATATTCTAGGAGATGCCCCAGGCATCACATGATCCTAAATCATCAAAACAACATTGAATTGTGTTTGGCATTTTGTACTTACTGAGCCAGGAAAGTGAAGTGGTTCAATTTAGAAAGGTTTTCTAAACTAATAGTTAAAGAGTTTTCTTTTTTTATTATACTTTAAGTTCTGGGATACATGTGCAGAACATGCAGGTTTGTTACACAGGTATACACATGCCATGGTGGTTTACTACACCCATCAAGCCAACTTCTACATTAGGTATTTCTCCTAATGCTATCCCTCCCCTAGCCCCCCACCCCCCAAAAGGCCCCAGCATGTGATGTTTCCCTCCCTGTTTCCATGTGTTCTCATTGTTCAACTCCCACTTATGAGAGAGAACATGCGGTGTTTGGTTTTCTGTTCCTGTGTTACTTTACTGAGAATGGTGGTTTCCAGCTTTGGAACATTCTGGTTAATTGTGATTTTGCTATGTATTGATATTTTATAGCTCCTACCCCTTTGGTCAGGAGCTACCTCCCTATCATTGAATTGATTAGTTATATTTAATAATGTTTGGTGTTTGGATACATTCAGCAATAACACTTGGAAATTTCTTACCAGTTATTTTTAAAGCCTTAATTTGTTTTTTGTTTCTGTTTCTGTTTTTTCACCAGCTATTTAGGATAAGAGAATGTTTACATCTTAATGTAAAAAATAAAAACAGGCATAAGTAATGTTTTATGTATAGAAATGCTTTCTTTCATTACTTGGTGCCTGCATCTCTAAATGTTTACATAGCTTCTCTGTCTGTATGATGTTGCTAAAGAAACTATGAGTTAGGAAGGAGAAAAAAAAAGTTGAATATCTAGTCCCAAGAAGGAGAGAGGAGGTTTCTATAAAAAAATTTGTGTGTTTGTATATATATCTATGTATGTATATGTATGTATATATCTATGTATATGCATAAGGGTATATATCTACATACATAGATATGTATATATATATTAATATATCCATGTATATGTATGTATACATATGGGTGTATTTATATATATGTATACATATCTATGTATGTGTATATACACACACCCACACCCATGCATTCTCTTGTCATTATTGTCAAAAATCAGTTGACCATAGACAACTGCCTATATAATATGCGCTGTGTGTATATATATAACTATACAGGAGAAACAGGGTGCAAAGAAGAAAAAAAGAACTTTTTAAAAACCTGTAATTAGAATCATCGAAAGATAAGAAGATAATGCATGCATAAAATAAGAAAAAATATATAGAATAAGAAAGATTAAGGTTATTAGAAATTAAAAATGTTATCATCAAAATGAGAAATTTTATAAAAGAGTTGGAAGATAGAGTCATGGAAAACTCTCACACAGTAAAACAAAGAAACTATTTTTTTTTTTAAAAGAGAGGGATAAAGCAATAGAGTCCAGAGGTTCAAGCTAGGAAGTCCTACATTCAGCCAAGATGAGTTCCAGAAAAAGAGACCAGAGGAAATGGAAGAAGAGAAATGGTCAAAGAAATAATAATGATAAAATTTCCTACAACAGAAGGATATGTCTCCAAGTTGTAAGAGGCCACTAAGTAATTCACACTTAGTAATGAATTTAACAAAAGAAGTGCAACACATATTTTCAAAATTACAAAATATTGTTGAAGGAAATTAAAGAAGATATAAATGAATTTTAAAAATGCAAGATGGCTGTACTCCCCAAATTAGTCTACAGATTCAACATCATCCTTGTCAGACTCTGGGCTGCTTCTTTGTAGAAGGTGACAAGCTGAATCTAAAGTTCACATTGAACTTCAAGGAACCCAGAAGGGTCAAATCAATCTTAAAATAGACTAACAAAGTAGGAGGATTTATTCCTTCTAATTTCAAAGCTTACTACAAAGCAACAGTAATCAAGACAGAGTGGTACTGGCACTAGGATAGACATACAAATCAATGGAATAGAATTCTGAGTTCATAAATAGACCTGTGTGTCTGTGATCAACTGATTTTTGACAATGATGCCAAGAGTATTGAATGAGAAAATAATAGTCTTTTCAACAATTGGTGCCAGTGCCATTCAATAGCTACATGCAGAAGTATGAAGTTAGACCCTTACTTTACATCTTTAAAAAAATCCAAAATGGACCAAAGACTTAAACATAAGAGCTAAAACTCCTAGAGGTAAAAATAGGCATAAATTTTCATGACCTTTTATTTAGCAGTGATTTCTCATATCACCAAAAGCACAAGAAATTAAAGAGAAAAAAGATAAATTTGAATTCCTAAAAATTAAAACTCTTGTATATCAAAGGACACTATCAAGAAATGAAAAAACAATCTCCAGAATTGAAGAAAACATTTGCAAATTGTATGTCTAATAAGGATGTAGTACCAATAATACATATTTTAAAATCTCTTATAACTCAACAAAAAAAAGAAACAGGACGCAAAGGACATAAATAGATATCTTTTCAAGGAAGACATGCAAATGTCCAACAAGCACATAAAAAAAGATGCTCATCATCATTAATGATTAGGAAAATGCAAATCAAAACTATAAGACACCACTTCACATCCATTAGGATAGCTATAATAATAATTTTAAAACAACAAAAAATAAGTGTTGGTAAGGATATGGTGAAATTGGAACCCTTGTACTTTGCTGATGAGAATTTAAATGGTGCAGCCACTCTAAGCTACAATTTGACAGTTCCTCAATAAATTTAACATAGAATTACCATAGGACCCAGCAATTAAACTCAGGTTTATACACAAAGTATTTGAAAGCAGATATTCAAACAAAAATGTATAGATGGATGTTCATAGGAGCGCTGTGCACAACAGCCAAAAGGTGGAAACAACTTAAATGACCATTAACAAGTGAGTGGATAAACAAAATAGGGGAGACTGAGCTACCTGCATGCACTGTGCAGTGCCAGAGAGGTCAACCAGAATCAAGATGTCTGGCACTGAGGAAGCAATTTTTGGAGAGCGTGACAGCCATACTGCTGCTCATGGCAGCTTGGTGTGCTTTGGACAGTGCCAGTACACAGCAGAAGAGTACCAGGCCATCCAGAAGGCCCCGAGGCAGAGGCTGGGCCCAGAATACATAAGTAGCCCATGACTGGAGGAGGCCAGAAGGTGTGTTACATTGAGGGTCATTGGGTAATTAATCTGGCCAATGACATGTTTGGTTACAACGGCAGGGCACACTCCATCACGCAGCAGAATGTGGATTTTGTTGACCTAAACAATGGCAAGTTCTACATGGGAGTCTGTGCATTTGTGAGGGTCCAGTTGTAGGATGGTTCATATCATGAAGTTGTGGGTTATGGTGTTAGGGCCTCAAGTCCAAGGCCTCATCTTTGGAGAAGGCAAGGAAGGAGGCGGTGACAGACGGGCTAAAGCAAGCCCCCAGGAGTTTTCGGAACGCACTTGGAAATTGTATTCTGGACAGAGACTACTTGAGGTCACTAAACAAGCTTCCACGCCAGCTGCCTCTTGAAGTGGATTAAACTAAAGCAAAGAGACAAGATTTTGAACCATCTGTGGAAGAGGCAAGATACAACAGCTGCCAACTGAACATGGCCCTGGGATACCCACAGCTTCAAGATGTGACCTCCCCTTGCAGATCAAGCCACGTTGTGATTCAGGGGGACAAGGACTGCAGCTTCCTGACTTCTGAGCTCATCCACTATTGGTGAGAGAGGCCACGAACCAGCAGAAGTTCTGGCAAAAGCAGCTGCTGCAGCAGTTCTGGGAGCAGATGGAGAAACAGCAAGTCCACACCTTTTCCCCATCAGTTGAGAAGAGTGAGGAGACTCTTGGAGACAACTCTGAAATGTGGGATGTGACTCCAGATGCAGGGGATGGTGTGGTCAAGCCTTGTCTAGAGAAGAACCACCCCAGACCTCTGACACACCAGCCTTGAACAACCAGATGGTGACCCAGAACAGGACTCCACACAGCCTTTGCTGTCAGAAACCACAAGCAAAATCTGGACCTTGAGACCTCCAAACTTACAGCACTGACCAATGCATAACAGGAAACTGGGAATCTCATAGGAAGGGCCAGGACATGAAGAAAAGGAAATTGGATCCATCTTAACTGAGCCTCTGGCCACATCATTGGACTCTGTCGCAAAGGGACTTTGGAAAACTACTTTTTAGTCATGAAGTTGTTCATCACTCGTGAAGAATTACCTTTATTGCTAAGGATTTATCTTGCTTCATTCTGAACCTCATCAATAGGATCTGACTGAGAGCCCACTGCAGTTAGAGCTGAGCACTTTTAAAAACCTCATCCCACACTCTAGCTGGGAGACGCTCCGGACAGATGAAATACCTTTTCTTTGGCCTGTGAGGCTTCCCACTATTTATTTCTAAACTATTATGTTAACACCAATGGACATTTTAGGAATCACCAATGGCTGCTTGCCCTCAAGCAATATAGGCCGGACTTATTACTAACCACCTGCCTCAGCAATTACCTACATTCAATTGCTTTGCATAACCTCTGCCTTCTTTCCTTTAGGGTACAAGGCCTTTAATGTTGTCCACGTTAAGCAATGAGGATCATGACAGGAAAAAGGTTGGAGTATTGCTTTTTATTGCTTTGTATCAATCCAGGCTACAATCTTCATTTGATATAAATAAACTCACTTATGGGTTTATGACATAAAATAATAGGGTATATTTATTTAATGGAATATTATTTTGCCCTAAGAAAATAAGGTACTGATATATGCTACAACACAGAATTTAAAAACATGAAAGAAGCCAGTCACAAAATACCACAAATTATATGATTTCTTTTACATGAAATGTCCCAAAAAGACAAAATTATAGAGATATAAAGTAGATTTGTAATTACTTAGGGATGAGGAGGATAGGGAATAGGGGCTTGAGAGCTAAAGGGTATGGGTTCTCTGTGGTGATAAAATGTTATAAATTTATCTTTGGTGATGGTTGCAGATAGCCATGGATATACTTAAAAATCATTGAATTACATTCTTTAAAGGAGTGAATTGTGTGCTGTGTTAATTATATCTTAGTAAAGCTATTTTTAAAACTTGTAAAGGAAAAAATGGGAGGGCACCAAATTCCTAACACATTGACTAGAAAAAGACCCACATCAGTGCACATCAACAGGAAAAGAGAAGACACTACAATCTCCAGGTAAAAACCTTAGCTCACATTAAAAAGATTGTAGGCTGAGAATGGCATTGACTTATAAAAGAGATAGCTTTGTAAGTTAGAAGACAATGGAGTAACACATAAAAAATGATTGATGGGGCAAAATAATTTTCAGTCCCACATTTTTATTTGAAAATGAGGACAGAATGAAGACGTATACATAACGCAGAGTATACTTTACCTTCCAGGCGCCCTTCCAAAGGGAACCACCCTTCTACTGGAGAATAGACTCCAGTAAAGTCAGGAAGTCAAACCAAAAGAGGAGCCAACCCAATAGTACAGCCAAGAGGAGCCCCAGATCACTGACTCTGCAGCCCATAGTTGAGTGAGAGGGCAGAGAGACCTTAACTGGGTATCTTTATGGAGAAGCTATTCAGTAGAATACTGGATATCATGGAGCATTTTGAAGGACTCCTTGGGCAGTGTGGGGAGAATACATGGGTAGCAAGTATTATATGTGAAAAAATTTGATAAGGTAAAAACACTACTGAAAAGGGGGGGAATGTATCATAGTATGTATGTATATATACACACATATATACGTATATGTGTGTATATACGTACATGTGTATATATACGTATATGTGTGTATATACGTACGTGTGTATATACGTATATGTGTGTACGTACGTACGTGTGTATATACGTATATGTGTGTACGTACGTACGTGTGTATATACGTATATGTGTGTACGTACGTACGTGTGTATATACGTATATGTGTGTACGTACGTACGTGTGTATATACGTATATGTGTGTACGTACGTACGTGTGTATATACGTATATGTGTGTACGTAAGTACGTGTGTATATACGTATATGTGTGTATGTACGTACGTGTGTATATACGTATATGTGTGTATGTACGTACGTGTGTATATACGTATGTGTATGTACGTACGTGTGTATATACGTATATGTGTGTGTACGTACGTGTGTGTATACGTATGTGTGTGTATACGTATATGTGTGTGTATACGTATATGTGTGTGTATACGTATGTGTGTGTGTACGTATGTGTGTATATACGTATGTGTGTGTATACGTATGTGTGTGTATACGTATGTGTGTATATACGTATATGTGTGTGTATGCGTATGTGTGTACGTATATGTGTGTGTATACGTATATGTGTGTGTATGCGTATGTGTGTATATATGTATATGTGTGTATATGCGTATGTGTGTATATACGTATGTGTGTATATACGTATGTGTGTATATATACGTGTGTATATACGTATGTGTGTATATATGTGTGTGTATATACGTATGTGTGTATATATACGTGTGTGTATATACGTATGTGTGTATATATACATGTGTGTATATACGTATGTGTGTATATACGTATGTGTGTATATACGTATATGTGTATATGTGTACATACATGTGTATGTACATGTGTATATGTGTATATATACATATATACATATATACGTATGTACATACACATATCTATGTGTTTGTACATATATGTACATATGTATATACACATGTACATACACATATATGTATACACACATATATGTATATATACATATACACATATATATGTATATACATATACACATATATATGTATATACATATACACATATATATGTATGTACATATACACATATATATGTATGTACATATATGTACATATGTATATATACACATATATGTATATGTATGTATATGTATATATATGATTTTGGCCCACAATAAATAGTATGTTTATAGTTATAATGAATTTATACTAGGTATAGACAATTTAAAAAATACTGACATATAATAGGCAATGGTAGGAGGAGGAGTAAGGTGGTATAAGGGAGACAAATGCCTAAAATTAATAACTTGAGAAAATAAGTATGTTTCTGATTTAGAAATAAGGACTTGAGAATAGAAGAAACCACTAAAAAAAAGTCAAAAAATTGTCTTTGGGTAGAAAGACATGAAGGGTCTGGGACTTATTTTTCATTTTAAGTTTATGGTACTTTTTAATTTTCCAACCATCTCCATATATTATGGATTTTTATTTCATAAATACTTCAAAAACAACAAAATTGAAAAGGTGATAGGGGTCAGGCACGTTGGCTCATACCTGTAATCCCAACACTTTGGGAGGCTGAGGCAGGTGGATCACCAGAGGTCAGGAGGTGGAGACCATCCTGGCTAACATGGTGGAACTCCATCTCTATTAAAAATATAAAAATTAGCCAGGCATGGTGGCGGGCACCTGTAATCCCAGCTACTTGGGAAGCTGAAGCAGGAGACTCTCTTGAACCTGGGAGGGGGAGGTTATAGTGAGCTGAGATCGTGCCATTGCACTCCAGCCTCAAAAAAAAAAAGGTGATACACAAATCTTTTGATACCTATTTCACTAACCTGAGCTTTATATTAGAGCTATGAAGACAAGCTATGTTGACAAACTCCTTTGGTTGGTGTCTATACAGACAAAATTCTAAACACTTAAGGACAAAATGCTTTTCTTGATGCCAGCATTATAATTTCATTGAGTATTTTTGGCTAAAGTCTTAATTTCACTAGTTCCTTTTCTGTGTTTCTCTGATAAGATTCTAATTTAATATTTGTATGATTGCTGGCTCTGCCAGCAAAGCACCTGGGCACTCTGTAATTAAGAGGGCCCAGAGAATTCGTTAGCTCTCTTGAAATCTTGTGGATTTTTAGGCACACAAATCCTACTTTTAAGAAATCATCAAAGTAATCCTCAATAGACTAGGAATTCAGGTCAGAAAATACTTTAAATCCCTCAGACAGAAAAAGCTGTAAATCCTTTAGGTTACTTTGGAGGATCTGATGTGGGATGATATGTTTAAGTCGGTGAATTATGTGGCAAAATTAGAGTTACTTGGCAAATTCTTGCCATGATGCTACACTCTCAGGAGAGGAAGTCCATGCATGCTATATTATATTCCTCGGAAAACACAAAAAAATAATGATTTATTTCCATTACCCTGATCCCTTCAACATCCTGTTCCCCAGAAACCTCTGTAAAAATAAACAGTTGCCCTCTGGATAAATGACCAGACCAAAACAATTTGGCCAAAAAATTTTGAAATCAATACTTCTTATCTTTTTACCTCTAACTCCTCAGCTCTTTTAAGCTATCTTAGCCCAACTGTTCTCAAAAAAGAACTTTTCTTGAATCCAATACTGATTTTGTTGTTGTTATTCTATATGATTGACTGAGTTTTTTCCATTCAACTTACTTGACTATCTGATTATGGAAAGTAAAGCAACTATTGATTTGGTTACCTGCTTACCTAATCTCTGTGTAAGAAACCTTAATGGAACCTGAATTTAATCATTCTTTTTTCTTCTTTTTTTTTTTTGAGACAGAGTCTTGCTCTGTCACCCAGGCTGAAGTGCAATGGTGCAATCTCGGGTCACTGCAACCTCTGCCTCCCAGATTCAAGCAATTCTCCTGCCTCAGCCTCCCAAGTAGCTGGGATTACAGGCACCCACAACCATGCTCAGCTAATTTTTTTTTTTTTTTTTTTTTTTTAGTAGAGACAGGGTTTCACCACATTGGTCAGGCTAGTCTCAAACTCCTGACGTCAGGTGATCCACCCTCCTCAGCCTCCCAAAGTGCTGGGATTACAGGCGTGAGCTACTGCATCTGGCTGTCATTCATTTTTAAATATTATTTCTTTATTTAAGAAATACTCCATGCATACACACAAGCCTCAGGGATGTAACCTGGATTCTAGCTGAACTAACAATTTAAAAATAATTTTTGGTCATAAATTACATATTGGTCCATCTGTAGTCCATAAGGGCCTATCCTTATCCATAAGGGCCCTTAGCCATAAGGGCCCATCCTCCTTCCCTACATACCTTGCCCAGGGCTCTCCCTCCCACTAGATGGGGACACACAAATGATCCTTCTGTAACTTCTGCCTTCTAAATGCCTCATGCTGGAGACCTTCCCCAATTCCTTCCATGACCTTACTCTCAGTTTCATTAAGCACTGAAAAAGAAAAGGAAACCCAAAGCAATAAAAGGTAGCCAAGAAAAGTTTGTTTAGTCTCCTTTGTTGTCTCTGCCCAATTTTAATTTGGTAATTATTTGTAGGGAACAGATAAAGTCAGGGCCAGTCTTTCCTTGACGATTTTAAAGAAACAAAAAGCACTGATCTTGAAGTTCAGTCCCAGGATGGTGTCTTTACTCTGCATTGGCAACTTCCATGTCCTTGGGCAAGCCACTTAACCCCTCTGATTTTATTTATGAGACAATAATCATATCATAATTGTTATTTTTCTTTTTTCAACTTTTATTTTTCTTTCAGGGGTACATGTGCAGGTTTGTTATATAGGTAAATTGCATGCCACAAGGGTTTAATGTACAGATTATTCCATGACACAGGAAATAAGTATAGTACCCAATATGTACTTTTTTGATCCTCACCCTCCTCCCAACCTCCACCCTCAGGTAGGCTCCAGTGTCTATTTTTCTACTCTTTGCGTCCATGTATACTCAATGTTTAGCTCCCACTTGTAAATGAGAACATGCAGTATTTAGTTTTCTATTCCTGTGTTAGTTCACTCAGGATAGTGGCCTCCAGCTCCACTCATGTTGCTGCAAAGGATAGGATCGGCATGGTATTCCATGGTATATATGTACTACAATTTTTTTTATCCAGTCTACCACCGATGGGCATTTAGATTGATTCCATGTCTCTGCTATTGTGAATAATGCTGCAATGAACATACACATGCATGTGTCTTTATGATAGAACAATATAAACTCCTTTAGATATATAGCCAGTAATGGGACATGTACCCAAATGGTAGTTCTGTTTTAAGTTCTTTGAGAAATCTCCAAATTGCGTTCCACAGTGGCTGAAATAATTTACATTCCCACCAATAGTGTACAAGCATTCCTTCCCTTTTCTTCACAACCTTGCCAGCATCTGTTATTTTTTTTGACTTTTTAATACTAGCCATTCTGACTGGTGTGAGATGGCATCTCATTGTGGTTTTGATTTGCATTTCTCTAGTGATTAGTAATGCTGAGCATTTTTCATATGCTTATTGGCCATTTGTATGTCTTCTTTTGAAAGTGTCTGTTCGTGTCCTTTGCTCACTTTTTAATAGGATTGCTTGGTTTTTGCTTATTAATTTTTTTAAGTTTCTTGTAGATTTTGGATATTATACCTTTCTCAGATGCATAATTTAAACATATGTTCTCCCATTCTATGGATTGTTTGTTGATAGTTTCTTTTGCTGTGCAGAAGCTCTTTAGTTTAAATTAGGTCCAACTTGTCAATTTTCGTTTTTGTTGCAATTGCTTTTGGCATTTTTGTCATGAAATCTTTGCCAGGGCCTATGTTCAGAATGGCATTTCTTAGGTTTTATTCAATGATTTTTATAGTTTGACTTTATAAACTCAAGTCTTTAATCCATCTTGAATTGATTTTTGTATATGATGTAAAAAAGGCATCCAGTTTCAGTTTTCTGTATATAGCTAGGCAGTTAATATAGTACCATTTATTGACTAAGAAGTCCTTTCCCTATTGCTTTTGTTGACTTGTCAAAGATCAGATGGTTTTAGGTTTGTGGCTTTATTTCTGGGCTCTCTGTGCTGTTCCATTGGTCTATGTGTCTGTTTTTGTACCAGTAACATACTGTTTTTGTTACTGTAGCCTTACAGTACAGATTGAAGTCAGGTAATGTGATACTTCCAACCTTGATCTTTTTGCTTAGGATTGCTTTGGCTATTTGAGCTTTTTTGTTGTTGTTGTTGTTCCATATGAATTTTAGAATAGTTTTTTCTAATTCTGTGAAGAATATCATTGATAGCTTGATAGCAATAGTATTGAATTGTAGATTGCCTTAGGCAGTATGGCCATTTCAACAATATTTGTTCTTCCTATCCATGAGCATGGAATGTTTTTCCATGTGTTTGTGTCATTCCTGATACAGCAGTGCTTTGTAATTTTTGTTGTTGAGAACTTTCACTTCCCTGGTTAGCTGTGTTCCTAGGTATTGTATTTGTGTGTGTGTGGCTATTGTGAACGAGACTGCATTATTGATTTGGCTCTTAGCATGGACATTGTTGGTGTATAGAAATGCTTATTTTTGTACATTGATTTTGTATCCTAAAACTTTGCTGAGGTTCATCAGCTCATGGATCTTTTGGGCGGAGACTATGGGATTTCATAGTTATACAATCATACCACTTGCAGAGAAAGATAGTTTGACTTACTCTCTTCCTATTTGAATATCTTTAATTTTTTTCTCTTTCCTGATTGCTCTGACTAGGACTTCCAGTACTATGTCGAATAGGAGTGGTGAGAGTGGGCATCCTTGTCTTCTTCTGGTTCTAAAGAGGAATGCTTCTAGCTTTTGCCTGTTCACTATGATGTAAGCTGTGGGTTTGTCATAGATGGCTCTTATTATTTTGAGTATGTTCCTTTAATGCCTAGTTTCTTGAAGGTTTTTAAAATGAAGGGATGTTATATTTTATTAAAAGCCTTATCAGCATCTGTTGAGATGATCGTGTGGTTTTTGTTTTTAGTTCTGTTTATGTGATAGATCACATTTATTGATTTGCATGTGTTGAACCAACCTTGCACCCCATGGATAAAGCCTATTTGATCATGGTGGAATAGCTGTTTTGGTGTGCTGCTGGATTCATTTTCCTAGCATTTTGTTGAGGATTTTTGCATCTATATTCATCAAGGATATTGGCCTGAAGTTTTCTTTTTATTATTATTATTATTATTATTATTATTATTATACTTTAAGTTTTCGGGTACATGTGCACAATGTGCAGGTTAGTTACATATGTATACATGTGCCATGCTGGTGTGCTGAACCCAGTAACTCGTCATTTAGCATTAGGTATATCTCCTAATGCTATCCCTCCCCCCTCCCCCCACCCCACAACAGTCCCCAGAGTGTGATATTCCCCTTCCTGTGTCCATGTGTTCTCATTGTTCAATTCCCATCTATGAGTGAGAACATGCGGTGTTTGGTTTTTTGTCCTTGCGATAGTTTACTGAGAATGATGATTTCCAATTTCATCCATGTCCCTACAAAGGACATGAACTCATCATTTTTTATGGCTGCATAGTATTCCATGGTGTATATGTGCCACATTTTCTTAATCCAGTCTATCATTGTTGGACATTTAGGTTGGTTCCAAGTCTTTGCTATTGTGAATAGTGCCACAATAAACATACGTGTGCATGTGTCTTTATAGCAGCATGATTTATAGTCCTTCGGGTATATACCCAGTAATGGGATGGCTGGGTCAAATGGTATTTCTAGCTCTAGATCCCTGAGGAATCGCCAAACTGACTTCCACAATGGTTGAACTAGTTTACAGTCCCACCAACAGTGTAAAAGTGTTCCTATTTCTCCACATCCTCTCCGGCACCTGTTGTTTCCTGACTTTTTAATGATTGCCATTCTAACTGGTGTGAGATGGTATCTCATTGTGGTTTTGATTTGCATTTCTCTGACGGCCAGTGATGACTAGCATTTTTTCATTTGTCTTTTGGCTGCATAAATGTCTTCTTTTGAGAAGTGTCTGTTCATATCCTTTGCCCACTTTTTGATGGGGTTGTTTGTTTTTTTCTTGTAAATTTGTTTGAGTTCATTGTAGATTCTGGATATTAGCCCTTTGTCAGATGAGTAGGTTGTGAAAATTTTCTCCCATTTTGTAGGTTGCCTGTTCACTCTGATGGTAGTTTCCTTTGCTGTGCAGAAGCTCTTTAGTTTAATTAGATCCCATTTGTCAATTTTGGCTTTTGTTGCCATTGCTTTTGGTGTTTTAGTCATGCAGTCCTTGCCCGTGCCTATGTCCTGAATGGTAATGCCTAGGTTTTCTTCCAGGGTTTTTATGGTTTTAGGCCAAAGTTTAAGTCTTTAATCCATCTTGAATTAATTTTTGTATAAGGTGTAAGGAAGGGATACAGTTTCAGCTTTCTACATATGGCTAGCCAGTTTTCCCAGCACATTTATTAAATAGGGAATCCTTTCCCCATTGCTTGTTTTTCTCAGGTTTCTCAAAAATCAGATCGTTGTAGATACGTGGCGTTATTTCTGAGGGCTCTGTTCTGTTCCATTGATCTATATCTCTGTTTTGGTACCAGTACCATGCTGTTTTGGTTACTGTAGCCTTGTAGTATAGTTTGAAGTCAGGTGGCATGATGCCTCCAGCTTTGTTCTTTTGGCTTAGGATTGACTTGGCGATGCGGGCTCTTTTTTGGTTCCATATGAACTTTAAAGTAGTTTTTTCCAATTCTGTGAAGAAAGTCATTGGTAGCTTGATGGAGATGGCATTGAATCTATAAATTACCTTGGGCAGTATGGCCATTTTCACTATATTGATTCTTCCTACCCATGAGCATGGAATGTTCTTCCATTTGTTTGTGTCCTCTTTTATTTCATTGAGCAGTGGTTTGTAGTTCTCCTTGAAGAGGTCCTTCACATCCCTTTTAAGTTGGATTCCTAAGTATTTTATTCTCTTTGAAGCAACTGTGAATGGGAGTTCACTCATGATTTGGCTTTGTGTTTGTCTGTTATTGGTGTATAAGAATGCTTGTGATTTTTGTACATTGATTTTGTATCCTGAGACTTTGCTGAAGTTACTTATCAGCTTAAGGAGATTTTGGGCTGAGACAATGGGGTTTTCTAGATATACAATCATGTCATCTGCAAACAGGGACAATTTGACTACCTCTTTTCCTAATTGAATACCATTTATTTCCTTCTCCTGCCTAATTGCCCTGGCCAGAACTTCCAGCACTATGTTGAATAGGAGTGGTGAGAGAGGGCATCCCTGTCTTGTGCCAGTTTTCAAAGGGAATGCTTCCAGTTTTTGCCCATTCAGTATGATATTGGCTGTGGGTTTGTCATAGATAGCTCTTATTATTTTGAGATACGTCCCATCAATACCTAATTTATTGAGAGTTTTTAGCATGAAGGGTTGTTGAATTTTGTCAAAGGCCTTTTCTGCATCTATTGAGATAATCATGTGGTTTTTGTCTTTGGTTCTGTTTATATGCTGGATTACATTTATTGATTTGCATATATTGAACCAGCCTTGCATCCCAGGGATGAAGCCCACTTGATCATGGTGGATAAGCTTTTTGATGTGCTGCTGGATTGTTTGCCAGCATTTTATTGAGGATTTTTGCATCAATGTTCATCAAGGATATTGGCCTAAAATTCTCTTGTTTGGTTGTGTCTTTGCCCGGCTTTGGTATCAGGATGATGCTGGTCTCATAAAATGAGTTAGGGAGGATTCCCTCTTTTTCTATTGATTGGAATAGTTTCAGAAGGAATGGTACCAGTTCCTCCTTGTACCTCTGGTAGAATTCGGCTGTGAATCCATCTGGTCCTGTGCTCTTTTTGGTTGGTAAGCTATTGATTATTGCCACAATTTCAGATCCTGTTATTGGTCTATTCAGAGATTCAACTTCTTCCTGGTTTAGTCTTGGGAGAGTGTATGTGTTGAGGAATTTATCCATTTCTTCTAGATTTTCTAGTTTATTTGCGTAGAGGTGTTTGTAGTATTCTCTGATGGTAGTTTGTATTTCTGTGGGATCGGTGGTGATATTCCCTTTATCATTTTTTATTGCGTCTATTTCATTCTTCTCTTTTTTTCTTTATTAGTCTTGCTAGCAGTCTATCAATTTTGTTGATCCTTTCAAAAAACCAGCTCCTGGATTCATTAATTTTTTGAAGGGTTTTTTTGGTCTCTATTTCCTTCAGTTCTGCTCTGATTTTACTTATTTCTTGCCTTCTGCTAGCTTTTGAATGTGTTTGCTCTTGCTTTTCTAGTTCTTTTAATTGTGATGTTAGGGTGTCAATTTTGGATCTTTCCTGCTTTCTCTTGTGGGCATTTAGTACTATAAATTTCCCTCTACACACTGCTTTGAATGTGTCCCAGAGATTCTGGTATGTTGTGTCTTTGTTCCCGTTGGTTTCAAAGAACATCTTTATTTCTGCCTTCATTTCATTATGTACCCAGTAGTCATTCAGGAGCAGGTTGTTCAGTTTCCATGTAGTTGAGTGGTTTTGAGTGAGTTTCTTAATCCTGAGTTCTAGTTTGATTGCACTGTGGTCTGAGAGACAGTTTGTTATAATTTCTGTTCTTTTACATTTGCTGAGGAGAGCTGTACTTCCAACTATGTGGTCAATTTGGAATAGGTGTGGTATGATGCTGAAAAAAAATGTATATTCTGTTGATTTGGGGTGGAGAGTTCTGCAGATGTCTATTAGGTCCACTTGATGCAGAGCTGAGTTCAATTCCTGGGTATCCTTGTTAACTTTCTGTGTCATTGATCTGTCTAATGTTGACAGTGGGGTGTTAAAGTCTCCCATTATTAATGTGTGGGAGTGTAAGTCTCTTTGTAGGTCACTCAGGACTTGCTTTATGAATCTGGGTGCTCCTGTATTGCGTGCATATATATTTAGGATACTTAGCTCTTCTTGTTGAATTGATCCCTTTACCATTATGTAATGGCCTTCTTTGTCTCTTTTGATCTTTGTTGGTTTAAAGTCTGTTTTATCAGAGACTAGGATTGCAACCCCTGCCTTTCTTTGTTTCCCATTTGCTTGGTAGATCTTCCTCCATCCTTTTATTTTGAGCCTATGTGTGTCTCTGCATGTGAGATGGGTCTCCTGAATACAGCACACTGATGGGTCTTGACTCTTTATCCAATTTGCCAGTCTGTGTCTTTTAATTGGAGCATTTAGTCCATTTACATTTGAAGTTAATATTGTTATTTGTGAATTTGATCCTGTCATTATGATGTTAGCTGGTTATTTTGCTCGTTAGTTGATGCAGTTTCTTCCTAGTCTCAATGATCTTTACATTTTGGCATGATTTTGCAGTGGCTGGTACCGGTTGTGCCTTTCCATGTTTAGCACTTCCTTCAGGAGCTCTTTTAGGGCAGGCCTGGTGGTGACAAAATCTCTCCACATTTGCTTGTCTGTAAAGTATTTTATTTCTCCTTCACTTAGGAAGCTTTGGCTGGATATGAAATTCTGGGTTGAAAGTTCTTTTCTTTAAGAATGTTTAATATTGGCCCCCACTCTCTTCTGACTTGTAGAGTTTCTGCCGAGAGATCCGCTGTTAGTCTGATGGGCTTCCCTTTGCGGGTAACCCGACCTTTCTGTCTGGCTGCCCTTAACATTTTTTCCTTCATTTCAACTTTGGTGAATCTGACAATTATGTGTCTTGGAGTTGCTCTTCTCGAGGAGTATCTTTGTGGTGTTCTCTGTATTTCCTGAATCTGAATGTTGGCCTGCCTTGCTACACTGGGGAAGTTCTCCTGGATAATATCCTGCAGAGTGTTTTCCAACTTGGTTCCATTCTCCCCATCACTTTCAGGTACTCCAGTGAGATGTAGATTTGGTCTTTTCACATAGTCCCATATTTCTTGGAGGCTTTGCTCATTTGTTTTTATTCTTTTTTCTCTAAATTTCCCTTCTCGCTTCATTTCATTCATTTCATTTTCCATAGGTGATACCCTTTCTTCCAGTTGATCGCATTGGCTCCTGAGGCTTCTTCATTCTTCACGTAGTTCTCAAGCCTTGGCTTTCAGCTCCATCAGCTCCTTTAAGCACTTCTCTATATTGGTTATTCTAGTTATACATTCGTCTAAATTTTTTTCAAAGTTTTCAACTTCTTTGCCTTTGGTTTGAATTTCCTCCTGTAGCTCGGAGTAGTTTGATCATCTGAAGCCTTCTTCTCTCAACTAGTCAAAGTCATTCTCTGTCCAGCTTTGTTCCATTGCTGGTGAGGAACTGCGTTCCTTTGGAGGTGGAGAGGCGCTCTGCTTTTTAGAGTTTCCAGTTTTTCTGCTCTGTTTTTTCCCCATCTTTGTGGTTTTATCTACTTTTGGTCTTTGGCGATGGTGATGTACAGATGGGTTTTTGGTGTGGATGTCCTTTCTGTTTGTTAGTTTTCCTTCTAACAGACAGGACCCTCAGCTGCAGGTCTGTTGGAGTTTGCTAGAGGTCCACTCCAGACCCTGTTTGCCTGGGTATCAGCAGCGGTGTCTGCAGAACAGCGGAATTTCGTGATCTGCGAATGCTGCTGTCTGATCGTTTCTCTGGAAGTTTTGTCACAGAGGAGTACCCAGCCGTGTGAGGTGTCAGTCTGCCCCTACTGGGGGGTGCCTCCCAGTTAGGCTGCTCGGGTGTCAGGGGTCAGGGACCCACTTGAGGAGGCAGTCTGCCCATTCTCAGATCTCCAGCTGTGTGCTGGGAGAACCACTGCTCTCCTCAAAGCTGTCAGACAGGGACATTTAAGTCTGCAGAGGTTACTGCTGTCTTTTTGTTTGTCTGTGCCCTGCCCCCAGAGGTGGAGCCTACAGAGGCAGGCAGGCCTCCTTGACCTGTGGTGGGCTCCACCCAGTTCGAGCTTCCTGGCTGCTTTGTTTACCTAAGTGATCCTGGGCAAAGGCGGGCACCCCTCTCCCAGCCTCGCTGCCACCTTGCAGTTTGATCTCAGACTGCTGTGCTAGCAATCAGCGAGACTCCGTCGGTGTAGGACCCTCTGATCCAGGTGCGGGTTATAATCTCCTGGTGTGCCTTTTCCTAAGCCCATCGGAAAAGCGCAGTATTCAGGTGGGAGTGGCCCGATTTTCCAGGTGCCGTCTGTCACCCCTTTCCTTGATCAGGAAAGGGAACTCCCTGATCCCTTTTGCTTCCCAAGTGAGGCAATGCCTCGCCCTGCTTCGGCTGGCGCACGGTGCGCTGCACCTACTGTCCTGCACCCACTGTCTGGCACTGCCTAGTGAGATGAACCCAGTATCTCAGATGGAAATGCAGAAATCACCCGTCTTCTCCATCACTCACGTTGGGAGCTGTAGACTGCAGCTCTTCCTATTCGGCCATCTTGGCTCCTCCCCCTCTGGCCTGAAGTTTTCCTATGTATATATATATGAAATATATATAAAATCTGCCAGATTTTGGCATCAGGATGATGCTGGCCTCATAGAATAAGTTAGGGAGGAGTCCCTCCTCCTCAATTTTTTGGAATAGTTTTAGTAGGAATGGTACCAGTTCTTTTTTACATGTCTGATAGAATTCAGCTATGAATCTGTCTGATCCTGGGCTTTTTCTGATTGGCAGGCTTCTTATTACTCAACTTTCAAGCTTGTTACTGGTCTGTTCAGATTTTCACTGTCTTTCTGGTTAATCTTGAGAGGTCATGTTTCCAGAAATTTATCTATTTCTTCTAGTTTTCCAGTATGTGTGCATAGCAGTGTTCATAGTAGTCTCTGAGGGGTTTTTTTATTTCTGTGGGGTCAATGGTAATGTGCCCTTTGTCATTTCTGATTGTGTTTATCTGGATTTTCTCTCCTTTTTTTTTTCTTTATTAGTCTAGCCTTTTTTTTTTTTTTTTTTTTTTTTTAGAAAAAGTCTTGGCCTGTCACCCAGGCTGGAGTTCAGGGGTGCGATCTCGGCTCACTGCAACCTCCACCTCCCATGTTCAAGCAATTCTCGTGCCTCAGCCTCCTGCTAGCTGGGATTACAGGTGTGCACCACCAAGCCCAGCTAAATTTTTTTGTATTTTTTAGTAGAGATGGAGTTTCACCATGTTGGCCAGGCTGGTCTTAAACTACTGGCCTCAAGTGATCCTCCCTCTTCAGCCTCCCAAAATGCTAGGACTGCAAGCATGAGCCACTGCACCTGGCCTATCAGTCTTATTTAATCTTTCAAAGTACCAGCTTCTGGTTTTGTCGATCTTTCTGTATGGCTTTTTGCATCTAAATTTCATGCAGTACAGCTCTGGTTTTGGTTATTTCTTGTCTTTTGATAGCTTTGGGGTTGGTTTGCTCTTGTTTCTCTAGTTCCTCTAATTGTGATATCATATTGTTAATTTTAGATCTTTTTAAACTTTTGATGTCAGCATTTAACACTATAAACTTTTAACACTGCTTATCTGTGTCCCAGAGATTCTGGCATGTTGTATCTTTGTTCTCATTAGGGTCAAAGAATTTATTGGTTTCTGCCTTAATTTTATTATTTACCCAGAAGTCCTTTAGGCAGACTTCGGAATGTAATTGTGTGATTTTGTGTGACCTTCTTGGTATTTATTTCTATATTTATTGCACTGTAGTCTGAGAGCATTGTTAATATGATTTGGTTTTTTTTTTTTAATTTGCTGAGAATTATTTTCTGGCCAATTTTGTGGTCAATTTTGGAGTATGTGCCATGTGCAGATAAGAAGAATGTATTTACTGTTGTTCTGGGATGAAGAGTTCTGAGGGTGTCTATTGTGTACACTTGGTCAAGTGTTGAGTTCAGGTCCCAAATATCTATGTTAGTTTTCTGCCTCAGTCATCTGTCTGATACTGTCAGTGGGGTGTTGAAGACTCCCACTATTATTATGTGGTTATCTAAGTCTCTTCATAGGTCTCTAAGAACTTATTTTATAAATCTGACTGTTCGTCTGTTAGGTGCACCTTGAATTCCTCATGGACAAGTCATTCCCACCACACCCTTACATCCATCCCCTCTGCCCCAAGATTTGGCCAAAGGACCTTCTTTTGTTAAAACAGAGGGGGAAAAAAACACAGTTTTTCTAGTCAATAGGTTATTTCCTCTAAATCTTCAGCACAATATCCAGTTATGAAACTGATACACCAAAATGTTCATAGGGAGTAATAACTGGTTGGTGAAAATTCAGGAGTTTTTTGGGTTTTGGTTTGGTTGTTTTGCTTATTTATGTCTGTCTCATTGTTTTAATTCCTTTTTACAATCAACACAAATTATTTTATAAGAGAAAATAACTTTAAAGCTTTCTAATACTATTAAGACAAAGAATAGAAGGGAGATAGAAAATGGTAAACTTAGACTCAGGAAATCTATCTCCATTATTGCTAAAATAATGCTTTTAATTAATAGGGAAGGTATTAAAATATATTGACTTTATTATAAACCTTCACAACTTTAGGTTGTTCTTTGGCATCTTATTTTGAGGTTGTATTTCCCTGAACATTCTTGGTCCTTCAGAAGTGTGACAATGCCTGCATAATGAGTAATCAGATATTTATTTTAGCTTTGCAGTCTGGTTTTGTTTGTGCCTATCCTTCTTCACAGGGCCTTCCAGGGATTGTAAGCTAACTCACTACTGTGTTACCTGAGTCTGTGATCACTGCAGCCATCTCAGCACAAGGGGATACTATAAGGCTAGGCTTACCATGAGTGTTGAGGCTCTGAGGTTGATGCAACTTTCTAGCCCAAATGATCCTGGGGAAGACATAAGGGGGATATTGGGACTATGTAGGAACACTGGCCAAGGACCTGAGTCAACAAGAGTGTCCCAGTGTCCCAGATGAGCATGCTTCCCAGCAGTTCTCTGCATAGGTGGGATGGGTCCCCATTTCCAGTGAGAGGAGCTGCATTTGAGACTGGGCCCCATTGGGATTTGCTGTGGGAAAGAGGCTGTTGTGCTTGTCTGACACAGGTGGGCATGTATCACCATAAGGTCTCTGCACAAGTCAGATAGCTCCTTAACTGGTACAGAAAGGGCCAGAGCTGAGACTGAGCCTTCTGGGACCTGCTGTGGGATGAAGCTTGACAAGACTATCATATTTGCTTGGATAGGTATGAATCTCCTAGCAGGTCCCCATACAAATGGGATAGTGCCCCAACTGCAGCAGGAAGGGCTAGTACTAAGACTTGGCCCCCTTGAGATCTGCTGTGGGACAAAGGCTGGAGAGCCCAGTCTTGGCTTTGATGGGTGCATGTCATCCAGTAAGTTCCCACATAGAAGAATAGCCCACCAATTTTAGCAGGAGGGGCTGGAATTGAGACTGCCCTCCCCTCACCTCTCCAGCATCTGCTAAGAAACAAAGGCTAGAGAGCCCATCTTGTTTGCCCAGATGGGTACATGTCTTCCAGCAGGTCTCAGCACAGATGGGATAGCTCCCTGACTACAACAAGAGGGGCCGGAGCTGAGACTGGGGCCTCTTAGCATCTGCTGTAAGGCAGAGCATCTCTGAGCTGGGACCTCAGCTGAGGAGAGCTGGAGCAGCCCACAAGGAAACTTTCAGGTTCACTGTGGAAACCAATATCAATGGGTAGCCAGCCTGTCCACCAAGGTAGTAGTGTGCATAGTTCTTTCTGGACCCTTTCACAGATGGTTTTGGTTGCAAGCTCAATGCCAAACAGGGCTGTAGCCTAGCCCTTTGAGGGACTCGACTGTTTCCAGGTTTGAACCTGGAAGCAAACTCAGCAAGGCAGATCAGCCAACTGGGTGTTGGTCTGCACTCTCAAAACAACCCTCTTGTAGGTCTTGAGTTCTACTAGGACTTCACCAACTCCCACCTGAATTCTGAGGCTCCTGCACAAAGACTTTTAACTGTGGATGGATGCAGAATTCTTATTGTTGTGGGGGTATATGAACAGGTTAGCTTCTAACCCGCCATCTTAATGACATCAGTCATGTATTTAAAAATAAAATATTGGTGTGATAATAGACAAAGAGTGTGGAAATATTCCAGATTAAAGGAGATTAAAGAGATAAAACTAAATGCAGTTCTGGACTGTTATAGAACCCTGTTCTGAAGAGGAAAAAGTTTTATAAAAGACATTATTGGGTCCATTGGCGAAATTAGAATATGGATCATATATTAGGTAAAAGTATTATATCAATGTTAAATTTACTGATGCTGATAACAATACTGTAGTTATGAAGGAGAATACCTCTAAGAAAATAGACTCTGAAATATTTGAAGGCAAAGAACCATGAGGTAAGCATCTTATTCTTGAATGATTCCAGAAAAAAAGTACGTGTACACACATAAACACATACAGTTCTTCCAAGCATACATTATTTTAACATCTCACAATTTATGTAATTATTATTACATAATAACTGTAACATCAAAAATTTTTGTACGTCTATTTACATGATCTCATGGGTTTTCTTTTTTTAGTTTATTAATATGGTAGCTAATCAACATTCAATAATTGATTTTTTGAATGTTAAACCCATATTGCATTCTTGGAATAAGCCTCACTTCATCCTGATGTTTTATCCTTTTTTGTATGTTGGTACAGTTAATTTCTAAAATTTGCTTTAGCATTTTTGCATCTATGTTCTTGAGGAGTATCAATTCATAATTTTTTTCTTGTAATGTCTTGGTATACTTTTAGTCTGAGAATAATGTTGTCCTTAGTGAATGGGTTGGAAAATATTCCTTCTTCAACTTTCTGTAAGAGTTTGGGCAGAATCAGTATTAATTTTTCTTAAATATTTGGAAGAATCTGTGAACAAAGCTGTCTTGGCCTGGAGTTTTTCATTTTAGATATGTTTTTAACAAAATATTCTATTTCTTTAATTGATAGAAGGTTTTTCAGGTTATCTATTTTTTTCTTAAGCAAGCTTTCATAGTCTGTGACTTTTGAGAAATGTGCCTATTTCACATAAGTTGTTACATTTATAGGTATGATGTTGTTCATAACATTCCCTCGCCATCCTTTTGCTGTTTGTAAATTCTGTAGTGATGTCACATTTCTCTTTCACAAATATTGGTCATTCATGACTTCTCTCTTTTTTCCTAATCAGTGTGGCAGGAATTTTATCAACTTTTTTGACTATCTTTAAGAACCACCTTTGGTTTCATTGATTTTCTCTATTTTTCTGTCTTTTATTTTATTATTTCCACTTTACTCTTTCTATATCTTTTATTTTCTTCCTCCTCTTCTGATTTTCTTAATTCTCTAACTTCAGATTTCATTCACTCTTCCTTCTCTAGTTTCATAAGGTGGAAGCAGAGGTTGATTTGAGACCTTTTTTCTTTTCTAAAATAAGCATATGTATATATATATATATATATATATATATTTTTTTTTTTTTTTTTTTTTTTTTTTGAGATGGAGTCTCGCTCTGTCGCCCAGGCTGGAGTGCAGTGGCGCGATCTCGGCTCACTGCAAGCTCGACCTCCCGGGTTCACGCCATTCTCCTGCCTCAGCCTCCTGAGTAGCTGGGACTACAGGCGCCCGCTACCACACCTGGCTAATTATTTTTTTGCATTTTTAGTAGAGACGGGGTTTCACCATGTTAGCCAGGATAGTCTCGATCTCTTGACTTCATGATCTGCCCGCCTTGGCCTCCCAAAGGGCTGGGATTACAGGCGTGAGCCACCGTGCCCGGCCTAAATATATATTATTTTTTAAAAGCCCTATTTAGGTCGAGCATGGTGGCTCATGCCTGTAATCCCAGCACTTTGGGAGCCCGAGGTGGGCAGATCACCTGAGGTCAGGAGTTCGAGACCAAATTAGCTGGGCATGGTGGCGCACGCCTGTAATCCCAGCTACTCAGGAGGATGAGGCAGAAGAATCGCTTGAACCCGTGAGGTGGAGGTTGCAGTGAGCCGAGATCACAGGATTGCACTCCAGCGTGGGCAACAGAGCAAGATTCCCTCTCAAAAAAATAAAATAAAATAGCCATATTTAAAGTATGCTTTAGCAAATTCTGATACATTATATTTACATTTTTATTCAGTTTAAATAATTTCTATTTTCCCTTTTGGTGTTTTAATTCCCCTATGTGTTATTTAAAAGTGTTTTCGTTTCTCCCTGTGCCACAGCCTAGAAACTCCCTGGGCAGTAAAACTGGAAGAATTATAAGACTGACTTCTTTTGTTTCCTATCTCTTAAGGATTACTCACTTTCAATGCCTGATGTCCAGTGTCTTAAAAACTGAAAACTATTTTGAATAGATTCTGTTTAGTTTTCTTTCTTTTGCCCTTTTTTGTTTGTTAGTTTGTTTTAGGCAGAAGGTAAATCTGGCAGAAGGTAAAACATAATTCTTCCTTGTCTTTTTGCTTAGGTTTAAATGTCTTATAAGAGATCTCATCAGAATGAGGCAAAGAGCATGTAAGAATAAAAGACTAAGACTGGTAGAATTCTGGGACAATTTACCTGTTCTACATAAACGAAAATGATGCATGCAGTCTTGTGTTTATTAAGTCATCACCCTCTTGGGCTATTTTATCAAGTTATATATAATATAAAATAACCCTGGGTTACAGGCAAGACCCACATGACTTTAAACTATTTACTCATTCAACAATGAACAATTCACTGAATAAATATGTATTAATCACCTATTATATGATAGGTACCTACGATAGGGCAAAAAAATAAGGTAGTCTTTGTTCCAACGTTAGTCAACATTTAAATAAGGAGATACACAGAAAAGAAACACATCAAGAAACAAACAAGATCACTTCAAATAATTTTAAATATCACAGAGAAAACAAAACAGCATCTAGAGGAAGTGGTAAGGAAGAAAGGATGTTCTAGTTTACCTAGCTCCTTAATGGAGTTTTCTCTAAAGATCTGGCATTGTGTTTAGACTTGAATAAAGCAAAGAAGAAATGGTATGATAGTATGGGATGGGATGAGGCGGTAGGGAGACAATCCAAGCCAAGGAAATAGCAAATGCAAATATACCAAGAAGAGATAGAGTTTTCTGTAATTGTGGGTTATACAAAAAATCAGAGTGGTTGGAGACTAAAGAAGGTGGAAGACTGGTATGGGATGTGGTCTGAGAGCTAGCAGGAACCCCATTAAGTAGTCCTTGTTGGACATGGCAAGGCACTTGGAATTTCAATGGGAAACCAGCAGAGATTTGTGCAATGAACTGTTATGATAAGATTTCTGCTTCGAAAAAATAACTCTGCCTGCTATGTAGGATGCATGGGTCTGAGTAAGATAGGATGGAAGTTTGAGCTAGAATTATAGCAGTAGAGTTGATGAGAAGTGATCATGCTTGGAATATAGAGTTGACAGTACTTAATAAAGGATGGATTGTGGAGTATGAAAGAAAGCAAGGAATCAAGGATGTTTGTAGCCTGAGATACTTGCATGGTGGATATAGCATTTTCTTAGAGGAGAAAATCTGGTGGATGAGCAGATTTTTGAAAGTTGTCTGATGCCTGTGTGAGTATGTCAGTCTGGCAGTCAGATACACAAATCTGGAGCTGAGGAGAGGGGCCCAAGCTTGAGACAGAATTTGGGGATCAACTAGCTTATTACAAGATTCACCTAGTGGGTAATAACATAGGATAAGACCTAAGTCATTTAAATTTAGAAATCAAGTAGTTTTTTCTAGTTCTGTGAAAAATGATATTGATAGTTTGATACGAATAGCACTGAATCTGTATATTACATTGGGTAGTATGGATGATTTAACAGTGTTGATTCTTCCAATCCATGAGCATGGAATGTTTTTCCATTTGTGTCATCTATGATTTTTTCAGCAGTGTTTTGCAATTTCTCCTTGTAGAGATATTTCACCTCCCTGGCTAGATATATTCCTAGGTATTTCATTTTTGTATATATGGCTATTTTAAATAGGATTGCATTCTTTATTTGGCTCCTATATAGAACCAAAAAAGAGCCCAGGTCAGGCACGGGGACTCATGCCTATAATCCTAGCACTTTGGGAGGCCAAGGCAGGTGGATAGCTTGAGGCCAGGAGTTTGAGACCAGCCTGGGCAACATGGTGAAACCCCATCTCTACAAAAAAAGAAAAAAGAAACAATTTGCCAGGCATGGTGGCATGTGCCTGTAGTCCCACCTACACAGGGAGGCTGAAGTCAAGGCTGCAGTGAGCCCAGGAGGCTGAGGCTGCAGTGAGCTATGATCATGCCACTGCACTCTGGCAGGGGTGATAGAGCAAGACCCTGTCTCAAATAAAAAATAAAAAAGCCCAAATTTCCAAAGCAATCCTAAGCAAATAGAACAAATCCAGAGGCATCACATTACCCAACTTCAAACTATACTATCAGACTGCAATAACAAAAATAGCACAGTACTGGTACAAAAACAGACACATAGACCAAGGAACAGAATAGAGAACCCAGAAAGAAAGCCACACACCTACAGCCATCAGACCTTCAAATTCAACAAATTCAATAAAAAATGAGCAATGGGGAAAGGACTCCCTATTCAATAAATGGTGCTGGCATAGCTGGCTAGCCATATTCAGAAGAAAGTAACTGTATCCCCCTATTTCACCATATAAAAATCAATTCAAGATATATTAAAGATTAAAATGCAAAACCTCAAGGATAAGAATCTTAGAAGAAAACCTAGGAAATATTTGGACATTGGCCTCTGCAAAGAATTTATGACTAAGCTCTCAAAAGCATTTGCAACAAAAACAAAAATTGACAAATGGGATCTAAGAAAACGAAAGAGTGTCTGCACAGCCAAAGAAACTATCAACAGAGTAAACAGACAACCAACAGAATGGGACAAAATATTTGCAAACTATGCATCTGACAAAAGTCTGATATCCAGAATCTATCAGAAATTTAAATAATTGAATAAGTAAAAAACAAATAACCCCATTTAAAAATGGGCAAATGACATGAACAGACACTTCTCAAAGAAGACATGCAACTGGCCAACAAACATATGAAAAAATCCTGCACATCACTGATCATCAGAGAAATGCAAATCAAATCCACAATGAGATACCATCTCATACCAGTCAGAATGGCTATTATTGAAAAGTCAAAAAACCACAGATGCTGTTGAGGCTGTGGAGGAAAGAGAATGTTTATATACTGTTGGTGGGAATGTAAGCTAGTTCAGCCACTGTGGAAAGCAGTTTGGAGATTTCCCAAACCACTTAGAACTACCATTCCAACCCCCAATCTGATTAAGGCTATATATCCAAAAGAAAACAAACTGTTCTACCAAAAAGACACATGCACTCACATGTTCATCGCAGGACTATTCACCATAGCAAAGACATGGAGTCAACCTAGGTGCCCATTAACGGTGGCCTAGATAAAGAAAATATGATGCATATACACCATAGAGTACTACATAGCCATAAAAAATGAAACCATGTCCTTTGCAGCAACATAAATGCAGCTGGAGATCATTATCCTAAGCAAATTAACACAGGAACAGAAAACCAAACACTGCATGTTCTCATTTATGAATGAGAGTTAAATATTGAGTACACACGGACATAAAAATGGCAACAATAGAAACTGGGGACCACTATATAGGGGAGGGATGAGGGAGGTTAAGGATTAAAAAACTATTCAGTACTGTGCTCAGTGCCTGGGTGACAAGATCATTCATACCCCAAACCTTAGCATCACGCAATATAACTTTGTATATTGTATGCACATGAACCTGCTGAATCTAAAGTAAAAGTTATAAACAAATGAATAAATATTTTTTAAAAACAGAAAAAGAAAATTAGAGGAGAGGTCAGGCTACCAAAGGATACTCAGAAATAGCAGCAAATGAAATAGAAAAAAAATACCCACAAATATGAGAACAAAGTGTTTCCAGAAAGAAGGAGTATTTATGATAAAAACTGCTGAGAAGATAAGATTGAATAACCACTGGACTTGGTAAGATGGAAGTCATTTGTGATATTGATAAAAGCTACTTATTGGAGTAGTGGAAAATCAAGTCCAAGAAGACAGAATGGAAGGGTGAGAAAGCAGAAACAGTAAGTGTAGGAATTCTGTGCTTATAGTATCTGTATTCCTGTACATGAGGATACAGTTGTAGGTACATTTTGTGTTTCTAATAAAGTGCCCTCAAGAAAGTTAAATTAGGCTGTGCCAACCAAGGTCTTTCTCATGTTACTCTGTACAACCTCTTCAATATGTGTTAAGCTAGAGAAGATTCTAACTTAGATACACGAAGTTGTAGAATTGAGCTGAATCGTTTTGCTCTTCCGAACGCCCTTTATTCAATGCACTAGAGTATTTTTCCAAAGGAACTTATTTTATTATTATCCTATATTTTATTAGGTAATATTTAATATATTCAAAAGGTTATATATTATGAAGGATGATAAGTTATGGGAGAAATAATACTTATGAATCCTCTACCTAACCTAAGAACTAGTAATTATTAATATTATTTTGCATCTCACTGTGGGATCCTTCCCTCTGTCATCCTCCTGACTCCAGCTCTCCCCAAGGATAAAAACTACCCTAAATTTTACTTTCCTCTAGATTAAAAAATAAGTCTTATAATATACATATATATTCCTAAACAACATATTATTTCCTTGTTAGTCAACCTTTGCAGCATATGTGTTACAAGCCTTTTTTCTTTGTAGAAATAGAAACTTAGGTGATTATGATTTACCAAAGGCCAAGAAACCAACTAAAACCAGAGCCAGATGTAGTTATTCCTTCTTGGTTCGGATCATAACTCATGCTAATACTCACAAGAGCTAGTACTAGAAAATAAAGTCACTGTGGAAAAGGCAGTCTTTCCAGCTTAACTCAAACACAACCTCAAATCCTTTATAACAATGCACCAAGCAGTTATTACCAATTGCTTGGCTCTTTTAGAGACATGAACTGGATTTGATGAGAAAGCCCTGTTGGTTGAATAACATGGAATACAGTTGTTATCCCAGTGCTTTTTCTTAAGGATGACAAGATTTCTTTCTCATTTTAAAGTTGAAAATGCTTTTTAATAACCTCTACAGTTCGATGTTGGAAAACTCATATTGAGAAACACCAGGAATGATTTCTTTCTACAATTTGAAAATCAATAGTAACATTTCGTATTTTTGTACCAGGAGTTTATGCACCAGGAGCATTTCACTAATGAAAGCACTATTTTAATATTACGTTATAATAGAATTATAGAATCTCAATATTAAATGTATAAATGTATTACCTCTGCCCTGATATTATCTTCTTTTCATAGATGAGATTACCTGACTCCAGTTAGTAGTCCAGATAGTAGTAGACTTCAGCAAACCCAATATTCTTTGACCAATCTGTCCTTCATTTAGAGACAGATTTAGCCCTTCATTTAATAGCTCAGCTGACACATTCATGTTGAAGTAAGTCCTTTATTTTGTATATAAACAAAATGTTTCCAGAAAGAAGGAATGTTTATGGTAAAAGCTGCTGAAAAGTCAAATACAATCAGATCGGATAACCACTAGACTTGGGATGATGGAGGTCATTTGTGACTTCCATCAAATATGGTACTGAGTTTCTGCATTATTCTTGAAATTAAGCTGCTACTTTATATCCCAAGTGTAATATGTGCATCCCTGTCTTGCATAGGGACTCATCTTCTTCTGATAATAGTACCCGACTTTCCTATAAATAACCCATTTCATATGATTTAGGTAGAGCACATAATCAGCCATGGTCAATAAGAGAGCCTCTTGCCCCAAGCCAGAGTGATTAGTTCTAAACTGGCTATATGATCCAAGCCTGGCCAACCTGATCTAACCTGAGGACTTTTCTTTGGGGAGGTTTAAACTCATAAGATATATGTCTTGAAGAAGTTAACTGCTTGGATGTAAGTCCTGTAGTGCCAACAGCAATCTTGCCTGCCATTTGAGAGTACATTTTTAAGAAATAATGATATAGAACCTTCATAGTTACTTGGGACACCACCCCCACCCCCCCGCAATCTTATCCACACATAAAACAATTTATATTAAATGGACTAACAGAAATTGTTAGTCCTGAACTTTTAGTTAAATGAGCTAAAAATAATTTTCCCTTAGGCAGGGCGTGGTGGCTCATGCTTGTAATCCCAGCACTATGGGAGACCAAGGCAGGCAGATCACATGATGTCAGGGGTTTGAGACCAGCTGGCCAGCATGGTGAAACCCCATCCCTACTAAAAATACAAAGAAAAAAAATAGCCGGGCATGGTGTCAGATGCCTATAATCCCAGCTACTTGGGACGCTGATGCAGGAGAATCAATTGAAAATGGGAGGCGGAGGTTGCAGTGAACAGAGATCATGCCACTACACTCCAGCCTGGGTGACAGAGCAT
Source organism: Homo sapiens (assembly GCF_000001405.40). NCBI lineage: Eukaryota > Metazoa > Chordata > Mammalia > Primates > Hominidae > Homo > Homo sapiens. Next base: position 179,373,846 of record NC_000002.12, on the reverse strand, counting down.
CTCCCAAAATAATAATAATAATAAATTTCCCTTAAATAGTTTGAGTAGAATTTTTAAGATTTCAACTGAAAGAGCCATGGCTAACAGATAAATAAGTATACGAAAATGGGATATGACAGGCAATAAACCTTAAAATGAGGTGTAGGCTGAGTCCAGGTGGAATTTATGTTGTCTTGAGACACCTAATTAAACTATGTGTCTTGTGTTTCAGGATACAAATCATGTGCTTACTCAGGCCGTAGCATTAGTAACTTAGTAAAAAGACATTCAGAGACTTCTACTTTCAACCAAGGTGGAGCAACAGAGACTAGAATTGCCCTCCTGCCACAAACAACTAAATAATAGGAAAAATATGTAAAAAACGGTGATTTTCAGATTTCGGACAGCAGGCATCACAGGACACTGATTCCTGAAAAAGAAAACTAATGAGGTGAACTCTGGAAACTGCCTGGAGACAGTTTCTAGGATACAGTGCAAAGAGAATGAACCCAGACAGAACCCCACAGTCTCCTGAGTTGGAAAGGTAGAATTAAGGGTTTGCAGAGGCCAAGGAAACTAGAATTTGGGCAAGGAATCAGAGAGGAGAGAACTTCTGGTCTAGAGAGTTCTGGAGATCTTCAGAGGTCCCCTTTCCCTCAGCATCTCTTCACCTGAGTCCTGATCATTGCATGTATATGAGAAAACAACCCTAGGCCATGGAAAGAACCATCTGAAAGGGGCAGATAGAACAATCCCTGGAGGTCCCACAAGGCTAGTAATAGTTACTGTTTCCCTTTGTCAGAGTAGAAAAATGGCATTATATATGGGGCATTAGGTGGAGCACTCTGAAGGGTATTGACTCACTAGTGGGCAAAATTAGCCCTAAAGGCTAATCTGGTCCCACCTAACAAAAATCTGTTTTGTTAAACTGTTATAAAGTAATTTAACTATGTCCTAGAATAAAGCTCCAGAATATTGTTTTAAATACATGAATATACAGTAGCAGACAAAGTAAAATTATCAATATCTGGTGTGTAATAAAAAATTATCAGGCCTTCAAAGAAGCAGGAAAAATAAGACCCTTAGTAAGTAGAAAAATCAATCAAAATAGAAACAGATGATGGAACTAGTAAACATAAACATGTAAGAAGTTATTATAAATTATTCCATATGTTCACAAATGTGGAGCGAAACATGAGCATGATAAGGAGAGACATAAAATATGTAAAAATGATCCAGACTGGTCATCCAGATATGAACAATACAATGTCAGAGATTTAAAATACACCAAAACAAACTGCAACACAAAGGCACCTGACAAATAATGCCTTTGTTTGGAACCAAATTCTGTTCTAGGTGATCCAACTGAGCTCCATTTCATTTGTGAAATGGTGATAATAATAGTGTCCATCATACTGGGATATTATAAGGCTTAAATGAGCTAACAAGTACAATTCAGAACAGACCTTGGCACATAAAGAGAATTCATTAATTTAGCTAATAATATTAGCAATATATCTTATTTACATATTTCACCCAGTTTCTCTGCTGTGCTCCAACTCCCTTTTGATTTCCCAGCTGTTAGCTATCTGCTTAGAAGAACCAATTTTCACTATTTTTGCCAACACATCCAGTTTGACTGAACTTTCTTTTGCCATACTCTGCTGACTATGATCCCTCCCCAGGGCCAGCCTAGTTTCTGCTTCTTTTCCCACTTGGTTTAGTCTGTCCTGATGTTTATCAAATTCGCTATTCTCTTTCTGACAACAGGGAACCTTGAAAGTCATCCAGTCCAATCACTAAAACTCCAACAGTGATAGATATTATAAAGAGTTTATTTTGTTTTCCTAGGCTAGAAGTTTATTTCAGACAAGACATAATACACAAACCAGTTTTGCAAAGTTTTTATTACTGAAATAATGAGTTTGACTAAATCTTATCACATAAACTATTCTATTTTAGTTTATATTATATAATATATATGGAATATTATATACCATCATAATATGTAAAATAATAGTGTATTATATAATGTAACATTGCATAGTATTCTACCCTGTATTTATAAATGCAATTTCTATATAAATGAAAAGTAGCTAATTATAGCTATAATTCATTTTAGCAACTTTTGTGCCAAGGAAAGTTTTTATATACTATCTCATTTCACTTCACTGCAACTCTATAGGGTATTTACTATTGATATCCCTACTTTACAAATGAGAAAATTGAGCTTCAGAAAGGTCAAGTGACAGAAAGTTGGTGATACTGGATTCTATTCCATGTCCTTCTGAGTTAAAAACCTAAATTCTTAACTACTCTGCTATACTGGAAAAAAATGAGATAAGTGCCTTGAATAGATCTAGCATTTGTTATTCTATCTCAAATAGTAGGTTACTAAAGCACAAAACAGGAAGATTCATAATATTAATGCTGAGAAGCCTCTGGAAATCTACAGATAGAAATAATTCCTGGAGAGAGAGGGCAACCATACTATACTATACCTTGAATCACCCATGAAGTCAAAACAAGTATGATATCTAGCTGTAGTCAGAAATCAATTTTCTTTCTAGCTTTTCATAGCTTCTCTTTCTCCACTCTTTAAACTGTCCTAATCTGCTTTCCTATGTGGCTTATTTCCAGTAATGTATAGTTTGGATCACAGCATCCACACACCTGGTGGGCTGTACATAGCTATCCACGCTGTGAATGTTAAGGATTCTAGGAAACTGGGAGGTACAATACAAGCCCTCATAACTTCAAAATGAAGACATGAGCTCTGTGGATGGTGGGAACTGGCCAAAGACAGTAGCATCAAAACCATAGGTGAGCACTCTCACATGCAAAAGCAAAACTCAATCAGAAGCCAAATAGCAGAGCATTTTGATGAAAAGTAACATGTTTTATTAGATTCAGTTTCATCTATTTGTTGAACTGTATTCCTTTTATCATAAAATACACATGTATTAACATATCCTGTAAACAGTACTCATTATGGTCAGACACTACATTTGGTATAGGGAATACAAAAAAAAAAAGTCCCAGATGTCAAAGTAAAGTCTTCATATTCAGGTAGAAAAATCAAATATGTGAATATGTTGATGCCCACCAGCCAAGCCACCAGAAATATACCTGTATTCAAAGTTGGGTTTATTATTTGCTGCAACAAGGGAGACTCCAGGCCATGAGGAACAAAGAGGAGTCTCAGAGGGTTATAGCGAGGACTTGTTGTAGGGTTTGAGTTTGGGTTTGCATTAGGTAATTTAAGAGAAGGTTTAAGGAAACAGTGGTTTTTGTCCATATCAGGTGCTGTCAGAAAGTGGGAGCAATTCTGTGATTGGCTATCTTAAATTTTATTGAGGAGGAGGAAAGAATAAAACGGGGTTAAACTTGCAATTTGTAAGGCAGCAGGAGCTATTAGCTGGGAACGGGGCGTATGTGGCCACTATTATGGTTAGCACTATGTTCTTGTTTTTTTCTGGGCTCTGATGTTAATTATAGAAGGTTCCTGTTTTTGTTTTGATCCATTATGTGGTTTATGCACACAGTAACATCATATGATTTTGTTTTTCTATAAAATGTATGTTCAGCTATGTTCAGCAGGATAACCATGGCTTGCTTGGGAGTGAAGTTGTTTTTTCTTCCTCAGTTGTGAGCTACACCATACCTTGATACGTGCTAAACTACAAGAATACACACAAGTTTGAAAAACTAATGAATTTTGCTTATGAATAGGTGTTCTTTAGAAAAAAGGTTTATGTGAATAGTGTATTGAAGAAACAGAATTTACTGGGCTCAGGAGAAGTCAGAGGACATTTCCAAGCAAAAGCAAAGTGTGCAAGCACACACAGCATGATGGGGAACTTTGAGCGGAGCAGCACTGCTAGAATGAACAAGGGAGCTGAATTGGTGAGTCTGAGGCTGAGTCAGCAGGTCATGGTCAAGTCATGAAGGAGTTTGGACTTCATTCAGCTGGTAAATATGAATCCATCAAAAATAATTTGAATCAGAGTCCACGCACGGTGGTTCACACCTGTAACCCCAGCACTTTGGGAGGCCGAGGCGGGCAGATCACCAGAGAGGTTAGGAGTTCAAGACCAGCATGGCCAACATGGTGAAACCCCATCTCCACTAAAAACACAAAAATTAGCCAGGCATGGTGGACACGTGCCTGTAATCCCGTCTACTCGGGAGGCTGATGCAGGAGAATCGCTTGAACCTGGGAAGCAGAGGTTGCAGTGAGCCGAGATCACATCATTGCATTGCACCCTGCACTCCAGCCTGGGCGACAGAGTGTGACTCCATCTCAAAAAAAAAACAAAAAAAACAAAAAACATTGAATCAGAGAATAACATAATCAAATCAATGTTTTAGAAAGCAGACTTTGGCAACAATATGGAGAACAAACTAGTCTGAGGAGATTTTTTTAAAAAGAGACCAGTTAGTAAATTACTTTAGCCAAGAGACAATTCATGTTTAAACTGAATCAGTAGCAGTAGGGATGGAGGACCGAGGGATGTAAGAGATGCTGCTGGTATGCAATTGACCAGAGTTAGAGATTATATCCTACATTTAAATGTAAGCTGCATCGGGGTAAAATCAGGTGCATTTGCTCACATTGTACACCTAACAAGTACAGTGTCTGGTGTGTGGCAGTTGCTCAATGAATGTTTGTTAAATTAAAAAATAAATTATGAGGGATGGGTTGAAGAAGATGTGAATGAAGTAGAAATAGTAGATATTTCTAGGTCATGATGCTGGGTGAATGGTGACTAAATAAACTGAGATAAGGGAGCATATTTGTGGAGGAAGAAGTTAGTTTGATTTTGGACAAACCCACAAAACAAAATAGATATTTTTGGCTTTATATATTTAAAATATTTCAGGGGATATTTTTAAAAGACAATATGACAACAACCTGAACTGTGTTGATTAACCAAATAAAAACTCAGAGTCCCGAAATTATTCACATATGTTAAAAGAGGTTAATAAGTTCCTTCAATGCTGAAAACTATCCTATGATAGATAAAAGGCACAGACTTATTAATTATATTTGGTGACTAAAGAGACAGAGCTAAAAACTAAGGTTCTGGAAAATATAATTGGCATATGAAATGAAAAATTTTCTTGTCTTCACCATAATTTGTTCAGCTTTATTGAGGTATAAGCAACATATAATAAACTGTGTATACTTAAAACATATAATGTGATCAGTTTTGATGTACTTACGCACCTCTGAAATAGTCACCACAATCAAGGTAATGAATATATCCATCAACCCTAAAAGTTTCCTTATGGTTCTTTGAAATCCCTTTCTCCCTCCCTTCCTTTATCACTCTATCGCCCAGCCCCAGTCCCAAGCAACCACTGATCTGGGTTCTATATGTACAGTTTAATGTGTGGCTATATAATTTTATATAAACAAAATCCTACAGTATGTCTTCTTTTTTGTCTGACTTCTTTCACTTCTCATAATTATTTTGAGAATCATCCATGTTATTGCATGTATCAAAACTTTATTCCTTTTTATTGATGAATAGTATTCCATTGTATGAACATGCAAGCAATTTCTTTATGGATTCTCCTATTGATGGACATTTAGGTTGTGTGGCTGTTTCAAAATATGTCCAAGAATATTATTTTGATACTACTTTGACACTTAGGAAATGGAGGCTAATTTCCCTCTCCTTTCCAGTATGGACTGGCTTAGCAACTCATTCCTAATGAATGGAATAAAGTAGAAATGATGATATACAACTTGTGAAGCTAAGTCATATAAAGATTTTGGATTTCCTCCCTGCTCTTTTGGGTCATCCACTCTGGAGGAGGCCCACTGCCATGCTGTGAGGAAACTCAAATAGCCTCATGTAGAAGGCCATGTAGTGAGAAACCGAGGTCTTCTGTTAGCAGTCATGTGAGTGAGCCAAGTTGAAAGCAGATCTTCTAACATCAGTCCAGACATCAGATGACCACAGGCCCTTGACAGCTTGACTGCAACTTTATGGGAAACCCAGAGCCAGAACCACCTGACTAAGCTGTTCCAGGATTCCTAATCCACAGAAATTATGAGATAATAAATGTTTGCTGTTTTGTCACTAAATTTTGGGTTCATGTGTTACACAGAAAGAGAAAACTAATATGGGTTATTTCAGATTCAGAGTTATTACAAATAAAGCTGATATTAACATCTGTAAACAAATCTTTGTATGAATATATGCTTTCATTTCTTTAGGTTTACTATATATTTTGACTAAATTTTTATTTTGCCTTATTTTTTTTTCCATTCAAGTGTCAAGTTGACCCAACAAGTTTATACGATCCAGGTACTTACTTAATATTCCACACAATGCTCATCCCCATGCTAATTGACTAGTAGATAATCAATATTTTGAATTGAGATAAATTGAGAACAATAATAAGTAGCCAAATGACTTTCAGTAGGCAGCCAAGAGAAGGGAGAAGGTGATTCGGTGTTGCTGTTGAACACACTGACTGACTTCCCCTAGCCCTATCCTGTGAAAAACAATTTGATTTGCTTTAGGCTCAGGAGAGCAATGTAGTTTGGAGTTCATAAAGAAAGTTTTACCCCCAGGTGATGTGAGTTCTCATTTGAACACCACACATAAATGGGTAAAATTAATCCAGCTCCATCGTGGTGAAAATCTGAAGTGACATGCTCCTCAAAATAGAAATAATAGGTATTTGATCACGTCGCCAGACTGGGTCCTCTCTCTTTCAGCTGCTTTTTAACCAATTTAAGCTGTGCTTAGGGGAACAAACTATGGCACTGAGAATTTGAGTGAGATTTCTCTTTCAGCTCTCAGATGTGATTGGAGAGAGCAGGTAGAGAGCATACCGACTGCTTTGCTCAAAGAGTTTCTACTGATTTAGTTCCTTTATCTGGTAGGGGGGACACTGAGCTTTCTAAAGGGATAGAACTATATTAAAGAAGCATTCTGAGCAAAGGGGGTTTACCAAACTGATCCACAATGTACTGAATTTATGTTAAACATAATTATATCCATTAGTATGAGATAGGAATCACTCTATAGCAGTTCTTGAGAGGTAGTAATAACATGAAATTTTCTAAAATATTAATGAAGTTTTCTGTTTTACATTTTCTTATGCTAATCTTGCTTCTATTCTACCAAAAAATGTGCCTAGGGAAGATTTAGCATTGTTAAAACAGGAATGTAAAGAGGAAAAAAAAACAGTGTTAATATTCAGCTCTTGCTATCTGAAATGCAGCAACTTGTTTTAGAGAAAAAGAGAGCAGAAGGATTTTGGAGACTCTTTTATTGCTTCCTTTAGTGAGCCAAGATTGGTAATCTTAGTCATAATGTTTTTTATATAAGGAAGATCCTATCAATTTAGGAAGACTGAGCAAACAAATTCATCCTCAGCCCAGTTAATAGGAAGTGAATAAGGCAGAGTAGAAGGGAGCAGAGGCAGTGAGTAGAGGAAACATCAAGACCGTTGATCCCTTTCATGCCTCCAGTGCCCAATGTGAAAGCACACAGGGGCTTTAGAAATATCCTAATAAATATATTGGCACTTGATTACCTCAGCACTGTTGGTATGCATCTCTCACTGCAAGCCTAGGAGAAGGCCTGCACCCAACCACTTTCAGTGTAGGAAAGAGCAAAATACTGGAGGTGGAGGCAGAAAGCAAGTAGATATGGAAGCTTGAATATTCATGTCAGAAATCCAGAAAACCCTCCACATCTTGATAAAGGTACGGAGAGGCAGTGAAGACTGCTGAACCAACAGAGAGCTTCAGGTCCAGAACAAATGGCCAAGACCATAGATGCCAGTGGGAGAGATATCACAAATAATCCCCAAGAGGCCAGTGAGATCTGTGGAGTCCCAACAGTGACCAGATTTAGCAGGTGACTACTGGTCTGACTACTGACCAGGTAAGTGCAGTGTTATACACCCTCTTCTGCCCCTCTTTAAGATGAGATGTGAAGAAAGAGAAAGGATTGTATCTTATGTAGTGTTATGGGGTTTGTTAGAACAGTGCTTGGAAAAATATAGTATCTTCTGAATCATTTTATTTATTTATTTATTTATTTATTTATTTATTTATTTATTTTAATGAGATGGAGTCCTGCTCTGTCACCCAGGCTGGAGTGCAGCGGCACGATCTTGGCTCACTGTGACCTCCGCCTCCTGGGTTCAAGCAATTCTCTTGCCTCAGCCTCCCGAGTAGCTGGGATTACAAGCACACACCACCATGCGGGCTAATTTTTTTTTTGTATTTTTAGTAGATACAGGGTTTTGCCATGTTGGCCAGACTGGTCTGGAACTCCTGACCTCAGGTAATTCACCCACCTCCGCCTCCCAGAGTGCTAGGATTACAGGCGTAAGCCACCATGCCCAGCCATCTTCTGGATTGTTTTAGAGTGACTGGGCAATCCTAGAAAAATACAGGAGCTATTGTTAATTTCTCCATGACAGTTGTGATGACAATACATTTTTGAATGTGCTATACCAGTTTGTAACTGCATTAGTTTGCTAGGGCTGCTATAACAAAGTACCAGAGACTCGGTAGCTTAAATAACAGAAATTCATTTTGTCACACTTCTGCAGGCTAGAAAGCCAAGATCAAGGTAGTGGCAGTGTTATTTTCTTCTGAGGATTTTCTCTTTGGCTTAGAGAGGGCCATTTTCTTCCTGCCTTTACATGGTCTTTCCTCTCTGCCTGTGTTTATCCTAATCTCCTGTTCTTATCAAGACACCAGTCATATTAAATTAGGGCCTACCCCCAATGACCTCATTTGATCTTAATTACCTCTTTAAAGGCCCTATCTCAAATAGAGTCACATTCTGAGGTACTGGGTTAGGACTTTAACATATGAACTTGGTGGAGGAGTAGGGGACACAATTCAGACCATCATAGTAAACAATCAGAAATTAGTGACTAGGGGCCTGGTGCGGTGGCTCATGCCTATAATCCCAGCACTTTGGAAGGCCGAGGTGGGTGGATCACCTGAGGTCAGGAGTTCAAGACCAGCCTGACCAACATGGTGAAACCCCATTGCTACTAAAAATGCAAAAAAATTAGCTGGGCATGGTGGCAGTTGCCTGTAATCCCAGCTACTTGGGAGGCTGAGGCAAGAGAATTGTTTGAACCCAGTAGGCAGAGGTTGCAGTGAGCTGAGATCACGCCACTGCACTCCAGCCTGGGCAACAAGAGCAAAACTCCATCAGGAAAAAAAAAAAAAAAAAAAAAGTAGTGACTAGGTGTGATGGCTCATGCCTGTAATCCCAACACTTGCGGGAGACCTAGGCGGGAGGATAGCTTGAGGCCAGGAGTTTGAGAGCAGCCTGGGCAACATGGCGAGACACTGTTTCTACAAATAAAAAATAAAAAAAATTAGCTGGTGGCAAATGCCTGTAGTCCTAACTACTGAAGAGACTAAGGTGGGAGGATGACTTGAGTCCAGGAATTCAAAGCTGCAGTGAGTTATGATCACACTCCTGCACTCCGGCCTGGGTGATAAGAGTGAGACTATCTCTAAAAAGAAATATAAATAAGAATTAAAATGTTATAATTCTTAATTATTTTCTAATACAAATAGTCAAGAATATAATTTTAGAGTTTAATAATTCTGCTTCAGAATTTTTTATGCATAAAAATTTTTATTCTTTGTTACCCTGGTTGATTATTTATTACCCCCAGCTGGAGAGCCTTTAAAAAACAAATTCCCAAACCCCATCCCAGACCTACTGAGTCTGCTCTCTGTGTGGTGGAATTCTCTGTGGCACCAAATAGCAAGAGCTATTCAAAGAAGAAGATATGTTTTCACTGTTCACTATAGGGGATGTATGTTATTTTTTGCTACCCTAGTCTCTATTTTCTTGGTGTCTTTTGGAAAATTACTGACTCCAATGTGTGCAATCCTGGACCCATAAAACAAGATTGTCTGTCTTTCCCTAGCTCAGGGGTGGACCAGGAACCAAAGATGGCTACTTGGCCTCTCTCCTCCAAGACTTTGAACTTTAAGTGGAAGAAAGGAGAATGGTTGGAACAGTATCCTGAAACAATGTGGTATACTCAGTGCTATCTGATTCCTGGAGATAGCTGTTGCTGTTACTTTTTAAGCCTGGTTCTCTACCTTCTTACTATTATCTTTCCATAGATTGCTTTTCTGTTTTTGTTAGCCAAAGTTGATTCCTCTTGCTTGGACCTCAAGACCTGCAACTAATGTAAACACTTGGAAAGTAAGAGGAATAGCTACTTGGAATAGACAAGGAGATAGGTACAGCCCAGCTTCAGATAAATTATGGTAATTTCTAATTAATGTCTTTTAATTAGTAACTTTTAACAAATTTCTTAGATGTACAATAACTGGTAAGACATTAACTACAGTTTACTAAGAGACTTAACCCTAAGGAACCATGTGTGAATTAACAGACAGTATCTGCCAGAAAAACATTTCTCTTTCTCTAGAAATAGGGGAGCCAGCTGTGAAATCCGATTACCAGAATTTTGGCCATTCCCAGTGTTCTGGTTCTCAAAGCCCACATCTAGATGTAAAGACTATATTTAGCCTCAAAATTTTAGAGCTTTAACCTGAGAATCTAAAAATCCACGGAAATAAGCAAAAAGTCTTTGAGGAAGCTAATAAATAGAACATGCTTGGATGCTGAGTTCGTAATTACTGTCAATCTACAGACAACAGCAAGACAGGCTCCATAGATACCTCAGAAGCGAGATGGAAATTAAACAGAAGAGAAATAGACCAGAGTCTATATGTATCCTCCCTCTTCTAGAGGATACAGTATGGGAGGTCAGCAGTCTGGAATAAAAACTTGCAATATCCCCACATTCATACTCTTAGTTGGAGCCATATCAGTGTCAAAAATTGTGAAGGGTTAAATGTTTACCCTACTTGCAAGCTGATGAATAAACCTTCCACAGTTTCACAGATACTGGCAGAATACACCAAACTCCTGGGTCAAAAACCAAAGGATTTTATTAATCATAGCAATAGCAGTAGCCACAGGGGCAGCATTTGCATAGGTTTCTCAAGCCTGAATTCCCACAGGGTGACATAAAGAAAGCTACTTCACTCCTTTATACATAGTTGATTACATTGTAAGAGAAACTTTGAGCTTAGGAAACCTGGATCTTTTATGATAGGCAGTGAGTCTACCTGACATTTGTTCCAGAGGCAGACATTGTCTTATTACCCTGGTCAGGAAAAAAAATGTGCTTTCTGTCCCAGAGAGAGTCACTATCTTCCAAGTCTTTCACTATATACTCAACTTTGAAAAGATAGTCTGGAACAAAGGCATTCAGAGACTCTGTTTACAAGATGTGCAAAAACATGAGACCTATACAGGACTGTGTTCCAACAATCAATACCTACTAAAAACCTTCAAGGTAGGGATTTTACTTGCTTTTTAGAAAAGGAAAATGAGAGTAAAAGAAGTTAAGGAACTCATACTAGGCCCCACAGTGGTGCAGCTGGAATTTATACCCAAGACTTTGTTTTTCCATGGCCTCTCCCCACTAAACCACTGCCAAGACCCATCCATGTTTATGGTTTATGTTTATGATAAGCCAAAAATCATGACAGACCATTCTAGGAGGAAAATTTCTGTCAGCTTATTATGCCCCCCAGGGTGGCAAATGCTATTTCATGAAAGATATCCTAGAAAAACTAGAACAAAACTTTATAAACAAGCTTAACATGCCTCCTGCAAAGTGAGATTTGTGTACAGTAGGCCACCAAATTCTAATTGTCAACAAAAGGGGGAGGGGAGAGAAGGAACTATTGTCCAAAGTGAAGGAATATCCTAGGAACCTGAATGGAGTATCTGTCCTCTTTTGTCCATTTCCAGAAATTGGGCTTCCAGAAACCTGGGAGGGGTGGTGAAATCTATCATAGCAGGGTGGAAAAGAAGAGGGAGAATCTTGTTTAAACCTAGGAAGATTTGGTAGCTTGTTTCCAAGATGGCCACCACCAATTTTCTCCCTTCCTGTATGTACATTTAATCCCCTAAAGAGAGGTAGGGTCTATTCCTCTCCTTCCACCTCCCACACCCCTCACCCCTCACCCCTTGAATCTAGGCTGGATTTGGTAAACTTCTTAAATAACAAAATGCAACAGAATTGGTATTCTGGGACTTGCAGACTTTAAGTCATAAGAAGCCTTGCAGATTTTGTTCAAGTTTCTTGAAATGTTTGGTCTGGGTAGAGTATAAAAAGTCTGACTACCAAAACTGCCATGCTGTAAGGAAGCACAAGCTGGCCATATGGAAAAAGATAGATGTCCAACAGCCCCACACTTCCAGCCATCTCAACCCATGCACCAGTCACATAAGCTAAAGAGCCATATTGGACATTCCTGTATCAGCAGATGCCACATGAAAAACAACAACAAAAAAGAAAAGAAAAGAAACTCAACCCATAGGGAGAACAAAGGCCCCATACATATGGCTCAGTGTTGAGCTGTCCTAAGTATCTCAAGCCACCTCTGCTATGCCTTATCCAAATTCCTGACTCACAAAATCATGTATATAATAAAATTGTTGTTCTATGCCCTAAATTTTGAGGTGGTTTGTTAAGAAGCAATAGATAAGAGCAAAAATAGGTATAATTGAAATACATGTTGAGAGAGTGGTTAAAAAATCAGACTGGGACAAATATTAAACAGAAATTGTAAATTCACATTGTAAGCTGATTAGAAGTTTAACAAGCAATTAAAACTTAAAAATAAATGTTTCACAGAGTTAACAGGATAAGATTTTAAAATGATGTTTGAAATCTCTTTCAGATACTGACTGATTGACCCAAAATTGGAAAAGGTATCATTCTGGGGTAGTATATCTCAACTAAGAGCAATTTTGTCCTCCAAGGTGCATTTGGCAATGACCAGAGACATGTTTGGTTACCACATTTGGGGCAGGGGGAGCTGCTGGTATGTACTGGAAGTTGCTAAATGTCTTATAATGCAGAAAGCAGCCTCCCATAACAAAGAATTATCCAGCCTAAATTGTCAGTAGTGCCAAGGTTGGGAAACCCTATCTTAGAGTAACTGAGGCAACTATATTAAAGGGATTTGGCAAAGTCATAACTTCTTCCATTTGGAGAGAACTTTCGTTATTCAAACTTTCTTCTCCGTAATACAATGTTAAATCTTTATGTGGATCGCAACATGTGGGTTTCAGTCTAAAATATAAAGAAACATTTCTTGAGGTATTTATTTGTTATTTTATTAGCAGTAGGCAATTCACTGGCACTGTGGATTTCACAAGTTTCCTGACTTCTGTGAGCTGTTATGTAACGTGGAGATTGACATGTCAACGATTATAGTACTATGGGATAACAGCAGTACTGGAGACTGGAAAATAGGACAAAGAATACTAAAGTAGGCAGGGGATTTTCAGGAAAGACTTCAAAAGGGAGAGGCACTGAATTGAAACTATATGAATATGTTTCAGACTGGAAGCTGGAGAAAAATAGGCTTGACTTGTATGTAAGCCCAATTAGTTTTATAAAATAAATTGTGCTCTCCTTTAATAGTATATGAAGCAATTAGGAGTTGAATCAGATGTGGAATCATTGGAGGCTTCTGAAAATTTGATTGGAAAAAGTACAATGGCTGGTAATTTAAATCTCCAAAGGAAATGTCAGGAAAACTAAACAAGTTTTCAGAATGTAACTTCTTCATGGTCCAAAGATTAAAAATATAAAACACACGAAACACAACAACAAATTTGGCCATGGCTGAGAATAAAAGATTTAAAGCCGATAACAGCTTTTTAAGGATACATGGCCAGCATTAAATGTACGGATAAAGAATAAAGAGGCTTTATCACCAGCATACGATGAGAAAACATAAGTTAAACTTTGGAAAATAAGTTTTGCCTTTGTTGTTTTCTAAAATCTTTTTCAGATTGAAACAATCATTTTTTGAAATTCCAGGAGGTCCTTATGATAAACAACTGAAAGTCTCTTATGCTATCACATGCATTCAATTTTCCTACATTTTCCCTGTAAAGACACACAAAAAATCCCGTGGGCTTCAGAATATCTTAAGTACCTTAGTCACACAATGTTCAATTTGAACTGCTATCACTTATAAGCTTTTATGATTCAAAAATCATATAGTATGACATTTTTAAATAGCCCAAAGACTATCATAGAATTTCTACAATCATTTGCCACAGTTGTGTATTCTAACACTCAAGAAAATACACCTGATTTCAAAAGACATGTTTCCCTTGGCAAAACTGCTGTTTCGAAATGGAGCAAATCTCCTTACTTCACAGAATACTCCGAAAGCACAGAACATCACTAAAGCAATGTATGTTAACAGAATGTTGTCAACTAACAGAAGACCAACACCAGATTCCACTGCACTAGGCCGGCCTGGTTATGCTCAACTAGGTAGAGGCCAGGCTCTCTCCCTGGACATTGGGCAACTCTGGTTTCTAAAAATCAGTTCTTATGTAATTATTTCCAAGTAGGTAAGTGGGACTTATGCTAGCATAACTAGTGAATGAATGCCCAAATATAAAGTGTATGATGTGATGATTCCTATGCAAAAAGCAAAAACCAGGTTATCCCCAGGGAGGTCATTTAGATTGTTTTCATCCATACATAGCACTTTTCTCAAAATGTAGTTCTTAGACCACTTGCATCAACATAATCTGGGGTGTTTACTAAAGAGGCAGTTTCCTGTGTACCCTCAGACCTACTGGAAAAGAATTTTTAGTTTGATTTTTTTAGGCATGCTATAATTTATGAACTGTGTCTTTATGTTAAAAGTCCAGCAAAATTTTGCATAAGAAAATTACTTATTTTGTGTGGAATTCACTCCAGTATATAAAATCATACTGAAAATATAGCTTTTAATTTCTTTAATGGTTTTGAGTGTTCCTGGCCTACGTCTACATGACAGGATATCAACATTTGGGGGTGGGGGAAATCAATTATTGATTCCTTGCTTAAGAAATAAGATATTTCATCACAACATTTGTCAAAGTCAGTGTCACAAAGTAGTAAGTGTTGAAACTGTTTCCTCTGTTCCCACTTTAGAAGGATTTGATGGGGTTGTTTCTCCAGATAAAGGAGCCTGACTTAACAGAGCAAATTTCTCTGCAGAAATAATAATAATAAGTTTTAAAGTATGAATATGGCTTAGCCCAGGGAAGGAGAGTTGATTTAACTTGAGAGCCAAGAAACCCTGAGGTAACAATTAGCATTCAAAAGAATAAAGTGTATTGTACTGAAAGGGCATTTTTCTTTTATATTACATGTCATGTAAACACCCCAATCTTAAAACCATATATTCTTATAGGTCTTTAGTCTGCCCCACAACCCCTAGCAAGGTGTTACTAATACTTTGGGAGGGAGGTTTGGGCAGTGGAAGAGGTTGACACGCTCATGACTGAATGAATGAAGTGCACTTTCCCTCCACTCAATGTTCTAGGGTGCCAACAGCTCATTCTTTCTGAAGTGCATTCCCAGAGGAGCTTATCTGTTGATTAGCCAGAGACCTTAGACTCCATGAAAATGTATAAGTTGGTATAGATTCCTCTTACTGCCATTTTGGGGTCATGAGCAAGATGACAGAGCAGAGGAAATTGTGATGAGAATGAGCCACAGGAGAGTAGAAACAGGACAGAGACAGAGAAGAGATCACGAAGCCTCTGAAAGACTGAAGTTGGTCTTCTGGTCCTAGTTGACATAAGACCTACTTAAATGCCATTGGGTGTCCTTATAGTTCACAAGACTTCCAAGCACCTATAATAGCCCTCCTTTCCTTTGATTTGGCTTATTTTAGTGGCACTCTGTTGTTGCATCTTGAAACATACAGTTTCTAAGATAATATGATTAATAATCATGTAAACTTCCATACAAAGCATTTACAATGGGGATCTGCCTTCTCGCTTGGTTTCATCAATAGCCTGGCCTTTCTGAAATAGCTTCTGTATCTTTTATCAGCATTTTAGGTCATATTGTGTGGATAAGAATTACACAGAGAAGAAGGTATTTGGACTCACTTCACCCTGTCTTGACTTAGGTAAACAGAGTCTTTAATCAGCTAAACTCCCTTCTAGGGATTAAAAACTAACATTTATTAAAAGTATTGCGCAGGCAAAGATGTTTATGGACATTAGCCCTTTAATCTTCACAGCTTTGTAAGATTCAGACTCAGAAAGGTTAATTAACTTGCTCAATGATCAGAGCTAGAAAATAGTAATGTTTATACCATAATCCTGGTCTCTACTTCCTAGTTCGGAACTCTTTCTACTAGGCCAGTATCTCTCAAAATATAGTACACATATCAAATATGGTACCAAAGAGTATTTTAAATAGATTATGAAAAAATGTTTAAAGTTACACATTTATTTAATATACTGGAAATGCAATTAAATCCAATTTTATAAATATATATAGTAAATAATAGTACAGATGGCATATAGATATGGTAAAAATATTGAAGATAAATGATTAAAGTTTGAAAAACCCTCACCACACCAAATTCACAACTTGACAATATGTTCAAAAATGATCCAATGGCCATATTAAGTTTAAAATTTGGATGTAGATAAGGTATTTTTAGGGAAGAATACACCTGTAGTATTTGATCTCCATATGATTTTGAAATTATTCATGTGCAGAAGACATTATTACATTTTAAAATAATCTTATTGTCATCAATATTCAATATAAAAATAATCTTATTGTCATCAATATTCAATATAAAAGTATAATAAATATTTTTCTAATTTAATACATGTACATTAAAATTGCTAAGTAACAATATAGGTAAACTCTTTTTTTGTTTTGTTTTGTGTTTTTGTTTTTGTTTTCTGAGATAGGGTCTCGCTCTGTTGCCCAGGCTAGTGTGCAGTCGTATGATGTCTGCTCACTGCAACCTCCACCCACCAGGCTCAGGAGGTTCTCCCACCTCAGCCTCCCAAGTAGCTGGGACCACAGGTGGACACCACCATGCCTGATATGGTTTGGCTCTGTGTCCCCACCCAAAATCTCATCTTGAATTGTAATTCCACATGTCAAGGGGGACCAGGTGGAGATAATTGAATCATGTTCTCATGATAGTGAATTCTCACAAGATCTGAGGGTTTTATAAAAGGCTTCCGCCTTCGCTCGGCACTCATCCTCTCTCCTGCTGCCCTGTTGAAGAGGTGCTTTCCACCATGATTGTAAGTTTCCTGAGGCCTCCCCAGACATGCTGAACTGTGATCAATTAAACCTCTTTCCGTTATATATTACCCAGTCTTTATTAGCAGCATGAGAACAGACTAATGCCCAACTACTTTTTTTTCTATTTTATTACACTCAGGGTCTCACCATGTTGCCCAGGCTGGTCTTGAACTCAGCTCAAGTGATCCGCCCACCTTGGCCTCCCAAAGCTCTGGGATTACAGGCATGAGCCACTGCACCTTGACCAACTCTGTAAACTACTCTAATGCTTTAACAAATGCTAAAAAGTTTTAAGCATGCACTTGGGAACTTTGTACATCTTGAGAAAATTTTCCAGGTAATCAGAATAAGACAGGGTAATGTTATAATGAAGGCCAAGAAACTTCAACCACCAAAGAAATATAATGAGCCTTTAGTAATGTACTGCCTGGAGTTTCACACCCATATGATGAAATGGACCTGAGAAAGGAAAATGACCAAGAAATCAAAACTAGGGATGACCGGACACGCTGGGCATAAGTACCAGAACACTCACAGCCGAATAAAAAATCCTTCACATATTAATTCTGAGGTTCTTTCAGAGAGATGTAAATGTGCAATATTTAGGGGATTTCTGACGCTGAATCATCTCTGTTGCATGGGAGCCAGAGAATAGCAGCAATAAGACTAGATTAGGAAGGAATCCAAAGCTTCATTCTCCTAGCTCTGTCCTCTATTAACTGGGAGAATTTGGGGAAGGCTTTTTACTTCTCCAAGTCTCTGTTTCCTCACTCAGAAAATATGAATAAAAATACCTACCTGACTAGATTAAAAGAATATTATAAAGGTATATCATAAATTGCTAAGTACTCTGTACCTGTTAAGCAATATTATGCCTAGAAAAATAGTTAATAAAAGGATTAATTTTTTCTCCTTATCATGAGATTTGCTTGTCTTATTTTCTCCTATAGTGCAAAGCTTGGTGTATTTCTTTTAAGAAGCGTAATATTTCTGTAATATAATACATAATAGTATTTGAAAGTTAAAGGTTGGATGCATTTTTATAGTGAGATGTGGGAGAAATCCTATATTAAAGAAAGATTTTTTTCATCCAGAAACATTACAGTAGATTCAGTAGCGTATGGGATGAGATGCTCCAATTTAAATACACAAAAAAACTGCTCTTTTTAGGATTGGAAGGAAGGAGGAATGTGTTTATTTTGCACAACATGGGATCCACTAGTCTGGAGATGTATCTGAAGTAAAGAATTCATGCCCTCTGCATCTGACTCTGCCAATGTCACTGCTGGTTTGAGAATGTTGTCTTTTTCTTTTACTGCCAACTTGGATCTTACTGAGGTTCTAAAATCCTATGTCATCATTTTGTTTTCTAAGACCTTGTTAAGTTCAACTTTTTAGAATAAAATCACTCTAGAAGCAGCTTTAATCAACAGGCTTAATGAGGGAGATGGTTACAGAGTTCCATGTATGTATAAAAGGCTTATTTTTTTGTTTAATTACTTCAGAAACATTTCTATATTCCTAGATAAATTCACTTTACTTTTACCCAAGACACACATTGCCCTTGAAAATCACTTGATATCCTTTGCCTTGGATAGATGTCAAATACGTTGACCATTTCTGAAAGCCATTTCTCTTTCAGATCACCTATTGAGGTTGTTTCAAGTACTGTGATTCTGTATTGCCTTTTATTTCTTGGTAATATTCTTCTGCTCAAATATCTGGAAGAAAGGTTGCTTACTGTACCCTCTAGTGGTGATTGTGACATTCTCTTAGAAATATATGTTTATTTCCATCTTTGGCCTTTTACTAAAAATTTAATGTACAGTATGAAAGAATTTCATCAATCTTTAAGGAGATACAAATGATGAAATTACACTGTGATGGTGTTTGCAATTGCATCACAAATTGTTTCATAGGAAAACATCTTATTTTCCTCAAAATTTGTTAACCCAAATTTTATTCAATTAAAATCAAAGTGTTTAAATTCTTTCATTTTAGCGTATTGTCAGTACTCAGTTATTCACACTCCTGGAGGAAGTATACATAGCACTATGCATCTCCCAAAATATCATTTATATTTGAATTTACAGGACCTTTTCATTCATGTTTAGTCATAGTACATTTCACTTTCTAAGAATTCACAACATTGGAAATAAAACAAAGAGGCCACACATGGAATTTCTGACTCTACAAGAACTAAGAATTTATCCACATGATTCCTCCTCTGGTATTCTGCCATTTTTTCTTCTCTTTCTCTGCCTTCCCTGCTCTCCATTTTCTCCCCACCCCAAGGTGGATCAAGGCGAGTCTTTAAAATGAGAGGAAGCGTGTGCTTTGGAGGAGCTGCTGCCAAGAGTACAGCTATCGCTCTGTGTCCTTTTTTCTCAGGTAGAAATTTAATTAGATATTTTTATTCTAAAGTTCTTGCTTCCAAACTCTAATGAGTTATAGTTCATATGTAGAGGATGAGAATAAATGCAGTTAAGAAACACAAAGGAGATAATCAAGCTGAACAGGTGGTTCTCAACAAAAACTTTAAGATTTGTCTTCTACTGAGAATAATCAAGAGATAACCATAAATTAAAATGACTTTAATAAAGACATAAAATGTCTTGTTCCTGAATAAGAAGACTGCATATTTTCAGTTGTCAATTTTCCTAAATTAATCTGTAAATTCAATGGCATCCTAATGGAATTTTAATAAACTTGAACAAATGTTTCTGAAGTTTATCTGAGAGAATATTCAAGTGAGAATAGCCAAGAACAACAACAATTTTAATAAGAGTTATAGAGAGAAGGATTAGATTTAATATATGTTTAAAGGTGATACCAAGCCACAATAAATAAAATGGCATGTTCTCAGCTCAGTAAAAGAGATGTATTCCAATGGAACAGCAAAAAACAAACAGTAATATATAGTATCTTGTTTCATTTTATTTATTTTTAGAGAAAGGGTCTCACTGTGTTGCCTAGGCTGGAGTACAGTGGTGCTATCATAGCTCACTGTAACCTTGAACTTCTGGGCTTAAGCAGTCCTCCTGCTTCAGCCTCCTGAGTAGCTAGAACTATAGGCACACACCATCATACCTAGCTAACTTTTTATTTTTTGTACAGACCGGGTCTCATTATGTTGACCAGGCTAGTCTTGAACACCTGGCCTCAAACTATCCTTCCCCCTCGACTTCCCAAAGTGCTGGGATTACAAGTGTGAGCCACTGTTCCCAGCCCTATCCTACAGATATCTGTACCTTTATGTAAAGCATTTCTGTAGGATAGGGCCATTTATATATGGCTATTTATATATATATAAGCTATTTATATATATAAAATACAGATATATAAATATATATAATACAGATACATATAAATAAATAAAAAAATATATATGGCTTTTATTTTATTAAAAATGACTCAAATGCTACTATGGGTAACAATGTAGCAGTTCCTTAAAAAATTAAACAGAATCACCATATGATCCAATAATTTCACTTCTGAATATAAACCCCAAAAACTT
The DNA here is from genome assembly GCF_000001405.40 of Homo sapiens. NCBI lineage: Eukaryota > Metazoa > Chordata > Mammalia > Primates > Hominidae > Homo > Homo sapiens. The sequence continues at coordinate 179,353,163 of NC_000002.12, read as the reverse complement.
GAAAGCATGAATTGAAACAGATATTTGTATACCTACATTCATAGCAGCATCATTCACAATAGTCAAAAGCAACCCAAGTTCCATCAACCAATAAATAAACAAAATGTGGTATATACATATAGTGAAATATTATCAGCCTTAAAAAGGAAGGAAATGATGATACATGCTTACAACATCAGTGGACCTTGAAGAAATCATATGCTAAGTGAAATAAGGCAGTCACAAAAGGAAAAACACTGTATTATTCCACTTATATGAGGTACCTAGAGGAGTAGAGTTCTTTGAGACAGAAAATAGAAGAGTGGTTGCAAGGGGCTGCAATGAAGTGGGAATGCAGAGTTAGTCTTTAAGGGTACAAAGTTTCAGCTGGGGAAGATGAAAAAGTCCTGAAGATGAATGGTAGTGATTGTTGCACACAATGTGAATGTACGTAATACCTCAAAACTCTATACTTTAAAATTGTTAAAATCATAAATTTTATGTTATATATATATTTAACCACAACTTAAAAAGTGTTGTATGGTAAATGTTGGGATACTTACTAGATTTACATCATCTATTAAAGTATTTTGAAATAAATACTTGTGGCAGTATTTGTTTAAACAACCAAAATGTTCATCAACAAACTATAGTATAACCATGCAACTATGGAACAGCATGCAGCTATTAAAAAGCATAAAGTTGACATATATGGAATGATATACAAAATGTATTGTCAAGTGAAAGAGGAAATGGAAAATTGTATTCGACCTACTTTACATATTTCTTTTGTAAAAACAATATTACATCAAGTTGCCCAAGGGTAAGGCCGTCTAACCCACATGATAGAAAAAGCATCATCTTTGTTATTTTCTTCTTGGGATCACAGAGCCAGTCTCACTCTTTTATATAGTAGTTGGGTTTCCCTATAACAGATAGAAGTTCTCCACTGTCCATTATACTAGGAAGATATTCATCCTGGGACAAAAAATGAGGACTTAGTGAGTAGGAATTAGTCTGAGGTGAGGAGAAATTTTTTCTTTTTTCTCTGGGTTTGAGACTCGGTGACTGTGAGGAGCCAGGTGTCCTGACCTGGGCCTGACAACACAGAGAAAAGCTGATGACAAGTCAGGAAGGTGGCTAGGCCCATAGGTGACCTACAGCAAAATGGACTTGAACTGCAGAAGCAATGTATCTTCCGTGTTGGACTCTCCTTCCATTAGTCTTTGTTCTTCTGTAAGGGGAAATTATGGTAGAGCCCACATCCATATTTGTGGGCAGCGGTCACTGCCAGATAGCAGCCATGTCCTCCAGAGTAGAGATGGTGAGAGTCATCACTGGAACAAGAGGGATACTAACATGAAGTCAGGACCAGAAGAGAGGAATGCCAGGGATGTGTTCCCTAGCACACATTAGGTACCAAAATCCATTAGAGATATCTGAGACACATTCTTTAGAGCAGATTGCATCTTAATCAATAAGACTGGGGGAGCAGTCTCACCATCATGGTTTGGATTAGCGTAATTATAAACAAGATATCTTCTAGGGTCTTTCTGACTCTTAAAGGTAGAAGTGGTTCAACACTGCCAATTCCAGGTCCTGTAGAGTCTAAAACGTTTCCAAGTGTTCTGTGAATTTAGGGGGAATCATGCAGCAAAGAAGTAAGGGGCTGTGTCTCCTGGCCACCTCTGTCTCTCAGCCCATGGGTGCCTGCTTCCACACATATGGGCTTTTTTTCCACACCGCTTCAATATGGTCTTGACACTCACCCCTGTTCCCACAGGAAAAGCTCACTCACACCAACTATTCTGTAGATATAAAAGTCTTTACTAAGCCATTAGGGGAAACATGGCACTGCCTGCTGCACTGCTAATGCCATGATGCCCCTATAAGAAATTGCTGGTCTCCAAATGTTTCCTGGGCACCCCGGCAACATGAATTCTTCTCTTTACTCCTCCTCCATACAGTTCCTAGTCTCACAGCCTCCTCTGGCTCCCCTTCCCTCCCTCTCATTTACTTCTCCCTGGATTATTTGTTCTCTACTCTTCTCTCTGCCCTTTTTTGGAAGGAAAAAAAAAAAAAAAGAACTCCTCTCCTTTTCTCATGCAGAGCAATTCTACCCTGTTCTCTGAAGTTTGTGCATCAACCAATATCTTTTCAACATCTTTAAGGTTTTTCTTTTAACTCAATCATGTATTGGCTTTCCAAACAAAAACTGGCCTCAATCTATAATAAATTTTCAGACCAGTGGTTGAGATAACAAAAAATATTTCCACCTTGATATCTAATATAGATGGATAAATGATAGAAAGAGATTAACCCCCAAAAGTAATTTGGTTTAGTAAATCAAATGCTGATTTACCAAAGAGCCAACAATAAATTATCTATAAGGGAGTGGACTGAATTCTTTTCATTTTCTTTATTGAGTATTTTCAATGATTTTTGAATTTTGATAATAAGCATATATCATTTTCCACTGGAACATCAAAGGTGAGACAGACGAAGCCCCTGCCCTCGGAGCACTCCTAGTCCAGTACACGCAGCCCAGGCATCATGCCTGGTATGCTATGGTTGGTCAGTATGGCTAGTCCCTGGCCATCCGAAGAACTGAAACATCTAATTGCATTATCATTGTCTGTACTTTGTGGAACTCATTTTATATTGTTTTAAAACATTTTCTAAGTGGCAATAGACCCACTTTCTGTCTCCCAGAACCATAAGGTCCCATCAGTTCCTGGTTTTAATGTGTTTCCCTAATGAGTTCCTTCTAATAAAATCAGCATTTGATTTTTCCTGTCATTCACACAGCAATTTATCTTTTGTCAGGTTTTAATTGAAAACATCCAAATAATTCCTCTGGACCTCCAATGCCAAGGAGCCAGATTAGGCATACTTTTCTGCTCGTCCTGATAAGAAAGCCAGAGAATTCTAATTCTACCAGTTTTTTTTTCTAGGCTTAGAATTTAAATTATTTCAATATATTTATGAAATGAGACAAGTTTCCAGCAAAAGCAGTACTCAGTAATTGGAAAGTCAGTTACCTTTTATCTCTTGGTTAAAAAGAGGAAGTAGGTCAGTTCCTTGTTAATATTATTAGCAAATACTATTTATAGCATGATATAAATTACTGAGAAAAGACATCCTAATTTTTACTTTTAAGCAGAAGGCAATAGTTAACTCATTCTTATTCTTAAACATATTAAGGATACAGTGGACTAATTTTTCAGGAAGAGAGAGTGTGTCCTTGCCACCTTACAAACAACAACTAACTCACTAAGACAATTTTCACTACTCATATCATGTATCTGCTGGAAAGATTTGTCACTCATGCACATCTCAGCCACATATCACAGGTCTATGTGATGGAAAGAAAAATATGAACTTGAGAATAAAATATTTATGATATGGAGTTACTCATGCCCCTGTATTTATAGACTTTTCTGTGTGTATTTATATCTCAACTATAAAACTAAAATTCTGGTAGATATCTTTGCATTTGAATCTTCTGGTGAGGAGATTTAAATTGCCCAACCACTAAATTGGGTGCGTCTGAAATAAATCATGAAGTATTTATAAATACCATCATTTCAAAGGCAAGAAAAGGATATTTATGCATTTGGCTTATTCCTAAACTGAGAATAAGGTTGTCTTGGAGGCAACAAGATTATCAAACAGCCTCTGTGTTTGCACACACCAGAATAAATGGCAATCTGGACATAGAATACAAAAGCAAATATTTCTCAGGAAGAACCATGATTTGCTGCTTTTCATCAAAGTCTGGGTGAAATCATTACCAAATATCTACTTTATTGCCTTGTTCCTAAATGACTTGGAAGGATGGTGACATCATCCTTTGATGCTTAGAAAAGAAGGAAACCATATTTCAGCTAGAAAGGATAGGAATATTAAAACTCTTCAGACTGGAAATTTTTGCATCTGACAACACACCAAAAGCCATTGGGATAAATGTGCTCTCAAGGGCTGTCCTACTTTCAGTTTCCTCTCCTTTCTAAAGATTCTTCAGTTCTCAGCTCTGCTTCTGGAGGGATGCTGGCCAGAGTTCCAGCATAAACGATTCCCTGAGAAATGTTTCATGTTGAAGTCATGCACAAGGCCAGGGAGCTGTGATGAATGGCAGCTCCAAGGGAAGTCGGAAATCTAATCACAGGAGGAGCCTTTGGATCTTTCATACTCATTGACTTCACAGGATTAGTTTTGAGCCTGTAGACTGCGGATTAAAGCAGGAAGACTATAGCTTGTGTCCCTGCCTGGTATCACTTGCAAAATTTAGAACACTCTTCAAAGATGCCAAGAACTGAGATCTGAATTATAATTCTGTCAATTGTTCTTTGCTTGCCGCTTTCGCATTTAGTGCCTCTTCAAATTCTGCAAAACCCTGGATCATTTTGGTGACATGAATCATGATTCTCTACTTGGTATTTGGGAAGAATGACCCATCCACCTCCCAAGGGTTTTTGCTCTTAGTTATTGCTGATCAGTTGGGTTTCCATTGCCTTGAAACCCCAGTCTTATATATTCCTGAGGTATTTGAGTTATTTGTATGATCTATTTCTAGAACACTTATTTTCTTCAGCCAATTAAGTCTACAGGTACACATTGGTTTATTATTTTAGTTTTGAAGAGTAGAAAAGAAAGCATTTTCTTCATGATTTCCCCTTCTCCTATCTGATGAAGCCATTTTGCGGTCACATTAGAAGTTCAATTTTGTTCTCTGATTTTTATCAAGGCAGTGAGGTCCCTTCAGATTTACCCTCTGAGATGCTACCATGCATGTCTTTTAAAATGTTCATGTAGTGCTCAAGAATATAATGAACACCTCACTCATGAAAGAATTGCTTGAGGCTGGGCATGGTGGCTCATGCCTATAATCCGGGCAATTTGGGAGGCCGAGGAGGCCAGATCACTTGAGGTCAGGAGTTCGAGGCTAGCCTGGCCAACATGATGGAACCCCATCTCTACCAAAAATACAAAAATTAGCCAGGCGCAGTGGCGGGCACTTGTAATCCCAGCTATTCAGGGGGCTGAGGCAGGAGAATCACTTGAACCCAGGAGGCAGAGGTTGCAGTGAGCCGAGATCGCACCACTGCACTCCAGCCTGGGCGACAGATTAAGACTCTGTCTCAAAAAAAGAACTGCTTGATAAAGAGACAGACCATTTGAATGGGAGAATTTGAGAGAGAGGCCCTGAAGTCTTCTTTATTATCTAATTTAAGATTTTTTCCCCACATCTACCTCCTTCACCAGCTACTATGGCTGTCATAGAGAGCTTATATTGGGCACACATCGTTTTGATGCTATCGTGGGCTATAAAAAAGTTAGAACTAGTATGAATCTTGTCTTTCTTGGTAAAGTGATTTTTCTCCAAAGCATAAAATAAACTAAAACTCACTTTGGATTACATTATGAGTTGAAGTGTATCGTCCCCACTGCCCCCAAATTCATTAATATATCAAAGTCCTATGAGTGTGACCTCAGTAGGAGATAGAGTCTTTACAGAGATAATCAAGTTAAAATGAAGTCATTAGGGGAAGACCTTCATCTACCACAAATGGTGTCCTTATAAAAAGGGAAATTTGGACACAGACACACATAGCAGGATGATGATGTAAAGAGACAAAGGGAGAAGGTAGCCATCTACAACCAAAGAGAGAGGCCTGGCACAGATCCTTCCCTTAGGACCCCCAGAAGGAACCAACCCTGCAGACACATTTTGCATTTTGGACTTCTCATCCTCCAGAACTACGAGACCATCAATTTCTGTTGTGAAAGCCATGCATTTTGTGGTCCTTTGTTGCAACAACTCTAGCAAACTAGTACAGAGCCCAGTCGTTGTTGTTATTGTTTAAATAGAAATGGGGATTCCTTATGCTAACCAGGTTGGTCTCATACTCCCAGCCTTGAGCAATCCTTCTGCTTCAGCCTCCCAAAACACTGGGATTACAGGTGTGAGCCACCACTTCACAACCAGTGAGCAACCAGCCCCAGTTATATTTAATTGCTTTCCTCTTTACCTTTCACCCAATATCTTTGTTTTCTATAGTGAAGTGTTCATTGTGATAGCCCCCTCCTTCCCTTCTTCCGTGAAGCTTGAGTTGTGAGATGATAACTGTCTTAGAAGCAGGCTGCAACGCTTGGGGTTTGGCACTCAAGATCTAAATTTGGATTGTTGACTGCACAAACTTTGAATTTACACCCCTGGAATATAATTATGACAACAGCTATCACGTGGTATGCCTTTTTTATGTGGTAGCTCTTTAACAAACATCACTTGTCACAAAAACTCTAGGAGAGATGCACCAATATTATACCCACTTGACAGAAGAAACTGATAATCAGCAAGGTTAAATAACTTTACCAATGTCACACAATAGTTTAACTGAGATTTGGACCCAAGCAGTCCAACTGCAGAGAATATCTTTGCAGAAACCAAATGAGGTAGTCCCCTAACCAGAATGTCTACAAAAAAAAAAAAAATGAAATGCCCAAAATAGTGGAGTGACTAAATAAGTTATGACTTACACATGCAATGAAATATAAAATATAGTATATAAACAGTATAAACAAATCAACATATAACAAATATAACAAAATCATGACTATAAATTATTTTTCATATATTTAATGATATGGAAAAATGTTTATAATATAATATTAAATGAAACAAAGTATATAAAAGCTGTCTGCATAGTAAAACCCCAATTCTGTAGTTAAAAATTAGAAAATGCCAATACTGATTGTCTCCAGTGATTGGATAAAAAGGTGATTTTAATTTTTTTCTTTATGTTTCTATTTTCAATTTGTATGACTATATTCCACCTTTAAAATCCAAAAGTTAAGACACAGTAATGCATAAAAATTCCTAAAGTGAATGCTCTCTAATTTCTAGCATTGAAGAAAAAGTAGTCTGTTTTGTTTTTATTTTCTTCTGTAATAATCACAGCCCCCTCTATCTAAAGGTAAGGTAGCCTCCCATCCTGGCCTTGTCTGGATTCGATTCCTTAGTTTTCATAAGAAAATGTCAGTTCTACCACCAGCTCAAATGGATGTGTCCTTCATTAACATCACAGATTATCTATACTTGAGCAGCTCTCCAGAGAGGATAACCTTGAACTCAGATGCTCAAAGGAGTTAAAAAGCTTCTTGTAAAAAAAAAAAAAAGAAAAAGAAAAAGAAAAGAAAGAAAAAAAATCAGGTAAAATTCCCAGATACCCATACAGTAAATCTGTTTCTATGGGACTTAACATTTTTTTAACCATCAAATCTTACAGCTAGTATCCTACAACCACACTGTCGAGCTCCTTGCAGGATTACCTTTTCTGAGCTAAATTTGGCCATGAAACCATCAGCTTGCATTGCTGGACCTTATAAGTAACAACCCTATGAAACCCATTATTGCATTATATGTGCAGTGCTACTGAACAGTTGTCCACCACATCATTACACTTTAGGAGGGAATTCCTCTCAGGTCAAAAACTGTTATGATTCTTCTAAAAAATAGATTTGTTTTCTTCTTATGGACACTTCAATTGTATTATCCATTTACAAATTAGAGATCTCGCACACAAATCTGTATTAGCTGCTGCAAAGCTCTGGACCAAATGTGAGGTGCTCCTCTAGCAAATGTCCAGGTGTATGCATGGTGTGCTAGGCCCAGATTTCCCCCTAGCACTCATTTTCTCCTCTTTAAGATTTTACTATGCTCCTTCAAAGCCTTTGTACAAGAAGAAGGAGGAAGGGAGGAAATAAATGAATTAATGAAGAAAGAAATTTGTGGTGGGAACTTATGGTTATGATTTCAAGTCAACGCAATATGAAAGAGGGTTTTATTGCTTTGTCTGTGTTTCTAGAACAATCTACAGTGATTCAGGAGGAGCTGCCCTGAGGCAAACATGACAAATGGAAGATTTTTCTCTACTACTTGGCTTCAAGAAGAATGACAGTGTCCAAGTCCCAAGTACACATACAGCTCTGACAAGACCCACTGTGACCATAGAAACAACCTAAAACAGACTATTTTCTTAGGAAATAGGCCAGGTGCATTGGATCCAAATGAACAAGTGAGAGAGGCAGTGAAGAGTGATTTTTCCTTGGTTCCTTTGCAATTTTCTAAGTTCAAATTCTATACTGCATCTTTACACACAAACTTCCAACTTCAGAAAAGTGAGGATAAAGCAGGCATCAGAACAAGGGAGAGTAGGCTCTACCTACCAGCCACAGCAGTGTGATCACCTGATTAGGGCCTCTTTGCTCATGGATACTGAGAGATTTACACACAGCTTTTCAGAACCTGCCCTGTTCATACCTAGGAGAACTTCTGCTCTTCCCTTCTTTACCTTGCTTCACGGGGTTTTCATCATCTGTTGGTCGTTTGTTGTTGTTGTTGTTGTTGTTATTGTTGTTATTGTTTCCATTTAGCATTTAAGTTTGGTGTTTCAGCTTTCCCTGTAGGCAGGATTTGATCTCTTTCTTTCCTGTAAGCGGCTATGTGGACTGCCCTAACATTCCCTCCAGAACAATTTTTCTCTGTAAAGTGCTGAGTCACTGAAGAGAGCTACAGACACTCTGTGAGCAGCCATAGTCAATTGAGAAAACAGAATCATTTTCCAGGATTTAAAAGGTTACTTTTAAGAGAGCAAACTCCGGAGGATCAGGAAAGAGGGTGAGAAGTTCATGCAGGGTAAAAAGCACAAAGTCTATTTCAGAGTTTGAGGAAGATCATATTTCATAAATTAAAATGGCATGAATGGAAAATTCCCTATTTAGCAGCAAGGAGGTAGCTCATCAGCCTTGGGCTGGGACTGCAGAGAGTTCTGTTTGTTCTCATCCTTTCCTACTGGTCTCCACCTTTGAGTTTTTCACCAGTTAAATGGGAAGATGACCTTTGCTCCTCCTGTAATAGAAGGGTACTGAAAGGATGAATGTGTGAAGTTCTGAGCCTCTGAATGCCTTGATTTAGCTCTTGATCTTCAAACAGCTATTGCTTCAAAACCAAAGTCTGGGATTCAAACTTTCCATTTTAAATTTCCCAAAGGTCAATGAATTAAAAGTAAACTTTTTAAGTAAAAGAATGAAGCAGGCTGGACACAGGTGTTCATGCCTGTAATCCCAGAACTTTGGGAGGCCAAGGCAGGAGAATCACCTGCCAGGAGTTCAAGACCAGCCTGGGCAACATAGTGATGAGGCAAGAAAATGGGGTCTGGAGGCAGGGAACAGAAGGCCAATTCACACTTGAGCTATAACAGGAAATATCCTCTCCACAGGGCATACGCCATAAATGACTTTGTAACTTTACTTCATCCTTTTCATTTACATAGGGCGTACCCCAAGTAGAGGGTATTTAAACTCACAAAAACTCTGTAACAGGGCCTTTGAGCCCCTATTCTCAGGCCTACTCCCACACTATGGAGTGTACTTTCATTTTCGATAAATCCCTTCATTCCTTCCTTGCTTTGTGCGTTTTGTCCAATTCTTTGCTCAAGACGCCAAGAACCTGGACACCCTCCACTGTTAACAGTGAGACTTTATCTCTACAAAAAAAGTTTAAAATTAGCCAGGCATGGTAGCACATGCCTATCTATAGTCCTAGCTATTTGGGAGGATAAGGTGGGAGGATCACTTGAGCCCAGGCGGTAGAGGCTATGTGAGGTCAAGGTATTGAGCTATGATCACACCACTGCACTCCAGCCTGGGCAACAGAGCAAGACTCTGTCTCTTGAAAAAAAAAAAGAAGAAGTATGGCAGGATATACAGTAAAAGTTTGATACTATAAGCCTTTAAAAACGGGTATTGGTGAAAACTTCTTGTGAATAAACAATATTTCAAAATAAAAAAGGTTTAAAAATGAGTATTCGTCCTACTAAAACACAGGGAGCCTTCCCATAAAATAATGTGTGACTGTGATACATGACAAGACCCTCCTCAAATCCTTGTATTGCAATAATCACACCATCTATCATTCCAATAATATGGTCTCATTATAAATATATAATCTTACCCATCCTGGCAAGAACCATGTGAAGTAAGTATAATTGTCTCTCTCTTTTTTTTTTTTTTTTTTTTTTGAGACGGAGTCTCGCTCTGTCGCCCAGGCTGAAGTGCAGTGGCACAATCTCGGCTCACTGCAAATTCCACCTCCCAGGTTCAAAGGATTGTCCTGCCTCAGCCTCTCAAGTAGCTAAGATTATAGGCACCCACCACCACACCCAGCTAATTTTTGTATTTTTAGTAGAGACGGGGTTTCACCATGTTGGCCAGCCTGGTCTCAAACTCCTAACCTCAAGTGATCTGCCCACCTCGGCCTCCCAAAGTGTTGGAATTACAGGCATGAGCCACCACACCTGGCCTCATATTTTAAATAAGAAATTATTTAAAATTATCTCATATTTTAAATAAGAAAACTGAGGTTCAGAGAAATTAGGTAATTTGTCTTATATTATAGTAAGAAGCAAATACTTGGTCTATCTGAACACAAAGCCACTCTACTCATACTTTTCAGCTGATCACTCTGCTACACTGACTTCTATTGAGCTTCATGCTCCCAGCAACTCTATGGAAAAAGCATAAAATTTAGAATCACACTTCTGCTCACTCACCATGAAACTAGACAGGTACACAGCTGTCTGAACCTTAATTTCCTCAGCTCTAAAATTGGGATAACAATGTCCACCAACTGTGTTGGAACATACATGAGATAATGCAGGTAAAACATGGGGTACAGTGCCTGGCTCACATTAGGTGCTTAATAAGTATCAGAACAAAACCATACCATTCTTAACTTACACTGAAATGCACTGATATTTCACTTTTTTAAAGTGTGTTATGGTTCCCCCAACTAGATTAAAAATCTTTTATATCCTCCTTGTATCTGTTAGAATGCTATTGATTACAAGTTCTGGAAACCAGACTTATGCTGGATTAAACAGAATTAAATCAATCACCTCACATAGGAGGATGACTAGAGCAGGCTTGAGAAGTGGTCGATTCAGCAATCAGCAATGCCATTAAGGACCTAGATTCTTTCTGTCTGATCCACCAACTACAGGCTCTGCTTCACCCTAAGGCTTGTTACCCTCCAAGGTAAAGGAGGGCTATGGTGGCCTACAGTAACTATTAGCCATCACACTTCCTTCATGTCTGAGAGGAGAGGAAGGCTACCTCCCTCTGGTTCTAAGGATAAGAAAGCTTATTTCCCACACAGCTATTCAGTCTCCCCTTGCATCTCATTGGCCTGCACTAACTTTAGCTTGGGCATCCTGAACCACTCACTGGTAAAGGGAGATGGATTTTCAGGATTAATTTGATTAATCATCTGAAGAGAAGCAGAATTTGTCCACTACCCTGCTCAAAGCTTTATATATTAGGGTCCAATTCCTACTCCATGAATGGCTGAATGGATTAGAACAAGCTTATTTAAGAATACAAATGGAAACTCTTGCAACACCCAGAAAGTTGACAGTAAATTGGCATAGAAATAAACCCAGTTTGTCCAGTTTCCAAGTGCGCAATGCCTCATGTCCAGTGTTTATGCAGAAAGGGGTGGTAAGGGAACCCATGCTTACACACACTTTCACCTTAGACCAATCCTGTTGTGACACTAATTAACTTACATCTATAAATACAATTCTCAAGTACAGATGACATGAATGTGCAGAAGGAAAACAAGACTCTTAACACATTATCTACAGCAGGTTCCTCAAGAGATAATTTAGAGGGTGCATATTCACTGCCTTAAATGACATTAAATTATGTAAGAGTTAATCTCTATTCAGCCCCTTTTCAGTCCTCACGATACTATGAAAATGAAAGCCAGTTCACTGCTGAGTGTTTACTACCCTCTCACACTTGTTAATCTCCCTTTGGAGCTTTGAAGAGCATATATCTGGACTTTCAAACATTGTTTTGCTTGCCTTCAATTATTTTTACACTTATCTTGTATTTGTGATAAGCAGTATTGGTCTTTCCATTTGAAATATTAATATGAAGTTTCATTTGAAAATATATCGATTTAAGAAAAAGAAAGCCAATTAAAATAATTAATTTAGAGAAGAGATTGTACAGAGATATGTTAAAAATTATGATGGTAATATGTACTGATACGTGAATATGGCAAAAATATGAAAGAATGTATTATGAGAAGACTACAGTCTGAAAGGCATTTAACTCGGATAATTAGAGAATGCTTTCTGATATTTAAGGATAAAGAAATGCTAACGCATAGGGCAATTATTTCAGGAACCACATGAGGGCAGCGAATCAGTAACTGTAAAGACAATTTGGGCAGCACCAGGTCTTCTTACTTAATACCATTGTTGCTCAAAATGTGTTCCACAGACCAGCAGCATAAGTATCATTCCAGCAAGATTTCCTAAGCAATTCTCATGCACATTAAAGTTTGAAAAGCTAAAGTTAGTGCCTCAGCCTGCTGAGTAGCTGGGACTAAAGGGCATGCACCACCACACCTGGCTTCATTCAACAAATATTTTTGAGCACCGTCTAAATGCTAGGGATATAGAAGGAACAAGACAAACAAGGTCTCTGCTCTGGGGGAAGTGACTTCTAGAATGTGAGAGAAGACATATACAAACAAACAACAACAACAAAAAGACAAAACAGAATAATATGATTGTGAGTGTGGAAAGTGAACAACCTTAGAGCAAGTCATCAGGCAAAGGCTCTCTGAGAATGAGACATTTGCTCCAAGACCTGAGAATGTGACATTTGCTCAGGGCCTTGCAGGAAGAAACTTCCAATTAGAGGACAGCTAGCAAAAAGACCCCAAAACAAGATCAAGTTTGGCATGCTTGAGGAACAAAAAGAATCAGTGCACCTATATCAGACTAATCAAGGTAGTGATTACTATGTATAAAACTATGTTGGCAAAGATTCGGTGAATGAATGTGTTTCTGTGTGGTGCAGGTCAAGGTGATGTGAGAGCACAATGTGATGAGCCCAGAGGCTCCAAGCTCTGCTGTGATATTTGTACATATTTGTACTGCCTGGAGTTAATTAATGGTTGTAGGGGAAGAGAAATGCTTTGCATATTGGGGCTGGGTTGACTTGAGATTCCTGCTGATGCTCAGAAATGGACCTATTTGAATGATTTTTGTCATGGACAGAAATGTATCTGATCCCATCACTTTATGTTGTATATTGCACATTGAGTTATTTTGGAGTGCTTTATCACGGTGGCTCTGGAAGAGAGGCAGAAATCGAACCCACTCATGAAAAAGTCCTGGATATTAAAAAATTTAGACCTATCAGTAACTTTTATAAGAACCTTCTGTTGAGAATCTATTTTTTCCAAAGCATCATCACTCTTCATAATTAGTTCTATAATTTCCCATAGAATATGATCCATTTCATTTGAAGTGCTAAAACCAAGCACTAGTAGTTGATCACTGTCTGTCTATAATTTGCATTGTTCTTTATCCAGGAAAATATTAGTTCTTATTAGCCAGATAGAGATCTATTATGAATGTCAATGTAACTTAATTAAAGCATAATATTAATCATAATACTATCTTCCGACTCAAATACTTCCCCAATGATGTTTACTTATGTAGACCTTTGCTGAGGAAATACAAAAATAAATCAGATGAAAGCATTTTTGATGAATAGAGAGATTTAACCAAAGCCTTTCTTAATGAAAAAATAATGTACTAGAAAGTATAGAAAGAATTGTATCTGCTAAGTCATATTCAAAAGAGGATCCCAATAAAATAAGAAATGTATTTTACCAACTTTATATCTAAACATTAAGTAATATTTTTTTAAACTTCTGAGTGTTTCGTGCACTGTGTGTTATAAATATTAGCCAAAAAATCAAGCGCATAACCTCTACTAGTTTTCCCAAATTTTATTTATTACTATTTAAAATGCACAATAAAATCTTAGGCCTTAGAAAAAGTTTAGCCACAATCACAGTTTTCTTGTTTAGTATCTACATATATAATAACATTGAAAACCAAAGTGTCCTCTTCGTTATTGAGGATGACTGTAATTTATTTGGGGAAAGTTGCTCATTATTTTGGGAAAATATTCTAATAAATTTTTGGTTAGGCAAGATAAGGCCCAAAACTTGGCACTGGAACAGTGTTTGGGGATGGTGGAGTGGTGGGCAGTGAATACTGAGTCAAAAAGGTGGCAATGGAGGAAAAAGAGGTTCTCAAAGTCCAGCCAAAAAATCATGGATTTTTGGAGAGTGGTTTAACTCTCCAAAGTTAAGCGACTCTCCATAAAAGGCTGTCTTCCTCAGTGTAGAGAATGTTGCAATAACTTGTTTAGAACTTTCTGGTTGGGGTTGTAGTTGCCCCAGAAACAGCTGAGTTGTCATACAGGAATTAAAGAGGAAAAGAGAATGAGGACTTAGATCTGTACAAGAGTGACCCTAGCCACAAGAGAAAAGGTGAAAAGAGAAAATAAAAAATCCCTCCTTAGCGATCCTCGGAGGACTTGGAACAAGCACCACAGTACTTCCAGCAGTCTCCTGGGATAAGGGCCTTGAATTACAGTACTAAAAGAAAGAGTCATCCCAGGAGGCTGGGGAAATTTATGGATATTCAGTTTGCACCTTAATTTATTCTGTTGAAATTCTTTTGGATGCAAGTAGCAAAAAAGTATCCTGATTAGATTAAACAATAAATGGGAATTTTTAGTTCAATAGATTAAAAAGTCCAAACATTTTATGGGAGTTAAGGTGAGATTTGGTCAGGTACAGCTTCTTTGAGACATGGGTCTTTGAATCTTCTTCCTGGCGTACATCAGCTTTGCCCTCAGGCTGTCTTCGTAAGGTGACTGCAGCATCAACTGAGACCACCTGCACCTCAGTCACATCCAAAAGAAGAGGCTGGATTCCTCCAACCAATGAACAAGGGAAATGTCATGTGTCGATTACTAGGCCTACATTACCTGAGCTAATAAAGATGTCGAGGGGACTGGGCTACCCGGGTTGGTTTTGATATGTCAGGGCTAAGGACTGCCATGGAAATGGAGTCAAGCATTATGAGGGAAGAAGGGAGAATGCTTGGAAGATAACTTTGATGTCCTTTATGAAAATCTTACTATCGTCTGGGCACGGTGGCTCAGGCCTGTAATTCCAGCACTTTGGGAGCCTGAGGCGGGCAGATTGCCTGAGCTCAGGAGTTCGAGACCAGCCTGGGCAACATGGCGAAACCCCCTCTTTACTAAACATACAAAAAATTAGCCAGGTGCAGTGGTGGGCGCCTGTAATCCCAGCTACTCAGGAGGGTGAGGCAGGAGAATCAACTGAACCCGGGAGGCGTAGGTTGCAGTGAGCCGAGATCGTGCTACTGCACTCCAGCCTGGGCGACAGAGTGAGACTCTTGCTGAACTTTTACATTGGGAAGAGTCTTAGGAAGAAGTTTACGGTCCACTAAAATTTCAGTTAACTGCTCAAGAAACTCCAAATTTAGTTTTCTTTCCATAGCTGCTACATAATAAAATTATCTTAAATTTAGCAATGCTATTTTTTCAGAGTTAGCCAAAACCCATTTAATCTATAGTATTTTTAGTGAAACTTACCGTACTGAGAACTGAATATTTTAATAAACTGATAGCAATTTGAAAACTTTTAAGACTCAAGCAACTCAAGACTTCTCATGAAGGCAGAAGCTGGATACTGGAGGAACTTGCAGTTCTTGAGACCGCAGAGGGGGATTGGCCTCTGCAACCCCACAGTCAGAAGCCAAGGCATGCTGCCCAAATATAATGCCAGCTGTGCAGCCTGAAAAAGGAGCCCAGCTGTGAGACTCAAAAGGATTTTTAGGACTCCCTCTGGGCATCCTTGCACCAGCATACGGGGGCTCTCCCAATAAATACCAAAAGTCTGAGTAGCAGGAATTCCTGCCAGCAGCCACACAGTTGGAGTGATCCTTTAAGCAGCAAACAATATTTTCCAGATGTACAGACTCAGTGTGCTGGGAGATCGGCTTGGGGTAAACAGGCTAGATGTTTATGCCTGCTGACTGAAGAGGGTGTGTGGCTGGTGCCCTTCTAGACATGAATTAAAAAATTCAGTTGTATCTGTTTTACCACAGTGAAGAAAGAACTAAAGAATAATGAAGGTGATGGTTCTAGGAATCAGGAGACCCTGGGGCTCAGCTGCAGGCTAAAGTTTAGAGTACCTCCCTCACTTCCTGAAGGATTTGTCCATTGCTTATTTCTACTTTGCCAGTATGCAACCGTTGAATATTTGTATGGCACTTTCAAAGATCCTGGAGTACTCTGAAGAGGTGGGAGTCATTTCCTTTTTTATCTCTTTTTGACTCACACTAAATTGATCTGGCAAATGCTTTCCTTCTAAAAGCTTTCATGAACTTCACCAGGTAGAACTTTATCTGTTGTCTATTTAGCAAGATCTTTAAAGATTAAAAACAAGACTATTTGCATTTTTAAAAATATTAACTCTCTTGATTATTAACCCAGCCAGGAAAACAGAACAAAGTTGGATGGCAAATGCATTATTTATGTGAGATTTTTTAATTAATTGATTTGAATAATTTTCATCATGCTGGTTTGGATTGACAGATAACGTACGCTGTTCTGTAGCTGCTTCAGACCGTGTTAGCCTCTTCTAAAGGAGGACAGTTTTTCATCTGGGCACACTGACCTTGAACAGAAGAACAGATTGTGTGCTGTAAACCCCTCTCAGCTGCTACAAAGATTCTCTACTTCAAAAATATCTGCCTTGCAGGTGCTGAAATCCCTACCCCTGTACCTTATAGCTTGGAAGAAGGCACTTCCAGGAGCCCCCTCTTAAAATGTAAATATTACTTGGAAAAGTCATATACTTTGCCAACTCACATCTGGTTTATATAGAATGTCTCCTTGAATTTATAATTCTTTTTCTTGCACATTCCAGTTAGGGGTGGTACCTAACATTTTCTTCCATACTATCTGAATTCTTTATATTTGAATTATTCTTTATTCCTATAGGCTTGACTATGAAATTATTATATACATACACACACACACACACACCCCACCTGTTTATGTAACCAATTCCCTGAAGCATGTGCCACAAAACAGCATCATACACTGATGTTTCTATGAATGTAATTCTAACCTCATTGATAAGTCATGTATTTCAGCCCTCCTGAGCTCAATGTTGTATTGTATTCTTACTATTCCATTTGCCATTTTCTAACAACGGTAAAAGCTACCCTGTTGCTAGGTAACCTCAGCAATATTGCACATAGCCCTCTACTTTCTACATTCTTCTGGATTCCTTCTTGTGGTCTAATTATAATTGTTTTTCTTCTGAAGTCTCTCTCCCCATTCGTGGTTGCCATTGTCATTGGATAGCTGTCAGTGCATTGTTGTCACTCTTGAATTCACTGATGATAAGCCACAATTTGCTCACCCTACACAGAATAGAAAATTGACATGTTCTTATGATGCATCTGCATGCTTTCAGAGAAATAGTTCCTCTCTTAGAGGTTACATTCCCAAAGAAGATTTTCAGTATGTGGCAACCCTCCCCATCTCATTTGCCTCACCTTTCCAACCCCTACAGTAATTCCTTTTCTTCAAAAACCAGGCTTGTATCTTGATGGTAGTCATGTTTTTTGTGCAATGATAAAATTCTTACAGAAAGTAAATGATAAACAATGCTCAGCCTATGAACTGGTAAACACCAACAGCCGTAAAAATGACAATAACTGCGTTTAGCTGTGGACCTTTCATATGCCAGGCACTGCTAAGTGATTTGCACACTTTATCTCATTTGATCTTCATAAACTCTATGAGGTATCATCACTCCAATTTTGTAAATGAGGAATCTGAGGTGAGACCCAGAGAGCCCAGATTATATGGTGAGTGAGTAGCAGAACCAAGATTTCTTCGTTTATGATGTCACTGATTATAAAAAGTAATATCAATTTAATAACAGCTTTACATTAAATGTAAACTTGTAAGATAAAGGTTGAATTCAGAAATATTAAAACAATGAAAAACAGGTACCTTAGAAACAAAAAAATTACTCTATGTATATAACCTAGTACCATTCTCTTGCTTATGAATAAGAATTGTTCTCTAACATTATTTCTGGTAAATAATGTCATTGGATAAATGCCTTCTAATTCCATTGTTTCCCTCCCCCACACCCCAACTCCTATCTTATCACTACCATTTAATGGGATTCTTTCTAATGCATAAATGGCTATTTTGTAAGTTATGAAGAGGTGCCTTTGAAATCAGAAAGCCTGGAGTCAAAGCTTACCTCCACCACTTACCAGATAAATCATCTTGAGCCAGATAATTCACTGACTTTACTTCTCTGGTCATATTTTGTTTATTTTTATTACATTTTTTGATGGAGAGACAGATTTCTAAAAATACCTAAGTTCTCCACTAGCCTGTGACTTCTTTGATAGTAAAGTTAGTCTTTTGTTTATCCTGATATTTCTCTATGGTACTTATAATACCTTGACATACTGAGGTACGTGTTCAGTGAATATCTCTTTAATCAAATTTGTTAATACATGTTTTTTTCCAAATAGCTACAGTGTGCTGGTATTATGAGAACCAATAAAGTAATGTGGGGAGACCTCATTTACATCTGTTCCCTAAGAAATATCATCTCAGAGTTGTGCTTTTACCTACTCTCTGGTGCTTTGCTTAAAGAGGCTAAGATTCTACTCTTTCCACAAGAATGTAACTTCTCAAATACTTAATATGTGCCTTCTTCTTTGAGGAAGAAAGAACTTCCTGTTCTGATGTATAGGTTTCTTCAAAGAAGAAGGCACAAATGAATGGCAGGGAGAAGGGTGAGCACAGAGTTAATTTTACTAGGCTTTAATACAGAATGAATAGAAAAATTTTTGCCCTAGAGATGATTTTAAACTTTTATTTCAACATGTATGGTATAATGTGCATGTACTTTTATCATCTCTCCCTCTTGAGAAAATAGCCAGAAATTAGGTGCAGAAATTAAGCCAGAAAACACTGTAAGAACATCTATTTTCTGAACACTTTCACTTGGCTAGTTGTGAAATAAATAGATTAAGCTTAATTGTGGTGCTATTGTGTTGCACCACACTGAACTCTTCATAAGGCACACTGAACTCTTCATAAATGCATAGATAACCAACTGGAAGACGAGTAGAGACAGAAGATAAGCCTCTAATTTAATTGGGTGATTAGTCATTTAATTTCCTTTGTCTTTTCTTTCTTTCCTGTTACACTTCATCTCAGAAGTGTTTTATAAAAGAAACTAAATTAGAAAGATCTCAGAAGTGTTTTATAAAAGAAACTAAATTAGAAAGAGAGAGGGAGAAAAAAGATCCTGATTGGTGAGTTGTGGGTAAAAAGCTCTACTTGGAATCAGCATAAAAACAAAAGAGAAAACAGAAAAGAAGTCTGAACGTTAGATACCTGTTTAAACATTGAGCTTATACTGTTTTTCTCATTCAAGATTCTGAATCTTGGATTTAATGAAAGTAATCCATGTCGTTTGGGTTGCATATGTCTGGATAATAACAATGTGAACTTTTGCTGTTTTTTTAAATGTTATTTTGTTTTAGTTATTTATTTTTTGAGATGGGGTCTCACTAATGTTCTCCAGGCTGATCTTGAACTCCTAGACTCAAGGGATTCTCCTGCCTCAGCCTCCCACGTAGCTGGAATTACAGGCATGCACCACCATGCCTGGCAACGTTCCCTGTTTTGATTTACAGGTTTTTCATTACTTATTTGATAAGCCTCTTGTATCATCCTATTTCAACTATATCAAAGTACACAAATTCCAAATAATACTAGAGTATGGAATTTGTTTCAAGTGCTATTAATTGTCTCTTTCGAGACCAGATTTTATCTTTTATCTAACCAATGCTTTACATATTTTGTGGAGGCCATGAAATTGATATTTCCTTTCATGTTCAGAATTCTTATTTATGTCTTCTCTCCAGATGCTTTTTCAGCATTACAGTCACACTGTTACACTCGGGTCAGCAAATACACTGTGTGAGGACTATCATTCCCCCATTCTACACCCAAGGCAAATATTACTCATTGATCTTTCCTGTTTAGCCTGCGGTTGTACTTGGAATCCTTCTCAATGCCACACACCAGACATCCACTGCTAATGCAAACTCAGCATAAAAGCTTTTTGCCAAACTATGCCAGAGATTAATTCATCCCCTTCATTTTCTTTAATTATTATAACCAAATTGTTTCAGGATGCTTTTCTACCTGATTGGATGTTCTCCTACCTTAACAGATTTTTCTTGTGAATCAGAAAGTGATATTCATTCACTGTGACAAGGGTTCCTTTATAGAGGAAAAAGCTCTCCCAATAGGAATTCTAGTCCTGAGGTTTAGTTTACACATTGTCTGACAAAAATGGACAAAAATTTAATCTAGGCATTTTCTGAGTGAAGACATGGAATCAAAATCACAAGATAAACATGCAGTCTTACATTTTTATATCTTTATATGCACCTGCCTCATGCATTCTTAGAATATTTTTAAACCAATCAAATCCGAAGTACAGTATTTGTTATCTTTCATGTCCAGAATATATGCTTTCTCTCCCATGTTGCTTAAAATAGATTCAGCTGGTCAGAAGTGATCAGCCTCCAGACACAAATATGAATTTTGGATTCTATTTACAACAGAATGGCATTATCCCTCTGATATATTTTTCTAATGGGTTTATTTGCTTCAGGTTGAAATGTGGAAACTTCTTCAGCATTTGTTCAGCAACAACGTAGACTACATCAATTCATGCATAATAAATTACAGTGATAAAAAGACAAATATTTTTCTTTCTTTTTTCTTTCTTTCTTTCTTCTTTCTTTCTTTCTTTCTTCCTTTTTTTTTTGTGGGGTGTGTGTGTGTTTTTGTTTGTTTTGACAAGGTCTCATTATGTTGCCCAGGCTGGTTTCAATCTCTTGAGCAACTCAAGCAAACCTCCCATCTCAGCCTCCCAAGTAGCTAAGATTACAGGCACACACCACCACACCTGGTTTAGAACATACATCTCTAACATTTAATTAGAAGTCATATGCCTATATGCTATTTTTCTTTAGATTCATTTCACCAAAGTTCTAATTGTATTAGTTTCATCGAAGTCAAGCAGACCTTGCTACGATTATTGGAAGCAGCAGATAAAGGATTTAGCACAATGTCTTGACAGTTGTAGATTCTTTGTTGCTTTATTTTGTTTCTTTTCCATTTTATTTTATTTTTCAACTTTTGTTTTAGATTTTGGAGGTACATGTGCAGGTTTGTTATCTGGGCATGTGGCTTGATGCTGAAGTTTGGGGTATAAATAATCCTATCACCCAGGTACCGAGCATAGTTCCCAAAAGATTTTCAACCCTTGACCCTCCCCTCTCTCCCCTCTCTAGTAGTCCCCATTGTCTACTGTTGCCATCTTTATGTCTATGAGTACCCAATGTTCCCACTTATAAGTGAGAAGATGAGGTATTTGGTTTTCTGTTTCTGTGTTAATTCACTTGGGATAATGGCCTTCAACTGCATCCATGTTGCTGCAAAGGACATGATTTCCTTCTTTTTAGGGCTGTGTAGTACTCCATGGTGCATATGTACCATATTTTTTAATCCAGTCCACAGTTGATGGGTACCTAGGTTAAGTCTATGTCTTTGCTATTGTGATAGTGCTGTGATGCACATGCAAGCACATGTGTCTTTTTAGCAGAACGATTTGTTTTCTTTTGGATATATACCCAGTAATGGGATTGTTGCGTCAAAAGGTAGTTCGGTTTTAAGTTCTTTCAGAAATCTCCTAACTGCTTTCCACAGTGGTTGAATGAATTTACTTTCTAACAACAGTGTGTAAGCATTCCTTTTTCTCCACAGCCTCATCAGTATCTGTTTTTTTTGTTTTTTAATAATAGACATTCTGACTGGCGTGAAATGGTATCTCATTGTGGTTTTGATTTGCATTTTTCTGATGATTAGTGATGTGGAGCATTTTTTTCATGTGTTTTTTTTGGCCAATTGTATGTCTCCTTTTGAGAAATGTCTGTTCATGTCCTTTGCCCATTTTTTAAAATTTGGTTGTTTGTTTTTTGCTTGTTAAATTGCTTAAATTGTTTATAGATTCTGGATAGTAGACCTTTGTTGGATGCACAGTTTCTGAATATT
Organism: Homo sapiens; assembly: GCF_000001405.40. Classification (NCBI taxonomy): domain Eukaryota; kingdom Metazoa; phylum Chordata; class Mammalia; order Primates; family Hominidae; genus Homo; species Homo sapiens. Next base: position 179,331,035 of record NC_000002.12, on the reverse strand, counting down.
TTCTCCCATTCTGTAGGTTGTCTGTTTAGTCTGTTGGTAGTTTCTTTTGCTGTGCAGAAGTTCTCTAGTTTAATTAGGTCCCATTTGTCAATTTTTGTTTTTGTTGCAGTTGAGAATTAAGTCAAGAATTACTTGCCAAGGCTGATGTCCGAAATGGTATTTACTAGGTTTTCTTCTAGGAGTTTTATAGTTGTAGGTCTTACATTTAAATCTTTAATCCATGTTGAGTTTTTTTTTTTTTTTTATGGTCATGGTGAAATGTAGGAGTCCAGTTTCATTCTTCTGTGCATGGCTAGACAGTTATCCCAGCACCATTTATTGAATAGGAAGTCCTTTCCTCATTGCTTGTTTTGTCAAAGATCAGGTGGTTGTAGGTGTGCAGCTTCATTTTAGAGGCCTCTATTCTGTTCCATTAGTCTGTGTGTCTGTTTTTGTACCAGGTTTTGTAACAGTACCATGCTGTTTTGGTTACTGTAGCCTTATAGTATAGTTTGAAGTCAGGTAATGTGATGTCTCTGGTTTTGTTCTTTTGGTTGGGATTGCTTTGGCTATTTGAGTTCTTTTTTGGTTCCATGTGGATTTTAGAATCATTTATTCTAGTTCTGTGAAAAATGGCATTGATAGTTTGATAGGAAAAGCATTGAATCTGTAGATTGCTTCAGGCAGTATGGCCATTTTAACAAGGTTGAGTCTTCCAGTTTATGAACTTGGAATGTGTTTCCACTTGTTTTTGTCATCTGCAACTTCTTTTAGCAGTGTTTTATAGTTCTCCTTGTAGAGATCATTCACTTTCTGGTTATGTGTATTCCTAGTATTTTATTTTTCTTGTGGCTATTTTAAATGGGAATTGCATTCTTGATTTGGCTCTCAGCTTGAATGTTATTGGTGTATAGAGATGCTACTAATTTTTGCACATTGACTTTGTATCCTGAAACTTTACTGAAGTTTTCTGTTGTTGCTGTTGTTTGTTTTTGTTTTTTCTTTAGAGGAGGCAGCAAGTACAGTGTGGGGAAAGCTAGAGAAACCAAGGCAGGTTCTCAGCCTTCATGTATTATTCTTAAGAGTCTGGCTTTTGGCCCAAAATTGCACTCCCCAATCAGCAAAACAAAAGCCTAGAATTAAATAATCCATCCTCCTAGAATATAGCTTATCCTGCCAGCTGTTACCCATCACACCACAAACATTACCATCTTATATTCTACTCTCCTTAAGACAAAGTGTGGTAAGTATAATTTTTGACACACATACTTCTCCAACAGAGGTAGCTTCTTCATACGTATCTGCTAATGCGTTTGATGGCAGTGAATGAAAACTGATGTCTGCAGGCAAACCTTGGTGAAGTGTGGTATGAAAATGTTGGTTTGGCCACCCCATCGCCATGTGGTAAGCAGATCGCTCTAATAACCAGGTCTAGTTAGAAACATAAATATGAAGGTCAGGGCTGGACGCGATGGCTCACGCCTGTAATCCCAGCACTTTGGGAGGCCGAGGCGGGCAGATCATGAGGTCAGGAGATCGAGACCATCCTGGCTGACATGGTGAAACCCAGTCTCTGCTAAAAATACAATAAAAATTAGCTAGGCATGGTGGCAGGTGCCTGTAGTCCCAGCTACTTGGGAGGCTGAGGCAGGAGAATGGCATGAACTCGGGAGGCGGAGGTTGCAGTGAGCCGAGATCGCGCCACTGCACTCCAGTCTGGGCGACAGTGTGAGACTCCGTCTCAAAAAACAGAGAGAAAAAAAAAAAAAGAAGGTCAGATAAAATATGCAAGCTGAAGATATAGTAGTTTCACATCCCCACTGGATATATGGATCACACCTATAGGTATTATGCAAAGATATGGAATAAATGGGGTTTCCCCAAAGAGAAAGGGTTAAACATTAGAAAAGGCCTAGGATGAAACTCCAGAGTGAAACACAGTTTAAGTAGTAGATAAGCTCAGTGAAGGAGTGTGAGAGAGGTACAAAGAAAACCAGGAGGTAATGGTGATAGAGAACTCAAGAGAAAACATAGTTCCAAGAAGGAGGAACAGCTCTGCTCATTCAACTTTTCTTTTTTTTTTTTTTTAATAAAATTTAATTTAGCTGGGCATGGTGGCTCAAGCCTGTAATCCCAACACTTTGAGAAGTCAAGCTGGGTGGATCGCTTGAAGCTAGGAGTTCTAGACCAGCCTGGGCAACAAAGCAAGACCCTGTCTCTACAAAAAATTAAAAATTGGCCAGGAATGGTGGCACACACCGTAGTTCCAGCTGGGCTGAGGTGGGAGAATCACTTCAGCCCAGAAGTTTGAAGCTGCAGTCAGCCATAATCATGCCATTGCCCTCCAGTGTGGGCAACTGAGTGAGACTTTGTCTCTAAAACAATATAAAATTTTAAAAAGTTTTACGTTATAGTAGATTCCAATTGAGATGACAGAAGAGGGAAGTGTAAGGCAGGTAAAGGAAAGTTTAGAGATAGGATGGTGGGAAGTTGAGGAACTATTTACCAGATAACTTTTGTTTCCATGGCAAGTTGAAGGTAAATTTATTCAATAAATATAAATGGGGTGGTTATAAAAGTTTGGGCATCTGCTGAGCAAAAATGGAAAACAGAGGCAACTAAGAAAAAGCAAAAATATTTAGGAGGGCTTGAAAACCCAGGTGAGGCTGGAAGATACACATTGTAATGATATAGTTTATATCACTACACAAGTTCCTCCAGCAGCCCGTGAGCAACTGGAGGCAGGGGAAGATTAGAATGAATTCGTTCTTATCCGTCACACAATGACTACAAAAGATGCATCGGAAACCAATGACAGCAAAAATCATACCTGATATCTGATTCAAAAATATCAAAGTAGTGTGGAATATATTTTAAAACTTGAACTGAGATTCTGGTGATCTGAGTTACATCTCTGGCTCTGCCCCTAACTAGCTATGTAACTAGATTAAGTGACCAGTTTACCTGTTTTCACTTTTCTGACACTCAGCTCATTTATTTCTAAGGTAGGAAAGCCCGAGTGAGAAACAGCTTTCCTAGTGATGGTGGTGGAGGATCGTTTCCAGTATTCTCTTTAGATATGTTGAGTTCAATATGCTTATGGACATCCAAGGGAAGATAGCAGGTATTGAGTGAACACTACAAATCTGAAACTTGAGGCATAGAGATACATATTTGGAAGTCATCTTCACATAAATACATTTTAAAGCCATGGAGCAAATGAGATCAAGAGACAGAGAGTAGTGTAGCTAGGGAAGAGAAGACTGAATTCTATCACACTCAATATTTAGAGAAGAGGCATAGGAGGAGGAACCAGAGGCAGGAACTGTAGAGTTATCAGTGAGGTAGGCATAAATCAGGAAAGTTGGGCTAAAGAGGACAAAAAGAGAAAAGAGAAGGTTATTGAGTGTGTCAGTCCTGTTGAGAGAAGAGGAGGACAAAGAAGTAATCACTGAATTTGGCGACATGGGGAGCACCGGTAACTTAAAAAGCCATTTTAGTGGAGAAAAAGTCAAAAACCCAATGGCAATGAGATTATGGAGCTACAAAGTGAGGCATGTCTTTTCAATGTATGTGCTGTGAATCTGAAGCAAAGAAGTGAGGTTGAGGCAGGAAGGGAATATGTAGTCAAAAGAGTTTTATTTTGTTAAGGTGCATGCTCTACAAACTCAACTCAAGCATGCTCCAGCCAAGTTGTTATGAATTGTTATTAATGTTTCTGTCCAGCTCCCAGTCCTCAGGAAAAAATGTTCTTATTTTCTATGTTATTTCCTTTCTTTTTGCTTATCATGGTTTCTTGGTCATTTCAGCCATAGAGCCTGTAGTTGTTTAGTTCATATCAGTTCTGGTACATGATGAATAAACCAACTTCTTCCCATTTTTTAACTCTTGAAGTATATTGTATTATATTCTAGAAAGGATTTTAGAGATTAAAATCCTTACTTTACAGAGATTAAAATCATCTTATTTTATAGGTGAGAAAACCAATGAATCGAAAGGATAAGAAAATGCTTCAGTGATGGATCCAGAAATATAATCTAGGAATCGATATATTTGCTATCTGACAAAACACGTTTCTCTCCCTCAGATTTACCTCAATATGTCTGAGCACTTTCCTCATCCCAGAGATAGCTCTCTGCACATCTGAATCCAATAAAGCATCTTACCCTTAACCATTGAGAACCAAAAGTTAGGCCATTTCATACCACACCCAAAGCAATTTCTGTGAACATTCAATACACTTTTACTAATACATTTAAGAAATCCTTTGAAATTTTGAATTGGGCAGTGAGAGGTCTTTCATTACAAATGGTAGAAAATGCTTTGTTCTTATGGACTAGGTACTTTGCCCATTAGATCATGAGATCATAGAGGGCAAGAGTTTTTGAATTTTCAGAACATAAAACAACACCTTGCTTATAGTAGATGTCAAAAAAAATCCTTACCTATTGATGGAAAGAATGAACAGAATAGTAGCTGCTTGGTCTACTTCTTAGAAAACTACATTGTAAGTAGCATTCATAATTTTGGTTCTTGAACAGGTCATAACCCGCCTTTATTTGGTTTAGTCTTCTGATTAACAATTATCATCATATTCTAGGTTATTTTGCTCATCTCCAGTTTCTAGGTTATGTTGTTCATCATCGGTTTCTATGTAACAATAGTTTTCTTTCTTCCCTAAGAATTTGTAAAACTAGGTGTCTACTGTATTATCTTCTCTGTTCCTTGACCTAGTAAGAGTCTCAATATCTAATCATTAGATGAACCTGGAGACATATGTAGGATGTTAATACTAGTGATAACTTCTGAATTAAAAATTGAAAACCTAGTCTTTCTTATGAGCATTATAGAAACATAGAAAAGTATTCACATAAAGAAAATGATGTTACTACGTACATCATTTTCTATATGCCTTACAGACATTGTATGATTCAATGGTCTAAGCCCTGAATATAAGGAGAACAGACTTTTACATTGATTTCCAAAGCTCACTCTGAAAAAGTGACTTCATCTGGAAAATGAAAAGTGAGTCCTTTTGAATAGTCAATGGAATAGTGAACCTTTCCAACATCCATCAGAAATGTCATTTTAAATAGATGATAAAGGGGAAAAAAAGTTAAATTCCAATTAGGGAGTATACTTAAAGGGCTATTTTTTTTTTTTTTTTTTTTTTTTTTTTTTTTTTTTTGAGACGGAGTCTCGCTCTGTCGCCCAGGCTGGAGTGCAGTGGCGGGATCTCGGCTCACTGCAAGCTCCGCCTCCCGGGTTCACGCCATTCTCCTGCCTCAGCCTCCCAAGTAGCTGGGACTACAGGCGCCCGCCACTACGTTAAAGGGCTATTTTATGTTTTAAGGTTAAAAGTGAAATTGAGTATAAAAACTATAACAGGAAAAAAATTGTGTTATTTCTAATAATGTTTCTTTGAACACTTTATAATGTCCAAAGAGATTTGACTCAACCATAAGAAAATTCTATTTAACCCAAAAGTAGTTTAAGGTGTTTTGTAAAATCTAAGCTGGGAAGCAGCTCAAAAGGATAAGAAAAATATTATAATTCAAGGAACCCAGAATTTCCTGACAATTTTTAGACAAGTGACTTCATTTGCCTGTGGCACTTTCCAAGTCTGTGAAGTTACTTGCCAGTAAGGATTTTAATAACAGCAAGCCTTACTATCAGATAAAGTGCTTGATGGAAAACTATAGAAATCTGGAATTTGAAAATCTAATGTTCCTTTAGAAAGTAAATTAATATCCCACTTGAGACTATGTGAGTATCATGTTGATATAATCAACATGAAAAAGAAGAATAAAAGGGTCAGACTCAGCAAACACAAAATATCTCATTAAAAATGCTTCTAATTTGAATATTGAGATTTAAGAAGCTTGAGATTTTTCCACCAGAATAAAACCCTTGAGATATGTGGCAGGCTTTCACTCCAGAACCACCAAGTCATACCTACTGGCTCCTCTACCACATAGGAACAAGTGGAAGCTGGCCCAAATTCAGACTAGTCACTTCATACTCACGCTCAAAATGTGTAGGAATTTCCACTTTACAATTCGCATTAAAAACAGAAAGCAAGAGCAAAGATTTTACCACCACTGAGAAAGCATCTAGTTCCTAGCAAGCACCAACATATGGCATCAAGCAACTGCTGCAACCCTTCTGTTCCCAAAGGCAAAGGGAGCAGATCCATAGCTAGAAGTTCAGTCCCTGGTTGTAGTTCGAGCCATGCTCTAAAGGCTTTAAGTTAAAAAGTGGCCGCGGCAGAGTAGAAAGGATAGGAAAGGCTGGTCAAGAAAGCAGACTTAGCAAGTGATGAGAGTAAAAGGATTTTTTAGCATTTTGGAATTTTCTAAATGCAAAAATGCAATATACAAATAAACTATGCTTCATGTATACCAATGGCTTCTTTGATGCATGTCGAAAAATCTTTGTACAGTGACAGCTAGAGGACTTCCAGGGCTCCATTGATCATTCTGAAGTGAGAATGAGATGATACATTCATTGAGGGAAACTTTCATAGATATTTTTGTATCATTTTGCAGTTCTTCACTATATTTAATAGACAAATTGTGGGAAAGCTGTGTGCAAGCCAAATTATATTTTAAATGCATTCATTGAGCTTGCTGAATAGAGAGATGCAATTGTGTATTGTCTGGTAAAGTCAGCAATCACCCTGCAGTCTCCTTTGTGTGTAAATCTAGACATTTATAATTGGGTTTGATGAAAGCCAAGTTCACATGCCTTGTTAAATTCCATACTTATATAGCAATTTTACTTCTTATATGATGTAAAAATCACTAATCACTTCTTCCAATTCCCCTTTGAGGACGAAAGGGAAGAATTATTAATCCAATTTTATTTCTATATACTATTAACTAAACCACTTTGACTCAAATGAAACCTAGTTATTATCTATCATTCTGATATACAGTATTGGAACATATAAATAAGTGAATTCACTTATTACCTATGAAAATGAATTTCTGGCTCCCACTAACACTGTAATGTTTATTTCTTACCACCAAAAGTAGGTAGAAGCATCATGTTGAAAATATTTATGTATATATGAATCTAGCATAGTAGATGGGTTGGCAAACTGGCCCAGTGATCAGATCCAGCCCACCATCTGTTTTTGTATGACCCACAAATGTAGCTTTTAAATTTTTAAATGGTTGAAAACATTCAACAGAGGAACAATATTTTGTGAAGCAAAAAAATGTGAAATTTAAATTCAGTGAACATAAATAAAGGTATATTGGAACATAGCCACACATTCGTTTATATATTATCCACCACTGTTTTCATGCTTTAAAGGCAGAGTTGAATACTTTTGACAGAAACTGTATCACCTGAAAAACCTAAAATATTTACTATCTGGCCCTTTACAGAAAATGTTTACTGATATTTGGTATATAAGGTATAAGAGAGTTTATATCTTCATAAGAAATAGCCTAGCAATAAAGAATAGTATTCATATTTTATTAAAATGAAATACCAAAATATTATAAAGTTGTCTGAGGTTGAAATAATGTATAAATTATGTGGACACATAAGGTCTAATATTTGAAATGGAAACTAGTCCTGTTGACATGGTGAATACATCGGTGATTTTTAAATAAAGTGACATTATTCTTTCAATAAAAGAGAAAAAAATTATAAATAGATGTGGAAACAAATCTATATATCATTTTCATTTTGGAGCACTGTTGTGTGTGATACAAAAGTTCTTTTGGCTGTAACTCAAAAAACCAAGGAACAGAAAATAATTGAGTAAAGCGGCTGGGCACGGTGGCTCAAGCCTGTAATCCCAGCACTTTGAGGGTCTGAAGTAGAGGATTGCTTCAGTCTAGGATTTCAAGACCTGCCTGGGCAACAGGAGAGACTTCAACTCAAAAAAAAAAAAAAAAAAAAGAGTAAAGAAATAACTAAATTCCGATTATAGAGAGATAAATAGCATAATTAGTAGCACAATTGAGTTATAATTGAAGAAACATGCTTGGTGAAGTTGTGAAACACTTCCTGAATTCCACACACCTGCACCATTTCCAATGGTTAGTTCTAATTTGGAAATGTTGGCGTTCCTTCTGATCACAACTTCAGACTGAAGAAATAATTTTGTATTATAGTAGTAAACAATGTAGTAGGTATTTTACAGTTCACAGTGCTACCTGTATAATCAGCATGATTCATTAGCCTGTTTAATAATTCTGACATCAGACTGAAGCCAGACAGACACAGGCTTCTGAGGTAGTTCAGGCTTCTGAAATAGTAGAACCTAGGATTAAATCATATTTTAATGTAAATAAAGCTATTTAATTAGGAGGCGAAATAAAATCACTTCTTGTTCATTAATTATCTACTTGAAAACAAATCCTAATGCTTTTCAGTCACAGCCTGATTGATCCTTCCATTTTAAATTTCTGTACATATTAGCGTCTTCTTTTCTTTCTTTCTTTCTTTCTTTTTTTTTCTTTTTTTATACAGGGTCTCACTCTCTTGCCTGGCCTGGAGTGCAGTGGCGTAATCACAGCTCACTGCAGCCTTGACCTCTGGGGCTCAAGCACTCCTCCCACCTTTGCCTCTTGAGTAGCTGAGACCACAGGCACACGCCACCATGTCTGGCTAATTTGTTATTTTTCCAGAGATGGGATCTCACCGTGCTTCCCAGGCTACATGTTAGGGCTTTTTGCCATACTCAGGTTACCTCCAGTAATTCACAGTATGGTAAAATGTGGCGATAAAGAAAGCAGAATTCTCTTGGAAGGAATAAGAATTCCATTGCAGATGAGCCTCAAGAACGGAAGAAAGCGGCTTGGGACTAGATCACTGGACAACTCTCAGCATAAGGCAAGATTCATTAGCAAGACCAATTAGCAAGAGTCGCTCCACCTCCCACCTTGGTAGTGGCTTATTTCTCCCCGTCATTGCTTCTGTGGTTCTTACCATGACCTACTAAATTCCCAACAGATATTACTCTTCAGGATTCAGAAACACAAAAAATAAGAATTTCTGAAAATTCTCAGCAATTCCCCAAATTATAAGTAATCGATATTTTTCATAACACTTTCTGTATTGTTAAGAATATATTATCATAGTAATAAGCAGTAAGTCATTTTTCTGTGATAGGCTTATACTAAACCTCTCAGAGTTTTTCTATAAAAATGTTATAATAATAAATTATGGTTTGTTATTATTATGACCCTAATATATTAGCATGTTATTTTAATAATACGTAAAAAAAACTCTACCTGATAATTTTTTAAAACACTAAAAGAAGGCAAGAATAACACAAAAATAACATGCAATAAAATAATTTTAAAATTAAAAAATAATACCATAACTATTTAATATTTTAAATTATCATTCTTAAAGTAAAACTTTAAAACACATCTAGAATTAACTGTCTTGTTCAACAGAAAATATTTTTTCCTTTTGCATTGACAGTCAGATTTTTAAGTAGGTCCAAAAAAGCATCCTCAAGTTGGGCATTGAGTACACGTAGCTTCTTAAAAGTTTATCTCATTTTTTTTTAATACTTTAAGTTCTGGGGTACATGTGCACAACGTGCAGGTTTGTTGCATATGTATACATGTGCCATGTTGGTGTGCTGCACCTGTTAACTCATTATTTACATTAGGTATATCTCCTAATGCTATACCTCCTCTGTCCCCTCACCCCACGGCAGGCCTTGGTGTGTGATGTTTCCCACCCTGTCTCCAAGTGTTTTCATTGTTCGATTCCTGCCTATGAGTGAGAACATGCAGTGTTTAGTTTTCTGTCCTTGTGATTGTTTGCTCAGAATGATGTTTTCCAGTTTCATCCATGTCCCTACAAAGGACACTAACTCATCCTTTTTTATGGCTGCATAGTATTCCATGGTGTGTATGTGCCACATTTTCTTAATCCAGTCTATCATTGATGGACATTTGGGTTGGTTCCAAGTCTTTGCTATTGTGAATAGTGCTGCAATAAACATACGTGTGCATGTGTCTTTATAGCAGCATGATTAATAATCCTTTTGGTATATACCTAGTAATGGGATGGCTGGGTCAAATGGTATTTCTAGTTCTAGATCCTTGAGGAATTGCCACACTGACTTCCACAATGGTTGGACTAGTTTACAGTCCCACCAAGAGTGTAAAAGTGTTCCTATTTCTCCACATCCTTTTCAGCACCTGTTGTTTCCTGACTTTTTAATGATCGCCATTATAATTGGTGTCAGATGGTATCTCGTGGTTTTGATTTGCATTTCTCTGATGGCCAGTGATGATGAGAATTTTTTCATGTGATTCTTGGCTGCATAAATGTCTTCTTTTGAGAAGTGTCTGTTCATATCCTTCACCCACTTTTTGATGGGGTTGATTTTTTCTTGTAAATTTGTTTAAGTTCTTTGTAGATTCTGGATATTAGCCCTTTGTCAGATGGGTAGATTGTAAAAATTTTCTCCTATTCTGTAGGTTGCCTGTTCACTCTGATGGTAGTTTCTTTTGCTGTGCAGAAGCTCTTTAGTTTAATCAGTTCCCATTTGTCAATTTTGGCTTTTGTTGCCATTGCTTTTGGTGCATTAGTCATAAAGTCCTTGCCCATGCCTATGTCCTGAATGGTATTGCCTAGGTTTTCTTCTGGGGTTTTTATGGTTTTAGATCTAACATTTAAGTCTTTAATCCATCTTGAATTAATTTTTGTATAAGGTGTAAGGAAGGGATCCAGTTTCAGCTTTCTACATATGGCCAGCCAGTTTTCCCAGCACCATTTATTAAATAGGGAATCCTTTCCCCATTGCTTGTTTTTGTCAGGTTTGTCAAAGATCAGATGGTTGTAGATGTGTGGTGTTATTTCTGAGGCATCTGTTCTGTTCCATTGGTCTATATCTCTGTTTAGCTACCAGTACCATGGTGTTTTGGTTACTGTAGACTTGTAGTATAGTTTGAAGTCAGGTAGCATGATGCCTCCAGCTTTGTTCTTTTGGCTTAGGATTGTCTTGGCAATGTGGACTCTTTTTTGGTTCCATATGAACTTGAAAGTAGTTTTTTCCAATTCTGTGAAGAAAGTCATTGGTAGCTTGATGGGGATGGCATTGAATCTATAAATTACCTTGGGCAGTATGGCCATTTTCATGATATTGATTCTTCCTATCCATGAGCATGGAATGTTCTTCCATTTGTTTGTGTCCTCTTTTATTTCGTTGAGCAGTGGTTTGTAGTTCTCCTTGAAGAGGTCCTTCACGGAGGTGGGGGGTCAGCCCCCCGCCCGGCCAGCCGCCCCGTCGGGGAGGGAGGTGGGGGGATCAGCCCCCCGCCTGGCCAGCCGCCCCGTCCGGGAGGTGAGGGGCGCCTCTGCCCGGCCGCCCCTACTGGGAAGTGAGGAGCCCCTCTGCCCGGCCAGCCGCCCCGTCCGGGAGGGAGGTGGGGGGGTCAGCCCCCCGCCTGGCCAGCCGCCCCATCCGGGAGGGAGGTGGGGGGGTCAGCCCCCCGCCCGGCCAGCCACCCCGTCCGGGAGGTGAGGGGCGCTTCTGCCCGGCCGCCCCTACTGGGAAGTGAGGAGCCCCTCTGCCCGGCCATGACCCCGTCTGGGAGGTGTGCCCAGCGGCTCATTGGGGATGGGCCATGATGACAATGGTGGTTTTGTGGAATAGCAAGGCGGGAAGGGTGGGGAAAAAATTGAGAAATCGGATGGTTGCGGGGTCTGTGTGGATAGAAGTAGACATGGGAGACTTTTCATTTTGTTCTGTACTAAGAAAAATTCTTCTGCCTTGGGATCCTGTTGATCTGTGACCTTATCCCCAACCCTGTGCTCTCTGAAACATGTGCTGTGTCCACTCAGGGTTAAATGGATTAAGGGCGGTGCAAGATGTGCTTTGTTAAACAGATGCTTGAAGGCAGCATGCTCGTTAAGAGTCATCACCACTCCCTAATCTTAAGTACCCAGGGACACAAACACTGCGGAAGGCCGCAGGGTCCTCTGCCTAGGAAAACCAGAGACCTTTGTTCACTTGTTTATCTGCTGACCTTCCCTCCACTATTGTCCTATGACCCTGCCAAATCCCCCTCTGTGAGAAACACCCAAGAATGATCAATAAAAAAAAAATAAAAAATAAAAAAATGAAGAGGTCCTTCACATCCCTTGTAAGTTGAATTCCTAGGTATTTTATTCTCTTTGAAGCAGTTGTGAATGGGAGTTCACTCATGATTTGGCTCTCTGTTTGTCTGTTACTAACGTATAGGAATGCTTATGATTTTTGCACATTGATTTTGTATCCTGAGACTTTGCTGAAATTGCTTATCAGCTTAAGGAGATTTTGGGCTGAGACGATGGGGTTTTCTAAAGATACAATCATGTCATGGATGCAAACAGGGACAATTTGACTTCCTCTTTTCCTAATTGAATACCCTTTATTTCTTTCTCCTGCCTGATTGCCCTGGCCAGAACTTCCAACACTATGTTGAATAGCAGTCGTGAGAGAGGGCATCCCTGTCTTGTGCCAGTTTTCAAAGGGAATGCTTCCAGTTTTTGCCCATTCAGTATGACATTGGTTGTGGGTTTGTCATAAATGGCTCTTATTGTTTTGAGATACATCCCATCAGTACCTAGTTTATTGAGAGTTTTTAGCATGAAGGGCTGTTGAATTTTGTCGAAGGTCTTTTCCTTATCTACTGAGATAATCATGTGGTTTTTGTCTTTGGTTCTGTTTATACGATGGATTGTGTTTATTGATTTGCATATGTTGAACCAGCCTTGCATCCCAGGGATGAAGCTGATTTGATCATGGTGGATAAGCTTTTTGACGTGCTGCTGGATTCAGTTTGCCAGTATTTTATTGAGGATTTTTGCATCGATGTTCATCAGGGATATTGGTCTACAATTCTCTTTTTTGGTTGCGCCTCTGCCAGGCTTTGGTATCAGGATGATGCTGGCCTCACAGAATGCGTTAGGGAGGATTCTCTCTTTTTCTATTGATTGGAATAGTTTCAGAAGGAACGGCACCAGCTCCTCTTTGTATCTCTGGTAGAATTCGGCTGTGAATCCGTCTGGTCCTGGACTTTCTTTGGATGGTAGGGTACTAATTATTGCCTCAATTTCAGAGCCTGTTATTGGTCTTTTCAGGGATTCCACTTCTTCCTGGTTTAGTCTTGGGAGGGTGTATATGTCCAGGAATTTATCCTTTCTTCTAGATTTTCTAGTTTATTTGCATAGAGGTGTTTATAGTATTCTCTGATGGCAGTTTGTATTTCTGTGGGATCAGTGGTGATATTCCCTTTATCACTTTTTATTGCATCTATTTGATTCTTCTCTTTTTTTCTTTATTAGTCTTGCTAGTGGTCTATCAATTTTGTAGATCTTTTAAAAAAACCAGCTGCTGGATTCATTAATTTTTTGAAGGGTTTTTTGTGTCTCTATCTCCTTCAGTTCTGCTCTGATCTTAGTTATTTCTTGCCTTCTGCTAGCTTTTGAATGTGTTTGCTCTTGCTTCTCTAGTTCTTTTAATTGTGATGTTAGGGTGTCAATTTTAGATCTTTCCTGCTTTTTCCTGTGGGCATTCAGTGCTACAAATTTCCCTCTACACACTGCTTTAAATGTGTCCCAGAAATTCTGGTATGTTGTGTCTTTGTTCTCGTTGGTTTCAAAGAACATCTTTATTTCTGCCTTCATTTTGTTATGTACCCAGTAGTCATTCCAGAGCAGATTGTTCAGTTTCCATGTAGTTGAGCAGTTTTGAGTGAGTTTCTTAATCCTGAGTTCTAGTTTGATTGCACTGTGGTCTGAGAGACAGTTTGTTGTGTTTTCTATTATTTAACATTTGCTGCAGAGTGCTTCACTTCCAACTATGTGGTCAATTTTGGAATAAGTGTGATGTGGTGCTGAGAAGAATGTATATTCTGTTGATTTGGGAAGGAGATTTCTGTAGACGTCTATTAGGTCTGCTTGGTGCAGAGCTGAGTTCAATTCCTGGATATCCTTGTTAATTTTCTGTCTCATTGATCTGTCTAATGTTGACAGTGGGGTGTTAAAGTCTCCCATTATTATTTTGTGGGAGTCTAAGTCTCTTTGTAGGTCTCTAAGGACTTGCTTTATGAATCTGGGTGCTCCTGTATTGGGTGCATATATATTTAGGGTAGTTAGCTCTTCTTGTTGAATTGATCCCTTTACCATTATGTAATGGCCTTCTTTGTCTCTTTTGATCTTTGTTGGTTTAAAGTCTGTTTTATCAGAGACTAGGATTGCAACCCCTGCCTTTCTTTGTTTCCCATTTGCTTGGAAGATCTTCCTCCATCCCTTTATTTTGAGCCTATGTGTGTCTCTGCATGTGAGATGGGTCTCCTGAATACAGCACACTGATGGGTCTTGACTCTTTATCCAATTTGCCAGTCTGCGTCTTTTAATTGGAGCATTTAGTCCATTTACATTTAAAGTTAATATTGTTATGTGTGAATTTTATCCTGTCATTATGATGTGAGCTGGTTATTTTGCTCGTTATTTGATGCAGTTTCTTCCTAGCATCAATGTTCTTTACAATTTGTTATGTTTTTGCAGTGGCTGGTACGAGTTGTTCCTTTCCATGTTTAGTGCTTCCTTCAGGAGCTCTTGTAAGGCAGGCCTGGTGGTGACAAAATCTCTCAGCATTTGCTTGTCTTTAAAGCATTTTATTTCTCCTTCACTTAGGAAGCTTAGTTTGGCTGGATATGAAATTCTGGGTTGAAAATTCTTTTCTTCAAGAATGTCGAATATTGGCCCCCACTCTCTTCTGGCTTGTAGAGTTCTGCTGAGAGATCTGCTGTTAGTCTGATGGGCTTCTCTTTGTGGATAACCCGACCTTTCTCTCTAGCTGCCCTTAATATTTTTCCTTCATTTCAACTTTGGTGAATCTGACAATTACGTGTCTTGGGGTTGCTCTTCTCGAGGAGTATCTTTGTGGCGTTCTCTGTATTTCCTGAATTTGAATGTTGGCCTGCCTTGCTAGGTTGGGGAAGTTCTTCTGGATAATATCCTGAAGAGTGTTTTCCAACTTGGTTCCATTCTCCCTGTCATTTTCAAGTACACCAATCAGACGTAGATTTGGTCTTTTCACATAGTCCCATACTTCTTGGAGGCTTTGTTCATTTCTTTTTACTCTTTTTTCTCTAAACTTCTCTTCTTGCTTCATTTCATTCATTTGATCTTCAATCACTGATACCCTTTCTTTCACTAAATCAAATCAGCTGCTGAAGCTTGTGCATGTGTCATGTAGTTCTCATGCCATGATTTTCAGCTCCATCAGGTCATTTAAGGTCTTCTCTACATTGTTTATTCTAGTTAGCCATTCATCTAATCTTTCTTCAAGGTTTTTAGCTTGTTTGCGATGGGTTCAAACATCCTCTTTTAGCTAGGAGAAGTTTGTTATTACTGATCATCTGAAGCCTTCTTCTCTCAAGTCGTCAAAGTCATTCTCCATCCAGTTTTGTTCTGTTGCTGGTGAGGAGCTGTGTCCCTTTGGAGGAGAAGAGGCACTCTGATTTTTAGAATTTTCAGCTTTTCTGCTCTGGTTTCTCCCCATCTTTTTGGTTTTATCTACCTTTGGTCTTTGATGATGGTGACATACAGATGGGGTTTTGGTGTGGATGTCCTTTCTGTTTGTTAGTTTTCCTTCTAACAGTCAGGACCCTCAGCTGCAGGTCTGTTGGAGTTTGCTGGGGGTCCACTCCAGACCCTGTTTGCCTGTGTATCACCAGTGGAGGCTGCAGAACAGTAAATATTGCAGAACAGCAAATGTTGCTGCCTGATCCTTCCTCTGGAAGCTTTGTCTCAGAGGGGCACACAGCTGTATGAGGTGTCAGTCGGCCCCTACTGGGAGGTGTCTCCCAGTTAGGCTACTCGGGGGGTCAGGGACCCACTTGAGGAAGCAGTCTGTCTATTCTCAGATCTCAAACTCCGTGCTGGGAGAACCACTACTCTCTTCAAAGCTGTGAGACAGGGACGTTTAAGTCTGCAGAAGTTTCTGCTGCCTTTTGTTCAGCTATGCCCTGCCCCCAGAGGTGGAGTCTACAGAGGCAGGCAGGCCTCTTTGAGCTGTGGTGGGCTCCACCCAATTCGAGCTTCCTGGCCACTTTGTTTACCTACTCAAGCTTCAGCAATGGCGGACGCCCCTCCCCCAGCCTCACTGCCACCTTGCAGTTCAATCTCAGACTGCTGTCCTAGCAGTGAGCGAGGCTCCGTGGGTGTGGGACCCTCTGAGCCATGTGCAGGATATAATCTCCTGGTGTGCCATTTGCTAAGACTGTTTGAAAAGCACAGTATTAGGGTGGGAGTGTTCCGATTTTCCAGGTACCGTCTGTCACGGCTTCCCTTGGCTAGAAAAGGGAATTCCCTGACCCCTTGTGCTTCCTGGGTGAGGTGATGCCTCACCCTGCTTCAGCTCACAGTCCATGGGCTGTACCCACTGTCCTGCACCTACTGTCCAACAAGCCCCAGTGAGATGAACCTGTAACCTCAGTTGGAAATGCAGAAATCACCCATCTTCTGTGTCACTTACACTGGGAGCTGTAGACTGGAGCTGTTCCTACTTGGCCATCTTGGAACCTCCTCCTTAAGTTTATGTCATTGTTTAACGATGAAAATATTTTGTCTGTTTGCTCTGGTTTTAGTTTTGCAGCTGAAATCAATATTGCTTTTGATAATTCAGATTTTGGATCTGTTTCCCATTTTATATAGGGAGCATTCACATTTTTTCTCTCTGCTTTTTCCTATTACAGTATTTACAGAGATCTATAGCCTGCAGTGAGTATTTAAACGTTGAAAACACCAGCAAACATTATTGGATAATATTCAAGTAATTTCATTCAGATCTCCTAGCAAGGTTTATAGGATTTTACCAGTTTGGCAATTTAAGAACTTATTTTGCTTCCAAAACTTATTTCTTGGAACACCACTCATAAGATTTGTATTAAGTATACTAAGCATATAAACTTTTTTTTTTTTTTGCAAGAACAACTCACCATCAAAAAGAGATGGGGCCATGAAAATACACTTGTAACATTAACAAATACACTTGTAACAGCTGCAAGCAAGACTGATGGACTGGATTGTGACCACTTCTCTTCCATGTGCTCTTGTCCCATTCCCGGAAATGTCGACTTTAACCTTTGACTGGACGTGTCAATGTTTCCTGTTCTTGCTTTAGACTTGACATTAGTGATTTCCATGGATCAATAATGTTTCTATGCTGATTGTTATGCTTTAATTTTCACAGGAGAATTTGAATACTTTCCCTGTTTTCCTGATTTCTCAACTGAGTTTTCTAGAGATTCAGCATTCAGGAAAACATAAATTTCCTGAGAAATGGTAGGAAGGAATTTCCATATGAAAATATCATGACCAACCAATCCTCTAATCCCTCTCTCTACCAATGCCACTTTTTAAAAAACCTGTTGCTCAGGCTGGAGTGCAGTGGCACAATCATAGCTTACTGCAGCCCCAAACTCCTGGGCTCAAGTGATCCTCCCTCCTTGGTCTTACAGGTGTGTGCCACCATACCAGGCTAATTTTTTAATTTTTTCTTGGAGACAGGGTCTCACTATGTTGCCCAGGCTGGTCTTATAGGTGTGAGCCACCATACCCGGCCCCACTGATGCATCTTTATTGGGCCTTACAACTCTTCTCACTCATAGGTTTCTGCTTGCCTTCAGCATATGTCCTCCAGTTGGCCCAGTTCACCTCCATTGTCACCTCTTTGGCCTATACTATTCTTTCCAGACAATTCTTGGGCCAGGTGCTTATCTCTGGTCCAACCAGCTGTGGTCTGCAGGAAATGGGGGTCAAAGTTCTCTAGGCTGCTCCCTCAGGTCCAGGTTAGGGATAAGGCAGCTTTCCTCAAATGGAGTTTGTGGGCAAGCTGGGCACAATGATTAACTAGTGTAATGCTTTCTCTGTGAGTTGCTAAAGCTTCCTTCCAGGGAAAATAATGCCCATAAGTGAAGGTAACAAAATATCATTGCCATGTGAAGAATGATTGCCCTGTAGGTCTTTTTGTTGTTGAGCACCTGTGTACATACTGATCCCTAAAACAGGCAGAACTGAAAAGAGGGGAAGAGGCACAGAGGGTTTGGGTATTTGGGGAAAGTAACCCAAAAGACAGGAGCTATGGACGGTAAGGACAATGTGAAGAGAAGAGGCCAGGGCAAAGAAACTCCTTTTGGTGGCACCGCCAAGGAAGGGACTTTAGAAACAAACATGAACAAAAGTACAAGTTGAGTGTCTTTCCTTCCAATGACATGTCCTCTTTCAGTGGTTTATTTATTTCCTTTCTTTCCCCTCTTTCCTTTTTTACATAGTTGTAAATGATGTTATAATGGAGACTTTTGCTGTCCCCTCAAATCCCTTCTCCCTTCCTCTTTGGTAATGGAGCTCCTGACTTTTGTCTCCACACATGACCATCCAGATTAGAGACTGCCTTTCCTAGTTTGCAGCCATGAGTGGCCACTTGACCGAATTCAGGCCAGAGGGCTCAAAGCAGAAGGGTCATGTGGCAACTTCTGGGAATCATCCTTCAGAGACAGCACATAGACCCTTTGTCTTTATTCCTTCGTCCTATGCTGCCTGGAACACAGAAATGCTTCCATCTTCAGCTTCAATGTTCAGTCTATGCATAGTGGATCAACAAGGTTAATGTCTACGCGCCATCAGCATCCCGGCCCTGGATTGCCAAATGAACTTTCATTTAACAGGGAAATAAGCTTCTATCTACTTTAAGCCACTGTTATTTAGGGCTTTCTTCACACATACCTGAATTTAATCTTTTTTTTTTTTTTTAGAGACAAGGGTCTCGCTGTGTTGCCCAGGCTGTTCTTGAACTCCTGACCTCAAACAATCCTCCCACCTCAGCCTCCCAAATTGTTAATTGTTGAGATTACAGGCATGAGCCACCACATCTGAGTGAACTTAATCTTAAGTAATATAGGTACATGAATTTTGCTAAAGTCTATCATTTTAACTTATTAGATCATACTTTCAATTGCCAAATAATCTTTGTAACTACAAGTTTTAACGGCAGTTTACAACTTCATCTCATGAATATGCCACAATTTACAAAAGCAATTCCCTATTATTGAGTGTTTGTATTTATTTAATTAGCTCTAAATGCTCCCTGGTTTTAATATACCCATCCTTACTAGAATAACTACAATAAAATAATTATTTTTGTGTCTATTCAATTGCCATGACAGTATTTTTTCAATAACTCTTATTCCTTTTTGATTTGTGCTACTGTCTTTATCTGATTTTAAAGTTTTACACAGTTAATTTCTGGGTTACATATTATATTTCACTAACCTATCAATTCTTAGGCCAATATTTTGTTTATTTTAATTACCATATCTATAAAATAACCTAACTACAAATATATGTTAAAATACTTATGATTTTAATGTTTTTAACATGGGTCAGTTTATTTTACTCATATATCTTAGAACCACAGTTTGGTTTTTAGAGCTGGGTCTGTCGTTTGAAAACAATGCCAATAATAATGATACCCTGCTTTCTCTCTAAACAGTATTTATTTCACAGCTCCATCAAATGTATTGTTTTATTTGAGTCCTAAATGGGGCTATTATGACATTCTTCAGATTAGCCCCATTCAACTACTCAGTCTTCCAAAATTCAAAACCAGAGAATTCTAAAAAGAAGTTACAATCAGGCTCTCTGAAATTGCTGTGAAATGCTCTTAAGAAGACAGCTGTCAACTCCTTTGGCTGCAGCCCCAGCATTTCCTTCAGATTATTGATGGAGTTCTGCAGTCAGGTCAAAGCTGGTTAGCCTCTTGCTAACTTTGGTTGCAGCTGTCTGCAGTCATGCTGAGCATGAGAGGTCCAGTAGCACAGGCCATCAAAACACTGTTCTTTGCCTGCTTTAAAAATAAATCCCTATAAAGTAGGACAAGTAATTGAAGCTTTGTAATTTTTCGGCTTGAGGCATCAACTCTGTTCTTAAGATGATGAAGCATTAGCAGATCTGTTTAGAAAAGAGGTGAGAAGCTGCTTGAATAATAAAACATGAGAGAGACATTTTACAGATTTTCAGTTTGTACTGCCGACAACAGAATGATATACCATTCTCGGTATTCAACTGGCTTCTCAGAATAGAATAATATCTATTTTGTGCAAAGGAATATGGAAAAGATATATTCTTCTGTATTTTAAGTGTTTTAACTACCAATAAAGTATAGTTCAAGTGTGATAGGACAAAAATTCAAGTAATTTCCAAGATAATGTATTTTTTTTTTAGAAAAGCTTAAATCCCAACTAGATCAGCTGGAAATTTTCTGTAACGATATATCTATACAAATGTTTAAAAATGTTGTACAGAAAAAGTTATAGCCACTTTAATCAGTAGCAAGAAAGTGAAACGGACGTCTTCTAAGGTGGTGTATAGATACATTTAAGAAATTCCATACAAATTAACTTTGACATGAAGACAGACCAAGACAGAAAAATGAAATAGGTAGAGATCATGATCAGGTTGGAAAGGAATCATCGAGGGCACTTACCAGGCCATGAAACTGTCCTATCTTAAGTCAACCTGCTCATAGGACAAGGAACTTATTTTTTTTTTTAGACGGAGTCTTGCTCTATCGCCAGGCTGGAGTGCACTGGTGCAATCTCGGCTCACTGCAATCTCGGCTCAGTGCAACCTCTGCCTCCCAGGTTCAAGCGATTCTCCTGCATCAGCCTCCCAAGTAGCTGGGACTACAGGTGTCTGCCACCATACCCAGCTAATTTTGGTATTTTTAGTAGAGACAGGGTTTCACCATTTTGTCCAGAATGGTCTCAATCTCTTGACCTCGTGATCCACCTGCCTTGGCCTCCAAAAGTGCTAGGATTACAAGCATGAGCCACCGCTCCTGGCCAGTACAAGGAACTTTAATGAAACAAAAAACTAAAAGGAACAGTTGCTCTAAACCAACTGTTGTCTAAATCAACTGGCTGCTCTAAATCAGCATTTCTCAAACTGGTACCAAAAGAAGAAATTGCCCCAGGATGCAAACATGTGTGCCAAGAGAAAAGTGTTCCGTGTTCACACTGGTTAGGGAGTTGCTGGATTAAGCACATTTCTATACTGCAGGACTTCTCTGAGGCTTCTGTGGGCCAAAATAGATTGTGGACCTCCAAGAAAGGCAATCTTCCAAACTTACTTGACCTCTAATGTGGCCACCTATTTCTAGTTCCTGAAACACTGATTTAGAGAACACAGCTCAAAATAAACATGTAGTTATTTAGACGTTTGTTGTTAAAAAGTCAGGTGTGCCAACAGAGCAAATGAATGTTCTCTGATATCCTGTGTGCAGGAAGTTTGGGAGCTCTGCTGTGGTACCACCCTGAGGCATTAAACTGGTTCTAGAAAACTATGGCATAGCTTCTTAACATCTAGAGTATATAAAAATTAAGTATTAGAACAGAACAAGAGAATTCAGAGTTCTATTATAAAGCTGTTAATTTGTTCCATTTATGATATGGTTTGGTTCTGTGTCCCCACTCAAATCTCATCTCCAGCTGTGATCCTCAGTGATGGAGGAGGGGCCTGGTGGGCGGTGATTGGATCATGGGTGCAGACTTCCCCCTTGCTATTCTCATGACAGTGAATATGTTTTCACAAAATCTGGTTGTTTGAAAGTGTGTAGCAGCTCCCCCTTCTCTCTCTGTCTCTCTCTGTCTCTCTGTTTCTCTCTCTCTCTGTCTCTCTCTCTCTCTCCCTCTCCCCTGCTCTGCCATGGTAAGATGTGCCTCCTTCCCCTTCACCTTCTGCCATGATTGTAGTTTCCTGAGGCTTCTCAACCATGCTTCCTGTACAGCCTGTGGAACTAAGTCAATTAAACCTCTTTTCTTTATAAATTACCCAGTCGCAGGTTGTTCTTTATAACAGTGTGAGAATGGACTAATACAATTTAAAAAATAGTAAAATTTTAAACCTTGGAAAGATCTTAATAGAACTTCTCATTTCATCAATTCTCTAACTTTATAGATGGGGAAATTAAGGCCCAAATCACTTAAGTGGTTTGTGCAAGGTTATTCAATTAGTTAGGAGCCTAATGAGCCCAGTTCTGATCATGCTCATGGCATACTCTCATAATTCCCATATAACAGGCCAGTTGTTTTTCCTTTTTTTTGAGCCAGAGTCTCGCTCTGTCACCCAGGCTGGAGCGCAGTGGTACAATTTCGGCTCACTGCATCCTCCGCCTCCCAGGTTCAAGCAATTCTCCTGCCTCAGCCTCCTGAGTAGCTGGGATTACAGGCATGCACCACCTCGCCGAGCTATTTTTTTTTTTTTGTATTTTTAGTAGAGACAGGGTTTTACCACGTTGGCCATGCTGGTCTCGAACTCCTGACCTTGTGATCTGCCCGCCTCGGCCTCCCAAAGTGCTGGGATTACAGGCGTGAGCTACTGCGCCCGGCCTTTTAATTTCATTTTATTATTTTATCTTTTTTCTGTAGACATGGAGTTATGTTATGTTGCCCAGGCTGGTTTTGAACTCCTGGCCTTCAGCGATCCTCTTGCCCCAGCTTCCCAAAGTGCTGGCATTACAGGCATGAGCCACTGAGCCTGGCCTCTGTTGTTTTTCTTTTTTTTAAATTAAACACAGAAAGAGAAAAATGAAAATTCTTCCCTCACTCAACCCTTTATCTCACAATATTCTCCAGAGTTAAGTTTTTATGTTGCATTTTTATTTTGTGCTCAATATCTGTACCTCTCTAATTTTATTCGAAATTGTATTATTCATCTATTAATTTATACAACAATCATTCAGTGAGCATTGCTCATGTGCCAGCCATCAGAATCTGAGTCTCTGCCCTAAAATTGCTCAGTCTCGTGGGAGAGATAGCATATTCTGTGATAAGTGTTGTGACAGAAATTAGACAGGAAACTCAGGGGCCACATTTCTTGAATTGTGAGAAATCAAAGGAACCTTTCCAGAAAGAATAGAACCTTAACTGACTCTCTCAAAGAGCAAACAGGACAAAGGCAGATGCATAATGGCTTGACATCATGAGAGCAGCACAGCAAACGTCTAGAAGTAGGGGAGGTGTATAGTGTTGTGTGGCTTTGATAGGAACAAGGCAGGGAAATACATTTGGGATCAAAGAGACACACCAGATCATGAAAGGACTTCAATACAGTGCTAAAGATTCTAGATCTCACATGTTAAAAAGACCCAACTGGCAGCAATATAGCAAAGGGATTAGAATGAAAGAAGACAAGAGGCTATGGCAGTGGTCCAAAGGAAAAGTGATGAGGACCCGAAATATGATATGGGAGATGGACAGGGAATCCTAGGGTCAAGAGCTCATAAGGAGCAAGAATAGAAGCAGGGAACCCCCCTCTGGAGAGAGATAAATGCAGCCTGGAACTAAACGAGGAAAATGAGAATGGAGAGTGGGTTGGTTTGAGATGTATTTTGGAAGTAATATCATAGGACTTGCTATTAGACTAGATAGTCTGGGTGTAGACAGGGAGAGAAAGGAATTGAGCACAATGCCAGGTTTCTGGCTTAAACATCTGGGCAGATGATGGTGCTCTTTTCTCTTATTGCAGAGCTAAAAGACAAGCAGGATTAGGAGAAAACATGTTTTGGACTTGTTCAGTGAGACATTCAAGAGAATGGCACATCAACGATTGGACATACAAGTGTTGAGTGCCAAGGAGAAATTTGGGCTAGAGATATTAATCTGGAAATGCTAAGCATATAACACAGATGCTGTGTTTAAAGTCAGAAGAGAAGGCTTAAAACACAGAATATCAAGGGCAGGAAACAAAGCAGCAACTAACTACGGAGAACCTGGAATGGTCCAAGAGGTAGGAGTTAAGTAAGATGAGAACTGAAACGTCTATCTAAGTTATCAGCAACGAGGGCCAGAAACAGGGATTTTTTATTCTTCTTCAAAAGCCATTTTTTTCTCTATAAAATAGAGGCAAGTTGTTTTCTGAGACAAAGAGGGAGGTAGAGTATTTCAGGGGAGTTAACAAGACTAGTGAAGATTTGCCAACAAATGCTGTGCAGAATAAGTGAGCAAGCCACCAACAGCAGACTCATAATGACTATTGCACGTCATTGATGCCCCAGCTACAATGGGCTCCAAGATGTTGAGGGGGCCTGGTCCATAATGTATGTATTTAAATAGAGTGCTAATTTTTATAGACATTTGATAAGCTTCTGTCTTCCGTCTTAGCTCAGGCTGTTATAACAAAGTACCATAGACTGGGTGGCTTATAAACAACAGCAATGTATTTCTTACAGTTCTGAAGGCTGGGAAGTCCAAGATCAGGGTGCTGGCATGGTTGTGTTCTAGTGAAGACCCTCTTCCAGGTTGCAGACTACCAACTTCTTGTTGTATCTTCACATAGCAAAAAGAGAACAAGTTAGCTCTCTGGCCTCTTCTTGTAAGGGCACTAATCCCATTCATGAAGGTGGCACTCATGACCTAATTATCTCCCCAAAGGCCTCATGTAAAAATACCATCACCTTGCATATTAGATTTCAACATATAAATTTTGGAGGATACAAACATTCAGTGCACAGCATCTTCCTTTTGGTCAATCATTCATACCTTAAATAATCATGTTCAGTAGAGTTAAGCAATCATAATTTAAAACGCCACTATTCACCTAGTTCTATTGACACCTAGATTGCAGTCTGGGTGCAGAGGAGGAAATAAATCATCCCAATCCTTCAAGTCTAAAGACCAAAGTTACCCAAGGGTCATAGTCTCAAGATAATATATTTAATTGCCTTTTGACTTTATCAGATT
Source organism: Homo sapiens (assembly GCF_000001405.40). Lineage (NCBI taxonomy): Eukaryota > Metazoa > Chordata > Mammalia > Primates > Hominidae > Homo > Homo sapiens. The sequence goes on along the minus strand of NC_000002.12, from coordinate 179,306,280 downwards.
AAGTGACTGAGATTTTTTACCTCCTTGTTGAATACCATTAACCTAAAATTTACTCATATGAATATTATTTTCTGATATTTAAGAAAAGTTTCTGTTTGTTTTTTAGCTAAAACTGCCCTCCAAAATATAAAATGGAGACATCAAAGAATGTGATAATGCTATTAGGCATGCCTGACTGCTTCTAGAAGAAAAAAAAGTAATTCAGAGTGAGAAAGCAACTTAAGGGAGAAATTTGATACCAAGTAAAAGGAATCTTTAAAAGAAGAAGTTTAATTATATTCCCATTAAAATCAGAATTTATAGTTTATTACTTATTTACATAAACTATATACATATATATATGTATATATGCTTATACTTCCTATTGCAACTTTGAAAATCATTTTTAATTTTTTTTTTTTTTTTGAGACAAGAGTCTCACTCTGTCGCCCAGCTGGAGTGCAGTGGTGCGATCTCGGTTCACTGCAATATCTGTCCCCTGGGCTCAAGTGACCCTCCCACCTCAGCCCCCTGAGTAATTGGGATTACAGGTGTGTGCCGCCATGCCCCGCTATTTTTTTTTTGTAGAAACAGGGTTTTGCCATGTTGCCCAGGCTGGTCTCAAACTCCTGGGCTCAAGCGATCCTCTTGCCTGGCTTCCCAAAGTGCTGGGGTTACAGACATGAGCCACTCTACCTGGCCTGAGAATCTTAAGAGTTGGTACTGGAGGTCCACAGCACATAGGGTTATAACACACAGACTTGAAAATCAATAATATCCCTGTACCAGGCGGTATAATATAGCGGTTATAAGCCTAGACTTCTGGATTGCCTGGGTTCAGATTCTGTTTCATCATTCCTAACACAAGAACCTTGAACAAGTTATTAAACATTTTTATTATTTTGTTTTCCAATCGTAAAATGGGAGTCATTTTAATAGTAATATATCTCTTTTTAATTAGAATTAAATATTAAATATTATTTAAACTAAATATATTTAATATTTAAATATATAATTATAAAATTCTATATATAAAATTTATATATAAAAGTAATATTTTGTAAGTGCTCAATAAATGCTGGAATAGATCTTTGAATTTTTTCCCAATTTCTGGATTAAACAATACATAAATTACTATGGGAGAAGCCTTGTATTTTGAAACAAAACAGACTGAATTAATTTGAGGAAATGCATTGTGTTGATCAAAGAAAATACATTTTCACTTAGGAACACAGGCAAGTATTCTGTGTCAGTTACTCATTCACTAGCCAATGAATATTTGTTGAGCAGCTACTATAAGCCAAACACTATTCCAGGTGCTTGGCACAGAGAATATACCAGGGAACAGAAAAAGACAACAATCTCTACCCTTCTGGAGTTCAAATTCTATCAAGGAAAGATAGATAATAAAAAATAAACAATAAATAAGTAATTTTAGAGTGTGTTAGACAGTGATAAATGCTGTTGTGAAAAAAAGTAGAATGTAGTAAAGGGAACTGGGAGAAGAAGTCGAGATGTTGAGAATGGGGGAGGTTGTAACTTTAAGTGGGACAATCCTGGTAGTATTTTTGAGAAGGTAACATTTTCAAAAACACTTGAAGGAGGTGAGAAGTGAGCTTTGGGGGTTGTATTAGTTTCCTAAGGCTGCTGCAACAAAGCAGACGTTTATTTTCTCACTCTTCTGGAGGCTAGAAGTCTGAGGTTAAGGTGTCAGCAGGATTGATATTTCTGAGACCCCCTCTGGCTTGCATGTGGCCCTCTTCACCCTATGTCTTTACACAGTCTTTCTTCTGTGTCTGTGACCAGCTTTCCTGTTCTTTTTAAGGACACAATCATATTGGATTAGGGCCCATGTTAATGATCTCATTTTAAAGCAATACCTCTTTAAAGGCCCTATCTCCAACTAGTCACATTCTGAGGTACTGGGGTTAGGACTTCAGCATATGAATTTTGGGGGAACACAATTCAGCCCATAGGAAGGATATCATATTCCATGTAAAAGGAAAAACTAGTACAAAGGCTCTAAAATGGAAACTAGAGGGCTGGAGAACAGCAGGGAGGTGGGTAAGGTGGAGTGAGTGGGACTGTGGAGAAAGGCAGATTACTAGAGCCTTGTGGGCCATTGTAAGATCTTGGTGTGTTACTGAGTAAAATGGAGAACTGCGTTTGGACTTTCGGGAGAGAGTAACACATTTGCCTTATGTTTTAAAAGAACCATTGGTTGCTGTGTTGTGAACAGACTGCCAGGAACAAGGGGAATAGGGAGACCAGTTAGGGGTCCCCTGACTATGATACAAGAGAGATAATGAGGCTCAGATGTGGGCCACAGCTGGGGATAGCAATAGGTGGAAAATGTCAAGATGCATTTTGGTATTTACATATTCATCTGTCAAGCAATTATTGTGTGCCTACTATTTACCAAGCCATGACTTTTAATGAGGGGGAAATAGAAATGTAAATAGATTTGAAGCAAAAATTAGGGATATACACATAGGGAAATGAGTGAATTGTTTTTCTTCAGAGAAAATAAGATAAAGGCTTACAAAGGTAGTGAAATGTAAAATCATTAAATGACTTAGAAGTAATTTAATTAGAAATCCGTTCACACGTTAAGAACTTTGTTTCTAAGATGAGGAAGAATGCCATCCTAATTTTTTTCAGGTCTAGTACCATCTATTTCCCCTTACCTTTCAGTTTCTCTCTATTGTTTCCATTTGGAATAGAATGACATTTGTTCCCCTTTCATACATTTAAAGACATCTGGTTGCAGCATGTGGATCACTTCCAAAGCCCTGGAAGGGAAAGAGCTGAAGTGAACCAAAGGACAAAATACAAAGCAGGGAGAATGAGTAAGGAGGAAGGAAGCAAGAAATGCTTGGTGAGGGTTCCAGGCAGATAAAATTCATCCAGCCCCCATGCCAAGGTCCACAAAACAAACAAACAAAACACTTAAATAGCACTTTAATTGGGGACTAAAAGATGATCTGGTCCACAACAGACCACATACAAGAAGGTAGTCCCATAAGATTATGATACCACATTGTTTACTGTACCTCTTCTATGTTTACATATGTTTATATACACACATACTCTTACTATCGTGTTCCAGCTGCTACAGTATTTAGTACAGTGACATACTGTATGGGTGTGTAGCCTAGGAGCAATGGGCTAAAACATATACCTAGGTGTGCAGTAGGCTGTACCATCTAGGTGTGTGTAAGTACAGTCTATGACATTTACACAACTACAAAAAGGCTAACTACAAATTTCTCAGAATGTATCCCTATGAGTAAGTGATGCATGACTATACCACAGACTGGTGGTTGGAACAGCAAAAATGTATTTTCTCGCACTTCTAGAGGCTGCAAGTTTGAGATCAATGTGTCGGCAGCTGGTTTCTCCTGAGGTCTCTCTCCTCGGCTTGTAGATGGCCACCTTCTCACTGCAGCCTCACACGGTCTTCCCTCTGTACTCAGGAAACCCGGGTGTCTCTCTTTGTGTCCAAATTTCCTTTTCATATAATGACACCACTCAGATTGGATTAGAGCCCTTCCTAATGACCTCATTTTAATTAACTACCTCTTTAATGGCCCATTCTCCAAATACAGTCACATTCGGAAGTACTGGAGGTTAGGGCTTCAAAATACTAATTTGAGGATGGAGGTAGGACACAGTTTAACCCCTAACAGTGGGTTTAACCAGCTTCATTTAATTTTTTAAAAAATCTTCATATTTTCTTTGACTCCATGTTGGAGTTTAATTTATAACTTGTATTAGTCCGTTTTCATGCTGCTGATAAAGACATACCCAACACTAGGCAGTTTACAAAACAGAGTGGTTTAATGGATTTATAGTTCCTCATGGCTGAGGAGGCCTCACAATCATGGTGGAAAGCAAGAAGCAAGTCACATCTTACATGGATGGCAGCAGGCAAAAAGAGAGGTTGTGCAGGGAAACTCCTGTTTTTAAAAACATCAGATCTCAGGAAACTCATTCACTACCACGAGAATAGCACAGGAAGATCCATTTCCATAATTCAGCCACCTCCCATGGGTTCCTCCCATGACACACGGGGATTGTGGGAGTTACAATTCAAGATGAGATTTGGGTGGGGACACAGCCAAACCGTATCATAACTTTAAAGAGAATGCAAACTAACTAATTAAGCATAAAGTAAAATACTTTAGTCTTTAGTAGAATTACTATATGTGTTACAACTATAGGCTTTTTCAGATAAAGTATTTAGATGAATTAGCTTCTTCTATTGTTTTATACACAGAACAAAGATATGTGACCTATTTTAACTCAACCATATTGTGTGTGAATCTATGTATAAATCATGGGAAACTAATACTAACTTCTGTCATAATGCAATGTGTTTAATTGGATTTCATTTATTATATTTTCCTTCCTTCCTTCCTTCCTTCCTTCCTTCCTCCCTTCTTTCTTTTTCTTCCTTTCTTTCTTTCCTTTCTTTCTTTCAACAGGGTATAGGTCTGTCACCCAGGTTGGAGTGCAATGATATGATCATGGCTCACTGCAGCCTCAAACTTCTGGGCTCAAATGATCCTCCCACCTCAGCCTCCCGAGTACCTAGGACTACAGGCAGGTGCCACCATGCCTGGCTAATTTTTCTATTTTTTCTCGATACAAGGTTTTGCCACGTTGCCCAAGCTGGTCTTGAACTCCTTGTGATCTGCTGCCTCAGCCTCCCAAAGTGCTGGGATTATAGGTGTGTGCCACCACGTCTGGCCTACATTTTCTTGGGATAAAATATTTCAGAAATAAAATTAAAGAAAAATTTTCCTCATTCTTTGTTTTAAAAATTCTCCATGGCTGGACAATAATTGTTTGTCCATACTATGGGTTGGCTGATAAAGGGGTTTGAAGGTATATTAATTCTCTGCTAAGCTGGGCGTGGTGGCTCACGCCTGTAATCCCAGCACTTTGGGAGGCTAAGGCGGGCGAATCACGAGATCAAGAGATCGAGACCATCCTGGCCAACTTGGTGAAACTCTGTCTCTACTAAAAATACAAAAATTAGCTGGGTGTGTTGGTGGGCACCTGTAATCCCAGTTACTCAGGAGGCTAAGGCAGGAGAATCAACTGAACCCGGGAGGCGGAGGTTGTAGTGAGCCAAGATTGTGCCACTGTACTCCAGCCTGTACGACAGAGTGAGACTCCATCTCAAAAAAAAAAAAAAAAATTATCTACTAAAACCCAAAGCAAAAAAGTTCATTTCAGATACTGTGAGAGACCACTTCATATTTATTATCATACTTTCCTGTTTGTGGAGCACAGCGAACTATAGTTTGAGCTAAGTTCTTAGAAATAGGAGTCAAAGCATCTACTACATTCTATGGAAATGAAAATGTGTGTTTGAGTATCCATTTTATTTTCTAAAAACTTTTCTTTCAAGTGCAAATAAATATCTATCTCTCCAAATGATACTTGTTTCTCTTTCTCTGCCCTTCTATTCAAGAAAATATGGATCACTGAAGATAAAGCAAAATCTAATGCTTTGACTTCATAGCTGTTGGAATTTCATTCTCAGAGCTGTCCTGTGTTGCCATTTAAACATTTGCTTATAAAGATGTGTTTAAGATATGGCCACTACCGTGTATTAAGTTCACAATGCTGTCAGTCAGTTAGATTGCCCCATTTTTTCTAGCCTATTTTTTTCAAGTTGCAAATTCTAAATAAGTAATCTGTTACATTATTTCACATAATTTAAAAATAGCACATCATTACCATCAGCCACCAAGTAGAATGATTTAATTTTAAAGTCTTTCTTCACTCTCTTACTGAAGAAATGGTTCTGTGATCAATTTGACCTTTTGCCAGCATAATTGCCAAATAATTAACAATGATAAATGATTATGATCTGGAATATATTTAACTAATTATTAAAGGACAACATATACTTGAGAACAGGAAGTATGTATTTTCTATAAAATATTAGATATACTCATTTATTTTATCCATTCAACACATACTATGTACCAGAAACTGTCATCATGGAATTTATATTCCTAAAGTAAAGAAAGCAAAGCTGGGCACGGTGGCTCATGCCTGTAATCCCAGAACTTTGGGAGGCTAAGGCAGGTGGATTGCCTGAGCTCAGGAGTTCACGACCAGCCTGGACAACACGATGAAACCCCATCTCTATACTAAAATACAAAAAATTAGCCGAACGTGGCAGCATGCTCCTGTAGTCCCAGCTACTTAGGAGGCTGAGGCAGGAGAATTGCTTGAACCCAGGAGGCAGAGGTTGCAGTGAGCCAAGACTGCACCATTGCACTCCAGCCTGGGTGACAGAACGAGACTCTGTCTCAAAAAAAAAAAAGAAAAAGAAAATAAATATATGATATCTATATGATATCCTACATTAGAAGGTACTAATGCTATGGATAAAAATAAAAGCAGGGAAAGAGAGTTGGGATTCTGCATGTGAGGGAAAAGGGGTGCAGTTTTCAAAAGGATGGTCAAGGAAGATAACATCTATGCCAAATGTGGGTATCTGGAAGAGGTGTAGGTGGCCAACCATCCTGGCTGGTTGGGGACTAAGGGGTTTCCTTGGTTGCAAGACTTTCAGTGCTGAAACCAGGGCAGTCTTGGCCCAAGCAAACCAGGACAGTTGGTCACCTGACAAGTGTTCCAGATAGAGGAAACAGGAAGAACAAAGGCTCTGAGGTGGGAGCATGCCTAGCAGTTTCAGGAACTAGTAAGGAGGCCAGTGCAGCTGTAGAGAGGATGAGGTCAGAGATATGAGGGGGTCACATCATGTACGGCCTCGTAGTGCATACAATGGAACTCCACCCAAATCCTCTCCCCAGGGCTGATGATCCCTCCTGTGTGCCGCTAGGCTTGCATTATGTCTTGCAGTGGTGCTTGCTCTTGACTTCAGGGAACTTCCTGCTCCAAGATAGCCTAGAAATATGGAAAAAAAATAAGAAAAACTTAGATATGTCATGATGCATAAAATATAGGTAGATATTAGTCTATTATTTTATCATTTACTACCACAAAATATACACAAATCTATTATAAAAAGTTAAAATTTATCAAAACCTACACAAATATTTACAGACCATGCATGGTGCCATGAGGGGCCAAGAGAAATGTAAGCAACCAAAAAGATGCTATTAAATTATAACTGCATAAAAGTAACTGTAGTACATACTGCACAACTGTAATTATTTTATAGCTACCTCCTGTTGCTACTGCAGCAAGTTCAAGTGATGCAAGTATCCACTTATAGCACTGTATGAGGCTAATTATCTCTGCATAAGCAGTTCATCTCTCTAGTAAATTGGTTATTGTAGTAAAAGTGATCTCTCCTGGTTCTCAAGTATTTTTCATCACATGTAGTGCAATACTGTAAACCTCGAATAACACCATGCGACCCACAGGAAATGCCACTAGGCACTTGGCGCTGAAACTGCGCCCAAGAAGCAGAGAAGTCATAACATTACAAGAAAAAGTTGAATAGCTTGATATATTCTGTAGATTGAGGTCTACAGCTGTGGTTGCCTACCATGTTAGAGAGATGATTTATCTTGTAAACAGATGATGCAAGCTTACGGTATCAAGAAATATAGTACAGTACTGTAAAGATATTTTCTTTTCCTTATGATTTTATCAATAACATTTTCTTTACTCTAGGTTACTTTATTGTAATAATACAGTATATAATACAGCTAACATACAAAACATGAGTAATTGACTGTTTACGTTATCATTAAGGCTTTTAGTCAGCAGTAGGCTATTAGTAGTTAAGTGTTTGGGGAGAAAGTGGCCCTAACCCCGACGTTGTCCATGGGTCAACTGTGCTCCACACCTCCCTTTTGTGCACACACACACATAGAAATACAGAAATTTCTTAATTGCTTACTTCAGATTGTTTTTCTGAGCTTCATTGCTACTATTGCACAGGTTGGGAGAACTAGGCTATAATCCAACCAGAAAATTTTAGGTCTGCTGAAGAGTTGGCATTTCCCTTTGTGTCTCCAAATGTGGGGAGTAGGTGGACCAACTCTTCAGCTAATTCAAGAAGTTCCTAGGTCTTGGATGGATTATATCATACATCGAATTCCATTGTGTTACTGGGACGCCAGTTGTTTTAAATAAAGTAGGTACATCAAAGAGCAACAAGCAAAAGGGAAGTTCTTGCCCTCAAGGGTTTTATTCTACTTGTCTATGAGTCATTTTCCAGAAAATATTCAGTAATAAATGGCTTACTCCAGCATACCTCAGAAACTTAATTTCCAGTGGAGCCAGCATTTGTAGGCAGTGATAAGGGGGTTAAGAAAACATCAAATGGGGAAACAACTATCTCCTTTCTAGTCACACACACCAACCTAAATGTCCAGCTGCCCGGGAAATATACTAACTGCATTTAGTATGTCCAGAATTTTTATATTTCAGGCTTCACTGAAGAGTTTCCAGGAAGACAGTAGACTCCAAATTCATATTCCGTAGGAAAATGATGAATAGGAAAATATTAAGTAGGTGGCAGCTCCACTCTATCATGTGCATGAAGAGGCTCTTTATCCCTCAGTTCTAACTGTTGTTTTTGTTTGTTTGTTTTTTGAGACAGGGTCTCACTCTTTCACCCAGGCTGCAGTGCAGTGCTGTGATTTTGGCTCATTGCAGCCTCAACCTCCTAGGCTCAAGGATCCTCCCACCTCAGCATCCCGAGTAGCTGGGACTACTGGTGTGCACCAGCAGGCCTGGCTAATTGTTTGCAGAGACAGGGTTTCACCATGTTGCCCAGGCTGGCCTCAACCTCCTGGACTCAAGTGATTCTCCCATCTCAGCCTCCCAAAGTGCTGGGATTACAAACATGATCTACCACACCCATCCTAAATGTTGTTTTTAGCCAACTCTTTCAATATAAGTTTCCCTGACATATGAGTTTTTTCTGAGTATATATGAATTTTTATGTAATTAAACACCTTTATGTTTATTTATTTATTGAGACAAGGTCTTGGTCTGTTACCCAGGCTTGAGTACAGTGGTGCAATCATAGCTCACTGCAGCATCCCAGACTCAAGTGATGCTCCCTCCTCAGCCTCCCAAGTAGCTGGGACCACAGGTGTATCCCACCACACCCAGCTAATTATTTTAATTTTTGTAGCAGCAGAGTCTCACTATGTTGCCCAGGCTGTTCTTGAACTCCTGGGTTCAAATGATTCTCCCACCTCAGCCCCTCAAAATGTTGGGATTATAGGTGTGAGCCATTGCACCTGGCCTCATTAAAAATGTTTAGAAACTAATAAGGTTAGTTGTATTTATAGTCTACACTGCAACAATGTTAGCTGTACAGAGTCAGAAATGGCATAAAAGGATCCTTTTGTTTTGTAACATGTGGAAAGTACAGTGGTTTGAGAGTAAGCAGATCTGAATTTATTCTTGACTCTAAAATTGATTCATGTGTAGACTAGCATGATGGACCTTGGAAGGAATAGATCCTATAACATGATAAGTTTCTAAAAGAGAAGCAAGTTTTGAAAGGTTTTTCTACATAGACTTAATTTAGAAAATGGAAAATGGTGGGGACCTAACTCTGGCCTCCAGGGCTCATTGAGTGGTTTCACAGCCTTCAGTAAATCTCTTAATCTTCAGAGCCTTGGCTTTTTTTTTTTTTTAATCTATTAGATGGAATTATACCTACTTTGTCTCAGAGAACTGGTTACATGCATTAATAGATGTTGGGGCCAGGCACAGTGGCTCACACCTGTAATTCCAACACTTTGGGAGGCTGAAGAGGGAGAATCACTTGAGGCCAGAAGTTTGAGACCAGCCTGGGGAACATAGCGAGACCCTGTCTCTACAAAAAAATTTAAAAATTAGCCAGGCATGGTGGTTGGAGGCTGAGGCATGTGGATCCCTTGAACCCGGGAGTTTGAGGTTGCCATGAGCTATGATCATGCCATTGTATGCCAGCCTAGGTGACAGAGCGAGACCCTGTCTCTAAAATTAAATAAATAAAAAAGATGTGAGCATGATTTGAGAACTAAAAAGAAAAACAAGGTACTGTTTTTTATTTCTTTTATTTGTAAGTGCAAGTAAAAGCTATGTCTTCTCTCTGCACATTAGAACATGGTTTTGAAATTAACTGATGCAATATGTATGTAAAGTCCTTTTAGCTCTGTAGAAAACATTTTATATTCATATAAACCCAAATGCAAATACACACACACATAAATATATCAGCTAACAGAACCCTGTAATGTGCAGAGTATAGCACATTTTGGGTACTTAATCAGTTTTCGTTGAAGGAACGAATAAAGCTAAAAGCAACAGAGGATCAACTTCTATTATACTAAATCATGTTTTTAAAAATATATTAAAGCCAGTAATGTCTACAAATGATAAATAAATTTTAAATTTTCATAGTTATATTTAAATTTCAAAGATGTATAGTTTCATAAACAAAAATATAAACTCATCAAGTGATTTCAACCAAATATATTAGTTACTATTTAAATTATCAAATGATAATCTTTTAAAAAGAATTAAAATAATTACTAAATATTAGAATTGCACATTACTTTTGCAATGTAAAAAAATACCCAGTTATGGAATCTGTCATTTTCCTTTTGTTTCAGAGATTATATTTTATGGTTGTCCTTTTACCTATACAAAACCAGACAGGCCTCTGCCTGTGACCTTCAAAATGTATCACAGTTTCCTCTTGCACCTGGGCCATTATCAGACAAGTTCCACTTTATCTTGATTATAAGAACATGTATTCAGTTAATATTTCTGCATTTTATTAAGTATTTTAGGAAATAAAAAATTATGTCAGAGTTGCTTTACATAGTAATAGCTGTTAAAGAACCTTACTATGTACCAGACACTAGTCCAAGAACTTTATATGCAATTAACTTAATATCCACAACAATCCTATCAGATATGTATGATGATTATCCTCATTATACAGACAAGAACATGAGATACAAAGAAGTTTAAAATCTTGCCTAAGGTCACACAGCTAATAAATGATAGAGCCAGGATTTGAACTCAGGCAGGCTAGCTCCAGAGCTAATGCTAAGCAATAGGCTTTATTGCTTCTCATCTAAAGGGCCGCATCTTCTTATTTGAATGTGTCATTCTTCACTTGCTTGGAGCCCCACCCTACAAGGCTGGAATAAAAATCACATTTTACCAAACGCACATTTGGAGACATTCTATACCAGGGGCTGGCAAACTTTTTCTGTAAAGGACCAGACAGTGAATATTTTAGGCCTTGCAGGCCACTAAGTCTCTGTTGCAAGCTCAAATACAGTGTTTTAGCACAAAAGTAGCCATAGACAAAGTAAACAAATGAACGTGGCTTTATTCCAATTAAAACTTTATTTACAAAAGCAGGCCCTGGGTCAGACTTGTTCCATGGACCATAGTTTGCTAACTCCCATTCCACAGTCTTACTCCTTTTTTATTCATCCGAGTTACTTGGAGCTGTTCTGTGCACAGCTTTAGTTTAGCAGGAAATGGCTCCTATTCTTGCCTGCATGCACAGACAACTCTTAGAAGAAAAGACTCCTTTTTGGTATGTTACTTATTCTATAGCTTTTTATTTGCCTTTCTACCCAGTTCTCAGACCTGGGTTTAAACCTTGGGTGCCAATTTCTCGTTCTTTTTAGCAAGATCAATACTTTTTTTTGTTACTGGAGCCTCTAAAAGAAATATTTAGATTTTTGTCATACATTTTTGTTTTCCAAATGTGAAACACTGCCATTTGACTACCCTCAGTGTAACAATAATAATTCAGAAAATGATCATTAATTGGACATTAAACCCATCAAATAAAAAGAGATTGGAAAAGAGGATATTCACTGGTCCTGAAGTATGACCCACAAATTAATCTACTTACTACAAAGAGAAAATATACCTGTCAGTAGTAAGAGCTGGAGGACACCACTTTAATGAAATGGTCAAAAGCAAAGTCATCAATAATGGAATAAACTGGAATTATGTGCCTCCATTTGTAATATAATGGGAAGGACATGACATGACCTATGTAATATTTTTGCCTGAAATCTTTAAACTAAATCCAATCATGAGGAAATAATCTGACAAATTCAAATTATAGGACATTCTGTCATATAATTGGACCTAGACTTTGAACAAAAAAAAGAAACAAGGTAAAGCCTGTTCTAGATTATAGGAGAAAAATATATGACACCAAAATGAAATGGATGAACCTTAATTGGATCTTGGACCTAAAAAAATTGAAAGATATTTTTGGTACTTGGAATGAATATTAGATAATATTATTGAATCAATATGAAATTTTTTTTGGTGATTACAGAAAACTGAATTGACTATTTCTGCCCTCAAAGAACTCATCATCCTTGGGGAAAAACAGACCGATAAGCAAAGAGTTAAACTAGAACATCTTTGACTTTCTCTCTCTAGATAACAATTATTTAAACAGATACATAAAAACAGACTTCACAGTGAGTTCACACAGTTATTAGACTCCACAATAAGGCACGTAGTTCCCAAAACCCAAGTTTGGACCCAGCTACTATCCATATGAAATAAATATTGTAATAGGAAAGATAAGAAAAATACCAAAATCTTACTCTGCCCTGAATTTTATTTAAATTCTATATGGGATTGGAAATGAAATACCAAGGAGATTCCTCCCTGTCACCAAAAATGAACAGAGATAACACAGTTTGATAAAGCTTCAAGGAAGAAAAGACATTTAGAAACAGACCTTGAATAAAAGGAAGGAGGATTTCAATAGGCAGAGATGGAAGGAGAAGAGTTCCAAAAACACAGAGGCAGGAAAGAGGAGACCTGTTCCTGAAAGCATGAGCAATGCAATTTTCTTGAGGCACAAAAGACAGAAAAGTAGGTAAAAGCCACTTATGTGGAGGTCTTTGAATGCCAGGCTGAGAAGCAAACATTCAATTCAATCACCAATGTTTTTAAATGGGGTAATACTTTGAGTTATAAGTTTAAGATAATCAATCTAGAGAAAGTATACTGATGGAAGCAGATAAAAACTAAAAATAGGGGAAAAGTATTAGGCGATGGATTAGTCTTTCTCCTGCTACCATAACAAAATAACCCAGATTGGGCTGCGCAGATTGGCTCATGCCTGCAATCCTAGCAATTTGGGAGGCCAAGGTGGGCAGATCGCTTGAGGTCAGGAGTTCAAGACCAGCTTGGCCAACATGGTGAAACCCCATGCTTCTACTAAAAATACAAAAATTAGACGGGTGTAGTGGCGTGAGCCTGTAATCCCAGCTACTCAGGAGGCTGAGGCAGAAGAATTGCTTGAACCCAGGAGGCAAAGGTTGCTGTAAGCCGAGATTGCACCACTGCATTCCAGCTTGGGTGACAGAGCAAGACTCCATCTCAAAATAAAATAATAAAATAAAATAACCCAGAGTGGGTAGTTTAAAAAAGAGAAATTTATTTTCTCAAAGTTTGGGAGCCTAGAAGTCTGAGATGAGAGTGCCAGCATGGTTGGGTTCTGGCAAGGGCTCTCTTCTTGGCTTGCAAATGGTTGTCTTCTGGCTGTTTCCTCACATGGTGGAAACAGAGCGCTTCTGGTCCTTTTCCTATAAGGACACCAGCCCTACTGGATTAGGGTTTCATCCTTATGACCTCATTTAACTTTAATTGCTCTCATCTTAGTAAAGACTCTACTTCCAACACAGTCACATAGGGGAGTAAGGTTCAACATGTGAACTTTGAGGGGACATAATTTAGTCCATAGCAAGTGGTTACTTTTACTAAATACTACAGAGAAATAAGATTATTCAAATTTGGATGATAACAGTGGGAATAGAAAGAAAAGGCAGATGCTAGAGATAGATTTAAGCCATAGGATTTAGTAAATAGAAGTGAGAGAAGAAGGTGGAACAGCAAGGAAAAGAAGAAAAAGCCAAAACTAACTTCAAAATTCTAAGTTAGCATGACCCCTTGCTACTGGAAACCGTGATGAAGTAGGAAGAAAGCGAAGCTGGGTGTGTGTAGGGCTGGCTTCATAGGCATAAGACCTGTTCAGTCCAACTGCACCCTGCTCCCAGAAGGGAGCCATGTGTGGTTTAATGCTCTGCTGTCCCTGTCTTGAAATTCTTAATAATTTTATCCTTTAACTTATGTTTTGTAAGTGAAGCTCAATGAGACAATGGAGCATGTGAATGGGCAGACGAGATATGTACAAATATGTGCCTGCTGTTCTTTGCTGCCCTATGTGCCCTTAGCATTCATATGGCCCATGAGCACAGAATTCTGGTGGACCTACAACATGTGAAGGTCAATGAGACTTGAAACAAGAAAAAGGCAAGCAAATGGCCTGGCGCAGTGGCTCACGCCTGTAATCCCAGCACTTTGGGAGGCCAAGGTGGACGGATCACTTGAGGTCTGGAGTTTGAGACCAGCCTGGCCAGCATGGTGAAACCCCATCTCTACTAAAAATACAAAAAACAAAACAAAAAAAAAATTAGCCCGGGTGTGGTGGTGGGCTCCTGTAATCCCAGCTGCTTGGGAGGCTGAGGCAGGAGAATCACTTGAACCCGGCAGGCGGAGGTTGCAGTGAGGAAAGATCGCACCGCTGCATTCCAGACAGAGTGAGGCTCCGTCTCAAAAAAAAAAAAAAGTCAAGCATATTATGTCTATGCTTGAGTAAGAGGAGGGGCTGACAGCTCTAAGAGGCCAAACCTTCCCTTTGAACCAGAACTTACTTCAAACACAGAAAAAAGACAATGGCATTCTAAGAAACATGAATGACCAAGGAACGCTGTTATATCATTTCCTATTCATGTTAATTTTCTTACTAGTCACCCACTTAAGCTGAAAATATGAACATAAAAGAAAAGGAGATTATAGAAGCTACTTACAAACAAAAGAAAAAGGGAAAACAGGTAACCCGTAGTTCTTTTTCTTTTCAATCCTTCCTAACTAATCAGCAAGTCAAAGGCACACAGTGCAGGCAGGATGTATGTGTATTGAGAAGTGAAATAGTCCAGGTGCGGTGGCTCACACCTGTAATCTCAGCACTTTGAGAGGCTGAGGCAGGTGGATCACTTGAGGTCAGGAGCTAAGACCAGCTTGGCCAACATGGTGAAACCCCAGTACAAAAATTAGCTGCGCATGGTGGCGTGCACCTGTAATTCCAGCTACTCAGGAGGCTGAGACACGAGAATTGCTTGAACCCAGAAGCCGGGAGGCGGAAGTGGCAGTAAGAAACGATGGTGCCACTGCACTCCAGCCTAAGTGACAGAGTGAGACTCTGTCTTAAAAAAAAAAAAAAAGTGAAATCAAAATTGAGTTAGGTTTGTGTAATGTTTTCACTGTTCTGGTAATAACAAAGTACATATGTATGTACACTGAAATCGCAAAATTTTTGTGATTCTGCATACATTAAATGTTCTATTTGTGTTTGAAACTGGCACTGCACACATAAAAGTCAGTGGCAAAATGCTAATCATTAAACATTTTAATTTGTCTTTACCTGGGATGACATTAAATATCAAATTAAAATACCATGACAAGTAGAAAGAGAGACCACAGGAAAAAGGAAAAAGCTTTTTATTTCAATACCTTGAATGGCACTTTTTCCTTGCTTTTCAGCAAGGGTCTCCTCACTTTTCATTTATGTGAGGTTCCACAAATTATGTACCTGGCCCTCAGTGTGTGTATGTCTATGTGAAAGAGAAAAAGAGAGGAGTAGAAAGGGAAGGCACACATGCAAGTGTTTCAACTCAGAAGACATATGTCAACATACCATGTGCCAGGCATGTGGCCCTGTACCAGACCCTGGCAAGATACAAAACTGAAGAAGACAGATTGCACTTTGGCTAGTGGAGAATGATGAATCAAATATGGGATTTGCTGAGTTTAAAATAACAGCAGAACTTTCAGATGAAAATATCTAAAAAATAGCTGAACATGTGTGTGCGGTACATCTAAAAGAAATTTGAAAGTGAATTGCACAGAACTATAATAGTAAATATTTCAATAGCAACAAAAATATGAAAAACATGAGAATGAACTTTAAAATAAATATGCATCATTTATATGAGGAAAATGAAAAGAACTTCTGAAGGACATCAAAGAAGGCTTGAACAAATCAAAAGCATATTATGTTCTTAGACTGGAAGATTCAGCATCATAAGAATGTCAATTCTTCCTAAATTATTCTGTAAATTTAACCTGATCCCCATAAACATAACAATAAGAATTTTTAAAATTTGGAAGTAGACAAGCTGATTCTAAAGTTCATATGTAAAAATATATAAATAATAATCATAAATTTCAAAGGAGAGATGAGGGACTTCCTATTCTATAACAGAAAGGCTACAGTCATTAAAATAGTTTGGAGCATGTTCATTAATAAAACAGAATGTCCAGTAGAAGACCACAAAACATACAAGGAGATGATACAAGTGCTACTTTTACAGCACTTCAAATTGAGGAAGAAGTAAAATTATTCAGCAAATGATATTCAGACAAGCTGGAAAAAAAATTGGATTCCTATGTTACACTTTACATATAAATAAATTCCAGATGGATCAAAGATTTAGACAAAAAAATGAATCCAAAGTACCAGAAAAAAATATAGAATAATTTTATATTAAATCATATCAGCATGGGAAGGGCTTCTAAGGATAACATAAAACTCAGAAGCTATTAAAGATTGGTAAATTTGACTACATAATAATCATAAAAATTCTGCAGGCAAATTAGTGAAATAAAACCATCCTATATAAACTAAAAACTAAGAAATAATATATACACCAAATATCAGAAGCAAATTGCTATAAATTTTATTTTTTGAGATGGAGTCTTGTGCTTATCACCCAGGCTGGAGGGCAATGGCACGATCTCAGCTCACTGCAACCTCTGCCTCCCAGGTCCAAACGATTCTCCTGTCTCAGCCTCCCGAGTAGCTGGGATTACAGGCACCTGCCACCAGGCCTGGCTAATTTTTTGTATTTTTAGTAGAGATGGGGTTTCACCATGTTGGCCAGGCTGGTCTCAAACTCCTGACCTCAGGTGATCCACCTGCCTCAGCCTCCCAAAGTGCTGGGATTACAGGCATGAGCCACCACGCCGGGCCTATAAATTATTTTTAAAAGACCAACTATTCAATGTAAAATATGAGTGAGGAGCTAAAGAATATTTTGAAAATAGTTTATTAAAAAGGAAGTACAGGTGGCTTTTAAACATATATATGAAGATATCAGTCCTCACTATACTACACTGAGATGCTATCTTTCACCTATCAGACTGGCAAAAACTAAAACATTTTGTACCACAGTAATCAAGTATTACTGGAGAGGTTGTAAATTGGTACAACCTAAACAAAAGGCAATTTCACAATAACCAATCAAAATAACAAATGCTCATACTTTTTGAACTAGTAATTCTAGTCCTAAGTACTTATCCTGTAAGTACAAAATGATTGTTTATGATAGATTATAAGAGACTTGAAGCAGAGTAGATGTTTATCATTAGAAGACTGGTTAAAAAAATATGACATGTTCAAACAATGAAATACAATACTAGTAGGAAAAGATCTCCAAAATCTATTGTTTTTCTGGGGTGTTTTGATTTTATTTTTGTGTTTGCTTTTTTTTTAATTGTTTTTTATTTTTGAGACAGAATTTTGCTCTTTTGCCCAGGCTGGAGTGCAGTGGCATGATCATGGCTCACTGTGGCCTCAACCTCTCAGACTCAAGCCATCCTACAACCTCACCCTCTCAAGTAGCTGGGACTAAAAGCACATGCCACCACGCCTGGCTAATTTTTTTTTTTTTTTTTCATTTTTTGTAGAGACAAGGTCTCACTACATTGCCCAGGCTGGTCTTGAACTCCTAGGCTCAAGCGATCCTCCCACCTCAGGCTCCCAAAGTGCTGGGATTATAAGCATGAGCCACCATGCCTGGCCCAAAATCTATTGTTAAGTAAAAAAAGGTAATGTGTAGAATAGTACATAGTATGGTAATATTTGTGTGGGGAAATTATACACATATACATACATATGTATGTACTCAGATGTTTGTAAATGGATAGAATATTCTTTTGAAGATTTGGTCTTTATTTTAAAATTGCCAGGAGGGGTAAAATATGTAGACACAGAATTGAAAGAGAGAAAAACAAATTGTTTATGTGATTGCCATAAAAATCAGGGGATGTTATCTATGGCCATTACAATAATTTATTTCTAGATGTATCCTGCTTTTAAAATACTTCTAATTCTGTTAAATAATATCCTATCTTTTTCAGATGCCATTAATTGAGGATCCAAATATTTTCATTTTACTTTGTAGGTCAATTCGTATTTTCAAACTTGACAATTTAACACATTTTAAACTTAAGAGCTTTTGAAAGAAGGGATTGACTAAATACCTTAAAATTTTTTTTTTTTTTTTTTCTGAGACAAGAGTCTCTCTCTGTTATCCAGGCTGGAGTTCAGTGGTGCGATCTTGGCTCACTGCAACCCCCGCCTCCCAGGTTCAAGTGATCCTCCTGCCTCAGCTTCCTGAGTAGTTGGGATTACAGGCTTGCACAACCTTACCTGGCTAATTTTTATATTTTTAGTAGAGACAGAGTTTCATCATGTTGGCCAGAATGGTCTCGAACTCCTGACCTCAAATGATTCACCTGCCTCAGCTTCCCGAAGGGCTGGGATTACAGGCATGAGCCACTGCACCCGGCCAATATCAGTATTTTCATTTAAGTTAAAGATTAACAAGGTAACAATAAACGTTTTCCATTTTTGTTGGTAGATTTCAATGTAGCTCAGAATTTGTATTGTAAAAATTTATTTTTTTAAGTTCAGGGGTTCATGCTCAGGTTTGTTATATAGGTAAACTTTTGTCATGGGGGTTTCTTGTACAGATTATTTCATCACCAAGGTATTAAGTCTAATAGCAATTAGTTATTTATCCTGATTATCCTGATCCTCTCCTTACTCCCACCCTCCACCCTCCACTAGGCCCCAGTGTCTGTTGTTCCCCTGTATGTGCCCATGTGTTCTCATCATTTAGCTCCCACTTCTAAGTGAAAACATGTGGTATTTGGTTTTCTGTCCCTGCATTAGTTTGCTAAGGATAAAGGGCTCCAGCTTCATCCATGTTCCTGCAAAGGAGAGGATCTTGTTCTTTTTTATGGCTACATAGTATTCCACGGTGTGTATGTATTATATTTTCTTTATCCAGTCTACCATTGCTGGGCATTTAGGTTGATTCCATGTCTTTGCTATTGTGAATAGTTGTAAATGCATAACTTATTCTTAGATGGTTCCACAAAAGATTATTTCTAATAGTGGTGGTTAGCTCCTAGGAGAGAAACTGGATGGCCCAGGGTCAGGGAGAAAAAAGAGACTTATTTTTCACTGTATATTATTTTGTGGTTTTGAATTTAATATTATGTACATATAGTACTCAAAAAATTAGATTAAGAGACTCAGTATTTAAAAACACTGAGGCATTGAGATAGATTAGGTCTCTGAGTATAAGGATATTGGCAGAAAAGGACCAAGGACTGACAAATGTCTCTATGTGAAGAAGGAAAAAATGTCAGCTAGACACCATTAACAGGGAAATAGACTGAGAAGTGAAAAACAGGATAAAACAGTGTCATGGACATTGAAAGAGAAGAGTTTTGAGAAGAAAATCAAGGGTTCCAAAAGAAAAGATAAATACCATTATCTGTAAAATAATTATAAAACTTTGTATATCAATATCTGCAAAAAAGTATGGCAGAATTTTAAAAAAGTCAATATACTTAGTATAAAAACAACTAATATAAATCAAGGGAAAAAACCCAACATTCTAATAGAAAAATTATCTATGAATAATGAAGGGACAATTCACGAAGAAAATACAATTGCCAATAAACATATTATTTTATCATTCAGGAAATGCAAATTTAAAAAGAAGAAATCTTTGCTTATATATTTAGTAAAAAAAAATTGTAATGAAGTTCTCAATGCCAATGGGAACATGAATTGGGACATATATTTGGAAATTAGTTTGTTAGCATGTATCAAGAGACCTTATAATTGTTCTTTCTTAAACTTTTTTTTTTTTTTGAGACAGAGTCTCACTCTGTCACCCAGGCTTAAGTGCAGTGGTGCCATCTTGGCTCACTGCAACCATTGCTGGCTGGGTTCAAGCAATTCTCGTGCCTCAGACTTCGCAGTAGCTGAGATTACAGGTGTGTGCCACCACGCCTAGCTAATTTTTGTATTTTTAGTAGAGATGGGGTTTTATTTACTGTGTTGACCAGGCTGGTCTCGAACTCCTGGCCTTAAGTGATCCACCCGTCTCAGCCTCCCAAAGTGCTGGGATCACAGGTGTGAGCCACCGTGCCTGGCATGTTTTTTCTTAAATTTGACACTGTATTTTTTATTTCCAGGAATTTGTACCGAGGAAATAATCAAAATTGTCTAATATTATATGCAAAATGTTCATTATAGCATTATATCTGAGAGCAAAACATAAGTCAATTGCAATGTTAATCAATAGGTTAAAAAAAGGTGGTTCATTCATAGGATAAAACACTATATAGTCATTAAAATGATATATCCAAAGATTATCTTATTATGCAGAACGGTGCTCATGGTGCAGATTAAATGTTAAAAGCAGGCTATAACATTCTACATAGGGTAAGAAACAATTTTCTAAAAATGTACATATGTGCATAGTGCACACCTTTTTTTGGTTTTTGTTTTTATAGTCAGAGTCTTGCTCTTTGTCCCAGGTTGAAGTGCAGTGGTGTGATCTTTTCAAATATTCCAAAATGTCTGTATTATGAGATCACTGGTGGTTTTTCTTTTCCTTATGCTTTTCAGAATGGCTGAAATCATCTGCAATGAAAGGTATGTATTTTATAATGAAGAAAGTGATAAATATTATAGCAACAAAAGGGCAGAAAGAAATACATGGTCACCAATTGGATTAGTCCCCTTTTGGGATGCCCAGTTAGCCCACACTCCTCATCCCTGAGAACATCCTCCCAAACCCTGCTCCTTTGCCTTGTATACCCTCTCTCCCAATGGGACTGTCATTCACTCAGTCCACCACCTCTCACATCTGTCTGCCTCCTTCTTAGTTCAGATGCTTATCCTTTCTCACTCAGAAGTTCAAGTTTCCCACATGGTCTTCTACCTTCAGTCTTATAGCCTTCCAATCCAGCTTCCATCTACTTGCAAGTAAGTGTGTTATTTGCAAAATACTAGTGTATTAAGAAGGGCAAAAAGGAGAAGGAGAACTTTGTTAGCACCTTGTGTAGTGCCTATAGGTTTAAGTCCAAATTCCTTTGATAAGTTCAAAGTCTTCTGTTATTTTGCATTGCCTTTCATTCTAGCTGTGAAGCCCAGCTTGGTTCCCATGTTCTAGACATACTGAGCTATTTGCAGTGCCCTCAGCAGACCTGGATGCTTTATGTCTCTGCACCTTTGGTCATGTACTTCCTCTGCCACTAATGATGCCATAGCCTGTTTCCATCCACCTGGTCAACACACACTGTCTTTCTAGAAGACTCAAGTGTAAAGCCATTCATGACTTCCCTGGGTAGAGGCAATTTCTCCCTCATTTGTGGTTCTACTTTTTGCCTTTACTGCTTTATATCACATAGTTTGTGCACATCTTCTTTGATAAATAGACTGAACAACATTTGACATCAGAGAATGTCCTTTTCATCCCCAGATCCTAGTTTAGAGACTGGTGAAAACCTAATAACTATTTGTTGATTAAAAGAAAAAGGGAATGAGTGGTTAACAGTATCAAGTACTATAAAGAGGGAAGAGAGGGAAAAAATCACTGAATATGATAATTAAGTAGTCATTGTTAACTTTGAAAGAACTATGTCAGTTGATTTAGTGGGGAGGCTGCAAGTAGTGAATGAATGGTGAACAAGTAATCATTTCAATTCTGGATATTTTTCACGCACAAGGAAGTTGTCACTGAATGGAAGGAAAAAGAAGATAATGGCTTGAAAGAATATTTGAATTTTGGTTTTTATAAATAACAGAAACATAAATATTTTGTAGCTACAGAAAAAGAAATTACTCACAGGAGAATTCTGATGTCACATGGCAAGATTAATTTTACAGGAAGATCTTAAAGCATGCACATTGCAAGTGCTTCCACAATTTATGCATTTCATTTATTATTAATAACTAGGATGAGAAACTCCTGCTGGCTCTGCATTTTCCCACCCCCTCCTCCACAGCCCGCAAAGGAAAAAATATTAGTCGGATCAACCTCAGATTTTCTGGTTCAGTATTAGTGTGCATGAGCCTATGGATTTTATCTTCTGCCCACCTGCTTGGTGAGCTGCTAGGCCTTTGAAGCAAATGGGCTTTCTCTTTCTCTCTTCCTATTAATTTGATAAGACTGTTTGCATATTTCTTAACATTTCATATATTTTATCTGCTTGTGTTCTGGGCTGCACTTTGTATCATTTCTTCAGATGGGTCCTCGAATTTGCCAATATTTTGATTTAGCTCTGCCTAATGTGTGCTTTAACCAATCAATTGAAACTTTTTACCTCAGCAATTCTATTTTTTTAACTTCTAAGAGCTTTATTTGGTTTGTCTTCAAATTTGCCTGGTCTTATAGAAGAGCCTCTTATTGCTTGCTTAATTTTTGTGTTTCTATCTTTTAAAACATTAAACATTTCATATAATTTGTTTCATATTCTTTGTCTGATCATTCCAGTATGTGAAACTCCGATTGAACTAAATGTGATGTTGGTTATTTCTGATACTTTCATGAATTTGCTTGTTTATATTTTTTATAACCGTTGATTATGAACTCCCATTTAATTGATTTTAATCTGTGGGAATCCTGGAGTCCTAATCTGAAGATGTGTTTCTCCAAAACTCATCTTCTGTGTGGAGCCACATGCCCCACTAGTAATCTGGAACCACCGTAACTCCTCTCCAGGTTTCTGGCTTTGTGAGAGCTGCTCTTCATCAGTTCTCCAACTTGCCCCAGGACACTTTCTCTGGGTCAGTCTGACCTGGTGACTTATAGCCCACTGCTTTGCTTTCATTCCCCCAAATCGTGTAAGCCTAGAAGTGCATGGCATTATCGTTTTGTAGCAAAATAAGACCTTTCTCCCATTTTCTTGTGAACCCCTTTCAATCAAACTTCCTCTCCCATCATTCCATCAAAACTGCTTTTCCTAAGGTCACCAATAATCTCCAAGTGCAAGGGTCACTTTTGCACCTCATCTTACTCCTTGTCTCAGTCTGTTTGTTCTGCCATAATAGAATACCTGACATGGAGTAATTTATAAGTAACAGAAATTTATTTCTCATGGTCCTGGAGACTGGGAAGTCCGAGATCAAGGCACTGACGGGTTCAGTGCCTGATGAAGGCTTATTTCTCATAGGTGACACCAACTATGCCCTTATGCCCTCACAAGGTCAAAGTATGGAAGCACAAAACAGACCAAATTCCCTCCCTTGAGCCCTTTTATAAGGACACTAATCCATTCATGAAGGCAGAGCCCTCATGGGCTGATCGCTTCCTAAAAGTCCCTCCTCTTAATAATGTTGCATAGGAGATTCACTTTCAACATGAGTTTTGGGAGGAACACAAATATTCAAACCATATAGTCCTTGCTGTGATGATATTTTTAATTTTTTTATTTTTAATTTTTGTGGGTACATATAGGTGTATATATTTATGGGGTTCATGAGATGTTTTGATCAAGCATGCAATGCATAATAATCACATAATGAAAAATGGTGTATCTATCCCCTCAAGTATTTATTCTTTGTGTTATAAACCATGCAATTATGCTCTGCTAGTTATTTTAAAATGTAAAACTATTATTGACTGTGCTCACCCTGTTGTGTTATCAAATACTAGGTCTTATTTATTCATTCTATTTTTTTGTATCCATTAACAATCCCCACCTCCCCCCAACCACCCCACTACCCTTCCCAAACTCTCGTAACCATCCTTCTACTCTCTATCTCTATGGATTCAACTATTTTGATTTTTGGATCCCACAAATAAATGAGGACATGCAATGTCTGTCTTTCTGTACTTGGCTTATTTCACTTAACATAATGACCTCCAGTTCCATCCATGTTGCTGCAAATGACTGAATCTCATTCTTTATATGGCTGAATAGTACTCCATTGTGTATAAATACTACATTTTCTTTATCTATTCATCTGTTGATGGGACACTTCGGTTGCTTCCAAATCTTGGCTATTGTGGACAGTGCCTCAACAAACATGGGAGTGCAGATATCTCTTCAATATACTGAGTCCTTTTCTTATGGGTATATATAGCAGTGGGATTGCTAGATAGTATGGTAGCTCTATTTTTAGTTTTTTGAGGAATCTCCAAACTGTTTTCCATAGTGGTTGTACGAATTTACATTCCCACCAACAGTATACGAGGGTTTCCTTTTCTCCACATCCTCACCAGCATTTGTTATTGCCTATCTTTGGATATAAGCCATTTTAACTGGGACGGGATAACATCTCATTATAGTTTTGATTTGCATTTCTCTGATGATTAATGATGTTGAGCATCTTTTCATATGTCTGTTTGCCATTTGCATGTCTTCTGTTTTACTTAGCTAATCTGGCTAAGGGTTTATCAATTTTGTTTAACTTTTCAAGAAACCAACTTTTTGTTTCATTAATTTTTTGTGTTGTTTTCTGCATTTTAATTTCATTTATTCTGCTCTGATCTTTATTATTTCTTTTCTTTTGTTTTTTGGGGTTTTGGTTTGTTTTACTTTCCTATTTCTTTAATATGTATCATTCTATTGTTTATTTGAAGTTTTTCTTATTTTTTATGTAGGCATTTATAGCTATAAACTTTCCTCTTAGTAGTGCTTTTGCTGTACCCATAGGTGTTGGTATGTTATGTCTTCATTATCATTTGTCTTAAGAAATTTTTCGATTTCCTTCTTAATTTCTTCATTGACCCAGTGGTCATTCAGGCACATACTGTTTAATTTCCATGGAATTGTACAGTTTCAAAATTCATTTTGTTATTGATTTCTAGTTTTATTCCATTGTGATGAGAAGAGATGCTTGATATTATTTCAGTGTTATTGAATGTTTTAAGACTTGTTTTGTGATCTATCCTTGAGAATAATCCATGTGCTGAGGAAAAGAATGTGTACTCTGTAGCCATTGGGTGAAATGCTCTGTAAATATCTATTAGGTCCATTTGGTCTGTAGTGCTGATTAAGTCCAATGTTTCTTTGTTGATTTTCTGTCTGGAAGATATGTTCAATGCTGAAAGTGGGGTGTTGAAGTCTCCAGTTATTATTGTATTGGGGTCTATTTGTCTCTTTAGCTCTAATAATATTTGCTTTATATAGCTGGGTGCTTCAGTATTGGGTGCATGTATATTTAAAATGGTTATATCCTCTTGCTGAAGTGACCCTTTTATCATTATACAGTGACCTTCTTTGTCTCTTCTGATAATTTTTGTCTTGAAATCTGTTTTGTCTGATATAAGTATAGTTATTCTATTGGTTTACTGCTCTTTTTTGGTTTCCATTGGCATGGAGTATCTTTTTCTATCCCTTTATTTTCAGTCTGTGTGTGTCTTTATGGGTGAAGTGTGTTTATTATGGATAACAGATCATTGATCTTGTTTTTTAAAAATCCATTCAGCTCATCTATGTCTTTTGATTGGAGAGTTTAATCCATTTACATTCAATGTTATTATTGATAAGTAAGTGATTTGTTTTCTGCTAGTTTCGTGGTCTTCTCTTCCTTCTTTCTTTCCTTTCCGTCTTCCTTTTAGTGAAGGTGATACTCTTTGGTTATATGATTTAGTTTCTTGCTTTTTACTTTTTGTGTATCTGTTGTATGATTTTGGTTTGAAGTTACCATGAGGCTTGCAAATACTATCTTATAACCTATTATTTTAAGCTAACAACAACTTAACACTGTGATACGGTTTGGCTGTGTCCCCACCCAAATCTTATCTTGAACTGTAGGTCCCATAATCCCCACATGTCTTGGGAGGGACCTGGTGGGAGGTAATTGAATCATGGGGGTGGGTTTTTTCGTGCTGTTCTCATGACAGTGAATAAGTCTCATGAGATCTAATGGTGTGCACCATGTAAGATGTGACTTTGCTCCTCCTTCACCTTCCACTATAATTGTGAGGATTCTCCAGCCATGTTTAACTGTGAGTCCATTAAACTTCTTTTTCTCTATAAATTACCCAGTCTCAGGTATTTCTTTTTTTTTTTTTTTTTTTTTTTTTTTGAGACGGAGTCTCGTTCTGTTCCCCAGGCCGGACTGCGGACTGCAGTGGCGCAATCTCGGCTCACTGCAAGCTCTGCTTCCCGGGTTCACGCTCAGGTATTTCTTTACAGCAGTATGAAAATGGACCAATACACAATGTTTGCATAAAAAAACAAACAAAGGAGCAAGCAAAAAGAAGACAACACTCTACACATTAACTTTGTCCCCCTGCTTTTTAACTTTTTTTGTTACTGTTTATATCTTATTGTACTCTCTATGTCTTGAAAAGTTGTGGCAGCTCTTATTTTTCACTGGTTCATTGTTTAGTCTTTTTACCTATGATAAAAATATTTTACAGGCCAGACGCGGTGGCTCACGCCTGTAATCCCAGCACTTTGGGAGGCCGAGGCGGGTGGATCACGAGGCCAGGAGATCGAGACCATCCTGAGTAACATAGTGAAACCCTGTCTCTACTAAAAATACAAAAAATTAGCTGAGCGTGGTGGTGGGCGCCTGTAGTCCCAGCTACTCAGGAGGCTGAGGCAAGAATGCCGTGAACCCGGGAGGCAGAGCTTGCAGTGAGCCAAGATTGCGCCACTGCATTCCAGCCTGGGCAACAGAGCGAGATTCTGTCTCAAAAAAAAAAAAAAAAAAAAATTTACACACCACAGTTACAGTGTTACAGTATTTTGTACTTTTCTGTGTACTTACTATTACCACTGAGTTTTGTACTTTCAGATGATTTCTTCTTGCTCATTATTGTCTTTTTCTTTCTGATTAAAAAGCTCCCTTTAGCATTGTTTACAGGACAGGTCTGGTGTTGATGAAATCCCTCAGCTTTTGTTTGTCTGGGAAAGTGTTTATTTCTTCTTCATGTTTGAAGGGTAATTTCAGCAGATGTACTATTCTAGGTTAAAGGATTTTTCCTTTAGCACTTTAAACATGTCATGCCACTCTCTCCTGGCTTATAAGGTTTCCACTGAAAAGTCTGCTGCCAGATATATTGGACCTCCATTGTATGTGATTTGTTTTGTTTCTCTTGTGCCTTTTAGGATCCTTTCTTTATCCTTGACCTTTGGGAGCTTATTTATTAAATGCCTTGAGGTTAAATCTGCTTGGTGTTCTATAACTTCCTTGTGCTTGAATATTGATATCTTTCTCTAGGTTTGAGTTCTCTGTTATTATCCCTTTGAATGAACTTTCTATCCCATCTCTTTTTCTACCTCCTCTTTAAGACCAATACCTCTTAGATTTGCCCTTTTGAGGCTATTTTCTAGATCTTGTAGGTGTGCTTCATTGTTTTGTATTTTTTGTTTGTTTTTGTTTGTTTTTGTTTTGAGATGGAGTCTTGCTCTGTCGCCAGGCTGGAGTGCAGTGGCACCATCTTGGCTCACTGCAACCTCTGCCTCCCGGGTTCAAGCAATTCTCCTGCCTCAGCTTCCTGAATAGCTGGGACTGCAGGCACATGCCATCACTCCCCGCTAATTTTTTTTTTGTCTTGTATTTTAGTAGAGACAGGGTTTCACCATGTTGCCCAGGCTGGTCTCGAACTCCTGACTCAGGTAATCTGCCTACCTCAGCCTCCCAGGCATGAGCCACCTTACAGGCATGAGCCACCGCGCCTGGCCTGTTTTTAATTTTTTATTTTGTCTCCTCTGACTGTGTATTTTCAAATAGCCTGTTTCTAAGCTCATTAATTCTTTCTTCTGCTTGATCAATTCTGCTGTTAAAAGACCCTGATGCATTCTTCAGTATGCCAATTGCATTTTTCAGCTTCAGGATTTCTGTTTGATTCTCTTTAATTATTTTAATCTCTTTGTTAAATTTATCTGTTAGAATTCTGAATTCCTTCTCTGTGTTATCTTGAATTTCTTTTGAGTTTCCTCAAAATAGCTATTTTGAATTCTCTGTCTGAAAGGTCACATATCTCTGTTTCTCCAGGATCGATCCCTGGTGCCTTATTTAGTTCATTTAGTGAGTTCATGTTTTCCTGGATTGCCTTGATACTTGTAGATGTTCACTGGTGTCTGGGGACTGAAGAGTTAGGTATTTATTGCAGTATTTGCAGTCTGGGCTTGTTCATACCTGTCTTTCTTTGGAAAGCTTTCCAGCTATTTGAAAGAATGTGGGTACTGCAATTTAAGCTGTATCTGCTTTAAGGGGAACCCCAAGCACCATAGTGCTGTGGTTCTCACAGACTCACAGATGTACCATCTTCATGGTCTTGGACAAGGTCTGGAAGAATTCTCTGGATTACAAGGTAGAAACTCTTGTTCTCTTTCCTTACTTTCTCCCAAGCAAATGGAGTTTCTTTTCTGCTCTGAGCCACCTGGAGCTGGAGGTGGAGTGACACAAGCACCCCTATGGCCACTACCCCTATGACTGCACTGGGTCAAACCTGAAGCCAGCACAGCACTGGGTCTTGCCCAAAACCTGCTGTAATCACTTCCTGGCTACCACCTATGTTCATGCAAAGCCCCAGGGCTCTACAGTCAGCCGGTGCAAAGCCAGCCAGTCCTGTGTTCCTCCCTTCAGGGTGGCAAGTTCTCCCAGGTCCTGGGACGATCCATAGAGGCCATGTGGGAGTAAGGGTCTAAAGTCAAAAACTTTTGAAGTCTACCTGGTGCTCAATTTTTCTGTGGCTGAGCTGGCACTCAAACCACAAGTCACAGTCCTTCCAACTCTTCCTACTCCTCTCCAAAGGTGGAGGGGCCTCACCCCATGGCCACTGCTACCTCAGGCCCACAAAGAGTACTGCCAGACCACCATTGATGTTTCCTAAGGCCTGAGGGCTCTTAGGTCAGCTTATGGTGATTGCCGCCTGACCTGAGACTCACCCTTCAGGGCAACAGGCTCCCCTCTGGCCCAGAGCCAATCCAAAAATGCCACCCAAAAGCCAAGTACTAGCACTGGGGACCCCAGGAACCCACTTGGTGCTCTACCCACCTGTGGCCGAGCTGGTACCTAAGGTGCAAGACAAAGTCCCCTTCACTTGTCCCTTCACTTTTCTCAAACAGATGGAGTCTCAATCTGTAGCCAACACAGCTGGGAATGTGCTGAGTCTCATCTGAAGCCAGGAAGTCTCAGAGTCTCACCCAAAGTTCTCTGATGTACCTGGGAATCACTGCTGGTTATTCAGGGCCCAAGGACTCTTCAGTTAGCAGATCATAAATCCTTCCACACAGAATCCTTCATTTCAAGGCAGTCAGTTCCCTTCTGGCCCAGGATGTATCTAGAAATGTCATCTGGGAGCTAAGGCCTGGAACAGGAGCCTCACAACTCTGACTGGTGCCCTATTCTGCTCTGGCTGAGCTGCTACCCAAAGGGTAAGACAAAGTCCTCCCTACTTTTCTGTCTTCTCTCCTCAAGCAGAAAGAAGAGGTCTCTTTAGAAGCCACAAGCTGTGCAACCTGGGGTTAAGGGAGGGGTGATGCTCGCATTCCCTTAGCTGTCCCAGATGATGTCCCAGTAGCTTGCGTGGCCCCCAACCCTCTGCCCCACCCAGTTCACTGGCTCTGGCCCAGTTAAGCACTAGGGCTGTCCTAGGTGTTGCAGTCCTTGTGGCTTACACTGTCTTTCAAGTTTATCTGAAGCACCAGAGCACTTTAGCCTGCAGTGGTAAGCCTTGCAGGAACTCAAGTTCCGACTGCCAGCATTAGTGAATCTACTCTGGCTAGAGCTATTTTAAATGCACCCTCCATGGGCGGATGTCAGCTGAGTTTGGCCTGGTTTTGCTGCTACAGTAAGGGCAACACTGAGTTCAATGCCTCATAGATGCTGGCTCTCCCTCTCCCTAGTGCATAGAAATGTCCTCTGCACCACGCCACTGCTGCCCGGGGGATGGGGGAGGGGTGGCATCAGTGATTCAAAACTGTTTTTCTTACCTCTTCAGTGCCTCTTTCTGCAATATGAAGTTAAAATCAGGTACTATCAGTGCTCACCTAATTTTTGGTTCTTATGAAGGTTTTTTTTGTGTGTAGATAGTTCTTAAATGGGTATCCTTGTAGCAGGAAGATTGGTGGAGGCTTCTATTCCACCATCTTGTTCCACCCTTCCTTTATGTGATAAGTATTTTCATGTGTCAACTTGGCTGGGCCATATTGTCCAAATATTTGGACAAACACTTTTTGGATGTTTCTGTGAGCATGGTTTGGTATGAGATTTACACTTACAACAGTCAATTTTGAGGAAAGCAGATTGCCCTCTGTAACATGGGCGGGCCTCATCCAATCAATTGAAGGCCTCAATAGAACAAAAGACTGTCCTTCCTTGAGCAAGAAGGAATTGTGTAGCAGATGACCTTTGGACTTGAATTACATCATGAGCTCTTCCTGGATATCTAGCCTGTCCACCTACCCTATAGATTTTGGACTTGCTAGCCTCCATAATTGCATGAGCTAATTTCCTTAAAAAAAAGTCTCTATACACACATCCTATTGGTTCTATTTCAGAAAAAGTCTGACTGAAACAGTTGCCCTATTAGTCGCATTTGACCGAGTTGTTCATTCCCTCGTCCTTTGAAAACTTTATTTGCTTGGTTTCCAGGATAACACACTGTCCTGGTTTTTCTCCAACCTCACTGGCTGTTTCTCCTCAGTCTCCTTTGCTGATTCCTCCTCATTTTCCCTGCTTCTAAATGTTAGAGTACTCCAGAGCTGAGTCATTAGACCTCTTCTCTATTCTAGTTAATCTCACCAAGTCTCATGGTTTTAACATTATATATACACTGCTACACCAACACATTCCAAATGTATATTTATAGTCCAGACCTCCTTCTTTAACTCCAGGCTCATCTGTCCAGCTGCTTATTCTAAATGTGTGCTTACTGTCTGATAGGCATCCCAAAGTTAACATTTTCAAAGCCAAATTATTGAGCTCTGCCTCTTTCCCAAACTGTTCCTCCTCATAATCTTCTCCATAGTAAATATAATATTATCATTCTAATAACTCAGGCCAAACACCTCAGAGTTATCCCTGGATTTCTGTTTTAGTGACACCTCCCATCCAATCTGTCCGGAAATGCTGGTGCTCTATCTTTAACATATAACCAGAATCTAACCACTTCCTACTACCCTTGCTGCCACCACACTGGGCCAAGCCACCATCATGTCTGCCCTGTGTAGTAGCTCTCACCTTGCAGCTGGTCTCTGTACTTCCACCCTTCCCCCAAGGGATTCATTCTGGTTGCACGCAGCAGCCAGAGTGAGTCTTTAAAAATACAAACCCCACTTATCACTCCTCTGCTCAAAAGTTTTTCAACTTGCTCAGAGCTGAAGCCTTAGTCCTTACAATTCCCTAAAAGGCTCTATACAATCTCTCTTCCCTCCTCCCATTCCCTTTTCCCCCTTGCCCTGGCAGATATGACCTCACCTCAGGTCCTTTCATATGCTGTTTCCTCTGCTTGAAATGTTCTTCCTACAGATGAACATTCCCATAGTTCCCTCCCCTCACCTTCTCCAGTCTTTGTTCAGTGGCTACCTTCCTGGTGAGACCTTCCAGGTCATCCAATCTAAAACCCAAACTATCTCCCATTCCTTATTACTTCTCCCTCCTTAATTTTTCTCCATAACATTTCTTTGACAAATGCACATTTTACTTCTTTTTCTGTCTCCTCTCTCATTACAATGTAAGTTCCATAAGATAGGAATTTTTGTTTTATTTGCTGTAGCATCCTCAATTCCCAATATAATACTTTAACATAAAAGGCACTCAATAAATGTTTGTTGAATGAATGAATGAAAAAAAAAACTGTAAATACTCATTTTTGGAAAGAGTATGGGGAAAAAGACAATCTCTCACATTGTGGGGGAAAATATAATTTATGCACTATTTTTAGAGGTTTTTGTGTCCTACAGTGAGCTATCAGCTCTGACACACACAGCAAATACATTTTGTGCCTAAAGCTGCTTAACTTACGTCATTTACATTACCTGCCTGGCCTCAGGTTACCTGCCTGGCCTCTGCAGCCTGTTGAGTTTTCCACCCGTGGCCCACAGGTACTTCCCATTTTGATCCTTCTCTTAAATGATCCTCATGCAGCCACAGCAAGAATACTCTAAATTCTCCTCCAAACAGCATGTTGTTTGGTGCTTCTCAACCACTGTATACTTTTTCTTCTGCTTTTTCCCCCCTTTCTCTGCTGAGTTAATGACTTTCTTCTAGACTCAGTTCAAATGTCAAAGGCTCAGTGAACCCTTCACTAAACACCCTGGCAGTGACTCCTATTTGGGTCCTGCTAACGTTTTGCGTAGAATTTAATTACAACTGTGGTATATATCGTGTTGCATTGAGTGTTTGCTTGGGTTCTTGTCTCCCAGTTACAATGAGAGCAAACACATGACATCCCCGTCTTTGTCTCCAGGTCTCAAACACAGTGCTGGCCTGACGTTTTTGGTTGCATGAACAAAGAAGTCATTGAATGTCTTTTCCTATGTTTCTTCATGCTTATCTTTTTTCCAAGTAAAATGTTTAAAAGTTGGCCACGTAACATTAGAATGATACATCTTCCCAGATACAACCAAGCTGATGCCTGCACACAGCATCTCTAAATACTTCCAGAGTCAGATACTCTTGCTTGGAAGCATCAAGGCACAGTTTCTGTACAGACAAGACACCCAGGATTGGTAGTCAGGAGGGGAAGCTAAACAGCAGCAATAGCTTCTGCCCCAAATTTGCTACTACTTTAAGTGGAGAAGTCTAGATGACAAATTTTTCCATCATTAGAAATGATGATAGAATATATTCATTCTATCTACCTTTTTTATACAAAAAGTTATGATTTCATTATAAAATGGTTAACTAGGTAAGACGGTTAACTCGGTGGCTCCCCTTCTTCCAGACCCCAAAGAGAAACCTACTCTTCATTCCTTTTTTCCCCCTAAATCTAAGACAATATTAATGAGGCATAAAGCTAGCTGGTGTCAGATGTTTTGAGCACACTGATCCACAGTGCCGGAATCAAGTAACTCCACACCCTAAGAAGTGGCTTTAACCCAGGATGACACAATCTGTATTTGTCAAATCGCCAACTTAAGAAAGAAAGAAATTGTTTAAAAGCCCTTTGTTACACAATAATGTTTTATTCAGAAGGAGAGGAAAAGTTAGACTGATACAAAAGGCAATTCTTTCCATTTTCTACTTTATCCCACAACCAAATCAACTCTGCTTCTGTGTTGCTAGTGCCTCCTCCGACTTTATGCAATGAGACTTCTCACGAGCTGCCATTAAGCTGCTCGTTAACAGAAGAGTTGTACACACCTCTCCAGGGCAGCTGGAAGGAGTGACAGAGTGGAAGGAGCCTGGGCATGGGTAGAGATTATTTTTAAATGTGGTTTGTCCCTATTTTGTCCAAAAACACAGGATTAAAAAAAAACAAAAAACTGTAGATAAACAAGAGAACCATTTCTTACCACCAGAGAATTGAAGCTAGGAGGAAAACACTTTAGTCCCTGGCCTAGAGTGTTAGAGTCCAGAGCAGAACACATTACTTGATGGCTAAGATAAATATTGACCTTTGTATTCAATCTGATAACTGGCACACATTAGAAAAACAACAGAGAACCTTATGACTTGGACCAAGCTTGTTTTTAACATTCTTTTCTGTCTTACTAATATCTAGGACCCAGCCCCATATTGAAATATCATGTAACAGAAACCAAAGAGCTTTCTCTGTAACTTAACTAATACTTTTTCAATGAGATCTGAGTATTTCACTATGCAGATTGAATTTGACAATCAAGTATTTTTACCTCTTTAGCTCTGAATACCATATTTTTAGATTCAAATTTTCTAATGCAAGCAATAAGTAAAAATGTTCTGATCAAATATAATTGTGTTTTTCTACCATCATCATGAATAAATTGAAGGATTTTTTCTAGGCTAGGATTTTAAAGGAACATTCACAAACCAGAAAAATGTAATTAAGTATAGGTTTTTAATATAAAATGATGAGACTAGAAGTAATTTACATTATAATTTTAACATTTGAGTGGGTAATAAAATATTTCACAAAAATCACCTTTCCAGTGTGAGGCTTTGAAAAGCACACAACTTGCAATGAATATCTTTTTTTTTTATCTACCTGGTATCCCTTTCTCTCCTTCTTTGGTAATGCCCCATCTTCTTTGGGATAAACTTTCTCCCAAGATTAGAGCTGCCAGTTAGGATACCCAGCTCCCCACATGCCAGGCCAATCTTGTTCTACTGGCCACAGTGTTTGAAATTTCACCTGACACTAAATATCAGCCATTCCTGATATTTTTCTGCATGAGCTATTCAAGCTGGGGGATGTATGTACAGCCAGTGCTATTTGGGCCTCTGCTCCTTGTAGTCTAAAACAGACTGATTTCCTGTTGGACAGATTGAAGACAAGTCCGAGAGGAATGGATTTGATAGAAGGGGCAAAAAGAAAGATGCTAACTTTGCTAGGTCCTCTGATGCTGGTCTCTGAGGTCCCCAGAAATGCAATTCTTCCTCAATGCTCTGAGTTACCTCAGTATTAATCCAGAAAAGCCATCATACCTCCACCTCAATCCAGTTCAAACTGGCTTTGGCACTTGCAACCAAAGAGTTCTGACTCAGGAACGCTCATTTGAGCATATATTGTAGCATTTAAGGGTTCTTATGGAAAAAAAAATTGATTGAAGAGAACTATAAAAATTGGCATAGCCTGTTTACTGTATTCCATTATGTAATATATTGTATATTGCCAGGAGCATTTAAAATGATTTGCCTGAACAATTTGCTTTTCACTTGGCCTCCTTTGTTGACCTCTCTCACAACGTTCATATTAATTAAGAGTGACAGTAAATTGATCACTGAAATTAGAAGCTTTTCCCTTGTCTGAAATGCTATTTTATTTTCTATAATTCACAATACTTTTAAAGCACATTTAATGCTTAAGACATAAACTTGTATTTTGCCTAAATTATGCACCACATCTATGTACCACACACATACAGATAATACTGCAAATATTCTAATATTTTCCAAGGCTTATATCAACAAGTAGTCAAGAGGCCTGAATTATAGTGTTTGATATTTTGTTAACTAACTCTAGGGCTGGGTATCTTGCTTAACTTCTCTGAGTCTCAGGGAGAAGAGGATGAAATAGATGGGTGTCTTCCAGTTTTAAGATCCTAATTTTACAACTAGAAAAGAAAATCAGTTTTGTTAAAAAAAAGTTTTGCTGATTTTACAAAAAAGATCAAACACTGCTCTTTATTTTTCCCTTTGGACAGTTTACCAAAAACATTTCTTGAAAGTGTGATCGGGGGGAAGAAAGCCACCTGACCCAAGTGAATGCAAACTCTCTTGGTCTTAGAAAAGGTTCTATTGCCTAAAGCAAGGGTTCCCAACCCCTGGGCTGTGGACAGGTACTGGTCCGTGGCTTGTTAGGAACCGGGTGCACAGCAGGAGGTGAGTGGCTGGCCAGCAAGCATTACCCCCTGAGCTCTGCCTCTGGTCAGATCAGTGGTGGCATCAGATTCTCAGAGGAGCACGAACCCTATTGTGAACTGCACATGCGAGCGATCTAGGTTGCACACTCCAACGGGAATCTAGTGCCTGATGATATGAGGTGGAACAGTTTCATCTCACAACCATCCCCCATCCCCTCATCCCATGGAAAAAAATTGTCTTCCATGAATCTGGTCCCTGGAGCCAATAAGGTTGGGGACGGCTGACCTAAAGGATTCAGAATACACTGGCCTAGATAATGAACTAACAGGAGACTAAAACTAAACAAAAATACTTAAAAATATCATTTGTATAATTTCAGAATCATGAAAGTTTTTTTTTTTTTTTAGGAAACATAAGATCTTTTTAACGGCCTCAGTGAAAGAGAGAAATTTTGAGCTGGGAATTAAAATGTCAAACCAGTCAAAACTGATAAATTGGACACTCAGATTAATTAAATGTACATTATTAAAATAAATGTTATATACCTTTATATAATATGTCAACAATTTTCAAAAATTTATTTTGAAGTGTTAAAGAGATAGCCCCAAATTTCAGTTTTGCCCCTAAAGATATGAGTTATGGGATGCTACAGTTTTGGCATCACCATCTCAAGGCTTTGTGACTTTGGTATGTTAGGTGATTGCGGTTGCAAGATATAGAACTCAACCATGTTACTTTGGGGATTAGGGTGTTGGTTTCTTTTCATTTAGTTTATAAAGAATACCTATGAAATCTCAGCCATGAAATCAAGTGTTCCATGAACAACAGAAAAGTTGAACAATCAAAGACCCTGATATAGTTTGGCTCTGTGTCCCCACCCAAATCTCATCTGGAATTGTAATCCCCACATGTTGAGGGAGTGAAGTGATTGGATTATGGGCGTGGTTTCCCCCATGCTGTTCTTGTGATAGTGAGTGAATGCTCATGAGATTTGATGGTTTTATAAATGGTAGGTTTTCCTGCACTCACACACGCTCACTCTTCTCTTGCCTGACACCATGTAAGACGTGGCTGCTTCCCCTTCCCCTGCGATTATAAGTTTCCTGAGACCACCACAGCCATGTGGAACTGTGAGTCAATTAAACCTCCTTTGTTTATAAATTACCCAGTCTCAGGTATTATCTATATAGCAGTGTGAGAATGGACTAATATAGACCCTAAGAGGAGAGGAATGCAAATTAAATTGTGCATTCTGGAAGACAGAATTTAACGGGTGTTCAGAACCCAAGGCATCAGTGAGAGTTTGCAGTCTTTTTTTAAGAGCAGGGATTCTCATCCTGGTGGAATGTCCTAATCATCTCAGGAGTGTTTGAAAATACAGACTTTTGAGGTCCCATCTACAAAGTTTCTGGTCTAGTTGACCGGGGGAAAAGCTCCCAGCTAGATTGTCAATGTCCTGCTCTGTGTATAGTTTGATGTTGTGGCTCCTTATCCTGGTGCCTGCTGCGTGATGACCCGGCCACTATCTGGCTCCCTCAGCTTCTCCCCTACCTTTTTTTCACAGCCTCACTACCTTGGATCCTTCAAGCCTTATCTGTGACTTCACCTTCTTAGCAAGGCCTTCTCTGATAGTAAAAATTGCACCCCAAACCCCAGCACTCTCTAGTCCCCTTCCCTGCATTATTTTTATCCAGCACTTATCACCTAATACACGATTTAATTTACTTATTTTGTGTTTATTGCCTGTCCCACCCACCAGAATGCAAGATTCATGAGGCAGAATTTTTGTGTATTTTGTCCCAACTCTATCCCCAGCACCTAAATCACAGGAGATGCTTAATCAATACTTGTTGAATGAATATATGAATGGATATTTTCTGCTCAGTCATTGTTTGGTAGACATTAGCTTCTGCTTACTGGTGATCTGCCAGGGCCCTTCCTGCCCATGAACACCCTCTGTGAGTCCTTCTGGATTTCAGCTTCCTCAATTGATTGCCTGATTGGATCAGGGTTTTTTTTTTTTTGGACTGATTTTTTTCCCCCCAGGTCATTTTTTGAATGAGTATGACTTGCCTGTGTCTAGGTCAGTGCCCACCCAGGGGCAATCAACAGTGATTCAGGGATTACACAGACAACACAAAAGAGTATATTGCCTGGGGCCACCCTTCAGCAAGGGCTGGAGGAGGGGCAGTTTCTCCAAGCCAACTTTGGTGCAGGATGACTGTGTAGCAAATTACCTAACCGAGCTGAGTTTCAGGAAATTGGCAGTAACAATACCAGTTTGAGACAGACTGAGAATTCTTCAGTGGTTCAAGCAAACAATGTATGGAACACACTCATAGAAGGCATTTTCACTATTAATTTATGATATAAATAAAACAAGATGAGTATGGGAAGTTATCTAATTTTAGATGACATTCAAATGTGGCTTAAAAAAAAAAAGCTTGCTGGTATGGTAGCTCACTCCCGTAGTTCCAGCTACTCGGGAGGCTAAGGTGGGAGAATCGCTTGAGGCCTCGTGTTTGAGACCAGCCTTGTCAATACAGGAAGACCTCATCTCTTAAAAATAAATAAATTAGGCCAGGTGCGGTTGTTCATGCCTGTAATCCTAGCACTTTGAGAGGCTGAGGTGGGTGGATCACAAGGTCAAGAGTTCGATACCAGCCTGGCCAACATGGTGAAACCCCGTCTCTACTAAAAATACAAAAATTAGCTGGGCAAGGTGGCACATGCTTGTAGTCCCAACTAGTAGGGAGGCTGAGGCAGGAGGATGGTTTGAACCTGGGAGGTGGATGTTGCAGTGGGCCAAGATCGTGCTGCTGCACTCCAGTCTGGGCGACACGGTGAGACTCCCTCTAAAATAATTAATAATAATAATAATAATAATTAATAAATCTAAAAGAAGTAGTAGAGGAGAAATTAAGAATTTAGAAACTTGTTGCTTGAGGTGGCTTTGGATTCTTTTTCTCCACCCTTTAATGTTTTTAAAATGTTACTCTCACTTCACATTGATTTCTAGTTGGCAGGGGCTTCTGTACATAACTTCCAAAGTGATATTTAAGAGGAATAAATGCAAAGATCTGCACAGTTTCCAAAAACAAATTGCAAAATACAGGTTGGAGAAGATATGGTTTTATAGCTGTATATATGTTAAAGACTTAAAAAAGATTTGGGGGTAATTTTTGCTTGTTTTTAGTTGGCAATAACATGATATTTATGAACGGTATGGGGTGGTAGAAAAATAATGTGATATCAAACTGAATTTTGAAATATCTTCATTAGGATGCAGAAAATTGTACTCCTCTACTCCTTCCTTTATACTTGGAATATTGTATTCAGTTCTAGGTGCCACATTTTAAGAGACACTGGAGAATGTTTAGATAAATGCGTATGGAGACGAATGAGATGTGAATAAAAAGTGGGTGGAGAAGGCACACATTGTGACTGCTGACTTCAAATGTTTACAAGGCTGCATATGGGGGGGAACCATGCTGTTCTGTATTAAACAATGTTAGTACTAGGTTCAGACTCACTGGACACATTCATACGCATTGCATTCATATTTACAATAATGATTTAAGGTGCTATTATTATCATTTTCTCCTTTTAGAATGGAGCAAACTCATACTTGGAGCAGTTTTGTGCTTTTCTAAGGTCACACAATTAGGAAGTTATAAGCCCAGGATTTGACCAACTTCTTTGGAGTCTAAGTCCAGTGGTGT
Source organism: Homo sapiens (assembly GCF_000001405.40). Classification (NCBI taxonomy): domain Eukaryota; kingdom Metazoa; phylum Chordata; class Mammalia; order Primates; family Hominidae; genus Homo; species Homo sapiens. Next base: position 179,266,956 of record NC_000002.12, on the reverse strand, counting down.
TTCTACCAATACTGTAGCTACTTACCAAATGTATACAGAGACAGATTTTAGTTGAACATAGAAACTAGCAGGACTGTTTAAAAATGAAAACTGTTGTGAGGTCATGAATGGTTTCCTATCACTTGGAGTTCAAACATATGCTGGATAGCTACATTGCAAGGATCTAGCATATATATATTTACTTTTATAATAAAATATTAAAAACAAATGCTAATCATAGAGCCAAAGAAACTCCAGAAGTAAAGCCTCATGACTATAAGTGATTGAGCTAAGTTCATTCAGTAGTTATTGGAAAACGTAGCATCCAAATTTCATTCTCTGAATTTATAGTTTAATGTTTTTTCCATTATAGCAGTTACCTCTTATCTAACACCTAGGTAATACAATGTGGAACCAGAAGTATGTAAAGAGGAAGGGCAGGGATATTTTGTGAATTATTATAATGGATTGCTTGGCATGCTCTTGTTTTACTAGGATAAGCAAAGAATGTGAATGGTAGTTGGAGAGAGTTTAAAATGATAAGCAGAGAATGCCACATAGTAGAGAAGGGAAAAACAGAATACCACGGAAGGCTAAAAAAGGCTGGGACTGTGGACTTCCCTGTATTTTCTTTTCGTTGAGTAGATGCTCAACATCTATTTGTTGGGATGGAAAATTATTTCAACGCTTCAGCAAACAGTTAAAGAGAACCTTTTTTGTGCTGAGCACTGTGCTATGTTCTGGGGAGCAAAAAAAATGAACTAGACAAAATCCCTGTCCTTTTAAGGAACACACAGTCTAGGAAGAAAAGGCCACCAAGCAAAGCAACAGGAAAAAAGCAAGTATTAAAGATTATCATAGGGAATACTGTAGATAGACGATTTTATGAAAGCAGAGAGAAAAAGAGTATTTAATTCATTGTAAATGTGTGGGGTAAGGATACAGATGTGGTGAAAGGAGATGATGTCAGGGAAGATTCCAAGGAGGAAGGGATGCATTATCTTCATTATCTTGAAGGACAATAGGAGTTCAACTGGTTAAATGAGGGATGGATTTCAGGTGGGGGAAAACTACAAGGGCACAAAGACAAAGTCTGTTGAATTTGTGTGATACGTAGATATATTAGGAGTTGAAGCTGGAGCCAAGGAGGTCAATAGATCAGATTTTAAATGGCTTTGTAAACCATGGTAATGAGTTTGAACCTGATTCAACCAGGTGGAGAGACTTTGAATGATTTTAAAGAGGGACGTTTCATGCTTAGCTCTGTCTTTTTGGAGCATTCTCTCTGGCAGTTATATGGAACTGAAGCAGCAGTGAAGTTAAAGGCTTGACCTAGAGTGGCAAAGAGGTGGAAGTCATGGAGACAGACTGATATTCACAGAATTAAGAGGAAGAATTAATCCACGGGATTTTAAGTCAGAAAACTTTAGTGGAGAGAAATTTGGTTGCTTAGTTGTTGGAATAGGAAGATTTTATCAACGGAATTAGGTGATACTGAAGTGAGTGGCTGAGTGAATAATATGGAAGTCTTGAAATTGGGACCACACAGCTGCTCTGATCTGGTGTGAATTTGCTGATGACTCTTTTGAACTGAATTCAGGAAATGACATACAAATGATTTGCGCAATAAAATGAAAACAAGGACTCTTAAGTCAGTATACTTGGAGAAAAATAACTAGGTTGGTAAAAATGGGGAAGTAGCCATTATCAGGGAGCCCCATTGTGGATTAATTTTGGACTGTCCAGTGGAAAGATCCTCAAAGCAAAACAAATGCCCTGAATCCAGCCCTTCCTCACCGCAACCCTTTCCCTTTCATCTGCCTTCATCCTTCAGCCACACCACCGCTTGGCAGTGAGTACTTGGGAGCAGCTCTTGGAGACTTTGTACTCGAACCTTCGAACTCCAGCATGAGGCCAGAGGAAATAAATGACCTGCCAGGGTGTCAAGTAACGGACCCTCTCTTAAGCCCAGACTTCTGACTCCAGATCTAGGTACCCTTCCACTCTCCAAGACTGCCTCCCGCCTGGGGAGCCTGGGCCTCGGCTAGGGGTGGGGACGGCAGGGTCCGTCCGGAGCGCCAGAGTCCCACTCGCGCCCAGCCCTCAGCCCCAGGCCCGGTTGGACGCCCCGCCCCGCCCCGCCTCCTTCCTCCTTCCCGCGCCGGGCGGGTTGCTGTACCGCCGTCACCCGGGCGCGCGCGGGGTCGCGCGGACGCGGCTCGGGCCGCGGGTGCCGAGAGGTCGCCGGGCCACCCGCACCCCCGCTCCCCGCCTGACGCACGGAGGGGCCGGGACGCGATTTGCCGCGAGTGACTGGAGCCGCAGCCGTCGCCGCTGCTGCCGCCGCCGCCCGGGCCCGCTCCGCCCCCAGCCCGCCTTCCTCCCGCCGCGCCCTCCGCCTCCGCCCGCACCTCGCTAGCGTTCCCCTGTCTTCCCCAACGCCCCGGAGCCGCCGGCCGCTAGCGTCAGCGCCAGCCAGGTGAGTGTGGCCGCCGCTCGGCCCGGGCGGGAGAAGCGCGCAGGCCCCGCGGCCGGGTGGCCGGCTTGGGCCGGTGCAGTCGGCGGCGGCGGCGGTAGCGGGCCCGGCTTTCTTCCCCTGCGCGGGCCGCGGGGCGGAGGGGCTACGCAGTGAAGGAGGGGCGCCCCCGCCCCGCCACCGCCTCTGCTCCCAACGCCCCGACCGCCCCCACCGCCTTGCCGCCACAGACAAAGCGCCGGAGGTGGGAGCCCTGCGGGCCGCCTTTGCCTCCGCGCCGTCTGCCGGGTGCGGCCGCGGCCCGCAGAGACCGGGCCGCGCGCTTTTCCGTTCCTGAGCGCCCTTGTTCATTTCTGGGTGAAAGGGACCCGAATTGTGCAACAGGTTTGGGCGTTAGTCCTTATTTTCCAGCGGGTCTCTTTTGCCAGCGTGCAGGAACCAGATGTGGCTCCCTGCTCTCGGGCGAGTCCCGCGTCCAGCGCCCGCGACTGGCTCCTTTGTGTGACCGGTGACCGGCCCTGTCGGGTGGGTGGAGGACACGGGCTCGAGGCCCCAGGGCTGCGCCGAGGCTCCTGGACGCCTCCTCAGGTCGCGGGGCTTGGCTTCCACGGGCCTGCCAGAGGTTAACATCCCTCCAGCGTTTGGGAGAGTCACAAAGGGGAGGAGAGAGAGGGTTGGCCAGGGTCTGTGGTTGTGTTTATTTTTCTATTTTAGGTAGACTCATATTAGAAAAGAGCCGCAGTCTGACCAGCTCTTGAGGGTACGGGTGGGATTTCACCCTGGGATGCACGGTTTGGACTTGGCTGTTGCTCTGACAGCCCCCGTGGTTTTCTTGGTGCTTTGACATCTTTCTCTTACACACAGACATCGCGGGAGAAGTTGGGAGTGCTGCCGAGGGAGTAACTAGATAGCAGCTGTTTGACAGGTCGTCTCTTACTTCACGTTTTGCTTGTGTCAAGCATGCCCACTATGTATCCCAGCATAGCTTGGCAAACCGTCAAATTTAAATTGCCACTCAAAATCCTAATCCTTATACATACCTACATACACAGACACACATATATCTATATACTTTTTCTGTTTTGGCTGGCTAAATCTTATTAATGTGAGAATTTTTCCTCCCAAGGAAGAATGCATAATAAGGTACAATTTATCTTTGGTTACATACCTTGGTTAAGTTATGCCAATACCTAGCTGGTTTCATTGGTATGCTATTTTAGTTTAACAATACTAATTCCTTTAGCTTTGAGCAGTAAAATACGTCTTTGTTCTAGGACCAGGAAGCTTTTATACGTAATACTTTGCCCCATGACTAAATACGTGAAAAAATTCCCCAAGGACCTAGAAAGCATTTCACAACTCTATAGGCTGTTTTTATGTTCCAAATTCCAGGAAATCGTTTTGTTGAATATTTATTCAAACATTCTGGACTAAATTTAACCTTAAAAATTGGGCCCACTCTAGTTTTTCCCCAGCATTAGAAAAATGAATTGATTGCATTTACCAAACATTTTAGCCCCTGTGAATAAGAATTGAATGGAATAATTGATGTAAGAGATTAGGAGCTAGTGATGGACTAGGAATCTGACAACAGAATGCAGAATGTAGAAAGTTGTAAGTAGAGGTCACAAAGTTGCATCTACTTGGGTTTTAATTCATTGCTAGGCATTTAATGACATTTTAAACAGGTAATCTACTAATGATATATCTGAAAATGAAATGTCCAATAATTAAGAAAACAAAGTATTGCATTTTGACCTTTTTAAAAAATGTATTTTTATAAGGACTTGTTGAAGCTTTTCCACTCTCTAAAAATGAACTTGGTATTAATGACATTTCTTTTGAAAAAATGAAATTGTACCAAACTAATCCGATTTTTAGAAAGTTTCTCTGTTATAGTAGTTTTACTTTACTAAAAATACCATTCATCTGTATAGTAGCTAACTTCAAAGATCTTTTAAAGCTGTTACAAGCAACATGAGCAACCTCTTGAGGAAAGTAGAATATTTACTAATAAAAAGTAGCAAGCAGAGAAGTGAGCCATGATTGGACCACTGCATTCCATCCTGGGTGACAGCCAGACTTTGTCTCAAAAGAAAAAAAAGCAGAGACTTAAATTTTTATAATAGTTTTCTTTGAGATATAATTCATATGCCATAGAATTCACTTTTTTAAAGTATGCAATTCAGTAGTTTTAATATATTCACAAAATTATGCAAATGTCGGCACTAATCCAAGAACGTTATTACCCTAAAAAGAACCTTGTACCTGGTAGCTTTTGTTACTATTCCCCCTTCCCCATATTTGACAACCACTAATTTACTTTATGTCTCTATGGATTTGCCTATTTTGGACATTGCATGTGAATAGAATCATAATATGTGGCCTTTAGTGTCTTTCACTTAACATAATGCTTTCAGGGTTTATTCATATTATACCATGTATCAATATTTCATTCCTTTTATGGCAGAATATTATTTTGTTATATGGCTATGCCACATTTTGTTTATCCAATCTTCAACTGATGGGCATTTGGGTTGTTTCTACTTTTTGGCCATAATAAATAATGTTGTGGATACTCATTTACAAGTTTTTGTATGGTATATATGCTTTCAATTTTCTTGGATGTATACCTAGATGTGTAATTGCTGGGTTATATGGTAATTCTGTTTACTTTCTGAGGAACTGCTTGACTGTTTTCCATAGCTGCTGCACTGTTTTACATTCCTTCTAGCAATGTAGGGTTCCATTTTCTAGGGTAACCCTTCTACATTGCTAGAAGGGTTACATTCCTTCTAGCAATGTAGGGTTATAGCAATGTAGCAATGAGGGTTCCATTTTCTCCACATCCTTGCCAACACTTGTTAATGTTTGTCTTTTTGATGATAGCCATCCTAGTGGCTGTGAAGTGATATCGCATTGTGATTTTCATTTGTATTTCATCTTATCATGTTTTTATTGGCCATTTGTATATAATTTTCTCATTTAATGTTTTAAATGATGCTGTAAGGTAGGTTTATTCCTATTTTACTGCCAGGAAACTAAAGTGCAAAGTTGTTTAATCATTTGCTTGTTTTTTTAACCTTACAGTTAATAAGAGGCAAGGTCTGAGTGTAAACTCAGGTCTTCTGACTCTACTTCCTGCACTCAATGAGGCATACAGAAATTAAATTGTGTTTGTGAATGTCTGGTTGATTAGTGACAAAGTGAGGGAAAAATAAAAAAAATCAAACCAAACAATAACAAACCATAAGGTGTTGTGGCAACACTGCCACATATTCATCAGATTTTATTACGCATTTTCAAATAAATTCCTTTTCTTCTGTCATAATAAGGTAGGTCTGCTTTCCACATTTCCAATGGGGAAACAGAGTCAGAGTGATTCAACCTAGTAACAGCTTCTTAATAGCATAGCCGATCCTAGAACCCACTGTTTCAGAATTTGAATAGTATGTATGTGTATATATATAGAGAGAGTAAAAGCTGAAAATCTCCCTTCACTTTTTGTCTTTTTCCCCTTCTTCACTCCTAAGACCACTTCCATCTTGGAGAAACTGCTGTTGACAGTTTGAGGTTTATATTTCCAAACCTGTATCTTTGCATTTATGTGTGTATTTATCTATAAATACACATTTCCATATTTTACCATACATACAGACATGTTTCTTTTCATAATGTTTTTTCTTTTACAAATGGGATTATACTACACATATTCCTTTGTTTTTCACTTAAATATGTTAAACTTTTCCATCTGTAATTACAAAGGATAAATCTAATATTATGTTTTCATTTAAGTTTGCTATCCATGCCTGGCTTCGGTGTCAAGATGAAGTCAGGATTAAGAATGATTAGGAAACTTTTCACTTTTTTCTGTGCTCTGGAACAGTTTAAAATATCTGCCCTTTAAACGTTTACTAGAAATCATCTGACAACTGTGGGGGCAGAGAGAGATCTGAGATGACCTTTCTAATTTTTTTTTTTCTTTTGAGACAGGGTCTCACTCTGTGGCCCAGGCTGAAGTGCAGTGGTGTGATCACACCTCACTGCAACCTCAACTGCCTGGGCTCAAGTCATTCACCCACCTCAGCCTCCCAGGTGGCTGAGAGTACAGGCATGTGCCACCATGCCCAGCTAATTTTTGCATTTTTTGTAGAGATGAAGTTTCTCAATGTTGCCAAGGCTGGTCTCAAACTCCTGAGCTCAAGCAATCTGCCTACGTTGGCCTTCTTAACATGAGCCATTGCACCTGGCCCGTTTTCTTATTTGTCAAATGACAATAACTCCTACCTCATAAGAGTCTTGAAATATTAAATGATATGTGAGCTAATATATGAAAAGGCTCAGTAGTTGCATCTAACAAAAATGAAAAAAATGTAATGAACTGTAACATGCTATACAAATGTAAATTTGTTACTACAGTTATTATAATTATGTTTTAACCTAATAGGAACAAATTTTTAAGTAGATAGGATGGTGGAGCTAGGGACAGTTTCCACTAATAAATCACAAGTATCTATAAAAATTCACAGGCCATTTGGGATTTGATTCTGGTAGACAATGGTATCTAAATACACTCTTTAAGAAGGATGGTAGGTAAAATCATTGACTAAACAGATCTGGATGAATCTTGTGTTGTCACTTGTTAGCCTTGTGACTGTGGACAAGTTAATTTCTTAGTAACATGAGATAACACTTATAGGGCAGTTATGAAGAAAGACATTAGTTTCTAGCATGTAATAGATGTTCAAAATAGTCAATTTTTTTTTTCTTTGCATGTAGTGAATACCCAACAGTGACAAACCTGAGATGTTGAGTTCTATTAATTTAAGGCTGCTTGGTGAGGTGGAAAGAACATTAAGCCCTAAGTCAGAAGTTTTGTTCTGTCCTATGTTTATTAGCCATTGGCTGTGGATGAGTCGCCTAAGTGCTTAGATCCTTCTGTTTTCCTTACCTATAAAAAAGCTAGAGAACTAAGGCTGGGTGCGGTGGCTCACACCTGTAATCCCAGCACTTTGAGAGGCTGAGGCAGGTGGATCACGAGGTCAGGAGTTCAAGACCAGCCTGGCCAAGATGGTGAAACCCCGTCTCTACTAAAAATACAAAAATTAGTCGGGTGTCGTGGGGGCACCTGTAATCCCAGCTACTCAGGAGGCTGAGGCAGAGAATTGCTTGAACCCGGGAGGTGGAGGTTGCAGTGAGCCGAGATCGCGCCACTGCACTCCAGCCTGGGCGACAGAGTGAGACTCTGTCTCAAAAACAAACAAACAAAAAGCTAGAGAACTAACACTAGGCACTTTACAACCTTATCTCATTTAATCTTTCCAATAATCCTATCAGATAGAGATGATTTCCATTTCCCTTTCTAATAGATAAAGAAACAAAGGTGCAGGAATTGGATTTTCCAAGGTCTACTTGGTGGACTCCCCCAGTCCTGGGAATATTCTTTGGCTCATTACAAGTATTCACTCCTGGGATGATAGGGCATGCCCCTATGTACAGGGAATACCAAGGGGGGAACCTACTATAAACTGAAATACTAAGTGTATGAATGAACTAAGCCAGTGTTGGATGAGACTACTTATTTATTAATGACTTCCATTAATAAAATACAAATAGAGGATTGTTAATGTGTCCCAATGCCAGTGCTTAAGAGTAGTAATTTAAGATGATACTTCATTTTCCCATAATCACCTTATCTAAATAATTTATTACCTACTCCTAATTTCATTTTCAGTTTGACCAGGTAAAGCACAGAAGTAAATTGTAAGTTAGTGGTCAGAGCTGGTTTGATAGTGGTGTGTGTGTGTGTGCATGCATGCACGTGCGTGTGCATGTGTGTGTGAGAGCTGAGAAGTACAGTTCTTCAGCAGCTTGGCATATGCAGAAACTGCACATTCTTGGAAAGAAGTAATCTGCGTTATAATTTAATTGCCTTCTAGTAGATTTGCAGAATCATTTAGAAAATGAACCTGCCTTTGTCAATTGGTTTGTAAAGACCTATTGATTATATTCTTGAAAGATAGTAATATTGTCTTTCCTTTAGTGGGTATTGCCAGAGCTTTTGCTTATGAGTTTCATTTTATTTGATCAGGTTCAGTGATATTGATTTGGTATCCTTGCATGCTTTGTGCTAGGGATGTATGAAACAAAATGCTTTTGAGAGGTCATGAATTGTGATTCAGTAATAGTTTAGAAAGTTTAGGAATTCTATCTATTGGGGCTTCAGTTAGCATGTTTTTGTAGTAGAAGTGGGAATTACTGAGTTTAGGTTAGATAATTTTTATCAGAAAAGTCTTGAATTGCACTGTGTAAATTCTCACTGACGTTGCATCTTTTCTGCAGAATACAAAATACTTTGGAGCTATATATAAGAATTAGAAAACATGGTTCTGTTTTCAAGGAGTTTATAATCTGATTAGGGAGGCAATGAAGGAAGAAACTGAGTAAAAGAATAAAGAGCTCTTAAAGCTTGTGTCTTGTCTTTGTAAAATCAATTTTGCCACATTGGGCTTTGGTAAGGTGTCATAGGTCTCTCCTGAGGGACAATATGAGAAACATCTAACCCTTTGAAGACTGGTGGTTATGTGTCTCCTATATTTTGATCATTCTATGGGGTTCTTTTTGCTATACGAAATTACTGTTTGGTTTAACTACCAAGGTAGCTCCCCTTCTGAGTACTTCTCTGTGTATCTCTTAGATTGCCTGGGTTTTCCTTTTTGTTATGGCTACTAGAAAGCCAGAACTAGATTTGTGGCCCACTCCATACCGTAAATAGGTTTTTATATTATACAATTTTTAGCCTTTTTCTTGGCACCATTTTTGGTTCTTTTCTCTATTCTTTGCCTTTATCTTTAGTTTGTTAACTTGTTATAGTTCATTTATTGTGTCTTTAATCCTTTGCAGAACAAAATGGGGTATATACAAATGTAGGCATACCTCTAAGATATTGCCAGTTCAGTTTCAGACCACCACAGTAAAGCAAATATCTCAATAAAGCAAGTCACACGATTTTCTGTTTCTCAGTGCATATAAAAGTTATGTTCACACTGTAGTTTACAAAATGTGTGATAGAATTATGTCTAAAAAATGATCTACGTATATCTTCATTTAAAAATACTTTATTGCTTAACAGTGCTACGGATCCTCTGAGCCTAAGTGAGTTGTAATCTTTTTGCTGGTGGAAGGTCTTACCTTAGTGTTTATAGCTACTGATCAGGATGGTTGTTGCTTGAAGTTTGGGGTAGCTATGGTAATTACTTTCTTGCCTTTTTCTTTTTTTTTCATAAGGGCAGCCCCCTGAACCAGAATAGGTTCAAGATAGACTCCCTCATTCTATGACATAGAATGAGATGTGTCCTGATTTTAAATAAAATTGAAAAAAAAACAACAACCCACCAGTGAAGTATGCCACATTGATGGACTCTTCTTCTCATGAAAGATTTCTCTGTGGCATGAGATGCTGGGTGGTAGCGTTTGAGCCATAGTAGAACTTTCACAATTTGAGTCAGTCCTCTCAAACCCTGCCACTGCTTTATCAACTAAGTTTATGTAACATTCTAAATCCTTTGTTGTCATTTGAACAATGTTTATGGCACGTTCACTAGGAGTAGATTCCATCTCAAGAAACTACTTGCTTTGCTCCTCTGTAAGAAGTGACTGCTCATCTGTCAGTTTTTTTTTTTTTTTTTTTGAGGTGGAGTCTCGCTCTGTCGCCTAGGCTGGAGTTCAGTGGCAGGATCTCAGCTCACTGCAACCTCTGCCTCCCGGGTTCAAGTGATTCTCCTGTCTCAGCTTCCCGAGTAGCTGGGACTACAGGCTCCTGCCACCATGCCCGGCTCATTTTTTGTATTTTGAGTAGAGATGGGGTTTCACCGTGTTAGCCAGGTTGGTCTCGATCTCCTGACCTCGTGATCTGCCTGCCTTGGCCTCCCAAAGTGCTGGGATTACAGGCGTAAGACACCGTGCCCGGCCCCATCTGTTAAAGTTTTATCTTGAGATTGCAGCAATTCAGTCACATCTTCAGGCTCCACTTCTAATTCTAGTTCTGTTGTTATTTCTACCACATCTGCAGTTACTTCCTACACTGAAATTTTGAACCCCTTAAAGTTATCTATGGAAGTTGGGATCAACTTCTTCCAAACTCCTATTCATGTCAGTATATTTTGACCTCCTCCCATGAATCACAAATGTTCTTAATGGAGTCTAGATTGATGAATCTTTTCTAGAATGTTCTCAATTTACTTTGCCCAAATCCATCAGAGAAATCACTATCTATGGCAGCTATAGCCTTTGAAATGTATTTCTAAAATAATAAGACTTGAAAGTCAAACTTACTCCTTGATCTGTGGGCTACAGAATGACTTTTGTGTCAGCAGGTATGGAAACATTAATCTCCTTGTACATCTCCATCAGAGTTCTTGGATGACCAGGTGCATTGCCAATGAGCAGCAATATTTTGAAAGGAATCTTTTTTTTTTTTTGTCTGAGCAGCAGGTCTTAATAGTAGGCTTAAAAGATTCAGTAAACCATGCTGTAAGCACATATGCTGTTATCCAGGCTTTGTTATTCCATTTATAGAGAACAGACTGAGTAGATTTCAGTCAGTTCAGAATGGTAAACGAGCATCGGCTTTCACTTAAGGTCACCAGCTGCATTAGCCCCTAACAAGAGAGTTAGCCTGTCCTTTGAAATTTTGAAGCCATTTACTTCTCTCTTGCTATGAAAGTCCTAGATGACATCTTTGTCTAATAGAAGGCTGTTTCATCTACATTGAAAATCTGTTGTTTAATGTAGCCACCTTCATCAATTATCTTAGCTAGATTTTTTTGATAACATACTGCAGCTTCTACATCAGCACTTGCTGCTTCATCTTGCACATTTATGTTATGGAGATGGCTTCTTTCGTTAAACCTCATGAACCAACTCCTACTAGCTTCAAACTTGCCTTCTGGAGCTTCCTCACCTCTCAGCCTTCATAGAATGGACTAGAACTAGTGTCTTGCTCTGAATTAGGCTTTGGCTTAAGGGAATGTTATGGCTGGTTTGGTCTTCTATCCAGACCACTGGACCTTTCTCCATATTAACAATGTGGCTGTTTCACTTTCTTATCATTCGTATGTTTTCTGGAGTGGCACTTTTACTTTCCTTCAATAACTTTTCCTTTGCATTTACAGCTTGACTAACTGTCACAAGAGACCTAGCTTTTGACCTCTGTTGTCTTTAGACATACCTTCCTGAGTAAGCTTAATCATTTCTAGCTTTTCATTTAAAGTGAGAAATGTGACTCCTCCTTTCACTTTAATATTTAGAGGCCATTGTAGGATTATTGATTGGCCTAATTTCAGTATTATTGTGTCTCCTGGGATAGAGAGGCCTGAGGAGAAGGAGAGAGACAGGAGAAGCCCCAGTCAGCGGAGCAGTCAGAATACACACAATATGTATTGATTAAGTTCGCCATCTTATATGGGTTTGATTCATGGTGCCCCCAAACAATTACAGTAGTAACATCAAAGATCACTGATCACAGATCACCATAACAGATATAATAATAATGAAAAAGCTTGAAATGTTGTGAGAATTACCAAAATGTGACACAGAAACACAAAATGAACACATGCTGTTGGAAAAATGAGCTGACAAACTTGCTCCACTTAGGATTATCACCAACCTTCAATCTATGAAAAATACAATATCTGCAAAGCACAATAAAGTGTATTAAAGTGAGATATGCATGTAAATATACCTAAAATTCATGGCAAATATATCGAGGCAAACAGATTAATATAGTGGGGACTAGATATGGCAAGTAGGTTTTATTTCATGGGCTAGCTTTGATTGATAGTGAAGACTGCCTGGAAGACTGCATTGAGAAGTTAGTTGGACGCAGCTTCTGGATTAGTGGGAAAGGATACTGTGATCATTGAGCAGTGTTTATTGTTATGAGTAGGAGTAGTGATGGCGTTAGTGCCTGTATTTGCTGTCCCTGGTGTAGACAGAATATTCAGAATGCTAAATAGCACATAGGTGGGTGGCTTTTAAGTTTAAAGTTAGGTTTTGCAGGGAGAGATGTGGATTTGAGGAAAAATGGCTGGTGACTCTTTGGAATTAGCAGTCAGATTGGTTCAGCTAGAATAAAAAGTCTGTAGTGCGTTAAGGAGAAAGGAGGTTGGTGGAAAAAGTGAGGAAGGGGTTGTAGAAAGCCTTAATGGATAGATGGAGTAGATTAGGTTTTCTTTTTTAGCTCCTAAATTTTTTTTCTCATTAATCCTCTACATTATTTCCATAGTCTTTGTCTTAGTTCAGTTCCTGGTCATCCTTTTTATTTTAAAAGTTAATTATTTTTTGAATAGATAATACATTAATATGTTTCAAATTTTATTTTTTATTATTTTATTTTTTTTTCGAGACAAGGTCTCACTCTGCCACCCAGGCTGAAGTGCAGTGGTACAGTCAGGGTTCTCTGCAGCCTCAACCTTCTGGGCTCAGGTGATCCTCCTGCCTCAGCCTCCTGAGTAGCTGGGACTATAGGTGCATGCCACCACACCTGGTTAATTTTTGTATTTTTTATAGACTCAGGGTTTATGCCATGTTGCCCAGGCTGGTCTCAAACTCCTGAGCTCAAGCAGATCCGCTTGCTTCAGCCTTCTAAAGTGCTGGGGTTACAGGTGTGAGCCACTGTGCCTGGCCTCAAAATTTAAAAGGTGTAAGAGGACACATTACAAATTCTTCCTTTCATTCCTACTCAGCTGCTGAGTTCTCTCCTCCACAAAGTCAGTGTCATCAGATTCTTATGTATTCTTTCAGAAATATTTTATATATATGCATATGATTTCCCATCCTTTTTATACAAACGATACTTCAGTACCTATTCCTATATTGCTGCTTCTGTATCACATAGTGTTCTGTACCTTACTTTTTTTACTTCTTGGAAAATTACATTAAAAGCTTTCATCTTTTCTATTTTTAAATATACTTTTTGTTTTAGAATAATTTTGGATTTGCAGAACAGTTGCCAAATAGTACAACGTCCCAATATACACCTCACCCAGTTTCAGTTTCCACTAACAGTATCCTACTGTGGTTCATTTGTCAAAACTAAGAAACCAGCATCAGTATGTTACTGTTAACTGGAGACTTGCTTTGGATATCACCAGGGTTTCCATTAAAGTTCTTTTCTGTTTCAGGAACCATCTAGAAAACAAGATTGCATTTAGTTGTCATTTCTCCTTAGTCTCCTCTGACAGTTTCTCAGAGGTGTTTTTTTTTTGTTTGTTTGTTTTAAATGATAGTTTTAAGAAGTACTGGTGATTTATTTTAAGACACAAACACTAAAAAACAAAAGTGTTGAACCTTACTTTTTGTCAGCTGGATGGGGGTAGTAGTGGTGGTGGTCCTTTGCTCTTTTCCCATGTTTGAGTTTTATGTTTGGAAGTCTGTGAGGTCAGCCTAGCCACCTATGTATTTTATGCCTCTCTTCTCCCCAGACTTTTATAATTCATTTACTTCTCACAGGATGGAGGCTGTATGAACTTTGGGATGGAGAACAGATTCCTGGGGGTTGGAAGGGAGGAAGATATGCAAAAATGGTCACCACACTGAAAGAAAGAAAGGGGTATCAAACCAGGAGAGGAAAGGAGACACTATGAAAATAACATCTGGATCTTTGCAGCTTGAGTCTTGGGTTCTGAATAATTAAGTTTAAAAGGTGGCAGGGACAAAAGAGAGGTCAAGTCACCTATTAACTTTTTGGGCCAGATTCTCCCAGGTGTGGTATCTGTACTAAAACAATTTTTCTAGTGGACCCAGCAAAATAAAAAGCAAAGCCCCTACTTCCTCAATTTAACCAAGTCAAACCAAAAGGTAAAAATACCTCTTAGCTGCCTCGAAGTGCAAGACAAGCATTTAAAAAGACAGTTCAGTCCTTGTTTAAATCTTTTTCTGTTTTGATAGAGGAAGGTGGAAGATGGTGGACTCCTGAGGCAGCAGATAGGAAGGATACTATAGAGAACTTAAGACAAGAGAAAAGAGAGCTTACAGGCAGCTCAGAAGACAAACAGCGATTTTTATAGTTTTTACTAGATCTTGAATTACCTTTACTCACAGCCAGATGAAAGCTCAATACCACAGATTTCTCCTAGTAGGACAGGCAGCTAACCAGATAATGCTTCTTGAGTTATGGTGAGGCGTAAGCCACTACTACTTTATAATTTAGGATTTATATCCCATTTACTTTCAAAATACCTAAGAACTCCAAGATTAGAAATAGAGTGAGTGGATGCATTAGGGCCTCTGAATTAAGCAGGTGATAGCACTTGGACTACAGTTTAATTCTGTTCTGAACATAACAGTTTCTGTTAAAATGTCATTTGAGCTAAACTGCTTTTGAACCTTGAGAGAATATTTAAGCCTATCAGTTACTCATACCTTAGTGTGAATCATTTAAGCAAATTATTGCTCTTCTCTGTAATACTTTGCTGACATCAGATACTGTGGAAATAAGAATGTTGATAGGACAGAGAATTTTATAATTTACATCTGGTCTTAGTCCATTCAGGGTGCTATAACAGAATACCATATTCTGGGTGGCTTATGAGCAACAAAAATTTATTTCTTACAGTTTTGGAGGCTGGGAAATCTAGGATCCAAGCACGGCAGATTTTGTATCTGGTGAGGGCCAGCTTCTTGGTTTGTAGTTGACCATCTTCTTGCTGTGTCTTCATATGGGAAAAAGGGCAAGGGAACTCTCCAGATTTCTTTTATAAGGATACTAATCTCATTGATTAGGTCTCTGCCCTGATGAACTAATCACCTACCAAAGGCTTCATCTCCTAATACCTTCACATTAGATGTTAGAATTTTAACGTATGATTTTGTGGGGGAGGACACAAACATTCAGTCTATAGTGCATCTCTTGTGCAGGATCATGCTGGACACTGCAGTTGTTGCTTTGGGTGACATTTAAACATTGAGCATAGACTGGTGATTGGAAGCACTGGTGTTGGAGCAAGGACAGGTCTGGATTAGACAGAACCTGGCCCTCCTTAATCATTCCACATATGGTAACTAATAAATCTTCATCCACCCCTATGTGACCATTGTTATTCTTGTACTTTATTTTAGAACACAGCATTCAAATATTAGAAAGTACAAAAGAGGTTTCGGGTAAGTTTCCCACCCATGTGTAGCAAGATATAAAGAGTTTCTTTCTGTGGCCACACCCAGTTCCTTCTCACCCACTGCTTCCTCCTTAATACCTGGCAGCCATTATTCTCCAATTTCTATAGTTTTGTCATTTCAAGAGTGCTATATAAATGGGATCTTATTGTATATATATTTTTGGGATTGGTTTTTTTAATTCAGCATAATTCACTGGAGATTCATACACAGGTTACTCTGTTTCCATAGTTCCTTTTTAATTACTGAGTAGTATTCTGTGGTATGGATGTACCACAGTTTATTCACCCATTGAAGGATATCTAGGCTGTTTCTAGCTTTTGACTCTTAGGAGTAAAGCTGCTGTAAATGTTCATGTATAGGTTTTTGTGTGAACATGAGTCTTCATTTCTCTGGAATGAATGCCTAAGTGTGCAGTTGCCAAGATGTATGGTAGTTGAATGTTTAGGTTTTTAAAGAGATTACCAAACTGTCTCCCATAGTGTCTGTACTGTTAATATTTTAAATTGCCACTAACTATATGAATGTTAAAGGTGGAATTATATCCCCACAAATTTCATAGGTTGTGTGAAGCTCTAACCCCTAGTACCTCAGAGTGTGATTGTATTTGGAAACAGGTCTTTTAAAAAGTGATTTTAGTTGAAATTGGGTCTTTAGAGTGGCCCCTAATCCATCTGACTGGTGTCCTTAAAAGAAGAAATTTGGACACACAGACACCAGGGATATGTGCACACAAAGGAAAGACCATGAAAGGGCACAGAGAAAAGGCAGTACCTGCAAGCCAAAGTAAGAGGCCTCAGAAGAAACCAAACCTGCTGACACCTTAATCGTGGACTTCTAACCTCCGGAACTGTAAGAAAAGACATTTTGCTGTTTAAACTACCCAGTCTGTAGTATTTTGTTATGATTGCTCTAGGAGAATAATACAATGAGTGATCCAGTGTTTTTGCAATTTGGTTCTTCACTGTTTTTATTTTAGCCATTGTGATAAGTTTGTAGTGATGTCTCACCGTGGTTTTAATTTGCATTTTCCTGGTGGCTGATGATGTTGAACATCTTTTCATGTGCTTGTCATCGGTATATCCTCTTTGATGAGTTGTCTGTTTGTGACTTCTGCCCTTCTGCCCATTTTCTATTTGGATTTTTTTTTTAACTGTTGGGTTTCAAGCCTTCTCTATGTATTCTAGAAACTAGTTCTTTATTGAATATGTGGTTTGTTAAGTAATTTATTCCACTCTGTAGCTTGTCTTTTCATTGTTTTAACATGTTGTTCACAGAGCAAATATTTTTAATTTTGATGAAATTTCAGCTCTAGATCCTGAAAATTTTAGAAGACTTTTATTCTAAAAGTTTTACAGTTTTTCACTTTTCATTTAAGTCCATGATCGATTTTGTGTAAGGTGTGAGACTTAGGTCAAGGTTCTTTTTTTTTTTTTTTGCCTGTGGATATTCAGTTGCTCTACCACCATTTGTAGGAAAGGCAGTCTTTCTCCATCGAGTTGTTTTTGTACCTTTGTCAAAAAGCAGTTGGGCATATTTGTGTGTTTCTATTTCTGAGTTCTCTCTTCTGTTTTATTCATTTATTGGGTTAACTGATTCCTTCTACTGCATTATTTTCCAAAATTGTTTTAGGTATTCTTTTTTTGCCTCTGTACGTAACTTTTAGGATAATTTTTTTCTGTATTTACAAAGAATTTTGATAGAATTATGCTAGGAATTGCATTTAACTCATATAAATTCAGAGAGAATTGACACGTTTCTATAGTGAGTCTGCAAATCCATGAACATGTTATGTCTCTCAATGTTTTATAGCTCTTTGATTTCTCTCATCAGTATTTTGTAGTTTCCAGCATACAAGTATTATACATGTTTTGTTAGATTTATAACTAAGTATTTAATTTTTTGGAGTGATTATAAATGGTATTGTTTTTTAAATTTCATTGTTCATATGTTCGTTGCTAGTATGTAGAAATACAATAGGGTTTTATATGTTTGTCTTATATCCTGCAGCCATACAGAACTCACTAGTTCTAGGAATTTTTGCTAGATTTCTTGGGATTTCCTACATAGGCAATTATTTGCAAATAGGGGTAGTCTTCTTTTTTTTTTTTTTTTTAATCTGTATGCCTTTTATTTCCTTTCCTTGTTATTGCACTGATTAGAACTTCCAAAACTGTACTGAAAAGATTGGTGAAAGTAGACATACTTGCCATGCTTTTTTTTTTTTTTTTTTTCTTAAAGACGGGATCTCACTCTGTCACCCAGGCTGGAGTGCAGTGATGCGATCATGGCTCAGTGCAGCCTTGACCTCCTGGGCTCAAGTGATCCTTCCACCTCAGCCTCCTGAGTAGCTAGGACCACAGGTGGGCACCACCACACCCAGCTAATTTTTTTGTTCTTTTTTTTTTTTTGTACAGACAGGGTTTCCCTACGTTGACCAGGTTGGTCTTGAACTCCTGGGCTAAAGCAATTTTCCTACCTTGGCCTCCCAAAGTGCTGAGATTATAAGTCTGAGCCACTGTGCCTGGCTGCCATATTCTTTATCTTAGGAAAAAGTATTCAGTCTTTCACAATTGAGTATAATATTAGCTTTAAGTTTTTAATGCAAACTCTTCATCAAGTTGATGAAGTCTCCTTTATTCATATTTTTCTAAGAGGTTTCTTAGGTACTGAATTTTGCCTATTGCTTTTTTTTTTGCAAGAGTTCATGATTATGTGATTGTTACCTCCTTTAGCTTGTTGACATGATTTTCTAATATTCAATCAACTTGCCATCCCTGCAATAAACCCCCCTTGATTACTTTGTATAATCTTGCTGTATATTGCTGAATACTATTTGCTAATATTTAGTTTAGGATTCTTAGGTTTATATTCATGTCTTTGCCTAGTTTTGGCATCAGGGTAATACTAACTTAAAATGAAATGGAAAGTGTTTCCTCCTCTTCTGTATCTGGTGTAGAATTGGTGTTAATTCCTTTTAAAGTATTTTGTTGACTTCTCCACCTGGGCTTGGAGATTTCTTTTTTTCTTTTTTCTTTTTGAGTTTTATAAACTGTGAATTTATTTTACTTGATAACTAAAGAACTATTCAAATTATCTATTTTATATTAGATGGGTTGTGATAGTTTGAGGAAGTGGCCCATTTAGTCTAAAAATGTGTAGAGGTGTTCATAGTACTCTATTTTGCTGTCTGCAGAGTCTGCCATGAGATCTCTGTTGCATTCCAGATACTGGTAATCTGTGTCGTCTCTGTTTTTCTTTGCCTTTTTTCCCCCTTCTGCTTGCTTTGGGTTTATTTTGCTCTTGAGATGGGAGCTTAAATTATTGGTTTGAGATTTTTTCTCTTTTCTAATGTATGCATTTAGTGCTATAAATTTCCCTTCAGCATTGCCTTAGCTATGTTCCATATATTTGGATATATTGTAGTTTCATTTTTCATTCAGTTCAATGTATTTTTTTATTTTCCTTGAGACTTCCTGTTTGGCTCTTAGGTAGTGTAAATTTCTGTTTATTCCTGTATCTGCTGTACATTTAAGTCATTGCTAATTATTTACCATCCTAAATAATATTGTCAGAAATAACATCCTTTAATCAGGCACGGTGGTTCATGCCTATAACCCTAGCCCTTTGGGAGACCAAGGCAGGAGGATCCCTTGAGCCTAGGACTTCAAGACCTGCCTAGGCAACATAACGAGATCTTGTCTCTACAAAAAAAGAAAAAAAAAAAATTTAACAAATTAGCCAGGTGTGGTGGTACATGCCTGTAGTCCTAGCTACTTAGGAGCTGATGTGGGAGGGATTGTGTGAGACAAAGAGTTCTAGGCTGCAGTTAACTAAGAAGGTGCCACTGCATTCCTGCCTGGGTGACAGAGCAAGAAAGACCCTGTCTCTTAAAACAAAAACAAAAACAAAAACAAACAAAATATTTGGGCAGCTTCCATCTTCTAAAGCTGAGTTTTCTAGATTTTTGTAAATGTTATAAGAACTTATGCTTCATTTATTTATTTTTTAATATGCTTATCCCTCATACAGCATCTAGACTTAGGCTTTTATTAGATAAAATGGTCTTATATAATGTAAACAAAGTTGGAATTAAAAAAAAAAAACTACCCTGATCTGATCAGCATGCATTATATATCAAAACATTACTATGTACTACGTGAATATGTACAATTATTTGTCAATTAGAAAAATCAGTAAAATTAATACTTTAAAAATATGTGCCCAGCCTTCACCACTATTGTAGTTATAAATATTACCTGGGTAGGTAATAAAAGAATATGTGCCCAAGTGGAATCTGAAAGTGGGAGACCATCCTCAACATGGACAAAGCAGAGAAAAAAATAAAAAATATATATAATGGGAGAATAATTCCTATTTCATAAACTCCTCAAAGTTGGATTTGGTCAGACTGCTGAGTAGATCTTTCCAACAAGTTTTTACCATTAACCTACTTTCACTCTGCCACCTTCTCATGAGATTTTTTAGAAATGTTACTTGGTTACTAAGTGGTTGAAGATTGTTCTTTTATCTTTCTGTTATTGATTTCTAGTTTGAGTCCATATTGGTCGGAGAAGAGATTCTGTATGATTTTGTTATTTTAAATTTGTTGAGATTTGCTTTATTGCTCAGGTCTATCTTGGTTTGATCTATCTTAGTCTGTGATCCATGTGCATTTGGGGAGAAATTTATATTCTCCTGTTTTGTGGTAGACTGTTTTATAAATGTTGATTAGATCTGGTTGGTTGATGTAGTGTTGAGTTCTTCTGTATCCTTGTTGATTTTCTGTGTAGTTGTTCGATAGACACTTGTGTGATAAACACTTGAGAGAGAGAGAAAGAGAGCGAGAGATACTGAAGAGATATCTGCAGTTATAACTGTGCATTTGTCTTTTTAGTTCTTTAGTTTTTGCTTCACATATTTTTCAGCTTTGTTATTTGGTGCGTACACATTTAGGATTGCTATGTCTTCTTGATGAATTGGCCCTTTTATCATTATAAAATGTACATCTCTATCTCTGGTATAGCCATTCTCACTTTTCTTTGGTTAATTTTTTTTTTTTTTTTTTTTTTTTGAGATGGAGTCTCACTCTATCACCCAGGCCGCAGTGCAGTGGCATGATCTTGGCTCACTGCAACCTCTGCCTCTTGTGTTCAAGCAATTCTCCTGCCTCAGCCTCCTGAGTATCTGGGATTACAGGCGCACGCCACCACACCCAGCTAATTTTTGTGTTTTTAGTAGAGACGGGGTTTCGACACATTGACCAGGCTGGTCTCGAACTCCTGACCTTGTGGTCCGCCCGCCTTGGCCACCCAAAGTGTTGCGATTATAGGCGTGAGCCACTGTGCCCAGCCTGGTTAATGTTTACATGATTTATTTTTTCCATCCTTTTACTTTGAGGTTGCCTTTTTAGTATATTTGAAGTGAGTTTCTTGTAGGGAGCAATTAGTTGGGTGATGTTTTTTAATCTACTCTATTAACATGTTTTTTAATGAATATATTTAGAGTAATATATTTACTGTAGTTGTTGCTATGTTAGGGCTTACGTCTGCCATTTTATTTTCTGTTCATCCCTGTTTCTCTTTTGTCTGTTTTCTTTTTCCTCCCTTTTTATGGGTTATTTGAGCATATTTTATTTTTTTGAGACAGGGTCTCACTCTGTTGCCCAGGCTGGAGTGCACTGGTGCCATCACAGCTCACTGCAGCCTCTGGGCTTGAGTGATCCTCCCACCTCAGCTCCCCCTAAGTAGCTAGGACCATAGGTGTGTGCCACCATATCTGGCTACTTTTTTTTTTTTTTTTTTTTTTTTTTTGAGACAGAGTCTCACTCTGTCGCCCAGGCTAAAGTGCTGTGGCACAATCTCGGCTCACTGCAACCTCCCTCTCCCGGGTTCAAGTGATTCTTCTGCCTTAGCCTCCTGAGTAGCTGGGACTACAGGCATGTGCCACCACACCTGGCTAATTTTTGTATTTTCAATAGAGACAGGGTTTCACCATATTGGCCAGGCTGGTCTCGGAACTCCTAACCTCATGATCCGTCCGCCTCAGCCTCCTAAAGTGCTGGGATTACAGGCGTGAGCCAACGTGCCCAGCTCATCTGGCTAATTTTTAAAAATATTTTGTAGAGACAGGGTCTTGCTATGTTGCCAACATGCTGTGTTGCCCAGGCTGGTCTCAAACTCCTGGACGGAAGCAATACTCCTGCCTTAACCTCCCAAAATGCTGGATTACAGGCATGAGCCACCATACCCAGCAAGCGATGTTAGAATTCTATTTTGATTCATGTGTTTCGTTTTTGAGTGTATCTCTTTGTGTATCTTTTTTGGTGGTTGCTCTAGCTATTAATTGTATATACATAATTTATTACAGTCTACTGTTGTCATCATTTAACCAGTTTGAGTGAAGTGTAGAAGTCTTACCTCCTTTATGGCTCTTTACCCCATTTGTAATATAATCATCTTACAGTGTTTCCTGTACACACATTTAGAATCATGTCAGACAGCTATATCCTTGCTTCAGGTGTCAAACATAATTTAGACAACTCAAGACAAAGGAAGCCTATTGTATTTTCCCATATTTTTGCTTAACTACCTTTTTTTGTTTGTTCCCGCTTTTCTGTGGTTTCCTCTTTTACCATTATCTTTCTATTTAGAAAATTTCTTTTAGCCATTCTTTTGAGGTATGTATGTTGGAAAAAGTTTTGCTTAGTTTTTCTTCATTTGAGAATGTTTTGATTTCTCCCTCTAGCCTATAATATATTTTTACTGAGTAGAGGATTCTGGGTTGATAGTCTTGCTTCATCACTTGAAAAATATTGTACCACTCCCTTCTGGCCTCCATGTTTTTTTTTTTTGTTGGTTTGTTTTTTTTGAGACAGAGTCTCACTGTATCTCCCAGGCTGTAGTGCAGTGGTGTGATCTCGGCTCACTGCAGCCTCCACCTCTTGGGTTCAAGTGATTCTCCTGTCTCAGCCTCCCGAGTAGCTAGGACTACAGGCGTGGGCCATCATGCCTGGCTAATTTTTTGTATTTTTAGTAAGAGACGGGGTTTCACCATGTTGGCCAGGCTGGTTTTGAACTCCTGATCTCAAGCAATTCACCTGCCTTGGCCTCACAAAGTGCTGGGATTACAGGTGTGAGCCACTACATCCAGCTGGTTTTGTTTTATTTAAAAATTAATTAATTCATTCAGTTTTTTAGAGATTTAGAGACAGAATCTTGTACTGTCACCCAGGCTGTAATGTAGTGGCAAGATCATAGCTCACTGCAGCCCCAAGGTCCTGGGCTTAGTGAGGCTCCTGCTGGAGCCTCCCAAGTAGCTAGGATACAAGTGTACACCACCTCATTTGTGTGTGTGTGTGTGTGTGTATATATATATATATATACACACACATATATATATATTTTTAATAATTTAAACTTTTATTTTAGATTCATGGGGTACATATGTAGTTTGTTACATGGGTGTAGTGCATGATGCTGAAGTTAGGGTATGAATGGTCCTGTCACCCAGGTAGTGAGTAAAGTACCCAATAGGTTGTTTTTCAGCCCTTAGCCCCCACCCACCCTCTCCCCTCTAGTAGCCCCAGTGTCTCTTGTTATCTTTATGTCCATGTGTACCCGTAGTTTAGCTCCCACTTACAAGTGAGAACATGCGGTATTTGGTTTTCTGTTTCTTTGTTAATTCACTTACGATGATGTCCTCTAGCTGCATCCATATTGCTGCAAAGGACTTGATTTCCTTCTTTTTTATGGCTACATAGTATTCCATGGTACATTTGTACCACATTTTCTTTATCCAGTCCACCATTGATGGGTGCCTAGATTGATTCCATGTCTTTGCTATTGTGAATAGTGTTGCAATGAACATAAAAGTGCATGTGTCTTTTTGGTAGAACAATTTATTTTCTTTTGGATATATACCCAGTAATGGGATTGCTGGGTCGAATGGTAGTCCTGTTTTAAGTTATTTGAGAAATCTCCAAACTGCTTTCCCCACTGGCTGAACCAGTTTACATTCCCACTAACAGTATATAAATGTTTCCCTTTCTCTGCAGCCTTGCCAGCATCTGTCATTTTTTTTGACTTTTTAATAATAGCCATTCTGACAGGTATGTTTGCATTTCTCTGATGACTAGTGATATTGAGCATTTTTTTCAAGTTTGTTGGCTGCTTGTATGTCTGTTCATGTCTATTGCCCACTTTTTAATAGGGTTGTTTTTTGCTTGTTGAATTGATTAAGTTCCTTATAGATTCTGGATATTAGACCTTTGTCAGATACATAATTTGTGAATGTTTTCTTCCATTTTGTAGGTTGTCTGTTTACTGTGTTGATAGTTTCTTTTGCTGTGCAGAAGCTCTTTAGTTTAATTAGGTACCACTTGTCAATTTTTGTTTTTGTTGCACTTGCTTTTTAGGACTTAGTCATGAATTGTTTGCCAAGGCTGATGTCTAGAATGGTATTTCCTAGGTTTTCTTTTAGGATTTCTATGCTTTTAGGTCTTACATTTAAGTCTTTAATTCATCTTGAGTTAATTTTTGTATGTGGTAAAAGGTACTGTCCGGTTTCATTCTTCTGCACGTGGCTAGCCAATTATCCCAGCACCATTTATTTGAATAGGGAGTCCTTTCCCATTGCTTGTATTGTTGAAGAGCAGATGGCTGAGGTTTGTCTTTATTTTGGGGTTCACTTTTCTGTTCCATTTGTCCATGTGTCTGTTTTTGTACCAGTACCATGCTGTGTTGGTTACTGTAGCCTTATAGTATTGTTTGAAGTTGAGTAATGTAATACCTCTGGCTTTGTTCTTTTTGCTTAGAATTGCTTTGGGTACTTGGGTCGTTTTTTGGTTCCAGATGAATTTTAGAATAGTTTTTTCTAATTCTGTGAAAAATGACATTGGTTGTTTGATAGGAATTGCATTAAATCTGTAGATTGCTTTGGGCAGTATGGCCATTTTAATGATGTTGATTCTTCCAATTCATGAACATGTAATGTTTTTCCATTAGTTCTCTATAACTTGTTTAAGTAGTGTTTTGTAGTTCTTTTTGTAGGGATCTTTTACCTCCTTGGTTAGATGTATTCCTAGGTATTTTATTTGTGTGTGTGTGGCTATTGTAAATGGGATAGTATTTTTGATGTGGCTCTCACCTGGAATGTTATTGGCATATAGAAGTGCTACTGATTTTTGTACATTGATTTTGTATCCTGAGACTCTACTGAGCCCATTTATCAGTTCTAGGAGCCTTTTGATGAAGGCTTTAGTGTTTTCTAGGTATACAATCATATTATAATGAAAACAGATAATTTGACTTCTTTTCTTACATATATGCCTCTTATTTCTTCCTCTTGCTCAATTGCTCCCTCTAGGCCTTCCTGCCTGTTCTTAATTTTTTTTTTTTTTTTTTTATGAGACAATGTCTCGCTCTTTCACCCAGGCTGGAGTGCAATGGCATGATCTCAGCTCACTGCAGGCTCCGCCTCCTGGGTTCATGCCATTCTCCTGCCTCAGCCTCTCCAGTAGCTGGGACTACAGGTACCCGCCACCATGCCTGACTAATTTTTTGTATTTTTAGTAGAGACAGGGTTTCACCGTGTTAGCCAGGATGGTCTCGATCTCCTGACCTCGTGATCTGCCTGCCTTGGCCTCCCAAAGTGCTGGGATTACATGCGTGAGCCACTGTGCCCGGCCCTAAATTTTTTTTTTAAAGATGAGAGTCTTGCTATATTGCCAAGACTGGTGTTGAACTGGCCCGAGCAATCTTCCTGCTTGAGCCCCCATCATGAGCCACTTCATTTGGTGGCTTTTGATGAGCAATCTGCTTTCATTTGAATTATTTTTGTTTTCTCTTGTAGATAAGATTCCATTTATTTTCTGAATGCTTTCTTTGTCCTTAGTTTTCAAAAGTTTAATTAGGGTGTAACTTGGCACAGATTTTTTTTGTGTGTGTCCCTCCTCTTTCCGCTTCATTCACCTTCTTTATGTTTGGGTTCTTTGCCAAATTGGGGAAGTTTTTAGCCCTTAATTTCTTCAAGTACTTTTTCAGTCCTCCCCTCCCTTTCTCCTCTGCTTCTGGGACTCCAGTGAAACAAATGTTTGATCTTTCATATAGTCTCACTGGTCCTTGAGGATCTGTTCATTTGTTCTTCCACCTGTGTTCTTGATATTATCATGCAACTTCTACTATATTCTATTTTATTGATTTCCTTTGTTTGTGCCCTCATTCTGCTTTTTATCCCATTTACTGCACTTTTATTTAATTATTGTATTTTTTGGTTCTAAAGTTTCCATTTGGTTCACTTATATTTTCTGTTTGTTTGCCAAGATTGTCTGTTTTCTTAGTGAGGGTTTCTTTTTTTTTGTTTTAAACATGTTCATAATTCCTTGTGGAAGCATTTTCATCATGGCTGCTTTAAAATCATTGTCAGATCATTCTAACAGCGCCCCTTGTGGGCTCCACTGGGCTCCACTCACACAACAGGGATGGGGGATGTTGGAGGTGGGAGATCATTACTAGATGAATGTGTTGGATCCCTACTTGGCTTTCTCTCACTTCACACTCCTGAGGGGTGTTATATGCCTCCTTACAGACTTTCAAGAATGAAAGTCTAGGCCCTCCACTTGACCTTCTGGCATGGGTGAGGGTGAGGCCAGTGTTTTGTGTATTTTGGGCTAGAGTAGCACTTTTTTTGTCTAAAGTTTTTTTTCTTGCTGGACTGCTCCTTCCTGGTCTTTTGACTGGCGGCTTTTGTTGGGGCTTTATTTTTGTCTTCTCCTATTGTTATTTCCAGGTTGCCGGTTTTACAGCTGCAAGTCTGAGATGTAATTAGGCAAAAAGAAAACTCAAGGGAAACTTAATCTTAGGTCCTGAGGCCCCTAGTCAGTCTGTGTTCCTTTCTCTACCGTTCACAGACTTCTTAGGCTTGTTTTATATGTAATGTGTAGCACTTTTATTTGTACTTAGTGAGAGGAATAGGAAAAATTGTATCTACTCCATCTTCCAGGAAGTAGAACACCAAGTCACTCCTTTTAGAAAACCTCCAGTGACTCTCTGTTGCCTGTAGATCATCATCTAAGTTTCTTCGTCTGTTATTCAGAGAGCTTCTTAATCTGTGAAGAATCTTAGCTTTTCTCTCCTCTTCCAACTACTCCTGTGTGTCTCTGTTACACCATTTGATGTTCTATAGAATTCTATTCTATAGGATTCTGCGTTTCTACTGTCTGTATACCATGACCTTGATCAATTTGTTCTTCTGTCTGAAATGCACCAATCGTTCATCTCAAGGCCATGTGTCTCATCACCTTGTAATCTGCAAGCTGTTAGGTATTTGACTGGATCATCAGTTGTTTCAGAAGATGTGAAGCTGGAACTATTGAAAAATGTCAAAATAATATGTTCTGCACCAGAATAGTTTGATTGTCCTTCTAAAGTAAGGTAATGATTGTAAATTGGTTGTTAATATATCAGTATCACCAGTCACTGATTGTGGAGCATCTACTCTTTGTTGAGTATTGGACTTAAACATTGGAATAGTAGATAATTTAAGGTTTGCATGTAGTTAAATGGCATTTCTTTAAGAATAAAGCGTTAGTAGTGCTAAATGATGCCTTATTGTTTTAATCTATCTTAATAATGATAAAGACTTGGCCAGTGGTTTTGAATCCTAGCTGCATATGTTGTTTACCTGGGGGGCTCTGAAATAATTCCTGTGCCTAGGTCTAAACCCAGAGATTGTCATTCAGTTGATTTGAACTGGGGCTCTCACATTTATATTTTTTAAAAGCTCCCCACATGATTCTAATGTGTAGCTGGGTTAAAATATAAGTGAATACCAGTGGTTTCAGTCACTTTTAAAGTTCTTTCCCAGAATGCTTCCAGCTGTGCAGCTTTTAACTTTATACTTCAAAGTCTTTACCTTAGCAGATTCAAAAAAAAAACCTTGTACTTCCTGCAGATGACTCATCCAGGAGAGTCATTATATGAACTATGAGCTGGTTTGCAAAAGGAAGAAAACATTTTGTGGCAGTAATTAAATTTCTGTAGACAATATGAAATAACAGAATTCAGGATTATTCTCTCAAAGATTTAAAAAAAAATTCTCTATTCATTTTTTTAAAAGGTGGTTGCAGGAACAGTACAGAGCTTATAGCATCCTATATAATCCATTGATACTGTAGACTTTTGTTGAATTAATAGTCTTAATCTCACTTCAAGTGTTTACTTTTGTCAGATACTAAGATACATAGTTGGCACAAATATAGATAATAAATAATTTACTGCTACAGCAGAGAAATCAAACATTAGTCGTGATTAATAAATGAGACACTCTTGAATTTCTTATGATAAAACTGGTGTAAACATTTGGCATGTAAGTAGTTAATGTATTTAATTTAAGAGACTGACAGACTTTTAGTTTCTAATAATAAAAGCAGTTAGGGATAAGAAAACGAGGGCAAGGCAGAGGAAGAAAAGAAGGAGAAAAGAGGTCAGTTAATAAAGAACATAGAGAAAAAATAGACTCAAAGATAAGAATTCAATTAACTTTGTGACAACAAAGCCTTTCCTCTGAGGAAGAAGAAATTAGGTGCTCTAGTTCATTATTTATTTTAGGGCCATATACTCAATTTGGTTTATTATATTATGACTCCAAAGCACAGAAAGAATTATAAAATAACACTGACCTTTTTCCCTACACATAGTAATTTATTGAGCAATAAGTTTCTAGTTTCTTACAGAAACTGGCATGACTGAGGGGACTACTTCAAAGGGGCTGATGCTTCATATTAGGTTAATCTCTAGGAATGGTAATAAGAACATTATTAGATAATTGTCAAAGTATTTGTCAAATTTTGTTTTTCTAAATGTATAAGCTGTAACTTTTATTTAATATATATTTTTATGGAATCTAAGAATTTTGAAGAAATTTGATCATGACAGGATTTCTAAGGCCATGAGAAGGCGTTAATTTTATTATGCCAACAGTTTTCTGTGGACTTACTAGTATGATTGTACAGTTGATCCTTGAACAATAGGTTTGAACCAGATGGGTTCACTTTATGTGGCTTTTCTTCTATATCTGTCACCCCTGAGACAGCAAGGCCAACCTATCCTCTTCCTCCACTTTCTCAACTGACTCAATGTAAAGACAACAAGGATGATGACATTTTTGATGATCCACTTCCAGTTAATGAATAGTAAATATATGTTCTCTTCTTTTGATTTTCTTAATAAGATTTTATTTTCTCTAGCTTTATTGTAAGAATATTGTATATAGTACATATACAAAATATATGTTAATTGCTTTTATGTTATTGGTAAGGCTCTGGTCAGCAGTAGGCTCTTAGTAGCTGAGTTTTTGGGGAGTCTGAAGTTACATGTGGATTTTTGACTATGTGGAGGGCAGGTGCCCATAATCCCTGTATTGCTCAAAGGTCCACTTACAATTAATACTTACAGTTTCATTTCCAAATTTGTATGCCATGACTGGATCTCTGTTATTCTGGCAAGAGATAAAGATACTGACTCCCATGGAGTCTCTGATGAGCAGGGGTGGGGCAAGTCTCTGTACTCAAACATTGAGGGCAGATTTTGAAGTTACCCTTTATGCTTCTATATTTGGCATATGTGTCATATTACAAGTTTGGAAAATGAGCTTACTGACAGAAGGGACCATGGAAAAAAATCACTTTCCTTATTTCAAAAGAAAATAAATCTTTTTAAAAATTAGCCCTTAAAATTATCTCCAAACTTAGCCATTTGTCTTATGTTCACTGACAGTATGCTTGGGACTTGTAGGGAAGGGACACACACACAATGGTAAATAAAAACTGGCTCAGTGCCTGACTTTGTAAAGCACATGTTTTTAATAGATGCTAAATTTTATGCCTGGAAATGTAGGCTACGATGGAAATGTGGGAAGGGCCAGGTAAACAAGGATCAAATTACGCCAAGTCCCCCAAAAAGACTAACACAAAGTGAACATCAGAAGGTCATCGGAAAAACCAGGAGAATGGGGTATTAAAACACAAGAAGACAGGAAAAGCAGTGCTAATTTCTGTAAGTATGGTTATGGATATTTGTGTGTCATGGTATTTTTTTTTTCACAGAAGCTTTCATATAGATTATCATGTCTTTACTGATTTAAGGATCTCTGTTTTAGGATTAGAAAATAATTTCATTTGTCCCTGTAATAATGTACATTATTAGAAAATAATTTCATTTGTCCCTTAGAAAGGAGGGCAAGTGCAACATTTGCAATGTTTTCTTTTAAACATTTTTCTGATAGAAGATTATATAATCAGTTTGGTTTTAGATCAAGAAAATACGATTAAGACCTAATTAGATATTTTTATAGACTTGATTTTAAATCAGTAATTACTGCTTTTAAAACGCTTTGACCAAAAAGATGATCCTTGTAATTAAATATTACCAAGTAAAACTACTTGGTAAAATATGGTTTTATATTATTCTATTTACATACATTTATTTTGGTCCCAACTCATGATTGTAAAGCCTGTGAACCACAAAGTGTTCTGGATCATCAAACGATAGCAAATAAAAATTAAAAAAAAAAAAAAAAAACTACATCAGATTTTTTTTCAAACATGAGTGTAAAATAATTAAGTCTAGGACTTGTTCTTACATATTAAATTACAAGTAAGAGCACGGGTCATCTCCCCTATTTAAATATTTTTCAGACTGAAATTTATTTTTTCATTTTCTTAGATTTTACTTGTCAACATACAGATTGAGGCTTTCTTAACATCTACCCTTTGCTATATGCTCAGGTCATGTGTATGTATATGTACATATAATTTAAAAAAATTACTTTTTAGATACAGGATCTCTCTGTGTTGCCCGGGTTAGAGTGCAGTGGCACGATTGTAGCTCATTGTAACCTCAAACTCCTGGGCTCAAGTGGTCCTCCCACCTCAGCCTCGCAAGTAGCTAGGGCTGTAGACATGTGCTACCATGCCCAGCTTTTTTTTTTTTTTTTTTTTTTTTTTTAAGAGATGAGGTCTCACTATGTTGCCCAGGCTGGTCTTGAACTCTTGGGGTCAAGCAATCCTCCTGTCTTAGCTTCCCAAAGTGCTGGGATTACAGGTGTGAGCCACCACACCTGGCTACATATAATTACTCATTGTAATAAACGCTATTTGAGTTCATATTAAGTAATTCAACAAGTAAAAATGACATGGTTCCTTCTGTCAGTGAGCTCTTGTTAGAAGGGGAGATGGATAATGATGAATGATAATCATAATAGAGTGGAAGGTAAATGGTAGCACTGAGGAGGGAGAGAATGGGTACTCATCCTCACCTTGAGTGTTGTGTCAGGGAAGGTTTCACAGAGAAGGTGAATCTAAGATAGGGTTAAAGCATGAGTAGGAATTTCATGGACAAAGGATTGTAGTAATGTTATTTCAGCGAAGATGACATCATAGGCCAGGGCTCAAACCGTGAAACAGTATTGCAAGTTCAGAGAGTTGCACTTGGTTTCTTGCTAATGAGAAAAACATGAAGTGGAGAGAGAGGCAGGAGGATGATCTGGAAAAGACTTAAGTCTTGTAAAAGAATTGGCTGTGGAGTACCATTCGGGATTTTCAAATGGAGTGAAAGAATTAATTTTGCAAGTGCGTAAAGGCGGGTGAGTGGAGTCAGGAAATGTTTCCAAGGTAATATGGTAATTGAGGCAATAGTGCTGTTGAGAAGAGGGTAGAATCAGCAGGCTATGTGCCATTGCATGTAGAGGGTACAGGAAAAGAATAACTTGAGGGTTTTCTTAAGTGTTTGCCTTTGGTTTTTATAATACGTATGTGGGTTTGGACATATGTTGAGAAATAACGTAGAAAAGCTTGTCACAGATGACTGTAATTTTACCTAAATTTATTTTATTTTGAAATAATTTCAGACTTATAGAAAAATTGCAAAGATAATTCAAAGAATTACTGTATAGGTTTCACTCCACATTCTCCTAATATTAACTTTTTACCATATTTGGTTTCATATTTTCATGAGACAGTATTTGTTTCTGAACCATTTGGGAGTAATTTGTAGACATTATGCCCCTTAGCCCCTAAATACTTATGTCCCTTTATTCCTAAGTATGTCTCCCTAAATAAGGATTTTTAAAAAATATATAACCACAATATAATCGTCAGTATCAGGAAGTTAACATTGATGCAGTACTCTATAGACTTTATTTAAATTTTGCAGTATTTCCTAATTTCCTTTTAAGTGAAAGAGAAACTGTTTCCCCTGGTTTAGGTTCCAGTTCAGGATTATATGTGTTACTTTTGGTTTTTCATGTCTCTTTAGGTTCCTTAATACAGAACACTTCCTCAGTCTTCCTTTGTGTTTCATAATATGACTTTTTTTTTTTTTTTTTAAAGAGATGAGATCTCACTATGTTGCCCAGGCTGGCCTTGAACTCCTGGCCTCAAGCAATCCTCCCACCTCAGCCTTCCAAAGTACTGGGATTACAGACAAAAGCCACTGTGCCCAGCTGATAAATGACATTTTTTAAAGAATTCCAGTCAGTTATTTTTTAGAAATATTTTTGCCATTTGAGTTTGTCTGCTATTTCCTCATGATTAGATTCAGGTTATGCGTTTCTGGCTGGAATACTACAGAAGTGATGTGTCTTCAGAATCTCTTGTCAGGACACCCATACTATTGTTTTGTTCCTTTACTGGTGATGTATACTCGTACTATTTTTAGTAGAGACGGGGTTTCACCATGTTGGCCAGGCTGGTCTCAAACTCCTGACCCCAAGTGATCTACCCGCCTCAGCCCCACAAAGTGCTGGGATTGCAGGTGTGAGCCACTGCGTCCGGCCTGAGCCTTTTCTTATATTCTGGCAATAAGTGTTTCAGAGTCATCTTGTACTTACCTTATCCAGCCTTGAAATCTGTCATATTTTCAAGCAGCCCTAATTCTTTTTAGTGTGAATGTTATTTAGAAATCAAGATCTGGGCACTCATGTTACTGAGAGATGTCTATTTATTTATTTATTTATTTAAAGGGATTTGCTTACATGATCATGGAGGCTGGTAAGTCTAATCTGCAGAGTCAGCAAGCAGGCTGGAGACCCAGAGAGAGCCGATGTTCTAGTTTGAAGGCCATCAGGCAGGAAGAGCTGATGTTGTGGAAGAGCTGATGTTGTAAATGAAGTCTGAAGGCAGTCCTGCTGGAGGAATGCCTCTTACTGAGAGTCAGTCTTTTTGTTCTACTCATGCTTTCAACTGATTTGATGAGGCCCACCTGCATTACGGAGGGCAAACTGATTTACTCTACCAGTTAAAATGTAAATCTTATCCAGAACACCCTTACAGAAAACAAGAAAATGTTTAACCAAATACCTGGACACACTGTGGCCCAGTCAAGTCAACACCTGAAATTACTGAAATTAACCATCAGAGCCCCCCAAGTGTACAGAGCCAGGGTAAGCATACACACATGCACACACACCAGGGCATGCATACACATACACACATGCACACATGCCAGGCCATGTGCACACACACGCATGCATGCATGCATGTATCCCTGTATCTATCTCTGTATAAAAACTATGAATACGATGGATGTGGTGGCTCATGCCTGTGATCCCAGCACTTTCAGATGCTGAGGCAGGTGGAGTAGTTGAGGTCAAGATTTTGAGACAAGCCTGGCCAACATGGTGAAACCCTGTCTCTACTAAAAATACAAAAATTAGCTGGGCACTGTGGTATGCGCCTCTAACCCCAGCTACTTGGGAGACTGAGGCAAGAGAATTGCTTGAACCCAGGAGGCAGAGGTTGCCGTGAGCTGAGATCCTGCCACTGCACTCCAGCCTGGGTGACAGAGCGAGACTCCATCTTAAAAAAACAAAAGCAAAAGCAAAAAAAAACTATGAAGACATATTCCTGTGCCAGCCATCATTACCGGTTTCATTCTAGCCTCCTTCTGCACTTTCCGTATTTGTAACTACCTTTAACAGTAGGAAGTCTGGTTTCTGTTGTTCACAGTATATTTACTTATTTGCTCAATCTTAGAATATACAAAAAGTAATTTAGAATTGCTAATCCTTAACACTATAAAAAGCAAACCCACTTACTGGAACTCAGTGTTTACTTACGGTTCTCTTTTGTTTACATCCTGAGAATACGTAGTAAAAATACTGTGTTCAAAAGTTACTTTGGTGGTTAGGTCTTCCTTTCTTCCTAAATTTTCCCTGAGTCATTTGAAATACCAATAGAGACATTTGTTTTGTTTGATTTCCATCTTAGAATTTTTTTGCTTTCTCATCTTTGTGGATCTCCATATTTCTTTGAGTATATTAAGCATTAACATGGTTCCAAAAGTCAGAACCATACAGAAAGCTATACACAGAAAAGTGTTGATCATACCTCCCATCTTTTCTACCACTTCTCCACTCATCTTCTCCATCCCTTATCCTCTGCTTCCTAGGCGATTATCCTGATTAGTTTCTCATGTATATAGTTCTTTTGGTTCTCTGTACACAAAATGGACAGATAAATGTATATCTTCTTTCCTATACAAAAAGTAGAACACTGCATATATTCTTTTGTATTTTGTTTTTCCGACTTAACAGTATATACTGGATATCTATATTTTATAATGATATAGAGATCTCTTTATTAATTTTTAGAGCTGCATAGTACTCCATTGTGTGGATCTACAGCTTGTTTATTCAATCACTTTCCCATTTGTGGACATTCAGGTTATTTCTGATTGTATTTTCCAATTATAAATGACACTGCAATAAATAATCTTTGTAATACGTGTTTTTATATTGTTGAAATGTGTCGTCTCCCTTGTCGCTTCTTACTTTGAATTTGTGCTTTCTCTTTTTTTTCTGGATTAACCTTGTTCATTTACTTAAAAAAATTCCAGGATTTTGATTTATGATGTGATTTTTAAAATTCTCCACCCAGCTGATTTATTTTGTCTTTATTATTTCTAGTCTCTGTTTTAGTTTAGTTTGTTCTTTTTGAATTATGAATTTACTATTGATATAAATGTTCAAAGCTACAGATTTTCCTCTGTTCAGGTTATTAAATATATAATTTTGTATCTTTTTTTGGAAAATGTATAATTTTGAGGTAGAATGCCATTTTTGTTTTTAGTTTTGTTAATATCTGGTTTTGTTAGAATTATGATCAGAGTGTTTGCATTATTACTACTTCATAAAATATACTGTTGCTTTTTAAATTACCTAATATGTGTGCACTTTTTTTGGTCAATATTGATGTCCATTTGAGAAGGAGGTACAGTTTTTATTATCAGGGTATGTAGTTTTCAGTTCAGTTTATAAGTGTTTTCAGTCTTACGTATTATTAAAGTTATGTTCCTATGTCTGTACATCCCTGTAGTTTCTGCTTTTTAAAAGTAGTTGCTATGTGATGATAGGCATACACGATGGTTATGTCTTCATGTGAATTGCAGCTTCTAACGTTAAACAGTGTTTCTCTGTGTCATATTTAAGGCTTTTTGATTTGAGTCTTCTTTAGTATCAAGATCATTACTCTTGCTTCCTTACTGTTTCTATTTGCTTTGTATGCCTTTGCTTATCCCTTTTTTTTTAAATTTTTTAAATTTTTTTTTTTTTTTAGCTTTTTGGTCTATACTGTTTTAGGTTATCTCTTGAATAAGCATTTATTAGGTATTTTTTAATAGCCAAATGAAAAAATTTTTAATGACTTATGTTTGATTTCAACTCTTATGTTATAAATACTGTGTACATTGTTCTATTTTTCTTTATTTCTCTATGATGTGCTTTCTTTGCCTTTTCATCTTTAAATTTCTTTTTTTTTGGATATTTAGGCTTTGCTGTTTGTTGTTGTAGCAGCTACTTGTATGTTTATGCCTTTTTTAAATGTCCTCATTTCTTTGTTTTCTTATTTAAGTTTATACTATCTATTATGTTGTTTTTAATGGTGTCCTATAATTCTTATCTATTGCTATTTCAACAAAAGTTTATTTTACATTTTTCTTTTTCTCTTTTTCCATTTTCTTCAGTTGCATTATGTCTGTTTCATCCTCAATCCTTAACTGCAACTTCGTTTTGCTCTTAGATCTACAATTAAATATATTAAAATTTCACCACCAGTTCTTTTGCTGAAGTTTACCTATTGGTTAGATATAGCTCAGCTTTTAGTGGATTTCTTAAGAAGAACTCATGGTGACCACAATTTTCCTTGAGTTCCTGCATATTAAAAATTGTTCTCCTGTAGCCTTAATATTGGTAGTACAGGTTGGGTGGAAATAAGTCCTTGGTTCACACTTTCCCTTTTTATAATGTGGCCTTGCTTTCTATATGTTTTGTTGTTTTGAGAAGTCTGATGCCAGTCTTAATTTTCTTGCCCCTGTAAGTTGCTTGAATCTTTTGTTTGGAATTCTTGGATCTTTCCCTTCTCATATTTTTAAAGTCTAATAGTTTTACTATAATATATTTTAGAATTGATTTTAACAGGTCAATTTTCCTTGCTACATTAGTGGGTTCTCTTAATATGTAGAATCAGATTTTTTTTGTTTCTGCAAATTTTTTTTTGGATTATAGTTTTAAATATTAATTCTGTTCTAATATTTTCTTTTTCTTCTGCAGGGACTTCAGTTACTCATATAATTATACCTTCTCTGTTTAGCTTCCATTTTACCAACTGTTCCTGTGATTATTTTTTTTACCGCGTTATCTCATTTTCATTCTCTTGGTTCTTTTCCTGTTTTCCTCAGTGCCTTTTATTAAGGTTTTACTCTATTTTTGAGCAGGAATTTAGTCCTCACCTTTTCTCTTATTTATTTATTTATTTTTGCCCATTCTATTTTCAGGTTTATATTTCTGATTTATGATGGTTTTCATACTCCTAAGTGCTTGTTTAAAGAGATACAATTCAGGCCGGGTGCAGTGGCTCATGTCTGTAATGCCAGAACTTTGGGAGGCTGAGGTGGGCAGATGGCTTGAGCCCAGGGGTTTGAGACCAGCCTGGGCAACATGACAAAACTCATTCTCTACAAAAAATACAAAAATTAGCCGGATATGGTGGTGTGTGCCTGTAGCCCCAGCTACTGAGGAGGTTGAGGTGGGAAGATCACTTGAGAGCCCAGGAGGTGGAGGTTGGGGTGAGCTGAGATCGCGCTACCGCATTCCACCCTGGGTGACAGAGTGAGACCCTGTCTCAAAAAAAAAAAAAAAAAAAAAAAAAAAAAAAAAAAAAAGAGATACAATCCAGTTTGGAATATTTATTAAAATCTTCTACTTTGTTGTTGGTTTTTTGGGGGTGCTTTTCATTAGCTTAATTGTCCTAACGTTATTTTTTATTTTAGAAATTTTATATAGATGAAGATTGCAACAACTATGTGTGACTATGAGCAGGGCTGTTGTTTTAGGGGGTTTTATGAGATTACTAATTCAGGAATGTCCTCTTCTGTCAGTGTAGCACAGTTTGGTTTGTTTGTTGGATGGCTTTTTTTCACCTTTTGAGGGAGAGGATTTTGTGTTTCTCAAGTAGGGTTGTGTGTGTGTGTGTGTGTGTGTGTGTGTGTGTGTATTTGAGTATATATATATATATATATATATATAAGTTCTTACAAAATCTTAAATTTCTTTATGTATATAAGAACCTTACAGAATCTGAAACTTTCTTTTTCGTTTCTTTTTTCATCATCTAATTTCCAAAAACACACATTATTTTCTTTTTACCGCCGTCCTTGTTTGTATTACTCAGGGCTCTCCAGAGAAATAGAAACAAAAGGATGGAGAGTTACATAGATATATATCTAAAAACATATGTATATCTATATCTAGAACGAGATTTTTTTGTAAGAAACTGGCTCATGTAATCACGGAGGCTGAGAAGTCCCACCATCTGCAAACTGGAGACCTGGGAAGACCTGTGGTGTAAATTCCAGTCAGTCTGAAGGCCTGAGGACTAGGAGCAACAATGGTGTAAGTTCCAGCCCAAGGGTAGGAGAAAACTGATGTTTCAAGCTATAAGGCAGATAGAGAGAATTCGGCCTTTTTCCCTCCTTTTGTTCTGTTTGGGCTCTTAACAAGTTGAATGATGCTCACTTACATTGGGGAAAGTAATGGCTTTACCTATTCCACAAATTCAAATGCTCGTCTTTTCCGTAAACACTGTAATGGACATAACCAGACATAATGTTTAACCAGATATTTGGGCATCTCATGGCCCAGTCAAGTTAACACGTGAAATTTACCATCACACCCTTGATGCATTACCTTATCAAGACTACCTCCTTGAATCCTCCCTGCACTTTTAAATCCCTTCCCTATAATTTTCTCTCATCTATGAGTGGTCTTCTTGAGGATTTTTTCACGTAGACTGGGCTTTCTTTTTCTGTGGATGATTTTAGTTTAATTTTAGGCTTTCTGTCCTTGCCTCCAGCCCCCACTTTGTGTTTGCAAAATTTTTCTCCCCCTAGATCTATCTGTCCTCTCTAATAGGTTAGGGGAAGAGCTTGATTAATATCTCCACTAGAATGGAGTTTATGTTTTCTACTTTACATAATTTGAAGTTAGTTTGTCTTGTATTAAAAGCGTGAAATTTGTATGGTTTTATTTGTTCTTCTTGTTAGTCTTTTTAGCTTTTGAAGGTTATATTGGAGGATTTGTATTTACATGGCCACTAACACCTTGATTAACCCATGAGTTATGAAACTTCATTTCAGTTGATAATTTTTTCCCTACTGAAACCAGAGTAGGTTACTTAGTGTGTCCGTATAATGCCAACGGCCTGGGTTAGCATTCAAGATGAAGCCTGTGTTCTTTCCTGATGTAGGATGAGTCCCTAGTTCTACAGTATGTGCCTTCATTAAAGACAGACCCCATTCCCACCACAGGCTTGTATCTTAAGGCAAAGTCATTGCAACATCTTTTCTGCCACTGTATTTGCAAGCCCTAAGATGGAACTCCTTTAACCTTCCATTACACACATGGACATATTTGTTAAAAAGGAGATATATAACTCCCCAAAA
Organism: Homo sapiens; assembly: GCF_000001405.40. Taxonomy (NCBI): domain Eukaryota; kingdom Metazoa; phylum Chordata; class Mammalia; order Primates; family Hominidae; genus Homo; species Homo sapiens. Next base: position 179,228,334 of record NC_000002.12, on the reverse strand, counting down.
TGTGAAATGTGTAATCGAGGTAAGAGGTATAATATTCAGGCCGGGAGTAGTGTTGAGGAACTTCCTCATCTGCAACACACACACATACACACATGCGTGCACAGACACAGACACATACATCCGTGACATATTTGATGTCTGTCATGTTATAGAGGCCGCCTGGTAACACACTAAATGACACTATACTTACACAGTGTGAGGGTCTGGGGACTATACATAGATTATTGTCTCAGTGATTGATAGATGGTAGATTCCTACGAGGGAAGGGATCATAAGGAGGCTGTTCAGGAAGGATGATTGTCTCACTTCTAGTTCTTTAAGCAGTGAGACCAATGTGAGTGGGCTTAAGCTAAAAGGGGGATTTAGTGGAATAATTTTGGCATATCACCCCATACCAAATGGCAGCCAGGTCCTCTTAAGGTACTGAAGCCAGGGTGAGTGGTAAAGTAGCTTGCTTAAGGTCACACACCTAATAAGCGGCAGAGTTCACATTTGATCCCAGTTCAGCCTGGTGCTAGCCTTAATCATGACACCCTGCTGCCTCTGCTCATTTTCCCCCCAAAATTTCTAGTAATGTCAAGAGCTCCACAGGCAGTGCAGAAGTCATTGAAAACCGGGAATTGCTACTTCGGTGCCTCCTACCTAAGCTTTGTACTAAAAGCAGTGAGACTTTAAGAAAGCTCTTTTAACCTTAAATCATTTTTTGTAAAGGAAACAATTATCATAGTTCCGTATTTTTAAATATTAGATTTTGTGTTGTGCTTTTTCTTTCAAAAAATACTATTTGTTCAAATAGCTGTTTTAGAGTATAGTGATAGTGGATGGCAAAAATTTTGTTACCTCAATTCTTAGAAATACTTGCTAGCAAAAACTCTTATTTTTGACTGTCCAGAGGAATCCCAAAATTTTCTCTGTGCTTCTTTTGTGGATGGTATCAGATAATCTGCCAAGTGAGAGGTTAGTGGCAGTCAGGAGCCATCTAAATATTTTGAGAATGTACTAGGAACTGAAAAGGTTTCATAGATAACTAAAGTGAGAAAGTGAGGTGGGGGGTAATAGTGAATATTGTAATAAAAGTTAAGATGTAATTTTATAAAATGGAAACATCTGCATGTTAAATAGTGACTTTTTCCAAGTTTTGAAATATAGATAATGAAAACTCACTTAGGCTGTAAAAGTAGTAAAGTCAAGTAAGCCATTTCTGAAGCCAGAAGTTGGAGTTGACTCAGCATAAAGAAGGCTTTATAAAGTGCCCCTCTTCATTCATAATCCTAATGGGCCAGGTCTCAGAATATTTCAGTAAATGTCCCTGAACTATGTAATTTAACATTCTGCTCAAAGTAGATAATGCTCTATTCATAGTTCTTTGGCAAGTTGAAAATTATCTAAGCTTGTTTTCTCCTTCCTTTTTCTCCTGCTTCCTCTGTATTCTGCTAAGTGGCACCTAACTGAGAAAGCTGGCAGGATCATTATTCAACAAATATTTATTGCGCATTGGCTATCTGCCAGGCACTGTCCTAGGCAAACAAATAGACACATTCAAATGACATAGCCAACATCTATTTTAGATTTCAGAAATAACTATTTTGGTTTTATTGACTATATATGTAAAATAGATTGTTATTAAATTTGGGTATGCTCTTTAGTGTTAATATGCATCATGCCCAAAATCTTTGGAATCTGTTTCTTTTCTGAGTCAAGCAATATGACATTTATTGATTATTAACCTGGAGATCTGCCTGGTCTTCTGACCAACCACTTCTATGCACATATCAGCGTGAGTGGATATTGTGGACATAAATTGTTGTTTTTCATAGTAATTTAATCACTTAACAAAAAGTATAATAATGGTGATAGTGATAGTGAGAAGGAGACTGCTGGGAAAACGACTGCGGTCACAAAAGTGAGAAAGGCCTAACAAGACAAGGAATAAATGTCTCCATTGCCAACAGAGTGGCAGAAGTTGGAGTTCTGCCGGCATGCCTGCCTGCCTCTTTTTATCTTACGGCTGTTGCAGTGATCAGAATTGGTCTCCTGTCTTCTCAGCAGTCTTAAATGGGGTCCAGATACTCAGATTTTTCCCCACACTGGGCTTTAGAATATGTTGGTGAATATGAGAATATTTTAAGAGTATGTGTAGCCTATTTTCTGCCTTCCCTTGAGATTTTGAAATAAAAATATTGCTAAAATGAAAAACTGTTTTAAGAATTATAGCTCCCTCTTATACATTTTTGATATGTTTAAGGATTTAGTTTTCCTAAATTTTTATGGACCTTTTCAAACATACAGAAACATAGGAAATAATAAAAGGTACCACTGTTTACCCATCATCCATTTTTAACAATTATCAATAAGTGGCCAATCCTGTTTTATGCATATTCTTCCTTCTCCATTATTGAAGCAAATCTTAATGGTATGGTCTGAATGTCCCCCAAAATTCATGTGTTGGAACTTAGTTCCAACTGTGGTTGCATTAAGAGGTATATAGCCTTTCGGAGGTGATTGAGTCAGAAGGGCTATGCTCTCGTGAATGGGACTAGCACCCTTATAAAAGGGCTCAAGATTGAAGGGAATGCTCTCTTGCTCTCCCACTTTTCTGTCACATGAAGACACAGTATTTGCACCCTTTTTGCCCTCCCATCTTTCTGCAATGTGAGGACACCTAGACGATACCATCTATGAGGAACAGGGCTTCACCAGGCACTGAACCTGGTGGTGCCTTGATCATGGACTTCTTAACTTCCAGAATTGTGAGAAGTAAATTTCTATTATTTATAAATTACCCAGTCTCAGGTTTTTTTGTTACAGTAGCATGAACAGATTAAAATACCCAGACATATTTCATTAAAGTATATGTCATTTAAAATATAAAGATCTCTTTTTAAAAAATATAACCTTAATGTCATATCTTTAAAAAAATGAATAATTATATTTAAGGGATGTCAAAGACTTTTATTATTTATATTACAGTAAAGGTTACTACATTAATTACCACGAGCATGAGAATTTATATAACTTAGAGCTTAAGAGTAGGGCTTCTGTAGGAGATACGGGAAAAAAAACCCTAAGTTGTTTTTTCCATCTCTGACACAGTCAACATAGAACGCTTCACTTCTGGTCACCAGAATGTGTGGAAATTTTCCCCCACCAGCAACCAATCAATTTGCCAGCTGACACCAACTGGGTATCCTGTAATTTAACTCAGTTCTAACACTGCCTACCTGGAGACAGCATCAGATCCCTCAGGTTGAGGGTGAGTCCCACAAGACTACCCTTCTACTTCAGATACTGATTGCAAGCCCCAGGTTGTGACCTGTGTTACTGACTGACTGGCTATAAATTGGGGTTCCCGTGACCCCCTCCTCAGTTTTGATTTGCTAGGATGGCTCACAGAACTCAGGGAAACATGTACATTTACCCATTTATTACAGAGGATATTACAAAACATACAGATGAAGAGCCACATGGAAGAGATACACAGGGCAAGGTGTATGGGAAGGGGCATAGAGCTTCTATGACCTCTGGTCGACATTCCACCCTCCAGAAACCTCCATGTGTTCAACAATATGGAGGATCCCTGAATCCAGTCCTGTAGGGTTTTTGTGGAGGTTCCATTATATAAGCATGATTGATTACATCATTGGCCATTGGTGATCAACACAACCTTCAGCTCTTCTTTCCTTCTCAGAGTTAGTGGGGGTAGGGGGAGGTTGGACTGAAAGTTCCAACTCTTTATTCACAGGGTTGATTTCCCTGGCAACCGGCCCCCATCCTTCAAAAGAGCCTTCAGCAATCAGTCATTTCATTAGCATACAAAAGACACTTAGCACTTTAGAGATTGCAAGAGTTGTATGAGCTTTGTGCCAAGAATCAGGAGCAGAGACAAAATACAGAGTATATTTCTTATGTCACAATATTGTATCCTTGGACTTAGCCTTAGGTTTAAATGCCAGTTTTGCTGCATAACGTTGGGCAGGTTAACCTCTCTCCATCTCACTAGGCTGCTGTTTTCCTCTGCTGTTAAATGGTGACAGTAATAGTTTTAACTAAGTAGGATAGTTGTGAGTTATAAATGAAACAATGCACAGAAAGCGATTAGGATCGTGTTTATATGTAAAACATGCTCAATAATGTTAGCATTATTGTTATTTTTATTTGGAGGTGTGAGGAAATACACATAATTAATTTGAGATCCCATTTTTTAGATTAGGCCATGTTTCAAAGTGATTTGTGTTTAATCATGCTCTTCAGAGTTTATTTTTAGGGAATACAAAATAATATCATTTTAATCCATAGGCACATTTATCCTTTTCTCAAAAGCAAATTTGATTTGTTTTAAAACATGTAATAGCATTGAAAGGAATAAATTTAACCTTTACTCAAACCTTGGATGTCTTTATGTGTGTTGATGTGAAAACTTTGAGATACCCTAAGATATAAGACCTTTATAATTTTCCCTTGAGATTAAAAATAAAATGCAAATCTTAGTTCCTTTTGTAGTTCCAATATAGAGTAATAGATAGTTTGGACAATCTATGAACATAAATGTTATCAACAATACTGCTTATACTCTCCTTTCTTCCCTTCATTTAATCCATTTAGTCTTTTATTGTCATTGTTTTATACCATCCAGGATGTACAATGTTGGAAGAAATTTGTCTTTGCCAAAGTGAAGTTTCTCATGGCAATATGTTCTGATTATAGTACCACTTGGGGATAAATTGCTTACCATATGCAGTTCATTTTACAGACTTTCTAGAGAATATTGCTTACTTTTTTTTTTTTAGTTTTTATATCTTAATAAAGTGTACATCATTTTCATCCAGATTATCCTGATTTACAAAATGACCAATTCAGTTGTTTATTTTTTAAATTATTTTTGATGGCTTTACTAAGGTGAAATTTACGTATCATGAATTTCACCTATTTTAATTATACAGATTGATTTTTAGTAGATTTCAGAGCTGTGCAGCCATTACCACAATTTAATTTTACAGTATTTCCATCACCCCAAAAAGAAACTTAGTGTCTATTACCAGTCACTCTCCATACCCACTCCAGCCCTAGGCAGCCACTGGCCTACTACTTTCTTTCTGTTTGGATTTGCCTATTCTGAATTTTTTTTATACAAAAATACAATATATGTTTGTGTCTGGCTTTTTTCACTTAGTATGTTTTCTAAGTTTATCCTCGTTATATCGTATATCAGCGTTTTCATTCATTTGTATTGCCTAATGGTATCCTATTATATGGATGTGTCATGTTTTGTTTATCCATATAGAATTGATGAACATTTGGGTTGCTTTCATGTCTTGGCTGTTATATGAACAGTGCTGCTGTGAACATTCGTGTACAAGTCTTTGGGTGGATATATTTTTTGTTTATTTAAAATTAATGAATAGAATAATAGTTATCTGCTATTTAAGTGTTTTTAATTTTGATTTTATTATGTGACAATGTAATATAGTGGAGAGAAGCACTGGACAGAGTTGCAGGAGCCTAGGTTTCACAGGCTACTTTCTTGTTTTGTGGCCTTAGGATGGCAAATCTGTGTCTCCAGATTTTAGTTTCCTTATCTACAACATGGAAAGGTTAGACTAAATGATCTCTTATGATTTATAAATCTGTTAATTTCTATATTATTTTGAGCAGATTACTTCTCTGTGCCTCAGCTTTTTCATGTGAGAACATTGGGTTATTAATAGAATCATATATAAGTATTAATATGAGGATGAAAGAATATTCTTGGAATATAAAAAAGTATCAGGATAAGGCTGGGACTGTTATTTTTCTGGATCAAGAATGCCTTAGTGGGAATGCTTTCACGGTGGCCTCAGTGGAGTTACTGGTAGTAAACTGGTAAACCAGTAATTAGTGGAGGAAGGAAGATTTAGCTGCTAGTAATAAATGCCATTTATTGGGTGCTTATCCTGAGTATACTAAACTATATATACAAATTTGCTCACTTAAGTCCCAGTCCTGTGAGTTAGGTTCAGTGATTTGCTCATAAAAGAAATTAAAGGAATTGCCAAAACCACATAGCTAGTAAGTGGCTGGCCGGGAGTCACACCCTGGCTCCAAGGCCATGTTTTTTGCCACTGCACTAAACTTTATTTCAGGGAGAACAACTCTTTGGAACAGAATCCCATAGTAGAGAGATCTTTGGTGGGGGAAGTCTTTTTTTGGGATAGATAGCTAATATCGCTTACAGTCCTTATGAGAGAGAAAAGAGGTGGTCACTCTATAAATACTTGGTTTTCCATGTGTCCTATGTTTGTTCCAAAATGACATTTTAATAATTGAACAAGTTTAATAGTTGACCAGATTGAAAATTTGCAGAATGTTCTATTGTTTCAGTAGTTTTACTACAAAAAATACAATATATGTTGTTTTTTGTTTTTTAATTTTTTTTTTTGAGACAGGGTCTAACTCCGTCACCCAGGCTGGAGTACAGTAGCACAATCATGGCTCACTGCAGCCTTGACCTCCTGGGCTCAAGGGATCCTCTCACCTCAGACTCCTGAGTAGCTGGGACCACACAGGTGCATACCACCATGCCTGGCTAATTTTTTTATTTTTTGTGGAGATGGGGTCACACTGTGTTGCCCAGGCTGGTCTCAAACTCGTAGGCTCATACAGTCCTCTCACCTTGGTCTTCCGAAGTGCTGAGATTACAGGCATGAGCCACCATGCCTGGGGCATTTTTTTTTTTTTTTCCTTAACAGTCTCACTCTGTCACCCAGGCTGGAGTGCAGTGGCGCCATCTTGGCTCACTGCAACCTCTGCCTTTGCCTCCTGGCTTCAAGCGATTCTCCTGCCTCAGCCTCCCGAGTAGCTGGGGTTACAGGCATGCACCTCCACGCCTGGCTAATTTTTGTATTTTTAGTAGAGATGGGGTTTCACTATGTTGGCCAGGCTGGTCTTGAACGCCTGACCTCAGGTGATCCACCTGCCTCGGCCTCCCAAAGTGCTAGGATTACAGGTGTGAGCCACTGCACCCAGCCCCATTTTTTTTTTTTTAATGGGACTTTCACTCTGATGAAAGCAACTCATACATCTCACTGGCTTTTTTCTGCCTTGGTAACACTATTATAATTTCCATTTTAAAGCAATATTCCATTTTTTAAGTTAAAACTTTTTTAACCTTTTTTAAAAACTATTTTTACATTTCCTCCCCTCCCCAATGTAGTGTTTGGTACATACCAAATATTTACATTATACAGACAAAAAAATTTAGTGCCAAAATCTCAATTCATGATACAGGTATATTATTTCATTTGAACAAAAGTATTATTTTATGTATTTGTGGTAGTGAACATATAAACATTTGGGCACTAAAAATTAATTTGTTATGCCAATTATGTGGAATTAGGGGCCCTGAAATACATCTGAACCTCTGTTCCGAATGCATTTAAATCTTATATATCTGGAATATTACATTTAGTCTTAACTCAATGGAAGGCATGTGTGTTTTTAACCAAGGAGAGAGGAAGAACACTTCTTTCTAGGAGGAAGATTGGGAGAGAATGAGGTTTTGTAATGACCCAGAGAAATTCTGAGTTGAAGAAGAGGAGAGGAAACACCTACAGTAGGTGAAGAGGGGTTGGAATCTGGAAATTAGATGCTGGAATTTGTGAAGTTATTGTGGCTGTATCCATTTCCTCTTCTGGTGATGGAAGGAGACCTCACCCAGCTAGGTGAATTTAGTGGACACATGCATGCCTTGGAAAAGGAAAAGGAAATGGTTCAGGTTTCTAGAGCTCAACACAAGGCTTAGATGCAGAAAATGTACAGGTAGAGAGCTCATCTAAGGGAACTGTGGCAGTAGATAATGAGGTCCTAGCCATAGGGGATACTCTAAAGCTGGGGGTTCCAGGAATATCTTGACCCTCCTGGAATTCCACAAGTGTGATTTGCTCCTCTAGTGCAATGTTCCTTTTTCCTTTTGCTGCTCCTATTTTGGTGAAGAAGCAGTCAAACTAAGGATTTATCTGTAAATTAAGAAGAGCCAAAGATTTTTAAAATTTTTTCATATATTAATATGAAAGTTAAGGAACTTTAAATCTGGACCTTCAAAAATGGAGGTTTGCTGTTGATAAGGGTTTGGTAGAATGCCTAGAGGGGTGGAGAAGGGACAGAGTGAGGAGGATGGTCTAGGGGTAGTGGCTTATATTGTAGTTTTTGAAAAGGGTTTTTAAGTGGTGGGCTGTCATTACCATTTTCAGTAGACTTTTGAATTTTAAATATAGTATAGGACTTTTAATGTTCCACTAGACTTCTTAATGTAGATTTTTTTGTCTCTTAAGGTGGATTAGCAGTAGTTTTATAGAAAACTTGAAATCTCAGAGGCTTTCTTTTCCTTTTCTCCATTTCTTACTGAATAAACTAGTTCTTGATTCATATGGTAAAAATGATATTATTCGGTGAAACTTTAACTTTCAAATTAATTTAGAGGAGCTATACATTTGGATAAATCTGTATTTTGGTGAAAGCCCTTTTAAAAAATAACTTTCATTTTAGGTCTACTCAAAGGATTGTTGTTGTTTCCTCTACAACTGTCAATATTGTTGCAAAACCAGATTAGTAATCATGCACTGGCACCTGCAATAACACACAAATTACATAAAATTTCCATTGTTGACTTGCTTCACCAATTTATTATCCTAAAGTTGAATAATGTTTATTTCTGTATAATTTTATATATGAATATGTGGAGTGATAGAGCACTGAGTACTTGTATTTGTTAATTTCTAAAATTGCTCTTACTTTGTAACAACAGTTGAAAATATTTCTAATCTCAACTTAAGGATAGTTATAACTATAGTATTTCTTCTGGAAATGCAAGGCCAAAGGGCCTGCATTCTAATTTTGTTCATTGCCATTTTGTGTCTACGTGATGTAGACTTACTAGAGATGATTTAGTTACCCCTACGCTACCCTAATGGGTTTTCACTGGTTGTTAAGAAATGCTCCTTGAAGAATTTAACTAAATTTTCCAAATAAACTGGTTGATTTATATTTATTGAGAGGGGAGTTCTAGTGTACCCACTCACATCATCAATTACAGTCTCTCATAAAGTGCAGTTTTCCCAGTCTTGATTAAAAGGCCTGCAATTCTGTTTTCTGCTGCTGAATACATCCTCTGCTGCCCTCTAATGGCAGCTCATTGATGGCACCCACTGATGTCCATCTTAACCACCAAGAACTTGCTGTTCTTGGCATCCAGCAACTTATGTAGCTGCGGGATCTTGGGTGGCTCTCCCAGTAGATAGACAGCTGGAAGGAAAAGCATGCACATGTGAATCCTGTGATTTCCCGTCAAGGTGTTGGCATTCAGGTAGTTGTGACAATGTTAGGATTCTTAGAGTAAGTGTTTTGCTTTACCATTTGTTCATTTTATTGTTCATTTATCCATTAATTCATCAGATGTTTGGGAATGCCAGAAATGTCCACTGCCTGGACTTCTGTCAATCTGTTAGGTTCTAAGTATAGATTTGTTGAGTGAGCAAATAAATACAAAAATAAATGACGTGGTCTCTGCCCTTGGGGAGACAAAATACAAACTTAAATACACCTTGGTTGCCTTTATTTTCCTCTTTAAATCTCCACAATACTGGGAAAGATAGTTAAACTAGGAAATGGATACAAATATCCATGGAAACCTAGTCTCCCTGTATTTCTAGTTCTCAGAATTCATTGTCCCTAACTGTAGAAGGGCTTTGTTCTAAGAAGTACTTATTTTGCACCTAGAAATGATATTAGTTTTTTTTGGTGCTTCTTGCTTTTGGTTGAAGGTAACACAAAATCATGGTTGCATTTTCCTTTATATTTACCAGTCTCTAAGGCATTTAATTTGTCATGAAGTGTGGCTTTCCGCCTCTTTTCTATTTAATGAACTATGACTTAAAATAGGTGCTGCTTTAAATGACCATATAAATAGGATAAGTGAAGTGCTGTGTATTTTTTTTGTTACGAATGTTGTGAATTCCTTAATTCTTTCATTTCTTAGCCTGCTTTACAAGACAAGTTTTTTTTTTAAGGTATTTTTCTTTCTACTCTTTATTATTTCATATTAGGTGAATGTCTGTTATTGGCTTCATTCCTTGTTTGAGAGTATAATCCACTCAGATGTATTTAGGTCAGATATCCCATTGTAGAAGAATGTGGACTAGTATGTTTATGTTATTTTTTAAATTTATTTTTAAATTATACTTTAAGTTCTAGGGTACATGTGCACAACGTGCAGGTTTGTTACATAGGTATACATGTGCCATATTGGTTTGCTGCACCCATCAACTCGTCATTTACATTAGGTATTTCTCCTAATGCCATCCCTCCCCCAGCCCCGCAACCCCCAACAGGCCCCAGTGTGTGACGTTCCCCGCCCTGTGTCCAAGTGTTCTCGTTGTTCAGTTTCCACCTATGAGTGAGAACATGTGGTGTTTGGTTTTCTGTCCTTGTGGTAGTTTGCTGAGAATGATGGTTTCCAGCTTCATCCATGTTTCTGCAAAGGACATGAACTCATCCTTTTTTATGGCTGCATAGTATTCCATGGTGTATATGTGCCACATTTTCTTAATCCAGTCTATCATTGATGGACATTTGGGTTGGTTCCAAGTCTTTGCTATTGTGAATAGTGCCGCAGTAAACATACGTGTGCATGTGTCTTTATAGTACCATGATTTATAATCCTTTGGGTATATAACCAGGATATAATAGGATCACGGGTCAGATGGTATTTCTAGTTCTAGATCCTTGAGGAATCACCACACTGTCTTCCACAATAGTTAAACTAATTTACACTCCCACCAACAGTGTAAAACAGTTTTTATTTCTCCACATCCTCTCCAGCATGTTTTTTCCTGATTTTTAATAATCGCCATTCTAACTGGCGTGAGATGGTATCTCACTGTGGTTTTGATTTGCATTTCTCTGATGGCCAGTGATGATGAGCATATTTTCAGGTGTCTGTTGGCTGCATAAATGTCTTCTTTTGAGAAGTGTCTATTTATATCCTTTGCCCACTTTTTGATGGGGTTGTTTTTTTCTTGTAAATTTGTTTAAGTTCTTTGTAGATTCTGGATATTAGCCCTTTGTCAGATGGGTAGATTGCAGAAATTTTCTCCCATTCTGTAGTTTGCCTGTTCACTCTGATGGTAGTTTCTTTTGCCATGCAGAAGCTCTTTAGTTTAATTAGATCCCATTTGTCAATTTTGGCTTTTGTTGCCATTGCTTTTGGTGTTTTAGTCATGAAGTCCTTGCCCATGCCTATGTCCTGAATGGTATTGCCTAGGTTTTCTTCTAGGGTTTTTATGGTTTTAGATCTAACATTTAAGTCTTTAATCCATCTTGAATTAATTTTTATATAAGGTTTAAGGAAGGGATCCAGTTTCAGCTTTCAACATATGGCTAGTCAGTTTTCCCAGCACCATTTATTAAATAGGGAATCCTTTCCCCATTTCTTGTTTTTGTCAGGTTTGTCAAAGATCAGATGGTTGTAGATGTGTGGTGTTATTTCTGAGGCCTCTGTTCTGTTCCACTGGTCTGTATGTCTGTTTTGGTACCAGTACCATGCTGTTTTGGTTACTGTAGACTTGTAGTATAGTTTGAAGTCTGGTAACATGATGCCTACAGCCTTGTTCTTTTTGCGTAGGATTGTCTTGGCAATGTGGACTCCTTTTTTGGTTGCATATGAACTTTAAAGTAGTTTTTTCCAATTCTGTGAAGAAAGTCATTGGTAGCTTGATGGGGATGGCATTGAATCTATAAATTAACCTTGGGCAGTATGGCCATTTTCACAATATTGATTCTTCCTATCCATGAGCATGGAATATTCTTCCATTTGTTTGTGTCCTCTTTTATTTCATTGAGCAGTGGTTGGTAGTTCTCCTTGAAGAGGTCCTTCACATCCGTTGTAAGTTGGATTCCTAGGTATTTTATTCTCTGAAGCAATTGTGAATGGGAGTTCACTCACGATTTGGCTCTGTGTCTGTTATTGGTGTATAGAAGGGCTTGTGGTTTTGCACATTGATTTTGTATCCTGAGACTTTGCTGAAGTTGCTTATCAGCTTAAGGAGATTTTGGGCTGAGACAGTGGGGTTTTCTAAATACACAATCATGTCATCTGCAGACAGGGGCAATTTGACTTCCTCTTTTCCTAGTTGAATACCCTTTATTTCTTTCTCCTGCCTAATTGCCCTGGCCAGAACTTCCAACGCTGTGTTGAATAGGAGTGGTGAGAGAGGGCATCCTTGTCTTGTGCAGGTTTTCAAAGGGGATGCTTCCAGTTTTTGCCCATTCACTATGATATTGGCTGTGCATTTGTCATATAGTTCTTACTATTTTGAGTTATGTTTCATCAATACCTAGTATTGAGAGTTTTTAGCATAAAGGGCTACTGAATTTTATTGAAGGCCTTTTCTGCATCTGTTGATATAATCATGTGGTTTTTGTTGTTGGTACTGTTTATGTGATGGATTACGTTTATTGATTTGCATATGATGAACCAGACTTGCATCTCAGGGATGAAGCCAACTTGATAGTGGTGGATTAGCTATTGATGTGCTGCTGGATTTGGTTTGCCAGTATTTTATTGAGGATTTTCGCATCAGTGTTCATCGGGGATATTGGTCTAAAATTCTCTTTTTTTTATTGTGTCTCTGCCAGGCTTTGGAATCAGGATGATGCTGGCCTCATAAAATGAGTTAGGGAGGATTCCCTGTTTTTCTATTGATTGGACTGGTTTGAGAAGGAATGGTACCAGCTCCTCTTTGTACCCCTGTTAGAATTCGGCTGTGAATCGTCTGGTCCTGGACTTTTTTTTGGTTGGTAGGGTATTAATTATTGCCTCAATTTCAGAGCCTGTTATTGGTCTATTCAGAGATTCAACTTCTCCCTGGTTTAATCTTGGGAGGGTGTATGTGTCCCGGAATTTATTCATTTCTTCTAGATTTTCTAGTTTATTTGCATAGAGGTGTTTATAGTATTCTCTGATGGTGGTTTGTTTTTCTGTTAGATTAGTGGTGATATCCCGTTTATCATTTTTTATTGCATCTGTTTGATTCTTCTCTCTTTTCTTATTTATTAATCTTGCTAGTGGTCTATCAATTTTGTTGATCTTTTCAAAAAACCAGCTCCTGCATTCATTGATTTTTTTGAAGGTTTTTTTGTGTCTCTATCTCCTTCAGTTCTGCTCTGATCTTACTTATTTCTTGCCTTCTGCTAGCTTTTGAATGTGTTTGCTCTTGCATCTCTAGTTCTTTTAATTGTGATGTTAGGGTGTCGATTTTGGATCTTTCCTGCTTTCTCTTGTGGGCATTTAGTGCTATAAATTTCCATCTACATGCTGCTTTAAATGTGTCTCGGAGATTCTGGTACATTGTGTCTTTGTTCTCATTGGTTTCAAAGAACATCTTTATTTCTGCCTTCATTTCCTTATTTACCCAGTAGTCATTCAGGAGCAGGATGTTCAGTTTCCATGTAGTTGAGTGGTTTTGAGTGAGTTTCTTAATCCTGAATTCTAATTTGTTTGCACTGTGGTCTGAGAGACAGTTTGTTGTGATTTCTGTTCTTTTACATTTGCTCAGAAGTGCTTTACTTCCAATTACGTGGTCAATTTTAGAATAAGTGTGATGTGGTGCTGAGAAGAATGTGTGTTCTGTTGATTTGGGATGGAGAGTTCTGTAGACATCTATTAGGTCTGCTTGGTGCAGAGCTGAGTTCAAGTCCTGGATATCCTTGTTAACTTTCTGTCTCGTTGATCCGTCCAGTATTGACAGTGGGGTGTTAAATTCTCCCATTATTGTGTGGGAGTCTAAGTCTCTTTGTAGGTCTCTAAGGATTTGCTTTATGAATCTGGGTGCTCCTGTATTGGGTGCATATATATTTAGGATAGTTAGCTCTTCTTGTTGAAGAAGAGCTTTACCATTCCTTTACCATTACGTAGTGGCCTTCTTTGTCTGTTTTGATCTTTGTTGGTTTAAAGTCTGTTTTATCAGAGACTAGGATTTCAACCTTTGCTTTTTTTTGCTTTCCATTTGCTTAGTAGATCTTCCTCCATCCCTTTATTTTGAGCCTATGTGTGCCTCTACATGTGAGATGGGTCTCCTGAATACAGCACACTGATGGGTCTTGACTCTTTATCCAATTTGCCAGTCTGTGTCTTTTAATTGGAGCATTTAGCCCATTTACATTTAAGGTTAATATTGTTATGTGTGAATTTGATCCTGTCATTATGATGTTAGCTGGTTATTTTGCCCATTAATTGATGCAGTTTCTTTGTAGCATCAATGGTCTTTACACATTGGCACGTTTTTGCAGTGGCTGGTACCGGTTGTTCCTTCCCATGTTGAGTGCTTCCTTCAGGAGCTCTTTTGGGGCAGGCCTGGTGGTGACAAAATGTCTCAGCATTTGCTTGTCTGTGAAGGATTTTATTTCTCCTTCACTTATGAAGCTTAGTTTGGCTGGATATGAAATTCTGGGTTGAAAATTCTTTTCTTTAAGAATGGTGAATATTGTCCCCCACTCTTTTCTGGCTTGTAGGGTTTCTGCCAGGAGATTCCATCCTTTGTGGGTAACCCAACCTTTCTCTATGGTTGTCTTTAACATTTTTTCCTTCATTTCAACCTTGGTGAATCTGACAGTTATGTGTCTTTGGGTTGCTCTTGTTGAGTAGTATCTTTGTGGTATTCTTTGTATTTCCTAAATTTGAATATTGGCCTCCTTGCCAGGTTGGGGAAGTTCTTCTGGATAATATCCTGAAGAGTGTTTTCCAACTTGGTTCCATTCTCCTTCTCACTTTCAGGTACACCAATCAAACGTAGATTTGGTCTTTTCACATAGTCCCATATTTCTTGGAGGCTTTGTTCGTTTCTTTTTACTCTTTTTTCTTTAAGCTTGTCTTTCTGTTTTATTTCATTAATTTGATCTTCAATCACTGATATCCTTTCTTCCACTTGATCGAATCGGCTATTGAAGCTTGTGCCTGCGTCTTGAAGTTCTTGTGCCATGGTTTTCAGCTCCATCAGGTCACTTAAGGTCTTCTCTATACTGTTTATTCTAATTAGCCATTTGTCTAACGTTTTTTCAAGAATTTTAGCTTCCTTGCGATGGGTTAGAACATGCCCCTTTAGCTCGGAGAACTTTGTTATTACTGACCTTCTAAAGCCTACTTCTGTCAATTTGTTACAGTCATTCTCCATCCAGCTTTGTTCCTTTGCTGGCTAGGAGCTGTGATCCTTTGTAGGAGAAGAGGTGATCTGGTTTTTAGAATTTTCAGCTTTTCTGCTCTGGTTCCTCCCCATCTTTGTGGTTTTATCTACCTTTGGTCTTTGATGTTGGTGACCTACAGATGGAGTTTTGGTGTAGATGTCCTTTTTGTTGATGTTGATGCTATTCCTTTCTGTTTGTTAGTTTTCCTTCTAACAGTCAGGTCCCTCAGCTGCAGGTCTGTTGGAGTTTGCTGGAGGTCCACTCCAGACCCTGTTTGCCTGGGTATCACCAGCGGAGGCTGCAGAACAGCAAATATTGCTGCCTGATCCTTCCTCCGGAAGCTTCGTCCCAGAGGAGCACCCACCTGTACAAGGTGTCTTTGGGCTGCTACTGGGAGGTGTCTCCCAGTTAGGTACACGGGGGTCAGGGACCCACTTGAAGAGGCAATCTGTCCATTCTCAGAGCTCAAACGCCATGTTGGGAGAACAACTGTTCTCTTCAGAGCTGTCAGACAGGGACTTGTAAGTCTGCAGAAGTTGTCTGCTGCCTCTTGTTCAGCTATGCCCTGCCCACAGAGGTGGAGTCTATAGAGGCAATAGGCCTTGTTGAGCTGTGGTGGGCTCTGCAGCTTCCCAGCTGCTTTGTTTACCTACTTAAGCTTCAGCAATGGTGGACACCCCTCCCCCAGCCAGGCTGCTGCCTCACAGTTTGATCTCAGATTGCTGCGCTAGCAGTGAGCAAGCTCCGTGGGCATGGGACCTGCTGAACCAGGCATAGGAGAGAATTTCCTTGTCTGCCAGTTGCTAAGACCTTGGGAAAAGTGAAGTATTTGGGTGGGAGTGTCTTGTTTTTCCAGGTACAGTCTGTCATGGCTTCCCTTGGCTAGGAAAGGAAAATCCCCCGGCCCCTTGCGCTTCCTAGGTGAAGCAACTCCCCGCCCTGCTTCGGCTTGCCCTCCATGTGCTACACTGACTGTCCAGCCAGTCCCAGTGAGATGAACCAGGTACCTCAGTTGGAAATGCAGAAATCACATGTCTTCTGCATCAATCACACTGGGGGCTGCAGACTGTAGCTGTTCCTATTCAGCCATCTTGGAACGGAAGATATTTTTTAATTATTTCAATAGTTTTTGGGGATCAAGTGGTGTTTGGTTACATGAATACGTTCTTCAGTGGTGATTTCTGAGACTTTGGTACATCCATCACTTGATCAATGTGCACTCAACCCAGTGTGTAGTCTTTTATTTCTCATCCCCCTCCCACCCTTCCCCCTGAGTCCCCAGAGTCCATTATATCATTCTCCTGCCTTCGTATCCTCATATCTTAGCTCCCACTTATAAGTGAGAACATATGTTGTTTGGTTTTCCATTCCTGAGTTACATCACTTGGAATAATGGTGTCCATCTGCATCCAGGTTGCTGTAAATGCCATTATTTCATTCGTTTTTATGGCTGAAGAGTAGTATTCCATGATGTGTTTGTGTGTGTGTGTGTGCATGTGTGTGTGACGTTTCTTGCCAATTATCCCAGCACCATTTGTTTAGTAGGGTAGTAGGGTGTCCTTTTCTCCATTTTATGTTTTTGTTTGCTTTGTCAAAGTTCAGTTGGCTGTAAATATTTGCCGTATTTCTGGGTTCTCTATTTTGTTCCACTGGTCTGTGTGCCAGTTTTTATACTAGTTCCCTGCGGTTTTGGTAACTATAGTCTTGTAGTATAGTTTGTAGTTGGGTAATGTGATGCCCCCAGATTTGTTCTTTTTGCTTAGTCTTCTTTGGCTATGCAGGCTCTTTTTTTTGTTGTTCCATATGAATTTTAGGATTTTTTTTCTAATTCTGTGAAGAATGATGATGGTATTTTGATGGGAATTGCATTGAATTTATAGATTGCTTTTGGCAGTATGATCATTTTCACAATATTGATTCTATCCATCCGTGAGCATGGGATGTGTTTCCATTTGTTTGTGTCTATGATTTCTTTTAGCAGTGTTTTGTAGTTTTCCTTGTAGAGATCTTTCACTTCCTTGGTTAGGTATATTCCTTTTTTTTTTTTGCAGCTGTTGTTAAAAGGGTCTGAGTTCTTGATTTGATTCTCAGCTTCGTTGCTGTTGGTGTGTAGCAGTGCTACTGATTTTTGTGCATTGATTTTGTATCCTGAAACTTTATTGAATTCATTGATCAGATCTAGGAGTTTTTTAGTGTTGTATTGGTCTACAATCATGTCATCAACAAACAGTGACAGTTTGTCTTCTTTACCGATTTAGATGCCGTTTATTTCTTTCTCTTGTCTGATTGCTCTGGCTAGGACTTCCAGTATTATGTTGAATGGAAATGGTTAAATTGGGCATCCACATCTTGTTCCAATTCTCAGGGGGAATGCTTTCAAGTTTTCCCTGTTCAGTATAATGTTGGCTGTGGGTTTATCATAGAAGGCTTTTATTACCTTAAGATATGTCTGTTCTATGCTGATTTTGCTGAGGGTTTTAATCATAAAGTGATGCTGGATTTTGTCAAATGCTTTTTCAGCATCTATTGAGATGATTATATGATTTTTGTTTTTAATTGTTTTGTTTATGTGGTTATCACATATATCAACTGGTGTATGTTAAACCAACCCTGCATCCCTAGTATGAAACCCACTTGGTCATGGTGTATTATCTTTTTGATATGCTATTGGGTTCAGTTAGTTAGTATTTTGTTGAGGATTTTTGCATGTATCTTAATCAGGGATATTGGTCTGTAGTTTTCTTTTTTTGTTATGTCCTTTTCTGGTTTTGGTATTAGGGGAATACTGGCTTCACAGAATGATTTAGGGAGGATTCCCTGTTTATCTTGGAATACTTTCAGTAGTATTGATACCAATTCTTCTTTGAATGTTTGATAGAATTCAGCTGTGAATCCATCTAGTCCTCAACTTCTTTCGTTGGAATTTTTAAATTACTGTTTCAATCTTACTACTTGTTATTGGTCTTTTTAGAGTTTTTCTTTCTTCCTGGTTTAATCTAGGAGGGTTGTATATTTCCAGGAATTTACCCATCTCCTCTGGGTTTTCTAGTTTGTGTGCATAATGGTGTTCATGGCAGCCTTGAATGATCTCGGTTATAATATCTCCCATTTCATTTCTAATTGAGCTTATTTGGATCTTCTCTCTACTTTTCGTGGTTAATTTCATTAATGGTCTATTGATTTTTGTTTATCTCTTCAAAGAACCAGCTTTTTTTTCATTTATCTTTTTTTGTTGTTGTTTCAGTTTCATTTAGTTCTGCTCTGATCTTTATTTCTTTTCTTCTGCTGGGTTTGGGTTTCATTTGTTCTTGTTTCTCTAGTTCTTTGAGGTGTGAACTTAGATTGTCAATTTGTGCACTTTCCGACTTTTTGATGTAATAGGCATTTAATGCTATGAGCTTTCCTCTTAGCACCATTGTTGCTGTATCCCAGAGGTGTTGATAGGTTGTGTCGCTATTATTGTTCAGTTCAAAGAAATTTTTTCTATCTTGATTTTATTGTTGCCCAAAAGATCATTCAGGAGCAGATTGTTTTAATGTATTTGTATAGTTTTGAGTATTCCTTTTGGAATTAATTTCCAATTTTATTCTACTGTAGTAGAGAGTACTTGATATAATTTCAGTTTGTTTAAATGTATTAGACTTGTTTTTTGGCTTATCGTATGATCTGTCTTGGAGAATGTTCCATATGCTGATGAAAAGAATCTATATTCTTCATTTGTTGGGTAGAATGTTCTGTAAATATCTGTTAAGTCCATTTGTTCTAGGGTGTAGTTTAAGTCCATTGTTTCTTTGTTGCCTTTCCATTTTGATGACCTGTCTAGTGCTGTCAGGAGAGTATTGTATTTCCCCAGTATTATTGTGTTGCCATGTGTCTCATTTCTTCGGTCTAGTAGTAATTGTTTTATAAATTTGGGAGCACCACTGTTAGGTGCATATATATTTAGGATGGTGATATTTTCCTGTTGAACTAGTCCTGTATCATTATATAATGCCCCTCTTTGTCTTTTTAAAGTGCTGATGCTTTAGTTTTGTCTGATAGAAGAATAGCTACGCCACGCCTGCTCACTTTTGGTGTCCATTTGCATGGACTGTCTTTTTCCACCTGTTTACCTTAAGTTTATGTGAGTCCTTATGTGTCAGTTGAATCTCTTGAAGACAACAGATACTTGGTTGGTGAATTCTCATTCATTCTGCCATTCTGTATCTTTTAAGTGGAGCATTTAGGCCATTTATATTCAACATTAGTGTTGAGATGTGAGGTACTATTCTATTCATCAAGCTATTTGTTGACCAAATACCTTGGTTTGTTTTCATTGTGTTATTGTTTTACAGGTCCTGTGAGATGAATGCTTTAAGGAGATTCTATTTTGGTGTATTTCGAGGATTTGTTTCAAGATTTAGAGGTCCTTTTAGCAGTTCTTGTAGTGCTTGCTTGGTATTGGCAAATTCAACATTTGTTTGTCTAAAAAATACTTTATCTCTCCTTCATTTATGAAGCTTAGTTTTGCTGGATACAGAATTATTGGCTGATAATTATTTTGATTAAGGAGGCTAAAGATAGGACCCCAATCCCTTCTGGCTTGCAGGGTTTCTGCTGAGAAATCTGCTGTTAATCTGATAGGTTTTCCTTTATAGGTTACCTGATGCTTTTGCCTCACAGCTTTAAGATTCTTTCCTTTGTCTTGACTTTAGATATCCTGAAAACTATGTGCCTAGGTGATTATCTTTTTGCAAAGAATTTCCTGGGTGTTCTTTGGACTTCTTGTAAGTGGATGTCTAGGTCTCTAGCAAGACCAGGGAAGTTTTCCTCGATTATTCCCTCAAATAAGTTTTCCAAGCTTTTAGAATTCTCTTCTTCCTCAGGAACACCAATTATTTTTATGTTTGGTTGTTTTAACATAATCTCAAATTCCTTTGAGGCTTGTTCATTTTTAAAAATTCTTTTTTGTCGTTTTTGGATTTCATTAATTCGAAAGCCTTGTCTTTGAGCTCTGAAGTCCTTTCTTCTACTTGTTCAATTCTATTGTTGGAACTTTCCAGTGTATTTTGCATTTCTCTAAGTGGGTCTTTTATTTCTAGGTGTTGTGATTGTCTTTTCTTTATGATATCTATTTCTCTGGAGACGTTTTCGTTAATATCCTGTATTTTTTAAAATTTCTTTAAGTTGGTTTTCACCTTTCTCTGGTGCCTCCTTGAATAGCTTAATAATCAACCTTCTGATTCTTTATCTGGCAATTCAGAGATTTCTTGTTGGTTTGGATCTTTTGCCAGAGAGGAGCTAGTGTGATCTTTTGGGGGTGTTATAGAACCTCATTTTGTCATGTTACCAGAATTACTTTTCTGGTTCATTCTCATTTTGTTAGACTGTTTCAGTGGAAAGATCTGGAACTCAGGGGCTGCTGTTCAGATTCTTTTGTCCTACAGGGTGATCCCTTGGTGTGGTGCTAGGGATGGGGCTTCCTGAGAGCCAGACTGCAGTGATTGTTATTGCCCTTCTAAGTCTAGCCACCCATTGGGGTTACCAGGCTCCAGGCTGGTGCTGGGGAATGTCTGCAAAGAGTCCTGTGATGTCATCTGTCTTTAGGTCTCCCCTCTGTGGTTATCAGCACCTGCTCAGGTGGAGGTGGCAGGGGAGTAAATAAGGTGGACTCTGTGGGAGTCCTTGATTTTAGTTTTGTTTGGTGCTGGTTTTCCTGAATGCTGGTTATGCTGGTAGTGAAGTTGTCATGTGGACAGAATCAGGACCTCGGTTTAGCCAGAGTGTTGCAGGTGGTGGAATTAGCTGTTGTTTTCTCCTTTTTTGGAGCAGGGTTATTCTGTTGAGTTACTGTAATGGCTTGACTTGGTTGGCGTCCAGCCAGGAGGTGGCACTTTCAAGAGAGTGCCAGCTGCAGTGGTAGGAGGTGGATATAATCTTGCCCCACATTGGCCAGGATGAGTACTTTGGTTTCTCCGGTTTGGTTGTGGCCATAGAGCTCCCAAGAGCTTTATCTTTTGTCTTTGGCTACCAGGGCAGATAGAGCAAAACCATCGGCAGGGTTAGACTAGTCTGAGCTCCGACTCTCTTTGGGTGGGGGTTTCTGTGGTCACTTTGGGGGATGGTGGGTGGTTCTCAGGCCAATGGAGTTATGTTCCAGGGTGATTATGGCTGCCTCTGCTGCATCATATAGATCACCAGGGAAGTGGAAAAGCCAGCAGTGACAGGCCTCACCCAGCTCCCATAGAGTCAGCAAGGCCAGTCTCACTCCCACCTTGCCCCCACCAACCACACTGAGTTTGTATCCAGACAGCCAGAGAGCAGGGCTAGGGTCTTGCCCTCAGGTACAAGCCTTCACATTGAGAAAACAAGCAGGGCTCTCAGGTCTCTCACCTCCCTGCCTGCCCACCTGCATGGTCAGCTGTGGCTTCTGTGCTTGTATCTGCACTTCCCATTTGCCCCCTACTCCCTGGATTCTGCTTAGGAAAGTTTGTGCTCAGTTGCAATTATTACAGAGTTCAGCTAGGAGCATCCTTCACCCTGTGGCCCTTCCCCCAATTTCACCAGCTGCCTTACCTTCCCTAAGGGACCTCTGTGAAATGAGGTCAGGAATGGCTTCCCTGGGCTCATGCTGGGGACCAGGAGTGCCTACAGGGCTCTTCCAGCTGCTGCTTCTCCTTTTATATTTCACACAGCTCCCTAAATCCATTTCAGCTCTATGTAAGATTAAATTCTTCTCCCATGATCTGGATTTTTGGGTTCCCCAGTGGGGATGTGTGTTCAGAGGCTGACTTTTCCCCCTCTCACACTTCATTGATTCACAGTTTTTTAGCTGTTTTGTGGTGTTTGCAGCAGCAAGCCACTTCTTTTGAAGGCTCTGTGAACTCTTTAGTTTTCCTGTTATGTTCCTGTGGTCATTCTTGGAACAAAAGTTAACAATATGCGTCTCCAGATGCTGTACTGTCTGTCCAAGTGGGAGCTGCACGTTAGTCCTGTCTCCTATTTGCCATTTTCCACCTTCATGTTATTTAACATTTTATTGTGGAGGTGGTGGTGGTGTTGGTTGTATTTTGCAAGATTTTTCCGTTGTTTATTTTGTACATTATCTATTTAAATTTTTCTATTAGATACTAAGATAACCAGAAAGAGAAAGATTTTTGTTTTTTTTAATGACTGTGCTAAACACTTGAAAAACTGGAGCAAATAACTTTTGAAAAATTAAATTAAATTTGACCTAGTGGTACAGTGATAATTATTTTTTATTAGCCATCTCTTTTGTGACAACAGTGAAAGAGATTGATGGAAAGGAGACTCTAGAAGGGAGGAAGAGATACAGAGTAAATACAATTGTTTTCATCTCTTGACTGCTTTACTTTTTATCTATCAGTTCATTTGATCTTGGCTTATACACCCACAAAACTGTATTTCTCTTTAGTATTTAAGCTGCATTTTTATCACTTTCAAGTTATTCTTAAAACAATTTTTAAAAGCTGTTTAATTTTTTTAAAACCCAGCATTTTACCATGCTAAAGTGGTTGTGTAAAGGAAAGGTTGGATAAAGCACCCATCTCTCAGGAGATAGTTAGTGATGAAATGGAAGATTGCTTCTGGATATCATAGTTTGCCAAAGTAAATCTAGACCGAGAAACTAAAACCATTTTCCTTTTCCCTTTTAGAGATGTGGAGAATGCAGTTGTGAAAAATTAAGTTTTAGCATTTGATGGTGTAAGATCAATAATTTGACTTGGAAATCTTCAATAATATTAATAGATTTTATCCATGAGTCACCTGCATCTATCATTTCTTATGCCTTGTCGTAGGGATTCCAGATGTTCCTGTTTCTTGGATGCTGTTTAATTAGGTTTGACTATGGCAAGGGTTAAAATCTCAATGTATTGATGTGCATTTTTATTCAAATTAAATGGCAACAGAGTAAAAAAAAAAAAAAGCCTTAAGTGTGGTTGGAGACTGTCTACTAAACTCTCAATTTTAGTTTTGCTGCTTCTACCAACTTTCTCCACTGATTAAAAGAGGAGCCTATTTTAGCCACCTTAAGGAGAAAAGGGATTTATTTTGTATAATTTACAGAATTGATGAGAAGGATGGAGAAATAAGTTCAAAAAAATAGGAAGGAATTAAAGGCAGCTGAGAATTTGTCTCTGCTCATATACCATAAGGAAAATCTGGTTAGGAAGCCAGTTCCGTTTCTGTGACTGTTGTCTCTGTATCTGCATTTCTTCCTCAAGGTTGAATTTTTTTTTTTTCTGGGGGAACATCCCATAGACAACTGAGATCAGTAGTTCTCTTGTTTCTAGCTTTCAGGAGTCCCTGAGGTCAAAACTGTTTTTTATAATTCTTAGGTTTTATTTGCCCTGTTTACTGTGTTGACATTTGTGCTGATGGTGTAAAAGCATTGGTGGGAAAAAGTGCTGGTGCCTTAGCATGAATCAAGGCAGTGGCATGTCTGTATGCATGTCAACCTAAAAGGAAGAAGCTGAGGCAAAATTAATATAAGTAGAGAGGTTTTTTTGGCTAAGCTCAAGGACTGCAACCTGGGAGCATAGATTCAAATTGTCCTGAACATGCACTTTGATTAGTAGCAGTTAGAAGTAGATTTTTAAGGACAAAAAAAGTTGTTTGTCAGGAATTCTCATTGGTTCACAGAAATAACATTGATTAGTGATTGGCTCTACGTTGTTAAGCTATAAGGTATGGGTTATGGCAAAAAAGTTGTCAGAAATTCTCATTGGTTCACAGAAATAACATTGTTAGTGATTGGCTCTACATTGTTAAGCTATAGGGTGTGGGTTATAATGTCTGGTGGGGCATTATTAGATTTATTTTTAGCTACTTATGGCAATAGCAAGCAATTTCAGAAGATGAATACACAGCTCAAGACGTGGAGTAGGGCATGATTGTGGTCTCATTTTAGTGTCTCTCTTGGTCTGATAATTAAAAGGACTTGCATTCCTCAGATAAAAGTTCTTTCTTTTTTCATCTGTACACACGTGTATGTGTGTGTATATATATATATGAAACTTTTCAATGACAATATTTCTCACATCAAATGTGTGAGTTTTTTCTTCACACCAATCAATTCTCCAGCTCTCCAGATACCACCTGGGTGTCCTACAACCCAGTTCAATTCTAGCAGTAAGTGCATGGAGTTATCAGATCCAGGGTTTAAGGGCTCAATCCCACAAGACTGTCCTCACTTTATTTATTTGTTTCTTTTTATTTTTTATAGACAGGGATCTTGCTATGTTGCCCAGGCTGGACTCAACTCTAGGGACCAAGCAATCCTCCCACCACAGCCTCCTTAGTAGCTGGGACTGCAGGCTCAGGCTGTCTTCACTTTAGGTGCCATTGCTGGGCTGTGCTCTCTTTAGATGCCAGGCACAAGTATTGGGTCCGCAGGTTACCCACACTTCTGTCTGACTTGGCTGCAAATCAAGGTTCTCATCACCCACAACCCCTTCAGGTTCGATAATTCACTAAAATAGCTCACAGACTTCAGTAAGACAATTTATTTATGATTACTGGACTATTATAAAGGATACAACTCAGGAGCAGCCTATAGAAGAGATGTTTAATGCAAGGTATCGGGGGAGGAGGCATGGGGACCTTCCATGGCCTCTCTGGGTGTGCTACCGTCTCAGCACCTTGATGTGTTCACCCACCTGGAAGCTCTCTGAACTGTTCCCCTCCCCTTTTTTAAAAAATAGAGTGGGGTTCTTGCCATGTTGCCCAGGTTGGTCTTGAACTCCTGGGTGTCATGGGTGGTACTGCCTGGGGCCGGCTTTGCAGTTTTTAAAGGGATTTACCAAGACAGTTGTAGGTAAAGAAAGGCAGATTTATTAGCGAAAGTATAAAAATATGCTGCAAGGTTGCAATGGGCAGCACAGCAGAGAAAGGGTTGTCTGCCAAGAGGTGGGGGCTGGAGGGAAATTGTATAGAGTCATGCTGCAAGGGGGCTATCTGCAAGGGGAAAAAGGTCATTGTGCCTGCAGGTTGTTTGTGATTAACCATCTGTCAGAAGAGTTGTTCATTGTTTCCCATCTGGGATCACCCCTTCCTTGTTGTTGCTTACTTATCAGGACTCCACATCTCCCCCACCCCCTCTGACAGAACAGCAGTGACAAATCTTTGGCAATGAGGTGGAGGTCTCATCTTCCAACTGCTGTCTGGCATGCCTAGGGCATGGAGTAGGCCCTACCTATGGTTGTTGGTTTGTCAGGAGACCCTGTGGGTCATTGTCCCAGATTGTGGGACTTAGGATATTGGATCTTTCTGGAGGAAGGCACTCATCAGAGAGGGGAAGCATGTCAAGATGAAACTGGTGACCAGCTGAATCCAGGAGAGATTCGTGAAGGTAGCAGGCATCTTTGGGGAGAGAATGATTCCATTCACAGTATCATTTAAAAGTGAAACTGTTGAATTCTAGAAGATAAAGTTTTGTTTTTTAAAGCCGTTGGCCAAAAAGGGAGACAAACCTCTTGCTTTGTGACTGTTTTTCCTTATTGGAAACCCATTTAGGTAACCTGAAAATTAAACTCAAGGAAAAAGTGTTTGAATTTAATTAGACACAGAAAGTATGTGTTCAGCAGGGGAGTACATGACTCTTAGGAACAGCATAAGTTGTTTTTTTGATTACATTGAGAATTTAGACATATCAAGAAAAGCCAAGGGTCCGAATTAAATTATGTTCGAGGAAAACATTGCTTAAATTTTTTGACTTAAAGTTGAAACATTAAAATATTATGCTAATGTTAACATTAGGCCATAATAACAGTTAGAATTGGAGGAAAATGTGACAGGAGGTGACAAAAACTGGGGAGTGTTATTTTATTAGGCCTTCTTTAGGGGAGAAAAAGCAGAAAGTAGCGGGACACAGCAAAAGTTAAACTGAGATGATTCTGAGAAGTTTTAAAAATAAACGTTACAAAATGAAAAGTAAAACTTGCAGTTTTATTAAGAACAGATTAATACCGTAAGAAAACCTTGTTTTAACATGGGGAGAGGCAATGTTAGAAAGACTATCCTAAATAATTCCCTTTCATTTATAACCAACTTAATCACATACAAAATTCCTTTCCTAAATTTCCCTTTACAAACCTTCTTATGACTTACACAGACTATTTTTGACATGCTTGGACTTTGTGACTTGTCCTAAGCATTCCTCTTTCTTTATTATTATTATTATTATTATTATTATTATTATTATTATACTTTAAGTTTTAGGGTACATGTGCACAATGTGCAGGTTAGTTACATATGTATACATGTGCCATGCTGGTGCGCTGCACCCACTAACTCATCATCTAGCATTAGGTATGTTGCCCAATGCTATCCCTCCCCCCTACCCCCACCCCACAACAGTCCCCAGAGTGTGATGTTCCCCTTCCTGTGTCCATGTGTTCTCATTGTTCAGTTCCCACCTATGAGTGAGAATATGCGGTGTTTGGTTTTTTGTTCTTGCGATAGTTTACTGAGAATGATGATTTCCAATTTCATCCATGTCCCTACAAAGGACATGAACTCATCATTTTTTATGGCTGCATAGTATTCCATGGTGTATATGTGCCACATTTTCTTAATCCAGTCTATCATTGTTGGACATTTGGGTTGGTTCCAAGCCTTTGCTATTGTGGATAATGCCACAATAAACATACGTGTGCATGTGTCTTTATAGCAGCATGATTTATAGTCCTTTGGGTATATACCCAGTAATGGGATGGCTGGGTCAAATGGTATTTCTAGTTCTAGATCCCTGAGGAATCGCCACACTGACTTCCACAATGGTTGAACTAGTTCACAGTCCCACCAACAGTGTAAAAGTGTTCCTATTTCTCCACATCCTCTCCAGCACCTGTTGTTTCCTGACTTTTTAATGATTGCCATTCTGACTGGTGTGAGATGGTATCTCATTGTGGTTTTGATTTGCATTTCTCTGATGGCCAGCGATGGAGAGCATTTTTTCATGTGTTTTTTGGCTGCATTAATGTCTTCTTTTGAGAAGTGTCTGTTCATGTCCTTCGCCCACTTTTTGATGGGGTTGTTTGTTTTTTTCTTGTAAATTTGTTGGAGTTCATTGTAGATTCTGGATATTAGCCCTTTGTCAAATGAGTAGGTTGCGAAAATTTTCTCCCATTCTGTAGGTTGCCTGTTCACTCTGATGGTAGTTTCTTTTGCTGTGCAGAAGCTCTTGAGTTTAATTAGATCCCATTTGTCAATTTTGTCTTTTGTTGCCATTGCTTTTGGTGTTTTAGACATGAAGTCCTTGCCCATGCCTATGTCCTGAATGGTAATGCCTAGGTTTTCTTCTAGGGTTTTTATGGTTTTCAGTCTAATGTTTAAGTCTTTAATCCATCTTGAATTGATTTTTGTATAAGGTGTAAGGAAGGGATCCAGTTTCAGCTTTCTACATATGGCTAGCCAGTTTTCCCAGCACCGTTTATTAAATAGTGAATCATTTCCCCATTTCTTGTTTTTCTCAGGTTTGTCAAAGATCAGATAGTTGTAGATATCCAGCGTTATTTCTGAGAGCTCTATTCGGTTCCATTGATCTATATCTCTGTTTTGGTACCAGTACCATGCTGTTTTGGTTACTGTAGCCTTGTAGTATAGTTTAAAGTCAGGTAATGTGATGCCTCCAGCTTTGTTCTTTTGGCTTAGGATTGACTTGGTGATGCGGGCTCTTTTTTGGTTCCATATGAACTTTAAAGTAGTTTTTTCCAATTCTGTGAAGAAAGTCATTGGTAGCTTGATGGGGATGGCATTGAATCTATAAATTACCTTGGGCAGTATGGCCATTTTCACGATATTGATTCTTCCTACCCATGAGCATGGAATATTCTACCATTTGTTTGTATCCTCTTTTATTTCATTGAGCAGTGGTTTGTAGTTCTCCTTGAAGAGGTCCTTCACATCCCTTGTAAGTTGGATTCCTAGGTATTTTATTCTCTTTGAAGCAATTGTGAATGGGAGTTCACTCATGATTTGGCTCTCTGTCTGTTGTTGGTGTATAAGAATGCTTGTGATTTTTGTACATTCATTTTGTATCGTGAGACTTTGCTGAAGTTGCTTATCAGCTTAAGCGGATTTTGGGCTGAGACAATGGGGTTTTCTAGGTATACAATCATGTCGTCTGCAAACAGGGACAATTTGACTTCCCCTTTTCCTAATTGAATACCCTTTATTTCCTTCTCCTGCCTAATTGCCCTGGCCAGAACTTCCAACACTATGTTGAATAGGAGTGGTGAGAGAGGGCATCTCTGTCTTGTGCCAGTTTTCAAAGGGAATGCTTCCAGTTTTTGCCATAGATAGCTCTTATTATTTTGAAATATGTCC
The DNA here is from genome assembly GCF_000001405.40 of Homo sapiens. Taxonomy (NCBI): domain Eukaryota; kingdom Metazoa; phylum Chordata; class Mammalia; order Primates; family Hominidae; genus Homo; species Homo sapiens. The sequence goes on along the minus strand of NC_000002.12, from coordinate 179,199,795 downwards.
CATCAATACCTAATTTATTGAGAGTTTTTAGCATGAAGGGTTGTTGAATTTTGTCAAAGGCCTTTTCTGCATCTATTGAAATAATCATGTGGTTTTTGTCTTTGGTTCTGTTTATATGCTGGATTACATTTATTGATTTGTGTATATTGAACCAGCCTTGCATCCCAGGGATGAAGCCCACTTGATCATGGTGGATAAGCTTTTTGATGTGCTGCTGGATTCAGTTTGCCAGTATTTTATTGAGGATTTTTGCATCAATGTTCATCAAGGATATTGGTCTAAAATTCTCTTTTTTGATTTTGTCTCTGCCTGGCTTTGGTATCAGGATGATGCTGGCCTCATAAAATGAGTTAGGGAGGATTCCCTCTTTTTCTATTGATTGGAATAGTTTCAGAAGGAATGGTCCCAGTTCCTCCTTGTACCTCTGGTAGAATTCAGCTGTGAATCCATCTGGTCCTGGACTCTTTTTGGTTGGTAAGCTATTGAATATTGCCACAATTTCAGATCCTGTTATTGGTCTATTCAGAGATTCAACTTCTTCCTGGTTTAGTCTTGGGAGAGTGTATGTGTCGAGGAATTTATCCATTTCTTCTAGATTTTCTAGTTTATTTGCGTAGAGGTGTTTGTAGTATTCTCTGATGGTAGTTTGTATTTCTGTGGGATCGGTGGTGATTTCCCCTTTATCATTTTTTATTGCGTCTATTTGATTCTTCTCTCTTTTTTCTTTATTAGTCTTGCTAGCGCTCTATCAATTTTGTTGATCCTGTCAAAAAACCAGGTCCTGGATTCTTTAATTTTTTGAAGGATTTTTTGTGTCTCTATTTCCTTCAGTTTAACTCCGATTTTAGTTATTTCTTGCCTTCTGCTAGCTTTTGAATGTGTTTGCTCTTGCTTTTCTAGTTCTTTTAATTGTGATGTTAGGGTGTCAATTTTGGATCTTTCCTGCTTTCTCTTGTGGGCATTTAGTGCTATAAATTTCCCTCTACACACTGCTTTGAATGCGTCCCAGAAATTCTGGTATGTTGTGTCTGTGTTCTCGTTGGTTTCAAAGAACATCTTTATTTCTGCCTTCATTTCGTTATGTACCCAGTAGTCATTCAGGAGCAGGTTGTTCAGTTTCCATGTAGTTGAGCGGTTTTGAGTGAGATTCTTAATCCTGAGTTCTAGTTTGATTGCACTGTGGTCTGAGAGATAGTTTGTTATAATTTCTGTTCTTTTACATTTGCTGAGGAGAGCTGTACTTCCAAGTATGTGGTCAATTTTGGAATAGGTGTGGTGTGGTGCTGAAAAAAATGTATATTCTGTTGATTTGGGGTGGAGAGTTCTGCAGATGTCTATTAGGTCCACTTGATGCAGAGCTGAGTTCAATTCCTGGGTATCCTTGTTGGCTTTCTGTGTCATTGATCTGTCTAATGTTGACAGTGGGGTGTTAAAGTCTCCCATTATTAATGTGTGGGAGTCTAAGTCTCTTTGTAGGTCACTCAGTACTTGCTTTATGAATCTGGGTGCTCCTGTATTGGGTGCATATATATTTAGGAACTTAGCTCTTCTTGTTGAATTGATCCCTTTACCATTATGTAATGGCCTTGTCTCTTTTGATCTTTGTTGGTTTAAAGTCTGTTTTGTCAGAGACTAGGATTGCAACCCCTGCCTTTCTTTGTTTTCCATTTGCTTGGTAGATCTTCCTCCATCCTTTTATTTTGAGCCTATGTGTGTCTCTGCATGTGAGGTGGGTTTCCTGAATACAGCACACTGATGGGTCTTGACTCTTTATCCAGTTTGCCATTGTGTGTCTTTTAATTGGAGCATTTAGTCCATTTACATTTAAAGTTAATATTGTTATGTGTGAATTTGATCCTGTCATTATGATGTTAGCTGGTTATTTTGCTCGTTAGTTGATGCAGTTTTTTCCTAGTCTCGATGGTCTTTACAATTTGGCATGATTTTGCAGTGGCTGGTACCGGTTGTTCCTTTCCATGTTTAGCGCTTCCTTCAAGAGCTCTTCTAGGGCAGGCCTGGTGGTGACAAAATCTCTCAGCATTTGCTTGTCTGTAAAGGATTTTATTTCTCCTTCACTTATGAAGCTTAGTTTGGCTGGATATGAAATTCTGGGTTGAAAATTCTTTTCTTTAAGAATGTTGAATATTGGCCCCCACTCTCTTCTGGCTTGTAGAGTTTCTGCAGAGAGATCTGCTGTTAGTCTGATGGGCTTCCCTTTGAGGGTAACCCGACCTTTCTCTCTGGCTGCCCTTAACATTTTTTCCTTCATTTCAACTTTGGTGAATCTGACAATTACGTGTCTTGGGGTTGCTCTTCTCGAAGAGTATCTTTGTGGTGTTCTCTGTATTTCCTGAATGTGAATGTTGGCCTGCCTTGCTAGATTGGGGAAGTTCTCCTGGATAATATCCTGCAGAGTGTTTTCCAACTTGGTTCCATTCTCCCCATCACTTTCAGGTACTCCAGTGAGATGTAGATTTGGTCTTTTCACGTAGTCCCATATTTCTTGGAGGCTTTGCTCATTTGTTTTTATTTTTTTTTCTCTAAATTTCCCTTCTCGCTTCATTTCATTCATTTCATTTTCCATAGCTGATACCCTTTCTTCCAGTTGATTGCATCGGCTCCTGAGGCTTCTTCTTTCTTCACGTAGTTCTCGAGCCTTGGTTTTCAGCTCCATCAGCTCCTTTAAGTACTTCTCTGTATTGGTTATTCTAGTTATACATTCTTCTAAATTTTTTTCAAAGTTTTCAACTTCTTTGCCTTTGGTTTGCATGTCCTCCCGTAGGTACAGAGAAATTTGATCGTCTGAAGCCTTCTTCTCTCAGCTCATCAAAATCATTCTCCGTCCAGCTTTGTTCCGTTGTTGTTGAGGAACTGCGTTCCTTTGGAGGAGGAGAGGCGCTCTGCTTTTCAGAGTTTCCCGTTTTTCTTCTCTGTTTTTTCCCCATCTTTGTGGTTTTATCTACTTTTGGTCTTTGATGATGGTGATGTACAGATGGGTTTTTGGTGTGGATGTCCTTTCTGTTTGTTAGTTTTCCTTCTAACAGACAGGACCCTCAGCTGCAGGTCTGTTGGAGTACCCAGCCGTGTGAGGTGTCAGTCTGCCCCTTCTGGGGGGTGCCTCCCAGTTAGGCTGCTCGGGGGTCAGGGGTCAGGGACCCACTTGAGGAGGCAGTCTGCCCATTCTCAGATCTCTAGCTGCATGCTGGGAGAACCACTGCTGTCTTCAAAGCTGTCAGACAGGGACATTTAAGTCTGCAGAGGTTACTGCTGTCTTTTTGTTTGTCTGTGCTCTGCCCCCAAGATGTGGAGCCTACAGAGGCAAGCAGGCCTCCTTTAGCTGTGGTGGGCTCCACCCAGTTTGAGCTTCCTGGCTGCTTTGTTTACCTAAGCAAGCCTGGGCAATGGCTGGCGCCCCTCTCCCAGCCTCACTGCCACCTTGCAGTTTGATCTCAGACTGCTGTGCTAGCAGTCAGCGAGACTCCGTGGGTGTAGGACCCTCCGAGCCAGGTGCGGGATGTAATCTCCTGGTGCGCCGTTTTTTAAGCCCGTCGGAAAAGCGCAGGATTCGAGTGGGAGTGACCCAATTTTCCAGGTGCCATCTGTCACCCCGTTCTTTGACTAGGAAAGGGAACTCCCTGACCCCTTGCGCTTCCTGCGTGAGGCAATGCCTCGCCCTGCTTCGTTTTGCACATGGTGCGTGCACCCACTGACCTGCGCCCACTGTCTGGCCTTCCCTGGTGAGATGAACCCGGTACCTCAGATGGAAATGCAGAAATCACCCGTATTCTGTGTCGTTCATGCTGGGGGCTGTAGACCGGAGCTGTTCCTATTCGGCCATCTTGGCTCCTCCCACATTCCTCTGTCTTAAACAACCAGTTATTCTATTTTAGGACAAGAATTTACCATACGAGATTTTTTTTCTCATACGAAGTCTTTTTTTTTTTTTAAATAACCTTCCTTTCCCAAAATGCCTTTTTACCTTTATAACCTTCTTCATGTCTCTCTTATTCCCTGGTTCCTTTTAACTTGTTTCATATGTAACCTTTACGTAACCTGTGAATTAGGGAAAAATTATTTTCCTTTTGTTGGGAAGTTAAGGTTTCCGTTTCATTTGCTGTGTGAGTTCTGTGAAGGAGGATCAAATGAGGAGGTAATTTACATACTGTAGAAGTTATCCCCTCTTAAGAGATTGTTCAATTAGCTTTCTTGCTAGGGCTTGTTTGAATAAGTGTGGGCTATATTTTAAACCCCTGAAGTATGACTATCTAAGTTGAAGTTTCTATTTAGTCTGTTTTCACACTGCTATAAAGAAATACCTGAGACTGGGTAATTTGTAAACAAAGGAGGTTTAATTCACTCACAGTTCTGCATGGCTGGGGAGACCTCAGGAAACTTAACAGTCATGGTAGAAGAGGAAGCAGACACCTTCTTCACAGGGTGGCAGGAGAGAGAAGTAAGGAGGGCAGGGGAAACTGCCATTTATGAAACCATTAGATCTCTTGAGAACTCACTATCACAAGAACAGCATGGGGGAACCACCCCCATGATCTAATCACTTCCCTCACTCTACATATGGAGATTACAATTCTCTTCCTCAAAACATGGGGATTGACGATGAGATTTGGGTGGGGACACAGAGTCAAACCATATCCGGTGGCCTGTCCTTCTGCATCAAGAACACTTACTTGGAGAAGTGTCCTTAGGACAATCTAGAATGGGCTGGAGGCTTCTAAAGCAGCCAGCAGTTAAGCCTGTCTCTTGTCCTTGCATTTTTCTTTCTCTGTAGCTCTGTTCCCCTTATTCTGTTCTCAATTACTGAAGAACTTGAAGGCTGTGTCCAGCAATGTTGGGAAAGTAGTTTGTGGTCTCTGATCTGGCTTTTGGAGTTCATGTCTGATGTATGGGGATGCCTGGCTGATAAACAGCTATGACAGTGAGGTCTTCTGGGCTCTGGGGGTTCATATTAGTATATTTTCTCATAGCCTCAGCCAGCTTGGTATAAAATAGGGCTGGGTTTTAATTTGACCCCTGTCTTATTTCCCTTAGTTTGGCATAATTTACAAGTTTTATGTGGCCTTTTTCATGCTCTGAATCAGGCAAGTGATCATGTGATTATGATATTTCCTTCTGTGGTCTCCCTCTTGATAACCCCACCTAAGATCAGTGTAAGGCATTGCCGTTCTCCCAGGGCCGGACTCCTGGGGGTTTGGGGTATGCACTTCATCTGCTCACCTTTGAGCCAGAGACCATATGTGGGATTTTTCCTCATGGGTGCAATATGTGGTAAAAAATAATATACATGTCCTGCCAAGTGAGGTAGAGGGAAGCAATAGTCCTGTAAATTCCTTCATGAAATGAGGAGGGCCCCTACTGAAAGAGCCAAAGCTTAGTTTTTATTTGGGAAAGATCAGACATTAGGAAGGGAACATGGACTCTGATGGTTCCTAGATCCCCATTTGCCACGTCCTGGAGCAGCAGAACTTTTTCTGAGGCCAAAATGAGATCATAGGTGGCCTCTGACCTAGTATGAGAAGGGGAGTAGAATCCCTGATAAGGAGGAGGCACTGGAAAACAACATCAAAGGTTGGGATGTTGAGGGGAAGGTGAGAGAGAGGGAGCAGATGGAGTAGGTGTAATTGAATGTGAAGGTGGTTTGTTAGGGGAAGAAGGTGTGGCCTCAACCCATCCAGCTAGTTGGGGAGAATGGGAGAGAGTAAAAGAAAGGCCATCCAAAATGTCAAAAGAGCCAGTGGGGCCAGAGAATATAGTCATGCACATTCAGCAGATTTGGTGGAGATCAGGATCCCGAGAGAGTGAGTTATGAAAGCCTGGAATAGGAACTTCAGACCATTTAAAAGAGTTGCAACAGAAAAGGTCAAGCTGTAAAATAGTACTGGGGCAAGGGTCCCACCTGGTGGCCGGGAGGATTCCTGATCTGAAAGTTTATAAGGTGGCCATGTTGTATTACACAAGAAAATTAAACTTTGTTTTTGAGAGTCTGAGGGTCAGATTTATCCATTATTTTAGGATGCAACCCAGAGATAAGTCTGAAGGAATAGACGGGGTTTGTCCCATGATGGGACTGGAAAACAACAAGCTGTTTGGGGCTAATAAAATAATAGTACCTACCTTGTAGAAATGTTGTGAAGACTAAGATAATAAAAAGAAATCGTTTAAAACAGTGCATAGTTTATAATAAACACTTAGTCAATGTTAATTATAATAATTATTATCACCCCTTTATCAAACTTTCAAATCAGGTCTTCAACAAGCTGGTCACAGGACAGGAGATTTAAGATGTGAATCCAAGCTGTCTGGGTTCTTGTATAACTGGATAACAACTCATCATGAAGTGCTACTAGTTTTAGATTAAAGATGTAAATTGTGAGCTTTTTTCCTTCTACTTCCTACTAGTCTGTTTGCCGGGCTAATATAGAACAAACTTGAATAAACAAATCGCAAATATTCAAGGGAACTTGAATATATCATCTAGATGGACAACTTGTTTTCTTTGAAGACAGATGCAAATGGTTGTGTTTTTTAAGTTGTAAACTCAAAAGCTATAAAATTATATACTGGTTTAATTAGTCTTGTTTAATTAGCCATTATCTGACCAATGTTACAACTCCATCTTTTTTTTTCCTCAACATCTATTTTTTTGTTTGTTTTTTAAAGACTGCCTTTTTTTCCCACCCCCTAGAGCAGGGCTGTTTCTGGAGTTTTTAGCTCTAGCTGGTAGCACAGCCTTAGGTGGGATAGGTTAATAGCAGGTGTTTGCTGAATAAGTAATATACTCATACAAAGAGTCATATTTTCTGCTGTTCTAGAAATGTCTTCAAGAGAATATGCTTTCACTAAATACAATAAAATTTCACAGTGTACTTCAAGGAACTGCTCTGTGTTGTGATGGTGGGTGGGTGTGAGATGGGATAGGGGAGGAAGGGATAAAATGTGATTGAGAATACTCTCTCAGACATGAGTATAAGAGGATAATAGAATTGAATCTGATTTTGTTCATTTTTGTTGTTGTTTTGTTTGAAAGGTCCTGCTCTCCTTAAAATCAAAATTTGATGGTATACTGGGCTGGCCAAGCCTGAATGCCTGCCATGGCAAAACCTCCATTTAAGGGAAACTATCTTGCCCTTAGCCCTTGCTATAAGGGTAGTCCCTTTTTGTATTTAGCTATAACCCCTGGCTATGGCTGAGTAGACCCTGGAAAACTGAATCAAAGAATAGTGAATTGTGGCCTGGTACAAAAAGATGAGCTGGCCTAATCAAATTTTTCCCTGGAAAATTAAAAACTGTAAAATGTAGAGAGATGGAGGCAGTTAACAATGGGGGCAAAAATTGAAACAATGTATTAGAAAATGTAGTGAGATAAACAGGATAAGATGTGGTACCATGTGTTATAGGGGAGCAAAAATATGAGAAATCAGAAAAAGCCATTTAATAGTGAAATGGAAAGAATCAGATATTTGGCATTAAGCTGTGTAATTAATAAGGAACACAAAGGAAGATTGACTGCCTGTTTGATTGATTCATTTGTTTATTCAACAAATTAATTTTTTAGTTACTAGTATGTACCAGGCAGTGTTTTAGCCCGAGTATTGCTCTGAGAAAGAATTAAGCCAGTGATTCTCAACCACTTGTGATTTTGCCTACCAGAGGATATTTGGCCATGTCTAGAGACATTCTGGTTGTCACAGCTGGGAAAGGGAGGTGGTATTGGTTTTTAGTGAGTAGAGAGAGACCAGGGATGCTGCAAACTATTCTACAATGCACAGGATAACTCCCTACAAAAAAAGAATTATCTTGCTCAAAATGTCAGTAGTTCTCAGGTTTAGAAACTCTGGGATAAACCATCATTAGGATATATTTCGTGGAATAATTGTTGTCTTGTAGTTGACATTTGACTTTCTGTGTTTTCAGAATTAAGGAAGTTCACTGGAGTAAAATGGAGGCCTCAGTAATATTACCCATTCTGAAGAAAAAACTAGCCTTCCTTTCAGGTATGATTTCTTCTTAAAATTTGAAGTGTTTGATATACAAACTTTTTAATAGTTTCTTCTTTGTTAAGTATGACAGATGCATTTTTTTTTAATGAAAGTTTTGTTTAAAAGGTATTTCTAAGACATCTTTAAATCAGAATGAAGAGCTAGGAGAGCTAACTCTGTACTGGTTCTTGGCAGGCCAATTTATTTTTCTAATTTCATTTTTTTAGATTCAGGGGGTACATGTGCCTGTCTGTTGCATGGGTATATTACATGATACTAAGGTTTGGGGTATAATTGATTCTCCTCACCCAGGTAGTGACCATAATACCCAGTAGGTAGTTTTTCAGCCCTTTTCCCCTTCTCTCCCTCCCCTGCAGTAGTCTCCAGTGTCTGTTGCTCCCATCTTTATGTCCATGTGTGCCCAATGTTTGGCTCCCTCTTACAAATGAGAATGTGCAATATTTGGTTTTCTGTTTCTGTGTCAATATTCACCTAGGATGATGGCCTCTGGCTGCATCCATGTTGTGGCAAAGGGCATGATTTCCCTGTTTTTTTACAGCTGCATAGTACTCTATGATGTATATGTACCACGTTTTCTTTATCCATTCCACTGTTGATGGGCACCTAAGTTGATTCTGTGTCTTTGCTATTATAAATAGTGCTGCAAGGAACGTATGAATGCATGTGTCTTTTTGATAGAGCAATTTATTTTCCGTTGGATATATACACAGTAATGGGATTGCTGGATTGAATGGTAGCAATCCCATTACTGGGTATATACCCAAAGGAAAATACATTGTTTTGTAGATTCTTTGTTTTAAGTTCTCTGAGAAGTCTCCAAACTGCTTTCTCCAGTTACTGAACTAATTTACATGACCACCAACAGTGTATACGCATTTCCTTTTCTCTGCAGCTTCACCAGCATCTGTTATTTTTTTGACTTTTTAATAATAGACATTCTGACTAGTATGAGATGATATTTCATTGTCAATTTGATTGCATTCCTGTGATTATCTGTGATGTGCATGCTTGTTGGCCACTTGTGTGTCTTCTTTTGAGAAATGTCTGTTCATGTCCTTTGCCCACTTTTTAATGGGGTTATTTGTTTTTTCCTTGTTGAATTGATTAAGTTCATTATGGATTCTTGGTATTAGGCCTTTGTTGGAGGCATAGTTTGTGAATATTTTCTCCCATTTTGTAGGTTGTCTGTTTATTGATAGTTTCTTTTGTTGTGCAGAAGCTCTTTAGTTTAATTACGTCCTACTTTTCAATTTTTGTGTTAGTTGCAGTTACTTTTGAGGACTTAGTCATAATTTTTTTTCTGAGGCCGATACTCAGAATTGTATTTCCTAGGTTTTCTTCTAGGATTTTTATAGTTTTAGGCCTTAGGTTTAAGTCTTTAATTCATCTTGAGTTAATTTTTGTATATGGTGAAAGGTATGGTTCAGTTTCATTCTTCTGCATATGGCTAGCAAGTTATCCTAGCATCATTTATTAAATAGGTAGTTCTTTCCCCATTGCGTGTTTTGTTGAAGATCAGAAGGCTATAGGTATGTGACCTTATTTCTGGAATCTCTATTCTGTTCCATTGGTCCATGTGTCTGTTTCTGTACTAGTACCATGCTGTTTTGTTTACTGCAGCCTTGTAGTGTAGTTTGAAGACAGGTAATGTAGTATCTCTGGATTTTTTCTTTTTGCTTAGAATTGCTGTAGCTAATTGGGCTTTTTTTTGTTTCCATATGAACTTTAGTTTTTTTCTATTCTGTGAAAATTGACATTGGTAGTTTGATATGAATAGCATTGAATTTGTAGATTGCTTTGGGCTGTATGGCCATTTTAACATTTTAAATATGACGATGGAATGTTTTTCCATTACTTTATGTCTTCTGTTATTTCTTTCAGCAGTGTTTTATAGCTCTCTTTGTAGGTATCTTTCACCTTTTTGCTTAGGTGTAGTTTTAGGTATTTTTTATGGCCATTATAAATGGGAATATGTTCTTTATTTTGGCTCTCAGTTTGAGTGTCATCGGTGTTTGGAAATGCAACTTATTTTTGTATATTGATTTTTTTACCCTGACATTTTACTAATGTAATTTATCAGTTCTAGAAGCCTTTTGGTGGAGGCTTTAGGGTTGTCTAGGTATAGAAACATAAAGTCAACGAAGAGCAATAATTTGACTCCTCCTTTTTCTAATTCTATGCCTTTTATTTCTTTTTCTTGCCTGATGGTTCTTGCTAGGACTTTTAGTACTATGTTGAATACAAGTGGTGAGAGTGGCTATCCTTGTTTTTTTCCAGTTCTTAAGGGGAATACTTTTAGCATTTGCCTGTTCAGCATAATGTTGGCTGTGGGTTTGTCTATAGATAGCTTTTATTATTTTGAGATGTATTTCTTCAATGCATAGTTTATTGAGGGTTTTTATCATGAAAGGATGTTGGATTTTATCAAAGGCTTTTTCTGCATCTATTGAGATGATCATATGGTTTTTAATTCTGTTTATGTGGTGACTCACATTTATTGATTTGTGCATGTTGAACTGATCTTGCATCCCAGGAATAAAGCCTAATTGAATGTGGAGGATTAACTTTTTGGTTTGCTGTGAGATTCCGTTTGCTAGTATTTTGTTGAGGATATTTGCATCTCTGTTCATCAGGGATATTGGCCTTTAGTTTGCTTTTTTTGTTGTTGTGACCTCACTAGGTTTTGGTGTCAGGATGATGCTGGCTTTACAGAAGAGGGAATCCCTCCTCTTTAATTTTTTGGAATAATTTCAGTAGGATTGGTACTAGCTCTTCTCTGTATGTCTGGTAGAATTTGGCTGTGAATCCATCTAGTCCAGGGCTTTTTTTGATTGGTAGATTTTTTTAAATTACCAATTCAGTTTTAGAACTCAATATTGGGCTGTTGAGGGCTTCAGTTTCTTTATGATTCAACCTTGGGAGGGTCTGTGTTTCTAGGAAGTTATCCATTTCTCTAGAGTTTCTAGTTAGTGTGCACAGAAGTCTTTTGTATTTCTGTAGGATCAGTTGTAATGTCACCTTGTCATTTCTAATTGTCCTTATTTGGATCTCCTCTCTTTTTTTTCTTTCTTAGTCTAGCTAGTGGTCTGTTGATCTTGTGTATCATTTGGTGTTGTCAGCCCCCCACCCCTTTTTTTGAGACAGGATCTCACTTTGTCACTCAGTCTAGGGTGGAGATCAGTAGTACAAACAAGGCTGGCTGCAGCTTTGACCTCCTGAGCTTAAGCGATCCTCCAGCCTCAGCCCTGACAATTAGCTGAGACTACAGGTGTGTACCACCATACTCAGCCAATTTTTGTATTTTTTGTAAAGATGGGGTTTTGCTGTGTTGCACAGGCTGATCTCAAATTCATGAGCTCAAGTGACTCGCTCACTTTGATACGTTGTATCACTGTTTTCATTTATCTCAAAACAATTTTTTGATTTCTGCCTTAATTTTGTTTACACAACATTCATTCAAATGCAAGCTGTTTAATTTTCATGTAATTGTGTGGTTTTGAGAGATCTTCTTGGTATTGATTTCTATTTCTGTTACACTGTGATCTGAGAGTATGGTTGGTATGATTTCAAGTTTTTTTTATTTATCAAGACTTGCATTATGGCTGAGCCTGTGGTTGGTCTTAGAGTATGTTTCATATGCAGATGAGAAGAATGTATATTCTGTGGTTGATGGGTAGACTGTTCTGTAGATGTCTATTAGGTCCAGTTGGTCAAGTGTCAAATTTAAGTTCAGAATATGTTTGTTTTCTCCCCGATGATCTGTCTAACTCTATCGGTGGAGTGTTGAAATCCCCTGCTATTATTGTGTGGCTGTCTAATTCATCTTGTAGGTCCAGAATTACTTTTTTTATGAATCTGGGTACTTCAATGTTGGGTGCATGTGTATATATTTAGAATGATTAAGTATTCATGTTGAATTGAACCCTTTATTATTATGTAATGCTCTTCTTTGTCCTATTTTATTATTGTTGGTTTAAAGTCTGTTTTTTCTGATATGAGAATAGTGATCCCTGCTCTTTTTTTGTTTTGTATATGTGTAATAGGTCTTTCCCCAACCCTTTTCTTTGAACCTGTCATTGTCATTACATGTGAGATGGGTCTCTTGAAGACAGAAGATGGATGGGTCTTGTTTTTTGTTTGTTTGTTTGAGACAGGATCTCGTTCTGCCACCCAGGCTGGAGTGCAGTGGTGCGATCATAGCTCACTGTAGCCTTGACCTCCTGGGCCCAAGCAGTCCTCCCACCTCAGCCTTTCGACTAGCTGGGACCACAGGCATGTGCCATCATGCCCAGCTAATTTTCTCATTTTTAATTTTTTTGTAGAGACAGGTGTCCTTATATATTGCCCAGGCTAGTTTCAAACTCCTGGGCTCAAGTGATCCTTCTACCTCAGTCTCCCAAATTGCTGAGATTATAGGCATGAGCTACTGTGCTTGGCCAAATCTTTTTTTTGGATCCATCTTGCCATTTGGTGTCTTTTAAGTGGGGTGTTAGACCTTTTACATTCAAGGCTAATATTGATATGTGAGGTTATAATCCTATTTTGAAGTTGTTACCTGGTTGCTTTGTAGTCTCAATTGCGTAGTTGCTTTATAGGGTCTGTGGGCTATGTAATTAAATGTGTTTTTGTAGTAGCAGGTGTTCTTTTGTTACCATATTTAGAACTCCCTTAAGGATCTCTTTGGTCTAGTGGTAATGAATTCCCTTTGGAATTACTTGTATGGAAAAGATTTTATTTCTCCTTCACTTATAAAGCTTAGTTTGGTGGGATGTGAAATTCTTGGTTGGAAATCTTTTTCTTTAAGAATGCTGAAAATAAGCCTCCAGTCTCTTTTGGCTTATAATGTTTCTCCTGAGAAGTCCACTGTTAGCCTGACAGGGTTCCCATTGTGTGTGATCTGACTCTTCTCTAGCCTCCTTTAAGATTTTTGATGCTCTACACATTTGGAGAAAGCTCTCTAGGAATGAACTGTAAAAATAATCCCTGAATGGCATGAACCTGGGAGGCAGAGCTTGCAGTGAGCCAAGATCGCGCCACTGCACTCCAGCCTGGGCGACAGAGCAAGACTCCGTCTCAAAAAAAAAAAAAAAAAAAAATTCCCTGAAAATACAGTCTTCTGATACTTATCCTGTTCTGTAATTTCATTAAAATGACCTCTACAAGGTAGATGTCATGATGTCTCACTTCTGATATGAAAATGTAATAATAATTGACTAACTGGCATCCAAATAATTGTTTCTGAAATACAGAATAATTAGTTTTTATGATAACTGTCTTCTAGCTTTTTTCTTCCATCTTCCTCTGAGAAAGTTTCAGTACACTGGAGGAGTTAATATCCATTATTCTGTTTTCACTCTTTGCTGTTCAAAACTGTTTATATACACTTGAATTTATCTTCAGTTATCAACTTGAAGTGTGTATCAGCTAAGATGAGTCAAGGGGAAGCTATGAGTGGGAGCATGTATGTATGGTACATTGGGTGTAGTGATCTTCTGGAGTTTAGATCGTTGAGTAAATCTCTACATGATTTAGTATAGATACTGTAGCTCTGCCAACTCAGAGTTATTTGGACTGCATTATCTTGCTTTCTCTATTATTCTTTTTTATGTCCTGTCCTAATTGCCTTGATAATACTAATGTCCTTTTTTCAAAGTATGTTATGTCTCTGTATAATTGACATGTTTTCCTAGTATGTATTATATTATATATTGTATATAATATACTATATTGTATATGCTATATTATATACTGTATGTAATATACTATATTGTATATGCTGTATTATATATTGTATATAATATACTATATTGTATATGCTATATTATATATTGTATATAATATAATATATTGTATATGCTATATTATATATTGTATATAATATACTATATTGTATATGCTATATTATATATTGTATATAACATACTATATTGTACATGCTATATTATATATTATATATAATATACTATATTGTATATGCTATATTATATATTGTATACTATATTGTATATGCTATATTATATATTGTATATAATATACTATATTATATTATATATAATATGCTATATTATATATTGTATATAATATACTATATTATATATAATATGCTATATTATATATTGTATATGCTATATTGTATATAATATGCTATATTATATATTGTATAATAGTGTTATATATGTATATAATATACAATATATAATATAGTATATTATATACATATATAACATATGTACATATCATATATTACATATATACAATATATAATATACAATATACGATATAATATATATTGTATATATGATAAGTAATATATAGTATATCATATACTATATATTACTATTATACAATATAGAATATACTATATTATATACATTACATATACTATATATACAATATGTAATATATATTGAATTTATAATACTATATTAATACAATGTATAATATTAATATATGCTATATTATATATTATACTCTGATATGAATGATGATTTTGTAAATATTCTTATTCATAGCTTTGTGCAGTTTTTTCTCTTCTATACCTGGAAAGCTTTGTCTATTTTGTACAAGTTCAGCAGTATGCATTTTTATGAGTAGAAGTGGTATAAGGATAATATGCATTTATATTTGTGTTAGGTTTTGTCAGATTGCCCTCCAAGAAGATTGTTTCAATTCCTATTTTTTCCAATGGTGTGTGAAAATGCCTGTGTTCTCACACTCTTTTCAATAGTAGACACTATTATTCTCTTATAATCTTTACCATGACATTTTTGCATCTTGTGATGCTTGTCTCTGTGTAGCATTTGATGCTTTTGACCATAACTATCTTGAAAGTCTTTTTCCTGTTGGCTTTCACCCCTCTGGTACTTTTACACTGGTGATTATTTTATTGTCCCTGAATGAAAGCTGAGGGAATGGATTTAAATATAGCCCTGAATGTTAAATTTATCTTCTAAAGACAATTCTACAGTGAGTCAGAGTGCCATAGTCCAGGTGTGAGCCTTTTTTGGGGCTTGGCTTAATGGGTGGATAAAGCTTAGCAATTTTGAGGAGTAAATGAAAGACTTCTTAGCCTGTTCCTATTAACGCCCTCTCTTGACCATTGATGATTTAAGCCAGTAATTTTCAAACTTTTTTAGTAATAGAGAAAATTTTTTCAAACCAACAGAGTCATTCAGGGGATGCAGTTTGAAAACCACTTGTGTTAATCCATTTTTTTTTTTTGAGAAATGACACATATTCTGAACAAAAAATAGGCAATTGAAGTCGTATTGATTGATTACTAAGTTGAATCACCTTAGATGATAATTTGTTGACATTAAACAAAGTGGTTGGATGGCAGTAATCGTTGACCTAATGGAGGACAGAGGTTCATTTATGGTTCATATGTTATGAATTGCATTTGTGTCACTAATATGAGTCTTTTTCTTCACACCTTTCAGTTTTTAGTGATAGATGTCTAGCGATCATGTGGAATTGTTTCTTTCAGTATTTGCTGCTTTTTAAGCCTCTCAAATTACCTCAAATGTCAGTTTGGTCAGAAGATGGGCTTCAGTATGAAATTCAAACATGTAGGAAACTTCCAAAGACATGATGTGGGCATAAAAGTATTTAAAAGTTACATTATACTTTTGGCACACTGAAAGGGACTTGAACGTACATGGAATGTAACTGTATTCTACTACCGGGATTTCAGACTTCAATATCCAGTTCCCATGTACCCTTCTCAGCTGGGCAGGGTTTTATCTTTATTGTCTTATGAACAGTATATGCCTGTCTGACCTTTGTGAGTTAACTCAGATCATTCCTCATCACAGAATACTCTTTTGACTTGGTTTACAAATTCTACCCGTTTTCCTTTCCCTCCCTCCCTCCCTACCTCCCTTCCTCGTTTCCTCCCTTCCTTCCTTCCTCTCTGTCTCTCTTCCTCTCTCTCTCTCTCTCTCTCTCCTTTCTTTTCTTTTCTTTCTTTCCATGCAATCTTGCTATGTTGCCCCGGCCAGTACTGGACTCCTGGATTCAAGTGATACTCTCGCCCTCAGCCTCCTGAGTAGCTGGGATATGAGACTACAGACACGCCAATACCCCCAGCTCTGTTTTTCTCAAGTCTTAACTTTTCAGTGAAACTTTTCACATTTACTGCAGCTCTTAATCATTTTCTAAATCCCTTTTTATAATTTTATATATCTTATAGAACATAACAAACTATCATATTTCTTATCTCCTAAATATTTTCTTCCTAGGTTGATTGGAAATTTATTTTATTTTACTTGCAAATACTTACTGTGCTGGGCACGTGAGAGGTGTTTGATGAATTGATTACATTAAGGACAGTAAATGGAAGAAATTTAAATAAAGTGATATTTGCTATGTTTGGGTGAAGATTTCATGGGTGAATTTTTTTCCTTTTTTCTAAATTTTCTGTAATTCTTCTATACTATCATAAAAATTTACAATCTATAAGTAGCCATTAGATATTTTCCAAATTATATCTTAAACTTATCATTATTTTAGTAAGATTGGATTCAAATGTATATTATTCAGATTATGCCTTAATATGTATTACATGTTAAATTTAAATCTCTTTTTTAATAGGAGGAAAAGACAGACGGAGTGGCCTCATTTTGACAATTCCATTATGCCTCGAACAGACAAATATGGATGAGCTGAGTGTCACCTTAGACTACCTACTCAGCATTCCAAGGTGACTCTAAAGGTGTCTTTTCTTAAATCTCAGTATGTTTTCATTCAGTTACTAATGATTCTTTCTATTGTTGAATTATACTTTGCTATCTTATCTGCTTTTATTCGCAGTGAAATTATAATTATAGATACTAAAATCAATGACTTATAACATCATTGCAGATAAAATGCTTATTTTATGCTCTTGATGAATTTAAGGATATACAGATTTCCAAAATGTATGTATTGTCGACTTTTAAGGAACCCAGTAACTAAGCATCTATATCATGTAACTTTAGGAAAATTGGAGAATTTAATCAGTAGAAAACATCTTTTATTTAGGTAAGCTATTTCACCATATTGATATAAATACGTCTGCAGGTTTTAATGTATTAAGTGAGTGAAGTCTATTAGGAGTTTATAAATATTTTTATTTTAAAAAATGTCAAAAATGTTTGTTTATATTTTAATCTAAAGGGCCTTTAACTTTAATTTTCACATTTCTTCAGTGAAGACCCAACTTAACCCTCTTTATTTGTCCTAGTCTACCCATGACTTCAACAAAAAAAAATAAAGCTTCCTCCCCATCTGCTTCTCCCATAATTGGGACTGAGGCACAACTGTGACTGCGTATTAGTCATCTGGAGATTTTTTTCAAAATTCTAATGATGGAGGGTTCACTTCCAGAGATTCTGATCCAATTGTTCTTGGGAAGCCTGCTTATCAGAATTTTTAAAAAGTCTTTTAAGCTTCCTGTGTATTTCTAATGTGCAACCAGATTTGTAAACCACTACAATTAAGCATGTAAATGAGGGCAGGTTTCTGTGTGTGTGTGTGTGTGTTTGTGTGTGTACAATGTAGAGGTAGAAAAAGGAACACGACTATCTCATATACTGCTCTTAAGTTCTAGCTAGTGAATTTTAAACATTTTCATCAGAGTAAACAATTCTTTGTATGTTTTTCCTGTATTTGCATTTTATTGACACAATAGCTTTTTTCCATTTAAACCACCTTGCAGAGTATGGGGTTAAAACAACTGATTTTAATCGCACCTGCATCCAATAGTGTTCTATAATTTAATGATTCTGTTGCTGTTTTTTTTTTTTTTTTAATATTGTGGAAACAGCGGTCTTCATGTGAAAATTTTCAATTTTTTCAGTTTCTGGGGGTGAAAATGATGAGAACCTGTAGTCAGTGCATTAGTATTAGCATTAGCTAATTGCATTAGCAGTAATCTTGCTAATCCCCCAAGCTGTGGATTGCTAACTTGTTCATCATTAGATAACAAACTGCTTTTTAGGTAACCATGGTTAGCCAGACTTATAGCTTACAAATTATGAAAAAAATATTCATAGATGGATTCATAGAAGGTTAAATATGTCAAGTGCCATCTGAGCCAAGTGCCTTATTTTGTAGTTGAGGAAATTGAAACTCTGAGGTTATGGTTACTTGCCCAAGATCTCACACCTAGTGAGTCGCACAGCTGGGATGAGAGTCCATGATTCCTGACACCAATTTAGAGCCTTTTTGTACTTCAGATGAGTAGAATTCAGTGTAGTTGCATCTCATGTGAAGTCCAATTCTGAGGTTCAAATGAAAAGCAAAAACTCCTAATTGTCAAAGTTACTCTTGAAAAATGCCTGAGGGTGGATCAGAGACTGTATTATCTTTCCATGAACATGTTAGGTTTTCCTTCAGCATTGGAGCAAGTTATTCACACTGAATTCCAGAAGACATAGTTGGCTTGTGATTAGGTTTGTTTTAAGAAAATGCATGTTTGTGTATACTGGAATCACATTCAGTTCAACAGGATGCTCACCTGTCCGAGGCACTGGGTAACTGAGGGAGGCTAAAGGACCAGCAGATTCATTCACATCTCTGGGCTCATGTTCACTCTGGCGTGGATAAGCAGGAAGTACAGTGGAAGGCAAAATAGCCTATACTATTTAAATTTTTTCTTTCTCTTTCTCATGTAAATGTGCATATGATGTTCCTCCAGTGTAAATGATGAATCAGTTTCTGCATATCTACACGTACCTGCCAACTAGCAGAGAAGGTGTAAGTTGAAGCAAGATGAAAGAACTCATTCTAGCAAGGCAAAATAGATACCTGGATACTTTATTTCTTATGATTGTTTTGCTAAAGTTTGGCCTTCTCAAATATTCATGAAAACTCTATCCTTCTGCTTTCTTGGATCAGCCTCCCATAATTTTGGGATTAACAAACATGGCTGTCAGCTTTTTATCCGTACTTGCCATTTCCTTAGAGAGCTAAGGTGTTTTTGATCTCTCCATTGCGATGCTAGAGAGCAGTTAACTAGATGTGTGATCTTAAAACCAATGTTTTTCATTCAGAATTTCCACCACTCAGGAGTGCTTTTAAAACGTAACCCCCCAACATTTTATTAAAATGTTCATATATGCAGGAAAGTTGAAGGAATTATACGGTGACACCCATATGTCCACCACTTAGAAAATCTAAAACTAATAATGTACTTTGTTTTTATCACGTTATCTCCCATGTTTCACCCCTCTTTTTGTCCTTAGGAATGTTTTTAAGTTTACCCTAGCAGATCAGGCCCAGCATGTGTCTAGAAAGGTTTTTTCATTTCTGGTGTATCTACATTCTTTTGTGACCTGCTTTTGTCTCCCAGCTTCCAGCTGTTAATGTTTAACTCCTTCCAGCTGTGAACATCTGCCAACATCTCCAGCAGTGTAGCTAGCTAAGGTAGCCTCTTCCTAATAGGAGATGTCCAAAATTGTTTTTTTCATGCAATGACTATCTTAACGTTTTGAATATAATAATAGCTTTTCAAAATTCTTGCAAAAATAAAAAGAAATTACTCAATTTCTTATACTTTGTGCTTATTTTTAATGAACACAGGGACAAAGTGTGATACATAGCTATTTTAAGTGGGTAACCTAGCACAGTTGAGAATGGAAGCATTTCTTGACTCTTTTCTACACAGGTTGGCCCTAAGTTTGTTTTGTGTTTCAGATACTAAGTGTACAGTATTTTGGATATTCATGAGTGCTATGAAAACAAAGCATGAAAAGAGTCAGAGTGATAGAGTGGTGATACTTTACAAAATAAGAAGATATTTTACCAGAGATGATTGAAAGGAGAGGCAGACCCTACAGAATCTGATCAACGAGCATTGAAGACAGAGTGAGCAGGAAGTGCAAAGGCCCTGAGGCAGGAGCAGGTTTAACATGTTCTGGGAACATCAAGGAGGCTAGTGTGGCTGGAACAGTTTGAGAGAGGAGCACAGTGCTGGGAGGGGGATCAGAAGAGAGTCAGGAGTCAGGTCATGGAAGACCATGTAGGCAATGGCTTCCATTCTGAATGAGATGGAAAGCTATTGTCGTGTCTGAGGAGTGATGTGATGTGTGTCATCTAACATTATTAAAGGCACTCCATATTTAAAGCATGGTGCTAGAAGCTGCCAGGACATTTGTAAGATAACATTCTTGCTTTCTGGAAGCATATTATCTAATGAAGATGAATTGTAAACAAGTAATTATAATAAAAGCATAAGTGAAATTAGTGCCATTATGTAAGTACCAGCAGAGCTGTATGAGTGGAAGAGAAGGAGCCTTTAGTTGTAATCAAAGAAATGAGTGAAGATCTGCAGGATGTTGGCCCCAGGAAATCCACTAACATTGTCTTCTGTGTCAAAAGTGAGTGGACTGTTTAGACAGTTTCACGTTTACATAGCTGTTTTAACTCAGCTATGTCACCCTTGAAAGGCTCAACTGGACTAGGAACTAGGAGGCTGGGTCTTAGATTTTTTTTTCTATTACTGTTCTTAAAGTATAGTTATAAACATGCTAACAGTGGCTATAGGAATTTGTTATTAATGACACTTCAGGTCCTACAACAGGCCCTTTATAAAGGGTATAACATGCTTCTAAATTAAATATGTTGTTAAAAGCAGTTTAAGCCATCATTCCACTTACAGGGATGAAGCAAAAAACAAAACTATTTCCTTTCAAGTACCTGAAAGACCACTTGGTCTGGCAATTTTGAAATAGTTATCTTTGGATTCTGTGTATTTTCATTATCCATCTTAGTAAAATGTGAGAATGTGACAGAGTTAAGCGTGTTTCTAAGTACTCTGAAAGATAAATTTAGAGTATTTTATTCCTTTAAGATCACTACAGATGGTATTTGCAAGCTTCATTACTTTCTTAGTCTTAATGTACAGATTAATTTATAGTGTGCTTTGAAATATAAATGTATTGCTTGTATAAAATGTATTTAACAAAACGGTTGTGTAACCTGCATCTCAGGGATACAGATGCCAGTGTTGAGAAAGTATCACATTATGAGAATGGCACATGGCACATTTCTGTTGGTGGGAAGGCCCTCTCCTGGACTGCTGTGTCTTAGCTCTCCTTCCTGAAAAAGGCATTGGTAGAATCCCTGCATTGTTGCCACTACTCCAGACCGCTCAACAGCCAGCTACCCTGCCTAGCTGATCACTCTTGGGCTTGTATCCTCTCCTATGTCATGGTGGTCTTCTTAGATGTTTTGTTGGTGGAGAACTCCAGGAGTCCCCTCATTACTTGAGCCCACAGATAGTCATTGTGTGTCAGGTTTGTTTCTCTCCCCAAGTCTTTTATTTTTTTTTAAATAGAGATGGAGTCTTGCTGGTCTCCCATGCTGGCCTCAAACTCCTTGGCTCAAGCCATCCTCTTGCTCTAGTCTCCCAAAGTGCTGGGATTAGAGACATGAGGCACCACGCCTAGCCCCCTCTGCAAGTCTTTTATTTTCTTTTGCTAACCCACAAGTGATCACTGTATTGGCCTTACCTTTAGTTTTTCCCAAGGAATATTTAGTGGATCCTTTATCTTGTGATGCGCATCCAAAAATAGAGTACTTTTGTTTTATTGAGATATAATTCACATGTCACAAAAATCGTCTTTTTAAAGTAGACAATTCGGTGATTTTTAGTATATTCACAGGTTGTGCATCCATTATGCTATCTAATTTCAGAACATTTTTATCAGCCCAAAATAAACTGTGTTCCCATTGGCACTCACTCTCCATTCTTCCCTCCTAACCCTTGTCAACCACTAATCTGCTTTCTGTCTCTAGATTTGCCTATTCTGGACATTTCATATAAATGGAATCATTCAGTGTGTGTCCTTTTGTGTCTGGCGTGTTTTACTTAGCATAATGTTTTCAAGGTTTAGCCATGTTTTAGCAACTGTCAGTACTTCATTCTTTTTTTATGGCTGAATAATGTCTCATTGTTTGGTTATACTGTGTTTTGTTTTCCTCTTCATTAGTTGGTGGACATTTGGATTGTTTCTACTCTTCAGCTATTATGAATTATTCTGCTGTGAATATTTACATGCAGGTTTTTGTGTGAACATATGCATCAGTTTGCCTTACCTCTTGAATACTCTTTTGTTTACTTTGGAAGCTCAGCTTCAGTGCTTGGCTGTTCCCTCCCACTCTAAACTTTTAGCAATATCATCCTCATTTCTTGTGGTCTTAGTGTTTCTTGGTAGAACAGGGCATGACTTCTCCAAGAGCCTTCTTGGAACTAGCGTGCATGCTTGGAGGGAGAAGAGGAGGACTAGTAAAGTCCCCTGAACTGGTGGTGGATTTAAATCCCAGGAAAAGGTCTGTTTATTTTTCCCTATAATGTATGTAACTGGGAACAGTTTGGATGGGGACAGGTTTCACTACCAAAATCTTGCTCTGATAAGCAAAGCTGTAGTTCCATTTACTGTATTGGAAGGAGAGCAATTGAGATCCTTACATTAAGTTGATAAGTAAACACAATAATAATAACAATGATAATGATAGGTATGTAGTTTTGGCCTTTAGAATGGAGTTTTTCCCTCCAGAAGTTGTTGCGTTTTACTAGGTTAGACTTCTGGGAAGTGTTTAGTTAATAGTTAAATCACTCAATGTAATACAGGAATCCAACACTGAAGATAATATTTTGCTGGTCCTGTGACTGACAATGCAAAAGTGAGAGCATAAGTGGGTTAGACATGGTCTGTCCAAGCTTTTGAATCAGCAAGTTCTACCTCATCTCATTAAATTTCTCCAAAGGAACGCTAAGAAGCCCATTATTGTGGTTTATTAATAACTTACTTTATTTTCTATCTGTTTTGAACTATGACTTCACAAATCTTATACTTCTGGCAGGTAGGTGAGACAAGAAATATATAACACATTTGGCAATTAGTAACTTACTTCACTGTGATCCCATTTTACAGACGAAGAAATTGAGAGACTAGTAGGACTGTTTGAATGTTGCTTTGATGTCTTTACTTTTTAAGACATTGACTTTTATGCTTTTAGAATAATTTTCTTGCCACATTAGTTTGTAAATTGTGAACATTTCCTAAAATGAGAAAAATAAATTGCTTGAGAAAATGAAAGGATACTCTCAAGAATTTTATTTATTGACAATGTAAACTAAACCAAGTGAGATTAATTCTACTCCATATGCGATTAAGTTTTAAACCTTCTTTATTTAGAATTATGAAGAACGAAATCTGGAGCTTGTTTTAATGCTTTGTAATTTTATTTTGTTTCAGTGAGAAGTGTAAGGCTAGAGGATTTACCGTGATTGTGGATGGCAGAAAATCACAGTGGAATGTGGTGAAAACAGTAGTCGTAATGCTACAGGTAATTTTGGTTTTGTCTATCAGGAAATGGTTTTTATTTTACAGCAACAGATCCTGGTGAAAATGGCAAATGCATTTAATTTATTGGACTGTGCCTGGCTTCCTAGCAGTGACTGAGTTGTGAAAATGCACTTATCACTATTGGATTGTTCAAATTCAACTCCTTAGGTTTGAATTTAAGCAGTTAAGTATATCTCACCTCTATTCTAATAGGTTTGTAAATGAAAATAATATGTCATGTTTAAGTAATTTAAGAAAGGAGGCCAGTGATTTTAAATGTGTGAGCATTGAAATGATGAGACTCACCTGGGAGCTCTTGCATGCTCTGGTGTCTGTATCATTCTCCCTCTTGCACCCCATTCTGAAACTATAGGTGGGTGGTAGGATTGGTTAAGTGTAGTTTGAAGAAACTTCTCAGGTGATTCTGGCATGTCTTTCTCTTCTGGTCCCCTATTTCCTACATAAAGCATCAGGATTCACGATGATCTTATTTATTTGTAGCCCAGAAGAAACTTACCAGCTGTGTCCTCAGGAATTTCAGCCCCTCACAAATTAACATTTAATAAACATCTACGATTACAAACTTTTTGAGATCTGATGCCAGTCTTGTGTTTTATGTTTCCTCATGTTCCACACAGAATGTTTATGTGATCCCCTGGCATGTAGTAGGCACCCAGTAGACATTTGTTGATTTATTTTAAGGGTATTGAAGATATGATTTGAAAAGGAAAAGGAAAACATTTGAGTGATGCGGAGGGCAGATTGCTCTCATGCACTTGGCCTTCTGTAGAAGGGCTTCTAGAGAGGTAAAATTTTAATTATCCAATTTAAATGAAAGTCAAGAGGGCCTTCCTCACAGGTACTCTGACTTACATATAGCTCATAATGAAGCAAATACAATGAGAGTAGTTGATGGCAGGCCAGTCTAGGGGAAACATAAGTTGGTAGTAACATGGAATCATAAGAATTCACTTAAGTGGATATCAGTGATATTGAAAGAAAGATCAAGAATTTTAAATGAATTCAACAAATAAGGTAGCTACTTTAGGGTTCTGTGGAAAGGCATATAATTTTAAAATTTAAATGATAATTAAGGAGAATGGTTTTTAACGTTTTATCATTTATTTAGGTTAATTGGGAGAAAGGGATTCAAGGGATAGGAACAAAGTGGTAATTTTAGGTTTTAGTTCTAGTTTTAGTGCTTATTATGTTTTTGGTACTGTGCTAAGCTTGCTATATAAATTTATCTCATTTAATTTTGGCCTCACAACCTTACAGAGGTCAACGAGGCTCAAGGATTTTAAATAACTTAAAATTGGAACTTAGTATAGTCTAAGTAAGCCCCAGGCCTTGACTTTATCCATTTTAAAATGTGTATTTACCAGTGGCATGTGTCTGCTGAGGTGGTCTCTGAATTTTCTACCCATTGCCTCATTCTTCTTAAATGTTTGGCTTAAACTTTTCATCATGAGAATCCCCCCATCCCACCTTTTTTTTTTTTTTTTTATATCAGGGACTCACTTTGTCACTCAGCCTGGAGTGCAGTTGCATGGCTTACTGAAGCCTCCAGCTCCTGGGCTCAGGCAGTCCTCCTGCCTCAGCCACCTGAGTAGTTGGGACTGGAGGCGAGCGCCACCACACCTGGCTACTTTTTTTATTTTGTAGAGACTATATTGCTCCAGCTGGTCTCAAACTCCTGAGCTCAGGTGATCCTTCTGCTTCAGCCTCCCAAATCGCTGAGATTACAGGCTAGAATCACTCTTTGGGTTAGAAAGGACATAGCCTCCGCAGGATCAGTTTAAGGGAGCACAAATTGGTGTCCTAAAATAACTTTTTCTTTGAAAAAAAAGTGCTTCCAGCACTTTTATATTTCAAGCCTTGAGAATTAACTCTTCTCTGTGAAAGTTGTTAAAATAACTATTAGGTAAGAAATCCATTAATTATGACCTTGTGTTCTTCCTTTCATCCTGTCATTTCAACTGTGTCACAGATGAGCTGTTTGGGACTTGCTGTTTGAACTGGACTTTGATCAGTGGCAGTTTTGAAGAACAATCAATGGATGATTTAATCCCCTCTTGCGATTTCTTTTCTGATAGGTATTTTAACAGCTTTTGGATTTATTAATAGTTAACATTTTCAGAAGTTGCAATGGCCTTTTTACTTCTAGTCAAACAGTTTCTACATATGAAGTCATTCATTGCTTTCATCTCCGAAGGTACTGGGACCAGCTGTTTGGGACCCCACAGTGCCTATAACTGGTATTCTCTAAAATGAGGGGTGTGGTTTCTCTTCTTTCTCACAGCTTTCATATTCAATGATTTTGAAATAATAATCTTCCACAAGGCAATATATGAATAAAGCTCAATTTTATCTTAAATTTTCCAGCCCCTCTGGTAAAAGTTTTGATATCATTGAATTTATTTTACTTACCTTAGTCACAATCCAGTTGTTGCAGAGGATGCTAGATTTATGATGTGTGCATGTTTACCTCCAAAGGTTTTCCATTTTTCCCTGAATAGTAATAATAGTAATTATTATTATAATTATTCAGTGCTGCAATTTATGGTCTAGAACAGAGGTTGGGCCCTTGAATTTATAAAGTTTTATTGGAGTTCAGCCATTCCCATTCATTTATATATTGTGTGGTGTGTGGCTGCTTTTATACTATCCTGACAGAACCGAGTGGTAGCAATAGAGACATTATGGCCTGCAAAGCTTGGAATAACTTATTATCTGGACCTTTCGGAAAGAATGTATTGAACCCAGGTTCAGAGCATACGAAGTAGTGTAGTAGAACTTTAGAGTCAGACAGAGGTGGTTTCTATTCAGCTCAATGACTTTTTAACTCTGTTATCTTAGACAAGTGACTTTGTTTCTCTGAAGCTCAAATTACTCTCCTGTAAAATTAAGAGAATGAGATCTACTTAGTAATGAGGATTCATTTATTTAACAAATATTTATAGCATGTGTTCTATTATATATGTGAGATATTTGTCATAAACACTGGAAATATAGGGGTGACAAGATAGATAAGGTACCTGCCATTGGGAAGGTTTTATTATCTTTATTATTTTATATTCTACTTGAAGAGTTAGACAATAAGCAGTTAAGCAAACGTAACAGCCCATGGTGATAAATGCTATGAAGAAAAATACAGCAGTGAAAGAGACTGAGTCAGATGATGCCACTTTAGGTAGGGTAGACAGGGAAGGCCTCTCTGAAGAGGGAATATTTGAATAGAATCTTAAATAAACTGAGGGAGCACTCCTAGGTATAAGGCAAAGGGCATTCCAGATAGAGGAAATAGCATGGACAAAGACCTGAAGTGGAACAGACTTTTCATATTGCAGGAGCAGCGAGCTGTTGTGGAGGAGTGAGCTAGCAGGGGAAGGTGTAAGATGAGATCTGAGAGGCCAACAGGGGCCTGAGCTTGAAGGGCCTTGTAGGTCTTGGTAAGAGATTTGAATTTCATTCAGAGTGCAAGAGAAAGTCAAGCAAGGAGCCTTGTAATGATGATATTTCAGAAAGCTGGATAGTTTGGCGTTGTTAACAATGCAGGCGGTAGAACTTGTTGGATTTAAGATGCATTTTAAAGTTAGACTCTATAGGACTTGATAAAATATATGTGAAATATTTATTAATTCCATAAATGTTCATTTCAGTTCATTAGGTAGTATAAGTAACCATATCAAGTAAATGTGAAATTGTATTCGTCAAAGATTAGCTTTTTGTCCTCTTCTTCAAGTTAATAATCATGTAAAATCTTGGTCTCATTGTATAATGACTGATAAAAAACTTATTTTAGTGAGAAAATTGATTTTACGTCTTTTGAAGAAATTCTCCAAGATGATTGTGTTAGAAAAAATTTTTCATACTGTAGAAAAATCAAATTTAATAATTTCCCAACTAAAAATTAACTCTTACAGTTTAAGCTAAACATATTCCTAGTACAGAGATTCAGTAAAACAAAAAGTAATTCACATGTACAATTTATGCTGCATTTTTTATTTGAAGTATTTTCTGAATCACCTTGTCTTTCAAGTTCT
Source organism: Homo sapiens (assembly GCF_000001405.40). Taxonomy (NCBI): domain Eukaryota; kingdom Metazoa; phylum Chordata; class Mammalia; order Primates; family Hominidae; genus Homo; species Homo sapiens. Next base: position 179,172,402 of record NC_000002.12, on the reverse strand, counting down.
TCTTTATTGCCATGTATGTTTTGAAGTCTAGAGAATTTCTTCTTTATTATTTTAATTCTTCTCCAAAAATCTCTTATGTAGCATAATCTTGACTGTCTGGTAATTTATAAATTTAGTAAATTATTCATTTTACATGTGTAATTTGTAATTATTTTTCTGTATTTTATAGAATGTTGTTCCAGCTGAGGTGTCCCTTGTTTGTGTGGTAAAGCCAGATGAATTCTGGGATAAGAAAGTAACGCATTTTTGTTTTTGGAAGGAGAAGGATAGACTTGGCTTTGAGGTAAATGTAATCTCTTTTTTTAAAGTCCATTATATCTTTAAAAATAGTATTTTACTGAAATTATTTTTGACCGTTCAGCATTGGTTACTAAGCAGTGCTTAAGGAATGCTTAATTAGTGCCTAAGTAATAATTAGTATATGGTCAGCATTTGGATACTTGCTGAATGAAGTATGATATTTTGTTAAAGATCATGAAAGCTTTCTTGTTTTCCATTTTCAATTGTATCATTCTTTGTTAACTTCTTTGAATAAGTAGAACCTTTGTATTTAAATTTTTTTATTGCATTATGGAGAGGAAATTTAACAAATACTAGGAAATCCTGGACATTTTGGAGTTGAAATTATAGTCTATTTTTTGTGACATGTCATAATTATTTTTTAGTATCTGGCCAGTTTTAATACATGAACACAGTTATCCATTCTTTCCTACTGACTTTTTATTTCTCTCTTTTACTTTCCTTGTGTGATAGTGCATCTTACTGTAGGTTAGAAAAAAGCACTATGATGGAATGTAAATCTAAGCAGTTTGTCATATTCTTTCTTCCACACCTGTTAATTCTCAACTTCCCAGTAGGAGAGTTGATAAATAACAGACTTTACATTGTCTAAATAAAGTGTGGGAACTTTGAAGAATACAAAGACTAACTCCAACCTGGTATAATATAGGCCCTTGGAATGCTTACAGTCAGATAATAAAGATTCATTTTGGAACTTGCCATGCTATACACTCATTTTTATTTTTACCGAGGTCAATATCAGTGTATTTTTGGTATGGAGAAAAGGTTGTTAATGTATATTGGATAGAAAGATTTGAGAAAACTTAGTTTATTCTTAAAGGAGATGGCTTGAAATTTCTTAAAAATACATGGTTTTATTCTTTACTTAAAAAAATTAAGCTATAATTTACGTGCAGTGAAATTAATTCATTTTAGTGTGTAGTTCTGAGAGTTCTGACAAAACATATAAAACCACAATCAAGAAATCAGGAAGTGTCTCCTCACCCCCAGAATTCCCCTATATGCTCCTATAGTTAACTTCTCCATTTCTAGCCCCTGACTGGTGGTAGGAAAACTGTTTCTGTACTCACAAGCCCCTTCTCAGGTTTAGTAATTTGGTATATTGATTCATAGAATTCAGGGAATCACTTTACTAACATTTACTGGCTTTATATAAAGAATATAGATGAACAACCCAGATGAAGTGATACACAAAGTGCAAGGTCTAGAATGATCCAGAGCGCAGGAGCTTCGAACCCTAGGGAGTTGGGGTGCACCACCCTCATGGCCTGTGTACATGTTTATCAACCCAGAAACTCTCCAAATCATTGGCCATTAGTGATTAACTAACTCAGTCTCCAGCCTCTCTCCCTTCCCTGGAGGGAGAGGAGTGGCCATGAAAGTTTCAACTCTCTAATTATGCCTTGGTCTTTTTGGTGACAAGCCTTCATCTTGAATCTGTTTAGAGGCCCACAGCCACCACTCATCTTACTAACATCCAAAAAAACACTTATCACTCCAGAAATGCCAAGGATCTTGTAACTCTTGTGTCGATAACTGGGGACTGAGACCAAATACTGTAATAAAGGATGCTCCTGTCACCTAGGAATTACAAGGGTTTCAGGAGTTCTGTGCCAGGAACCGGGGACAAAGAGCAAATGCATATTTCTTATATCACAGTATCACAGATGGTATCAGTTTAAATCTCTTACCTATTTTTTAAAAAAAATAAGGTCTTTTTTGTTACTGGATTTTGAGAGTTTTTTATGTATTTTGTATAGAAGTCATTTATGAGACACATAATTTACAAATATTACCTCCTAGTCTATTGTTTGCCTTGTCATTCTCTTAACAGTTTTCAAGAAATTTTTTTAACTATGATGAAGTCCTCTTTTTCAGTTTTTTTTTTTTTTGCTTTCTGATTTCACAGGTGGAGAAACAGTTTTCTTTTATTAATCAGACTTTTGTTGTCATAATCTGAGAAATCTTTGCCTTACTCAAGGTCACAAAGATTGTCCTTGATATTTTCTTCTAAAAGTTGTATAGTTTTAGTCATTAAATTTAGATCTGTGATCTATTTTGAGTTAATGTTTGTGAGCTATGGTCAAGAATATGTATTTTATGACTTCAGGTTTTTTTTTTTTTTTTTGAGATGGAGTTTCGCTTTTGTTACCCAGGCTGGAGTGCAGTGGTGCAACCTCGGCTCACTGCAACCTCCGCCTCCCAGGTTCAAGAGATTCTCCTGCCTGAGCCTCCCACGTAGCTGAGATTACAGGCATGCACCACCACACCCAGCTAATTTTGCATTTTTAGTAGAGACGGGGTTTCTCTACGTTAGTCATGCTGGTCTCAAACCTCAGGTGATCTGCCCACCTCGGCCTCCCAAAGTGCTGGGATTACAGGCATGAGGCACCGTGCCCGGCTGACTTCAGTCATTTTAAGTTTAAGGTTTGGTTTGTGACACACTATGTGTTCTATCTTGGTGATTCCCAGAATAAGTATTCTGTTGTTGGATGGAGTGTTCTGTAACTGTCAAGATGATTCTTAATGTTTTTCAGGTCTTCTCTATCCATGGTAATGTTGTGTCTGCCTGTTTTTTTAATAACTGAAAGAGGAATATTGCAACCTCCAACTGTTATATGTGGAACTATTTCTATTTTATTTCTGTCAGTTTTTGCTTCATGTGTTCTGAAGCTCTATTGTTTATTGCATAAAGATTTAGGATAGCTATGTCTTCTTGGTGAGTAGGGCCCAATTTATCATTTTTGAATGTTTTTATTCCTGATACTATATCTGGCTCTGAAATGTACATTGTCTGATATTAATATAACTACTCCAGCATTCTGTTGATTAGTGTTAGTGTGTTGTATCTTTTCCATTCTTTTACTTTTAACTTCTTTATATTTAAAATGAATTTTTTGTAGACACCATATAGTTGGATCTTGCTTTCATATCCAGTTTAACAATCTCTGTCTTTTCATGGGTAAGACTATTTATATTTAATGCAATTATTGATATAGTTTATAAAATCTACCATCTTGCTAGATTTTATGGGGTTTTTTGTTCTTTTTTGCCTTTGGACTAAGTATTTTTTATAATTACACCTCACTCCGTTATTGGCTTGTAATTTATGTCTCTTAATTATTTTAATGGTTACCTTACTGTTTACTGTATACGTCTTTAATAATCAGTCTAACCTTCAATTATACCACTTCACATGAAATAGAAGGACCTTAAAACAGTATATCTCCAATACTTCCATCCCATTATTGTTATGCATTTCACTTTTACTGTGCTATAAACAAACACTACATTGCTGCATTTTTTTGCTACAGATAATCTGTTTTCTTTTACAGCAATTAAAAATTTTAAATTAATTTCATATTTACTTTCATTTATGCCATTTCTGGCATTCTTCGTTTCTTTTTGGAGATTCATCTTTTTGTCTGGTGTTACATTCCTTCTGCCTAAAGTACTTCTTTTAATGTATCTTGCAGTGCAGGTGTGTTGGCATTGAATTGTCTCATTTTTTGTTTGCCTAAAGAAAATCTGTATGTCTATTTTAGTTTTGAAAATTATTTTCAAGTTTTTTTTTTTGTCTTTCAGCACTTTAATCATGCCGTTGACCTGTGAACAATGCAGGGGTTAGGGCCAGCAACCTCCTGTGCAGTTGAAAATTTGTGTCTAACTTACTTTTGACTTTCTAAGAACTTAAATGCTAATAGCCTACTATTGACCAAAAGCCTTACTAATTACATAAACAGTCAATTAACACAAATTTTGTATATGTATTATACATTGTATTCTTACAATAAAATAAGCTAGAGAAAAAATGTTAAGAAAATAATAAGGAAGAGAAAATATATTTACTATTTATTAAGTAGAAGTGGATCATCATAAAGGTCTCCATTCTCATTGTCTTGAGGCTGAGGAGGAAGAGGAAGTGGAGGGGTTGGTCTTACTGTCTCAGGGGTAGCAGAGGCAGAAGAAAACTCCCTTATAAGTGGACCTGTGCAATTCAGTCCTGAGTTGTTCAAGGGTCAACTGTATTTAGAAGTGCTTTCTCACCGGGTGCGGTGGCTCTTGAAATCCCAGCACTTTGGGAGGCCAAGGCAGTGGATCACCTGAGGGTCAGGAGTTTGAGACTGGTCTGACCAATATGGTGAAACCCCGTGTCTACTAAAAATACATAAATTAGCCGGGCATGGTGGCATGTGCCTGTAGTCCCAGCTACTCGGGAGGCTGAGACAGGAGAATTGCTTGAACCCAGGAGGCCCAGGTTGCAGTGAGCCGAGATCATGCCACTGCACTCCAGCCTGGGCAACAGAGTGAGACCCTGCCTCAAAAAAGAAAAAAAAGTAAAAATTAAATAAAATTAAAAGTGCTGTCTCATTGCCTTTGCCTTCTCATTGTAATGGTCACTGACAAGAAGGCCGCTGTTATTTATATCTTTGGTCCTCTGTGTATGTTATTTGCCTTTTTTTCCCCCTTCAGGCACTTTCAAGATTTTTCATTTTGATTTTGGTTTTTAGCAGTTTTATTTTGCTGTATCTCTGTGTGTTCTATTTGGTATTTATTCCACTTAGTGTTCTCTGTACTTCTTAGATACCTGGTTTGATGTCTGTCATCAATTTTGGAAAATGCTTATACATTCTCTTTTCAAATATTTTATCTGCCCTTTTTCTGTTTCCTCTGGAACTCCATTTGGATGTATGATAAAATATTTGAAATTTTCTCACCATTTTCTTTGGTCTCCTGTTTTATTTTTATCCCTGTGTCTTTCTCTTTGTGTTTCAGTTTAGGTATTTTCTCTTGATCCATTTTCAAGTTCACTCTTTGTTTCCTTGGTTGTGTTAAGTTTGTTGATGAGACCATTGAAAATTACCATGCTTTTGATTTGTAGCATTTCTATTTGACTTTTCTTTAGAGTTTCTATCTCTTTGCTGAAATTCCTCGTCTGTCCTTGCATGTTATTTTTCATTCTCTATAGCATCAGTATCTTAAATTTCCTATCTGATAGTCCCTATATCTGCATCTGTCTTACTCCACTTATGTTGTTTGCTTTGTTTCTTGACAGTGGGTCATTTTCCTTCCTTTTTTGTGTGTGCCTTGTTATTTTTTATTGAATGTTAGACATCTTGTTTAGGACAGTAAAGACTGAGGTGTAGGTAGTATTTGTGCCTGCACATGGGCTCATCTTGCCCTTTTCCTAGGCTTTTGATAGCATAAGAGAAGGGTTGAGTTCTAACCAGGAATTGAGTTGGCTTTGGATTTTGTTGTTGCTATTATTTTCCTCAGTGCACCACAGGCTTCTCATTTCTCTAGAGTTACTTTGTGTTGAAGATGGGGGCTGGTTTGCCAGAGAATTTTGCTTTTTCATTATTTGTTCTACCCTCTGCTCTAGGTCTTTCCTTTGTACCTGCGCCTCAGAGAAAGTCTTTCTGTATACAGTTGACTCTCAGCAATAGGCTGCTGTTCCTTGTTATTCAGTATTTGTTAGAGAGGCATTCTCTGTTGTTCTTATTCAGCCTCAATCTTAGGCAGGCTCTGTGTCCCTCAGCCTAGTGGGTAATGTTGCCCCTCCCCCAGTTTTGGGAACCTATGATAGTTCGGGTTTATAATATATTCCTGGGTCTACTCCCTCCCCTGTGATAGTCTTTTCTTTTCCCTTCTTCCACCTGTGGTGGGACTTCAGTTGTCCTCTAAGGTCAGCAGGATTTTCAGTCCTTTCCGCAGCACTCTAAGATTTTTTTTTTCATAGGAGAGATAGCATTGAAGATTTTGGGCTGTGCTTCATGCCTTTCCATTAGTGGCTGCTCTTCCCCTCACCCAGGCTTGTGCTCCAAGAGAGGCTTTTTCAAATCTCTTATTCCTCTTATTTCCAGTCTTTCTCATGACTCCTGCAGAGATCTTTCCTCTAGAGATTCAGCCTCCAAGTGAGTATGAATTCTTGTGTCTATACTTCCCATGGGTTCTGTACTTTCACACTAGCCCACATTTGGCCTTAGTGATTCATTAAAAATTTTAACCTAAATTCCTACCTGGCTGGCATCAGGTCTGGCATTTTTCCCAGGTAAGCAAGTACTCCAGTTCCATCTTCTTGAAGATGCAGATCTTTCCTTAGATTCCAGGTTAATTGGTTTCCTTGTGAATTTAGCTCTCCAGTGGCTTCAGAAAAGTTGTGGTTTTTCAGATTAACTTGCATTTTTTTTGGTCATTGTTATGTAAGAGTTGGAGCCATGCTCTTTCCAACTTTCTACATCCTAAGTAGATGCCAGAATTTTTTCCCACTTTTCTCTTCAACTTTTGTCATTGGTAGACTTGACTATTATGTAGACTTTGTGGAAGGATGTGTGCCAGTAATGTAAGGGAAGATGACCAAGGCTGCTGGATCACATTAGGAAGGGTGTTGCCCTGGTAGTTGATTGGAAAACTATGCCCCAACAAAAAGAGACAAAAGCATAGTGAGGGAAGAAAGTAAAAGCTGAAGCCAGGAGGTCTGAATGTTGCTTCAAGAGTCAGGAGCATGGTGAGTGAAGACTTCAGCCAGCTAGTAAGGTCTGCAGTTCATGGCCTGGGGCATGCAGGGAATGTTGCTCTGAGACAATGCAAAGTGAACCAGGGGTAAATAGCCGAAACTAAAGCTGTGAACACCCGGTACCACGGAAGATCCCTTTTATGAGGCACCTGTCACATCCTGCTTAAACTAAATAGGCATCTGCTCAGAGATGCTCTGGTAGTTGGGTCTTATGTTATAGAAATTAATAGTGATTAAATACCCTGCATCTTGGAGGATAAAATAGAAGACAGAATTTCTGTCTACCTTGATGTGGTGTCATAGATTGTTGTTTTAAAACAGAAGCATTAAAACTTCTTATATCAATATGTTTTCTTAGACATTGAAGAGATTCAGCTAGGATATTTTCTCAAGAAAGCGCTAGGCACTTATTAAAAGCCCAATTTCCTAATGAGTTGAGAGTAATTTCAAATGCTGGTTAATACGCTGCCAGGCAAACCCGGCTTTAAGGGGGCAGTTCAACACTATCCATTAAATGAGACTTAGAGCTCTATATAATTAAATCCAACATAGATGCTCGTTTAATTGCAAATTATTTTTCTTGGTATTATTTTGGATAATTTAGGCTGTTGTAATTAAGCCTGTGTTTGTAAATATTTAAAAAAATATTTTAAAAACTTCGTTAAGAGTAGTGGTGATCCTGTAAGCATAAATGTATGTTTTACCTTAAAATTAAATTATCTGCAACAAAGATTTATTACCAGCTGTCCACAATGCTCATCAAGTATACACCCAGTGGTCATTTTGGTGACACCTTGTTCCCACATGATTTCTTGTTTTCTTGCCCATGATACTTTCTAAATTTTTTCTTCTAGGTAACCTCCTTACTATTCACTCCTCCAATGTTTTTCATCAGGAATTGAATATTCATCTCTCATTGCTAACCTTAATATTTCTCTGTATATCCTTCCTATCTCTGACATAGATACCTACCTGTTCATTTTCCTTTTTAGCAACTCAGATATTATATTCAAGTACTTCGTATCCTTCAGCAGCATTGTACCTGGTGACTATGATAGGTTTTGCTGGTTTGATGATAGTGTCTATATTCTGTCTAATGACAAGATAAAATTGAGGTCATACTAGCATTAATCTTGTCCTCAAATGGAGAGATTAATTATCAAAGGGATCTCCACTCTCCTTTTTTGTCACTCATTAAAGTGTTGTTTATTTAATGTTAACCAGCACCCATTCTAAATTGCTTTATTCTCTTACCTGTTAATACTGGATCTAATCATGTTCTTTTTTGAGACTATACATAATTGTAGGATCCAGGACCAAAGACTTCCATGATGCTCTTCTTTCAAGAACACCCCTGGCTCCATTTATTCTGATTCTTTCCAGTTTTTATAGAAACCTATTTTCCTTGAGTGAGAAAAATATTCTTCAACAAACAGGTACAAGCAGACATACACATCAAAATAGTATGTGTATGAACATATATACACACATGAATCTTTACTAAGTGCAGAAATACATACAAAGGCAGATTTTCATTCTGGATCTTGCACGCACATTCTTAGCAATAGTGAAATAATAATAAACCATCTCAGTGCCTACAAAATGCAAGTTTCAGTGGTAGGTTTTTGGGGAATGTTTTACTAGGAAAGGATAAGTATTATAGTTACAGAAGGAATAATGAGAGTAAAAGAGAAACAAGTTTTTAATCTTTCTGCAAGTTAAAATTTGAGATTAAAGAAAACCTGCACAAATGTTTTATTAAAGACCATATGGTAAATACCTTTCTCTTCAAACTTGTTGAACCATGATATGTGCTAGTTAATACAATATTGTGGTTTAGTCATTTAATTTGTCTTGTCTTAACTTCTCTAGCATGTATAAAATGAAGGGGAAAAGTAATATTTATGTAGGGCTTTATTTTTAAAACTTTATGTTTTGTATTGCCTTTGAAAGGACTTAGCAAAAGTTTGAAATGCTTGTGCAGGGTAGTGATCTTTTTTTTTTCCTTCTTTTATATATATATATAATATACATATTTTTATTCTTGTTCCCTTTATGCTGATTATTAGATTTCAGATTTCTTTGGTAATGTGAGGATAGATTTGAGATTTAGATTTCTGCTTAGTAAAATGATAGCTACTTTGAACGCAACTAGTAATGTTTTTCTTCATAAATTTAATGGTACGCATAAATATTAGAATGTTCATGGAGATGGCTATTTGAAAATAGTTGATGAAAGTCAGAATTTCATCCACTCCACATTCTTAAATTGATAAAGCATATGTTAAAGTGTCGTTTTCCTAAAGGTGAAATCATGACTCTAATGCAAATATAAAATGAGCATAAGTCAAATACATTATTCAATTCATTGATAAATGAGGTTACTAGTAATTTGTAAGCTGTGGTTCAAAGAGCATTTGAGGAATTGCAGGTTTTTATAGGAAAAGATTGCCAACCAAATTAGATACAAAACTAATTATTGTTCTATAGATCCATAAGTTATAAACTTTGAGGTTGTCTCTTATTCCACTGGACGGAAATATATCAATCTCGTTAGACAACAATTATTTGCCTTTATTCTTTTTTTTTTTTTTTGAGACGGAGTCTTGCTCTGTTGCCCAGGCTGTAGTGCAGTGGCGCAATCTTGGCTCACTGCAACCTCCGCCTCCCAGGTTCAAGCGATTCTCCTGCCTCAGCCTCCTGAGTAGCTGAGATTACAGGCATGCACCACCACGCCCAGCTAATTTTTTTTTTTTTTTTTTTACTAGAGACGAGGTTTCACCATGTTGGCCAGGCTGATCTCGAACTCCTACCTTGTGATCCACCTGCCTCGGCCTCCCAAAGTGCTAGGATTACAGACATGAGCCACCGTGCCCAGCCTATTTGCCTTTGTTCTAAACAGAATCTACAAGTTAACTTCTACTCCTACAGAGCTTAATACCTACTGATCAGTCTATAGAGAGTCAATCAAAGATACAAACCCACCACTGCATGAAAGAACACTCAGTAATAATGTCTGCCTGTTTCTGAGATTTAGGTAGTTTTTCTTATAGATGAATTTTATTTTTTAATAGGAGGATATTTTGTAAAACTTGATTTTGGATATCAGTGACATACTGCATTGATCACTGCAAGATAATATAAGCTGTTTCTTGAAGTTTGATATTTTAGTATCAAAGTAAGTATCAGTCTCTCTTTAAACTTTGTATTCCAAGCCAAGAGCAACATTATTTAGCATTTTCCTACATGATTTTGTAAATTGTTCCAGAGGATTTATATCCTTAATGAAGGAATCATATTTTTAATACTATCTTTTAAAAAATATGGTTTTTTTTTTTACTTAAAATATATTAATTGGAAAACTTTCAGATATTAGTTGACTAGTTTGGGAGATTTGTCAGTTGCTCAGATTTATCACTCAGCTGGAAATCATAATCAGTTTGGTGACTTTCTCTATTAAACAATTTCAAATAAACCACTGGTGAATAACAAACCATAAGAGTCACTGATAATTGATACATGACAACTTAAGGAGAATAAGGATGATAATCCTATAAATTTGCCTCAAGACAATTATTACTAAGTGTGTAAATTGTACTCGTTTCATAAAATTGTTATGTAGCATATCAAGATGTCTTTAGTACTCTAAAAATAATGGTAAAAAACATAGTATGCAGTGTGATGAAATCAAATTTGGTTCTTCATTTTTGGAGAATAAAAGACTTTACACATTCAAAGAGTTATCTACCAGTCCAGGACTGCAAACTTTTTCTCATATATAGTTGCTTAAAAAGAAATATGAAAATTACAAAAACAAGCCAGCTAGGTTTTTTAAAAGTATAAAAGTTAAAATTTCAAATATCAGGTCATGAAAATAGCTTTTCCGCTGTATTTTTGATGGCATAATACCTTTTTTTTTTTTTTTGAGACGGAGTCTCACTGTGTTGCCAGGCTGGAATGCAGTGGCGTGATCTCGGCTCCCTGCAACCTCCACCTCCCGGGTTCAAGCGATTCTCCTTGCCTCAGCCTCCTGAGTAGCTGGGACTGCAGGCATGTGCCACCACGCCCAGCACATTTTTGCATTTTTAGTAGAGACAGGGTTTCACCATGTTGGCCAGGATGGTCTGGATCTCTTGACCTCGTGATCCACTCGCCTTGGCCTCCCAACATAATACCATTTTGAATGTGATGTATGTGTAATCTTAAAATTCAACATGAAAGGTAACTTTATAAATGATTTGTGATGAATCATTGTATTTTACATAACTGTTTCTAAATTAACTGAAGAGCCTTAATGTCATTTGTTAGGTGGGAAAAATACAAATTGGTCTTACATTTTTATCTTGGTATAATATGTTATTTAAGGCCAGGAGCAATGGCCCACACCTGTAATCCCAACACTTTGGGAGGCTGAGATGGCAGGATTACTTGAGCCCAGGAGTTTGGAACCAGCCTGGGCAACATAATGAGAACCCTCCTCTACAAAAAATTAAAAAAAAAAAAAAAAAAAGCTAGGTATGGTGGTGCATACCTGTATTCCTAGTTACTAGGAAGGCTGAGAAGGGAGGATCACTTGAGCTGAAGAGTCAAGGTGCAGTGGCCCTTCAGCCTGGGTGCCAGAGAGAGACCCTGTCTCTAAAAAAAAATAATTGTTTAAGGTGTGTTATTATGAAGTTTGCTTTAATTTAGTATTTTGTAGTACTAATAAGTAAATCCTTTTTTAAAAAAATTAAAATGAGCTTATTATATATACTACTTCATTATGTTCTGCAAAAAAAAAGTAGAATGATATGGAGAGTGTATGAGATTTTCATAACTGGGAAATAGTGATTTAGAGAGTCACAATAGGCTAGTCTAAAGAAATGCTGGATACTTTTAGAAAATTTACTCTTTTAAATATTTTCTGAGAAATGAAAATGTTGAGTTTGTGGTTCCATCTTCTTCACAGGCAATGGATTGTTTGATTTTTAAAGAAGGTTTATCTTTAGGTTAGAATATGATGTTTCTATCAATTGGTCACTTAATTAGAACAGGTGACAATGTCAATAAATATTTAAAAGAAGGTTTTGCAGAAAATAAAGAACCATATAATTTTTAAATTAATATAATCTAATATAATTATATATATTTGTGCCATTTTGTACTTTTAAATATTTGTGCTCTAATTCACGGTGTTATTTCTTACTCATTAATCACTTCACTGAAGATTTTCAAAGCTTTTTTTGTAGCTTTGGAAAATATTTCTTTAGAATTTTCAGCAATTGTGTCATTGTTTCTTCGTTTTCATATTTAGAATCATAGGATGAAAATGAATTATACGTAATACATGTGATCTCAATATGATTTTGAGGGGGAATCTTTTCTAATTTTGTTCTTACTTTTAGTTGATAATTGCTCTCTGAGGATGGACTTTAAAAAATTTGATTATGGGCTGGGCACAGTGGCTCATGCCTGTAATCCCAGCACTTGGGGAGGCTGAGGCAGGTGGATGACCTGAAGTCAGGAGTTCAAGACCAGCCTGGCCAAAATGGTGAAACCTCATCTTTACTAAAAAAATAGAAAAACTAGTTGGGCGTGATGGTGGGCACCTGTAATCCCAGCTGCTCGGGAGGCTGAGGCAGGAGAATTGCTTGAACCTGGGAGTTGGAGGTTGCAGTGAGCTGAGATCGTGCTATTGCACTCCAGTCTGGGTGACAAGAGCAAAACTCTCAAAAAAAATTTTTTTTCATTATGTTTCTTTCTTTGTTTTTTTCTTCTTTGCCGGGTCATAGAACATTTCCAATAAGATAAAACTGATCCTTTGATTTGCATTGCTTTATATTTAAACTTTCATATAGGTTTGCTATCTATGGAAATTAGTGGTCTCTTCAAGGGCTGTAACAGAAAGGAATATAGGAAGCCCTACCAGTATTTTGTAATTTAAAAAGCTGTAATGAAACAATTTATAGAAAATCACCTAGTCTGGGATTCCTAATCTTGTTTTGTTGCATTACCCTGAAATGTGTCAGTTTTCTCTGTTTTCTTCGAGTTTTTGCTTTTCAAACATCTAGAAATCTCTACACAGTTTTCCTTTTTCAGCATTCCAGTTCTACTTCAGGCCTAAATCCCGCCCTGCAAATGGTTTCTTACTTTTGCTTGCACATTTGAATTTGGTCTTCACGAGCAAATTCACAGCAGTGAAATCACACCCTTCTGTGATGTTTGCCATCATTGGAGTGGAGTTGAATTGTCTGTTTATTCAAACTTGGTTTGTCCTCTGGGAAGCAGTTGTCTGTTATTTATATGTTGTATCCTAGTAAGTGGTGTAATTTTCCAAAAGCAGGTGGACAGTTTTTCACCTTTGTAAACAGAGTGTATTTTTGCAGTGCACTGGAAGGAGGGATTCTCTTTCCTCTTACACATGCTGATCCTGACCCACTTTATAAAGGTGATTGTTAGGCGAAAAGCGTATGCATAGAATAAGATGTTTCCTACTATTGCACACTCTTAAATGTCTTTTCCCTTCATTCTTTTTCTAAAAGAATGTTTCTAGTAAAATGGAAACATTTATTGCTCTTTAGCCAGCCTACTCTGCCCTTTCTCCTCACCTTCACCCTCTTAAACAAAAATGAGATTATTGCAGTGGAAACTGAGATGTTTCATCACAGTAGATAGTTCTGTAAGTTGTCAATTGGAAATTATTGTGATTGTGAGTCTGCCGATTGTGTAAACTGTTGCTTTTCCCCCACATACGTTATTTAACTTTGAGATACCTTTGGTGTTGATACAATTCTGTATGTCTACATGGCAGGGCTACTGTTTTAACTTTTAATAGCCACCAGTGAATTTTATAAGAATATGGATTGTATAAAATGTTTTATAATAATGGAGAAAATGAGTTTTCTGTAGCTCTCCATAATTGTGTCCTTCCCTTATTTAAAACTATTTTGCATAGGTAAAAACATAATAGCAGTAATCTTGGTCAATTTTTTTAAAAAAATTATTTTGATTAAAGGATAATATGCTCTTAAATATGTGTTATGTCATAAAAGAAGGTGAATCTGTACTGTTTACATTTAAGTTAATTTTAGGAAAAAGAGCTTTTAAGAGAATTATTCACATGGAAATAAACTTCCGTTGTATGTAACTGTTAACTGGAAAATTTCCGTGTGGCTCATTAAACTTGAAACATGTTTATCAATGATTTTGGTGCATTTAGGAACTATAAAAGTAGAAAGGAATACATATGGTAAGGCTAACCAGTGTGGATAGAAAAGTGACGAGAGCTCTTCATTGGACAAGATAGGTAATATAAGAGAGAGAATGGCCCAAATTAAATGTATCAGATAACAACTCATTAGAATTATGTCCTTTTAGAGCTTAAAGAAACATCATAGATAATTTAATGAAGGTGGCTTCTTCAAAAGATTGGGGAATAAGCTTGGAGTGGTGAATTCCTTTAGATTGTCTTCTACAAATTTAGTGAATTTGTGGCAGAACTAGGGCACAGACCTGGAATGAATGGCTGCTAGTTTTGTATGTTTTCAGTTGTAAAATAATGGTGTTTTTTCCCTAGTAAAAGGGTTTGGAAATCATTTGGGGTATTCTAGTAAAGCCTTTGGCCCTCTATGCTGTTATGACAAAAGCAGCCATGACATTTAGGGTATTTTCAACAAAGGCCTTAGAACAAAGCAGAAAATTTTATTCTACATCTTGTGCATTACACAACTGTCTCTGGAATATTGCAGAGAAATATTGCAAAGAAACAAATGAAAAGATAATTTCTTTGCCAGAAGCATATCTTATTCATCCTCATATTCCCAACACTAAAATACACGTCTTCTAATAAATAAATTTAGCTCCACTAAATAATGATTGTTAAGTGAATCAATAACACATTATTAAAAATTAAGTTTAATATAAGGGACATCTGTCTGTAAGTGTTTGGATTTATTTCTGGGTTCTGTGCTGGTATGGTATAAAAATAGTCACATAGACCAATGGAACAGAATAGAGAACCCAGAAATAACTCATCCTGTGATTTATCATCTTACGATTTTAAATATGAAATAAATCATCCTATGATTCTAAATATGAAAACAAAGAAACAATGACACTGTTATTATGGCCTTATAGTATAGTTTGAAATCAGGTAGTGTGATGCCTCCAGATTTGTTCTTTTTGCTTAGTCTTGGTTTGGCTATACGGGCTCTTTTTTGGTTCCATATGAATTTTAGAATTGTGTTTTCTAATTCTGTGAAGAATGATGGTATTTTGGTGGGGATTGTGTTGAATTTGTAGATTGCTTTTGGCAGTATGGGCATTTTCACAATATTGATTCTACTCATCCATGAGTATGGGATGTGTTTCCATTTGTTTGTGTCATCTGTGATTTCTTTCAGCAGTGTTTTGTAGTTTGTCTTGTAGAGGTCTTTTGCCTCCTTGGTTTGGTATATCCCTAAGTATTTTATTTTTTTGCAGCTAATGTAAAAGGGGTAGCAAACAAAAACATAAAGTGGGGAAAGGACACCCTTTTCAACAAATGGTGCTGGGATAATTGGCTAGCCACATGTAGGAGAATGAAACTGGATCATCATCTCTCACCTTGTACAAAAATCAACTCAAGATGGATTAAGGACTTAAATCTAAGACCTGAAACTATAAAAATTCTAAAAGATAACATTGGAAAAACCCTTTTAGACATTGGCTTAGGCAAAGATTTCATGACCAAGAATCCAAAAGCAAATGCAATAAAAACAAAGATAAATAGCTGGGACCTAATGAAATTAAAGAGCTTTTGTATGGCAAAATGAACAGTCAGCAGAGTAAACAGACAACCTACAGAGGGGGAGAAAATCTTCACAATCTATACATCTGATAAAGGACAATATGCAGAATCTACAATGAACTCAAATCAGCAAGAAAAAAAGCAAACAATCCCATCAAAAAGTAGGCTAAGGACATGAATAGACAATTCTCAAAAGAAGATATACAAATGGCCAACAAACATATGAAAAAATGCTCAACATCACTAATGATTAGGGAAATGCAAATCAGTACCACAATGTGATACCACCTTAACTCCTGCAAGAATGGCTATAATCAAAAAACAGATGTTGGCGTGAATGCCGTGATCAGGGAACACTTCCGTACTGCTGGTGGGAATGTAAACTAGTACAGCCACTATGGAAAACAGTGTGGAGATACCTCAAAGAACTAAAAGTAGAACTACCATTTGATCCAGCAGTCCCACTACTGGGTATCTACCCAGAAGAAAAGAAGTCATTATACGAAAAAGATACTTGAACATGCGTGTTTATAGCAGCACAATTCACAATTGCAAAATCATAGAGCCAACCCAAGTCCCCATCAATCAATGAGTGGATAAAGAAACTGTGATGTATATATGTGATATATATATGTGTATATATACACACACATATACATATATACACATATATATACATATATACGTATATACACACATATATATATATACACGTATGATGGAATACTACTCAGCCATAAAAAGGAATGAATTAATGGCATTCACAGCGACCTGCATGAAATTGGAGACTATTATTCTAAGTGAAGTAACTCAGGAATGGAAAACCAAACATCGTGTGTTCTCGCTGATATGTGGGAGCTAAGCTATGAGGACACAAAGGCATAAGAATGATAAAATAGACTTTGGAGACTTGGGGGAAAGGGTGAGAGGGAAGCAAGGGATAAAAGACTACAAATATGCTGCAGTGTATACTGCTCGGGTGATGGGTGCACCAAAATCTCACAAATCACCACTAAAGAAATTACTCATGTAACTAAACACTGACTGTACCCCAGTAACCTATGGAAAATTAAAAATAAATAAGGGACATGATAGTGGGATTTCTCAAAAGAGAGATTTTTGTCAGTATTTAAATAGAATATTACGTTAAATAAGATGCAATTGAAGAGCAAAAAGACCATCCTTACGTTTTGTTTTTTTTTTGAGACAGAATCTCACTCTGTTGCCTGGACTTGAGTGCAGTGGCACGATCATAGCTCACTGCAGTCTCGAAATCCTGGGCTCAAGCAGTCCTCTTACCTTGGCTGCCCAAATCGTTGGGATTACAAACATGAGCCACCATGCCCGGCCTGCATTTTCAGGAGAGAGTGCTCTGGGATTTTATCTTTTCAGATGTGAATTCATGCTCAATTTAGCAAGTAATTTATTTACTCATAGAATAAATGTATATTGCTTGGTTTCATTCTTAGTATATATAGTTATATATCTTATTAATATATTGCTTGACATTTTTGGAGAAAGGAAAAGTTCTTTTCTGGGATCTGATTGTGTTTAATTTCCCTAGTGTGAAAGCCTTTCTGTGGATCCCAAAAAAAGAGTTGTGGGCCGGATGCGATGGCTCACACCTGTAATCCTAGCACTTTAGGAGGCCAGGGCAGGTGGATCACTTGAGGTCAGGAATGTGAGACCAGCCTGGCCAACATGGTAAAACCTCGTCTCTACTAAAAAACAAAAAAAAATGAGCCGAGCATGGTGGCACGCCCCTGTAGTCCAGCTACTTGGGAGGCTGAGACAGGAGAATCCTTTGAACCTGGGAGGCAGAGACTACAGTGAGCTAGAAATCAGTAATACGGATTGCTGATATGATTGATTATTGATTTCCAGCTTAATTTTGTGGTTATATTATATATTCCTTTGAAATTTGCTGAGGCTTTCTTATGCACTAATATACAGTCAAGTTTTAAAATATTTCATACTTGCTTGAAAAGAACATGTAATTCTCTTATTATTGGTTATGAGATTCTGTATATGTCTATTAAATGCAGCTTTTTAATCTTAACTTCTCTTTCTCGTATACATTTTTTTTAAGAGACCAAATTGTTTGTCCTATAGAGTTTCCAGTAGTCTGCATATTTCTGAAAGTATCCCTGTGGTATAATTTACATGTGTTTTTATAAATTGATAGTTGGATTTAGACAGTGATTAGTTTTAGAGTTGATTTCCTTTTTCTAAGGCTCTTCACAGGTGGTGATGTGTTCCTTGATCATGAGATTTGTAATAGTTGTCTTTTTTGTGACGTTAGCAGCCATTAATGTTCAGTGTCTAGATCTCTTACTTCATTAAAAATTATAAAATGATAATCTAGTTCTATTATTCCTTCATTTACTAGCTGGAATCATTTTATAATGAGAAACTTATTATTTGTCTATCCAGTAATACAGTTTGTATATGAAAAGTGAAATAAATGCTTGTTTCTCTTTATTGCTGTTCTGTCTCCCTCTCTCCCTCCCTCCCTCCCTCTCTTCCTTCCTTCCTCCCTTCCTTCCTTCCCTTTCTTCTTTCCCTTCCCTTCCTTTCCTTCCGTTCTTTTCTTCATGGGGTTCTCTGACCCCCAGGCTGGAGTGCAGTGGTGCAATAATAGCTCCCTGCAGCCTAACTCCTGGAAACAAGTGGTCCTTCTGCTTCAGCTTCCCAAGTAGCTGGGACTACAAGTACACACCTTTTTTTTTTTTTTTTTTGTAGAGATTGGGTTTTCTTACATTACCCAGGCTGGTCTTAAACTCCTGGTTTCAAGCAATCCTCTTGCCTCGGTCTCCCAAAGTGCCGAGATTATAGGCATGAGCCACCGTGCCCAGTCTCGTTTTCATTATAATAAGTGTGTTCTCTAGCTTAGTCCAATGGTGATTATTTCTTTTGTGTCAGTATGCACTCATTGATTTAAGCGTATTTAATGTTTCGATTCATGGCATTTATTATTCTTATTGATGTGTAACTTGTCACATATTTGGTCAGTGGAAGCCTTTTCATGTCCTTTCGTCACAACCATAGTAGTCTTTGATAGCTTTTTTGATGTCTGGGTAAGATGTTCCAAGCTCACTCATCATGGTGTGATTCCTTTTATTTTCTTTTAAAATTATTATTTTTTTGACTAATGCTATTTTAACAAAACCTGATTCTTTTTTATGAGAAATGGTACTCAGAGATCACAGTCTGGATGCTAGGAACATACATTTCTACAAAATTGGTCATTATTTCTAAACCTTCCATTGGACACAACTAGAAAATACACATACATATAAGTGTGTGTGAGAGAGAGAGCGAGAGAGTGTGTGTGTGTTCATTTAAAATGAAATATATTGTGGAGTTTAAACTGATACTTCCAATTTAAAACGAGCACTGTAAGGATGCTTTTTCTCTCCCACATCTTCCTTCCTCCCTTGCCAAAAATGCCATTTTCTTAAGGTTGTTGGGGATGGCAGAATTATAATATCCCATCTCACTCACTGGCTTTGTTCCTCATCAAGTGATTGCAGAATGGCAATACTAAAACTATCACTAACAGCATGATTACTGAAAACATAAAGAATCTAATGATTCACTTCATTGGTTGTAGGTATTGTTTTCTTATGTCAGTTTTGATAAGTTACACTTTTTAATAGGAATATGTCTATTCTTCTGAGTTTATAGGTATTGGCACAAAATTGTCTTGTGTCCTTAATGTCTTTTAAACCATTGCTATCAACGAAATGGTATTCTCCTTTATGTTGTTACCATTATTTATTTGTACTTTGTTTTTCTTGCTTCCTCCTATCAGAAGTTTGTTGATTTCATTAGTCTTTTCAAGAAATAAGTTTCGGCTTTTTTGAGCCCCTGTAATATCTTAATTTATATTTACTTCTGATTTTTCACCTCCTTTCTTCTATTTTCTTTGGACTTATTCTGTCTTTTTCCTCTCCTGACTTCTTAGATGGGTCACTTAGCTCATTATTCACTAGGCTTTGTTTCCTCATATAAATATTTAAGACTTAATTTCCATTTAATGTATTGTTATCAATAGCAATTTGTTGTACACTCAAATTTGATAGAGTTCATAGTTCTATGAATTTTTCATGCAATGTTTTTGGTGTCTTCCTGAGGATGAAATTTTCCCTCTTCCGGCAAAGCAGTCTTGGTAATTTCTCCTTATTTATTGTTGATATTATAACTTCATATACAGTATGGATGTACCTTGTTTTACATATTGTGTCTGTTTCTAAATTTTTCATTTGTCTCCTTCTGAGTTCTTCCACAAGTCCTCCTTAAGTTGTTTTTTAAATTTTTTTAAAGTCAGTTTTATGAGGTATAATTTATGTGAAGTAAAATTCATACTTTAGCATATAGTTTTATGAGATTCAACAAGCACATATAGTCACATAATTTTTGCCATAATCAAGATACAGAAGAGTTCCAAAAATTTCGCACATGCGCTCTGTGGTAGCCCCTTTCACCTTTCTCTCTGTGGTGCTTGCCTTCTCTTCAACTTCAAACTAGTTACAGGTTTCCCTGTAACCTCAGCTTTCTTAGGAGTTCCAGAAAAAGTTATAATTTTGCAGATTGTCTGGCTTTTGTTATTGTGAGAGTGGCAATGATGCTCTTTCCAGCCAGACACATTATTTTTCTTATCAAGTCATTTTTAATAAATTCACATTTCCATATGTCATTTAGTATTAACACTACCATTTGAATATCTTTCTTCCATAGATGTATTTTGTTTTTTATGCATGTGTATCTTCACTGAAGTTTTATTTAGTTCTGCAGTGGTCTCTTAGGTACTTATTTAATTTGTATTTGAAATCTTTTTAAGTTTAGAGTTAAAAGATTAGCATTTTAATATGTACGTTTCAAGTTTATAAATACTCTGATCTTCTAATTTTTACTAAAAATTAAATATTGGCATACGTTATTGTGGGTTATACTCTACAACCGGAGGACTTGTTTTGTTTATATGTAATCAAAGGAACATTAGAAAAACTTTAAAATGGATAACTTTTTGATTGCCAGATTTACTCTTCATAGGGCTTATCATTTTAATGTCCTTAGCTAATTTTAAGATGATGTGAAAATTTTTTATTACTTCATTGCATTAAGGAATTGATTATTGATTTTTATTACAAAGAAACAAGATAAAATATTTTTGAAAATATTTCATCTGAACTGCTGGTACCTGTTGTTTTTTAAAATGTGGTATTAGAAAAAATTTTTGATGAATTTTTTATCAGGTATCTATAACTTATTGAATTGGTTTTAAATATTGTATTAAGTAAATGATAATGTGTCATCATGTTGGAAACAATATTGCATATTTTAACCTAATTTTACCTCCTGGTTACTTTCGTGGATTTTAATAGTGGGTTACTAAATGTTTCTTTTCTTTTAACCTTTTTATAGGTTATTTTAGTGTCCGCCAACAAATTGACTCGTTATATAGAACCATGCCAATTAACAGAAGATTTTGGTGGGAGTCTCACCTATGATCACATGGACTGGTTAAATAAGAGGCTGGTTGGTATATTACAATGAGATAAAATGTTATTGCATAGAAATAAGATATATTTTGATAACTTTATCATTTTAGTCTATTAAAATATAGATTATTTTTCTTTTTACAAAAATGGAGAAATATGTGCATACCACATTATAGCATAATAGACAAATACTGTGAAGTCAGACTTACTTGATTAGAATCCTGATTCTAGTTGCTAGGCCTTCAACAATGCGTTTAATCTTGCCTTGGCCTGATTCCCACATCTGTAATATGGTGATAGTAATAGTACCTACCTTTGTGTGATTATGGGTAAAATGAAATGAATATACATATAAAGCATTTAGAACAGCACCAGACATGATATAGTGGCACTGTATAAGTTTTAGCTATTACTGTTCTGTCATTAGTAGCATCAGTAAAGGTTGTAAAATTTTTAATTAGAATAACAGTAGCATAATTTTTTTTTTTCTTTTTTTTGAGACAGTCTTGCTCTGTTGCCCAGGCTGGAGTGCTGTGGCGCAATCTCAGCTCACTGCAACCTCCGCCTCCGGGATTCAAGTAATTCTCCTGCCTCAGCCTCGTGAGTAGCTGGGATTACAGGCACGCGCCACCACGCCCAGCTAATTTTTGTATTTTTAGCAGAGACGGGGTTTCACCATGTTGGTCAGGCTGATCTCAAACTCTTGACCTCGTGATCCACCTGCCTCGGCCTTCCAAAGTGCTGGGATTACAGGCGTGAGCCACTGCTCCCAGCCAACAGTAGCATAATTTCTTGAGGTGATCTAGTTGCTATACCATTTTCAGAGGATATTTAAACATTAATTTGAATTATCAACTTGAAGAGCAGTTTGACAGATTAAGCATTTTCATTTGTGAAAATGTATCGTCTTTGGCATTCTAGACTTCTGAAATCTGCAACTCTGTGTAATTTGATTTTTTTTTTTTATTGAACTACTGAAAGAACAAACGTCAGATTAACTCATTTTAGATTAAATAATAATTTTATTGGAGAATGGTGAACTTTTGGTTATCTCTGAATGGATAACTAATTCTGTTTCCACCCAGTTTATTTATTTAGAGACAGGGTCTCACCCCAGGCTGAAATGCAGTGGCATGATCACCACACACTGCAACCTTTAACTTCTGGGCTCAAGCAGTCCTTCCACCTCAGCCTCTCAAGTCGTTGGGACTGCAAGTGCATGCCACCATGCCTGACGAAGGTTTTATTTTTTGTAGAGATGGAGTCTCCATGTTGCCCAGGCCAGTCATGAACTCCTGGGCTCAAGCAACCCCTCTGCCTCGGCCTCCCAAAATGCTGGGATTACAGGCATGAGCTACTGCACCCAGCCTATTTCCACCATATTTAAAAAGTGGTGTTAGTCAAGTGATTGTCTACTTCATTACTTAAACAGACTTGCCCAAATTCCTTTTCAGAAATATTTGAAGAAATCATTAAAATTATAACTAATTTTAAATGCTACATGCATGTATATAACAACTATTATGTGAAACCAACATGTGTTGGTGATAGAATAACATAAAGAAGTGTTCTGTAACTGTTATTAGAGACTTAGCGTGTTCTAAATTACATGTATGTAGTTAGAACTGTTATCGATGCAAATGTTTCTCAAAGAAACACGTATCTGAATGGAGAATGAAGATAATTTATTGATGTATTTAAATTTTAAAAATTATTTATCCATGAAACTATTCATTGCTTTAGGAAACAGTTTTGTCTTCTCTTGGGTACATTGTTGTGCTCTGGTGGTAGAATTGCACGAACTGCTGGGGAAGGAAAACATATCCTAGCTGGCCAATTCTATTACTCTTAACTGACAATCCTTATTACATATTAATTTTTAAGACTGTTCTTAGTATGTTAATAAAACTCATATTGTAGGTTTTTGAGAAGTTTACAAAGGAATCTACATCATTATTAGATGAACTTGCTTTGATTAACAATGGAAGTGATAAAGGAAATCAGCAAGAGAAAGAAAGGTAGGTGGCTAGTGGCATGCAATTATATCCTTGCAAAACTATAATTATTCTGATAAAAGATATCTCTATTGTTAATGCAAGCTAAAAGAACTACAGTAAACAAAGTCTTCATTCAATCAAAATTGACGTACAATATTCGTGAGAATTTGAATTTGCTTTACATGTAAAATGTATTGGTTTGAATCAGAGTTTCTTCACAAAAGCCTTTTTTTTTTTTTTTTTTTTTTTTTTTTTTTTGAGACGGAGTCTTGCTCTGTCACCCAGGCTGGAGTGCAGTGGCGCTATCTCGGCTTACTGCAAGCTCCGCCTCCTGGGTTCCCGCCATTCTCCTGCCTCAGCATCTCCAGTAGCTGGGACTACAGGCGCCCGCCACCTCGCCCGGCTAATTTTTTGTATTTTTAATAAAGACGGCGTTTCACCATGTTACCCAGAATGGTCTCGATCTCCTGACCTCGTGATCTGCCCGTCTCGGCCTCCCAAAGTGCTGGGATTACAGACGTGAGCCACCGCACCCGGCCCATTTTTAAATTAATAGTAATGTATTTACTTTTTTCTGACACTATGTAAAATGTTTCAAGAACGTGTTTTCAAAAGAAACACTTTTCTACCTTTTTAGAGTTATCTTCTTTCCTGGTTAAGAATATGAAAAAAGTTGCAGTTTGAAATACAATTATTATAACCTTATTTGAATACATTAGCACTTAAATGTCTAGCTTATAGAACTTTTTCTGCTCTTGTAAAATATGTGATATTCATGAATTCAAATTGGGGAATTTAGTGTTTTATGATATGCAATGAAGTAATAGTTGAGTGGTATTATCTGAATGTAACTACCTAGATTTATCATGTTAACAGATTTCCCTTGAACTTTACAACCTTGTCAGCTTTCACTTTTCTGTTGGTAGAGCAAGTCCTCCTCCTCAGATAAAAAGCACTTTAGCAAGCAAATTAACTATTCAGGCCACTTGATTATTACTGGTCACTAAAACAGTAATTTTTCATTAGGAAATGTGAAAGAATCCTGGTGTTCCCTGTCATCCGATCTGTCTCCTTTGAATCTGACCTTGAAGATACAGTGGAACCTTAATAAAATGCTTGTTGTTATTCCTTGAATCCAAATATAGTCACATATCAAGTTTTCAAGTGTAAGATCATAGTTTTAACACAAAATCTTGATTAAAACAAAGTCAAACTGTGAAAACAAACGGTTTGAATGTAAATCTGATTAAAGTCACAAGCAGTTAGGAATGTTTCCATCCTACAGATGCCGTATAAAAATGTAAAATTATGAAATTTTGTATATGTATATAAATATGTGATTGTGTGTCTGTAGATATCACACACATATATGCTGTGGTTTAGGAAGTGAAAATATCATGAGTTACTTGATGAAAATTAGCTGGACTTGTTTTCTGAATAGTCCATCCGAGTAAGTTTGATGTTTCTTAGTTATATTCCTTGGGAAAGACATCCCATGTTGGTGACTATAGAAAATGAGTCCATGATCAAAGAGTTTGATGCTGTTGACTGTATTTCCCTCTTTGAGAATGACTGTGAATATTGCAGATTAAAGGTTCTGAAGAAGCAGTGCAGCAAAGAAACCTATTTAATTGCTTCCTTAAAACATATCTTGTTCAGGCTGGGCGCGGTGGCTCATGCCTGTAATCCCAGCACTTTAGGAGGACAAGGCGGGTGGATCACAAGGTCAGGAGATCAAGACCATCCTGGCCAACATGGTGAAACCCCATCTCTACTAAAAATACAAACATTAGCCAGGCGTGGTGGCACGCACCTGTAGTCCCAGCTACTCAGGGGGCTGAGGCAGGAGAATCCCTTGAGCCTGGGAGGCGGAGGTTGTAGTGAGTCGAGATCACGCCACTGCACTCTAGCCTGGGTGACAGAGCGAGACTCCGTCTCAAAAAAAAAAAAAACAAAAAAACAAACATATCTTGTTCAGTGTTTTGGGAAACACTTTGGGAAGTCCTGGTTTCCATGACTACATGAAATATCAAAATCTTATATTTGCCAGTTCCTCCTCAAGGAACTGACGTGTTATTGCTTAGTTTCCTTTAAACCCCAGATCCCAGATAATAGAGTCCCTCCTCTTGCAAATTTTTATCAGCTGTCTGTTTTTTTTTTCAACCTTCTTTATGTCAATCCTCAGGAAGCATCTGAGGGCCTAGATCCATTGACAAAAAGTGAAAAATTTAGCATGAGACCAGTCAGTTAGAGCAGCAAGGTCATTGTCCCCTTTCTTTCCTTCATCTTTTCTTTCCTGTATGTGTTTAGGAAAATAAAGGCAGATGTCCAGCTGCACAAGAAGTATGATTAGGGAAGAGAGTACAACTGCTAGGACACACACACACACACACACACACACACACACACACACCCCTGGAATATAAGACAGAATATTCACAGCTATCAAAGATTGCTGTAGGTAAATAAAGTTTTGTCTGGAGGATGGCTGCATGCATTTTTTAATGTTACATTTCTGGGTTACTATATGACAAACTTCATTTTGAAACAAATACTCATTGGATAAATACTAAATGGACTTCTTTGATATATTTGAAATAATATTATGACTAAAAACAGTAAACTATATTTTTCCAAGTAGTTATTTTATGATTTATTACGTTGGTATTTCTCTGGCTACTAGTATTTACTTTTCCTAATGGGCTTCCTTATGCTTGAGAGAAGTTAGCATGGTAGGATGGTATGCTTCAGATTTTCATACTTTTGTGCCCCTGTTCTGTTTTTTTATATGTAAAGGAATTTTTAAAGTTACATTGATAGAAATATGCCTTTTGAAAATTACTCCTTTGGTGTTTTCCAGGTCTGTGGATTTAAACTTTCTTCCATCGGTTGATCCTGAAACAGTTCTTCAGACAGGTAAGATTTAAAAAATATTTGTGATAATAATCCAGTAAACCAATTGGATTGATTCGTTCATTAAATAAACATGAATTCAGCATGAATGTGGTACATGTGGAAGGAACTCAAGGGGAAATTTTTGAGGACCAGGGACTGGTTTTGTGGAAGACAGTTTTTCTGTGGACTGGGTGAGGGATGGTTTCAGAATAAAACTGTTCCACCTCAGATCATCAGGCATTAGGTTCTTATAAGGAGCACACAACCTGGATCCCTCGCGTGCATAGTTCACAATAGAGTTTGTGCTCCTATGAGAATCTGGTGCCGCCACTGATCTGACAGGTGGCAGAACTCAGGTAGTAATGCTTGCTGGCCTGCCGCTCACCTCCTGCTCTGTGGCCCAGGGTGGGGGTGGGGGGAACCGCAGCTTTATAATATTTTTAAAAATTAATAATAATCTCTCTCTTAATTTGGATTTAATTTATTATCTATAAAATGAAGATGAAAATTTTTATTTCACTGGGTTGCTATGAGAATTATTGAACACTCCTTATGTGCCAGACATTGTGTTTATGTATTTTTATTTTTCATTCTCCTAACAAGCCTTTGAGATAATTAGTATTATTTTATCTATTTTGTACTGCAGGAAGCCAAAATGACTTGCCGAAGATCAAGTAACTATTAAGCTCTCTCTCCATAGCTAAATCCAAAGCCAAAGCTCTACTGTTTTATAATCATCGATGTAAAAACACTTATCACCTTGCAAAGCCTTGCACATAGTGCAAGCACATAGTGCTGCCTGATATGTATATTCCAACCCAAATATCTCTAGTAGCAGTTTCACAAACTCTAAGAGAATCAAATTGTAATTTTTTCCAATTGAAATACCTCAATTTTATTTCTGATCTTTTTTTTAATAATAGCTCATAATTCTAATCCTACTGTGTGCCACATACTGTCTGAGCACTTTACATATGTTAACTCATTTCAGTCCTGTGAAATAGATACTATTGTCATTCCAATTTTAAGATGGGAAAGCTGAAGCATAAAAACGTTAAGTAACTTATATAGGTTACACAGCTAGTAAATGCTGGAGCTGGGACTTGAACCTAGGCAGTTTGATTTCAAGGCATGCTCTTTGAAATCATTATGCTATGCTGCTTCTCTAATGAAAATGATATCGACAAGAAAAATAATCAAGGGTGACAATTGTCAAAGTAGAAAAAAATAAATGTATTCTGATATTCATAGCTTTTATGAATATATATAAAAAGACTTTGCACAAACCTTTAAAACAATTATTTTTCCAATTATAAAATGTAATAAATAATAAAGAAGTAAATTCTGAATATATTTGTTGTATTGATTCAGGTGTCCTAAGTTCTTCCAGTATGATATACAGCTTATTTTGTTAGAGAACAAAGAAATACTTGTAATCTCTGAATTATTATATATTTAGCAGGTACAATAGACTGTCAGTAAAAATACTGCTCTAGATTTAAAACTTAATTCCATATATATGTTTAGCAGCTTGAAAGCTTTTTATTTTAATTCATTGAATTAAGAAGCTTTTACAATTTCTATTGTAAATTTAATTTTATATGCTACTAGGTCCTATTTTATATGCTATTAACTTTTAAAGTAAGTATTGAAAGAGAGTATAAAACAAAAAGGTTTAGAACAATCATGGGTACTTTTAGAAATTAGAAATACCTCCAAACCATAATAAAAGTTCAGTTGCTATATATTGAAAGCCATTTAAATTTAAGATATTATTCTAAATAAGGAAGAGAATTTAAATATGTGTATTGTTTTGATGCCTGAATATTAGTCACAAAAACAATTTTTACCTTATTTACTTTTAAAATTATTTAATATCTACAGCTTTAGTTGTTGCACATTCTACAATTGTAGTTTCTCATGTATGAGTGGATTTTCTACATGAGTTTGCTGTAATTGAGTCACATTCATTGCAGTTCTAACACTAGTATGGCCCGTTATTATTCACAGTTAATATATTGTGAAGATTCTTATAAATAGAGATTATATAAATATTATTTTGTACTTGTAATAAAAACTTTTCTCCCTTTAATCATTCATTTATTATACTGTCACCTTTTTTTTAAATGCTGTGATTGAGAATATGGATTAATACTGAAATCCTACAACATATTACTTGGATTAGTACCATCAGACAGAAATCCCACAGTATAATTTTGCTCTACAGGGAAATAGGATTGTTTGGCACAGTATCCTGAGTAATGAATTCACCAATAACAAAAATGTGATTGATAAAAAAAAATATAAACCGTATGTATGCCATATTTAATATGTAGTATAGTATTTCTAAGGTGCGTATATTTATGATATATGATATAGCATTTTAATATACTATCTAGTTTACATAATATATATGTACACACACATACACACATATATATATTAATATGTACAGTTTTCCTACTTATTGTGATACATACATTTTTAAATTCCATTTATAACCTGGTAGATATGTAGGTAGATAGGTTTTAAAAACAAGGGACTAGAATTGGGAATATTGAGAAGTGAGAATTACATTTCTTTACAGATATTAATTTCAAGTATCTTTTATTTGTAAAGGGCATGAATTGTTGTCCGAATTACAGCAGCGTCGATTTAATGGCTCAGACGGAGGGGTTTCATGGTCTCCTATGGATGATGAACTTCTTGCACAGCCACAGGTTATGAAATTATTAGATTCACTCCGAGAGCAATATACCCGCTACCAGGAAGTTTGTAGGCAACGTAGCAAGCGCACACAGTTAGAAGAGATTCAACAGAAGGTAATGCAGGTAGGTGTCTGATTTGAATATATTTAACTCTTTTTAATTCCTTATAATTTCTACTATGTGACTGACTATTAAGTCTTATATACACTATATAGAAAACCTTAGAACACATCAAACTGGATTCTAAAACTTTTAAATTATGTATTGTTTTACAAATAGTATTTGAATTAAAAGTTATGTTATTTTCACAGTGATGACATTGAGCATTCAGCTTAGTGTAACAATGAACTTCAAAAATAACTGGTTCTTGGAAACGTCATCAGTGGTCTCAGTGTATTCTTGCAATAAATAACATTTCATTATTGATACTTGATTTATTCTTAATTTCTAATAACTTAGTTTTTTGGTTAATTTAGGTATTACAAAGAGTATTTCTATCCTAACAAAATAACACATGTAATGCAAATGATTCTAATATCAAATTTTTTATAATATTGATAGAAAATATTAAATGTATTTAGTTATTAGGAATTTTAATTTCTTTTAAACTTTATTTTTATAAGAAAAGTAGGCTAAAATACTAAAGGGAGACATTTCTGTTATTTAGATTACACTCTGGATTTTTATGTTGAATAATTAAGAAAATAAATCTTCGAATATTTTATTTAAAAATGCAAACTGGAAACGTCCTAGTTTTTAAATCTAGGTTCATTTACTCATTAGATAAACATTTATTAAGTGATTCCTCTGTGGAAGGCATTGTGCTAGGTTTTTTACAGGATATAAAGGTAGACTTGGTTTTTACTATCAATAAGTTTAGGGAGAGAAAGTGTTAAGGGTCACAAGGACATGACTGAGAGGTTATGGGCAATTATAGGATGGATTATTTCTCTAGCTTCAGGTAATCTGGGAAGACTTAGTGGGGGAAGTAGCATTTGAGATTGTCCTCCCAGAATGTATCTGATTTCACCAGGCAGTGATAGGTTTTGAAAGAACTGGCATTTTGTGGAGGATGAAGAGTAGCATGGTAAATCATAGCAGCGTAGAATCCCAAGTTCTGTTGAGGAAAAAGGAAGCAGTAGGCACAGTGGGAAGTGGATGGCCTTTTTGAGTCATAGAGCATGATCCCAATCCCAGTTTCTTCACTTAGCTGTGTGACCATTCACGATACTTCACCCCTGAGCCTCGCTTGAACTGTCTTCTTTCTTTCCTCTTTTCCTCTCTTTCTTTCCCTCTCTGCCTTCTTTGCTTAATTGAAACAGGAATAATAATACCCCTTTTGAAAGGCTAGTGTTTGGAAAGAACCCAGCTCTCAATCAGTGGTAGTTATTATATGTATTTCTTTTGAACTAGACTCTACTCTAGAGGTCTAGTGTAGTTGCTGGCAAACTTCTGTAAAATTCCAGACATTTAGACTTTGTGGACCATACGGTCTTTCTTGCAGCTGTGGCTGCTTAACTCTTCCATTATAGTACAAGAGCAGATATAGACATTGTATAAACCAATATGTGTGGCCATTCTCCAATAAACTTTTATTTATTATACAAAAACAGGTGGTGGGCCAGAATTGGCCTGCACAATTGATCTAGTTCGTGGCTTCTCAAATTAGAGCATCAAGATGTCATGGGAAAAAAAGATTTGAAAGGAAGGAAGGAAGGAGTTGGATCATGGAAGATGTTGAATTTCAGGCAAAAGGATTTAGAATTTATTCCATGATAACCACATATAAACTGGAGATTTCTGAGCATACGTTAATTGTATGTGGCTTTTTCCATGGACTTCATTCATAAGTTAAAGGGTTTGTTTTAAATTCAGGTAAGTTTTAGCCCATTAGCTTATCTTAGAAAACCACTAAGATAGAGTAGCAGAGCAGTACAAAAATCATATTCTGAACCCAAATAATCTGAATCTACCCTCTTCTACCACTTCCAAGCTGCTTGACCTTGGGGAAAAGGAAGGTCCTTATGTCATAGTCTCCTCTTCAGTAAGCAAAGGATAACAACAGTAACCGCAACAACAATAATACCTACTTAATAGGACTGTTACAAGAATTAAAGAAGGTAATTTTTATAAAATATTTAGTGTCTGGCACATAATGAGTCTTCTATTAATAACATCTATTAGTTCATCCATTCAAAAAAAAAAAAATGTCTACAATAGTATGACATTGTCCTAGGCTCAGCAATGTCATGATGAGTAAAAATAGGGTTCTTGCTTCATGGGAGATAATTACATGATGACACAAACAGCTGTGAAATTGCAGCTATGCCAGGTGCCAACAAGGAGAGTGATGGGAGTAGGATTAGGATGAGTAAGAAGATATTAGAGACGAATCATATTTCTGACTTGTAAGACTTGGTGTCCTAGTTTGCAAGATAATGGTGTTGCCCACCTAGGGAACATTGGGCAAGATTTGGATATTACTGTGGATGCAAAATAGTGTGGAGAATCATGAGTTTGGTTTCAGACTTGTTAAGTTTGAGGTGACTGTGACTTCTAAGAGAATATGTAGAAGGGTAGTCCACAACAGGTCCAGACTTCGAAGTCTGGGCTGGGGTATATTTGTTTGTCATCTGTGCGTGAATGGTAATTAAAAGCATTGATGTGATTGAAAATTGTCCGAAGAGAAAGTTGAGAGAGGTAAGAAGAGTGCTTTAAACTGAACTTTGAGAAACTCTGACATTTCATGGCAAGGTAGAGGAGCATACACCTGAAAAGAAGGCAGTGAAGGACTGGCCAGAGATGAGAAAGTGTGAAGAGTTCTTTGTCATGGAAACCAAGGGAAGAAAGCATTTCAGGGAAGGAGTTATAACCCTGTCAAACGCTGTTGTAAGGTTGAGTAAAAGGACTTAAAATGTCTGTTAGAAAGCACAAGATTGAGGTCACTGGTGACCACAGGGCATGGAGTGGCAAGGCCAAGAGCAACAGTGGAGTGAATTCAGGAATGAAAGGGAGGTGTGGTGAAGGAAGCAATGAGTATAGACAAGTCGTTGATAACTGTCTCTGAAGGAAAGATGAGAAATAGAGTAATGGCTATAAGTGGTGGAAGAGGGGTTGTATTGCTTTGCGAGGGCTGCCGTAGCAAACAGACTAAGTGATTTAACAACAGAAATTTATTTTCTTGCAGTTCTGAGATCAGGATGTCAGCAGGATTGGTTCCTTTGAGGGCCGTGAGGGAATGCTCTGTTCCAGCCTCTCTCCTTGACTTGACGATGGCCATCTTCTGCCTGTCTTCACATTGTCTTCTCTCTGTATGTGTCTGTGTCCAGATTTCCTCTCCTTATAAGGATACCAGTCATATATTTAGATTGGGCCCACCCTAAAGACCTTATTTTAGGTTAATTACCTCTTTAAAGACTGTCTCCTAATAAATATTGTTAGAATCTGAGGTACTGTGGGTCAGTACTTCAACAGATGTATTTTTGAGGGGAGGGACACAGTTCAGCCTATAGGAGGGGTAAGGATAGTTGTTCTTTCTTTTCATGATATGAAAAACTTTAAAGATTGCTTGAAAGTGTTGAGGGGGAGAGGTTGAATACACAAGAGAGAAGGAATAATTAATACTATCGAGTTCCCAACAAGGTGGACGTAAACGGAATCAAAGCACAATAGAAGGGATTCGCTTTAGAATGTAAGAGCGAGAGCTCCTTCTGTGTCGCAGGAAGGATGGCTAGGATTACCATAGGACCATGAGGTTCCTCTGGCCAGTAACAGACCAGTTACACAGACAGCAGGAATACAGCAAAGTTAATTATTGCAGGGCACCGAGCAAGGAAATGGGAGGAGACCCTCAAATCCATCTCTTCGAGGAGTTCTGAGCTGGAGTTTTTAAGGGGATCATGTAGGGTAAGGGGCTGGAAAATTGGGGTTGTTGATTGGTTGAGGCAAGGGAGATGAAGTCAGCAGGATGTGGAAACTGCATCATTGGTGAGTCGGTGTCTTGTGGGGCCCCTCAGACCAGGTGAGTCAGTGGGGTCCTTCAAACCAACTGGCACAGTAGTTTTGTCAGTATGCAGGACCTGAAGGAATGTCTCAAAGTGAAAACTTAACGATTCATAATGTTTAGGTTGTTATCTATAGAACAGTTAAGGGGAACTATAATCTTGAAACAGGGTCCATGATTCTAGGTCAATAGGCACCAAACAACTATGAGGAAGCAGGTGAAACTGATCTGACCTAACAATTAATGTTCAACATGCTGCAAGCTTGGTATATTTTCATTTCTCCCCCTTCTTTCTTCCCTGATTAATTTTATAAAGTTTATAGGGGCGGTTTTAGATGAGTCCAGAGGTGCTCTGTATGTAAATCAGGCATCAGGAAGTTTGAAGGAGTCACTGTGTGATGTGTCTTTTTTTCATAAAGAGGAAAAGGCCATCTGCTTGATGGTACAAATTGCAGGGGTGATGGTTAAAGAGGATCAGTGGTTTGAATAGAGTGGAGGTGATTAAACATTTTCTTTGTGGGGAATCGAAGAGTGAAATTATCACTGTCAACCTAAATAACAGTGAGGGGCTCTTTAAAAGGAAGATATTATTTGTTTTAGAGAATAGAACATTACAATGGGAATATGCATGTCATGGTAAGCTGTGTGCATATTCAGAGAGGTAAAGGAAGACAAACATTTTTAAAGGAAAAAAATGAGGATTACATAATTGTTTTGAAATAATTGTCTTTGGTTCTAAAGATCAATAACAAGGGCGATGAGCCTCTGATATTGGACAGGCAATTGCTGGACAGATGTCCTTGTGGAAGGATTTTTTTTTTTTTTTTTTTTTTTTTTTTTTGAGACAGGGTTTCAGTCTATTACCCAGGCTGGAGTGCAGAGACCTGATCATGGCTCATTGCAGCCTTGACCTCCCAGGCTCAGGTGACCCTCCCACCTCAGCCTCCTGAGTAGCTGGGACTACAGACACATGCCACCATGCCCAGCTGTTTTTTTGGCGTGTATTTTATGTAGAAATGGGGTTTCACCATGCTTCCCAGGCTGCAGAAGTATTTTTTGTGTGAAGTTGCAATGCCTTTGTGTATAGTTTTGATTTTTGCAGTCCTTTGTGATAGTTTTTGTTAGCAGGCATACAAGCCTGAGAACCTCTCACCATGGCTTTCTCTGGCACTATTTGTCAGGGTTCTTTATTTTTCCCCCAATATTAGTGACTCCATTTTGATTCGGACAACTTTCACATCACAAAAATGTAGCTGTATTTTGGGGTAGTGTTGATCTTGAATGTATTGCAGAACCTTTCTGGCTTTTTATGTAACCCTATCTGACAATTCATGGCTGGCTGTTGAGGTTCAGGCACCAAAAACATGGGTGACAGGATTTATCCAGCATTTTTACTTTGCTAAATGGGTTAAGTGATTATGACAGAAAGACAGAGGGGCAAAGGCGTTAATGTATTGGCAAACACATTTTTAAATGACAGACCAGCTCAACTGGGTAAGGAAGAAACTGGAGAAAGGAGATGACGATTATTATATTTATAATGATGGTGATGATGGTAACGAGATTACTGTTAAAAACTGGTAAACTTCATATTCAGTTTTCTTTATCAGGATAACAAGTGAATTTGTTTGAACAATAATATTCAGCATATAATGTTTTCTGTACTCTGTTTTTCACAGGTCACATTTTAAGGAAATATCTATATCCCTTGCGAAAATGATTACTATATGATAATATATATTGAACTATATAGTAACATTGATCATATGTTGGTCACACAGAGCACAAATCATACTATTTTCAGTCTTACAAATTTGATGAAAATGTGAAAATTTTTTTGCTTGTTTAAAGATAATTATAAACTGAGTATCTCTGTTAAATCAGTGAAAATTGAATTGTTTCAAACTTCTTTTGTTTTTAATGACTCATCACTGAAAACAATGCAAGAGGAATCAATTGCTTTGATGGATAAATTATATAAGTAATAACCATGATATTTATCCGTGATTCCCCCACAGTTCAAATTGGTAGCACAAGACTTCATGTGGTATGCAGAGATTCTCCATACTGCTGCTGCTGTTACAGTTAAAAATTAGATTTCACATGCTTCTGGATAGCACACAGTGCCACTTCACTGAAATGTGCTATCATTATGCTCATTATTTATTGTGGCAGTAATTACTGCCAGCACTGCAAATGTTATTTCTAGAATCATCCATGTGCTTTTCTTCCTCTGTAGAGAGGAATCATAGATGCCAAATAGAATACACTGCATTGCATAAGCATACAGCTGGAGGCTGTATTCTCAGTTCTCCATACTCTTTCTCCAGGTTAGATGGTTGACATTTGCTTGACATGCCCTTCTGCCTGGTTTGACTTTGCATACTTCTACATGTTCTGTCATGCAGTTTTTAAAAATGAGCCTAGCCATGCAAGAAGCATGGATAGTCACAAGCATTTTTGGCCAGTGTAAATATTTTTCATGGTGGATTCTAAAAGCATGGCTCCAAGGTTATACTTTGCATGTAAATGTAACCATTTGAAGGGTCACATTGATATGGATTGGGGATAGAACTGTTTTTCCAGTAAGTTAATATTCAGATTGATTGAGCAAGATGTCCTGGTTGAAATTAAGTTATAACCTAGTTTGGCAAACTGCCATTATTAATGCATTTAAATAGACTTGTTTACTGGGGCATCAACCTCAATTTGCATCATTTTTATTAGAAATAGGCATATTTACTGTGTCTACATTACTGATGTTGTATACTAAGGGAAATTACTTTCAGCCTATATTAAGGCCATATATATATACATATATATGTCCATTACTATGTAACTGGTTTTTTGAGGCAAAGAGATATCTTTGCTTTATTTAAGATTTATTTTTCAATTTACAGCATTTTAAAAGTTCCATGTTAATGAATTGTTTATCCCCAGCTATCACGATTTATATTAACCTGCTTCTTTTGTTTCTAGATTATTCTAAAATCAAAGTCTAAATGTTTAATGATGTCTTAAGTTTCTAAAAACTATACATTGTTAGTGAAATTTTTTATATGCATTTGTTCCACTTTTATTTTTAGAACTTAGATATTTCTAGTAAAATAATTACATTATTTAAAATACTTAAAAGTCATTTTATCACTATGTTTCTATATCTGTATTTGTAACACATAGTGATAAATGAGAAGCAATTGATTCCCAAAAAAGACATGGAAAATTGTTCTAAAATGTTTACCTATGTTTCCTTAAAACTCGTTCTTTTTATTTCTGTTTCTTAAAGTGTCGGATACAGTAGTTCAGGGACTTTCTCAAGAAACTCAGGGTTGTTATTGTAAAATGCAGATGTGAAATAAACTCCATAAAGAGTTAGTGGACGGAGGGAACTAGGCTACAGAAAAAGTAAGAAAAGCATAGAGGCTAACAATTATTAGTATCATTAATGTGCTGTCTTACATATAATGAGTGTCATAATCCTGACAACAGCCCTGTACTGTAGGTATCATTAACATCATTTAAAAGATGAGAAACCAAAGTCTTTCAACTAGAAGAAGCAGAGCCGGAATTCAGACCCACCAGTAGTGGCAGAATGAGAATTCAGAATTCAGAATCATGGCTAGGGCTTTCTTTATATCGCACTGCTTACCTGTCTCTTTCGTGAAAAAATGATACTTTCCCCAAGCTAGCAGAGAGAAACAGAATCCTAGTACCCTAGCCCTCCAAAGATAACTCATACAAAAGAGTAAAGCAGAAAAAGTGGATGTGTTGAGGAAAAAACCATTGCACTCTAAAGAGCATCTGATAATACAGTTTTGAAAATGAACTTAGCGCTGTGTAAACAGTGTTTAGCCAATAGAAAGTTATAGCACTTAGGCTGTTCCACTGAGTCAACAATAATACTTTGACTTTTTTGTTTTTGAGTTTTGCTGTCTAGATTTTTGGGTTTTGTTTTTCTTGAGACAGGGTCTCACTCTGTCACCCAGGCTGGAGTGCAGTGGTGCAGTCTCAGCTTACTGCAACCTCCGCCTCCCAGGCTCAAACGATTCTCCAATCTCAGCCTCCTGAGCAGCTGGGACTATAGATGTGCATACCACGCCTGGCTAATTTTTGTATTTTTAGTAGAGACAGGGTCTCACTATGTTGCTCAGGCTGGTCTTGAACTCCTGAGCTCAAGCCATCTGCCCACCTCAGCCTCCCAAAGTGCTGGGATTACAGGTATGAGCCACTGTGCCTAGCCTTCTCTCTAGTATTAAGCCTTATAAAGAGAAGGGACAAGTTTATATATTAATTCTTTAAGACTCTAGAACATAAATGAACAAAGAACATGAAGAGATAAATCACAAAATATCACATACCTTGAATAAGCAAACATTTGCAATGTATTCAATCACTAATCTTTAAAAAATATGGAAAGATTTCTGTTTTTTCAATTGGCAGAAGTATTTTAAAAACAATAGTCAGTTTGGGCCGGGGGGCGGTGGCTCACACCTGTAATCCCAGCACTTTGGGAGGCCGAGGCAGGTGCATCACGAGGTCAGGAGTTTGAGACCAGCCTGGCCAAGATGGTGAAACCCCATCTCTACTAAAAATAGAAAAATTAGCCAGGTGTGGTGGCGGGCGCCTGTAATCCCAGCTACTCAGGAGGCTGAGACAGGAGAATCGCTTGAACCTGGGAGGCAGAGGTTGCAGTGAGCCATGATCATGCCACTGCACTCTAGCCTGGACAACAGAGCAAGACTCCATCTCCAAAACAAACAAAAAACAACAACAAAAAAACCAATAGTTTGTATATGTTATAGAGGTTATTGTAGATCAAACTATCATTAATTGGTGGATGTTTCAGATAGAAACGAGTTTTAGAGAGCAATTTTATAAAGTATATTAACAGTCAATAGTTTGTATACCTTGTAGAGGTTATTTACAGTTCAAACTGTCATTAATTGGGTATTTCAGATAGAAACAAGAGCTTTAGAGAGCAATTTTGTAAAGTATATTAACAAGCATTAGTATTACATCATCATTGGACCCAAGAAGATCTCTATTGGAAAACCATTCCAATCTCTATTGGAAACCTTTTCTGGGAAAATAAAACAGAGAAAAAAAAACATTATATATAACTGCTATATATGTGTTAGTCATAGAATTACTTAGAATTGATGGAAATTGGAAACATCCTATGTTCCCGACAATAGAGAATTGAAGTATTGATAGCAGGTACAATAGTTATTTGAGGCAGTACGTTACTTAGCTCTTAATAAGAGTGGGTTGATTGGTTGCTTGGTTGGACAGATAGAAGAGATGGAGGCAGGCAGGCAACAGGATTGGCCTTCTGAAAAAAGGATTTGCAAAGTCATTGAAAATTATGTTATAATAACAATAGCCAAGTGGAAAAATCATTAAAGTATTATAGTTTAATGCTAAGTGAAAAACGGGATGAAAACTACTTGTTATCTATGAGAATTGGCTATAACACTGAAATCTGGAGTAGCATATGAAAACCCTTACGCAGGTGAAAAATTAATGGAAGGAAATAGAATATGGTTGTCCCTTGGTATTTGTGGTGGATTGGTTCAAGGACGCCCTGCAGACTGTGGATACCAAGATCAAAGATGTTCAAGTCTCATATAAAATGGCATAATATTTGCATATAACCTATGGATACTCTCATATACATTAAATCATCTCTAGATTACTTATAATATCTACTACAATGCAGATGCTATGAAAATAGCTGTTATAGTGTACTGGCTTATTATTTGTATCTTTAAATTGTTGTATTGTTATTTTTTTGTGCTTGATTTTTTTTCCCAAATATATTCAATCTGTGATTGGTTGAATTCAGGCATGAAAATCTGTGGATATCCAAACAGGGCTGAGCGCTTATGTGATTTTTCTTTATGATGTGGTATTTTTATATAATTATAAAAAGATCCATAAACTGTTAGATTTAGAAATATATTTTTTTAACCTGGTAAAAGCAGAAATGTATATCTGCACTGCTCTTTTCTACGTTAAGCCTACCCACTGGGTCTATAATATTATGCTGCAGAGATATCCCCATTCACTTCTTGGGAGCTATCCTGAGTTTAGATTTAGGATATAACCATACATCTATTCTTAAATTCCTTTTTCTAATTTGGCAAAAGGTAAAGCTTGGTAATACCATTTTTTCCACTAAAATTACTCCACAATGTGTTTGTAGTTTCAGAGTGTATATGATTGTGGGTAGAGTGTCAGCACAATCCTCTCCTTCTGCATGAGAACTTGATCTTTGCTTAACCCTTTAGCTCTGTTCCCCTGAAGACCTGATTAAAAATTGGAATGTCAACTACGTTACTAGGCAATATTGCTTATAGTAAACATTATTCCAGATCTGGACTGGGAGAATTATTAATATATGATGGAAGGCATAACTTGGGGTGGGGATCCTTGAGTTTAGTGACTCATAATGGGCATAGTCCTGTGGGGTATCATGTTTTGATGCCAGAGTGTCTCCCATATCTGCCCCATACTGATCTCATCTCCTTATACCTGCTTGAGGGACTCAGCTGAAGAACTCCTGATGCTGTCATCCTGGCAAACTATAGTTCCCACCCTATATCCTTACTAGCAGACTGGTGCCAGTGGGGCCTTTTGTGGGTCTGAATGTTGGTTGATCCTAAGAAGAGTCCAAGAGGGTATTTATTACATTAGCATAATTCTAATTAGTTTTTAATTTTATTTTTGAAGTGATAAAGTGGTATATTAACTTTATAGTAGTTAATTCAGTCAGTTTTTTCAATGCTTGGGAAGAACATTAGACTATGAGTTAGAACATATGGCTGTTAGTCCAGTTTTTCAATAATGGATTATGTTATCTTGGGCAAGTCACTTAATCTGTTTGAAACTCAGTTTTCTTAAATGTTAGTTAAGAACTTTGACTGATATCATTTCTGATGTTTCTTCCAACTCTAAATCTTATGATTCTCTGATTCTCTTTTCGTAAGTTAATTTTTAATCCTCTTTTATAGAAGCATTCCAGATTTCTTTTAGCCTGAAAGATAATCAGATAGCTGAAAGCTTGTGATGCTACAGTGTACATTCTTCCACATTTAAGTTTTGAAAATGTTGTCACATTATAGCTGTGTAGTTCCAAAAGAAACATTTACTGCCTATGTGATAGAATGTAAATAATTTACATTAAAAATAATTGGGGAACTTTGGGAGGGGAAAAATAAGTTAGAATGAAAGTTTGAAAAGTTTCTGATTCTTTAAAAAATGTTATCTCAACTTTTGTTTATAGGTGGTGAACTGGCTAGAAGGGCCTGGATCAGAACAACTAAGAGCCCAGTGGGGCATTGGAGACTCCATTAGGGCCTCCCAGGCCCTACAGCAGAAACACGAAGAGATTGAGAGCCAGCACAGTGTGAGAGGCTTTTTCCTCTGCAAGTTACAATGATATTATGAACGTGGGTAATTAGTAGCATATGTGGTACTGAGTGATAAGTTGCTGCAAACTTTGGTATGGGGCATGAAGTACAGTTTGTTAAGTGCCTAGAGGTCATAAAGTACATTTTGATTACTTAGTACATGTTAATTAGAAGGTTGTTTTTGGTTTTGTCTCTAATGCAGTTTAATTATATTTTTATAGAAGCACAATTTGCATGAAATTTTAAAAGCTACAGTGACAGAAAAAAGAGTGATAATACAAAAATAGAGCTTTCATCTGTAGTCTCTGTGACAGAAACTTCTGTTTTCAAGTCCCCCTCACCCCCACTTTATTGGGAGTATATAGTACAATTAAATGCCTGAGAGTGATAGCAGAATTGCTGCATTAAACACAACTGATGGAGAGTAAGTCCAGAGGGTGCAGAATATTTTTCCATTCTCTGAGCATTTAGGGGTCCCTTTTGTATTTGTGAAAGGGGTAATCAGACAAATCACAGGTATAAAATTGGGAAATAAATAGATTCTTAAGCAGATTATAGATAATAATTGTTAAAGATAATTTAAAATTTAACAACTTGTTATGTGAAAGAAGCTGGTGTTCGTTAATCTCCTGCTCTGTTACAGTTAATTCTTCATTACTGAGAAAGAGATCATCCAGTTTGTGGACGGGGTAGCTCACCCCCCTCTCCCTAAGGTCATATTACTTTGGTAATTTAAAATAGATTAAATACAAAATTGGAAAAATAAAATTTGAATCCATTAATTCCCTTCTCCTTAGGTTGTCTTAAAAAAGGTGGTCAAAATGTTAAACTCTGGACCCAGATGAGCATTAAGTACCGTCGGAACATTAATTTCTGCAACGTTTCTTCTTTCCTCTAATTATGTTGGATAGTATTAGGAAATGTCCATTTTTAACTAAACAAGATTAAAGAATAAGTAATATGGTTTGCTTGGGAATAAATTTGAATGAATGAGTAAATCTCATCTTTACTAGAATTTAACAATATCTGATTCTTATTTTTCTTCTAAATGTATTCCATTTTGCTTAGTTTCCTCATATTGCTTTCTTTGTAATGTTCTGTAAATCAGGTATAGCAATTACTGGTATTGGCAGAAAATCTACTACTATACCCTAAAGCAGTTGTAATCTAGCTGAAGGAATAATAAGAGATATTACAAGATTTGGAATTGTCTAAAGGCACTACATATATATTCCTTGCAATTTTTCTAATTAGTACTTGTAAAAAACTTGAAAATGAAATCTCATAATTGAAAATCGATTTATTTTATGCATTTCACAGGTTCCAACATAATGGTTCTTCCTTTTATACTAAAATAATCATATTACAAACCCTGTTCCTGAGGATATAATCTTTTAATTCTCTTGGTACTTTTAAAATAATGTTTTGATTTTTTTTTTAACATGGATTGTGATTTGTTTGAACCTGGTAGACTGTTCTAGAACATGTTACTATAGTTAGAGTCTACAATTTGTTCCTCTCTTTAGTTCCTAAAAAACTGTATTTACTCTAGAACATTCTAGACTTCACCTAAGGGGATTTAGTTATGAAAGTATTCCAAAAGTTCTTTTTAGGAAGGACACATGGCACATGAGGATTCTAAAGACAGGATTTATCTATATTTTATTATTTTTTTTAAATGCCAAGATAAATAATTACAGTTAGAAATTGGATTGTATACATACTGTACTGTACTCTAAGTTTACAAAAAGACTTCAAAAGCAAATTTCATATTGCGTATAGTATGGATGAAATTGCAGATGATGTACATAGAAATTGCTATGTTCAGATGTTGGTTTTGTATTTTTAATATATTTATAAGGTTTTCAAAATCAGCTTAAAGAAACATCGCTTAAGGGTGGCCCTTCCCATGTGCTTAAGCTTACTTATAATGTGGAACCAATATATAAAACTTTTGAATTGCAAAATACCTTATAGATTATTCTAATATCTTCATCTTACTTTATAGATGAAAAAACTGGGAAGCTACGTTTTTTGATCAGTGAATAGTTGGACTATTGTTAAGACACAGATCTCTTGATACCCAGGGGGGATCCTTTCTCTAGCTGTCTCTTAGAGAAAGCTACTAAATTTTACAGATATGGTTAAGCTACAGTAGTTTTTCATTCTTGTACTTTTAATACTTAGGAATGTACATATACATTGACATCTGCATTTATAGACATGACCTAAAGAAACATTGATGGCTATCAAGAGATTTTATTTCCTTAAATCATGTGTGATATTTGGGTTTTGTTTCAGAATTGGGAGGTAGGAACAGATTGAATGGATGGGAGTGTATGTGAAACAGAATTACCCATGAATTGATCATTATTGAAGCTGGATAGGAAGGAGTTCATTACACTATTCTTCCCACTTTTGACATATTTTTAAAAAGCCAGTTGTGCTGTTTTAGCCAATAGGTGGCACTGCATTGTCACCCTGAGAATAGGTTGGTTGATGCTGGATGAATATTTTAGCTTATGATGTTTAAGATATTCTAATATTTTATTAAAAGCTTTCTTTTCTCTCTGTAACTAAGAGTTAACAGATTAAAGCATTATTGGAATTGTTCAAGTCTTGTGAAAGTATGACTAATTTCTGGCATTGACAGCTGTTAACGGTAGAATTTGAGAAAACTTTTAACATACAATCTTGCATTACCAGCTCAATGTCATATATTAAATTTTATGTCATATATTAAATTTTAGAGTCCATATAAAAGCATAATGCAGAAATAAAGCTAAAAACCCCAAATTTGTTAGGATATTAAGTTTTAATACATAGAAAAATGAAATTTCTGCCAACCTGTAGTTCTAGTTCAAGGATTGGTAATTAGAAGTTAACTTGGTTTTTTAATAGAACACAACAAAAAAAATAAGGTACATGAAAATGGTTATAGTAACTGACAATAAATTTAAAAGCAGTTTAGTTCAAAAATCTAATTTTATGTTTTGGGTTGAAGAAAGTGTGTGGTAGGAAAAGCGTGTGTGATAGGAACATCGAGGAGCATAAATATCTGAAACTACTTCAGAATTTTGTCACTATCCCACCATCTCATAGTGCTGAGTTCTGGTCTACAAAGAAACCACTTTCTCTGGTGCATTATGCAGAACAGGTCTACCTGGCGAATCAAGACTCATTTCTCCTAATGTGTAGTCTGAGTATAATCAC
This sequence comes from Homo sapiens, assembly GCF_000001405.40. Lineage (NCBI taxonomy): Eukaryota > Metazoa > Chordata > Mammalia > Primates > Hominidae > Homo > Homo sapiens. The sequence continues at coordinate 179,129,086 of NC_000002.12, read as the reverse complement.
CTTTTTAACCCGAGTTGGCACTGTTTCCTTCTGCCTACATATGGATTCACATTTCATGGTATAAAGTATAAATATCCATCATTTCACCAAGTATGCGTCACTGCCAACATGATTGCATTGTCAATCCTGACTGCTTGTGTCCTAAATGTGAACCTTCAAGCCCTTTTCTTACCATCTCAATCCAAATCCCATATATTGGTGTTTTTTTATTTTGCTATAAAATAATCATTTTCTACACAGTTAAATATACATAAGAGACAGACCGGAGAATGGCTGTAAGTGAACAAAATACACCTAAGGTTCTAGGCAGTCTACATTCTACTGGGTTTTTTTTTTTTTCTTTTCTTTTTTTTTTTTTTGAGACAGTGTCTAGCTCTCTCGCCAGCCTGGAGTGCAGTGGTGCTATCTCAGCTCACTGCAACCTCTGCCTCCCAGGTTCAAGCGATTCTCCTGCCTCAGCCTCCAGAGTAGCTGGGATTACAGGCATGCGCCACCACACCCAGCTAATTTTTGTATTTTTAGTAGAGACGGGGCTTCACCCTGTTGGCCAGGATAGTCTCCATCTCCTGACCTCGTGATCTGCCCATCTTGACCTCCCAAAGTGCTGGGATTACAGGCATGAGCCACTGTGCCCGGCCGTACATACCCGTTTTTTAGGAAGAAACATTTGGATGACTTTTTTTAAATACATGCAAATGTATTAGCCAGATTTTTTTGCTCTCCACATCCCAGAGAGACTATTTCTTTATGGCAACCTCAATCGGTAATATCAATGTCTCTAATTTCAGGTGTTAATTTCTTGAGACATACTAGTCCTCACAATGTATTTACATCCCTGGTCAGGTTGCTGGAGCCTATATTTTACAAATTCAAACCAGGAAATAATTAGCTCCACAGTGGTGATTCCTAAACCTTAACAGGCATAAGAGTCATCAGAGATGCTTGTTGAAATATATATTCCAGGGCCAACTCCAGATACTGATTTAGTAAGTCAGGAGTGAAGCTTAGACATTTTTAATAAACACCCCAAGTGGTCTAATGCTGGTAGCTCTGAAAAGTGCTATTCTAGGACTCTAATCCTTCACTGCTTTTCTCAGAATCGTTGCTATTACGTCTTCAAAGAGTTAAGCCTATTTATTTAGAGCATTTAATGATATGTAAGTACTATGAATAAGGTATTGAAATCCTTTTATATTTTAGAGCATGACAGTGATAATTTTCTGAGGTAATATTTTCTACTTTAAAATAGTCTCTGTTAACCATTATAAACTATGTAGTTTAAAAATATTCTATGCTTGTTATTGAGTTAAATCCAAACAATAACTGATAAACAAGGTAAGACAGATATTATCATCACCATTGGATATAGGAGGATTTCTCATCCTCAGCAGACTCTTGAGACTTTGGGCCAGATAAATGTCTGTCGTAAGGGCTGTCCTGCACATGGTAGGGTATTTTGCAGCATCACTGGCTTCTACTTACTGCATGCAGTGGCATCCCCATTCCTCAGTTGTGATAACCCAAAATGTTTCCAGACACTGCCACATGTTCCCTGAGTGACAAAATCACCCTCTGTTACCTACTTAATGTAATGTCAGTAAATCTACAGTGATTAATGTTTTATACCTTCAATCAATGAATGTTAATTGAGCACATACTATGTGTCATGTGTTGTTCTAGGCTTTTGCCATATAATACTGTCTTACTATATGGAATTTACATTCAAGTTGGGGAGCGGAAAGCAATATAGGTATAGATTTTAGGAAAGGCCTCTCTGAGGAGATGACATTTAATCAGAAACCTTGAAATGATGTCGAGAAGTAATCCAAACAAAGGGCAATTCAGATAGAGGACACAGCAGTAGAAACACCCCAGCACAGGAAGATGATTGAGGAACAGCAAGAATGTTGGTGTGGCTAGAGTACAGGGAGCAAAGGAGAGTCACAGAAAATAAAGTTTTAGAGGAAGTCAGGAGCCAAAACATGTAATGTCTTTTAGCCCATGAAAAGAAACTTGAAATTTATTTTAAATGTTATGTGAAGTTATTTGAAACTTTTGGACAGATAATTAATTTATGTTTTAAGCAAATCACCGGCTATTGTGTGGAAAATAGGGAACAGAGACTAGCAATGAAAATGGAAGGCGGGGGGCTGATAGATGGAGGCATTAGAAGTAATGAGAATTGATAGAAGTTGATGAGGTTGAGCCAGCAAGACTTGCTGATGAAAGAATCAGGCTTTTGGCCTTAGCAGCTACTAAGGCAGGGAGGACTGCGAGAGGAACAGGTTGGGAGGATAGTGAATCAGTGTCTTTGGTGGCAGGTTAGATTTTAGATATCTAGTAGTCATCCAGATGAAGGTGGCTAGTGGGCAGTTGGGTATCAGTATCTGGGGTTCATGGGAGGGGTCAGTGTTGATGATTAATTTGGTAATTCTTAGCCTATAGATGTATTTAGAGCCTATATTAACTTGGTAGTTCTTAGCCTATAGATATATTTAAAGCCTATATTAATTTGGTAATTCTTAGCCTATAGATCTATTTAAAGGCATGGGACTAGGTGAAGTCATCCAAACCCAGTGAGAAGAAAAGAGAGCCTCTGGAAAACTGAGCCTTGGGTCAACCTAAACTTTAAGTGCAAAAAGAGGGAGGAGAGCCAGCAAAGAAGGCTAAAAGGAGCTGTTGTGTCTCAGAAAACAAGAGAAAAGGCCATTTGAAGGAGGAGGAAGTGCTTACTTGTGCCAAATGCAGCTGTTTGTTGAGAGGTTCAATAAAATAAAGACTGAGAATTGACCATTGGATTTGTGGCAAGATGGAATTTTTTGGTGAATTTGACAATTGGTTTCAGAAGGGTGGGAAAACAAAATCCTGATTGGAATGGATTAAAAAAAGAATGAAAAATGAGAAAAGAGTAAATACAGAGAACTCCTTTAAGAAAAAAATTTTTTTTAACTGAGGTTTAATTTCAGCGTAGTAAAATGCACAAATCTTAAATGTGTATTTTATTGTTTAATAAATTACAGCTTATTTATATGCTGGTGGAAATAATCCAGTTGAGACAGAAGAACTGATGGGAGACAGAGAAGATAACTGTGAGAGCAAAGCTTTGTGTAGGCAACAGAGATAGGCTGTAATGCACAAGTGGAGTGGTTGGCCTTAGAAGAAGAGACAGGCGGCTGATTATTACAGCTCTGAGGGCAGAGCATAGGGCTGTAGAAGAACGGAGGGTTGGGGATTTGTTGGTGGGAAGATGAAAGAGTTTTCCGATTACTTCCCAGTGAATTAAGATCTTTGGCTGAGAATGAAGAAGTGAAAAGGGAATTGGAGACTGATAGTGAAAAAAACATAAATGATCATGAGAATGAGAAAGTGAATTTACTAGAGAAACATAAAAGGATTGCCAAAGACTCATTTGAGATTATTTAGTCATAACTTTAAAAAGAGATCTGTCAATCCTTTTGTAGTTTATAAGCATGATGATGGGTGCTCACACTCATCTGAGATGTGTCTCCCTCTAAGCCTTGTAACAACATCAGCACGTTACCCTTCTGATGTGAGGGAAAAGAGAGAGAGCGCTATCCACCTAGTTGTTTTTAGTCTACCCATGTTCGGCTACTCTGGTACAGGCACACATTAGGCAGAGAAAACAGATCTCAGGTTTCAACAGGTCATTCTGATGGAAGGAAAGAAAGCCAGGCAGGGGCATGGGTTATATGCTGGGAGGTGGTTATAGCCTTTGATCAAGGATGGAAGTGAGGACAGAGGTTCTCATGTGCTGGATGGTAGAGAGGTCAGTAGATTGGTGGATTCCATGGGATTGTAGGTGTGAGCCTACAAACAGAGGTGAATGGGAGAGTCAATAGGTGGTCAGAAAATGGGTTTCATGAAACAGATTTTTGGAGCTACATAGTAGTATATGATGACACGTTTTTATGGCCAGTGGAAGAGGTAGCTGAGTTGAGGTGAGGACAAGTTAGTTGGAGGTGAGGGAGGGAGTCAAGGAACTGGAGGTTCAGGATGGTGGTGGGTGCCTATGTAGTGGAAGTCACTAAGAAGGCTGATGCTGAGAGGAAGGCAGTGTGACCTTTGCTAAACCCTTCTGTGGATGAGGTGATACCACACAGAAAGCTGAAAAGATGTAATCTAACAGCATGCACTTCAAAGGGGATACGGTTTTTTGAAAGAAGAGGGAAAATAAATGGTCTGCAAGTAGTGAGGAACGAGGCACCCAAACCCACCTTCAGGCTTGCAGTATGTCAGACATGGAAACAGTAATCAGTTGAGAAGGCTGCAGGGGTGACTGAGGGCGGACAGGTTTCACTTAGAGCAAGGAAGAGAAGAGAACATTTAGAGGTCAGGGATTGAGTTCCAGGGATCACAGGATTAGGAACTTTCCACCCTCAATTTTAATAATTTTGCCTTAGAAAAAAAAAATCATGTATTACTTAGTTTATCTGGAGAAATTATAAAATGTAATCTCTTCCAGGAACTAATTTGAGCCTTAGTTTACTTTGTAACATCTTGATTACAGGAATGGTTTGCAGTGTATGTGGAACTTAATCAGCAAATTGCAGCACTCTTGAATGCTGGCGATGAGGAAGATCTTGTGGAACTAAAGTCACTGCAGCAACAACTTAGTGATGTTTGTTATCGACAGGCCAGTCAGCTGGAATTTAGGCAAAATCTCTTACAAGCAGCTCTTGAATTTCATGGTGTTGCCCAAGATGTAAGTGTCTATTCTGATTCTTTTCTTTTCTTCAAATTATCTGAACACTTACCTACACGTAATTTTTTTCAGGTTTGCATGCCTCCTAAATTATTTTTCTGAACCAATAAAATGAATTACTGGTGGGGGTAATGAGATAAAATTCTTTGATTTTTTTTAAAAACAAGTATTTTTTAAGTCATTCTGCATGCAATTCAACCTTTTATTGTCTAACTAGAGTGTTCCAATCTAGTAGAATATTTTATTTTGACTCCTTCTCAATGTTTATGCTTTATAACTTAGATGGAAATGGAAGTCTCAATACTTTTTTGCATTCTGCTGACCTGAATGTACTTCTTTGTCTTCCTGGTGCATGCATCTGTGTGTTCTGTCTTCCAGATAATGCATATTCTAATGATTCGTCCTTGTCTTGTAACAGTGTAGTCTTTTCAAGTGTAATTGTGATAACCTCATTAGATATAAACCTCATTAATCATTAAACACTTTAGATGCTGATTACATCAGGGTTATCTCTTTGGTGTCCCTCTGCTTTAGTTGTCTCAGCAGTTGGATGGCTTATTAGGGATGTTGTGCGTAGATGTAGCACCAGCTGATGGAGCATCGATTCAGCAAACTTTAAAACTGCTTGAAGAGAAGCTGAAAAGTGTTGGTAAGCAGATTTTAAAAATGCTGAAACATAAGGTTTTTTTTTTTTTAAATATCATTACCATGGTTAGACAATTAAGTCAACTTACACTGAACTAATTAGTATTATTTTCAGGAAACAGAAAAATAGTATAAAAAGATTTTATTCCCTTGAGGGGTTATAATTTATGCTGAAAATTTTATTTTTCATCGTTAGTTAGTCACTCCTCCCTTCACTGGGCCTTTACCCTTGCCTGTTTACCCAGCTATATCTACAGGTGCTGTGTCTTGCATATACTATGAACAATTATTTGTAGTGCATGCATGAACTGTAATTAGCTGTGAAATGTTCTGTGGTAAATCCTGTATGCCCAAAATTGTGTTTTATGCAATGATTTTTGTTGTTGCTTTATCCTAACCTTGTGAAAAAATAGTTGGTTTGGTTTTTTGGTTCTTGTCTCACCAAACTGGGAATATTGTCAGATTACCCATTCTCCAAGGAGTGGGGTACATTTACATTAAGGGGTCCAGTTACATTAAGCTGATGTAGGCTTGATGTCATTTGACATCAAGGCCTTTAGAATTTTTCTACAGCAGGAAGCACAGTGAACTTTCCTAAAAGGTCAGGATGTGACAATGGGAAGGTGGGGAGTCGTATCAAGGGGGGACAAAAGGGGAAATGGCAATGGAAGAGAGGAAACAGGAACTTAAGGCAGAGAACTAGTAAAAAGTGGTTGCACATGACTAAACCAAATTATTGAAAACTGCCTTAGGGAATTGGTTTGAAAAATCACACTTGTACTGACATTTTACTTGCTTACAGCCTTTGTTATTTTATTTTTTTGAGATGGAGTCTTGCTGTGTTGCCCAGGCTGGAGTGCAGTGGTGCCATCTTGGCTCACTGCAACCTCTGCCTCCCCGATTCAAGTGATTCTCCTGCCTCAGCTTCCTAAGTAGCTGGGATTACAGGCACCTGCCACCACGCCCGGCTAATTTTTGTATTGGTAGTTATAGTAGACATGGGGTTTTGCCATGTTGGCCAGGCTGGTCTCGAGCTCCTGACCTCTGGTGATCTGCCCACCTCAGCCTCCCAAAGTGCTGGGATTACAGGCATGAGCCAGCGCACCTGGCCAGCCTCTGTTATTTTAACAGATGGTATGCATAATACATATTTAGTGTTTAATATGACAAATGAATTTTCTTTTAAAATATTAGTTTTCTTGAGCCACAGTCTTTGTTTAAAAAAAAAAAGTTCCTTTACACATGTAATTTGGAGAATTGTAAATATACCCTAATTGTTGCTTCCTATGGTATAGAAGCTAGACTGTATCTTTAGTCACAATGTTCAACATCCTTTGACATTGATGATACATTGCTGGAGTGTCTTAAAATTTTGCAAGGCTTATGCGCTTTTTTAAACAACATGTTTGCCTTGTTCTCCTATAAGTTGGACAGCATAAAAGCAGGAAGAAAAAACAGAAAATTGTTTTCTATTAGAAATAGGAATTTTCATATTTTTCTTCTGCTTTCATTTTTTAAAAGTAATTATTGTCTATGGAAACCCATGTTTTCAAAATTCCCTTTAGGGAGAATTTGGCATGAGAGAGAGCTCCAATTCGAGTTACATTTAAAGGGTTTTATTGCTTGAAATGTTCATAGGATGGAGTCTTGGGATTCCATCCCAAGGTGGTTTACTGTACAAAGCTCCTATACTTGGGATCCAGGTACAATATCTGATGAGACGATTTGTTTGAGGGAGGGAAAGCGCCTTAGTTGTGTAAGAGATTAAATCTAGTAACTTTTGTTTTAGATGTGGGATTGCAAGGTTTGCGTGAAAAAGGTCAAGGTCTCCTGGATCAGATCTCCAATCAGGCATCCTGGGCCTATGGAAAGGATGTAACCATTGAAAATAAAGAAAATGTGGACCACATACAAGGAGTGATGGAAGATATGCAGCTTAGAAAACAAAGGCAAAGTTTGACCGTTAATTACTTTTTACTAAAATAATAACAATATTAGTTAAAATGAAGTTATATAACATTTTATATACAGACAAAACGTTCTTAACTGTTATATAGAAGACATGTAGTAGGTTTTTGGTGAATGTGATAATTACTGTATATAATTTTACTAACATAGTAATAATTTATTCAATTATTAGGTACCATTTTCCTTTTTATTGGGTTGTAAAAATTTCAATTATACTCAACTATTTCAAATTCCATATCCCCAGTGTAGTCTATGACTCTTCTGCTTTAAAAAAAACTTACTGAAGAATAATTTTGCTTTTTAAATTTCATTTAGTTTAGAGTTGCCATTAAACTTGTCATCTACATTGATCTGTTTCTTCATCTAAACTTACAGAATGTCACACATTCATTGTTCTCATATTTGCTGTAGGAGGATTAAACAGTGGACTAGTGATGTTTAGTTTCATTTTCTATAAAACTAGGAATTCAAAAGATTCTTTGAAAACTCAGTTTGCAATAGCAACTACAAAGTATTGCAAAGTAAAGGATTAAAATTATGCAATATACACAATCTAGCATGGTTATATGAAATTTTGCACACTTAAAAATTTTATGATCATCAACAAAACTTCACAGAAAGCTTCCTTCTGCATCACAGAGAAAACAGTCATGAGGCAGAAATTTCTTCCCTCATATCTGCAAACTTACTTTTATTCTGTCACCACAGAGGATGATAGAGCTCTCCGTTTATATCAAAAAATATCAAAGCTGAGCTTCCATTTAGGCTCTGATTCTGATCACCCTCCTGACTCCTAACTCCATCAAATCCCATTCTCTACTCTGGTTCCTGCCCTCACTTAAATGCTTAAATTTCTCCTGTTTTAAAAATAATAATCACACATATGGGTACGTCTTCCTCTTCAACTCTTTGTCTTTTAGCATTAGAACTCTTCCTCACAGCTAAGTCATTTGGATAGGTTTACGGTACATTCATACTACTTCCCCCACTACCTCCAATTTATTTTCAACTCTTTTCAGTCTGACTTCTACCCTAACTATTTCATTCAGTGTTGCTCTTACCAGCATTACCAACGTAATAAATGCTGTATCTTACTTAAAGTTCAGAGAATACTTTTAGTCTTGACTTGCTTAACTGTGATTAGCGTTAGGCACAACTGACTTTTCGATTTCATCTTTCTTGAAAACACATTTATGATCCTTCTCTGTTTCTTCTTGGTTTTTGTCACTGATTTCTTGGCCACTAGCTAAAGTTACTGCTTCCAGGGTTTGTTCTGAGGCCAGATTCCCTTCTTTATATATTCTCCCTGGACATTCTCACTACTTGAATTACTTTCTTTAATAGATCATGGTTTAGTAGTTACAGCTCTCCCGTGCTGTAGACCCATAATTCCAATTGCCTACTTAGTGTCGCCTGCGGGATGCCCCATGTACTGCTGAAATCTAGTGTATTAGTCCATTCTTGCATTGCTATAAAAAACTACCTGAGACTGGGTAATTTTTCTTTTCTTTTCTTTTTTTTTTGAAACAGAGTCTCGCTCTGTCACTAGGCTGGAGTGCAGTGGTATGATCAAGGCTCACTGCAACATCCACCTCCTGGGTTCAAGCGATTCTTCTGCCTCAGCCTTCCGAGTAGCTGGGACTATAGGCGGGTGCCACTGCACCCGGCTAATTTTTGTATTTTTAGTAGAGACGGTGTTTCACCATGTCAGCCAGGCTGGTTTCAAACTCCTGACCTCGTGATCCGCCCACTTTGGCTTCCCAAGGTGCTGGGATCACAGGCGTGAGCCACCGCACCCGGCCGAGACTGGGTAATTTTTAAAGAAAAGAGGCTTAATGGGCTCACAGTCCCACAGGCTGTACAGGAAGTATGGCTGGGGAAACCTCAGGAAACTTCCACTCATGATGGAAGGTGAAGGGGAAACAGACACATCTTACTTGGATGGAGAAAGAGGAAAAGAGTGAAGGGGGAGGTGCGGCACACTTTTAAACAACCAGATCTCATGAGAACTCACTTACTGACATGAAAACAGCAAGGGGGATATGTGCCCCCATGATCCAGTCATCTCCCACCAGGCCCCTTGTATTTATTAGTCCATTCTCACGCTGCTATACCTAAGACAGGATAATTTATAAAGGAAAGAAGTTTAATTGACTCACAGCTTTGCAGGGCTGGAGAGGCCTCAGGAAACAGAATCGTGGTGGAAGGGGAGGCATCTAATCACATCCCACCAGGCTCCTCCTCCAATATTGGGATTACACTTTGATGTTAGATTTAAGTGGGGACACAAATCCAAAACCCAGATCCAAACCAGATCACCTAGTATGTCCAGACTGGAATCATTTTCCTCTAAAACTTGCTCTCCTTTTTTAATTTCCTGCCTAGGTTAAAGTTACCATCAGCTACCAAACTTGAGATTTATCCTAAAATCCTTCATCTTTCTCATCCCTTATAGCTTAATCAAATGTCCAGGTTCTGCTGTCTCTGAATCTCAAACATTTATGGTCAAGATCTTAAACTCTTATCTGCCTCTGGCCTGGCTACTCTCCAGCTTTTTGTATATAAGTGTAATTTTCATAAAGTACAACAATTGTGTAAAACTTCCTTCAGTGACTTCCTGTTTGCTCAGATGGAGTTTGTCTTCTTGGAATAATGTAGGAGACCCTTCATAATCCAATTCTTGCATAATTTTATCTTCTATAACATTCCCATAAAATCACACAGTTGTTTTTATCTCCCTGAAAGCATCATGCTGTTTCATGCATCCATGACTAAGAATACTTGTTTCCTTGTTTTCTGCTCAGTGAATTCCTACTTACTCTTCAAGACTCAGGGATACTTACTTTACTTTAGGAAGCCTTTTTGGACTTCTAAGGCAAGTTAGTCACTTGCTCCTCCCTACTCTCATAAAACATTTTAAATAGCTTTATAATAGTACTTATAACATCTCTGCAAATGGGAGCATCTTGATAGTAGAGACCATATCTTATATTTTCCCCAGCACACATTATCTAATACCTGAATACAGTATATGTATGATACCATCTTCATCAAAGTGGCCTACATTGTTTTTTAGTTTCATATTTAAAAAATAATTATCACTTCCCTTCAGTCCATTGTAGAATTACTTTAACCAAGTTGAATTTTAATGTCATGTTATAGCTTTTATTCAGAGCATCTTTATTTTTTTTTAAAAAAAAGCCTTGTGATACCTACTTCTATATTGTTATTAAGCTTTCTTTAAGGACATCAAGTATAGTAGAGCACAGTGTCTGGTAACATATTATCGGTATTTGAGACTGCAGTGGGAGTCCCCCATCCCACCTGCAGTACGCAGAATTTCATGGAAATGAAGGAAATGGACCAGAGTTAAGTTAGGTTAAGTTGCCTTAAAAATTTAAATGGTTATATTATCCAAAAAGACCACAATGAGATTAAAAAAATAATTTGAATTGTGTTTCTCTACACCCAGAGGTCAGTAGAGTTTTTTTGTTTTTTTAAGCCCTCCATCTAGTTTTTAAGAATGTAGATGGAGGGTTTTAAAAAAAATCAGAATTAAATATTATTTTAGGTACTATAATATAATGAAAAGCGTTAATGTTTAAATGTTTCTTTAGCTGGGCATAGTGATGCACACCTGTAGTCTTAGCTACTTGGGAGGCTGGGATGTGAAGATCATTTAAGCCCAGGAGTTTGAGGTTATAGTGAGCTATGATGGTACCACTGCACTCCAGCCTAGGTGCTTGAGTGAGACCTTGTCTCAAAAAAATATCATCCTGTATTTGAGAAACATTACACTTTTATCCTTGAAACTTGTTTGATGCTAAACAGCAATGGAGATTTTTTTTGGGTTTTAGTGTACTATTGTCCTTACATTTTGCTTTAATATTTTGCAGAATCCATGCTATCTTTAAGAGGGTTTGTCATTGAGTATCATTTGGGTATTTTGATGTTTTGATGTAACATTGATATAAATATCCCTAAAATTCTTACAAATCAATACAAAATACTTGCATTCTCCATTGTTTAGGACTAAGTATTTTAGTGTACTATAAAATACATGTACCAAATGATGATGTTACAATAGTAATCAATAAAACAGAAATGATGAGTTAAATTTATGTTTGGGTTCATTAGATGTGAAGACATGGTAGATGTGCGAAGGTTAAAGATGCTTCAGATGGTGCAGTTGTTTAAATGTGAAGAAGATGCTGCCCAGGTAAGGAGCAGTCAGCTACATTATGTAGTTAACTTTTCTTAGAAGATTGATTTTATCTAACTACAAACAAAAGTGTACTTTTCATGGTCCTAAAAAAGTAAATTCTTGAAGTCAGGTTCTAGTTTATCTATCTTGTTGAAGAATACACTTTGGTATTCCCAGCTAGTTGATTGATCTCATTTAACTTAATTTTCTCAATGAAATCCTCTATAATCCTCTATTGAGCTAGAGATTGGGATCGTTTATTATTTATTATTGTTGATTAGGTTGTCAGTTACATCCAGGATAAAATCTGGTGGAGCACACTGCATTTTGCTCTCTTGCATCTGCAAGAGAAATTTCAATACCAGATAAACAATTTGATATATTTTGTCGTTATCATCAGAGAACATCATTTCAGTTAGATATAGATAAAATTTTTGATTTTATGTAGTAACACAAATCTGTAATGCAATCCTGATGGATCTACATACAGAAATACATGATCTTTTATTATGTGATATTAATTTTAAAAGAATGCTTTTCTTCAGTATGTCTTGCCTTCAGATTTAAAGAATTTTGAGGAGTAGGACAGGTCATTAATTCATGTAGCTTATCATTGAATGAAATAAGCTTTTAAGACTTTAGGTTATAATTAACGGATTTATTAATCACATGATAGTAATCTCTGTATAAATGACATTTTGATACAATAAGTAAAGAGTTCTGAATCCAGCTTCATTGTTATGTCTTTTTGTTTAGGCAGTAGAATGGCTAAGTGAACTTCTGGATGCTCTGCTTAAGACTCACATCAGATTGGGCGATGATGCTCAAGAAACGAAAGTTTTGCTGGAAAAGCATAGAAAATTTGTTGATGTTGCACAGGTGCAAAACTGGTTATCTTCCTTTTCCACAAGCTCAGTGTTTGAATAGCTTTCTGCATGATTATAATGTAACTTTACCTTCCAAGTACAAGAAGGTTAGTTTTGTTATTCCAGAAGTGTCACAGAATTAAGAAAATGTCAGCTGGTGCATCAAAACTAGCCTGCATAAACTTGAGAGGGTTTACGTTTCCCTGAATACATGTTCTGCATGGTCCCTCTGATTTATGCTATGTATTACGGCATTTTTAAGGCAATCCAACTGTTCATCCACAGAAGTTAATATGAAATGGATGTTAATATCAGTAAATAAGAAACCTCACTTTCTGCATCACACTAGTGTTAGCATAATAATACAGAACTTTTTTGTGGTGAAAAGTGTCTTTTTTTTTTTTTTTAAGACACAGTCTTCCTCTGTTGCCCAGGCTGGACTGCAATGATGCAATCTCAGCTCACTGCAACCTCTGCCTCCCAGGTTCAGGCGATTCTCATGCCTCAGCCACCTGCGTAGCTGGGATTACAGGCACCGGCCACCACGCCTGGCTAGTTTTTGTCTTTTTAGTAGAGATGGGGTTTCACCATGTTGGCCAGGCTGGTCTTAAACTCCTGACCTCAAGCGATCCACCCGCCTCGGCCTCCCAAAGTGCTGGGATTACAGGAGTGAGCCACCGCGCCAAGCCAAAAAGTATCTTATTTTCCCTAATAATGAGTTCACGTTTTAACAGATGTAGTTTCCTATATGGAATATAAAGTGCCTAATTTCACCTACTTTTGAAAGTAGTTTTGATTAATTCATAAGCAGACATTCTTTCTGGCCAGTGAAATTTAAGCAGACTGCGATGGGGGAAACAGAATAAAGTGGGGAAGCCTAACAGAAGGAGACTTTTTTCTAATTAAAAATTTTAAAACAATTTTTGTTTTTTTGAGACAAGGCCTTGCTCTGTCAATTAGGATATGATGTTTCAGCACAATCATAGCGCACTGCATCCTCAAACTCCTGGGCTGAAGTGATCCTCCTGCCTCAGCCTCCAAGGTAGCTAGGACTACAGGCAAGTGTGGCCAAACTCAACTAATTTTTTTCATTTTTTTAGAGATAGGATCTTGCTATGTTGGCCAGGCTGGTCTTGAACTCCTAACTTCAAGCAATCCACCCACCTCAGCCTCCCAAAGTGCTGGGATTACAGGCATGAATCACTGTGCCTGGCCATGAAACTTATTATAAACTAACAAAAACATAGCTTCCCCTTTATTACTTATACACACAGATGATTTGTAGTAATAAGTGCCACTAGATTTATTCAGTATTGATTTCTAGTAGTGTCACTTAACTGTAACGACAATCTTCCTGCACACTTTCCCCATCCTTCTCTTAAGAATTCTTTTATTACAATTTTATGTTTCCTTTTCTTTTTTAGAGCACTTATGACTATGGCAGGCAGTTGCTACAGGCCACAGTTGTGTTATGCCAATCTTTGCGCTGCACTTCTCGGTCATCTGGGGATACACTTCCTCGACTGAACAGAGTATGGAAACAATTTACAATAGCATCTGAAGAGAGAGTACATAGATTGGAAATGGCTATTGCATTTCACTCAAATGCTGAAAAGGTTTGCTTGTGTTTTTGAAATGTTATTCTCAGTGGTATTGATTATATGTGTTTAAAATATGTTAATTTTAGTAATGTAACTATATGACTAATCTATTTTTCAATATTTATATTAGTTCCGTTGTTACGGTTTGTTTAGATATAATACATTGCCTTAGAGAGTTCAAATTAAATTTCCTTAATCCTTACCAGTGCTGGAGAGCCATGATTGGAGAAATCCAGAACCACCTGGTAGTCTTCTTCTCTTTACACTTCTCTCCTCACCAAGCCTGGTGTCCAGAATATGCCCTCTGTTCTTTAGAGTATCATGAGTTCAATCTCTTTCGTTATGCCTGGAAGGGAAACTTTTTGCTTTGGCAACTGCTATTAATTGTCACACATTTTTTAAAAGGCACCTTGTGATTTTATAAAGTCGGGACATTAAAAAAATAAGAATAAGGACAAAAGTAAAATGCTTTTTTATATGTGTTCTTTAAAGATTCATTCTAGAATTTATTATTCAATGAATTAAGGTCATTAATTTCAGAAACAAAAAATAAAATATGCAGGGTTATTTGGACACATTTTCAATAGAACTTTTTTCTTACTCTTCATAGTAAGAATTTATTCTACCCAAGCCTTACATATCCATTCTGAAAAGGAACTTTATTATGTAGTTAATTTTGTTTTGATCTCTTACAATAAAAGTTTATATGTAGGGAATGTTCGATACACTTTGAGATATTAGCAAACCTAACTTGATCCATGGAACAGATGTTGCAAGGAACCTCAGGAATTAAAGTTTCTATCTGAGTTATGAAGTACATCTGTTGGGAAGGGTCCATAGTTAACTCATTCTCAGCTGGTCATTGAACTCCGTAGATCAGTGTTTGATTAACATGGGCCTAATGATGATAAGTGGAAGTATACAAAATAGTGTAACTTGTTTATCTACTGATTGTTTCAATGAGAATTTTTTATTATTATGAAGTATACTATTAACATAGAAAACATACCACAAGTATTCTGTGCAGTGAGATTTCATAAAGTGAACACACCTGTGTACTCAGTGTACTGTTCAAAAAAAACAGAACATTACCAGCACCCAGAAGCTCCCCCCACCCTGTGTAATCACAGTACTGCTCCCCCAATCACCTCACTGTCAAAGGGTGACAATTGGCCCAATGTCTAGCACCACTGATAACTTTTTTTTTTTTTTTTGAGACAGAGTCTCACTCTGTTGCCCAGGCTGGAGTGCAGTGGCATGATCTCAGCTCACTGCAGGCTCCACCTCCTGGAGCTTGTTGTACAAACCTAAGTAAAGCCCTTTGTTATCAGATATTACTTTCCTCTTGACTGTATTCTATTTTATACCATAAGCATAAATATAAATAACCACAACTATAAGCAAATTGTATAGTATAATGATTAGAAAAATATCTAAATTAAATCTTGAGTTTTAAAATACAAAAATGTCCGTTCATGAGTAATGCTGAAGTAAACATGATTAGATAAAGTGTAATGCAAAAAAAAGTTGTAAAAATGAATACTTTTTATTCTCTCTCTCAAATTTTGCAGTTCTTGTGGTTTAATTTAAATGGTAATGGTTAGGGTGGAGTGAAGAACAGTATCTCATCAAGGACTATAGAGATTACCATATTTGAATTATAACCTAATCATTTTATGGCAGTTAACTCAAGCCAGCAGATCAGTTGTTAAATATTATCATCTAGCTGAGTTGTCACATCAGTTATTTATTTGTACTCTTTGTTGTTTTTTATTTATATAATTTTTCATTTGTAATGTCTATATGCTCTTTGAGAACACAGTCTATACCTCCTTCACCTTCCAGACTGCTACATAAACATAAACTGTTCAATAAATGGTTACTTAATATAAATGAAAGAATACTTCTTAAGGACAGATTGAACTTATTTTCCAAATAGTAGTCTAGTTATTTTCTTTCTTGGAAATCACCATATTGTTAGTAGGAATTATGTATTTCATTTTGTTTGTTTGAATTTCTTGAAGAATTTTGCCAATAATAGATCAATCTTATATAGTGGTATACCTGAAGATGCTAAGAACAAGAAAATGCCTTTAATCTACCAAATTTGTATGAGCTTGATTCCATTTCTGTGTCTTTCTTTTCTCTCTTTTTTTTTGTGGGGTGGGGTGATCCTCTGAAACTGCAGACCTGTCTGTGTCTCTTGATTGATGTTGCTCTTTTATTTGTTGCAGATTTTGCAGGACTGTCCAGAAGAGCCTGAAGCTATTAATGATGAGGAGCAATTTGATGAAATTGAAGCAGTTGGGAAATCACTTTTGGATAGATTAACTGTTCCAGTAGTTTATCCTGATGGGTATGGGGCATGTTCTTATAATTTTATTTTTTATTGGTGTGGTCTTAAAGTGAAATCATTAAAAGAGGAAATCTATTCTTTAAAAAGCCAAGTAAATTAGGTTTGGTCCACATCTTTAACTCCTACGATGAATTAGTTTAAAATGAAAAGAAATCCACACCTCTTAGCCACAGTAATGGTACTTGCCAACAACAGATGCGTTACTTCTTGACAGCTTGTTGTAGAATGATCATTGACTAGATTAAGACACTGGGTTCTAGCCTTGGCTATGATGGTGGGGAATAGTGTGACTTGGGGCTTCATTCAGGAAAAGGAAGAGGGGACAAGGGATTGATGTTTAGTGAGTTCACAATATATGCCAAGTACCAAGTGAAACATTTCACCTTCATTACTTTTGACCAAAGAGGACCAAACCAGTATGATTATTCCTGATTTACAAATGAAGAAACTGAGGCCCACAGAGATTAAGTAAGGCTCTCAGGATTTCACAGCTTCTAAGAGTTAGCATAAACTTACAATCTCAGGTATGTCTGTGTGGCTCCAAACCCATTCCCTTTGTACTGTGTTATATGGCGTTCTAATTTCTTTATGTGTGAAGGAATGGGGTCCTGATTATCTTACACCTTTCCATTTCAAATAGTGATAAAAATATGAAATAATCTGATGCAAAATAAATGGATCAGGAAAAGAATCAGGAAGAGCTTCAGCCGGGCGTGGTGGCTCACGCCTGTAATCCCAGCAGTTTGGGAGGCCAAAGCGGGCGGATCACAAGGTCAGGAGATGGAGACCATCCTGGCTAACACGGTGAAAACCCATCTCTACTAAAAAGACAAAAAATTAGCTGGGCGTGGTGGCGGGTGCCTGTAGTCCCAGCTACTCGGGAGGCTGAGGCAGGAAAATGGCATGAACCTGGGAGGCGGAGCTTGCAGTGAGCCGAGATCACGCCACTGCGCTCCAGCCTGGGTGACAGAGCAAGACTCCGTCTCAAAAAAAAAAAAAAAAAAGAATCAGGAGGAGCTTCATCCCTGGTGATTTAGACCTGATTCTTACTGAAAATAATTTAGAGATAATCCAGAGGATATTTAATTCAAATGATAGAGTAACCAAACCAGTAAATAAAAATACAAGTACCTTTAACGTTGTGGTATAGTGTGATGAGTCTGTGCACTCTGGAGCCAGAGGTCTCAGCTCTACCACTTACTCACTGTAACACCTTGGGCAAGCCACTTAACCTTTGTGCCTCAATTCCCTCATCTAAAAACTGCCATGTAACACTCATACCTTCCTCAGGTTATGGGGGTGTGGGAATTACCTGAGCTAAATAAGTATAAAGTACTTAAAACAGATCTGACACATAATAAGCACTGCTACTACTGTGCCATGATCTTCCAGTGATTATTTGGGATTGATATTGAAAAGATGGCATTTTATTCCCTTGAAATAATATTATTCATAGTCTATACTTACGTTATCTCAAGCCCCACCTAAACTTGAACAATCAGAGGTAGCCTAAAGTCACCTAAAGTTGTATTACACATCTGCAATAAAAGACAACAAAATTCAGCTAGTAGCAGAATTACAGGCGTGCTTCTGGTTGTTCCATTCCAGGATCCCTTACCCTCCCTGATTCCTACATTTCACAGCCAGTTGTCACACAGTCAGTCTCCTGTTCTACCCATGTCAGCCTAGGAACACCTCTCCCTGGTATGCTTGCTTCAGCTTCTCGTCTGTGTTTCACAGATAGTCCATGTGTCATTTCCTCATCCATCCTTTTAAGATAAAAGAATGTTAGTACTATATATTCAAAGTTCACACCCACCTTTAATATTTTGGAATTGCTGTTTTATTCCACTTTATATTCATATTAAAACTTATGTATATCTCTTTTAGGTATTTTGCTGAATTAAATATTTCCCAAAGTTGTGTGTAGTGTTTTCCATAATTATTAATATAATGGTAATCTGTTTATGCCATGTATAGTTTGTTTGACAGGTTAGACAGATTTCTCTTTTATACCTTCTCCTGGTAAAATAAAAGAGATTGATGGTCTCTCTGGATTCACTGCTCAAAGACCTAGGTTCAAATTCTGGTTTTTCCCTGGGTGACCTTGCTTACATCATTTAACTTGCTAGGCTCCACTTTTCTGATCTGAAAAATAAAGAGATTAACCTGATAATTTCTAAGAAATCTTCCAGCTCTAAAAATATTCTGTGATTCTGAATACAGTATCTTTGAGAGTAGAATAAAATTAATAATTTTATCTGTTAATGTACCAAAAAATGTCATAACATTAAAAAGAATATTTATTTTGCTTGCCAGCTCTATAGACAAGTGGTGTCCCCAGCCGGTAGCACTCAAGTACCTGTATAAATTTTATGTTTGTGCATCCTTCTGGACCCACATATTTCCAGTGTTTCATTGTTCAATTTGTTGCTATTATCATAACTACACATGATATAACCTTTATACCATCAATATATTTTTCTCATCATGTCTTAATGTATTTTATGCCATTTTAAAAAATGTTTTTCCTGCTGAATTTCCTGCTCAAACAGTATGATCACCGATGAACTGATATTTACACATAGGCTATCTCATGTAGATTTTTTATGGTAAATTTTTGCTTCTATTTGTATTCACTGCAGTTAATAGATTTGTATTAATCTGAGGTTTTTCTGTGTGTTTTGATTTTTAGAACCGAACAATATTTTGGGAGTCCAAGTGACATGGCTTCTACTGCAGAAAACATCAGAGACAGGATGAAACTAGTTAATCTCAAAAGGCAGCAGCTGAGACATCCTGAAATGGTGACCACAGAGAGCTAATAGCTACCAGCTACCTACAGATTTGCAGTTCATAATCCCGCATGTTGTCAACATACTACAGCATTAGCCACCACACCTTAAGATGCATTTCACAGCCAAAATAAGTCTCATTTCTTTTCATGACACATTTCTCTTTACATGTTAACACCTTGCTACTACCAAGGCATAATTACTTAACATGCTTCGAGGCTGTAGATTCCAAGTATCTTAAAAGAAGGAACTATAAACATTGCACTGAAAACTTGCTTTAAAGCTTTACCTGACCTGTCAGTTTGTAGACAAACAACTGATAATAAGCTTTGAATGGTGCTAATAAGAGTAGGAATTCTCTCTATTAAAAAGAAAAAAAAAAGTTGCCCTTCCTCCACAGGTGATTTAGTAAATTTAGACAGTAGTTAAACTCTTGTTAGTAGACAGTGGTGTCCTCAAAATTTTACTTTGTAATTCTTCAGAATTGATTATTTTTATTGTGTCAATACAGAGAAAGCCTTTCAGATCTTTGATATATCATAGTCATTAAAAGACCTTTTCCTATTTGTATTGATAATGTATTAAAAGTTGTTTGTGCTTAATAAAAGACTTCTTTAAACATCTTATTTAATTTAGTAGTTACATCCTATTTCCAAACATGAGTGCCTTATTTAAAAGGGCATTCTTAGGACTGTGAGGATGGTTTAATATTTGTTTTTTCATGGTGGTTGCATGTATTTTAGACAGGAAATACATATGTAAGCATGTGTATATAATAAATAAGCATGTTTTATCATGAAAAATTATTGTGAACAATTTAGATCTTTAAGAACTTATTAATAATGGAATACTATTTCTAATTTTTCTCTTTTTCAACTTGAAAAATATTCTCAAAATTATTAACTACCCTGAAGATACTTTGTCTTTAGGGGAGGAGGGCTGAGGAAGAAGGCATACATAATTACTTCAGTGTAATCCTTTATATCAGAGTAATCTTTCAGGAACTAAAATAGCAATTGTTAATAAAATTTAGTTTCTCATTATAGTCTAAAAGCAAAATAAATTCTGAAGTAGTCCAATAACAGAACTGTATGACCCCTTTAGAAATAAAATTTATCATGAAATGCTAGTTCTTTTAAGTTTGTATTAAGTTTAAATGGTAAAATGCATATAATTTAAATTTTATGTATTTTTATTTCAGAACATTTTTTAAAATATTAAAAATTATTTTTTAGTCTTGTAGTCATTACAAAATTATAAACGAGTTGTATACTGGTTCCTTTTTGAGGTCTACAAACATGCTCGTGTATCTTCCAATGCAAAAAAAAAACCCCTCCCTTTTAACCTGCTAGTTTTTCCAGCCTTCTTCACTGACTGACAGACTTCTTGGAGAAATCCACATCCAGTGCCCCTACATCCTCATCACTCACTACTCAGCACCTTGCAGTCTGGTTTTACACAGCACTCTACTGAAACTGTTCTTTTGAAAGTCAGCAATGGCCTCCCAGTTACCAAACTGAATGGTTTTTTTCTCCGTCTGAATCCCTTACCCTTTTCTCTGCAACATTTACACCATTGAGCAACCTTTCCTAGACAGTGTCTCCTTCCTTGAAGATGCTATCCTCTGAAATAACTGTGAGTACAGTCGCATAACCCTAATTTAAGATGTGCCTGCTGAACATGTGCTCTCTCAGATCCTGTCCTCAGAATGCTTTTGGCTCTTTTCTCGGTATCTCATCCTTAGAGTTTTTATTTTATACCAATGTTCTGGATTACATACCTGGTCCAGAAATCTAGACTTGTACTTCTTTTTAATTGCCTAGTTGACATTTCAACCTTGATTAAAGATTGACAATATTTATCACCTTTTCCTCCTGGAACAATTTAGGTTAATGGTGCAGCCTTTTTTCCTAGTCAAACATGCCAGGAAGTTCAGGGCAAAGTTCAACTGCTCCCTCTTGTCTTATGTGGTCACTGCTTCTGAGAACATCCAGGAAGTTCTTTCTATACTTGAATCATCTTCTCAGTCCTTTGGGGCTTTACTGCTATGAGTATGAACTTTTGTGATTATTTATTTCAGTCTTCATGATGGTGCTATCACATTCTACAGTTGTTTATGTCTGTACCCAGTAAGCTCTTTTGAGGGAAGGAATCTTGTCTTCTCCTATTCCCAGTCTTGCTCATGCATAACAGATGCCCATTCCTCCTAAATATGAATGCTGTATTATAGGCATTAGTAATAATCCCTGTTACATTGCAGTCTGAAGTATGTTTTAAACATACTTTTTTAAAGTTAGAACTGACTTACAAGTGAATCTATTCTTAGATTCTTAGATACTAACTACTTTAGATATTTAGTTATACTCAATAACTAAATATCAATACTCAATATCTGTTTCTTCTGAATTTCAGAGTAGTTAGAATGTTTTTCTTAAGACTTTGCTAGAAAGGAACTGGTTTGTTAGTAATTCTGCCATCAACTCATGGAGTTATAATTGCCAAATGAGTTAATTTTTATATACCTTAAGCTATCTTGCCTACAAAAAGTAAAATAAGGCAGGATTCATAAATGTTACTTGTAAATTGAGTGTTTCACATGAGGCCAAGTATGATTTTAACATAATGAATATCATTGCTCCTCATCTGTAAATTTGCTGCTGCTTTCATATGTGTATCTGTACATAGAGTTATGAATGAAAATCCAGTAATGCCCTAAAGCAACTTTCTTCCATAGGGTCAAAGCTCACTTAAGGTAAACGTGTGAAAAAAGTGACTGCAGTGTGTTTGAAACCACAAGCTGTTTCTATGTCATAAATTAACATCAGCTTGCAAGTCTCTGAAAGAACCACTCATTTGTAATTGGTATATATGTCACAACCTCCCACATTCCTTTAGCCCATCTCAGGGAATTATTGAAACGCTGGCAGGGTTAGTTTCATTTTGTTTTGGTTTTTTTGGGTTTTTTTGTTTGTTTGAGGATTTTTTTTTTCTTTTATCATTTGTTTGCTCCTGTGTAAGCTTAATATATAATGGCAGTTTGGCATCTGTTCTTCGCACATGTCTAACCCAGCAGAGTTATGCAAAAATGATGACTTCATTTTAGGTCAAATTGGCTTTGTTCCCAGTCCTCATTGTTGGTCACTTTGTTCAGTTCTGGTGACTCATTGGTGATGTTGATGAAACTGCTCAGCCTGCCAGCTGGGATATTGATGGCAGGTCTAGGCTTCATTGTTAGGTAGAAGATTGAATACTTCTCACTTTATACAAATTTACATTGGCTATTGCTCCCATGTGTTAGCTAGTCTTAACATGTTTGTTATTTCGTTATCTTATTAGCTGACATACGGAGTGGTATTATTAGTGTCGTACTCCTTAGCGTGAGCATGACAATTAAGTTACCTTACTAACAGTGATGAGTAAACCATACTCTGATCTAAACCCATTGTTACCAATGATGTGATTATGAAGTTAGCTGAATCTATGGTCTACATTTGAAGAAATAGTTCAGAATTCTCTACTACATTGTAAGTTACTTGCTAATAGAGATTGGGCATTATTATGTACTACTCCCCTTCTCACATCCTACCCAAAGTACACAAGGCCGTAGTAAAATACTGTTGCTACTAAAAACTAAACATACTGTGGTTGCTAATGTCCTTTACATCTTCAGCCTATAGGGAATGGTACAGGCAGAAACAAGCACCATTAAGTATATTATCATCAGTAGTGAGATCTGTATGATTAGGATATCTTTGCTTAAGCCCCCAAAGGAAAAATTCTCTAGCATTAAAAACATGGCTGGAACATAGCTAAGCAGTTAACCTAATTAGTAGACTTATTGTTAACGTTCAGTCCTAAAAATGAAAAGCTTCAGTTGGGAGTAGAAAATATACTATGCTGGTATATAGAGCAACAAATACCCTGATGAGATAAAATGAAGTAGAAACTTACCATTTGACATTATTTGACTTTCATACATGCTACTGAAAAGTCTAGGTTTAGCTAAGAAGCATAAATAATGGCAGTACTTGTAGAGGAAAGAACATACCAGCTAAAACAAGAACTGTAATGAATATAATGGAAAGTGTTTGGAGCTTGAATACTTGGCTTCAAAAATCTGGCTTTGCCATTTACTGTTAAAAAAATATCTGAGAATTTATCTCAGGCTGTAAAACAGAGAAGTCATACCAATTTCAAGAATAAAATATGATATAAAGAATTGTTGAAGCCAAAATATCCAGAAATAAACAGAATGGAAGGTATCATTGCTATAATTATCTTTTCAGAATAAAAAATAGAGTATTCTTTATCCTTTCTGTTGTCTCACATGACAAGCATGGGATGGTGAGGAAATGGCATATTGCCTATGTTCGCCGCCCCACCCCCTTAGTTCCACCACCCCTTCACCGTCACCCCCAGTTCACTAGTGTATCAGAATGCATCTTCAGAATTACACACTGAAGATACAAAAGGTCCAGTTGGTAAGCTCATCAGTAAATAACAAGGCTTTGAAATCTGACAAATTAGCTATTTTTGTAGGAAGATAATAGAACAGCAAGATGGAAGACAAGTGATGAGTATCATCTGTTTTGAGGTTGACAAGGTGTGACATAACCCTGTTAATAGACACAAGTAAAAGAAAATCATACTAGGATTGGATATTAGTGAGCGAGCACCGACCAGTAGAAACAACAACAGCATAAATCTGTTATTTAAGTATCCCAATAATGAGGTTAAAAAAAAAAAAAAAACAGAACAAAGCATGAAAAGACCACAATTAGTGCTGGCTATGCTTAGAGAGGAGCAGTCTCTTGGTAAACTCAGGCAGTGATGATGAACAGAAAATGGCCGACTGATACTGTAATAGAGGCATAGAACTAAGGACACTCCGTGAGCTGGCATAAATACAGGGGAGTCTTTAAGACTGAAAAAAGTTCATGGGTATGACACTTAATATGACTCAACATTACTGCAGAATTTTAAAGCAAACATGAAAGCTTGAGAATAAACACTAGTCCCTCTACTTCAAGAAAAAGCAGAACCTGTACTAGAACATGAAGAACTTAGAGATCAAAAGACAGCCAGAACTATGATGAAATATTTTGAAAGCAGTGGGCACATTTTTAAAGATTTTTTTTGGAGAACTTTATGAGGCTGTATGTATAATTCCTATATGTAATTTTATAGGAATTCTTAACTGAAAGTAGTTATCAACTGCTACTTATCAGGAGCAGTGTTATTAGGGATTTTAAGTTAGGCATGTAGAAAACTTTCTGACAAAAGGGCTATTGAACTCCAGCCAGTTCCCAGTGAATCTCCAGGAGGCACCTTAGAAGTCTTCACAAGCTGAATACCATGTCTTTAGGGTGTCCAAATGCTTCTGTCTTGGGGGAGAGATGAGAGATGACTGGGTGCCTTTCCACTCAGAACACAGTAGACCACTCACTATTTATGACCAAGCCTCACTTCTTTTCTATTACAGTTACAGATTCTTTTTTAGTCTGGAAGTTAGGGTAAATAAAATTTGTATGTTTGATTTTTCTCTTAGGAATGTTTTCTCATCTTAACTCTTATGTTATCTTTATGGCCAACAGATTTGCTCAGAATATATCATCAAAATATATGTATTGTATTTTGTAAAGGTGAAAGGATCGAAATACCACTTTGACAGTTATAAACCAGAGTAGATTTGAGAACTGATTGCTCACATCACACTTACGAATAGTCTCAGAAGCCTTTAAGAGAAACTTACTTCTCAATGGACACTTAGAAGAATTTGATGATCTTACTGTCATAAAATCAGTAATGAAATTCTCAGCAAAACTATTTGGTAAACATTGCACCCTGTATTTTTACCCAACATCTTGTTATGAAAATTATCAAATACATTAAAAAGTTAAAATAATTTTATAGTGTACTCACTACCTAGATGCTAATTAGCATTACCTATGCTTGCTTTGTCACATATCCATTCATCATTTCATATTATTATTTGATGCATTTTAAATTGCATATCATTAACTAGAGTTCATTGTTGGCTTTTTTACATAAAATTAGCATGCAATGAAGTGCATAGAAATATGTGTTCACTGAGGTTTGGCAAATGCATATAGTGCTATGGAAATAGGAAACGTTATCACCACCCTAGAAAGTTTCCACACTGCCCTTTCCAGTCAATTCCTGTCCCTACTTGACCCTCAAAGGCAACCACTGTTCCTTTTTCTACCATAAGATTTTTCTGTTCTAAAACTTTATATAAATAGAGTCACGCAACATGTACGCTTTTCTACAAGGCTTCATTTTTTTATTGCTGTTCTTTTTTATTGCTGAGTAGTATTCCACTGTATGACAATATTACAGTTTGTTTTCTTAATTTCCTATTATTGATAGATACCTGGGCTGTTTCCAGGATTGGCCATTATAAATAAAGCTGCTATGACCATTCTTACGTAAGTCTTTGTGAACATAGGTTTTCATTTCTTTGCAGTAAATTCCTTGGATTAGAATTGCTGGGTCACAGGGTAGTTTTAAAAGAAACTGCCATACCTTTTTCCAGTTCAGTTTTATTGTGCCCTGTATTTTGTATTTTGATGTGCATAAAGGTGTAAACTATTTTTATGATCCATATTGAAGTATTAGAAGAAGTGAGTTTGGAATAACAATGGCATTGTTCATGGTCAAGGATGACAATTGGAACTATCTGAGGAAAGCAAAGACCTGTCTGCCCCAGACAGCTCCTCAAGGGGTTCCTATGCCTGAAACTTTAGCAATATTTCACTCCTTGAAAGGTTAAAGCCCAACCATGGTGATATGTTAGCTAGAAGAAACAGCACTGGTTTGTTTATGTTACTAACTTTCACCACCCGTTTTCAGTAGGTAAAGTAAGACTGATCATTGAACAGAAAAGGTTATTTCTGTGATGAGGTTGAGGGGGTAGTGGAAAGCATGTATTGCTAGTAAGCCCCAGGTACAGCTATGTGAGAGAGAGTCACCTGGACAGGGAAGTCCCCCAAATGGTGGCCAGAAGAGCAGAAAACGGGGTGGGAAAAATTCTACCTCACAGTTTTGCATAGGGGATAGCTATGCTTTTACGGGACATTTTAGCGTTTAAAAATATTTTCAATATTGTCTCTTTATTCAATACCACCCAGCTGTA
Source organism: Homo sapiens (assembly GCF_000001405.40). NCBI lineage: Eukaryota > Metazoa > Chordata > Mammalia > Primates > Hominidae > Homo > Homo sapiens. Next base: position 179,102,772 of record NC_000002.12, on the reverse strand, counting down.
GTTTTTTCACACTCTGATGACTCTCTTATCCACTCTTTTACCTCTCCCAGCTGTTCTATTACATACAGCATTCACCTGTATTAGTCTATAGAATTATAATCATCTGTGTGTTTCTAATGCTCATTTTCAAAAATATGTATGGTTTATTCGATTTTTCCTATTAAAATTTTAAGGGCTGGGAAATTTGGCTTCTACTGTAAATCCTTATAATGTTCCACACATTGTAAATATGCAATAAAAATGTTAACAACTATAATGGCAGCAGGTTTTGGTATGTATTTCTTTGATATATTGTCACTTTGGACAATAAGTTTGATTTCTGTTAATAAAAGTTGTTCATAAAATCTAGGGAGAATTAAGTCACACTGGTCTCTATAAGATAATCTGATGAATTCTGCATCTTTGAATCAATTTGAGTTATTTTTTGTAAAGGTTTAAATTGTTTCTAACAGTGTTACCTAAAACCTTTCATTAAATCAAAAATGTAACTTGTATATTCTGAAATAACCTGGAGTCTTAGAAGACAGAGGCTTCTGCTTCCCTCTCCCGTGACCCCAACAATCCCTTCCCACAGGCTTGGCACAGAAGTTCAGTGCTTTCTCTACGTCTCATGTTGTCAGAAATAGGTTCTCACCATAATAGACAGTGGTGAAATTTCCATTGTTCCTACTGAGAAGTCCATTTTTAAGGCATCAAAGGTGAATGTGTATTTAGGGATGGAGGAGGCATATTACAACAAAGCTGTATTTAAAATAACACAATCATATCATGCTATAAACAATAGCAGTTCCAGAATGGCTACTAAGGATTTTGGACTGCCAGACTTTGGAAATTGGCAAGCCTTATACCTTGTCCAATGAAGTTAAGTACATTTGAGTGACAGTTCAACATACAAGCAAAAAAATATATAGAAGACATTGTACATTTGTTATTAATGGACATGTTTACTTTACATGTTAGAGTATCCATCCATCTCTAGGTTTTCCATTAGATGCTTCATTGTATCCACAAACCTGTTTCAAACCATTGAAGTGATCTTACCATTGTGTTTGTTCAAAATAAAATTGGGAGAAAATGTGAATGAGTCAATATCAACACTTGACATTCCTGTCTTTTTAATACATTTTATTCTTTTGTTTAGAAAATTTTCAGAATCGGAAAATCAGCTCTACTAATTGTCTACACATACACAAATACTAATAGTTGCATCCATCTGGGAGTCCTGTATTGATGGCAGTATCAGGCTTTCCTAGAATCTTCTGTTAGAACTGGGAACATATTTTCCCATAAAAAAATGATTAAAATGCAATTAGTCCTCTTCTTCAACTATATTATGGGTTATGCAAGCTACTGTAAGATGACCTAGAAATCTAGCATTAATTATATTACTGTATAAGTTAACAACTGACCTACCAATATATTTTTAGGATATATCCCACTCATTAGTTGGAAGCCACTCTTGTTCTAAGAAAATGTTTAGAACTCATAGACCATAAAGATGGTACTTAGGACATGAACATAGATTAAGTTTTGAAGGAGGACTATAGTTGCATTGTAGCCATGTAGTTAGAACTAGAATATGTGTTCTATACCAGTGGTTATCAAATATGAGTGTGCCTACAAATCAACTGGAAGTGTTACTAAAATGCAGATTCTGATTCAGTAAATCTGGGGTAGGACCAAAAGTTTTGCATTTTCAACAAGTTTCTAGCTGCTGCTGCTGCTGCCAGTCTGCAGACCACACTTCTGACTGCAAGATTCTAGAATACCTTTTATAAAAACTTCAATATATAAACTTTTCAGAGACAATGTCTGATCATCCTGCAAATTACCTAATTTCTCTAATTTGAATAGAAGAATACAGAGATGGCATTTTGGGAATTATATACTTATAGGGACTAGAGAAACCAAACATGTTTATGAAATTAACACGTTCTGAAAGATTAGCACATCCAATCTATGGTAAATTTTAGCAAATTCAAAACAGAGTGAAGCCTGAACTGTCATTTTCCAGCATCTCATCACTAAGGGAAGGTTGTTTTCAACTGGAAATAACTAATTCCTTTATGCTTTATTATTTAAATTTCTGTTTAAGAATAATGTGTAGTTATTATTTTTAAAGTACTCTAGTAAATAGAGAAAAATATAAAAAGTGAAAACTGCCCATTATTTATCAGTGCTGAGAACATAGTTAATATTTGATACATTTCCTTTGTATTTAACCTAACGAGTATGCTAGCATTCAACTTTATTTCCTGCTTTTTACAGCTATTATATCATAAAAAAATTATTAAACTTTTTTCCAGTTTAAGTCAATAGCTGTGTAATAGTCAATAATATGTAAATACCATGATTTAACTATTAAACTATTAGGTGAAACATTTAGTTTCTTTCTCTTTCTTTCTTAACGGTACTATAAGTAATGCTGCAATGAACATCCTTGCTCTTAACTTTTTGACAGCATCTCTCCTTGGGATTGATTCCTGAAAGTAGAAATATTGGATTGGAATGTATGCATATTTTGAGGCTTTTAATAGATATGGCCAAATTGCTTTCCAGAAGGTTAGGTAGATGTATGTGTCTGTTAACAGTTAGGGTGCCTGATAGACTGGATTAAGAAAATGTGGCACATATACACCATGGAATACTATGCAGCCATAAAAAATGATGAGTTCATGTCCTTTGTAGGGACATGGATGAAATTGGAAATCATCATTCTCAGTAAACTATCGCAAGGACAAAAAACCAAACACCGCATGTTCTCACTCATAGATGGGAATTGAACAATGAGAACACATGGACACAGGAAGGGGAACATCACACTCTGGGGACTGTTGTGGGGTGGGGGGAGGTGGGAGGGATAGCATTAGGAGATATACCTAATGCTAAATGACAAGTTAATGAGTGCAGCACACCAGCATGGCACATGTATACATATGTAACTAACCGGCACATTGTGCTCATGTACCCTAAAACTTAAAGTATAATAATAATAAGAAGCTCACACACACAAAAAAAAAAACAGGGTGCCTGTCTCATGGCACTATTTCCAGCATGAAGTGGTGTTCTTTTTAAAGTCTTTACAAATCTTTGAGAAAACCAGTTCACTGTACATTTCTTTAACCACCAGTGAGGCTGAAACAAATTTAATGATTTATTATTATCCATTGTGTTTCCCTTCTGGTGACTTGTCTGTTACTATTTTTGCATACTTTTCCTTTGGAGTTAGCTTTTTTTCTTATTTGTTTGAAGAGTTTTTTTTTAAATAAGGCTAATAATCCATCATATTTGAACAAGTATTTTTCCTAGTTTGTTATTTATTCTATCTTTATGAAGTTTGGTGATGTTATGCTCATATTTATGGTGAAATTTATTTACAGACCTTGATATTTTTATATTGCCTTAATGACTAGAAAATCTTTCCTCAGCTTAAATTTTATTTCTCCTGTGCAGTTTTTTTTTACTCTAGACTCCTACATTCAGAAAAAATTTTGGTGCCTTGTGTGAGGTGGTGATATAATATGATACATTTTTCCACATATCAAATGTTCTCAACATAACTTATTGGATAATCTATCCCTCCCATTGATTTCTGAAACTCCTTTGAAAATATATAGAGTTGAGTTCTTAAGTTTTCTGGGGCTACTTCTAGGCTAGCTGTTCTGTCCTGTTGATCAGTTTGTTTATAATTTTGCCTATACCATAGTGCTTTTAGTATTGCTTTAAAAGTAAGACAAACAAAAAATAAAAAGTTATTTTTTGTAGCATTGCAGAGAAACAGCTTTTCCTACTGAAAGAATTTTTTTGGTGGCATGGTGAGTATAGATGCCAGCGAATTTATGTAGTAAAGAAAAAGGTTATAGGCTTAGAGGTATTTTAGTCAAAACAAGGGAAGTGAAGAAGTAGTAGCTGTATAGCAGAGAGAGAGAACCTGTGCAGAATGCAGAGAGGAAAAAGTACAACAGAAAAGATCAAACAGCAAGAGAATAGCACAAAATGGAAGGGAAGGAAAAAAATGGAGAAATAACAAGATTTGTGAAAGGAATGGAATAGTAATGATTATAGTATTTCATTTACTGATTATATTTACAAACATATGAAGCATATTTACAGTAGTATATTTGAATATAACATGCAAAACACACAAACAATAAGGCCTGACCCATGAGATCAACAAAGACATACAAAACCAGAATGGTGTATCAACACTAATAACAGAAGAAATAGACCGAGACAGAAACCCAGGTGCTCACACTAACAAAGTGCAACAGATTCTGTTGTAGTTGGATTGATGGTCGAAAGAATTCACAAGTACAAGGTTCACCTGACCTATCCTGAAATTAGTAATACATGTTTAATTTTTCAGTTTGGTAAAATCATTTATCATTGTTCCAATAGTTACTCAAAATCAGATTTACTTTAGACAGTGTGACACAGAAAACAGAACACAGGCTTTGGGGTTTCATAATTTAGAGCCAGTGGTTCAGAATTCTATTTTTGGTGTTAAGTTGGCATGAGTTAAGCCATATTATCCTTGTGATTTTGGATAAGTTATTTAACGTTTCTAGGTCAATGTCCTCAATAAAATGGCATTAATATAGAAAATACTTCAGTGTTTCTCTAGTAATTAAGTGACATTATGTAAAACAAATCTTCAGCAGGGTAGCTGGCACACGATCAGTGCCCTATATTGATATTATTTTCTCTGAGCTTCCTAGACAGCAAGCTCCTGAGGGCAGGGATCCCATTTGTCTTCTTCCCTGATGTTTTCCTGGTGCTTAAGTCAATGTCTGGTACATCAAAAGTGCTCAGTAAGTATTTGTTGAAAAAGAAAATGATAATTTGCATGGCATTTAAAACGTGAGGCAGGTGGAGTGGGTAAAGCAAGACGGTGGAATAGAAGTCTTCACCAATTGTTCCCCCTCAAGCCCCCTGCAAGGACATCAGTTTAAAAAATATCTACACACACAAAAAAAGCACCTTCATAAGAACAAAAAATCAGGTGAGCACTCACAGTAAGTACCTGGTTTTAACTTCATATCGCTAAAAGAGGCAATGAAGAGGTAGAATGAACAGTCTTGGATTACTGACACCACCTCCTCCTCTATCCCCTGAAAGTGGCAACAAGGTGAAGAGAACCTTGTGCCTTCTGTGCCCTGGGGAGAGGGAAAGCACAGCAATTGTGAGGTATTGAAATCAGTGCTGCTTTTATAGCAGAAAGCAAAACCAGACCCAACTCAGCTGATGCCCACCCTGGAGGGTGCATGTAAACCAGTCCTAGCCAGAGGGGAATCGCAGATCCCAGAGGTTGGAACATGAGTTCCTGCAAACCTCATCATTGTAGGCTTAAGGGATTTGGGGTCCCAAATAAACTTGAAAGGCTGTCTAGGCCACAAGAACTGTAATACATAAATGAGTCCTGGGTCTGAACTGGGCCCAGAGCCTGTGGCCTGGAGGGACATGGGACATACTGAGACACCAGCTGGGGTGACTAAGGGAGTGCTAGCATCACCCCTCCCCTAACCCCAGGCAACTCCAAAAGAGAACCCTTTCTTGCACTTGAAGAGAGAAGATGGAAGAGTGGGGCAGACTTTGTATTGCATCTTAAATACCAGCTCAGCCACAGCAGAACAGGGCAGCAATCCAAGTCGTAAGAACCCTATTCCAGGCCCTACCTCCTGGACATTTCTAGACACAACCCTAGGCCAGAAGGGAACCACTGCCTTGAAGGGAAGGACCCAGTACTGGCAGGGCTTATTACCCGGTAACTGAATAGCCCTTGAGTCCTGAATAACCAGCAGCAATACCCAGGTACTATGTCAAGGGCCTTGGGTGAGACAGAGCCTTACCAGCCACAAATGAGTCTCAGCATATTCCCAGGTGTGGTGTCTAAAGGGTGAGACTTCTGATTGAGAAAAGCAGAGGGAAAAGTAAAGGGGACTTTGTCTTGCACCTTACATACCTGCTCAGCCACAGCAGGCTAGAGCACCAAACAGGCTCTTGGGGCCCCCAGTTCTAGGACTTAGGTCTTGGATGGCATTTCTGGACCTGCCCTGGGCCAGAGGAGAGCCCATTGCTCTGAAAGATGAGTCCCAGGCCAGGCAGCACTCACTACAAGCTGACTGAAGAGCCCTTGGGCCTTAAGAGAACATCAGTGGTAGTCTGGCAGTACTCCCCATGGGCCTTTTCCTCAACACACAGATCATTCTCAATGATAGACCATATGTTAGGTCACATAACAAGCCTGAAAATATCCCCCTAAAATTAAAATAATATCAAGCACCTTCTCTGACCACAATGGAATAGGTGGCAATGGCCACCGGGTGAGCTTCCTCTGCCTTCGGAAAGGGGAAGGAAGAATGAGAAGGACAGCCTCTTGTGGTTTCAGTGTCAGCTCAGCTGTAGTACAATAAAATACCAGGTGCACTTCTAAGGTTTTTGACTCTAGACCATAGCTCCTGGATGGCATCTCTGGATTCACCCGGGAGCCTGGGGGAACTCACCACCCTAAATGAAAGAACAACATAGGTGTGACTGGCCTTGGCACCTGCTGATTATAGAGCCCCAGGGCTTTGAGTGAACATAGGTGTTAGCCAGGAAGTGGTTACAGCAGACTTTGCATACAGCAGTGTTGTGCTGGCTTCAGGTCTGAATTAGCAGAATCCTAGGGATGGTGGCCACCAGGGTGCTTGTGTCACTCCACCCCCAACTTCAGGTGGCTCAGGGTAGAAAGAGACTATTTGGGAGAAAGTAAGGGAAGAGAACAAGAAAGAGTCTCTGCCTGGTAATCCAGAGAATTCTTTATCTTGGCCAAGACCATCAAGGTGGTACTTTTATGAGTCTGCAAGAACCACAGCACTACTGGGTTTGGGGTCTGCCCTAAAGCAGATGCAGCTTAGATCAGAACACCCAAGCCTTTTAAAATATCTGGAAAGCCTTCCCAAAAACTACAGTTGCAAACAAGCCCAGACTGAGAAGACTACAAAAAAAAAACAAAACAAACAAACAAAAAAAAACTAACTTTTCAATGCCCAGACACAGATGTACATCTACAAGTATCAAGATGACCCAGGAAAACATGACCTCACCAAATGAACTAAATAATGCACCAGGGGCCAATCCTGGAGAGACAGAGATATGTGACCTTTTAGATATTGAAGTCAAAATAGCTGTTTTGAGGAAACTCACATAAATTAAAGACAACACAGAGAATTCAGAATTCTATCAGATAAATGAACAAAGAGATGGAAATAATTAAAAAGAATCAAGGAGAAATTTTGGAGCTGGCAAATGCATTTGGCTTAGTGAAGAATGCATCATAGTCTTTTAACAGCAGAACTGATCAAGCAGAAGAAAGAATGAGTGAGCTTGAACACAGGCAATTTGAAAATACACAGTCAGAGGAGACAAAAAATAATACAAACCAATGAAACACACCTACAGATTTTAGAAAATAGCTTCAAAAGGGGAAATCTAAGAGTTATTGGCCTTAAAGAAGAGGTAGAATGTCTATTCAATGGGATAACTAGAGAGAAATTTACAAACCTAGAGAAAGACGTCAATATCCAAGTACAAGAAAGTTATAGAATGCTAAACAGATTTAACCCAAAGAAGATTACCTCAAGGTATTTAATAAATGAACTCCCAAAGCTCGAGGCTAAAGAAAGCATCCTAAAAGCCACAAGAGAAAAGAAACAAATCGCTCCTATACATCTGGCATCAGACTTTTCAGTAGAAGCCTTACAACCCAGGAGAGAGTGGCATGACATATATAAAGTGCTGAAGGAAAATATTTTTAAACTTAGAATAGTACATCAGGTGAAATTATCTTTCAAACATGAAGGAGAAATAAAGACTTTCCCAGACCAAAAAAAAAAAAGGAGAGAGATTTTTATTAACACTAGAGCTGTCCTACAAGAAATGCTAAAGGGAGTTTTATAGTCAGAAAGAAAAGGACAATAAGGAGCAAGAAGAAATAATCTGAAGGTATAAAACTCAGTGGTAATAGGAAGTACAAAGAAAAGCAAAGAATATTATAACATGATAACTATGGTGTGTAAACTGTTATTAAGTAGAAAGACTAAATAATGAACCAATGAAAAATAGTAACAACAACAAATTTTTATGATGTAGACAGTACAGTAAGACATAAAGAGTAACAACAAAAAATTAAAAAGCAAGGGGAATATTAAGGTATACAATATTAGTTTACTTTTTGATTGCTTGCATGTTTGTTTATGCAAACAGTGTTTTTATCAGCTAATCTCAAACCAAAAATCATACAACGTATACAGAAAAAATAAGAAGCAAGAAACTAAATCATATGACCAGAGAAAATTACCTTCACTAAAAGGAAGACAGGAAGGAAAGAAGGAAAACAAGACCACAAAGCAAACAGAAAACAAAACAGTAGAATTATATCATTATTTATCAACAATAACATTGAATGTAAATGTACTAAACTCTCCAATAAAAGACAGAGTTTTGGATACAAAGAAACACAAAACATGACCTATTGATCTGTTTTCTACAAGAAACACATTTCAACTATAAAGACATACATAAACTGCAGATAAAGGGATAGAAAAAGATATTCCATGCCAATGGAAACCAAAAAAGAACAGGAGTAGCTATCATTATATCAGACAAAATAGATTTCAAAACAAAAACTATAAGAAAAGACAAGGTCACCATATAATGATAAAGGGGTCAGTTCAGCAAGAGGATATAACAATTTAAAATATACATGGACCCAACCCTGGAACACTCAGATATATAATGCAAATATTGTTAGAGCTAAAGAAAGAGACTCCAATACAATAATAGCTGGAGACTTCAACACCCCACTTTCAGCATTGGACAGATATTCCAAATAGAAAATCAACAAAGAAACATCAGACTTAAAATGCACTATAGACCAAATGGATCTAATAGATATTAATAGAACATTTCATCTAATGACTATAGAGTGCATATCCTTTTCCACAGCATATGGATCATTCTCAAACATAGACCATATATTAGGTCACTTAAAAAGCCTTAAAATATCCCCTCAAAATTAAAATAATATCAAGCATCTTCTCTGACCACAATGGAATAAAACTATAAAACAATCACAAGAGGGATTTTGGAAACTATACAAATACATGCAGATTAAACAATATGCTCCTGAATGACCATTGGGTCAAAGAAGAAATTAAGAAAGAAATTGGGGGGGAGGAGCCAAGATGGCCAAATATGAACAGCTCCAGTCTACAGCTCCCAGCGAGAGTGATGCAGAAGACGGGTGATTTCTGCATTTCCAACTGCGGTACCAGGTTCATCTCACTGGGGAGTGCCAGACAGTAGGTGCAGGACAGTGGGTGCAGCGCACCATGTGCGAGCCAAAGCAGGGCGAGGCATCACCTCACCCAGGAAGTGCAAGGGGTCAGGGAATTCCCTTTCCTAGTCAAAGAAATTGGTGACAGATGGCACCTGGAAAATCGGCTCACTCCCACCCTAATACTGCATTTATCCAACTGGCTTAAAAAATGGCACACCAGGATATTATATCCCGCACATGGCTCAGAGGGTCCTACACCCATGGAGTCTCACTCATCGCTAACACAGCAGTCCCAGATCAAACTGCCAGGTGGCAGCGAGGCTGGGGGAGGGGTGCCCACCATTTCTGAGTTAGCTGTTTGATTAGGTAAACAAAGCAGCTAGGGAAACTCCAACTGGGTGGAGCCCACCACAGCTCAAGGAGGCATGCCTGCCTCTGTAGGCTCCACCTCTGGGGGCAGGGCACAGACAAACAAAAGCAGCAGTAACCTCTACAGACTTAAATATCCCTCTCTGACAGCTTTGAAGAGAGTAGTGGTTCTCCCAGCACGCAGCTGGAGATCTGAGAATGGGCAGACTGTCTCCTCAAGTGGGTCCCTGACCCCCAAGTAGCCTGACTGGGAGGCATCCCCCAGTAGGGGGGCAGACTGACACCTCACCCGGCCGGGTAATCCTCTGAGACAAAACTTCCAGAGGAACGGTCAGGCAGCAGCATCTGCGGTTCATCAATATCCACTGTTCTGCAGACACTGCTGCTGATATTCCAGGCAAACAGGGTCTGGAGTGGACCTCTAGCAAACTCCAACAGACCTGCAGCTGAGGGTCCTCTCTTTTAGAAGGAAAACTAACAAGCAGAAAGGACATCCACACCCAAAACCCATCTGTACATCACCATCATCAAAGACCAAAGGTAGATAAAACCACAAAGATGGGGAAAAAAAAGAGCAGAAAAACTGGAAACTCTAAAAATCAGAGTGCCTCTCCTCCTCCAAAGGAACGCAGCTCCTCACCAGCAATGGAACAAAGCTGCATGGAGAATGACTTTGACGAGTTGAGAGAAGAAGGCTTCAGACGATCAAACTACTCCGAGCTACAGGAGGAAATTCGAACCAATGGCAAAGAAGTTAAAAGCTTTGAAAAAAAATTAGACGAATGGATAACTAGAATAATTAATGCAGAGAAGTCCTTAAAAGACCTGATGGAGCTGAAAACCAAGGCACAAAAGCTATGTGATGAATGCAGAAGCCTCAGTAGCCAATGCGATCTACTGGAAGAAAGGGTATCAGTGAGGGAAGATGAAATGAATGAAATGAAGCGAGAAGGGAAGTTTAGAGAAAAAAGAATAAAAAGAAACGAACAAAGCCTCCAAGAAATATGGGACTATGTGAAAAGACCAAATCTACGTCTGATTGGTGTACCTGAAAGTGATGGGGAGAATGGAACCAAGTTGGAAAACACTCTGCAGGATATTATCCAGGAGAACTTCCCCAATCTAGCAAGGCAGGCCAAGATTCACATTCAGGAAATACAGAGAACGTCACAAAGATACTCCTCAAGAAGAGCAACTCCAAGACATATAATTGTCAGATTCACCAAAGTTGAAATGAAGGAAAAAATGTTAAGGGCAGCCAGAGAGAAAGGCCGGGTTACCCACAAAGGGAAGCCCATCCAGACTAACAGCTGATCTCTCTGCAGAAACTCTACCAGCCAGAAGAGAGTGGGGACAAATATTCAACATTCTTAAAGAAAAGAATTTTCAACCCAGAATTTCATGTCAAGCCAAACTAAGCTTCCTAAGTGAAGGAGAAATAATATACTTTACAGACAAGCAAATGCTGAGAGATTTTGTCACCACCAGGCCTGCCCTAAAAGAGCTCCTGAAGGAAGCACTAAACATGGAAAGGAACAACCAGTACCAGCCACTGCAAAAACATGCCAAATTGTAAAGACCATCAAGGCTAGGAAGAAACTGCATCAACTATCAAGCAAAATAACCAGCTAACATCATAATGACAGGATCAAATTCACACATAACAATATTAACTTTAAATGTAAATGGGCTAAATGCTCCAATTAAAAGACACAGACTGGCAAATTGGATAGAGTCAAGACCCATCAGTGTGCTGTATTCAGGAACCCCATCTCACATGCAGAGACACACATAAGCTCAAAATGAAGGGATGGAGGAAGATCTACCAAGCAAATGGAAAACAAAAAAAGGCAGGGGTTGCAATCCTAGTCTCTGATAAAACAGACTTTAAACCAACAAAGATCAAAAGAGACAAAGAAGGCCATTACATAATGGTAAAGGGATCAATTCCACAAGAAGAACTAACTATCCTAAATATATATGCACCCAATACAGGAGCACCCAGATTCATAAAGCAAGTCCTGAGTGGCCTACAAAGAGACTTAGACTCCCACACAATAATAATGGGAGACTTTAACACCCCACTGTCAACATTAGACAGATCAACAAGACAGAAAGTTAACAAGGATACCCAGGAATTGAACTCAGCTCTGCACCAAGCAGACCTAATAGACATCTACAGAACTCTCCACCCCAAATCAACAGAATATACATTCTTTTCAGCACCACACCACACCTACTCCAAAATTGACCACATAGTTGGAAGTAAAGCACTCCTCAGAAAATGTAAAAGAACAGAAATTATAACAAACTGTCTCTCAGACCACAGTGCAATCAAACTAGAACTCAGGATTAAGAAACTCACTCAAAACCACTCAACTACATGGAAACTGAACAACCTGCTCCTGAGTGACTACTGGGTAAACAAGGAAATGAAGGTAGAAATAAAGATGTTCTTTGAAACCAATGAGAACAAAGACACAACATACCAGAATCTCCGGGACACATTCAAAGCAGTGTGTAGAGGGAAATTTATAGCACTAAATGCCCACAAAAGAAAGCAGGAAAGATCTAAAATTGACACCCTAACATCAAATTAAAAGAGCTAGAAAAGCAAGAGCAAACACATTCAAAAGCTAGGCGAAGGCAAGAAATAACTAAGATCAGACCAGAACTGAAGGAAATAGAAACACAAAAAACCCTTCAAAAGATTAATGAATCTAGTTTTTTAGATTCCAGGAGCTAGTTTTTTGAAAAGATCAACAAAATTGATAGACTGCTAGCAAGACTAATAAAGAAAAAAAGAGAGAAGAATCAAATAGACACAATAAGAAACGATAAAGAGGATATCACCACCAATCCCACAGAAATACAAACTACCATCAGAGAATACTATAAACACCTCTACGCAAATAAACTAGAAAGTCTAGAAGAAATGGATAAATTCCTCGACACATACATCCTCCCAAGACTAAACCAGGAAGAAGTTGGATCTCTGAATAGGCCAATAACAGGCTCTGAAATTGAGGCAATGATCAATAGCTTACCAACCAAAAAAAGTCCAGGACCAGATGGATTCACAGCCAAATTCTACCAGAGGTACAAAGAGGAGCTGGTACCATTCCTTCTGAAACTATTCCGATCAATAGAAAAAGAGGGAATCCTCCTTAACTCATTTTATGAGGCCAGCATCATCCTGATACCAAAGGCTGGCAGAGACACAACCAAAAAAGAGAATTTTAGACCAATATCCTTGATGAACATTGATGCAAAAATCCTCAATAAAATACTGACAAACCGAATCCAGCAGCACATCAACAAGCTTATCCCCCATGATCAAGTGGGCTTCATCCCTGGGATTCAAGGCTGGTTCAACATTCGCAAATCAATAAACGTAATCCAGCATATAAACAGAACCAAAAACAAAAACCACATGATTATCTCAATAGATGTAGAAAAGGCCTTTGACAAAATTCAACAACTCTTCATGCTAAAAACTCTCAATAAATTAGGTATTGATGGAACGTATCTCAAAATAATAAGAGCTATCTATGACAAACCCACAGCCAATATCATACTGAATGGGCAAAAACTGGAAGCATTCCCTTTGAAAACTGGCACAAGACAGGGATGCCCTCACTCACCACTCCTATTCAACATAGTGTTGGAAGTTCTGGCCAGGGCAATCAGGCAGGAGAAGGAAATAAAGGGTATTCAATTAGGAAAAGAGGAAGTCAAATTGTCCCTGTTTGCAGATGACATGATTGTATATCTAGAAAACCCCATTGTCTTAGCCCAAAATCTGCTTAAGTTGATAAGCAACTTCAGCAAAGTCTCAGGATACAAAATCAATGTACAAAAATCACGAGCATTCTTATACACCAATAACAGAGAAACAGAGAACCAAATCATGAGTGAATTACCATTCACAATTGCTTCAAAGAGAATAAAATACCTAGGAATCCAACTTACAAAGGATGCGAAGGACCTCTTCAAGAAGAACTACAAACCACTGCTCAATGAAATAAAAGAGGATACAAACAAATGGTAGAATATTCCATGCTCATGGGTAGGGCGAATCAATATCGTGAAAATGGCCATACTGCCCAAGGTAATTTATAGATTCAATGCCATCCCCATTAAGCTACCAATGACTTTCTTCACAGAATTGGAAAAAACTACTTTAAAGTTCATATGGAACCAAAAAAGAGCCCGCATCACCAAGTCAATCCTAAGCCAAAAGAACAAAGCTGGAGGCATCACGCTACCTGACTTCAAACTATACTACAAGGCTACAGTAACCAAAACAGCATGGTACTGGTACCAAAACAGAGATATAGATCAATGGAACAGAACAGAGCCCTCAGAAATAACGCCGCATATCTACAACTATCTGATCTTTGACAAACATGACAAAAACAAGCAATGGGGAAAGGATTCACTATTTAATAAATGGTGCTGGGAAAACTGGCTAGACATATGTAGAAAGCTGAAACTGGATCCCCTCCTTACACCTTATACAAAAATTAATTCAAGATGGATTAAAGACTTAAATGTTAGACCTAAAACCATAAAAACCCTAGAAGAAAACCTAGGCAATACCATTCAGGACATAGGCATGCGCAAGGACTTCATGTCTAAAACACCAAAAGCAATGGCAACAAAAGCCAAAATTGACAAATGGGATCTAATTAAAGTAAAGAGCTTCTGCACAGCAAAAGAAACTATCATCAGAGCAAACAGGCAACCCATATAATGGGAGAAAATTTTCACGACCTATTCATCTGACAAAGGGCTAATATCCAGAATCTACAATGAACTCCAACAAATTTACAAGAAAAAAACAAACAACCCCATCGAAAAGTGGGTGAAGGATATGAACAGACACTTCTCAAAAGAAGACATTTATGCAGCCAAAAAACACATGAAAAAATGCTCACCATCGCTGGCCATCAGAGAAATGCAAATCAAAACCACAATGAGATACCATCTCACACCAGTTAGAATGGTGATCATTAAAAAGTCAGGAAACAACAGGTGCTGGAGAGGATGTGGAGAAATAGGAACACTTTTACACTGTTGGTGGGACTGTAAACTAGTTCAACCATTGTGGAAGTCAGTGTGGCGATTCCTCAGGGATCTAGAACTAGAAATACCATTTGACCCAGCCATCCCATTACTGGGTATATACCCAAAGGATTATAAATCATGATGCTATAAAGACACATGCACACGTATGTTTATAGTGGCACTATTCACAATAGCAAAGACTTGGAACCAACCTAAATGTCCAACAATGATAGACTGGATTAAGAAAATGTGGCACATATACACCATGGAATACTATGCAGCCATCAAAAATGATGAGTTCATGTCCTTTGTAGGGACATGGATGAAGCTGAAAACCATCATTCTCAGCAAACTGTCGCAAGGACAAAAAACCAAACACCGCATGTTCTCACTCATAGGTGGGAATTGAACAAGGAGAACACATGGACACAGGAAGGGGAACATCACACTCTGGGGACTGTTGTGGGGTGGGGGGAGGGGGGAGGGATAGCATTAGGAGATATACCTAATGCTAAATGACGAGTTAATGGGTGCAGCATAGCAGCATGGCACGTGTATACATATGTAACAAACCTGCACTTCGTGCACATGTACCCTAAAACTTAAAGCATAATAATAATAAAATTTAAAAACATAAAAAAATAAAGTAGATATTACAATAAAAAAAGAAAGAAATTGAAAAAATTTTTGAAACAAACGATAATGAAACACAATATGCCAAAACTTATGGGATACAGCAAAAGCACTTCTAAGAGGGAATTTTATAGCTATAAGTGCTTACATCAAAAAAATAAGAAAAAGTTAAAATAAAAAATTTAACAATGGATTTTAAAGAACTAGAAAAGCAAGAGCAAACCAAACCCAACATTAGTAGAAGTAAAAAATAATAAAGGTCAGAGCAGGAATAAATGAATTTGAAATTAAGAAAATAACAAAAGATGAATGACACATAAAGATGTTTTTTTGAAAAGTTAAGCAAAATTGACAAACCTCTAGCCAGACTAACAAAAAAAAAAAAAAAAAAAGAGAGAGAAGATCCAAATAAAATCAGAGATGAAAAAGGAGACATTACAACTGATACTGCAGAAATTCAAAGGGTCATTAGTGGCTACTAGGAGCAACTATATGCCAATAAATGGGAAAATCTATGAGAAATGGACAAATTCTTAGACACTTACAAACTACCAAGGTTGAACCATAAGGAAATTCAAAACCTAAACAGACCTCTGACAAGTGATGAGATTGAAGCCGTAATAAAAAGTCTCCCAGTAAAGAAAACCCTGGTCCTGATGACTTCACTACTGAATTTTACCAAATATTTAAAGAATAACTAATATCAATTCTACTCAAACTTTTCTGAAAAACAGAGTAGGAGGGAATACTTTGGAACTCATTCTACAAGGCCAGTATTACACTGACACCAAAAGCAGACAAAGACACATCAAAAACGAGAAAACTACAGGCCAATATCTCTAATGAATATTGATACAAAAACTTCAACAAGATACTAACAAACCAAATTCAACAGTACATTTAAAAGATTATTCATTGGCTGGGCACGGTGGCTCACGCCTGTAATCCCAGCACTTTGGGAGGCCAAGGTGGGCGGATCACGAGGTCAGGAGATCGAGACCATCCCGGCTAACACGGTGAAACCCCATCTCTACTAAAAATACAAAAAATTAGCCGGGGGTGGCGGCGGGTGCCTGTAGTCCCAGCTACTGGGGATGCTGAGGCAGGAGAATGGTGTGAACCCAGAAGGCGGAACTTGCAATGAGCCTAGATCATGCCACTGCACTCCAGTCTGGGTGACAGAGCGAGACTCCATCTCAAAGAAAAAAAAAAAAAAAAAAAAGACCAAGACCAAGTGGTATTTATTCCTACTCTGCAAGAATGGTTCAACATATGCAAATCAACCAATGTGATACATTATATCAACAGAATGAAGGAGTATAATCATATGATCATTTCAATTGATGTTGAAAAAGCATGTGATAAAATGTAGCATCCTTTCATGATAAAAACTGCCAGAAAATGGGATATAGAAGGAACATACCTCAACATAATAAAAGCCATATATGGCAGACCCACAAATAGTATCATATTGAAGGGGAAAAAATTTGAAAGGCTTTCCTCTATTATCTGAAACATGACAAGGATGCCTTTCACCGCCGTTATTCAACACAGTACTGAAAGTCCTAGCTGGAGCTATCAGATAAGAGAAAGATATAAAGGCCATCCAAATTAGAAACAAAGAAGTCAAATTTGCAAATTATATATTTAGAAAAACCTAAAGAAGCCACAAAATAATCTATTAAAACTGATTTAAAAAATTTAGTAAAGTTGCAGGATACAAAATCAACATACATAGAATTTCTATATGTTAACAGAAACTGAAACTGAAGAAACTGACAAATTAAAAAGTAGTCCCATTTACAATAACCACAAATAAAATTAAATATGTAGGAATTAACTAAAGAAGTTAAAGATCTCTATAATGAAACCTACAAAACACTGATTAAAGAAATTCAGGCTGGGACACCATAAAATACAAAGATATTCTATGTTCATGAATTGGAAGCATAAACATTGTTAAAATGTCCATACTACCCAGAGCAATCTACAGATTTAATGAAATGCCTATCAAAATACCAATGATATTCTTCACAGAAATAGAAAAAAAACTATGCTAAAATGTATATGGAACAACAAAAGATCCAGAATAACCAAAGTTATCCTAAGCAAAAGGACAAAACTGGAGGAATCACATTACCTGACTTCAAATTATACTACGGAGCTATTGTAACCAAAAACCAAAACAGCATAGTAATGGCATGAAAACAGGCACATAGACCAATGAAACAGAATACAGAACCCAGAAATAAATCCACACACCTACAGTGAACTCATTTTCGACAAAGTTGCCAAGAACATACATTGGGAAAAAGATTCTTCAATAAATAGTGCTGGGAAAACTGGATATCCATATGCAGAAGAAGGAAACTAGTCCCCTATCTCTTGTCATACACAAAAATCAAATCAAAGTGGATTAAAGACTTAAACCTAAGACCTCAAATTATGAAACTAACACAAGAAAACATTGGGGAAACTCTCCAGGCCATCAGTCTTGGCAAAGATTTCTTGAGTAATATCCAACAAACATAGGCAACCAAAGCAAAAATGGACAAATGGAATTGCATCAAGTTAGAAAGCTTCTGCACAGCAAAAGAAACAATCAACAAAGTAAAGATACAACCCACAGAATGAGAGAAAATATTAGCAAACTACTCATCTGACAAGGGATTAAAAACTAGAATATTTAAGAAAATCACCCCTACAGGAAAATATCTAAAAATCTGATTAAAAATGGAGAAAAGACTTGAATAGACATTTCTCAAAAGAAGACTTACAAATGGCAAACAGGCATATGAAAATGTGTTCAACATCACTGATCACCAGAGAAATGCAAATCAAAATTACTATGAGATATCATCTCATCTGAGATAAAATGGCTTATATCCAAAAAAAAAAAAAGGCAGTAACAAATACTGGCAAAGATGTGGAGAAAAGGGAATCCTCATACACTGTTGGTGGGAATGTAAATTAGTACAACCACTATGGAAAACAGTTTGGAGGCTCCTCCAAAAAGTAAAAGTAGAGCTACTATGTGATTCAGCAATCACACTGTTAGTTACACACCCATAAGAAAGGAAATCAGTATATCAAAAAGATATATGTACTCATGTTTGTTGCAGCTTTTGTCACAATAGCCGAGATTTGGAAGCAACACAAGTGTCCATCAACAGATGAATGGATAAGAAAAATGTGGTACTTATACATAATGGAATACTATTCAGCCATAAAAAAGAATGAGATTCAGTCATTTGCAACAACATAGACAGAACTGGAGGTCACTAAGTTAAGTGAAATAAGCAAGGCACAGACAGACAAACATCACATGTTGTCACTTATTTGTGGGGTCTAAAAATCAAAACAATTGAAACCATGGAGATAGAGAGTAGAAGGATGGTGATATGGTTTAGCTGTGTCCCCACCCAAACTTCATTTTGAATTGTAGTTCCCATAATCCCCAAGTGTCCTGGAAGAGACCCAGTGGGAGGGAGTTGAATCATGGGGGCAGTTATCCTCAGGCTGTTCTCATAATAGCGAATGAGTTCTCATGAGATCTGACGGTTTTATAAGGGGCTTTGCCCCCTTTTGCTCAGAATTTCTCCTTGCTGCCGCCATGTGAAGAAGGATGTTTGCTTCCCTTTCCACCACGATTGTGAGTTTCCTGAGGCCTCCCCAGCCATGCTGAACTGTGAGTCAATTAAACCTGTTTCCTTTATACATTACCCAGTCTCCGGTATGTCTTTATTAGCAGCATGAGAAAGGACTAATACAGTAAATTTTTACCTGGCAGTGGGGTGCTGCTATAAAGATATCTGAAAATATGGAAGCGACTTTGAAACTGGGTAATAGGCAGAGGTTGGAAAGTTTGGAGGGCCTAGAAGAAGATAGGAAAATGTGGGAAAGTTTGGAATTTCCTAGAGACTTGTTGAATGGCTTTGACCAAAATGCTGATAGTGATATGAACAATAAAGTCCAGGCTGAGGTGGTCACGGATGGAGATTAGGAACCTGTTGGGAACTGGAGCAAAGGTCACTCTTGCTATGCAAAGAGACTGGTGGCATTTTGCCCCTGCCCTAGAGATTGGTGGAACTTTAAACTTGAGAGAGACGATTTAGGGTATTTAGTGGAATAAATTTCTAAGCAGCAAAGCATTCAATAGGTGACAGAGTATAAAGTTAGGAAAATTTGCAGCCTGACAATGCAGTAGAAAAGAAAAATCCGTGTTCTGGGGAGAAATTCAAGCCTGCTGCAGACATTTACATATGTAACCAGGAGCCAAATGCTAATCACCAAGGCATGGGGAAAATGTTTCCAGGTCATGTCAGAGACCTTCTCAGCAGCCCCTCCCATCACAAGTCTGAAGGCTTAGGAGGGAAAAATGGTTTTGTGGCCAGGGCCCAGGGTCCCCCTACTGTGTCCAGCCTCAGGAAATGGTGTTCTGTGTCCCAGCTGCTTCACCTCCAGCCATGGCTAAAGGGACCAAGGTACAGCTTGGGCCATGGCTTCAGAGGCTGCAAGCCCCAAGCCTTGGCAGCTTTCACGTGATGTTGGTCCTGCTGGTACAAGAAGACAAGAATTAAGGTTTAAAACTTCCACGTAGATTTCAGAGGATGTATAGAAATGCCTGGATGTCCAGGCAAAGGTGTACTGCAGGGGCAGTGCCCTCATGGAGAACCTCTGCTAGTGCAGTGCCAAAGGGAAATGTGGGATTGGAGCCTCCACACAGAGTCCCCATTGGTACACTGCCTAGGGGAGCTGTGAGAAGAGGGCGAGGGCCATCATCCTCCAGATCCCAGAATGGAAGATCCAACCACAGCTTGCACAGTGCACATGGAAAAGCTGCAGACACTCAATGCCAGGCATGAAAGCAGCTGGGAGGGAAGCTGTACCCTGACAAGCTGCAAGGGTGGAGCTCCCCAAGACCATGGGAACCCACCTCTTGCATCAGCATGACCTGGATGTGAGACATGAAGTCAAAGAAAATCATTTTGGAGCTTTAAGATTTGACTGTCCTGCTGGATTCTGGACTTGCATGGGGCCTGTAGCTCCTTGATTTTGGCCAATTTCTCCCATTTGGAATGGCTGTATTTACCAAATGCCTGTACCCCCATTGTAGATAGGAAGTAACTAACTAGCTTTTGATTCTACAGGCTCATAGGTGGAACAGACTTGCCTTGTTTCAGATGAGACTTTGGACTTGAACTTTTAGGTTAATGCTGGAATGAGTTAACACTTTGGAGAACTGTTGGGAAGGCATGATTGTGTTTTGAAATGTGAGGACATGAGATTTGGGAGGGGCCAGGGGCTGAATGGTATGGATTGGCTGTGTCCCCACCCAAATCTTATTTTGAATTATAGTTCCCATAGTCCCCACATGTCATGGGAGGGACACAGGGGGAGGTAATTGAATCATGGGGTTGGTTACCTCCATGCTGCTGTTCTTGTGATAGTGAGTGAGTTCCCACAAGATTTCTTGGTTTTAGAAGGGGCTTTTCCCCCTTTGCTCAGCACTTCTTGCTGCTGCCACGTGAAGAAGGATGTGTTTGCTTCCCCTTCCGCCATGATTGTAAGTTTTCTGAGGCTTCCCCAGCCATGCTGAATTGTGAGTCAATTAAACCTCTTTCCTTTATACATTACCCAGTCTTGAGTATGTCCTTATTAGCATTGTGAGAACAGGCTAATACAGATGGTTACCAGAGGCTAGGAATGGCAGTGGGGGGGTGGGGGTTTAAGACATGAGGATGGTTAATCAATACAAAAAAATAGTTAGAGTAAATGAATAAGGCCTAGTATTTGATAGCACAATAGGGTAACTATAGTCGATAATAATTTAGTTTTACATTTAAAAATAACTAAAATAATATAATTAATTTTTTTATTATACTTTAAGTTCTGGGGTACATGTGCAGAATGTGCAGGTTTGTTACATAGGTATACACGTGCCATGGTGAATTGCTGCACCCATCAACCCATCATCTACATTTGGTATTTTTCCTAATGCTATCCCTCCCCTAGCCCCCCACCCCCCGACAGGCCCTGGTGTGTGATGTTCCCCTCCCTGTGTCCATGTGTTCTCATTGTTCAACTCCCACTTATGAGTGAGAACATGCGGTGTTTGGTTTTCTGTTCCTGTGTTAGTTTGCTGAGAATGATGGTTTCCAGATTCATCCATTTCCCCGCAAAGGACATGAACTCATCCTTTTTTATTGCTGCATAGTATTCCATGGTGTATATGTGCCACATTTTCTTTATCCAGTCTATTATTGATGGACATTTTGGTTGGTTCCAAGTCCTTGCTATTGTGAACAGTGCTGCAATAAACATACGTGTGCATGTGTCTTTATAGTAGAATAATTTATAATCCTTTGGGTATATACCCAGTAATGGGATTGCTGGGTCAAATGGTATTTCTCATTCTAGATCCTTGAGGAATCACCACACTGTCTTCCACAATAGTTGAGCTAATTTACACTCCCACCAACAGAGTAAAATTGTTCCTATTTCCCCACATCCTCTCAAGCATCTGTTGTTTCCTGGCTTTTTAATGATCATCATTCTAACTGGCATGAGATGGTATCTAATTGTGGTTTTGAACTGAATTTCTCTAATGACCAGTGAGGATGAGCTTTTTTTTATATGTTTGTTGGCTGCATAAGTGTCTTCTTTTGAGAAGTGCCTATTGATATCCTTTGTCCAAAAAGGATATGGGGTTGATGGGGTTGTTTGTATTTTTCTTGTAAATTTGTTTAAGTTCTTTGTAGATTCTGGATATCAGTCCTTTGTCCGATGGATAGACTGCAATATTTTTCCCATTCTGTATGTTGCCTGTTCACTCCGATGATAGTTTCTTTTGCTGTGCAGAAGCTCTTTAGTTTAATTAGATCCCATTTGTCAATTTTGGCTTTTGTTGCCATTGCTTTTGTTGTTTTAGTGATCAAGTCTTTGCCCGTGCCTATGTCCTGAATGGTATTGCCTAGGTTTTCTTCTAGGGTTTTTATGGTTTTAGGTCTTATGTTTAAGTCTTTACTCCACCTTGAGTATGTTGAACCACCCTTGCATCCCAGGGGTGAAGCTGACTTGATCATGGTGGATAAGATTTTGGATGTGCTGCTGGATTTGGTTTGCCAGTATTTTACTGAGGATTTTTTCATCAATGTTCATTAGGGATATTGGCCTGAAATTTTCTTTTTCTGTCATGTCTCTGCCAGGTTTTCATATCAGGGTGATGCTGGCCTTATAAAATGATTTAGGGAGGAGTCCCTCTTTTTCTATTGTTTGGAATAATTTCAGAAGGAATGGTACCAACTCCTCTTTGTACCTGTGGTAGAATTTGGCTGTGAATCCATCTGGTCCTGGGCTTTTTTTGGTTGGTAGGCTAGTAATGACTGCCTCAATTCCAGAACTTGTTATTGGTCTATTCAGGAATTCAACTTCTTCCCGGTTTAGTCTTGGGAGGGTGTATATGTCCAGGAATTTATCCATTTCTTCTAGATTTTCTAGTTTATTTGCATAGAGGTGTTTATAGTATTCGCTGATGGTAGTTTGTATTTCTGTAGGATCAGTGGTGTTTATTGTGTCTATTTGATTCTTCTCTCTTTCCTTCTTAATCTGGTTAGCAGTCTATCCATTTTGTTAATCTTTTCAAACAACCAGCTCCTGGATTTATTGATTTTTTGAAGGGCTTTTTGTGTCTCTATCTCCTTTAGTTCTTCTCTGATCTTAGTTATTTCTTGTCTTCTGCTAGATTTTGAATTTGTTTGTTCTTGCTTCTCTAGTTTTTGTTTTGTGTTGTTTTTTTTAAGACGGAGTCTCTCACTGTCGCCCAGGCTGGAATACAGTGGCACAATCATGGCTCACTGCAAGTTCTGCCTCCCAGGTTCATGCCTTTCTCCTGTCTCAGCCTCCTGAGTAGCTGGGACTACAGGCACCCACCACCACGCTGGGCTGATTTTTTGTATTTTTAGTAGAGATGCGGTTTCACCATGTTAGCCAGGATGGTCTCGATCTCTTGACCTAGTGATCCACCTGCCTTGGCCTCCCAAAGTGTTGGGATTACAGGTGTGAGCCACCATGCCCGGCCTCTAGTTCTTTTAATTGTGATGTTAGGGTATCAATTTTAGATCTTCCCCACTTTCTCCTGTGGGTATTTAGTGCTATAAATTTCCCTCTAAACACTGCTTTAGCTGTGTCCCAGAGATTCTGGTATGTTGTGTCTTTGGTCTCATTGATTTCAAAGAACTTATTTATTTTTGCTTTAATGTTGTTATTTACCCAGTAGTCATTCAGGAGCAGGTTGTTGACTTTCCATGTAGTTGTGTGGTTTTGAGTGCATTTCTTAATCCTGAATTCTAATTTGATTGCCCTGTGGTCTGAGAGGCTATTTGTTATGATTTCTGTTCTTTTGCATTTGCTGAGGAGTGTTTTACTTCCAATTATGTGGTCAATTTTAGAATAAGTGTGATGTGGTGCTGAGAAGAATGTATATTCTGTTGAACTGGGGTAGAGATTTCTGTAGAAGTCTATTAGGTCTGCTTGGTCCAGAGCTGAGTTCAACTCCTGAATATGCTTGTTAATTTTCTGTCTCGTTGATCAGGCTAATATTGACAGTGGGGTGTTAAAGTCTCCCACTATTATTGTGTGGGATTCTAAGTCTCTTTGTAGGTCTCTAAGGACTTGCTTTATGAATCTGGCTTCTCCTGTTTTGGATGCATATATATTTAGGATAGTTAGCTCTTCTTGTTGCATTGACCCCTTTACCATTATATAATGCCCTTCTTTGTCTCTTTTTATCTTTGTTTGTTTAAAGTCTGTTTTTTCAGAGACTAGGATTGCAATCCCTGCTTTTTTTTTTTTTTCCTTTTGAGATGGAGTCTTGCTCTGTCACCCAGGCTGGAGTGCAGTGGCACAATCTTGGCTCACTGCAAGCTCCACCTCCCAGGTTCATGCCATTCTCCTGCCTCAGCCTCTTGAGTAGCTGGGACTACAGGCGCCTGCCACCATGCCCGGCTAATTTTTTTGTATTTTTAGTAGAGACAGGGTTTCATTGTCTTAGCCAGGATGGTCTCGATCTCCTAACCTCGTCATCTGCCCGCCTCGGCCTCCCAAAGTGCTGGGATTACAGGCATGAGCCACAGCACCCAGCCCAATCCCTGCTTTTTTGCTTTCCATTTGCTTGGTAAATATTCCTCCATCAGTCTATTTTGAACCTATTTGTGTTTTTGCACATCAGATGGGTCTCCTGAATACAGGACTCTAATGGGTCTTGACTCTGTATCCAATTTGCCAGTCTGTGTCTTTTAATTGGTGCATTTAGCCCATTTACATTTAAGGTTAATATTGTTATGTGTGAATTTGATCCTGTCATTATGATGCTAGCTGGTTGTTTTGCCTGTTAGTTGATGCAGTTTCTTCATAGTGTCGGCGGGCGTTCTTTACAATTTGCAGTGGCTGGTACCAGTTGTTCCTTTCCATGTTTAGTGCTTCCTTCAGGAGCTTTTGTAACAGAGGCCTGGTGGTGACAAAATCTCTCAGCATTTGCTTGTCTGTAAAGGATTTTATTTCTCCTTCACTTATGAAGCTTAGTTTGGCTGGATATAAAATTCTGGGTTGAGAAATTCTGTTCTTTAAGAATGTTGAATATTGGCCGCCACTCTCCTCTGCCTTGTAGAGTTTCTGCAGAGAGACCCGCTGTTGGTCTGATGGGCTTCCTTTTGTTGGTTACCCAACCTTTCTCTCTGGCTGCCCTTAACATTTTTTCCTTCATTTCAACCTTGGTGGATCTGATGATATGTGTCTTGGGATTGCTCTTCTCAAGGAGTACCTTTGTGCTGTTCTCTGTATTGCCTGAATTTGAATGTTGGTCTGTCTTGCTAGGTTGGGGAAGTTCTCCTGGATTATATCCTGAAGCGTGTTTTCCAACTTGGTTCCATTCTCCCTGTCACTTTCAGGTATACCAGTCAAACGTAGGTTTGGTCTTTTCACATAGTCTCATATTTCTTGAGGGCTTTGTTCAGTCCTTTTTCTCTAATCTTGTTTTCACGCTTTATTTCATTAAGTTGGTCTTCAATCTCTGATATACTTCCTTCCACTTGATCAATTTGGGTATTGATACCTGTGTATGCTTCATGAAGTTCTCATGCTGTGTTTTTGAGCTCCATCAGGTCATTTATGTTCTTCTCTAAACTGGTTATTCCAGTTTGCAATTCATCTAACCTTTTTTCAAGGTTCTTAGCTTCCTTGCATTGGGTTAGAACATGCCCCTTTAGCTCAGAGGAGTTTGTTATTACCCATCTTCTGAAGCCTACTTCTGTCAATTCATCAAACTCATTCTGTGTCCAGTTTTGTTCCACTGCTGGTGAGCAGTTGTGATCCTTTGGAAGAGAAGAGGAATTCTGGATTTTGGAATTTTCAGCCTTTCTGCACTGTTTTTTCCTCATCTTCATGGATTTATCTACCTTTGGTCTTTCATGTTGGTAACTTTCAGATGGGGTTTTTGTGTGGATGTCCTTTTTGTTGATGTTGATGCTATTCCTTTATGTTTGTTAATTTTCCTTGTAACAGTCAGACCTCTCTGCTGCAGATCTGCTGGAGTTTGCTAGACATCCACTCCAGACCCTATTTGCCTGTGTATCACTAGCGGAGGCTGCAAAACAGCAAAGATTGCTGCCTCTTCCTTCCTCTGGAAGCTTCTTCCCAGAGGGGCACCCGCCAGATGCCAGCCAGAGCTCTCCTATATGAAATGTCTGTTGGCCCCTGCTGAGAGGTGTCTCCCAGTCAGGAGGCAAGGGGGTCAAGGACCCACTTGAGGAGGCAGTCTGTTCCTTAGCAGAGCTCAAACACTGTGCTGGGAGATCTGCTGCTGTTTTCAGAGCCAGCAGGCAGGAACTTTTAAGTTTGCTGAAGCTGTGCCCACAGTTACCCTTTCCCCCAGGTGCTCTGTCCCAGGGAGATGGGAGTTTTATCTATAAGCCCCTGACTGGGGCTGCTGCCTTTCTCTCAGAGATGCCCTGCCCAGAGAGGAGGAATCTAGAGAGGCAGTCTGGCTACAGCAGCTTTGCCGAGCTGCGGTGGGCTCCCCCCAGTTCAAACTTCCCAGCAGGTCTGTTTACACTGTAAGGGAAAAACCGCCTACTCAAGCCTCAGTAATGTATGAGGCCTTTCCCCCCACCAAGCTCGAGCATCCTAGATCAACTTCAGACTGCTGTGCTTGTAGGGAGAATTTCAAACCAGTAGATCTTATCCTGCTGGGCTCCATGGGCATGGGATCTGCTGAGATATACCACTTGGCTCCCTGGCTTCAGCCCCCTTTCCAGAGGAATGAACAGTTCTGTCTTGCTGGCATTCCAGGCACCACTGGGGTATAAAGAAAAAAAACTCCTGCAGCTAGCTCAGTGTCTGCCCAAATGGATGCCCAGTTATGTGCTTGAAACCCAAGGCCCTGGTGGTGTAGGCACCCAAGGGAATCTCCTGGTCTGTGGGTTGCAAAGACCATGGGTAAAGCATAGTATCTGGGCTGAATGTACCATCCCTCATGGCACAGTCCCTCACAGCTTCCTTTAGCTAGAGGATGGAGTTTCTGGACCCCTTGTGCTTCTTGGGTGAGGTGATGCCCCACGCTGCTTTGGCTCACCCTCTGTGGGCTGCATCCGCTGTCTAACCAGTCCCAGGGAGATGAGCTAGGTACCTCAGATGGAAATGCAGAAATAACCCACCTTCTGCATTGATCTCACTGGCAGCTGCAGACCAGAGCTGTTTCTATTCTGCCATCTTGCCCACCACTCAATGTGATTGTTTATAACACAAAAGATAAATGCTTAAAAGGATGGATACCCCATCTTCCATTATGTGATTGTTAGGCATTGCATGCCTGTATCAAAACATGTACCTTGCTAATAAATGTGCCTACTATGTACCCACAAAAATTTTAAATTAAAATAAACTCATATGTCCCATAAATATATATACCTTCTATGTACCCATAAGTAAAAAATGAAACATGAATAAAATAAATGAATAAAATAAAATGCCATGCAAATTTTTGCTGTTTTTTGTTTTTAGCCAGTTTGATCCCTTTAGGGAGCTTTTTAAAAAGAGATATGAGTATGATGATAGGAGATGAGAGAGTGGACCAGGCTTACAAGTTTGCTTATTGAGGGTCTACTCTCCCCTTGTAAAAACTCTCTTTCTTCTTGCTGCTAATCCCGTTTAAATGCAACATCATGTAGAACAGACCAGACTTTAAATCAGCATTAATTAACACATTAGGCCATGTGCCAACCCCTCAAGTGAGGTCTGGCCCGTGACCAGGTGAGGGCAGGAGTGATGGGACAGAGGGCAGAGGCCATGGCAGGTGGTGAGTGCCCTGGAAGAGGAGACCAGGAGGGCACAAGAATTGACCTCCTCTACCGTGAAATTCTCCTTGAACTCTTTTTTTTTCTATTTATTTTATTGTGTAAAATTTGTACATCCAAAGGTAGTCATGAGATGGAATTCTGTGGAGAAGTTTATAAAATACAGATTATTCATTATCCTGGAGGGTAGATTCTGAACTAAAGAGCTTTCTTTCAGTCCTGTGATCTCAAGGTTTTGCTTTTAAAGAACTGAGTTTGAATTCCTTATTGAGTTTGATTGAAATGTGCCTTGGTCTCAGCCATTGCACCTCCCCAGCCCTCTTAACAACCATGAAGGAAGAAATGTAGAAAACTGTATAAATAGTGCTATACCCCAGATGTCCTTAAGCCTAGCCAGTCTATGGATGCCAGTGGGGAGAGGGGTCCCCCGTTACAGCAATAACTCAAATTTCCTGTTTAACTGTATTATTTTTTCACATGTTCCACCACCTGTTTCACCTGGCATGTTTGGTCTGCTCAGCCAAATCCACCTGTGACTTTTGAAGGACTTTTGAGAACAGCCAAATCACCCACTAGTGGTACCAAAATCTGTATTAGTCAGAGTTCTCCAGAGGGACAGAACTATTATAGGATATATGTATATATGAGAGGGAGTTTATTAAGGAGAATTGACACACACAGTCTCAAGATAAAGTCCCATGATAGGCTGTCCGCAAGCTGAGGAGCAAAGAAGCCAGCAGTGGTTCAGTATGAGTCTTAAAGCCTCAAAAGTAGGGATACTGACAGTGTGGCCTTCAGTCTGTGGCTGAAGGCCCAAGAGCCCCTGACAAATCATTGGTGTAAGTCAAAGAGCCCAAAGGCCCAAGAACTTGGAGTCCAGTGATCAAGGACAGGAAGCATCCAGCACAACAGAAAGATAGAAGACTAAGCAAGCCAACTTCATCAGTGTTCTCCCACACATCCAAGTTGCAGGGTTCCATTCTTTTCCAATCAATGCCCTCACTTTAACAGCAGACACTTGGCGAGTCTGTGTGTGCGCCTTCCATTGTAGGTCCCAGCCATTCACATCATAAGGCTTATGTTTGATTTTCTGCAATTTCAGCCCTTTGTCTACAGGGGGTAAGACTCTCACTCAGGGCAATCTTAGAAGACTTGCGCCTAAATATGTGCTTCTGGAGGCAGGAGTTGGAATCCCTGAGTTTATCCTTTTTTCTTTCATCACTTTGTTATGCAAGCTTAGGAGCAACCAACCAACCAACTTCATTACATTCCTTGTTTCTCCACATACAGTCAAAAGTATTATGTATAGGGTCACTGAACTCCTTGTTTCTCAAGAGGAGTGAATCAGGAGTATCAAATGCATTTATTTTGCATAACTGTTCATGCCAAGGACTATCAGTGTTCTCCATACTATTAGAAGTACAGTCCTTAGCACTCTTGTCTCTAATCAGATTAAGCAGCCAACTCCAGAAACCCCAAAACCGACTAAAGAGATCCATCCTTAAAATTCTGTTCCTCTAGTACCACTCCTGGTACCAACTTTCTGTATTAGTCTGTTTTCACACTGCTGTAAAGAACTGCCTGAGACTGGGTAATTTATAAAGGAAAGAGGCTTAATTGACTCACAGTTCTGCATGGCTTGGTGGGCCACAGGAAACTTGCAATCATAGTGGAAGGGGAAGCAGTCACCTTCTTCACAACACAGCAGGAGAGAGAAAGCGTGTGAAGGAGGAACTGTCAAACACTTATAAAACTATCAGATATCATCATCAGATAGTGAGTGAAAACTTGCTCACTATCATGAGAACAGCATGGGGGAAACTGCCCCCCTGATCTAGTCACCTCCCACCAGGTCCCTCCCTAGACACATGGAGATTACAATTCGAGATGAGATTTGGGTAGGGACACAGAACCAAACCATATTACCTTCACATCTTGTCCATGTCCTTATCAAGCCAGGTAGCAAAAGTGATTTTAAAGGTAAGAAGAAGAACTATGACACAAACCCGGAGCAGTTTTATTATAATGATTGATTTAAATCCATGTATAAAACTTGTTCTTGTATTAACCTTGCTCACATTGATTTGGGGAATTATTTAAGAGGCTTCTTCTCATTTCTAAGGCATTTCAGTTTGGTATATTTCCTAGATGTTGTCATCACATCTTCCTTTCAAAGTGCTTCATGTGTGTATTTTGTCTTCCCCATTGTGGGGGTAGGGTACAGGGGTCGCTGAAAACAGAGACAGTTTTGTACTTCTTTTGTTATCTTTTAAGGGATCTCGGTGCAGTGCTCTGAGTCAAATGACTCTGTTGCAGGTGTTCAACTGTGTAGATTAGCTGAGTGATGAGTATGTCTGGACATCTGTGCAAATTTGGATATAGCATTAGGATAGTAGAACTTACTCCCTGTGAGACTGGAGCAAGAAACTAAGAGGGGAGTGGCTGGGGTCTCGACTTACTGGCTTCATGAACTTAGATAAGTCACTTTACTTCTCTTGCCTCACCTTTTCAACTTATATGGCAGAGCTAATAGTCTAGAATACAAGCCCAGAGTACAGCATTGTTGAGGGGCTCAACTAGGTTAAATGGCTACATGTTTTACAAACCTAAAATGACTGGATGAACCCGGGCCTTGTATACAGTGGGCGCTCAGCAAACATTGGTAGCGAGGCCATTGGCTCTCCCTGCTAGCAGGAGCTCAAAGCAGGGATGTGCCAGAAACAGAATCCAAACTTTCCATAATACAGGCTGACTTTGCTTTTGAAGTCCTTCCTCTGAGGGTGGAATTTGTGATAGGAAACTGGTTTGCTTGGAGTGGCGAGGGTGGTGTGGGGTGGGGTGCAGATGATCTGCTACTTTTGTTTCCATTTTGGATTTCCAGGTTTCTGTGAGTTTCTCTCATCTTGTTTCCTGTTTTTCCTAAAAGCCTGAGTATATAAATATCTTTTTTCCTGCAGGTGTTTCTAACTTCTTTTTCCTTCCGGACAGTCTCAGTAATTATTGCCTTTCATGTGGGTTCTATGACCGAGGTGAGTGATGTAATAACAGAAAAGATTCCCATAGCAAGTGATAGCTATGTGAATGCTGGTGTGAGGTGTTTTTGCTTGGAATGAAGATGCAGATCTGAAAAACTATATAATTTATATAGATAGATAGATAGATAGATAGATAGATAGATAGATAGATTTTTTTTTTTTTTTTTTTTGAGACAGTGTCTCATTCTGTTGCCCAGGCTGGAGTGCAGTGGCGAGATCTCAGCTCACTGAAGTCTCCAACTCCTAGATTCAAGTGATTTTTGTGCCTCAGCCTTCTGAGTAGCTGGGACTACAGGCATGTGCCACCATGCCTGGCTAATTTTTGTACTTTTAGTAGAGACAGGGTTTCACCATGTTAGCCAGGCTGGTCTCGAACTCCTGACTTCAAGTGATCTACCTGCCTCGGCCTTCCAAGGTGCTGGGATTACAGGCATGAGACTGCACTCAGCCAGATTTTTAAAAACTCAGTTAAACTGTATAAAACTGATTTACTAAAGCATATTAAAACATGCGTTTTTCACTAAACTGATGCCAATAAACTATAAGTGAATCATCAAACATCACCACTGTACAACGGAGACAGCCCATTATAACATTACTTAAAACAGTCTCTATATAACTTATGTATCTATACACACATATATACATTACTTTCTTCAAGTTTTAGTGTTTCTTAATAAAATCTTATATTTTAAAAACTTTCTGTTTTTAACTTTTTACATACTTCCTGCTTCGAATCCATCCATGGATGATAACCATGCCATTTAGGCTATCTTATTTTGATGTCCATGGGTTTCATATTACATCATTATTTCTTCCTTAGCAAGAATTATTGCTGCTTGAGGAGGTGGTGGCTTAGCCTCAGTGTCACTGCTATCTTCCCAAGCCACTGGAATGACTGCTGCTGTCTAGGTCTCCCTGGGGACTACTCTGAGATGGAAAATTCTCAGCCCCGACTGGAATTTGGCCACAGAGGGGAAAAACAAAAGAAATGCAGTTTTCCAAAATCAAGTTGACTAAGACTCCTTCTATCATTACATATAATCTCCCTGCCTCCCAAAGACTAACTCTTGGCACACTTCTTTGTGTGAAGAGGAATTATAACAGACACCCCTGCTATGTTGGAGCTTAAGTACACAGCTCAACACAGGTAGGAAGGCAGGTGACTTGAACTTTAAAAAAAATAAATTTTGCACATGAAAGCTTTTCAGCAATTTTTAAAAGATGTTTTCTGGCTTATTGTATACATCTTTTCCATTTAGAATGGAGTTTGCTCAAATCAATAATAACCATATGTTTACCATTTATTTTAACTTTAGTCTACACTTATATTTGACAGTTTTCTAGATCATGCATAACTCTAACTAGAGACTATTCAAGAAAAATGTCCATAGTAATTTAACAAGTATTGATATTACCTAGGATATCATTTTTGGCAAACCGTTGGTTAAAACTAGAGTAAATACAGCCATCTTGGTCTTTTGACCAAGTTAAGTATTCTTTAAATTTGCCCAAGTTTTGTTTTGTTTTCTTTACCACTTATAGAAGGGAAACTTGCTAGATATAAAAGTTGCTTGTTTATAATTATTCTACCAGTTCTTATAGAGAAGCTGAGGATTCATATGTCATTAAACATTTTCAATTATAAGGAAATCTATGAAAGTCAATACATAGAATACAATGGCCAATAGGAGTCATGATATTTTGGACATGTCATTCTTCTTAAGGAAAACCTAAATGTCCATAAAGAAACATCCCAAAGCAGCACTGTGTTGGCATTTGTGGATTAGGTGCTATGGAATTCATCCTACTTCCTGCTCCAGTCTCTTCTTCACAAATAGTTTTTAACAATGTTAAGTCAAATGATGTCATTTCTTGGATGTAAAGCCTGCAGTACTTTTCTATCTCAGAATTAAATCCAAAGTCCTCACCTAGGCTTAACAGTAAGATTATCATATAATTCATCATACAAATGGGATTCCTCTGAAAATGAAAAGAGCCTTAGGAGCAATCACTCCAGGGCAACAGGTGTAAACCAGAGTTGTTCCCAAGCAAACCAGGACCTAGAGGCACCTGCCTAGATGGCCCTAGATGAACTAGTATTCCCCTCCCGTCATATCTCATGTTCTACCACTATGTCCTTCTCTCTGTCCTCAATTAGCTCCAGCCACAACAACTTACTGGATGCTTTTCAAATGTAACAAACATGCCTCAGTTGCCTGGAATGTTCTTCCCCAAGATACCTGTGCAGGTCTTGCCATTTTCACTTAATCCAGGGTTTCTACTCAAATCCCATTTGTTAAAGAGACTTTTTCTGATGCCCTCCTAAAATTGCATCCCTCTTCCTCTGTTCACCCTCTCCACCTTACTCTGCCTGATTTTTCTTCATAATACTTATTACATCCTGACATAAAATATATGTACATTTTTATTGTTTATATTCTTCCTTTTTTGTGTGTGTGTGAGATAAGGTCTCATCTGTCACCCAGACTAGAGTGCAGTGCCATGATCCTGACTCACCACAGCCTTGACCTTCTGGACTCAAGCAATCCTCCTCCACCAGACTATGGAGTAGCTGGGACTACAGGCATGCACCACCATGCCCCACTAATTTTTAATTTTTTTTTTTGGTAGAAATGGGGATCTCATTATGTAGCCCAGGCTGGTCTGAAACTCCTGGCCTCAAGCATCTGTCCTGCCTTGGCCTCCCAAGGGGTTGTGATTACATGCGTGAGCCACTGTACCTGGTCTTTCTTTTCTAACTGGATATGTCTCCCTCACAGAAGGCAAGCTCCATCTGTAGATGAACTTTGTTTTGTTTATTACTGCGTGCCTGGCATCTAGAATGGTGCCTGGCACTGAGTACATATTTAATCATACTTGATAAGTGAACAAATGAGTGCATGCATGAAAGAATAAGTTGCTGTTTAAAATTGGAGGCATCTTTAAAGGGAAAGAGCAACTTCCATTTACTTTTGGATGGCAGTTAAGTGAGAATGCTTGTATTCTAAGAAATAAGTGAGAAGTACCAGGAGGAGCATTACATGATATAAAGAATGAGTTGGGGAAAATTCTGGCTAATGTGAATGATGAAGGTATTCTAGAAATGATAACTCACTGAAATATTTTTACATCTGATTGCAGTAAAATAACTTACTCCCTGGTAATGCATATTTTATGTCTTTATAACATGTTGAATCCACTCAGATTGCCTACCTTGTGTTTTAATTCAACTTAATTTTAAAAACTCATTTCAAATTTTGTGGCAGCCACTAGATTTAGGAAATCCCTTAACAGATGATGTTGTCGTCTTTTGAAGAATAATATATACCTATCAGACCATCATCTATGTGCCAGGCATTATCTTTAGTGTTTTTAAGTACTATTTCATTTAATCTTCCCAACTTATTATATGGTGTAGGCATTCCCATTATCCCCAGTTTATAATGAGGAAACTGAAACATGGAGAGATTAAGGCAGTCTGACTTCAGAGTCCATCAACTTTGTCATATTGTGCAATTTGTTTGCTTTTTATTGTTGTTGCAATCACTATTCGTTTATTATTCCCATTAATTTCTGTATTCCAATAGAAATATTTTAATAGAATTCCCTGATTTCCCTGGCAAATTCTAAATGTAACCTTTTGTGATTCAGTCTACTTAAACCACTACCAGTTGTTTTTCTCTTAACTTTTATGACAGCGTGTTTTTATTTTGGTTATTTATTTCACTGTTTATGGTCTATCTTTTCTTACTGAAATGTCAGCTTCTTGAGGGTAGGAATTTTTTCATTTTACTCACTGCTATATTACGAATGCAAAGTGTCTGGTATGTAGCAAATGCTCAGTAACTGTTGGCTTCATGAATAAATACTGAATGAATGAGTTATATTAATTAGTTGTATCCTTTTACTATATGACTCATGTGATTCAGTCGACCAATGTTTATAAGCACCAATTCCATGCCTAGCACCATGTTCCACATATGGACTTAACAAATGCCAAGTCTTCTTCCAAGCACTTTATGTAAAGCAACTCTTAATCTCTATGGTAACTCTATGAGGTTATCTGCAAAGGTCCAAAAAATGTTAGGACATGGCTCCTTTCCAGAAGGAGCTTAAAATAGAGTTGAGAAATAATAATAATGAAAGTAAAATAATGAGAAAATGATATAAGCTTATAATACAAGTATATTAAGTCATTCTCACATTGCTATAAAGAAATACCTGAGACTGAGTAGTTCATGAGAAAAGAGGTTTAATTCACTCATGGTTTTGAAGGCTGTACAGGAAGCATAGCAGCATCTGCTTCTGGGAGGCCTCAGGAAGCTTCCAATGATGGCAGAAGGCAGGGGGTGCAGGCAGGTCACATGGGAAAAGCAGGAGGAGGAGAGCAAGGGAGGAGGGGCCACAAACTTTTAAATGAGCAGATCTTGCAAGAACTCACTATCATGAGGACCGTACCAAGATGGATGATGCTAAACCATTCATAAGAAAGCCACCCCTATGATCCAATCACCTCCCACAAGGTTCCACTTCCAACAATGGGGATTACCTTTCAATATGAGATGTGGGTGAGGACAAACATCCAAACTATATCAACAAGCATTTAATTATTAAATTTTGAATTACAATTATGCTTTAAAGAAAGAAGTGTCAGGAACCTCGGTAGGTAGGCAGCCAAGATGGCCGAATAGGAACAGCTCCGGTCTACAGCTCCCAGCGTTAGTGACGCAGAAGATGGGTGATTTCTGCATTTCCATCTGAGGTACCGGGTTCATCTCACTAGGCAGTGCCAGAGAGTGGGCGCAGGACAGTGGGTGCAGTGCACCGTGTGTGAGCCAAAGCAGGGCGAGGCATTGCCTCACCCAGGAAATACAAGGGATCAGGGAGTTCCCTTTCCTAGTCAAAGAAAGGGGTGACAGACAGCACCTGGAAAATTGGTTCACTCCCACCCTAATACTGCGCTTTTCCAACGGGCTTAAAAAACCGCGCACCAGGAGATTATATCCCGCACCTGGCTTAGAGGGTCCTATGCCCATGGAGTCTCGCTGATTGCTAGCACAGCAGTCTGAGATCACACTGCAAGTCGGCAGCAAGGCTGGGGGAGGGGCGCCCGCCATTGCCCAGGCTTGCTTAGGTAAACAAAGCAGCCTGGAAGCTCGAACTGGGTGGAGCCCACCACAGCTCAAGGAGGACTGCCTGCCTCTGTAGGCTCCACCTCTGGGGGCAGGGCACAGACAAACAAAAAGACAACAGTAACCTCTGCAGACTTAAATGTCCCTGTCTGACAGCTTTGAAGAGAGCAGTGGTTCTCCCAGCACGCAGCTTGAGATCTGAGAACGGGCAGACTGCTTCCTCAGTGGGTCCCTGACCCCTGACCTCTGAGCAGCCTAACTGGGAGGCACCCCCAGTAGGGGGAGACTGACACCTCACATGGCCGGGTACTCCTCTGAGACAAAAATTCCAGAGGAACGATCAGGCAGCAGCATTCACAGTTCACGAAAATCCGCTGTTCAGCAGCCACCGCTGTGGATACCCAGGCAAACAGGGTCTGGAGTGGACCTCTAGCAAACTCCAACAGACCTGCAGCTGAGGGTCCTGTCTGTTAGAAGGAAAACTAACAAACAGAAAGGACATCCACAC
Source organism: Homo sapiens (assembly GCF_000001405.40). Taxonomy (NCBI): domain Eukaryota; kingdom Metazoa; phylum Chordata; class Mammalia; order Primates; family Hominidae; genus Homo; species Homo sapiens. The sequence continues at coordinate 179,066,350 of NC_000002.12, read as the reverse complement.
CAAAAACCCATCTGTACATCACCATCATCAAAGACCAAAAGTAGATAAAACCACAAAGAGGGGGAAGAAACAGAGCAGAAAAACTGGAAACTCTAAAAAGCAGAGGGCCTCTCCTCCTCCAAAGGAATGCAGTTCCTCACCAGCAACAGAACAAAGCTGGACGGAGAATGATGAGTTGAGAGAAGAAGGCTTCAGATGATCAAACTACCCCGAGCTACAGGAGGAAATTCAAACCAAAGGCAAAGAAGTTAAAAACTTTGAAAAAAATTTAGACGAAAGTATAACTAGAATAACCAATACAGAGAAGTGCTTAAAGGAGCTGATGGAGCTGAAAGCCAAAGTTCAAGAACTACAGGAAGAATGCAGAAGCCTCAGGAGCCGATGCAATCAACTGGAAGAAATGGTATCAGTGATGAAAGATGAAATGAATGAAATGAAGCAAGAAGGGAAGTTTAGAGAAAAAAGAATAAAAAGAAATGAACAAAGCCTCCAAGAAATATGGGACTATGTGAAAAGACCAAATCTACATCTGATTGGTGTACCTGAAAGTGATGGGGAGAATGGAACCAAGCTGGAAAACACTCTGCAGGATATTATCCAGGAGAACTTCCCCCACCTAGCAAGGCAGGCCAAGATTCACATTCAGGAAATACAGAGAACGCCACAAAGATACTCCTCAAGAAGAGCAACCCCAAGACAAATAATTGTCAGATTCACCAAAGTTGAAATGAAAGAAAAAATGTTAAGGGCAGCCAGAGAGAAAGGTCGGGTTACCCTCAAAGGGAAGCCCATCCAGACTAACAGCTGATCTCTCTGCAGAAACTCTACAAGCCAGAAGAGAGTGGGGGCCAATATTCAACATTCTTAAAGAAAAGAATTTTCAACCCAGAATTTCATATCCAGCCAAACTAAGCTTCATAAGTGAAGGAGAAATAAAATACTTTACAGACAAGCAAATGCTGAGAGATTTTGTCACCACCAGGCCTGCCCTAAAAGAGCTCCTGAAGGAAGCACTAAACATGGAAAGGAACAACCGGTACCAGCCACTGCAAAATCATGCCAAATTGTACAGACCATCCAGGCTAGGAAGAAACGGCATCAACTAACGAGCAAAATCACCAGCTAACATCATAATGACAGGATCAAATTCACACATAAAAATATTAACTTTAAATGTAAATGGACTAAATGCACCAATTAAAAGACACAGACTGGCAAATTGGATAAAGAGTCAAGACCCATCAGTGTGCTGTATTCAGGAAACCCATCTCACGTGCAGAGACACACATAGGCTCAAAATAAAGGGATAGAGGAAGATCTACCAAGCAAATGGAAAACAAAAAAAGGCAGGGGTTGCAATCCTAGTCTCTAATAAAACAGACTTTAAACCAACAAAGATCTAAAGAGACAAAGAAGGCCATTACCTAATGGTAAAGGGATCAATTCAACAAGAAAAGCTAACTATCCTAAATATATATGCACCCAATACAGGAGCACCCAGATTCATAAAGCAAGTCCTGAGTGACCTACAAAGAGACTTAGACTCCCACACAATAATAATGGGAGACTTTAACACCCCACTGTCAACATTAGACAGATCAACAAGACAGAAAGTTAACAAGGATACCCAGGAATTGAACTCAGCTCTGCACCAAGCAGACCTAATAGACATCTACAGAACTCTCCACCCCAAATCAACAGAATATACATTCTTTTCAGCACCACACCACACCTGTTCCAAAATTGATCACATACTTGGAAGTAAAGCTCTCTTAGCAAATGTAAAAGAACAGAAATTATAACAAACTGTCTCTCAGACCACAGTGCAATCAAACTAGAACTCAGGATTAAGAATCTCACTGAAAACAGCTCAACGACATGGAAACTGAAGAACCTGCTCCTGAATGACTACTGGGTACATAACGAAATGAAGGCAGAAATAAAGATGTTCTTTGAAACCAACGAGAACAAAGACACAACATACCAGAATCTCTGGGACACATTCAAAGTGGTGTGTAGAGGGAAATTTATAGTACTAAATGCCCACAAGAGAAAGCAGGAAAGATCTAAAATTGACACTCTAACATCACAATTAAAAGAACTAGAAAAGCAAGAGCAAACACATTCAAAAGCTAGCAGAAGGCAAGAAATAACTAAAATCAGAGCAGAACTGAAGGAAATAGAGACACAAAAAACCCTTCAAAAATTAATGAATCCAGGAGCTGGTTTTTTGAAAGGATCAACAAAATTGATAGACCACTAGCAAGACTAATAAAGAAGAAAAGAGAGAAGAATCAAATAGACACAATAAAAAAGGATACAGGGGATATCACCACCAATCCCAAAGAAATACAAACTACCATCAGAGAATACTACAAACACCTCTATGCAAATAAACTAGAAAATCTAGAAGAAATGGATAAATTCCTTGACACATACACCCTCCCAAGACTAAACCAGGAAGAAGTTGACTCTCTGAACAGACCAATAACAGACTTTGACATTGTGGCAATAATCAGTAGCTTACCAACAAACAGAGTCCAGGACCAGATGGATTCACAGCGAAATTCTACCAGAGGTACAAGGAGGAACTGGTACCATTCCTTCTGAAACTATTCCAATCAATAGAAAAAGAGGGAATCCTCCCTAACTCATTTTATGAGGCCAGCATCATCCTGATACCAAAGGCTGGCAGTGACACAACCAAAAAAGAGAATTTTAGACCAATATCCTTGATGAACATTGATGCAAAAATCCTCAATAAAATACTGGCAAACCGAATCCAGCAGCACATCAAAAAGCTTATCCACCATGATCAAGTGGGCTTCATCCCTTGGATGCAAGGCTGGTTCAATATACGCAAATGAATAAATGTAATCCAGCATATAAACAGAACCAAAGACAAAAACCACGATTATCTCAATAGATGCAGAAAAGCCTTTGACAAAATTCAACAACGCTTCATGCTAAAAACTCTCAATAAATTAGGTATTAATGGGACGTATCTCAAAATAATAAGAGCTATCTATGACAAACCCACAGCCAATATCATACTGAATGGGCAAAAACTGGAAGCATTCCCTTTGAAAACTGGCACAAGACAGGGATGCCCTCTCTCACCACTCCTATTCAACATAGTGTTGGAAGTCCTGGCCAGGGCAACCAGGCAGGAAAAGGAAATAAAGGGTATTCAGTTAGGAAAAGAGGAAGTCAAATTGTCCCTGTTTGCAGATGACATGATTGTATATCTAGAAAACCCCATTGTCTCAGCCCAAAATCTCCTTAAGGTGATAAGCAACTTCAGCAAAGTCTCAGGATACAAAATCAATGTACAAAAATCACAAGCATTCTTATACACCAATAACAAACAGAGAGCCAAATCATGAGTGAACTCCCATTCACAATTGCTTCAAAGAGAATAAAGTATCTAGGAATCCAACTTACAAGGGATGTGAAGGACCTCTTCAAGGAGAACTACAAACCACTGCTCAATGAAATAAAAGAGGATACAAACAAATGGAAGAACATTCCATGCTCATGGGTAGGAAGAATCAATATCGTGAAAATGGCCATACTGCCCAAGGTAATTTATAGATTCAATGCCATCCCCATCAAGCTACTAATGACTTTCTTCACAGAATTGGAAAAAACTACTTTAAAGTTCATATGGAACCAAAAAAGAGCCCGCATCAGCAAGTCAATCCTAAGCCAAAAGAACAACACTGGAGGCATCACGCTACCTGACTTCAAACTATACTACAAGTCTACAGTAACCAAAACAGCATGGTACTGGTACCAAAACAGAGATATAGATCAATGGAACAGAACAGAGCCCTCAGAAATAACACCGTGTATCTACAACTATCTGATCTTTGACAAACCTGACAAAAACAAGCAATGGGGAAAGGATTCACTATTTAATAAATGGTGCTGGGAAAACTGGCTAGCCATATGTAGAAAGCTGAAACTGGATCCCTTCCTTATACCTTATACAAAAATTAATTCAAGATGGATTAAAGACTTAAATGTTAGACCTAAAACCATAAAAACCCTAGAAGAAAACCTAGGCTTTACCATTCAGGACATAGGCATGGGCAAGGACTTCATGTCTAAAACACCAAAAGCAATGGCAACAAAAGCCAAAATTGACAAATGGGATCTAATTAAACTAAAGAGCTTCTGCACAGCAAAAGAAACTACCATCAGAGTGAACAGGCAACCTACAAAATGGGAGAAAATTTTCGCAACCTACTCATCTGACAAAGGGCTAATATCCAGAATCTACAATGAACTCAAACAAATTTACAAGAAAAAAACAAACAACCCCATCAAAAAGTGGGCGAAGGACATGAACAGACACTTCTCAAAAGAAGACATTTATGCAGCCAAAAAACACATGAAAAAATGCTCACCATCACTGGCCATCAGAGAAATGCAAGTCAAAACCACAATGAGATACCATCTCACACCAGTTAGAATGGCAATCATTAAAAAGTCAGGAAACAACAGGTGCTGGAGAGGATGTGGAGAAATAGGAACACTTTTACACTGTTGGTGGGACTGTAAACTAGTTCAACCATTGTGGAAGTCAGTGTGGAGATTCCTCAGGGATCTAGAACTAGAAATACCATTTGACCCAGCCATCCCATTACTGGATATATACCCAAAGGATTATAAATCATGCTGCTATAAAGACACATGCACAGGTATGTTTATTGCAGCTCTATTCACAATAGCAAAGACTTGGAACCAACCCAAATGTCCAACAATGATAGACTGGATTAAGAAAATGTGGCACATATACACCATGGAATACTATGCAGCAATAAAAAATGATGAGTTCATGTCCTTTGTAGGGACATGTATGGAATTGGAAATCATCATTCTCAGTAAACTATCGCAAGAACAAAAAACCAAACACCGTATATTCTCACTCATAGGTGGGAATTGAACAGTGAGATCACATGGACACAGGAAGGGGAACATCACACTCTGGGGACTGTTGTGGGCTGCGGGGAGCGGGGAGGGATAGCATTAGGAGATATACCTAATGCTAAATGACGAGTTAATGGGTGCAGCACACCAGCATGGCACATGTATACATATGTAACTAACCTGCACATTGTACAGATGTACCCTAAAACTTAAAGTATAATAATAATAAAATAAAATAAAAAAAGAAAGAAGTGTCAGGCCTCTGAGCCCGAGCTAAGCCATCATACCCCTGTGACCTGCAGGTATATATCCAGGTGGCCTGAAGCAACTGAACATCCAGAAAAGAAGTGAAAATAGCCAGTTCCCACCTTAACTGATGACATTCCACCATTGTGATTTGTTCCTGCCCCATCCTAACTGATCAATTGACTTTGTGACAATACACCCTCCCCGCCCTTGGGATAATGTAGTTTGTGATATTCCCCTGACCTCCCGTGAATGTACTTGGTATGGTCCACCCTCCCCACCCTTGAGAAGGTACTTTGTAATATTCACCCCACCCTTGAGAATGTACTTTGTAAGATCCACCACCTGCCTGCAAAAAATTGCTCCTAACTCCACCACCTATCCCAAACCTATAAGAACTAATGATAATCCCACCACTCTTTGCTGACTCTCTTTTTGGACTCAGTCCACCTGCACCCAGGTGATTAAAAAGCTTTATTGCTCACACAAAGCCTGTTTGGTGGTCTCTTCACACGGATGTGCTTGACAGGAAGAATATAGGTAGATATTTCAAATTTTTAAAAAAGTTGATACTTCATCTTGGCCTCAAAAGATGGGAGGAATTTGGATAGATGAAGGGAAGAGGGGAATGATATTCCTGGATAGAACAACTGAATTTAGGTGGAGAACAAGAATGACCTTTGGGGTCTGGGAATAATGGTATACATGACTGGGCAGATAGGGAGAGGCCAGCCATAGATAGGTTTGAAACCTAGGCAGAAGAAGTTGAACCAGAGGTGACTGGAATTAGTGAATCACTGTGTGTGAATATGTGTGTGCATGTATGTGTGTATCCTTTATAAAATTAAAGAAATATTTTTTTCCAGCTGTATTATGTAGATTAAATGGGATAAAGAGTGTAAAGCACTTATCCCAGTTCCTGGCCTGTATTAAGCAGTCACTAATTAGTAGCCATTATTACTAAATTAGTGATAACAGCAGAGAAAGATTTGCCTTGAATTAAAAAAAATTATTTTCTTTTTATGTGTATAAATTTATGGGGTACAAGTGTAATTTTTTTAAATGCATACATTGTGTAATGGTAATGTCAGGGCTTTTAGGATATCCATCACCCAAATAAAATACATTGTACCCGTTAAGTAATCTCTCATCATCTACCCACTCCCACCCCCCTCACCTATACAAATTTTCGTTGTCTATCATTCCACTCCCTATGTCCATGTGTACATATTATTTAGCTCCTGCGTATAAGTGGCTTTCTGTGTCTGACTTGCTTCACTTATGATAATTTGCCTTGAATTTTTAATTTGGACAAATAGACTAATTCTGGGTTATCTATACAAGGTCTATCTAATTTGTCTTTATAAAGTTGAATATAGTTTAACCGATAATACTATTGATGAAGACAAACACCTAAGATCTTACATAAAAATGAGCAGACCCCACATATACTCCAGCAAAGAAAATGTGTTATTTTAATGGCGTCACCATTGATGGAGTTAAAAATAATCACATGAAAAAGTTTTCAGTCTACTATTTCATTAAAAATGTGCTATTTGTGACTCTACAGAATCCAGTTATAGCTTTATGATTCCCCATGGAGGCTATTTCACTAAAACTCAGTTGGTATTAAAAAAGGCATTTCCCAGAGGGATAAACAGAGAAGGCATAATAGCCTCTGCAAGATCCTCTATAAATTTCAAAGGTATGAGAATGCCTGGAAGGTTTTTGTTTTGCTTTGTTTTGGGTTTTTTTTTGGTGATAATAGGGGAGGCAGAGTGTAAATAAACTGTAACTCAAGAAGCTTTCAGTTCTTTAACATTAAAAAATCCAGCTAAGTATAGTGTACCAATATCATTAGTACAATATATTCCACGCTAACTATTCTTCAAGCTGTTTATATGAGTTAATGGTGCAACTTATAATTAAATATTATTCTAGATGAAGACAACAAGGCCAAAGTTCTAAATAAGCTAGATGTGGATGGAGAGGTCTGAGCCACAGGGCTTCTGTAGAGGGAAGGACTAAAAAGTTTAGGAGGAAAGAAAAGAGGAACAGAAAGCAAGAACAGAGGAGAAAAACATGATTCAAGTCCTTTGAAGATTTTAAAGTCAAGAGTTTAAATTTAAAATAAAACAGAAGCCAGTTAAATTCATGTACACAGTTTGCATTATTGCAAACATAGAAAACACTTCTTTTGTGCAACAGCCTGGACCTGCTCCATCTAATTAACAGAAAGAAAGGTCATACTCACACACAGAGAAAGGCACTACTTTTGTTGCTGAATAGCTGGGTTAATCTTTTAACAAAGTATTATATTTTTCTAATTCCCTTTGCCCTTAAGCCTTGGAATTAACCAGACTTCCAGCCATGTGTTCTCTCCTCTTCATCTCCCTTTTCCTTTTCCCTCTGCCTGGGCCTGCAATTCCAGACATTCCATGCTACCTTCCACGCCCCTTACACAATCATCCATCTTAACTAGGGCTTTGTGGACAGAGCCATTCTTAGCCTGTGGTCTTTGCAGCCTGCTGCCAAAACCCTTTCCCACCTGATGGCCTTTATGCAACTTGGGACACACACTGAGTTTCTAGAAATAGCATTAATTTTAGGTGAAAGTGCATTGAGTTGTTTTTTTTGTTTTTTTTTTTTTTTTTTTTTTTTTTTTTGAGACAGGCCTCACTGTGTCATACAGGCTGGAGTACAGTAATGCTATCATAGCTCACTGCAGCCTCCAACTTCTGGGCTCAAGGTGAGGTAGGAGAATAGGATCTGGAGGCAGGGCACTTAAGGCCAATTCGTGCTGACTTCCTAAAGCTGTACCAAGGAAAAACATCAAGGTCTGGGGGCAGGGAATCTGAGGCCAATTTGTGCTGATTTCCTAAAGCTAAATCAAGGAAGAACACAAAGGTCTGGGGATAGGGAATCTAAGGCCAATTCATGCTGACTGTCCAAAGCTGGATCAAAACGAAAACACCTGGGCCTGGGGGCAGGGAGCCTAAGGCCAATCAACACCAACTTCCAAAAGCTAAACCAAAAGGAAAGACCCCATCTCCTCACACCAAGTAGCAAAGGATCAAAGGCTACTCTCCCTGCAACCCTCCCCCTTCCCCAGGGCTCAGATGGAAAGGGAGAGTGCCTTGGATTTGGGCCAAGTGTGGGCCATCACTTCATCTTCATAGGGCGCCAATTCACATCAGCCCTTAACTAGCCACAGACAAAATCCTTCATTCAGATAAGGGGCAGCCGCTAGGGACCTCAAAAGGAGTACTTAAAACCCAGAAAACGTTGTCACTGGGTCCTTATTCAGGGTGGGCCCACTCCCACACTGTGGAATGCTTTCTTGCTTTAATCCCTGCTTTTGCTGCTTCGTTCCTGTGTTTCATTCCTTTGTTACTTTGTGCGTTTTGTTCAATTCTTTGTTCAAAATGCCAAGGACCTGGACAACTCACACTTGGCCTTCCTTCTGGTAACAAAGGGATTGTCCTGCCTCAGCCTCCCAAGTAGCTGGGACTAAAGGGGCATGTCATCACACCTGGTTGATTTTTAAATTTTCTGGACTCCTGGCTCAAGGAATCTTCCTGCCTGGCCTCCCAAAGCGCTGAAATTACAGGTGTGAGCCACCATGCCTGGCCTGCACTGAGTATTTTGAGTGCAAGTCACTATTTGCCATTCCAGTTGGCAAAGTACACTATGACAAGCTATGCTCCTTGGGCATTTTAGTTTACAGTATAGATATTCTGAGACGCAAGTGTCAACTCTTGCCTTTCTTGAGGACAATTAGCTAAAAACTAGTTGTGATCAGTTCGTTTTGGTTTGTTTGGACCAACTATTTGCTCAAGTGGAAGGTGTCAGACCTCTGAGCCTAAGCTAAGCTATCACATCCCCTGTGACCTGCACATACATATCCAGATGGCCAGTTCCTGCCTTAACTAATGACATTCCACCACAAAAGAAAATAGCCTGTTCCTGCCTTAACTGATGGCATCATCTTGTGAAATTCCTTCTCCTGGCTCATCCTGACTCAAAAGCTCCCCTACTGAGCACCTTGTGACCCCCACTCCTGCCTGCCAGAGAACCCCCCCTTTTTCCTTTACCTACCCAAATCCTATAAAACGGCCCCACCCCATCTCCCTTCATTGACTCTTTTCGGACTCAGCCCACCTGCACCCAGGTGAAATAAACAGCTTTATTGCTCACACAAAGCCTGTTTGGTGGTCTCTTCACACGGATGCAAGTGAAATTTGGTGCCATGACTCGGATAGGGGGACCTCCTTTGGGAGATCAATCCCCTGTCCTCCTGCTCTTTGCTCCGTGAGAAAGATCCATCTACGACCTCTGGTCCTCAGACCAACCAGCCCAAGGAACATCTCACCAATTTTAAATCCGGTAAGCGGCCTCTTTTCACTCTCTTCTCCAACCTCTCTCTCTATCCCTCAACCTCTTTCTCCTTTCAATCTTCGTGCCACGCTTCAATCTGTCCCTTCTCTTAATTTCAATTCCTTTCATTTTCTGGTAGGGACAAAGGAGACACGTTTTATCTGTGGACCGACCCAAAACTCTGGCGCCGGTCATGGACTAGGGAAGGCAGCCTTCCCTTGGTGTTTAATCATTGCAGGGATGCCGCCTCTCTGATTATTCACCCAGGTTTCAGAGGTGTCAGACCACACAAGGACGCCTGCCTTAGTCCTTCAACCCTTAGCAACAAGTCCCGCTTTTCTGGAGGAGGGGTAGGAACACTGACCTCTTATCTCTGCGCCCCGACCTCTTATCTCTGTGCCCCATCCCTTATTTCTATGCCCCGCCTTTTTATCTCTGTGCCCCAACCCCTTATTTCCACACCCCAACCCCTTCTCTGCTTTTCTGGAAGGCAAGAACCCCCCACCCCTTCTCCGTGTCTCTACTCTTTTCTCTGGGCTTGCCTCCTTCACTATGGGCAAGCTTCCACCTTCCATTCCTCCTTCTTCTCCCTTAGCCTGTGTTTTTAAGAACTTAAAACCTCTTCAACTCTCACCTGACCTAAAATCTAAGTGTCTTATTTTCTTCTGCAATGCCGCTTGACCCCAATACAAACTCGACAGTAGTTCCAAATAGCCAGAAAACAGCACTTTCAATTTTTCCATCCTACAAGATCTAAATAATTCTTGTCGTAAAATAGGCAAATGGTCTGAGGTGCCTAACGCCCAGGCATTCTTTTACACATCGGTCCCTCCCCCTAGTCTCTGTTCCCAATGCAACTCACCCCAAATCTTCCTTCTTTCCCTCCCACCAGTCTCCTCAGTCCCAACCCCAAGCGTCGCTGAGTCTTTCTAATCTTCCTTTTCTACAGACCCATCTGACCTCTCCCCTCCTCGCCAGGCCGAGCTAGGTCCTAATTCTTCCTCAGCCTCCGCTCCTCCACCCTATAAATCTTTTATCATCTCCCCTCCTCACACCTGGTCCGGCTTACAGTTTCATTCCGTGACTAGCCCTCCCCCACCTGCCCAGCAATTTACTCTTAAAAAGGTGGCTGGAGCTAAAGGCATAGTCAAGGTTAATGCTCCTTTCTCTTTATCTCAAATCAGATAGCGTTTAGGCTCTTTTTCATCAAATATAAAAATCCAGCCCAGTTCATGGCTCGTTTGGCAGCAACCCTGAGACGCTTTACAGCCCTAGACCCTAAAAGGTCAAAAGGCCGTCTTATTCTCAATATACATTTTATTACCCAATCTGCTCCCGACATTAAATAAAACTCCAAAAACTAAATTCCAGCCCTCAAACCCCACAACAGGACTTAATTAACCTCGCCTTCAAGGTGTACAATAATAGAGGCAGCCAAGTAGCAACATTTCTGAATTGCAATTCCTTGTCTCCACTGCGAGACAAACCCCAGCCACATCTCCAGCACACAAGAACTTCCAAACATCAAAACCACAGTGGCCAGGGGTTCCTCCAGAACCGCCTCCCCCAGGAGCTTGCTACAAGTGCCAGAAATCTGGCCACCAGGCCAAGGAATGCCCGCAGCCCAGGATTCCTCCTAAGCCGTGTCCCATCTGTGAAGGACCCCACTGGAAATCGGACTGTTCAACTCACCTGGCAGTCACTCCCAGAGCCCCTGGAACTCTGGCCCAAGGCTCTCTGACTGACTCCTTCCCAGATCTTCTCAGCTTAGCGGCTGAAGACTGATGCTGTCCGATCTCCTCGGAAGCCCCGTAGAACATCACGGACGCCAGGCTTTATGTAACTCTCACAGTGGAGGGTAAGTCCATCCCCTTCTTAATACGGAGGCTACCCACTCCACATTACCTTCTTTTCAAGGGCCTGTTTCCCTTGCCTCCATAACTGGTAGGTATTGACAGCCAGGCTTCCTAAACCTCTTGAAACTCCCCAACTCTGGTGCCAACTTAGACAATACTCTTTTAAGCACTCCTTTTTAGTTATCCCCACCAGCCCAGTTCCCTTATTAGGCCGAGACACTTTAACTAAATTATCTGCTTCCCTGACTATTCCTGGACTACAGCTACATCTCATTGCCACCCTTCTTCCCAATCCAAAGCCTCCTTTGGGTCCTCTTCTTGTATCCCCCCACCTTAACCCACAAGTATAAGATACCTTTACTCCCTCCTTGGTGACCGATCATGCACCACTTACCATCTCATTAAAACCTAATCACCCTTACCCGCTCAATGCCAATATCCCATCCCACACCATGCTTTGAAAGGATTAAAGCCTGTTATCACTCGCCTGCTACAGCATGGCCTTTTAAAACCTATAAACTCTCCTTACAATTCCATTTTACCTGTCCTAAAACCAGATGATCCTTACAAGTTAGTTCGGGATCTATGCCTTATCAACCAAATTGTTTTGCCTATCCACCCCACGGTGCCAAACCCATATACTCTCCTATCCTCAATAGCTCCCTCCACAATCCATTATTCTGTTCTGGATCTCAAACATGCTTTCTTTACTCTTCCTTTGCACCCTTCATCCCAGCCTCTCTTTGCTTTCACCTGGACTGACCCTGACACCCATCAAGCTCAGCAAATTACCTGGGCTGTACTGCCGCAAAGCTGCACAGACAGATCCCATTACTTCAGTCAAGCCCAAATTTCTTCCTCATCTGTTACCTATCTCAGCATAATTCTCATAAAAACACATGTGCTCTCCCTGCTGGTAGTGTCCGGCTAATCTCCCAAACCCCAATCCCTTCTACAAAACAACTCCTTTCCTTCCTAGGCATAGTTGGATACTTTCACCTTTGGATACCTGGTTTTGCCATCCTAACAAAACCGTTATATAAACTCACAAAAGGAAACCTAGCTGACCCCATAGATCCTAAATCCTTTCTCCACTCCTCTTTCCATTCCTTGAAGACAGCTTTAGAGACTGCCCCCACCCTAGCTCTTGCTGACTCATCCCAACCCTTTTCATTACACACAGCAGAAGTGCAGGGCTGTGCAGTTGGAATTCTTACACAAGGACTGGGATCGCATCCTGTAGGCTTTTTGTCCAAACAACTTGACCTTACTGTTTTAGGATGGCCATCATGTCTCCGTGCAGCAGCTGCTGCCACCCTAATACTTTTAGAGGTCCTTATAATCACAAACTATTCTCAACTCACTCTCTACAGCTCTCATAATTTCCAAAATCTATTTTCTTCCTCACACCTGATGCATATACTTTCTGCTCCCCGGCTCCTTCAGTTGTACTCACTCTTTGTTGAGTCTCCCACAATTACCATTGTTCATGGCCCGGACTTCAATCCAGCCTCCCACATTATTCCTGATACCACACCTGACCTTCATGACTGAATCTCTCTGATCCACCTGATGTTCACCCCATTTCCCCTCATTTCCTTCTTCCCTGTTTCTCACCCTGATCGCACTTGGTTTATTGATGGCAGTTCCACCAGGCCTAATCACCACACACCAGCAAAGGCAGGCTATCCTATATTACAAGCCACTAGTCCGCCTCTTAGAACCTCTCATTTCCTTTCCATCGTGGAAATCTATCCTCAAGGAAATAACATCTCAGTGTTCCATCTGCTATTCTACTACTTCTCGGATTATTCAGGCCCCTTCCCTTCCCTAAACATCAAGCTCAGAGATTTGCCCCCACCCAGGACTAGCAAATTAGCTTTACTTAACATGCCCCAAGTCAGGAAACTAAAATACCTCTTGGTCTATGTAGACACTTTCACTTGATAGGAAGATACCTTTCCCACAGGGTCTAAGAAGGCCACCACGGTCATTTCTTCCCTTCTGTCAGACACAATTACTCGGTTTGGCCTTCCCACCTCTACGCAGTCCGATAGTAGACTGGCCTTTATTAGTCAAATCAGCCAAGCAGTTTTTCAGGCTCTTGGTATTCAGTGAAACTTTTATATCCCTTACAGTCCTCAGTCTTCAGGAAAAGTAGAACGGACTAATGGTCTTTTAAAAACACACTTCACTAAGCTCAGCCACCAACTTAAAAAGGACTGGACAATACTTTTACCTCTTTCTTTTCTCAGAATTCAGGCCTGTCCTCGGAATGCTACAAGGTACAGCCCATTTGAGCTCCTGTGTGGACGCTCCTTTTTATTTAGCCCCAGTCTCATTCCAGACACCAGACCAACTTAGATTTTGCCCCCAAAATCTTGTCATCCCTACTATCTTCTGTCTAGTCATACTCCTATTCACCATTCTCAACTACTTATACATGCTCTGCTCTTGTTTACACTGCTGGTTTACATTGTTTCTCCAAGCCATCACAGCTGATATCTCCTGGTGCTATCCCCAAACTGCCACTCTTAACTCTTGAAGTAAATAAATAATCTTTGCCGGCAGGACTATGCTGAATCTCCTTAGGCACTCTCTAATCAGATGTCCTAGGTCCTCCCAATTCTTAGACCTTTAATACCTGTTTTTCTCCCTCTCTTATTCCATTTAGTTTCTCAATTCATATAAAACTGTATCCAGGCCATCACCAATAATTCTAAATGACAAATGTTTCTTCTAACAGTCCCATAATGTCACCCCTTACCACAAAGTCTTCCTTCAGCTTAATCCCTCCCACTCTAAGTTCTCATGACGCCCCTAATCCCGCTCGAAGCAGCCCTGAGAAACATCCCCCATCATCTCTCCATACCATCCCCCAAAATTTTCACCGTCCCAACACTTTACCACTATTTCGTTTTATTTTTCTTATTAATATAAGAAAGGAATGTCAGGCCTCTGAGCCCAAGCTAAGCCATCATATCCCCTGTGACCTGTGTACACATCCAGATGGCCAGTTCCTGCCTTAACTGATGACATTCCACCACAAAAGAAATGAAAATAGCCTGTTCCTGCCTTAACTGATGGCATTATCTTGTGAAATTCCTTCTCCTGGCTCATCCTGGCTCAAAAGCTCCCCTACTGAGCACCTTGTGACCCCCCCACTCCTGCCTGCCAGAGAACAACCCCCCTTTTTCCTTTACTTACCCAAATCCCATAAAACGGCCCCACCCCTATCTCCTTTCGCTGACTCTCTTCTCAGACTCAGCCCACCTGCACCCAGGTGAAATAAACAGCTTTATTGCTCACACAAAGCCTGTTTGGTGGTCTCTTCACACAGATGCAAGTGAAAGAAGGAGCCTGCCTGCAACCTTCCAGGTCAGTTACCTCTTTGCAAGCTCTCCAGCCCTGCCATAAAATGAAACCATTTGCAATAGTTGCTACATCATAGCTTGCTCGGCATCTGCTTTCCTGAGCTCGCTCCAATTGTTCCCTTCATGGGGTCAGGTGAAGTTCGTGTTGCATAGGGACTAGGATCTAGGTATGGTTTCCATCTCACTGGGGCAGCAGGCAGATGCTGAGCGCAGAGGACATGGGTGGTGGCTACACAGCTGCAGAGCAGCCATGACATGCTCTTGGAAACAAAAATAATTGAACACTGAAGTATGTGTAAAAGTACTTTTCCCCTTTGAATCAAGAATATGATCATGAACCTTAGCAAAACAAAGCAATGGAGCTGACTCAGTCTTCTAAACATTGGCCCTGAACCTGAACCTACTATTAAATTGGGCTAAAAGGTTTACAGAGCAAGTGGATTCATTAAAACTGTTTTTTGCTATATTCTCTGTTGTGGCTTTGTCCCAGAGATTTCCAATGCTTCCAGCAGCTTTGGAGTTAGTAACTCTGATATGTTTGCATCTGACTTCTGACCTAAACTTTAGTGTTATTTTCAGCTGTTCTTTGACAGGGAATCCAACAGCTGCTGTTTAATACCACAGACAACTTGTGACACAGGCTGAGTTTCTAGCAATAGGATTAATCTACCAATGTGGGGCACTGATTTGAAGCTGGCTATAATTTTCCTGAACAGGAGGTGGGGGTAGGGAATAAAAAGCCTGAAGCACAGTACTTTCCTTTTTGTTTTTGTTTTTAATTGCAGCAAAATATATGTCTTAATAACTTTTAACCACACAGAAAACATTTTCTTGCTGCAATTAAAAGGTAACAGCAAAGTATTTTGCTTTCTCATGGTATTAATAACTGAACTTGAAAACCTTGTCCAATGGAGCAGAATAGTCACAAAGAAAATCTGAAATGATAGGCACCTATTTATAAATGCTGGTTGAAATATTTTTTAAAAATTCCTAAGAAATCTGAGGCTCTGAGAAAATGTGGCTATTCCATCTAAACTTCATTTAGCAAAGAACAGTAAGTTTTAGAAAAGCAGATTAATCTAAAAATGTGTTTTAAGCAATTTGTGACTTAACCCCAAGACAAATACCAAAACTTTTTTAAAGTACACTTTGGTAGTTCTCTTTGCATCAGAGAGATTTCAAAAATCTTGAAAAGATTGATAACCAGGTCAAAGACTTACTTGTTTCAAAGTCCATGGTTACAATGGCATAGTTTCGGTGGCAAAACTAATTTGGGTTGTCAGGATGTAATTTTTTTTTCCATTTGTTATCAAACATCAGCTGATAAGGAAAGAGCTTGAAGCTGTCCTCCACATTTAAGATAACAGCAAAAATAACAGGCACTTAGTGTCACCATACTAGGGGCGTGGCAATTCTCTCTCGTTCGCTCCTTTCTCTCTCACGATAAACTCAATGGGGTTGTCTATTTTTAACCTCCTGTTCTTTCCTTTTGGCAGAGTAATCAGTGTGAGCTGAGCTCTTTCCCTGAATGAATCCAAGTAACCCTGGCCTTCTGAAATGACCAGCAGACACACAACTGTCCAGAGGCTGCCCAAAGTATAAACTCTGGTTCTAAAGTACCATGTCCAGCCAAGGAAGTCCTAGTGTTGCGCTTTCTACGACGACAGTCAGTTCAGTTGCTGTGCAGGCTGGGGACTCCAAAATCGTTATAGCTGTCATAAAGGTAAGCTAACAACTTCCTTTTTTCTGTGCGGCTGTGGGCTTCTAGCTGTGTGTTGAAAACCCTAAAGAACATTCCATGCAATCGGCAGGACACAGCATAGAGAAGACAACGCAGCAAGCACTCTTACTGCTTTCTAAAATGGGCTACTAAGAGAAACCTCTACAAGTTTCAGCAGTTACCAGAGATTCTCTTTCCTTTCAGTCAGCCAGAAAGCATCTATAGCAGCTTGATTTAAAAAAAAAAAAAAAAAGAAAAGAAAGAAAAATAAAGAAAAGAAAACCTCTAGCATATACTGTCAATTTGGTCTTTAAAAGCAAGGCATTGGTAACTGGAAGTTCATGATTGCCTGACTAAAGAGTCCAATGGACCTGTGGAATGCTTGTGATTTTTGAGAGTGGATGTGATGGAGGTGGGAGGAGGCAGGTCCCGACAGACAGGGGGAGGGCACTGCTTTAAGCACGATGGAACTCAGAAAACACCAAGTAAAGGGCTCCGACATGTGCCCTTTGCCACACTGGTTTTGACATGGTAAAGAAACTACTAAATCCTTGTCCAGTAACGAAGACCATGCAAGGAAAGGTACAAAAGCTTTGTGTCAAATTTGCTCTTAACAGCAGGAAGTAGAAGCCACTTAGGGTTTACAATTACTGCATGTTTTATGACAACCCATTTGCCCATTTGCAAAGATGACCACACATCTTTAGGCTGAAGAAGAACTCCATGATTTTATTCTCCATGGAAATGCCCTGTAAAAAAAAGCTTTCAAGCACTAGGCTTGGGCTTTAGATGATATTCCACCTAAATAATTCAGTGTTTAATGAAGGGAAAGCTGGCAAACAAGCTGATGGTCACAAACCAGTTACTTTCAGGTCCCCACCAGGTTTAATTGAATGACTTTTCTGGCCTTTTGTTAGAGCATGGACAGCAAGCCATGTTTACTTTAACTTAATTGCTGTGAATTTTATGGTAATGTGAAAATTCATACCAGGAAAAGAGCACTTGATACTGAGCAAAACAGTTCACTATAGAAGGACAGAATGGAAAGTATTCCTGCCGAGGTGGATTTTCTGGTGTTGTGAGACTTCTCTCCCACAGGAACCAGGCCTCTGCTGACTTCCTCACCCTCCCATCTTTTCAGAGTCCCAGAGAGGAGATGAAAAGAAGCCTGATGCAGAAGTAGGGCAAACAGATCATTTGCACGGGATTAATGATACTTTGAGTTAACTGCAGATTTCAGCAATGAGGGAAAAGAGGCAAACTCACTATTTTTCAAAAAGTTAACTTTCCATTTCCTCAAATATGAACATTCTTGGAGCAGGATGAGGAATAATATTAGAGGATAAATTACAGAAGAATCAGAGGTAGATTGAACACAAAAAAATTACACTGGAAATTACACTGGAAAATTACACTGGAAACTCTTATTTTAACTGAATTGTGTTTCTAAGAATGTTCCCCCACTACCCTCTCCTCAGCCCTCTTACCTTACTGCCATCTCCATACAAAATACACCCCAAGCAATTCAGAGTATAAAGTCCACCTTAATGGAATGGAAGTGCCTGTGTGTGATTTATAGTGACTGTCCAAACTGTCTCAGGGGACTGAATATATTCTAAAATAGAAATACATTTTTCTAATTTCTCTTTAGTAATTCAGGTATCTACATGCGTATGCGTGTTAGTGGTTCATTTTGCTTAATGAGTTGTTGCTTCTTAGAAAAGCAATTCCTCAGGAAATGCAATGACAAATTATATCTTAGAGCAGTGTAAATCTTGTGTGGAAAGCAAGTTGACTGTGCTCAAATGGCAGTTGTCACAGGCATCTAATTTTGTTAATATTTTCCTACACGCTTTAATGAATATTCAACAACTAAGGTTGGAAAACAGCATATTTTACCTTTGAAATAAGATAAAAATCAATTTCTTCATCTGATATTTATTATTTTCAGCTAAACCAGCAAGGCCAATGTAAAGACACTAATCAGCCTAAATTGCATTTACAAGAACTTTCCCCATGGTGAAATTTGCATCCTACCTGCCCAAGTGGAATTTCACTATTTTTATTGAGTTCAGTTTTGTGAGTGAGAGAGGATACAGTTGTGTAAATTATTCTGTAACTTTATAATATTCAATAATACGTAATCCATTGTATGTTTTCCTCACTTGGGAATTTTTAACTCAAATCCAATATGCCAAGAGAGAATAATTTATGCTAAGAATAAAAAATAAAAGACAGGGCATGGATTTATATTAGATCTGTTGTGTTTCAATTTAAGTAAACCCCATCTCTATGGAAAGAATGGAAAAAAATAGAAAATAGAAAAAAGTGTTTACAGTATAACTGGAAATTTAAACGATATATTAAAAATGAGAAGGGTGAAGAGGAAGGAACAAGAGGAACTAAAAGTGCATTTTATTTAATTTTTATTTTTAGTGTGGCAAATGGGTACAACTTCAACTGGCTGAATCACAGCCCAATCTTCTAGAAATTGGCAGCAGTCAAGATGAAACCAAAAAACTTCTTCATGATCATGAACTTCTTTTGGCCAAGCTCAAGGTAAGATACTAAGATGTGAAGCAGAAACAAAATTAAAGAGACATAAAAAACTATTTCTTATACTTCTTGATTCCTCTGCTGTTACTGGCCTAGGGCCACTTTAATATGGTACCAGGTAGATAATGGAAAAATCAGTAGTTATTTATGAACAAACAGCATCAGAGAGAAGTAACAATATTTTTAAAAATTTTCCCTAATGTGATAGAAACTATGGAAGGATAATATTTTCACTGTGGAGAAATGAGTAATTTTTTTTTCCTGGCTGCCTCAGTGGGAAAAAAACTCCATCATTTTTTCATTTCATGCATTACACCATCAAGTCACAAAAACAGATCCACAATTTCTATTGTTAATGATACCTGCTGGTAAAAATAATTTAGAAGACTTTTCCCCCGTTGGACTATTGAAAATATCTGATTCTGTGCTTAGTATTAAGAGTTCTTGAAACCAAATAATACTTCTGGTAAAACCAGACATACTATTTTATATATGTTGAGAGTATTTAGTTAGAAATCTAAAAGTAACATTGGTTTGAGGTTGCCAGATAAAGGCCAGGTAAGATCAGAGCCAGCTACATAATCTGTGGGACCCAGGGCAAATACAAATTTGGGGCCATTTGTTCAAAAAGCAAGGAAAAGCTTTTTCTTGACCCATCATGGTGTTTTTTATTCACTACTTAATGTCTGGCTCCTTCATGTGTAAGATGAGTGCAGACCTCACAGGTACATGGCCTCATCCATGACTCAGTGCAAAGGACATGGGTTTTACCCCACCCTTCTTAAGCTTCACCTTGGCCACAGCTCCAGCTATAAGAGGTGGCAACGGTCACTGAGTGGGGCTGCGGAGCAGACAGGACAGCCGACTTATATCCAGGAGATAGGACCACATGTCTGATGAGGTGCCAAGCCCTCAGCACTTGCTCTGTTGTCCCATTGGACTTAATTTACAAAACACAAATGTAAGGCATTTCAACACAGGAACAGGTACAGCATTAAGCCCTAAATGGTGTTCCATTCTGAGGAACCTCTGAGGGAGCCAGCCCTGTGAGTAATAAGCTCATAGACAAATGAAATATCTTCACTAAGATCAAAGAGGTTCAAAGAGATTTAATGCGGATTCAGAGAACTGCAAAGACTAGGATGCTCTGCATTTTTAGTACTTTAATATTACTGTTTTCTTTGTACATCTAGGCTGAAATTCATACTTGCTTTCTAGATTTAGAAGCAGATTTGATCTGCATCTGATATATAGACAGTGGTTTTCTGCTTGGACAGTGGTAAAAGTAACTGAGTAAATGAAACCAAGAAGTTGAAGAAAGAATTAGTACAAAGAAGAAGGCTGTTAGAAGGCAGAATTTATTCCCGTTTGACAGCTCCTTACTCTGGGTTTTAGGTTGTCTTGCAAGGCAGAAGTCCCTAGTTATTGGTAAGTCTTTTCTATGTAGGAAAACCCCATTATGTGTTTTTTGGCTGCATAAATGTCTTCTTTTGAGAAGTGTCTGTTCATGTCCTTCACCCACTTTTTGCCATCAGAGAAATGCAAATCAAAACCACAATGAGATACCATCTCACACCAGTTAGAATGGCAATCATTAAAAAGTCAGGAAACAACAGGTGCTGGAGAGGATGTGGAGAAATAGGAACACTTTTACACTGTTGGTGGGACTGTAAACTAGTTCAACCATTGTGGAAGTCAGCGTGGCGACTCCTCAGGGATCTAGAACTAGAAATACCATTTGACCCAGCCATCCCATTACTGGGTACATACCCAAAGGACTATAAATCATGCTGCTATAAAACATATGCACACGTATGTTTATTGCAGCTCTATTCACAATAGCAAAGACTTGGAGCCAACCCAAATGTCCAACAATGATAGACTAGATTAAGAAAATGTGGCACATATACACCATGGAATACTATGCAGCCATAAAAAATGATGAGTTCATGTCCTTTGTAGGGACATGGATGAAATTGGAAATCATCATTCTCAGTAAACTATGGCAAGAACGAAAAACCAAACACCACATATTCTCACTCATAGGTGGGAATTGAACAATGAGAACACATGAACACAGGAAGGGGAACATCACACTCTGGGGACTGTTGTGGGGTCGAGGGGAGGGGGGAGGGATAGCATTGGGAGATATACCTAATGCTAGATGACGAGTTAGTGGGTGCAGTGCACCAGCATGGCACATGTATACATATGTAACTAACCTGCATATTGTGCACATGTACCCTAAAACTTAAAGTAAAATAATAAAAAAGAAATGAAATATGAAATAAAAATGAAAGTGAAAGAAAAAAAAAGAAAAACCCCATTATGATGTGGAAGAGCAATGAGCCAGGAATAAAAACACCTATTGTTTAGCTCTACTTATGTCACAAACTAGTGTGATTTGGCTAATAACTCAAGGTCTTCCTGCTACACAAAAAGCTGTGTAAACTTGTCACGAATCCCCAATTCCATGAACTGTAGAAACGTAATACTTACTTGAAGTTTCTGACCATTCCCAGAAGTTTGCGTTCTCATGATCTCCTGTGACCCCAGCTCCTTTGTATGCACCTGCCAACTGTTTCTGCTGAAGCTAACCTGGGCTTGAAACCACATCTTTTCCCCAGTTCCTGTTAATAATTCATGCCCAGCCAGCATTTCCCAGTCCACTGATAAATTGTGGGTAGTGGTGGGTGAGCTCACATCAGTTTGGAACTCTTGTGCTACCTCACTTCTCCCTTCATCCCTACTCCATCCAGGACTACAGAAGGGAAATGCCTTCTTAGGTGCAGCAATTCAGCTCCTGCCTCCTACCCTGTGCTCAAATTTGCATACCTAAATCCATCCAGTAGCTTAGCTAGAAAAGGGTTTTCCTGTAGTATAGTTTGAAGTTGGGTAGAGTGATGCCTCCAGCATCATTCTTTTGCTTAGGATTGCCTTGGCTATTCGGGCTCTTCTTTGGTTTCATATGAATTTTAAAATAGTTTTTTCTAATACTGTGAAGAATGTCAATGGTAGTTTAATGGGAATAGTATTGAATCTATAAATTGCTTTGGGCAGCATGGCCATTTTCACAATATTGATTCTTCCTATCCACGAGCATGGAATGTTCTTCCATTTGTTTGTGTCATCTCTGATTTCTTCGAGCAGTGGTTTGTACTTCCCCTTAAAGAGGTCCTTCACTTTTCTTGTTAGTTGTATTCCTAGGTATTTTATTCTTTTTGTGGCAATTGTGAATGGGAGTTCATTTGTGATTTGGGTCTCAGCTTGCCTGTTGTTGGTATATAAGAATGCTAGCGGTTTTTGCACGTTGATTTTGTATCCTGAGACTTTGCTGAAGTAGCTTATTAGTTTCAGAAGCTTTTGGGCTGAGACAGTGGGATTTTTCCTATGTCCTTAGATGTAGGATCATGTCATCTGCAAAGATAGTTTTACTTCCTCTCTTCCTATTCATTTGTTTCTCTTGCCTGATTGCCCTGGCCACAACTTCCAATACTGTGTTGAATAGGCATCCTTGTCTTGTGCTGGTATACGAGGAGAATGCTTCCAGCTTCTGCCCATTCAGTATAATACTGGATGCGGGTTTGTCATATATGGCTTTTGTTATTTTGAGGTATGTTCCTTCAATACCTAGTTTATTCCGAGTTTTTAACATGAAGGGATGTTGAATTTTATCAAAGGCCTTTTGTGTGTCTATTAAGATAATCATGTGGTTTTTGTCTTTAGTTCTGTTTATGTAATGAATCACATTTATTGATTTGCATCTGGGGAATGAAGCCTATTTGATTGTGGTGGATAAGCTTTTTGATGTGCTGCTGGATTTGGTTTACTAGTATTTTGTTGAAGATTTTTGCATCAATGTTCATCAAGGCCTGGAGTTTCCTTTTTTTGTTGTATCTCTGCCAGGTTTTGGCATCAGGATGAGTTAGGGAGGAGTCCCTCCTCCTCAATTTTTGGAATAGTTTCAGTAGGAATGGTACCAGCTCTTCTTTATACCTCTGATAGAAGTCAACTGTGAATCCACCTGGTCCTGGGCTTTTTTTGGTTGGCAGGCTATTTATTACTGCCTCAATTTCAGAACTCATTATTGGCCTATTCAAGGATTCAATTTCTTCCTGGTTCAGTCTTGGGAGGGTACATGTGTCCAGGAATTTATTCATTTTTTCTAGATTTTCTAGTTTATGTGCATAGAGGTGTTTATAGTATTCTCTGATGGTTGTTTGTATTTCTGTTGGGTCAGTTGTACTATCCCCCTTATCATTTCAAACTGTGTTTATTTGATGCTTCTCTCTTTTCTTCTTTATTAGTCTTGCTAGTGGCCTATCATATTTTATTTTATTTTTCTTCAAAAAGCTAGCTTTTAGGATTCATTGATTTTTTTGAAGGTTTTTTTGTGTCTCTATCTCTTTCAGTTCAGCTCTGATCTTGGTTATTTCTTGTCTTCTGCCAGCTTAAGTGGGTTGTTTGCTCTTGATTCTTTCTTTTAGTTGTGATGTTAGGTTGTTAACTTGAGATTTTTCTAGCTTTATGATGTCGGCATTTTAGTGCTATAAATTTCTCACTTCATACTGCTTTAGCTGCATCCCAGAGATTCCGGTCCATTGTGTCTTGGTTCTCATTAGTTTCAAAGAACTTCTTAGGCTGGGCACAGTGGCTTATGCCTGTAATCCCAGCACTTTGGCAGGCCAAGGTGGGTGGATCACCTGAGGTCAGGAATTTGAGACCAGCCTGGCTAACATGGTGAAACCTTGTCTCTATTAAAAATACAAAAATTAGCCAGGTGTAGTGGTGCGTGCCTGTAATCCCAGCTACTTGGGAAGCTGAGGCAGGAGAATTTATTGAACCCAGGAGACAGAGGTTGCAGTAAGCCAAGATTGCACCATTGCACTCCAGCCTGGGCGACAGACGGAGCAAGACTGTCAAAAAAAAGAATTTCTTGATTGATTTCTGCCTTAATTTCATTATTTGCCCAAGAGTCATCCTGGGGCACATTGTTCAATTTTCATTTAGTTGTATGATTTTGACTGAATTTCTTAATCTTGACTTCTAATTTGATTGTGCTATTGTCTGAGAGACTGTTATGATTTCACTTCTTTTGCATTGGCTGAGGAGTGTTTTACTTCAATTATGTGATCAATTTTAAAGTAAGCGCCATGTGGCAATGAGAATAATGTATGTTCTGTTGTTTTGGGGTGGACAGTTCTGTATATGACTATCAGATCCACTTATCCAGAGCTGTACTCAGCTCTGGATCTGAGCCGAATATCTTTTTAAATTTTCTGTCAATGATCTAATATTGTCGGTGTGGTGTTAAAGTCTCCCACGACTATTGTGTGGGGGATCTAAGTCTCTTTGAAGGTCTCTAAGAACTTGCTTTATGAATCTGGGTACTCCTGTATTGGGTACATATATATTTAGGATATTCAGCTCTTCTTGTTGAACTGAAATTTTTACCTTTATGCAATGCTCTTCTTTGTCTTTTTTAGTCTTTGTTGGTTTACAGTCTGTTTTGTCAGAAACTTGGAATGCAAATCTTGCTTTTTCTGTTTTCTATTTGCTTGGCAAATTTTCCTCCATTCCTGTATTTTGAGCCTATGTGAGTCTTTGCATGTGAGATGATCTCTTAAAGACAGCATACCAATGGATCTTGGTTCTTTATCCCGCTTGCCATTCTGTGTCTTTTAATTGGGGCATTTCCATTTACATTTAAGGTTAGTATTGTTATGTGTGGATTTCATCTTGTCATCATGATGCTAGCTGGTTATTTGGCAAAAAAAAAAAAAAAAAAAAAAAAACCCACAACCAACCCGATTAAATAATAGGCAAAGGACATGAACAGACACTTCTCAAAAGAAGACATACATGCAGCCAACAAACATTAAAAAAAGCTCAAAATCACTGATCATTAGAGAAATGTAAATCAAAACCACAATGAGATACCATCTCATACCAGTCAGAATGACTGTTATTATAATGTCAAAAAAACAGCAGACATGGTGAAACCCCGTCTCTATTAAAAATACAAAAAATTAGCTAGGCGTGGTGGTGGGCGCCTGTAGTCCCAGCTACTCTGGAGGCTGAGGCAGGAGAATGGCGTGGAGGCAGGAAAATGGCGTGAACCCAGGAGGCGGAGCTTGCAGTGAGCCGAGATCGCACCACTGCACTCCAGCCTGGGTGACAGAGTGAGACTCTGTCTCAACAAACAAACAAACAAACAAACAAACAAAACAACAGCAGAAGCTGGTGAGGATTTGGAGAAAAGGAATGCTTTTACCATGCTGGTAGGAGTGTAAATTAGTTGAATCATTGTTGAATTGTAGAAGACAGTGTGGCATTTCCTCAAAGACCTAGAGGCAGAAATACCATTCAACCCATCAATCCATTACTAGGTATATACCCAAAGGAATGTAAATCATTCTGTTATAAAGTTATATGCATGAGTATGTTCATTGCAGTACTATTCATGATAGCAAAGACATGGAATCAACCTAAATCCCCATCAATGATAGACTGGATAAAGAAAGTGTGGTACATATATAACATGGAATATGATGTAGCCATAAACAGGAATGAGATCATGTCCTTTGCGGGGACATAGATGGAACTGGAGTCCATTGTCCTTAGCAAACTAACTCAGAAACAGAAAACCAAATACCATGTGTTCTCACTTATAAGGGGGAGCTGAATGATGAGACCACATGGACACAGTTGGGGGAACAACACACACTGGTGCCTGTCAGAGGGTGGGAGGTGGGAGGAGGGAGAGCATCAGGAAGAATACCTAATGGATACTAGGGTTAATACTTGGGTGATGGGATGATCTGTACAGCAAACCACCATAGCACATATTTACCTATGTAACAAACCTGCCCATCCTGCACATTTAGCCCTAAACTTAAAATTAAAGTTGGAAATAAAAGAAAGAAGAGGGGTTTCCTTTTCTATGCTCTTTAGAAGACACTGGTTCTAGAATTAAACATCTTGTTCTTTGATGCCCTTCAGGCTATGTGTGGACTAGCCATTTAAGTTCTCTGGACTTTAGGCTTTTTATCTTTAAAATGAGGGAACAGGACAGATCGAAGCTTCATATTTGTTGTGGATCTTACCACAATGTGCCAGTCTCCCTCCCTGCACATGGGTCTAAGAAAATGAGGTCTCAAACCAAAAGATCTTTTACCTTCATCTGGACCTCTAGCCATAACCTCTTAAGGTTCATCTCTCATATTCTCCCCCAACCACTCACCACTTTCAATCCAGCCACTCAGCCCTAACAAACTTTAACTAGTAGTTTTATCATCTAGATATACCTAATTCTAATATTATGAGTCTAGAAAAGAAAAAAATTATCAAGAAGTCTAAAGTCTATTTCAGATTTGCTGACAAAAGACTTTTAAAAATAATGAAAATATAAATTCCATTTCACAAATGGATAGATCATAAATTCAACCAATTTACTAGCTAATATGCTGTCAAGATAGGCACAAACTTAACCTGTAGCAGAAAATTGTTGGATCCAAGTTGGTTTGAATATGAGCTTTTGAAGGATGAGGACATTAGTAGTTCAATAAGCCAATAATACTTAATATTTAATGTTTATTCCAGTCCTTTTTGTATGTACAGGGTCTTGCAATTTGTTCTAATCATAAAGAATGCTGTGAAAATGGCATTGGAAGGGTGTAGGATTCGGTGCTGAGTCAACTCTGATTTGGGCACAACACTTAAGTCTCTCTGGTCTCAGGGTCTTTATTTGAGAAATTAGAATAATAATAACGGTTACCTTCACACACCTAAAAAGAAAATTTGGGTAAGAAATACAATAATATATGGAAGTACATGCTGCTTTTCAAAGAAAAAGTGGCATAATTATTATGTTAATGAGTGTTTCAGAGTAATTTGGTATATTAAATGTTTAATTTAATAGAAAAGCTATTTTCTGCTTTCCACTGAAAATTATCTCAAACCCTAGTAATTTAGATAGACTAAAGAAAAAAATTCCGAAAACTGAGAATTTTTATAAGGGCCTCTAATGTTGGTAATATCTGTACGCTAGAGATCTTATTTTCCCTTCTGCAATGTACTTAATCTTAGTGGAGTGTCCAAAGAAAAAATATTTTCCTGTTTTCAGTGATGAAAATAAAATCAAGTGGAAAAAACTTTAACTCCCAAAAGGCGTCTAGATTTCCAAACCATATTCAAGTCATTTATAATGAAAAAGAAGGATTCCAGAAAAGGCAGATTTAAGCCAGGTAAAGAAGATCTGCCTGTGGCTACTATTGACATTACATCCTCAGGTGAGGTGCAGAGTGTTAAAGGAGGAAAAAAGGTTGGAAATTCCTTAGGGAAGTTGCCAAGAATGTTCTTCTTAACATCTGACTTTCCATTACATTGCTATTGTCTAGGGGAATTATGACTGTAAGAGTCAAGAAAACCTCCTGGGCACTGGCAACTGTATTTGCAGTTGGCATTCAGTGAAGAATGACCCTTTAGAGTGGTAAAACACTGGAAAATTTCACCTCTAATTTGACTCTCATAAATTTACTGGTTTCCTCTTCTGACTAAATCTCCAATTCAGGGAATGCTTATTTTTGCCCTATTTCTATTTTCTGTGCTAGAAATGAATGTACTATAAATAGAATATATTAGTAGTAAAACTAAAAGTCTTACAAAAACTTACCTTAAATAAGAGATAGTGAGGTTTTCTGGTGTTCGTCTGAAATATTTACTAAGAATGCATTTAGAAAATATTTTTATTATGGTAAAACATACATAACATATAATTTGCCATTTTATTCATTTTATATGTACAATTCAGTGGCATTAATTACATTCACAATGTTGTGCAACCATCACCACTATGTATTTCCAAAACTTTCTCATCACCCCAAACAGAAACTCAGTACCCAGTAAAAAAATAACTCTAATTATTACTTCCACTGGTAAGCTCTAATCCACTTTCTGTCTCTATGAATTTGTCTATTCTAGGTACCCCATATAAATGGAATCACACAATATTTGTCCTTTTGTGCCTGACTTATTTCACTTAGCATATGATGTTTTCAAGGTTCACCCATTTTGCAGCATGTATCAGACCTTCATTCCTTTTTGAATAATGAATAATAATCCATTGTAATGACATGCTACATTTTGTTTATTCATTCATCTGTCAATAGACACTTGAGTTGTTTCCACTTTTTGGCCCTTATGAATGCTGCTACAATGAACATTGGTGTACGAGTATCTGTTTGAGTATCTGTTTTCAATTCTTTTGAATATATATGTAGGAGTGAAATTGCTGGGTCCTGTGCTGGGTATTTCTGTTTTTAGTGTTTTGAGGAAACACCAAAATATTTTCCGCAGCAACTGCATCAACTTTTGTTCCCACCAACATTATATGTGTTCCGATTGGTCCACGTCTTGTCCATAACTTGTTGTTTCTTGTTTGTTTCTTTTTTAAAAAGTCATAGCCATCCTATTAGGTGTGAAGTGATATGTTATTGTGGTTTTAATTTGTATTTCCCTAAAGTGGATGATGTTGAGCATCTTTTCATGTGCTTATTGGCCAGTGTATATCTTTTTTGGTGAAATATCTATTCAAATCCTTTGTCCACTTTTAAA
The DNA here is from genome assembly GCF_000001405.40 of Homo sapiens. Classification (NCBI taxonomy): domain Eukaryota; kingdom Metazoa; phylum Chordata; class Mammalia; order Primates; family Hominidae; genus Homo; species Homo sapiens. The sequence goes on along the minus strand of NC_000002.12, from coordinate 179,037,671 downwards.
GCACGTTGTTTGGATTTTCTGTTGTTGAGTTGTAGAAGTTCTTTTTATATTTTAGATATTAATGCCTTATCAGATACATGATTTACAAATATCTTCTGCCATTCTGTAGGCTGCTTCTCATTTTCTTGATGATATTCTTTAAGAATGTATTCCAAAGCTGCGTGACTCGAATTATTTATACTTACATATTAGAGGAAATTTCATAGCATGTGTGTTGTGAATGTGAAGAAACACTTTCAGACAGTGTTAGAAGAGGACTAACCTGTTTCACATTACCTATGTCATAGCAGTGTTTTTCTCTAAATGCTTAGTTTATACAGGAGCCACTTTATCTCTTTCCCTGTGCTCCTGTTGACCCACGCCTTCAAGAATTTACTCTCTCAGAAGTGTTAGGGAAGATGTTTCCACTTATATCTCCTCACTTTCTCTTTCCTACACAAGTAGGGAGGCCTGTGTCACCTGACTGGTGAGACTGGGGAAGCCTCAAGGGCTCTTTCCACAGATCCACTGAACTATGGGTTGCAGGTTCTCTTCTCTCTCTGTTTCTCCTCACCTGGCCAGATGTCCCCACTTGGCAGACACAGGCCAGAGTCCCACCTAGGGCAGCTAGTTATGTATCTGTGCCTCAGATCCACCTGTCTCCACAGGGAGGTTCTATGGGATAGGTTACAGGGAGAAAATGCAGAAATGCAAATCAACCCCATCCTCCAGTCCAGCTTTACCAGTAATAACAGCATATATTCTTATCCTTCCCTCACCCTGATTTCTATTTCTCAGTTGATTCAGAATCTTGAAGAGAAAGGAGTGAGATCAATTGGCACCTTCCAAATTCAAACACGTATTGATCTGTGTTTGAAATGGATGGTGTTCTCATCTTCTATGTATGTAAAGTTCTGGCCTTATTTTGCATGGAGCATTTTGAAGAAGGTGACTGGAACAACATGGGAACAATGCCAGAATTGTGGTCTAGTGGGAATTAGTCAGTGCTTTAATTTCTCTTTTAGGGTTTTGAAAATGGAGAACTTTTTCCACTAAAAAATGAAAATAGTGTTCTCACAACTATGAGGCAGCACAACTTCCTGGTGACTTTCCCTGCCTCGCTTGGCACTTCCTTGTTTATACAGTGTTTCTTTCCCTGGTTCATTTCCAGTGACTAGAAGGGAGCAGTGCAGTGGTCCAAGGGGCTTAAGTTTAAATAGCATTCTTTACATTTGAAAAGTGCCTTGGCCGATTCTGTAAAACATAGTTTTCACAAGTGGATGTGAGACATGTTGATTTAAGAGAGTCTACGGTGTCCATTAAAATAGGCTTCTTCAACATGGAGTTAGGGCACATAATATTCCGGATATCACACATAATTTGTTACCGGTTCAGGTTGAGCAGGAGTTTAGAGTATGACCATAACCAATGAAGTGTTGATGGGAGTTGATTTACCAAAGGGGCAAGAATTCTGGAAGGAGAGAATTTTGTAGGCAGAGACTGAAGAGTAAGAAAATTTAGAAAAGACACTCCTGACCTCGGCCCTGTCCTGGCCCAGGAATCAAGGTTGGACTTCTTAGCAGAGGCTGATGGGCCTTTGAAAAAGATGAGGCACACGCCATACTCCTTTGTTGCTGGAACACCAAATGACACAGAGTGGGCAAAAAAGAGAGGTGTCCTCCATATTTCTGCAAGGAACAGAACCTGGCTTGGTTATAGTGAATACTGTCAACTCTTTTGGCAACTTTGAAAAGACCCAGTACTCAGGAATATTATGGTAGATGAAAGATGGCTACTAATTCTTTGAAATGTCTCCTCCTGAGAAGTGGGATCTATGTCCCTTCCCTTAAAATTGGAGACTCTGTGACTGTTTAGAGTAATATGATGATGCTGTGCCATATTCTGGGCCCCAGCCTCAAGAGACTGGCTGCTTTTACTTCCTGAAACTTGGAATTGTAACTCTGGGAACCCACCCACCTTGTGAGGAAGTCAAACAGCACTGTAGAGAAGCCCATGTTGAGGAGAACTGAGGCTCCCAGGTAACAGCTTTGGCTGAAATCCAACAGTCAATCAACTTCCAGTCATGTGAATGAGCCACCTTGGAAGTAGATTCTCCAGTCCCAGTTGAGCCTCCCAGCTGACTTGCATGGGGCAGAGACAGGCCTTTTCCACTGAGTCCTGCCCAAATTGAGAATCATGAACAAAGTAAATGGTTGCTATTCCAGGCTACTAGAATTTGGGGTGGTGTGTTACACAGCCACAACTGGAACAGAGTGCAAATACAGAAGGAGCACCCTATAGGGACTTTGAAGGCAGTGCTTATAAATGAAAAGGCACAGGCAGAAGAAAACAAGAGTTTTTATGGGAAGACAGTGGATAAGTGGAACTGAGTTTCTCTAACGTGAAAGATGGGGTGATAATCCTAATGATAAATAAAAAGAAAATTCTGAATTTATGAGAGGTTTTCTTTATGAAGAATGAATGAGGACAGATTCAAAGATATGACTATCATAATGTTAGACTGTTTGACCTGCATTCTGATATAGTTTCTTGATAGACAGAAAAATGTTGTAGTTATAATTCAGCACACAGAGATCTACACAAACTATTATGGGTATATTGTGGAAAATAGGGTATTTAGTTCTTCCAGGAAAACCTTGACAGAAAAACTGATATTTGAACTGTCCTGGAGATGAATATGAGTTTTCCAGAACCCATAGACTAATTTAATGGACAAACAATAGATAGGGAGAAAAATATTTGCAATTTACGTGGAAATCAAATGGTTATAATCCTTCATATTGATAAGAAATACAAATAAAATCAATAAAAATGGACTATTTACAAAAGAGAAATACATTTCCAGTAAACATTTAAGAAGATCAACATCAGAATTACCTGAGAAATGAAACAATCATTAAAAAGATACACCATTATTTGCCTAATATACCATTATGAATTCAAAATATCAATAACATCCAATGATGGTAAGAATGCGAGGAAAGACTGGTTGAGACTTTGGACTGACACAACCTTTTGGAAACCGGAAAGCATTCAAATGTAAAATGCATGCATTCTGTGATCTACTAGCTTCACCTCCAGGAAACTATCCTTGGAAATGAAAGCACTCATAGAGATATTGATATAAAGATGCTTTTGCTCTCATATTGACCATGTTTTCACATTTTTTAAAACTTAAGTTCAGAGGTACACGTGCAGGTTTGCTCTTTAGGGAAGCTTGTGTTATGGAGGTTTGTTGTACAGATTATTTCATCATCCAAGTATTCAGCCTAGCACCCTACTAGTTGTTTTTCCTGATCCTCTCATTCCTCCCACCCTCTACCCTCCATTAGGACCCAATGTCTGTTGTTCCCCTCCATGTGTCCATTTCCATCTGTCATCATGTAGCTCCCACTTACAAGTGAGAACACGCAAAATTTGGTTTTCTGTTCCTCCTTTAGTTTGCTAAGGATAATGGCCTCCAGCTCCATCTATGTCACTGCAAAGGACATTATCTCATTCTTTTTTATTGCTGCATAGTATTCCATGGTGTTTATATACCACATTTTCTTTATTCAGTGTACCACTGATGGGCATTTAGGTTGATTCCATGTCTTTGCTATTGTGAATAGTGCCGCAATGAACATATGTGTTTTTAGTAGAACAACTTAACTAGAAACAAAACAATATATAATAACAGGAGAAATAAAGTTTTAAATTAGTAATTTATGCTTTTTTCATACTGTGAAATATTATGCTGAGCCCCAGGCTTCTTACTTGTGACATAGATAAATTCAGAAGTTTAAGCCAGTGTTGGTTGGGCTTTATGTTATTTGTCACTAAAAACATTTCTATTTGAAAGGCCAGGATCATAGCTAGCATTTTTGAAATCATAGGCCTGTAGTCTCCAGCTATTAATTTTCTATTTAGAAGGTAGTCCTTTAAAATATAAACCTACAAACAAAATTTTTTCATGGAAAATAGAACCCATAGTTCTTATTAGTATGACAAAAAGGTTCTAGGTCTGAGATTTAGACAGACAGGACAAAACTCTGACAGTTCAATATAAATGAAAATGACAGAGATAAAGTGGACACAGAATCCATCCATCCCCTACTCCCAGTCTTCAATATGTCTGAGTAAGATTAAATATTAGGATAAAAATATACTTTTGTATTCTGTCCAGAAGGTAACAGATCTTTCTACTCTAGAAAAGACATAAAATTGTCTCTCAGTACCTGTGTGGGATTGGTTCCAGGATCTCTGAAGATATCAAAATTCACTGATGCTCAAGTCCCTTTTATAAAATGGCATAGTATTTGCAATATAAGCTATGCACATCCCCCTTTATACTTTAAATCATCTATAGATGACTTACAATATATAAAATAATGTAAACATTATGCAAATATCATAGCACATTGGTTTCATATTTGTATTAATTTTTGTTATGTTATTTCTTTCTGAATATTTTTATACATGGTTTATCAAATCTGTGGATGTGGATGTGAAGAACCAACTGTCCATATGTATTGGACTTAGCCTAGAATGAGAGCATTTTCTTTTCTTTTGTTTTGGTTTGTCTGTGTGTTTTAAGTCCACTATGACTTCTGCCTGATTAGCCTTAGCCAGAATGCATCTTTTCTAAACTATAGACTTTATAATATATATAATATTATATATTATATATATATATAATATTCTGAGATATATAATAATGTATAAATGTGTAAAACACTAGAGATTTCAAGTGGCATGGCTATGTCATTCTCATGACAAGTTCATCTAGCTATTACTCTTCTGGAGAATAAAGCAAACTTCTGACTCTATGATTAGCCCTGTTCTCCAAATTTTCTGTGTCCTCCATCTCCTTGCTACCATATATTTGAAACTTAGGTCCTTGAGCGAAATTAGAATTTTTGTCTTTTTTACTGGTTCTAGTACCAGGAAAGATGAAATGATCATCCTCCACCCTGTCTCCACTAACTGCAACTATAAACCCAGGTGGAATACATGTATGACAAGGATGATGAAGAGTTAATGCCGGCAGATAGATTAGGGGAAAGGATTAGAAATCCAAATACCACCAAACCAGCAGTGTTTTCATATGTCCTTGCTCTGGTATTTCCCGGTTGAATTCAAAGACAAACTGACACCCTGATATACGTACCAGATGTGGACAGAAAAAGTTCCAGAAAAGCCCTCTCTTTTAGTTGTGAGCAGAGGAAAAAGGATCCAAGGGTCAGAGAGGGAGAGGGAAAATCCCTTGCTTTTGTTTTTTGCTTTTTGTGTTTCTATTGTCTCTGCCTCAGTCCAAGCCACCACCACCCCCATCCCCAAATGGCAGTCGTGATAGTGAAAGTGGAAGCAACCAGGCAGATGCCTAAACCTCCAAGAGAGGGGAAAACTGGCCAGAAGATCAATGGTCCCAGAGCTTGGAATGAATTCACATTGCTTTTTTTCTCTCCCCATCCTTTCTGCTGCTTGGTCCTACAGGTGCCATGAGAGGATGTGCACAGCAGAGTGAGGAACCTAAAGCCCCTGCTTTAATGCCAGAGAACCAGTAAGGGGGGTTTCCAGGGTACAAATTTCAGGCACTGAGTCAAGCCAGTAAAGTGGGAAGACAGAGAAGGTGAGAGAGCAGTCTCACCTTTCAGCTCTATAACTCATATTGTATAGATGGTTCTGTGATTTTTTTTAAAAGTAAGTTTAACTACTCTGTCAGTAGACAGGAAACTCTGAAGAACCACAAGCTCTCAAATTCAGTTTCATAAGACATGTTTTGCACTTTAACAGCCAACTCAAAACCCATCCTAAGTATTTCCGTAGTTGAAACTGGAGAAACCCAAACCACCCAAGGCTATTGCTGACTGCTTTGAGTGCCTGAGATTCTTAGGTTCAGTGATACCATAGGCTATTAAACTTTTATTAACATGTTGAAAAGAAAACACTTTGCTAGTGTGTCATACTTCTTGGAGCAGCAATAAATAGAAATGCATAAGACAAGCCACAAATGTCAGCTGCATATGTAATTTAAATTTTTTGGTACTCCATATATGAATTCTGGAGCATTAAATGTTTACATTACAAAAGAATAAATGTCTCAAATTGATGATCTAAGCTTTTCCCTTAAGGAACTAGAAAAATAAGAGTAAATTAAAGCCAGAGCAAGCAGAATGATGGAAAAAATGAAGATAAAAGCAGAAATCAATGAAATTGAAAATAGTAAACCAACAGGGAAAATCAGTAAGAACAAAAGCTGGTTTTTTGAAATGCTTTCTCAGCCAGACTGAGAAAGGAAAGAAAGAGGGCAAAAATTATTAATATTAGGCGTAAAAGATGGGTATCACTATAAACCCCACAGATATTAAAAGCATAATAAAGGAATACTATGAACAACTCTGTGCACATATTCAACACTTAGATGAAAGAAACCAAACCCTTAAAAATCATAAGCTACGAAAACTACTCAAGAAGAAAAAAAAAAACAAGTGAAAATAATTTAATAATATGTTTAATTTATCCCAATATATATAAATATTATCTCTTAGCATCTAATCTTTATAAATTGAGATAGTTTAGTCTTTTTTATATTAAAACTTCAAAGTCCTGTATACACTTTATACTCATAGCACATCAGAATTTGAACAAGTCATTTTTCAGGTGGCTAGTGGCCCTCTATATTGGGTAATGCAGATTTAGAGAATAAAGAAGACTAAATCTTTTGGGAATGAAAATAGTTCATTTTTTTAGCCCAGGAAAAGCCTGCTTACCAAACTAATGCATACAGAGCCTGAAAACGAAAATTGTGAGATGAGATTTATTTCAAGGATAAGAAAAGAAAGAAAACCAGGCCAAATTATTTCTAGTAGCAAATGTTTGAAGGCAATTAATAAAGCAGTATTATTAGACACTGTCATAGGATGAGTAGGAATATTTTTCCTAATGTCATATTTTCAAAAATAGGTATGTGTGTAAATTTATTTGTATATGTATGTAGTAACTATTCCAATTATTTTACTTAGAAAAGTAATTTCTTTAAAATGAATGAATTATATAAGCATTTTGCAACAATGAAATGAAAATATACTAATCCAGTTTGAAAGGCTAGCAGTAAAAGACAGTAATTAAATGGTGAATTGTCTGTTTACAAATTCTGGGAGCATTAATGCACATTTCACTAATAATATTATATGTAATTAATTTGTTGTTCAGTGTTCATCCATTGCTCAAATATTGCTCAGTGGATTTTTTATGGTTATGTTTCTTAATGATAACAACACGGGAGGCCAAATGCAATTCAGATTCTAAAAATAGCTAAAAGGATTTTGTTAATATGCCATAGTTAGTTTTGCTTAATGTTGGTTAACGGGTCATTAAAGATTGTGTATTTTGTTACTTGAGTGACGAATGCATAATACAAAGCAAGAATTTGCTTTCTGTTAGCATATTTGGAAAATGAATTAACTTAAAAATTGTTTTTGGTATTAATTTATTTATAAATATTTCACATATGACTAATTTTCATTTGTGGTTGTAGATGACAGCCTAAGTTCTGAATAACAAGCAAAGGGGGAGATATATATGTTATTTAAGAATATGATCTCTAATAACTTCAGTGTTCTATCAGTGTTTATAGCCATTTAATGTATTGTGCTTAGAGAAGAGAGAATCATGCTCTGGATATTACATATACAAATGGGATAAAGATTTAAATCTCTGGTAAAGCCTGTTCTCCAGGACTAAGCAAGACACCTGGAAAAAGTATTGGATAATTAATCAAGATTAGAAAGACAAAAAATTATAAATTGTGGATTTTCTTTTTCTTCCAAGAACAGAAAACTTTCTATATCACCTGAGACTTAGAACTGGCCTGCAAAAAGGGTTAGTTAAGCACAGGGATATCAAACAACATTTTCAACCCTGAAATTTCCATCATAACCCATTTATTAGTTATTGTAAGTGATTCCTTTTAATAAATCATGTTTATACTTCTAACCAAAAATCCCAGCTAAGCTTGCAAATAGGATTTTGTTGTAATTCCTAGAATGTTCATGATTAACTTATGGATCCAATATGTAACTATGGGACACCCTCTGTGTATCCAGCTCAGAGTTGGTACACAAAGGATTGTGGATATGAAATATTGCAAAATAAAGTTTTTACCCCCTTGAAAAACTTATAGAAGCAATAATGGTTACTATCTATGAATCATCTACTATATGCCAGTCATTGTATTAGATGCATTAGATATTTAATCTTTAAATTAACCTTGTGAGATAGGAAATATTTTCATTTCACAGATGATTAAACAAATTCAGAAGTGGCTATGCCCAAGTCCCACAATGGCCTACAATACTATTAGTCATTGCTACTCTAACTTATTTAAAGAGGTATTATTAATATTTAAAATACAATCATGGCAAGATAATATATGGAAGACTATATACAAAATGCTGACAGATGGCTCATAGTCATCAGCCCAAGAGAGGGAAGTATTTATTTGGATCTCAAAAGAAGTGATGGGTAAAGATTAGGAATCAGACTGGCATTCCAGATTAGAGTACAGGATTAGCAAATATCCTGAGATATTTGGCTGAGACAAATATAAGCAAAATACACATGGGGCACATGAAGATCTCTGTCAGCAAATATGAGATGAGGCTACATTGTTATGGAGAATAGGGGCTGGGGCTGAATGGCAGTACCCACCGGGCTACACAGTTAGATTTGATTGTGGCCAAGAGTGGGTTTTTAAAGCGGGGGTAGATTTAACAAAATAGAGTTTTACGAAGGTTGCCTTTATAACTATATGTGGGATGGACTTGAATGGGAAATTTGGGGAGTTAAAATAAGTATTTGGAGACTATTAATAGACGTTGGAATTTAGACTGGGGTTTTGAGTGAGAGTGAACAGGATAAAATTTTAAAGGTTTTGTTATAGCAACATAGTATATTTCTATAATATATTTTGATAAAGTAATGAATTATAAAGAATATATTTTAGAATCAATAATTTTACATAGATAGTGAGGGAAAAGTTGAAGATAATCCCAAACCTTAAATCCTATAGGATAAGAAAAACAGATATCCCACTGGTATTATTACATGATTGCCAAAGGGTACCATTTTGAATCAGAATGTCCTTTATATTGGCAGATTGGAGGTCACTGACATAATTTGCTAAAATAGTTTCAGGGGAGCAGTGGTGCTGGATCCAAAGTTGCAATTGTTTAATGAACAAATGTAAAGAGAAAAATCTGCAGTAGTAAGGGTAAACTGTTGTTCCACTGAAGCAAATGGAAGATGCTGACTGCGAAGCTTTTGTTAGTATGGGAGAGATGAGGGTTCAGGAAATGAGCAGACTGCACTTATAAAGTATAGTGTGAGTGTTAGTGAAGAGTTCATTTGCTATGAATCTGAATTTCCATGAGATACAGTTGTGAAGTTTGGAAGGAAGGGAAGCAGTGATAGGAAGATTATAAAGCAGACAGATGACCAGTTCTTAGGTGAACAAAAACAGGAGGAATGTAAGGCAAGGTGGAGTTACCAGCCTTGTAATGCCCAGTGCTCATAGTGGAATTGATCTCATGGTATCCTGGGTGGGAAGTCTGGGATGGTGACTTCTTGATCCAGTATTCTCAGTCTGATGACTGTTTCTAGGCAGTTCAGGAAACCATGAGAGGAAAGGAGGTGAAAATGAACAATCTTATCTTGCATGTTCTCACCTATAAGTGGGAGCTAAACATTGAGTACACATGGATGCAAAGAAGGGAACAACAAACACCAGGGCTAATTTTGGGTGAACAATGGGATGAGGGTGTATTAGCTAGTTTTCACGCTGTTGATAAAGACATACCAAGACTGGGCAGTTTACAAAAGAAAGAGGTTTAATGGACTTACTGTTCCACATGGTTGGGGAGGCCTCACAATCATGGTGGAAGGCAAGGAGGAACAAGTCACATCTTACATGGATGGCAGCAGACAGAGAGAGAGCTTGTGCAGGGAAACTTTTTTTTTTTTTTTTTTTTTTTTTTTTTTTTTTTGAGAGTAAGAGTCTCACTCTGTTGCCCAGGCTGGAGTGCAATGGCACGATCTTGGCTCACTGCGACCTCCACCTCCCGGGTTCATGCCATTCTCCTGCCTCAGCCTCCCAAGTAGCTGGGACTACAGGCACCCGCCACCATGCCCAGCTATTTTTTTTGTATTTTTAGTAGAGACAGGGTTTCACCGTGTTAGCCAGGATGGTCTTGATCTCCTGACCTTGTGATCCGCCCGCCTCAGCCTCCCAAAATGCTGGGATTACAGGCGTGAGCCACCATGCCTGGCCGGAAACTCTCATTTTTAAAAGCATCCAATCTCATGAGACTCATTCACTATCATGAGAACAGTGCAGGAAAGACCTGCCTTCATAATGCAATCACTTCCCACTGGGTTCCTCCCATGACGTGTGGGAATTGTGGGTGTTACAATTCAAGATAAGATTTGGGTGGGGACACAGCAAATCATGTCATTTCACCCTGGCCCCTAGCAAATCTCATGTCCTCACATTTCAAAACCAATCATGCCTTCCCAACAGTCCCCCAAAGTCTTAACTCATTTCAGTATTAACTCAAAAGTCCACAGTCCAACGTCTCATCTGAGGTGGGGCAAGTCCCTTCACACCTATGGCCTGTAAAATCAAAAGCAATTTAGTTATTTCCTAGATACAATGAAGGTACAGGCATTGGGCAAATACAGCCATTCCAAATGGGAGAAATTGGCCAAAACAAAGGGGCTATAGGCCCCATGCAAGTCCAAAATCCAGCAGGGCAGTCAAATCTTAAAGCTCCATAATAATCTCCTTTGACTCTATGTCTCACCTCCAGGTCATGCTGATGCAAAAGGTGGGTTCCCATGGTCTTTGGCAGCTCCACCCCTGTGGCTTTGCAGGGTTCAGCCTCCCTCCTGGCTGCTTTCATGAGCTGGCATTGTGCGTCTGTGGCTTTTCCAGGTGCGCAGTGCAAGCTGTCAGTGGATCTACCATTCTGGGTCCTGGAGGAGACTGGCACTCTTCTCACAGCTCCACTAGGCACTGCTGCTGGGGGTACTCTGTGTGGGGGCTCTGACCCCACATTTCCCTTCTGCACTGCCCTAGCAGAAGTTCTCTATGAGAGCCCTACCCCTGCAGCAAACTTCTGCCTGGACATCCAGGTGTTTCCATACATCCTCTGAAATCTAGGCAGAGGTTCCCACACCTTAGTTCTTGACTTCTGTGCACTTGTAGGCTCAACATCACATGGAAGATGCCAGGGCTTGAGGCTTGCACCCTCTGAAGCCATGGCCTGAGCTCTATGTTGGCCCCTTTCAGCCATGGCTAGAGTGGTTGGGATGCAGGCCACCAAGTCCCTAGGCTATGCACAGCACAGGAACCCTGGGCCCAGCCCATGAAACCACTTTTTCCTCCTAGGCCTCTGGGCTTGTGATGGAAGGGGCTGCAATGAAGACCTCTGATATGCCTTGGAGACATTTGCTCCATTGTGTGGGAATTAACATTTGGCCCCTCATTACTTATGCAAATTTCTACAGCCAGCTTGAATTTTTCCTCAGAAAATGGGATTTTATTTTCTATCACATTGTCTGGCTGCAAATTTTCCAAACTTTTATGGTCTGCTTCCCTTATAAAACTGAAGGCCTTTAACAGCACCCAATTCATCTCTTGAATGCTTTGTTGCTTAGAAATTTCTTCTGCCAGATACCCTAAATCATCTCTCTTAAGTTCAAAGTTCCACAAATCTCTAGGGCAGGGACAAAATACCACCAATCTCTTTGCTAAAACACAATAAGTTCTCATTTCCATTTGAGACCACCTCAGCCTGGACTTTATTGTCCATATCACTGTGGCATTTTGGACAAAGCCATTCCATAAGTCTCTAGGAAGTTCTAAACTGTCCTACATTTTCCTGTCTTCTTCTGAGCCCTCCAAACTCTTCCAACCCCTGCCTGTTACCTAGTTTCAAAGTTACTTCCACATTTTCAGGCAACTTTTCAGCAATGTCCCACTCTACTGGTACCAATTTACTGTATTAGTCCATTTTCACACTGCTGATAAAGACATACCCAAGACTAGGCAATTTACAAAAGAGAGAGGCTTAATGGACTTACAGTTCCATGTGGCTGGGGAGGCCTCACAATCATGGCAGAAGGCAAGGAGGTGCAAGTCATGTCTTACATGGATGGCAGCAGATGAAGAGAGAGAGAGCTTATGCAGGGCAACTCCCGTTTTAAAACCATCAGATCTCGTGAGAGTCATTCACTATATGAGAACAGCACAGGAAAGACCCACCCCCGTAATTCAGTCACTTCCCACTGGGTTCCTCCCACAACACCTGGGAATTGTGGGAGTTACAATTCAAGATGAGATTTGGGTGGGGAGACAGCCAAACCATATCTGAGGGTGAAGATCAAAAAATTACCTATCAGGCACTATGCTGATTACCTGCGTGACAAAATAATCTGTATCCCGAACCCCTGTGACACACAGTTTACCTATATAACAAACCTGCACATGTATCCCTGATCTTAAAGTAGAAGTTAAAAAAAAAAAGAAAAGAAAAAGAAAATGAACAATCTCTGTAAGGAGCAGTAGAGAAGAGGAAGGAAGGCCTAAGTAGGTGATTCTCAACTGGGCTGGCATCAGAATCAACTGAGGAACTTAAAAAAATAAACCACAGGACTCATATATTCAGGCCCCAAACCCAAAGAGGCAAAGAAAGGCTGGAGTGCCTGTATGTTTTTTTTAAAAAGTTTTTGCAGTAATTCTAAAACACAATGAGGAATAAGAAGCTCTGACTATAACCCAAAGAAACATTTTTCCATTAAACAACAACATTAAAGTGCCATCAATGGAATTGAAAAAGAGACTAATGGAAAGTTAGAGGCAAAAATATTCAGGGTCCCATCACAAACATTTGGAGAAAAGGAAATTCTAACACAGAAGTATTGAGTAGTGTCGAAAACAGCAGTGTGTTTGAGGAAGCTGACGTGAGCTCTGACAATGAGGAAATTATCATTGCTCTCTGAAACCTTCTTGGAGAGCTTGCCACTTACCTTACTGGCCATGACCTCCTCTGAGTACCTTCTATAACTTGCAGCCTACCTACTTCTACTGTAGTATGTGTTTCATGACAGACCATGAGTGTTTCATTTTCATCTTTGTGAGATTGTGGACATATTTCTATCCATAGAGCCTAGCACCATGCTTGGATTACATGTACAACAAATGTTTGTGGAATGAATGAATAAAGGAATGAATGAATGAATACATATATTCATGACATAATCACAGGAACAGTTCATCTCTGTGTAATAACAAAAGAAACATGCGAAAAAGGAATGTGGGTAAAGAAACAAAATAGCAATGATTTAAATGGTATTCACATACCTTGCTGTTCTTGCTTGCAACAGTTCTGAGGGTTTGAAGAAGATTCAATTATTAATGTATGGAACATTTGGGCTCCTAAGAGAACATGGTGGAACGGATGAATAATTAATGCTGTTAGTTTTTCTGATTTGTGTCATTATTCTTCTTTTAACTGAGCCAGAGGATGGATTTCCCTGTAAATTATAGATGTCCTCATTTTGGAATGCCATTATGGCCTCCTGAGCTTTGCCCTCACCTAAGCCGGGCCTGTCTTTCTCTACTGTGTTTCCTCCGAGTTTCTCAACCAATGTCTCATTATGCACAGTACAGTGTCACATTAATGTGGTACTTACACAAGCATGGCCTGTATAATGTATATCAAGCATGGTTTATGAAGTATTTACATTCATATAATCTTGGGTACCTGTTAAAGGGCAGCTCTCCAGACCTCTATGAGATAAGACTCTCTGTGGGTAGAGCAGGGCCATTTGCACTTGGCACCTGCAGCTCCAAGGCTCTTCCTCATCATTTAGCATTGCTTTTAATGTTAGTTTGCTTATATTTTTACATATGTATATATTTCTCATAAGAGTGTAAGTTTTCCTCAGGACAGAGATTGTGTTGGTGCACATTAAGTTCTTTTCAAGATAGTTTTTGTCTAAATTAGTTGTAAGAAATTTAGAGCCCAAGTTGTGATATATGTATAAACATAACACAGTGGACTTTTATTGCATGATTGCTAGTGAGAACCACTTTTAAAAATTTAATATTTAATTTCAAACATTACATATATTTTAAATGTTTTAAATGTATTAATCTGTTTAATATTTAAAAAATCATATGAGTTAAATTTCATAACAGGCAACATAACTTAGCAGTTTTGTATGTATGCTCTGCCTGCCTGGATGTGCATTCCAGTGTTGCTGCTTGGCTGTGTAACTCTGGGGAAGTTACTTATCCTCTTTCTGCCTCAGTTTCCTCATCTGTGAAATGGAGGTAGTAATACCTACCTCAGAAGGTGGATGTGAGGATTTAGTGAGTTGAAACCTTTAAAGAATTTGAAACAAGGCTTCACACATAGTAAGTGCTGAATGATTACCTCTTATTATTTTTAATCTCCATTTTACAATTGAAGAAACTAATACATACACAAGTGTGTATATACAAATGTATATACAGTCATTTGCCCTGGTCATATAGCTAGGAAGCCATGGAGCTGGGGCTCCCACTCCAGTGGTGTGCCTTTGTGCGATTCCCCATACCCAGCATGCTGTGTGCCCTTCAATCATTAACTGTAGTATGAGATCCCACTTATTTGGGGGAGTCATAGGGATGGTACGCGTCACTTCTCAGCTGACTGAAAAGGACCACTCAGTTAGCAATACTGAGGCCGTGGATCTCATAGGATTTGCAGGAACCACGTCACATAGCATCAAGATGGCTCTGCTCCACCTGGCTAGCTTCCCTGTCTACTGTGTGCCTCTGTCCTTGGCATTGGAAGGGACACACACACAAAATGTAAAAGGCATTCTTGGCCTCCAGAAATATATGATGTACAATATATAGAGAACAAAATGACCCTGGTAGACTCACAAAGCAGTTAAATAACAGTGAAGTCACAACATCAAGGCACTATCTGAGTAATTAAGTCCCCAGATGAAAGACACTGATCGTGAAAGTACCATAGACATATTCATGGAGAAAGAGAAATTAATTTAGCTGGAGTGGTTTCATGGGGAAGGTAGAATTTAATACAAGGTTGTGGGAATAAGTGGCGTGAGACGGAACAGTGTTTGGGGCAGGGAAGAGAGCTAGGTCTTCAAGGTAGAAAAGCTGCCTCTTTCCTCGGCTTTGGCTTCATCCTGTGAACAGACGTTAGCTTAGTGCTCGTATTTATTTATCTTTCTGTTTGGTACAAAAACTTCCTATTGTTCTAGCTTTCATCAAGTCTTAGGGAATGTGTTATTCTCTTTGTTGCTATTTTTGTATTTTATTCAAGCATGGTAGAGTTCAGATTCCCCAGTAAAACACACAATGGTATTCTTGATAAGCTTCCAGGACTGTTTTTTCGGTCACTTGAAAGGCCACAGAACTCTGCAAAAAAGGTAGTGAAATCCAAACAAATCCAAGCGTACAGACCACTCCCTCAAACAGCAGAAACTACTATTAATTATTTGGTCCATACACCTGTAGATTATTTCTAATTACATTATTTACTTCATTTAACAGAACAGATATGGAAGAGTCATTTGTACGCAAATATCCAAAAAGAAAAAATTAAGGAGACGCATTTATAAGAATTAATGTTGTAGAGCCTTTTAGATGCATTGAAATGTTTTAAAATACTATCTTTTATTAGGCCTATGCAAAAGAAATATTTTTGGAACAATTATTTTGCAGTAAACTGAGAAGAAAATATCTGATCTGGTTCCATTTACATTATACTTAGTCTCATAATTATAAAGGGACTAAGTTGTAGCTGGCATTTCCATTATAAACAGATTTTATGGTCCTTTAATAAATGGTTCTAGTTTGAAGAGTGACCAAGAAAACACAAATCCTTATTTTTTAAATCCAAATGGACTGATTCAATACAATGTCAGAATTTTCCAAGTTGCTTTTCATAATTTTGTCTCTTTCTGTTACTGTGTATGTCACTGACATTTCCTACTGACGGCAGAACCATTTCATCTTTTACTCATTTGGTTTTAGCACAGGAGCCCCTGAAAATTAAAGAGTTGACACAAGAATTCTCAATTCACTGAGGGCTGTGGTCTAGCTTTCAGTTAGAGGTGATTTCCACTCGGGACAGCTGTGACCCTCAGGTTTTCAGCAGCTCATTAGCTGCAGCTTCTATTTCAAACTGAAGCCAATCAGAATACTAGTTCTGTTATTTGTGTGCCAGTTTGGATTAGGGGCAGCCTATACAAATAGGACAGGGTAACACCCCCTTCAGATAGGCATGGGCAATTAGGTTTGCATAGCTAAAATTAAGTGGTGGTATGTTCATTTCTCTTTCACCAGAAAAAATAGTTGAAGCCAGAAATTCATTATGCCTGTCAGCAGTATGTGTAAACTCAAAATCAAATTCAGCATGGTTTACAACGGAAGGTACAACCTACTTCTTAGTGAAATAAAGGCATAAAATGCCTATAAAAGGAAGTATGTAATTTCCAAAGTATTTATTATCTTATAATTATCTTACATTTTGGTTACTATTAATGATGGTGATTATGCTAAGTTACTAACTTTTATGGAAGACTGAACAGTAGCCAGGTGATGTGCTAACAATCACATGCTAATCAGCCCGCATGTGAGAAAGGATTTGTTATCAACATCAAGGTTTTCCTTACATCCCTGAAATCATACCACGTATTTGCTTATTTATTCCATCAACATTTATGGCTAACCCTAACTGCCATCAGGAAATGTTGAAGCCTGTAGAAATATAAGCATTGCATGTAACTGAGCTGTAACCACTAAAATATCTTCATAGAATCCACATAAAACTAGATTAGAATAATTAACATTACATAAATGCATGCATACTTACTTTAGAGACTGCTTTCATATCATTGTCTCATTTTAGTATATATAATAAGGGCCAGTGTGGTATGGACTCATTTTCACAGGTAAGGGAGCTGAGTCTCAGGGAGATTAAGGGACTTGCTCAGGTTTATTAACTGGCTGAGCTGGGACTCACACTCTGATTAAAATCTCATTTTCATGATCTTTCCATGATGTTGGATCCTGTGGCTTCCTGGCACAAGCTGAGCATGGAAGCCTGCTGCTATCTAGAAATATACACCTGATCCCATGAGAAGTGCTATCATATCACAGCCAACGTGGTCTCATGGGATCAGGTGTATATTTCTAGGTAAGCCTAAGACTGGCCCAGTTCCAGCTTGGAGGATTCTGACATGCAGATCCTTAGTTCCCCTGCGTGGGGCAGTGTTGATCAGCCCAGAGTAGCACTCTGGCACACTGGATAGGAGTGTGGGGACTACATAACTGACAAAGAGTAGGAAAATATTTAGGTAAAATTATGCTTTTGGATTTTAACCCTAAAGCTCCTTACATTGTTGAGTGAGAGAAAAAAAACCACACACCTGTATTTGAAATACACATGCCCGTTCTATGGAACTTTTTGGATTCTACATGACGGTTATAACAGTCTTTATTGCTAATAAATATGAAACTATTTTCTCTTATCTTATCTATCAAATGATCTTTCCAGCTGGGCATAGTGGTCCATGCCTGTAATCCTAGCACTTTGGTAGGCCCAGGTGGTCAGATTGCTTGAGCTCAGGAGTTTGAGACCCACCTGGGCAACATGGTGAAACTCTGTCTCGAAAAATTAGCTGGGCATGGTGATGCATGCCTGTAGTCCCAGCTACTTGGGAGGCTAAGGTAGGAAGATTGCTTGAGCCCAGGAGGTTGAGGCTGCAGTGAGCCATAATCATGCCACTGCGCTCCAGTCTGGGAGACAGAGTGAGATACTGTCTCAATAAAATGAATAAAATAAATAAATAATAAATATTTATAAAAATGATCTTACCATCACCGCAAAATAGACTAAGAGCTATACCAATGTATTGGAACTATGTTGTTTCAACTTTAAAGTCAATATTAATTATTAAAGTGTAGTTTCCTACTATAGAATAATCATTTTACTTTTGATATGAGGCAAAGTGTGAAGTAAAGGGGATAGAAAGGGAAAGAAAATAAAAGCGGTTTATGAGTAGATTTTTCTTTCTGAACACTGCTAAAAGCTTTCCTGTATGAAATAAATATTACGTCATTAAACTAGAATTACTGATACAAGAAGTGATGTGCAGTAAGTATTGAGCAATCAAAGGGTACAATAGTGAGACCCTGGTGTTGATATGTCTTCACATGAATGCTTCTCTCTCATCATTAGTGTTCTGCATAGATGAAATAACGATTATGGGAGTCTTCTTTTTTTTTATAAATATAAAGGTGCTTCACTTATCAGCAACGTAGACCGTGAATATATTTTGTTGATTCCTGGAGTCTTCAGGGAGATGCATCAAGATGATAGAAATATTTGGAAATATATTAAGTATTTGGATTTGGATAAATGTTGGGAACCAAAAAGACTTTCGTCTCCTAATATAATATTGGCTTGCTGGACTTTGGAACATTGGCTCAGTGGACACAGTTTTATTTTTGAGCAACCAAATGGTAATTAACACTGACAAAAAGCAATGCTCTGAACTTGGAGCTGTGGGTGTCCAAAGAAGAGGGCCATGGTCTGGCTTTTGGGAAATTATAATCAAATGGAAATTGGATTTTTATTTTTGTTTTTTAATATTTGCTTTTAAAGAATTATCTGAAACATATTTCATTGACTTATCTTTTCTGAATATGAATTTTAGAACATTGATTTGTACTTTTTTTGCTACTTACCTTTTTCACTAACTTCATATTGTATTTAAAAAGAAATATTATACTGTCCAATAAGTACAAAAATGAGTGACACTGTTCTTGCTCTCGCCTAGTTTGTAATCTACAGAATTTAAAACTAGCTCACTCACAATTGTACCAAAGAGTGAAACATAACAACCACATTAGGAAGGTGGAAAGAAAGTGACAAAGGAGCCCACAGGAAGGAGTTACTTTTTGCTGCTATGGAGAGAAGGGTTTCATGGAGAAGGCAGCATTGTAATTGGGACTTGAAGGCTCACAGGTTTTAGATAGGCAGATGCTAAAGTGTAGAACATTCTAGCTAAAATCCTTCAGAAAAACAACAGCAAAAGCTAAAAGAAATTTGTGACATTATTTGAAAGAGACTGAAAAAATAATAGAACTTAACCATTTACTGTTCCCCAAGTTTTTAAAAATTTGTGTTCTTTACTTTTAAGTGTCTTAAATTAATTACCTCCAGTTTAGTGGTAAAACTAAGTGCGTTTCTATAAACTAGAGACTCTACCTGTATCCCACAGTTTATGTTACAGATAGACTCCAGTGTCAGGAAAACATGCAGGATATGCCACATATGTTTGCTCTTTTAGAAAATTGCTATTCAGGGGACCATTTAACACTCTACTGAAGAGAAAGTCCATAATCCTTTTTTGTGGTCCGCATAGCAGTTGAGGTGGTGCAACGTCTATAAAATGGGCTGTCCTTAAAAGTAGCAATTTCAAAGCCACACTTAAAAAGACAGAGTGCATTTTTCAAGTATTGCAGCACAGCCTTGGTTTCCTATCCTTTTGGAAGCAAAAGGGAAGTAGTGTCTTTTAGCATTTCTTTAAATAACCAGCTTTATGATGTTGGCCAGAACATCTTTTTCTCAGATCCAATTCCAAAATATTTTCCTTAGTTTAATGACTAAGCAAGTAGGAGAGGAAAACTTAAATCAAGCTGGGCTTGACTGAGTCTTGAGGCAAGCCATTTTTCATGGGCTGCTCTTCTTATAAGTGCCATACCTCATCGTCAACACAAAGTCTGCTTACACTGTAAACTGGGCATTCCATTTTGTTCCCTTAAACAACTAGTTTTAAAAAATGTTATTATTGCTGATGTCAGTTTATCTAAGGGCTTTATTTGGTAACTGCCCTGATTTTTAAAAAATATCTGAGAATATGTGTTCTTTTTCAAGGTAAGGACAAAAATTGATTTTTTTATACTTTGCAAATAGATTGAAGTGTATTTTTTCACCTCAGACAGTGTCTAATTTTCTTTTAGGATAGTTTGTGTAAACTAGCTGCCACTTTCTTCAAGTTTAAAGATGGCACCAACAAGAAGAGAGAGCTTTATTACTCTTTAAAACAGGGGAATGAGGATTTAAGGAAGGGCACAGAAATGATTTGAAAGGTGGGAACCCAGTGTGCTTAACTCCCAAGGAACAGAAAAGAAGGGCTATCACCCACCCCAGATACACCCCTATAAAGCATCTTTCTTCAAAAATCAGATGTAAGTAAGAAGTGGAAGCTCATTTGTAAGATGGGCTTCTTTAGTTTACAATAGAATGGTGTGGTTCCTTAACACAGGTGTCTCTATCAAAAGATAGAACTATAAGTATTATTTTTTTTCAAAAGTCAACTATTATTCAGAAAGAAAGAAAGATGTGGAGAACATTGGATAAACAGGCCACCAGTATGCACTTTCTTTTGTTGTAAATAATTATTTAAAAGTTCAAAATATCTGGATAAAGTAGAAAATTTGATAATCATAACTTACAAATATTCGTGCTGTATGAAAATAAAATCTGCCAAATGAATAGATTAATACATTTTTGTGTGTGGGAAATCTCCCTCCTCTATTAAAAAAATAAGAAGAAAAAGAAAAAACACTTCTTGAAGCATGGTGACCCACATAGGGAATATATTTTGTATCAAATATTTGCCTGGGGACCAATTCACCCAAACTTCAGCATACGTAGCACCTTTTACCCTTCAGAAATATGAAGTCTCAGCAGTTCATAAAGCCCAGCCTACTCTGCTCTTTACCATCCACCCTGATGCCAAACCTCACCTTCCAACCTCAACCAGAATTCCACTTGTTTTCCACTAGGTAAAATTAACCAGGGAAATAAGAAATAAGTACATTCTTAAAAAAAGAAAGAAGTTTATTCTTGCTTATGCATCGAAAGGTATCAAGACATCAGTGTGTCATTCCTACCACTTATCAGTTCACTCAATAGTTAGTAAAAGCATACTCTGTGTCAGGTACTGGGTTAGATTCGATCAATACAACTATGATTATGACGTGACTCCTGTACTCTAGAAGCTTATGTGAAGATGGACCATTCTTAGCAACTTTTTATTTTGAAAAATTTCAGACCTGCAGAAATCCTTCACTTAGATTTACTAACTGTTAATGCTGTTGCATATTTTCTTTCTCTTTCTCATCTTGCCTCTAAATATATGTTTATATGTATACATTTTTTATGGTGAGGGGAGAACTATTTACTTTTATTTTTTTCCCATAAGTTACTAGGGTACAGGTGGTATTTGGTGACATGAGTAATTTCTTTAGTGGTGATCTGTGAGATTTTGGTGCACCCATAACCCGAGCAGTATACACCGCATCATATTTGTAGTCTTTTATCCCTCACCCCCCTCACTCTTCCCCCCAAGTCCTCAAAGTCCATTGTATTCATTCTTATGCCTTTGTGTCCTCATAGCTTAGCTCCCATGTATCAGTGAGAACATACAACTTTTGATTTTCCATTCCTGAGTTACCTCACTTAGAATAATAGTCTCCAATCTCATCCAGGTCATTGTGAATGCTGTTAATTCATTCCTTTTTATGGCTGAGTAGTATTCCATCATATATATCATACATATATGAGATATATATATGATATATATGAGATATATATGATATATATGAAATTATATGATATATATGAGATATATATGATACATATATGAGATATATATGATACATATGAGATATATATGAGATATATATGAGATATATGAGATATATATGATACATATATGAGATATATATGATACATATATGAGATATATATGATACATATATGAGATATATATGATATATATGAGATATATATAAGATATATATATGAGATATATATGAGATATGTATGAGATATATATATGAGATATGTATGAGATATATATGAGATATGTATGAGATATATGTATGAGATATATATGAGATATATGTGAGATATATATGAGCTATATGAGATATATGAGATACATATGAGATATATATGAGATATATGAGATATATATGAGATATGAGATATATATATCATATATATGAGATATATGTGATACATATATGATATATATGGCACATATATGATATATATGGCACATATATGAGATATATATGGTACATATATGAGATATATATGGTACATATATGAGATATATGGTACATATATGAGATATATGATACATATATGAGATATATATGATACATATATGGGATATGTATGATACATATATGAGATATGTATGATACATATATGAGATATGTATGATACATATATGAGATATATGAGAGATAGATGAGATATATATGATATATATGAGATATATATGAGATATATATATGAGGTATATATGAGATATATGATATATATGATATTTATGAGATGAGATGTATATGAGATATATATGAGATGTATATGAGATATATTGATATATATGATATGATATATATATATGATTATATATATATTATATATATATATATATATATATATATATATATATATCTCTGTCTCTCTCACAGTTTATCCACTCATTGATTGATGGGCATTTGGGTTTGTTCCATGATTTTGCAACTGTGAATTGTGCTGCTATAAACATGAATGTGTAAGTAACTTTTTCGAATAATGATTTCTTTTCCTCTGGGTAGATACCCAGTAGTGGAATTGCTGGATCAAATGGTAGTTCTACTTTTAGTTCTTTAAGGAAACTCCACACTGTTTTCCATAGTGGTTGTACTAGTTTACATTCCCACCAGCAGCGTAGAAGTGTTCCCTGGTTGCCGCATCCATGCCAACATCTACTGTTTTTTGATTTTTTTGATAATGGCCATTCTTGCAGGAGTAAGGTGGTATTGCATTGTGGTTTTGATTTGCATTTTCCTGATCATTAGTGATGCTGAGCATTTTTTCATGTTTCTTGGCCATTTTGATATCTTCTTTTGAGAATTGTGTATGCATGTCCTTAGCCTACTTTTTGATGGGATTGTTTGTTTTTTTCTTGCTGATTTGTTTGAGTTCATTGTAGATTCTGGATATTAGTCCTTTGTCAGATGTATAGATTGTGAAGATTTTCTCCCCCTCTGTGGGTTGTCTGTTTACTTTGCTGACTGTTCCTTTTGCCGTGCAAAAGCTCTTAAGTTTCATTAGGTCCCAGCTATTTATGTTTGTTTTTATTGCATTTGCTTTTGGGTTCTTGGTCATGAAATCCTTACGTAAGCAAATGTCTAGAAGGGTTTTTCCAGTGTTATCTTCTAGAATTTTTATAGTTTCAGACCTTAGGTTTAAGTCCTTAATCCATCTCGAGTTGGTTTTTGTATAAGGTGAGAGATGAGGATCCAGTTTCATTCTCCTACATTGGCTAGCCAATTATCCCAGCACCATTTGTTGAAAAGGGTGTCCTTTCCCTGCTTTACATTTTTGTTTGCTTTGTCGAAGATCAGTTGGCTGTGAGTATTTGGGTTTATTTGTGGTTTCTCTGTTCCATGTGTCTATTGTCTATTTTTATACCAGTATCATGCTGTTTTGGTGACTATGGCCTTATAGTATAGTTTGAAATGAGGTAGTGTGATGCCTCTAGATTTGTCCTTTTTTTTTTTTTTTTTTTTTTTTTTTGAGATGGAGTCTCACTCTGTAGCCCAGGCTGGAGTGCAGTGGTGTGATCTTGGCAGTTCACTGCAAGTTCCACCTCCCAGGTTCACGCCATTCTCCTGCCTCAGCCTCCCAAGTAGCTTGGACTACAAGTGCCCGCCACCACACCTGGCTAATTTTTAGTAGAGATGGGGTTTCACCATGTTAGCCAGGATGGTCTCGATCTCCTGACCTCGTGATCCACCTGCCTCGGCCTCCCAAAGTGCTGGAATTATAGGCATGAGCCACTGCGCCCTGTCTAGATTTATTCTTTTTGCTTAGTCTTGCTTTGGCTATGTGGGCTCCTTTTTGGTTTCATGTGAATTTTAGAATTGTTTTTTCTAATTCTGTAAAGAATGATGCTGGTATTTTGATGGGAACTGCGTTAAATTTGTAGACTTCTTTTGACAGTATGATCATTTTCACAATATTGATTCTACCCATCCATGAGTATGGGATGTGTGTCCATTTGTTCATGTCATCTATTATTTCTTTCAGCAGTGTTTTGTAGTTTTCCTTGTAGTGGTCTTTTGACTCCTTGGTTGGTATATTCCTAAGTATTTTATTTTTTTGCAGCCATTGTAAAAGGGGTTTAGTTCTTGATTTGATTCTCCGCTTGGTTGCTGTTGGTGTATAGAAGAGCTACTGATTTGTGTATATTAATCTTGTATCTGGAAACTTTGCTGCATTCTTTTATCAGTTCTAGGAGCTTTCTGGAGGAGTCCCTAGGATTTTCAAGGTAAATGATTATATCGTCAGCAAACAGGGGCAGTTTGACATCCTCTTTACTGATTTGGATGCCCTTTATTTCTTTCTCTTGTCTGATTGCTCTGGCTAGGACTTCCAGTACTATATTGAAGAGGAGTGGTGAGAATGGGCATTTTTGTCTTGTTCCAGTTCTTAGAGGGCATGCTTTCAACTTTTCTCCATTCAGTATTGTGTTGGCTGTGGGTTTGTCATAGATGGCTTTTATTACATTAAGGTATGTCCCTTGTATGCTGATTTTGCTGAGAGTTTTAATCATAAAGGGATGCTGGATTTTGTTGAGTGCTTTTTCTGCATCTATTGAGATGATCATGTGATTTTTGCTTTTAATTCTGTTTACGTGGTATATCACATTTATTGACTTGCATATGTTAAGCTATCCCTGCATCCCTGGTATGAAACCCACTTGATCATGGTGGGTTATCTTTTTGATATGTTGTTGGATTCGGTTAACTAATATTTTGTTAAGGATTTTAGCATCTATGTTCATCAAGGATATCAGTCTGTAGTTTTCTTTTTTGGTTATGTCCTTTCCTGGTTTTGGTATTAGGGTAATGCTGGCTTCATAGAATGAATTAGGGAGGGTTCCTTCTTTATCTTGTGGAATAGTGTCAAAAGGATTGGTACCAATTCTTCTTTGAATGTGTGGTATAATTCTGCTGTGAATCCATCTGGTCCTGGACTTTTTTTGTTGGTAATTTTTAAATTACCATTTCAATCTCACTGCTTGTTGTTAGTCTGTTCAGGGTATCTAATTTTTCTTGATTTAAGGTAGGAGGGTTTGTATTTTTCCAGGAATGTATCCATCTTTTCTAGGTTTTCTATGTGCATGAAAGTGTTCATAGTAGCCTTGAATGATCTTTTATATTTCAGTGGTGTCAGTTAGACTATCTCCTGTTTTGTTTCTTAGTGAGGTGATTTGGATTTTCTCTCTTCTTTTCTTGGTTAATCTTGCTAAAGGTCGATCAATTTTATTTACCTTTTCAAACAACCAGCTTTTTGTTTCATTTATGTTTTGTATTTTGTTTGTTTGTTTGTTTCAATTTCATTTAGTTCTGTTCTGATCTTGGTTATTTCCTTTCTTCTTCTGGGTTTGGGTTTGGTTCTTGTTTCTATAGTTCCTTAAGGTGTGACCTTATAATGTCAGTTTGTGCTCTTTCAGTCTTTTTGATGTAGGTGTTTAGAGCTATTAACTTTCCTCTTAGCACCACCTTTGCTGTATCCCAGAGATTTTGATAGGTTGTGTCATTATTGTCATCCAGTTTGAAGAATTTTTAAATTTCCATCTGGATTTCATTTTTGACCCAGTACTCATTCAGGAGATTATTTAATTTCCATGTATTTTCATGGTTTTGAAGGTTCCTTTTGGAGTCGATTTCCAGTTCTATTCCACTGTTGTCTGGGAGAGTGCTTGATATAATTTCCATTTTCTTCAATTTATTAAGGCTCGTTTTATGGCCTATCATATGGTCTATCTTGGATAAAGTTCCACGTGCTGTTGAATAGAATGTGTATTCTGTGGTTGTTGGATGAAATGTTCTGTATATATCTGCTAAGTCCATTTGTTCCAAGGTATGGTTTAAATCCATTGTTTCTTTGTTGACTTTCTGTCTTGATGATCTGTCTAGTGTGTGTTGTCAGTGGGGTATTGAAGTCCCCCACTATTGTGTTTCTGTCTGTCACATTTTTTAGGTCTATTAGTAATTGTTTTATAAATTTGGGAGCTCCAATGTTAGGTACGTGTATGTTTAGAATTGTGATATTTTTCTGTTGGACAAGGTCTTTTACCATTATATAATGTCCTTCTTTGTCTCTTTTAACTGCTGTTGCTTTAAAGTTTGTTTTGTCTGATATAATGATAGCTAACCCTGCTCATTTTTGGTGTCCATTTGCATGAAATGCCTTTTTCCAACACTTTAAGTTTACGTGAGTTCTTATGTGTTAGGCAAATCTCCTGAAGGCAGCAGATAGTTGGTTGATGAGTTCTTATCCATTCTGCAAGTCTGTATCTCTTTTTTTTTTTGAGACAGAGTCTCACCCTATTGCCCAGGCTGGAGTGCAATGGTGTGATCTCGGCTCACTGCAACCTCTGCCTCCCAGGTTCAAGTGATTCTCCTGCCTCAGCCTCTCCAGAAGCTGGGATTACAGGTGTGTGCCATCACACCTGGCTAATTTTTTGTATCTTTAGTAGAGTCAGGGTTTCACCATGTTGGCCAGGCTGGTCTTGAACTCCTGACCTTGTGATCTACCCAACTTAGCCTCCCAAAGTGCTGGGATTACAGGTGTGAGCCACCATGCCCAGCCGGTTCTGTATCTTTTAAGTGGAGCATTTAGGCATTTACATTCAATGTTATTATTGAAATATGAGGTACTGTTGCATTCATTGTGCTCTTTGTTGCCTGTGTACTTCGGTTTGTTTTGTTTTTTGTTTTTGCTTTTTAACTTGTATTTTTGTTTTATAGGTCCTATGTGATTTATGCTTTAAAGAGGTTCTGTTTTGTTGTGTTTCCATGATTTGTTTCAAGATTTAGAGCTTTTAGCAGTTCCTGTAGTGGTGGCTTGGTAATGGTGAATTCTCTCAGCATGTGCTTGTCTGAAAAAGACTGTATCTTTCCTTCATATACGAGGCTTAGGTTTGCTGGATACAAAATTCTTGGCTGATAATTGTTTTGTGTGAGGAGGCTGAAGACAGGACCCCAATCCCTCCTAGCTTTTAGGGTTTCTGCTGATAAATCTACTGTTAATCTGGTAAGTTTTCCTTTATAGAGTATGTGGCAATTTTGTCTCACAGCTCTTAAGATTCTTTCCTTTGTCTTAACTTTGGATAACTTGATGACAATGCACCTAGGTGAATACTTTTTGCAATGAATTTCCTGGATGTTCTTTGTGCTTCTTGTATTTGGATGTCTAGGTCTCTAGCAAGGCTGGGGAAGTTTTCCTCGATTATTCCCCCAAATATGTCTTCCAAGGTTTTAGAATTTTCTTCTTCCTCAGGAACACCAATTATTCTTAGGTTTTGTCATTTAACATAATCCCAGACTTCTTGGAGGCTTTGTTCATATTTTCTTATTCTTTTTTCTTTGTCTTTGTTGGATTGGGTTAATTTAAAAACCTTGTCTTTGAGCTCTGAATTTCTTTCTTCTACATGTTCAATTCTATTTTGTGACTTTCCAGAGGATTTCACATTTCTAAAAGTGTGTCCAAAGTTTCCTGAATGTTTGATTATCTTTTCTTTAAGCTATCTATTTCCTTTAATATTTCTCC
The DNA here is from genome assembly GCF_000001405.40 of Homo sapiens. NCBI lineage: Eukaryota > Metazoa > Chordata > Mammalia > Primates > Hominidae > Homo > Homo sapiens. The sequence goes on along the minus strand of NC_000002.12, from coordinate 179,009,916 downwards.
CTTCACTTCTTGTATCATGTTTTGGATTTCCTTGCATTGGGCTTCACCTTTCTCTGATCCCTCCCTGATTAGCTTAATAAGTAACCTCCTGAATTCTTTTTCAGGTAAAGGGATTTCTTGTTGGTTTTCATCCATTGCTGGTGAACTAATGTGATTTTTTGGGGAGGCCAACCAGTACAAAAATAGAGCATTAAACCACCAAAGCTAAGAACCCTCACAGAATCCACTGCACCCCCACCCCCCACCCCTGCCACTCTACCAGAACAGGTGCTGGTATCTAAGGTTGAGAGACCTATAGATGGTTTACATCACAGGACTCTGTGCAGACAACCCCCATTACCAGCCTGGAGCCAGGTAGACTTGCTAGGTGGCTAGACTCAGAAGAGAGAAAACAATCACTGCAGTTCAGCTCACAGGAAGCCACATCCATAGGAAAAGGGGAAGAATACATAGGAAAAGGGAACACCCCATGGGATAAAAGAATCTGAACAACAGCCTTCAGCCCTAGACCTTCCCTCTGAGAGAGCATACCCAAATGAGAAGTATCCAGAAAACCAACCATGGTAATATGACAAAACAAGGCTTTTCAACCCCCAGGGGGGAGAACTATTTAAAAGGAAGTTTCAGACATCAGAAGTTGGACATTTAAACAAATAAGCCCAATAAAGTTGTAACAGCTTCAGCAGAAACTCATATAAAATATAGTTACAAGGAAAAGGAGGGTATAGGGGGAAATCAAGAAAGTCTTCCTCAGAGATGATTTTGCCAGGTATATTAGAGATGGGAAGACAGCTTGAGCAACAGGAAAAGCATGTATCAAGGTCCCAGGACCAACCCCATGCACAGCATTAGGAGAGCAGTAAGTAGTTTTGTATGGTTGGCCCATGTGCTAGGGATAAAAAGATTGGGAAAAGGGTCATGAGAAAGATAGGATGGACAAGTAGGCAGTGGCTGAAATGCAGAAGGCCTCATATGCCACTAAAAGGAGGTTTCTCTTTATCTTATGGCTGATGAATAATCATTGACAAGTGATAGCCTGAGGAGTGACCTGATTGTGCTCTGTATTCAGAACTTTATAGAGAGAACATCTAAAGTTAAAAGAACAACAGTGAAGAGGGACATTTTCAGGTACCCTGATAGTCCTGTGGGTAGAGATATTTGGGGGACTCAAGACTTTTCAAATGCCCTAATATCTTACTCATGAATTGGTGCCCTGATTTTTCCACCCCAGAATATATATGTGGAGTGGTGCTTCCAAAACGTGGTTGTATGTTACAGTCAACTGAGGAGTTTTAAAAGAAGAGATTCGCAGCTTTTACTCCAAACCTATTGAGTCAGAATCCTCTGAAGTGGGACCTGGGGATCTGTATTTTCCAAAATTTCCCCCAGGTAGCACTGGTGCAGCCAGTTCACTGAGTGAGGTTTGAGCACATCAAGTTGTAGAGGGAGAATAGGAAGGATTGGCTTCAGAGGTCTTACAAAGGGCTCAGCTGCTCAGTGCCCGTGACACCTACCAAATGCTGCGGGAGCAGGTTGGTTATATTAGCCTGCCTTGCTGAAGCTGCCATGTCATATGTCTCCTAGTGTCCTTGGAAAGTCTTGCAAAGTCAGGCACATGGTGGAGGCTCCTCAAGTATTTGATAAATGAATGAGCATGGCTGAACTCTAATGTTAGCAAAGACTAGCAGTATGACTAACAGTGTGGTTGTATATTTTTGTTTGACCAAAATACTCTAAAATACCAATTTATTAAAACAAGAGATACATATAGCCTAAAGCCTATCTATTTATTCAGACTTTCAGCAGTTCTGTTCATTTTAATTTTAAAATTAGGGCTCAGTCATTTTGATAAAATATCTGCTCTGAAGAAGAAAACAGATCTTAGAACATAGACGATGACATCAGTCATCTTGTGAACACTGTTACCCTGAGATTTTATGAGCTAAACTAAGAAAATGTATTCTCTGGTACTACTTCTGAATCAATTAACATCACTGCGTGATTGTGATAGATAATCTAAGTGATGACAACTGGACATAATATTGGTAGTTAATTCAGACATATATTAAATAATGGAGACAGGAAAAATCATTTGAAGCCAAACTTGACAGTCACGGCATGTTGTTTATTTCAAACATATTTTGAAAGAAATGTTTTAAAACATTTAATCTTTTTGCTTGGTAAAAGAAGAGATAGTATTATTGCATTCATTAGTTGAGGTTTTATTATAGATGTCAAAACCAAGACCCTTATTTGACATTAAATTTTTTAAAAAAATTATTTGTTTCTGACCCTCACCCATTTAAAATAAAAATCTCATTTAGACATTTTGTGTCTAGAGAGGTGCTGAATGGGCAGTCAGAAGGTGGATATTGGGGAAACAGAGCTGATCTTCAGGAATTGACAGTTGACTCTGTTCAAAAACCATGTTCCAAAGTAACATGCATTTTAAAGCAGCTAAATAATGATGTTTATCAGATGCAATACTTTTGATAAACAGAGGTGATTTAAAGATTTCAATTTACTTCACATGTTTATTAAGTTCAGTTTGGAGAAGCCATGAAAAATGTGGATTAGGTCTCTGTGTTTATTTGCATAAGTAGGAGACCAAGTTAGAAGAAGGCTGAATACAGGAATACTGTAACATTGTCAAGGTTCTGTCTCTCCAGCTCATGGACAGTCTGTCTACACATAGCTGATGGTATGGCCAGTCAGCTACACCAAGCTCACATCTTACCAAATTTGTAACTAGTGAATAGAATCTTTACAGATACCCTCAGCAGAAAAGATTCTGTGGAACCTGATTTTCCAGACTTTAATCATTTTCCATCCTTGAATCAATCATGTTTTCATCCTTGGGCCCATCAACTCATTGACAAGGGGGATGGCAACTCTTATGGAGCTGGCCCTATGTCATTACTTTCCCTTGTCAGTGGGTGAAGGAGCAGGTTGATCCTTCCCAAAATCCTGTGTCATTGGTTTCTCACATGGAAGGAGGGTTCTACTGAGAGAGAAGAAAAGTGTTATTCTATTGGCAAAAAGAAAAGAAAAAAATCAATAGGTGGCTTAATTTTCCTATTAGAGTTTAATATGTTTAATGTAGAAAGAAAAATCAGTCTTTAATGGCAAAAACAAATTTTACATTACCAAGTGAGGAAACATTCCTTCTCTTCAACAGTGAAAACAATGGTTTTATTCTTGTATTTCAATAACGTCTTAGATATTATATGTCTCTCGCCAACCCTGGATCTAATTTTAAACCCTTGTACGAAATGTGTTAGACAAAAAAGTTAAACATTTCACATGCAAAGTTTCTAGATTTCAGCTACTCCTTGTGCCTTGCAAATGGTAAATACTCATTATCTGTTGCATAAATTAATTAATTATTGTATCACTAAACCATGGAAATAGATGGGTCCTTAGAAGGCATCCAGTTAATCTCTCAGATGGGTGCAGATATTTCCTACAATATCTTGCAGAGTGATCATTGAACCACTCTCTGAACACTTTCATATGAAAACTCCCACTGTTTTTTTCTCAGGGAGTTTGTTTGCCATCTACCAACATCTTACATAGTTAACAGAAACAGATAACACTGAACAAAGGGACATTCACAGTTTGCTTAATTTCTTTTTCTCCTCCCCACCCCCGTGTATGTTAAGATAAAAATAACAAATTGAATGATATCTCAAGTAATATTATCTGCCAATGAAATGCAAATGAACAAGCTGGTCTTTGTTCAGGGGAAGAACTCCAGTGAGGGAATTGATTGAGGAGAGACAGAAGTCATGGGCCATTGTTTCAGCCTTGAAGCTGCCTGAGAGGAAGTAATGATTCTCCTGGATAGTTGGTACCTGGACTGAGAGCTAGGCTGGCTTCTTTGTGGCTGTTGGAGGTGTATCCTCACTGGAATGACAGAGAAGAGGAAAATAAGGTTCTGTGTGATCTAGAAGGTAGAGAGGTACAGAGTATCCAGAGATGTATCTTGTATTAAGAAACACAAATACCACTGGGCATGGTGGCTCATGCCTATAATCCCAGCACTTTGGGAGGCCAAGGTGGGTGGATCACTTGAGGTCAGGAATTCGAGACCAGCCTGGCCAACATGGTGAAACCCCATTCTACAAAAAAATACAAACATTAACCAGGCTTGGTGGCACATGCCTATAGTCCCAGCTATGGGGGTCGGGGGAAGTAGAGGTTGCAGTGAGCTGAGATCGCACCACTGCACTCCAGCCTGGGCGACAGAGTGAGACTCTGTCTCAAAAAGAAAAGAAAAGAAAAGAAAGAAAGAAACACAAACACAGTATTGAAGCAGTGATAGGATGGTGAAACATAGGTCCCACACAGTCTTGTAGTGTTATTTGTAACTTCTGGTAAAAAGATTGTTTATAATGTAATATGCTTGTTCATTACAATGTTACTTTTTTATTGTTTTTTAATAGATGAATCACATATGTAAATAATCTCTAAATGCATCTCATCTTTGAATTAATTTGCTGTCTTTTCCTCCTGTAATATATACATTATAACGTATTTTAAAACTATTTAAACAATCCCAGTGTGTTACGTTGTTTAATAATTTTCTAAACCTTTTTTTTTAAATTCTCCAAATAATGTTCACAAGTATAAGAAAACCTATGAATGAGTTTTTGTGGAATAGTTTAGATCCATTTACCTGCATATTTTTCATTACAGATAGTCTAATTGGAGGGAAATCACTGTCAATTAATCATGTGTAGTTGAAAATATTTAAAGAAATTTGTTCATATTAGGTTTGAATAGAGCATTCCTAAAGTCTTCCCTAAATTGTAAGCTCTTTGGTGATTTAAAAGCTCTCAAGAAGCCAAAAAAATTTTTGTGGCTTTTAAGAATTTAGTCTTTAGGCCGGGGGCGGTGGCTCATGCCAGTAATCCCAGCACTTTGGGAGGCCGAGGCAGGTGGATAACCTGAGGTCAGGAGTTCAAAACCAGCCTGGCCAACATGGCAAAACCCCATCTCCCCAAAAAATACAAAAATTAGTCAGGCACACTGGCGTGTGCCTATAATCCCAGCTACTAGGTGGGGCCGAGGCAGGAGGATGGCTTGAACCTGGGAGGCAGAGGTTGCAGTTAGCCAAGATCGTGCCACTGCACTCCAGCCTGGGCAACAGAGCAAGACTCTGTCTCAAAAACAAAAAAAAAATTTAGTCTTTAATGTTCTTTATTTAGGAAGCATTTTAGATACTTACTAGAGAGGACAAGGTGTAGTTTCAAGAAAATTTCAGGAAATCAATATCCAGATGTCATTCATAGAATAGAAATTTCAGATGGCATCTTCATCTTGACTCTGAAAGATTAATTACAGAAATGCTTGGCAGTAGAATTAGAATCAAATTGACAATAAAGTATTTATTAATTCAAATACAATTCTATCAAATACCATGGATAACAGTTCCATGAACAATTTTGACATATAATTTACCTATCAGCAAACGACTATTATTCTTAAAAATTGATCATTTGTATGCATTGTATGATTTTTTGAAACAAATGTATTAGAAAAATTATTAGCATTAGAAGAAGTAGCAGAAGATGATTATAAGCATTGGCAATATGGTAGCAATAATGACAACATATGTTTGCTCTCACATATGTTCATTTTATTTTAGGGAGGGATGACCCAAGGATGCATAGAGAGGAATATATCAGTATCTCCCTAATCATTAATGCAGTCTTCAGCCCAAAGGAACTACAAATCCCAAAATGCAACATTTCATTCTTATTTTAACATGGATTTCAGAAACCAATAGACCAAATTTGTTGAGGTAATTGTATTTACTATGAAGCCCCAAATGCCAAGACTTGGACTTTATACAATGTAGACTTTTGCCAAGTTTACTACATTTCTACATTCAATTTTAAGTAGTAGATGTTTGTACCCTCCACCTCATCAGCATATGTGATACAATTATTTGTTTTCATATACAAAAAATAAATCATTTCATCATAGAGAATGAGTATGAAGTTTAAGAACAAAATGAATGATTGCGTTTTTATTCTGAAAAAAAAGCAATTATTTTAAAAACATATTCTAACATACATGTTTCTTGACAGTAAATCATTGTTACTTGGATTCAGATTAAAATATCTTATGTTTTGAACTTTCATCATTTCTGAAATTGTCATTGCAAGCTATCATGATTGGCATTCCATGTAGACATTTCAAATCAGAAATAAGTTTTTGTTTCCTCTTGTGGGTATGGTGTCCACTTAGTTTATTCCTACTGTGACTTCAATATGTTCCCTACAAGTGGTTGATAAATACACAATAATAATAGTAGTTAGAAGGTACACAAAAAGATAAACATAATTAAAATAATAGCTAATATTTATTACATACTTACTATATTTGAGGCACTTTACTAAGAGCTTCCATGGATTACTTCATTTAATCTTCACAAAATCTTATAAGATAGTTATTATTAGTGTTCATATTTTATAACAGGCTGAGGCCTAGTGAGAAAAAGTAATTTATAAAATGTGCAGAGCTACTACCTGGTGGAACCAGAATGTGGACTCCAGGGTCTGGTTCTTAATCACTATGTTACGCTGCATGCCATGCTTTGACAGGAGGTTTATTTCACAATGTGGCCACTCAAGGCAAATTCATCTCCACCACTGGAGAAACAGCTCAATGTGCATGATTTTTTTTGTTGTTGGAAAACATAATCTTTATACATGAAAGATAATATTATGTCAACATTTTCTTCATGACCAAAATTGTCTCCTTTTCATGAGAAGAAAAATTTTCAATTTTATTTTAGAAAGTTAATATAAATGACAATATAAGGTTAATTCCACCCAAAAACAATCACTGGGCAAAATAGATCTTTATCCCATTTTCCGGATTGACTCAATACATCAATCAAGTTAAATGAGTAATTGCTCTACTGTTTACTTATGTTTCTGGCAGAATAGCTTTTATAACTATTTTGAGTTCACAAAAAGAATATCAGTCCTACTCTATTTGTGAGAGTTATTATTTTGATGTATTTGTGATGTTTCCTGGGAGCTTTACCCCATTCATTACAGTGTCCTTTCTGGTCTCAACCTTCTTTCTGGGGAGTGTAGTCTGATTTTATTTACTTGTTACTCAAAAAATATTATTATTGACTGGACTCAGAAGTAGACGCTCTTGGAGAGGACAGGCTGCTTTTCTTGAAAATCTGCTCCTGGCATATTTTTTTGGCCTCCTTCATTCTTTTGGCCAAAAGTTTAGCATGTTCTATAGTATACTGTTTCTGCAGAGCAACATAGCAGCATTTATGTTGTAAGACATTTGGAGTAACAAGATGCTGAATCTTGGGTGTGTTGGTCCTAGGCTTACCTTCTTTGTTAAAGGCCTTTCTTACCACATATTGTTGGACATCATCTTTTTTTAGAGAGATTGAAAAGTTTGTGGATTCTGCTAGCTCTTTTGGGCCCCAAGTGATGAGGCGTCATGGTGTCAGTCAGTCCAGGAACATCCTTCTCTCCCTTTTTTACAATAAGTCAATTGAGAACATTTAGATTGACATCCACAATGCAATCCTGAACAGCTTTACACTTTCTTTCTCCAGTTCTTCTGGCTGTATAACAGGAATGCCCTGTACTCAGTAGCAGGTGGACATGGTCATGGGCCAAGACATCCTGCTTCATGGGAAAACCTTGTTTGTCATTCCTACCACTGATGTGGACTACATAATCCTTCCATTCTTCACCCAGAGCATCAGCAGCTACTTCTGTGGCCATGTGCTTGTCATAAAAAGTATGAACTTTGGCCGGGAGCAGTGGCTTATGCTTGTAATCCCAACACTTTGGGAAGCTGGGAGGGTGGATCAGTTGAGGTCAAGAGTTAGAGACCAGCCTGGCCAACATGCCGAAACCCTGTCTCTACTAAAAATACAAAAATTAGCCAGGTGTGGTGGTGCACACCTGTAATCCCAGCTACTCAAGAGGCTGAGGCAGGGGAATCACTTGAACCTGGGAGGCGGAGGTTGCAGTGAGCCGAGATCACACCACTCACTCCAGCCTGGGTGACAGAGTGAGACTCTGTCTCAAAGGAAAAAAAGAACTTTGCGTTGATCAGCCACTTCAGTGAATTTCTGGCAGCCAGTGGCTGAGAAGGAGATATTCATCTGCTTCAAGAAGCAGCTGATTGCCTCCGAGGTGCCACAAAAAAGTGGTCTCCACTTTCTTACATCAAACTCCGTAATGTCTTTTGTCTTCTTGGCTCTGTTAATCCTGCCATTCCTGCCTGTGCCCCCCAAGGTTCTCTGATTTCCAGATGCTTTGCTATCTAGCACAGCCCTCCATCTCTTTTTACCTCCTCCTCTGATCTTTTTAGTTCAACTTTATGATTTTTTTTCCACCTCAAGCTGCTATTCTCTTCTTACCTTCCACAAATGCTGCAACCATAAGCCTGGAAAGGCAGAAGTGGTTTCTAGCCAGTTGGAGTATATTGACTCCACAGTTCATTGGCATAGATTATCTCTGGTGTTGGTTGCTGACACTGCAGCTGCACATCAGCACATTTAGGTGATACTCCCAAGACTACACTCCTTTCTTCGTTTCCTCTATTAAGCTGTTTCTCAAATTGTGCTTCTCATGTCCCTAAGAGTTCACAAATATACTGTGAGAGATGCGTAAGTATCTAAAATAATCTCAAATTTTGATTTAAAAATATTTAATATATGCTACCAAATTTCAATGCTTACACTTGTGCTTGTATTTTCATTTCACTGGTGCTAAAGGAATGGCAGTGTTTGACTTTTTTCATATTTTCTCAAACTGGGGATCCATAGCTTATTCTCTGAGTTCTTGTGTTCTCAAGATTGAGAAACACTGCTCTGCAGTGCTTGAAATGGACCTGGGCAAATGAGCATCACCCAGGCCTGGCTATTCACTCCTCATGCATCTGTTGTGTACTTTCTATGTTACACACTGCATTACACACAAGGAATAAAAAACAGTTCAAGGGTTAGTGGGGAAGTCAGATAAGTAAACAATTTTAATCTATTATGATATTGCTAGTCAATTGGTACAAACTTTCTGGAGAACAATGTAGCAATTGCATCAAGCCTTGTGGATAATCCTTAACCCAGTAATTTCACTTTTAAAAATTTATTTTATGAACACAAGAGGGGTCTACAAAGATTTGTATGAAAGGACCCAGAAGTCAAATTAAATGAGGATTATTGGAATTGACTCAGCTCAACATTACTTACAATAGTTATAAATGCAAAGCAGATTTAAAATTTAACAACAGGGGAATAATTGCATAAATTATGGCATCCCATGTGATGGGAGTTTAAATAGCCACTAAAAATATTATTTCTACAAAGTATTGAAAACAAAGGACTCATAATACTATTTTAAGCTGAACAGCTCTCTAAACCAGAAGTCAGCAAACCTCTTCTGTAAAAGGGTCAGATGGTGAATATTTTAGGATATTTTATCTAAATTTTAAATTATTTTAGGTAAATATTTTAGAATCATATTACTCTGTGAGTTGCAACTATTTAGACTAGGCTGTTGTATTGTGATAGTAGCTGTGGACAATATGTTAACCAGTAGACATAGTTGTGTTCCAAAAAAAACTTTATTATGGACATTGAAATTTGAGTTTCATATAATTATTATATGTCATGGAATATTCTTTTTTAAGTTTTGTTTTCAACCACTTAAAAATGCAAAAGCCATTCTTACCTTACAGGCCATACAAAAACAGATGGCAGGACAGATTTGGATCATAAGCCATAGTTTGTTGATCCATGATCTATACTGTGTGATTCTAATTGTGTGTGTGTGTGTGTGTGTGTGTGTGTGTGTGTGTGTGTGTATGGTGATGAATCTCTGAGCAGTGGAATCATGAGCAATTTTTATTTTTTATGATTTTCTTCTATTTCTCCATTTTAAAATATGAACTTACATTACTTTTATAATCAGAAAAGCAAAAAATAAATGCACTATAATAATGACTATGATGGTGGAAAGTGCTTTAAAGGGGCTAATACCCTTGCCCCAAGTAAGAGGGGAGGATGAGGGTCAGGGAAGGTTTGCTGAGACAACTTCTGAATAGTGTTGCGAAGGATGATGAAGAGTTGTTCAAGGATAGGTGAGTCACGGGAGAAAGAGAGGAGAGTGAGAGGCCAAAAGGAAGGGTATTCTAGGCTGAGAAATAGATGATAGACCATAGGAGTGTCAGGGAACCACAAAAATTTCAGAAGGCTAGAGAACAGTGTTAGGGAGTCAGCCAACAGGGATAAGACTAAAAAAAGAATCAAGCACTGAGGATCTTATTTGGTATGCTTGGAATTTTATTTTTTATCTTAAAATCAATTGGCAGCATGGAAAGATTCGTGAGTTGCTGAGTGACATGCTCATACTTCTGATTTAGAAAGTTCTATATGGCATACGGGTAGAGAATGGATTGGGTGAGGGTGAACCTAGAGGCAGGAGAACAAGTTGAAAGGCTGTTGTAGGAATTCGGGTGAGAAGCGTTGAAAGACGAAACTGAGGTATGGGGATGGAAATAGAGAAAGGAAAGGGTTCAAATGATATGTAGGAGTTGACTCAGTGGGCCTTGGTGACTGATTAAATCTTGGAGCTGGAGGAGATGCACAGGAGAGAATGAAGATACCCTTCTGTGTTTTTGCTCCTGACAGCCAGGTGAGTTTCAGTGTAAATAAAGAAGACATGATCTATTTGTAGATGGTTTGAATTTGAGGTAGTTGTGGAAAATTTGAATGGAGCTTTTCAATACGGAAAATCAGGAGAAATAAGTTAGTAGACAGTGGTTGCAGATTTAAGAGCTCATGTGTTCACTTGGAAAGAGGGTGTTGAATAATGACCGCTACACTTTCTCCACCATTCCTATTGGACTGTACAGAGATGCAATCCAATCAATGTTCACGACTTGCTGTGAGTCTATTCAAATTTTAGAATCACTTGTCCTCAGCTCTCACATAATGTATTTAATATTAATGTGTATTTAATGTTAAATACACATTAACATTTCTGGAGTAAGTTAACTCTACTTTGAAAAAGTTGCCCAAATGATTTTGATATATGCTTCTCAGACCCACCATTGACACTTGCTTGAGAAGAAGACATCAAAGACCGTGATATCCTGAAACACCTAGATGTTTAAAAATAGGAAGAGAAAGTGAATCTGTAAAAGAGTGCAGAAAACAGAAGAAAAATCAGAGTGCACTGGTAGTCAGTGGAAGAAAAAAAAATTTTAATGGACCATGCAACAGTATTAATTATGAAGAGATAATTAAATAAAGATTACTGGCGTTGACCAAAATGAGGTCATATAGACCTATACAAGAATATTTCAGTAAGATGATGGGGACAGAAACCATTCAGGAGTGAGTAGAGAAGTGGATAGGTATTAAGAAAAAAAACTGAAGCATGGAGGAAATGAAAACAATACAATAGCTAGATTCCTCCTCAATCTTTTATATTTGTTACCACAATATGTACTATTATACTTAAGAGATATTTGAAAAATGCTTGCTGAATAACTGAGACAATGACTGAGTGAATACATTCATTAATAACTTCAGCTTCCATTTGGTATTATCTTCCCTGAACTGTAAGGGTCATTAAGAGTATTATTTTATTTGAACAAGTGACAGTTTGGTTTTAGCTTTAATAGAGGATAAGGAGCACTCTTTCCATTCTAGTGAAGTACTTTCTACAGCTCCCTGTTGATTGAGAATGTTCTAAGTGCTGTAGAATACTGTATAAATTTTTAAACTAGAAATCAATATACAAATATTCTTAATTATATTGCAATATTATTGCTGAATTTATAAATAAGACATGCAAAAATGAGATTTCTCTTGCTTTTAAGTGCATTTTCAGATATGAAGTTGTCTTTCCATACCTTATGGTTTTTGATGATCATCCATGGGGAAGAGCTGCTTCTCTTCATTTAGACAAGAAATCCATCTACAGCCGACAGCAATAGAGAGAGACCACTTGAGGGGGGACGGGTTAAAGGCTGGAGCACCAGGCTCATTTTAAGTGTTCAAAATCCTATCCTCAAGTTTGCCTGATTTAAATTCCATAGTATACACATCTTATGAAATTGCTAAAAGAATTGTATAGCTCTAAACAGGAAGTGAGAGAGAGAAGACTTCGAGGGTGTTATCAATGGTTTTCCCACCATTGGAAAACTGGGAATCATGGCATTCTGGGGAATGAGGAGGCAAATTTTGGTCTGGTCTAATAGGGATGCTATTTGGTGGGACAATCCTTCCTCAAGCCCCTCCAATCACTACTACACACACGTGACAACTAAAAATGTCTGAGAACCAGTGACAGGTGCTGGAGCTGTAAATGTGAGTGAGACAACTTAGGCCTCTGTGTCTCCTTCCCAGATCTGAAATCATTATCATTGGCATGCTGGGGTATCATGCCCTGTAGCTGTCTCCATTAGTACCTCACTTGTGTTTGTGTTTCAGGCTGACTAACTGATACATACTGCTCCTTAGGGGAAGAGAAAAGAAAGAAGTAGCCTCCATGGAGGCTCAGCAATGGACAATAAAATAAAATAGTATTTCCTGAGTGCTGACAGCATATGAGCAATCACCAGATTCAGAAGGGAAGGCCTGGCCCACAGGATGATGTGGCACATGGGCAAACAGAAAGCTGGACCACTAAAAGAACCACAAGGCCTTCCTAACACCTTTACCAAGGCTGAAGAAGTATCACGGAGACCCAATTTCTCCACATCAAAAAACTGCCAGGGTACATTCTGCCTTTGGGTTCAAGATCATGTTCTATTTCAAGAATCTCATAGGAGGCACACTTTAACTGGTCACTCCTGAGATTTTGGATTTGCTAGAAATATCCCTGTTCTATTAATCATGTCTAGTTCATTCTGTTTGAGTCCCTGTCTCCTTCAGTATTTCAGATGGTATTTGATAGGTCTTGGGAAGCATTGGGCCATACCTGGCCTCTGATCCCAGCAGCTTAAGAGCGATCTAAAATTCCAAGGAAATTTGAATCAGACAGTTTTCTACAGATTCCCAAAGCAGAATGTCTGCTGACTTTCTTCGAGAAAATACCAAGTGTAATTTGTATCAAATTAAATCCAGAGGGTTCTGCAAGAATGTTCTGGCCTTGGATCCGCAATGAATAGAACATTTTGCTGTTCACAGTGGAGGTCATGGGAGAGTCCCAACGAAATATTGGAAGCCATAATCATAGCTAAGTTGCTCTCCCTAAAGCCTTTATATCACTGATTTATAAAGTGTCATTTGAGTAGGAAAATAAAAATATTAAGAGGAGCTTATTTTATGTGTTTAACAAGCCTAACAGGTTCCAAAGGCAACCCTATTAGATATAGAAATAGCCCATTTTTGGATTTATTTTAACACCTTTGTGCCAAATCTGAGAAATATTACTGGGAAGTTACATGTTTACCTGGTTTTCCCTAGAATGAATTCATAGTCTGTTATTTCTTATTCTTCCCTCTATCACTGCCATAGAATTTTCCAATTTTGGCCAGGTGCGGTGGCTCACACCTTTAATCCCAGCACTTTGGGAGGCCAAGGCAGACGGATCACCTGAGGTCAGAAGTTTGAGACCAGCCTGGCCAACATGCCAAAACCCCGTCTCTACTAAAAATACAAAAATTAGCCAGGCATGGTGGTGCATGCCTGTAATCCCAGCTACTCCAAAGGCTGAGGCAGGAGAATCTGGGAGGCAGAGGTTGCAGTGAGCCAAGATCAAGCCACTGCACTCCAGCATGGGTGACAGAGTGAGACTCCATCTCACCAAAAAAAAAAAAAAAGAATTTTAAAATTTCATGGAATTTGTAGTTTCAGTTCTTACCACACTCATTGTCATAGGAAAAAAGTTAGAATCTAAAACTTTTAATATAATGTTTTCATCTTATATATTCTTGAACTAACACCATCATAAGTGGAGATTGAGGCCAGGTTAACCTATTTTAATGTTAAAAAGTATAAAATGAAAAATATGCACAATACAAAATTAACCAGCCCTTACTATGGTCTAAAACTTGTCACACAAGAATCAAATATCCAGTTATTATGCTCTTAAATAGCTAGGTAAGAAAATATACACTTTTGGTCAAACTCTCCTGCTAATTTAGACACTCAGTTGTCTGTTTATTCTAAATAGCAAAGAGAACAGAGCTGGCACATACTCATCTATCTCTTAGTGGATATTCATTGCCGTTTCTACCCAATCTTCCTGAGACTTTTTTTGAGTTAGCTCTGAAATTATCAGTCTATAATCTAGATTTTTTGTTTTGTTGCATTATAAATTTTATTTCTTTATTAAGTATAAGAGAACCTTGGTGACATAATGTGCCAATAAAGGACTTTACATGTGTAAATGTATATGTCAGCTTGATATGGTGTGGTTGTGTCCTCACCCAAATCTCATTTTGAATTCCCATGTGTTGTGGGAGGGACCTGGTGGGAGATAATTGAATCATGGGAGCAGGTCTTTCCCGTGCTGTTCTCATGATAGTGAATAAGTCTTATGAGATCTGATGGTTTTAAAAATTGGAGTTTCCCTACAACAAGCACTCTTTTTGCCTGCTGCTATCCATGTAAGATGTGACTTGGTCCTCCTTGCCTTCTGCCTTGATTGCGAGGCATCTCCGAACAGGTGGAACTGTGAGTTCTCCATTAAATCTCTTTTAAATTTCCCTGTCTCAGTTATGTCTTAATCAGCAGCATGAAAATGGACTAATACAGTAAATTGGTACCCGTAGAGCGGGATGCTGCTGAAAAGATACCTGAAATGTGGAAGTGACTTTGGAACTGGGTAATAGACAGGGGTTGGAACCGTTTGGAGGGCTCAGAAGACAGGAAAATGTGGGACAGTTTGGAACTTCCTAGAAACTAGTTGAATGGCTTTGCCCAAAATGCTGATAGAGATATGGACAGTAAAGTCCAGGCTGATGTGGTCTCAGATGGAAATGAGGAACTTGTTGGGAACTGGAGCAAAGATGACTTTTGTTACGTTTGAGCAAAGAGACTGCTGACATTTTGCCCCTGCCCTATAGATTTGTGGAACTTTGAACTTGAGATAGATGATTTAGGGCATATGGTGGAAGAAATTTTTAAGCAGCAAAGCATTCAAGAGGTGACTGGGTGCTGTTAAAGGCATTCAGTTTTATAAGGGAAGCAGAGCATAAAAGTTTGGAAAATTTGCAGGTTGACAATGCGACAGAAAAGAAAATCCCATTTTCTGAGAAGAGATTCAAGTTGGCTGCAGAAATTTGCATAAGTAACGAGGAGCTAATCCCCAAGAAAATGATGAAAATGTCTCCAGGGCATGTCAGAGGTCTTCACAGCAGCCCCTCCCATCACAGGCCTGGAGGCCTAGGAGGAAAAAGTGGTTTCGGGGGCCAGGCCCAGGGTCAATGTGCTGTGTGCAGCCTAGGGACTTGGTGCCCTGCAACCGAGCCACTCCAGCCATGGCTGAAAGGGACCAACACAGAGCTTGGGCTGTAGCTTCAGAAGGTGCAAACCTGAAACCTTGGCAGCTTCCACATGGTGTCAAGCCTGTGGGTACACAGAAGTCAAAAACTGGGCTTTCGGACCCTCTTCCTAGACTTCAGCAGATGTATGGAAATGTCTGGATGCCCATGCAGAAATTTGCCGCAGGGGCAGGGCCCTCATGGAGGTCACTGCTAGGGCAGTGCAGAAGGGAAATGTGGGGTTGGAGCCCACAAACAGAATACCTACTGGGACATTGCCTAGTGGAGCTGTGAGAAGAGGCCCACTGTCCTCGAGACTCCAGAATGGTAGATCCACTGACAGCTTGCAAATAGAAGCTGGAAAAGCCACAGACAATCAATGCCAACCAGTGAAAGCAGCCAGGAGGGAGGTTGTACCCTGTGAAGCCACAGGGGCAGATCTGCCTAAGTCCATGGGAACTCACCTCTTGCATCAGCATGACCCAGATTTGAGACATGGAGTCAAAAAAGATCATTTTGAAGCTTTAAGATTTGACTACTCTGCTAGATTTCGGACTTTCATGGGGCCTGTAGCCCCTTTATTTTGGCCAATTTATCCTATTTGGAATGGCTGTATTTAACCCAATGCCTGTACTCCCATTGTATCTAGGAAGTAATTAACTGCTTTTGATTTTACAGGCTCATAGGCAGAAGGGACTCACCTTGTCTTGGATGAGACTTTAGACTGTGGACTTTTGAGTTAATGCTGAAATGAGTTAAGACTTTGGGGACTGTTGGGAAGGCATGATTGGTTTTCAATATAAGGACATGAGATTTGGGAGGGGCCAGAAGTGGAATAATATGGTTTGGATGTGTCCCCACCCAAATCTCATCTTGAATTCCCACATGCTGTGGGAGAGACCTGGTGGGAAGCAATTGAATCATGGGGTTAGGTCTTCCCTGTGCTGTTCTCATGATGGTGAATAAGTCTCATGAGATCTGATGGTTTTAAAAATGGGAGTTTCCGTACACAAGCCCTCTTTGCCTGGCACTATCCACGTAAGATGTGACTTGCTCCTCCTTGCCTTCTGCTATGATTGTGAGGCTTCCCCAGTCACGTGTAACTGTGAGTACTCCATTAAACCTCTTTCCTTTGTAAATTCCCCAGTCTGGGGTATGTCTTTATCAGCAATGTAAAAATGGACTAATGCATAGCTTTTATTAGGTAATGCTAGGGTAACAAATAACCCCAAAATAGCAATGGCTTACAAATAACAGATTTTATTGTACCATGTTGGCTGCATGGTAACTGCAGTTCAGGTTTGTGTGTTTCCTTTATTTTAGAATCCAGGCTGAAGGAGTTTATTAGTCTGTTCTCATGCTCCTAATAAAGACATACCCGAAACTGGCTAATTTATAAAGGAAAGAGGTTTAATTGACTCACAGTTCACCATGGCTGGGGAGGCTTCAGAAAACTTACAATCACAGCGTAAGGGGATGCAAACACATCCTTCCTCACATGGTGGCAGCAAAGAGAAGTGCCGACAAAAAGGGGGAAAAGCCACTTAAAAACCATCAGCTCTTGTGAGAACTCTCTCACTATCACAGGAACAGCAGCTTGGGGGTAACTGCCCCCATGATTCAATCATCTCCCACCAGGTCCCTCCCATGACATGTGGGAATTATGGGAACTACAATTCAAGATGAGATTTGGGTGAGGGCACAGCCAAACCATATCACGATGCAACCCCTATTTATGGAAAGAGCAATGATAGACTCACTCATTAGTTCTTAATACTTCTACTCAGAAATGGCACACAAAACTGTTCACAGTTTATTAGTCTAACCTAATTGCATACAAGTCTGGCTTTAGGAGGCATAGAAGTACAGTCCTCTTACAGAGAGAAACAGCAAATAACTGGGAACAATAATATAATTAAGTGTGTAATGTGTCTTAGAGTATAATTTGGAAGGATAAGGAAGGAAAGGACTGTTCAAGAAGAATAATTGGAGACAACTTAGGTCCATGATTCCAGTACAGCAATGGCATGTGTTTTTTTTTTCCTTTAAGAATAGGTCTATTTAAAAAAAAAAAAAAAAAAGGTCTATTTTACATAATTGCAAAAATATAAAAATTTCTCCAATAATAAAAATAACATATTTTATTATAAAAAATTGAAAATTGAAAATATACAGAAAGATATAAATAAGAAGGTGAAATTAACTGGAAAACCCTAGGTAAATACCTAGAGAAATGAAAATACATGTCTACCCAAAAACTTGTACATAAATATTTATAGCAGGTTTATATATAGTAGTCAAAAATTGGAAACATCCAAATTTCTACAGGCAACTAAATAAACAAATTGGCATATTCATCTATTCTTTTGGGTACATACTTGAGAAATTATTCAATATTTTCCATGATGGTGGCAGTGATAATAGTGATGATGAGGCAGATGATGATAAGATTTTCTTGGGACAATTTTGGTAACATTTTAAAGAAAATTTTCCATTTTATCCCCGTTTTTGTTTTTATTTGCAGAAAATCCAAAACTTGCTATATGCATTTATAGCCCTCAATCTTAATATTATATAATTATGTTAAATAAAATATTTTAAATGATACATAATAATTGCACATATTTATGGGGTACATGTGATATTTTGGTACATTTCTACACTGTATAATGATGAAGTCTTGGTAATTGAGATATCCGTCACCTCAAACAGTTGTGATTTCTTTGTGTTGATGACATTAAAAATCTTTACTTTTAGTTATTTTGAAATATATAATAATTAACTATAGTCACTCTACTATCAAACACTAAGGCTTATTCCTTCAATCTAACTGTATTTTTGTACCCATTAGCCAACCTCTCTTTACCTCCTTCTTCCTTCTTACCCTCCTAGCCTCTGGTAACCATCATTCTATTCTCTACCTTCATGAGATCTGCTTACGTTTTTTGTGTAACATTTTGTTCTTTTTAAAATGTCAAAAGTTAAAAAAAATTTTGAAGAGACAAAATTCATATAACATAAAATTAACCATTTTAAAGTGTAAAATTCAGTGGCATTTAGTACATTCACAGTGCTGCGTGTGAAAAGTTCAATATAGAAATGAACTTCTGAAATTAAAATGTTTTATATGGGAGGAAAGTACTGCAATTCAGGGCATAAATGCAGACTGGCTGGTCTTCAGTATGTCTGAAAAACAAAGAGAAAGTTAGAGGTTTTATAAAAAGGAGAATATGTATTGCTGTTTGATAAATTTCATTGCCACTAGTAAGGTTTTGAGGAGTTGGTAAGCTCTGATTAGCAAGTGACAGTCGTGGGCAAAACTAGTCTCAGAGTTGCAGCAGGTTGTTTCAGTAGCCAATAGCTAAAACTGGTTTCAGGTTATGGTAGGCAGTTTCAGCTTGCAGACTTGCAGGGAATTACATTTTTGGGGCAATGTTTTGTGCCGAGTGGTTTTCCTCCCTGACCTCTGAAATCCGTTTTTGTTGAGTATGACAAGAATGACCCAATTCATATGATCACCTTTCACATGTGCAACCATCACCTCTATCTAGATCCAAAACCTTTCCATCAGCCCAAAAGAAAACCCTGTGCCCACTACATAGTGACTCCTTATTCACCCTTCCCCCAGCCCCTGGCAAGCACCATTCTGCTCTTTATTACTAAGATTTTACCTATTCTACATATTTCATGTAAGTGGAATCATCCATTATGTGACCTTTGGCGTTTCACTTTCACTTAGCATGTCTTAGAGGTTCACCAATGTTGTAGCATGTATTGGTCTCACTTCCCTTCCATTCCCTTCCCTTCCCTTCCCTCCCCTCCCCTCCCCTCCCCTCCACTCCCCTCCCCTTCTCTTTTTTCCTTCCTTCCTTCCTTCCTTCCTTCCTCTCTCTCTTTCTTTCTCTCTCTCTCTTTTGTACTATGTATCAATACTCCTTCATATGGATATAGTACATTTTGTTCATCCATTCACCAGTAAATGGACACTTGGATTGTTTCTGTCTTTTGGCTATTGTGAATACTGTTGCTGTTAATATGCGTGTGCTTGCTTTTGTGTGGACATATGCTTTAATTCCTGTGGATATATGCCTAGGAGCATAATTTCTTGGTCATATGGTAATTCTGTGTTTGACTTTTTGAGGAAATGCCAACATGTTTTTTTTTTTAAAGCAGCTGTACCATTTTATATTATCATCAGCTATGTACATGGATTCCAATTTTCTCCATGTTCTTGCCAACAATTGTTATTTTTCTCTTTTCTTTCTTTCTTTTTTTTTTTTTTGAGATGGAATTTCGCTCTTGTTGTCCAGCCTTGAGTGCAACGGTGCAATCTCAGCTCACTATAACCTTTGCCTCCCAGGTTCAAGTGATTCTCCTGCCTTAGCATCTCGAGTAGCTGGGATTACAGGCATGTGCTACCATGCCCAGCTAATTTTGTATTTTTAGTAGAGATGGGGTTTCTCCATGTTGGTCAGGCTGGTCGTGAACTCCTGACCTCAGGTGATCCGCCTGCCTCAGCCTCCCAAAGTGCTGGGATTACAGGTGTGAACCACTGTGCCCGGCCTCCTTTTTTTTTTTTTTTTTTTTTTTTTAAGATTATAGCTATCCTAGTGGGTGTGAAGTGACATCTCATTGTACTTTTGATTTGCATTTTTCTAAGACTAATCATTTGAGCATCTTTGTGTGCACTTGTTTGCCATTTATATATCTTTGTTGGAGAAATGTCTTTTCAAGTCCGTTGCCCATTTTATGATTGTATTGTTGTCCTTTCTATTGTTTTATTTATTTATTTATTTATTTATTTATTTATTTATTTTTTTTTTTTTTTGAGGCAGGGTCTTGCTCTCTCACCCAGGCTGGAGTACAGTGGTATGATCTCAGCTCACTGCAACCTCTGCCTCCTGGGCTCAAGCAATTCTCCTGCCTCAGCCTCCTGAGTAACTAGGATTACAGGTGCCCACCACCACACCTGGCTAATTTTTGAATTTTTAGTAGAGATGGAGTTTCAACATGTTGGCCAGGCTGGTCTCGAACTCCTGATCTCAAGTGACCTGCCTGCCTCGGCCTCCCAAAGAGCTGGGATTACAGGCATGAGCCACTGCGCCCAGCCCCTTTCTATTGTTAAGTTGAAAGAGCTCTTTGTATATTCTGAATACTAGATGCTTATCAGATATATCATTTGCAAACATTTTCTCCCATTCTAAGGATTTTCTTTTTACTTCTTTGATAATGTCCTTTGTACACAAAAGTCTTAATTTTGATGAAGTCCAATTTATCTGTTTGTTGTTGTTGTTGCTTATGCTACTGGTGTCGTATCTAAAAAACTATTGCCAAATTCAAGGTGATGAAAATTTACTTACAAAATTCTTCTAAAAATTTTATAGTTTTAGCTTTTACATTGAGATCACTGATACATTTTGAGTTAATTTTTATATGGTATGAAAGGTAATAATTCAATTTTATTCTTTTACATGTGAATATCTAGTACTTCTAGTTCCACTAGTTTGAGACTATTCTTTCCTAATTGAATGGTCCTGACACCATTGTTGAAAATCAATTGGCCATAGACATATAGGTACATTTCTGAACTCTCAATTCTAGGCCATTACCCTATATGTCTATCCTTATGTCAATACACCATTTTGATTACTGTTGCTTTGTAGTAAGTTTTGAAGTTTAGAAGTGTGAGTCCTCCGAATTTGTTCTTTTTCAAGATTGTTTTGACTATTATGATCCCCTTACAAGTCCACATAAATATGAGGATTATCTCTTCAATTTCTGTCAAAAAGCCTGTGAAATAAAATTTTTATATTGATTACATTGAATCTGTGGATTACTTTAGACAGTATTGCTTTTTAACAACACTAAGTCTTCCAACTCATAAACGTGGGTTCTCTTTCCATTTATTTAGGTCTTCTTCAATTTCTTTTTTTTTATTATTTATTTTTTATTATTATACTTTAAGTTTTAGGGTACATGTGCACATTGTGCAGGTTAGTTACATACGTATACATGTGCCATGCTGGTGTGCTGCACCCACTAACTCGTCATCTAGCATTAGGTATATCTCCCAATGCTATCCCTCCCCCCTCCCCCCACCCCACAACAGTCCCCAGAGTTTGATGTTCCCCTTCCTGTGTCCATGTGATCTCACTGTTCAATTCCCACCTATGAGTGAGAATATACGGTGTTTGGTTTTTTGTTCTTGCGATAGTTTACTGAGAATGATGATTTCCAATTTCATACATGTCCCTACAAAGGAAATGAACTCATCATTTTTTATTGCTGCATAGTATTCCATGGTGTATATGTGCCACATTTTCTTAATCCAGTCTATCATTGTTGGACATCTGGGTTGGTTCCAAGTCTTTGCTATTGTGAATAGTGCCGCAGTAAACATACGTGTGCATGTGTCTTTATAGCAGCATGATTTATAGTCCTTTGGGTATATACCCAGTAATGGGATGGCTGGGTCAAATGGTATTTCTAGTTCTAGATCCCTGAGGAATCTCCACACTGACTTCCACAATGGTTGAACTAGTTTACAGTCCCACCAACAGTGTAAAAGTGTTCCTATTTCTCCACATCCTCTCCAGCACCTGTTGTTTCCTGACTTTTTAATGATTGCCATTCTAACTGGTGTGAGATGGTATCTCATTGTGGTTTTGGCTTGCATTTCTCTGATGGCCAGTGATGGTGAGCATTTTTTCATGTGTTTTTTGGCTGCATAAATGTCTTCTTTTGAGAAGTGTCTGTTCATGTCCTTCGCCCACTTTTTGATGGGGTTGTTTGTTTTTTTCTTGTAAATTTGTTGGAGTTCATTGTAGATTCTGGATATTAGCCCTTTGTCAGATGAGTAGGTTGCGAAAATTTTCTCCCATGTTGTAGGTTGCCTGTTCACTCTGATGGTAGTTTCTTTTGCTGTGCAGAAGCTCTTTAGTTTAATGAGTTCCCATTTGTCAATTTTGGCTTTTGTTGCCATTGCTTTTGGTGTTTTAGACATGAAGTCCTTGCACATGCCTATGTCCTGAATGGTAATGCCTAGGTTTTCTTCTAGGGTTTTTATGGTTTTAGGTCTAATGTTTAAGTCTTTAATCCATCTTGAATTGATTTTTGTATATGGTGTAAGGAAGGGATCCAGGTTCAGCTTTCTACATATGGCTAGCCAGTTTTCCCAGCACCATTTATTAAATAGGGAATCCTTTCCCCATTGCTTGTTTTTGTCAGGTTTGTCAAAGATCAGATAGTTGTAGATATGCGGCATTATTTCTGAGGGCTGTGTTCTGTTCCATTGATCTATATCTCTGTTTTGGTACCAGTACCATGCTGTTTTGGTTACTGTAGCCTTGTAGTATAGTTTGAAGTCAGGTAGTGTGATGCCTCCAGCTTTGTTCTTTTGGCTTTGGATTGACTTGGCGATGCGGGCTCTTTTTTGGTTCCATATGAACTGTAAAGTAGTTTTTTCCAATTCTGTGAAGAAAGTCATTTGTAGCTTGATGGGGATGGCATTGAATCTATAAATTACCTTGGGCAGTATGGCCATTTTCACGATATTGATTCTTCCTACCCATGAGCATGGAATGTTCTTCCATTTGTTTGTATCCTCTTTTATTTCCTTGAGCAGCGGTTTGTAGTTCTCCTTGAAGAGGTCCTTCACATCCCTTGTACGTTGGATTCCTAGGTATTTTATTCTCTTTGAAGCAATTGTGAATGGGAGTTCACTCATGATTTGGCTCTCTGTTTGTCTGTTGTTGGTGTATAGGAATGCTTGTGATTTTTGCACATTGATTTTGTATCCTGAGACTTTGCTGAAGTTGCTTATCAGCTTAAGGAGATTTTGGGCTGAGACAATGGGGTTTTCTAGATATACAATCATGTCATCTGCAAACAGGGACAATTTGACTTCCCCTTTTCCTGATTGAATACCCTTTATTTCCTTCTCCTGCCTAATTGCCCTGGCCAGAACATCCAACACTATGTTGAATAGGAGTGGTGACAGAGGGCATCCCTGTCTTGTGCCAGTTTTCAAAGGGAATGCTTTCAGTTTTTGCCCATTCAGTATGATATTGGCTGTGGGTTTGTCATAGATAGCTCTTATTATTTTGAAATATGTCCCATCAATACCTAATTTATTGAGAGTTTTTAGCATGAAGTGTTGTTGAATTTTGTCAAAGGCCTTTTCTGCATCTATTGAGATAATCATGTGGTTTTTGTCTTTGGCTCTGTTTATATGCTGGATGACATTTATTGATTTGCGTATATTGAACCAGCCTTCCATCCCAGGGATGAAGCCCACTTGATCATGGTGGATAAGCTTTTGATGTGCTGCTGGATTCGGTTTGCCAGTATTTTATTGAGGATTTTTGCATCAATGTTCATCAAGGATATTGGTCTAAAATTCTCTTTTTTGGTTGTGTCTCTGCCCGGCTTTGGTATCCGAATGATGCTGGCCTCATAAAATGAGTTAGGGTGGATTCCCTCTTTTTCTATTGATTGGAATAGTTTCAGAAGGAATGGTACCAGTTCCTCCTTGTACCTCTGGTAGAATTCGGCTGTGAATCCATCTGGTCCTGGACTCTTTTTGGTTGGTACACTATTGATTATTGCCACAATTTCAGCTCCTGTTATTGGTCTATTCAGAGATTCAACTTCTTCCTGGTTTAGTCTTGGGAGAGTGTATGTGTCGAGGAATTTATCTATTTCTTCTAGATTTTCTAGTTTATTTGCGTAGTGGTGTTTGTAGTATTCTCTGATGGTAGTTTGTATTTCTGTGGGATCGGTGGTGATATCCCCTTTATCATTTTTTATTGCATCTATTTGATTCTTCTCTGTTTTTTTCTTTATTAGTCTTGCTAGCAGTCTATCAATTTTGTTGATCCTTTCAAAAAACCAGCTCCTGGATTCATTAATTTTTTGAAGGGTTTTTTGTGTCTCTATTTCCTTCAGTTCTGCTCTGATTTTAGTTATTTCTTGCCTTCTGCTAGCTTTTGAATGTGTTTGCTCTTGCTTTTCTAGTTCTTTTAATTGTGATGTTAGGGTGTCAATTTTGGATCTTTCCTGCTTTCTCTTGTGGGCATTTAGTGCTATAAATTTCCCTCTACACACTGCTTTGAATGCATCCCAGAGATTCTGGTATGTTGTGTCTTTGTTCTCATTGGTTTCAAAGAACATCTTTATTTCTGCCTTCATTTCGTTATGTACCCAGTAGTCATTCAGGAGCAGGTTCTTCAGTTTCCATGTCGTTGAGCTGTTTTCAGTGAGATTCTTAATCCTGAGTTCTAGTTCGATTGCACTGTGGTCTGAGAGATAGTTTGTTATAATTTCTGTTCTTTTACATTTGCCGAGGAGAGCTTTACTTCCAAGTATGTGGTCAATTTTGGAATAGGTGTGGTGTGGTGCTGAAAAAAATGTATATTCTATTGATTTGGGGTGGAGAGTTCTGTAGATGTCTATTAGGTCCGCTTGGTGCAGAGCTGAGTTCAATTCCTGGGTATCCTTGTTGACTTTCTGTCTCGTTGATCTGTCTAATGTTGACAGTGGGGTGTTAAAGTCTCCCATTATTAATGTGTGGGAGTCTAAGTCTCTTCGTAGGTCACTCAGAACTTGCTTTATGAATCTGGGTGCTCCTGTATTGGGTGCATATATATTTAGGATAGTTAGCTCTTCTTGTTGAATTGATCCCTTTACCATTATGTAATGGCCTTCTTTGTCTCTTTTGATCTTTGTTGGTTTAAAGTCTGTTTTATCAGAGACTAGGATTGCAACCTCTGCCTTTTTTTGTTTTCCATTTGCTTGGTAGATCTTCCTCCATCCTTTTATTTTGAGCCTATGTGTGTCTCTGCACGTGAGATGGGTTTCCTGAATACAGCACACTGATGGGTCTTGACTCTTTATCCAATTTGCCAGTCTGTGTCTTTTAATTGGAGCAGTTAGTCCATTTACATTTAAAGTTAGTAGTGTTATGTGTGAATTTGATCCTGTCATTATGATGTTAGCTGGTGATTTTGCTCGTTAGTTGATGCAGTTTCTTCCTAGTCTCGATGGTCGTTACATTTTGGCATGATTTTGCAGCGGCTGGTACTGGTTGTTCCTTTCCATGTTTAGTGCTTCCTTCAGGAGCTCTTTTAGGGCAGGCCTGGTGGTGACAAAATCTCTCAGCATTTGCTTGTCTGTAAAGTATATTATTTCTCCTTCACTTATGAAGCTTAGTTTGGCTGGATATGAAATTCTGGGTTGAAAATTCTTTTCTTTAAGAATGTTGACTATTGGCCCCCACTCTCTTCTGGCTCGTAGGGTTTCTGCCGAGAGATCCACTGTTAGTCTGATGGGCTTCCCTTTGAGGGTAACCCGACCTTTCTCTCTGGCTGCCCTTAACATTTTTTCCTTCGTTTCAACTTTGGTGAATCTGACAATTATGTGTTTTGGAGTTGCTCTTCTCGAGGAGTATCTTTGTGGCATTCTCTGTATTTCCTGAATCTGAACGTTGGCCTGCCTTGCTAGATTGGGGAAATTCTCCTGGATAATATCCTGCAGAGTGTTTTCCAACTTGGTTCCATTCTCCCCATCACTTTCAGGTACACCAATCAGATGTAGATTTGGTCTTTTCACATAGTCCCATATTTCTTGGAGGCTTTGCTCATTTCTTTTTATTCTTTTTTCTCTAAACTTTCCTTCTCACTTCATTTCATTGATTTCATCTTCCATTGCTGATACCCTTTCTTCCAGTTGATCGCATCGGCTCCTGAGGCTTCTGCATTCTTCACGTAGTTCTCGAGCCTTGGTTTTCAGCTCCATCAGCTCCTTTAAGCACTTCTCTGTATTGGTTATTCTAGTTATACATTCTTCTAAATTTTTTTCAAAGTTTTCAACTTCTTTGCCTTTGGTTTGAATGTCCTCCCGTAGCTCAGAATAATTTGATCGTCTGAAGCCTTCTTCTCTCAGCTCGTCAAAGTCATTCTCCATCCAGCTTTGTTCCATTGCTGGTAAGGAGCTGGGTTCCTTTGGAGGAGGAGAGGTGCTCTGATTTTTAGAGTTTCTAGTTTTTCTGTTCTGTTTTTTCCCCCTCTTCGTGGTTTTATCTACTTTTGGTCTTTGATGATGGTGATGTACAGATGGGTTTTTGGTGTGGATGTCATTTCTGTTTGTTAGTTTTCCTTCTAACAGACAGGACCCTCAGCTGCAGGTCTGTTGGAGTACCCTGCAGTGTGAGGTGTCAGTGTGCCCCTGCTGGAGGGTGCCTCCCAGTTAGGCTGGTCGGGGGTCAGGGGTCAGGGACCCACTTGAGGAGGCGGTCTGCCAGTTCTCAGATCTCCAGCTGCGTACTGGGAGAACCACTGCTCTCTTCAAAGCTGTCAGACAGGGACATTTAAGTCTGCAGAGGTTACTGCTGTCTTTTTGTTTGTCTGTGCCCTGCCCCCAGAGGTGGAGCCTACAGAGGCAGGCAGGCCTCCTTGAGCTGTGGTGGGCTCCATCCAGTTCGAGCTTCCAGGCTGCTTTGTTTACCTAAGCAAGCCTGGGCAATGGTGGGAGCCCCTCCCCCAGCCTGGCTGCCGCCTTGCAGTTTGATCTCAGACTACTGTGCTAGCAATCAGGGAGACTCTGTGGGGTAGGACCCTCCGAGCCAGGTGCGGGATATAATCTCGTGGTGCGCCTTTTTTTAAGCCCGTCAGAAAAGCTCAGTATTCGGGTGGGAGTGACCCGATTCTCCAGGTGCCGTCTGTCACCCCTTTCTTTGATTAGGAAAGGGAACTCCCTGACCCCTTGTGCTTCCCGAGGGAGGCAGTGCCTCGCTCTGCTTCGGTTCGCACATGGTGCGTGCACCCACTGACCTGCGCCCCCTGTCTGGCACTCCCTAGTGAGATGAACCCGGTACCTCAGATGGAAATGCAGAAATCACCCGTCTTCTGCGTCGCTCAGGCTGGGAGCTGTAGACCAGAGCTGTTCCTGTTCGGCCATCTTGGCTCCTCCCTCCTTCAATTTCTTTCAGTAATGATTTTTAGTTTTCAATGTACAAGTCTTTCACCTCCTTGGTTAAATGTATTCCTAGGTATTTTATTCTTTCTGATGCTCTTATAAGTGGAATTCTTGATTTCCTTTTTAGATTGTTCATTTCTTTATAAAGAAACACAACCAATTTTTTTGTTATTGATCTTATACTCTGTAACTTTGCTGAATTTATTTAGTAGCTTTAGCATCATTTCTTCTTTAAACATTTGGTAGAATTCACCAGTGTAGTCACCTGGGCTTACTGCTTTCTTATTTGGAAGGTTATTAATTATTGATTTAATTTTTTAATAGATATAGGCTTGTTCAGATTACCTATTTTTTCTTGTGTGAGTTTTGGTAGATTGTGGCTTTCAAGGAATTTGTCCATTTCATCTCAGTTATCAAATTTGTGGACATAGAGCCATTTATAGTATTCCTTTTTATCCTTTTAATATCCATGGGATCAGTAGTTATGGACCCTTTTTCATTTCCAATATTAGTAATTTGTTTCTTTTCTCTTTCTTTCTTTCTTGATTAGCCTGACTAGGGATTTATCAATTTTATTGATCTTTTCTTAGAACTCGTTTTTGCTTTCATTGATTTTCTCTATTGTTTTCATTTTATTGATTCCTCCTCTAATTTTTATTATTTTCTTCTGTTTACTTAAGATTTAATTTACTCTCTTTCTCTAGTTCCTATGGTAAAAACTCAGAAGACTGATTTAGGTTTTTTTTTCTCTCTCTCTCTCTCTCTATATATATATATGTATATATGTATGTATATATATATATATATATATACACACACACACATTCAATGCTACAAATTTTTCTTTAAGCACTGCTGTTGTGGCATCTTAAAAATTTTGATACATCATATTTTCATTTTCTCATTTAGTTCAAAATATTTGTATTTCCCTGAGACTTCTTCTTGGACCCATGTGTTATTTTAAAGTGTGTTGTTTAATATTAAAATATTGTGGTATTTTTGGCTATATTTCTGTTATTGACATTTAGTTTAATTCTTTTGTGGTCTGAGAGTATATTCGTATGATTTCTGTTTTTAAAATTTTGGTAAGGTATGTTTTATGGCCCAGGATATGGCCTATCTTGATGTATGTTCCATGTAAGCTTGAGAGGAAAGTGTGTTATGCATTGTTGGAAGAATTATTCTATAAATGCCAATTAGATCAAGTTGACTAATAGTGCTGTTCAGTTCATCTATATGCTTCATAATTTTCGGCCTGCTGGATATAATGATTACTGATAGAAGGATGTTGAAGTCTCTATTATAGTATATTTATCTATTTCTGCATGTAGTTCTATTAATTTTTGCCTCATATATTTTGAATCTCTGTTGTTAGGCTCATACCCATTTAGAATTGTCATGCCTTCTTGTAGATTGACTCCTTTATTATTACGTAACACCCATCTTAGTCTCAAATAATATTCCTGGCTCTAAAATATTCTCTGTGTAGAATTAACATAGCTACTCAGCTTTCTTCAGACTAGTGTTAGCATGGTACATCTTTCTCTGTCCATTTACCTTTTTTTTCATCCAGCTTTATTGAGGTATAATTGACAACTAAAAATTGTATACACCTAAGTTGTACAATATGATGTCTTGAGGTATGTATACATTGCAAAATAATTAACACATGTTAAATTAATTGAGCTAATTGACATATCACTTCACATTGTTACTCCAATTTATTTACTTTTAATGCACCTCTGCCTTTATATTTGGAGTAGGTTTCTTGTAGACAATGTATACTTGAGTCTTATTATTCTTATCCACTCTAATAGTTTCTGCTGAACCCAGGAGGGGTAGAGCAAGGGCACGTAAAAATATCTCAAAGCTTTTCTACCATTTTTAAGTCACCTTTTTCTTGCTTCAGCCTTAGTTTTGTTGCTGTAAATCTTTGACTACTTTCCAGAGTTCTAACAAAATTAGGACAGTTTTTGCTTGCATTTTTTTTTCTTTTTTTGAGACAGAGTCTCGCTCTGTTGCCCAGGCTGGAGTGCAGTGGCACGATCTCAGCTCACTGCAAGCTCCACCTCCTGGGTTCATGCCATTCTCCTGCCTCAGCCTCCAGAGTAGCTGGGACTACAGGCGCCCACCACCAGGCCCAGCTAATTTTTTTGGATTTGTAGTAGAGATGGCGTTTCACTGTGTTAGCCAGGATGGTCTCCATCTCTTGACCTCGTGATCTGCCCGCCTCGGTCTCCCAGCGTATTTTGATGTTTCTCTACAGGAATGGTCCCTTGAAGCTATCTACTCTCCAATTTTTATTGACATCTTTCAGCTGTTTTAATATTTCATTGGGTTTTTAATTAATCAAAACTTAAAAAATCAGTTCTAATATTTTAATCTAACCTGCTAATTTCTGATTTTGTATTAAATCAGTTTATCCCCCTTAATTTGTTTATTTTTTAAATAATTTAGTCCTAGATGTTGAGATTATGTTCTTTCTTTAAAAACAAGTTGTCTAATACTACGTATTTTATCTGAGCATAAGGTTAGCTATATATTTAAAGTTTTTAAATGTAGTAGCCTTATTATTACTTTTAAAAGCAGTCCATAATTGTAGTTCTTGTTATCTATTTGTTTGATGTAAGACTGGTTATATCTACTTGAAATATTTCAGTGCCACAGATACAAAGGTTCATGAGTGTCTTTACTGTGGATTGCACTATTTATCATTATAAATGCCATTTTAAAGCATCAGTGATTTTTGTTTTGATTCTAATTTATTCAGTATTATAGTCCTGCTTTCTCTTGTCTGTCTTTGCCTGATATAGCTCATCTCTTTATTTTCAAAAAGTATTTCTTTTTAGGGATACTCTAGCAAACACAAATTGGTTGAATTTTGTTGCCTTTTTTTCCTCACTCTGATAGTGTTTGTCTTTTTGTTTAAAAAGTTAACTCATCCACATTTTTTGTGTTAATTGATATTTAATTATGTACTTGTCATTATGT
Source organism: Homo sapiens (assembly GCF_000001405.40). NCBI lineage: Eukaryota > Metazoa > Chordata > Mammalia > Primates > Hominidae > Homo > Homo sapiens. Next base: position 178,979,457 of record NC_000002.12, on the reverse strand, counting down.
TTGTGTGTGTCCTTATGAACCTGCTCTTATTTCTTTTGTTTTCTTTGTTGTATTTTTCTTTATCACGTTTTAAGTTCCTTTTTATGTTGATATTTTAGAATTTATTCATACTATTTTAGTCTACTGTACTCTTTAAAAATTATGCCTTTATTTTGGTGTCAACTTCAAGAATTATATGGATCTTATTGAATCCTCCTATCCCTGAATGAGACAATTATGTAAGCACATGTTCCTTTTCATTTTTCATATTTTGTTCAAACAGTAGATAATGTTGGTTATAGATATCTTAATTTTTAAATTATGACTATTCTGGTTTAAAAATCTACTCTTAATATTTACATTAATCGTCACGGTCATATTAACAACTAATGACAATTATTTGCAATAAACTAAGCTTTACTGGGCTTGTTTCTCACAACCTTTATTCTTGATCACTCTTCAGGGTGTGTTCTTATTACTTTTCTTATTTTTTTTGGAACTGTTAGATTAACATAATATTCTATACCCCTTGGGAATGTAGACATGTGTCTTTGACAGATGTCAGCAGTGTTTGGACAATGTTTAAATGTGAACGCCCTTAGCCTGGCCATGCTTCCTGGCTCACCTCAATCCTGATCGCTCCTTCCTTCCTGTTTGATACACCTTCTTGCATAACAGTTTGTGTTTATAAATTCTGTTTCCTAGACCACATGCAATTTCTACTATCCAAGTGTTTAAAATGTGATCCTGTGTTCTTACATTAAGTTAACACCCTGCCTTATGCCTTTTTCTTTTGTACTTAGGCTTTGGAAGATCGGGTATGGGAACTCTTGCAGGAAGCAGACAAGACAGCTGAAGAGAACAAGGATCAGAGTCAGGTCTATGATGCCATGGCCGAGACTCTGGGTGAAGCATGGGCAGCTCTGGTGTCCATGCTTGAAAGAAGAACAGAGCTCCTTAGGTTGACTTCTGAATTTTTTGAAAATGCCTTAGAGGTTTGTACTTTAAAAAACTTCTCCCTTCCCCACATCAGAGCAAATGAATAGCACTCCTGAAAATGTTTATTTTTTCACAAATAGACATTGCAAGCAGTTAAAAAAATGGCAGAATAACCAAAACATACATACACAATATATTTAATTTTTGATTGTCAAAAAACAAAATTATTACTATTTTAAGAGTAGATCTTCAAACAAAAACAAAGTACAGTTAAATAACTAAAATTTGGTAAAATATTAAGTAATAATGGGAACACTCATAAGTCATTACGATTATTTCCCTCTATAGAAGGTAGTAATACAGTTACTAAATCAAACAATTACCTGATGGTAGGATTACTAAGAAATGCTGGTCTAGAGTGTGGTTCTTGGCTAAAAGTTGGAGAATAAAATTTCCTTTTGCTGCCTATGTTTTAAAAAGGCAATTATAGAATATTCCATAGGATATTTGATTCATAAATATAGCATTTTATAAGTACTTTCCTAAGGCGTATAGTTGATTTTCCATAGTTTGAACACCTTACAATACAAGAGAAGGAAAAAGTCCTCCTAGACCTAAGAAGGTCATGTCTCCATGTGATTTTTCTCGAATTCTACAATTTTTTGAGGTTTCTAATTTCAAAATATGAGAGTTCAAAGAACATTATCAAAAGAGGTGTTATATTTGGTATAAGACAGTTATTGGAAATTTCACTTTTAACTTCTGTGTCAGGTGGCAGCCCATTCATTTTGATGTAAGAGCACTGCTTCATTATGATAAAGCATTAGCTTTGAAAAATATGACATTTTAAACTAGAAATTCAGGACTTAAATCCAAAATAATGAAGGAAAGAAGATTAGTAATAGAAACTAAAAATTGGAGTAGGCAATCTCATGCATCATGAACTTGTTTAAAAGCAAAAGGGAGGAATAAAAACCTTATTATAACTTTCAAGGCTTGTTTTTCACAATTTGAACACCGAAGTTTAACTCATTTCAGAGACCATCTTGGAAAAAGTTTCATACACCATCTTTCTTCCCTGAAAAGAAATGAAACAGCTGAAATACACCTACAGAGGCCAAATTATAGCTATATCTGATTCACTCTATCTTAGTAAGTAGGGTATAGGTGTCAACTGTCCTTGAAACTCAGCTCTTTTGAGCCCAGGAAATTTTCTTTTTTTCTAGCATTGGAGCAATATTTGTTTCTCACTGTGTTTTAGTGTTAATGTAGCTTATTTTCTCCATGATGAGTAAATTCCTTTCAGATATAACATGAAGTAAAAGGAAATAGTAGGCCAAACCATAATTAAGCCCAACACTCTTATACTTACACTTGCGTGAGCTTTTATTGAATCTAGTGAAAAGACTAATTATTTTTTGTATTATCCTGTTTCCAATTTTGTGGATCACTTCATACTAAACTGAAGACAAACTCCTATATAATCCTTATGTCCCCTTTGTATGCCAAAGCCATTTTTATTAGTGATATAAGAGAGTGGAGAAAGGAAAATACTGATAAAAGTAAACAGAACTTTAGGAAAACTTTTTCTGAGTAAAGCATTGTTTGCTTATTGGTTTATTTATTTTTAATTTTATAACAAGCTGAAATATAAATATAAGTTAAACAGTGACCCTGGAACTTTTTCTAATGTTCTGCAGGTAACAAACAAACTACCTGCTAGGAATTTTCTTTTCTTTTTGAAGATTCTCTTTAAATAATATTTTAAAAATCAGTTATTAGAAATTGAATTAGAGATGTAAATGATGTGGATATGACCCCCTTATTGAATTATGTGCATGTAGGAGTTTTTGAGAAATGAAAAATTACTAATAATTGCATGGCTGATCATTATTACAAGATTATTTCAGGCTCACAGACATAACTGTCAGTTGGGTTATTCTCACCTCGAACACTGTGCTATAATTTAGGAACACTGCCCCTGATTGGCAGCAGCAGATGTCCATCAGGTTGTTCTAATAGGATGACAGAGGCCTTCCTTGCATTTCCAAAACATGTCCCATGCTCTTCAGTCTCTCTCTCATCATTCTGTTTCACTTATAATTGGATTTCATATGGCTGTTGTAATAAACTACAGTCGATTGTGTTAATCAAATAGTTACATTAAAATATTAAGAATCCCCAAATTCAAAAATGATAGTTTGGAGAAGACTTGAAACAGAAGATAAGTACCGTGGTAAGCTTCTATGTCTGATACTTTTCCTTAATTAGTTTATTCTAAACCCAATCCAAAGGTGGATATATTAAAATGCTCATATAAATTGTGATAATTACTGTTGAATCTTAGTGCTAAAACAAGCCAACTATTTGTCTACCACTATAGACATACTGTGACAGGATAATCAAATATATTTTGCCATTCTAAAATTTGTTTCTAAGATTATTTTCCTGAGCATTTTAACATCACGTTAATCATCTCTCTCAATCTCCCACTGCCTCTATGGAGAAAAAGAAAAAAGACAGACCAGTTATATTCCTCACCATTTAGAGTGTGAAATTACTATGCATTTTCCTTGAAACAGGGAATAAATTTCTCACTTGTCATTCTTGCTCCATCTAATCTCATTTTATTTATAGATGTAATGCATACAAATTATTGATAAAAATGCAAACAGAATTACAAATTATAGATTTAAATATTAAAATTTTACCTCCTCTCACTCATCCTTAATTTCATTTCTTCTCATTAAGTCACCATTTGGTGTGTATTTTTTGAGACCAATTTCTATACAAATATATATTTTTTTGCTTTGTATAAAATATTGGATTAGACTATGTATTATTCAGAAACTTGCATATTTCACTGCTAAGTTCAATTTTAGAGGGAAAAAATAACTATACTTCTACCTTCTCTCTAAGTGAGTTCCTAAGCTACATTTACTTGTAAATGTATAGACTGCTTTTTAGTTAACCTTTTCTTGGTTTCCCTTAGCTAACTTTCTGCTTATTCTTAACTAAGTGCCTTAGAATGTTGAAAGTGACTGTATACATAGGACACTATAATTTTGGTTGAAAAATTTAATAGGCATTTGGACAGTAAACAGGTTGGTTTATTTCAGCCTATATAATTAGGTATGAAAGGAGAAGAAAGTTCTTACCAATGACACTTTGTAAATTGACCACATGCAAACACACACCCTCATGCAAACACTGTAAGCCAAAACACACACAAACACATACAAACATATGCACTTGCATAATCACACATCCTCAGTTGGGCTACTAATTTATGAAAAACATCTCCAGGTAACTAACAATGGCACGTTAATTTTTATACAAATGTCAAATGTCTTTCCTCTGTATTTCTATTGTAGTTTGCTATTAAAATAGACCAAGCTGAAGATTTCCTCCAGAATACTCATGAGTTTGAGAGTGCTGAGTCCTTAAAATCACTTCTTCAGCTTCATGAACATCATACTAAAGGCAAGAAATATGTTTATTTCTCACAGAAGTGTTTAGAGGTTTTAAAAGATGTTAATGTGAGAATGCTTATGTATGATAGTGTATTTTAAATTGATCTATTTATGTTTACCTCAGCTTGTTCCAAGAAAAGTTAAAGCTTCATTTTTAATCATCTTCTGAAAGAAAGAACTAGTTGTGAATATTCTGAGAGGATGGTAGAGGATATGCCTCCAGGAGATTCTGTTATTTGGTGTGCTAGAGTTTAGCTCCTGAGGACAGAGGCCATTTCTACCTTGTTCATCCCTTTACCCTTAGCATCTAGCAAGGTTCCTGCCACATGGTAGATCCTAAAGAAATTTTCTTAGTTGAATAAATCATTGAATTCAGTGAATGTTCCTTCTAAGGGTCAATAAATGAAGGTAATTCTTTAAAAAGCAGGTCTGAATCAGCAAAATTCCTCTTTCACCATTGCAGTTAAAAAAATGGAACAGTGAATTTTTCCAGATGAAAATCTAATAAAACACTCTACAAAAAGATTTTCAGTTCCCTCTGAACAACTAGAAAGATAGTCTAGTTGTTAACCAACAATTTGTATGCCAAGCCTTTCTACAAGAATTTGGTGTGGGCCAGGAGTGGAGTAGGGAAACGCATTTGTGGAAAAGTAGTAGTTACCTGTCATCTTTTGCAATGGAAGGAGGTTAGATAAATTGATAGAAACAACCGTTTCTTTTCTGCCTAATATGTCTTCTAATTTTACTGCCAAATAGAATAGGGTCTGGATAGAAAGGTTTCTTGAATTCATTTGTCACAGTTCTAACTTGACTTCTAGCTCCACCAGCCTGTCATTCTGGATAGGACCAAAAGGTGTTTTAAAGTCACAAATAGATTTAGTGTTTATATTACCCTTCAAAAGACTCTAGACAATAGATCATTATGATAAATTACTTATTACAACTTTCTAAAACTCAAAGATTAAAGGACTCAATCTTTCCTATGTAAGATTAAAGGACTCAATCTTTCCTATGTAAATTCTTATGAGATCCTACCAAATACATATATATAATTTCCACTGATTATTGTTCTATAGGACCTATCACTAATAGGGATTATAAAAAGCATCAAAAGTTTGTGCTTTAAAGCAACAGTTGCCCATTATTATACAGCAGTAGTAATCTAGCTAGGTCCAAAGGAAATGAGTAGAATCACGTGAAATTCCTCCTAGGAGACTGGAAGGCAACAGATGGGTTCTGTAGTCTCAATTCAATCTTCTTTCAACCAACATGATCATCACACAGCAGTTTTACCTCCAGAAACCTGACAATGATGGATGCTATTATTGAAGAGTTTCAATACTGAGGCAATCAAATGAAAGCATTCTCCAGAGGGACTGGGGGCTTGTAGAAGTAGGGGCTTTTCCATACATGTTTGGGAATGGAGCTGGCAGGGGGAATGTAGTCTTAATGCTGTTTTGTTGTTGCTACTGCTGTTGGCTCCTTCAAGTTCCTAGGATCTGCGGCACTGTGGGCCAGTTTATATGGGGCACATGCTGCTTTGTTTGCACTTCTTTGGCATCCAGCTGACAGTGAAACTGATGTCTTGCTTTTCAGGGGTACCAGCCTTCAAGAGTCCACTGGGTGTCCTTAGTCTGAAGAGATGGATAAAAATGCTAGTGGAAGACAGGAAACATAGTTTATTTTTATGATGAAAAAATATTCTTCCATCTTGATGACATATTTATTGTGAGAGTTTGTGCCCTTCTGTGTGATACTTGAAGCACAGAGATGACAGAGAACTCTGGTCAGGATACTTGTTCCCAGTTCATATGCCCAGTGGTGGCTTCAAGGGTTTTTGTTTTCATAAAACAAAAAAATGAAGTTGATGCAATTTATTAACCAACTAATTCCATGGGATATGATTAAGATTAGCTGATTTGAAATGCATATTAAAGGGTGAAATTCTGATTTTTTAGTTGAGTGCTTCATATCTATTACCTTTAAATTTAAGGAAATAAAATATGTCTATAAGTGCAGCTAGCCATTCTAGTAAGTTTCTGAGATGTTAATCAGTTGAGTAGTACAAAACATGAGTGTTAGGATGACAAAAGCTGGAAAAACTATAATCAAACTTACCCCTAATAGTCACTTTATTTCAATTAGCTTCACCTATGCTTTCTCCTTATTCAGCAGTGCTAAGGCTCCCTAATATGTAAGAAACTTATTCTTTAACACTACGGAAGTTAGAACCAGGATTAATGGGTTGATATTTCTGCCCCCTGGAATGTTTCAGAACAAGTTGGTTCCCTCCACCACATAACAATCCTTGAAAGAGAGGGAATAATATACCTTCTCCTGACTTCTCTCCTTGGGGTTAAAATTACCTAGTTAGTTAAAGTCTTTTCCAGCAAATATGGTTTCCGGATTACTTACTGGCCTGGTTGCCCTCAATCCAAAACACATAATTAAACACTGTTTTCTGAACCCATAACCTCGTGAGAAATCCAGGGCCATGTGTCAGGGGAGTACGTGGCCATTTTCCTCAGGAAGCCTGCAGTTTAGCAGGACATGTACACATTCGTTGGTGACTCCCTCTATACTTCCTGTGGGTACTTCAGTACATCACCTCACACACTGTGTAGTAATAATTTATTTTCTTATTTATCTTCATCATCAGGTTGTGAGACCCTAGATCTCCAAAGCTGAGAATAGTGTCTAACCCAAAGTATATTTGTTGCGTGTTATTTGTATATAATTCCAATGTACGACATGGCAGAATGATGCAAAAGTGAGCAACAAACGAAGTGCTTTAGGGACATTAAGGAGAAGAAAATTTACTCTAAGCTCCAAAGAATGACAACTGCACCCTCCAGTTTTCTAAGGGTCTTCTTAAAATGAATGTAAGAACTGAGAAGCTGCTTCACAGGAAGGATCATATTACTTCTTTTTCCTTCTTGGATGTTGTATATATCTTTTTTTAAATTTATTTTTATTTAGGTTTTTTTTTAAATTATATATTTTAAGTTCTGGGGTACATGTTCAGAACGTGCAGTTTTGTTACATAGGTATATATGTGCCATGGTGGTTTGCTGCACCCATCAACCCGTCACTTACATTAGGTATTTCTCCTAATGTTATCCTTCCCCTAACCCACACCCCCAGACAGGCCCCGGTGTGTGATGTTCCCCTCCCTGTGTCCATGTGTTCTCATTGTTCAACTCCCACTTATGAGTGAGAAGATGTGGTGTTTGGTTTTCTGTTCTCATGATAGTTTGCTGAGAATGATGGTTTCCAGCTTCATCCATGTCCCTGCAAAGGACATGAACTCATCCTTTTTTATGGCTGCATAGTATTCTATGGTGTGTGTATATGTGCCACATTTTCTTTATCCAGTCCATTATTGATGGACATTTGGGTTGGTTCCAAGTCTTTGCTATTGTGAATAGTACCGCAATAAACATACATGTGCATGTGTCTTCATAGTAGAATGATTTATAATCCTTTGGGTATATACCCAGTAATGGGATTGCTGGGCCAAATGGTATTTCTAGTTCTAGATCCTTGAGGATTCACCACACTGTCATCCACAATGGTTGAACTAGTTTACACTCCCACCAACAGTGTAAAAGCATCCCTATTTCTCCACATCCTTTCCAGTATCTGTTGTTTCCTGACTTTTTGATGATTGCCATTCTAACTGGTGTGAGATGGTATCTCATTGTGGTTTTGATTTGCATTTCTCTAATGACCAGTGATGACGAGCATTTTTTCATATGTTTGTTGGCTGCATAAATGTCTTCTTTTGAGAAGTATCTGTTCATATCCTTTGCCCACTTTTTGATGGGGTTGTTTTTTTCTTATAAATTTTTTTTTAATTGAGGTGGAGTCTCGCTTTGCCACCCAGGCTGGAGTGCAGTGGTGCAATCTCAGATCACTGCGACCTCCACCTCCCTTGTTCAAGTGATTCTTCTGTCTCAGCCTCCCGAGTAGCTGGGACTTCAGGCCCACGCCACCAGGCCCGGCTAATTTTTTTATTTTTAGTAGAGATGGAGTTTCACCATATTGGCCAGGCTGGTCTCAAACTCCTGACTTCGTGATCTGCCCGCCTCAGCCTCCCGAAGTGCTGGGATTACAGGCGTGAGCCACTGTGCCCGGCCTTTGTCTTGTAAATTTGTTTAAATTATTTGTAGATTCTGGATATTAGCCCTTTGTCAGATGGATAGATTGCAAACATTTTCTCCCATTCTGTAGGTTGCCTGTTCACTGATGATAGTTTCTTTTGCTGTGCAGAAGTTCTTTAGTTTAATTAGATCCCATTTGTGTATTTTGGCTTTTGTTGCCATTGCTTTTGGTGTTTTAGACATGAAGTCTTTTCCCATGCCTGTGTCTTGAATGGTATTGCCCAGGTTTTCTTCTAGGATTTTTATGGTCCTAGGTCTTACATTTAAGTCTTTGATTCATCTTGAGTTGATTTTCATATAAGGTGTAAGGACGGGGTCCAGTTTCTGTTTTCTGCATATGGCTAGTAGGTTTCCCAACACCATTTATTAAATAGGGAATATTTTCCCCATTGCATGTTTGTATCAGGTTTGTCAAAGATCAGATGGTTGTAGATGTGTGGTGTTATTTCTGAGGCCTGTGTTCTGTTCCATTGGTCTATATATCTGTTTTGGTACCAGTATCACGCTGTTTTGTTTACCGTAGCGTTGTAGGATAGTTTGAAGTCAGGTAGTGGGATGCCTCCAGCTTTGTTCTTCTTGCCCAGGATTGTCTTGGCTATGTGGGCTCTTTTTTTGTTCCATATGAACTTTAAAGTAGTTTTTCCAATTCTGTGAAGAAAGTCAGTGGTAGCTTGATGAGGATAGCATTGAATCTATAAATTACTTTGGGCAGTATGGTCATTTTCACAATATTGATTCTTCCTATCCGTGAGCATGGGATGTTTTTCCATTTGTTTGTGTCCTCTCTTATTTCCTTGAGCGGTGGTTGGTAGTTTTCCCTGAAGAGGTCCTTCACATCCCTTGTAAGTTGGATTCCTAGGTATTTTATTCTCTTTGTAGCAGTTGTGAATGGGAGTTCACTCATGATTTGGCTCTCTGTCTGTTACTGGTGTATAGGAATGCTTGTGATTTTTGCACATTGATTTTGTATCCTGAGACTTTGCTGAAGTTGCATATCAGCTTAAGGAGATTTTGGGCTGAGATGATAGGGTTTTCTAAATATACAATCATGTCATCTGCAAACAGAGACAATTTGACTTCTTCTCTTCCTATTTGAATACCGTTTATTTCTTTCTCTTGCCTGACTGCCCTGGCCAGAACTTCCAATACTATGTTGAATAGGAGTGTTGAGAGAGGACATCTTTGTCTTGTGCTGGTTTTCAAAGGAAATGCTTCCAATTTTTTCCCATTCAGTATGATATTGGCTGTGGGTTTGTCATAAATAGCTCTTATTATTTTGAGATACATTCCATTGATACCTAGTTTATTGAGGGTTTTTAGCATGAAGAGGTTTTGAATTTTGTTGAAGGCCTTTTCTGCATCTATTGAGATAATCATGTGTTTTTTGTCATTGGTTCTGTTTATGTGATGGATTACGTTTATTGATTTGCATATGTTGAACCAGCCTTGCATCCCAGGGATGAAGCTGACTTGATCGTGGTGGATAAGCTTTTTGATGTGCTGCTGGATTTGGTTTGCCAGTATTTTATTGAGGATTTTTGCGTCGATGTTCATCAGGAATATTAGGTCCCATTTGTGGGCTCTAAAAGAAAAAAATTTTCTTTTTTGTTGTGTCTCTGCCAGGCTTTGGTATCAGAATGATGCTGGCCTCATAAAATGAGTTGGGAAGGGTTCCCCCTTTTTCTATTGTTTGGAATAGTTTCAGAAGGAATGGTACCAGCTCCTCTTTGTACCTCTGGTAGAATTCAGCTGTGAATCCGTCTGGTCCTGGGCTTTTTTTTTTTTTTTTTTTTTTTTTTGGTTGGTAAGCTATTAATTACTGCCTCAATTTCAGAACTTGTTATTGGTGTATTCAGGGATTCGACTTCTTCCTGGTTTAGGCTTGGGAGAGTGTATGTGTCCAGGAATTTATCCATTTCTTCTAGATTTTCTAGTTTATTTGCATAGAGGTGTTTATAGTATTCTCTGATTTGGTTTGTATTTCTGTGGGATCAGTGGTGATATGCCCTATATCATTTTTTATTGTGCCTATTTCATTCTTCTCTCTTTTCTTCTTAATTAGTCTGGCTAGCGGTCTGTTTTGTTGATCTTTTCAAACACCCAGCTCCTGGATTCATTGATTTATTGAAGGCTTTTTAGTGTTTCTATCTCCTTCAGTTCTGCTCTGATCTTAGTTATTTCTTGTCTTCTGCTAGATTTTGAATTTGTTTGCGGTCGCTTCTCTAGTTCTTTTAATTTTGATGTTAAGGTGTCAATTTTAGATCTTTCCTGCTTTCTTTTGTGGGCTTTTAGTGCTATAAATTTCCCTCTACTCACTGCTTTAAATGTGTCCCAGAGATTCTGGTACGTTGTGTTTTTATTCTCATTGGTTTCAAAGAACATCTTTATTTCTGCCTTCATTTCCTTATTTACCCAGTAGTCATTCAGGAGCATGTTGTTCAGTTTCCATGTAGTTGTGCGGTTTTGAGTGAGTTTCTTAATCCTGAATTCTAATATGATTGCACTGTGGTCTGAGAGGCTGTCTGTTATGATTTCCGTTCTTTTGCATTTGCTGAGGAGTATTTTACTTCCAATTATGTGGTCAATTTTAGAATAATTGTGATGAGGTGCTGAGAAAAATGTATATTCTGTTGAATTGAGGTGGAGAGTTCTGTAGATGTCTATTAGGTCTGCTTGTTCCAGAGCTGAGTTCAAGTCCTGAGTATCCTTGTTAATTTTATGTCTCATTGATCTGTCTAATATTGACAGTGGGGTGTTAAAGTGTCCCACTATTATTGTATGGGAGTCTAAGTCTCTTTGTAGGTCTCTAAGAACTTGCTTTATGAATCTGGGTGCTCCTGTATTGGGTGCATGTATATTTAGGATAGTTAGCTCTTCTTGCTGCATTGGTCCCTTTACCATTATGTAATGCCCTTCTTTGTCTCTTCTGATCTTTGTTGGTTTAAGTCTGTTTTATGAGATTAGGATTGCAACTCTTGCTTTTTTTTTACTTTCCATTTGCTTAGTAAATATTCCTCCATCCTTTTATTTTGAGCCTATGTGTGTCTTTGCACATAAGATGGGTTTCCTGAATACAGCACTCTAATGGGCCTTGACTCTACCCGATTTGCCAGTATGTGTCTTTTAATTGGTCCAGTTAGCCCATTTACATTTAAGGTTAATATTGTTATGTGTGAATTTGATCCTGTCATTATGATGCTAGCTGGTTGTTTTGCCCGTTAGTTGATGCAGTTTCTTCGTAGTGTCAATGTTCTTTACAATTTGTTATGTTTTTGCAGTGGCTGGTACAAGTTGTTCCTTTCCATGTTTAGTGCTTCCTTCAGGAGCTCTTGTAAGGCAGGCCTGGTGGTGACAAAATCTCTCAGCATTTCCTTGTCTATAAAGGATTTTATTTCTCCTTCGCTTATGAAGCTTAGTTTGACTGGATATGAAATTCTGGGCTGAAAATTCTTTTCTTTAAGAATGTTGACTATTGGCCCCCACTCTCTTCTGGCTTTTAGAGTTTCTGCAGAGAGATCCGCTGTTAGTCTTTGTGGGTAACCCGACCTTTCTCTCTGGCTGCCCTTAACATTTTTTCCTTCGTTTCAACTTTGGTGAATCTGACCATTATGTGTCTTGGGGTTGCTCTTCTCGAGGAATATCTTTGTGGTGTTCTCTGTATTTCCTGAATTTGAATGTTGGCCTGCCTTGCTAGGTTGGGGAAGTTCTTCTGGATAATATCCTGAAGAGTGTTTTCCAACTTGGTTCCATTCTCCTCATCACTTTCAGGTATACCAATCAAACGTAGATTTGGTCTTTTCACATAGTCCCATATTTCTTGGAGGCTTTGCTTGTTCCTTTTTCTTCTTTTATCTCTAATCTTGTCTTCTCACTTTATTTCATTAAGTTGGTCTTCAATCACTGATATCCTTTCTTCTGCTTGGTCGATTCAGCTATTGAAACTTGTGTATGCTTCACGAAGTTCTCCTGCTGTGTTTTTCAGCTCCATGAGGTCATTTATATTCTTCTCTGCACTGGTTATTCTAGTTAGCAATTCGTCTAACCTTTTTTTCAAGGTTCTTAGCTTCCTTGCATTGGGTTAGAATATGCTACTTTAGCTCGGAGCAGTTTGTTATTACCTACCTTCTGAAGCCTACTTCTTTCATTCGTCAAACTCATTCTCCGTCCAGTTTTGTTCCCTTGCTGGTGAGGAGTTTTGATCCTTTGGAGGAGAAGCAGCATTCGGGTTTTTGGAATTTTCAGCCTTTTCGCACTGGTTTTTCCCCATCTTTATGGATTTATCTACCTTTGGCCTTTGATGTTGGTGACCTTCAAATGAGGTTTCTGAGTGGATGTGCTGTTCCTTTCTGTTTGTTAGTTTTCCTTCTGACAGTCAGGCCCCTCTGCTGCAGGTCTGCTGGAGTTTGCTGGAGGTCCACTCCTGACCCTGTGTGCCTGGGTATCACCAGTGGAGGCTGCAGAACAGCAAAGACTGCCACCTGATCTTTCCTCTGGAAGCTTCATCCCAGAGGGGCACCTGCTAGACGCCAGTCAGAGCTCTCCTGTATGAGGTGTCTGTCACCCCCTACTGGGAGGTGTCTCCCAGTCAGGATACACAGGGGTCAGGGACCCACTTGAGGAGACAGTCTGACCCTTATCAGAGCTCGAATGCTGTGCTGGAAGGTCTGCTACTCCCTTCAGATCTGTCAGGCAGGGATGTTCAAGTCTGCTGAAGCTTCGCCCATAGGCGCCCCTTTCCCCAGGTGCTCTATCCCAGGGAGATGGGAGTTTTATTTCTAAGTCCCTGACTGGGGCGGCTGCCTTTTTTTCAGAAATTCCCTGCCCAGAGAAGAGAAATATGGCAGTCTGGCCACAGCAGCGTTGCTGAGCTGCAGTGGGCTCCCACCAGTTCAAACTTCCCAGTGGCTTTGTTTACACTGTGATTGTAAAACTGCCTACTCAAGCCTCAGCAATGGCGGACGCCCCTACCCCCACCAAGATGGAACGTACCGGGTCGATCTCAGACTGCTGCTGTGCTGACAGTGAGAATTTCAAGCCAGTGGATCTTAGTTTGCTGGGCTCTCTGGGGGTGGGAACTGCTAAGTCAGACCACTTGGCTCCCTGGCTTTAGCACCCCTTTCCAGGGGAGTGAAGAGTTTTGTCTCGCTGGTGTTCCAGGTGCCCTGGGGTGTGGAAAAAAAGAATCCCTGCAGCTAGTTCGGTGTCTGCCCAAATGGCTGCCAAGTTTTGTGCTTGAAACCCAGGGCCCTGGTGGGGTGGGCACTGGAGGGAATCTCCTGGTTTGTGGGTTGCGAAGACCATGGGACAAGCACAGTATCTGTGCCGGAGTTCCTCAGGCTGTCCCTCACGGCTTCCCTTGGGTAGGGGAGAAAATTCCCCTACCACTTGTGCTTCCTGGGTGAGGTGACGCCCCATCCTGCTTTGGCTCGCCTTCCATGGGCTTCACCCACTGTCCAACGAGTACCAATGAGATGAACCGGGTACCTCAGTTGGAAATGCAGAAATCACCTTCCTTCTGTGTCAATCTCTCTAGGAGCTGCAGACCCGAGCTGTTCCTATTCAGCTATCTTGCCAGCAATCGTGGATGTTTTTTGTATCTTAAACCTAGCTAGGGCATACATTCCTGGTGGCCCATTACACTATTATCTCTACTTTTGTCTCTATTTGAAAATACCTGTTAATTATGTTCAAGAGAAACCATCCCACTGGGGAACATTTAGAATATTTTTTAAAGTATTAGGAAGAAATATCTTACATGATCTCAGGACCAAGATGGTGACCTTGATGCATTTTAGAAAGTACTCATTTGGAAAGTTTATTTAACAAGCTGTAAACCTATCCACATTGTGTATACCTATTATACCATCTTAAATTGGTTATTTATACTTAATAATTGTGGCAAACTATAGAGGTATTAATATAAAATATGATGTATTTTATGAACTTTAATGATAATTTTTTAGATAGATTGAAAATTAATCAAAACAATTAATGAAAATTTATCGACTATCTTCTAAGTTCATATCACAAGGTATTGTGTCAGTAAGTAGGATTTCGTATGTGCTGATATACAGTCTTTAAAATAAATTGACTGTAAAGATGTTCTTGAAGGTCACAGTATATCTAGACAGTTTACTCTTGGGGAAAAACACATCACTTTGTAAGATCAACTGATGGAATAAATAGCTAGGAAAATGTAAACTGTGAAAAAGAAAAACGTAAGAAACTGAAAGACCAAGGGAACTGGCAGAGGAAACTGAGGGGAGAATCCATCCACCTCAACAGCCATCGTGGTAGCAGGTAACAGACTGACTCAGCCTGGATACATTTTACAAGTTAATGCTGGCTCAGGAGGCTGTGTGCCTGGCAATACTGTGGTAGTTGTTATGTTATTTTGGCAGAGGGTGAAACAGAAAACCAGAAAAAAAATTTGAATTTTAATTTTGGCTAATTGTTCATATTCTCATGGGAACCATAACAGGTTGACCATTAGTCTGCAATACCCTGAGGGCCTAAAGTTGTGCCTCCCTCTCATTTGCAAAGTCTAATGTGTAAGAGTTAGTTAGAGGAAGGAAACCCTGTGGAGACCCTGTTGCCTTCCCAAACTTCTCGTGTGTGGGCTGTATGTGTGTGTGTGTGTTTGCGTGTAGCTGTTCACAATATCATAACAAGCTCTTCAATGCAAAGGAAAAATACTATTTCCCTCTATATATAAAAGGAGACTCCATCATACTTCTTACTTCATTAAGGCTATACAAATTAAACTATTCAGTCTGATAGGCAAGGCCTGCTATAAGCTGCTTTTACCTCATTTCACCAGGTGTGTCTTGGACCTCCCCATAAGAACTTGTTCTGAACAGACAGATCTTTTCCTGAACCCTACCCCCAGCCCCATCTTGTTCATGTTTGCTTCCATTTCTTTTTTCCAAAGAAATTGACTTGAATTATAATGTTCTCCCTGACTTTTCTTACGCTATTTACATTCTCCCATTCTTCTCACCTGGTTGAATTCTGTGGTTGTTTTTGTCATTCGTTTCTTTACGTTGTTAACTCACAATCAAATTGCCCAGGGAACATAATCACACTCTCGTCATTCTGAGCAGATACTACTAGCTAATATTTTACAGGACTGATCTAGGTCATGTGGAATAAACTACTTCAAATTATTTCCTTTTCATCTCAAAATGCCTTTTTACAATATATTATCTCATTCTCTCCTCCAGCTTTCCAAAAAAAAAAAAAGTGTCAATTGAAAGAGAAAACTGGCCCAACTACCTCAGCCTACATCATTGCGGTGTAATAAACTGCCAAAAGTTATAATGCTGTAGTTGAGTGCATCCCTATAGTGGAAAGAACACTGAGCTATACTAATCACAAGTCTTGAGTTTCAGCACCAGTTCAGTCCATTTTTATTAGTATCTGGCTTGGTAAGATGCTTAGTCTCTGAGTGTTCTCCATAGTTCCCCCAACCTGAAAAAAACAAAAAAAAACAGTATA
Organism: Homo sapiens; assembly: GCF_000001405.40. Taxonomy (NCBI): domain Eukaryota; kingdom Metazoa; phylum Chordata; class Mammalia; order Primates; family Hominidae; genus Homo; species Homo sapiens. The sequence continues at coordinate 178,963,406 of NC_000002.12, read as the reverse complement.
TTTGACGCTGTTATTCTTTCGAGATACTGTCCTAGCATTTTCTTTTCTTCTAATAACAAATGTCTCAAAGATTGTCCTGAGTGTTGCCTTCCCACTTCTCAGCTCACTTTCTTCTCACTTCTCATTGCCTTCTCACTCCTCAACCTGGTAACTTGGCTTCTGTTTCCATCACAAAACCCAAAATCTTCTTCTCAACTTCTCTTTTTTACATCTCTGGGGAACTTCTGATCTCTAACATTTGTAGCTCCCCCAATTTCCAACCCCTCTTTCAAAACATTTCTTCTCACTCAAGCATTCTACAAAAATGATTGCAAATTTCCTGTGCCAGTCACTGTGCTAAGTGCTGGGTGCAGTCATGGTCTCTATCCTCATGTTGCAGTGGAGCCTAGTGGCAAAGACAGACATTAAGTGTGAGAGTATTTGATCCCATCTGATTTGTACTTTGAGGAAGTGACAGTTGACATGAAATATGAGTACGGTAAAGATAACGAAGGAGGGTGTTGAGGATGTGAGTGGACATAGTGAAAAGTTCAGGGTCAGGAGAGAGTATAGCATGTGTGAGGAATTTAAAGAAGATAAGAATGAAAAGTGGAGAGACTGAGACAATTTGAAAAGGAAGGAAGAGACTAGACCATGTCAGACATAGTAATCTACATTAAGGGGTCTGTCTTTAATTTTAAGGCATTGGGGTGCCATTGTTGTAAGTGTGAGTGTGTGTGCATGCGTGTGTGTGTGAGAGAGACAGAGGAAAGAAAGAAAGAAGGAAAGGAAAGAAAGAAGGAAAGAAGGAAAAGAAAGAAAAGAAAGAAAGAAAGAAGGGGAGGGAAAGAGATGCTATGTTTAGAAAAGATCGCTGTGGCTAAAGTCTGGTGCATTGATAGATGGATTGGAGAGAGGATACAATTAAGAGAAGACTGCACATCCAGGCAACAAATGATGCTTTCCATGGTGAGGACAGAGAGAAGTAGACAGATGCCAGAGATAGCATGTAAAATCAACAGGTCTTGATGATGGCGGGATGAAGGAGAGGGATGTCATGGACAGCTCCTTCTTTCTGCCTGATGGAGAGTGGACAGTTCCCCAACTGCTCCTTCAATTGATCCCCAAGTGTAGATGCTCCTCAATGTGCTATTCTCAACTCTTTCTCCTTCTACACTTTCTCCCTTGGTAGTTCTTCAATTTTTAGGCTTAACATCCCAATTCTACAAGATGTTACCTAAACTTACAATGCTATTTACTCCAGAGATCACATACTGGTAGTCCATTTGGCAGATATCTATGCTTCATTATCCTGTGATTTTTTTAATTAAAAATATGAATTATGAAAGATTTAGAAGTCAGAACTTTCATATAAAATTTGCATTTGAAACTCTTTTAATAATTGGAAGTTCCATCAACACTGAACCCATATTCCTCATGTCAACTGTTCGCCAGAACTGAGTGACAGCTGACCCTTTTAGCAAGCATTTTCCACTTTGTCATAGTCCCTGATATCTGGGCACCTGGCCACCACATTTATTGAGTTTTTGTTTGGTCATACCAGGCACTAGCCTTTAAATCTCAGCTTCAGTCCAATCACCTCAGAATGTAGAACACTCACCCAGCATCATACCGCTGAAAACTGCAGCAATGTCAAAATCCCACGCTCATTCTACTCCCTGTCCTGAATCACACAATTGCTGAACAAAGCATCCCATCAGTTGGCAGTTAGCACTATCACAATTGTTCGGCTAAGGTGTTTGACCAGTTTTTTCTCTGAAGTACTGTAGGCAGTTTCTGTTTACATATTTTAATTCCTTGCAGCACAACTTGTTTTTTATTAACATAAAAATTACATATATTTTAAATTATGAAGAGTCTGAATATTGCTGTATAAAAGCTTGCTAATATCATTATTCTTTTTTCTTTCTAATTTTCTTCTAGAACTCTTGGAACGGTCTTTAGCCCTTTTAAACAAAAGTCAACAACTCACTGACTTCATAGAAAAATTCAAGTGTGAAGGACCTAATGTGAATCCTGAGTTGACTCAGGGAGCTCATAGCAGCTGTCTGAAGGTTGACCGCCTTCTTGAACTTCTACAAGACAGGAGAAGACAACTAGACAAGTACTTGAAGCAACAGTGGCAAGAATTGAGTCAAGTTCTGCAGATATGTCAGTGGGACCAACAAGAAAACCAGGTAACCCAAAGGGGCATTGGATGATGTTCCAGCCTCAGCTGATTAGTTGTTATATGGATTAACCATTCCCTGGGGCAGTTTGTCAGTCTTCATGGTCAAATCTTTTGGTCTTTGGTCCAAAAAGCTTTCATCCAAACTACCATGTTGTTTTTCCCTGTAAGTAACATAAAAACAAATATATGCATTTTTTTCATTATACTGTTGATTGTATAAATGAGAGAACACCTGTGGGTAGTTTTGAGAATGAATGTATTCTATTTTTGGATTCTTCCTTCCTTCTAGGTCACTACTTTTAGACATGTTGCTTTGACATTTTGAAATGTTAATTGCAATTTTCTTAAAAGTTGAAGAGGCATGATGCTGCTGAATTGTGCTAGATTGCTGCTTACATCAGTAAAAAAGTCTGTCAGCCCAAAATAGAGATAATGTTCTTAGAAGAGTAGTCTGATGCCAATCAAAAAATATGACCTTGGCCCATAGCTGCAGGATCTGTGGTCAGAGGGCTTTGGGGGTTGATGAGTTTGCAGGCTCATTAGAGCTCATTACCCAGGCTGCAGGCACATTTCTGATGGGTCGTCAATGTGCTTGACATGCATTCCTTCTGCTACAATTATTTGATGTGAAGAGTGGGCAGAACTCTCTTTGCAAACCCCCAACTCAAATAAGTGAGATGTTTGTCACAACAATTCTGATTGTCTTAATTCCATGTTTAAATCTGTACAGATTAAGTGGAAGGAATTTTTAGGGAGAAATTATGTGGAGGGAGGTCTCCTGGCCTAGATACACAGGAAAGAGGTTTTTTCATATGTTTAATATTATTACTCCATCCAAATTGAAGAGACATTCATATAGCTGGAAGCGCATATGAGTCCAAGAGAAACTGGTTCTTATTTCAAGCTGGAAAAATGAGAGCTTATCCATGATGATCAACCTTTCAGTTAATACTTATTGACCACTTACTATGTACCAGTTCCTATCATAAGTGCTGGGGATATGCTAGACCACAAGACAGTGCCTTTTTCCTCTAGGAAATTTTCTTCTAATTCAGTGTTTCTCAACCTTGGCACTATTGGCATTTGGTGCTAAGTAATTCCTGGTTGTGGGAGGCTGTCCTGTCTGGCACACTCTAGGATACTGAGCAGCATTGCTGGCCTCTATCAACGAGATACCAGTATAACATCCCCAGTTGTGAGAAACCAAAACTGTCTCTAGACATTGCCAAATGTCCCCTGGGGGACCAAATTAATACCAGTTAAGAACCATTGTTCTAATGTGATGAGAAGGACTTATAATAAATGATGAGTACGATGATAAACCTGATGATGAAATCGAATAAGGTAATGAATTTTGACATGTGTTGGTCAACTTTTCATCAAAGAAGGAATCAAAGAAGCCTCTCCGAGGAAGTGGCATAGAGCAGAGACCCAAATGCAGATGCCAGTCATTTATTCTCCTGCTTGCATTTTGTTGCCATTCCCTTCTAAGTCACCATACACTTTCTAAGCTGCCTTGCTTTTATCATTTTACCCTGACTGCTGCCGCTTCTCCTGTCCTGCTTCTGTTGTGCTTTACCTGCTGACTCTGCTCTAGCCATTATACACTCTCACATGCACTTTCACATGCTCATTCCCCAAAGCATTATCGTCCAATGCAAAGGTCTTTTCCTGAAGACTCTGGCATAACAAGAAGGAAATTAATCCTCAGGACACGAAACAACTTAAAATTGTAAGACAACTGTTTCCAAAGTTCTTTGTCCTTCTGAGCATGAGTGGGTATATTTTAGCTCACTTGCTCCTCGCTGTCTGTCTCTCTCTGCCCTAATCCTGACCAGCCACCGTGTTCCCAGAGCTGCTATCCCCTTAAAGGAACCTTCCTTTTATCTCTTCATTCTTTTTTTTTTCTGTAGTGTTTTATTTTTTATTTTTATTTTTTTAATTATTATACTTTAAGTTCTAGGGTACATGTTCACAACATGCAGGTTTGTTACATATGTACACATGTGCCATGTTGGTGTGCTGCACCCATTAACTCATCATTTACATTAGGTATATCTCCTAATGCTATCCCTCCCCCCTTCCCCCACCCCACAACAGGCCCCAGTGTGTGATCTTCCCCTTCCTGTGTCCAAGTGTTCTCATTGTTCAGTTCCCACCTATGAGTGAGAACATGGGGTGTTTGGTTTTTTGTCCTTGCGACGTTTTTACAACCCCAAGCCCCTTCCTCTAGTGCTTCCAAAAATACATTAAAAACTCCTCTTGCTTTATCATACAGAGAAGTATTTATCTTTTAAACCTCAACATCTCTTATCCAGATTAACACAAAGACCTTCTCTCTCCAAAAAAAAAAAAAAAGCTCATCAAAGAGGCTTCCCAAACAGAACAGTTTTCCCAAGAGTAAGAAAATAGCTACAGTAAGTTTTATTTATTTATTTTTAAAACAGTAATTTTGCCTTTCTGCCCCATGACTATAGCGGTAATCATCCACTTGAATCCTCTGTAGTAAAAAAAACAAAAAAAAGGGGAAAAAATCACCTGAAAATTTAGAAGATTCAAAGTGAACATTCTAACCCAGCCACATGCTTGAAGGAAATCTAAATACCTTGCTAAACCTGGAAAGCAGAAATACATTTGCTAATAAGTAAAGTAAGGTATAGCAGAAGGTTTCTGACTTGGTAAGTTCTCTAACTTACGGGGTCTCATTTTTTTTTAGAGGTGAGTGCTTTTGGGAGGGGTGCTTTTTAAAAAGTAAAGTTTATTTTTTTAGAGCACTTTTAAGTTCAGAGCAAAATTGAGAGAAAGGTACAGAGATTTCCTATATGTTCCCTGCCCCCATACCTGCAGTTTCCCTCTTTATCAGCATCCCCCCTCAGAATAGCTTGTTTACAATCAATGGACCTACAGTGACACATCATTATAACCCAAAGTCCACAGTTTACATGAAGGTTCACTCTTGATGATGTACATTCCAAATGTCCAATTCCATGTACCTATGGGTTTGAACAAATGTATAATGACAGGCATCCACCATTATAGCATCATAGAAACCATTTTCACTGCCCTAATAATCCTCCGTGCTCTGCTTCTTCATTGCTCCCTTCCCTCTAAACCCTGGTAAACACTAATCTTTACTGTTCCCATAGTTTTGCCTTGTCCAAAATGTCATAGTTAGGATCATACAGGACTTTTCAGATTGGCGTTTTTCATTTAGTAATATGCATTCAAGTTTCCTCCATGTCCTTTCATGGCTTGATAGCTCATTTATGCTTAAAGCTAAATAATATTCTAGACAACCCTGGGCAAAGTAAGGAGACCCTGTCTCTACAAAAAATGTTTTAAAGTAGCCAGGTGTGATGGTGTGTACCTGTGATCCCAGCTACTCAGGAGGCTGAGGTCAGAGGATCCCTTGAGTCTGGTAGGTTGAGACTGCAGTGAGCCATGATAATGCCACTACACTCCAGTCTGGGTGACACAGAGCAAGACTCTGTCTCAAAAAACATAAATAAATAAATATCCCATTGTCTGCATATACCACAGTTTGTTCATCCATTAATCTACTGACATCTTAGTTGCTTCCAAATTTTGGCAATTATGAATAAAGCTGTTATGGGCATCCATGTGCAGCTTTTTATGTGAACACAAGTTTTCAATTTATATAGATAAATACCAAGGAACACAATTGCTGGATCATATGGTGAGAGTGTGTTTAGTTTTGTAAGAAACTGCTAAACTATTTTTCAAAGCAGCTGTACCATTTTGGATTCTCACCAGCAATGAATGAGCGTTCCTGTTGCTCTACATCCTTGTCAGTGTTTGGCATTGTCAGTGTTCTAGATTTTGGCCACTTTAATAGGTGTGTTGTGGTGTCTCGTTGCTGTTTCAATGGGCCTTACCTTTAAATTGGGAATAATACTTAACTCACAGAGTTGCTATAAGGATTAAATGAAATAAGTGCAAAACATGTAGCACAGTGCATAGCATTTTAAGAGGTACTTAATACGTATTAGTTTCTTTGCCCTCCCTCTCTGTGATTAAACCTTACAACTTATGAAAGCTTTCTCGGCCAGGCCCGGTGGCTCACGACTGTAATCCCAGCACTTTGGGAGGCCGAGGCAGGTGGATTGCCTGAGATCAGGAGTTCGAGATCAGCCTCAACATGGAGAAACCCCATCTCTACTAAAAATACAAAATTAGCCAGGCATGGTGGTGCATGCCTGTAATGCCAGCTACACGGAACGCTGAGGCAGAATTGCGTGAACCTGGGAGGCGGAGTTTGTGGTGAGCCGAGATCGTGCCATTGCACTCCAGTCCGGGCAACACGAACAAAACTCCATCTCAAAAAAAAAAAAAGCTTTCTCATTCAGCCCAGATTCTTTCCCCCAGGTGTAGCATTACTGTTGTTATACATGTCAAGGTCTCTTAATACTGTTTAGTTATTGGAGGCTGTTACAAGTATAGTTAGGCTTTAAGAATGCACATTCATGGTCAAGGGAATGAGGCTGTCATTTAGATTCCGTTCCTAACAGCACTTGAACAAAAATTAACTATAATAAGAACAATAAACATTATAGTAAATATAATCAGTCAATAAACAAGATAGTCATTTCCTTAAATATAAAATTTAGGCTCTTAGGCTGGGCGTGGTGGTGAATGCTTATAATACCAGCACTATGGGAGGTGAGGCGGGCAAACTGCTTGAGCCCAGGAATTCGAGACCAGCTTGGGTAACATGGCAAAACCCTGTATCTACAAAAAACACACATGCACAAATTAGCCAGGCATGGTGCCATGCTCCTGTAGTCCCAGATACTTGGGAGGCTGAGATGGATGGGTGGCTTGAGCCCAGGAGGCCAAAGCTGCAGTGAGCCAAGATTGCACCATTGCATTTCAGTCTGGGTGACAGAGTGAGACCCTCTGTCTCAAAAAATAAAATAAAAATAAAATTTAGACTCTGAATCTTAAAACACCTATGTTACATTTTCTCTTGTTAACAGCAGCGACAGTGGTTGGAGTAGTTAGTTAATAAAGCTGAGTATTGTCTCTTTATGCTTGTAAGAGTACGGATCCTGGGGCCAGACTGTTGGCTGGGTTCAAATCCTGGCTTCACCACTTACTGGCTGAGTAACAGCAGTTATTTAACTTCCCTGAGGCTCAGTTTTCTGTAAAAATATGAATAATAATACCAACTACTATCTTAGTGTTAGCAGTTGTTACCATCATGTCTGAAAAAGATAACGAAGGCCCAACATATTACATACTGATCCACTCCTTGCCCCCGCAATGTCATGCTCAGATGACGATTGGTCTCAGATTGAAGACCAGTTTTATTATTTGAGTTCACAGGATGTGATAAAATAAAAGTCAGTTTAATAATGTTAACAGCTACCCTTGTTCAATGGGCACTGAATTGATAGTTTAAAACAAAAAGTAGTATCTTTTTTTTCTGCTTGTGATTTAAAAATACTTTGTTAAAATGTAGACATCACCCTCCAAGCAGATTGCTACTAGAAATTTGGCATACTGCCACCTTCTAGACTTTTATCCAAGCGTGAGCATAGTCATAGGCACACACACATTTATTAAAAAAAACTAAACAAACAAATGAAAATTAATTGAGTTAGCCTATATATACTGTATTATAACCTGTTTTTTTGTTACATTGAAAAAAATCATAAACATATTCTGTGTTTAAATAGATCAATTAATTTTAATAAGTGTATAGTATTCTGCTATTTGAATATAACACAATTTAAACAGTATTAATGAGGAAATAGAGTTGCTTCGATTTCTTAATATTATAAACAATAATTAACGCTTACTCTGTTGATAATTATATGAACAAGGAATCATTTTAAAGTCCAGGTATGTATAAGCACAAATTATCTCACCTGAGTTTTTCAGTTTTTCTGAACTTCTGTTTATTATTATTATTATTATTATTTTCTTTTTGAGACAGAGTCTCGCTCTGTCACCCAGGCTGGAGTGCAGTGGCACAGTCTCGGCTCACTGCAACCTCCACCTCCGGGGTTCAAGCAATTCTCGTGCCTCAGCCTCCCAAGTGGCTGAGACTACAGATGCACGCCACCATGCCGGCTATATTTTTTGTATTTTAGTAGAGACCAGATTTCACCATGTTGCCCAGGATGGTCTTGAACTCCTGGGCTCAAGTGATCTGCTGCTCTTGGCCTCCCAAAGTGCTGGGATTACAGGCATGAGCCACCGTGCCTGGCCTGAATGTTCTATTTTAAAGCGTTGTTGATGGTACAGTGGTGAAGAATTGCAGCAGGAACACTAAGCTGAGTGTCACTCAGTTAGTAATTTGGGTTTTATAGTTATCATGTTCTCAGATGATCTACCTGATAATTCTAGAACATATGAAACCACATTTCATTGAAGGGCAAAGTTTTTTGGTTTTTTTTTTGTCAGTTCTGTCTTACTTTAAGGGAACACAGGAGCTATCAATCTTTACATTAATGAAATATCAGCTTTGTCAATCATTTTAACCACTTAAGAAAAAGGGAAATTAAGTAGAAAATTAGAACAAAGATTACTGATGAATAATAATGTGGATGTCTGAATATGTGATGTGTCTTCTCTCATAAGGGCCATTTAAAAGATACATTTAGTGCTTCTCTGTTTCTAAGTGCTGTGGCCTAATGCTTTTGAACTAAAATAGTTCAGCTAATTCTCCTTTGGAAAAGAAATTAGGTGACCAGCATGATGGGGACTTAGGATTCACATCAATTGCAGGAAAACAGTAAACGAAAAACACATACTTTCCTATCTTAAGTGGGATGTGATAGCCTCATAAAGATAATTATAGCATGTTCTTTCATCATTGTTTTTCAGATATAAAAATGCACTCTTGTTTTACATTTAATGATAAGCAGCTGACCTTTCTATTCAGCTCCAGCAGCATCTTATTTTGCAGATAATCTGCCTCATTAATGAAAATCAGAAGCAGCTTGAAGTATTTCGTGCATAATTAATTATCTTGGCAAGAAGATTTATGAATGTAATTTTTCTCAATTGCTCCAATCAGGCATAAGTGAGAAAAACAAATATATTAAAACTAAGCTATTCATGGTCTCTGCGTACACGACAGTGTCAAGGACGTCTAGGAGAATTAAGACATGAGGGCAGACAATCTCTTTTTACCACCCAGATCACATATAAGATATACACCTTTAGGGGCAGGAAGGATAATAGAATTCATATCAGAAGGTTTTGTGGTTTTATAATTTGAGTGAAATGTGTATCATAATCATGCAGTATATTCCTTGTCAATGGGCAATGTAAATGATATTAGAGATGACATATATGAGCATAGCCTCTGGGCACCAATCTTGTGTCTGGTGGGCATCTGTAAAACTGTGCACCCATACAGGCACATGTGAGTGTAATCTCTTATACATGATGCCACCTTCTAACTAGGATTTAGAACTTGAATGACTGAACAGCTTAAATGCATAATTTTAAAAGTCCTTCTCTGGAAGTTCCTTGACTTACCTGAGCTTCTTATCTATTGCTTTGGAAATTTTGAAATGGGGATACTAAACCTATCACCAAGAGATTTTGTGAGAAATAAATGAGAAGGTTTGAGTGAAAATACTTTGAAACATTTATATCAACAAAAAGTCCTGGTCCCATGATTGTAATGATGCACGATCAGCCTCTTCGGCTGCATTCTTGAGTGTATCTTTCATATTCCAAGGGGTAGTATTCCTGGATAAACAGTGTTATTCCCAAAAGTGGAATTTGGGGGTTGATAGAATATGAGCATTTTTTTTTTTTTTTGAGAGGGAGTCTCGCTCTGTTGCCCAGGCTGGAGTGCAGTGGTGCAATCTCGGCTCACTGCAAACTCCGCCTCCCGGGTTCATGCCATTCTCCTGCCTCAGCCTCCCGAGTAGCTGGGACTACAGGCGCCTGCCACCACACCCGGCTAATTGTTTTGTATTTTAAGTACAGATGCAGTTTCACCATGTTAGCCAGGATGGTCTCGATCTTCTGACATTGTGATCCGCCTGCCTCGGCCTCCCAAAGTGCTGGGATTATAGGCGTGAGCCACCACGCCCAGCCGAATGTGAACATGTTTTAAGGCCCATGAGCCATCTTGTCAAATTACCCCCACAAAAGTTGTTCAAATTTGACTCCAACTACTTGGAGTTGAGTACTGGTTCCCACCACATTGGTCAATGTTGAGCATTACCTTTTATTTTCATGTTTGCAAATCTGGTCTTCTTGTTTAAGTTAAGAAGTATTTCCTAAATCTGTAGTGATTGCATTAAAAATGCATCTATTTATAATGCATTTGTGTATCAATAAATGTGAGCTGCTGCCTCAAAAAAAAGAAGAGAAAAAAATTCCTTCTCTGAAGGCAGCTTTCATACATTGGCTGGCATAAGGCCAAATAAGGGTTGCATTATTTTGGTGACACTGGTATCAAACCGTTGGGTCAGTAACAGGTATAAATGACTGTCTAACTGTCCATAGATGAAAATTTATCACAGAATTTCATTTTGGTATATAGGCTATCTCTAGAATTCTCTCTAGGGCACACCAACAGTAAATGCAAAGGATCTGATAGTATTTGTAGAAGGAGCATGTAATTTTGACAGAAAAAGAAACCTTTTCTAACTGGAATGTATGCGAATGACTATTGCTTCCAATGGCACTGCAGTTCAAAGGTTGAAACAGGACTCTGGTGCAGATGGCATGGATACCAATCCTAGCTTTTATATTTACTAGGGATGTTGTTTGGGGCCAGTTACTTGGCCTCTGTGCCTCAGTGTCCTTTTCTGTAAAATGGGAATAATAATAGTATCTACCTATAGATTTATTGTAAAAACAAAAAATATTATATATTTTAAAATGCTTTGAGCACAGCTTGGCATATTGTAAGTGCCCAATGATTTTCAAATGTTCACCATGTCACTACATACTTTGATGGTCACTTTCTGAGCTTTACTGGATAATCACTAGCATACAAAATCAGACACACTGGCCATATCCCACACCAATTCCATAAACCACTAGATAGTCTTAACTTTCTAAAATGTTCTGATATGAACAGGGCATAAATGCCATTTCATGGCTTTATATCCAGTCTAGTTTACTCAAAAGATCAGTTTTAGCTGCAAGATAGAGTCAAAAACCAATTTTCCCCTCCTTAACTTTCTCCGCCCTTTAGCTATTTCTTTAGATCACTTATACTTATTATAGTTGATTACATTTTCATTAAATTAGGCCATTCCTGTATACTGTTCAACTGAACTGATGGCTTAACAACATTTTGGTTATTAATTAAGCCCCCAAGTCGGTTGGTAAGGGGGATGGGGACACACACTGTGACCATATTCACTCTCAGAAGTGATGAGTGTGCCTCCTTTGGAAGGCTCTGCGGTTGCTTCTAACCCTCATGCACATTGTATGACAGAATTAGCTGTTGCTGCCTGAGCTATCTGCTAAGCCCTGGGGCTGCCTGTGGGTCTCCTTTTACCTCTCTAAGCTCTTTTCCTTCCGTACCCCTGGTGTTGCCCCTGGTGATCATTGGCTTTTCTTTTCTCCTGCCACCATCCCAAACTAGCCAGGGAGTAGAAATCATTTTCTCCTCTTCCCTCATTCTCATGATCCAATCCCCAAAGACAACTCAAAAGGATGAATTAATTTTAATGAATGTTGTAGGGAGACTGTTAAACAAACAATCAATGGCATGCTTTAAAAAGATTAAGACATCTTTTAAAATTTACCAGTTATTTATTTTGTCGATATGACAGTTTCTGATTCATTGTTTTTCCCAACAACCAGAGGTTCAGGCCAAAACTTTGGTAGGAAATCCATTAAGCTGCCTGACCTAGGAACTGGAAAGGTAAAATGAAAATGTCAAACTTTGGTCCCACTCCTAAGTAGTTCTGTACTGCCTGTCGGTCTGTCTCTCACTCTCTTTATCTCACACACACAGTGAATATAATTGGCTGAAGATCACTTAGGATAGAACTTTAAGTTATATTGGGAAAACCATGCCTTCGATATCTTTGGCAGGGATACACATTGCCAAGACACTGGATGGGGCTCTGTTTCCTCTCCTGAAAAACAATGTCTTTCCACTGCTGGGGAAGTTATTTTCAATGAGTCGGAGGTAATGCTAGAAATAAAATTTAGGTCCAGAGACATCTACTGTACTGATTTTGTCCACTGGACTAAATAACTTTCCATCCATTAAGTGGTTGGAAGAAAGAACCTACCTAAACACAAATAACTGTTGTGGGCAATGTTAAGAAGGGAAGTCCTTAGTGCCATTTTTTCATGAAATATAGACGTGAGAAGAGAAATTATATGCTAATACAAGTCAGAATAGTTAAATACATAAAATTATTATTCTAAACAGGAAAAAGGATTGTATGTAAAGCTGTTCATAAAGTAACAAGTTTGCCTTAAAATAACATATTTTAGCTTTCCTACTGCCCATCAACAGAGAATACCGGGATTTGATACTGGAATTTATTGAGGAGATACTGATACCTTCCAGTTGATTTCAGTAATTCACAAAGGGCTCCAAAATTCAACAGAAGAAAATTGTGAGCATTGTCCTCCTGGAATCTCTAAGTCCAAATAATAACAGGCCAATAACTAGATCAGTCCCAGAATACGTCTAAAAATGGAAACCCGATCCACATTTTTGGCAGTAATTGTTTTTTCCTGCTCTCCTCCCAAGTCTGCAGGTACAAACATCAGCAACACAGCTTTAGCATCTCTTCTAATGTGCATTAGAATCACCTAATGGACCAAATGGATATTTCAAATCTGGTCATCGCTAGTTAAGTCCAGAGCTCATTTGACTGTATTGTCTAATACAAAATAAAGGCAACTGGTTCCCCTACTGTAAAAAAAGAAAAAAAAACCCAAAGCCCTATGGAAACATGCCTTCAAAATCAAAGCAGGCATTAGAACTGTCACCTGTGACCATCAACTACAATTGAAAACATTTCTGTATATGTGTGTGTTTTTGGTAATTGCCAGAGAGACTGTCAAAAAGTCTTGGGTTAAAGAAGATAAATAACTGATGCCTTTTTCCTTTATCAGTTTTTTGTACTTAATAGAACCTGGTTATTCAGCAAGTTCTGCACATGGAAAAGAAAATGAAAGTAATTTGATGAGATTTTCATCTCCCCTTAAGCATTTCTGTTAAGGTCGTTTGAATTGCTTATTGCTAGCTCACCTCCTCCAGCATATTTTAAATAAAGATAAAAGAGATCTGATTTCATATTGTAGAACAAATTGCAGAAAAATAAACTGCAGTGGCTTATGGCATTCTGATGTGTTGCTTTGGGCTGCAGCAGAAGTTCACCTTCTTGCCGCCTGAGTTGTTTATCCTTGGCCATCAGAGAGCATTTTCTACCGCTTGCATGACCCATCTTTCAGTCCTGTCTTTGGCACATGTCATTTGGGAACTGAAATTCTCAGCCTGCTCTTGCTGTCACCACTGCCCACAGCTGGCTTCTTGCTCTCAGAGACTCCTCCTGACAGGCCTGACCCACACATCCATTCTCCTCTCTAATGAACTATTTTCACGGAGCCCCTGATTGTATACGGGACCTATTTCTGTGTTAAAATTGGATTCTATAACCATAGCTTTGCATTTTGGTTTTTATTTTAAGAACATTCATAAATATAGCCTAATGAGAACCATTTCTCTTCTCCAGAATCCTTTCTTTCTGCAGATGTATATAATGAGCAGGAAAAATATTGCATAGTATGAATTCTGACACTGGCATTTCTGTCCCTACCTACAAGAATTTCCTCTTATTGGTTGTGTGAAATTAGGCAAATTATTGAACTGTCTATTGAACTGTTACCTCATCTGTTGAAAAGGCAAATATCTCTATCATAGGAGGGGTGCAAAGGTTGGTTGAAATTATGTTGTAACCTGCCTAAATTCGTACCTAATACTTCTGTTGGAAGGAAGGCTAGTTAACTTCTTTTACCTTCTTCATTCTTATCTACCAGCAGGGGTCCAAAGTGGGACTTCCAACAAGAAAAAAAAAGGAGTCCTTCTTTGCCAAAGACTAAATACCGTCCCACTCTTCCAACCTTCCTACTCTTTTTGGTACATCCCTGTATCAACTTTCCGCATGCATCTTCAGTGATGAACAAGACATGCAAAGAAATGCATGTCTTACCTAATCAAATAAAAAAAATGTGGGAAGGAGCCCCTTTGTTACTTCTGCTTTCCCGAAAGCTATCATCCTTTACTCAGCCAATGAATGTAGCCAATGTCTTAGTCCATTTTGCATTGCTACAAAGGAACACCTGAAACTGGGTAATTTATGAAGATGAAAGGGTTATTTGGCCCATGATTCTGCTGGCTGAAAGATTGGGCATCTGTTGAAAGCTTCAGGCTGCTTTCACCCATGGCGGAAGGTGAAGGGGAGCTTCCATGTGCAGAGAACACATGGCAAGAGAGGAGGCAAGAGAACACGTGGAGACACTAGGCTGTTTTTAACAACCAGGTCTGCTGGGAACTAATAAAGGGAGAACTCACCCACAGCCCCCACCAAGGGAGGGCATTAATCTATTCATGAGGGGTCCGCTCCTGTGATCCAAATACCTTCCATTAGATGCCATCTCCAACACTGGGGATCAAATTTCAGCATAGGGTTTAGAGGGGACACACATCAAAACTGTAGCAGCCAACATTCCCACTTAGATGTTCATAAATGCTACCAACTGATATCTCACACCGCTCTTCTCCTGACTCCACTTTTTAAAATACCTTTAATTAAAGCTCAGTCCTTAAGTCTACATTTAACAAATATAGTCCAAATATATTTTAATTGGAGAACCATCCAATAATAATATAATGCAACCTACTGATGTGATTTTAAATTTTCTAGTAGCCACATTTTAAAAGTAAAAAATTAAAAAGTAAAAAGCCACATAAAAGGATGAAAAGCAATAATATTTTTAAATTAACCCGACATATCTAAAATGTTATTTCAATAGGTAATCAATACTAACTTTTTTTTTTTTATTGAGATAGGGTCTCACTCCTATTGCCCAAGCTGGAGTGCAGTGGCATGATCTTGGCTCATTGCAGCCTCAACTTTGCAGGTTCAGGTGATCTTCCTCCTTTAGCCTCTCTGAGTAGCTGGGACTACAGGTGTGTGCTACCACACCCCGCTAATTTTTTGTATTTTTTAGTAGAGATGGTTTTGCCATGTTGCCCAGGCTGGTCTCAAACTCTTGAGGTCAAGGAATCCACCTGCCTCAGCTTCCCAAACTGCTTGGTTTACAGGCATGAACCACCATACTCATATTCATACTAACATTCTTAATGAGATATTTTCATTATATTTATGCTAAGTCTGTGAAACCTGCTGTGTGCTTTACACGTGGAGCATGTCTCAAGTAGGACTAGTCACTTTCCAAGTACAAGATAGCTATGTATGATGAGAGGCTACCGTATTGGACAGTGCAGGTTTCCCTGCCACCCCACTTTAACTTTCAAGGCAGCTCTTTGTTTTCATTGAACATTCCTGATTGTTTCCTCTCTGCATCTTTGCTGACTTTCCTTTTTCTCCATCTCTTTTCACTCTGTGATAGATGTCATCCCATCACTACACACACACCACACACAAAGATCTGCCTCACTCCTCTGCTGAGTTCTATCTCCTCTGGGCATCAAGTACCTAGAATGCCCTATCAAATTAATGGGATGACCATGAACACATTGCTCAGATGAAACTGGAAGATAGAAACTGGGAAGAAAGGAAAAATATTCTAATTAACCCCTTTAATCCATCATTGCCCAGAACCAATTTCCAGTGCATACTTCGAATACTTTTTGTTTTCCTTCCTTTGTACATCTCCTCAGCTTGTGGCTCATGTTTTCATAGTTTTGCAGGGACCATGTTCTACATAAATGTCCTGGTGCATCATTTACTGTACTTACCACTCAGGCTTCTGGACAGCAGCTGACATAATTTAAAAGCTTATAAAAAGTGCACTTAGAATATCTATGCAGCTGTCTGCAGTAGCTACTCGCTGGGCACAATGACTGATTTACTGGGTGGCAGAATATTATGATTGACATGCTCCTGGTTATTTAGGGTGTCTTATTTTGTCATCAGAAGGACTCTGAGAGCCTATTTTGTGTGCATCCCACAGCATACATGGTAAATCTGATCGAAGAGTCTGCTCCTGTGTATGAATACCTCATAATGAGATGTAACACCCTCCTGATGATCTACTTACTTCTGAGTTTTATGCCAACTTGTTTTTATGTTTCTTTCCAGGGTGCATCTGGTAGTAAAAATTTGTAGATCTAGAGAGTCAGCATGATTTAACAGGCAGGAACGTGAACAGGATACACTGAACATTATCGTATGTCTTTAACTACATTCTCCTAAAGGGAATAGTATTGTTTTACAGGAATAGTATCTTTTGGGAGTTGAAATAGTATATGCCAAATCTAGAAGATGAGGTCAGTAGATACCGTTTAAAAATCAAAACAACTCACTCTTTCCCAGCTTTCATCACTGCTGGCATGTGTTAGATGACAAGTCTTTGACTCACAAAGTTTAATAAGATTATCTGAGGTTCCAGGCTTCTCACCTGTTTTTAGAGATTAGAGAACACCTGTTTGTACCCATTTTTCATCCACTCTGATTCTATATTAACTGTCCCTATTAAAGCATTCTTGAGATGTCAAGTCCCTCCCACTTTAGCTAAGAATAAATAAAACTCACTTTTGTTTAATAAGATAAATTATCTCTGGAAGTCAGTTGTATTCGTGATCCACTTTACTTTGAGGAAACCCTTAAATCATTGCTCTAGTTGTGTTTTTATGGGGGCTCACTGAATTTTTGGGAGAAAATTATTTTGTTTTACAAAATAAAATAATAAATTTTATAGCTGTTGATAAAATATTCTCTGTGTTTTCATAGGCACATTGTACATATCATCTAGCTCTAATTGGATACCAGAAAAACACTGTCTTCAAATAATTGTAAATACATAAGCACAATACTTGTGTATCGTGGGGACTAACTAGATAATGTGTATTTTGTGCATAGATTACCAGATATTCGGAAGAAAATGAGATATATGTCACATGAAAACTGCTATAAGGTCACCAGTATTATTTTCTTTGCACTAATGATGGGCTAAAATGCTGGTTAACAAAGACATTTCCAATTAGCAGAAAGCTGGAGAAATGCTTCCATCCTGTATTTTAAATGCCCATTCCATGCTGAGAAATACTAAGAGTTGGTGTAGACCTTTTGATCGCATAGTCAGCTTTGTGATATCAGCCCTATAAATGGTGTGTCCTATTCTAGGTGAGCCCTTAACTCTGATGTGTGTGTGTGTGTGTGTGTGTGCACGCATGTGTCATGTGCATTTATTGTGTGGAACTTCTGATCTAATGTAGAGTTCTCCTTGGCTACCTGTTGTACACATTTCTCCATGTTATAGGATTTCAGAGAAATCCTGAGACTGCTTCAGGCAAGACAACCTAGGCTGGGGAAAGACATAGTATCAGGCTTGGGATTTATATGCCCATTATTTTGAATGGGCTGCTAGTGTTCATTTTTCAGATTTGAAGTCATTCCCGCTGATGGCAGGGCTGTAAGACCTTAAATAACTCAAGCATGGCAGCAGGGCACAATGGAAAGAGCATGGATTTGAAATCCTGCAGACTGGAGGACAAATTCTGTCTCTGCTACTTACTATGTGGCTGTGGATAAGCTGCCTCTTCAAAACTCAGTTACCGCATCTCTAAAATGATGATATCATGACTGTTATAAAGTTGTTGAGAGAAATAGAGATGATGCCCAAAAAGCAACTAGCTTGTAGTAGTCTCTTAAGAATCAGTCATTATGATGTGATCATAAGGACAATGCTATACAGGATTCGAGTGTAAAAATCTAAGTCTCCTTTAATTGAGATAAGGAATCTGCATCCAGGGCCCCCATGTCAAGTGTTGGCATCATTTAGAAAGGTACAGATTATTTCAAGTCCTTTGCTATTTGTAGTTTCAGCACTGTATATGGCATGTATTATAAATCAAGTCAATGTAAATGTTAATAACCTCTCTATTTTCTGGATACAGATTTCCAGCACTTGTAGCAAACTAAATATTTCTGCATAGTCTATTTTATGGCAGAAAATATAATTCTACCTCTGCTGTTTAATATCTTCATATGGGTTTACGTAACTATACTTAGATTCATATTCATTTCCAGGAAAGAAGATATATTTTAAATGAATTCATGATTTTTGGACTGCTTGGGAATCTATTTTGATTCTTTGTTAGGAGATTTTCATTTTATTCATGCCATGTAATCTACTGAACTGATTAGTCATTTTCATACTTTTTGGGATTTTTTCTCTTTTATGCATGTAGAGGTTAAATGAAGAAAAAATTCTAAACTTGTTCATATTATTTTAATACATGAGATGGTTTATATAAAAAGAAATTAAAGTAGCTTAAGTTTTGAAAGGTTGAGGGACTATTTCTGAATTTTTACTCACTTATTCTGATCATTTGAATTTTGATCTTTCTTTGTTGCCTTTTACCTAGGTTACTTGTTGGTTTCAGAAAACTATAAGAAATTTACAGGAACAAAGTCTAGGTTCATCACTTTCAGACAATGAGGATCGAATTCATAAGCAAGAGGAACTGATAATAAAAGCAAAGGTAAGAGATATATTAGACACACTAAAAATAATTGAAAAATGCATTAACTTTTCTTGAATATACTTCTGTGGGTAATTTAGAGGAGAACTGAGAACTGTCTTTGATTAATCTACTGTTCATGTAAAAAAATATCCCAATAACATTAGCAAATACCACTGTGCATTGACAGGGCTTCCAGAATAATGATAAACAAATTAACAGCTTCTACAACAATAACTATATTTTTCTGAATAGTTACTATGTGCCAGGCACTATAGTATGTATATGAGATCCATTATCTAAATTATCATAAAACCCCTAAGGGGGAGGTATTATTTTCTCCATTTTATGCATCAAAACAAATAAAACAAAAAGGCTTGGAAATGCCAAGTCACTTGACCAGTGTAATATATCTTGTCAGTGGCAGATTTGAAATTCAGTTCTAGGTTTTGTCTAATACAAAGGCCCAAGCTCTTAAACATTATACATTTTAGCTTTCTAAAAAATTTTTTTTCTACACTGAGATGTCACTATGAGTCATCACTTTTATGACTTCCAGATATAATTTGATTGCTGTTCCAATTTACATGTCTTTTGCTCTTTAACTTGCTTCAGATTTCTCAGTTTTACAAGAAGTAATGGCTACCAGCCAGGCAGCCACTTATAGGTATATAGAATGCATTAAAATGCAAGCATGAAGTGCTGAAAGCAAGATGAGTAAAGCACCAGTGTTTTGGTTGACCTTCTCTCCATTGTGTCTTGTTATTTGAAAATCAGTGCGTTTATACATCTGGGGGTCTGTAAATACTTTCCAAAATTCTTTACAGAGGCTCCATATTGATCCACAAGAAAACAGAAGTCCGTCATAGTAGATGGGATGGGAACAGTGAATAATCACTATCAAGATTTAGGGAACTTTGTATATTAATATTTTAGATTATGATAGTTGTAAGTAGAGCTAAGTCATAAAGCTCTAGAAAACAATGGGCCAACACTACTAGACAGTAGTTGAATACAGGCTAGACAAGTCAAATATTCACATGTCTGGGAGGTTAGGAGTAGGCAGGATGAGGATGGAGGCAGTAGATTGCATTTATTTAGACTTAAATCTTTTCATGGGGATCATGACACATTTGTTTCAGTTTCTTGCTTCTGTTTGAACACTCCAGTGTCTTGTAGGCATTCAAAGTCTTTGGTTTGAATATTTGATTGATAAAAGGTGCACTTACAGAAGACTGTTGACTAATAATGACTGATTATTTTTTAATTTCTTAAAATTTTTCAGCATTTGGTTTATCTGTTTAGGAGGTTAACTTTTTTCATTGAATTATATGGCAATTTATTCTGTTTGTATCAAACTCAAGTTTTATCAGTGAAAATTCTATCGAAAGCCCCAAATGCCAAGCACAAGAGATCACCAGAATTGCATAGGATGCTACTTCCTTTAATACCAAAAAAAGCAGTATATAGTGTACACATAATTTAGACATCCCTTGGGGTTATATTCACGATAAATTGTAGAGTTATGGTTTCCTCTAGCCCTGAAGACAGTCTAGAGTAGAATATTTGTTAATGTTTGACCTTAGTAGGGCACAGTTTTTCTCATAGTTTATAGCTCATATTTCAACCTCTGATGTCCATAAACAAAAAAGCATATAGATATTCTTTCCATCAATATTATTAAGTTGCAGGTATAAGGGATGTAAAAAATAATTTTTAAAAGACTATTTTTAGAGCAGTTTTAAGTTCACAGCAAAATTGAGAGGAAGGCATAAAGATTTCCCATATACACCCTGCCCCTACACATTCGTAGCCTCCCCCATAATCAACATCCCCATCAGAGTGGCGCATTTGTAACAATTAATGGACCTGCATTGACACATCATTATTACCCAAAGTTCATTGCTTATATTAGGGTTCACTCTTGGTGTTGTACATTCTATGGGTTTGGACAAATGTATGATGATATGTATTGAATGATTGAACATCATTGAATTATACAGATTATTCTTGCTGCCCTAAAACTCCTCTGCGCTCTGCCTGTTCATTCCTTTCCACACCCCCAACTCCTGACAACCACTGATCTTTTTACTGTCTTCATAGTTTTGCCTTTTCCAGAATGTCATGTAGTTAGAATCGTACAGTATGTAGGCTTTCAGATTGGTGTTTTTCACTTAGTAATATGTATTTAAGTTTATCTATATCTTTTCATGGCTTGATAGCTCATTCGTGTTTAGAAATAAATAATATTCTAGACAAGCCTGCATGACATAGGGAGATTCCATCTCTACAAAACATTTAAACGATTAGCCAGGTGTGTTGCATGCTACTCAGCTATTCAGGAGGCTGAGGTGGGAGGATGGTTTGAGCCTGGGAGGTTCCAGACAAGTATATGCACTTCCTTTAGGGTCCTGAACTACTCTGCATCTTGTGCAGAAGCTGAGTATTGCCCCATGTACTCAAGTAGTTTTCAAGCCAAACTGTTTTTGAAAAGTGAGGCATAGAAACCTATTTCTCTACAGCATCCCTGAGAGTAAATTTCTTTTCTTTTCCCTTTTTTTTTTTTTTTTTTTTTTTTTTTTTTTTTTTTTTTTTTTGAGATGGGATCTCTCTCTGTCACTCAGGCTGGAGCACAGTGGTGCAATCATACTCACCGCAGCCTCGAAATCCTGGGCTCAAGCGATTCTCCCACCTCAGCCTCCCGAGCACCTGGGACTGCAGCTGCACACCCCCATACCTGGCAAATTTTGTTTTTATTTTTTTTTTGTAGAGACGGGGTCTTGCTATGTTTCTCAGGCTGGTTATGAACTCCTGGCCTCAAGTGATCCTCCCACCTCAGCCTTCTAAAGTGCTGGGATTACAGGCATGAACTCTCATACCTGGCAAATTTATTTTCTAAAGGGGGAGGTTCGTTTATTTATTGGGATTTCTTTTTTTATTTATTTATGTGAAGCATTCTTTCCAATGTAAGATTTTCCTTCCAAACTATGGGTTGAGCTATAGAGCCATCAATCTTAAATCCATCTTTAATTACAAATTACAAAAATGTTGACTAATTATTTAGACTGATTCAGTCAAATGAAGATGAATGCTCACATATAACTTGTAGATACAAAAAGGTTCTAAAGATACTTGCCATGAATTTCAGACACTAGATAATTCACTGGCAAGATAACTGGCTATTAAGACTTCAGGAGTCTCCGAATCATATGGGGTTAGAGAGACCCCCATCAGTGTATATGCACAAGGGGGAGTGGTGCTTTATTCTGGGGTGATCCAGGACAGCTTTCTGGAAGGATGGGGTTTGAACAGATGGATGGAATATGAGTTGTTGGTTAGGAGGGGGTGGTCAAACCAGAATATGGCAGAATAAGGCAAACAGCAATCAGACCAGGCTGTCTATGATGAGAGTTAAAGTCCTCATAATGTGTAAGCCAGAGAAGAGAGGCTAAGGAGAGTTGTCTTAGAGGCAATAGACTTATCCACAGCCATTCTGTAGGAAAGAAATAATAATCCATGGTCATGACAGAAAAATAGACTTCCACAGGTTGGGAAATAGAAGAGATTCCTGAAGCAACGAGAGGTAGGCCTAGATGACCTCAAAACTTTCTTTAATTTTCAAATCCTGTAAAGGAGATAGGATGTACATTTCAGTATCAATTATGCTTGTTATATTGAAAGCAAGATGAGTGTAGAAAACACCTTTCCAGAGCTGGTTGAAAGGAGTAAGTCTGGGCGGGGGAAGTAGCAGTATTTTTTTAAAGTAGACAGTATCTTACCTTGGTATTCCCAGCACATTGGACAGTGCCTGATATGAAAAGGACATTTGATTAATGTCTGTGTAGTAAGTCTTTTACGTTGTGAAGAAGAAGCATCCTTTTAGGTTTTTTTGTGATTCCCTTGTGACTTTAGATAATCACTTAACCTCCTTTTATCTATCTATCCACCCAATATCTTTAAAAACATTTTTTTAGCCCTCAGAGTAGAGTTACACTTCCCTTTTGGTTTACCTTATTGTCTTCCCCTTTATTCTCTCTATCCCTCACATTCTCATTCTCACAGGGACCTACTCTAATGGGCTCAACATATGTCTTTAGACATAGTCCTATTTCTAAAATACAGAGTTACGTGTTTCCATTTGCATAAATAGAATGAAGCCATAGATCTCATATTGTTTTTTGCCATAACACTGTTTGCATCTAGTTTATACAGTTCTTTGTGTTCTTCAGTATGCTAATTTCTAGTTGCAATGTAAATTTGGAAAGTTGTATTACGTAGATGATGTTCTACTTCTATCCTTCCTAACTTATCACTGCCTCCCCCCATTTCTTTATTCTTTCCTAATCTCTGATCTTATAGAGCACTCATTCTTTCTTCTGCTGTACTCCTTCTGCCATTCAGCCCTCCTGCCAAGTTCTTCACTTCAGCTATTACATTTTTCATGCCCAGTTGCTGACATTGATTCTTCTTCATAAATGGTTTTCTGTTTTACCTATCTAATGTATTTCCTCATATCTTAAGATATTCTTTTTAACATATTAAATTTTTGGTCTGTCCAGTGCATTAATTCTGCTTCTTCTGTATTTCAGTGTTGCTTGTGGTCAACAGATGTTGTTTATCCCTGTGAATTAATGTTCCATTGGGATATCAGTAACTTTGGTATAGTGGGGATATGAAAGCCAGTGCTTTAATTTACCCCTTGTGGGTGAGTTGGGGAGATACCCCTAAGTGCAGTTGACTTCTTTTGCTACAATTAGGATTCAACCATTCCCATTTGTCCCCCAACACCCCCCCTCCACCACACACACAAAAGAGTATACCCCTTGGACGACCTCCCAGTGATTAGATTCTGGACCTTACTTTTATCCATGACCTATTTCTCTGGGTGGTATTCTACCCACCTCACATGGTGGAGAGTTGGTGTGGACACATGAAGAAACAAATCAGGTTGCCTACCTCTCTAATATCAACTATCCATCTGATTAGATTTCCATGGGATCCTGTTTTTTCTCTCTTACTGGTACTGGACTGAGGGTACTATTTTCTATCCAAAAAAGGTAGAAAGTGAGCAATGACCAGGGAGGTAAGGAGAGAAAGCATCACACCTAAAAAGTTCTCCCCTGGCATATCTCCTGACTATGGCATCCAACCTTATTGTATGTAGACAGCCATGTGCCCTGAGACTCAACCACCTTTTGTCTCCCACAGAAAAGTTCTGTGATCTATAAAACCTTACTTTTCACTTTACAGAAAGAACCAGCTATATAATTTGTGAGGCCCAGTGCAAAATAAAATTATGGAAGGTTTTCTTAAAATATTATTGAGAATTTCAGTATGGGGACAGCATGGGCCCCTTTTAAACGTAAGGCTCTGTGTGATTGCACAGGTCAGTTGACCATGAAGCCAGTCCTATATACAGGGTTAGGATTTCTGGAAAGACCTAGCAGCCTTTGCTGGATACACATTTTCCTTAGCCACTTTATTAGCCTCTTCTCACTTGAATTAGCAGGCTTTCTAAAACAAACCGAACCAAAAGAAAAAAAACCATGCAGATTAGATTAGAGAAAAGGGAATTATAATGACCAAATGTTTATAGTTCTATATTCTTTGTCTTCCCTTACTCCAGAACAGAATACGTTCTGGGAGCAATGCAATATCTAGAAGTTGACTATAAGGCTATACTTGGTTGCATCTACATGGAGAAAAACAGGTTTAAACCCCTGCTATGTCATTCACTACATAATGAATGACATACCTTGGATACATTACATCCCTGCGAGCCCCACTTTCCTCACTTGTAAGATAGAGCCTTGAAAATTCAATTAGAAAATATTTGTGACAATAATAGTGGGAGACTTCAAAACTCTACTAACAGTATTAGACAGATAATCAAGGCAGAAAATTAACAAAGATATTTAATATCTGAACTCAACATTGGACCAAATGGATATATTAGACATCTACAGAACCTTTTATCCCAAAACAACAGAATGTACATTATTCTCATCACCACATGGCACATACTCTAAAATTGACCGCATAATTGGACATAAAACAATCCTCAGCAAATGGAAAAGAACTGAAATCATACCAAACACACTCTCAGACCACAGCACAATGAAAATAGAGTCAAGACAAGGAGAATCACTTAAGACCATGCAATTACATGAAAATTAAACAACATGCTCCTGAGTGACTTTTGGGTAATTAGTGAAATTAAAGCAAAAATCAAAAAGTTCTTTGGAACTAATGAGAACAAAGATACAACATACTAGAATCTCTGGGACACAGCTAAGGCAGTGTGAAGAGGGAAATTCATAGAACTAAATGCCCAACATTTAGTGTTCTCCCCTAAATGTCTTTCTAACATCAAGAAGTTAGAATGATCTCAAACTAACAACCTATCATTGCAACAGAAAGAATTAGAGAAGCAAGAACAAATCAACCCTAAAGCTAGCAAAAGACAAGAAGTAACCCAAATCAGAGCTAAACTGAAAGAAATGAAGACATGAAAAAACATTCAAAAGATCAATGAATCCAGAAGTTGGTTTCTTGAAAAACTTAATAAGGTAGATTGGCTGCTAGCTAGAGTAATAAAGGAGAAAAGAGAGAAGATCCAAATAAACATCATTAGAAATAATGAAGGGAATGTTACCACTGACCCCATAGAAATAAAAATAACCATCAGAAACTACAACGAACACCTCTATACAGACCTAAAAGAGATGGATAAATTCTAGACACATATACCTCCCAAGACTGAATCATGAAGAAATTGATTCTCAGAACAGACCAATAACGAGCTCCAAAATTGAACAAATAATAAACAGCCTATCAACAAAAAAAATGCCTAAGACCAGATGGATTCATAGCCAAATTCCACCAGAGGTACAAAGAAGAGCTGGAACCATTCCTACAAAAACTATTCCCAAAAATTGAGGAGGAAGGACTCCTCCCCAACTCATTCTATGAGGCCCAAACCCGGCAGAGACACAACAAAAAATGAAAACCAGGCCAATATCCTTGATGAATATTGATGCAGAAGTCCGCAACAAAACACTTACAAAACCAAATTGAACAGCACATCAAAAAGCTATTCCACCACGATCAAGTAGGCTCCATCCCTGGGATACAAGGTTGGTTCAACATATGCAAATCAATAAATGTGATTCATCACATAAACAGAACTAAAGACAAAAACTACATGATTTTCTCAATAGATGTGGAAGAGGCTTTCAATAAAATTAAGCACTCCTTCATTTTAAAAATCTTCAATAAACTAGATACTGAAGGAACATACCTCCAAATAATAAGAGCCATCTATGACAAACCCACAGCCAACATTATACTGAATGGGCAAATGCTGGAAGCCTTTCCCTTGAAAACTGGCATAAGACAAGGATGCCCTCTTTCACCACTCTTATTCAACATAGTATTGGAAATCCTAGCCAGCACAATCAGGCAAGAGAAAGAAATAAAGTGCATCCAAATAGGAAGAGAGGAAGTCAAACTCTCTCTTTTTGCAGATGACATGATTCTATATCTAGAAAACCCCATAGTCTCGGTCAAAAGCTCCTTCAGCTGATAACTTCAGCAAAGTTTCAGGATACAAAATCAATGTACAGAAATAATTAGCATTCCTATACACCAACAACAGCCAAGCCAAGACACAAATCAGAAAGGCAATCCCATTCACAGTTGCTGCAAAACAAATTAAATTCCTAGGAATACAGCTAACCAGGGAGGTGAAAGATCTCTACAATGAGAATTAGGGAACACTGCCCAAAGAATTCACAGAAGACACAAACAAATGGAAACACATTCCATACTCATGGATAGGAAGAATGAATATCATTAAAATGGCCATACTTCACAAAGCAATTTACAGATTCAATGCTATTCTTGTCAAAATACCAATGACATTCTTCACAGACCTAGAAAAACCTATTTTAAAATTCATATAAGATCAAAAAGAGCCCAAATAGCCAAGGCAATCCTAAACAAAAAGAACAAAGCTGGAGGCATTATGTTACCAAAGTTCAAACTATACTACAGGGCTACAGTAACCAAAACAGCATGGAACTAGTACAAAAACAAGCACATAGACCAATGAAACAGAATAGGGAATCCAGAAATAAGGCCGCAAACCTATGACCACCTGATCTTCAAAAAAGCTGACAAAAACAAGTGATAGGGTAAAGACTCCCTATTCAATAAATGCTGGAATAATTGACTAGCCACATGCAGAAGATTAAAGGTGAACCCTTCCTTACACCATATGCAAAAATCAACTCAAGATGGGTTGATTAAGGACTTAAATGTAAAACCCAAAACTATAAAAACCCTGGAAGACAACTTAGGCAATATCATCCTAGACATAGGAATAGGCAAAGAGTTCATGACAAACACACCAAAAACAATTGCAACAAAGCAAAAATTGACAAGTGGGATCTCATTAAACTAAAGAGCTTCTGCAAAGCAAAAGAAACTATCAACAGAGTAAACAGACAACCTACAGAATGGGAGAAAATATTTATAAACTATGCATCTGACAAAGGCCTAATAGCCAGCATATATAAGGAACTTAAACAAATGTACAAGAGAAAAACAAACAACTCCATTAAAAAGTGGATAAAGGACATGAACAGACACTTCTCAAAAGAAGACATACATGTAGCCCACAAACATGAAAAAAAAGCTCAATATCACTGATTATTAGAGAAATACAAATAAAAACCACAATGAGATACCATCTCACACCAGTCTGAATGGCAAAGTCAAAAAATAACAGATGTTGGTGAAGTTGCAGAGCAAAGGGAACACTTATACACCATTGATAGGAGTGTGTAAATCACAGTATGGAGACTCCTTAAAGCTAAAAGCAGAACTACCATTCAACCCAGCAATCCCATTACTGGGCATATACCCAGAGGAATATAAATCATTCTACCATAAAGACACATGCATGTGAATGTTCACTGTAGCACTATTCACAACAGGGAAGACATAAAATGATCCTAAATGCCCATCAATGACAGATTGAATAAAGAAAATGTGGTACATATACACCATGGAATACTATGCAGCCATAAAAAAGAATGAGATCATGTCCTTTGCAGGAACATGGATGGAGCTGGAGGCTATTATCCTTAGCAAACTAATGCAGGAACAGAAAACAAAATACTGCATGTTTTCACATATAAGTGAGAGTCAAATCATGAGCACTTATGAACACAAAGAAGAAAACAATCGACACTGGGGTCTTCTTGAGGGTGGAGGATGGGGGAAGGAAGAGGAGCAGAAAAGATAACTATTGGGGACTGGGCTTAATACCTGGGTGATGAAATAATCTGTACAACAAACCCCGTGACAGGAGTTTACCTATGTAACAAACCTTCACTGTATCCCTGAACATAAAATAAAAGTTAAAAAAAAGAAAATGTTTGTGAAAGTATCCACATTTTAGTAGCGACTCCAAAAATATTGTTTTGTTTCCTTTCCCATCCATAGTGTAAACTTCCAAATAGTTTTTATCTGTGGTTTTTCAACAATCTAATTTCTTGTTCATGGAAAAGAAATTCAATTTTATGTGTCCTTAAATAGTAAGCAGCATATTACATTTTGGACTTTTGTTTGGGTGTGGATATGAGGCACAGAATAGGAAATGTTCCTTTCAAAGAAGATTTAACATAGAAATAAGGCATCAAGCTGAGGATTCATTAGTGAAGCTCCTATAAATAATGTGGTAACACAGAGAAAGCAGGTGTTCTCTGCTACCCACAGCTCAATTCAACAGCAGGAAGCTGGTGTATATGGCTTGTTAGTCTACTCAGTAAGTTCTTTCTAAGTAAACTTTGAAAATGCCTCTATCATTTCTTACTGGAATACATTCAGAACAAGAAACACAGCAACTTTCATAGCTCTTAATAAATGTGATACTTTATTCAGGATGTGTTGAAATAAATGAACTAAAGGATTTTTAAATACGACCTTTGACTCTGGGTAATTGTTTTAATTATACTTTCTTTACCGAATATGAAAATTCTTTTTTCTTTTGCATATATAAGAGACAATGAAATAGCAGACATGGATGATTATAAACCATCCTTTGGTTTAAAACCTTAAATACTCTTAAATTGTATTATAAATCAACTTGATGCCCCAAAGCTTGAATTCAACCTTTGAAACTCAGAATTTGTTGTAGGAGGTATTAAAATACTATGCAAACAAATACTTGCTAATTATTTTTTTTGAGAAGGCATAATCAGTCCTTCTCTTACACATCAGAAATAATGTTCGTATAATAGAACTCCCTTCAGGAACCAATCTGTACTTCTATAGCTTCAACCCTTGGTTAAGTTCAGGCCCTCTGTAGTTGGTGCCATGGGGAATGTGTGGGTTAGTGTTTCTCAACTCTGGCTGCACACTGGAGTCACCTGGGGGGTGTTGAAAAAAATACTGATGTCTGCATCTCATTCCTAGAGATTCTATGTAGGTTTTGGTGGGCATCCAGCCTAAAAAAAAATGTCAATCTTAAAATGTTGGAGTTTCTGTTAAAAAAGAAATCTAGATTTCCTGTTTCTTTAAAAAAACTAGAAGATTTGGCATTATCAGACTCATCTTCCCACATAGACATAGTGACTCCTGGCTGGAGCCCAGTAATACGTTTCTTTTAGAAAAGGTATGCACACATCAGTCTGCCACAGTCCTTAGTTTGCCACTATTCCTCATGACCTACCCCTCCTCTTACCCTTGCTTCACTCATTCACATTATGTGCCTGGCTGCTGTAAGCATTTGGATTTGAGACCAGATGGGCAATGAAATATCATCCAAGCAAAGTATAGCTTCAACTGATTTGCATTTTAGGAGATTACCTTGGAAACAATGTGAATGACAGTAATGGGAGGGAGACAGAAGACAGAAAATCACTTAAGAAACTACTGCGGTTTGAATGGGAGTGACTTTAGGAAAGGCATGATCTCTTTCGAGATGGAGGTTATTAATCTCCATCTTTAAGGCTTAAAGGAAACTTATAGCCTTGTTATTCAAGGTGTGACTCCCATAGAACAACAGCAACATCAGAGAGTTGTTAGAGATTAAGAATCTCAAATCCACCCATCACACTTATTGAATGAGACTGTGTTTTAACAAATTCCCCAAGAGGATTTGTATTCATGCTAAAATTTAAGAGGCACCAACTTAGACATTTTGCCCATGTGTTTCATGTATGTACATGTCCCTCTTAATTTTTATAGATGACTTCTTATATTGTTGTCTTATATTATGACATATATTGTTCATGAAGTTCTTGATTAATAATAATTTTTAAAGTTATGGGAGAGAAGCAAAACTGAAAATTGTGTATAGAAACATCATCTTAAATGTTTTAATATAGCAGCATTCACGTATCTCAGCCTCAAGATTAAAACCATCTTCCACAATTCATCATCTAATCCGATTTTCCAAGTCATTGAAAATATTTTCTAGTTGTTACTGAGTGATTTCATAAATTGGATTTGTGATCTTGGCCCCAAGTTCCTTCAAATAATATTATTTGGAGATCTTCAGAAAATACCAGTGCTTAGGTCCCACAGAAACTATAGTCAAAGGAAAGAGCTCAGTTTAAAGTTAAAAAATATTTATAAATATAGGATAAGGAAGTAAAGCAGAATCTCCCACAAGCTTATTTAAGTAATTTAAATGCATAATTGTCATCAGTAGAGCCAATGCAAGAAAGTCTCTTTCAAAATATGTTTATTGTTTTATTTTTCTGATTACACAGTACCTTCTCATTTTAGAAAAAATAGAAATGACATAAAACTAAACAAAAGAAAATTAAAATCACACCGTATGTGGGTGTATATGGAAATAGGAAAGAAATATAAAACAATTACATATGAGTGTTCCAAAATTGTGTATTGTGTGCACATATACACTATATGTGTGTATGTATACACAAAAAATTGTATGTGTTGTTTTTCAATGATTTTTTTCCAATTAACATTATATCATAAGCATTTCCTCATTTTAACACATATTTTAAATGTGTTTTCTAAGGATTACATGTTACCAAACCGTGTAGATATACATTATTTGAAGTGGCAACATATAGCATCTTAGACTACTTAGCAGAGAGTGAATGGGACACTCCCAGGCAGTATACAGCATGGCAGCCCTCAGGCAAGGGAATTGGAGTTAAATTTGAGCATCTCTGCTTACTTCTGATATAATCTTGGGCAAATTTCTTATGTATTTGGGCCTAGGTTCCAGTCCCTTTTTGTGAAAGGGGTAACAATTGTACCTAATTTACAGAGTTTGTTGTGAAGATTAAACGTGGTTGTATATAACAGTTTTGTGTGCATGTGTGTGTGTTTTTTTGTTTTTGTTTTTGTTTTTTGAGACTGCGTCTCACTCTGTCACCTAGGCTGGAGTGCAGTGGCACAATCATGGCTTATTCAGGCTCTGCCTCCTAGGTTCAAGCAATTCTCTTGCCTCAGCCTCTTGAGTAGCTGGGATTACAAGCATGCATAACCATGCCCCAGCTAATTTTTAGTAGAGACGGGGTTTCATCATGTTGGCCAGGCTGGTCTCGAACTCCTCACCTCAAGTGAACTGCCCTCCTCAGCCTCCCAAAGTGCAGGGATTACACGCGTGAGTCACCATATCTGGCCATATATAACAGTTCTTAGCACAATGCCTCACACAACAGAAACACAACATAATATGGGCTTTAAGAAAAAATGGTAAAGTAAATATTACATAAAATTTATCATTAGTGACATTTAGTAAATTCACAGTATTGTGTAACTATCATGGCTACCTAGTTCAGAATATTTTCATAACTCCAAAAAGAAACACCACACTCATTAAGCAGTCAATCTTCATTCCTCTCTCCCCTCGGCCCCTGACAACCACTAATCTGCTTTCTGTGTCCATGTATTTACCTATTCTGGAAATACCATTAAATAAAATAATATTTAATGGCTTTTTGTGTCTGAATTCTTTCACTTTGCATGTTTTTCAGGTCTATCCATGTTGCAGCATGTATTAAAACTTCCTTTTTATGGCTGAATAATATTCCATTGTATGGATATACCACCTTTCATTTAGCCATTCCTCAGTTGATAGGCATTTGGGTTGTTTTCACCTTTTTCTAGTGTTAATAGTGCTGCTATGAACATTCATGTATATGGGTTTTTTTTGAATACCTCTTTTCAATTCTTTTGGGTAATACCTAGGAGTAGAATTGCTAGACCATGTGGTATTTCTGTACTTAACTTACAAGAAGTTACTATGCTATTTTTCCATAGCAGCTGCTCTGTTTTATATTTCTACCAGAAAGGTAGAAGATTCCAATTTCTCTACATCCTCTTCAGCACTTGTTATTTTTCATTTTGTTTGATTTTTATAGTCGTCATAGTCTGCATGAAGTGCTAGTTCATTGTGATTCTTACTTGCATTTCCCTAATAACTAATGATGTTGCAGATCTTTTCATTTACTGGCTGACCATTTGTATATCTTCTGTGAAAAAATGTCTATTCAAGCCCTTTGACCAAAATGTTCTTTGATAAGTAAAAGTTTTAATTTTGATAAAGTTTTATTTATCTATCTTAAATTTTTTGCTATGTTTTTGGTGTCATATCTAAGAAACCATCATCAAATCCAAAATTATGAAAATTTATCCCTTATGTTTTCTTCTAAGAATTTGATGGCTTTAGTGTATGTATTTAGATCTTTGTTCCATTTTGAGTTAAATTTTGTGTATGGTGTGAGGTAAGGGTCTAACTTCATTAGTTTGCATGTGGATATTCAATTGTCCCTGCACAATTTGTTGGAAAAAAATATTCTTTCTCTGTTGAAGGACTTTGGCACACTCACTGAAAATTAATTGACCACAGATGTGTGGGTTTATTTCTGGACTCTTCTATTCTGTAAATCTATATGTCTATCTTCATGCCAGTTTGACACACTGCTTTGATTACTGTAGGATTGTAGTAAGTTTTAAAATCTGGAAGTATAAGTTCTCTAATTTTCTTCTTATTTATCATGATTGTTTTGGCTATTCAGGGTCCTTTCCAATTCCACATTAATATTAGGATCAGCATTTCCATTTCTTCAAAAAAGGCCAGTGAGATTCTGATAGGGATTGCATTGTATCCCTACAGTACTTTGGGGAGTATTGCCATCTTAACAACATTAAGTTCTCCAATTCATGATCATGTGATATCTTGCCATTTATTTAGGTTTTTCATTTTTTAACAATGTTTTGTAATTTTCCTTGTATAAGTTTTCCATCTCCTTGATTAAATTTATTCCTAGGTATTTTACTTTTTTTGATGCTACCATGAATGAAATCATTTTCTTAATTTCCTTTTCAGGTTGTTCAATGCTATTCTATAGAAACACAAGTGATTTTTTTTTAACGTTGATTTTATACTCTCCAACTTTACTGATTTAATTTATTTGCTTTAATTTTTAAAAATTATTCCTTAGGGTTTTCTGCATGTACGATCATATCATCTGCAAGTTTCCCCTTCTATATTCTTTGTTCACTTGTGTTTTGCTCATCTGTCTAGTTGTAAAAAGCTGCTACTTCAGTGTATTCTAGACCAGAGCTTCTCAAACTACAGTGTACTCATGAATTACCCATATATTTTAAAGGCAGATTCTGATTCATCAGCTTTAGAGTGGGGCCTTAGTATCTACATTACTAACAATCTCCAGGGTAATGATGCTGCTGGTCTCGGGGCTCCCTTTTGGATAACAAAGGTTATGAGGGAAATAATTGCACAATGAAAGAGAGTGTAAGTGATAGAGTCAGAATACTGGGTCATTGTTAAAACTCAGAAGATATAAGTCAAAATAAATCTTTGAGTCTCTTAAGGTGTGGACATGTTTGACCAAGCTTACAACTTAATTTTTTTGTTGTTGTTTGTATTTAGTCCTAGATACATTACTGAGGTAATTGAAGATCAAAAGACAAGTATTTAAATGTTCTGTTTATCTTCAAAAATAGGAATATTTCCTCAGAAGTAGCACTTATATTTATTAAAAAAGGAGCTACTTATACGTCTCGTGGGTAGTTAAAGAGGTATGTAGCAATATCCAGAGTTTGTATAATCATAGTGTCCAGGATATCCACATATTTTCCAAGTGTTTCACAGGCATTGTTGAACAATTTTCTTCTCATTGCTGCATTTATTAACCTGTATAAAAAAGCAGACGCTTCTGCTATTTGAACTTTCATTACCTCCCCAAATTCCTTCACCAAAGGTATGTGAAAAAATTGTAAAATCACTATAAAATATATTGCTTCAGTAAATCAGCTCACATATCTGATGATTACAAAGAAAATCAATAAAATGAAAGAGAGTCTGTTTTATAATGTTTCATCTAATTTAAAAAATAAAGTGGGGTCTGAATCTGAAATGTCTCAAGGCAGAAATTAAATGAGTTCTCCAAAGAGTAAGACACCTGCATCAGAGCATTTCAATTCCCCTGTCTTCATTTTAGTGAATAATTTGTTTTACTTGTCTGATTCTTTAATGAACTTTCCAGGTAAAAGCAGATGTCATTTTTCACAGAACATAAATTAGAAATCATTTTATTACTAACATGCAAAATATATACAAATAGTATTGAATTTGCCAGCAAGCATTGGGAATGTCCACATAATGATGGGGTTTTCATATTGGTAACCCTATTCTAGCCTTAATTTGCAGCTCAATTTAAAGCTTAGTGAACCCTGTGTTTTAATTTCCAAGGGAAAGCTGAATTTAGAAAGTCCCTCCAAAATGTTTTTGCCCATCTAAGAAAGGGCTGAGTTAAGAAAGCAAATAAAGAACATTGTGCTCTATGATCTATGATCATGAGGTTTAAAACTACCTGCTGTTATTTTGCTTACAGAATCTTTACCAGCTCGTTAAGTTTAAATGCTTAGAAAAGTATTTTTAGTTTTGACTTTTACAAAAATTCCTCATATATCTTTTTTTTTCCTGGCATTTGTCAGCCCTTAAATAAAATGTCCCGGAAAGCATGGCTTTTTACAGTTAATACTATTATATTGCATGGTATTTTGCTATCATGATAATAAGAGTGAAATTGAATCCACTTTAAGTGAACACCTGAGAGGACTTCTTATACCTTAACACAGTCAATCTGTGAACCGCCTACAACCTTCCTGTGCTAATTTAGCCATTTAGTGACTTATTTAATGCCCTAGCCTTCGCTGTCCTTGACCTTCTTTACTCCAAAGGCCTATTTTCAGCTAGCTTCAGCTTCCCACTCCTGTGGCCACCACACTTTGTTTTATGACATCACCCAAAACTGCACTCATCACAACCTCCCTGCCTTCTGTCTTTTCCTGGCCTCTGTCCTTGTGCTACTCAGCGTGGACCACCAGGACTGTTGTGAGTAAACTCAGTCACCCGGTTTCTCTGTTTCTTCCTAATTCTGAAACAATTAGCATAATTATTCTGATTGGTTCTATTTAAAATGTAATTTATCTGTTACCAGTTAGCCTTACAAATCCCTTTATTTATCATCTGTTAATTCCCTGCTCCATTCCCCATAACAACTAGTCCAAAACCTTCGTGCTCTTTTAAAATTCTCAACCACTATGGAGCCAGGCTTTAACTAACCTCAAAGTCGCCTAGTCACACAGAGTGAAATTGCTTGTTCTTTTCTTCGGTGCCCAGACTTTTTGTCTCTTCGTTGCTTCTCTCTTTTACTTCTCTTTCTCCTCATTTCTGGGAGAAATGGATCCTATTCTAGATCTCACTGGTTCTATCTCCTATTCACTTTATATCTCTTTTCATTCTTAATAACTCATTTTTCTGTCACCCTTCACTCCCCACCCCACCTCCACTCCTTTTTTGCCTGGATAACTCCCACAGCTTGTTTGAGGTCTCAGCTCAGATATTGCTTCCTATAGGAAACTCTTATTAATTCTCCAGACACCATTAGCTCCATTGCTCTATGATCCAGAATCGTCCTCCACATTCTCTTGATAACACCGACCCCCTTGCTTCAGTGCTCTGGCTCGAGCTGTCTCTCCTGCTTGGGACATGGTGTGTCATCCTTGCTCTCTCCCCAGGCCCACCTCTACGCTCACCAGCTGAAATCCCTGCACGTATTTAAGACCCAATAAGACGGCTTCTCAGATACCCCAAAGCAGAAACTGATTTCACTTTCTGCTACACACTCGTTTTGCTTCCTGTTTGAGCTTGTGTTCATAAAAGGTGCTGAATAATGCTTTTTAGATGGTTCCACATTCAGTGTAGGAGAGTTATGGAATGCCCATCCCAGTATCATTTGCAGCTGGTTCACAGATTATTGAGTATAGAATGAGAGTCCTGTGCATATACTTAGTGGTGAGCTGAAAACCAGAGCCTGCAAAAAGATGAGTTGAAAAAATTCTAGCTTTCAGTGAATTTTGTTAGAAGACAAGTGATTTCTTCCATACCATTAGAGGTAAGGATTTTTCCTATAATAGAGTACATAGCTATTATAAATATAGTTACACAAATTTTACAAGGAAGGTAAAAATAACCACATGGGCATATAGACAATTTTGGGAAAGAAAAACCTGATCATATTTTTTACCTTTTCTTAGCTTTTTTCTTTAAAGTGACACATAATAATTGTACATATTTATGGGGTACATAGTGATGTTCCAATGCATATAACATATGTATGTATATCAGATTGGGCTAATTACAAATCCATCATCTCAAACATTTATCATTTCTCTGTGTTGGGAACATCCAATATCCTTTCTTCTAGCTATTTGAAAATATATATTATGGTCATCCTACAGTGTTATAGAACATTAGAACTTGTTCTTTATATCCAGCTGTACTTTTGGATCCTTTTCCCTTTTAAATTAGTGGCACCTTTGTTGAGACAATGATGTGAATGAAGAAAGTAGGAAGAAATGCGTCAGTTTCATCTTTATGAATTAAGACTAATGATATCCAATATTGCACAGGGCTGTTTAAACTCCTGATGGATTGGTGTAACAATCATTCAAGGCGCCTAAGGGTGAGGATTTTGTTTATTTGTCATTCTATCTTCCACAGGCTAGCTCAATACTTATTGAGTGAATGAAGTAATTTGTAAAACTAAAGTTAAATTTTAGATTTAGAAGTCATTAATCCAATAATGTAATTTTCAGAGTCAAGTTAGTTGAAAGTTTTAAGGTTTAAACTACTATTTTTATAGAATCTATCTTCCAATTTTTGGTATAATTATATATCAATTATTCTAAATCAAATATTACCTATTCATTAAATACCTTAGAATATTCTGGATCAGTGGTTCCAAAATTTGTCTGATTGTAAGTGTCATTTCCTTGTCCGTGATTGCAAATAAAATGCTTCAGATTTTTTTTTAAATCCTTATTTTTTTCACCCTACCAATATAAATTATGATTCAGTGGATAGGGGGTGAGCCTGGAAATATGTGTTTTTAAAACTTTCCCAGGAGATAATAACAGCCAATCAGATTTAAGAGCCTTTTTAAAAAAGTCTATATTTGAGGTTTATTGTGGATAAAACATAAA
The DNA here is from genome assembly GCF_000001405.40 of Homo sapiens. Taxonomy (NCBI): domain Eukaryota; kingdom Metazoa; phylum Chordata; class Mammalia; order Primates; family Hominidae; genus Homo; species Homo sapiens. The sequence continues at coordinate 178,925,991 of NC_000002.12, read as the reverse complement.
CAGACCCTCCCTTCTATTAAGTTAGCCTATTTCATTTAGGGAAATCACCACAAAAGGTAAACATCACAACCTAATAATTTCCCCTGTAGCTGAGTTAGATGTGTTGAGATCCTGAAATGGATCTCAATGGATTGTGTAGACAATGAAAAAGTAAGTCCTCCGAGAACATTAAGATAAACTAGGACCACCTGGTCAGTCCATGGCACAATCTGATTGTAGGCAAATTGTGTTAGATGCAAGTATTTTGGCCAGCTAGACTTTTATTAAATTTAATTTAAAATGGAAACACCAACCAGGCTCTGTTACTTAACTAGAAGAAAACGTGATTAATAGGAACAAGAAATCTAAGAAAAACAGGGACAAGACACTAAAGAAGAAAATGGTTCTTGGAATACACAAATCTTGGGAATATTTTCCCCAGAATTCCTGTGTAATTAAATTTTCATCTATGTTGAACCAAGGAAGAAAGAAGAAATGCATTTGTGCTCCAATCACTATTTTGAAGATTTGTTTATGAGCACAGTGTGTTGTGATTTCATTTTCAAATTGTATTTTGCCACATAGCCATTTGCTTCAGTATTTATTAGCAACAAGCACCCTGTGCTTCACGCTGCTAAAGTGCTGCTTAGTGGGTCCACTCAGTGGCCAAACACCGAAGAGAATAAGGGAAACAAGAGATTTCCAAGTCATAGGCTATTTTCCTGCAACTTTAAAAATATCTGAATGAACTAAAATAAACGAACTAAATATCTAACACTAAAATATCTAAATGAACTAAGATAAGAAAGCAGCAGCTAATACTCAGAAATTAATTTGGTGATATCTGTCACTTCTATTATAGACTTGCAATTCCAATTCTGGTAAGGTTGATTTCTGGATCAAACAGCCAGTATCCCACATTTTAGGAGGGCATGAAATCCAGGAACTTGAAGCACAGCTAATTTGTCACTGAATTAACAGATGAGTCACTAGAGAAGCAGAAATGTACCAACTGGTGGTGACTGTCATTGCACTGAAGTAAAAGCAAGGCTCAAAAAGCAAAATCTTCTTCCTGAAGCTACTTAACAAGCTTGGAATAAAAAGTGTACCACTCTAGCTGGAGTTCTTTGCTCTTACCCACAAGCTCTCCCTGGTTCAGTCGCAATGATTTTCTACCATATGTCTGGGAGGTGAAACAGCACACTTCTTTCATCTCTAGGTGAAATGCTAAATCACAGTTCTTCCTGTTTGCAATCTGTGCCTTTGCTGGACTGCATCATAGTGAGGGTGAAGTTTAAATGGCGTGTAGACACTGAACTCAGCAAGCATGGGAGACTGAGGCAAGACACTTCTCTCCAGAATGACCCTGACATTTGTATAGGTCAGCATAGAAATGCCCCTGAAGGGAGCATGAGAAGAGACTACCACCCAATTTATAATCCAACTTGACATAATCAGAGTTTCAACTTCTAAAGGGCTCAATGCCACTCTTCAAAAGCATAAACATTTCTGTAAAAAAAAAAAATCTTAAGCAGACTTTCAAATATTCTATGATTAAAATTGCCAGGTTTGTTTTACCATCTGTTAATACAATCATGTAAAATTCTATGATTTTGTGTCAATGAGTTAATTCTAGTTGTTCTGAATGGAACTGTAGACTTGAGGGTTAAACAAGAAATAGGCTATGTCTAATGAGATGGTCTAGGAATCAGCCATGCTTTGGGAACTATACATGAACTCAACACATGCTTCTCCCAGATTTGATTTTGGCCAGTAATCTCCACAGTTAATATTTTTTAGTAGTTTTCAAATATATTCCCAATTGTTTTTTGGTCCACCTTTCCCCCACTTAAAACTTATATTCTGAAGTCAAGCTTATAACGAAAATTTACCACCTGATGTTGAATGGTTAAAATCCCCTCATACACAGGGAAGTTTTTGTGTGAGCAAAAGCTTACTAAACATACTGTAGTTATTATTATTTTTTCTTTTCAGTTGGAGCAGCTAACATTCTTACTTTTTGGATCTGCTTGCTGGATAATTGTTATGCCAGTTCATAACTTCATTTAAAGAGCTAAGCTAGGACTAGCAGTGGGGGGAAGGAAAGAAGAAATCTTTTTCGCCTTCTTGTCTGTCAGCACTAATCCTCTTAAAAGTACCCTTTCAATCAAGGGATCCAAGAAAAGCTCAATTTCCTCAGGAAATGGAATACTGAAAGGTACAGTTAAAAAGGTTCCTACTGTGAGTGAAAAATGAAAATAACGGAGTGACCTATGGAGACACCACAAACCTGGAAACACACAGGGCCTCACGTCTGTATCGGGTCGGAGATACGCACGCATCTCTGTCAAATTGAAAAGCCAAGGAAATGGAAGGCTTTGGCTTTCTGCTGGTGGGGACAAGTACTGGAAATATTTTATTGCAAAGTGACTGAGACCCTGTTAGAAGTTTAACACTTCGCAGGCAGGCAGCAACGGCTTAGAGAAAACAGAACGAGATTTTCTCCATTGGGCTCCTCTAGCCTTGACAAGGGTGACAACTATATTTTTTAAATAGTGTGATGGATTCAAATTGCTCTGGAAAGTTTCATCTTAAAAATAAACTGGTGGGGCCGGGCGCGGTGGCTCACGCCTGTAATCCCAGCACTTTGGGAGGCCGAGGCGGGCGGATCACGAGGTCAGGAGATCGAGACCATCCCGGCTAAAATGGTGAAACCCCGTCTCTACTAAAAATACAAAAAATTAGCCGGGCGTAGTGGCGGGCGCCTGTAGTCCCAGCTACTTGGGAGGCTGAGGCAGGAGAATGGCGTGAACCCGGGAGGCGGAGCTTGCAGTGAGCCGAGATCCCGCCACTGCACTCCAGCCTGGGCGACAGAGCGAGACTCCGTCTCAAAAAAAAAAAAAGAAAAAAAAAAAATAAACTGGTGGAAGTGTCCCCTATGAAAAATGGCTGGGGAAATAAATACATTACCAGAATGGTAGAGAAATGCATCAGAAACTGCCTATAGATTGCCCAAAGAAAACAGAACCAATTTTCTGAGAAGATTGAACAGAAATACTGAATGGACCCAGCTTCATTTAATACCCACAGAGTTCATGTGAAAATGTAATTAAGAAGACTGGGGATGGAGAACAAAAAAAGATAAGAGCCACAAAATGGCCCCTTACAGTTTCTTTGGAAGGTCACAGTAAACTTTTTATAGCACAGTGCCAAGCACAAGGTTAAAGTGGGTTTTCAAAGGCTTGGCTCTACTCCAAAGGTCTTTCTTTAATGTTGTCTGCAAAATTTATACTGAAGGCAGATTTATGAAATCGCTGGAGAACAGGTATTTCTCTTCTTGTTTATTATTTTGGTCCAGTTGCTAAGCAAAACTAAGTCTAAGTTTGGGCTGTAAATTTTCAACTATATCTATATTAGCTTTGTGTTTATTCTGAAATAGCGAGCCTTCTGATTTCAAATCTGAGAATCCCAGGGTCATACAAGATTTTTATCACCTCCGAGGTCTTGTCCAGGCCATGTGGAAGTTTTACCTAGGCAATTCCAAAATAATATGGTTAATCATTCTTTGATGAGAAAAACAGTGTGTCAAGACTGAGAAGAGCTGGGCTGGAAATCTGGTTGAGATAGCAGATTGTAGAGTCAAACTACCTGAGTTTGAAATTTGGCTCTTTCTCTTACTAATGTTGACATCTTGGGCAAGTTGGTAATCTCCCTTGGCCCCAGTTACTCCATCTGTAAAATGAAGATAATAACAGTTCCTACCTCATAAGGATATGATAAAAATTAAATGACATAATGCATGTAAAGCATTTAGCACACCACTAACATACAGAAAGAAAAATCAACCCTTACCATCTTGCAGACAGTTAAGACAACATCCTAGAGCTTAGTGTTGTTAGACTGAGCACGCAATGGCTATATTTCATTTCTTCATATCCTAACTTCTGCATTTTCCTTGCCCCTGTTTTTCTAGGCCCTCCCCAGCTTCTCCATATTCATTAAGTAGTCTCCCCTAATCGCACAGAAAGTTCTGATCAATGCCAAATCTTTTTAAAGAATTACCTGCTTTATTCTGCATCTTTACACATTATTTCTCCACCTGAGTTTGAGTATTAATGCCCCACAGATCTGAACAGACAGAAGAAGAAAGGATGGTACAAAGAGAGGAAATGAACTAACAGAGGAGCTGGAGAACAGGGACAAAACAAAGAACGAAACAGAAAGACTTGTGGGAGCTGGTGAACCCAGTTGGTGATTCAGCTGCTCTTAGCTATAGAACGTTTTTCCCCAACATTGTTCCAACTGGAGCATTGGTCCCCTGAGATGACTACAAACAGTTTATTAATCAAAAGAGTTTGCCCAAAATATTCCACACCACACTTTCCTCTAGGAGAGTCTCAATGCACATTAATACATTAAAGATGCCAAGAAGTACTGCAGTAAAAAAAAACAAAAACAAACGAAAACCACAAAAAAAAACCTGTTTTACTTTGTTTCATCTCATAAGACTGTTCAATACTTAACACTAATCAATAACATTTTGGGAAATATTTCACTGCCATTATTTTACAAGTGGGTAATGGGAATACCCATAAATAAAGAACACATTTGGAGAGCTAATGAACCAAAACTGATGCTCAGAAAAGTGGGACTAACACTTAGTGAGTGCCTATTATGTGTGCCAGAAATTGTACTGTTTTAAAAATATTTGCTCATTCCCAGTAGGTTAAAGTAATGGTTTTTAAGTGGTAACGGTAATAAAAGTGCTTTATGAAAGAACATCTTGGCACATATTAGTTTTCCTTAAGTGGGGACACAATAGCTCTTTAAAAATTGAAAGATCTTGAGAACTCACGTAGCCCATATCCATGCTTAAGAGTGCTGCTTTTGCATGCACTGAGAAATTGCAGATTTTGGAGTCTATCCTCAGTTCCCTGGAAGGTAGCATGAGACAAAGACCTGTGAACTAGTCCTGGTACTGCCTCTTACTGGATACGTAACCTTGAGTAGCATACTCTTCTGAACCTATGTCAATACTAGAAAAAATAATAATATCTAATTTAAGGGTTTTTGAGGATTATAGTTATAAGCCACAATTTTATATAACTGATACTTCAAATAATTCAAATTTCTTACTCTACATTTTATACTCCTGTATTCATTGATCAAAATGTTTTTCTTTTGCACCTAAAACTATAACAGTTTCCATGGACACCACAAAATAATATGTACAGTTTCTATCTTAACATCTGCTAATTGTTATTTAAAATACTATTGTATTGAGTGTGTGTGTGTGTGTGTGTGTGTGTGTGTGTGTATGGAGTTCAGTGACATGATCACAATTCACTGCAGCCTCAACTTCCTGGTCTCAAGCGATCCTCCTACCTCAGCCCCACCGAGTAGCTGGAACTACAAGCATGCGCCACTATGCCCAGCTAATTTTTTGCATTTTTTGTAGAGACAGGGTTTTGCCATGTTGCCCAGGCTGGTCTCAAACTCCTGGGCTCATGCCATCTGCTTGCCTTGGCCTCCCAAAGTGCTGGGATTACAAACGTGAGCCACCACACAAGCCATTTTATTCTTTCTTTATATTCCCCAAGGCATCTGTCTTAGCATAGTGCTGGGGACATAGTAGTACCATAGTAGTTACTTTGTAAAATGAATGAATGGAAACAATAATGGCAAATTGCACTAAAATTGTGCTGATTTTACACAATGTAATATAACAAATGTAACTTAATAATAGGATACTTTGTACTGGTAGAACAAGGCAGGATGGAGTCAGACTGAGACTTCTGAAATCTTGTGCTAAATTTTCCACGCTTCACAAGTAGCCTATGCCTATCACTCAACCGCAGCTTATATGGATACCAGAAGATTCACTAACAAGACAGTCATGTTAGAGATAATCATTCTTTTATGACAGTGGGTCTGACTTCAGGACTTTTGCAAGAAACTTGAATTTCCCTTCAAATAAATTGAATGTAAATATGTTTGGTTTACTCCAACTCATATTTTAATTCTGTTTAATGTTTTTCCATTCTCATGCAACAAAAAGTAAAAAGCTACCTCTTTTCATTTTCTGAAAGGTCTATATACCATTAAGAGTGAAGCCTTGAGAGGTGAAACCGATATCATGAAGGAGAAAATACCGAACAATAACAGCTATTCATTTTATGAGGAGTAACAGAACTTCATTTTATTAGGTTGGTGCAAAGGTAATTACTTTTAATGGCAAAAACCACAATTACCTTTGTACCAACCTAATAGCTGTAATTGTAGGCAGACACAAAAACAACAGTCATAAGACATGTGATTTCTCTTCATTTCTTGTACACATTTACCTGCATTGACAGTGAGACTGAATTGTGGGAAAGATATGTTTTTATACTTAAATGAATACACATCGGACAAAATGAGTTCAAGATTTAAAACTGTTGTTCATTGTATAGGGGGTATATTTTTAGGTGGAGTTCACAGAAATGGAAGTGACCTGTATTCAGGTCAGCTGGTAGCTCTGCCAGTCACTCATCCCAACTTCCTGCCTCTTTCTACTCTCCCTTTTTAGCCTCTTTCTGTGTCTTTTCCCACTACATCTACATGGTACTCAAACCTGTAGTGAAGCATTTACCACTACAATATTTACTACAATTTCATGATTTGAAAATCGAATGGCAGATTTTTGATATACTCAGCATATCTAAATATTCTCTGAATCTTATCAGAAATTATAAAAAGAGGTGTCTTTGTCAGTTTGAGTTTCTATAACAAAGTAACATAGACTGAATGGCTTGTATACAATAGATATTTATGTCTCATTGTCCTGGGTGTGAGAAGTTTGAGATCAGGGTGCCAGCACGGTAGAGTTGTGGTGAAAACCCTCTTCTGGGTTGCAGACTGCCAACTTACTGTATCCTCACATGGTGGAAGGGGCAAGGCAGCCCTCTCAGGCCTCTTTCATAAGGTCACTAATCATCTCCCAAAGCCCTACTTCCTAATATCATCACCTTGGGGGTTAGATTTCAGCAGAGGAATTTCGGGGGGACACAAGCATTCGGTCCATAACAGAGGAGATGTATAAAATAATAAGAATAATCTCTTGCAGGAATGGAATTCTGCTGTTGAGAAGCTGAAGAGTGAGGCACTGAGAATTCTGCTGTCAAAGGACTACGTGGAGAAAGAACACCTCCAGCTCTCTCACCAGAAACTCAGTCAGCTTCAAGAAGAATTTGGTCAACTCATGGTGGAAAGGAATACCTGGTTAAAGAAGGCGAATGAATTTTTTAACAGTGCTAACAAGGTCAGTGTGAGGTCAAGTTGATAATTTTCGGTAATCAGGCAGACCAGTAAAAGACCCATTACTTCAACTGACTGGAGCACATCACAGAAGTCAAAACGCCATGTAAAATTTCAAAACTGATAGCAGCAAAGAGAGCTTTTAACATATATTCCTATTATGGCCATTATTTGATTCTCAAAACTGAAAGACTGTTTTCACATGTAAAAGGTGACTTTAAAAACAACAAACAAACCTCGTGAGGGTTTTTTGTCTTTTTGTTTTGTTTGGTTTGGTTTGGTTCATTGGATGGTTTTTGTTGTTGTTTTGAGAAAGGGCCTGGCTCTGTCACCCTGGCTGGAGTGTAGTGGCGTGATCATAGCTTACTGCAGCCTCGACCTCCTGGACTCAAGTGATTGTCCCACCTCAGCCTCCCACGTAGCTGGAATCATAGGCACATGCCACCATGCTTGACTACTTTTTTTTTTTGGTAGAGACAGGGTCTTGCTATGTTGTGCAGGCTGGCCTCAAACTCCTGGGCTCAAGTGATCCTCCTGCGCTGGCCTCCCAAAATATTGAAATTGTAGGCATGAGCCACCATGCCTAGCCTCATGAGGGTTTTATCTTACAGCTGCCACTGGTCTGTTTCGGGGGGACACTTGTGCCCACATTATAGTGTTTCCCATGGAGGAAGAGAATTATCATAAATGTATCAAGGCTGAAAAATACCTTAAAATTTTTACCGAAGGCCTCCTTTTATTCATCCTCTTTAATTTACCAGGTAAAATACATATGAATATTGCAAGCCTTTTTGCACACAAGCCGTAAGGCTAGAAACAGTGCCTTAGCCTGATTGTTCCACCTTGGTCTTGCCTTTTTAAGTCAGCCAGAGTGAAATCTGGCTGTGGACCATCTCCAGGTCTTGAGTTGGAGGAGTGCTCTGCTTCTCCTCTCTGATTCATTGGACATTGATTGCAGCAGGTGGTTCCTGCTAAGTGGCAATGTTCACCTGTTCACATCACTTGAGTACGGCTCAGTGTAAGAGGCTGGTGATCTTATTTGAAAATTTTTTCTACCTTTTCCAATGTAATATACACCTTCAAACGGTGTTTTTAGAATTGTTTCATACCTTAAATTTCACTGATGTTTTCAAAACGGACAATGTGGCAGGAAATGAATGAGGAAACCCTGGAACCTAGGTACATTGTGATCTAAAAATCACAACATCAACACCCTGAATACAATGTCCTGGTGTATATCAAAATAGTGACTTAATTTTGAACTTCTTTACTAATAAGAAACTTTTTGAAAAAATAAATAGTAAAATTTCAAAACAGAGTTGCTAAATTGTGGTAAAATGTTAAAGAAAGATTTATTGTCAGATTATTTGTCATTTGGGATTTCTTTAAGAGAGGAAACAGATATACCATATTACTGGAGCTATTGAACTAATTAGATGTTAGGTGCTAGTTAAGTTTCTCCTCAGTAATTCTGTTTTTGAATAAGAGACTTTTAAATTTAAACTGCATATTCATTCTTCAAAATGAGTGAGTCATCTACAAGTCAGTTAATATTGTTTCTAAGGAAAACCATTATCAAACATATTGCTATAAAGCAATGCTTCCAGTACAAACCCTATAGTTTACAGCCTTGCAAAATGTAGTTTCTCTCTTTCATTCCCATTCTCTTACTTTTGTTTTCTCTGCTCTCATTATTTTGTACTTTGCTGGGATATTTTTCTGGGTTTTAACAGAGAAGAAATATCTCCTGCAAAAGCCTTTTTTTTAAAAAAAAAAAGAAGAAGAAGAAGAGAGTGGTTACTTTCTCAAACTCATACAGTAATTCAGGTCAGATTGGAGTAGAGAATTTATGTTTCATAATCACAAAGACTTTCGATTTCTAGATTCCCCATTTTATCATTTGAAAGCCATGGCATGCTAACTATACAAATTATAATAAGCTCCACTGGGATTTATCCATACTATAGCAGGTTCTATAGACAAGTGGCACTCAGAATAGTGTTAGAATCCTTTCTCCCTTTTCAAAGCATCAAGGAAATAATTTCTGACTCCAAATCTAAGAACTCAGTGTGAAAGATGATGGATATTTCTACCTCAGCAAAAATAGAAGCTGGAGTTTGGAATGTAGATGTTTAATCATGACTGTTGAAATGAATTTTTTACTATGTTATTAAGTAAAATAACTATATTATTTATACTATATTATTAAGTAAAATAAATGATGAAATTATGTCGTGTAAATCTACTCAAAGAAGAAAACTCTTCTTGTGGCTTATAAATGGTATTTTTCTTTTTTATTTATATTGTAAAACCTCCAAATTTTATAAAAATTTGACCACTTTACCCAATTTTTAGCCTGACACTTATAGCCCTAGTTTAAATAAAGAACTGAAGTTTTAAAATTAATATAATTTCAAAATCCCTTAAAATGTTTTTTCTAGAATAAAATTCTGTTTACACTAGTGAAAAGCTATGTTCAGTTTATATAATGAATTATCTCCGAAACACTGAATTTTCCTCTTGAAAATTCACTTCGTTGTGCCTTGAGTGCACTGGGTTTCCTAATTGTGAACATTCCTGTTCTTAGAGGAAGTCATGCTCTCAAGAACTGTGAGGGGTTTGAGATTTTACCCTACATTCAAGCTAACATGTTAACTTATCACAGTTTCATGGATGATTGCAGAAGACACCTGACCTCTGGCTCAGAGGTGATTGATTATAGCAAAGCAGCAGCCAGAGTGTCAGCATGCCACATCAATTCTCCCAGCCCCAAATCCCCCTGAGTGATGCAGATGGACCCAGATGGATATATGCAACTGCAGCAGGTGGGGTTCAGGAGAGGAACCCTAAGCTTGGGGAATCTGTAGTTTTACAGCAAATAGGAAGCATGCCTGCTCTTTGTCTTGAAGGGCAACATCACCTCAATCCTGAAGGTTGCTAGTTGCAGACCCAACACTGAGAAGTGGCCCAGATATAAAGGGATCAGAGTCTTGTATTCTTGACCTACCAGTGAGATGTGTAGGAGCACCAGAGATCCATGAAGAATTTTCTCTCCCGGCACATGCAAATTGGATGTTAGCACTGCAGGAATAAAAGGTGAAGTCAGCACTTTACAAAAAGGTACTTTCCTTGAAAATCAATTTCATTCTTGAAAAGTGGAATTATTTTTCAGCAAACAACTTCTTGTTCCAAATTCGTTGAAGCTATGTCAATATACTTTTTCAATTTCTATGTCAAATACTAATGTATCAAATTTGTTAGTGTAATGGGCAATATATAAATGAGTGAGTGGGATAGCTTGAATATCTGCTTGGTAAAAAGTGAAATATATGATTTTTTAAATATACTTTTTACTTTTTTGAATTTAGTTAAAATAAAAAGAATAAATATCCAATTTTATCTGCAGAATAGACTTAGTAATTTTCTCATATCATATATATTCCTTTTTTCATCCAGGTTTTATCATATTCCTGGTTAAAATCATTGAGGAGTCCCTCTTCCCCCTTTTCCTTTCATTTTCTTTCTTTCTTTTTTTTTCAGGGGGTGGGGACAGGGTCTCACTGTCACCGAGGCTGAAGTGCAGTGGCATGATCACAGCTCACTGTAGCCCTGACCTCCGGGGCTCAGGTAATCCTCTCACCTCAGCCTCCCAGGCAACTGGGACTCCACCATACCAGGCTAATTTTTTGTATTTTTTGTAGAGATGGGATTTTGCCATGTTGCTCAGGCTTGTCTTGAGCTCCTGGGCTCAAGGGATCCACCCTCCTTGGCCTCCCAAAGTGCTGGGATTATAGGTGTGAGCCACCACACCCCACCTCCTTTCATTTTCATTCATTCCCCTCTCTAACAATTCTAGATAGGGATATTATTATTTACTAGAAATATTTTACAATAATTTATTTTATTATTTAAAGGTGAATTCATGAGAATAATTACCCTTCTCTTTAGATATTCACTTATTTAGTATATATTTATTGAGCCACTGCTATGTGTCAGGCATTGTTCTAAATGCTAGAAAATAAATAGCAGAGAACAAAACTTACAAAATTTGTGAAATTCAGTAAAATATAATTATCACTTAATTGCCCACATTGACAACAGTTCCCCCACTGCCTTTGTCCAGTGGCTCCAGGAGTGCAATTGATTACCTTTAATTCTGCTAGGGTTTGATGATTACCCAAGGTTCAGGAATGTTTCTCACCCAGAGGAAGTGTCTGGCAGCCTGTGGCTTGAGATACGGATGTTTGGACCTGGAGTGAGCAGCAGGTGGCGATGTTGAGACAGCATTAGGAACTTGCTGCTTGCTGTAAACCAACCACTGGATTCAAGTGGAGTGAGCCATATAACTCAAGAATCTGATATACTTCCTGTTCTTTTTAGAGTTTCCTAATGTGTTTGGTGAATGAACCTATTTGTCAAATCGCTTAGCAGAATATACAAGTAAGTGTCAGTTGTCGACATTGACTAATAGTTGATTGGAGAAAAGTTCCTCTAATTATCAGATGTTACTAAGACTTATGAGAACATGGCATGAAATATGAATATAGCACCTATTAGAATAACTCATCTCGATCCTCCAAAATATTCATCCTTCGGGATTATAGATTATCTTATTTATTATACTTCTAGTGTGTTCACAGAAAACAAGCTAAGCTATGGTTGATATTTATTGATCACCCCAAACGTATTTATCATTGTTAAGGGAATGTAGTTTGAATCAGAGATAAATATACAATATGTTTCAAAAACAGAATGAGGTGAGCCTGTATTTACAGGACAGCTGCAATTGAACCCAAAACTGTAAAACATGACTGATTGGTCATAATGTATCGTGTCCTATGCCTTCCATTTCCAGGCACATGATTTCATTGAAGAAAGCAAGCAGAGGAAACTGAGGCCAAATCCATTTTATGAACATGGTCTGATTTTTGGGTGGTCAGCCTGAAAGCAAAGATGAAGCAAAAGTTGGGGTGGCCAAAGAAACACACAAAAAGTAGTTCGAAATGTAACAATTGTCATAGCTTCCGTTGTTTCTGCCATAGCTATTGAAACATTAATGTCCTTTAAGAAGATGATGTTGCTTTTTCAAGATATTTACAGTGATCCATAGTAATGCTTATAGCAACATCATTGTTTCAGATGCAAACAAAATAATTAAGCATGGAATTTGTATACTTTTTTCATTTATATATACGTGATATATATGGGATATTAACATTTTCAAAATAAACACATTTTAGGCCCAGCTGATGAAAAAAAAATAATTAAAATGGTCCAGTTGTTGTATAGATTGAAATTTTAAGAAAACCTGCCCAAGTAGAGTACCTAAAAAAATACTATGCAGAAGGAATTTATTGAGGTAATATAAATGAATTCAAGTAATAGGCTAAATGTTATTAGATATCAAGGAAAATATAATTACTTTCAGTTTCATAATTCCTCAGCAGCCTGTCTTAAATTCCTCTTTTTCAGAACAACTCCCCTTTCTCTTAGAAATAACTAAAGCCACTTATGTTCCCTCCCTCTCTTCTTCCATATTTGCATTCAGCTAGTATGTTGTGTTCCTATTCTTGCCATGCATCAAATGGGTACTTGAGCGAAAGCAATGAAAGATATAATCCCTGCTTTCCAGACCTTCTCAGTCAAGTTTAGATGAGAGGCCAGGGAACAGAGGTGCACTGGGTTGTGGGAAAGCTATGATGGAGAAAGCCCAAAGCATTAGAACACACAGAGCAGAGACCCTTAACCTGGCTCAGGGAAAAAGAGTCAAGGAAGGCTCCCCAGAGGAGGTGATCACTGAGATAAGTTTGAAAGGATGGGGCAAGAAGGGCCGAGGAAGGGCTGGATGGTACAAAGTCATGCCATGTTTGGGGAACCTAAGATAATTCAATTCGCCAGGAATGTAGGGTGTACACCTAAAGTGATGAGAGACAAAGGTGGTAGAAGCAGGTGGGGAGATCAGGAAGCATTTTGAATAGCATGCTAAGGAGTTTCTATTTTATGCTGAACATGTCTTTATATATGCAGAGATATTTAAGAATTGAAAAAGTCATGATGATGCAAACCTCACCACAAGAAACAGATGATGTCTTAATTTACCCTCTTCCTGTACTCCCTATGACAGAGTGATGAGTGTAGTGTTTAGAAACCTTTGATTTTAGAGCTCAGAGGTCAGGCTGTTTAAACCACAGCAAGTATTTGATAAATATGGCTACATTATTAGCATACAATTATTAAAATAGATATATCATAGAAAAATTATAGAAAAAGAAACATCTTTAACATCTTAAGTGTCTCATGAGAGCTCACAACTCAGTTCATATCTAATAGTCTGATAATCAAGACATTCAATTTTATTGTCCTCACTCATGAATACCTTTCACATTTAAGCTGTCAATGGATTTCTAACGTAAGAGTGTATTAATTGGTTTCTCTTCTATGTGCAGTATCAGATTGTTGCATCTCTCTGTTGGCAGTAAGCACATTCTGCTTAGTATTATAGATATTTATTTCTGGGTAGATTTCTTTTGCTAAATTAAAATTTCTTGAGGGTAAGAAACATGTCCTTTTCACTTTGTGTTCACCAGAACACCTAGAACAGTGACTTCTAGTTAGTGGGTGTTCAATAATTATTTGAATGACTAAGAGCAGTGAAATATTATAAACTGTAGAGTTTCAAGGCCAACTACATGAAATTGTTCATAGGAGATTATATTGATCCAAGGTACTTGGGACTTGACCATTTTGAAAGAAGATAATTTAATTACTTTAATATACAAGGAACACAAATTTTAAGCTTCATCTCTGCATCATATCTGAGAAGGCAGGTCTTGCTGTGTAAAGGGCTTGTCATCTACACATAGTGCCTCCTCTGAGACATCTCCAGGCAGCACTAATTGCTTGTTTTGTATCATTTCCATAATATTTCTCTGTATGCCTTAGAGAGAGATTGTGTCCTAATCTTCTTTGTGTGTCACATAGGTTCAAAAAACTTTTGTCGGATGAATGAATAAATGACTGGCCATGTGACAAATCAATTTACATTTTGAGCTTGAGTTTTCTCTTTTATAAAATCAGTCTAATATTCCTCATCTACTTCAGAGAGTCTCATTCAATAATAAAAGTTCTTATAGTTGGTGATAAATTGTACACACTCTTTTTGGGATACAGTTGGAGTGTAAAATAAATGGAATTGTAGGGTATTAAGTGAAAATTAGAAATGTTTGCTAGCATTACACTTTGCCAAAATAACAGTAGATTTTGGAGCCAGAATGCCTGAGTATGAATCTGATCTTGGACATTTATTAGCTCTATGACCTTGGGCAGTCACTTAACTTCCCTGTGCATTGGCTTTTTTAACCTGTAAAATAGAAGTACTATTGGTACCTTACAAGGACATTGTGCTGTCTAAGTAAGTTAATACGTGGCTACAGCACAGAACTGCTAAGCACTCACTAATTGCTAGGCAGTATTTTGTCTTTATATCTCTAATGTGATGTAATGCTTTTGTTCATTTTCACATTCCCAGCACGTAGCTGAGTACATAGTCCATAAATTTCAATGTTTTTTGAATAAGTGTAAAAATAAGTGCTTTACACATTATAAATGGACATTTTCTACATTAATATTCCCAAGATCATCTTAAAGTCATTTAGGTCAACTTAGAGAAAAGAAAACAGAAATTATAAATAGTGACTAGCTGCCTAAAGTGCTATTGAATGGGTCTAGTTGTATTCCTCAGAACAAGAGATGGTCAATGCATAAACTTCCTCCATTCCTTGTTGATAAAATGCTTCAGATACATACCACTTTCAATCCCAAACCTCTTTTATTCCAGTGTTTTCTCAGCTTTCCAGATTATGAGACAAAAGCTTCCATAGGTGCTAATGGCATTTAATACCTCTCATTAATACCATGAATTCACCCTGGAACAAGGAGGGAGCTCTGAGGTCCAGCAGCAACTGCCTTTGACAGGCAAGGAATAAGCTGGAGCTGCAGCAGAGGACAGCAAATATTGGGAGCTTAAAAATCACATCACCCCTATATTCTGGCCTTCAGGGCATTTGAAAGCTTGGGCAGATGTGGGGAGGACCTGAATTAGGAATCAGTTCCCCAGAGTGGGAACCACCAGAAGTTCTCTCAGGTGATGTGTAGGAAAGGAAACTGAAGCTTTTGGTCTTTGTAACAGAACCTAAGGGAAATCTGAATCTCTACAGGTAATGGAATCTGGTGCTCTAATTAGAAGCACTAATTAGACTCAACTCAGCACTTAGCTGAGTTTTGTGTTTTTGATAGTTATAAGCATTCCAACAAAACTCTCTCCAGCCACTAGACTCGTGGAAGGAAATTTTCTAGGTTCTGCTGTTTTCTTTCTGTTGTTGTTCGTGTTTAATGTTGACTCTCTTCAAGTTGATTAGTCAAGAAGCAAACAACATTACTTATTAAACACCTTTGTGAAACAGCATGATAGAATTCTGCTAGATGACTCACGGCTCTTGTTTGAATTCGTCTTGCAGATATTTTTAAAAGAATGAAATGTGCCATGTCCTGATACTATCTCTATTTGATTTGGTGCAGGCTGCCTTGGGTCCTGTACTAAACAAGTGAAAAAGGAAAGGTCTTTATTGGTTTTGTAAAGAACAAACACCAAGCAACTCCTTAGTCTTTACCAAAACAAGACCGAAAAGAGCTGATTCATCTTCTTATCTGCCTAAAAACTGAATAGTACATATAAAATGTTCAAGAAGAGCTAGGAACCAGAGGGATAAAATATTATCCTTGTCCTATATCCTTTTTTCCCAATCCAGTCATAGTAGCTTTATTTGACTTGCACGTATAAGGTTTGAAGAGAGATATATGAAGGAAAAAAGACCAAAGGGAAAACACTGCTTCCAAAGGAGTTTACATGGGGGTCACAGTGTTCTTATTGCCAGAAATAATATGTTCTGTACTGTGTGTGCAACAAAGGGAGTCTTTCCAGGCTGGGTCCGATATATCAGGTTCTTTATGGGTATGGTAAATAGAAAAGCACTCAGTTCTATTTTGAGGGTAGATTAAGTGAGAGCAATGATACTTAGATCATTTCTGGAACTGGCACATGGAACTGGCAAATTCTGCATGGGAATAAGAGAGATGAGCTTTGTGTATAATTCAGACAATCACAGACAGTACAGTCTTCTTGAAAGTAGCTTCCTGTTAAAGTCCAGAAATTTAACTCTTATTTCTATGTCTGCAGATTATTCCTATTACGGGTTGGTTAGGATTGAGGTCAGTATCCAGCCCATCGTACCAATAGGTATTCTACAAATGTATTTGTTGAGCTAATGAAGGAGTAAAATCACTTACCTCCTTTCTACTGCTGTAGTTCTATTAAGTGTGATACACAGAACAATTTATAGTAAATATTTTCCTTACACATTTGAGAAAAAGCTCTGGAAGATAATTTGACTATTTTGATTCTCATTATGGGCTATCTTTGTCCTTGATATATCATTCCCTCCTTCTAGTGAATGCTTAGTCTTTCAATTTATTTCCATTTTATTAGGAAGTAATACTTTTATTATAACATTCAGAAGAGGGTGGAGTGGTATCTCACATGCATTCAATGATGTTGTGGTTTTGGCATCTAATTCCAATAAAGATGAGACCAATGCCTGAGGATTTGAGAGTGGCAGATGTTCAGTGGAGCCACAGAGGAAAGGCCCATGTGGGATGAATGACAGGCACCAGGTGGCCATGCTCTTCTCAGTCACTTTTTAAAGATGGGCTCAATCAATCAGGATTTAGAATAACAGCCAGTATTTTCCAAGTACCTACTATATGTTTGCCATGAAACCCACTTACTTTTATATATTTTTCTTCCTAATTCTCAAAACAACAAACATGACATGTATTAAGGTTATAGTAGCTTTATATTAGAAAATGGGGTTAAATGTGTAGGCAAGAAAAAGCACTTTGGAATTTTCTATTCTTTCTCCATTCACACTGAAAACTTGAGAATTATCTTAAGGAAGAAAGGCAAGAAGGCTGTGACATTTACATAGAGACTTTCATTTTATTTCTTCCTTTAGTGTAGCTCAGGGGTTCTCAATTCTAAATGTGAATATGTGTTACTACATGCACTAATTCACATATATTAAACTTTAAGGGTGATTTAAGGGAGTTGAAGATGATTTTGACTATGCCAGATTTTTGCTTTAGGCATTTGACTTTAAAACTAACCCTCGGCTGGGCGCGGTGGCTCACACCTGTAATCCCAGCACTTTGGGAGGCCGACGCAGGCAGATCACAAGGTCAGGAGTTCGAGACCAGCCTGGCCAACATGATGAAACCCATCTCTACTAAAAATACAAAAATTAGCTGGGTGTGGTGGTGTGTGCCTATAGTCCCAGCTACTCGGGAGGCTGAGGCACGAGAATCACTTGAACCCAGGAGGCGGAGGTTGCAGTGAGCTGAGATGGCGCCACTGCAGTCCAGCCTGGCGGCAGAGCGAGACTCTGTCTCAGAAAACAAAACAAAACAAAAAACCTAACCCTCAGTTAACAACAAACTCCGCTTTATTCAAAATAAGTAATACAAATTTTAAAATGTATTTAAAATGTTCAGAAACAGTGGTTATTGGCAAATGATGTTTCGATGGGTTATGGAAGGATAGGGAAAGTCATTAAATCATCTTCTTTCTTTTTTGTTTCATTGTTTATTTTTTTTTTTATTTTTTGAGACGGAGTTTCACTCTTGTTGCCCAGGCTGGAGTGCAATGTTGTGATCTCAGCTCACTGCAACCTCCACCTCCCGGGTTCTAGTGATTCTCTTGCCTCAGTCTCCCAAGTTGCTGGGATTACAAGCACGTGCTACCACACCTGGCTAATTTTTTTTTTTAATTTTTAGTAGAGACGAGGCTTCACCATGTTGGCCAGGCTGGTCTTGAACTCCTGACCTCAAGTGATCCACCCACCTTGGCCTCCCAAAGTGCTGGGATTACAGGTGTGAGCCACCGTGCCTGGCTAATCATCTTTTCTAACATCAACATTTTGTTGCACTTGGCTCCATTGCCAACTGCAGGAAAGCAAAAGAATCAGATAAAGAAGAGTTCTTCAAGTTCAAAGTTTCTTTAATTAAGTTCTCTTTCTTTTACAGTCCTATAGTATAAGAGAAATCTCTCAACCTTTCTCTGTATCTTTTCTAACCTATAAGAAGGAAAGGCAGAGACATATTTACAAAAAGTAAGTTTTAAAATCCCTCCTTTTCCGCCCAAGATTACAACTTTCTCTGACATAGCCCTTCCTTCTTAAGTCTTCCAAGGTAATCTTTTGCCACATGGCACCACAGCCCAGGATTTAAGAGCAGTGGTCTCAGAGTCAGGAAATTGGGTATAAATCCCAAATCTGCTCCTTGGTAGAAGTGTCACTTTCTGCAATTTATTTAACCTCTCTGAGACTCAGTTTTCCCAGTCATATAATGGGGATAATTTCTTACTTCCTCTTAGGACTGTTAAGGAGAATGTGCCTGGAACTAAGCAGGCATTCAATATTCATTGACTGAATAAGAATTGTGCAACACACAGTATTGAAGCAAGCATGTAGTCCGTTCTTATTAAACTATAGTTATTATTATAACTTTCTCTTCACTGCTAAATAAGTGAGAATGATTTTGTTTTAAATATTCTAAATAAACAGAATTGCAGACATGGGAGACATGAGGACATTGGTGGGAAAATAGAATATCGGTGTATAAGTAGTAAGACGCTGTTTGAGTGATTTCATTCATAACTTTGAATTTTGTCCAGTTCCAATTCTGCCACTAGATCTCACCCCCTGAGATGGCAGCAGGCACAGGGGCATGAGCGCATTTGTGTACCTCCATGACCATAGCCTCTACATTTGGCTTCGCCTGTGTTGCCCCAGCACCAGCTCAACCTTGCTCGCCTGGTCTCCTTCAGGTCTTAGTGGTACTGGACTCATGAGCCCACCTGTTCTCATTTCTTTTGCTCTGGGATCCTTACCTAGAGTCTTCTGTGGGGTCTTCCTGCTCTACTGGTCAGCTCCTGGCAAGCTCACTGGCTTCCAACTCAGCAACCCAGGGAGGCTACACTTCAAGGCCCTGCCTGACTACACAGCACTGCCCAGCTGACTGTGTTAGGACTATTTTCCAGATTGGTATGGAACATTCCATAAGGTGGCTTCTTTCAGTAGTGCTAAAGGGCAATGTGGCAAGACCTCCCATGCCATTCAGATTTTCTTCAATGTACCATTTGTTTTCTAGGTCAAAATTATTCCTAGAGACATTAGGTGAGATATCAGGAGACCTACAAAGATGACTGCGCTCTGCTTTCTCCCTTTCTCCTCATATACCCACAGTATTCTTTCATTGCCTTTGTATCATACACTCCTCCATCTTAATACCAGCTAAGCCTTAATGGCCCAGTGGCTAACTCCTCTCTATTTTATGTTAATTCTATAAGCTTAATCCTGCATGCTGGGTTGTTGATCTGCTAATAAAGGAAGAAAATAAAGGAATTTTAAAATCTTCTCTCAAGACAATATCTT
This sequence comes from Homo sapiens, assembly GCF_000001405.40. Classification (NCBI taxonomy): domain Eukaryota; kingdom Metazoa; phylum Chordata; class Mammalia; order Primates; family Hominidae; genus Homo; species Homo sapiens. Next base: position 178,906,171 of record NC_000002.12, on the reverse strand, counting down.
GGTTTGCAAGGCTATGTTTTTTATGCATAATCCTATTTCTGCATGTCAGAAGCTAAATATTACCTTGGTCTTACTCTTTGCATGGCTTCAGAACAAAATTCTAATCTCTTCTGAAGACAGATGGATGCCTTGGATGGAGTAGGCTGAAGGTCTTATATCTGCAAAAGCAAGAGAAAAAAAGGACATTCATAATTTCTTGAATATTTCTCTACAGTGCTTCAAGAGCAAAGTGGAATTTACTGGGAAATTTCCTCTAAAGAATATTACAGAAACATTCTTGCCATAAAAGCCTGTATAATATTTTTAAATAACTCATCTATTATTTGTTTACAGTGTAAAATGCACAAAATAAACCAGACTGACTCTCCAAATTCTATGCGGTTATAACTCTTTGTGTTGTATAGATACATTCTCAATGTAAACTATTTTGGTGATTTTATGGTATTGACATTTAGTTATGCTCATCTAAGCTATGATCAGTTTCCTAAATGGAACCCTAAAAAACTATACAGCTGTTTTCCAACAATCTTCCAAGATTAAGATGGTTGTTTTTTGTTATAATGAAACTAACAAATTGTTTGGCCTGATTTAATTGCCAGTGTTTTGTGTACACGTTGATGTAGATTTTAAACTAGAGAAGCAGAAAATAAAAGTATGTTTTCTTTGGCAGGCATTTGATGTACTTGGAAGAGTTGAAGCTTACCTTAAGCTCCTTAAATCAGAGGGTTTAAGTCTGGCTGTTTTGGCAGTGAGGCATGAGGAATTACACAGAAAAATTAAAGACTGCACAACTGATGCTTTGCAAAAGGGACAAACCTTAATCAGCCAAGTAGACTCCTGCAGGTGAGTAAAGTTGATTTCTTTCTCAGTGTAACAAGCTTTTTCACAGTTTCCACAACGTGCTAAAAATAAGATGCATGATTGTCTTTTTCTGGTTCTGATGTTTTGCTGCATTATGATATGGCTTAAAAGGATCTATTGAAGTTTGATCAACAGCTATTCTGAACACATCCATTGCTCATCCAGAAGTGAGGCCATATTCTGAGCCTGGAGACTTACATATGCTAAAGCTTTCTGTTTACTCGTTTCTGAGGAGGGGAAAGGGAATGGACAAAGTAAGAAGTAGAGCTTTAGTTCCCAAGGCTTTTCAAACCCTAGCATCTTTATGGAATAGCTCCTTCCCTTTGGTTCATGAGTCTTGAGTCTATCCTGTCCTGTCTTTTTCTTACTGGAAGAAAATAAAATACCAGAATTTCCTTCCAGTTATGACCTTGGTGGCTCACCATGCAAAACCCTAAGTAAACAGTGACAATTATTAATCCAACAGCATGGGCACCAGACCCCATGCTTTTGAACAGTGCTCTAGGTGGGCCTGTTTTATGAGCACATTTGGTGAATGCATCAATGTTGAGCTTAGTGGGCATGAAGAGAGAGAAAGACCTTGAGAAACAGAGAGAGAATGCAGTAGGAAAGTATAGGAAAGAACAGAAAGACAAAGGGGAAATGACAGAGCAGATAGTGGAATGCATATCGACCCGGAAGAAATGAAAGCAGGGCTTACATTTTTCACAGAGAGAGAACAAAAAAATTATAAATGGGTTAAACCCAGTTTTTCACCTTCCATGTCTACAATCTCCTTGAAACCTCAAAGACATTCAATTTGAAGAACCATGAAATAGGTGAAATGTGATAAAATCATTTTATTTCTGTTTAAACCCTTGTTCTGTTCTATTTTAGACGAGTTTAAAGGTGTTGATTTGGTAACTTTGGGTTTGGGGAACATTCTTTCCAGAAGACAGTCTGAATCTGGACAGGGGTATTTAACCCAGGGTTTGTGATGTTTGCTACAAACAACTTGTGCTACATGCACAACTAAGATTAGAAATAATCCAAGGTCTTCCAATAAAAGCCAAAAAGTTGAGGCTATGAAGACAAGGGATTCTCCCCTTTGAAAAATGAATAACTACGTTTTTTACTAAGTTTCTTTACTTTAGCTCCAAGCTGTGCATTAGGTAATAGGGGTGTCCACTAGGCTTCAGCAGTTTCAAGGTGTTTCCTCCCATCCAGGAACAAAATATGGATACAGGAACTCCTCCTCCTCCTCCTCTTTTCCAGCTTTTCCAGAATGTATAAATGTCTTGAACAATACAGAAAAGATCCTATGGGGTAGAAGAGACACTTATTGTGCCTGGACTCGGGGTACATGTCGGACATTGATTTGAGTCATATGATGACTGAATTAAGCGGTGAGGTTTCCAGTTATAATTTCAAAATGGTCCAGTCACAGTTTAACAAATGGGTCTCAAAGCACAGACAGATGTTATTTCTCTGGTCAGGCTACTCTTTGCTTGCGGCATGTTCCCTGGCTGTGGAAAGGTTCCTTTCTTTTTTTTTTTAATTTTTTTTTAAATTATTACTATACTTTAAGTTTTAGGGTACATGTGCACAATGTGCAGGTTAGTTACATATGTATGCATGTGGCATTCTGGTGTGCTGCACCCATTAACTCGTCATTTAGCATTACATATATCTCCTAAAGCTATCCCTCCCCCCTCCCCCCACCCCACAACAGTCCCCAGAGTGTGATGTTCCCCTTCCTGTGTCCATGTGTTCTCATTGTTCAGTTCCCAACTATGAGTGAGAATATGCGGTGTTTGGTTTTTTGTTCTTGCGATAGTTTACTGAGAATGATGATTTCCAATTTCATCCATGTCCCTACAAAGGACATGAACTCATAATTTTTATGACTGCATAGTATTCCATGGTGTATATGTGCCACATTTTCTTAATCCAGTCTATCATTGTTGGACATTTCAGTTGGTTCCAAGTCTTTGCTATTGTGAATAGTGCCACAGTAAACATACGTGTGCATGTGTCTTTATAGCAGCATGATTTATAGTCCTTTGGGTATATACCCAGTAATGGGATGGCTGGGTCAAATGGTATTTCTAGTTCTAGATCCCTGAGGAATCGCCACACTGACTTCCACAATGGTTGAACTAGTTTACAGTCCCACGAACAGTGTAAAAGTGTTCCTATTTCTCCACATCCTCTCCAGCACCTGTTGTTTCCTGACTTTTTAATGATTGCCATTCTGACTGGTGTGAGATGGTATCTCATTGTGGTTTTGGCTTGCATTTCTCTGATGGCCAGTGATGGTGAGCACTTTTTCATGTGTTTTTTGGCTGCATAAATGTCTTCTTTTGAGAAGTGTCTGTTCATGTCCTTCGCCCACTTTTTGATGGGGTTGTTTGTTTTTTTCTTGTAAATTTGTTTGAGTTCACTGTAGATTCTGGATATTAGCCCTTTGTCAGATGAGTAGGTTGCGAAAATTTTCTCCCATTTTGTAGGTTGCCTGTTCACTCTGATGGTAGTTTCTTTTGCTGTGCAGAAGCTCTTTAGTTTAATTAGATCCCATTTGTCAATTTTGACTTTTGTTGCCATTGCTTTTGGTGGTTTAGACATGAAGTCCTTGCCCATGCCTATGTCCTGAATGGTAATGCCTAGGTTTTCTTCTAGGGTTTTTATGGTTTTAGGTGTAACGTTTAAGTCTTTAGTCCATCTTGAATTAATTTTTGCATAAGGTGTAAGGAGGGGATCCAGTTTCAGCTTTCTACATATGGCTAGCCAGTTTTCCCAGCACCATTTATTAAATAGGGAATCCTTTCCCCATTGCTTGTTTTTGCCAGGTTTGTCAAAGATCAGATAGTTGTAGATATGCGGTGTTATTTCTGAGGGCTCTGTTCTGTTCCATTGATCTATATCTCTGTTTTGGTACCAGTAAAATGCTGTTTTGGTTACTGTAGACTTGTAGTATAGTTTGAAGTTAGGTAGCGTGATGCCTCCAGCTTTGTTCTTTTGGCTTAGGATTGACTTGGCGATGCAGGCTCTTTTTTGTTGCCATATGAACTTTAAAGTAGTTTTTTCCAATTCTGTGAAGAAAGTCATTGGTAGCTTGATGGGGATAGCATTGAATCTATAAATTACCTTGGGCACTATGGCCATTTTCATGATATTGATTCTTCCTACCCATGAGCATGGAATGTTCTTCCATTTGTTTGTATACTCTTTTATTTCATTGAGCAGTGGTTTGTAGTTCTCCTTGAAGAGGTCCTTCACATCCCTCGTAAGTTGGATTCCTAGGTATTTTATTCTCTTTGAAGCAATTGTGAATGGGAGTTCACTCATGATTTGGCTCTCTGTTTGTCTGTTGTTGGTGTATAAGAATGCTTGTGATTTTTGTATATTCATTTTGTATCCTGAGACTGCTGAAGTTGCTTATCAGCTTAAGGAGATTTTGGGCTGAGACAATGGGGTTTTCTAGATATACAATCATGTCGTCTGCAAACAGGGACAATTTGACCTCCTCTTTTCCTAATTGAATACCCTTTATTTCCTTCTCCTGCCTAATTGCCCTGGCCAGAACTTCCAACACTATGTTGAATAGGAGTGGTGAGAGAGGGCATCCCTGTCTTGTGCCAGTTTTCAAAGGGAATGCTTCCAGTTTTTGCCCATTCAGTATGATATTGGCTGTGGGTTTGTCATAGATAGCTCTTATTATTTTGAGATACGTCCCATCAAGACCTAATTTATTGAGAATTTTTAGCATGAAGGTTTGTTGAATTTTGTCAAAGGCCTTTTCTGCATCTATTGAGATTATCATGTGCTTTTTGTCTTTGGCTCTGTTTATATGCTGGATTACATTTATTGATTTGCGTATATTGAACCAGCCTTGCATCCCAGGGATGAAGCCCACTTGATCATGGTGGATAAGCTTTTTGATGTGCTGCTGGATTCGGTTTGCCAGTATTTTATTGAGGATTTTTGCATCAATATTCATCAAGGATATTCGCCTAAAATTCTCTTTTTTGGTTGTGTCTCTGCCTTGCTTTGGTATCAGGATGATGCTGGCCTCATAAAATGAGTTAGGGAGGATTCCCTCTTTTTCTATTGATTGGAATAGTTTCAGAAGGAATTGTACCAGCTCCTCCTTGTACCTCTGGCCACGCATGGGGAGATCACCATGTAGCTGAAGAACTCTGCCCAAATCTCTGGAGTTCTGTTTATGGGTTACTCCTTCCTATCTGGTACCCTGCCCACAAATTCGAGATGCCTTGACCCAAAGCCTGGTTCCTGTCTTCTCAACTCAGCAAGAAATCCAGGCTCTGCTTAGTTCCACCTCTCTGAGCTTTGATCTAAAAATTACCTTCCAGGCAATGAACTAATGCAATCATAAGGCTCATCTCATGTATTTTCCTTCTCTAACAGATCACTGCCCTGTGCTACTAATTGTTCAGTGTCTGAAAACCCTTGCTCATGTACTTGTTTTTCTAGTTGGTTAAGGCATGAGGGTAAATCCAGTCCCGGCCTCTTGACCAGAAACTGAAGTTCCCTATTTAGTTTTGATGCTGAACTCCTGGAGTTAGAAAAGTAGTAACAGCTTTTTACTGCTGAATTTTATCCTGTTTGTTCTAATCAGTAATTCTTTGTTTTCAAAACTTAAATATAAGAGGAAAGCTGCTTTTATTTTTTATACATTCTGTGTTTGAGGTTCTATTGACTATTTTTAGCCATCCATTTTGTAATGGCTGATACGTTTATTTGCTTCTTTATGTGCCAAGAGTGGTGCTGTCTCATTCAACTACAAAAAACAAACAAACAAACAAACAAAAAACTCTATGAAATGGACATCTTCATTTCATAAACAGGAAACTGAGATTCAGAGAAGTTAAGTTTAAATGTCATGGCATTGTTTTTGACACTCTACATGTATGAAATTAAACTCCCTTGACACTAGTCTTAGTTTCCTTATCCATACCAGTTTTCTTTTCCCCTCTTTTGCTCTTTTTGTCTTAATTTTTACATAATTATTGTTTTTCAAAGAGACATCTACAATCCTGTTTTTCATGATGCAGACTGGTTTCAACAGAAGAAGAAATAATTAGGTACCATTTCAAAAGCTTGAATTAATGCTTAGGTAAGTGGGTTTAAGAAAATCATTAGCAATATGGTTTCTGTCAACATTGTAGTTCCAAGGTATTTGGTTTCCTCGAGATATTATAATATTTTATAAATCAATACTATTTTCATTTTGCAGGAGGAGCTGAAGATAAAATAAAATTGTTTCTTGGCAAAGGACATTTTTGGATTCAGAAGGTAGATCTAGAATAAAAACCCATTAAAAATTGAACTGAAATGCATTAGACTGTCAGTTGCAAACTAGAGCCATACATTGCTACTGACCTCAATCCCATGCATTCTGTTTGGGATTTGCTTCCTTTCCTCATCTAATAATTTATGTGCTCAATGAACTGAGTCATCATCACAGGAAAGAAATAGAATGTAAGGATAATATTTCAAGTGCAGCCACTGCTGGAGTGAAGATGGAGTTTAGAATGCTGGCAATGGAAATCAATGTAAATTTCAACAGAGCAAAGCAGATATTGTTGAACATCACAATAGCTTCTGAGACTTCTGAGTGCCAGCCACACTCATGGGACACAGTTTATTAAGGTTCCTATTACCAGACACCAAAAAACTGGTATGGATAAGAAACCCAAGACTTCACGTTAAAGGAATTTTAGTTCATACATTCTGAGTGCCAAAACAATGCCATGACATTTAAACTTAATTTCTCTGAATCTCAGTTTTCTCTTTGTAAAATGAAGATATACATTTTATAGAGTTTTTTTAAATTGAATGAGACAGCACCACCAGTTGAGCACAAACTCACTTATTTATTGAGCCCTCTCTATGTGCACCACCATCAGCACATAGAAAGGGCTCAATAAACAAGTACAGTGATACATTGTTTAACAGTGAGGATACATTCTGAGAAATGAGTCTTAGGTGATTCTGCTGTCATGTGAACATCATAGAGTGCACTTACACACATCTTACACACATACCTACACATACTTAGACATGGTATAGCCTACTACATAGCTAGGCTAGCCTATTGTTTCTAGGCTGCAGACTTGTGCAGCATGTTACTGTATTGAATATTATAGGCAAATGAAACACAATGGTATTCATGTATCTAAACCTGGAAAAAGTACAGTAAAAATAGAGCATTATAATCTTGTCGGACCGCCATTGTTGATTGAAATGTTATACAGTGTATAACTGTACTTTTTTACTTTCTATATAAAGAGCTTAAAAAAATACTGAGGGTAATATGGTTGTTTCAAATGATTACAGCACAGTCAGTTGTATCAAATTCTATTCATTTTCACTAACTGGAAAGGTAATATTTGAAATAGGGAAGATAAACACTTATCTTAATGTATTAAAAGGCTTAATTTAGTATTGAGGCAGGTAGGAATTTCAGAGGCCCTTTGATCTGATTTTTTTTCTGTTAGTCAAAAAATAGGACCTCAGAAGTTTACATTTATCTGAGATGAAGCCTCCTTAGTAAATCTGAGACCCTTTCATTATTGTTCGGTAATCACTACTTTATTAGGAACAGACTTACACTGTTTTACTATCATGGAATCAAATACATTTGAAGTTTGAGAAGCTTCAGAAAGCAAATTGTGGTTATTTACATGTTTTCTTGCCTTTTCTATTTCCTGCATCTAATCTGATGGTAATTCCAAGTCATTATTAAATAGTTGTTATCCTTTTGGAGTACAATATCTGTCACATAACCACTTTAATTTTAAAGGCATTTTAGTGCATTCTTTATGATGCTTACAAGTGTATGTAATAACAGTTGTCTTAGTCCATTTTCTGTTGCTGTAGAAGAATAACTGAGACTGGTAATATATAAAAGAAAGAAGTTTAGCTAGCTTATGATTCTGGAGGCTGGAGGGCCAAGATTGGGTGGCCACATCTGGTCAGCCTCTGGTAAGAACCTCATGCTGCCTCATAACGTGATGGAAAACTGGAAGGAAACCAGGTATGTGTGAAAAAAGGGAAAAACACAAGAGGCAGCCTTGTTTTATAACAACCTGCTGTAGTGGGAACTAATCTATTCCTGAGAGAACTAACCCAGTCTTATGAAACATACATTAATCCATCTTAATGACCATGTTATTTACCTCTTGAAGACACCACCTCCCAACACCACCTCATTGAGAACCAAGCCTCAATATGAGTTTTGGTGAGCACAAACCATACTTAAATCATAGAAATGGCCAAACTTAGACTTATAGTGAGGTTGAAAGCCCCTGGCTTCCAGCCTTCCTCATCTCTCCCTAAGCATCATCCTTGAGAACCAAGTCTAAAGAAAAACCAAAGATGGCCTGCTACCAAGCATAATTTTGCATTTATTAAGACACAGGAATCTGTGGTGATTGGAAATGCTGGGTCCAGGACCTTGTGTGAGGGTAAAGTTTTCTATAATGGGACAAAAATGAGGACCTCATTTTTTTCTCTCAGTTCAGTTACCAATTCAGAGCTCAAAAACATACAAAAACCCAGCAAAACCAGGCTACCTTGTGAAGTATTGATTTGCCTTTCCTGTTTGCTAAAATTAACTGATATAATTGACAAATAAACTTGCTTCAGAGTTAACTCAATTTCTATACCTGCCTAAAGGACTGTATAAGGTTTCATTCTACCTCATCATGGCGGATTTAAGCTTATATGCCTCATCCTAACTGAATATTTTGCTTTGGTGTAACTTTAATTAAGCATTATCTGTTTTGATCCAACACTTACTGCCTTCTTAATGTAGATCTTCATATTTTCATATTTTACAGAGACATAAAACAGGAGTTAATTGGATTTTGCTTTCTTTTCCCACAGTTTTCATTTGTGTTGGCTACTGCTACTTCCTTTGGTTGATATTGTGCATGGTTTTGAACTTTTTGGAACAGGACATGATCACTTTCTTCATTTGTTTATTCAGAAATATTTATTGAGTGTCTTTTGTAAATCAGTTGTTTCCAAGCATCGAATGTGACAGGTGAAGTGTCCATGTTTGTGGTGCTTATGCTATTCTGGTGGTAAGAAATAGCCAACAGATAAATCAAATACATAAGATGCTCTTACTCAGCAATGAGTACTATGAAAAAATATAAAAGGGAAATGAGATAGAGTGACTGAGCAGGAGATCATTTTAGACATTGTAGTCAGAGAAAGACTCTCTAAGAACAAAGGGGGCTACCCTGCAAGCAGCTAGGAGATGAGTGGAACAGGCAGAGCAATAATAGTAAGGGTGCCACAGAGAGAAGGGTGGTGTGGCTGGAGGAGGGGGTGGCAGGGGGAGAAGGGTGTCAGACAAGACTACAAAGTGAGGGGGGAGGTACACTATGCTCAAAGACTCATTGGCAATAATGGCAAACACTTCTGTGCTCTAGACATAAATTAATTTAATCCTCAAAACCACCCTGTGAAATGGGTACTACTATTATCATTGTCCCTGTTTTGCAGATGAGGAAACTAGGGCACAAAGAAGTTTAATAACTTGCCCTATTGCCTGTCACACTGCAGTAAGGGTTGGTGTGAGTACTTGAAAGCTGATCTGAACTACTCTGTTAGGTTGCCAGTTTTTGTCTTTCTACTCCTTTCATTCAGCTTTAATCAATAACAAGAAGCCTGTTGGCTAAATGAACATAGATCCTTTTTTAAAAATATATATTTTAGTGCACTTAAAATTTACTCTAGCTTCTAGCTTCAGCTCAAGTCCCAACTTCTCTGCAAAGTTTTTCTTTCTTTCAGTTCATTTAGGAAGTTATCAAATGTACATATGAGCATCTTATATGGCATACCAGCACCAGGCCTCAGGGACAATCAAAGCCATATAAAACTGACCCCAAATCCCCAGAACCTGTCCCGCGTCCAGTCAGGGAGCTGCACATCAAGGAAGTGTGCTCCAGGCACGAGGGGCCCATGAGTACAGTGGATGTTGCGGTCACTTCTTCAGAGAAGGGAGACACAATCCGAAAGTCTGAGATCAAGACAGGCCAAATGAAAGGGTGAAATCTGAGAGGGCTATGAACAGTTGCTGTATTTGGTAGGCTGAGATGGGTGAAGGGTCTACATCTTCGAGCCAAGATGAACTGAATCAATACCTGCCACATAATAGTTTCTTGAATTCCTTTTTGTTTGTCACGTCTATCTCATGGCTCCACTTTTCATTCTGGGCTGGGCTGAATCATTCTTTAGTTATTTCATTTGTGACAGTATCATGTCCTCATTCAGACCATGATATCAACTCAGGGCTGAAACCACCCAAGAAACCTCTTTTTTACCTTATGTTAAGGGGCTGGCATGACATTGAAGGAAAGCCCTTAACACAGTGAAAATATTTACAAAGATCTTAACAAACAAAAACAATCTCCATTCTCCAACAAGACAAACACATTTCCTTTGCCTAGTAGATTTGTCTATGCCTGCATTTTATATGAACTGTACTAAGCATTTAAGAACTTAAAAATAACTGCTTTTAAAAGACTTTGATGATGCATTTAGATGGTAAATGTCAGATAGTGAAATTTAGGAAATTACAAAGTTGAGTTCTTATGACAGTCAACCCAGCCACTTTCCAAATATTTTCATGTCTATATTAAGCTGTTCTTTTTAGAGGCTGGGTAAATGTCATAACTGCAATCCTGGCTTGTTAACACCGTTAAGGATTTTATCATTCTAAAACTCTTAGTGTGGAAAGTACCAAAAGCTCACACTTCCCATTAAATCCAGGATTAACTACACTAGGTTCTCATAAAGTATCTTTATCACGGCAATATGAATGTATTCATTTATAATGCTGATGATGTGAAGTAGCAAAGATCCCAGAGTAAAAAGATCTGGACCTACAGAACCTCCAGAGGAAGGCTGACTAAAGAGGCAGAAATCCCTGCCCTGGGTGATTGAGGACTCCTCTCATATTACAGGGTTTAGGGAGAAGAGGACAAAGAAAAGAGACAGGAAGAGATGTGAGGGGACATATTTATGAATAAGATGCTCATCACAGTGCTATTTATAATAGTGCAAACCCGAAAACCAGCTAAATATTTCCAGAAACTAGGGAAATGTTTGAATAGTTTAAGGGAAAGCACATAATGGAATATTCTAAGTCCATATCAAATAGTTTTTTGAAGAATATTTTAAGACAGAGTATCCTCACAATATAACGGTAAGCAGGTACAAGTGGGACCCAATTTCTCTATAAGGCATAATACTAATGTGGGGTAGAGTAGGTGAGGAGGGCCAGGGGACTACCAAAAAGAAAGTCTTTTTGGAAGGAAATACATTAAAAGATATTTTTATGTTTTCCAAATAATCTCAAATGTGTGCATTTATCTGTTTAGCTCTTGCTGTGCCCTTTTAATCTCAGTATTATGTCGCAAATTATGAGAAAATTTCAGCAAGTATCTTTTTAAATATTACTTTTCTGCTATTACCTTTTTTTTCTCTTCTATACCTTCTATTAGAAGAATGTTGGAGCCTCTTGGTCTCTTTGCAGTCTCTTACCTGTCTTTGGTATTTTTTCACTATTTTAACTCTCTGTGTTGCACTCTCCATGGGTCCTCAGGGTATTTTCTCTTTTTTCCTTTTTCCCTTTGTTTTCATTCATTGATTTCTTATTTTAGAAAATATATTGTTTTCATTTCTGTGATTTCTAATTTTTTTGTGTGTCTAATTTTGTTTTATTTCTGACTTTTTGTTTCAAAGTTTCTTGGTCTTTTATTGTGGGTGTTGGGTTTTTTTAATCTCTCTGATGATCTCAGGCATTTACTTTAAAGTCATTGTCAGATTGCTGTACTTATTTTCTTTACAGCTAGAGTACATTTATCTCTTGGTTGTTGAACATATCTTGGATTTGCTTTTCTTCATGTGTTTTGAGATTTTGGATTGCACTCTCATTTGGAGTGGGAGGGTTTTTTTCTTTGACTTTCTTTTGCTTGCTTGCTTCTCTCTTTGCTCTTTCCTCCTTAGCAGCTTTGCAGTGACCACCTGGACTCATAGGACCTTCAGTCCAGCATCAAAATGTACTTCTGTTATTTGATCAGGGTCACACAAGCGTCTGTGGAGATATTGTGGCTCTTGAAGATGCAGTCAGGAAACCAGAAGAGGGCTTGAGGTGGTTCCTGATGGCTCTGCCATGTTTAATTCCATGGCCCTCATAGCTGTTGGCTGCAGCATTTTCAGCCTCCCCTAATGAGGGCAGAGAATTTCAGCTCTGCTACTGATTTCAGGAAGAATCCTAGCAATGGTACCCTTCACATAGGACATATATGTTGGTCTCTATGGCCTCATAGAAATGGAACTTCTAGCCATCTCTACATGCATCTGAACAAGAACCCAGGTGCCCTGTAGCTTCAGCCACACTTACTGCTTTCTGTTTCTACTTTGTTATCTATACATAAAACATTGTGTGTGTGTGTGTGTGTGTGTGTGCGTGTGTGTGTGTGTGTGTGTGTGAGAGAGAGAGAAATGTTTGGTGGGAGAAATTTTCAAAGTATATAGCTTAAATAAGAATCAAATTTATTGTAGAAACATATGCATTTCACTTCTACAGTATAAATGGCACTTTTTCAAAGTAGGGATGAAAACTAGAGAGCAGCAGTTGTTTCCTCAAAAATAAAGACAACCATAAACATAAAAAGACACTCTTCGGGTTCCCATTAAAAGAAGCAGCAAGCTAAAGATAAGGAAGATTTTTTTCCATCTTTAAAGTATAATTTGTCCATAGACAAAAAGAAAAATATGGTCAGCTGATCCCTCCCAATGAGACAGAGTAAGCTGTCAAGTGCTTACCATCTGGTTCAGCTCCTAATCCAGATGGGCTGACAATAGTAATTTATGAAAGGTTTGAAAGCAACTTGCCATTCTTCAGAAATAATCATTAGAACACATTAACATTGGAATTTGCTTCCCTCCTCCAGCCCCAATTTACAACAAATGCAAAGATAGGGCAACTGCTTCCATACAGTAAATAGAGCAGTCTATTCTTGAACCAGAAGTCAATACGTCTGTGCTCTTTGAGAAAAAAAAAAAAAGCAATTATTTTTCTTCCCCCTCCACTTCCCTCTATTGGCTCAATGAATAAGGGAGAGAATGTTCTCATTTGGAGTTTCTAACAAATGCCTGAAGAAGCTTTCACAGTCTGTGATGCTTGGAAAAGTCAAAGTCAACCTCAGGAATAATCTGATCTACCGCATGTTCACACTACAGACAGGCATCCTCTAATCCATTCTTACAGAGACAGCCCAAAGGTCAATCAATATTTCCAGTGCAAATCACAAAGCCACAGACTGTTAGAGCTAGAAGTCTAAGCCCATTGTTAGCCCCTCTCCCACCCAATCAGGCTGCACATGAGCAGTGTTACTTCCAAATCAGAACAAAATGACAGGCCACCACGTTTTTGGTTCAACCAAGTGTCTGTTACCCACCGTCAGTTCTTGTCTCATCATTAATTTAATAGGACTGTAAAGTAATAGGACTCATTTCTGGGAGACTGATGAGATTCTATCAATTTATTTTCAGTTCATGTAAGAATTGCTGGCAAAGAGTGGGGTCATACCTTTCTTTTGATCAGACCACCTGCCGTTCAGGTGCTGAGGAAATTGTTAATATGCATGCTATGCAGGTTTTAAAATGTTTCAGAACTTTCAAAAGGAAAGTCCGGTATCATCGTATAAAGTTTCTAATGGAAAAGGATGGAATCAGGGCTGAATGTAACCCGCAGATTAGGGTGTCACTAAGAAGGAATAGAAAAAGCCCTAGGACTGGGAATGTGATGGATATATTCTAATTGGGAATGAGAGAAAAGGAACTGGTTACTGCCCAATCAGACAGAGATGACCTAGTTATAAGGGCATAGAGAGAGGGAAATGGGAACTGGCTAGAGTAACCAAGATGAATGAAAACTTCTCTTCCCGAGAAAAGGATCTAAGCCACATGTGAGAGTGGAGTACACACAGGACGGGCAATGGTGCACAGAATGACAAGGCAGTTCAGTCTGTCCCTCTAAGGCTTTAAATAGAAGGAAGTATTGAGCCAAACTACACATGATAAATTTGGTTTAACGTAACTATAAATGCTAAAGCATACCAAAGAAGAAATTGGGCAGTCTTTGGATAGCCTAAAACTTCTACAAGTGGCCAAAAGTGCAAGTCATCATTGTTTAAAACTACTGGACACTGTTACTACGACATTTCAAATATGGTAACTGCGCATATGTTCTTCTCAATCTTTTTGTGTTTTCTTCCCTTAAATAATGACCAGAGACTATTTTATTTGATTTGAAAATGGGCATTGATATTCTACTACTTATAAGGCTATGTGTTCAGGGCTACAAGGGATATAAGAATAAATAGGACACCATTTATTTCCCTCAAAGAATTTACAACACAATAGATACACATAATAAGGCATAAATCACCACAAAATGAGACAGAATCTCCAAGGTTACTGAAAAACAGAGAGAGAGAGAGAGAGAGAGAGATCCTATATGATTGGTTGTAATTCACCTAAATTAAAATTGCAGGTTGCTAAAAAGCAACAGTTTTATGGAAGGAATGCTTGGTTTGGTTTTGTTTACCTATTTTTTGTGCTGGAGGGACCTTCAAGAAACGTAGTAATTTGAGCAAGCTACCATGACCCTCTAGTGGCCACTTTGAAAACTACAGCAGGCATTGCATTACTTAGAAAAGCCAGCCAGTTTCAAAGGAGCCTGTCAGCCAGGCCATCCCTGTTTCTATGACAGCCGAGAACACTCAACTCAAGGCAAAGTGAAATTTTAGAGGAGAAAATACTCCCTACCCCACATCATGTGTCATAGACCCAGAAAAAGCACTATGAGGTGGCAGAGTGTGACCTCTGAGATCAGATGTCAGCCATTTCAGAACTGGGCCAGTTACTGAGACTGTCTCTGTTCCTCAGTCTACTTATCTGCGAAATGGGGATAACAATCCTACTCAGCTCACAGGGTTGTTATGAAGATTAGAAAACAGACTACTTTTTAAGAATGGTGCCTTATCACAGTAAGAGCTCAATAACTGTTTTTATTAGTTGTCGTTATGGAATTTTATGGTACAAACTAAACCAATGTAATCTGTTTTTCCTTAAATTTCCTGAAGGTAACATGTATAACTAATCATGAATTTAATAAAATTATTAAGTATATAAGTCTATTCAGGTAGCAAAGAGACTTGAAATTAAATCAAGTCTTTGCTGCTTATATTAGCTGTGTGTCTCTAGGGCAAGTTATGTCACCTGTGAAGGCTCAGTTTCATTGGCTAAAAATTGAAGTTATTGCTACTTTTCTGACACTTCACAAAGTTATTTTAAGGATTCTATCAAATAATGCATCTAATGCACTTAACAAAGTGGCATGTCTGTTGCGAGAATGTATTAAATAGTAGCTATTATGACTATATGCAAATTTATAAGAAGTGTGCATCTATAATCTATATTTCCCATGACACTGTACAATTGAGTGATGCCATTTTAGAAAGAGAGTTCATTTTGTATTCAAATGGCCAAAGAGGAGGCTGGGCTCAGTGTCAGTGTTGAATTAGAGCAACATAATTAAGACAAAGTAGGGATTCAAGTGGGAAATTTGGGAGCAGGAGGGGATGCTAGAGCAAGTTCAGGTCAGAGTCAGAGAGTGGGTCTGAGTTCTGGTACTTCTGGTACCTGAGACATCATGGCTAGGACTTATAGATAACTGCAAGAAGCTGGCTAACAGTCTTATTCTTTGGAGAAGGCCAGGGAATAAAAAAGAGTAATGTGAACAGGAATCAAGAGGCTTGGCTGGAGCTGGTTACTGAGATCTAGTTTCCCCTAGGGAAACTTTCAAAATTTGGACTCCCCTCCAAGCTACAGCTTCTTGGGGTCAGGGAGGCCTGTATTCTAAGTTTAGTTGGTAAAATAGCCCCTAACTGGAATAGACACTGAGGGCATTTGGGGTGAGACCACACAGGGCAACTCAGAGGTGGGAGTGGGCACCTTTTATCTTGGCTTTTCTTTCTGAATTGTATTAATCATTTCCAAATTCCTTTTATTCAATAATGGCATTTTCTGCCATTTTCAGCTATGTTTCTTCTCTACGTGTTTGCCCATTTCCTTTCACAACCTTTGTTCTCTGTACCTTCTTTCCACAATGCCCTTTATTCAATTTATTTTTCTCATTCCAGGTTTCCATATTCTGCAGAAAACTTGGAGCCTACAGTATATAGGAAAGCTGGGCTTTTAAATGCCTTTTGAGCATATAATATTTCAAAGTCTAAAGCCTAGTCAAAATACAATTCATATTACCAATACACTGCTTTTGTAGAATTATGGAATTTAGTGTTGTTAAGAACTATTTCTTAATGATAAATGTGAAGAATCTCCTGATGTCTTGATTATATTCTTCACTGTCTCTACGTATTAAAATGCAAAATTAAATGTTTAAAATGTAACATCTGTGAAACATTATGTGCCAGGAATAAGATTACTCATAGTGGTTTCATATTTTCCTCCAATTAAACTTACCTGGGACTTCTGTGGTCCACAGGACACACCTCAGTGTTTTCCAGCTCTATAGTGGCATCGTCATCACTCCAGTGAGGTTACTTTACCTCTCGGTCATTTAGGATCTTGCCCTCATTTCATTACTAATTAAATTCATTTTTACAGAGTCATAAATTAATTATTTTGAGGTAAAATGACTGAAACCTGTACCTTGTTCTGAGCTCTTTTTAAACTCTGGGTAATTAAATTTAAGGGTTATCATGTTCATCTTTATTAATACAGTATGTGAAGGAAATGACTGAGGGGAAATGAAAGACATCAACTTCTTAAATAGTCTTAAGGATAGGTTGGAAAATTTAAGTGTTCATTCCATCAACAATATGAGGAAACTTGTTAAGATATCTTTGGACTAGAGCTAGGGTCCATCTCAAAGTTCATGCATTGTTTTAGAGGCATTTTCATTGTAGGAGCTCTCACGTCACTTTTCTTTGTCTCATGAGGCCAACACAGGCGAAAAAATGATAATGTGAGGCATGGCTTCTTTTTTTTTTTATCAACAAGTATATTTGATTTCTAATTGTTGGTGATAACTTGGTTTTCATGTAATGAATACAGCCTTGAGCATTCATAATCATTGAGAACAAGGACCTTAGTGTTATGTAAATATTTTACCCTATTAGATTAGTAAATGCTTTGTTAATTGGCTGATCCACATTTCTATTCAAAGAGCATCTTTAGATAAATGAAGTTTTTAAATAACATCCTAAGGAAAAGTCGTGGTAAACATACTGTGGCTTTGCCATAAGGTTTTCAAAATATCCTACAGAAATATTAAAAAGTAAGCCTTTAGAAAAGAAGATTAGACCTTGTTGCAAAAACCCATAACTCATCTTTTCCCTCAGGACTGACAGACAAAACAAAAGAATATAATTTTTGCTTCCTGCTATGCCGAGATGATAGCTACTTAACTTCTGTTATCCTAAAGCTGATGCCTTTTACCAACGCCTACCTAACATGAGAGCAGATCTGTTTTCAAATATTCTGTGTTCTATATTGGGGTGGAGTGAATTAACAGCTGGCTTGCTCTGTTCAGCTCTCAGGTGTCCGGCATCCATGAGATGATGGGGTGCATTAAGAGACGAGTGGATCATCTGACCGAACAGTGTTCAGCGCACAAGGAATATGCTCTTAAGAAACAACAACTAACAGCCTCAGTGGAGGGTTACCTACGGAAGGTAGTTTCGTAAACTAAAACTTAAATATCTAAGTTGGTGATAATAGATGATATGGTAGGGCAGTATGTGGGCATGGCGGGAGGACAGGGGCATGTCTCCTTAGGCTGCCCTTATGTACCACATTGGGTCCTTTAATTGAACTAAACAGAGTTGTAATTCACTGTTGTTCATCAACCATCCCTGACCCAGGTGGCCTGTCTGCGCCTCTGGCCTGAAGGTATACACACAAAGGCAGTTCCCGCTTTGCACAGTACTGTGTTAACTGAACCAAGTACAGATGGGAATAGAGTGGATCTTTCATTTGCATGGTTCTGAGCATGGTTCAAATATGCACAAGTTTCTGTTACCATGGTACCATACAACACCAGGACTGTAGACAGGTAGATAGATTGATACATAGACAGATCCCAAATATTATGAGTTTTAGGTTTTTCAAGGAATAAATTGCCATTATTATATTTTATTGAACTAGACCAGTGCAAGGCAACACAGTCATTCTGCATATAAACATACATGTGAAAATCCTCTCTGCAGAGTGAACATGATGGCTTGGTATGGAAGAATTTTACTTCCTGTTTCCAAAGGGGAATAAGACTAAGGAGCTACAATTTGACTAAATAAAAAAATTATTTATCTTTAGTAAAAACTAGTAATATCTCAGTGGCATTGATGCTAATGAATCTTGCTGCAGAGGCTTGGTCTCAAATTTTCAATGATGTTTTCGTTTGATACGGTGGACTTATATGCCTGAACTTACATGAATAGAATTAGTAGACTTCACTGGAGAAGGCATTAAATATCAATGTCTGTATTTAAATTGCTTCCTCACCTGTTATTAATCCAGAAACTTGGGGATTTTATCCTTGTTCTGGTGCCTGGGTTTAGGGAGTTTCCAAATATGGTGGCAGCTGTGGTGCTGCATTGCCTGGAGCTTGAGACCCAAGCTAATTTGGTGGCAGTGGAACAGTAGGACCTCAGCTGTTGCTGCTTGTCCTATTGCCAATTTGGAGCCAATTTGAGTCTGGGGAGTATGGACTAGAGTTAGAGCGAGGGGACAAAGCATGTAACTTGAATGGAACAGAACCCTTCAAGGGTCATTTTAGTCAATGACTCATGTCCACTGAGGATCAAATCATAGTCCTCCAAGCTCATCAATTAAATGTCCTAAGTATGTCCCTGTGTTTTACTATAACACGTCCAGGGTTTGGTGCTCCCCCAGAGTCCCTCTTCCCAAAATACTGCAATGCTCATGCTCTGGATCTTGCCTTTAAAACGTGCCTGTAAATTGGGTCCTATTCAACTCACAGATAAATTCATCTCTGTTGATGTGTTAGCAAGTGCATTATCCTTCATAGGTAATATAGATAAGTTCTTAGAGGATGTGGATGATTGCTTATATCTAATAGCTGTTAATAAAAGAAATATCTTTCAACATAAAACATTTGTTGGTAGACCACAAGTATTACCTCCTATGAAGAGCAGCGTTATTAAAACATGAAATTCTGAATATTTAAAACTATATTAGATTAATACTGATAAAATACATTTCAAGTATAATGAGAATCTATAAAATAATATTTATCTTCCTGACACATGTGCGTACATATATGCAAAAATATATTACTAAGACTGCCATATATTATTCACTCCTAAAGGTGGAAATGTCAATTCAGAAAATCAGTCCAGTACTTTCTAATGCAATGGATGTTGGTTCTACCCGTTCTGAATCAGAGAAGATTTTGAATAAATATCTGGAACTAGATATCCAAGCTAAGGTAAATAAAATGAGAATGATTATTATGGCTATAATTTTGTAAAGATAATTTTAAAAATATTTGATAGCTATAAACTTAATCCTAGCTCACTTGAGGTTTACAATTCTAAATTCATATGTAGCACATAATGACTTAAAAACTCATATTCTTATGTGTCTAAATTATATTTATATGTGCATTTATTAGGGCAGTTGTGTTCACTGAAAGTCAGCATTACGGCTGGGTATTAAACACTCATTTGGTTCCCTTTTCTTGCCTGGGCAGTTTCTCAAAAAAAGCCTCATTTTGGGGGTGGCAGAGGAGGCAGGGACAGTGCTTCTCTGACTATTGGCAATTTTTTTTGCAAGAGCAAGTTACCAAAAAATGACCAGAAGCAACGTGCGTTATTGCAAGATTCCAAGGATATAAATAAAAACAACCTTGTTTGCTTACCTAACATTCAGAGACAGAAAGTGCCCCACCCCCACCACAGCACCTTCTCCAGCTCCCTCCTACCCCTTTCACTTGGCACTTGGCTCCAAACCTGCCCTGAAGTTTCTGTCTGCTCCAGCAAAGTTTAAGGAACATGAGTCAAGTGCCCTCCCCTGGTTCTCCCAGGTCAGCAGGAAGAGGCCTGTGACTCCAGTTCTCAGCAGAAGAGCCTCCTTCATGGACTATGTCCCCACCGGAAACTCACAAACACACCCATTTTTTTGTTAAATTGGGTATTTTTTATTTATTATTTAGAATACTTAGAACTTATGTCTGAACTCCATTTCATTTTTTAATTGTAAACATTTTAGAACTGGGGAGGAGATTACAAGGGAAGAAATTCCCCGCTTCCTTCCTTCCCAGAGTGCTATCATGAAGCAGGGCCTCTAAATTAAAGTTACCTTCATTCAATGTAGTACTTGGGAAGCATATTAATCACAAGTAGGGAAGCAATCTCTCATTGCTGCAGAGCTTTTTCTTTCATTTTGCTTGGTTTTTAGGTTGGTCTCAATGAAATTTTACATGGCTCTTTCTATGACATGCATAATCGTCATGCCCACAATTTCTATTCATCCATTTAATCAGTGGTTGGAGTTCACATAACAGAAATTACACTCAGAAGAAAACATAGGAGAACATCCCTGAGCAAGTCAAAGTCACTGATTTTTTAGGTTATTTAGGCCTGATATGTAATATTTTCCCCACTGGCCCTTCTAGATAGAGATTTAAATAAGACTGCACTATTGATAGGTCATCTTTTTGTAAATTAAAAACTAATAAATAAGTTTTATAAATTTGCCATCTCATATAATAAAATTAGTTTAGGAATTTGCTGGAGGTATTGTTAAATTTCAAATAGCTATCTCATGTATAATTATTTCATTTAAATTATTTAAAACATTTCTAACCTTTCATACCAAACAACCTTTCTTTTATTTGTGACACAGAAAATAGAGTGCTCAAAATAAGTATAGCTGATAGAACCAAGAAGAATTTGAAATGATTTTCATTCTAAAGTGCCCTTTTTTTTTTTTTTAGAATTTTGGAAGTTGTGTCTTTCTTTATTGAGGAGATTCTTGGTATAAGTTCAATTAGTGATCATAATTGGTGGATATGCAGAAGATAATGAAACGTGAATGTTCATGATTCCCCTGTCAGTTTCTGACCTCCAGTGCTTTGCTTTTACAGGAGACATCACATGAATTAGAAGCAGCTGCAAAAACCATGATGGAGAAAAATGAATTTGTATCTGATGAAATGGTATCACTTTCCTCTAAAGCTAGATGGCTAGCAGAAGAATTAAACCTATTTGGCCAAAGCATTGACTATAGATCGCAAGTCCTGCAAACTTACGTGGCATTTCTGAAGTCATCAGAGGAGGTATGGTACTATGTGTTAACCTTCTTCAGCAAGGTGGCCACTGCCCATGTCCTTGCTTTCTGTGGGGATATATGCTCTGCCTTGGTGGGTAGGTCCATATCCTCTACCCCTGTGCGTGGGCTCACTTATAGGCCCTGTATTCTTGTAAACCAAAGAGTGATTGCAGCAGTTCTCAATCTATAAAGGTTTATTTAGCCAAGGTCGAGATATGCCTGGGAAAAAATTAAAATCCCAGGAGCACCTGTGACCTGTGCGTTTTCCAAAGGGGGGTTGGGGAACTTCAGTATTTAAAGGAGAAAGGGCAAGCACAAGGAAAACAAAAAGGAGGGAGGATAGGCAGTGAGGCAGCTGGTTACATTCTTGTGAGGCTCTGATTAGCCTCAGCAAATCTACATTTTACATGTGAAAACCTACATTTTTACATGGGGAAAAAGTAAATTATGCATTGTTGCACACCTAGTAAATCTATATTTTACATAAGATAAAGTAAACATGTGAAAATAGGGAGTAGAGGCTATGACATAAAGCTGTAAAATTACAGTTATCTGTTTGGAAACAAAAGCAAAGCAGTTTTTCTGTGTGTGATCCAGTTCCCAAGCTTAACTTTCCCTTGGTCATAGTGAGTTTGGGGTCCCGAGATTCTGGTTTTTTTTTTTTTTTTCTTCACATTATTCAAGGCACCATACAAAGGCTCAAAAAATAAGTTGTTGTATTAAAAATCATACAAATTTGTGCATGTGGATACTGTGGTATATGCACAAATAAACAAACTGGTTATATTGGAATAATTTTTACTACGTCCTACAAATATTTACAATATCCTAAACATACAACAAAATTATTTCAAAACAGTCATCTTCTAAACCATGGATCTTTTTGAATACCTTAGCAGTTAGTGTGGTTCATTTGAAATACACAGAATTGGAAATTACAGGCCTCTGGGTTCAGTCTCGAATCTGCCTTGTGTGATGTGTCTTCATATGTTACCCCTCAGAGCTTCTTCTGAGGCCTTATTTTGTCTGGTTATACTAGATGACCTCTAATATTCCCTCTAGTACACTGGATTCCATCTCAAAGGTCATTGCTTCTTGAAGCTGTCATCAGTAATAGAAAAGCCCTATTTTATTTTCCCAGTTTATTTAACCCCAATCCTAGTAATCCCCATGCAAATGTAGATCACACTCCTCTTCAGGCAGATGGGTGCTGGTTTAGTGGGAGGCAGAGCCAGTAGGGTTCACTCAGGGGTAGAGCCAACCCAAGATAAGTATGTGCTTGATTTTTTCCATCTTCTCACCTTTACCTTCTCAACACCTTCCTTCTTACCTCTCACCACCACTGTCCTGCAGGCACATCTCTCCTCTATCCAATTCCTTTATAATATTCTCAATTCACCACTGCATCCTTTTCTACATTTTTACTCAACCGGTTTGTCCTTTCTGACTTCTTTTTAGCTTTTTCTCTTTATTTTCTTTTTTCTTAATTTTTGATTTTTGTGGATACATAGGTATATATATTTATGAGATGATTTGATGCAGGCATGCAATGTGTAATAATCACATCATGGAGAATGGTGTATTCATCCCCTCAAGCATTTATCCTTTGTGTTCTTTTTAGTTCTTGACCCTAAACTCTTGTGGTTTGGCAAGTTCCAAACTATTCCCAACTGACAGAATTATCTTGTTGATGAATATTATAATGCAGGACATGAAATGGTAGAGAAGCTACAAAGAAGTGCTTGCTTTCTGCATCTTCATTGCCGAAAATGAACCTCCTTAGCTTTCATTTAAGCATCAACTTTGATCCACTCTGGCCTTTGGACCAGGAGGCTTAGCTTTGCAAACAACAATTTAATCAAAACATTTTAGCTTCCTGCTTTCTATTTTCTGCTAAATCTGTTTTCCTACCTGGCAGAGTCTTCCATCCTTCCAATCCTGGCAATGCTCCCCGTACATTACTTCACTCCTCCTCTGGCTTTCCTTTCTTCCTCACCAGCTAATGGTTACTCATTTCCTTTCCATCCTCCATCCCCTCAACTCCCTGCCCTCCACCCTGACTAACCCTGCCAACTCCCAATACGAGATCAATCCAATACTCTGTTTACTCAGCCTTTCCTTCCAAGCTTCCAGACGCTCCAGTGGAAAATCATACAATTGTGCTGATTGGCCCCGTTACAAATGCACGGGCCTCTGCTTCAGCTAGGTCTCCCATATGCTCCCTAGTTGGCTCCCATTTGGTAGCAATTCTCAAGCATCTCACCTTAGTTTCTATCCCTAAATCTCATCCAATGTTCTTAACTCATACGTCCCTGAAAAAAAAAATGAAGCCATTGAGAATAATGGCCTTGACTTCCAAACTTGTTGACATATTCACCTGTCCTCCATGGGTTCCAATAAACTAAAGTCTTTGCTCCTGTTCAGCACAAATCTGTGATTAGTTCTTTCCTGAATATTCCTACGTCCTTCAGCATCTAGCTCCAGCAATCATCTTCTAATTTTTATTTTTTAAAATTTTATTTATTATTACTATTATTTCAGACAGAGTTTCGCTCTTGTTGCCCACGCTGGAGTGCAATGGCGCGATTTTGGCTCACTGCAACCTCTACCTTCCAGGTTCAAGTGATTCTCCTGCCTCAGCCAGGAGTAGCTGGGATTACAAGCACGCACCACCATACCCGGCTAATTTTTGTATTTTTAGTAGAGAGGGGTTTCTCCATGTTGGTCAGACTGGTCTTGAACTCCCAACCTCAGGTGATCCACCCACCTTGGCCTTTCAAAGTGCTAGGATTACAGGTGTGAGTTCCCACACCTGGCCATCCTCTAATTTTTAACAGGTTTCTTTTCCATTGCTTCTTTTCCTTTGTTCTACAGTGATGTCCTTACAGTCTTGCCCTCACCAAGGCTACCACTCCATCATTTTATTTCCCTTCAAATGTAGACTGGTGTGTGTGTGTGTGTGTGTGTGTGTGTGTGTGTGTGTGTGTGTGTGAGAGAGAGAGAGAGAGAGAGAGAGACAGGGTCTCACTCTGTCACCCAGGCTGGAGTGCAGTGGCATGATCACAGCTCACTGCAGCCTCGACTTCCCCAGGCTCAGGTGATCCTCCCACCTCGGCCTCCCAGGTAGCTGGGACTACAGGTACGTGCCACCAAGCCCAGCTAATTTTTTTGTATTTTTTTTTGTAAAAATGGGGTTTCTTCATGATGCCCAGGCTCAAATTTGGACTCTTGAAATGGGAAGAAGATATTCCTCACCTCTACTTGCTCATCCTGTCCTTGTCCCACTGCAATTCGCTTTATTCCTGTTTCAACCCTTCCACTTGCGACCTCTTCACTCCATTAAAAACGTTCTTTTAAGCTACCTACTGGTTGACAAATTAAGTGGCATATTTTCAGTCTTCATCCTCTTAATCTTTCTGCCGTATTTATTTGACCCAGTTACCCACTCTCACCTCCTTTGGGTTTCTTTTTTGAAAGAACAGATTTACTAAGGTAAAATTTACATAGCATAAAACTCACATATTTCATAATGCAATGATTTTTCCTATATTTATAGAATCATGCAACCACCATAGCACTCCAGTTTTAGTATATGTCCATCATCCCCAGAAGAGCACTGGCATACATTTTTAGTCAGTCCTGGCTCCCACCCCCAGCCTCAGGCAAGTACTGACTACTTTCTGTGCCTCTAGGTTTGCCTTTTCTGGATATTTCACATAAGTGGAATAATCCTGTCTACTTCTTTGTCTGTTCCTTCTCCTTTCTCCTAATTCACTTTCCTTTTTTGTTCTTAAAGCGTGGTGGGTCATAGAATTCTTGCCTGTGCCCTCTCTTTTGCACATTGTACCCACTTTTTCTACAAAAACCACATTCCTACCTATGGTTTCTTCACCAATAACTCAAAAGTGGTTCCTCAGCCCCAACTGTCATGAGCTCCAAACCAATGCTTTCCGTTAGCTATGTATCCTGTAGACTCCTCCAACTCAGCAAAACACAGCTGGTGTCTTTTCCTCAAATATGCTTTTCCTTCTGTATTTTGGCATTGGGTTAATGACTCCACCATCCTTTCAGGAATCCTATGTAGAAGCTTCTATGTCTCTTTTAATCACTTTCTCAGTGAGCATTTACTTTGTACTAGGTACTGTGCTTTTCATTCCTGATTTTATTTAATTCTTATAACACCCTATGTTTTAGTTACTATGATCCCCATTTTGTAAATGTGGGAAACTGAGGATCTGAGGGGTGAGGTGTGCAGGATCAAGCACTAGCAAACATCAAAGCTGAAGTTTAATCCCCAATTCTTTCCCTTTTGTTTTTTCTATTTCAAAGGCCATGCTCTCCCATATCTGTTTATTGAGCCAACCTAAAAGATTTCTGAACTCCCCTTTCTCGGCACTTGTACCATCACTTCCTCGGTTCAGGCTGTCATCATCTCTTATCCAGCTTAATGACGTCATCTTCTGCCTGCTCAATTTGCCTCCTATATTTCCCCCTTCACACTCCCCTTCTTTTTGCAGCCAAAACAAAAGACATTCTAAGGCAAATCTGATCACATTACCTCCTGAAATTCAGGTAATTTGACAAGTGTAATAAAGCAATTGCAAATAACTTTTATCACAAATGAATAAAGTCTTAAAGTTTATCATTAATTCACCTAAATCAACTAGTACAGAGTTAAGGGAATTTCTATAATAATATGGTTCTCATTTGCATTCAAGGAGTCTTTTTTGAACAGTTGGAAAAGAAGGATGAATTAAAGTTTATGTTTTGAGAATTGCACATAACTGACTGCCCATAATATTGACACCCAGCCTATAATGGATGATCTTATTGAAGCCCTGATGATTGCCATGCTGATTCCGACTCATCTATCGGTAGTTTCAACCTAATGAGAATGTATCTCAGTTATATTGGTTACAGCAGGAAACAGGTTGAAACCTGCTGGCCAGTTTTATCCCAGCACGAATATCCCTCTGTCTATTACCATTCAGCTTGTGCAACCTGTACTTCACTCACACTAAGATCATGTATTGTCCTCTGAATCAGCGAGTGTCTTCACAGCTAGTGTTTCACACTTTTACACAAGTTATCCCTCCCATCTGGGATCCCCTTTGACGCCTTCTCACTGTGGACAATTTCTCAAGACACAGATCAAACGTCACTTCCTTTGGGAAGCTCTTCCCTATTTACTCCATATAGAGTTGGTGGTCTCTCCTCAGTGTGCCCATAATATTGTCTGTATATGTGTCTTTGTGTTGTAATAATTTGATTATGGCTCTCTTTCTCCTAGAGCTATTTTTGAGTACCCCCCAAAATAGTTAATTATTACTAGGGCATCTTAGAAGGCTCCATGGAGGAAGTAGCATTTTAACTGCTCATGAAGGATAAATAAGAGAAGAAAATTGAGGAAAGATCATTCTGGGCTGAGGGAACAAGCATCAGCAAAACATAGAGGCATGTATAAATGGAATATGGAAATGAGGAGACAGCTTCTGTTTCTGAGAGCTATTTGCAGGCTCTCCTATGAAGTTCAGTTAAATTAAGAAAAATGTGAAAATCTTTAAAATATAGTGACTAACCATTGCCTGAAATTTCTTACCCTGTTTAGATTGCTCTTGGGAGTTACAAGCTATTTAAGTCTGGTCCTGTCAGCCATTAGTATTATTGAAAATGCATACAAACTTGTGTCAAATAATTTCTACTATTTCTACGTCATCCAATTACATATTAATCTGTAGGTCTACAGACACATTTGATTTTACATAAACTCTGATCAAGGGGAGTGATTTAAAATGATCTAATATTGCTTACATTGGTTAGCAAATGAGAAAATATAATTCCAGGGAGGCATAGTAATTTACCTTAATAAGAGATTAGCTCTTGAAGGCAGTTTAGTATTATACTTTGGCAGAAAATTAGTAATTATTTATACTTTTTTATTCTGGTTTATTGCTGATTAGAAGTAAATTGTGATTTACTAATAATCTTTCACTGGCCTGTATTTCTTACTGATTTGTATCGTCTGATTCCATGTATGCATCTTTCTTCTGAATTATAAAACTTGGCTTTAAATGAAACCACACAGGTCTTTGACATAAATTGTCCCAAATTGAAAAACATACAAACACAGAATTTATAAATATGATTTTGGCTTCAATAATTAGTTTTTATGCTTATTAAACCTGTCAGCTCAGTGTTCTACCCAAACAATCAACAATCCAAATAGATTTTTTGAATCTTTTCAATAAGTTGAAAATATTCAATAATTATTTAAATAATTCTGAAAATGGGCTGGGGTTGGCAGCTCATGCCCGTAATCCCAGCACTTTGACAGGCCAAGACAGGAGGATCTCTTGAGCCCAGGAGTCCGAGACCAACCTGGGCAACATAGCAAGACCTCGTCTCTACCAAAAAAAAAAAAAAAAAAAATTAGCCAGGCCTGGTGCCGGGTGCCTATAGTCTGCAGTTTTTAGCCATTAATACTTGGAAGATGAGGAGAGAGGATTGCTTGACCCCAAGAGTTTGGGGCTGCAGTGCGCTATGGTGGTGCCACTGCACTCCAGCCTGTGTGACAGAGCAAAGGACCTTATCTCTTAAAATAAATAAAATAAATAAATAAATAAATAAATAAATAAATATGTTTACAAATTAAAAATTCAGAAAATGTAGTTTTAGGTTTTATATAGGTTTTTATTGGAATCTACTGTTCTTTTTCTTTAAAAAAATGTGTTTAAGTGTTCTTAACTCTCTTTTTTCTTTTTTAGGTAGAGATGCAGTTTCAGAGCTTAAAAGAATTTTATGAAACCGAAATCCCTCAGAAGGAGCAGGATGATGCTAAAGCCAAGCATTGTTCTGACTCGGCTGAGAAGCAGTGGCAGCTATTTTTAAAGAAGAGTTTTATAACACAAGATCTAGGGCTTGAGTTCCTTAATTTAATAAATATGGTAAGAATGGCATTAAATGGATCACACCTTCTGCAGGGATACTCATCAAAGTCAAAATAATAATTTCAAAGGTTCAGCTGTCTATTAATCAGCAGTTCTCTCCTAGGGAGTTCTCTTTAGCTTCATTCAACCTAGACCAGTCCTGAAGCCCAACATTTAAATGCTTGCTTGGCCTAGAACTTTGGTTAGTTTATAACAGGAAGGCTGTTTTAACTATTAAGAAGAAAGTGACTGTAATCCAAATGCAACATTGTTATTATTAAATAGAGTCCTCAGAAGTCCACCCAAAAGTTCTGTGTTATTTTGAAAGCATGCAACAAGGTCCTTTCAAAATTTCTAGGGGCTAAAGACAACTTCTAAGATGAATCTTCTTTTGAAGAGTTTCTTACCATAGCAGATCTCTTTGTAGTGAAGATCCATTGCATTTAGAAAAATACCCTAACCTTTAACTGTCTTGAATTATATCTGTAAAATATTTTAGAATCCTTATATCCACCCATAACCCATATAAAATTCCCTGTAGGATACTTAAAAGATAGTCCACTTCTCTTTCAATACCTCAAGTATTTTCCTAATGAAACTGCTCATTTGATTGTTGGAGAATGCCAGCTGCTAGAAACCTTCTTTTTTTAATGTTAAATATATCTGTTTCCGTATCTACTCCTAATCATCTGTAGCTACACAGGGACAAAAAGTATTCATATTTAATTTCTCTTACACATGAAAGTCCTTCCAACATTAAAAACAGTTGCTATGTCTGAGTTTTTTCTGCAGCATTAAAAATCCTTTCCATCATTTATGAAGGAGCTTTATTTTTCTTTCTATGCTGATCCCCCCTTCTCAGGATTTTCTATGGTTTGTCAAGATCATTCATTAAATGTAACCAAAAAGTGAACTACAGGTGCAACACAGAGTACAGTAAACTGGACATTATTATTCACTAATGAGACCTACAATTATGCTAACATTTTTAGCAGTAGTTTCACTTTGCTGGTACATATTAAGCTTGTGATAGAACAAAACTCTCATAATATTTTTATTGCAGCTTCTGTCAAACCATGTCTCTCCCATATTATACCTGTGTCAGCCATTTACCTTTTTTATACAAATGTGGGCCTTTATATTTTTTCTTATTTAATTTTATTTTGTTAGTCTTCACACATGATCCCATCTTGCTAAACTAATTTGAACCTACCTAGTATATTAGCCATCTGTCTTGGGTTTAATTCTGTAGATATGACAAGTAAGCTTTCTATGGCAGCAATTAGTTCTTAAATATAAATGCCTAAAGGGCAGATTGGCATTCCAGTTCATGAAGCAGTCTATTGATTAAACCAGTTTTTAAAATAATCATGAATGCTCCCAATAGTACTTCATTCAGCCGCTACTTCATAATCTTTGTATTAAGTCTATAATGGGAGACTTTCTCAAATAAACTGCTCAAAAGAAGGTTTACCTACCTAGTATCTTATCAATGACATAGACAATTTGACATAAATCAGGTTGGCTCCTAGCGATCAAGGCATTCTTTCCAAAATGCTCACAAAGTGCTTGATAAGTAATGAACTTATTGCACTGATTTTCAGTGTGAAGCTTACCAATCTGTAAATTGTGTAGTCCATCCTTTCCTCCTTTTGAAAATCAGGGCATTTTCTGTTCTCTAATTTTATGGCTCTTCTAGTTTCTGTAGATTTTCAAAGATAACTGACAGCTGCAATTTTCTCTGTACCTGGGATGTGATTAATCTCAGTCTGGAGCCTGAATTCATTTGGAAGAGTTAGGTTCTAACTACCCTCATCTACTTGGAGCTGCAATTTTCTCTTTATCTTGTTTCAACTTTTGTTGTTTGAAGACCATTCTTGATAAACCTACTTGGAAATAAAATATGCATTAGCTGATTCTCATTTATTCAACATGATTCTTAAGCACTAAAGAAAACTTGCTAAGCAATTTGCCCATGTTCCTATGTGATCTAGGTGCTTTACTGCAAAAAAAAAGAAAAGTTATTTTTCGTTTAGAACATTTAGAACATGTATTATCTATCTATCTATCTCTGTCTCTCTCTCACACTTCTACGTGGTTCAATCAGTCTTCTCCCATCTGTTGATGATGTATGTTTCTGATTTACCTAAGGGAATTCAAATACTTTCAAACTGCGTAATTTTGTCTACCTTTTTATTACTAACTTCATTTCAGAAATTTTAGTTCTGGAATCTACAGTCGGTACTTTTATTTATTAAATTACTGATGAAATTCTGTTTCTTGTCTGCTCTTTTCCCATCTTTCCAATACTTTCTTGAACTATATTAACCCTAGGCACTTAAAGTGTTCATCAGCTAGCTACAACATTTGTACCTGGAGCTCTTTCTTTCTTTCTTTCCTTTCTTTTCTTTTTTTTTTAGATGGAGTCTCGCTCTGTCACCCAGACTGGAGTGCAGTGGTGCGATCTCAGCTCCCTTTAACCTCCAGCTCCTGGGTTCAAGCAATTCTCATGCCTCAGTCCCCCGATTAGCTGGAATTACAGGTGCCTGCCACCATGCCCGGCTAATACTTGTATTTTTAGTAGAGACGAGGTTTCACCATGTTGACCAGGCTGGTCTCAAACTCCTGACTTCAAGTGATCTGCCCACCTCTGCCTCCCAAAGTGCTGGGATTACAGGCATGAACCACAGCGCCCGGCCAATCTGGAGCTGTTTCTGTTGTCTAATTTTTCTCTTGGTTTCCAGTCCTGTAGTCCTGTTTCTTGGCAGAACTAGCGAATATTTATCAAATGCCAGACATTATGTATAAAAAATTGGAGGATCAGCAGATGGTGTTTTCTTCTTCTAGAAAGGGTCACCCTTCTTTCTCCAGGCAGGCATTGGTGGGCAATCACTCAAGCCAATCAGAAGCTGGCAGAGTTGTGTTTGCAGTGTAGTCCTGTCCCCTCAGGCTCCCAGAGTTTTGTATTGAGAGCCAAGTGCTTTCTCTGACGTCTCTGCCCCTGGCAGGTCACAAACTCCAATCTTTGTTTGGGTAGTCTGCTGAAAAACTCCACTCTGCTTTTCAGAGGCCTTTTGCTTAGGTTTTTTAATCCACTGCCCGATATACCCCTGGTATTTTGTCAACGTCTTTAGAAGATCATTGTGCTTGAAGCCCTCCAAGTGTCTGCCAAAATCTCTGGTGTTTTCTCGGCTCCAGGGAAGTCTCGATTATCAGCTTCCTGTCTGCACAGAATTGGGAAATCCCCCTGGGATGATAGGTGAGCTCACCCCTGTCAGGTTCTTCCCTCTCTGGAGTCAGCCTCTCTAGTTCCGGTTGTCCGACCAGTTCTCTGCTTCCTTCAAATGGATTCCTTCTGCATTTTACCCAGCTTTTCTAGGTATTCTAAGCAAAAGCACTGCTCTGCCACTGGCTACCCCATTCTACTCAGAAGTCCTTTGTTACTTATTTAGAATGTTTAAGATTGTACAGTCAGATTTTTGTTTTTAAAGATCTGCAACAATAACTTATTCCAAATTATATTTTGTATCTATATCTAAATAAACTTAGGTTATCATAATATTCAATGCCCACTTAGATCTCCCAGAAATAGCATATATTTTACTACTGTGCTTTGGTGTTCTTTTATCTTGATGTCATAAACACGGTCACTCTACCCTAAGGTCTTTACCACTATCATATGATAAATAAGTTCCTCCTTATTGATAAAATTAAAGCCCACGTACTAAGGAAATTTATTGGTTAGCAACATTTGGAGAGATGAAATTGTTGGTAAAGTAAGTAAAACGATTTTTTTTATTCTTATATCTTTTGGACCACTAGGCTTTTAAACAAACATTATTGTTGAATCATGGTGACTAGTTTGCTTGCTAAGAAGGCAGAGGCCAGCTGGTATATTCAGTTGAGTGTTCTGTTCTTTATTGGGTTGTCGTGGCTCATATTTTCAAGCCAGAAATAGAAAAAATTTCAGTTCATCTAAAAATCATTAAGATCAGAGAAACTGATTCAGGCCCAAATTATGGCAGACATCTTGATGAAAGTGCTAATTTATTAATTTATAATGGCCAATACCAAGAATGCTATCTGGGATACAGCCTTCCTATTATCAAGGTATCTGAAAAGCAAGACATCAGAAAACCATTCATGGTGCATGAATATAAACGAAAAATGAATGCTTTAGTGGCCTGTTTAGACTGGATTATGACAAACATTTTCCATGTCCTACACAGAAGTAAAATGAGTACTGTGTTTACTAATTAGACCTCAGGCAAATTATTCAATCTTCTTGAGTGGCCAAAATATTCGTCTGCCAAATACATGATCACTTTTCACAGATCCTACTAGCTAGACATCTACAAATCCTACTTTAGCTCTCCTTTCTCTAGACCTCACTCAGACCACCATATCCTTCTGATTAAAGTTGTCATTGGCATGCTGCAGTTTCAAAATTTATATTAAATTATATAATACATTACATTCTGGTTAATCATTTCTTTAAAATATGTGAAAGATAATTTTATTTATGATAAAAGTATAATTTGGGGTGAATTCTGCTGTAGTTGTCTAATATCTTTCATAATTTATTATGTATCATTATTAATAATGAGGGAATATAACGTTTTATTACTAGATTCTTAAGTTCATGGGGGAAATCTCATTTAGGACCTACAGATATATATTTTTTTGGAGTTGCCACTTTATAATGTGTAAAATAACATAAAAATATAAGTGTGCAACATCAATATCATTTAAAATAATTTTAAAATAAAATGGCCTATCTTTAAAATATCCTGTTAAGTATTTATGATACTGTCAATTGCTGTCATTGAGATGATAGAAATTTGAAGATTTATTGAGAAAGCCTGGCTATTAAAGTAAAAAACATAAGAATTGTTTCGCCAAATGAATGTTCCTGTGCATTTTTTAAATGTTTCTACAGAAATAAAGCACGCATAGTCTTACTCTTTGCTCTTATTATCATTTTACCTCTAATTGAATTTCCCCTTGTTTCAAACCATTGTTTAAAAGATTTCAAACCAGTCAAGCAGAACATCTGAAAGTTGGGAAGTGAAATCTTTGATTTTAGATACTGTGCTTCCGGTGTATGATGTAGTTCTGAATACAGAGATACAGACTCATTTCAGTTCTCACAAAATGGAGGAACTCGAGAAACAGCAAAGGACATTTAAAATAATTGCAATGTATACAATGGAATAGTTTAAAGAAAAAACAAAACAGTCCAGAACAATCCGTCCCCTCCTATGCCTTGATACTGATATTTTGACGTATTCCAATGAGCATGTTAAAATAAAAGATGGAGTATACTTAAAATGCGTATAGGTATACGCATTTTTTAAATCTTCACTTCAAAAATTATGGATCCCCTGCTCATTAAATAATCTTTCAAACCCCAGGAAATAACCAGACCCTAGGTAGGAATTCAAACACCCCTTGGGTCTTGAAGAACTCGGGACCGGATGTCTAAGCACAGCATGTGGTTCCGAGAGCTGAACTGTGCCTCTGCGCAGGGATTTCGGACTTGCTTGGATGTCAGAACCATCTTCGGCTTTGGTTGTGATAAAGAATTTGCCTCGTAAAATAGTTATATACAACAAAAAGCTGTATCTCTTGGGAAAGAAAAGCTATTATATGAATTATTAATTTAACAGGCAAAAGAGAACGAGATATTAGATGTGAAAAATGAAGTGTACCTCATGAAGAACACCATGGAAAACCAGAAAGCAGAACGGGAAGAACTTAGCCTCCTTCGGCTGGCATGGCAGCTTAAAGCCACGGAAAGCAAGCCTGGAAAACAGCAGTGGGCGGCATTCAAAGAGCAACTTAAAAAGGTGAGGCAAGGAACAATGGGATGTGAAAAGGAATGAAATTCCGACACAGGCTAACATGAGCGAACCTTGAAAACACTAGCTAAGTGAAATAAGCCAAACACAAAAGGATAAATATCGTGTGATTCCACTTATAAATGAGGTCCCTGTAGTCAAACTCATGGAGGCAGAAAGCAGAATGTAGGTTACCAGGGACTGGGAGAGAGAGGGAGGGAATGGGGAGCTGTTAAATGGGTACAGAGTTTCTGTTTGGGATGATAAACAAGTTCTGGAGGTGGTTGGTGGTGATGTTGATTGCACATTGATGTGAATGTATTAAATATCATGCCTCTGAACTGTACACCCCAAAATGGTAAACATGGTAACTTTTGTTATGTGTATTTTACCACAATAAAACCAAAAAAGGCAGCAGAAACCAAGGGCCTTACTTCTTGGTGGTTTAGAACCCTGAGCTCATGCCACATCCTGAGTGTTTTCATGGGGTTTGAAAAATTTGATCACACTCTGCGTCATACCTAGAATGATCAAATTTGCTGGAGATGTCAAAGAAAATGCATGTGTAACTGTCCAATATTTATTTCAGACTTCTCACAACTTAAAACTTCTTCAGGAAGCACTTATGCCTGTGTCTGCACTTGACCTCGGAGGGAGCCTCCAGTTCATTTTAGATCTACGACAAAAATGGAATGACATGAAGCCTCAGTTCCAGGTGAAGAAATATATTGCTGGATTTGGGTGAATGGAAAAAATACTTAAAACTGTTTGGTTGCAGTTTACCTGATTAATTGTAACAGGCTGGTGAATTTCTATTTTTTTAAACAAAAGTATTGCTTGTCTAAAAATCCACTGTAGAGACATTTTTCTTACTTTTTTCCTGCATTCTTTTGAATTTGATGATATACCAGCATTAGGGCTATACAATGTCCTAAATAGATTTTTATATTAGATTTTTAAAATTCACATGGCTAATTAAACTAGTAATATATTTATCCTATATTTTCACTCTAATTCTTTTCCTTGGGAGTGCAGAGGTGTTTTAAATTGAGACATCTCAGAACAAGGATGGGCAACCTCGGACCCAGAGGCTCTGCTGCCCTGGGTCCCTGAGGTGACCACTGTTATGTCACTGTCCTCACCCACCAGCACCCCAGGCACGTACCATCACCCCAGGAATTTTGCTGTGCCCTCCACTCCACCTTTCAG
The DNA here is from genome assembly GCF_000001405.40 of Homo sapiens. Taxonomy (NCBI): domain Eukaryota; kingdom Metazoa; phylum Chordata; class Mammalia; order Primates; family Hominidae; genus Homo; species Homo sapiens. The sequence goes on along the minus strand of NC_000002.12, from coordinate 178,870,932 downwards.
GATATGAGCAATAAAACCATGAGTCATGTTCCTGACCCTGACTGCTTAACACAGTCCCTATTTCCCCACCTCCTGCCTCTCCAAAATGTGACACAACCGCCAAAAATTGCCACCTGCTAGTCACATTATACTTCTGCCTGGATTCTTATGCTTTGCTGCAAAATTTAGATACCTGTGTTTCTAGCTGTCACTGCTTCATAAATGTGGGCTTCAAAGAATCCCAGAATCAGAATATTGAAGATTCCTTTAGGGAATATCTAATTGTAGGTTCCTTTAAGACAAAAACCGATGTAAGTATAACCACCGCACCTGCTACACAGAAACACACCCACCATTGTAATCCACAGCAAACTCTTATAAAACTCTCAGCAAATGTGACTGGCCTATATTAGGCTCTTTAATACACCCTGCGTTATCTGCTTATATGCATTTTGTTTGTGTGCACGTTTGCATGTACGTGTAAGTTCCTCTAAATCAGGACCATTGTCACACCTCTTTAGCCCTGTCACTGTGATGCACATATATTTAATGCCCAAATGCTTGAACTTGAAGACCCTTTTTAGGTCACTCTTCTGAAAATTATCTCCTTAGTCTAAATCATTTCCATTACTTTTACCTTTCATACAAAAGATCTACACTTGAAATTATAGTAGCATTCTCTATCTTTCTCTCACTGTCTTTTTTTTTTTTTTTTTTTTTTTGAGACAGAGTCTTACTCTGTTGCCCAGGCTGGAGTGCAGTAGCACAATTTTATCTTGCTGCAGCCTCCGCCTCCCAGGTTCAAGTGATTCTCGTGTCTCAGCCTCTGGGGTAGCTGGGATTACAGGTGTGTGCCACCACGCCCAGCTAATTTTTGTATTTTTGGTAGAGACAGGGTTCTGCCATGTTGGCCAGGCTGGTCTTGAACTCCTGCCTTCAGGTGGTCCACCCTCCTTGGCCTCCCAAAGTGCTGGGATTACAGGCGTGAGCCACCATGCCCAGCCTATAGTAGCATTCTCTTTAAAGTATGCCCCTTTTGCAAATTCTATTCCAGAATCTGGATTATCTGAGCAATGCTGGGTGAAAGGCAAGGCAGTTTATCCCTCCCTACATGTGATGGCTATTTGTGGATCATGGGATGACCGCTTTTGAAGCAGTCTATCTACTATGCTGTTCAGCTGGTGGTTCATTCTGATCATTCTTTTATCACAGAGCACAAGTTATTCCCCTGATATATTTTTACACCCATCTTCTCATGGTGTTTTTACCATACCACCTGATTCTAGTCTGTATTAAATATCAGAGATAATCATGGGGCTGCATAAAATATCTAAAATACATTTACTTAACAGATGAATAGAATATTTGGTATGCCATAGAAATGTATGACTTTGTTTTTCCACCTAGCTTTGAAACCTTTGTTGCATTGCTCATGCTATTTTTTTTTGTAAATTTCTCAGGTGAGTATAGAAAAACATATCTCTATCATCCAGCACAATGCCCAAATATTTTGGAGGGTGGGGGCATTCATAATAAGTATTTGTTAACAAATGAAAGAGTGATTCATTGTTTAGACCTTTATATTGTCAGTTGTAAAGTAAAAAAGTTCTTTAATAGCAAGATTTTTTTATTGCTTTCAATGTTTTAGCAATTGAATGATGAGGTTCAGTACATTATGAAAGAATCAGAGGAGTTAACTGGCAGAGGAGCCCCTGTAAAAGAAAAGTCTCAACAACTGAAGGACCTTATTCACTTCCATCAAAAACAGAAAGAGAGAATCCAGGATTACGAGGATATCCTGTACAAGGTGGTCCAGTTCCATCAAGTCAAGGAAGAGGTAAGGCTTAGAAGGGATGTCTGAAAAATCCTGAGTTTTAAACTATGCAATTAAAAATGAATTATTATATAATAAATAAAGGCCAAATTGTGTCTTCTAGTATCAGAAGTTTACACAATCTGGCCCCTATCTTTTCTCTCACTATGTTCCTATTCTTCCTTTTGTTCCAGCCAAACTGAGCTCTTTGTCCCTCAGAGATGATGCACACATCCCTAACTCCAACCCTTGACTCTCAGGCTGCCATTATTTGACAAGTCTGTCTTTCTCCTCCCTCTTATCTAAATCCTATACCTCCTTCCAACAATCCTACCTCACTTGGAATGATTTCTCTCTCTTCAAAAATCCTACAGCTCATTGTGTATTCCACATATCTTGCATTTTACTATCTTGATTCTTAATTACTTTTTGATAAGCATAGCTTCCCGCCCACCCCCTCTCCCCCGCCCCAATTCAATTCTAGGCTCTTTGAGGGCGAAAACCAAGTTAGATTTTTTTTTTTTTTTTTTTTGCACTTCAAGTACCTGACATCATGGAGTGCTATTTGTTGGTGGCATTTTTACAAAAACTTCATAGTTATGGTCTCTATTAACATAAGATGGAGGAATATTCGTTAATATCCCTTTAAAATAGCCTCTAAATTTACTCAGAGCACAGACCTAGATCTTGCTAAGGTTTTGGGTCATGACCAAAAAGACTGTTTCCTTCTTTAATGGAACTGACAACGTTAGCAGTTCAATTTTACCACCATTGGATTTGCAGCATTCTAACATTTATTTGGCTAATGCCAACAGTTTAAAGATGGGCTTGGCAGCATTTCGACCAGCTAGCAAAATGTGCTATAGAAATTAGGCTTAAAAAAAAATTTGTCTTCATATAAAACCCAGGTTAATTGTTAATGCCCTAAATTGTAGCTGGGACGTCTCATCAAATCAAGAGAGCTGGAGTTTGTAGAGCAGCCGAAGGAACTGGGTGATGCCCATGATGTGCAGATTCACCTCCGGTGCTCTCAGGAAAAGCAAGCCCGTGTAGACCATCTCCACAGACTGGCCCTTTCCTTAGGAGTCGACATCATCTCATCAGTGCAGCGGCCTGTAAGCATCTAATAACACTATCATTTAGACTCAGTTCTAGCTGGGGCTTGGGCTAGCATATGAAAGAAACCAGGCAGATTGCTTAGTATATGTTAAATTTAAAAATAAACTAAACCATTGGGGTAGTTATTTGTGATTCATTTCTACCCTCTGACAAAAGAAAAAATTTTAAGTAGAAAATCTGAATGTAAAAGTCTTGTTGAATACCTCTATTTTCATGAAAAAAAATTTTTAAAGAGTATTTATATAGTAGATCTGTATAGTCCAGTGTGGCAGTCACTTTTTTGCCTTTGATGTGTGCCTAATGCAACTAAAAAACTAAAGTTTTAATTTTATTTAACTTGCATTAATTTAAATATAAATTTAAAAATTGATCTTCAGTATAGTTATGGGACAACTTTTAAGTATGTTGGGAGCAATTTGGGTATGGGAATCAACTTTCGAAACTGTAAATTTAAAAAATTAAAATACAGATCTAATATTTCTGATCGAAATTTAGCAACAAATGAGGAAGCTCAAAGTATGAAATACACACCAGATTTCAAAGAGGTATTATGAAAAGCAATCACATTAGTATTTTTTATATTACTTACATGTTAAAATGGTGATATTTGGACATAGTTGGTTATTGTATTATAAAAATTAATTTTGCTCTATCTTTTTATTTGATTTTTTGATATGACTACTAGACAATTTTAAATTGTTTGTGTGGTTCACATTTTGTTGGCCAGTGCTGTTTTAGCATTGCAGATCTGGAAGACCATCTAGATCTTAGAGTTCATCCAGGCCAGAGCTATCATTTTATGGATGAAGAATTTGAGGCAAACAGAAATTCCCACCTTACCCATAAAAGCCCAGAATGGAGGAGTCCAAGCCTCCTGATTCTAGCCAGGGCTGGTTGGATTTGTTTGATGCCACTGTCGGACTTCAAAAGAGAGGCCTAAAAGAGAAGGAAATATTCCCAGATCAAATTTTCATCAATAATACACTGGACATTGATTCTTTAAAAAAATTCCTTCTTTAGCCTGGGCACATTGGCTAATGCCTGTAATCCCAGCACTTTAGGAGGCCGAGAAGTTCAAGTCCAGCCTGGCCAACATGGCAAAACTCCGTCTCTACTAAAAATACAACAATTAGCCAGGCGTGGTATTACGTGCCTGTAATCCCAATTACTTGGGAGGCTGAGGCAGAAGAATCGCTTGAACCCAGGAGGCGGAGGTTGCAGTGAGTTGAGATCCAGCCATTGCACTCCAGCCTGGGCGACAGAGTAAATAAGACTCCATCTCAAAAAAACAAAACAAAACAAAAAAACAGAAACAACAACAACAACAAAACAAAACAAAAAAATCCTTTTCCAGATTTCTAACTTGAGGGGAGAAAAGATTATGTTTACTCTAACAATAGGTATAACATTAATAAAATCATAATGGCCCATTTTATTTTAAAATACATGTAAGATATCCACTAAACTATATGAAATGCAGTGAATCTAAAATATGTATTTTTTAAACTGAAAGATATAGAAATACAAATTATCTGTTGTTGTTAATGGAATTGGTTTTTTGCCAGGAAAGAGCTTTCTTTTTAAAGAGTTTATTTTATTAGTACATTTATTTTTAAAAGAAAAAGAAAGCAAGAAGTCTCACTTTGTGCAAATAATGTAAATTGTTCTCCAATCCTCTTCTGGCCTTGGCCCTGGCAGCCCCACTGTGCTGAGCTGAGATTGGAGCACTTGCATAATGAACCTGAGGTTAGGCTCAAGTTGACAGGAAAATTATAGTGCAGAAATCAAATGTTTCTAATGCATATTTTATGCCTTTTGAAGTAAAAATTATACCCTATAATGAATGGCGTCTCTGAGGAGTTGGGTGTGATGAGCGAATCTTCAACACTAGAGATTTGAGCTGGGAAATGTCTTTTCCATAATGTTGGGTGACTGGCTTCTTTCTGAAATAATTATGTTCAAATATGTTTAAGGTAAAATAAATCAGGAACCTATTTCTTTTTTTAAAAAGTGTCATTTATGAGTTTCATAATTCAGGTAAATAGCCTACTCGTCTTATTGCTGTTTCGTCCTTTCTCTCTGTTACCACCATTTGTCTCTTTTAGCACTGCTCTAATGTTTCTGCAAAGAACCTACAGCAGCAGCTGGAGCTCCTTGAGGAGGACAGCATGAAGTGGCGTGCCAAAGCTGAGGAGTATGGACGGACCCTGTCCCGTAGTGTGGAGTACTGCGCCATGAGAGACGAGATAAATGAGGTGGGTGTGGGAGGGGTGAGAACTGGCACATTGCCAAAAAGCTGTTTGAACCTAAAGCATGTGTCTAAATGTCCACATTTGTGCACACTCCCACACACATGCAAACACACAATGAATCAGGAGACTTTCTTCTCACTTATTTCTTTTAATCCACTGAGCAGTGACCTCAGGGATCTGGAAGTTTGAGTAAACTTCAAGCTCTCAAATTTGTTGAAGTCAGTATGATGTCAATGCATAGAAAAACCTATAATTCAGTAGTACAGTTTTTTTGGTTGCTTTTGTTTATTTGTTTTTTGCTTCCCCCTTCTCCCTCAAACCTGTATAGCAGTCATTTGCTTCAGTGGATACAGCTTTTTCAGGACCCAGAGGAAGGGGTGACATTGACCAGTTCGTTGCAGCCAACTCCAGCCTGCTGAAATTCTATTTAAGGGTCATTGACTCATGGTGAATCAATGGTGCCAGGGGCCAGGGAGCAGACACTTTGCTTTGGAGGCTACGAAGTATTAGCACTGAGGTCAAGTGGCTGGTTTCATATTTATTCAAACTGACTGGCTTTTCTGGCAAAACAACTCTTCAAGAAAAAAGAAATAACAGATCAAAGTGATCTTCTACATCCATGCACCTCCACATGCTTAATTCTATCTCCTCCCCCTCAACTGTAACAAATCCACAACACCTAGATATTCACTAAATCACAACCACCACCTGCTCCTAGCTAAGCTTTCCATTGAAAGGCTTACTTGTTCTGGGAGAAAACAACTCACAGATTGGGATAGCAATGGTTCTCATTCTTGACTGGGAAGTGATAGCAGAACACAAGGGTACACATAATTCTAGATTTATCTCCATTTAGAGCAAAATGTTTCTGAGCCCATTAAGCCATAAGTCCATTGGGAAAGAAGGTGGTGGAAAAGGAGGCAGTAAACTTTCTTCACTTTCTGTTTATGCCCAGTTTACATCAACTAGACCCAGCAAGTATCAAATATTATCCAACAACATTAAAGCACAGAAATAAGTATAAATAACTCAACTTTAATGGTGGCCTGGCTCTGAAGTGGCCGTTCCTGTAGGCCACACATTTACAGACCACAGGCAGGTGCAGGATGGACCATGGCTGGAAGGAAAACCAGAGGGGAAGAGAGCAAGAGTGGCTACTTGGATTCTGTTAAACAGGAGGGAAGCAGGAACTGACATCTGATAATGATGTTCATTTCAGCGGTGTGCTACAGGACTGTAGAGTTTCAGCTCATAATTTGTGTTCCAGGGAGTTACTTTTGGCTAGAGAGGCGTCGACTCTTCGGGGTTGAACCGGTAGTGTAATTTGCCCTCTACTTGATAGAATGGCCACTTCCGGTTCCTATGCTGCTGCTTACACGTCAATCACATCTTGTTAAGGAAAACCGTCAGAGCACGTTGGTCTCCCCAAGGCTACAAAATGTGGATTCATGGTTATGGAAGCTATTCCTTTACAGTCTTTCCTTAAAGTGATCTTCTTTATTCCTCTTTCTCTCTTCTTTCCTCCCCTCCCCCTTTCTTCCCGTTTTCCCTCCTTCTCTTCCTCCTCCTCTACTTCTATTTGTAAACCTTTGTCTTGCCAAAATCCTCCCTCTTTGCAGTGATGGTTGGGCTCTACATTTGCTAAAGCGCAAGTGGAGCAGGCTGAGGGGTTTTCCCAGCCCCCTCTGGCTCCGTTTCTAGCTCCCTGTAGAGCTGTGACATTTATGAAGCTGGGTCTCCCTGTTCAGGCCCTTCCAGCAGGAATTCTATTTATAGGGACTGCCTCATGATGAGACTGTGTTTGGAGCCAGCCGGCCGGGATGACAAATTTCCCTTCCTGTCAATAGTAGGTACGCCCCAGGATTGTCTGTACCGTGTCAGGAATGAGCAGCCAGATACATGCGGGTTTGATTTAGGAATCAGGTATCACTTTAGCATGCTCTTACATTTTAAGAGAGATATTCTTCCCATTTGCTTCCACTACTGATCCAGTTAATCTTTCATGTAACTTACAATTTCACATTTAAATGACCTCTGAGAACTTTGAGTCTTTGTCACTTCTCCTTTTTTGTGGACATGTAGTGCGTGTGCACACCCTGGACTTTCCCACCACAGGCCTAAGGGAAAATAATCAGAAGGAATATTTTCCGTGTCCCTTAGGAAAATAAAAATATGTGTGTTCCAGTTTATATTGTGAACAGCAGAGCCCAAACAGATGGCAGTTTCCACAGTGGTAATAATATTTGCTATCTAGACATTATTATCGTTGTTATCATTATTAGTCTTTGGGTATAGCTGCTTAAAACTTACGTAAAATTAAATATGATACGTTATACTGATTTTTTTCTGCATAAACAATTAAAATTAGATAACATGCCAGAGGACTAAACCAAGTATAGCATTTATGTTTAAAGTTGATTTTTAAACACAGTTTCACTTTCAATGTGCTTAAAGTACTGTTAGAAAGTTCACAGACTCTGACTTGCAATGGATTTTTGAGAATGTCCAGTTCAGTATGTTCATTTTTCAGATGGGAAAACTGAGGAGCATATGACTTTCATGTTATGAATATGCTACAGGACAACAGAGTTTCAGCTCAGGGTGTTCCAGGGGATCAACTTCAGGCCACAGACTCATTTGTTGGGCACCAACATGCTTATGATTTGTTAAACTCAGAATTCACCATTTACATAATATTTCAGTGCCATTCAACCACTGCATGGTCTGATGTTAAATATCTTCTTTTTTTTATGCTTTCCTCTTCTATCCCTATTTTCTGGTATATCTAAGATGTTTGTATGATCTGATATAATAGTACAGTTCATTTGGTTATTTCAAAAAAATTTCTTTCTTGACTGTGCTGTAGCTAACTTACATGGTCTTAACTTCACTGAAAGCCCTTAGAAAAGAACTCAATACCTCAAGGCAAAATAAAGTGTTCTAAATGTAATTTTTAAAAATGTAATGTGATGTGCCTTAGAGACAACGAATGATAGTTTGTGCTTTATCTTTGAGAAAAAACCATTTTTTTCCAATTTCATATGAAGACATAGGAAATTGTAGAACCTTATTTTCTTCATGTCTACCTACTAGAAAAATAATCTTCAGACTGCCAGACTTTGTGCTTTTTCCTACCCATTTCACACAAAGATACATTTGTATGCTTGAATGTTGAATATAATTCATATTTTTTCTTGCCTGACTATATAAATAAGTTGTTCATACACAAAGCACAGTAGACATATTCTCTGCCATATTACATGACACAGAAACATCATTCTTTACACATCCACATTTAGAAATGTAATAAGTAAATATCAAGCATGCTTTCTTCTTTGAACCTGACCAAAAACAGTACCTTTACATTTACATGATGTTAATGGAAATTTGTAACTCGAGGCTCATATTACAGATCACAATTACTTTGCTGAAAAGAATAGTAATGACAGAATCGGGTTGGTATCCGTGTTCTCAAGTTTTCCACATAGAACTTCCAGATAATTATTTACCTTACCCTGAAATTTTCCACTGTAGCAACATCTTACCCATCAGGAATTATGCAGAAAAGGACTTAGTATATATGTTCCATGTATCGGTCACATGTTCTAATGGCACAAATTCTTTTTTCAATTCGAATAAATCAGTCAAATGAGTTACAGGGATACAAGTCGATTAGTAGCAGTAAATTAGAATAGAGGAATAGTGTTGCTATAGACACATACGCAATAAAATTAAAACCGTCTGACATTGTATAGTGCTTTGCCACTGACAAAATGACCATGGACTGCTACCCACTGGCAGGAAAGGAAGCAGAGAAAGAGTTTGCACAGACGGCAAAACACCCAACAGGGCAGCACAATGGTATAGTGCAGACAATAATTATTTTTCAAGATTTATAACCTGAATTCATTATTTTCTTTAAAAAGGACTCCATTATATTCACTCAACGAATGTGTTAATGTGGCTTCTGTGTACCAAGCCATAAGAATACAAATAGCAGTGGCTCACACCTGTGTTTCCTGCACTTTGGGATGCCAAGGTAGGAGGATTGCTGGAGCCCAGGAGTTCCAGTCCAGCCTAGGCAAGATGGTGAGACCCTGCCTCTACAAAAAAAACTTTTTTTTTTTTTTTTTTGAGACTGAGTCTCACTCTGTCGCCCAGGCTGGAGTGCAATGGTACGATCTTGGCTGACTGCAACCTCTGCCTCCTGGGTTCAAGCAATTTTCCTGCCTCAGCCTCCCGAGTAGTTGTGATTACAGGCATGCACCACCATGCCCAGCTAATTTTCGTATTTTTAGTGGGGATGGGGTTTCACCATGTTGGCCAGGCTGGTCTTGAACTCCTGACCTCTGGTGACCCACCTGCCTCAGCCTCCCTAAGTGCTGGGATTACAGGCGTGAGCCACTGTGCCCGGCCCTACAAAAAATTTTTAAAAATTAGCCGAGCATGGTGATGTGTGCCTGTAGTCTCAATTACTTGAGATGCTGAGGCAGGGGGATCCCATGTGCCCATGAGTTTGAGGCTACAGTGAGCTGTGATCACGTCACTGCACTCTAGCCTGGACAAGAGAGTGAGACTCTATTGAAAAGAAAAAAAAAAAAGCACAAACATCCTCAGGAAACTTCGAGTCTAGATAGCATTAAAACCCATGGGACTTCACAGTCACAGCCATTCCTCTAGTGGGCCCCATCCTGGGTCCATCTGGATGGTATGTGTAAGAGGATAAGAAAGATTACAATTTGCTCTAAAAGCATCCATTCCATAAGGTTAAAATGTTAACATTTTGGTGTTTAACATCTGCAAAATGACTGTGGAAACTTCCTGAACAATAAACAGAGCTGAAGTTTAAAATTATGGTTATCATGTTCAGAAAACAAAACTTAACATATTATGAAGACACAAAACATGCAAAATGGATAAAATATGTATTACTGATGCCTGTTGCTACCTACAATTTAAGACAGAGCAATTGTCACGTCTTCCCAAGTTATCCCACTTTCAGCCGCTAGCGGCTGGCCTCAAGCACAAGAAGACAAGGGAGTGGTTGCCAAATGGAAGGAGGCCAAAAAGTCTTGTCCTGAAATCTCTCTGGTACTAAGTCTGAATATTCTACAATTGGGATGCCAAGGTAGGAGGATTGCTGGAGCCCAGGAGTTCAAGTCCAGCCTGGGCAAGATGGTGAGACCCTGCCTCTACCAAAAAAAAAAAAAAAAAAAAAAAAAAAAAGTGTTGTTTTTTTTTTTGAGTCTCGCTCTGTTGCCCTGGCTGGAGTGCAATGGTGCAATCTTGGCTCACTGCAACATCTGCCTCCCGGGTTCAAGCAATTCTCCTGCCTCAGCCTCCTGAGTAGCTGTGATTACAGGCATGCACCACCATGCCCAGCTGATTTTTGTATTTTTAGTAGAGGTGGGGTTTCACCATGTTGGCCAGGCTGGTCTTGAACTCCTGACCTCTGGTGATCCACCCGCCTCAGCCTCCCTAAGTGATAATTGATAATTGTAGCAAATGATTTGGGTTAAATTTTGAACTTTTGGGTCTCTTGATTTTGAATGAAGCATCCCTGGGAGGTGATAACATCACAGCTTTCTGTTACTGAATATGAGCATCAAAAAGCTTTTTTTCTGGAGTGAATAAAATGACAGGCAAGAAATGACATTCATGAAGTGGACATTGTGGAGATTGACCAGTCATTTTATATTTTTGCTTCTGGCCAAACATGTGCCATAGTTCTAAGGAAAGGCTTTCTTTTTAAATGCATTAAATGCATTTCTGTTTTAAATATCCCATGTCCCTCACACAAATTGGCCTTGACAGCAGCAAACTTATAAATAATACATTCTTATGCCAAAGCTGGCTCAACCAGCTTCGTCAAGACTAACAATAGCAAGCCAGCCTCACTTGGCATCAGCCTCTTTCCCTTCTGCTTCTTTCCAAAGAAGCTTTGTTTATTCCTAACCCTGAGAAGGGGCTTACGGCATGCTGGAAAATTTGGCAAAGATGCTCATTCTGCTAATTTCAAAATAGCTATAGTTTTTAAATCTTAATAACTTATTTCTAATTATAGCTATGTTAACTCAGTCTGTTTATTCTATGGTAAATATAGAAGAGCTGAACATGTGAAAAGATGGGAAAATAAAATTATTCATTAAAAATATATTTTCCCTAATTTTCTGAAGACTTTGAGGAACTTTAATATGAATTATAACACCATTTCAAGATTTCTAACAGGGTAAACTTTTTCTCACCCCAAGCTTGGGGTGTTTTTCTCCACTTATGTGCTCAACTTGAGCAGTTGTCTCAGCCCCATCCCGCCATTCCCCATTGTTGACAAGTTGACTAAAGTTAGAAACAGCTGTGTGAACAGTGATACCACAGCCCAGCGACTATGGCACTCAGTTCCTTTAAAAATATGACCACAAGTTATGTGGGGATTAGATGGGAAGTTAAGTTTTCATATTGGAAAGTGCAGGTAAGAAAATTAAGAATGGCAAGATTTTTCAATCGCTGAAGGTAGTTTCATGCATACTGCCTTCCACTTGTATCTGCAGTAGTCCTGAATTTGAGTTGAAAAAGGCACAGAGATTTAGTTTTAAAATGGATTTCCAGTGAAACCAAAAGAGAAAAGTGCCAGCAACTTTGTCAAGGGAGCTCATGTGTCAGAAAGAACTTGATCCCATTTCACATACTCATAGTGTCATGAACATTCTTTGACCTTATAAATCATCTTCAGTGGAAGTGCACACGTTCTGAAGCAAACAGAAATCAAATCACACTCATCATTTATCAGTCTTAAATTTCTTAATCCAAAGTAGATTTAAAATCTCATGGTTGAGAATTAAAGTATTAAATCTCAGCCTTTCTCTATCATATAGGTTTCAAATAGACATTGAACTTTCCCATTTAAAGCAGATGTAATCCAATGGTTATCAGGTTAATGACAGAGCCCCTCTTCCTTTCTCTAGACTAAGGTTTTCTGATATATGTCACATTTCAGTAGAGAAAAATATATGACTATATTTTATATATTCTTATATATAAGTAGAAGAATATATAAGTTTATTTTCCAATGGATAAGTGTTAGTGACAGGGCATTTTTTCCCTTTATTTTTAATTGTGGTAAAATGCACATAGCATGAAATTTACCAGCTTAACTGTTTTAAGTGTATAGTTTAGTGGTATTAAGTACATTCACATTGTTGTGAACCCATCACTACCATCCATCTGCAGAACTTTTTTATCAACCTAAACAGAAACTCTGCACTCATTAAATAGTAACTCATTATTGAGATGTTTTTTAAAACAATAATGTCTGGTTTCCTCAGATGTACTTATTATATATGTAGTTGCAAAAACTCCTGCCAAAATTTTATGTAAATTACTAAGGATATAACGCCTTTATATCTCAATCTTATAAAATTGACATTATTTATCCTTTCCTGTTAAAACCAAACATACGCACATTAAAACATTGAGTGCCGTAGAATGTAAATACTTACTAGTTATTTCACAAATATATCAACTGAATATGATCTTTTAAATATTCCCCTGAGTTTCTAATAGAGAAATAATGTTCAAATTCTGAAGCTTTTCACTTTTTCTGAACATTACTGATTTATTTATCAGTTAAAGTGGTTCATGCGGTCTCTATGCTTGGTTTAGTTTGTAACTTAAAGTAATGTTCAACAACTTTATTTACCATATAAACTAAACAACACTGATTAAGTATATGTGTATCAGATGCAAAAATTCTATCAGTATAATAATTTCCGTTCGCAATTCCACTAGGGCTTTAAAGTTGATGTCTCTAAGATGTGTTACAGATAAGATAAAGGCTTTATTTTCACAGTCTGCAGAATTTGAAATAAGCATTTTGAGAAAGCATGCATTTTGTAGGGCAAGTATATTTTTCTGCATTACAATTCTATAATCTAGCACATGCACAGTCTTTATTCCCTCCCAAATAATTTGTTTGCTATCATTGAAAAGAATTTTAATGCTTTTCTGACTTCTCTTATCTTAGCTCAAATTTATCAACCATGACATTGTTCACTCTTGCTGTTAAATGCCTCCATATAATCTGAGAAGGTGTTTTTTTCTCTGTACTTCTCTTTGGTGATAATACAAAGAGAGAGTTGCCTGTCGATATGCTTATCCTTCTTAAATATAGAGAAGGGACAGAAAGTGGTGCATTTAATGGAACTGCACTGCTTAGAAATTTGGTGCACTGGTAAAGTTGAACTGTTGTTAAGACTGTCAAAATCTATCCCCTATGTATAGCTATATGCTTTATTTATACACAAGTTAGCATAGCCGTCATTAGCAACAACTCTCACTTTACTTTTATTGTTTTTGAAGGATCTCTGAAGTTAATGGTCTATATCTAAGGGGTAAAACTCTTTTCAGAACTGCTCACGAAAAATAATTTTTAACTGGGCAGATATAGTTATTTTTCTACTAAATCTCATATTGGGTCTTCTCTTCCACCCCACCAATGTCCTGGCTGGTCTAAATGTCAACGCTTCTTTGACCTCTTCAACATGGATAGCTTTTTGGAGCCTTAATAAATGTATACATGATGGCTGTGAGAGAGTATTAAAAGATAGAGAGATCTGGGGCAAATATTAGTGTATCGAAAACAGAATGAATGGGAAAAAAGATATCAAATAAATTCAAATAAGAAAACTAGAGTTGTTAAAATTTATGTATGATATGTGAGAAATTTTCTTACTTGAGGGACAAAGGAATATTCTATAGCTATAATCCTAATTAAAAATTACAAATCGAAAAGTATTAACATTTTATAATTACTTATATTTGGAAGATATATTTAAATTCACTTGGTATGTCCACTTGGCAGATTTGTTTTATAATGAAAATCACTCTGAGGCCAGGCGCGGTGGCTCAAGCCTGTAATCCCAGCACTTTGGGAGGCCAAGGTAGGTGGATCACTTGAGGCCAGGAGTTCGAGACCAGTCTGGCCAACATGGTGAAAACCTGTCTCCACTAAAAATACAAAAATTAGCCAGGCATGGTGGCACACATCTGCAGTCCTAGCTACTTAGGAGAGACATGAGAATTGCTTGAACCCAGGAGGCAGAGGTTGCAGTGAGTCAAGATCGTGCCAATGCACTCCAGCCTGAGTGACAAAGTGAGACCCTGTCTCAAAAAAAGAAAGGGAGAGAGAGAAGAAAGAAAGAGAGAAAGAGAAAGAGTGAAAGAAAGAAAGAGAGAGGGAGGGAGGGAGGGAAAATTACCCTAAATACCTTTTTAAGATTATGAGTATTTTGAAGTGTTCAGATGCTTTGATTTATTGCAAGTGACTTTGTTTTCTCATTTTAAGGAAACCACCTATTTCTTTTTATTGAACTACAGCTCAAAGACTCATTCAAAGATATCAAAAAGAAATTCAATAATTTGAAGTTTAATTACACTAAGAAAAATGAAAAATCTCGGAATCTGAAGGCGCTTAAATATCAAATTCAGCAAGTTGATATGTATGCTGAAAAAATGCAGGTAACAAGAAAGTATGGTTTGTATATGTGCGCATGTGTATGCATGTACTACACAATTATTGCAAAATTGTTTTGAATTTCAAATCTAGATACCTAACTCTGGCTTTTTGTAGCATTGGGACTCAAAGGGTATTTTTCTATTTTTATAACAATTTTATCCTTCATGTAAAAATACATAATAAATTGATTTACCTCTTGAGGCAGATCCAGAATGGTTTCTGCCAAACCCAACCTGTCTACTTCCATTCTTCTCCCCAACACATACACACACACATGGATGCATGCACGTGCCTTCTACACTCCTCCTCCTTTTCTTGCATCCATCTATGTCATCAGTTTTGCTGCTCCTATAGCCTCTTATTCTTACCTTGATTATTACATGTACTGGCTGGATTATTTGAATGCCTTTTCCAGGAGACAGTGAGCTTATTGAGGACAAGTATTTGATTTAATCATCAATGTCTTTAAAAAAGATCATATTACTAGTCTCAAAATCTGGAATACACCTGTGTACATTTTCTATTTATTTGCTGAATGCTAAATCAATAGAATTTGGGGGGAAACCCATTCTTACCATAATATATTTGTAATAATTATTATTTTAATAGATTGGAGGAAGCTGCAAAATTTTTACCAGTTTTTCTCTCAGTATTTAATCACTAGCATCATAAATACAAATTGAATGTTGTTTAAAAAACTTTTTGTTTTTCACACAGGCTT
Source organism: Homo sapiens (assembly GCF_000001405.40). NCBI lineage: Eukaryota > Metazoa > Chordata > Mammalia > Primates > Hominidae > Homo > Homo sapiens. Next base: position 178,855,537 of record NC_000002.12, on the reverse strand, counting down.
TGAAAAGGAAAATGGAAAAAGTTAGTAATAAAACCTCTGATTCTTTCTTAAATTATCCAAGTGATAAAGTTAATGTCCTTTTGGAAGTCATGAAGGATTTGCAAAAACATGTGGATGACTTTGACAAAGTTGTGACAGATTACAAGAAGAATTTGGACCTGACTGAGCATTTCCAGGAGGTGATAGAAGAGGTATTCTCTTTTTGCAGTGGTATCCATGTTGTAATGTTGTTTTCAAAAATCATTTTGCAACTTTAAAGCAATGTTGCATTAGCTGTTATTCTCATTATATTCATGTATCATGCTCCTTTTCATGATTTTTTTTCCTTAGGATAATTCTCTGAAATAGAATTGCTGGACCTAAGGGGATGAATATTATAAGGTCTTTGATTTTATTGGTCAATTTCTCTTGAGAAAAGTCTTTACTAATTTACTGGCAATGTGTGAGAGTTCCTGTTTCTCCATAACCTCATCAGATGAAGATGTTTAATTATCATGAAATTATGTTCACTGCTGGATATCTGTTTAAAATGCTCAGAATGGTTTATTTATTTCACAGAACTTGAAAATATTTATTTTAAAAAGTGATACTGTGATTTTTCAGCTACAAAAAGTTGTTATTGGTGTTTTCTTTTATTACTGTCAAGAAGATAAATGGTAGAGTATACATAAAATATATGAAATTTGGCAAGTTAAAGTTATTGTTTGAACACTTTGTATTGAAGAAATTCTGCACTTGAAGTTCTTGAGTGTTCTTTGTTGCCCATTATTGTTTGAGATACAGAACGTCTTTACCACTAATGCAGCTGAGTTTTTAGATTTAACACCAGATTAAGGAGAATCAAAATGATCAGTCTTCTACATATGATGTATAAGTTTGTGGTCCCTTTGTGGCACTTATTTAAAACCAACTTCTAACAGAGTCATGTGTTTCTATTTCTCACCCTGCATAAGTGCTTCAGGCCTGAGTCAGACATTCCTTCCATCACAGTTATTTATTTATTTATTTATTTTTGAGATGGAGTGTCGCTCTGTTTCCCAGGCTGGAGTGCAGTGACGTGATCTCGACTCACTGCAAGCTCTGCCTCCCGGGTTCACACCATTCTCCTGCCTCAGCCTCCCGAGTAGCTGGGACTACAGGCGCCCACCACCACGCCCGGCTACTTTTTTGTACTTTTAGTAGAGATGGGGTTTCACCGTGTTAGCCAGGATGGTCTCGATCTCCTGACCTCGTGATCCGCCTGCCTCGGCCTCCCAAAGTGCTGGGATTACAGGCGTGAGCCACCACGCCCAGCCACAGTTATTTTTAATGAGAAACTGTCTCATTCTCCACTGTGTTTGGAAACTATAACCATTTTCTACTAAGCAAAGGTGAAATGCTATTTGTTAGATGATATTTTCCCATTCATAAACTAAATCTTATTCTTCAAAGATAATTTATTTATTAGAGTATTCATCAGGCAATACTTTAGCAGTGTATGATTAATGATATCAATTCTTTATGCTGGATTGTGAACATTTGGCTTTTTTCTTGCCATTTAGCATGTATTTGGATTCTTTTTAGTGCCAGATGCTTTTTATCCTGCCTGTTCTTATAAGTCTGCAACATTCCTCTTAGGAATTATATTTTAGGCAAACCTAAGAAGGTAGGAGAATCAAATATATTTTCATATTTTTACTTTCTTATAGTTTTATTTATACATATTTTCACATTTGTATTTATTTCTGCTGCTAACATTTAAGTGCTGTAGAATACGATCATGTTTTAATATTTTCTTTATTATGACTTAGAAAGTTCAAGCCAATGTGAACATTAAGTTGAGGGAATTAAAATTTGATACTTCACTGGTCAAAATTAAGAACTTTAGAAGGATGGTATTTCTTTCATCTGTGCTTTATCCCATTTAAATTTAGTGTCATTTTTGGTACGAAGATGCAAGTGCCACAGTTGTAAGAGTTGGAAAATATTCCACAGAGTGCAAGACAAAGGAAGCTGTGAAAATTCTCCACCAGCAGTTTAATAAGTTTATTGCACCCTCAGTGCCGCAGCAAGAAGAAAGGATTCAGGAGGCCACTGACCTTGCTCAGCACTTATATGGTGAGATCTCTTTTAAGATATCCAGTGATTGGCCATTGAACAAATCTATACTGAGCCTAATCCAGTAGACAGCAAGAGTGTGGCAAGTCCTCAGGGTCCTCAGCACACCAGTGTATTCAGGGAAAATGTTCAAGGTAAGAGCCCACAGCCAGGGAAAGCAAACAGGGAACAGAGGGAGGAATTTCTGACAGCAGATGAAGCCTGCAGATTTTTACCTACTTTGTGTAAGCCTTCCTTCTCTATTCTCTTTTCTCCTCCATCCCTGTTGTTCATCTCTAGGGTAATAACACCAGAACAATACTCAGCTTATATAAACAAACAAACAAACAAAATCTAATTTCCACTAGAGTGATTCCTTGAAAAACATACAAAATTTCAGTAATACTTTAAGAAGACATAAAGCTAAGACTGAAGTCTCCAGTCCTCTCCTTTCTATGAGGCTTTTGGCTCACATATTTGAGAAAGACCTGGAAAATTCTCCTTCACTTTCCTCTCACTTGTGGAATAAATGGGAGAACTCAAATTGCCATTTTACAAGTTCTGCTTTCCTCTCTTCCATGACTAGGAAAGATAATGTCATGTCAGCCTGAGAGATCCTTCCTCCTAAAAGAGGCCCCCCATTTAAGAAGTCCATGGAGGATGATAGTTCTTGAGGGTTCTGAGGAATAAGTTCCATGAATTCCCTGGTATCGGTCCTGTGAGACCCAGAGTAATTCCCAGTGACCAGGCAAATGCAGCCCAGAAAGAAGACACAACAGTTGGTACAAAATGCTTAATTTGCCTGCCCATGGCTGCTGCCAGGTATTTTCTCTTATAACATGAAACACTATCCATGGAGAGCCATAAATTTTGTAGTATACTACTTAAATTGTTGAGAATGAATTATTCATAATATTCCAGAAGAAAAGGATAGAAACATAAAAATAATAAAATATGGATTGAAAAATTAATGGAAACTAAGGTGACATCTTCTTGCTGGAGTTACCGTGTGAGTGCACTAAATATTTTGGAGACACTCTGCTCCCATAGCCTGATATATGTTTCCTCCACGATTGAACTTTTTACGTTGTAGTATAAATACCTATTGGTCTTCTCTACTACCCATAAACTTGAGGAAAGTATATTTTTTTCACTGTATTTGTGCCTGGATCAGTGCCTATTCAATCTCAGAGCATGAGAAGTGCTGACAAAGACCCTAAAAAGTTAAATTCCCTTCCCGTCCTGCAAGATCCTGCATCTGGCTTTGTTTATATTCCTGGCACTTATCACCAACTGACATTTTATATAGGTATTTGTCTGTTGCCTGACTTTCCTTACCAGAGTGTAAGCTGTATTTGAGGAGCGATTTTGCTTGTTAGTTCACTGTCTAATGGCACATACCAACTGCTTAACAAATATTTGATAAATAAATGAATCACTGAATGAGTAAATGAATGACATGAGTCTCCGTCTGTTTGGTAGGGAAGCTATATATTTTTTAAAATTTGCATCAAGGGAGGCACTTTAAGATTGTATCAACTCTTGCAAGCTACTCAAGCATTACTGAACTCAGAATTTTCATGCAAAAAATTATCTCAAACAAATTTGTGCATACCTGTTATCTACTAAGAGCTGTGGCTGTTATAAAGACAATTAAGACCTAGTTCCTCCATTCAAGAGACCACAGTCTAGTCCTTGAAGTCATGGTATGGTAAATGGAGTGAGAAGGACATAAAATGTTTGTGCTTGTTTGCTAGGGCTGCCGTAACAAAATACCACTGACTGGGTGGCTTCAACAGAAACTTCTTTTCTCACACTTCTGAGGTCTGGAAGTCCAAGATGAAGATGCCAGCAGGGTTGATTTCATCTCAGGCCACTCTGCTTGGCTTGCAGATGGCTGATCCCTTGCTGCCTCTTCACGTGGTCATCCCTCTGCACACACATGCCCCTGGTGTCTCTCCCTCTTCTTGTAAGGGCACCAGTCACATTGGATTAGCGCCCCATCCCAATGGCCTCATTTTAATTTAACCACCTCTTTAAAGATCTCATTTCCAAATACAGTTACATTCTGACGTACTGGGAATTGGGACTTCAACATATGAACTTGGCAGGATGGGGGGACATAGTTCAGCCCATAACAATGTGTGATACAATCTTGGCCTAGGGTGTAGAGTCAGATAGTTCTGGGTTCAAATCCTTGTTCCCCCATTTATTGTCTGGGTCACCTAAAGAAGTCCTTTTTTTTTTTTTTTTTTTGAGACAAAGTCTTGCTTTGTCACCCAGGCTGGAGTGCAGTGGCATGATCTCGGTTCACTGAAACCTCCACCTCCCGGGTTCAAGTGATTCTCCTGCCTCAGCCTCCCGAGTAGCTGAGATCACAGGCATGTGCCACCACACCAGGTTAATTTTTGTATTTTTAGTAGAGATGGGGTTTCACTATGTTGGTCAGGCTGGTCTCGAACTCCTGACCTCAAGTGATCTGCCCACCTCGGTCTCCCAAAGTGCTCGGATTACAGGCGCGAGACACTATGCCGAGGCAAGAAGATCTTTTGAGCATCACATTCCTCATTTGTAAAATGTGGATAGTAGTAGAATCTATCCAAGGATTACATTGAGCAATGGTTATACAGTGCTTAGGCACAGGCAAATAATAAGCATGTGCTACATGGTAGCTATTTTTATTACAATATATAGAGAGAAACCCAGTTGGAAAAGATTAAGAATATCTTCACAGAAATGTTGGCATTTCAGGTGGACCTTAAAGAGTAGGTTATATTTTGACAGCAGAAATTGAGAGTGGAGGGACAGTAGTCCTGGTAGAGGAAGGAATACTCAGCTGCTGTGTGGATCTTCAGGGAGGAGTTGCTGGTTCCATTTGGCTGGAGATAAAATACAGGAGAGAACTAGAGTGACATACATTTGGGAGAGGCAGATTGAAGCCATGTTATGGAAGGGACTTGAATGCCATCCTGAGGAATTTATTCTTCTCTAAGCAGAGAGGAACCACTGAATGTTTTGAACAGGAAAAACTAAGGAGAATTGAGCTTTAAGACTATTCATGTAGCAACATTATTTAGGTTACATGCAAGTGGCGTGGTACAGCAAATGTAATCATTTTCCTAGAATATCTAGCTTTTAGAAACTTGTCTTTATTCATTTATTTATCTCTTCAGCAAATATTTATTAAGAACTTACAATTTATCAGCCCTTACACTGGACAGGGAGATGAATTTATACCTGGACTTTTCTTCTTGCTAAAAATTTGACCTTTAAAACTAGTTTCATCCTTCTCCTCCCCAGGTTTGGAAGAAGGACAGAAATATATTGAGAAAATAGTGACAAAACACAAAGAGGTTCTTGAATCTGTGACTGAATTATGTGAGTCCCTCACAGAGCTCGAAGAAAAACTGAAGGTAATTTCTTCTTCCTAGAATATGTATTTTCAAGCAAAATAAATAAAAATGTGTTAATCAAATGTCTTCTGGTGCAAAGACATTTTAACAGAATTTCTCAGGGTACATAATGTGCACATTTGTTTTACAGCTTTCAAACATAATTATCTGGGTGTTTGTGATAATTAATTCTATTTCTTTCCCATCACTGCAGAGAAAAATATTGCTGGTAATGAAGGCTAAACACAATTAAGGTGTCTGGTTTACATTTTCATGGATCATATCCTAAAAAATGTGTCCCATTAAGACTCTGCCAGTAAACTTTGTATTAAGTAGCCTATGGTTTTGTTCATAAATAATAGATGCCAGGGTTTTTTTTTCCTCTCCAAATTGTGGCACCAGAGAAAATACAAGTAATCTTCAGGTATTATATTCATTCAACACTTTTCCTCATGGAAATAGTAAACTAATCATGATCACTTTTCGTAGAATACAAATTTGATGGTAACAAATATGGAGAATATGTTTATGTCTAAGCAAAACCAGTTAAAGTGAAATACATATGTTTCTTTGTCAATGTCATGTCAAAAACTGGTTTGATTAATGCTGTTTTTATAGCTGGCTGAAAGAACTGGTTGTTGAGGATGGGGAGAACAGCAAGGTCATTAAGATCAAAGGCTGTAGAGCAAAGCACAGTTGCCTTGAAATACCAACTCCCTAAATAATTGGATTTGTGACCTTGGGTAAATTATTTAATCTCCCTGAGCCTGTTTCCTGATCTACAAAGTGGATCCCAGGGTAGCCCGGAGGATTGACTGTGAAGATACTCAAGATTATTGTTGTGATAATTGTTATTGAGGCCTAGTGGTGGTCTTGCAGTTCAGAGCAGAATTATGTTTATTTCTAGCAGCCTCTTTTTTCTGTAGGAATTTCCATGTCATAAATTTATGTGCCTCTTCTATTCAAATAGTTTGTGAGGCTTTTAATTCAGTGGGTGCCCAACCAAATTATCTTTATCCTTTGGTTAAAAATCTAGATTTTTTTTTACCATTTTACCATTTTAAATAACACTACAATGAACATCTTCGTGCATAGCTTTTTCTTTCTTTTGTATTATTACCCACACATAAATTCTACAATCAGGTTTGAGAAAACTGAAATTTTTAATATATGAAATGATTAATATTTCTAATATGTATGTTATTTGCTTCCCATCATTGTTTCACAATGATAATAAACCACATATCTCATGTTATCTTTTTCAACATTTATTCTTTCCTCCCCACCTCCACCCCACCACCGAGGAGCTGCTGCTGCTTCTGACTTCCAATACGAAGGCCGAAAATCAGTGCTTCCTCCGACTCTTTGCTCTTCATTGTCTACAATATTCCTCCCGTTTACGTTGCACATCTTCAAGTGAGGGTCAGCTTCATAAAATCTACTTTCTTCAAGTTATATCCCTTTCCAGCTTTTACCTTGATGGCTATTCTTCCTGAAAGAGCTGTTTCCACAGCCTCTCCCACTTCCTCATTCTCCATTCCTTACACCCTCAGTGTAGTCAGGATTGCATTCTCTCTTTCTCACGCTCAACCTGTCACTTGGATTCTCTTTTGCAGTAGTCAGGAGTCCCCTAATTATACTCCCAGCTAGATTACCCTTCCTAAATAGTTCTGCTAGTGTCATCTTCACATTCACAACACTCTACTACAAACTCTTCCTTACCAAGTCAAGTTCCAATTCAAGGCCTTTCAATGTTCTGAAGCTGGTCACCTTTCCAAACCATTGTGCTTCTGCATTCACTGTAGGTCTGTGTCCCACTGATCTACTATGCTCCCTGGGATTTCTCACTTCTAAACCTTTACTTCAAGGACACGACCTTCTGTCTCTGTTTTTCGAAATCTTACCATCTCTCAGAGCCAAACCCAAATGCTGCCTCCTCCATAAATCCTTCCTTAGCTATATCACTCCCTCCCTGATCTCCCATGCCACTTGTGTGCCTTCCTACCTGTCTTAGTCCATCCTGGCTGCTATGCCAAATGCCATAGACAAGATGCCTTATGAAAAACAGACATTTGTTTCTCATAGTTCTGGAGGCTGGAAGTTCAAGATCAAGATGCTGGCAGATTTGGTGTCTAGTGAGGACTTCCTGGTAGCTGTCTACTCACTCTAACCTTTCATGGTAAAAGAATGAGGGGTGTCTCTCAGGCCTCTTTTCTAAGGGCACTAATCCTATTCATGAGGGCTTCACCCTCATGACCTAATCACTTCCCAAAGGCATCATCTCCTAATACTATCGCCTTAAGGATGTGGATTTTAACATATAAACTTTGGGGGAGCATAAACATTCAGGCTATAACACTAGTATAATCCCACATATAACTACTACATATAATTACATCACATATAACTGCTGTTGCCATCCCAACCCTCCCTACTTGATTATACTTAAGGAAACCCTCTGGCGCTGCTAAATTTAGTGTCCCACACAATATTTAACACTATGCTTTGCCTTGTATTTATTTATTGATTTATTTATTTAGAGACAGTGTGTTGCTCTGTTGCCCAGGCTGGAGTGTAGTGGTGTTATCATGGCTCACGGCAGCCTCGACTTCCCAGGCTCAAGCAATCCTCCAACCTCAGCCTCCCAAGTAGCTGGGACCACAGGCATGCACCACCACACTCGGCTAATGTTTTGATTTTTTTGTAAAGTTGAGGTCTCACTATGTTGCCCAAGCTGGTCTCAAACTCCTGGGCTCAAGTGATCTTTCCGCCTTGGCCTCTCAAAATGCTGGGGTTACAGGTGTGAGCCACCGCACCTGGCCTGCTTTGCTTTCTAAAGCAGGTACTCCAGAAAGAGTTTTGGCATTTGTAGTAAATGCCCAATGGATTGGTACAGAGAAGAACTATCATTCATTGCTTGAAGATGTTTAATTTGGGTGGATGTAGAAATGAGAAAGGGTCTCTCTGGCAAGAGAAATAGGCATCAGCATTATCTTTATGAGTTACAGCCGCAACAAACGCTTCCCAAAGAATGCTTACCAGCACTTTACAGGTGTTTGTATGAAGAGAGCAAATGTCTATTTTTTATGTTATTAAATATAAAGGTTGATGCTATGGCTCTCTTTTCAAAGTTATAGAAAATGGGCTCAGCAATTCCTGTCAGGGCTTAAATAGTGATAGAAATCCTTTCTAATGTATAGCAATTTGAGACTTACAAAGGACGTTCATATACATTATCTCCAGTGATTTCCAAATAATGTTGAGACGAAAAGAAGGCAAATGTTTTCTGTGTAGAGGTGAAAGGAAAAGTCCAAAGAGGGTAAGAGTGCTTTACATGGGCCCCAATAGTCAATAGTGGTAGATCTGAAATTTGAATTTAGATCTAATTCAAAATCTAGCATTCTTTCCACACCAGCTGATATTTTGGAATAAGATATCAGCTGCATACCAAAGCAGAGTGACTCATTGAGCAGCACAAACCAGTTCGGTTTAGAGTTGGGACTGAAAGCAGAATCTCCCCAGTAGTGGGTCTCCCTGAATCCTCCGAGCCAGTGTTGCATATGCATTTTGATGAGCATGCATGTTTGTTTAAGACTCATCTAAGGATTTTATTCCAGGTGGAATAGAGACTCTTCCATTGCAGTATAATCATCATTCTAAACTGGTGTGTTCTATCATGTGTGATACCAGTGGTTCTTTCCACCTTTACAAAGTCTTCTCGGCTCTTGCACTGACTCCACAGTACTTTGCAAACCCCCACTACCTCCATGACTAAAACTGAGCCCCATGAAATGCAGGGAACAAAATATCTTCAACCACATGAAGCATCCTGTGTTCTCAATTGCTGTTTTTCTTTACTATACTCAGTGATATTTTATTCCTCTTTTCAAGAGTCTCCCCAGTATTTTGCTTGTGTAGATTCTCTGGATTTCCTACTTTCTTCTCCCCTAGAGATCTTTAATCATTTCTACCTCACTGCTGCTCCCCAGACTCTCCTAATGGTTTACACTGCCATGCATAATGATTCCTTTCTCTAGAGAATGCTCCTGCAGAAGCATCCTATTATAATGATTACTTTTTTCCTGCTGGGTCTTTCAACAACCAATTTTTACTGGCAATGAACTCTATCAAAGGAATGAGGCAGGAGGGAAACTGTGAGCTGGGAGGGATAATTTTATAAATCACATCATGGGAGTACACCAGTCTCTTGTGGAATATATTTGCTGAAAGGTTGCAAGTGGTCTATGTTTTCTTCCAAGTAGTTAGTGTATGGCACTGTTCTCCAACTTTCCTGGCTCATGCTCTCACTAACTGTTGCTTTGTACAGCAGGGAGATGTTTTAAAGATGAATCCGAATTTGGAAGACTTCCATTATGATTACATTGACTTGCTAAAGGAACCAGCAAAAAATAAGCAGACAATATTCAATGAAGAAAGGAATAAGGTAAAGAAAACTACTTAACCTCAGCTATTGAGGACTTTTGCTTTGAGGTTAAAGTCATTGTCCATTGCAAAATAAAAGTGAATTGCAGCTTTCTTATCTATCCAAATAGAATTTCCCAGTGTAAATGCAATGTGAGTTTCCTCCTCCCTTGCTTCCTTTTGCTCCTCTATTGGTGCTTCTTCTCTCTGTTGTGCTGTTTCCTCTGAGCTTCTCACTATCGAGTACTGGAAACCATGACATTTCACAGTAGCATTGGGACAGCCATTTAAATGCCATGTCACCCCAAACCACTTGTTTTTCCCATCTCTAGCTGCCTTTTCCATTGTCTTTTTATATCCAATCCAACTTCAAATTTTACTTATCCCTTTTTATCATATTGCCAAGCCATGATTTTTATGTTTTACACAACCCATTAGCAAAGCTTAATACGTGAAATTAGATCATATCTTGTTCCCATAGACTCTACCTCTAAGATGATATTTCCAGGCACATTTATCAAACCATAGAATCCAGCTGAAATATAAATACTAAAGTATTTAGAGAAATATTTAAATTATTGTAACACTTATGCACTTACTGATAAAGCATGTAACGACTACAGATACTCACAAAAATGCAAATGTATCATGATTTTGAAAGTGTTATTTAAATCACAACATCAAGATGGTTTTTCAGCATAAGTTGCTCACTCTCTATTCACAGCTGCTGGACTATAATTAGCTTTTGACTTTTTGCTTTGCCAAGTTGCCTGCTCCCAGTGTTTCTCTCCTGAGGAGCTGAAGGAACAATCAAAGTCAACATTATTCTGAACCGTGCTCAAATTAATAAAATACACTTCTTGTGACATGAGAGTTAAAAACAAACAAAAACCCTCTCCATTTGTAACAGTTATTTTGTGGAGAAAGATTTATCTTTCCTTGAAGTCAGTATGGTTCTTTCAGCTTTCTTATAGGTCCTTTTCCACAGGTTAATCTATGTCAAGGCCTGGTGCAGTTATACAACCAGCAGGCAGCAAGTAGTGTTAAGCAAACTGTCTTTTTTTGTGGTAGGGTCTTGAGCGACTTAAACCCAGATTCCTCTCTGAGGCAAAGGAGAGCTGCCAAACTTTGGTCATTTTGCTGGATGCTACTCTTGTATCAAATGGTTTTACGTTACTCTGATTGGTCTAAATCAGGGTTTCTCAACCACAGCACTGTTGACATTTTGGCCAGAGAATTCTCTGTTGTGGGGAGCTGTCCTACGCATTGTAGTTTAGCAGTATTCCTGGCCTTGCTCACTAGATGCCAGTAGCATCTATTATACTAAAATCACTTCATTTGAGAATGAGTGGTCGACACAATAAAGAATAGCCTTAAATGCACCACATTTTCTTAAAAAGGTTTCTAAGAGTTACTAACTCCAACACCCTATCATTTATTTTATTTAGTTCTGCACAATTTCCTACATTGTGAACTAGACACACTTACTAAGAACTCAGAAACAAAAGTTATTGCTACCAAAGCAAACAAAAATAATTTATACTTAGTAAAAGTAGTTTTTCTTGCTTTTATTTTCTTGTTAGAAGAAACAGATTCCTTTAAATTAAAAAAAAGCAAGATTTACCTTCATGGAAAAATAACTTTTATTCTAATACAAACTAAAAGGTTGGAGCATCAGTCATTTTGGGTGTAAGTGAAGGTCTACAATTACAGCTGTCAAGAATTGTTATTAACGTCATGTTATGTCCTGGTGCAATTGGTGTAGACAGCAAAATGAAAAGGTGGCAGTAATCTTCACTTTTAAGTAGCTCAATCACATTTACCCTCTTATTGTCTGTATTATTTATATGTAGATCAGATGTAATGATTCTCCACAACCCCATGTGGGCAGATAGGAAGCACCAAGTGAAAAGCTTGTCCTGGTATTATTGCAGTCAATTCTGATACCCTTAAATGATGGTAGAATTCCTGAGGAAATTATTTGAGTTGGAAAGAATAGTTCCACTGAACTACTATAAGAATATATTCAATGCAGGGATTTTTTTTCCTGGAGATAGCAAAGTACTTCTCATTTTTCAGACCCAAAAATGCAGCAGGTGGAATTAGGCAATTCACTAAATGCAACACACGTAGCACTGCTAACAGATTAGTGATGGTGTTTTATTCCCAATGTGAGCACTGAAGATATGAAAACTCCTAAGGTTAAATGGAAGCACACAGTATTAACAGACTCACCTAAAGTCGTGCAACTATTTGGTGGAAGATGATGGCTTTTGATGCCAGCATTTAGAGTTATAGAATTTTAGTGCTAGAAGGGATTTAATCAAATATCATTTTACAGTTGAGGAAACTGAGGCCAAAAGGGATTGAATATATTGTCCTCCAAAAATTACAGAAAGTAGTGTAAGAACTGGCAGTCACCCCAATTCTCCTGAATTTTAGCCATACACTTTTCCCGCAAGACCAAAATGGGAGCTCCCAGGAACTATTGCGTATACATAAGCTGCTTTGTAATGATACTGTAGATGTCCATGACAAACTTTTCCCCTCTTCCTATTTATCTGCTTATAAGCAATAGCATGGAAATATTTTTTGCACCAAAGAATTCAGTGGAGTGCTCTTATCAGACTAGGTGAGGAGGGTCCCTGCACTCCCCCTCTACCCTCAACACACACACACACAATAATCCTGATCACCCGGCAGGTACAGGAAGATGTTCCTGAAACACTTGCCTTGAAAGAAATTGGGAAGAAAATTAGTGTTCTTCTTCACCACCTCTCTGTTCCCTTTTCTTTTACCTTGTCCACCTAAAGTGCCCCAAAATACCACATTACCCCTTTTTGTCTAAAGCCCCCGCTAAGGGCCTTCTCTACAAATGTGTTTTACAGACCAAGTCCTATGCTTAATATCTTCCTTTGTGTTCTTCCTACTTACTTTCATTAAATCTTATTTACCCTAAAGTAAGGCTATCTGTTATGGAGGTATTTTGGAAGATAAAATCTTGTAGTGTTCCTTCAAATTTACCACATATGTAGTTCCCTGCTCTATGGACTTTGAGGATTGGTTCTGCCCACTTAGTTGAATGGATGTAGGAATATCACTGTATTCTCCCTTCTAGACATTTTTTCTGCCTACAGGGCAATGATTTAAATGCAAGGGATTATGCCCATCAGCAGAAATGAAAGTTCAGAAGTCCTGACAGAGATAAGACTTGAAGCTAATAGATTTAGTATTAATTAAAAGCTAATTGTTTACTAGATATGTAAGTGGGTAAGATGTTTGAGGGGCAAGGAATATAGAGACAATTAGAGAACTTAAAGATAAGACTGCAGGCCATTCATATATTTAGAAGGTGGGAAAAGAAAAAGGAATCAACAAAAAGACAAAGATCAGCCTCTCAATTTGATATAAGAAAAGCAGATTGAGAGTTGAGCTATGTTTTGGTGAATTAGATCAGAGTTTCCCAGCTATTTTGCCAGAACTCATTAGACTGATGTAAATATGCCCTGTCTGTACTGAAAACCATAAATTTATTTAAACTTTTCTGGGTAAATAACACACACACATTTTTTTTTTGGTAATAACAAACATGGTTTTATGGTGAAAAAATATTAACAAATAATTAGTATATGTAAATGTTTGGATAGCATTTTCATAGTTGAAAACTAGACAGTTCTAGAAAATATAGCTCAGTGAGTTTTAAAATAATGTTTCTGGCTGGGTGCTGTAGCTTACGCCTGTAACCCCAGCACTTTGGGAGGCCAAGGCGGGTAGATCGCCTGAAGCCAGGAGTTCAAGACCAGCCTGGCCAACATGGTGAAACCCCGTCTCTACTAAAAATACAAAAATTAGCTGGGTGCCTGTAATCCCAGCTACTTGGGAGCCTGAGGCAGGAGAATCATTTGAACTTGGGAGATGCAGGTTGTAGTGAGCCGAGATTGTGCCATTGCACTCCAGTCTTGGCAACAAAAGTGAAACTCCATCTCAAAAATAAAAATGAGAATAAAATAAAATAATGTTTCCATAAAATTCCATAATGACTTAAAAACGGAAATCTTATTTGCATTTTTAATTTTTTTAATTTTTATATGATACATAATAGATGTACATAGTTTTGAAGTACCTGTGATAATTTAATGCATTCGATTTTGCATTTAAGAATAAAAGCAGTAGTGCCAAGAGCCAAATTGATTTACTCAGAAGACCACTTGCATATATATTAAACTCACCTTATCTTGCTTCCCGAGATGATTATTTAATGAGTAATTCTAGGTTAGTGCCATAGGCATAATTTATTATGGTTTCAAGATGTCATTTGATAAACACACTTATGATGCTCTCTTAAGATAAGTGGAGAAATGTGTACTGAATGAGGGTTTGGCCAAGTTATAATTGTACTCAAGAGTGTTAAGTAGTTCATCAACGTCAACTTTGGAGACAATCTGTCTTGTGGAGATATCTAACTTTGTTCTAAACACTGCAGTGTTCAACATTTTCATCAATAGCATTAATGGACAGAGGAGGTAGGACATTTTAGTTGACTACAAATTCAGCATAAGTCAATGGTCCCATGTGATTTTTATTTTAAAAAATGAACTAATACAATCACCTTAATAAAAACATATCATATAAGTCAAGAAGATGATGATTCCACTGATTACTTACCATCTGGAAAGTAAACAACTCTAGAAACAAACATGTTTAATGGGAAGTTAAATGGTTCCAGAAAAAGATTTGAGAAAACTCTTTTCCTCTTATTGATAGTAGAAATTATTGGGTAGTGTTATTTTTTGAGGAAAGTACTTTTTCTATTTTAGGAATTGTTAGAAGTGAAAAAATGATAGCCTTATATTCCTTTCATGTGTTTGGCACCAGCTGAAAGTAAGATACAGGAGTCAGGAACCAGTTAAAGCTGGATGGCTTGGACTTTTCTAGTGGGTTTCCCTAAACTTCATGCCTGATTTAAATAGATTAAATATGTACCCAGTCCACTTGGGTGCCCATCTAGACGACCACAGACTTCACCTCCGGGGGATTTTCATGCCTTAGAGCCAACCTGAACCCATGCATTTCATGAAAGGCAAATCCAAAAGTGAGGGCCTCATAGAGACAGATCTGAGCATGCTCAGTACCTTCTTCCAAACCCTCAATTAGGAAATAAATTCCTCCCCAGCAGGGATTGAGGAGTTGGGAGATGGGTCTGGACTTGTATTCAAGTTTCTCTCCTAAGCTTGTTGTAAGTTTTCAGACAATTCTAAAACATTATTCTTCTGTGGAGAGTCATAGGTTACCTGAAGAAGTCATTAAGGAGTTGTCATTGTCTGCCCCTGGAAGGCCAACAAGTCAACAAATGTCCCTGCTCTTCTATGAAGGATCTTGTGGCGCAGTAGGAGTGGGACCTCCCAGAAATGACCAAGATGATGAGAGAGAGTTGAGGCAAAAGAAGACCTGAGAGTGTCTGGTACAGAGAAAGAGGCTTAGACAGGTTGTAGGACCAATTCTCCAAACAGTCAAAGAGCTATTAAAGTTGGAGAGCAGCTGGACTTTTTGTGTAGCTCCAGGAGGCCAATTCAGATCCATTGGTGGAAACTGCAGGAAGGCAGATCTTTGCTACATATAGGAAGATATTCTTAACACAAGTAAGGCACACATTCTCAAAGTACTCTTTCAGAAAAAGTGTTCAAATAGAGGCTGCCAAAATGTTGTAGTGGAGATTCTTAGACTGAATAGGTGGTTAATCAAAGTCCCCATAAGGAGGAAAATAAGCATTCTACTTTCATGAAGAGATGGACAGAGAGACCGAGCTAAGCTGTGGCACGACAGCCAAAAGAGGGAGGGGCAATTAGTAATTTAATATTCTTTTTAATGAGGGGAACTTCTAAGAACATCTGGGTTTTAGACTCAGAATTTAAACTTTTAGTAAATGGCTGAAGGAAACCACTTTCGCTAAGTTGGGTTAATGTTTCTCTGAGGAGAGATAATCTCTGTGGGATAGTAGAAGCAACATTGCTTTGCTTCGACTCTTCAACCTGAAAACACATTTTTTTTTTTTTTTTTTTTTTTTTTGGAGACGAAGTTTCACTCTTGTTGCCCAGGCTGGGGTACAATGGCACGATCTCGATCTCGGCTCACTGCAACCTCTGCCTGAGTTCAAGAGATTCTCCTGCTTCAGCTTCCCAAAGTAGCTGGGATTACAGGCACCCATCACCACACATAGCTATTTTTTTTTTTTTTTGAGACAGAGTCTCACTCTGTTGCCCAGGATGGAGTGCAGTGGTGCAATATTGGCTCACTGCAACTTCTGCCTTCTGGGTTCAAGAGATTCTCCTGCCTCAGCCTCCTGAGTAGCTGGGACTGCAGGTGCGCACCACCACGCCTGGCTAATTTTTTGCATTTTTAGTAGAGGTGGGGTTTCACCATGTTAGCCAGGATGGTCTCTATCTCCTGACCTTGTGATCCCCCTACCTTGGCCTCCCAAAGTGCTGGGATTACAGGTGTGAGCCACCGCACCCAGTCTTATTTTCTTAAAAATCACTTACAAAATGTATATCAACAGCAGGACTACGGGCTAAAATGAAAAACTCAAAGGCAAGGCAAGATGTGACTTTCCTATATGCATCAGTTACTGCAGGACAAAAACCAGTACATACTAAGTAAGTAGGCACCCAAAATGCTGAGGAACGGCACAGAAAGGAGATATAAAACCAGCAGGTGGGGATAGATAAGATCGCTTTTCAGCTTCAATGTTCTTTTGAGTCTATGCAACAGGGACATTTGAGCCTCTTCTTAAACCAGAGATGGATGTGGATTAGACTAGGACAGTGGAAGCAGAGAAAGAAGTACTGCTACTCACCACTCCTAGCAGGACTACACTCAGATTGGAGCAGAGACAAGTGGCAGGTGCTTTCCTATTGTATCTTGATGTGCTCTCTTGGGAAAGGCCATCAAGTCTGATTGTTCCATTAATATCTGGCTCCTCCACTAGGATATCATCTCCTCAACTGCAGAGACTGATCTACTTGTATTCACCAAATTATGCCTCTAATACTAGCATGGTTCCTAGTGTATAGCAGTAGGTGCTCAATAAATATTTTTTCAATGCAAGAATAAACTAAGGGACTTCAAGAAAATAAAACTAGTCATGAAGAATTGCTTTCTCTATATGAGGTACATAGAGGGGTCAAATGCATAGAGCAAGAGAATAGAATGGTGGTTGCCAGAGGCTGAGTCGGGGGAAGACAAAAGATTAGGGGGTTAGTGTTTAGTGGATACAGAATTTCAATTGGAAAGATGAAAAAGTTCTGGAGATGGATGGCAGTGATAGTTACACTCAATGTGAATGCACTTAATGCCACTGAGCCGTACACTTAAACATGGTTGAAGTGGTACATTTTATGTATATTTCACTACAATTTATTTTAAAAAGAAATGGTTTTCTTGAGAGAAAGGACAGGTTATTCCGGGAGAGTCCAAGGAATCACCTAACAAGGGAGTCTCTGATGGTCAGCATCTGTGTGTTTATAGATGTGTGTGTAGACAAGCCAGACCTAAGCTGACTTTGCTGTTTGAGAAGACTCCCCAGATCATGGTTTGAAAGATGTTGATCTAGTCCAACCCCTTCACTACAGATGGAAACTAGGGCTTTCTCTCTTCTGTTCACAATGTCTATCACACTTTACTCAGAACTTGAGGTCTTTATAATGATTCCTTAGTCATGAGAAGTGGGACTGTGCTCAGGATCGACAGACAAATGGTTTCTCATCCGTAATTCTTGCTCCAGCCCCCTAAATTTTAACCTTGTAGGTTGTCTCGAGTTATCTCTCTGAAGTTGAGTTTTACTGTAATTGAAACTGGAAAAAGAAAAATGAATGAATAAGGATGATTTGGCTTTTCTTTTTTCAAGGGGCAGGTGCAGGTGGCAGATCTTTTGGGCATCAATGGAACAGGGGAAGAGCGACTACCACAAGACCTGAAGGTGTCCACTGACAAGGAGGGTGGCGTCCAGGACCTGCTCCTGCCTGAAGACATGCTCTCAGGGGAAGAATATGAGTGTGTCTCACCTGATGACATCTCCTTGCCTCCTCTCCCAGGAAGCCCTGAGTCCCCTCTTGCACCATCTGACATGGAGGTGGAAGAGCCTGTCAGCTCCTCCCTCAGCCTTCACATAAGCAGCTATGGGGTGCAGGCTGGGACCAGCAGCCCAGGGGATGCCCAGGAATCTGTTCTTCCACCACCTGTTGCCTTTGCGGATGCATGCAATGATAAGAGAGAAACATTTTCAAGTCATTTTGAGAGGCCTTACCTCCAGTTCAAAGCTGAGCCCCCACTAACCTCCAGAGGATTCGTGGAAAAGAGTACTGCCTTACACAGAATCAGTGCTGAACATCCAGAGAGCATGATGAGTGAAGTGCATGAGAGAGCTTTACAGCAGCACCCTCAGGCTCAGGGTGGTTTGCTAGAAACACGGGAGAAAATGCATGCTGATAATAACTTCACTAAAACCCAAGATAGGCTGCATGCTTCCTCTGATGCATTCTCGGGCCTCAGGTTTCAATCAGGCACCAGCAGGGGCTATCAGAGGCAAATGGTTCCTCGAGAAGAGATTAAAAGCACATCAGCAAAGAGCAGCGTGGTCAGCCTAGCTGACCAGGCACCTAATTTCTCCAGGCTCCTGTCTAATGTAACTGTCATGGAAGGTTCTCCAGTGACTTTGGAAGTTGAAGTAACAGGATTTCCAGAGCCTACACTGACATGGTGGGTAGCCTATAATGACAAGCCATAAATGGAAACAAATTCAATCACAGAGAAAAATCATTCTGTGAGCACTAACTGAAAGGTTTAGGGCTAGCTGATTAATATTCTATGACACTGCAACTCTGCATGATTCAATCTCACATCAGACCCCTCTCATTTTAGTAGCAGCATAGTTAATACCTTTAAGAAAAATAAAAGGTAACCATATAAAGTACTAATAATTTAACAAATTTCCAAAGCACTGTAGGTTGGTTGTGCTTGTTTTCTTCTGTGTTTAACATTCCACATTTCTAAAGATTGTGGGTTGAAATTATTTTTTATTGTCTATTTCCATATAAGCATGGCATCTGCTTGCTTTAACTACCTTTATGCAATTGAAAATATAAGAATTTGTTTTTATTTCCCTTTACTCTCATTTACCTCTTTCATCTTTTTCCTCTTTCCAACAGAGTCACACGTGTCATCTTTGTAACATTTTGTTTTACTAGGATTTCTTTTTACAAATTTTTTCAATGTGAGAGGTGGAATATAAATATTTCTGTCACAGTTCCTCCAGGTGACAGGCAATAAACTCATTTTTGAAAGGTAGTATAATAACTGAGCTGTAAACAATATGATTTCACTCTGGAGACATCATTATTTTTTAGCCTCTTTTTTTCAGTAAAAGCAAACTGTAGAATACTGGTTTTGGATCACCTACTATTGGTAACAAAAGCAGTTCTTTCTCAATATGTGGGTTACTTTTAAACATTTAGAAAATTCTCATCCTTAAGTAAATTTATTTCAGGACAAAGTTACAAATCTGCAAAAGCCAGTTTATACTTATAAACTAAGATTAAGTAAAATAGCATTTATTGATCACAATGTTTCAGTAGATATTAAATGATCAGTTTCAGTTATTGTGTGTGCCCATTGATGGTACTTGAAATATGAACCAGTTATCTAAGGAACTTATGAGAAAACTTTGGTTTCTCAAATTATTTAAAAAACTGCACTTGTGCTATATTAGTGCAGTCACTTTTGCTTTTTGTTTTATTGTCTTTACTGTTGCATGTTTTTTACAAATCAAGAGTGTCATATTTATGAATTTTAAAGATATTTAATTCATTATTAAATCTCAGTTCACTCCAAAGAAAAATGTTGTCAGATGTGTTTCTTGTTTTTGTCCACACAGTAAATATTAATAATTTGGTTAGTATGTGTGTGGTTAAAGAAGCACTGCTACATACGTGTCGTTGAAGAATATTGCAATGTTGTAAACAAATGTTTTGTCGTCAGATTTACAACTGTGCTCAATTAATAACTGACAAGCTTTCAGGATATCATACATTCTTAGGATACCCAAGAAAAGGCAAAGTTATCACTTAGGCAATGGGAACAGAAAACGATTCACATTTGTCATCACCCCTGAGTGATAGATTGTGGGTAGAAATAAATAAACAAGAATCTCAGACATACAAAATAAAATTATTTCTTTATAAAACCATGCAGTTAAGCACTCATGTTCATAGGAACCTTCTAGAAATATGTTATTAATAGTCATAATACAGTTGCATAAATACCTTTTATAATTAGAAGTCATTTTCTTCTAATGAAATTGCTTCAAAAAAATTAAATGAAGTGATCTCATCAGGAGGTGATATTAAGTACAGTCCTCTAAAACAGCACATCTGTATTGTCCTGTGGATACTGTGGTATGAATATGATGGGGTAGATGAGTCTCACTCCCATGCAGTTTATAAGGAGTCACAGCTGCTGTTCCAGAGTGGCAAAAAGAATAAAGCTGGACAACATGAGGGTGCCATTTCACACCCTAGGTAATTGTTACTATGAGCAAATGGTGGCCTAGTGTGACCAAATGGTCTGCTTTGTTTTTGTTTTTGTTTTTAGGGGTAGCTGGATATCTGAATTTTCATATGCAATATTCCAATTTTTAAAGGATTTCAAAAAATTCAGTTTTCCAAAAACATTGTCTGAGCCAGTCAAAGCAATTCTCTCGCCACCAGTTGCCAACTTCTGCTTGAAAGATAAACAGCGCATAATACCAGCTACTCAGGAGGCTGAGGCAGGCAGATTGCTTGAAACCAGGAGTTCAAGACCAGCCTGGGTAACATAGCGAGATCCTATCTCTTAAAAAAAATAAAAAATAAAAAACTTAGCCTGCACATGGTGGTAAGCGCCTGTAGTCCCAGCTACTTGAGAGCCTGAGGTGGGAGGATTGCTTGATCCCAGGAGTTTGAGACCGCAATGATCTCTGATTCTGCTACTGCAATCTAGCCTACTAAAGAAAAAAAGATAAAGAGCCCCACTGGAATTTGTTGTGGCTACAAGGTTCCTACTAATCCTAAGAGAATATTGCAGTGGTAATGGGCCTATTTGCAAGCATTATTAGAACTTGGAAATAATGTGAATAAACAGCAATCCTGACTTTAAAAACTGCCTCTCTGCTTCAGGTACAAGAAGGGCCAGAAATTGTCTGCAGATGGGCACTTACAGGTTTTACACAAGGAGACAAGGCATTCGGTGTTCATTCCAAAGGTATGCAAGGCAGACGCAGGCCTCTATGTGGCTCGGGCCCAAAACTCTAGCGGCGCTCTCTCTTCCAATGTCATCCTCCACGTGACAGGTAACTGCAGGCTGCCAATCACAAGAGTAAACTGGATAACCCTGTGTGTCGTCTATGTTAGTGTGTCCCTAATGTACTGGCTCCTCACACAATAACTGTGGTGTTGGCACCAATGGACATCATTCTCATGTGCCTAAAGAAAAGTGCCGCCGTTTATCTTCCTGCACCTCCTGCAAAGCATCTCCCACCAAGTGTATCTCCAGTCTGATCACCATACTTGTTTGGCTAATACCACTGCTAGGTGAAATAATCAAATTTTCTGGAGCGTTTAATATATTTGAGAAGCTTGGTAAATTATCTGTAGTGGATAAGAACAGATTTTTGTACTCTAGAAACAGATGTTTTCAACATAATATGCAGCAAAATTATTCTATGCCTATTCCCTCCTAATTTAAGGGCGTGCAGATGAAGGCTGACATCGGCATAGAAATGTGCTAAATTTCAAATATGGTTGTTCAATAATATATTTTTAATTGTATTTTAAAACATCCCTTTGTAGGGAATATCAGTAGAACTATTGAATTGATGTTGTATTTTTGCATTAGCTGTCCTTTAATTTTGCTTTCCATGTCTTGATCTTGTTACCGAAATGCATTCTGTGTAATTTCAACGTAGACTACGTTCCTGAGTCTGATGATGTCATTGTAAATAATCATTCCTCATGTTGCTCTCACGGGTTTGACATTGGAGGATAGATGTGCCATCAACTTTAAATAGAGTTTCCATCTTTTGTCAGCTCTGCATGTCATACAGCAAGATGGAACACAGGTTGCAAGAAAGAACCAACGTTATTCCTGACATTCTATTGATGTGTTTTGAGCAGCAATGTGTAACCAGGTGTTTCTGCTTCTAATCTTGATTCTGCTGATGACCATTTTTATACTTTATGGCAAAGCCTCATTGCCTCAGTTTCCTGTCTGGAAAATGAGTTCATCATCTACCTCTTGGGCAATTGAGAGTTTTCATTTTGTGTCTTTTAAACATCTGGAAAATGGAAAACACTGAGGGCTAAGGATAATGATATTGTTTAATGTAATTTGTCATCAGACCGGCCTCCTGCTCACTATTTCTTTTTTTTTAGATGCTGTTTTTTTAGAATATTAAATTAAAGGAGTGCTGTTAATATGTAATCTTCAACTAGTTCCATGGAGGAAAGTGATGTTTTATGAATTAGAGCTTAAATTCCTATCTAATTTCTGAAGACTGCATTCTTTTCAAAGACTTGAAATTAAACTCAGGAGGATACATTTTGTTTGTTCTAGGGGGAAACGTAATAGAATGGTATGAGATGAATTCTATCCTTTTACAATAATTATTACTATAATATTGAAGTATTCTATGCCTTTCTGAAACACTTTATTCAGAAAAGATCATTTTTTGGCTTCCTTTTAAAAATAAGCTTGAAGTAGGGAAGCATTTGCTTCTTAGATTTTAAATGTAGTCTTATTATGCTGAGGAAAATCTTTAGTTGAAAGAATAATTCATTACAGATTTTTGATGAAGGGAAGAAATTAATTATGTTGCTGGAAGACTGTCTACAAATAATCAAAATATTTAAATGTAATGTATTCAAGTTGTTATTAAAAAGTTACTGAATGTTATCTGAAGATGTGAAATGTGTAGTCAAGTAAAAAGTTGGCGTATACTTTCTTGGGCTGCATATCCAATTTAATTAAAAAATTAAATCTCAGTTTCCTTCTAAATTTTGATAGAACTATATTAAAAGCTTGTATACACAGCATTCTAGGAAATTTCTCTTAACTATCTTTTTTTTGTTTTTTTTGTTTTTTTTTTTTTTTTTTGAGAAAGAGTCTTGCTCTCTTGCCCAGTGCAGTGGTGCCATCTTGGCTCACTGCAACCTCCACCTCCGGGTTCAAGCAATTCTCCTGCTTCAGCCTCCTGAGTAGCTAGGATTACAGGCATGCCTACCTAATATTTACATTTTTAGTAGAAACCAGGTTTCACCATGTTGGCCAGGCTGGGCCTCAGCCTCCCAAAGTGCCAGGATTACAGGTATGAGCCACCATAGCCGGCCTCTTGTATCCTTTTTGTCCAATTTCAAATAATGTGTGAATCTTGCCTAACTGCTGTTGCCCACGTTGAAGCTAAAGAGTAAAAACCTATTCATGAACAAAGAAGGCAGGTGAGACCCGGTAACAAACTGTCTCTCTTCCCACTTTCTCTTTCTTATTAATTTGGCAGGATCTCCCTTCCCATTTTGTCAACATGGTTGAATTTGTGTGTTGGGGTTGTTAGGGCATGGGAATTCCTGGTTTGCTTTCTCTATTGCATGCTTGTTCATGTTAACTCTTTGGGGAGCAGAATGAGATACATATGCATCCATGGTTATGATGGAAAAAAGCATGCAAAATCCATTTTTAGAGAGAGAGAGAAAGAGAAAGGTGGGGGTGGGGGAGCACAAAGATCAGAAGAGTACTATGCTGATATTCAAGATATAGTACAGATAGCTTTCTGTGTACCTATCCATCTACCTATTCATCTGGGCTATTGATTGACTCCCACAGCAGTAAAGAATAATTACGCAGTTATTCTTCTGGTTATGTTTTAATTTCAAAAAGTTAAGTGTGATTTTCCTTTTTGCTGGGATTTCTGTCTTGAGCAAATAATTATTCTTATGAAAGTATCAATTGCAGTTACTGGTTAAAAATGTAAGACCTAGGAAATTTAAGTGTTGTTTCTATTTTAAGGTATATACATAATTTATAACCATTTACTTCTAGAGAAAATCCTGAATGGTTAGTAATATCAAAACATTTTCAACAAGAAAACTAAAATGAAAAGAAAGTTTAAAAATTACATGTGTTACAGCTCTTTTAGAATTTGTCTAGCAGGTTTTCTGGTGAAAATTAAACTCAAGATTTTCACCAGAAAACGTTTTAAAACTTCTAAACTCTTAAACAAATTATAAATACTTGATACTTTGAAGAACTGCAAAACAAAATGTTTTTAAGTTTTCATAAGGCAAAATCATTGAGTTTTCCAGCTTTGATTTTCCAATAAAAGGATGTATAAATATTTGGTGGTAGTTTTTCACACTCAATTCCAAGAGAAATTTACTGTAGGAATCTGTACATTTGAATCTCTGAATATTCTATGATATTTAAAATATTTGAACAAGATGCAGAAAATTTTTTAGCTATATTAATCAATAATGGTAACCTCTATCACTCATAATCAAGACACATACTTAAAATAGATGACTACAAGACCCTTCTAACTGCTTTGCTCAAATTTAAATTTCCTCAAGTAGTTCATAGACCCTTTACAACCTGGCCTCCCCTCTCTGGCCTCGGTTTGATCCCCTCCTATTACCCCCAACCCCTAGTAAAGTGACATTTAACTTCAGGGTTTTAACATATCATGCTCTTCTCTCCAGCCCTTTCTTCCTATAACTCTCTTACTATCTTCACCACCCTATCTTCATGTGACTTAACTCTTGCTTATGTTCCAGTTCTGCTGAGACACAACTTCCCCTGGGAAGCCTCCTGACCCATCAAGTCCAGAGTAGATGGTCCTGCCATGTGCACTGTCAGCACCTGCACTGCCCAGCCACGCCCCTGAATATACACAAAGGAATCGCAGGTTTGAGCATCAGTCTCCTCTGGCTAGGCTGTAAGAACCTTATCAGCAGGATTCATGACAGCCCTGTTGTCATTGTATTGCCAGTACCTAAGACACAGTCACACTCAGTAAACTCTTTTGAATTGAATTGTTGCCAAAGGTAAACAAAGATAAACCTAGCTTGTTTTTCTCCCCTTTTTAGAGGGAGGAGAGGGGAAATGTAAAAAGACAAAGATGATTCTCCCTTCTTATAGACAGGAGTCAATCCGAATCAGGCCCTAACAATGAAGCACTCATGAAAATCTCTCACCTCATCTGCAAAACTTGTGTGAGAACCCTCCAGACCCTCTGGGCTAGACCCTGATTGAAAATTTGAATTTAAAAATAGATGCTGGCTCCACGGACTAAAATAATAGTAAGGAGGAAAGAGGAAAGGTCCAGGATTGTTGTTCCTGGATCAATATTGTTCCAACATTTTAAAGTGTTCCAACATTTTAAAACATATGTACTTAGGCATAAATCATCATCCGGTATGAGGAACTGGATGCCTCCACTCTCTATGACTAAATCCAAACTGTCAAAACCAGAATTTATGTACTTCTTTAGAACACTACGTAAATGATCAATATTTAATTGTAGCTGGGGCTCAGTAGTCTGGGCTGTGAACAGATCTTATTTGAAACCAGTATTTCATACAAACTTGTAAATATAAAGAAAGCCAAATCCAAGAACTTAAGAGTATTTGAATTCCAAATGAAGAAAGGAAAGAATATCTTATTTTGTTCTGCTTTATGTTTGTCTTTATTCATGACCATTTCTTACTAAAAATCACCATCTGAAGCTTTTGAAACTCCTGTTGTATGCACAGCATTTTAAGTGCAGCCATGAAATAAGTTAGTTGAAACAAAATAAAATATCTCCTTCCAGTATGCTCTGATATTGTGTCAATGTAAATGCCAAGGCATGACAGACTGTTTTCCATTTATAATAAGCGGAATCTTGAGTTGCATTGGAAAGCTAAAAGATTTGCGTTGACTTAAATGAAAGTGTCCTTTTTAAAGCAAAAACAATTCATTTTCTCTGTGCTTATCACAGGAGATGAGATTTGAATGTTATCAGTTGTGCATGAATTCAACCTCAAAAACAGGAAGCACACAGCTGTGATTTTGGCCTTTTTCCATGAATCTCCACAGCACTGTTCCTTTTGATGGTGAGAGTTTGTATAACATCATGAACCATCTGAGCATCAGTGCAGGTTGGAGGCATGACCCTCCTCAGGGTGAACAAGCCTTTGTGTTGAGAGTTTGAGCATTTGGCCTGCTCACTCTTCCTTCTGTTCAACAGCAGTTTCATTTGTGTAACCCAGGACATGGCAAATCGGATTCATTGGATCCTCCTTTTTGTACCACAAAATTAACTTCCTATCTTCCTTAAAGAGCAAGAGTGCAGAAATAATTGTATAGACAAGAATGTGTGTGTATTCCCAATTAGCACAATAAAAACTGGGTGAAATCAAAATATATTTTAACCATAGGAGTAGATGAAAAAAATAGATCAAATCCAATTTTTCTTTAAACCAGAACAATAATAGTTACATAACATGAAGTTTTCTATCTGTATTCTCATGGCTGCTTGCCGTGGCTCTTTTTCCATTTAGAATGCATGTAAACATCAATACTTGTAAAATAGCAGCTCCAGAACTAGGTAATAAAATGAAATCCTTTTCCTTTGTCCCATTCAACAACAGTTCTTTTTACAAGAACTTTATTGATTCAAGCATCTACAAAATGGTATTTTTATCTTATGTATGCATTTTAAAAAAACATGCAATAAAATCTTTTGAGTATAAAAAAATCAGTGAAATATAAAGGGACCTACTTTATCCATGGCAAATTGTCTCCAACGCATATTATGCTAATGATGGCAGACAGCCACCTCGCTTTGTAATAAGTATTATGCACACCCACACACAAACAAGCTGTTGGAAAACAGAGTCAGCTGGAAATGCAGACAAGGTAGGAAACCACTTACTTGGCAGGGTCAGAAAGGGGAATATGCCCATTTGCTCCAGAACCGCTCCTCTAGCAGCTGCTGCCGTGCCAACCCTGCAGGGTCAGCCTTTGATTCAAGTGAATGCAGCTCCAGAAGGTGCCTTTTAAAATGCATTTTTATTCATTTCTATTACTCTTACAAGAGTAACAGTATTTCTTATCACATTCTGGTCTGGGTTAGTAGATTAAATAAGAATGCTTCCCCACCCAAAGAACATAATTTCTGGTGAGAAAATGGGGTCTATGGAAAGCTGAAAGATTTGTATGCTATGTTCCACTTAGGGGTGGTGACTGGGGATATGTAAAACTGGAAGGGATAAACTGGCTACGCAACACGGTGAGGACGCTGAGTGTCAGCTTTGGCTTTCAGCTTCTCTGTCTGTGTGAATTTCCTGTGGATTCTGGAAACGTTTTTAGGGAACTCCCCGAGAAGTTAGAGACCACAATAAAATGTTTCTACATGACAATTTTTGTTACCCAGTAAGAGGACTCTACCGGGTTCAGTAGTGTCAAGGTGGACCCTAAATCCATTTCCTGGTGTCTTTAAAGGGAGGCCATGGCAGACACAGAGACACAGAGGAGACACACAGGGAGGAGGCAGTACATGACACGTGACAACAGAGGCAGAGATTGGAGTAATGCAGCTGCTATAAGCCAAGGTGCACCAGAGATTGCAATCGCTGGAAGCTAAAAGAAGTGAGGAAATATATTTCCCTAAAGCCCTTGGACAGAGAATGCTTGTTTTGGCTTAGACTTTGGACTTTTGGATTTCTAGCCTTCTGAACGATGAAAGAATACATTTCTGTTGTTTTAAGCCACCCTCTTTGTGGTGCTTTGTTATGGCAGCCCTAGGAAGCTACTACAATGACCATGTTTTAGAAGAACCAATACAAGTCTCTGGTAATAAAATTCCCAGAGACCATTGCTAGACACCAGCCAGCCTTTCAAACCAGCACTCCTGGGGTGTGCTAGAATACCTCAGCTTCCTTGCTGATTTGAAGGGATCACCCTAGTACATTTCAGTCCATCAGTAACTTTTCATCTTCTATGTGAACATCACCCCCTAAGTGCACTATGGTGCAAAGAGTTCTAGAGGAAGCTGAAATTATTCACAACAGGGGTCGAGGGAGGGGGAAGGAAAGTTGTCTTTAGACATATAACCAAAGTAAGAATATATACAATATAAGGAAGGAGAATAGAGAAGTTCAAAAAATGGGATTACTAACAGTCAAAAATTAGGAAATACATGACCTAAACAGCACTATCAATCTACTTCATCTAATTGACACATAGAATATTCCATCCAACAACAGCAAAATGCACATTCTTCTCATGCTCACGTGGAGCATTTTCCAAGATAGACCACATTCTTGGCCATATATCATCCATTAAAAATTTAAAAGAATAGTAATTATACAAAAGCAGGTTTTCAGACCACAATGGAATGAAACAAGAAATTAATAACAAAGCTCAAAAATCCAGAAATACCTGTAGATTAAACAGCACACTTCTAAATAACATGTAGATCAAAAAAATCTCAATAAGGATTTTTAGATATTTTGAAAAATATGAAATTACCAATATAACTTATCAAAATCTGTGGGATGTAGAAAAATAGTGTGTAGAGGAAAATGTATAGCATTAAATGCATATATTAGAAAGAAAAAAATCTAAAATCATCCTAAGCTGTCACCTTAGGAAACTAGAGAAAGAAAAGTGGTTTAAGCCTATAGCAAGCAGAATAAAAGAAAACTTAAAAACGAGAGTGTAAATCAATGACATTTAAAACAGGAAAATAATAGAGAAAATCAATGAGACCAAAAGCTTGTTCTCTGAGCAGATCAATAAAATTGATATACTTCTAGCCAGGATAACCAAAAGAGAGAAGACACAAATTACTAATAATAGAAATGAAAGAAACTCTAAGCTCACAAATTTGATAACTGAAATGAACTAGATCAATTCCTTGAAAGACAAACTACCAAAACTCACACAAGCAGAAATAGAAAACCTGAAAAGCCCTTTATCTGTTAGAGATATTGAACCAATAATTAACAACTTTCCAAAAAAAGAAAACACAAGGCCCAGATGATTTCACTGGTAAATTACCAAACATTTAAAGGGAAAAAAATAGCCATTCTCCACAGTCTCTTCCAGAAAATAGAAGCAGAGAGAACTCTTTTTAAACTTATTCTCTTGGGTCAGAATTATGCTAATAGTAAAACCAGGTAAAGGTATTACAAGAAATGAAAACTAAAAACCAATATCTCTCATGAATATAATTACAAAAATCCTCAACACAACACTAATAAGTTAAATCTAACAATGGATAAAAAGAATCCCACACAAGACGTGGGATTTGTTCTAGGTATATACGGCTCTTTCAAAATTCACAAATCAATCAGTGAATCCACCACATCCACAGGCAAAAGAAGAAAAATAATGTAATTATGTCAATTGATGCAGAAATAACATTTGACAAAAATCTAATGTGTATTCATGATAATTTTTAAAAACTGTCAGAAAACTAGTAACAGAGGAAACTTCCTCAGCTTGATAAAGAACATTTATAAAAACCTGTAACTAACATCATACTTAAGGACATCCTCTCTTACCACTCTTATTCAATGTTGACTGGAAACACTAACTAGTGAATATGACAAGAAAACATAAAAGTTACTAAGATTTTAAAAGAAAGAAAACTAATTTGATTTACAGATATCATGACTTTCTACCTAGAAAATCCCAAAGAATCTACAAAAAACTCTTGGAACTAATCAGAGTATAGCAAAATCACCAAAGCAGAAGATCTGCAACAACTGCACTCAAGAAAAAGTTGGGAGCTGTCAGTGCAGTGATCAGGCATCTCCAGAGACCATGGCAAAGGCAGGCTGTAAGAAATTGCCCCTTTTCCATATGTTGGTTGCAGACATTATGGAAACCTGAAATCTAGTTGCGACATGTCACACTTGCTTTTTCTTGCACCTTCCTCTGATATTTTGGTGGGGGGTGGGGGGTGGGGGGCAGATTTGGGAGAGGTAAATTACTTGGAGAAGATGATGCTCAACAGAATGAGGGAATACTTGATGTGAAACATAAATCAAATTTGATCATTAACTACCATTGTCGTTATCAACAGATCAAGAGAGAAAAAATAGAAGGAAATTGTAATTACAGGATTGCTGAGCTGGGCTTTCTCCAATAATAACATGATCAAAATAAAATAAAAGAAGTCCTTTTGGCCTCTGACATCACATCCTGGAGTGGATGATTTACCAGTTGGTCATCTGCTGTGCTGCAGGAATGAATGTAGCTACTGTGGGTATGTACTTTTCTATCAGCAAGGATGGGCCCTGGCTGCTAGTATTATTTCTAAGATTTCTTCTTAGAAACCTAAGCTAAAATATGCCAACCACTGTATTACACCTTTAAAAGTAGTATTTCATAAAGTCATATTTTAGTTTGTTAATTAATTAAATGATAAAATACAAACGGCTATTTTGGCACTTTTAGTTAACTGGAAACTTTTCAATGCAACTAATTGTTTTGTATTGTCTAAATGTTAAGTATAATTATTTTCTTCATTTACATTAAACATTTTCTTGAGAGTAATTTTTGGTCTTATATGTCAATATTCTAAATTATTATGGCATTGTACTTTATTACTTAAAAGAAAACTAACTGATGTACCACAAAAGCCAAGTATTAAACTTGTATTTTATCGAAGGCCTTGTAAATATAGTAGTATAAACAGTAGAGCACTGTAAAGACCCCATCCAGGACTTATAAATGGATATACAAAGTACCTATTATAGGTTTTGTTCAAACCTATGTCAATACATTGTATAATTGCACAAATACTGATTTACTTTGAGAACCCAAAATGGATTATGAACACCATGAAAGATGGCCCAGGTTTAACAGGATGTTCCTGGACAAGTCAGGAGCACAGTCTAAGGTACAGGGGCTGGTCCTCAGTTGCAGCTGACTTTTTTTTTTTTTTTTTTTTTTTTTTTTGACGAAGTCTCACTCTTGTCGCCCAGGCTGGAGTGCAGTGGCGTGATCTTGGCTCACTGAAACCTCTGCCTCCCGGGTTCAAGCGATTCTTCTGCCTCAGCCTCCTGAGTAGCTGGCACAGGTGCACACCACCATGCTGGCTAATTTTTGTGCTTTTAATAGAGATGGTGTTTCTCCATGTTGGCCAGGCTGGTCCCAAACTCTTGACCTCAGGTGATCCGCCTGCCTCAGCCTCCCAAAATGCTGGCGTGAGCCACTGTGCCTGGCCACAGCTGACTTTTTCTTGGCACATGAGTTTCATTCCTCTGTGCTCTGACTCTAATCCATTGTAGGCAAAAATTAAATCAGTTAGCGGAATGATACCATCTCGTAGAGAATCTCAGAATTAGAAAAGCCTATACCATTTCTTTAAATATAAGAAATTGTTGGTTAACTTAATCAAAATTATATAGCAGAGTGTGTTACATGCCATAAGGATCATTGTGAATGAATACAAACTATTTCAAGAGATTTGAATCTTTGCTATACGTGTGTGTGTGTGTGTGTGTGTGTGTGTTTTTCTCTGTATGAGTTCTTGTATGAATTCAGTAATACATAAAATGCCCAGGTGATATATGATGTGATCAGGTTAGAAAAACACCTCATGCTAATGGCGCCAGTGCCATTAGCAACTTATGGCCTAGATTTGATGAAGAAATAAGCTTCTCTCATTTTAACAGTGGTATCATACAGAGAGTTACTTATATGCATGCTCTGGATAAAAGACTCAGCACAATTCCAGTTTTAAAATAGATAATTAAAAATCTGTATATGTCAAACAAGATTTCCAGATAGCTGTTGGAAGGGGGGAAAACATTGTTAAGATAGGTGTACACATATAGCAACCTCAGATATAAATTCATTTAAATTCTTCATTGATAGCAAACCAAAAAGAATTATTTCTAAATAGAACTTTGAAGTTACTTTAATTTTAATGTAATAACAACGTCATAACATCATAAATCTTAGTTGAGAAGCAGCTGTTGGTTTTTTCAATCCATTAGTTATGGTATTTCAAGCTTCCATAAAAGTACTGAATCTAGATCTTTAAAGATGAATTTTTCTAGCTCATATCTTAAGGTTACTAAAGCATACATGATTACTGCGGGAACAAATGTTTTGTGTGTTTATTTCTTTTTTATTGCTAATGGTTTATATGCTAATAATAAAATGTATATTAAGTCTACTAAATACCTGGAAACAACAGAATTTGCTTGCCTGTTTCTTAGCTTTACTGGGAATTCCTTAAAGTATAATTTGACATTAAGTTCCTCTAAAGGTAATAAATTTAATCTGATTATCTCATTCAAACTTTTGCAGATAGAGGATGCTTATTCTTATATAACTATTGACTCAAAATGCACTTAATAAATGAAATTTCTCCAACTCAGAGAAAAAATAATCATGGTGGTTAATATTTAACCACCATTAACGTACACCAATTAAACATCCCATTGCAGAGTAGTGGTTTGTTTTATGGAAG
Organism: Homo sapiens; assembly: GCF_000001405.40. Taxonomy (NCBI): domain Eukaryota; kingdom Metazoa; phylum Chordata; class Mammalia; order Primates; family Hominidae; genus Homo; species Homo sapiens. Next base: position 178,823,095 of record NC_000002.12, on the reverse strand, counting down.
GATAGTAATCAAAGCAAGTTAAGACAGTTTTCTGCAGTCAAATGTACTGGCTTCTCATTGTGCTATATTCCTTTTCATATGTGGACACATGGAGAAATATTTCTTTTTCCACCAATCTGAAACTTTGCAGGTTGGCTCAAACAGACTCCATATACAGTGCAAAGATTACATGGTTATTTTAATAACATTAACAGACATATTTGAAATCAGAGTATAATTGATATTTAAATTATATGACACTGGCTGTACATGTTACTGAAAATAAATTACAATCTTCACTTTTGTTTTAAATTTCTAATGATGGATATGCCTTTATATGTCTGATATAAACATTTCCATTTAGAGATAACATAGATGAGATAAACGGCCCTCCATTGATGTTGCCCTGAGAAACATAGGGCCATCTGAATCCTTTTTAATTGGGTAAATGTAGGCTTTTTGTTGAGGTTATCATGTACCTTTATGCAAGTAAATTGAAATCCTAAATATTGCTCATTAAAATAGTGGAACACTAATTTTATAAAATGTCATGCTTTTGAGCCCATTCTCAATCTTGTATTCATAGAGAAGGGAGCACTTGTTTTAAAGAATTGGAGTATTCTGTATTACTCCTCTTAAAATGTTACTATTTGGAGGAGCTAAAGACCAAAATTCTTTTTTTTTTTTCAGGAGGGATTTTTTTTTTAATTATTATACTTTAAGTTCTAGGGTACATGTTCACAACATGCAGGTTTGTTACATGTGTATACATGTGCCATGCTGCTGTGCTGCACCCATTAACTCGTCATTTACATTAGGTATATCTCCTAATGCTATCCCTCCCCACTCCCCCCACCCCACAACAGGCCCCGGTGTGTGATGTTCCCCTTCCTGTGTCCAAGTGTTCTCATTGTTCAATTCCCACCTATGAGTGAGAACATGCGGTGTTTGGTTTTTTGTCCTTGCGATAGTTTGCTGAGAATGATGGTTTCCAGCTTCATCCATGTCCCTACAAAGGACATGAACTCATCATTTTTTATGGCTGCATAGTATTCCATGTTGTATATGTGCCACATTTTCTTAATCCAGTCTATCATTGATGGACATTTGGGCTGGTTCCAAGTCTTTGCTATTGTGAATAGTGCCACAATAAACATACGTGTGCATGTGTCTTTATAGCAGCATGATTTATAGTCCTTTGGGTATATACCCAGTAATGGGATGGCTGGGTCAAATGGTATTTCTAGTTCTAGATCCTTGAGGAATCACCACAGTCTTCCACAATGGTTGAACTAGTTTACAGTCCCACCAACAGTGTAAAAGTGTTCCTATTTCTCCACATCCTCTCCAGCACCTGTTGTTTCCTAACTTTTTAATGATTGCCATTCTAACTGGTGTGAGATGGTATCTCATTGTGGTTTTGATTTGCATTTCTCTGATGGCCAGTGATGATGAGCATTTTTTCATGTGTAAAAACCTAAATTCTAATCCTAGCTTTGCTACAGAAGAACTCTGAGGATTTAGGCCACTAAAATCTTTGACCCTCATGTTCCTTGCCTGTGAATTATGGTGCAAAATAGACCATTTCTAAATGTGCGTCTAGCTCTCACTGATCTCTAAGGGGTATTAAACACACAGTGTGTTCTTGATTTTCTCATTGGAACAGGCAGGTGATATTGCCAAGCACTTGGTGTTTGGGGCCAAATGATCAAGAGAACAGTCAAGGTTTAGAACAAAATTTAAAGGAAATTTCCTGGGAAGCAGAAGACAGATAAGGTAATAATTTTGTTTGCTCAGAATAGTGTACTTTTTGGCAGTCATAACAAATTCTATTTATTCAATAAAGAAAAAATATAAATATATATATGATTGTAGGACTTCAAATATGGTTCACTAAAAACTTGGTATACCCAAACAAATAATCAGGCTCTTATTCACCCCCAAAAGTCCCAGGCTTAAAGCCCTTTCATGCAGTTGTGGCTTTGTTGAGTGATGAAATAACTGGGAATATAGCTAGTTGATGAAAAATTTATTCCTATGTTAGAAAAAAGAAAGTCAGCATAGATCTTGTCATTCTCTAGACAAATGCAAACCTAGTTTAACATTTGTTTTGTGTCCAGTGAGTATTATAAAAATGCATAGTGGTATAATAGAACATAGAAAATAAAAAGTCACTTTGACATCTTTAACATGTGGAACCTTGAGGAACTTCATAGATAGATACCCTTATAAGACTGTAGCACTCTAAAAAGGGCTATCAAAATGTCCACGCACATGGTACCTGCTTTAATGAAGAGCTCAGTACCAGTTTCAGGCAATTTAAAAATCTTAGCCTTTATTATATAGACATTAAGTCAAATTATTTTTCTATTATGATCCCTTTTGAAATAAGCTTTAACACATTTCTAATGCTTTCTTCAGAACAGCTCATATGAATTAATAACTTTTTAAAAAAATTCTTTCATTTCAATTTAATCTGAAAACTTTAGATCTCATTCTCAGGGAAAAATTACTTTATTGCATGTAAAGTAATTACAAATAGAATATAGTTCACAATTTTCTTCCAAATTAAGCTTGAGCCTCAATAAAAATATTTTTAAATGCCCAACAATATTCAGTTATTATTTGCCATGTTTCTGTTTTCATGGGAAGATATAATATGTTTAATAAAAATACATATCTAAAAGGAGAATCCGATTTGTAAAATTATAAATTCTAGTTTTCAGTCAAAACCACCCTGAGCGTGAACTTATCAGAATCTTGTCTGAGTAACTACAACCCCTCCCCCAACCTTAAAAAAACACACCACAGCCCCACTCTCCACCGGTGTGGCCAAACCAAGGGAAATGAGAAGCAGGAATGTAGCTCACAGGTCAGAGCCAAATACGAAGAGTAAAAATAGTACCTTGAGCTTTCAGAACCACAGATTTTCAAAGTGAGCCAGAGGGCAGAGCAGCAGCTACATTTTCAAACAGAAGTAACTACATCTTTCTAATCAACTGCCGTGTTATGGAACATAAACTGCAGGAAATGATGGCTTAATGTCCTTTTATGTATCAGATAAGCAGGAGGAAGTATCAGTGGTGTGCTTTACTTAGTGAGAGAAGCTTAATAAATATATTTATTTATTTATGTCCTTTAATGCAGTAGAATGCTTTTCAAAAACCATTCAACTTGTGTGTACACTGACCAGAAAATGTTCTATATAAAAAACTGTATTTTGCTTAGGTTTTGAGATGAATGTTTCATGAGATATCTGTATATGTATTAAAATTATTTAAATATGAGGAAAATGTGGTATTTGTGGTGTATTTCTCTAAAGCAGGATTTTTCAACCTTGATACAAGGTTGACATTTGGGACTAGATAATTCTGTGTGTTTGGGGGGTTGTCCTATACACTGTAGGATGTTTAGCAGCATTTATGGGTTCTACCCACTAGATGTCATTAGCACCTCCACCCTCAGATGTAACAACCATGATGTCTCCAAATATTGTCAAATATCCCCTGGCAGAAAATCATCCCTGGTTGAGAACCACTATTTAAGGAAACAAGATAGCATAAGCTTGGTCAAGATTACACACTGGTGTTTTGTCAGTACAATTCAGAAAATAAAATCCAGCAAATAATGTGCTCTTCACAAAGCTATTTTACTGTTTCTTAATTATTGAAACTTTTTCTTATTTTTGTTCTTCTTAAATGGATTAGTTATCCTGGGTAGATTACTAAATAGTTTTAAGTAGTTGAATAAATTTGTTATGAGAGCTAAAATTCCTGACATACCACTGCCCTGACATATCAGCAAAATGATAATGATGATGTTCAATTAAATGTATCAAATAAAAGCCTGCAAAATTCAACAGACTGAAGTCTATATTCTGGAATTTGACAGCAAAAAAAGTTGTGTAGGTTATCATTTTTTGGCAAAAAGGCCCCTAAGTACACTTGCAATCAATGGCTACATGCGTAGTTCCAAATGTCGTCTTTATTACTTCTGTTTAAATCTGTCTCTAGAATAGTCTCCAAGAATGTAGCTTTTTTACTTTGGAAACTCTTACTCAGACAGATCCCCAGTAAAGCTTGGTAATTTAGTAGCTTAAGAACAAGTTCCTCCTTCTGTCTGCCCTTCTTTCTCCCTTATATGTGAGGAAAGTGGAATTTCACAAGATGACTCTATTCAAGAGTCTTGATAAAAGTCGCCTTTACAAATGCTTTTACACTGTTTTGGGGAGTGTAAATTAGTTCAACAATTGTGGAAGACAGTGTGGTGATTCCTCAAAGATCTAGAACCAGAAATACCGTTTGACCCAGCAATCCCATTACTGGGTATATACCCAAAAGAATATAAATCATTCTGTTATAAAGATACATGCCCATGTATGTTCATTGCAGCACTATTTACAATAGCAAAAACATGAAATCAACCCAAACACCCATCAATGATAGACTGGATAAAGAAAATGTGGTACATATACACCATGGAATGCTATGCAGCCATAAAAAGGAATGAGATCATGTCCTTTGCAGGGACATGGATGGAACTAGAAGCCATTATCTTCAGGAAACTAACACAGGAACAGAAAACCAAACACCACATGTTCTCACTTATAAGTGGTAGTTAAACAATGAGAACAGATGGACACAGGGAGGGGAACTACACACCTTGGGGCCTGTTGAGGGTTGGGGGAGGGAGAGCATCAGGATGAATAGCTAATGCATGTGGGGAATAATACTTAGGTGATGGGTTAATAGGTGCAGCAAACCACCATGGCACATGTTTACCTATGTAACAAACCTGCACATCCTGCACATGTATCCTGGAACTTAAAATAAAATTTTAAAAAGTCACCTTTATGGGTTTTGTTTTTGTTTTTACTTTTGCTTTTGGTTTTTCAGTCAGGGGAATTATTGATCATTGCTAGACATTAGGAGGTGGTAAGAATGCAGTAAAAAGAAATTTGACATTGTTTAGAAAGACTTCTGAAAACGAACACATTGAAAATATTGCATATGTGGGCCAGGTGCGGTGGCTCACGCCTGTAATCCCAGCACTTTGGGAGACTGAAGGGAGTGGATCACCTAAGGTCAGGAGTTTGGGACCAGCCTGGCCAACATAGTGAAATCTCGTCTCTACTAAAAATACAAAAATTAGGCAGGCATGGTGGCGGATGCCTGTAATCCCAGCTACTCAGGAGGCTGAGGCAGGAGAATCACTTGAATCTGGGAGGAACAGGTTGCAGTGAGTGGAGATTGTGCCACTGCACTCCAGCCTAGGCAACAGAATGAGACTCCATTGAAAGAAGGGAGGGAGGGAGGGAGGGAGGAAGGAAGGAAGGAAGGGAGGAGGGAGAGAGAAATAGAAAAGAGATAAAGAAAAAGAGAACGAAAATATTACACATGTGTATCTTAGCAACTTCAAATTTCCTTTTCCTTTTAGTATGAAGCAAAATTCTAACGTTCCTAGAAAGTGTTAGACCTGTCAACCTCCAGGAAGGATGAGATCTGCTTCCACACTGCACAGTGTCCAGAAGATCAGGACCATGTGTCACTTGGTTCAAAGATGACTTCTAAGTGGTACCTGGAGATACTGAAGTAGGTCATGTGGTTTTGTCTTTATTTTCAGAAGAATATATTGTGTTTCATAACTCTATGTTTTTCTATATTATCCACAGAAAAAGAGCATGAGTCTTTCTGATTCTAGGAAGTACTTCTGTCCTAAACCAACAGTAGTTTCAGCTAAATTCTTATATTTGAGGCCATGTTCTCAGGTATACAACACATAAATGAATGAAATATTTATTCACAAGACAATATGCACCCTTTTCTCTTAAAGAAATAAACATGTGGCACATTTCAGACAGAAGCTAAACACAAAAGTTTTTGCCCAAAAATACAACACAGGAAACAAAAGTACTAGAAGTATGAAAAAGTACTAGCAAGAACCAGTTGTCCACTTAGGTAAAGGGGCAGGAACTAAAACTCTTTTGTGGAGGTTATCCTGTTTCTAAGTATAAATACTCATATGTGGAAGTATCCATAACCCATGTGAATATTACATATTTTGTTGTCCTTTCTACTTTTAGAGCTATTACTGTAAAATTATAAGTACATTAGAAATCTAATGTGCAGATATAACCTTAATGAGTAACCCAAAGTTCTCATTCCTTATTTCTCTTAGGTGCAGATTTTAATCTCATCCTAGAAAGCTAGAATATGAAAACCAATGATTTACTCAGGGAATGAGCCTGGTCTACCACCCAGGAGCCACGTTTAAAGTTATTGTTTTATTTCCCTCATTCTCTTCTTATTGTAGAATACTCCCTAATTATCCCAAAGTACTTATTTTATTATGGTAAAAAATGGGTCAGAATACATACCTATTAGAATGGCTAAAATCCAAAGCACTGACAAAGCCAAATGCTAGTGAGGATGTGAAGCACCAGGAACTCTCACTCACTGTTGGTGGGAACGCAAAACGGCAGAGCCACTTTGGAAGACAGTTCGGCAGTTTCTTACAAAACTGAACATACTCTTGTCATACAATCCAGGAATTAGTTTCCTTGGCATTTACCCAAATGAGCTGAAAACTTGTGTCCACACAAAACCTGCATGCAGATGTTTATAGCAGCTTTATTCATAATGGCGAAAACTTGGAAGCAAACAAGATGTCCTTTAATAGGTGAATGGATAAACAAACTGAGATACATACATACAGTAGAATCTTAGGCAATAAGAAGTACACGACTAAGGCATGGAAAGACACTAAGGAATCTTAAATGCATATTGCTAAGTGAAAGAAGTTAATCTGAAAAGGCTACATACTGTATGACTCCAACTATATGGTATTCTGAAAAAGAAAACAGTACAGAGACAATAAGAAACCAGTGATTGCCAGGCTTTAGGGAGAGAAGGAAGAAGATGAAGAACAAGTGGAGCACAGAGGATGTTTAGGGCATTGAAACTACTGTGTATGATACTGCAATGGTGGATACATGTCATTAAACATCAATCGAAACCCACAGAATGTCCAAACAACAGTGAACCCTAATGTATATTATGAACTTTAGTAATAATGCATCAATATTGGCTCATCATTTATTACAAAGGCCAGCTTCTGGATGCCAGGACTTACTTTTATCTTTTTCAAAGCTTACTGTTTTTTAAACTTACATATACTCTTACAACAGTTGTTACTCAACTAACCTCTAATGAATGTAGTCTCTGATGGGTTAACAATACAGTTGCCTCTCCCTACTCACATGTTCTGCATCCATGAATTCAACAAAATGCATATCACAAATACTGAAAAAAGAAAAACCCCAAAATAAAAAAAATACAAATAAAAAATACAACATAACTATTTACATAGCACTTACATTGTATTAGGTATTATAAGGAATCTAGAGATGATTTAAAGCATATGTGAAGATCTGCATAGTTTAAATGCAAATACTATGCTATTTTATATAAGCGACTTGAGCATCCACATATTTTGATATCCGCTGGGGGTTAGGGGGTCCTGGAGCCAATCCCACAAGGATACTGAAGGACGACTATACTGCAAGTGTCCCCAAATCACAATCTATCAGCAGAGATGGAGGGAGACAAAGATTCACATTACAGATGATAAGTGTTCCTTCATTTTGACAAAGAATTTGCCAAAGGTGAAACTGTTGCTAAAGCTTCCTCATTTTAAATGGAAGAGTACACATTAACACTTAGATCCAAAGTGAAGGCCTAGAGATGAGCAGTTTTTTGCTGCTGAGATATGGTAATAAGCAATTAGGAAGTCCTGTCCTCTCCAGCCTGCTCCACTCTCATTTCCTTAAAATATGATTCAGGGATTCTGAGAAAGTTGGTCACCAAAAGCTCAAATTGTCATCATATTTATCTGATAAAGTTGTTCATGTCCTTAAGATATATGTTATGGAGCATATCATTAGTTTGCTAGCACTGCCATAAAAATGTACTACAGACTGGGCAACTTAAACTTACTGAAATTTATTTTCTCACAGTCCTGAAGACTTGAAGTTCGAAGATTAAAGTGCCAACAGAGCTCATTTCTTCTGAGGCTTCTCTCCTTCACTTCCATCTTCCTCCTGTCTCCACATGGCCTTTCCTCTGTTCCTGTTTTGTCTTAATCTCTTGTTCTTTTTTTTTTTCTTTATTTTTGGAGATAGAATCTCACTCTGTCACCCAGGCTGGAGTGCAGTGTTGTGATCATGGCTCACTGCAGCCTCAATCTCCCAGGTTCAAGTGATCCTCCCACCTCAGCCTCCTGAGTAGCTGGGTCTACAGGTGAACGCCACCATGCCCAGGATTTTTTGTTTTTGTTTTTCTTTTTTAAGACAGACAAGATCTTGCTATGTTGCCCAGCCTGGTGTTGAACTCCTGGGCTCCAGCGATCTGCCCACCTCCATCTCTCAAAGTGTTGGGATTACAGGCATGAGCTACTGTTCCTGGTCCTATCTCTTGTTGTTATAAGGACACCAGTCGTATTGGGTTAGGGCCCACCCTAATGAGCTCATTTTAACTTAATCATCTCTTTAAAGACCTAATCTCAAAACACTGTCACAGTGTGAGGCACTAGGAGTTAGAATTTCAACATATGAATTTTGGAGGGTTCACATTTTAGCCCATACCAAGGAGCTACTATGTGTCGATCGTTGTTCTAGTCAGTGCTGCAAAAAGGCAATGGGCTGGGCAAAATCAAAACAGGACCAAAAAGCCAGGAGTGGAGGATAATAGATTCAGTCAGTATCTTGGGTGATGTAGGGCTCCCAAGACTAGCTGAAGATTTAAATCAGAGAAATTATGTGAAATTTTTATCATGGAGTGCTTATTGGGCTTTGAGGTGGACTTGGATTGGAGGCAGAAATGAACGGTTAAGAGGCTAAATCCAATAGAATAAGTGAGAAATAAGGACCTGGAAACGGTAGTAGCAATAAACAAGTTTACAAAGATTCAAGCTATTTTTAGGTGGTAGAATTAAAAGAATTTATTGACATCTCAGAGGCAGGTAATAAGGAGAAGGAAGCATTAAGAAAAATTCCCAGAGTTCTCACTTAGGTGATTGAATAGATTGTGATGTTATTAACTCAGATGGAAAAATCCAGGAGAAGGACAGATTTATAAGGAGTCTAATCTGGGTGTTTTAAGTCTGAGATTCTCTTGGAGATAGCCAGTAAGAGTGAAATGTAAGTCTGGAACATGCGAGCGATGAATAGGGCAGAGATAATCATCTTGAAGTGATCAGAATGTAGTTGAAGCCTTGAAAGGAGATGAGCTAACCCCGGGAAAACACAAGAGTAAGAAGAGGTAGAACCTGATGAAGACCAACAGGAGGAGAACTGCTCATGAATAAGTCAGAACTGTATGAGTCCAGAGAGGCTGGTGCCATGGAATTCAAGTTTGGAGAGAGCTTCTAGAAAGATGAAGTATAAAAGTTAGTAGGTGAACTGGTGAAAGTGATGGGATGTAGAAAAAATGTATCTTGGGTGATTCTTCCTGGCTGTTTTATCAAAAAGCCAAGGCCAAAGGAAGACATAGCCTGAGAAATAGTTCAAGTTTAGTGCTATGAACTCATTGACTTTTCAGTCACTCAACACAAATAGTTGTCCTTTAAGTGAATTTATTTGAAGAGTTTCCTAACACATCACTTACTATTATGCATTATGAAAATACAATTTTTAAGTATCCACTGGATTAATAAGTGACAACCAAAAATGTTGCAAAAAAAAAAAAAAAACTCTGCCTATTGGATTTGGAAATAAGAAAGGCAGTGGAAAACACAATATGAATAGTGCAAGAACAATGAGAAAAGAAGCTGAAAGAGGGTTCAGAAAGAATAGGTGTCTCAGTCTATTCAGGCTGCTGTAGCAACTTACCTTACCCTAGGTAATTTATAAACAATAGAAATTTATTGCTTACATTTCTGGAGGCTGGGAAGTTCAAGATCAAGCCACCAACAGATTGTATATCTAACAAGGGCACTTTTCTCATAGAAAAGGCCTTCTTGCTATGACCTCACATAGCAGAAGAGAAAAAGGAGCTCTTTCAAGCCTCTTTCATAAGGGTACAAATCCCATTCATGAGGGCAAAACCCTCATAACCTAATCACTTGCCAAAGGCCCCATCTCTTAAAACCATCACCTTTGGGGTTAGATTTCAACATGAATTTTGGAAGGAAACAAACATTTAGACCATAACAATAAGAAATAAAGAAATTAATACAGCAATAAGCTCAGTTATAATTAAATGGGAAAACAATGTATCAAGTAGAGTGGCTGGTAAGGGGAAGAAGCTTCTAGATAGGAGAAGTTAAACATATTATATGGAATAGTGTGTGTCTTGGAAGAAACAAGAGTAGAAGGATCCTGAATATTGGTCTAGCCTTGAAGAGTAATAGACCCATTTTCCCCTGACACTGGAGGAAGACAGATAAGCATATGTATATGGTTATAGAGTAAATGTTTACGCTCTACTCATGATAATACTGATGAAAAGAGATGTATCTTTAACTTCTCTGTTGATGTTAGAAGAGAAGCAACTCCACAGAAGAAAGACCTGAAGAGGGCAAGACCCAAAGTATGGTCACAGAGGTAAGGTGCTGAAGTGGGAAAGAAGAAATGAATGCCATTTCAGACCTGCCAGGCAGGAACTGTGTGGCTAAAGGTGTAGAAAGGGCTATTCAAATAACAACAATAACCAGCAATAGCTTCCACATTGAGCATTTGTTATAAAATGTGCTATGAAAAAAAATACTAGTATGTAAAACTATTTGTAAAAATAAAAAATCAAATAAGAACTTACAAAATCTAGTTAATGAAAACCAAAACAACAGTAAAGGAGAATATTCACTACGAAGAAGTGAGTATTCCCATTTTACAAGGAAGAAATGAAGCTTCAATGATTAATCCAGGGTCATTTTGCTAATAACTGGTGCATCTGGGATTTGATCCAAAGTCGGTCTGATTTAGAAACTGTGCTATCCATCATTTTCCTCTAGTGTGGTTACACATGGATGTGGGAGTCCCTCAGGGTGTTGGCAAGGCTTACACTAGGGGTTCTGATGCTGATGTCTTCAGGAAATGTTGAGAAGGCCTTTGAAGAAAACACCCTGAAAGCCTGGAGAAGATAGGTAGAAAGTGGTAGCTAAAGAATCTTTAGCTTCAAAGGAAGAATAGACTTTGTTTAGAAATAAAAAAGTAAACTTCTGGAGGTGATAATGGAAGCTGGAGAAAAATCAGCACTTGGCTGTGTGGGCACTGAGTAGTTTCCTTTACTTTAAAAAAACAAAGATTAACCTTTGTTTTTTGAGACTGTAGAGCTTTGAGGGCCATTTTTAGATTTTTGTCCCACAGAGACTGTTTCAGTTTTGGAAAATCCATCCCTGAGCTTGTCAGACGCATTGAAATATACCAATCTCAAGTGCAGTTGACTAGTTGACATATCTTCTTTTGTAGGTATTTGATAAATATCCATTATTTTCATTGTTGCAGATTTCTTTTTGTATTTCAAAGCAAAACTTATTTTTCAGCTCCCAAACATGTTTTTGGCCCTGAAAGAGCCCTTAATCCCTGTCCCCAGGTGCCGTGTCTGCAGTGGTTACTGGAAAAAATGAGCCTGGTTGCCTCCCTTCAGCATGTGTAAAGCTTGATATTTGACAGCAGTATCACCTCCAATGAGCATTTGCTGGTGGTTAGATCTAATCAGGTTTATAGATTCCTGCCACAGGCCTTCAGAAGTCCAACTTATTTCTTTTTTAAGATTCCAGTATTTCTTGGGCTTTGCTTTAATCCACATATAAGTGTCATGTCACCTTCTGAGGGCCTTCAGGGAAGGACGTGACATGTGCTTTATTCCATGAGCTCACTTTTGGACTTCTCAAAGATTTCTTAGAAAATACTATCTTGTATATTTTATCAGGTAGTCAGAGATAATTGAGCAAATCAATACTACCAAGCACAGAAATTATTTTCTTAGTGTCATGCCTGGCAGCAGCAAACAAACAAAATGCCTACCATGTGTCAGATTCTCATGGTCCTGGACACTGTCACGTTCATTCTGTCATTTAATATTCCTAATAACTCTTTGAAGTCGAGATAATAATCTCCAATTTGCAACTGACAAATCTGAGACAGAGATTCAAGTGAGTTGCCTAAACCCAGGTAGAATAGGAGAGAAATTCCAAGTGCCCCTAACAGCAGTGCTACTGAGACATTCAAGACTTTAATTTTTTTATCTTTCTTACTTTGGTAAAAATATCTTACGTGTCTGAAATAATCTTTTTGTATTCGATGTGGTGTTAAATGCATCTGTGACTATTCGTACACTTGTAAATAGTTGTGGAAACCTAATTTGATCTTGCTTCTAAAGAAATTATAACTGGATGTAGAAAAAAATGGGACAATAAGTCTTTTAAATTGTAAGCAACAATTTCTTGCCTCCCACATTCCCAGTGTAGCTTTTTCCGCCTCTATAACTCAAAGAACACGACTGTCTTCCATTAGAATAAATTGTTTTTGTCAGCACGCTTTTCCCTGTGCACTTCTTGAATTTGCTTTTCTATTTCCTTGTTTAAAAATAGCTCCATGATGAGCCTATATTTCAGCTTTGATATATTTTATGAGTGGAAAGGAAATTACAGATATTATATCACTTAATATTACTGTGTTAACAAAAATGTAAACTCTTAGAGGGCAGGTATTTTTGTGTGTTGTGTGCATTGCTATGATCTCTGTGCCTAAACTGTGTTTAATACAATAAAAGAACACACAAAAAAATTTAATCAGTCATAAGATACATTAGTTTTACTCTCTTCTAGTATCCTTGCATTGGCCTTCAAAACTGTACCCATTTCTCGAATAACTCCCAGTAAGTCCTTCCTTTGTAAATGGTCCTATATAAGGTAAACAAAGTCTGACTATGTAGTTGGAGTTACTGCCTGAGTTTTACATATATCCTAGACTTGGTCTCAGTCACAGATTAATGAGCATTCACTAAGAGTTGATGTAGACCATGATCTCTAAGAGCACAATAATTCTAACTGTCTTTTCTTGGTCAGCTCTGCCTAGCCATCACTAGCACAATGCCCAGCACAAAGTCACCACTCAGTAGATATTTGTCAAATCAATAAATAATGACAGAATCCAAAATCGTAATAATTTATCCCAGTGCTCAGCACTGACTATATGTTTAATAAATATTTATTGAATTTCATTGAATATTGTGCTTAAAGAGAGAATCATGCCATGCATTCCAAATTAAGTAGGCATTACATTTGAATTATCAGCTGTTTGGGATTATCTGTGTGGCTCCTCCCCACTGTTAGGGTGGTAAATTGAGATCTTACTCCATCAGCAAACTCCCCAAATCTGCCTAGTATTTGGTTTCCACAAGACTAGTTTACTAATTCTAACGATGGCATATTTAATTTTAAAACTAATGCATACCATGATATCATATACTGTCCATTACTATTCCAATAATAAGAACTCTTTTTCAGAGCAGCATATTAGTTATTTACTAACTGGTCCCTTCTTTCCTTTTCTTTCTTCTTTTTTCTTTTGTTCATTCATTTTTTTCTTTTCTTAATTCTGAATGTCACATAAACATATAAAGGCCTAAAGGCAAGGATCTTGACAATATTGCAAGGTGTATTAGGGTTCTCTAGAGGGACAGAACTAATATGTATATAGGGAAGAATATATACATACATATATATATTTATATAAAGGGAAGTTTGTTAAGTATTAATTCACACAATCACAAGGTCCCACAATATGCTGTCTGCAAGCTGAGGAGCAAGGAGAGACAGTCCAAGCCCCAAAACTGAAGAACTTGGAGTCCGATGTTCGAGGGCAGGAAGCATCCAGCTCGGGAGAAAGATGTAGGCTGGCAGGCAGGGTCTAGAAAAGTCTAAGAACAGTGACTAGACAATCAGCTTAAGAGGACAGACACTTGACTTTATGTTTATAACATATGGTCCATCTTCTTGGCTCTTGAGTTACCTGAATTGCATCATGTCAAGATGACGCAGGCTTCCAGATTATAGTCACTTCTTCCCTCTAGTTCCCGTAAGAATTAAAATGATTTGACTTTAGTTCCAACAAACATAACGTAACATTAATGTGCTTCACATTAGGTCAAATGAGTCTAAAAATACACACACGCACACTACATACCCACACACAAATATGCACAAACGTATCTTAAATAGATAGCCAATTGGTGAACACTCCAAAACAGAAAGATCATACATTTCTAGTGTTTCTTTGCCTTATGACTGGCAGATTCTTTGTAACACAAATCTCTCAGTGGGAATAATTTTCAAAGTATATAATATGAAACCAGTTGTTTCTGAATAAAGCAATCAAATAGAATTATAGCAGATGCCATCTATGGGGGTGGAAATGGTGCCACCAATACAGATACCACCACTTAAGTAAAGGAGAAAAATGTTTAAATAAGTACATGGCGTCATCTTGTTAACATAACTATACTACATTAGTTGTCAGTAAATTTAAACTGTTAAACATTAACATATTAATCACTATATAAATAAATACAAGATATGAAATACTCAAGAAATTGAAAAGTTTAATGCATGGCCAAATTCTTCCATAACAGGGAATATTTTTATTACAGACATAAAGAAATTTAACTTAAATTAAAAATTTTAGTCTCTTTTATTGATAAAAGTCTCTTTCCATTATCAACAAGACAATTTTCCTCCCTCTAAGTAGAGTTTCACAAATCTCTCAGCTGAGTCATTATAAAGATCTTTTGGTGTGCTCTTTTTTATTTGAAATATCTCTTGCTTGAAATTAAATTCAGTCCTAAAATAGCAACTATATCACCTCCTATCCACTTCCCATTAGTAACAGCAAACTCCAGAGATTAGCAGAACAGCATTCATGTGTCTGGAAAAGGAACCTTATGGATGATTTAAGCATAAGACCTGGCTACTTACTAAGGAGCAGTACACACATATTTGTAAATATTAATGCCAGACAAAAATGAAATCTGACAAAGGTGAAATCATTGTACTGTACAGACTAACCTAAGCAGAGTTCCAATTTTGCCTTTCAACATTATATCTTGCAGGGTTGTATAAGCAATAAGCTCATTAACATCAGTGTAACTGTCCCCGAAATACAAGTGGATTCTGGAGAATGTAGGTAGTACAAATGAGCTCTCTTCAACGTTAAGGTTTATAGCAACTGATTCTTCAGAGAACATGAAGCCTTATGCTTGAGATAAATTTCCTCATCTGCTGTCATGATTGACAGGTCCATTTGGTTTGTTTTATGGGGGAAGGGAACAGGACTGGGGCCTGACTCAGGGCACAGTCCTCAGGTTTGGGGCTCTTTTGTATGACTGCCCACAAGTGCTATCTACTGTCACACCTCTTTAAACCTGCATTTTCGGATTTTAACATCAGCAACCAATGCTCTTCTCTGAGCCTCAACACAGTTATTCTTTAAATACAGTTCTATTTCCTTGGTGAAGTCTCCTTTGAGGTACTAAATTTAGCACTGTCAATCAGAAGAACAGGTGGTATGTGACACTACCAAATAGGTCCTCTCCCATCATGCTTTCCTAAGACAGCCAATCACCCAGGGCCCTGCCTAAGGATGTGGGGCTGTCAGCAGATCTGGTGAATATAAGGGCAGGCCAGACCCTGGCTCTTGAGCAGTCGTGCATTCCCAGCCTCGCCTCGGGTGTAGGGATTGCATAGAAAAGCAAAACTACACAGTCTTGACTGTGTAGTTTTGTTTTTAGGATTAGAGGCTCACCGATTCATGTCGGAGATGGTCAGAAAAACCAACTCTCCATAGGACGTCGTTTCAGAAGCAACCTTGGGCTTAGTCCCACCCTTTTTAGGCACTCTTGAGAAATCAGGTGAGCAGCAACTTTTCTTATTTTAATAGTAGAGTCACTTTCTTATTGATCTCTGGCTCTGGATTATTTGTGTGTGCTAAATGCCTATGTACAAGTGTTTGTATGACTATTTCTTGCCAGTGCTGACCCATTATTTAAATCTGCTTGTTAAATTCTATTTTAAAATGTCTGAACATTTTTCCTTAAAAAGTTGAAAGCTTTATTATATCAGCTAAATGATTCCATGATTCAAATTGTTTAAGTTCACTTAATATTCTAAAAGTTGAGGTCTGAAATGTTGAGAGAAATGTTTACTTCTTTTCTAGACTCTCTTTGCCTGTTGAGAATGTTCAAGGTTATATTACTCAATGATAAAGTTAAGCACACCAAGAATAGCTCTGATAAAATGCATGTGGTATCAGCTACACCCTGATGACTTTTTAAGGGAATCAACTGCTGAGGTATCAGTTGCAGGACAGTGACAGAACACTTGCCTGCTGTCAGTCAACCTTGGAGAGTTTAGGAGAGTTTATTTTAAGAGCATGACATTTTAGACGCATACCTTCAGCCCCAGTTAGACAAAGGCCTGTGAAGAGCAAGTGCTAAGGCAATAAAATTTACCTAGACAATAGGAATGTAAGATCAATTTAAGCTGGTTAATTGCAACATAGTTGGAGATTTGGAATAAAATGATATAATTGTTTTCTAAAATATTCAGAATCTCTTCATGCATTTTAACTCAGCACACAGTCCAATTATATATTTTGAGATAAATGTTGACACTAAGAAGGGTAAGAAATAATGTTTAAAGGAAAGGTTTCTTACTTCTAAATACACTTTGATTTCTCATCTTCCTAGAATTTGATTACTAATTGTCAATGCCTGTAAATACATAGATATATAATTAGGTATTCTATGTCTAAGAGGACAGCTATTTTTAGATATACTAACTTATAAACAGACAAAGTTAGACACAGAAAGTTGTTCATCCCAAAGATAATATGCTACAAAAAGGAGTTTCTGACAAAAAAAATTTATGAAAGCTTTTGGATATTATCTGATTTTTCCAAATATAAATTTTATTGTCTCAGAGAATGCTGGTTTCATTTTTTTAACTAAGTAGAAGGTTACAGTAAGGAACAGAATTATCACTAAGAAGATTATTGCTCCATGAAGTTTTAGTAAACAAAGAATTTAATGAAAAATAGTAATGAAGTGATTGACAATTCAGAAATGTTCTATTTCAGAACAGAATAGTCATGTTGAATAATTAGGTATTTATGCATCAGAAAATTCTTCACATAATGTCTCTGAAACTGATAGGCAAAGTACTTTCTTGCACTTAACAAAATGACTTAACTGCAAATTTTATATTCGTTTCTTTGATGTTGAATATTTTACTTTATGAAAGCATAGGCCTTTTCACTTCATCTACATTTTACACCAGCCTTCCATTATTCAAAGTTTGCAAATTGTTCCATATTAAGAACTCAAGCCAGCATTTTTCTTTCAGAACTATAATAAACTTTGGCCTGTTCACTAAAATTTAAATTTTTCTGAATATTTACTTCAGCAGTAACAACATTTACTGCACAGTTACAGTATGAAGAAATGTTAAGAAATAGAAAGCACCGTATGCCGTCTACAAAAAGCTTGCATATTTGATAAGGCTTGCCAAAGCTTCTCCAGTCAGGAAAGAGATTACAAAGTTCAGATTTTTACTTCTGGCAACTATTTTAAGTAATCAGATAATGTCTGAATCAATGTCAACTTTATAAATATAGAGTGAACGAAAAATATTGGGGAGAAGGAAAATTTTTAAAATAATTTTCACTTACTAAGCTGATGCAGAGGTTTATTTATTTTAATTTTTTTTTTTTTTTTTTTTTGAGACAGAGTCTCATTCTGTCACCCAGGCTGGAGTGTGGTGGCACCATCTTTGCTCACTGCAACCTCCACCTCCTGGGTTTAAGCAATTCTCATGCCTCAGCCTCCCAAGTAGCTGGGACTACAGACATGGGCCACCACGCCTGGCTAATTTTTGTATTTGTAGTAGAGACAGGGGTTTCACCATGTTAGCCAAACTGGTCTCAAACTCCTGACCTCAAGTAATCCTCCCGCCTCGGCCTCCTAAAGTGCTGGGATTACCAGCATGAGCCACCACGCCAGGCCCAGAGGTTTATTTTACATTTATCACATGTCTTGTCTCTCTAATTACACTTCACTAACCCTGCATTGCTGTGGTTTTCTTCTTCAACTCTGAACCTGGTTTTCCACCATTGGTAAGACTGTATATTCCCTCTTTGACCACTAGGGTTCATTCCTTGTTCTGTTTGGCTAATACTTTTTTCCATTTCCCCTTACACTTGCTACTTTGGGTTAGGCTTTAAGTCAACTCAATGATGAACTATGCAAAACTGTTCAAGCCACAAAAGAGAAGACCTGCCCATCACTCTAGGCCCACAGATGACCTATGGAGCAATCCATTTGGAGAAACGTGTGTCTCTGCTATCTGCAAAGCAGCTCCAGAGTGACCCTTAGCTGGGACACCCTAATTTATTTTCTCTTCTTTTTCAGAGTGCCTAGAAAGATGACAACTCAAGCACCGACGTTTACGCAGCCGTTACAAAGCGTTGTGGTACTGGAGGGTAGTACCGCAACCTTTGAGGCTCACATTAGTGGTAAGCTCACACATTCACACTTTTGTTTTTTTTTCCTTTGCCTCCTCTCCAGTAAGTTAACGTTGCTGCAGGACTTGACGCCAAGTTTAAGCCCTGCTTTCACTTCGGAAAATTAGTCCAACACTATGGAAAGGTCATTTTAAGGGTATACCATTCACAGAGTACTGACAAAATCTGACAATATAATGGCTTGAAATGTTTTATTCATATTTATTATTCCACAAAGCAAAAATAATTAGTGTTGGATTAAAATTGCCGTTAGAATCCAGCAACTAAATAGGACCAAATTTAGTCATTCTATATTTGGGCTCAGCTGCAGAGCCAGACTGGAAGCCAAGAACTCAAGCCCAATAGAAGCCAGCCACAGAGCCATGGGGTAGGCAGTCTGGGCTGCCTGCTCTGGACACCTGAACTTCAGTTGGTTCACACGCAAAATAACAGTGCATCTAATTTTCCTCAGAGGCAGAGCTGTTCAGTAATTAACCAACTCCTCATTATTTTATTATTTTATTTTCAATCTTTATTGAGTGATTCTAATGAATTAAAAGACTTTCCAATCGTTTTGAAATGACAGAAAATAATATGCTTCTCGGGTGTCTCTATTTAAAAGGAAGCAAACACTAACCCTAGAATTTTATCTGAAAGGAAGTTCATCTCTTTTTTGCCTTCTTTTTCTTCCTCATAACTCAGTTTATGGATGGTTCAAAAAAATGCATGGTATCATCTTATGAAAAAATGGAGAGTAGTGTATGAACTATATTGTAAATAATTTTAAAATTAATCAATATTTTCTCTTTCTGTAGTATTGTAACGAGCCATGTAAGATGGATACGGATTAAAAAAAATCATGCTTAATTCTTAATTTAGTGCACTTCCATGGTTCATTGCCCACTTCTTTTTTAAAATTTTATGGCTTATAATAAAGATATAAAATAAAATTTCTTTTTTTCTCTTTTTTTCTATTATATGCACCAATCTTATTCATAACTGGATAATACTTTCTTTTACATTGTACAAATATCATATAATCATTGCTTATTTTCTATTGTACATATATAGACCAATGAAATTCCCTTTTCATTGGTCTATATATGTACAATAGAAAATAAGTCTTACCGACTTCCAAATAATTTACCTATTTATCTGGTAACACTCAGTAACTTCTGAACTGAGCAGAACACATATGACTTCAGTGGGAATTTGCCTCCTTGAGAAGTAGTGGAATCTGGCTACTTCATATCTTCTTGTTCCTTCAAACTATATGCAAATAAATTATTACAAAGACACTACTGAAAATATCCAATACCCATAAATCAGTCCAATAAACTATTTAATTGGCCATAGTGGGAGATGGGCTAATGTATAAACAACAAAATAGACTTTCTCTAGATTATCTTTACCTACCAGCGTAAGTAGATAGAGCATCAACCTTTATGCCAAGTGTGAAATAAATCATGCCCTGAATGTGCCTCGTACATTCTCAATGTACAGAGTTTTAATATATTTAAAACATCAAACCATGGACATGTAGTTCTTGGCTCTACAATTTATGGCAGATAAAGAGAATTTGGCTTTCTACCTGCAATTCCAATGATCCATGTTGTTCTGGAAGACTAGGTTTGGATTAGTCTCTTATGAGAAATTGCTTGTCCATGTTACAATGTTTTTACTGATTGCACTTGTGAAAGCAGAAGAGTCCAAGAAGACAGTGTCCCTGTAACCACAGAGGAGGGAGGAGGGCATGCCTCCTGGGCTTGTCAGGCAGAAACTGGAGATCAGTTTGCTGCTTTTGTTCTTCACTTGCTCTCAAAGAGGACAACAATCACTCTTTATTTCAAATTTTCCTTGGTTCTTCATTTTTATAAGTCCCTTTCATGATTTTAATGTTGTCTATTAAATTGCATCAGATAGAGCCCTAGGCAGGCAGGCAGGAGATGGAAATTCTAGTCCCCTCTGTGTCACTGCTAGCTGAAGGACCTTGGAAAAATCATTAGGCCTCTTTTGGTCTCAGTTTCCTCCCTTCCTGCCTTCCTAATGGTCTGCAGGTTTACACACTGATCATGCAACTGTAGGGTTTTCCCTATCATTAAGTGGCATTCCATGCTGGAAAGCTTTTACAGATTCGGACAAGGCAGTGAACATGATGGGACAGAGCAGAGGACTTTGTGGTGCCCATTCAAACATAAAGGTGAATTGTTCTTGCTCTTCAGGTTTTCCAGTTCCTGAGGTGAGCTGGTTTAGGGATGGCCAGGTGATTTCCACTTCCACTCTGCCCGGCGTGCAGATCTCCTTTAGCGATGGCCGCGCTAAACTGACGATCCCCGCCGTGACTAAAGCCAACAGTGGACGATATTCCCTGAAAGCCACCAATGGATCTGGACAAGCGACTAGTACTGCTGAGCTTCTCGTGAAAGGTAGGCTGCTGGGGACCTGCCAATCCTCTGCTCCCCCAGAGGACATCTCCAGCAAATTGGGAAAGGAGTCCAGAAAAAGCTATGGGCAGAGGTAGATGCAGCTCTTAAACTACAGAAGGGTCTACTGGAGGCTGAATTATTTATAACCAAGTTGTTTGCCTTTTGGAATTTAATTTTCCTCTAGAGTACATCGTAAAAGTGACTGAGAATCAGTTTCTCAATACACATATTAAACACTCAAAAGTATGTTAAGGAAATATTAAAAATCATGTTTCTCAGCAAGTAGAAAAGCTTGGAGCCTTGTTTATAAGTCCTTTAAGGAATAAGACATATTCTCCAGGGAAGTGTGAATCTCCAGGAATTCACACTTTAACAAGCATCCAGATAATTCTGATGCCGGTAGTCTACAGACCACCCATTTAAGAGGCATGTAAACATACCCAGAAGAAAATAAATGCTTGTTTATTATTCAAATGCATGACACTGTTTCCCCAGAAAACTTATCACCAATCTTAGTGGCCTCTGTTGTTTTTCTCTATCCTTTACTACCTAGTGAGACATTAGTATACAGAATATTGCATGCCTTTACATGTTTTATAACAATATCTTACATGAGCTACGTAAAGTTACATATGCTTATCCAATAAACTTTACCTTCAATGATGTTCAATTATAGGGCTATAATTGACCTAAGCAGAAACCACATCAAGTAACATCAGGTAGAACTTTAGCATGCACCCAGAAAATTCACAAATGGAAAATGCACAGGGTTGGCAGCACCTGCTGTTGTTTATTACTCAAAATCATGTCAAAGTTAATTCCACTCACTCCTCACACTTATAAAAAATTTCCTTCAACATAACCAAAAAAATCCCCTTTCTGTAACACAATTAAAATGAAGTAATGTTATTATTGGGATTAACGTTTTAAATGCAAGTAAATATTTGGGTTATTTGAATACCTATCAAGTTGGAGAAGGTTTAGAATTTTAAAAATTAAATTAAAAATGTAATGATTCTTTAAGTAACAGGTACACCCATCGTAGCAACCACTGGAATTCATTTTAATGCAACTTACTGGAATATGCAACATGGCTTTCACATATTAATAGAGCGCTAGATGTGAGGTAGAGGGGGAAGTACCAGAAAGATTCTCAAGAAATGTTATAACAAAATCTAGAGCTTTTATTTAAAACAAAGAAACAAAAGGTGGTGGCCTAAACTGCTCAGCAAAACAAAGCAAATAAAATAAAATATGGTGGTGAGAAAGCCTTCTGTAATCTCCTGGCTCCCATTCTTGCTGTCATTGCTGGGTGAGCTGGGTTCAAGGACATTCAAGGATGTTTAGATTGGCGAGTCATCACCTGGTTTTGGAATTGGAGCTGTGATTATTTAAAAATACCTTGTAGGGAGCACCCTGGCTCTCACTCTTGACTTTGTTCTCTTGTCCCCGCAGCTGAGACAGCACCACCCAACTTCGTTCAACGACTGCAGAGCATGACCGTGAGACAAGGAAGCCAAGTGAGACTCCAAGTGAGAGTGACTGGAATCCCTACACCTGTGGTGAAGTTCTACCGGGATGGAGCCGAAATCCAGAGCTCCCTTGATTTCCAAATTTCACAAGAAGGCGACCTCTACAGCTTACTGATTGCAGAAGCATACCCTGAGGACTCAGGGACCTATTCAGTAAATGCCACCAATAGCGTTGGAAGAGCTACTTCGACTGCTGAATTACTGGTTCAAGGTACGTGCTGGAGGTTGAGGAACAGAGAGAAGGGGAGAGAGCTGGTTTGTGTCTAAATGGGGCCAAGCGTCCACTTGCCACCTCTCACAGCCCTGGGAAGAATGCTGTGAGCTGATATAAAAGCTGGCTTTTCGACACCCATGAAAAGTCCCTGAGATTCTAGTCAGGAGCGCAGAATAGAAGCAATCTGTGCTTATGAATCTCATTATAAACTGGAAAGGGTTTCAATTAAGTGATCTACATTTCCAAATTATTGGCAAATAATGAAATTTTAAAAAATCATTCTAAGTAAATTTTTATCTTGTAATGAACATTTTCTATTTTTAAACCTAATTTATATTCATGCAAAATCCAAAACTTTCTGCAATTTTCTCCATTGGGATATCCAGAAAATCTTTTTGACTTTGTAGTCAGAATTAACAGAATCTCTTTTAAAATGGGTCATTGTGCCCCCTCCCAAACATTCATCTTTCCCTTCCCACAGGTGAAGAAGAAGTACCTGCTAAAAAGACAAAGACAATTGTTTCGACTGCTCAGATCTCAGAATCAAGACAAACCCGAATTGAAAAGGTATTTTTCTATACTGTTGGTTTTCAAGCCTTTCAGGCTGTTGCGTCCCCAGCTATTCCTCCTCAACGTGGGCTTTGTTTTAATCTTTTACAGAAGATTGAAGCCCACTTTGATGCCAGATCAATTGCAACAGTTGAGATGGTCATAGATGGTGCCGCTGGGCAACAGCTGCCACATAAAACACCTCCCAGGATTCCTCCGAAGCCAAAGTCAAGATCCCCAACACCACCGTCTATTGCTGCCAAAGCACAGCTGGCTCGGCAGCAGTCCCCATCGCCCATAAGACACTCCCCTTCCCCGGTCAGACACGTGCGGGCACCGACCCCATCTCCGGTCAGGTAAAGCTGCCATAGAGAGAGCAGATTATTGCACATTTTGGAACTAGGTTTTGAAACGAGAAAGATTCCCTTGTCCCCCTCGCAGGGCATGCGACGCGGAGAGTGGTTCGCTTCTTCAGTGTCCCGCTGCTCAAACCTCTAGGGGAGCATACAAACGGGCAGGTTGTGGGGCTCCGTGTTCCTCTGGACATCCAGCCGCTTGTGTGTCTGCCTACTAGGGTCTCAGGGGTTTTTATAGGCATAGGGTGTGGGCGTGGCAGGTCAGGGTGATCTTGGGAAATGCAACATTTGGGCGGGAAGGCAGGAGTGTTTGTCCTCACCTAGGTCCATGGGCACAGGCCTCGCTAGGGACCACGCACTTCTCTTCCCAGCACTTCCCTGCCCTCCTCCCGTGTAAGTTTCATGCACTCAAAAATGTAGCAGGTGACAAAGGAGGTAAACCAAGAAGTTACTGAATATGATTTTCACAAATCCTCACTGTCCACAGGTAAATTGAAGACCCTTATAAACTTCTGAATTCTTATTTATATTTCATGTAATAAATATCTACTTTAGGGGCCAAAATATGGCACAGTGAAAGGAGAAGAGCACAGAAGTTAGAGTTCAAAGCCCTAAGGACAAATCAGCCTGATCACTTAACAGTTTGATTTAGGGCAATAAGTATAAATAATAAAATAATTGTTATTATATATGGATCACTTCCTCTATCAGATTGGAACTATACATACATTATCTCATTAAATGTTCACAACCTGTAAGAATTATTATCCTCAATGTTATTGATAGGTAACTGGAATTAAAGAAGTTAAGCAGTTTATTTAAGGTTTCAGTTGTGTCATCTGTAAATTAAAGAGAGTCACAATAAGAATGATCTCAAGCTGCATTTTGGGGCTTCAATGAGATAATTAGTTGAAAGTGCCTTGTAAATAGAAAATAATTATGCCAATATTCTTATATTCAGATGGTAAGTAAAACCTTTTAAATATTTTGCATATGCTTGTGTTATTTTATCTAGAAAATAAAATGGACTTCTATGCTTACTTAATATGGAAGTATTTTAGAAGGTGATCATGTATCATGATCAGGGCTCAGAAATTATATAATCAAGTGTAAATTGTCCACAACAGTTTTGAAAGTTTGGGATTTAGTTTATCATGATGAAACTTTTAATATGATGAAATGAAAAATGTACAAAATTTGAGCAAAGAAGTGTTTATTGATCAATTTAAATGAAATAAAAAACACATGGATGTTCCCTGCCAAGAAAATTTTTTATAAAAGAATAATAAGGAGATAGTTGACCTAAATAATATTCAAACATACTGTAAAGTTACTATAATCAGAACAGTATGGTATTGGTAAATGAATAGAAAAA
Organism: Homo sapiens; assembly: GCF_000001405.40. Classification (NCBI taxonomy): domain Eukaryota; kingdom Metazoa; phylum Chordata; class Mammalia; order Primates; family Hominidae; genus Homo; species Homo sapiens. Next base: position 178,798,111 of record NC_000002.12, on the reverse strand, counting down.
TACACCAGGGGAACAAAACAGAGAGTCCAGAAAGAGATCCAAGTATAATAGATCCAAGTATATAGGGAATTCAAAAAGCAAAGTGGCCTTTCAATTCAGGGGAGGGAGAGGTATTTTAATAAAGAATGCTGGTCCAATTAGCTATCCATCTGGAAGCAAACAAACATAAACCTCTGCCTCTCACTATTTACAGAATAAATTTCAGCTTGATTAAATAGTTAAAAAATGAAAAAAAAAGAGAAGACAATCTGCAAAAGCATTTATGGGTGAAAGCTTTTAAAAAGACAGTTACAGATTCAACTACATAAAAATCAACATGTATGTATGGCAAAAGCAAAAAGTCATTTCTAAACCAAACAGCACTTGTGAAAAAATTTTAAGACCTTTCTCCTCCTCAAGGTACTTCATTGCCTCTGCCATAAAAGTATCACAATAAACATAAAATGGCTACAAGGTAGACAACACCAGCCTAGAAACAGTATATAACATACAAAATTACGTAAGCTTATGCTGGATAAGACCCATAAACAAGCAAAATATTGAAATGGATTAAAAGAAATGGATCTGGGGGAATGTTTGCAACACTTACGACAAATAACCAATAAATGCACTAAATGCATTAAAAATCATCCACAAATTAATTTTTAAAGGAAAAAAATGCAACACAAAAAAAGACAAAAGATACAAAAAAGTATTTAACATAAGAGGCAATGTAAAAGTCCAATAAACATGTGAAAAAAAATGCTAGATGTTTTCCAATTTTTATTGTTTTAGCCACAAAAATGTAAAGATATTGGCAAACACTAACATGAAACCTTGAACAAAAAGCTTACTTTAAAAAACATGTCTAGCAGTCGAATAAAAAAAAATGTTCAGTCTCAGGCTAAATCCAAGTTTGCACACCATGAAATCACAACACAAGCCAAATGCAATTTCTTGAGGAGATAACAACCTAACTATATTTTAAAACCCAAGCCTAAGGGTCATTTAGAATCATGGAGTGTCCCTGATCCCATGGAGCATTTTGACCATCTTAGCAGTTTTGAAAGTTCATTAATAACCATCCAAATTGCCCCAAAATTTTGCTTTCCAATAATTAAGAAATAAAATGCCAATTTGCAGAGAAAATAATGGTTATCAAAGATAGACTGCTTCCTAAATATCTCATAGTTTAATCTTGATTTTTGTTGTAGAGTAAGGCAAACATATTTCATTGAATAAGGTGCATTGTATCTCGCTGTGACCAGGTGATTATTTTTTGTTGTAAGTACAGAAATAAGCACTCTCCTATAATGACCAAAATTACAATGATTTTCACAGTTATGGGCTTACCTGTGTCCTGCTGTTAATCAGTCATGTCATGCTAATCATGTCTTTAACTCTTTTTGAATTAAACCCATTTACTAAGTACAGCAAGAACAAGGCACAGGGTGAAACTTAAAAGCACATGTCTCTTTGCTTTTCTTCAGTTAGTGGAAACCACACATTATTCTAACTTGGTTTTTGTTATATTTCAAAGGCAGTCATGTTCAGAAAAGAGGCTTATTCCCTAGATTTCCCTTTAGTTTGATTACAACTTCATTTACAAAATGTAAATGGATTTTCACACAAAAAAAGCCATTCTTCGAGAAAATAAACATTTCTTCGTGAAACTGGTTAATGTTGTAATGTACTGTTAGGGTACTCTGTAAGTTAGAGAAAATATCAACTGTACCTTGAGCTTAATTAGAATAATCATTTCATGTATGATCAGTGTAAGCTAAATATCCTAGATAGTGACAAGATGCATTTATAAACATTTTCTTATATGCAGAATTAATAAAATGCAATGATAGGGCAATACTGCCACCTAGAGAGGAAAATGTAATAAGCCTTATTAAGAATTAAATCAGTTCTGAAAAAAATTTTACCTTACAATAGTTGGCCAATCCCCAGAATTATTGCTATAGATCAGAAATAGTCTTTTTTGGCCATCAGTGCTGGGATTTAGCACCCAAATTCTTCAACTGATGCTACTTGCACTTTGGATACACCTAAAAAGCAAACAATGAAAACTATTCTGGAAGAAGCAACTTTATCAATTTACCCAAAAATCACAGAATCATTAGTTTTTAAGTTAGTCAATTCCCACAATAACTCTAAAGATATTTAAAATAAGTCCAGAGTGCAATACAAGGGGGGCGAGTGTAAACAAATATGGAGGAAATTAAAAGTAGCTGTCCACAAACACTTCGGCTAAAGCAGCAATTTGCAAAGTGCACTGCACAACCTGTACCCAGCAACATGCTGCAGAAAGCTTCCTGAGGATGTGTCCCCCTGTCCTGGAAATTCACAAGGCATACTGACATAGTAAAGGCTGTGGGAAGTCCTGCAGGGGAAAAAAAAAAATGGCTTAAGCTGCTTAGTCAAGAGTGGCACAAGCATTTTGATTACAGAAACCTTTCTTCTTATAACACCTATTTGACATCCTCTAACCCCCCCAGAATTGGAATACAGAGATGAATTTGGAATACAGAGGTTGCTGGATTTGACATGTCTTTCCTTTGGCTGCATATTAAAGAAGTAGCTTTTTCTGTTGTGATTTTTTTTTTTTTTTAATGTGAGAAGGTGCAAGGCACAAAATCTCCAGCTTATTTGGAATTAAAGCTGATTCTCTTACAGGGTTACAGCAGATAAGAATAGGTTTATTGAGATTTAAAACAAATTACTTCCAAGTACATTATTTACCCTCTGAATGGGTTATGGAGGCACACATTTTAAAACTCTGCCTTAAAGCACTTCCAGCTTTTCATCTCATGATTCACATCCAGTTACCCCTCCTTGCTTTGACATTCTTGACCTCTGCCTTTTGGTTTTCAGGTCCGTGTCTCCAGCAGCAAGAATCTCCACATCCCCCATCAGGTCTGTTAGGTCTCCATTGCTCATGCGTAAGACTCAGGCATCCACCGTGGCCACAGGTCCTGAAGTGCCTCCCCCTTGGAAGCAAGAGGGCTACGTGGCCTCCTCATCTGAGGCTGAGATGAGAGAGACAACGCTGACAACCTCTACTCAGATCAGGACAGAAGAGAGATGGGAAGGGAGATACGGTGTCCAGGAGCAAGTGACCATCAGTGGTGCTGCGGGTGCTGCCGCCAGTGTGTCGGCCAGTGCTAGCTACGCAGCAGAGGCTGTTGCCACTGGTGCTAAAGAGGTACTGTCAGAATGGTTTTGTTTTTCCTTATTTCACATTCTAGTTTCTCCAACTGGATTTCTGCCATGAAACTCAGTCTGTATAAATTGGAGGAAAAATGCATATGAACATAAAAATATAGCAGCAACTGAAGACCAAATTCAGTAGTCATGCTTTGTAAAACCATTTTTAATTAGGACAAAAGCTCCAATCTGTGAAGTTTCCATAATATACAGGTTTTAATGATACAGTCTCTGTATTTCTTGGCAATAATAAATGCTTATGTATGAGTGTATTTTGCTCTAGGTGGCTCAGTTTTCCAGTATGCTTTTTTATTTTCTACTGGGCATGTCATTTAAAAAAGTAATCTACTTGGTCATTTCTAATCTAGGTGAAACAAGATGCTGACAAAAGTGCAGCTGTTGCGACTGTTGTTGCTGCCGTTGATATGGCCAGAGTGAGAGAACCAGTGATCAGCGCTGTAGAGCAGACTGCTCAGAGGACAACCACGACTGCTGTGCACATCCAACCTGCTCAAGAACAGGTACGTGCGAGGCTGCCATGGGGCACCCGCAGAGCCACGTCCTTCAGTGCACATTAACTCAACCACCATCCACTGAGCTTGGCATGCAGCTGTGCTCAATTCATTCTGAAGACAGCCTTGAGCCCAGCAGGGCCCAGACTTTTAGAACTTTCTGAGCAAAAGGTGGTCGGAGATGTCAAAGGTGTTGACAATGTGAGTATCACAAGAGCAGAGTAGGCCAGAAATACCTGGGCTATATGAGCAGGCAAAAGTCAACTATGGTATTCAAGGTAGGAAGGCAAAGAGTGGCCAGAGAAACAGAGACCAGTCAATTCCAGAGCTCAGTCACTGCACACACTGGATGTGGAAACTACTATTTCAGGGAAGGCATTACATTTCTCTAAGTTTCCCCAAAGGACTTTTGTTTTTACTTTTCTCAAAACAAACATGACACTTGATTCATAGCTGGAACAGTGTCATAAATCCAGGATAATGTCCCACCTCGCATTTGAATAGATTTTCTGTTACAGTTTAAAATCATTCCAGCTTTCCTCCTTATCCTCTTGTGTGACATTTATGTCTAAATCCTGACAGATTATTGTAACTTTTTTTTCTTTTCTGAGACAGAGTCTCGCTCTGTCACCCAGGCTAGAGTGCAGTGGCATGACCTCCGCTCACTGCAGCCTCCGCCTCCTGGGTTTAAGTGATTCTTGTGCCTCAGTCTCGTGAGTAGCTGGGATTACAGGTGTGCGCCACCACACCCAGCTAATTTTTGTATTTTTTAGTAGAGGATTTCACCATGTTGGCGAGGCTGGTCTTGAACTAATTTTTATGTAAGATGCATTAAGGTGTTTTCTTCCTTTCTCTATGAAAAGCAGGTAAGAAAGGAAGCGGAGAAGACTGCTGTAACTAAGGTAGTAGTGGCCGCCGATAAAGCCAAGGAACAAGAATTAAAATCAAGAACCAAAGAAGTAATTACCACAAAGCAAGAGCAGATGCACGTAACTCATGAGCAGGTGAAAATGGGTTTGTATTTTAAATTCACTGAGGTTCTTACAGGGGTCAACACAGATAATCACCTTTACCATGAAGAGTGTTGTTCCTTGGGCCACATGGTTGTTAGCATACTAATAAGATCCCCTTGTTGTATGTGTAAATTTCTGGGTACTGGATACCAAAGTTTGGTAGTGTCCCTGAATGCTCCCCTTGTGAGTATGAAAAAGAACTCTGTGAACATACACCAGGAGTAGAAACAGGGGTCTCATCACATTGATCTGGGGATGCACTAAGTATAAGACTATAGGGAGAGGACAGATGGCTAAAACCAGGAGGAAGAAATAGATGCTGAGGCAGGAATGGGGAAAAGTGGAGGAGACACTGAACTCACTTTGCTTTAGAAATCTTAGCAACTGCTTCCTGGCTCCTTCGGAAGACATTTGCACATGAGTTTGAAGTGGAATGGACAGCATGGCTTTAACAAGCCAAATGACCAGAAAAGGTGAAAAGGACAGCCCCATGGTTGGCGGCATTTGGGGACAGATTGGAAAATGCCAGTTAGTAGAGCTCTTGGCCAGTGGAACCAGTTGGCAGTTGGGTGGTTTGAGAAGATGAATTTCAAGTCCCTTTCAGCCTTGAGATCCTGTGTTTCAGTGATGAGATATTTGAGAATGGCAAAGAGGCAAATAGAGAAAACTGTCCCCCTACATACGCATATACCTTAGGTGCCCAGATGGAAACAGCATTCTTCACAGTATTTAGGAAAACTGACAAAACAAAAATATTGTATAAATGCAGATTATAAATTATCCATGCTTGATTTCTCACATGTAAAATAAAAAGATCAGACAAAATTACTTCTAAAGTCTTCCATTCTGATATATATTCTAAGATTACCTTTAGATGACAGAATTAGTACAGAATAATATTGCCATAGATCTATTTGTAAACATTGGAAGTCATTTTAAAGAAGACTACAATTCTGCTGTTCAAAACAAAGTGTTGAATTCAACTTTGTTTTCTCTAAGCAGCCTACATAATTTACAGTTTAAGGAGAGAAAGAGCATGATCTTATTTATGAACATGGGATTATTTATTTTATTTAGTGACATCTGCAGAAAAGGGATTTTACATCTTCAAATTCCTATGTTGTTATATTTAATAAACACCATATTATTTCATTGGGCATCAGGAAATAAAGTTTTTTCTTAAATCATTCTTTGCAGATAAGAAAAGAAACTGAAAAAACATTTGTACCAAAGGTAGTAATTTCCGCAGCTAAAGCCAAAGAACAAGAAACTAGAATTTCTGAAGAAATTACTAAGAAACAGAAACAAGTAACTCAAGAAGCAGTAAGTCTGATTTTCTAAATATTTTGTAGTTTGTTGACAATATCACATTACAGCCAGCTGCAGGTAGCTTATAGTCAAAACCCTTAAATGGAGAAGTCTTTGGTTGTATATTTTTTGTTATTGTTCCTCTATGTCTAGTATTGAAACTCAGGATGGAAATTATGTTCACATTGCACTATTTTCCACTCACTTGATCAGTTTTCAGGAGATTGTCTACAGAACAGTTTAGGGCACATCTATGAACTTTCTAGAACATACATAAATGGATGATAGATATCATGCCAGTCCAGTTACCCACCGGGACAGTTGGTTTCTTCGTGCATAGCCTAAGCCCTCAGTCACTTAGATTGTAATGCACAAACTTTACATGCACACACACATGCACACACACACACACACACACACACATATACACATACATCAGCCATAAACACCCCGAATAAATAGCAAGGGAAAGTGAGGATATGCCAGACATCGGAGAAAGCAAATACTTCCTCAAAAAAAAAAATTCCTTCAATTCACGGTTGATAAACAGTGACCTAGAAGCATTTGCTGCTGTTGTGCCGTAGAGCTGTGTGAGGACAATCTCAGTGTCACTAAAATCCACATCTCTCCCGTATGTGAAATCAAACCTTTAAGTGTCAGGAGAGAGGCATTTATCTTGAATTCTTCCATGTCAAAGAGGGCGCCTGTGCTCATCCTCCTTGAACTCAAGCTCTTTGCTGATCTTAGAGCTACTTTCTTTAAAGGTCCAGTTGAGAACCTTGTACACTTAAAAGGCTGACCAGAGGCTGCTGACTGAATTTCCCTCTCCTTACTGTGAGTGAGACATTTTGAAAGCAGCAAGAACCCTACTTAGGATAATCAAAGGCATAGAAATCCCCATTGCCATTGCAATGCTGGTGACTGGCAAGTTCAGCTGGCCTATGGTTTTCCAGCCACTTGTCAGCAGCCACCCACCGGGTTCCCTAACACGTTGACATGTCTCAAGATGAGATATGTTCAGTTCTAGGACAATTTGCTAAGGCGCATGTGGGCAGAAAAGAAGCCCATTCCTCAGGAAAGCAGTCTATGTATTAAGCACAAGTGTAGGCCCCTGAAATGGAAATCTGACATTTTATCGTTCACCACTAAGCATCCTGTATTTTCCTGAGTGTTTCAAGGATGTCTTCCCATTGCTTTTGTATCTTTTGAAACTCAAATCTTTATTTTACTCTAAACATCAGATAAGACAGGAAACTGAGATAACTGCTGCATCCATGGTGGTAGTTGCCACTGCAAAGTCCACAAAACTAGAAACAGTCCCGGGAGCTCAAGAAGAAACTACCACACAACAAGATCAAATGCACCTAAGTTATGAAAAGGTGATGACTTCCTGCCAATGTGAAAGTCACTCTTGCACCATTTCATTTGCAAATCACCTACATTTTCATCATGGATCTTAATCATCACTTCTTCACTTCCACCTCTTCTTATAATGCAAATAGAAAATTTCTTTTCCCACACAGCTACCTTTCACTGTCAATTCATTCCTAACTTTCAGACTTTCTTTGGCTTGTTACTAATATAATATAATAATTCACTTTAATATCTTCCTATTGAAGCAGATGTCCGTAAACAAGTCAATTCATAATACAAAAAATTATGTGCTATTTACAGTGCTACTGAAATGTCTCAGAGATTGCAGTTTTAAAAAATGTGAAAAGTACAAAATAGCACTCATTAGTCTTTTATTGCTAATCACATTTTTTTCTTTTAAACTGGACTTATTGTTTTGATATTTTTGCCAGTGAAACAGTATGGATGATCAAAGTAACTCAAATGATATATTTTAGTGCAATTAAAATTTCCTTGAATAGGAAGAAATTTTGCCTCCTTTCTTTTTGACTTACGTTTCTTTTATTAAAGATTTATGGAATTTAATGACTATTTTCTTACTTTCTTTTGTATGATCAGATAATGAAGGAAACTAGGAAAACAGTTGTACCTAAAGTCATAGTTGCCACACCCAAAGTCAAAGAACAAGATTTAGTATCAAGAGGTAGAGAAGGCATTACTACCAAAAGAGAACAAGTGCAAATAACTCAGGAGAAGGTGAATACAGATATTTGAGCTGTGAAAAGTTCATCTTTAAACTAATTTCTAGTAAACTATTAACTACAATATGGTATGAATTATTAATCTGTATTTGCCTTTTAAAATCCCTAACTAAAAACAAAATGGTAAATATGAGACTGATTATCATTAATTTTATCTGCACATTTGATTTTCATCCATCTGTAACATTTATAATTCATTTTATTCACCATTATTCTTTGCATGAAGATTAGCATTTTTTAGCTTAATTTTTAAAAAGTGACACAGGGACTCATCTAGAGGTTTTTTAATAGCTAACATTTCTAAGTTTTGTGATTCTCAGTCAGTATATGTAGACATTGCCGGTGAAAGTTTATTTCTCTTGTGTATTTAACCCTGAATAACCATCTTGCATCCCCATGAGGAAGGGGGAAGGGTCATACTATGTGTGTTTGAAGCCCTGTTCAACTTAAATCTTGATTTTACTGTAATAATCAGATGAGAAAGGAAGCCGAGAAAACTGCCTTGTCTACAATAGCAGTTGCTACTGCTAAAGCCAAAGAACAAGAAACAATACTGAGAACTAGAGAAACTATGGCTACTAGACAAGAACAAATCCAAGTTACCCATGGAAAGGTGACTATTGTTGTTCCAAGTGTGAAATCCCCTATTATAATACATTAATACCACATATCATGTGAAATTCCTTATTGTAATACATTAATATCAAGTCTCTGAATTTCTTATGTATGAGTCACTATTAACCAAATTTATTTTTTAGACAATTAAATAATTGGAAACTAAAAAAATTTATTATTGTTAATATTACTACATATCCCTTTCTCCACTTATCTCTTCACCATTATTGTCAACATTTTATTAACATCTGGGAATCTTCCAGAAGTTGATTAAAATTGCATGCAGGCTAATTTTAAGAGGCCCATGAACATTTTTTAAAAACACGGAAGATGTATAAGTAAATGATGACTCTTACTCACTGTCAAGAAGATGTGTGTTTTGAAGGGTCATAAATTCAGTATATTATGTTATGGAGTATGACTTATTTCAGTAAATTACCCATAATTTTCTTTGTATGAAACTTTATCTTTTTTCCCTCCTGTAAATATCAGAGGAGAAGATAAGCTGAAAAAATTATAATGCATGCTGTAGCAGCTCCCACTAAAGCTAAACAAGATGCATATTAAAATCTAGAGAAGGAAGTATCCAAACAGAACAATTACACATAAGCCATGAAAAGATTACCGTATCTATTTGTAGCTATGAAATATCCATGAATTAAACTGTTTCCCATGACTCTGTCATTTACTCCAAATGAGCCATTTACCTAATTGTATTCTTTATTGCTAATATACCACTTGAAAATTAGCAACTAAAGTTTTTCCATTTCATTAGCAGGATGGCCTGAATCCTATTTGTATTTCCCTCAGTGTCATTTTCTGACTCTACATCTTTTTTTTCTAAGATATGATTTAAGATAAACTTTTTAAACCTTTACTCAAATCTAACATTTAATGGCATATCAGCCTTTCAGAAGTCTCATAAATGACAGAAATTCCACTATGCAACATACTTCATGAGTGATTAACTTTTTACTTTTGTTTCCATTCAAATTTTGTCATGAATTGACTATCTTGTTTTTGTTAAAAATTAGCTAAGGATGGAAGCTGAGAAAATGTTTATACCTGAAGTAGTAGTTACCACTGCAAAATCTGCTGAACCAGCCACACCGCCAATGACTAGAGAAGGATTCACTATTAAACAAAAACAAATACATCTTTTTCGAGAAGAGATGAAAACTGATGCTATGGAGGTGAAAAGTATTGTTTCATCCCATTTCATCATCAACTCTCATAACTTTTCATCCGTCGTGAATTGTGCTTCTAGTGTTCCATCTAATTGTTTAACTGATCAATAAAACAATAGAGATGGTTAGATTCAGTCCATCCTCCAGTTGAACAGTGAGCATTTCTAGTAGTGAAAAGTCAGACCAAATAATACTCTTCTTTATGTCTCCTAAATTTATTCTCAGCATTTAACTCGTATGAATTGGAGTATTCTAGTCCAATTTGTCTTCCTGCTTCTCTAGGTTACAAACATGTGAGAGATATCAAAGTCCACTAAGAAATAAAAGCGGTTACCAGCATACTCATTTGTAGTCCACCAATAAGTGTGTGTATATAAATCTGATATACAATAATTCAAGGAAAAAACAGACAGATGCTTCCTCAATTTAAAATATTTTACCATGATTAAGATTTTTCCATATGTTTAAAATCAAGAACAAAATTTAAATATTTCAGTTGTGTGATATTTAGTCATATGACAGTTTCTTTGACAGTTTCTTTTATCATTGTTAAAATAAAATTAAGACTTAAGCTGACTACTTCATAGCAGACTGGCTAAAAGGTTCAAATGAGATATAGTGGAAATGTGATCACACTACAATCAAAATAATATTTATTTATTTAGTGTTATCTGTCGAAGATGTTAACATTTTAAAATGTCTATACAATTAAAGTCAGCTCATTGCCAATATAGTTTTTAAAAAAGAAAAAAATAAATGGACAAACTTAACTCACCTAAGCCTCATGTGTATTTTATGTTTTTTTCTGAGATGATGCAATCTAAAGTGAAGATGGTATTTGCAGTCCTTCGAGGCAGATGAAATTGTTTGTGTCTTCCTAAAAGGAAGCCCTGGATAAAGCCCATGATCACTAAAGACCCAATTCCATCTCAGAAAAATCTCATTTATATCTTGAATGGTTCAGAGAATAATTTTTAAAGATATGCAGGTAGCATAGTTGAAGAATGTTTCTGATGCATTCTAGATTCTATTCACAGGTATAGAAAACTGAATATTAATAAAATTTTCCAATCTTACTTTTAAAATGCACTTTTAAAATGTACTTTTAAAATGAACATGGCTATGTGATTTTTGAGGTATGCTGTTTCCAAGTATCACATAGAATCATAATATCTAAGCCACATCAGCTAGTTTGCCTTCTTTAAAAGAGAACCTCCTCTGCAAATTGTATTTCCATTAATGTTCATCAGACTCAGAAACGAGAAAATAATATTTGTTTCATTCTTTGCTTTAACTCTCCATAATAATGAAAGTAAATTAAACTTCAATGTGAAAGGTTGTTCTCTTGAATCCAAACATGATAACACTTTCATTTTAATCACAATATTTTTATTTGCACGGGGTTCTCTTTGTCATCTGTGTGTTTTAAGAAAGGTATTTTCTGATAGATTAAACAATCTTACCCTTAGGGAATCATAAGTAAATTCATATGCTCACTCTGTGTTTGTGAGCTTTCATGTTATGTCCGATTTGCATGCAACCATATAACTCTGTAGTCACTGATTTTTCTGGACAGGATGATGACGGTATTTGAGTGCACTTATATCATCACTGTCACTGCATTAATACCAGACTAAATGGTCAACAAGATAATAAAAATAATCAGTGAAAAGAACCAGCTCCAAAATTCTGATTTTCCAATTGCTGATTGATTGTCTGCCTGGAAAAATTCTAGAAAATTTCAAAATCTTCTTGTGATTTTATGTTCATATTGTGATTGTCCTATGTTGTGTATATGTGATTTAATGTCTAGTATAATTAAGTAGGTGTACAGAGAGTATATCTAAATAGATGTCTGTACAATATAATAATCAATGAAATAGTCCCTAAAAGTGTTTCTGAGATACATTTCTAGACACGTTAACACTGCTGTATAATGTGGACGCCATCTGCCTGTCCTGATGCCCAGGAGATATTCCAGCCTGATCTCGATATTCCTATGTATTAATTCTGGAAACCTTGTCTCCAGGTGGACGTTGGAAAAAAGGCTGAAGCTGTAGCAACAGTTGTTGCTGCAGTAGACCAGGCCCGAGTCAGAGAGCCCAGAGAGCCTGGGCATCTTGAAGAATCCTATGCTCAGCAGACCACTTTGGAGTACGGATATAAGGAACGCATTTCCGCCGCAAAGGTAGCTGAGCCTCCCCAACGTCCAGCCTCAGAACCCCACGTTGTCCCTAAAGCAGTCAAGCCTAGAGTAATCCAGGCTCCTTCTGAGACTCATATCAAAACTACTGATCAAAAGGGAATGCACATATCATCACAGGTGAGTCTATACCTGCTGATTTTTCACCTTGTTCATGGTAAAGCAAGCCTCACTGCTGTGGTCATCTGGTGATCAATGGTATCACTGAGTTTCATTTCAATGCAGATCAAGAAAACTACAGATCTAACAACGGAAAGATTAGTCCATGTGGATAAACGCCCCCGCACAGCTAGCCCTCACTTTACTGTTTCAAAAATTTCTGTTCCTAAGACAGAACATGGATATGAGGTAAGAAGTTACAGAGCATGATACAGAAATGTTTAAAGGAAATAAGTATCTAACCTGTGAAACAGAGCATCTCTGGGGTAGGCCAATGGAGGATTCTTTTTTGGTGATGTGTGTGTGCGTGTGTTTGCATTCACAGTGGGCCCAGACACCCTAAAGATTTGGTTTCTGAAACTCGCCCAGGGGAGTGAGCCTAGAGTCACAAGTGGTTATCTTATACCTCTGAGGAGAGACAAATCCACACAGGCTTCTCTCTAGTTCACATTTCAGGGACAGCTCAAACTCAATTGTTTTGATTACTATTGTTCTAATGATTTTGTGAAAGGTAGTGTGTTACACAGCATAGTTTTACTTATGCTGTGAGACATTTCAGAGTAACTTAACTGTGAATGTGTTTCAATAATAAAGACAGACATTGAGAAATCATATATTTATATACTCAATATAGCAAGATGGAGAGGTGGTACTGTATGGTGGTCGGGTTGGATTGTGGAATCAAATAGCTCTGGATTAGTGCCCTATCTTCTCCCTTATAATCTCTGTCATCAGGAGAAAGTAAGCATACATGTAAAATGCAAGTAAAAAGGACATAAAAACCTGCAGTTGTCAGCATGTAATAAATCCTTGATATTAGTCACTATTGTTATTATACACATCCAAGAAATAGAACCCAAACCTTCTATGCCTTCAAAGAACTGTAAGTTACATATAATGCCTATATTTGATTTAGTCCCAAATTACAAAACAAATAACCATAGACCACAACAGAATAAAAGCAGTAAGGAAACCTTTAAAATATTTTTTCTGAATGTCTTCATGTTTACCTTTCACATAGATTTGTGGCTAAAACCCAAATGTACTATTGCAAAGTAGTTCTTAGGCATTTACCAACAATTTCAATAATTTCTTAATTTTGAATCTCCCACTGTGGTATTTTCAAAAGTGGCATTCATCGGAATGGTTAAGTGAAAATTCGTGACTAAGCTTTAGAAGATCCTGTCCTTTTATGATAAAAGCTGTAAAATAAGGAGTTCTGAATACAACTCTTTAAAAAAGATATTTTAAAATTTGTTTTACAAACTAACAGGCATGACAAGGAGCTTTATAATTGGCTTATCTCTAAATGACTTTTCATTAACTGTGTGATAATGAGTGCTAATGAGAACATTAAAGAACAGACCTTATAGAAAATAGGCTCAGACTCAGTCCAAGAGGGCTAGCCATCGGAGGATGGTTAAATGACTTTATTTTCTGACTCTGTTTCCATGTAGGCATCAATAGCCGGTAGTGCTATTGCCACATTACAAAAAGAGTTGTCAGCCACATCTTCTGCTCAGAAGATCACCAAATCGGTGAAGGCTCCTACTGTGAAGCCCAGTGAGACTAGAGTAAGGGCAGAGCCCACACCCTTGCCACAGTTCCCCTTCGCTGACACACCAGATACTTACAAGAGTGAAGCTGGCGTTGAGGTGAAAAAGGAAGTAGGGGTGAGCATCACTGGCACCACCGTCCGTGAAGAGCGCTTTGAAGTACTGCACGGACGCGAAGCCAAGGTTGGTCACTGGTTACCCGCTGTTACATGGTCCACTCCCATTGAGCAGGGCCAGGTGGTTGGCTAGTTTGTACTGAAAAGTAGCCAGTGGAGTCTTGCCTTTCTCCTTTGCCATACTAAGACTTGATTTTTATGGAGCATAGTATGGGTCAGAGATCATTTTCTCAAATTATTTTTATAATTATTTTTATATTTTTATAATTATATAATGTTGCATGAGCTAAGAGTTTATGAGATTTCCCTTAATTTCATGAGCATTTTGTAATATAATTTGTAAAAATCTAGGTAACAGAAACAGCAAGAGTACCAGCACCTGTTGAAATTCCTGTTACTCCACCAACTTTGGTCTCGGTGAGTAAAGAAGTTGATAATGCTGGACCCTATTCATATCTCCTCAAATCATTTTAATACACGTTTGCAAAGATCAGTTTCTCAAATTAATACAAAAATGACATTAGTGAGCTTACAGATGCTCATTTTAAGACCGTATTTGGTCTGGAAGACCATATTTGACCATATTTGGCAAGGAAGAAGGGAATTCTATGTGGTACATCATTCATGGATTCAAAAGATTTAATGAGCTTCTAATATGCAGAAGGCATTATTGCAGGAGCTGTGCAGACATAAAGACCAATCCATCCCTCTTTGAAATATTTTCTTTGCCATCAGAGAAAATGTACACAAACAAGCATAATAAAATATATAAGGTGATAAACATCACAACAGAAGGAGAATCCATGGGAGGCATAGATTCATTCCAGTTGGTGATACCATGGCAAAGCTTTGTTGAATAGGTAGCATTTGCTATTGAGCCTTACAGCTCTTTACTAATATATTAGTATATTATATAAATATTAGTTTCTCTACTACTATTTCTGGAGTCCTGATTAAAAGGCCATTTTGTGGCAGTTGAAATGCATAAGTTCAAACTCTACATTTGTTACAAAACAGAAGTGATTAATGAATATGCACACGTATCATTATTTATTTTTTCTCCTCTCTTCAGGGCTTAAAAAATGTGACTGTCATAGAAGGTGAATCTGTCACCTTGGAGTGCCACATCTCTGGATACCCATCCCCGACAGTGACATGGTACAGGGAAGACTACCAAATCGAAAGTTCCATTGACTTCCAGATAACCTTCCAGAGTGGAATTGCTCGTCTTATGATTCGCGAAGCATTTGCGGAAGACAGCGGGCGATTTACTTGCAGTGCTGTAAATGAGGCTGGAACCGTCAGCACATCCTGCTATCTGGCTGTGCAGGGTTAGTGGCCACCCTCCCACAGTCCTAATGCACATGCCATCACTTTCATCTGACACTCTTTTCCACAATATGGTTTCTGTGCACCTTGAAATGATGTCCCTTTTTGGAACTTGGGGGGAGATTATATGGTCAATTTAACTGTCAGTGCTAAGCAGGGGTCACTAAACATCTCATCTCAATGAGAAACTTTTGTCTTCTTTTAGTGTCAGAAGAATTTGAAAAGGAAACCACAGCCGTGACTGAGAAATTTACTACAGAAGAGAAACGGTAAAATATTTTGCTAATTAGTAGCTGTTCTAGTACCATTTTGACTTTCAGCCCCACCAGTATTGGCAAATTGCAACCCGGAAGCTAATATGAGGGGAATTCTCTTTCCAGCTTTGTTGAGTCAAGAGATGTGGTTATGACTGATACTAGCCTCACAGAGGAACAAGCAGGGCCTGGAGAACCTGCCGCGCCTTACTTTATTACAAAACCAGTGGTCCAGAAACTGGTGGAAGGTGGGAGCGTGGTGTTTGGATGCCAAGTTGGCGGCAACCCAAAGCCCCATGTATACTGGAAAAAATCTGGTGTTCCTCTAACCACTGGATACAGGTATTTTGATGGCTGAATATAGAGTTCTCTGTGACTTGTATAATACGTGCATGAAGCCTAGAGTAGAATTTACTCACCCCACCGACCCTGAGCATAGGCTCTTTCATTGTGGAGCCTTCTTAGTTTGTTTTGAGGTATTTTTACATTTTTTTTGTGCAAAGTCTTCCTAAGAAATAAAGCTATGTGACAAAAGTGGATGGAAGATATATTTCTTTACATTATAGTTTAATTCATTGAGTTTGTGAAAGTAGAGAAAATATGGATTTTCACACAAACACACCCACACACACACACACACACACACACTTCCAGAAAAGATTTGAGACAATTTTCAATAAAAACATGTAATAACTAAGTGACTAAAAGATAGAAGAATAGCCATGTAATGAAGAAGAAAGCTAGTTATGCACAAAAATCTATGCTAGTAATTTTTCTTCAATTCAATATAAAATTTAGCTCTGAATATTTTGCAATTTAAGATAAAAAGAGCAACCTGGTAATCTAAAAATGTAGGTGCCGTACCTTCATAATAATAAATATAATGTACCAGAGAGTTAATACTGAAATATTTGAAGGAATTTATTGTTTTAATTATTCATTTGATCTCTGAATGAAATAATGAGAAAAATAACGAACAAAGAGAAAATACCTGTTGTTTAAGTGACCTGATCATTTGCTAACATAAACACTGAAAACCACTTAATTTCATGACTGATTCTAGCAATAAATATTCTTTAAAATGAATATTTTAACTTATTTGGCCCTAATTACTCATGTTCTTGCATTTTTCTCAATTTTCAGCAATCTTATAATCTATTGTGGAGCTTAGTCATATGTTTAGGGTCATTGAATTTTATACCACAGATCCACTCACAGATAAGTCCAATTATTTTACCCACAGAAGAGTTGTTGATAACTGATTTTTAAATTTTGTACATTTACATAAAGATACAAAGTGAGTTACAACAAACAAACCGGTGAATGCAAGCTGGTGATTTCTATGACTTTTGCTGATGATGCTGGAGAATACACTATTGTTGTTCGCAATAAGCATGGAGAAACTTCTGCATCTGCTTCCTTGCTTGAAGAAGGTAAGTGCAACTCCAGTTTCTATGTGCATGATAAGAACTGAAATACAAGGAGATAGCAGTGCTGTCCGTTTGCTGAAAAACCTGTTGCCACTTACTGGTTCTGATACTTTGCCCCAGTGTCTTTGCCTCAGTTGTATGGAAAATGTTTTAGACCACATGGCCTCAAAAACTATACTGTCATTAAACTTCTGAGGTTCTAGCAATAGTTTCTTTTTGTTGTATTTGTTTCTAGGCATATCATGCCTCTGAAAATGCAGAGATTCTAAATCCGGTTGCCTTCCAGGCCCAGGCAGGTAACAGTGAGCTCAATGAAAACAGTAGCAAACTGGAGAGTAGGTGCCCTGCCTCAAAGAGACAGTAGCTGTGTTGTTGCCAGGCATGCACCAGGCTGTTACCAGGCTCAGTGTTGCTAGAGCTCCTGATATCTTAAAGAAAACCTGGAAGTCAGGATTTTCAATGTTTATAACTTGAAAACAAATGTAACAGCTTTCATGCTAGACTGTTCACATTTACAGTGAACTGGCTCACACTCTGTTTCACTTGACCTACACAGTATCCCTTAGAGGAAATTACAATATTATCTTCATTTAGCAGATAAAGCACTCAATATTCAGGAAGGTAAATGAATTGTTAAAAGACACACAGCAAATTAGGAAGTCCTCCGTGGTAGATCCCCCCAAAACTGACTGCTAATATAAAATTCTTTCTACAATTGTAATGGCTGGTTGGATTTGTTAGTGTTAGTTTGGTTTCCAAATTCCATCTAGAAAATATTGAGCACTTCAATAGTAGATATTTGGAAAATTTGGTTTTTGGTTATCAACTTTCCCCAGTGTAGAGTTTACCTGAATGCATAGTGGTATGACTGTTTTCTAATAAGAGCATTAAAAATTAACTGATGTTCTTAACTCTTAGCTGATTATGAGTTACTGATGAAGTCCCAGCAAGAAATGCTTTATCAGACACAAGTGACTGCATTTGTTCAAGAACCTAAAGTTGGAGAAACAGCACCTGGATTTGTATACTCTGAGTATGAAAAAGAGTATGAAAAAGAACAAGCCTTAATTAGGAAGAAAATGGCCAAAGATACTGTAGTGGTCAGAACTTATGTAGAAGATCAGGTGAGTATAAAAGTAATGACCAACCAAACAATTTCATAAATTATACTTTCCTTTTTTTATTTGATATTTTCATTTTCAAGTGATGAGCTCGGGGTTAGACAGCTATTAGAAGGTCCAAGTTCACTGTTGCTAAGTTTCCTTAATCTTCATGGTATGTTGCACCTGTGAGTTTAGAAATAGAGATTACATATAGGCCATAAATGTGACTTTAAAAATAGGGCTTATAATATATTAAGGAAAACACCAATATTAGCACAGCTGAGTTCATTCATGCCAAGATCTCTTCATCTGTGTGATAAGCTAATGTAACCTCTAACCCAAATCTAACTCCTGCTTTTGGAATACCTTTCTACCCAAGATGCCACAACATTCACTGGGAAAGATGACCATAATGCAGATTAAAACAAACAAACCAAAAAGTCCTCTAGATTCTTCTCCCAGCTAAAAACTTCAACAGTCTAGCTCAGATACATCTCCTTAAATAATTTATATCAGTAAGGATATGTATTTTTAACAGACCATAATCTTTTTGCATAGGAATTCCATATTTCTTCCTTTGAAGAGAGACTTATTAAAGAAATTGAATATAGAATAATAAAGACTACATTAGAAGAACTTCTTGAAGAAGATGGAGAAGAAAAGATGGCAGTTGACATTTCTGAATCTGAAGCTGTTGAATCAGGATTTGATTCAAGAATCAAGAATTATAGAATTCTTGAGGGGATGGGTGTCACTTTTCATTGCAAGATGTCTGGATATCCATTACCAAAGGTAAAATATAAACATTTATCATAGCTCCTTGCCACAGTAAAGATACAAATTGGTTAAAATATAACTATTTGATGTAAATTTTATTCATACATGCATGGTATTCTTTGCAGATTGCTTGGTACAAAGATGGCAAGCGCATCAAACATGGAGAAAGATACCAAATGGACTTTCTACAAGATGGCAGAGCTAGTCTGCGTATACCTGTTGTTCTTCCAGAAGATGAAGGAATCTACACTGCATTTGCCAGCAATATTAAAGGAAATGCAATTTGCTCAGGGAAATTGTATGTGGAGCCTGCTGCACCACTTGGAGCTCCGACTTACATTCCCACACTAGAGCCAGTGAGCAGAATCAGGTAAGACTTGTAATAATTTGGGTTATTTAGTATGTAAATTGTTTTCAAAACATCAAATAGTAGCAAATTGCTATTGTGTAAGAAGAAAATCGAGGGCTAAAATGGCACAGAAACTTACCATTGGCAACACCAACAATTGCCAGAAGTTTTTATTTCTTGCCCCTGTGTAAGATGAGCAAAGAATTTTCATCAGTGTAACATACTGTTTATTTTCCTAGTGCTATAGCTAATATCACAATAGCTCTTATTTGACACCTGATTTTTACATATGTAAATTTATACAACAGCCCTGCAATAAAAAGATGACTATTATTGGTTTGGAAATAGGAACACTGAGGCCCTGGGAATCTATGAAAATTGTCTTAATTCATCCAGCCTGTAAGCGGTGGTGCCAGCATTCAAACTCCAAGTCAGTCTGGCTGCAATGTGTAGATGGAGTCTTGTTTTGCTTTGTTTTGTTTCCAAATTCATTTCTATGTTTTCCTCCTCTGAGATAAAGAATGTGTATTTTTTATTTTTCCATAAATGTATTCATTGGTTTACTTATCCAACCAACATTTATTAGGATGTTTTAGTAGTTAAATCAAAAAAGTCTAGTGACTGATTAAATCCAAGTGGTAAGGAAAAGAGAGTATTGAGGATTATTCCAAGATTTTTGAGCCTGGGTACCTGGATATACTGAATGACTACCAGCTAAAATTGAGAATATAGGAAAAACATAGTTGTGGGGGCAACAATAATATATTCTATTTTAGATCTGAATGAGTTTGAGGTGCCTTCTAATACGTGCAAGAAGTAAATTCTAAAATAACATGAATAATGAATAAGACAAAATGAAGTTTGTTTTGCTGAGTTTTCTTTATGCCTCACGAAAGTATTGTGTGTCTTTGTTTTGCAGATCTCTCTCTCCACGTTCAGTGAGCAGGTCTCCTATACGCATGTCTCCTGCACGGATGTCACCTGCAAGGATGTCTCCTGCACGGATGTCCCCTGCAAGAATGTCCCCTGGACGTAGGCTGGAGGAGACAGATGAGTCACAACTTGAGAGACTATATAAACCAGTCTTTGTGTTAAAACCTGTTTCTTTCAAATGTTTAGAAGGGCAAACTGCCAGATTTGACTTAAAGGTTGTTGGTAGACCTATGCCAGAGACGTTCTGGTTTCATGATGGTAAGCGTGATAAGTTTTTGCTCATGAATCATAAAAACACAAAAACAAGCTTATGTATGCATCTAACAATTTTTAAAAACTATTTTAAAATCTACTTTCTTTTAAACATATTTTCACAGGCCAGCAAATTGTCAATGACTATACCCATAAAGTAGTCATTAAAGAAGATGGTACTCAATCACTAATTATTGTCCCTGCCACACCCAGTGATTCTGGGGAATGGACTGTGGTTGCCCAAAACAGGGCAGGCAGATCTTCAATTTCAGTGATTTTAACTGTGGAAGGTAAAATGAGATAAAATAAAAATAAATGAATTTTCTTATCACTTGGGTTATAAACAGGTATTTCAGCCTTACTCCCTCTAAATCATGACCTTTCTCTTTCAGCTGTGGAACATCAGGTAAAACCGATGTTTGTAGAAAAACTGAAAAATGTCAATATAAAGGAAGGTTCCCGACTTGAAATGAAAGTCAGAGCTACGGGTAACCCCAACCCTGACATTGTATGGTTGAAAAACAGTGACATCATTGTGCCTCATAAATATCCCAAAATCAGGTAAGTATGGAAATAATAAAGCTAAGCTCATTATACAAATCCAATAACCAGGGAAGCTATACCACTATATTGATTATTCCCTCCCCCAACTTTTTATAGAATTGAAGGAACCAAGGGAGAAGCTGCCCTTAAAATCGATTCCACTGTCAGCCAAGATTCTGCCTGGTATACTGCGACTGCTATTAATAAAGCTGGCAGAGACACTACAAGATGCAAAGTAAATGTTGAAGTTGAGTTTGCAGAGCCTGAGCCAGAGAGAAAGTTAATCATCCCACGGGGGACATATAGAGCAAAGGAGATTGCAGCCCCAGAACTGGAGCCCCTCCATTTGCGATATGGCCAAGAGCAATGGGAAGAAGGTGATCTCTATGACAAAGAGAAACAACAGAAACCATTTTTCAAGAAAAAACTCACTTCCTTAAGACTTAAGCGCTTTGGGCCTGCCCACTTTGAATGCAGGCTAACACCCATTGGTGACCCAACGATGGTGGTGGAGTGGCTCCATGATGGAAAGCCACTTGAAGCAGCCAACAGGCTCCGTATGATCAATGAATTTGGGTACTGCAGCCTTGATTATGGCGTTGCATATTCTAGAGACAGTGGTATCATTACTTGCAGAGCCACTAACAAATATGGAACAGATCACACATCTGCTACCCTTATTGTTAAAGATGAGAAAAGTCTTGTGGAAGAATCCCAATTGCCTGAGGGGAGGAAAGGCTTACAGAGAATTGAAGAATTAGAGAGAATGGCTCATGAAGGTGCACTTACAGGTGTAACAACAGATCAGAAAGAAAAGCAAAAGCCAGACATTGTCTTGTACCCAGAGCCAGTTAGAGTACTTGAAGGGGAGACTGCAAGGTTCCGCTGCAGGGTAACAGGCTACCCTCAGCCCAAAGTCAACTGGTACCTCAATGGACAGCTCATCCGCAAAAGCAAAAGGTTCAGAGTTCGCTATGATGGTATCCATTACCTGGACATCGTGGACTGCAAATCATATGACACAGGTGAAGTGAAGGTCACCGCGGAAAATCCTGAAGGTGTGATAGAGCATAAAGTGAAGCTTGAGATTCAACAGAGGGAAGATTTTAGGTCTGTCCTTAGGAGAGCTCCTGAACCAAGGCCTGAGTTTCACGTACATGAACCAGGAAAGCTTCAGTTTGAAGTACAAAAAGTGGATAGACCTGTTGACACCACTGAAACCAAAGAAGTTGTGAAGTTGAAAAGGGCTGAAAGAATTACCCATGAAAAAGTGCCTGAAGAGTCGGAAGAGCTGCGCAGTAAATTCAAGCGCAGAACAGAAGAGGGCTATTATGAAGCCATTACCGCTGTGGAGCTCAAGTCTCGAAAGAAGGATGAATCCTATGAGGAACTCCTCAGGAAGACAAAAGATGAACTTCTCCACTGGACCAAAGAGTTAACTGAAGAGGAAAAGAAAGCTCTTGCCGAAGAAGGCAAAATCACGATTCCAACTTTTAAACCTGACAAGATTGAACTAAGTCCTAGTATGGAGGCTCCAAAAATCTTCGAAAGAATCCAGAGCCAAACAGTGGGCCAAGGATCTGATGCACACTTCCGGGTCAGAGTCGTGGGGAAACCAGACCCCGAATGTGAATGGTACAAAAATGGTGTCAAAATTGAACGGTCTGACCGGATCTACTGGTACTGGCCCGAAGACAATGTTTGTGAATTGGTCATAAGAGATGTGACTGCTGAGGACTCTGCCAGCATCATGGTAAAAGCCATCAACATAGCTGGAGAAACCTCCAGTCACGCATTCTTACTTGTCCAAGGTAATTTGCATGTCTTTCCTTTGATGGACCTGTCTTTGTATTCAAGAATATCCATGAGTGTGTTTACTTTTATTTTCTTTCCCCATTCCTCAGGTTGAGAATTTAATTTAATATAATGTGCTCTCCCCTTTTTCCCCCACCTTTTTCTTGTAGCCAAGCAATTGATCACTTTCACACAGGAATTACAAGATGTTGTTGCTAAGGAAAAAGACACTATGGCAACCTTTGAATGTGAAACTTCAGAACCATTTGTCAAAGTGAAATGGTATAAAGATGGTATGGAGGTTCATGAGGGAGATAAATACAGGATGCACTCTGACAGAAAGGTTCACTTCCTCTCCATACTGACCATTGATACGTCTGATGCTGAAGATTACAGCTGTGTACTTGTGGAAGATGAAAATGTCAAAACGACTGCTAAACTTATTGTTGAAGGTATTCAACAACGAAGGATTTCATTGTTTACCTAAGCTCTAAAGTCACCCTTAGCATGTGGTAAAATTAGCTATGCAATTTTTCTTTCATGAAACAATTATTTGGAAATTGACTATAAGTTTCATAGCCAGAATCATAAATTTATGTTCGTAATTAAGAATGTTAACAATTTGACCATTTGGATTTTTTAAAGTAGTATTATCTTGATTTTTAGCTTTTAAGTTTTTTATTGAAGCATAATTCTTTACTTTCAAAAATATTTAAAAATTAAAATAAAATAACTGCTTCTTATTGAAAATTTATCTCTCAGCCCATCAGCGGGTAGATATTAAGAATACACCTGATAGTATGGGGGAGATAAAAGACATACAAGACATCATCTCTATCCTAAGTCTAGATGCATACCTCTCCAAAAAAATTGATTTATCTTTCTGTTATACACTTCAGGTGCAGTTGTTGAGTTTGTGAAAGAACTTCAGGACATAGAAGTTCCAGAATCATATTCAGGAGAATTAGAGTGCATTGTATCCCCAGAAAATATAGAAGGAAAATGGTATCATAATGATGTGGAGCTTAAATCCAATGGCAAATATACAATTACATCTCGTCGTGGACGTCAGAACCTCACGGTCAAGGATGTAACCAAGGAGGACCAGGGAGAATACAGCTTTGTCATCGACGGGAAAAAGACAACCTGTAAATTAAAGATGAAACGTAAGTCCTCCCATTCCTGTCAGCCTGCAGTGAGCATCATTATGGTTTATTGATAAAAAATGATCATAACATTCTTTTTCTCCCCATATTTCACAGCCCGCCCCATTGCTATCCTACAAGGACTTAGTGACCAAAAAGTCTGTGAGGGTGACATTGTTCAGCTTGAAGTTAAAGTCTCCTTGGAAAGTGTGGAAGGCGTCTGGATGAAAGACGGCCAAGAAGTGCAGCCCAGTGACAGGGTTCACATTGTGATAGACAAACAATCTCATATGCTGCTCATTGAAGACATGACTAAGGAAGATGCTGGAAATTACTCTTTCACCATTCCAGCCCTTGGCCTCTCCACCAGTGGGCGTGTCTCTGTCTATAGTGAGTCCTAATTATAAAATTTTATGTTTACACTATTAAGCAACATAAAGAACTTCAAGGAGCAGACAATTTCAACAAAATTCATTCATCTTGTGTGTGTATGATTTTGCAGGTGTGGACGTGATAACACCTCTAAAAGATGTTAATGTGATTGAAGGCACCAAGGCTGTGCTTGAATGTAAGGTGTCAGTCCCTGATGTGACTTCTGTTAAGTGGTACTTAAATGATGAACAAATCAAGCCTGATGACCGTGTACAGGCCATTGTGAAAGGTACTAAACAGCGACTAGTCATTAACCGAACTCATGCTTCAGACGAAGGACCTTA
Source organism: Homo sapiens (assembly GCF_000001405.40). Lineage (NCBI taxonomy): Eukaryota > Metazoa > Chordata > Mammalia > Primates > Hominidae > Homo > Homo sapiens. The sequence continues at coordinate 178,773,511 of NC_000002.12, read as the reverse complement.
CAAGCTGATAGTTGGCAGAGTTGAAACCAACTGTAATCTCTCTGTAGAAAGTAAGGATTATTCTACCTATCTAATAATTACTTTAAGCATTCTACTTTCCCAGTGTAACAATAACCAAGAGATTATTTTATTTTTTCCCCAGAAATTAAAATTATCAGAGGTCTTCGTGACCTTACCTGTACAGAAACTCAAAATGTGGTGTTTGAGGTTGAGCTGTCCCACTCTGGAATTGATGTCCTGTGGAATTTTAAGGACAAGGAAATCAAGCCCAGTTCTAAATATAAAATTGAAGCACATGGAAAAATATATAAATTGACAGTTCTAAATATGATGAAAGATGATGAAGGAAAATACACATTTTACGCGGGAGAAAATATGACATCTGGAAAACTTACTGTGGCAGGTTGGTATATTTATTAACCTAAATTCTTACGAGGAGTGATTGTTATTTTAAGAAATTATTATTCATTTCCCCCAAAATTCCTTTCAGTTTCCCACTTCCATGCCTCTGCTTATGCTGTTCCCAAAGCCAATAGTACTTGCAACACCATTCCCACCAGCCTAAATTACAAATGTTCTTCTAGGCCTACCTCAAACGTCACCTTCTCCATTAAACCTTCCTTAATCTCTCCATTTGTATATGATCTCTTCCTCATCCAACCCCAGGATCACTTTATATGTGCCTCTTTCCTAGTGTTTATTATGCACTTGTCTTATTCCCCATTTCCTCTTTCAATATCAGTGTATAAACTCCTGAAATCTGGAATTCTATTTGTATATTCCAATATATTGCAAATGACAGATAATCAATTGGTGTTTGCTGTATTGAGCTTTATTTAAACTTCCTTACTCTAAAGAATTATTTCCTTTTTTAGCCATTCTTGCTTCTTTAGCCTTTGTGCCTTTTATTTTCTTCCTACTTTTTAATGAAATCAATAAATATTTTCAAAATACAGCTTAATGTAACTGTATTTCTTATGATATCATGTAGAAATAAGACCATCATTCAGTAGAATTTCTTAGCTTTACAATGAAGAATAAAAAATGTAAATCAATTGCCAGAAAAAACTAGAAGTCATCATTAATTTGTTTGGTTCATTACAGTTTAAATTTTGAGGAGTTGAGATGTTACATTCAGATCGTGTTGTCCATTACATCTAGTATTGAAGCAAGTCATATGGTAATGATTTGTCTTATTTGGTATGAAAGTTTCATGGTTTATACTTACTTACGTTATAAGATTTCTTCAGAGATCGGACCATGAAAAGACTTGTAAAACAAAATTTCAGATTCAGCATTTTTATACATTTAATATAAATTACATGTTTTAAATGTGTGGAAACAGGAATAAACTATGAACTCCTCTGTGATTTCACCCAGTGTTTTTAAAGTACCTACCATTGGTCAGACACTTGTAGAAACTCAGGACACAAAACTAAATAAGAAATGATTTTTTTCTTGAGAAATTCATAATTTAGAGAGGACAGATACATAAGCAACTAGCTTGTTAAAGCAGTAATTATTTCTGCTAATGGATGATAAGAGTGGAGGCAATGGGGTGAAACTTCATAGAATGGGCGACATTTGCCAACACAGTGATTTTTAATATATAGAAATCCTCAATGTAGTAGAAACATTGATGACTCGTACATTTTGTTTAGCAAATTTTTATGTAGTCAAAATATCAGATTCCCAGGAAATAATCATTAAAAGACCAAGTAAAATGCTTTTGAAGAAGAAGGAATTGGGTTAGAGACTATCCTGGTGGTATACTGTTCTAAGAATTTCCTATTAATTCAACAGTTATTTTTTCTTCACAAAACTTTTCTGATTCCAGTATTTCTCCTAATTATCAGTTATGCATACTTAGAATAAGGGATTTCTTTGGTACCTTCTCAATATGGGTAAAAACAATCATAGACATTTCATGATTTCAAAATCATGTTCTTAAATTTGATATTTTATATTTACTTCTGCAAAGATTTTCCCATTGTGTGAATATGTTTAAAGGACTCATACTGTACATCTCTTGTTCCAAAGGTGGGGCCATCTCCAAGCCACTCACAGATCAGACCGTAGCTGAATCCCAGGAAGCTGTGTTTGAATGTGAAGTTGCCAACCCAGATTCCAAAGGCGAATGGTTGAGGGATGGCAAACACCTACCACTGACTAACAACATCAGAAGTGAGTCTGATGGCCACAAAAGGAGACTTATCATTGCTGCCACCAAATTAGATGACATTGGAGAATATACCTACAAGGTGGCCACCTCCAAAACATCTGCCAAACTCAAAGTTGAAGGCAAGTAACATAGGATTTGTCCTTTTCAAATCATATTACAATCTTGATCGTTATCGTTTTAAAAGACAAACGATATGGCCATTTTGGATACCATAAATTTTCATTTCATAAAGTCATTCTAGATCCTCTAAACCTTCCTGAGACACATTCCACAAGGTACAAAATTGCTTATCAAATGCGTTTATGCAAAAAAGCCATTTCTTAGGTTAAAGCTCTGTGAAACAGCTAAATCAGACACTGATTCTCCATTCGTCTTTCACCCTTCTCCAATCAGTCTATTATGCTGCTAATACATAGCTATGCAAACTTCATACTACTAAAGCATAGAAAAATCATTTCACGATGTACATGTCCAGTTGGATCCCAGGTTCCCCTAAATAATCTCAGGTGTTTTTTAAAACAGAGGTGCTGCATAACTGTAAAATGTTTGGTAGCCATTCTTTTGCAGGGTGAGTAAGCAATGATCTTGTTCAGGACTTCTTTTCCTTGATGATGTCATCTATATTTTCTAACCCAATCATAAATTTGTCTTTAGCTGTCAAAATTAAGAAGACTCTGAAGAACCTCACAGTGACAGAAACACAGGATGCTGTTTTCACTGTCGAGCTTACACACCCTAATGTCAAAGGTGTCCAGTGGATCAAAAATGGAGTTGTGCTGGAATCCAATGAAAAGTATGCTATCTCTGTCAAAGGAACAATTTACTCTCTGAGGATTAAAAACTGTGCCATCGTGGATGAGTCTGTTTATGGCTTCAGGCTTGGAAGGCTTGGAGCCAGTGCCAGACTGCACGTGGAGAGTAAGTTGATTTAGAAACACTTTTCAAGCAGTCAGCCCATGGTTACCATTAAGTTAACCCTATCACTGAATTGCTCCAATTTTCCTCTTAGCTGTCAAGATCATTAAAAAGCCAAAGGATGTGACAGCCTTGGAAAATGCCACTGTTGCCTTTGAAGTTAGTGTTTCCCATGACACTGTTCCAGTAAAATGGTTCCATAAGAGTGTGGAAATTAAGCCAAGTGACAAACACAGACTGGTCTCAGAAAGGAAAGTCCACAAGCTGATGCTGCAGAACATCTCCCCCTCAGATGCTGGGGAATACACAGCTGTGGTCGGGCAATTGGAATGCAAAGCAAAACTGTTTGTGGAGAGTAAGTATCAGGCAGCCCCCTACAGCCCTTTCCTTAATGAACCCCATGTATCTATTTGTTTGGTTTCATCTACTTTTTAAACAAATTGTATTAACTGAAGTGCTCTTTGATTTTACCAAGCATTACATATTACAAAAACCATGAAAAATATCGAGGTGCCTGAGACCAAAACTGCCTCTTTTGAGTGTGAGGTGTCCCACTTCAATGTCCCTTCCATGTGGCTGAAGAATGGTGTGGAAATTGAGATGAGTGAAAAGTTCAAGATAGTTGTGCAGGGAAAACTCCATCAGCTGATCATCATGAACACCAGCACAGAGGACTCGGCAGAATACACATTTGTCTGTGGCAATGACCAAGTCAGTGCCACCCTGACAGTCACCCGTAAGTTAAAAAATATATATATATATATACACATATATATAAAATATCAAATATTCAGTAGATTCATTGATATTCTATATCCTACACTTTGCTGACCACTCAAAAATCCTTGATTGGGTGGGCAGGGTGGCTCAAGCCTGTAATCCCAGCACTTTGGGAGGCCAAGGCAGGAGAATCACTTGAGATCAAGATTTTGAGACCAGGCTGGGAAATACAATGAGATCCTGCCTCTAGCAAAGACAAAAGGAAAAAAAAAAATTAGCTGGGCATGGTGGCACACACTTGTAGTCCCAGCTACTCAGGAGGCTGAGGTGGGAAGATCGCTTGGGCCCAGAAGGCCAAGGCTGCAGTGAGCCACAATCACGGCACTGCACTGCAGCCTGGGCGACAAAGTGAGAACCTGCCTCAAAAAATAAAGAAAAAAAATTGTTAATTGAAACATCTAGTATGTGGTTACACTGAGTAAAGCACTAGTATCTCCACCTGGATAAAATGTTCCAGTTAGAGTAGCATTGAAAGGCTACCTGGAAAGATGCCTCAGTGTCTATCACTTGATCTTTCTGTTCCTCTGTGAGTTGGCACTGTCCTGTATAGTACATGGAAGGTATCAAAGCTTATATCTCTAAACTGTAATCTCCTCAACAGACGCACTAAAAACATTCCAAATTTTTATTCTGCACCTGTTATAACCCACATCATATTTACGTAAAGTCTCCTTGGGTGTTTTTTCTTTTCTCCTTTGCAGCAATCATGATTACTTCCATGCTGAAAGACATCAACGCTGAAGAAAAAGACACTATTACTTTTGAGGTGACAGTGAACTATGAAGGCATCTCTTACAAATGGTTAAAGAATGGTGTGGAAATCAAATCAACTGACAAGTGCCAGATGAGAACCAAAAAGCTCACACACTCACTGAACATCAGGAATGTTCACTTTGGGGATGCTGCTGACTACACCTTTGTGGCTGGAAAAGCAACATCAACAGCCACACTTTATGTGGAAGGTATGGTTTCATACATATTAGATCCATAGAAAAAATGTCATACATGCTTTATAAAATTTAGTGTATCAATTAATGAATGGATAAATAAAATGTGGGATAGCCATACGATGGGATATCATTCAGCAATAAAAAGGAAGCACTACGATATGCTACAACATGGATGAACCTTTAAAACTTTATGCTAAGTGAAAGAAGCCAGAGACCATACAAAGACCACATATTGTATGATTCCATTTATATGAAATGTCCAAGATACACAAATCTATAGAGATGTAGATTGGTGGTTGCTTAGGTCTACAGGGGAGACAATAGAAAAGTCCTTGGGGTGATGGCTAAGGGTTACATGATTTCTTCTTGGGGAATGAGAATGTTCTAAAATTATGGTGATGGCTACACAATGATGAATACATGGAAATTCATTGAATTGTATACTTTAAATTGGTGGATTGTACAGTATGTGAATTATATCTCAATAAAGCTGTTAAAAATGTTAATTTTTCTACATGCTATTTTCCAGCTCGTCATATAGAATTTAGGAAACACATTAAGGACATTAAGGTACTGGAGAAGAAGCGAGCCATGTTTGAATGTGAAGTTTCTGAACCTGACATCACTGTACAGTGGATGAAAGATGACCAGGAACTGCAGATCACAGACAGGTCAGTTGTTTTGTCTTGCTACATTCCAGTAATTCCCAGTTTCCTCTGAATCACCATACGGTAAACTCGAATTTCCATTTCATCCATAGAATAAAGATTCAGAAGGAGAAATATGTCCACCGCCTTCTGATCCCATCCACCCGGATGTCTGATGCTGGGAAGTACACAGTGGTGGCAGGAGGCAACGTGTCAACTGCAAAACTCTTTGTAGAAGGCAGAGATGTTCGCATCCGAAGTATTAAAAAGGAGGTTCAGGTATTGTCTACATACTAAATGTTTTGAAAAATCATCAGTAGTCCATAATCTATCATTTTATATTTTAATGTTTCCCTTTTACATTTTCTAACCACCATCCTTTAAAGAATTAAATCAGCTCATTCTTACTTGGCTTAGACTCTCTTATGCTGACCTCAATTTAGTCACAGTTTCCACTCAGGGAATAAGGGTGTCCCTAGCAGCTGTCTAAATACGTTAATTAAAGCAGCTGTAGAAATTTCACTGTCTAATAAATGGCTGCTTGCCAAGCAGCACCAACCAGAAAAGAATTAAAATGTAAATCGTGAGGTTCACACATCAATTAGAATTAAGGAAATTTAGAACAAGGTGATATTTTCTCAGAAGGTTTCTATCTGTGGAGAGGCAAGTGTCAAGGAACTTAGTGGCTAGAAATACTTTCTGTGAAGTCTAAGAGAAAGCCCTGTCCAAGCCGTGCTGGGTTCCTGGCAAGGATGCTGGGCACTCTTGCTGTCGGCTGCATTTACAGAGCTTGTCCTCATAAGTGTCCACCATCCCAAATGATATAATGGAGGAAACATGTCTAGAGAAATACCAGTTGAGTTCAGCTTTATCATATTGCTCATCCAAAGAAAACCAGGCTTTACAGACTGTGGACTATAATGAAAAAGGCTTCAATGAGGACTCAGATAACCTGGAGATGTCTTCCATCATTTATTTGCCAATTCTGAACCTCAGTGTTCTCACTCTTAAAATGAGGATAATAATTCCTACCTAGCCCACAAAGTTATTATTCATATAAAATGAAATCAAATTAAGTAATAACTTTTTAGACAATAAAAAGCCCCCAAAGGTAAAGCATCATTATATCCCTTATTAGTAAATAAGAAGCAAACATTTAAGGATGAAATAATTGTCTCTTTGGGGCAGCTCCTTTCCTCCATGCAGCTGTAAACACAATTCTCTACAAGAGAAGTTTATGTACCATTTGTCCAATACTAGGCAGGAAAAATTAGAGAGTGCTATAATCAGCCAACTTATTACATTATAATATATTGGTTTCACATGCCATTCATTGACCAGTTTTAGAAATTGATTAACTGGGAGGAAACCAGAGCTTCAAGTTTTTGTTGTTGTTGTTGTTTTTTTATGTTGTTCCATCAACAGGTCATTGAGAAACAGCGTGCTGTTGTTGAATTTGAGGTCAATGAAGACGATGTTGATGCCCACTGGTATAAAGATGGCATTGAAATCAATTTCCAAGTTCAAGAACGACACAAATATGTAGTGGAAAGAAGAATCCACCGAATGTTTATCTCTGAGACCAGACAGAGCGATGCAGGAGAATACACCTTTGTGGCAGGAAGGAACAGGAGTTCTGTCACTCTCTATGTCAATGGTATGTAGGGACAGATTTCAGCATATTTTGTGGATCCATCAGAAATAATCCTCCTGTTTAAGTCACTAAATTCTTGTAACTTGAAGGAAATTTCTAAAGAACCTATGGTATTCATGTGGTTCCAGCTACATTTTTTTTCACATTATATCTATGGAAAAGGGAGGGCAGCTGTTAAAAGACCTATTGAGAAGTTATTTTCAGAAAGCACCTGATGGCCAGATCCTCATCTGGTTGCTCAAAACTATTGAACACCCATTGGGTGTCCATTTTCATATACCCCAGATGAGCTTCTAGATTCGCTGTTAAACTATTTTAGTTCTCTGCCCTCTGCCTGAACTGCTCAAGTCCTAGCAGCACTACCAAGTGAAAGGGGTGTTTCCAGCCTCTGATATGGAGTGCCTGGGAGAACTCAAAAGTCCTCTTTGAGACCCTGGAAGGCCTAGAGAGCCTCAGGCAATGTGGAACTCGATCCTCTCTACCCCAAGCTCTAAGAACAGGGGCTCTTACTTTGGACAGGGAATTCCACATGCTACCAAGCACTCCTGAGGAGCCTCTGAGCAGTCCCCAGGGAAGTGCTGTTAAACCTCTGCTCTCCTCATTAGAAATCTTAAGGCTGAATCTCAAGCTGACCTTGTTTTGAGTCTAACCTAGATGCAAGAGAAAAATGGAACCTCCCTTCCTATTCTCATCCTAGGCCATATCTCTTTGAATAAAATACCCCTGAGGCAGATGCAGGAACTCCAGGGGTAATCTCAAGATTCACAAAGATGAACCATATCGCCAGCATTCCCTAGGTTCCTAGAAGACCAAATGGTCATGGCATCCAGTTCTTATTATCTCTGTATTAGTAGTGGAGAAACTGAGGCACAGAAAAGTAAAGATCTTTTCTATGATAGTGTCAGAAACCAGCCTCACAGAAGTCATTTCTTCTAATTTCTGGGTTCCATGAACTAACCAGGTCCCCTCACTCATCACAGCACTGAGAATATGCTTTAGTTAGCAAAACAGGAAAGCTGAATTTGTTAAGTCTACCTAATGGCATTTAACTAGATCTGAAATAGTGTTAATTCAGTCATTCATTCAATACTTACTGATTGCATTTTACTGGCACTGGTACATAACAAAATGACTATGACATAAACACAAATACTTGCAAAACAAACAAACTGGAATGATATGAGCCTCTTCACCACATGATTTGTCCAAATGAATTTTAAAAATAGGTAGCACACGGAAGTTATTGTATAATTCATTCAGGTGTCCATCGCTAAGCCCCCACCACAAACAGAAACTGGGATAATCAGGTTAACTCGGCACTCTCAGCATGCCCCCCAAATATCAAAAATATCTTTCTGAAGCTATTCCCTCTGCATGTGGACAAATTCCAAGTGCTTTCTTCATTCTTAGCACAAAGAATGTTCTAATATTCTGAGGCAAGTAAAAATACCACAATTCCAAAATTTTGTCTCTGGATGTATAACTAGCCAGCAACAAATTAATGTAGAGTTTTGCATGCTCTCTTGTGTTTTTACACTTTTTCATGGGCTATTTGTCAACATTTACTCCTAGCTCCTGAACCGCCCCAAGTTCTGCAGGAGCTCCAGCCTGTCACTGTGCAGTCTGGCAAGCCTGCCCGCTTCTGTGCCGTGATATCCGGAAGACCACAGCCCAAAATTTCCTGGTACAAGGAAGAGCAGCTGCTTTCCACTGGCTTCAAGTGCAAATTTCTTCATGATGGGCAAGAATACACGCTTTTGCTAATTGAAGCCTTCCCAGAGGATGCGGCAGTCTATACCTGTGAAGCCAAGAATGACTATGGTGTTGCCACAACATCAGCTTCACTCTCAGTGGAAGGTAGGAATGCCTCGCTACTTCCAGCTGAAAATAAAACCTAAGAAGCAGGCTTTTGTCCTTTCCCAGTGCATTTAAAAATACAATTTGGAGCTCATAAAAGTAGATTGCTACCCAACTTTGAAAGCACTCTGCAGTGAAATAAATTAAGATAAACCTACATGCTCCCTTCTGTGAGGTCTCTATGGTGACTTAATCATGACAAATCTTGTGGTTTCTTTCTTTAGTTCCAGAAGTTGTGTCTCCTGATCAGGAAATGCCTGTTTATCCACCTGCCATCATCACCCCGCTTCAGGACACTGTCACTTCTGAAGGGCAGCCAGCCCGTTTTCAATGCCGGGTTTCTGGAACAGGTAGGTTTAAGAACAAAAGGTGTCATTGCCAATACTTACAAATAATTACATGGGAAAAACATTCTGTCAGCTTCTCCTCCATCACAAACATCTCTCATGCATAATTTGAAGCTTAATGGAAATCTAACAGAAAACTTATTTCAATTATTAAATTAAGAATTAGATAAGTGTTTTTCACTATTTTGTGCCCTTAATAATGGTTGTTTATGTTATGTTATGTGTTCTTTATCACAATAAAAAAATTAGTGTTTTTCACTAATATTAAAAAAGGTCATGTTCCCTTTATGATTGTAGCTGCACTTTAATTTCTTCATTGATAAAATACAATGACAAAACTAAAATTATTAGATTATAATAGCATCTACATATAATTCAAAAGAATAATACATTTATATAAGACATTATTCAGTCTATGGACAATGCTTGTGTGAAAGGTATCCTTTGGAAGACAATATCCTATAGTGGTCAAAAGTCGGGGCTTCATTGTCAAAGATGCTGAATTTGAATCTTGCCTTCAATATATATCATGTCTCTCGTTCTCCTTCTGTCATGAATACATTGAGTATATGATTGCATTCAATCCTAGAAAATATATTTTATGAGGCTAGGAATTCCGTTTTAGTGCCTAGAATTTGGCATCTGAAAAATAGTACCTGCTAGAAGGTAAGCTCTATGAAAACAAGAGTGGATGGTTGCCCCAGAATATCACCTGATACATAGTAGATACTCCATAAGTAATTGTTGACTGGACTAATTAATGATGGTTAAATGACTGTTACCAAACACTTAAGATTATTATCAAGATTAAGTTAGGTAACTCAAGTCAGCACATAGCACAGTGCTCATCATACAGTAATCAATCAGAGTTAGCTGCTACCATTTTTAATTGGGGCATGCTTCTCAAGTACCACCAGCCAATTTCCTCATCCCAGGAATCTGATCTTGGTAGAATGAGACAATATATGTGGAACCACTTCAAGTCATAACTGATTGTCTATAATCACAATTATTTGAGAGTTTCCCAGCCAAAGGGAAACTCTCAAAGCTTGGGCATCTCCCAGCCCTCTTATTAGGCTGATGCAAAAGTAATTGCAAAGTTGTATTGTTTTGTTTATTATGCTTCTCCCATTAGTTTATAATCCAATCTCTACCTTGTCAAGATTTATTTTTCTCAACAGGTTAGTACTTCAGTTGGTCTTCTGACCCAATTATTTCCTCCTCAGGAATGGAGATGGTGATCTAGAAATCTAATAGACCTATTTGATTTTATGAGCATAATTAAAAGATATAATGTATGTAAAGCACCTATAGGCATGGCTGCCAGGTAACTGGGGCTCAATACATTCATTTTATTATAGCCATAGAGAGGAATTATATAAACATCAATGTTTAGTATTGTATGGCCAGTATGGACAAATACCATAGACTGTATATTTGAGGGATAGTGTTCAAGAAATGCTAAATATTAATAAATGAGGACTGATTTGATAATATCCTACTAACACAATAATACAAAATATATTTTAAAAGCAAGTTCATTAAAGCTACACTAAATAATTTATCCATTTATTTAATTTTTAGAGGAATTTTTTAATATAAACATATATGTACATCATTCAAAGTAGTAATATTTGTCTTAACTATATTGGTATAGTGCTTTTAAGTCTATAACATATTAACATATGGTAGTATTGCCTTTAAAGTGTTGTAGAAATACACCTGAAGCACTCTACAAGACACCAATTGGGGTAGAAAGAGAAAAATTTCACTATCTTTTCTGCATAACCAATGTCTTTAAAAAGGTTTGAATAGGCTTTGTAAACTGAGAAGATCATTAACTTCCTATGTGTGGTAATATCTGTACACATATAGTGGTTTTAGCATCCTCTTATAAATTTGTTTTCTATATGAAAGAAATTAAATTCATTAAATAGAATGACCCTTCAAAAACTTGCCAACTCACATAGTTTCATACCACTGGGACTAAAAATATTTACAGAACTTCCTCTGGCCAGGTATTGCCTTAAGTAAGTGTAGCCCTGCTTTCCACAAATTGGAAAGAAATTGGGAGTCTTCAGAAGCTCCCATGTTCTTGGGGGTTGTAATACTTTCTGAAGCATGAAACGTGGCCCTGAGCAACCAGGTGCTGTTTCTAACAGCGAAAATGTTACCTATTGAAGGTCTCCAGTGCCACCTACTGGTAGAGGAGTAATTTGGAAAAGCAGAATCTTAAAATGTAAAAAAGCTATTTTTTTGCTGTTTATTCTACAGATGATGAGTCAGTGTCATTTGGAGGCTTACAGAGTGACAGCTAGCTAAACAGAAATGATGAATAATTAGTTTAACAATGATATTGTCTGTTATTCATTTAAGCATCTGTGCAATTTTAATTCTACCATTTATTGTTTCCCTGCTATTGAGATATTACCCTAGGTGCTGGGGTGCAGATCTTGCTCTTGCCTTTAAGGAGCTTGACATGTAGGTGAGGAGATGCATGCACACAACTATATCCCAAGGTTGTAAGTGCTATTAACAGGCCCACGTACTCATCATTCTCTGTCTGGGAGAGAGCCAGAGAAAGATGTGTGAACTGAGCATTGAAAAATATGTAGGATCATTGAACACAGTGGCATCCTATGATGAGAAAACAACATCTCCAAGTCATCAAAACTTGCAATAATGCTTCATGTGCTAGAAGCAAGTGGTTTAAGTACAGTTGGAAAGTGATATCATGAGTGGGTAAGAAGGCTGGATAATACAGCAAAGGCCGTGCTAAAGTTTTTGGTATTCTATGCTGAAGATTTTGGAATTGATCTTGTTTACATTTAGGAGACACTGCAGGATTTTTAAGCCCCTGGGTACCATGATCAGGTTTACTTTTTAGAAGTGATACTGTGATAGGGAAAGAAGGGATGGACAGATGTGGGAGGCAAGACTGGCAGTCAGGAACTGGAGAGAGATTATTACAATAGGCCTGGAGAGCGTGGATGAGGCCCTCAGCCAGGGCAGTCAGGAGAGACAAGTGGGGTATTGCAGAAGTAGTAATATGGGAGAAGAATGGCCTCAAAGAAGACACGAGAGGCTAATGAGTAACGCAGATCATGGCATCACAGCCACAAGCACCAAGTCCACTACCAAGAAAAGTTTTACCTGTTAACTCACTTATTGTGTGCAGTTCATGTCCAGTGGCAGTTCATGTGTATCCTGGTGCCTCATTCAGTTCACCAAAGGAAGAAGCTGTCAGTAGAAATAAGCAGAGAACCTTGTAAGAGGATGTACCATTGATGATCTCACACACACACACACACACACACACACACACACACACCCCTTCACACAAACTAAATAGGGGTGGTGTTTCATGTTATATCACATGGCACTGTCTTTTGGCGTGTTATTGAAGACAACGTTGCTTCCATCTGTGATGTTAGATATTCTTGCTATAATGACTGACTTGTGCCAGTGGCTTATAAAGCCCTTCCATGTGTGTTATATCATTTAATTCTCACAGCAATTATATGCAACGAATAGCCCATAAATTATTACGCATGCCATTTTACAAATGAAAAGACTAATCCAGAAAGCTTAAATGACATTTCCAAGGCCACACAGCTGACAAGTTGTAGTGTCAAGATTTCATTTTCTTTATATGTATATATTTTGATGGAGTCTTGCTCTGTCACCAGGCTGGAGATCTCGGCTCACTGCAACCTCCCCCTCCCGGGTTCAAGCTATTCTCCTGCCTGAGCCTCCTGAATAGCTGGGATTATAGGTGTGTGCCACCACACCTGGCTAATTTTTGTATTTTCAGGAGAGACTAGGTTTCACCACGTTCGTCAGGCTGTTCTCGAACTCCTGACCTCGTGATCTGCCCGCCTCAGCCTCCCAAAGTGCTGGGATTACAGGTGTGAAGCACCGCGCCTGGCCAGGATTTCATCTTCTACTTTACCTTACTATCTAAGGAACTGAACAGATTTGTTACTCTAAGAGGAGAACCTGCCATTTATACACATCTACCATCATGGGCAGGAGAGTAACTTTTATAGACAAGTATTGGCATTAAAATGCAGACAAATGCTAGATGATTGGACTATTAGAAGATCATCTTGGATGGTTTTGAGACCAAGAAGTGGTATAGTGACTGTGCTCCAAAAACAAGATGGCTTTGATTTTGGCTATTCAAACAGTTAACTAAAATTAAAGTGCATATCACCTACAATTATTACAACACAATAACCTGCTACTTTACTGTAATTTGGGTTTTTACTTTCTATTATTTTAAGATGGTTCAAATCCTTATATAGAAATAGCTAGCTTTATTATAATGTCTTATAACTGCCACTCTGAAAAGAGTCAAATGTATCTAAGATGCTCAAATACCATAATAAATCACCCTCTTTATTTAAAAAATTATTTTCTCTACAATTATTTGTGCCATATATACTGCGTACTGAAACCTTTTGCTCATTAGTAACAAAGATAGAGATTTTTTTTCTACAGCCTTCAAAGGTATCTATTTTAGACTTTTCATATCTTGATCTTCTCAGCTCTCTTTTTGATTGATTTTTCTGCAAACCAAAAGTGGAGATTTTTCTCATTTCCTGTCCCAGAAGGCAACTACAAGCCCAGATCAAACCTTTCCTGATGACTCTTCTTAGGACTGTCTTTTTCTCAAAGTCACTGAATATGTCAAAATCTTGTCTCTGCTTCCACTGCATGACATGCAAATGTCTAAAGAGAATGTAACTGAAGTTCTATCATTTTAAACATTACAACCAGTTCAACCTTAGGACAAGCTATATTTTTCTATCATTACATTTCCTTCTTGAAGATGAAAGGAAATCATTTAACAATAGTAGATATGGCATGCCCAGAGAAAAGTATCATGTTATTAAGTCAAATATGAAATGTAGGCACTAGTATTATTAACATTGTGTTTGCAGGTAAATTGTAAAAATCCACTCATTTTTGTGGTTGAAGTATCTCTTTTCTTTTGTGTCGCAGATCTAAAAGTGTCGTGGTACAGCAAAGACAAGAAAATCAAGCCATCTCGGTTCTTTAGAATGACTCAATTTGAAGACACTTATCAACTGGAAATTGCCGAAGCTTATCCAGAAGATGAAGGAACTTACACGTTTGTTGCTAGTAATGCTGTAGGCCAAGTATCAAGCACAGCCAACCTGAGTCTGGAAGGTAAAGTAAAACAACTTTCAGAACCCCATTTAAATATAGATCGAATCTTAACAATGTCTGTAACAATTACTCAAGAGTTCATGTAAATCATTGTTGTTCCTACCATTCTCTTCTAATTCAACTAATTATTTCCCTGTTATATGCCATGGTCTCGCCTCTCCTTTACCACTTTTCATTGTGAATCATAGACCATCACGTTTCATTTGGCCCCGCTTTTTCTCTGTAACAATTTGTAATGTATTGCTGCTGTCACCAGCTGTCATGCTTCCTAATCAGCATGAATCAGAAGGGGGCGAAATATGCTGCATAAATAGGTAGATTTGTTTTCTCAATTGGCTAAGATAAAAATTAAATTTTAAAAACATCTAAGAGTGTTATCATCCTCCTATCATGCTGACACAATTTTGATTTCACAAAAGCTAGACCGTTTCAGGTCTGTACACCAGCGAGCTATATTCATCCTCCTCTCAAGAATGTCTTAGTGTTAAGAAGTCCAGTCCTAAAGTGGTTTAACATTTCTGTTAGTTGGGGCTCTTAAATTGTAATCAGAAACACTTCCTCAGTAACATGGGGAATTTGATTCAAACAAGGATAGCATTTTTATATAGTGGTACTATTTTTCCTGAGCAAATATAGTCTATGTAGTATTAAGTACATACAAATACATAAGGATTTAGAGAAACTATTTTTTTCTTAACCTTATGCATTAACTGTAACTAGATGTTTTTTTAAATAATGAATTTAAAGTGGTTTAAAATTAAAAAGTTGACTTTACAACAAGAGGAAGAAAGAAAAGAATATCCAAAACCCTGTTGGGTACTCCACTATTGCCTTCATGAACAATGTAGTGAAGTTCCTTAGCCCATTCATGTCTCAGCTTGCTTCTCTGGGAAATGGAAGTGAACTTGTGTGACTTCGAGTCAATAGTGACATACAAGGACAAGGCAGTAGGAGTGGACTGAATTCTAGTCCATTATTGAAATTTGTGACAAATCTGTAGACAACTCCAAATGAGTTCTGGTTTCAGTGCAAGGTAAGACATTAAAAATTGGTATGCTTCTTTTCAGGATTTAGCAAATTTGAAGAAAATACATCAAACTCCCAATGGCATGTCTCTTTATCAGTTTCATTTAAGAAGGAGCCCCTTGGCCAAAAGCCCAGCTTCATCCAGCCTCTGTCAAGCCTCAGGGTGCACAACGGGGAGACAGTCAGATTTCATGCGAGGGTTTCTGGCATTCCCAAGCCAGAAATCCAATGGTTTCATAACCAGCAGCTAATTCTACCAACAAAAGATGTAGTTTTCCATTTTGAGGAGTCCACAGGCATGGCTTTAATGCTTATAGTTGATGCTTACTCAGAGCATGCTGGGCAGTACTCTTGCAAAGCAGCCAATAGTGCTGGGGAAGCCACTTGTGCAGCTACACTCACAGTGACTCCAAAAGGTAAAGCCCATCTTGCTTCAAGGACTTTGATTTGCTGTATACCTCTCAGTCCCACTGTTACTAATGAGAGTCTCTGCTGTTTGTTTTATTGCATACTGTGGTCAGTCCATAACTTACTAATAAAATAACATGCAATAACTCCCGCTAGGTCCTCAATTATGGGTTAACCTACATACTTTAAATTTCACTGAAGTATGTGTTCTATGCACTAGAGAACCAATAATTATTTTATTAGGCACCACCTTTGCTTGGCTTCTTTACTCTTCTAAGCAATATTGTATCATTGCATCATTAAATGATCTATTTGCTGATTATTACTTACTGTACTTAAAGTAAGTACAGTATTACTTACTGTACTTAAAGTAAGTACAGTATTACTTACTGTACTTAAAGCATACAGTGGACGGAGAGCAAATGCTAACCCAAATACAGTCAGCTAGAGGGAGAGAGAGAAAGACAGACTGGGTCACTTTGGATAGCTGAAATGACAACAGAAAGAAGGAACCAGATACTGCATGGCATCTGCATGAGTCTTCATCAACCACTCAGCACTGAATCACCAGGAATGAATTTTCTTTTGTGTGATCCTGACATCTAGATCATATTGCATCTGGCATGCTGCTTTCAAGTGACAACTACGTCTTTCATCTTCATCTTCCATGCCATTTTGTGTTACTAACATGGGCAAGTGACAAAGCTTAGATCTTAATATTCTTTTCTTTTTCTTGTCACTTGATTATACAGTGCAAGCCCTAGATAGGCAAAGTTCTGGGAAAGATGTAAGAGAGTCCACCAAGTCCCAGGCAGTGGCAGATTCCTCTTTCACAAAGGAGGAGAGCAAAATATCTCAAAAGGAAATTAAGTCATTTCAAGGATCATCATATGAATATGAAGTGCAGGTTTTTGAAAGTGTATCTCAAAGTTCCATCCACACAGCTGCATCTGTTCAAGATACACAGTTGTGCCATACTGCATCCCTTTCACAAATTGCAGAAAGCACTGAGCTATCTAAGGAATGTGCTAAAGAGTCCACGGGTGAGGCGCCCAAGATTTTCCTGCATCTTCAGGACGTCACTGTAAAGTGCGGTGACACGGCTCAATTCCTCTGTGTTTTAAAAGATGATTCTTTCATTGATGTAACCTGGACTCACGAAGGTGCAAAGATAGAGGAATCCGAGAGACTGAAACAATCACAAAATGGAAATATTCAGTTTCTTACCATATGTAATGTTCAGCTGGTAGACCAAGGACTATACAGCTGCATTGTACACAATGACTGTGGAGAGAGGACAACGTCAGCAGTACTAAGTGTAGAAGGTGGTTAATTGATTTTTAGCTATGACTTGCTTCATTTCATCCTCATCGCTTTATGCAGCTTTTCTGCCATGCAAATTCAATCGACGAATATATTAATTAGAATATCTCTAAATTAGCACCCTATTCATAAGTGACTTCTGAAAGTCAGCCAAGTCATTGGCCATGATTATCCTGAAAATTTAACTTACCAGTCTAGATTCAGAAAGTTTAATTTTTAAACGTAGGTTCGGGAAGCAAAGGTTTATTTCCTATGTGCTGCATTTTCTAATATTTACCAACGCACTACCAAGAAAGTGTAGCAAAGTTAAAATGTTGTATTCTGAGAAGTACTTATTGGGTATTTATTATTGTGCCAGATACTGTGGTAAATTTCAGTTTAATTGTTTTAATAGCAAGAGGTTCAACAATTCTTATCTCCTCTTTATTTTCACATCTGGAGGTTCTAGTTGTTTACAAAGGGGCCATGAAAATAGAAAATTGGGACCAAGTACAGTGACTCATGCCTGTAATCCCAGCACTTTGGGAGGCCGAGGCAGCCAGATCACTTGAGGTCAGGAGTTTGAGACCAGCCTGGCTAATATGGTGAAACCCCATCTCTACTAAAAATACAAAAATTAGCCAGGCATGTTGGATGTTGGTGCATGCCTGTAATCCCAACTACTCAGGAGGCTGAGGCCAGGAGAATCGCTTGAACCCAGGAGGCAGAGGTTGCAGTGAGCCGAAATAGGGTCACTGTACTCCAGCCTGGGCAACAGAACTAGACTCCATCTCCAAAAAAGAAAAATAGAAAATTGAAAATTGGGCACTGAAAATAACAAAGCTCTCTCTGGACCAAAATTAGAAGTCTCTAGATATTTCTCCATAAATGATGCTGCTTTTACAGGCTTAAAATCCTCCTGGAATTGTATAATTTTCTCATGGCAAGATCACAATTTTTGTCGTTATTGGGCTTGATTCTCCATTATGTCTGGAAGAGCAGGAATAAACTTGTCTGGGCAAGTAATAACTTCTTCCTCTTATCCATGGACTTTCCTTTTGGATATTAATGAAATGAGAAAAATATTTTTCAGGTGCCATAAGCCTGTGTTGTGTGCCCGTAGTCAAAACAGCTTCACTGAGTCTCATGGAAGGAAGCTGGTGGAATAAATTCAGGCATCTCCAGGGGTCTGTGGAAAGCTCTGGCCTCAAGTTCCTCCCTGATCCTGGCCATAGTGGTGTTAGGGATGAAAAGGGGGCAATGCAGTGCTATGTAGGTGCACAGCCATCTCTGCACAGAATTTTGAAACAGTGGCCTTTCTTCCTACCCAGTACAGAGAATACAGTTTATTGATTCATATAATGTATCCGCAACACCTACTCACCAAAAAGAGGTCTTATTCTTTCTTAATGAGATTTTGTTCTATAGCTATCTCTCATTCTGTCACCGTAGCCTACAAAGGCAATATCTCAAGAACTGAGGTCTAGTTATGTAAATTAGATAGAAAATTCCACCAGCCAGAGAGTTGACCCTCAATTTCACTACAGCTGCTGGCTAGCACAGTAATCACACAGAGTCACTATTTATTTGGAGGTGTTGTCTACAAGTCCTGTAGGTGACAGTGTGACAATTTTTTCAGTAATGTAATTGGGAGTTGGCTGTGTTGTGAAGGTGGGAGAAATGTAGATCTCTTAACTCACTTCCTAAAGAATCTAGTGCTATAGTGCGGTGTTTGACTGTCATATTCCCAGAATTGATTTGAACTCGGCTCTTTTGCCCTAGGATCTCCAGTTCATTCAGTTCCAATTGATAATATTATTAAAGTGTTCTTGAAGCAAAAGAATTTTTTTGAACATCCAACTGCCTTACTTGTACCTAAGAAAGTTGAAAGATAAGACATTTTTAGATGTTTGAAGAGTGAAAGATCAGGCACAGTTGTCTAATTATTTGACATAGGCCAGTCTTTATATGTTCCTTTTTTATTTTGGCTTAATAAGTTCATATAGGCTACAGAGTTATCCACCAAGATCAAGTAGGAATGTCAAACCCCTGGAAGTCTTTTTGAATACAGTTATTATGTGCATAATAAACATAAACATATCATATATAAGTTTCATGACTAACATGCTGCCTTTCCTTCTCATCCTAATGACATTCCATCTTCTCCACATTCAGCATGTTTTTCATTCTTACAAACACAGCTAATTTATGCCTTTCCCTAACTTTATTCTTACCTAGCAAAAGAATCGCAAGCCAGAGCACTTACAAAAATTACTCTGGGTTCTGACACTAAAAGTATTAAAACACTCAGAGAGTCACAAATTAAAACAACCCGTGAAGTAAAAAGAGAATCGTCAAAGAAAACATCAAGTTTGTCATTAACTTCATGCCAAAAACCGTAAGAAACTGAGAACAAGGGAATAAAGTCTACTGACAGGATACCACGTGGACTGAAGACTGAGAGTGATACGAGAGCCCCAGCCTTTCCCAAGGAGCTGCCCTAGATATGACTGTGTCTAAAAGCTGTGCATATTCCTTGTGGAATAAAAACAGTTTTGATAAGTCTTTGTTTTGTTTCTTAATATGTAATTTGGACTTCATGTAGTTCAAAGTTTGAAAGGTGATTCAAATCAAAGGAGTGTTTACTAGCAGGAAAAACTGAGAATAGCCCTCTGCTAAAGTAGCAATTTAGAAAATGCATGTTCTTTCTAAATGTGATTTCATCTCTTAGCAAGTGTTTAGTCAATAGGACATTTTTTAGAAAATAATATTCCTTCGGTTTGTAGATTGCTTTCTGCATGCATGTAAAGGCATGGGGAATTATAGAACTAAAAGTGGAAATTTCATGAAGAACCTAAAATAAAAATGTTTTAAATCTTTCTGTCAACATTGTCATGTGTTTTATCAGCTCAATAGTTTGTTTGGCATGGACTTTTTGGTAAATTTGGGGAATGTAGTTTTCTGTTGTTATAATAAAAAGAAAACTTTAATCATACAAGTCATGAATTGATGCAGAAAATATATGCAATTAATCACTAAAATCTCTTTATATGTTTTTCTATTTTAGCTCCTGAATCAATTTTGCATGAGAGGATTGAACAAGAGATTGAGATGGAAATGAAAGGTATTGTTATAATGGATGTGAGATTTAAGTAGAAATTCTAAAGGATTAATAGGATCCTTGAGTTGCCTTCTTTCTCTTAGTATTATTGAGAAAAAAATGACATAGATATACAAATATATCTCTTAGAGTATATATTACTATGTCGCATGCTTGGTTTAGAATTTTGATGGTTACATGCATTTCACAGTAATTTATTGTAAGTTAATTTAAAATTTTGTATTTAAAATTTATCAGCCAAATTCAACTTTATGTTTGCAGTCATTTCCAAAAGTGTATATTAGGAGAAGTTGTCATCTTAATGCATGAAATCATGAAGTAGAAGTTTGTTTTCAAAATCACGGTGAATTACATTGAAAATAGACAATAACCTAGCTGTCATTCTCAGAATGCAATGTCATGAATGAATTATGATTGAAATGCTACTTTACTGAGGTTGTGTGAAAACATTACATTCCCATCTGGTTTACACTTCATTCACATATATCATTTTAACATTGATATGTCTCTTACACTGGCTTGCAGATAGCTGCCTTATGTGATCCTTATTGCCTGCTTTTCTTTGCATAACATTGTGACTTTATGGCTGTATTAGTTCGAATAAACGCCTTCTCATTTTATTTTAGCTAATTATTTATGGTTATAGTTCTTGTATATACTCTTTAAATAGTTGATTCTCAAAAATATAATAATTTAATCTACAATCAAAAGAATCAGAAAGGGCGTTTATTCCACTCTCTGCAAGTCAGGTAAGATTTTCCACTTAGCCATCAAAAGAACAAAGTTTTCCTGCTCTCAAAACAAATATGCACAGGAACATGTTATTTTGAAATGCATTTTTGCTTGTTCAAGAAGAAATTTCAACAGTTTGAAGAAAAGACCAGACAACGAACGATTTTCGTGTCAGAATCTTTTAAACAGAGCATGGTGTTGCGTTTATTCGAACAAATATGGTGAGTGAATTTTTCTATGGATTTGTGAGATCTGTAGCATGCAATTTATTTCATTTCCTATTTTGCAATTTTATTTACTTTCAACTTTTTCAAGTTCTATGGAAAATAGTAAAGGTTTTTTTTTTTTTTTCCAGAATTATTCTCTGAGGGGGAATCTGAACATTCAGAAAGGGATACACGTGACGCCTTTTCAGATTCTGAAGACATAGACCACAAATCCATGGCTGCTAAAAGATATGCAAGTAGAATATCATCTACAAGCTCCTGGCCTGAATATTTTAAGCCTTCTTTTACCCAGAAACTTACATTTAAATATGTTTTAGAGGGTGAACCGGTTGTTTTTACATGTAGATTAATTGCCTGTCCAACTCCAGAAATGACTTGGTTTCATAACAATCGGCCCATCCCAACAGGTCTTCGTCGGATTATAAAAGCTGAGAGTGATTTACACCATCACTCTTCCAGCTTAGAGATTAAAAGGGTCCAAGACAGAGATTCTGGAAGTTATAGGTTACTAGCAATTAATAGTGAAGGGTCTGCAGAATCAACTGCATCATTGCTTGTTATCCAAAAAGGGCAAGATGAGAAATATTTAGAATTTCTGAAAAGAGCAGAACGGACACATGAAAATGTGGAGGCTTTAGTTGAAAGGGGAGAAGATAGGATAAAGGTTGACCTGAGGTTTACTGGCTCTCCCTTTAACAAAAAACAAGATGTGGAACAAAAGGGAATGATGAGAACTATACATTTTAAGACAATGAGTTCTGCCAAGAAAACAGATTACATGTATGATGAAGAATATTTAGAAAGTAAATCTGACATAAGAGGTTGGCTTAATGTAGGTGAAAGTTTCCTGGACAAGGAGACCAAAGTGAAGTTGCAACGTTTAAGGGAGGCTAGAAAAACATTAATGGAGAAAAAGAAATTATCTCTTTTAGATACGTCTTCTGAAATAAGCTCAAGAACTTTGAGAAGTGAAGCTAGTGATAAAGATATTCTGTTCTCTAGAGAGGACATGAAAATCAGATCTATGTCTGATCTAGCTGAAAGTTATAAGGTAGATCATTCAGCTGAGAGTATTGTGCAAAATCCACATGCCCTTTCTAATCAAATGGATCAAAATATAGAATCTGAGGAACTTCCCACAAGCTTTCAAACTATTGTTGATGAAGAAATTTTCCAGACTGAAATAAGAATGAGCCAAGAAGCACTGGTAAAGGAAAGTCTACCAAAAGACCATTTATATGGTGAAATTCTAGTAAATGAAAATACCCAAGCAAGAGGACAGCTGGAAGAAATTATGGCCAATACTACAATTGGAGAGTCATCCACATATATCACTAATGTATGTGAGAAGGAGGAAGTATATGAGACTCCTGAAAATGTGTCTCAAGCTATTACACCACATGCCAGCGAATCTTTTGGTACACTTGTAAATGTTGAAGAAAGTGAAGAAATAGCTAGTGAAAGAATAAAAAAGGATGATTTGAGAGAATTACAACTCTCTGCTTCTACACGAATTGATGAATTCAAAACCGAACAGAAGGAAGAAAACATGAGATTTTTTGAAAATTCTTTTCGAAAACGCCCACAACGTTGCCCACCTTCATTTCTTCAAGAAATTGAATCTCAAGAAGTTTATGAAGGTGACAGTTGTAATTTTGTGTGTCATTTTCAAGGATATCCTCAACCTATAGTGACGTGGTATAACAATGACATGCCAATCCCACGTAATCAAAACTTTATCATTCATTCGTTGGAAAACTATTCAATATTAACTCTTTCATCTGTTCATCATCAGAATGAAGGTTCTATTACTTGTGTGCTATTTAACCAATATGGAACAGTAAAAACAACCAGTATGCTTAAAGTGAAAGCAAAACAAAAACATGATGTCAAAGCACATAAAGTCCCAGTGTTCCATGACTACTTGGATGAGGAAGAAGAGTTAGCATTGGTGTTTGACCAAGCAAAAGGCGCCCATCCATCTATGAGTCAAGAGGGCCAAACAAATCTTCATTTGTTAAAAACTAACCCACCAGTTCCTCCCTCTGGAGACACAGAATTGCTTTCCTTTCCTGTAGAAATTCAGGTAACAGCAGCTACTCCTATCCCAGAACAGGATAAAGAGTCTAAAGAAGTGTTTCAAACTGAGGAGCTGGAACCTAAAGCAATGCCTCAAGATCAAGTTACTCAATCACCAAAACACAGATTTGTATTTTTGTCTGATATTACTAATGAACCACCAAAAATGTTACAAGAAATGCCAAAGCATGCCAGGTGTAGAGAAGGGGATTCCATCATTCTTGAATGTTTAATATCTGGTGAGCCCCAGCCAGTTGTAACATGGTTTCAAAATGGAGTCCTTTTAAAGCAGAACCAGAAGTTTCAGTTTGAAGAAGTTAATTGTAGCCACCAATTATATATTAAGGATGTTAATTCTCAAGATTCTGGAAAATATAAATGTGTTGCTGAAAACAATTCAGGGGCAGTTGAAAGTGTTTCAGATCTAACAGTGGAGCCTGTCACTTATAGAGAAAATAGTCAATTCGAAAATATTGGTGAAATTTATGGAAAATATTCCAGAGATCAGCAACTGCAAGACCAGGGAGAATCTGTAAGGGCACATTTTTATGATTATCCAGCTGGTCCCTTTACTCCCTGGACAAATGTAAAAGAATATTCAGTAAGGGACTATTTTCAAAGCCTTGAGACTATTGAGCAAATAGACCAGAAAGAGCAGGTGCGTTGCATACCTTCTAGAGAAAAAATTCCCAGATTTGTGCATGGTGCTTCAAGAACCATAAAAATCAGCAAGCCCATCAGGGCTGAATTCATACAATGTCAGGCTGAAGGGAAAGAGAGACATGTAAGTGAAAAATCAAAGCTGCACCAAGCAGAGGGTACTGTTTATCCATTTGTTGATGATTTCAGTGATGTCACTATTAAGAAAGAAATAAGAAATAATTTTGGAAAACTTGGTAGATCAGAAAAGGAAAATGTACAAGAATGTGCCCAAAGTGACTATTTACCAAATATTCACTCTGAGAGAATTTCTGACAGTTACAATACAAAAGATTCATCTGCCATTGTATATGAAGAATCCCTTGGTGAAGAGATACACTACCCGGGGAAAAAGGTGAAGCATAGAATTATCGAATTTGAAAAATTACATGTAGAAAAAGGAGTTCTAGAAAAAAGACCTACCAGAACATCAATTGTTAATCCTCCTCAAAAGAAGATTGATGACAAAGCCTTTTCATTAAAGCAAAGAGAATCAAGATCAAGCAATCTAAATGCAAATATGTATCAGGCAGAGAAAATGTCTCCAAATACTGAATCAGATTCATCTAACATTGCAATAAATTTAAAGCTGCTTTCCTCTCAAACTCATAAAGAATTTGACGCACAAGAAAGGGAACAACAGGAAAAAATAAGTCTTATAGATAAACCTGCAATTTCTAAAAGAGCTGAACATGAATCACCTATTACATTTGACTTAAAGCAGTTTCACACTCAAATAAAACACACAGATGTGAAATTCCAAGAATTAGATAGTGGTCAACCAGAAGAAGCTTATTTTAAAATCCAACATCCTGCTGACACTGAGAACATTGTATTTGATCTAAAACAAATGTATTCTCATATAGGAGATCCAGCTCTGGAGTTCCAAGGGCAAGAAACTAGGGAACAGCAGGAAATACATTATAAAGAAAAAATTCCTAGCCCTGAAACGTTACAACCTGACACACACAATATCTCTAAAAGTGTGCAAAATAATGTATTTGCCAGTCAAGAAATTTCTTCCAGTCAAGAGCTTTCAAATAGAACTATGGTGGAGAAAAGTAGTATTGATGAAAATTCCATTTCTTTAGAAAAAGAAGTCCGACATGTACAGGAACAAAACTTAGACATTTTAAAAACTGATCTTTCTCTTAAATCCTTTTCTGAAGAAATCTATAGTGAATCATGTGCCCTACTTCCAACCTCATCTGCAGATATAGAAGAAACTGATCTTTCTGAGAAAAGTTGTCCTCTAGAAAATGGAGGCAGAAGTTCCATCTCACATTTGAAAAAAGCAGCAAGTGAGGAAAAGCCTTTAGGGGTTGGTGAAATGGAAGAAGAATGCACTCTAGAACCAGAGTTGGCAGCATTTCCAAAGCAGGATGGTGGGACACAGGAATATACAGATGCCACTTTGGAAGACCACAGAGGTGATGTTCAGGAAGCTGACACACTCCATAGACAGCTCTCCCTGAGTCAGTGCTTCCCACTCTTGATGACTGAAGAACAACAGAATCCAGGTGAACAAATAAGTACAAACATTCATGCCTCTGGAGAAGAAAAATGTTATGAAGAAGTTCAAGTTCAGAATGAAGCTTCTTTCTCCACTTTAGAAGGAGAAATGATAGAAACTAGTTTTTCTCAAAATATTCCTAAATTAGATGAGGCACATACCACTGAGGCAGCAGAATCTGAGACCTCCCTAACACAATATTTACTTGCTGCTGGAAAGCGTGAGGTTCCTGAAACTAAAGACACCAGAGACCAGGCAAAGCTTGTCCAGAGTGAATCAATCACTTCAATGGAGGTGGAAGAAGTAACTTTCAACACTGTGTATGAATACTACAACCAGAAACAGGAATCACTAGGTCGTCCACTTTCTCCTGAGTCTGACATTTCCATTGGTGTGGGAAGTACAACCAGTGAAGAAATATCTGAGTTAGATCAGTTTTATACCCCACCATCATCTGTTGAATATTTTGAATCTCCAAAGTCCCCTGACTTATATTTTAATCCTTCAGATATAACTAAACAATCCTCAATACATTCAGGAGGTGAGACAGTTGAAAGATATTCCACACCTTTAGGGGAAGTTGCTGAAAGATATTCAACACCTTCCGAAGGTGAGGTAGGAGAAAGATACTCCACACCCCCAGGGGAGACACTAGAGAGATACTCCACACCTCCAGGAGAGACTCTAGAGAGATACTCCACACCCCCAGGAGAGACTCTAGAGAGATATTCCACACCCCCAGGAGAGACTCTGGAGAGATACTCCACACCCCCAGGAGAGACTCTAGAGCGATATTCCACACCCCCAGGGGAGGCACTAGAGAGATATTCTATTCCTACTGGAGGACCAAACCCCACTGGTACTTTTAAAACATATCCATCAAAAATAGAAAGGGAAGACGGTACACCAAATGAGCATTTCTACACACCTACAGAAGAGAGGGGTTCAGCTTATGAAATATGGCGTTCCGATTCATTTGGTACACCCAATGAAGCCATTGAGCCAAAAGACAATGAAATGCCTCCATCTTTTATTGAACCTCTGACCAAAAGGAAGGTATATGAAAACACAACACTAGGCTTCATTGTTGAAGTTGAAGGTCTTCCAGTTCCTGGTGTGAAATGGTATCGAAATAAATCTTTACTAGAGCCAGATGAAAGAATCAAAATGGAAAGAGTGGGTAATGTGTGTTCACTGGAAATTTCTAACATTCAAAAAGGAGAAGGGGGAGAGTACATGTGTCATGCTGTAAACATCATAGGGGAAGCAAAGAGCTTTGCAAATGTAGACATAATGCCCCAGGAAGAAAGAGTGGTGGCACTACCACCTCCAGTAACACATCAGCATGTCATGGAGTTTGATTTGGAACACACCACATCATCAAGAACACCTTCTCCTCAAGAAATTGTCCTGGAAGTTGAATTAAGTGAAAAAGACGTTAAAGAATTTGAGAAGCAGGTGAAAATAGTGACAGTTCCCGAATTTACTCCTGACCATAAAAGTATGATTGTGAGTCTAGATGTTCTTCCATTTAATTTTGTAGATCCAAATATGGATTCAAGGGAGGGAGAAGACAAAGAACTAAAAATTGATTTAGAAGTATTTGAAATGCCTCCTCGCTTTATAATGCCTATTTGTGATTTTAAAATTCCAGAAAATTCAGATGCTGTATTCAAATGTTCAGTCATAGGGATCCCGACTCCCGAAGTTAAGTGGTATAAAGAATATATGTGTATTGAGCCAGATAATATTAAATACGTGATTAGCGAGGAGAAGGGAAGTCACACTCTTAAAATTCGAAATGTCTGTCTTTCTGATAGTGCAACATACAGGTGCAGAGCTGTGAATTGTGTAGGAGAGGCTATCTGTCGGGGATTCCTCACCATGGGAGATTCTGAAATATTTGCTGTGATAGCAAAGAAAAGCAAAGTGACTTTAAGCAGTTTAATGGAAGAATTGGTCTTAAAGAGCAACTACACAGACAGTTTTTTTGAATTTCAGGTGGTGGAAGGGCCTCCCAGGTTTATCAAAGGTATTTCTGACTGTTATGCACCAATAGGTACAGCAGCATATTTTCAGTGCTTAGTTCGTGGCTCTCCAAGACCCACGGTTTACTGGTACAAAGATGGAAAATTAGTCCAAGGAAGAAGGTTCACTGTTGAGGAAAGTGGCACAGGGTTCCATAACCTGTTTATAACAAGCTTAGTAAAGAGTGATGAAGGAGAGTATAGGTGTGTAGCTACAAACAAATCAGGAATGGCTGAGAGCTTTGCAGCACTCACCTTAACTTAAAATGTAATGTTTTAGTGCCTCAGTAATTATTAGCATTGATCTGAGTGCTTTCATATTTTCCAAATTATGTGGATCTAATAAACTTCCAAACAGGTCCACCATATTTGAATTCATTACCTTGGAGACCCCTAAAGAAATAATCTCTATGTAGAAATCTCATCTTTGTAATACATGTAAATATTTTGTTATCTGAACTGTGGAATCATCACTTGTGTCAATCATGCTGTGTAATATCAAACACAATTAAATCTCTCCTTGGCTACCTAATTGTTTGTACTTCTATTTACCCTCATGCCTCCTCCACAAAGTGTTTCAGTGGAATGGACTCTCTTTTAGCAGATAAACCATATATGCAAAAGTACAATGTAAAAGTGGAGACCATATCAGATGACCACGCAGACAAATTGGTAAGGGCAAATCTCTCTGCTCCCATTCTAAGTTATTTTTGGAATTTTAACCCCTTTGCATCCAAACTCATGTTTATTTACTTTGACTTAGAATAGGCAAAACAAACAACAAAAACCAGCTTCTCCCAATTGGCAACTAACTCTATAATCTGTTTGACATTTCAATCTTAATATATTAACTTCATCTCTTTTAAAAATGTTTTCGTTATTAATATTCCTCTTCATAAGTGCTTTAATTCTCACTGGCTTCAAGGGACCAATTGTGCTCTTTGTGGGCAGGGTTCACCTAGACATTTGCAAAATAAGCAAATAGATCTTTCCACTTTTGGAGATACCTTATTTTTCTCCATTTTTGAGATGACATCAAGTGTAAAATGCAGCAATAATTTAGTATTGGCCTGGGGAAAAAAGGGAAACTATCATATTGTGTTTACATATAGATTTTAAAACTGTATTCTGATTTCAGAATCTTTAAAATTTAAAAAAAGGTGGGATATTTTTAGAATTGAGACAATATGGTAATTTGTATTTCAGATTATATATAAATAACAAGATAACAAGCTTTCCTATCAGTTTCACTGAATTTCATCTTTAAAACGAATATAGCTTAATAAGCATTCAATTTTTATTGTGATGTTTATGTTTCTAAAGTAACTCTTTAATTTTGTCTTTTAAAATTAAAATAACAGTAAATTAACATACTCCTTAATATCTTACCTATATACTAATGTGGACCCAAGTCTTCTCATATAAGACTCGACAAATATAAAAAATTCTGAAAATGAAGGGTAGGACCAAAAGACCTTAGAGGTGATCATTCAACAATACAATTCTGTGTTAAGCTAATAGTAATTATTCTTAATACAATTTAGAATAAACTTTAATTTTGTAACAAAGGACGAGAGAAATAATATTACAATGAAAGATAAATTTTATCTCCCTCCACCTCTTAAATTACTTATTGTTACTTAATGGCTACATTTGTCACCTGCATTTAGCAATATTTAAGTACCATTATCATATTTAAAATGCTAATTTTAATTAGAAATGTAAACAATTTAAATTTAATTTTCAAAAGAATTCATATCCAATTATGTTTATTATGTTTCTTTCATCTATCAGTCTTTATTCTCAACATGGGAATTCTCTAACAGCTATCCAAATTAAAGAAGCAATAGAGACAATGTACAGAAAATAGGCAGAGCAGCCAGGCCTCCCCTGCCTCCCTCACAAAAAAAATTTTGAATTATCTGTTTGAGCCACCATAACTCATCAGCATAGATACACTATTGTAGAACAATCATTCCTGTTCCAACCAGTGAGCACACAATATCTGTGATAATAATTATAGACATAATGTAATATATCACATCACAAATTCCTGAAATAAAACTAATTCTATAGATTAGGAACTTAGAGATTTATTCTGCACTTAGTCACATAATGGATGTTAAAATTAACGAGAAACTCAGATTGAGGCAAACATGACAAGCATGCTTTACTCAAACATCATACAGCACAGCAACAGTTCAAACCTTGTTTCTTAAAAAAAGAGAAAGAGAGAAATAGAAAAATGTTTTTATGTCCTACTGGATTTCAGGAAGAGCTGAAAAACACTCTTATTCATATAGTAAAGAGGGCTTTGTTTGGTTTTGCTCATTAGAATTCTGTAATTCTGTTAGTTTCAAGTATGGTGAGCTTGAGTATACGCAGAATAACAGTGACTGAATAAAGAAAAGTAAGCCTTGGCTTACTTTAATTGTCATAGATAATGAAATGGAATTTTTTATTTTCTGACTCAATGGCACGTAACATAAAACCCCAAAATATTAATTTCTCTGATTCTGGATAAAGAATTTATTGTATTGCACATAGTTGAGTTTAGACAATTAATAGCTGCTACCACAACATGTAATTTTTTAAACTATGCCTTTCAAGTTTCAGCACATTTGAATTTCATTTACTATCCTTTTTATGGCTAATAATACCATGGCTTGAAGTAAAATATTTGCAAATAGTTCAACATAGTAGTGAGTAAGGGTATTTTAACTGTATTCACATTCACTCCCTTTACAGATATTTTGTGAGTTCAAGTGAAGGGAAAGGTAACGCGAATTATGTATTGTAGATTAAATGCGAAGTTAAGTGATCACCATTAATATGTAAAATTATCAATGGTTTTATGGTTTACTTAAAATAATAAATACCTGAATATGTATTCTGCATGCTATAGATGAGTTTCTCCAGTATTTTTACAGCCAGCAGACACTTGAGTCCTGTCTTCTAATGCTTATATGCTAGAACAGAAAGGAATTAAGGTGTAAGTCTATTTCATGTGATGCAAGTGAAGTCACCAAATAAAATCATAAAACTGCCTTTTGCTAAGGCAATAAAACTACTAATAACAGGCCTGTTCTACATAGCTAAGAGGTTTAATAAAAAATCGAATTCCTTGTTTAAAATTACATGTCTTTCATCCTGTCATCCAGGATACTGTTTAAAGAGTCTCTGTTATGCACTGCTTTGTTTCTTGCTCAGTGGTTCTGTATAGGTTTTCTTATACAATAAAATACAATGAACTTTTAATATTGGAGTTGTTTTCTCTTATTTTTGATTATCTTATTTTCTTGGCTAATGCCTTATTACAAAGGCTTTGTTCAAGTAATATGGTGATTTACATAGATGAAAGAAGGCCTGCATTTCTAGAAACTGAAAACAGTGGTTCTCTTACAAATCCAAATTAAACATTTCCTGTAGCCTCTTATTTTTAATAATGACTTTAGAGGCAGTAATTAGAACATCAATGGTTTATTTTGGAAATAATCAGTCTTTAACAAAGAAGATTATTCTTAACCTCAAGAAAACTCTAAATATAAATAACAATTCTGGATCTTTTTAGAAGTTGATTTAAATAATGCTGGATTATTATAACTATTTAATTAGCAGTTTTTCAAACTTTAAAATTGGAATTATATCTCAAGAAAAACTCATGAGAGCATTTTTAAAACATGAACTCTATCACAGATGAAGTGGATCAAAAATTGCTTTTGTACAGTATCTATAATTTTGCATAATTTTATATGTTAAGCTAAGAAAAATTTAGAAATGTGCTTTTTGATACATTAATCTTGGAATAATCTAATCATTCCAGGAATAAAGCAGAAGAAGGCCATCAACTGGTGTCTAATTCTTTGATTTCTATTTTTATATTAAATAAAATTTTATAGTAAAATAATAATCATTTTTCCCCATACAGAGTTTTCTAGTTCTTTTCTGTCTGCCGAGGAAGAAGGACTTCATAGCGCCGAACTTCAATTATCTAAAATAAATGAAACACTTGAACTTTTGTCTGAATCTCCAGTTTACCCAACTAAATTTGATTCCGAAAAGGAAGGCACTGGCCCAATTTTCATCAAAGAAGTGTCAAATGCTGATATAAGCATGGGGGATGTGGCTACACTGTCTGTAACTGTCATTGGCATCCCCAAACCTAAAATTCAGTGGTTCTTTAATGGAGTGCTATTAACCCCTTCTGCTGACTACAAATTTGTTTTTGACGGTGATGATCATAGCCTGATCATTCTGTTCACCAAATTGGAGGATGAGGGAGAGTATACATGTATGGCCAGTAATGACTATGGAAAGACAATATGTAGTGCCTATCTAAAAATTAATTCCAAAGGAGAGGGTCACAAAGACACTGAAACAGAATCAGCAGTGGCAAAATCTCTGGAAAAGCTGGGAGGTCCTTGTCCTCCTCACTTCCTTAAGGAGTTAAAACCAATTCGCTGTGCTCAAGGGCTTCCTGCCATCTTTGAGTACACAGTGGTTGGAGAGCCTGCCCCTACTGTTACATGGTTCAAAGAAAACAAGCAGCTTTGCACCAGTGTTTATTACACTATCATTCATAACCCTAATGGCTCTGGAACTTTCATTGTCAATGACCCTCAGAGGGAAGACAGTGGCCTCTATATCTGTAAAGCAGAGAATATGTTGGGTGAGTCCACCTGTGCAGCAGAGCTGCTTGTGCTTCTGGAAGACACAGACATGACTGATACCCCCTGCAAAGCAAAGTCCACACCAGAGGCTCCTGAGGATTTTCCACAGACACCCTTAAAGGGTCCCGCAGTTGAAGCACTTGACTCAGAGCAGGAAATTGCAACGTTTGTAA
The DNA here is from genome assembly GCF_000001405.40 of Homo sapiens. Classification (NCBI taxonomy): domain Eukaryota; kingdom Metazoa; phylum Chordata; class Mammalia; order Primates; family Hominidae; genus Homo; species Homo sapiens. The sequence goes on along the minus strand of NC_000002.12, from coordinate 178,741,006 downwards.
AAGACACCATTTTGAAAGCTGCTTTAATTACAGAAGAAAACCAGCAACTATCTTATGAGCATATTGCTAAAGCCAATGAATTGAGCAGTCAGCTTCCTTTGGGAGCTCAGGAATTGCAATCCATTTTGGAGCAAGACAAGCTCACTCCTGAAAGCACCAGGGAATTTCTTTGCATCAATGGCAGTATTCACTTTCAGCCTCTCAAGGAACCATCTCCCAACCTACAGCTGCAGATTGTACAGTCCCAGAAAACCTTCTCCAAAGAAGGTATTCTAATGCCTGAAGAGCCTGAGACACAGGCAGTTCTATCAGATACCGAGAAAATCTTCCCAAGTGCCATGTCCATAGAACAAATTAATTCATTAACAGTTGAGCCTCTGAAAACTTTATTAGCTGAACCTGAAGGGAATTATCCACAGTCTTCAATAGAACCTCCAATGCATTCTTATCTAACCTCTGTGGCTGAGGAAGTACTTTCACCAAAAGAAAAGACAGTATCTGACACCAACAGAGAGCAAAGAGTGACTCTTCAAAAGCAAGAGGCACAAAGTGCGCTCATCTTGAGTCAGAGCTTAGCTGAGGGACACGTGGAGAGTCTCCAGAGTCCTGATGTCATGATCTCTCAGGTAAACTATGAGCCCCTAGTCCCTTCAGAACACTCATGCACAGAAGGAGGTAAAATTTTGATAGAAAGTGCAAATCCACTGGAAAATGCAGGGCAAGATTCTGCGGTCAGAATTGAGGAAGGCAAGTCCTTAAGATTTCCACTAGCACTTGAAGAAAAGCAGGTACTGCTCAAAGAAGAGCATTCTGACAACGTGGTGATGCCCCCAGACCAAATCATTGAGTCTAAAAGAGAGCCCGTGGCAATAAAGAAAGTGCAGGAGGTACAGGGAAGGGACCTTCTTTCTAAGGAAAGCTTGCTTTCTGGTATTCCAGAAGAGCAGAGATTAAACCTGAAAATTCAAATCTGCCGGGCTTTGCAAGCAGCCGTGGCCAGCGAGCAGCCAGGTCTTTTCTCTGAGTGGCTAAGAAATATTGAAAAGGTGGAGGTCGAGGCTGTAAACATCACCCAAGAGCCCAGACACATCATGTGCATGTACCTTGTTACTTCGGCAAAGTCTGTAACAGAAGAAGTAACCATCATTATTGAAGATGTTGATCCTCAAATGGCTAACCTGAAAATGGAACTTAGGGATGCTTTGTGTGCTATTATATATGAGGAAATAGACATCCTAACAGCTGAGGGTCCTAGAATTCAGCAAGGAGCCAAAACAAGTTTGCAAGAAGAAATGGATTCTTTTTCAGGTTCACAGAAGGTTGAACCCATTACTGAACCAGAAGTTGAATCTAAATATCTGATCTCAACTGAAGAGGTCAGTTATTTTAACGTGCAAAGTAGGGTTAAATATTTGGATGCCACACCTGTCACTAAAGGGGTTGCTTCAGCTGTTGTCTCTGACGAAAAACAAGATGAGAGTCTGAAACCATCAGAGGAAAAAGAGGAGTCTTCCTCTGAAAGTGGTACTGAGGAGGTTGCTACAGTAAAGATACAGGAAGCTGAGGGTGGCTTAATCAAAGAGGATGGCCCCATGATACATACACCTTTAGTGGACACTGTTTCTGAGGAAGGTGATATTGTACACCTCACAACATCCATAACAAATGCTAAAGAGGTGAATTGGTATTTTGAGAATAAACTGGTGCCTTCAGATGAAAAGTTCAAGTGTTTACAAGATCAAAATACATATACGCTAGTCATCGACAAAGTAAATACCGAAGACCATCAAGGAGAGTATGTCTGTGAGGCCTTGAATGACAGCGGAAAAACAGCAACTTCAGCCAAACTCACTGTAGTAAAAAGAGGTTGGATTTTAAGGATAAAATAGATCAAATGCTAACATTCACTGGATTGTAATGATTTAGCTTGCATCACTTAAATTTTCACTTATCTGCCACTTCCAGAATGTAATTTATTTAGAGTAAGAATGAAATCACAGACATAATCATGGTTATGAACTCACCTTTTCCCTTACTGCCCTGTTGGGTGCTATGCTATCATATCCATGGTACTATTTATTTTAAAAATAAAACATATTTTCATATGTTTCATAATACCAATAGATAAGCTTTTAGTTAATTTTCATATGAAGATAACTTTCATAATATGTAATAAAAAGTATCAGTGAACACCTAGCCACTCTGAAATCACTGGTCTCACCCTTAGATTTAAAATAACCATGATTAGTTGTCTGTTTCTTTTTTCTGTTTATTTTTTGTTGTTGTTTCACTTCATCACTTTATTTAGTATATCATGTTTCTTCACATTATTTTCAGTGTTCCCATTCAGCATGGTATATTTAAAGAATATATCATGTTGTTATGCATATAATCCAATAGCATCACATTTTTTCACAATTCACTGCAAAGCAATGATTGAATAGGTTTTTTTTAAAAAAAGCTTATTGTCTTCTTTTGCCTTCAATGATCTTTCTCATTTTCCAGTCACTTGCCTTAAACTGCTGTAATCCATCTCACCAATTTCAACTGTTTTACTCCATTAACAGCAACAAAAGTTAGAAGAAAAACAAAAATGTCATATGCCTGATAAGGAGGCATGTTAATGGACTCTACTTCCCTTTGCAGCTGCCCCAGTGATCAAGAGGAAAATCGAACCCCTGGAAGTAGCACTGGGCCACCTAGCCAAATTCACCTGTGAGATCCAAAGTGCTCCCAATGTCCGGTTCCAGTGGTTTAAAGCTGGCCGAGAAATTTATGAGAGTGACAAGTGTTCTATTCGATCTTCAAAGTATATCTCCAGCCTTGAAATCCTGAGAACCCAGGTGGTTGACTGCGGCGAGTATACATGCAAAGCTTCCAATGAGTATGGCAGTGTCAGCTGTACAGCCACACTAACTGTGACAGGTAAATGCCATACATTGGCACAGATGTTGTCACTTCATTTCATATTGTTGTCCTTTTTGCTTTCTGTACATGTGTGGGAAATGCTTGTATTACCAACTGGAGAGACCAACAACCAAGACAGTAACATGGTAGGTAGGTACTGCAGAGCCTATATGGGATAAGAAATCATTATTTACAGTCACATTTCTACTACTGACCAAAGAAAAAATAATTTATTATTTGAGAACAAAGTTAAGTAATCAAATGAGCTCAGCTTGGCCCTTCATATAAAACATATCAGGACAGTTTGGTGCCACTAAAAAAAAATAATGTCTCAATGTATTTAAAAATTTTAAATCAAATAACCAATTAAGAACAGAATTACAAACTTAAAAAAGTCAGTGTCTAAGTCTAAAATTAAATCCTAATGTAAGACAGGGAGCTAGTATAGGACTGAAAACTAGGATTCTCTCTAGGCATTTTTACTAATTTAAAAATAAGACGGCTGGGCACGGTGGCTCACGCTTGTAATCCCAGCACTTTGGGAGGCCAAGGCAGGCGGATCACAAGGTCAGGAGATCGAGACCATCCTGGCTAACACAGTGAAACCCGATCTCTACTAAAAATATAAAAAATTAGCCAGGCGTGGTGTCACGCACCTGTAGTCCCAGCTACTTGGGAGGCTGAGGCAGGAGAATTGCTTGAAGCCAGGAGGCAGAGGTTGCAGTAAGCCAGGATTGCACCACTGCTCTCCAGCCTGGGCAACATAGCGAGACTCCACCTAAAAAAAAAAAAAGAAAGAAAGAAAATAAGACAACTACACAAATATCCTATTCCCAATTTTCTAATTGATATGTAGGGTGACTTTCAAATAGTTAACACTCATCAAATACTTGAATGCCTTCATTAACCAAAATATTAGTAGCAAGCTTTTCTTCCTTTCTTCCTACCTTCTTTCCTTCCTTCCTTCCTTCCCTCCTTCCCTCCCTCCTCTCTATCTTTCTTTCTTTCTTTTCTTTCTTTCCCTCTTCCCAAGAGAAAGTGTGAGTATGAACTGTGGTTTGAGGACAGGGGTAGAGGTACAGTCAAGCCATACTTGGACTGTTGGGGAAGGCTGTCCCTTGGTCTTCTTTGTCAATGAGAATATCAAGGGGAAGGGCAAATGCAGCACATCTCTTGAATGTGAAAACGATGAGGTTCCCTATAGCTTCCTCTTCTCTACAATCCTTTTACGTGATCCTAAGAAAAACCCAGGCCCATGATGACCCAACCAGTGCTTTTCACTCTGGTCAAAATGTCTCCATAAAACCAAGTACATGATATTATTCATACTGACGCGTTTGGAAGTTTCTTTACTCAAATTAGGTCAATTTAGGAATGCGACTAATATTGAAGCTTCAGATAATAAGAGGAAAGGATAAGGAGGATGACTTAAAAAAATTAAAAAGAGAGGTTCTGAAAGTCTGGCTTCAAGATGCAGAATGGAAAGGGGAAGTTGCTGCTATTAAATATTTTTACAAGTTTGAGTTGGCCTAGAGGATGCATTCATAGTTAAGCCATATAAGAATTTCCAGGCAGTTGACATGAGGGTTAGAAAGACATTACAAAACTACTTCAATCTTCTTATCACTTAATATCCCTACTCTTCAGAAGAGTCAAATACATTTTCTTTATCTTCCTTACATAATCTTCTAATTTGCAGAATTAAAGTATCAGCTCAATAGCTTATCAAATAATTAAACAAGCAGCCACTAAAATGGACAAATCTTTAGTAATGTTACTTAATAAAGGAACGCTTGTCTTTTCTTTGATAGAGACAAGTAAAGTGATGTCTTGCTCCCTTATAAAGAACACTCTCATCCCTTTCCTTTGACAATCTTTTGTTCTTATTAACACATTACTCCATTTTAAATTATGGCTCATGTCTATCTAAAGACTTAACTCATCTTTTCTCTGTCTTGGAATATATAATTACAGCAAGTGCTTTGGTGGGGACTAAATGTAATGCTGGAAAAATTTCTTTTGCAGAGGCATATCCACCAACCTTTCTCTCCAGACCTAAGTCCCTTACAACTTTTGTGGGTAAGGCAGCCAAGTTCATCTGCACAGTGACAGGGACTCCTGTGATAGAAACCATTTGGCAGAAAGATGGTGCTGCACTCTCACCTTCACCTAACTGGAGGATTTCCGACGCAGAAAACAAACACATTTTAGAACTCTCAAACCTTACCATTCAAGATAGAGGAGTTTATTCTTGTAAGGCTTCCAACAAGTTTGGAGCAGACATCTGCCAAGCAGAGTTGATCATCATTGATAAGCCACATTTCATTAAAGAATTAGAGCCTGTGCAGTCCGCTATCAATAAGAAGGTCCACCTTGAGTGCCAAGTAGATGAAGACAGAAAAGTCACAGTTACGTGGAGCAAAGATGGGCAAAAACTCCCCCCAGGGAAAGATTATAAGATCTGTTTTGAAGATAAAATAGCAACACTTGAGATTCCTTTGGCCAAACTGAAAGATTCAGGAACCTATGTCTGTACAGCTTCAAATGAGGCTGGAAGCAGCTCCTGCTCAGCCACAGTCACTGTCAGAGGTAAGAAACGTGTGAATGTATTTTCTAGTCCCTTCTCTGCAAGGAATCCTCAGTAGAAAAACTGTTGGCAAACAATTCAGTCAGTACACTTTGTTATTAAAATAATGTCATTCAGCAAACATTATGGTTTGGGAAAGTCCTGGCATTGTTTGATTTTATTTTTTTAATCCTCTTCAAAGTTCACTTAACTTTTGTTCTTTTAAATTGTCTGCTATTAACAAAGCTTGCTTAAAATTTCTTCTAAGAAAAAACTCCAAGTGTCTGAGCAATTCTTAACTATCTTCTTTTATAAAATTCTTCTTTGTGTAGGTAGTCTGTTTATTGTTGTTTTATTTTAAATCAAGAGACTGGGAAAGTGTCTTAGAATGATAGGAACCTATTAAATGCACCACAGCTTTTACAGAAATTTTGTGGAGATATTTTATGTGTGTTGGGTCTCTTTGTTGTATATGTCTACTTTTCTTTTGCGGAGTTTATGTTTCAGATATCTTCTCCTTTTTCTTTTTTGTAAACTTCATGTAGAGCCACCATCCTTCGTGAAGAAGGTGGATCCCTCTTATTTAATGCTCCCAGGTGAATCAGCACGCCTCCATTGCAAGCTGAAAGGCTCACCTGTGATCCAGGTTACTTGGTTTAAAAATAACAAAGAACTCAGTGAAAGTAACACAGTCCGAATGTATTTTGTCAATTCTGAGGCTATACTTGATATTACGGATGTAAAAGTTGAAGACAGTGGGAGTTACTCATGTGAAGCAGTGAATGACGTCGGCAGTGATAGCTGCAGTACTGAAATAGTTATCAAAGGTTTGTTTACTGAGTTTCCATCCAGTATTTTTCTGAGAAAAGATTTCCCTTTTAATTACTTATTACCCATTACTTACACAATGCTTTCATGCTTTTGTAGAACCTCCTTCTTTCATCAAAACTCTTGAGCCTGCAGACATAGTGAGAGGAACAAATGCTCTACTTCAGTGTGAAGTCTCAGGCACTGGACCATTTGAAATTAGCTGGTTCAAAGACAAGAAACAAATTCGAAGTAGTAAAAAATACAGATTGTTTTCTCAGAAGTCTCTTGTGTGTCTGGAGATCTTTTCGTTTAATAGTGCAGATGTTGGTGAATATGAATGTGTTGTTGCTAATGAAGTCGGCAAGTGTGGCTGCATGGCAACCCACTTACTCAAAGGTTAGTGCTTGAAAAACTAATGTCTCTTTAATAAATTGTCAAACTAGCTTTCTTACCCCATGGAAGAAAAACTGGTACTTTCTTCTCTTGTCCTATCCTTTAAATTTGTTTTGTCTTGGTTTGACCTGGGACCTTGGGAACAAAGTCAGTAACTTTCACCTGGTCTTTTTCCCGAGACTAGTGTAAATATCTATTATCTGATAACAAAAGGGAATAATAAGCCATTTTGTCAGCTGACAAACATGTATCATCTATGCCTCTGTCTCTTGGATGGAATTATAATTATTCTTAACTTTTATTTCTTCTTCTAATTAACACTATGAAATAGTAGTATTGGGACAAGATAAATATAATCTTGAAAAAACTCTTAAATATAGATGGTGTTGAAAGTGTTTGGGAATTGATATGTTTTATATGCTCTCTTTCCTTAACTAGAACCTCCAACCTTTGTAAAGAAAGTAGATGATTTGATTGCACTAGGAGGACAAACCGTTACCCTGCAAGCTGCTGTGAGAGGGTCAGAGCCCATTTCTGTCACATGGATGAAAGGTCAAGAGGTCATCAGAGAAGACGGAAAAATCAAAATGAGCTTTTCCAATGGTGTTGCAGTCTTGATAATCCCTGATGTTCAGATTAGTTTTGGAGGCAAATACACGTGCCTGGCTGAAAATGAAGCTGGAAGCCAAACATCTGTTGGGGAATTAATAGTTAAAGGTTTGTGTAGGAACATTTAAACCTCAAATTGCTATTTAGAATTAAAGTGAAACCCTAACAAGCATTTAGGGTGCTAACTATTTCATACCATTGTAGAACCTGCCAAAATCATTGAGCGAGCAGAACTGATCCAGGTGACAGCAGGAGATCCCGCCACACTGGAGTACACAGTGGCAGGCACGCCAGAACTGAAGCCCAAATGGTACAAAGATGGGAGACCCTTGGTCGCCAGTAAAAAATACCGAATAAGTTTTAAAAACAATGTTGCCCAGCTCAAATTTTATTCAGCTGAGCTGCACGACAGTGGCCAATACACATTTGAGATTTCCAATGAAGTGGGCAGCAGCTCCTGTGAGACTACATTCACTGTATTAGGTTAGTATTTTTAGAAAATGATGCTACATATGCATTTGAAACCCAACAAATGGCCTAAAGTCAATCACTGAGCACTCTTCTATATTGACCTTTTCTCCCTTCTTGTGCAACACACAGATCGAGACATTGCTCCATTTTTTACCAAACCCTTGCGCAACGTGGATAGTGTTGTTAATGGTACCTGCAGACTGGACTGCAAAATTGCAGGCTCCCTCCCCATGAGGGTGTCCTGGTTTAAGGATGGCAAAGAAATAGCTGCTTCTGACAGATACAGGATAGCATTTGTGGAAGGCACAGCCTCTTTGGAGATCATCAGAGTAGACATGAATGATGCAGGGAATTTCACTTGTCGAGCCACAAATTCCGTGGGAAGCAAAGACAGCAGTGGAGCCCTGATTGTGCAAGGTTGGCTGGAGACTTTGCATTTTATCCTTATTAAAGATTATGTTCAAATTAAGTCATCTTCCCTTAGATCAACCCTCTTAACTCTTTGAAATTCTTTCTTATACCCCTTCTTCAGAACCACCCAGTTTTGTAACTAAACCCGGCTCAAAGGATGTTCTGCCTGGCTCAGCAGTCTGCCTGAAGAGCACTTTCCAAGGATCTACTCCTCTCACAATCAGATGGTTTAAGGGCAACAAAGAGCTGGTTTCTGGTGGAAGCTGCTATATTACCAAAGAAGCTTTAGAGAGTTCCCTGGAACTCTATTTAGTAAAAACCTCTGATTCGGGCACGTACACATGTAAAGTCAGCAATGTCGCTGGAGGGGTGGAATGCAGTGCAAACTTGTTTGTAAAAGGTTTGCATTGTTTTCTTGACATCTTTGTGCTAACCTTGTTATAAATTCTTTCCTCTTTCTCACATTTCTTAATAACTTCCTTCCTTCCACAGAACCTGCCACATTTGTTGAAAAGTTAGAGCCATCACAGCTGTTAAAGAAGGGAGATGCCACCCAGCTAGCCTGCAAAGTAACTGGTACCCCTCCAATTAAAATAACATGGTTTGCAAATGATAGAGAAATTAAGGAGAGCAGCAAACACAGAATGTCTTTTGTGGAGTCTACTGCAGTTCTAAGACTGACAGATGTTGGCATCGAAGACAGTGGTGAATATATGTGTGAGGCCCAAAATGAGGCTGGCAGTGACCACTGCAGTAGCATTGTAATAGTCAAAGGTTTGTGTTCACTTTGCCTCTTGTGTTGCCAAAGTTATGGCCCATGGCACAGACCCCTCCTCCCTTAATGCAAATCATTCCTTTTTTACTGTAGAGTCACCTTATTTTACCAAGGAATTTAAGCCAATTGAAGTCTTAAAGGAGTACGATGTCATGTTGCTGGCTGAGGTGGCAGGCACTCCTCCCTTTGAGATCACTTGGTTCAAAGATAACACAATCCTGCGAAGTGGTAGAAAGTATAAGACTTTCATTCAGGATCATCTGGTTAGCCTGCAGATCCTCAAGTTTGTAGCTGCAGATGCTGGCGAATACCAGTGTCGGGTGACCAATGAGGTGGGCAGCAGCATCTGCAGTGCCAGGGTGACTTTAAGAGGTTAGTGTTGGTTCCAGTGAGGGACTGGCTTTTCTGAAGAGTCAATTCTTTTTTTTAAGCCACTTTTGCTATAGGGATAATATTGATTGAGAATTCATTCTTCTGTTAGAACCCCCATCCTTCATAAAGAAGATCGAGAGTACCAGCTCCCTCCGGGGAGGCACAGCTGCCTTCCAGGCCACTCTGAAGGGCTCCTTGCCAATTACGGTGACTTGGCTAAAAGACAGCGATGAAATCACTGAAGACGATAATATAAGAATGACCTTTGAGAACAATGTGGCCAGTTTGTACCTCAGTGGCATTGAAGTCAAGCATGATGGGAAATATGTCTGTCAGGCCAAAAATGATGCAGGAATACAAAGATGTTCTGCATTACTCTCAGTAAAAGGTTGGTTCAGAACGTTTGCCTTGGGTTTGAGGAAGAAATGCAGATGTAAGCCTTTCAGCAGGGTAATGCACAACCCACATCTATCCCTTTGTTTTCTACAGAACCTGCAACAATCACCGAGGAAGCTGTGTCTATAGATGTCACCCAAGGAGACCCAGCCACTTTGCAGGTTAAATTTTCAGGGACTAAGGAGATTACAGCCAAATGGTTTAAAGATGGCCAAGAACTGACCCTGGGCTCAAAATATAAAATCAGTGTCACTGATACAGTCTCAATACTGAAGATTATTTCTACAGAAAAGAAAGATAGTGGAGAATATACTTTCGAGGTCCAAAATGATGTTGGGAGGAGCAGCTGCAAGGCTAGAATTAATGTATTAGGTTGGTATTGTTCTTCTACAGAGAGGATTGGGCATTTCCATGCTCCTTCTTCCCTTAAAATTTAAAAAAAAAAACAAAAACAAATTAGTAGATTGACCTTTTTTTGTTGTTGTTTGCTTTTTCATTGAATAGATCTTATCATACCTCCTTCATTCACCAAAAAGCTGAAGAAAATGGACAGCATTAAAGGTTCTTTCATTGATTTAGAATGTATAGTGGCTGGGTCACATCCCATAAGCATCCAGTGGTTCAAAGATGACCAAGAAATATCAGCTAGTGAAAAGTACAAATTCTCTTTTCATGACAATACTGCCTTCTTGGAAATCAGCCAGCTGGAAGGTACAGACAGTGGGACATACACTTGTTCTGCCACAAATAAGGCAGGGCACAACCAATGCAGTGGGCATCTGACAGTCAAAGGTTGGCAAATTTTATTTCCACTTATCAAGAACTTACAAAATATTTTTGTTTCATTTCTAAATTTTCACCTTTATTGCTAAGTTATAAAATAAAACTTCCTATTTTCTTTTGCTTGTTTTTTCTTTCACCTCAGAACCCCCTTACTTTGTGGAAAAGCCACAGTCACAAGATGTCAATCCCAACACAAGGGTACAGTTAAAGGCTCTTGTGGGTGGCACTGCACCCATGACAATAAAGTGGTTTAAAGATAACAAAGAGTTACACTCAGGAGCAGCCCGCTCAGTTTGGAAGGATGACACCTCTACCAGTCTAGAGCTCTTTGCAGCCAAAGCTACCGATTCTGGAACCTACATTTGCCAACTAAGCAATGATGTTGGCACAGCAACCAGCAAAGCCACTCTCTTTGTAAAAGGTCTGGTCTCTACATCTCCTCACTTTCTTGCTTGTCTAGATTTTCTTGCCTGGGGTGGGCCGGGGCGGGGGACGCTTAAGACAGCAGTTTTGCCCAGTGACCTGTTTTTAAAAATATTCAACATCACAATTCTTTTTCCATCTTTAGAACCTCCTCAATTCATTAAGAAGCCCAGTCCAGTCTTAGTGCTGAGGAATGGACAGTCAACAACATTTGAATGCCAAATAACAGGCACTCCTAAAATCCGAGTGTCTTGGTATCTAGACGGGAATGAAATAACAGCCATTCAGAAACATGGCATTTCCTTCATTGATGGTTTAGCCACTTTCCAGATTTCTGGTGCCAGGGTAGAAAATAGTGGGACTTATGTGTGTGAAGCTCGAAATGACGCAGGCACGGCGAGCTGCAGCATTGAACTCAAAGTGAAAGGTTCGTGAATGGAATCTATTCTCCATTTTGGCTGTGCTGCCTGATAAGTTTGGGGTCTTCCCTTGAGTAAGCTACTGTCTTCCTTTTGAATCTTTAGAACCCCCCACCTTTATCAGAGAGCTGAAGCCTGTGGAGGTAGTAAAATATAGTGACGTGGAGCTGGAGTGTGAAGTTACGGGAACACCTCCGTTTGAAGTCACTTGGCTGAAGAATAACAGGGAAATTCGAAGCAGCAAAAAATACACATTGACCGACAGAGTGTCTGTGTTTAACCTCCATATAACCAAGTGTGACCCTTCAGACACTGGGGAATACCAGTGCATTGTATCCAATGAAGGCGGCAGCTGCTCATGCAGTACTAGAGTTGCCCTGAAAGGTCAGTTATACAAGAAGCAGCCTATCAAATAAAAATTCTGTAACGCTTTTAAATCTTATCATTATGGGTAGGAGTTACAATATGTTTCTTCTTTTCACACTCTCTTATTTAATCACAGAACCACCATCATTCATTAAGAAGATAGAAAATACCACTACTGTTTTGAAAAGTTCTGCCACCTTTCAGAGTACCGTGGCAGGTTCTCCTCCTATTTCTATAACCTGGCTAAAGGATGATCAGATTCTTGATGAAGATGATAATGTCTATATTTCATTTGTGGACAGTGTGGCCACACTTCAAATCAGAAGTGTGGATAATGGACACAGTGGGAGATATACCTGTCAAGCCAAGAATGAGTCAGGAGTTGAGAGGTGTTATGCTTTCCTTTTAGTACAAGGTTTGTAAGCTATTCTCTTTCAAAGATAGTCTATAGCGACAGTTTCATTAGCAGACATTATTTCTAGTGGAGTTACCAATGTAACTCATCCACATTTTCATTTTTACTACAGAACCAGCTCAAATCGTAGAGAAAGCTAAATCAGTTGATGTTACGGAGAAAGATCCCATGACCTTGGAATGTGTTGTGGCTGGAACACCAGAACTCAAAGTGAAATGGCTTAAAGACGGGAAACAAATAGTTCCCAGTAGATACTTTTCAATGAGTTTTGAAAATAACGTGGCCAGTTTTAGAATTCAGTCAGTAATGAAGCAGGACAGCGGTCAGTACACTTTCAAGGTGGAAAATGACTTCGGAAGCAGTAGCTGTGATGCCTACTTAAGAGTGCTAGGTTTGTATCTTCACCCCAGTCAGCTTCCCTTATTTATAGTATGTCCTTTGTAAACAAATAGCAAGAGATTAATGGATGTGTTTTGCTGTTTGCATTGGACAGATCAAAATATTCCTCCATCATTCACCAAAAAATTAACCAAAATGGATAAAGTTCTGGGCTCTTCTATTCATATGGAGTGCAAGGTGTCTGGTTCACTTCCCATTAGTGCTCAGTGGTTTAAGGATGGAAAAGAAATATCTACAAGTGCAAAATACAGACTTGTGTGCCATGAGAGATCTGTGTCTCTGGAAGTTAATAATCTGGAATTAGAAGATACTGCAAATTACACATGCAAAGTGTCAAATGTAGCAGGAGATGATGCATGCAGTGGCATCTTAACTGTGAAAGGTTAGAATTTCTTTACCTCTTCTTGATTCTTCCTTGCGAATGCTTCTTAAATGTATCACTCTTGCCTTTGTATCCTTTAGAGCTAAAATCTCTATGATTCTGGTTCTTTAGATACATATTCATTGTGTTCAAGAAATATTCAGCCATTGCCTCTTTCCAAGAGTGTTTTCTTAAATGTCCATAAAACTGTCACAATAATTCAACTGCAAGCAATTTAATTAAATATATCTCTCTTAAAATCTATAGAACCACCAAGCTTCCTAGTGAAACCTGGGCGACAGCAAGCCATACCTGATTCTACAGTGGAATTTAAGGCAATACTAAAAGGAACACCACCATTTAAAATAAAATGGTTTAAGGATGATGTGGAACTTGTCTCAGGTCCTAAATGTTTCATTGGCTTGGAAGGGTCGACTAGCTTCTTAAATCTCTACTCAGTGGATGCTTCTAAGACTGGACAGTATACTTGCCATGTTACCAATGATGTTGGTAGCGACTCTTGTACTACGATGTTGCTTGTGACAGGTGTGCAAATTTGATTCCTTTATGTTTCTGTCTGACTGTGTCTTTGGTTCTCTGTATTCAGTTACAATGTCTCTAAACAATCAAGAAAGTAGTATTCTTTCTAACATAGTAAACAGTATTTGCTCATGTTTTTCTCTTGCCTGTATACTATCTAATTTAACTATTGTTATTTATTTCTGTTCCCTGATACTCTCCTCTTTCCTGACTCTTTAGAACCACCAAAGTTTGTAAAGAAATTAGAAGCCTCCAAAATTGTGAAAGCAGGTGACTCTTCACGACTTGAATGCAAGATAGCTGGATCCCCAGAAATCAGAGTTGTGTGGTTCCGAAATGAACATGAACTTCCAGCCAGTGATAAGTACAGAATGACTTTCATTGACTCAGTGGCCGTCATACAGATGAACAATCTCAGTACTGAGGACAGTGGAGATTTCATTTGTGAGGCTCAGAATCCCGCTGGCAGCACAAGCTGCAGTACCAAGGTTATAGTAAAAGGTAGACATCTTGTTCTTGTGTTTCTCATTAAATGAAAACCACCTTCTCCCCTGGGTATTATAGCTCTTTATTCATTTACTATCATTTTAGTTTCCATTTGAGATCATAGAATATTTTTCTGAGCTAGTATTATTTCCCTTTTTAGATGGTTTCCTTCTTGAATTTTGCTTACATGTAACTAGTCATTATGAAATATTTTTGTTATTCCAGTGTCATAATTCTGATTACCTCAACACATTTGCCAAACATCAAACGTGATGTTTCAAAACTGCACAAAAAAATGAAGTAGGCATTTTAAAATTAGTCTTTTGCTTTCAATCAACTTACAGATATATCATTCTCACTATAATCTATATCATTAATAACAAGCACTTTTACTATATCTATGCAAAGTGAAAGCAATACAGGTTTTAAACTTATGTTTAAAACAGGACAATAATATTTTTTCCTTCTCTCTCAAGGATCACTTCCTATCCTTTAAAAATTATATGACTATACCTTGGTACAAATAGTATCTGTGTTTTTTTGCTGCAATTTTCCAGTGCTTTTTTTTTTTGTCACAAAGGCCAAGTTTGTCTTGTTTTAAGACAATTATTGCAGTAATCATTTGCTGAAATGGAAGACTTAGATCACGGATGTTGTGATGACTTCCAAGTGTCTGTTATAGAACATATACAAAAAAAATCATCCTTGAAATTAGAATTCCATACTTCATGCAAATCATTATTTATTGCTATACTTGCTTGTTTGCAATTTTTGTATCAATCTTTGTAGCCTAAGATACATCAGTAAGGTGTAGTAGATAGAATGTTGAACTGTTCAGTAACGACATCTAGGATCTATCTGGGTTCTCTGCCCATCTAGCTGGTTATCTTGTGAAGGCAAATGGCTTCTGAGGCTGTTATCCCATGAGAGTGTTAGTGCTGGACTCTACTTACCCATTAGAATATCTTAAACCTTTCTTCCAATTTAAAGACAAATAAAAAATTTTCATTTTGTGAAATTCAGTAGCCCAATTCATGAGAAATTCTTGTTTTTTGCAGAGCCACCTGTTTTTAGCAGCTTCCCTCCTATAGTAGAAACCCTTAAAAATGCTGAAGTCAGTCTTGAATGTGAACTTTCGGGAACACCACCGTTTGAGGTGGTATGGTACAAAGACAAGCGGCAACTCAGAAGCAGCAAGAAATACAAGATTGCATCCAAAAACTTCCACACAAGTATTCACATTCTCAATGTGGACACTTCAGACATCGGTGAATACCACTGCAAAGCACAGAATGAAGTGGGAAGTGATACTTGTGTTTGTACTGTAAAATTGAAAGGTAAATATAGTTCATCCACATGGCAGAAATGTCATAAATGTGCAAAATCCTACTTTTTTCACTCTCGCATGATCTGGACAATCTTTTCAACAATTTCCATCCATCTTTTCCTGTTCAGAACCACCAAGATTTGTCTCCAAACTGAACAGCCTCACTGTTGTAGCCGGAGAGCCTGCTGAATTACAAGCATCCATAGAAGGCGCCCAGCCTATTTTTGTCCAGTGGCTTAAAGAGAAGGAAGAAGTGATTAGAGAAAGTGAAAACATCAGGATTACATTTGTGGAAAATGTTGCAACTCTACAGTTTGCAAAAGCAGAGCCAGCTAATGCTGGAAAGTATATCTGCCAAATCAAGAATGATGGTGGAATGAGGGAGAACATGGCCACACTGATGGTCTTAGGTTGGTACAATAGCCCACGATAGAAACTGGTGCCAAATGCTGGAATGAATTACTAAGAGTTACTGGCAGATTCTTTTTCTGAGTTTCTTCTAGAACTATATTTATCCTCATCTATTTGAAAGGTCTAGAGGAAAGACATAGTTGATCTTTCAAACACTCTTTTCTGTTTCTGTGATTCTAACAAAAATTAGACATCTGTTTTATTGTTTAATAACTACCTGTCTATATCAATTAGCAGATACAATCATGACTCTCTTTGATTAAGCATGAAAGAATACAGAGCCCAGCATGTGCTACAAGAGTAATTGTTAAAACTAACAAGAACTCCAAAGGTTGGCATTTGATAGCAAAGCTTCCACATAAAATTAATGACAATTAAACAATTGTTTGAATAACAACTTTCAAAGAATTGTCTTTAGCACCTTAAGGTAGAGCAAAAATACCAAGTAATTCACAATAACCTGTAGACTTTGATCTACAGAGGGTCAAGTGGAAATCAATATATACTATCTAATGCACATTGTTTAAATTGTTTTGAAGTTGAGTCATGCACGAACATATATTTCTTAAGAATAATTGCTACATAAGACGACAGCAAGAGTGGTGGGAAAAACAAAAAATAAAGAAAAAACTGAAAAGAAAAAATATTAAAATAAAAAATAGCTATAATTCTATGACTGCATGTAATTATGGAATCACACTTTAAAGTCGAGAGAGAGAGCACCCTAACATAACCATCTCACTGGGAGAAACAATCTTAGTGAATGTGATAGTAGAGACAGAGTAAAGATCCCAGACTTTGACAGATGGATATCACGTTTTATTTCAGAGCCCGCAGTCATTGTTGAGAAGGCAGGACCGATGACGGTGACTGTAGGAGAAACGTGCACTCTGGAGTGTAAGGTGGCTGGCACTCCGGAACTCTCTGTTGAATGGTACAAGGATGGAAAGCTGTTGACCAGCAGCCAAAAACACAAATTTAGCTTCTACAACAAAATCTCTTCCTTAAGGATTCTCTCAGTTGAAAGGCAAGATGCAGGCACATACACTTTCCAGGTTCAAAATAATGTTGGGAAAAGCAGCTGCACAGCTGTGGTTGATGTTTCAGGTTAGTTCTGCTGTTTTCTTCTGGTTGCTTATGCAAATTCCTTTTACAAGTTTCCTTCTTTCAAGTCTCTTCTATTCTTTCAAATCATGATGAGTCTCTTACCTTTCCTCACACAGACCGAGCAGTTCCTCCCTCTTTCACACGAAGACTGAAAAATACTGGTGGGGTGTTAGGTGCTTCTTGCATCTTGGAATGCAAAGTAGCTGGATCATCACCTATTTCAGTTGCCTGGTTTCATGAGAAAACCAAGATTGTCAGTGGAGCAAAGTACCAAACCACATTTTCAGATAATGTCTGCACATTGCAGTTGAATTCTCTGGATTCCTCAGATATGGGCAATTACACATGCGTGGCTGCTAATGTCGCTGGGTCTGATGAATGTCGTGCAGTGCTAACTGTACAAGGTCAGTAGACAGTCAAACTTGTAAGGAATTTCTTACAAATTCCTCTTCAGGTGCACATCTATGTTGACAAACATTTGAAAGTGCTCTAATGTTTTATTCAAAATTGCAACTCCATCTGAAGCTTACAGGATCTTTTAATTGTTCTCCATGTCTATATAGAACCACCCTCTTTTGTGAAAGAACCTGAACCTTTGGAAGTACTACCAGGCAAAAATGTAACCTTCACAAGCGTTATTAGAGGAACCCCTCCATTCAAAGTCAACTGGTTCAGAGGTGCCAGAGAACTAGTGAAAGGAGACCGGTGCAACATCTATTTTGAAGACACTGTGGCAGAACTGGAATTATTTAATATTGACATATCTCAGAGTGGGGAATACACCTGTGTGGTTTCTAACAACGCTGGCCAAGCATCTTGCACTACCCGTCTCTTTGTGAAAGGTTTGCTCAAGTGGATTCACTTTTTCTGTTTTCTGTATACCGACATCCTTGTGTTTTTCTTGTGTTTAACTGCTGTGCTTTGTCACTTACTAGAACCAGCTGCATTTTTGAAGAGATTAAGTGATCATTCTGTAGAACCAGGGAAGTCCATAATTCTGGAGAGCACCTACACTGGAACACTTCCAATTTCTGTCACTTGGAAAAAGGATGGTTTTAACATAACTACCTCTGAAAAATGTAACATAGTCACAACAGAGAAAACTTGTATCCTGGAAATTCTGAATAGCACAAAAAGAGATGCAGGGCAGTATTCCTGCGAGATTGAAAATGAGGCAGGAAGGGATGTTTGTGGAGCTCTGGTATCTACATTAGGTGTGTTGTCTTATTGTCTCTTAAATCATTTGCATTCTTCTAACATGTAGCATAGTTTCTTTGATATTCATTAATTCCAGTTGCTAACTGTGAGCCTTTCTTCCTTAGAACCGCCTTATTTTGTTACGGAACTGGAACCTCTGGAGGCAGCAGTTGGAGATTCGGTTTCTTTACAATGCCAAGTTGCTGGGACACCAGAAATTACAGTGTCTTGGTACAAAGGAGATACCAAATTACGGCCAACTCCTGAATACAGGACCTACTTTACAAACAATGTGGCCACACTTGTTTTTAATAAAGTGAACATCAATGACAGTGGAGAGTACACATGCAAAGCAGAAAATAGTATAGGAACTGCTTCTTCTAAGACTGTGTTCAGAATTCAAGGTGATGATATTTTACAAATTAAAAAAATTCTTTTTTCCTTAACTCTTGTATCTTTATGGTGAACTTCTCATTTCATCTCCTAACACCTTAAGTATTACATGTCTCCCTACAGAGCGCCAACTCCCACCTTCTTTTGCAAGACAATTAAAGGACATTGAACAAACTGTGGGGTTACCTGTTACACTCACTTGTCGATTAAATGGCTCTGCACCCATCCAAGTGTGCTGGTATAGAGATGGAGTACTTTTAAGAGACGATGAAAATCTACAGACTTCATTTGTAGATAATGTGGCAACTTTAAAAATTTTGCAAACTGACTTGAGTCACTCTGGCCAGTACTCTTGCTCAGCTTCCAACCCACTTGGAACAGCATCTTCTAGTGCTAGACTCACAGCAAGAGGTTTGTTCACACGTCACTCTTTTTCTTTGCAAACTGTGGCTTCATATTTCATTGTCAAAGTAGAAACGACCAATGGCAAAAAAACAAACAAAAAATACACATTGCCTTTCTTCTCATCCTCCAGAACCCAAGAAATCTCCCTTCTTTGACATCAAGCCTGTATCTATAGATGTTATTGCTGGAGAAAGTGCTGATTTTGAGTGTCATGTTACTGGTGCTCAACCGATGCGAATCACTTGGTCAAAAGATAACAAGGAGATCCGTCCTGGAGGAAACTATACAATCACATGTGTGGGAAACACTCCTCATTTGAGAATTCTTAAAGTAGGCAAAGGAGACTCTGGTCAATATACTTGCCAAGCAACCAATGATGTTGGCAAAGACATGTGCTCAGCTCAGCTCAGTGTAAAAGGTATCATTCCATGACTTTTGACAATATTTGTTCCTTACCATATTTGCATAATTGTCTTATAAAAGTTTCTTTGGTTTTTAAATGTTTGAGAGAAACTAACTGGACATGTTAGAATTTGTGTATTAGTGTTGGAGGCAACATTAATCAAAGTTGTGTTTTCTCTTTATATTGTTCTTTACATTAGTGTAACTCTAAGTGTAATCTTATCAAAAAGTATTGTTTAATTGAAATTTGTTAAATGTTGTTTTAACTATCTAGTCCATTTTTTAATGCTTTCTTGTTATATGGCATTCTGATTTATCATTACTAAATGTTGATCAAATACATCTATAATACATTAACTTTTATGTTTTAACTTACATAGTCAAACTAAAAAAAAGAATCAACTAAATTCTCTATTAAAAATGCACATGTACCCTAAAACTTAAAGTATAATAATAATAAATTTTAAAAAACTAAAAAAAAAATGTTATGAGATTATTTAACTTAAAAGATAACTTATTTTACTGTAAAATCCTCAGAAAGTATATTCTTAATAACAAACCAGTTTAAATATAAATTTATGGGATCTTCAGCTACAAAAACAAGCTCTTTTAACATGTATAATAAATATCCCTTACTGACTGTTTTGTTTGGTTTACTAGAACCTCCAAAGTTTGTTAAGAAATTAGAAGCTTCAAAAGTTGCAAAGCAGGGAGAATCCATTCAACTGGAATGTAAAATAAGTGGCTCCCCAGAAATCAAAGTTTCATGGTTCCGAAATGACAGCGAACTTCATGAAAGTTGGAAATACAACATGTCATTCATTAATTCTGTGGCATTGCTTACGATCAATGAAGCTAGTGCTGAAGACAGCGGGGACTACATTTGTGAGGCTCATAATGGTGTTGGTGACGCCAGCTGCAGCACAGCGTTGACAGTGAAAGGTTAGACACACTAAGCTTCTTTGTTTCTTTATTCTCCTCTGATTTGGGCTCTTAGCAAAGTTATGAGTTCCAAAATAAAAGGATAATTAAGGTTATTTGGTTGCAATTCTTCAACAAGTTTTAATGAATTGTCATTTCTTGTGTCAGCATGTATTGTCATATGATCACACCAGTCACTCTTCAAGGTTCTAGATTTAATTTTTTTTTCCTTTATAGTAAGCAAGTGTTCTCATTGTTTATCTCCTTTTTTCTGGTAGCACCTCCTGTTTTCACCCAGAAGCCTTCTCCAGTAGGAGCTCTTAAAGGTTCTGATGTGATTCTCCAATGTGAAATTTCGGGAACTCCCCCATTTGAAGTAGTATGGGTTAAAGATCGAAAGCAGGTTAGAAACAGCAAGAAATTTAAAATCACTTCAAAACATTTTGATACAAGTCTTCATATCCTTAATCTTGAAGCCTCCGATGTCGGGGAATATCACTGCAAAGCTACTAATGAGGTGGGAAGTGACACGTGTTCTTGCTCTGTCAAGTTCAAAGGTTTGTATACATGGACACAAAAATATATGCCCCTTCCTCCTATCTGTTCTTGCCTAACTAATAACTTGTGTGGCCATGATTCTCACATTTTTTCCTCTAACCACAAATTTCTTTCATCAGAACCTCCACGATTCGTGAAAAAGCTAAGTGACACCTCAACCCTTATTGGGGATGCTGTTGAGTTACGGGCCATAGTGGAGGGCTTCCAGCCAATTTCTGTTGTCTGGCTGAAAGATAGAGGTGAAGTCATCAGAGAGAGTGAAAATACCAGGATTTCATTCATTGATAACATTGCAACCCTCCAGCTGGGGAGTCCAGAAGCATCTAATTCTGGAAAATATATATGCCAAATCAAAAACGATGCTGGAATGAGAGAATGCTCTGCAGTCTTGACTGTACTAGGTTAGTAGCAAAGCACAGCCAGAGAAAAAATCAATTTACTTGATCCATGATCATTTTCCTCAAATATTCCTCTTATCCAGTAATTCAGTGATTGCACTCTTGAGTTTGAAAGGTTACTTTGTTTTCAATGCAAAATACTTCTTCTTTTAGAACCAGCAAGAATCATAGAGAAGCCCGAACCCATGACTGTCACTACTGGAAATCCTTTTGCATTAGAGTGTGTAGTGACTGGAACACCAGAACTCTCAGCCAAGTGGTTCAAAGATGGAAGAGAATTGTCTGCAGACAGCAAACATCACATTACATTCATCAATAAAGTGGCTTCCCTTAAAATCCCCTGTGCCGAAATGAGTGACAAAGGATTATATAGCTTTGAAGTGAAAAACAGTGTTGGCAAAAGTAACTGCACTGTATCCGTCCATGTTTCTGGTGAGTAGAATGAGATTTTTATGAATATACAATATTTCCAGGGGGTGGAGGGGCACAGAATAAAACTTCTCTTTAAACGCAAAACTACCCTTCCCCACATAGATCGGATTGTGCCTCCTTCCTTCATCCGCAAGCTGAAAGACGTGAATGCCATCCTGGGGGCCTCAGTTGTTTTGGAGTGCCGAGTCTCTGGCTCAGCCCCGATTTCAGTTGGCTGGTTTCAGGATGGAAATGAGATTGTTAGTGGGCCCAAATGTCAGTCCAGCTTTTCGGAAAACGTCTGTACTTTGAATCTGAGCTTGTTGGAGCCCTCCGACACAGGCATATACACGTGTGTGGCTGCCAATGTAGCTGGTTCCGATGAGTGCTCAGCAGTCCTGACTGTGCAAGGTCAGTGTGCAAGGATAAAGCTGCTGCTTCTCTAACACCTCTTTCATGTGGACGTGGTGCCTGCCTTCCCTGGAGTTTCTTTATTTTGTCTTCATGTTTAGTCTTAGCTCCCTTTTTTTAAGGAGCAAAAGCACTTCTCACTTGGATTTCTTTCTTCTCTTTATCTCCCCTTCCGCCTTGCAATATCTAGAACCACCATCTTTTGAACAAACCCCTGATTCTGTGGAAGTTTTGCCTGGAATGAGCCTCACATTCACCAGTGTCATCAGAGGCACCCCTCCTTTCAAGGTCAAGTGGTTTAAAGGCAGCAGGGAACTGGTGCCTGGGGAGTCATGCAACATCTCTCTGGAAGATTTTGTCACAGAACTGGAGTTGTTTGAGGTGCAGCCATTAGAAAGTGGAGACTATTCTTGCCTCGTTACAAATGATGCTGGCAGTGCTTCCTGTACCACACATCTTTTTGTGAAAGGTTTGCTCTTTCCCCCAATATATACATCTTTTAAAATTTCTCTTAAGTCTTCATTAGAAGGCAAGAATTTTACCCACATGTTTTCTCCTTATAGAACCAGCCACCTTTGTGAAAAGATTGGCTGATTTCAGTGTTGAGACAGGAAGCCCCATAGTTCTCGAGGCCACATACACTGGCACACCTCCAATCTCAGTGAGCTGGATAAAGGACGAGTATCTTATTTCACAATCTGAGAGATGCAGTATTACTATGACAGAAAAATCTACCATACTGGAAATTCTTGAGAGCACAATAGAGGATTATGCACAGTACAGCTGCCTGATAGAAAATGAGGCTGGTCAAGATATCTGTGAAGCTCTGGTGTCTGTCTTAGGTGTGTTGACAGCTACCTCTTTTTATTGCTCTCTTTCTTTTCAAACATCCTCTTTTACATGGCATGACTGACTTGCTGACTACCATCCTTTGTACCATAGAACCACCGTACTTTATTGAACCTCTGGAACATGTGGAAGCAGTCATTGGAGAACCTGCAACTTTACAGTGTAAAGTGGATGGAACTCCAGAAATTAGAATTTCTTGGTATAAAGAACACACAAAGCTACGATCAGCTCCTGCATATAAAATGCAATTCAAAAATAACGTTGCTTCCTTAGTAATCAACAAAGTGGATCACAGTGATGTGGGAGAGTATTCATGCAAGGCAGACAACAGTGTGGGGGCAGTCGCTTCTTCAGCTGTGCTTGTTATCAAAGGTGATGGTGTTGTTTAACCTAGTGTGTGTGAACAGATTCATTTTCTTAAAAACGTTAAAACTTTTATGAATTGAAATATGTTGTGGATGCCTTCTCACCTGTAAATAAGGATTATCTGTAACTTCTTTACAGCGCGCAAACTTCCACCTTTCTTTGCAAGAAAACTGAAAGACGTTCATGAGACTCTAGGCTTCCCAGTTGCATTTGAATGCCGCATCAATGGCTCAGAACCTCTTCAAGTGTCTTGGTACAAGGATGGGGTTCTTTTGAAAGATGATGCTAATTTGCAGACATCTTTTGTTCATAATGTAGCAACTCTTCAGATTTTACAAACTGACCAGAGCCACATAGGGCAGTATAATTGCTCTGCTTCTAATCCTCTTGGGACTGCTTCATCCAGTGCCAAGCTCATTCTCTCAGGTGAGTAACTCACAGTACCCTCTTCATTGTAAAGCAGCTTCACTGCTCCAGGCCACCAAAAGGCTGGTGCCATTTAGTTTCTGCTCTGTATGTGAGAGCATGGAAATAAAAATCACCATGTTGGTCTTCATTCTTTTCAGAGCATGAAGTGCCTCCTTTCTTTGATCTAAAGCCTGTATCAGTAGATCTTGCTCTTGGAGAAAGTGGTACTTTTAAATGTCATGTAACTGGGACTGCACCAATCAAAATCACTTGGGCCAAAGATAACCGAGAGATTCGCCCTGGAGGCAACTACAAGATGACTTTGGTAGAAAATACTGCCACTCTGACAGTTCTCAAAGTAGGCAAAGGCGATGCCGGGCAGTACACCTGCTATGCAAGCAACATCGCTGGAAAAGACTCTTGTTCTGCTCAGCTGGGTGTACAAGGTACTTGTTAGAGTGAAGGAGCAAGATCTCTTTTACATTTTCAGTATCTTAAAATATAGGAGGGTGGGTGTGCTTGAGAGAGAGCTATGTTTAGGACCAGGGTCTAGTGATGAAAATGGATCAAGTGGATCAAGGACCTTCCAAATGGAGACAAGTATTTTTTAATTACTTTAAAAAAAAAATTTAAAACTAGGAAAACATGGACCAAAAGTCCATTTTAAGAGACTAAAAATAGAGACTAGAGAGAGATAACCGAAACTCTACAAAATTGCAAGAAAATCCTAGTTTGAAAGACGGTATCATAGGACAAAAGCGAAGTTATTGCAAATGACTTTTTTCCCACAGTACTTAGTAAATGAATGGATTTTGTCCCTCTAAGGCATAGCAAAGAGCCAAACTATCAAGCCCTTCAAGGAGAATTCAGATGAGAATGATAAGTTCAACTTACTTTCCTCCACTAGCCCCACTTAAATAATAGTGGAGGTCAGGGGCTGGGGAGTAAGTAGATCAGTATCTGCTATTATGGAAGGCAGTCATGTGTTTCTGCCACATGTTTATCGCTGCTACTGTCAGAAATTAAATAGTTCACTCAATGGACTGCTAGTCTAGTCCATTAGAGTATTTTTAAGGGTTTTTGTAGTGGTGGTTTATAAATATCTTGAAATTAAAATATAATTAGATTTAGCAGCCCATTTGCTCTATGACATATAGCTAATCACTTTTACTTCCCTATGCCTGAATTTTTTGCTTCAGTTAATGAGGAAATCATTACTCTCACACACTTCAAAGGAAAATTATGAAGGTTGAGGAAATACCCATTTAACACCTAAAAGAGGAAAATGGCATTTTAAAAATATTAAGATATCTGACCCACTTTGCCATTCCGGCTCTTCATGCTATGTAACTGATAGCATTGCAGCCTTAGGAAATAGTTCTCCACTGGTTCATATACAAGACAGTAATCAAATTCTCATTCCCCGTGGACCTCAGAGGGCTTCCACTGACAGATACATGCTATTATCTCTGATCTTGGCACTAGAGAAGGGACTCTTTTGCTGGGGAGAGGATGGCACAATAAAGAGTAATGTCTTTTTCTCCTTCTTTTAGTAATAATACTTGATGTGGATGCTTACAAAAACAAGCATATTTTATTTTAGAAATTTTCTATTTAGGTTTCATTTAACTCTTCTTCCTTGAACTGCATAAATTTGTTTTCCAGAGCTAAAGACCTCTCTAGCAAAGATTATTTTTTCCACCTCATCTTGAATTATATGCATCTGTTCCATCCCTTACCCTGTGTTTTTCCTCTTGGTTCCATAGAACCACCCAGGTTCATTAAGAAGCTAGAACCTTCAAGAATTGTGAAACAGGATGAATTCACAAGGTATGAATGCAAAATCGGTGGGTCTCCAGAAATCAAAGTTTTATGGTATAAGGACGAGACTGAAATTCAAGAGAGCAGTAAATTCAGAATGTCATTCGTTGACTCGGTGGCTGTGCTGGAAATGCACAATCTCAGTGTTGAAGACAGTGGAGACTACACCTGTGAGGCCCACAATGCAGCAGGCAGTGCCAGCAGCAGCACATCCTTAAAAGTTAAAGGTCAGCGCTCTCCCCACCTGTGTGTTTTTCACATTAGCCTCCTCTTTAATTGTCCTCTTAACTTCCTGTTTGACTCTTCAACGATGTTTTAAAATAGGGAAAGGACACAACAAAGAATTGAAAGTGTTTTTTTCACTCTCTATCTCTCTGATGGAGTGGAAGATTGATTCTTACTTTTAACTATATACTTACAGAATACATCCGTATTTTCCTTTTTTCCAATTTTAGAACCACCCATTTTCCGCAAAAAGCCTCATCCTATAGAGACACTGAAAGGAGCTGATGTTCACCTTGAATGTGAGCTTCAGGGCACTCCCCCATTTCACGTTTCTTGGTATAAAGACAAGAGAGAACTTAGGAGCGGCAAGAAGTACAAGATAATGTCTGAGAACTTCCTAACCAGTATCCACATCCTGAATGTCGATGCTGCAGACATTGGGGAATATCAGTGTAAAGCCACAAATGATGTGGGAAGCGACACTTGCGTTGGTTCCATCGCTCTCAAAGGTTAGATGGACTGCATTCACTTCTGCTCACTACTTCCCTTCTAATTGTAATACTCTGTTGCCCCCTCCACCCCAGCCCAGTCTTATCACTAGCAGCCTATTCCACTTTCCCTTTGTTTCCTCTCCAAGTCCTTTTCTGTTTAGTCTGCTTCCCTTTTCCAAATCCTACTGAATATCCTTTTAGATAATGTTGTAATTAGGTTTTGATTGGATTAAGAAAGCTGGAGTAGATGAGATATTCAACTTTCCTACTGAATACAAACTTTAATGTGTCCCTGCTCGCATCCACCAAAAATGCCTCTTAAATGGAAATAACACATTATCACTAGTTTGATTCCCGGCATTCACGATTTGAGCAAAATGCTGTCAGTCTCACAAATTTTAAAACCCAGGCTTTCCTCCTTTTTCATCAGCACCACCAAGATTTGTGAAGAAGCTCAGTGACATATCTACTGTCGTTGGTAAAGAAGTTCAGCTGCAGACTACCATTGAAGGCGCTGAACCCATTTCAGTGGTGTGGTTCAAAGATAAGGGAGAAATCGTTAGAGAAAGTGACAACATATGGATTTCTTATTCAGAAAACATTGCAACCTTACAGTTTTCAAGAGTGGAACCAGCCAATGCTGGAAAATACACTTGTCAGATCAAAAACGATGCTGGGATGCAAGAGTGCTTCGCCACGCTATCCGTTCTCGGTTAGTAAAAAGATGATGTTATCACAGATACAAGGCACACACTCACCAGGATCTGTATTTTCTTTAGTTTTTCAATTTGAGTTTAAAATATGGATATCTTTTACATTTCATTCCAGAGCCTGCAACAATTGTAGAAAAGCCAGAATCCATAAAAGTTACCACGGGAGACACCTGTACCTTGGAGTGTACAGTAGCTGGCACCCCTGAACTCAGTACTAAGTGGTTTAAGGATGGAAAAGAGCTAACAAGTGACAACAAATACAAAATAAGCTTCTTCAACAAAGTATCCGGCCTTAAGATCATCAATGTAGCACCGAGTGACAGTGGGGTATACAGTTTTGAGGTGCAGAACCCTGTTGGCAAAGACAGCTGCACAGCTTCATTGCAGGTTTCAGGTTGGTTGATTTCTTGGGCTTTTCCTTCATCATTATAATAATGTAGTTCCTGATTTTCATAAATGTATATGGGTTGTTACATCTTCTATAGGATAACATGAGTCCGACATCTTCTGAATCAGCAAATTCAGAGGCAATACCATCTGTAGAATTAGAAGAAAACCATGTTCAAAAGTTATATCCCTTTCTTTTTGAGGAATTTCCAAAATGATGATAGGAATGAAAAATAGTCCCTGGATAAGGTTAAAGCAGTCTTCATTTATGCTGAAATAATTCACCACATAATTCTTCACGGCAAAGAGAGAACAAAATCCCTAGCAAGTCAACCATCACATTCTGCCCACTGATTCTCCAAGCTTTTGATAGTGTGAACCCATAGAGGAGTTTTTAATACCGTCACAAAAGAGCCAAATGGATCTAGGGATAGTCCATCAAAAAGACAGTTCTCTCTTCAAGTCATTTTATAATTGTTGTCCTTTGTTTTTTTTGTTTTGTTTTGTTTTGTTTTGTTTTGTATCATTCAGACCGAACCGTTCCTCCTTCATTCACAAGAAAATTGAAAGAGACAAATGGTCTATCCGGCTCCTCAGTTGTAATGGAGTGTAAAGTCTATGGGTCACCTCCAATCTCTGTCTCCTGGTTCCATGAAGGAAATGAGATCAGTAGTGGAAGGAAATACCAGACCACCCTGACAGATAATACTTGTGCTTTAACTGTGAACATGCTGGAAGAATCAGACAGTGGTGACTACACATGTATAGCTACTAATATGGCTGGTTCTGATGAATGTAGTGCTCCTTTGACTGTGAGAGGTCAGTTTACAAAACAGTAAAATGAATTGCATTTCATAGTTTATTAAGCATGTTTGTCATAACAATTCACAAATACTAAACCTTTTCTGATATGTGCTTTTGTGTTTAGAACCACCATCTTTTGTTCAGAAACCTGATCCCATGGATGTTTTAACTGGGACCAATGTAACTTTCACAAGTATCGTAAAAGGAACACCTCCTTTCAGTGTTAGCTGGTTCAAAGGTAGCAGTGAACTAGTACCAGGTGACAGATGCAACGTGTCTTTGGAGGATTCAGTTGCTGAACTGGAGTTGTTCGATGTAGATACATCACAAAGTGGAGAATATACTTGCATAGTTAGCAATGAAGCTGGCAAGGCTTCTTGTACAACACATCTCTACATAAAAGGTTTGTCAGACTGCTCTTCTAGATTTATACGATTAGTAATTAGATGTGTCTTTGTCTGTATGTATATGTGTTTGATTTTATATTTTCAATTTGGTCACTTTAGCCCCAGCCAAATTTGTGAAGAGGCTGAATGATTACAGCATAGAGAAAGGAAAACCCCTGATCCTAGAGGGTACATTCACTGGAACTCCTCCCATTTCGGTTACCTGGAAGAAAAATGGCATAAATGTAACTCCTTCTCAGAGGTGTAATATAACTACGACTGAAAAATCGGCAATCCTGGAAATTCCAAGTAGCACAGTAGAGGATGCAGGACAATACAACTGCTACATTGAAAATGCCTCTGGAAAAGATTCCTGTTCAGCACAAATACTCATACTAGGTTTGTCATGATTGCACATTTTTATCTTTGTATACAATCGATGATCTGGCATGTCTCCTTCATGACTGATTGATTATCTCTCTTGGCTGCAGAACCACCGTATTTTGTCAAGCAGTTGGAGCCGGTTAAGGTGTCTGTTGGAGATTCTGCCTCTCTACAATGCCAGCTTGCTGGAACCCCTGAAATTGGGGTATCCTGGTATAAAGGAGATACAAAATTGAGACCCACTACGACTTACAAAATGCATTTTAGGAATAATGTTGCTACACTGGTTTTCAACCAGGTTGATATTAATGATAGTGGAGAATATATCTGCAAAGCTGAAAACAGCGTGGGAGAAGTTTCTGCATCAACTTTCCTTACCGTTCAAGGTGATTGCAATATTTTTAAAGTGAACGAATTTGTGTTTCTTTTGAACAAGATTTAAAATGTCTGGGGAGGCCTATTTTTTAGGAAAATCTTTCCAAAGGCTTAAAATTCTGCTTAAGTAATCCTATTTACAGTTAGTGGCTTATCTTTTTCTATGGATTCTACAGAGAGATAATATGACTAAATCTTTAATTGGAAGGATTATGCAATCATTTGCTTCTATAATTAAATCTTTTTTAAAAAGTGACCATATATTTTTAAATTCCACCCCGTAAGTATCTCATGCAAATTGCTAGAAGGCAGTCTTTAAAATTACAGGAATCTGCTGCTTGCCCAGAGACATGCCTTCAGCCAACCAATTGCTTTATTGGTTTTCATACTGTTTTGCACCTACTGTGCATTAGGGTTGGTCTCAGAGTGATACTTTTGCTCCAGAAATCTATATGCTTTTCTTTATCTCCAAGTTAATTCAAGAGACATTAATAATTCCTGATTTTTAATAGAAATTGCATATATACGTGCGTTTGTATATATATAATTGTGAGAAGAGCATTTAGTAAATTAAAGTATTTGTTACTTTTATTCTGTTCCTACAGAGCAAAAACTTCCACCATCATTTTCTCGACAATTGAGAGATGTTCAAGAAACAGTTGGACTGCCAGTTGTTTTTGATTGTGCCATAAGTGGATCAGAACCTATCTCCGTGTCTTGGTATAAAGACGGCAAGCCATTGAAAGACAGCCCAAATGTACAAACATCATTTTTAGACAATACAGCCACACTCAATATTTTTAAAACTGACCGGAGCCTTGCAGGCCAGTATTCCTGCACAGCTACAAACCCTATAGGCTCTGCTTCTTCCAGTGCCAGGCTCATTCTCACAGGTTTGTGGATTCTTAAACTTTCATTTCTAGAATTAAAGTATTATAATCAAATATGAACTTAGGGAGAAATTTCTATTTCAGTAAACTGACATGGTCCAGATATTGAGCCTGAAACCTTGTCTTTCTGCTCTACTATTAGAGGGGAAGAACCCACCCTTCTTTGACATCCGTCTTGCCCCTGTGGATGCTGTGGTGGGAGAAAGTGCTGACTTTGAGTGCCACGTCACGGGCACACAACCGATAAAGGTCAGCTGGGCCAAAGACAGCAGAGAAATACGAAGTGGCGGAAAGTACCAGATTAGTTATCTGGAAAACAGCGCCCACCTGACAGTCCTCAAAGTAGACAAAGGAGATTCTGGACAATATACCTGCTATGCTGTGAATGAAGTGGGAAAAGACTCTTGCACAGCTCAGCTGAATATAAAAGGTATCGTTTATTTTGCAAGTGGTCCAACAAAAGTGTAATCATTTTGTAGTATAGCCTGAAGGTGTCGTTTTTATGATGATGAATGCAATTTAGGACATTTTTAAACAAATGAAAAGAAAATGTTTAAGAGGAAATAAGTTTATCTAGAGAAGAAGTCATTTTTTAAATCTGTATTTCTTTCTTTCCTCGAGACAGGATCTCATTCTGTCGCACAGGCTGGAGTACAGTGGCGTGATCTCAGTTCACTGCAACCTCTGCCTCCTGGGTTCAAGTGATTCTTGTGCCTCAGCCTCCTGAGTAGCTGGGATTACAGGCGCCTGCCACCATGACCAACTAATTTTTGTATTTTTTGGTAGAAACGGGGTTTCACCATGTTGGCCAGGTTGGTCTGGAGCTCCTGACCTCAAGTGATCCACCCGCCTTGGCCTCCCAAAGTGCTGGGATTACAGGCATGAGCCACCACACCCAGCTTATAATCTATATTTCTAAAACTTTATATATTCCCTATGATACTGAGACTACCCCTTCTTTTTACAAATTTGTGATTCTCTAAATGGCCATGAGTTACTTCTTATCATCCACCTTGTAAGTCAAAGAACAGTTTAGAATAAGCTCGTAGAAGGAGGCTGAAATGTTTAGGAACATATTCTGATATAGTGTATTTAGTTGGTTAGCCTTGATTTTTAACTAAAAATATGAGGGTTTTTTTTCTTGAAAAGCTTCATATTAGTAATCTGCTTCTAGCTTCTACTTCATATATCCTTGCAATTTCTTATAGAGCGGCTCATCCCACCAAGTTTCACTAAAAGACTCTCAGAGACAGTAGAAGAAACAGAAGGGAATTCTTTCAAACTTGAGGGACGTGTGGCTGGTTCCCAACCTATAACTGTTGCCTGGTACAAAAATAATATAGAGATACAACCAACTTCTAACTGTGAAATAACATTCAAGAACAACACGTTAGTGCTGCAAGTCAGGAAAGCAGGCATGAACGACGCTGGTTTGTACACATGCAAAGTGTCCAATGATGCAGGCTCTGCTCTGTGCACGTCTTCAATCGTCATCAAAGGTGAGTTATCCTCACAGCCCCAACCTGTTGTGTTTTTCTTCACTGCCTGTTATATATCCATGAGCATTTCTTATGATATCTTGACCAAGTAAGTTATAACAAATATAAATACACATTATTTAACTGTGTATTTATCACTCCATATGTTTACTAAAAATATAAATTATTGTAATTTAATTATGTGGCTTCCCGAAGGAGGTGTCATTTAACGGACTAATATCTTAGGTTTCTAAATCATATCCTAAAATTCCTTTAGGTAGTTAGAAGTTTCAGCGTACTCTGAAATGTGTGCATATGTGACATATATTTTTATGAAGCACATTTGTTTTGAAATTTTTTTAATGTTCATCACCAAATATCACATTAACTTGACTATTATTGAGTTATATATTATATCACAGTCTGAAACTTTCTCCTTTCCAAGTGTATTTCTAAAGGATTATTGTTTAATGTATATTGCCCAAAGCGTTTGACCTGCAAACAAATATTAATCCCAGACAAAAGGGTAACATTTGCCCAAAAAGAAAAATAATGGGTAGAAAACATTGCATATCATTATGGAAGACATATTTAAATACACAATCATCGCTTGAGAAAATGAAATAGACCATGTTGTTTAAGGATATCTTTATCTGTTTCTCTTCACTGTAATGGCTTCCAGTAATTACAACATAGCTTCATCAAAATCACATTAAAAACTAACCTCCTAGAGCAGCCTGGAATTAATTACCAACTCTTATGATCTGGTTAGTTATCTCACAGTGCACAGGTAGTAAGTTATTATTAATAGGCTGATATCACTAATAAGTAAATATCACTGAGTTGTCTTAAAATTCCAGTTTCACCACTCATTTTGTGGAATTTAGATGCATTTAGTTTTAAAACACATTTTATAAAATGAAAAATATATACTTAGCAGTGGCTTATCTTCATGATTTACACTCATGATGGTTTTACCATGGGCAGATAAATGCTTTCTATAGAATTCTGAAGCTATTTATAAAATGTTTTTAAAGGATAGACATCAGAAGTTTTAATCTTTGCAATAACAAAAAAAATGGCCTTATTCTTTCTAGGTACAGGTCTCAGAACCATTGAACAAAATCATTACATAATACTGAGTTGTACATTGCCTTCCTATCATGTTACTCATCAATGTCTTCATCATTGGTCTTCAGTTAAACACTGAGCCTCAACTCCTAATTCCCTTGGGCTAAGATTGGATTTTAAATGCTACTGTGGCTGCATTTAATAGCTAAAGATGAACATCAGAGAAAATCACATATAAATATGTGGGCTCATGTATTACTCAAATGCTAGCTTTCTTTCCTAGAGGGTAGCAATCATTGCCGCTGGAGATAAGCAGAATTCCCAAATAAGCCCTTCATTTTCAGGGTTCAGCAAAAACACCGCTGTACACAGGTTTGAGAGAATTAATAGTGTGCTATATGGCAAAGAAGTTCATAGTAACTGCCAATGTCTGCAGTGCTTAGTAAGGACACAGAGGCTGGGGCAATTTGTGGGCAGCATGTGATGTGTTCTTTGCTTGTTTTTAAACCTTTATCTTTTTAAAAAATCCAACAAATTTAAACTATTGTCTTTAGAGAGGAATAAACCAGGCACATAATTCTGTCCTACTACAGCAACAGTGTTACCTGTTAGAGGCCAGTTTTTCTCTTTATTTGTTTCTCTTGTGGAATTTAATACTTTTTTGCCTTTATGTTCCTCATGAAAATACCTTTTCAATTCCAGAACCTAAGAAGCCACCTGTATTTGATCAGCACCTTACTCCAGTAACAGTGAGTGAAGGAGAATACGTGCAGCTCAGCTGCCATGTCCAGGGATCTGAGCCAATTAGGATCCAGTGGTTGAAGGCTGGCAGGGAAATAAAGCCTTCAGACAGATGCAGCTTCAGCTTTGCTAGTGGGACAGCTGTACTGGAACTCAGAGATGTGGCTAAAGCAGATTCGGGAGATTATGTGTGTAAAGCTTCAAATGTGGCTGGAAGTGACACTACCAAATCAAAAGTGACCATTAAAGGTACAGACACCTCAAAAGTATTATGCAGCTCAAGCCAGCAACCACTCATGTTTATTTGCTTATTATGATTTCCCTAGAAATGGAATTAGATTTTTAGAAATATCAGTTGTTGCTCATCTGCAATTTGTAGGCTCCTTATTATAATTGAAATATTAGGTAATTTAACAGAAATAATGTCAATACAAAGTATCTGAAATTACTACAAGTTTACCACCCTATTTCTTGAACTTCTTTTCACCATATCCATTAAGATGTAATTAACGCAGTTCCAAAAATGATGCTATAATAATGCGATAGAAAGTAGGCTGTTGTGATACACCTGGAAAAAATAAAACCAAGTCTAAAAATATTGACACTACTAATATGATTATAGTTCAACCTTTGATAGCTATCATTAGCATAAATGTCTGAGAAGCTGCTTTATCTTCTGTAACCCACCCTTACATAGAAAGAGAATTCTGCAGTACTTACTTATCAAACTGCCAACCTCCTAAGGCTTATTTTACAAAGGGGGATATGTATTGTAATTCTGAGGTGATTGTAGTAACAAAACATGTAAATGTTTTTTCAGACAAACCAGCTGTGGCCCCAGCAACCAAGAAAGCTGCGGTAGATGGAAGACTCTTTTTTGTGTCAGAACCTCAGAGTATCAGAGTCGTAGAAAGTAAGTGCACTTCATGAGAAGTACATCTTCATCTATCTTATACCTTTTACTTATGATTTAATTTTGGAAGAACTGATTTTAGAAAATTAAATTTTTATTCACTTGTTTTCATTATTCCTTAGAAACCACTGCGACCTTCATTGCAAAAGTTGGAGGTGACCCAATCCCAAATGTTAAATGGACAAAAGGGAAGTGGAGACAGCTGAACCAAGGAGGTCGTGTTTTCATCCACCAAAAAGGCGATGAAGCAAAACTGGAGATTAGGGACACCACAAAAACTGATTCTGGGTTATACCGATGCGTGGCATTTAACGAACATGGTGAAATTGAAAGTAATGTTAACTTACAGGTGGATGAAAGGAAGAAACAAGAGAAAATTGAAGGCGATCTTAGAGCAATGCTGAAAAAGTGAGTTCAATAAAAACCACAAATCGTACAATCAGCCCTCCATATAAGTGGGTTCCGCATCCACAGTCAACCAGCCCCAGTGGAAAGTATTAAAGAACAAAAAATTTAAAAATACAAATAAACAATACAGCATAACAACCATTTACACAGCACTTACATTGTATTAGATATTATAAGTAATCTAGAGATGAAGCATATGGGAGGATGTGCATAGGTTACATGCAAATACTATGCCATTTTGCATCAGGGACTTGAGCATCTGGCCACAGGCCTCCTGAAGCCAATCTCCCAGGCATAGAGAGGGATGACTGTAATGTCCCATTCACAAAAAGAATCTCTCAAGAGTCATGGGCCATCCATCTCAAGATTCAGATTGTTAAAGAACATAGGCATATAGACATTTTCACAGAAGCAGATAAGCAAATACACAACATCTGGGTGTTCTTGTTTCATTAGAATCAATTTCCGAATTTAAGAGAAAGTTTTAAGAATGAGGTGAATGTCTATTAAGATTTTTAAACAAAAAGAAATGGCCTATAAAGAAACCCCAGTATTGTCTGTGCCTAGGTATGAAACTTTTTTTCTATATATGATTTCTTATGTTATGAATGGTTCTCTAAAACAACTGTTTTAAACATTTTCCATAATTATCATTCATTTCAATATGGTTCATTTTTCAACATAATTATTAAATTAAATCCACACTCAATTTCCACACATCGTTTCCGTGATATGTATACTATTCTATTATTAAAGTTTTCCATTGCTATTATTATTTTTTCTGATATTATAATTCATTAGCTAGGCTCTTTGGTTATAAAGTTTACAGAAATACTTCTATTATCCTTTCCCTTCTTAAAATTTTCATTCCTACATCTATATTTTATTACAATGGTCCTAATCCATCTGATCTTAATCGACTCCATCTCCAAACCCACATTTTTAAATTGTTTCACAGCTAACATGGTAAAATTAATATTTATTGAATAAAGAACATAGAAAACCTTAATGAAGTATATAATCTTTGAATGATGATAGACAATTAAAAATAAGTAGAAGACAGGTGTTTTATCCTTACTTTTTAAATTTTATTTAGGACTCCAATCTTAAAGAAAGGAGCTGGAGAAGAAGAGGAAATTGATATCATGGAACTTCTCAAAAATGTTGATCCTAAAGAATATGAAAAATATGCCCGCATGTATGGAATCACTGACTTCCGAGGTCTTCTTCAAGCATTTGAACTGCTCAAGCAAAGCCAAGA
Organism: Homo sapiens; assembly: GCF_000001405.40. Lineage (NCBI taxonomy): Eukaryota > Metazoa > Chordata > Mammalia > Primates > Hominidae > Homo > Homo sapiens. Next base: position 178,705,192 of record NC_000002.12, on the reverse strand, counting down.
AGAAGAGACACATAGACTGGTATGCTCCTTCATATATAGCATCATGCTAAAAAAGTCACATTTAAAACATCTCACATATTCCCTTTGAATTACCAGAATCCTATAGTTATATGACGTCATTTAATATGACCTAACCAGCATCCAGAATGGAAGCTGAATATAGTCATGCGTCCTCTAAATCAAATTTTGTTTCATCTGTAATGCCTATCATTTTTGTTCTTCTCAGGAAATTGAGGAAATAGAGAGGTCAGAGAGGGACGAAAAGGAATTTGAGGAACTTGTATCATTTATTCAGCAAAGACTGTCACAGACAGAGGTAAAAAGAATTATGTTGATAATAAAATGAACAAGTTATTATTGAGTATTATTATAAGGGAAGGAGTAACAAATGTGTTTTAATTCTTTATTCTCCTAGCCTGTCACTCTGATCAAGGACATTGAAAATCAGACAGTTTTGAAAGATAATGATGCTGTCTTTGAAATTGACATTAAAATTAATTATCCAGAAATCAAGCTTTCGTGGTACAAAGGAACTGAAAAACTGGAACCCAGTGATAAATTTGAAATAAGCATTGATGGTGACCGACATACACTCAGAGTCAAAAACTGTCAACTTAAAGACCAGGGCAATTATCGATTGGTTTGTGGTCCACACATCGCTAGCGCTAAACTAACTGTAATTGGTAAGTTAGAAAAGGCTTATGAAATACTTGTGAGATTTAAATTACTGTTGAGCACATCTGCGTGTGATATTGAACAAAATGCGTGTTGTATCACATGAACAGAGCCTGCATGGGAACGGCATCTTCAGGATGTGACTCTGAAAGAAGGCCAGACTTGCACCATGACATGCCAATTTTCTGTACCAAATGTAAAATCTGAATGGTTCAGAAATGGCAGAATCCTTAAACCCCAAGGTAGACATAAAACAGAAGTGGAACACAAAGTCCATAAATTGACCATTGCAGATGTTCGAGCAGAAGACCAGGGTCAGTACACCTGCAAATATGAAGACCTTGAAACTTCAGCAGAACTCAGAATCGAAGGTGCGTGAAACACTATGGAGTCCTTGTGGGTACAGCATAGGTCAATGGCAAATGTTGTGCAGGACCCCTGCAACCCTACCTGTAGACACACACCAAAGTGGTCATGTGTTCTTATTTCCCAACACACGTTCTCATAGTATTCATCTCAAAGTTCATACAAAAGCACAAGGGAAATATTCAAATGAGTGTCAGTTCTTTTGCATCGTTCTTTTAGATTTTAATCTAGTCTAAGACATAATCTTTAACAGTTATTTCTGTCTAAAGTCTAAATTTCATGATTCTCATATCTAGGATTGTAGAAAGAAAGCTAGGAAAGGACAAGATCTCATAGATGTAAATCTGGAGGATCTTGGCTAGGAATTGATATTTTGTTTATAGGACTTAGTCTGACTTTCTCTGTACAAAATTATATAGATAACATAAACATGTCATGTGCAATTAGCAACTATTTTTCAAAAATATTTATTTCATTTTCAGATCATGTTTCAACCTTCTGAATCTCTGAAATTAAGTGAAATCTCAGAATTTAGGAGTAACAACATTCATTTCCTAATTGATTATACACATTTTCCAAAGACACCCTCAAACTGTATTGAGAAAAATTTTGGCTATGATAATAGCATCTGCTTTCAGCTATTGGTGCCCATTCGTAGTTGCTGAAACACAAATATATGACATTGGATTTACATAAGCATGTCAACTTTTCTGACTTACCTTACAATGAATATCAGTGACTGGTTGTATTTTAAATGGTTTTCAAATTAAAGGGCCAGCTGCAAGTACTAATTATTTTTTAAATAATTGATATTTTTAATATAATTCTTTAGTAAATAGAGCTCACCAGAGTACTGTGATTTCTAAGACTTTATGGTACTGTTATACATATAAGACCCTCCCCTCCAGCCTCTTCTAGAAAGCACTCCTGCCATCCACACACATACTTTGTTTGTGCCCATATGTACTTAGCAGATTTCTGAACTCTAAAATTTTTCTTTTTGAAATTTAGAAGTGCAGATTTCCGATTGCGTTTGAAATTATTTTACAGGAAAAGTTATACATATTAGATAAACAATTATAGATCCTGAATAGCAAAAATTATTTTACTGAGGCAAGAAAGAATTTCACAGAGGAATAAGTTGTAGAGTACAATCAAGTTTGTGTTCCCTAACACTTTTAAAATTTAATTTGACTTTGGGTCATTAGCTCTCTTTAGTATGTTCTTTATATAAATATTTTAAGAACTCACAATAATTTCTTTACACTTTGCTACATTCGACCAGCATGAATACACTTAAGAATTGGGATACTTTTTTGTTAGTGATGCAAAGAAGAGTGCATTTCTTCTCATTTTGGATTTTTGAACTTTTCTTGCTATTTTATAACTGGGTACAAAGATGGAGATTTTAAGTATCTGAGGTAAAAGCAAGTAAAAGAAATTCCTCTCTATATAATCTAACTTTGAACCCTCTTTGTACTTAAACAGCTGAACCAATTCAGTTTACAAAGCGCATACAGAACATCGTGGTGAGTGAGCATCAGTCTGCCACCTTTGAGTGTGAAGTGTCCTTTGATGATGCCATTGTAACATGGTACAAAGGACCAACAGAACTGACAGAGAGCCAGAAATACAACTTCAGGAATGATGGCCGCTGCCATTATATGACCATCCACAATGTGACCCCAGACGATGAAGGTGATTTCATTGACAGTTTTCCAGTGAATGTATAATTTAAGCCTCGTCTGTTTTCTGTATTTCTACCCTGTATGCGCTCATGCTCTCATTCTATCTAGAATGCTTTTTTAGAAAAGACAAGTGTAAATAAACACATACGTATATTGAAGTAAAGAAGTGTTATTTGCAACATATCAGAAAACAAAAGTTGGATGATTTTTCACCCTAGGTGTCTACTCGGTCATCGCTCGGCTGGAGCCAAGAGGTGAAGCAAGAAGCACGGCAGAGCTGTACCTAACGACGAAAGGTGAGGTAGCGCCATCAGAAAGCCACCCTGCCATCTTCGAAACACGTAGCCTACCTATACCATTCTGAACACAAAAATATCATTTTTTTTTTATTTTGCAGAAATCAAACTTGAGCTGAAGCCTCCTGGTAAGTTGTTTTGTAAAAATCAATCCTTGCTTACAATAAATTTGGCATAATTTTGTAAATCACAGAAGCCAAACTAAAATGTATAAGATATCTTTCTCTTTTGGGTAAAATATTTTTCAATAAAACTGTTATGCAGTAGAATTACTTTCAGTCAAATAATAAAATGTTAAACCTTGTGAGTCTGGCAAATTAGAGATAATAAGGTCTCACTCAGCTGATGCTAGAATCATGTTAAATAGAATAGCCACAGAATGAAACAAATTTTGACAGTGAACAAAACTTACCTGCGTGGTTGCATACAAAAGAATACTAATATTATTTTGTCTGTATATTAGATTCTGCCATTAGATATGCCTGACATATCTCAGGATCTAATAAATCAAACACACCTTAGTTTTCTAATAAATAGCTTGTTCTCAGTCTCTCTATGCTTATTACATGTCCCTTTCCAGATATTCCTGACTCCAGAGTTCCAATCCCAACCATGCCTATCAGAGCAGTGCCACCAGAAGGTAAGACCCAGAACCTCAACATCTGAGCTTGGAGCAGCAATATTCTAGCACTAGGAATCTGTACGAAATTTTATACCAGCGACCAAACTGCAGCAGAGTCAGAACAAAACCTTCCATGTCATATTCTTCAGTGAGCAATTAGAAATTAAAGTAAAAAAAAAAAGTAGTTCCAGTTATAAATAAATGCTACTTTTATTTGTTCCGACTGATGAATTCGTACTATAATACCTATGAAGTACTGAAAGAAATGCATGAGACTTTTCATTATATTTTACGCAAAATAAGAAACTAAAACATGTTACTAACGGCATTTATTTTCTTCAGAAATCCCTCCTGTGGTTGCTCCTCCTATCCCCCTTTTGCTACCAACACCCGAAGAAAAGAAACCACCACCAAAACGTATTGAAGGTATTATACCTCATCTACCTAGATGTCGAAATAAGAATTTCACTCTGCTGACCCGAAAAATGTTGCTTAATACAACGCATTGGCCCTCTAGTGGTCAAGAGGTGGAATTGCCTTTCAAAATGTAAATTACTTTCTCAAAGTATTAGCTAACTAAATGTGTAAGTTATGTGCTTAAAACTCTGAAAATCATCAAACAAAATACTATTTTGGTATTAAAATATTTTATTTTAATGAAATTACTGAAACATTAATAGAGAACTAATTTAATGTTTCATATTTTCCTAACTACTATGTATAACAAAAAGAATAATGGAACCAATTTCTAGTGCAGCTTATAGAAATAAACCATAGTAGTTTACAGCCAAATTGCAAATTATAGCTTGTGGCTTTTCTCAATTTATAGTATTAACTACTCTTAAAAATTTACTATTTTGTCACATAAAATATGATTTAGAATACTTATGAAATATTTGACTTCTTTTGTACCTAAGGCATGATCTCACCAATAAAGAGATCTTAAGTGTTCCAAGGAATTGCTCCTCTCAAATACTCAGTAGAGAAGTTGTAGTATTTGTGTCCCAAAGCTTCTCAACTAAATTAGACAACAGATTTCCTGGGACTTTCTGGAGTTATAGGGAGTTCAGAAATGCTGTCAGAATTCTCCCAGCATGGTCAGAAAAAATTCTGTATGTCAAAATCACATTTTTCTATAGCTAAGTCACTACTACTGTATTAGATTCAAGGGGTGGAAATGGTAGGCCCTTAACACCCGCTATAATTGGCATTAAACGCTTGACCTATTTTTCAGCCAGCCTTAGAGGAAATTCAATTAGAAACTTCCAATTTTGTGACTAATGCAACCTCATTAACAAAGAGAAGCATTTTTATGATTCATACGAACATAAGCATTTTATCTAGCTGTGAGAACAGAGAGGAACAAGAATCAACAATCATAAATTGGATTTCCATTTCTATTTCTGTTGTCAAAAATAATAACTTATGTTAATGAATGATTTGTTCTTTGACTGGTAGTATCAACATGGCTAAGTTTGGTACTCACTGTGAAACTTGAGAAGTTAAATAATGTTTTAAAAATTAAAAAAGAGGCCTGGCGCGGTGGCTCACGCTTGTAATCCCAGCACTTTGGGAGGCCGAGGTGGGCGGATCACGAGGTCAGGAGATCGAGACCACGATGAAACCGCGTCTCTACTAAAAATACAAAAAATTAGCCGGGCGTGGTGGTGGGCACCTGTAGTCCCAGCTACTCAGAGAGGCTGAGGCAGGAGAATGGCGTGAACCCGGGAGGCGGAGCTTGCAATGAGCCGAGATCGAGCCACTGCACTCCAGCCTGGGTGACAGAGTGAGACTCCGTCTCAAAAAAAAAAAAAAAAAAAAATTAAAAAAGAGTGGGCTGGGCGCGGTGGCTCACGCCTGTAATCCCAGCACTTTGGGAGGCCGAGGCGGGCGGATCACAAGGTCAGGAGATCGAGACCATCTTGGCTAACACGGTGAAACCCCGTCTCTACTAAAAATACAAAAAATTAGCCGGGCGCGGTGGCGGGCGCCTGTAGTCCCAGCTACTCGGGAGGCTGAGGCAGGAGAATGGTGTGGACCTGGGAGGCGGAGCTTGCAGTGAGCCGAGATTGCGCCACTGCAATCCGGCCTGGGCTAAACAGCGGGACTCCGTCTCAAAAAAAAAAAAAAAAAAAAAAAAAAAAAAAAAAAAAAAAAAAAAAGAGTGTTATTTATTCATGAATACAAAAGGCCATAATCAAGTATGATTAGGAACCGTGGTTAAGGTATAACAGCTGCACAACAAAGGACTTTAAACCCACTTGTTACTCTTCCTCCTAACATATTTGTGTTCGTCCCTAAGGATGAAGCAAAGATGAAAATGTGTACTTTACTATTTATGATATCACTTAGATTCACACTCCATGTTCTGAAAACTTTAACTCTCAGCAGACATAAAATCAGTGAAGATGTAAGATCACAGTACATTTTCTATATCCCTCCAAAACAATTTTTTTGCATCTAGTCCTAGATCTTTCCAAAACAAATATCTTGTAGTAATATGCAGAATCTCGCTACTATCAACATATGGAAAAATAAAATATTTCAATAAAATTCCTAGTTTCCTGAAAGCATTTTAGTTACTTACACCAGAAATATTTTTTCTTTTTTTTTCTTTTTTTTTTTTTTTAGTTACCAAAAAGGCTGTGAAGAAAGATGCCAAAAAAGTTGTTGCAAAGCCCAAAGAGATGACACCACGTGAAGGTATTATAATTAATCAAAAAGCAGTCTTAACACTTTTTTCTTGGCCAAAACTTTTAAATTCTAAACAGTGGAGGGTGAAGGAAGGGTAAGAGTTTGCAATCACAAAATGGTACCTCTCCCTTCACTCACTTTCGCCCTCGTCTTTGACTCAGTCCTCACTCTCTCAACTCCTTTTTTCCCCCTTTTCTCTTTCCTGTCCTCCTGAGCCCCTGGGAACCAATGACAACACCAGTGTATTCTGGTTATTTCTGGATGAAAATTTAAAGAAGGTCTTGCCCAGAAATCCAACAGCTATTCTTTTTTTTTCTTTTTTATTTTATTGTAAATTGACTATTTACTATTGTGTATATATTTATGGGGTACAAAGTGATGTTATGATCTGTGAATACAATATGGAATAATTAAATCAAGCCAATTAACATATCCATCACCTCAAATACTTAACATTTTTGTGGTGAGAATATTTGAAATTTACTCTTAGCGATTTTGAAATGTACAGTACACTATTATTAACTATATTCACCACTCTGTGCAACAGATCTCAAGAAAAGCCATGTTTCTTCTGTCTAAGATTTTGTACCCTTTGACCAACATTTCCCCATTCCCTCAAATCCCCAGCCTCTGTAACCATCATTCTACTCTTTATGAATTCAACTTTTTTAGTTCCACATCTAAGTGAGAACTTACAGTCTTTGTCTTTCTGTGCCTGGCTTATTTCACTTAGCATAATCTCCAGTTCTATCCATGTTGTCACAAATGACAAAATTCCCTTTTTTTATAAGGCTGAATAGTATTCCATTGTGTATTTATATACCACCTTTTCCTTATGTATTCATCCATTGATGGACACTTAGGGTGTTTCCATAACTTGGTCTTTGTGAATAATGCTGCAATGAACATGGAAGTACCCAACAGCTGGTCTTGATAAAGTCACATCAATGTAAGATCAAGGGTTGCTGCTAATTTTAAGAGGTTGCTGCAACCCACCTCAGTATCTTTCCTGATTTAGGTGATCTAAATATCAATATTTGAAGAAAAAATACTTTATGAAGGAGGATCAATTCAAATCACTTTAACTTTCAATATATCCTCGAAGATTTTTAGGAAAACAGTTGGATAACTAAATTTAAACAAATAGTTTTAACTCATTTGACTAAGATTAGAGTACAGCAACCTCCATAAAGAAGGAAAATATGGAAACACAAGGCATCATTCATCATTCAGACTTTTCTGAGTGGTCATTTGTGAAACATCATGGAATAAGAGGACACTCAAAAAGCATGGATATTTCATGAACTTCATAGTTAATAATTGAAAAAGTCTAATGTGTTATTTTTAGCATTGGACATATTAAACATTCTCTTCATGCTTAATGTTAACTTATTAGAAATCAATCTAAACTAGAACCAATTTAAATGATCTTAAATCAATCTAAACTAGAATCAAACTTTGGCCTTTTGCATGTTTGATTTTTGTTAATATGGCCTTGCATAGCATTTCTAATGAGCTAGATTTGGAAATTATAGAAGCATTATTATGATTCCTGGAAGGGCTGGTGTATGAGTAGTAGTCATAGCTCCTACAAACAACTAACAATGATGTGGAGGATTAGTAAACATTAATAATAATGTAATCTAAAAATAAACACACATTTTTATGTTTTTAAACTCCCAGAGATTGTCAAGAAGCCTCCACCTCCTACTACCTTAATTCCAGCAAAAGGTAAATAAAGATAAATTATTTTTATTCTGTTTATTCCTGAGATTTGCACTTCTGCTAACTATTCTTATTTTAAATATTAGGCTTCCAACTTATTGAAAGTTGTGGAGTCTCCTCTGCTGTGTTAAATTTAGCATTAGAAATGATGGCTATTTCATATTGCCCCTTTCCCAGGAAAACAAACCCAGGCAGATGTTTATGCTGCCTCTGTGCAATGGTCTCAGAGAAAGAAGAAGTGAGGGCTAGAAAGGAAGGGCCATTCCTTATTTTTTTATTGTAGTTAACACAAATGTTAAGAGTCATATAAATAATGAGAGCCCTTAAGAACTTTAAAAATCTGTTATCTAAAAGTACCTAATTAACTTGGTTACATAATTTTAAATGTTGTTTTTATGAAACTGACTAAGGGATCATATGCAATAGTCAAAAACCTAGGTTTAAAATTAGAAATGTTTTTGAAATAATAATCAGAACTTTTTAAAAAGGTTAACTGTATAAATATGAAATATAAATTCCATGAACTTATCGAATATTAAAACTATTCCACTGGAAGAAACTAGGGGTTCTGCAAACTGGAGCTCTCATGGAATAATAGAAGGTGTGTCCATTTGATAATATTTATTGAATCCATTTTTTCATACTGGAAAAATCCTCAAATCAAGAGTAGAATGCATCTTGATACTCTACTATGTTCCATAGTCAAAAATTTAAATGGAACCAATACAAAAAAAAAAAACAAATTATCAATAAAATAGATCTGAAATACTGATGTTGTTTAACTAGGTAGATTTTTGTTTAGTGAAGCAGTTGGATGGATAGAATTAATATGCTAATAGTATCTTTATCTATTTTAGCTCCTGAAATCATTGATGTATCCTCTAAAGCTGAAGAAGTAAAAATAATGACTATAACCAGAAAGAAAGAGGTTCAGAAAGAAAAAGAAGCTGTGTATGAGAAAAAGCAAGCAGTCCACAAGGAGAAGAGAGTCTTCATTGAATCTTTCGAAGAACCTTATGACGAACTGGAGGTAGAACCATACACAGAGCCATTTGAACAACCTTATTATGAAGAACCAGATGAAGACTATGAAGAGATTAAGGTAGAAGCTAAAAAAGAAGTTCACGAGGAATGGGAAGAAGATTTTGAAGAAGGGCAAGAATACTATGAAAGGGAAGAAGGCTATGACGAAGGGGAGGAAGAGTGGGAAGAGGCTTACCAAGAAAGGGAAGTAATTCAAGTTCAAAAGGAGGTCTATGAAGGTATGTATAAACTGAATGACTTGTTTCCCTCTTTTCTTCATTTTTGCTCAGTTCATTAAATTTTCAATGCTATGAACCTGATTTGCAGTTTATGTGAAATAGTTAAAATGATCTTAGATTTTTTTAAGGTTAGAAATCTTTTAAAAGTTATTTTCCTCAGAGTTACTTTCATGCTTTGACATTACAAGCTAAATCATTTAGTCTTATTACTAACACTAAATTCCAAGTGCTAATTTCTAATGCAGAAGTTCAAGTTTTACTTTTACTGCCTTGTTGCATCTCTGCTTGATCCTGCTTCAAATCCTAGCACTAAGAATTGTGTTGGTAATAACGATCCCAAATATAATACTTCACACGATTATATATTATCCTTACCTTATCTCATTTGCAATTAACAACCTAAGAGAACTTACCTATTTAAGCATCCCTTCTTATTCCTGTGTTTTTATTTCAGAATCACATGAGAGAAAAGTTCCAGCCAAAGTACCTGAAAAGAAAGCACCACCACCTCCTAAAGGTAAGTAATTAGAAATATTTAAATAGACTAGAGCATCAACATCATTATCATGGCTTGTTTGGCAGCAATGTATAAATCAGCAGTTCAATCCAATAGGCACAACTTCTTCTCTAAGCTTTATTGTGAATGATTTTTTTTTCTTAAAATTTCTATCTAATTGATTTCATTAAAAAATCAAAAGATGATAAAAATTGTAATGGTAAACTTAAATATAACCAAAATATGTTAAGTACAGAAACTTGTACCCAGAGTTCAAAGTTGTGCGTAAAGGTCAAAGAAAAAAAAACCGAACTCATCTCTCTCTTTAAAAAATGATACATGTATCTGCATATACACTTATAGGTGTGTATAAACACATATACACAGAGAGAGAGAGATAGAGAGAGAGAGAATTTTAATAGGAATTCTAAAAGTACTGCAATTTCTCTAAAATGCTTGCAGTTATAAAGAAGCCAGTAATTGAAAAAATTGAAAAGACTTCTCGAAGAATGGAGGAAGAAAAAGTTCAAGTCACCAAAGGTATTATTTAAAACATTCCTAGCACCCATGTACACAAGTAATATGTTTACTGATCTATACTCACATTAGTTATTTATATAATCAAATACTTTTAAATTTTGTGCAAAGCAATATTCTTCAAAATACAAATATATTTGTACATATTTTTAAAGTACCTGAAGTTTCAAAGAAGATTGTTCCACAAAAACCTTCCCGGACTCCAGTACAGGAAGAAGTTATTGAAGTGAAAGGTATACATCTTTGTGTTTCAGCTACAAGTTCAAAATTTTTTTATTTATGTGTATGGACATGTGTACATATATTGCTAAGTAACTCACAAATCTGAAACGACCAAAAACAGCACATTTTTACATAATACAAATTTTATGTTGAGTTGCACATATGTTTAATTTAAATAGTAACATTATCTACTTTGTTTCTAGTTCTGCTTAAAAATTACATTTTTTTATTATAAAGAAGGTTTGTGTTTAATTAGTAGTTTGCTAACTTCACTATGCAATGCATTCCATTGCATATAATATTCCCTGTCCTCTTATTTATAGAAATAGACCCTAACAGATTTGGAAAAGCACAACATTGTGTGTGAAGAAGTTGTGTCTATTTGATTCTCATTTAAGAATGTTTGATGAAGGCTGCATGCATTGTTTGTCCCTATAGATCAAAACATGATTTGTTTTCTTGTCAATACTGAATTTGTTCTCAAGCTACCATATTAACCCACTCATTCTGTGTCTAAATACTTGAGTATAAAATCCATGTGTTTGATCTGATGTCTTGTACTAAAAAAAAGGAATACTAATGTGAAATACTCTCTTTAAAGTACCAGCTGTGCATACAAAGAAGATGGTTATTTCAGAAGAAAAGATGTTCTTTGCTTCTCACACAGAGGAGGAGGTGTCAGTCACAGGTATAAGGCAAACTGGAATGTGGGGGCTCAAATGGAAGGGTTTTAGGCAGATTTTTATCCCTCTTGTTGTCTAATTTGTGATCGTGTAGACATTTCTGTCTCCTTGTAAATTCTGTCATCTTTTTCATTTCATGTTTGTCTCTGTTTTCATTTTTATTTTAATGTTCTTTGTAAATTACAATTACCACCCACAACATGGCATATCAGTAATTAAAATGTACATTTTTTTAAGTCCCCGAGGTACAAAAGGAAATTGTTACTGAAGAGAAAATTCACGTTGCCATTTCCAAAAGGGTTGAACCACCACCTAAAGGTATTAGTAATTCATTCTAAGTTTAAACTCTTTTAATAAAAATTAGTACAAATACCATAGTAAAACATTTATGTTAGTATTAAATAATAGATTTAGTCACAGTGTGCATACCTATAGCCACTATGTACAAAGGATGTGATGGGGGACGGGAAGAACCATGAGGAAGGCACAGGGGGAAAAAAGTGAAAATTATGGGAGGCTCCATTCCCTGCTTCAGAGAGTTTGCAATCTCGTAACCTGTTACTTGGAAATACAGTGTCCTGGAGCCAGTTCATGCTAGCTCACCAGAGCCTATGGTTACATTTTCAGGAATTTTGCCAGTCAGTAGTTTAACACCACCATTATTAAAAATTAGATTATGTAAATTTACAGTCCAATAAAGTATATTTTTAAATATTAATAAATACTCAAAACTCCTATTTTACTGCATTTTGTTCTTATCTGTGTTTCTGAGATTGTTTCCATCTTTGTGTCTGTGTGGTGGAAATGCCATATAATGTACTACTGCACATCTCTTTCCAACTCCAGGACAATGACATCACCTTGACAGCCAGGGTGGGAGGGAGTGTTTATACCACCTTGGAAATCGGAAATCTGCAAGCACTATAGATCAAGGCTCCACCCCCTCCATCCCACCCAAATTGTTAAACATTTAAGACACAAAAAAATCTAATGCAATTGTATTTATGAAACTGCTTTATAAAAGTAAAGGTTACAAAAAAAAAAACTAACTTCATAGTTATCGATGTTCATAAAAAGCTGGTTTCTGAGGAACTGACACAGGCACCTCCGAGGGAGGATTGCTCCTACCTGTTCCTGACAAAGTAGAGGCTTCTGCAGTTAAAGGTGACAGCAGTCACATTTTCTAATTAGCCATTCAGCCATCTTCATTTACTCTCATTTCTAAAGCATAATTTTCTTGCATTCAGTTGGTATAAAAAGGGAATCTCTATTTAATTCTAAGTCTTACAACAACATATGCCTTGTCAAATGCACACTTTCTCAAAAATGGCACTTTTCTTTTAAAGTCCCTGAGCTACCTGAGAAACCAGCTCCAGAAGAAGTGGCCCCTGTTCCTATCCCTAAAAAAGTGGAGCCCCCAGCACCAAAAGGTAGAATAATATTTGTGAAAAAAATAATTCTTAGCATCCATCTTGTATCTTTTTCTATAAGATCTGTGTATTAACAAAATAGCATCTGTAAACCATCTATAATATATTTAATTCTGTGTATATTGATTTCATTTATTTGTGGTGATGTGTTATACAAGTATTGGTAACATTTCTAAACTCCAGATCACGCTAACTGGGTCTTTGTCTGCTTGTGTAATGTATGTAATGTCTATATGGTGTTGAGGTATTTAGCTTTCATTTCTACCACAAGTAGGCATATTTAAATTACTTCCTAATTCTCACACTGTTAGTGAAGATTTATGCTTTAATGTAATCTTAGATGTCTCAGAAGGTGACTAGAATATTCCACATTATTTCAACAATTGTATCTTTAAAGTTCCTGAGGTTCCCAAGAAACCCGTGCCAGAGGAGAAAAAGCCAGTTCCTGTGCCTAAGAAGGAACCTGCTGCTCCCCCAAAAGGTACGCCAGAGCCAATGATGGGGAGACTCTTTGCTCCAAGTGCCAGCCTTTTGCTTTCTACGATCTTCATATGTACTATGCTGCCTTTGTCTTTTGTCTCTTTTACATTCTTCTTGTGTTTTTACTGTTTGTCAGCTTCCGTGCCATGCTCTTGACATACTTTATTTATTATACTGAATATTCCTAAGACATCACCAAAAAGTATTGTTAAAGGAAGTAACTATGTCAAACTGCTATCTTACATTTTTAATATCTTCCCTCTTTTAGAGAAAGAGGAAATGTTTGTGAAACTTGTTTTCTACTGACATGTTTCTAGGAAAAAACCTTTCATCCTTCATAAATGTAACTTTTTCTTAATAAAAGCAGTTTCATGCATTATGAAGAGGTGGAGACAGGCAATGACAACTGGAGAGTGTCTGGCAGAACTGAATGTTAATTACATAAAGACGTACATAGTACCACGCTTCTTAAAAGTCAATAGTGGCGAGTCTTCAATAGTGGGGAACATACAGATTTTTTGAAGTTTACTTTCACCATTTTCTTGAGACCTTAACTGAGCTTCAGTATTTGCCATAAATGTTTCCGTTATCTAATTAGCTAGTCAAAGTACCTTTCACAGAGGTATGTTTGAATGAAAATGTGCTGCTGTGGTATATCACAAATCCCTTGCTTTGGTTTGTTTGGGATTTTTTTGGCGATAAAAGGCACTATCTTATTGAAGCACTGAAGCTACAATTGCACGCATCCATTCAGTTATAGAGAGACTCAGCAAGAATTCAACATTATCCAATTTAGGAGAAACCAGACCTAACTAAAATAGTACATTTTGAATAGTGTTCCCTTGGCCTGACTTTGCAATGTTTCTATTTTCTTCCTGAATCAAATATGCTTCTCTCTTTCTCAAACTCTTGGCTCTTTCAAAATTCTTTTGATTATCTAACCATTAAATACAAAGGTCATGTTAGTAAAACCAATACTAATACTAAAGCTACTTGAGACAGATCGTCTTAGATAAATTAAATCCATTGTTATTATGTACTACATTTCCCCATACAAAGCATAAAGAACCTTTTCTATATACTATCTGAACATTCTTGACTGTTTGTGTAATCACTAATTCGTTTTCAGCAAAGTCATATATGTCTTCTAAAGGAGACACAGAGGCATCTCTCATTTACTCATAAAAACAAATACACATAGTATAATAGCACGTATATATATATAAATACTGCATGTATATATAGCATAACATATACATATATAAATTAACAGCTATATAATTGCACCAAAATATTACAAATGCACGTGCAGAGGTGCAGGGATTCACAAAAGCTGCCAATATTGTATTTAAAATGAGAACAATTATTGCCAATAATGCATGCTGTTAAAATTCATCTTCCAATTAAAAAGTCAACATTATCCATTCTTAGAATAGATAAATCAAATACACTGTAAACATTTTTTAGGTTGAAAACCCTGTTCAAAACTCTAGAGCCCCTTAGAAAAAAAAAGCACAAATACACATACCCACAAAATTCTGCACACAAAGCTCTGTAAAGTCATTAACACATGGGTATCAGATTGAGAGACCTACTCTAGAGTGTTTCCTGAGTTTTGAATTCACTACAGGCACACCCCCCAAAAATGAGAGGAGAAATGTGGGGAAGAGAAGTAAGTTACACATATTCAACTATTCTAAGACTTCTTAGTCTTAGTCTAAAATAGTCTTAGATAAACTAAAGCCATTGTTATTAAGTACTCCATTTCTCAATACAAAGCGTAAAGAAGTTTTCTATATACCATATCCACATTCTTGATTGTTTGTGTCATCACTAATTTGTTTTTAGCAAGGTCATACAATATATAAAGGATGAATTCTGTGCACAACTTTGTTACATAACTCATTTTTGCCTAAATGCCTCTAAAACATTATTTGTGATATTTATCACATTGTGATCCTTGGAATAGTATAGTTAGTTTAATTTTCTGGATAATTTTGCTGATGCATAGATAATCCATAACAACATTAATGTACTACATAAAGATTTGTGCATGTGCCTATGTTCTTTCATAAAAGTGATATATGTCTGAACTAACATTGTGTTTCAAAAACTTTAAGTCCCAGAGGTGCCAAAGAAACCTGTCCCTGAAGAAAAGATTCCCGTTCCTGTTGCAAAGAAAAAGGAAGCTCCCCCAGCTAAAGGTACAGTGGCTTTCGACGTAAAGCCCTATCTTTTATCTTTGATACAAAATATGTTGTGTTTAATTATCTGTTCATTGAGTTAGTTTAATTCTAAATGAATGTTTTGTGGTGAGAACTGAACAAAAGTGTCTGTCCACCCGTCTGCTTTCTTAAAAAAAATAACTGTGCATAGCTACTTTAGAAAATATAAAGTCAATTCTAAAAATGTCTCTTCAAGTTCCTGAAGTACAGAAGGGAGTTGTGACAGAAGAAAAAATAACCATTGTAACTCAAAGAGAGGAATCTCCACCACCAGCAGGTACTTAATCCCATCTCCATGAAATAACCTTGTCTTTCCTTCAAGCCTCTTTAATTGCATGTCTTCTTTAATTGCCACTTCTATGTTGCTCATTTATTTGGCCTTTTTGACAAATTTTAAAATTCAATACTATCCTTTAAGTGCCAGAAATACCAAAGAAGAAAGTTCCTGAAGAAAGGAAACCTGTTCCTCGGAAGGAGGAAGAAGTTCCACCACCACCAAAAGGTATTGTTTCTCCATCTTCCCAAGAACTGTCTTTATGTTCCAGTGATTTTGTTAGTTTTGTGATATGAGTGCACTGTGGGTGTATTTCTTTGTTTTGCACTGGGCTTCAATGAGATCACATTAAATTTCTAAAAGTGCATAATGTCTCTAAAGTGCCAGCTCTGCCTAAGAAACCCGTCCCAGAGGAGAAAGTTGCAGTGCCAGTTCCTGTCGCTAAGAAAGCTCCTCCTCCCCGAGGTAGGATTTGCCTCAATCCTCTGACAAAAAAAAAAAAAAAAAAAAAAAATCTTCGAGTGTGTTAAATTCTTGCTTTTTCCATCTGGTCTGTGCTTATACTGATCCATTGTCTCACTTGCAGTGAAACTTTTGTGTTTATGTCCTTGTGATATGTAACTTGTTTTCCCATTTTGCTAGTCAAAGTGGTGTACTGTGCAACTCTTCCCCAAATTCTAGAAAGTGAGAATTGTTAAAATTCTTGATTTTAAACTTCAACTTTAACACTTTCTTAAAGCTGAAGTCTCTAAGAAAACTGTTGTAGAAGAAAAGAGATTTGTTGCTGAAGAAAAACTATCCTTCGCAGTTCCTCAAAGAGTGGAAGTCACGCGGCACGAAGGTATATAATCGGAAGTCAGGGGATAAATGAGTTTGTGTGTGTTTCCTCAAAGTCTCTTCTTCTTCCACATGTGATTGTTTACTTTAGAACATGTCCTCATCAGTTATTTCTCCTTATGTTGGTATTAGAATGTGTCTACCTTTTGTAGCCTTCTGGGACTGAGTCTTTTGTGTCTATGTTGGCCTTGAATCATTCGAAGGAAGTGGATGAGTCCCGAAAATGTTATAATTTTGAAAGTGGCCACACTTGGACATAACTCAAGTATCATTCTCAGTCTTGGGCTGTACTTGCCCTCATCTTAAATTAGCTTCCTCCTTCTTATAGTGAGGAAGTACCATGAAGCTATGTCCTAAGCAGATAGAAGAACAGTTATCCATCTGTAGTGACCACATGGCTGTATATACATCTGTATCTCAGCAGGCTGAATTTAAATGAAACCTTATCTTTTAAAGTATCTGCAGAGGAGGAATGGAGTTACTCAGAAGAGGAGGAAGGTGTGTCCATTTCAGTTTATAGAGAAGAAGAAAGAGAGGAGGAGGAAGAAGCAGAGGTTACAGAATATGAAGGTAAACAATGCAAATAAGCTAGAGATGATCTGGGGTTTTGATGAGGTGTTTTCTTTCACAAATTGTCTACAGACCAATGAAAAGAGACAGAAAAAAGTGACACAAATTCAGTGAACATCTACCAGTCTCATTAAATGAATATTTTGATCAAAACACAAGATTCAGGAGGATTATACTAGATTAGAGAAATCCAGTGTATTTCTTCTGCATCCCTTCTTACTTGCCTACATAGAATAAAAGAGGCTTCATATTTATATATAATTAATCAGGGCAGGTATCTCCATATACATATATCCTTTCATTAAACAGGACTTGGCTTCAGCATGGTGGGCTGGCATAAGCTTTACCTTAGTAGCCTAATGCCTAATTGGTGTTTCTCAAACATTGCTTGTACCACAATCCACAGACAGAAATATATTTTATATTATAATCCTTTAATTTTTTTATTCTAGGCATTTAAAAAATACAAGTTATAATCCATTAAGTCAATTGCAGAAGTCACTATAATGTCTTAAAATGTTTTAAAATGAGCAAGAAAATATATTACCTCATTACATTCCAGGAGTCAATGCCATATTTGTGAGTCTGAAGCCCTGAACACATAAGGCTTTCCTGTATTTTACATATGGAGAAAACCATTGTGTTATATATGGGATCAGACTGACTTGTTACTCAGATCTTTTCATACCTATAATGCTAATTATCTATAGTTTCTTAAGGACAGAACCAACAAACTATTCCATTGGGATATTTTTTCAATGAATTAAGGCAGCACCAGGTTTCCAACTAAAATCCAGCATTCTGGCTAGAGCCATGTGGCCAAAAGAACTTTCCTAAGAAAGTTCCTAAGGTCTGCTTTTAAAGAGAAATCAATAAGCTCCTTAACCAAACTAACTCTCTCCCCAGTGAGAAGATGAGTAGAATTGAAGTACATTTAGATGTCCCAAGTATCTGTTTTTATCTGTCTAATAAAAGATGGCACACCATGCCCCTTTTTTCACTTGGAACAAAAGCCCATGTAAAAATCCAAGGTGCCATAGTCTTAGTGGAATGCCTTGGAATAGGCCAAGATGGGACATGACTCCCAGGAGGAAATCCATTAACTCTGTTGTGCTTCCTGGAAGAGGCCATGATGGTGGACATAAGTCAGGAAGCTGGTAGATTTGAAGACGACTCCATCTTTTCTAAAAGTGTTTGTAAAACCAAACATAGTCTGATTTCAACTTTTGACACTATAAACTTCCTGTAGTACTCCAGACTCTAGTTAAAAGGAGAAACACTGTGATTATTTTTATGTTCTCATTATGCCCCAAAGATGGGTGGCTTGTTAGGTTTACTTTCAGCGTAAGGAGCAGATATGTTTTTAACCAGACACTTCTATTCCTTATTTAACTTTGACCAGGCATGGTGGCTCATGCCTATAATCCCAGTGCTTTGGGAGGCTGAGAAGGGAGGATTGCTTGAGCACAGGAGTTCAAGACCAGCCTATGCAACATAGCAAGCCCCATTCTACAAAAATTAAAAAAACAGCTAGGCATGGTGGCATGCACCTCTAGTCCCAGCTACTCAGGAGGCTGATGCAGGAGGATCATTTGAACCCAGGAGTTCGAGGTTACAGTGAGCTGTGATTACACCACTGCATTTTAGCCTGGGCAACAAAGCAAGACATTGTCTTAAAAAAAATTAAAACTGGCCGGGCGCGGTGGCTCACGCCTGTAATCCCAGCACTTTGGGAGGCCGAGGCGGGTGGATCACGAGGTCAGGAGATCGAGACCATCCCGGCTAAAACGGTGAAACCCCGTCTCTACTAAAAATACAAAAAATTAGCCGGGCGTAGTGGCGGGCGCCTGTAGTCCCAGCTACTTGGGAGGCTGAGGCAGGAGAATGGCGTGAACCCGGGAGGCGGAGCTTGCAGTGAGCCGAGATCCCGCCACTGCACTCCAGCCTGGGCGACAGAGCGAGACTCCGTCTCAAAAAAAAAAAAAAAAAAAAAAAAATTAAAACTGTATACACTTAGGCTCAAAAATCATGTGAAGCCTCCTGCCTCTTCTACCATACCTGCCCCACAAAACTGGCGGGGAAAACAATATGGAATATTATCTTACAATTCACTTAAATCCTCAAGTATGTTTCTGCCCTGTGGCCTTCAAATCTACAGTGCTCTGCTATTTGTGAAACTCATCTTCAAATTCTTCTGTTCTTATTAACTCAGCTATTATAATCGTTTCTTGTCCCGTACTTGTCCTGTCGTTGCTGTGGATATAAGCATTATTATCTGTATGACACATTTGAAAATTAAGTTAATGAAACCTATTTCCCATTTCCCATACTCTTCATTAACGCATGTGCTTTGATTAAAATGCTCTTTGAGTATTTTAAATAGGAACAAGCAGGGGTTTGGCAAGGGTTAAACTTTTGCTATTTTGATTACTCTTTGAAGTGATAAATTAAAGCTAAAAATAAACATGAAAAACACTGTAATTTATCTTCTTTAAAACTGCTGTCTTTAAAGTGATGGAAGAGCCTGAGGAATATGTTGTGGAAGAAAAGCTGCACATTATTTCTAAGAGAGTGGAAGCTGAGCCAGCTGAAGGTATGCTGACTCTTTAATTAGTTTTATCCCTATGTTAGCTTGTCTCCTTCTTTATGTTTCCTTATAGCTAATTTGTCATCCATATTGCAAATATTGATAAATATCATGTCTAATAAAAAGATCCCTTACACTTTTATCGAAAAGAAATCTAGACATTTCTACAAACATATTTTATAATCTTTTCAAGTGACAGAGAGGCAGGAGAAGAAAATTGTACTGAAACCAAAAATTCCTGCTAAAATAGAGGAGCCTCCACCGGCTAAAGGTATGATTTCTTTCAAAGAAATGCAACACTATTTATTTTAATGTATATAATAATACCTTCACATTTGCATAACTGTCTTATGCATAACAATTTGCATAACTGTCTACGTTTTGTCAGAACACATGTATGAACGTATTTACTGAGTATAGTCATTAACGTTTGTATATATGTGCAATCTTTTCAAAAAGTGAATGCTAAGCCCCACAACTGTGTCACTTCATATGTAAGGCAAACTCATATTCTTAAACCTAATCTTTCTAAAGTTCCTGAAGCACCTAAGAAAATTGTGCCAGAAAAGAAAGTTCCTGCTCCAGTTCCTAAAAAGGAAAAGGTGCCCCCACCTAAAGGTATATTGGATTTTATTTTATTCTCAAGACTGTCTTTTTTTAATCTTAAATTGATACATTCTTCAGATTTTTTAAACATTAACCAGAAAATAAGTGTGCCTGTGTTTAGTGTTTTCCATATCGTATGTTTGATGGTATTGCCTGGTATCTTTTAAGTGCCAGAAGAGCCAAAGAAACCAGTTCCAGAAAAAAAGGTTCCTCCAAAAGTCATTAAGATGGAAGAACCTCTCCCAGCCAAAGGTAAACAAACCTCCCCAGCAGAAAAACTAGGAACATATGGCTTGTCTTTCTTTCTCTCTGCTGCTGTTCTTTGGGTCATACTGTTTATATGTTGGTGGGTGACAATGGTGTCTTTGGGTAGAGTATTACTTGTGATGTTTTTGTGTGTGTGCCTTGTAAATTCTTCTATTCTAAAATCACAGTACTTTCTGGCTAGTATATTTTTTACGTCCACTTTGATATAACTCCCTAATCCTAAAATTATCTTTTAAGTGACTGAGAGGCACATGCAAATTACCCAGGAAGAAAAAGTTCTTGTTGCTGTAACTAAAAAAGAGGCGCCTCCAAAAGCAAGAGGTACATCCGCCCTTCCATTATGCACAATATTGTACTTGCCCTACTCTCTTTACCAAATACACTGGTTATGGGGGCTGGTTTTTGTTGTTGTTGTTGTTGTTGATGTTGTTGTTGTTGTTACAGTTGTTGTTTTATGTTTGAAATAATGAAAATGTCAAGTGTTTATGTTTGGGCTACTACTTTATGGCTGCCTTTTTGTGGTTTGAAAGAGGGAAACAATACTTTAAAGTGAAATCTCTCTTTAAAGTGCCAGAGGAACCGAAGAGAGCTGTCCCAGAAGAAAAAGTTCTGAAACTCAAACCTAAAAGAGAGGAGGAACCACCAGCTAAAGGTATACTGACTCTTAAAAAAAAAAAAAAAATCAAAATAAGCATCCAGACACTAAAACTAATCTAGTGGAATAGGTTCCATTAGAAAAAAAAAGACATAGTATAAAGTAAGCAATATAAGTTTGTTAATGCATATCACTTCAAAACTAAACATTTTTGATAACAGAAAGTACTTTTTTCTTAAAAAAAAGTGAGGCTTCTTCTAAACGTATGTGAATAATTTTCCTTAATCTGTATTTGTCTTCTAATGTCTTTTCCATATACTAAACTCATCTGCCTAGATGCTTGCTTTATGTGGCAATCTCTGATGAAATTTTTAATTTTTTCAATTCTGAATTTTCTACATTGTACCAATAGAGCTAAGGAAAATGTCTTAGAAGTGAGGTGAAGAAACTATTCATGTAACATAGGTTTCTGTCTAATGCTTCTACTTAGTTTGATAGTCATTATTTATGCTGTTTAGTTGTCTTTTTAAACTTTTATAAATACTACTTGATTTTCCTAAAATTATTCAATGTCTTTGACGTACTTCATATGTATATTAGAGTAAGTTTATTTCCAAGTCTATTGATTTTCTTGCTTTTTAAATGAAAGTTTAATCAGGCACTGTTATGGTTGTCTTTGTCCTTGAATTGTTTGAACAAAATTTCTCTTCACACACACATTTTCAGAATCTTGCAATTCACTTTTAATAATTACTCCTTTAAAGTGACTGAATTCAGAAAAAGAGTGGTTAAAGAAGAAAAAGTATCAATTGAAGCTCCAAAAAGAGAACCTCAACCCATCAAAGGTATATTGAACTTTGATTAAGTAATGTGAGGCATGAAACTATCTGGCTCTTTGCCTTCTAGTTCCCAATCTGACTCCTATACTTTATTAGCTTATTGTTGATTAAGGGCAGGGTATATAACATTTGAAATCACAATTGCTAAATATACTCTATGATACCTTGACTGGCCAAAAAAGAACAGTCAGGGTCTCCCATAATCAGTGCATGAAACAAACGCAAAAGAATAAAATCAAAGCACATTGTTACTATCAGTCATCCTTAAAAGTGCTTTAAAGTAAAGTGCTGCCTGTTGTTAATATTGTTTCAGAAGTAACTATAATGGAAGAGAAAGAAAGGGCTTATACCCTAGAAGAAGAAGCTGTTTCAGTACAACGGGAAGAAGAATATGAGGAATATGAAGAATATGATTATAAAGAATTTGAGGAGTATGAACCAACAGAAGAATATGACCAATATGAAGAATACGAGGAGCGGGAGTATGAACGATATGAAGAGCATGAAGAATACATCACAGGTATGAGCAAAACTGCAAACTCAAAACCACACTAAATATGTGCACACTCAAACAAGATAAAACAAGATAAATCATAACAAGATAAAAATTTGGATACCCAAAGAAATTTGGAAAGAACTTTGTTTCATTTCGCAAATGCGGAATTTTCTTCTTTGATAACTTCTAGAAAAAATTTTAAAAACCCTCTATAAATCTTAAGGTTATTGTTAGACTTTTGTTCCGGGAATAATCTAATACCCCCCTCATTTTTGCTCGTATGCAAAATAGCAAATGTCCCTAAGTTTCTTTTTCAAAAAGGTTACAAGTTTATCTTCAAGTGCCCGTGATCATTCTAGTACATGGTTAAAAATTTCTGAACATCCTTTATTCTAAAACTTGCTATTACGGAGTATGATAGGCTATTGAGAAAATGTATTTACCCACAGGGTTCCCATTATCAAAACTTGACAATGACTGCTTCAAAAGTTAAGATAGAGATGTAAGCTAACACAAGCTGTTGTGTTTTACCTAATGAAGGTCAAATTTGTTGGCATATAGTTTGGGCTTCAAATTGTTTATTTTACTCAAAGAATAAATCTCTATTGAAATTTTGAAATGAATCAATCTTATTTCACTTATTCAGTCTCTGATGTTTCATAGCCCAACTTTGAGAACATTCTACATAGTCTTACTGATAGCTTTAAAAAAACCATATTATAGGGGAGTTTCAGCCAGGAATTTATCTACCTGAAATGAAATGAGAATTTTAATATGTAAGAATTACCTAATTAAAGAAAATAGCAAGAAGGAAAGGGCAATATGAGCTTGTTCTGCTTGGATCTCTGATTCTTGCCTACTTCAATAGGCTATGGCTATACTGTAGATAAAAGATATTATTTCAATTATTTGATTCCTTTTAAGAAATGTTTAAACTTATATTCTAAGTCTAACATGAAATACCTTGTATGTACTTTTAAAGAACCAGAGAAGCCTATCCCTGTAAAGCCTGTCCCAGAAGAACCAGTTCCCACAAAACCAAAGGCCCCACCGGCTAAAGGTAGAGTGAAAAAAACATTATTACCTGTAAGAGATCTTTGTTTCCTCCATGTCTGTCCTACTATAAAAATATATGTAAAAGTGGCAGTGTACAAATTATGTGTGTGTTTGGGAATATTATGTTGTATTTGTCTTTCTTAACTTTTTGTTCTTGCTAGCCTTGAGAAACCTGTTTCAATTTTTAAAATCTCTTAATATTGATATTTTGAAGTGCTGAAGAAAGCTGTCCCTGAAGAAAAAGTACCAGTGCCCATTCCTAAGAAACTCAAACCTCCACCACCCAAAGGTACATTACTGAGTAATAATCACCAAAAACAACTTTGTTATGTATGTTCTAAAATCATGTCTTCCTAGCCCGTCTGATGGTCTGTGTTTTTGCTGAGTAGGATGTTCTTGTCCTGATTCTTACATTTCAGTTTTTTATGTGTATTTATTACATAGTATTCAAGGAGTTGGTTTTAATGCTCTTTAATAATTAATATCTTTAAAGTGCCTGAAGAACCAAAGAAAGTTTTTGAGGAAAAAATACGTATTTCAATTACCAAACGTGAAAAAGAGCAGGTGACTGAACCCGCTGCTAAAGGTATAATGATTTCCTTCCTCGATTGTGATCTTTTCTGATGCCTCTTTTGAAATTAATGTAACTATGATTCATTTCATTTTGTTGTTTCATGTCTTTTAAATTAGTTGTCAGCAGAATGTTGGATGTAAAAATGTGTAAATACAGGATAAGAAGATAATGCCTTTAAAAGGAAAAATTATTTCTAAATACATCCATAGCCTGTTAGCCAGTGGCTGTGTCCTGCCACATGGCTACAATACATATAAAATAGAATGTTTGGGTTTAAAATCAGTGACCGTTTGGCATATTCCTGATTTACCTAAATGATGTAATGATACCATAATATTCACCAAGCTTTGGTAACTGTTTATTCATTCTAAATTCATTTTGAAGATTTTTTTTAAAGCTAACCAGTTTCCAGTCATTTTCCCCCTGATTCATACTAAGTATGAAGTATACTAATTGAGAAGTAAATTTCACTTTTCAGGAAGGATATTTCTTTCAAGCAGAGATATTTGAACACTAAACCTCATTTCACATTTGGGCTCTGCTACTTCATGTTTACTTGGGTACTTCTGTGTACTTGTATTTATATGAAGCTCAGAATCCTTTCCACAGAGAGTATATAGTTTCTTAAAGATGAACAATCGCATATGTATCTCATTAAAGGAAGATACATTATTCTATCTGCTTAAAGTACAGCAAAACAAGCATTGGCTGGGTGGCCTTTTACTGACAATAAAATTTCCTTATACTTCATATTTCAAGTGCCCATGAAGCCCAAGAGGGTTGTCGCAGAAGAAAAAGTACCTGTCCCTAGAAAAGAAGTAGCACCACCTGTTAGAGGTACCTAATGGCACTCATTTTAATGTTTTGTTCGTCTTTTGCTGTTGAATTCCTCTTCAGTTCTGTGTGTGAAAACTTCTTTTGTGGGAAAAGTAAATCTTGTCCTTTCTTCTGTTATAAATGGGCCTGTGTTTCTAAGGTGTCTTAATTTTGTTGAGTCATTGGCAAATGTCCAACTTAAAGATAATATCTTTAAAGTGCCAGAAGTGCCTAAAGAACTTGAACCAGAAGAGGTTGCCTTTGAAGAGGAAGTTGTAACCCATGTAGAAGAATATCTTGTAGAAGAAGAAGAAGAGTACATTCATGAAGAAGAGGAGTTCATAACTGAGGAAGAAGTGGTGCCAGTGATACCAGTCAAAGGTAGATGATGCCTCCTGCAAAGGGCTGTGCAACAGCATCTTTGGAGTTTGGGGGTCTGATTTGGTCAGATTCTGGGGGTTATTGGCAGCACCAATGATTGCTTACTTTAAAGCAGATATTTTTAGATGCTGAAATATGATTTCTACAGGTGCTTTTCACATTTTATTTCTTTCCTGCAAAATTTCCAACATTCTTAATAATATCTTTAAAGTGCCTGAGGTACCCAGGAAACCTGTTCCAGAAGAGAAGAAACCTGTTCCTGTTCCCAAGAAGAAGGAAGCTCCACCGGCAAAAGGTACACCACCATTCATTGACGGGTATCTAAGAGACTTCATCTGCCTAGAAATAGTTAACTTTCTTCTGAGTTCAAAACCTTGTGTGTGTGTCACTGTCCGTTGTTAAAAAACATTAGCTGTGTTTTATATGGATGTGTTGTTACTAGTAGTTAGAACTTAACAATAAACAATATCTTTAAAGTGCCTGAGGTTCCTAAGAAGCCAGAGGAGAAAGTTCCTGTGCTTATTCCTAAAAAGGAGAAGCCTCCGCCAGCAAAAGGTACATCCTTATAATCCATCAGTGGAATAGCATGATAATTCACCCATGCAGCATAACTTGGTGAGCCATAGCAGATCTTTCCCCATGACAATATTAACAACATTAATGCCATGACAAGCGCCTCTCAACTGGCCACAGGAGCAGTTTACCCGGTATTCATCTCTGAATTTTACCATCAAATTATGCTTATGCTCAATGGTTGGCTCCTCCTCTTTAGTGGAAAGTTCTTCAAGTAAAATACATTCCTTTTGCATATCAAAATGGACAAAACCATCATTTACCAGGCATTGTGTCTTGTCTTTATCACCAGTCCACGTTTTTTTCGGTGTTTTTTATTTTAATTTTTGTGTATTTTCTGGCCTTTGTTTTGTGGCTATTATAATTTTCAGTCTTAAAGTGAAATTGATAGAATATCTATGCTGCTTCAGTTAAGGCCTTACATTGCCAGCCTTAAAATCTTAGCTATGGGTAAAAAATGTGACACTAACTCTATTTGATATCTTTGAAGTTCCTGAAGTGCCCAAGAAACCTGTGCCAGAGGAGAAAGTACCAGTACCAGTTCCTAAAAAGGTGGAAGCTCCACCTGCCAAAGGTACATGAACTTGCAATGTTGCAATATTTTTATTTCACATTTGCATATGGGTAAAAATTAATTGGTTTAATTCTGTACTCTTTGGGATGCAACTCTTTAGAGAAAATTAAATATTTTATTTTAAAAATAAAATGCTTCTTGGAATACCTTTGTCATACTTTTATTACCTTATCTTAATCTTTTGAAACTATGCTTGGAATCAGTATTTTTATGTCGTATAAAATTTTTCTCTAAATCATTTCGTTAAAGTGCCAGAGGTACCCAAGAAGCCTGTGCCTGAGAAGAAGGTGCCAGTTCCTGCTCCTAAGAAAGTGGAGGCTCCACCTGCAAAAGGTACATAATTTCATCACTTAGAGTACTTGGGGGAAAAAACTCACATCTATGTATACTCACATACAAATTTCCCCATTACATTGTACATTTTTAAAGTGTCTATCTGGTTAGAAATATGTCAGATATTTTGTGATTCTTTTTCATATCTATTGCTCTAAGACATTTTAAAAGAACATATTCCTAAATATAAATAATATCTTTAAAGTGCCAGAGGTGCCCAAGAAGCTCATCCCAGAAGAAAAGAAACCAACACCTGTTCCGAAAAAAGTGGAAGCACCACCACCCAAAGGTACATTAATCTGTAACAGAGCCATGGTAAAAGACAAAACTAACTGGTGTTATACAGCCTTACTAATTATAATTAATGCTTAGTATTTATGTTGATAATAATTGATGCTTTGTGATCACAGAATATTTGCCTTTCATAAGCTTCTTCATTGTTGTGAATATTTTACATAAAAGTGATGTTTGTACCCTTGAATAAATATCTTTAAAGTGCCAAAGAAACGTGAACCAGTTCCAGTTCCTGTAGCTCTACCTCAGGAAGAGGAAGTTCTATTTGAAGAAGAAATTGTTCCTGAAGAGGAAGTTCTACCTGAGGAAGAGGAAGTTCTACCTGAGGAAGAGGAAGTTCTACCTGAAGAAGAGGAAGTTCTACCTGAAGAAGAGGAAATTCCACCTGAGGAAGAGGAAGTTCCTCCCGAAGAAGAATATGTACCTGAGGAAGAAGAATTTGTACCTGAAGAAGAAGTCCTTCCAGAAGTTAAACCTAAGGTGCCAGTACCTGCACCAGGTATAGCAGCTCTTCTTGGAATCATCAAGGCCTCTTTTGTGTTGAATTCTGCTTTCCCATCCTTTTGTTCATCTCCAGTTTTATCTATAATCCTTTACCCTCTGTGATTGACCACCTAAATCTTAGAAAACATTCCAGACATGTGTGTTCTTATTGTGTATCTGCCTTGTGTATCTGTCTATTGTAAATTATCTAAATGTCTTTTCAAATCACATATTATGTTTACATGTTTGTGGTCTTATCCTCACGTGTCTCTTTCATATATATATATATATATATATATATGACCATGTATATGTGGTTTTTAATGCCTTCAAATGAAATGTTTTTAAGTGCCTGAAGTGCCAAAGAAACCTGTACCAGAGAAGAAAGTCCCTGTTCCCGCCCCTAAAAAAGTGGAACCTCCACCACCACCCAAAGGTACACCTCCCCAAAGTGAATACACATTGTTCACCCATAGCTTGGTCACATAAATTATGATGAAACTGGGTTTTAGGAAAATTATATTTACAAAATGGATAATCACACAGTTACATATTTACTTCTAACGATGTTCAGGAACACTGATATCTACTTTTTTCACTGATACAAAGCAGTATTCAAGAACAAAGATGAAAGGAAGCATTGTCCCAGAACTGATACAAAAGTTCTGATTTCATATCATTTGATTAAACATCATAGTTTTCATGGAGATATATTTAAATATATATGAATAAGTATACTATATATTTAAATGTATTGAAAACTATTATGAATAAATATTCTTAAATTTCTTCCTTCAACCATTTATATTAAATGCCTTTTTAACACCAGGCTAAAAAGAAAAAAAGATGAATGTATTTATCAAAACACAGAATAATAGTTATGTCTTCTAATACATATATATAAAGGGCAGCCCAACAGGTTTTGATTTTAGCGTTGACTTTACACCTTGTTGTATTACTCTCAGCGAGTCCTTTAACCAACCTGAGCCTGAAGTTATTTTCCTGTAAATTGGGGATGCTAATATCAGTCTTAATGGGCTCAGCTATTATGGTGAGAATTAAATAAAGTAAGGTATTAAAGTAGTCTATCATTGAATGAATAGTATCCAGATTTAACATATTCAATCAGCTCATAGTACAGGACAGAATTAATATATTTGTGCTTTAAAGCTCAATAATATTTTCTACAAAAGATGCTGGCATGGCTGCTTAAAATCAGCATAACCCTCGCATCAGGCCATATAGTTATATAATCAAATGAAATAGTAAAGCTGATCTTTTATTGGATATCAACGATTCAGAAATACTTTCTAGACAATAAATTACTAGTGAAATTTAAATGTATGAAATGATATTAGGTTGGTGCAAAAGTAATTGCGGTTTTTAGCATTAAAAGTAATGTCAAAACCGCAATTATTTTTGCACCACCCTAATAGCATCTGTCCTCTGATAATGACATATGCTGCTGGTCCCTTGCTTTACAAATCCCAATTACATTATAATATCTGGGCTCCCAACTAACATGACAGACCTGTCTTGAGCGACTGTTAACACATTGGTCTTTCTGGGTGTGGGGTCTTCTTGGTTTCTCTTTTTTTGTCCTTCAAAATAAATCCTTATCATGAAATGATGTCTTTAAAGTGCCTGAAATTAAGAAGAAAGTGACAGAGAAGAAAGTGGTCATTCCCAAGAAAGAGGAGGCTCCCCCTGCCAAAGGTATTGCTATTCCGAAGTAAATTAGACTATGCCATTTCCTTCCTTCTCCTATAAAAGTCAAAATGTCCTGTTTCCGTATTTGTTAATACAACTTATATTACTGCTGTGTCTACTTGTCTTTGTGTGTGTGAAACTGAACTTATAAAATAAAATAATATTTTTAAAGTGTCTGTGGTACCTAAGAAACCTGAGCCAGAAAAGAAGGTCCCTCCTCCTGGTCTTAAGAAAGCAGTGGCCCCTCCTGCCAAAGGTACATCATCCCATAACAGGGATATGTTTGCTGCACCGATGTTGAACTGTGGTTCTATCCACACAGGACACTCAACATAAATGTGTGCATTGTATGGTCTGTCATTCACATTCGTCATTTCTGACTCTTTTGCACCCAAGTTTGTGTTGTGTCCATTTTTTCACTTGGTGTTGGTGTGCTTTACATCGTTTCTCTATGTATGTTGTTTCTAAAAAATAAAAATATATCTTTAAAGAGCCAAAAAT
Organism: Homo sapiens; assembly: GCF_000001405.40. NCBI lineage: Eukaryota > Metazoa > Chordata > Mammalia > Primates > Hominidae > Homo > Homo sapiens. The sequence continues at coordinate 178,675,425 of NC_000002.12, read as the reverse complement.
AACTAAGGAACTAGTCCCTGAAATACCCATTTCTTCATACCCATTTCTTCCTACAAAAAAAAAAAAGACAAAAGAAAAAAGAAATAGAGGCTCCAGCAGTAAAAAGTAGAATTTCTCTTTAATAAACCCTAAATCTTAAACCACAAACCTTTTTATTCTTTTCTCATTAACCGATTCTGTGAAATGTCAATGTTTCATCTTGTGTATGTGCCTTGTGATATTTACTCTCTTATGTTGGAAACTGGAAACGTGGTCTTTATTCTTCTTTGGTTCTTGCATTTTAAGTGTCTAAAATAATCAATGTCTCTCAAGTTCCTGAGGTGCCTAAGAAGGTGGAAGAAAAACGAATCATTCTCCCTAAAGAAGAGGAAGTTCTACCAGTTGAAGGTAGATAACTTTCTAAGAAAATAACATTTCAAAGTCATCCTTGTCTTATTATTGTCTAATATTTGAAGTAGGTAAATGTAAAATTTACCCCAGGAAATCAACATATTCAGATTCTAAAATAAATTATTATTAACCTAATAGAAATTGGGCAGGCAAATTAATATTATTTGAATCTCTTTGCATGTTCAGCCTGTTTGTCTGTTTGCTATTTGTTTTATTTTAATTAGAATTCATGAAGGGAAACTGTATTTGCTGTGGGAAATTTTTCATCAAATGACTTAGTAGGCAACTGTAAAATAAGCTTATCCAAGAGAAATTCCAGTTAAGCCTGAGTAACTGGTGCAGAAAATCTGATTTCTACCCCAAGTGGCTGTTTGACTTCAAACAAGTCTTTCATTAAAAAAAAAACAATAATAATTTTTTTATTATTATAAATTATCTGAAGTCCTTTCCAGTTCACAAATGCTGGGATATGCCTAACATATTTTGAAGACCCAGTAGAGATTTTTTAAGGACTAGTGAGTTTACACAAGCGTTTCGAAGGCTGAGCAGTTTTCAGATATTATCACTGTAGTCTAATATTCAAAATAATTATAAAAATAATTTACAAAATAATAATCTTTTTAAAGTGACTGAGGAGCCTGAAGAAGAGCCTATTTCAGAAGAAGAAATCCCAGAAGAACCACCTAGCATAGAGGAAGTTGAAGAGGTGGCACCACCTAGAGGTATAACCGCTTTTAAGGATTGAACATTTAAAATTCCTGGTGTTCCAAATCTTTCTCAGTAGCTAAATCTAAGATTCACCAGTATGCTTTTCTTATATCGTATCCATGATAAAGTGAAGATTAATTATTCCTGGCACCTGAATCTATGTGTCCTTTTTTTACCCTAAATTTTTCTACAACATCTGCAATACAACTAAGAATGAGAGATTACTATTTTGTTATTGGCGATTGAATTTTTTTCTGACCAGGCCCTACTATAATAGTTTCTCCTAGATTTCAATCCTTAATTTTGTTTTTAATATTAATATGGGGGGAATCTATTTCTCTGGTGAAAGTGTTCATTTTTTAAGAAAAATCTTTAATTTACTATTCCTGAAGAGTGTGATAATATTTTGCATAATTGGTATTACATTTGCTTATAGGATTTCTAAGTAATATCCTTTACACCTCTAGGGTTCCTACTCCACATTTATTATTACCATTTAGGTTGCTAATATCTTTTAAAAATAAGTCAATGTTTTGTGATATTTATTTATTGGTATATGGGTGGTGTTCTGCTCATCACATGCCACTTTTCAAAATGTTCATAAAATTTCTTTTAAGTGCCTGAAGTGATTAAGAAAGCAGTACCTGAAGCACCTACTCCTGTTCCTAAAAAAGTGGAGGCACCACCAGCTAAAGGTATATCAAATCCTCATTATTAATATCTTTAACTTCCCATTAATTTTCTTTCTTAAAAGCAACATTTTCTTTTTTGACTGCCTTCTTATAATCATTTAGATAGTGAACTGATTAAGGACCAGTAAAAATATAACTCATTCCATTTCTTTAATCTTTTCTAGGATGTTAACGAATAATTGTGTGCATGTGTTTACGTATGAATTATTCTAGAAGCTTCTTAACTGAGAATTTTAATATATTAGTATGTCTCTATATACTTATACACATAGCAATGGATCCCTCTTCCCCACATTTTAGATTTTATTCCATAAGTGGAACGGAGTTTTCTTCTGTGTTATAATAATTATTTTACTATATTTATTATTTTATGGAACAAACCTAATGCTTGGATAATAACTATTTTAAAGAGCCTCACGTCCCTTTTGTAATGTTTAGCCCAAGCATTCAAGGTTATTACAAAATGTCTACTTTTCCCTGCTTCCTAATTCACTTAATGCTTCAGACAGTGCTCTTAAGCAGTTAGATTATGCTGTCCCTGTCATAGTAGACTCCTCAGCTAATAGAAGAGTGCACAGCAGAAAGTGAGGCCAGTGTCAGGGCTTAAATACTCTACAATGGTAATCACTTCAAAAAAGTCTTCATCAAGTTAAAAATAGTAAAAGTGAGTCCATATTGGTAATCCCTGTTATTAAAAGAAAAAAAAAAGAATGGCACAGGTACTTTGTGGACATTTCTTCTTCTATAGGAATGTTAGAACAAATGAGTGATTTGAGAAAGTATCTTTATTGCCTCTAAAATGGATGTCCCACAGTACAGAGTGACTTCTGAAAAACTTTAATTATTGTAATGTTGGCGTTGTCTCTGGTGTTTTTATTTCATGTGTGTTATTGAACATTCTCAGCTAACTAAAACACCTAATATCTTTAAAGTGTCAAAGAAAATTCCTGAGGAAAAAGTACCTGTTCCTGTTCAGAAAAAAGAGGCACCCCCAGCCAAAGGTACATCTTCTCTTTTAAACCTGACTTCCTCTTCTGTCTTTTTTCGTTAAGACTTTTATGTTTCATGTCTCTGTGTCTTGATTGTTTTTGATGATTTTTGTCTATGAAAGCTTGCTCTCGACAGTCCTAAATATTAAAACTGTATCTTTAAAGTGCCTGAAGTACCAAAGAAAGTCCCAGAAAAGAAAGTCCTTGTGCCTAAAAAGGAAGCTGTTCCCCCAGCTAAAGGTATTTTTGGAAAGATCCTGGATTTTCGTGTATTGTTGCATGCAATCCTTTATTCAGTTTTAAAAATATATATTTTGAATGTACATCTTTATTTCTTCAGTGTTTAAAAAAATAAGTCTTAAAATAGATGCTCTTTCAGGGAGAACTGTCCTTGAAGAAAAAGTATCAGTTGCCTTCCGCCAAGAAGTAGTAGTAAAAGAAAGACTAGAATTAGAAGTAGTAGAAGCAGAAGTGGAAGAAATTCCGGAAGAAGAAGAGTTCCATGAAGTTGAAGAATATTTTGAAGAAGGCGAGTTTCATGAAGTAGAAGAATTCATCAAATTAGAACAACATAGAGTTGAAGAAGAACACAGAGTTGAAAAAGTTCATAGGGTAATAGAAGTTTTTGAGGCTGAAGAAGTGGAAGTATTTGAAAAACCAAAAGCTCCACCTAAAGGTATAGGGAATTCTTCAAATACTACAAATTCTTATATCTTGCTCTAACTTTCCTTTGAAAGTAAATTTTGTGTTCAGTTTGGAAGATTAGAAACCCCATGAAATACTTTAAACATGAGTTTAAACTAGTTGACACAAAGATTAATATCTCTTAACCACACGGAGTATAATTTTAGTAGATGATAGTAATATTTGATATCTACTTATCTAAGGAGGTCACTGTATGAATTTGGGGATTATTTTTTAAATCTGACTAAGAATGTTACACAATTGTTACAGGTACCAAAATAACTGACCAGTGTCATTGGTTAAGTGAAAAAGAAACTCCTCAGTTCACTGAGGAATTTACATGTTCAGGCAAAATAATCACTGCTTTAACATTTTAGTCAACTGTTCACAAACTGAGAAATACTTACCAAAAGCTTTTGCCAGTTTATGATACTTTCATTAGAGAAACAACATTAAGGAAGTGAAGTATTGTTAATGGCACCTGTATTCTAGCATACTGTGAAGACAAGCCATAGCACAAATAAGTTATCTGCAATACCACTCTAGATCTTGCACAAATTAACAATATATGTGTAATATGAAGGAATGTGTGTGTGTGTGTGTTTAGCATATATAGCAAATTACAATATACATGATATTTAGCAAATCAAATCTCTTTTGGAAATAAGTGTGTTATAAATTAAAAAAATATAGATAAAGAATTTTGTGACCCCTCATTGTACTAACGTTAGTAGTAGTGCTCCAAAATACTTCAAGAGTTCATTCTAAACCAAAATACTAATATCTTTGAAGGGCCTGAGATATCTGAGAAAATCATCCCTCCAAAAAAACCGCCCACTAAAGTTGTTCCTCGAAAAGAGCCACCAGCTAAAGGTATCTTCTTTGTGAAAAATTACTACTTAACTTTACATACAATAGCACCTTGGTTGCTTTATAAGCACAAGTTTGCATTCCACTTGATGTCTTTCTTCTGTATTTCTTGTTTCTGACATGTCTAAAACAAACTAATATCTTTAAAGCAGCTGAGGGTCCAAGGGAAGTTCTACCAAAAAAAGACAGTCACTGTTGTTATACCTAAAACAACCAAAGCAAATATCTCTAGTAACCAAATAGTGAGCCCAAATTTCCTCCTTTGGTGCTATTTGGTTATATATTCACTAACATGCTTACTGATAAACACATGTTTTTCTATTTATTATTAATTATATTAACCTGGCAAATATAAATACATAGTGAATATGTGTTTAATGTTCTTGCTTTGTTCATTTTTGCAAATCTCTTAAATTTCACAATAGAAATAAAAACAGTATCTAATAAATAATATAAACTTATTTCTTTAAAGTCTCTGAAGCATGTGCGTAAGTTATCACTGAAGAGAAGGTAGCAACTCTTCCACAAAAACAAACAGTAATAGCACCAGCTGAAGGTGTACTGTTAATTTTTCTTCTCAAGTTCTTACCATTCTAACATGGGAAATTTCCCTGGATTTTTGTTATTATATATTTTTTAAATTCAATGCATTTGAAATACTGTAATGTATTTGATAAAGTGTTGTCTGCATTTTATATTGTTGCTGTGTTCTGTTCTGTGTTTATATCTCTCATGCTCTGCTTGTTAAAAAATTGTATATTTAAAAATAAAAGAAATTATTACTATTATCTTTAAAGTACCGGAGGTGCCTAAGAAAATTGTGGTAGAAGAAAAAGTACGTGTTCCTGAAGAGCCCAGAGTTCCACCAACTAAAGGTAACTGGCTTTTCTCATTCATCATTAATATAAAATCCTTTTTTATTCACTTACTATGTAAGAGAGACCTTTCTCTTCTCAATGCCACAAGATGGCTATGAATGACATAAACTTCAATTTATGTTCTATAACATAATCCTGCCTTTTGAGGCAATGTTTTAGGCGTAAAGACATAAGCCCAAAGTTATCATTTGTATTGATCCTCTTATTTAATAACTAAATAATATTGATCCCTCAACTTCTCTTTCAAAAATAATTCATTTTGGAAGCTCTTCTGAAGTAGCTCTGGAAAAAAAAAAGTGTGCTCTAAATGGCAATAGAAAATGATACTATCTCCAAAGAGCAAAGTGTTTCTGATATAATGAATCAAGAACTCATCGACAAAGCAATTCAGAGAAATGCAATGACTACATTTGACTTATAGTTGACTTATAATTGAGGGGTTTTTGGCGTTCATCTTGTTAGATGCCCCTTCTAGGCTTGCTATGTTTACACCCAACTATAATGTTCTGAAAAAATAAGATAAATAAATATCTTTAAAGCACCCGAAGTACCCAAGAAAATTGTCCCAGAAGAAAAAGTTCGTGAAGCTGTTCTGAAAAAGCCTGAAGTTCCACCAGCTAAAGGTATACAGTGATGCTAATCAGAACATGAAATAATTCTTGGTTTAGTTTTTCATGGTTTAAAGTGAATGTGTGTGACATTAAATCCTTGTATTTCGTATCTTATATTTGTTATCTGTAACAATTAATATACTAATATCTTTAAAGTTCCTGGGATGCCTAAGAAAAGTGTTCAAGAAGAAAAATCACCTATTGTTATTTCTGAAGACACAGAGATGTACAGTGAGTGTAGAAAAATTAGTGGTTCTTTTTCGTTTCATTTATGTCCTTAAATTCACTATGTTTGTCTTTTTAGCTTTGAAAAGTAAATATACTAAACTCTTATAAAAGCCTAACATGCCACAAATATATGACTCAAATAATCTTAGTGTCTATTATCCTCAGACAAGTTATATTTCCTCACCAATTTAAAAAAGAAATACTCTACTTATCAGAGTGTATGATTTCAGAAAAGTCAGTTGTCTTGTTAAATTTTCCTAACCTATTCTGTATACAAGTGTCTTTTGCTTTGAAGCAATTTATTTTCTCAGATCATGAAGTAACTTAACTCCATAATATTTTAATTGGATTTTATAAAATCAAAATGTTTCACCATTATTTTTTTTTTTACTCTTGATAACCATAATTGGAAACATTTTGGCAAAACTGCTCAAAGGACCCTAGGTTTACAAGGCCACTCAAACCTCAAAAGAATTCTCACGACCTTTTTTTTTGGGGGGGGGTTTCATACAAAATTAGGTTTAAATAATTTGAATTATGAAATAATCCAAATAGTAAAATATTGTGAATAGAATACTGTTCAACAACCTGAATAGTAAAAGTGACAGTAGTCAAAATATTCTTCCTTTTTTTTTTTTTTTTGAGATGGAATCTCACTCTGCTGCACCCAGGCTGCAGTGCAGTGGCACGATCTTGGCTCACTGCAACCTCCGTCTCCTGGGTTCAAGCTATTCTCCTGCCCCAGCCTCCCGAGTGGCTGGGATTACAGGTGCCTACCACCAGGCCCGGCTAATTTTGTGTATTTTTAGTAGAGACAGGGTTTTACCATGTTGGTCAGGCTGGTCTCAAACTCCTGACCTCAGGTGACCCGCCCACCTCAGCCTCCCAAAGTGCTGGGATTACAGGCATGAGCCACTACACCAGACCCGCTTCCATTTTTTTTAATCTAAAAAATTTCCTGTTGAAACTCAACTTTCTTGTTGTTCATCCTGTTATACTAAGTTGGGATAAAATAATATAATCACTTCCTCCTTTGAATATCCTTTCTATTCTTGACTTTAGTTATTGTTTTCAGACAGTTTTTCTTTCTAAAGGCTGGAGAAATTTTTGTTGTCTTTATTTGCCTTATTTTCTAAGTATTTAATTTTTTTAATTTTCTGCCTCCAAACCCTAAATGGCTTTTACATTCATATTAAACTGTGAAACCATATATTAGATGTGATTTGAAAATATAGATAATGAGGCTTCTAGAAAGGGAAAAGACTTACATGAATTTCTAGTAGGTCAAATATCGGAGAATTCTCAATGTGCAATTCAGCATCTTCCCTGTTCTTTATAGACAAATCCATTAAAAATAAGACCAATAGGACAATTTTACCAATAACTTTCTTAAGGCAAAATGAAGAATTATATAGTCCTTGCCTGAACAATTCCTCCATTTTATTATCATCATCATAGAGAAATGCTTAGAGTCTTACATCATGAAACTGGGAGTGAGGCTATCCCCAGCCAATGCATTCTAGCCACTAATTTGCCTCTATGTGCTACTATTAATTTTGGTGATGAATGTGGTATTATATATTATATTTTTCTTAATACACTTCTTTATCCACCTTGAAACATCCTAATTATTTAAATACTAATATCTTTAAAGTTTATGAAGCATCTGAAGAAGCAGTCCTAGAAGAAAAAGTACTTGTGACTCAACCTCAAAAGACAAAACCCAAACTAGCAAAAGGTATATAACACCAATGATCCACTCTGAAGAAAAATTATTTTTTGGCCCCTTTTAAAAAGCTCAATATTTTTCTTCACCATTTATAAATATAACTATACTCATATCTTTTAAGTGCCTGAGCCACCCAAGAAAGTTGTTCCAGAAGACAAAATATATGTGACTATTCCTAAAAAGAGAGAAACACCAGCAACTAAAGGTATATTTCAAATACATCAAACCCAGATGAGTATCTTTAGCTTTATGACTCAAACATTGCATGCTTTTTATAATTTACTGTTTTTACAACTTTTAAATGTAAACCTACTAATATCTTTAAAGAACCTGATACAACCAGAGGCATTTTTCCAGAGGTGGAGCCACCTGAGGCTATTCCTGAAATTCCAGAACATCCTCCAACTGAAGGTATAATTCTCTAGTTAGGAAAATCTAAAGAAGAAAATATACTGTCTTCAGTCTGCAAAATATTTAATGTTTAATATACATTCTCACAACCTCTAATGTTAAAATACTGTGTTTAAAGGATCTGATATACCCACAACAAAGAATGACCTATGACTTGCCCCCAAGAAAGTCAAGTCCCACACATATAATATACAAAGATAAAATATTAGAACAAAAATAACATTTCTAACATAAAGATATCTGAAATGATATTAACATATCTAACTTTCTTAGTATGTCATGTCTTTATGCCTTTGCCTTTTCTCAATTAAAAAAAATACTAATATCTTTAAAGAGTTTGAAGTCTTCAAGGAAGTCATTCCAGAGGGAGAAACTCCTATTGTTAAAAGAAGAAAAACACCATCACCAACAGGTACAAGTTGGAAGAAAGTCACCTTTTTAATCTCATGTTTGCAGTTGTACTTAACACATGTAAAAATACTAATATCTTTTAAGCCAAAGTGGCTACAGTGGAAATCATTTCAGAGATGGATCCCCCAAGTAGAAGCTCAACCAAATGTATTCATGTCCCAGTGAGTCACTCAAGAGACAACAGAGGGAAAAAATACCTTTAGCTTATACACATGAAAGATAGTTGAGTCAGTGTATTTTTATGAGGACTCCAAAGAAAATATATATACACATATTATGATCAAAACATGTCTTAAAGAAAATATTAATTCAGTGTGAAGCTGATCTGTAATATCTCTACAAGATTAGAGCACCTGAGACCCTCCCAGAATATCCTCCAACCTAGGGAAAAATAATTCCAGTTAAAGCTGGAAATCTCCCCTCCATGTTCATTTGCTCCTCTCATAGCCTATCTTTTATTTTTCAAGCATCATTTTTTTTCATTTTGAATATCTTTAGATAAGTCAAAACATGAAAAAGCTTTAAAACCTCCAGAACAATAATTTCATCATAACACCCATGGTATTCTGTAATTTGAAGAATATCTGAATATTTTGATATTTTTTCTCAGTCTGGAATCTTTTGGTTGTTCTCCTCTCTCCTAAACTTGAAAAACACTCACCTTTTTAAGGTGCCTGAGGTGTGAATACAAAAAAATGCCGACCTAGATTTTTCGAAGTGGCTGTAATTTGTTTTTCTCAACATAATAGCTAGAGGTATAGCATTAATTATAATCAATGTTTCCACTTTCCATGATCTAGTTTTCTATGCATCTACCATTCCAAGAAATAAAATTACTAATACTGATAGTGCCTGAGGTGACCAAGAAAACAGCCGCTTATAACCAAATACTCACACTGCTACAAAAGATCCGATTCTGGGGGCGGGGAGTGGGAGAAGGTTCCCATCTGGAATGTTCTGTATGTGCAGTTAAGATGGGAACTCTTTACTCCTCTTCATAACTCCAAAGTACAATGCATTCATATCTTTAAAGTGCCTGAATCACCTCGAGAAATTGTCCCTGTAAAGGAAACACCCATGGCTGCTCCCCTTGAAATTGAAATACCTCCCACTAAAGGTATCGTTCATCCTGCCATTCCTTCCTTCATTTATTAGAGTGCTTAGCATGTACAGGGTGCTAGGGAACTGGAGAATAATAAACAAAGACAATTAATATGTGGTTCCTCTCCTCAAGATTGTATACCTCCTCAGATTCTTTAAAGGAATCATCTTTTTAGCCATAAATATCACTTTGGTTCAGCTCATTTAATTAATGTCTCCACTGATCCTTTTAACCTCTAACCATAATACTAATATCTTCAAAGCACCAGAAGCTATGAAAGAAGTTGTCCCTGAAATGAAAATATTTGAGGATGTACCTGAAGAGCCAGAAACTCCACGTATGAAAAGTACGTTACCTCTGAACAAATGTGGAAGAAGAAATTATCTGTCCTCTGCTCTTAAAACTATGGTTTCTTCCTAATACTCTTCATAAATTCTAAATATAAACATACTAATATCTTTTAAGTGTCTGAGGTTCCACAGGAAGTTTCCTCTAAAAAGAAATTATTTATGGCTGTTTCTGCCAAAACAGAAAACACTCCTGCTGGAAGTATTCATTCAACAAATCCTTTATAATGAGAGTGTAGAGTGTCGCGAGAGCTCTGTGAGGTTCTGGAGGAGGGGGAGCACCTCCTCTCAAGGATCCACTAACCCCTTAAAAGACTTAGCCTATTGGTGGAACAAAGGGAGGATGGAGGAAAGAGAAGAAAATGTGGTTATATTTCCTAACTTATTGTGGTTACTGTTTTCCATTAATCATTTTAACTCTTAAATGTGAATTGCTAATATCTTTCAAGCGCCCGAAGCTCCTCAAGAAATTATTCCTGCCAAGACAGTTCCTTCCAAAAAAAGAGAACCCCCATCAGTTAAAGGTACAAGTCACCATGCTCTCAGGGTCAAGAACTAGCTCTTGTAGTTTTGAGAATATTTTTGCTATTCCTAGTTATCTGCATAACACTAAACATAAAACTACTAATTTCTTAAAGTGCCTGAAGCTCTCCAAGAAATTGTCCCTGAAAAGAAAACGCTTGTGGTTCCTCTCAGAAAGCCTGAAGTCCTTCCTGATGAAGGTATATCTTGCTGGAAGCTTAGAGGGGTGGGAACATGTCTTTTCTTGTATAAATGTTTTTCCTGATTGTGTTGATTCTTGTAACTTCTAAATGTAAAATTATTAATATCTTCAAAGTGCCGGAGGCTCTCAGAGAAGTTGTCCCGGAAAAGAAAGTGCATCCTCCCCAAAGGGCTGAAGTTGTACCTGTCAAAGGTACATTCTTAACTGTCTTTTTATGGTGGGATAGTGGGTGGGGCGATAGAAAGGACCACCTTTCTAGTTTTGAAAATTATTTTGATGTGTACATGTGAATCATGTCTGTGTTGACTCTTGCAACTCAAGTGTAAATGTATTAATATCTTCAAACTGCCTGAAGCTCCCAAAGAAATGGCTACCAAAAAGAAAATACCGGAAGTTCCTCCTCTAAAACCTGAAACACCACCTATTATGGGAACTTGTTACCACTGATCTCAGCTCAGGAGAAAAAAATAGCTCTTTTGTTCTTGAAAATGTCTTTGTATCTATCTAGTAATCTCTGTATTTTCTGAGTGTAAAAATACTAATATCTTTCAAGTGCACGAAGCTCCCAAAGAGATTATCCCTGAAAAGAAAGTGTCGGTGGTGCCTCCTAAAAAGCCTGAAGTCCCACCTGTTAAAGGTATTTGTCACTGACTTTAGGCTTCAGAAGACCTAATTCTTCTGCTCTTGACAATATTTTTTTCTAGCGGTCTTCATAACACCTAAATGTAATTTCACTAATATCTTTCAAGTGCCAGAAGCTTCCAAAGAGGTTATCCGCGAAGAGAAAGTGCCCTTGGCTCCTCCTAAAGAGCCTGAAGTCCCACCTGTTAAAGGTAGTTGCCACTGACCTTAGGCTTCAGATCTCATTCTTTTGCTCTTGAAGATATTTTTTCCAGTGGTCTTCATAACTTCTGAATGTAATTTTGCTAATATCTTTTAAGTACCAGAGCCTCCCAAAGAAGTAGTTCCTGAAAAGAAAGCGCCAGTGGCTCCTCCTAAAGAGCCTGAAGTCCCACCTGTTAAAGGTATTTGTCACTGATTTTAGGCTTCAGATGATGTATCTCTTCTGCTCTGGAAAATATTTTTCTAGTGGTCTTCATAATGCCTAAATGTAATTTCACTAATATCTTTCAAGTGCCTGAGGCTCCCAAAGAAGTTGTTCCTGAAAAGAAAGTGCCAGTGCCTCCTCCTAAAAAGCCTGAAGTGCCACCCACAAAAGGTAGACACCCTCTTGTTGCTGTGTTTGATATTGTTTGTTTGTCTTTACTTTGTCTAATAATGAAAATACTAATATCTTTAAAGTCCCAGAGGTGCCAAAGGCAGCTGTCCCAGAAAAGAAGTTGCCTGAAGCTATTCCTCCCAAACCGGAAAGTCCTCCCCCTGAAGGTAATGCCAAAGCTATACAAACTATAGGAGAAAAATAACTGTTATTTTAACTAGGAAATTACATGTTAAAAATCCTACTACATAAAGATGATATAATTCTAAAGAAAACAAATGTCAATCGCTATCCAAAATATCTTGGTGGGTGTTTATATGCAAAAGGCATCCATCATTTTCACCTTTTCTAAACACAAATTACAAATATCTTTGAAGTGCCTGAAGTGCTGCCACCGAAGGAAGTGGTCCCAGAAAAGAAAGTACCGGTGCCTCCTGCCAAAAAGCCAGAAGCTCCACCTCCTAAAGGTAGGTATCATTACACATTGTCAGTCGGGGGGCCCTGGGGAAAGACTGCATAGAAGTGTCCGCCGATCTCACAAGTTGTATTTGCTTGGGTAAATGTGGAGTCGATATTCCCCCTTTATAGCTTCTAACTAAAAGATACTAATATCTTCAAAGTTCCTGAAGCTCCTAAAGAAGTTGTACTTGAAAAGAAAGCATCTGTGGCTGTGCCCAAAAAACCGGAAGCCCCACGTGCAAAAGGTATTTATTCCCTCTCCTCTGCTAAGAAAAACTTATCGTCTGTACCCCTCACAATCACTGTAATATATACCTTCACCATTCATAAATTATAAAAATACTAATATCTTTCAAGTGCCTGAAGCTGCTCAAGAAGTTGTCCCAGAAAAGAAAATTCCCAAGGCACCAATCAAAAAACCAGAAGCCCCCGCAGTTACAGGTACATGTCAGCTCAACCTTATCCTGCAGAAGAAATCTCTCTTCCATTCCTGAAAACAATTTTAGTCCATTCCTCTTCATTAACCTAAGTATAAAACTACTAATATCTTTCAAGTGCCAGAAGTTCCTCAAGAAGCCACAGAAAAAGAAATTCCCGTGGCTCCACCCAAAAAACCAGAAGCTCCAATTGTCCCAGGTACACTTTAGCCCTGACTTCATTCTGCAGAAGAGATATCTCCTCTCCTACTGTAAACAATTTTAGCCCATTTCTCTTCATTAACTTAAGTCTAAAACTACTAATATCTTTCAAGTGCCTGAAGCTCAAGAAGTTGTCCCAGAAAAGAAAGTTCCTAAGGCTCCTCCCACAAAACCAGAAGCCCCACCTGCCACAGGTATTTTTTACCCCTGTCCTTTTTCTGCAGAAGAAATATCTCTTCTGATCTTAGAAATATTTTACTCCATTTGTCTCATTAACCTAAGTGAAAAACTACTAATATCTTTCAAGTGCCTGAAGTCCCACAAGAAATTGTGCCAGAAAAGAAAACACTGGTGCTTCCTAAAAAGCCAGAAGTTCCACCTGTTACAGGTACTTGTCATTTGACCTTAAGCTTCAGAAGATCCAATTCCTCTGCTGTATATTTTGCTAGTAGTCTCCATAGCTCCACATGTAACTTTACTAATATCTTTTAAGTGCCAGAGGCTCCCAAAGAAGTTGTCCTTGAAAAGAAAGTGCCCTCGGCTCCTCCTAAAAAGCCTGAAGTCCCACCTGTTAAAGGTATTTGTCACTGATTTTAGGCTTCAGATGATCTATCTCTTGTGCTCTGGAAAATATTTTTCTTTTTATATATATATATATTTTTATTATACTTTAAGTTCTAGGGTACATGTGCACAACGTGCAGGTTGTTACGTATGTATACATGTGCCATGTTGGTGTGCTGCACCCACTAACTCGTCATTTACATTAGGTATGTCTCCTAATGCTATCCCTCCCCCATCCCCCCACCTCACAACACACTCCGGTGTGTGGTGTCCCCCTTCCTGTATCCATGTGTTCTCATTGTTCAATTCCCACCTATGAATGAGAACATGCAATGTTTGGTTTTTTATCCTTGTGATAGTTTGCCAAGAATGATGGTTTCCAGTTTCATCCATGTCCCTACAAAGGACATGAACTCATCATTTTTTATGGCTGCATAGTATTCCATGGAGTATATGTGGAACATTTTCTTAATCCAGTCTATCATTGATGGACATTTGGGTTGGTTCCAAGTCTTTGCTAATATGAATAGTGCCGCAATAAACATACGTGTGCACGTGTCTTTATAGCAGCATGATTTATAATCCTTTGGGTATATACCCAGTAATGGGATGGCTGGGTCAAATGGTATTTCTAGTTCTAGATCCCTGAGGAATCGCCACACTGACTTCCACAATGGTTGAACTAGTTTACAGTCCCAGCAACATTGTAAAAGTGTTCCTATTGCTCCACATCCTCTCCAGCGCCTGTCGTTTCCTGACTTTTTAATGATCACCATTCTAACTGGTGTGAGATGGTATCTCATTGTGGTTTTGATTTGCATTTCTCTGATGGCCAGTGATGATGAGCATTTTTTCTTGTGTATTTTGGCTGCATAAATGTCTTTTTTTGAGAAGTGTCTGTTTGTATCCTTCGCCCACTTGTTGATGGGGTTGTTTTTTTCTTACACGTTTGTTTGAGTTCATTGTAGATTCTGGATATTAGCCCTTCGTCAGATGAGTAGATTGCAAAAATTTTCTCCCATTCTGTGGGTTGCCTGTTCATTCTGATGGTAGTTTCCTTTGCTGTGCAGAAGCTCTTTAGTTTAATTCGATCCTATCTGTCAATTTTGGCTTTTGTTACCATTGCTTTTGGTATTTTAGACATGAAGTCCTTGCCCATGCCTATGTCCTGAATGGTATTGCCTAGGTTTTCTTCTAGGGTTTTTATGGTTTTAGGTCTAACATTTAAGTCTTTACTCCATCTTGAATTAATTTTTGTGTAAGGTGTAAGGAAGGGATCCAATTTCAGCTTTCTACATATGGCTAGCCAGTTTTCCCAGCACCATTTGCTAAATAGGGAACCCTTTCCCCATTTCTTGTTTTTGTCAGGTTTGTCAAAGATCAGATGGTTGCAGATGTGTGGTATTATTCTGAGGGCTCTGTTCTGTTCCATTGGTCTATATCTCTGTTTTGGTACCAGTACCATGCTGTTTTGGTTACTGTAGCCTTGTAATACAGTAGCGTGACGCCTCCAGCTTTGTTCTTTTGGCTTAGGATTGACTTGGCAATGTGGGCTCTTTTTTGGTTCCATATGAACTTTAAAGTAGTTTTTTCCAATTCTGTGAAGAGAGTCATTGATAGCTTGACGGAGATGGCATTGAATCTATAAATTACCTTGGGCAGTATGGCCATTTTCACGGTATTAGTTCTTCCTATCCATGAGCATGGAATGTTCTTCCATTTGTGTCCTCTTTTATTTCGTTGAGCAGTGGTTTGTAGTTCTCCTTGAAGAGGTCCTTCACATCCCTTGTAAGTTGGATTCCTAGGTATTTTATTCTCTTTGAAGCAACTGTGAATGGGAGGTCACTCACGATTTGGCTCTCTGTTTGTCTGTTATTGGTGCATAAGAATGCTTGTGATCTTTGCACATTGATTTTGTATCCTGAGACTTTGCTGAAGTTGCTTATCAGCTTAAGGAGATTTTGGGCTGAGACGATGGGGTTTTCTAGATATACAATCATGCCATCTGCAAACAGGGACAATTTGACTTCCTCTTTTCCTTATTGAATACCCTTTATTTCTTTCTCCTGCCTGATTGCCCTGGCCAGAACTTCCAACACTATGTTGAATAGGAGTGGTGAGAGAGGGCATCCCTGTCTTGTGCCAGTTTTCAAAGGGAATGCTTCCAGTTTTTGCCCATTCAGTATGATACTGGCTGTGGGTTTGTCATAAATAGCTCTTATTATTTTGAGATACGTCCCATCAATACCTAATTTATTGAGAGTCTTTAGCATGAAGGGCTGTTGAATTTTGTCAAAGGCCCTTTCTGCATCTATTGAGATAATCATGTGGTTTTTGTCGTTGGTTCTGTTTATATGATGGATTACGTTTATTGATTTTTGTATGTTGAATCAGCCTTCCATCCCAGGGATGAAGCCCACTTGATCATGGTGGATAAGCTTTTTGATGTGCTGCTGGAAAATATTTTTCTAGTGGTCTTCATAATGCCTAAATGTAATTTCACTAATATCTTTCAAGTGCCTGAGGCTCCCAAAGAAGTTGTTCCTGAAAAGAAAGTGCCAGTGCCTCCTCCTAAAAAGCCTGAAGTGCCACCCACAAAAGGTAGACACCCTCTTGTTGCTGTGTTTGATATTGTTTGTTTGTCTTTACTTTGTCTAATAATGAAAATACTAATATCTTTAAAGTCCCAGAGGTGCCAAAGGCAGCTGTCCCAGAAAAGAAGGTGCCTGAAGCTATTCCTCCCAAACCGGAAAGTCCTCCCCCTGAAGGTAATGCCAAAGCTATACAAACTATAGGAGAAAAATAACTGTTATTTTAACTAGGAAATTACATGTTAAAAATCCTACTACATAAAGATGATATAATTCTAAAGAAAACAAATGTCAATCACTATCCAAAATATCTTGGTGGGTGTTTATATGCAAAAGGCATCCATCGTTTTCACCTTTTCTAAACACAAATTACAAATATCTTTGAAGTGCCTGAAGTGCTGCCACCGAAGGAAGTGGTCCCAGAAAAGAAAGTACCGGTGCCTCCTGCCAAAAAGCCAGAAGCTCCACCTCCTAAAGGTAGGTATCATTACACATTGTCAGTCGGGGGGCCCTGGGGAAAGACTGTATAGAAGTGTCCGCCGATCTCACAAGTTGTATTTGCTTGGGTAAATGTGGAGTCGATATTCCCCCTTTATAGCTTCTAACTAAAAGATACTAATATCTTCAAAGTTCCTGAAGCTCCTAAAGAAGTTGTACTTGAAAAGAAAGCATCTGTGGCTGTGCCCAAAAAACCGGAAGCCCCACGTGCAAAAGGTATTTATTCCCTCTCCTCTGCTAAGAAAAACTTATCGTCTGTACCCCTCACAATCACTGTAATATATACCTTCACCATTCATAAATTATAAAAATACTAATATCTTTCAAGTGCCTGAAGCTGCTCAAGAAGTTGTCCCAGAAAAGAAAATTCCCAAGGCACCAATCAAAAAACCAGAAGCCCCCGCAGTTACAGGTACATGTCAGCTCAACCTTATCCTGCAGAAGAAATCTCTCTTCCATTCCTGAAAACAATTTTAGTCCATTCCTCTTCATTAACCTAAGTATAAAACTACTAATATCTTTCAAGTGCCAGAAGTTCCTCAAGAAGCCGCAGAAAAAGAAATTCCCGTGGCTCCACCCAAAAAACCAGAAGCTCCGATTGTCCCAGGTACACTTTAGCCCTGACTTCATTCTGCAGAAGAGATATCTCCTCTCCTACTGTAAACAATTTTAGCCCATTTCTCTTCATTAACTTAAGTCTAAAACTACTAATATCTTTCAAGTGCCTGAAGCTCAAGAAGTTGTCCCAGAAAAGAAAGTTCCTAAGGCTCCTCCCACAAAACCAGAAGCCCCACCTGCCACAGGTATTTTTTACCCCTGTCCTTTTTCTGCAGAAGAAATATCTCTTCTGATCTTAGAAATATTTTACTCCATTTGTCTCATTAACCTAAGTGAAAAACTACTAATATCTTTCAAGTGCCTGAAGTCCCACAAGAAATTGTGCCAGAAAAGAAAACACTGGTGCTTCCTAAAAAGCCAGAAGTTCCACCTGTTACAGGTACTTGTCATTTGACCTTAAGCTTCAGAAGATCCAATTCCTCTGCTGTATATTTTGCTAGTAGTCTCCATAGCTCCACATGTAACTTTACTAATATCTTTTAAGTGCCAGAGGCTCCCAAAGAAGTTGTCCTTGAAAAGAAAGTGCCCTCGACTCCTCCTAAAAAGCCTGAAGTCCCACCTGTTAAAGGTATTTGTCACTGATTTTAGGCTTCAGATGATCTATCTCTTGTGCTCTGGAAAATATTTTTCTTTTTATATATATATATATTTTTATTATACTTTAAGTTCTAGGGTACATGTGCACAACGTGCAGGTTGTTACGTATGTATACATGTGCCATGTTGGTGTGCTGCACCCACTAACTCGTCATTTACATTAGGTATGTCTCCTAATGCTATCCCTCCCCCATCCCCCCACCTCACAACACACTCCGGTGTGTGGTGTCCCCCTTCCTGTATCCATGTGTTCTCATTGTTCAATTCCCACCTATGAATGAGAACATGCAATGTTTGGTTTTTTATCCTTGTGATAGTTTGCCAAGAATGATGGTTTCCAGTTTCATCCATGTCCCTACAAAGGACATGAACTCATCATTTTTTATGGCTGCATAGTATTCCATGGAGTATATGTGGAACATTTTCTTAATCCAGTCTATCATTGATGGACATTTGGGTTGGTTCCAAGTCTTTGCTAATATGAATAGTGCCGCAATAAACATACGTGTGCACGTGTCTTTATAGCAGCATGATTTATAATCCTTTGGGTATATACCCAGTAATGGGATGGCTGGGTCAAATGGTATTTCTAGTTCTAGATCCCTGAGGAATCGCCACACTGACTTCCACAATGGTTGAACTAGTTTACAGTCCCAGCAACATTGTAAAAGTGTTCCTATTGCTCCACATCCTCTCCAGCGCCTGTCGTTTCCTGACTTTTTAATGATCACCATTCTAACTGGTGTGAGATGGTATCTCATTGTGGTTTTGATTTGCATTTCTCTGATGGCCAGTGATGATGAGCATTTTTTCTTGTGTATTTTGGCTGCATAAATGTCTTTTTTTGAGAAGTGTCTGTTTGTATCCTTCGCCCACTTGTTGATGGGGTTGTTTTTTTCTTACACGTTTGTTTGAGTTCATTGTAGATTCTGGATATTAGCCCTTCGTCAGATGAGTAGATTGCAAAAATTTTCTCCCATTCTGTGGGTTGCCTGTTCATTCTGATGGTAGTACCTTTGCTGTGCAGAAGCTCTTTAGTTTAATTCGATCCTATCTGTCAATTTTGGCTTTTGTTACCATTGCTTTTGGTATTTTAGACATGAAGTCCTTGCCCATGCCTATGTCCTGAATGGTATTGCCTAGGTTTTCTTCTAGGGTTTTTATGGTTTTAGGTCTAACATTTAAGTCTTTACTCCATCTTGAATTAATTTTTGTGTAAGGTGTAAGGAAGGGATCCAATTTCAGCTTTCTACATATGGCTAGCCAGTTTTCCCAGCACCATTTGCTAAATAGGGAACCCTTTCCCCATTTCTTGTTTTTGTCAGGTTTGTCAAAGATCAGATGGTTGCAGATGTGTGGTATTATTCTGAGGGCTCTGTTCTGTTCCATTGGTCTATATCTCTGTTTTGGTACCAGTACCATGCTGTTTTGGTTACTGTAGCCTTGTAATACAGTAGCGTGACGCCTCCAGCTTTGTTCTTTTGGCTTAGGATTGACTTGGCAATGTGGGCTCTTTTTTGGTTCCATATGAACTTTAAAGTAGTTTTTTCCAATTCTGTGAAGAGAGTCATTGATAGCTTGACGGAGATGGCATTGAATCTATAAATTACCTTGGGCAGTATGGCCATTTTCACGGTATTAGTTCTTCCTATCCATGAGCATGGAATGTTCTTCCATTTGTGTCCTCTTTTATTTCGTTGAGCAGTGGTTTGTAGTTCTCCTTGAAGAGGTCCTTCACATCCCTTGTAAGTTGGATTCCTAGGTATTTTATTCTCTTTGAAGCAACTGTGAATGGGAGGTCACTCACGATTTGGCTCTCTGTTTGTCTGTTATTGGTGCATAAGAATGCTTGTGATCTTTGCACATTGATTTTGTATCCTGAGACTTTGCTGAAGTTGCTTATCAGCTTAAGGAGATTTTGGGCTGAGACGATGGGGTTTTCTAGATATACAATCATGCCATCTGCAAACAGGGACAATTTGACTTCCTCTTTTCCTTATTGAATACCCTTTATTTCTTTCTCCTGCCTGATTGCCCTGGCCAGAACTTCCAACACTATGTTGAATAGGAGTGGTGAGAGAGGGCATCCCTGTCTTGTGCCAGTTTTCAAAGGGAATGCTTCCAGTTTTTGCCCATTCAGTATGATACTGGCTGTGGGTTTGTCATAAATAGCTCTTATTATTTTGAGATATGTCCCATCAATACCTAATTTATTGAGAGTCTTTAGCATGAAGGGCTGTTGAATTTTGTCAAAGGCCCTTTCTGCATCTATTGAGATAATCACGTGGTTTTTGTCGTTGGTTCTGTTTATATGATGGATTACGTTTATTGATTTTTGTATGTTGAATCAGCCTTCCATCCCAGGGATGAAGCCCACTTGATCATGGTGGATAAGCTTTTTGATGTGCTGCTGGAAAATATTTTTCTAGTGGTCTTCATAATGCCTAAATGTAATTTCACTAATATCTTTCAAGTGCCTGAGGCTCCCAAAGAAGTTGTTCCTGAAAAGAAAGTGCCAGTGCCTCCTCCTAAAAAGCCTGAAGTGCCACCCACAAAAGGTAGACACCCTCTTGTTGCTGTGTTTGATATTGTTTGTTTGTCTTTACTTTGTCTAATAATGAAAATACTAATATCTTTAAAGTCCCAGAGGTGCCAAAGGCAGCTGTCCCAGAAAAGAAGGTGCCTGAAGCTATTCCTCCCAAACCGGAAAGTCCTCCCCCTGAAGGTAATGCCAAAGCTATACAAACTATAGGAGAAAAATAACTGTTATTTTAACTAGGAAATTACATGTTAAAAATCCTACTACATAAAGATGATATAATTCTAAAGAAAACAAATGTCAATCACTATCCAAAATATCTTGGTGGGTGTTTATATGCAAAAGGCATCCATCATTTTCACCTTTTCTAAACACAAATTACAAATATCTTTGAAGTGCCTGAAGTGCTGCCACCGAAGGAAGTGGTCCCAGAAAAGAAAGTACCGGTGCCTCCTGCCAAAAAGCCAGAAGCTCCACCTCCTAAAGGTAGGTATCATTACACATTGTCAGTCGGGGGGCCCTGGGGAAAGACTGTATAGAAGTGTCCGCCGATCTCACAAGTTGTATTTGCTTGGGTAAATGTGGAGTCGATATTCCCCCTTTATAGCTTCTAACTAAAAGATACTAATATCTTCAAAGTTCCTGAAGCTCCTAAAGAAGTTGTACTTGAAAAGAAAGTATCTGTGGCTGTGCCCAAAAAACCGGAAGCCCCACGTGCAAAAGGTATTTATTCCCTCTCCTCTGCTAAGAATAACTTACTGTCTGTACCCCTCACAATCACTGTAATATATACCTTCGCCATTCATAAATTATAAAAATACTAATATCTTTCAAGTGCCTGAAGCTGCTCAAGAAGTTGTCCCAGAAAAGAAAATTCCCAAGGCACCAATCAAAAAACCAGAAGCCCCCGCAGTTACAGGTACATGTCAGCTCAACCTTATCCTGCAGAAGAAATCTCTCTTCCATTCCTGAAAACAATTTTAGTCCATTCCTCTTCATTAACCTAAGTATAAAACTACTAATATCTTTCAAGTGCCAGAAGTTCCTCAAGAAGCCGCAGAAAAAGAAATTCCCGTGGCTCCACCCAAAAAACCAGAAGCTCCAATTGTCCCAGGTACACTTTAGCCCTGACTTCATTCTGCAGAAGAGATATCTCCTCTCCTACTGTAAACAATTTTAGCCCATTTCTCTTCATTAACTTAAGTCTAAAACTACTAATATCTTTCAAGTGCCTGAAGCTCAAGAAGTTGTCCCAGAAAAGAAAGTTCCTAAGGCTCCTCCCACAAAACCAGAAGCCCCACCTGCCACAGGTATTTTTTACCCCTGTCCTTTTTCTGCAGAAGAAATATCTCTTCTGATCTTAGAAATATTTTACTCCATTTGTCTCATTAACCTAAGTGAAAAACTACTAATATCTTTCAAGTGCCTGAAGTCCCACAAGAAATTGTGCCAGAAAAGAAAACACTGGTGCTTCCTAAAAAGCCAGAAGTTCCACCTGTTACAGGTACTTGTCATTTGACCTTAAGCTTCAGAAGATCCAATTCCTCTGCTGTATATTTTGCTAGTAGTCTCCATAGCTCTACATGTAACTTTACTAATATCTTTTAAGTGCCAGAGGCTCCCAAAGAAGTTGTCCTTGAAAAGAAAGTGCCCTTGGCTCCTCCTAAAAAGCCTGAAGTCCCACCTGTTAAAGGTATTTGTCACTGACCTTAGGCTTCAGATGATCTAATTCTTTTGCAGTTGAAGACATTTTGTTCCAGTGGTCTTCATAACCCCTAAATGTAATTTTACCTAATATCTTTTAAGTGCCAGAGGCTCCCAAAGAAGTTGTTCCTGAAAAGAAAGTGCCAGTGACTCCTCCTAAAAAACCTGAAGTCCCACCTGTTAAAGGTATTTGTCACTGGCTTTAGGCTTCAGAAGACTGAACTCTTCATTTCTTGAAAATACTTTTCTAGTGGTCTTCAAACTTCTAAATGTAATTTCACTAATATCTTTTAAGTGCCAGAGGCTCCCATAGAGGTTGTTCCTGAAAAGAAAATGCCCTTGGCTCCTCCTAAAAAGCCTGAAGTCCCTCCTGTTAAAGGTATTTGTCACTGGCTTTAGGCTTCAGAAGATCAAACTCCTCTATTCTTGAAAATATTTTTTCTAGTGGTCTTCATAACCCCTAAATGTAATTTCACTAATATCTTTTAAGTACCAGAGGCTCCCAAAGAGGTTGTTCCTGAAAAGAAAGTGCCCTCGGCTCCTCCTAAAAAGCCTGAAGTCCCACCTGTTAAAGGTATTTGTCATTGAGTTTAAGCGTCAGAAGATCTATCTCTTCTACTCTTGAAAATATTTTTCCTAATGGTCTTCATAACTTCTAAATGTAATTTCACTAATATCTTTTAAGTGCCAGAGGCTCCGAAAGAAGTTGTTCCTGAAAAGAAAGTGCCAGCGGCTCCTCCTAAAAAGCCTGAAGTCACACCTGTTAAAGGTATTTGTCACTGATTTTAGGCTTCAGATGATCAAACTCTTCTGCTCTGGAAAGTATTTTTCTAGTGGTCTTCATAATGCCTAAATGTAATTTCACTATTATCTTTCAAGTGCCTGAGGCTCCCAAAGAAGTTGTTCCTGAAAAGAAAGTGCCAGTGCCTCCTCCTAAAAAGCCTGAAGTGCCACCCACAAAAGGTAGACACCCTCATGGTGCTGTGTTTGATATTGTTTGTTTGTCTTTACTTTGTCTAACAATGAAAATAATAATATCTTTTAAAGTCCCAGAGGTGCCAAAGGTAGCTGTCCCAGAAAAGAAGGTGCCTGAAGCTATTCCTCCCAAACCGGAAAGTCCTCCCCCTGAAGGTAATAATGAAACTATTCAAATTAGTGTTTTTTAAAAAAATCTTTCCTTAGTGTTGTAAAAACATTTTTTTGCAAACTATCTCAGTTTTAGTCAATTCTGGCATTAAAATGAGCTCATGTCTTTAAAGTGTTCGAGGAGCCTGAGGAAGTTGCCCTAGAAGAGCCTCCTGCTGAAGTTGTGGAAGAGCCAGAGCCAGCGGCGCCTCCACAAGGTACATGGCAAGAAAGCTGCTAGGACACCTCGGCCACTCTTTCCCCTTCCTGCCCTGATAATTCTGGGTGCTCTGAGCTTTTGTCTTGTTTCTCAATCTTCGTTCTTTCTAAAACATACCTTCTAATTCTTTAGTGACCGTACCACCTAAGAAACCTGTCCCAGAAAAGAAAGCACCTGCTGTCGTTGCCAAAAAACCTGAACTACCACCAGTGAAAGGTATTCCTCACTGCCACTAACTCCCTAACAAAAAACTTTCTTTGAAGTGTCATATTCTACTGTTCTGCTTCATGATTTTCACATTTCATTGAAACCATGAGCTTAAACAACTACTAATATCTTTTATAGTGCCCGAGGTGCCCAAGGAGGTTGTTCCTGAAAAGAAGGTGCCTCTGGTGGTTCCCAAAAAGCCAGAAGCCCCACCTGCTAAAGGTATATGTGGCTGTCCACTGTTTGATGGGGGCGGATGGAGCCCCCAGCTTCTAAAAGGGTTTTGTTCTGTGTAAATGTGATGAATGTTTACTGGTGATTGTTTCTAATGTTAAAATACTAATATATTTGAAGTGCCTGAAGTTCCAAAAGAAGTTGTTCCAGAAAAGAAAGTAGCTGTTCCCAAAAAGCCAGAAGTCCCACCAGCAAAAGGTACATGTCACTAATGAGATTCTGCAGAAAAGCACTCACCCTTGTCTAATAAGTCACCTATTATCAAACCTTTTGTTTGCGAGTCCTCTTAAATTTGCAACTACAAAACTGTCATTCTGGATTTTTAGGGTCTGAATACTTTTTAATAATTTTTTCATTGACTTTAAAAAGTGATATATTTACTTATTACAAGCATTGGAAAAGTTTACTAACTTGGTTCTTTTATTCTTAATAGGCCATATTTTCCTCCCCACTATATGAGGGTCCAAAGACAGATCACTGACCTTATTGTGAAATTTGTTCTTGGATCTGTCCCTGGGTTATTTGAGCAAAATGTGAAGTCGATGTGGTATAAATTTAATATACTTCTCAACTACTCATAAGAAAAATGAATTAATATCTTTAAAGTGCCAGAAGTGCCAAAGAAACCTGTCTTGGAAGAGAAACCAGCTGTTCCTGTTCCAGAAAGAGCGGAGTCTCCTCCCCCAGAAGGTACACGTGAGACCGGTGATTAATGACCTTGCCACTTGCGACTATTTCTAATTTAAGCTTTGTTCTTCTTCCTTCCTAACTCATTATTTCTTGGTCATTTTCTAACCTTTAATTATTTGTCTTAATTCATCATTCTAAATTAGCTCCAATCTCAAATCTATTTTGGGTTATTGGTCCACAGTATCTACATAAGTCATAGTAAGCTATATTAAACAAAGCTTCTCCAATGTACATAGAAAGTAAGGCAGGAGAACTAATGATTATAAATGACATTAAACACTAAAAGGGCTTTGCAAGCATTTGAATCAATAGACAAAGAAGTCAGTGCAAATGAGATAGATTTTATCTAAACAAAAATAAGAGAAGGTATCAATTGAAACAAAGGAAGAAATCAAGATTACTATTTATCGTGTTTAGTGTTTGTCCATCTTAGAATATTGTTCCATACATTGAAATAAAATTAACTAATATCTTTAAAGTATATGAAGAACCTGAGGAAATTGCTCCTGAAGAGGAAATTGCTCCTGAAGAGGAAAAGCCAGTTCCTGTTGCAGAAGAGGAGGAACCAGAGGTTCCACCTCCAGCAGGTACAAAGCAGAATCCACTGTATGGGAAAATACAGTCATTTCATTTTTCATGTCTATATATCTTCCTTAAGGCAAAATATCAGTCTTGTATCTTGTTGCCTGAAATCTGACTACATTAAGAACAAAAGTTATTTCTACACATAAAACTTTGGACCCACAGAATTTGGTCCCACATATACCAAGAAATATGTGTGGTTTTTAATTCATTCATTAGCATTAAATTTTTCATTGTAATCACCTAATTCTAAAAGAAATTCCTATTATTCAAGTGCCTGAAGAGCCCAAGAAGATCATCCCAGAGAAGAAAGTTCCTGTCATCAAAAAACCAGAAGCACCGCCTCCTAAAGGTACTCATGTTAAAATGAATACTTCATTTTTGTGGTGTCTACAATTTTACACTCTTCTTATTGTGTGTTGTGTTGTATTATATGTTTGTTAACTCTTACCTATATGTTACAGTGTTGAATAAACTTGTATGTATATCTTACATCTCACAACTTTGTATTATTAAATGCTACTGATATCTTTAAAGAACCTGAGATGCCAAAGAAAGTTGTTCCAGTGAAGAAGGTCCCAACTGTTAAGAAGCCAGAAACACCAGCAGCTAAAGGTATTCACTTCATCGTTGGCATCATAAAAAAGAAAGTATTCTGATATCTTAAAGTGGAATCCAATAAGTTGTCCTCATTGTTGTTGCATAACTAAGGACAAAAATTTCCTTATTTTGCTTTCATTAATTTTAATGCTGCTCCAATAAATACAGGTTTTTTATTCTTAATATTTTAAAATGTTTTTAAATACTATTTTTAAAACAAAACTAATATCTTCAAAGTGCCTGAGGTGCCCAAGAAACTTGTTCCAGTAAAGAAAGAACCTGTGCCTGTTACCAAAAAACCAGAAGTTCTTCCAGAAAAAGGTACCTACCATGAAGAAAAAATAGATTTCTCTAACTGCTATTTAAGCATGTTAATAATAGGTCTTAGAGAAAAACATACTGAATGTGAATTTATGTTAAAACCATATTGCACAGAAAAAAGGGAAATAATGAAGGGAAAAAAATGAAACAGACAAGCAGGAGTGAAAAAATGAGTGGGATTCAGTTGTGCTGTGATATATCACATGGCTACAACTAGTAGAAAAGAACCTTCTCTCATTCAATGTGTAAAACAGCTCAATTCAACATATTTTGTTGAATGTTGACCATTAACAAGACATCATATTAGAAAAATTAAGGCCTGATTCTGTCTTCAAATAAGTTAAATCTGGTGAGAGGATAGAAAGATAACAGGACTCTAATACAGACAGGAAGTGATTACACATAGCAAGTGAATACAAAAGGGCTGCAGAAACACACGGCAAGAAAAGATTAAGTTCAGGCAGAGGCATCATGGGAAGCTGTGTTAAACTGAATTTAAATTTTGATGGACTTTTACATGTAGAAATTGAGGAAATAAGGCCGGATGTGGTGGCTCACGCCTGTCATCCCAACACTTGGGGAGGCCAAGGTGGGTGGATCACTTGAGGTCAGGAGTTCAAGACCAGCCTGGCCAACATGGTGAAACCCCGTCTCTACTAAAAATACAAAAATTAGCTGGGGGTGGTGATATGTGCCTGTAATCCCAGCTACTTGGGAGGCTGAGGCAGGAGAATTGCTTGAACCCAGGAGGCAGAGGTTGCAGTGAGCTGAGATAATGCCACTGCACTCCAGCTTGGGTGACAGAGTGAGCCTCTGTCTCAAAAAAATTAAAAAAAAGAAATTGAGGACATGATATCCCATGGAAAGGGAAGAGCATATTGAAAGGCACAGAGATAGAAGGGTCTAGAATGTTCAAGGATTGTCAAGTAAACTTATGTCAAGTAAACTCAATTTGAGTATGGATTGGCTGTGGAATGTCTTGAAAGATAATACCAGATATAAAGATGGGGTCATATTTTGGAGTACTTCAAATGCCAGTAAAAGGCTTGTACTTTTTTCTGTAGGCAATAGGAAGCTTCAAAGATTTTGAAGCAGGCTTACATATTAATAGGATTTGGGCTTTAGAAAGATAACTGGCAGCAATTTCAGCTACTAAATAGTAAAGACCCATTGCAATTATTTAAGGTCTTTAAGAGTTGGACAAGATCCGTGGCGGCAGAAATGGAAAGGGGGACTGGGTTTGAAAGAGATGGAGACTTAGTGGCCTCTGACCATTATCAAAACCATTAGGGAAATTGAGGAGCCCAAGATCATTGTAAGGTTTAAAGCTAGATGGCCAAAAGAATGGTTCATTGGGTCTCTGAACTAACGTTAGAGGAAAATGGTAGATGTGCTTTTCACCTTTAAAGCATAAAAGTTGGGAGTGTGTATCAGGAGCTTAAGAAAGAGATCAGGCCTAGAGATGTAGATCTTAAAGTCATTCACATGTAAATAAGAATTGAGTGTGCAGGAACAATTACTCAGAAAATGTAGAGCAAATTTTTTTAAGTGTCAAAGTTAGACCACCTTCATTTAAGTGTACACAGAGGACTAGAAGCAAATGAAGAAAGCTGAGAAGATTCATATATAAAATTAGGATGTCCAAAATGGTGCCATGTCTCAGAAGCCATTTTCCCCATGAAATCTAAGATGAAGCTCTTGCCCCTGCATTCTTTGCCTGCTCTTTAGACAATCTTGCATGTCTTCTAAATTCTTAATAGTAAACAAAATCATATCTTTAAAGTGCCCAAAGTGCCTGAGAAAATCATCCCAGAAAAGGAAGTGTCTGTGCCTATCCCTGCAGAGCCAGAAGTTCCACCTGCTGAAGGTACACGGCTTCTCCATAAATCTTGGAAAGATGACAATTGTCTTCATCCTCTTGCTTTGATTGTAGATGAATCTTACGTATTTGTCTGTCTGTATTGAAGTTATTGATATTTGGGGGGTCATCTGAATAATCTGTTATAGAGTGTTACTTAATGTAACTAGGTTGATATGTTAGAATAGTAGTTGCAGTATTCTGTTCTAAATATAGTCTAAAATAAAATACTATGTTTTTTAAAGTTGAAGAGACTCCTGAGGAAATAATATATGAAGAAAAAGCATCTATAACCATTGGTAGAAAAGAGACTCCCCCTGTTGAAGGTATATATATATATATATATATACATTTTTTTAATCTCCTGAAGATTCCTGTTAGAATTACAAAAGCATTTACAGGACAATATTCCTTCTTGAAATTATATACAAGAGCAGTCTAGCATGTTTGACTGCTTTATTTTTGAAATAGTTACACTTCTTTTAAGTTAGAATCTTTAATTTAGTTACTGTTGTTGGTAATTACAATTTCCAAAAGGTACAGTTTACTGAAGCAAAATGGAATAATTGCCTTGGATCCTCAAATGATAACACGGTATCAAATTTTAAAAGTCATCTCATTTGCCATCAATATACATTGAATAATCTAATTAATAGGCAGTTCAAGTAAAAGAACTTTTTCTTATACGTGAATTTTTCTATACATGAATTTGTATGAATTGTATATTTTTATTTTGTGACTGTAATCTTTGCATCAATGTGAAATTTGTATGAGTCTTTTTGAAGAACTTTACATTGCAACCTCATCTCCTTTGTCAACATTCTTTAAAGAACGTGAAATTGAAAAGTATATTAAACCTGAAGAGCCCGAACCTGAACCACAGCCTGAAGAAATACCAGTAAAAGGTATTCAATCCAGTGGACTTAAATCTTCTTTATCATATTCTTTCTCTTGAAATGTATATGGTTTATGTTGTTGTACATATGTAGTATGTCTGTTCCCATTTGTATGTAAAGTATTCTTTGTTGTAAATGTGAGCCTCATTCTTAGGTTTCCATGTAACTTGTACTGTTTCTCTCATGTCAACTGTGGCTTGTCTGGATGCTTTGTTTGTTGTTGTTATTGGTGCCTTTGCTGTATTTCTCATCATCTTTGTAAAGGGTTGATATTTTTATGTTTTATGTTCTGTGTTTTATGTTGGATACTGGTATTACGTACCTTAAAAAGTAAACTTTGTACTTCATATATATATATATATATATATATATATATATATATATATATAATTTCTATTAAATATACTACATATCCACATGCTAACATATACATATACTAACACCTCTGAAATACTCTTTCAAGAACCTGAACCTGAAAAGGTTATTGAGAAGCCAAAACTCAAACCAAGACCCCCACCTCCTCCACCTGCTCCACCTAAGGAAGATGTGAAGGAGAAAATATTCCAACTTAAAGGTAAAAAATGCCACTTCCAAAGTTTTATTAGCCTGCTTCAAACTTCTATCCAGCCATCTGAAATGATGCTTGCAAGAAATGTATGACTTTTAGAAGTGTGTACTTTCAGACATGATTGTACTGTGAGATTGCATAGAGCTGTCTCTTCTGCTGCCCCATGGTTCCTGGGTTGCTTGTCATGCCATGCCTGCTGCTGCAAAAGTCAGAAAGTACATTGATAGCGTCATCCGGGATATCTGAATGCAGGCACTGTCCAATTAA
The DNA here is from genome assembly GCF_000001405.40 of Homo sapiens. Classification (NCBI taxonomy): domain Eukaryota; kingdom Metazoa; phylum Chordata; class Mammalia; order Primates; family Hominidae; genus Homo; species Homo sapiens. The sequence continues at coordinate 178,645,658 of NC_000002.12, read as the reverse complement.
CTTTCTTTTGTGGAGTGGGGAGAAAGAGTTTTCTGATTTCAAAGCCTGATTGCTATACATATCATTGCGATCTTATGCTTAAGGAATGTATAAGAAATCCTTGCAAGATATTTTTAATATTGCAGTAACACATTTACATAAAAGCCAAAACTTTGTTCTTAAAGAATTGCATGTGCTTTTAAATATATTACAAGTAATATAGTTATGATTTCCAGTAGCTGATATGTGCCTATATATCATGAAAGGAAAGCATATGAATGACTTGTTACAGTTCCCCCATCTCTTTTTTTTTCTTGCAACTTAAAGAAGTGTTCTGTGTGGTTCTCAGGGGAGCTGGAAAGAGTGGTTATGAAGACATTTGGTATCCAGCATTTATTATTAAACTTCCCTTCCCCCTTCTTATATTTTGATTTTTCTATGAATTGACACAATGTTACTTAATTTTAAAAATATCAGTTTCTTTAAAAGCTGAAATAAACTGGCAGAAACATATTATTCTTATTTTAATAAAAAGTTGTCTTGTGACGTCATATGATTCCCCAATCTAAAATTATCTAGATATAATCTTAGATATGCACTTTCCCTATACAGACCTATGTATCTTCAAACCACAGTCTTCCAGCATAAGACATTGCTGCTGGTGATTCTTGCCCTCTACAACCCTCATAGCCATTAGGGGGACCTTCTGGCACCTCTTGAAAGGCCACCCATCTGTTAATTGACACTCCATGAAGACACACACATAAATACATTTCCCTTAATGTAAAATATATGCTTAAAGGAAAATTTCTTCCTCCTGCCAATAACAAAAATTGTCTTCTTTTTCTGCTGGTCTTTAATTAACTACTGAACTTTGGAGTAAAACTGCAGTCTGTTTTCATGGTTCGAATGCTGCTTGTATGTTCTTTGAAGGCTGTTCTTGGCTGTTATTAATGCTTTCTGGTTATAAGCAAAGCTTGGTTTTGATTCTTGGAGTAGAAAGTTAATCACTTGCTTCAGATTAAATATACAAATAACAAAAGTAAAATCATATTCTTTAAAGCTATTCCAAAGAAGAAAGTTCCTGAAAAACCTCAGGTTCCAGAAAAAGTGGAGCTTACACCTCTGAAAGGTATTTCACAGGCTGAAAAATACATACTTATGTAGTACCCCTTTACCTGACTCCTTGCTCTTTCTGCCTCCATCGAATGTTCTGTCTCTCTTTTTCAATGATCAGAGAGTAGTCCCATTCATTTCTTATATTTCTGTGGCTTTTATGGTCCTGGCTCATGAGTGTTGCTTCCTTTGTCTCCCATCCATTTCATACATGTATAGACATGGTCTATCTTTGTCTCATCTACATATGTCTTCTTGCATTTTCCTAAACTTAAAAATAACAAATTTTACTGGTTAGCCAAAATTGATATCAAGAGACATATGAGATTAAAATGCTGAGAGCTAGTAGTAAACTGTTTTGACATTTCACCTGACATAAAAATTTTAGCCAATGTAATAAGCACTAAAAATAAGTCCTATCTTCCTTTTATATTATTAAGGTTATTTGTAGGGATTTCCTTAGGACTTTCATGTCACTCTCTTCTCACTGGCTCTAAGTCATTCTCTGAGGGGTACGGAACTCACATTTCAGAAAAATTTCCTTATTACTGTAGGTAATTTTTCAAAATGTATTTTTCTGTAAACAATATTTTCCCTAATAAGGTCTCATCTAAAATTAGACCCTAAAGAAAACTAAATGAATTATAAGAGTCTAGAAAACATCTATCAAAAATAAACATAATTTTTCTAATGGGTAGTAGTGTTCTGTTCAAGTAATCAACACATTCAGACCTAGAAATTAAGACTGTTTCTGGTCACTCTGAAATTTTGGGGAAAAAAGTCACCCATATAAATATACATTTCCTGATTTCATAAAGAGGCAATTACAAAATAATGTTATCATGGATATTGATCATAAACATTAAAATAGCATATAATCACATATAATGACTTTAAAAATAATAGCTACAATGTTGGGTTCTCAAACATCAATAAGATTTTTAAAATCAAATAATAATATAAAAAATGCACAGATATATTTTCACTATGTTCATTATATCAGTAAAGAAAATCTATATTATGCCTCCTCACTTTACATTAATTAGATGCATGTGCTTCCTTCTGGGTTTGAGCAATAAAAATAGTTATTAAGAAGATTGGTACCTCTAAAATAGTATTGAAGGCCAACACAATTTATCCTGGATAAAATACGTAATGTTTAACTTTAAAATTTTTACTTAAAATATTTGACATTAAAAAAATGATTATTCAAAACGAAATACATATTTGCCTATTGTAGGTTTAAATTTTTGAAATAAGAGTTAAGCAGTTATCTTTATCACATAAAAAACCATTTAATGAATTGCAAATATCTTGTTTAAAGCCCTAAATAGGAAGTTTTATAGAAATATCTAAAAATTCAGATTCCTAATAGCAAATAGTTACACAATACAAATAAATACTGTTTTAAATTAGATTTTAATTGACATTAGTAGAGAGGAAAATGGTTTAATAATCACCACGTGTTCCTTTCTTTCACCATTCAAATCTATGAGGGCCATAATAGCAAAAGAGGCTGCTCTATAAAATAGCATCATCCACCATGCTCAGTATTCACTGTAGACGCAACAGGAAATTTTGAATTCCTTGCGTTCCTTAATTTGAATGAATTTAAGAACATTTTCTTATTCATGAAAAACGAGCTTCCAACACCAGCTTTGAAATTTTATAATTCTATAATTTTAAATATTTTATCCAGCATTATTTCAAAAAGGAAATCTTAAGAAAGGCTACTCTTCTTCTGTTCAGAAAGTGAGATATGGCCCTTCCCCAGCATCAAAGTCACAAACCGGAACTCTTGGCCACCTTCTTCCCTCAGTGGAGAAGACTGAATGATGGCACTAACACTTGCCAGTATCATTTTCATACATTTAGTGGTTGGGTAGATAACATCGTAGATTTGGACAATCTACAATTGCAGTTTGGGACAAAGATGCTGTCAAGAACCCTGTAATTTGATGAAAGATTCATAAAGTCAGTATGGAGCAACATCCTCTACATGCATTTAAAATGAATACATTTGCCTGCAGTTAATGGAGTTGAATTTCATCACAAGGCTGTATAGATATTTGCAGAGGAGATAACTTGAAATGTATCATTTAAACTTAAATTCTGTGGTATTTATATGCAGCGAAAATTGTTACTTAATGCACTACAGTTAACTAGTTTTAGGAGAGACATTTTTCTTGTTGAAATTCCGTTTTTATATAAATTCACTTCAAAATTTGAAATCATATTCTTTTAAGTGCCTGGAGGTGAAAAGAAAGTTCGCAAATTACTTCCGGAACGTAAACCTGAACCAAAGGAAGAAGTTGTTCTGAAAAGCGGTATAGTATTTTTCAACCATTCTGTCAGCGTTAAGTATATTTTAAAAATGAACTTGAAAGCTTACAAAATGTTTCTGTCCTTTGGTTTTCTTTGAATTGGTTCGCTATTTATCAAAATTTGTTTGTAGTTTCATTGAAAATTAAGAAAAATGTCATTTCCAGATCTTTTTTTTTAAAAAAAAAAGACAGAAATTTTGTGAGCATTCACAGTATTTTGAAATTTAAAATGTTAATAGACATAACTAAGTTGATAATATTCTAAACTAACAACAACTATGACTGCCATTTTCATAACCAAATTATGTAGTAAAGTACACTAAACCTATTAAATACCTTACATGAAACTACTTTAGCTTAAATTCAATATTCAGTTTTAAAGTGTGACACAGGATCACCACAACTAATAAATAACATTTTTAAAAAACTGAACATTTCTTTCTGACTAATAAAATATTAAAGAATGAGAAACAAGATAGTCAAATGAAGAATTAAGTTCTAACATTGTCTTCACATAGAATTACTGATTTTTAGGCTACATTTCTTCAGATATCTCTGCTTAAGTAAACTTTCTACTTATTTACATACTCATTAAATCATTAACATTTAATTATTATTATAATTCGTTGCTATTCAAATTATTCATTTTGTGTTGGAGCTGTTTCTCCCACAGACTTGTCTCAGAATAGACCCTCTATCTAGATAGAAACAAAGTAACTTTGAGTGCTATTATAATTGACAACCTTTGATTTTAAAAAAAACAAAACAAAAAACACTTTCGGTGTAAATGCTTACTTTCCAGAGTGCTAGGTAGCATGCTTTTTTTCATTTTCCTTGCTTTGTACATTATTTGCATTTGTCAAGCTTATTCAACATCTTCATTAGTTTGTCTTGGTTTACATATAAACCTTTTTGTCTTTAAAGTTCTAAGAAAAAGACCTGAAGAAGAAGAACCTAAAGTAGAACCTAAAAAACTAGAAAAAGTTAAAAAACCTGCAGGTAGGAATCTCAGTGACAATTTGTAAGATTATCTTTTAACAAAATGGACATTTAACAAAAGGTTTATCTTGTAAACATAAATGAAGTTAGATGTAAACATGGCTTCATATTTCATCTGTGATGTAGTCTCTGTTTTCCATTGTCTGCTTTCTGTTTAAATATTTTTATAGTAATTCCCAAATCCATTCATGTATTTCCCTGCACTTCATTCTTATCATTACTTTGCAACTTAAGTTCTTCCAGTAGAAATGACTGAAATAATCAAGTGGCTATTCATGGGAGGGTGTCAGCAAAGGTTTCATAATCTGGGGGCTTTTAAATGGGTTGGTTTTTATCATTAGCCTATTCTCAAAGGGCAAAATTATTGGGAACTATTATAGAAGTGATTTAGAAGGAGAGAGCTAAGGGGAGTGGAAGATAAGTGGATGGAATAAAAGGAAGAAAAATAAATGGAAGCAGAGTCAAGAAAATAAAATAGAAATTACTTGATAAACTATAAGGTTTTTTAAAAAACCATCCATAGAGTTTTTGAAAAATAAATTGATATTTCAGATGAGGTGCTTCCTAAATATTCAAATATTAACACTGAAAAAATAATCTTATCTTAAAGTACCAGAACCACCACCTCCAAAACCTGTTGAAGAGGTTGAAGTACCTACTGTTACAAAAAGGGAAAGGAAGATTCCTGAACCAACAAAAGGTACAAATCTACTGTCATTCTTAGTTGTCTCTAAAAATGCAAATATGTATCATTTAAAATATCATTACACTGACATCAAGATTTGAACACATGACCTTAATCTGTTAATCACATATGGCTTAATTTTCTTTACCATCTCACTCTCCTATGCAATTGGCTAATGATTACTCAGTTGCTAAATAAGTTACCTGAAAAAAAATTGTATTTATGGGCAATGAGATAAATAACAACATTAAAACCAAGAACATTGCCTTACTATATTTTCCAAATATTTTGTTTAAAATGAAAACTAATCAAATACTTGATTTGATAATTATATGTATATAAATTCTAATATCTTCCAAGATACGTGGGCTTAATTTTAGTTTTGACTTTGTGAAAAACTTCAAAAATCCTGTAATAATCTGCCCTCTACTCTAAATTATTTCAGTGCCTGAAATCAAGCCAGCAATACCTCTCCCTGCACCTGAACCGAAACCAAAGCCCGAAGCAGGTGAGCAAGCTTATCCTCAATGTCAACAGCATATTCTTTCTGTATTCACACACATAACATGTACTTAATAAAAGATAGTAGGTGAAAGTCAGTATGTATCAAATGATTTCTAACGTCTCAAAATGCTTAATATACTATTCTCTTAAAAACTAGTTATTTGAAGATTTCAAAATTATATCAGAAGAGGCAAATAAGCTACCAAATAAGTTTTTAGGAAGTGACAAATTGATACACTAATGCAATGGACTTCTCTCTACAGAAGTGAAAACAATCAAACCACCTCCTGTGGAACCTGAACCAACCCCCATCGCTGCCCCAGTAACAGTGCCAGTGGTTGGAAAGAAAGCAGGTATTTATCCTGTAGCTTTCTTTTTGCTAGTTTGTTTTGGTGACTTAATAAAAGTATTCACACTTGATTAAAATTCAAGCCCTGTTTATGCTGCAACATAGGTATCATTTCAACTTCGGAGGTTTATGGTAAGTTTCTACCTTTTCTTCATGTGATATCCTTTATCCACCTTGTCTCTTGCCCAGTGGGTGAATATTGTGCCTTAACTGGAATGTACGTTCCTGGGTTGCACCATTTCTTTCATATGCTTTGGAGATTAAGTAATGAATATGTTTGGGGCTGATAAAAACTAAGGAGACAGGCAGAGACCCTGTAAGGGTATACATATAAGAATCCCATGAAGCTTCAAATTTCCCTTATACCCTATTGGAACAATTTCTCTTTTTTAAAAAAGTGTGTATATTGGGATAATGTAAAAGTTCTGGAAATGGATAGTGTTGATGGTTGTACAATATTGTGAATGTATTTCATGCAACTGAATTGAATACTTAAAAATGGCTAAAATGGTAAATTTTATGTTAGGTATATTTTACCACAATAAGAAAGAAAAAGAAAAAAGAGACTCCATATTTCAGTCTTTTAATCTGTATAAGGAATTAGATCAATAATAATTTTCTTAAATGTTCTAACTTAATGATATAGGTATCTCAAGTCCAAACTTAAAGCACCTATTAATTGTATATGAACTATTTAGTATAGTTCATCATTTAAGTGATAATTTGAGATATAATTGATCAAAACTGATTTGATGTGTAATTGATAGTCATTGATAAACATACACATCCTGACTATTTGCCCTTTGGCTCACTATCTGGGTGATGAGATCACTCATATCCCAGACCTCAGCATCATGAAATATATCCACATAACAAAACTGCACATGCATCCCATGAGTTTAAAATAAAAGTTGAAATTATTTTTTTAAAAAAGAAACAACAAAACCAAAAATAAAACAAAGTAAATTTAAAGCGGGGGCGGTGGTGGTGGGGTGGGGAGAAGGCATGTATTGATAATTTTCTAAGATGTGAAGAATCTAAGATATTCAATATAATGCCTTGACAATTTGTTCCTATGGAAAAATGATCATCTCCACTGATAAAGCACAAAATAAAAAATTCAGGGTGAATTTAAAAAAAAAAAAAGAGAACTATTTGTTACATTCCACAGTGAGATGTGCATAGGCCCCGGGAATAACATTTAGAAATGTCCATAATAGTTTGACAGAGAAATTTTTTAATTTAATTTTCTGAACCTAATAATAAAAATTGGCTTATATCTTTAATAAATCAATAAATAAAACTATTTGGAAAAATTATATTATTTTAGATTATTAATTCAATAATTAGTCATTTTATATTTGTTTATATATTTTTATATAAATTATTTAGAAATTTTTTTATTTAAAATTATCTCAAAATATTTGGACATTACCATGTTTAATGACATAAAAAAATACACTATATTCTTTTGACTGTAGTTTAATTTTTAATATTTGTGTTATATTTTGTTGCTGATGTTTATGATTTGGGCATATTCTTTTAAACTTTTATAATGTCAACGTAGTACTTTTATTATTCAGAAAAAGGTGATGAACTGCTCTTGTCTAATTAAGTATGTATAAAAATAAAGCTATTCTCAGTTATCCTGGGGGCTGAAGCTAGAGAACTCATTCCACAGTTTATACTGTCCCTGTATTAATAATGGAATCAAACTCTAAATGTCAGAACTCTCTTGCTTCTGCCTTACTTCATTGTCTAAAGGAAATCTTCAAAGAAACTCATGCATGTGTGGTACATGGACTCTTTTTCCTTAGTCTTCCCTGGATTTGTTTGTCTGCCCAATTTAGACATAAAAAGAAAGGCTTTTGGTAACCTCTCAGCCATTTCCCTTTTCCCTACACTGATTTATTGACAAAACCTTATTTCCTTGGTTCACATAATCAGGACTTACATAAACATATAAAATATTTTGCACAGCTAGGCAGGAGCAAAACTTTTCCTCACAAGGCAACAGTAAGCCTTCCAAAAATGGGAAGATAATAAGGCACTTGCTGAAAGAAGTTGTTAATCCTAAATATGTTGGCAGTTTAGCTTGAGCTCTTCAGTCTCAGAATATGCCTTCCTGGAAATGTGATTATCCATAGAAGTCATATAAATGAAACCAATTTCTCTTTATGCGTTAATATTTATAATGGAGCATGACTCACCCTCCATGGTTTACTATTAAACATGAAATAAGTCCGAAAAGTGTTTAAATGCTGAGTTTTATTTTTATTTCAGAAGCCAAAGCACCTAAGGAAGAGGCTGCCAAGCCAAAAGGTCCTATCAAAGGTGAAATTCATTTTTCTAGTACTTGCATTGTAACCTTCCACTCTGAATTTCCAAAGTTCATATTCAAGGGGAAAAAAATTTCAAAATTCATAACAATTTTTATTTTTTCTAATTGATTCTACTAAAACTAGCATGTTTTCTGATATTTCAAATAATACTTTTAGTATTATGCAAGGAGATATATATATATATATATATATATATATATATATATATATATATCCAACTATATTTTAGCATAGTGAATCCCATAAGTTCTTAGCTTCATTTTTCATATGCATGGTATTTATACATGGCAGATAAAATAATTAGACATTAATCTGGCTATTTTATACTTCAGATTAAAACTTGAGAAAAGGGACATTTATTATTCATGGATTCCTTATACCATCTCATTTTCCTGCCTGAAACAAGGCAGTATAAACTCAATTGGCCTTTCAATTGCCTGGTCTTTAGTTTTCTCGTCTTCTAATTGCTTTACGGCTGGTTTTATCCAGCAGGCAGCCAAGTATGAACTTTCTGACTCCTAAGGAGATGCCAAATCAACTTTTTATTTTACTTTGAATTAGGTGTACCCAAAAAGACTCCTTCACCAATAGAAGCCGAAAGGAGAAAGTTAAGGCCAGGAAGTGGTGGAGAGAAACCTCCTGATGAAGCCCCGTTCACCTACCAGCTAAAGGCTGTGCCACTGAAGTTTGTGAAAGAAATCAAAGACATCATCTTGACAGAATCAGAGTTCGTTGGCTCTTCAGCAATCTTTGAATGTTTGGTCTCCCCTTCCACTGCAATTACAACCTGGATGAAAGACGGTAGCAATATCCGTGAGAGTCCCAAGCACAGGTTTATTGCAGATGGTAAAGACAGAAAGCTGCACATCATTGATGTTCAACTTTCCGATGCTGGTGAATACACCTGTGTTTTACGTTTGGGAAACAAAGAAAAGACCTCCACGGCTAAACTTGTTGTAGAAGGTAATTTCTAGTCTTCTGAACATAATCTATATTAAACTTTAATGTAACAAACCTTAGTAGCAACTTGCATTGTAGTTTTACAAAACCTCTTATTTCCAAGTTTTATTTCATTGAAAATATTGTATTTATTGAAATATATACTGAAATTCTCCATAGAACTTCCTGTGCGTTTTGTAAAAACACTGGAAGAGGAAGTCACAGTGGTCAAAGGACAGCCATTGTACTTGAGCTGCGAGTTAAACAAAGAGCGTGACGTGGTCTGGAGGAAGGATGGCAAGATTGTGGTGGAGAAACCTGGCCGAATTGTGCCAGGCGTCATTGGCTTGATGCGGGCTCTGACCATCAACGATGCAGATGACACAGATGCTGGAACATACACAGTTACTGTGGAAAACGCCAACAACCTGGAGTGTTCATCTTGCGTAAAAGTAGTAGGTTAGTACTTTCCTGGGAGATTTCGTTCTGCTTATTGTTACACTAAGAAAATGGAAGAAAGGACCTCGTTTCCCAGTATTACAATATCAGAAATCTTGTACCTAAGAGGGGAATAACAATATATCCTACAGTGGATTAATTATGCCCAGTATTGTGAAATTTTTCCTATTCCTGAAATTTACTAAGGAAGCTATGTATATTACTTGTTCAGACCTTAATCATTTTTTCTGATCTTATTTTCATATAGAAGTCATTAGAGATTGGCTGGTGAAACCTATACGAGACCAGCATGTGAAACCCAAGGGGACAGCTATTTTTGCCTGTGATATAGCAAAAGATACTCCAAACATTAAGTGGTTCAAAGGATATGATGAAATCCCTGCGGAACCAAATGATAAGACTGAAATACTGAGAGATGGAAATCATCTGTACCTCAAAATTAAGAATGCTATGCCAGAAGATATTGCTGAGTATGCAGTGGAAATTGAAGGAAAAAGATACCCTGCAAAGCTGACACTTGGAGGTATAAAATCTTACCTTTTATTCAAATTATAAGTTTTGCGTATGTGTAAAGCCAAATAACACACCAAAACACATAAAAGCAAAGCATCGTTGGGTTGTCTAAAGCATTATGTTACTTCATCCCTGACCAATACAGAGCGTGAAGTTGAACTGCTTAAACCAATAGAGGACGTTACCATTTATGAGAAAGAAAGTGCAAGCTTTGATGCAGAAATCTCAGAGGCAGACATTCCTGGACAATGGAAACTGAAAGGAGAACTTCTAAGGCCCTCACCTGTGAGTAATTTCACATTTTAAATTGTTAGTCATATAAAATAACCACATCCAATATTCAGGATCTATATCCTAGATTCGGGTTGCTTTAATAATAATGGAGTTAATGGAGTCTTCTAAAGTCTCCAAGAAGGAAAGAAATTTTACGTATCATTTGGGGACAACTTGAACAATTTGTGTAAAATGTTATGACAGGGAATTCTCTGCTTACTTTTATTAGTAGTAATTTTTAAAACTCTATAGAAATTTGTATCTGAAACACTTCTCCTATAGGGAATTTATCTCTTTCAAATGGTTACTAAAACTATTGTTTTTCAGACTTGTGAAATCAAAGCAGAAGGTGGAAAACGCTTCTTAACTTTGCACAAAGTCAAACTGGACCAAGCTGGTGAAGTCCTCTACCAGGCCCTTAATGCAATTACAACTGCCATTTTGACAGTAAAAGGTATGGGGCTTTTAGAATTTGGGGAGGGGTCTCAACTTTATTTCACTTCCCTGTGCATTCTGAAAAGCCTCATTCTTAATGTCTGATTTTCAGAAATCGAACTTGACTTTGCTGTGCCCCTGAAGGATGTCACTGTTCCAGAAAGGCGACAGGCTCGATTCGAATGTGTCCTCACCCGAGAGGCAAATGTTATATGGTCCAAAGGACCTGATATAATTAAGTCATCTGACAAATTTGATATCATCGCTGATGGAAAGAAACATATTCTTGTTATTAATGATTCTCAATTTGATGATGAAGGGGTCTATACTGCTGAGGTGGAGGGCAAGAAGACCTCAGCTCGGTTGTTTGTCACAGGTAAGCGAGCTAATGAGATCTGTGACATCCCATAAAGGCATGCAAATATATGACTTTAAAGATAGGACGCCAAGTTCTAAAAGCTGTGATAATGCATCACTAATTAACTTTCACAGTGTTACCAAAACAACCCCCCTTAATTTGTTTTTAGTGGAGCTCTATTTGGAAAGATGAATAAATAAGTGCCATGTGAAATGGGTCCCTTTTACTCAGGCAGATTAGAATGGAATCTTTCTGAAGGTGAATTGTGTTTCTGAGGCATTATCTATGCTTGCATTTCAGGTATAAGACTGAAATTCATGTCACCTCTTGAAGATCAAACAGTAAAAGAAGGTGAAACAGCAACTTTTGTTTGTGAACTTTCTCATGAAAAAATGCATGTAGTCTGGTTCAAAAATGATGCCAAACTCCATACAAGCAGAACAGTACTCATCTCTTCTGAGGGCAAGACTCACAAATTGGAAATGAAAGAAGTGACATTGGATGATATATCTCAGATAAAAGCTCAAGTCAAGGAGCTGAGCTCCACAGCACAGCTGAAGGTCTTAGGTAAATGTAACCAAGTATAACCAGATAGCCAGTTTCTGAATCATGGGAGTGGGGAGTAATAAAATATTTTGCAACCTTTTACTCTTTAATAAACTTTAATTTTCACATTCTTCTAATTTTATGCTAAATGTCTTTTACAGAGGCCGATCCCTACTTCACTGTGAAATTACATGACAAAACTGCAGTGGAGAAGGATGAGATTACTTTGAAGTGTGAAGTGAGCAAAGATGTACCAGTGAAATGGTTCAAAGATGGTGAAGAGATTGTCCCTTCACCCAAATATTCTATCAAGGCAGATGGCCTGCGCCGCATCTTAAAAATCAAAAAGGCGGACCTTAAAGATAAAGGCGAATATGTGTGTGACTGTGGCACAGACAAGACCAAGGCAAATGTTACTGTTGAGGGTGAGTTGCTCAACAATGTAAAATTTACCCTATCTGAATCTGCAGTTTATTAGTTCAGTCATGCTAACAAAACTGTATCATTTCAGCTCGACTAATAAAAGTGGAAAAGCCTCTGTACGGAGTAGAGGTGTTTGTTGGTGAAACAGCCCACTTTGAAATTGAACTTTCTGAACCTGATGTTCACGGCCAGTGGAAGCTGAAAGGACAGCCTTTGACAGCTTCCCCTGTAAGTCAAGATTAGCTAATTATATAGGAGAGGGGTTGCTTGGTTGTGTAGGGTGAAAAAAGGCATAAAATATCTTGATGATTTGTAGGAATAACTATATAAATGATGTTCTTTCTTTCCTTCTAACCCTCACTCCAAACAGGACTGTGAAATCATTGAGGATGGAAAGAAGCATATTCTGATCCTTCATAACTGTCAGCTGGGTATGACAGGAGAGGTTTCCTTCCAGGCTGCTAATGCCAAATCTGCAGCCAATCTGAAAGTGAAAGGTATGCTCTACTTGTCAGCCACGTTTTTGTATTTTCTCTGCAAGACTTCCTGATACACCCCTGCATTGATCAAGGGTCATCAATGGAAACGTATTCTGACTTCATCCACTGTCCACTTCTTTCAGAATTGCCTCTTATCTTCATCACACCTCTCAGTGATGTTAAAGTCTTCGAGAAAGATGAGGCTAAGTTTGAGTGTGAAGTATCCAGGGAGCCCAAAACATTCCGTTGGCTAAAAGGAACCCAGGAAATCACAGGTGATGACAGATTTGAGCTTATAAAGGATGGCACTAAGCATTCAATGGTGATCAAGTCAGCTGCTTTTGAAGATGAAGCAAAATACATGTTTGAAGCTGAAGATAAGCACACAAGTGGCAAACTGATCATTGAAGGTAAATAGTTTTATCAAATAGTCCACCCCAAAATCATTTTTTTTGCCTTTAGTTTTATATTTCTTCTTTAAAGTGCTTCAATTAATAAGTTCTTTCTTTTTTTTCTTGATAGGAATCCGGCTCAAATTCCTCACCCCTCTCAAAGATGTAACTGCCAAAGAGAAGGAAAGTGCTGTATTTACTGTGGAGTTATCTCATGATAACATCCGAGTTAAATGGTTCAAGAATGACCAGCGCCTACACACCACCAGGTCGGTCTCAATGCAAGACGAAGGGAAAACTCATTCGATCACATTCAAAGACCTGTCTATTGATGACACCTCCCAAATTAGAGTAGAAGCTATGGGGATGAGTTCAGAAGCTAAACTCACTGTGCTTGGTAAGTGCTTTTTAAATTTTAATTTTACTGCATTAAATTCAACAGAAATTTGTGGAGTATCTATTCTATAAAATAGTCTTCTAAGTGTTATATTGCATGAAAGCAGCCCAACTCCTTAAGAAGCTATCACATATGTAATCAGGCTTATTTCTAAAACACTTTACCTTCATTACTATAAGTTAATGAAGATTCTAGCTTACACCCACAAAATAGCCAATTAAAAGCCAACTTAAAATTCTTCATTAATTATTGAGCCCTGTCATGTTTAAAATAGGAGTATATAAATACTTTCTATCTCTTCATTTTATCAAAATTATTTCAGAGGAATGTTTTTCAAGTTTCCCATAAGAGAAGATATTACATAATTTACATTAATAAGCCTCATTGTTTTTCTTGGCCACCTAATATCAACAAGATTAAACATGAAGGCTAACATATATAGACATGATTAAAGGCAAACTATTAATTGATTAAGAAAAACTAACAATGTGAACCTGAAAGCTTAAAAGTAAACTAGACATAATAGAGTTGCTAAGAATTAGAAATTTACCCAAATAATGGAGGAACACAAAATTGTATTTGAAGCTAAATTTCAGTCTTTTTAGCTACTGTTAATAAAATGTTTCAAAATTCAATATGAATGGATTAGATCTTGATAAATCCCACACACTGATTCCCTTCCTAATATTTAGAGAACTTTTGAACATAAACAGGTTAAATGATTGAACACTTGACACAATTTTAAAAGATACTCAGAACTCTGTGAGTTGTGTCTTAAACTTTCCAAGAGATTGTCATTTCCCTAAGGTGATTAATAAAAGCTTTTCACTTATACTTTACTTGCAGAGGGAGACCCATATTTTACAGGAAAACTTCAAGATTATACTGGTGTAGAGAAAGATGAAGTTATTCTACAGTGTGAAATTAGCAAAGCAGATGCACCAGTGAAATGGTTTAAGGATGGGAAGGAAATAAAGCCATCCAAAAATGCTGTTATTAAGGCAGATGGCAAGAAACGCATGCTAATCCTAAAGAAAGCCTTGAAATCAGATATTGGACAGTACACCTGTGACTGTGGGACAGATAAGACCTCAGGAAAACTTGACATTGAGGGTAAGGAAATTTCCATGAGTTTCACTCTTGAAGCATTGGGGTTATTTGTGCCAGAGGCTAATGACCCATGCTGGCCCTTCACTTTTCTAGATCGGGAAATTAAACTGGTGCGACCCCTGCACAGTGTGGAGGTGATGGAGACTGAGACAGCACGCTTTGAAACCGAAATCTCTGAAGATGATATCCACGCCAACTGGAAACTCAAGGGAGAGGCCCTACTCCAAACACCTGTAAGGCTATTTCTGAACTTGTCAACACCTAAAGGAGCTGTGTGAATTAGAAAAGAACAGGTGAAAGTCAGAGTGGATGCAGGACATTTAAAACATGATAGCAGTTTCTCTATCAGACCCTAAGCCAAAGAGAGATGTCAGGGTCTATGAATGGGCTCAGACTGGCACACTTGCATTACTTTTGATCCAGCAGAGTGAGTATAAGGTTGTAGATACTCTGTGATGCTGCTAGTTGGCTCAGAATTATACAGCTAAAATAAATGTGGCTTTCCTCTTAGTACTTGTAAGCTTTACTTCCTAAAAAAAGAGCTCAAAGTTATATAAAGTTTCATCACCATTTATTTGTTGCATTCCTTTAATTAAGATAATCTATCCTTAGAACAAAATTTCAAAGAAAATTATTTTCTATGAAAGTTTTTCTGTTTTGTTGGTACAGGATTGTGAAATTAAGGAAGAAGGCAAAATACACTCCCTTGTTTTGCACAACTGTCGCCTGGACCAGACGGGTGGGGTGGATTTCCAAGCTGCCAATGTTAAATCTAGTGCCCACCTCCGAGTTAAGCGTAAGTATTGTATATTTTTCAGGGAAATTAAATAAACACTTTTTCAGAAAATGAATGTGAGTGAAATTAATTGGACCTATTTTATTAGTTAGAAAATATTATTAAAACACAAAAACTGGCTCTCTTGTATTTGCCACTTTGACATTCCAATACAGAAGTGGTTCAAATCGTAAAGTTTTGGAAATTTTGTTGACCTTGCCATTTGAACAAAAGAAAATTTAGCAAATCAGATTTTCCTGCTCTGTAGTCCTCTCATTGAAAGTAGATACACATACAATGAGAATCTAACTCAGAACCCTTAAAGACCACTTCCCTCAAGTGGCTGTGCAACTAGAGCACCAGAAAGACAAGCTTTGCTGTGTGGGCATTTTAGATTCAAGAAAGAAGGTGGGAAGCATTAGGCTAACGTTTCTGGAAGGTGCAAAGTGTTTGATGGATAGGGACAGCCTCTGATTGAGGGCCCCTTGTCCTCTCCCAATCAGAGTCTTAGTTATTTTGGAAGTCACATACCTTATGTAGCAAGAAGAA
Source organism: Homo sapiens (assembly GCF_000001405.40). NCBI lineage: Eukaryota > Metazoa > Chordata > Mammalia > Primates > Hominidae > Homo > Homo sapiens. Next base: position 178,629,712 of record NC_000002.12, on the reverse strand, counting down.
CTTGACGCCTGGCAGAGAGACAGATGCAGCACAGATTTCTCGCTGACCTTGTACGTCAGAACGAAAGGGCCCCTACATATACTCGCTCTCTGGCTACCAGCTCTCCCCTTCTCAGCGCCGTGGGGCCACGTTCACGTGGGAGTTAAAATAGTGGCCAGTCCTGTGGCTTCTTGAAGAAAGCAACCATGAAGATTCATATCTAAGTCTCTATTTATTCTTTTGGGATTACAAAATGAGTAACGCAAAGCTGTTTCTTCCCTCTCGAAAAGCACGAGTAATTGGTCTTCTGAGGCCTTTAAAGGATGTCACCGTGACTGCAGGGGAAACAGCCACCTTCGACTGCGAGCTCTCCTACGAAGATATCCCAGTGGAATGGTATCTCAAAGGGAAGAAACTAGAGCCCAGCGATAAGGTAAAAAGCAGGCATGCCTTGTCTTTCCCGTTCTTTTTCTGGAGTTCTTCCACCTTCACTTGTATGTTCCTTATTCTTTGCTCTTTCTAATGTCTCTTCCTCTGTCTTTGCCTTTCTCTTTCCGCCTTTAGCCTGATTTCTGCTGAAACTGTAAAGCCAATTTTTTGCATTTTTTCTTAGGTTTAACCTGATGATTTTTTTATTGAAATTGAAATAAATTTAAAGTATGATCATGTTTTAGTTTTTTGAAGAAAAGACAAGACTCATTGACTATGAATGATAGTTTGATTAACCAGAAGGCAGGAAGGATCAAAAAGGCTTTCTGATTGCACGCTCTGCAGCCATGGTGCACATTAAGTTTTAAGACTAACGCTCTCCATCCTATTTAGTGTTCTGCATATAAGGGGATTAAGAGGAGAAGACTGAAATTCCATTTCGGGCAGTTGATCAAGTAGTTGAGATAACTTCTGGGCAGATTTGCTCTTCAAGCATTTCTCCAAAGCTATTTTTAACCTTCAAGTGCTCTGGGCTGTGCGATATCTGGAATGCAAGTGGACTATTTAAAGTGCAACTGATGGTACTGACAAGAAAGAAGGGCTCTGTGGTTATCCACATATGTGGATGAAATATTTTTTTTAAGCTTTGGTAAATAACTAGCTCCTGCTTTTAGCTTTTACTAACATTCTTTATGCCCAAGATTTTACCCATAAGTAAAAACTAAGGGATTATTCAGATAGGCCCACAATACAATTTGCCTAAATTGATCTATATGTTTTGTCCCCAGAAACAACATATGTCTTTAAATTATCTTGACAATCCATCATTAATTTTGAATTCTTAAAATAAAATATATGGAATATGTCCAGCCTGGGTTGGAAATAAAGCACAGGACAGTACATTGTTCTGTGACATATTCCCCCAATATTTCAGAAATACTATTAAATGTGCTATAAAGATCTCAACAAAAATCAAACTTTGAAGACTTAAAGGAATATAATTAAAAAGTGATTCAGTTTAACAAAAAGCCACAGCATTGACTGAAGTATTTGAAAGCAATGCCTTCAAGTAACTGCTTTGAAACAAACAAACAAACAACAACAACAACAACAAAACTAGTATTCCACTAAAGTGATTACAGGGTAATTCACCAGCAGTCATCTGATAGGTAACGCCTGCCTGTTATACAGATAATAAGATCTTCTTGGTCTCCTTTTCCAGTGACCAGAAAAAGCAGCAGTACATTCCATTTGTAGCATGGGAATTAAGTTACATATCACAAAACCTTCCTTACAATGAGGTCTTCTAAATATTGAACTGAGGGAGGCACCTCTACCTTCAAGCTTATTGTTTGAAAAAATATATTTTGCCTATCATGCATGATTTAATTAACTTCATGTCTAAAGGCAGAGAATTGGTTGCTTTTTCAAGATTCTTTCTAGATCTGCAAATTCATGATTTATATATAGGAACACTGCTTAAAGACAAATGATATTATTTTTTCATTACCAAATATCTTTTTGTCATAGTAAGAGCTTCTTATTAAAAGATCAGTCTCAGTTCTAATACAAAAACTGCACTATTTTAATTCAAATGTAGACTCCTAAAAATCTTATTCACATTTTATTTTTAAAAAATTCTCATTGTAACTAAAATTTTTTCTAGGGTTAGAAAGGATCAGTTTACTATAATTCTATAGGGCCCCTTTACATCTCTTTTGGCATAGGAATTTTAATCCTTTACTCTAGGCACCCGAAATACCTTAGCCTTTTGTGAACTTGCTCTTGCATTACTTAAATGTCTCTTTTCAAAAAGAACTTAAATATAAACTTTGAAGTAATAAAATCATTTTGTTACATGTGGCAGATTTTGTTTAAATTAAGTCTGTCAGAACAAACTTGCTCTTGTCAATGTAATTCCGAACTTTAATACTCATTTTATGTAAAAATTTTCGCCTTCAAAACTACAATAACCAAACAAGCAAAAACAAGCTGTAGGAATAGGAAATATGAAGAGAAACTTGTAGACATGAGTTGTTTGCATTTTTTCTTTGTTGTTGTAGTTGTTTTTGGCTGTCAGTTTAAGAAAGGACTGCCAAGTTCCAAATGGCATTTGATAATTTTAAAGTTAAATTTTAAATTTGATAAAATTAAAGTTTAAATACAAAACTTTAATAGTTTTGTCATGGTCATAAGCCTACCGTATTATATTAATATGCTTCCACTATAAATAAATATTTTTAAAATCTCTAACATTATTCTTACAATCTACTGCAAAATCTTCAACATTCATTTCATTGGTTTATTTTTATAAGGCACCTACCAGTTTTCCTTTTTTTTCTTTTAACATAGTGGAGGTAGATTGTATACAAGCTGTTTATTGAGACATACTGCATTCTGAGCAGTGTCCTAGAGTAGCTACAGAGGAACTCAGATGATAAAGCAACATAATATTAATAGATAAAATATATCTGTGGGTGGGTTAGAAACTGAGACACCTTTTCAAATAGCCAAAAGTTGCATGCCAAAATTTATACTGAAATGTTATTAAAAAAACAAATTTTTCCCATTTCAGCACCATGCCCTCGGATAAGTAGCTCTGTTCCAAGGGCATATTTAACTACCCCCTCCTAGCTGTTATTTTTCCTTATTATGTTTTTTGGCCACTCTCAATTATTAAGATAATTATGTGACTAACCATGCCCAGTTCTTAATTAAAGAAAACACTTTTAGATGAAACCTTATTTCTGATTCTTTTCTTTACACTAGCATAACAAATAGTTCCACTGGTGAAAAACTTTACATTATTTTTAACGCTAAGTAAACTCTTAAGCAGTGCAAAATCAGTCTGGATGACAGGGCACAGCTTCTTAGGAATTTTATATCATAGAACTGGAAGAACCCCCAAGTCTCTTATCTTTGCTGTCAGAATGACCCCTATCTGTCGCACCATTGACATCTGATTTTCCCATTCCTGATGCTTAGACACATGAAAAAGGAAGAAGAGTCCAACTTTCATTTGCAGTTTTGAACAAAATTAATAGGTTGTACAAATTATTTAATCACAGGTTTAATTGGTTTGCAAAATAAGTTTAATTGCTAAAATAAATGGGAAGAAGAGTTATAGCTTGTTGTTGCATGGCAAACACCTTACATACAGAACATAAGGTTTACTTTTAGCTTGCCATAGCTGATATTTTCTTTCATCCTTTCATGAATTCGCTTTTCTAAGTTCTTCCTTTATATGTATATAAGCCCAGGGGCAGAATGGGGGCACACATATATATACACATATACGTATATACTATATGTGCTGTATATCTACGCATATGCAAAAAAGACCACAAATGTAAACAGAAACTGGCCTGGGCAATTTCAATGTGAAAGGCCACCTAGTAATTATATAAAGGTAACTATGAAACCCTAAAATTTTCTTGAAAGATCCCAAACTGCATAGTATTCCATGGTGTATATGTGCCACATTTTCTTAATCCGGTCTATCATTGTTGGACATTTGGGTTGGTTCCAAGTCTTTGCTATTGTGAATAATGCCACAATAAACATACGTGTGCATGTGTCTTTACAGCAGCATGATTTATAGTCCTTATACCCAATGCTAGATGATGAGTTAGTGGGTGCAGGGCACCAGCATGGCACATGTATACATATGTAACTAACCTGCACATTGTGCACATGTACCCTAAAACTTAAAGTATAATAATAATAAATAAATTTAAAAAAAAGATCCCAAACTATTGGTTGAAATGATTTTTGAATGCATACGTGCTAAATAGATGATTATAAAACAACTTGGAAAGCTCTATTTCCATTTATTTTTATCTAAATGAATTAAATGCACCCATATACTAGATTGCTGTTTCATGTATTCTTTTTTTAAAAACAACTAGGTGGTCCCACGTTCAGAAGGAAAAGTTCATACACTTACTCTGAGGGATGTAAAGTTAGAAGATGCTGGGGAAGTCCAACTAACAGCAAAAGATTTCAAAACTCACGCCAACCTCTTTGTGAAAGGTAATTACAAGGCTTATTTTAAAAACATGTATAAGGCAGAGGCTCATGAACAATGCCAACTCTCAATTATCTTTATATGATGAGTACTATAGATGTTTAAAATCAACCAAATAATCAAAAGTCTGATTTTACTTTTTAGCATAACAAAATAATTCACAGACTATCTTTTTAAAGAGCCAAAATTGACTAGCATAGGTTTTACTTCCTCCTTCCATCTCTATTGTTTTTATTGCACATCCTAGATTTTCAAAAGCCAGCTGGAGGAAGAATTATTATCAAGCTAGGTATCCATCACTTTATTAACCAAGAGTTGGCTGTTATTTCCTTAATGTTTCCTAGTTTTTAAAAATGATTTTCCTCTTGTCTGTACAAATAATGATAAAATATCATTTTTAGAGGAAAATGTCTGAGTGTAATCAAAACTTGAAAATAAAACTTAGGACAGAACAAAGCCCTGGAGATGGCAGGGGAAAGTTGAGAAGGTACCAAAACTCTTGGAGAAGGAAAGGAGTACCTTGGCTAATGAGTATGATTCTTTCAGAACCCCCAGTTGAATTCACTAAGCCTCTTGAGGACCAGACGGTCGAAGAGGGAGCCACTGCAGTGCTGGAGTGTGAAGTCTCCAGAGAAAATGCTAAGGTGAAATGGTTCAAAAATGGGACAGAAATCCTCAAAAGCAAGAAGTATGAAATTGTTGCTGATGGCAGGGTCAGAAAACTTGTTATACATGACTGTACCCCAGAGGATATTAAAACATACACTTGTGATGCTAAGGATTTTAAGACTTCCTGTAACCTGAATGTCGTGCGTAAGTATTCTTCTTACAAAGGACTTTTCATTTGCAATTCTTTAATAACTACAACAACAAAACAACACAACACTTTTTGCATGCCCTTCTTGGCCTAACTGCATTTCTTGGCAACTTCTAGTATTGACACTGACCTAACCTGATCCTTTATGTGTTTAAAGAAAAAAAGAAAAGAAAAGTCTTATTCTATGTCTGGTCTGATTAATGATGGAGCAATCACTTTTCCCTATGCTTCTTTTCTCTCACTGAGTAGTGAGTAGATGTGCTCTTTGTCTACATGGGGTCAGCCTACTGTATGGATATCCTGATATGGATGAGGAGAAACTGAATTTTAAAGATAAGTAGGGAGTCCTAATTTTAAAAACAAAGTAAAAGTGATTTCCATGTGGAAGGAAAATGAATTTTCAGGTGTGGGGAACAACTAGAAAATGAGCATGAAATTTCAGTCTGAATAGGAGCATACTAGAGATCTGCTGTAATATGACAAAGCACATTCACATGATTCAATCTCTGAGAATAAGAATGGATAAGAAGATGGAGTGAGGCCCTGGATCTTTTGAGTCCTGGACTCTTTGAATGAAGAGAACTCTAATGGTTTTTAACATTACTTCTTCCTCTGGTGAAAAATGTAATGTCTTTTTTCAAAATGCCACATACTAGCTTATTTGTTTCATTCATTCCTTTGTCCAGTGATGACATTTTTCTGCAAATTTTTTGTGCAATATTTGTTTGTTTGGTTTGGTTGCTTCCCATCTGTCAACAGCTACAACCTAGTGACTCTGTGCTTCATGCATCTTGTACCATGTTTTTCTTACCACTTTGTGGTTGCTCTGCTCAAGCTTATGTCAAAGTAGCTTCTTGGGTCTCCTTCTTCACCTTGACATCTACCTTCACTCCAAGAAGGCTCAGCTGCAAGGAGCATATTTTCAAACCTATTAGACAGCATTTGTCTCAGAATCTTATTGCTCAAGAATGGTCATCTTGGGAAGGACTCACAGGGAGCTCTGAAAGAAGGAAGGGCAAGGGGGCAGCTCCCTAATCCTATACACCAGCTGAATTAATTCTACAGATGAATGAAATAACAGATGTAAAATCCTAATCACCCTCCCATACAAAACACATTGCTTTATTGCACTAATAGATGTTATGCCTGACTTATATGTGACGTCTTCAAAGCTGATTTTTTTAAAAAGCTAAATGTATGTTTCAATTACAGCCTCATGCCTCTTAGCCATACACAAGGCTGGCCATAGTGCTTCACGTGTTCTATCTTTGAATTCTGCTAATTTCTCAAAGATTGTGCTAAGTGCCTTAAATAAGACAATGTTTCTTTGCCACTGGTGTCTGAAGTTTCCTTTGACATTATCTTTCAAGTCTGGTGCAGTGCAAATGAAGATTTTTCCTCCAGCTATTATTCAAAAGAACTGAGATGGCTCCCTAGTATATATACTGTACACACACACATGCACACTAGTTGAACATATAGAATGCCACATAATTTTATGTAAACTAAAGAGATATCTAAAAAGCAAAGCATCATACCTGATGGGCAGCTTCAAGTGATTTCAAAGTCAGTTGTAGTCTATTAAGATGGAAAATCCCTAAAAAAGAGTCACTTTTTCTTAATGTATACTATGGTAATGTCAGAGTAAATTTCCAGAAACCTCATTTTGAATTCTGATGACATTCTCTTACAGCTCCTCATGTGGAATTCTTAAGACCACTCACCGACCTTCAAGTTAGAGAAAAAGAAATGGCTCGATTTGAGTGTGAACTTTCCCGAGAAAATGCTAAGGTCTGTGACTGTATACCTGTCATCTTGTACTGTCAAATAACTTTATATTTACTTTTGGTCTAGCCAAAATGGAAAAAAAAAAGTTAGTCACAACTTCTCTGGTCACCACTTTACTTTTAAAGATAATTGTAGTATAAAATGTATTCTTGACTTTAATTGCTCTCTTTTTAGTATTATTAATTTACTATTACTTGAAAAACACTGGACTCACAATCAGGAGATTTAGATATTAGTTTGAACCATATGAAAGTGCTGTTTTCTTAGATCAGAAAGTCAAATATCAGCAATTATATTTCTTTCAACTAAGTACCTCCTGTTGCTATTAACTACCATTGGCAAGTTTCTTCAAGTCTGAGCCTTAGTTTACACATCCAAGAAGTTAGTCTGCATAATGTCTAAGGCTCACTATAGCTCTAAACTTATATGATCCCATTGTTTTTAATAACTGATAATAGTATCACAGCAGCTAACTTAACAGTAATTGGTAAGATTGTTCTTGCTTTTGGGGTTTGTTTATATTTGTGTCTGCCACCTTGGTTCTTCTTCACACTATGAAGTCTTGTTGGTTGCTTTCAGAAAAACTCAGGATCATAGTTTTTCTTAAGGACACCTGTGTGAAGGAACAACAAGAAAACTGATAATCTATTTATCTTAAATATAGGTTAAGTGGTTTAAAGATGGTGCTGAAATTAAAAAGGGCAAAAAATATGACATCATATCCAAGGGAGCAGTGCGCATTCTTGTCATCAACAAATGTCTACTGGATGATGAAGCTGAATATTCCTGTGAAGTAAGGACAGCGAGAACTTCTGGCATGCTGACAGTTCTGGGTAAGAGTAAAGTCATTCTTTGTGAAGTATATGTGTTGGGAAAAAATAATAATTTCCAGCTTAACTCAATGTGGTTTTTGTTTTTTCAATGCTTGCAGAAGAAGAAGCTGTCTTTACCAAAAATCTTGCCAACATTGAAGTTAGTGAAACAGACACTATAAAACTGGTTTGTGAAGTCTCCAAACCTGGCGCAGAAGTGATTTGGTATAAAGGGGATGAGGAGATCATTGAAACAGGAAGATATGAAATACTGACTGAAGGACGGAAGAGAATCCTGGTCATTCAGAACGCTCACCTTGAGGATGCTGGCAACTACAACTGTCGACTCCCAAGCTCTCGAACCGATGGCAAAGTCAAAGTACATGGTATGAAAACTACAGTGAATAATCTTTTATTTCTAACAATTCACACTTGCTAGATTTAAAGTACAAAGACATATGTTTCTAATATCTTGTAACTTTTTCTTCCCAGAACTGGCTGCTGAATTTATCTCAAAGCCTCAAAACCTTGAAATACTTGAAGGAGAAAAGGCTGAATTTGTCTGCTCTATATCAAAAGAAAGCTTTCCAGTCCAGTGGAAGAGGGATGATAAGACACTTGAATCTGGAGATAAATATGACGTTATTGCTGATGGTAAAAAGAGGGTCCTAGTTGTGAAAGATGCCACATTACAAGATATGGGCACTTACGTTGTCATGGTAGGGGCCGCCAGAGCAGCAGCTCACTTGACAGTCATTGGTAAGTTTGTTCTTGCTTTTAGGGTTTTTTGTTTGTTTGTTTGTTTTGTATTTGTATTTACCACTTTGATCATTATTCATACTATAAAGTCTTGTCGGTTGCTTTCAGAAAAACTCAGGATCGTAGTTCCTCTTAAGGACACCCGGGTGAAGGAACAACAGGAAGTTGTCTTCAACTGTGAAGTCAATACTGAAGGTGCCAAAGCCAAATGGTTCAGAAATGAAGAAGCTATATTTGATAGTTCAAAATACATCATTCTCCAAAAAGACCTAGTCTACACCCTCAGAATTAGAGATGCACACTTAGATGACCAAGCCAACTATAATGTGTCTTTGACCAATCACAGAGGTGAAAATGTTAAAAGTGCAGCCAATCTAATAGTAGAAGGTAAGTAATTTATATACCACTAGAGATTTTTTCATCAGTTTCTGTTATAAAAATAATTAAAATCAACATATTTTTCTCCTTTACAACAGAGGAAGACCTTAGGATTGTTGAGCCTCTTAAAGATATTGAAACAATGGAGAAGAAATCTGTCACATTCTGGTGCAAGGTGAATCGTCTCAATGTAACACTGAAGTGGACCAAAAATGGTGAAGAAGTGCCTTTTGACAACCGTGTCTCATACAGAGTTGATAAGTACAAGCACATGTTAACCATTAAAGACTGTGGCTTCCCAGATGAAGGTGAATACATTGTCACTGCTGGACAAGATAAATCTGTTGCTGAGCTTCTCATCATAGAAGCCCCGACAGAATTTGTGGAACACTTGGAAGATCAGACAGTCACTGAGTTCGATGACGCTGTCTTCTCCTGCCAGCTCTCCAGAGAGAAAGCCAATGTAAAATGGTACAGAAATGGGAGAGAAATCAAAGAAGGCAAAAAGTAAGCAAGATCTTTTTATTCTCTATTTCTGTAGCTATATATACACTTTTGACAATTTAGTGGCCATCATTGCAAGCTAACTGATAATCCAATGTCTCCTTTAGATACAAATTTGAAAAAGATGGAAGTATACACAGACTCATTATAAAAGATTGCAGGCTGGATGATGAGTGTGAATATGCTTGCGGGGTAGAAGACAGGAAGTCTCGTGCTAGACTTTTTGTGGAAGGTACATATTAAGTGAAAAAACAATTCTAATGTTACCAATTTTTTAAAATTGTTAATCAAAATGTAAACATATTTGTATTTATTTCACATTTTCTTTCCAGAAATTCCTGTTGAGATCATCAGGCCTCCACAAGATATTCTTGAAGCCCCTGGTGCTGATGTTGTCTTTTTAGCAGAACTCAATAAAGATAAGGTGGAAGTCCAATGGCTAAGAAATAACATGGTTGTTGTCCAGGGTGATAAACACCAGATGATGAGTGAAGGAAAGATACATCGACTACAGATTTGTGATATTAAGCCCCGTGACCAGGGTGAATACAGATTTATTGCCAAAGACAAAGAAGCCAGAGCTAAGCTTGAACTGGCAGGTCAGTCCCTTTATTTTAAAATATCCTTCCAATATCACAGAGTTTAGATTTCAGATTTCACAGTTATTTAATGAGGTAATCCTTGTGAGGGTCTTTCATTTCTAGCAAGCCCTACCCACATGTTAACAACTCTAATTTTGCTCACTACAAAGTAAGTGTCTTGAGTAAGAGGAAATTAATAGCAATAATCTTTACATGCCAGAGCCTTGGACAGTTGCTAGTACATGATGACTATTTATGAACTTAGGCTACAACTAAGCTATCACCCTGAGAGTCTTGGCAAATCTAAAGACGGTCTTATACTCTCCTACTTTACAAACCCCTGTGTGCCTTTTAGGTATGTTCTCATCCTGACCCAGGACATCCTTATACACTGTCCTTATGAAAAAGCCATTAGTGTACCTCTCATTCATAAGAAAAAAGTTTCTCTGATTTATTGAACTAAGTATGCAGTGCCTACTCTATCAAAAAACAAAACAAAACATGTTTTGCACTACACTGAGTCCTATGTTACTATTTTTGGCAAGGAATGCATGTCTTATGATTTTATGCCATTCTCAATCCTCTACTCTCCAATCTAATTTGCACGCACAACAACAACAAAAAGCTATGAGAACTCTAAGCCACTTAGTTTTCTCTGCTATAAAGTTACTGTAGCTTACTTCCAAGGTTATGTAACCAATATTTTCTAATAAATGCATAATAACATGATGTAGCTTGGCTACGTTTAATAGTCGAAAGCGTTCACATGTTATCTTTCTCACTAGCTGCACCAAAAATCAAGACAGCTGACCAAGACCTTGTGGTTGATGTTGGCAAGCCTCTGACAATGGTGGTGCCATATGATGCCTACCCCAAAGCAGAAGCTGAATGGTTTAAAGAAAATGAACCTTTATCTACAAAAACCATTGATACTACGGCTGAACAAACTTCTTTCAGAATTTTAGAAGCCAAGAAAGGAGACAAAGGGAGGTATAAAATTGTGCTTCAGAACAAACATGGAAAAGCAGAAGGATTCATCAATTTAAAAGTTATTGGTAAGCCCTTGGGTCTCTCAGACTTAATTGGCAAAGCACAATTTAAAAGCAAGACAGCACACTAAAAAAATTCCTCTATATGTGAATTTCAGATGTTCCTGGGCCAGTACGTAACTTAGAAGTGACAGAAACATTTGATGGTGAAGTGAGCCTTGCTTGGGAAGAACCTTTAACTGATGGTGGAAGCAAAATCATAGGTTACGTTGTTGAAAGACGTGACATTAAGAGAAAGACCTGGGTTCTGGCCACAGACCGTGCAGAGAGTTGTGAGTTTACTGTCACTGGTCTACAGAAAGGAGGAGTTGAGTACCTATTCCGTGTGAGTGCAAGAAACAGAGTTGGCACTGGTGAGCCAGTAGAAACTGACAATCCTGTAGAAGCAAGGAGTAAATATGGTAAGAAGTTTTAAGTAAATTCAAGTTAGCTTTTAAGTAAATTGCAGTCTTTGCCTTCATCATCGTTACCCCAAACTCATATTTTCTTCTTCTGTGGTGAAATCCAGATGTTCCAGGCCCTCCTTTGAATGTAACCATCACTGATGTGAATCGATTTGGTGTCTCACTGACATGGGAACCACCAGAGTATGATGGAGGTGCTGAGATCACAAACTACGTCATTGAATTAAGAGACAAGACTTCTATCAGGTGGGATACTGCCATGACTGTGAGAGCTGAAGACCTGTCTGCAACTGTTACTGATGTGGTAGAAGGACAGGAGTACAGTTTCCGAGTGAGAGCCCAAAATCGAATTGGAGTTGGAAAACCAAGTGCAGCCACACCCTTCGTCAAAGTTGCTGATCCAATTGGTAAGCCCATCAAAAAAGGGAAATAATTACTGCATGAAATCCAGATATTAGGCCTATCAATTAAAATAAATCAAGTTAAATGAAAGTTAATAAAAAGGTAGAATATCATAAAAATTTGGATAAAGTTTTAGAAACCCAGACTGTGCCTACTTTACTTAGTGAATTTGATAAACCTGTTAATGAGGATGATATAATTGATTACAACACTGTTTTCATAAATTGTCACTAACGTAAATGGTATGCTCCAACTCCTTCTTTTATTCCAGAGAGACCAAGTCCTCCTGTAAACCTAACTTCCTCAGATCAGACTCAGTCATCAGTTCAGCTCAAATGGGAACCTCCTCTGAAAGATGGAGGAAGCCCAATATTAGGCTATATAATTGAGCGATGCGAAGAAGGAAAAGATAATTGGATTCGTTGCAATATGAAACTTGTCCCTGAACTGACTTACAAGGTAGGTCATTTGCATATAAAAAAGAATATTCAATGTGGATCATGGACATAACTGTATGTGTTTTTTACAAATATTAATTCATAATCGTAGGTTACCGGATTGGAAAAAGGAAATAAATATTTATATAGAGTATCTGCAGAAAATAAAGCTGGTGTTTCAGATCCATCTGAAATTCTTGGTCCTCTCACCGCTGACGATGCATTTGGTAAATAGATATTTTATTTTTAGATCGGGGAATAGCACATAGCTACTTTGGGGCAACAGGGACTTAAATATGGCACTGCAAACTCATTAACTTTTCTTCTTTGTAGTTGAACCAACAATGGATTTAAGTGCATTTAAAGATGGTCTGGAAGTTATTGTCCCAAATCCTATCACGATCCTGGTTCCAAGTACAGGCTATCCAAGGCCAACTGCAACCTGGTGTTTTGGAGATAAAGTACTAGAAACAGGGGACCGGGTGAAAATGAAGACCTTGTCTGCCTATGCCGAACTTGTCATTTCTCCAAGTGAACGTTCAGACAAGGGCATTTATACACTGAAATTAGAAAACCGTGTGAAAACAATTTCTGGGGAAATTGATGTCAATGTAATTGGTAAGGAACAAAACATTTATCATCTAAGGTGATTTGGCAGTATTAACAAATATTAGTTCAGACTATTAACAGTGACTCGTGAGTGCATTTTTTTTCAGCTCGCCCAAGTGCACCCAAAGAATTGAAATTTGGTGATATAACCAAGGACTCAGTACATTTGACTTGGGAACCACCTGATGATGATGGAGGAAGTCCGTTAACTGGATACGTTGTTGAAAAACGAGAAGTCAGCCGGAAAACATGGACTAAAGTGAGTTTTGAGCAGCACTGCATCAATGCCAAAAATGAGAGTAGGGGAAATCCCAGAAGGTTGGGATGCCATACAAAAGTCTTATGTGCTACAACTTCTTACCTTTACCTCACTGAAAATGTACAAAAACTTTTTAAGAATGCATCGGTGCTAATGCTTCCTGAGGTAGCTCAACCAAGGATTGTATAATTGTAATTGTCTTGTCTTGTGAGCCTTACCAAATTTGTAATAAAAAAAAAAATTCCCTACTGACTTGGTACCTGCTAAGTACCCAATATGTACCCATTAAGCTAGAAGTGGAAAGTAAATATTTATTTCCCTGGTGGTCACACTTCTTATTCCACTAGAATACCTTAGTTGACCTAATCAGCCATTATTTCCTTGTGTTTATATTAGTTACTATTCTTTACCCTGAATTAAAATCATATTTCTGATAAGCAAACTGGTAGAATCAACACCTCATTTGCCATCTTTTTTCATGTGTACAAACTATGAAGCAGTTTTTCTTATATTGAGTCAAATATTATCATGTATCCTACTTTGCAATTTTCCCTAATATGAAATTAATGTAAGAATAATCCCTAGCATTCAAAACAACTGCAGTTTGTATCCCTGGTCATGGTAAAAATCTTTTGGGTTGGCGAAAGGGTTTTTTGGAAATAACTGATTAACTGTATTTCTTTGTCCCAGGTTATGGACTTTGTGACTGATCTAGAATTCACAGTTCCTGATCTTGTTCAAGGAAAAGAGTACTTATTTAAAGTTTGTGCTCGTAACAAATGTGGCCCTGGAGAACCTGCATATGTTGATGAACCTGTAAATATGTCAACTCCTGCAAGTGAGTACATTCTTGATGATTTCTTACCTAATCTTGTTGCCTGTTTTTGCTTTTAGACCTAGAGTTGAAGTTATGGGGCAAGGCAGGGGTTGGCAATGTGAAGAGAACTGCATAGGTGGCCTGTGTAAGACTGACTCTCTCTTCCAAATGTTGTAGCGGTACCTGACCCACCAGAGAATGTTAAATGGAGAGATCGAACAGCCAATAGCATCTTCTTAACATGGGATCCACCTAAAAATGATGGTGGTTCACGCATCAAAGGATATATAGTTGAAAGATGTCCACGTGGTTCTGATAAATGGGTTGCCTGTGGAGAACCTGTTGCAGAAACAAAGTAGGTTTTTAATTTGGCATGAGAGTAAATGTGTACTCCTAGTCACTAAAATGGGCTTTGTTGGGGAAAATTTAAATGTTTGTCTTTTTTCATTGAGAATCCTATGCTGCCGGTGTATCTGTCTGATTTTTAAAGGTGCTGCTGAATGTACTGCCTGCTCAGGGTTTTCATGACAGTATTGAAATGAAAATGTATTCAGTTATAGTGTTGAAGTAATCCAGGTTTAATTTAAAGACTAGTATTATACCAGGGGTTTGAATTTTTGAAAGATTATGAGTACTACACAATGAAACGATTATCGACATCACAGTAAAACATCCTATTCTGTTTTCTGACAGAATGGAAGTGACAGGTCTTGAGGAAGGCAAATGGTATGCCTACCGCGTGAAGGCCTTAAACAGGCAGGGTGCTAGCAAACCAAGCAGACCCACAGAGGAAATCCAGGCTGTGGACACACAAGGTATCTATTTTTGATTTTTGTCTTATCAAATAGGCCTCTGACCTTAAATCTGCTTGAACTTGATAACATCATAAATAATCTTTTCCAATTCAGAGGCCCCAGAAATCTTCCTCGATGTGAAGCTCCTTGCTGGTCTCACTGTAAAAGCTGGGACCAAGATTGAACTTCCTGCCACCGTAACCGGAAAACCTGAACCTAAAATAACTTGGACAAAGGCTGATATGATTCTGAAGCAGGACAAAAGAATTACCATTGAAAATGTCCCTAAGAAATCCACAGTGACTATTGTTGATAGTAAGAGAAGTGACACTGGCACATATATCATTGAGGCTGTGAATGTGTGTGGCCGGGCCACTGCTGTGGTGGAAGTGAACGTCTTAGGTAAGGAAGGTTCTCATTTTAAAAGGGGATAAACTCTTTGCAGTTACTTTCTTGAAAGAAAAAAATAAAAAAAATGGTGAACAATTTTTTTTTCTGCATCTGTAATGCCATACACAGATAAACCCGGACCACCAGCTGCCTTTGACATCACAGATGTAACCAATGAGTCATGTCTTCTAACATGGAACCCACCACGCGATGATGGTGGATCTAAGATCACAAACTATGTTGTGGAGAGACGAGCAACTGATAGTGAAGTGTGGCACAAGCTCTCATCCACCGTCAAGGATACAAACTTCAAGGCCACCAAATTAATCCCCAATAAAGAGTACATCTTCAGAGTTGCTGCAGAAAACATGTATGGTGTTGGTGAACCAGTTCAGGCCTCTCCAATAACAGCCAAATATCAGTTTGGTAAGTTTCTCAATCAGCTGATAAAAAAAAAAGGATGCTTATGTCAAACTTGCATTTTGGTGTCATATTTATATACAGGACATATAACATTTTACACCATTATCCTGTCTATAGATCCACCTGGTCCTCCAACTCGCCTAGAACCTTCTGATATCACTAAAGACGCAGTGACTCTCACATGGTGTGAGCCAGATGATGATGGTGGCAGCCCAATCACAGGATACTGGGTTGAAAGACTGGATCCTGATACAGATAAATGGGTTAGATGCAATAAGATGCCAGTAAAGGACACAACATACAGGTATGCTCAGAATCCCCATCAAGATGTTAAGACAGCAGTATATTCAAATGTTTACTCTTTAGTATTCCTTGGGATTACAGATGATTATATATTACTAAAAAAATTTTAAACTACTTTTACTCATATTTTCTATTACCTCATAATTTGAAAAATTATATAAATTCCATTCAAGGGCACATTTCTTAGTTTACTCTAAAATATTAACCTTCAGGAAGTTTCAAAGTGTTTGATCCCCCAGTATATTATGATAATGACCACTGTCATAGATATTATAATTAGATTGGTATGTTTGGCCCAGTCTAAAGTGTGTGGCAGTTAAAAAGCAATTTTTAATTTATATTGAAGTGCTTTTCAGTTAAATTTCCAAATCACCTTTTCACAATTTAAATAAATTAGTCTCTTCTGTGTAAAATAAACATAGGCTTCTTCTGCTTCTTACCATGATGATACACATGCACTTTGTTCCTAATTCAGAGTGAAAGGTCTCACTAATAAGAAAAAATACAGATTCCGTGTGTTGGCTGAAAATCTTGCTGGACCTGGAAAACCAAGCAAATCAACTGAACCAATCTTAATAAAGGATCCCATAGGTATTATTTATATAATTTTTGTGGTTATTTCGAAGTTCATATGAACTCCTTTTTGACAAACCTAAACAATGATTTCATTGGCTTGCAGATCCTCCATGGCCCCCTGGAAAACCAACTGTAAAAGATGTAGGCAAAACATCAGTAAGGTTGAATTGGACAAAACCAGAACATGATGGAGGTGCAAAGATTGAGTCTTATGTCATTGAAATGCTGAAGACTGGAACAGATGAGTGGGTCAGAGTGGCGGAAGGGGTTCCCACCACTCAGCACTTGCTCCCAGGGCTCATGGAAGGACAGGAATACTCATTCCGAGTTAGAGCTGTGAATAAGGCTGGGGAAAGTGAACCCAGTGAACCCAGTGACCCTGTGCTTTGCCGGGAGAAGCTATGTAAGTCACTCTTGATGTCTGGGATATATAAATTCTTCTAATATCTGCCTGTGAGCTACGATATGAGAAAATATGAAAAATTCATTACTATTATTTCCTCCTGGCTACATTACTTCTTAATGACTGCCTGCACTTTCAGACTGACTATTGGGTAATAAAAAAAAAAATGAATTTGTTTTCCTTCCTTCTTTTTCAGATCCTCCATCACCACCACGCTGGCTTGAAGTTATTAATATCACAAAAAATACAGCAGACCTAAAATGGACAGTTCCTGAGAAAGATGGAGGGTCCCCCATCACCAACTACATTGTGGAAAAGAGAGACGTCAGGCGAAAAGGCTGGCAAACAGTGGATACCACTGTCAAGGACACCAAGTGCACAGTCACCCCACTGACTGAGGGCTCTTTATATGTGTTCCGAGTTGCTGCAGAAAATGCTATAGGACAAAGCGACTACACCGAAATTGAGGACTCTGTGCTGGCCAAAGACACCTTTAGTATGCTCTTGCACTTAATCTTTGTGACAATAAGTGCTCTCGCACTTAATTTTTGTGACAGGAGATTATCACCTTTCCTCTGGTTTTCCTAATCATTGTTTATTTTATTTTCAGCCACTCCTGGACCACCCTACGCCCTGGCAGTGGTTGATGTGACAAAACGACATGTTGACCTAAAGTGGGAGCCACCTAAAAATGATGGTGGAAGACCAATACAGAGGTAGAATTTGAATTAATTCATAAAGAATAACTTACACTTGGCTGCAAATTCTTAACTGTGTTTTTTCATTAATGCTAATGAAATGCTTTGTTGTTTCAATAGATATGTCATTGAGAAGAAAGAAAGGTTAGGTACCCGTTGGGTGAAAGCTGGAAAGACTGCAGGACCTGACTGTAACTTCAGAGTAACTGATGTCATCGAAGGAACAGAGGTCCAGTTTCAGGTTCGGGCTGAAAATGAAGCTGGAGTTGGCCACCCAAGTGAACCCACAGAAATCCTATCCATTGAAGATCCAACAAGTAAGTAGTGCTGATTATACACAAGATATTGTCTAGAACTTGATGAGACTGTGGATATGAATATTTCACTCTTTTCTCAGGTCCTCCCTCACCACCCCTTGACCTACATGTGACTGATGCTGGGAGAAAACACATTGCCATTGCTTGGAAGCCTCCAGAGAAAAATGGTGGAAGTCCTATCATAGGATACCATGTTGAAATGTGTCCAGTAGGCACTGAGAAATGGATGAGAGTTAATTCTCGCCCAATAAAGGACTTGAAATTCAAGGTTGAAGAAGGTGTTGTTCCTGACAAAGAATATGTCCTGAGAGTGAGAGCAGTCAATGCTATTGGTGTCAGCGAGCCATCTGAAATCTCTGAAAATGTGGTTGCCAAAGACCCAGACTGTAAGAGCACAAGGTCTTTTATAGTTAATAAAATACCCTTTATTCATGCATTGCATTTTGACATACTCTGTTTTTTGCTCTTTTGAATGATATCTTACAGGCAAGCCAACAATTGACCTGGAGACTCATGACATTATTGTTATTGAAGGTGAAAAGTTAAGCATTCCTGTTCCCTTCAGAGCTGTCCCAGTTCCAACTGTTAGTTGGCATAAAGATGGCAAAGAAGTTAAAGCAAGTGATAGATTAACAATGAAGAATGATCACATCTCTGCACACCTTGAAGTTCCCAAGAGTGTCCGTGCAGATGCCGGAATTTATACCATTACACTGGAGAATAAGCTCGGCTCAGCAACAGCCTCAATCAATGTCAAAGTCATAGGTAATCATTCTTTGAAGAAAAACCAGACATTCTTCACATGTAGAGGAAATTAGTTAACTTTGCAGTGCTATTAATAATATAATTGGCTTCATGAACTGGCCACTTGTAAACTAAATGTCACTTCTGATTATGTCTTTCCATAGGAGAAGTAAAACAATTCTAAAGAGATGAAATCGCTAAACGCTTATTAGACTAATTTATACTAGTTTTAGTTAATTGCATGTGAAATACTAATTTAAATAACAGATATTAGCATACCCAAAGAGCATTGAAATGACCACAATTTTTTAATTGCACAGCTTCACATTTTCCCATAGTGTTCTTAACCAGGGATAGTAACATTTTCTGCATTCCCCCCAGCCCTGCAAATAATGTCTGGAAATTTGTGGGGCCATTTTTGCTTGGCACACAGACTTGAGGTAGATACCACTGACATTTAGTAGTTGGGAGCCAAGGATGCTAAATGCTCTGCAGTGTGAATGACACTCCAGCACATCAAAGATTATCCTACCCAAAATACAGATAGCCCCACTTAGAGACAAGTGCATTATTAAAATGCTGATTTTTCAGGATTACTAGAATAATTATCCATTTTTGTAATAGGCCTACCTGGACCATGCAAAGATATTAAAGCAAGTGACATTACCAAGAGTTCTTGTAAGTTAACTTGGGAACCTCCAGAATTTGATGGTGGAACCCCAATTCTTCATTATGTCCTGGAGCGCAGAGAAGCTGGGAGGAGAACATATATACCAGTCATGTCTGGTGAGAACAAACTGTCATGGACTGTGAAGGATCTCATACCAAATGGTGAATACTTCTTCCGTGTTAAAGCAGTCAACAAGGTTGGTGGAGGAGAATATATTGAACTGAAAAATCCAGTCATTGCTCAAGATCCAAAGCGTAAGTTTGGACATGGATGCACTATGGCTAAGAACTAATAAACCATAGTTTTGTTTTAAGAAGGTGGTTTTCCTGATACTAACATTTTTTTCTTGTTCTTCAGAACCCCCTGATCCACCTGTAGATGTAGAGGTTCATAATCCTACAGCGGAGGCAATGACTATTACATGGAAGCCACCTTTGTATGATGGAGGGAGCAAGATAATGGGCTACATCATAGAGAAGATTGCTAAGGGTGAAGAAAGGTGGAAGAGATGCAATGAACACCTGGTACCAATCCTGACCTATACAGCAAAAGGACTTGAAGAGGGGAAAGAGTACCAATTCCGTGTGCGAGCAGAGAACGCCGCGGGTATTAGTGAACCTTCTCGGGCTACTCCTCCAACCAAAGCTGTAGATCCCATTGGTAAGTTTTGTTTCATGGAGTTGCCACTTTCCCATTTTGAAATAAATGAAAATAATGTTTTGTCAGTTATTTTCATCAGAATTGAAAACATTTATTGGTTATGATCACTATAGATGCCCCCAAAGTCATTCTGAGAACAAGCCTAGAAGTGAAACGAGGTGATGAAATAGCACTTGATGCAAGTATTTCTGGATCACCTTACCCAACTATTACATGGATAAAGGATGAAAATGTTATTGTACCAGAGGAAATTAAGAAGCGTGCAGCACCCTTGGTTAGGAGAAGGAAGGGTGAAGTTCAAGAAGAAGAACCATTTGTCCTGCCTCTGACACAGCGTTTGAGTATTGACAACAGCAAAAAGGGAGAATCTCAGCTACGCGTCCGAGATTCTCTCCGACCTGACCATGGTCTGTATATGATCAAAGTTGAAAATGACCACGGTATTGCAAAAGCTCCTTGTACTGTCAGTGTGTTAGGTGAGTCATTAAAACTACACTTTCCAATGGAAAAAGGTTTTAGTAAAACATAAAAATAAAAAGTTTGGGAGAGAGTTAAAAGAAATGGGACATAGCTTCAGCAAGTTATCCTCAATCATATTTTATCTGCTGGCCATGTAAAAGAAATCACCTGATCTTGTTATTTATTAGCTAATGGAATACAAAGATAGATGTGGGAAAACCACAAATCATGTCAGAGGAGCATGCTCACATTTATATTTTCCATAGCAACCCTTCCCACACAAATTTTTGATTACTGTTCTCTTCTGAAATATTAGATACACCGGGACCACCAATCAACTTTGTATTTGAAGATATCAGAAAGACCTCAGTCCTTTGTAAATGGGAACCACCCCTTGATGATGGTGGCAGTGAAATCATAAACTACACTTTGGAAAAGAAAGACAAGACAAAACCCGACTCAGAATGGATTGTTGTCACTTCAACACTTAGACATTGCAAATATTCAGTAACAAAACTGATTGAAGGAAAAGAGTACCTCTTCCGTGTAAGAGCTGAAAACAGATTTGGGCCAGGTCCACCATGTGTTTCAAAGCCACTTGTGGCTAAAGATCCATTTGGTAAGTTTCCTTTGGCATCTAAAGTTTGCCTTTTTACCATGTACTTTGGTATATAATTACTACAGCTTTTAAAATTGCATTTTTATGTCATACTGGGAAATTTACTTCAAATGTTATTTTTTTATCAGGACCACCTGATGCACCAGATAAGCCCATTGTGGAAGATGTTACCAGCAACAGTATGCTAGTGAAATGGAATGAACCAAAAGATAATGGAAGCCCCATTTTGGGTTACTGGCTTGAAAAACGTGAAGTTAACAGTACACATTGGTCTCGTGTCAACAAAAGCCTTCTGAATGCCTTGAAAGCCAATGTAGATGGCTTATTAGAAGGACTCACCTATGTCTTCAGAGTATGTGCTGAAAATGCAGCTGGACCTGGAAAGTTCAGTCCACCTTCAGATCCCAAAACAGCACATGATCCAATCTGTAAGTAGTTCCTTAAGAAGAAGGTGGAGTAGAACAAGCTATTGTACATTTTAAAACCATCAGGGAGTTTGATTTGTCTATCTTCATTCATTCTAGCTCCTCCTGGGCCACCTATCCCAAGAGTCACTGACACAAGCTCTACAACTATTGAACTAGAATGGGAACCCCCAGCTTTCAATGGTGGTGGGGAAATTGTTGGCTATTTTGTTGATAAGCAGTTGGTTGGCACAAATGAATGGTCACGCTGCACAGAGAAGATGATCAAGGTCCGTCAGTACACCGTCAAAGAAATCCGAGAGGGTGCTGATTACAAACTTCGGGTGAGTGCTGTCAATGCCGCAGGGGAAGGACCGCCTGGAGAAACACAACCTGTTACTGTGGCTGAACCACAAGGTACTTAACGTTATTGGAATAAAATTATGGATATTTTCTCTATATGGGACTATTTTTTAATCTTTCATGGGCTAATGCATGACTGTTCTCTTTCAACAGAGCCTCCAGCTGTGGAACTGGATGTTTCTGTCAAGGGTGGAATACAAATAATGGCTGGGAAGACTCTTAGAATTCCAGCTGTGGTGACTGGTCGCCCTGTACCTACAAAAGTATGGACCAAAGAAGAAGGGGAGCTGGATAAAGACCGTGTTGTAATAGACAACGTTGGAACCAAATCTGAACTAATTATCAAGGATGCACTGCGAAAAGACCATGGCAGATATGTGATTACAGCTACAAATAGCTGTGGTTCCAAATTTGCAGCAGCCAGGGTAGAAGTTTTTGGTAAGGAATGTTGCACTGATTTTCACAGGATTTTCCCAAGTGATACTATCTTATTACATTGATTTTTGGCTTTGTTTTGTTTTCAGATGTCCCTGGTCCAGTTCTTGACTTAAAACCTGTTGTAACAAACAGAAAAATGTGTCTACTTAACTGGTCTGATCCAGAAGATGATGGAGGAAGTGAAATAACAGGCTTTATCATTGAAAGAAAAGATGCCAAGATGCATACTTGGAGACAACCAATAGAGACTGAGAGATCTAAATGTGACATCACAGGTCTGCTTGAGGGACAAGAATATAAGTTCCGTGTTATTGCCAAGAACAAGTTTGGCTGTGGCCCTCCTGTTGAAATAGGACCAATTCTTGCAGTTGATCCACTAGGTAAAAGAGAAGGTTTCATTGTGTTTATAGAGTAATGTTTTGCTTCTAGTTATATTATTTACTGAGCTTTATGGCTTCAAACTCCCAACAGTCTCAAAATCTATAGCTAAAGAGTAATAAGAAAAGTAAATCAAAAAACTATTAGCAACATTAAAGATATCATATTTCCTATAATTTCAATGTAATTTGTGGCTGTAAGTATATTAATCATGCATGGTTTCTTGTACTGAAAAACTTGGATCTACAGGGGCTTAATAATAACCTAGAAGTAGTTTAGACATATTATATCTCTCCAGTAGAACACATTGGAAGTCGGGTTTTTAAAACTTACTAGCGTAGTAGTTAAAGAGAATTCAATGTTCTTCTAAAAGATTAGACAATTCCTGAGAATAAATGCCTTAGTCTTCCTCTATATTCAAAAAGTCCCCATACTGGAAGGATAGAGAGGCCCAAAACCAGAAACAGCCTCCAAAGAATAGAAAACCAACCAGAGGGAATCTCCCAGAAATCAATACGAAACACTAAAATTGCACACACAGTAATGCACACTGACATCCCATCTAAGAAAGCAAAGGCTTTGAGGAAGACCCATTCCTCAAGAGACAGAAGAACTTATTCCTTCACCATCACCCCCTGAAAAAAAAAAATACATCCTATATCACTGCTGCAGCTCATCTATGAACGTCCAATATACCACAGGCTGTGCCAGAGGCACCAGAACAGAGCTGAGCTTCCACTCCTTCTGGTTGCAATAACAGTCAACAAGTATGGATTGGGTCTAGTTTTACCACTGAAAGCTTAACTCTTAGTTTGGTCCTTCAGGAAAGAAAACTTCAGCAGCATTACATACATCCTCTTTCCACCATATTTTGAACCCACATGTGAGGCAACATGACTCAAAGTATGTTCATAGACATATCCACTATCTGTTAATAAAAGAAAAAACACTTTGCTCTCAGCTGGTCATTCAAAGCAAAGCTTCACAGACTTACTTTCCTAGTTCAGTAGAATTAGAAGCATCCCCAGTTACAAAGGTAAACAATCTAAAATGTTAAATTAAAAAAGCATACGTGCCCTTGATTTATTTTTCACTGATAATCTTGATGAAAAGTTTGCTAAGAAAAATTCTGTCTACATGAATGTCTATAATTTTGGCAACTGACAAGTTTTAGGAATGATTTTAAATAAGGATGTAAGGTTATGCCAAACAGAAGGCTATTTTTTACATAATTAAGTTGAAGTGAAATATTATTTCTTACATGAATATTTATCTCATGCTAATCATTTTCACTTGCCTCTGGCTAAAGGTCCTCCAACATCTCCAGAGAGGCTCACATACACTGAAAGGACAAAGTCCACTATCACACTTGACTGGAAAGAGCCCCGCAGTAATGGTGGCAGTCCCATCCAAGGATATATCATTGAAAAACGGCGTCATGACAAACCTGACTTTGAAAGAGTTAACAAGCGACTCTGCCCAACCACATCTTTTCTGGTTGAAAATCTTGATGAACACCAAATGTATGAGTTCCGTGTCAAAGCTGTCAATGAAATTGGTGAAAGTGAACCATCCCTACCTCTTAATGTAGTCATACAAGATGATGAAGGTGCGGAATCTGAATATAATAATAATTTTAATGCATTTTACAGTGTGCCTTTATCCCATAAGTTGAAAAAAACATCCTTATGACTTTGTTACTGTTTTTCTTTCTCTTCTCTTTGCAGTGCCTCCAACTATTAAGTTGCGTCTGAGTGTTCGAGGAGACACTATCAAAGTTAAGGCAGGAGAGCCTGTCCACATCCCTGCAGATGTGACAGGCCTTCCAATGCCTAAGATTGAATGGTCCAAAAATGAAACTGTAATTGAAAAACCCACTGATGCACTTCAGATAACCAAGGAAGAGGTATCCCGAAGTGAGGCAAAAACTGAGCTTAGCATTCCCAAAGCGGTCCGGGAGGACAAAGGCACTTACACAGTTACTGCTTCCAATCGCCTTGGCTCAGTGTTCCGAAATGTTCACGTTGAAGTATATGGTAAGTGACTTGCTTTCTTACATCAAAAAGGCATCCAGTGTCTGTTTAAGAATTGCCTTCTCAATATTCTCTGTTGATTCCTTTCCAGACCGCCCATCCCCACCAAGAAATCTTGCTGTTACTGACATTAAAGCTGAATCTTGCTACTTGACATGGGATGCCCCTCTTGATAATGGTGGCAGTGAAATCACCCATTATGTTATTGACAAACGTGATGCAAGTAGGAAGAAAGCAGAATGGGAGGAAGTCACCAACACTGCTGTAGAGAAAAGATATGGGGTAAACTCTTCTGAATATTTTCTTATACACATTAAAAGTACATGACTCTGGTTTGATGCCATTTTAATATAACCTTGGAATTTGATAATTAAACTCAAAACCACACACGATAAGCTGTTATTTTGTTATTGTAGTGTTTAGCCCCACACACATAAGGCTCCTTAGTACATAGCGTTTGATACACAGATACTCTTTTAATTGAGATCCACTATCAGGTACAATACATCTACATATTTTTATTTTAAAAAAAGCTTTCTCCTTTTCTCTGTCTTCCCATGTTTTGAGTCTATATATTTATTTCTTCTTACAGTCATCCCTCCCAAAATAAGTTGAATTTTTAAATGAGTGAAAACCAACATAAGTATATTCTCTTCAATAAATTTCTGTTTTTCTAATTTCTAGATCTGGAAACTTATCCCCAATGGTCAGTATGAGTTCCGAGTCAGGGCAGTGAATAAATATGGAATCAGTGATGAGTGCAAATCAGATAAAGTAGTCATTCAAGATCCTTATCGCCTTCCTGGACCTCCAGGAAAACCAAAAGTTTTGGCACGCACCAAAGGATCAATGCTAGTGAGCTGGACTCCTCCTTTGGACAATGGTGGCTCTCCAATTACTGGCTACTGGCTGGAGAAAAGAGAAGAGGGAAGTCCTTATTGGTCACGTGTTAGCCGAGCACCAATAACCAAAGTGGGATTGAAAGGCGTGGAATTTAATGTTCCTCGTTTGCTTGAAGGCGTTAAATACCAGTTCAGAGCCATGGCAATAAATGCTGCAGGAATTGGTCCTCCCAGTGAACCATCAGATCCAGAGGTTGCAGGAGATCCCATATGTAAGTATGCTTCCGTTTCTGGGGACTAATTTCTAAAGCACAAAGTCACTAAATGGATAATTCTGCCTTAAATTTCTTATATTTTTCTATGCCAAATTATTTTATTTATTAAAATAAAAAAGGTTCATGTTCACATAGACTATCGGAAGTATATATTTATGTGTGTATACATACATGCACAGATATATACATACACACATACATAAAATCATACAGTTTGTAAACTCTTGGATTAAACCAAATATTTTATGAGGAATCACAATAATAAAGACCTGGACTATAAACTCCTATGTCTTCTGATACTTTAAATAAATTTCTATCTCATTAGATACTGGGGAAATCATCTCTCCCACTAAACAGTCAGACCTTCCAGTAGGAATTCAACAAAAAACAGAATGTTGTTAGCTTTTCTATAATATTATTGAACAAAGATTTAGGATTCTCAGGCATAGTCTGTGAGGTCAAATAAGAGAGAAAAATTCTTCTAAAAGATCTGTGAGCAGATTCGTTCAAAAATTAAAAAATACTGTGGCCATAATAATTCATCCTATTTGCTACATATCTGATTAGATTCTCTATAGAAGAAAAATTCAATTATTTGTTAAAAAGAAAATTTTAAATACTCAAGTGCTATGTGGAGCATATATACCTATATAATGAGGTAGTTATTCATTCATTTGCAAACTAGTATTGAACATGTGCTTTGTGCAAGGATCTATATTAACCACTGGAGGGGGAAAAGTTAAGATTAAAAAGACAAGTACAGTAAAAGAATTTCTGTAATTGTAAAGCACTTTCAGAAAGGTAAAGGATTGTTATGGGATTATTGTAGACACTGATCCTGTCCCTAAAGGGCATTAAGATTAGTTTGTGTTCAAAGGTTTACTAGCTATTGATGGAATCCTTTTTAAATTTTCATATTGTGGCAAATTAAATTTAAATCATGTTTTCAGTAAAGGCTATTGTAGAATTTCTTCAAAGGGATCTCAAAAGTAAAGTAGTTTTTTACCAATCATGTATAAATAGAATGTAAATCTAACAAGATAGGAAGTAGTCTTTCTATTCCCAGTTAGTTGTTTGCTTTCTCTGTTTTTGCATTAATGCTAAAGGAAAATAGACCATTTCCTTTATTTCTCTTCTCTAGAAGGCAACTGTATTTCCTTTTAGCATTTCTATTTTAATATTTTAATAGATTAAAATAATATATGATCATGTGTAGTAAAAGACTCCAGCACTTCATCAGCTTCAAAATCTGATGAAGCTTTTTTTTTTCTTTTGTTATTAGTTCCACCGGGGCCACCTTCTTGCCCAGAAGTTAAAGATAAAACGAAGTCAAGCATCTCACTAGGATGGAAACCTCCAGCCAAAGATGGTGGCAGCCCAATCAAAGGATACATTGTAGAAATGCAAGAAGAAGGTACTACTGACTGGAAAAGAGTAAATGAACCAGACAAACTTATAACTACCTGTGAATGTGTGGTGCCTAATCTGAAAGAGCTCAGGAAGTACAGATTCAGAGTGAAAGCTGTCAATGAAGCTGGTGAATCTGAACCAAGTGATACAACTGGGGAGATCCCTGCCACTGATATTCAAGGTACTAGTACTTACTCAGTTTATGTATTCCTCTTTTGATCTTATTATGAAATTGATTAATTTACTGAAGATATTTCAATTACTTTTGACAAATATGAGCTAAATCCTGTTAAATTGTATGTGGTATTACAGAGGAACCAGAAGTTTTCATTGACATTGGAGCACAGGACTGTCTGGTTTGTAAAGCTGGCTCACAGATTAGGATTCCTGCTGTCATCAAGGGACGCCCAACACCAAAATCATCTTGGGAATTTGATGGAAAGGCAAAGAAAGCAATGAAGGTAGGAAAATAACCATTCTCCTCTTTTTTCCACTGAATCACTATAAGGAGTATTTATACTACAACTGACTGTCTCCTTTTCTAATAGGATGGAGTTCATGACATACCCGAAGATGCACAGGTAAAAAAATAATAATTAAAATAATTCAGAATATGGTTGACTTCAATATTGCTATGATTTCATTCAATGTATGACTACTATTTTCTTTGTACAGCTGGAGACTGCTGAAAACTCCTCAGTAATTATTATTCCGGAGTGTAAACGATCTCATACAGGCAAATACAGCATCACAGCCAAGAATAAAGCAGGACAAAAGACTGCAAATTGCAGAGTTAAAGTCATGGGTAAGAAAGACTTTGAAAGTTGCTACAGAATAAAAACAAATTATTTTTAAGCATTTAAGGAACGTTGCTTATATTGTGATTTACATCCAACAGATGTACCAGGCCCACCCAAAGATCTGAAAGTCAGTGATATCACAAGGGGTAGTTGCAGACTTTCATGGAAGATGCCAGACGACGATGGAGGAGACAGGATCAAAGGCTATGTTATTGAGAAGAGGACTATTGATGGAAAAGCCTGGACCAAAGTCAATCCAGACTGTGGAAGCACCACATTTGTAGTGCCTGATCTCCTCTCTGAACAGCAATATTTCTTCCGTGTGCGAGCAGAAAACCGTTTTGGTATTGGCCCACCTGTGGAAACCATTCAGAGGACCACTGCCAGAGATCCGATATGTAAGCTTTAAAATCTAAATTTAAAATATCTTCTCAAAATTGAAGTATATTATTATAAACAACGCTTAATACTTCCTTTAATTATTTTTACAGATCCTCCTGATCCTCCTATTAAACTCAAGATTGGCCTCATCACAAAGAACACAGTGCATCTGTCATGGAAACCCCCGAAGAATGATGGGGGCTCCCCTGTTACCCACTATATTGTTGAGTGCCTTGCATGGGACCCTACTGGGACAAAGAAAGAAGCCTGGAGGCAGTGCAATAAGCGTGATGTGGAAGAACTGCAATTTACTGTTGAAGACCTAGTAGAGGGTGGGGAATATGAATTCCGAGTCAAAGCTGTCAATGCTGCAGGAGTCAGCAAGCCTTCAGCCACTGTTGGCCCTGTGACTGTCAAAGACCAGACATGTAAGTACCAATGTACTGACAAAGAATGTCCTCCTTACAGCTGCCTTCCTAGGTGTTCAATAATAGTTCACAATTAAAAGAGCTATATCTGTACCTTAGGAAGCTACTATGGCTTGAATGTAGACATGGGCACATTACTTAATTACTCATTCCTTCAATTTCCACAGAATTTTCACATTCCCTTACCTGTTACCTTTTCCCTGTTCAAAGGAGATGATGTCTGTAATTTCCTCGCTGTAATTTTCCTCGCAGTCTGTTTTATTTATCAGAGGCTAAAGCAATTTCTCTGCATGCTCCTCAAAAGGGACAGAAAGTAACCAGTCATTTTCTTAGCAACTGCTGAGACCCATTTATCTTCACAATCAAGTTTTTATTTCTCTATATGAGAAAAGATATATCCATTTTAATGAAGTATATATATATATATATATATATATATATATGGTAATAATTCTTCCTCTGATAATTACCATCACTACTGTTGTGTATTTGTTTATTCTCTCATCTAAGTGTGAAGAAACTGTAGTCACTACCCTCTTTGAATATTTCTGTCCTAAATTTGTGCAAAATGGAAAATTGCTTTCCTTTTATTAACAGTTATATTTCTTAAAAGGGGAATTCACCTTCTTGTGTATCCCTTCATAATTCTGTGTAAATATTAAAGAGAGTATCCCATGATACTCTCCTACTACAATCTCCTCTCTTCCCTTTTGTCAGGATATGAGAATATAATAATACACATCATTACATGCATAATGATGCCAAATAAAGTGAGGCAAGCACAGATACATAGCCACATGTAGATCCAATAAAAGATGCTGACCCCGTGTACCTGCTCCCCAAACTAGCGTAATAGTGTTAAAGACAGAACCATTCTTTATATTGGGCTGAGCTACAAAGTCTGCCTACAGTGGATCCAAACAACTTTATAGTAACTGTGAATTCTACTTTCTATCCCTCAATGCTTTTTGCTCCTAATGACAACTTTTTTTAAATAATCTAGGCCCACCATCAATTGATCTAAAAGAATTCATGGAGGTTGAAGAAGGAACCAATGTTAACATTGTGGCCAAAATTAAAGGTGTGCCATTCCCGACACTAACCTGGTTTAAAGCTCCTCCAAAGAAGCCTGATAACAAAGAACCTGTTCTCTATGACACCCATGTCAACAAACTGGTGGTAGATGATACTTGCACTTTAGTTATTCCGCAGTCTCGCAGGAGTGACACTGGCTTATATACCATCACAGCTGTAAATAATCTGGGAACAGCATCAAAGGAGATGAGACTGAATGTCCTGGGTAAAGACTGCATGGTTTGGTTAAAATTACTTGTTTTTCTGTTCATAAATAACATTTGGCTTTAAAATCATCTGAGTGATAAAGGGTTCCTTCTTTAAACCATTTTAGGTCGTCCTGGCCCTCCAGTGGGACCCATAAAATTTGAATCTGTTTCAGCAGATCAAATGACACTATCTTGGTTTCCACCTAAAGATGATGGTGGGTCTAAGATTACAAACTATGTAATTGAGAAAAGAGAAGCTAACAGGAAGACATGGGTCCATGTCTCCAGTGAACCTAAGGAGTGCACGTACACGATTCCCAAATTGCTAGAAGGCCATGAATATGTATTCCGAATCATGGCCCAGAATAAATATGGCATTGGAGAACCTCTTGACAGTGAACCTGAAACAGCAAGAAACCTCTTCTGTAAGTAGGAGAACATTTTCACATACAAAGCCATTTTTACTTTTTTTTTAAATTTCTTATAATCAATATGATCTTTTTCACAGCTGTCCCTGGAGCACCAGATAAACCAACAGTTAGCAGCGTGACTCGTAACTCCATGACTGTCAACTGGGAAGAGCCAGAATATGATGGAGGCTCTCCTGTGACAGGGTACTGGCTGGAAATGAAAGACACCACTTCAAAGAGATGGAAGAGAGTTAACCGAGATCCTATCAAAGCCATGACTTTGGGTGTTTCTTATAAAGTGACTGGTCTTATTGAAGGTTCCGACTATCAATTCCGGGTATATGCAATCAATGCTGCTGGCGTGGGTCCAGCAAGTCTGCCATCAGACCCAGCGACTGCTAGAGATCCAATTGGTAAGCCTGGAAACCATTCCTTTTTTTTAAATCTTATTTTCCAAAAGTGCCTTGGAAAAGTCAAGAATACTAACGTATACTGGCTCTTTGCAGCCCCTCCTGGTCCTCCATTTCCCAAAGTGACAGATTGGACTAAATCATCTGCAGATCTGGAGTGGTCTCCCCCACTAAAAGATGGTGGATCCAAAGTAACTGGATACATCGTTGAATATAAAGAAGAAGGAAAAGAAGAATGGGAAAAGGTAGGAAAACTTGGCACTAAGGAAATGCACTATGAATAAACTAAAAAATGTCATAGTTATTCTCAATCCCATTAACTTCTGTCTATACTTTTTGGATTAAGAAATCAGGAAAATAGCATAATTTTAACTCACATTCCAAACATCTGTTAATGTCAGAAATCGAATCAAAAGTTAAGTCATGTTATTACTAATCTTTTGGTTATAAACCCTGGAATGTGGAATAAATAAATCAAGGTTTAATCATTTGACAATAATTTTAAAGCATAACTCCTGCCAAGTTATTCCATTCAGTGTTGCCTGTAATATCTGATCCCTAAAACCTAAACCAGCAACAATTTTCCCAGAGTAAACAGTTAAATAGGCTGCTGGTGATGCTTTAGGAAGCCATTAAAGCAAGAAGCTACAAAGAACTATTCTAATTATAAAATGTCTATGATTTCTCCCCAGGGTAAAGATAAAGAAGTGAGAGGAACAAAGCTTGTTGTGACAGGATTAAAGGAAGGAGCATTCTACAAATTTAGAGTTAGAGCAGTCAACATTGCTGGCATTGGAGAACCTGGAGAGGTCACAGATGTCATTGAAATGAAGGACAGACTTGGTAATTATCAATCCTTCCTTATGCCATCAGTATTTATGTTTCAGATTGAAGGGGAAAAATCACATTTGTAATTTTCAATTGCTTCCAGTTTCACCTGACCTTCAGCTAGATGCCAGTGTCAGAGATAGAATTGTTGTCCATGCTGGAGGGGTGATCCGAATCATTGCCTATGTGTCTGGAAAGCCTCCTCCAACCGTCACCTGGAACATGAATGAAAGAACCTTACCTCAAGAAGCCACCATTGAGACCACAGCCATTAGCTCATCCATGGTCATCAAGAACTGCCAGAGGAGCCATCAAGGCGTCTATTCTCTTCTTGCCAAAAATGAAGCCGGAGAAAGAAAGAAGACAATTATTGTTGATGTATTAGGTAAATACTTTCAATTTGTCTGTGCAACTTTTTAAACCAACATTCTTATTATATTTACACAAAGCTATGCTGTATGCTGTGTAACAAACATTTTGGAAAATAAGAAAAATCACCCATAATCATGTTGAACATTATTAGAATTTTTAAAAATTTCCTCCTTACTTTTTTATTCTATGTGTATTCTGTATGGTGGGTGTAAGTTTACAAATTATATAATTGAGAAAACAGATGCTAACAAGAAGACATGCATCCATGTTTCCAGTGAACCTAAAGAGTGCATGTACACAATTCTCAAATTGCTAGAAGGCCATGAATATGTATTCTGAATCATGGCCCAGAATAAATATGGCTTTTTTATAGAACTTGCCCCCATAGTGTCTATTATGTTGTTATATAGTTTTCATAGAAGCAACTTTCCTTAAACTGTACATGAATGTTTAACAATCTGCAACTTTCCTTAAACTGTACATGAATGTTTAACAATTTGCCAGTGCTGACCATTTCACATCATGAGACTCTACCCCTATCGCTAAATTATCATAATAATGCAAAAACCTGTTTGAAGGGTTTCAGTATTCTAATTGAAGAGAAGCATCATAGTTGGTTATCAATATTGCATTTCTAGTCACTGAATATAGAGTTGAACTCTATGAGGCTTTTTCATGGCTCTCACTGGAGGCTTTAGTCCAGTGATTTGCTCAGAACACGAAGCCTTTCCACTCAGGGCTCTTTCTAAGCATGTCTCTAGGCACAACAATACTCCAGCCACAGTTTTTATGTGAAAATTGCCAGTTCTATGTTGAATATAATTAATATAAGAATGGCATAAGGAAAAATATTTCATTAAGCAGTAGCCCCACAAACTTTCAGGTTAGTTTCAAGCACCTAAAGCTCTTTTGCCTAATGGTTATTACTTTAATTTGAGAACTGGTACATTTCCACGTTAATTATTTGCAACCTCCTCAAAGTCATTCTGAAATTTGGGGCCTCCTATGCTGCTTGTTGATCCACTGGTCATCCAGAAATAAACCATCTCTCTCTCCGTTTCCCCTGCAGAGGAAACTGGACATAGAAACTGACTATGCCACTCTTACCCATCTCTTGTATCCCTCTGCATGCTTGCCTCCCAGCTCCCTCCTGTCCAACTCACAAATTGCTTTTAAAAAGCATTTTTATTTTCCCTTCAGCCTCTACTAAAACCATGGTAACCAATAACTGTTGCAAACCTACTTCATTAACAAATATGGGGCTTGATGCTATGGCTCACACCTGTAATCCCCTGACTTTGGGAGGCCAAGGCAGGTGGATCACTTGAGGTCAGGAGTTCGAGACCAGCCTGACCAACATGGTGAAACCCTGTCTCTACTAAAAATGCAAAAATTAGCCTGGTATGGTGGCACATGCCTGTAGTCCCAGCTACTTGGGAGGCTGAGGCAGGAGAATTGCTTGAACCTGGGAAGCGGAGGTTGCAGTGAGCTGAGATTGTGCCACTGAACTCCAGCCTGGGTGACAGAGCGAGACTCCCATCTCAAAAAAAAAAAAAAAAAAAAAAAGTGGTTGACTGTTTTTGTATTGACTAGATAGCAGAAGGAAAAACTAACTCAATTAGTAGACACAAAACCTTACTTTCTTCAAAACAACATTTTTGTCTCCTTTTAAAAAAACAAGTGTTGAGCATTATCTTTCATTGAAGGCAAACAGCTTGAATTATTTTCTTCTTATTTCCAGATGTTCCAGGTCCCGTTGGAACACCATTCCTAGCTCACAACCTAACCAATGAGTCCTGCAAACTGACATGGTTTTCTCCAGAAGATGATGGAGGCTCTCCAATCACCAATTATGTCATTGAAAAGCGTGAATCTGACCGCAGAGCATGGACCCCAGTGACATATACAGTTACCCGACAAAATGCTACTGTCCAGGGTCTCATTCAAGGAAAAGCCTACTTTTTCCGAATTGCGGCTGAAAATAGTATTGGCATGGGTCCATTTGTTGAGACATCAGAGGCACTTGTTATCAGAGAGCCAATAAGTAAGTAAAAAAAAAAAAATGTATACTTAATCACTTCTTTACTCATTTAGTACAAGACTATGGTGAAAAAATATGTGTATAAATGCCGTACATTTCATTCACTTGACAAGCAGTTATCACACAACTACTCAGTATCTGATTTGGTAGTATTTGGACAGTGATTGTGAAAGAGATTTTACAAATATGTATAATTCATTGAATTTCTTTTTGTTTTTTTTTTTCTTTTTGGTTTTGTTTTGACACATAGTCTTACTGTTACCGAGGCTGGAGTATAGTGTCATGATCTTGGCTCACTGCAACCTCCACCTCTGAGGTTCAAGTGATTCTTGTGTCTCAGTCTCCCGAGTAGCTGGGATTACAGACATGCACCACCATGCCCAGCTAATTTTTCTATTTCTAGTAGAGGCAGGGTTTTGCCATGTTGGCCAGGCTGGTCTCAAACTCCTGGCCTCAAGTGATCCACCTGCCTCGGCCTCCGAAAGTGCTGGCATTACCACTCCTAGTTCATTTATCAAATTTCTTCCATCTATACCTCACAGATTTTTTTTTAATTTCCCACTTAATGGCATTAATAGAAACTGAATTATTTTCCTACTTCTAAAACTACCAATTCTGAAGACCTTTCCTAAATTATTTTGCCTCAACAAACCTCTATTTCCTCATCTGTCAAGTGAAGAAATTCAATTGTATTGGGTCCTTTTTAACTCTAATAGTTTTATGATGAGATCTCTTTTGCTATTTATGGGAGCAGAGAGTTTAATGTTTAAATGCAATCTTCAGAAAAGGAATATTCACTACATCCTACTACATTCTTAATGTGACATTTTTTTCTACCACAATTCCTATACTTATATTCGCAGCTGTACCAGAGCGTCCTGAAGACCTGGAAGTCAAAGAAGTTACTAAAAATACTGTAACTTTGACTTGGAATCCTCCTAAGTATGATGGTGGGTCAGAAATTATTAACTATGTCCTAGAAAGTCGGCTCATTGGGACTGAGAAGTTCCACAAAGTTACAAATGACAACTTGCTTAGCAGAAAATACACTGTTAAAGGCTTAAAAGAAGGTGATACCTATGAGTACCGTGT
Organism: Homo sapiens; assembly: GCF_000001405.40. Taxonomy (NCBI): domain Eukaryota; kingdom Metazoa; phylum Chordata; class Mammalia; order Primates; family Hominidae; genus Homo; species Homo sapiens. The sequence goes on along the minus strand of NC_000002.12, from coordinate 178,594,417 downwards.
CAGTGCTGTCAACATTGTTGGACAAGGCAAACCATCATTTTGCACCAAACCAATTACTTGCAAGGATGAGCTGGGTATGTGTCTACTACAATTTATACTTCTGAAACTTGCACATTTGTAGATTTGTAATAAGACATCAATAAAAATGACTTGCCTTTATAATTACAAATTTTAGCACCCCCAACGCTTCACCTCGACTTCAGAGATAAGCTCACGATTCGAGTTGGTGAAGCTTTTGCCCTCACTGGCCGTTACTCAGGCAAACCAAAGCCTAAGGTTTCCTGGTTCAAAGATGAAGCTGATGTGCTGGAAGATGATCGCACTCATATAAAGACTACACCAGCAACACTTGCTTTAGAGAAGATCAAGGCCAAACGTTCAGATTCCGGCAAATACTGTGTGGTTGTGGAGAACAGTACAGGCTCTAGGAAAGGTTTCTGTCAAGTTAATGTTGTTGGTAAGTCTTATTTAGTGGAAAGAATAGATCTTCTGTTCTTTCAAAAGCAGAAATGGCAATAACATTTTGTGCCATGATTTTTTTTTTCTGCAGACCGTCCTGGACCACCAGTAGGACCAGTTAGTTTTGATGAGGTGACCAAAGATTACATGGTTATCTCTTGGAAGCCTCCTTTAGATGATGGAGGCAGTAAAATCACCAATTATATTATTGAGAAGAAGGAAGTGGGTAAAGACGTCTGGATGCCAGTGACATCTGCAAGTGCTAAAACAACATGCAAAGTTTCTAAACTACTTGAAGGAAAAGATTATATTTTCCGGATACATGCTGAAAATCTGTATGGAATAAGTGATCCTCTGGTGTCTGATTCAATGAAAGCCAAAGATCGTTTCAGTATGCATTATGTTTCTTTTTAGTGATTCAATGCTTGATAAAACTAATATAAAGAAATAAATTTCTAACGCATTTTCCAACATTTGTTACAGGGGTTCCTGATGCACCTGATCAGCCAATTGTTACAGAAGTTACCAAAGACTCTGCATTAGTAACCTGGAATAAGCCACATGATGGAGGAAAACCCATCACAAACTACATCCTGGAAAAGAGAGAAACTATGTCTAAACGATGGGCTAGAGTTACCAAAGATCCTATTCATCCATACACTAAATTTAGGGTTCCTGATCTTCTAGAAGGATGTCAGTATGAATTCCGGGTTTCTGCAGAAAATGAAATTGGTATTGGAGATCCAAGCCCACCATCCAAACCAGTCTTTGCTAAAGATCCAATTGGTATAGTATTAATGGATTTATTCAGTTTTCATGTTATCTAACTTTGTTTTCAGCTATATGCTAATTCGTTTTTTACTTTTATTTTTTAGCTAAACCAAGTCCACCTGTTAATCCTGAAGCAATAGATACAACATGCAATTCAGTCGATCTAACTTGGCAGCCACCACGTCATGATGGTGGGAGCAAGATTCTGGGTTATATTGTTGAGTACCAGAAAGTTGGAGATGAAGAGTGGAGAAGAGCCAATCACACCCCTGAGTCATGTCCTGAAACTAAATATAAAGTCACCGGTCTTCGGGACGGTCAAACCTATAAGTTTAGAGTGTTAGCAGTCAATGCAGCTGGTGAATCAGATCCAGCTCATGTTCCGGAGCCAGTCCTAGTAAAAGACAGGCTTGGTGAGTAAAATGCTCTCACTTGTGTTTGCAAGGAAAATAGATGTCTGATTGTATGTGTTTAATTGTAATCTGCATTATGGATCAAATCTGAGTGTTCTGTTCTCTTTATTCTAGAACCCCCTGAGTTGATTCTTGATGCCAACATGGCAAGAGAACAACACATTAAAGTTGGTGATACTCTAAGACTTAGTGCCATCATCAAAGGAGTGCCATTCCCAAAAGTAACTTGGAAAAAAGAAGACAGAGATGCTCCAACTAAAGCAAGAATTGATGTGACTCCAGTTGGTAGCAAGCTTGAAATTCGTAATGCTGCCCATGAAGATGGTGGAATTTATTCTTTAACAGTGGAGAATCCAGCTGGTTCAAAAACTGTCTCAGTAAAAGTACTTGTATTAGGTAAGAATTTTACTACTTAGGCCATTAAAAATAAATTTTGATAATTTTGAGCTCTTATATGGATAAAATTACTTATCAAACTGTTATTTAACACTTTTTAGATAAACCTGGGCCACCTAGAGATCTGGAAGTCAGTGAAATTAGGAAAGATTCATGTTACCTTACTTGGAAAGAACCACTGGATGATGGTGGTTCTGTTATTACCAATTATGTGGTTGAGAGGAGAGATGTTGCCAGCGCCCAGTGGTCACCTCTCTCAGCTACATCAAAGAAAAAGAGTCACTTCGCTAAGCATCTGAATGAAGGCAACCAGTACCTCTTCCGAGTAGCTGCGGAGAACCAGTATGGACGTGGTCCTTTTGTTGAAACACCAAAACCAATCAAGGCTTTGGATCCTCTCCGTAAGTTGCTTTCTCTGAATACAAAACTATTGTTTGACTGTCTTTAAGAATATTACTTTTTCATCATAACTTCTTCTTTGAAAAGATCCCCCAGGGCCACCCAAGGACCTGCACCATGTAGATGTTGACAAGACTGAAGTCTCCCTAGTCTGGAATAAGCCGGATCGTGATGGTGGTTCTCCAATCACTGGATATTTGGTAGAATATCAAGAAGAAGGCACCCAGGACTGGATTAAATTTAAGACTGTGACAAACTTAGAGTGTGTGGTTACTGGACTACAACAAGGAAAGACCTATAGATTCCGTGTAAAAGCTGAAAACATTGTGGGTCTTGGTCTCCCTGACACAACTATCCCGATAGAATGTCAAGAAAAACTAGGTAATTTTTGGACTAGCAGTATTACCTTATTTCTTTTTAAAATTATTCATATAGGTGAAAATCAAAATCTAATTTTTTCATGTTTACTTTTCAGTGCCTCCATCCGTGGAGCTAGATGTGAAATTAATTGAAGGTCTTGTGGTAAAGGCTGGAACCACAGTCAGATTCCCTGCTATTATAAGAGGTGTGCCTGTTCCTACTGCAAAGTGGACAACCGATGGGAGTGAGATTAAAACCGATGAGCACTACACAGTTGAAACAGACAACTTCTCATCAGTACTTACCATTAAGAACTGCTTAAGGAGAGACACTGGGGAATATCAAATCACAGTTTCCAATGCAGCCGGTAGCAAAACAGTAGCCGTACATCTTACTGTTCTTGATGTTCCTGGGCCACCAACAGGTCCTATTAATATTCTGGATGTTACTCCTGAACACATGACTATCTCATGGCAGCCACCTAAGGATGATGGAGGAAGCCCTGTGATAAATTATATTGTTGAGAAACAAGATACAAGGAAAGACACGTGGGGTGTTGTCTCTTCCGGAAGCAGTAAGACAAAGCTGAAAATCCCACATCTGCAGAAGGGCTGTGAATATGTTTTCCGAGTTAGAGCAGAGAATAAGATAGGTGTTGGTCCTCCCCTTGACTCCACACCTACTGTTGCTAAGCATAAATTTAGTCCTCCGTCTCCTCCTGGTAAACCAGTGGTTACTGACATTACTGAAAATGCAGCAACAGTGTCTTGGACCCTGCCAAAATCTGATGGTGGCAGTCCAATAACTGGCTACTATATGGAACGTCGAGAAGTAACTGGCAAATGGGTGAGGGTCAACAAAACACCTATCGCTGACCTGAAGTTCAGAGTGACTGGACTCTATGAAGGAAATACATATGAGTTTAGAGTTTTTGCTGAAAATCTTGCAGGACTAAGCAAACCATCCCCAAGTTCTGATCCAATAAAAGCTTGCCGGCCCATCAAACCACCTGGACCACCTATTAATCCTAAACTGAAAGACAAGAGCAGAGAAACAGCTGATTTGGTGTGGACAAAGCCTCTCAGTGATGGTGGTAGCCCCATTCTAGGATATGTAGTGGAATGTCAGAAACCTGGCACAGCACAATGGAACAGGATTAATAAAGATGAACTCATTAGGCAATGTGCCTTTAGGGTACCTGGACTAATTGAAGGAAATGAGTACAGATTCCGTATAAAGGCAGCTAATATTGTAGGAGAGGGTGAGCCAAGAGAACTAGCAGAATCTGTGATTGCAAAAGATATCCTTCATCCTCCAGAAGTAGAACTTGATGTTACTTGTCGTGATGTTATTACCGTGAGAGTAGGCCAAACTATCCGCATTCTAGCTCGAGTCAAAGGCAGACCTGAACCAGACATAACTTGGACTAAGGAAGGCAAAGTATTGGTCCGAGAAAAGAGGGTGGACCTTATTCAGGATCTACCTCGTGTTGAGTTACAAATTAAAGAAGCTGTTAGAGCTGATCATGGCAAGTATATCATCTCAGCTAAGAACAGCAGTGGACATGCCCAAGGTTCAGCCATCGTTAACGTCCTTGACAGACCTGGGCCTTGCCAGAATTTGAAGGTTACCAATGTAACCAAAGAGAACTGTACAATTTCTTGGGAAAACCCACTAGATAATGGTGGCTCAGAAATAACAAACTTCATAGTAGAATATCGCAAACCAAACCAGAAAGGCTGGTCAATTGTTGCATCAGATGTCACTAAACGATTAATCAAGGCCAACCTTTTAGCCAACAATGAATACTATTTCCGAGTTTGTGCAGAGAATAAAGTAGGTGTTGGGCCAACCATCGAAACAAAAACTCCCATTCTGGCTATTAACCCTATTGACAGACCAGGTGAGCCTGAAAACCTTCACATTGCAGATAAAGGAAAGACATTTGTCTATCTAAAGTGGCGGAGGCCTGACTATGATGGTGGCAGTCCAAATCTGTCATATCATGTTGAGAGAAGGCTTAAGGGCTCCGATGACTGGGAAAGAGTGCATAAAGGAAGCATTAAAGAAACTCACTACATGGTTGACAGATGTGTTGAAAACCAGATTTATGAGTTCAGAGTGCAAACAAAGAATGAAGGTGGGGAAAGTGACTGGGTGAAGACAGAGGAAGTTGTTGTGAAAGAAGACTTACAAAAACCAGTACTTGATCTGAAATTAAGTGGGGTCCTAACTGTCAAAGCAGGGGACACCATTAGGCTTGAGGCAGGGGTTAGAGGCAAACCATTCCCAGAAGTTGCATGGACCAAGGACAAAGACGCTACAGACTTAACAAGATCACCAAGGGTCAAGATTGATACCCGTGCTGATTCATCTAAATTTTCTCTTACTAAAGCAAAGCGAAGTGATGGGGGTAAATATGTAGTTACGGCAACTAACACGGCTGGCAGTTTTGTGGCCTATGCCACTGTCAATGTTTTAGATAAGCCTGGTCCTGTGAGAAATCTGAAAATTGTTGATGTGTCCAGTGATAGGTGTACTGTTTGCTGGGATCCACCAGAAGATGATGGTGGCTGTGAAATCCAAAATTATATTCTAGAAAAATGTGAGACAAAGCGAATGGTTTGGTCTACCTATTCTGCTACTGTCTTGACACCTGGTACTACAGTAACACGTCTCATAGAAGGAAATGAATATATTTTCAGAGTCCGTGCAGAAAATAAAATAGGCACAGGGCCTCCAACAGAAAGTAAACCAGTCATAGCCAAAACCAAGTATGATAAACCTGGTCGCCCTGATCCCCCAGAAGTCACTAAAGTAAGCAAAGAAGAGATGACTGTGGTTTGGAATCCACCTGAATATGATGGTGGAAAGTCTATAACTGGATACTTTTTGGAGAAAAAGGAAAAGCATTCAACACGATGGGTCCCTGTCAACAAGAGTGCAATCCCTGAGAGACGTATGAAAGTACAGAATCTCCTCCCAGACCATGAATATCAGTTCCGTGTCAAGGCAGAAAATGAAATTGGAATTGGAGAACCAAGCTTGCCTTCAAGACCGGTGGTGGCAAAAGACCCCATAGGTAGGATGTCCTTGTTTTTTCTGATATTACAGCAACTCTTAATCTCAAGCACAGAAGTATTCGATAAATAAGTTAATGTAACATCTAAATCTGTAACATCCAAACTGTATTTAGCAAATATTTTTCCAAATAGACCTTTTACCAAAATACCTAAAAGGTACAAACAATAGTAGATTCTCATTTTTATGAAGGAAAATAAAGAGGACACTAATTGAAAAATTGGATGACCTATATTTGATTAACTGAGAATAGGCTATATAAAATTACACATTGAAGTATCACTAGTAGTAGTTAACTATATGTATATTTTACTTTCAGAGCCACCTGGTCCACCAACCAATTTCAGAGTGGTTGATACAACCAAACATTCCATAACTCTTGGGTGGGGAAAACCAGTCTATGATGGTGGTGCACCGATCATTGGATATGTTGTGGAAATGAGACCAAAAATAGCAGATGCGTCTCCTGATGAAGGCTGGAAACGGTGTAATGCTGCAGCACAGCTTGTACGCAAGGAATTCACTGTTACCAGCTTGGATGAAAACCAGGAATATGAGTTCAGGGTGTGTGCCCAAAACCAAGTTGGTATTGGGCGCCCTGCAGAGCTAAAGGAAGCTATCAAACCTAAAGAAATACTAGGTAAGTCCTTCCCTTAGCATGTGATTCATTCACACTTAATTTCTTATGATTTCCCCACATTCTGAAAAATCAATTAATGACCTTAATGTCATTTGCAGAACCTCCGGAGATTGATTTGGATGCCAGCATGAGGAAACTGGTCATAGTGAGAGCAGGATGCCCTATTCGTCTCTTTGCTATAGTGAGAGGACGACCAGCCCCTAAAGTCACTTGGCGAAAAGTTGGCATTGATAATGTGGTCAGAAAAGGACAAGTTGATCTGGTTGACACTATGGCCTTCCTTGTCATCCCCAATTCTACCCGTGATGACTCAGGAAAATATTCCTTAACACTTGTGAACCCAGCAGGAGAAAAGGCTGTATTCGTAAATGTCAGAGTATTAGGTGGGTTACTAAAATGCTTCTCCCTCCCACTTCAAAAATGAATTTGTTAATAGGGATGCTGAGGAGACATGTATATCTGATTTTATGATTCTTTACAGACACTCCTGGGCCTGTGTCTGATTTAAAAGTTTCAGATGTCACTAAAACATCATGCCATGTGTCCTGGGCCCCTCCTGAAAACGACGGTGGGAGCCAAGTGACACATTATATCGTGGAGAAACGTGAGGCAGACAGAAAGACATGGTCGACCGTTACCCCAGAAGTTAAGAAAACAAGCTTCCATGTAACCAATCTTGTCCCTGGGAATGAGTATTACTTCAGAGTAACTGCTGTCAACGAATATGGCCCTGGCGTCCCAACAGATGTCCCAAAACCAGTGCTTGCATCAGATCCTCTAAGTAAGTATTATGCTTTCTTCCTCCTTTTAACCCCAGTCTCCTATTTTAGCAAGGTCAAGATACTAATACCATTTTAATCCACTTCTGAAAGAGATTTCATTTGTAGAGACCGAAATAGTGTAATAAATATCTATCTCACTCATGAAACACTTTTTTGATCTGTCTCATCTTATATGTTTTGCTTTTAATGTACTGAACTACAGGTTCTATGTACATTGGAGCAAATCCATACTAAAACTCTTATGTACATTAACAAAGGGGATTTGATTAGGTTACCTAGGTAATCTTCTAAATTATGTTTTTCTTCTAGGTGAGCCGGATCCCCCAAGGAAATTAGAAGTGACTGAAATGACCAAGAACAGTGCCACCTTAGCCTGGTTACCTCCCCTACGTGATGGAGGTGCTAAAATCGATGGCTACATCACTAGTTACAGAGAAGAAGAGCAGCCTGCAGATCGCTGGACAGAGTACTCAGTGGTAAAAGATCTGAGCCTTGTTGTCACTGGCCTAAAGGAAGGAAAGAAATACAAATTTAGAGTAGCGGCCAGAAATGCTGTTGGAGTCAGTTTGCCAAGAGAAGCTGAAGGAGTGTATGAAGCCAAAGAACAACTGTGTAAGTAGTCTTTGCTTCATTTATGTCATGTGGTAAGTTTATTAGAATTTCTTCTTTTATATGTAGACATTTCTCCCTGAGGAATCTAGCTCTAGAAATTCTTGAAAAACAGTAGAGAACAGTGGCTTTCAAACACATGAGTGGGCCAAAAACACACAGTAAATAAACTTATACAAACACATATATAACTAAAAAACATTTCCTGAAACAATACCCATTTATTATCATGTGCATTCTTATGTTTTCTACCCTATTCTGTGTTTTTAAAAATATTGGCTGTACAACAAACATATGAAGAAAAGCTCATCACCACTGGTCACTAGAGAAATGCAAATCAAAACCACAATGAGATACCATCTCACACCAGTTAGAATGGTGATCACTAAAAAGTCAGGAAACAACAGGTGCTAGAGAGGATGTGGAGAAATAGGAAAGCTTTTACACTGTTGGTGGGAGTGTAAATTAGTTCAACCATTATGGAAGACAGTGTGGCGATTCCTCAAGGATCTAGAACCAGAAATACCATTTGACCCAGCAATCTCATTACTGGGTATATACCCAAAGGATTATAAATCATTCTACTATAAAGACACATGCACATGTATGTTTATTGTGGCACTGTTCACAATAGCAAAGACTTGGAACCAACCCAAATGCCCATCAATGACAGACTGGATAAAGAAAATGTGGCACCACATTTACACCACAGGATACTACGCAGCCATAAAAAAGGATGAGTTCATGTCCTTTGCAGGGACATGGATGAAGCTGGAAACCATCATTCTCAGCAAACACAAGAACAGAAAACCAAACACCACATGTTCTCACTCATAAGTGGGAGCTGAACAATGAAAACACATGGACACAGGGAGGGGAGCATCACACACTGGGGCCTGTCAGGGGTTGGGAGGCTAGGGGAAGGATAGCATTAGGAGAATACCTAATGTAGACGATGTGTTGATGGGTGCAGCAAATCACCATGGCACATGTATACCTATGTAACAAGCCTGCACATTCTGCATATGTATCCCAGAACTTAAAGTATATATTAAAAAAAATTGGTGGTAATACAAGCATTAATTTGCACCAGTATAGCTCTCCACCAGAAGAAACTTATCCACCTTCCCAAAATTAATATCTTTTCATTTTACTTTCAGTGCCACCAAAGATCCTTATGCCAGAGCAAATAACTATCAAAGCTGGGAAAAAACTCCGAATTGAAGCCCATGTGTATGGAAAGCCTCATCCCACCTGTAAATGGAAAAAAGGAGAAGATGAAGTTGTCACATCCAGCCACCTGGCAGTGCATAAAGCAGACAGCTCTTCAATTCTGATCATAAAAGATGTGACTAGGAAAGACAGTGGTTACTACAGCCTCACAGCAGAGAACAGTTCTGGGACAGACACTCAGAAAATCAAAGTTGTAGTCATGGGTAAGTTAAGTATTAGACAAATGGCCATCTAAATATGAAGCTCAGAAATATTTTTACGTATCAAATCCTTGTTCTTACATTTCTTTCCTCTTGGTTCATGTAGATGCCCCCGGCCCCCCTCAGCCTCCATTTGACATTTCTGATATAGACGCTGATGCTTGCTCCCTGTCATGGCACATCCCTCTGGAGGACGGAGGCAGTAACATCACCAATTATATAGTGGAGAAGTGTGATGTAAGCCGAGGTGACTGGGTCACGGCTCTAGCTTCAGTCACAAAAACTTCCTGCAGGGTTGGAAAGCTGATCCCAGGCCAGGAGTACATCTTCCGGGTCCGTGCTGAAAACCGATTTGGCATTTCAGAGCCTCTCACATCTCCAAAGATGGTTGCGCAGTTCCCATTTGGTATGTTTTTGTGAAGGAGAAAAAAAGTTGTTTTCTTTCTAGTTTGTTACTTAATGTAGAAACTGACATCTTCCTTGTCTTCATCTCCAGGTGTTCCTAGTGAACCAAAGAATGCACGAGTCACCAAAGTCAACAAGGACTGTATTTTTGTTGCTTGGGACAGACCAGATAGTGATGGAGGGAGCCCCATTATTGGTTATCTGATTGAACGCAAGGAAAGAAACAGTTTGCTGTGGGTGAAAGCCAATGATACTCTTGTCCGGTCAACTGAATATCCTTGTGCTGGCCTTGTAGAAGGTCTTGAGTATTCATTCAGAATCTATGCCCTAAACAAAGCTGGATCCAGCCCACCCAGCAAACCCACAGAATATGTAACTGCAAGAATGCCAGTTGGTAAGTTTTGGGGTTTTTTTATTGTTGTTGTTGTTTTAGTATTATGGAGGCACATTTAAATCTCGGAGTCTAAGATTTGGACTCCAAGACACAGAGAGTAGTAGAGATCTGAAGATTACAACTCCCATTTAAGAATATGTTCTATCTCTTACAATGAAGATGACATATTAAAAAAAGAAAAGGACATATAATTTCCTTTAAAGCATACAGCAAGGACTCAAAAGTGCATACTAGTTGGACGGTTATTAAAATGGGATAATTGTCTTCCTGTTGAGCTTGTTACTTAGCAGCAGGGATGATAATGTGAAATATGGAAGTTTAAACTTCTGCTGGTAAGATAAATGGTGAGTGTACCTCTTTTTGTTTTAGATCCTCCTGGGAAACCTGAGGTTATTGATGTCACCAAGAGTACTGTATCTCTGATCTGGGCTCGTCCAAAGCATGATGGAGGCAGTAAAATTATTGGCTATTTCGTAGAAGCTTGCAAACTTCCTGGTGATAAATGGGTACGGTGCAATACTGCACCTCACCAGATTCCCCAGGAAGAGTACACAGCTACTGGCCTAGAAGAGAAAGCTCAGTATCAATTTAGAGCTATTGCCAGGACCGCGGTAAACATTAGCCCACCTTCTGAACCTTCTGATCCAGTGACTATCCTCGCAGAAAATGGTAAGATTCTGCTGAGTATTATAGGCAAAGATGTAACAGCATTCATGATGGTCATTTTTCCTAATAAAAAACTAAATATACACCTAAGGAAAAAAGGAAAATTAAAATGATGTTTTGTATATAGACACAAACATTATGATTATGGAGAATCATAATAACATGCTAAATTAAAAAGCAAGATACACAACTGTGGCAACTATATAATTTCAATAGTTATTCAATAGTGCAGTTATTATTTGTCTATTAAAAATAAACAAAATGAAATAACACTAAAATTCCATTCTTGAAAGAAGCAGCATATGAATTTCCCACTATTATTAATAAGGATTACATAATATAGCTTTGCATACATTAAGTCCTTTATCTTATTTCTTTCCAGTCCCTCCCAGGATAGACCTGAGTGTGGCTATGAAATCTTTGCTTACTGTGAAAGCTGGAACTAATGTCTGCTTGGATGCTACTGTTTTTGGTAAACCGATGCCAACAGTTTCTTGGAAAAAAGATGGCACACTGCTAAAACCAGCAGAAGGCATAAAGATGGCCATGCAGCGGAATCTGTGCACCTTGGAGCTATTCAGCGTGAACCGGAAGGACTCAGGAGACTATACCATTACTGCTGAAAATTCAAGTGGTTCTAAATCAGCCACCATTAAGCTTAAAGTGTTAGGTAACTAATAAACTTCATTGGAATCCCATATTTTACTTTGGATAATGGGATGTAAATAGGATTTACAGAATAATGTGGGAGAAGACATTCATATTCTAATGTGTATTTCCTATGCACAGAATTATTCTTATGACAGAACCACGTTTTAGAGTTAAAAAGAGCTTTAGAAATCACATATTTCAATTACCTAATTTTACAAGTGAAGAAACTAAGATTCTAAAAAATTAACTAACCTCCTAGGTCATATAGGAAATTGACAATAGAAAGACTGCAGCCCAGGTCTCCAGACCTCTACTCTATACTCATTCCCCATTCCACATATTCACTCTTCTTCCTTATTCCTTCAGATAAACCGGGTCCTCCAGCATCTGTTAAAATCAACAAAATGTATTCAGATCGTGCTATGCTTTCTTGGGAACCGCCTCTTGAAGATGGAGGCTCAGAAATCACCAACTATATTGTTGACAAACGTGAAACAAGCAGGCCCAACTGGGCTCAAGTCTCTGCAACTGTGCCTATCACCAGCTGCAGCGTGGAGAAACTTATAGAGGGCCATGAGTATCAGTTCCGTATTTGTGCTGAAAATAAATATGGAGTAGGCGATCCAGTCTTCACTGAACCAGCAATTGCCAAAAACCCATATGGTAGGAACATTTCCCGGTGGTTTTTCATTTTATTTTTTAAAATTATCTTTTAGCCTGGGAAATTAACTTTTCAATCAATTTCTGCAGACCCACCAGGACGCTGTGATCCTCCTGTTATTAGCAACATAACCAAAGATCACATGACAGTCAGCTGGAAGCCACCAGCAGATGATGGGGGCTCACCCATCACTGGCTATTTGCTTGAAAAGCGGGAAACCCAGGCTGTTAACTGGACTAAGGTCAACAGAAAACCTATTATAGAAAGAACATTAAAAGCAACAGGTCTTCAAGAAGGTACCGAATATGAGTTCCGTGTTACAGCTATAAATAAAGCTGGACCAGGCAAACCCAGTGACGCATCCAAGGCCGCTTATGCTCGGGACCCTCAGTGTAAGTGTTCATGAACGAGTTCCATATCCTGTGTTAAAAGCAGCATTAAACACCCAGGAAGGAAGTTTTCATGAAAATTTCCTATCATTATTTATTCTCAGATCCTCCTGGCCCACCGGCTTTCCCTAAAGTATATGATACAACTCGCAGCTCTGTGAGTCTATCTTGGGGCAAGCCAGCCTATGACGGCGGCAGCCCTATCATTGGTTATCTCGTTGAAGTAAAACGGGCTGACTCCGATAACTGGGTGAGGTGCAACTTACCACAGAATCTACAGAAAACCCGCTTTGAGGTTACTGGCCTGATGGAAGACACACAATATCAATTCCGTGTGTATGCCGTTAATAAGATTGGATACAGTGACCCCAGTGATGTGCCAGATAAACACTATCCCAAGGACATCTTAAGTAAGTATTACCAGGGGGAGTACATAAGGCTTTTCCTATTAATCATATTCTAAGAGGGAGACTAGAACTCCCTTAGGTAGATTAATTTATTAACAAGGTGTAGAGCTGGTAACTCCAAGAGTACTTTTTAGGAGAGCTGGGTGGGTACTTTACGGTATTGTGGAACAGGCAAATCAAATGCACATGATTTGTGGTTTTGAAAAGCTTTTCATATATATAAGAATTTCCTGTCTTCAAAAGACATGAAATGAGAGAATTTTATTGGAATGTAAGAATTTTATTTTAGGAATAAAGAGGCCTTTTAACTAAGTAGTGAGCTATTTACTATTCTTAGGGTTTCTGTTTTCCAATCCACCATCTCCCTAAGTATGTGACTGGTGGGCTCTCCATCTTAATTTCCCTTCTTCTTATTTCTTCTATTTGCTTATCCTCCATGATAATTTCCCCTTTATTTGAATTACTTGATATTATATGTCACCCTCCAGGTACTTTTCTTCCTACTATGAAATAATAAAGAGAGCTAGAATATGTGGCAGAATACCTTCATGGAATATAGAAAGGAAAAAACAAGAATGAAAGGGAGCCAAAAATCAATCGTCTACTTTCCTTTTAATATATGTAGCATTTCAGAGTACATAAGGCTCATGAAAGAGGAGGTACAGATCCTCCGGGGGGAAAACCTGGTTAAGCCTAAAGCATAGTGGAAAATGGAAAGATCAACAATTAGTACAGAACAGAAAAATGATTTTGAGGATTGTATTAAGGAAGTTTTAAAGAACAAGAAATCAGCTCTAGAAAATAAATGTATTTTAGGAGTGACAAGGCCAGTCCCTGGAAATACATTTGACTATTAAATTTTTATTTAACTTCTTCACCCAAAATTAAACAGTTCCACCTGAGGGAGAACTTGATGCGGACTTAAGGAAGACACTCATATTACGTGCTGGAGTTACTATGAGACTATATGTACCAGTAAAAGGACGCCCACCTCCAAAGATTACTTGGTCTAAACCAAATGTCAATCTAAGAGACAGGATTGGACTGGACATAAAGTCAACTGACTTTGACACTTTCTTGCGCTGTGAAAATGTGAACAAATATGATGCAGGAAAATATATCTTAACCCTGGAGAACAGCTGTGGTAAAAAGGAATATACCATTGTTGTGAAAGTGCTTGGTAAGTCTATTTCAAAAAAGAATCATATATATTTTAAAATAGCTTATGTATTTTTTACACATTCATTTCTTATTTACCTACTATTTATCCAGATACTCCTGGGCCACCTGTCAATGTGACTGTTAAGGAAATATCCAAAGACTCTGCTTATGTTACCTGGGAGCCTCCCATTATTGATGGCGGAAGCCCCATCATAAACTATGTGGTACAAAAACGTGATGCAGAGAGGAAATCCTGGTCTACAGTGACAACTGAGTGCTCCAAAACAAGCTTCAGAGTAGCTAATTTGGAGGAGGGAAAATCCTACTTCTTCCGAGTGTTTGCTGAAAATGAGTATGGCATTGGTGATCCCGGTGAAACTCGTGATGCTGTCAAAGCTTCCCGTAAGCAAATGAACCATCATCCCATCATTTTGAGTTATATCCTTCCTTTGTTATATGGGGCTTACACTTATCATTTCTCCTTTGCTTTAGAAACTCCTGGACCAGTTGTGGACCTGAAAGTGAGGTCTGTATCTAAGTCATCCTGTAGCATTGGCTGGAAAAAGCCTCACAGTGATGGTGGAAGTCGGATTATTGGATATGTAGTTGATTTCCTGACTGAAGAAAATAAGTGGCAACGAGTTATGAAATCCTTAAGCCTACAGTACTCTGCAAAAGATTTGACTGAAGGGAAGGAATATACCTTCAGAGTGAGTGCTGAGAATGAAAATGGAGAAGGAACCCCAAGCGAAATCACTGTTGTGGCAAGGGATGATGTTGGTAAGGCTCTATGCACACATCTTCATTTTTCCTTTATTGTCATCGAAAGTGCACTCTTGTGTCCCACTCACTAGCTTATCTAAAAATCCGTTAAAAGCTAGAACTATTTGAAAAAGTTAATCGCCTGGCCTTAAAAATAACAGTAATTTATCTCTGCTATTTTACAGTGGCTCCTGATCTTGACTTAAAGGGTCTACCTGATTTGTGCTACTTGGCTAAAGAAAACAGCAACTTCCGGCTTAAGATCCCCATAAAAGGCAAGCCAGCTCCATCAGTCTCCTGGAAGAAAGGGGAAGATCCTCTAGCAACTGACACTAGAGTCAGTGTTGAGTCATCTGCGGTTAACACAACTCTTATAGTGTACGATTGCCAAAAATCTGATGCTGGAAAATACACAATCACACTTAAGAATGTTGCTGGCACCAAGGAAGGAACTATCTCCATAAAGGTTGTTGGCAAGCCTGGCATCCCCACTGGACCAATCAAATTTGATGAAGTCACAGCAGAAGCCATGACCTTAAAGTGGGCTCCTCCAAAGGATGATGGAGGTTCTGAAATCACCAACTATATCCTAGAGAAGAGGGATTCTGTGAACAACAAGTGGGTGACGTGCGCCTCAGCTGTCCAGAAAACCACCTTTAGAGTAACCAGACTTCATGAGGGCATGGAATATACCTTCAGGGTCAGTGCCGAAAATAAATATGGTGTAGGGGAAGGCCTGAAATCGGAGCCAATTGTTGCGAGACATCCATTTGGTAAGTGTCTTAAATTCAGAAGACGTAAAGCAAAACACGGTTTTGAGGAGGCTTCTTATTATAAATCTTGCATTATCTACTTTTTTCTAGATGTGCCTGATGCTCCCCCACCTCCCAATATTGTGGATGTCAGACACGATTCAGTATCTCTAACTTGGACTGACCCCAAGAAAACTGGTGGTTCTCCAATTACAGGTATTTTGTTTGTTCTTATCCTACAGCTTTTACATCAAGATTCCTCACAAATATTTCCCTGAGAACAGTTGAACATGTGCTTATCGATAACATTATCTGCTTATACAGAAATGTGTTTTTATTTCAGTACATATGGTTAATGTTTAATTTTATTGAAAATATCCTAATGTAATAGTTAATAAAGTATTTCTTAATTATAATATCTATTTTTGTAAGTTAAAATTGTTCACCAAAAAAGACAACAACTATGCATATTCCAAGAGGAAAAAAAAAATGGCACTATGCTTGGGTAATAAAAGTATAGATACTAGCAAGAATGACTACTTGTTCAATATATATGGATATGTATAAATAATTTGGGCAACACATATATATTGTAAAATCAAGCTGCATTTATACTTGATACATCCCTGGGTCTTTTGTAGGGTATCATCTCGAGTTCAAGGAAAGAAACAGCCTTTTGTGGAAGAGAGCTAACAAGACTCCGATAAGGATGAGAGACTTTAAAGTGACAGGATTAACTGAAGGTCTTGAATATGAATTCCGAGTTATGGCAATCAATTTAGCAGGTGTGGGCAAGCCAAGCCTACCATCAGAGCCTGTTGTGGCACTGGACCCAATTGGTAAGTCATTATATGAAGAAAAACCCAGGTGCATGTTTTACATGAAGAAAACTGGTATTTGTTTGACTGGTTTTGCTTTTATGTTTTAGATCCTCCTGGAAAACCTGAGGTTATTAACATAACAAGGAATTCAGTGACTCTCATTTGGACTGAACCTAAATATGACGGTGGTCATAAGTTAACTGGATATATAGTGGAGAAGCGAGATCTACCTTCGAAGTCTTGGATGAAAGCCAACCATGTTAATGTCCCAGAATGTGCCTTTACTGTAACTGACCTTGTTGAGGGTGGAAAATATGAATTCAGAATTAGAGCAAAGAATACAGCAGGTGCTATCAGTGCTCCATCAGAAAGTACAGAAACCATTATTTGCAAGGATGAATACGGTAGGTCCATTTTACTTTTTATGTACTTTTTTTTTTAAAGCAAATTAAGCCTCCTTCCTTTTCTGATTAAAATGTATTTTTTTCTTTGCAGAGGCACCAACAATTGTCCTTGATCCCACAATAAAAGATGGGCTAACAATTAAAGCAGGGGATACCATTGTTTTGAATGCCATTAGCATTCTTGGCAAACCCCTTCCAAAATCAAGTTGGTCCAAGGCAGGAAAAGACATTAGACCATCAGATATCACTCAGATAACTTCAACCCCAACATCTTCCATGCTTACTATCAAGTATGCCACTAGAAAAGATGCGGGTGAATATACCATCACTGCTACCAATCCTTTTGGCACGAAGGTGGAACATGTGAAGGTAACAGTCCTTGATGTACCTGGTCCCCCAGGTCCTGTTGAAATCAGTAATGTTTCTGCTGAAAAAGCAACACTTACATGGACACCTCCCTTGGAAGATGGCGGCTCACCAATTAAGTCCTATATACTTGAAAAGAGAGAAACCAGCCGACTTTTGTGGACAGTGGTTTCTGAAGATATTCAGTCTTGCAGGCATGTGGCAACCAAACTTATCCAAGGAAATGAGTACATCTTCCGGGTCTCAGCTGTAAACCACTATGGCAAAGGAGAACCTGTACAGTCTGAACCTGTCAAAATGGTAGACAGATTTGGTATGTAGAGCATGTGAGGGAATTGACATGGAAACATTTATAGCAGAGTTTAGGAAATCATGGATTTCTAATAAATTTGCTTCCTTTTCAGGTCCCCCTGGCCCTCCTGAAAAACCAGAGGTATCAAATGTCACTAAGAACACTGCCACTGTCAGCTGGAAAAGGCCAGTGGATGATGGTGGCAGCGAAATTACAGGATATCATGTAGAAAGGAGAGAAAAGAAAAGCCTGCGATGGGTGAGAGCAATAAAAACACCAGTTTCCGATCTCAGGTGCAAAGTAACAGGACTGCAAGAAGGAAGCACCTACGAATTCCGTGTCAGTGCAGAAAACAGAGCAGGAATTGGTCCACCCAGTGAGGCTTCAGATTCTGTTCTGATGAAAGATGCAGCATGTTAGTATTTGTCTTTTTCAACACCGTTCATTCCAGAGTGCCAATATTTTATCTAAATTACCCAAAAGCCAAACTCTGAATATATACTTTTGTGTCTTTGTTTCTTTCTCAGATCCTCCAGGACCACCTTCAAATCCGCATGTCACTGATACTACCAAGAAATCTGCTTCTTTGGCATGGGGCAAGCCTCATTATGATGGTGGACTTGAAATCACTGGCTATGTCGTGGAGCATCAAAAAGTAGGAGACGAGGCCTGGATAAAAGATACCACAGGAACCGCCCTCAGAATCACTCAGTTCGTTGTTCCTGATCTTCAGACTAAAGAAAAATACAACTTCAGAATCAGTGCCATCAACGATGCAGGTGTTGGGGAGCCAGCGGTGATTCCAGATGTTGAAATCGTAGAACGGGAGATGGCTCCTGATTTTGAACTAGATGCCGAGCTTCGAAGAACACTTGTTGTTAGAGCAGGACTCAGTATTAGGATATTTGTGCCAATTAAAGGTCGTCCTGCTCCTGAAGTGACATGGACCAAAGATAACATCAACCTGAAAAACCGAGCCAACATTGAAAATACGGAATCATTTACTCTTCTGATTATCCCAGAATGTAACAGATATGATACCGGTAAATTTGTCATGACCATTGAAAACCCGGCTGGGAAGAAAAGTGGCTTTGTGAACGTCAGAGTCTTGGACACGCCAGGCCCAGTCCTCAACCTGCGGCCTACAGACATCACAAAGGACAGTGTCACCCTGCACTGGGACCTCCCTCTGATAGATGGAGGCTCACGTATAACAAACTACATTGTAGAGAAACGTGAAGCAACACGGAAATCTTATTCCACAGCCACCACTAAGTGCCATAAATGCACATATAAAGTTACCGGCTTGTCTGAAGGGTGTGAATATTTCTTCAGAGTGATGGCAGAGAATGAATATGGAATTGGTGAGCCAACAGAAACTACAGAGCCCGTAAAAGCCTCTGAAGCACCATCTCCACCAGACAGCCTTAACATCATGGACATAACTAAGAGCACCGTCAGCCTGGCATGGCCTAAGCCCAAACACGATGGTGGCAGCAAGATCACTGGCTATGTGATTGAAGCCCAAAGAAAAGGCTCTGACCAGTGGACCCACATCACAACCGTGAAAGGGTTAGAATGTGTTGTGAGGAATCTAACTGAAGGAGAGGAATATACCTTCCAAGTGATGGCAGTGAACAGCGCGGGGAGAAGTGCCCCTAGAGAAAGCAGACCCGTCATTGTCAAGGAGCAGACAATGCTTCCAGAGCTGGATCTCCGTGGCATCTATCAGAAACTGGTCATTGCCAAAGCTGGTGACAACATCAAAGTTGAAATTCCAGTGCTCGGTCGACCGAAGCCCACAGTGACATGGAAAAAAGGAGACCAAATTCTTAAACAGACACAGAGAGTTAATTTTGAAACCACAGCGACTTCAACCATTTTAAATATCAATGAGTGTGTCAGAAGTGATAGTGGGCCCTATCCATTAACAGCAAGGAACATTGTAGGAGAGGTTGGTGATGTCATCACCATTCAAGTCCATGATATCCCAGGGCCACCTACTGGACCAATCAAATTTGATGAAGTTTCATCTGATTTTGTAACCTTCTCTTGGGACCCACCTGAGAACGATGGTGGTGTACCAATAAGCAACTATGTAGTGGAAATGCGGCAGACTGACAGTACTACCTGGGTTGAGTTAGCAACCACCGTTATACGTACTACCTATAAAGCCACCCGCCTTACTACTGGATTAGAGTATCAGTTCCGTGTAAAAGCTCAGAATAGATATGGAGTTGGACCAGGCATCACATCAGCATGCATAGTTGCCAACTATCCATTTAAGGTTCCTGGACCTCCTGGTACCCCTCAGGTAACTGCAGTTACCAAGGATTCAATGACAATTAGCTGGCATGAGCCACTTTCTGATGGTGGAAGCCCCATTTTAGGATATCATGTTGAAAGAAAAGAACGAAATGGTATTCTCTGGCAGACTGTGAGCAAAGCTTTAGTACCAGGCAACATTTTCAAATCAAGTGGACTTACAGATGGTATTGCTTATGAGTTCCGGGTGATTGCAGAAAACATGGCAGGCAAAAGTAAGCCAAGCAAGCCATCAGAACCTATGTTGGCTCTGGATCCCATTGACCCACCTGGAAAACCAGTACCTCTAAATATTACAAGACACACAGTAACACTTAAATGGGCTAAGCCTGAATATACTGGGGGCTTTAAAATTACCAGTTATATCGTTGAAAAGAGAGACCTTCCTAATGGACGGTGGCTGAAGGCCAACTTCAGCAACATTTTGGAGAATGAATTTACAGTCAGTGGCCTAACAGAAGATGCTGCATATGAATTCCGTGTGATCGCCAAAAATGCTGCAGGTGCCATCAGTCCACCATCTGAGCCATCTGATGCTATCACTTGCAGGGATGATGTTGAGGCACCAAAGATAAAGGTGGATGTTAAATTTAAGGACACGGTTATATTAAAAGCAGGTGAAGCATTCAGACTGGAAGCTGATGTTTCAGGCCGCCCACCTCCAACAATGGAATGGAGCAAAGATGGAAAAGAGCTGGAAGGCACAGCAAAGTTAGAAATAAAAATTGCAGATTTCTCTACTAATCTGGTAAACAAAGATTCAACAAGAAGGGATAGTGGTGCCTATACCCTTACAGCGACTAATCCTGGTGGCTTTGCTAAACACATTTTCAATGTCAAAGTTCTTGACAGACCAGGCCCACCTGAAGGACCTTTGGCTGTAACTGAAGTGACATCAGAAAAGTGTGTACTATCATGGTTCCCTCCACTGGATGATGGAGGTGCCAAAATTGATCATTACATAGTACAGAAACGTGAAACCAGCAGATTGGCATGGACAAATGTAGCCTCAGAAGTCCAAGTAACAAAGCTAAAGGTCACTAAACTCTTGAAAGGCAATGAATACATATTCCGTGTCATGGCTGTAAATAAATATGGAGTGGGAGAGCCACTGGAATCAGAGCCTGTGCTTGCAGTGAATCCTTATGGACCCCCTGATCCGCCCAAAAACCCTGAAGTGACAACTATTACTAAAGATTCGATGGTTGTCTGCTGGGGACATCCTGATTCTGATGGTGGAAGTGAAATCATCAATTATATTGTGGAACGGCGTGATAAAGCTGGCCAACGCTGGATTAAATGCAACAAAAAAACTCTTACTGATTTAAGATATAAAGTGTCTGGACTGACAGAAGGACATGAATATGAGTTCAGGATTATGGCTGAAAATGCTGCTGGAATTAGTGCACCAAGTCCTACCAGTCCATTTTACAAGGCTTGTGACACTGTGTTTAAACCTGGACCACCAGGTAACCCACGTGTTCTGGATACAAGCAGATCATCCATTTCAATCGCTTGGAATAAACCTATCTATGATGGTGGTTCAGAAATCACTGGGTATATGGTTGAGATTGCCCTGCCAGAGGAAGATGAATGGCAGATTGTCACTCCACCAGCAGGACTCAAGGCAACTTCGTATACTATCACTGGCCTCACAGAGAATCAGGAATATAAGATCCGCATCTATGCCATGAATTCCGAAGGACTTGGGGAACCTGCCCTTGTTCCTGGAACTCCAAAGGCTGAAGACAGAATGCTGCCTCCAGAAATTGAACTGGATGCTGACCTGCGCAAAGTTGTTACTATAAGGGCCTGCTGCACCCTGAGACTTTTTGTTCCCATCAAAGGAAGGCCTGCACCTGAGGTGAAGTGGGCCCGGGACCATGGAGAATCTTTAGATAAAGCTAGCATCGAATCCACAAGCTCTTACACCCTGCTTATTGTTGGAAATGTAAACAGATTTGACAGTGGCAAATATATACTAACTGTAGAAAATAGTTCAGGCAGCAAGTCTGCATTTGTCAATGTTAGAGTTCTCGATACACCAGGCCCCCCACAGGATCTGAAGGTAAAAGAGGTCACTAAGACATCTGTCACACTCACATGGGACCCACCTCTCCTTGATGGAGGTTCAAAAATCAAGAACTATATTGTTGAAAAGCGGGAATCAACAAGAAAAGCATATTCAACTGTTGCAACAAACTGCCACAAGACTTCCTGGAAGGTAGACCAGCTTCAAGAAGGCTGTAGCTACTATTTCAGGGTTCTCGCAGAAAATGAATATGGCATTGGGCTGCCTGCTGAAACCGCAGAATCTGTGAAAGCATCAGAACGACCTCTTCCTCCAGGAAAAATAACTTTGATGGATGTCACAAGAAATAGTGTGTCACTCTCTTGGGAGAAACCAGAGCATGATGGAGGCAGCCGAATTCTAGGCTACATTGTGGAGATGCAGACCAAAGGCAGTGACAAATGGGCCACGTGTGCCACAGTCAAGGTCACTGAAGCCACTATCACTGGATTAATTCAGGGTGAAGAATACTCTTTCCGTGTTTCAGCTCAGAATGAAAAGGGCATCAGTGATCCTAGACAACTGAGTGTGCCAGTGATCGCCAAAGATCTTGTCATTCCACCAGCCTTCAAACTCCTGTTCAATACTTTCACTGTACTGGCAGGTGAAGACCTAAAAGTTGATGTTCCATTCATTGGCCGCCCTACCCCAGCTGTAACCTGGCATAAAGATAATGTACCACTGAAGCAGACAACTAGAGTAAATGCAGAGAGCACAGAAAATAATTCACTACTGACAATAAAGGACGCCTGCCGAGAAGATGTTGGCCATTATGTGGTTAAACTGACTAACTCAGCTGGTGAAGCTATTGAAACCCTTAATGTTATCGTTCTTGACAAACCAGGGCCTCCAACTGGACCAGTTAAAATGGATGAAGTGACAGCTGATAGTATTACTCTTTCCTGGGGCCCACCCAAGTATGATGGTGGAAGTTCTATCAATAATTACATTGTTGAGAAACGGGACACTTCCACAACCACCTGGCAAATTGTATCAGCTACAGTTGCAAGGACAACAATAAAGGCTTGCAGACTGAAGACTGGATGTGAATATCAGTTTAGAATTGCAGCTGAAAACAGATATGGGAAGAGTACCTACCTCAATTCAGAGCCTACTGTAGCCCAATATCCATTCAAAGTTCCTGGTCCTCCTGGCACTCCAGTTGTCACACTGTCCTCCAGGGACAGCATGGAAGTACAATGGAATGAGCCAATCAGTGATGGAGGAAGTAGAGTCATTGGCTATCATCTAGAACGCAAGGAAAGAAATAGCATCCTCTGGGTTAAGTTGAATAAAACACCTATTCCTCAAACCAAGTTTAAGACAACTGGCCTTGAAGAAGGTGTTGAATATGAATTTAGAGTCTCTGCAGAGAACATCGTGGGCATTGGCAAGCCGAGTAAAGTATCAGAATGTTATGTGGCTCGTGACCCATGTGATCCACCAGGACGGCCAGAGGCAATCATTGTCACAAGGAATTCTGTGACTCTTCAGTGGAAGAAACCCACCTATGACGGTGGAAGCAAGATCACTGGTTATATTGTTGAGAAGAAAGAATTACCTGAGGGCCGTTGGATGAAAGCCAGTTTTACAAATATTATTGACACTCATTTTGAAGTAACTGGCCTAGTTGAAGATCACAGATATGAGTTCCGGGTTATAGCCCGAAATGCCGCAGGAGTGTTTAGTGAGCCTTCAGAAAGCACAGGAGCAATAACAGCTAGAGATGAGGTAGATCCACCACGAATAAGTATGGATCCAAAATACAAAGACACAATCGTGGTTCATGCTGGTGAATCATTCAAGGTTGATGCAGATATTTATGGCAAACCAATACCAACCATTCAGTGGATAAAAGGTGATCAGGAGCTTTCAAACACAGCTCGATTAGAAATAAAGAGCACCGACTTTGCCACCAGTCTCAGTGTAAAAGATGCAGTACGTGTCGACAGTGGAAATTACATACTGAAGGCCAAAAATGTTGCAGGAGAAAGATCAGTTACTGTGAATGTCAAGGTTCTTGACAGACCAGGGCCACCTGAAGGACCTGTTGTTATCTCAGGAGTTACAGCAGAAAAATGCACACTAGCTTGGAAACCCCCACTTCAGGATGGTGGGAGTGACATCATAAATTATATTGTGGAAAGGAGAGAAACCAGCCGCTTAGTTTGGACTGTGGTTGATGCCAATGTGCAGACTCTCAGCTGCAAGGTTACTAAGCTTCTTGAAGGCAATGAATATACTTTCCGTATAATGGCAGTAAACAAATATGGTGTTGGTGAACCTCTTGAATCTGAGCCAGTAGTTGCCAAGAATCCATTTGTAGTACCAGATGCACCAAAAGCTCCAGAAGTCACAACAGTGACCAAGGACTCAATGATTGTTGTATGGGAAAGACCAGCATCTGATGGTGGTAGTGAAATTCTTGGATATGTTCTTGAGAAACGGGATAAAGAAGGCATTAGATGGACAAGATGCCATAAGCGTCTGATTGGAGAGTTGCGCCTGAGAGTAACTGGACTCATAGAAAATCACGATTATGAGTTCAGAGTTTCTGCTGAGAATGCTGCTGGACTTAGTGAACCAAGCCCTCCTTCTGCTTACCAAAAGGCTTGTGATCCTATTTATAAACCAGGACCCCCAAACAACCCCAAAGTCATAGACATAACCAGATCTTCAGTATTCCTTTCTTGGAGCAAACCAATATATGATGGTGGCTGTGAAATTCAAGGATACATTGTTGAAAAATGTGATGTGAGTGTTGGTGAATGGACAATGTGCACTCCACCAACAGGAATTAATAAAACAAACATAGAAGTAGAGAAGCTGTTGGAAAAGCATGAATACAACTTCCGTATCTGTGCTATTAATAAAGCTGGAGTTGGAGAACATGCTGACGTCCCTGGACCTATTATAGTTGAAGAAAAATTAGAAGCACCAGACATTGATCTTGACCTAGAACTAAGGAAAATCATAAATATAAGGGCAGGTGGCTCCTTAAGGTTATTTGTTCCTATAAAAGGTCGTCCTACACCAGAAGTTAAATGGGGAAAGGTGGATGGTGAAATCCGAGATGCAGCTATAATTGATGTCACTAGCAGTTTCACCTCTCTTGTTCTTGACAATGTCAACCGATATGATAGTGGAAAATATACGCTTACATTAGAAAACAGCAGTGGAACAAAGTCTGCCTTTGTTACTGTGAGAGTTCTGGACACGCCAAGTCCACCTGTTAACCTGAAAGTCACAGAAATCACCAAAGACTCAGTATCAATTACATGGGAACCTCCTTTGTTGGATGGGGGATCCAAAATAAAAAATTACATTGTTGAGAAACGTGAAGCCACAAGAAAATCATATGCTGCTGTTGTAACTAACTGCCATAAGAATTCTTGGAAAATCGATCAGCTCCAAGAAGGTTGCAGTTATTACTTTAGAGTCACAGCTGAGAATGAGTATGGTATTGGCCTTCCTGCCCAGACTGCTGATCCAATTAAGGTTGCAGAAGTGCCACAACCTCCTGGAAAAATAACTGTGGATGATGTCACCAGAAACAGTGTCTCTCTGAGTTGGACAAAACCTGAACATGATGGTGGCAGTAAAATCATTCAGTATATTGTGGAAATGCAAGCTAAACACAGTGAGAAATGGTCAGAGTGTGCTCGAGTAAAGTCTCTTCAGGCAGTAATTACCAACCTAACTCAAGGGGAAGAATATCTTTTTAGAGTTGTTGCTGTAAATGAAAAGGGGAGAAGTGATCCTCGGTCCCTTGCAGTTCCAATAGTTGCCAAAGATCTGGTAATTGAGCCAGATGTAAAACCTGCATTCAGTAGTTACAGTGTACAGGTTGGCCAAGATTTGAAAATAGAAGTGCCAATTTCTGGACGTCCTAAGCCAACCATTACCTGGACTAAAGATGGTCTCCCACTGAAGCAGACCACAAGAATCAATGTTACCGATTCACTGGATCTCACCACACTCAGTATTAAAGAAACTCATAAGGATGATGGTGGACAATATGGAATCACAGTTGCCAATGTTGTTGGTCAGAAGACAGCATCCATCGAAATTGTAACTCTAGATAAACCTGATCCTCCAAAAGGACCTGTTAAATTTGATGACGTCAGTGCTGAAAGTATTACATTATCTTGGAACCCTCCATTATATACAGGGGGCTGCCAAATCACCAACTACATTGTTCAGAAAAGAGATACAACCACCACAGTATGGGATGTTGTTTCTGCTACTGTTGCTAGAACTACACTCAAAGTGACCAAACTGAAAACTGGTACAGAATACCAATTTAGAATATTTGCCGAAAACAGATATGGACAAAGCTTTGCCTTAGAGTCTGATCCAATTGTAGCTCAATATCCCTACAAAGAACCAGGCCCTCCAGGTACACCATTTGCCACAGCCATTTCCAAAGACTCCATGGTCATACAGTGGCATGAACCAGTCAACAATGGTGGAAGCCCCGTCATAGGTTACCACCTGGAGAGAAAAGAAAGAAACAGTATTTTGTGGACAAAGGTCAACAAAACTATTATTCATGACACCCAATTCAAAGCACAGAATCTTGAAGAAGGCATTGAATATGAATTCAGAGTGTATGCTGAAAATATTGTTGGTGTAGGCAAAGCAAGCAAGAATTCTGAATGCTATGTAGCCAGAGATCCCTGTGACCCACCAGGAACCCCAGAACCAATAATGGTTAAAAGAAATGAAATCACTTTACAGTGGACCAAACCTGTGTATGATGGTGGAAGTATGATTACAGGCTACATTGTAGAGAAACGTGATTTGCCTGATGGTCGTTGGATGAAAGCTAGCTTTACAAATGTCATTGAAACTCAATTTACTGTGTCAGGTCTTACTGAAGATCAAAGATATGAATTCAGAGTCATTGCAAAGAATGCAGCTGGTGCAATAAGTAAACCCTCTGACAGTACTGGACCAATAACTGCCAAGGATGAGGTTGAACTCCCAAGAATTTCAATGGATCCAAAATTCAGAGACACAATTGTGGTAAATGCTGGAGAAACATTCAGACTTGAGGCTGATGTCCATGGAAAGCCCCTACCTACCATTGAGTGGTTAAGAGGAGATAAGGAAATTGAAGAATCTGCTAGATGTGAAATAAAGAACACAGATTTCAAGGCTTTACTTATTGTAAAAGATGCAATTAGAATTGATGGTGGGCAGTATATTTTAAGAGCTTCCAATGTTGCAGGTTCTAAGTCATTCCCAGTAAATGTAAAAGTATTAGATAGACCAGGACCTCCAGAAGGGCCAGTCCAGGTTACTGGAGTCACTTCTGAAAAATGCTCTTTAACATGGTCTCCACCACTTCAAGATGGTGGCAGTGACATTTCTCACTATGTTGTTGAAAAGCGAGAAACCAGTCGACTTGCCTGGACTGTTGTTGCTTCAGAAGTTGTGACCAATTCTCTGAAAGTTACCAAACTCTTAGAAGGTAATGAATATGTTTTCCGTATAATGGCTGTCAACAAATATGGTGTTGGAGAGCCTTTGGAATCTGCACCAGTACTAATGAAAAATCCATTTGTGCTTCCTGGACCACCAAAAAGCTTGGAAGTCACAAATATTGCCAAAGACTCCATGACCGTCTGTTGGAACCGTCCAGATAGTGATGGTGGAAGTGAGATTATTGGTTACATTGTAGAGAAAAGAGACAGAAGTGGCATTCGATGGATAAAATGTAATAAACGCCGCATTACAGATTTGCGTCTAAGAGTGACAGGATTAACAGAAGATCATGAGTATGAATTCAGGGTCTCTGCAGAAAATGCTGCTGGAGTTGGGGAACCAAGTCCAGCTACAGTTTATTATAAAGCCTGTGATCCTGTGTTCAAACCTGGCCCACCTACCAATGCACACATTGTAGACACCACTAAAAATTCAATCACACTTGCCTGGGGTAAACCCATCTATGATGGCGGCAGTGAGATCTTGGGATATGTAGTAGAAATCTGTAAAGCAGATGAAGAAGAATGGCAAATAGTTACTCCACAGACTGGCCTGAGAGTCACTCGATTTGAAATTTCAAAACTCACTGAACACCAAGAGTATAAAATACGAGTCTGTGCCCTCAACAAAGTTGGTTTAGGTGAGGCTACATCAGTTCCTGGTACTGTGAAACCAGAAGATAAACTTGAAGCACCTGAACTTGACCTTGACTCCGAATTAAGAAAAGGAATTGTTGTAAGAGCTGGTGGATCTGCCAGAATTCACATTCCATTCAAAGGTCGTCCAACGCCTGAGATCACTTGGTCTCGAGAGGAAGGTGAATTCACAGATAAGGTCCAAATTGAAAAGGGAGTAAACTATACCCAACTATCAATAGATAACTGTGATAGAAATGATGCTGGAAAATACATTCTTAAGTTGGAAAACAGCAGTGGATCAAAGTCTGCTTTTGTAACTGTGAAAGTTCTTGACACTCCAGGACCACCACAGAATTTGGCAGTCAAAGAAGTGAGAAAAGATTCTGCCTTCCTGGTATGGGAGCCACCCATCATTGATGGAGGGGCAAAGGTCAAGAACTATGTGATTGACAAACGTGAGTCAACCAGAAAAGCGTATGCTAATGTGAGTAGTAAATGCAGCAAAACAAGTTTTAAAGTGGAAAACCTTACAGAAGGAGCCATTTATTACTTCAGAGTCATGGCTGAAAATGAATTTGGAGTTGGTGTTCCAGTGGAAACTGTTGATGCCGTGAAAGCTGCTGAACCTCCTTCCCCACCAGGAAAGGTTACACTCACTGATGTGTCCCAGACCAGTGCATCACTTATGTGGGAGAAACCTGAACATGATGGCGGTAGCAGAGTCCTGGGGTACGTTGTTGAAATGCAGCCCAAAGGAACTGAAAAATGGAGCATTGTGGCTGAATCCAAAGTCTGTAATGCAGTTGTTACTGGTTTGAGTTCTGGACAAGAATATCAGTTCCGTGTCAAGGCTTATAATGAGAAAGGAAAAAGCGATCCAAGAGTGTTGGGTGTTCCTGTCATAGCCAAGGACTTGACTATACAGCCTAGTTTAAAGTTACCATTTAACACATATAGTATCCAAGCTGGAGAAGATCTTAAAATAGAAATTCCAGTTATAGGCCGACCAAGACCTAACATTTCTTGGGTCAAAGATGGTGAGCCTCTTAAACAGACAACAAGAGTAAACGTTGAAGAAACAGCTACCTCAACTGTTTTGCACATTAAAGAAGGTAACAAAGATGACTTTGGAAAATACACCGTAACGGCAACAAATAGTGCAGGCACAGCAACAGAAAATCTCAGTGTTATCGTTTTAGAAAAGCCTGGACCTCCAGTTGGCCCAGTTCGGTTTGATGAAGTTAGTGCAGACTTTGTAGTCATATCTTGGGAACCTCCAGCCTATACTGGTGGCTGCCAAATAAGCAACTACATTGTAGAGAAGCGAGATACAACCACCACCACTTGGCACATGGTATCAGCAACAGTTGCAAGAACAACAATTAAAATAACCAAACTGAAAACAGGCACGGAGTACCAGTTTAGAATTTTTGCTGAAAACAGGTATGGAAAAAGTGCCCCACTGGATTCTAAGGCAGTTATTGTACAATATCCATTTAAAGAACCTGGACCACCTGGAACTCCTTTTGTGACATCAATCTCAAAAGATCAGATGCTTGTGCAATGGCATGAGCCAGTGAATGATGGAGGCACCAAAATTATTGGCTACCATCTTGAACAGAAAGAAAAGAACAGTATTTTATGGGTCAAGTTAAATAAGACCCCCATTCAGGACACCAAATTCAAAACAACTGGGCTTGATGAGGGCCTTGAGTATGAGTTCAAAGTTTCTGCTGAAAATATTGTTGGCATTGGCAAGCCTAGCAAAGTGTCAGAATGCTTTGTTGCTCGTGATCCATGTGACCCACCTGGTCGCCCTGAAGCCATTGTTATTACAAGAAACAATGTCACACTGAAATGGAAGAAACCTGCCTATGATGGTGGTAGCAAAATAACAGGTTATATTGTAGAAAAGAAAGATCTACCTGATGGCCGCTGGATGAAAGCCAGCTTTACCAACGTATTAGAAACTGAATTTACAGTGAGTGGACTTGTAGAAGACCAAAGATATGAATTTAGAGTAATTGCAAGAAATGCAGCTGGAAACTTTAGTGAACCATCTGATAGTAGTGGTGCCATTACTGCAAGAGATGAAATTGATGCACCAAATGCCTCTCTGGATCCAAAATATAAAGATGTCATCGTTGTTCATGCAGGAGAGACTTTTGTTCTTGAAGCCGACATCCGTGGCAAACCTATACCTGATGTTGTTTGGTCAAAAGATGGAAAAGAACTTGAAGAAACAGCTGCTAGAATGGAAATTAAATCTACTATTCAGAAAACAACTCTTGTTGTCAAAGACTGTATACGGACTGATGGAGGACAATATATTCTGAAACTCAGCAATGTTGGTGGTACAAAGTCTATACCCATCACTGTAAAGGTACTTGACAGGCCAGGGCCTCCTGAAGGGCCTCTGAAAGTTACTGGAGTTACTGCGGAAAAATGTTACCTGGCATGGAACCCACCTTTGCAAGATGGTGGTGCTAATATTTCACATTACATCATTGAAAAGAGGGAGACAAGCCGACTCTCTTGGACCCAGGTTTCAACTGAGGTACAGGCCCTTAACTACAAAGTTACTAAACTTCTTCCTGGTAATGAGTACATTTTCCGTGTCATGGCTGTGAATAAATATGGAATTGGAGAGCCCTTGGAATCTGGGCCTGTTACGGCCTGTAATCCTTATAAGCCACCAGGTCCTCCCTCAACACCTGAAGTCTCAGCAATCACCAAAGATTCTATGGTAGTAACATGGGCACGCCCAGTAGACGACGGAGGTACCGAAATTGAGGGCTACATTCTTGAAAAACGAGATAAGGAAGGCGTTAGATGGACCAAGTGCAACAAGAAAACATTAACGGATCTGCGGCTCAGGGTAACTGGTCTTACCGAAGGCCATTCCTATGAATTCAGAGTTGCTGCTGAAAATGCAGCTGGTGTGGGAGAACCTAGTGAGCCATCTGTTTTCTACCGTGCGTGTGATGCCTTGTATCCACCAGGTCCCCCAAGCAATCCAAAAGTGACGGACACTTCCAGATCTTCTGTCTCCCTGGCATGGAGTAAGCCAATTTATGATGGTGGCGCACCTGTTAAAGGCTATGTTGTAGAGGTCAAAGAAGCTGCTGCGGATGAATGGACAACCTGCACTCCACCAACAGGATTACAAGGAAAGCAGTTCACAGTGACCAAGCTTAAAGAAAACACTGAATATAACTTCCGTATTTGTGCCATCAATTCTGAAGGTGTAGGTGAACCTGCAACTCTACCTGGCTCAGTGGTTGCTCAGGAGAGGATAGAGCCACCAGAAATAGAACTCGATGCTGATCTCAGAAAGGTGGTCGTTCTGCGTGCAAGTGCTACTTTACGCTTATTTGTCACTATCAAAGGTCGACCAGAACCCGAAGTTAAATGGGAAAAGGCAGAAGGCATTCTCACTGACAGGGCTCAGATAGAGGTGACCAGCTCATTTACAATGTTGGTGATTGATAATGTTACCAGATTTGACAGTGGTCGGTATAATCTGACATTAGAAAATAATAGTGGCTCCAAAACAGCTTTTGTTAACGTCAGAGTTCTTGACTCACCAAGTGCCCCTGTGAATTTGACCATAAGAGAAGTGAAGAAAGACTCAGTGACGTTGTCCTGGGAACCACCACTTATTGATGGTGGAGCTAAGATTACAAACTACATTGTCGAAAAACGAGAAACTACAAGAAAAGCCTATGCTACCATTACAAATAATTGCACTAAAACTACTTTCAGAATTGAAAATCTACAAGAAGGATGTTCTTACTACTTCCGAGTCTTGGCTTCCAATGAATATGGGATTGGTTTGCCAGCTGAAACAACAGAACCCGTTAAAGTGTCTGAACCACCCCTCCCACCTGGAAGAGTAACTCTTGTTGATGTGACCCGTAATACAGCTACAATTAAGTGGGAGAAACCAGAAAGTGATGGTGGCAGCAAAATTACTGGTTATGTGGTTGAAATGCAGACTAAAGGGAGTGAAAAGTGGAGCACCTGCACACAAGTTAAGACTCTAGAAGCAACTATATCTGGCTTAACTGCAGGAGAAGAGTATGTCTTCAGGGTAGCTGCAGTTAACGAAAAGGGAAGAAGTGATCCAAGACAACTTGGAGTGCCAGTAATTGCAAGGGATATTGAAATAAAGCCTTCAGTTGAGCTTCCTTTCCATACTTTCAATGTAAAGGCTAGAGAACAACTTAAGATTGATGTGCCATTCAAAGGAAGACCTCAAGCTACTGTGAACTGGAGAAAAGATGGTCAGACTCTTAAAGAGACAACTAGAGTCAATGTTTCTTCTTCAAAGACTGTAACATCACTATCTATTAAGGAAGCTTCAAAGGAAGATGTTGGAACTTATGAATTATGTGTTTCAAACAGTGCTGGATCCATAACAGTTCCTATTACTATAATTGTCCTTGACAGACCAGGACCTCCAGGTCCTATACGTATTGATGAGGTTAGTTGTGACAGCATAACCATTTCTTGGAATCCTCCAGAATATGATGGTGGCTGCCAAATTAGCAATTACATTGTTGAAAAGAAAGAAACCACCTCTACAACATGGCACATAGTTTCACAAGCAGTTGCAAGAACATCCATTAAAATAGTTCGCCTGACAACAGGAAGTGAGTATCAGTTCCGTGTTTGTGCAGAAAACCGCTATGGAAAGAGCTCCTACAGTGAATCTTCAGCTGTTGTTGCAGAGTATCCATTCAGTCCCCCAGGTCCTCCTGGTACTCCTAAAGTTGTGCATGCCACAAAATCTACCATGCTTGTAACCTGGCAAGTGCCAGTTAATGATGGAGGAAGTCGAGTAATTGGCTATCATCTTGAGTATAAAGAAAGAAGCAGCATTCTTTGGTCAAAAGCAAATAAAATCCTCATTGCTGATACTCAAATGAAAGTCTCCGGCCTTGATGAAGGACTGATGTATGAGTATCGTGTATATGCTGAAAATATTGCTGGAATTGGTAAATGCAGTAAATCTTGTGAACCAGTCCCTGCAAGAGATCCTTGTGACCCTCCTGGACAACCTGAAGTCACAAATATCACAAGAAAATCAGTGTCACTTAAATGGTCTAAACCACATTATGATGGTGGAGCTAAGATCACAGGATACATTGTTGAACGCAGAGAACTACCAGATGGCCGGTGGCTGAAGTGCAATTATACTAATATACAAGAAACATACTTTGAAGTAACTGAACTTACTGAAGATCAGCGTTATGAATTCCGGGTTTTTGCAAGGAATGCTGCTGACTCAGTTAGTGAGCCATCTGAATCCACTGGGCCTATTATAGTTAAAGATGATGTTGAGCCTCCAAGAGTTATGATGGATGTCAAGTTCCGAGACGTTATTGTTGTCAAAGCTGGAGAGGTCCTTAAGATAAATGCAGACATTGCAGGGCGACCTCTGCCAGTAATTTCCTGGGCCAAGGATGGTATAGAAATTGAAGAAAGAGCAAGAACAGAAATCATCTCAACAGACAATCATACTTTGTTAACAGTTAAAGACTGTATAAGACGAGACACTGGGCAATATGTACTAACACTGAAGAATGTTGCCGGCACTCGGTCTGTGGCCGTTAATTGCAAAGTACTTGATAAGCCTGGTCCACCAGCAGGACCACTTGAAATAAATGGCCTCACTGCTGAGAAATGCTCTCTTTCCTGGGGACGTCCCCAAGAAGATGGTGGTGCAGATATCGACTATTACATCGTAGAAAAACGTGAAACAAGCCACCTTGCATGGACAATATGTGAAGGAGAGTTACAGATGACATCCTGTAAAGTAACCAAGTTACTCAAAGGCAATGAATATATATTTAGAGTAACTGGTGTTAATAAATATGGTGTTGGTGAGCCCCTAGAGAGTGTAGCTATAAAGGCACTAGATCCATTTACAGTTCCAAGTCCACCCACGTCTTTGGAAATTACTTCTGTGACCAAAGAATCTATGACACTTTGCTGGTCAAGACCCGAGAGTGATGGAGGTAGTGAAATATCTGGATATATAATTGAAAGGCGAGAGAAAAATAGCCTAAGATGGGTGCGTGTAAACAAAAAACCAGTTTATGATCTAAGAGTGAAATCAACAGGACTTCGGGAAGGATGTGAATATGAATATCGTGTTTATGCAGAAAATGCTGCTGGCCTAAGTCTTCCAAGTGAAACCTCTCCCTTAATTAGGGCAGAAGATCCAGTGTTCCTACCATCTCCTCCATCCAAACCCAAAATTGTGGACTCAGGCAAGACAACTATAACTATTGCCTGGGTTAAGCCGCTGTTTGATGGTGGGGCCCCGATAACTGGATATACTGTAGAATACAAAAAATCTGATGACACTGACTGGAAAACTTCCATTCAGAGCTTACGAGGGACAGAATATACAATAAGCGGACTAACAACAGGAGCTGAATATGTTTTCAGAGTAAAATCTGTCAATAAGGTTGGTGCTAGTGACCCCAGTGATAGCTCTGACCCTCAGATAGCAAAGGAAAGAGAAGAAGAACCTTTATTTGATATTGACAGTGAAATGAGGAAGACCTTGATTGTCAAGGCTGGTGCCTCATTTACCATGACTGTGCCTTTCCGAGGAAGACCAGTACCCAATGTCTTGTGGAGTAAGCCAGACACTGACCTCCGTACTAGAGCTTATGTTGATACCACAGACTCTCGTACATCACTGACCATTGAAAATGCCAACAGAAATGACTCTGGAAAGTACACATTAACAATTCAGAATGTTTTGAGTGCTGCTTCACTGACCTTAGTTGTCAAAGTTTTAGATACCCCAGGTCCTCCAACCAACATTACTGTGCAAGATGTAACCAAAGAGTCTGCAGTGTTATCCTGGGATGTTCCTGAAAACGATGGTGGAGCACCAGTGAAGAATTACCACATAGAAAAACGTGAGGCCAGCAAGAAAGCATGGGTCTCTGTGACCAACAACTGTAACCGCCTCTCCTACAAAGTTACCAATTTACAAGAAGGAGCTATCTATTACTTCAGAGTCTCTGGAGAAAATGAGTTTGGTGTTGGTATACCAGCTGAAACAAAGGAAGGAGTAAAAATAACAGGTATGTTTTAAGAATAAGGAAATTCTACATATCCACGTTAATTTTGCTAGAATAGTGTGAGTCATTCTAATTAGTCGTTATTTCATCTTAAATGCTTTTGGGTTCACACCCTTCACACCCCAAACTATTCATACTATGGCACAAAATGGAATCTCTAGTGAAGAGTCTTTCATTGATTAAAAAAACAGAAATTTACGTAGCTAAAATTGGATAATATATGTTGAATTTAAGTATTATTGAATCTAACTGTATATATATGTAGGTATACATGTTTATATATATATATACACAGATTATATATATATAGTATGTGTGTATGACATATATCATATGTGTGTATGTGCGTGTGTACAGAAATTGTATATAAAGTTTTTTAAAAGATTGTTCATCTTGTTCCTCTTTTTTATCCCCATGGTGAATTTGGAGTAAATTTTATCATTTAATCTGGTCATTTTACCCTTAATTTGGATTTGAATGCTATAGCATGTAATGACATAGCTTGTGGGAGCCTTGGTTGGTTCAGAAGCAAAATGGGTTATGTAAAAAGGAAGACTAAAATCAACATAAAAATATGGCCTTCATTTAAAAGTTTTCTTTTGACAATACATGAAGAGTGCACATTTAAAAGTGCTGTAATAATTATTCACTTTCTTTTGATGCTTTGTTTTCTTAGAAAAACCAAGCCCACCTGAAAAACTTGGAGTAACAAGTATATCCAAAGACAGTGTTTCCCTGACCTGGCTGAAGCCTGAACATGATGGCGGAAGCAGAATTGTACACTATGTCGTTGAAGCACTAGAAAAAGGACAGAAAAACTGGGTTAAATGTGCAGTGGCAAAGTCAACCCATCACGTTGTTTCCGGTCTGAGAGAGAATTCTGAATACTTTTTCCGAGTGTTTGCTGAAAATCAAGCTGGCCTGAGTGACCCGAGAGAGCTTCTGCTTCCTGTTCTTATTAAGGAGCAACTAGGTATGTCTAATTTTGTGTAGAAGCAAAATTTGAAATTATTTGCATTGATTTATGTTAATTTTCAGAAACACTTTTTCACTTTCACTTTCTATACTCATTTTTCAGAACCACCTGAAATTGATATGAAGAATTTCCCAAGTCACACTGTATATGTTAGAGCTGGTTCAAACCTTAAAGTTGACATTCCAATCTCTGGAAAACCACTTCCCAAAGTGACCTTATCAAGAGATGGTGTCCCCCTTAAGGCAACCATGAGATTTAATACCGAAATTACTGCTGAGAACCTGACCATCAATCTCAAAGAAAGTGTTACAGCTGACGCTGGGAGATATGAAATCACTGCTGCCAACTCCAGTGGTACAACCAAAGCTTTCATTAACATTGTTGTGCTAGACAGGCCTGGTCCTCCAACTGGCCCTGTTGTTATTAGTGATATAACTGAAGAAAGTGTGACTCTCAAATGGGAGCCACC
Organism: Homo sapiens; assembly: GCF_000001405.40. Lineage (NCBI taxonomy): Eukaryota > Metazoa > Chordata > Mammalia > Primates > Hominidae > Homo > Homo sapiens. The sequence goes on along the minus strand of NC_000002.12, from coordinate 178,557,868 downwards.
TAAGTATGACGGTGGAAGTCAAGTTACCAACTACATTCTACTCAAAAGAGAAACAAGTACTGCAGTGTGGACTGAAGTGTCTGCAACAGTTGCAAGAACCATGATGAAAGTCATGAAACTGACCACAGGAGAAGAATACCAATTCCGCATCAAGGCAGAAAACCGCTTTGGCATCAGTGATCATATAGATTCAGCTTGTGTGACTGTCAAACTACCATACAGTAAGTTGTCCAACTTTTCAAAGATCCAGGTTTTCTTTTACCATAAATGTGTTATTGTCTGTACTAATCTATAGGATTTCTCTCTTTTGTAGCAACACCTGGACCACCATCTACACCATGGGTCACTAATGTTACTCGAGAAAGCATCACTGTGGGCTGGCATGAACCAGTGTCAAATGGAGGCAGTGCAGTCGTAGGCTATCACCTGGAAATGAAAGACAGAAACAGTATTTTATGGCAAAAAGCCAACAAACTGGTCATCCGCACAACTCACTTCAAAGTCACAACAATCAGTGCTGGACTTATTTATGAATTCAGGGTGTATGCAGAAAATGCTGCTGGAGTTGGAAAACCTAGCCATCCTTCTGAACCAGTCTTGGCAATTGATGCTTGTGGTACGTATTTGTCATGGGAAGGGCAGTTCTGATAACAAAAATGCAAATCTTACTTCTGCGAAGCAAAATATTATAAGTGCCGCTAATCTGCTTCTCTTATTACCACAGAACCCCCAAGAAATGTTCGTATCACTGATATTTCAAAGAACTCTGTCAGCCTTTCATGGCAACAACCAGCTTTCGATGGAGGTAGCAAGATTACAGGCTACATTGTTGAGAGACGTGACCTTCCAGATGGCAGATGGACCAAGGCCAGCTTCACCAATGTTACTGAAACTCAATTCATCATCTCTGGCTTGACTCAGAATTCCCAGTATGAATTCCGTGTCTTTGCTAGGAATGCTGTTGGTTCCATTAGCAATCCATCTGAGGTTGTAGGGCCCATTACTTGCATCGATTCTTATGGTAAGCATGCTTAGCACTTTGAATCAAAATTGCTATTTAACTCAGTATTTCCGCATACCTTTTCCTGGTTCTAATCCTATAGAATAACTTTTACTCTGTGCCTTAATGGGGTTTTTGGAAGAAATTATGGACTAGCTGGGAGTCTGAGGAAAATTCCTTAAATACCTTTCCAGCCCTCTTGACTTGACTGTAAAGTGAGAGATTTAGACCTCAGGATATCTATGGGCCTTTCCAACTTCAACCTTTTATGATTGATTGTATGAGTTGGTGCTTTCATTCTGTTTTAAATTATCAGAGTCAATAATTAAACCATGGTTGAGTTCCTAGAGAATATTGCTCTTAAATAAGCCACAGACTAAACAGAGACTTCATTTTTTGGTTTTTTTTTTTTTGTTTGTTTGTTTGTTTGTTTGTTTTGAGACAGAGTCTCACTCTGTCGCCCAGGCTGTAGTGCAGTGGCACGGTCTTGGTTCACTGCAACTTCCGCCTCCTGGGCTCAAACGATTCTCGTGCCTCAGTCACCTGAGTAGCTGGGATTACAGGCATGCCCCACCACACCCAGCTAATTTTTTGTATTTTTAGTAGGGACGGAGTTTCACCATGTTGGCCAGGCAGGTCTCAACCTCCTGACCTCAGGTGATCCACCCACCTCGGCCTCCCAAAGTGTTGGGATTACAGGTGTGAGCCACCATGCCTGGTCTAAACACAGACTTTGATGATGATAGTATTAGCAGCAGCTAACATTTATTGAGGAATTTTCATGAATTCTTTCCCTTAGTTCTCACAGCCCTCATATTAGCCATCTTATAGAAGGGAAACTGAGGCTGAGAGTGCTTTTGTAACTTCCCCGTTAGGGATGGAGTGGGAATTCAGACAGACAGACTTCAGAGCCCTCTCTATCATGGTTAGTCCAAAATGCGTATTCTTCACCATTCTGGAAAATAAGTGGCACATTCAACTCAACAATGTTTTGAAAATTAAAACGTCATGAGAGTCAGGTATCCTGTGACACTTTACCTAAAAGATCTCCATTTGCTAAGAGAAAATTGAGCCACTGTAGTGTCTGGGCAAAAGTATCCACTTCCATCTTCATGCTGAGAATCTCAGGGCTGTTCATTATTTATGAATCAGGCTTTGTGGATACTGAATCAGTGTTTATGAGAGTATAAAGCAAGTCGAATTTAGTTATCTTTCTTGATAATTCCAAACAGCATGGCAGAAAATCTGTCCAGTAATTATGTAGCTCTGTGGGTAGAGAATTCAGACTTTAAGTGTCTGACATGAACCATCCACACTTGGATATCAGTGAACTGGGATGGGAAAAGAAAAAGAATAGGAGGTGCGTAGAAGAAAAGGAAAGAAAAGCTAAAGTGAAAGGAAATGTTTTAACAGCTTCTTCCATGATGTTCTCACTACCATATCCCATTTCTTCACTGGAATAAAGCAACTAATGGACTTTAAAACACATGTAAAAGGTGCTTAAGTCCCTGCACAACTCACAGTCTTTCTACCCCATCTGAGATAGAAGAGTGGCCTATAAATTTTTAATTTTTAAATAATAATTGCATAGAATTATAATGATGGTGTGTGTGTATAATTTAATAATGGCCAATGACCTTACTTTAAGGTTGGTGCAACTATTTTTTTTTCCATCCTTATAATATTTTAAATATTTCTCATCTGTTTTTCTTGCAGGTGGTCCTGTAATTGATTTGCCTCTAGAATATACAGAAGTTGTCAAATACAGAGCAGGTACATCTGTGAAGCTCAGAGCTGGCATTTCTGGCAAACCTGCGCCTACTATTGAGTGGTATAAAGATGATAAAGAATTACAAACCAATGCACTGGTGTGTGTTGAAAATACCACGGACCTCGCATCTATACTCATCAAAGATGCCGATCGCCTTAATAGTGGATGCTATGAATTAAAACTAAGGAATGCCATGGGCTCAGCCTCAGCCACCATCAGAGTACAGATCCTTGGTAGGTGCTGAATACAGACCACTGTCATATTACATTTGCCTAAAGCTTAGTAATTTTGAACAAGTAGGCTTTAAAGAAGTACTAACATCGTGTTTTGTCCTTTCACTGATAGACAAACCAGGCCCACCTGGTGGACCAATTGAATTTAAGACTGTAACTGCTGAGAAGATCACCCTTCTCTGGCGGCCTCCAGCTGATGATGGTGGTGCAAAAATCACTCACTACATTGTGGAAAAGCGTGAGACAAGCCGCGTTGTGTGGTCTATGGTGTCTGAACATTTGGAAGAGTGCATCATTACAACCACCAAAATTATCAAAGGAAATGAATACATCTTCCGGGTCCGAGCCGTGAACAAATATGGAATTGGCGAGCCACTGGAATCTGATTCCGTTGTAGCCAAGAACGCATTTGGTGAGACATGATTTCATTAGAAAACTGAAACGTGAAAAATTTAAAAATAAACTACGCTAACCTGTGCATATGCTTTAATTTTCTTTTATATAACACCTGTCTCATTACCATCCTTTTCACAAGGTGAAAAATATAAAAAATAAAACCAATGTTCTTGGAAAGAATGCGAACATCAAAGGTATAATTTATCAGTAATGTGGATTCTTGTACCTTGTTTTCCCTTCCTTTCTAAATAGTTACACCTGGGCCACCAGGCATACCAGAAGTGACAAAGATTACCAAGAATTCGATGACTGTTGTATGGAGCAGGCCAATTGCAGATGGCGGTAGTGATATAAGTGGCTATTTCCTTGAAAAACGAGACAAGAAGAGCCTAGGATGGTTTAAAGTACTAAAAGAGACTATCCGTGACACCAGACAAAAAGTAACAGGACTCACAGAAAACAGTGACTATCAATACAGAGTTTGTGCTGTAAACGCTGCTGGACAGGGTCCATTTTCTGAACCATCTGAATTCTACAAAGCTGCTGATCCTATTGGTAAGTGCTCATACCTGCAGCATCTTCACCTGTGTCTTCTATATTCACCTGTGTGACTAAATTGTACATGATTGTGTAATTATTTTATTGTGAATGGCCATTCCAGATCCTCCAGGTCCACCTGCTAAGATAAGAATCGCAGATTCAACCAAGTCATCCATCACCCTTGGCTGGAGTAAGCCTGTCTATGATGGGGGCAGTGCTGTTACTGGGTATGTTGTCGAGATAAGACAAGGAGAGGAAGAGGAATGGACTACTGTCTCTACCAAAGGAGAGGTCAGAACTACAGAATATGTGGTATCCAACCTGAAACCTGGAGTCAATTACTACTTCCGGGTATCTGCTGTAAACTGTGCTGGACAAGGAGAACCTATAGAAATGAATGAACCTGTACAAGCTAAAGATATACTTGGTATGTACCTACTGGTTTGATTATGTTTTTTAATAAGCATACTTCCAGGAAATCACTCTTTTTTGCTTTTAAAATTCACTGTATGTATCCATTTTATGTCTACAGAGGCACCAGAGATTGACCTGGATGTGGCTCTCAGAACTTCTGTTATTGCCAAAGCTGGTGAAGATGTACAAGTGTTGATTCCCTTTAAAGGCAGACCTCCACCTACTGTCACATGGAGAAAAGATGAGAAGAATCTTGGCAGTGATGCCAGATACAGCATTGAAAACACTGATTCATCCTCATTACTCACCATTCCTCAAGTTACTCGCAATGATACAGGAAAATATATTCTCACAATAGAAAATGGAGTTGGTGAACCTAAGTCTTCAACTGTGAGTGTTAAAGTGCTTGACACACCAGCTGCCTGCCAGAAACTACAGGTTAAACATGTTTCTCGAGGCACAGTCACTTTGCTCTGGGATCCTCCTCTCATTGATGGAGGATCTCCAATAATTAATTATGTCATTGAAAAGAGAGATGCCACCAAGAGAACATGGTCTGTCGTGTCACACAAATGTTCTAGCACATCCTTCAAGCTAATAGATTTGTCGGAGAAGACTCCATTCTTCTTCAGAGTTCTTGCAGAAAATGAAATTGGAATTGGGGAACCCTGTGAAACTACAGAGCCAGTGAAGGCTGCTGAAGTACCAGCTCCTATACGTGATCTCTCAATGAAAGACTCAACAAAGACATCTGTCATCCTCAGCTGGACCAAACCTGACTTTGATGGTGGTAGCGTCATCACAGAATATGTTGTAGAAAGGAAAGGTAAAGGTGAACAGACGTGGTCCCACGCTGGCATAAGTAAGACATGTGAAATTGAGGTTAGCCAACTTAAGGAGCAGTCAGTCCTGGAGTTCAGAGTGTTTGCCAAAAATGAGAAAGGACTGAGTGATCCTGTCACTATTGGGCCAATTACAGTGAAAGAACTTATTATTACACCTGAAGTTGACCTGTCAGATATCCCTGGGGCACAAGTCACTGTGAGAATTGGGCACAATGTGCACCTTGAATTACCTTATAAGGGAAAACCCAAACCATCCATCAGTTGGCTGAAAGATGGCTTGCCACTGAAAGAAAGTGAATTTGTTCGCTTCAGTAAAACTGAAAACAAAATTACTTTGAGTATTAAGAATGCCAAGAAGGAGCATGGAGGAAAATACACTGTTATTCTTGATAATGCAGTGTGTAGAATTGCAGTCCCCATTACAGTCATCACCCTTGGCCCACCATCAAAGCCCAAAGGACCCATTCGATTTGATGAAATCAAGGCTGATAGTGTCATCCTGTCATGGGATGTACCTGAAGATAATGGAGGAGGAGAAATTACTTGTTACAGCATCGAGAAGCGGGAAACTTCACAAACTAACTGGAAGATGGTGTGTTCAAGTGTTGCCAGAACGACTTTCAAAGTTCCTAATCTAGTCAAAGATGCTGAGTACCAGTTTAGAGTGAGAGCAGAAAACAGATACGGAGTCAGCCAACCACTTGTCTCAAGCATTATTGTGGCAAAACACCAGTTCAGGATTCCTGGTCCCCCAGGAAAGCCAGTTATATACAATGTGACTTCTGATGGCATGTCACTAACTTGGGATGCTCCAGTTTATGATGGTGGTTCAGAAGTTACTGGATTCCATGTTGAAAAGAAAGAAAGAAATAGCATCCTCTGGCAAAAAGTTAATACATCACCAATCTCTGGAAGAGAATATAGAGCCACTGGACTGGTAGAAGGTCTGGATTACCAATTCCGTGTATATGCTGAAAATTCTGCTGGCCTAAGCTCACCTAGTGACCCAAGCAAATTTACCTTAGCTGTTTCTCCAGTAGGTAAGTGATTATTATTCAAATACATTTAGTTTAGCAATTGAACATATTAGAAACAAATATATCAAGGAATGCTTTTCTTCTCTGCATCACCTTCTTACATATCTTCTTGTCACTAGAGAACTGGTCATGTAAAGCAAGAGGAATTATTTTAAGTCAGTCTAATAAACTAATTTGAAGTTCATTTTAAAGACTATGAAATGGAAAGTTGAAATTAATGACCAATATGAGTTTGGGAGATTGAATAAATTACTTATTATAAAAATTTTACTTATTTATTAAAATTATAGAATAATTGTATTGTTCTTCCATGGATGATTAAGACCTGGTTACAAATGTAATGATGCATTTACCTTCCTTATAATTTTTTAGACCCACCTGGCACTCCTGACTACATTGATGTCACCCGGGAAACCATCACACTTAAATGGAACCCACCATTGCGTGATGGAGGCAGTAAGATTGTGGGCTATAGCATTGAGAAACGGCAAGGAAATGAACGCTGGGTGAGATGCAACTTTACTGACGTCAGTGAATGTCAGTACACAGTTACAGGACTCAGTCCTGGGGATCGCTATGAGTTCAGAATAATTGCAAGAAATGCTGTTGGAACTATAAGCCCGCCCTCACAGTCTTCTGGCATTATTATGACAAGAGATGAAAATGGTAAGCATTTACAACTTATTTCCAATGAGACTAAGAGCATTCACATTTTTAAAAAACACATTTGGCCCCTGGCCTGTAAAATGGTAACAGAAACAAATTACCCAAGGTTGCTAAGTGGATGAATTATGTCTTTCTACCTTTCAGATGAAAAGAAGAAAAAAATAATTGGCATCAATTATTTTTTCTATTATTTCACTCCATTCCCATATAAAGAGCATGCAGCAAGTGGGAATGAGTTTTTAGCTTTGTAATTTTCGCCACTTAACAGTACATAAAGAAAAGGTTCTCGAGAATAAGTGTCCATCTTTACTGAAGTTATTAAAATACAACATACATCCAACAACACAATCATCCCCTTGCTTGAATGCAGCTGATGGCCTCTTAAAAGAACTTGTGTGACTGTGCAGCAGTATTAGGAAGTACATGATCTGTAAATGTTTCACTTTCCTTTTTACAAAGAGCAATGCAAAATTAAAAACATGACAGGCATTACAAAGGGAATAATAATAGGCAAATATTTAACCCCATAGTCCAAATTCTCAATTATCAATCCTACTTTCAAAATAGGCTTTGGTAGCACAGTAGAAGTCACTACTCTTCCTGGCCTTGTGATATGGCACTACTGAAAAATATATATTTATGTATGTCTTTATTAAGCCAAACTAATACATAGTATTTCTCTTTCTTTTATAGTTCCACCAATAGTAGAGTTTGGCCCTGAATACTTTGATGGTCTCATTATTAAGTCCGGAGAGAGCCTTAGAATTAAAGCTTTGGTACAAGGAAGACCAGTGCCTCGAGTAACTTGGTTCAAAGATGGAGTGGAAATCGAAAAGAGGATGAATATGGAAATAACCGACGTACTTGGATCCACCAGCCTATTTGTTAGAGATGCTACTCGGGACCATCGTGGTGTATACACAGTGGAAGCCAAAAATGCATCTGGTTCTGCAAAAGCAGAAATTAAAGTGAAAGTACAAGGTACTTTTAAAATAGCTTCTTAATGCTACAATTTATGAACTTGGATTAGAGACATGCCTAGTTGTATTTTAATGGACAAGGAAAAAGAAACTAACTCTAGAAACTTTTTCTTATAGATACACCAGGAAAAGTAGTTGGGCCAATAAGATTCACCAATATTACTGGGGAGAAGATGACTCTGTGGTGGGATGCCCCACTCAATGACGGTTGTGCTCCCATAACCCACTACATCATTGAAAAACGGGAAACCAGCAGACTTGCCTGGGCACTAATTGAGGATAAATGTGAAGCCCAAAGTTACACTGCCATTAAACTAATAAACGGCAATGAATACCAATTCCGTGTTTCTGCAGTTAACAAGTTTGGTGTTGGCAGGCCACTTGATTCTGATCCAGTGGTTGCTCAAATACAATATAGTAAGTTTGCGTTTTTACTAAGCGGTACTATGTCAAAAGTTTAACCTTCCAAGCAAATGCATCTAATTGATTTGGGGTTTTGTTTTTGTTTTACAGCTGTTCCTGATGCCCCTGGCATTCCAGAACCTAGCAACATAACAGGCAACAGCATTACCCTGACATGGGCAAGGCCAGAATCAGATGGTGGCAGTGAAATTCAACAGTATATCCTTGAAAGAAGAGAAAAGAAAAGCACAAGATGGGTAAAAGTGATCAGCAAACGACCAATCTCTGAAACAAGATTCAAAGTCACTGGTCTGACAGAAGGCAATGAGTATGAATTCCATGTCATGGCTGAAAATGCTGCAGGAGTTGGACCTGCAAGTGGCATCTCAAGACTCATTAAATGTAGAGAGCCCGTCAACCCACCAGGTCCTCCCACAGTGGTCAAAGTAACAGACACATCAAAGACAACTGTGAGCTTAGAATGGTCCAAACCAGTGTTTGATGGTGGCATGGAAATAATTGGGTATATTATTGAAATGTGTAAGGCCGACTTAGGAGACTGGCACAAGGTGAATGCAGAGGCATGTGTGAAAACAAGATATACAGTCACTGATCTACAAGCAGGTGAAGAATACAAATTCCGAGTTAGTGCTATCAATGGTGCTGGAAAAGGCGACAGCTGTGAAGTGACTGGCACAATTAAAGCAGTTGACCGGTTAACAGCTCCTGAGTTAGACATAGATGCAAACTTCAAACAGACTCATGTTGTTAGAGCTGGGGCCAGTATTCGCCTCTTCATTGCCTACCAAGGTAGACCTACTCCTACAGCTGTGTGGAGCAAACCAGACTCTAACCTTAGCCTTCGGGCTGATATCCATACAACAGATTCCTTCAGCACCCTCACTGTGGAAAACTGCAACAGAAATGATGCAGGGAAATATACCCTTACTGTGGAAAACAACAGTGGTAGTAAGTCAATCACATTCACCGTGAAAGTGCTAGACACTCCAGGCCCACCTGGCCCAATTACCTTCAAAGATGTGACCCGGGGATCTGCTACATTGATGTGGGATGCCCCTCTTCTTGACGGTGGTGCCCGAATCCATCATTATGTGGTAGAGAAACGAGAGGCAAGTCGCCGTAGTTGGCAGGTTATCAGTGAAAAATGCACTCGTCAGATCTTCAAGGTCAATGACCTGGCCGAAGGTGTTCCGTACTATTTCCGTGTTTCTGCAGTAAATGAGTATGGTGTTGGTGAGCCCTATGAAATGCCAGAACCAATTGTAGCCACAGAACAGCCTGCTCCACCTAGGAGACTTGATGTTGTTGATACTAGCAAATCCTCCGCAGTCTTAGCTTGGCTTAAACCTGACCACGATGGAGGCAGCCGGATCACTGGCTACCTGCTTGAAATGAGACAAAAGGGATCTGACTTCTGGGTTGAAGCTGGTCACACCAAACAGCTAACTTTCACAGTAGAGCGTCTTGTTGAGAAAACTGAATATGAATTCCGTGTGAAGGCCAAGAATGATGCTGGCTATAGTGAACCCAGAGAAGCCTTCTCTTCTGTCATCATTAAGGAGCCTCAAATCGAGCCCACTGCTGACCTCACTGGAATTACCAATCAGCTTATAACTTGCAAAGCAGGAAGCCCATTTACCATTGACGTACCAATCAGTGGTCGTCCTGCCCCCAAAGTAACATGGAAACTGGAAGAAATGAGACTTAAAGAGACAGATCGAGTGAGCATTACAACAACAAAAGACAGAACCACACTGACTGTAAAGGACAGCATGAGAGGTGACTCTGGAAGATACTTCTTGACCCTGGAAAATACAGCTGGTGTTAAAACATTTAGCGTCACAGTTGTGGTCATTGGAAGGCCAGGTCCAGTAACCGGCCCCATTGAGGTCTCATCTGTCTCAGCTGAATCGTGTGTCCTGTCATGGGGAGAACCTAAAGATGGAGGAGGCACTGAAATTACTAATTACATAGTTGAAAAGCGTGAATCGGGTACAACAGCTTGGCAGCTTGTCAATTCCAGTGTCAAGCGCACTCAAATTAAAGTCACTCATCTCACAAAATACATGGAATATTCTTTCCGTGTCAGTTCAGAGAACAGATTTGGTGTCAGCAAACCTCTAGAATCAGCACCAATAATTGCTGAACATCCATTTGGTAAGAAAAATAAAAATCCTATTTCAAAGTCTCTATTATTAAATGTTTCCCCTGAATTTTATAAAATTGTATTCATACTTAATACCTTTGTTTATATTTAGTCCCACCAAGCGCTCCTACCAGACCTGAGGTCTACCATGTGTCTGCCAATGCCATGTCTATTCGTTGGGAAGAACCCTACCACGATGGTGGCAGTAAAATCATTGGCTACTGGGTTGAGAAGAAAGAACGTAATACAATTCTTTGGGTGAAAGAAAACAAAGTGCCATGCTTAGAGTGCAACTACAAAGTAACTGGTTTAGTAGAAGGACTGGAATATCAGTTCAGAACTTATGCACTCAATGCTGCAGGTGTTAGCAAGGCCAGCGAAGCTTCAAGACCTATAATGGCTCAAAATCCAGTTGGTATGTATCACAATTTAAGGGCATATTTGTTTATTATTACTGATTCTAGTAGAACTCAGAGTGGTATATTTTAACCTTATTTTTGCATCCCTTCCAGATGCACCAGGCAGACCAGAGGTGACAGATGTCACAAGATCAACAGTATCACTGATTTGGTCTGCCCCAGCGTATGATGGAGGCAGCAAGGTTGTGGGCTACATCATAGAGCGTAAGCCAGTCAGTGAGGTAGGAGATGGTCGCTGGCTGAAGTGCAACTACACCATTGTATCTGACAATTTCTTCACCGTGACTGCTCTCAGTGAAGGAGACACTTATGAGTTCCGTGTGTTAGCCAAGAATGCAGCAGGCGTAATTAGCAAAGGGTCTGAATCTACAGGCCCTGTCACTTGCCGAGATGAATACGGTAGGAAATAGTCAACATTCTCCTTTTTAAAATTATCTCAATTTATGTGAAAATAAACTCTCAGATATTCATTCATATCTGTTTTGCCTACTGACAGCTCCACCCAAAGCCGAACTGGATGCCCGATTACACGGTGATCTGGTTACCATCAGAGCAGGTTCTGATCTTGTTCTGGATGCTGCAGTTGGTGGCAAACCTGAACCCAAAATTATCTGGACCAAAGGAGACAAGGAGCTAGATCTCTGTGAAAAAGTCTCTTTGCAGTATACTGGCAAACGAGCAACTGCTGTGATCAAGTTCTGTGACAGAAGTGACAGTGGAAAATACACTTTAACAGTGAAAAATGCCAGCGGGACCAAGGCCGTGTCTGTCATGGTCAAAGTGCTTGGTAAGCATGTCAAATGTTCTCACATTTATATAGCATTTTCCAGTGTGGGCAGAAAGAATGATCTTCATCATGGCTTGTCATTACACCTGTTTCAGATTCCCCTGGCCCATGTGGAAAGCTCACCGTCAGCAGAGTAACACAGGAGAAGTGCACTTTAGCCTGGAGCCTTCCGCAGGAAGACGGAGGAGCAGAAATCACTCACTACATCGTGGAAAGACGCGAGACTAGCAGGCTCAACTGGGTGATTGTTGAAGGCGAATGCCCAACCCTATCCTATGTCGTTACCAGGCTCATCAAGAACAATGAGTACATATTCCGAGTGAGGGCAGTAAACAAATATGGCCCTGGTGTGCCTGTTGAATCAGAGCCAATTGTAGCCAGAAACTCATTCAGTAAGTATTAACACTTTTAAATAATTTGACAGTTGAAATGTAATAGAATCAGGGGGAGAAGGGAGAAGGGCAGTCTTATCAATAGTAATTTTGTGCAATTCTCATCATCCTTATTTTCATAAACAGCTATTCCATCACCACCCGGCATACCTGAAGAAGTTGGGACTGGCAAAGAGCATATCATCATTCAGTGGACAAAACCTGAATCTGATGGTGGCAATGAAATCAGCAACTACCTAGTAGACAAACGTGAGAAGAAGAGCCTGCGCTGGACACGTGTCAACAAAGACTATGTGGTGTATGATACCAGGCTGAAGGTGACCAGCCTGATGGAGGGTTGTGATTACCAGTTCCGGGTGACCGCAGTGAATGCAGCTGGTAACAGTGAGCCCAGCGAAGCTTCCAACTTCATCTCATGCAGAGAACCATCATGTGAGCTCCAAGAATCATACATAAATACAATGCTCCTCAAAACTATATGACAGATAATTTTCCAACACACAATCTCTAAGAATTTTTAGAATTTATGAATGGTCTAGAAAAGCACATGCTTATTTGCATGATCATAAATATAGCTTAAGTCAGAGAACATTTTAACTATTACATCTGTTAAGTTAGCAATTAGAATTGCTAAAAGTTGTACAGCATTTTCCAATTAATGAAAAAATATTCTATCAATATGAAAAGAATCTATTTTATAAATTTTCCTTAGAGAAAAATGCATTGTACTGTAATAACTGAAAAGAAAAATGGCAAAACTCCTTTTAAGAAGAGGTTTAGCAGGAACATACAGTTTCTAGTGGTTTCATAAGTTACTGACAAAGTAATTGTGACAAGAGCTTCAAAAATAAGTGGCAAATCCTTTTACAGAGTCTGAGCCCAAGAACTATAAAGGAATAGTCACTGGGACTGAATTGGGGAAGCTAAGGAAACCAATTCTTGTATTCATTAGAAATGTATTGGTGGCAAGTGATACTAACCCAGTGAAAGATAAGCAACTAAAGAAAAGTCCCTAAGAATGGGTACTTTAAGTAATGAGCTTAGCTAATAGAGAACACACAGTAAAGCTGGCCAAAGAAGTAGGGAAGAAATATCTACTTTCCTAAAGCAATTTAATTCTTAAGATAATAATATTAAATTATAATGTGGCACTCTGTGCTGTCCTATAATATCAGGAGCCCAGTTAATAAAGATTATCTTGGTGAGTGTGGACAAGAGCAATAATGCCTTTGTGAGTCTTGAAAACAAAAAATACAAATCTCAACATTTCCTTATTTGCCTAATATCTGCATCTCACTTTTTAAATTCCACAGATACCCCTGGACCACCTTCTGCTCCAAGAGTTGTGGATACCACCAAACACAGCATTAGTTTGGCATGGACCAAACCCATGTACGATGGTGGTACTGACATTGTAGGATATGTTCTGGAAATGCAAGAGAAGGACACTGATCAGTGGTACCGAGTGCATACCAATGCCACAATAAGAAATACTGAATTCACTGTGCCAGACCTTAAAATGGGCCAGAAATATTCCTTCAGAGTTGCTGCCGTGAACGTGAAGGGTATGAGCGAATACAGCGAATCAATTGCTGAAATTGAGCCCGTGGAAAGAATAGGTATTTATCACAGAAGCTTTTAGGTGAATTATTTTCTTCTCACACCTGTCCATGAATTAATTAAATTTTGTCATTAACTTTCCAGAAATACCAGATCTTGAGCTTGCAGATGATCTAAAGAAGACTGTGACCATCAGGGCTGGGGCCTCCTTGCGCTTGATGGTGTCTGTATCTGGAAGACCACCTCCTGTCATAACGTGGAGCAAGCAGGGCATTGACCTTGCAAGCCGGGCAATTATTGACACCACTGAGAGCTACTCATTGCTAATAGTGGACAAAGTTAATCGGTACGATGCTGGAAAATACACAATTGAAGCTGAAAACCAATCTGGCAAGAAATCAGCAACAGTCCTTGTTAAAGTCTATGGTAAGCATTTTACTTAAAATTGGCTATACAATGAGTAGATCCTCTAAAACAATATAGCTTGACCTATGATTGATCACCTCTCTAGAAAGGAACTATGTTGATTATATTTCCCCAAGAAAAAAAAAGCTATCAGGCAAATAGGAAATATGAATCTTTCATTCTGTTTTTCAGATACTCCTGGTCCCTGTCCTTCAGTGAAAGTTAAGGAAGTATCAAGAGATTCTGTGACTATAACTTGGGAAATTCCCACGATTGATGGTGGAGCTCCAGTCAACAATTACATCGTTGAGAAGCGTGAAGCTGCTATGAGAGCATTCAAAACAGTAACTACCAAATGCAGCAAGACACTTTACAGAATTTCTGGACTTGTAGAAGGAACCATGTACTATTTCAGAGTGCTGCCAGAAAATATTTATGGCATTGGAGAACCTTGTGAAACATCTGATGCAGTACTGGTCTCAGAAGTGCCTTTGGTGCCTGCAAAGCTAGAAGTGGTCGATGTCACCAAATCCACTGTTACCCTTGCCTGGGAAAAACCACTCTACGATGGTGGTAGCCGACTCACTGGATATGTTCTCGAGGCCTGCAAAGCTGGCACAGAGAGATGGATGAAGGTTGTCACCTTAAAACCCACAGTCCTAGAGCACACTGTTACTTCCTTAAATGAAGGTGAACAATACTTATTTAGAATAAGGGCACAAAATGAGAAAGGTGTGTCAGAACCAAGAGAGACTGTCACAGCCGTGACTGTACAAGACCTCAGAGGTATGTACCAAATAGCCAAAAAAAAAAAAAAAGTAAAGTAAAATGAAAACATTCAGAATTCGTAACAATTTACCATAAAAATAATGCTTAAGAATAAATGCCTGATTTCTTTCCCATAGTGTTGCCAACAATCGATCTTTCTACAATGCCTCAGAAGACCATCCATGTCCCAGCTGGCAGACCAGTAGAGCTGGTGATACCTATTGCTGGCCGTCCACCTCCTGCTGCTTCCTGGTTCTTTGCTGGTTCTAAACTGAGAGAATCAGAGCGTGTCACAGTTGAAACTCACACTAAAGTAGCTAAATTAACCATCCGTGAAACCACTATCAGAGATACTGGAGAATACACACTTGAATTGAAGAATGTTACCGGAACTACTTCAGAAACCATTAAAGTTATCATTCTTGGTAAGGATGTGTGACAAAGATACAAGCAAGTTGATGTTCAGTCACCCAATTTTGATTTGAAGTAAAAATTAATTTCCTGTATTTCTTCTCTTTCATAGACAAGCCTGGTCCACCAACAGGACCTATTAAGATTGATGAAATTGATGCTACATCAATTACCATTTCCTGGGAACCACCTGAATTGGACGGTGGTGCTCCACTGAGTGGTTATGTGGTAGAACAACGTGACGCTCATCGTCCAGGATGGCTGCCCGTTTCTGAATCAGTGACTAGGTCCACGTTTAAGTTTACCAGACTCACCGAAGGAAATGAGTATGTGTTCCGTGTGGCTGCAACAAACCGCTTCGGGATTGGCTCTTACTTGCAGTCTGAGGTCATAGAGTGTCGCAGCAGCATCCGTAAGTCCACAGGCCCTTCCACCACTCTCCCCACCTCTGATTCTGAATGTTAACAAAAAAGAATTTGTTTTTAATATGCCCTAATGTAAATAAAAATAGGTCACAAAATTAACCCTGTGGTCTTTCTAAGGTTTCTAAACCTCCTTTTCTCAGGTTTCTAAACCTCCTTTTCTCAGAGGTTTTCAACACACTTAGGCTTGATTTTTTTTTTAATATCTTCACTCTTATGAAAGAGAAGAGGAGGGAGTTAGGAAGAAAGGAATGGAAGGAAGAAAAGAGAGAAGGGAAGGAGGAAGAGAGGAAAGGAAGGAGGACTGGCAATGTTATAGTGAGAAAAAAATACAGAGTGCATGCTTAATAAATGTAGAATTGAAGAAAATGAGGAACAGCAAGGAAAGTACAAAATTAAACCTCAGCATCATGCAATATACCCATGTAACAAACTGCACATGTACCCCTGAAGCTAAAAGTCAAAAATTTTTAATAAAAATAATTAAATAATTAAATGATTTAAATTAAAATTTACAAATAGTACAAAAGTGAAACTATTGGAAAAATAGTCATGTGCCTTATGTACCTTTTAAAATACCAACCAAAACCTAAGGAAAACACAAATATATGAGTCATTGTTTTAACGTATTCATATTGCCATATCGTGTTAACCTCTGTCTTGCTGCAGGTATTCCTGGACCCCCAGAAACATTACAGATATTTGATGTTTCCCGTGATGGCATGACACTTACTTGGTACCCACCAGAGGATGACGGTGGCTCCCAAGTGACTGGATATATTGTGGAGCGCAAAGAAGTGAGAGCAGATCGATGGGTCCGTGTAAATAAAGTACCTGTGACAATGACACGGTACCGCTCCACTGGCCTTACTGAAGGCTTAGAATATGAACACCGTGTCACAGCCATTAATGCAAGAGGGTCTGGGAAACCAAGTCGTCCTTCCAAACCCATCGTTGCCATGGATCCAATTGGTAAGGACATTTTGTATCAGTCAAATTGATTGAGTTACAATTTATATGTGGGAAAATTCACCTTTTTGAAATATATAGTTCTATGACTTTTGAAAAATGTACTGTTTTGTAATCACCACCACAATCAAAATGTGGAATATTTTTATTACCCCGTAAAGTTCCCTTGTGTCCGTTTGTAATCAGTCCCTTCCCCACCCCAGCTGCTAGCGATTTCTGGCAAATAATTTTTAATATTCTTCTCTGGAGTCAATTTCCACTTCTTTAAGATGAGATTCATAATATATGCTTTCTATCACACTTAAAATTTTAAAACAAGTTAATATTTCTGGAAGCACTTTAAAAACTGCTGATAAATGTAAGATAATAATAGTGATTACAAATGAAGCACATTTAAGAGAAAGGAAAGTGAAAAAATGTTAAGTATTTTTAGCTGATAAAATGAATAAAATTTTCTTTTTTCTTTCTTTTGTTTTTTTGTGTTTTTTTGAGACAGAGTCTCACTCTGTCACCCAGGCTGGAGTGCAGTGGCATGATCTTGGCTCACTGCAACCTCTGTCTCCCAGGTTCAAGCAATTCTTCTGCCTCAGCCTCCTGAGTAGCTGGGATTACAGGTGCCTGCCACCACGCATGGCTAATTTTTATGTTTTTAGTAGAGACGCGGTTTCACCATGTTGGCCAGGCTGGTCTTGAACTAACTCCTGACCTCAAGTATCTGCCCACCTTGGCCTCCCAACTTGCTGTGATTACAGGCATGAGCCACCACACCCAGCCATGAATAAAATTTTCACAAGACAAAAAAACAGGCTAATGTTAACAGTCCGTTTCAACAACTCATTGAATTTGTTAGGTGGCACAGCTAATTTTCAACTTTGCAGCAACTTTAACCAGTATATTCTTATTCTTATTCTCAGCTCCTCCAGGAAAGCCACAAAACCCAAGAGTTACTGATACAACAAGGACATCAGTCTCCCTGGCCTGGAGTGTTCCAGAAGATGAAGGAGGATCTAAAGTCACAGGCTACTTGATTGAAATGCAAAAAGTAGATCAACATGAATGGACCAAGTGTAACACCACTCCAACCAAGATTCGAGAGTATACTCTAACACACCTACCTCAGGGTGCAGAATACAGGTTCCGCGTCCTAGCTTGTAATGCTGGTGGACCTGGTGAGCCTGCTGAGGTACCAGGAACAGTCAAAGTCACTGAAATGCTTGGTGAGACATATGATCATTTGCTTTCTGCAATAATTGCCATAGACTTATTTCTTAGTCCCCCTACCCCAAATGCTAAATTGAAACCCTACCTTTTTTTCCAGAATATCCTGATTATGAACTTGATGAAAGATACCAAGAAGGTATCTTTGTAAGGCAAGGTGGCGTCATCAGACTTACCATACCAATCAAAGGAAAACCATTCCCAATATGTAAATGGACCAAGGAAGGCCAGGATATTAGTAAGCGTGCCATGATTGCAACATCTGAAACACACACTGAGCTTGTGATCAAAGAAGCAGACAGGGGTGATTCTGGCACTTATGACCTGGTTCTGGAAAATAAATGTGGCAAGAAGGCTGTCTACATCAAGGTCAGGGTGATAGGAAGTCCCAACAGTCCAGAAGGGCCACTGGAATATGATGACATCCAAGTCCGCTCTGTGAGGGTCAGCTGGAGACCTCCTGCTGATGATGGTGGTGCTGACATCTTAGGCTACATCCTCGAGAGACGAGAAGTGCCTAAAGCCGCCTGGTATACCATTGATTCCAGAGTCCGAGGTACATCTCTGGTGGTAAAAGGCCTCAAAGAGAATGTAGAATACCATTTCCGTGTTTCAGCAGAAAACCAGTTTGGCATAAGCAAACCCTTGAAATCTGAGGAACCAGTCACACCAAAAACACCATTGAGTAAGTGCCCTTTCAACCACAAAATTATAAACATTATTTCAGCACTTTTCTGTTTTTAAATGAAAGTCATTGGCTTATAATACTTGGGACTGTATTCTAATACATGTGTGCTTTCCACTTATATTTACAGATCCTCCAGAACCTCCAAGCAATCCTCCAGAAGTACTCGATGTAACCAAGAGTTCTGTTAGCTTGTCCTGGTCCCGGCCCAAAGATGATGGTGGTTCTAGAGTCACAGGCTACTACATCGAACGCAAAGAGACATCCACTGACAAGTGGGTCAGACACAACAAGACTCAGATCACCACCACAATGTACACTGTCACAGGGCTTGTTCCCGATGCTGAGTATCAGTTCCGCATCATCGCACAGAATGATGTTGGCCTGAGTGAGACCAGCCCTGCTTCTGAACCAGTTGTTTGCAAAGATCCATTTGGTAAGGAATTCAGAAGAAGGGGTTAAATTAAAGAAGCAAGCCATGTTTGGTCCTTTTATTTCACCAGTAAAGCTGACTCCCTTTTCATTATTTTAAAATATTTCAGATAAACCAAGCCAACCAGGAGAACTTGAGATTCTTTCAATATCCAAAGATAGTGTCACTCTACAGTGGGAGAAACCTGAATGTGATGGTGGTAAAGAAATTCTTGGATACTGGGTTGAATATAGACAGTCTGGAGACAGTGCCTGGAAGAAGAGCAATAAGGAACGTATTAAGGACAAGCAATTCACAATAGGAGGTTTGCTGGAAGCTACTGAGTATGAATTCAGGGTTTTTGCTGAGAATGAGACTGGGCTGAGCAGACCTCGCAGAACTGCTATGTCTATAAAGACTAAACTCACATGTAAGTAGCCTTTGGTTCTCTACTTATGATTTACAAACTAAACAAGTTAAGGCTAATTCCCCCTCTATACTAAGTAGAACCCTGGAAAGCTTTATTGGAGAGCAAGTGTTAAGAAAGAAAAGCAAGTACACACACAGGAAATATGACAAGTTCTACAGGAAACCATTCCAAGCACACAACCTCAGCAGATGTTAGATGGAGTGAACTGAGCACTTTCCTTGAGTAATTCCCTCTAATGCAATGGTTTCTTTTTAAAAATATTTCCCAACAAGATTTGAAAGGTCAACAATTGTATGCCACTTCAATGAACCTAAGTAAGGGCAAGAATACTACAGAATTATAGAGAGAATTTACAGTCCCTTAAAAGCCTATACATTATTAATCCCCTTCCAATCATAAAGAGAAAAAAACACTCTACATAAAATGTGACGATGTGCTCATTGAATCCCTATTTACCATATGATCCTAGGAAAATCACTTCAAAGAGTTTTTAAGAATTAGGCTAATATGTAAATCATGGTATGTGTCAGTAAATAAGGTAAATTCATTCCTGATATACAAGGACAAAGGATTACAGATTGAGTATTAACAGTCACTTAATATTATCTTTCATATTGTTCAGCTGGAGAGGCCCCAGGAATACGCAAAGAAATGAAGGATGTTACCACAAAATTGGGTGAAGCTGCTCAACTCTCATGCCAGATTGTTGGAAGGCCTCTTCCTGACATTAAATGGTACAGATTTGGTAAAGAGCTCATACAAAGCCGGAAATACAAAATGTCTTCAGATGGACGCACACACACTCTTACAGTAATGACAGAGGAACAGGAAGATGAAGGTGTTTATACCTGCATAGCCACCAATGAGGTTGGAGAAGTAGAAACCAGTAGTAAGCTTCTCCTGCAAGCAACACCGCAGTTCCATCCTGGTTACCCACTGAAAGAGAAATATTATGGAGCTGTGGGTTCCACACTTCGGCTTCATGTTATGTACATTGGTCGTCCAGTACCTGCCATGACTTGGTTCCATGGTCAGAAACTTTTGCAAAACTCAGAAAACATTACTATTGAAAACACTGAGCACTATACTCATCTTGTCATGAAGAATGTCCAACGTAAGACTCATGCTGGGAAATACAAAGTCCAGCTCAGCAATGTTTTTGGAACAGTTGATGCCATCCTTGATGTGGAAATACAAGGTATTTTATTTTTATTTTCAGTGCTTTTTATTTTTAAAGAAAAAAAAATCTCAAAAACACACTATGAAAACCACCACAATTGTATTTTCCCCCAACAGATAAACCAGACAAACCTACAGGACCAATTGTGATCGAAGCTCTATTGAAGAACTCCGCAGTGATCAGCTGGAAACCACCCGCAGATGACGGAGGCTCCTGGATCACCAACTATGTGGTGGAAAAATGTGAGGCCAAGGAGGGGGCTGAATGGCAATTGGTGTCTTCAGCCATCTCAGTGACAACCTGTAGAATTGTGAACCTCACAGAAAATGCTGGCTATTACTTCCGGGTTTCAGCTCAGAACACTTTCGGCATCAGTGACCCTCTAGAAGTGTCCTCAGTTGTGATCATTAAGAGTCCATTTGGTGAGTACAACTTGATTTCTGTATCTTCCTATGGTAAAGTTCCATCTTTGCATAAAATTCTTTTAAACAGAAAGAAATTTTGAAAGGAAATAGCAAAGATTCAGATAAAGTACAAGTGCCTTTTCTTTCACTTTAATTGAATGTTTGCATATCTAAAAGGAGAAATATATATCCTAACCCCATTGTAAAAATAGAACTTTGGTTTTTGATATGTCTTAGTATAAAGTAACCAATTTCATCTTTCTGGAATAGCTATTTTTTAACAAAATTTTGGACTCATATAACATTCTTTTTTAAAAAAATAAGCTTTAATAAAGCTGCCTGTTTCATCTCATGACTCAAATCTTTTTTTTGTTTAATAGAAAAGCCAGGTGCTCCTGGCAAACCAACTATTACTGCTGTCACAAAAGATTCTTGTGTTGTGGCCTGGAAGCCACCTGCCAGTGATGGAGGTGCAAAGATTAGAAATTACTACCTTGAGAAGCGTGAGAAGAAGCAGAATAAATGGATTTCTGTGACAACAGAAGAAATTCGAGAAACTGTCTTTTCAGTGAAAAACCTTATTGAAGGTCTTGAATACGAGTTTCGTGTGAAATGTGAAAATCTAGGTGGGGAAAGTGAATGGAGTGAAATATCAGAACCCATCACTCCCAAATCTGATGTCCCAATTCAGGCACCACACTTTAAAGAGGAACTGAGAAATCTAAATGTCAGATATCAGAGCAATGCTACCTTGGTCTGCAAAGTGACTGGTCATCCAAAACCTATCGTCAAATGGTACAGACAAGGCAAAGAAATCATTGCAGATGGATTAAAATATAGGATTCAAGAATTTAAGGGTGGCTACCACCAGCTCATCATTGCAAGTGTCACAGATGATGATGCCACAGTTTACCAAGTCAGAGCTACCAACCAAGGGGGATCTGTGTCTGGCACTGCCTCCTTGGAAGTGGAAGGTAAAAATAAATAAATTATCATCAAGTTGAGGCTAAATGAGTTATTAACTTGGGGGTGGAGGCTATTGCACTTAAACACATACTGTTAGATGTTGCTAAATTATATTCTTTTTTTTTTTTTTTCTGATACAGTTCCAGCTAAGATACACTTACCTAAAACTCTTGAAGGCATGGGAGCAGTTCATGCTCTCCGAGGTGAAGTGGTCAGCATCAAGATTCCTTTCAGTGGCAAACCAGATCCTGTGATCACCTGGCAGAAAGGACAAGATCTCATTGACAATAATGGCCACTACCAAGTTATTGTCACAAGATCCTTCACATCACTTGTTTTCCCCAATGGGGTAGAGAGAAAAGATGCTGGTTTCTATGTGGTCTGTGCTAAAAACAGATTTGGAATTGATCAGAAGACAGTTGAACTGGATGTGGCTGATGTTCCTGACCCACCCAGAGGAGTCAAAGTTAGTGATGTCTCACGAGATTCTGTCAACTTAACATGGACTGAGCCAGCCTCTGATGGTGGCAGCAAAATCACCAACTACATTGTTGAAAAATGTGCAACTACTGCAGAAAGATGGCTCCGTGTAGGACAGGCCCGAGAAACACGTTATACCGTGATCAACTTATTTGGAAAAACAAGTTACCAGTTCCGGGTAATAGCTGAAAATAAATTTGGTCTGAGCAAGCCTTCAGAGCCTTCAGAACCAACCATAACCAAAGAAGATAAGACCAGAGCTATGAACTATGATGAAGAGGTAGATGAAACCAGGGAAGTCTCCATGACTAAAGCATCTCACTCTTCAACCAAGGAACTCTATGAGAAATATATGATTGCTGAAGATCTTGGGCGTGGTGAGTTTGGAATTGTCCATCGTTGTGTTGAAACATCCTCAAAGAAGACATACATGGCCAAATTTGTTAAAGTCAAAGGGACTGATCAGGTTTTGGTAAAGAAGGAAATTTCCATTCTGAATATTGCTAGGCATAGAAACATCTTACACCTCCATGAATCATTTGAAAGCATGGAAGAATTAGTTATGATCTTTGAGTTTATATCAGGACTTGACATATTTGAGCGCATTAACACAAGTGCTTTTGAACTTAATGAAAGAGAAATTGTAAGTTATGTTCACCAGGTCTGTGAAGCACTTCAGTTTTTACACAGTCATAATATTGGACACTTTGACATTAGACCAGAAAATATCATTTACCAAACCAGAAGAAGCTCTACCATTAAAATCATAGAATTTGGTCAAGCCCGTCAGCTGAAACCAGGGGACAACTTCAGGCTTCTATTCACTGCCCCAGAATACTATGCACCTGAAGTCCACCAGCATGATGTTGTCAGCACAGCCACAGACATGTGGTCACTTGGAACACTGGTATATGTGCTATTGAGTGGTATCAACCCATTCCTGGCTGAAACTAACCAACAGATCATTGAGAATATCATGAATGCTGAATATACTTTCGATGAGGAAGCATTCAAAGAGATTAGCATTGAAGCCATGGATTTTGTTGACCGGTTGTTAGTGAAAGAGAGGAAATCTCGCATGACAGCATCGGAGGCTCTCCAGCACCCATGGTTGAAGCAGAAGATAGAAAGAGTCAGTACTAAAGTTATCAGAACATTAAAACACCGGCGTTATTACCACACCCTGATCAAGAAAGACCTCAACATGGTTGTGTCAGCAGCCCGGATCTCCTGTGGTGGTGCAATTCGATCTCAGAAGGGAGTGAGTGTTGCTAAAGTTAAAGTGGCATCCATTGAAATTGGCCCAGTTTCTGGGCAGATAATGCATGCAGTTGGTGAAGAAGGAGGACATGTCAAATATGTATGCAAAATTGAAAATTATGATCAGTCTACCCAAGTGACTTGGTACTTTGGCGTCCGACAGCTGGAGAACAGTGAGAAATACGAAATCACCTACGAAGATGGAGTGGCCATCCTCTATGTCAAAGACATTACCAAATTAGATGATGGTACCTACAGATGCAAAGTAGTCAATGACTATGGTGAAGACAGTTCTTATGCAGAGCTATTTGTTAAAGGTGTGAGAGAAGTCTATGACTATTACTGCCGTAGAACCATGAAGAAAATTAAGCGCAGAACAGACACAATGAGACTCCTGGAAAGGCCACCAGAATTTACCCTGCCTCTCTATAATAAGACAGCTTATGTAGGTGAAAATGTCCGGTTTGGAGTAACTATAACTGTCCACCCAGAGCCTCATGTAACATGGTATAAATCAGGTCAGAAAATCAAACCAGGTGACAATGACAAGAAGTACACATTTGAGTCAGACAAGGGTCTTTACCAATTAACAATCAACAGTGTCACTACAGATGATGACGCTGAATATACTGTTGTGGCAAGGAACAAATATGGTGAAGACAGCTGTAAAGCAAAGCTGACAGTAACCCTACACCCACCTCCAACAGATAGTACCTTAAGACCCATGTTCAAAAGGTTACTGGCAAATGCAGAATGCCAAGAAGGCCAAAGTGTCTGCTTTGAGATCAGAGTGTCTGGCATCCCCCCACCAACATTAAAATGGGAGAAAGATGGTCAGCCACTGTCCCTCGGGCCTAACATTGAAATTATCCATGAAGGCTTGGATTATTATGCTCTGCACATCAGGGACACTTTGCCTGAAGACACGGGTTATTATAGAGTCACAGCCACTAACACAGCTGGGTCCACCAGCTGCCAGGCTCACCTACAAGTGGAACGCCTGAGGTACAAGAAACAGGAATTCAAGAGTAAGGAGGAGCATGAGCGACACGTACAAAAACAAATTGACAAAACCCTCAGAATGGCTGAAATTCTTTCTGGAACTGAAAGTGTACCACTGACACAGGTAGCTAAAGAGGCTCTGAGAGAAGCTGCTGTCCTTTATAAACCGGCTGTAAGCACCAAGACTGTAAAAGGGGAATTCAGACTTGAGATAGAAGAAAAGAAGGAGGAGAGAAAACTCCGGATGCCTTATGATGTACCAGAGCCACGCAAGTATAAGCAGACTACCATAGAAGAAGACCAACGCATCAAGCAGTTCGTGCCCATGTCTGACATGAAGTGGTATAAAAAGATACGTGATCAGTATGAAATGCCTGGGAAACTTGACAGAGTTGTACAGAAACGACCCAAGCGCATCCGCCTTTCAAGATGGGAACAGTTCTATGTGATGCCTCTTCCACGCATTACAGATCAATACAGACCTAAATGGCGTATTCCTAAACTGTCCCAAGATGATCTTGAGATAGTGAGACCAGCCCGCCGGCGTACACCTTCTCCTGATTATGACTTTTACTACCGACCTAGAAGACGTTCTCTTGGGGACATCTCTGATGAAGAATTACTCCTCCCCATTGATGACTACTTAGCAATGAAAAGAACAGAGGAAGAGAGGCTGCGTCTTGAAGAAGAGCTTGAGTTAGGTTTTTCAGCTTCACCCCCAAGTCGAAGCCCTCCACACTTTGAGCTTTCTAGCCTACGTTACTCTTCACCACAAGCTCATGTCAAGGTGGAGGAAACAAGAAAAGACTTCAGGTATTCAACCTATCACATCCCAACGAAGGCTGAAGCTAGTACAAGTTATGCAGAACTGAGGGAACGGCATGCCCAGGCTGCGTACAGACAGCCAAAGCAACGGCAAAGAATCATGGCTGAGAGGGAGGATGAAGAGTTGCTTCGCCCAGTTACGACCACCCAGCATCTCTCAGAATACAAAAGCGAACTTGACTTCATGTCAAAGGAGGAAAAGTCTAGAAAGAAATCAAGGCGACAAAGAGAAGTGACAGAAATAACAGAAATTGAGGAAGAATACGAAATCTCAAAACATGCTCAAAGAGAATCATCCTCATCTGCGTCTAGACTACTGAGACGACGGCGCTCCCTGTCTCCAACTTATATTGAGTTAATGAGGCCAGTGTCTGAGCTGATCCGGTCACGTCCACAACCGGCTGAGGAATACGAAGATGACACAGAAAGAAGGTCACCTACTCCAGAGAGAACTCGCCCACGATCCCCCAGCCCTGTGTCTAGTGAGAGATCACTCTCGAGATTTGAGAGGTCTGCAAGATTTGATATCTTTTCCAGGTATGAGTCCATGAAAGCTGCTTTAAAAACTCAGAAGACATCAGAAAGGAAGTATGAAGTTTTGAGTCAGCAGCCTTTCACACTGGACCATGCCCCTCGAATCACACTGAGAATGCGCTCGCACAGGGTACCATGTGGCCAAAATACACGTTTTATTTTAAATGTTCAGTCTAAGCCAACTGCCGAGGTTAAATGGTACCACAATGGTGTGGAACTCCAAGAAAGCAGTAAGATTCATTACACCAACACGAGTGGAGTCCTCACCCTGGAAATTCTGGACTGTCATACTGATGACAGTGGAACCTACCGTGCTGTGTGCACCAACTACAAGGGCGAAGCTTCTGACTATGCAACGTTGGACGTGACAGGAGGGGATTATACCACCTATGCTTCCCAACGCAGAGATGAAGAGGTCCCCAGATCTGTTTTCCCTGAGCTGACAAGAACAGAGGCGTATGCTGTTTCATCATTTAAGAAAACATCTGAGATGGAAGCTTCGTCTTCTGTCAGGGAAGTGAAATCACAGATGACGGAGACAAGGGAAAGTCTCTCCTCATATGAACACTCTGCATCTGCAGAAATGAAAAGTGCTGCATTAGAAGAAAAGTCACTGGAAGAAAAATCCACAACCAGAAAGATCAAGACGACTTTGGCAGCAAGAATTCTAACAAAGCCACGGTCCATGACCGTCTACGAGGGCGAGTCTGCAAGGTTTTCTTGTGACACCGATGGTGAGCCGGTACCA
The DNA here is from genome assembly GCF_000001405.40 of Homo sapiens. Classification (NCBI taxonomy): domain Eukaryota; kingdom Metazoa; phylum Chordata; class Mammalia; order Primates; family Hominidae; genus Homo; species Homo sapiens. The sequence continues at coordinate 178,531,140 of NC_000002.12, read as the reverse complement.
ACTGTGACCTGGCTGCGTAAAGGACAAGTGCTAAGTACTTCTGCCCGCCACCAAGTGACCACCACAAAGTACAAATCAACCTTTGAGATCTCTTCAGTCCAGGCTTCCGATGAGGGCAATTACAGCGTGGTGGTAGAAAACAGTGAAGGGAAACAAGAAGCAGAGTTCACTCTGACTATTCAAAAGGCCAGGGTAACTGAAAAGGCTGTGACATCACCACCAAGAGTCAAATCCCCAGAGCCTCGGGTGAAATCCCCAGAAGCAGTTAAGTCTCCAAAACGAGTGAAATCTCCAGAACCTTCTCACCCGAAAGCCGTATCACCCACAGAGACAAAACCAACACCAACAGAGAAAGTTCAGCACCTCCCAGTCTCTGCCCCACCAAAGATTACTCAGTTCCTGAAAGCAGAAGCTTCTAAAGAGATTGCAAAACTGACCTGTGTGGTTGAAAGCAGTGTATTAAGGGCAAAAGAGGTCACCTGGTATAAAGATGGCAAGAAACTGAAGGAAAATGGGCATTTCCAGTTTCATTATTCAGCAGATGGTACCTATGAGCTCAAAATCAATAACCTCACTGAATCTGATCAAGGAGAATATGTTTGTGAGATTTCTGGTGAAGGTGGAACGTCTAAAACCAACTTACAATTTATGGGGCAAGCCTTTAAGAGTATCCATGAGAAGGTATCAAAAATATCAGAAACTAAGAAATCAGATCAGAAAACCACTGAGTCAACAGTAACCAGAAAAACTGAACCAAAAGCTCCTGAACCAATTTCCTCAAAACCAGTAATTGTTACTGGGTTGCAGGATACAACTGTTTCTTCAGACAGTGTTGCTAAATTTGCAGTTAAGGCTACTGGAGAACCCCGGCCAACTGCCATCTGGACAAAAGATGGAAAGGTAACCAGTTCTTAAATGTCTCTTTCTTTTATCTTCTAAAATATTTTATCTTCTAAATTCAGCTTCCCAAAAAAAGCTTAAAATGAAATCACTTTTTAAAACACAAATCATTTGCATTCTACAGGCCATTACACAAGGAGGTAAATATAAACTCTCTGAAGACAAGGGAGGGTTCTTCTTAGAAATTCATAAGACTGATACTTCTGACAGTGGACTTTATACTTGTACAGTAAAAAATTCAGCTGGATCTGTGTCCTCTAGCTGCAAATTAACAATAAAAGGTAGGTTGGCTTTTGTTTTTACCCACATTTCTTCAGAAGATAATATTAGGGAAATATTTTCAAACATCCCCCCTTATATACACATACAAGAAAGTATTAAAATAAAATTATTTTCCTAATTCCAGAATACAATTTGTACACCAAAGCAGAAACACACATTTGAAGTTAGCATATGCTTTTCTATGAGCATAAAAAGCAGTTATTAAGTACCTAGTTATATGTGGTATTATATAAGATTCCATAGTGTCAGCCCCTGCTCCCAGGAATATTTAAGAATAAAGTCAGTGAATATACAAAATGGCACTACTTGCCTAAACCTTCACAGTTGCTAATTTTCCAAAGCAGTGCAAAGTTAATTAAAGAACTATTTCTATTTTACCAATTAAAATTAGTTTGCTTTCATTTCAATCTTCTGAAAGATAATTTAATGTTTTGGTTACTCAAAATCTCCCAAATCCACTTATCTCCTAAATCCGTTGACTATTCTTTTCAAGACTTTTTTCCTTAAGTCATATGAATCATCTTTGGCTCAGTTTAGTTTAAGGAATCATTACAGTGATCTCAAAAGTCACACATGATAATTTTCCAAAAGTGGAACTGAGAAAGTATTAGGTATTACCTACATTGCATGAAGAAGTTGACTTTTTTTCTTTTTATGTTTTTCACACGCAGAATCTAGAAGAGTAAAAGGTGGGGGTCTCTTTCTAATTAAGTTTGCCTTACAGAGGTTTCTTTTTTAGCTATAAAAGATACTGAGGCACAGAAAGTCTCTACACAAAAGACTTCTGAAATTACACCTCAGAAGAAAGCTGTTGTCCAAGAGGAAATTTCCCAAAAAGCCCTAAGGTCTGAAGAAATTAAGATGTCAGAGGCAAAATCTCAAGAAAAGTTAGCCCTCAAAGAGGAAGCTTCAAAGGTTCTGATTTCTGAAGAAGTCAAGAAATCAGCAGCAACCTCCCTGGAAAAATCCATTGTCCATGAGGAAATCACTAAAACATCACAGGCATCAGAAGAAGTCAGAACTCATGCTGAGATTAAAGCATTTTCTACTCAGATGAGCATAAACGAAGGTCAAAGACTGGTTTTAAAAGCCAACATTGCTGGTGCCACTGATGTGAAATGGGTACTGAATGGCGTAGAGCTTACCAACTCTGAGGAGTACCGATATGGTGTCTCAGGCAGCGATCAGACCCTAACCATCAAGCAAGCCAGTCACAGAGATGAAGGAATCCTCACCTGCATAAGCAAAACCAAGGAAGGAATCGTCAAGTGTCAGTATGATTTGACACTGAGCAAAGAACTCTCAGATGCTCCAGCCTTCATCTCACAGCCTAGATCTCAAAATATTAATGAAGGACAAAATGTTCTCTTTACTTGTGAAATCAGTGGCGAGCCATCCCCTGAAATCGAATGGTTTAAAAACAACCTGCCAGTAAGTTTAATTATGAATATATTATTGAAGAAAAACTAAAATACCATGTCTTCCACATCTGAAGAACTTCAACATTTCTTTTCTTTTTCCTTTGTCTTAGATTTCTATTTCTTCAAATGTCAGCATAAGCCGCTCCAGAAATGTATACTCCCTTGAAATCCGAAATGCATCAGTCAGCGACAGTGGAAAGTACACAATTAAGGCCAAAAATTTCCGTGGCCAGTGTTCAGCTACAGCTTCCTTAATGGTCCTTCGTAAGTATCTCCTCACCCTTCTTCCTTACATGTTTAAGGCCTTTAGATCGTTTTTTTGCCTCTCTTTCAAGCACAGAAAACTCTAAGAAGCCTTATTAAATTCCATGTGAAAGAGGGACAGCCAACTGATGTGAATTCATTCTTGTAGTCAAACTTTCTTTATAGCTACACAGAAACTTGGATAGATTACATTTCAAAGTAAAGCTACCAACTGCCGTGTAACATTTATTTGCAGGATGCACAATATGTCAATTACTTTCTATATGACTAATCATTTTTCTCCTAGTGATTCCTAGCACCTGCATGTAATGTAATGATAGAAATATAAGGATTCATGTTTTGGAGACATTGAGCTAGCTCTTGACAAATGTATGTATATATGTATTTGCTTATGCTTCAACAGCAAATTGTTTGGGTTATGCTGCTGTGTGTGTGTTGAAGTTTCCATTTCTGTAAGTCAGCGTCATATGTCATCAATTAACCAGATGTCATTGATGTTCACTGTGTATCTGCTATGCTCCACAGCTCTAGTTGAAGAACCTTCCAGAGAGGTAGTATTGAGAACAAGTGGTGACACAAGCTTGCAAGGAAGCTTCTCGTCTCAGTCAGTCCAAATGTCTGCCTCCAAGCAGGAGGCCTCCTTCAGCAGTTTCAGCAGCAGCAGTGCTAGCAGCATGACTGAGATGAAATTTGCAAGCATGTCTGCCCAAAGCATGTCCTCCATGCAAGAGTCCTTTGTAGAAATGAGTTCCAGCAGCTTTATGGGAATATCTAATATGACACAACTGGAAAGCTCAACTAGTAAAATGCTTAAAGCAGGCATAAGAGGTGAGCAATAAAATTACTGGTAGAGGTAGACAAGCCAAGTAACATGGTGTAGTCTTTAGTACACACAATTCAGTAGAAAGCAAATCTTTATTTTTTTCAGTGATTCTAAGACCTTTTTTTTGTCATTGTTCCATAAAGGAATTCCGCCTAAAATTGAAGCTCTTCCATCTGATATCAGCATTGATGAAGGCAAAGTTCTAACAGTAGCCTGTGCTTTCACGGGTGAGCCTACCCCAGAAGTAACATGGTCCTGTGGTGGAAGAAAAATCCACAGTCAAGAACAGGGGAGGTTCCACATTGAAAACACAGATGACCTGACAACCCTGATCATCATGGACGTACAGAAACAAGATGGTGGACTTTATACCCTGAGTTTAGGGAATGAATTTGGATCTGACTCTGCCACTGTGAATATACATATTCGATCCATTTAAGAGGGCCTGTGCCCTTATACTCTACACTCATTCTTAACTTTTCGCAAACGTTTCACACGGACTAATCTTTCTGAACTGTAAATATTTAAAGAAAAAAAAGTAGTTTTGTATCAACCTAAATGAGTCAAAGTTCAAAAATATTCATTTCAATCTTTTCATAATTGTTGACCTAAGAATATAATACATTTGCTAGTGACATGTACATACTGTATATAGCCGGATTAACGGTTATAAAGTTTTGTACCATTTATTTTATGACATTTTACAATGTAAGTTTTGAAACTAACTGTTGGTAGGAGAAAGTTTCTTATGGAACGAATACCCTGCTCAACATTTAATCAATCTTTGTGCCTCAACATACTGTTGATGTCTAAGTATGCCTCAGTGGGTTGAGAAAATCCCCATTGAAGATGTCCTGTCCACCTAAAAGAGAATGATGCTGTGCATATCACTTGATATGTGCACCAATACCTACTGAATCAGAAATGTAAGGCATTGGTGATGTTTGCATTTACCCTCCTGTAAGCAACACTTTAACGTCTTACATTTTCTCTGATGATGTCACACAAAATTATCATGACAAATATTACCAGAGCAAAGTGTAACGGCCAACACTTTGTTCGCTCATTTTACGCTGTCTCTGACATAAGGAGTGCCTGAATAGCTTGGAAAAGTAACATCTCCTGGCCATCCCTTCATTTAACCAAGCTATTCAAGTATTCCTATGCCAGAGCAGTGCCAACTCTTGGAGGTCCCAGAGTGCAGCCAATGCCTTTGTGTGGTAGTTCTAAATTTTAATTGCACCTGAAAAACCTGGGCACCTAAGCAATGAGCCACAGCAAAAAGTAAAGAACAACAACAAAATAAAGCTGTTGTTAAATTTTAAACAATATTACTAATTGCCCAAAATGTCAATTTGATGTAGTTCTTTTCATGCAAGTATAAATTCAATTGTTAGTTATAATTGTTGGACCTCCTTGAGATAGTAACAACAAAATAAAGCAAGCTATCTGCACCTCAAAATGTGTGGCTGGTTGTTTTCTGTGAAATTCTGGGGTGGGGAAGTATGCATCTTCGTGTATCACAAAAACGATCATAGATAGATAAGGCAACTCAAGTTCAAAACAGCCCATGCTGATCTAATTAAACTAAAGAGCTTCTGCACAGCAAAAGAAACTACCATCAGAATGAACAGGCAACCCACAGAATGGGAGAAAATTTTTGCAATCTACTCATCTGACAAAGGGCTAATATCCAGAATCTACAATGAACTCAAACAAACGTGTAAGAAAAAAACAACCCCATCAACAAGTGGGCAAAGGATACAAACAGACACTTCTCAAAAAAAGACATTTATGCAGCCAAAATACACAAGAAAAAATGCTCATCATCACTGGCCATCAGAGAAATGCAAATCAAAACCACAATGAGATACCATCTCACACCAGTTAGAATGGCAATCATTAAAAAGTCAGGAAACAACAGGTGCTGGAGAAGATGTGGAGAAATAGGAACACTTTTACACTGTTGGTGGGACTGTAAACTAGTTCAACCATTGTGGAAGTCAGTGTGGAGATTCCTCAAGGATCTAGAACTAGAAATACCATTTGACCCAGCCATCCCATTACTGGGTATATACCCAAAGGACTATAAATCATGCTGCTATAAACACACATGCACACGTATGTTTATTGCAGCTCTATTCACAATAGCAAAGACTTGGAACCAACCCAAATGTCCAACAATGATAGACTGGATTAAGAAAGTGTGGCACATGTACACCATGGAATACTATGCAGCCATAAAAAATGATGAGTTCATGTCCTTTGTAAGGACATGGATGAAATTGGAAATCATCATTCGCAGTAAACTATCGCAAGAACAAAAAACCAAACACCGCATATTCTCACTCATAGGTGGGAACTGAACAATGAGAACACATGGACACAGGAAGGGGAACATCACACTCTGGGGACTGTTGTGGGGTTGGGGGAGGCGGGAGGGATAGCATTAGGAGATATACCTAATGCTAAATGACGAGTTAATGGGTGCAGCACACCAGCATGGCACATGTATACATATGTAACTAACTTGCACATTGTGCACATGTACCCTAAAACTTAAAGTATAATAATAATAAAATAAAAAATAAAAAAAAACAGCCCATGCTAATAAGTTCTTTTAAGCAAATGTTTAAATTATCGTTAGATGTATTCAGCAATTTTGTTTAAAAAGCCTAGATATAGTTCTCATGGATATATTTATCCCCAAAAGTTTATCTTCTAAATATATCAAGAAAAATATTTTTAGGAGAGCTGATTCAACTCGGAATCAGCTGTGATTCAATATCTTTGATGGATTTTGAACATCTACAATTCACAATCTTTTGTGCTAAACACCACAGGGAACAATACAAAGATGATTAACACGGTATAGATACTGTCCCTCAAAGAGCATAGTGAACGGAAAAGGACAACTTCAGGGAAAATGATCAGTTGTGAATCTGAGTCCATATTGGCTACTGCAGCTCCAAATTGAGACAGAACAAATAAAGGACCTCAGAACTAAAGAACTATTTTATTCCCAAGTCTAGATCAGTTGTTTTAAAAGCATGGTAGAATGACAGTATATGGAAGACTGACACTATTTTAAATAGTGTCATTCTACTATGCTTTTTAAACAACTGATCTAGACTTGGTAATAAAATAATGCCAAAAATATCTGTATTTGTCCACTTCAATTTGTTAATCATAATTATAAGCCTATGATGTTATTTGCCTAAATTCACCTCCTTAATGTAGGTACAGGTGACCAAAGCTGAAGCAAATGTACTGTCAGTTTTCATTCTCCAGAGAAAAATCCTGGGTCTTCATTAATTTATTCAGCAAGTTTTCCGTCTTAAGTCAGATTCCCTAAAAGCAGAGCCTGAGACGGGGATTCTTGTCTCAGAAATTCTTTGAGGGATTATTACTCTCAGGGAAAAAGGGAATGGGGCAGCCAGCAGATAGGGCAGAGGAAGCAAGCTGAGCACGAATGTGGTCTCAGCAGAAGCCTCAGCCAGATCTCACAGGGAGCTTCAATCGTACCACAGAGTTGGTTCCATCTAGGAGCAAGGGGGCTGACATTTTGTACCCCCTTACCAACCAGTCAATGGCTACAGGCTATAAGCTGAGGGGCTGAGGAGGGATGGAAGAGGGAAATAAACCTTCCCAAGTGAAGAGGGGTGCCTGTTGGCCAGGACAATTCTCCGTGGACTAACGCAGCCAAACAGTGAACAATCGAGAAATCGATGGAAGAATACACATTTCCTGGGCATCTAAGTGATGCCAACAGAACCCACTACATCATCTTACAATGTTAAATGCCTATTCTTACCTTAAAATGAGAGGCAGGACTGGCTAGGTGATGCCTAAGGATGATTCCCAGCCTTGACATGCTGGTATTCTCACATATCCTATCCGTGGCTGATATAGTCTGTGCGGATGAAAATTCCAAAACCGAAGACAGGATTTCGCACTTGCTAAAGTTGGAGCTCCCAGGCGCTGAGATCCAATTTGGGCCTGGGAGAGTGGGGAGGGAGAGCAATCTGCCCAGTGAAGGAGAGCTGCGCTAAAGGCAAGGTTTTACTTCTTTTTATCCCTTAGCGAAAAGCCCACTGCCTCTGAAAGTAGCACGGTGTGGCCACACGGACACATGGGGGAAGTCAGTCAGAGGCGCTCCAACAGAACGGCCAGAAGCCCCTTTCCTGGCTTACCAGGCAGCCTCCTTCCCCTAACTCCTCCAGAAACAGCGCTCCTCTGAAGACGCGGGGGGAGGGTCTTCCGGCCCCACACCCCACCTTCCGCAACGCCAGGAGTGGTTCCTCAGCATTATGGCGTCATTTCCGAGTCAGACCCGCTCTTCTCTCCCCATGTCAACAGAGGGCGACAGGGAGCACCAAGCCGAGGCGTGCTTTTTGGTTCCAATCTACGCCCTCCACAAAACCCATGAGCAAGCTTCACTGTCATCCTGCCCCTTTTTTTTATTCACGTCTATTTTATAAACCCCACACCCTGGCTACATGATCAGCCGAATCATGTTGCAATTACATGTCTGCATTCAAAACCCTGAGGGCCCCGCTCAAATCTAGGAACTGCTGTTTACTAACTTACTTCACCTGGGGCAGGTTACCCAACTTCTCCATTCTTTGACATTCTCGTCCATAAAATGAGAATAACAGCAGCAACCTCACAGTATTATTGTGACGATTAGACAAGTTACTACTTGTAAAACTCAGAACAGCGCTTAGCAGAGCACCCAATAAATACCAGCAATCATTATTCTGTTAGGGACCACAGTACAGAATATTGAAGCTAGGGACTAGAGAAGCAGCACTTTAGAGGGGACCTAGCCTAGGTCTCACTGGTACTCATTAGATGTACGGCAGGCCACCTTTATTCTTGGGCAACCTGTCCCAAGATCCCCCAGTGGAATCCTGAAACTGTGGATAGTACTGAATCCTACAAATACTATGATTTTTCCTTTTTTTTTTTTTTTTTTTTTTTTGAGACGGAGTCTCACTCGTCACCCAGGCTGGAGTGCAGTGGCGCAATCTCGGCTCACTGCAAGCTCCGCCTCCCGGGTTCACGCCATTCTCTGGCCTCAGCCTCCCAAGTAGCTGGGACTACAGGCGCCTGCCACCACGCCAGGCTAATTTTTTGTTTTTAGTAGAGACAGAGTTTCACCTTGTTAGCCAGGATGGTCTGGATCTCCTGACCTCGTGATCTGCCCACCTCGGCCTCCCAAAGTGTTGGGATTACAGGCGTGAGCCACCACGCCTGGCCATGATTTTTCTTATACGTACATGCTGATACGGTTTGGCTGTGTCCTCACTCAAATCTCATCTTGAATTGTAGCTCGCATAATTTCCACCTTGTGAGAGGGACCTGGTAGGAGATAATTGAATCATGGGAGCCGTTTCCCCCATACTGTTATCATGGTAGTGAATAAGTCTTACAAGATCTGACGGTTTTATAAGGGGAAACCCCTTTTGTTTGGTTCTCATTTCTCTCTTCCCTGACACCACGTAAGATGTGACTTGCTCCTCCTTGCCTTCGCCATGATTGTGAGGCCTTCCCAGCCACGTGGAACTGTGAGTCAATTAAACCTCTTTTCTTTATAAATGACACAGTCTCAGGTATGTCTTTATCAGCAGCGTGAAAATGGACTAATACGCATACCTATGAAAAAGTTTAATTTATAAATTAGGCAAATTAGGCACAGTAAGAGATTAACAACAATAATAGAATATAACAATGTACTATAATAAAAGTTTTATGAATGTGATCTCTCTGTCTCTATATATCTTATTGTACTGTACTATGGGTAACAGAAACAGCAGAAAGTGAAACCACAGATCAGAGGGGACTAGTGTATTCATTTTCTAGCACTGCTGGAACAAAGTACCATAAATCGAGTGGCAGACACAACAGAAATGTATTGTCTCGCAGCTCTGGAGGTTGGAAGTCCAAAATCAGGGTGTTGGCAGGGTTGGTTCCTTCTGAGAACTCTGAGGGAAGAATCTCTCCTAAGCCTCTCTCCTTTTCTGTAGATGGCTATTTTCATGTTCACACGACATTTTTCCTGCATGTCTGTGTCCAAATTTCTCCATTTTAGGATACCAGTCATACTACTGAGGCTCATCCTAGTTACTCCACTTCAACTTAATTACCTCTATAAAGCCTATCACCAAATAAGTTCGCATCCTGAGGTACTTGAGGTTATGAGTCCAACATCTCTTAGGGAGGGACATAATCCAACCTGTCACCCTAGATGTGGCGGACATGGAACAGCACCTCTTTATAGTAAGTGTTCTGAGGGAATTTCTGAAAAGACAGATTTTTTCTCTATCCAATAGTAGCTGATTATGTAGATGAACCATAGAGGTTGTTAAACCAGAAACGATGAACCATAGAGGTTGTTAAACCAGAAACAGCCCATAAAATAACAGGTTAAATTGATATCTCCATGGTGACTGATTCAAGAAGATTGTTTTATGATCGTGCTCCAGAAAGAAAAAGTAATTTTCAGTTTTGTTTACTCTGCCCCAAACGTAATTTTGAGAAATTCAGGTAGAGAAAGTCATTTCCTTGTAATAGGAGAAAATAGTGACTGCTACTTAAGTAGGACTTTTGAAAATAGACTGGCCCATGGGTTTTTATTCTAAGGTTATAAAATATGAAAACTTGCCTTTATGCATTTTGGTACCTCTGGGTCAATGTTTCCCAAACTCTGCTCTTCAAGATGTTGTGGAAAAACTGTTCCACAGCCTAATAAACTTAGAATTTGGGTAATTTTTCTTCTCTATACAGGATTTCTCAGTCTTTTATGAGCTATGAATTATGTTTCCAGGAGGTGACACAGTGTTCCCCAAATTTATTTGAAGACAGAATTTGCTTTTCATTGGTGCTATGCATAATGCAGGTTGAGACAGGCTATATGAGGTGGAAACACTGAAGATGTGGAAAGGAATAGATCTTGGTTGAAGAGGCAACTGAATATCCTCTAAGAAATGAAGTTAAGTGCTATGATCAAAGAAATCTGGAGTGTTTGGGAGCACATTGCTGAGGCATCTTATCCAGTCAGAGAAAGGGGCAAACAGGCAAAAGCTGCAACCTAAAATATGGGATAAGAAGGGGCAGGCCTCACTTTCCAGGCAGAGGACCTTTGCACCTGCAGAGACCTAGGGGCAAAGGATGGCACAATACATCCAAAAAAGTTTAAAGAAAATTTTTTTTAAATTTAGTAGAAAAAAGATTATAGTGGAACAACCTTTGAAGGGCTGGGTGCAAGAGGCAAGGCCACCTTGCAGAAGGCCTCATATACCATATAATAGAGTTTGGGCTTTTCCCTAAGAGGTAAGGGAATCACTAAAGAGATTTAAGTCAACTAGAGACTTGATAAAATTTTATTTTTACCAAGTCTTTAGCTGTTCTGAGAAAGCTATGACATTTGTTTGCTTTCTACATCAAAGAGCTTATTTCCGCCTATAGAATTCCACTCACAGGAAGACTTCACCTACCACCAAATTTCTAACCCATGATGTCCCTTTTAATTATAGCCCTGGGAGGTTATAGGCAATCGTGGAAAGGTCTTTCCTAAGATTTTCATGGGACTTGGGGGTGCATGTCAATGAAGCCAATCTGTTAGACTTCCCAGGCATAGGAAAAGTGGCAGCAAGGGATGGATATAGGAGGACACCTTACTGCCCAAAACCTTTTAAGTGACAAAGGCCACTGCTATGGCATTGGCAGTGAAGAGGTAGAAGAGTCCTGCCCAGCAAACCAAGTTCCGCTGAGGATGCCGTGTCAAGAATACAGCCGATGGAGATGATACCCATTCACTCCTGCTCTATTTTAAGAAGAGATGGAAAGCAGGTAAGAGGAATGGGCAGCTATGCCAATGCTTCTCAATCTTGTAAGAATTCTCTGCAAAAGATAGTGTGGCCTAAAGGTCGGGATTCCAAACATGAAACTCATGCTTATCCTGAGATTGTTAGTGATCCACAAGGTTCCCTGAGACTGTGTCTATGTATATTTTTTAGGTTTCATTTACAAAGATGCCAGTGGCTTTAAAAGTTTAAGAAATGCTGTCCTACATGTGTCTACGAGGCAGCAGACTAGATAGATAGGATTTGTGAAAATAGATTGGCCCGTGGGTTTTTATTTGAAATTATAAAAAGTGAGAGTTTGGTTTTGTGCTTTTTGGTATCTCTGGGTCAGTATTTCCCCAACTCTGTTCCTTGGGATGTCTAAGCCACCTGAGAAATACCTACACATAGTTCCCCCTAAAAAGAGGCAGTGATGAACTCCATTTTTGAAACCCTACAAAGGCTCGATGCTCAGAATTTCCTTTCCTTCTGCATCCAGGAGAGGCTGCTGCCAATGAACCTTGTGGTTCCTGAACCAGCAGAGCCTCAAGGATGAATACTTCTTGCTATATGCAATAGATACGAATTCCCTGAGTTATAGAAGTCTCCAGCGATGTTGAGGGGCCTCTGTCAGACACCGGTCTCAGCCTTATGAAGGGATGTAGCACATGAATGAATGCAGCTTTTTGTTGTCAGCTGCCACTTCTGAGACCACCATAATCAACTTTTAGCTTTTGGTCAGATGAGGGACACAGGTATTCCTCGTTCTCCAACTTGCCAAGAAATTCGGCCCACATGCATAAGGCAGGCCAGCTGTTTCCCCTTCACTTCCATATCCCTGCCACAACCCAAAGAAGCCAAAGAGAAGGGACACCACCAGGCCCATGAGGCCAAGACCAGGTGGGAGGCTGAGATGCTCTGTCCTAAAAACCTAAAGGACCACTAAGGGGAAGAGAATGAGACCCCAGAAAGAAAGCTCAAAATGGAGAATATTGAGATCCAGGTCTTTGAATAACATGCCCAGAGTCACATGGTTAGCAACAGAGCTGGAACTAGAGGCCAGGTCTCTGTTTATCAGTGTTGTCTTTCCACCCCTTCAAAACACCAAGAACCAAACCTGCTGGAGGGTGAGCAGGCAAGAGAGTGCTTGATTAGGGAGAAGAGGGCTCTTTTCCACTTTGAGAATCATTGTAGTTCCAGGGCAGGGTCAACAGCAAAATGCCATCAGGTTGCTTCCTGTAAAAAAAGTCCTTCATTTCTAGTGTAGGGAATTCCTCTTCTCAGAAAGCTCAGGCCAGAGATGCTGAACCCTTAACTGGCATCTGAAATATAGTCAGGAAATAGGGTGCTTACCTGACCCAGCGTGTCACGTGAAGGGACAGCAATGGGAGAGCTTCCCAGAAACTACACTACTGGACCCTATAGTATTCACACAAAAGAATCGTTCAATCATTGCAGGAAGAAAGCATCCTAGCAAAATAATCTGCCTATTTCTTGGTAGGGGTTGAGACAGAGGGAAGCAGACTGAGAGTTCTTGAAATATTTAAGATACGGGATTGTAGCCACTATAAGAAAGGTTTCTGAGTGCAGGGCATTGTATAGAAATTATTCCAGAGAACTTGGAGGATTTGGCTTTATTAATTGCAGTTTGACACTGGGATGAGTACATTTCTTACTTAAAGGGAAGTAGCTTTCTCTTCCAGAGAATTCTCAAAGGCATGTATAAAGCAGTATCCTTGCAAGTACTGTACTTCTTATTTTTCCTTAACACACAGGGTAGTTGAGAGAAGAGACTGAAAGAGCACTGCCTTCAGCCCAGTGACCATTCTTTGAGCTGTTTTCTCTTTCCCCATCTGAGGGAAGAGTGGAGTTTTGTGGTGATGGCAGTCGTCTCCTTCACATCTGCTCCAGATCAGAAACTCACCACAGCTATTAATCTGCTGATGTGAGCACATAGTACTAGCTTCATTTTCCAACCCCACATAAAAATGTCAAAACTTTAGTCAGAAAACCAGAGAGAAGCAAAAGGCAGGGTGTATGGAGATCTACATTTACCCTAATATCACCTCCAGTAGTGCTTCTCAAACTTTAAAGTGTGTAGCAATCACCGAAGGAACTTTTGAAAACGCAGAATCTAGTTCAGCAGATCTGGGATGGGGATGCTGAGATTCTGCATTTCTAACAACCCCCAAGGGAACCTCGGCCCATGCTAATAAGGACCTATTTGGCCTTTCTGACTGCTAGACGATGGCCACAAACTTTAGTGAGACAGATATATAAAAGAGATAGATCTATATCTATCTATATACACATAGAAACACACATCCCCCACCTCTTCTAAAATGCAACAATCAGAATTGAGAATTTCCATCCAGCTCAATGGTTTGCAAAGCTGGCTACCCATTGGAATCACTGAAAAACTTTCAAAAAATACTGATGATTGGGTCTCACCTTGCCCCCAGAGGTGTTGCTATAATTGGTCTGCGTCAACCTACCCATGAACCTAGGAAATTTAAATGCACCCTGCGGGGCGGGAGTTCTTTTTTTTTTTTTGAGACAGGGTCTCACTCTGTTGCCCAGGCCGGAGTGCAGTGGTGCAATTACAGTTCACTGCACCCTCAACCTCACGGGCTCAAGCAATCCCCACATCTCAGCCTCCCGAGTAGCTGGAACTACAGGCAAGCAACACCACGTCCACGTCCAGCTCTTTTTTTTTTTTTTTTTTTTTTTTGGAGACATGAGGTTTCACTATGTTGCCCAGGCTGGTTTTGAACTCCTGAGCTCAAGCAATCCGCCCAACTCTGCCTCCCAAAGTGCTGGGATTACAGATGTGAATCACTGTGCCTGGCTGCACCCTGGGGGTTTGTAATGTGCAGCCAAGATGGAGAACTCCTGATCTAAACAAATAAGGTGATGCACTGTATGCTTTCGTTTAAAGGTTAGCTATCATCACTACTATCTTTTCTCACATCACAGCACTAATCTTAAAATAGCCAACCAGCTTTTAAATTTAAATGTGCAGCAAACCAGTCACGTTTTTAAAAAGCAAAGTGTTACGCTTCCTCAAACTTTCAAAACATGCTGTATTTAAGTTTTTCTCAGTGGCATGGCAAATTTATTAAACATTTTCCCCCACACTGTTCACATCACTCAGGTTTTATTGAATTTATAAAATTACTACAATATTTTCGACAAGCAGAATTTTTATGACAAAAATATAGAGTATACACCTTTTGGAATTTGGAAAAGAAAAAAATACTCACAAAATAAGTATACATATATTTTTAAATGAAGTTTATTTTCCCCTGGGAATAGAAATTCTATTCTGAAACTTTTTCAAAATTAAAGTGTTTAGTTATAGCAATCAAAATCTGTATTTGCTATTAGGTTTCTAAGTTAATTTAGAGACTAGCTTTTTAAACCAATTCCATTATTTCCAATTTCTTAACTTCTAAACTTACAAATTTTTCACTTAAATACCCATAACTACTTTTGCAAGAATCATTTTATGTATATATATGTATGTATATATATATATGTATGTGTATATACACATATATAAGCTATATATACATCTTATAACTAGCTACAATAAAGACATTTAAAAGGCCAAAAAAATTCATGTGCTTATGTTTCTAACAATATTTAAACACGCAAAGAAAAGACTATTTTAACAGCAATTATGCTACTTTCTAATGCTTGCTTATTTATGTTTAGGTTAAAACAATAGTTAGGGTGCAAATGTGAATGATAAATACTATTCAACTAGTTAACTGAAAAAAAGTGAAAATTTTGGAAAGCCAATTATAATTAAGATAGTCATTGTATCTAAGATATTAAATAATAAAGCAGTGAGTTTTAAATTCACTCAAGAATTAGAAAGCAAAAAAATTACAAAAAAATAATTAGAAAGCAAAGATAAATACTAGCAACATAACACTTAGTGAGTGGTCAATGAATATTAACTGAAGAAATTTTTTAAAAGAGGTAAATAAATGTATAAACAATCCTAAATTAAATGGTTAACAGACCCCCTGAACTCACCGCCATTCCCAAGTGATTATTTTCTTTTCTGAAATAATATACCTAATATAGAAATAGTAAGAAGGCCATTTTGGGGAACTCTATAATCATCTATCAAAACTGGAGAAAAAGATAAAGTGAATAAAATTTTAAAAAGGTAGACAGAATGAGAAAAGTTCATATGTCTTTTTTTGGCTAATTATAGACAACATTGGAAAGCTCTTAGAAATTTACTAACATTCAACCATGATTTCCATAAGAGCTCTTCAGGACAGGTAGAAAGGAAATGTTGAGAAACTACACAGAATTCTGAAAACCAGAGGGCAAGAAAACTCACACAGTGAGTCTTTCGTTTTCTCTAGAGTAAGACACTAATGGACTTGAACTATTAAAAACATCATCTAAGACTATATCCACTGCCGTCACACTCCCCCAAAAGAAAAAAAAAAAAATACCTGCAGGAGTCAAATCCCCAAAAGTGGCAAATGCCAACATACAGTAGAGGAAGCCATATGCTACAAAAAAAAAAAAAAAAAAAGAGAGAGAATGTTATAAGACCAAAAATTGGTAAGTCATCGGTATATAGCTTCCTCACTCAAGTCACCTTCAAGGACCCTGCGTGAACATGGCCTGATTCACAAAAGCAGGAAAGAAAAGTTGCAATCTGTGCCTTTTCCCCTCAAAGGTCATGGCCTAGATTAACCAAATATGGCAAGGAGAATGGAGGGCAACTCATCCCTGTAAGGAGGTTTGCCACTAAAGCAAAACCACAAATGAATTCAAACTCTTCTCTCCAGTGATGACTAAGGGTGATCAAAACACAAAAAGTGACTAAGGTAAAGCACTGATATGCTATTGAATTTCACTTACCTAAACTAGTACTTCTTAGAGAAAAAAAAAAAAAGAATATTGGCACTTTTTTTTTCCTGAGCACCATGTGACAAGGGTCTTTGAATTCATGAAGGCACTATTAATAAGTGAAGGATATACACATTACTTATACATACATATGCACTTAGCCTAAATAAAGACATGACAGGCTATGTTTGTTCCCATTTTAAAGTATATGTATGAACTTAAGAGTTCATCCTAGTTGGATAGTGAAAACAGAAAACAGGGAATCAATTTTAAGTTGTTCAACTTTGCTTATTGTGAGTAAAGATATATATAATCTAGCAAAGTTATGCAAAGTTAGAATATACCCATTGCCCTATATTCTCGATGATAGTTACCCCTGCCACCATTCCCCACACCCTCTTAGTAAGCCCATGCAGACATCATTAATCAAGTAGGTAGGTCATTCTCCGCTAATCCTAGCTGAAAAATCAAAGTCTTAAAATTAGCCACAACATCAGAGATGACACAGGAGTTAAAAAAAAAAAAAAAGGCAGTTTGCTATCCATGGTCATGATGGTAAACCACAGTAAGTGTGCGTACTTATTGCTACACACTTTTCTCTAGCCAACAACTGCAAAACAAGAAAAAAAAATCAATAATAAGCTAAATGAGAGCTGTGTTCTAAAGCCTCCCCAAGATGAGGCACCATTGCAAGAGGCTATGGACAATCACCCGAGGATGCCAATTCTGAAGGCATGCTGAATCACTTGGATAACCCAGCAACCCCTAGCGACCACAAATACCACTGGAATAGGGCATAAACAGAAATGTTCTAATACTGAAAAGATATTCATTTTATGCTCATTTACCATATAAATTTGTCAAATGAAGACTTTTAATTACATGGACATGTATATATTATCTGACAAAAATCTGGGTGGTTAACCCTTACTATCTGTAGGCCATACTTTTGATTGTTGTCAAACAAAAAAAAAAACCCACAACTCTCTATTTTGACCAAGTAGTGGTAACTTCTACAGCAAATTTGTCTCATCTTCTATAGATAAACTTTTAAAATCAATTGGAAAACTAAAATGATTCCAAGTTGCATTGTCCACAACTAAGAAACTGTGCATACAGATGCATGCACAGATAGAGACACAGGCACACACACTGTCACACTCACGCATACACAATTAAAGAAAACCACTGGAAACTCTAGGACTGTCTTTTGAAAGAAAATGGCCTCGTTCTAGCTATCCAGAAAAAAGCAATCCACAGTTCCTTGCATAGAGGAATTAAAAAGAAAATGCCTGTCCAGCCAACAATAATAGGGGTCAGAATTGTTCAACTGTCACACACAAAAAAATACTCAAGTAAAGGTCATAAAGCCAGCTCCTTCTTTAGTACCAGATGCATCATAAAAATGTGCCACTGGGGCCAGGATCCTGACACTGGGAGGCCAAGGCAGGCAGATCACAAGGTCAGGCATTCGAGACCAGCCTGACCAACACGGTAAAACCCCGTCTCTACCAAAAATACAAAAATTAGCCAGGCATGGTGGTGCTCGCCTGTAATTCCAGCTACTTGGGAGGCTGAGGCAGGAGAATCGCTTGAACCTGGAAAGCAAAGGTTGCAGTGAGCCGAGATCGCGCCATTGCACTCCAGCCTGGGCGACAGGGTGAGACTCTGTCTCAAAAAAAAAAAAGTGCCACTGTTTATTTAACCACCCTGCTATGGATGAGCTAATCCAAACTATTGCAATGTACATCTATTTAAAAGTCAATACACAGGAAAAAGGTCTGGAAGAATATATACTAGAAAAGAATGGTTACCTCTAGGGGATGGAGTGTCAAGGTGAATTTTGGTTTATTCATACTGTCTAAATGATTGCTTAATAACTCAGGTATTGCTTTCAAAAAGTAAGAGGAAGGGTGGGAAATACCCTGTTCTCTCAGAATTTTAAGTCCAGAGTGCTGGGAGAAAAAGATGGCAGCACTGAGCGGGACTGAAAAGTTTTCCTAGAACATCTCCTTTCATTACATGACTCACCATTGTTCACTCATAAAATGCTTCACCGCATCCAAAAGGAGTTCTGCCTACTAATACCAGAAAAGGTTGAGAAAGAAGAGTGTGGTTATAGCTCCTGATGGCTGATTCTATTCTCTCTCCTTTGTTCCTAATTGTCCCCATGCTGCCAGATCTGGCAATATACTTTATATTGAGATTTAAGTGAGTAAAAGTCTTTGTGCCAAACTTGCAAAAGCACAGAGATTATCAACAGCACCCTCCTCCCACCTTGCCAGAGTAAAAGTGAAGAAGGAATTCATTATAGTCATACATTTTACTCATCTTTAATATTCTGAATATATTACCCATGGAAACAACCCTTCATTTATGTCAAAAAAAATTGCTTAATGCATTAATATCCCTTTACATTAATTTATTTGGTTTATCTACAGTAACTAAGCAAAACTGAATCCACCCTGTCATATATTCTAGGTTTTGTGGATACATTCTGAATTATTTATTTATTCAACAACTAATGCTAGTCCAAAAAAATCAAGAAGCATGTGAATTTAAATACTAAATAAAGGGATAACTTAAAGGCTTAATGTTTCAGGATACAATAAGATATTCATCATTCTAATCAGTCTCATGAGTTAATCCTGGTGCTGTGCATCTTGGCTGCACTGGTAGTCCTGTACTTCCGCATCTCTGTTATAAGGCTAACATGAGGTAAAGCACCTGGCCCACAGTAAATGCTCTAAATGTTTTATTACCAAAGAGACCAACAAAAAACTTTTTGGGGAAGAGGAACATATTATGGGACAGAAAGGGCAAATTCTATCCTATGAAAATATACTAGATTAGTTACTGTATTTGGAGAAGAGGCAGCATAAGGACGCCAAAGATGGAGAGGTCAGGTCAGGCACGGTGGCTCCCGCCTGTAATCCCAGCACTTTCAGAGGCTGAGGCAGGCGGATCTCCTGAGCTTAGGAGTTTGAGACCACCCTGGCCAACATGTATTTGGAGAAGAGGCAGCATAAGGACGCCAAAGATGGAGAGGTCAGGTCGGGCACGGTGGCTCCCGCCTGTAATCCCAGCACTTTCAAAGGCTGAGGCAGGCGGATCTCCTGAGCTTAGGAGTTTGAGACCACCCTGGCCAACATGGTGAAAAATTTTTGTAAAAATACAAAACATCAGCTGGGCATGGTGGTGCGTGCCTACAGTCCCAGCTATTTGGGATGTTGAGTCACGAGAATTGCTTGAGCCCCGGAGGTGGAGGTTGCAGTGAGCCAAGATCGTGTCACTGCACTCTAACTTGGGCTACAGAGTGAGACTCTGTCTCAAAAAAAAAAAAAAAAAATTAGAGATCAAAGTTCCAGAGATGGATATCAAAGCAGATAATAAGGGGACCCAATAAAGACAATAACAGTCACATCCAGGGAAAGAAGAAAATGCCAGCATCAAGCTAATAGCAGGCACTGTTTTCTTTAGCCACTTTTACTTTATTTACAGCCATTTGCCACGCCCATGGGACTCTACTTTAATGAAAGATAATACAAATGTCCTTACAAATAAAAATCTCCCTCCTTCGAGTATGCGGCTCTGTAGCCGTAGAAAGAGTAGTATGGTTACCTACTCCCACTTCCCCTCTAGAAGAGAATCTCATTATCATACCTCTCTGAATCCAGACACAAAAAAGATACTTAAAATATCTGAAAGAGATTTAAAAACCTAAACTCAGAGTAGCTTCTACCTAGAACACAATTATTTTGTTTTAAAACATTAACTTATAAAAAAAATCTGAAGCAGACCATTAAAAAAATTGAACATAGTATTTAAATTAAATGTTCCCCAAAACACTTTGATTAGAAAATAGATTAAAATTTTACCTATGAAATAAATGCAGGCATTTTGCTTATGTAAGTCCACAACATTTTCTGAAAGGTGTACAACTATTTACAAGAGGTTATGGATACAGTGATGGGAATTTACCATAAAGAATGAAAATTTATTTTTTCACAGTTTTGGAGGCTGAGAAATCCAAGATAAGGCACTGGCATGTTAGGGCTCAGTCTCTCGCTTCCAACACTATGTAGAGCACTACGTCCTTTGGAAGGGAGAGACATTTGGCAGAAGAGCAGGAGAGTGTTCACCCACGCCCACAAGCCCTTTACACGGCGGCATTAATCTATTCATGAGGGTGGTACCCACATGACCTAAACACCTCCTGGTAGGCCCCACCTCCCAACACTGTTGCACTGGGAATGAAGGGAATCTACTATTTCTGTACTCCATGTATTAAGAGTATTACATCTACTGGCGGTAGGTAAGGCATAACAAACATCATCTGCATTATCTTATCTCCTATACTTCATATTTATATGATAAAAACAAAATATAATACCAATAAAGCTTAAAAGCACATCAAAATTGTTATACTCTTTTTAAAACTTTTAAAGTAACTATAACTGATTGGATTTCTTAAGGCTTGAATGTTTCTTAGAAAGATAACACCTAACACCTGAACATTTCATATGAAGTCTAGTTAAATGCAGGGTCGGCTGGGCACGGTGGCTCACATCTGTAATCCCGACACTTTGGGAGGCCAAGGCAGGTAGATGACCTGAGGTCAGGAGTTCAAGACCAGCCTGACTAATATGATGAAACCCCATCTCTATTAAAAATACAAAAATTAGCTGGGCATGGTGGCGAGCACCTGTAGTCCTAGCCTGTAGCCTAGGAGGCTGAGACAAGAGAATTGCTTGAACCCAGGAAGTGGAAGTTGCAGTGAGCCAAGATCGCGCCACTGCACTCCGGCCTGGGCGACAGAGACTGTCCAAAAAAAATGTAGGGTCAACATTATCAAACACTAGATTTTCCCATATATTAGTAATTCTTCCTATGGTGAAACATTTTCACTCAAGAATAAACAGGTTACTGAATTGAGAGAGATAGGAGAGTGCAGTGTGGCTCATGCCTGTAATCCGAGAATTTTGGAAAGTCAAGGCAGGCAGATCCCTTGAGCCCAGGAGTTTGAGATCAGTCTGAACAGCATGGCAAAACCCTGCTGCTACAAAAAAATACAAAAATTAGCCAGGAGTAGTGGTGCATGCCTGTAGTCCTAGTTATTCGGGAGGCTGAGGTAAAAGGATCATTTGAGCCTGGGAGGTCGAGACTGCAGTGAGCTGAGATCACTCCACTATACTCAAGACTGGGTGAAAGAGTGAGACCCTGTCTCAGAAAAAAAAAAAAAAACTGATAGTAGTAATAATAATAATGATAGTAAACAATATTAATAACTAACACTTATTCAACACACTACGTGCCCAGCACTTTTCTAACTGCTTTTTATGAATTGATTCTTCTAATCCTCACAACCCTATGAGGTAGGTAGTACAGTAAAACCATATGAATTAAAAATCACTAGAATGAATTACAAATTAATACTAAAGAATTTTTATTTTTTATACACTATTAGAATTTAAATCTAGACTTTCAGTGAAACATACAAACCAACCACATGAATTTATTTCCTCTACCTCCAAACCACCAAAAGATATTAAAGGAATATAAATAGTATTAATCCACAAAAAAGCACAGACGACAAAGCCATGAGATTTTAACAAAGTTTATACAGATAAAAACCAGGAGGAAGTGCAATACCTAACCTAGCAGAGTGGAGGAAGTTAAAGCCTAAGTACCCAAAAGGGAGAAGCCCAAAAACACACCCCACCAAACCTCTACTAAGTTCAGGACTTGGAAGCACTAGGTATTGTAGAAGATGAGAGTGAGGTATAGGGCTGAAATCAGGACTAGAAGTCTGTATAAAGAGCAACTGGAACCCAGGTCCTCTCCCCTACTCTCCACAGCCAGCCTACGCCCCACCCTCAACCTCCACTGACAGGAAAAACTGAACCTGAGGGTCAGCAGCCAGAGGAGGATTTGGGGGGTGGGGCCGGATGGGCATGAGAGAGGATGAAGATAGAGGGATTAAGTAAAAGTCATCATACAAATCTTGGGGTCCTCAGCTGTCTTTTCTTACCCTACTATCAGGACCCAGTTTTCTAGAGAAACTGGCCCCAAAGAGAAGACCTCCACTGAAATTTAGGGGACCTCAACAGAAAAGGCCAACTCTACCTGATGGCCCTTTAGACAACTTATAAACCCTGCCCACATATAAAGACCTATGACATTAGCTTTTTAATACATGACTAATATGAATAGATGATTTCTAAGAAAGGCTTCAGAATGAAAGAGCCCAAAACAAATAAATAGAAAGCAGAAACATGGTGGGGGAGGGGGAGAACCATTCAAGAAACAGGAAAGATGTAAGAAAAAAATCTTAATTTTATCCTCAGGGAGATATGGGGAAACAGTTAATCTATAAAATAAAAATAGGTTTTTATGAAATGAAACAGAAAAAAAAGACCTCTTAGAAATTAAAATATATATATAAAGAAAATTCAACAGAAGAGCTGGAGGATAACAAAAAGAACAAAGATAATATAACTTAAGGAACAACTAGAGAGAAAAAGCTTTTTAAATTTAGAGGCGGTCCAACTCTGGGAGGTCCAACATTCAAATAACAGAAATTCTAGAAAGATAGAACAAAGAAAATGGAAGAGAGAAAACTGTCAAAAAGATCACACACACACACACACACACACACACACACACACACACCCAGAACTGAAGCAGACAAATCTCTAAATTGAAAGATTCCACCAAGTCAAGTAGCCATCAAGATGAATGAATAAAGACCCACATATTATTATGAAACATCAGAAGTAATGAGAAGTTCCTAAAAGCTTACAGAGTGTAAAAACAGATCCCAGGTAAAGGAACGGTATCAGAATTCTCACAGAAAAACTAAATGCCTTAAGACAATGAAATGTTGCCCTTAAAATTCTGAAGGCATGTTATTTTCCAGACTCCAAACTACCAATCAAGAGTAGAGACATTTTCAGACCTGTAAAGCCTTAAAATCTTTACTTTCTATGCACCTTTTCTTAGGAAGTTACTGGTGGAGGAGCTTTGCCAAAAAAAAAAAAAAAAAAAAAAAAAAAAAAAAAAAACCTAATGTGAGACTAAAAACTAAAGGGAGTTTCAGAATGACTGCTGAACCATAGAACAGGCCTGGAGGGCAACAGTACAAATGGCAGAAGATGAAGGACTGTGGAAGAAATGTCCCTAAAGGATGACAAAATATTTTTAAAAACTTTTTTAAGAGAATTGATACGATTATCTGATGTTTTTCAGCATTTAAGCCTTTGGATAGTCATTGTGACAGGTACATTAAAAACTAAGCAAATTTGAAAATCAGGCAATACCAACCCCAGAAAAAATAACATTCTAGTAAAAAGGAAATAATGATAGTTAACCATGTGGTACATCAGTGAACTACATTTATGTCTATCTATTTCACAAAAAGTTTGTTCTAACTAAAAGTTGTGTGAATATAAATCTATTTTGGGAGGGGTGGGGGAAGAAAAATGTGGGAGGTGGAGAGTTTAAGTAAAGTAAATCCTGTCTACCATAAAAGGTATTCGAGAAACTGTTTCTGAAATTGATAAGTCAACAAAAAGTAGTATAACATTTTCAAACAGGAAGGTAAATACTAACACAAACCACTAAGAGTTCCAAGTGTTTGTCTTTGGAATGCTAAACTGGGGAAGAGGGAACTACACTTTTTCACTATAAACCTTTTAGTTCTATTTGATTTTTTCAAACTATGTACATTAACTAGTTTAATAAAAAGAAAGCTAAAATTAAAAAAAAAACAACAGAATTTCAAGTTAAGAATTCAACATGAATTCAAAGAGTGGATTGGGGAGACAGAAAGACATGAACAAGAAGGCCTACCTACCAGCTACCTACCATTCATTTACCCGCCAGGGTTATTAAAAGACAGACCTCCTCAAAGGAACTCCTGCAGCCTAATCTGGCTTTCTTTCAGGCCAGGACACTCCCTCTGTACCAAGTACCCAGATCAAGGCTCAAAGTACAGACCTAGAGGTGCCTTATTAAATAAAAGAACTAGCAGAGTCCAAATTAGTGGTATTATCATGTATATGGAATTAGTGTAAACAGCAATCTGGTATTAACATATCACAAGGGCGCATTTCCTGAGATCTTGTGATTTTTACATTTCTAAATGTGATAATACATACTGAAAAACTACAATTCAAGGTCAAAGGTTCTAGGGCATCTGTGGAAATGAAGATACTCTATCTTCTGCCTTGGAATTTAAGTTTAAGCAATAGCATCCATTTCTGGATTTTTCCTGACTGAAGATCATGCAATAATCCCATATGATGTAAGAAAATTCAAATTCAGCTCATTTATAAAAGAATTGTATCAAAATCCCTTTAGTCATGGAGGCCTGCGATTCCCAAAGAATAGTGAGCAAGCACTTGAAATGAAAAACAAGCACTGCTTTTGCTTAGAAGATCACTGATAGGCTGCCAAGAGAACCTCCAAATTTCTCAATAACTTTTCATGTTTCTCAATAACCCCATGACCTAGACAAAGCAAAAAAAAGGGACTACTAATAACTAATAATAACCAATAATTTTTCTATAAAGTATAGAACAACTTGACAAGCTAAAATTCTTACAGAATTGTTATATGGTTCATCTTTTTCTTAAAATTCAAAAAAGTCAGGCACACTTGAAAATAAAGGACTCCTCAAAATGCAAGGTTCCCTTAAGCTTTATAGGTTTCTTCATGCTACTAATTCACTGATCAAAACCTGGATATAATTCAAGATATATTTATACTCCCACAAAAAAAATGATTTCACAGATGTGTTTGGTTCCTAACAATAACAACAAAAAGTGGCTCCAAGTCATAACAAAAGACATACTTAGGGATACCGCAAACCTGTTCAAGGACCTGTTTTAAGGGGGAAAAAATGATACAAACCAGAAATAATTGCATTGTATTTTTAAAATATTCACAGAAAACTCTTCACGAACCCATCTATTTGGGTAAAGCAATAGAAAATGGATGTGATTATTTTCTATAAGTTCAAAAGCTTGTTACGGTGTTTTCCTTATAAACCTATTACTGCAAAAAAACTCACTACCAGAAAAAACTCCCAATCAATAGCACCCTGACCTTCATGGTCTTAATACTGTGCAAGTTCTTACTACAAAATTTAAAAAAAAAAAAAAAACAAGAAAAACCTGATTACCTGCTCAACGTCATAACTTACTACATTATCAAACTTTTTTTTTCAAATTAGACATATGAAGTACAACTTATGAGCAGGCAAAGACTCCACTGAATATAGAGTAGTCTGATGACCTGTGTGTTATTTAAAATTACAAACACTTCAAGTAGCATACAGTTTACCCAAACACATATTAATGTATAGACTGTTTATGTCCATCTTAAACTTAAGATGGAAGGCCTATAATTACAGTTTTTTAAACAAATACCAAATATTAATTATTTTAAAATATCCCACATAAACTTACAAGATAAATTGAAATAAAATGAAATAGGTCACACCATTCTAAGCTCACAGGCAACAAAAATTATGCTTCATTTGTGTCTTCACCAGCAGGCCTAAATATACAAACAAACTCAAATCCATTAGAATTATATTAGTGCCTAATAAAGATTAGACAGAATATCAATGAATGTAAAAAATACAATGTATTATATGATGTGTTTGAATGCAAAAACCACGCATTTATTAAACATATGATTAACTTAAAAACAACACACCAGTTTGTTTTAAAGTGCTCCTTATCCAAAACCTTAAACAAAACTATCAGCCCAAAATGAATTCAAAAAAACAGATTACAAGGCAAACAATGACAATAGGTATGGACAGGCACTACCAAAAAATGCTATTTGTTCTTTAATTAAATAATGCCATTCTCAAGTGATATAGAGCAGTCATCTTGACAGAATTCCTTTTTGTATAAATATTCATAAATAAAAATGTCTCTAGATATTGGAAAGAGCTGCAAACAATACTTTACAACAGCAGCTTAATATCTATTTTAGGAAAAAAAAAGCACTAAAATTCTCTTCCATTGAAAGTTGTTTATTTCTCTAGTGTAAGTGAGCAAAGTCACTACAGCATTAAAATCTCTTTTCTAGAACAACGTAAAGAACAACGTATACACATCTTAAATTTGGTAGGTCACAAAAGTTAGAATGCAATCATCTTTTGAGGCAACAAGAAAATAAATACATAAAAATTAAACACTTTAACCCAAAATTTGGTATTGACAAATCAGTAGTGTCAACTTCACATATGAAGGACAATACAGTCTGGTTATTTAAAGATGCTCAATATGTCATGGTATTTGGGCTAAAGATACTTAGAATATTGTGTTTCCTTTTTGATTAAAGGAATACAATACAATCACCATCAAGCTGCTATCGTAACTCATTTTTAGCTGTGGTAAAGTGACCATTTGGTCCATGGCACAAGTTACATATATCACACTTCTGTCAAACTGAAACCTTATAAGATTTCATGTTTATAAGCTACAATACACCCTGACCATGCTGTCAGTCCCCTCAGAGTTTTTAAGAAAAATATCTACATTTGTCCTTATGGATGTCAAAATGTTACACCATCATTTGTTCAAAAAAAAAAGATGCACATTCATACTGTGAAGTTATTAGGAAAATACTCTTGCAAACAAACTATATAAAGATAAAATACACTTCAAAAGTATGTGGTTTGTTTTCTTGTTTGTCTGTTTTACAACATTCTATAAAGTGCAGAGTCCTAAGGGAAAAAACTACTCCCTATAACAATAGTTTAATTACAGCAGCTTTTGCATAGCAATACTTAGAGGAAGTTGGACACTTCAGTTTCTTCAGGAAGAGAAGGATGGAAGAGTATCTTCTGATTCAGATTGTTTTTTGGCCATAAGTCTGCTTTCTTCAGGAATGGTTGCTGATGCCAAATCTCCATTAAGTGTATTTTTTGAACAGTGAACAGGTCCTATGAAGACATTGATAAAAACGTTAAACATCCTGTCAATATTAACTCCAGTCCTCTGTGAAAGAACATTTTAAATTTCCTGTTCAGGGACATGAAATTCCTTTAGCTTCTGGCTAATTTTGTATTTCCTTGTTTGTTTCATGCAGGAAAACTTAACTTTTAGACTAGAGTATCAACAGCCACAAGGAGAAACATCAGAATTCATAAGATAAATGATGAAATTGCCTGAAGTAGAGATTTTTGTTTTGTTCACTGCTAGAATCATGGTTGGCACATAATAGGTAGTCAATAAATATTTGCTGAATTGAATTTAATCTTTATTAATTAACTATTGCTTTTTCAGCCTATTTTAATGCTGTTAATATCCTCCTTGTTCCTAGGCAAAGAAACCAAGACCCATAAAAGGATACATGCCTTACCCAAGATCACACAATTGGTAACAGAACGAGGACTAAATTCAGGTATTCCTCTTTTCATTCTAAGACTTTCTGAGCAAAGCTGACAAGGTACCTCATACTGAAAGATCCCATTTCTCCATTTGTAATGCAGCTCACAGAACTATCACTGCAACTCCATGTTAACACAGCTGACTACACTGGCATAGTCCTGTTCTAAGGCAGTTGTACCTTTATATATATAGTTTGAGTTTACCATCATCATTTATTACTTTCATACTTTTTGAAAAAGCTTGTTAAAGAAAATAGAAGCAGTTGCATCTCACAAGAAGAATATTTTTGAGTAACAACTTTCAACTAAGACTGCCAATTGCAAAATATATACTTTCTGGAAAGAGCACTAATTCAATCTTTGCTTTGTCAGCTAATTGAAACACTAAACTAGTATAAACAGGAAAAAATCTAAGGATAAAATTTCTGACCTAGTCTATACTTGCTAATTTAAAGATGTTCTAGAGAAGTGAACTATATGTATGCGCGTGTGTGTGTGTGCGTGCGTGTGTGTGTGTGTGAGACTAGTTTTGTTACAGTCCATAACAGTTAAACTGGGGGATGCTAAATATAATAGAGCATGTACACCTAGATCTTTTGAAAATTGTTTTCAAATATTCAGGACTAGAGTAACTAGAAGAAAAGAATTCTAAAGAAAAATGGATGGCTTTAAAAAAATTATTTTAGTAATCACAAATGATCCCCTTAAAAAAAAAAAAAGATGTCGCACTTAAAACTACAAGGTAGCATACAGAACTCCTTCATGAACTCTGGATTAAGAGTCATGTGTAAAAGGCATAAAGAATAAAGAGAATCAGAGTCTATCTTACCTGCCTCAGATAACTTTTTTCACATACTCAACCTCTTTAACCCTCCTCCTCTCCTCCTCTTCTCTTCCAGGTCTTGCTTGATTGGCCCAAGAAAGTTTCTTTCTCCCTTCCCCTTCCCGGTTTCTTTCCTTCATTTCTCCACCCACATCTCAATTTAAATTCAAAATGTTAATGAGCATAGAATAGTGCCATATATTAATAAATAGATGATTAATTCAGTTTAAAAAAAAAGTGGGCATTAAAAAAAAAAAAAGATTCTATCAACTCCTAAAAATCCAAAAATGACCAGCAATCCTTTTTAAAATTGCCATATGTATGAACTAAACCTGTTTAACTTTCTGGTTACATAAAACAACTCCAGCTTAATCAGTGTTTTCAATACACTCAAATGCTAGAAATACACCATTGTTTTGTCCCATTTCAGCCATACTATGAATTCACTGGGCTCTTCCAAAGAATGGTTAGCTATCCAAAGAGCTAACCACCACTTATCATGTCATTTCCACAAGAAAAATAAAATCTGTTTTCCAAACAACTGACTTACAAATGAACTAACTATTGGAACACGACCTGTTCCTTAATTGGAAATTGTACATAGTTTCTATCCCACATGCTTCCTGAGAAATAGTAGAGACTTGGAGAGTATAAGTCTATTAATGGAGATGTAATAATAAGACTATATTTGTGTTCACTGCAAATCATGGTCACTACTATCTTACTAGATATTCTGACACACTTTCAAAGCTTCTTCTCTGAAGAGAAAAATTTAAAAATTTTAACATAAATCACAAAACCTTTCCTAAAAACATTCAATCACAGTATGCTGCCTCTTTAATAAGGAAGAAAAAGGTAGAGGAATGAATGCTACTATAATTCACTGTGACTACCAGACAAAATTCTTTTCCTTAGCCATTTCTAGGTATTTTAGTAAAGTAACAATGCTGACTTTTATATGAACTTGGAACTTGCCTTTATTTTCCCCTAGAATCCTGCTAACAATTCATGCCTTCTTCTAAAATGTTTTTTAAGTCCTAGTGGTGGTAAAAGATCATGATATTCTATAAATATATATCTGAGATACGATATTTACAAAGCAATCCTCAGCACTCCTTAGTTAGTAACAAACCTGTTTGTAAGGGGATATATGAGCTTTCATTGATTGAGCGCTGTTTGCTTACCTCTGAATTAAGGAATCAAAGAAACAAAGTACAATGTTCAGTCAGTATACTTCATTTCCAGAAATTACAGAGCCCCACAGTAATTTTGCTGAATATGCCAAAGAAAGAGACAGAATCTATGTCACTTACTATCTGGGTCTTCAAGAGGAATATCACTACAAGAATCTGTATCTGAGTAGGTTCTTCGGCGTCGCTGGGAGAGTCGGTGAAGTGTAGATACTGGTTCTTTTATAGAGTGGCTACTCCTGCAAATTAAGTAAAAAGCATTAAATTGTAAGGCCTTACATAAACAAAAACACACTCAACTGGAATTTTAAATGACTTCTCTTTAAGTGAAAAAAGAATTATTTTTATGCTCAACGTCCCGTGTTAGCAACATTCTACTCAGAAGTCAAAAACAAGTGAACCCATTTAGAAGACAGCTGGTAACCTGGAGAATATGGCTTCTGAGCTGAACTAAAAGGAAGAGGGGTACAATGAAGAAGTAGTGACTTCTGTAGGGGAGACTCCAGAGAGCAGACATATCAGTCGGTTTACAAATGTTTGAAAACTAGAAGTCATAGGTTTCATGAATGCATGTATTTTAAGTCAATCCATATCTGATCAAAACCAGCAGACTGAAAGAGATGGGCAAGGAGTTCATAGAGCTAGAGGTAGACTCACTGACAACAGCAAGAGAAGATAAAGATGGCAAAAAGGGGCCTAGAAAAACTCTTTTAAAAATCTGTCTGAAAAATTTAAACAGAGAAGCAAATCACCACCACCTAACAGCATCTCAGCTACTATTTTTGTAACAGCCCAACTTTACTGTACTTAATGACAACCTTGATTCATCAGGAAACAAATAAGATTTTAAAATTATTATTTTATGAGGTAGAAAGGATAGAAAAATTTCTTTCATAAAAATAAAAGTTGGTCAAAAATTGATTAAGCTTCCATTTTTCTGGAAAATTCAGTTGGTGGGACTCTTGATTCCCTGACAAGGTTGGATATATACATCATTGGATTCCTCTGAGTATTTGACAGTTTAATCAAAGATTATACAATCATCAGGGGAAAAAATTAAAACATGACAAAACAGCATTTAACAGTCCAAATATAGAGAAATAAATGCCAATGTCACTATAATTAAATCACTTTCCAAAGAACTAAATAAGACAACCATAGCAACTTAAAGGACTATTACCTAACAAAATAATAGTTTAACAACTTAGCATTTTGGTAAGATCTATCCAGAAGGTAAAATTTTTAAACGTATTGATATGAATATGTACTTTAAAATATCAAGTGGTTTTCTCTCTTCAGCAAGATCTTTCTCTCTTAATGAAACAACAGCTCAGCATGAATAGATGATGCTATAAACAGCTGAGGTAAAATGAGCCCTAGCTGTGGAGTCTCAACACATCAAAAATGTACTTCTGTCTAACCATCACTTGATATACAGTCATGCGTCTCTTAATGACAAGGATGCATTCTGAGAAATCCATCGCTAGGTGATTCTGTCACTGTGCAAACATCACAGAGCGTGCTTACACAAAACTAGCTAGTATAGCCTACTACACATGTAGGCTATGTGGTATAGCCTATTGTTCTTAGGCTACAAACTTCTACTGCATGTTACTGTACTGAATGTTGTGGGTGACTGTAACAATGGTATTTGTGTATCTAAACATACCTAAACATGGAAAAAGTACAGTAAAAATATGGTATTATAATCTTATGAGGCCACTGTCACATATGCAGTCTATCATTGATGGAAAAGTCATTCTTCAATATATGACTGCATTTCAAACATCTAAAAAAGGTAAAATGGCTGGCAACGTGCTTACCTTGCTGGTTAATTCATTCATTTTTTTCTTTACTGACTACCTACTGAGGCCAGGCCCTTATACTAAATACTAGGAGATAAATACTGAGAGATAAAATGCTGGTTTTGAACCAGACCTAACCCATACAGAGTTTACATTCCACACCACTTGTTAAAGGCCCAAAGAACTTCCCTAGATGGATATAATTTGAGAGAACTTAGTCAGAAGAAAAGGTTCTTTTACCTCTCTGAACTGCAAGAACCAGGGTGGCTGACAGAACGCTTCATCTAGAAATTTTGGAAAAAAAAAAAAAAATTAGCATAATCCATATGTCAAGTAGAATCATGCAGCTCTAATTTACTATTATCATAATAAACATAAATTTACTCAGAGAAAAAGATAACTGGCAAAAAAAAATTTAATCTTTCACAGACTCAAGCAACATAATTAGTACAACATCAAGCTTTCTCCCTAATAACCATTAATTGGAATCTTTTTCAACACACACCAAAAACATGCTGGATTCTTTTTTCAAAAGTGAAAACCAAATTTTATACATAATACATATATATGTGTGTGTATACAAATATAAAAAACAGGGTATATAACTATAAATAAGATATAAATGTGATAAAAAAGGAGTATCTAGCAAGCCACAAAATATTCTAATAAATATCTCTTTTTTAAAGGACAGTAGTAGAGTCTGGCAGCAAAGCTTCTCTTTATCATTAATTATTTAGGTAGCTGATATACAAATGTTCTAAAGTGTGGTTTTCATGGAAAACAGCATTAATAATTCAAGACTTTAAAGAACTCAGAAGAAGAACCCTAAGTCTCAGTGGATTTCCAAAACATATATTTAAAAAAATAAAGAATACCTAATTAAGCAGAACATTTAAAAAATATGATAAATACTAAACATAATTTGGAAGATCCAACTACTCCATCAAAATATAAAGGGAGGCAGCCAAGTAAAACTGATTATTTCAAAGTTTAACATGGTAGCAGAAAAACAAAGATTATACTAAAGGTTTAGGGTGGTTGCTTTTGTATACATGAGCCCAAGAGTCTAACAAGCCCAGGTCTAACATTGATGTTATGCAAATGCCTTCTATATTTGGAACATGAGCCACTAGTTGCTCTGAGAAATACCAGTTGAAATGCTAAGAGATATGACCCACCCAGTTTGTAGTCTGGGAACATCTGATAAGATTGACATTAAGATGCAAATGGCCACTAACATCTCCTTTAACAGAAATTACTTCCTTTAGGCTTACTAACCCAAGGACATCCCCACTATAATAATCACTCAATCTGTAGGTCCAGTGATGGTTGTCTGAACTTTTATGACAACTTGAAATAAAGTTAAATGCAAGTTTACTCTAAGATGAATTCATTGAGATTAACTATATAAAGTGCTTATAAAGATCAGATTAAAGCACTTACAAAGATCAGATTAAATTGTTTTGGAATACTCAAATTTTCAGCTTTATTTTTCATATAAATAAATGTAAGTTTTTCATATAAATAAATAAACAATGTTATTTAAAAAAAAAACATGAAGATTGTCTGACCTTACTTTCCATGCTATTTGTCTCTAGAACTAATAATTATTTTAGTTTCTTATATGTAAAATACGCATTGACTTCTCTGGACTACAGAGCATTTGTAACATAAGGGATTTCCTGAGAAGTTCAATGCAGAAGCAAGGCAACTCTGAGGTGTTTTACTGCATTTGACTCTAAAAAGTACAGCTTAAAAAAAAAAAGTGTACCCTTTGTCTATCAACCTCAGGAACACAGCACTACACATCCATCTCAAAACACTGGTTTCTTTGTTCACACATACTTGTTAATTAACAGTTTATAGCATATCTACAATTGTCCTAAAAAGCAACATTGTCAAACTATGTTTTACTCAACACCACACCACAGTCCTGTAAGATGGTATTAAAAAATACATAAAATGGGCCAGGCGCAGTGTCTCACGCCTGTAATCCCAACACTTTGGAAGACTAAGGCGGGCAGATCACGAGGTCAGGAGATCGAGACCATCCTGGCTAACATGGTGAAACCCCGTCTCTACTAAAAATACAAAAAATTAGCTGGGCATGGTGGCAGGCGCCTGTGGTCCCATCTGCTCAGGAGGCTGAGGCAGGAGAATGGCATGAACCCAGGAGGCGGAGCTTGCAGTGAGCTGAGATTGCGCCACTGCACTCCAGCCTGGGCGACAGAGCAAGACTCCATTTCAAAAAAAGAAAATATATACATATATAGTATTTATATATATATTTATTTTATTTGTGTATATATATAACGGGCTCAATTGTCAAATAAATTTCAGCAACACTGTACACTACACTTCCACCTCTCAGAGATTCATAATACACTTCAGCATAAAAGAGGGTGTGACGGCTGGGCATGGTGGCTTATGCCTGTAATCCCAACACTTTGGGAGGCTGAAGCAGGAGGACTGCTTGAAGCTAGGAGTTTGAGACCAGCCTGGGCAACAAAATGAGACTCCATCTCTACAAAAAATAAATTTAAAAACTTAGCTTGAAGCCAGGAGTTTGAGACCAGCTTGGGCAACAAAATGAGACCCCCCCCATCTCTACAAATAATAAATTAAAAAACATAGCCAGGCACCGTGGTGTGCACCTGTAGTCCCAGCTACTCAGGAGGCTGGAACTTGGGAGTTTGAGGCTGCAGTGAGTTATGATGGTGTCACTGCACTCCAGCCTGGGTAACAGAGTGAGACCCTGTCTCTAAAAAAATAAATAAATAAATAAGTAAAAAGGCTGTGACAAGTCCCATCAAACCCAATTCATATCATTTAAGTTAACCTAGCAATTCCCAAATTAATCTGGCCATAAAACTCATTTTCATGGTACGCTTGCCTCAGAGGAAACTATTAGCCCATCAAATACTGATTAGAAAACAATTCTCTAAATAAATCTAGGCAATAATCTTTACTAAATCTCATAACTAAATTTGCTGGGATAGGTAAGAGAACCTAGGAAGAAGTTAGACCCTATTCTCCTAACAAATAGATCTTCAGGTAATTGCTGAAACAGCAACAAGGTGGCATTCTTACTCCTATAAATGGACTCCTAAAAACACTTTGATGCAATAAACTTGAAGTCTCATTAAAGCTTATCTCACCTACAAATTTCTAACAGCATGCTAGAGCAAATTTATTAGCTCAGAAAGGACAACGAATCTGCCACCCCTGGCAAAAAGAGGACTTGTTCTGAGCAATAAGGAAGTAAGAAACTAACACTGAGCACCTAACAGTAAGCAGGTCAGATCGTTTGCAGTGACTCTCTGATATACACTGTATTTTTACACATGAAGAAACTGAAGATCAGCTACTCTGAGGGTTCAGATCCAAATGCTTAGTAGAGAATACCGTTCCCACCGGAATATGTTTCAAATTCCTTCTAACTCCTTTAAAGATATACGTAATTGTACCCCATTGTGACTAAAATCTCATTCCATTGTGTAATTCTTACCAAGCAGAATAGAGCTCCCCAACTTTTTCTTTGTCACAGCACTTTGTAATATTTTCCTAGACACTGGGGAAAATGGATGAAGCAGCCTGTGGGCAGGCCATGCACAGCCCCTCCAAGGAGAAGGGAATGAGGACACTAGCACAAGTGCTCAGCTCATCAGCTAAGAAGCTCGAATATGAAACAGTACAAACAAAAAAATTCAACTTGTTAGCTGTTCCCCGCCCCCCAACTGCCTGCTTCCACCCTTAAAAATAAATACCAAAATGAAACGAAAACCACATGCAACATTACTACTGAGGGAAAAAACCAAAACAAGAAGTTCAAACCATTTGAACAGGAGAAGGTGACACAGGAGAAACTAAGGGATCCGGATGGTGCAGTTGAAACATCTCAGGTTTAAACTTGGCATTGGCTATCTTCACACATTCCTCAAGCGTTGTGATGAATGTGTTACACGTGGCACTAAGCAGAGAAGAGGCTTCATTCATGTTCTGAAAAATTACACAAAGACTTGAACAGATTTGCATACAACTACATGGAATCATATACAACCTTATCATTAAATAATAAGACATCTCCAACAGACACATTACTATGTTATGTTCAAATTTATTTAAAATACAGTACCTTAGAAAATTAAGCTGGGGCAAAAAAAGAAAAAAGAAAACATTAAAACATCTATGTATAAGAAATGCCTGTCTCCTAAACAATGTATGAAACTAGATTCTAAGAAAAAATAAGCTTTGCATTTAATTATCATATTGAAAAACTGTGTACAAAAGTTTATCTTAGAGAAATCTAACCTAAACAGTAATTTTCACTTTCCCAAAAGTGGACACAGACATGGAATACCCTTAGAGTTAATTAGTGGCAGTACAATTCATGCCTACCCTCTATCCATTCTCCCACTTCTTCCTTGATAGAGTAAAAAGCCCAATTTTGTTCAGGATCGCAAAGTGCCCTGATCCTGGGGGATGAATAGAGACTGATCTAACCTAGTCATGGCTATTCCAACACTCTTTACTAAATGCTCATTTTTTCCTAGTTTCCTTTGAGCCGGAAAAAAAAAAAAAAAAAAAAGATGAGAAGTTGGCTAGGGAATTTCTGGGATTTTTGTTTCCCGATTCAAAACCAAGCACAGCAAGTTGAGAAGGACTCTCTCTACCCTGGCAACCCCACTGCCTCCTGCCTCTTTGTGAGCTTGACAGTCATCTTGACACCTGGGGCATTAGGAGAAAAACTCAACACACCAAGAATGGCAGAGTGGAAGGATGGAACAAGCCTGGGTCCCTAATACTGTCACTGAGCTGCTGTAGCAAGTGTGAGGTCAACTACCTCCAGGGAGCTTGTGGTCAGTTTGTCCTTGGGCTTCTTACACAAGATTCCTCCCCAACAGGAGAAGGCCACAGAAGAAATAGGAAGATTTCTTGCCCCACTTCTACCAAGTTAGGCAAAAAGGGACAGGCAACATGCTGGCCTTTCACCCAGAGAGTGGTATAGCTCACTGGTCCTATTTTACCATGAAGAATGAGCCTATTATAGCCCGATCCTACTAATCTGAGTTTTGATTCCTAAGTCACTGTTCTGAGAAGGATTTGTTTTAAGTTATTTCATAAAGATAAGTTATCAACTCTCATAGTTGAAGCAGGGACCTTATTACCAAAAAAAGAGAATAGCAGCTGTCCAGTGAATTTATGCCGCTAGCCTGGAGAACAAAGCCTGGAATGCTTCTTCCCCACTCCAACCTCCAAATTATCAGACTGGCTGCAAAGACAAGCCTTGACCCCTGGAGAAATATGCTACTTCATGTTCTTCTCTGGCCACACAGACACAATCGAGAAGATGCTACAGATTTCCAGATAGTATACAGTAGGCAGAACCCAGAAAAGCTGAAAATAACTCAATGTGAAAATGCCTGTCATCTTATGGAATGACTGAGGATCCCCCCAGAGTACTCCAAAGCATAACCACACGTGAAGAGATCCTCTTCGCTCTACCTCTGCACTAGGAGATGAATGATTCTCATCATGGTGAACAAATTCCTGTATTGTATGAACTTGCTGCATTAAGAGGTCACAGTAGAGGCGAAGTTCAGACATTTTGGTTTTCAGCGATTCACTGGTTTCACTTATTTCTGAAAAGAATATACATAAATATACAGTTAGATCATTTTCATATTCTTTGAGCAATGTAACAAAATGTAATCATTTAAAAAAGCAATGAATATAAATACCTATAGCTCAAGAAATGTGAGACCTTGGAAACAGGATACAAGAGCCCTAAGGAAACATCTTCTCTTCAGATAATTGGGAAAAAGCTGACAGTTATATGCCTGCCATGTTTAGGTGATTTCCAGAGATAGGATGATGACCACTGGATGTTTTATACAGGATATTTCCATTCCATTACTCATCTTCCATTTAAAAAGTGCTTGGTTTTCTTTTGTGAATTGCTTTTTTATTTTGTCCTTTATACATTTTTTCCAGTTCTGATGTTGGTTTTTCTCTTAACAATATAAACTGATAGTTTGTAAAAGTTCTTACAAATTAAAGATAGTAATCTTTCCTCTATCTTATATACTGCAAATACCTTATCCAGATCTGTTAGCTTCCTTTCAGTTTTCTTTATTTTGGCTTACAGAAGTTTTAAATTTTTATGTAATTAAAACTATTGTTTATAAACATTCATTTATTTTCTTCTGTTTCTTTCAGTTTCATTCTCACATTATACTATTTTCAAAATTTTTTATTAAGAGCATACTTTCTTCCTTAGTATGTCCAGACAAACTAAACATCCAGCCATAATCTCAGCCACTCACAAGCCAATACCTTTTAAACTAGAAGTATAAGCTACAGAGGAGGAAAATTCATAGAGTAAATTTCTGGTGCTTCTCCACACTCCCTGGGCCAGGCCCCAGTGGTCTTGCTCTCTGGTCCTAGCCACAAAGCCACTTTTGCCAGAATGGACAAAGCAGCTCTATCTGCGCATTTAATCTAACCTAAATCAATTCCTGCTCATATTTAAGCCTATTCTTTCTCCTTTTTAAAAAAAACTGTGGTAAAGTATACATAAACATAAAATTTACTATTTTAACCACTTTTAAGTATTCACTTCAAAATGTGCCATTAAGTACATTCGTATTTGTAAAATCATCACCACCATCCATCTCCAGAACGTCTTCATCTTCCCCAGCTGAAGGTCTGTACCCACTAAACACTAACCCTGTTTCCACCTCCCCCTGGGCCCTGGAAACCAACATTCTATTTTCTGTCTGTATAAGTATGACTGCCCTGGGTATTTCATATAAGTGGAATCATAGACTATATGTCCTTCTGTGATTAGCTTTTTTTTTTTTTTAATCATTATTATACTTTAAGTTTTAGGGTACATGTGCACAATGTGCAGGTTAGTTACATATGTATACATGTGCCATGCTGGTGCGCTGCACCTACTAACTTGTCATCTAGCATTAGGTATATCTACCAATGCTATCCCTCCCCCCTCCCCCCACCCCACATGATTAGCTTTTTTTACTTATTGTAATGTCTATAAGGTTCATCCACAGTGTAGCATGTGTCACAATTTGCTTTTTAAAGCTGAGTAATATTCTATTGTATATTTTGTTTATCCATTCCTCTACCAATGAACATTTGGGTTATTTCCATCTTTTAGCTATTGTGAATATTCATTCCTTCTTATCCTACCTGTAGCTATATTCTGTAATGTTTTCATATATTTCAAAATTGTTATAAATTCAATCCTCAGCCTTCATTTCTCAATACCTATAATTTACTTGCTTTCACTAATGTAATTAATTTGCATTTAATTATATAAGTAATACATACTTAATAAAAAATTTTGAAAAATAGAAAAAATATAGAAAAGAAAAATCAAATAACTGTACTATGGTTTGAATATCGTTTGTTTCCAGCAAAACTCATGTTGAGTCTGGGTCCCCAGTGTGGCAGTGTTAGGAAAGTAGTACTTTTAACAAGTGATTAGGTCGTCAAAGGAGTGAGTGAGTTCTCAACCTCTTGGGACTAGATTAGTTACTATGAGAGCGGGTTGTTATAAATCGAGGCTGCCTCTTGGGTTTGATCTCTTTCCGCACACACCCGCTTTCCCTTGCTTCCTCCGCCATGCTATGATGCAGCATGAGGCCCTCACCAGAAGCCAACTAGATACAGCTGCCCAATCTTGAACTTCCAGCCTCTAGGGCCATGAGTCATACCTCTTTTCTTTATAAATTACAGTCTCAAGTATTGTGTCAAAGCAACAGAAAATGAACTAAGACAAACTATAATCTCACTATCAAGAAATTGTCATTTTCACATTATATCTGTATATAGTTGAACTAATAACATAAATCATTTGCTTTGCTTTCAGTTTCTAAAAATCTTTTTGAATTGGCAATATGCGTACATGGTAAAGTCAAAAGATACCAAAGGGTATATACAGTGACAACTGAGTCTCCTTCCCACAAATTCCACTTCCAAAGGTAACAATCTGACCAATTCTTACATACCTTTCCTAAGCCAGCCAATGAATACTAACAATACACATAATTCTGAATCCTGCTTTTTTCAATGATCATTTAACCCTGGGCATTTTCTCACATTGAAATTCCTTTTCAACATCTTACTGTCTATATATCAGCCAGTGAAAGCACGAGTTTAGGCTGGGCGCAGTGGCTCATGCCTGTAATCCCAGCACTTTGGGAGGCCGAGGCGAGCGGATTACCTGAGGTCGGGAATTCGAGACCAGCTTGGCCAGCATGGTGAAACCCCGTCTCTACTAAAAATACAAAAATTAGCCAGGCATGGTAGCAGGCACCTGTAATCCCAGCTACTCGGGAAGCTGAGGCTGGAGAATCGCTTGAACCCAGGAGGCAGAGGTTGCAGTAAGCCGAGATCGCGCCATTGCACTCCAGCCTGGGCAACAGAGTGAGACTCCATCTCAAAAAAAAAAAAAAAAAAGAAAGAAAGAGTTTATTGAGCCATTCCCCTAAATTTATAGCTTTTACAAAATGTTTACTATGATAAAGATATACGTAAATCTACATTTCTAATTATTTCCTTGGGATAGATACTAAAAGTGGACAGGCTAATTTAGTTACATTTATATTTATATTTAAGAAAGTACTCTCACCACAAGGGAAAAGTTTATAGTTACCTTTTTCTTTTTTAGTCCTTGTATCAGTCAAACATGCTTTGGAGCTCCCCAGAGCGACCAGCCACCTCTGTCTTTCAGCTGCATTCACTGCCTTCATGTAGAAATGCTGCTCTCCAGGAATGATTAATTCCATTCTTGTGTTGTCTGCTGAATGAACTATGATGATAAACAAAGGGGAAATACAGTTATAGACTTAAGTAATTTAAGGGTAATCAAATAATCATCTAATCACACAGTATCAGATGCTTCATATACCAAAAACATTGAACTATCATTCATGATGCAGGCAGTGCTGCTCCCTGAGGGGCCACCCAGTGGCACTCCCCAAATCAACATTCTCATATAGACCCGGGGTAACAATGGTGCCAAAGCGATGACAGAGTATGAAAAAGAAAACAGGGACATACTAACTACTGAGAAGTGACAGCCCTCCCCCACCTTGGGGCCACTTATCCTATTAAATACAACTGCAATGAATGTTACACTATCACATATTTTTTACTGATTTCCTTGAAAACAAAGTCTTTGTTTTCATATATAGTGCCTGACACATAGAAGGAATGTAATAAATGACAACTACAGCCACCTTCTGTCAGAAAAGTAACTCTATGATATGCCCTTAATTATGGATCATAGCATAACACATGGAAGGCATGTATATTTTGAAGACATTCATCTCTTCCCCTCTTTCTACCTCTTCTCCTGCACACACACACCTCCTTTGATGCTCTGAGAAAAGAGAGCTAATCAGGAATTATGATGAGCCAATCCCAAGTCTTTGTTGTAAAACAAAATTTGTGTTAAGCTGTCATTCATCAACAAATATTTACTCAGCTCAGAGCAGTGCTAGTAGAAGAGAAGATAGAGGGGAAGAAAAAAGGTGTCTTTGCTTCTATACAGTTGACAATTTAACCAAGAAACAAACTGACACACCAAAAACAATCAGAATACACATATGTTTAACTCTTTGGTGCAGAGATTTCTTGTGTAATTATGAGAGAAAGTAATTTAAAAAGGCTTCAAGAAGAAGGGTTTGATGAAAGCGGGATTTGGTTAAGAAAATGAATGAGAAGAAGCTTAAATGAGAAAATAAACACAGAATGTACTGAGAATATTAGGAAACAAGCATAAATAGAGGCTTCCATTGTAATGCAAAGTAATATTCATACTCGTTTAGCCAGTATAGTGGTGCAAGCATGTACTCCCAGCACCTGTAGACCCAGCAACTTGGGAGGCGGAAGGCTGAGGCAAGAGGATCGCTGGAGCCCAGTACAGGCTGCAGTGAGCTACAATCATACCACTGCACTCCAGACTGGGCAACAGAGCAAGACCCTGTCTCAAAAAAAAAAAAAAAAAAAAAAAAGAAGGAAAAGAAAAGAAAACAAATTCATATTCATGAATGGACAAGCTGGGAGGAGCCAAATTATGAGGGTCCCAGCAAAATCTGGCAGAAGCCCCAACTTAAATAATTAATTGCTATAAATATTGACCAGATGTTTAGTGTATTATGGCAAGTAAGTGCCACAGAAATGTTGCTATCTTATTATTCTACTTATATGGGTCATTCTTAGTTGCAGACACTGAAACATACAACCATGCAACAATCAATTATGAATGCAAAAGATTTCTAGGCTAGGGTAAAACTACTGAACTCCTAAAGCTATAAGAGTAACTCTTCCTTGCTACTTGCCAATACTAGTGAAAGCACCAATACCTACTTTAAAAGAAAGCAATGCTCTAATTTCTAATGATGTTGCTACAAGATGAAACTAAAATAAGATGACTCATTTTTAAACATACCAGAATTTATGCATCCAATCAAGGGTGGTCCCCTCCAAAGTTGTCACCTGAAAAGGCAACAAACTTAAAAATGATGCTTCCAAAACATCAGAAAAGATGGACAAGACCTCTAAACACAAAACTACAAAACATTACTGAGAGAAATTAAATATCTAATTAAACAGAGTTAATGGAACAGAAGACTCAATATCATCAAGAATATAATTCTCCTCAAATTGATCTGTAGATTCAACACAATTCCAAACATTCCAGCAGATAGCTGTGGAAATTTATAAGCAAGTTCTAAAATCTGTAAGGAAATGCAAAGGGCTTACAATAGCCAAGACAGTACTGAAAAAGAACTAAAGTTAGGAGACTTTGGCTATCAGATACAAAGAGAATAAAGCTAAAGAAATTAACACAATGTAATATCTGCACAAGGATTAACAACAACAACAACAACAACAAAAACAGGGCCACAGAACAGAATAGACAGTCTAGAAAAAGACTCACATATACATGGTCACTTGCTTTGTGACAAAGGTATCCCCATGGGGGAAAGGTTGCTATTAAGTCAAGTACAGACCTACTATAGACCTAAATATAAAAGGTAAAACAATAAACATTCAAGAAAGTAACACAGAAGATGTCTTCAGTGGGTCATAAAAGGATCCAATAAAAGAAATTAACAAATTGGATTTCACTGAAATGAAGAACTTCTGTTCCTCAAAAGGTATCATGAACAAAATGAAAACATAAACTACACAGTGGAAGAAAACATCTGCAACACAAAGACTCAACCAGACTATACAAAGAACTCCTACATATCAACATGAAAGATAGCCAAAGTTAGAAAATGGGCCAAAGACTTGAAAGAGGACTTCAAAAGAAGACAACATTCAAC
This sequence comes from Homo sapiens, assembly GCF_000001405.40. NCBI lineage: Eukaryota > Metazoa > Chordata > Mammalia > Primates > Hominidae > Homo > Homo sapiens. Next base: position 178,488,131 of record NC_000002.12, on the reverse strand, counting down.
CCTTTTTTTTTTTCCTTTTTGTGGAGACAGGAGTCTCATTTTGTTGCCCAGGCTGGTCTCGAACTCCTGAGCACAAGCGATCTGCCTGCCTTGGCCTCCCAAACTGCTGGGATTACAGACATGAGCTAACACTCCCGACAAGAGGACATTCAAATGGCTAACATCTAAAAAAGTATTCAACATCATTAGTTATTGAAGAAATGCAAGTAAAAAACCACCATGAGATACCACTACAAACACCAGAAATATTCCGAATTTTTTAAATGGATAATACCAAGTTTTGGCAAAGATGCAGAACAACTGGAACCCTAATACTCTGATCGATTGCAGAAAAAATTTATATAATCACTTTGGAAAACATCTGGCATTATCTGTGAAAAAGATTATTGGCCAGGCACAGTGGCTAACACCAGTAATTCCAACACTTTGGGAGGCCAAAGCGGGCAGATTGCTTAAGCTCAGGAGTTCAAGACCAGCCTGGTTTTTGCAACACGGTGAAATCCCATCTCTACAAAAAACATAAAAATTAGCTGGGCATAGTGACATGTGCCTCTGGTCCCAGCTACTCAGGAGGCTGAGGTAGGAGGATCACCTGAACCCAGGAGGTGGAGGCTGCAGTGAGCCATGATCACACCACTGCATTCCAGCCTGAGCAACAGAGTGAGAACCTGTCTCAAAAAAAACAAAAAAAGAAAAGAAAAGAAAAAAAAGAAAAAAAGAAAAAGATTCTCTTCTTGACCAAATTTTAGTCAGGCTCATTTGAATCCTGTACTCACCTAGGCTTCCTTCTCCATCCTTGTAGAATCCAGTTTTAGCAAGAATCCTACTAAGTCAGTTTAGCCAGAATCCCCTAACACCATATTTCATCACCCGCCCTTGATATCTGACCACATTCTTCATTCCCTACCATTTCCCAGCAATGTCTGATCACCCTGGCCTCAGCCTGCCTTCAGCAAGAATCCTGTTAGGTCAGTTTAGCCAGAATCCCCCCACTTACCTTTTAGTAACTTTCCCTCCACTGACACTGTCTCCCCCTAACCCTGCTCCTTGGCTATAAATTCCCACTTTTCCTTGTACTTGGAGTTGAGCCCAATTTCTCTCCTCCAATGCAATAGTCCCTAAATCTATCACAATAGTCCTAAATAAAGTTTGCCATACCATTTCAACGTGTCAAGAATACTTTTTTCTTTAACATCTATTAAAGCTGAAAGTATGAATATTCAGTGCCTTAGCATTCCACTCCACTTCTAGAGATACACTAAACAGAAATGCACACATATGTTCAATAAATGTGTAAGAATGTTTATGGCAGCTTTAGTCACTGTAGTCCCAAAACGGAAATAACCCAAAAATCCTTCAGTACTAGAATGGATACCAAAATTGTGAGATATTCACACAATGGAATACTGTACAATGAGAATGACTGAACTACTGTTACACAGAACAATATAGATAAATTTTACAAACATGATGTTGAGTAAAAGAAGCCAGACACAAAAGAAAATACTGAATTATTCCATTTATAAAACATTAAAAGACAACACTTATGTATGGCAATTAAAGTCAGATTAATCGCTACCTTTCAGGAAGACTGTTTGATAGCTATGACCCAGAGCTCACCACGTCAAAGGAAACACACTTCATGAAGGACAAGTATTCAAGCTAGAGTGGAGAAATGAAAACGACCAGGAAGGAGTTTAACAGTCACTCCCCTGGTGCTCTAGTTTTTCCTTCACTCTCTTTGAAGAATTCAGTCCTTTTCACTGCCATTTTATCTGATTTCGCCTCCACCCCACACACTCCAACCACACACACAAATGAATCAATGGTCCATAAAATCTTCCTTCACGAAAATTACAGCAGGACCTATTGCTTTATTTCTCCCCTTTTGGAAGAAAAGGAAACCATCTCTATCACCCAGAGGAACTTACCTCCAAATTCAGCAAAGAACCAGAGTTTATGACTCCAACTTCATACCTTATCAAAACCCTACAGAGCTGGCCCCATCATCTTTAGAGTTCAGCCTCCAACTTTTACAATATCTTTCTATTAATTACAACAATAATGAAATAGAATGCTTATAGACTGAAGGTGGACACTAAAGTAGTATCCACAAGAAATTGTTTGTCAAATCCAAATTGGAAGACTAGCAAAAGTTATTTCCATTCAAAAATACATTTGTAGAGGGAGAATTATCAAAAACTGTGTTTAATTGTGTTAACTGTGATGAAATGCCACTCCTGACTGCTAAGGATATAAATGGTATTAGATGATCCCTACGTGGTTAGAAATGCTTTTTTTCCTCGTCTGGAGTATGCTGAAGAACCCTTGACTATCTAACCTCCAATTCCTCTAATTCTGTATATTCACTTACCTTTAATTTCACAAACTGCCATCTTTATGCTTCCTTTGCTCCCTTTGCAAACATCATCTTGTGAATCATAGTAGGATAAGATTCCATTATCTAAAACAAACCAACGAGGCTGCCAGCCTAAAAAGACCATAAATAACAAAAGGTCAATTGGAAACACATTACTTTCACCACATAGAAAACTGTGATTTCAAAACCTGCCATCCACATTATTTCTTGGCTCTCAAATAACATTCCGATAATGAAATTTTCAATCACCAAGCCTTACCAAAAATGTTTTTGCATCAGTCTCCACTTTATTGGGAGAGGTTTCTGGAGCAAGCTCCAGAGCAGCAAAAACACGGGGAGTAATACTTCTAATTCTAGCTCACAGTGTTCTCATTAACAACCCATAAGGCCCATCCTCAGTAATAGCCCTAAACCGGGTATAGCATAACTGCCCTCTTTTCCTAAAAAGGAACAGAGTTGGGGTTACGATATTATGGGAAAAGCCACAGAAGACAAGGGTTCTAGCCTTACCTATAGTATCATTCTTTAATGGATAATCATACCCTGGGGACAAATCTTTTCATTTCAATAAATCTCTAAAATTCCCAGTCCCTAAAATGTGTAGGTTGAACAAGATGACCTCTCAGGTGCCACCTAGCCCTCTAATTCTGCAATGTGCCTCTTATAAAATACATATTTCTAAGCAAACTCCCTTAAACACAATGAGTGCTAAATGAATTCCAGTCTCTTAAATAGAAGCTACATACCCTATGGTGAGAACACAGATTCCCCATATGACCCCCTCTTCCCTTGTCTGCAGTTGCACAGCTAGGGTTGAAATCCTAGAAACTGCAATTGTTCGATTGATATTTATTCAGTGACTAGAGCTCACATCTATCACAGACTTGGCTCCATGCCAAAGCTGACGACAAGGATGATGACTTTCCTTGGCACCCAATTCCCACTCCTCTTTGAAGCCAAACTTGGTGTTCCCCGGAGTCTTATCAAGCATGCTACTAATTTACAACAGTTCACTGACTATTAACATGGTGACCATGCTGGGAGCAGTGTGACTGTCCTTGTTCTTTCCATGACTATTAAATAACAATTCAGCACAAATATTCATGGCTAAAATGTACATTTTAAACCATGGATGTTCGTATCCCGGTCACTTTTGCCATAGCCTGCCACATGATCAATTTGATCTTTCCAGGGTCAGATAGTGCCGAGAGGGGAGATGGGTCAGTCATCCTTACACTTTAATACAGATCCAGGACTTAATTCCCCAAAAGGATTTATCTGTAACACTTTTGAAATGACAACACTGAGTCATCAAAAAGATTAAATTTTACTTTGTAACCCTGTTTAGGAAGGCAGGGAATGCAGTAATACAGTTCAGAAAGAGAGATATCTAAAGCAACTAAAAACCAGCAACTTTCAGGTTCCTGGAAGATTCCTTTTTATGAAACAACAGAGTATTCCCTAGTGAGACCTAAACAAATTAGAAGGTAAGTTATTTTGGTACATGGACTTTATCTTGTTCATCACTGCATTCCCAGCAACTAGAATGGTGCCTGGCACATAAGAGGTACCAAAAAAATCTATTTCTCAAGTGACTGAATAAATAAATGAATGAATGAATACCCCAAAAGTGAGATATTTCAGGGATTGTTGCTGTTGTTTTGTTTGGTTTTTTGAGACAGGATCTCACTCTGCTGCCCAGGCTGAAGTGCAGTGGCATGAACATGGCTCACCACAGCCTCAACCTCCTAGGCTCAAAAGGTGCTCCCACCTCAGCCTCCCAAGTAGTTAGGACTACAGAAGTGCCACCATGCCTGGCTAATTTTTTAATTTTTTATAGAGACGAAGTCTCATCATGTTGCCCAGGCTGGTCTCAAATTCCTGGACTCAAGTAATCCTGCCATCTTGGCCTCCCAAAGTGCTAGGATTACAGATGTGGGCCATCACACCCTGCAGATATTTCCTATTAACCATGAGAGTATAGACATACAATATATCTTTGAGAGTATATTGTATTGATCATGCATGGAAATGATAAAAACATTATCTTTCCAAACACTAATTTACCTTGCCAAACAAATTATAAGCAGGGGGTGGTGAAAATACATTCCTCCACCCAGGTCTAGTGTGCCTATAGGACAAATTATGATTTTGCAAGCCTGCAGTACTGCAATTCAATATCTCTTTAAAACAAATATTGGGCAAAATGATTCATTTAGAATTTGCAGCAACGTGAAAGGTGAGTGGTTGAACACATTAATATAATCAAGCCTGTTAATTATCTCTACACACTTTTTGAAGAAATATTTAATAAAACAATTTCTAATTGGTTCACACACTTATATAACAGAGGGTAATATCTGTGAAAAAGATTCACAGGTATTCCCTTTTTAAAATTCTTTTTTTTTTTTAATTCTTTTTATCTCAAACTACAAAATGTTACTGAAATTCTTACTCTCTACAAAGGATTCTCAAATAACACTTTTTTTTTTTGAGATAGAGTCTCGCTCTGTCGCCAAGGTTTGAGTGCAGTGGTACAATGTGGGCTCACTGTAACCTCTGCCTCCCAGGCTCAAATAATTCTCATGCCTCAACCTCCCAAGTAGCTAGGACTACAGGTGCATGCCATCATGCCTGGCTAATTTTTTGTAATTTTTGTAGGGACAGGGTTTCACCATGTTGGCCAGGTTGGTCTCAAACTCCTGACCTCAAGCTATCTGCCTATCTCAGCCTCCCAATGTGCTGAGATTACAGGCATGAGCCACCGTGCCTGAACAACACTATCATTACACTTAAAGATCACTTAGTATGAACAGCTGCTCATTCTTATGACCTAAGATGAACTAAAATTAATAATCAGCACACCATCTACCCAAATTTAACTTTTAAAAATAAATTCTTCCAAACAAAAGATTTCTTTTCAACCAGCTTCTACAATGCATACTAGAAGTTGACTAAATGCCCTGCAAAGACTAAAATCTAAATCACATGTGATTAAAAGCTCAACCCCTGGTTATTTAGTACCATAGGAGATAAGGAAATCGCCACCAAGCCCAGGTTTCATCTCAACTCTTAAATTATGACTCATCTCAGTAATGGCCCAATGGTTCCACAACACCATGCTTAGGAACACTTGCAATGAGATGAGCATTTGCATCTCAAAGCATACAAGCTAATGTCTTTTTTTTTTTTTTTTTTTGAGACAGGATCTCGCTCTGTTAGCCAGGCTGAAGTGTGTGGGTACAATCATAGCTCACTGATCCTAGCTCACTGCAGCCTCCATTTCTCTAGCTAAAGCAATCCTTTCGCCTCCGCCTCCTCAGTAACTGGGACTACAGGTGTGCACTACCACACCTAGCTGTTTTTTGTTTTTGTTTTTGTTTTTTTAGTAGAGACCACGTCTCCCTATGTGGCCCAGGTTGGTCTTGAGCAAGCAATCCTCCCACCTCCGCCTCCCAAAGTGCTGGGATTACAAGCATGAAGCACTCTACTGTCTTTAACAGTTAACACTATACCTCAACCAAACAGTATAACTGCTCTCACAATGGCCAAAATGAAAATGCCCAATAAAAAATATTTATCTAACTTTTAAATGTTTCCCGTTAAAACATGTCACTTATAGAAATAAATTGAGTTTTTAGTTTGAACAAAATAAAACATCTGTGTATCATAAATGTTAAAAGCATTTGCTGCTACAAATCTGGCTTTAGCATTCTAATAAATCAAAAAGCAGGTATAACTGTAGCTCAGTGCTTATGCCTTAAAAAGTTTACCTGCACATTTTGCACAAGATCAGGTGGACACAAGTCGAGAGTACCACACAATTACTGAGGGATGTGATACTTTTGGCAGAGCGAAGAAGTGGGCAGCAAGTCATGATTTGCCTATTATGCTAGACCCCCCCCCCCCAAAAAATCTGTTTACTGTTCAAATTTATGTTAAAACCATCTTCTCACTTAGTGAGGTCATGGAATTCTGGAGTTGGAAGGCATCCCGGGGCAAAATAACTAATCACCCTGGCCTTATCAGACTGAGGTCCTGAAAGAATAACTGACTTGCCTTCATTGTTGGTTGATGGCAGAGATTGGACTACAACTCAAATTTAAGGAGCTTTTAAATAAGCCTACAGGCTGCCAATGTCATGGTAAGGGGCCCTTTCCTGCTGGTCTCTCATTTCTTCAAAGTTTTTCCTTCCAACCCACTTCACAGGTGAAAGTGACTTGCCTGTTCCCCTTCTGTGTATTGACACTTTCTTCCACTATTTCTCAGTTAACAGAATTCCCCAACGTAAGGATACTTCAATGACAATCCCTAAGAGAATATTATCTGGGGACAGCTTCCAAAATCATGCTCGCTAAGCTTGAACAACCTCAACAAGACAACGTTTTAAATAAAATGTTAAGGAAATTAAAAGAAATACAAAAAAGAATTAAAATTAAATCTTGTAGTTGAAACAATTAAAGGGTCCATTCCAGTCCAATACTCCGACAACTCAGTTATTAACAAAATGCTCTTAAAGTATGAATACTAAGTGTGAATAAGGACGGAGATCGCAACAACACATGTAGGGTGACTGAGAATTGTTCCTGAGGCTACAGGAGGCAAGGATTAGTATTATTACACTAGCAAAGAAGTGGCAGGTGCACTTCCCACCCTCTAGAAGGTGCGCAGCCTCAAACCCTCCCCTGAAGAGGCCAGAAGGACTCAACAAGCCCTGGAATCGAGTAGAGCGAATTCGCTCTGAGGGTCCGCGGAGGCCAGACGGAGGAAGAGGAGCCCCGACCCGCCTTCTCAGCAGCCCCCCGCCTCTCCCCTCTTCCCTCATCACACGAGCCCCCATACCTGTGAGATAGTTGGTCCACTTGTACAACACCCCCTCCATGCTTCAGAGCCCCACACCGCGCATCCTCCCGGCCCGGCGCCGGCCGCGGTGATGGGGTAGGCGCAGGGCCTGGGGCAGCCCCTCCCGGCCCGCCCGGGCCCCCTCCGCCGGCACGAAGCCGCTTTCTGCCTGCGCGCGCCGCAGGGACGTGGCGGCCTTTAGAGGCCGGGACAGCGGGCGCAGCGTGGAGCTTGGGGGCCGCGAGGCGCGGGCCCAGACATTCCCGGGTAAGCCTCGGCGGCGGCGGCCGCGACAACGGCAAAAATGCGCCCGCGACCGGCCTCCTGCTCGCGCTTCCGCAGCCCGGCTGCTCCCTCCGGCGCCCCGGCGCTGCCTCTTCCTCGCCTGCCTTCCTTCCCCCTGGGCTCCCCGTTTGTTTTCATTGACCCCGACGTCGATTTCACTTCCTGGATGAAAGGGGCCGGATCGTCCCGGGAAACCCCTCCCCGGCGGCGGGGCTGAAGGAGCGGGCGCGGCCTGCGGCCTCGCCGCCTAGCCGGAGGCTGCGCGAGGAGGGCGGGCCGGCGCGTCACACCCTCGGCCTGCCAGCCAGGGCCGCCTTTACTCCTCCCACGGGCCGGTGGCCAACAGTCCCGAGGCTCCCAAGTTTCCCCTTGGCCGCCAAGGCCCAGGCTGACCGCCCCCGGGGGACAAGACCTTCGAGCTCCGCTGCGCGCGCAGCCCCGGTGCCTACCTAAGGAGGAGCTGCCCGCACACTCATCCCGCGGGCACTTAGTTCTCTCGGGTTTTCCTGGGTTTTCTTCAGAAATACATAATATCCTGTTTCTTCATGAAATCCTGTTTTTATTTTACATAAAATCCTGTTTTTTCTTCAAAAATACATAAAAGCCTTCCTATTTCTGTTTGCTTCGTATTTTCCTCATATTCAAGGGGTCTGAAATTATCTCCTAGGAAGGCAATGTGCAGCAGACGGGGTCCTCTGACAAGGAATGGCGAGGGCCCCCAAGGAACTGTCATCACGCCGATAACCTTGGATAGCCACAATTTTATTTAGAATATAAAACATGGAACTCGACTTCGGAATTTTAGTCTAGAAATGGGGACTTCCCCCTAGCTTTTATGATTTTTGAAACTCCTGCTTGGACGCAATTGTCATCTTGCATAATCGACAGTAATTTTCAGGTTTATGGAATTTTGCAAACTTTAAGCAAAGCACATCAATCAGGCTCAGTGCTGCGGCTTTTCTTCGCATCACCGAGGTAGAATAGCACCTCTACTCCCAGAACTTAATCCAGGCGAATGCAGAAGGCCTTTGCTGGTTTTCTGGTTTGGGTAGTCTTTGGGTATTCACTTGGAAACAAGGCGAATTGATGGATGGATAGAGTGATGGATGGATATGTAATAAATATAATATAGTTCAATGACAGGATCCAGATGGTGGGTGTAGGAGAGTTTACTGTAGAATTCAACTTTCTGTGTATTTTAAAGGTTTTCATACTAAAATTGGTGGTGAAGTGGTGTTGTCACACAGATTTGACCAAATCCCTGCTGCGTATTAGCTGTGAGATTGGGACAACATGCCCAATACTCAAGTTTTCTTGACTGATGTGGACAATTACGTATCCCATGGGATGGTACAAAAAAGTCAAAAGAACATTCCCCGCACTACCAGAGGCCCTCGAATCAAGGGCGGCCCCGAGTGGCGGGGAAAAGAAATGCAAGCCAGCGGAGGATGCTGAATTGTGGAGGTCGGCTCTCGGAAACGCCTGCAGCCAGGCAGAGGAGTTGCGGTACCGCAGTTTCGTTGCATCGGGCTGGCCTTCAGGTTGTGCGACTCAGCCTGGAACCTCTGAATGCAAGATTCCGACCTGAGAATGCGCTTCAAGGACACCTCCGAAGCACCCAGAAAGCCACCGCCAGCCTATTTTTTACGCTCCTTTTCCAGCATGCCTCTCCCTCCCCCCAGTATCTATCTGCTCGTTCCCTAGGGGTCTTAGAAGCCTTTTGCTTCCAGAAATGACAACCATATTCCCTGACTCTACGACATCCCAGGCTGTTTATTTCGTCTTATGCCAGTTTCATTTTAGAAAATGCGAATGTTGTCACCGAACCCTGAGGAAACCTGCTGTAAAATACGCGGGTTTAGCGAGAAGAAGCGGAGCGAGTGTGCGTTGCGATCTTAAAGACTGAGGACAGCCAGCCCGAGGGCCTAGAAACAGCGTTAACCGCGCTGAGCCCGCTGCGGGAGGCGGAGGGGTTGGGGCCATGAGAGGGCGGGGCCGCATCTATGGCCCCGCCCCGGCCCTTTGTGACGCAGGACAACGCCTGCCACGCGTCGGAACTCGGCCGCGGGACATCCACGGGGCGCGAGTGACACGCGGGAGGGAGAGCAGTGTTCTGCTGGAGCCGATGCCAAAAACCATGCATTTCTTATTCAGATTCATTGTTTTCTTTTATCTGTGGGGCCTTTTTACTGCTCAGAGACAAAAGAAAGAGGAGAGCACCGAAGAAGTGAAAATAGAAGTTTTGCATCGTCCAGAAAACTGCTCTAAGACAAGCAAGAAGGGAGACCTACTAAATGCCCATTATGACGGCTACCTGGCTAAAGACGGCTCGAAATTCTACTGCAGGTAGGAAATGCTGCGAGCTGCCCGTGCGTCCAGTTGCACAAAATCTTGCCTGCCTCCACCAAGCGGAAGCCTCATTGGTTGGTTGGTTGGGGTTTTATTTTTTAACGGTAAAAGTTGAGCCCTTTATTCATTAAAAAAAATCACATTATATGGCAGTGTTTCTCTAATAAACTGAATATTTTTATTTAAAGTATTGAAAATGTTGTGGCAATAAATTATCAAAAATACGATACATCCACACACACATCAACCACCACCATTACCCTTGGGACCTCCAGAATTAAATCAAGGTTCTGCCTATAAGGATGTTCACATTTTTCCCTTGCCAGAAGTATTGAGTCTTTACGGAGGAATACATGGAATAAAGAGATTTAATTCTGGCCTTCAGAAGCACGATTTTTATAGGTTGTGGCCACTTTCTATCAAGAAAAACAGTTACTTCCCTGGTGACTTCTGGTGGGCCCTGCTCCCTCATTCCACCTGGTGCCTACTCTGATTTAATTGATGGCTTATTACTCAGAGGGAGAATCTTTTCTTTACCCTGTAAAGATAGGACTGGGAAAAACAGTTCCATCCATTTAGAATAAAATAGAGAAATTTAATAAGAATTTATACAATTTTATAATTTAATAAGAATTTAATAAATTATATCATTAGAATTTAATAAGAAAATATACCATTTTAAATTACTATTAAAATGACTTTTTGAGGCTAAAACTGCCCTATCATTTTTTTACAACAAACCCAGGGAGTTAAATGAGTTCTTTGTACAAGCCATGCACCTAGTTAGGGGCTGGAGACCCATTAAAAAGTTAACTGTTGAATAGTTTTTGTAAAGATAACAATTTTAAAAAATGAGATGGCTGTTAATGATTAACTTTGGGCAAATCATACTTCTTTCTGGTGATTATAGGGAAGTTTGAGTCAAACACCCCATTAAGGGTTTTAGAAAGAGTGATTATATGGGAATGATGGTTAGAGAGGACTCCAATTTTAAATGCCCAGCTGTATTTTCAAGTTTGATTTCTTGAAATCAGTTTACTTAAGTATTGCTTTTTGTTATAGCCGGACACAAAATGAAGGCCACCCCAAATGGTTTGTTCTTGGTGTTGGGCAAGTCATAAAAGGCCTAGACATTGCTATGACAGATATGTGCCCTGGAGAAAAGCGAAAAGTAGTTATACCCCCTTCATTTGCATACGGAAAGGAAGGCTATGGTAAGATGTTTAATTTTAATTTCTTGTTTTAGTTATATTTAAAAAATGATTAATAGATTTCTGGGTATATAGGTCTGAAAGAATTGAAAGCACAGTCTCAAAGAAATATTTGTACAGCCATGCTCATAGCAGCCATGTACAATAGACAAGAGATGGAAGCAAGCCACATGTCCATACATAGAGAAATGGATAAACAAAATGAATACATGCATATATGGAAGCCAGGCACAGTGGCTCATGCCTGTAATCCCAACACTTTGGGAGGCCAAGGTGGTAGAATCACTTGAGGCCAGGACCAGCCTGAGCAACAGCAAGACCCTGCTCTACAAAAAAAAAAAAAAAAAAAATGAAATGGAATATTATTCAGCCTTAAAAAGGAAGAAAATTCTGAGACATGCACCAACATGTATCAGCCTTGAGGACATTATGCTAAATGAAATAAACCAGTCACAAAAAGACAAATACTGTATAATTCCATTTATGTGAGGTACCTGGAGTAGTCAAATTAATAGAGACAAAGTAGAAGGGTGATTGCCAGAGGCTGAAGTGAGAGGGAAAAGGGGAATTGTTGACCAATGGGTATAGAGTTTCATTTTTGCCAGATGAAGAGTTCTGGAGATTGGTTGCATGGTAGTGTAAGCGTACTTTACTGAACAACACACTTGAAAATTGTTATGATGGTAAATTTTATGTTATGTGTATTTTACCACAATTAAAAACAAAAAAGTGAAATAAAAAATGATAGATGAAATAAAGAGAACAGTAAAGCCCAATGACCTTAAGCTCTATCTAGTTCAGTCCAGTCCCTTCTTTTTGCTTATAAGGATAATATGACATTGTTTGAATATAGATCTCTGGCCAGAGTTCTTTCTTCTACATTGTGGCAACACTCATGATGATTATATATATTCTATAAGCTCTACCTTAAGCATTTTTATTTGTTTTCAGCATATGTTATTATTACATAAATATTTATAACACAGATCTTTGGTAAGCAGTACCAAAGTTAAATTCATAAAACTCAGAAACTGGAACATGTAGGTTTAGAGTAAAAGGACAGGACGGGCACATTGTAAAAGGAACAGCTGAGATATAATGGGCTGTCAGTCATTATTACCCCAATACAGGACAAGCCTTCAAATGTGCAAGAAATGATCTTATTCTTTCAATATCTTGTCATTTTAAAAATCCTACAGCAAAAAGATCTGAAAACCTAGGTAAAGCAAATAAGCGGGAAAAATGTTTGTAACATGTATGAAGACTTGCTAACCAATAATGAAAATGACATATCCCTAGAAATGGGCCAAATTCATAAATAAGCACCCACTAACAAAAAACTACAAATGGCCTTTAAGTCTATGAGAATACTTAATTTTATTCATAAAGAGAAATTAAAAATGAGACATCATATTTCACTCATCAGATTAGCAAACACAAAACAACTTGGCAAAAGCATGGAAAAACCAGCATTATTGCTGGGAATGGAAATCATTCAACTTCTCTATCAACTGTTATCAAAAGTGAAAATGCAGGCCCGGGTGTGGTGGCTCATGCCTGTAATTCCAGCACTTTGGGAGGCTGAAGTGGGCAGATCACTTCAGGTCAGGAGTTCGAGACCAGTCTGGCCAATATGGTGAAACCCCGTCTCCACTAAAAATACAAAAATTAGCTGGGTGTGGTAGAGTGTGCCTGTAATCCCAGCTACTTGGGAGGCTGAGGCAGGAGAATCGCTCGAACCTGGGAGGCAGAGGTTGCAGTGAGCCAAGATTGCGCCACTGCACTCCAGCCTGGGCAACAGAGCGAGACTCCATCTCAAAAAAAAAAGTGAAAATGCACGTGCCTTCTTATCCAATAGTTCCATTTCCAGGAATGTGCACAAAGGTATATGTAAAAGAACATTCACTGCAGGCATTTTTGGGTGGGAGGGTGGCAAAAGGTTGGAAACCACCTGCCTATCCATCAATAGGAAATTAGTTAAATAAATTATAGTATATCTATACAATGAATTACTGTGTAACCAGTAAAAAGAATGAAGTAGAGCTATACTTATTAATATGTTAAAAATAAAGTGGAGGCCAGGCATGGTGGCTTCATGCCTATAATCCCAGCACTTTGAGAGGCTAAGGTGGGAGGATCACTTGAGCCCAGGAGTCTGAAAGCAGCCTGGGCAATGTAGGGAGACACAATCTCTACAGAAAATTAAAAAGTTAGCCAGGCGTGGCGGTATCCGCCTGTGGTCCCAACTACTCAGGGGGCTGAGATGGGAGGATCCCTGGAGCCTGGGAGGTCGAGGCTGCGGTGAGCTGTGATTGTGCCACTGCACTCCAATCTGGGCAACACAGCAAGACCCTGGCTCAAAAAAAAAAGTGGACAAGACTATATTCCACTTTTGGGATATATATTGAGCATCAGTGCCAGGCTTTGTTCTAGGCACTGGGCATAAAGCAGTGACCAAAGTAGACACTACTCCCAATCCTCTATGAGCTTTCATTTCAGAGGAGGAGTTTCACATATGCATGTATCTACACAGAATACATCTGGAAGAATATGCAGTCATCTGATGACATTAAGTGTTCCTGGGAAGGAGGCCTCAGGGTCAAGGATGAGAAGATTTCTTTTCACTCTAACATTTTGTACCATTTGAAAGTTTTATAAGGCATGTATTAATTTTTCCAAAATTAAAATTTTAAATTACAAAAATTGCATGTAGCAGAACAGAGAAGAAAATTTTTAAAGCAGGCAGGAGGATGGGCAGCCTGATAGGCTGTACCTTGCATCCTTAGTTAGGTTCTTGCTCCGTGTTGCTGCTTGAAGGCTATACAGAAAGAATCTTTGCCTCCTTACCCTATTTAGAGCCACTGCTGACTCCACCGGTTTGAAATAGTAAAGATTAATTTTCCACAATGAGATATTGGCATTGCTCCCAAATATTTCATGGAAGTGGCATGCCTTCTTTGAGGCAGTTGTCTTAGTCATTAAGAGTTCTTTCCAGCAAAATCGGGGCATCAGTGCCCCACACTGGATTGGCGGGTGGTGGGGGGGTGTCAGTGCTTTGAGTCAGACCCAGTCAGGCTTAAAACTCCTAAAGAGACAATTTCCAGATAACTTCAGCTTTATTTTTAATGCTTTTTGCCAATAATTTGATCCCATCAGAACAGCTCCCATGGTACCATAATTCATATATCCTGTTTTTATTTGTATAGGAACCTAGGAGAAAGAGAAGGAAAATTGAAAATAAATTAAGTCAAATGCAATACTTGTGCTAAAAATGTTGTCAAAAGTTGAGGCCACTTCTAGGCAAAATGTTGGAGGCAGAGTTTGCCTTTCAGTCTCTTTCTCATTTTCAAAGTTTTCCTTTCTGTCTTGCGTTGTGTCTTCAGATGCCTCCACATTCTGCCTACCACTAGAGCACCCACTCTCCTATCTGCCTAGAGCACACACATCTGTCATCATCAGGTGCTCATCCAGGGTTCACCGCCATCAGGCAAAGGACCACTTAGCTTATCTTTTTCATAAACTAATTTATGCTTAGATATGAATGACTACCCAGGCTGCCTAAGCTCTTAATAAATCAGAAACTTGCTGCAGAGATATAGAAGTTTGATGTGAAACAAGTTCATATTCAATTGGAGGTATCTCTAACAAACATTAAAGTGATTAATCTCACTAGTAATACCACCAGCACCCTCATTTTACAGAGTAAGAAACTGAGGCCCAAAAAAAGTGTTAATTGGACCATAGTTAATACTGACCTTGCCTGCGTTACATTAGGCATTGTAATCCAATACCTTGGATTACATTATTTTAAAAGTTGCAGTGTAGACCTTAAGTAACTGTTTAACAAACAACCTCTTGATTAAATAAGCATTTAAAAGTAAGTTGTTATTAAGACCTAACATTAGCTATAACTTTATTTTAGGTAGTACTTGAAGAAGTCTTTCTTCTGCAAAATATCCTTGTCTCATGTCACAGAACAACCCTGCATGTCTTGAAATGCATGTGACTTGTTAGTGCTTAAATAACAATACATGCGGTATGTATATATTCTTTACCTTAATTCCTACTTCTTTGATCTGCTTCTCTAAATATAAGTAATTCCGTAGCAAATGCATATTTTCCTCATTTTTATACTTTAGTTTTTTTTAAAAAAAAAAAAAAAACAAGAAAAAGAGGTAATTGGCAATATATCCTTTTTTTTTTTTTTTTTTTTGAGATGGAGTCTTGCTCTGTCACCCAGATTGGAGCGCAGTGGTGTGATTGATCTTGGCTCACTGCAGCCTCTGCCTCCCGGGTTCAAGCTATTCTCCTGCCTCAGCCTCCGAGGAGCTGGGATTACAGGCACACGCCACCATGCCTGGCTAATTTTTGTATTTTTAGTAGAGATGGGGTTTCGCCATGTTGGCCAGGCTGGTCTCGAACTCCTGGCCAGCCAGGCTGATCTCGCCCTCCTGGCCAGGCGCAGTGGTATAAGCCAAATAAGAATTGCTTGAACCTGGGAGGCAGAGGTTACAGTGAGCCGAGATCGCGCCATTGCACTCTAGCCTGGGTGACAGAGGAAGATTCTTGTCTAAAAAAAAAAAGTGGTATAAGCCACTGCGCCCGGCCAATATTTTCTATGTTTATAGCAAAATTGTTCAAAAACTGCATATGTACCTACAATATTTTTTCTTAAGAAATTCAAGTTTTGGGCTGGGCACAGTGGCGTATAGCTGTAATCCTAGCACTTTGGGAGGCCGAGGTGGGTGGCTCACCTGAGGCTAGGAGTTCAAGACCAGCCTGGCCAACATAGTGAAACCCCGTATCTACTAAAAATACAAAAAATAGCTGGGTGTGGTGGCTTGTGCCTGTAATCCCAGCTACTTGGGAGGCTGAAACACAAGAATCACTTGAACTCGGGAGGTGGAGGTTGCAGTGAGCCAAGATCGCGACACTGCACTACAGCCTGGGCAACAGAACAGATTCTGTCTCAAAAAAAAAAAAAAACGAAAAGAAAAGAAATTTGAATTTGTGTTTTGAGTTTGCCTTGAATTA
This sequence comes from Homo sapiens, assembly GCF_000001405.40. Taxonomy (NCBI): domain Eukaryota; kingdom Metazoa; phylum Chordata; class Mammalia; order Primates; family Hominidae; genus Homo; species Homo sapiens. The sequence continues at coordinate 178,472,030 of NC_000002.12, read as the reverse complement.
TTGTCAGGAGACAATAATTCTGTCATAAGGAGATAACTGGAAAAAATAGGAATGGGTTTTATAAAACAATCATTGACTCAATCTCTAGCTCTTCTACTCTAAAGTCAGGTAATATGTGGTGCATTAGGTTAGGACTTTTATGTTAGTCATATGATGCATGGGTAGATCTTTCTATGTTTTCTCTTTGAAAACTACTAATCTGCTACTCCTTTTGGCTATAACTCACAAACTCTTTTCTCTTCAGACTATATAAAGACTTTAGCTAGAATGCTTCACTTTTTTATTAAAGAAATTGCTGTTTCCTTCCAAGGACAAACATTTTAAAAATAAATGATATGGGTCATTCATTCGGCAAATATTGGACTGCCTGTAGTAGATTAGGCACTGTGTAGGACACTGGCAATATACTGATGACACAAGCTACCCGCTGCCCCTTAGCAAGTCATTTTTGCAAGTCACTTTTATGACATATTTATCTGAAATAGCCCATCACTTATTAAAATCACCTGTGACATCATGGCCTGGCACGGTGACTCACGCCTGTAATCCCAGCACTTTGGGAGGCCAAGGTGGGTGGATCCTTTGAGGTCAGGAGTTTGAGACCAGCCTGGCCAACATGGTGAAACCCCATCTCTATTAATAAAGTATAAAAAATTAGCCAGGATTGGTGGCAGGCACCTGTAATCCCAGCTGCTCGGGAGGCTGAGGCAGGAGAATTGCTTGAACCTGGGAGGCAGAGGTTACAGTGAGCCGAGATCGTGCCATTGCACTCCAGCCTGGGTGACAGAGGAAGATTCTTGTCTAAAAAAAAAAAAAAAATCTGTGACATCAGCTAATAGGTTAACTTAATTAAAGAGAGCAATTCTGGCCAGGCACAGTGGCTCACATCTGTAATCCTAGCACTTAGGGAGGCCAAGGCAAGCGGATCACCTGAGGTCAGGAGTTCAAGACTAGCCTGGCCAACATAGTGAAACCCCATCTCTACTAATAATGCAATGCCTGGTGTGCACCTGTAATCCCAGGTACTCAGGAGGCTGAGGTAGGAGAATGGCTTGAACCCAAGAGGCAGAGGCTGCAGTAAGCGGAGATTGCACCACTGCACTCCAGCCTGGGAAACAGAGTGAGACGCCGTCTCAAAAAAAATAAATAAAAATAAAAATAGGTATTCAACTTATTGCTTAAAAATGTATACAATTTCTTTGTAAAATTGTTACTGAATTTTTATTTTAATTCTTTTTTTTTTTAATAGAGACAGGGTCTCACTATGTTGCCCAGTTTGGTCTCAAACTCCTGGGCTCAAGTGATCCTCCTGTCTCGGTCTCCCAGAGTGCTAGAATTACACGTGTGAGCCACTGTGCCCAGCCTGTTACTGGATTTTTCTATCATTGCACTTATTTTTTAATGTCTATAAAAAATTTGAAAGACAAATATATTAATACTTATGTTTTATTTATGCTTCCAAATAACTACACAAAATCACTTTCTAAAAGATGACTCATCTATGCTTTGCAATTTTTCTGCCCATGCATTTCTTCTCTGTGCCACCTCTCTTCTGTGTTGATGATAGGAGAGTACAGTTGTCTCTCAGTACCTGTTAGAGATTGGTTCCAAGACCTTCTCATGGATTCCAAAATCCACAGAAGCTCAAGCCCCTGATACAAAATGGCATCACATTTGCACATAACCTCTGGACATCTTCCGGTGTACTTTAAATTATCTCTAGATTACTTATAATATCTAATACAATGTAAATGTTATGTAAAAGATTGTTATATTGTATTGGTTAGGGAATAATGACAAGACAAAAGTCTGTACATGTTTATTACAGACACAACTATCCTTTTTTTGTATGAATATTTTCAAGCCGAGACTGGTTGAATCCACAGATGCAGAACCCACAGATATAGAGGGTCATATCCATGCATTAATAAAAAGTTTATGATTTTTACTTAAATTAATCAAGAAATAGTGGTCCCATAGGTCCTTTGAATTGACTTGGTTTGGAAACATATGGAAAAAATATTCCTAAAAAAGTATTTATAAAAAAAAGAGAAAAAAAAACAAAAAAGAAAACTATTGAAAAGCCGAAAAAAGTTATAAAAGATGAGAAAAAATTAAAAATTGTGAGTATTCAGATAGCAATTCTTATCAACATGAAATAATATAATATGGTTATGGCAGTTCATGAATAGATATTTGAACTATATCTTTACATAAGTTAAACTGTTAAAATTTATACCCTTAGCAGAAGGCAAGATTCCACCGGATGCTACATTGATTTTTGAGATTGAACTTTATGCTGTGACCAAAGGACCACGGAGCATTGAGACATTTAAACAAATAGACATGGACAATGACAGGCAGCTCTCTAAAGCCGAGGTAATTCAAACCAATTTCATGTGTATAGTCTAATTTTTTTATCACAGTTTAAATACATCTGTGTTACAACTATTACTTTTTAGGTCTAGCTAGCATGGGCTCTGATCACTGCTTTTATAGAGCTGGTCACTAAAAAATAATCTAAGCGCTTAGAAAAAGCTCTAAGCTTTTTCAGTATAAACCTTGTGAGTCATCCTGTTCAATTGCCTTTCTCCCTGCAAGAGAGTCATTAAAATCCCGAATTATTTGTCTCTACAGTGCTCTTCCAGTTTCTAGATTACACTAGCATATCTCTTTTTCAGACAGCACTGTAAGAATTTGCAACAGGGCAAATAATTCACGCCTCATAGGATGATGAAAAGAGCTAGCAAGGGTCTGAATTGAGTGGGCTAGAAAGTTGGTAAACAGGAGCCAGAAGTTCAGCCAGCTAGCGTCTGTATCTCAGCCTTGTAATAAAGATCTTGTAATAATAATGATAATTGGGCTGGGCATGTGGCTCATGCCTATAATCTCAACACTTTGAGAGGCCGAGGTGGGAGGATTGCTTGAGCCCAGGAGTTCAAGACCAGCCTGGGCAACACAGGGAGACCCCCGTCTCTACAAAAGATTTAATAAATTAGCCAGGCATGGTGGTGCATACCTGTGGTCCCAGCTACTCAGGAGGCTGAGAGGTAGGAGGATCGCTTGAGCCCAGGAGGTTGGGGCTGCAGTGAGCTGTGATCATGCCACTGCACTCCAGCCTGGAAGATAGACTGAGACCTTGCCTCCAAAAAAAAAAAAAAGATAATAATAGATAACATTTATTTTATACTTTTAGTACCAGGTACTATTTATAAGCACATAAGTATGTGAACTTATGTAATCTTCATGATAGTTTATGGGGCAGACACTATTGTCATCATCTTCGCTTTTAGATGGGGAAAATAATAATCAGGTTAATCAGCCAAAAATCACACAGTAGTAAGGGGCAAAACCTGGGCAATCTGGCTTCATGACTGTTCTTACATTTCAATTTTTTAAATTTTTCTTAGAGACAGGGTCTTTCTCTGTTGCCCATGCCAGGGTGCAGTGAAGTGATCATAGCTCACTGCACCCTTAAACCCCTGGGCTCAAGCGATCCCCGCAGCATGCCACCATACCCAGCTAATTTTTTTTTTTTTTTTAAGAGATGGAGTCTCACTACATTGCCCAGGCTAGTCTTGAACTCCTGGCCTCAAGTGATTCTCCTTCTTCAGCCTCCCAAAGTGCTGGGATTACAGGTGTGAACCATCATGCCCAGCCCACTACTATATTTTTAACTTTGGGCCTAGACTGCTTCTTTCAGAGAAAATCATGAATGTTTCAAGTCTAATACTATTTATTGAATTCTAATGTCTTACTTAGTCCCACTGACGATACTCCTGCTTAAAATTAGTAAACCAGCTGTCTCCCCTCTTAACTAGTTAGGAGACATTTAAAAATGTGTAACTCTACCACATAAGTAAGTAGTAAAAGCTAACTAGGTTGATTTCAAGTAATAAAAATAAGTCTTTTTCTCTGTTTCTTTTTCATCTCCCTCTCCAATCCTTTCCCCACCCAGTTCAACTTCTTACACCAGGATATTAGTAATGACTTTCCCTTCAGGCATCTTGGTTGGCCAACAGTGGAAGAAGGAGAAGGGAACATGTCCTGTTCTTAAGAAGAAGGGCAGTTACCGGGGTGGCAAATGGTTCCCAAAGTGTACTTCTCTATTGACTCCTTATCACCCTTTTTTAGAGTGAATAGCAGCTGCAGATGAATTCGCATAGTACCCAAGAGCTCAGCCTATGCACACAGACCACTCATTATCACAGGCACACCAAGAGCCACGTTCTGCAGTATGAATACTCCTCAGTAAGACATTAGATGATCTTAAGTTCTTTTCTGGAAAATAAAAATAGAGAAAATCCAAAATAGTAATCTACTTATCTACAATTTCCCCAGATGTCTATGTGATATCAGCTGCTTTATTGCCAGATGGATGAGAGTGATTTTCACTAACTTGAATAACAATAGCTGTCTTTTATTGATGGCCATAATCATTATTCTAATCCTCATATCAATCCTACAATATAGATACTTACTTATCTCCTTTTACAGATGACAAAACTGAGGTTCAGAGAGGTTAATTTGCAGAAGACCACACAGCAAATCCAAGACAAAGCCTGAAGTAGAAACACGAACTAAAAAAACAAAAACAAAAACAAACAAACAAAAAACTTTATTCATTGTCAGAAAGATTAAGTAAACTATTTCATCAGTGTACAGGAAGGAACATTTAAAAAAGAAAAAGAAAAACTTTCTTTAATATTAATAAAGACGGAAAGGACGGGGGAAATACAGTATTTTATTAAATTAAAAAGTGGAAATAGTGTGGAACCCATTACTAGCAAAATTAAGGTCATGTTCTTACCCACTGTCTTTTTGTACCTCTGTACTGTAGTTTACTGGAAAAGGAGTCAAGTTTAAGCATCAGCAATATTGGTTATGTAAAAATAATTTGACTTACTTAGAAACTGAGAAATATTTGAAGGTATTAAAAATTGTTTACCCCTACATAGGATTGCTAAGCTTTGGCTGGAAGAAAAAAATGTGTCTGCCTCATGTAGGACCAAAGTCCCATTTGAGAACAGTTGATGTATCCTTCATTAAGGTCCACTGATTGCTCTAAAATAAAGTCAACTTGCAATGGGTTGACCCTGGGATATGTATTGCTAAAAACCTCTCAAACTCTAGCTTTCAAAAATACTCTTGCCTCTATAATGCCAGCCTTACTGAACATTACCTCCAGATGATTGTGCATTGCTTTCTTTAGTTATTATAAGGATTAGTGCTTTCCAAAGGAAATACAATTGTTACACATATAATTTTAAAATTTTTATAGTCACATCTTAAAAAGTAAAAAGATACAGGTGAAATTAATTTTAATGTTATATCTTCACTCAATATATCTATAATATTGCCATTTCAATATGAGATCGATGTAAAATTATCAATGAGATAACTTTTTGAAGTCTTCAAAATCTGTTATATATTTTATATTTATAGTAACATATCTCATTTTGATCTAGCCATGTTTCAAGTGCTCATTAGTCACATGTGGCTAGTGGCTACTATATTGGACAATACTTTTAATGTGTGTTTGCATATAGAAATTTTATATAATTAGTGAATACTTCAGGATTCTTTATTTGACATTATTAAAGAGATTATTATAGTTATGTAGACTTGGAGGAGAGCTATAGAAGCATAGAAAAACTTAAAATACTAAATTTTATTTCAAACCCCATGGTTGTGTTTTATTGATTATACAACATATTCATTAGTTTTAGAGATTATAGAAATGCCAATTGGGTTTCTTTCACTAATGGCAGTCATGCGTGATTTTCCTTTGATAATAGGAACAGCATGGATTATTAGAAAGCATTTAGTTTCAACAAAATTCAGTTTAAATATTAATCTTCGAGTATGTACCACTAACCATCTATCATCTTAGGGAAAACTAATTTGAAGACCTGTTTCTCTCCAAAACATTGCTTCAAAGAATAAGAAAAATAAAACCTCAAATAGCTTTTCATACTGTTGTATCATTTACTGTAAGTAATCTTGCACATGAGTTTCATTATTATAACTATTCCTTAAAGTTACTGGAAATTCACTGTGATACCTTTTAATTAAAGGAATGTTATTTTGGCCTTCCAGATAAACCTCTACTTGCAAAGGGAATTTGAAAAAGATGAGAAGCCACGTGACAAGTCATATCAGGATGCAGTTTTAGAAGATATTTTTAAGAAGAATGACCATGATGGTGATGGCTTCATTTCTCCCAAGGAATACAATGTATACCAACACGATGAACTATAGCATATTTGTATTTCTACTTTTTTTTTTTAGCTATTTACTGTACTTTATGTATAAAACAAAGTCACTTTTCTCCAAGTTGTATTTGCTATTTTTCCCCTATGAGAAGATATTTTGATCTCCCCAATACATTGATTTTGGTATAATAAATGTGAGGCTGTTTTGCAAACTTAACTTGCAGGAATGGTATGACTGTGTTTCCTACTGCTTTATTCTGTAAACAAGAATTGTAGCACCATGAAACAGACCTCTGGGTCCCAGTGGGCATTTTTTCCCCTTTCAGGATGTAGGAGGACATGTATAGTATGTCAAAAACTGCAAGCTTTTCCCAACTTTAACCTTACCAGCATGTTAATATCCAGTTTTTTTATAGTTTAAAAGTTAAAGTGCCTCATATTTTGAAAATATCCATTAAGGACCCAGGAATTAGCATTTCACTTGTTTATACATTTTTATAACATTATGAAGACGATATAAAAATCCTAGAACTGAAGAGTCTTCCTTTGGTATATGTGCAGGAAGATAGTTGTATATCTCTGTTCCACAAAGAACGCAACACAGTCTCTAAACTTTTTGGTGTAAGCTTCTAGCCTTGGGTATTTTCCAGTGGGGAATGTTTAAAAATATTTGACCAAACCAAAGACTTTTTGCCTCTTATAGCAAGCATAAAGACTGTACTGCCTGGCTTTTGTATTCCTTCAGACATTATTGTAAATGTGCAACTCCTCTTCCCTCTTGTAAACCTTTATAAGATGTCTGCCACCCCAAGCTTTTGTCTTGATAGTTTTAAATTGATGCCATGAAATTTCTTAGTTTTCGTTCCCTTTCTCTAGTTATCTCTTTCCTTATGTCACCTCATTTCCCATCATTCTTGTCACTAATGATGAATGATCATTACAAATTGGTATGCTGTCAAATTTTGATAAATGTGCCAAACAAAGGAGGATATACAGTGCCATGGCAATTTTGTGTCATGGTCAAGTTATGATATCATATGACTTGAGAATAGTATGTAAGAGATGCTGTAGAAGATCACGTTGGTACCAAAGAAAGGGCACATGTCTATCGGAACATAGATTTTGCATACTGCATGGTATGGTCAGGCTTTGTGTCCACACCCAAATCTCATCTTGAAATTATAATCCCCATAATTTCCATAATCCCCACATGTCAATGGAGAGACCAGGTGGAGGTAACTGAATCATGGGGGTGGTTTTCCCCGTGCTGTTCTCATGCAATCTGATGGTTTTATAAGTGTTTGGTAGTTCCTCTTGCATTCATTCTCCCACCCGCCACCTTGTGAAGAAAGTCCTTGCTTCCCCGCCTTCCACCATGATTGTAAGCTTCCTGAGGCCTCCCCAGCCATGGGGAACCATGAGTCAATTTAACCTCTTTCCTTTACAAATTACCCAGTCTGGGGCAGTTCTTTATAGCAGTGTGAAAATGGACTACTACACTGCATATATAGGAAAGTATGGTCAGACAGTAAATAGCTCTGTTCAAAATAATTGAGTTCCAAACAAGTAAAGTTTTTTCTACCTTCTGAAACTTGCTCTTTCCAAACCATTGTTCATCCTTTAACTTCTTTACACTATCAAAAATTCTATTTAAAAATAGAGGGCTTTCAGATGAGTACATACAAAAACAAACAAAAGTATACATAGGGGTAACACAACCATGAGATTAGTAAATAATACATATGGCTAGCACATAATTTGACACCTTATAAAACAAGAATCTGTACTATCTTTTCCTTCCTCCCAATATTTCTTCATTTCTATGCTCAATTTTCTAATACTTTTTCACATGCTTAATCATTTACTCTTTCATCGCCTTCCCTCAAAAAAACCTGCTCCGTTGAAGTAAACTAAGTAACTCAATATTCTTTATTTTGGTTTGGAACCTGTCTCAATTTTTTGTATCCATATTAAGAAGTCACCCTATAATCTAAACTTTGTAATTCTAATTTTTTTGTCCCATTATCATACAAAGTGCTTTTAAACTTGTTTTTAAAAAATGACAGATAATGCCACATGAATAGGAAGATGATTCATTCTAAAACTTGTATTTACATAATTAAAAATAAATTTATAATCATTCTACATACAATACAGTGTACAAGTATTTCATATATCTGCATGATTGCCTTATGCCTTCATATGCATATATGTGGCATTGAGTGCTGTGACTACATTTTGAGTTCTAGAATTTTTTTTTTTTTTTTTTTTTGCAGGTGCAAGATTTAATAGAGTGAAATAGAGTGAAAACAGAGCTCCCATACAAGGAGGCGACCCAAAGGGGGTTGCCATTGCTGGCTGGAATGCCTGGATTTATATCCTGATCCTTGTCCCTCCCGCTGTGCTCTCAGGCAATAGATGATTGGCTATTTCTTTACCTCCTGTTTTTGCCTAATTAGCATTTTAGTGAGCTCTCTGATTGGTTGGGTGTGAGCTAAGTTGCAAGCCCCATGTTTAAAGATGGATGTAGTTACCTTCCCAGCTAGGCTTAGGGATTCTTAGTCGGCCTAGGAAATCCAGCTAGTCCTCTCAGTCCCCACTCTCAACAGGAAAACCCAAGTGCTATTGGGGAGGTTGGCCGATGACTGCTCTAACTGCTTCCTGCTGAACTGGGGCATAGGAGGGGTTGTGCAGCTGAGATTTCCTTGGGAGGGGTGCCTTCGATGTCATTAACACCAGAGCATGGGCTGGGAGACCGGTCCGGGGGTCTACGGTGGATCTTAGTCATGGACTGCATCTGGGGCTCCATTTGATGAACCATTTGTAGTTTTACAGTTTCAATTCACCTTGGAGGTCCCTTCGTGGTCGCCAAAGTGTTACCGGGGGTCCTTGCTCCCAGAGCTCCCAAGAAGGTGGTGGGCGACTTCCAAAATGGCGGCAGGCCACTTCCAAGATGGTGGCAAGCCCCGTGTTCTCTGACCTGGGGTTGTTGGCCTCACGGATTCCAAGGAATGGAATCTTGGGCCATGCAGTGAGTGTTACAGCTCTATTAGAAGTCATGGGTCACAGAAAAGAACCGTGGAACCCAGTGACTAGTGTTCAGCTCAATTAGGACGAACCCAGGCACTTAGCCGTGCAGGAACAATGGCAAGCCTTTAGCCTGATCAGGAGCGGCAATGGGCGCCTCACTGGATCAGGAGCACAGCGGACACCCTGCCAGATTCAGAGGGATGGGAGTCAGCAGCGGGTCTGTGACGGTGGCAAACAGCAGTGGTGGACGGCGAGCAAAAGCTCAGCTCGAGCCTTAACAAACATGGACCAGAAGAGTGCAGTTGCAAGATTTAAGACAGTGAAATAAAGTGAAAACAGAGCTCCCATTCAAGGAGGGACCCAAAGGGGGTTGCCTTGAGTTCTAGAATTTTAACATTTTATTCATTTTATAATTATTTTAATAAAGGTAAATAGTAATTTAGGTTGTTTGTGTATGAAAAATTCAGATTTCTCAGCAGAGTAGATTAAAAAGATCTTTCAGAATTGAATATGTTAAATGTTTTAAACATTTTCAAAGAAACAGATGTGTCTTACCTGTCTTAACTTCACAATGACCGTATTGCGTTTTATGAAGACAAAACTCGTGAGCATATCCACATCATAGAATGGCAGCCCATTACTACTATCAGTCACCTTGTTAACTGTGTACACAAAACCCCATGTTGAGTTCAGTGTGCTTTTAATTTGATACTGCAATTAAACATTTAAGATTGCATTAAATTATTAACACATTTTTCTCATTTTACCAGACCAAAGGCAATAGTTGAAACACCAAAAGTTGCTACTTGTGCAGTCTTGTCATCCTTACATATTGAACTGAAAGTTGATTGAAAATAAAATTGGTATTTACAAAAATCTCTTAATTATATAAAAAGTTATCTAGGCCAGGCACGGTGGCCCATGCCTGTAATCCCAGCACTTTGGGAGGCCGAGGAAAGTGGATCACAAGGTCAGGAGTTCAAGATCAGCCTGGCCAAGATGGTAAAACTCTGTCTCTACTAAAAATACAAAAAATTAGCCAGGCGTGGTGGCAGGCGCCAGTAATCCCAGCTACTCGGGAGGCTGAGGCAGAGAATTGCTTGAACCCAGGAGGCAGAGGTTGCAGTGAGCTGAGATCATGCCACTGTACTCCAGCCTGGGTGACGGAGCAAGGCTCTGTCTCAAAAAAAAAAAAAAAAAAGGTGAACTAAAATGATAGACTACATCCCAAAAATGATTCTAAAGTGACTGGCATGATTCATAATCTCTGAATTTTATATGTAAATCTTTTTTGATATAAACAATGTTATTAATTTTCATGACAACTTAAGAAATAGACACTACTGTTATAATTGCTACTTTATAGATAGGGAATATGATACCCAGACAGGTTAATTTCTTTTTGCTTTTCTCATTTTAATTTAATTCATCAAAGCAAACCTAGATAATTTAGGGAAGGTTTGTGGCACAACTGCACCTAAAACACCAACACGGTGTATTCATTTTTCATTTTATTTCATCCTCTTGTGCCAAATATCAAAACAAGGAACTGCATGAAGTCTCACATACTTCTGACCATCAACAGAACACTGAAAGCACCCATAAACTGTCTCCCTTTTGAAGTTCCCCATTCCACAGAGTATGCAAGGCCCTTTGGGAATGTTGTGATTAAGTAAGTTAACTCGGATATGGGTCCCTTCTTTGAGTGAAATATCAGTCATGCTGAGAGGTTTGTCATAGTAGTCAGAAAAAAGATCATCCAAGTAAAGCTGTGAACGAGAAATGACATCCATCACTCTTCTATCTAAAAGGACAAAAACAGAAAAGAAATGTGTTAGAAGTGAAAATGAAAAATACATAATGCAAACAGCATTAATAAATATGTGAATCCACTAGTCATGAAATAATTTGGCTTTTTTTTTTTTTTTTTTTTTTTTGAGACAGGGTCTGGCTCTGTCACCCAAGCTGGAGGGCAGTGGCACAATCTCCACTTACTACAACCTCCGCCTCCCACGCTCAAGTGATCCTCCTACCTCAGCCTCTCAAGTAGCTGGGACTACAGGTGCACACCACTGCAACCAACTAATTTTTTTTCTTTTGTATTCTTTGTACAGATGGGGTTTTCTCACATTGCCCAAGTGTTTCAAACTTCTGAGTGCTAGCAATCTGCCTGCCCTGGCCTCCCAAAGTGCTGGGATTATAGGCATGAGCCACCATACCAGCCAGGCTTTTAAATTTAAATTTTTCCTTAACAGATGAGATTACTGAATAGAAAACCTCATGTGTTAAGCCAGGAAAGAAAAAAAAAAGACATTCACAGTACTCTTCAATAAACATACTTCTTTCAAATAGGATATTTCTCAACCTGTACAGCAGTGCAAATGTTGCCGTTTCTTCCCTTTCAAATCCTCCTTTTGACACTGAAGTGACACAAAGGTCTACAAAAAAAATTGTTAGAAGATGTTATAACTTGAATAATTCATATTTTATTGTTTGATGGGGTGATGAATTCTAGTACAAATCATTCATTGTATTGTTTTTAAAAGTTGACTTTTACATACTTTTGGAAAAGGTAACATTCACATGGTACAAAATTCATACAGAAAGGAGATACAGTGACAAATAGGTCTCTGGCCCACCCTGTATCCAGCCACAGTCTTCTACCTCAGGGGCTTAGGGGCACCCGTGGTTTAAGTTTCTTATGTTTGCTTCCAGAAATACTCCATATATTTTATAAGCATAAAGAAAGATGCATATATACATGTATGTGTATAAAATTATTTATGCCCAAATAGTTACATATTATACTCAGCTCTTGAAAAATATCTATTAAAAGTATTATATTCTTATTGGCTTCATAGTATTCTCTTGCAAGGATGCACCATTATTTAGTCTCCTTAATGTTGTTTCCAATCTCTTGTTATTGAGGACTGAATATACTTGCACTCATATCATTTCATATATGTGTAAATATATCTGTAGGATAAATTCCTAGAAGTGGAAGTCCAAATTATATATATATTTTAAATTCTTGTGGATATATCAGTCCATTTACATTCCTCCCAACCATCAATAAAACTGTAAAAACCTAAAGTTATCCAATTAGAATTTACTTAATAAGACCTAGTATTTGGAAGCATAATAGGGTGACTACAGTCAAAATAATGTAATTGTACAGTTTTTTCTCCATCTTAGACTGAGAATTTGTACATTTTTAAATAACTAAAAGAGTATAATTGGATTGTTTGTAACACAAAGGATAAATGCTTGAGGGGATGGATACCCCATTTTCCATGATGTGATTATTATGCACTGTATGCCCGTATCAAAATACCTCATGTATCCCATACATAAATATATATATAATCTACTATATAGCCACAAAAATTAAAAATATTTTTTAAAAAGACAATTTACTTAACATGTAGTTTTGTTTTGTTTCTGGACTCCCTATTCCCTCCTCCTACAAAATTGCAGAAATGAACAAGAACAGGTCTAAAAACATTTGTAAATTACCATGGCTAGGGGCTGCCTTTCCTGATCCCTTGGGCTACACCTGGACTTGTTCCAGTTGGCCAACAGACCTTAAAGACCTGTGAAATGTAGAGACCTAAAGTGAGCTGCACTTAGGTATTATACAAGGTGACAATTTTGGAGGAAGTATTTTCACTTTTTAAAGTTATTTTTTAGGAAGAGTGCAAGGGGAAGCTGGGTCTATGATAAGTAAAACTGAAGTAAGAAAAGCTGTCTTTAGAGGCCCTGGTTTGGGCATCCTAACACTTCAGGCATCCTACTATCTACCTACTCCTCTGTTTGCCACCATCAAAAACTACCTATAAGAAGGTCATTTATTATCTCCCCATGTAAGCTAAGGAATACTTTGTCAGTAGATGGCATTTTAGCTCTTATTTATAATTTTAAATGGGGTAGTGGAGAGTTTACAACCTTCACCAAGAAGCAGAAAAGTGGAATGGGGAAGCAGCGAACGGAGGGTCTTTCTCAGCTATTTTGCCAAAGCATAAGATTGACAGTGCTGAGAGCATCTTCTATAATTGTTAGACACGAGAAATGAGAGAAAAGAGAGAGAGAGAGCACATGCCCTAATGAATGCTCCTTAAAAATATAATCATTTGTATTTCATGCAGACCCTTAACTCACCAAAGGCACCATCCAGGTATATGAAGAGTTCAAAAACACTGAAAGCTATGGTTGTATGTGCTGGGAAAACAATAGCTTTGTCCCTTCCCTTGGGATTCTGTTCATCCATAAAGTGAAACTATATTGAATAAATAAATAACATAATTAAGGATCATAACATGTAAGGATAGCTTTTTGGAGAAATGAAACATTTCCTATAATCCTACCAAAAACAAAACAAAAAATTCCCAAGTAAAGGATTATTCTGCTTGAATTAAACCATTTTTTATAGCAGAGATCCAATTGGTCCAACAGAAACTCCTGGTCTATATTAGGAAATACCTCTGCACTTTTCACTTACTTTGGTATTACAGCCCATGATTAGTGCTACCACAACCATAATGCTCTGGAGCAGAAGCCTTTTTTTTTTTTTTAACAGGAAATCTTAGAAAGCAGTGCCAGAGTTAAAGTTTTCAGCCTAGCCTGTCTACCATTCCAAAGCCCTCCAGAGCTTTTAGTAGCTTTCTAAAGCAATCGCTAACAATCAAGTAAATGTTTCAGTTTGTGCCTCAAAAATGATCCAATGTTAATCAGAATTTGACAGGCAGCTGAATATGCGAAAATAACTTTTATTTGCAAAGACTTGAAAAGATTATCCTTGAACCCTATCTTTCTAACAATTGGTTTTAATCCAATCAAGTCATTATTAGGTGTCACTGAATGACAAAGATAAACAATATCATAATTGAGCTGAAAATTAAACACAGATACTTTTCCAATTTTTTTTTCAGAGACAGGGTCTCTCTCTGTCACCCAGGCTGGAGAGCAGTGGCACAATCATAGCCTACTGTAACCTTGAACTCCTGGCCACTCCTGCATCCTAAGGTGTCCCCGCCAAGTCCTGAGCTCGAACCTGCAAACTGCTGGTTGGACGCGAAGCCCATGGTCGTCAGCTGAGCCCGTGGCCCCGGGCCCCTAGTTGGATGGCTGCTGGCCCCAGAGAAGTCCGAAGGCAAATGGGTGGTTTGGAGAAGAGACTGCTACATCTTCCCCAGCACAAAAGCACGGCTTTTCAAAGCCTCCCAAATTCTAAAAGACAATGACCCAAACCCCGCAGGCAGCCCCCTGCCTCAGCCTTCCGAGTAGCTGGGACTATAGGCATGTGCCACCACAACCAGCTAATTCTTTTATTTTTTGTAGAGACAAGGTCTCATTATTTTGCTCAAGTTGGTCTTGAACTCCTGGTCCCAAGCTGTCTTCCTATCTCAGTCTTCCTAAGCACTGGGATTACAGGCATGATCCACTGCACCTTGCCGCTAATATTTTTTAAAGGATTTAACTAACCTTGAATAAAGCATGTATGGCCATTGATAATATTAACTTTGAAAAACTATTTGAATATAAAAATATAAATTCAGGCCAGGCGCGGTGGCTCACACCTGTAATCCCAGCATTTTGGGAGGCCGAGGCTAGCGGATCACGAGGTCAGGAGATCGAAACCATCCTGGATAACACTGCCGGGCGTGGTGGCAGGTGCCTGTAGTCCCAGCTACTCGGGAGGCTGAGGCAGAAGAATGGCATGAACCCGGGAGGCGGAGTTTGCAGTGAGCCAAGATCGCGCCACTGCACTCCAGCCTCGGGGACAGAGCGAGACTCCGTCTCAAAAAAAAAATCTATAAATTCAGCTTTAAAAAATTCAAAGTGTAAAAACTCTATCACTTAAATCAATTCAACTTAAGCACTCAATTTTTATTCTTAAAACAGCACTTAAATAGTAATATGAGGGACTCCAGTATGCATGTAATTTCACAAGGATTACTGTTTTTGCATTATGTTACACATTTTTTTTTTGGTTGGGGTTTTTGTTTTGTTTTGTTTTTTTGAGACGGAGTCTCACTCTGCCACCCAGGTTAGAGTGCAATGGCACAATCTCGGCTCACTGCAACCTCCACCTCCCAGGTTCAAGTGATTCTTGTGCCTCAGCTTCCTGAGTGGCTTGGGATTACAGGGGTGTACCACCACACCTGGCTAATTTTTGTATTTTCAGTAGAGATGGGGTTTCTCTGTGTTGCCCAACTTGATCTCCAACTCCTGACTGCAAGTGATCCGCCCACCTCGGCCTCCCAAAATGCTAGGATTACAGGCGTGAGCCACTGTGCCCAGTCAAAAACTGTATCACTTAAAAATAAAATCAATTCAACTCACTCAATTTTTATTCTTAAAACAACACTTAAATAGTAACTTGAGGGACTCCAGTATGCACGTAATTTCACAAGGATTACTGTTTTTGCATTATATTACACATGTTTAGAATCCCAAGATTTGTTTTTTTTTTTCATATTCTAGAACAGACATTGCTGTGCAAAATCCTATACAACTGCAGCTCTTTCATCAGAACATTTCACAAAATACACAAGCCTGACTAGAAATTCAATACTTAAAAAAATTCCCATGGCAACACTTTAGTTAGTAAGAGAACCCAACAAGTGTGGTTTACCCGCATTGCTTCCCCTCGAATTCCAGCATGCACAGACAGTGAGCACTGTCGTGTGGTTCGGATGCTCTCCATGACCACACACAATACTGCCTTTCTGCTGCTCCTTGACTGACGTATCAAGCTGTGGTCAAAGTTAATTTTTCTAAAATAAAGAAGATACATTCACAAGACTCTATAACATCTAATTACACATAATCAAATACATTTTTTGCTATCATGTGTTATTCATTCATAGTTCACCTAATAGTAAATCAAGGCAATCCTAATAGTCAGAAAATACACCCAAAAGAAATGTAATAATTTGTCTCTCCTCTCTATTTTCTTAAAACATGCTTATGCAGAATGTTTCACTCTGTCTGTTGAAAGTCTGTTGAAGGGGACTCTATTTGTTGCAGACAGATTGCTGTATTATTTAAATCTAATAATTAAGCAAATGTGTGTAGAGCCAAAGTAATTTTGTGGAACAATTAAAAGTTTTGTTTAAGCCAAGTGGTTTTTTTTTTTTTTTAGCTGGGCAAATCATTTTAATGTGTAACAGTAGGCCAACTGGGGAGGACAAGACCCCAAGCCCCAGCCTTTCTCCTGATGCCCTGGGACCTGTGTGCCTGGGCCAGTCCCATGCCTGCCCCAAGCCCTGAGGCCCACAAGTCCCAGAGAAGAGTGGGAAAGAAAGTTGGGTGGTTGCAGCTCAGCCCCAAGAGTTCAGGGAGGGAAAAACAGGGGCTAGTTGAATTTAGCCTTGGAAAAATCCATCTCCGGATGCTGATCCATGAACTTCTTCAGAATCTCCTGTTTCTTCTGTTCGTCTGAGGTTGGCAGCCCCATGGACTTCTGTTACTGGTCATAGATTGTCTTTTCCACCATGATGTGAGTCTCACTGTCCAGGTCTGACAGCTTGGAATTCTCAGGGTTAATCTTCTTGGTATTGATCTCAGGGTCACTGGACACCAAGCGGCTCCACCACTCCATCTTCTTGATCTTCTCCAGATGCACAGTCACCACCTTGCCGTCCTCAATGAGCCACGAGCTCTCCTCCGCCTTCACTTCGTTGTAGAGCTCCCCATCGATGATCGCTGGCTGCCCCTTGAGCCCCACCTGGAGGTGCCGCCGTTGGATGCCACCACCACGTCCTTCCCTTTCAGCTGGAAGTCCACACAGAAAGGGACCGCCAGGTCCAGCTCCGACAGGGTCTTGGTCCAGCGGTAATCAGGCAGGTCTGCCCTGTTGCCTAGGTTGGGCTTCAGTTTTCCTTTGTCCTTCTCATCTTCCTCCTCCTCATCTTCCTCAGTCTTCTGCTTCCCTGGGGAGTCAAGGCTGCCATTCTTGATCTGGGCCTCATGATTCTCTGCATCCTATTTCTGGTCAATCTCTAGCTGCAGCCTCTCTGCCTCTTCATCAGTTAGCTCCTTGATCTGGGGCCCTGAGGTCTCTGACTTCAGCCAAGTGATTTTTGATATCTATCCTTATTCAAAGTTTGGATATACTACCAATGTATTTCAAACATATCTAGCAAATTACACTAGTAAAATACAACCTCAATGTTTTAAGCATTCTTTGTAATGAAGTTTATATACCTAAAGTATTTAATGAAAACACTGAAATATATTAGGATTATTATACTGACCGTGTAGTAATTTCTTTGAGTAATGTTGATACTTCCACTTCATGTTTGGTTACTATACCAAATGAAGCTTTCACTGCAATGGAATCTGATCCAGCAACGTTAATCCCAACGTCATTTACAATATGGTTACCTCGCCTTCCATAGAGTGAAACATCTGATTCATCTTCATAATTCAGTAATTGATAAGATGAAATACCTTTATAAGAAGAAACTCAGTATTTTTTAAACATCTTTATCTTATGTAGATTATATATAGTAACATGTTAAATTAACAATTGAAGACTCAAATACCCAAATGTTAGAGAAAGGCAACATGACTCACCAAGACTTAAAGTAGTAATTCAATTAATCTTACAACAAAAAGAAACACATAGCCAGAATTCTTAAAAGGAACTCAAATTTTCTATTCAGCCAACAGAACTTCTTAAGCATCAAGATCCACCGGGCAATTAAAAGAAAAAATAAGCGTTTATAAGTAGTAACTCATCAAAATATCAGCTTATTATATAACCTACCCTTCAATACATTTCAGTTTACCAATTGTAATAATTGAATTGTAAAAAATAAATACAAATTATTTTCATCTCATTTGACCATGTAACATAGGTAAGCCCAAATAATATCCCATTTTATAGATGAAGAAATATGTCATATTCTAAGTTGATTTGGTTAAAACAATTTATAAAATAATTGATAGATTTGAAAATTATTTGACCAATAAGAGATTTGATATTATACAAACTTTTGGCATTGTTAATCTTAATAATGTTATTACACTAACATCATAATAAAAGTTGCTTTAATCATTGAAAATGTGTATTACTAACATAAGTAGCATATATGACCTATGTTTAGGTTGCCAATAATACAGATGAATGAGTTGGCACTCCCAAACATTTAAACTTACCAGCTGAAATTTCTCTGTCTCCTAGGAGAATATCTTTCAGTGTAAAAGGTGTTGAAGTAAATTTATATCTAGGAAACAGAAAGCATCGCTTCTTTTTTACCACCAGACTTAGAGGTTGATATTTGTCAGCTTCACTGAGGCTTGGAACAGGAACTAATCTCCCTCCATCTCCAACTTGCTTGACAAAGCTCTTGGTAGCAGCAGCAAACATATTAAAATCAAAACGTCATCAACTGCAACCCCCAGATAAATCCATTTTTAAAGAGGAAAATCAGGCACAAAATTAAGCATTGCTTGTTTTTAAATATAATTATACATCTTAAAAATACAAAGCATGGTTTCACCAAGTAGTTTACCACTGTATAATTCCCTGCCTCTGCTCATGTGCTCAGGTAATGAATTATAGATCAACGGTGTAAAATGATATGCTAAGAGCATGTTTAACTTGGAATGGCAGGCTATAGCACTAAAATATACACAGAAAACTAATAACGTAAAAATATGACCAATGTCTATGATAAGGATCACAGTAGATAGTGATTTGCCACTGGCAATGGGCCAATTTTAAGGGAAGCATATAGTGCTGTGGGAAGCAATGCAATTTAGGCACTAACGATAGTCCCGGATACAATCTACAGTGGACCTAGTCCAAAGGGAATTCCTTCACAAGTCCACCACCGGAATTTTGGCAACACCAAAGTGCTGTTTTGAATCCTCATGGCATACAGCTCATTGATTGAGCATTTCATTCATTTTCCATCTTATATGCTTACAAAACTGTGTTTAATATTAAATATAAATTCACAGATATAAACAATTATATGCAAATCTTTATTTAAAAAATAAAGCCACATTACATATAAGTAACTATATAAACTATTACCTAGTGGTTTCTTACTCTGAAGTTGGGCACACAGACTCTCTCTCTTTGAAATGGAGTCCTGCTGCATCTTTTTGTTTCATTATTATCCCAGCTACTTAACCTTTAACAAGAGCTATATAAAGTTCTGGCCTGTTTTTAAGTAATTTTGTGGCAAAAAATGAATTTTACCTGAGTGCTGAAATGTTTTGCCATAGGTGTTATGCGGAGTTCATATATTGTGAAATACTGACTATGTAGCCCTTCCAATAAGATATCCATTAAAACAGTGATGGATAGTAATCTATATACATACATATATAGACGGAGAGGAAGAGAGAATAGGCTCTAATTAAAGCATCAGATGATATAATTTGATTAGATTCTGAACATCTTTCACTTGTTTCAAGCATCCAGGGCTTACATGCTAACAAAACAACAAATCGCTTTTTTTTTTTTTTTTTTTTTTGAGAGGGAGTCTGACTCTGTCGCCCAGGCTGGAGTGCAGTGGCGCGATCTCGGCTCACTGCAACATTTGCCTCCCGGGTTCAAGCGATTCTCCTGCTTTAGCCTCCCGAGTAGCTGGGATTACAGGCGCATGCCACCACGCCCGGCTAATTTTTGTATTTTTAGTAGAGACAGGGTTTCACCATGTTGGCCAGGCTGGTCTCGAACTGCTTACTTCAGGCGATCCGCCAGCCTCGGCCTCCTAAAGTGCTGGGATTACAGGCGTGAGCCACCGCGCCCGCCCATAAATCACTTTTAATAATATCCTTTCGTACGAATAGCATTGTGCAAGCAATCTTCCATAACACCGAGTAAGCACAGGGGAGCATTTCTGCTAGTGCCTAGCAAGCCCCTGGAGAAGCGACACGTCATCTAATGGCCCACCAAAGGTGCTGCATCCCAGGCAAACGCCATTACAACCGACTACCCAGGTCCCCGGAAAGGCCTTCGTTTACTCCTAACGTGTTTTGCTGGGATGCACTGACCCAGCGTTCCATCTCGCGACGAAAGCCCAGAAGACAAAGGAGCCCGCCCGGCGGGAGAGGAGCGGGTGTTTGGACGTCCCCGCGTGTTCCTAAACACAGGGCTCGGGGACCCGAAGAGCGCACCGCAGCCCCCTGGAGCGTATATATCCGGGGTCTCAAGCTTCAGGACCAGGCCCGGGAGACTCCCTGGAATTCTGCCTTCGTAATTTTAGAATCTTTTTCTTAAAGTGACCCAGCCCCCAATCCGTCCTCCCCACAAAGGCTTAACTTTAGGCCTCAACGACCCTAGACCCACGCCGGACAATCCCTCTAATCCCTCTCTCCCGGCAAGAAACGGCCTCCTGCTAAGGACAAAGAACTGCGGCCTAGGGGCCAGTTACTACAGGCTGGTCAGGGCCGGCAGGGGCGGGCGCGGAGAACCCCCGGGAGCCCAATGCCTGTGCCCACGCGGGAGCGGGGCGGAGCCGGGCGGGAAGGGGGCGGACCCTGGAAGGGACAGGGGCGGAGTTGGGCCGGGACGGAGGCCCGCAGAGGAGCAGCGAGGGGGCGTAGCCGGAGCTACGGCACCAAGGCTCCGCCCCCACCCTGCCTGCCCCCTCGCTGGAGCAACGCAAGCAGGAGGCGGGGGAGTCGGAGGAGGTGGCGGCGCTGGAGCTCCTCCCGGGGACCAGCGACCCGGGGAGCGAGCACGTCGCTCCGCACCGCTCTTCCTCCAGCCGCTGAGCCGTCCCTTCTCGCCATGTCCCAGAGCAGGCACCGCGCCGAGGCCCCGCCGCTGGAGCGCGAGGACAGTGGGACCTTCAGGTCAGCGTGCGGGCAGTCAGGGCCCCAGGGCCGGGAGCGTTGGGCGGCAGGGCCGGGGCGCGGGGAGCCGGCCCTCCAGAGGCATTCTGGGTAAAGCCGTGCCCGGCGCCCACGCCTCCGCGGCTGTGGGTGCTCGGCCCCGCCCTCTCGGCGGCGAGGGTTGGGGTCTGCGGCCGGGCCCCGCCCCTCTCGTGGTCCCTGGCGGCGCGCGGGGCGGGCGGAGGTGACGCTCGGTCGGCGCGCCCGGGAAGGGATCGTCAGGTTTTCCCTGAGAGGCTGCGGCGCTGCTGCCAGCCCTGTTCTGTTGAGAATCTCTCCTACCCGCATTCAAGTGCTCTCTCTAAAGACCTCGCTCACCCCGCCTGCTCCTGCGGAGTGACTGCCGCAGCGGGGCCGGAAGACAGGTGCGCCCCAGCCTCGCCAGCTCTGGCCCTGGCCTCCGGGGAACTCGGCGCCTCCCTCGTCACCGTCGGTGGCGGTTAAAACTGGCCTCTACGCTTCTGCTTCAATCTCCAATTTGGCATGCAAAGCACACCTTTTTGTGGTTTTTGCAGTTTGGGGAAGATGATAACAGCTAAGCCAGGGAAAACACCGATTCAGGTATTACACGAATACGGCATGAAGACCAAGAACATCCCAGTTTATGAATGTGAAAGATCTGATGTGCAAATACACGTGCCCACTTTCACCTTCAGAGTAACCGTTGGTGACATAACCTGCACAGGTCTGTATACACAGTTAACCTGGATGACCGAGTGGGTTGGCAGTCAATACTTGGTGTTGCTTTTCAGTTCGGAAAAGTTCTCTTTTTGCCAGACAGCTGTGAGGAACAGGCTCTGAAACTGAGACCTCTCATCTCAGGTCGTTAGGGCTTTTCAGCTGCATCTGATTCTCTTCCTAATTTTCTCTTCCCCACATACCAAGGAAGCTTAGAAACTAAAAAGTTACCCAGCCGGATGGCTGGATCCTGCATGGCTCTTCTCATACCCTAGGATCCTCCTAGGGTTCTTCTTAGAATTAGAGGGAAGCAGGAAAGGTTCTTGGAGCAGTCATAGCTGGGTCAGTAGGTACTGTGAAGTTTCATAGATTATAGCGGATGCCAGGAGGCATGACCCCAGAATTTTCTGAGCGTCTCTCCTCTCTGTATGGACTCATTTGGCACTTTAGGTCCATTGTGCTACTTTTGATTCTGTATCCAAACAAAATGAGGAAGGGGAGAAGGTCCTCATATATTACATAATAACTTCTAGTTTTTGAAACTGAACAGATATTTTGTATATTATCCACTTTTTAAACAAGAAGAAACAGGTTCAGAGAGATTATAAGTAACATGCGTATAGCAATGAAGTCACAAAGCAATGAAATTTTAAAGTTCATGCTTTCTTTTGGTCTGTGAGCTTGAGCAAATGATAACTAAAGTTGCTCATTTGTAAATGTGGACATTATTTTTCTTATGTATCTATTTAATTGCAAACACAGAAAACATTGGATGCTAAATTTAATTTGGAAGAATGCCAAGAAAAAAATTTAGTAGGAAGGCTC
This sequence comes from Homo sapiens, assembly GCF_000001405.40. Classification (NCBI taxonomy): domain Eukaryota; kingdom Metazoa; phylum Chordata; class Mammalia; order Primates; family Hominidae; genus Homo; species Homo sapiens. The sequence continues at coordinate 178,449,423 of NC_000002.12, read as the reverse complement.
AAGTTCTACCATCTGGAAAATCTGAAGACAGCATTTGTTTGTGTCCCTGGAAGTTTGGAGTCTTTTATTTTAATTGATGCCACTTTAAGAAAAGTTTAAAACTTTTTGTGTGAGGCAGTTAGATTGTAGGTGCTGGCCGGAAGGGTCCCCATGGGAACCATAGAGTCAACACTGCATTACTTACTTTAGCTAGTCTATTTCTAGATAGGAAGAATTCAAGAAAAGGGAGGGTTTTTCCCTCTCAATGTGTTTTAGACCCCAAATTAACAACCTATGGCAACCGTTCTGCCTACGCCCTCTTCTCACACTACCATGGCTTCCTGTGCAAGCTTATCTGCCTCCATGGCTTCTGATACTGTCTAAAGACTAATATTCTGAAATGTCTGTCTACATCCCAAGCCCAGTTACAGAATAGTGTATCAGTCTGTGCTTGCTGAGCATCTTTGCCTGGATGACACAGAGGCCCCTCAAGCCTCTCATTGTCCCAAACTGAATCCATCTTTTCCCTCAAACCCATTCTTCTTGCATTCCCTTTCTATGTAAAGGCTCCACAATCACCTAGTTCAGTAGAAATGTAGGCTTTTGTCTTCCTAACTACTTCCCGTCTTTCTCCCTCTTGTCCAGTCTGTTATTAAACTCTATCCATTGGCGTTTAATAATCCACTAACTATCCATTGAATCTGTCGGCTTCTCTCTTCTGGCCATTGCTACTGCCTAGGCCACCATCATCTCTCACTTGGATTGTAGCTGCAGTCTTGTAGCTACACGTTTACCTTCTAGTCTTGTGATGTCCTTTTGTCACATTACAACCAGTGTTCATTCTTTTTTTTTTGAGACAGGGTCTCACTCTGTCACCCAGGCTAGAGTGCAGTGGCATGATCTTGGCTCACTGCAACCTCCGCTACAGCCTGCACTTAGGCTTGTTGTAACATATCCCATTCCATACTTCAGGTGCCTATTAACAGACAAAAATCCCACACTACTCTGTTGGCTCTTGAGGGCAGGGACCCTGTATGCTATATCCCTAATACCTGTGTTAGCAGATAAATATATGGTTTCTGTGTCTTCTTACACTTGAGGGCCACACTTGAAGGCCACACTTGAAACTTATTCCATGAGGGTATGGGAGTTTGAACTTAAAAGGAAAAAGATGGAATTTATCATTTGCCATTGTGATTGCTTACTGAAATTAGACATCAGTCTTATCCCCAGTCCCAACTTAGCTACCCATGCAGAAGATACAGACCGTCCAGAAGATACATAACAAGCTGTCACCTTATTCCATAAAACTCTTTCCTGTTGTACCCAACACATAATCATGACTGCTCAGCCTAGCAAAGCAGTTTGATACGTTATAGGACAGGCTGTCAGAATAAAATTATGCACATTTTGCTATCAAACAATTCTGCTGTAAATGGTTCCTTTAAAAGAAACTTCTTGCTGCAGAAGAATTTCCCCTCCAGGAATAAAGGAAGAGTAAAATACTAATCTGCATTTCTTCAGAGGTGTGACACGGTCTACTTTATTACCATGTTATATAATAAACATATATAATGTAGAAATAAGGATTTTTATGCAGGTATGCATAGAATTATATAGAACTTTAAAAAGTTATTTTTTAAAATTTTTTCACATGGTGAATATTTTATTACAGTATATAACCATGTAGTATATAACATGTACATATTTTTATGTACAGTATATAACGTACATATTTTTATTACCTAGTATGTGTATGTAAAATCTATAGTGACTTTGTTTTGTGTATTGAAAACATCTTTGTAAGCTGCACATTTTTGTGGGAGATAAAGACTTCTTTTTTTAAATCTTAATTCAGGTGAAGGTACAAGTAAGAAGCTGGCGAAACATAGAGCTGCAGAGGCTGCCATAAACATTTTGAAAGCCAATGCAAGTATTTGGTGAGCTAAATTTCTTTGTATTCAGCAGCTCAAAAATATCATGGCTGAGGTAAGATTAAAAATTTGAACATGCTTACAAAAGCAACAAAGTGAACAGTTGTTAGCATCCTACCTCTCAAATTCTATTTCCTTATGAAAACTTATCATCCATTAAAGAAAACTTTATCCAATCAAATCCAGCAATTAGCTATTAAATGAAGGTGCTCATGAACTAGGCTTTACTGTTTTTTTTTTTTTAATGGGATACAACAGTAGAAAATCAGTGCTTCTTGCAAATATTAATATTAACATTTTGTATTTAGACTTTGATTATTTCTACATTGAAGAAAACAAAGTGTGAGATGGAGAAAGATCCACTAAAAGTACTCTTTTGGGAATTCTAATTTTGAAGAAGCAGGCAGAGGTTTTCTTTTATTATATAATGTATACCAAAAGAAGAGAATGTTAAGTGGGATATTAATTCTTGACATATCTTTCTAAAGTAAGATTTTTTTTTTTTTTTTTTTTTTTTTGAGACGGAGTCTCGCTCTGTCGCCCAGTCTGGAGTGCAGTGGCGGGATCTCGGCTCACTGCAAGCTCCGCCTCCCGGGTTCACGCCATTCTCCTGCCTCAGCCTCCCAAGTAGCTGGGACTACAGGCGCCCGCCACTACGCCCAGCTAATTTTTTGTATTTTTAGTAGAGACGGGGTTTCACCGTTTTAGCCGGGATGGTCTCGATCTCCTGACCTCGTGATCCGCCAGCCTCGGCCTCCCAAAGTGCTGGGATAGATTTTTTACTACTTTAGGTGTTTCTAGATAGAATATTGGTCCTGGAGCATCTCACATATTAAAGTAGTGTCCACTGGGTGCACTCTGGAGCTTGGCATGCTTTCAAGTTCTTCTTGTGCATACACTTACATATGCCTGAAGTACGATCTGTGTAATCAGCTTATAGTTGACAGTAGAGACCCAGGGAATTTGGGATGGGTTTTTTGTTCCCTAGTCATAGAAAGGCTTTTGGATTAGGGGTGTAGTTAGGTTCTCATGTAGTATTCCTCTCTTTTTGTAAATCATTCTAAACCGTTTGGGTAGTTTAGAACTAACCAGTGACATGGCAACCCTCTAGATAAGCAGCTGCCCAAGACAAGCCTTGCATTTCACAAGATGATGCTTGATTCTCTAGGGTCATGCATTATAATTGATCTATGCCAGGCTGGGCGGGGTGGCTCACGCCTGTAATCCCAGCACTTTGGGAGGCTGAGGTGGGTGGATCACTTGAGGCCAGGAGTTCAAGACCAGCCTGGCCAACATGGCAAAACCCTGTCTCTACTAAAAATACAAAAATTAGCCAGGCATGGTGGCAGGCGCCTGTAATCCCAGCTACTTGGGTGGCTGAGGCACAAAAATCGCTTGAACCCGGGAGGCGGAGATTGCAGTAAGCTAAGATTGTGCCCCTGCACTCCAGCCTGTGAAACCCTGCCTCAAAGAAAAACAAGGCCAGGCATGGTGGCTCACACCTGTAATCCCAGCACTTTGGGAGGCCAAGGTGGGCAGATCACTTGAGTCAGGAGTTCGAGACCAGCCTGGCCAACATGGTGAAACCTCGTCTCTACTAAAAATACAAAAAATTAGCCGAGTGTGGTGGCACGCTCCTGTAATCCCAGCTGCTTGGGAGGCTGAGACACGAGAATTCCTTGGACCCAGTAGGCAGTGGTTGCAGTGAGCTGGGATCGCGCCATTGCACTCCAGCCTGGGCGACAGAGCAAGACTCTGTCTCCAAACAAACAAAAAAAAGACATGCCAAATGACATGGCAGGTATTGGGTTCTCCCCCACTGGTGATGGCCATGCTGTTTCTGTATAGCCTGAAGGTGAACCCAACCATTAAGTACATTTGTAGAAATGAGGGGTATGGAGTGTCCTTTCTGCATCTTGGCACTTTGTCAGCAAAAAAAGCTAACAAACTTTACTATATTTGTGCTTCTTGACAGATAAAATGGGAATTACTAAGCTGTAATCAGGCCTAAAGTGGCCTGACTTAATACAGAGACTTTCTCACTTCTCCATCACAATTATTTGGGTAGCTTCGGCATGCAGCATTGTAAGTGAATACTCATATCTCATCAGCCTATGTAAAGCTTGAAATTCTCACAGTTGGAAAAAAAAAACCTTGAGGAAGTGGCAATAACTAAACCTCATTTGTCATGGAAAAATGACTCCAGTTGCCTAGGTGGTACTAACCTTGAAATGCCGCTTATTCAGTTTTAAGTACTGACCTGCTAAGTAACTAGTAATTCCAGACTCCCTAGAAGAGGTTGTTCTCTTTTTCCCTAATCATAATCCCCACTTGCTAAAACCAAATTCATCTAAGCCATCTATTTTCTGCAGGATACATGTAAATCTTAGAGGATTATCCCAGCACTGAGCAGATGATAGATCAAACAGATCTCTCTTCATAGTTCTGTGGATGAAAAAACAGTATTTACACATAATCTGTATTATTCACATTGCCAGGCTAAATTTTCTGGATCATTGTTACTCTTCTGTTTTTTGTATAGTTGTAACAGAGTATTCTTTAAATACATTTTTATGGCATGCCTATTATGTACAAAACACCACAAAGCTTATGTAGGTAAGTGATACATAGGCCCTACCTCAAGGAGCTTACTGTCTGAACAGGGGAGAGGTGTGGTGAAGGATGGACAAATTATATGTATTTGTAAGAGTATATAATTTATGGTAAAACAATTTCAAGAAAGGATTAAACCATGTGTTATAATGTTTCAAAGAAGGGAGAGATTATAAACCACTGGGGTAAAAGGATAGGCTTCTTGGAGGAAGTGACATTTGAGATATATCTTGGATGACCGATCAGATTCCCATAGAAGAGGTCTGAGAAAAGGGCATTCCATGTAGAAGGAATGACAAGAGCAAAGACATAGAGAGTTAATTAGAAAATGCTTGTCATTTATTTCATAATTCGGGGGAAATTATTTTGTTTTATAACACTTTTAAAAAATATTTAGCTTTGCAGTTCCTGACCCCTTAATGCCTGACCCTTCCAAGCAACCAAAGAACCAGCTTAATCCTATTGGTTCATTACAGGTAAGTTGTACAGTTCTTTGCCTACTGATGAAATATATAATAAGTTTGTAATGTCAGAGGGGCTAACACAAGGAATTAATATTTTAAAGACAAGATAGTGATATATTTTGTTTTCCAACTTACGATCATTAGATTAACAGAGCTAACTTGAAATTATTTTCCTATTTATGTTCTGGGTTTTCTTTCATATACAGTATTTGCCTTTGGCTTATAGAATTCTCATTTAAGATCAACAGGCCCTCAGTGCACATGGGTAAAGTGTTTTATACTTTAAGAATAGTTCTTGCTACTCTTGTGACAAATCTCTTTCTACTTCTGTTGAGACAGAAGACTTTATAGAGAGCCTAAATCAAATCAGTGAACCTAACTGAAGAAAAGGAGTCTATTTGCTTATTCTACCAAAAAAAAAAAATTTTATCTATACACACACAAACACACACACATATATTCAGCTTTGAATTTCTATATGCAGAATATCCTTCTTGCAGATTATCCATGTGCTCTGTTAGGCCATTTCCCTCCCCATTATTCAGCCAGTCCTTTGGTCTCCTTTTCCTGCACAGTGAGCTTTTCTATAGTTTTCTTCACCTTCTGTCCCCCACTTTATGCAAGTCTGTTGTTTGCTGTCCCTACTCCTCATGTGTTCTTGGCCAGCTGTGGGTTTGGAAGTCTATAGCTAGGAGGGGAGGGACTTTAGGAACTGATGGCAGTGAAACCTGTAGATGGTCTCCTCTGGTGTTGCCAAAGAGGGCGGTAGTAGCCTGTTTTTCTAGTTGATGTCTGATACCAGCTCACTGTGGTTTAATGCAAGAACACCATTCGTAGCACAAAACTGCTTCAGTTTTGGTATTGGGGTATAAAAATATAAAATGCGGGAATGTCTTTGAGAAATAGAGGGTCTTCCCTCTTTTTTCTGTTGCAGAATATCACTATTCTTTTCAAACATATACATAGAAATGGGATCAAAATTAAGAAAACACTTATGTGATTGAGCCATTGCATAAAATTACTATTAAAGCCTCATCTTGATTTTATAGGAATTGGCTATTCATCATGGCTGGAGACTTCCTGAATATACCCTTTCCCAGGAGGGAGGACCTGCTCATAAGAGAGAATATACTACAATTTGCAGGCTAGAGTCATTTATGGAAACTGGTACTTATTTCTTACAATTAAAGGCATTTGAAATATTTTCAGATGATGAATGACTATCGAAATTTCTGTCGTAATGTTTTCAAATATTTCTATGCAGAAAAATTGATACACTCCTCTTTTATTGTCTCTGACTTTCTGAGGTTGAACTTAAGTATAAATATTTGGCTTAAGATACTTAGTCTTCTTAATTTGATATTTTTAAAAATCATAGATTATTAATAGAAAGACAAACTGTTGGCTCTGTACTTTAAACAGTCTTCATTGATAAATTACTGACTTAAAAAACCTCAATTTGGAGAAAAAGCTATAGTAAATCTCTTGGATTTTAACAGCTATTCTATCTAGAAAATAGGACTAGAGGAAGATTACACTTGAAAATTATATGATTAATAAGAGACTACATGGCAAATAATTGCAGTGAGATAAAAATGAAAATTATCTTTCTTAATTATAGCAACTTCTATGTTATAAAGGATATAAACTATAAGAAACGCTGTCACTTTAAAAAGTACTAGCGAGAATTCCTGTTAACTTCTCTGGCATGTTTTTGTTATTTTCAAAAGTGGCTTAAAATGGGATTTTAGCTTAGCTAGATAATAGTTTCAAGTAATAAGAAACTATTTGCCTTTGGGAGGTAGTGTGGCCAGTACAGAAAGCACCAGGCCAAAAGCAGGAACCTCAGCTTCCGTCCTTGATGCAGTCCTTGATTCGCGAAGTTAAGCAAATTACTTAATTTCTCTGGACCTCAGTTTTTTAATCTATAAAACAAAAGCATGGAGGTAGATATTTATGGTATCTTTCAACTCCACCATCCCCTGTGCCTTTCTTATTCCTGTTAAAAGGAATTTCATATAATCGTCAGTTTAGAGAAGATCATAAGCAGGAAATAGACATTGAGAGAGAGGAGTTATAATTCAGATGTATTTTAATAAATCTAAATAATTGGTCAGAATTAAACCAAATATGGTTCAGTAATGCTAGACATAGGAAAATACAATTATTATAGAAAAACAGAAAGCATAACTATTAAAGAAAAACTTAAAACAAATGTCTTCAAAAGTGTAAGAATTAGTAACTATACAGGCCTGGCACAGTGGCTCACACTGATAATCCCAGCCCTTTGGGAGGCTGAGGTGGGCCGATCATATGAGGTAAGGAGTTTGAGACCAGCCTGGCCAACATGGCAAAACCCTGTCTGTACTAAATACAAAAAATCAGCCAGGTGTGGTGGTGGGCACCTGTAATCCCATCTACTTGGGAGGCTGAAGCAGGAGAATTGCTTGAACCCAGGAGGCGGAGGTTGCAGTGAGCCAAGATGGTGCCACTGCACTCCAGCCTGGTGACAAAGTGAGGGTCCGTCTCAAAAAAAAAAAAAAAAAGAATTAATAGCTATACAAACAAAATAGCATAACAAACAAAGTTATCAGGTCAGTAAGAACATAGTCTAGTATATAATAAAAACCGTGAGGTTCTCTGATTAAACACAGTACTTCATACGTTTGATCATCCTCTGTGGACACTAATTTCTTTTCTAAATCTACCATTTCTTTTTCTTTGTTCAGGAAAGGGGGCATCAAAAAAGCAAGCCAAAAGGAATGCTGCTGAGAAATTTCTTGCCAAATTTAGTAATATTTCTCCAGAGAACCACATTTCTTTAGTGAGTAATGTTGACAGCTATGATGTTAATGTCATTAAGCATTTCTTGCAGTAGGAAACTTTCCTTGATTTCTTATTCTATAGCTACTTCAGAGTTGTGATTTTTAGAAATCTCTTCATTATTCAGTTATACCCTACCCCATTTTTAGCTGCTTCCTGTTTGTGAGTCAGGATCACAGAGGCAATTAGGTAAGAGAGCTTGGGAGACACAGTCAAATTCAGAATAATAGGACGGGATCTAAAGATGATAGGCCAGTAGTGCCATTTTTGCCTTCAAAGTGACAGCGCATTTCCATCCCTTTGTTTGTTCATTCATTCACTTAGCAAACATTTAGTGAGCTCATACTGTGTGCTAAGTGTTGTGTTGGGTACTGGGGTGCAGTGAATAAGCAGTCCCTGCCTCTAAGGAGTTTATAGACTACTGAAAGGAAGGAATTCTATAGGCTAGTCCTTACAGAGTGTGATGTGGGAACATAGAAGAAGGCATCCAACAAAAACAGGTTTGGAGACAGATTCCAGGAAGAAGTAATGTCTAAGCCAAGACCTGTAGAATGGGGGAAAAGAATTCCAGAGAGAAGAAAAAGCGTGTGCAAAGGCCAGGAGTGAAACATCGTATGCAGTCTAGGAGCCCTAAGTGATTTGTTGTGTGTAGAACATAGTGTTGGAGGGAGGGAGTCTCAATGAGGCCAGCAAAGTAAAGAGGGATTAAATCTTAAAGGGACCCCTATATAAGGAAAGTGAACTTTATCCCAAGGGTAGTACAAAGTCATTAAAGAATTTTAATCTGGGAAGGACAGGATCTAGTCTATACATTACAAGGAAATCACTTGGCTGCATTATGGTAAGTGAGTGAAATTAGGATCAAAGAGACCTGCGAGAGTGCTGTTACAGAAGACACGTGAGACATGACAGCTTGAACTAAGGTAGTGGCTGGGAAAATGGAGAGAGATGGGTAGATTTTAAAGTTATTTAGAAAACTGAGGTAAAGGGGCATGGTAATTGATTGGATGTGGGAAGCAAGGGAAAGGGAGGAAATTACTATTTTAAACTTGGCAATAGCAAGAGGGGAGCAGATAATGAACTAAATATATTGAATTTGAAGTGCTTATGGAATAGCTTATGGAATAGCTAAGTGAATATATCGAGTAGCTGAACAAATAAATTCAGAGCTTAAGAGATTGGCCTACACATGATATATAACTTCAGATTCTGATATTCACAGATAGGTGTGTCATGTGGTACATTATCTGAGAGTAGTGTATTAGGTGGGAAATAAAAAAGTACAACTGTAGCAACTTCTTCACTGAGCTTATGATAAAATAAGGGCTCATTCTTTAGAAAAAAATCAAAGACTATATACAAATGAGTAATATAATTTGATTTTACATTTTTAATAGAAAAATATAAAACACTGCATTTACTGCTTTTGGAATTTGAGTCAACAGTATCACCAAAATTACAAAGCACAGACAGATTTACAGGTGAAATTGGTTAAATCTTCAAAGAAGAGATCATTTTCAATGCTATTTAAACTCTTTTCAGGCAATGTATAGATAACATAAAGGAAACTTTTAAATTTATTCTCCAAAACCAACATAATACACCAAAACCTGACAATAGCAAGTTCAACAGAAAAAAAAAAATTACAGATCAATATGCCTTATGGTGAAACACCTTTGTAAAATGTTCAGTACAATATTAAAATAATGATATAGCATTGACAAGTAGGGTTTATTTAACTAAGACTATTTCAAGGTTAATAAGTTGGTTACTTTAATTAACCACATTAATGTGTCAAAGAGTAATATATAATCCTCTCAATGGATGCCAAAAAAATTTTGATAAAACTCAGCAATCATTACTGATAAAAACTTGGAAAAAAACCAAAATCATGGTTATATATTTATACATTATACTCATTCCCATTAATATCAGAAATAAGGACGCCCACCAACACCACTTTTATTTAACCTTGTTCTAGAAGTACCCACCAATTAAAAACAAATTAGACAAGAGAAAACAGTACGAAGTTGGAAATAAGAGGAGATAAAATGGTTACTAACTGCAAATGGTATGATTGTATCCCTTTAAAACCCTAAAGAAAAACTACTAGAAACAAGAGAATTCATCAAGGTAACTGATTATGAAATTAATATACAAAATCAATAACTTTTCCATATTGCCCAGAGTTATGTAGGTAACAACCAGAATAATTAAAAATAAAAAGCTAAAAATTATTGTATCTGGGAAGGGGACCTGAAGGTGGAGAAGGGGCAAGGCAGAGGTTGTTGCTTTTATACTTCTGTACTATTTGATTTTTTGCTGTATGTGTGTATCACTTTGACAAAACTTACGAAGCTTCATAACATTGGTCATTTTATAGAAAAATAGAAAATCCTATTCTGAGAAAATATACTAGAAAAAAGTCAGTAGTTTTCTTATTTACAAATAATAACTAGAATATAGAAGATCCCAATTTAAATTGTAGACAGGGATAGGCTATATGAAAATAAACTTAGAAAGAAATGCGTAGGACCACGTGAGGAAAAGTCTACTAAAGAATAGAGCAGAAAACATTGTAAATATATTTAAATGTAATGTGGTCTCACTCAAAACCTACCAGCGTTTGGCCAGGCACAGTGGCTCACGCCTGTAATCCCAGCACTTTGGGAGGCCGAGGTGGGCGGATCATGAGGTCAGGAGATAGAAACCATTCTGGCTAACGCGGTGAAACCCCGTCTCTACTAAAAATACAAAAAAAAAAATTAGCCGGGCCTGGTGGCGTGCGCCTGTAGTCCCCGCTACTCCGGAGGCTGAGTCAGGAGAATGGCATGAACCCGGGAGGCGGAGCTTGCAGTGAGCAGAGATCCACGCCACTGCACTCCAGCCTAGGCGACAGAGTGAGACCCCAACTCGAAAAAAAAAAAAACCTACCAGCGTTCATTTTGGACCTTGATACACGTTTATTGAAGTTTATCTGGAAAAAAACCCTCAAGAATAGCCAAGAAAACTGAAAAGGAAGAGTTGGGAGAGCAAGGGTGTGCTGCTTTACTAGAGAACAAAACATACTGTAAAACTGAACTTGTCAGACAAGTTACTGGGCCAGGAATAGTCAGAGGAGCGAATAGAGAATCCAGGCGTAGATGCTAATCCACATAGGACCATAGTATATAGCAACAGTGAGATTTCAGATCAGTGGGTGAGAGGATGGATTATTCAATAATGATGTAGAAACAGTTTACATCCACATTTGGGTGGGGGCTATATATATATATTTGTTGATGTGTATGACATCTATTTAGAATGCTTCCTTATTCCTTACACCAAAGTGAATTTCAGATGGATCAAAGATTTGAACATAAAAATTTGAAACAGTATAAATATTAGGAAACATGGAAGAGTTTTTCTTTTTAAAAATCTTAGCATGGGGAAAGCATTTTAACTTAAAACCTAGGTTAAAAGATTAATACATTTGACAACATAAAACCTACTGCACAGCAAAAAATCTGTAAATTAAGACAATAAAAAAGTGGGAAGAAATTATTTTCAACATAGAACTATAAAGGAACTGTTTTCAGTACTACCTTTAAAGCTCTTTTGTACACATCTGCTGCACACAGCAGCACATGCCTGTAGTCCCAGCTACTCGGGAGGCTAAGGTGGGAGGACTGCTAGAGCCCAAGAGTTTGAGAGTTAAGCCACACAGCAAGATCCTAACTCTTAAAAAAGAGAAAATTTAAAAAGCTCTTATGCATCAGTTAAAAAGACAACCCAGTAGAAGAAATGCAAACGATTAAGGGAAAAAAAGAAAAAATATTCAACTTTATTCATGCAAGATAAAATATTTTCACCTTTTAGATTGGCAAAAACTACAAAATTTGATAATAGCTGGTATTAGTGAGGGTATGAGAAAACAAGCCCCCTCCAAGACAGTTGGTAGGAGTATAAATTGGTTCAGAAATCAGTTTGGAAGTATTTATCAAAATTAAAAGTGTACATGTTCTTTGACTTAGCAGTTCCACTTCTAGAAATAATTCTACAGAGAAACTCATTCAAGTGCAAAAGAGTGTTTATTGCTAGTAAAAGCAAGAAACTAGAAACAACCTAAAGCTCACAGTTGGAGATCCGTAAGGTAAATACAGTGCATATATGTGCACTGATAAAAGAAAAATGAACAAGATGTAGAGGAGTAAGTTATCATTTGCTTTAAAAGATTGTGTGTGCTTGCATATGCATAGAACATTTATGGGAAGATACTGAAAAATGTTTAACAGTATGTCTAAGAAATAGAACAGAGGTCTTCAGGGAATGGGTGGTAAGGAAAAGAGACTGTACTCTTCATTATATATTTGTTCTTAGTGCATGTATATTTTTAACCATGTAAATAGTGTTCTTTATTTAAAAACAGTATTTTAAAGTTTCTATAATGTAAATTTTTATTTGGTAAATCTAATAAATTACTTAATTCCATATCATGCCATCTCTAAAATCTTTTGGAAATTGCCTCCCCTCTGTCGTGCTCATTAATAAAACAATATTAAGAGTAGTAACCCTACTTACTTCAGAAAGTAGTTGTTTTTATTAATGGCATATGAAAGCAATTTGAGAACCATAAACTAATATGGAAATATAAGGCATTCTAAGGACAGAGATGAAAAGGGAAGGATATAGGGGAGGATAAAGGAAAGAGGAAAAGCAGAAAGAAAAAGGAAAAAAATACTCAGTTGGGTTCTGGGATAGAAGTCTGATAAGAACTTTTTGACATCCTGTCATTTATTTGAATGACTTGTTCCTCAAACCCAACGCGCACATTTCATGTTTTTTTTAGTTTTTTTTTCTGTTTTTTTTCCTGTTTGATAGCTGTCAGTTATAGTGATTGGTATTTAATACAAAAAAAACCAAAGATATGAAAATTGTTCTATATTTTAATCTGCAAATTGCTCCATTAGGCAGATTTAATTATTTGTGGATTTACTTATGGTGCTTCCAGATATCTTGTACCTCTTAATGTGACCATCAGAAAACTTGACTGAGAAACATTTGTACTATACAAAATACAAAATGCTTTCAGTATATTATTGCAAGTGCTTCTTAAAAACATATAGTATTGTTAAATGTGTACTTTTTAATGTTGTCTTGTTTAAATTGGAAAATTAACCAAATGTTATCCATTTAAACATGCTTTATAACATATTAAATGTGAGTGCTTAATAAGTACTTTTAATGATACTGGTACGGGTGTTGGAACCCAGTCCTAGTCAAGAGTCTAAATCTTCATCTCTGTTTTTCAGACAAATGTAGTAGGACATTCTTTAGGATGTACTTGGCATTCCTTGAGGAATTCTCCTGGTGAAAAGATCAACTTACTGAAAAGAAGCCTCCTTAGTATTCCAAATACAGATTACATCCAGCTGCTTAGTGAAATTGCCAAGGAACAAGGTTTTAATATAACATATTTGGATATAGGTATGATTTTTTTTTCTTTGGCTTTCCCAAGACATGTTTATTTAAAAATGTGTTTGAGGAACAAAAATGTGTTTGAGGAATAAAAATTTCTATTACAATTTATTTTATTGATCAGGGATTCTAAGTATATATAATTACTAGGCCAGTAATATATATAATTGATATGTCCCATTCTTGTGGATAGTAATAATAGCTAACATCTATACAGTTATAACAAAAACAACAATAGCAAAGATAGAGTTTTACTGTGTGCCAGACACTGTTCTAAGATTACACGTATCTACTTACTGAATCCTCAGACTAACTCTATGAAGCAAATTCTGTTATCCTTATTTATAAGTAAAGGAAGAAAGGCACAGAAAGGTTGAGAAACTTGCCCAAGATCACATAGCTAGTCAGCGGTAGAGCAAGATTTGGGGAAGAGTCCCAGAAGATACCCTGGCTGTTAAACTAGCCCTGCTGGGCAAATGAAAAGGCACCTACATTTCTAGCACAAGTACAAGTTTGTGGTGCCCAGACCTTTTCTCTCTACTTTGTCACTGTATGCTGATTCTGGGAGGTAAATGGAACCAAGTCAATTTATAGTTTTATCCCATCTCAGCCATCATCATCTGTATTTTCTCTAGCCCTTAATCATTTGGATAGACAAATATGGACAGATGGGAAAGCAAGTCAGTATGGATTTTCTTTTAATTCAATTTATAGAGCTAATTAGTTGTGTGTGTTTGGTGTCTTGATTTTTTTTTTTTTTTTTTTTTTTTGAGACGGAGTATTGTTTCTGTTGCCCAGGCTGGAGTACAGTGGCACAATCTCAACTCACTGCAACCTCTGCCTCCTGGGTTCAAGCGATCCTCCTGCTTCAGTCTCCCAAGAAGCTGGGAATACAGGCATCCACCACCAAGCCTGGCTAATTTTTTTTTTTTTCCCCAAGATGGAGTCTTGATCTGTTGCCCTGGTTGGAGTGCGGTGGCATGATCTCAGCTCACTGTAACCTCTGCCTCCCAGGTTCAAGCAATTCTCCTGCCTCAGCCTCCTGAGTAGCTGGGACTACTGCTGTGTGCCACCACACCCACCTAATTTTTGCATTTTTAGTAGAGACGGGGTTTCACCATGTTGGCCAGGCTGGTCTCAAACTCCTGACCTCATGATCCACCCACCTCGGCCTCCCAAAGTTTTTTTTTTTTTAGTAGAGATGGGAGTTTCACCATGTTGACCAGGCTTGTCTCAAACTCCTGACCTCAAGTGATCTGTACACCTCAGCCTCCCAAAGTGCTGGGATTACAGGTGTGAGCCACCGTGCCTGGCCAAAGTATCTTGATTTAACATGTGTGAGAAATTTTATATCCCTATCCAACCACAGAAAGATGTGGGGACCTTGCTTGTCAGGGTCCCCTGACCCTGGGAAAGTAGGGCACTTAGGGGCTCAAAGAACTCCTGATATTCTGTGCTACTTTGGGATTGAAGGACGGGTGAAGTGCATTGTCTCAGTAAACCAATAATGATGCAGAACCTGGGAAGTCAGTGCAGACAGATGGTTAGAAAAGGTGGCTGATGAAAAATTAGCTGGGTGTGGTGGCACATGCCTGTAGTCCAGTCTACTAGGGAGGCTGAGGTGGGGACAATGACTTGAGCCTCTGAGGTTGAGGCAGCAGTGAGCCATGATCATGCCGCTGCTCTCCAGCCTGGGTGACAGAGTTAGACTTGTCTCAAAAAAAAAAAAGAAAAGAGGCTGGAGGCCAGGTGCGGTGGCTCACACCTGTAATCCCAGCACTTTGGGAGGCCAAGTCGGGCAGATCACCTGAGGTCAGGCGTTTGAGACCAGCCTGACCAACACGGTGAAACCCTGTCTCTACTAAAAATACAAAAATTAGCCAGACAAGGTGGCGTGCACCTGTAATCCCAGCTACTCGGGAGGCTCAGGTGGGAGAATCACTTGAACCCGGGAGGCAGAGGTTGCAGTGAACCGAGATCGCGCCACTGCACTCCAGCCTGAGTGACAGAGTGAGACTCTGTCTCAAAAAAAAAAAAAGAAAAGGTGGCTGATGAGAGACCATTCATCCAATAAATATTTATTACTGTCTACAGTTCATTGAGGGTTTAGAATACAGAGATGAACGACCCATGTCATGAATAGGACTATGGAGGATACAGAATCTGGGGGAAAAAAGGAAACCCAAGATAAATTTTTAGATTATGAATTAATGATGCCTCTGAAACATTTCTTCCCAGTTTTGAGAACTAAATAGTTCTTGTAGATATGGAAAGCCATCTAAAAACCACAGTCTGTTAATTTGGCTAGTTTATATGCAGCTACCTTCAAAAGAACCTAGATATTCTCCAAAGGAGATATACAAATGGGCTGGGCAAAGTGGCTCACACCTGTAATCCCACCCCTTTGGGAGACTGAGGCATGAGCATCGCTGGAACCCAGGAGTTTGAGACCACCTGGGCAACATAGTGAGAGCCTGTCTCAAAATTTTAAAATTAAAAAAGAAAAATGACCAAATGACCAAAAAATACATGAAAAGATGCTCGATATCATTAGTCAATAGAGAATGCAATCAAAACCACGATAATAAGGTACCACTTCAAATCCACTAGGATGGCTATCATTAATGAAATGGAAAATAGCAAGTGTTGGTGATGATGTAGATAAACTGGAACCTTACACGTTGCTGGTGGGAATATAAAACAGTTCAGCCTCCATGGAATAAGCTTCTCAGTTCCTCAAATGAATTGCCATATGACCCAGCAACTCCACTCCTAGGAGTATAAATAAAAAACTGGTATTTAAACAAATGCCTATACACACAGGTATCTGTATATTCATAGCAGCACCATTCACAAAAGCCAAAAGGTAGAAACAGCCCAAAACATCCATCAGTGAATAAGTGGATAAACAAATTGTGGACTGTCCTTCCAATGAAATATTATTCAGCTGTAAAAAGAAACGAAGTTCTGATACATTCTACAACATGGATGAGCCTCAAGCAGAAGCTGGAGGGTCAGGAGAAAAGAACCTAGATACTAGAACTAGAAAGCCTCTTTACTCATTAAATAATCCCATTGTATCTGGATATTTTCCACTAAATAGAGTATCAAAAATAACATTTTTATTATGCCTACTTCAAATAAATCATACCGCACACGTTTCTATTTCTTCCTCTTTGCCCTCATTTCAGCCATCTTTAGTAAGAGTGGCTCATCAGTTGATGGGAAGAACGTTTGTTTCCTGGGTCAGGTATTGTTTTTAAAATACCATGACCCATTTACAGTATAAATAAAGAACTAGACTCTGCACAGACTTAAAACCTAGGAACATGAATGGACAACAGCATAAATACATACAATTATTATGTATCAATTAAACATTTTTTTTTAATAGAAGACACAAGGGAGGTTTTGCCTTGACCGAAGTTATTCCTGGTTCAAATGCCTCCTGAAAATGACTTCCTAGTGGAAAATACAATCTCTCCAGTCCTCTAGCAAATGGTTCTTTCCCTTTTGAGAAAGTTACTGTGTGGTTCAGTAATTTCCAAATAGTGTTCAACTAACTATATTAGAATTGCCTTGGGAGCTGTTATTTTTTTAAGTGTAGGAATCAGCCACCCCCAACTGTATATTTCTGATTGAGTGAGCTAGAGTGCAGCCTAGATATCTGTATGTCTTTAACACTGTCAGATCATTATGAAGTGTAATGTGTTTGAAAACTGCTACAGCTGAGCAGTTGTGGTTTTTTGTTTGTACAAGCAAAACAAAGATTGCGAGTGGTGTAGTATACCATGGAGGCTTAAAAAGAAAGACAATAATAAGAATTGTATTGTTTTTACAAAGGGATCCACTTTATACATATTGGACATTAATCGTCATCCTTGAATGTGTCATTACAGATGAACTGAGCGCCAATGGACAATATCAATGTCTTGCTGAACTGTCCACCAGCCCCATCACAGTCTGTCATGGCTCCGGTATCTCCTGTGGCAATGCACAAAGTGATGCAGCTCACAATGCTTTGCAGTATTTAAAGATAATAGCAGAAAGAAAGTAAATCTGGAGCAACTTAAAAAATCTTTCAGTAGCACATAAAAAGTTCCCCTCTGGCCCCTTCCCAAGTAAAACTTTTACCGTAGTGTTTATGTCTTGTTTCTAAATCTCTTCATAGATTCCATCAACACTCCAGATTTAATTATCTCCTCATAGTTGTTATTAAGCTCTTTTTAATGGCTTCAACTTTGTATCAGTATACTGTATTTATAAACTTTGTACCACAAGAGAGAGTGTAGCACCCATTTTACAGTGCCATGCACATCAGAGAAAGAAACTGCATGTTTGTTGTTGATGATGAAATAAAAATGCTAGCGACAGTCTTTCTTACTGGTGCTTAAGCTCTTCTTTGCACAAAGCTTTATAAAGGGAATTCAAAGGAAGCCCTTTAGAATTAGAGTCTTGAGGGACAGCACTAACAGGCCTTTATTAAGTATGATTGATTGTTAAATTTCAGGGAACATGATTGGTCTGCTGTGTATTTGAATTCATGTAACAAAGAACTGTTACGATGGGATTCTGCTCATTTTATTAAAAAGCTACTGACTTGACTGTCATCCTGTTCTTGTTAGCCATTGTGAATAAGATTTTAATGTTGATAATTCTGTTATTTACATATCTCTAATTTACTTTGAAATTCAAAGGTGAAAATAAAAAATGATGGCCTAAGTAAAATTTACAAACATACATGTAATGGGTTACTTCCTTACTTTCTCTAAGCGTATGCAACCTTGTATTTTTCTTTGACATAACCATACACAGGTGAATTACTAGTTTAAAAAGCATTTGACCATGCATGTTGGCTCATGCCTATAATCCCAACTCTTTCGGAGGCCAAGGTGGGAGGATCCCTTGAGGCCAAAAGTTTGAGACCAGCCTGGGCAACATAGTGAGTCCCCATCTCTACCAAAAAGAAAATCAGGTGTGGTGGCACACTTTGAGTCCCAGCTACTCAGGAGGCTGAGGTGGGAGGATTGCTTGGGCCCAGAAGATCAAAGCTGCAGTGAGCTAGGATCACAGCACTGCACTCCAGCCTGGGTGACAGAGTGAGACCCTGTCTCAAAAAAAAAAAAAAAAAAAAAAAAAAAAAGCGTTAGTAGAATTACCCAAAAAACCTTCCCAGCTTATTCAGTTCAGTTGCAAGAATGTTCCAAAGTGATGAGTGATTAAAAGGTTAGGAAATAAGTCTAATGAACAGATTTTAACCTTACCTTTTGTGTTTCCATATATAATCTTGTAACATCTCAAGTCTTCCATCTGTCAGCGCCGGCTCGTGCTAGCTTTCTACATTAGGTGGAAGTCTCAGCTCTGTGTTTGGAGTGCAGGGAAAGCTTCATAGAGGAAACATGAATGAAGGTAGGTCTCATGTATTCATACAGAAGGAAGCATGTAGCAGGTATTTTTGTCTGGAAAAAAATCATATCTGGAATTCTTTGAGAACAAAACTACAAAATAAAGGAAAACCAGTACATGTAACTTATTTTAAATTCTAAAGAGCACTTACCATAGTTCCATATTCTAAGCTCCATTTGTTAAACCATAGAAACAGGTACTTTTTTGGCAAGGTAAGGAATAGACTTAAAAGACTGGAAAAAAAACTAGGCATAATAGGATCTTGTGACTCTTTAAAGACTGAACTAAGGTTTTAGTAAATGGTCTTGGATATGGGGGAGGCACAATGAACTCTCCAAGATGACATTAGACTTCTGCATACTGAAATCCTGACTTGGATAAATTGGGGGAAAATTTCATAAGGCTGATGAAAAGGATATTACGTGGTTGTAGACAGTCCGTATGTATTGATAAAATGAGGTCTGAGGATAAGGTGCCCAGAAGATAAAATTGCTGCTGCCTCTGCTTTCCCTGCTTCTGGCTCTGGAGGAAAGTGCATTACACTGTTCGAATGTCACTTCTCAGACTATCCAGACCTTCTAGGGAGTTAGGGATTTTCTTGGACCATCAGGTGTATTCTTTAACACCATTTTGTTTAGCCCTCTGCTAAGGCTCTTAACCAATCTAATTAGTCAAACTTGTTAAATATAGGTTAATTTCTCAAATAGGCTCAACAGGTAATTGTGTCATAGTCATCTTCATAGTGTCAGTTCTAACAAGAACATCCATTAAGTGATAAGTGACTTTAAAAGATGAGGATGGCAATAGCACAATATGATAATACTAATTCAATAAGTTATTGAGCACTAATGTGCCCAGCACTATAGCAGCCTCTGGGAATATGTGGGCCCATATTGTGTTATTTGATGAAGAGCCGCTCCCTTGTTCTCGGGGTGTGCTGTGATATGCCACACAGTCCCCTTCCCTACAGAGGATTTTGTTTTCTCGCTCTGGCAGTGTGCACCCAACGGCCCTCAGCTGTCAGTAGAATTGCCCTCTTAAGTGAAAAGAGCCACCTCATCTGAAGTCACACTTCCTTCTTGGGCCAGGCTGCATGCAAAGACTAGTCCCATTGCCCCATATTAGAACAATCTGAAAGACCATCCTAGCTTCAGAGTTCCCCTTAGTGTCAGCTAAGGCCACCTTTGAGATTGCATCATAGTCCATATTCTTCCTCCACCCAGTGGAGTTTCCTTTCTTTCCACAGGTGGCAATCCAAATCTCCTACCCACTAATCTTCATCTCAGCATCTGTGATACTTGGTATCAGAAGGGTTGCAGGAAAGTAGGTGCTCCAGTGTGCTTTTGGAGCCATTTCTCTTGCCTTCTCACTTATAGGATGAGAGTCTCCTCACTGGGGCAGGGAGAAGTTAACTGCTAGCACACCCTGACAGTGCAGTTATTAAAACTTTGACTAGTGGTGAACTGAGATGGCATGTCAACACAAAGAAATGCACCGGCAGGCACGAAGATCAGGTGGGAAACAGTGTAGACAGTGGAACTGAAGAGTTATTACTGAGCTAGACCGATACCTTGGAAAAAGATAACAGAAGAATGAGAATGGGCCAGGCATAGTGGCTCACACTTGTAATCCCAGCACTTTGGGAGGCTGAGCCAGGAGTTTGAGACCAGCCTGGGCAACATAGCGAGACCCTGTCTCTACAAATATTTAAAAAATTATCCATGCCCAGTAGCTTGTGGCTGTAGTCCTAGCTATTTGGGAAGCTGAGGCAAGAAGATCACCTGACCCCAGGAGTTTGAGGCTGCAGTGAGCTATATTTGCACTACTGTACTCCAGCTTGAGCTACAGAATGAGACCCTGTCTCAAAATAAAAGAATGAGAGTGATTAGTTGGTAATTAGAAGCTGAGTGTGGGACCAAGAGCCGTGGCTCATGCCTGTAATTCCAGTGCCTCAGAAGACTGAAAAGGGAGGATAGCTTGAGGCCAGGAATTCAAGACCAGCCTGGGCAACATAGCAAGGCCCATCTCCACAAAAATTTAAAATCAGCAGGGCATAGTGGCATGCATTTGTTGTTCTGTTACTCAAGAGGCTGAGGCCAGAGGATAATTTGGGTCCAGGAGTTCAAGGTTACAGTAGCTTACTGTGCCACTGCACTCCCAGCCTGGGTGCAACTACACACTCAGCCTTAGTGACAAAGCAAGATCTTGTCTCAAAAACAAACAAAAACTCAGTGTGAGGGCCAGAAAGCCTCCCTCGTAGAATATGAGACTCTCAGGTTCTCAAGCCAATGAGGAGAGGAAGCTGAGGACCAGGCCCAGGACTTAGTCATGAGAATAAAACTCCAAAGAAGTTAGGACCCAAGCTAGGCAGGTCTACTGTGCTGTTGTCAGGACCCTGATTGGGAAAAAATGGAACCCTGACACATGGGATGAAACCATCTGGGTTGATGCACCTGAAAAATCTTCAATCCTCAGGTTTCCAGAACCTTCTAAGGCTACAGAAGTGCCCCTCTCTTCTCTAATAAGGGCTAGTGTGCTCCCTCTTTTGCTTGAAGACAATGAGCTCTCTCTCCAAGGACAAAACATACACTCCTCAGGATCCTCCCCAACTTCCTCTCTTGGCAACTAAGCCAATTAAAAAAAAGTTAAACTGGCGGGGTGCAGTGGCTCATGACTATAAATTTAGTACTTTGGAAGGCCGAGGAGGGTGGATTCCCTGAGGCCAGTAGTTCAAGACCAGCCTGGCCAACATGGTGAAACCCTGTCTCTACTAAAAATACAAACATTAGCCGGGCAAGGTGGTGCGCGCCTGTAATCCAGTTACTCGGGAGGCTGAGGCAAAAGAATTGCTTGAACCCAGGAGATGGAGGTTGCCATGAGTAGAGATTGTGCCACTGCACTCCAGCCTGGGCTAAAGAGGGAGACTCTGTCTCAAAAATAAATAAATAAATAAATAAATAAAAATAAAAAATAATCATGACCCCTTGTCCGATTTCCAGACCTGAGTCCGTTTTTGGATCCAGGCCCATTAACTAAAGAAGAATCTGGGTCCCCAGGAGGAAGGATTGTGTAATACCACAAGTGTGCACAATAATGATTCCTCTAGTCCTTCTCCAAAGGGACCTATCACCATTACTCAGGAAATCATACAGTGGTGAAAGGGGAATACTCAACATTTTGATATCTGTTGGAAACAGGGTCTGAGTTAACAATGATATCACAGAACTCTCACTATATGCCCTTGATTAGAGTAAGGGTTATGGAGGCCAAGTCCTAGGGTGTCCTGGCCCAAGTCTGGCTCACAATATATCCACAGACCCACCTAGTCCTTGAGTGTATAATTGTGATAAATACACTTGATTAGTGGCACCAGGTTTCTCGGTGTGTGTGGTAAGAGCTAACATAGTGATAAAGGCCAAGTGGCCAGGTGGAAGCTTTAAAAATTGACCTCTTCTCCATACCAATACAGTAAATCAAAAAATAATATTTCAGGGAATGGCAGAAATTAATGCCATCCTAAAAGACCTAAAAGATTCGGGGATG
Organism: Homo sapiens; assembly: GCF_000001405.40. Taxonomy (NCBI): domain Eukaryota; kingdom Metazoa; phylum Chordata; class Mammalia; order Primates; family Hominidae; genus Homo; species Homo sapiens. The sequence goes on along the minus strand of NC_000002.12, from coordinate 178,427,204 downwards.
ATGGTTCAAATTGTATCTCCATTTAATTTACCAGTCTAGCCCCTCCAAAAACCAGATAGTGGGCTACCACAAACTTTATGAGGTAGTAGCTCCAATTGTACCTACAGAGACAGCTACAGGCATCTTTGTTAGAGCAGACCCACATGGCATCAGGTGGACTTCTAGTTCAAAAATGGCAGTGTAGACGCAAGCTGGCTTCACTTCCACACCAGAAAACCAAAAACAAATATACAGCACTGAGATTATCACCAACAATATCCCAGAACTCAGATATGAGGATGAGTCAATTCCTGGGGACACAGAAGTGAAAAAACTCTGAGCATGGTAAAAGAATCAGATTTTTATATCTGTGGTGCCCCTTGCCACAATCTGTCCAGCACCAAGTGTGTGGAAAACTTTCCCCAACTCACAGTTTCTACAATGGAAAAAGTGAGATCAAGGTAGACAACCAACCTCCCTACCATCCTGGATTCCCTGGAAAGAGACCTGTCCCTGACTCACCCCATGGGAAGTATCATGAGTACCTTGAGGGAAAAACATTACCGAGGACAACCAGAGACAAAGGGAGGAGGCAGGACTTCAATCCCCAGCCCTGGAAACTCTGCTCTGTAACTTGATCAAAGAAGATGCCAGATCAGAGTGGTTACTCAGCAGCACCAGCTGTAGGAGATGCATTCCACAGATCCTCTTGGCACAAACCTTTAGCCGGCCTTTCACACTGCCAGGATATCCGCTTTGGGACCTCCCCCATTTGAGAAGGGCATCACTCTGATGAGTTTCTAGAGTGGAGGCAAACCTGGGCTTAAGGTGCCATCAAGTTCCAAAAGGGAGACAGTGACCTAGTGGGAAAATAAGAAATTTAACAGATAAGTCACAAAGAATCTCTAAGCAAACATCCCCGACAGAAAACAAAACAATCAAGACAGAGAAGACTGGAATAAATAATCCTTCAATGCAAAGATATGGACGTACATCCACAAGAAAAACAACAGCAATAGGGAACCATGACCTCCCCAAATGAATAAAGCAAGGAACAAGTGTCTGAATCTAAGAAAATGGTGATATGTGAGCTCTCTGACCAAGAATTCAAAATAGCAGTTTTAAGGAAACTCAGTAACCCCCAAGATAACACAGACAAGCAATCTATAAGTTTATCAGAGAAATTTAACAGATTAAAATAATTTTAAAAAAGCAAAATTCTCATTACTGAGAAATATATTTGCTGAACTAAAAAAAAATTAGATGAACCACAGAATGGATCAAGGAGAAGAAAAAGTCAGTGAGCTCAAAGACAGGCCATTTGAAATTACACAGTGAGGGGGAGAAAAGAAAAAAGAATGAAAAAGAATGAAGATCACTTACAAGATATAGAAAATTATCTCAAAAGACCAAATCGAAGAATAACTAGTGTTCAAGAAAAAGTTGAGCAACAGCAAGGGGTAGAAAGCTTATTCAAAGAAATAATAAAATTTTTTTCCCAAAACTTAAGAAAGATATAAATATCCAGGTATGCAGGTCAGAGAACACTAAACAGATTCGACCCAGATAAGACTACCCGTAGGCATAGTCGAACTCTCAAAGGGCAAGGACAAAGAAAGGGTCCTAAAAGCAGCAAGAGAAAAGAAGCAAATAACATAAATTCCAATTCATCTGGCAACAGACTTCTCAACAGAAACCATACAGGCCAGGAGCAAATGGGATGAAATTTTCAGTGTTGAAAGAAAAAAATGTCTGCCACACAAGAATACTGTATCCAGCAAAGCTATCCTTCAACCATCAAAGCAAGATAAAGTCTTTCCCAGATAAACAAAAGCTGAGAGAATTCACCACCATGAGGCCCATCTTAAAAGAAATGCTAAAGGGAGTTCTTCAATCCACAAGAAAAAAAAAAAAAACACCAATGTGCAAAAACAAAAACATTTGAAGGTATAAAACCCACTGATGAAATTAAGTACAAAGACAATCCCCAAATACTTCAATACTGAAATTGTGGTGTGTAATCCACTTATAACTCTAGTATGAAGACCAAAAGACAAACCTACCAAAAACAATAACAGCTACAGCAACCTGTTAAGAGATAAGCAATATAAAAATATGTAAATTGAGACAAACAAAAGTCAAAATGTAGAAGGGATGGAGTTAAGGTATAAAGGCTTTTTTTTTTAGTTTTTTCTTTTCTTTTTTTTTTTTTTTAATCTAAGATAAGTTGTCATCTCTTTAAGATGACTTGGTATATCTATGTTTTATGTAAGCCTCATGGTAACCACAATGTAAAAACCTATAATAGACACACTAAAAATGAAAAGCAACAAATTAAAACATACTCCAGAGAAAATCACTTAACCACAAAGGAAGACAATAAGAAAGGAAGAGAGGAATTATAAAACAACAATTAGAAAACAAGCACAAAATGACAGTAGTAAGTCCTTACTTGTCAATAATAACACTGAATGTAAGGGGACTCAATTCTCCAATTAAAAGGCTGAACTGATAAAGAAACAAGCCCTTAACTATATGCTGCTAACAAGAAACTTACCTCCCCTGTAATGACACACATAGACGGAAAGTGAAGGGATGGAAAAAAAAATCTATGCAAGTAGAAATCAAAAAAGATCAAGAATAACTATACTCACATCAGATAAAATGGACTACAAGTCAAAGACTATAAAAAGAGACAAAGAAGGTCACTATATAATGACAAAAGAGTGAATTCAGCAAGAGGATATAATAATTTATATATCTACGCACCCAACACTGGAGCACTCAATTATACAAAGCAAACATTAATAGATCTAAAGGGAGAGATAAACTGCAATACAGTAATATTAGGGGACTTCAACACCCCATTCTCAGTAACAGATAAATCATCCAGACAGAAAATCCACAAAGAAACTTTGGAGTTAAACTACATACTAGATCAAATAGGCCTAACTGACATTTACAGAATATTTCACCCAACAGCTACAGAGTGCAATGGTGTGATCTTGGCTCACCGCAACCTCTGTCTCCCGAGTTCAAGCAATTCTCCTGCCTCAGCCTCCCAAGTAGCTGGGATTACAGGCATGCACCCCCATGCCCAGTTAATTTTTGTATTTTTAGTAGAGATGGGGTTTCTCCATGTTGGTCAGGCTGGTCTCGAACTCCCGACCTCAGGTGATCCACGCACCTCAGCCTCCCAAAGTGCTGAGATTATAGGCGTGAGCCACCATGCCCAGCCCAGAAGACACATTCTTTTCTCATTATCCAGAACAGACCATATTTCAAACAAGTCTCAACAGATTCAAAAAAGTAGAAATCACAACATGGCACCACGTATACAATATGCAGCTGTTGATCTGACAAATGCATCCTTTCTATATTAGAAAAGAGGATCAGAAACACATTACCTTGGATCAGACAATAGTGAACATGTATAATCTTCTTAGAAGCATGTTAACTCTTCCAGCTTTTATCATAATATAGTCTGAAGGACCAAGACCAGCTGGGCATCTTGCAGAACATCACTGATTCACTATATCAATTATACCATGTTAACTGGACCAGAAGAGCAAGAAGTAGATAATATATTGGAGCTACCGCACATATACTCCGAAGGTGAGAGACAAACCCTACAAAGATTCAAGGAACTTCTACTGGTGGCTCTCTAGTGGGTCCACAGTCCAGGGCATGCCAAGATATGCCTTCCAAAATAAGCAACAAATTATTGCATTTTGTACCTCTCACCATAAAGAAGGTAGCATAAAAGAATGATAGGTTTCTATGGGTTCTAGAGGCAGCATATGCCATAGCAGGAAATACTTGCTGTTACCTATACACTGGATGACATAAAAGGCTTCCAATTTCAAGTGGGACCCAGAGCAGAAAAGGGCTCTGAAGCAGGTCCAGGTGGCAGTTTTACCACTTTGCCATACCACCCAGCAGATGCTGTTGTATTAGATATATAGGAAAAGATTCTGTGTGGAGTTTATGATAAGTCCTAATGGGAAAATCACAATGCAGACCCAAGAGTCTGGCCATGCTATCTGTAGCAGAGAAGTAAACACCTTTCAACAAACAGCTGCTGATGTGCTGCTGGGCTTTTATAGAGATATAGCACCAGACAAAGGGATGTCAAGTAGCCATGAAGCCAAGAACAATGATCATGAGCTGGGTTCTATACATGTAGAACACAAACATAGGCAAAGGGCACAGTATGTTACATTAGCAAGCAGCCTAGACTCCCATGTCTCTACCACTGTTGCACCAGTGTCTCTCCCTTGGCTTACATTTATTGTCACTGATCCCATATGACGAGCTGATGAAAGAGGAAAATGCATGAATTTGACTCACAAATGGGTATATTTTGGCAAACAAAATAGATGGTGTCTATAGTACTGTGCCACTCAGGGGTGGCCCTGAAAGTCAATGGTAAGGGAAAATCCTCCCAAAGGGCAGACCTTCGGGCAGTATACTTTGCTGTCCATTTGTGTAGAAAGGGTCTCAAGGTTAGAATATACATGGGTAGTGGCAACTGGCTTGGTCATGGGATCAGGGTCCTGAAAATAGACTAAACTACTGGGAACAAAGAGATTTTGAGATAAAAATGGTGGATTGGGCACATGAGAGTGGGCACAAAGCGTTAGGAGCTTTGTACTGCGTTTGATCTATACTACAAAGTATCCATAATGGAAAAGGCCCTGAACAACCAAGTCAGTATCAGGACTTGGCTGGTTAATAACATCCAGCATCTGGCATTGGAATAACTACTGTGGCAGGATTGGAGGCTATGTAACAGACCTAACAGGATGCGCTCCTATACACTGAGGCTGATCTAGTTATATTCACTGCTGAATTTTCAGCCTGCTAACAACAGAGACCAATGCTGCAATGCTGAGTGCCTATTCCTCAAGAAGACCAATCAGTCACTTGGTGGCAAGCTGACTTACAATAATGATCCTAACAAGACGCAGTGACTCATTTTGACAGGAATAGACACATATTCTAAATGATTCTCCTTTTCTATCTGCAGGGCATTGGCCAGCATCACTGAGGGCTTTCAGAGAGTTTGAACTACCTCATGGGACCTGTTTTATAGCAAAGGAGGAAAGAGTGGGCAAACGACCACAGCCTCTGCTTGTCTTATTATTACATGCTGCATCACCCAGAAGCCTCTACCCTGATAGAATGAATAATTAACTTGTTGAAGGCATACCTAACACGAACACCATCCTTTAAGATGAAGTGGACACTTTAATGGTCTTTATGTAGGGCTGTGTTCTTAACAGGTAGAATACATGGGTCCAGGAATCAAGAGGTAGAAGCAGGAATGGCCCTGCTTTCTATCATTCCCAGTGATTCTCTTGGGGGAAATTGTGCTTCCTGGCTCCACAACACTGGGTCCTGTCATTTAGAGGTCCTGCTTCCTAAAGGTGAAACACCTCCACCAGCAGATGTAGTTTATAGTTCAGTGAGACCCAAGAAGAGACTCATCAGTTTCATTGAATTATAAGCTACATCTGCGGGCTAGGTACTTCAGGTTCCTTGTACCAAGAAAGTAGCAGGCAAAAAGAGGAGTCACATCCTGGCAGGGATAATGGATCTTATCATAAAGAGGAGGTAGGACCACGGTTACAGTTGGAGGAAGGAGGAAAATGTTGGTAACCAAGCACTGCACGTATGCACCTCTTGGTATGCTCTTGCCCAATTCTGATTGTAAACGGACAGTGTAGCAGCCATTATGAGCCTAAAAAGATTATAGGGACCGGGGACTCTGAGCCTCTAAGGATCAAGGACTGAGTTTTATCACCAGGTAAGTCACTGAGACCAGCTGAGAGTGTCACTGCATCCAAGGTCACCCCCATCTTTGGGTTCCTTGCATCCAGTGACTGGGCAACAAAGTCCTGACCTTCTTGCTCCAATATGGGACATCAAAAGGGCCAACCAGCTTTAGAGTTTCCCATGGGGTCAGCTGAGAACACTGTTGACACTGTATCACAACCCAAGTCCTCCTTCCACCCAATCCTGATTTCTTTCCATTCCTTCCACGGATGATGATCACAAAAGCATTCCCTAATAAACCTTCTGCCTACTGTCTCCTGAGTCTGCTCCCTGAGAGTCCCACCTGAGATATGGAGTTATAGTTTAGTGAAAAAAGATGATAAGAATATCATATAAATCACATAATTTAAGATATATAAAATTACAAGTCAGCATTGGAGATACTCTGGATTCTCTTCAGATCATATATCTTTTGCCTTTTATTAGAATTTCTAGAGAGAGGATAAATTATGAGTTTGTAGCCAGTTTTTTCTTTGCTTTTTATTTTTGGCAGGGTTGCTATGGTTTGGATATGGTTTGTTTGTCCCTTCTCCTGCAAATCTCATGTTGAAATTTGATTCCCAGTGTGGTGGTGTTGGAAGATGGGGTCCAATGGAAGGTGTTTGGATCATGGGGGTGGATCCCATATGAATAGATTTATGCCTTCCCTTAAGGATGAGTGAGTTCTCACGCTATTAAATCCCAAAAGAGCTGGTTGTTAAAAAGAACCTGGCACCTCTTCCCCACCCCTGCTTCCTCTTCCCCAGCCCTGCTTCCTCTCTTGCATGTGATCTCTGCACACACCAGTTTCCCTTTACCTTTGCCATGAGTGGAAGCAGCCTAAGGCCCTCACCAGATGCAGAAGCCCAATCTTGAACTTTCCAGCCATCTAAAATCAGGAGCCAAATAATTTTTTTCTTTATAAATTACCCAGTCTCAGGTATTCCTTTAAAGCAACACTAAACAAACTAAGACAAGGTTTCTGTAGAGAGTGTGTGTATGTGCCGCGACAAAAAATATTTGCATTTTCAAAAGATTTCTTTCAACATTATCCAAAACAGTATGTAGGAAATGAAATAGAAATTATGCTAATTTGAGGACAATGTCCACTGTGAGTAATGCTGCATCTAGAATAACACTGCATCTCAAGGTCCAAAGAAGTTAAAAAACATGAAACAGCCCATATTGTAATATGAGTTCTAAAAAGGATAGTTTCGTGGAAGTTTCAGAGTATTATAACTAAGCAGCAGCTCTTACTACATTGAAAAAATGAATTTAAGGCAATAAATTATAGCTTTACCTGAAAAATTGTAAACTTGTGGAAATTACTGAAGATGTGGTCTACTCAGAACATTTACAAGCTTGACAACATATTCAGAATTACCAGCTTGACAGTATATTGAGATAGCAGATCATGATGGCTTTCTGCCACAAATACAGCTGATATCAAAAAGGAGACGATAACAATAAGCTAAGTCTTAAATTTCTTGTACTTAATTTATCATTTTCTGATTTCCTCATTTCCCTCAATAATTTTTTTAGATTAAGACTTATCAAAAAGGCCATCTGCAGAGAACAGTGTGTAATGAAGATCTGATAGCTATTCAGTCAATTTGAATATTAGAGAGGGTGAAGTAGATGGATTGGAATATGTGGGTTTTTTTTGCTTCACTGCTTGGGCTGGGGCAAGAGTGGGACATCGTGGAGAGAAGACCTGAATAAACTAGTTTTTCTTTCTATGCTGATCTGAGTGAATGGATAGCTGCCACATGTTTATAGCATTCTGTGCTAATAGATACAGTAGAGGTTTGAAAAATATTTACATATATCTCACCAAAAAAAAGAGGCAGAAGACAGAGGCAAACTGTTTTCAAGTATATGAGCTAAAACCAAAGAAAGGCTTGGACTTACAGATGTCTCCAGTCATAATTTTTTAAAATAAGATGAACAATTGGAGCACATTTAGATGGCAGATTAAGAATTAGATAGTATAGTAAATGCTGGGTTCTATTACAAATATTTACATTCTTATTTATGAGCTTGTGCTTTCATTCTAGTGCAATCTCCGTTATGGCCAGATGGGTGTGTTACTGCACAGGATTTATTTGAAATTCAGAAACTGACAGTACCTGTGCCTGATTGCTTGGTTTATTTTATTCATTTTATCTCATATTTCTAGTTAAGAAAGGTAGTTTTAATGGCAAAAGAAAGCAGGCTAAGGATTTAATATTTTGTTCATGCACTTAATAAAGGACTTAAGCAAATGCTTTGTTTTTATTTGTTAATAGTAGGACAGTAATAAAAATTAGTGTTAATAAAGATCAACTCACATGATGGGACTTTTGCTTTGAAACACTGGGCTAGGAACAAATTCATACTGAGCTTTAGGATTTTAAAGAATAATTTAGCTAGACTTTATTAAGGATTGACTATGTTACCTACACTGGACAAAACATTTTACATACATATATAAAGCCATTTTTCTAAGAAGCTGTACAGAACAATAATTAAGTGAGCATCTCTAAAGACAGACTGCCTGGGTTTGAATTCAAGCTCCATCACAGGTAAACGGCTGTGTGATTTGGGGCAAGTTGCTTAACCTTTCAGTTCCTCAGTTTCCTCATCTCTAATTTAAGGGTAACTGACTTCTGCTTCCAAACATGATATAATAACATGTGTGGGCTAGCCCTCCTTTCACTGTAAACAACTTTAAAACTGGACAAAAGACAGAAGGCAGCTCCTTTCAGACATTGTATATGATAAAGAAAAAAATTACTCAATGAGGCAAGGTACAGTGACTCACTCCTGTAATCCCAGCACTGTAGGAGATTGGGGCAGGAGGATTGCTTGAAATCAGGAGTTTGAGATCAGTCTGGGCAAATAGTGAGATCCGCATCTCTATAAAAATAAAAATAATTTAAAATATTAGCTGGGTTTGATGGTACCCTCCTGTAGTCCTGGCTACTTGGGAGGCTAAGGTGGGAGAATCACTTGAGCCCAGGAGTTTGAGGCTGCAGTGAGCTATGATTGTGCCACTGCACTCCAGCCTGGTGACAGAGCAAGACCCTGTCTCCTGAAAAAAAAAAAAAAAAAATTTTTAAATGATACTTGTTAAAGCACAATAAGGCAGATTTTAGGACTATCTCAAAAGGTATAGGGACCGTTACAATGGGATTCTGCAGTAGGGGAGAGAGGTTAGGTTCAGCTATGAATATAGCATGGGCAAGAGGGAATTTATAGCCAAGGGGCAAGGTAGTGGCAGTGGATAGACAATTACTAAGAGGAAACATCAAGGGTAAGGGGAATTCTGCCTAAACCAACCAATCTAACAGGATTCTTGCGAAGTCAGACCAGATTAATCAGATGTCACCTGTGGGATGGTAGAGGCTGAGGAACCCAATCAGATATCAAGGGTGATCAGATATCAAAGGTGGGGATTCTTGCTAACCCAACTAAGCAGCGTTCTTGCTACAACTGGCTTTTACATGGAAGTGCACAGATGGGCTTAGTAGAAGGCTCAGGAGCCTGATTAAAGTTTGGGGCCAAGCAAAGAATCTTAGACAACAGCACAGATTGCTAACCTGAGAGAGGGGAAACACATGAGATGATCCCCCTGGTGGCCCTAGATTTCTGCTCAAGAGCCCATTTTGGACTGCAGAATGGAAAAGTGAAGTCCAGAGAGACCTCAGGGATGCTGAATTGCCTAGAGTAAGTAGGGTAGAGTACCTGAGGATAAGGAGTGGTGTAGAGAAGGAACTACAGAATCCTGCATAGGGATTCCCCTGAAGTCTTTAGCCAAATACAAAGCTGTGCATGTGCAGAGTAAGACTCTGTGAGGGCCAGCAGAGAACAGTTACCACTGATGAGTGACAAGCTGAGTCAAGATTCCACAAGTCCTCCAGTGTTGGAAAACACAGGTGATCAGCACTGTCCAGCAATATATATTCTGAATATGTGTCACGTTTTCCTGCTTTTCTGATTCTCTTATATTTTGATAGATTATATGCTGGACATTACAGATTCTACATTGCTGTGAATCAAGATTTTGTTGTCTTCCTTTAAAGAGTATTGAGTTTTTTTCTCACAGACAGTTAATTTAGTGATGGATCACATTGATTCTTATAGGAGGGGTATTTTAAAAGCTTTGTTAGCATGGGTTTAAAGTAGCGCCTTCCTAGAGACTAAAGCACCCCTATTCTTCAAGTATGACTCTTTCCACAGCATTGCAAGTCACGAAACCCGCCCAGATTCAAGAGGTGGGCCCAACTTTTCACGGGTAGAGTTAAAAAAAATCACATTGCAAAGGGTCTGCCTACAGGGAAGTATTGGAGACATTCTTGCAATGGATCTACCACAGTTCATTTCAATCTGTTTCTTCTCCACTACCCGCATATTTCTGATGCCAAGCAATAGGTCACATTCATATCATAGTGTGACCTCTGGCCCTGCTTTTATATGTAGGGTGTATGTGAACCCGCATAGTCACTAGTAGGAGTATTCCTAGAAACCATTCCAGTAGTGGTATGACCATTACTTAACTATACATGGATGTGACTACAAACCACATACATATATCCCATTAAACCCAAACTCAATGTAGTCTCAACTCAATTTATCCCTTGGCCAAATCCCAGAAATGCCCGTGATCACTCCAAAACTTTAAAGTCGGGGGTTGTGCCTAGCCAGAGCAAGGAAGAGTATTGGGATGGGAGACAAGAGGGAAGTCAGAGTGGGAAGAGACAGCAGGTCTAACTGTCAAGGGCCGAGCTTAGTTCCAGAGAGTTGAGGTGCCAGAAGTCAGAAAAGCAGTGAAGACAATAAGCCAATATGAAAGGAAGGGTCAAGGCTTTAATCCCATGCTGTGATAGAATGGCACCAATCCAGGGTCAGGTGGATCAGCACAGCTTTGCTGAGAGAACCCTTGAACAAAAGGCTCCTGCAGTTTTATGGACCCAGGGCCTGGGATGAGGAGAAGGTGAAGGACTTAGAGTGGAAAAGTACTCAGTACTGAGTCCGAGTGGGGAAAAGTGTCTTCAAGCTTCCTCCTGTCCTCCAATAAGGAGATGTCTGCAGGAGTCCCTGAGGAAGCTCTCCCTCTACATAGAGACCTCCAAATGGACCCCATAATGACTTGGTCACTCTGAGTCATTGTTCTCTGGCATCCTTAATTCCAATATTCTTCACATCACATGAACTCTTTGAGCCTCAGTTTCCTTACCAGTAAAATGGGGATAAACTGCTCTACCTTCCTCTCAGGTTAGAAAGATGAAATGAGATAATAAATGTGCAAATGCTTTGAAAACCTTGAAGATGCACAAATGTAAGCCATTTTCTCCTTAAAAAGTTATGAAATTGAGGTGGCCAACTCTAATATAAAATTCCCTCTGTAACATTTCAACTTAACAGGCTTTAAGGGATCAGCTAAGTAAAAAGCAAATGTTTTACCCAAGCACAGGATTCCAAGGTTATTTATGGCATTCTCTGAATCTCTGTAGTACTTCCTATTGTTACAATCTGTCCTGCATTGTCTGATGATGGCCTTTTATCTTAAATGAGGCTGAGACTTTTTGTTACTATTACATCGGCACTGTCTGAAAAAATATAATGCAAACCATATACATAATTTAAACATTTCTAGTAGCCACACTCTTTGAGAAAAGAAACTGATTGAATTATATTCTATTTAACCTAATATGTCAAAAACATTATCATTTTAACATGTAATAAATATAAAAATTATTAAGATATTTTACATTCTTTTTTACATACTATGTCTCTGAAATCCAGCCTATATTTTATATTTTACATTTACAGTACATGTCTTTTTTTCCTTTTTTTCTTGGAGACAGAGTCTTGCACTGTTGCCTAGACTGGAGTGCAGTGGTGCGATCTCAGCTCACTGCAACCTCTGCCTCCTGGGTTCAAGCAATTCTCCCATCTCAGCCACCCACGCTCAGCTAATTTTTGTATTTTTAGTAGAGACAGGGTTTTGCCATGTTGGCCAGGCTGGTCTCAAACTCCTGGCCTTAAGTGATCCGCCCACCTTGGCCTGGCCTAGCTGTCACTGACTTTGTAAGGAGTTTCTGCAAATGCTTCTTCAGACTTTTCCCACGTTTTTTAAAACCCCTATTTATATTACTACTTAATGGCAATTTCTTCCACGGTCACAGAGAACACAAAGACCTTTGATTTGCTCTTTCCACCACAGAATATCACTCTAGGAAAGCATTCCATCATAATGTATATAAGGTGCCTAAACTGTGCTATAATCTTAAGCATTACAGGGACTCAGAATGAGGTCGTTAAAGCAGTGTTTTCCAAAGCGTGTTCCGCTGACCTAATCCCATACTCAGCGTATGCAACTTGATATTTTAATTTGTACCCTAGTGATCTAGTCTTATGCCTTCTGGGTACATATTGCATCATATCTTTAAACACATCCAGCTTCTAGAATGGTGCTGTACACGCAGGAGGTCGTTGAGCTTCACCTTCCTGCTAATGACAAAATCAGCAATTGCCTTTAACCACAGGAACTTCAGCCCGTTGGTCACTAGGGGGAGACACACACGTGGTGGGCCTCTCCAGGCTCCTCAAATCCCGCCAGAGTCGCCACTGTGTAGTCTGCCCAGAGAAACCACACCCAGTCTTAGGAAGAGGAAACTGACTGCCATCCATTTCACGCTACTGTGGCCGGCGAGCTCAGAGTGGAATCATTTGCAAGGCAGCTCCTCCAAGAATAACCAAGCCGAGATCTAGCTGATCAACGATTGAATTTAGAGTAAAACTTGACAGAATAAAACTCCCTTCGGTTTGTCCGTACTACCTGGGTTTGCAGAAATGCTTTTCCTTAGCATTTAATTTTGGGACCTGTAAATATAACTGCTTTTTAGATGCATTCCATAATCCTCAATTAACTTACTGCAGTAAAAAGATAATTAGGTTAATATAAACTGCTCCAAGGGGTTTCTGATCAGACTGAATTTTATTTCATTTGAAATAAGGTCGTTGTTTAATCTTGCAAGTTAAATAATCTTGATTTTACGCTGAATAGGGGCCTGAGATAGATGAAAGAAAATTTCCTTTTCATACATGTGAGAAATAAACTGTTTCTTACACTCATATTCACAAGTGTGACCGTTAGTCCAAGTTGAGGCAATTAACATATTTAGGAAGAAAAAAACTTCCTCACAGAAGGATTGGCATTGGCCCTTCTGAACAGTATTGCAAAGTCTGAAGGAAAAACCCTATTGACACCACTTTCTAGCCAAATGCTATAGGACGATATCAATACTTACTGTACTGAGTGGGCATTTATTTAGTTATTTCACAGTGAAGATATCTTTTCTGGAAAATTCCTCATAAGAAAACTGAAATTCAAGCTCCTGCTCGTTCTTCAGCCACCGCTACTCGTTCCTGCTTTTTGTGCCCATAGGTTCTTCTGCCCAAAACAAAAGCTGTTAAATCACCGCGGCGGCGCTGACGTCAGGGAGCAGGGCCGCGAGGCCCCACCAGGTCGCCAATGAAGCCTCCCCTCGGCTCTGCCGGGGGCTTTGCGGGGCGCATAGAGGCTCCCAGGCGGATAGAGGCTCCCAGGCGGAGGAGTCCGGGAACCCCTAAAGACCCTTTAGGAAGCAAGGTCCGGAAAACCAAGCACGAGCAAGAGGCCCCGGGCGGCTGTATCCCTGCCCGGCGAATTCAGAGGGAGCGGGCGCCGCGGCCACCCAAGAGCAACGAAGACGGCGGCGCGGAGGAGAGGATGGGGAGGGGTGTGGGCCGCCCAGAGGCGCGGAAGCTGGGAGCACCGCGCGGCTTAGGAACTAAAATAAATGCTTGTCTGAATCTGCCCCGGGTGGGGGATGAAGGAACAAGGGCTTGGGAGGAGACCGATACATTTTAGAAATTGCCGGTGGGGGAGCCAGGGGCGGTGGCTCACGCCTGTAATCCCAGCACTTTGGGAGGCGTAAGGCGGGCTGATCACCTGAGGTCGGTAGTTCGAGAGAGACCATCCTGACCAATATGGAGAAAGAAACCCCATCTCCACTAAAAATACAAAATTAGCCGGGTGTGGTGGTGCATGCCTGTAATCCCAGCTACTAGGGAGGCTGAGACAGGAGAATCGCTTGAACCCGGGAGGCGGAGGTTGTAGTGAGCCAAGATCATGTCACTGGATGTTATTTGTTAATTTTTTGATGTACACTGCAAGATCACACAAGAAATGAAGCTATTAAGCCCAGGTATTGGGCCTTTTATAGGGGTGTTTTTTCATGGTGAATGGGTAAATATGTCTCTACTTTGTGTGCTTATTAAACAACCCTGACTATGTGGTCTTGAAAGGAGAGATCCTGCCTTAGTTTCGCCTCTCATTAGCCTTATGTGAGAGCTTTTTTTCAGAGACAGGCAACCAGGAATATTTATTCCAGAAGCAGTCATTGCAGTGGAGAATTTGGGGTTTGAATCATAGAAGACAGAACTAGATAAAATCCTAGATGTTACCTCCAATCCCTTCATTTAAAAATTTGAGGTCACCCAGGCCAGGTGCAGTGTCTCACGCCTGTAATCTCAGCACTTTGGGAAGCAGAGGCAGGTGGATCACCTGAGGTTAGGAGTTCGAGACCAGCCTGGCCAACATGATGAAACCCCGTCTCTAATAAAAATACAAAAACTAGCTGGGTGTGATGGTGCACACATGTAATCCCAGCTACTAGGGAGGCTGAGGCAGGAGAATTGCTTGAACCCGGGAGGCGGGGATTGCAGTGAGCCCAGATGGCGCCACTGCACTCCAGCCTGGGCGACAGCGCGAGACTCTGTCTCAAAAAAAAAAAAACAACAACAAAATTGAGGTTACCCAAATTAAGAGAATTGGTAGTTAAGACAGACCAAGATTAATAACTTTTAGACATTTGTAGACCCTAGTTATTGGGGGTGCTAGACTCTTAACACTTTTCCAAGAAAAGGGGTAAATCTTGTGTTTCTTAATTCGGAAGGAAAAAAAAAATCTACCACTTGCAATTTGGCATGGGCCAGAGGCAATATTATCAGTTATATGCCTCTACGGTGTGATATTGAGTGATATACATGGAGAGAATATGGGCTACATTTTATGGTTTACTGTTTTGGGGAAATGAGGCCTTTGACATGCAGGGTAATTATTGCTGGGGACTCTGCTCAATAGGAGGCCATCACCTGGGCCCCATGCCAAAGGGAAAGCTTGTAAATTCCACTTCCCTGGAAGGCTGATAACGTGTAATAATCATGACATGGATTACTTGGTCCTGTTGGGTCCCAGCTTGTGAGATTCTTTCTGATCAAAGTTACCATCATGGGCAAACTGTGGTTAAATAGGCTTTAATCTCTGTGTTCATAAAGTTCTATTATCCTGGTCCAAGAGATTGGCAGTCTATAACTTCCTTTTTTTTTTTTTTAACACAAACATGAAATTAACACTTTTTGCTCTAAACTAATTAAAGATTCACGGGAAGTTGCAAAGGTAGTATGGAGATGTCCCTGTACCTTTCACCAAGTCCTTCAGTGGTTACATCTTACATAAATATAGTGCAATATCAAAACAAGGAAATTAACAATGGTACAACATGGATATAGATGTCATTTTTTTATTTAAAAATTTTACTTGTGGTAAAGTACACATAACATAAAATTTACCATCCTAGGCTGGGCATGGTGGCTCATGCCTGTAATCCCAGCAATTTAGGAGGCCAAGGTGGGGGCAGATCATGAGGTCAGGAGTTCGAGACCAGCCTGACCAACATGGTGAAACCCCATCTCTACTAAAAATACAAAAATTAGCTGGGCATGGTGGTGCTCACCTATAGTCCCAGCTACTCAGGAGGCTGAGGCAGGAGAATGGCTAGAACCCGGGAGGCGGAGGTTGCAGTGAGCTGATATTACTCCGTTGCACTCCAGCCTGGGCGACAGAGTGAGACTCCATCTCGAAAAAAAAAAAAAAAAATACCATCCTATTTTTAGGTGCACAGTTCAGTAGTGTCAAGTACATTCACTTTGTTGTGCACCCAATCTCCAGAACTCTTTCTCTTGCAAAATTGCAACTGTGTATGTACCTTTTAAATACTAATGTCCCATTTTCTACTCCTCCCATCTCCTGGAAACCACTTTTCTATTATACTTTCTATTTCTATGAATTTAACTACTTTGGGTACCTCATATAAGTGGAATCATACACTATTTGTCTTTTTGTACCTGACTTATTTCATTTAGTATAATATCCTCAAGGTTCATCCATGTTGTATATGCATCAGAATTTATTTCATTTTTAAGGCTGAATAATATTCCATTTTATGTATATACCACATTTTGTTTATTCTTCAGTCAGTGAACACTTGGATTACTTCCTTCCACCTTTTGGCTATTGTGAATATGGCTGTGTAAATATCTTCTCAAGACCCTGATTTCAATTCTTCTGGATATTGTTATGGGCTGAATGTCCCCACAAAATTCCTATGTTGAAGCCATAATCCCTAGTATCTCAGAATGTGACTGTATTTGGAGACAGGGCCTTTATAGAGATAATTAAGTTAAAATGAGGTCCTTAGGGTGGGCCCTAATTCAATCTGACTGATGTCCTTATAAGAGGAAATTTGGGCACACTGAGAGACACCAGATACTTGTATGGGCCGAGGGACCACGAAGAAACCACACCTACTGATTGATGCCTTGATCTTGAACTTTCGGTCTTCAGAGCTGTGAGAAAATAAATTTCAGTTAAGTCACTCAATCTATGGTTTTCTGTTATGGCAGCCCTAGGAAACTGATGTAGGTATATACCCAGAGGTGAGATTGCTGGATCATATGGTAATTCTATTTTAATTTTTTGGGAAACTGTCATACTCTTTTCCACAGTAGGTGCACCATTTTACATTGCCATCAGTAGATCACAAGGGTTCCAATTTCTCCACAATCTCATTGACACTTGTGTGCTGTTTGTTCGTTTGTTTATAGTAGCCATCCTACTCTCTGTGATGTGGCATCTCATCGTGGTTTTGATTTGCATTTCCGTAATGCAATGTAGTGATGTTGAGCACCTTTTAAAGTGCTTGTTGGCCATTTGTGTATCTTCTTTGGGTAAATGTCTATTCAGGTCCTTTGCCCATTTTTAAATAAAGTGTTTGCTTTTTTGTTGTTGAGTTGTAGGTTTCTTATCCTTTAAAAACCCTCTTGTTGGACCTAAACCCTGGGAGAACTGATGACCATAGAAGTTTTCAAGGAACCTAATTTTAGAAAGAGAGGGGGCTACAGATATGTAGATTAATTGTGTGACTTACTGTCCAAACCGGACACTTTTGAGAAGGGGGTGCTAAACATCATTATAATTTTATATTTTAAAAAATATTTATTGACCAACAAATTCATGTTATTATATTGGTGGACTTATAACAATTGTATTCAATTTTCAAAGAAAAAATTCTTTTTTAAAAAATAAAAATCTAGAAAATTTAGAAAGTTTTATTCGTAAAAGAATATACAAGGATTTAAAAACAAATTTAAAAATGTATTCATATTGATTATCTGAACATTAAAAAAACTCAACAGAATAATAACTTTTGGTACATATTTGTGTCCACTAATCAGTTACTTAGATGTATCTCTAATATTGTATCACTGGCATTTTCCAAAGTGCGTGTCTGGTCTTATTATTTTTCATTTTCTTCTTAAAATTGCCTGCAGTGTTCTTTGACATTGTGTTTTATGGTTAATAATTTTGTGATTGTTTACATCTTCAATTGTTTCTTCACAGTAGAATAATATTTTTAACTGAGAAACTACTCTCTCTCTGCAAGTGCTGAAATACTTGGTAAATTTGGGGCAAATCCTGCTAAATGGAGGATATTCTAAAATAGTTTTTGTTGTGAAATGTGTAAAATTTCAGCCTAAATATTTTCACAAGAATTGTCCTTTTGCCATTCGTCAGAACGCCTGAAGCAACAAATAGTTTTGACAAGACAAAATATGTCAAATAAATTGTCTCCAGATTCTTTTGAATGTTTTGTCAATTTAAATGCTGCAAAACCATTGGGCGGTCTTGATTTTATTCCACTCGAATGAAGAATATAAATTTATGCAATTAAAAATAAGAACTAGATCAAAAGATTCTTCTTGTAAGTCTCGACATTCCAAAGTCCAGTTAGAAAATTTTAAGATTATGTCTACATTGTTTGAGCCCTCATCATTTAATTTATTCAGTTCCTGTCTTCTGTGAAGGAATAAAATGTAGTGTTATCCTGTTTGGAAGTTTTGTTTTTCACTAATTGCAATTCATTAAAAGCTTCAAAAACTGAAGTTTTTAGCATGCTATTCATGGAATATTTAGATTAACAATTTCTAACTGATTTTGTGCAAAGTACAAAATTTAGGGGACTTGTTACATAAAAGTTCAATACCATTGTAAGATACTTAGGATGATTTACAAAGTAGTACTTCAAAGGCTCAAATATTTTAAAATTCAATTGATGATAGATAGTAAAAAAGGTATATAACTATGCTGAAAACTTCAGGGATTTTAAAAATTGAATATCAATTTTGCTAGAAAAATTTTGTAATTTGATTACGTATACTGGAAATTATATAAATATTTGTTAAATGTGACAGCTACTTTCATTGGTAAGATTTCTCTGTTTGAACACAGTTTTGAATTATACTATATATATACTATAGCCAAATATATATAATATATATAATATATATTATACTATATAATATATATAATATATATTATACTATATAATATATATAATATATATTATACTATATAATATATACTGTAGCCAAAATCTAGTATATACATATTTTTGTCTTATTTTATATCTAGTATATTTTTGCCTTGAAGTTTTCTTAATAAGAACATTGCTTTTACCACAATGCTATACCCACCGACATTTGCATCTTCACAGCACAGTTGAACTTTTGAACTGAATTTTTAGTAACGTTCACAAAATAGTGTCAGATATTTTATTTTCGACACAATTAACTTCTAAAAGTTTTACTTTGATTTCATAAATTGGATGAAAAAAATTGAACTACTTTTGGAATTACTTCAGTTGATTTTCTATTTGAAGCATCTTATGCCAGTGGTATAAAATTGACATTATTTAACTATCTGCAAAGTTCTGCTCTTGGAGCCAACACACTAACAGCTATTACTTCATGTTAATGTACACACACGAAACTTGGATTAAAAAATGAGTAAAGGTAATTTAGAAGTAGAGACATGTGAACTGAATGAAACTCATGCTTCACGGAATGCTATGAAAATGTCCCTTCTGCTTTGGGAGGCTGAGGCAGGCAGATCACCAGAGGTCAGGAGTTTGAGACCAGCCTGGGCAACATGGTGAAACCCTGTCTCTACTGAAAATACAAAAAATCAGCCAGTCATGGTGGTGCATGCCTGTAGTGCCGGCTACTCAGGAGGCTGAGGCATGAGAAATGCTTGAGCCCTGGAGGTGGAGGTTGCAGTGAGCCAAGATCTCACCACTGAACTCCAGCCTGGGCGACAGAGTGAGAATCTGTCTCAAAAAACAAAACAAAACAAAAACAAAAAAAAACAAAAAAACAAAGCCCCTTCTGCTGCTCTGTGTGTCAAATCACCATCTTTAGGCATGAAGTTCTTAAAATAACAACTAACTTTTCAAATACATGCTATGGCTTATTCACAAGATTTAAATCTGGTTTTCAAGTTAGAGACTGAATATACAAACAGACAAGGCCACATCATATATGACAATAGAACTCTTACCCACAGCCTCTACAGCAGGGGTGTCCAATCTTTTGGCTTCCCTGGGCCACACTGGAAGAAGAATAATTGTGTTGGGCCACACACAACATGCACTAACACTAATGATATCTGATGAGCTAAAAAAAAAAAAAAAAAAAAGTAAAATAAATCTCATAACGTTTTAAGAAAAGTTTATGAATTTGTGTTGGGCCACATTCAAAGCTGTCCTGGGCCACATGTGGCCCACAGGCCGTTGGTTGGGCAAGCTTGCTCTACAGTAACCGGTCCAGGAAACCGTATTACAACTCCTACAACAATCAGTCCAGAACAGTCAGGACTTGTTCAATGGCTGCCAACTTCCCTGTTTTTAACCCCTCTTCCAACTCAGGACCAACCAGAGAAAGTCAAACATGCTCCCTAAACCAAACACCTAAGAGGCCTTGCTTCCACTTAGCCCACCCGCATCTCTTCCTGCCAACAACTTCCAAACCAAATATATCTGAAATTGCTTAAAATATAGAGCTTGACTATTCTCTTTCCTGCCTTTGAGTCTCTGCCAAATGCAAGTGATGGAGGCTGACTCTCTTGCTATAGCTAGCTCTGAGTCAGTAACCTCTGCCCTCATTTGGGTGGTCTTCTCTACTTCCCATCATTGATTTCATGATGGATGAAATGACCAATAGTGGATGGTAAACATTGATGAACACTTGGTACAAGTTACATATCCTTTATCAATTTTCTTTTCCTTTTTCTTTTCTTTTTTTTTGAGACGGAGTCTTGCTCTTGTTGCCCAGGCTGGAGTGTAATGGCTCACTGCAACCTCCGCCTCCAGGGTTCAAGTGATTCTCCTGCCTCAGCCTCCCAAGTAGCTATCAATTTTCTTAAAAAACAAATATTCAGTACTCTATCTCTTATTACATGTGTCCTTTTTTAAAAAGCTAGCTTCTTACAACAAACAAAAAGTTGTTATCGGGCCGGGCGCTGTGGCTCATGCCTATAATCCCAGCACTTTGGGAGACTGAGGCAGGAAGATCACTTGAGGTCAGGAGTTTGAGACCAGCCTGGCCAACATGGAGAAACTCCATCTCTACTAAAAATACAAAAATTAGCTGGGTGTGGTGGCGTTCGCCTGTAGTCCCAGCTGCTTGGGAGGCTGAGGCAGGGGAATCGCTTGAACCCAGGAGGCGGATGTTGCAGTGAGCTGAAATCACACCACTGCACTCCAGCCTGGCGACAGAGCAAGACTCCGTCTCGTTAACAACAAAAAAAATTATTATCAACCAAGAAAATAAATGAACAGTAGTAGACTTTCACCATGCAATAAATACTAGAATTACTATAGCAAGAGTGAACGGACTGTTATACACTCTTCCATAAGACTGTTAAACCTCTATGTACTCTATAACTTTCCACAATTTTCATTGACCCTGCTTCATGTACCTTGCATGCCAAGGCACAGACCACAGCACAACAGACACACCAAGTAGCTGAGCAGTAGCATCAACTGCTTCTCCCACACGACTGGAAGGATCCGGCTGTCCTCAGCCCCTCAGTCTGAGCATACTTTGTCTTATCATCAAGAACCATGGCTACTCTCCTTGAAATTTTAGGACGTATTTAGTTATATTGACTCCTGCAAGGGTCTGTGAGAGAGAGAGAGGATATTGTTAAGGTTTTCACTTTCTTTTTTTTTCAGATTTAATCATGTGTTAAGTGAGAATCTTGTTCATTGTATGCATCTACTCATATACTGCTAAGTATATGAGTGAGACCATGTCTCTAAACTAAAAGTAAAATGTAGATCTCTAATAAGCTCATGCTGGCTTATTTATTTATTTATTTAGAGACAGAGTCTCACTTTGTCCCCCAGGCTGGAGTGCACTGGCATGATCTTGGCTCCCAGCAACCTCAACCTCCCTGGTTCAAGAGATCCTCCTGCCTCAGTTTCCCAAGTAGCTGAGACTAGAGACACATGCCACTGCACCCAGCTAATTTTTGTATTTTTTGTAGAGACAGGGTTTTGCCACATTGCCCAGGCTGGTCTCCAATTCCTGGGCTCAAGCAATATGCCCTCCTTGGTCTCCCAAAGTGCTGGGATTACAGGTGTGAACCACTGCACCACAGTGTCAAGAGGCTCAGGAGCTGATTAATAAGTTTCCCACTGGCCAAAGAGGAGACAATTTAAGCATCAGTAAAAATAATAACTGCAACGGGTTAAAACATATTTAAATTATTACTCCTAGCATTTTGGGAGGCCGAGGCGGGCAGATCATCCGAGGTCGGGAGTTTGAGACCAGCCTGACCAACATGGAGAAACCCCATCTCTACTAAAACACAAAATTAGGTGGGCGTGGTGGCACATGCCTGTAATCCCAGCTACTCGGGAGGCTGAGGCAGGAGAATCACTTGAACCCGCGAGACGAGACGGAGGTTGCAATGAGCCGAGATCGCACCACTGCCCTCCGGCCTGGGCAACAGAGTGAGACTCCGTCTCAAATAATAATAATAATAAAGCAATTGGGGAAGATGAGCAGCTTAAAAAATAATAACCAAAAAATACTATGCTAACATATAGAAAATTCTGAGAATGAAGTAGAAAATTAAGTATTTTGGAGGAGAATCTTAAGGAAGAGAAGGGTTGAATGTGAGGTGGTTTGATTTTCTTTGAAAGAAAAATTCTCATTCTTATATTTCTCTTCTAAAATTTTATAAATCTGAATTTGAAGGGTAAAGTACTAAGCTGTTACATTTGGGAAGTTTACTCTTGGTAAACTTTAAAAATGATGGACAATTTCAGGAATAAGTAGGAAATACTGAGCTTTCATTATTTATACCTTAGAGTACTTGCTATATGGATGACCTCGTTAAGAGACTTGAGAGCTTCCTGGCAGAGATTTATTTTTATAGTTTTCACTCCCTCCCAACCCATCAAACCCATTGTTTTAAAGAGAAAACAGCCCTGTTAGCATGTATGTTAGCAGAACCTGTGCTGTTGAAGCAGGCTGGTCTTCAGGCAGACAGCTGTCCACATTGCACAGCTGCCTGGCCAAGCAGCTGCCAGACAGGCCGTGCAGTTCTGAGTCAGGCCAACCCACATCCTTCAACGGTCAACCCTTGCCATCTGATGGCTTTCTGTCTGAGTCAACAAACTGTTGTCACGTATTCAGTTGTTTATCCCATCGTATCCTCCAATTCTGTACTTAGCAAGCTAAAACAAAACCAAGAAACCACTGCCTACCACCAGCAATAGTTTAATGTAACTGGGGCTATATGCACTTTTATAAAAGATTAATTCTCTGGCATGATTTTATAATTGGGCAGGAAAACTGACTTATGGCAACTGTGACTGTATAATCACAAACTATGCAAATGAAAGTTTCATCTATTATGTCTCTCTATTTTCAATTTGCTTCCCAGTTACTTAAGTACATATGGCAAAGGGGGTGGGGGCATTTCTTTGTCATTTCAAGTGTTTAGCATTTTCTCAATCTTCTCTCGCCACCTCCCCCTTCCCTCTAAGCTGATAACTTCTGGTGCATACACAGAAAAGGAGACAAGACTGACTTCTTTGTGTGTTCTTGCCAACCACATCAAAGTTTCTCCTCAATAGAGCCCTAGGAACTTATCCCTAGGACGTGATATTACAAGGTCCTCACATTTCTGTGATTGGACAGTGTCAGGATAGACTGGGTACCAGCCCATAAATGCACCACAGTGAGGCCAGGCTGTAGAAAGGCCCCAGAGCATGTGAGTTTATCACATTCCAGCAGGATTGAAATAGGTTGACTACCAATGTTTGTTTTACAAAAAACAGATTTTGGGATTCCAGTTAACCAAACAGTTGGTATGTTGTTTTGACACTCTGAAAATATTTCTTCCTCTACTTCTTTTGAAGAAATTGGAGACTTGGAGATTAAGACTGATAAATCATCTACTTATAATACGTGTACAGATTACAAACTAAACACATCATCATTGTTTTATTGAAAGTGTTTTCACCATTGACAGATAGAAAATAGCCCCCATGAAATCTCTCTTCCCAAGGGAGAATTATTGAATGAATGTAAATGAATCCCTAGAACTTTCCCAAGAGACCAAGATGGAAGAAACTCTCACCTAAGTGATTGTGAGTTTCCTGCAGACTTCATGAACTACAGCTTTTCTCCCATAATCTAGAAACATGGGAAACTGAAGGCAACTCTAAGTCTTTTTTTGTTTATTTATTATTATTATTACTATTTTTTGAGATGGAGTCTTGCTCTGTCTCCCAACCTGGAGTGCGGTGGTGTGATCTCGGCTCACTGCAAACTCTGCCTCCTGGGTTCAAGTGATTCTCCTGCCTCAGCCTCCCGAGTAGCTGGGATTACAGGCATGTGCCACCACACCCAGCTAATTTTTGCATTTTTAGTAGATGGGGTTTCGCCGTGTTGGCCAGGCTGGTCTCAAACTCCTGACCTCAGGTGATCCACCGCCTTGGCCTCCTGAAGTGCAGGGATTACAGGCATGAGCCACAGTGCCCAGCCTTAAGTCTTTTAATATTCAGGAAAATTCAGTTCAAAATTCAGGAAAAGAATCTGTGTTTTAGTATTCGATTTGAAAACACATGAAGAAGACCTGGAAATATAGTCAGATATAAGTACTCAAGCTTTATATCCTATGTGAAGTCTCTTGCTTCAAACAGATAAAAATATTTGGCAAATTTAGTAATTTTTGTAAAATTAGTAATGTAGAAAAGTCATCAGGACATACTGTACACAAAAAAATCTCTTTATGTAATTCATTTATAATTTATTGAGTTTCCTGTGCTGTTACAAATGTAACATTCTCATATACAACATTCATTGAAGAGGCACAATTCTTATTTTGAGGTGGCACAGATTAGACAAATTTTTCAGTGAATAATTCCTCTTTCATTAGGAAATTTAACCACAAGCTGTATTTTCGTAGAAAGTTGCTTGAAATTCTTTTCCTAAAAAAATTTAATTTTTCTATCTCAAAATGACCGTATGCAAACGAACAGTACATAACTACTGTCTTCATACCTTCTAATATAAGCAGAGTAATTTCACAGTGGAGTTTTTTCAAACAGAAATTAAAAATATGTATTATTTTCAGGGAAGAAGCTGACCTGGATCAAGAATGTCCTGCTAGACCTTCTTGTTAAGTAGGTGATCAAGAGTGTGCTTTGCCACAGGATTTCCCTGCAGGCTTTCCCTACCAGTCAGGACCTCATCAGTCAACTGAAAAACTCCCCTTAGAGACATAGACAAAGCCTAAGAGAGAATGGAAGGTGAGGTGGGGGTACTGATTCTTGGCTTTGAAGAGTAAACTTCTGGTTATCTGGCTGGTTAGATTGCCTCTAGGAATGTATTTTTACGTTCTCCGGTTTAGCAAAAATCTTGCCTTTTAGGTTTCAGAGTTCTGTCCTCCCCACTCTTTATCTCCATATTACAGGGCTGGCGTTGGGACAGAAGTCAAGAAAATGACAAAGTGGCAAAGTGAGTCACAGGTCACTGAGCTCTAATTTTTTTTTAAATGTCTTTTTTATTACTTTTTTTTTTAAGACAGGAACTTGCTCTGTCGTCCAGGCTCAGGGCAGTGGTGCAATCATAGCTCACAGCGGCATGGGCGTCAGGCTCAAGCCATCCTCCTGCCTCAGCCTCCTGAGTAGCTGGGACTACAGGTGCGCACCACCATGCCCGGCTCAGTTTCCGGTTCTTGAACTAGACTTTCCTACTGAGTGTCACATGAAAAAAAACAAACAAAAAAGACTGAGGCACAGGGACAAAGGAAAGAGTATTTAGCTGGCACACTCTCACCTTAGTTCTCCATCTACCTTAAAATGTCCCGGGGGCAGAGGGTGCTTGTTACAATGAGGATTCTCGGTCCACACCCTAGATCTGTGGACTCAGAATCTTTGGAGGGAAACTCAGGAATCAGCCTGTAAACAAATATCCAAGATGATTTTCGTGGCCCACCTGGGATCCAACCATATGCCCCCAAGAAGCAAGATCCCTGCCCCAGTTAGAGAACCTACTTTTTTCCCCAGATTCCATTTCTCTTGTATTCATTCTTGCCTTGTTTCTTCATTAGCATTTCATGTTAACCATTTTGTATGTGATCTTGTCTGGAAAGTTTTCTACTTTTGAGCAAACTTTTAGGCTCCGGATATAAGGAATAAGGCTTTTAGGCTCAGGATGTAAGGAATAAGCTTTCAACTTGCACAACTGCCAGTAAGTTCACTGGACACTTTCATTTCCATTGCTTTTTCAAAACTAGGTTTAGTAACTTTGTTTCCAGATGGGGAGAGAGGATATTAGCAGAATTGGAAAAGCAGCATTCTTGAGCACTGGGTGTTTCAAATGTTTGTGACACAAAAGTGGGGTTGGGGTGGGGGGATGATAAATAAATCAGCATAGGCTACTTCCCTGATCATCATCATCAAAATATCATTTCAAGAGCAGTCATTCTGGATACCGACGGCTTTGTCAGTGAGTCTTTCATTACACAGAAGAGAAAAACACTTCCCAGGGTTTCCTCAGCGCCACCACCAAGTGGTGTTACATCACCAGAAGCATGGAAATTAATCCATTAATTTACTTGGACATTTTGACATAAAAAAATAAATGATTGTTTTCTAAGCATTTCAAATCTAAATTTTTTAAATAATTTTTTTTCATTTTTGGGGGAAAATCTAAAATTTGTACCGGGCTACCAGAACTAGGACTTAATGGGATTCTTTCTGTTACAACATGTTACTACTTGATGGCGGATACTGGGGTAATGGAAGGGGAGGGTGCATATGCACGTGGCCTTCTAGAAAAATCCCATATGCAATACATATAAGAAAATACGCTAACTTTTAAAAATAATAAAAGCAGATCAATGGTTGCCTCAGGATAGAGGATGGGGAAGGATTACAAAGGGGCAGGGGAAACTTTTGGGGATGATAGATATGTTCACTATTTTGATTATGTCAAGGGTATATACATACATCAAACTGTATCAAGTACTGTTCAAATATGCGAAGTGTATTATATGTCGGTTATACCTTAATCAAGCTTTAAAAAGAACTTGAGTCCAGGCGCGGTTGCTCACACCTGTAATCCCAGCACTTTGGGGGGCTGAGGCGGGTGAAACACTTGAGGTCAGGAGTTCGAGACCAGCCTGGCCAACATGGCAAAACCCCCGTCTCTAACTAAAATACAAAAATTAGCTAGGTGGGTGGCACACGCCTGTAAACCCAGCTACTCGGGAGGCTGAGGCACAAGAATCCCTTGAACCTGGGAGGCGGAGGCTGCAGTGAGCCGAGATTGTGCCATTGCGCTCCAGCCTGGGTGACAGAGCACTCAAGACTCTGTCTCAAAAAAAAAAAAAAAAGTACAGCAATATCAATAAAATTAACAAAAAAAGAACTTGAAAAGACAAAAAAATTCTAGCAACAATTTTATTAAAAAACTAAATAGATGAGAATTAAGGGAAAGTGGGTGTCTAAGATAAAAGAAGTAATAGTTCTAGCATATTCTCTAACAGTATTAAGAAGTTCAATTGCTCACTTTATGAATTAAGTGTTAGAAGAAACAGGTGGAACACAAATAAGATGATACTTTGCTTTATGAAAACTTAATATTCCTCTCTCTACAATTGCCCTCACTTCTATTTGGGAGGAAGGAATGGCTAGAAAAAAAAATTGCAGAAAATAAGAACATTTTTGTTTTATGTTTTTTTCTTACCAATTTGAAGATACCAAAGTAACTAATAAAATGTATTTATGGGGTCATATGGTAATATGTAATCCATGAAAAATTAATAGTATTCACTAGGAGGCTAACTGAAGTGGTTTTCAATATTGAATGTCTCTGAAACTGTACATAAATACTGTATATTTTACAAACAATGACACAGTGTAAAAGAACATACATGTGTATCTATGCCTTTCACTATGTTAGGAGCAAGGCTGGAGAAAATGAACTAAATCAGATGTTGTTTTGGAAAACAAAAGGATGCATATGACAGGTAAGTTCTTTTCCACTTATCTGTAAGCTGCCTTAATCATGAAGCTTCATTTGCTTAAGATGTTGGACATGTTGGTCCATCACAACAATTTTTAAAGACCTCCTTCTTTAGATCTCATTTTGGACGTAATAAAGCTAAGTCTTTCTTAGATAATTTGCCATCTTCTTTAAAAGCAAAAGCTACAAAAAAAGTCTTTCAATTCAATAACAAATATATGCTCTTACAATTATGTATTAAACAAAGGTTTAGTTTAACAGAATGATTATGCAATGTACAGTTTAAACGTATCAGTTTTACAAAAGAAATTCAGTTAGGACTTACAGGACCGAATCCTACTTTGGATAGTATTATTTCTAAACAACTGGGAAGCTTTTGGGGAAAAAAAACCCCAAATACTTTAATCTTAACTCCATTTATACATTTCTTTCCATCTTTCCCCAAAAGAACATTTCTAGAGCACAAAATAGATTCAAAATTGTTTAATTAGATACATTTTATATATCCTGAACATAATGGCTCCCATAGAAATAAACTAGTATTTTGTACACAAACTTTATTTACTGTGCCACATTCATAATATACTGGGCCAAGTGCAAACATTTATTACATCCCCTGGTGTGTGCAGAGCTCTGCTCCCACAAACACCTCATTATCTAGGATGACAGAGAACAAGATTAGACAAGATGGATAATTAAAATCCACAAGGTAATAACAAAAATGTACTTTATGATTATAAACTCTTCTCCAGCTACAGCTGTAACCAGTACTAAGCAAAACAGTTTAATCAGGTTTTCCTCCCTAAATCCAGCCCCCAAGCCACTGCTCCTTGGGGCAGGATCTAATAATTGATTAGTGGGGTTGCTGAAAGGCCTAGGGCCAGAATAATCTAGAGGAAAAGGTTTAGAAAATTGACAACCTGGCATCTCATATATTGAAAATCCTTTGGTTTCTCTTGCCCAGAAAATTGCATTTTTTCCCCACATATAGTTGATATGTACCATTAAAAGTTATCTTAAATAAGGTTTATTTTTACAATTGCCTGAAAATTATGGGGTAGGTATTTTAAAAATAATCCATGAAAAACAATGGCTTAATTTAAGAAAAACAATAAAATAACAGCAAAAGAGAGTAAATCTGCACCCTGGGTGACAGCATATGGAATCGATGAGCTTCTGGTCAGCCTCTACCAGTGCTGGTGTGTGCCATTGATCCGCTCAGTCTAGCCAAGTCCTCAGAATCATCGTCACTTATTACTGCTCTCCTCAATGACCATCTCCAATGAGATGAAGCAGCTTATGAATAAACCATGGGAGAAGTATACAGGCATATTATGTTCTCCTCTATCCTAGATCCTTTTAGGAAAAAACAAGAAAGTAGGCCTGAAATAAAAAGGTTTGTATAACATCCTAAGGAATAAATCAGGTCTTATTAAGAGAATGATCTAATATTCTACCCTTTTGCTATTTAGTCTTGACAGCCCAAATACTACGTAGATGAAAATTCCAATAGAGTAAGTCTCTTCATTTTATAACCACCATGTCAATAAAAAGTAAAAAAGGGGATGAGGCCATCGCACCAATGAATATTCCACAGGAGATATGATATTAGTGAATTGGGTATTATAGGAATAGTAACTAAAACTTAACTGAACACTTGAATTGGAATAATCAGACTATCTGAATCCCAAAAGAGATTCTAAATCTGAGATATTATCAAATGTAGTGATTTTAATAGACATTTTTCTCATTCTCATCTTGAAGTCCTCATCAGAGTGTCAGGCTACCTCTGACCAACATTCACTCACCTGATTTGTACCATGACCTTACTGTCTGGTAAAGATCCTTTCTACTATTTTTTCTTTTTTGTAATTATAACCCAAATTGCTAAGTACAGTCGTTGCTTCCCTGATGGGTCCTGGATCCTCTTCCAGCTACCTGATACCACATCTGATGGTCAGCTGCTGCTCCCTTTCCTTCATCTCTGCTTGTAAAAACCTTTACTTTGCAGGATTGTTTTCTTATGTTTAGGCTATTTTGAGACTGTTCAGGGAAGTGCTAGTAAGTACAGACCAGAACCACTTTAAATAGTATTTAAAGCTTTATCAACCATAGGAGAACAGACTCCCGTGAGGAAGTCAATAGGATTCTTATTAAAATTAACGACATGTATCTCAGGATGCAGAAAAAGAACATCAAGATGAATGAGCAGAAAAAGAATCAATATCAAGGGGAAGATTTTACTGCCGCAGGGCAAGCCACCTATGGATTTAAAATGGGAATGAGAGGAATAGAGAGGGTATTGTTGAAGCAGAATGCTTAGATCTGGTGATGGATTCGAAAATTTACCTGAGAATGAAATTCCATTCTAAGCTAATGCAGACTGTACACATAACATAAAAACTCAGATGCAAGGGAGGAGTTTTGGATAAATAAAATATTGCGCCATCTAGTGGAAACGTTAGCGCTTTCTCTTACACTCTCATCAGCAGTTTTTCATTTGATGGTGTATTAGCCATTATTAGGAATGCTTTGCTGAGGAGAAATACCACTAAAATCAACACCTCATAATAAAATGTAAAGTGTCTGTAACTGTATCAGAGTTTTAAATAACACTTAAATTCTAATGGTAAGAATCCAAGAATAAACATCTAACTAACAATAAAATATATGTAATTTTATAATTCCCTAGGAAAATCTCTGAGGAGATATTTTAAAAAAAACATACAGGCATTTATATAGTCACCTACGTGCAGAAACAGGAATACTGATGCAAGTTTTCTGCAAAAGCCTCTGTATATTAGTGGAGGAAAAACAAATCCTGAAGTATGCAAAACACACTTCTGCTTTCCTGCTTTGGGATGGATACATTCCTTAGCTTAAGTTTCATATCTCTGCCAATAGCAAGGTAAATGCTTAATATGTAGCCATGTACCATATGGAATCACTTGATGAAAATTTGAAATATGATTTTGCATAGAATTCATTTAAACAATGCAAATAAACTACTATTATTCTTGCTTCTGTTCTCAGTGGAATTCGACTAGTGTCAGTGGAGCGGGCATGGGATTGAGACATGGATTACATGGTGCTTCACTCAAAAACAATTACATTTATAGTACTACTAAGCCCACACAGGAATTCCATATGCTTTTTGTTATTTCCTTTTAAGGTTTTAACACTGATGACCAAATGTCCAAATCAAAGACAGATTTTTCCAAATAATAGGGCACACTGTGAGGTTAGGTGGAAGAGGGATGGTTTATTATCTGGACGCAGGACAGGAAATTAACGAGCCACGTAAATACAGAGATCTACTTAGCACGTCTTTTCCTTCTTTCCCTTCAGACATACCATATGGTAACTGACTTATCAGAGTAAAGCACGTGTTGTTCACTTTTAAAAAACCCATTTAAGTTAGTCTCATAATTGTCCTGATTGAGAAAGTGAATCATGCCATGATTCAAAAAATCTGTTCTTCACATAAACCTATGAGCACACATTTTAAAAATGATTTATTGTACATCTTTGCATTTCTTAAGGCATGAACAATGGCATACAGATGGAACAGGTTCTGAGAAGCATCACATCTTTTTCGACAAGGCCAGCACAATCACACCACATCAAACAGACACACTTGAAGTCTGCACTGACCGACTGCTTGTGGCCCAGGAGTCCTGCGATAGGGGATGGTGCTTCCAGACAGTGGAACAATCGTGTGGTTTCTATGTTGTTGTTAACTTTCTTGATCAGCTTTAAGCACCAGTTACCATTTGTTTTTCTTTACAAACTGGTCAGACTTTGGATTTTATATTCTGCTCCTTTTATTCTGCTTTCCAAGGACGGTGTGGATTTTTTTTTTTTTTTTTTTTTTTTTTTTAAGGAATATGGTTGCAGCAAAACAGAAAGGATCCCAAAGTGGTTAGGGGCCTTGTCTAATGCACTTCTGAAAGTCCATTATAAAGATGAATAGAAAAGCAAATGGTAGGTTTTCAGTTGACCCAGAAACCACACATAGCTATAAGAAACATAATTGTGCATAGTTATTTATTCATTCAGAATGTGATATGTTGGCTAGCTCTACATTCCCAGTCTACCAAAGAACAGGGCTGTCTACTTTGCTAAACCCAGGGTCCTTTCGAAGCTCCCAGTAGGTGTCGTTAGAAACCCAGGCTTCTCTTTGATTGGCATCAATAACTTTTCTGTGAAAATATAAACATCAACATTAGTCATGAATCACATCAAGGTAACCTTAAATAGGACCCTCTCCTATAGATTAGACATGGACATATAAGCAGTGTTTGTAAGCCAGTTAGTATCTTATCTGCTAGCTACTGATGATGTGACTATTTTTGACTGGAAGTGAAGTCATTTTTGTTGTTAAATGTGTGAAATGGAAGTAGGTAGGGCCAGGGGGAGAGGAACTCAGGGCAGGAACAAATTACCTCCTGGCAGGGGTAAAAAGTAAATAGCCCCCAATAAAGCATATACAAATACTGTAACTAAGAGCTTCAGGTCCCAGACCCACAAGAATCCTTTCTCCTTCACTAAAAGTATGCAATATCAGTAGCTCTAAGAGCCCCTACTGGGCCCATGTCCAAGGAGCACATTTTAGACATCTGAAGGGCAAGGCTGCATTTCTACCCCAGGGCAGTAATGACAGGACAAGTCTAAAGGAGATAAGGTTACCCTGAGCTTTTTGTCCTGGCTCTGGAGGGCAACAGATGCATTTGGAAACCTCAGATTAATCTGTGTGATGTATATATAATCCTGCAAATAATCCTGTAATAATCACCTACTATCATACCACAGAGAGACCAAATCTAAACACACACAAGCTTTGTGTGATAGAAATAAAATGAAATCCTAATAAAAGCCAGGATGATCTTGTGGGCAGTGGGGTCTGGTTCAGTCCCTGGCTAAGGGAGTGGGAACCAGTTTCCACCATTCTAAAGAGTGCAGCTGAAGGACAAAGAGCCTTCTGGGCAGGATGCTCACTCTTTTCTGCTGCCCATGAAAAGAGAAGAGCTGTAGAAAAAATTTCTTTTTATAGTTACTAACTTTTCATAAGTGCAAAATCGATTCAATATTTTCACTGCCAAAAGCAAAGATACCAAAATCCATTTACCCATTTTATTTTCATTTAACTGGAGTTTCTCATGGCCTGTGGCAACCATTTGCAAAACATGAACTTGCTATGGGAGTTAACTGACTTACTTAAAAAATTTTGGTATATGTTCAAGATTGTTTTCTTCCATATATCGTCTCCGAGATCTCTGGAGTTCCTCTACTCTTTGCTTCTCTGATGCTGCAGCTTCTAAATTTCCTTCTTCCAAAAATCTAAGCAGAAAGCAGTTGATATTTTAACATATTATCCTCTTTTCTGGGGGAAAAAAAACCTCATTTGCACAAAATTGTTTTCTAATTGCTATGAACATAAAATACCGCACAGTAACGGACGGAGTCTTGCTCTGTCGCCAGGCTGGAGTGCAGTGGTGTGATCTCAGCTCACTGCAACCTCTGCCTCCCAGGATTTACATATTTTCTATGTACATGAACTGAATTATTATAATCAGCAATATCAGTGAAAGGTGGGTGGTTTGGCCTTGAAGACTTTTCTATGCTGTCTAGGGTTCTATAACTTGAGATTTTCAGGACAACTGCAGAGTCCAGGGTGAGAAGAGCGTGAAGTCATAGCCATGTTCCTTTTCTATATTATCAGAAAGCTTTTGCTAAAAGGCCATAGAATGGAGGATGGTAACTGGCTATTCTCCGTCTATTTTGAGAACAGGCTGAGAGGGAAGGAGCTTTCCTGTTTTACTGGAGAGGGCAAAACTGATGAGAAAAGAAAAGGTAATGGGGAAAATTACAAAAGGCCACAGAATGTGAAATGAATAGTAAATGAAATTCAGAAAAGGAACACTGAAATAGAATTGAGAAGGAAAAAGCAGACTGAATGGTGACTTACAAATGCTTACATTTCAAAATGAGAGCAAAGAACAGGAATATAATATGCTATACATTGTACAGGAAGTTTATTAATAAATTTGAATGTCAAATAGCAAGACAACATGTTCTAGAGAGAGAGGGCAAAATAGAAGAGAATTAAATAGTGGAACATTCAAAACTGAGAGCATTTTGGCAGATGGCAGATAAAGCCACAAATACATGGGAAACAGAAAATTGATCTTGAGTGGAATTTGTATGGCATATAGAATTTTTGGGAAAAGTAAAATGAATTCCATAGGAATGGACATCATGAGTTCAGAGCTACATAAGAATAAAAAACTAAGAATCAGAAGGTATTAAAGGTACTGTATTTTGAGTATATCTCATACTCTGTGGGATCAAAACCACATTGGGCAAATTGCAGACTTGCACTCAAAGCATTTCTGAGTTCCCCTGTAACTTATCCTATTATTCTTCAGTTTAAAAGATACTCCATGTTACAGAGTTATAGAAGTAAAAAGGTCAGAAACACTGGGTGAGGACTGATTATATATTTAAGAAAGAGTTCACAAATTTACAGACCTTTGGTAAATTTTAGGGGGAGGGAGAAACTTTGTTAAAAAATATCTCTGTTATCTTATCTTCTGTGGGGAACTATGTGCTGAGATAATCTGTTATGATCATTCTATGAATACTGCTTTTCCTGGCATAGAAAACTCAAATATTGCTGAGTGAATAAGGGAATGGAGAAAGGATTGAATAAAAATACATGATGGTAGTAAAAATAAGTCACAATGACCTCTAAAGCCCCAAGCCATAATAGTCTGCCTTTTTTTTTTTTTTTTGCCAGGGTCTCTCTCTGTTGCCCTGGCTGGAGTACAATGGTACAATCATAGCTCACTGTGGCCTCAACATCCTAGGCTCGAGCGATCCTCCCACGTCAGCCTCCCTAGTAGCTGGGACTTTAGGCATGCCCCACCACACCCAGCTAATTTTTAATTCTTTTTTTTTAGAGATATAGAGTCTCACTATATTGTCCAGGCTGGTCTTGAATTCCTGACCTCAAGTGATCTTCCCTCCTCAGCCTTCTAAAGTGCTGGGATTATAGGCATGAGCTACTGCACCCAGCCATAGTCTGCATATTAAATACCACTGCCATCCTCACCTTTGATCTGGCCGGAACCGGGCGTCTGTTGGTGGAAGGAGATCTTTTAGTACTGGATCTAACTCATTGAGCTCAATAGCAAACCTTGTGAAGCCATAGTACAGCTCATAGTTTGTTGGCATGGAACCTGGAAAGAGGCCAATGAACCACTGTGAGAGGCAGAAGGTTTATGGAACTGGAAGAAGCTGACTTACCCTAGTACTTAGTACCTACACTAACACCAAATTTGTAGTCATAAACACAAGATTATAGATTTTTTCAAGTGAATTAAATTGGTGGTATTCCTAGGTAGGAAACTTTGTGTTGATGATCAGAATTGACAGATTCATATATTTAATACAATCCTGTCTTTCAAACAAAACTGCACATATAGTAGTCTTCATTAGCTAAACTACTCCATAATATTTCTCTTGAATATTCAATTGGTTAACTAAATACTATGGCAATTAACTATGAACATTAAGAGTACACCAGAAACACTTGTTTGCTTCCTTTTAGAAAAGAAAAATATGCAGACCTAAATTAATATTTTTTGCCACTTTTTAACTAAACTTGAAGGCAGGATCTTTGTATGTCTTGCTCATTGACGTATCCCGAGCTCCTGGAATAAAGCCTGATGTACAGCCAGCACTCAATAAATAGTTGCGGAATGAATAAGCTAGCCACTCTACTAGCGGGAAATTTAAATACTCATTGATGTCTCTTAGGAAACTAACAACTAATTTTAGTTAGGGATTAACTGACAAAATTCCAGTGACAATAAATGTCATGTGGATACTTGTTCCATTTATACTTGATATTCAATCATAAGCTAATGTGTTATCAGAACTCTTTTGATGTCTTTTATTAAATGTCAACATATTGCTGTCTCTTGAGGCTCAAGTGAAAAGATTACTTATTCTGGTGAGTTATTGAATTTGTGGATTACAAATGTTTGTAGTCTTTGTTTTATTAAAGCAGAGAATAAATAACATGAGTAAGGTTTTAAGTTTGTATACTTCAATTATCTAAAGTCTTTAATAAATATACCTAGCTTTTCAAATGTAGGCATTACACTTTGAGCAATTTTTCATGAAGCCCAATCTCTGACTGCCTGTCAGAGATTTGGCCTACATTCTTTATTATGAAATATCAAATATTGGGGCTTATGTATAACTTCTATGTTAAGTATGAATGTAACTATAATTGCCATAAGCATCTACGCTTTTAATCTCACTCTTAAAGGAAACATAATGTGAGTTGCATAAGATGACCTGATGTTCTCTTCCCTTCTGTTGTCCATAGTGCCCTCCTGTTGGCAGAACACTCAGGCCACTCTCACCTGGTCTCCAAATGCACTTTGCAGAGGGGGCCACACCACAGTAGAGTCCTTCATGCCACTTTCCAAACAGCCGGTACACCGCCTTCCCCTCCTGATCTATCACCACCCCCTGGACTTCATTCATGTTAGAATTCCAATAATTCACCTGGAAAAACCAAACCCCAATTGTGACATTTGATGGCTTTAATAACATCATTCCCTGTATTTTCCATATAGAAAAATTTCTTAGCCTTGAAGTCCCTTATTCAAACCATTTTCAGAAATACAGAAATCTCAAAACGTTTTATATGGAGGGCTGGCTTTCTAAGAGTTAGCTTAACTTTCAAGAAAGGGATGGTCTCTATTCCACGCATAACATGGTAGTATATCACAGAGAAGGCTCAGCTTCTATCCCAAGAACCTAATATTAATTTCTAAGCTAGCAATTTTTTTTCCTCTTGTTTTGAATTTTCCTCTTGCTCATGGATTTTAATAAATTTCAATTGGCCATGCTGCAGAAATTGTTTGTGAAATAATTTTCATAGTATCTATAAATGGCCAAATTTTATGAGGAGGGCCCTCAAGTGGCCCTTCCAGCCATACTCCTTCCCAAGGGATAAGAAGTCTATGGGAGTTTGCCTACCCCATGATTCCCCTTCCAGATCAGGCCCCAAGTATACAGGACCCTAGAATTCCTTGTCCAAGTAGCTCCAAGGTTATTCCACAGCTGGCAAGGCCCTTTTCCTTGGATTCATGCACCCAAGGGCAGACCACCCACCAGCGTGTGCACCTTTAGGTCTGAAGAGTGGCCAAGGGTGGTTGTTTGTGGGGGTGTGAACAGAGCTTAGATGTGTGGGCTGGCCTGCCTGTATATGTGTGTATGAGGCCCCTTGCAGTCAAAACAGAGCCAGAGGTGGGAAGAAAGTAGGGAAGGCCGTGGGCCAGGACTGGCTGTCCTACATTGCCAGGGTTACAGCACAGAGTTCTGAAGGGTCCAACCTGGCCTCACAGGCTTTGTTATAAAAAGTGTATTTGTCAAGGCAAAGAAATAGAGCATATTCTATTTTATAGCTTACAGACTTGATTTACATATTTTAGTTAATTATACAGGCTCTGCAAGTGTTAGAGACAGGACTGCACTGCAGCTTCTCATAGCCTACAAAGCCAAATGTACATATTTACATCATCACCCAGCCAGAGCACATAGTGATCTTGGCTCTTCAGTTCTAGGTACCTTACGAGTCTCTAAGAAAAAAGGTAGTGAAAACATTTTGGGCTAAAATAAAGACACTCAATTAAAATAAATACAACCTTCCAATATGGCTTAAAAGGATTTAACTGAGAAAAGAAAATATTAGAGTCTTAAGACTCCAATATGTTACCTGTTTACCATATTAGAATGGGATCATGAATTGAACAGGTATGGTAGCTGGGTGGGGTTTCTATACTATGTTGAATTCTGTAGCACATCCAAACAAACACGGCAGTGATACTGAATGTTCCACTTCAGACCAGAGAAACTGAGGGAAAATGGTGCTTTTTGGGCGTTTCTATCCCAACATATTTTCTTGTTAATGAGGCTAATTTTTCCTGTTGAACTTATTTGAATTATAACAGTGGCAGGGTTGGATAAGCATGTACTGACTGGTGGTGATCATCTACATGACTACATCAAGTGTCTTCAGAAAATGACAACATTATAATGAGTTCCCGAAATTCAGATCACTTGAACACATATCAAGCAGGAAGAGAAACAGAAATATAAACCAGAAGATTTATAGTCAAGAAGTGTTTTCTGGAATTTTACTTAGTGAACAACTGACTGGCTACTTCAAAAGAAAATTCTTTAAAAAGACATGTGTTTTTTTTCTGTTTTAGATGATGCCTTTTTTGACCTCCATATGTTCAGAAACTTGCATGCCTTGAGAAACTCTATCAGTTTGTTCTGCTTTCTTATCTAAAATGTCCGTAAGGACCAATGATACAGGACAGATTCACTTGCTGCTATTTAAGGTGATTATTCTATTTCTTCTTTAAGAAGCATTTTATACTCATTTTCCTTTACTGTTGTATGATAGTATTTACCTTGACAAATGTGAGTTTGCAAATGCAAACACTGCTTTTGGTATTTCTGATGGTTACTTCTCCATAATGTTCTATCCATCTTCTCCCACTGAGGATGTTGTGTATGCAAGTGGTGACTTTATTCCACACATAGTAATCTCCATACCTAGTGAAGAATGTAACACTGATGAAAAACAACCAAGGTCACAAACACATATAACTGTTTCTGCTAATGAGAATATTCTTTGGCCAAAGCTTCCTTTTCCCTCATTCTCCTCCCATTTGTGTCTTGAAATTCTCTCTGTGGTCATTAAGTATTTACGATGTGGTTAATTCACTTAAGGAACATTTAAGTGCTTTCTATGGGCCAGGTGCTAAAGTTACAAAGTGGAATAGGGCCTGGTTCCTGCTTTTCTGGAGACAGAAGTATGGGAGGGTAGATGGATATGCAAACAAATACTTAAAATATGCATATCATCGGAACACAGAAGGAAGAGTTTTTAGTCCTTCAATCTACCTGGAACGTGGGATGAGTGTCAAGGAAGACACCTTAGAAGAGGCTGGGTTTCGTGTAAGCACAGATGGCAGATAAGAGGGCACTATGGGCTGGGGAAAAGCATCCACAGAGCCACAAAGGTCAGAAGGGCACAAGGCATCCAGGCCTGTGAATGCTGTGCTCCAGGTGAGTGCGGGTGGCAGGACGCAAGGCAGGAAAGGTGTGATGAGGCAGAGCCGGGAAGGCCTGCAGGGACGTACCAAGGAGTCTAGATTTACCCTGCAGGCAATGGGCCACCGCAGGATTCCAGGTAGGAGGGAGGCACCACAGAGTGTGCACTGAAGAAAGATCACTCTGGGAACACTGTTTTGTACTCCAGGTTTAAGACCTCAGATGTGAATAATTCTTCGGGAAAAGACTGAAGAGCATACTAAGATGGCACAAATCTATTACAAATTCTGGGGAACAAGGTTACAGAATTTCTGCTAAGAAATGAAATGATATAGCTTCAAATCACATTTAAGTTTGTACGTTACATATATTTTCAAATGAAATGTTACATCAACATAAAAAAGATGCTTCTAAGTTTCTGCAAAGTTTATGAATTGGTATGATGTAGGCACCATATATACCTAGGAAAACTCTCTTCCTTATACATTTTTTTTTTTCTTTTTTGAGATGGAGTCTTGCTCTGTCACCCAGGCTGGAGTGCAGTGGCACAATCTCGGCTCACTGCAATCTCCGCCTCCCAGGTTCAAACAATTCTCCTGCCTCAGCCTCCCGAGTAGCTGGGATTATAGGCGCCCGCCACCACACCCAGCTAATTTTTTGTATTTTTAGTAGAGATGGGGTTTCACCTTGTTAGCCAGGATGGTCTCAATCTCCTGACCTTGTGATCCGCCCGCCTCAGCCTCCCAAAGTGCTGGAATTACAGGCGTGAGCCACCGTGCCTGGCCTACATGTTCAAATATTCAAAGTTTATTTTGTGGTCCTAGGAATACCTCCCTCTCTTCACCTTCTTCCATATCCAGTTCATCTGGAAATTCTGTCATTCAAATAGGTAAAACCGAAGAAACAATCAAGTCCTTGGCCTCAGTAAAAATTCCAATTAATTTCAAAATATTTAGAGGCAGTATCCTCTAGAACACAACCATAAAAGGATTTCATCACTCTTCTTTGATAAAATACTCCCTGGATCTAAGATGAACTCAAAAGTGAAACTGAATTGTATAGCAAAGAAATGGCTAAACAGGAGAACCTTTTATATACAATCAAACTAGCATGATGACTGGGCCATGGGAGGTACCTGGTGGTGTTGACTGAAGAATGGAGGATGTGAAGAAATAAACAGGAAGCTTTGCTACATATGCTTAAGTTCTCATTTGTTTTTGTGGGAGTCTATTCTCAAAACTTTGGCAAAGGTAACAGAAGTTTGGGTATAAAGAGAAAGAAACCCTTACCATCTTCTAGAGTTTAAAATACCCATTTATGATTTAGAAAAGCAGACAAGAGGCCAAAAGGGAGGTGTGAGTCACCTACTTTGGAAGCATGACATTCAGTGTTCCAACAGGCAGGATTTCCATCGACTTCCCCCAGAACTTGTTTTTCCATCTGATATCTAAATGACATAGGGAGAGGACAAGAAATACATACCCCATATCTAATCACCTCTTCTATAAAAACTAACTTTTGTATTACACTTTATGAAACACTTTGGAATGACAACTGATTCTATATTGCTGATTTAGTATGACAAGTGCCTGCAAATGGCCCAAGGTGAAAATATTAACTGTGAACCAAAAAATAAACAAACAAACAAACAAACAAAACTAAAAAAAACCCCCACTATCTATGTTTCTCTATAACATATGCTCTTTATTTGTTTTCAACTAACAGAGCTGGGAGAAGCCTGGAACAGTGTGTGTGCGGTGTGTGTGTGTGTGTGTGTGTGTGTCTGTGTGTGTGTATTCACATTTTACATACAAACATAGACTCTACTGTGCTTTAATGTCCAGACAGCAATAAAGGTTGTTATAAGTTTTAACTAAGTGGTAAAAATAGTTAACAAATATATCAAGCATAAGATGTACACTAAAAATAATTGGAGTATAGCAATACAATTAATTTATATATACATTTCCCCCCATATCAAAGACATATAATTTGGGATTACAGTTAAAAAAAATCTCCAAATACAGATAAAATAAAATTTATAAAATAAGATTTATGAAAGAGTGGGATTAACTTAATGAATGTTTTTATACTGGTTGTTAAGATATAGACCAGGGCCCAGCACTTTACCTCACACGATGGCTTTATGTTTTACGTATGGAAACTTAGATTTATTTGTGCATTTGTGATAACCACCTGGTTCCATTTTGATGAACTATGGGAACTTCGTGCCATCTCCACAAGATGCCTGATTCTTGGTGATGACCAAGAAATGATCTGTCATCTTTTTGTAATAAAGTACAGCTACAGTGTTCTATCATTTTTATGTATTTTCAGGTTAAGAAAATGCTCATGAGAAGTCATTCTGTGAGTAATGAAGCACCCTTCCAAACACGAAGGAACTATTTACACTTAATGTTCACATTTACATAAATATTCTTTTCTTTGTAAAGGAGTTTAGAAACTTTTTTGTATTAGGCAAGCTTGTAACATTCTGACTTAACTCAGTAGAGACTTCAATCCAAACTCTGGAGCCCCAGTGAGTTAAAGGCCAGGAATTACTGTAATGTTTGCATATCTATTTAGATTATGACCATTGATGATGTGTCATAGAGCCTTCCTTCAGAATTAAAATGTCTTTGCACACCCCGAAGAACCAAGAAGGCAGCAGATGGAACCTCCATGTTACAGATGCAGACAATAAGGAACATGAGATAAGGTGGTGGCTCTCCACCGGCACAGTCCGCATGGAGCTCTGCTATTCCATACAGCATTGTTTCCAAGATAAGCAATCTCATCTCCTAGCTGAAACTGTTTCATGTTGAAACCAGGAATTTTGATTTCTCAAAATGAGCTCTGCACCAATTACTAACATTTGCTGAGTTCCAAAGGTAGAAATCTAAACTGAATACAGTGTCCCTTTGGAAGCCAGATATTTTTTCATAGGCTCATACATTTGATTTTAAATTATAATTGAAATACAAACCTTGCCAAAACACAAAATTCTTTGATTCACAGTGACAGGCAGAAATGGGTGGATGATGGCTAACCTGGTAATTAAAAACAAAAAAAAGGCAGTATCAGTGTTAAGACTTCCACATGGTCATCCATTTCTCTTACTGAATTATTCTCAAAATGTATAAGTAAATCTGTAAGACTTCATGCTTTAAAAACACTGAGAACTTATACAATTTAGAGGGGAAATAATGCCCATAAGTGAAGTGAATTCGTCCTTCCTTCCTTCCTTTCTTTCTTCCTTCCTTCCTTTCTTTAATTATACTTTAAGTTCTGGGATACATGTGCAGAATGTGCAGGTTTGTTACACAGGTATACACGTGCCATGGTGGTTTGCTGCACCAATCAACCCATCACCTACATTAGGTATTTCTCCTAATGCTATCCCTCCTCTTGCTCGCCACCCCCCAACAGGCCCCAGTGTGTGATGTTCTCCTCCCTGTGTGCATGTGTTCTCATTGTTCAACTCCCACTTATGAGTGAGAACATGCGGTGTTTGGTTTTCTGTTCTTGTGTTAGTTTTCTTAACTGTGTGAAAAGAAAATAAATCTCAGGACCACCTGCCTCCCATTTTATTCCTAAAAAAGATAGCTACAAAGATTTTTTTTTTTTTTTAAAAAGGCTACCTCTCTCCCTCACAATTTGCCCACAAGGAAATTCTTTGTGGGCCTCAAGATCTTTACCCTAAAACAGTTCTGTTGAATTTCAACCTGGCAATGTACATTGATAGCTTATCTTCACAGGTATGGGACAAAGGATTGACAGAACTCAAAGTCATCCTTCTGCTCACCTGAGAGAGATGCATATCTGATTACTTCCTCTGCCCTACTGTCTATGTAAAAATGCAGATTCACAGAGTGAGACTGAGGCATAAGTGACTCTCTCTCTACCACCCTCTCACATGTAAATTGTGTATTCAGTGAAAGGCTGATCAGAGACCCAAAAGAATGCAACCTTTCTTATCTACCTATGACCTGGAAGTCTCCATTTCCAAGTTGTCCCACCTTTCTGGACAGAATCAATGTACATCTTACATATATTGATTGATGGTGCATATCTCCCTAAAATGTATAAACCCAACCTGTGTCCAGAACACCTTGGACACATTTTGTCAGGACCTCCTGAGGCTGTGTCATGGGTGTGTCCTTAACCTTGGCAAAATAAACTTTCTAAACTGATTAAGACCTGTCTCAGATACTTCGAATTCACAACTGGTATCATAACCCATCCCAACAGATTGTTATCGAAATGGTGCTTTCATCACCGAACTGTCCTCTTACCTATATAGAAACCTCACTGAGTCCAGTGGCGCTTACCTGTTCTGAGAAAAAGCGGAATCCCTTGTCTTCTCTAATGCATTCATAAGTCTCCCCAAGGACTGGGTTGAATGGCTTACTTCCTGCTCTGAAATAGGTGGAGCAGTATCCTGAAACTGCAAATGCGGCAACGAGAACCTGTTAAAACATTGAAGAAAAGGGAATAATATAGGAGAGACGACTGCTGGGTCTGTTTGTTCCTCATCCCTCTAGATTTTACACACCTCATGTGGATGGGTGTTGATTTGATGACAGTTGCATTTTCTATTGTCTGTACAGAATTTTTATCAACTCATGGGGAAAAAAATAGGTAAGATTAGGTAAAACCACTCGCACAGAAACCAGCAGGCCACTGAGGTGAAGCATTTTTCACCCTTCCATCCAACGTCATGAGTATCACAGAGTTCAAAGGTTCTGAAACCCAGCTTATTGGTTCTGCCACAGGCATGATCTTAGCCTCATGTGCATGAGGATTGTGGTTGCGGGTGCTTTTCAGAGGGCATGGCATGTTTCCCACAGCCATATGGGATAAAGGGTGAAGTATAAACAGAAGTTATTTTCTCAGACCTAAGTTCCTGAACAGATGGGCTATCCTGACATTCAGGAAAAACTGATAAAGTGAGGCAAGGTGTGCCTTCAACCTCTAAGGAGTATGAGACCTTTACACCTTAACTTTAGAAACACTCTAGACCAAGGATAAGGCACAAAAAGTGTGTCTTCCTGTGTTGGTATCTGGGAGGTTTTGGCCTTGCCGGATTTATGCAAACAGATCAATTCCTCTTTTACTATGCAGTAAGAATATTATGCAAATGCCAAATATATCATAATGAATTCTGGCTTAGCCCAGGTCTAGGGTTGGCAAATCCCTGAGGGGCGCTGCTCTGTTAGTTATTTATTACCATGCGCTCATATGGATCATCAGTTTCCGAAGCCTTGTCCAGGAGCTCGCTGTATTCCATTTCCTCACAGAGGTGCTGCAGGGTGTTGAGCGGCTCGTTTAGCTCCACAGGCATAGAGACTTTAGACAGGTCTTTACCAATGTTGTTCCTCAAGATATTCCACAGGTTAATGTTACTGGTGTCAGGACAAGGAGCTGGCAGGCATGCTCGACGCCCATTTCGGAAGGCCCCTCCTGTAAGCTCCCCATTCAGGACTGGAAGAAGGAGAGTCACAGTGAAGGACACTTTGCTGTTCTGATTTCACAAAATCAAGAAGGGAAATAACTTTCAAATAAATCTGATTTTGAGACCTTTCATGAGTCTTCATTATATCTTTTCAAAAGTAAATGGAATTCTTTCAATGCAAGGTTGCTAATAAATGCAGAAAACAACAGTGTATAGTTTTATAAATAAGGCATTAGATACACTCAAATATCATTCAAGACAAGACAGGCTAAGTTTTAAAAAATTAAATACATTTAATAAGAAGGACTCAAGCTGTTGGTTTGAGAAAGAGGAAAAACGTTTTCTCTTAACTATTTACCTAACAGATTTTTTCAACCATTTACCTCAAGAGATCATACAAAATAGAATGTATTGAACAATCAGCTGCCAAAAGAACAATTAGCAGGGGTGGGGGTGGCGTGGGAGGGGGAATGCCTGTTCATTAAGTCTTCGTGTTGCAATTTGGCATGTAGATAGAACAACCTGGAAGCTCAAATGATGCATACTTTGCCGAGAAATATTGTCTGCAACACTGGTGTTGTCTTCAGATAT
The DNA here is from genome assembly GCF_000001405.40 of Homo sapiens. Taxonomy (NCBI): domain Eukaryota; kingdom Metazoa; phylum Chordata; class Mammalia; order Primates; family Hominidae; genus Homo; species Homo sapiens. The sequence continues at coordinate 178,382,461 of NC_000002.12, read as the reverse complement.
ATTATCACTCACATCACTGATGTAAGACTCATCATCTGAAGCCTAAGGAAGGGAAGAACATACAAGGATCAGAATTCTTGTTCAGTTTTGCAAGCTCAGATAATCAAATGATTAAAAATAACAAAATATTGTTCCAGTGAGAAGCAGAGGTCCTAGAGGGAAAAGTATTTGACATATGTGCAATGAACACTTGAGGGTCTTCATGAACTAGCATATAGGATCACTAGAAGGGAGCCTGGTCTTTAGCTCCTTATCTTAGTAGGGGCAGGAGGGCAGGGGAGACCAGTAAAGAACCAGAAATATTTTAATATAATACACTAAGAATGTTTCAGGTTGGTGCAAGAGTACTTGCGTTTTTGCCATTACTTTCTTTTGCACCAACCTAATAACTAAGAGAAGGCCCTATGACTCTACCTTAGAGGACTCAGGAGAGGCTGCCCAGGGGGCAATATTTAAACTGGGTGTTAGAGAATGAATAGGAGTTGCCCAGTTATTAGAAGGGACAGAAGCACACAAAGAAGAGAGATCGTGCAAAGGTAAGGCCCATGAGAGCAAGATTTATCCCAGGAATGCAAGGATGTTGAGAGTGGCTGTGACAGAGGGGAGAGAAAACAAGAGGGCCCGACAGTGAAGGGCTTTTCATGCCAACAAAAAGGGTTCATATACAATCCTAAGAGTTAGTAAAACCAACAAAAATGCACAGGATGTTGGAGTCAGATTTGGTTTTCAGGAAGATATTTGGCAGCTCTCCCTAGGGAGGCCAGATACTAGGATGCTGTGTAGATCTGGGTAAGAAATACAGCTCAGTCAGCTGGGTGTGGTGGCTCACGCCTGTAATCCCAGCACTTTGGGAGGCTGAGGCAGGCAGATCACAAGGTGAGGAGATCGAGACTATCCTGGCTAACATGGTGAAACCCTGTCTCTACTAAAAATACAAAAAATTAGCCGGGTGTGGTGGCATGCGCCTGCAGTCCCAGCTACTCAGGAGGCTGAGGCAGGAGAATCGCTTGAACCCAGGAAGCAGAGGTTGCAGTGAGCTGAGATCGTGACATTGCACTCTAGCCTGGGCGACAGAGCGAGACTCTGTCTCAAAAAAAAAGAAATACGGCTTAGATTCAGTTGGCCTCTGTGACAATGGGGAGAGACGCAAAGTGAAGCCACCCCCTGCATGAGAAAAATGTGAAACTAAAATGAAACACAAATTAGCAGAAAAATGAAATTAAGGAACAATGTACATACTAAAGGGACTTAGAAACAGAGCAGATCAGGAAAGAGAAGATAAGATAGAACATCAGAGGAATGGGAAAACTAATGACTTTCCCACAGGCAAGAAAGCTGCTGATACTTACTTCCTTCAAAATGGAAACAATGCTGTATTTTTTTCTGAATATAAAACATTCTTATTGTAAAAAATTAGAAAACAAGTAAGAGTAAACAGATGAGTATGAAAATTACCCATCAGCCCATCACCTATAGGAAACCACGTAACATTTTGGTGAGTATTATCCTCCAATTTCAAAATGACTGTACAAACATATTGACACATCTATCTTTATATACTGAAAAAGGAGATCAGTTTACATATTGCTTTATAGCATTCTGAATACATTTTCATTATAGTAGCTACAGCTACTTTATTTGGAAAGGCAACATATTTCATTATATGATTATAACAAGGAATTTAACCAGCATATAGGTGGTTTCTAACATTTTATTATTATAGACAATACTTGGATGAACATCCTTGTAAATATATTTTCATAAATCTGCCTGGTGATTACATTAAAATTTATTTCTAGATCAGATGGGTCACTTTGAGGCTTTAGTTCCATGTTGCCAAATTGCTCTCCTGAAAGACTGGATTAGTTTGTTCTCGTCAGCAATATATGGGAACATCATCCATCTTTCCACATCCACTTAAACACTTTACACTATCCATCTTTTTTAGTATTTACCTAGTATACATAAAAGATCACTTTTTTTTTTTTTTTTTTTTTTTTTTTTTGAGACAGACTCTTACTCTGCTGCCCAGGCTGAAGTGCAGTGGTACCATCACAGCTCACTGCAACCTGAGCTCATAACTCCTGGGCTCAAGGGATCTTCCTACCTCAGCCTCCCAAGTAGCTGGGACTACACGCACACACTCCCATGCCTTGCCAATTAAAAAATAAATTTTTTTTTAGAGATGAAGGGTCTTGCTACGTTACCCAGGCTTGAACTCCTAGCTTCAAGCAATCCTTCCACTGCAGCCTCTCAAAGTGCTGGTATTACAGGTATGAGCCATTGCACCTGGCCAAAAGATTGCTTTAAAGTTTAAATTTCACCCTTTATGAACTCCTTGTCTTATCTTTCACACATTTTTCAGTTTGACATATAGATTACATTTTTCTTAACTTGCATTTTTAAACTTTGTTTATGCCAATTCTTTTGTCATGTAAACATTTTGAATTTGTACATAAAAACAACTGGTCTTTGTCTTTAAGGTTTCTGGATTTATTGCTAATGTTTTAAAAATTAGGGTTGAGAAGAGTTCATATATTTAGGGAGAACAGTGATGGACAGAATGATTGCACACATGGATGAATAATGGTAATTTTGTTTTTGCATACAGAGTAAGCCCATAAAGATGACAAATTGAGAACAAAATCTTTTTCTGATTCATATTTTCCCGCTGCAACTGGTTCCCACAGTTCCTACTGACTGCAGCAGAGCTGAAGGTTAAACCATCAGGCTCATGAAAAGCCAACTTCTTATGCTTGAAAGTGAAAAAAAGTAAATCAAACTCCTCTGGTGATTTCTCTGAAAAAAATCTAATCATACACAATTATGTTTGAGGAGACAAATGTCTACCTAAACCAAATTCACATTGCATGCATGTTTATTGTTTGAACATTTGTTAAGAAAACACTCATGTTTATCCTACAAACAGCTATAAAGTCTATTCTTCCTCGATTTCTTTTCTTCTCTCTTCTTTCCTTTTCTGTTTCTTTTTTTCTCCTTCCCTCCTTCCTTCCTTTTCTCTCTTCTTTCTCTTTCTTTTCTTTCTCTTTCTTTCCCTCCCTCCCTGCCTCCTTTCTCCTTTTCCTCCCTCCCTTTCCTTCCTTCCCCTCCCTCCCTCCCTCCCTCCCTTCCTTTCCTTCCTTCCTTCCTGTTTCTTTCTTTCTTCTTTCTTTCTTTTCTTTCTTTCTTTCTCTTTCTTTGTTTTTCTTTCTCTCTCTCTCTCTTTCTTTCTTCTTTCCCTTACTTCCTCCCTCCCTTCCTTTCTTTTTTTCGTTCCTTCGTTCTTTTTTGATACAGGATCTCTTTCTGTCACCGAGGCTGGAGTACAATGGTACAATCACAGCTCGACACAGCCTTTCCCTCCTGGGCTCAAGGGATCCTCCCACCTCAGCCTCCTGAAGGAGCTGGGACCACAGGTATGCACCACCATGCCCAGCTAATTATTTTATTTTATTTTTTTGTAGAGGTGGGGGCTCCCTGTATTGCCCGGGCTGGTCTCAAACTCCTGGTTCAAGCAATCATCCTGCCTCTGCCTCCCAAAGTGTTGGGATTACAGGCATGAGCCACCATGCCTGGCCTTCCTCTTCAATTTCTAATCTCTCCCAAACTAATATATCATAGAAATGATCAGAAATCACTGGTGTAAAAGAATTCTACAATAATAGTGGGCCTTGAGTAAGATGTATACATGTCACATGTGTGCAGTAACTAAGGCTGGGCTATCTTGCTGTGGTCAATTCACGCTACCCTGCACAAAGAGCCAAGGCTCTGCACTATTGTAATCAAACAGTTTGTCCTCTGCCCCGTGGTTAAGAAGTCCTGGAACCAAGTATTTCTCTTTACAAACTTAGGGATTCAAAAGAGTTCAGAAAATATATATTTTTCCTAAATGTGACCAGGCATGCAGCATTGCAGAAACAAGTTTAAAAGTAAAGGCAAATAGATTATTGTGGAAGCAAGAAGAACATTTTTTAAAAGAGCAGAGGATTCATTCAGTAAAGTGCATTGGTAAATAACATATAAAGAGGATTTTTCCCTCTGCCATGGAAAATGTTAATGTAAGACAGCTAATGCCCAGATGTTTCTCAGAATAATCATTATAAGCATTTCTTCCTTTGCTCAGTTAGCAGATATTTATTGAGTACCTGCTCTGGGCTCACCAGAACTGTTTTAGTGCAGGAGACACAGTGGTTAAATCTCTGCCTTCATGAAATTTATGTTCTAGTGGGGCAGACACACAACAAATGAAATATAGGAAATATATATATATTTAAGACAGTGATAAGCATGAAGGAAAAAAAATGAGGAAAGAGGGATACAAAAGGTCAGAGGAGGCCAGGCGCAGTGGCTCATGCCTGTAGTCCCAGCACTTTGGGAGGCTGAGGCAGGCGAATCACTTGAGGTCAGGTGTTCAAGACCAACCTGGCCAACATGGTGAAACCTCATTTCTACTAAAAATATAAAAATTAGCCAGGCGTGGTGGTGCATGCCTGTAATCCCAGCTACTCGGGAGGCTGAGGCAGGAGACTTGCTTGAACCCAGGAGGTGGAGATTACAGTGAGGCAAGATTGCACCACTGCACTCCAGCCTGGGTGACAGAATGAGACTCTGTCTCAAAAATAAATAGAAAAACCCCAAAAGGTCAGAGGAAAGGAAGAAATGGCAACTCTAAATTGTAGATAGGACAGCCAGCATAGGCTTCCCTGGAGGTGACCTTTGAGTAAGGGTCTGAAGAGAGTGAAGGAGCTGAAGTTGTGGATCTCTGCGGGAAGTGCTTGGGCCAGGGTAGATGGCAAGTGCAGGGGCCCAATTTCCTTTGGCAGCTGCAGTGCAGGATACGTAGCTTGAGCCTAGCCTGCAGCTGCTGCTAGGATTCCCACATGTATAGTCAACTCACCAGGTGGGTTGCTAAGACTATGAGTGTGAAGGCGTGAGGAGCCTTCTGGGGAGACCTCACCACAAGGTGATACAGTTTGGATGTGTGTCCCCATCCAAGTCTCACACTGAAATCTAATCCCCAGTGTTGGAGGTGGGGCCTGGTGGGAGGTGATTGGATCATGGGAACGGTTTTCTCTGGAATGGTTTAGCACCATCCCCTTTGGTACTGTCTTCCTGATCGTGAGTGAGTTCTTGCGTGATCTGGTAGTATAAAAGTGTGTAGCAACTCCCACCTTGCTCTCTTGCTCCTGCTCTGGTCATGTGAGGGCTGGCTTCCCCTTGGCCTTCTGCCATGGTTGTAAGTTTCCTGAAGCTAAGCAGATGCCAGCATCATGCTTCCTGTACAGCCTGCAGAACCATGAGCCAATGAAACCTGTTTCCTTTATAAATTACCCAGTCTCAGGTATTTCCTTATGGCAATGTGAGAACTCTCTTATACATAAGGGAACTTAGAGACTTGGGCAGATGAGATTGTCCCAGAAACCGAGCCTTAGCTGAAGGGGAAAAGCAACTCTGAGAACATCATAATATCTGTCACTTGGGTTTATCTGCTGGCCTACCCCCTTCAAATACTTAAGGCCAAGTGTTGTGATAAAGGGAGAAGTTGCAAGTAAAAACAGTTATTTTATGAAAACCTGTGAGGTATGGGGCACAAGGAATGGGGGTACAGTTCAGCTCTTTCCAGTGTGAGTTGTAGGAGAGAGTCACTCTCCTTGCTACAGCAAGGGACACAAGGTATCTTTAGCAAATGGGCAACTCCAGAAATCATTCCTTTGGCTGTTGGAAGGCTCCAGAAGACAGGTGGCATGAGGCTGGAGAGACAGCAGGCATCAGATTATAACGGTCTTTGTTTTAATAGCTAAGGAGTTTAGAATATTATCCTAAGGACACTGGATACAGTGTCCTTAGGAATACGGACATGATCAGATTTGCCTTTTAGGAAGATTACTCAGGTTCCCCAGTGGAAAATGGATGGGAGGCAGCAAGATGGGAGACTGGAAAAGTTATGAGACTGATGGGGTGATCTAGGTGGGGAGCAGATGGGAACTGAATTGGAGCAGTGGCACTGAAGCTGCAGGAAGATGTACAAATCTGAGAGTATTTAGATGATGGAAGCTATAGAACCCGAGTGAATCAAGGTGGGTGGTAGTAAAGGGAAAGAAGGAGTGAAGGAAAATCTTCAGGCATTTGGTGTGAATAGTTGGGTAGGGGGCACTTAGATAGGCGATATGAGAGGTATGGGCAGGCTGGGGTTTCTCCCCTGGCGGAGTGGTGGGGCTTGTTGATGAACTCTTTTGGGACGTGCTGAATTAGAGGTTCTGTGAGTACCAGGTGTCAGTGTCTAACAGGTAGCTGGTTATGCAGATCCTGAGCTGACTCTCTCTTGGACAGTTCTGTCCTTGAGTTTTAGACTTAAATATGCAAATGCCTGACAGGTAACTCCACTGAGAGGTCTGATAAACTCATGATGCCTCACAGTGAATGTCTCATCTCCCTGCGACCCTGCCCTCCACCTTCTTATCCCGCTCTCTGCCACCACATTCACTCCCCAACCCCTCACCTGTCCCAGGGTGGCACCACCATCTTGCTTGGACTCATGCAATAACCTGCTTCACATCCTCTTCATTTCTGTATACCCAGTGTCCAGGGCAAGCAGTACCTGGGGTCCCAGCTGGGGTGTGCCCCAGGGACTTGGAAATATCTCTCAGAAAGGTAAGCTAGGAAGTCATCAGATGATAGGTAAGAACTCACATAATGCACGGTCAAGTCTGACTGTAACCTGACTAAAGAAGGATGAAGGGGTCGGGCGCAGTGGCTCATGCCTGTAATCCCAGCACTTTGGGAGGCTGAGGCAGGCGGATCACCTGAGGTCGGGATTTCGAGACCAGCCTGACCAACATGGAGAAATCCTGTCTCTACTAAAAAAAACAAAATTAGCAGGGCGTGGAGGTGCATGCCTGTAATCCCCACTACTTGGGAGGCTGAGGCAGGAGAATTGCTTGAACCCGGGAGGCAGAGGTTGTGGTGAGCCAAGATTGCGCCACTGCCCTCCAGCCCGGGCAACAAGAGCGAAACTCTGTCTCAAAACAAAAACAAACAAAAACAAAAACAACAACAACAAAAAAAGAAGGATGAAGGATGGGTCAGCTATGGGAGCTCAGCAAGGCAGAGTCAGAAAAGGAAATTTTGGTAGCATTATCGACAGCATGGTGGTCCCTGGGGGTGCAGGCAGACAGACACAAATACCAAGTCCTTGTGCCAGAGTATCCCTATGATGGAGGGTGAGTATGGAGCTCTAACATTCTGGCCCTGTAGCCTTAAGTTTACTCATGTCCCTTGCTCATCAGGCAATCTCTGACTAGAATTAGGCTTGCCATGCAGATTTGCCTACAGGAAAAGAGGCACTAATTAGCAAGGATGATTATTCTGTCCATCTGAGAGTATGTATCAGTTACCATCACAGATCATTAAATTAGCATTCCAGCCTGTGAATGGAAGTCGCTGTGAACCTGTTAATGCATGCCTTGGGATCTGACAGGCAGGTGCATGCCTTGGTATGCTGACAAATTCTGTATCTGATATAAGAATTCTATTTTACTTTTCTCCCATTATAAAAATGATATGTATTCACTATTGCTTTCTCTTTTCCACTTTGTCTTTGTTTCTAAAATCACTCATAATTTCAAACATCCAAAAACAACTACTACTAATTGTCAGGATGTTTCCTTCCAATCTGTTTTCTATGCATATGGAAATAATGTTTAGCAATGATTTCATTTCTTTTTTGTAAAAATGCAGTATAGATTTGCAATCCCAAATGACAAAATTCCTAATCAGCTTTGTGGAAAAGAGTTTTGGCTGCTTTTCTCATGCCAGAAAAAGTTGACTACACTGTAGCAAAAGAGCTAATTTCTGCAACCTGACCAAGGAAGAGGTTCCCAGTTTCCAAGACCTTGGCAAGAATCATAAGCATGAAGAGCAATCCAGTACAGCTTTTATGATAGTCAGCGGTTAACCTCCAAAAAGCATAATTACCCAACTAGCTATGTGCTACACATTATCCTTCCAAGTTTAAATTCATGTCCCTAGCAAAAATATCTAATATGTATGTGTCTGTGTATGCGCATGAACGGTGCTTTCCTAATTCTCTCATTCTTTCTATATTTATTAGCTAGTCTCCTTCTATAAACAGCTCTGTCATAAACTCTTTTGTTACCCTGAAATAGGAATCATAGAAGACACTCCAATAAATGTTGGTTCTTTCCCTTAATTCATCAAATTTAAATTCTTGATGCTCAGAAACGTTAAGTGCTCAGTAATTGGGAACTCATAATAGTTTGCATGCTTTTAGCTTTGCTGCAATTTGGACATTTTACTATGATGTAAACAAAAAAACAAATGAAAGTAATCACCAAAAAGTTCCACAGTTTTATGTTCTTTAACTCAAACTCAGTCACAAGATGTTGAGGCCAACAAGTCAAGGAGGCATACATACCTCATTCTCTGACGAACTTGCAGAGAGGAGCACCTCTTGGGCATCAAAGAACTCAGAAACAGACTCTGACATGGAGAGGCGGCTCTCATTGGCTACTTGCTGTGATAAGGGGAGACTGACATGGATTTGCTCACCAGCCTGCAGAAGACAGAAGCATACAGTGTAATTGCTTTTCTCCCTGTTAGAATAGCTATTCCTTCAAATTAGCCAGATTTCTACTCTTTAATACTGTATGTTAAAAAGTGGCAGCCACAAGCAATTTTCACTTGCAATTCAGCAATGATCACTGTATAAGTTTCCTTCCAATGTGTCTAAAGACCCCAAAAGGAATAGTTGAAAGGTGTTGGTACTGTGCCTTGATTTTAAATCTTTGATTGATTGATACTGAGTCAGGTTAAGCCGCTATGAATACCCTGATTGACTGTAGAGACAACTTCATTCTCTTATTCTTAGGTCTGTCATATTCTAACGGTACATTAAACATGAAGAAATATTCGTAGAAACTACTAGAGTTATGCTAAGAAAATCTATAAAACTAATTTTTGAGACAGACTATATACGTCACTTTCCAATTTGATCATGAATTTTAACCAATAAAACACATGACTGGAATATTGAACCTTATTTCAAATTATACTTTTATTCAATAAGTGATAAATAGTTTTCAAGGAAGCTATTTAAGTTTCAATAAAAAATGTAAGAGAAATGTATATATATATTCTAGTGCACATTTCAGGTTGAAAAGAAGATTCCAACTGAGATTATCAAATTATTTTTGAATGACAAATTTTAGAAATACTTCTAGATTCTGGGCAGTTGAGTGAATACAAGTGTTATCTGAGAACACAGGGCCCATGGAGGTGAATGGATTTAGGGTGGAAAACTTAAGTCAAAGACAAGTTGTCCTGGGATAACGTTTCCTAAGAGGTTAGAACCCTTGTACCTATAGATTTCTAGTAAAATGTATGTTTTTGGTACAAATATGACCTTAGTATCAGTTAAACCTCTCATCTTGTTACATATATCACCACTGTATATAAAGCTCTAACATTACTGTTAAAAAGTGTAAGTTCTCATGCTATAAAGTAATAATTTTATGGAGAGTCATAAACAGAATTATACACTTAAGTTTAGTTTAGCCCATATACTGAATGTTCTCCTATTCTCTTTTCTTCAATCTGAAAAATGGAATAATAATACCACCTAACAGAGCGTTGTTGAGAGTGTCAAATGAGATAACACATGCAAAGTCATTAACACAATACCTAGCACATAGTAAGCATTCACTTGACACATGTCAGCTATTAATTAGCAGCAGCAGCAGCAGTAGTAGCTGTAGCAGCACCGTTAGTATTATCTTAACAAGGTCAGGTGACTTCTGTCCTTAGGGCTTTCAAAACAAACGTTAATAACATTTTTACTTGGCAACTTCTCAGCTAATTTTTTTTTTTTTTTTGCAACATTTCACCGGCCATTTGATGCTAATGAACACTTCCAATGATGAATGAGACAGACATTGAAAATTAACAAGCTGGAGTAGATATATAAATCAAATATTCAGTGGCATCAGGTGAACATAGGAATAAATAAAAATAGACACTGATCACCAGGTATAAATGATGTCAAGCTCTTATATAACCTTTACTTCAAAGAACACTGAACTGTCAGTGACACAAATATTTATGGAGGGAACCTTATTAACTGTGAAAGAACTGGATATAAATAAACAAAAATATGCAGTAAATTTAGATGCTAAAAAATAGGTACTCTGCATCTATTTAAAATGAGTCTTACCTCATCAGGGCTAGGAATAATATTTACACTGACAACCTGATCACAAATAATAGACTCTGAATGTATTCTGTTCAACCGACTCCTTAGTTCAGCATTCTGGTTGAGTGCCTTAAAATAACAAAAACCACATATGTAATTTAAAATTAATAAGCAAGCATAAAACAGAACAAGTACACAGGTACAAGTTAGACAATAATGTCTGTGATGTTCTTAGCTCTAACTTTTGAAGCCATCATGAGCCAGACCCTACCAGCAAGGAGTAAATAAATGGCTCAAAATTAAGGTATTCATTTTTTATAAAATAAGATTGCTACTTTGCAGATTGGTGGGCTGAAAGAGTTAATAGATTTCATAAAAGTGATTCATGAAATTTTCTTTCCTTTAGAGTGAGTCCCATTATACTCAAGCCCAGTCTACCACTACATATATATTACTTTTTGCAGCCTGTGATGAAAACTATTGTTTTCATTGAAAATTCTTTCATGTTTTTGTTCTAGTTTCTAAAGTTTGGGAGTTGTTTCAAAGCTGGGTAGTTATCTTAAAAATTAGTTAGAAATAGAATGAACTGGCTTTAGTTTATAGAATTATATTTTAGTGTGTTTAAAGAAAACATCTGTATTTTCATTTTCCAGGAGCACATAATTAATATATATGACAGTGCTGCAGAACTAACTTAAGTGCAAACAAAAAGGTGTCTTCACTCAACAGTGTAGACACTGACAACCATAACAAAGAACATAGCACTGAAAGTACCCCAGCTCTAAGTTCTCCTCATAACACTACCTCCAACATGCTTTAAGTTAGCATCAGTAAAACACTACTTGCTATAACACGGTTTAGTATGTGGAGCAACTGCATTTATTACAAGAAGAGAACAGCTTTACATAAGCATGGCATCCCTACAAGGACCCTATTGACAAAGGTACAGTGAATCCTCTGGGAATGAACATCCCATTGATACACAGAAACATGTTCCATTTATAGACTACAGATGTAGCTAACTGGAATTATATCAAGCCTCAAGTTAAAGACCTGTGAGAAGACAAGGCCCAGAGAAAAGATAGTCTTCTTTTCCTTCCCATTAAGATCAGCGATTAGAAGATGTAAAGATATAAATGTCAGTGCCTAGTAAAGAGGGCATCTGCTTCAGGGAATGGGCATTCCGCTTCATTCAGAGCCAATGAATACAGTAAATCAATACATACACAAATATAATCTCATAATTACAACTCTGTACCTATTAAAACACCCAGGGTAAAAACAAAGTAGCTAAACTCTTCATTGCTTACTCCTTGAGCATGGAGCACAGAGCAGCCTCTTCTCTCCTCTCTCCATCCTGGTCCCCATGTCTTCCCTTCCCTCAACCCAGTTTTTGCTTTTTGAGGACAGAACTATCAGTTGCAGCCTTTGGATTTTGTTTGAAGCTGTTAGAACCAGTTTGTAAAATATGTCAAATCATATACTTGATCTGGAGGGCTGTCACATTGATGGATTAAAGGTGGATACAGATTCTACAGTCATTACATTTGGAGATAGGAGGAAGTATGTCTCTGACGATCTGAGAAAACAGGAATGTTTTATGGGAAAAAAGGTGATAACATTCTTAGTAGATAAACCATGTGCCTCAAAGGAAGACTCCTAGTATCTTTTCATCCTGAAAAAGTGCTCAGGATCATTTTTCTTGGAGCAAAATCTCAAACACTTAGAATTAGAAAAAAACCCAGCAACGACACTGCATTACTCTTATCTATTGTGAGTACCATAGGCCTTTCTCCTATAAGTTAGGACCACAAAAGATGCTGATTTCTTCTTTGTTGCTTCTCTGCCTACAAGTAAATGCATAGTTGCCTTAGTTACTGAAACATTTGGAACCAGATATGCTTTGGTGTCATGTAAGTGGGAGGCCTCATGGTAAGCTATTTGATAGTTTTAATTGCAGAATCACAGTTTTGTTGTTGTTGTTCGTTTTGAGACAGACTCTTGCTCTGTCACCCAGGCTGGAGTGCAGTGGTGTGATCTCAGCTCACTGCAACCTCGGCCTCCTGGGTTCAAGTGATTCTCATGCCTCAGCCTCCTAAGTAGCTGGGATTACAGGTATGCACCACCACATCTGGCTAATTTTTGTATTTTTAGTAGAGATGAAGTTTTGCCATGTTCGCCAGGCTGGTCTCAAACTCCTGACCTCAAGTGATCCTCTGGCCTCAGCCTCCCAAAGTGCTGGGATTACAGGCAGGAGCTACCCTGCCCAGCCCAGAATCACAGTCTTGACCTGAGGGTTTCATACAAACCTCAAATAATGGTTCCTCCAAAGTAGCTATACCTTCTGTTGCCACTGTGAGAGTGTTAACAAAACAACCCCACAAAAACTCAAGGGCAAAGATAAGTAGTGGTTTTCTTCAGGGGTGGGAATGTTAAAGATAGGTTTGCCATTTATAAGAAAAGCTTGCTCTGGATATTTAAAAAAATTAAATTCTTATTTAAGCTCTCATCTTACCCCATGTTCATTAAATGTGATCATGCCTACAGGTATGTGTGATGGGAACACAAGATAACATCTAGCCATTAATATCAATAAGAAATGAACTCAGAGGTTTTTAAATTAAATATAATTTATTCTTTTTCTTAGATGTGATGTGAAAAATAAAAATTCTAGCCTGGGAGTCAGAAGATCAGGTTCTCTTGATCTCAGGGCTAAGTAGTCTTCACCAAGTTACTTAACCTTTCTGGGGTTGTATTAAATAAACATACAAATTTGATTGAAACGCTAAGTCAGAATCCTGCACAGTGCTTCTTGGTTATCATGATGAAGATCAACTAGTGTCCAGAATAGTGCAAAAATAATTCTGGGTTTGGGGATTTTCTGATGCTTAGATTATGGTTCATAGGAATTTCTATACTTTATGGGGCAAATCATCAGTATTTGGCTCTCTGATAAGAGCATAATCAAGGTATTTTTACATTCTATGCAAAGTTTACTTTGGCATTCATTGGGATGGTCTGGAGAGAGTTTTATCACCTGTGTCCTTACTTAATTCTCTTATTGTTGAAACCCTGTTCTCTCTTCCATTGATGGCAAAAAGAGTAGCATGGGAGCAAAAGAGATAAATCTCAGTTAAAGTATTTCTTATTAAGATGAAGGCTGGGTGTGGTGGCTCATGTCTGTAACCTCAGCACTTTGGGAGACCAAGGCAGATGGATCACTTGAGGTCAGGAGTTTGAGACCAGTCTGGCCAACATAGTGAAACCCCAACTCTACTAACAATACAAAAATTAGCTGGGTGAGGTGGCACACGCCCATAGTCCCAGCTACTCAGGAGGCTGAGGTAGGAGAATCACTTTAACTCGAGGTGGAGGCTGCACTGAGCCAAGACTGTGTCACTGCACTTCAGCCTGGGCAACACTGAGAGACTGTGTCTCAAAAAAAAAAAAGGATTTTTTTTATTAAGATGAAGAAAAATAGAAGTATTTTTATTTGTTAATTTTTTTACATTTAATTTTTTAATGTAAATTTTTTTCAAACTTCAAAACTATTTTTTTTTTAATGATGGCAAATACTCAAAGCCAAAGATCTCCTGTAGTTTACCACTACTGGTAAAGAATTACACTTTCCTGCCAAAATATTAACATTGTGCCAAAAGAAAACAGTTTGGTTCCATTTTAAGTAGATAATGATGCATTTTGCTAGTTCTTATTTTAATCACTTTTAGAACTGAGACAAAAGTAGAAGACTCATCTCTCCTGCTATGATTTCAAGCCAGATGTTAAGCATGTTGAGTTCAAAGCTAAAAGTTTTAAAGACATCATTTTATTAATAATATCTATGCAGTGGTAGAAAAGAGTTTGCTGTTACATAGCACAGGAAGCATGGAAATCAAGACTGTTCCCACTCTGGCAACCCCAGTGGTGAAAAGTGTAAGCCGGCAACTGAGCATGCAACAGCCCCTTTCTGCGCATCCTCCCCCTTTTGCCTTGATCGTACAGGCTGTTTTTAAAGTTTGCTACAACCAAGCGCCATGAGCTTTCTGGTGTAGTGCTCTCAGGTAGTGCTTAGGTCTACATTTATTATTTCCTGCCCTAAAAATTATTTTTATCTAATAATACCATGTTTCTATAATAATATCATTGAAACTTTGGGAGAAGTATTGTCAGGGAAGTGATGTTCTTCATGACAACAGAAAAGGGCCTAGAAGATGGCAGAAATAAAGTAGGGCATATACCCAAGAGGAGTGAGCAGTGGCATAAGCAAGGGAAAAGGAGGCAGAGGACCAGCCCCTGGAACCAGCCAATGAGCAAGAAGAGCTATGGAGACTTGTCAGCAATAACATCGCTATTAGTGGCATACAGGACCAAAGGCCTAACAGGGAGGAAGCACCTTGAAGCCAGGAACTGGGCACAGATTCTTCACGCAGCAGGTTTTATGCATATTCTCACCACTTGCTTTACTGAGCTCGGACTGCACTAAAAACTACAATGCATGCTCATTTCCCCACACCTCATGTCCCTTATGCACATTTCAAGGCTAATATATCCAAGAAACACACAATTCCTTTCCAATGCGTAAAAGAAGTTACTGTCTTAAAGATTTGAGCCAGAATCAATTACCTAAATTGCCACCTCCTTAGCTACTAACTACCATTCATCAACCCTGGCAGGTAATTCCTAGGTGAAGATTTATCTTAGGCTGGGTGAGACTCTGGCATAAACATTTTACTAAATGGAAATGTGGGTTCTGGGAGAAAAACATAGAAGCCTAATGGCTGGAGAAGGATATGAAACATATGGCAAGATGAAATCATCATAAATTTAAACATTTTAGATAAAAATAAAACTGGTTCAAAAGGAATGAGAAAATGAGCATAGAAACTGTCAAAGCTAGAGCTGTCAAAAACCAAATCCTGGGTCTCTCTTAAAAATCACTTGCTTTTTCAATTACAAAAATACCATTATAGTATATTTGGAAAATGCAAAATATAGACAAATTTTTAAAAAATGCATCTTACTACCCGACTGTTGGTAGCTTGGCCCATTTCTTTCTAGTTTTTTTTTCCTCTGTATTTTTTAATATTGTTTAATGGGTGCACAGTTTACATACTGTATCTGCCCCTTATTCTTTGCACATAAGCAGTTATTTTGTTTCAAACTCTTCACACACATAATTTTAATAGTTGCATTAGCAAGTATTTCCTACTATTGGACACTTATGCTGTTACTGATTTTTACTAGTATAAATAATACTGCCATGAATATGTGCATGATTGTTTTCTAAATTTCAGCATTAATAGACATATCAGCCATGGACCTACAGGGTAAAAGGGTAAAAACATTTTAAGGCTTTTAATAAATATTGCCAAATTATGTTCAAAATGACAACAATTTAAAGTTTAAAGAACATGTGAAGGATTCTATAAAGAGTATCTTCACATACAACAAATTTGGCCAAGTCTCAGGGAACTATGAAATTAAGGAATAAACAAATACACTTGCAACTTTTATTTCATCACAGAATAATTATTTGGGTATGTGAAATGTTGTGGACAGGGAGGATGACAGATATGACTTGGATTTTACATTATGCTACTATATAGTATGTTAAGCAATTTTTTTGCTTCAATTCTATTTACATTTCGCTGATTCTAAGATGCACATTTCCCCCCACATTCACCGCCTCTGAAGCACCGTGTCAGTTCAATTGACAGCAGTGTTTTTTTTCCTTTTCTCAGTAATGCACAAAATGATGATGCATGTAATAATTGATGGCATCTTGATTTAATAAAATACAGTGATTCTAGCTGGAATAGATGGGTCATATTCCGTTATTCACATTTATATGAGCCCAACTCTCACTGCGTTTAACACAAGCTGTGCACAATTTCTGGGGCCAGGAATCAAACTAATAACAGTGATAAAATGTAATGTATTCAAGATAGGCTCAAGATGAGTTGGATTTTTATTATTATGGTAATCTGGGGTGCTGAGGTTGCCTTAGTTTTATTACAGACTATTTCATTTTGGTGTTCAGGGTACTGCATTAAACAAGACATAAGCTGGGTGCAGTGGTTCATGCCTATAATCCCAGCACTTCGGGAGTCCGAGGTGGGAGGATTACTTGAGGCCACGAGTTCGAGACCAGCCTGGGCAACATGGTGAAATCCCATCTCTATTAAAAACACAAAAAATTAGCCGGACGTGGTGGTTCATGCCTGTAATACCAGCTAGTTGGGAAGCTGTGGCAGGAGAATCACTTGAACCCAGGAGGCGGAGGTTGCAGTGAGCTGAGACTGTGTCACCTCACTCCAAACAGGGCAACAGAGGAAGACTCTGCCTCCAAAAAACAAACAAACAAAAAAAGATATGAAATTATAGCTGATGTCAAATAAAGTCATTTATAAGGGATAGATGCCACATAAAATGTCCTGTCTATAGGCTTGGGTCCAACATCCAGGCTCCCTCTCAAGTGTGAAAGTTTAAGTTTCATGGGGGTTAAATAATAGAATTATATATGTTTTTGTGTACATATAGATTGGGAAATAATATTACTTTATTTATTTTTATTTTTTTAAGACAGAGTCTCGCTCTGTCATCCAGGCTGGAGTGCAATGGTGCGATCTTGGCTCACTGCAACCTCTGCCTCCCAGGTTCAAGCAATTCTCCTGCCTCAGCCTCCCAAGTAGCTGGGATTACAGGCACCTGCCACCACGCCCAGCTAATTTTTTGTATTTTTAGTAGAGAAGGGGTTTCACCATGTTGACCAGGCTGGTTGAAGTAACATTACTTTAGAAGAGCAATTCATTAGACTGTCCAGCCTTGCAAATTTTTGTTTGCTCAAGGCAGGTAACAATTTATGCTAAGCATGTTGTAAAAATGCTAATTTCAAGTATTTTATCTGCTATGTGCCTTCGAAAAGACGATAAAATTTGCTGAGTCTGATATATTTAAAGCCTTGTTGAAATGCAGCACTTTAATCATTAGACATACATCAAATAGGACTTATGTCAAATAAAACATAGGCTTTAAAAGTTTTAGACTACTTAAATAAGTTTTTTATTTATTTATTTTTGAGATGGAGTTTCACTCTCATTGCTCAGGCTGGAGTGCAATGGCATGATCTCAGCTCATTGCAACCTCCACCTCCTGGGTTCAAGTGATTCTCCTGCCTCAACCTCCCAAACAGCTGGGATTATAGGCGCCCGCCACCACGCCCAGCTAATTTTTGTATTTTCAGTAGAGATGGGGTTTCGCCTGTTGGCCAGGCTGGTCTCGAACTCCTGACCTCATGATCCACCCACCTCGGCCTCCCAAAGTGCTGGGATTATTTTGAGCCACCGCGCCCGGCCAGCCTGTCGTTTAAATGTTAATGTTCTCTACAGCAGCAGGAGCACCACTGACCATTTTATTCTGACTGCATTGCAACTCGTCAACATCTATAACTGCCCTGATATGCAGGGGCATCCATCTTCCTCTCTAGCCTAGACCTGTCTTCTGAGCTCTAGACATAAATATCTAATTGCCTGTAAAATGCCCCACAGACACCTCAATCTCCACAGAAATCCATCATCAAATACCTAAAGCAAACCAGCTCCTCTTGTAGTCCCACCTTGGGGACAATAACTTTCACATACCCAGTTATCCAAGCAAAAACCCTGGACTGTCTCGACTCTGTGTCCTTGTCCCTCTCTAACATTCCGCTGATCTCCAAGCCATGCTGATTCTCCCTCCTGGGTGTCTTTGAAATGTATTCCCTCCTTCCACCAATGCTGGCATGGCACTTCCTCAGTTTAGAAATATCTCAAATGTACAAGCTATTCTCAAATTATCTCAAATACCATAAGAATCTGTCCAACTAGCCTTGCCTCCCAATTCCACCTACCCTCCATACTGTACCAGAGTAATCTTTCTAATATGCAGAAATATGCTGTAATAGTTCTAATTTCTGGCATTATCATTTACCAGTTAAAATTGTTAACTGATAGGATAAATCCAAAACCCTCTGTGGAGTCCCTGATGAGCTGGTTCTTGCCTACTTAATCAGCTACTCTTAAGAGTAATTCTTCCTTCTTCATCTCCTACTTCTTCCACTATGAACTACCTGCCATTCTCCAGACACCTCTCCAACGGCCTAACCATGAATAACAATTTGTTAGAAAGGAAAGAACTGTCAGTAAACTTAAATACCTTAAGCAAAGGCTGCTGTGGTTTCCAAAAGGGAGTCCACACTTAGAGGTGACGGGAATAGATGGCCAGTGGGGGTGCGACTACGCCGAGGGGAAGGCATGGACACACACGGGGATGTGAACATCACCAAAATGCTGGGATGACACACAGCTGCAAGCACTGAATTATCTACTGGATAGGCTGTAACGGTCTATTTGAAACTTAATAGTTCCAAATTATTTTCACATCTTTTAAGGCTAAAATTGAGATTTTTTTGTAAAAATAAAAATAAAAAATCCAACAAAAATCTATTGAGGCTCTAACTTTAGATGCAAATAAATATGTGTTGACAAGAGAGGGAAATATGTTAACCCCAAGGAAGCACAGTTGATCAAATTTTGCTTTATTTTACTTTTATCATGTTAGCATCAGACCCTTCCTTGTGAGCGGCTGCTGTCTACTCAGGCCAGGTTCAAGGTCTGATTCCTCCAAGAAGCCTGATCTGTGGCTCTGCTCTCAACTCAGGGATCTGCCATTCCTCTGAGCAACCAGAGCCCGGGAAATGTGCACCACCATGTACTGCTCTGAATGTACTACGGTGTGCTCCATTTCACTGTTTCCTGCTCATCTCATGAATCAGATCACGAGCTTGCTGGGAACATGGCCAGGGCTACTTTAACCTTGGTGTTCTGTACCTTGCACAATACCTAGCATATAGTCACCCGAATGGAATACAATGAATAAGGGAATGAACAAATGAATAACTGTTGTAAAATTTCTCTTCATAATTATTTCTAATCTCACCTGAAGCCCGACCCGAGATCTTTATTTACCATTCTCTGTTTCACCTACAAGCAAATAAAAGCAAGCAAGCAGGCAAGCAAGAAACAAATGCATTTTCTTGTTTTTCTTAGTAAAGCTTGACTTCTAACTCTAAGCCTCCATCATTAAATACATCTGAAGGAATCATTGCAACACTTAGGGGGACAAGAATGTATTTTATATGTTTACAAGATGACATTTGAATGTTTACTTGACCAATATTTTGATCTTTCTGATTCACGATACTTTCAGAATAATGATTTGGAAGACCAATTAACGTCAACTGAGTGTTCGACCGATCCATGACATGAGAAGGGTCCAGGGAAAGCCATTAAAATGTTCTTCTAAATAAAGCCCTCTGAAGACTGGCAGAATCGTAGCGGATTTTCACGCTCATGCTCCTGAGACCCCTGGCTTTATACTGGAAGCAGCATATGCCCCTCAGCTGACAGTGTTTTATGGATAATGCAGAAAGTGTGGCCCATATAACAACATCCATGACATGAAACTTAACACTGAAAATACGCCGACAGTTCAGGGACGTAAAACACGGTGACACGGTGTAAGTCTACTTTTTAGGGACCGAGGGAAACTGTTCAAGCAGGATCTGCTCCACGCGGAGAACCACTTACCCAGGATTTGCTTGCTCCTTCACTCTGATCCAAGGCACCAGGAAGTGAATAATATTTTATATAGACACCGAGTTCTCACAAAATCACATAACGACATTGAATTCTTAAAGGAGTTAAGTCAGTGCATTTATAGACTAAAGAAAATACTTACTTCTAAGGAACTACTCAGTTGAAAAAAGCATAAGCACAGCTCTAAAGGATTTTTATCAGAAATTTCAACTTTGATATAGATACATAGGGATTTGATTAGTATTAATAAGATCAACTCTATAATATATATTGAAATATAAAAGTCTAGTTCAGGGAGCATAACTTAGGAAGAAAACCTCAAGAGTGCAAATCAGAAAAGAAAAAAATGAGTGATAGTAATCAGTAATTTTAAACAGATTAAGATGTAAGTGGGAAAAATATTAAGTGTGGAAGATCTAGTACATTTTTAAAAAATATTCACTATTGGACTGAATATATCCTGGAACACATTTCAGATGTATAGGTCAAATAAATGCATAATTCTTTTTTTAAAATGAGGGGCTACCTTATAAATGACCTTAGAGAAGCATTAAGTGTTCAATTGGCCAAAATTACCATTATACGCTTACAAGCAAGTTTGGTTTATTTTCACTCTTACCTTGAAATTTTGGGGAAGAAAAGTAGTAAAATCTAATACTGACACTGCAGTCTTTTGGGGGAAATTCTGCAAACTGTACTATCCCCATGACTAGCCACCTCCCTGCCAGCCCCCCATCTTTTGATCTTTCATCTTACAGGGTTGGGAGTGTGTCATGTACATGCAAACACACACTCTTTGCCTACCTGAGACAGTGACTGTCGGAGCCGTGCCATCTGCGTGCTGTGGCCTTTACTGTGATCCTGCTCGGAAACCATCTGCTTCAGCTTCTCCTTCTCTATAGCTATGCTATTAAATGCAGACTTCAAAAGAGAATGCACTGGGTGGGGAGAAAAGTGAGAAAAAACTGTCAGATATGTGCAGAAAGAATACACAACATTATAAATTTCTCCAGACTTTCACTCACAAATAGGCATTTTTTGGAAAGGCTATGTAATAGTCTAATTAAAAATCAGCCTTCAAAAGGAATCTTTATCAGGATATCTATACTCCACACAAATATTACAATGGCAATTGATCAGAGTGAAAAATTTGTTTTTTATACCAGACAGGCCAACAAAAATCTGGAAGTAGCATGTAAAATATCAAGATCAATGCAAAGTATCAATATTTAGAAATTAACTTATAATCCCTAGAAAGAATAGGGAACAAGTTTACTTGCCATATTTGATTATCATATTTGAGCAGTTCTGTGTAGCATAAAGTCTCACATAAATAATTTAGAACTATCCAAAAATATTCTCCAAAAGCATGCACCCAAAAAGAGCATTTTATGCATTCTGCCAACATAAAACAGGTGGCTGATCAAGAAGTTTTGACTGGTTCTCTTGGAGGTAGGAAATGATATGCCTTTAAGAACAGCACTTGCGTTGCTTTCTCAGACAGGAATATCTTGTTGTTAAAGTGCTTTGATTTAAAAGCAACAATAAAAACAACACCCCCTCCCCATTTCCTACATACCTAACAAATTAGCATTGGTAAAATCTGAGGCAGTCTTCAATCGTGAACTACAGAAAGGGTGACTTTCCAACATCTATTTTTATAATAACAGAGTTTCTATAATATGCAAAGTATTCTAAAATAGGTATTTCCTTATTTGAGAAAGGTATTTATAAAAGTGGAAATTTTTAGCATAAAATAGAGTGGCTGAATTACAGGGGGAAAATGGCAGGATCACAAGGGATTCACGATCTATTGATTTATGTGCTACATTCTGTCATCATCAATTTAAAGGTAATAACTTGATAGCTGGATTACATTAATCCTGCTGGTAGCTCTAAAAGCAAGCTCTTCATCCATTTTAAAATAACGCTTCCAAAAAAGTTCATGCAATAGTCATAGAAAAGTTCTTTTGTTTCTTTGCCTAGCATAGAGAATTTGTGTGTCTGTTGAAAATATGTAGTTTCAATGGAGGCTTAAAAATTTTTTTTATTGTGTATGTATTTAAGGTATATAGTATGATGTTATAAGATACATATAAGTAGTAAAATGGTTAGCTTTAAAAAATTTATTGTGTATATATTTAATGTATACAACATGATGTCATAAGATACATATATGTAATAAAACGGTTACTGTGGTGGAACAAATTAACATATCCATCGTCTTATCCATTTCCCGCCCCCCCACCGCGCTGTGGCAAGAACAGCTATAATCTACTAATTTAGCAAAAGTCCTGAATATAACACACTATTATTAACTATAATCTTCACAATGTAGATTAGATCTTTCTACTTGTTCATCCTACACATTTGCTACTTTGTGTCCTTTGACCTACATCTCCCCTCCACTGCCATCCTGGTAGTCACTGTTTTATTCTCTCTCTATATATACTTGACTTAAAAGAAACAAAAAGTTTCCATATATAAGTGAGATCATGCAATACTATTTTCTGGGACTGGCTTCTTTTTTTTTTTGAGACAGAGTCTCACTTTGTCACCCAGGATGGAGTGCAGCGGCACAAGCCACTCATTACAACTTCCGCCTCCTGTGTTCAAGCAATTCTCGTGCATCAGCCTCTTAAGTAGCTGGGATTACAGGCAGGCACCACCACGCCTGACTAATTTTCGTAATTTTAGTAGAGACGGGATTTGCCATGTTGACCAGACTGCTCTCAAACTCTTGGCCTCAAGCAATCTGCTCACTGCAGCCTCCCAAAGTGCTGGTATTACAAGTGTGAGCCACTGCACCTGGCCAAGTCTGGCTTATTTCACTTAGCATAATGTCCTTCAGGCCCATCCATGCTATGGCAATTGGCAGGATCGCTTCCTTTTTGAAGGCTGAATAATACTCCATTGTGTATGTGTATACCACAGTTTCTTTATCCATTTGTCCACTGACAGATACCTGGGTGGTTTCCACTTTTTGGCTATTGTGAATAATGCTGCAATGAACATGTGAGTGCAGATAACTTTACAACAGGGTGATTTCGTTTCCTGTAGATATATGCCCAGAAGAGGGACTGCTGGGTCATATGGTAGTTCTATTTTTAATTATTTTAAGAATCTCTGTACTATTTTCCGGTGTATATGGCTGCACCAACGTACACTCCCAACAACAGTGTACAAAGGTTTCATTTTCTCCACACCCTTGCCGACATTTGTCTCGTCTTTTTAATAACTATCCTAACAGGTGTGAGGTGGTGGCGCATAGTGGTTTTGATTTGCATTTCCCTAATGATTAGTGATGCTGATCACCTTTTTATGTACTTGTTGGTCATTTTTATGTCATCTTTGGAGAAGTATCTACTCAGATCCTTTGCTCATTTTAAAATCAGGCTATATGTTTTCTTTTTAAAAACATTTTTATTTATTTAATTTTTTTATGAGACAAGGTCCCACTCTGTTGTCTATTGTGGAGTGCAATGGCGTGATCATAGCTCACTGTAACCTCTAACTCCTGGGCTTAAGTGATCCTCCCACATCAGCCTCTCGAGTAGCTAGGACTACAGGCACACATTAACATGCCTGGCTAATTTTTTTAATTTTATTTTTTGTGGAGATGGAGTCTCACTATGTTGCTCATGCTTGTCTCGAATTCCTGGCCTCAAGTAAAGGTTATACGTTTTCTTCCTATTGAGTTGTATGAGTTCTTTATACATCCTGGATATTAAGCCCTTATCTGATACATGGTTTGCAAATATTTTTTCCCATTCTGTAGGTTACCTTTTTCTTTTGTTGATTGTTTTCTTTGCTGTGCAGAAGCTTATTTTTAAAAATTTACATGACAAGCTTTTTAGTTTGAAATTTTCCATTTATTTATTTTTGATTTTTTAGCCTGAATTTTTGGTGTTATATCTAAGAAATCCATTGCCAAGAACAATGTCAAGGAGCTTTTGCTCTACGTTTTCTTCTAGGAGTTTTATAGTTTCAGGTCTTACATTTAGGTCTTTTATCTATTTTTAGCTCACTTTTGTGTATGGTGTAAGATAAGGGTCCAATTTCATTCTTTTACATGTGGAAATCTGGTTTTCTTAGCATCTTTCATTGAACAAACTATCCTTTTCTCATTGTGCCTTTTTGGTGCCTTTGTTGAAAATTAGTTGATCATATATGTTTGGATTTATTTTGGGGCTCTCTTTTCTGTTCCAGAGGTCAATGTATCTGTTTTTAAGCCAATACCATACTATTTTGATTACTATAGCTTTGTAATATAATTTTAAATCAGGAAGCATGATGTTTTCAACTTTGTTGTTTTCCCCCCAGGTTGCTCTGGTTATCAAATTCTTTTGTGGTTCCATGTGAATTTTATTTATTTTTTAAATTTTTTTATTTTAGTTTAAATTCTAGGGTACATGTGCACAACGTGCAGGTTTGGTACATAGGTATACATGTGCCATGTTGCTTTGCTGCACCCATCAACTCATCATTTACATTAGGTATTTCTCCTAATGCTATCCCTCCCCCAGCCCCTCACCCCTGGACAGGCCCCAGCGTGTGATGTTCCCTGCCGTGTCCAAGTGTTCTTGTTATTCAATTCCCACCTATGAGTGAGAACAGGTGGTGTATGGTTTTCTGTCTTTGTGATAGTTTGCTGAGAATGATGGTTTCCAGCTTCATCCATGTCCCTGCAAAGGACATTAACTTATCCTTTTTTATGGCTGCATAGTATTCCATGGTGTATATGTGCCACATTTTCTTAATCCAGTCTATCATTGATGGACATTTGGGTTGGTTCCAAGACTCTGCTGTTGTGAATAGTGCCGCAATAAACATATGTGTGCATGTGTCTTTATAGTAGCATGATTTATAATCCTTTGGGTATATACCCAGTAACGGGATTGCTAGGTCAAATGGTATTTCTAGTTCTAGATCCTTGAGGAGTCACCACATGGTTTTTCACAATGGTTGAACTAATTTACACTTCCACAAACAGTGTAAAAGCGTTCCTATTTCTCCACATCCTCTCCAGAACCTGCTGTTTCCTGACTTTATAATGATGGCCATTTTAACTGGCATGAGATGGTATCTCATTGTAGTTTTAATTTGCATTTCTCTGATCACCAGTGATGATGAGCATTTTTTCATGTGTCTGTTGGCTGCATAAATGTCTTCTTTTGAGAAGTGTCTGTTCATATCCTTTGCCCACTTTTTGATGGGATTGTTTTTGCTTCTAAATTTGTTTGAGTTCTTCGTAGATTCTGAATACTAGCCCTTTGTCAGATGGGTAGATTGCAAAAATCTTCTCCCATTCTGTAGGTTGCCTGTTCATTCTGATGGTAGTTTCTTTCGCTGTGCAGAAGCTCTTTAGTTTCATTAGATCCCATTTGTCTATTTTGGCTTTTGTTGCCATTGCTTTTAGTGTTTTAGTCATGAAGTCCTTGCCCATGCCTATGTCCTGAATAGTATTGCTAAGGTTTTCTTCTAGAGTTTTTACAGTTTTAGGTCTAACGTTTAAGTCTTTAATCCATCTTGAATTAATTTTTGTATAAGGTGTAAGGAAGGGTCCAGTTTCAGCTTTCTACATATGGCTAGCCAGTTTTCCCAGCACCATTTATTAAATAGGGAATCCTTTCTCCATTGCTTGTTTTTGTCAGGTTTGTCAAAGATCAGATGGTTGTAGATGTGTGGTGTTGTTTCTGAGGCCTCTGTTCTGTTCCATTGGTCTATGTATCTGTTTTGGTACTAGTACCATGCTGTTTTGGTTACTGTAGCCTTGTAGTATAGTTTGAAATCAGGTAGCGTGATGCCTCCAGCTTTGTTCTTTTTGCTTAAGATTGTCTTGGCAATGTAGGCTCTTTTTTGTTTCCACATGAACTTTAAAGTAGCTTTTTCCAATTCTGTGAAGAAAGTCATTGGTAGCTTGATGGGGATGGCACTGAATCTATAAATTACCTTGGGCAGTATAGCCATTTTCACAATATTGATTCTTCCTATCTATGAGCATGGAATGTTCTTCCATTTGTTTGTGTCTTCTTTCATTTCATTGTGCAGTGGTGTGTAGTTCTCTTTGAAGAGGTCCTTCACATCCCTTGTAAGTTGGATTCCTAGGTATTTTATTCTCTTTGAAGCAATTGTGAATGGGAGTTCACTCATGATTTGGCTCTCTGTTTGTCTGTTATTGGTGTATAGGAATGCTTGTGATTTTTGCACATTGATTTTGTATCCTGAGATTTTGCTGAAGTTGCTTATCAGCTTAAGGAGATTTGGGGTGGCGGCAATGGGGTTTTCTAAATATACAATCATGTCATCTGCAAACAGGGACAATTTGACTTCCTCTTTTCCTAATTGAATACCCTTTATTTCTTTCTCTTGCCTGATTGCCCTGGCCAGAACTTCCAACACTATGTTGAATAGGAGTGGTGACAGATGGCATCTGTGTCTTGTGCTGGTTTTCAAAGGGAATGCTTCCAGTTTTTGCCCATTCAGTATGATATTGGCTGTGAATTTGTCATAAATAGATCTTATTATTTTGAGATATGTTCCATCAATACCTAGTTTATTGAGAGTTTTTAGCATGAAGGGCTGTAGAATTTTGTCAAAGGCCTTTTCTGCATCTATTGAGATAATCATGTGGTTTTTGTCATTGATTCTGTTTATGTGATGGATTACGTTTATTGATTTGCATATGTTGAACCAGCCTTGCA
Organism: Homo sapiens; assembly: GCF_000001405.40. Taxonomy (NCBI): domain Eukaryota; kingdom Metazoa; phylum Chordata; class Mammalia; order Primates; family Hominidae; genus Homo; species Homo sapiens. The sequence goes on along the minus strand of NC_000002.12, from coordinate 178,355,915 downwards.
TCCCAGGGATGAAGCTGACTTGATCGTGGTGGATAAGCTTTTTGATGTGCTACTGGATTCGGTTTGCCAGTATTTTATTGAGGATTTTTGCACTGATGTTCATCAGGGATATTGGTCTAAAATTCTCTTTTTTTGTTGTGTCTCTGCCAGGCTTTGGTATCAGGATGATGCTGGCCTCATAAAATGAGTTAGGGAGGATTCCATCTTTTTCTTTTGATTGGGATATTTTCAGAAGGAATGGTACCAGCTCCTCTTTGTACCTCTGGTAGAATTTGGCTATGAATCCATCTGGTCCTGTACTTTTTTTGGTTGGTAGGCTATTAATTATTGCTTCAATTTCAGAGCCTGGTATTGGTCTATTCAGAGATTCAACTTCTTCCTGGTTTGTCTTGGGAGGATGTATGCATCCAGGAATTTATCAATTTCTTGTAGATTTTCTAGTTTATTTGCGTAGAAGTGTTTATAGTATTCTCTGATGGCAGTTTGTATTTCTGTGGGTTTGGTGGTGATATCCCCTTTATCATTTTTTATTGCATCTATTTGACTCTTCTCTCTTTTCTAATTTATTAGTCTTGCTAGCAGTCTATCAATTTTGTTGATCTTTTCAAAAAACCAGCTCCTGGATTCATTAATTTTTTGAAGGGTTTTTTTGTGTCTCTATCTCTTTCAGTTCTGCACTGCTCTTAGTTATTTCGTGCCTTCTGCTAGTTTTTGAATTTGTTTGCTCTTGCTTCTCTAGTTCTTTTAATTGTGATGTTAGGGTGTTGGTTTTTGGATCTTCCTGCTTTCTCTTGTGGGCATTTAGTGCTATAAATTTCCCTCTACATACTGCTTTAAATGTGTCCCAGAGATTCTGGTAAGTTGTGTCTTTGTTCTCATTGGTTTCAAAGAACATCTTTATTTCTGCCTTCATTTCGTTAATTACCCAGTAGTCATTCAGAAGCAGGTTGTTCAGTTTCCATGTAGTTGTGCGGTTTTGAGTGAGTTTCTTAATCCTGAGTTCTAATTTGATTGCATTGTGGTCTGAGAGACAGTTTGCTGTGATTTCTGTTTTTTACATTTGCTGAGGAGTGCTTTACTTCCAATTATGTGGTCAATTTTAGAATAAGTGTGATGTGGTGCTGAGAAGAATATATATTCCATTGATTTGTGGTGGAGAGTTCTGTAGATGTCTATTAGGTCTGCTTGGTGCAGAGCTGAGTTCAAGTCCTGGATATCCTTGTTAACCTTCTGTCTCTTTGATCTGTCTAATATTGACAGTGGGGTGTTAAGTCTCCCATTATTATTGTGTGGGAGTCTAAATCTCCTTGTAGGTCTCCAAGGACTTGCCTTGTGAACCTGGGTGCTCCTGTATTGGGTGTATATATATTTAGGATAGTTAGCTCTTTTTGTTGAATTGATCACTTTACCATTATGTAATGGCCTTCTTTGTCTCTTTTGATCTTCGTTGGCTTAAAGTCTGTTTTATCAGAGACTAGGATTGCAACCCCTGCTTTTTTTTTGCTTTCCATTTGCTTGGTAGATCTTCCTCCATCCCTTTATTTTGAGCCTATGTGTGCCTCTGCACTTGAGATGAGTCTCCTGAATACAGCACACTGATGGGTCTTGACTCTTTATCCAATTTGCCAGTCTGTGTCTTTTAATTGGGGCATTTAGCCCATTTACGTTTAAAGTTAATATTCTTATGTGTGAATTTGATCCTGTCATTATGATGTTAGCTGGTGATTTTGCCTGTTAACTGACGCAGTTTCTTCATAGCATCAATGGTCTTTACAATTTGGCATGTTTTCGCAGTGGCTGGTACCAGTTGTTTCTTTCCATGTTTAGTGCTTCCTTCAGGAGCTCATGTAAGGCAGGCCTGGTGTTGACAAAATCTCCCAGCATTTGCTTGTCTGTAAAGGATTTTATTTCTCTTTCTTATGAAGCTTAGTTTGGCTGGATATGAAATTCTGGGTTGAAAATTCTTTAAGAATCTTGAATATTGGCCTTCACTGTCTTCTGGCTTATAGGCTTTCTGCTGAGAGATCCACTGTTAGCCTGATGGGCTTCCCTTTGTGGGTAACCCGACCTTTCTCTTGGGCTGCCCTTAATATTTTTTCCTTCATTTCAACTTTGGTGAATCTGACAATTATTTGCCTTGGGGTTGCTCTTGTTGAGGAGTATCTTTGTGGCATTTTCTGTATTTCCTGAATCTCGATGTTGGCCTGTCTTGCTAGGTTGGGGAAGTTCTGGATAATATCCTGAAGAGTGTTTTCCAACTTGGTTCAATTACCCCATCACTTTTAGGTAAACCTATCAAATGTAGATTTGGTCTTTTCACATAGTCCCATACTTCTTGGAGGCTTTGTTCATTTCTTTTCACTCTTTTTTCTCTAACCTTGTCTTCTTGTTTTATTTCATTAATTTGATATTCAATCACTGATACCCTTTCTTCCACTTGATCGAATCAGCTACTGAAGCTTGGGCATGCATCACAAAGTTCTTGTGCCATGGTTTTCAGCTCCATCAGGTCATTTAAGGTCCTCTCCACACTATTTATTCTAGATAGCCATTCGTCTAACCTTTTTTCAAGGTTTTTAGCTTCCTTGTGATGGGTTAGAACATGCTCCTTTAACTCGGAGAAGTTTGTTATTACTGACCTTCTGAAGCCTACTTATGCCAACTCATCAAAGTCATTCTCCATCCAGCTTTGTTCCATTGCTGGCAAGGAGCTGTGATCCTTTAGAGGAGAAGAGGTGCTCTGGTTTTTAGAATTTTCAGCTTTTCTGCTCTGGTTTCTCCCCATCTTTGTGGTTTTATCTACCTTTGGTCTTTGATGTTGGTGACCTACAAATGGGGTTTTGGTGTAGATGACCTTTTTGTTGATATTGATGCTATTCCTTTCTGTTTGTTAGTTTTCCTTCTAACAGTCAAGTTCTTCAGCTGCAGGTCTGTTGGAGTTTGCTGGAGGTCCACTTCTGACCATTTGACTGGGTATCAACAGTGGAGGCTGCAGAACAGCAAATATTGCTGCCTGATCCTTCCTCTGGAAGCTTCGTCTCAGAGAGGCACCCACCTATATGATGTGTCTGTTGGCCCTTACTGGGAGGTGTCTCCCAGTTAGGCTACATGGGGGTCAGGGACCCATGTGAGGAGGCATTCTGTCCGTTCTCAAAGCTCAGATGCCATGCTGGGAGAACCACTGCTCTCTTCAGAGCTATCAGACAGGGACGTTTAAGTCTGCAGAAGTTGTCTGCTGCCTTTTTTTCAACTATGCCCTGACCACAGAGGTGGAGTCTATAGAGGCAATAGGCCTTACTGAGCTGCAGTGGGCTCTGCCCAGTTCGAGCTTCCTGACTGCTTTGTTTACCTACTTGAGCCTCAGCAATGGTGGATGCCCCTCCCCCAGCCAGTCTGCCGCCTCGCAGTTCGATCTCAGACTGCCGTCCTAGCAGTAAGCAAGGCTCCATGGGCATAGGACCCACCAAGCCAGGCACAGGAGAGAATCTCCTTGTCTGCTGGTTGCTAAGACCTTGGGAAAAGTGCAGTATTTGGGTGGAAGTGTCCCGTTTTTCCAGGTACAGTCTGTCATGGCTTCCCTCGGTTAGGAAATGGAAATCCCCTGACCCCTCATGCTTCCTGGGAGAGGTAACGCCCTGCCCTGCTTTGGCCCACCCTCTGTGGGCTGCACCCACTGTCTAACCAGTCCCAATGAGATGAACCACGTACCTCAGTTGGAAATGCAGAAATCACCCATCTTCTGCATTGATCACACTGGGAGCTGCAGAATGGAGCTGTTCCTATTCTGCCATCTTGGAATGGAGTGCCCATGTAAATTTTATTATTGTTTTTCCTATATCTTGGAAGAGTGCCATTAGCATTTTGATAAGAATTATATTGAATCTGTATATTTCTTTAGGTAGTATGAGCCTTTTTTAGCTGTTATTTTAGGTTTGGGGGTAATATGTGAAGGTTTGTTACATAGGCAAACATGTGTCATGGAGGTTCATTGTACAGATTATTTCATCACTCAGGTATTAAGCCCAGTACCCAATAATTATCTTCTCTGTTCCTCTCCCTCCTCCCACCCTCCACCCTCAAATAGGCTCCAGTGTTTGTTGTTTCCTTCTTTGTGTTCATAAGTTGTTATCATTTAGCCCCCACTTGTAGTGAGAACACGTGGTATTTGGTTTTCTGTTCCTGCGTCAGTTTGCTGAGGATAATAACCTCTAGCTCCATCCATGTTCATGCAAAACACGTGATCTTGTTCTTTTTTTATGGCTGCAAGTATGAACACTCTAACAACATAACTTTTTGATCCATGAGTATGGAATATCTTTCATTTATTTGTGTCCTCTTTAATTTCTTTCACCAATTTTTTTTATAGTTCTCAGTGTACAGGTCTTTCAACTCCTTGCTTAAGTTTATTCCTAAGTATTTTATTTTATCATAAATAGGATAGATCTTGATTTCTTTTTTAGCTATGTTGTTATTCGTGTATAGAATAACAGGGTTTTGTATGTTCATTGTATATCCTGCAACTTTAATGAATTCATTCATTAGCTCTAACAGTTTCTTGGTGGCATCTTTTGGGTTTTCTACACATAGGATCATGTCATTTGCAAATAGAGATCATTTTACTTCTTCCTTTCTTATTTGGATACCTTTTATTTCTTTTTGTTGTCTAATTGCTCTTGATAGTACTTCCAGTACCATGTTGAACAGAAGCAGGAGGAGTGGGCCACCTTGCCTTGTACCAGATCTTAGAGGAAAAGCTTTCCATTTCTCCCCACTAAGTGATGTTAGCTGTGTGTTTTTAATAAAGGACCTTTATTATAATATATTGAGAAACTTTCCTTCTATACCTAAACCATTAAGAGTGTTTTTTTTATCAAGAAAGAGTATTGAACTTTGACAAATGCTTTTGCTGCAAATGACATGATTATGTGGTTTTTGTCTTTCAGTTGGTTAATGTGATGTATCATTCAACAGAAGCCTTAAAACTCTGTTGATGCTTGGATTTCCTGGAAGCTTCAGAATTGCAACCAAATACACAAAGTTTTCCTGGGGCTGCCTTCCAAAGTACCATCTCCCCTTAGCAGCTGTGCCATACTCATATATTCAACTCACACATCTGTGGTCACACTCTACCTTTTGCACCTCCTTCCCCAAAGTAGAAGTTACTGGCTATAAATCTATGCTGTTACATAAACAAATTAATATTGCTCTAGTCTAATATCATAATTAATATCCAGCTAAGAAATGCAATGAACATACACCAGGAGTAAAATGGCAGGTAAGAGAGAGCTGGCCTTACAGAAGAGTCTCAATTGAGAAATCTAAGGGGTTTAGCTTAATTGTTTTTAGAATCATAGAATTAATGAAATCTGACAGCATATTTTTGCGGATGGTTTGAGATTGCAAATGTTGGCTGATTCAACATTTCCAGAGAGATCTTCAGTGTGCCCCCTTCTTTTCCACCAGGCTGTTGAGTCTCAGGGAGGCACCTGAGGTGTTCTATTTAACATATTTGTGACGAAAAGCAATACAATGTTTATCTCTCTCTAGAAGATTTTAAAAGACAACGCCTGAGAAGATACTATCTTAAGAACAAACTTGAGTGGCTGAAAGTTCAATACTCTGGCAGTATAGGGAGCCTAGACTCTTCTTGTTAAACATTGACAGGACTGCTCAGTCCATCTACTCTCCACTATCCTGCTTATTTACCATAGCCTACTCTCTGCGGCTGATTATAACAATTTAATTTATACAACAAGCCTCACTGAAAATTTAACATAAAGAAGAGGCTCAAATGTGGGATCAATTTCCCCTCAAATCTGAGCTGGCCTATGGTGCTTTGACCAATAGAATACAATGGAAGTAGAAGGCTGCACCAGTTCCAGAGCTGGCCTTGAAGAGGACGTGCAGCTTCCACTACCAGGCTCTTGGAACCCTAAGCTGCCATGGAGAGGAAGGCGGCACAGTTGTGTGCAGCCTTCCAGCTGTCGTGCCAACGTGCTAGGCACAGGAGGGAAGCTACCTTGCGTCTTTCAGCCCAGCTCAGCCTGCAGCCGAATCCCAGTGACTGGGGCTAGTCAAAGACATCTGGCACAGAGGCTTTGCTGCTTAGCTGAGCCCTGCCTGAATTCCCGACCCACAAATTGTAAAGTCCAATACATGAGTGTTATTTAATAAAAAAAGAAATAAACAGAATCTAAAGAGAACCAATAAATACGTATTAAATGATAACCGAGAGACATTGAAAAAAATGTTGAGTAGTAGTATCTTGCCAGATTGCGTACAATAACTTTTTATCCCCAACCCCATGGCACTTTCTTTCTTTAGTCAAAACTGTAAACCTGTGATGTGTGATCTTCCAACAGGCAAGCATCATGTCCTGTTGCATTTTTGTATATAGAACTTCAACCACTATATCCAACCATTTAATCTTTCTATCATTACCACAAAGACAAAGATAAAAGAACAAAGGATAATCTTTCATCAAAGAAGAGAGCTTCTTTAAAGGGCGCATTATTTTTGTTCTTACCTTTCTGTGCGATTAGACAAAATTCTTCTTGCAGCTTTGTATAATCTGTTGAACTTTCCAGAGGGTCAGTGAGGTGGCTAGGGGGAGTCTGAAATTCAATATCTGCACAAAGGTTGGGGTTGGAGGAATGCAAGCGAACTGGTGACATGGTAGCACTGAAAGGAACCTGAAAGGGGAAGATACAAATTATTAAACAGCAACAGTGCATTGTTTCACATTCTCCTACATAGAAAAGACCTCTCCCGTTCTTCAAAATAATAGATTCCTCTCTGATAACACACTTGGAGACACTCAGTACTCATTTATTTTGCAGGCAGTTGGGGTAGGAAGAGGGAGTCTCATTTTCCATTGTTGATTTAGAACTGCCACAGACTCACCAATTTTTCACTGCTACAGAGAGAAATAACTATAGAATGACAGGAAGAAAAGACATAATCCCAAGCAAGCTTAAACTCTGAACTCATACTTGCACCTCAAAAATAACTGGCAGAAAAACAGCAGTCTGAACTGTGATGTAGCTGACCTTCTCTTACAGTCTGGACTATCTGATCCTGGAGCAGGATCTTACTAAACCTGTGAAAATTCAAGAGATGCATATACTGGAAGATTCACTTACTCTGTAGCCATTAAATAAAAAACAAATCAGGCTTAACAGGAAATACAGTAATGGCTTAAAGAGACTCATACTTATTTTGGAAACTGACTTATTAAAATCTATATTAGTAAATGAAATATATATGATATAAATCTCTGTGGTTTACCTTTGTATGTTACACACAACTCTATTACATATATGCACATGGCTCATGAACCAGCCAATACTGAGAAGCAGTAAGTAGAAAAAGTCATATTACTATAGATTTTTCCACATGGCTAGAGGTACTTCCTTGCCCAGGCTGGATATGGACTAGGTTCCTGATTGGTGGAGGCAAAGCACCTTTTCCTCCCCTTTAAGAAGGCTTTACCTGAACATTACAAATGTCAGCCAAACATTCCTGGAAAAGGAAAATACCAATTCTTCCTGCAAATCAGATCACAAACAACTTTTCCCTATTTCTTACTGCAAAGACGTGCATTCAATTATCTTCAAGAACCAGACTCTTAGACTCCACCACAAGTTGAAATTTTGTGTAACTGACAGGATAATTCACACCCCCTGGCTAACAGGGAATGTGCTGTGGGAGGAAGGAACCATTACCTTCTGATGGATATGTATGTCAGGACCTCTTCTTTTTTAATTTTTTGGTTTTTGCTTTAAACTTCCTATTTGGTGAGAGAAAGGGGGAAGGAGAAGAGGGCACTTTTTCTCCAAGGATTTAGAGGACACATGGAAGAGATGGAAAGAATCAAAATATCTGGCCTGAGCTGCAGGTTAAGGGCAGTTGAGACAGAGCGTCCTTCTGATGCAGCATTGTCCTGGCAGGGATTTATTTCTCTTAAAAGATATCCAGGACTTACTGGGGAAGAAAGTGAGCATGAAGCTTTCCCCTCCCCAAAATTCAGCTAAGCTAAGCATGCTAATATATGTTATTTGAATCATTTGGTATCTGGAGTTATCAAAGGAACCCTACCTCATCTTCTTTGGAGAACTTGGCTACACTGGGCTGGGAGATGATTGTTAAACAGCTTGTTTATCAATATTATCAGGCTGAAAATTTCTGGCTATTCTAGATTTGAGACCCAGAAGTGGCCAATAAGCCATTTAAGAAAATGGAGTGCTGGGGTTCAATACTCTGCTGGAATCCTGTCCAGGTAACTTAATAATAACAAGGACTGAGGACCTTTTAGGATACTTACAAAGGAATGGTATTTATGTGGCAGAATGTCAGAAGACAGAGAAAGGAAGTTCAGACCCTAACTGTGGTGATGCTCAATCTAGAAAGAGCAGTCAGCCCATTGAGGGACACAGACTCCATGGAAAAGTTGCTGGAGATTAGGATGTCATGGGGAGAGACTGTGAGTGGAAAAAATAGGTAGATCTGGGAGTTTTCAGAATTAATGGTACAGTTTTCTGATATAAGGAACTAGAACAACATTAAAAAAAATAAATGCGGGTCTTTGGTAATATGTTGAGGATCATGGAAAAGGATTTTATCTGCATTCAGGTGCCCTCAACACTCTGAGGACTCACATGGCTTGGAAGAGGAGTCTCTTCCTCTAGCGGGTGAGGAATGGGGTCATGAGAGTTGGCGGGAAGCTTGTATAGGAGGCCATTATGCAGTGAAAACCCAGGGAGTCCAGGAAGGACCCAGACTTGTCCCTGAGATAAATTATTATTTCTCTATTAAATGTTGGAGTCAGATGCTGAGAAGAAAAACGTAAGTTACAAATTTATATTTTGAACACAATGGAAACTTAAATTGGCTATTAAAACAGTAAAAGTGGTTTTGCATATTACCCACAGGGAAAGAGACTTGAATGTTCCATTCAAATTGCAATCAGATGGTTCCCTGGGAATTGAGAACTAATTTTCACATACTTCTGACTGAAAATGTTTATATATTGGTATACTTTTTTTTGTTAAAAGAGGTACGTGGAATGGGCCATTTTAATTGAGGAATTCATGAAATGAAATTGAGAATACAAATTGGGATGTATTAATCTAACCCTAATTGAATATCTGTTCAGACTGGGGACTTATTTACTTAGCTTTTTATTCATCAATTTGGGTATTATAGGATTCAAAAATCTAAGTGGTAACTGGTTTCTCTGTCAGTGATGGTTGGAGTGGGAGCTGCCTACAGCTCTCCATGTTGATACCTGAGAACCCTCAACACTCAATTTGGGCCTTTCTACCCTGCGCAGGAAAGAAATCCAAGGCTTTCTTGAAGTCCTGTGAAAGGAGGGAAGCCTGATCGTAGAATATTCTGGTAGTAAGAACTGAAGTTTGGAATGGGGACATTAGGAGATGCTCTTAAGTCCTGTCCATGAATAAGTCAAAAGTGAAATGAATTGACAATGGAGTTGCTGACAGTGAAATTCAGCAACGGTAGACATGAAAGTCTACACAGTAGGTCTAAGGTAGATACTATGCTTACAGGACTCATCGAGCCAGTGGGAAAAGTCTCCTGCTGTTGCTGTTCTGCACTATGTGTACAGGGATTCTTTGAGGGTACTGACTGCATTGGGATCCTCAGTGTTCTTCCATGGGAAAGAGCCAGTATTTATCTTTTTCCAGTCTCCTGTTCTGTTGGGTCTGGCTGCTGCTGTGAGTTGGCTGTTCTGAATGCTAGTGCTAAGAGTCATCAAGAGCAAATTTCTGAAACATCTGCTAGATGTTGCTGCATTTTGGTATGGAGACAAAGCTATAGATCCTGGAGTAGCCAGTCCCCCTAGTTATTCCTGAATACCTTATTAAATGTTGCCAGTAGCTTTTCTTACTACATGCTGCAAAGTTTTTCTCGTAACTTCTATAGTCACCCTGGGAGGTGGGCATTAATGATTTCTTCTTTTAAAGGCTTTTTCTCTTCTACTCTCAATTTTAAAAATATAAACCCATTCTATTCAAATAGGTGCTAATCTCAGTTTTATTATATTCACTGTATGTATCTGCAATTTAAAAGAATGAACACAGAAGAGACAGAATCACTTCTCTGCATGCCATCTTAGATGTATATTGCTTAAGAAAACAGTGTTTTCATAAAATGATGGACTGTTCCTTTCCATACTAAGTTGTTGTTCTCTCTCTAATAACCATGTGTATTTCTTAATTTTATAAATGGAAAATTACCTTTAATAATACTTAACTGATTATATATGCATCTATTGTCAGAATCTGTTACCACATCAGTGTCATGGGATTTATTCATCTGCATTTGAATACATGCATAAGATATACATGGACCATGAAAGCTATTTCAATAATTTGTTTGTTCAAATGTTTACAAAACTGTGAGTTTAAGAGTCATTTCCCTAATAAATTCCAAGTCACTGGTTCATTTCATAATCAAAAGCAAATTTGTTTCTCAGTCTAGCTAAACACCCACATATAAGGCAAGAGCCAATTACTAATCATAAAGTAGAAAGCCACCCATCCTCATACCAGCATCCATTCTCCTGCAATGCAGCCAAAACTTTTTCATATTTTTTCAGCAATTCTAGTCTTAAAATACATTCCACCCTTAGTGACAGCAAGACTGCTGTTAATTAAGGAAATATTATCTAATAGCCAAAAAACTAAAATCTATGATTGCTGTGAACTCAGTAATCTATATTTTAAGATGTTCATAGGTGCTCATGATTAAACAAATATTATAATTGGCTTTTATCCAGCAAGGAGTTCTTGTGTTTTGATAGTCTATTTTATATTCTGTAGACAAGTCACTCACTATCCATTTGCCTTATCTACCTCGATATGTTCTCTACTCTCCTTAAATCCATTCTATTTTCTCTCAGAAAAAAAAACCTCTAGATATGGATTTAAATACCATAAAACTGTCTTTTTTTTGTCATTTCCACACTACAGTTTCTAATTTTCATGTCAATATTCTTTTCAGAAAACAATTTTCCCTTGCTAAGTGTAACTTGGGTAGCCATTTAGAGATGACAGCAAAATTCACCTTTTCTTACCCTCTCATTTCTTTATTCTCACATCCTTTTCAAATAGTCACACTGCTACAAAAAAAAGCACAATTTATGCCTGTAGTAACATGACTTTTCTTAGGAAAAGAGAAATCAGTTAGCAAAAGTTCCAATATCAGTATGGTCAAAAAGAAAAAAAAACAATATAATTTAAGGAAAGCTCACATCATGGGGCACTGTACTCAATTTTGCAAATTTGACTTAAATTATGTCTTCATGTATAGTAGAAGAACTAGATTATATAATAGTTCTCCATTGTAAAAAGGAATACCCGTGTTCGACTCCTGCCATGCAAAGACAGCCAGAGAACATGTGAAAGCTATGCTGCCATGATTGGGCTACAGGTGATGCCATCACACACCAGTGGCACCATCAGGACAGGGGAGTCATCCTTGTACACAGGTTCTCATTCTTATTAAACTTCCACTTGAGATTGAAATCCACTCACTGTTGTAGCCACTGCTGCCGCTAGCCTCTGCCGGCGCCGAGTTGTGCTGAACTGGCCCTTCGCGGGTGGCCCTTCCTGACGGTGAATGGGAGAAGAGGGGAGGAAACACAGGACGGGGGAGGAAAGGATGGAAGATGGGAGGATGAAAGATAATCAGACAAGGAGAGGGAGAGTTTTTAACTGAAGTCGACTTTTCTTAAATCAGCATCGAAAAGCGCTCACAGGGGAGTTCATGCTATGAGAAATGTTCATCATTCTCATTACTCAAACATCTGAATTCTATTTGCTGACTATAACCCACACCCCAAAAGGAGATGGAGTTATAAACTGATGGACAGCCTGCGATTTTAAGGTAAAATAAATATGCATACTGTTTTATTCATATGATATCATGTTATATGAAGTCAAAAGGTATTCAATAAACGGTAGCAAGGAAAAAGTAAGTTCAGGAAAAACTGATGAAATAATGTGGGAAGGCTAAAATGAACAGGTTGTAATGAGAGCCTCATAATGGCCAGACAGAATTTTTTTTGTTTTTTTAATTTCTTACTGGAAGAAAAAAAGTAAGGGAAGGGTATGAGGGTTCTTCGACTTCCTACTTAATCTCCTATTATACAGCTCACTATCTGGGACTCAACATCAGTAAGAGTGCTGGGATTTTCAAGTCTAAGAATTTTCCAAGGAAGATGCCAGACCCCATAAGATCAGAAAAGAAAACTTAAGTTCCTCAGTGGGTGAGGACAATGCCTATAAAAATCAACTATGAAAACCTGAAAGCATAGTTTTCATTTAGTAATGTGCACCTATGCACAAACCGGTAGAAGAATCCTACAGCTTTCTTTCATTTTGTTTTCTTCTTCTTGGTGGATGGGATTAAGGGATGATGATATTTCCTTCTAACCATTCAACTTTGCCTCCATCTGACAGACCCTGACACCTCAAGGTTGTGAGCAATACTTTTTTTTTTCTTTTTTGAGATAGGGTCTCACTCTGTTGCCCAGGCTGGAGTGTTGTGGCACGATCATAGCTCATTGCAGCCTTGAACTTCTGGCCTCAAGCGACCCTCCCACCTTGGCTTCCTGACATGCTGGGATTACAGGCATGAGCCACCTTGCCCAGCCATGAGCAATAATTTCATTTCCAAATAATTAAGATATACTTTCTTAGAATCTCCTAACAGCCCAAACTGAAGAACCAGTAGGACCACTTTAGTTTTTTTTGGGATGTCAGAAAAATATTTAAACTTTTTCTACCTCTAAATCTTCAAAAAAGTTCCAAAATTACGATCTTATTTATTTTCCATCTTCATAAGTCTTCTGCATACATATATGTATATGTTTGTCATACATACATACACACATAATCTGTTTTCCACAAAAAAAAATTTCTAGACAAAATCCTTTCTACTTAATGTAGTAAAAGGGGGAAGAACTTATTCTCACCCTTCAGTGTAATTTGAGCATCTATGAGATGCAGGACAGCTACACAGGAGCAACATAAGATCATCTGTCTGCTACTATGTACTTTCTACTATTCCTCATTCCCTTCAACATCCAGGGATCTAGTATTTAATTCATATGATCAGCAACACAGGAGATCTAACCGCTCTTTCAAAATCATTTCCTTCTTGCCTTCCTCTTACTTCATTTAAAACACAGCCAAATTGTTACTGCATAATGGTACTGAGATTTTTATTCGAACCAGGAAGTTTGAAGTTTAGGAGGCAAGAAGAAATCCTTATTCTAAAAGGTAATCTCCACAGAACCCTCTAGGACAAATGCTGACTTCATGAGTTATACAATGTGGATTTCTGAGGCCAACTGCCCAATAGTTTCCAGTAGAAACATGGCCATACCAGTCTAGAATTTAACCTTCTCATTTAATCAATAGCACAATCTAACCTACACAAGAATAAGCAATCAAACATCCAGTATAACATGTTTTTCATTTTTACTTTCTTGCGGTCAATTTTTTTAATGATCTATTTAAAATTTTTTCAAAATGACAACTACTATGGAATACTGAATACAAAGTTCAGTAACACAACATTGATAACAACAACAGCAGCAACAATACCACAACCACCACCACTGAATGGTCTGGGCACCTTCACAATGGCTGTTGTACTTAGTTACGAAGAAGAGTGGGGACAGAAAATGAGCTCTCACTGCTTGAGAGCCTCTCATATTGGCTGCAACATCAGCGAAAGTGGTTTGAGTGGTGAGATGATCATTGACTCAAAACAAATACTTGGACTCATTAGATAGAATTCTCATGATCAAAACATTTAAAACAGGAGGGGAAAAAGCTGGGTATGAGGTAGGAGAAAGTGGTGGGTATCTTTAATCCACTAGAGTAAAATTAGATGCTATGCCTCTCTCTAGGCAAAATACTGAGTAAAGATTTTCATGTTGTCATACTCATCCTAGATGAACTTATGATTCCCTAGCCAAGTGTGAATTTTGAAGGATCTTGGAGGAACTTCCCAGTAGTAGAGAATGAGTATCCTGAGGCTCCTGCAAGACCTGTTGGTTTGGGCAAGCAGAAAAGGTCCACAGATAGGACCAAGCTCTGCTGTGTTCCCCTTAAAATACCTTTTGTTTTAGTCCAGGTGGAAGTGGAGTTTCTCTGGGAATGATTAACAGCTTACTGTCTATTTGTTTCTTCTTGGAATTGGAACTAAATCTCCCACTTCCAATAGGCAGTTGTCTTTGAGTGTCTTTGAGGGATGAGATGATTTCAATTTCCCTCAAAAGTAACTAAACTAGAATTACAAAGGCCATTTTATTACCCTTAGCAAAGTCACAAACAAGGTGAAATAGCATAAATAAAAATTTAAAAACAAATGAACCACCCAAAGATGTGGCGGAAGTATGAATGAATATTTTCTAGCTTTTTGGACATTTTCTCCTGATGACTCAAAAAAATCTTCATAACTTTTCTGTCTATGTAAAACCACAGGCTGAGAGGCTAGGTGGTATAGTCCCAGTTGCATTCTGTGTCCTTCAGAAAAAAAAAAAAAAAAAAGAATGATTTGGGGGTCTCTAGTGGAGCTCCTAGATGCAGCAAGGTAGCTGGGACATTGAACTACAACTCACTGAGAACCAACCTATCCAAGACAACAGCTCTGAACAAGAATGTGGTCAATAGCATACACTACAGACACAAGATTAAAACAATATCTATTAACAAGTGTATGTGTTCTTTCTTGTGATGCAGGCCTTCTTCAATTATTTTATTTAGAGGAATGATTCTTTTACTTACAAACAAAACTAGACACTCACAAGTTCAAAAACAATAAAACTGCCAAAAGCAATTTTAAGTAATTTTCTTGTGAAATCACTCGGCACATCTGTCCCTACAATATTAATTTTATGAACAGAAGGGAAAACACACAGAAACATACTGAGCAAAGGAACACAAAAAGTTGTGTTTATTGAATGTAGACATTCTAATAAAAAAAAACCATGGGTATTAGTGCTTATGAAAATTTATTTTCAAATATATCAGATTAGCAAGCAAAGCAAGTTTGTTATTTACACAGTCAGAATCGTAATATGAAGAATGTTATTAATGAAGTCAAAATTAGAGAAGAATTATTTTGTTAATTATTCAGAAGGGACTGAAGAATTCTGAAAAGTACTTCTTTCTACCTTTGTATTAGAATATAAATTTATTTGTAGTATAATTTTAAAAAGTCAAATCATAAAGTCTAATCTTGATTGTGCAGGATAAGGGCCATGTATAATATGCATTTAGGAGGAGAATAATGGAGATTCTAGTTTAAAGATCTGAAAGTAATATGGTTTATGACATAATCTACCATATTTTGAATCACTGCAACACAATAATATAAAAGGATCTTACTTTAAGAACATTACTCATTTCAAATACATAATTTATTTCAAATAAATTTCAAGTACATTTATTACAAGCTATTAAGAATTTAGTTCAGATTTTAAGGTGATTGTTGAAAGCCAAATAATATTTATTTTTGTAGGATCATAGAATTTTAGAGTTGAAAGATAATTCAGAGCTTATTAAATAAACTCTATTACTTTACCCAGGAGCAAACAAAAGCTCAGGAAATTTAACAGAAATGTACGAAATTATACTGCCAGAAAATCACAGTGATTAGACTAGAATCTGGGTTTGCTGATTTCTAATCTATTGAACCTCCTACACTTTTTCTTGATAGAAAACATTTGGACAAAGCTGACACATAAAAGTCCCTTTTAAAATCTAGTATTTTTAAATGAGTGTTCATTATAACCCACTAGATTTTTAATCTAGATTTTTAAGGTAACTTTTTGTTAAAATATATTTTAATGGTTCAAAGGCTATAATTGTGAATAAAAATGCCATTTTGAACACATATCGCATAATTTTAACCTTTCTTTTAAATCCTTCTCACTTATGCCAGAGTAAGAAAAATATAGAGATTTTCCACTATTTTAGATAATGTAACAGTTTGAAAAGTGCTGGCTTTAAAGCAGTTAAGTTGCCCTTTCAATCTAACGCCCATAAACTGATGTATAAAGACTAGTACTTTAAAAATATGTAGAAACGTGAATGAAGGAAAAGTAAAATCTGTACCTGCAGTTGTATTTTTGTATCTTTGCTGACACTTTTTGTTCTCCATCGTCTTGTGACCCGCTTGTCTTTCTTTGAAATATCTACACAGTTAGCCTACATTACACAAATAGTTAAAAGCAACAAAGTATTATTAAGTTCACACAGATGATACAGATATAGACAAGAGCACAGCAAGTTACTAAAGGTCATTGTTAGAGCCTATAAGCAAACCAGCCAGGACAGAAAGGCATATTAGACGAATAGTGGGCATTAAAAAGCAGAGATAAGAACTTAATTATAAAATATATTTTACTGATAAACAAAATGAATACAGGATTAGAAATCTCTAGCTTTGATTTCTATATGAAAAGACAATAATAATTCTGAGAGTATCTAAAGCATATCTTCAAAGCTACCATTTCTAATAGGACACAAACATGGAAGAATAATTCAGATACTGAATGTATTTCTTTTGGTTAGTGTGTATTTAAATGTAAAATGTTTTAAAATAATCATCTTAACACACTGACACTGAGATTCAAAAATATTAAAAATAACTCCAGAATATAAATGAATGTCTGTATTGCAGTTATTTATCTTTAAATGTTACCTTATATATTCATAGAACAACCCAATAAAGAGTATTAATTAATACCCTAAGTCCTTTTACCAGCAGCAGGAATATGTTTACCTGCATGTCAGTAAAGTTAGGTGCCGACTGAGTTCTCTGAAGTATTTCCAAATTTTGCAGGAGTTTGCTAAGTTCCACAAGGTTTGACTGGCAATGTGCAAGATCTAATAAGAAATCAGAAATAAAAATACGTTAAAATTGGGTAGGGAGCGGTGGGGATGGTAATAAAAGGGTCAATGCAAATTATGGCAAATATAAGTAGGCAGATCCATGTTTATATGATGAAGATACTGGCAGGTGAAACAAAACAGACCCTTTTCTGGTGCAGAACCAAAAACCATTCATTATATTTCAAAGCTCACTCTTAAAAGTTAATAGCTATTAGTGCAGAAACCATGAAACTCTCAGTCACACTGTATGTGATCCCTTTTCTGCTCTGATAGCTTTTGCCACATGGGAAGCACACTCAAGTGAACTTCAGCAGTCCTGTGGTTTCATTGTTAGGAGCTTGTCTACCTGCTCCTCTAACATGCTTTAGAAGATGGTTATCTGGAATTTGGGTAGCGTTAAAATCAAGTTCAGAAAAATAGGACGGAATACAGAATCAGTTAAACATATTTTCTGTAATTTAGCTCACTAACAATGTTGAAATGAATGACTTTAAAATTTCTTAGAGACATTATATTAACCAAATCAGATTTTCAAAGTGCATTCGCTGGTCCAGCAATATCATCATCACCTGGACATCAACTCATTCTGTCTGAATTAACGTTTAGAATGAAGAAATGACATTTAGTTTTCTTTTAAATTTTTTGGTTTATTTAGTACAAGAGAATATTTAAAAATCTATACAATAAAATATCACTCTTTAAAAAAAAAACTGACCTTTAATATGTGAAATTAAACACGGTCAAGAATATTGGGCTGGGTGCGGTGGCTCATGCCTGTAATCCCAGCACGTCGGGAGGCAGAGGTGGGAGGATGACCTGAGGTCAGGAGTTCAAGACCAGCCTGGCCAATATGGTGAAACCCCATCTCTACAAAAATTAGCCAGGCATGATGGTGGGTGCCTGTAATCCCAGCTACTCAGAAGGCTGAGGCAGAAGAATCTCTTGAACCAGGGAGGCGGAGGTTGCAGTGAGCAGAGATAGCACCATTGCACTCCAGCCTATGCAATAGAGCAAGACTCCGTCTCAAAAAAAAAAGAGAATACTGAGTTACTTTTCTTATTTTTGTGGTCAGTTGCTAAAAATTTCATTTTGAGCTTTCTATCCAGGAAATATTACATTCATACTCCCTAATATTTGTGATTGTTCTATATAAATGGTGCTATATAAGCATAGAAATCTGGAATTGGGGCTGAAAACCATCACCCTTTTTCTAACAGAATGAAAACAGAACTTTGTGAATAATTCAGTTTAAGGCCAAGGACTCAAAACTAAGCGTAAGGAGACATCAATTTAGATTTTTCAGTTGTAGTTTCCTTATCTGTCAAATGGTGATAGTAGCATTTAGCTCTCCTACCTGCTTACTGAGATGGTAGATGAGAAAGTTCTATGAAAGCCAGAAATGGTCTCTAAGAAATACTTACTGCGCTATGTCTCATCACCCTGCTAGAGCCTTCACCTGGGCCATGCTACATCATTCTTTGTCACTTCTATTATTTACAATAAGAAAGAGAGGAAATCATACTTTCACATAAAGTCTGGGATGTGAGTATCTCAGAAGGCTGATAAAAATGACAAAAAATGCTGCATACTTTGAGTCCACATGCTGGTAGAGTAAGAAAAAATTCTTTTGGTTGGAGGACTAACATAGATTACCAAATTTTAATTTTTTTAAGTGAGAACACAAAAAAGTGATCTAATATCTACTTTTATTATAATTTTATAAGAAAAAATAATTTGAAAAAATAGGCCCAATATCATCTTAGGATCATCTAAAAATAAACTAATTGAGCCGTATTAAACAGTGTCTGCATTGCCCTTGTTTTTCTCGGTTTTGAAGGTCAAATGAAAACTGTCTCATAGAATGGAAATGGTCTGTAGATCAAGTTTGAACCATTGTGCTCTGGCTAATTACGAGGAAGGTGAAGGTAAGAAGAGATGAAGAGGCTCAGAGATGGCAGTATGAGAGAAGCAGGTATTGGTTCAGAATATTGAATCACTGATCCACAGTGGAGCACACTAACAGGTAACTGTGGATATAAGATGCAGCATTTTACAACTTTGCCATTTATTGCCGAGTTGTCAGGAAACATACACCTGCTCCATGGGCAAGACAGAGCAGAAGAGAAGGCAGCTGCGGAAGTGACCTAGTGAGGACGACAGAGCAGTGATTCTGGGACCATGGGCAGAGTAGGCTCTCCTTGGGGGTTACTCCTCTGTGTGACTGCCCCAGGATCCAGGAGCTAAAGAAGCCAGAAGGAAATGGTGAAAAGACAAGGAGAGAAGGCTGAAGTGGGTAGAAGTCAGGGGAAAGGCAAGAACCAGATTCAACTGCTGTGAGGGTGCAAGAGAACTGGCAGGTAAGGAGCCTGAGTCATGGCAGAGAGAAGGAGCTGGTGCATAAAAATAAGAACAAGGGGGAGAAAGAGCAAGGAAAGGTCAAGACGATCAAGGCAATCAGGGTAAAAGATGTAGCACTCATAATTGACCTCTTCGGGTTTTGTTTCTTGTTTGGTTTTGGCTTACTCTCAGGCCACACTGGGCAAGAACTAACCTTCTGCACACCTGTCCATCTCTTCCGAGTCCTGTAACCAGGCTGCCACTTTACTCTGGCCAGTTGTGCACGTTGCAGGGAGGCTATTGCTGCATGGTAAAGGGGACTGCCACGGAAAGCTGTTTGGTTGCATCTACGGCAAACAAAGATGAATTGTATGGTTATGAAACAGTACATTTCAATGATTAAAAAAATACAAGTATCCTCAAAACCGTATTAACAAAGAGAGGAAGAAAATGCACACTCAAAACATGGAAGAAGCCTCTTGGCTAAATGTGGTTTGTGCCCAGTGAGGGCGACATTCCTAAACAGCAACCCCTCATTAAACTGCCATCTCCATCATTCAATGAAGGACAACATTTAAGTGTGTTGTATCTCATAATTACAAGGATCTGCCAACTCAATTTCCCAGTAATTTTTAATCGCTGAGTAAATTGTATTTGCAGTGTCCTTACTGCAGTACTCTTAACTCATGATTTAAGGTCTTTCCTTTCCAAAAGGTTTCTGTACCCTTATGACCACTCAAGTTCTCCTCAACCACATGTGATTCCTAAATACATTATCCACCAGTAAGCAACCTTGCAATGCCTTGAATTCGTATTGGAAATTATTTATAAAAAGGCAGTCATGGCAAGTTATTATCTATAGCTTTCCATTAAAGTTATTATCTATAGACTTCTCATTAAAAAGATTTTATGTGAAATAAGTGAAAATTGTATTAAGTATATAGATACTAAGGTGCCTGCAGGAAACAGTGAAAAAAGAAGAAACTTAATTCTTAAAAAATTGAAATAATTTTAAAACTCCATAGTTGACTTTAATATCCAACTACAACTGAGTTGTGTCTCTTCTAAATCATTACAAAGTGAATGATGCACATTCTTAGCAAACCCAGGCTTATTTATTACTCACAGAGGGCCACAAACTAATTAACATTCAGGAGTCTCATAATTTGATATGTAGAAGACAGGCAAAGTGATAAAAAGCTCTTTTCACTCTTTATTGCATGTTGATAAATGTAATGGAAATCTTTCACCAAGCAGATCTTAGAGGTATGTCATTAACCAGAGCAATAAATCTGTTTTGAAAACCAGAGCTGAAGAGCTTTCTTATTTCAAGGCAAACAGTGGGGAGGATTTGATTTTAGTCTTCCATTCTCAGATATCACCCAAGTTATTTAACAAATAAGGGATGAAAATAATATATTTTCATCAATAAATTTAATAAATATTTTAATAATTTAATAAATAAGAGATAAAATATTTTCATCAATAGTCTGTGCCAGTGATGTAGGCAGAAGCTGGATGAACCAAGTAATTAAAAATTTATATTTTTTAAAGATCTATTTGGAATACATTTCTCATTTAACAAGGACTAAATCTAGGATTCAGTCTGCCTTCTGGTGAGAACACAGGAGGCCAGAGAAACTCGGCACTATCTTGGGCATCTGTAAGTTCCCAACCTTCCTGATGCCCTGACCAGATGGTTCGTTCCCTTTTTTATTTCAGAACTGGTTGGTATTAGGGTTAATCCAACACCCTATTCCTAGAAAAAAGATAATTAAATAGTCCTTGGCAAGGCTGCAACCAGAATGGAATAATGTGAGGTTTAAGGCCAGGTGTGGTGGCTCACGCCTGTAATCCCAGCACTTTGGGAGGCCGAGGTGGGCAGATCACTTGAGGTCAGGAGTTTGAGACCAGCATGGCCAACATGGCGAAACCCTGTCTCTACTAAAAATGAGCTGGGTGTGGTGGTAGGCACCCGTAATCCCAGCTTACTCTGAAGGCTGAGGCAGGAGAATCAATTGAATTCAGGAGGAGGAGGTTGAGGAGGTTGCAGTGAGCCAAAACCACACCACTGCACTCCAGCCTGGGTGACAGAGTGAGACTTTGTCTCAAAAATAAATAAATAAGTAAATAAATAAATAACGTAAGGTTTGAGATAATTTTAACATCGTTAATAGGATCTATCAAAAACTGCCATTAAAATAACAAAAACTGAATATAGTAATGTTTCATTTAATCTGATTTGGTTAGTATTGCAGTTACTCTATGAGGTTTTTCAATGGTTTGCAAAGGAAACTTGGATGTATGTATGACATACATTCCTGTGTAAGCAAAGAAAAGCAGAATCTTCATTGGAACGTTCTTGAACACAACGTACTGTGGCAGCCAGCTTCCTCACCCTCTCTGCCCTCAATTTCAGGTGCCAAATGTGAAGGCGGAGCACCCCTGCGCAGTGCAGTGGGGCTAGGTTTCAGGAAACTTAATTATTGAATCAAAGGCAGAAACAGCTGTTTCCCTGTCTGTTGACTTAACCTTGATTTTTTTTTAACAAACAACATCTCTTGCTTTTCATCAACACAGAAGTGAACTCTTATTTCAGCCCAGAGAACAAGGTCAGCCTCCCTTAGTCTGGCACCTGGTAAAAATGGAAAGGGCACTGACTTTGGGAACAGATGTGGGCTTGGATCCTGGCTCAGCTGTTTAATGGCTATGTCACTTCTGGACAAATTTTTTACTGTCTCTGAACTTTGGTTATTTGAAAGATCAGAGACGAATGAGTGCCAAATGCTTAACACAGTGCCTGACCACTTAAATAGGCTGCTATTTATATTATTGTCACATTCTTGAGCTCACATGTAATTACTTCATGGAGAAATTTAATAGCCTCTCATGTATATATTATAGGTCAAGACACAAAGGCAAGTTTCATTTTCAAGACTGAGGTTTTCTTATTACCATCCAGGAAGGCACCTGATTTCTGAATGTTGATTAAATAAATGTTTACTTACTTCCTAGTATTCCTACAAAGCCACATAAAGTTAAAAGGTAGTCCGTTCATAAAAGGGAAAATTAACTGCTAATTCTCTTGGTGATCCACATTTCTGCCTAATTTATACTTGCAATTAACTTTCATGCCAAATGTCACTGTTGTCTTCTGAGTGTTAGTTTACAAAGCAAACCTCCTCTTTCTGGTTTTCCCAAATGAGACTCAGTTATGCATTTGCATAATTTTCTTTTTTATTTTATTTTATTTATTTATTTTTGAGACGCAGTCTTGCTCTATTGCCCAGGCTATTCAGTAGTGGCACAATCTTGGCTCACTACAACCTCCGCCTCCCAGGTTCAAGCAATTTTCGTGCTTCAGCCTCCCGAGTACCTGGGATTACAGCTATGCAGCATCACATTTGACAAATTTTTGTGTTTTTAGTAGAGATGGGGTTTTCACCATGTTGCCCAGGCTGGTCTCGAACTCCTGGCTGTCAGGCGATCCACCCGCCTTGGCCTCCCAAAGTGCTGGGATTACACACGTGAGCCACAGTGCCTGGCCAAAATTTGCATAATTTTCTAAGCAATTTTCAGGCTGGTTTTTATAGAACAAAGTCATACCTTTCCATCCATTACAGAAACATTAGCAGCTGGTGAGGATTCAGCTGTGGACGTTGAAGGAAATATGTGAAAACTAGCATCTCTTGGTGATCTCACAATTTCATTCTGACGATACAACCGATGATGTCGCAGTTTGGAGACCCATGCATCAAACCAGTCCTGGGATTTCACCTAAAACAATGAACGAGAGGAGAAAGTAATTGTAAAATAACTCTCCTGCCTACCACTGGTGTAGGCAAATCGTTTCCCCTGATAATGGCAGAGAAACTGTTGAAAACTGATTTCACCTTCAAATGATAGATGTGCTCTTCGGTGTCAAGGTCTATTCTTCGAGCTTTCTTTTTAATTGACATGACTGAGAGTCCCACATCTATGCTCCCATGGACCTTTCCTTTCTGAATCTGAAATCAAAAGACTAGTAAATAGGCTGAAAGGATATATGATTTGATGTTTCTGTACTGTATTTAAGTGAACTCAAAGTAATCTTTAACTTATCTATGGGAAGTGGAATACTACATATACCTCCTTAACAAACAGAAAATAGTTAAGGTTCTATGGATTAGGTTCTAGGACAGTTGATGTTGCAGTGACTTCACGTCAATTTTTATAAATAAGACTATTCATCTTATTCCTGTTTTGGCATAGAATGTAATACTAATTCTTCATAATTCTAGATTGCACAGCTTATATTCTCCCAAAAGGACATCTTTAGCGGTCCTAAAATAACTGCGGTCAATCTTTGACGTATAACCCAGAACATCCCTGAGTAATCAGCTGGCAGACAGCTGCTGGGGCAGAACAGGGCAGCTGGGACCAGAAAGCAAGGAGCAGCCAGCTCTTCCTTCTGGCTGCTCCACTGATCAAGGACATGGCTGATTCAATGGCAGGGATGGGGACAAAACTGAAACCTAAGCCTTCAGTTACTTCCCCTACACCACAATGATGAAGGAAGGAATTTTCCAGTGTTACATGCAAACTACTCCTTTGTATACTAAACAAAAACAATTTGAAATAATTTTTGTGAATTGGGATCTCCAAGATAAAAAGATGTATGACGTAGAAATAAAATTTGTAAGATAGTTTTTAAAAGGACATTGACAAGAACAGAGCAGCACACATAAAGCAGAGTTTATTGGAAGATGGAGGAAAAAAGCCCATTTGCGTTTTCTATCCAAGTGACAGAAGGTGATTTTACTCATGCGTCACTTTTAAGGTTTAAGCTTCTGTTTTTAATAACACACATCAAAATAGTTAAATCTTCATGCACTAGGTTGACACACTTTAGAACATGGAGGTTTGGGAGCTTGTGAAATCTTACAGGCCCAGACATGCACAAAGCTGGTAACTATGGCACAAGGCTTGTACAATTACAGTGTTTACTCACTTCAAGCAGAATTCGAAATCAACCTTTGAAACATGTCCTGTGTGCTACTTACATCGAGTGGTGCCTTTGAATACTTTAACATTCCATTATCCAGGACAAAAAAACGCTGCAAGAACCAAACACCCCCAGTTACTGTCTGTATTTTGAATTACATAAAACATTCACAAATGTGGGTCTAATGTTGCTTGGCATTTATTAATCAATATGTTTGATCATTTTAATGTATCTGGATTCAGTGCATTTGGCCACAGTCAGTCACATTAAATGGTAAGGAGATAAGAGCTCTAGTTCCATACTGTTAACCTACCAAGATTCTTTTATACATAATCCAATGGGGATGGAGTCTTTTCACCATGATTTTTCTTAACAGGGGAGGAATCTGAGGACCTGAAGCTACAATCCCCTGAATGAACCACATTGGGATGTTTTTCAAAGTGAGAAATGATCACAGTGACTCTGTAAGGAGCTCTATACAGGTCTACAGGGAATTTTTCACCGTGAATATAAACTTCTGAATTTTCCCTGGATACCACAGACAATTCCTGAAAATGTTCATGTCCATTACAGAAGCCAGTGGACTGAATCTATGAATAATGAATTATCTGGAAAATTTAAGTGGGCTTAGTAATATGCTTGCATCTCTAGTTAGCAAATGTTTGCATTCTACCATTAATCAAAGAGGTTGAAAATTATTTCTGAACTACACTAAGGGTAAAAAAAGAGAGGGGTTTTTGGCAATTTTTTCTCCTCCAAGATAATCCTAGTACAGTCTGAATGGATTTGCCCTTTTTGCTCTACAAACACTCAGGAACTCTCAGCTGTTGATTTTTCTTCCACGGGCAATTCACAAGAGAACAAACAGCTCCCAGGGCCCGGTCAAAGAATGGGTCCTGTGCCCTCTAGTTCTACAGATGCAAGGAATTTTTCTGTTCCTGGCAAATTACTCTGCTGGTAAGTTTTTATGTGATTTGGGACCTCTTAGCTGCTAAGATGGCAGGCAGTCAGGCCTCGGGATCGCCTTCTGTAAGTACAGTGGCCTTCTGTGAGTTCTGCACAGAGAACCCCTATGAGTTCTGCACAGGACTGACAGAAGGCCACTGTAAACCCTTTGTTACAGGTTCTGCGGGACAACAAGTAAACACTGGAAAAAAAGAGTCTCTACGGTTGAAAAACACTTGATTAAAATCAGTTGCCCTTAACTTGGTCAATCAAATGGGCTGACATCTGAATAAACACATGGTGGTTGTAGAGATCAGAAGAAAAGACAACAATGCAAAGCAGGCCCTCCTGTTATTTATGTAGCAAAATGTTCAAAGGCACGGTCTAGAAAGTTGCTGCCAAACCACAGCCAGTTTTGTTGAAACATGGACTGAAAGTGCTAAATTAAAGTTAGCAATTCATACAAAATTTGTTTCTTTGACGGTTTTTTCCTGTGGTTTCCATTTCTGTCTATCCAAGAATTTCAGCAGAGATCACCTATAGCATATCATAAGGAAAGAGATTAGCAAGGCCATCAATTTGGGGAAACACAAAGGATGAAAGGCAACAGTGATTGTAGGAAGGAGGATGGCCAATTGGCGAAAATCTCAGGAAGAACGACAGTGAGGACAGGTCCTTGGCACTACGATAATATTATGGGTTCAGGAAAGATCGTTTCTGACAAGGAAGAAGGCACTTTCAGAGACAGGGCACCGGGGCAACATTTCCCATGTGTTCATTTTTAAGTCTTTCCCTTAAAACACATAAAATGTTTCCTCAAGGAAGTTAACATACATAACCTCCCTGCACTGAGCCAATGGGCAGCCACCACTGGCCATTTGGGCCAATAAATTTATCTGCCCTGAGATGAAATCCACGTGCAGATGTGCCAAATATATAGATTTATTCTTCCACTGATTTCAAAGAGGATACTGGGTGGCCCACTAAAGAGTTTAAACTGACGTGGTGGCTCACGCCTGTAATCCCAGCACTTTGGGAGGCCGAGGCAGGCAGATCATGAGGTCAGGAGTTTGAGACCAGCCTGGCCGATATGGTGAAACCCAATCTCTACTAAAAATAAAAATAAAAAAAAATTAGCCAAGCGTGGTGGCGTGCGCCTGTAGTCCCAGCTACTCTGGAGGGAGGCTGAGGCAGAAGAATCACTTGAACCCGAGAGGTGGAGGTTGCAATGAGCCGTGATTGTGCCATTGCACTCCAGCCTGGGTGACAGAGTGAGACTCTGTCTCAAAAAAAAAAAAAAATAAGTAAATAAATAAAAATAATAGTTTAAACTGAAAATGTACGGCAACTTTCTCCTCCTTAGTATGACAGAATCCTTGCTATTTGGGTAATGGTAAAATGCAGTAAAAAATATTTTCTCTATAATTTAAACTTAGAGATAGGACAAGGATGTTGGGAGGAAGGAGAGGAATAAACTGTAGCCTTCAAAGAGCAGTAAACAAACTTCTGGGATCAGTGAACTCCAGCTTTAGTTTGTACTGGTAACAATAATTCTAGGAATGTATCCCAAAGAACTAAATAGAAGTTCATGTGTAAGGATGTTCATCACATCACAATAGTAAAAAAATAAGGCATGTCTTACATATCCAGCAACAGGGAATTAGTTCGATAGCAGTGGGATATATAATATAGATCCATCCAAAGTGATACATGCATGCATTTAAAATACCTCATATTTCAAAGAGTATTTAATGAGAACTTATCTATACTAATTTAAGTGAAAAAAGCAAATCAGACAACAATACATACCAACTGGATTAAATATCACATATTTTTTTCCCTCCATATGTATATTACAGATCTCAGTCTCTGTTAACTATAATAGACTACAACCCATGTGGTTAAAATAAGGCCTTAAAAGTTAGTTTTACAGCCGGGTGTGGTGGCTCACACCTGTAATCCCAGGACTTTGTGAGGCTGAGGTGGGCGGATCACTTGGGGCTGTGAGTTCAAGACCAGCCTGGCTAACAGGGCAAAAATCTGTCTCTACTAAAAATAAAAAAATTAGTCAGGCATGGTGGCATGCACCTGTAGTCCTAGCTACTCAGGAGGCTGAGGTGGAAGAATCGCTTGAACCTGCGAGGTGGAAGCTGCAGTGAGCTGAGATCATGCCACTGCACTCCAGCTTGGGTAACAGAGTGAGAATCTGTCTCAAAAAAAAGTTTTAAAAAGCTAGTTTTACACATACTGCCATATTCTTAGTTTCCCACCCCATGATAGCAAATAAGATCTTCTTTATTTATGAAGATGGTCTGAACCTGAATATGATAAAAATGTTACCTTGTGCCAGCCTTTTAAAGGCCATTTTCTTTTCTTCAGCATAAAGCCCTCATGTTTGTCTGGTTTCTGGACATTGGTTTGGCCTATTTTCAGCCCTTCTATAATTTCCCAGCTGTCAGCTTCCTGAGAGAAAAGAAGAAAAACAAATCACATGTTACTCAGTGCCTGATGACACACTTAAAGCAGATTCTTAAGTAGAAGTTGCTTTTGAAGCAGTACTAGGCCCACCAGAAAGAAGGATGAACAACATTCCGGAGCAAATTCTAACATCAAACACAGCTATGCACTTTTAACTTCAGTTAAAAAGAGTTTCCCAGGTAGACCTAGAGGTAAGTGGGGTCCATCAGAGACTCAGTGGAGCCACCTTGTCTGTTTGGGGTAGGATGGAAATTCGATTGCCTGTACTCAGAATGTTTAAAATTCATTTTTCCAGACAGTGAATCCCTGAACACAGAGGCACTTTAAAGTTTCAAAATAAGACTACTTTGATGACAAATGTTCAATTAGTGTGTGGACCTGGCTTTCTGTGTAGAAATGGAAAGGCTGCTGTTGTCTCAAGTGGCTCAGAACCTGCTATTAACAGGGAATAACAGCGCTGTGGTCACGGCTGCTCTCGGGGAGGTTTGCTTGCATTCCAAAGTGCACATAAGACACCTGCTCACCAAAGACACACCAAAGAACTTCGTGCTTTCAAAGATACACATGCCCCTGGGAGCCCCTGGGTTGCATTTCTTAGTAGTGAATTGCAATTCAACAAGTTAGCACTGTTTATGAATAATGTTTAGAATAATAGGAGAAACTAGTAGGCTCTTATAAAAAGTCTAATGCCTGTGGCTTTTGACTCACACAGAAAGTTAGATGACCACTATATTCTAGAAAATAATCTCCATCTATGTATAAATATATTCATTAGAGCTCTCTCTCTGTTCTTAGAGAGATATCCACTATATTTAGTGGCACTTCTATTTTCAGTAGCCCCATCCATGGATAATATCTCTGGAAGAATAATATTTTTATTTCTGGCTAGATTTGGAAGTTTGTGTTCACCTTTGGTTTACTGTGTGTCTACATGTGGATGATGAAGAATATTCTGTGTGACTTGTGAAAGTGGAAACATTTAATAAGTGCAGATCTTTGCAAGTTTTCTTCTGACTAAACTCAGATTGTAGTAATGGCTACTAACTACTAATTTCTTTTTTCCAATTTTTTATTTTTTCATTTCAATGGGTTTTTGGGGAACAGGTGGTGTTTGGTTACATGAATAAGTTCTTTAGTGGTGATTTCTGAGACTTTGGTGCACCCATCACCCAAGCAGTGTACAATGTACCCACTGTGTAGTCTTTTATCCCTCGCCACCCCCCACCCTTTCCCCAGAGCCCCCAAAGTTTCCAATGTATCATTCTTAGGTATGGCTACTAATTTCTATCACAGTGTTTTTTTTCTTCTTTGAGAGTTTAACTCCAGAAGGGGGGGAAAAAGAGATAAGATAGAAAGGCAAAAAGTTAAAATGTATTTCTTAAACATAGATGTGACAGCTTGGAGCAAATAATTTTATTCAGTCTGATGCAATATTACTAAGTCCAGTAAAAGAAATGGAAAAGAATCCTACTATAGTTCTCACAATTAAATAGGCTGTCAACCTGACAGAGGCAAAAGATAAAACCAGAGCAGACAATGTTCCCCCGTTTCAATTATAAATGCTGTGGATAATGTTACAAATACAGTGTGTAAGAAATGAAACAACTCATCTCAGTATAAAATAGAACCTTCTATGTTCTATTTTCCATTATGTTAAAATTTCTCCCTCTATACTTAGTAGACTAGGACTATCTTAAGAAAACTAAAATTGATTTCTGAAAATTGAAGAATTTGTTTTTGTAATTTCAGTTGATATTTTTTCTGTTTAAAAGTCTCCAATTTTCCTGGGTTTACTTATAACAGAGCTAAAAGCCATAATGTGATCATGTCAGTACTTAAGCCAGATATATACATATTTTTGGTATTATAAGTTTTAAAAATACTTTTAATCTAATAACAATAAATAAGAACAGACAGTAATGTCATAATCGCCCAAGTTTTTTCATTTGGAAAAAACAGAGACATTTCCTTTCTGAAGGGTAAACTGTATGTGCACACGTTTGCAGATGTATGTGGGTGAGTGTGCATGTGTGTGGGTACATAAAAATGCTTTAGCAGGTGAATGCATCAAGCTTAGGATTGGAACAAATCCTGATCAGGACAATGTGTACTTCAAAAAAAAAAAAAAAATTCTTCCACCACTAATCAGTGCCCAGGAAGCCCATCTCTCAAAGGGGCTGAGAGATGGTGAGATGTGATGGTACCTGGGTTAGATATGGCCCTCTGATTTCATGAGGCCCCAAGAGATGTGGTGTCTACTGACACAGAAACACAACCAGGGTTTATTAGTCCTACAGCAAGATCTAAGTGGGCAACAACATGGAGAAGTAATGGGAAGTAGATGCTGTTTGTACCCTACCCAGATTCCTTTATATCAAGCCAGTGGACCCAAGCCCCATCTGCTGTGAGCTGGGCTAACAGCCACCTCCTTCTAGGAAGAATTGCTGTTTGACCAAGCTGGGGCCTTCATGCCGGAAAACTATGCCATAATTATCAGTAAAGTGAGAACAATATTGATATGTACTTCAATGAGTTGGGGGCTGATTAAGTGAGATAATACATGTTCTAATCCAGTGCCTGGCGTAAAGTAGGTGCTCAATAAATTTTAGCTACCTTTTTCCATTGCCCTTTTATTTATTTGTTCTCTATTTCCTTTAGCTAACTATAAGAGAGAATTGCTATTTCAAAGAGATTACTAGTCATATTATATTTACCAGGTATACAGTCTGTACTCGCTATTCAAATGGAAGTCAGACCACTTATGTTTTATAGTTTAATAACTCCCTGCTTTCCATGGTTTAGCAGTCTATTCTTGTCTGATAGAACAAACTTTATAGCTTGTCATATCTTTACAGTTTAAAGAGGTTCAAGTGTATATATTCCATACAGTTGGGTAGTAAAGTGTTCTTTTCTAAAAGGATTATGTTTAATATAGAAAAGCAAGGTGTAATGATCAGTTTTACATATTTAGAAGTTAACCGTCTTTGGGTATAAAGTGCTATTTTTATACTGGAATTCAAAGTCTGTATGCATTCTATTTTCAGAATTTCTCAATAAAGGAGGAAGCCCATTGAAAATCTCAGGGAGGGATGGGCAGGAGTAGGATGGTATCTTTCCAACTTTTCCCTATCATTTTTACATTTTAGACATACGTGAATTTAATTTTCCCCAGTCTGAGGAAGAGCAGGCTGAAGGGGAGGGAACACTGGCTCCCATGACACAGAAAAGGTCTTCTAAATAATCTGCAGTGTTCTCTCACGAGCTCATTGCTAGGAAGGCCAGATGTGAGAAGGAGCCTAGAAGCCAGAATATACAACAGTCCCTCCGCATAGGTTCTATTTTACCTTGCAGCTTGGGAAGAGCTGACAAGCATTGGTTGTGGAGTTGGACAAGTCTAAGTTTGAATTCTTGCTCTGCTATAATCCTTGATAGCTTATTTACTTATTTATTTATGTTTTTACTATGGGCAAGTTATTAACTCTCAGTTTCCATATTTGTAAAATGTGATAAATACCTACACTGTGTGGAGCTGTTTATGAGAACTATATTAAATGGGATAATAGATTTAAATACTTCTCATAGTGTCCGGTGATGCAGTACATGGGCAATAATGGTAGCTGTTATTATTTTTATTGCTGGATGCAGTTTTTTTTCTTTTCCATTAGCTGGGCATAGAAATATTTGTTTATCTCCAACAGGGAAGGCAATAGCTTCTTTTTCCTTCTTCCCTTAAACAGAATTTTGGACCTTTGAATGTAACCCTACAAATCCCAGCAAAGTATACATTCTCTGTTCTCTCTTATAAAGGGCAGAGAAACTCTACTCCTTGGAAGCAGAAAAAGTGCAAAGAGTTGCCTACAAGTGGCATCACAAGTATTTTAGGGGAGTCAGGTGTAAACGTTATTCACAGTTCAATTGGCCCCAGAGCAGGCATCATGCCAGCAGAGAAAGCACCGCATTTCATCACTGACCTTGGAGAGGGGGACTGGCTCCGGTTCTAGCAATTGCCGACTTACAGAGGGCTCGGTGCTAGAGGAAGCAGTCCTCTCCAGTATGTGAATACTCTGAAAATAAATGAAAACATAGCCCAGGGTTAGACAACTCACTTTTCATGTGAATGTGCATGGGGATGAAATCATACACAACACAGTCAAAACAGTGAGCTATGTTAAAAATGGCAAGTTCCTGAAAAGACCAAAGATAGCAGCAACAGACAGAAAAATATGTCGGCACAGGATTTTCCCCTCCTCTTCTAGATTTGCTGCTGAACTGCTGCTGCAGTGCCGGTTTCAGTCTTGGAGAGTCAGAGGAATATCTCTCGAAAAATTTTATGATACACACAAGAAAACTTACAACTTTATGACAAAGACACACCTTCTACTTAGACTAATCAGGCTTACATAGAAATATTTGCTCATCTCTCCAACTGGGAATAGCAACAGACAAAAAGAAAGGTCTACCTTAAAAAATCCAGTGGCGGCCAGGCATGGTGGCTCATGCTTGTAATCTCAGCACTTTGGGAGGCTGGGGCAGACGGATCACTTGAGGTCAGGAGTTTGAGACCAGCCTGGCCAACTTGGTGAAACCCTGTCTCTATTAAAAATACAAAAATTAGCCCGGCATGGTGATGGAAGCCTGCAATTCCAGCTACTTGGGAAGCTGAAGCAAGAGAATCGCTTGAACCTGGGAGACGGAGGTTGCAGTGAGCCAAGATTGCACAATGCACTCTAGCCTGGGCAACAAGAAGGAAACTCCATCACAAAAATAAATAAATAAATAAAAATCCAGAGCCTTCACACCCTTCAGTCTCTAAAGTTTCTTACAAAAACGCACAGAGAAGAAAACAATTCACCAAATACCATAAACGGTAGGTGTCTTTTACAAAGAGCATTTATATATTAGCAAGATAAAATTTCAACAGAAAAATGGGTGAAGTACACGAATAGTTAACACATGTAAAACATTTGAAAAGATGTTCTAACTTAGAAGTATTCAAAAAGAGAATCAAAATAATAATTTCTTTTACCCATCAGATTCAAGAATGAAGTGGGGTTGGAAGAAAGAAAATATAAATTAGATATGATCTTTCTAAAGCGGAATTTTGCAATTATATTAAAGCCCTTGCGGGGGAAAAAAAGTACATGCCTTAACCTAAATTACATAAATCTACTCATTAAGAATACTTCACTATCTTGGCACATTATGAAAGCATAAAAGAAGGAAACAAATCTTGTTTCATGCACTCTTCAAATACATGAGAGCGAAACTTCCCTACTGTAAAGACTACAAAGATTTTTTTTAAAGGTTTTTTTTTTTTTTTTTTAAATGCATGAGGTGATTTTTCTAAAAAAGAACCATGGCTAATAAAGATCAAAGATACGAGTGTCACTGTAAAGATCAAAGATACAAGTGTCACTGTATTACAGAGATATAAAATGCTTCCCCCACCAACAAATAAATTACCTTATACTTTGAGATAATTTTCCATAGGAAAAGAAGTTTCCAACGTAATTTTTGAAATAACCATTTAGAAATTACACACTTTAGTAGCAAGTTTCTCCCTCACTATTTAATAGAATATCAACAAAAAACTTCATTCAAATAAATATAATAAAGTACAAGACCAGAAACTACCAGTGAAATACGTTATTTATTCATTCATAGTTCAATTTATCAACATGTCATTATTAGGCACCTACACTTTGCCAGGCACAGATGACAGGGCCACAGAGAACAAAACAGACAAGAGAACTACTCTTATGATGCTTATATTCTAGAAAGAGTTCTTATCATACAAAAGACCAAATCATGGTTAGGACTTCTTTGTAAGCCCACATATTAACCTTGTTTCATGTGGCTACTGCTTTTGCTTACTTTAATCTTCCAGTCAGGTATCTCTGATCTGAGCTTCTCTTTAACGACTCTCCCCGATCCCCATCCTTTCAGGTTGCTGGGCAATAAAACACAGATACATCACCAACTGTTTCCCCCACCTCCAAAAAAACGTGGTAAGAAAAACAAAACCTGGAAAGAAACTTGACCTTAGTAACTATGTAGGCAGGAAATAAAGTAACTAAGCTAGGGAAAGGAAATTAAATCCCCTAACTTCCAAGTCAAGCCATAGATATAGAAATCAATGTGGTATATTTGAAGTGTGATGGAAATAAATTTTTCCTGTATAGATACGAGGGGATACTTAAGATGTTGCCAGAATTATGTGGGTCAGAAGGGTTAGTTAGCAACCACACAAACCAGGACCCACAACTGTAAAATACCTACCACAGTACCTAGCACAAAGAAAACAATATTAGTCTCTTCTCCATTTGATGTTACAAAACAGTTTATATTATGGAAGAAAAATAAGAAGTTCAATCACTTCAAATATAGCACAATATATCTAAACCCTAAATTCTGTTGATTTGTCAAAGCCCAGAGAATCATAAAAAACATTTAGTGAGACATAGCAAGTAAATGAATATTTTTATTATCACTAATGTATGTATTTGTTACTGAAAAAGTTAAAGGACAATTTAGAAAACTACCAGCTGCTACCCATTATTGTAATTGTAACTAGCTTCAAAAAATAAGCTATTCCATGTAACCTCCAGGATGACAATGAAGAAGCCAACAGCTCTTGTAGAAACTCACGAGTCTAGAACCTATCATTGTCTATTCAATAATAAAAAATTAATCCACTACCTTGAATTTTCTCCAAACTCATGGTTTTAAAAAAAGCATAACCCTAAAGTTATGTAATTATATACCAAGCAATTTGTTATTTTAAATGAAATATCTAAGTAATTGAATGTTGTATTTTTTTACACCAGCAGCTATAAAGAAGACAGTTTAAACTGACCATACCCAGTCCTGGCCTCTAGCTAGATTGAGTGCTCCTTGAAGGTGGGGACAAGCTCATCTTCATCCTGGAATTCCATCTTCTCTACCCGTAATCCACCCCATCCTAGCACAACAATCTGCACACTGAAGCCAGTCAAAAATGTGTGGAATTTTTTAGTGCTAATTTGCAGAGAACAGTCCTTCAGCAATCAATTACCTTCCAGCTTTATCTTGGAATTATTATTATTATTTTTGAGACAGAGTCTTGCTCCATCGCCAGGCTGGAGTGCAGTGACACAATCTCAGCTCACTACAACCTCCGCCTCCCGGGTTCAAGAGATTCTCCTGCCTCAGCCTCCAGAGTAGTTGGGATTACAGGTGCGTGCCACCACGCCCGGTTGTATTTTTAGTAGAGACGGGGTTTCACAATGTTGGCCAGGATGGTCTCGATCTCTTGACTTTGTGATCCACCCGCCTCGGCCTCCCAAAGTGCTGAGATTACAGGCGTGAGCCACTGCACCCAGCCTATCTTGGAATTATAAAAATCATGCTCCAATAGGATAGAACTTTTGAAAACAGTTAAAAAGCCTAAGTTTTAAAACAGGAAAATCTAGCGGATTAATCACAGAACTCTTACTTATTCAATTTAAAGCTATGAGTAGTCATTAGGGAACACATCAAATTTAATTTCATGACATCTTCAGTTATAAAAATCAGTTCTTTTCATAAGGCTTCCTTTAAGATCATAATTTGTGGTATAATTTTTGTACTTTTCTTCACAAGATAGCTGTTTTCATATTCTTTCAGAGTGAATTGGAAACACATGCCACTACTTTCAAGGTGTTACACACATTATGTAAGCAAGTTAAATAAAGGGTTATGTAAACCAGTTAATTATTCTTCTAAAATCAAGTTTCCTCTCAAATGCTAAAATTATAAGTTAATTTCCAGGTCAGTTTTTTAAGGAACTTAGAACACACAGAGAAGGTGGAAGTACTTACCCGCCCTCTGTTTCCCCTGATCAGAGATAACTGATGCATATTTAGCTTAAAACCAGGAACCTGGAACACATATTTCACTGTAGCTCTTTAATTTGGTAAAAATATGCTCCTCAGGTTAGTGTTCATTGATCTCAATACCTCCTGAGCAGCAAGTGGAAATGTGCCAACATGACTGTAGTCTAGTTTACTTGGTATCAAAGACATAGGTAAACAGACAGACAATGAGACACTTAATAATAGCTGAATGGTTTGGTGCAACTCACGCGGAGAGAAACGTGATTCTCAAAATGAGAGTCCAGGAGATCTGTTGAATAGGGATCTTGTCATTTACTTACTTAAATTTCATTACAAAGATATAAAGACATTGCTGGAAATGTTTTAGACTGAGGCTACAAATTTCTTTACAGACTCACTTTTTCTATAAATTTAGGACAGTAGTAAAGAGAATTGGTCCACTGCTCTCTGAATGTTAACTCCATTGAAATTGTTCACCTAACTATCTTAGCTAAGCTATTTTTATATTCACAGATTACCCAAAATATTTTCAAAGAAAAATATCCAAAATAATTTAGGAATTTCTAAAGTACGTTCTTCAAGCTTTCAGCTATCTCGCATGTATCTCTTCTAGTTATAGCTGCTACTTTGAACGTAGCAACACTATTTCAGTGGTACTAGTAACTTCTGTAGGATAGTGTTGATGATAATGATGACAATGGCAGTTAATAGTTACTGGTTTTTACATTCCTATCTCTATGCTTTACATGAATTATTGCATTCCATCTTCACAAGCCTTTGAATAATGACTATTTAATGATCTGCCTGACTGACCAGATAAAGGGATATAGAGATTAAGAGAGGCACACAGTCACTAAGGGTTGGAGTTGGAAGGTGACAAGATTTTACTCGAGTCAAGCTTGTATATATGGCCTTCTGAATTAACATGAAAGCTAATGTCAAATGACAAAAATAACAGAAATTTCAAATTGATAAATGAACATATCACAAAGCATTCTTTACCACAATCTTCTGTGGATATAGAGAAGTAGAAATGAGTGAAATAAAAAAGAAAAAATTATAGCACTCTTAAATATGGTACAATCTTAGGGATAATTTCTTTGTTACCCTTACAGCACACTCAAGTTAATTTCCAATTTCTAATTTTATTTTATTTTCAAAAACACACTCAAACCAGACAATTTGTAATTTTCCAGAACTGAGAGCAAGTCAGCTAGCTTTTACTTTGGGGGTATGGTGTATGGTGCAGACAAAAGAACATAAATTTTGCAGCTCTACAGACCAGCATACCAACCCTCATCTGCTATTTACTATGACACGTAGACAAACCATTAACCTCTTTCAACCTCAGTGTCCTCTATCTGTAAAATGAGGATAATAATATCTACCTTACAAGACACTGCAAGTCACAGGGTAGGCATCCAGTGTATGCACAGTGCTGCCCAAAGGCTGGCACACAGTAGGCACCCAATAAATAGCAGCTATCATCTCAGTTATAAACATTACAGGAATAAATATCTAGGAATCTTACGCATTCCCATGCCACAGAAAGATGACTTTCAAACACTTTGCTGGTGTCTGACACCTGGGAGCCCTTTTGGAAGTGAGGAAGCCGTGCCTTCCATGACCATCACGTTACCCAGCAAACCCAGTAACCATGGTCAGCATCACCTCATGATCAGGACATCAAAATTTGGTGAGAGAGCTGTCAACGTGAGTTGAGAGAGATGGCCTAGATATTCTCTAATGGGAAGGCAACAGCAGTGATGGCGGCATAGATTGCATCCTTCTGAATGCCTGCAGCAGAAGATGCATGTGGATTTTCCTTCAAAACAGTTTTTTCTTTGCACTAGCATAAAATATTAAAATCACCAAAGCCAAAAGGCCATGGCTGAAGAAGTAGCAATTATACTACTTTCTCCATTATCTGGCCTTCACTGAAAGATGCAGAAGTGCATTAACAGTAGGTCTCTATATAAGCACCCTTAAAATGAATGAAAGTAGAAAATTTTAGAAACAGTGGCTGAAAAAAGTCTACACAGCACACCTGGGAAATTCTGAAGGGAGAAAAGCAAAGTGAGCACAGTCCCATCCCTTCCTGCACAGAATTATGAATCAACCACTATAGCCTCACCATTGAACTGGCCTGTTTTAAGACACCCTGTATTGTAAGAAATACCATGTGGACCCATCAAGTGGTCCATTGATAGCAAAGAGTAGTTCAGCAATATTGACTATGAAAGAGATAAAAGGTATGGGAATAAACAGCTTTTTAATTCCCACAGTTGCCTTTAAGTAGAAATAGAACCAGAGCTTACTGGTGAACTTCCTCCTTATTCTGTACTCATAACACTCAACAGCATAACTAAATCAGAGGAAACCACAGCAACCAGAGTATAAGCACATACGGATCATGCTTCATTACGGCAATTATAAACAAATGGCAAATCACATAGACAAATACCAGGGCATATCAAGAGCTAACGCTCTGGAACATGTAGAGTCAGTTTAAAGGCAGGAAAACTGTGACCTGAAAATAATACTAAAGTTAATCTGTAATTTTCTAAAAGGCTTTTAAAATTACCCAGGGTAAGGATTTTTTAGTATGATAATCACTTACGTGATTTTGCTAACAATACAAGCAAAAAAAAAAAAGTCCATATACATCTTTTTAATATTTATGTAGGTTCATTTGAGACAGAAAGTTGGACTGTTTTGATCACCCTTATAAACTGAGAGCATATCATTCATATATATATCATATTCATTCTTTCAGCAAATATTTATAAGAACATGTATTGATATCAGATCTTATATTTATGAGAATATATGTTCTTTCATTCAGCAAATATTCATCATATACAATATGTTCTCATAAATGTTTGCTGAATGAATGAATAATTATTCTATATATATATATATATATATATATATATATATATATATATATGGTGTCTAAGTTTCTGCTGCGACATAATTAAGTTAAATTACCGTGAGATCAAATGTAAGCAGGAAAGAAGACAAAAGGTGACCCACCTCATGCCTCAGCACCTCAAAGTGGTTTGAAAAACTTGTGCCAAGCTTCCTATGTGGCATAATATCCTTCATACTCATTTAACTTCTAATTTTATTCTTATCGAGGTAGGGTTTGCAATTTCATTATATTTTAATATAATACATAATGATATTTAATATTTGCTGACAATTTTATCATATTTACTACATTCCAAATACTGTTTTAAAGATATACACACACAAACTCATATAATATGACCTTTAGAGAAACACATTCTTTGCAGAAATTTTGGGGGGAAAACAGAAAAATAGAAATTAAAACCACCCATAACCAGCAATAAACTTTTTCAATATTTTGATATATCTTCTTTCAGCTTTTTTTCAATGCATATACACACTCAATTCTTAAAAACAAAATAAAAATTGTACTATTTTTTCAATTTAATAGCCTTTTTGTTTGTTTGTTTTTTGGTTTCAATTAGCAATACAGTCCTCCCTTGGTATCCTTGGGGGACTGACTCCAGGACCTTCTGCAGATACCAAAATCCACAAATCCTCAAGTCCCTTATACATAATGCCATAGTATTTGCATATAACCTATGCACATCTTTCCATATACTTTAAATCATCTCCATATTACTTGTGATACCTAATACTATGTAAATGCGATGTAAGTAGTTGTTATACTGTATTGTTTTTTATTTGCATTATTTTGATTGTTGTGTTGTAGCAGGGGGGATATTTTCAATCCACGGCAGTTACATAAACCATGTTATGTATGTAACTCTTCATATGGCTCAACAATGGCTGGTTCAATCCACGGATCTGGAAACTGTGGCTACAGAGGTTTTAAAAGTAAAAGGTTCCCACAGCATTAAATATTCAAAAGCATTTTTAGCAGCTGTGCAATATTTCACTGTGTGGCTATGAGAGAGGTTATTTAAATATCTCCTGTTGAACATTAGACTGTTTCTAATTTTTTTACCACTATAAAAATACTTTGATAAACATTTTTTTAACTGAAATCTTTAACATGTATCTTTGTTTCCTTAGAATACATGTTTTTAGAAGCTGAGTTACTGGGTCCCATGGTATGACTTTTTAAAAAGACTTTAGATACATATCACTAAATTTCACTCCAAAAAAGCTAAATCAATTAACATGCTTAGCAGTAGTGCAGGAGAGTATCTATTTCCTTGAAGCCTCACCAGTGCTGGCTATTAAAATTTTTGAGAAATCAGCTCTTAATTGGGAGTTGAGGTCAGGAAGTCTGGCACTTGAAATATAAAACATACAGTATGTGCAGAACTTTCCTTTACCTTTGTAAGAATATTTCACTTCCAGTCCAGGAGAGTTACAGTGGATACTGGACAAAGGGAGGTAAGATTTTCTGTTTGTCCAAGTTGAAAATCAAATAAAGCAGTTTTGTAGACCTATGGTCCTTTGGGATGACGTTTTTATAGTTCTAATGAAACACCTAAAAATGTTCTCTGTAAAGTGATCATTTCCAAAACTGAGTGAATAACAGTCTCCTGGGGTGGCTTCTGTAAACAACAGATTCTCAGGCCTTTTCAAGGGCCTACTGAATGAGACCCTCTGGGCTTCATTAACTCATGATACTGTGGCCCTGTCTATTTGGTGTGATGCCTGAGAACCGAACAGGCAGTGCTAATCTTGGATCTGACAGACGAATTTGCTGCTATAAAAATGTCACCCAAAACCAGTCATCTCAAGGTAACAAGAGATAACCTCCAAAGTAAAAACCTGATAAAGGCAGGCCTAGAGAGCTGAAAGGCTTTGGCAGGCACACCAGGGAAAGCAGTGAACAGACTCCTAACCAAGTAGCACTGGGTTCTGAATCATCTGTGGGTAATGAGTATCTGTGTGCCATTATATAATAGATAATGATATTTAATATTTGCTGACACTTTTGTCATATTTACTACATTCCAAATACTGTCTTAAAGCTACACACACACAAACTCATAAAATATGACCTTTAGGAAAACACATTGCAGGTAACAAATCTCTTTCTAGTGGTCTCAATTTCAGCACATTTGACATGGA
Source organism: Homo sapiens (assembly GCF_000001405.40). Classification (NCBI taxonomy): domain Eukaryota; kingdom Metazoa; phylum Chordata; class Mammalia; order Primates; family Hominidae; genus Homo; species Homo sapiens. The sequence goes on along the minus strand of NC_000002.12, from coordinate 178,315,305 downwards.
CTGAACATGTACCGTAAACACCATGCAACAGTGACAGAGATCTCCAAAAGGTGGCGATGCCAAGAAAGCTGTGGAGCTGCTCGTTGAAAGGTTAACAGCAGTTGTCAATAAAACTTCTCATTGCAAAAAGATGATCAAAACTTCTCATTCCAAAAGCAATACGTGTAGTAAAAATGCAAAAAATTGAGAAAAGCACAGATAGCATAGAACTCACCTATGATGGCAACAGTTCATAATAACTATTAACATTTTAGTCTATGTACCATTTGATTTACAGTTTCCCAAGCCATCAAGGATGTGAAAAATTACTATTATTGCTCAAGGAAAAAAATGAGGAGGCAATACCTAACTAAAAAATGATTGACAAATGCTGCCTACAAGGTTCACTTCAAAGTATACAGGAGGCCTGGACATCCAGCTTGGCAAGCATTACAACATCTAATAGTGGAGGGGCCAAGAACAAGGGCTCCAGAAACTGGGTTCCAGGGAGCAAATCCTGTCTCCACTGCTCATTAGCTGTTGGCAAGACATTTCACCACTTTGGCCACACTTTGTTCTTTGAACAAAGTGATGACACTTCCAGCCTTCCACAGTGAGAGCTCGTGAAATATTAGCTATTGCTGGTGTTATTCTATTGGTTTGTTCATAAACTTTGCCTAATATTTAGACTCTTCAAAATACCCAGTTTGCATCCAAGTAACAAAAATTGGTCCCAGTCTGAGCTTTTGCAAACAAATATTATTTTCTCACTGACACTGGTCCTAAGTCCCAAAAAGTTGATTCCATGGGATGAGTGGATTCCCAAAAAGGCTAAACTGAAATTTGAATCAACTCAATAATTTAAATATACCTAGCACTCCAGAGAGGACACTGCAGATTTTCAGATCAGGTTAGTGTTTCTCTCTGAACTGACAGCTGGGTTCCAGGGTCATCCTGCAAATCCCTGGGTCCAGTGGAATTCTACACAGAGCTAATAATTCAGGTTATATTCCTCCTTACTGGTAACACTGGAGGTGATTGTAATTGGAGGTTAGGTATCAAATCAGGGATGCTTGACTTTCTTTTCTTTAGAAATTAGAACATTTTTGTTTGAGATAACATGCTACTTTTCACAACTCAAGGAAATCCATTTCCTATTTAGAAGATTTGACACTATGTTTCAAAGTAGTGATTTAGTTATTTCATTCAACAGAGCGATTTGAAGATGCTACAGAGGCTCAGTCGGAGGAGACACATTCCAATTCAGTTCACGTATATGCTGGGGGATCTTTTTATTAGCCTGTTTGTTCAACAAGAAAACTTGTTATGAAAACTTTGCACATAAAGGATAGATGTTGATGAGAGACATTTTTACTGTCTGGTTTTCCAGGCACCTTCTTTACTTATAATGAGTTTCCTGTATAACAGATGCTGCTGAAATCTGCTGTGAATGGCCATGCCACTATCCCATGGTTACACCAGCACATGGTCCCACTGAGTCACTGCTGGGGATGGCCTTAATATGTCACCAGTGGGCTTTGAATGAATAGGCCACTGTTGGTTTTGAAATGCATTGCTGTTGATAATACATAGGAAACATTTTAGATACTCATGTAATTGAAATATATAGTTGTTAAAAGATGGACCATTATACGGAATATAGATTTCATAAAAACTGGTAAGAAGATGAACTTCTAGCCTCTTATGACTTATTTATTTTTTATTATTTATATTTTTTCCTTAAAATGTTCTTTATTTTATTATCTCTGAGCTTCAGCAAACTTTGAGTCATTACGAGGGCTGGCTGGCTTTTTCTTCTTTGATTTTTCATTGAACAAAAAAATTGACTCATTTAAGGATTTACAAGGTCTAACCTGGTGGAGATACATATAAGAATTCACCCATAACAGATGCTATCACCTGAAAATTATGCATTCCAAACCCTACATTCTCAGAGCCATAGTGTCTGATTTTCTGATATGACTTGAAAATAATACAAATAAAAATAATCATTGGCTCCAAATACAGGACTTGCTTTTGAAAATGCAGATCCTTGGGCATAATCCCAGAACTACTGAAAATGCCTCAGAAACATATATTTTGTTAAAATTCTCTAAAATATGTAAGCATAGGCCAGGCGTGGTGGCTCATGCTTGTAATCTCAGCACTTTGGGAGGCTGAGGCAGGTGGACCTCCTGAGATCAGGAATTTAAGACCAGCCTGGCCAACATGGTGAAACCCTGTCTCCACTAAAAATACAAAAATTAGCTGGGCGTGGTGTTGGGCGCCTGTAATCCCAGTTACTCAGGAGGCTGAGGCAGGATAATTGCTTGAACCTGGGTGGCGGAGGTTGCAGTGAGCTGAGATCACACCATTGCACTCTAGCCTGGGCAACAAGAGCAAAACTCTGTCTCCAAAAAAAAAGAAAGAAGGAAAGAAATGTAAGCATAAAAGTAATTATGGAAACAAAATCCAGTCAGTGGGTCACAAACTGAGTGACCTTATTATATAATGTGACCATAAAATATATACTGATCAGGAAGCAATAACCTTCGTTTTAAAATAAAGAGAGGCTGGGTGTGGTGGCTCATGCCTGAAATCCCAGCACTTTGGGAGGCTGAGGTGGGTGGATCACTTGAGGTCAGGAGTTTGAGACTAGCCTGGCAAACGTAGTGAAACCCCATCTCTACTAAAAGTACAAAAATTAGCCAGATGTGGTGGCAGGCGCCTGTAATCCCAGCTACTCGGGAGGCTGAGGTGTCAGAATTACTTGAACCTGGGAGGCGGAGGTTGCAAAGAGCTGAGATTGTGCCACTGCACTCCAGCCTGGGCAACAAAGCGAAACTCTGTCTCAAAAATAACCAAAATTATCTGGGCATGGTCGTTCATGCCTGTAATTCCAGCACTTTGGGAGGCCGAGGCAGGCGATCACCAGAGGTCAGGAGTTCAAGACCAGCCTGGCCAACATGGTGAAACCCCATCTCTACTAAAAATACAAAGTTAGCCAGGCGTGGTGGTGCACCTGTAATCCCAGCTACTCGGAAGGCTGAGGCAGGAGAATCACTTGAACCCGGGAGGCGGAGGTTGCAGTGAGCCGAGATTGTGCCATTACACTCCAGCCTGGGCAAAAAGAGCGAAACTCCATCTCAAAAAAAAAAAAAAAAAAAAATTACAAAAATCAGCTGGGCGTGGTGGTGCTCGCCTGTAGTCCCAGCTACTCTGGAGGCTGAGGCAGGAGAATCACTTGAGCCCAGGTGGCAAAGGCTCCAGTGAGCTGAGATGGCACCACTGCACTCCAGCCTGGGCGACAGACTAAGACGCCATTTCAATTTAATTTCAATTTAATTTGACGCCATTTCAATTTAATTAAATAAAATAAAGAGATACCTCCCACCTCCACCAATATGTTTAACACCTGTGCAGAAGAATGCTCCCAACTCTCTGCTTTTGTCTGCTTTTGTCCTTCACATGATTCCACTTATTCCATCACACGTCCACTCTCAGGAGCAAGAGGAAGGGACTGTGCTCTCTTAGGTCCTCTCTGCTGCCTTTGGGCTATCCTTCATTTACTCTCAAAATCCACTCTTGTGGGACTTGGAACTCCAAACAATATCATCTCTCCCTGTTGTCATCTCCTGACCTCATGATTATTCCTTTGCAGCTATCAAGACCTCTGGAGCCGAGCTCCCAATCTTCTCTCCATCCTGACTTCTCATTCATTCATTTATTGCTTCTAATACATCTTGAGCATACCAAATGTGAGGCGCTGTACAAGGTGCTAGGAATACATTATTGAGTGAAATAAAACCCTGTTTTCATAGGGCTTACATTTCAGTGTTAGGGAATACAGGAAGGGGATACAGACATAAACAGGAAACAAATACAAAACCAAATAGATAACATGCCAGGTGGTAGTCAATGCTTTAAAGAAAAATCAAACCAGCTAAGTGGACAAGGAGAGATGGGTACATGCAGGGAAGGGCAGAGAAGGCTGCCCAAGGAGGGTATATTTGGAGACTGAGCCAAGTGTATGACAAACCGGGGGATGGCTAGATGAAAAGCAGGTGAGGGTGAGGGGACCAGAAGTGCAAAGGCCCTGAGGTGGGTGTGTTCTTAGCACATCTGAGGAATGTACTGGAGAGAACCACTTAAAGGGAACATGGTATGCGCTCAGAGGGCCAGGCAGAACCAGATTATGAATGGCATCGTAGACAGTGGTCAGCAATTCAATATTATTTGGACAGAGATGGGAAGTCACTGGAGGGCTTGGTGCAGAAGAGTGGCTCACTCTGACTTAGGTTGTGAAGGTACTACTCCAACTGCTCTGTAAAGAATGACCTGTATGTTGGGCAAGGACAGAAGCAGGGAGACCCACTGGAAAACTGTGACGATAGTCCAGGTGAGAAATGACGGTGGCTCAGACCAAGGTGGAGGGGGAGGAGGTGGCAAGCAGTCATCAGATTCCAGGTATATCCTGAAGGTAGAACCAAAAGGATGATTCCTGGATTCCTGGATTTCTCACCAAATGAAAGAATGGAGTTGTCATTTATGGAGGCAGTGTAAGCTGGGCAGGAGTAGATTTGAGAGGGCAATTAAGAGTTCAGTTTTGAGGCTGGGTGCGGTGGCTCACGCCTGTAATCCCCGCACTTTGGGAGGCCGAGGTGGGCGGATCATGAGGTCAGGAGATCGAGACCATCCTGGCTAACACGGTGAAACCCTGTCTCTACTAAAAATTCAAAAAATTAGCCGGGTGCGGTGGCGGGCACCTGTAGTCCCAGCTACTCAGGAGGCTGAGGCGGGAGAATGGCGTGAACCCAGGAGGCAGAGCTTGCAGTGAGCCGAGATCGCGCCACTGCACTCCAGTCTGGGCAACAGAGCAAGACTCCGTCTCAAAAAAAAAAAAAAAAAAAAAAAGAGTTCAGTTTTGGGCATGTTAAACTTAAGGTGCTTTCTTAAAATCCAAGTTGAAATCACCCTTGGTAAGTTAAATATTACTGACCTACTGACTGACCTACTGACATCCAGGATCAGAAATTACAAATCCAAATGCTTTAAAGGGCAAGTCAGTCAACATAAATAAGTATTGAGGGCAGGTGAAGACTGTAGCTGATCAAAGAGTAAATATCCCAACTACACTGGAAGGCATTATTGAGCCCAGTCTACTGTTGTCATCAGAAATCTGGGATCAATGTCCCTAGACCTTCCAATTTTTTCATAGAAGGAAGAATCTAAATTTGTAACAATCAAATCTTACAGGGGAAAAAGTTCCACAGTCTACTACATTCTAGAATTACTCAGTTAAATAAAAAGTTCTTACTTCGGGACTTATCGGTGTCCTTAATTTTGTAATGCACATTGCAAAAGATATTTTGTTTAGCACTTCTCTAACTTATTTGACAGAAGAACTCTCTTTTAATACAACATCTCAAGTGGCAAGCATTCCTCGGCACACACTTTGGGGAATGCTGGTTTATTGGTAAGTCCTAGGTGTTTCATCAACAACCCTTATGCTCCCTCTTGGAATGTTTTAGGGCATATATTAATATGTTTATTGCAGCTTAATGAGTCATAGTTGATCACACACACAAAGAGCCAGTTTTGCTAGATGTTCTAACAGCTCATATCAGATTTAGTGAAATGCAAATGGAACAATTATTAAAGCCTTCTAACTTGTTAAATAACTAAGAGGAGGCTTGATGCTATCATTGGTGAAGAAACACTTACTGAGATCACAGGGGCACTGAGTCATTTTATTTCGTAGCTCCTCTCCCTTCTTTACCAATTATGCTATCTAATGTAGTGACAGGAAGGACAGGTAATTACTATTATGCACAGATGTTCTTTGTTTTACTTATCCATGAGGAAGGAAGAAGAGAAGGACAAATAAATCAGGAATGGAAAATTTGTAATAAAAATACAAAACTAATGTTGTTGCAGGTCTTTAAAATATATCCTCCAGGATATATTAAAACATTTGAGGTTCAAGGCTGGTCTCTGAAGACTTAAGAGTACATAGTCTGTATACGAGAGCTCACAATACAGATGAGGAGATCAGTACATAAAAAGATAAGCAATATAGAACCGTCAAATATTGTCAAAAAGGTCTATAAAAGTTCAGAGGAAGGAGAGGGTAAAGTGGGTTTGCGTGGCCAGTGGGAGTGTCATATGAGCCGGTCTTTGAGGCATAGGGAGGCATCTGGTTGAGAGGAGGGTGGTGGGAATTCCATGCAGGAAAGGCAAGTAGAGATAAAGACAGGGCAGTTCAGGACTATGATCAGACAAGACTGTTGAGGTTGGGAGGAAAATGGAACACAAGCCTGGACCAGATCATGCTAGACATGGGGTTCCAAGTAAGAAACTGTGGCCTTAATTGTGTAGGTAACAATGAGTCTGATGGATTTTGAGCATGAATCTGCCCTACTCAGGACATTTGAAATGGTGAGGCCATAAGTGAGATAGTGAGGCAAGCGCACTCTGCAGGATCCTGGGTAGAGGTGATGAGAGCTGTGAGAGGGAGCTGACAGTGGGAATAGAAGGAAATTATAATATTATGAAGGAGGAAATGATCAATAGGACTTGTTAACCTATTGAATGTGGGAGAAGCAAAGGAGAAAGACAGACATTGACCCTGGATCTCTAAGAGAATGGTTATCCTGATAGCAAATTGGTTTATACATATTGATTTAAGACACAGTGGTACCACTCAAGCGGCAGTGCATTTAAGTAGAAATGCTCAATCATTCATTAGTTACCTACGATTAGAACTTGAGAAGGAAAGGCAAATAATGTGCATTAAGATACCACTGTATTCTCAGCTATGTGCTAGATCCTAATTTAGGAGAGAAATGGGGCTGGAGTTTGCAATTTGGCACCATCTGCATAGATGTCAGTCAAATCAGGAGAATGGAAAGGATTCAATGAAGCCAAATTTATCACACTTTCTCTATGTCCCTTCACTATGAAAACAGTTATCACACAAAAATAGATGCATATAAAAAACACTACATCACATCACATGATCAGTCAAAATATCTGAGTTCCCTAAGTTAATTCTGAGGTTTAGGCAGTGATTGAGATAAGGAAGGAAAAACAGAACTGTAATTGATCTCTTCTATTCTTCTCTCCCCTTAGGGAGGTAGACAGACACAAAACAGGAGTCAGGAAGGAACCAGGGAAGAAAGTTTTTGGGAGCGTTTCCACCTGCTGAGATAAATAGGAGTAAAAATAAACTCTCTCCTTAAAGAATAATAACCCTTTGAAAAGCGTCTCTTACTTTTCTAGAACTCATTATCCATGTACAGACATGCTCCTTTCATTCCCATCATAAAACTTTTCATTCACAAGCCAGTGAGGAGTCACACATTCCACCTTCATGCTCCCTCCGGCACACCAGGGTCTCAGTGTTTCCCTATTGCTTTGCGTGCCCGTCCTGGAGCTCGGGTGCAACAGGCAGAATAACAACGCATGATAGATGTTTCTACAGGAGTCATCCGTCTTTACCATTTGCCACAATTCTCCAGGGTGAGCCGGGTCAACTGCTTCCTTCTTCCCAGCAGTCAGGAAGGTCATGCTGCTTACAATGACTCTCTCTCTGTTTAAATGCCCAGGGAAGGGAAAAATGGAAGAGCCATAACAAGAAAGAACAGCAGGGCAGGCAAAGGTAGACTAAATTTGCAAACTTAGAAAGCATCTCAGAATATAGTAGTTATTTAATATAAAAGTGCTTCCATTCCTGGTACTCTTACTTTCTTTGACTCTGTAAGTGCAATACAATAAATATTATAACTGTGTGTAATCACAGATTTAATGGCATGACTACTTCTAAAGAACCGAATATAGGTGTCGTCTTTGAACTCAATAACAAAAGACACCAGTATCAAAAGTTCCCCAAGACCCTGGAGTAGAAACACCTGCCTTAGGATCTGTGAAAGATATATACATTAGCACCCCTGGATTCTTACAGATTCTCCTGGAATTTCTTGCTAAAAAGGGAGAGAGAGTGTTGGGAGGGTTTCCTAAAAAGCATCCCCAGCAGTGTACTTGCACTATCGAAAATGAATTCATTTTTGGAAGTGGCTGTCTCAAGACCCATGTCTATATGATGGCCAATCAAATAACTGATGCTCACACTCCTAGAATCTAGGTAATATGCTCTGAAAACATAAAACAGGGGGTGAGGGGTGGAGGGGGTGAAGGAGAACCTGCATGATGCTCACTAATTGAAAGTTGCCAAAACGGAAAACTTTTATAAAAAGGTAATAACACCTACTTATTGGGAATTTCCAGTTACACAACCAAGATACTATCACAAGACAAATTATGATGGAAAATAATCATGCTCAGACCTGTGCTGGCTGAAATAACAACCTGTTCTGACAGTGAAGAACATTCATACGATGAAGGCTCACATAACCCTGCCAGCAGAATCGCCACTTCAACAGTAATGACATAACAAAAATAACTTGCAAAACTGGCTCAAATGGGACCATGGGCGTTTTCTACCATGATTAAGTAATAACCATTTACTTTCTCTGTTGCCTGTAAACATTGTTTGGGTTCTCACAGCTCTTAATTCCTGGTATTACAATTTTATCTGTAACCTAATTCCTGAATCTAGCTGTTACCAGATTCCACAAAATACCAAACAGAGTTAGGGCTTGGCAGCCCAGTGACAGCCTTATAGGAAGACGTCCTTTGCAGGGTTCACAGTTCCCTTTCCACCTCCATGAACGAAGAGAAGAGTGTTCAAGTTCTTGATGCTGGCTCCCCCTCCAGGTGCAGGGAGGAAAAGACGGCAGGGCTTCTCATAGCCACCCTACCAGCCTTCTGTGTCTGCCTTCTAAAAAAGAGTCCTAAATCACAGAGAAGCAAGAGTGGGAGCTTCATGACATCAATGAACGTACCTACAGAAAATGACGATTTTTCACTTGGAATAAAAGACTTTACAACAAAATTTCAGAATTAATTAGCAACCCCATCCTATCTCAGTGGTATTGCATTTGCATAAAACAACCAAAGGCACTTAATGCTCTTCTCTTACCTGCCTACTGTCCCTTTGGGAGGATGTTGAAGAGGAGGCACTTCTATGGGTTGGAGTGGATGTTTTATGAGCAGGGGAAATGCCCTTCTCATCTGAACTCATCGCTGCAGTTAGAGTCTCGTTTTATGCACTTAAGACCATCCCAATCTTCTCTCAAATCCACAAACAAAGAAGTAGATGATTTTTCAGCTTCATTCCATTTCATGAATCAGGTTTGACTAGAAAAGAGCAGGCAATATTGAGGGTGTCCAAACCACCTAAAAGCAAAACAAACAAGCCTCATATAAGTAATTAAAAGTCAAATTAAAATCATTATCTTTAGGATGAAATATTAATTTGTGTTAGTGAGAGGAGGAACTCTGACACATTAGGAAATACTTCTTCCTCTAGATTTTAAGGCGGAAGATGAAAGTGTCAGTGTGTAAAAAAAAAAAAAAAAAGGACTGTTAACAAGCAAAATGGGAAGAAATCATGTACTAAAGTCATATTCTCTCCTCTTGCATTTTCTTTGTTTTAAAGCAGATTATAACGCTATATTTGAGACCCTGATGCTAAAGACGCCAGATTCTCCTCCGGAAACGTAATCTCTCCTACCCAATGGACTAGAATAAGAGCTCGGTCCATGTTTGTCTTCAGTTTAGTTTAGCTATGTCATGTATGTGACGGTTAATCCAACACAAAGTAGTCAGTTACAAAAGAGTTAACACATTGTGTGCATCCTGTGATCCAGCATTTGTGAAGGATCCAGGAATACATATATCCACATTTATTTGTACCTCAAAACTACAGCATGCCTACATGTGACTCTCAACAACCAACATGCTCGCAAACATCTACAGATTGACAGGTTATCTTAGAGCAGGGGTAAATGGAGTTCCTTCACTTATGCACAGCCAACAGCCACTTCAATTTTTTTACTTGGATTCATGTAAGGAAGGTTTGCATTGTTAGTATTAAGGTTAAAGCTTGTGTCAGAGAGAAGCTCTTAAATTGGCCTTGTCTCCAACACAGCTATGCTAAAAAATGTTAAAAGGTAAGCACTATGGTATAACATTAAAAGCTTAAAAAATGATATTTCCCAAAAGATAGACAATTAAAGTGAACTTTATCCTCTTACAAGAAGAAGGTCACATTCTAGCCCCCATCTTAATGCTAATATCTTCTTGGAGGAAGTACAGAACACCAGAACACTTGTGTAGGCTTGTTAGCACAGGCTGGGAAGGAAAGCTGCTAGCAGGAAACAGAAATCAATTTTTAGGCCACAAAAAAGTGAGACCTGAACTTCAGTCCAGAGGGTGAGACACTGAATCAGATAAACAAAAAAAGATGGAGATATATGGGCATTATGAAGACAGTGACTGAGGTGAACTAATGGATCTGGGAGTTAGAGCTGAGGTCCAAAGAATGAGCGGTTTACTAAGTACCAGGGTGTCTGGCGTGACATGATCAACAGATGAGTGGTAGCCAATATGACTAGAGTCAGAGATATGGCGATATGGTGGTCAAAGAAATGCAGAGACCAGTCCCTGCAGGACCTTGTAGGCCATGACAGTTGCTATGGTCTGAATATGTGCACCAAAATTCATGTGTTAGAAACCTAACCCCAACGCAACAGTATTGGGAAGTGAGGCCTAATGGGAGGTGTTTAGGTCATGAGGGTGGAGCCCTTGTGACTAGGTTAGTGCCACTATATAAACAGCTTGTGATATGGTTTGGTTGTGTTCCCACCCACATCTCATCCTGAATTGTAGTTCCCATAATCCCCATATGTCATGGGAGGAACCAGATGAGAAGTAATTTGATCTTGGGGGCGGTTACCCTCATCCTGTCCTCATGAGAGGTCAGACCTGATGGTTTTGTAAGGGGCTTTCTCCTCTTTTGTTTGGCATTTCTCCTCGCTGCTGACATGTGAAGAAGGAAGTGTTTGCTTCCCCTTCTGCCATGATTATAAGTTTCCTAAGGCCTCCCCAGCCATGCAGAACCGTGAGTCAATTAAACCTCTTTCCTTTATAAATTAGGTGCTCTTGGGTATGTCTTTATTAGCAGCATGAGAATTGACTGATACAGCTTGTGGGAGTGGGTTCTCTCTCTTCTGCTTTCCTGCCATATGACGACATGAGGTTCCTCCTCTCCAGAGGATGCAGCATTTGAAGTGCCTCTTGGGAGCAGAGAGACAGGGCCCTAACCTGCTGGTGCCTTGATTTCCCAGCCTTCGGAACTGTGAGAAAGAAATTTATGTTCTTTATAACTTACCCAGTCTTGGGTATTCTGTTATAGAAGCACAAGTGGACTAAGACATTGGCATTTTGATTTTTATCATAAGCATGAGAAGCCATCGAGACGTAACCAGATTTGTGTTACTAAAGGGTGATTTTGGCAGCTGTGGGGAGACTCCAAGTGGGGAAGTAAAGAAGATGAGGAGGGCCCAATCAGGACTCAGGAGAGGATGGGAGAGTGCTGGCAGAAATTCCAACATTGAGTCCTGTGTCCTGTGACTGGACATGGTCGGGGAGGCAGGGTTGAGGCTAAATCTCAGGTCTCTGGCATTCTGAGCAAGAAATGGTCAAAGGAAATCCAAGATCCATGGGAAAGTCATGACTGTGGTTAGAGACATTGCTGAAGACATTCAGTTGGAGACAAACTCTTGGAAATGTAGGTCTGGAGCTCAGGGAAATCTAGGCTGGAGATGTAAATGTTTAATAGACTATGGTAATGATACAGATATATTAATCAGATCCTTTAAGATCATGTAAATTTCATATGTGCCAGTAAATGAAATTTTATATGGTCCTATAGTTATATTTTTAATAATGGATTATGTCACCCTGAATGTGTTATTCAGGATTTTAATGGTCACCTGTTTATAGAGAATACCTAAAAGAACAATCCCAATAATTACAGGGGGAATTTTTGTAAACTGTGAAAACTGGACATTCTAGTGAATAGAACTTGTAATCCAGTCTTAAAATTTCAACTTCACTGTCACCGCAGGAAAAATGAAAGCTACTTTCCCTCCAAACTGGGAGACTTTCTCTTGAAACAAAACTAGCCTTTGGACAAACAGAAATGGAAAGCGCTGTATATCTCTTCTGTGAGCTAGAGATAGTTTCATTCATTATTGGCAAAAGGTAGTAATAAACCTCCACTTGACAGATGATCATCTAATCTTTTTGTTTTATGAAGGCATTCTAATAAGTGAGTGAAGTTTCTGATTCCAAGCTGTGGTGCCAGCAAACAGAATGCACAGACACTGCTCGGATCCTTGATTTGAAGTACTTAGTTTTCTGGTCCCAGATGTTTTACAAGTAGATACTGACTCTTGAGCCAAAAAGGAGGTACTTTTGTGATGCGTTCAAGTGCTTCCAAGGGATGAGGTTGTAACAACCTAACTCATTAAACTGAAATCCATTTGGAAGTAAATTCAATCCAAGGTATATTTCCTCTGCTGGATTTTTTCATTTAAAAAACTGTACTTTTTTCATTAACATCAATGCTAACACCTTGATTTTTGTTTTAATTTAAAATGGCATTTTCAGGATAACTTGTTTATGATAAAAGGGCAACATTTCAGTTGAACTACAGTTTAAATATGTTGAATAATAGCAAAATGAAGAAAAAGTAAGAGAACTTAATTCATTCCAAGAATTGTTTTTGAGGTTATTGTTGTTGTTTCTATTAATTTTTGTTATTTTTTTTAACAGAAAGGGTTTCAAGTACTTAATATAAAGTTGAATGAGATGCCCTTTAAAGATTATTCCAACCAATTTTCAATCAAGTGTTTGACCACCTGCTCTTTTTCAAATGCATTATAAAAGTAAGTCTAAACTCTGAGAGAAGGTTATTCTTTAGAGTGTAGGAACTGCTATAACATAAAAAAAAGTCATCTCTACGAAAGAACATTTTCAGAAATTGCCTAAACAATATTCTAAACCAAAGAAAGGCCATAAATTTTAAAGTCAACACAACACCAACATAATTACTATACTCAATGAGAAACGTATTGTGACTGAAAATAACAGCAATATGAGAGAGCTGAACATCTAATTTTTCTGTCTCATTCTTCCTTTGTAACAGTGGGAACACTACAAGTATTGCTAAGTGCTGTAACATTTGCATTTTCATTGAGTGGCATAAATCTCAGATTTATGACCCAGGGACCTAATTAAAGCAAAAGCTGGTAGGGAAGACTTCTAGAACTTGCTGTTCAAAGGCATCATAAATTGTATGTGTCCAGAAAAACACTTAAGATTGGGGACCACTTGCCCTGGGCTAAGTTGCAATGAGTCACAACCAAGCCCCAAATGTCTTTCTCACAGTCCTGAAGGCTGATAAATCAAGGCACCAGTAGGTTAGGGCCCCGTCTCTCTGCTTCCAAGAGGCTTACAAGAAAGGTTTATTTTTAGCTCATTTACATGTCCTTTAGGTCAGCTGCAGACCTACCTTGAGTGCTCTTCATTCCAGGCTTAACAAACAGCCCCCAGGAGAGGCAGGGCAAAGAGCCATTGCAGAACCATGGGATGGTTCTTAGAGCTTTTGCTTGTAGGTGGTACAGGTTAGCTCACTCACGTTTTATTGGCCAAAACGAGTCACATGGCCTAGGTGAGTCAATGATGCATGAAACTATAGTTCTCCCAGTAGGCGAGGCAGTAGATATTTGGGTATAATGATAATTTACTATATAAACTATAGGAAAAGATTAAAAGTACAGTTGAAAATATTTAAATTGACTCCAGTTACATCACTGAGAGATAACCCTTGTTAACATTTTTGGTTCTACTTTAATCAAAGTAGAAGCATAATATTCACACTATCTGCAGTATGGTTTTTTGATCAACAATATATCACTAATGGCTTTTTTGATAAACAAAGAAACTTCAACAATACCATTCTTAACCATTACAAATAAGACTACCACACAGATATACCACAATACATTTAACCATTCTTCTTTTGGGACGTTTAGGTTGTACTCAGTATATTTTGGAACAATGAGATTTATCACAAAAGAGTCTGTAATAGTTATACATTTAGTCTTGATCATTATAAAAATGACCCTTTTCATTCCTTTTAACACTTTTTGTTTTGCTTTATCTGATATCATCTCTTCCCTTTCTGCTTGCAAGTGATTAAATAAACTTTGTCCATCCTTCCCATTTAAACTTCCTGTATATTTTATATTATGTGTCCCTCTAGTAATGATCAGGTTGAATTGTTCAAAAAATCTAATTTTAGTGAAGTATTTCCAATTTCTATTTAATGTTTTAACTAATAATTGATCTTACCCCTGCCATATCATTTTGTACTTTCTATTTTTTTGGTTCTTCTTTGTTTCCTTTAATGCTTGATGGCTTTGCTTGGTAATCTGGCTTTTGCAGCATACTGACTTTCATATGGTTTTAATAGCCTTTTATATTTGACAATAATTTGAAAGATATAATTCTCCTTTTAAAGTTCTATTTCCATTTCCCTTTACATTTCTCTAAATCACGCTGGAATCTACAGTCTGTAAGTGACAGTTAAGAGTAAAATGGGACTGGGTGTGGTAGCTCATGCCTGTAATCCCAGCATTTGGGAGGATAAGTAGGATCACTTGAGGCCAGTAGTTCAAGACCAGCCTGGCCAACATGGCGAAACCCTGTCTCTACTAAAACTACACAAATTAGCTGGGCATGGTGACACACGCCTGTGATCCCGGCTATTCGGGAGGCTGAGGCACAAGAATCACTTGAACCCAGGAGGTAGAGGTTGCAGTGACCTGAGATCATACCACTGCACTCCCACCTAGGTGACAGAGCGAGACCCTGTCCCCGCTGCCCCCGCTGTAAACAGACAAAAAAAGCAGACCTTCATCCTGCCTCCCTTACCCTCTCTATGGCAGATACATCTGACAGCAATAAGTTAAGCACACCCTGAGAGTGACCCTATGGTCTAAGAAGAATGTGTGTCCACAGTCCCAAGCAAAGGAATAATGGAGTGATCCACCTGGAGTGTCACTCCTTGTCTATGAGGAACATCTGAACCCCCTGCCCATCCCTTGGAACGCTGCCACTTTTTCTAATTGGGACCTACAGGGATCTCAAAGTGTGAGGACAAATTGTAAGAAAAGCCAACTCCTTTTCTGTAAGTGAAGATAAGGTTTGTCATAATCAAAACTTGGCTAGATTTTCCTCAATTTGAGATATATAGCTTTCATAAAATTAGGGTTTAGTCCTCTATAGTTTGACATTGTATTATTCTGTTTGAAGCTAGTGTTTGGGTTATTGACAGTTTGTCTTTTTAAATATTTGCGTAACTATTTACAGAGAATTTGGAGGAACCTCATTAGAAAATCCTAGATGCAAGTTTCCTGATTTCAACTCATCAAGCCTCTAATCTCTCTCCACTCTTCTTAGGCCCCTTACTAAGTAAATGAATAAGACAAACCCTCATCCTTGATGTGGACAGCCATCAAACCTGATGGGTGGGAAAAGGGAAAAGAAAGAATGAAGAAGGAATCATATCTTTTACTTTGTTTAGCTCTACATCTGAATTTTGTATCTGAAGTAAGTTTTACAGTGAACTAAATATTGTAAAACACTTATTACTCTCATATTGACACAATTTAATGTAATCGTTACCAAAATCATAACAGGATTTTTAATGACTTGGCAATATTATTTTAAAGTTCATCTGGGCTACTCTGGATGCACTGCTTATGGGTTAACTTTGCTCCACAAGGAGCGAAAGAAAGAATAGAAAGAAACAAAACAAAGAAAGGAAGGAAGGAAAGAAAGAAAAAAAGTAAGTTCATCTGGAAGAGTAAACATATGAGAATAACAAAGAATATTCTAAAAAATAATGAAAGATACTTTACTTATCACACACTAAAGCTATTTAACAGCTTCCCTGGTTAATAGTAGTAGTACAGGGCCAGGAAAAGCAAATGGAACAGACAAGAATTCTAGAAACTAGTCTATGCAACGACAAAAAGGATCTTAAAAATATCAGTAAGAATATTATTCAGTGCAAAAAAGATATGAGCTATCAAGGCCATGAAAAGACATGGAAAAACCTTAAATGCATAGTAAGTGATCATTTCACCAGTAATAATTTTCCAAGACTTGTCAGTCACTTTTTGATTCATCACTTGGTTTCTGGCCTTTGCCAACATGTTTTGAAAGAAAGATTAGATAATGTCATAGCTCATATTTTAACAGAAAAATAATACTGGGAAATATGGTTTCAATGACTGCTAACAGATACCAATTGTCAGCACAGTGCTAAGACTTTTTGGCAACAATAAGACATAACAAAATATTTTGCCCTACTTTGTGACCTTAAATGATGACTCATAAATCCCTAGGTGTGTACAAATTCTTACTAAGGCACTATATGATTTCAACAGTACATGTCCTGTTCTCTGGAGCAATTTCCTGTCAAAACAACCATTTCTGCACTGAGTCAAGGCATTCTGAGGAGTTGGCTAAAGCAGACAAAATGACTTGGGTTAAAAATGTCCTTGAACCAACCCTTGTGCATTGCTGGTGGGAATAGAAAATGATGTAGGTCCTGTGGAGAACAGTACGGCAAAAAAAAAAAAACAAAAAAAAAAGCAACTAAAAATAGGCTGGGCATGGTGGCTCACACCTGTAATCCCAGCACTTTGGGAGGAAGAGGTGGGCAGATCACCTGAGGTCTCTAATAAAAATACAAAACATTAGCTGAATGTGATGGTACTTGCCTGTAATCTCAGCTACTCAAGAGGCTGAGGCAGGAGAATTGCTTGAACCTGGGAGGTGAAGGCTGCAGCGAGCTGAGCTCGTGCCACTGCACTCCAGCCTGGGCAACAAGAGCAAAACTCCATCTCAAACAAACAAAAAACTAAAAATAGATTGCCATATGATCCAACAATTCCACTTTTAGGTATATGCCCCAAAAGAACTAAAATCACAGGCTAAGATACTGTACAACCATGTCCATAGCAGCATGTAGCCAAAATGCGGAAGCAACCCAAGTGTCCATCAATGAATGAATGAATATATTTAAAAAAGGGTTATATCCATACAATGGAATATTATTCAGCCTTAAAAAGGAAGGAAATTCTGACACATGTAATGACACAGATGGACCCTGAAGGCATCATTTTAAAGTGAAATAAGCTAGGCACAAAAGAACAAAAAACAAATACTGTATGATTTCACTTATATGAGATATGAGGTATGCAAAGTAGTCAAATGTATAAAGACAGAAGGTAGAATGGTGGTTATCAGGGTCTGTAAGGAGGAGGAAATGGGAAGAGTTGTGTTTAGTGGTTACAGAATTTCACTTTGAAAGATGGAAAGGTTCTGGAAATGCATGGTGGTGATGGATACCAAACAATGTGAATGCACTTAATGATACAGAAGTGGACACTTCAAAGCAGTTAAAATGATAAATTTTATGCTACATATTTTACTACAATAAAAAGTTCCTGAATCACCAGCTATTATGACTTCTACAATATGCAGACATTAATTTTATACTATTTTGTGGTCAAGTTTCATCTTCTTTATGAAATCTTTCCAACCTATTAGACAGAATTGTCACGCCAATCTGCATTTCTTCTATACATACACATACATATATTTCTGAACATATACTGCACTGTATTTATTTGACTTGATTCTGTAAGATCCATGAAGGTGAGGAGTATGTCACTTTTCTCATCATAGTCAAATGTCATGAGCCACAAAAGCCATTCAGGTTGTTTACTGAGCTTATCACTTTAATTAGGACTTAAATCTTCCATCATTATATCCATTAAATAACATTGATTGTGCTTGCAGACTGTAGATATCCACCCTAATATTAGTTCTTTTTCTTTTCTAATTTTTTTGAGATGGTGGTCTCACTATGTTGCCCAAGCTGCTCTTGAACTCCTGGACTCAAGCAATCCTCTCACTTCAGCCTCCCAAAGTGTTGGGATTAGAGGCGTGAGCCACTGTACCCAGCCTAGTTCTTTAATTTTACTATATTTGCCTAAAGATAACCCAAAATAATCCACATGCTTTGTAGACTGGAGTTTCCTATCTGTTCAATAGTGAGCTGGAGAGAAAGACTGTACAAGGTTCAACATTCCCAAGATAAAATCTCTCAGTTGTCCTAAAAAAAAAGGCCTGCCAGACTGCTAACAGTACTATAGGGGCCTGAGGGACATTAGGAATAGGAAATAGATGCAGTAGCATTAATTCTTTCAAAACACCACTGATGGGTTAGCCTGGCCACACAGAATTATGGCACCTGGCACCTGATTTACTAGATACCATCTACTAATTACAACATCTCATGGTCAGGAATCTTAAGCAGAATTTTGAAAACCTGTCATCCTCCAGAATAGCAGTGTTTATGCAAGCCATTACCCACATATCAGGATGTCCAAAATTCTACTCGTGTTGGGCATTCGAGCATGAGTGTTGGTTTCAATTATTGCTCATTCATTGTTACATGAGAGAAGGAACAGCTGACATAACCGAGAATCCACTGCCAGGTCCCAGGTTCTGCAGCCTTGTGAACTCATTTAATTGGAGTGTGGTAACCTTGGCACGTATCTAGTGGTGAGCTGGAGCTGGCTTGCACTAGCTCAGGAGCTATGTGCATCTCTCCCCAGTTTAGGGCTTCAAAGACATTCCCCTGGGACCTTGAAATAGACTATGGTGGGAGTATCTATGCCATGTGAATGCTTCAAATCTGGGCTTTTTGTTTTGTTTTGTTTTGTTTTTAAGAGCTGATTGTTAAACATTTGCCAGTACACCAGTGTGTGTGGTGGTTTTCATTGTAGTGGTTTCTCTTGTAGTGGTTTTCATTTTTATTTTTACTCTAAAATATCCCATGGATTGCCTGGGTTTGAAGCCAGTCCCAACACCGCCATTTCCTAGCTATGAAACCTCAGGCAATTTACTGAAGTCTCTCTTTGCTTCAGTTTCCTCATCTATAAAACAGGGATAGTAATAACTCTTCTTCACAAACCCCAAGCTTGGGAAATGGCAGTGCTAATCATCTACTACATAGGTTCTCAAGGGTACCATTGGGATCAACGTGTCACTTGGGAACTTCCTGGAAATGCAAATTCTTGAGTTCATCTATGCTTGTGAATCAAAACCTCTGAGGGTGGTGCCCAGCAATCTGTGCTTTAATAAGCCTGCCAGCAGGCAGCAGGTATGCCGAGTTGCCAATTGGGCCCCATTCTTCACTGGCCTAACACCAACAAAACTAGGGAATAGTAACACAGTATCAGACACAGAATCACCGCCAACTCACAGACCTAAAGCCCCAAAAATAAAGGAATTGCTAAGATTTTTCCTCTGAAATTAAGAAAGTTTTGGAACAAGAATTTTAGAGATAATTAAAGCATGTAGCATTTAACCTGTATATATTCCTAAATGGTTTTTATACTGCAAATTAGTTTTAACAACTTTAGATAGCTTACAAAAAATGACTTTCTTATAAACACAGTACCTCCATTAATTTTTTATTATAATTAATCTTTAAATAATTTTATTTTTATTATAATTGTGTTTTATTACAATTTTTATTATATAAACACAACACCTTCCAATAAGGAAAACAAATCAAAAAGCTCTATCATGAGCCCACAGGACTTCCATTGTCCACTAATCCTTGCAATTGCAAAGTGTATCAGATTCCAGATTCAGTAACCCAAGGAGATAACCCAGTCACTGTCTTTGACTAGATGGGGGATGGAGGGTAGGTGGTGCTCTGCAAAGCTTTCATGCAAAGGGTCAGACAGAAAATATTTCAGGCGTTGTGAACCATACAATCTCTGCTGTGGCTACTCAAACTGCCGTTGTAGTGGAGAAGTAGCCTTAGACAATATTCAAGTGAATAAACATGATTATGTTCCAATAAAACTTTATTTATAATAACAGGCTGCATATTTGGCTTGTGGGCTATAGTGCTGAACCTTGGAGTAACCGCTAGACTATGAAATAACAAGATGCATTCTTAGAACCAGGTGTTGGCAAGTACTTTCAAAGACTGTAGATTACTAAACAGCATCCCATGGCAGGCAGGTCTGTTAATCTGCACTACAGTTGGTAAATCATTTACACAGGACATTCTGAATTTAATTGCTTCTCACCAACTCCAGATTTCCCTATCTCCCCTAACACGTGAAAGAAGATACTTTATGCTTGCAAATGTACAAATTGAAAAATATTAATAAGATAAAAGAGGAACTTGTTTTCATCAAAGTTTTATTTATAATGTTAGTTTCATTAAAAACCCCATGAGAAAAAGAATTGCTAAGATCCACCTGAAGGATAAAACCCTAAGTAGTCCAAGAGTATTTTAGGAAAATGTATGAACTAAAAAGAAAAAAAGACCTCGAAAATTGCTAAGAGAGTAGATTTTACATGTTCTCACCACAAAAAAAAAAAAAAAAGCTAATGGTGAGGTAATGCACATGTTAATTAGCTCAATTCAGCCGTGCCCTCAAGTCTATATATTTCAAAACATGTTGTACGTAATCAAAATATACAATTTTGATTTGTTGATTTTTAAAAATCCAGAAATGTTCCAAAAAAAAAAAAAAATAGCTGTGGTGGCCGAAACTAACTTACAATGGTTTGACTTAGAATTTTCCGACTTTATGATA
Source organism: Homo sapiens (assembly GCF_000001405.40). Lineage (NCBI taxonomy): Eukaryota > Metazoa > Chordata > Mammalia > Primates > Hominidae > Homo > Homo sapiens. The sequence continues at coordinate 178,294,654 of NC_000002.12, read as the reverse complement.
GGTTAATCTCATCATAAATTGAGGAACAGCTATACTAAAATCTCTTCTCCTAAAGCTGATGTTATCCCTTAATCATCATCCTACATTCCAGAAGATATCTGTTTTAAACATTAAATGCAACAACCTGCTCTTAGCACTAAAATTTAGCTCATGAAAATCTTCAAACATTTGAGTAGCTTAATTGTACCTTTCAAAAAACGTTTTCCAATCAATATTGGATAATTTTAAGACGTCTGTTATCATGTATTATTTGGTAATGATGATGACTGTCTCACTCTCTTTCTGCCTTTGAAACCAAATCTGGAGAAATATGTCTATTCAAAATATTTTTTAGATTCTAAAAATATCTAGTTATTTAGGTTTTACCTCCTTTTTCAATTAGGTTCAAAATTGGTATAACCCATAATTATATGGAACAATGCAGTGCATTTATTCTAGGCATAAGACACCTAGTGGGAAAGTAGAATAAAATAATTGAAAGAGAAACTGAATCAGAAAATCCAGGACATGCAGTCAATGTGCACATGGTGACTGCTGATAATTCTTTGTTTTTCTGAATACTTCATTATTATTTGAATAAAATACTCAAATGGATTTTTTTAAAGACTAAGAACTCACTGTCAAGTCCTAGATCCTAAAGATTTTCTCCTATTTTTTTCTAAAAGTTTTATAATTTTACTTTTTATATTTAAATCTGTGATCTATTTTGAGTTAATTTTATATAAGGTATAAAATTTAGAGGTTCACTGTTTTATATACAGATGTCCAATTGCTCGAGCACTATTTGTTGAAAAGGCTATTCTTCTTTCATTAAATTGCTGTTGTGCCTTTGTCAAAAATTAGTTGGCAGAGGCTGGGAAGGGTAGTGGAGGGTGGGGGGAGGTGAGGATGATTAATGGGTACAAAAAATAGTTAGAATGAGTGAATAGGGCCTAGTATTTAATTGCATAACAGGGAGACTATAGACAATATAATTTAATTGTACATGTAAAAATAACTGAAAGAGTATAATTGGATTGTAACACAAAGGATACATGATTGAGGGATAAATACCCCATCTTCCACGATGTGATTACACATTGCATGCCTATATCAAAACATCTCATGTGCCCCATAAATATATACACCTACTACATACCCACAAAAATTAATCATAAAAATTTTTTAAAAATTAGTTGGGCACAAAGAAAAGCAAAAACGTAAACTAACTCTATTTGTAGGTTGTATTGGATTGCTGAAGTTTAAGAAATTAAAATGAAGCATTTTAGATTATTTTTTGTCTAGTTTGAAAATAAGCAATGGGACAAAAGTCCAAAATGGAAAGAGAATTCAGATCACGGGTTCTCCCACCCACCACTCTCCCCAAAACCCCTTTCTGTGGAAGTGTGGCTTCTTCATCTTTGTAAATCTAAGCAACACTGTACTTGATTCAGTACACATTTTGGCATTTCTTCACCAGTATCTTTCTTTTAAATGTTTTATTTTGGAATAATTTTAGATTTGCAGGAAAGATACAAAAATACTATGGGAAGTTCCCATACACCCTTTACCCGAGACTTCCTCCAGTTTTCACCAGTTTTTCAGAAGCTGACAAAACAAGACATTTTCATCTGAAACTTTAACTACTTATAGTGCCAGTTGAAAAAAAATAGACATTTGAAAATAAATTCAAATGCCAAAACTGCAGTTATTGTTTAAATAAACTCTACAGTACTTTCAAATTTGGTATTCTAAACATGAAAAAGTCAGCAAATCACCCTGCAGTTCTCAGATCAAGTGTTACCTCAGAATAGGCACACACCTTGTCACTTTCTAGAACAATACTCTTTTCATTTCCTTCATAGCTCTTATCTCACGCAGTATTTATATTATCTGTGTACTGGCTTACTGTCTGTCTCCAGAGACCTCATCTGTCTTGTTTCCTGCTCTCCTTGTTATAACCCCAGGGCCCATAACAGTGCCTGGAGGATACTGAGTGGACACTCAATAGACTTTGCTGGATGAATGAATGGATGGATGGATGAATTAAAGCCTGTCTGAATGACCAAACACTTGAGATATAGAGGGGATGATGTAAGACACATGATAAAAGACATCTATTTAGATGACTCTTAGTTCTAAAACGTTAAACCTTTAAATAACTAGCACCAGCCATATACAGTTGAAGTTTTGGGGAGCGTGTGTGTTTTTCCTTCATCTTTGTAGTCATTTCTTCCAAGAGCAAAGTTTAGAATTGTTGCTTGGAAAGCCAAACCTTTCAAAGGAGATTTGTGTTGTTGGTTCACTGCAACAGTAGTTCCTGTCATTAATCATTTGATATGCAAAGTGAATAAAGTAAAATTTTAAATTACCATCAAAGTTAGACTTATTAAAATATTAATCATTCTTCTGTATGTAAAACATATTTGAAAAATAATTCACAAATGTTGGATTTCAATTTTATGGTCATTTGGGAACAAGATATTTTGAGAAGACGGGTTAAAAGTTTACTGGAAGGTCCTGTACCAATCATTGAGTTTCGGGGAAAAAAAAGTTTACTGGAGGGTGGGGGATGGGAGGAGGAGGGAGAGGATCAGGAAAAATGACTAAGGGGTACTAGGCTTAATCTGGGTGATGAAATAATCTGTACAACAAACCCCCATGACATGAGTTTACCTATATAAAAAACCTGTATATGTACCCCTGAACCTAAAATAAAAGTCAAAAATGAAAGTTTAAAAGACAAAAGGGGGAATGGTCTAGATCTCCATCTTCCCTTCCATTGCCTACCTCTGAGATTCAGGTTCAAGGAATTAACTGGTTGTAGGAAAAAGACATCAAGGATGAATGGATGGATGGATGGATGGATGGATGGATGGATGGCAGGCAGGAAGGAAAACAGGGAAGGAGGAAAGGAAAAAGGGAGGAAGGAAGGAAAGAAAGGAAGGAGGGAGGGAGGGAGGGAGGAAAGAAGGAAGGAAGGAAGGAAGGAAGGAAGGAAGGAAGGAAGAGACTACCTGTTCCTATATTTTCTATGAACACTAACATTCTCCACGGGTCAGATATAACAAAATGTGTCCAGGAAACAATGCACTTGGTCACTTGACAAACCAAAGAAGAGAAAACCATTCCAAAACAAGTACCGTAAGTATCCATTTATCAAATAAAAGGAAGCAATAAAAAGAAGAAGCAATAAAATAAAAACACTGGAACACCTTCAGTCTCTCTGCTTTATTTAGAGTGTTTATCTTTCCTTTGTTTCTGGACCTGCATGATGATGAACAGTGGACACTAACAAAGCCATTCAATATGGCACACACTGATCTACCATCCAAAATGTACAATCATCCCACTGTCACTCCTGGAACACCTGCGTATGATGCAGTGAGTTGCAAATAACTCAGATAATCTGGTGAACTAAAGATTTAATAGACTGAATATCACTGCCAAGAAACATATCAACATTAATACTAAAAATGGAGTTGGGGAGAAAAATTCATCTTCTGTCTTCATACAGAAATTTTGAATGACTAAAAATAATAGTGATAATAAAAGGTAAAAAAAAAAACACCTCATAGTTAACTCTTTATTCTGTAAGATTTTCTCTACATAAAAATATAACAATAATTAGTAGTTTTCATGCTGAAATTATTAATTTGAAACTATTTTGTGTGCCCAAAGGATAAAGTAAATACATTTATAATGCTGTTTTGAACCAATGGTTTCAATGTAAAAGAAAAAAGATACAAATATAAAATTAAAAAATTAAGACTCCATAAAGTTAACTCAGGAAAATCAGCATGAACTCATCATTTTTTTTTTCTTTTTGGACACATGTATTTCCCACCTTGTTTCCTGAAAAGGCATGGAAACACTGACAACCCATGGAAATGAGCACCCCTAGTGCCTGACTATAGTTTCTAAATTCTGTTTCCTATTAAAAAGAACCAGGCTGCTTAGAATGGCTGATTCTTAGACTGGGGTATGGAATGCACAAAAAGAATTTGGGGCAACCTGTTGTATCAAAAAGTAGAGTCAAAGAAATTAATAGGACCAGGGATGCTTTGGGGATGTTCTGTATCTTGGTCTGGGTGCTGATTATATAGGTGTGTCCAGTATGTGCAAATTCACTGTGATTCACATATGATAGGTTCTCTTTTCTATACGTATACACAGGAGCCAGGTTGAAAGGGCTCATAATGAACAAAGAAGGTTTTGTTTGAGCATCAAAATGAAAAAAAAAAAAAAAAACCACTACAATTAAGTATGTGAAACATAACAAATATTTTTTTAAATCCTTGAATTTACAATGATTCTCAAGAAAAAAGGGAAGTTTCTCGCTAAAAAGCAGAAATATCACCTTTTGAAGAAACTATAGCACCAACTCTGATATTGTCAATTACTAGGGAAATATTAAGCAATCACCCTGCCCTTCCTATATGAACTGTATTTCAGGGCCACCAAATACTAGTTGATGATGGAAGTTCTTTATAAAAGAATGACAGCTAACAAATGTAGAAGGAATAATAGGATGGGGTGGGGGTCACCATTTTTATAACCCCTAATGACATAATGTATTCAGGCAATGATTATTGGCTGACAAAATCATGAAGTGAAAAAAACGGATGGGGTAACTTTAGAACAGGGGGATCAGGATGTTCTTCCCCGAAACACGGTCCAATGACAGCATCACTAAAAGTGGGGTAACTAGACCATATGTGCCTCCTGAGGTGGCACTACGTAAAGTACACAGCAAAAGGAAGCAGAATTCTTGCCAGAATAGTTAGATCTGAATCCAATCAAGCCTCTTGATCTAACTTCCAAGTTCTAGTAAATCTGAGTAATAGAGAAAAAAGTTAAGTAACAACAATCAGCCAAACCTAGTATGTGGAAAGTTCTATTCCCAAAGTGGCTTAACTTCAACAAGTGAATGACTTGAGAAAAGAAAGGGAATATTCTAGATAAGAGTTTTATGAGACTCAATAGCCAAATGAAATGTATGCACTTCTTCAGATCTGGTTCAAATAAACCAACTATTAAAAGAGAATTTTGAGACAATCAGGGAAATTTGAATATGGAATGAGTAGTAAATGATACCAAAGAAGTATCATTCATATTGTTAGGTGTGACATGGCAATATGGTTCTGTAGGAAAATGTGCATATTAAAATATGCCTACTGGAAAATGCAGGGGTGGATATGACATGATGTCTACTTCTAATGACTTCTGATAAATGGAGAAGGAGATAGATGAATCTGAGTGTGTGCGTATGGTTGTTCATTATGCTATTCTTATACAAAAGCCTAAGTTTGAAATTTTTTCAAATGAAATGTATTTTTAAAATATAGAAAACAAAAACTGGCTGGGCACAGTAGCTCACGCCTGTAATCCCAGCACTCTGGGAGGCCGAGGCGGGTGGATCATGAGGTCACGACTTTGAGACCAGCCTGGCCAATATGGTGAAACCCCATCTCTACTAAAAATACAAAAATTAGCTGGGTGTGGTGGCACGCATCTGTAGTCCCAGCTACTCGGGAGGGTGAGCCAGGAGAATCGCTTAAGCCCAGAAGGCAGAGGTTGCAGGGAGCCAATATTGCACCACTCTACTCCAGCCTAGGTGACAGAGCGAGACTCTGTCTCAAAAAAAAAAAAAAAAAAAGAAGAAAAAGAAAAAGAAAACAAAAATCAACAGAAGAAAAAAGTCTTAATAAAGAAAAAACGTCCCTGGCCGGGCACGGTGGCTCACACCTGTAATCCCAGCACTTCAGGAGGCCAAGGCGGGTGGATCACTTGAGGTCAGGAGTTCAAGACCAGCCTGGCCAACATGGTGAAACCCCGTGTCTACTGAAAATATAAAAAATTAGCTGGGCGTGGTGGCGGGCGCCTGTAATCCCAACTACTTGGGAGGCTGAGGCAGGAGAATCACATGAACTCGGGAGGCAGAGGTTGTAGTGAGCTGAGATCGCGCCACTGCATTCCAGCCTAGGCAACAAGAGCGAAACTCCCTCTCAAAAAATTTAAAAAAAAAAAAAAAGTCCCTTTTCCCTACTATTTATATATGAAAACCTTGATATGAACAGTATACTCCTTTTTTTCCCCCACTTAGTTACTTATACAGTTATACATACTTTTACTGGATATGTATTCAAGGTACAATTTATTTTTCAGAACTGGTCTAAATCTTTCAGGTGTTTGGGCGACTCATTTTTCTAAAACCTCACAAACCAGATTGTGATGGACAATGAATGCACAGGCGAGAGCTGGCCTGGGGCACAGCCCTTCTCTCTGGACAAAGAATCTTCTCTTGTCCCTCCTTTGTTTCCATACTTTTCAACAGGCAAGAACGAAGTTTTGGGGTCTCACTCCTTTTCCCTGGAGAGAGGAGGTGGCTACTGGCCTGCTACTTCCTCTGGGTCCCTCAGCTCTTCAGATTAGGTGCTCCTTGAGCAGAAGAGACCCCCTTTAACCTGAGGGAAAGCCCAGGACAGGAAGAAACAGGGCAGGTGAAATGGTGTCTGCATTGCCAATTCCTGCTTGCTATTCTCTCCATTTCCACTACTCCAGGGGGAAGTCTCATGACCCAAAAATGATAAAAGGGAGTCAATGGCAGCTTCCTCACCATGTCAGGGTTGAATACTCTTTCTCCTCTTCCACTTTTTACCTAACCATGTTATTTTTGCTCACTGGTTAGTTTTACTTAAAAAAAAAAAAATCAACCTGTTTCATATGTCAACAACAGCTCCTAAGCCCTCCCTACAATTTTTCCCCCATTTCCCCATTTTTTCGGTCTTAGTTGTCACTTCCTCAGGGAGTTAAAGGAAATGGAATGTGGAGCTGATAACAGGAACTCCAAGAAAACGAGATAAGAAGGTTTTCTGAAAGCATTTCTGAGTGTACATGCACACATACTCTTTAATTCCTGTAACCAAAGAAATAAAAGCAAATTTCTTTCTTATTTTTTTGTGGGGGGTAGATGGGGGGAGATAGGCTCTATGAATCTAGCAAACAAAATTCATGTAGAAAATGAGATATCAATCACCTGAAATTCCCCTTCAAAAAAGAATTCAGTTTTTTTCTCCTATAGTCAAGTCACAACTCAGCAAAAGTGTGGAAACAAATTTTCAGGTACTTTATTTCCATGAACTTAAACTTGATACTCAAAGGGACTCATGCACGATTTCAACTCTGCATGTTGTCAAGTATTGAGAGATCCTAGGCAATACTGATCTAACAGAATCCATGAGATGGAGCAAAGTAATGCAGGCAGAAGGAAACTAAGATACTCAAAATAAAAATCCCACCCATTGGCCTTCTTTCCTATGTGCCTCAACATTTAAAAATGGATACCAATCAAGAAGAGATTTACAATGTGTCTGATGTATCTAGGGGGGAGAAATGGATACCCTGTGGCCTGAAATCTGCTTAAATAACAGGCATTACCAGTTGGACTCTAAATGCATTATGGGAAAATATCTGTAAATCTTATTTTTTAAGTAAAATAATTTGTTTTTTTTTTTTTTTTTTTTAAAAAAAGAAGAACCATTGTTTTAGGAGTATGTCAGTTTCCCCACGTTGAGTTTAGCTAATGCAGGCACAGAAATGCTATGCCTATAAGGACCCTATGATTTGAAATGCTTCCATGGTTAAAGTATTTTATTACCATATAAACATTTGGTTCAATATCAAATTGACAGAAACATTACGCATGAATTTCATTTAGCAACAATATATAGCAATCAAAGATGAGGAAAGACAAGTTTGTGAGTAACTACAACTCACTGTGATGGAGGTATGTCTAACTCTGACGGCAAGATTTCTCAATGCTAAAAGCTCTGCACATATAGAGGGCATAGCATTACTGTTCTCTGAGTCGCCCTGGTGTCCAGAATGAGTGAGGGCCTAGAAAATGGACTCTAAATCCCTACGGGGGTCATTCAAAAAGAAGGCTACTTGGTGAATCAGTTTACGTCCCTGGAACCAAAACAGTCAGATCAGGCAACTGAACTCTTAGGTCATGAAATATCAGACCCTGAGATGACACCCTCCACATCTGGAAAAAATGATGCAGAGCACATCACTATGAAAATTAGATCTCCTTAAGCCCATGGCCTGAAACATCTTATCTTTGAAAAGTCTTCTTACTTCATAGGTAAGCCTGGCTGGCAAGTGTCAGCTTCTCAAAGCTCATACATTTTATATAAAATAATAAATGCTAAAATAATAGCAGAGGATAAATACTAATAGAATGTTATATTAAAGTACATAGAAGTGACCTCATATACAGAGAGCAGAAGAAATTGATGCTTAAAGCAGGACTCTTGAACTCAAAAGCCTACGTGTCCCAGGCAGGTGCCATAATCTGTAAGATTGGTTTGGTTAAATATTTAGGGAATGCAAAATACTAGCAAAGTACAGTTACTAGGATAGTAACAAGACCAGATTTTTAATCTTCCAAGAGAAACCAGATATCTGATCTATCTGATTTTTATGTGAAGTTTCCAGATTTTCAAATGTTGGCAATTAATTTTCTTATAAAAAGAAAATTTTTACAGGTTAAAAAATGTTAGCAAAAAATTTGGCCTGTGGGCTACTTTGCAAGCTCTAATCTAAAATGCGCTTTTAAACAATACAGTAATAAACAGAAAGCTTCTAATATAACAATGATTACACTAAATTACTGAGCCTTGGTTTCTGCTCTACCAAGAGGAACCAGTCCACGCTAGGAAAGGGCGGGAATGGCATCAGGATACAAAAGAAACTTTCCCAAATCATATATGTCTGAATTGTCATCACCACTACCACCACCATCCCTGTGCCCCTGGCAAATAAGGTTTGAGCAGAGGATGTGCAGCTTGTAAAAAGCTCCCGAAGACGATTAATGCCACAAACTTCCACCCTGGGGATGGCTGACCTTGAAGAAATAGAAAGCTTTGGATAACTGGGAGGGTGCAGCTAAGTGGTGAAGACCACAAACTCAGTAGGCCTAAGATATCAAATAGTTATATAAAGCGGCTCTAAAATAATAACCACAAATATCAAAGATGACAAGGATACCACAAAAAGTATTGCTAGTACCACAGCCATTTCAGTCTCATGAGCAAAAAGAAAAGTTGACTGTCTCATTGTTTACTATGGAAGATTATAAAAACTGGATGCATTTTAAGAATGTGTACCTGTAGTCAAATGTGGGTTTGTGGATATGTGTATAAAGAAAGCAAGGATAACATTTTGGCTATTTTAAGGTTTAGGTCTGCACGTTCATTGCTCAAGAAGGGAAAAGCAGTATCATATTTCCACATGATGCCAGACTACATACAGAAAACAGAAAATGGTTACCAAATATTTTCACATTTTTCTACTTCCTATCCTTAAAAAAAAAAGAACTTTTTATTATAAGGATTATGACATATTATTTTAAGATCTGACATACAAATAAGAGATATAAAGAAACACCTTCCTGTGACTTTGTGGTGTCCCACTAATCTGTTGCTATTATTAAGCGCTGCCTAACCTAACCCTGCTTTTGGTTTTAAGCTTGTGTTCTTCTAACTCACCTTGCACCTTGGAGTCAAAGTCTTCCAAGTCAGCTTTATGGTCAAAGCTGTTTCACAGTGATTTATCCTCAGATGCCTGCAGCTTTTCTCCTTGGGACATGATATGTCTTTGACCTTGCTGGGGCTATCTGGGTAAATTATAGGGGTGGCTCCTTAATATCCTTCTGTTGCTGTTTTCCCAGCAAGTGGCAGAACCTGAAAAAGAGAGATTACAGTCATATAGTACATCTTTACAAAACTTTCGTGAGCCTCTCACGGGGACTGCCTATGGCCAATCAGAAAATTCCTCCCAATTTATCTTTTGAACAGGAAGTTCATATGGGTACATGCCTCAGCTTTTTATCTCCTTTGTTCAGTTTTATGTAACCTCAAAGACGTAACCACTGACCTTCTCAGTAATCAGTAACATTCATAATTTACATCTCACCCAGAGCTTGGAGTATGAAAACTCTCAAGTGATATAGCAAATATTTCCTAAAAGGGGACAAAATATATTCTCCAGGACCACATTTAGCCCTCCAATTAAATATAAACCTCAACAGGGCTTTTTTGTTTGTTTGTTTTGTTTTGAGACAGAGTCTCGCTGCAATGCCCAGGGTGGAGTGCAATGGTGTGATCTCGGCTCACTGCAACCTCTGCCTCCTGGGTTCAAGTGATTCTCCTGCCTCAGCCTCCTGAGTAGCTGGGATTACAGGCACACGCCATCATGCCCAGCTAATTTTTTTATTTTTAGTAGAGATGGAGTTTCACCATGTTGGCCAGGCTGGTCTCGAACTCCTGACCTTGGATGATCTGCCTGCCTCGGCCTCCCAAAGGGCTGGGATTACAGGCTGAGCCACCATGCCTGGCCCAATAGAGTTTTTAAAAATAGTAAGTATGAAGTGGTTTCATCATACATGCACATAGATGTACAATCTCTAATGCCCTGAAAAAAACGCATGAACAGTCTCTAATTTGCTGTAGAAGAGAACTGTAGCCAAACTCCTAGAACAATCCTCTAGCAAGAAGAACAGACTCTATACATACTATAAAAGAATATAGTTTTTAACTTGACATAATTTCTCAGAAAGCAAAGAAACAGTATGCTATGGTTTGGATATAATTTGGCCTCACCAAGTCTCATGTTGAAATATGATCCCCGGTGGTGAAGGTGAGGCCTGGTGGGAGGTGTCTGGGTCACAGGAGCGGATCCCACATGAATAGCTTGGTACCATTCTGAGGGGTGAATTCTCACTTTTATATCCCACAAGAACTGATTGCTGAAAAAGAACCTGGGACTCCTTTTCTCTCTCTCTCTTGCTTCCTCTGTCACCATGTGATCTCTGCATAACAGCTCTCCTTCATCTTCTGCCACGAATGGAAGCAGCCTGAGGCCCTCACCAGAAGCAGATGCTAGCACCGTGCTTCTTATACAGCCTGCAGAACCATGAGCCAAATAAACCTCTTTTCTTTACAAATTACCCACCCTCAGGTATTCCTTTATGACAACACAAATGGACCAAAACACAGTATTTTTACAAGAGAATAAATTCATCATAAGATAAGAGAAAAATGTGACAAGTAATCCAAAGAAGTTACTCTCTGATCCTGAAACATGACAGACGTTTTTATCCTTCCAGCCATAAACCTCTCTAGCAGGCTCCTTTATTCACAAGCCAGCTTTAAAAATCACTCCCTGGGTTTGACTTTTTCAAGCCTATCCTTTCACTCTGTTTTAGTTTTCCTTTTTTTTTTTTACTTATTGAGAATGGGAAAAATGCACACACAAGCACATGTATACATACATACATATTCTAAGGCTACAACTTACTGAAACTGCAGAAGATTTATGTTTGGCCAGCATCCAATGCCATGATTGCCCCCTTAAGTACCATCTTTCTGCAAAAGTTTTTGTTCTAACTCCCCTTCCACTTCTTTAAATAACATTTTTAAAAAAAATTCTACTGTGTTGTAAGACGATTCCGTGTACCTTGTAAGTCCTGAGTAAAATTTAATTGTTGATTATGATGATGACCTTGAATACTAAGGCTAAGATCCATCAGAATTCTTTTTGTATGCTCAGCATTGCATCTTTTTATTTTCTGCACACTACTCAGTCTATGCTCTTTAATCTCATTTAATTACAGGCAGATGGAATATGAATTGTCAGCTATAGAAACTCCCCTAGCAGGCCAGGCGCAGTGGCTCACACCTGTAATCCCAGCACTTTGGGAAGCCAAGGTGGGTGAATCACCTGAGGTCAGGAGATCGAGACCAGCTTGGCCAACATGGTGAAACCCCATCTCTACTAAAAATACAAAAAATTAGCTGGGCATGGTGGCAGGCACCTATAATCCCAGCTACTTAGGAGGCTGAGGCAGGAGAATCGCTTGAAACCGGGAGGTAGAAATTGAAGTGAGCTGAGATCATGCCATTGCAGTCCAGCCTGGGCAACAAGAGCGAAACTCTGTCTAAAAACAAAAAACAAAAAGCAGAAACTCCCTTAGCCATCTCTTCCTTCCTCCTTCCTATGATGAACTCTGTCAAGCTTTGGAAACAGAGAAGACACTGATAAAGAGGAAAAAGAAAAGGCAAGCTAAAGAGTCCCCTGTGCTATCCTGCAGCTCTTTTTGCTCATTCACCCCCGTTCCTCTGTCCTAGTCTGATTCTCCACAAGTTCTTACCATTCTAAAATAACAAGTGGGAAGGTAAACCAGAAGAGAGGACCAAGGGGGTAAGATTAAGGCTTCCTTTCCTTCCCGCTGTTTCCTCCACTAAGCAGCAGCAGAGGGGAGGGATAAGACAAGTTGAATCTCACTAACCATATCTAAGGAATTCCTCCGCCCTCTCCCATCGCATCACATATGCTGTGTGTGTGTGTCCTTGGCTACCTGCCTATGTAAATAAAACCTTAGCCCAAGGAGCATCCATCTACTTCCTTCTTCTTTCGCCATAGTCTTTGCCAATACAGCCTTCAAAATCCAGCACAAAACTGCAACTCCCAACTCCTTCACTGATCTTTCCAGTTAGGAAGAAGAAGCTGCTCAGTACTTTTGGTCAGTTCTATTTGTGTCAGGCTGTCCTGGTCTTACAGTTTTATGTGTGAACTGTGTCTCCTATACCAGACTGTGTGTACTCCGGGAAGCAGGGACCGGACCTTAATTCTGTGCAAACAATTTTTTTCCTTTTAAGTTCTGGGGTACATGTGCAGGATGTACATGTTTGTTACACAGGTAAATGTGTGCCACGGTGGTTTGCTGCACCTATCAACCCGTCACCTAGGTATGAAGCCCCACATGCATTAGCTATTTCTCCTGATGCTCTCCCACCCACCACCCCCCTCACCACAGACCCCAGTGTGTGTTGTTCCCCTCCCTGTGTCCATGCGTTCTCATTGTTCAGCTCCCACTTATAAGTGAGAACATGCAGTGTTTAGTTTTCTGTTCCTGTGTTAGTTTGCTGAGGATAATGGCTTCTACCTCTGTCCATGTCCCTGCAAAGGACATGATCAAATACAGACACATAGACCAATGGGACAGCATAGAAAATAAGACTGCACGTCAACAACTATGGGATCTCTGACAAACGTGACAAAAACAAGCAATGGGGAAAGGATTCCCTATTTAATAAATGATGCTGGGAGAACTGGCTAGCCATATGCAGAAAACTGAAACTGGACCCCTTCCTTACACCTTATACAAAAATTAACTCAAGGCAGATTAAAGACTTAAATGTAAAACCTAAAACTATAAAAACCCTAGAAGAAAGTCTAGGCAATACCATTCAGGACATAGGCAAGGCAAAGATTTCATGAGGAAAACGTCAAAAGCGGCCGGGCACGGTGGCTCACACCTGTAATCCCAGCACTTTGGGAGGCCGAGGCAGGCGGATCACCTGAGGTCAAGCATTTGAGATCAGACTGGCCAACGTGGGAAAACCCTGTCTCTACTAAAAAATACAAAAATTAGCCAGGTGTGGTGGCGCATGCCTGTAATCCCAGCTATTCGGGAGGCTGAGACAGAATTGCTTGAACCTGGGAGGCAGAGGTTTCAATGAGCCTAGATCATGCCATTGCACTCCAACCTGGGCAACAGAGTAAGACTCCATCTCAAAAGAAAAAAAAAAAAAAAAAGTCAAAAGCAATTGCAACAAAAGCAAAAATTGACAAATGACATCTAATTAAACTAAAGAGTTTCTGCACAGAAAAAGAAACTACCAGAGCAAACAGACAACCTACACACTGGGAGAAAATTTTTGCAATCTATCCATCTCTGACAAAGGTCTAATAACCAGAGTCTACAAGGAACTTAAACGAATTTACAAGAAACAAACAAACAACCCCATTAAAAATTGGGCAAAGGATATGAATAGACACTTCTCAAAAGAAGACATTTATGCAGGCCTGCACACAATTGTTAACTCTGACACTGTGTGTTAGAGTTTAAAATAGAAATTTACAAGGTTTTGACTTACATGTATTCTGTAAGAAACTAATCTATTATTGTCTATTTTGCTATTAAATGCACGAAAGTGTATATTTTCACACAATGCATATGAAATGTCAAAGAACAGAGGTTTTGGCTTGTTCTGCAACCATAATTAATGTTCATGCGAATATTCTGTACAACCTTCAAAAAGACAACCAAGATGAAGTGTAGTACCCGCTATAACCTCCAGGGGGACTGAGTACTCTGAGTTAAAAATTACCACCACACTATTAACACATGGTTCAGTTATAACCAATCATCTCTGATAGTTACTCAAGCCAAAAATATTAGAAACATTTGTCTTAATTCAGCTTCAAAAGCTTGATTAGGACATACAGGTTTATATAGTCACATTCACATTCCAAATTTCTAGGTGACATATATTATTTTAGAAAGCCAGAGTTCACTAAGTGGCAATTCAACCTCATTTTATTTAATTTTATTTTTTTTAAATTTTTTTGAGACAGATCTCACTCTATTGCCAGGCTGGAGTACAGTGGTGCCATCTCAGCTCACTGCAACCTCCACCTCCCAGGTTCAAGCAATTATCCTGCCTCAGCCTCCCGAGTAGCTGGGACTACAGGTGTGCGCCACCATGCCCAGCTAATTTTTGTATTTTTAGTAGAGGCAGAGTTTCACCATGTTGGCCAGGATTGTCTAGATCTCTTGACTTCGTGATCCACTCGCCTCGGCCTCCCAAAGTGCTGGGATTCCAGGTGTGAGCCACCGCACCTGTCCCAACCTCATTTTAATTAAGAAATTTCACTGGGTCTTGTTTTACCTTGCACATAAACTGCATGCAGGGCAGAAGTCCAAAGGTGATAAGTGTATAAAGTTCAAGCCTGATTACTGCTTGTGACAAAGTACATTGAAGATTAATCCTTAAAGCCACACTAAGAAATACCCCAGTTAAGAAATATACTCAGAGATAGGAAGATTGGTTCTTTCAAAAAGTATAACCAAAATTGGCGTGCATGCGTGTGTGTGCATGCACACGCGTGCACACACATGCGTTTTCGTACAGCACATCTGGTTTTAACTGAAACACATTCACAATAGGAATCATGTTCTATTTAAACATATCCTCTGTAGATCAAAAAGGATGCTAACATTATCTTTCTAAATCATTAATGAGCAAAAGTTGTAAAGGTTGAAAAGGTTGATTTAAACAAAATTTCCCACACTAACCAGTACTAGCCAGTGGGCGTCTCTGGAAAATCTCATTCAGAAGAGTTTAGTGACTTGGCAATGGTTCCTTCTGAATGGCTCATTCAGGAAGCAAATGATCCATTATCTTTGCAACAGAATTTTCCTTTAAGCTATGTGACTAATCCTCCCAACAGCCTGGGTTTTGCCCACATGTTCTTGTCTAGTGCATTCCCCGCACATTCCTCTCCTTTCTTATTCAAGCCCATCAGAAACCAAGATGTAGTCTACCAAAGATTAGATTGTCCCATGTAGCTACTAGGTAAATGCATATAATGCAAAATGGAGACAAGATTAAGCAAACCCCAGCACTCTGTACAATAATAAAGAATTCCTAAAATAATAAAGACAACCAGAAGAGTTATCTATGTAATCTAGATAGCAAAGTCTATTTCATACCAAAAACAAGAAATGAGACACTTTTGATCATTTTCTCACATATGTGGGCCATGGTTTTATTTCAATGCTCACACCATTTCTACAAAGAAGGATTGGTCTTAATTTAGGGTTCAACATTCTAAATTGCTTTTCTAGAAATCTGTAGCACAATACACAGTACAACACCTTTTTTTATTATCTTGCTTACTTTGCCTATTGTCACCACTAACTTCATTAGTGAAAAGATAATCATTTTGCTTTTTTCCACTGGCAGCAATGTTTAGACAAGAAATTGATTTTTCTTTTCCTACCTATGAAAGTTTCAAGTTCACTGAGGGTATCTAAGTCTCTGGAGAATATAGTTTAAGTGCCACAATCCAATAGGTTTAATGGAAACAGGTTGTGCTGGGGTAACTTCCTGAAGATGAAATATACAAATTTCAGTCATTGTTACCTAGTAACTACTGTGGCTTTCTTGTTAATAAGTAAAGAGCAAAAGACATTTAACCTCAGAAAAGTATCTTATCTCATTAATGTTACTACATATCAAAGAAGTTAAAATTCACAAGCTGAAATAACATATCAGAGTTTTCATATCCACCACTAAGTATTGATTGATTAATCCACAACAGTAAGTCAATTATGTAGTTATTATATATAAACATCAAAACCAGACTCTAAAGAGGATCTAGAAATGTAACAATCAACAAAAACCAGGCTCTTGCCCTTAAGAAATTTAGAGGGCTCAAAGCCCTAGATAACAGGAAAAGGTATGTGAGTAATCTTTTTAAGTTACAAAAGCAAAATATGTACTATGAATATTGATGGCATGAAAATAATTCTAGCTTGGCGTTTGTGGGCTGGGTGGGAATCAGATCAGAAGAAGTTCCTCAAAAGAGGAGGCATTTGAAAGATGAGTAGATCAGGCAGAAAATGGGCATGCAGGGATGAATAAAGGACATTTCAAACAGTGAGAAAAGTATATGAAAATCAAGAGACGGGAAAGTGTAGTCTGTAGTTCAGAGCTCAGAGCTTAGGGGACAAAGGAGGAGAGTAGAGCAGGGGAAGCCAGAGAAAAGGTTTGAAACAGCGTGGAAGGTCTCAAATGCTGGTGAGAGATTGAATTTCACTGTGTGGGCTGTAAAGAACAGGAGCGAAGTTCAGAACAGGAGAGCCACGTGATCATACTTCATGGAGGGGGATCTAGCCGCAGAACAAACGGGAGGAAAAAGACAAGAGAGAACCTCAGAGATCAGATGGGAGGATGAAGCAACCTGGGAGAGTGGAAACAGGAGGGGACAAACCAAGAACTAACAGTGGACAGGACAGAAGGTGAACCTAGACAGCCTCACGTGTTTCTTGCCTTAGCAAAATAATCAGTGAGAAACAAAACATTCATGATTTTTCAGAAACATGATCAAAGTATAACAAGATATTTTATTTATAAATGCTAATAAACTATATACCCTAATAAACTAATTTGCTCAAGACAAACATAATTTTCTCAGTCTATCACAGTTCTACCATTTAGCCAATTTTTTCAGATTTTTTTGTTTGCATATAACTTAGATCTAATTGACAATATTTCTCTGAGGGTAGGGAAAGTGTTTTCTTTCTTCAAAATTCAAAAGCCAAGCACAGGGAGGACTTGACATTTATTAACCATTCAAAGATTTTTTTCCCCCAAATTAAAGAGTATTGTTAATGCTGACAAAAATTCAGATGACTGATCATACAGCTAAGAATTCTGAGTAGAGGCTATTTAAAGGAATCTGCAATTTTATTATTCCCTTGACAACATCTGTGTGAAATCCAAAGAATAAATATTACAGAAACCACTCAATAGTTCTATTATTCAGTTGAATAAAATTGCATAAAAATTAATAACTCCATTAATTCTAAAACACTATAAACATGCTTAGGACACATCCTAATCTTCTGAAAGGAGTATGCTCTAAAGAAAGAGTTAGCAAACTTTCTGTAAAGGTCCAGATCAGTGAATATTTTAGATTTTGTGCAATCCCTTGATGAAACTACTCAGCTCTGCTGCTGTGCCAGGAAAGGAGCCACAGACAATATATAAACAAATAAACATGGCTGTGTTCCAGCAAAACCTTACTTATAAAAAAGTGGTGGGCACCTACTGCAGTTTGCTGACTCCTGCCTAGCAGAGAATCCAGCTGTGGTGGCTTGATATGGTTTCATTGTTCTTGCTCCTCAATGCACATAACTCTGATGAAGTGATTTAAAAAATTATTGTGAGAAAATGGGCTCAAAAAAAAAAAAAAACTCTTCTAGTGGAGTAATAAAAGGGAAAACAAAATGAAGAAGTTCTGAGGAAGCAATGGATTCACGGAGACAAAGAGAAGTTCAGGGAAACTTATAAAGAAGAATGTAAAGGCCAGGAGTGGTGGCTTAAGCCTGTAATCCCAGCACTTTGGGAGGCCGACGTGGATGGATCACTTGAGGTCAGGAGTTCGAGACCAGCCTGGGCAACATGGTGAAACCTTGTCTCTACTAAAAATACAAAAATTAGCTGGGTGTGGTGGTGCATACCTGTAATCCCAGCTACTTGGGAGGCTGAGGCAGGAGAATCACTTGAACCCGGCAGGCAGAGGTTGCAGTGAGCCAAGATCATGCCACTGCACTCTAGCCTGGGCGACAGAGCGAGACTCCGTCTCAAAAAAAAAAAAAAAAAAACCATTTAGAATATTTAAATATTCTAAGTAGAAATATTTAAAAATGTGACTCACGAAATCATTTCAGGGGATATTCCAACCAATGCCCAAATTCTCACTGAGAGAAAACTTCAGGGAAAGCTTAAACTATCATATAAAAATATTTAAGAAATGCATGAATCTTGACAGAATATTTGCATGAGAGAGGCCTAGGGGATTGGTAAATTTATGAAAGTCTCAGATCATATTTCCCTCATGAATTATGATGATCGTAATATATTTACTTGATACACTAGGGGGAAAGTAGAAAATCCTATCATCAAAGCTTACTAATCTATATTTAAATCTTTAAAAGAGTTAAAAAACTATCTTAACTCAATTACATTTGCTTAACAATGCTACTGCTAATTTACCATTGAAAGTGACTTACTAGCTCTGTGACCTTGTGAAAATTATTTTACTTCTCTGTGCCTCGGGTTCCTCATCTGGAAAAAGTAGCTCTTTCACTGAATTGCCTGAGGATTAAGCAAATTAATGCATGTAAAGTGTTCATAACAGTCCAGGCATACGGAAGTGCTCAAATGTTCTGCTGCTGCTGCTGCTTCCCCAAGTCTCTTCTCCCCAAGTCAGCTTTACTGGTTCCTCTTTTTTTTTTTCCCTCTTTTTTTTCTCCGTTTGGCTTCTCCTGAGTGACCTTGTCTCGCTTTGAGGCCTTAAACCTACCATTTGCTGGAGACTACTCAATCCGTCTCCTCAATGCTGACCTCTTTTCCAGATTGCATTTCCAATTTCCTACTGTCGATTCCATTGCAATATATCAAGGGCACCTGAAACTCAGTGTGTTCAAAAATCAAACCCATTATTATTATTATTATCATTATTATTTTTGAGACAGAGTCTCACTCTCAGGCTGGAGTACAGTGGTGCAATCTTGGCTCACTGCAACCTCCGGCTTCCGGGTTCAAGAGATTCTCCTGCCTCTGCCTTGTGAGTAGTTGGGATTACAGGCGCCCATCACCATGCCCGGCTAATTTTTGTAGTTTTAGTAGAGACGGGGTTTCACTATGTTGGCCAGGCTAACCTCAAACTCCTGACTTCAAGTGATCCACCCGCCTCAGCCTCCCAAAGTGCTGGGATTACAGGCGAAAGCCACTGTGCCCAGCACCATTATCTTTCTGCCCTTGCCCCTTTTCCTTTCCTTATATTTCCTTAGTTAGTGACATCACTCTATATCCTTACTTCATGCTAGAAAATAGTTATTTTTCCATTACCATTTCATTTCTCTACTCCCAGTCATTATCTCCTCCAGGCCATCTTTCATTGTCATCGGAGTTATCTTTCTTAAAACATAGATTTGATCATGTTATCCTGTTGCTCAATTACTCTCTATTGCTTGGGGAAAAGATCTGTGGACCTAGGAGTGCGCTTCAGAGACTCTGGAAAGTGTCTGAAATTGGATACAAAAATTTCTGTGTCTTTCATTTAAAAAAAAAAAATCATGGTCCTAGAGGACAATTTTTAAACTGCTCAGCAGGGTACAATCTGAAGTTTAAGTTGCATCCTAGTCACACTCCTATATCTGAAACATACTGTTGAGTGGACAACAAAAGAGATGTAAATATATTTTTGGTGTCTGGATATTGTAATATTGGTTTGAAATTTCTTAAATTCAAAGTTTCACCTTATAGAGAATACATAGTTATAAATATGTAGACATACATTGTGTTTACTTAATTAAATCTAGGGACACCCTTACTGGTGTCCCTGGATTTGAATGAGATCAATGGTAAAGACCGGAGGCCTAACAGCCTAGGTTCAAACCCTGGCTCAGTCAATTGCCAGTAATGTGACCTTGGGCAAGTTACATAGCTTCTGTTCCATGATCTGTGAAGATGGAGAGAGTAACAGTACCTGCCTTTTGGGATTATTCTGAGGATTAAATTAGTTTATTATGTACAGTTTATTTATTAGTTTATTTATATATAGCACTTAAGACTACATAAGTGCTTGCTATTATCATAATTATTTATTGAAAGCCAAGACTCAAGTTTGCAAGAGATAATCACAGAGCAAAAAAAAAAAAAAATTGACCTCGCCCACATAAGCCTCAAGCTTTAATCAACTGAGTTAGTTAGCCAGAGAATACTAACAAAGATGGCCCTCTTCACTAATGTTTTTATCAACTGAAAAGTGTTGCAAGCCTATCTGATAAAATTCTTTTACTAGCTTGCAATAACTAAAAGCATCAGCTCAGAATATTTCCAAGGCACACTATAGGTACACTAAAATAATTACTTTGAATAGAAAAAAGCCAGAGCTGCTCTTTCCTGGGCAGCAAATCAATGGGCATCTCATTGCTTACCACGTGCCCAATGTAAAGGGAAAATGCTAAGTAGGAAATTGGGAAGAAAGATAAAGGAGCTCAATGACTCAGCTTTCAAACAAGCTGGTGTCTTGTTTGCCAGAGATATGGGCTATTAGGCATTATCAACACCCACCTGGCCAAGAAAAAAGCTGTGAAATGTAGATCCCAATATCAGCAAATCTATGGACAAATCAAAATAAGTGTATGCTGTATGCCTTAGCTGACTTTCTCTGAGTGATATGGTTATGCGATGTATTTGCAACTGCCTCTGTTTAAAATTGTCAGCCAAAAAATGCTATTTTCACTCATATTATAAATACTGCAGTTGTATAAACAGTAGTATTTGTTCCCCAACAAACTGCCAAAAGGATCACTTTACTGTTTATTAATGGCATAATAATCAGACCTTAGGTTAAAATACTTTTAATTTACTTGTTTACTTTTTTTTTGAGACGGGGTATCACTTTGTCACCCAGGCTGGAGTGCAGTGGCCCAATCTGAGCTCACTGCAGCCTCCACCTCCCAGGCTCAAGCAATCCTCCCACCTCAGCCTCCCGAGTAGCTGGGAATACAGGCATGCACCACCATGCCTGGCTATTTTTTGTAGAGATGGGGTTTCACCATGCTGTCCAGGCTGGTCTCAAACTGTGAAGCTCAAGTGATTCACCTGCCTTGGCCTCCCAAAGTGTTGGGACTACAGGAATGTGCCACAGCCCGGCCATATTAAAATACTTAAGTTAATACTGAAATTAGAGAAAGACAGAATAAAGCCGAAATTCCTTAGCCTACTATTAGAGATCCTTCATGATCTTACCTCAACTAACTTTCCACCTTCCTCTTCCAGGATATACTTCTTGAAATCTTCAAGCAAATGAAACGTCTTGCAATTCCCCCAATCATACTCACTCTTTACCCACTCTGTGCATTTCCTCTACCTAGAACAGTCTCCCCATTACATCTCCAAAGTCTAAATCCCATCCTTTTCAGGCCCTGTCTGGATGACAAGAAGCCATTCTCTGTGGCTCAGTGGAATTATCCAGGATCTTAACTTTCATAACTTTCACTCAGCACCTATGGGAATTTCCTCAGCCCATCTTGATCAAAGTTACTAACACATGCCTTTTATTTTCAAGACTGGATGCTCTCTGAGGGCAATGTCTACAACTGCTCCATCTTTGTAAGCCCACCTGCACCATTTGCACTTATGCCCATGGCAGGTGCTCATGCTTTTTGCTACAGTATGCAAGAAGGATGCTAAAGTGTGCTAAAGCTCAAGTGACTGATCATTTAAACCAAATGGACAAGTACCTGCACTCAGACAAGTTTTGCTGAAGAAAGACTTCAGTTAAAAAGATATGCAATGAGACTTGTTTCCTTGTGAAGCAAACTGAGAGAGGAGAATTGTAATGCTACTCCCAGGGCATTTACCGACTAGTGATCTGCCAACAGCTACTAACGGTGGTGCATTAAAAGCTTCCTTCCCATTGAGGTAACTGATAATATACTTCCAAATTAGATAAATCATAAGATAGCTGATCCTGTCTTTCCCCTGCTGCAAACTTAAAATACTGTTTGCCTCTGGGGCCTTGGATCAAGAGCTTTCAAGATCTGCGTATACAGTGATCATTTCAATCATCATCTCTAATATGCCTTTAACACTAAATATCCAAGTACCAAAATGCAAAAATTACATAGTCTGATACATAACAGAACCCCCAAGTGCCAAGACAGGGAAAGATTAACAAAAGTATATCCAAACATCAGCAGTCTGATACTACTTGGGCAGAAGTTGACAAGTCCTAACATGGCACTTGGCAGTAACTGAAATGCTTTTTGGATCGCCAAGTGGAGGCTGACTTCACTCTTACATGAAGCTCCAGGGCTGTGCTGAACAGTAAGTTCTTGCCAGACCACTGGACAGCTGCCCACTGTCTGCAGTCCTGTGTTCACAGATGAGATTTCTCTGGCTATTCAGTTCAAAACCTGTTACGTAAATGAGTTTTGATATTCACTCTTGGACAAAAGTAATTTCCCTAAGCCTCAAATCCTGAAAGAACAATCTAAGTCCTAAACCAGATGAAAGAACAGACTTTTACAGAACTGTCTTGACTAAGTTGTGCTAATGGGAAATTTTCTGTTGGGTCCTCTATCTGGTAGGGCTTTCATATCAATGACATCTGGAACATTCAGTCTAGAATATCACATTTCTAGTATCTATTGGATTACTGGAATGGCAACTGAATCCTTGGGCAGGGAGCAGGAGATTCTAAGTGTTTTAATTGAGTCAGTCTTTAAAATAACTATTATGTATATTCTTTAAAGTATAAACATGTTTGTCACATGCAAATCGAGGTCAAAATAATGTTTAAAAATTATTAATAAATTAGGTGAACACTGTTAGTAGCACTGCCATAAATTATACAGTTTTTGAAATGATAAAATAGAGCCTCAATAAGTCTAAGGTTTGCATAATCTGTAACATTTTTCATATATAGCTTTACTGAATAACCCTGGCTGAATTTCTCTTTTTTGTTTTGTTTTGTTTTTAAGCAAAAACAAAACATTGTTAAGCAGCCGAATTTCTCTTTGAGTCAGTTCTTCAGTCTCCCAGTCTGCTTTGAGGGAATTATTTCAAGCTGCCCCATTTCTTAGGCCTCTTGCTGTATCTCTCTTCATCTAGATTTCCATTTGGTTTCCACAGTGACTTGTTTGCTCATTAGAGCACAACAAAATTTAACAACTAAATCAGGCATATTAGCATTCTTATGACTAAAGCTTCCTGTATTTAAATAGATGGTATTGTCAGTAAAATTGAAATAAATTTTAAAATGCCGAGACAGTGAACAATGCCATCCATTACAATTCAAAGCTGTTCTTCTGGAAATATAATTTGATGTCATAGGCTGATTTAAAAAAAACTGGATAGGGCAAACAAGGTAGACTATGATTTCCTTGAAATTGAGAGCTTCCTTTGGGCACAAGTGGAAGTCTGTGGTACTGTGTAAAGATAACATGGTTTCGGAGTTAAACAGGCTTAATTCCAATCCCAGTGTTGATGTTTTCTAAATTTGAAGCCCTGGGCAGGTTACTCAGCCTATCTGACCCTCTATTTCCTCATCTGCAAAATGGGGATTTGGCCTGATAAAACCTAGTTCAAGTTACTTTTGAGATTACAGGTAAGGTGTTCAGGGCCTAGTACTGTAAACTTTCTAACATAGATCAACTAATATTAGGTTAACATTTTTCTTTTTCAAAACCAAGACCAATGGATTATTCTAACACCTCTATATACATCATACTTTCTTCACACTAAAAAATTGCCATCTCTGGGAGAAATTACATCCCCAAAAGATTAAAAACATTCATATCAAACATCCAACTTTTGTGAGGCTCATAGAAATAAAGACCATGAATTTAGAAGTTCAAAGCACCACAAAGAATAGGCAGCTGTCATGCGGTGAGTGGCTAAGAGCCCCGTGTCTGGAACCATGTCGGTTCACATTCCTACTCTTCCACCCTCTAACTGCGTGACGCTGGGAAAGGTATGCCTCCTCTCTGTTCCTTGGTTTCCCTATCTGTGAAATGTGGCTACTAAGAGAGTGTCCACCTCACAGAGTTGTAATGAGAATTAAACAACACTGCCTGGTATGTAGGAAGTGCTCAATGTTACCTTTTATTATTATTAAAGCAGCTTTGCCCAAAAGTCACATTGCACATATTTCCAGATTCAAATCATTCATAGTCATGCTTTATGATTCTCCCTGTTCATCTCTCTCCACACAAAAAGAAAATAAGAGGTCATCTTTGATAAGGGAGCCAAATTGAAGAATTTCTTGGAAAGCATTAACTGCCTGATTGCTGTTCTCCATGGTGCAGACCTGTCCTGAGCCTACCCCCAACCCTGCTGCAGGGGTCCTATCACAGGCTCCCTCTTTACTACCAGGCAGTCCGCAAGTCTGGCCTACTCAGGGAGCAAAGAGAGGCTGTGGCCACTAACCCATACCTGAACAAGCCAGTGTGTTATCGTCCGCCCTGCCTGACATTCTGCAGCAGTAGTAAAGCAAGAGTTATCGGCACAGAGCAGACTCTCAATTAAGTTGGGATGAATGACATGAACCTGGCAAGTGATAAAGCTGGAAGCTTTGATCTCCATAAAGGTCAGAATTCAGTAACTGGCTGCCACTATGCTTTTCCTATTATTTGCCTTCCTAAGTGATGGCCCTACCTCAGGATCCACTTGAATACTGACCGAATGCCTATATTGTGCCTGGCCCTGAGCATGTGGCAGTAGGAAATCAGGTACTATTCCTGCTCTCTGGAGCCTACTCTGTAATATAACAAGGCCCTGAAAGGGAGAGGCAGGGTTTGGAGTCTGGAAATATGAGTAATGCTAACACTGGGAAAAATTCATTCCCTCCCTCCCTTGGGTTGCAATGACCAGAGTCTTTATACATTTTAAATGAACTCTACTGACATCTACAAAACAGTTAAGGATCCATATTTAAATTCTCTTACATTGCTGTTGGGAAAATGAATTGGTATGACCACTTTAGAAAAATGTTTGGCAACATCTTCTAAAGGTACCAATACTCTATGACCCAGCAATTCCATGTTATATACCCAAGAGAAGTGAGTATTTATGCCCATTAAAAGACAAATTGTTCATAGTAGCTTTATAAACATTAATAGTAGTCCCAAACTTAAACTAACCCAAATGTCCATTAACAACATAATATTGTGGGACCTTCCAGGTTGGCAAACACAATGAGGTCCTGGAAGAGTGACACACCCAAGGGGGGCACAGAAGCTCTACATGCCCTCCTGGCCCATCCCCTCATGTCCTGCCCTATACCTCTCTTCTGTCTGGCTGTTCCTCAACTGTATCCTTTATAATAAACTGGTAAATGGTATTAAAGAAGAGTTAAATGAGCAGAGAGCTATACCCTGGCCTGCCAATACTGACACACAGGAGAACAAGAGCTATGCAAAGCAATATGGACCAATCCAAAAAGCATACCCTCAGCACAAACACAAAGTTGCAGATTGAAGCTCAGTGCACATACAATCATGCAGGAAGCACTGGAGGCCATCTTAGGACAATGGGGCAAAAAGTCCAAAGATGGATGCCAACATGCTCAGGAAGGAGGAAAAAATGGGCAGGCGTGTCACTTGCTGCCATCTCTGAGCTCTACCAACCCAGATGTGAACCTGCCTCAATGCTCTGGCTATAAGGAGGAATAAATGTCTCTATTTTCTGGGAAAAAAAAAAAGACAGAGAGACAAAATATAGAATATTGTGGAATAGTCATATGATGAAATAATAAACAGAATAAAAAAAGAATGATTCATGCAACAGCATGCAACAACATGGATGAATTTCAACATAAGAGAGGACCATTGTATAATTCCATTTATATGAAGTTCAAAGACAGGCTGCACTAATGTGTGGTGACAGCAATCAGAATGGCATTCCAAGGGGAGTATGGACTGAAGAAGTCATGACAGAACCATCCAACATGCTAGAAATGCTCTATATCTTCATCTGGAGGTAGTTTTGTGTATCCATATAGATATAAAAAATAATCACAGTTACATTTAAGATGTGTGTACTTTACTATAATTACACCTTTTAGAAAATTTAAATAAGGGCCAGGTGCAGTGGTTCACGCCTATAATCCTAGCACTTTGGGAGGCTGAGGCGGATGGATCACCTGAGGTCAGGAGTTCGAGATCAGCCTGGCCAACATGGAGAAATCCCGTTTCTACTAAAAATACAAAAATTAGCTGGGCATGGTGGCAGGTGCCTGTAATCCCAGCTACTTGGGAGACTGAGGCAGAAGAAACGCTTGAACCTGGGAGGCAGAGTTGCAGTGAGCCAAGATCACATCATTGCACTCTAGCCTGGGCAACAAGAGTGAAACTCCATCTCAAAAAAAAAAAAAAGAAAATTTAAATAATCTAAAAGCACCATATTTACTTTAAAACCTTTAGTGTTCTCCAGCCTTGAATCAGTCATTCACTCAGTAATTCATTCATGCCAATATTTACTCAACACCTACCACTATGGTAAGCACTGCAAGCCCACCACGCATGGTCTTCATCATTAGGAAGTATGGATATTAGCAGAGAAAATCACTCCACTGATAGCGTCATTCATTTGGCAATAAATCACAAACTACTTTCTGACACCTCATCTTTTTTTTTTTTTTTTGCAATTACTTGACATTTTATATGTTGCTTATAGTTACAGCTGGTCTCAATTTAAAATGTAAATTCCTTGGTTGTTCCAAACTTTTCTATGCTGTTAAATGCCTAGTGCAGTATCTTATACACAGCAGGCAGGTGACAATTTCACATTTAACCTGTTACATCACAGTACTTTTCTTGGCCTCAAGTTTTCTGGCCAATGTTCTTTTTCTCTGGGTTTTCATTTTTCTCTGCCCCTGATGAAACCTGAAAATCACTTACTAGAATAATATATAGCTTATACTTACATATATCCTACAACGAGAGTATTAGATGTAGCTTTTGTTATTTTCAGTTTTCTTTTCATCCTATAATAGAGCTTAAGAGTATGGGAGAAGTGAAGTGGGGAAGGTAAAGACATAATAGATAGACTCATGTCATTGAAGAAAATGATAAACCTTGTTTTGTTTTTTTTTTTTTTTTTTTTTTGAGATGGAGTTTCACTCTGTCACCCAGGCTGGAGTGCAGTGGCAAGATCTCAGCTCACTGCAACCTCCGCCTCCTGGGTTGAAGCAATTCTCCTGCCTCAGCCTCCTGAGTAGCTGGGACTACACACACAAGCCACCATGCCCGGCTAATTTTTATATTTTTAGTAGAGACAGGGTTTCCCCATGTTGGCTAGGCTGGTCTCGAACTCCTGACCCCAGGTGACCCACCTGCCTTGGCCTCCCAAAGTGCTGGGATTACAGGCATGAGCTACCATGTCTGGCCTAAACCTTGTTTTGACAATTTGCAGTGCATTGGCAAAAACAAAAATAGCCATGTCTCTCTGGCTCTCCTCCCCATGCTGCTCAAGACCCCACTGACACCATCTGTATCAACATGTCCAGAAAACATCCTTGTGAATGACACAGAGAGTTCCAGTCTTATCTACCTCCTAGTATTTTTTTAAGTGCAACTTTTCTAAGGGTCACTAATGTGGAAAAGATTTAAAAGTACCAGGAAAAAGCTTGGACCCCACAATGGAATGTGGTTAACAATAGTAATAATTGCACTTACAAATGGGGGCAAGTTGAAAGAACTTTGAATTGCTTTAGTTTCATAATTTTCTTTTCTGTGGTCTTGTTGCACATAGTGATTCTTGAAGCCACCTGTTATCACTGGAGTGAAGAGACTGTGAGGGGCGGTGCTCTGAGGTCTCAACCTCGCTCCATGTGTTAAGGCTTTGTGTTCATGTTCCTGCTGACCTGCAGGATCCGAGCAACTGAGTACCATCTGCTCCCTCACAAGAGCCATGCCCACCTTACAGACGGAGCAAGCTGATCAACCACAAGCCCGGTGGCTTCTGTGGTAGAGCATGCTGACATAACAGAACTGGCTTCTGTTTGGTTCTTTCACTGTTCAAAGGCAGAATCCCAAATGCCACAGGATTTCACTTTCCATCCTCTTCTGAGACACCAGCTCACTGTAAATTATAAGGTATCATCCTGGGTGCAATCACTGTAAGTCATACTCTAAGTTGTAATAGGTCAATAAACAGCTGAACACTTAGTGTTATCCTACAAAAATCAGAAACACACATATATGGGGCTCCAATAGTTCACGGGGCTCACTGTGGTCTTCTTGCGATTGAGACCAGAATCCCCAGCATGCCCCGTGAATCTCAGTGTGATCTGCCCCTGCTTCCTTCCTTGCCTCATCCCACACCATGTTACTCATCCTCTTAATTCCTAAAGCAAATTCTGTTTCCTTGGCCCGAAAAACACTTCTTTCCCTTTCCTTAGCATCTAGTTAATCCCAATTCAGCCTAACCGTCAGTTCCCTGGGGAAGTATTCTCTGATCCTGCAGGCTGGGCCGGATCTCTCTGCTTTGCAGTCTCATAGCACCTGCATTTTTGTTTCAGCATTTATCACAGTTTGCAATTAGAGATTTCTGTGATTTTTTTCAGGCATATGTTTTACCCACTAGTCTGCAAGTTTCTCAAAGCTACATGATGCTCAATAAATATCTGTAGAACAAAGTGGGGAGGGAAACACAAAAGGAAGGAAAGAAGGTAGAGGAGGAAAGGGGAGCGAGAGAGAAAGAAAATAAAAAAGTTTACGAAGGTAGTGCCTGCTTCAGTCTTGTCAGATTTAGGCTAGTGACAGGGCCTAAATCCAACCCAGATTAGACTCCCCACCAAAAGGCTGCCATGCTTCCAAGAGCTGTGATAAATCTTCCCACTTAAAGCCACCACAAAAAAGAACCAGTAACCTCTAATACGCTGAGGGACAATTATTCAATACTGGAACTGAAACTTGGAAAACAGCATGAATAAATTAAAGCATCCAGCTGGCACGTTGGCCTGCACCTGTAATCCCAGCACTTTGGGAGGCTAAGGCAGGAGGATCACTTGAGCTCAGGAGTTTGAGACCAGACTGGGCAATATAGGGAGATCCTGTCTCTACAAAAAATAAAAATAAATTAGCCAGGCCTGGTAGCACACACCTGTGTTTCCAGCTACTTAGGAACTTAAGGTGGGAGGATCACTTGAGCCCAGAAGGTTGAGGCTACAGTGAGCCATGAGTGTACCACTGTACTCCAGCCTGGGTGACAGAGCAAGATGCTATCTTAAAAAAAAAAAAAAAAAAAAAAAAAAAAAAAAAAAAAAGTCTCGTCTGGGCCAGGGGAAGTGACTTATGCCTATAATCCTAGCACTTTGGGAGGCCAAGGCAGGAGGACTGCTTGAGACCAGGAGTTAAAGACCCGCCAGTACAACATAGCAACAGAGTAAGACCTCATCTCTAAAAAAAAAGTGAAAAAAAAAATCAGCCAGTACTAGCTACTCAGGAGGCTGAGGCAGGAGGACTGCTTGAGCCCAGGAGTTGGAGGCTGCAGAGGGCTATGATTACACCACACCATTGCACTCTAGCCTGGGCAAAAGAGCAAGACTCTGTCTCTAAAGAAAAAAAAAAAGTATCCTGGTATCCTATGCAAACTTTTTGGGTGGTATTCAGTCATTTTATAGAAACACACGTGAATTTTTAATAAGATAACAATTAGTACAAAATCCTAAAAAAGTAAAATATTTAAAAAGTCACTGTGCCACACTGACAATACTCTTGAGTTTTCACATTCCCTTTGAGGTCTATACAAATGATTCCCAATGTAAGGGCTAGGGACCCATTGGAGAATATGCAATTGTAAGGGGCCTGAAAATACACACACAGAGGAAGTATTGCCTGCAGACTGAATACATTAAAACCCAATTATCACGTTGAAGACCAGGAAATTTTGTATGTTGAAAAAGGTCCTCATTCTCCAAATAGTTCAAAGCTATGCAATTTAGAAATTAGTTATAATTGGTCCTGTTTCCCAGCACAAATGTTAGAGGTCCTCTTGTGAAACGGGCCCTTATCACTCTGTCTGAGTCAAAATTGTTTTCAACCTCATTAGGGAACTCACCAGACATGCAAGGTGCTGCAGTGCCTAATCTAGTGCTTACAGGAATATGCTCAATTTTCAGGAGTTAACATTTCTGAATTGCTATAAGGTCTTTAAAGGAAATGATGCCATAAAAACCCAGTGTTAGTGTGATAATGATCAGTTTGGACATTTATATGAGAGAATGATGCTTCAAATCAAGTAATTTCAAGGGACTTAATTTACTTTTTTTTTCATGTTTTATGGGTTTTACTTTTTCCTGGTTAATTTTCAGAACTGAGTGATATAACTGAAAGATATTACTGGACAAAGCAATTGACATTCACCAAGGAAGTTAGGGTAGTGTCCCATATCACAGCCCCATTGTGGGTGACCAGGAAGGGAGGCCCTGCCACCAGACAGCTCCCTGAGCTTCATGTTAACATGCCACAGTCCTCTCTGTTGTAAATGTGGGCTATAAGTGACTAAAAGCACTGGCCAAACAGCAGAAAGAAGAAGCTTCAGGGATCCTGAGGCAGTTTTAAATTTATCATCATCATTTTAGAAAATACTGAGAATTTTCTGTTTCACCTGTGTACACGCACACACACACACACACACACACACACACACGTGTACACAGTTGAGTGTCTCTGCCGGTCCTCAGACATGAGGTATGAGAGATGACGTTTTGCAAGCAGGAGCCTGCCATGTCCCCAAGCACACGTTTGTGGTCACAGAAAGAAAAGAGTGATCACCAAGCATCCCAATACAGCAGAAAACCACACTTACCAAGAGTCAGATGTCTGGGTTTCTAGTCATGGTTCTGCTGCCTTGATGTGTGTCACTTTGTACAAGTAACTTACCATCTCTGGGGCTTGAACTCTTTATAAACCAAGGATGCTAGGCTGCTAGAGGATTGCAAATCTTCTTCCAGCTCTGACAGTCTATTCCTTTTTTTGGGACTGAGTTTCGCTTTTGTTGCCCAGGCTGAAGTGCAATGGTGCAATCTCAGCTCACTGCAACCTCCGCCTTCCAGGTTCAAGCAATGCTCCCATCTCAGTCCCCCAAGTAGCTGGGATTACAGGCATGTGTCACCACGCCCAGCTAATTTTGTATTTTTAGTAGAGATGGGGTTTCACCATGTCCGTCAGGCTAGTCTTGAACTCCTGACCTCAGCTGATCCGCCCATCTCGGCCTTCCAAAGTGTTGGTATTACAGGCGTGAGCCACTGCGCCTGGCCTTGACAGACTATTCTATATGTGCTTTTATCCAAGATCATACTAACACCCTGTTCCTGGAGAAAACTATCATGGAACTAATTCTCATTTCAGAACAGATAAGATCCAGCAAAAGTTTTTTTTTTAAATCTAATTTTTCCACCCATTTCCATGATAAATTTGAAACTATAGCATCGAAAGACTGAGTCTAGAATTTCTAACAAGACAAGAATTAATGAAGTATCAGAAGAGTCTGTTGAGTACTATATGGAATTTGGATGCACTTTTTCCAACTCTAAATTTCAACTGTATTTGATTCCTCATCTCCATCCCATATTTACCCAAATTATTAATTCTTAGAAACAGTTTAAAGTGAAGGAGATCTATATATATTAATGTCTCCTAATTTTTCATTAAACACTGGTCACTAGGATGATGAATATAGTTGCCTATGCCCTAACACTGTACCTTTAAACAGTGATTTAGAAACTTAAGCATTCAGATTTCTCTCTTCCACCATTAATCCACTGGATCCCACATCCCTAAAGAGGGAGACTATTAAGCTACTTCCTGTCGAAATATCAAAAGGAACTCTGCTCTTGTCACACTGCATTTCAGTGATGTCTATTTCAAAATATTAA
The DNA here is from genome assembly GCF_000001405.40 of Homo sapiens. NCBI lineage: Eukaryota > Metazoa > Chordata > Mammalia > Primates > Hominidae > Homo > Homo sapiens. The sequence goes on along the minus strand of NC_000002.12, from coordinate 178,262,578 downwards.
TATTTTTCTTTTTTAAAAATGAATATTAAGCTTAAATAAACACAATGACACTTCTGGTATCATTTATTTTGATCATAAAATCCTTGCCTTGGAGACAAATTCTGAATAAGAATGAAGTGGAGTTTGGCTAACATTTTGTTACTACCCTAAAATACTGGTAAATTTGCATTTTCATTCATCAAAAACAATTTTCTTTTGCAATACATATTATGGAAAATTTAATACTCAAACAATTATTTCACACATTAATCTGTTAAATATTTAACAAATTTACTTCACTATTGAAGATATTCAATTTGAAAACTGACATAGTTTTGAGACTGGCATTTTAAACCTGTATGGCAGAGATTTTTTAGCAAAGCAAAAAATTCTATCTCTATGCTTTATCCTAAATTTTCCTATAAGTAAGTAAAATAATTCAGGTCTTCATCTCAAATTGTAACATACATACTTATAATGTTTTGCCTTAGATATAAACTCTGTGCATGACACATATATCCCTACCCTGCTTAAGACAAAATACTAACCAAAATGCCTTACACATTGCCTCTCATTAAATAATAATAACAGCAACATTAAAGTTTAGGATCAGTAGGAGAAATCTGACAAAAATGGTGACATAGCTCTCATCTGACTATAAAGGAAAACCAGAACCACTGTGGACATGAGGGGTTTGTACCCAGCCAATCTTGTCTTATATTCATACACTGAATATCTCATTTCTAGAGATAAAATCCCTTTTCCAAGAAAGTGTTCAAAGTGAGAAAATAGTTGAAGAAAGGTCAACCAAAGTTGAAATTCGTTCAATACAAAATTATCCATTTGAACTTCTATAATCTGTTTTCTGATCTCTTCACTTCACATAAGACACTTTGCATCAAGGCCTCCAGCCATTTCTGTACTGCAGAAGCCAGTAACTAATAATATTTGCGTTTCACCTTTCTGAGTCCTTTCTTTATTCAGACACATTTGAATGTAGTTTTTCTGAAAGGGAAAAGGAGTAGACAGAAAAACAGACTGTATAATATTTTAAGATCCTTTTGCAGTTCTTTTTTCTACAATTTGAAAATTATGTCCTTAGCTCCTTCTATATTATAGTCTTTGATCAGTTACCCCATGCTTTTCTAACTAATCATTTTTTAGTTAGTTCTCTTACGTTTTTCTTCCTTGTTTTTTTTTTTTTTTCAATTATAATGTTCCTGAGGAGTAACATGAGTAATTCTTAGGTATACAGGGTGATGTTTTACAAATGTATACAACTACGTGACCACCACCCAAATCAAGGTATAGAAATTAACCTCCCAATCAAGAATTCCTCAAAGAACCACCATTTTGATTTCTAATACCAAAGATTCCTTTCTTCCAGTTTTAAACTTTATATAGATAAGCATCAGGGGTTTTTTTGTTTTGTTGTTGTTGTTTTGTTTTGTTTGTATTGTTTTGTTTTGAGATGGAGTTTCACTCTGTTGCCCAGGCTGGAGCGCAGTGGTGTGATCTCGGCTCACTGCAACCTCCACCTCCCAGGTTCAAGCGATTCTTCTGCCTCAGCCTCCCGAGTAGCTGGGATTACAGGCGCCTGCCATCACACCTGGATAATTTTTGTATTTTTAATAGAGATGGAGTTTTGCCATGTTGGCCAGGCTGAACTCAGGTGATCTGCCTGCCTCAACCTCCCAAGGTGCTGGGATTACAGGCATGAGCCACCGCATCTGGCCTAAGCATCAGTTTTTAACTTGAAATTTCGTAACATCCATCTACAGCAGGATGAAGAAGTAAAATGGTTTCATTGAGAACTAGGATTTTTGGCATGACAGAAAAGAAGTAACGATACATATTAGCGAGTTTGAGTTTTTAAAAAATCTCTTGTTATTTCCAATCTGAATTAGAATTATCAGCATGAGCTCAAGAAATAGTTTATTTAAAGGTAAAATTTCCTAACTTTATCCTCTGAAAAGGCCTAGAAATAATGACTAACCAAGTAGTAATCACCACCCCTTGTGCCCATATTGTATCTGGAAATACCATTTCCATCTTAGAGCTCCTTAGAGAGATGGCCAATCCCAGGTCTGCAGACAAAAAAATAGAATGAGCCTGAAACACCTTGTCTACTAGGACCACATTATAAATTAGTAGAAAGACAGACAGAGAAGACAGACACATACATACACATATACATATACATACACATACACATACACATATACATATACATATACATATAGCTTGGAAGTCAATTGGAAGGGCTCTCCTAGCCAAAAATGGGATAATTAGATAATCCAAAAGAATAATTACTACAATTGAATTGAAACATATCAAATGTGTTTAAGTCCATATGGTTATGATGATCTTCTAAAAAAACAATTCATTGGTCACCTTTGGAGGTCAGCTAACCAACCCATCTTGAAACTGGTGCATAAAAGAAAATAATAAAGAATTTATCCTGCTTTTCTATGACACATCATTAGCAGCAGGTAGCTGAGGCCTTAATGTGGAACAGTTATTTTTTACAGAATCATTCCAATTAATGAAGAAGAATATTAGAATTAGAAGATTACCATTTTGCATCTCCTAATGAATGAATGGAACCTCAGCAAATATCATCCATCGCTGCTATGGTAATTACCAAGGCCAGTCACATCCTCTCCAAGTTTCACATAGGGAAACAGATCACCCAGTATAGACTCAAGCTTAAGCGGCAAAGGGAGTAAAGCCAAAGTTAATTTTACCATTTGGACTCTCTTCTCTCCAATGAGTTAAAGAAATTATGAGTAACTCAGCAATATCAGCCCGCAAACTTTCTTTGGAATAGAAACTGCCGCCTGTCAAAGAAGCCAGAGGCAGTTATAAATTAGTTCATCCCTGGGTTCACTGCTCTACTTAGGAGTATTTCCTATATAAACTCTTACATATGTCTTCCCTAAAAGCTAAAAGTAAGGGTAATTCTGACTTTTTTTTGGTGGGATGGGGGTTCTGTGTTCTCTTCCTCCAACCTAAAATAGAGATAATTAAGTTAAAGAATTCAAAGAAAATTCCCTGAAGAAGAAAAACACATTTGGATCCAATTCGACTGTTGAGTCCTGATTTCTTTTAAATGAAATGAAATGCAAGCTCTGGGTACAGTAATTTAACCACTATTTTGATCATTTCTCTTCTACTTAATTAGCAAAACTGAACCATTAAGTAATCTCGTTAAAAATGAAGAGACAGGTAAATGGCTTTCTGGATTTTACAATTATCAGCGCTTGACCTTAAAAAGTCAGCACAATCTCAAACGGAATTTGATCAAAAGACCTCCAAAGACATATATGCTTTCTGTCACTCATTTTCCAGAAAAGTAAAATAACAAAAACATATATGCAGGTACACTTGGGGAAAATAGGGGGCAGGAAGCACGGTGGAGAAGCATCTGTTATATTAGCCAATGACTCAGCTAGCTACAGGCAAACTACTTCACAATGTGGCATCTCCTCCAACAACAACCTTCAGAAGAGAAACAGCTCTGTCACTGGAGAGAATGATGGATCCCTGATCAGGAAAACTGTTCATCTCTCTATGTGAGCTCAACTAATAATGAGAGGAAGCCAGAGCTTGGGTTTTCTCAGAGTATCATTCAGAGAATTATCTTTCTGTAACTATGAGTTCAGGCTATAGCTCCAGACTCAACAAATAGTATTATATTCCTGATTAAAAAAAACCAGACGTTTACAGACTTGAATCTGAATAAAAGAAGCCACACACAAAAGAACACATACAGAGAGATTTGATTCATAAGAAGTTCAAGAACAAGCAAAAGTAGTCTCCAGTGGAAAAAAAAAAAAGTCAAAACAGCCCTGGTCTGGGCAGGATGGGGAGTTGACAGCAAAAGGACATACAGGAATTTTTTTTGGAGAGACAGAACTATCATGATAGGCGTATGAGTTACATAGGTATAACCATTTGTCAAGACTGTATAGCTAAGACTAGTGCTTTCAGTATAGGTAAACTTCTTAAAAATTTTTAAAAATCACCATCATTATCATCACGTGGGGCTGAGAGTTGGTGGATGTATAGATGATATAAGAATGGTGGGATATCAATAATTGTCGTGGCTGAGTGATGGGTACATAGGTGTACAGTATTCTGTTTAATCTATACATGTTTGAAATTTTCCATGATAAAATGTCTTTTAAAAAACTAGAGCCTGGCCAGGCACAGTGGCTCACGCCTGTAAATCTCAGCACTCTGGGAGGCCGAGGCGGGCCGATCGCTTGAGGCCAGAAGTTTGAGACCAGCCAACATGGCAAAACTCCTTCTCTACTAAACACAGAAAAATTAGCCAGGCATGGTGGCACACGCCTGTAATCCCAGCTACTCGGGAGGCTGAGGCAGGAGAAGCGCTTGAATTGGGGAGGCGGAGGCCATGGTGAGCCAAGATCGCGCCACTGCACTCCAGCCTGGGTGACAGAGTGAGACTCCATCTCAAAAAAAAGAAAAAAAAACTAGAGCTTTAAGCCAGTGCAGTGGCTCACACCTGTAATCCCAGCACTTTGGGAGGCTTTGGTGGAAGGATCACTTGAACCCAGGAGTTTGAGACCAGTTTGGGCAACATAGGTAGACCCTGTTTCTACAAATAATTTTTGAAAATCATCTGGGCATAGTGGCACACACCTGTGATCCCAGCTACTCATGAGGCTTAGGCAGGAGGATCACTTGAGCCCAGGAGGTCAAGCCTGCACTGATTGTGCCACTGCACTCCGGTCTCAAAAAAAAGAGCAAGATCTGGTCTCAAAAAAAAAAAAAGGAATTAAAAAAATATAGACAACTAGAACTTTAGTTCCCTCTCCACCATTTAATAGCTATTGTTTCCCTGAGAAAGTCACAACCTTTCTGAACCTCAGTTTATTCTTCTACAAACTAGAGATAATGACCCCTGCACACCTTATTCAAAATAACCTTAGGTTGCTGCTAAGTAACAAATAAGGCAATTGATATAAAAGTAATTTCTAAACTGTGAAGCAATATATAAATATAGCAAATTCATAGTAATGAGGATTTGTAATTACTCATAGGCCATATTCCTTGTTGAAGAAATCATTAATATATTACGACAGAAAAAGTTTATTCACTTTTTAATATTTCCTGCCTAAAAAAATAGCAATAGAAATAATATGACAGAAGTATGTATAATAAAAACGTTATTTGGTTACAAAGTATACTATATGATTCATTTTGCATCATTTCCTAAAAATGCAAAAATTTAAGCCTTTAGAAAGTTTGTATCCTTGAACATACACAAACTTGATGGTCAAGAGAAGATGCCTAAAAGCATATTCTAGAAGGAAGTTTGTTTAATATTTTAAATGATCTGGATAATTCATGTTTATAGTTGAGAATCAACCATTATAAAACTCACTGAAGCTTTACCATCCAAAATAATATTCATGAGTTTATACAGAATTACATTGGGGGTAATAGACATTAAATTCTTAATGGGACTCAACTGTACTTAGAAACTGGAAAGCTAGATATTTGGCCTTCCAATGCTAAGACACACATATATTCGATTCAAGAAAGTCCAGCTAAAAGTAGATATGTGGACCAATTTTTAATTTTTTTTTTAAATTTGTCTGTTAGGCTTAGTCAGGTGACACTATCCACAAAATACAAGTCATATTGAGAGACAGTTGCAGGTGTAATTCTGCTGTAATGTTCTGGTCTAATCCCCAGGAGTCAGGGGAAAAGACAAACTAGGCTGGCCTGGTGTGCTGTAGCTGGCTCAAATTTCAAAGTGAGTTAGGCATGCCAGAATGCTGTTTTAAATAAGCATATTCTGGTTCAAAAACATACTTATAAGAAAATCACTTAGGTAAAGTATTTTGCATTAATTTTATCTTCAAAAAATAAATGTGTGTAAGTGCCTACTTGCCGTGCTCCAGAACTTCTTAAGAATTGGCTTTCGGGAACATATGCCATTCATTTCAGCTCTGCCATGAAATGACCTGGTGAACTCCTCAGCCTGCCTCAGACGCTGCATTCACTCTTTTCCACACGACTTCCTTGAGAAGCACTGGCTAAACCTACCAACTGCTGGGTTTTAGGAGCTGCCTGAGGAAGACCATCTGAGTTGCTATTTATGAAATTACTAAAGAAAAGCATGCTTGAAACTGACTACTTGTTCCTTTGTTATGGTAGATGATACTACACAACGCCATAGCAAAAGGGCTGGCCCCTTCGAGATAAATCAAGGCTTCAAGCTAAAACTCCCACTCCAGTTATATCACCCTGTTAGCAAAATCTTCACATCTAATTCCACAAAATACCAAAGCTATGTCCTAAGTTATATTCCTCCTTACAGTCTAACATGTCCTATCCACGGAAAGGGTCTTTTTGCTAAGGGAGTGTGCTGCTTTCTCTAAACACCAACTTGTTTTTTGTTCTAATTCATCACAGAACTGCACAGCTTTTCTGCCATCAAAGAAGAAAGCTTCTGTATCAGCCCAGGAAACCACATGCTTGATCATCCATGTGGTCCACTAAGTCAAGAGAGGAGATACCCAAGAGGAGCTGAGCTTCTCAACTGTTTGCCCCTGACTTCGATTTGCTGCCCTCCAACCCCCCAGCACAGAAATCAGTTATCAAGGTCAAACCACAGATCCTGTGAATACTAAAGTTTGAATGGATTCCAATGATTCTGGACCAAACGTTTTCTTCCAAGGCCATTTTACCCTCCAAAGTTCTAACATTCAGAAAGAAACAGCAAAAGCTGGGAAAGCAGAGAAACTGAATGAGAACAGTGAGCTGGAAAGGAAGCTCTCCAGGATTTGGAATTGAATCATTCTGTCATTCTCCTCCCCCAACCTAGTTTTTTTCCAACATTCCTCCAAACCCAGATTCTGATATCCCACAGTGATATGAAGGAAGTTAAGGTGAGAGATTAGGAATTGGTCTGTAAGAATTGAAGACCAGCTCTGCAGTACCCAATGGCTGAATCAATGGAGAAAAACGCTTAGAGAGTCTCAGCCAGTGGAAGACAATGGTATTGATACCAGAGAACTATCTGATATGGTTTGGCTGTGTCCCCACCCAAATCTCATCTTGAATTGTAACTCCCATAATCCCCATGTGTCATGGGAGAGACCCAGTGGCAGGTAACTGAATCCCTGGGGAGCGTTTTTCCCATGCTGTTCTCGTGATAGTGAAGAAGTCTTACAAGAACTGATGGTTTTATAAAAGGGCAGTTCCCCTGCACACGCTCTGTTTTTGTTTTTGTTTGTTTTTTGTTTTTTGTTTTTGAGACGGAGTCTCGCCCTGTTGCGTGGCCAGGCTGGAGTGCAGTGCCACAATCTCAGCTTGATGCAACTTCTGCCTCCCAGGTTCAAGCAATTCTCCTGCCTCAGCCTCCCAAGTAGCTGGGACTACAGGCATGTGCTACCACGCCCAGCTAATTTTTGTATTTTTAGTAGAGATGGGGTTTTGCCATGCTGGCCTAGCTGGTCTTGAACTCCTGACCTCAGGTGATCTGCCCACCTTGGCCTCCCAAAGCGCTAGGATTACAGGCCTGAGCCACCGCTCCTGGACTGCACATCCTCTCTTGCCTGCCACCCTGTAAGACGTGACTTTGCTGCTCAATCACCTTCCGCCATGATTGTGAGGCCTCCCCAGCCATGTGAAACTGTGAGTCCATTAAACCTCTTTCCTTTATAAATTACCCAGTCTTGGGTATGTAGCATCATGAGAACAGACTAAATACACTACCTCCTTGAGAATTTCTGTTTCAGAAAGCACCAGTGAGTGAGCAGTATAAAACAACAGGCCCCAGAACTTTTCACAGTCACTTCGGGGCACTGTTTAAAAATACCACTACCTACTCCCTGGCATTTTAAGTAAGTTCTCCAGCTGGGTGCTAGGATTTGGAAACTAGTACATTCTAGTGGCCACCACTAGCCTGTCTTTCTCAATTTTCATCTTGTGTGCCCCCAGAAGGGGTGCCAAACAAAATACAGGACATCTAGCTAAATTTGAATGTCAAATAAATAGTCATTTTTTAGTATACATTTCAAACATTGTAATACTAAATAATTCCTTTTCTGACATTCAGATTTAACCTGGTGTCTGTCTTAGTCTGCTTTCTGTTGCTCATAACAGAATATCTGAAATTGGGTAATTTATAAGGAAAAGGAATTTCTTTCTTTCTTTTTTTTTTTTTTGAGACAGAATCTCAGACTGTCACCCAGGCTGGAGTGCAATGCCATGATCTCAGCTCACTGCAACCTCCGCCTCTCGGGTTCAAGTGATTCTCCTGCCTCAGCCTCCTGAGTAGCTGGGATTACAGGTGCCTACCACCACGCCTGGCTAATTTTTTGTATTTTTAGTAGAAACGGCGTTTCATTATGTTGGCCAGGCTGGTCTCGAACTCCTGACCTCGTGATCCGCCCACCTCGGCCTCCCAAAGTGTTGGGATTACAGGCATAAGCCACCATACCCGGCCAAAGGAATTTATTTCTTACATTTACAGAGACTGAGAAGTCCAGGTCAACAGGCTGCATCTGGTGAGGGCCTTCTTGCTGGTGGGGACTCTCTGCAGAGTCCTGAGGTGGCACAGAGCATTACACAGCAAGGGAGCTGCATGTGCTTCCTCAGGTCTCTCTTCTTTATAAAGCCATCAGTCCTATTGCCATGATAACACATTAATCCATTAACCCACTCAGGAGGGCAGAGCTCTCATGACTCAATCACCTCTTAAAGGCCCCACCTCTCCATACTGCCACATTGGGGATTAAATTTCAACATGAGTTTTAGAGGGGTCAAACATTCAATCCCTAGCAGTGTCCAGTATTTTATTTGCAAAACTGGGCAACTCAAACTCCCAACTCCACTACAATGATAGGTAAAATCAACATGCACATAAAAAGCATATTGTTATATTCACTTTTGACTTGCTGGCCCTGAGTTTATTCATTAAGAATATATTGCATGTGGATACTACAGCAAAATATGAGAATGAGCATAATGATATTACTAGGATAAGAACCATTTCCCCAACTGTCAAATGGAACCAGTTGGACCAGATGTAAAATTCCATTAAATCACTGAATTATTAACAAGGCATTACCCATACCAAATTTAATAGTCAATATCTAAAATTCTCATGTCTACTGGAAGAGGTTTCCTCATAGAAGATCAACTCAACTTATCCATTTCTATTTCTCCTTCAAAAGCAATTCCTGAAGACTATTTTCTCACAACAGTGATGACTTCTGCTCATATACAGTGGTTTAAGGCTGGGCACAGTGGCTCACCCCTGTAATCCCAGCACTTTGGGAGGCCGAGGTGGGTGATTGCCTGAGGTCAGGAGTTCGAGACCAGCCTGGCCAACATGGTGAAAACCCATCTGTACTAAAAATACAAAAATTAGCTGGGCTTGGTGGTGGGCGCCTGTAATCCCAGCTACTCAGGAGGCCGAGGCAGGAGAATCGCTTGAACCTGGGAGGTGGAGGTTGCAGTGAGCCGAGATCATGCCATTGCACTCCAGCCTGGGCAACAAGAATGAAACTCCTTCTCAAAAATAAATAAATAAATAAAATACAGTGGTTTGAATGTTCTCCTTCTATAGATTCTGTCTAGTCCACTCTGTAGGGGATGTCCAAGAGCGGCAGAGAAAACAGTGGTCCCTTATACCAACCACACCAGGAGCCATGACTACATGTAGTGATCCCTAACGTATTACTTGCCAAAAGATCATACTATTTTAGTGGAAGATCCCAAATAATTCTAAAATGGGGTTGTATCATGAAGTTATTTCATCAAGCCAGGAAGGAAAGAACAGCAGACATCTAACTCATGCTGACCAAAGACAGTCTAGAAGTATTAGCATTAATTGTAAGGATTTACATCTATCTGCCTATCTAAATTTGGTTTTATCCTAGTGGCCTCAAGTAAGCTAATCTTGTTATCTGTGATGTAGATCAGCATCTGATACAATCATATATGTTTAACAAAGACCACTGACCTCCTCTGCAAAATCTGAGTTTGAACCCTGACCATATGAGAAAGTCTCCTATTTTTTTTGTTTTACCCAATTCATCTTCCCCGGTTTAAATGTTTTGGTTTGGGCAATTATGCTAATTATGGCCACAAAATATGGTCTGTGGGCCAAATCCAGCCCTCTGCTTATTTTACAATAAAAGTTTTATTGGAATACAGCATGCCCACTTATTTACATTTTGTCTACCGCTGCTTTTGAACTATAATGGCAGAATTGAGTAGTTGGCAACAGAAGGTATGGCCAATCAACCCTCAAATATTTATAACCTGGCCCTTTACAGAGAAAATTTGCCAATCCCTGCTGTAACTACAAAGATTAGTAACAGTACTAATATTAACATTAGTAACATTAATGTTAGTAACAATACTAACAATTATACCATTTTTAAGAAGGAGAAATGAAACGATAACATTCAAGTTTTTATACCTTTTTGGCAACAATTTAAGAAAATGAATGGTGGTTTCCAACCCAAGAACTAGCAATCTACTACTCAGCCCGTGCCATCTCCAAGTGCTCAGAGAGCATTTTTGGTGTAGCAGCTCATACGTCTAACTGTAGTTTTAAAAGAACATCACTCTTCAGCCTCAGGTGTCCTTAAGAATCCAAAGAATAAACATACAAGCATGAAAATACAAGAAAGCATATTTCTTTCTGCTGGGAATCCAGCATTTCAAAAGGGAAAATTACACAATGACAAGCACATGCGCAGGATTGCTGCTGCCACCATCATTTGTAGTCTGATGAAAATGCAGTAGAGCAGCAAAAAGGAAATTGTCTCCATTTGGCGCCAGTGCCTATGAGGTAACTGTCACTGTTATAGGAATTTAGAATTTAAATCAACATAGTACTTCTGTGGCTTCACTGCTTTAGGCAGGAAGAGTGCGTGATCAGAAAGAACAACTGCCTTCAAAACTAAAACTTCTGTGAGCCTTAAAAGATCCCTAACACAGGTGCCTTGGAGGAGAGATTAGATTGCCAGAATGACATATTATAGTTTCTGAGAGGCTCTTGGTGAATACTGTCCCTTCTACAGTAATCAAGCATGAAGGGCCCCTTGTCATTTTATTTCTGCTCCCATGGAAACCCCTTGCAAGCAGAAATGGCACACTCACAGTTAATGAAATTTTATGCCACAGAAAATTAAACACTGATATTCTTCTAGTTGAGAGGAGCGGGAAGGAAAAAAAAAAAAAAGAACCATAGTAACCGTTGCTAAGTCTGACTTTATAATACTGACAGAGTAGACGGCTTACCGAATGAAAACTTTTTAAGAACTGAGTCTAATGCAAGGCTTCAGTCCTGATTAGGGATCACTGTGGGCTCTCTGACCAGAACAAGAGCAGGAATCTGGCTCTTCCTACCCTCCTTTGATTCTTACTCCTCCAGCATGGATCCCCCTTCTGCTCTCTGGGACCACACTCCCTTGTTAGGCTAAAGGTGGCTCCCATGCCTGAAGGCCTTAGGCTCCTACTGGACAAACACAGAGAATCAAATACACACTCACTCTTCTGGACAGGAAAAGAAACATCCAGCTCATCTCACATCCAGGTGCAACCAGAAAAATATGTTTACACTTTCTTTTCTTTTTTTTTTTTTATTCCAATATTTGATGAATGTCTACCATGGGCTTAGAGTTGAGGTTCAAGGGTGCATAAGATAAGACACAGCACCAGCCTGACAGGTTAATGGTGGGGAGGTATGAGATCAATAATGACACAAATCTAACTAAGATTACAAGTTGGGTTCAGCACCATGAAGGTACAGAGCAGGATCTGTGAGAATACAAAGGGAAGTCCTCATTTATAGTGCACGATATGAGACGGCTTCTGCTTTGTGGAAGTGACATTTAAAATGAGACCAGGAGGAGGAGCAGAAGTCGTTCAGTTGGAGAATGGAGCCCAGGAGTGTTTCAGGCAGGAGGAACAGCCGGTGCAGAAGCCCTGAGGAAGGGAAGTGGGGCCTTGTCAATCAAGAAAGGTAAAAGTAAGGCTGGGAAGGCAAGCAGCCGCCTTTGTCAAAGTGCTGATTTTTATTTCCTTCTACGTACAATGGGAAGTCACTGGCAGGCTTAGGAAAGGGGAGTGAAAGATTAGAGCTGCATTTTTAAAAGATGATCATGTGAGGACTGGGCCTAAGGAGCAAGAGCAGAAACTTAGGGCAGGAGTTTTGAGGCAGGAGATGCTGGCCTGGTCTGGGATAGAGAACAGTGACATTATCCAAGATATATTTGAAAGATAGAATCAGCAAAAATATTGGCAAATGAGAGAGAAGGAGGTACCAAAAATATCTCCTAATTTTCTGGAGCTCCTAGGTAAATAGTGTACCATTTACTAAGATAAGAAATACTTAGGAAGATGCTACAGGATGAAGCATCAAGAATTCAGTCTTGGAAACCAAACGGCATCAGCATAGCTGTTAGAAGGACAGTCAGATTTACTAACTTCTGTGTTAGCATCTGTGCCACTGTTTCCATCATCTGTGAAGTGGGAACTATGGTAGAACCTATACGGTTGCTGGCATGCAGTAATCTCAGTAAAATATTAGCAGGTATTGTTAGTGTTATTGTGTACTTAAAGTTTGAAATGTCTATTGGTGACCTTAACAAAGATGTCTAGTAGGCAATTAGGTAACTTGTTTCAGAACTCTCTCCTACTGGAAGTGGGAAGGATGAAAAATGTTCAGGATTTGAGTATGCTAATATAAGATTCCAAAAAAAAAAAAAAAAAACACTTCTAGTTAGGGATTTTATAATAGCAACTGGAGATTTACTTATAAATTGGCTCGAAAGTCAGTCTCTGGGTGCCAACAGCATATTGATAACAACCAAGGTTGTAGAAAGTAGAGGGATTGATGCAGAAATGAGCCTTAAAGGAGAAATACTGAGTGCATCAAGAAATGAGCCTACATAGAGAGTACCTTAAACGCAAAGCAAAGATGAAAAGCTGAAGCAAAGCAAATAGACAGAAAAAGGTTTCTGTACATTTTATTCTATTATTCCCTCTAAACAGAAAAAAATGACAATCAATCCTTAAGAGTCAATAACTCCCTTACATATCAGAGATATATACAAAGTCACATTTGCAAGACTATTCACTGTACTACTATCATAGTGAAAATCCTAGTGAAAATCAACAATAGGAGACGGATTAGGTAAAGTGTGGTACATCCCTGTAAAGGAATAAATTTATAGCTACTAAACACCGTGCCATACATAGATGATCAATTGGAAAAAGTTCACATTTTCTAGGTATGTCAAAAAAGTAGGCCACAATCTAGCATGTAAAACATAATATTTTGCTTAAAAAATACAATAGAAGCTGGGCATGGTAACTCACACCTGTAATCCCAGCACTTTGGGATGCTGAGGTGGGTGGATTGCTTGAGGCCAGGAGTTCAAGACCAGCCTGGCCAACATGGTGAAACCCAGTCTCTGCTAAAAAGTACAAAAATTAGGCCAGGTGTGGTAGTGCACACTTTATAATCCCAGCTACTCAGGAGGCCGAGGCAGGAGAATCACTTGAACCGGGGAGGTGGAGGTTGCAGTGAGCCGAGATGGCACCACTGCCCTCCAGCCTGGGCATCAGAGCGAGACTCTGTCTCAATAAATAAATAAATAGAATGAAAAATAAAAAATACAAAAGGTAATAGAAAAACATGAACAGGAGAAATAATAACAGAAAATTAACAATAGTTAATTCTGGACAATGAGATTTCAGATGTTTTTTTTTCCTTGTACTTTCTTGTTTTTCAAAATGGCAGCATTGAGTCATGTTACTTGTATAAACAGAAATGGAACAAACAGATAATTCTCATCTCTTCCTCTAAAACACCTAATACTGGCAATCCTCAAATCCCCAAACAAAAAGGTCAGGAGCAACACTGAGATGGAAGACTCAATAGAAACATCTCCATCCTCAGCCTCACAGCAAAAGGAACCAGACACTTTTGCATACATGAAGAACAATATTCCCTAGTCCTTCCTTAATAAAACAGATCCATGTTTTCCACCAGCTGTCCTTTCCTAACCCCAAAACAACTAACATCAGGGTTACAAATTGGATTATATGTTTGTTTGTTTTTCATTGATTTCAACAATATGCATCAAGAAAAAAAAATCACAGGAAAAAAACTGTCATTTCACTGTGAAAAGATAAAGCCATACAAACTTTTAAGTTTGTAAATATTCATATACCATCATATCCACAACCAAATCTGAAATTGTATTTTTTAAACAAATTATTAAACATTTTTAGAGCACCTTCACTTCCCTACAATACTTTAAAAATGTATCAGGGAAACTTACATTGTCCCTCCGCTATAAGTAAACTTCATAAGATGGGACTAAACTTTCTCACAGATATACAAAAAAGAATATGGTCTTCTTATATTCTGGTACTTAGTATCTGTGCCATCTTGGTCAAGTCATTTAGCCTTTCTGAATCTTCGTTTTGTATCTACAAGTAGGGAGAATATAACTTTCCTTGTAGGAGCTTTCAGTTTGAAGGACAATGGCAGCCACATGGATCCAAAACTCTTTATACATCCTTCCCAAAAGACCACATAATCAAGAAGAGGGCAAGTATCTTCAAAAGACTCAAGCTGTTCAGCATTCTTAGGGACAGAGAATACCACAAACTTCAAATTACCTATAAGTAGAGAAATAAACACTAATTTCCAACAGAGCCCCTGCTGCTGCTACAAACCTGTGAGGTATAAGGAGCAGGGAAACTGAAAGGGAAACAGGGGCATGGAGAGGATTTGACAGAACACAGACAAAATACTCCCCAAGGAAAGTGCCGCACTAAATGCCCACATTTCAAACACAGGCCCAAGAGCTTGCAGTTCTCAGGACCAGCTACAAGTAGGGAAAGGCCCAAAGATGAGGGAGTCTGGAGGCTTTGGAGAGGTGCTACTTCTGGAAGAGAAAAAGCTACAGAGGAGGGGTGCTGTTGTGGCAGTGAAGGAAGAAGGAGAAATTGAAAACACTGCACAGTGAAAGAGAAGCAAGACATGCCAGACCCTCACCATCCACCAGCACTGTCCTGGGCCACCAGACATGAGAGCTCCTAAACCAAGAAGAGTGCCCATGACATGCCTAGGAATAGAAACACATCAGAACGAAACCAAACAGCTGCTGAAAACTCTCCCTGCCAAGAAACCATGAAGCAAAGAGAAATTCTAACACAACACTCCAAACTGAATTAAATATCCTCACACAAGCATTTTGGAGAATTTAGAAAAAACCACCTAGAATCAGAAATACAAAAATTAAGAACAGAAATGGACAACACCACAAAAGGAAGAAATGCAATGAGAGTTGATTGAATACAACAAACAAAACAAAACAAATAGACAAAATCATTTCTTCTTCAGAGCTGAGCAGTAAGTTATAAGGTGCCCAAGAGAACATCGATTCCAGTTGAAATTTAATAAGGAATACAGAAGAAAAGAAGAAAAACAACAAAAGCAGGAAATTATTAAAAAGCTTAAGGCATTTGGGAAATGGTGAGAAGTTGAGTACACAATAACATGGGGGGGTGGGGAGGGGCAGGTTACAGGGAGATGAAGTTCCAAGGGAGGTTGGAACCAGATTCATTCATTCAAAAACAATTTCAAGTCTACTGCATGCAAGGCACAGCTGCTAGTGATTGTGAAGAGACGTGGCTCTGTCCCTGTGACGAAGGCAAGTGCAGAGTCAGGGGCCTTTAATCAGGACAGTGATAGAATCAAACTAAATTGAGAGGAAGGTAACTCTAGAAGCAGAATGGAAGACTTTCTGGAGTGGAGTGAGACCAAAAGGAAGGCTAATTATGAGGCCACAGTAAATAATTCTGAGATAAATGCATCAAGGTTTCCTGATGACCTTATATGAAGAAGACACCAAGGTTTTTATTTTGGGAAACTGGAGAATGATTCCATTAATAGATGGAAAGGATTTCAGCTTTATTTTGGGCATGGTACAATATGATATAGCTAGACCGTAACCTCAGGAGAAAGGGGAACTGAAGATTTGGGGAGTAATCACCTTCTTGATGATCCAGGTAGCTACTGGACATGGAGAGATGGCCCCTGGTAACTCAGTTCTCACACCAGGCCATAAAGCAACTTCAATGCTGAAGGAGTAGGAGTGGAGGAAGGGCACTGGAAGTCACAGAAGCAGAAAGAGTGCAGCCACAGGAGAAGGTGCCCAGAGCCACAGGAGGAGATGCTCAGGAAATGGTGGCTGGTCCATAGTCAGAGACTGCATGGAGACCACGTAGAGTGAGGAGTGGAAAACGGGAACTCAGATAGCCCTGGTGATCTTACTGATGCAGTTTCAGGTTAAGGATTGAACGGCCTTCATAAAGGAGAAACAGCTAATACTCTCGCAGTGAAAAAAGAGAAAGAAGACAGAGAATGGTGACATGAAAGAGAAGTGGGATCAAGGGAAAATATGGGAGTGGAGATAGGTGAGAGCAGGTGGTAAGGTCAAACACTGACAAGAGGATGTAACTGATGGAGTGAGAGAGGAAAGGGCCAGGGACCAGATGGAGGCTACCAGGTCAGCTTCCGGGGTCTTTTACAGAACTACAAGAGCAGGGAGTGCAGGGCCTGTGTGTAGAATACTCTTAAGCCACCATCCAGGGCACACAAACATCAGCCTTTCCCTTCCCCGAATTCCTATAGGATGTACTATGGAATTTAGGGCTGGGGGCTTAGAGTCTAAGACATGGCTCTGCATGCCAGTTCTGCCACTTCCCAGCTGTACACCCTTGAACATGTCATAAGTCATCTGAAGCTCAGTTTCCCCAGCAGTGAATGAGCTATAACAATGCCAGACCCCCTCCTCCCCAAGCTGCTCCAAAGGCTTGTTGTGAGGATCAGATGACATGTTATATGTGGATGTACCCTGAAGTCAACACAGCATTAAGTTACTGGATTGGTATCTAGTTATCCCACGTATACTTGTTTCCCACTACAGGTAGCATTTGTTCAATCTGTGGTGCATCCCACACTGGGTCTAACATAGTATTTTGTACTCAGATTGTTTAACACACACTGACTTGGAATAAGCACCAGCCTCCTCTTAATGAAGGGTGTGTGGCTGAATTCTTTCTATGTCCTATACCACTACACAGTGAAAACATCATACTTGAACCTGGGGTAGGTTTCCAGCATGAATTTTTAGTAAGGCTCCTAGCAAACAACAGAATTCAACTATACATACATTGTCACAGCATTTTCAAATGAGCAGAAGTGCAATTATGAAAAGGTTGCCAATCATTGCCATAAGTCAATGATTTTTTTAAAAAATTAAGAACAGTAAGAAATCATGTTCCAAGAGCTTTTGGCCACTGGGTCTAGAGAAAGCATCTAGTGAAAATCAACCAGCACATCCAGGCTGAGTGAGGAGGCAGGCATTCCTCATACAGCTCTGATGTGGTGGAAACCCACTATCAACGAAAGACACGCTTGAGTTCTGTCAAATCATCGAGTAAGAAGTTGCTGCAGTATAATCCATCGTGTCATTTTACATTTGCATCCTTATTACCCCTGAAACGGAGCATATGCTGGAAAAGTACATTTTAATATGGCTGCTACAGCCTCACTTACCATTCAATCAAAATCTTTTTATTACGGAGATAATATACCATCTGTAACTTAGCACATTGTTGGGGGAAAGTAACACATGTGGAGAAAATATTTTTCCCATTACCAAAGCAGGAAATTATTTTTGCTGTTCTGTACAGTACAGTAGGGCTCGCTCATACATTTTAAACAACCTAGGTAAGTGCTTTTTTCCATTTGAAGGAAGTCTCAGTAGTGATTTCAAATTAAATTGTTAACCAAGTGTCAGAAACCATGAAATAAGCATAAGCAGTAGTCTCCCTCTGCATAGCAAATGCCAGGATATTCAGAATCATATAAAACTATAAAAGCATATCTATCAAATGCCTTCCAGTTGAGAAGGCTACCTACTATCTTTAAGAACCAAGGGGGAAAAATCAGGAATATGATATTATTCCCTTTTTATAAAGACATTCAATGATTCATTCATGCAAATATATACTGAATCCCTAATATGTGCCAGACACAGTGCTAAGAACTGGGGGTATGGTGTTAAACCAAAAGAACTTGTTTTGTGTCATGGACTTAAGGTCTAATAGGAGAGATGGATTAAAGTATTAAATAAATAGCTAAGCCTATGATTACAAATATTAAATGTGAGAAGAAAAAGAACATGGTATTAGGAGAAAAAATAAGAGAGGAGGACCTAAGTTATAGTAGTTCTAGGGGAGGAGAAGGCTTCTCAGAGGAAGTGACAGTGAAGCAAAGTCTGAAGGGCAAGGAGGAGGGGACACTCCAGACAGAGGGAGTAGCATGTGCAAAGGCTCTGAGGCAAGAAGGGACTGGGTGTGCCAGGAATTTAAACCAGACCAGCGGAGTTTGAGCAGTGTGTAAGGCAAAGGAGGGCATGAAATGAGGTGGTGGTAGGTGTAGGCAGGAGACAGATAATTTACAGCCAATAAAGGATTTTTTTTTCTTTAACTACAATGGGAGATGGTGAAAGACTTTAAACAGAGCAGAAAAAGGATCAGATTTGTGTTTTTAAAACAATGAATGGGCCAGGCGTGTTGGCTCACGCCTGTAATCCCAACACTTTGGGAGGCTGAGGCAGGCGGATCACGAGATCAGGAGTTCAAGACCAGCCTGGCCAACATAGTGAAACCCCATCTCTACTAAAAATACAAAAATCAGCTGGGTGTGGTGGCAGGCACCTGTAATCCCAGCTACTCAGGAGGCTGAGGCAGGAGAATCGCTTGAACCTGGAGGCGGAGATTGCAGTGAGCCGAGACTGAGCCATTGCACTCCAGCCTGGGCGACAGAGCAAGACTCCGTCTCAAAACAAACAAAGAAACAAAAAAACCCAGAATGAATGGAGGAGAATGAGAAATGGGGAAGCTATGGCAATAGAGTTGGGAGAAGGGGATGAGTTTGGAATATATTTTGGAGATGAATGGATAGGGCTAAGCCATATGGGTCGGGGGGAGTGCAGTGAAGGAATGAGGCACCAAAGGTGACCCTGGGTTTCTGACTGAAGCAACTGATTGAATGGAGTGGCCCCTACAACAACAGGAACAGCAAGAGGCACAGGCTTAGTTGGCAAGTAGGGGATCAAAAGATTGGTTTTGAACAAAGAACTCAGAAGTTAAAGATGCCTTTGAGACTTCCTCAGGTACGTGGTAGGATTAAGTGAAACAGAAATGAAGCATATGTGCCATTTCACTCTTGAGAACTAAAACTGTCCTACCTTCTTTGAAGGAGTCATTCCCAGCTTCCCACTAACCTCTGGATATCTTCCACTCCCATGTCAAGGAGCAGGCCAATGGGATGGGAACACAGGGCCTCTCTAAGAACTGTGAACAGTGCTCATTCTTAACTACAGCAAATTACATACTGAGAATGTACAGAAGTCTGCTATCAACCGACTACACAGAGTTATTGATTTTATACATTTTTACATACAAGTTGTTTATATTTTATAAATGATATATTTATAAAAATGTGCTACTATATGAAATATATAATTTTAAAATATTAAATATATGTTATAAATAAACTTTACATAAGAAAAAAATATGGCTGCATTTTCTAAGGTTTTATGTGTGTGTATATATATATTGTGACTATTGCTTCATAGCTGTCTTGTGAAAACAATTTTAAATTTACAGCTTTTTAATTTTTTGGACAGGCCTTAGATGATTAAGTGAGGTCATCCACCATTTCTTTGATAAAAACTTAACGCATCGATATCCTGCTCACATTTTGGCCAACTGGTAGTATTTTGAAAAGCACTACAAGATGGTATAAAATCACTGCATCAACCATTGATTCAGCTGCAGGTTATAAGGGACTCTTAATTCAAATCTAATTCCAGGGTTGACTTTGGTGTTTTTTTAAAACTAAAGTATCACAATTCAAATTTTTTTGTTCAATGCAAACTTCCACCAATTTAAATAAGAGCAAAAACTGCAGAAGCAGGCTCGCCACACTTGACTCTTGGCAGGGCAATATTTAACACCCGTGTGACTGCCAAATACAAAGATGACGTCATCCACATCTGCTGATTCACTGGGAAAGGAGGAAAGAGGAGGAGGAAACAGCAAAGCCAAGAGAGATGTGGGAATTGGGATTACATTTTGCTGGAAAGTAGGCTGCTCAGCTAGACAACTACATAGAAAGGTTCCTGGGAACCAGTGAAGAAAGAAAAGGCAGGTACTTTTGAGATGATGTCAGAGGAGTCAAATAATATTGGTTAAGGGGGAAAAATAAAAGGCAGAGTTCAGCTGTGAGTGTTTAAGACCACCAAGTGTTTCCTTTTCTTTTTTCTGAGTACATACTTTCCACATCAAATCCACTTAAAGACAGTTCTCAATCACACTTTCACAACATATGTACATGTTAGTGAAAAGGATATGTTCTGAGAAATGTCTTTAGGTGATTTCGTCATTGTGTGAACATCACAGAGTGCACTTACACAAATCTAGGTGGTGTAGCCTACTACACACCCACCCTGTACGGTATTGCCTATTGCTCCCAGGCTACAAATCTGCACAGCATGTTATTGTACTGAATACTGTAGGCAAGTGTAACTCATGGTATTTGTATATGTAGACACACAAAAATAGCAAAACATAAAAATACTATATGATAATCATATGGAACCACTGTCATATATGCAGTCCATGATTGACTGAAATGTCATTATGTGGCCCATAAAATCATCTTAAAGTCACTGTTGTCCAAGGCAATTATTTTAACTTGGCACAACTTTAAGATGTCTTTTAAAAAGCCTCAGGCCAGGCACAGTGGCTCACGCCTATAATCCTAGCACGTTGGGAGGCCGAGGTTGGCGAATCGCTTGAGGTCAGGAGTTCAAGACCAGCCTGGCCAACATGGAGAAACCCCGTCTCTACTAAAAATTAAAAAATTAGCCAGGCATAGTAGTGCGAGCCTGTAATCCCAGCTACTTGGGAGGCTATAGCAGGAGATTCACTTGAACCCAGGATGTGGAGGTTGCAGTGAGCCGAGATCACACCACTGCACTCCAGCCTGGGTGACAGAATGAGACCATGTCTCAGAAAAAAAAAAAAAAAGCCCTGGCCGGGTGCAGTGGCTCACACCTGTAATCCCATCACTTTGGGAGGCCGAGGCGGGAGGACCACGAGGTCAGGAGTTCAAGACCATCCTGGCCAACGTGGTGAAACCCCATCTCTACTAAAAATACAAAAATTAGCTGGGCGTGGTGGCGTGCACCTGTAGTCCCAGCTACTCGGGAAGCTGGGGCACGAGAATTGCTTGAACCCAGGAGTCCAGAGTAAAAAAAAAAAAAATATCTGTGCTATATGAGCTTAAACTGCCTTAACTATAAATTTCTACCGTGAATATGAATACATGCAGAGTGGCATTAGTACACTTAAGATATCAAATTTAAATGAACTAAATATGTAATCAGAAGCCATGCCCATTTTCATAGAAATCCCTAAAGAAAAAAAGAAAAAAAAGATTGTAGTCCATTGTTATCACATTATTTAGTCAATAATTATTTCCCACTATATACAAGGGACCATGTGCCACATAATGGATAAGATGGATTACTGAGCCAAAATTAGGATACTATCTGAGAACTATGAATAGGCCCCTGGGGACAATTAGTAATGATAGTGGTATAGAAATAATAATAGCAATTATTAATTATTAACATTAACTTTTATTAAGTGATTATGTGAATGGTTCTCAGCTAAACACTTTTTATTTTTTGAGAAGGAGTCTTGTTCTGTCGCCCAGGCTACAGTGCAGTGGTGCAATCTTGGCTCACTGCAACCTCTGCCTCCCGGGCTCAAGCAATTCTCCTGCCTCAGCCTCCTGAGTAGCTGGGATCACAGGCTCCTGCCACCACACCCGGCTAATTCTAAACACTTCTATTTATTTATTTATTTCATTAGTTAGTTAGTTAGTTTTGAGACGCCCAGAATGCAGTGCAGCGGCAGGATCTCGGCTCACTGCAACCTCCATCTCCTGGGTTCAAGTGGTCCTCCTGCCTCAGCCTTCCTAGTAGCTGAAACTACGGTGTGCACCACCGTGCCTGGCTAATTTTCGTATTTTTAGTAGAGATGGGGGTCTCGCCATGTCAGCCAAGCTGGTGTCGAACTCCTGACCCTTAAGTAATCCACCTGCCTCAGCCTCCCAAAGTGCTGAGATTACAGGTGTGAGCCACCGCACCCAGACTTATTTTTAATTGTGGCAAGATACACATAAAATTAGGGTATTAAGTACATTTATACTGTTGTACAACCATCACCATCATCCATCTCCAGAACCTTTTCATCTTCCCAAACTAAAACTATGTACCCGTTAAAAATTAACTCCCCATTCTCGCCTCTCCTCAATTTCTGGCAATCACCATTATACTTGAATATTATGACTTCAAAAGTATAGGCAATAATATGCTTCTTCTATTTGAATCCACTTGTCTGTAGGGTAACTTTTTCAAGTAAGACATTGAAATGAAAAATCAAAATAAAATATACTTAAATTTGTGTGTAACAAAGTATTAAAATTTGATTTTTTTAAAAAATGAAGTTCAGGCTGAGCACGGTGGCTCACACCTGTAATCCCAGCACTTTCAGAGGCCGAGGCGGGTGGATCACGAGGTCAGGAAATCGAGACCATCCTGACTAACACAGTGAAACCCCATCTCTACTAAAAATACAAAAAAAATTAGCCGGGCATGGGGGCAGGCACCTGTAGTCCCAGCTACTCGGGAGGCTGAGGCAGGAGAATAGTGTGAACCCAGGAGGCAGAGCTTGCAGTGAGCCGAGATCACACCACTGCACTCCAGCCTGGGCGACAGAGCGAGACTCCATCGCAAATAAATAAATAAATAAATAAATAAATAAATAAATAAATAAATAAATAAAATAAAGTTCATTAAATTAATAATATCTTAGAACAGGGGTCTCACTGTTATTTTATTTTTTTGAGACAGGGTCTCACTGTCACCCAGGCTAGAGTGCAGAGGCGCAATCTTGGCTCACTACAACTTCCACCTCAGCCTCCCAAGCAGCTGGGACTGCAGGCATGTGCTACTGCACCCGGCTAATCCTTAAATTTTTTGTAGAGATGAGGTCTGACTATATTGCCCAGGCTTGGTCTTGAACTCCTGGGCTCAAGGAAGTGTTAGGATTGAAGGTGTGAGCCACTGTGCCCAGCCATCACTGTTAAAATGTTAAATATTATTTTCATCTTCCCTCATCTTTGTAAAATTTCTATTTCATATAACATAATTCTATTGCATGTGTATCAAATTTATTAATAAACATATTTTGGGTGTAACATGCTCAAAACCTTTTTACTGATGTAGTATACAGCCAAAAAATGTTTGGGGAACTGGTGATATAAAGGACTGTGATACCATTAATGGGGATCAGTGAAAGAAGGGAAGGTGAGAACTTTGATTTTGAAAATGTTGAAATATATTTTTTAATGTGTCACATAGACGATTGAAAGGCAAAAGGACACATAAGCCTGGATGGAGTCCATCCAAGAGACAAATCTATATTTGGAAATCATCCACATGGAGGTGACTGTTAACAGGCGGGAGAGGGGATAAGAAAATGTGAAAAAGCACACAGCAGAGGCCCACATGAGTTGGGGGGAAGTACCTACATTTAGAAAGTATGTACAGTAGAACCCCTTATTTTGGGGGGATATGTTCCAAGATCCCCAGTGGGTACCTGAAACCATGGATAGTACCAAGCCTGATTACCATCAGTAGGAACATTGTTCATTGTCTTCCATCCACAACCTTAATGCCTTTTCTGTCTTAACTAAGCATCTATCAAGTATTATGGCCATAACTTTTGCAGTCTGAATATGACAGCAAAACCAGCAGGAATTTTTTTTTCCTTCTTCCCAATTTTACAGATAGAAGATTCGTTCTTACCACAGCTCTCAGCAACCTCAGCTTAGGCTTTATTCTTTTTCCTTATTAAATCAAGAACTTTCATCTTTTCACTTAAAAGAGGTACTTTATGGCTTCTCTTTGGCATATCTGAACTGTTGGGATCACTAGTCTTGCACTTTGGGGCCATTATTACGTAAAATAAGGGTGACTTGGACACAAGCACTGCGATACCATGACCATCTGATCACTGAGATGGCTACTGAGTGATTAATGTGTTGACAGTATATATGCTGGAAAAAGAGATGATTCATATCCCGGGTGGGACAGAGCAGGGCGGCATGAGATTTCATTATGCTACTTAGAATGGAGAGTAATTTAAGATGTATGATTTGTTTATTTCTGGAATTTTCCATATAATATGTTCAGACCTTGGTTGACCATGGGTAACTGAAACTGCAGATAAGGAGGGACCACTGAAGGAGGCAGTCAGGGAGATAGGAGCTGACCCCAAAAGAATACATGAGATGAATACCATGACATGCTGACAGTGTTAAAAGTTGCAGACAATCAAGGAATTGAGAAAAGGTCATTCCCTGGATTTGGCTGCCAGGTCACTGCAGACCTCTCAGAGCATTTTCCAGTAATGAGTATTGTCAGAAACCTAACTCAGGATTGACTGGATGATGATTCAGTGGAGATAAGAAGTGAGTGGTCCACAGAGAAGCTTGTAGTGATGGGAATGAGAGGAGGGTAGCGATGGTTGGAATGGCTTGATTGCAAGAATCATTTCTAAACCAGTGGTCCTCACAGAGGAGTAACTTTGTGCCTCCAGGGACATTTGGCAATGTCTGGAGACATTTCTGGTTGTCACAACTCCAGGGTGTTACTAGTATCTGGTGGGTAGAGGCCAGGGTTGCTGCTGAACATCCTGCAACAGACAGGACAGTGCCCTACAACAAAGAATTATCCAGCCCAAAATGTCAACCATGCTGAGGCTGAGAGAGATCTGAGTATTTTTGGATGGTGAGGAGCTACTAAATTTAAATTACAATAAAGGAAGAATATAACTGATAAATCAGCATCTCACAAGAGTGGGAAGGTGTATGATTAAGGAAAGAAACAGATGGGTGGGCAACAGAGGAGACCTTTTCAATGGGTGAGCAATAGAGGAGACCTTTTCAAATTGTTTGAAACAGGAGGAATGAAAGCATAGGCAGTAAGAATGCAGAGAATTTGAGACAAAAACAAAACAAAACAAAAAAACAAATTGAGAAAACATGTATCTGATAGCCTTGATCTTACTAGAAAAGTAAGCAGCAAGAATTCTGCAGAGATATGGGGACAGAAGTAGGGTCTTGGCGAGGAAAACACTTGGAACAGCCCCCATGGAGGTAGAAACAACTAGAAGGACACGAAAGGATTATTAAGTAATCCTCACTTAAGTACAGTATACTGTGAGGGCCCAGCAGCAGGGGGAATAAAAATATCAACTCAGTGTCCTGAATATCTTACGCAAAAAGTTATTTATCCCCAGAGTAAAAGGTAAAAGAATGACATTAGGGTTTTCTCAAGGTCAGTATTGGCCATATGGCTGAGAGAGTATAAGAGGTAAGAGAAACTAGACAGTCCAGCTGAATTAGCCTACTTGAGGTCCAAGCTAAGGCCATGAAACCCAAACCAGAAGAACAGAGAAGACAGGAAGGAGGCTGGGGGCTGAAGTTAGGGCAATGCCAGTTTGAGTAAAAGGAAAAGTGAAAAAGAGAAAGAGTGATAGGGAGCTATGGTCAAAGACGGTAATTCTGGGGTCTCAAATCCTGGAGGATAAACTGTTTCAAATTATCATGAAGGTTAAGACAATGTTATAAGTGACTGTAGACAAATTCTGGCATCCAAGCGGGGGCGGGAGAATTCAAGCATCCTGGACTATATCATACATTCCTACCAGCATCAGTCTTTGGAGACCACTTACTTGAGAATATGTCTCTGTTTACAAAAGCCAATCACACTGTCACTGGATCCCCTGGTATCTCCCACAGCACATGCTGGTGGTATGGCCATCTGAAGTTAGTAGAGACTGGCTGAGTGACCAAGTTCCCTGTCACCAGGGGTAGCAGGCCCACACAGAAACCAACGCTGTCTGACATCAGACTCTCCCAAAAGGGCTGCAAGTGCAGAAGGATGATATCATGATACAGTAGCATATTATAATTACAGGATGGACATTGTGAATTCTTTGACCACTCCACTGTGGTAAAAAGTGAAATCCAAACTTTACATCCAAGGCAAAATTAGCTTTCTTTTCTTGGCTACTGAACTCTAATTAATTGAACTAAGACAAAAACATCATTAAGCACTACTCACTAAACTTATAATTTTTTTTTCAGGATTAAGATATAAGAGTATTTCATCATCATTTTAGCTGCTACCTTTAGCATAAGCATGTTCTATCATCTTAAAGGGATAATTTAATTTTTAAGAGACTGTAGCAACTAGAAACAAGGATTAAACAGAAGCAATGGTTGCAGAGAACATATAAAATGAGAATACAACTTGTAAAAAAAAAGTCTAACTTGTTAAAACAAGTGATATAAAATTGAGACATTTAAAAATTGAACCCATGTAACAAGCCTGCACATGTACCTCCTGAATCTAACGTAAAAATAAAACAAAAATTGACATTTTCATATTCTGATTACATTCCAACATCAAATAAAATATCCAGCTATGAAAAGGTCATTTTTCATTAAAGACACCCAAGGAATAGTTCTTTATGCTAATGAAAAATACTTGAAAATTTTAAAAAGAGGAACCAAACCATCTAAAAATTAGATTGTTAAGCCATAGGCATATTGATACTTATCAAGCACTGTGCATCTTTTTCCAAATAGAAATTGTATAAAATGCCAGGTGCAGTGGCTCACGCCTATAATCCCAGCACTTTGGGAGGCCAAGGCAGGCAGATCACGAGGTCAGAAGATTGAGTCCATCCTGGCTAACATGATGAAACCCCATCTCTTCTAAAAATACAAAAAATTAGCCGGGCGTAGTGGCACATGCCTGTAGTCCCAGCTACTCGGGAGGCTGAGGCAGGAGAATTGCTTGAACCCAGGAGGCAGAGGTTGCAGTGAGCCAGGATTGCACCACCGCACTCCAGCCTGGGTGACACAGCGAGACTTTGTCTCAAAAAAAAAAAAAAAAAAAAAAAAAAGAAAAGAAAAGAAAAAGGAAAGAAAGAAAAAGGAAAAAAAAAAGAAATTGTATAAAAATATCTGTTTCAATGAAAGGAAGAAGAGATACAAATAAGACCACAAAAAAACCATTAACCCCAAGATTATATATGTATAACTCAACCCCTCCACCAAAGTATTCTATAATTAAGTAATTCATGCATCAGGACCAATGTCTTGCCTCTTTGACAATTTATGAACATTAACTGGGAAGGTTTTTGTTATATATATTCTACTGCATACTGTTCAAAGGGATCCAGAAAAGTAATACCTAACAAATAACCCATTTATTAAGTATGTTCTTTGTATAACAGAAGAGTATCCGGCAAAGTACCTATTCTGGAGCTCATCACAGAGGTTAACAAGATAAATTTAGAAGTTATCCAAACATATTTGATAAGGTGGTAAGAGTGAGTGGCATGATTCACAGACAAGGCAGAACAAGAAGAAAAAGGACCCAAGGCCAATCTCTCTGAAACAGTGGTTCCCAGGTTTTAGGGAGCTTCTTAAATGACTACCAGACTCCATTCCTTGAATCTGATTCAGAGTGTTTGGTGTGGGGCCCAAGCAAATGGGTTTCGTAATAGGTACTACAAATGATTCCAAAAGCAGGTACTGTCTGGAAAAGCCTTTGAGAAAAACTACCCTAGATCATAAAAGGAAAAATGGATAAATTGGACCTTACCAAAATTAAAAACCTTTGCTCTACAAAAGATCCCATGAAGAGGATGAAAAGACCAGTTACAGACGGGGAGAAAATGTTTACATATTTGAATAAGCTCTGTGGATTGTACTAATGTCTATGTCAGGGTTTTGATACTGTACTATAGTTTTGTAAGATGTTACCTTTGGGGGAAACAGTGAAATGTACACAGTACCTCCCTGTACATTTTTGGGCAACTTCCTGTGAATCTATAATTATCTTAAAACAAAAAGTATTTTTTAAAAATGACTCTCTCTCTCTGTCTCTCTCTCTCTCTCACTGGTAACAAGCCGGTAGGTTATACTGCGGCCTGAAATACATTTTATTCTAAAGGGCTTAAGTCCAGCAAAGGTTGGCAACTCACAACCTGTGAAATATTTAATGATGACAACCTGAATTGGACAGATATTCTCTCCAACTCCATATTCATTCAGATTCAACTGCAAAAGTTGATGTTGTTGTCATTATTATTACTATTTCATTTTCTAAAGTATTATTATGACAGGTACCATAGAAATTGAGTAAATGATATGACTTCAGACATATATGGTAATTAGCATTAAGAACTGTTATGAAAATATTTCCATTTTCTTCCTATTAATGTAATACTGAGTGAACATTCAGTCTTTAAGACTATATGATTAGTATTATTAAATAGCTGAATAAAGTAAATTATTCAACTCTTGAGAAAAAAAAACTGCCACTAGAGAACTATTACTGTCTCAATATGTAAAGCATGAGGCAAGAGTATTTTCAGTGTCTCTAGAATTGTGTCTACTGTGAATAATATTACTAATGATAATTACTAGTGCTTATAGAAGAATTATCATGTGCCAGATACTGTGCTAAGCTCATCATCCTAAGTAGATCAGCTTAACATTCACAACAACGCATGAGGTGGGTACTGTCACTAAAGACTCAAAAAATAGTGAGATTAAATAGCCTGTCCATGGCCAGATCCCTTCTGATGCCAAAGTTCAGCCTCCAGGTACTGAACATCGACTGAAATCTCCCTCCCTGCCCATGTGTCATCACCTCCTTAACATTTCCAGAGGCTGAGGGATCCCCAGGATGATGCTCTGAGTCATGTGAGTGAAATCAAAGACACTGACGTCTGATGAGATTTTTAATCTGACACTAAACATTTCAATGACTAAAGTAATAATATCCCCAGTAATTCTGGATGAAATAGCATTGAAAGCAGAACTGCCAGAAATGAAGGGGTCCTACTCTCAGATGGTTGAGAAGCCTCAGCAAACACAGAGGATGCAGCCATAATAAAATAAGGCCAAGTAAAACCCATGAAAATGGCCACAGTTTTCAGAGAGCAAGGCTGGTTCGCAGGAATTAGATATTCAGCATTGGAAGTTGGTTGCCACCCGATTTCTAACTTCACCTTTACTGTGTATTTCATTTCTGAAGCAAATTCAAGGATTCTTTTTTAAAGGGGAAGAAGCAAATTCCAAACCTATCCAAGCCTGAAAAAACTCCACTTCCCATTTCTGCCCTCAGAATATCGAACAGGTTTCTTGAATCAGCTGTTTTGAAGGTACTTGAAGAATTGTAACAAGTAGAAAATAAGAATGTAAAGTTCCCAATATTACAAAAATAATTACCATCTAGGCAGTACACCATGGGGTGTTTCTACTCAGGCCATCAGGAATTAGCTTTGTATAATTGCTTGATATCCAGTGTCGGTTGCAATTACAAATTATCTGAAAGTTTTAAAAGAGTCAGGTGTTCTGAGTTATTCTGAAGTGTTTCTCAGAGACAGGAGTTCAGCGTATACACGAGTACATCTGAGGCCCAGTAACAGGTCCTACCCCCACTACACAGAATGGAAAGGTACTGCGAGGGATATTTCTGGGGTACTGCTTTTGAAAGACCAATTGGGAGCTGTTACCAGAATAAAGTACTGGGCTGAGTAGAAACCTCAATATTCTGGTAATAAGAAAAAAAAAAACAGCATGTGATTTCAAGACAGTAAAAACAATAAGCAAAATGTAACATGTTACTTAAATGCTAAGAGTAATGAGCTAGGTAACTGTTTCCTCCTCTATAAAGGAATAATAATAGCAGCTAATGATTATTTTGTGAAGTGTGACAGTGTTCTACTCACCTTTTGATTTAGCCATCACGACTACCTTATAGTACAGGTTCTATTATCCCATCTTACATATGAAGAAATTGAGGCTCAGATAGGTTCAATAGCTTATCCAAGATCATGCTGCTGGTTGAACCACAGCTGGGACAAGCACTTTTGAGTCCAGAGCCTTCCCCTCTCTTTAACCTTGGTGCCCTATGTCTCTGGGATTAGTAATTTCCAAACTTGTTTACTTCCTGGAAGTCAAGGTACTCATGAGAAACATAATTTGAGAGTCAGAGGATGAGGGTCAAAAAAGAAAAAAAGCAATAATTGATATATTAAATTTAAAGTTAAAATATACCTTTAAGATGTTATAAAAATATATCTTCATTATCTTAGACCAGATTCTAGAATAAGCAGCAAAATATAGCAAATGTTTAAGAAAAATGTATAGGAAAAGCTTCAAATAGAGGAAAGCTATAATATTATTTTGGCTAAGTGAGAAAAGATATTATTGTTTTACCCAGTTTATGGATCTGAGCAGCAAAACACCTGTGTCTAGTTTCTATGGCATAGGAGTACAGTTTAAGAACCCCTAAGATGATTATCAAAGACATGGAAATTTCAACAAGAATTAACCGTGTTTAAGTTTATAAATTTGCTTAATAGATTTGCAGAGATTAAAAAGGATGCTAGACCAGGAGTTCAAGACCAGCCTGGGTAATGTAGCCAGACCCTATCTCTACAAAAAGGTTTGTTTGTTTGTTTGTTTTTTAATTAGAGGGACACAGCAGTGCACTTCTATAGTCTCAGCTATTTGGGAGGATAAGGCAGGAGGATCACTTGAGGCCAGGTGTTCAAGGCTGCAGTGAGGTGTAATCATGCCACTTAACTCCAGCCTATGTGACAGAGCAAGACCCTGTCTCAAAAAAAAAAAAAAAAAAAAAAAAAATGGGACCACCCTGGTGGTGGTCAGGATGGGGGAAAGGGCTGCTCATATTGGTATAGAAGTTAAGAAGAAATTACTTAGGCAGATAGTAAGGGTACAGGAGTCCTTGGTAAGGTTTTCCTTTAATGACAAGCAGCCCCAAAATAATTTTCCAACAAAGAGCAGCCTGTAAAATCGAGCTGCAGACATAGACAAGCAAGCTGGAAGCCTGCACGGGTGAATGCCAGCAGTTGTGCCCATAGTAATATACTACCTGGGACTAGGCATGTTCAAAATGGCGGCTCCATCTTCTCTTTTTGCCAGCCACATGTACAACAAGAAGCAGACAAGGTGGCCTGGCCAAGTGGAAAGCCCATTTGCATAATAAGATTAGGTGGGGTGACCAGCTTTCCCTATGTGCTTTGTAAACATTACACCTGGTCAATCTAACCGGAGGGCCCTAAGTAAATCAGACACCGCTGCTCAAGCCTTCCTATGAAACCTGCTGAGGTCCACCACAGGCCAGCCTTTTTCCCATTTTTGGACACCCTTCTCTCACAAGAGAGAGAGCTGCTCTCCTCTCTCCTTTCTTCTGCCTGGTAAACTTTCCATTCCTTAACCCACTCTGTGTGTGTGTCCCTGTCGTTAATCTTCTCAGTGTGAGATGACAAACCCCAGGTATCTACCCCAAACAACAATGCTACTTCAATATGCTGTTGTGGGTAGAAATGTATATCTATGTTCACTATAGTGCTAATTATAAATCAGAAAGTGAAAGCTATTGAAATATCCCATGACAGAAATTTGTTAACAATCAGACATGTATTTATTGATATGGAAGGTATTTGTGCTATAAGGTATAGGGAAAAGGCAGACTGCAAAACCACACAAAAGCATAATCCAATTTCTTTTTTATATTTATAATCTAGGTAGGTAGACAGACCAAAATGTTAATGGTTATTATTTTTGTAGAGTAGGTTTAGGATACTCATACTTGTCCTTTGAACAGTTACACCTAGGGCTAAATTCTGCCTCCCACACAATGCACCACACACAACCTTCTCTGCATTAAAGAAGTTGGTCAGAGGCTGATCTTGGTGACTCAAGTTCTCTCGGGCACCTTTCACGTTTAGACATATTTCATAGTACCTTTGAGACTTCCTCGGGTATTATATACATCCATACTTCATGTCTTCCACTTTTCCGAGGAACCCAGTATGCCAGTGAAGATCAGAGACTATGAAATAATAAAATCAAGGTTAAGGTCTAGGTTGCAAAATAAATCAAACTGTGCCCACCTATTGCAGTAAAACTGCAAACTGCCTTCAGTATCCATTCTGTTTTTTCCTGTCAGGAACAGAACAACTTCCTCCACCATCTCACCTCCACAAGTTTTCACTTGGCACATGATCAGCCAACTAATCTACAATTTCCAGCCTCAGAAACAGGGTAGGGCCATTTAGCTCTACTCAATGGGATCTGAGCAAAAGGATGTGGGCAATGTTGTGTAACAGCCTTTAAAAAAGGAAAACTGCTTGTCCAATCTGTCGCCTCTCCCCAGCACCCAACCTTCCTAAGGGTAGAATGCAGAAGTGCTCCTAGCTGGCCAGCTTCTACCCTGAAGATGAGAACAACACTATGAGTGATGGTTGAGCAAAAAGGCAGAGAGACTGAGGGCTGGTCCATTTCTAGATAGACTAAGTGGTTCTCAAACTTTAATGTAGATCAGAATCACCTGGAGGACTTCTTTAACTCAGATGACTGGGCCCACATCCAGAGTGTCTGAGTTGCTATTTGCATTTCTTTTTTTTCTTTTTCTTTCCTTTTCTTTGAGACAAGGTCTCATTCTGTAGCCTAGGCTGGAGTGCAGTAGTGCTAGCATGAGGCTTACTGCAGCCTGGACCTCCTGGGCTCAAACAATTCTCCCACTGTAGCTTCCCACGTAGCTGAGAGTACAGGTGCACACCACCACACTTGGCTAATTTTTATGTGTTCGGTAGAGATGAGTTTTCGCCATGTTGCCGGGGCCAGTCACAAACTCCTGAGCTCAAAAGATCCACTCGCCTTGGCCTCCCAAAGTGCTGGGATTACAGCAGTGAACCACCTCACCCAGCCCACAGTTTGCATTTCTAACAAGTTCCCAGGTGATGCTAATGCTGCTGGTCTGGGGGTAGGGAAAGGGAATGGGAAGCACGCCTTGATAACTAATGATCTAGACCTGCTTTTCCATTATGGTGGTCACTAGCCAAATGTGGTTACTAATCACTTCAAAGGCGGGTAGGGAGACTAGGGAACTGAATTTTTTATATTATTTCATTTTAATTAATTTAAACACCATGCACGGTCTAGAGATCATTCAGAGACAAGGCTCTAATCTATCTTGTGTGTCCTCCAGAATTCACGTGTTGGAAATTTGGTCCCCATTGTGGCAGTATTGGGAGGTGGGGCCTGTAAGAGGTGATTAGGTCATTAAGAGGGATTCATGTCACATTCTCAAGAGACTGGGTTAGTTAACACTAGAGTGGGTTGTTATAAGGCGGGGCCACCCCTTGTATTTTGCCCTTTACACACACATGCTCCCATGACCTTCCACTTTTCTGCCATGCTGTGAAGCAGCACGAGGCCCTCATCAGATGTGGCTGCCCAATCTTGGACTTCCCAGAGTTCAGAGCTGTAAACTAAATAAACCTCTTTTCTGTATAAATTACCTAGTCTCAGGTATTCTTTTATAGCAACAGAAAATGGACTAAACACATCAATATTCAGTTCAGTTAATGGTAAACTAAATATATTTAGAACATCCTGGGTTTGTGAATCTACTTTTTCAACTATAAATTTTATGAAATCTAAATATAGATCAAGTATTTCTGATGAAAATTTAGCATCCAAGTTCAGATGTGCTGTAAATGTAAAATACACATCAGACTTTGAAGACAATATGAAAAAAAGAAGGTAGACTATTTCACTAATAATTTTTATATCATTATATGTTAGCATAATATTTGGGTTATATTGGGGTAAATAAACTGTTAAAACTAATTTCACTTGTTTCTTTGTCCTTTTTAACTTGGCTATTAGGAAATTTAATATTATGATATATGTGGCTTAATTTTTTTATTTTGTTTTTTGAGATGGAGTCTCGCTCTGTCACCCTGGCCGGAGTGCAGTGGCACAATCTTGGCTCACTGCAAGCTCCACCTCCCGGCTTCACGCCATTCTTCTGCCTCAGCCTCCCGAGTAGCTGAGACTACAGGCGCACGCCACCACACCCGGCTCATTTTTTGTATTTTTAGTAGAGATGGTGTTTCACCATGTTAGCCAGGATGGTCTCGATCTCCTGACCTCATGATATGCCCACCTTGGCCTCCCAAAGTGCTGGGATTACAGGCATGAGCCACCGCGCCCGGCCGTGTCTTAAATTTTTATTGGATGATAACTAAACTATTAAATGAATGAGAGAAAGTGGAAGAGATACCTTCTATTTTGTTTGCACATTAGTTTTGTTTGGAATATCTTTGTAAGTGCTGCTTAGTCTATATCCTGATTACCTCTTATGCAAAATGTATAATTTCCAACTGCTGTAAATGTACTGTGCTACTCTTTCTTTTCCACTTGTCCTAGTCTTTTTTTTCTTCTTTTATTCTACCTCAATTGCACATAATTAAATTAAACATAATATTTGATATAAGACACATTCACATGTGGGTCATGAAGGCTGCCCTCATTCACACATGCTTCATAGAGAAAACACAAAAATTAAACGTTGATAATAACTTATCTACCCAAATGGTCCTCCCATCTCATCTTCCTGCCTCCCCCTACTGAGGTAACAACCATCTTGAACCCCATACTCAACATTCTACTGCTTTCCTTTTTAATATACTATCATCTTGTTTATATCTATTCCTAAAAACTATGGTTATAATTTTAGTTGCTCTTAAACTTATAGAAAAGGGCACTAAATGTAGTATCTTTAGAATTTTTCCATTTAATATTGCATTGCTAAAATTCATCTATGTTGCCGTTATTTCGTTATACTTCATTTGGATTTTGGCATGTATTCCATTGGATGACTATACCACAGTTTATCCAACCACTCTTTTGTCCGTAGACCTTTGAGTTTTCCCAAGTTTTTTATATGTACAGGGCAAATATCAACATTTCTGGACGTATTTCTTGATGCACATGTGCCAGGATTTATTTTATATGTAAACCTGAAAGAGTAAAATGCTGAGTTGCAGGAAATGTGACTGGTCAATTCTATGACATAATGCCAGAACTATTTTCTGTGGTTGTTACAACAATTTACTAGCAGGATATGAGATCCTGTGGATCCATATTTGCCCTAGCTCTAGATATTAACAGACTTTTCTATTCTTGCCAATTGAATGGTTATAAAATGGCATCTTTATGGCAGTGACTTGCATTTCCCTCCAAATTACAAATAATGTTAAACATTTCTGATAAAACTTAGCCATATGTATTTCCTTTTTTGTAACTGTAAAATACCCATGCATATCCTTTGTCCATTTTTCTAGTGGGTTGTTCACACTTTTCATCCTGAGTTATTGGACTTCTTAATATATTCTTAATATATTCTACTATCCTTTCATCTTTTGTGTGTAGCCATCACCCAGTTTCAAAAATGATCAATTTTGTTTCATTTATATCTCCAGCTATTCAACCTTCATTCCCAGAAATTGTATTGAAGCAAATCTCACACAACATACAATTTCAATAAGGCCTCTTTAGATTAACAATATTCTTAATTTTAATGGAGTCAAATGTGTCAATATTTTCTTTTACATTAAATGCTTTTTGTGCCTTAAGAAATCTTCTCTTTCTCTGAAGACTAAAAGTCTTAAAGAAAACTAAGGAAATCCGTTTCTATCCAAGTCTAAAAGTCTTAACATTTTCCTTCTAACATTTAAGACCTAGAACCTTCTGAAGTTGACTTTTTTGTATATAGTATGAAGCAGGAATCCGTTAAAGATAACCATTTCTTCTCTGTTCCATATACTGAATAGTCCCTCCTTTTCCTACAAATCCGACATACACCAAAGTTCTAAACACATGTGAGCATGTCTCCAGCTCCTATAAAAAGGATTATTTCATAAATAACTTCTTTTCCAAATGCTTATGCTTCCAAAGGGCAAGGAGATCCTTATAGAACAGGGATATGTGCACACTGTGAAGGTTCTTATTCATTTGCCTCTTCCCACCCCAGACCCATTGTCTAGCCTTCTCTGCCCTTCTCTGGGCTCCAGGAAGCTGACCTACACCACCCAGCATCCCTTGCCCACTGCACCACCAGCATGGAAGGTGACTGCACCACCCAGCATCCTTTGCCCACTGTGCTACCAGCATGGAAGGTGACTGCACCACCCAGCATCCCTTGCTCGCTGGCTTCCAGAGGGCTTTGGCTCACAGGAGCCACCAGCAAGAAAGTGAGAGCCAGAAGAAACGAAGTATCTATGCCCAACCCATCTCCTTGCCCACCCCTACCCAGGCTGTCACTGCATCCACACTTCCTCCTCCATGACTAGAGCTCTCAGTGGGCCCTAGGAACACAGCTTCCTCCCTTGCTGCTTATGGCCCAGAAAAGGTATTGGTTCCTTCTGTTACTAGCTCCGGGCTGCTTTGCCTTCCTTTGGGGGTTCCCTGGACTCTGCCCTCACCACTTTAAGTCATTCTGTCATTAAATATTCTTCAGGTAAATCTTCAGGATACACCATCTGATATGGTTTGGCTCTGTGTTCTCACCCAAATTTCATCTTGTAGCTCCCATAATTCCCATGTGTTGTGGGAGGGACCCAGTGGGAGATGACTGAATCATGAAGGTGGGTCTTTCCTGTGCTGTTATCATGATACTGAATGGGTCTCATGACATCTGATGGTTTTAAAAACGGGAGTTTCTCTGAACAAGCTCTTTCTTTGCCTGCTGTGTAAGATTGTGACTTGCTCCTCCTTGCCTTCTGCCATGATTGTGAGGCCTCTCCACTCATGTGAAACTGAAAGTCCAATAAACCTCTTTCTTTTGTAAATTGCCCAGTCTCGGGTATGTCTTTATCAGCAGCATGGAAACAAACTAATGCACCAGCCCCTACCTCCCAGGGCTCTGACTGACACCACGGTTTTCTGTAACTACAGAATCCCATCACTAGAGAACATCTGAACAAACTCAAGGGTCTGAAATCCAGACACTACCTTCACTGTCCAATATTTATGGAGTGACTACCTTGGATAGCATACTTTACAAAGTGCTGGATGTGCCAATTTCAACTACTGTAAAATTTGCATCTCTCTTATACTCAGTCTGAGATCTGCAGAAAGAGGGGGTCTTCAGAACAGTTCTGAGTATTTCAGCAGTGAGTCACAGCCTTTTTTCTTTTCTTTTCTTTTCTTTCCTTTTTTTTTTTTTAAAGTAATGGGCACCTGACCAAGGGTTCTGTGGTCAGCTTACTGCTCTCTAGAGAGGCTTTCATCCCAGGGCTACACAATGCCTTTCTGCCTATTAGCATCTGCATTCATTCAGCTTATTAGAGCAACTAAAACACTGCCACCTGTCATAATAGCCGTCCTGGCATATCTATAGATTCTTTAGATGTGTTTTGTTAAACACACACACACACACTCAGAGAGAGAGAGAGAGAGAGAGAAAGAGAGAGAGAGAAGCAGAGAGAGATAAAGAGAGAGACAGAGACACAGAGAGAGAACTATTTATTTTTCAGACAGGGTCTTGCTCTGTTGCTCAAGCTGGAGTGCAGTGGTACAATCTCAGCTCACTGCAATCTCTGCCATCCGGGCTTGAGCGATCCTCCTGCCTCAGCCCCCTGAGTAGCTGGGACTACAGGTGCATGCTACCACATTCAGCTAACTTTTTAATTCCTTGTAGAGATGGGGTCTCATTATATTGTCCAGGCTGGTCTTGAACTCCTGGACTCAAGCAATCCTCCCAGTTCAGCCTGCCAAAGTGCTGGGATTACAGGGTTAAGCCACCACACCTGGCCAGAACTGACTTTAACTACACTAGTTTCTAATCTATAACAGTTCTGATTCATGAAAGAAACAAATAAAAATGCGTCCTATAATTCTGAATGGTGTCATTCTGATTCTGGACACAGGATTTACTCAGGCTGCAATGGAGAGTATAGGAAGAAGACAATGTTATTTCCTTAAAAAGGAGTCAATCAAAGACATTCACATGCAAGGCTGTTTCAGTGAAAAAATATTTTCATTGCATTTTCAGAAGTCTCCAAAGTTCTTTTTCCCTCTCTAGATAGTCATTTATTGGCCATGGATTTTTTTTTCTAAACATAACTTTTCAATCTGCATTCTTGGTGTACTTCTGCTCACTCTGCAATAGACAGTTTTCTTATTCACAAATCATTTGCTCTTATTCACTATTTAGTGTCTACCATTTGCTTCAATGCAACCTTCTCTTCCCTTCCAGCCTCTCTTACATCCCTTCTCTCTTGATCCCCCTTTCCTTTATTGTCTCCCTTCCCGGGTTCATTGTGAGATCATGGCATCCCCTCACTTCCCCCCAATATTAACCAAGTGTCCTAAAATCACTGCTACTCCAAGGACAGAGTTCCTCCCTTCAGATGCGGCGTTCCCCTTGGGAATTGGGCTATCCTTGGGGCATTTGATTAGAAGCCAGTAAGGTTGCCCAGGCAACCAATCCAAATTGTCCTAAGATGACTGGCAAGTGTGTTTTCCGCAGCCTGATGTGAAGGTCACACTAGCCAACCCTGTGACAGTTAAAGGCAAAGTCTCTGTGCAATCAGCCAAAGGCTCAGAAAACATCCATCAAAATGAGTTCAATAACATTTGAAATAATCATAAAATTGTCAGACTCCCAAGGCCATAAGGACCCACTCAAAGCTGTTTCAAAGAGCCAAAGATACCAGATTTGAGAATGAGTAACAATAGGTGAGTGTGCTAAAATCATTAAAAAGAACACTTTAAAACCCAACCAAATGGAATCCAATCACTTAGTCAGTGTAAATACTAAATACTCAGTTTTCTCAAAGGATTTAAAAACAGTTCTACCCCAAGGCAAAGAATAAACTGAAGGGCCTGGGAAACGTCACTCCATATCCTTTTACTTTTTACAATTTCCTTAATTGTAAAACGTATTTAATAAACAAGAGCCAATATCGAAAGATATACATATACCCACTTAACTAACAATACATTTGACAAAATCTCAATCAAGATTTGAATCCAGTGGGGGAAAATATCTACAACAAGGCAGACAAGAAATCCATGTCTCTAATACATTATGCTCTCACAAAACAATAAGCCAAAACAGGAATATCTTTAAAGAAAAATGGGAAAAACACAAAGGAGGGAATGTAACCACAAAATTCAAATGGCCAACACAATACAGAAAAATGCTCTATCTGAATAATAGAGATGCGATTTAAGACAATGTAAAATCACTTTTCACATAACAGGTTGATAGAGAATCAGAGTAAACTTTTAGAGTGAACTAGTAACAAGTCTTACAAGGCTTCAACATCTTTAAGAAGCTATTTTAAGCATAAAATCAAGCAAGTACATACTCCTGTGTACAAAGATGTTCATCACAGTGTTGCTTATGGCAACAACAAAAAAATAGGACACAACGTATGTGTCCACCAAATCTCTGCAGCCATTATAAACAATAATAAATATAGAGCTACCAACTTGGAAACACTGGGGAAGGGAGAGGTTTATAAAGCAGCATGTGTGCATGACTATTTTTATGAAAAATAAATATAATAAATGATTTACAGGAATATAAATACTAGAGAAGAAAATATGAGTATTTAACACCAAATATTATCTATTTCTGGATAGTGGGATCATTTATAGGAGATTTTTATTTCTTGGCAGAGGGTCTATCTTATTTCTCTCTGCCCTGTACAAATATTACTTCTTATAACAACATTTACTTTTCAAATGTTAAAAGGACTTACAATTAATTTTTATGCATACCAAGATTCTGTTTTATTTATTTATTTATTTTTGAGACGAGTCTTGCTCTGTCACCCAGGCTGGAGTGCAATGGCGAGATAGATCTCTGCTCACTGCAAGCTCCGCCTCCTGGGTTCACGCCATTCTCCTGCCTCAGCCTCCCAAGTAGCTGGGACTACAGGCATGCGCCACCTCACCCAGCTAATTTTTTGTATTTTTAGTAGAGACGGGGTTTCACCGTGTTAGCAGGATGGTCTCGATCTCCTGACCTCGTGATCCGCCCGCCTGGGCCTCCCAAAGTGCTGGGATTACAGGTGTGAGCCACCGCGCCCAGCCGATTCTGTTTTATTTTATCAGCAAACCTTTGTTTTGGGCCAAGATTATGAAATCTCTCTGTAATATCTGAGTCTCTACAAATTAGAATATAGAAGGTTTATGGACATCTATGGATTTTAGGTAGATGAATGAACCAAGGATTAAAATTACATCACCAGCATCAATTCCTGTAAACCAGGCTGGTGGCAGGAAAGGCTGCAGCCTGGGGTTGCTCCGTGACAACTACAGAAGCAGAACTTCCTGGGGCTGGAAGAGAACGTGCTGCAAACCATCAATGCTTACAGTCTCCATAAAGGTGACTCTTTAGTTGATGACTTCCTTCATTCCTCTCCATTCCCAATGCATAACATAGAAAAAGAGAGAGAAAAGTTGGTAGTGTGGCAGAGGACATGGGATGCGAAAGTGTGCACACTTTCAAACACAGCACTCCTTGGTGATTTACTCCAGTGGGAACAATATAAAGGCTATGCCTGTGACAGGTCACTTCACAGTACAGATCTGAACTCAGGAAAGTGAAGCCATTGATTTATACCTGCCTGCCAGGTAACAGTATCTAAAACATGCTACTTCATGTATTGATTGTGAAACCAGCCCTCCTCCCTACTCCCCAAAACATGGTTGGTTGACTGAGTCAATTATCCTGTGAGTATCACTCACTGACCAAAGCCACATCTTTGCAAAGTCAATCCTCATCTCTGTAAGAATAGACTGTACTTGGCTGATAGACGGTGCTTACTGATGATCAGCTAAATCACTGTAGGAATATTTAGAAGTTTACTACTTGAAAAGGCCAGTGAAAAATGTGTGACACGTACATAATCGACAAAGATTTCTGATCAAATAATTATCTTAGAACTTAACATACATTTCCAATAAACCATGCTCATAGCTTCATCTACTCTTTCAGAGTATTTCCTTCAGTTTCGCTCAATAATGACCCAGTCACGTATTAAAGAGCTGTATATTATCTTTACAATGCATTCTTTCAAGTAGTACTACCTGCTTATTAGGTGTTTCCCAGTGATGTTTCTACCCTACACTAAAATAGCTGACAATACCCTGTGGTCACCCAAATTTAAACAACTTCTCTCAAATTCTTTATTTTTATTCAATTTATATTTATTTATCTTCTTTTCTTATTCTTTCTCTGGCCATCTCTAAACTGCACACAATCAAGATTTCCACAGACTGTTTTTGGTGGCTGGAATTTACATTTGATATGAATAGTCTAGTTGAAATAGCCAAGCCCCAGAATGGAGGGGGAAACAAAGAGCCTCTTTACCTCAGAGAGCCCTGAGCTGCCTCAATGGGCTGAAGAGTCAATTACCTCTGAGCTAAACCCACCATAAAGACGGCACTCTGGGCAGATCCTGGCTTAATGGACACAGCCTGGGTCTCCCAAGAGGGCGATTTTTTTCAGATGCTTTCACTGCTCAGCCACACTCCAGCCATGTCCTGTTACTGCATATTTCCATGC
This sequence comes from Homo sapiens, assembly GCF_000001405.40. NCBI lineage: Eukaryota > Metazoa > Chordata > Mammalia > Primates > Hominidae > Homo > Homo sapiens. The sequence goes on along the minus strand of NC_000002.12, from coordinate 178,220,885 downwards.
AGCATCTCAGCAACATCCTAAACATCCAAGATCGACGAGAATATCCCCCTTTAGGAGATCAACCTGATGTCAGCAACAGAGGTAGAACCATAAGTGACAGAGTATGGCTGCATAGACAACTCATCTGCTGCTGCTGCTGCAACATCACATTTTACTTTCAACAGAAAAATACATTTCAGCTTCTGCATTTTTCCCTACGAAATTGAATAAGGATGTGTACTATGAGATATATTTTATAAACAAAGATTTCAAATTCCAATAAGAACACTATTCACTTTTTGGCTGGGCACAGTGGCTCATGCCTGTAATCCCAGCACTTTGGGAAGCTGAGGCAGATGGGTTGCTTGAGCCCAGGAGTTCAAGACCAGCCTGGGCAACATGGCGAGACTCTGTGTCTACAAAATGATACAAAATTTAAAAAAAGGCCCAGCCATGGTGGTGTGCATCTGAAGTCCCAGCTACTAAGGAGACTGAGGTGGGAGGATCACTTGAACCTGGGAGGTAGAGGTTACAGTGAGCCAAGATCACCCCACTGCACTCCAGCGTAGGTGACAGAGTAAGACCCTGTCCACCCGCCTCCCCAGCCCCCCAAAAAAGAAGGAGATTGTTCATTTTTTAACTTAAAAAAAGGCAGGGGTGGGGGTGGAGGATATACTTCCCATTAATCCAAGGTAGTCAATCAGCAAAATGGAACTCGATGTCTAAAGCCTCAGCCAAACCAGTTTCCACATTCTAGCATTTGTTATGTGTATGCCTCAGGTTCTATCAGCACATAGTAGTTATTACATTTGAGCTATGGGGGAACAGACACCTCCATGGTCAGCTTTTAGACCTACAGCATGACATTATCCTCTGTCGATATCTCCAGCCTATTTCCTAAGCACTCGAAATCTTAAAACTTTCAGTATTAATCATATTTTTATGTTTCTGAAATCCCCAGACCACCACTTAGGAGGACATCCTGAACCTGTTGCCTTGAAATAGCATTGCTCGGAAGGCAGTGAGGATGATGGTGAATGTGGTTATTTTAACCTATCCAGCCTGCTAGGATTTATTGTCCACAGTTCAGCACATTGAAGATGACATGCCACAGTGTCACTAATTGCTCCTGACATGTGAGGTCTACCACTGGAACCTCTGAATATAAAATGGGTCTTGGATTTAACAGCACGTAATTAGTTGCTGTTACACTCCAAAAGTAGAATCTTGCTGGAAAGGGGTCCGATGGGATGGCTTTCAGCAGCAACATGCACTGATTATAAATAATTACTTGCCAAGAATCAGCCATTCGGAGGCTGACACATATTTCAGTTTCCCTCCCCAACACCCTAGCCTAATAACTGCTACAAAACTCACTTTCTCTGGCTCCTCATTGATTCTCATGTAAATGACACCCTTGGCCCCTAGGGTGCTATCTCCAAACCCAATTGTTATGGAACTAATACCCTTAGGCCAGATAGTAGGATTAAAGCACCACAGGTTTTGAAATTCACCTTGGGATCTGGAAACTTGGCTTTGCCACCTACTATTTTTTATTTTCAGTAAGCTGTACTGCTTCTGTGCTTCCATTTCCTATTTTGTAAAATGGGGATAGAAATACCTACTCCAAAATGTTGTTGTGTGGTTTAAATCTGAATATAGATGATGCAAGCAACCCAATTCTTGGCCCACAGTAAGCATTCATTAAATGGTATCTTTAATAAAACTCCATTTTTTTACAGTCTATCACTAACAGTCTATTTTATGTTGGTCTTGCTCTTGAATAAAGGCAAATTGGACAAGTAGGATTACATCTAGAATCCTTCAGGCTACAACAAAAAGGGAATCGAGTCAAAGCAGGTAAGTAGGGAAACAAAACTGTCAAAGACAGAAGAGTCAGGAGTGGAGAGAATAAAAAAAAAGCAAAGAATTATGTACAAGAGGTAAAAATTCAGGTCTAATAAAAAGGAGCAGGGATAGGCTGGGTGTGGTGGCTCACATCTGTAATCCCAGCACTTTGGGAGGCTGAGGTGGGCAGATCACGAGGTCAGGAGTTCAAGACTAGCCTGGACAACATGACAAAACCCCATCTCTACTAAAAATACAAAAATCAGCTGGGCATGGTGACGCACACCTGTATTCCCAGCTATTCGGGAGGCTGAGGCAGGAGAATCACCTGAACCCGGGAGGCAGAGGTTGCAGGGGGCAGAGATCGTGCCATTGCCCTCCAGCCTGGGCAACAGAGCAAGACTCCATCAGAAAAAAAAAAAAAAGAAAGAAAGAAGGGGGATAAAAGACGGGGAGAGAAAAAAGTCAGTAAAAGAGGAAGAAGTTGAAAGAGAATCATGGAAAAGATGGTAAGGAGATGTTTGAGAAGCAAACAAGGGGAAAGCCATTTCCATTACCAACCCAGAATACCTCTATTAATAGAATGAAGAGCATTTTGTCAAGAATAGCTTACCTTGCTATAGCATTCTCTCTCTCTCTTTTTTTTTTTTAATTTTTTTTTTTTTAATAATGCTTACAGATTTATCTGTTTGCCCTAAGAAGGACTCACCCAACAAGAGAGGCCAGGCAGAAACTGTTATCCTGAATTTACATCTGAGGACAAAGAGTCAAGAGGCTGACTTGTCTACAGATGGACCACGTAGGCATTTCCTACTTGTAAAATAAAATCTTTAACACCTTCCAACCTCCTTTTCAAAAGCACAGTCTGGTTAGCCTTTTATAGCAGAAACAAATTCTATCCTATTCTGGTCAAAGAAAAAGGAAATTAAAACTTTTTTGGACTTGAGGGAAAGTTCTTGAAACCTTAAAAAATTTATTTTAAAACAATTTCAAACTTACAGGTAAACTCTCAGAACAGTACAAAGAACGTCCATATCTTCACTCAAAAACCCTATTGAACCTGCCAACCACTGATACAAAAGTTAGGAAGAATTTACTTGGGCAGATAGTGAGGACACGGAAGTCCTCCATAAGGTTTTCCTTTTCATGAAAACCAGCCCCAAATTATTTTCCTTTCTAACAATGGGTAGCTTGTAAAATTGAGCTGCAGACATAGATGCCAGCAGTTGTGCCAATCATGTTCAAGATGGCGGCTCCATCTTCCCTTCTCTTTGTCAGCCACCTGTACAGTAAGAAGCAGACAAGATGGTTCAGATCAACTGGAAAGGCTATTTGCATAATAAGATTAGGGTGGGGCAACCAGCCTTCCCTATGCACTATGTAAATGTCATACCTGATGGAACCAATCTGTGAGCCCTATGTAAACCAGACACCACCTCCTCAAACCTGACTATAAAATCAGGCACATTCACCACCTGCTGGTCCTTTCCACTGGGAGACCCCTTTCTCTATAGAGAGAGCTGTTTCTCTTTCTCTTCTCTTCTGCCTATTAAACCTCCACTCCTAAACTCGTGTGTGTCTGTGTGCTAAATTTTCCTGGCGTGCGATGACAAAACCCCGAGTATACACCTCGGACAATGTAGCCACTTCACCATCCCACTGACTTCTTTTGTAGCAAAAGGATTCAGTTCAGGATCATTCATGGTATTTGTCATGCCTCTCAGTTTCCTGCAATTCAAAACAGTTCTTTGGTCCTTCCTTGAGTTTCATCACCTTTAAAAATACTCTATTTTAAAATAACTTAAGTTGCACGAACAGTACAAAGAACTCACACTCCTCTTTCCCTTTCACTTAGACACTGGATTATTTAGTCTTCAGCACTTTCTGAATCATTTGAGAGTGAATTGTGGATATGATGCCCCTTCACTCCTGTATATTCCAGTATGTATTTCCCAAAACAAAGGCACTCTCTTATATAATAATCATCTGACTAGCTCAATCAGTGACTGAATGCTAATAGAATATTACTATCTAAATTCACAAATGCCATTCAGCTCGTCCCAACAGTGGCTCTTTCTCCTTCCAGGCCCAGGATCCAATTTGGGACCATGCATTACATTTAGTTATCCAATCTCTTCTTCAGTGTGGAGTAGTTTCTCGGTCTTTCCTTGCCTCTCATCCTTGACAGTTTTAGTGAGCCAAACCTTTTATTCTCTCAGATGACTCAGGTCACCCTCAATTTGAATCCATCTGATGTCTCCTCATGACGAGACTCAGGCCATGCATTCCTGGCAGGAAGATGCCAAAAAAATATAAAGTCAACATTTTCCTCCTCGTAATTGATAGGTACGTTGTAGAGAAACACTATGAGACTATGCCAATATCCTGTTCCTCAAGCCTCCATTCTTAGCATCCACCAAACTTAGCATCCATTGACAATTCCTGCCTTAATCAACCATCACTATGTTTGCCAAATGGTGATTATTCTAGTTCCTACATTCCTCCTACATTCATTGGTCAGCATTCTCAACCAATAAAAGAAGAGCTTCCTCTCTCTCACCTCCGCTTATTTATTTTTATCAACACAGACTCATTGAATCCTATTTCATGTAATGACTTACAATCTGTTACTCTCATTTATTTTGACACTCTAGTTTTCCCAGATATGGTCAGTGAGAGTCTTTCATACTTGCCTTTTTATAAAGTAAATTGAGTGAATATGATTTCATGTACCAAGGGGTATATTCAGGGCCAAAAACCTCTGCTTTCTCAATTCACTTTGGGAGTTATAAGACAACACAGAGAAATCATTCATGAATGTAATCCTTTTTCCCCCTTTCCAATATCTACTAACCAACATTTAAATACAAACAGATATCCTCTTAGAATCAGCTGTCAGGTAATATTTAAAGTGGCATGTCTATATTACCCTTTATAAAAAGATGAAAGATGTAAAAAAGAATCTTTGGTACCAAGGTCCTATGGATTGATTTTGTGCTTGCCTAGCCAGCCCCCTCAAATGAGTAAGTTAGGACCTTCCTCAAACTTCTCCCTTGGTTCAAGACCCTCCTTAGGTGATTTCACCCAGGCTAGAAATAACACCAGCCTCCAAACCAATAAATGAAATTGTGTGTGTGTCACGCACCAGACCCAGTGTAGATGCACAATACATAGCAACTCTTATCTTTTGTCCCCTTCACCTGCCCCAGAACTAAACATTCATTTTTCCTCCAGTACCACACACCTCCATTACTGGTCACCTCAAAGTCATCTCCTCAGTTGACAAAACTCTGCTAGTGCTAGAACCCAGCCTCTTTTTTTCAACATTGCTGCCAAAGTTTCAGCTCCAACTCCTGCCACTAACACTCTCCCTCCCTTCCCTTACTTCACCAGATTCCTCTCCCTAAATCACAGGAACACGACACTCCCCGAGAGAGGGCTTCTTCTCTCTCTGCAGAATAAAGCTGGGTCCCCAAGCTCTGGCATCAAACTAGGTCTCTCTCACCGTCTATACTCCAACCTCACAGAACTCTGGGCCTGCAATTAGGTTTTACTTATTTGTCTACCACAATCCAATGCAAAGCCTTGAAATTAGGTGGTATTCAGCCTCATCTCCACTGCCCTGCCCTGAGCTCAGTAAATGTCTGCTGTGATAAACAAAAAGGCACCTGTGGAAGACACAGTTGTCCACTTATTAGAAACACTACACATAAAAGGGCCAATTTTTCCAGAATTTTATTACTGATTCACATTTGAATAGTGATACATTTGTTTTGGATAGCAGAGGAATGAGGTTATTTGGCATACATCAGCAGAATAGGTAAAAACTTATTTTATATAGACATTACTTCCATAGCTCATAACTAATAAGAAACCCACTGAATAAAACATTTCATTACCATTCCCAATCCCAGAAGTACCAAGGTTTTTTTGTTTCTGTTTTTTCTTTTTTTTTTTTTTAAAGGATAATTTTGCTTTTAAACCAGTACTTTGCATCAGAGACTTATTTGATGGTCAATTTTATGTGTCAACTTTGTTACAAGCTACCGTCTAGTTATTAAACCAAATACTAATCCAGGCATTGCCGTAAAGGTTTTTGTTTGTTTAGAGACATGGTCTTGTTCTGTTGCCCAGAGTGGATGCAGTGGTATGATCACAGCTCACACAGCAGCCTCGATCTCCTGGGCTCAAGCAATCCTCCTGCCTCAGCCTCTTGAGTAGCTGGAACTACAAGCACGTGCCACCATACCTGGCTGATTAAAAAAAAAATTTTTTTTAAGAGACAGGGTCTCACTATGTTGCCTAGGCTGGCTTCAAACTCCTGGGCTCAAGTGATCCTCCTGTCTCAGCCTCCCGAGTAGCTGGGATTACAGGCATGAGCCACCGTGCCTGGTTCCATGTGAAAGTATTTTGTAGATGTGACTAAAGTCCATAATCAGTTGACTTTAAGTGAAGATTATAAGTGGGCCTGATTGAATCAGTTGAAGCCTTAAGGGCAGAGCCGAGTTCCCCGGGAAGAAATTCCACCTGTGAACAGCAGCCCCACCCTGTGCCAGAGAATTCCAGTCTGTTCGTCCAGACAGCCTGTCCTACGGATTGATTTTGTACTTGCCTAGCCAGCCCCCACAAATGAGCAAGCCAATGTGTGCAATAAATCTTTTATCTTCTATTGGTTGTGTTTCTCTGGTAGAACTCTTGACCAATCTACTTCCAGAATGAAAGGGGAAAGAGGATGTAACAGCTGAACAGTTAGCAAAATCTATATAAGGCCTTTACAGGATTGCCTTATTTTGGAGTGGGAAGTAGTCAGGCTCCTAGAACATCAGATACCCCATATTCAAACATAAGTTCAAATACATATAACATATGCCACGGCTTCTGTCCAACTGCATTCATTACACATTCAGTTGGCAAATATTTGTTATGAAAGGCACTGGGGAGAGAATAGTGTGCCAGACAGGCATGGTCCCTGCTCTTAGGGAGTTTACAGGATAGTGGGACATCATCAGTCATCAAACCAGTAATTATACAAATACTTGATTAATTATAATTATAATGAGTGCTGGGAAATACAGGATGCTGTTGGCATATTTAGTAGGGGAACTAACCAACTGGGGAGGGCTTTTGGAAATGCCACCGAGGAATGACACTGAAGATGAGAAGGGCAAGCAGGCAGTAGCCAGGCAGAGGACAGGAGGAAGAGCAGTCCAGTCACAGCAGACACATGTGCAAAGGCCTTATGCAGTAAACCATCTACATGAATTCAAGCACCTAAAAGATGACCAGTCAGTCTGGGCTGTTGTAAATTAGGAATGGGGAACATATAAGTTCAAACAGCCACACAAATAAAAGACAATGATTGGTCAAATTTGTCAAATAACTGACAGCAACTGCACGTGTTTAAGCACATAGTGACATGATCAGACTTGTGCTTTTAATATTTTCCTAGCAGGTGTGTATAGTTTGGCAGGAAGCAAATTGGATTGATGGAGACCAGTTGCAAGGCTTCTGTTACAGTCTAGGAAGGAGACGATGGAGGCATGAAAAAGGGCAGGGTGATGAGGATGGAGACACATGGTTAGCGGTAGAATCAACAAGACATGGAGTTTAGTGTTGGGTGATCTCCTAAGTGGAAGAGCCAGGGCAGGGTGGGAAAGGGTGGATTTGGGAGGGACAATCATGGTCTATGGTTCTGTTTTGGGCATGCACAAGTTTGTAATTCCTGTAAGATAACCATATGAAAATGTGCCTCTGGAATTCAGAAGGGACCTGGCCCAGATAGATAAATTTGGAATTTGCTAGCAGAGAGTCAGAACTTGATGCGGTCAAGCAGGGAGGCAGTATGGAGTGAGAAGACTGAGGATAAATTCCTGGAAGTACTGACATTTTAGGTGGGTGGAAGAAGAGCTTCCAAAAGTATCTAAAGAGGAGCAATCAAGAGGGTCCGTGCTCGGCCGGGCGTGTTGGCTCACGCCAGTAATCCCAGCACTTTGGGAGGCCGAGGCAGGCGGATCACGAGGCCAGGAGTTCGAGACCAGCCTGATCAACACCGTGAAACCCTGTCTCTACTAAAGATACAAAAAATTAGCCGAGTGTGGTGGTGTGCACCTGTAATCCCAGCTACTCGGGAGGCTGAGGTGGGAGAATCGCTTGAACCCGGGAGGTGGAGGTTGCAGTCAGCTGAGATAGCACCATTGCACTCTAGCCTGGGTGACAAAGAAAGACTCATCTCAAAAAAAAAAAAAATTATCAAGAGGGTCTGTGTTCACACAGGGCACACTCGTTTACATAAAAATGTTTTCCAATGAGCTATTTTAGTTTTAGCCTCTGCGTTTAAAAAATTGCATACTTTCACTGAAAAGGAAATAACCAAGTGTAAGGGGAAAACCCAATTAGAATGGACACAAGTAATTTCCAGCTAAGGTGTTTTATACAATAAGTATCACCTCACTGATTACTGTTTGCAATAGTTATTCGGTCTTTGGGACCAGCTGTACTTTCTGAAGTCACTTCTTCTTAACACTAATAGCTTGGCTCTTTATGTATAATTAGAGCCAATTCAGGCAATTAATTGTAAGGCTCACCTCAGAACACACTGCTTTAATCTTTCAGAAATCACTCTGTGTCACATTATTCTAAGAATGCCTCACTTGAAATAAAACACTGAACCGATAGGAAGTATTAATTTTAAAAAACTCTAAGAAGAGTGCCCTGGCCCCTAAAAGAATCACACAAATTAGCGCAGGCTCAGTGACTAAAAGAACTCGGGCTCCAGGAAAGGACATATTTAAATTACAATTGCACTCTGTCAGACTAGGAACACTTCTTGCCTTAATCCTCCCCATTAGCATGACACAGGGTATGTCAGGGAAACCTCTACAGTGTGCTGAGCTTCAGAGGGCAATTTGTAAGGCGGCCTTGTTAGAGTTTATAAAAACAGGCCCAGCAGAGGCCTCACAGACTCAGCAGGCACAACAGCACGAGGCACAAGTGGGAGCTTAATGAATATTTGATGATGACATTTTTTCTCCCTTGCATGATATGGCAAAGCAGCCCCCAACTTCCCAATGGAACCTATGCCAAAACATGGGTTGTTCAAATTTATGACCTGGAAATCAAAACATATACTATTCCTTTAAAATGTGTTATAATTGGTGGAGTCCAGGCCATGTGGGAAGCCATAACAGAGTTAGAGTTCCTAACCACCACTTACAACAATGCTTTAATGAAGAAAACACAGTGCATTACAATTGAAGACACCACTCCTCCAAGGAGAAGGGAAAGGGCTCATGTGGCTCCGAGCTGGGAATCTGGGCAGAGGGTAATGGTAGGGCAGCAATAAGGGACTGGGGCCAGTGGCTGACACCTGAGAGATCCAAAAGCAAAGATGAAGATGTAGTGAGTGCTTCAGAATGGGGTCAGGTAGAGACTCCAGCCCTGGCAGGGCTGCAGAGACAGAGGAGGGTAAGGCATCCCTATCAAAATGGCATCTGGCTGAGGTCAGGAAATAAGGAGCAAGTGCCGGAAGCAATCTTGCTCTGGCAGGAGCCCTGAGGAGACCGGAGGTCCTGGGGCTGGGACAAACTGAAAGCTGAGCCCTAGGCACAGTCAGATATTAATCAAAGACCATCCCCTTGGGCCCCAGGACACAAGGTTATCCAGTCTCTGAAACCATATTGAAAGTCAGGCACCTGCTCACCTATTTGCATACAGGGGTTTTAGGATTAACTGAGTGGTTCAGGACCTCCTTGACTTTTTTGGGTTTTCGTTTATTTGTTTGTTTGTTTTTGAGATAGGATCTCACTCTGTAGCCCAAGCTGGATTGTGGTGGTACAATGATAGCTAACTGCAGCCTCAAACTCTCGGCTCAAGCAATCCTTCTTCCTTAGCCTCGTGAGGAGCTGGGACTACAGGCGCGCACCACCACACATGGCTAAGTTTTTAATTTTTTTAGAGACAGGGTCTTGCTATGTTGCCCAGGCTGGTCTTGAACTTCTGATCCTCCTGCCTTGGTCTCCCAAAGTGTTGGAATTACAGACGTGAACCACTGCACCTAGCCTCGATTTTATATCTTGCTCTATCCATGTAGTATAAATTCATGCCCTACACGAATATAGCAAGATACAAAGGCAAGAATGAGTAGCTTGGGTTTAAACAACCCTCTACCCCTGTCCTTGTCCCAGCCTCTGAGCCATTCCAGCAGAGAGGGGTGTGTGTGTGTGTGTGTGTGTGTGTTTTTTTTTTTTGAAACATTGTCTCACACTTGTCACACAGGCTGGAGTGCAGTGGGGCAATCTGGGCTCACTGCACCCTCTGCCTCCTGGGTTCAAGTGATTTTACTGCCTCAGCCTCCCAAGTAGCTGGGATTACAGGCATGTGCCACAATGCCCGGCTTATTTTTTATATTTTTAGTAGAAGCGGGGTTTCACCATGTTGGTTGGCCAGGCTGGTGTCAAACCCCTGACCTCAAGTGATTTGCCGCCTCAGCCTCCCAAAGTGCTAGGATTACAGGCATGAATCACTGTGTCCAGGCAAGAAGAGTCATTTTTATGTCCATTGTATATAAGGCATAATGTATCTACATTTACCTTCCTAAATTGATATCCAAACCCAAAAGGCCATCAAATAATATCCTTAGGTTGAATCATCTAACAGTAAAATACTAAGGTGTCCTAATTGCAGGGGAAGGTCAGTTTGAAAGTCTTTGTTGGATTTTTTTTAACTGTCAAATTTACTTATAGGTCAGGTGTGGTGGCTCATGCCTGCAATCCCAGCACTTTGGGAGGCGGGAGGATCACTTGAGGTCAGGAGTTCAAGGCCAGCATGACCAACATGGTGAAACCCCATCTCTACTAAAATATACATAACAAAGTTAGCTGGGCATGGTGGCAGGCACCTGTAATCCCAGCTACTCAGGACGCTGAGGCAGGAGAATCTCTTCAACCCGGGAGGCAGAGGTTGCAGTGAGCCAAGATCATGCCACTGCACTCCAGCCTGGGTGATAGAGTGAGACCCTATCTCAAATAAATAAATAAATAAATAGATAAATAAATAAAATTTACTTATAGTCTTTATCTTTAATAAAGTCTTATTTTTCAGAGTACATATGGCTATAGTATGGAAAGAAAGAAAAGCGGGAAAAAAAGGCACCATGTCTTGGGAAGCTTTTTAAGTTATTTAGTAGTTTTTTTTTTTTCTTAATGGTAGCCAGACCTGTAGCCTTCAGGCAAAAGCTTGTGAGATCTCTGTGAAATCTGCCCAGTCTAACAGGAAAACCTCAGGATGCTGCTACTGTAGTGAGAGTGGGCTTCCTTACAGGACCAGCTCTGTCCATGAAGCCCTCAGTTTAAAAGACCCACTTGAGTGCTTGAAGCTCTCAAATCAGCTCCCTTGGGGACTCACTCTTAAACAGAAGCAGGCAAGCCACAATCACCAGATATCTGAGGAAAAACTCAAACATGAAACACAGATCAAAACAAACATAAAGAAAGCCACTTGGAGGACACCGAGGTTTCCCTGTGCAGGGAGCAGAAAATGTCAATAACCTCAGAGGGGTGACAGAAGATACTGCATCATCCATCAAACAAGAAAGGGATGCTAAAAAAAAAAAAAAAAAAAAGAAAGAAAGAAAGAAGAAATTTCAAACATGCAAAACTCAATAGAAAAGCTGGAAAATTGCCTCTTTGAAAACCCAGAAAATAAAAAGAGGAAAAGGGAAATAAAGTTGAGGAAATCACCCAGAAAGTAGGGCAAGAAGATTTAAAACAAAGAAATATGACAGCAAACATAAGAAAATTAAAGAACCAATGAATCCAGAAAGTCTAATACCCAAATAATCAGAATTCCAGAAAAAGAGAACAGGGAAAAGTGAGGGGAAGAAAGCATCAATAAAACTAATGAAGATGTTTCAGATCTTAAAGACCTTAATTTTCCAGACTGAAACGGCACACCAAAGACGGACAAAAGATTGAACATAAAGAGAGAAAATACTACTAACTACCAGACAGAAAAACAAACTTAGGTTTTAGAATGGCTTTGGTCTTCTTAACAGTAAGTTCAGAAGCTAGGGGGCAGTGGACTAAAGCCTTGAATATTCTAAAGGAAAATTATTCCCAACCTTGAATTTTAGGCCCAGACTATAAATCAAGAATGAGAATAGTGTAAAAATATTTATAGACATTTAAGATCTCAAAAATTTTACCCTCTCAGGAAGCTAACGGAGGGTGTGCTACATTAAAAAGAAAGAAAGGGGAGGAAGGAAAGAAGAGAGGAAGGAAGGAAGGATGGAAGGACAGAAGGAGGGAAAGAGGGAAGAAGGGAAGGAAAAGGAAAGGAAAGGAAAAGGATGGGAGGGGAAGGAAATGGAGGGGAAGGGAGGGGAGAGGAGGGGATGGGAGGGAAGGGGAGGGGAAGGGAGGGGAGGGGAGGGAAAGACAGAGGGACAAGCAAAGAAGAGGAAAACATGAAGACATAGAAAGCAGGAGATCCAATACAGGAGAGAGGTGTGTGTTGACAATAAAAAAGGTTTAAGACCAAAACATAAGCAAATAAGTATTTTGAAAGGATCTTGAGGGAGGATATCAAATGTACAGGAGATTTTTCTAAAGCTAAGTAATAATTGGTTTGAAAGAGTCTAATTTAAGAGGTAATAACTTCGAGCAAATTTTAAGAGCATTTTTTTCTTTCTCAACTATTTGATGATAAGCAAGTATTAATTAATATTCTATTGGATGGCACTTTGTTTCTTTCTTTCTTTTTCTTTTTTTTTTTTTTTAGACAGAGTCTTACTCTGTCACCCAGGCTGGAGTGCAGTGGCACGATCTTGGCTCATTGCAACCTCCACCTGCTGGGGTTGAAGCAATTCTCGTGCCTCAGCCTCCCAAGTAGCTGGAACTATAGGCACGTGCCACCACGCTGGCTAATTTTTTGTATTTTTAGTAGAGATGGGGTTTCACCATGTTGGCCAGGCTGGTCTCGAACTCCTGACCTCAGGTGATCCGCCCACCTTGACCTCCCGAAGTGCTGGGATTACAGGCATGAGCCACCATGCCCAGCCCGGCACTTTATTTCTAATAAAACTTTGCTAATTGTCACACTGGCACACAAGTTCTCTAAATTCAATCTCCATAATTTGGTTAATATTTGCTTATCATCAAATAGTTCAGAGAGAAAAACATACTCTTAAAATTAGCTTCAAGTTATTACCTCTTAAATTAGACTTTTTCAAACCAGTTACTACCTAGCTTTAGAAAAATATCTTGTACATTTGATATCCTCCCTCAAGTTTCTTTCAAAATACTCTCTCCATCTCCATCTCCCACCCTCCTCCCCAGACAAACACAGCAGCTCTAACTCCAGGTCAGCACACAAGAGGTTCTCATAGGTGACTTCCCCTGCATACTCATGGCATGCAGATGTTCCCAAATTTACTTCTGCAGGCATCTCCTGATGCAGATGTACTCACAGCTGGAAAAACCAACTGCAGTTGGCTGAAAAATACACACCGACCCCACCCTTAAAAAATTATGTTCACTTCCTAATCCCCTGAGCTTGTAGATATTACCTTATATGGCTAAGAGAGAATATTTTACCATATATGACCCCAAAACATATGATTAAGTGAAGGATACTGAGAGGAGGTGCTTATCCTGGATAATCCAAGTGGGCCCTAAATACAATTACATGTATCCTTGTAAGACAGAGGCAGAGAGAGTTCTGACACAGACAAAGAAAAGGAGAAGACACACACAGAGGAAAAGGGATGTAAAATAAAACAGAGATTTTGAGTTATGTGGCCATGAGCTAAGGAACACCAAGGACCAGAACAGGAGAGAATACATTTGTGTTGTTTTAAGCCACTAAGTTTGTGGTAATTTATTACAGTAGCCATGGGAAACCAGTATACCACTCTGCCACAGCAGCACTCACAGGTGCACCCACACAAGACCACCTTTATAGGCAGGGACCCACTGGCTATCGCTTTCTCTTTAAAAACAAAACAAAACAAACAAACAAAAACCCCAGCACTTTGGGAGGCTGAGGTGGGAGGATCCCTTGAGTCCAGGACTTTGAGACCAGCCTGGGAAACACAGCGAGACCTAAATTCTCTACTAAAAACAAAACAAACAAACAAAAACAACAACAGGCTGGGTGTGGTGGCTCACATCTGTAATCCCAGCACTTTGGGAGGCTGAGGTGGGCGGATCACCTGAGGTCAGGAGTTCAAGACCAGCCTGACCAATATGGTGAAACCCCATCTCTACTAAAAATACAAAAATTAGCTGGGCATGATGGCAGGTGCCTGTAGTCCCAGCTACTTGGCAGGCTGAGACAGGAGAATTGCTTGAACCCGGGAGGCAGAGGTTGCAGTGAGCCGAGATCGTGCCACTGAACTCCAGCCTGGGCAACAGAGCGAGACTCCATCTCAAAACAAAAACAAAACAAAACAAAACAAAAAAACCTCCTGTAAGAAAGAGTTGGTAAAGAGCTTACTAAAGCCTTTAGTAAGTAAACTAAACCCTATGGTAAGTGATTCAACATAAATCAAATTTTCTATCCCTTTCTTCATCTTGAAAACCAAAGGCTGGATAATGATATCACTAAATATACAGGTTATGTGACAGTGGCCTCTTCATTTTGTGCTGATTTTCTGTCCCATTGTCCACTGTATAGAGAGGAAGATGATCAAGTAAGGACACCGTTTTTCCTGTGAACTCAGTCTCATTGCTATGTCATGCCTCATAATCCCTAACCACACAACTTTAAGTGCTATTTGGGTTCTCAGTTTCCTTTGTACTGACACAGTATATGCTAGCTTTTTCACCACACATAAACCCGAGACGGGTCTTTTTTGTTTCATTCTACCTGTTGGAAAATACTTTAGTTCTTCACACAAGACAAAAATTAGATGCCAGCTTTCTCAAAACAGCCAATAAGAGAAATCCTAAGCATGTGGCTGTGTAATACAGTATTAAAAAGAATTGTGGAAAAGTTGGATGCATCATCTGATTAATCAGCATATTGGGTAGGCTCAAGTAGTTGAAGGTTACTTACTAATTCAACTGTGACTAGATTTTAACAGTTTGAAATATCATTTTCAAAAAAGGCAAAATTAATACTTTTTTGCCCACCCTTTGATATTTTCATAGCCAAGAGCCAAATGCTTCTAAAGTGTGACAAATGATCATTCTAATTAAACTGATCAAACACTTAGCTGTGCTGCTTAGCGACATAATGCCCTTAAGAGGATTAGACAAACAATTCTGGAAATATACAAATCTATCATATTTATTAATGAATTCGTGTTTCAATAAGTGACTACATGTAACTTCTCATTTGTCCAAGTCGCTGACCTAAAAGTGACTTGGGCATATATACGGGAAATATCTCCTGCTGTGCTGCTTGATTTTTTGTCCTCTGCACAGTGTTTTTGCTGAAAAGATCCTTCAGTAAAGTCCCATTTGTCTATTGTTTTCCTTTATCATGAGCACTCTTTATGTCCTGTTTAGGAAATCTTTGCTTATTTTCTTTTTCTAGAAGCTTTGTTGTTTTACCTTTCTCAGACCTACAATCTATCTGGAACTGTTATTAGAGATCCAGAACTTATTAGATCAGGTAGAATTCTAAGACTTCTTTCTCCCCCATCACTCCTCACTGTCATCATCTGGGGCTAACTACAGGCTCCCTTGTTTCTTTAAGGCCATTACAGCCATTGTCCACACCATAGAGAACTGAAGGCCGCTGAAGCTTCTTTTTTCTTCCCATCCACCAGCCTTCATCTTTGGCTTCCTCTCTTCCCTGTCTACTTAATCATGAGCTGTCACTTCAACCTCTTTTTAGCACTCTCAATTCCCCCCAGCTCACTGTCTCAAACACAAATCCCAACCCTGGCAAGGAAAAGGCATTATGGGCCAATTGGCTTTGGAGCTACAGGAAACTGGGTTTGAAATCTGATTATACAATTTACAAACTGCAGGAGCTTGGCAGTCAGTTGACATTTCTATTTTCTCATCTGTGAAACTGAGAAAGGCTGGGGCTCACGGTGGGGGAAGGTGGGGTACAGTGTGGGGGTAAAGGATTAACAATACCAACACCTTGTAGGCCTATTGTAAGGATGAGAAATAATGTATGTTAAGACCCTGGTGCAGAGTAGGCACTGAATAAGTAAATGAATAGTAGCAAAAAGGAATCAGTCAATGAATCAATAAAACTGCTAGCCAACTCACTCAACTGCATTGCTAGAGTAACTCTCCCTCTCAGGTGGGCTTCCAATGGTAAGCTCTTTCCTCTTCACCGCACTGGCTATGTTAACTTTTACCACAATCCCTCAAGACCTCCACTTCACTCCTCTGCCTGCCTCCTCACTTTCAACAGATATCTGGGGGACTTCTCCTTCTGGCCAAGATGAAGGACTGAATTTATCTTCCTGTTGGAGACAACCAAGAAGTGGACAAAACATACAAAGAAATAGTTTTCAAGATATTATCAGGCAACAAAAGACAGTGATCCCCAAGAGAGAGGAAAGGAGTGAGGTGAGTCCTAAGAAAGACTACACTAGGTTACTACCTTGAGTGAGTTTCCAGCAGTGGCACAGGGAGGGGGAACCCAGGCCCAGGGCAGCAGACTTGAGCTGACAGTTCAGAAAAACCAAGGCAGCTGTAGTCCAAAGGAAAAGGGAGATGTTCACAGAGAGATTTCCAGAGATCTGCAGAGAGTTCCCATCAAGAATTCAGTGAGGCCGGGCAGGGTGGCTCACACCTGTAATCCCAGCATTTTGGGAGGCCAAGGTAAGCGGATCACTTGAGGTCAGGTGTTCGAGACTGGCTTGGCCAACATGGTGTAACCACCCTCTCTACTAAAATGCAAAACTTACCTGGGTGTGGTGGCATGCACCCGTAGTCCCAACTACTCGGGGGGCCAAGGCATGAGAAACGCTTGAACCCAGCAGGCGGAGGTTGCAGTGGGCAGAGATCGCGGCACTGCACTCCAGCCCAGGCAACAGGGTGAGATTGTCTCAAAAAAAAAAAAAAAAAAGAAAAAGAAAAAGAAAAGAATTCAGTTAAGTCATGCTCATAGGTATAAGGAAGCCAAAGAGGTTGGAGAAAAAAACACTAGAACGCACTAGAGATGACAGAACAGTGCCTACACTCACAGAATCAAGAACAGTCTACTCCCACCTGCCAAACTAGAAAGCCTCATGATTCAGCGGACATTGGGTACAGTACACAGAAGGGTCTTGCCTAGTTCATGGAAACAATTAGCCTTAAATTGAGCACTATCTGGTCCCACTAAACAAATCTTAAAGCCAAGACCTTAAAGAGTGAAACTATTTCTAAGTAAATTAATTGCGTCACAGAACAAAGCTCAAGAACATTTACAGGAATGCAAAAATATCCAGCACCCAACAAGGTAAAATTCCCAATATTTAGCATCCAATCAAAAATTACCAGGCACATAAAGAAGCAGGGAAATATGACTCATGGTAAGGAGATCCTGACCCAGAGCTGTCACAAAGATTAGAATTAGCAGGCAAGGATATTAAAAACAGTTATAATTATATTCCGTATGTTCGAAAAGTTAAGTAGAGATACGGAGATATTTTTAAAGACCCAAATAACACTTCTAGAGCTGAAAACTACAAAGTCTGAAATTAAAAATATATCCTTGGATGAGATTAATACTGTAGACATTGCCAAAGAAGAGATTACTAAATGTGGGCCAGGCACAGTGGTATAAGCCTATAATCCCAGCTACTCAGGAAGCTGAGGTGGAAGGATAGCTTGAGCCCAAGAGTTCAAGTCTAGCCTGGGCAACACAGTCTTACCTCATAAACTGAGGTGAGACTCTACCTCAATTTAAAAAGAAAAAAGTTAAAAGAAACTAAGTGTAAAGACACAGCAATAGAAACTATCCAAAGTGAAACAGAGAAAAGAGAACTTTAAAAAATGAACATAGCCTCAGTGAGCTGTGAGATAACTTTAAGCAGCCTAATATACAGTACATGGACTCCCCACAAAAGACAGAATAATGAAGAAAAAACAGAAAACCATGTGTGAAGAAATAATAGCAGAAACTTGTCCAACTTTCTTGAAAACAAAAATCCCACAGATTAAAGATGCTTAATGAATCTCAGTGGCACAAAAGACATAAAGAAAACCACATCAAGGTACATCCTGATCAAATTACTCAACACCAATGATAAAAAGAATCTTTTTCTTTCTTTCTTTTTTTTTTTTTTTTGAGACAGTCTCACTCTGTCACCCAAGGTAGAAAACAGTGGCACAACCTCAGCTTACTGCAACCTCTGCCTCCCAGGTTCAAGTGATTCTCCTGCCTCAGCCTCCCAAATAGCTGAGGTTACAGGTGCCCACCACCACGCCCGGCCAATTTTTGTATTTTTAGTAGAGACAGGGTTTCACCATGTTGGCCAGGCTGGTCTCGTACTCCTGACCTCGAGTGATCTGCCACCTCAGCCTCCCAAAGTGCTGGGATTACAGGCGTCAGCCACAGCGCCCGGCAGATAAAAAGAAATCTTAAAGCAGCCAGAGAAAAAAGATACAGTATGTACAAAGATAAGGATAATAGATTTCTCACTGAAAACAATGCAAACAGGAGGCTACATCTTCAAAACACTAAAAAGAAAAATACAGTCTACCTAGAATTTTATGCCCAGTGAAAATATCTTCAAAATTGAAGGCAAAATAAAGACACTTTCAGACACACAGAAGTGAAAAAGTTAGCACCATTGGAAACAAGAAATGTTAAAGAAAGTCCTTTTAAGAAGAAAGAAAATGATTCCAGATGGAAATATGCATCTGCAAAAAGGAATGAAAGGCACCATAAATGGTAAATACATAGTAAATATATGATTTTGTAAATTATCATTTACATATCTTTAAAAGATAACTTTTCAAACAAAAGCAGTAACAATATAATGTGGGGTTTATTACATAAATATGACAACAATAGCACAAAAGTCAGGAAGAGAGAAAATAAAGTATATTATTATAAGGTTCCAATACTATAAGCACTCACTGTAGTGTCAGATTGGAATGGCTGATTAAAAACTGACCCAAAGTCTATCTGGATTCTGCCATTCCCGAAAGTTCTATGAGCCTACTATGTGACTTGATCTTAAAGCTGACATCATATCTGATAAAGCACTATAACTGCAGTTAACAAGCACATGTAAGAATGGTCATGGGAACACTGTCAGGCACACTTCTCAGGTTGAAAACAAATGCCACAGGTCCCTGTCAGTATTTTTTCTACATCTGTACATACATGTTTTCACAAATTAACTCTAATGTGGACCATGTGCCAGGTCAGGATGATTTAGTATCTAGGCATGTGATGGTCAGTACAAGTCTGGCACTGGCTCGGACACCTCACCTCTCAGAGCCTCAGTTTCCTCATCTACAAAATTACTTCTAAGATACTTTCTGTGATTTGGGTAATGCTGGAAAGACTAATCTGCTAGTTAAGTCTTAGATATTGAGCCACTAAGAAAATATGTCTCTTGCCGCGTGCTGTGGCACACAACTAAAATCCCAGGCACTCAGGGGGCTGAGGCCAGCAGCTGGAGGCTGTAGTGCACCATGATCATGTCTGTGAATAGCCACTGCACTCCTGCCTGGGCAACATAGTGAGACCCTCATCTCAAATAAATAAATAAATAAATAAGAAAATATGTCTCTTGATACAAAATATTCTCAAAGTAATCCCAAAAGAATCACTACATTGGAAAATGGCCATTTTTTCACTCTCAAGTTGTCACTTTGAGTTGCTTCTATGAAAATCAGATGCCTACAAACTGCTAACTCCCAACATTGCCCACCAATATTTTCTTTGGACAGAGTAACCATGATTCTTAATCTTCAAATCAGAAAGGTAAATTTAATCTTAATTCTAAATGAAATATTAATATACATTTGTAGAGTCTACAGTTTTAGAAAATACTTATTTGGGCCAGGCACAGTGGCTCACACCTGTAATCCCAGCACTTTTGGAGGCTGAGGTGGGCAGATCACAAGGTCAGGAGATCAAGACCATCCTGGCTAACACGGTGAAACCCCATCTCTACTAAAAATACAAAAAATTAGCCAGGCGTGCTGGCGGGCGCCTGTAATCCAGCTACTCGGGAGGCTGAGGCAGGAGAAAGGTGTGAACCTGGGAGGCAGAGCTTGCACTGAGCCGAGATCGCGCCACTGCACTCCAACCTGGGTGACAGAGCAAGACTCTGTCTCAAAAAAGAAAAAAAAAGAAAAGAAATATTTATCTGGAATTCCTAAAGCATTTCTGGAAGTCCTAAAGAAAATCTGTTTTAGAAAGAAAATGTCAAGGAATTATAGAAAATATTAAAATCAAGGAACACCCCTGTACAACACTCCATCACCATCCTCAAAAATATATTACTAATTTCTTATAATAGTAATCATCTATGCCAGCAGAGGAAAAAGGAAGAAAGTTACATCATGATTTGTGGGCAGTTTTTAGAAGTGTCTGAAGAGCCAGGCACAGAGGCTCACACCTGTAATGTCAGCACTTTGGGAGGCCAAGATAGGAGGAGCACTTGAGGTCAGGAGTTCAGGACGAGTCTGGCCAACATGGTGAAACCCCATCTTTACTAAGAATATAAAAATTAGCCAGGCATGGTGACACACACCTGTAGTCCCAGCTACTGGAGAGGCTGAGGCAGGAGAATCACTTGAACCCAGGAGGTGGAGGTTGCAGTGAGCCGAGATTGCACCGCTGCACTCGGGCCTGGGTGACAGAGAGAGACTCCATCTCAAAAAAAAAAAAAAAAAAAAAAGGTCTGAAGAAACAGAACCTTGCTTGCTTGCATTTAACTCATACATTATTGATTTGCATATAAATGTCAAATGACCCATTTTAAAAGCAAAAAGAAGCAACTAAAAAGCTCCAGCACCTCCAACTTAAAGAAATGTGCTTTAATCTTTGTATATTTTATTGCTGGCTTTGAAAAATGTAATCCCTAAACCTCATTATTTCACAAAATTTGGCCAGCTCACAAAGAATAATTAGGCATTATTCTCGAAGAACTTTTTTAAAATATTTCTTACACAGAGAAATAATTGTCAGTTAGCTACCCAATAATGGACACTTTGAGACTAGAAGTACAGCACTGCCTTATCCAAATATGTGTTTTCCTTCAAAGTTTAAAGGGAAAAAGCTTAAAGTATTTTTTTCCCAGTGTTCCGAAAGATTAGAATGTAAACACAAACCAAACAGAACTATAATTAGCATTTCAAACGGCAAACAATGTACAGTGTAATTTTATACGAATCAATTAACAAAAATTGTATATTTATCAACACTTACTGAATGTCCACTATGTACAAGGCTATGTGATGTGGGAGTTAAAAAGATGAATACATAGAGCTTTCTAGTTCTATGAAAAGCCCCTTAATAGCATTAGTTTTGGGGATTTAACAAATGAAAAAAAAAAAAAAAACCCTTAATGGTTATCTTGCAGAGGCTCCCCATGACATTTGAGCAGTCACTCACAGGCAGCTAAAGGTTGAAGACTCAATATCTCAGAGAGCCAGGCAACCATAGGATTTGGCCCCAAACCTAAGCAATAAAATCAGTCGGCCTTCTAGAAAGACCCAGAAAAACACTTAGCAGTAAATACCCAAGCATTCCCTCAGAAGCAAATTAACAGAAATATTAAGTGTGTAGAAAGAGTAATGGTAGGGGTTTAAGGGGGAAGAGAAGAGGACGGAAAATAATGTGAATTTTTATTTGTTTAAAGCAGAATTTCACAGTATAATCAAAATTTAAAACGCTGCCTTTGGATACTGACACATGAAAGCTCTCATTTGATTTAAGAAAATTGAGTTTTATGTTTATGTTTCTTTTAATCACACATAGGGATTAATAATTTTGGTCATATTTTACTATCTGCCAGATAGTATTTATGCACTGAACATGGCAAAGCCTGAGTGAAGAATCCACAACATCCAATGGATATATGATGCATTTAATTTCCTCTCAGAATATAACAAATGCACAAACTGTCATATCTAATAGTCACTAAACACCAACAATATACCCAAGGCCAACTGAGTTAGACAAAGATGAATTTGAAAGAAATGTTCTATTTGAATGCTTAATACTTGAAAAACTGAGATCCAATTAAATTATCCTTGGTCATTTTAGCTATTGTACCTTTGGGGGTACTATTTCTATAACAACAACTCCCTAACATTGCTGGCAATATGTGGTGAGTTTTTACTCTGGGCCAGAAGTTCACAGAATATTTGACACAACTGGAGAGTTAAGCCCTAATAGTATGTCCATATTACAGATAGTACGTCCACATTACAGATAAGGAAAACACCTTGGGCAGATTACTTAACCTCTTTGTGCCGCAGTTCTCTTATTTATTTATTTATTTATTTATTTATTTATTTATTTATGAGATGGAGTCTCGCTGTCACCTAAACTGTAGTGCAGTGGTGCAATCTCGGCTCACTGCAACATCTGCCTCCTGGGTCAGACCTCATGAGGTCAGGAGTTCAAGACCAGCCTGACCAATATGGTGAAACCCCCTCTCTACTAAAAATACAAAAATTAGCTGGGTGTGGTGGCATGCACCTGTAGTCCCAGCTACTAGGGAGGCTGAGGCAGAAGAATCGCTTGAACCCAGGAGGTTGCAGTGAGCCAAGATTGCGCCACTGCATTCCAGCCTGGGCGACAGAGCGAGATTCTGTCTGGAAAGAAAAAAAAAAATTGATACTACACGCCAAGATTCTTCATATTTCTTTTCATTATAGTCAAATACCTTTGACTCTCCTCTTCTTTTTTAGGACAGTAGTTTTAGTTTTTAAACTAATCCTTTTCATTTTCTCCAAACTTGAGAACTCTCATCTCAATCAGCAGTGCCTCCTAACGAGGAGCCTTGGATCTCTCCTGGTAGTCCCCACCTATCTGTTCCCTAAACTTAGTGTATAAATGCTTTGAGTGGTTCACTGTTGGAAAATTTCTCATGGCTCCCTCAACTTCTGTTCATATCATTTTCTAAGTCCACAACAGCCTTCCTCTTCTCAGCATGACCACTTCCTGCTCAACCTTTTTGCAAATTTCTTCCATGAACTCTGGGCAACTCATGCCTATGCATAGGGACTGCATCTTCATCTTTCAACTAATATCTTGTAGGCTTATTGTCTTGTGATAACTCTATTGTCCTTATTTTCTTTTTCCTTAGAACCTTAAAATATCATCACTGGTCCATGCATTATCCTCTTTCTTTTTTTTTAATACAATATCTACCCCCATCCAAAGTTTCAATTACCCATGGTCAATCTGGTTCTGAGAATAGGTAAATACAGTGTAATAAGATAATTTGAAAGAGAGAGAAACCACATTTACATAACTTTTTATTACAGTATAGTGTTAATAATTGTTCTGTTTATTATGATTGTTAATCTCTTACTGTACCTAATTTATAAATTAAATTTTATCATAGGTATCTATGCATGGAAAAGAAGCATATACATAGGGTTTGGCACCATCGGAGGTTTCAGGCATCTACTAGGGAACTTGGAACATACTCCCTTTGGATAACGGGGGAATTACTGTACAATGATCACCTAGAAACTCACCATGAAACCCAAGGACTAGGTCATTATCAATAACAAACATCCATGTGTGTGTTCCTCCCCACATGCTACCCTCCAGTCCATATAAAAGATAACTGCCATTCTAAGTTTTACGTTCATCATTCTCTTGCTTTCTAAAAAGATATGTATTTCAACAGACATATATGCAAAACAGAAGTGCATGTTTTTATTTAGTGTTTGTATTTGGTTGTTTCCCTGGTTTATGTAAATTAGTACAACCATTTGGGAATATAATTTGGCAATACTTAATAAGTTGAATATTCACATAACCTACAAACCAGCAATTTTATTCCTTGGTATTAACCCAAGAGAAACACTGGCACGTGTGCCCAGGAAACAACAATAATCAGAGCAACACTGCAATATCTCAAAAAAAAAAAAAATGGTCAGAGAGGAGAAAAGAGAAACATACTGCGTTATAAGACACATAATGGAATATTTTACTGCAGTGAAAGTCAGTGAACTACAACTACATACAGTATGAATGAATCCAGAGATATAATATTGAGTGAGGAAAAAAAAGTTCCAGAAGTCAATGGATACTATGAGACCCTTTTTCCCCCAAGATTTAAAACCACTTTTTAAAAAGTATCATAATTATGACCTAACCTTTGCAGCAAAACAACAAAATCCTTCTTTTGAGAATGTATGCCTTACCTTTCAAAACTATATTATCTTCTCTCTAGTCCAACAGTTTCATGAGTAAAGTCATAAGAATTTTTATCTCCTTATGCAGTTTACCTAATCCGGTATCTGTGGTGGTACTAAGACCTCCAACCACAAAGATTTCATCTTGGAAGGACTTTATTTTTCTCCTTGAAATAAAGTTAACTTAAGGTTATAGCAATCTAGGGATAAGAAAACTTACATATGTGATCCTATAAAAGTCCAGCAGAACTACCTCATACTAAAGCCAAGAGTCACCTGACAAGTCATAGTAATCTGAAACTGAGGTACCGCCAAAGGTAATCCATCCACTGAATGTATAATGGCGTTATCAACATTGCATCCAAAAATATGAGCAAAACCAGAATTTTTAGGCTTTCTAAAAGCCTGAAATTTTAATTTCAAAATATTTCATTTTTACCTTAAGAAAAATTATTTTTTAGGGAAAAAATATATGAACTCCTACTGCAAAAGAATAATAATAATAAAATCCACCAATCAGGGCCTTTCCCAATGAGGGCTATGCATATTCTCTGTAGGTGATTATTGCTGAATTACACTGCAGCTTCCCTTCGACCTTGGGAACCCTGCTAACTCTCAGAGTTACTGCGAGGTCTTCTGTTTCATTTATTATTAGTCTTTGTCTCCGCAATGCTGTAGCATGTGATAGAAATATCAACGTTGTGAGCTTGCAGTACCCAAAACTGTAGAAATGTTTCCAAAAAATAAAGCGGGGGTTGGGGGCGGGGGGAAGGATGAAAGAAGGAAAAGAAACAAAAACAAAACAAGAGGAAAACAAAGTTAATGTATTAAGATGGGAAATTTCTTATTTTTACCTTGTGAAGACTACATTTCCTAATCAGCTTAGTGATATGTAACCATTAGTATGCAATTTTTAAATTTAAGAAAAGATGTCCAAGAAAATTATTTAGAAAAAAAAAATCACAACTGAATATAATAGACAATTGGCTAAACTTAGCCCAGCAATTTAAAAATGAAAGTTCCTATAGAAAAAACCTTACAGGATTTTGTGTCCAGAAGAGAGAAATAATCTGGCAACCCAGTGGGTTCACTTAGTTTCGTGTCATTTGCTTCATGTCCATTATGTAATGCTTCCCCTAGCTTTAGGTCTCTATGTTTAAGCAACCGTTCAGGTATATCATAGAATTGTCACAAAATCAGTATCTGGTTATAACTTTCAAAAACAGCTTAAAAGGTGCCTTGCAGATGTGTCTATACGCAGCAGAAGCTTTGGGGAGAAAATCCGCTTGTGTCATTACTTCTCCAGGCTTTCTCCTCAGGTCTCCCATTCCCTCCTCCCCCAGCATCCCCGGCGACACGATCTGCGGGCAGCTCCCGGCTTGATGCAGGGGAAGCACGTCTTGACTGCAATGCAAACGCTGTCCCGGTCTGAACCAGGGAAGGCAGACTTGGCCCTGGCCGGGGGAGTGGACGGAGGCTGCCGGGAGGGCTGCAGGGGCGCCAGCAGCGGGTGGGCAGGGGTGCCCCGCGAGGGCAGTCCGCAGTGCACGCGCACAATAAAACCCAATGCACAACTTCCCCAGCCGCTCCTCTCGGCTTCCCCGATTCCCTGAAAGGTGCGGCGTAGGCGTTAGCTCTCGCGGGCGCGGGCGCTCTCACCCGCGCCGGTTCGGTTTTCCGCTGACAATTACATCAGTCCTTCTCCCTGCCCCTGCTTCAATCCCCAGGCAGCCTGCGGGGAGCAGGGGCGCCGGCCCGCGCGAGGGAATGCGAGCGCTAGTGGCAGGCGGCCGGAATTCCCTGGCAACGAGGGGGAGGGAGGGCGGCAAACCGGGACCGCGATACAGACGCCCCCTCCCATCCCGGCCGCGAGAATGGGCTGACACCGCCGCCCCCACTTCCCTGTAGCCCGGGCTATCGGCCGGGGGCGCCTCCAGGGGGACGGCGATGTCCTGGGGACCCGAAGCTGCGGCTGCCCACCCACGCGTCCCTCGGGGTCCTCGGCCCGCCGGAGGCGCACAATGCCCCCGGGCCGCGATGCGGGCACCTTGGCGCCCGCCCCAAGCAATCCCTTTGCAGCTAGGACACCTACCTGGAGGGCGAGCGGTGGCGCCGCGGACTCTGCGGCGGCTGCGCGGCTGCGACGGGAGGCAGGAGGCGGAGAGCCGGCCCCGGCAGGCGGACTGGCGCGCGGGCTAGTGGAGGAGAGGAGGCATGGGCGCCGCCTGCACCGAGCCGCGATCTCCAGCACCGACAGCGGCGGCGGCGACCGTGCTGCGCCTCCAGTGGTCCGCTGCGCTGCAGCCCCTCCTCTCCCACGGGCGGGGCGCGCTGGCGGGGCGGCGCTCCGGGTTCCCCGCCCCCGGCTCCCGCCCGTCCGCCCGGCTGGAGTGGAGCGGCAAGCGGCTGGGGCTCATGCTGCGCACCCGCCCTACCGGGCGCCCCTCCCTGCGCCGCCAGATGGGCTAAGGACCCGGCGCCCTGCGCCCTGGTCACGCGGGGTCCCACAGCCAGGGCTCTCCCCTGGCCCGGCCTCCGTGGGAACCCGTGGTGTCCCGAGATCACCCGCAGTGGAAACCCCGAGTTGCCATCCGCGGGCCTGCGCGCAGTAGCGGAGCCCTCGCCCCGCGCAGTCCGGCGGAGGTGAGCCGGCCGCGCTCGGGAGGGTTGCCCAGAACGGCTCCAGCGCTCGGCCCAGGAGCGCCGCAGCCGGGAGCACTGCGGGAGACCGAATTCCGAAAGGAACGGCTGCCTGGCGGCCTCCGCTCGGGGCTGCCAAACCCATGTCCCTGGGCGCCCTTCTGAGGTCGTCATTTCATACACTTACGCGACTGTGCGTGCCTGCTCCCGTCCCTGACTCGCTCGGGAGCAAAAACTTCCCGGGCCCAGAGAAACACCTGGGTTCTGCGAAAGGAAGAGCCGGTTCCTTCAAGCCCCTGGCAAAGCCGATCAAAGTCAGTCAGTCCCGCCTCACTACAACCCTTCCACACCCTTAAACCCTTCCACACTCCAAGCCACTCCCGGCCTGCGTTCGGTGTGCAGATTAATCTAAAGGCAAATTTGCTGGGAGGGACGGGGTAATGTAAATATTTGTACAGACATTCTGTAAACGAGTGACTGCGGACATGTCAATATTTCAAGACATTTGTGTCATCATCATCTGGGGGTGGGAGGCGGAGGGGGAGTCCAGAGGACATCGACTGGACTTAATGGGAGCTATTACAGAACATGCTGGGGTGCCTTCAAAAATGGAAGATATTGCTTACTAATGAGGCAACTGTGATGGCATTTCATTGTGCCCTGTGCTGACAAAATGATTTGCTATGAAACATAGTCGACTTTATGCACTCCTTCCCACATGCAGTTTCTCTTGAATCTCCAATCTCACCTGTTGGATTAGCTTTTTCCATCTAGACTAGCAATGTTCTCATGTCCTCTGGTCACAAAATAATAGATGCGGGACCCTGCGACAATGGCAGTTTGTCCTTCATTCCTTTGCTGTGAAGACAGGCTCCTCAAGGGAGCAGCTGGGATGCTGACCTCTGCTTCATCACAGCCACCCTTTCTACTTACTCCTTCTGAGTTCCATTAACAGAAACTCTACTGAAATGGCTTTCTCCCTTAAAAGAAAAAAAGCTAAAACCCATGTATTTAAAAAGAAATACAAAAGTGTGAACGGAAATGAGAGTACACACAGCACACAGAATCTTTACCTAAAGAAGTTCTCTAGGCCCGGCGCGGTGGCTCACGCCTTTAATTCCCGCACTTTGGGAGGCCAAGGCGGGCGGATCACTTGAGGTCAGGAGTTGGAGACCAGCCTGACCAACATGGTGAAACCCCGTCTCTACTAAAAATACAAAAACTAGCAGGGTGTGGTGGCAGGCACCTGAAATCTCAACTTCCCGGGAGGCTGAGGCACAAGAATCGCTTGAACTTCCTGAAATCTCAACTTCCTGGGAGGCAAAGGATGCAGTGAGCTGAGATCGTGCCACTGCACTCCAGCCTGGGCTACAAAGTGAGACTCTCAAAAAAAAAAAAAAAGAAAGAAAAAGAAGAGGTTATCTAATTTTTTCTCTGAACCCCTAATAGCAGAGAACCATAAACTATGGGGAAAGAGAGGGGACTACCACAACCTAAATCTCACGTTTTAGTGTAAGAATGTTCTCACGCTTTTCACTCTATTCCATAGTATCTATGTGTGTTTTAATAGTTTTAAAAAATGGCTTTAAACATCAGGGGAAAAAAGTCTCCCCCCATCTCATTGATTAATGGTCAAATAAGAGGTAACGGTACTACACGCATCCATCTGGGGAAATGGGTGGATTAAACACAGCGGGCTGTGCGGAACTAGAGATCAAGGCAGTTTCTCCACCCTATTGGTGCATCAGTGTATCTTGAAAACTCAGACTGGCATAGATATGTAAATATGAATAACAGGCTTTTCACTGCTTTTTGAGCTATGGCAGGATTATTGCTCAAAAAAGTGCCAGTGCCAGAGAGCAAAGTTTTCATTAAGCGTACATTCTTGCTGAGTGTTAAAGTCACAAGTCATATGTTGACTAAAAGGATCTCAGCTCCCCTAATCCATCCCTTTTGTCTCAGAAAATACTTGTTCATGGACTTTTCCAGTGAAGAAAGATAATGATGTTCTTAAAAGCCATCGATGCTATAATTCCATCACATACAACTGAACTGAGCCTCATAGGAATCAGTTTCCCCCATCAATTCATCCAAGTCCCACTTCGTTTTCATTGCATTTTCTTAGATGAGTACTATTTTAGCTGGAGTTTTTAGGAAGGCTGAAGTGCTAATGCTTCCTTGAAAGATGCAAACCCAGGGCAACAAATGAGGAATAGGAGAAATGAGACAGGAAAGAATAGAAAGCAAATACATAGTGATATGTTACCAACCTGGCCTGTGCTTCATGAACCTGAGAAGACACAGCCAATTGCTTAGCCATGCAAAACTGTGCCCAAGAACAGTCTATCAAAGAAAAGACTGAAGAAGAAATTTACCTGAAAGCTACCTCCCATTTCCTCCAGCTTCCAGGATGAGTCGTCATCTGACCTGTCTGACAGCGACTAGAGAAACAAATCCCATACTTTGCAGACAAGGTATGGTCATCATACTAGATTGTTCTATAGGCAACATGGTTATGCTGGAAACTATGTTTCCCCAAATCCCCTTTTGTATATGCTTCCAGACAGACAAAATTGAAGTTACCTGAGACTTAGGAGGCAATACTGAAGCAGCATCTTCATTTGTCTCTCGCCACCTCTAACCAGTGACAACTGTCAAGATGTAATGAAAGTCGTCATTGGTTAGAGGTGGCGAGAGACAAATGCCATTTCTAACCAATGAGAAGAGATGCAGGAGAGTTCCTGTTTGTTCTCATTCTTCCCTGCTCTGTATTCGCTTCTGACAAGTAACTGTGACCACAGGCTAGCTAACAGACTCTTCACAGAAACTCACAGAGGCAGCAATCATAAAGAGCCAACAACCTTCTGTAGATGTCTACACCAACCATCTTTGTACTCTCACTACAGCAGCTGGATGTGCCTAGCCTAATATCCAGATTTCCCTGCAAGCTTGGACTCCTCTGCCCAAATCAGGATTGTTCTCTGATCCCTTAACTCCCCTTTTCAGACTTTTAGACTTTTACTTCTCCAACTCCTCCCACAAATGTGACGTAATGTCTTTTTTTTTTTTTTTTTTTTTTCCTTTTTTAAACAGAGTCTCCCTCTGTCGCCCATGCTGGAGTGCAGTGGTGTCATCTCGGCTTACTGCAACCTCCACCTCCTGGGTTCAAGCAATTCTCCCGCCTCAGCTTCCTGAGTAGCTCAGATTATAGGTGCCTGCCACCATGCCCAGCTAATTTTTTGTATTTTTAGTAGAGATGGGGTTTTATCATGTTGGCCAGGCTGGTCTTAAACTCCTGACCTCAGGTGATCTGCCTACCTCAGCCTCCCAAAGTACTGGGATTACAGGTGTAAGCCACTGTGCCCAGCCCTAATTTCTATAATAAATTCCTTATTCAACATATTCACAATGGTCCTGCTTCCCTGATGGAAGCCCGTCTGCCAGGAGCTTAGGCTGGATCTGCTTCAGGAGGCCTGGATGGGAGCAGTCACTTGGGGACTGTTAAGGCAGGGCAAATAGCTAAGAAACCTGGAAAAATGTGAGGCCAAGAGACTCTAAGGATGAACGCTACCTGTGCTTTATTCAAATAGCAAAAATATTCATAGTTTTGCCTTGTATTTGTTACTTGAGAGAGTTCAGCTTTGAAAATGTTTTTATTATTACTAAATTAACCTACTTTGGTTAATCACTCTCATATAATCAAAATGAATGATGGCTTATTTTTTGCTTTTGTTGAGACATTGTTTTGACTTTTTTGACTTTTAATGTGGAAAATAGCAGATCAAACCTCAGCTGGAAAATTCTGACCATTGCCTTTCCCTGGCTATGGAAGCATCCTAACTGAGTTTCCCATTTTGTTATAAATTTGAACATAAAGATGAGTAGTAGTCCTTTGTAATTTACTTTTTGTAAAGTAGATTTTCTTTTTCTTTTTCCTTTTTTTTTTTTTTTAACATTTACTATTTTTACAATACCAAAAGAACACAGTGAGAAAATCAAAAGTCAGGCCGGGCGCGGTGGCTCACGCCTGTAATCCCAGTACTTTGAGAGGCCAAGGCAGGCAGATCACGAGGTCAGGAGATCGAGACCATCCTGGCTAACACGGTGAAACCCCGTCTCTACTCTAATACAAAAAAATTCTAATTTTTTTTACCCCGTCTCTACTCTAATACAAAAAAATTAGCGGGGCATGGCGGTGGGTGCCTGTAGTTCCAGCTACTCGGGAGGCTGAGGCAGGAGAATGGCGTGAACCTGGGAGGCGGAGCTTGCAGTGAGCCGAGATCGCGCAATTGCACTCCAGCCTGGGCAACAGAGCGAGACTCTGTCTCAAAAAAAAAAAAAAAAAAAAAAAAAAACAACAAAAAACAAAAGGCAAACTCTTTGACATAATGATTTCTTGCAGGAAGGATACAATGTTCCCTAGTGCTTTGAGGGCTGAGGGGCCTTGGTATACTCTTACCTGCAGTCTGTTCATTGGTCAAATTTGGTGTCACCTTTGAATATGTGCATACGTTTATTTCCCCAATTGACATAATGCTCCCTAAAAATCACGTATTTTGTTGAAACTTTTCTTACCAAGATTATTGCCATCAAGAACTCCTGGGTAAGCATCCAGCAAGTTTAGAAGGCCAACCTTCAGTCCTCAACTCCATTTAGTGCTATATCCTTTATTCCCACACTCTCATCATCCACCCAGATGACTTGCTGATCCAGCCCAGAGAATATTGTTATATCTACTTCAGAGTGAACCTTTCATTCAGAGTGCTTATCAAAGTGCCAAAAATGATAGAGAATTGAGATTTCATTGAGCTTGGACAGGTTAAGCTGTTACGGGGAAAGGGTTGGGTACCTGTTTCAATTATTTAATTCAATAATACTTTTTGAGTGCCTGCTATGTATTAGGCATTATTCTAGATGCTTGAGACATTATAAGTAAGCAAAACAAAGACCATGCCCTCATGGAACTTACATTCTAGCTGGGGAATATAGACAATAAACAATAGGCTTGATGTATCAGTAAATTACACAGTGTTTTAGAAACTCATAAGTGATATGGAAAATGTAAAAATTTAAGCATGTTAAGAGGGTTGGAGGAGGGTTGCCAGGGTGCAATGTTACACAAAGTGGCCAATATTGGCCTCACAGAGAAGAAGACACTTAAGCAAAGACTTGAAGGAGATGAGGGAGTTAGTTAAGCAGATATCAGGGAATGGTGGGAGGGGCTGTTCCTTTTCCAGTCAGGGAGACCAGCCACTACAAAACAAGTGGAGTGAGCATGCCTAGTATTCCAGAGGGGCAAGGAGGTCAAAGCATCTGGAACACATGGACCAAGACAGTGAAGTAATTGAGGCCAGCTTATGAAGGCCCTATAGGCCATTGTTTGCATTTGGACTTTTACTCTAAGTGAGATGGGGATTAATCATAGGATTCCATGCAGAGGAAGGGAATGGTTTGACTCATGTTTACGAGAGTGACTTTGGCTGTTGCATTGCGAATAGTCTCAAGGTGGGCAAGGCTGAAAAGAGAGAGGAGGCTGTGGCTGTCATCCTGGTGAGTGATAAAGGTGGCTCAGCACCAGGTGGTAGAGTAGAGGTGGCAAGAACTGACAAAATTTAACATGCACTTTAAAGGTAGAGCCAACTGTATTTTCTGATGGATTGGATTTCTGATGGATTGGATCTTGCTGATAGTGTTTGCATGAGATATGATTAAGTCTTATTTTGGCCGGGCATGGTGGCTCATGCCTTAATCCCAGCACTTTGGGAGGCCAAGGCAGATGGATCACCTGAGGTCAGGAGTTCAAGACCAACCTGGTGAACATGGTGAAACCCCATCTCTACAAAAATACAAAAATTAGCCGGGCATGATGGCAGGTACCTGTAATGCCAGCTACTCAGGACACTGAGGCGGGAGAATCGCTTGAACCTGGGAGACTGAGGTTGCAGTGACCCGAGATCATGCCACTGTACTCCAGCCTGGGTGACAGAGCAAGACTCCCAGCCTGGGTGACAGAGCAAGACTTTTTTTTTTTTTTTTTTTTAAAGAAAGAAAAAAAACTTATTTTCATTGCACTATTCACTCGTTGGTGAGGTTGTGGGAGGAAATGCAGGGCCCTCCTAGCTCTCAGGAATGCTGATCACTGGCAAAGATCCTAATACCTGAGAGTGACCATTACACTTGCTGCCCAGCAACACAGCAGTGCTCAGTTCACTGGACTTTTATAAAACACACACTCAAACATAGGATTAGTCCACATGGAAAAGTGGAATGTTTCGGTATACACATGACAAACCTCATAGGAAGTTTTTCTCCAAAATTGTTGAATAAAATTAGCAAAGTAGAATCCACTGCTTCATATCCCAGGGTCTAATTTTAGAAAAGTAGACTTTTTTGTAAGTAAACTCAGACTCAGAACATACTTATTCAGCCCATAGGCCCTTTTGTGGGACTAGATCCTTAAGGTTTCCTTGTTATTACATTAGTCGCCCTCTATTACATTAGTCCCCTTGCCCTATGGAAGAGCTAAGGGAACAGGAAGCCAACCTTCTTGATTGACACAGATGCTGTGAAAGTGAAAAGCTCTCCAAAAGACGGAGATTCTAAACCTAGTACAAACCTTTCCTAGTTGTTTGACTTTGAACACGTTTCTGAACCTCTGTCTAAGCTCCAGGTTGTTCCTTTATAGAAGAGTTGGAAAAAAAAACTTCCAAAGCCTAGTAAGATTGTTGTGAGAGTGGTTACAGTAATGTGTAAAGTAACTCATATATAGAAGGCTCTGGACAAAAGTTAGTTGGGTCATCTCTGCCTTCCAAAAGTCCATCTTTCCTTGAAGATGAAATACGAATGTCATGATCTTCATGAAACTTTTTCTGATCCTTTGCAGGTTTGCATTAATCCCCGCGTAATAGCTTCCTGCACTCCTAAATTCAGGTTTTCTTAGCAGTTGTTTTAGACTTGTCTTGTTCCCTCTATTTGATTATAAGCTTCATGAGGGCAGCTGTTTGTCCAAATTGTTGTATAGTATATGGTGCGTGATTAGTACATAGCAACCTAATTTAATTAATCATTTTTAAAATTTATTTTAAATTGATACATAAAAACTGTATATACTTATCATGTACAACTTGTTATTTTGAAATATACATACTGCAGAATGACTATATTGAGCTAATTAATATAGATTACCTCACATACTTATTTTTGTGGTAAGAACACTTAAAATCTACTCTCAGCAATTTTCGAGAATATAATACATTGTTATTAACTATAGTCACCATAGTTTTTTGTTTGTTTGTTTGTTTGTTTTTTGAGATGGAGTCTCGCTCTGTCACCCAGGCTAGAGTGCAGTGGCACGATCTCGGTTCACTGCAACCTCCGCTCCTGGGTTCAAGCGATTCTCCTGCCTCAGCCCCCTGAGTAGCTGGGATTACAGGCACCTGCCACCACACCCGGCTAATTTTTGTATTTTTAGTAGAAACAGGGTTTCACCATGTTGGCCAGGCTGGTCTTGAACTCCTGACCTTAGGTGGTCCACCCGCTTGGCCTCCCAAAGTCCTAGGATTACAGGCGTGAGCCACCGTGCTCTTTGTCACCATGTTTTACGATGGATGTCTTGAACTTATTCCTCCTATCTAAATGAAATTTAGTATTTGACCAACATTTCCCTAAACCCCCCTTGTCAGCCCCTGGTAACCACCATTCTACTCTCTACTTGTACAAGTTCAAATTTTTTAGATTCCACACGTAAGTGAGATCATGCAGTATTTATCTTTCTGTGCCTGGCTTATTTCACTTAACATAATACTCCTAAGTTCATCCATGTTGTCACACATGACAGGATTTCCTTCTGTTTTAGGGCGAATAATATTCCATTGCCTGTATATAGCATATTTTCTTTATTCATTCATCCACTGCTGGACACTTAGGTTGATTCTATATCTTAGTTATTATAAATAATGCTGTAATAAACATAGGAGTGCAGCTAGCTGTTGACATGTTGATTTCATTTCTTTCTTTCTTCTTTTTATTTTTAGTAGAGACAAAGTCTTGCTGTGTGCCCAGGCTGCTCTCAAACTCCTGAACACTAGCAATCCTCCCACCTATGCCTCCCAAAGTGCTGGGATTACAGGCATGATCCACCACACCCAGTCTGATTTTATTTCTTTTGGATACATACCCAGGAGTGGGATTGCTGGATCATATGGTAGTTCTATTTTTAATTTTTAAAGGAACTTTTATACTGTTTTCCCTAATGGCTGTACTAATTTACATTCCCCAATGACAGTGTACAAGAGTTCTCTTTTCTCCACGTCCTCTGCAATACTTGTTATTTTTTGTCTTTTGATGATTGCCATTCTAACAGATGTAAGGTAATATCTCATTGTGTTTTTGATTTGCATTTCTCTGATAAGTAGTGATTTTTAGCATTTTCTCATACACCTGTTGGCCATCTGTAAATGTCTTCTTTTGATAATGTCTATTCAGATCTTTTGACCATTTTTTAATTGGGTTATTTGTTTTCTTACTATTGAGTTCCTTATATATTTTGGATACTAACATCTCCTATCAGATGTATGGTTTCCAAATATTTTCTCCCAATCTGTAGACTGCCTCTTAATTCTGTTGATTTCCTTGGCTGTACAGAAGCTTTTTATTTTGATGTAATCCCATTTGTCTACTTTGCTTTTGTTGTCTATTTTGGGGTACGTATTAAAAAAAATCCTTGCCTAAACCAATATTATGGAGCTTTTTTTCTATGTTTTCTTCTAGGAATTTTACAGTCTTAGGTCTTACATATAAGCCTTTAACACATTTTGAGTTGATTTTTGTTTCTGGTGAGAGATAACGGTCTAATTTCATTCTTCTGCATGTGGC
The DNA here is from genome assembly GCF_000001405.40 of Homo sapiens. Taxonomy (NCBI): domain Eukaryota; kingdom Metazoa; phylum Chordata; class Mammalia; order Primates; family Hominidae; genus Homo; species Homo sapiens. The sequence continues at coordinate 178,185,252 of NC_000002.12, read as the reverse complement.
TATCCAGTTGTCTCAACACCATTTATTAAAGAGAATGTCCTTTCCCCACTGTGTGCTCTTGGCACCCTTGTCAAAAATCAATTGACTATAAAAGTGTGGGTTTATTTCTGGGTTCTCTGTTCTGTTCCATTCATTGGTCTACATGTCTGTTTTTATGCCGGTATCATGCTGTTTTGACTACTACAACTTTTAAATATGTTTTCAAGTCGGGTGGTGTGGTGCTTCCAGCTTTGTTCTTTTTGCTCAGTGTTCCTTTGGCTATTCAGGATCTTTTGTGGTTTCATACAAATTTGAGGACTTTTTCTATTTCTGTGAAAAATGTCATTGGGATTTTGATAGGAATTGCATTGAATCTGTAGATTGCTTTGGGTAGCATGGACATTTTAACAATGTTAATTCTTCCAATCCATGAACACAGGATATCTTTCCATTTATTAGTGTCTTCTTCAATGTTTTTCATTAATGTTTTATATGTTTCAGTTCACAGGTATTTTTACCTCCTTGGTTACATTTATTCCTATTTTATTTTATTTTTACCTATTGTAAATATGATTTTTAAAGAATCCTTTTTGAGATCATTCATTTTTACTGTATAGAAACACTACTGGCCGGGCGCAGTGGCTCACGCCTGTAATCCCAGAACTTTGGGAGGCCGAGGTAGGTGGATTGCCTGAGGTCAGGAGTTTGAGACCAGCCTGGCCAACATAATGAAACCCCATCTCTAATAAAAATACAAAAAATTAGCTGGGTGTGGTGGCAGGTGCCTGTAATCCCAGCTACTCTGGAGGCTGAGGCAGGAGAATCGCTCAAACCTGGGAGGTGGAGGTTGCAGTGAGCCGAGATCGCACCATTGCACTCCAGCCTGGGCAACAAGAATGAAACTCCATCTCAAAAAAAAAAAAAAAAAAAAGAAGCATTACTGACTATATTCTATCGTCCTGCCTTGACAACTGTATCTTTGTAATGACCTGGAAGGAATTCGGAATTTTTAAACTCCATGTAGTTCTAACCAGACAACATGGCAGTGCAGGAGGGTATAGCCCTGAATCCAGCCTGTGCCTCTTCCCTCCCCACTTCCAGCTCTGGCCCATCCCAGTGGGGGAGGGTCTTGATGCTCACACATAGGGAAAATCCAGTTCCCACATCCAAGCTCTGTATACACTTTCCTCAAACAGCTGCCCCTTAGCCTCAGCATCCCAGGTATCCAGAGTGCAGTGTAGAAGAGGGACAAAGGCTCTGGGTGGGCATGCCACCTGTGCATCTCTTGCCTAAAAGGAGGTTCATGGCTGGAAGAGGGCCAGAAAAGACCTTTAAAACACAGATCCCACAGCAATGGTCCCCTCACCTGACACAGAACAGTTTGCCCTGCACTCAGATTTACCTAGTTTAACTTCAACATTTCCCAGGAAGAAAAATTAGTTAAACCAGTTGCCTTATACATATAAAACCTGTCAATCTTTTTACTTTATCATTAAACTCCATCATTACAGAACTATAAAAATGTTCAAACCACTCTTTATATCTGAACTTCCCCCCAAAATTATTGTTTTTAATTTTACCTGCAGATATATTAATAAACAGTGATAGTCAAATTCTTCTTCTTCTTCTTCTTCTTCTTCTTCTTCTTTTTTTTTTTTTTTTTTTTTGAGACAGAGTCTTGCTCTGTCAACCAGGCTAGAGTAAAGTGCCATGATCTCAGCTCACTGCAACCTCTGCCTCCTGGGTTCAAGCGATTCTTGTGCCTCAGCCTCCTGAGTAGCTGGGATTACATGTATGCACCACCATGCCTGGTTAATTTTTTGCATTTTTAGTAGAGGCAGGGTTTTGCCATGTTGGCCAGGGTAGTCTCCAATTTCTGGCTTCAAGCGATCCACCCACCCACCTTGGCCTCTCAAAGTGTTGGGATTACAGGCATGAGCCACCGTGCCCAGCCAAATTATTCTACATAGAATACAGAGAGGAAATTGGGAAAAGTAATTCATAAAATATACATTCTATTTCTGCCCAAATCTAATTTGCAATTTAAACAGATGGAGACCAATTTCTCTTTAAGAAGGTGTGCCTTCAACATCTGAAAACTAAATGTATATGAATGAGTAAAACAATATAGCAAACCGTCCAAAGTTTTATTAAAGAATAGGTCCAGAAGTAAGAGTCAAGACAGGGAAGGTTCTTGGATCTGTTTCAGTGAGACTTCTCTTCCTTGGGTTTTGTCATTTCGATTCCCTTGACACATCCACACCTGACTCCTAGGAGTTCTGGCCCAAATACAAAGCTCTTCTCTTTGATTCCATTGAGCAGAGCTGACATGTGCTGACATTTCCAAAATATCTTCACTAAACAGTAAAAGCAAAGTAAATGGCAATAACTGAAGATAAATTTATATAATTTAAACATGGCCAGCTTCATTTCCAGAGTAAGGTTTCTGCTTCTGAGTCAATGAGCTGTATTTTACCACCCACAGGTTATTGTCTCCCAAGTAGCTCACATGGTTTTCTTGCCCTAAGGATTCCCTGCCTCTCTCTTGGCTGGGGGTCTCTGGCCATCATCTCATCATTTTAGCTCCCCAGGAATAATTTAATTATCCACTTTATCCAGTCCTGCGGATAAGAATCCAGTTCGCAGATGCATATTTATAGATTCCTTTGGAACCTCTCACACAGGCCCTGTTTTTAATTAGAAGGAATAGCCTCTTGCAAAGCTAATTGTGAAGATTTTGTTAATTGATAAACAATAGGTAAACTTCAGTGATCAACTCTCTCCACAGCCAAATAACTCAGAAGAGATCTTTCTCCCTTCTCCAAATACAGGGAAATGAACTCATCTGTTATCAATTCCCCATGAGGATATACTGACCACAGAACAATATGCTTGGATAGGCATAGCATTAGTGCGGCCCAAAGAGTTAGTTTTAAAGAGTTAGTTTAAAACAGTTTTTAGGGAAATTCCCTTAATTACTGCAGCCAGGGGGGACAATTAATCTTATTATGAACAAAATATAATAACCCTCTCTTTTTTGCCCAGCCAGGATCTAATTTTAAAATAGAACACAGTTTAGGGGCCAGGCATGGTGGCTCATGCCTGTCATCCCAGCACTTTGGGAGGTCAAGGCAGGAGGATCACTTAAGCTCAGGAGTTTGAGGAGACCAGCCCAGGCAACACCATGAAACCCTATCCCTACTAAAAATACAAAACATTGGCTGGGCCTGGTGGTGTGCACCTGTGGTCCCAGGTCCTCGGGAGGCTGAGGTAGGAGGACCACTTGAGCTTGGGAGGTGGAGGTTGCAGTGAGGCGAGATCATACCACTGCACTCCAGCTTGGATGACAGAGTGAGATTTTGCCTCAAATAAAATAAAATAATAAATAAGTAAATAAAGTGGAATACAGTTTAGAAGTGTGCTGATCAATATAGTATTCACTAGTCACATGCGGCTATTTATATTTCAGTCAATATTAATTAAAATTCAATGAAATTTAAAATTGTGTTCCACAGCTGAACTAGCCACATTTCAGTGCCCAATAGTCACATGTGGCTTGTGGCTACCCTATTGACAGTGCAGAATAGAACATTTCCATCACCACATCAAGTTTTATGGGACAACTCTGATCCAGAAGATATATATATATATATATATTTTTTTTTTTTTTTTTTTTTTTTTTTTTTTGAGATGGAGTTTCGCTCTTGTCACTCAGGCTGAAGTGTAATGGTATGCTCTCAGCTCACTGCAACCTCTGCCTCCTGGGTTCAAGCAATTCTCCTGCCTCAGCCTCCTGAGTAGCTGAGATTACAGGCATGTGCCACCACACCTGGCTCCTTTTTTGTATTTTTAGTAGAGATGGGGTTTCGCCATGTTGGGCAGGCTGGTCTCGAACTCCTGACCTGAGGTGATCTGCCCACCTCATCCTCCCAAAGTGTTGCGATTATAGGCGTGACCACCGCACCCAGCCCAGAAGGTATTCTTACTATTAAAAAGGAACAGAGGCCGGGCATGGTGGCTTACATCTGTAATCCCTGCACTTTGGGAGGCCAAGGCAGCCAGATCACCTGAGGTCAGATGTTTGAGACCAGCCTGCCCATCATGGTGAAATCCTGTCTTTACTAAAAATACAAAAGAATGCTTTTACACTGTTGGTGAGAATGTAAATTAGTTCAATCATTGTGGAAGACAGTGTGGTGATTCTTCAAGGATCTAGAACTAGAAATGCCATTTGACCCAGCAATCCCATTACTGGGTATATAACCAAAGGATTATAAATCATTCTACTATAAAGATACATGCACACGTATGTTTATTGTGGGACTATTCACAATAACAAAGACTTGGAACCAACTCAAATGCCCATCAATGATAGACTGGATAAACAAAATGTGGTTCATTTACACCATAGAATACTATGCAGCCATAAAGAAGGATGAGTTCACGTCTTTTGCAGGGACATGGATGAAACTGGAAACCATCATTCTCAGCAAACTAACACAAGAACAGAGAACCAAACATCACATGTTCTCACTCATAAGTGGGAGTTGAATAATGAGAACACATGGGCACAGGGAGGGGAACATCACACACTAGGTCCTGTCAGGGGGTTGGGGGCAGGGGGAGGGATAGCATTAGGAGAAATACCTAATGTAGATGACAGATTGATGGGTGCAGCAAACCACCATGGCACATGTATACCTATGTAACAAACCTGCATGCACGGCACATGTATCCCAGAACTTTAAGTATAATAATAATAATAAAAAAAAATTAGCCAGGCATGGTGGTGGGCGCCTGTAATCCCAGCTACTCGGGAGGCTGAGGCAGGAGAATCGCTTGAACCAGGGAGTCAGAGGTTGCAGTAAGCCAAGATCACGCCACCGTACTCCAGCCTGGGCGACAAGAGCAAAACTCCATCTCAAAATAAGTAAATAAATAAATAAATAAATAAATACATAAATCAGACCCCAGAACTTAAAACGTTTTTCCTGTTACCGCAGTCTTGAGCAGAACACTAAGGACTCAGACAAGAGTGAGATAAAAGCTGCAGGGCTCACGGGTAGAAAAGAAAGCTTTTATTTATTTATTTTTTCAAGTATGTATCAAGTGTTAAGACATTTTCAACATTTCTGTGTGTGTGTGTGTGTGTGTCACAGAGTTTCACTCTTGTTGCCCCGGCTAGAGTGCAATGGCACGGTCTCACTGCAACCTCTGCCTCCCGGGTTTAAGCAGTTCTCCTGCCTCAGCCTCCTGGGTAGCTGAGACTACAGGCACCTGCCACCACGCCCAGCTAATTTTTGTATTTTTAGTAGAAACGGGGTTTCACCATGTTGGCCAGGCTGGTCTTGAACTCCTGACCTGAGGTGATCCACCTGCTTCGGCGTCCCAAAGTGCTGGGATTATAGGCATGAGCCATCTTGCCAGGCCATTTTCAACATTTTGGAAAGAAGCAACACCTATTCAATAATTAATGGATACAAAAAAAAATCTATGCTTAAAGTGAACTTTAAAGTACACAAATAGAGAGTAAGAATACATTTCCCGATGTATGAAGTGGAGTTCCAGTGCAGGCCAATGTAGGTAAAAGACAGAAGAGACAGTCAGCAGAACCAGGAAAAAGAGAGCATGAGACTGGACCAAAACAGATATTACTGTCTTAGAAGCCACATCTGGCTATGAGATTTTGCCAGTTCCTTAGTAAGAAAGAATTACAAATTATCAGAACCCCAGTACATGCTTTTTATATTTTCTTTTTTTGTTTTTGTTTTTGTTTTTGTGAGACGGAGTTTCGCTCTTGTTGCCCAGGCTGGAGTGCAATGGAGCGATCTTGGTTCACTGCAACCTCCACCTCCCGGGTTCAAGCAATTTTCCTGCCTCAGCCTCCCGAGTAGGTGGGATTACAGGCACCCGCCATCACGCCCAGCTAATTTTTTGTATTTTTAGTAGAGACGGGGTTTCACCATGTTGGCTAGGCTGGTCTTGAACCCTTGACCTCAGGTGATCCACCCACCTCAGCCTCCCAAAGTGCTGGGATTACAGGCTTGAGCCACCGTGCCTGGCCTTTGTTTTTATTTTTTAAAATAGATTATGTATTTTAATTTTTTGTAGAGATGGGGTCATGCTATGTTGCCCAGGCTGATCTCAAAGTCCAGGTCTCAAGTGATCCTCCTGCCTTGGCCTCCCAAACTGCTGGGATTATAGATGTAAGCCAATGTGCCCAGTTCCATGTCGTTTATAGTTGGTTACATATGATTTTGCTTAATGACATAATAAAATTATACATAGTGAAAATGGCATATGCTATTAGACAGTGTTCTAGCATGGTAAACAAAAATCAAATAAAAAGTATTTATAAAAATTAAAGCTATCAGTAAAGCAGATAGAAAATATAAAGAAATCTTAGAAAGCAAATAGACCTATGTTTTATGCTACCTGGTTCTAATTATTCTATTTATTTTGGTTTATGTTAACTTTAAATTTATATCCCCTAAGTCATATGGTTCAGAGATATGTAAGATTTGGTTAATTCATTCTTTTTTCCAAATGTTTCTGTCTAGAAAATCAATTTTTTTTTGGAAAGGTGATCACGAGTTATATTTTTGTTGCTATTAACCATTTGATCTCCTGTTTATTTGGTAAGCCACAGGATCTTAGTCAGGTACAAATCCGTTCAAGAAGCAGGTTGATCAAGCATTTAGAACTTGATTCAATGTAAGAAGCAGGGTAATAATGTTTCTTTTCTTAAACACACCTACAATTTTGATTTCTTCCCTGCCCCTGCCCCTGTGACATAGCATGTTTCATAATATATATTGAAGGTTTATAGGTTTGTATATCTTCCAGTTTTTTAAGGTTTTTTTTTTTTCACAGTCTTGCTCTGTCACCCAGGCTGCAGTGCAGTGGCACAATCTCAGTTCACTGCAACCTTGGCCTCCTGGGCTCAAGGGATCCTCCTGCCTCAGCCTCTTAAGTAGCTGGGACTACAGGTGTGTGTCACTACACCCGGCTAATTTTTTTTGTATTTTTGGTAGAGATGGAGCTTTGCCACATTGCCCAGGCTGGTCTCAAACTTTTGGACTCAAGCAATCCGGCCGCCTCGGCCTCCCGAAGTGCTGGAATGACAGGTTTGAGCCACCGTGCCCAGCCTATCTTCCAGTTCTCTAGCCTCAATTAAAGGATTCTAGGTAGATTTCAGCAAAACTATTTTAGGCCTACAGTGAAGTGAAAATACAAAGCTCAGTTTACACCAGTCTAAGTCTAGGGAGATAATCAGAATTTGATTAAGACAAGAACAGAATAAATGTGCCCCTAACTGCCAGAAGGATGTCTCACCAACAAGGCCGACGTGGTAAAAAACTACTAATCTCATTCATCCCACCAGTTTCTCACTACACATTAGTGCTTTCTTGCTTTCCATGTCCCTTTTTGTCCATCTTATATTCCAGGGTCCACTGTTATAATAATTTCTCCCATAAAATTTCCTCAATTCCTGAACTGCTCTTTCTGATTGGCTATATTTGAACCCTGTAAGAACTCAAGTACCCTAGCTACTCTTGCTCTGCATGTGACCAGCTGAACATTGGTGGAGAAAATTACACATTGACTTCACTCTACCTTTAGAATCTTAGTTCTCAAAAGTACTCATTATACAACACAGCAATCATACGACTTTTCCTGTAGCTTTCTTTTTTGCTCCCAAAAATACCATCTCATATATTCTTCTCCATCCTCAAATCTGCTACTCCATACCACTTCAAACCTCTATCTGACAATCTTGCATCATTCTTGTTGGGAAGTTAGAAGTTCAAACAGGAAGTTATTGCTTTCCATTTCACCCATTTACAAACCTACCTGCATCTAATTCTATCTTCTCTTTCTTCCCTCCAATTACCACTGATGGATTCCCCCTCTTCTCAGAGGCCAATGGCATAGAAAACATGTGTCCTGGATACCAGTATTCTGGCTACCTCAAGGACTTTGCTTCTTGAGTCATCCCTTCCCTCTACTGTAGGATTAGCCACTTCCTCTTTCTGGGATCTTTCCAAGAGTATACAAGCATGCTCTAGGGCTAACCATTCTAAAAAGCCTCCCTGATCCTTTTCTCATCTCTCCAGCTGCTGCATGCTCCTCTGTTCCATTTCATAGCTAATTTTCTCTACCTTCTCCTTCCTATTCCCTCCACAGGCCATTTCTATCTATTTAATAGCTTCTGCCCTACTATCTGCCAGACTGCTCTCATTAAACACCACAGGTTGGTCTTAGTGACTTCCATGTGGCTAAATCCAATGTACGACTTTCTATCTACATCTTACTTGATCTTTTACCTGCATTTGACAAGTTTACTACTTCTTCCTTGAAACACTCATTCTTCTTTCTTGATTTCTGGGAGACACATTGTCATGATTTTTCTTCCTAACTCTGACATATCTCTTTCAATTTCTTCATGGTGCTCATTCTATTAACTTCTTTTTTGCTTGTTTGTTATTTTTTTGTCTATTAACTTCTAAATGTTGGTATTTCTGAGCTTTCATCCAGGGTCACAGATGGTTCTCTTCTCTATGTAATCCCTCCTTGCAAATCTCTTTTCTGATCTACAGACACTGTTTTCCAACTTCCTACCTAACATCTCCACTTAAATGTTTCACAGCATTTCAAACTTTACATGTTCAAGACTAAACTCATTTTATTCTTACCAAACCTCTAGAGTTTCTAATTTCAATAAATGATACCACATTCCACTTAATTGCTCAAGTCTAAAATTTCACTTCTCATATCTAATCAATCATTAAGTCCTGCTGTTTTTACCTTCCAAATATATCCAGTATAGTAATGCGGACTTTCCATTTCTCTTTTCTCTCACTGGAAATCTTATAAAAACAAAAGAAGGAGAGAAAGAAGAAAAGAAGGAAACGCACAAGAAATGTTTCCCGTTAAACTAAGGAAACAGCTAAAATCTTAAACCAGAAAACAAATTATGTGGTTCCCCCAAAGCAGGGAAGATCATGCAGGAATTCACATTAACAAAAGCAGAAAGAGTGTTTGCAGATGTAAATTTCATAAAAAGATAGCAAAGAACATTTCTTCAAGGTAAAAAGTATGTTTTTATTTCCAAAATCTCAATACCTTGTTTCTAACAGTAGGGACAAGGCATACATGCTGGCCACGAAAGCACGCCTGGACCTGGTTTGGTTCTGAGAAGTGGCAGAGGAAAACTTAAGTGAGAAAACATATAGACAAGCCATACTATAGGAAGCAGTCTGTCTCTATGGCAGAACCAGGGGAAAAACGCATTGTGAAAATTTTCTGCCTGTTTACTTTGGCTGAGGAGAACTGAAGGCTAAACAAAATTACATAAAATCAAGACTATAAAAAATGTTCCACTAATCAGTAAGTAACCCTGGTCCTTCTATTACATGAACCTTTTTTTTTTTTTTAGACGGAGTCTCGCTCTGTCGCCCTGGCTGGAGTCCAGTGGTGCAATCTCGGCTCACTGCAAGCTCTGCCTCCCAGGTTCACGCCATTCTCCTGCCTCAGCCTCCAAAGTAGCTGGGACTACAGGCACCTGCCACCACGCCCGGCTAATTGTTTTTTTGTATTTTTAGTAGAGACTGGGTTTCACCGTATTAGCCAGGATGGTCTCGATCTCTTGAGCTCGTGATCTGCCCGCCTCGACCTCCCAAAGTGCTGGGATTACAGGCGTGAGCCACTGTGCCCGGCCTACATGAACCTCTCGCATGTAGTGGCACAGGAGAAACTCAGCTGTTTCAGTGATGAGTAATCAAAAAGGAATATGCACAGTATTCACACAAAGATGCTACACAAAAAAAAAAGAAGAACAGGAAGAAACAAAGGGTTGATAAAACACACTTACAGAAAAAATGTTTTCATAAAGCAGCTTACAATTATGATCAAACATTTTACCACTGACCTTAAACATAGAATGAATGAATCTCCTCATTGAGGAAGAACCACAAAGCAAAAATATAAGAGCTTATGGAACAGATGTTAACACAACAGGAAGAAATGAAATGTAAGCTGATAGAGCATATGGAAGGGAAGAGAAAAAAAATGTAACCATTGCAGAAATAAAAGCCAAATGGGAAGGAATATGTAGGTAAATATGCCCCGTTGAAATCACAAAAAGGGATATATTAAGTAGAAATGAGGAAGTGAGCAAAATGAAATGGAAATGAAGAGATTTTTAAAAGGATTAGATAGCAATAATTGATATAAAAGGCAAGCAAAGGAGAATCAATTGCCTAATTGAAGGGTGGGGAAAACAATTAAACAAAAGTAAGGAAATAATACTTAAAGATATAGTTGTAGAAAAGTTTCCTAAGATAAAAGAATACTTAAAATCCTAAAATTGTATCTTTTCTTTTCTTTTCTTTTCTTTTTTTTTTTTTGAGTCAGGGTTTCACTCTGTCATCCAGGCTGAAGTGCAGTGGTACAATCACAGCTCATCACAGCCTTGACTTTCCTCGGCTCAGGTGATCCTCCCACCTCCTTCTCACAAGTAACTGGAACTACAGGCATGTGCCACCACACCCAGCTAATTTTTGTATTTTTAATAGAGATGGGGTTTTGCCATGTTGCCCAGGCTGGTATCAAACTCCTGGACTCAAGCGAACTGTCCACCTGGGCCTCCCAAAGTGCTGGGATTACAGGCGTGAGCCACCATGCCCAGCCAAAATCGTATCTTGAAGGGACCCAATTTATTCCAGGAGAAACTCTGTTGGAACAATGACTGAGCCATACCCTATTAAAATTGTGGAACTTTAATCAAGGTGACATCAACAAGAAAGCAGACTAGGAGGTCTTAATGCTTGTCCCTCCATAAAAACAACAATTAAACAATCACCTACTGACAAAAATAGCTCTGGGATTGCTCCAGATTACAAAGAAGAAGCTGCAGCAAACCAGTGGAGCACAAAACCAAGGATGCCCATATAAAAAGCATAGCAAACATTTTACTCACATTATCTTGTCCCCCAGTTCATCACAGCTCAGCACCAAGATGGACCCCCTTGGCTGTGACCTCCTCCCAGTGGGAAAAAACAGACTAGAGGGATTCTGGCAACCTTTGCCACCAAAGACTTCAGCAGTCCTTACCACCGCTGCAAACACCTGCAGCTTTTGCCACCAAGGACCACCCTTCTCCCCAGTTATCGCCAACACTGGTATCAGCTGATGGAGCTGATCTGAGTCCATGCCACTATGCTCTCCAAGAGGAGCAGCTACCACTGCAGCCCCCTTGTAGCTGGAGCTGGCATTCTCATACCTATCTGTAGATTAATGTCTTTTCCCATTGAAGCCAGTCCACAAAGTCTAGAAGAGGTGACTGCTCCCTCAAATATTCAGACATCCCTGCAAGGCTATAAGGAACACAAAAATTCAAGAAAACATGACATCATCAAAGGAACACAATAATTTTCTAGTAACTAACCTAAAATGAAGGAGATCTATGAATTTCCTGACAAAAAATTCAAAATAATTGTTTTAAAGAAGCTCAGTGAGCTATAAGAGAGTACGGATAGACAATTCAATGAAATGCAAAAAATAACACAAGAACAAAATGAGTTCAGCAAAGAGATAGAAATAATAAAGAAGAACCAAACAGAAATCCTGGAGCAGATCAATACAATAAATGGCATGAAAAATGCAATACAGAAATTAAACGGTAGACTCAATCAAGCAGAAAAAAGAACCTGTAGATCATTTAGGCCGGGTGTGGTGGCTCATGCCTGTAATCCCAGCACTTTGGAAGCCAAAGAGGGTGAATCACCTAAGGTCAAGAGTTCGAGACCAGCCTGCCCAACATGGTGAAAGCCTGTCTCTACTAAAAAATACAAAAATTAGCCAGGCGTGGTGGCATTCACCTGTAGTCTCAGCTACTCGGGAGGCTGAGGCAGGAGAATCGATTGAACCTGGAAGGCAGAGGTTGCAGTGAGCTGAGATTGCGCCGCTGCACTCCAGCCTCGGTGACAGAGCGAGATTCCATCTCAAAACAAAACAAAATGAAACAAAACAAAAAAACAAAAGAATATCGGCTGATTTCTCAGCAGAAACTTTGAAAGCCAGGAGAGAGGGAGATGATGTATTCGAAGTACTGAAAGAAAAAAACTGCCAATCAAGGATAAATTATCTTTTAAAAATAAAGAGGTAAAGCCTTTCTCAGACAAACAAAAATGAAGGTAGTTCGTCACCACTAGACCTTACAAGAAATGTTTAAGAGAGTTCTTAAAATTGACACAAAAACATGCTACACAGCAAAGTGAAAACATGAAAGCATAAGTCGCACAAGTAAAGGTAAATATATAGACAAATACAGAATGTAGCACTGTAATGGTGGTGTTTAAGTTACTTTTAACCCTAATAAAAGTTAAAAGATAAAAATTGTCAACGGTATACAATATAAAAAGAAGCAAGCTGGGTGTGGCGGCTCACACTTATAATCCCAGTGACTCAGGAGGCTGAGACAGGAGGGTCCCTTGAGGCTAGGAATTTGAGACCAGCCTGGGTAACATAGCAAGCCACCATCTCTAAAAAAAGAAAAAAATTAACTGGATGGAGAGTTGTGCCCACAGTCCCAGCTACTTGGGAGACTGAGATAGGAAGATTGCTTGAGCCCAGGAGTTTGAGGCTGTAGTGAGCTATGACTGTGCCACTGCACTCCAGCCTAGGTAACAGCAAGCCCCCATCTCTGAAACAATAAAAATAAATAAATTTATAAATTTATAAGAAAGCAAATTCTGACTACAAGAACATAAAGTGTTGTACGGGAAGTAAAAGTTTAGTTTTTGTATGCATTTGAAATAGTTATCAACTTAAAGTAGGTGGTTACAACTACAAGATATTTTATGCAAGCCTTGAACTAATTGCAAAGAGAAAAACCTACAATTGGTACCTGAAATATAAAAGAGAAATGAATCAAAGCAAATCACTGCAAAAAAAATAAATAACAAAAAAAAGCAAGAGAAAAAGAGAGAGGGAAAAAAAGACTTTAAAACAGACAGAAAACACTTAATAAAATGGCAATATTAAGTCCCTACCTATCAATAATCACTTTTTGAGATGGAGATTTGCCCTTGTCGCCCAGGCTGGAGTGCAATGGCACAATCTCAGCTCACTGCAACCTCCACCTGCCGGGTTCAAGCTATTCTCCTGCCTCACCCTCCCAAGTACCTGGGATTACAGGTGTGCACCACCACGCCTGGCTAATTTTTTTTGTTTTTAGTAGCAACAGGTTTCACCACGTTGGCCAGGCTGGTCTCGAACTCCTCACTTCAGGTGATCCACCTGCCTCAGCATCCTAAAGTTCTGGGATGACAAGCATGAGCCACCGCGCCTGGCCAATAATCACTTTAAATGTAAATGGATTAAAATCACCAATCAAAAGGCATAGAGTCGCTGAATGGATAAAACAACAGGATTCAGTGCTACCTTGTCTACAAAAGACTCATTTTAGATTTGAAGGCACACATAGTCTGAAAGTGATGGGATGAAAAAAGACATGTTACGCAAATGGTAACCAAAAGAGAAAAGGGGTAGCTATTCATATATCAAATAAAATAGACCTTAAGTCTAAAACTGTCTCTAGAGACAAAGAAGGTCATTTTATAATGTTAAATTATACATTTACATGTATAATTTATATGTATTATACTTTTACATGTATGATGGAAAATCAATAAACTGTTGACTTAAAGAACGTTCTAGACCAAATGCTCTTAACAGACAGAACTTTCCATCCAAAAGCAGATGAATACACATTCTTCTCAAGCGTGCATAGAACATTCTATAAGATATATCACATCTTAGGATTCAAAACAAGTCTTAATACATTTAAGAAAATCTAAATCATTCCAAGTATTTTTTCCAACCACATGGGATAAAACTAGAAGTGAATAACAGCAGGAAAACAAGACAATTCACAGATATATGGAAACTAACAACATGGTCTTGAAGAACTTTAAGTCAAAGAGGAAATTGAAAGGGAATTTAAAAGGTATCTCAAGACAAATGAAAATAAAACACAATATAAAACATCTTATGTGATGCAGCAAAAGCAGTACTAAGATGGAAGTTTATAATGATAAAGGCCTACATCAAAAAACAAGAAAAATTAACTAAGTCCAAAGTCAGGAGAAGGAAGGAAATAATAAAAATTAGGGCAGAAATAAATCAAATAGGAAATGAAAAAAAAAACAGGAAAAAGCAAACTAAAATTTGGTTTTTGAAAAGATAAAACAAAACTGACAAACCTCTACTTATACTAAGAAAAAAAAACACTCAAATAGATAAAACCAGAAATGAAAGAAGAAACATTAGAATAGATGCCTCAGAAATAAAAAACACCATAAGGGACTATTATGAACAATCATATGCCAACAAACTGGATAACCTAGAAGAAACAAAAAAATCTGTAGACATATAACCTACCAAAACTGAATCAAGAAGAAGTGGAAAGCCTGAATAGACCAAAAACAAATAAGGAGATTGACTCACAATCAAAAACCTCCCAACAAAGAAAAGCACAGGACCAGATAGCATTGTTGGTGAGTTTTACCAAACATTCAAAAATAATTAATATCAATTTTTGTAAAACTCTTCCAAAAAAGAGCAGAGATAACACTTTGAAACTCATTTTATGAGGCTAGCATCACCCTGATGCCAAAACCAGACACAAACACTACAAGGAAAGCAAGATACAGGCCAATATCCCTGATTAACATAGATGCTAAAATCCTCAAGAAAATACTATTAAATGACCGGGCACAGTGGCTCGCGCCTGTAATCCCAGAACTTTGAGAGGCCGAGGCAGGAGGATCACGAGGTCAAGAGATCGAGATCATCCTTGCCAACATGGTGAAACCCCGTCTCTACTAAAAATACAAAAATTCACTGTGTATTTTTGGCATCCTTGTCAAATATCTTAGGAACACAGTAACAATATAATATAAACTGTAAAGTGACCTTAACAACAACAACAAAAAAATAGAGAAAGTACAAATACACAGAATGATAAACGAAAAGGGAGAAATAGTTGCTTATGTAGAAGTAGACAAAGAATCCAGTGACTCTGCTCACCCCTGTTATAGAGAGCTGCTATTATCTATGAAAATAAAACGGAAAACAGGAATGAACAGATGAATGGACTTTGAAGAGACGTTATAGTCTTTGTTTCAACAATAAGGATTACCTTATTCAATACATTATTTAGGTGTATGATAGTTAGATACATATAATTTGCCAAAAGTGACTCCAGAAGAGACAGAAAATCCAAATGGACCAGTTACCACAATAGAAATAAAGTAGTTTCGCAGAAAATTCATAAAGGAACAGAAAATTCCAAAGCTTTTATTTTTATTTATTATTATTATTTTTTTTGAGACAGAGTCTCGCTCTGTTGCCCAGGCTGGAGTGCAGTGGCGCTATCTCGGCTCACTGCAAGCTCCGCCTCCCGGGTTCACGCCATTCTCCTGCCTCAGCCTCCCAAGTAGCTGGGACTACAGGCACCCACCACCGCAACTGGCTAATTTTTTGTATTTTTAGTAGAAACAGGGTTTCACCGTGTTAGCCAGGATGGTCTCGATCTCCTGACCTCTCGTGATCCGCCCGCCTCGGCCTCCCAAAGTGCTGGGATTACAGGCGTGAGCCCACCGCGCCTGGCCCAATTCCAAAACTTTTAAAACTGTTTCGAAGTATATTAAAAGAAAGAAACATTCTAAATTATTCTCTGTCTCTCTCTCTTTCTTCCTGAGACTGGTGCTAATCTGTCATATAGGTTGGAGTGGAGTGGGGTGATCATAGCTCGCTGTAACATTGAACTCCCGGGCTCAAGAAATCCTCCCACCTCAGCCTCTCCTCCGGAGTAGCTGGCATATCAGGTGGGTGCCACTGTGTGTGGCTAACTTCTTAAAATTTTTTGTAGTGACAGGGTCCTCACTGTATTGGCCAGGCTGGTCTCAAGCTCTGGCCTCAAGAGGTCCTCTTGCCTTGGCCTCTCAAAGTGCTGAGAGTACAGGTATGAGCCACCACGCCTGGCCTAAATTATTTTAATAACCCAATATTTGCTTTTAAAAAGCCACACAAAGCAATCTCATTTATGACTATGGATGCAACGTTTCTAAAAAAGCAAACAAACAAAACAAAACAAACAAACAAACAAAAAATTGCAGTAGTATTTAGTAGCATAGGAAAATTATAAGTCCAAGTAAGTAAGGTTTATTTTTAAAATGCAAGGATAATTTAAAATAGAGTGATTCATTGTTATAATGGATATAAGGAGAAAAAATCATAATATAGTTTCTATATTCTATCTATATTCTATATCTATATTAGAATATATTCTAATAGAATATATTCTATATTCTATTTCTATCAAAAAGGTATTTGATAACTTTCAACAGTTACTATTGGTTTAAGAAAATTAACCTCCCAACAAAATAATAGGAATAAAAGGAAACGTCCTTGACATGGTAAGACATAGCTACCTAAACCCGAAAGCTAGTGTTATGCTGAATGGGTAAATACTAGAAGCATCCTCATCAAAGTCAGGACAAGTCAAGGATATTCTAGAAGTTTAACACATGATAATTTAAGACTATCCTAGAGGTACTAGCTAAATTCAATTAGAGACAAAAAAAGTAAGATGGGGTATAATTATCATAATTTGAAGATTATATGATTATATATTTGGAAAATCCAAGAAAATTGACTATTACAAACAATAAGATAATACGATAAAGTTGTTACCTGCAAAATGATTATATAACAAGTGAACATATACATTGTCCTCCCTAAACCAATCAGAGTGTTTCAATGGGATGGGGTCAAACTGATTAGTGTGGGCCAGTTGGGCTCACACCGCAGTTAGCATTAAGGCAAATCACATTTAAACAGCTTGGAATGGACTGTCCCCCACTCCCCTGACCCCCCTAAATTTAAGGGCTGTTTACAGGGAAAAGGAGAAATGGATACTGGATGGGAAATAACACATGTCCACTCAACCAAAGAAGGATTAGGCATTTTGGTTAAGATTAGGAGCTACTGCTAATCTCTCATAAAATGGGGCAAAAGAAATAGTATAGTGATTACTAAACAAAGATATTTAAAGAGAAGCTAGCAAGAATAGTAAAAGTGCTAGGATTTTTATTTCCTCCAGCAATATTTAAAATGAAGTAATTGTGTCTCAAATCCTGATAAATCGTAACAGGCTGCGTTACCCGTTCCATCTTCCTGCCATTCCTCCCCTGTTGTTTACTTTCTCTTTTGGCACATAAAATTGTCCAGATGAGCCATCTAGGAAGGGTACATTAATTTAACTGGGCATACGTGAGCATTAAAGGCTTGTGACACACATTGTTACATAAAGAATGCTGAATGCTTGTATACTGTAATGAATGTGTGAGGCCAATAACTTTTTAATAGACACATCATTTGGTAATTGCAGATTATTGGATCCCAAATACCTTGCTCATTAACAGGTGCTCATATATTTCAATTACTCTTATTCTCCTTGGTTGGTTTAAAACAATACTTTTTTAAAAAGTCTAATTAAGTGGTCTTCTGACATTTTAGCCAAGATGACTTTAATAATAGCAATAATTATATAGCATTGACAATATTTTCATGACTTACAAATACAGAAGTTTCACAATTGCCTTTAGAAGTGTACTTTGGCTACGCATTTTTAAAAACAAGTTACTTTGGGTGTCAGAAAGATAATTGAGAATTTCTTCTTCAGAATGAATTGTTCTTCACTGGATTAAAATTCAATATCTGTTTACGTTAGATAGAAAATGGAATTTTTATGATCCACCACCAACTTGACTGAATTATAGTAATATGGCAGTGGAGAGATGACAGGTATCATTTGTGTGTGGGAAGCATTTGGCAACATGTTTTGATGAATTTCATCCTGATACTTTTCTCCAACAGGTATTACTGGGTTTAGGATGATAATTTTTTAAAGTTCTATTAAACATTTTTAAAGATAAAACAGCTAAAATAAATTTATGGTAATAATTCAGGAAGATGAAATAAACATGGAGCTTGTAAAAGTAGATAATGTAACTGTTGTTTGTATTTTAATGCCTCAACCTTTAAATTACAAATATGTAATTTCATAGAAAACATGCATTTGTAATATACATTTATATTGTAGTTAATACACATACTAGTTTGATACATTAAAATGATTATAATACTGTTTCAAATGCAGAATGTAAAAATTATTGCACGCTATAACATACTAATATAATTCACACTCAAAAATTTTATTTTTAACATGATCTAAAATACTATTTTTTTCTCACTCATCCCTTTTAAAAGGCACAAAATAAGGAACAGACAATGAAAAACACATTTGGTTGAAACTAAAATAAGAATACAGTATTTTTTTTTTTTGAGACAGTCTCCCTCTGTCGCCCAGGCTGGAGTGCAGTGGCGCGATCTCAGCTCACTGCAAGCTCTGCCTCCCGGGTTCACGCCATTCTCCTGCCTCAGCCTCCCGAGCAGCTGGGACTACAGGTGCCTGCCAGCACGCCTGGCTCATTTTTTGTATTTTTAGTAGAGACGGGGTTTCACCGTGTTAGCCAGGATGGTCTCAATCTCCTGACCTCGTAATCCACCTGCCTCGGCCTCCCAAAGTTCTGGGATTACAGGCGTGAGTCACCGTGCCCGGCCAGAATACAGTATTTTTAAACAATCAGGTTTTTTTGAATAGTTGATGCAAGCACTTTATGGTAGATAAAAAAGGATAAAGTAAAAAAGATAGCTCTTTTTCTTTGCTGCTGCCAGGTGTCCAGCTCTTCTCCCTGGAGGATACACTATTACCAGTTTTTTTTTGTTTCCTTTCCAGAGCTGTTCAATGCGAAGAAGCTAATGAATGGGTAGAAATTATACAAACAGTATCACTGTACACATGTTCTATACTAGGTTTTCTTAATTGAAGAACACTTCTGGGAAAATATTCCATATTAATGCCCGTAGAAATACCACGTTACTTTTTAACGTTTGCATAGTATTCCATTGAACGATGCACCGTAACTTATTTAATCACTTCTTGTATTAGTCAGGGTTCTCCAGAGAAACAAAACAAAGAGGACATGTGTATACATATAAAATTTTCTTTTAAGAGAATTACAGATGCTGGCAATTCCCACATCTGCAGGGTGGGGTAGTAGGTTGGAGACCCAGGGAAGAGCCAATGTTGCAGTTCAAATCTGAAGGCCAACTGCTGGCAGAATTCCTTCTTGCTTGGGGAAGGTCAGTCTTTGTTCTATTCAGGTCTTCAGTTGATTAGATGAGGCCCACCCATGATATGGAGCACAGTCTTCTTTACTCAGAGTTCACTAATTTAAATATTAAATCTCATCCAAAAACACCCTCACCAAAACATCAGAATAATGTTTAACCAAATATCTGGGCACCATGGCCCAGTGACTTAAAATTAATCAACACAGTTCTCTATCAATGGCTAGTTTGTTTATAATTGTTGGCTAATATATTGTGTATTCTAACATATACATATTTCATAGATATGCAAGTATATTACAGATTAAATTCCTAGAAGTGGAAATGCTAACAGTCCATGGGTGTATGCTTTTAACATTTTGATAAATATTGCTAAATTGTCTTTTGAAGTGCTTGTACCAGTTTATATTTAGAAGGATGAGAGTGTCGGTTTTTCCTGTCCTTTCTAACACAGTGCTATGAAATTTTTTAATCTGCTATTTGGATGGGTATGATATGAGTCAGGTAACTAATAAGAAGGCGTAGCCGGGCGCGGTGGCTCACGCCTATAATCCCAGCACTTTGAGAGGCTGAGGCAGGCGGATCACGAGGTCAGGAGTTTGAGACCAGCCTGACAAACATGGTGAAACCCGGTCTCTACTAAAAATACAAAAATTAGCCAGGCGTGGTGGTGTGCACCTGTAATCCTAGCAGGGCATTAGAGGCAGAAGAACCTCTTGAACCTGGGAGGCGGAGGTTGCAGCGAGCCGAGATCGTGCCATTGCACTCCAGCCTAGGCGACAGAGCGAGACTCCATATCAAAACAAAAACAAAACAAAAGAAGGCATTGTATGCATTTTAGCAAGGATATTTCCCATCACGTATACAGATTCAGGATGTGCATAGTAGTGTTATCATAATAATGATGTAATGGAATGTAGAATTCAATGTATTTTAGTATTAACATTAGTGCTAAGAGGTTATAAATGAACCAAAATTCTTTATTTATCATTAAGAATCTGATACAGACATTTAAAATTTTCAGTTATACTTTGCTATGGTCTGAATGTTTGGGTCCTCCCAAAATTCATACTGTATGTTAAAATCCTAACATCAGGTGATTGATGGCATTGGGGGGTGGGATCTTTGAGAGGTTATTAGGTCATGCAGGTGGAGCGCTCAAGAATGGGACAAGTGCCTGATATGTATGGTTTGGATCTGTGGCCCCACCAAATCTCATGTTTAACTGTAATCCCCAATGTTGGAGGTGGGGCCTTGTGGGAGGTCATCGGATCATGGGGGTAGTTTCTTATTAATGGTTTCGCACCATTTTCTCAGTACTGTTCTTGTGATAGTGAGTAGGTGAGTTATAGTGAGATCTGGTTGTTTGAAAATGTGTAGCGTCTCCCCCTTCTCTCTCTCTTCCTCTTGCACTGGCCATGTGAATTGTGGCTCCCACTTTGCCTTCACCATGACTGCAAGTTCCCTGAGGCCTCCCCAGAAGCTGATGCCACTGTGCTTCCTGTACAGCCTGCAGAACCGTGAGACAATTAAATCTCTTTTCTTTATAAATTACCCATTTTCAAGTATTTCTATATAGCAGTGTGAGAATGGGGAATGGACTAATACAGTGCCCTTATAAAAGCAGCCTGAGAGAAACTCCTTGCCCCTTCAACCATTTGAGAACACAGCAAGAAAGAAAGGTAGATAAAGAAAATGTGGTATAAAACATACAATGGAAGACTAGCCTTAAAAAAGAAGGAAATCCTGTCATTTATGACAACATAGATAGCCTGGAAGATATTACACTAAGTGAAATAAGCAAGTCACAAAAAGGCAAATGCTGCATAATTTCTTTTATGTGAGGCACCTAAAATAGTTGACTTGTAGAAGCAGAGAAGAGAATAGTGGTTGCCAGTGGCTGAGGGAGGGAGGGAGTGTCTGTTCAATGAGTACAAAATTTCAGTTATGCAAGATGAATTATCATGCACTTAAAATTTTGTTAAGAGAACAGATTTTGTGTGAAGTGTTCGTACCATAATACAAGTAAAATAAAACAACATAACATAAAATAATTAGATTTACAAGTGAAGAAGGGGGAGGAGTTGGGAATGATGACCTCCATTCTCTTACTATTCTGGCTTTGGAGATTGATGGGAATTCATTTCTGAAGGAATCATTTTGAAGAAAGACCAAGTTGTGGACAGATTTTAGATTCCTCCTATTTTTCTGTCACTAGTTACTTACACTGTTGTCTTCAGTGGAGACTCAGCACATAGAAGTTCCCAGAAGCAGAATTATGGTGCCTTCTGGCCTCCTGGCCCTCTAGAATTCCCCTTTCCCCTCACCCCTCGCCCCTGGGGTTTGGGAACTCTGAGGCGCTTCTCTATTCAGTCACACATGACTCACAACAAAAGTGAAACTCATAAGGAGTTTAGAGTCTTCTTCCTTCTCTCCCTCCTTCCCTCTTTCCCCACTTCACTTTCTTCCCTTCCTCCCCATTTCCTTCCTTTCTTTTTAGTACTTTTCTTTCTGCCTTTCATTCAACACCTTTACCAAGGACCTTCATAATCCGGGCAATGTGTTAGGTCCTGATCATACAGAGATGAATAAGACGCAAAAGTCACAGTTCCTTGAGGAATTGATAACTTCAAAAAGAAAAATGCAAATCTGTCATTTCTCAATATCCTTTATTTGTGTATTATTTGCTTTGTGGTAGCTGTTGAAGTATTTTATTCTAGTAGCCAAAATTTGTTTTTAAAATATAGAAGTATAAACAAGCAACATAAGGAACATATTTTCAACAACAAAAGATGCTCACGGCTCACCCTATTATGAATAGCTCTTTTGTTACATAATATTTCAGACATTTCCATCAGGTTTCACCAGAGGTTTGATCTGTGATTAACATAGTATCTTAAGTAAATTATATAACAGTTATGAAATTTATAATTTCAATCACCATTACATTGAATCTATAATTAAATAATAAATATCTACTACTATACTGATTGTTTATTTAATTAGTTACTTTTCCTTTATCTAGGAAGGCATTATTATATCACTGTGCTGTCTTATAGTTTAATAAATTGTTCATCTAAAATCTCATACTAATTATGCTAATTTTGCTTAATATTTAGAAGAGGTACAATTTTTTTTTCCTTTTTTTCATTTATTTATTATTATTATACTAAGTTTTAGGGTACATGTGCACAATGTGCAGGTTAGTTACATATGTATACACGTGCCATGCTGGTGCACTGCACCCACTAACTCGTCATCTAGCATTAGGTATATCTCCCAATGCTATCCCTCCCCCCTCCCACAATTTTTTTTTTTGAGAGAGGGTGTCACTGTGTCACACAGCCTGGAGAGCAGTGTTGCAGTCGATCATGGCTCACTGCATCCTTAAACCCCTGGGCTCAAGCGATTCTTCTGCCTCAGCCTCCCAGGTAGCTGTGGCTACAGGCACTTGCCATCATGCCCAGTTAATTTTTAAATTATTTTATACAGATAAGGCCTTGCTATGCTGCCCAGGCTGATCTTGAGCTCCTGGCCTCAGGCAGTCCTCCTGCCTCCTGCCTTGGCCTCCCAAAGTGCTGGGCTTTTAAGTGTGAGCCACTGCATCTGGCCAAGGAGGTACAAGTCTTAATAAAACTGCAATCAAAATGATCCAGAACAGAATGGGGACATTCAGAAAGTCTAAGCTTATTCTCCTATTCCATTATGGACACTCTGGAAGACATTGAGGAGGTTCTTTCCCATGCCTCTTTTTCTGCAAGTCAATTTAGATGAATCATTACCATCATTTTGTGACTTTGAAAATCTGGGGTTTCAGAATAAAGGGTTAAATAACTTTAAACATTTGAAAAGAAATAAATTTAAAGAAATTTATTCTTCATTTCTTTTCTTTTCTTTCTTTTTCTTTTTTTTTTTTTTAAGATGGAGTATTGCTCTGTTGCCCAGGCTAGAGTGCAATGACGCGATCTCAGCTCACTGCAGCCTCCACCTCCTGGGTTCAAGTGATTCTCCTGCCTCAGCCTCCTGAGTAGCTAGGATTATAGGCATGTGCCACCATGACTGGCTAAGTTTTGTATTTTTAGTAGAGACTGGGTTTAGCCATGTTGGCCAGGCTGGTCTCGAACTCCTGACCTCAAGTGATCCACCAGCTTTGGCCTCCCAAAGTGCTGGGATTACAGGCATGAGCCACCGTGCCTGGCCAAAATTTATTATTTCTGATTCATAGAAAAGTGTTAACATCAAATTATTTTTAAAATTATGTTAATAGTGAAAAACATAATAGAAATTTCCTTGTCATAAAATTAAATTTTGTTTCTTTTTTAAGGAAGTAAAATATATTAAGGTATTACATTTAAATATAACTTTTATATGGCAATAACAATGGATGAATCTCCATTTCATTTCACTATAAACTATATAATTTGGTTTCCTACTGCAAGGGCTTTAAATCATGATACTTAAAAACAGTCTTATTTTCCTAGTTGCAAAAAACTCTGTTAATCAGAAAATGTACTCTTCTGTTCACAGAAACAGATAGTATGTAATATTTGACCTTCTCAGAGAAAATAGAATTTAAAAATACTTGAACAAGAGTACAAACATCTGAATTTTGAAATGCTGCAGGTGAATACACAATTTCTAGTTAAAAACTCTCTTAGAATACATCTCTCATCAAATACCAGGCCTTGCTTGGGATAAAGGAAATCATTCATTGGAGTACTCTGCTTCTCTTTCACATCTCTTGGGAAAAGAGGAGGAAAATCAGACAATGAGAAAATGAAGAAAGCAAACTCTAACCGTCAAGGTTTCAAATGTATAGTAGACATACATTGCGTTGACTACCCAGTTCACAATGCTTCTCCAAATGGCTATATTTTTCCTACTTATCCCACCCACATTTGGGAAAATGTTCATCCTCCCCTTGCTCTGAATTGGAGGTTTTATCCTGTTAGTTATATAACTCCCTGCCCCTGAAGAGATATGCATATGACTCAAGAAGGGCTAATCACTTGGCCATTGTTGATTGGTCCAAGGGATGCATGTATGAGTTAGTCTATGCCAATCAGTCTCCTTCCCAGAGATTTTCCAAACTGGGGCCAGGAGGAAGCACTTCCTTTCTGTTTGGTTGCTAAGCTATGAGGCTAAGTTTGGATCCATCACAGGCCATGTTTCCAGTCTTACACAGATGGCAGACCCAAAATCATAAAGCTAAAAATCAGAGAGAAGCAGATTCAAGCATAGAGAGAGAAAGAGAGGGAGAAGACATTTAAATTATCACTTCACACCCATCAGGATGGATGGCTACTATATTAAAAACAGTGTTGATGAGGATGTAGAGAAATTGAAACCCTGTTGGTAGGAATGCAAAATGGTGCAGCTACTGCGGAAACCAGTATGGTGATTCCTCAAAAAATTAAAAATAGAACTACCATATGATCCACCAATTCTACTTCTGGGTATATATCCAAAAGAATTGCAAGCAAAGTCTTGAAGAAATAGTTGTACACTCATGTTATCAGCAGGATTATTTCATGATAGCCAAAGTGGAGAAACAACCCAAGTGTCCATGTCCATCAATGAATGGATAAAGAAAATGTAGTATATACATGCAATGGAATATTATTCAGCATTAAAGACAAAGGAATTGTGACACATGCTAGAATAAGAATGAACCTTGAGGACATTATGACACATGCTAGAATAAGAATGAACCTTGAGGACATTATGCTATGTGAAATAAGCCAATCACAAACAGACAGACACTGTATGATTCCACTTATATCACTTACATATGAAATATATAGAGTAGTCAGGTTCATAGAAACAGAAAGTAGAAGGGTAGTGGTTGAGGGCTGGAGTGAGAGGGAAATAGGGAATTTTTGTTTAATGGACATAGAGTTTCATTTTTGTAAGACAGAGGTTGTGGAGATTGGTTGCACAACCGTGTGAATATCCTTAACACTACTGAACTGTACACTTAAAAATAGTTAAGATGGTGAATTTTATGTTAGTATGATTTTCAATTAAAAATTTTTAGATTAAATTAAATACATTTTTATAATCATTAGAAGAAAATCTAGGTAAAAATATATCAAATGTAAGCATGACATCAAAAGTAAAAGTCATAACAGAGAATGTCTATGTATACAAAGAATGTGTTAATGCTGATTATCTGTTGGCCTTTGTGTTATGGTTACTTTTTAAAATCTTTGATTTGCTATTTTTCTGTAATGAACATTACTGAGTTACATAATGAGGAAATGCAATAAATAATTTTTAATTGGGACAAATGAAATATTGTGGGTTTTTTTGTCATTCACCAAAGATTGTGAATAATTATAAAATTCAGTGTTAGCGAAGACATGAAAACAGCTACTCTTATACACTGCTATGGGAATATCATCTGGTACAACCTTTCTGAAAGGCAATTTAGTCACCTGTACAGGCCAAAATTGATCTGTGGTTTCTAAGTCTCTTTATCTGAATGAATTGCATTCTGTTTGTTTGTTTGTTTGTTTTTTGTTGTTTTGAGATGGAGTCTTGCTCTGTTATTCAGGGTACAGTGCAGTGCGCCATCTCAGCTCATCAACAGCACACAGGAAGCTCCTTACCATGGTGGAACCATTTGCTATCACTTTGACATCTTGTCAAAAAACAAGGGCACGTGTGGAAAGACTGAAAAATGCCTGATAAAGGGCCAACTTTAAAAATAGAAAGGAGATAATTAGGAAAACACAAATCAACATGCTTAATGTTTCTGTTTAGACAAGATCCTGAAGCATTAAGCTGTAACATTTAAAAAATATTTTTCTCAGTAGAAGGAAAAAATGGAAAAAGGGTGTTTGTTTCATAATACTGATAGCATATCACACTTATATTACTTGAAAAAGCAAAAAAAAATTAGTAATATCCAGGACTACCTAATTAGGCAGAATTTTAAATCTGACATCCCTACAGATACAGTTTTCTTAACTTAAACGTTGATTTCTATTGCCTATGGTCTGATAAAAATAGATGTTAACAAACAAAACAGAGCTAATTTGTGTCATAAGAATTAAATCTCAGTCTGTTTCTGCAAAAAATGATTTAATCTGCTAATGCCTGGGGTAAAGGATTTATAGCAATTTTTCAAATAGGAATAGTTCCAAATACTAGCTTTTCCCAGATATTTCCCCCAAGGACTTATTATAAGAGAACTTCAATTGATGTGTAAATGAAGAAGACAACTGCCTACATGGATGATTCAGGAGAGTACCAAAACCATCTATCTTACTAATGCCAACAGATTCATTATCTTCCTTCCACCAATCTCTGGGTATGTTTTGAATGGAATAAGCCTTAAAAAAAGAAAAAAAAAGTTTCTTTCTACTGCAAACTCTTTAAGGAGAATGATACATTACATCCTGTTATGAACTAAATGTTTATGTCCCCTGAAAAACTCATATGGTGAAATCCTAACCCCCAAAGTGATAGTATTTGGAGGTGGGGTCTTTGGGAAGTAATTAGGTCCTGAGGGTGGAGCAGGATTAGTGCCTTTTTAAGGAGAAGAGCTTGTTCTCTCTTTTTCTGTTTCCCCACATCCCCTTCCTCTTCTTTCTCTGCTCCCTGCCATAGGAGGATACGTGGAGAAGATGGCCATCTGCAAACCAGGAAGTGTGTCCTCTCTAGACACTAGATCTGCCAGCACTTTTATCTTGGACTTCCCAGGCTCCAGAACTGTGAGAAATAAATATCTATTGTTGAAGCTGCCCAGTTTATTGTAGTCTGTTATAGAAGCTGGAATTGACTAAGTAAGGCAAGTCAGCTCCAGTAGGGATGAGTTACTCTTCTGAGAAGGGAGGAGCCATGCAATATGAATGCATGGAACACAGGGATCACTAGGAGGCAGGGGTTGAAAGAGGGAGAAAATAGCAAAGAAAAGGGTGGTGGACCAGACAAACTTGTCCTACACCTTAACTTGCCTTCCCAAGACAGACTCTGGCTTCCTCTTAGGCTTTTTCTGTTCCCATTCTCAGCGTCTATATCTTTCCACTTCATGCTGTTTGATCAAGAGAGGGAAAGTGGAGCAGGCAAAGAGAAGCTCATAAAATTTTAATGTTATAAATTATAGCCGTATTTAATAGTCAGAAAGTTGAAAAATAATAGTCCTTTGTAACTCCAGAGAGAAACCAGTTACCGAGATGGCACAGGTAGGCTTTCGGAGAGGCAGACTGTGAGTCAGAGATGAGCAGGCAGGAGGTTCATTAGGCATGCTCCAAGGATCATCACCTAGGACAGGAAAGGCAAGGAAACGGAAGGGACTGGCAGAGGGAGAAGTGGAGCCGTGATGGATTGATGGATTCTCAATGAAACCCTTAGCCCTCTGGGATGTTCTGAAGCAGGGATGACCTATCAAAGATGCCTTGAATTGGGGCAACAGGGCTAGGCCTTTATACCTCTGCATTGACCAGTGATTGGATGTAGACCACCCCAGAAAGGGACTGTCACCTTAGGCAAGGAATCTCTCTTCAACTGAGGAAATTCCTGAAAGGAACTGACAGCTGAGGGCTGCCTTGTCCACAGCATTCCTTGCTGCTTGGGGAATAAAACCTTGAGTCCTGAAGGGGGAATCTGAGCAGTGCATCACAGTGACCACCACAGAAAGAAAACTTGTACCTACCACAAAACTTAATGTATGTTTAATAAAATTTGTTTAATAAATGAATATCCTTGTTCTGTCTTGCAAATTGTCCCCCTTCCCAACAAAAAAATAAATATGGTATTATTAAAGTTTTTATAGACAATTGTCTTCGATAACTAGTTTTTCTCATGTGAAAGACTGGCAAGATATCGTTCTGTAGCTAAACCTGTGACCAAGGAAAATGGCATTATGTGACAAATATCTGTGAGAGTCTGCTGTAACTTAATGTACGTTTAGTTTTGCATTTTTGTGAAGAACAATTTGCATTTTGAAGCCATGTTAAACATACAGAAAACTTACAGAAAGAGGACAAAGAACTTTTGTTACTTGAACAGTTTGAGAGTAAGTTGCTGACCTGATGCTGTATTACCCCTATACTTTAGTGTATATTTTCCTATAGACAAGGATATTCTCCTATTTAACCAGAACACAGTTACTCAAGATCAGGGAGTTAACATCAGCACATTGCTATGATCTAATCCTTAGACCATGTTCAAGTTTTGTCAAATGTTCCAATGTAATTTATAATAAAATAATCCAGTCCAAAATCAAGTACTGCATTTAGTTCATCTCTTTAGTTGTCTTCAATCTGGAACCATTCCTGTCTTTCCTTGACTTTCAGGACCCTGACACTTTAGAAGATTATAGGTCATTAATTTTTATAATGTTCCCCAGTTTAGCTTTGTCTGATATTATCTTATGATAAGGTTATGCTTCTTTGGCAAGAATCTCACCGAAGCAATGCTGTGTTCTCATTGCATTCTATCAGAGGGTCTACATTTTCAATTTGTTTTATTACTGAGATGTTCACTTTGATTATCTGATTAAAATGGTATCTTCTAGGCTCCTCTATTATAAATTAACCTCATTTCCCTTTTTTTATTCATAAATATTTTGCAGGACATACTTTGAGGCTATGTAAATATCTCATTCTCCACTAAGTATCAATTTATTTATTTATTTATATGACTGAACTCATAGATTTATGCTTTAATCAATTTATTACTATTATTTACTTTGATGCTCAAATTGTTCCAGATTTATCTAGTGGTGTACCCTTCAAGCTGACTTCTGAGTCATTTTGACTTGATGCTTGCACAATTTTGGGGGGCACTTCTTACTTTCTAGCCTAGTAAGATGTTCCAGGTTAATCTTGTATTTCCTCTGCCCTAATCCTGAAATCAGCCATTTCTCTGAGCTCTGTTATTTTTTATTTTTGGAGACACAGTCCCTCTTTGTTACCCAGGCTGGCGTACAGTGGCTCCAGCATAGCTCACTGCAGCCTTGAACCTCCTGGGTTCAAGCAATCCTCTCACTTTAGCCTTCTGAGTAGCAGGGACTACAGGTATGCACTACCACACCTGTCTAATTTCTAAAAAATTATTTTTGTAGAGACAGGTTCTTGCTATGTTGTTGATATGGTTTGGCTCTGTGTCCCCACCCAAATCTCATCTTGTAGGTTCCATAATTCCCATGTGTTGTGGGAGGGACCTGGTGGGAGATGATTGAATCATGGGGCTGGGTCTTTCCTGTGCTGTTCTATGATAGTGAATGGGTCTCATGAGACCTGAGGGTTTTATAAACAGGAGTTTATCTGCAGAAGCTGTCTCTTTGCCTGCTGCCATCCATGTAAGACATGACTTGCTACATCTTGCCTTCCTCCATGATTGTGAGGCCTCCCCAGCCATGTAGAACTGTAAGTCCATTAAACTACTTCTTCCCAATCTTGGGTATGTCTTTATCAGCAGTATGAAAACAGACTAATAAAGTAAATTGGTACAAGTAGAGTGGGGCGTTACTGAAAAGATACCCAAAACTATGGAAGCGACTTTGGAACTGAGTAACAGGCAGAGGTTGGAACAGTTTGGAGGGCTCAGAAGAAGACAAGAAAACGTGGGAAAGTTTGGAACTTCCTGGAGATTTGTTGAATGGCTTTGACAAAAATGCTGACAGTGATACGAACCATAATGTCCAGGCTGAGGTGGTCTCAGATGGAAATGAGGAACTTGTTGGGAACCGGAGCAAAGGTGACTCTTGTTATGTTTTAGCAGAGAGACTGGCAGCATTTTGCCCCTGCCCTAAAGATTTGTGGAACTTTGAACTTGAAATAGATGATTTAGGGTATCTGGCAGAAGAAATGTCTAAACAGCAAAGCATTCAAGAGGTGACTTGGATGCTGTTGAGGGCATTCAGTTTTATAAGGGAAGCAGAGCATAAAAGTTCAGAAAACTTGCAGCCTGACAAGGCAATAGAAAAGAAAAATCCCATTTTCTGAGGAGAAATCCAAGCCAGCCTCAGAAATTTGCATAAGTAATTTGGAGCCAAATGTTAATCCCCAAGACAATGGGGAAAATGTCTCCAGGGCACGTGAGAGGTCTTCATGGCAGTCCCTCTCATCACAGGTCTGGAGGCCTAGGAGGAAAGAGTGGTTTCATGGGCTGGGTCCAGGGTCCCCATGCTGTGTACAGTCTAGGGACTTTGTGCCCTGCATCCCAGCTGCTCCAGCCACGGCTGAAAGGGGCCAATGTAGAGCTCAGACTGTGGCTTCAGAGGATGCAAGCCTCAAGACTTGGCAGCTTCCACGTGGTGTTGGGCCTGTGAGTGCATAAAATTCAAGAATTGAGGTTTGGGAACCTCCACCTAGATTTCAGAAGACGTATGGAAATGCCCGGATGCCCAGGCAGAAGTTTGCTGTAGGGGTGGGGTCCTCATGTGGAACCTCTGCTAGGGCAGTGCAGAAGGGAAATGTTGGGTGGGAGCCCCCACACAGAGTCCCTACTGGGGCACCACCTAGTAAAGCTGTGAGAATAGGGCCATCATCCTCCAGACTCCAGAATGGTAGATCCACTGACAGCTTGTACCATGCGCCTGGAAAAGCCTCAGACACTCAACACCGCCAGTGAAGGTAGCTGGGAAGGAGGCTGTACCCTGCAAAGCCACAGGGGTGGGGCTGCCCAAGACTATGGGAACCTGCCTCTTGCATCAGCATGACCTGGATGTGAGACATGGAGTCAAAGGAGATCATTTTGGAGCTTTAAGATTTGACTGTCCCACTGGGTTTCAGACTTGCATGGGGCCTGTAGCCCCTTTGTTTTGGCCAATTTCTCCCATTTAGATTGGCTGTATTTACCCAATGCCTGTACCCCTATTGTATCTAGGAATTAACTAACTTGCTTTTGATTTTACAGGCTCATAGGTGGAAGGGACTTACTTGCCTTGTCTTGGATGAGACTTTGCACTATGGACTTTTGAGTTAATGATGAAATGAATTGAGACTTTGGGGGACTGTTCAGAAGGCATGATTGGTTTTGAAATGTGAAGATATGAGATTTGGGAGGGACCAGGGGAAGAATGATATGGTTTGGCTCTGTGTTCCCACTCAAATCTTGTCTTGTAGCTCTCATAATTTCCACATGTTGTCAGAAGGACTCGGCAGGAGATGATTGAATCAAGGGGGCAGGTCTTTCCCATGCTATTCTTATGATAGTGAATGGGTCTCATGAGATCTGGTGGTTTTAAAAACAGGAGTTTCTCTGCACAAGTGCTCTCTTTGCCTGCCACCATCCATGTAAGCTATAACTTGCCCCCCTTGCTTTCTGCCATGATTGTGATGCCTCCCAAGCCACGTGGAACTGTAAGTCCATTAAACCTCTTTTACTTTCCAGTCTCAGGTATGTCTTTATCAGCAGTGTGTAAATGGACTAATACAGTTGTCCAGGCTGGTTTTAAACTCCTGGGCTCAAGCTATCCTCTTGGCTTGGCCTCCCAATGTGTTGGGATTACATGGGTGAGCCACCACACCTGGCCTATGTCTCTGAGCTCTATTTAAGGTCACCTCTCCACTAGGGCACTTCACCCATCATAAGGATATAAAAGTATGCTAAAGAAGAGTTTATGAAAACTATATAATGGAGTGTTTCTTGCTCTTTAAGTTTGAAAGATACAGCACTCTGTGCTTGGAATTCTAAGCTCCAAAGGTACAGATGTCATAGGTTTATTCCAATATCTTTACTGTGTAGATGTGTATCTTTAGCATATCTAGGAAGTAATGTAAATTTAATCGTTTGCATAACATAGTACAATTTATATAGCCAAGGCCTATAAAAGGTGATAAAATCCATTTAAAACTGCTCTGTGGTAAGATTTGTGATTGCCAGTTCAGCAGCATAAGGGTGATGGACTTTGAACAGAATAGACAACTTGGGTTTGTGTCTCAGCAGAACCCTTTAGTAAGAAAATAATCTCTACCTCACTAGGTTGTGTAAATATTAAATAAGATAGCTCTTATAAGGCTGCCATGTAAACTGTAAAGGGCTATTTTTATATAAAATATTATTTAAAAATGCTTACAGTCACATAACTATTAAAACCTCAAAAAGTGAACTTGGTTTTCTCAAGGAAAGAAAAACCAATGTGGCAAAACAAACAAACAAACAAACAACAACAACAAAAAAAAACAAAAAAACCCGGTAACACTATTAGCCTTTTAAAACTGAGATTGTATTTACCGGCTGCATTTTTTTTCACAGAACCTTAATACAACTCAAATTGCCATTGTGCTGAAATCTCTCTAATGATTACCATTATTGCTTAACTTTCTTACATGCTTTGTTAAATTCAGGATACGCTATTCTTTGGGGTCATCTACAGATAAATTGTTTGTTAAACTGTTAAAATTACTGAGAGTAAACCACTAATAAAGAATAGTCTGCAGCTCTTTCAAAGGTTTATAAACTATGGGTGGACCTGAATAATGAGTTAGGAAAAAAACGAACTATTAAAGAATTCATACTTGTTCTTATTTAGTTGGAGTTTTATAGAAAAGAAGAGCAAACTAGTGAATTGCTGTTAATTTTGTAGGTAAGAGTGTTACTGTCTTTTTAAAAAGTGATTAGCTTCTAGAGACATACTAAAACATGAAAAAATGTAATATGAAAGAGACATTTTTCCTGAGATGAGTGGATGAAAGTCTATAGTTCAGGAGTCAGCAAACTTTTTCTGTAAAGGGCTAAACAGTAACTATTTTTGGCTTTGCAGGCCGTACAACTTCTGTTGCAACTACTCAACTCCACTACTGCAGCACAAAAACAGGCATGTAAACAAAAGAGTATGGCTGTGTTCCAACAAAATTTTATTTACAAAAGCAGGCGACAGGCTGGATTTAGTCTGTGGGTCATAGTTTCCAACCTCTGGGGACAAATGAAACTAAATTTGCTGAGATTAATGTTTATGAAAGCTCCGTGATGGGTACATAGAAGTTGTTACACTATTCTGTGTACAGTTTATATATTTAAAATTTTCGATAATAAATTTTCTATAATAAAAAGTCAAAAACAAAGAAGAGATAAAATTTTGATAAGAGAGAAGAGAATGAGATAACCAGGCTGTGATAAAATACCTTCATATTTGATACACACACATTTTACTAGTTTATTTTAATGATCTGATTTGCTGGCTATTTTCCATTTATTTATTTATTTATTTATTTTGAGACAGGGTCTTGCACTGTCTCTCAGGCTGGAGTGCAGTGGCTTGATGATGGCTCACTGCAGCTTTGACTTCCTAGGCTGAAGTGATCCTCCTGTCTCAGTCTCCCATGTAGCTGGGACCATAGGTACATGCCGCCACACCGGGCCAATTTTTTGTATTTTTTGCAGAGACAGGGTCTCATTTTGTTGCCCAGACTTGTCTTGAACTGCTGGGCTCAAGCTATCCTCCCATTTCAGCCTCTGAAAGTGTTGGGATTACAGGCATGAGGCACCACACCCAGCCTATTTTCCTTTTATATAATCTGCCTGATCATTTTTTTAAAAAGGTACTGAATTGGAATATTTATGAAACTATTTTTTGGTAATATACTACATTTGGCATACTTAAGTGCCAAGAGATTTTAAAACCTTTTATTTTTAAAAAACCATCACATGAAATAAAGGATATATTTCATATAGGATTCTAGGACTTTGGATTACGATGCTATTGATAGTTCATGATTTGCATTATTCCTTTACTCAAAACTCATGGCCATGATACATAATACATTAAAGGAAAAAAATACACAGCTTTTTTTTTTTTTTTTTTTTTTTATAAAAAGGACTTAGCTGTGTTCAGTAAGATAAATCTCCGTGAGCCAGGAACAGAAAATACAGTGAAGAAAATTGGTAGGTGGAGGCCGGGCGCGGTGGCTCACAACTGTAATCCCAGCACTTTGGGAGGCCAAGGCAGGTGGATCACGAGGTCAGGAGATCGAGACCATCCTGGCTAACATGGTGAAAACCCGTCTCTACTAAAAATACAAAAAATTAGCCGGGTGTGGTGGCGGGCACCTGTAGTCCCAGCTACTCAGGAGGCTGAGGCAGGAGAAAGGCCTGAACCCGGGAGGTGGAGCTTGCAGTGAGCTGAGATCACGCCACTGTACTCCAGCCCGGGGAATAGAGTGAGACTCCGTCTCAAAAAAAAAAAAAAAAAAAAAAAGTAAAGAAAAAAGAAAATAGGTAGGTGGGAGCCATGAGCCTGCTGAACTCTGGGTCACTAAGTAGATAGAGGCAATTGTGAGTTCATATCCTTTTGGGAGATCAGAGACAGGTTCACTGCCTAAAACCAGGAGCTGGGCTGGTGATCCTTACTCCCATCCCTTTCACAAAGAAGCTTAAAAAGCTGCTGCTGACTACTGCCTGGGACTACAGCTTTAGGGGAAGCTGTGAGCTTCAGGAGGCAGGACAGAAACACAAGCTGGCAACCAATATTCTACATGTTATCATGAAGGATGTAATCAATGACTGGTCCAAATTATCATTTTTTAAAAATTTTAAGTTCCTGGATACATATGCAGGACATTCAGGTTTGTTACATAGGTAAACGTGTGCTGCTGCGCGTATCAACCCATCACGTAGGTATGAAGCCCCACATGCATTAGCTATCTTTCCTGATGCTCTCCTTCCCCCTACCTGCCCTCACCAGCAAGGACAGACCCCGTATGTGTTGTTCCCCTTCCTGCGTCCATGTATTCTCATTGTTCAGCTCACACTTATGAGCGAGAACATGTGGTGTTTGGTTTTCTGTTCCTGTGTTAGTTTGCTGAGGATGATGGCTTCCAGCTCCATCCATGTCCCTGCAAAGGACATGATCTCATTCCTTTTTATGGCTTCATAGTATTCCATGGTGTACATGTACCACATTTTCTTTATCCAGTCTATCACTAATGGACATTTTGGTTGATTCCATTTCTTTGCTATTGTGAATAGTGCTGCAATAAATATATGCATGCATGTATCTGTAAAATAAAATGATTTATAGGTCCAATTTATTTACCCCTTTTTGTGCCCATATCCCTTGCCATTGTAACGTTGAAGTTCTTCCCATAAAAGGCAGTATGGCCGGGTGCAATGACTCACGCCTGTAATCCCAGCACTTTGGGAGGCCGAGGTGGGTGGATCACGAGGTCAGGAGTTCAAGACCAGCCTGGCCAAGGTGGTGAAATCCCATCTCTACTAAAAATACAAAAATTAGCCAGGCGTGGTGGTGGGTGCCTGTAATCCCAGCTACTCGGGAGGCTGAGGCAGAGAATTGCTTGAACCCAGGAGGCAGAGGCTGCGGTGAGCCAAGCTTGTGACACTGCGCTCCAGCCTGGGTGACAGAGTGAGACTCCGACTCAAAAAAATAAAAATAAAAATAAAAATAAAAAAGGCAGTATATTTTTCTGGGCTCAGCCATGGGATATGCTTTGGCCAATGGGGCATTAGTAGGTATGATGAAAGCAAGGGCTTGAAATGTGCTTATCTAATGGGGCTTGCCCCCTTGTACTTTTGTCACCACAATAAGGAGAGTTTTCCCCAGGGTAGCTGATGCCCTGGGCCCCAGAATAAGCATGCGTAGCAGAAGTGCCCTCCCGGTTTGCAGACCTGGCAACTCCACTCACCTCACACCATCTCTGTGGCTGACAGTGCCCCAGGTGATATGATCCAGCAGCCTCCTGGCCTCGTCCCCTCCACTCTCCCTCTCTCACTGTTCCAGGTCCATAGCTTCCTCCCTCTCCCTTGAACACCTGCCCCAGGGTGTTTGCACTGGCACACCCTCCCCCATTTTGCCCAGCTGGGCCCTTCTCATCACCCATAAGTCAGTACAATTGTCATCTCCTCAGAGAGGCCCAGGCTGCCCAGGGCCCCAGATTCCAGCTGCGCCTCAGAATGAGCATGTGGAGCATAACTGTCCTGGCTGCCTGAGACCTGCTTTATAAAGTAAAGCTACTTCAGCGACTGCAGCCTGAAGTTGCCCTAACTGACCTGCAGACCCATGAGAAAATTAAAAGCTTATTAACAAAATGAAAAGCTTATATGTCACTGAGATTTTGTGATTGTTTCTTATGTAGCAATAGTAACCTAATCTAGAAGTCAGCACCTAATACTGGGATGCTGCTGTAATCAGAACCTAAAATATATGTTATTAGCTTAGGGTGGTGGATATGGTGAGGCAACTATTAGAGAAACTGAAAAATGGCAACCTGTATTTGTACAATGGTTGCCCATAGTAATGTGGAGGATAGTAGGATAGTTTCTAGGCATATGTCAAAGGTATGGGGCTAGGTGCTTTAAGTACTATTCTTTTTCTTTTCTTTTTTTTTTTTTTTGAGACCAAGTCTCACTCTGTTGCCCAGGCTGGAGTGCAGTGGCGCAATCTCAGCTCACTGCAACCTCTGTCTCCCAGGTTCAAGAGATTCTCCTGCCTCAGCCTTCTGAGTAGCTGGGATTACAGGTGTGCGCCACCACATCCAGTTAATTTTTTTTTGTATTTATTTATTTATTTATTTATTTATTTTGAGACAGAGTTTTGCTCTTGTTGCCCAGGCTGGAATGCAATGATGCGATCTCGGCTCACTGCAACCTCCACCTCCTGGGTTCAAGACATTCTCCTGCCTCAGCCTCCTGAGTAGCTGGGATTACAGGCATGTGCTACCATGCCTGGCTAATTTTTTATATTTTTAGTAGAAATGGGGTTTCTCCATGTTGGTCAGGCGAGTCTCGAACTCCCAACCTCAGGTGATCCGCCCGCCTCGGCCTCCCAAAGTGCTGGGATTACAGGCATGAGCCACTGCGCCCGGCTTTATTGTATTTTTAGTAGAGACAGGTTTTGCCATGCTGGCCAGGCTGGTCTCGAACTCCTGGCCTCAAGCGATCCACCTGCCTCAGCCTCCCAAAGTGCTGGGATTACAGGCGTGAGCCATCGCTCCCAGCTTTAAGTCCTATTTGCTAAAATAACAAGAAAAATGAGAAATTCATAAAAAAAAATCCCACTGACTTGCAAGAAGTGTTTAGAGAGCCCAGAACCTGCTTAGTTGAAGAATAAAATTCTTAATCTCCAGCTAGTGAAAGTGTTTCAGATCCAGCCTGGGAGAAAAATATCAAACTAAGGGCAAGGCTGTAACGTTCTTCATTTAGACATCTGAAAGAATTAAGGTAGTGCCTGGTAGATCCTTTCACCTGGAAAAAGGGGTTTCTAGAAAGCTTAAGGGCAGGGTCTCTCAGAAGTCGAATGAGAATTAGTTCCTCATAATAAAGTCTAGAAAGAAAGGCATGTAGCAGAAAGAATTGTGGGTGTGGGTTTTTTTTTTTTTTTTGAGACAGAGTCTTGCTTTGTTACCCTAGCTGGAGTGCAGTGGCGCAATCTCGGCTCACTGCAACCTCTGCCTCCTGGGTTCAAGTGATTCTCCTGTCTCAGCTTCCCGAGTATCTGGGATTACAGGTGCATGCCACCATGCCTGGCTAATTTTTGTATTTTTAGTAGAGAAGATTTCACCGTGTTAGCCAGGCTGGTCTCGAACTCCTGACCTCAGGTGATCTGCCCACCCAGGCCTCCCAAAGTGCTGAGATTACAGGTATGAGCCACCGCGTCTGGCCACATAAATTTTAAAAAAGAATAAATTATGAAACAAAATCAGGCTTTAAGTGATCCAAGAACAGGTAGAAAGAGTTTTTAAAAAATTTGCTGGACATGGTGGTGTATGCCTGTAGTCCCAGCTGTTTGGGAGGCTGAGGCAGGAGGATGGCTTGAAGCCAGAAGTTCAAGGATTCAGTGCACTATGATTGCTCCCGTGAATAGCCACTGCACTCCAGCCTGGGCAACATAGTGAGACCCTGTCTCTAAAAACGTAAACATTTTTAAAATAAATAAAATAAAAGAGTAAAAAATTAGGAGAACATACCAATTTAAAGACTCAATGGACATTCTAGACTGCACACAGTCTAAGAAAGAATTACTATATTTTAAGGTGTTACTGAGGAAATAATGTAAAATGCAACAGAAAGAGGTTTTTTAAGATGAGTGAGAAAATAAGTGACACAGAGACCAGACTGAGAGGCTGCAACTGTCTAATAAAACTTCAAAAGATGAAAATAGACAAAATTACAAACAAGCAATATTTGAAGAGATAGGGGCAGAGAACTTTCCAAAATTGAAGAATAATCCCTTAGAGTAAAAGTACATTCTGTACCAAGCAGGATAAAATATAAACTCTTATGTAGACACATAAAAGCAAAACTGCAGGATACAGAAAAAATTTAAAGTTATCAAAGAGGGAACAAAATTAACCATAAAAGAATAAAAATTAGACTAATAACAGATTTCTAATTGAGAAAAATAAGTGACAGGATGCAATAGAATAATTGTTTCAAATTGCTAAGGGAAAATTACTCCGGATGTAGAATTCTATACTCAGCCAAAAGCTACTATCTAAGAGTGAAAGCAAAATAAAGGCATTTGCAGACAAAAGGGAAACAAAATGAAACAAAACCCCAAAATACATCTCACTGAAATAACCATTAGAGCTTGCAAGAAGAAAAGTGAATGTAAGGGAAAGAAGTTAGATGCAAAATACAATGGTGATTTTATGGTATGCGAACTGAATATCAATAAAATTATTTTGTTTAAAAAGAAACGATGAGCATAAAATTGTCATGTTTGAATTTTTTTTTGTATTTTATGATAAAAATGTTGAAACTGAATTTCCAGACAACAATAAAAGAAAAGGTAGGAATTTGTTAATGAGTAAACAAAATAATGTCCTTTTCCTGTTTGGAAGAAAGATTCAAATACCAAATAACTTTAGACTTTAGTAGGAAGTTTAAGGGTGGCCCCTAAGGAACAGAAATGTAATCTATAACTTCCAAGTAAGGAGAACATCAAAGTGGGGGGATAGTAGAAAACCTTATCAATTTGGCAGATGACCAGAACTAAAGAAGCAAATGTAAATAATAGTAAACACATAAAACAAAATGATAAAAAATAAATGCAAGAGCTAGGCACGATGGGCCAGGTACGATGGCTCACTCCTGTAATCCCAACACTTTGGGAGGCTGAGGTGGTTGGATCACTTGAGGTCAGGAGTTCAAGACCAGCCTGACCAACATGGTGAAACTCCGTGTCTACTAAAAATACAAAATGAGCCAGGTGTGGTGGTGCACACCTGTAATCACAGCTACTTGGGAGGCTGAGGCAGGAGAATCGCTTGAACCCAGGAGGCAGAGGTTACAGTGAACCAAGATCACACCATTGAACTCCAGCCTGGGCAACAAGAGCAAAACTCTCTCTCAAAAAAAAAAAAAAAAAAAAAGAGCTAGGCATGATGGCACACACTACAAGTCCCAGCTATTCGGGAGGATGAAGCAGGAGGATCACTAGAGCCCCGGAGTCTAAGATCAGCCTGGGCAACACAGTAAGACCACACTTCTAAATGAATGAGTAAATAAGTAAATCTAAATGTCGTGAATCACAATGAATGTAAATGGGTTACTGACCTACTGAAAGGCAGACTATCAGATTCCACAAAGAACAAAATACAGCCACATGTTGCTTGTAAGAGATACATCCAAAGTAAAATGTCACAGAAATTTTGAAATAAAGGAATAAAAATACACTACACAGGGTTCTGATTCTGAAAATGATAGAGGAGCTTTTATCAGACTATGTCTCCTCTAACCATTATAAGCTCTGGGCAACATATATATATTCAATTAGTTCACATATATATGACCTAATTGAAGGTGCTTGGAGAATCACCAAAAGCAGACAGAAACCAAGGGGAGTAAATATTGAAAGAAGAGAAACACACTGGGTGAGAGTCATGCTTATGAAATTTTACCTCAGCACAGCAATGCTAGAACTCAAGCAGAAAAGTGCAGTCTTACTGGCTTGAGTCAATGGGCAGACTTTGGGGATGCCTAAGCCATTTGAGAACAAGGGAGCATCCCCCAAAAAGGATAGAGCCAAAAAACAAGGAGTCCCAAAAATCTATGGTAAACCTCACTCAAAATCTTTGGCTGACTCTTTGACTTTGCATGGGCAAGGGAGACTACCAGAGGTGGTGGTGATGGAAAACAACAGCTGAAAGGATGAGAAATCCAGGGGCTGCCCACTGCAAAAGAGGCAGAGTTAGAAATGGGGGTCCAAACAAGCTAAGTGCCTGCTAGAACAGAAATGAAGACTCTTCGTATAAAGGTAATAGAGTCTAGTCTAAACAATGTTTGATTCCCAATGTCTTATATATGATAAAGCTAAACATGTGAATGACTAATGTAACAACTGTTATTCTTACAGTGGGTTACTCTTCAGCCATGAAAAGGAATGAACCACTGATACACACAACAGCATGGATGAATTTCACAGAGCTCATGCTGAGTGAAAGCAGATAAACCCAAATGAGTACATAGTCAACTCTCTGTATCCCTGGGTTCCACATCTGTGGATTCAACCAGCCTAGTTTGAAAATACGTGGAAAAAAAAAAAAAGGATGGTTGTGCCTGCATTGAATACATACAGATCTTTTTCTTGTCATTATTTCCTAAACAATACAGTATAACAAGTGTTTACATAGCATTTACATTGTACTAGGTATTATAAGTAATCTACAGATAAAGTAAACAAGAAAATGTGCATAGCTTACATGCTAATACTACACCATTTTATTTTTATTTATTTTTGAGACAGGGTCTTGCTCTGTTACCCAGGCTGGAGTGCAGTGGCATAATCTTGGCTCACTGCAACCTCTGCCTCCTGGGCTCAAGTGATCTTCCCACCTCAGTCCCACAAGTAGTTGGGAATACAGGCGTGAGCCACCATGCCAGGCTAATTTTTATTTTATTTTATTTTTTTTGGAGAGATGGGGTTTCACCATGTTGCCCAGTCTGGTCTCAAACTCCTGAGGTCAAGTGATGCACCCACCTCAGTCTCCCAAAATGCTGGAGTTACAGGCGTAAGTCACTGCACCTGGCCTACATCATTTTATATGAGACTTATCCATTTGAGCATCCACGGATTTTGGTATCTGCGGGGAGATCCTGAGAACATTCCTCCTCAGATACCAACGGACAACTGTATAATGTATGATTCCATGTATGTGATGTTCTAGAAAAGGCAACACTATCTAGTGTGAATGAAATCAGCAAAAGGATATTCTTGTGAGATTGATGGGAAAGGGGCATGAGGGAACTTGCTGCCCCAATAAAAATGATCTCTATCTTGAAGGGGTGTGATGGTCAAGAACTGTGAAGGGTCTGAGATGTTACTCTACTTACAAGATAAAAAGCCTGCCACTATCTCCTGCATCAGAGACAAAGGACTTCATTATCCACAACACAGTAAGCAGCCTGAGCTGCATGTCTGCCTTGGCTCCTATTGTCCCTTAAGTCTTACAGAGGTAATGCAGAGTGGCCCAAGTGGATGCTGTGCATGTCACAGTGTGTGCTAGAACTGAGGAACACCA
This sequence comes from Homo sapiens, assembly GCF_000001405.40. NCBI lineage: Eukaryota > Metazoa > Chordata > Mammalia > Primates > Hominidae > Homo > Homo sapiens. The sequence goes on along the minus strand of NC_000002.12, from coordinate 178,143,580 downwards.
AGCTTAAGGAGCCTAAATCTTTAATCAAGAGCTGTAACTCTGCTTGCCCTTTGCCCTGGAAGGAGACATTATCTTAATTTTACTAAACAGAATTTGTCTTTTGCTCCAGAGGGAGACACTAACTGTCTTCTGATTCTGTTTACTATATAAGCATCCTTTAAAAGATAGTGCCTCTGCTTACAAGACAAACAGAAACACAACAGACCCATGGGAATAGTCTCCAAAAGTGGGTTATAAGAGTGTATGCATTAATCAAGAATTCTCAAATCTTACACTTAAGATGTGTAGACTACACTGTAATCTTTATCCCCCAAAACACAACAATAAAACCCTTTAAAACAAACACAAAAGCAGAATTAGGTGTGGACAAATTAAGGATGACAGAAAAGGGGGATTCCTGTGTTCTTGTGAATCTTCTAAAATTGATAGGTTTGGGAGAAGCCAGCCTGCCTTACTGGCAGCTGACCTCACTGTAAACTACTTCTTCAAACTACGTTATATAATAGAAGCTTAAAATAATTATATAAGCTATTATACATAAGGGCAAATAAGTCATCTTTTTTTCTTTCTCTTCACCATTATGTCCTTGGCAGCTAGTACATACATGTTCAATATATTATTGTTGAATAAACTTGTACAACCAAGGTGAAAAAGGAACCAACACTTTGACCCCGAAGTCACTGAGTCACCCTCTTTATTCTGTCATCTGTAATCCTTTTCTCTTGCTTTCACTTCTCATCTCAGTTATACTTTTCTTACTTTATCCTTCCACCTCATTCTTTCAAGGAGTCATACAATGGAATAAAATTTTTTCACAATTACATGGTCTATTTATAACATAAAGATTTTATACTTCCTTCTTGAAAAACAAACAAATAAAACCCAGAACAGTGGTTGAATTAAACAGCGTGTAAACTTAAAAAAAAAAAATCCTTAAACAAGAGGCCTCAAAAAATTGGGTAAAGACTGTTCCCTCCACGGAAATCTTCAGTAAAAGGCAAAAGATTTATATGATCTGAAGAGAAACCAGAGTATCACAGTGTGTGAACTTAAGTGAGGCCATGGAGTCATATTTCTTGAGCGCGAATCCCAGCTCCATTACTTATTTGCTATGTGTCCTGTCAGAAGTCATTTAATCTCCCTGTGCTTCACAGTATTAATTTCACAGAACTGTTAGATGCCTAAATGGGAAAATATCTCACAGTGCTTGGAACAGTAGTGATATAGTAAGAGTTTAACAAGTATCATCTATTATTCAAAAATCACCTAGATTTGTATTTGGATTGTGAACTAGGCACTAGTAAAATTGTACAAACAACAAAAACACAACATTAAAATAAAAATTAGCATAATCTTTAAAAATAAGCCTAAGTAAAACTTCAGTTTGAAAAGGTAGTACCTAAACAATTATTGCAATATCTATAGAGAATACACACTTGTTTACAGAATCTCTGCAGGAGACATACATAGGAATACTTCATGCTGTAATCCAAATGGATAAAAATTTATTTTGTGCCTGTTATGTGTAAGGTGCATAGCTGTGTTTGAGGTTACAAAAATAAAACACAGGCTTTGCTCATAAAAACTTTATAATCTAGTAGGGTATACAGTATATTTAAAAAAAAAAAATTTTTTTGAGATGGGAGTCTCGTTCTGTCACCCAGGCTGGAGTGCAATGGCGTGATCTCGGCTCACCGCAACCTCCACCTCCCGGGTTCAAGCGATTCTCCTGCCTTAGCCTCCCAAGTAGCTGGGATTACAAGCATGTGCCACCACGCCTGGCTAATTTTTTTTTTTTTTTTTTTTTGTCTTTTTAGTAGAGACGGGGTTTCACCATGTTGGTCAGGCTGGCCTCAAACTCCTGACCTCAGATGATCCACCCGCCTTGGCCTCCCGAAGTGCTGGGATTACAGGCATGAGCCACTGTGCCTGGCACTTTTTAGGTTTTTTTTTTTTTAAAGTACAAGTGTTCACCAAGGAAAAATGGAAAATAGTGAAAAGCAAATACACCCATATGGCTCTTTCAAATTCATTCTAGCTTAAATAAATCATTAACTACATTATATGCAATTTTGTATTCTGCTTGCTTTCTCTAAAGAGTAAGCATGATTTCCATTCTATCCCATAGTTTTGGAAGGATTTGGTGTTACATAATATTTGATTAGTGTGTGCATGTGGTAGCATCTGTAATCTTCGTTATGGTCATTGATATTTAGTGTAGTGGTTAAGAGAATGGGCATCAATTTTAAGTTGCCTGTATCTGAAGCCCAGCTTTCCCATTTGCTGGCTGTTACTTGAGCAAGTTACTTTATTTCTCTGAATGTACTTCAGCTTCCTGTTGATAAAATAGGAAAAATAGTACTTACACCATAGAGTTTTGAGATACATGTAAAGCCACTCACCCAGTGCCTGGCAATAAATCTAGCTAAGAAGCAGTTTTAGACATTGTGTTTGCCTTACCAACATGTTTTCCATACCTTCCCCATTATATTGCAGTCATGCAGTTGGGAACAAGGCTAGACACTGATTCATTTAAACAACTCAGGCTAGTCCCATCCTTCCAGCTAGTGATTGTTTCAGACTAATCATGAATAATCCAAAGAGTCCATGACATTCATATGATCATAAGAATGGACAAGTAACCAATTTGGGCAAACAGATCTCATTGTGGATCTATTGAGATGTGTATTAGAGTTCAAGAGCAGCCTGGGCAACAAAGTGAGACCCTGTCCCCGAAAAAAAAATGTGTATTAACGGTTTTTTCCCCCCAATGGGAACTGCTCTTTCATCAAAGGATAAACCCTACTTAGCAATGGTATGTTGTTCTTTGAACACATAATTTGTACTACTAATATTTTATTTAGGTTTGCTTGCATCCATATTCATAGGTTAAAGAACAATTTATAGCTTTGATTTTTGTCTTTTCAATGTTTTGGTGTCAGGGTAACAGTAACTGCACAAAATTTAATGTGGTGTACACTCACCTTTTTCTGTCTGCCAGAGAAAATTTATATAACATAGGAATAACGTGCTTCTTAAAAGTTTGGGAGAATGCATAGAGTGATCAGGACTCATTTGAGGAGATACAATTCATTGGTTACTACATTAATTTTTTTCTTTGGTTATCGACCTGTTTGAATTTTGTAATTCTTGAGTGGGTTTTCTAAACTCGTGTACTGAATATTTCATAGCAAATATTTAAATTAAAACAATTAAGGATGACATTTATTTTTTAATAATCTGTTTTTCATTAACTTTATTATTTCTGATTTTGATTTTTTTAGAAAATGCATTTGCCAGGAGGTTGCCTATTTGCTTTCCTCTGATTTATTTCTAGTCTTATCCATATTGTTACTTTTTTCCCTTGTGTTACATGTCTAATTCATTCATTTTCATGTTCTAAATAATAGTGACTATCAGTTTTCCTTTCAGCATAGCTTTAAACACATCCTCTAATTTTTATTTGCCATTTTGTTTTCACTCAATTTTACTGGATCTTTTTGACAAAACAACCGTTTAGGAGGCTTCTAAATTATTTTTCACATGATTGTGATTTAATTATTAAAATTTTTAAGTTTTATTACCACGTATAACTTTTGCCCTTTAAAATGCACTGCAGGGAAACTGTCAGGCTCTAAGGATTGCTTTCCGTTATTACAGGCCATTCAGATGCTGAAGTAACGTACAGCAGGTGAGCACTGAATGTCAGAACCATTTCATTCCTCCAGGAATCCAAGGCGGCCTATAGGATCTAAGCTTAGGGTAGAAGAGAGTAAGAGGTGTCCTTGCAATCAGACCAAAGTATTTCAAACAGAGAGGCTGGAAAGAACATGTTGGAGGTGTTTCGTTTATCCTGCTAATAAATACTGTAAATCAGCTAATGTGCAGAAAGCTAACAGATCTTTCTGGGTCCTCTATGCTGCTTTTGTCATTCGGCATTGCTTTCTGATCAATTTGTAAACTACCATTTGAGAAAAGATATATATTTTTTTCCTATACATATTAATTTTGTTTTATTTTTCATTTCTTGTGGATAATTTCTCTCCATATTTGATTTGTGTTGTAATGGTTCACAGAACATGTTAAGGTTTCCATCACAATCCCTACACTATTGTAAAGTGTACTTTTTACTTTCACATTGTAATATATAAAAGTATATATATAATATATATTATTAAAATATATTATATAAAAATATATTATATAAAATATATATTTTATATATCAAGTATATATAAAGTACTTTGTAATTTCACAATTTAATCCTATATGAGCCCGCGTGTGTCAGGGTCTGTTGTTTTTACTAATTGTAATTTTGTCAGTGACTATGCTTCTGTTATTTAGCCTTATAACTTCTCCTTAAATTGTACTCTGAGATACTTTTTGTGTTAAGTGTGTGTGACAGAATTGGATTTAAAGGTAAGTCTCTTGAACGAAGGAAATAATTTCATTTTGTTTTTAGAATTTAAAGTTTAAACAGTTTTGGTCTTACGTGCTTTTTTTTTTTTTTTACTTTTGTCATACACACAATTTCACTTTTGTATTGTTCAATAATTTGAAGAGGAGACATTCTGTTATTAATTTTATTATTAAGCACCTTAACAGACTTCAAAAGATTCTTAATCTTACATTTAATTATCAAAGTAAAAAAAGAATGAATTTTAATATTTCTTTACAAAAGAGAAGGATTTTACCCCTCACCCACCTCCATCCCCCCCAAAAAATAAACTGCCATTCCTTCTTGGCCTTCATTAACTTAACCTAGGGTTATAAATCCCACTGAAAAATTTCGGAATAGATAAGTCATATAATAAAACTTTTTTTAAAAAATGAAATTTACAATTACCTTCATTATTCTAATAGTTTCAGTGATGATTTCAATACTCACCGACTGGCCTTTCTTTCCTTCTTCTTTTATTCTTAATTTTGATTCATTTTGGGAGTGTGGTGATTAATTTTTTTCCAGAAAGGGCAAATGAGCAGTACATTGTATATCACAGAATGCCTGTTACCTTTACAATTTGGATGAGTAGAGGAATCTTGGGCTACAAAACTACAGACATTGCTCCATTCCAGATGGCATTTAAAATGTGTAGAAGAGGATCTTCAGTCTTGTGACTTTTAAAATTTTTTAGATCAACCATGTTTCTTCTATTAAAACGAGTTATTGTTTATTGGGAACATCTATTAGTCAAAGGATAAATCTCTGTAATCAGCCTTTTTGATCTGCACCTTTTCTCTTACTATATTTGTCGGAGGGTGCTTTTTATCTTTTGCTCTGGTGCTTTTTGTTCATCCTAACTTATTTAAGCTGCAGAGAATCCTTTAAAAGAAAGCTTTTAAAGCACAATATATAACATTGATGAAAGCAGTTCTGATCTGGATAATGAACAAAAAGTGGGGGAACTTCCCTCCATCTTCGCTTTGTGGACTCATGAGAACCCACAGGATTCTGAAAAGTAGTTCAGTATTCACTGTTCATCATGGATTCAATTTTCTTTAGTGCTATGACTATTTACTATTTCTGACTCAAATATTAATTTAGCTTCTCCCTTTCTTTTCTCACTCTTATTTTCCTGCCCTCTTGCCATCATAATACCCTGCTGCACCATAGGGGGAGCAAAAGCAGATATTTTCTAATATTTTTTGTTCTATAAGCACTGGAAGAACAAAGTCCTTCTTTCTAAATGCTTCAGGACATTGTTCTTCTCTCATTCTGCAGAACTGTCTGTTTCACCAGCCTCATGCTGATTTTTGCTTTATTCACTAAGAAAGAAAAACTTTAATTGAAGTATAAGATAAATAAAAAATGCATACTCCATAGAGTACAGCTCAAAAACGATCAGTTATCCCCATCCTGGTCAAGAAAAACAAGACCACCAGCACACCATAACTCCCTTTGTGAACTCCCCCATTCCATTCTGCTCAAAGATATGTTTTGCTTGTTTTTGAACTCTGTAACTGGGAATCCTACAGCACATCTTTTGTTGGCTGGTTGCTTTTGTTCAACATTATGTTTGTGAGATTCCTTCAAATCATTATAAGTGTAGCAAGTTAGCTCATTTCCTTGCTATAGAGTGTCATATGCATTCTGTTCATGGACATTGGGGTTGTTTCCACTTTGGGGCTACTATGAATAATACCAAGAATGTTTTTGTATGTGTCTTTTGGTACATATATGTACACATCTTTGTTGGATATATGCTTAGAAGTGGAATTGCTGAGTCGAGGGTATACATATGTTCAACTTTAGTAGATACTGTCAAACATTTTCCCAAGCGGTTGAGCCAATTTGCATCAGCAGTTCTTGTTGCTTCACACTGTCACCAGTACTTGGTATTGTCAACATTTTAATTCTTGCTGTTCATACCACTGTTAGGGTAGCTTATTGTAGTTTTAATGAGCAGTTCATTGATGACTAATACGGCTGAACATTCTGAGTTTTAAAAGATTCTTAAGCTTATATTAACTATCAAATTAAAAAGAATATTTTAATATTTCTTTACAAAATGAATCTATCCACTACTCCTGTCCCCTGCCAAAACAAAACAACCCCAAAACAAAACTAAATAAAACTCCCCAAACAAAAAACCCTGCCCTCTTCTTGGTCTTCTTTTGTGAAGTGCTTGTTCAAATCTTTTGCCCATTTAGTTACTTATTTCACAATGAGTTTATCTAGGCCAATTGCAGAGAACTGTCAGACTCTGAATACTGCTTTCAGCTCTTCCACAGCTTACTTAAGTAAGTGCTGATATAATATCCAGCAGGTGGTCAAAGGTGTTAGACTCATTTCATTTCCCCAGGAAATCCCAGGAGGTCCATCAGATCTAGGGTAGAAGAGGGTAAGGGACTTCCTTGCAATAAGATCAAAGTTCTCAGGGCAAAGAAGCTGAAAAGAACATTCCGCACCCCCCCGACCCCAACCGCTATCTACATAAGTATTCTAAATCAGCTGATGTGCAGAGGCTAAGACATCTTTCTGTGCTGGTTATGTCACCTTTGTCATTCATACTCTTCTGGTCAGAGGCGAGATCTTTTATGACTCCCCTACTGAGCTGAATGCCGCATGTGGTTCTCTTAGTCAAGGAAACCTCCAACATAGTGCAGCTTCAGGGCCACTAGTGAAGGAATGCAGAAAGAAGCCTATTATGACAAGACTCTCAATAGCTGTCTCAAATTAACAGTATAGCCTTCTCATACATAAGTTAATAAGGAGTGTCAGAAGATGGGAGGCTAAGGTGTCATCTTGTTTTATTTGTTTTTGTTTGTTTGAGACGGAGTCTCGCTCTGTCGCTCAGGCTGGAGTGCAGTGGCGTGATCTCGGCTCACTGCAAGTTCCGCCTCCCGGGTTTACACCTTTCTCCTGCCTCAGCCTCCCAAGTAGCTGGGACTACAGGCGCCCGCCACCACACCTGCCTAATTTTTTGTATTTTTAGTACAGAAGGGGTTTCACCATGTTAACCAGGATGGTCTCGATCTCCTGACCTCGTGATCTGCCCACCTCGGCCTCCCAAAGTGCTGGGATTACAGGCGTGAGCCATCACACTGGGCTGTCATCTTGTTTTATTAACAGCATGTTCCAATGCAGAATTGGAGTCAGCCATTTTTTAAAATCCTACCCCTTACTGGGATTCTACTGAATTTCTATTTAGTAGAAATTCTTTCTAGTTTCCACTAACCTTAACCTAAGTTTCTATGATTGATATAAATTTTCTTCCTACTTAATGTTTTCCAGGATGTTTCTGTAGAATCCTGAGAGACGAGGGTTTGCAGAGGCTTGTATTTACACTAATAATTATTATCTTTCTTATTTTCTAGATGAGAAAACAGACCCAAAAAGGCCATGTGGGTACCACATATGAAACTCATTTTTGGGGAACTAAAGGCTAATAATATCAACAAGATCTAGAAGACATGATAAATTCCTGCTACAAATAGCTAAAAGCTATTAAGTAGAAGCTGGATATTCCAGGCACATTGCTAATCTTTAAGGATGATGTAAGGGAGATTTACTTCTGATTTCTTTTTGTGTGTGAAATACCTCCTTTGAGTTATCATAGTAAAATAAGACTGTAGGGACAACATTACAGTACCTGGTATAGACTCCCTATTGCCTATGATTCCCAGATTTAGGCTAAAAGTAGTAGGAGATGAGTCCTGTTAGGAATTTCTGGTGAAATAAACAAGCCAAGATGGTACCTAATGGTAGATGAATCCTGGTAGGAGTTGGTGATGATAAACCAAAGGTAGGTGCTATCTTTCCTAGTACACTCTTTTTTTGCCACTGTTGGCTCAATCTTGATATTGCCAAAGCAGCTCCCCTGTCCAGTGCTCTCAGCAACTATTGTAGATTGTTTCTAAAGTCAGTCCTTTAAGTAACAGATTAAAATCTTCTTCTCTATCCTCTTCAAAATGGTCACGCTGGCACTTGTATTAAGTTACGAATGTACTAATATAGAAGAGGGAGGAAGAGTTTTGTGCCAGTGGGGCAATGATATAAGAATGTAAAAATTATCTCCTAGGGCCAAAACCCAACACAGTGGATAGGCTTTGTTTTATTTTAAATTTATTTTTGAGATGGAGTCTTGCTCTGTCGCCCAGGCTGGAGTGCAGTGGCGAAATCTTGGCTCACTGCAACCTCCGCGTCAGCCTCCTTCATAGCTGGGATTACTCCAAGAGATTATCTCGCCTCAGCCTCCTTAGTAGCTGGGATTACAGGTGACTGCCACCATGCCTGGGTAATTTTTTTGTAGTAGAGACAGGGATTTACCAGGTTGGCCAGGCTGGTCTCAAACTCCTGACCTCAAGTGATCCGCCCACCTCAGCCTCCCACAGTGCTGAGATTACAGGCGTCAGCCACTGCGCCCGGCCCAGATAGGCTTTGTTGACAAAGAGAGAAAAAAATGAAATTACATATTTTTATATATCAGAACTTCTAGTAAATTAGTATATAACTTTAAAGTAGATGACTTTAATTTTTTTTCTGGCATAAAAAAACAACAAAAAAAAACAGAGCAAGCAAGCAAACAAAACCCTTAAAAACTCTGAGCTAATGAATGCTGTTACCTATGTCTTGTTAATGCTAGAAAATATTAATAATATATGAGCAAAAAAATTAGTTGTAACATCATTACTTACAAAATCAGAAAAGAATTTGGAGAAGAATTCAGAGAACGTAGTTTCACAGAAGTTATTGGTGGGAAGCACTTTGGTTATTCTTCTGTGCTCAGTATTTCCCCCAGTTTCTGTAGAAAACAGTACTGGTACTTGCCTTTTCACACAGTTCTTGAGTTTTGTACCTCATATACAAACAACTGTTTAAAAATGGTCTTCCGATGCCTTCCTTCTGCCACTTCTGCAGCATTTTGGTCAGACAGGCAGTTTCTAAGAGTCCCACGGTGGTATAGCCTAGGTTAGCTAGCTCACATGGACCTTGACATCCAGATACTGTCTTCAATTCATATATGACAGTCACAGAACTCCCTTTTTCTCTGATAATTACTCAGATAAATTTTCACAGGGCCTCGTAACTTTCTCAAAGTATAGTGGGAGCTGCATTTTCTACTAAGGACAAGACTTTTCTACCTTAAATAAAGTCAAAGCATGGCCATTGTAATGAATGAACTACAACTTGATATTTTAACTGAATATTTCTGTCTGATCTCCTATCAATACCATACCTTCAGTTCCCAGGATCCATGTGTTCTTGAGCTACTGTTTCTAGAAAAGGAAATAATGCAATCCATTTATTAGAATTCAAGTATTAAAATGGAACTTCTTGTCTAATAAGGATGACCATTTTTGTTTTCTCTTTACTGAAATCATATGTAAAAATAACTGCCCTGATTTTTAATAGCGCTTACCATCCACATATGGAACAAAGCCTGTGTGTGGCATACCTCTAGGTGAAAAGGCAATAGATTTCACTTGTTCTTGCCCTCACTGATTTTTAGCTTTAGTATTTATTAAAGCTATTGAAAGTTACAATGTACCTATAAATCAAAAGGTTTTTGGGTACATCAAAAAAGCATTCGTTTTACAAGAAGATTCATCTTACGATTATAAGAACACTCACATACACACAGAGGTATTTCTGTACCCTTTTGATTATTCTATTTCAGTTTTTTTGACAATGATAATTACATCTCCTTCATACTCCTTTGTCATTTAAAACAAATAACATTTACCTACGTACTTCTTCAGAACCCCAATCTTTGGTAATTTACTTAGACAATTCACTTAAAAATAAATGTAAATAAAAATATTAGGTAAAAGCTTTGAATGGCATAAACAATTACTATCCTTTACAAACATCAAAAAATATTCACTAAAGTAAAAAAAGATGGCCTATTATTTGTTATTTGTGAGACTGTGTTCTTCAATTTCTTAATGCAATTCATATTTACTGATATTAACTGAGGAAAAACCAGATGCTTAATTCTAAAAAATGCCCAAGGTAAAAAGACTAGGAAACAACTTCTCGATGCCTTACTTTTACAACAGTCCAACCTAAGGTCCAACATATGAAATCTCTTTGGGCCAGTATATTCCAAAGTGAATGCCACTGACCACCCCATCATAACCACAGCTTGTTCAAAAACTCACCCCAAACCTGCAGAACCAGTATACCTACATTTTAAACAAACACTCATGGTGATTCTTGTGGACACCAAAGTTAAAGAACCACAGTTTTGGCTGGGTGCAGTGGTTCACGCCTGTAATCCCAGCACTTTGGGAGGCCGAGGTGGGCAGGTCACCTGAGGTCAGGAGTTTGAGACCAGCCTGACCAACATGGAGAAACTGTCTCTACTAAAAATACAAAATCAGCTGGGTGTGGTGGCACGTGCCTGTAATCCCAGCTGCTCAGAAGGCTGAGGCAGCAGAATCGCTTGAACCCGGGAGGTGGAGGTTGCGGTGAGCTGAGATCGCACCATTGTACTCCAGCCTGGGCAACAAGAGTGAAACTCTGTCTCAAACAAACAAACAAACAAACAAACAAAAAAGAACCGCAGTTTTAGGCATTTCAAACACCATCATTTCCATCTCAGTGCCTTAAATTAAGATTGGAATGCTGCACTTTATCACCAATGTTTATCACCACCTAGTGGTAAAGTCCCTTATTTCTACTTTCCATGGATTCATTCATACTGAATAGGATCCCAATTAAGAGAGAACAAAATTCAGAGAAAGCTAAAATTTTAGAGTAATAATTTCCTGGCTATTTTTCACTACCTTTTTATCTACAGTAGATGAAACCTGTGAAACTAAAAGTACTGAACATTTTCTAAATGTATTTAACTTTGAAAAATTCTTTCTAGTATTTCAAGGAACATAGTTTGGAACATGTTGCTTTAGAAGCAGCAAATTTGACAGTTGCTTTCAGTAATCTACCATACAAGACCTCAGTTAATGAATTTACAAGAAGGCTTTAATCAGGCTTATTTTAAATGTTATTTCTTATTTTAACCACATAGTTGAGAGGTTTATTGAGATGTATTGCTTATTATTTAAAAAAATTTTTAAAGAAATATATACTAATAAAACTTCACTGTGTTGGCAGTTTTAATAACTAACATTTGCTGGGCATCCAAGTATTTATATATTATGTTCTTATACTCAAAGTGCATCTGAGAAGTAAACATTAAGGTGAAGACATAAACAACTAGATTAATAAATGCAATTTTTTAGGTTCTAGAATTTCCTCATTCTAAGAAAAATCTAAAATTCTGGCTTTTAAAATACAGCTTTAGGGATCAACTGCAAAAGATAGGAAGACAGGACCAAGGCTAAATAACTGAGAGGATTAAGATGAAATGCACTCTGAAGCTGAAGTAAGCATTGTTTACTGAGACATGCAATTGGGAAAGAAAACAAAACAACAGGTTGTACTGAAAAAGCAAAGTGTTTTGTAGGTAGAGAGGTATCATATGATCTCTTTAGAATTTATACTAGGATTCAAAGAAATACATCTAGATAAGGCACTTTACTCTTACCACAACTGTTTGCTGGGACCGGCTGCCTGACTGGTAGAAGGGAGAAACCGGGATCATTTAATCTGAACAGAGAATGTGGAGGGCTGGCCAGGTATATGATAGCTACCATGTGACAGATTCAAGCTCTCCTAGAAAGCCCAGTGAAATACTCTAATAGGGGAAAACTGTAGGAAATAGGATCTTATCTCAATTGTGAAGATTAACCAAAGATGCAATGGACTCAGGTAGGAGGTAGAGAGCTCCTTTCTATAACTGTTACTTTTACACTGTTTAGATTAACCACCTGGCAGAAATATTTTTGAGATAATTCAAGCATTAGTTACATGGCAGAGCCCAATAACTTGTAAGGAACAATTTAATTCCAATCTGTGAAAACTGAACTATGTGTACAGTAAATGAGTTTGGGATAACCACACCTATTTTTTGGTAATTAATCCACAACTTCCCTTGTTTAGGTTTTTCATTGCTTTGTTCTTTTAAAAAATTAAAAACAAAGAAACAGAGGACAGTGGCTATTCACAGGTACAATAACAGCACTCTGCAGCCTCGAACTCCTGGGCTCTGGCACTCCTACCGCCTCAGCCTCCTGAGTAGCTGGGACTACAGTCGCGCCACTGCACCCAGCTTTGCTTTCTCTTTAAAATACATCCTCTGCCTCACAGAAAGATACCTGGCCCAATTCTTGTCAGCAGTTTTGCCTGTGAAGGCACAACTAAATTTTCTTTTCTAAATTTGCTAAAATCACTGACTTTTAAAAGAAAAGATTTTAGTTTTCCAATGGAGATGTCCAAGTATAAGATACTCAGTTATTAAGATTGCTGAATTTAATCTTTCATCGTTTGAGTCAGAATGTGAGAAGTATAATGAGGAGATAATTACGTTTTAACAAATGCATGTCATTTATAATACCTTTTTATAAAAAGTGCCAAATGCTTGATTTAGATATACCTTTTTTATACATATCAATTCAATGTCATAGCTAATAATTTTTTTTTGTTAAAGTTTTCAAAATACAAGCAGAATAGATCCCTAATTTTTAATCTTTATTTAGTTTTAGTTTTTATTTTTGAGACAGGGTCTTGCTCTGTTGTCCAGGCTGCAGCAGCACTATTGTGGCTCACGGTAGCCTCGGTCTCCTAGGCTCAAGCAATCCTTCCGCTTCAGCTTTCTGAGTAGCTGGGACTGCAGGCACACACCACCACGCCTGGCTAATTTCATAATGTTTTGTGGAGACCGGGTCCTCTATGTTGCCCAGGCTGGTCTCCTCTTGAACTCTAGGGCTCAAGTGATCCTCCCACCTTGGCCTCCTAAAGTGCCAGGATTATAAGTGTGGTGAGCAACCACCCCTGGCCCTAATTTTAATCTTTAATTTCAAAATAACTATACCTCCTATTGTAGTCTGTTTTGAAAATTCCTTACATGTCATATTTTTGGAGTGGCCATTATTTCTATAAAGATAAAAATGTCCATCCCCCCAAAGCCACTGACATTTATTTAAATTTATTATCAGAAAGTTTTAATTTTTTTATCACTGTTGGCTTATAATCTTAGAGCTTCACAAAATTACCAACACATTTTGGTATAACTAAAAAAAATACAGTACAAAATATTTCCAATGATTTTGTCTTTTGTCCTTAGATTAAGTGTAAACAGTTAAGCTGCATATATAGATTGAGTAGCAATTACCATATTTTATTGACTCTAAGATGCAATTGATTGAAAAAAGCACCTTTTCATGTTTTATTAAGAAAGAAAATAAGGTTGTCGATTACACTATGCCATACAACTGATATTGAGATGCTTCTACTTTCAGGGGTGTTAAAATGTGAAAGATGTGCATCTCAAAATCAATGACATATGTCATTTAGTCAAATTCTAAAGACTGTCTATTAAATTTTTCCGTTCTTGTCTTTCACATAAATAAGTCATGATTTAGTTAAGCAAAGAAAACTTTATTTCTGCTACACGTAACAACATATTGCTCTAAGGAACAACTACTATATTCGTTTTAGCATTAATGTATGGATTCAAAAATACATGTCAGCAATCCCTGCTTCCCAGACAAAACAATGCTGTACACAGACTATCAGGTATATGGAAAAAAAAAAAGCTGTCAACTGTCCACAGGGAATGCGTCCAGTCACATTTTCAGTCAGTCAGCTGAGGATTATGTCATTATTTAGTCTTTGTTCTGTAGAAAGAACACAACACAAGTATGAAAATCATCACCTGAAAGGAAAGGAAATAGCTGTTGTAGTATTCCTAAAATGTTAGGAATTGTTCCTTTATTTCAATATACCCAATGTTATCTGCTTAATCATAGCTGCCCCCAAATAAAACCAAACTTACTAAGAAGGGCGATGCAGGTGCTGAATTTCTAGAGGGAAAGTGTTGTGAATTAACAAAAAATCTGATGCTCTGAAATACTAAAATTTATATTTTCCTCAAATAGAAAGAGAATTACATTGTGGTTATCAGACCCATCTCAAAATAGAATTCAACTACTTTCAATGTTATATCCTTGGATCAGTTGCTTCTATTTCCTAGGCATGACTCACTTAATCCCAGGCCCATACCTCAGAGATAAAAGAAACCAGCCTTCATGAGCTGTGTTTGCAGCCTTTTAAAAATTAAAGAAACAAACAAAAAAGTGCACCTACCCCAAAAAACTTGTCACAATCATATAAAATTTGGCAAAGTCTTCCACAGTATTTTATCGAAACTTAAAATAAGGTAATATGTTTATTTAATACACCAACAAAGAAGAAGAATCTCATAATGGAGTCCATTGTAAATAGGAGATCCGCAGCAAAAATAAAAAAAGCCATGCTGCAATTAGAAGAAATTCAAAACCGTGTAGCTAATCGTATCCTATCCAAACAGCCATTTTCAACTAACCTGACCCTATTTTATCTCTGCCCTGAATATGCGTAACAGTTCAAAAAAGGGAAAAATGATAGATTAAAATTTTTATGAACAGCCATGCTGAAAATGCAATTCCTCTGATGTAGGAAATTGGATGAGTTTAAGGGAAAAATGTGGTATTTATAAAGCTTAGTTCTCACAGTACCAACTGGCCACAAGGTAGTTTTATATCATTATACTTTTAGTTTCTGATCATTTGGATGTCATTATTTTAGATAAGAGGACATCTCAAAGGTTTCACTGAAGCTACAAATGCAAGAGTTTTAGTTTAGACTTGCAAAGCCTTTTTTTCATTTTACATTTTGTTGACTCATTGTCTCTCAAAAGCCCTATGAGAAAACTGGGCCTCAAAAAGGCAAAGAGGGTCAGTCGCAGTGGTTCATGCCTGTAATCCCAGCACTTTGGGAGGCCGAGGAAGGCAGATGACT
Organism: Homo sapiens; assembly: GCF_000001405.40. NCBI lineage: Eukaryota > Metazoa > Chordata > Mammalia > Primates > Hominidae > Homo > Homo sapiens. Next base: position 178,128,234 of record NC_000002.12, on the reverse strand, counting down.
TGAGCTTAGGAGTTCAAGGCCAGCCTGGGCAACACGGCAAAACCCTGTCTTACCAAAAAAAATTACCTGGGCATGGTGGCACATGCCTGTAGTCCCAGCTACTTGCAAGGCTGAGCTGTGAGGACTGCTTGAGCCCAGGAGGCAGAGGCTGCAGTAAGCTGAGATCAGGCCACTGCACTCCAGCCTGGGTGACAGACTAAGATTCTGTGTTTAAAAAAAAAAAAAAAAAAAAAAAAAAAAGGGCGTAGAGACCAGCCCAGTCACAGTTAAATGGCTTTTTATTTTAAGCCCAATATTCTCTTTAACATGTAAATAATCATTAGAAAAGGTTCAACCACAAGAATAATTTATATACTTTTCTATACTGAGAAGTCTAAAGTCTATATTATTGTCCTTTTTAAGAACAAAGATTTATTGAGTAAAAGCAAGAACTATTTATTTCCTATTATTGAAATATTCACAGACTAGAAAAAACACATTTTTTGCATGCTAGAGAATAGCTTCTCCAAACAGAATTCATTCTTAACATTTTATCCATAAACAGGAAAAAATGCTTGCTAATTCTTTTCCACTCCCAATTTAATATATCCAGGGTTAAATTGCTAACAATGTATGGTACAATGAGAGTGGTTTTGTCATTTAATAAAACATTTAAAAAGATTTAAAAATTAGGATTATGGGCCCAATGGGCACTTTCTCTTGTCAAATGCCTTCTATGAAGCTATGAAGGAGGAACTAATCATGTGATCTGTTCTAGGAGAGGAAGGGTCATCAGCAGTGAGGCCTGGCAGGAATCATTCTCATACGTGCTAGCTCACACAATTGGTCAGAAAGAAAATCTTAAGTGAAAAAAATAAAGGTTTCAAGCCAGTAACTTCAAACTGAATTCAAAGTGCCTGCCATCTACTACATTTGACCTATAGTAGACTTGGAAAGTTAGTGTGTGGGAACAGGAAAACGGCTTCCCCTGAAATTCAGAATTATTTTACAGAATAAAAACCGCCAAACTTTAGGCCAGGCGCAGTGGCTCATGCCTGTAATCCCAGCACTTTGGGAGGCCGAGGCGGGCGGATCATGAGGTCAGGAGATCGAAACACGGTGAAACCCCGCCTCTACTAAAAATACAAAAAATTAGCCAGGCGTGGTGGTACGCGCCTGTAGTCCCAGCTACTGGGGAAGCTGAGGCAGAAGAATCACTTGTATCCAGGAGGTGGAGGTTGCAGTGAATCGAGATCTCGCCACTGCACTCCAGCCTGGGTGACAGACCGAGACGTCTCGGGGGAAAAAAAAAGTCAAACTTTAAGGAATGTTTCCCCAAACCACACAGATATAAACTCACTGTCACAGTCAAATAAATTGTAGTTTGATTTTTGAAAACTAATAAATAAAATAGGAAATGGAATTCATATGGCTGTATGTATCAAAATTTACAATAAAGAGTTTTTGGTAAATTGTCAGGTTTTCTTAAAAAATACATATATGCATACGAGAATATTTTCTGAATGTATTGTTTTAATGCACAAACTCACAAATACAAGTCCAGAAAACACCAACATTTAGGTTCAAAAGGTCCAAAAATGATATATTATTTGATATTGCTTTTTAGGCATTTCATTAGAGAGAAGTCAAAACATTATCTTTATAAACGACTGTTATAAATTACCTCAATTCATAACTCAAGACACCAATTTTTCAAGTTAAAAATCTTTAGAAGTATTTCAATTTTTTTTTAAAGCAATCCTTATTCTAGCACCGGACAACTTAAAAGTTTATATAAGCACATAATAAAAAGTTGAATTCTTAAAATCGAAGATTTCACAAACAAAAAACAATTATTTATCTTTCTAAATTGAAATGTGATTTTATTTTACAGAAGGGCAAAAACATTCTTCAGTAAATGTCAACAATTTTTAAAGTTTAAATAGTTGCAAAGCTCTTTTAACTGACAACTTCTAAATCACTAAAAAGAAAAGTTTATAAAGTACTTACACATATTCCTCATATACTATTTACTCAATATGTTTTAAAATTCAGATTAAAAAGGGCTTACCTCAAGAATCAGTAAGTTCTTTGCCGTTTGTTAGATTCTTCTCTTGGCGAATCTGCCAGCATAACTTTAAGTCTCACCCCATTCAGAATCTTTCCATGTAGAGTGGCAATGGCATCATTAGCACTTATTCTATCGGCATACTTGGCATACCCCACATTTTTTCCTGACACAAGGTAAACTTCGATCAGGTTACCAAAACGACTGAAACAAAGTGAAAAAAATAATCAACCAAAATTGATAAATACAACTGCTCAGGTCTAAAATTTGGAGTCCATTCTTGACTCCATTTTCACCCTTCTCCCCAGATCCAACATCCAACTCATGTCAATCTTAAACATCTCAGTCAATTCTATTCATTCTCATTCAGATCTCTCTTCTCATTCAGACCATCATCTTTTCCTTAATCTAACTCCTTTTTCACTAGTTTCCTTACCCCTGAGCTTGTCCCTCTTCAATCCATTTTTCACTCTGTCTTCTGAGTGATCTTTCTAAAACATAAATATGATCATTTACTCCCTAAAAGTCCCCTCAGCAGCTCCCCATTGCCTCCATGGTGACAACAAATTCCTTAATATAGCTCTAGAGCCGTTCTGACATTGTCCTTGGACTCTTTAGTTTCATCTTCCTTAACAATCTCTCAAATTCCCTATTTAACAGCCCTTCTTTTACATTCTCTATGGCAGAAATAACCATGCATACCCCCAGCTTTCACCTGTGGAGAAATTATTTTTATACTTCAGGTCTCCACATACACCTTCCTTCTTTCAAGGCTTCTCAGAGTTTCTAAGGTAACTGCTCCTCCTTTGTATCTTACACATTCCTTATCACAGCAACAATCACCCTGGGTTGTAATTTTCTGTTTACTTGTCTGTTTCCTACATGAGATCAGCTCTAAGAGGACAAGAATCATAATGTCTTGTCCATTTAATATTTTGTTTACATGTCTCTTGTACTTAGCACAGTTCCTGCCTTGAACAAAGAGGAGGTTCAAGAAGAAAACTAAATATATCAGTTAAATAAAGGTCAAAATACTTGAACCATATCCTGATATTTTTTTCCTTTTGAGCCTCAATATACTATCACATTATGTCCCTGATATTTTGTGCAGCTCTTTAACAAGCTTCCTGTCTATCAAATTCACTAACATTCTTGTAAGGCAAATGGGAAAAAGGCCTAAAAGAAAAAGCAAAGAAAGGAGTTATGTTAAAAACACAAAAATAAATAAGAACCTTCCCTTTTTTATTATAAAAAACATTTATGTATTTTTCCCTACAATCAAGTAATTGTTTACACAATGCGACTGCATAACCCTTAAGGATCCTACAATGCACCAACAAAACAGAAGATGCTTAGCAAAAAAAACACAAAAAACAAAAAGGGTCTCACTCTGTCACCCAGGCTGGAGTACAGTAGCACAATCTTGGCTCACTGCAACCTCGACCTCCTGGGCAAAAGCAATCCTGCCACCTTAGCCTCCCAAGTATCTGCGACCACAGGCATGTACCACCATGCCTGGCTAATTCTTGTATTTTTTGTAGAGATGGGGTTTTGCCATATTGCCCAGTCTGGTCTTGAACTCCTGAGCTCAAGCGATCCCCTGACCTCGGCCTCCCAAAGTGTTGGGATTACAGGCATGAGCCACTGCACCAGGCCCACTTTATGTTTCAAAAACAAAATAGCAGGAAATTCTCTATGGAGCCTTAGGATGTGTGACTGATAAACAAGAGAAGAAAATAATCAGAAATTGAAAAAGATGATACAAATAAGGAGGTTTTAAAAGCAGAGAACTAATACTCTCTACTTGATAGGTACTGGGTGAAGGAAGTGTCTAGATTATAAGAATAATTAAATTACTAGTGTAAATAAAATATAACAAAAAATGTAACTTTCTTACCAGAATATATCTTCTAATACGTCTAAAGGTAAAGGATGAGGATTAAACACAATAAAAAGTCTTTCTTTCACAGGAGTTTCAGCAGGAGCTTTTTTTTTGCATGATGGAAGTACAACATCTGTCTGGATTTGAGGCAACTGTGATCCAGAGCTTCCTCCAAATTGCTGTTAACAGGTAGAAAACAAGAAAAAGAAAAAAATGCCCTTTAGGGATTTTTGGCCAAGAGCTAAAGACAGATATGTATCATGGCATCTATGTGGTCTTCCACAATAGCTCTGAAAATTTTCATACACAGATAATCAACAAAGCATGATTTCTCTTCACATTTATTTTATATGCTATTGATATATTATAAAGGTTAAATTCTTACCTACTTACCATAAATTGTTGCTGACTTGGGTTATTCCACACCATTGATGCAAGCTGTGCAGCTACCATCTGTGTTGCCATTTTTCTAAGGAGACTGGAAAAAATAACTGATAATTTACAGAAAACTAAAAATATTCAGTCTTTTAACAGTAGCTTGTTTTGTGTGACTTTCTCACCTGAGAGGTCAATTGTTTCTATTTTTATTCTTCAAGTCCTATCAATCATGTACACTCAAAGCTCGGCTTTAGACACTCCTGGAATGGTACTTACTCTGTTGCATTACTTCCATCATCAATGAAGGAAACACCTATTCGGTTCCCAGGAGGGTACTGAAATCCATGTAATTTGTATTTTGCATAAATAGCTGATGCTACATTAAAATACTGAACCACTCCATGACCTAAAATAGAGAACATACAGAAATGAAAAAGGAAAGCAGACTGAGTGCCTAAGGCCTATGTTACAATCTATCACAAAAATGAAACCATGTAGAACTCTAATATCACACAACTAGTAAATACAGAATCGAATGTATCAGAAAACACAGTTCTGTTATCATGTGTGCAACAGGTGTATTCCTAGAAAAGGAAGAAATAATTTAGGGAAAAATATGAACATGATATTTTAGGGAAAATGGAATATTAACATACGTCCTGTCTAATAAGTTTAGTTTTAGGATACTAGCTTTTCTTATATGATACCAATATACTTAAAAGTCTAAATTTTTATTCTTTGAAATCTACTTTGAAATTTTAAGATTTTCCCAACCATACTGGGTAGGAAATGAAATGAGAAGTGATAGTTGAAAAGAATATATACTCATCCCGGCTATCTGCAGCAGTAGGGAGAGGAAAAGTGATTTGAATGAAAAACAAAAAGATAGGGAACAGAGGATCTCAGATCACAAGTGATATATTTTACTTTCCTTTGGAGAGATTTCTGCCAAAGGGACGAATTTCAATTTAGGAGGGTGATGTTGAAGGGAGGGACAATGTTATAATGCATTCCTTAGAGAGCCCAGGAGTTTGTGACACAACTAAAAGGTTTTCACTTTTATAATACAAACCACTGGGGAAACACTTATAATTTATGTTCATCTGGAAACCCAAGCATCCAACATTTTAATGAAATTAAAATAAAACACAGAAATCAAATGACCATATAAAGTTAATTCAAATGAGATTCGAACTATATGATGACACCTCTATTAATAAAAAGATGTTCCAATGACACATATATTTCAGACACATCCAACCAGAGAAACAAAACAGGAGGTACAGGAACAAATACATTTTGACATACCAGATAAAAGGGAGGGAACAAAACAAAATGAACACAACTTCATATGCATATAACAAATGTGCCAGAGAACACAAAAATGTGTGCCTAGAAGTCTTAGAACAGAGAATGACGCATATGATCGGGTTAAGACTGGGGATGGCTCAAAGACAGTTCTACAAAAAGACTAGTGCTGGGTTGGGTACTAGTGAGTATGTGGGGGTGTCTGTATGAAGGGTGGAGTTACCTTAGTCCTGTTGGTCCACATGACCAAACTCACGTCACTACTTCTATGTCAATAGCCATGCCACTCTAAAAGGACTAAATCAGGTATCCTTACAAAACTGGAAGAGATGCCAACCAAGTATGATTTCTCTCTACCACCCCTCACTAACAAAGAAAAAAAAACCCCTTAGATTTACTGAGTGCCCTATTACATGCCAGAACTTGCATTAAGTTATTTTACATATATTATCTCTAATTCTTACCTAACCCTGGCAAAGAAGGTATCAATGATCCCATTTTACATACGAGGAAAGAGAGGCTCAGAGGGGATAAGCAAGTTGCCAAGGTCTCAAAGCTACATGTCACTGCTGGGATTTGTACCCGATTCTATGCAAAATGGAATGCCAGACTTTCCCATTATGCCACAATGCCTCCATTAACAAAGAGCCTTAATAAAATCAAAAGCTTAAAACACAAAGATGGGTTAGCTAATGTTAGATAATGGGTTTAATCAATTAACTAATTAATAAGTTCAAATGGCTGATATTGGAGACTTGCTTCCATTGAGAATTGGAAGAAGCAGGAGAGAAGCAGGGCATTTAGATGCTTGGAATGAAAGGAAGGAGGGGTATAAATTTAAGAGAAAGAGATCTAGGGATGAATGAGGAGGAAATTTTGTGAGTTTCGTAACTTTGTCTAGCATTAACCAAAAGAGTACATAGAAACAGAGGCTCTATCCAGAGGTATTTTTTGTTATGCAACTGGAATACAGAATGTTATATTTTGTGGGAGTTAAAATATATTTTACAGTGAACAATTTTGTAAAAAGAAGATATATTTCCAGGGCTTTGTTTATTAAGGTATCACCATATTTTGAATTCTAAAGTAGAGAAAAAGGAAAGATAAAATTCCTGTCACATGAGCAGTACTTGACATAAAAGTGCCACTAGAGAAAAGCCATTTTAACAAAACTCTGTGTGTGTGTGTGTGTGTGTGTGTGTGTGTGTGTGTGTGTATATATACATATATATATATTTTTTAATGTGAACATTATTTTACCATAATTTGAATAAGGATCTCGTTGAACTTCACAATATTCCAATCCTGGTACTATATCAAAAATGCTGAAAAGCTGTTCTTCAGTGAAAGGAACTCTTGATACAACTGACAAGCGTTTGGAGATTGCTTCCTGGCCTCGGCTATCATTCTTGTCAAAACTTGAAAATTCAGATTGTTGTTCTCCGACAATATAAAAAAAAGTAAATCTTTAGATTTCTACACAGCCAACAATTCGCTTAACATTTTAAATACTAGAAAACAGAGTCCATTGTACTGAATAAAGGCACTGTATTTTGTAGTACGCTTCTGGTCATCAGAACTACCGATGGGACTAATGACAAGAAGAGACAACTCTCCCCACTCCCCTACCTTTAATGCAGAAATATAAGAAGAAATGCATAGTCTAATTTCACAGAAAGAAGTTTAGTATGCAAAACTGAAAAATATGGTAAGTATTTTACCTGAATGTTTACGTCAAATAACATTCACAGGCCTTACTTTCATTACCCATTTTCCCCTTTTTCTATTAGAGCTTCTACTTTTACCATTCCTCTCCTTTCTGTAGCCCTAATTTTAAAGTAGCAGTAGTTCTGGAACAAAATTTTAGGACTCATACGGAGAGGATCTCTACATATGTCTTTTTAAGTTTTTGGTCAGCTATATAGAGGCAGAAGCTCACCCAAAAAAGTGGCAGTGGTAATAGTTTCTAATATGAGGAATGCGTAACTTAACAGAGAAAACTATAATTAGAAATCAGTTAAACAAAATAAGTGTTAAATATTAAGAACTTTAGGAGTCATAATCCACATTTTAGGAATAAAAAAACTACATTTAAGATTTTTATTCACTAGGTGAAATTTATAGATGCCCAATAACAGAGTATTCTTTAAAACCCAAATTAGATTGCATATACTACATTATACTATTAAAAGTAAAGGTTGCCTACTTACCAAATGGAAACATATTTACTCTAGGTTCATGTCCCAAAGCTTCTTGCCTCATATTACTATAATAATCTTGTTCAGAGGATTCAGATGCTTTATTTTTAGGTTCAGCCAAGATTGCTCTAAAACCTGAAAAAACCCCATGAATTTCAAGTTTCACAGCAAATTTAACATACCTGCAAATATACTTGATTGCTAGTGCCTGACTCAGCTTTATAAATATAATTGTACAAAGCAAAATCTATACAATGGCCATCTCCTCCAGACCTACTTCTTTGCTTTCTGGAAGATGGCAAAGAGTAAATGACAAACAGCAAGTATCCCAAATTACGGGTCAATGTAGACATGAAAGATCAGCAATTCTATGCTATCCTTTCCCATCTCCCCCTATTACAGATAACATCGTCATTCATTCACCTAAGCTCCTCAACATTAAAATCCTGTAGGGCTTCTTTATATTTAACCTGTCACCAAGTTTCTTCCTTTGAAATGCACACAATTGGAATATGCTATCTTTTACTCTAACTTCCCTGCCTCTGTTTTTAATTTAGATTCTCTTCAATTAATTACAAGAGCCCTTTAACTGTTTTTTTTGCTTCTGGATCAAGGGTTCTTAACTAGGGGTCCAAGGATGAGCTTCAAAAGGTGGGAAGATTCCACAAACCCTCTGACACTTCAAACAAAATGCTTATTATGCATTTATGTGCACATGGGCATATTTCAAGGGTTCAGTTTTCTTCACATTATTCAGTGGCTTAAAAAAAGGATAAAACCAGCCAGTTTGAATTCTTCTCTGGAAATCTATCATTAATACAGTGGGGTTAGATCAACTGTTCTTACTTTTGTCTTTCTAAACAATCTACAAAGGAATCCTAATGCGGACTAACCTTGAACTTTTCCTAACCTCCAATATATGGTTCCCATGTTCCAATGTACCTAGTTAACTGTGTCTCAGAATGTCTCAGCAGAAATACTGTGCTTTACTCAGACAGCTGCCTTCACAGCACCAAGCAAAACACATGTTTATTCCTGGCATTGTGCCTCTGCTAGCACTGCTCTCACCTTCTGTCCTGCCTCCTCGACACCAGACACAAGTCCTACCCCCTCGGCATGTGTTGCCATGCTCATCCAGCACTTGTTTTTCACCATTGACAGACTCTACCATACACTTATGAACATTTTTTTCATTTGGCAAATTCTTACTGAGTCTACTATAAATGGCATTTACTTTTATAGAGAGCTTAATAAATCTTTATTGAGGGCCTATTATTGTACTAGATACCTGGAGTGACAGACAAATAAGGCATACTTCTTGCTTTCAAAGAGCCTTTAAAAAAAGTTCTTCCATTATTCTTTATTTTTTGCCTATTAGATCTTGGCTACCCAATACAGCTATAAATTCCTTAAATGTGAGGGCTGCCATATACTTCATCTGTATCCCTCTACTTAGCATATTGATCAGTATACTGCAGGTACTCAATTACTGCTAGCTAAATGAGAAATTTAGAAGGATCTAAGAGAAAATCTGGGTATGTACCTTAGGGGTATCTAAGAATTCTACTGATTAACAGTAATTCTTTCCAGTAAGTATATATTTTTATAATGTCCTAAAATCCAGTAATTTAATTACTCTACATATCATTTCTAAAGGTCAATATACCTAACTAGAAGTATACCAACAAAGAATATTCTCTTTGACATCTTTAAAATTCTTATTCTTTATATATACAGCAACATCAGAAGATCACATTCATGTCACTCTAGCTTGAAATTAACCCTATCTATATCAGTTACCTATGTTAGCACATCTTATAAATCTTACCCTTAACCTATAGGTTTATTAGTTATACTTTATAGTCTTTGGGATGTAGATCAAATATAAACAAATATAAAGAATATTTTAAAAACCTTGAAAAGGTAAGTCAAGTTTTTAATACTTAAAATTCTAAAATACACTTAAAAAACCCTAAAAACCTATAAAAATAATACCCAAAGTATGCATTTCACTTACTAAGTTAATGTAGTTGCTCTTATTTCTTCAAGATAGTGCCTCAATGAATGTTTAATCATAACCCCAAAATATTTTTCTTCCTTGGACTGTAAATATTTAAATACCCACTGCTAAAATTACATTAGCAGATACAGTTATTAGCAAAAACTAATATTAAATTCAGCTATTTAGAATAATCAGAATTTTTTACAAAAGTTTTTAACAATGTTAAACACATCCTTACTTCGATCACAGTTTTCTATTGCTTGGGCAGCTTGTGATGGTTTTAAGTATCGTACGTAGCCCAAACCTTTACTTTCTCCAGTCACTTTATTCTTAATAATGCTGCAATACTCGATATCTCCATACACCTAAGAGAGTTAAAAGACATGATTTTAGGGGACTTAAAATTAATTGAACAGAGTATTTCAGAACTAAAAATTTGTTTATATGTGACCCTTGCATGCAAACAAAGAAATAGGCAGTATAAAATATGCAGATATTGCATATTTGTATTTGCAAATATGCTTATTTCATAGATAAGGAAGCTGGGCTTTAGAGAAATCAAAGAGGGACAAAGTCACAGAAGAGTAAGAATTTGTACATGGTCTGGATAGCTCCAAAGTCTTGCTCAACAGTGGTTAAGAGCCAGAGCTCTGGAATTAAACTTTCTAGATTGAAATCCTGAATCAACCACTCATTAATTAGGCAGTTTACTTATTCTCTCTGTGCCTACCTCTTTATTAAAGAGGCTAGCAGTAGTATCTACCTCACAGGGTTGTTTAAGGGTTAACTGAAGTAAAACATGTGAAGTGCTTACATGGGGCTTGGAACATACTCAAAGAACATTAGCTATTATTACTTGTCTGTCTTCTAACAGGAACATAAATGATTGTGTATTCTTTTGAAGGAGTGCTTTTCAAAGGGTATTTCTAAAATATGCTGGTTCACTCAGAAAGTTACTATTCTGAGAAACATGCAGTAGTGTTTACTTTCAATGTTCAAAGAAATATGGAATATAATTGGTATTTATTATTTATTTTATAAATTCTTATGTAATCAATTAGCAACTTAATTACTATACATTAAAGTGTTATATTTGTTCATTCAGGAAAAGAAAAATTTATAAATATTTAAGGTAAAAAACATTTTCCTTACTACTGGAGGATGTATAAAATATACGTTTTTGGTATTTGTTATTTTTGAAGTATTTCATTGAATTCTCAATTGGGGTAGGAGAGAAAGTTTGAAAATTACTTTTTACTGCTTGTTTTCTTTCTTGCTTGTTGCCACCCAATTCATGGGAGGATTAGTAGAAAAAAGATAAAAAACTACAATTCAAAACAATTAAAAAATTGCTTTTTAATAATTTGTGTGAAAGCTCATCACTGCATAAGTTAATGGCTAAAAAGACATAAAATTATCCTCAAATTTCACTTATATAGGTCAGAGCTATATTTACGTTTTCTTCTTTAAATATAATTCCTTCAAAGGCCCAATTTTAGGACAAAAACTCTTCAAAGAATAAGCCTTTCTGTGAATGAGTACCATGTCAACACACCATAGGCCCGTTCTCAATACTAGATAATACAGTTCACACACTCAGGTCTGCCTGATTCGCCTCTACATGCCAGGCAATAGAGGGGAGTGATAAAAGCGTGCTTTGAAATTTTAAAGACCAAGAGCAGGCTCCAGACTCCGACAGCCTGGGTTTAAATCATAGCTCTACCACCTACTAGTTGTGTGACTTTACTTAAAAGTTTCTGAGCTTTATGCTTCATTTCTGCGAATCTCTACTTTCACAATAAAGTAGGGAGAGACTACCATTACTATTTTCCAGCTTTTATATATTCTTTAATTTTAAAAACTAATTTATGCTAGGTTTAATATTTAAAGAGTAGATTGAAATTGATGAAAGCAGTTATGTAATTCCCCAAGACTACTCTATTGACCTTATTCCAACAACATTTCAGATTTAGTACCCATACAACCTATGCAGGACTATGAGTTATCACATATGCTAGCTGATTAGAATAAATACCTTAAATTTTTCCCGCAGATCTTCTTCTGTGTAGGACTTTGGTATCATAACAAAGATTCTTGTAAGTTCTTCATCTTCAACATCTCGGTGACTTCCAGATGATCGGGACTGAGCAATGAAAACCTAAGAAACAAACAAAACTCCCAAAATAAAATAATGTCAACTATTTTCCCATTTCTTAAATTTTTTCAAAAGCAATTATTCTTGCAATGACTTTTTTTTAATCTTTGAGACAGGGTCTCAAAGAAAAAAAAAAGCAGGCTGCAGTGCAGTGGTGTGATCATGGCTCACGGCAGTCTCAACATTCTAGGCTCAAGTGATCCTCCCACCTCAGCCTCCCAAGTAGCTGGGACCACAGGCACACACCACCACACCCAGCTAATTTTTTAATATTTGTAGAGACAAGGTCTTGCTATGTTGTCCAGGATGGTCATGAATTCCTGGGCTCAAGTGATCCTCCCACTTTGACCTTCCAAAGTGCTGGGATTACAGGTGTGAGCCACTGTGCTGGGCCTGCAATGACTTTTTTTTATGAGATAATACCAATCTCTGCATTGTGTTTTTCCCAAATGTATTTCTACTTTTGCATTTATTTTTAGCCAGAGTAATTTGAAGAAACGTAATACAATTAATTAAAACACCATAAACAAGGGCACTTGCATTGTTTGTTTCTTTTTCCTTTAAAGGGGTCTCTATATCTTGGTCTCTGATCCACTGCTGGTAAAGGGGGCTCTGTATCATTAAAGCATGAGAAAACTGGAACTTATGAAATTCCACAGTAGGAAGCAGCAACCAAGAAAACCACAGTGTTAGAGACATATCCCTTTATAGTCTACTTCTAGTTATTCCTTCAATAAATCTATACTATATGTCAAGCACCATATGAGTACAACTATTGAGTAACATGGAAATGGCCCACTAGAGTCTTGTGGCTGATATCAGTAATAAATGGTAAATAGGGAAATACAAATAGGGAAGCTTTAAGTATATGCAAAGACACTAGAGAAAAAAAAAAGAACCTCAGGTAAGATGAAATTGGAAGTGCCATCAGAGCACAGATTTCTATATTTTAGAGGACTGAGGTGTTTCAAATCTCTGATAAAGGAGACAGTCTATGTAGAACATACGTAAAATAATTAACCTCCTCATGGTAGATTTCTCCCATAAATTTTTACCTTCATAGACTGAGTGTTCATAGGCTCTAGATAAGAAGCATTCTTGCAAAACTACAGCCAAGATTTTTTTCTTCTGTTTTCTAGGTTTCCCCCTTTCCGCCAGATAACATAGTTGGTCACAGAATAACTTTTACTTGGACAATCTTTTCTGGCTGAGGGCTGGTAAGATAATATTGTTGTCTTACAGATCCTCTGAAACTTTGTAAAAGCAAAGTACAATAGAAATATTGAAGCTGAATTAATTTAACTGGAAATGCTGAAAACAACCCAAGAGTGTTCCAGTTGAAGATGGCTCAAGCTGCAGCTGCTGAATGAAACTAGTCTGTTAGGGTGTGGTGGCTCACAACTGTAATGGGAGGATGAAACGGGAGGCTCACTTGAGTCCAGGAGCTTGAGACCTGCTTAGGCAACATAGTGAGACCCTGTCTCTAAGAAAAATAAAAAAAATAAGCTGGGCATGGTGGTGCACATCTGTAGTCCCAGCTACTCGAGAGGGAGGATGAGGCAAGAGGATTGCTTGAGTCTGGGAGGTGGAGGCTACAGTGAGCTGTGATCAAGAAGCCACTGCACTCTAGCCTGGGTGACAGAGTGAGATTCTGTCTCAAAAAAAGAAAAAGAAACAGAAACTAGACTGTCTAGCTAGGTACTACAGTGAAACAACCTTCTGGCTAAAACTGAATAGTCAAAAATGTGACAAAGAAAATAGTAAAGTTTATTTCTTTTTGGGAACAAGATCTTTAATTTCTCTGAGGCTAAAAGAGAGGGTACATTTCGGTGTTGGGCCTTTAATTTCTCTTATAGAAATTTATCAGGGGAAGGTGGTCCATCAATTTCAAATATGGGACAGTTTTTTGGGCTGCCCACAAGGGCTCTGTGGCCATGTTACACTCAAAATATAAAAATCCTCTCCACTAAGGTCATAATTGGACAGCGATAAAATTCATTAGTCTAGTACAGGGGTCAGCAAACCACAGCTCCATTTTTGGTATAGCCCATGATGTAATAATTGTTTTTACAGTTTTTAAGGACTGTAAAAACAGACAAGGTTATGTGACAGAGACTGTATGTGGCCTGCAAAGCCTAAAATATTTACTAGTCAGCCCTTTACAGAAAAAGTTTGCCAATTCCTGATCCTGTATGCTGTGGCCCTACAATTAATTTTGTTGCTGTCACTCTGACACACTTCAGAGGGTTGGAGAAGTGGGAGGAAGGGACTGTTTACTGTGTTGTTGGTAGAGTCCCAGGCTCCTTCTCTTTGGTGGATGGAGCAAGACCTCCAGAGACTGAAATATCTCTGAGCCCTTTATTTACATAAATCCATATTAATACCATTCTCAGTTTGGAAAACAATTTTTTAAAAAATTGAGAAAATATTTTTGTGCAAAGTACCAACAGAATAACATACACAGCAACTATTTACATGGGGCAGACGAAGGCTACAATTTAAGCAATTGCCAGATTCTCAGGATTGAGTCCTGATTTGAGATCACAGGGAGTAAGCTGTGACATCTTGGCTACTACTGATCAATAACAAGGACATTATTGAGGGCTTACCCTGTGTGAGGCACTGTGCTGACAGCACATATTATGTCAAATAACCCTCAAAATGATCCTTCCTGCCATGTGTCATTATCACAATGATTTGGCTCTTCTTAAGGCAGTTTACTTTGGTCTGCTTTCAAAGAAAAGTTGCAGTAACAGAAAGGGTCAAGAACCAAATGTATGCTATTAACACTTTCAGAAACAGAGCTCATTCAAAACAATTTTCCAAAATAACAAAATGTGAAGAATATGTAACAGTGACCGTTTTAAACACCTGCACTTATTCTTTCTGTACATGTATTCTTTCGCCTGGTACTAGGAAAACGTCCAACACCAGAGGTCCCTCCCCAGTTTAAAGTACTTCTGTCAAGTTGTTAACGCCTCATCTGTACCTGAGGAAAAGTAGAGTTTTTCCGTTTTTTATATATGGAAATCTGGGCATCTGAGAGAGGAAGGTCAGAAAAGTACTCAAAGTAGGCTAGGACGAGTTTGGCAGTGAACTCAAGAGCTGGTGGATTAGTGAGGGCGAGGGAGAGGGGAAGCCCAGCCACTGCTGTTCTGTCACCCGGTGGCCGCGGCTGCCGGGTCCGCTCTCGTGGGGCAAACACTCCGCATCCCGTCCCCTTCCCTGCAACCCGGCGCAGCTTCGTGGGAGGGGAGCCTCTCCTCAAAGCAGCCCCTGTCCCCAAGCCAGGTGCTGTCTGGTCAGCTGCCGGGAACGGATGTTCCACTCCTCCCTCACCCCGGCAGAGCAGCAGGTGAAGGGAGGTCCAAGAGGCCCACTCCTTCCCCCGAGGGCACCCCGACCCGGGCACCCGCACCTTGATGGGCTTGGTGTCGTTGGGGCCGAGGCACTGGCCATGCATCTCCTCCATGGCCCTGCAGGCCTGTGAGCTGCGGGCGAACTTGACGAAAGCAATGCCCTTGGACTCCTTGGTGTGCTTGTCCCGCACCACCCAGATGTCCTGGATGTCGCCAAAAGGCGAGAAGCGCTCCCTCAGCACCGACTCAGGTGTGTACTTGCTGATCACAAGGAAGATGCGGCTGTTGGGCGGTTCGTCCAGGCTGTCCACGCCCGGGCGGAAGCCCCCGCCGCTCGCAGAGCTGCCAGCTTCGTCCATGGTGCTCCACCCGAATGCAGGAGCCTCACTGCTCTTTGCTTCTGCGGTGTCTGCCACCGCTGCTGTCTCACACCCAAGCCTTTGCCGGCTCGGTGCTCCGCTTCCGGGAGAAAGAGGAGTCCGGCGCCAGGCGCTGTCCAGCCGCGCAGGATGAGGCCTTCCGGGGAGCGGCCTGCAGCGCCCCCTGGCGACGCGGGGGACCCTGACCCAGTCTAAGTCTCAAATCCTCAAATCCAGCTGAGCCTAGGCCCAAGTTATCAGTTGTGCAATCGTTCCCTGCAGGCAGAACAGCGCTGCCTAATGCACAGGCTTTCCCAACGCTGGCTTTACCCCACCCCTAAGGCCAAGGATTCTTTCCAGTGTTAAAGAAAAAATTATTCATGACACTCGTTAGAGATGGTACAGGAAGGCCGACTTTGACAAAGGGAGCCATGGAGATAGGTCCAGGGACAGCTGCAATGGGGTCTTGCAGTGGGAGAGAGAGATTGGACTGAATTTTGACTCTAATAAGGACAAATTTCTAACCAAGAAGCTTGGTGGGAGGTCAGTGGATGGAAAATTACAAAGAGGGAACATCAGTGTTAAGGAGGATTCTGGCTAAACCAACTTGACAGGATAGTTGCTGAAGGCAGGCCAGGGTGATTGATATCCATGGTAGTCAGACACCAAGAATGAGGATTTTCACTACACTGATTCAGCAGGATTCTTGCTCAAATTGGATTCTACAAGGACAGAAAGCCCAAGATCAAGCCTAGTCAAGCAGAGGACTCAAAGGAGCCTAACTAAGTTTTGGTCAAAGTGGAGAGTTGTCACCATCTTGGTCATAAGCTCAATAGATGATCAATATAGGACAGAGTTCAAACTATATAGCATTAGAGTTGGAAGGAAGCTTTGAGATCATTCAATTTCAGCGTCATTTGTTAGAGATGAGGAAACTGAGGCCTATAGCATAGCCAAAGTAATAGAGATAAAAAGTACGACTAAAACCAGAACTAACTTGGCCAGGCGCAGTGGCTCACGTCTGTGATCCCAGCACTTTGGGAGGCCGAGGCGGGCGGATCACGAGGTCAGGAGATCGAGACCATCCTGGCTAACACGGTGAAACCCCGTCTCTACCAAAAAAATACAAAAAAATTAGTTTGGCGTGGTGGCGGGCACCTGTAGTCCCAGCTACTCAGGAGGCTGAGGCAGGAGAATGGTGTGAACCCAGGAGGCACAGCTTGCAGTGAGCAGAGTTTGCACCACTGCACTCCAGCCTGGGGGATAGAGCGAGACTCCACCTCAAACAACAACAACAACAACAAAAAACCCAGAACTAACTCCATCTGTTGATTTACTCAACTTCTACAAGCAACCCTGGGGTTGGAGGGCAGTGAGGGTGGACTGCTCAGCTGTGGAACTAAGAGAAATCATAGAGTGCAAGCAAAGTGGGAAATGCCTTCTTGTTAACAAGCCTTAGAGGAGAGGTCAGAAACCCAGTAGAAATCCAGAAACAAGGCCTGGATTTAGCAGTGGCATTGGAATGAAGTGAAAGGAATAAACCCCTAAGTAGACCGAGGGCGGAGTTCTTCAAATGAACAAGTTCTGGATGCTAAGACCTAGGTTGCTATGAAGTCAACCAGATAAATACTTATTGTACTCCAACTGTGTGCCAGGCTCTATGCCAGGAGCTAGATATATAATGAGGAACAGGAAAGACATGTCCCGAGGGCTTGTTTTCCCCCACTGTGGAAATCTTACATGTAAATATATAATGCAAAGTAATATCAGATTATGTTACATGGTTTTGCTACTGAATTGTGTGAGCCTGGACAAGTTACTTAATACTTGCAGCTTCGGTTTCATTAACTGTAAAGTAGGAATAATATTACCTACTAAATAGGTAATACATATTATTTTGTGGTTGGATTAGTTAAGCTTGATAGCCGCCTAATAGCTACGCAGGAGCATGACTATCAAGTTTAATTAATTCACCCATTCACTTAATAAGTATTTTTGACTATCTACTATGTGTTAGGCACTGTGTTATACTGAAGGGATGTAGTATTGAACAAAATAATTACTCTTCTTCCCCCACAGAGTTAATCATTTAGCCTTATATAGTTATGCTCATATAAGATAATATATATGGAGTTCATAGTTTAGAGATCAAATGAGATAATATTTGTATAATGGTATAATTGAGATTAATTTTCTTGTTCCCTTTGACTATGGTATCCACTCCCCCACCACTGATATTATACAGTTGTGTGATGACTACTGAGAGTCAGGGATTGTGGGTTGTCACCCTGGATTTAGCACTAAGATTTTTATAATTTCTCCTTGTATTACATTCCATATCTGTAGTGAGGGTTCTGTTTACCCTGAGGCTGAACAACTCTAGGAAGTATCTTTTCTTGACTTTCCATTTCTCTTTTTCCTACCCACAACAATCAAGGTAAATGAAAATAATTTGATAGTGTGAGTTTTGTTGATGAGAGGAACTGCAAAGCAATATTATTTGCAAACCAGTGCCATCTAGTGGAAAATGTGTAATTTTCTTAAATTGTCCTGACTGGGCAATCTCTATTCTTTGTGAAATAAGACTACTGATTGGTGTCCTGAAAATTTTAGGCTGTTATTGAGAACAGTTAATTCTTTTCTCAAAAAAAGATAAAAGATTGCATAAAACAAAACCAGGAACGCAAATATTGGAAAATGCCAGAAAAGCAAAATTTCTTTACTATCCAATTATGTGAAATATGACATATTCAAGGAAAATTAGAAATTTACTTATAAATTAAAAAAAGTAAGTACATTTTCTTCATGACATGTATTTATTTTAAACAGATTTATTGAGATATAATTCTTCTTCTTATCTTATTTTTTCTTTTCTTTTTTTTTTTTTTTTTTAAGGGATTGGTGTCTCACTATGTTGCCTAGGGCAATCTCGAACTGGCCTTAAGTGATTCTCTTGCCTACGCCTCCTAAGTAGCTGGGATTACAGGTGAGACCCACCACACCCAGTGAGTTCTAATTCTTACATCATACAATTCACTCATTTGATGTATTCAATTAAATCGTTTTTAGTGCCTTCACAGCATTGTGCAAGCATCATCGCAATCAATTTTAGAACATTTCATCACTCAATGACCAAATTGTTATATTTCAAATCATAAAACCTTTGAACATGAATTACATGTAACTAAAACACCTAAAAATGTCTGAGGTTTAAAAGAATGATTTTTAGTTAGTCTGCTTAATAGAAGAAACCAGGTGCTGGGCATTTGCAGATTAAATTTTTTTCAAGGCTTTAGAACATGTAGCCTATAAAGCACTGTTATTAGAATGTGCACACATGTTTGTTTCACATGAAATTCAGATTTTTTTGAAACTTTTTCTCCCTCAAATCTTTTCTTTTTAAAAATGAGAGGTGATATTGTGACTAATTTTTGAAATGCCAGGAGCAAATAGTAAATTTTTGTCATTATTTTCCAAACTGAAGTACAATGAGGCTTACTTAGTTGGTGATATTAGTCTTCATATGTTACATCAATTAACTAAAAATATTTCGCCCTATTTGCAAATTTTTTATAGGTTTTAAAACTAAGACTTATTGGTGATCAATTAGTAGCTTTCAGATTGTTGTATATGAATATGATCCAGAGTTTCCATTTGACCCATCTGTAAGGCTACTGTCTACTGATAACGTAGGCAATTACTTAGTCTGACCTGTGGCAGGCACTCAAGAAATGGTAGTCTCCTTCTTGAGTTTGCATGCCTTTGAGTTTGAGAATAATATCTAACACCTGATTTTTTTTTTCACAGTATGCCTGCTCCTTTTGATTCAACTTGATGACATACATCTTTTAAATGTGTAGATCACAGGACAAAATTCATAGATACCACTTAGAATAGTTTCATTAAAGCATCTGGTGACTGTGGCTATTTAAATTAAAATTACTTAAAATTACCTAAAATTAAAATGAATTATAATGAAAATAATTAAAAATTCATTTCTTCAGTTGAATTAGCCAGTTTCCGACAGCTCAAGAGCTATCCACAGCTACTGGACAGCGGGCACGCAGAGCCAAGCACTGCACAGCAAGTACAAGGCTTTAAGCCTCTGCGAGAGGTGAGATCCCACGGGATCTGGGGGCCAATCAGCAGTGGGACCGGGTCCCGGCTTGCCATTGGCTGGCGATCACTGGTCGCGCGCGTCCGGCTGCGCTTGCAGCCCAGGGCGTGAGGTGCTCTTTCTGGATCGCCAGCCTCGAAGTTGAGGCGTGGACTCTGGCCAGGTGGCTGTTCCAGGTGACTGCTGGGAGCGGGGGCAAAGGGAGGAACCGCTGGCCGTTTTTAATGCCAATATTAAAAAGTGTTTCATTAGCATTTCTCTTTTTATGAAAAATAAGACATAGCAATGGTATGTACCCACCTATTCCTCTTTAAGCACTCTCAGTTGGGTAAAAAGTTGTAAGCATCTGCAGTGTTACAGATATTGTGTTCAACACAGGGTTGCCAAGTCACCCTTAAAAAGTAATTGTTGGCTTGGCATGGTGGCTTACGCCTCTAATCCCAGCATTTTGGGAAGCCGTGGCAGGCGGATCACGAGGTCAGGAGTTCAAGACCAGCCTGACCAACATGGTGAAACCCCGTCTCTACTAAAAATACAAAAATTATCCAGGCATAGTGGTGCATGCCTGTAATCCTAGCTACTCAGGAGGCTGAGGCAGGAGAATCACTTGAACCCGGGAAGCGGAGGTTGCAGTGAGCCGAGATCACACCACGGCACTCCGGCCTGGGCGACAGAGTGAGACTCCGTCTCAAAAAAAAAAAAAAAAAAGAAAAAAAAAGGAATTGTTAAACCTATAAGATTATAGATTGAATATTAATTCTTCTCCACTGCTCACCAATCTGTGACCGTAAACAAGTCACTTAATTTCTGTTTGCCTCGTTTTCTACATCTATAAAAATAGAGATGTTAATGGTATCCATCTTACAGGGCTGTTGTGAGAACTAAATGAGTTAATAATATATAAAGTGCTTAGAATATGCCTGTCACATACTAAGCACATACAAATGTTTGCTACTGTTACTCTATTTAATGTTGAAATTACTTCATTCTTGGAAGAATGACCATTTTCATACTAGATGCCACATCTTTGCCTATTTCAGTGAGATATTTCTTTTGAAATATGAAATGCTGATAGAGTGCCAAATGATTATAGGACAAAATGAATTCTTTTCATATTCTTCCTGTCCTTCTTAAGATATTCTATCCCTTGCTATCCTGCTCTTCCCTTCCTGCTATTACTGAATCTGTTGGTTTTAATGCACTTGGAAGAGGGTCATAGGTATTTGCACTGGCAGTATTCGTCTATGATTAGAGAGGGCAGAAGTAAACGTTTTAATTGTGATTAATGCTGGTAGTTTTAACAGTTATAATGGAAATATGTTACACGTGACTTTAATGTGAAATCTGTAGTTTATGAGTAAGGACAGTTTTTTGTTTGTTTTTAAATGTCTGGTTTCCTGAATTACTAGCAACATTTACTTAGTATAAAAATCAATATGATTTTTCTTTTCCTTTTTTTTTTTTTTTTTTTTGAGAGAGTCTTGCTTTGTCGCCCAGGCTGGAGTGCAGTGACACGATCTCGGCTCACTGCAACCTTCGCTTCCCGGGTTCAAGTGATTCTCTCACCTCAGCCTCCTGAGTAGGTGGGACTACAGGCATGCACCACCACACCCGGCTAATTTTTGTATTTTTAGTAGAGACAAGGTTTCACCATGTTGGCCAGGCTGGTCTCGAACTCCTGACCTCAGGTGATCCAACCACCTCGGCCTCCCAAAGTGCTGGGATTACAGGTGTGAGCTACCATGCCCAGCCTCAATCTGATTTTTCTGCTTTGTATAAAAATTGGAAATAAAGATTATCTAGTTAGTGCTTAGATGACTTTTTTATGATACAAGCTTTATGGTTATGGTGAATGTATTTTGTGAAAAGGCCAAAAATGTGCTTTTGTGAGTGAAGTTTTATCCTCTATGGTCTGTGCTCAAAGGCTCACTGAATTCTGAACCTATTTAGGTAATTAATAGAACTGATAATTGAATGCAGTACTCTGAGTGATGTTTGAAGTTTTAAAGTAAGCTTCTCTTGGATAAAGTAAGTTTTCTTACCCGGCTTTCCATGAAACCTGAACTATTGGTTAATAGCTTAGTTGTTTTTGGATACTGCCTAAAGAAAACTATCTTCCCTTTACTTGGATTGTTGACACTGTTATGGGTTTCCACATAGATTTAAAGAAGTTAGGGAGAGCTGGTTTTGCAGGTTGTTGTGTATAAAGCATTGGCCTTTCTTGGAGCAGTAACTAAGAATGTTTGTGTTATTCTGCCAATATTGAAGAATACAGATTGTTTAACCACAGTATGTTAAACAATTTATGAATTGTAGTTAAACAATAGGTTTCTTCAATATTGGCAGAATAACACAAACGTTTTCTGTTTCTATTGATAGATCAATATGTGCTTAGGACTCTACTCTCAAAGAATTTGGTATTTTCATGATGTCTGTAGTAGTAATTCTTTGTGTTCAAATCCATCCCAAACCCCATCTCCCTTGCACTCATTCTTCACAGAACACAAAAACAGAAAAATAGAACCCAGACAGCATATTCCTTACTATATTAAAGTACACTTTTTTTTTTTTGGACAGAAACCGCAAGTGTTTATTGCAGAAATCTGGCCAAGGTCCCAGTTGGCTGGGCAGGTGAGATAGGGAGGGGTGGAGGAAGTGATCTGGCCCAGGGGCTCAGAGCTGTGAGGTGATATTGGGTGCCAGGCTGCAGGTGAGACCTATGCCATCAGGTTCCACATTCAGGGCCTTCATTATGCCATCCTGTACCACCATGGAGAACCTCCTGAGACATCGATAAAGTACAATTTTTTGATAGTTTGAACTTATTTTAATTTTTACATCATTTTAGATGGAGGAGGCATTTATTTAGTTATAGAATTTTTAACAGTCTCAACCAAAATATCTTTGTAAAAAATTTATTTTATATGTCTACCATCATACAGTAAGGTTTTTGTTTTTGTTTTTGTTTTTTGAGAGGGAGTCTCTCTCTGTCACCCAGGCTGGAGTGCAGTGGCGCAATCTCAGCTTACTGCAACCTCCGCCTCCCAGGTTCAAGCAATTCTCTGCTTCAACCTCCCGAGTAGCTGGGATTACAGGCGTCCGCCACCACACCCGGCTAATTTTTGTATTTTTAGTAGAGATGGGGTTTCACCATCTTGGCCGGGCTGATCTCGAACTCCTGACCTTGTGATTTGCCCGCCTTGGCCTCCCAAAGTGCTGGGATTACAGACATGAGCCACCGCACCCAACCCAGTAGGGTCTTTACTACTTAAAACTGTGTATTTTCCACTACATTAGTATTAAATGCATACTATTGCTGACTGAATTCAATAATGTTATTTCTGATTGCTTTCAGATAATGCTTGATCTAATCTGGTATCTATAGCTAAGAATGTAAAGTAAATGAGAAATTATGTTACATACAGGTTTCTATGGCTGCATTCTTTTCTGTATAATTTTTATTTTTACAGTTTGATTATTGTAGACATATAAATACTCATAGTAATATCATAGTTAAACACCTTTCCTATTTGTTCTATTCTTATTTTTAAATAAGGGGTTGCAAAATTAGACCTATATGTTTTACATCATCTTTTGCACATGCACTTTTTAGAAATGAAAAGGAATATAATTGACCTGGATAAATTAATATAATTCTTTGAAGGCTGAAGTAAAACCCGTTTGATACCAATAGCAGTTTCTGAAGTAGCTATGGCTAGAAACTTAAAATAAGCCTAATTAATGAGATGATTGTCTTTATGAAATTGGATGTTATAATATATCTGTGTTTTTGAGCACTCATACATTAAAGCTTGCATGCTTTAAAGGATATGTTTTTGTTTAACATCATCAGCATTCACTTCAGTCAAAATGATGGAATTCTTTTTTCTCCCCGGCTTTGAAAATCTAATATATATATTTTTTTGGTTTGTGGTTTTAATGTTCCATTGCAGAGCAACATGGGAGATGCTGAAGCAGGCAAGAAGACCTTTATTCAGAAATGTGCTCAGTGCCACACAGTGGAAAAAGGTGAAAATCACAAGACTGGTCCAAATCTCTGGGGCCTCTTTGGCTGAAAAACAGGAAAAGCACCAGGATTTTCTTATACAGAGGCAAACAAAAACAAAGGTAAAAACTAGCAGTTGTGGGAGAGAACCAGATACACTGTAGGAAAGAATAAAGCATATGATTTGGCATTATAATAATTTCCTAATTTGCAGCGTTAAAAATGGACCACTCTTTACATATTACTGAAATATGGATTTATATCATAAGACCTGCATTTGGATAACTGATCATCCTTTTAATCAGAAGAATTAAGAATCTTGTATGGCATAGGTTTTTGCCTATACAGGGTATTTGATTTTAGGTAATACATTTTTCTTGAAAAAGTATAAGCTAGATTTTTAAAAAATCATATTTTAGTGGTATAATGGCAGTAGTGATTCTATTTGTAGTATTGATTTTAGCAGAGTGGGAGAAATACTATATAGTTTGAAGCGTATATTCAGCATGTTTTTTTGTTTGTGGGAAGAGGGTAAAGTGAGACAGTATCTTAGGGTTAAGATCGAAGTGGTTGGAAAAGACTACACTATCTTTGCAAAGCAATTTGTCATTCCTGGATTAATCATATGGAGATTTATATGTGTACATCTATCTATCTATCTATCTGTCTAAGAATGGAAATTATAATATGATAATCCTGTTAAATATATATATGGTTTTATATATATATATCAGCTTTTTTGAGATTATATATATATATCACCTTTTTTCAAAATAGGGTATAACTCTATTTGAAACTTTTCTTGGGGCCTAGCATATCTTATAGGTTGGCATTTCAAGTCACTACTATTTGAAAAGGATTTTATTTTATTTTTTATTTCTTTTTATTATTTTTATTGAAGTGAAATTTATATAACATAATTAGACATTTTAAAGTGTACAATTCCGTAGCATTTAGTGCATTCATAATGCTGTAAAATCACCGCCTTTCCCTATTTTCAAAACTTTTTTATCACTCCAGAACAACTGCATCCATTAGGTAATCACTCTGCATTCCCCCTTAACCCTATTCCCTGGCAACCACTAATCTGCATTCTGTCTCTTTGGATTTGCCTATTGGATCATATAAAAGGAATCATATAATATGTGACCCTTTGTGTCTGACTTCTTTCACTTAGCATAATGTTTTCAAGGCCCATCTAAATTGTAGCATGTATCAGTACTTCATTCCTTCCCCCCCCACTGGAAATGTATATTTAACAACAACAACAACAAAATTACAACAAACAACCTGGAATACAACAGGTGGTACTGAGAAACTAAGTCTAATAATTTTTTATGGCAATCAACACTTCTTGTGATGCTTTTCATTCCTTTTTATGGGTGAAATTCTAGTTATGACCTCTAGCTACATAATTCCAATCTCTGACTTTGTTATTACATGACCCCTGTGCATCTCTGTCTTTACATGACCATTTTCTCATAATGACACCAATCATATTCATAAGGACACCAATCATATTGGATTAAGGGCTCATCCTACACCAATATGACCTCATCTCAATTAATCACATCTGCAATGACTCTATTTCCAGACAAACTCATATTCTGAGTTACCAGGGGTTAGGACCTCAACATATCTTTATTTGGGGGAGACTCATAATAAAGGACTACTTTTACATATAAAATAAATACATAATTGGCCAAACATGGTGGCACACACATGTAATCCCAACACTTTGGGAGGCTGAGGTGGGAGGATTACTTGAGGCCAGGAGGATTACTTGATCTGTAAGACCAGCCTGGGCAATGTAGTAAGACCCTGTCTCTACAAAAAATAAATTAGCTGATGGCTGGGCATGGTGGCTTATGCCTGTAATCCCTGTACTTTGGGAAGCCAAGGCAGGTGGATCACCTGAGGTCAGGAGTTCAAGACCAGCTTGGCCAATATGGTGAAACCCCATCTCTAAAAAAAAAAAAAAAAAAAAAAAAAAAACTTAGACCAGGCATGGTGGCTTACGCCTGTAATCCCAGCACTTTGGGAGGCCGAGGTTGGCAGATCACGAGGTCAGGAGTTCAAGACCAGCCTGGCCAACAGAGTGAAACCCCGTCTCTACTAAAAATACAAAAATCAGCCAGGCATGGTGGTGCACGCTTGCAGTCCCAGCTACTTGGGAGGCTGAGGCAGGAGAATCGCTTGAACCCAGGAGGCAGAGGTTGTGATGAGCCAAGATCATGCCACTGCACTCCAGCTGGGGCAACAGAGCAAGACTTTGTCTCAAAAAAAAAAAAAATTAGACAGATGTGGTGGCATATTCCTCTAGTCCTAGTTACTCAGGAGGCTGATGCAGGAGGATGCCTTGAGCCCAGGAGGTTAAGGCTGCAGTGACCCATAATCTCACAGCTGCACTCCCGCCTGGGTGACAGAGTGAGACCCTGTCTCAAAAAAACAAAAAAAAGAAATTAAGTAAATAAATTTATAAATACATAATTGATAAAGTACTTATAATAAAAGTACATTGAATAAAATTTAATATTTGTCAAGTCAGTAGTATTTTATCATCTTTTAAAATATCAGCATATTTATTATTAACACAATATCATTGTATTTGGGAAGTGCAAAAATGCTGGTACTAGGTACTGGTAATAATTTGGTCTTTGTCCTGGGTTCCTGGCAAGGAACCTCTAAAACCTTGGAATTTCTAGAGTGACCGGAGTATGTTTGTTATTATAGTTGGCCCCTGGGACCAAGACCTGAGTTTATGTTAATAAGATGAATTGCGGTGAACTTCCAGATAGTTTCAGAATGGGTGCTGACCAAACTGCAAGGACCAATCAGGTGATTTCAGAATTAAGGCTTTGAGCTAGATGAGTAAGTCTGACCTCTGGGAACAGAAAGGGGGTTGGAGGTTGAGTTCAGTCACATGGCCAGTGATTCACACAGTCATGCCTGTGTATTGAAGCCCCAATTAAAAACTTTAGACACTTTCAACTGGAACTCTGGTTGAGCTTCCTACTTGGTGAACACATCCATGTGTTGGGAGAGTGATGAGACCTGATTCCACAGATAAATGACTCAGAAGCTTTTCATTTGGGACCCTCCCAGCTGTCACCCTATGGGTCTCTTCCCCTGACTAGTCCTGATTTGTATCCTTTATAATACAACTATAATTGTAAATATAGTTCTTTCCTGATTTCTGTGAGTTGTTCTAGTAATAAATTATTGAAGTCGATGAGGTTGTGGGAACCCCCAAATTTGTAGCCAGTTAGTTGGAAGTTTGGGTGGCTTGGGGGCCGCTGAGCTTGCAGCTGGTGTCTGAAGCAAAGGTACTGTGGAGTCTGCCCTTACTGTGGGCAGGTAGTATTAAACTTGTATTGCAGTTATTGCAATAGGATTTTCAGTTGATAGACTACTGAATAGATCAGTTTTTAACTCATCTTCATTGTTAGCATTTATATAGCTTTTTAATTTTTAAAGTATTTCTCTATAGAGTCATTTTATTATTA
The DNA here is from genome assembly GCF_000001405.40 of Homo sapiens. Lineage (NCBI taxonomy): Eukaryota > Metazoa > Chordata > Mammalia > Primates > Hominidae > Homo > Homo sapiens. Next base: position 178,100,917 of record NC_000002.12, on the reverse strand, counting down.
TCCTGTTATAAGCACAATTTTTGAACTTCTAATTTGTAGAGCAGACTTAAGCCAATGTTGTTCCTCTAACTGCCAGTAGTTTGAGGAATTTATTCCTCAATAGCGTTGATTTGAAATAATATTAAAACTTATACCAAATATGCCTTTTATTATGTAGATTGTTGCCAATGGTTGAAAGCTGTATAAGGCTTGGGTTTAATATTATTTAAGAATTAGAAATAAAATTTCCCTAAATTGGATTATTTAGGTAATATTTGTGACTGATTTGAGGATATAATATTATTGTTTGTTAGTTCTGCTGATGAGATAAGAACAATAAGTAGCTTACTATGTTAATTGCACTAGGATTTTAAAGTAAGTTTACTTAAAACTAAACAAGGATTTAAAAAATATGTTAGCACAGCTTGGCTAAAAACAGACTTCAATAATTAAGAAGAACCATGAAGTCAGTAGTTCAGTGTTAATAAAAATTGTGGTGCACTGTCAACCATATTTTATTTTTTTGTGTATGACCTTTCTGTTGCAAATAATTACACTATTTTTATTTTCAGAAGAATACAGAAATTCTCAATTTTAAAGATTCTTTGTCCCATATGACTTGTATAGAATATAGTTTTACAAAACTCATGATTATAATAATCTTATGTGGTTTTAAAAATTGTAGCAAAATATATATAACATAAAATTTACCATTTTAACCATCTTAACTTACAATTCTGTGTCATTTTAAGCACACACTGTTTTGCAACCATAACCACCATCCATTTCCAGAACATTTTCATTTTCTCAAACTGAAACTCTGTACCCATTGAATAGCCCCTGGCGACTGACATTCTGCTTTTTGTCTGTGAATTTGACTGCCCTAGGTATATAATACAAGTGGAATCAAATCATACAGTATTGGTCCTTTTGTGAGTGGCTTATTTCACTTAGCATAATGTCTTCAAGGTTCATTTATGTTATAACGTGTTGAAATTTCTATCTTTTTAAAGACTGAATAATATTCTATTATATGTAGATAGCATTTTGTTTATCTATTTATCCGTTGATAGAGACTTGGGTTGCTTCCACCTTTTGGCTCTTGTGACTAATGCTGCTATGCACATGGGTGTACAAATATCTGTCGAGTCCGTGTTTTCATTCTTTTGGGTATATACCCAGAAGTGGAATTGCTGAATCCCATGATAATTCTGTGTCTAATTTTTTGAGGAACAGCCATATCATTTTTCACAGTGGTTGCACCATTTTATGTTTCCACAATTCCATTGTGAATTAGAATACACAAGGGTTCTAATTTCTCCAACTTCTCAACCAACACTTATTTTCTGTTTTTGTGATAACAGCCATCCTAATGGGTTTGAAGTGCTATCTCATGTGGTTTTGGTTTTCATTTCCCTAATGATTGGTGATGTTGAACCATATATACTGTGTTTTTCTTTGTTCTTCAATTTTTTTTTTTTTTTTTTTTTTTCTCTTGAGATGGAGTCTCACTCACTCTGTCACCCAGGCTGGAGTACAGTGTTGTGATCTCGGCTCACTGCTACCACTGCATCCCAGGTTCAAGCTATTTTCCTGCCTCAGCCTCTGAAGTAGCTGGGATTACAGGCGTGTGCCACCACATGCGGCTAATTTTTTTTGCTGTTGTTGTATTTTTAGTAGAGACGGGGTTTCACCATGTTGGCCAGGCTGATCTCGAAATCCTGGCCTCAAGTGATCTGCCCGCCTCGGCCTCCCAAAGTGCTGGGATTACAGGCGTGGGCCACTGTTCCTGGCCGTACTGTATTTTTAAAAACATCAGTAAATGGATAAAATTTTTCTTTTGAGAATAATGTCTTTATAGTGCATTGAAGCACCACTTGCATTTTTGGGCAATGATAATTGAAGCGGGTTTTAGAAACAAATTGTTTGAATTAATTCATGATTTTTCCAGGATTCTATGCTAATAAATGGTGGAACTAGGATACAAACCCTGGTTTTCTTGGGCCTTTAAAGAAATCGTATCATGAGATTAGCATATTAGCTAAACTATCTTATTAGGGATTTAAGTCTTTATCTTTTGCTTATTGTCATGTCAAATTTTGTTAGTGGATGCAGTAGGAACACATTGAATCATAAATGTATTAATAACTTTAAAAATATTTTGAAATGCTTACATTATACAAAAATCCAAATAGTTCAAAAGAAATATTTACCATTATGTGTGGTAAGGAAATTATGTATGTTCACTTTTCCTGACATTCTCCTATTCCTGTCCCTCTACCAACTAAATTTATTTGGCAATATTATTCTTTTTGACAATTTTGATAGTCATATTTATACTCTAAAGAATATCCATGTGCCTCTACAATTAGATTGATCTGCATTAAGCAACATCTGCTTATCCTCCTCTATGAAGGATGAGAAAGCCAAAATATTTATACAATCTCCCATTTTTCATAGTCTCCAACTCTTACCACTTATGTATGTTGTTATTTCTACTCTGAGATGCCATATATCATTTACACCCCATGTAACCATAATTACCACAGTTGTTTTTAATGTTTGTTCTACATTTAAATAGTACCAGTGAGTGTTCCCAGATTTTACCATATTATCTTCATTTATCTTTTGGTTAGTGGATGGTTTTCTATTCATTGTAACAATAAGAAAGTATTACCAGAACTATATTGTCCCAGTTTTTGGATGTTTAAATACAGCTGGGGATTGTTATTACACTTGAATGATAATTTGGTTGTAAAATGATTGGGAGACATTTTAATTGCTCAGGATTTTATATGCTTTATGTTGAATTATTGTTTGGAGAAATATGAAACCAGCCTGTTGCCTTTCCATTATGAGTTACTTGGTTTTTTATTTTATTTTTTCCCCCTATGTTTCAGTAAAAGTCTTACTGAGAGTTAGCAAATTTGCTAGGCTATATCTAGGCCTTGATTGATCAATTTCACTATCTCCTGGGACATGTTGTATTCTTCCAATTGATAGATTCAGTGCCTTTAGTTTTGAAAGTTTTCTTGATTTATATGTTGTAATAGTTTTACTCTATTTCATTTGTTTTTTAAAAATCTTACTTGGGCCACCGGTTGTGCAGATCTTGTATCTCCTTTGTCTGAGTATCTTCTGTATCTGTCATTTGACCTTAGAGCTGATAGCTAGAGTGATCATTTAAAACTATTTTTTCCATTTCATTTTTATCAGTATTTTGAAGTCTGATTGTGCTAGCAGCAGCATTGTCCATTTTTGCTGTCATTTATATGTTTCTGTTTTATCATTTTCTACTAGCTTCTTTGTAGCTCTATGATATGGTTTGGCTCTGTGTCCCCATCCAAATCTCATCTCAAATTATAATCCCCATAATCCTCACATGTCGAGGGAGGGACCGGGTGGGAGGTGATTGGATCATGGGGGTGGTTTCCCTCATGCTGTTCTTGTTACAGTCTTTGAGTTCTCACGAGATCTGATGGTTTTATGAGTGTTTGGAATTTCCTCCTTCACACTTCTCTCTCCTGCCACCTTGTGAAGAAGGTACCTTGCTTCCCCTTCATCTTTCTCCATGATTATGAGTTTCCTGAGGCCTCCAAGCCATGTGGAACTGTGAGTCAATTAAACCTCTTTCCTTTATAAATTACCTAGTCTCGGGTATTTCTTTATAGCAGTGTGAATGGACTAGTATAGTAAATTGGTACCAGGGGTTTGGGGCACTGCTATAAAGATACTTAAAAATGTGTAAGAGATGGCCGAGCACGGTGGCTCACACCTGTAATCCCAGCACTTTGGGAGGCCAAGGCAGGTGGATCATGAGGTCAGGAGATCAAGACCATCCTGGCTAACACGGTGAAACCCCGTCTCTACTAAAAATACAAAAAATTAGTCGGGTGTGGTGGCATGTGCCTATAGTCCCAGCTACTCAGGAGGCTGAGGCAGGAGAATTGCTTGAACCCCAGAGGCAGAGGTTGCAATGAGTTGCGATTGCACCACTGCACTACAGCCTAGGTGACAGAGCAAGACTCTGTCTTAAAAAAAAAACAAAATGTGCCACTCCAGTTTCAGCTATGGCTAACTGGGTAATGGGCAGATGTTGGAACAATTTGGAGGGCTCAGAAGACAGGAAGATATGAGAAAGTTGGGAGCTTCCTAGAAACTTGTTGAATGGTTTTGACCAAAATGCTGACAGTGATGTGGACAATGAAGTTCAGGCTGAGGTGGTCTCAGATGAAAATGAGGAACTTATCAGGAACTGCAGTAAATGTCACTGTTGCTATGCGTTAGCAAAGAGACTGGCGGCATTTTGCCCCTGTCCTAGAGATCTATGGGACTTCGAACTTGAGAGAGATGATTTAGGGTATCTGGTAGAAGACATTTCTAAGCAGCAAAGCGTTCAAGAGGTGACAGAGCATAAAAGTTTGGAAAATTTGCAGCCCGACCATGTGGCAGAAAAGAAAAACGTGGGCCAGGCGCAGTGGCTCAGGCCTGTAATCCCAGCACTTTGGGAGGCCGAGGCGGGCGGATCATGAGGTCAGGAGATCGAGACCATCCTGGCTAACACAGTGAAACCCTGCCTCTAGTAAAAATACAAAAAAAAAAAAAAAATTAGCTGGGCTTGATGGTGGGTGCCTGTACTCCTAGCTACTCTGGAGGCTGAGGCGGGAGAATGGCGTGAACCCAGGAGGCGGGGCTTGCGGTGAGCTGAGATCATGCCACTGCACTCCAGCCTGGGCGACAGAGCGAGACTCCATCTCAAAAAAAAAAAAGAAAAGAAAAGAAAAACCTGTTTTCTGGGGAGAAATTCAAGCTGGCTACAGAAATTTCTGTAAGTAACAAGGAGTTAATTGCCAAGACAATGTTAAGCACCAAGACAATGGGGAAAATGTCTCCAGGGCATGTCAGAAACCTTCAAGGCAGCTCCTCCAATTGCAGGCCTGAGACCTAGGTGGGAAAAATGGTTTTGTGGGCCAAGCCCAGGGCCCCACTGCTGCTCTGTGCTCTGTGCATCCTTGGGATTTGGTGCCCTGCTTCCCAGCCACTCCAGTTCCAACTATGGCTAAAAGGGGCCAAGGTACAGCTCAGGTCGTTGCTTCAGAGGGTGCAAGCCCCAAGCCTGGAAAGCTTCTATGTGGTGTGGGGCCTGCAGGTACACAGAAGTCAAGAATTGAGGTTTGGGAACCTCTGCCTAGATTTCACAGGATGTATAGAAACACCTGGATGTCCAGGCAGAAGTCTGCTCTAGAGGCAGAGTCTTCATGGAGAACCTCTGCTAGGGCAGTGTGAAAGGGAAATGTGGGTTGGAGCCCCATCACAGAGTCCCTACTGGGGCATTGCCTAATGGAGCTATGAGAAGGGGGCCACCATTCTCCAGACCCCAGAATGGTAGATCCACCAACAGCTTGCATGTGTGCCTGTTTTGCCACAGACACTCAATGCCAGCCTGTGAAAGCAGCCAGGAGCAGGGCTGTACCCTGCAAAGCCACAGGGGTGGAGCTGCCCAAGACCATGGGAACCCACCTCTTGCATCAGCGTGACCCAGATGTGAGACATGAAGTCAAAGGAGATCATTTTGGAGCTTTAAGATTTGACTGCCGTGCTGGATTTCGGACTTGCACGGGGCCTGTAGCCCCTTTGTTTTGGCCAATTTCTCCCATTTGGAATGGGTATATGCACCCATTGTTTGTATCCCCATTATATCTAGGAAGTAAATAACTTGCTTTAGATTTTACAGGCTCATAGGAGGAAGGGACTCACCTTATCTCAGGTGAGACTTTTGACTATGGACTTTTGAGTTAATGCTGAAATGAGTTGAGACTTTGGGGGACTGTTGAGAAGGCATGGTTGGTTTTGCAACGTAAAAATGATGTTAGATTTGGAAGGGGTCAGGGGTGGAATGATATGGTTTGGCTCTGTGTCCCCACCCAAATCTCATCTCGAATTGCAATCCCCATAATCTCCACGTGTGGAGGGAGGGACCTGGTGGGAGGTGATTGGATCATGGGGGCAGTTTCCCCCATGCTGTTCTCATGATAGTGAGTTCTCACAATATCTGATGGTTTTATAAGTGTTTGGAAATTCCTCCTTTTCATGCTTCTCTTTCCTGCTGCCTTATGAAGAAGGTGCTTGCTTCCTCTTCACCTTCCACCATCATGGTAAGTTTCTTGAGGCCGTCTCAGCTATGTGGAATTGTGAGGCAATTAAACCTCTTTCCTTTATAAATTACCCAGTCTTGGGTATTTCTTTACATCAGTGTGAAAATAGACTAGAACACTCTACTTTGAGCCCTTAATTCATAAAGGCCTTTTTTGAATCCATGGAAATATGGCTATGATTTTCATCTGCCTATTTATTAATACATAATTTCAGATGTGTATTTTTCATTTAACATTTCGTTTTTGTTTTTCGAGACAGGCTGTCACTCTGTTGCCCAGGCTGGAGTGCAGTGGTGCGATCTCAGCTCATTGCAGCCTTGACATCCTGGACTCAACTGATCATCCCGCCTCAGCCTCCTGAGTAGCTGGGACCCCGGAAGTGCACCACCATGCCCGGCCATTTTTTTTTCTATTTTTTGTAGAGATGGGGTTTCACCACGTCACCAAGGCTGGTCTTGAACTCCTGAGCTCAAGCGATCCACCCGCCTCAGGCTCCCTAAGTGCTGGGATTGCAGGTGTGAGCCACCATGCCTGGCCTAACTTTTGTTTTTCATATTCCTTTCTGCTGTGTGTATGTATGTGGTGTGTGTGTGTTTGCGTGTGTACTGTGTGTATTGTGTGTATTGTGTGTATTTTCAGTACTTTCTTGTGCTGGTTATTTTTTATTATTACCCATCTTCTGATGAAGATAATCTTTTTGGACTAGTTATTTGCAGAAGGAAAATAAGGATGATGGTCTGAGTTTTCCAGTTAGTTTTGATGTCTTCCTTATGCATAGTTATATTAGCGATAACATATACCTGAGCGTTTATGGGTTTATGTTTTGGTGGGGCTGTTATTTGGCTCTTTACTTCAGCTGGCAAAGACTGGCAGGCCTGGGGTTATGTTACCTTTGCAGTTTCTCTTGTACCTTATAAGTTAGAGTGCTTCTTTCAAAGAGGACATATTTATGTTTTCTTCATTCATCCTGGCTCCCCTGGTCCTCCATGGTGTAAAACTGAATTTAAGAAGACTTTCATGGCCAGCTGATATATCCTATTCTTTTTGAGCTAAACAAAGGCTTATGCCTTTGCCTTTCAGAGTGTGTCACATACTTTGGAGAGATGCTTAGTGAAAGGTGTCATTTCACTCTGGTCTAGGTTTCATGTCCTTGGTAGACTTCTAATTATAACAATTATAACAGGTGCTTCCTGAAAGGTTTTATCAAAAGTGAAGGTAGCAGTTCTGTTTCTCTTTCTCCATGTTCTTTTTGACTGGTTTTAGAAAGAAAAGAAAGGAACCTTTCTCTATTGTCTTAAAACTGGATTTTTGAAATCATGGATTTTGATGGAGATCTGGATAGAGGCAGCTTGGTATGATAGGTAGAAAAAACATGCAAATATGAGTTAGTAGTCATAAATTCTTGACTGTAGGTAGCTTTGTAATCTTAGGACAAGCTTTGGACCATCATTTACTAATCTACAAAATTAGAGATTGGATTGCATGATCTCTAAGACCTTTTCTAGAAGGAACTCACTCTGATTCTTGGAGGATGAGGAACTGCTTAAGCATAACATGTCTTTGGTGGTAGTTCATTGGTTTACCATAGAAGACCCTAAACAGTATGCGACTGTTTCTACAGTATGGATTTCTACAGAGAAGCCAAGGAGTGGAGACACATTTTGGAAATTTCTTATAGGTCAGAATCTATAAGTCTCAGTTAAAATAGCCTCCCTACTGAGTCCAAGATTAATCTTTTGTTCACATATGTGGGTCAGATCAGAAAGTGAGCCCTACAAATGTAACTACACAAACTTAAAACTTACCTTCACCTTTGTAGGTATTGTATGGGGAGAAGAGACTCTGATGGAATATTTGGAGAACCCAAAGAAATATATCCCTGGGACTGTACGTGGTGGCTCACACCTGTAATCCCAGCACCTTGGAGGCCGAGGAGGGCGGATCACCTGAGGTTAGGAGTTCAAGACCAGCCTGGCTAACATGGTGAAACCCCATCTCTACTAAAAATACAAAAAAATTGCTAGGCATGTTGGTGCATGCCTGTAATCCCAGCTACTTGGGAGGCTGAGGCAGGAGAATGGCTTGAACCTGGGAGGCGGAGGTTGCAGTGAGCTGAGATCGCGCCATTGCACTCCAGCTTGGGCAACAAGAGCAAAACTCCATCTCAAAAAAAAAAAAAAGAAAGAAATATATCCCTGGAACTAACATGACCTTTTCTGGTCTTAAAAAGAAGAGTGAGAGAGAAGATCTTATTCAGTATTTGAAATGGGCAACATCTTCACTTCGGAAATATGTTATAAGCCAAAATTTCTAATTTCAAAAATTGCACGTTTAGAGAAGTCATATTTGATCATTTTTGATCAGCCTGTAGTAAGTTTAACATTTTAAAATAAAGGTTGATATTTTTTATTGTGTGTGATCTACTGATCAGGAGCCCTTCAGATTCTGAACTCGCTTTTGTTGGCATGCTAAGGAAGGGGATAGGTCAGGATGGAGGAGGAGAAGGAAGGAAACTAAAATCTGTTGTGGTTCAGTAGTCTCTACATGCACAAAATAGTTTGTAAGTCTAACAACTACTGTTGATGATGGCTTCCACATACTTATTTCTCTGTAATTTAAATGTAAATATAGAAGACATTAGCTTTAATTTTCATTAACTTGTGGTTGGTTATGTGTTTGCTTTTTATTATAAACAATACTTAAAGCAACTTTTTAAAAAGTAGGGAAAATAAGGTCACATAGTTGATCTTACCTTAGGAATGTTTTTGGGAAAAAAGAGCCAATGTTGACCTTGGGTGACTTAAAATAAAAGAGAGAAGGAGAAAAGCATGTCCAATGTTGTTAAATATTTGTATCATATAACATGTAATCTTTCTGCATTAAGATACTCTGCTAATCCTGAGTAATATGAAGGTAAATTTGCAGGGAAGGATAGCAGGGACACTGAGAGAGAGGGAGAAAAAAACCCTAAAACCTTCATCATAAATGTGGAAAGAGCCCCCCCACCCACTTACAGCAAATATAAGAGACGCATGGTGGGGCAGGTCTACAGCAGGGCCTGGGTGGAAGGGAACAGTGGCTTTGTGTAGTGTGAGGCAGCCCCTGCAACAGCTGTGCAGTCCTGCAAGTGTTCTATCACCCAAATGATATGGCCCAATGCAAGAAGGAGAAGCTGAGTCTGTACCAAAGGGATGGGTAGTGGACTAGGTCAGGAATCATTATGGGTGAGGATAAGACATCTGTTACCTCATTTACACTTCACAACAATAGCCCTGTGATGTGGGTTTTACCTTCTGTGTTGACACCTAGAGAGATCTGGCACCAGAACCAAAACTTGGATCTTCTGCTCCAATTCCTTGCGGCTTTTCACCATTATCATAGGGATAATATGTTAGCTAGTTAAGATATTAGTGGGCTAGGTGCAGTGGCTCACGCCTGTAATCCCAGCACTTTGGGAGGCCGAGGTGCACAGATCGCTTGAGCCCAGGAATTGGAGATCAGCCTGGTCAACATGGTGAAACCCTATCTCTGCAAAAAATACAAAAATTAGGTGTCCATGATGGTACGTGCCTGTAGTCCCAGCAACTCGGGAGGCTGTGGCAGGAGAATTGCTTGAGCCTGGGAGGTCAAGGCTGCAGTGATCTGTGATTATGCCACTACACTCAGCTTGAGCAACAGAGTGAGATCCTGTCTCAAAATAAAATAAAATAAAATAAAAAAGATATTAGCATATACCTTCTATGAAGATGTCCTAACAGAGTTCTCAGAGTGAGGGGAACATATTGACAATGATTTCCAGACGGTTCCATTAAATCTGCTAAGTGCCCAGGCTTACTCTTAATGCATCTGGTAAGTCGGGGAGAATGCGCTCCTCATGGAGCCCAGTGCCAGTATTGTGTAGGAAAGAGTGCCTGTGGGGGCCCAGGGAGGGCTTCAGAAAAAGCTGAGCTTGTTATTCTCTCCCTGAAGGAATTATCTGATAAGGGCAGAGACATCTGTAGGGACTGTAAGAGTGTCCTAAGGATGTTGCCAGTTTCAGAGCTCAGTTAGGTTTGCAAATATGTAGAATTAGGTGATGTACCTACCTCCTATCCTAATTGGCATGAGGCCAGAGAGCTCTCTGAGAAAGCACTTGAACTCCATCCACATTTATAATTACAGTTTGGATTTATACAACCCTGATGGATGAACTTGGTGGCACCGATAAAAGCCATATTGCAGGGGGAAGTAAAAGGCCCTCAGGTTTGGAGCTTGACTTATGGGAAGTAGAAAGAAGATAGTATGAGGAGAGTTGAGATGAAAAAAGGCAGGCGGGTAGAAATGGAGAAATATTAAGTAGATTTCCATTAAAAAAATTGTAGTTAAAAATAATGTGTTCAGTGTTGCTTTATGTTTACCTTAGAGCAAAATAAGTATCTCTTTGCCGATAGCAATGTTTCTTGTAAAGAAATAAAAGTTGGAAGAAAGTTTGCAAATGAATGCAATAAGTAAAATACTTTATTGTGATAGGTGTTATTATTGAATATATATTATTTCTGAGAGGCTTAAATCCATTTTAGGATGAATTTACATAAAGGGTCTTTTGGATGTGGTGGGGATTTTATACTGTGCCAATTTAGCTAAGCTGGAACTGCATTTTCCAAATTATTCTGTATATAGTCCTCAGTTAGGGCTGGTCACAAGAGAAATTTGTCTGAGATTCAAAAGGGGTCAGGCAGAAACTTTTGCATTTGGAAGGTCAGTTCAGGGCCCCAGTTACAAATTATACTTGTAACTAATCTGTTGGCTCACCTTTGTGTGGTGGGACAACAGCTCTTCCAACTCCTGCCACATATTCTTTTATAGCTTCTCTAAGTCTTGGGCCAGGACTACGTGGAGCTTCGAGGGGAAAGGGCCTAGGTTTTTCAGGCCATTCCTATCATCCAGCTTTGAAATGGGGAGAAACAGATAACACAGGTACCAGTTTACCCTCACAGGCTTGTCATTGCTTTCTGTGTTTGGCTTGCAGCTTTCTTTCCAAGTACTTGCTCTGCTGATCTACAACAACCTTAGGCCCATCACCAGATGCAGAGCCATTAACAAAGATCGTTTGACCAGACTTGAGTCAGGCTCCTCTAAACTGTCTTCTCGACTAGGCCCTGACCTTGGTCTCTGTCTTTGATCCACTTAGTGCAGTTTTAGCAAGAACTGTGCTAAACTAATTTAGCAAAAATCTCCCACCCTTGGTATCTGATAAAATTCCTCACACCTCAGCTTTGATATCTAATCCTCTGGCCTGCCTTCAGCAAGTATCCTGTTAAGTTGGTTTGGCCAGAATTGTCTCTTACACCTGGCGTTTCCTCTTAGTGTTTTTCCGTCCACTGAGCTTACACCCTGCTCCTTAGCTATAAGCTCCACTTGACCTTGTTGTATTTATAGTTGAGCTCAATCTTTCTCCCTACTGCAAAACTCTCATTGCAGTAGTCTCTTCTTCAGTAACATCTTTCTTCCTGTCTTTAACAAGTGTTGGAATAATTTTTTTCTCTAACACCAACAACCTCCCATAGTCGTCTTCACTAGTTCTGCTTTGTGGTCTTACTGACTTTCCCCTGATCATTTAACTGTCCCTTTCTCGACCTTTATCTCCTCAACTTCTCCCCAAATTGTGGAAGGCCTAATTCCTATAATAAATTCCTTATTCACATCAATCGTAGTGGTACTGCTTATCTGCTGAAACCCTAACTGATACGGGCACCATATCTGTGCAACGCCTACTTTGTGAAAGATGAGAACCTCTAAGGAAATTACTCTTTGAGTGCACTTCCATCTAAATTAGGTGTACCCTGACAGAGCAGAGGAAATAATAATTAACTTTTACAACTCTTTACAGTTGTCAAGTTGTTAAAGTCTGGAAATGTCTCCTACACTTGAATTAAATATCCAGTAGGAAAAGGATTCATGTTAATCAGAGAACAGATTTCTATCATGATGAACTCTGAAAAAGTAAGTATTTTTGTTTTGTAGTACCGTTAACAGGAACCAGGAGAATTTAGTGACCAGGAAATGTTATGGTGATAGCATACCCACAAAAATATATTTAAAAATATGTAGACCATTGGATGATTATATAGGAACACTGATCACTTTTAGCATAGGCAATTCTAATTCATGTCTTCATAAGGATCTAAAAGGACAAAGTGTTGTTTCATTTAATTAAAGTGAAAATGTGAGATTAGTTAACTTGGCAATTATTTGTGTGTTACAGAAGGTACAGAGAGAACTCTTCAGAAAGCAGTGGAACATTGTTAGATCCTGCATTCTTAAAATTTTTTTAGACTAGTGAGTGAAGTACTTCCCAGATGTAAACCTCTAGTCAGTAGGTCTTGTGGGAAACAACATATCATTTATTTTTCAAGAAGAATAATTTTTTGAATTGAACCCTTGTGTCCTACAATATGTTGTGTATAATACAGAATAATTTTGAGCATTTATGTTTTGCTTATTCTTCCTCCTCATCACATTCTTCTGAAATATTAACATAGATTAGAATTTAGAATCAAATTGTCTTCTTTGCATTTTTCACTTTGTGATCAATATGATCAACTTGAGTTTGAAATTACAATTTCAGGCATTTCCTCAGCTTGAATTTCTCATTCCCCACAAAGTGGGGCTTCATGTAAACACATAATACTGTGAGAGTAAGGCAAGTCAGAGTGGGGCGCCATCATGTGAGTCAGGGGTTGCATGAAAGACAGAGGTGGGGAGCTTCAGTGCAGAAAAGGACAGTATTTCCTCATCTATAAAACGTGAGGGGTTGGGCCAGGTCTCTCATTTTCGAATATATTTTATTTGCAGAACCACTTGTTTAAATGCAGCCCTCCTCCAAAAAGAAAAAAACAAAAAAAAAACTCAGTGTTTAAAACAGAACCACTGTGATTGAGGAGGAGTGGGACACCTTCCCTTCTCCTCCATATCCTTCCTCCCTACTCCTAAGTATAAAACTACTTTCAAATAAAGTGTACAAAGGTTAGAAAATGTTTGAAAACTTACAGTTCCCACACTCTCATTTTATTTTATTTTTGTTTTTTAAAATTTGTATAAATTTTGTTACATGCATAGATTACATAGTGGTGAAGTCAGAGCTTTAGGGTATCCATCACCCAAATAATGTACACTGTACCCATTAAGTAATCTCTCATCATCCACCTTCTTTTCTCCTCCTCCCTTCCAAGTCTCCTTTGTCTGTCATTTCACAGTCTATGCCCATGTGAATACATTATTTAGCTCCTACTTTTAAGTGACAGCATGAGGTTTTTGTCTTTCTGTGTCTTGTTTCATTAAAGTTAATTGCCTCCAGTTTTATCCATGTTGCTGCACAAGATATGATTTTTTTGTGTGGCTGAAAAATATTCAATTGTGTATATATACGACATTTTCTTTTTTTTTTTTTTGAGTTGGAGTCTTGCTCTAGTCATCCAGGGTGGAGTGTAATGGCGCGATCTTGGCTCACTGCAACCTCTGCCTCCCAGGTTCAAGCAATTCTCCTGCCTCAGCCTCCTGAGTAGCTGGGATTACAGGCACCTGCCACCACACCTGGCTAATTTTTGTATTTTTAGTAGAGACGGGGTTTCACCATGTTGGTCAGGCTGTTCTCTTTGGCCAGGCTGGTTTCGAACTCCTGATCTTGTGATCTGCCCACCTCAGCCTCCCAAAGTGCTGGGATTACAGGTGTGAGCCACAGCGCCCAGCTGACATTTTCTTTATCCAGCCATCCATTGGTGGAGGTTGACCATATCTTTGCTACTGTTAATAGTGCTGTGATAAACATACAGATGCAGGTTTCTTCTTGTTACAATTATTTCTTTTCCTTTGGGTAGATACCCAGTAGTGGGATTGCTCATTTTAAAGTTGAGAAAACTGAGGCCCAGAAACTTCTCCAAAGTCAAACAGTTAGTGTTAGTCCTCAAAACTGGGACTAGAACATGGGTCCTGGTTTCACAAAATCTGATTTTCCTACTTTTATGTGGGGTTCTGGCCAGATTCATACACTTTTAACGACTGTTGTCTATCCAACCACTTCCTCACATTTAACTTTTTGTCCTTCTATAAAAACTGCAACAATCATATAAAATAAAAATTTTTAAATGGAATCTTTCTGTTTTAATCTTACCAAGAGATTTAGTTTTGGTTTGTTTTCCTTTTTTGATAAGTATTTGGAATAGTATTATGTGAAAATCATGGCTCTATAAATTGCTGTTTGATCATAAAAATAGGGTGGTCATTTTAAATCATGTATGCCCATCTCTACCATAGATAAGAATGTGGTCTGTTACAGTGGATTACCATTCATTAGTTTATTCAATAAATATTTATTTATTGTGCATTATGGTATCTGGTCTCTAATGATGGCACCTGATAAACCATGCTTCCAGCTATTCATGCCTTTGTGTAGAACTCTCTCATGCTGAATCCGGGTTGACTTTGATTACTTTAACCAATAGGATGTGATAGAAGTGATGTTATACTAGTTCAGATCCTAAGCATTAAGAAGACCTGGAAGCTTACACTTTTGCATTTTTTGGAAGACCTACACCACCATGTAGGAAGGTCGGCAGTCCTGCTGGAAACAGCGTGTGGAGAAACCTTATGCAGAGAGAGGCCTGAGACTATTGGAAGAGGGGAAAGGGGAAAGATTGATTCAGCCAGGAGATGGGGAGAGAGAATTTGAGTGATCAGTGGTTCCAGAGTCCCAGCTGAGCCCAGACAGAGTGATCCATCCAGTCCAGTCAAGTCTCCAGGTGACTTCAGCCCAAAGATTGTTTTTATTAAGTTACAGTCTTTTAAAAACCTAGGATAGTGGTACTTTTGATAGCACAACTGTCTCCGAAAATCTGTTTGATTTTTGTTCTTTTTGTCAATCGTACTTTGTGCTTGTCAGGCTTTCATAGAGTCACATTCTTTTTACTGAGCCATTTCTTTGCCCCGGTACTGAGTTTTAATTGGCCTTTGTTGCAAGACTATTTTTAATTTCATCTGAAATTGAGATGAGAAATAGTTGCAGATTTCAGGTGGGCAACTTCTAGGATCTCTGGATTCTCTATTTTCCCTTGAATCCCTGCTTATAAATAGGCCAGTTCTTTTTCTGAGTTCCCTTCTTGTACAGTCTTGTTAAACACAGCTAGTAATGACCAAATACACTAGTAACATTTTGTTCTTCAGTTTCTTCACCTGAAGCTGTATATTCTTTAGGTTTATTTTTTTTTTTATTTCAACTATTGTTTTAGGTACATAGGGTACATGTGCAGATTTGTTACATGGGAATATTGTTTGATGCTCAGGTTTGGAGTATGGATGCCATCACCCAAGTAGTGAGCATAGTATCTGATAGGTAGTTTTTAAAACACCCCCCTCCACAGTGTCTTTTGTTCCCATATTTATATCCATGTTAATTAGATTTTTTACCTGTTTAAGGTATTGTAGGTGACAGTTTCACCAAATATTTTATCCCTGTATAACATAGGTCACCATTTTTCCAGCTCCTGATAATAGTTTCCATGCCATTCTCTGTCAGGTATTGAATATAGGGCCATATATTTTGGTGATAGCAGCACCTCACGTCTAGGTACCAATTTCTGTATGTTGACTTGCTATAGTAACAAAATCTCAGGGACCTGCAACAACAAAACATTTATTAATATTTCTCATTCACATGGCATATAGACTGTGGTTGGATGTGGTTTTGCTCCAAGTATCTTCTCATTCTAGAACCCAGGTTAAAGAAGTACCTATATGGACATTCCCACTTGTGTGGCATAAGGAAAGTCCAAGAGCCATGGAAGAAGCTCCTGATGTTTCATGAAGCTTCTGCTTAGATGTGGCATACATAATGGGTGCTCACATTCCACTGATCAAAACTTATGTTAAGTAGGCAAGGCCAATGTCAATTAAATGAGAAGGTATACTTTCCCTGAAGGAGGAATGCAAGTCACATGACAATAGTTTGTCATTCTTTTAGAGGGAAGAGGGTAGTAAATAATTGCAAAAAAAAAAAAAAGCTGTCTACCATAAACATGTATACGCATTTCTTTTTGCTTGTATTTTCACTTCATACAATCTTTCTGTTGAACCCAGTCTCATTGCTCTTTGACTTACCTGTTAACCCGACCAGTCATGCCCTATGCATCAACTTCACTTTATTCTTTTTTCTTGTTTGTATAGTTGCTTGCAGCCTGCCTGCTCCCATGTCAGACTTGCTCATGTCTGCATTCTGGCTTGCGAAACCATCAGCATTTCTTACTCTCCGACTACTTCTCCAGTTCTGATATGTGAGCAACAAACCAAGCCTTTGTAAAATCCAAGTTTAGATTGACTATGGGCTAGTGATCAAATTATTGTGCAATTTTACTTGAAGCATGAAGAAATTAGATAACTGAGATTATTTGATAGCTAGGACTAGAAGATTCTATTCCCCAATTATATCCAAGAACCTCACTGAGCTACTCAAGGAGATAATTTGTCATTGAGGTTAAATTCTGATTTAGAAAAGAAAGTTATTTCTCTTGTAATTCTGGTTAGAATAAACATGGTCTTTTTACCTTGGAGTGTTAATTTTACTTGAAGATAAAAGTCCTCTTTGGATTTTTATACTTTTGAGGTTTTATTTATTCTCACATGGAGGGATAGCTATAATACACTATTGAGTAAAGAAAGCAAATTTCTGATGGATCTTGTAGAATGGCTCACTTTTCTATATAGTTTTTTTCTATACATACAAGAATATGTATATTTGTGTATATATGAACGTATCTATATAGCTATTGGCTATTGATACATACCACACTGATAAGTATGTGTTTCTTGGGAATGGAGATGGAAGACTTATTTTTTCTTTATATAATCTTACGTTTAAATTTTTACAAGCATATATTATCCTTTTCATAAAAGAAGAAAAACTAAAAGTATAGCTCAAAGTCACTAAAAAATTTTGTCAGATGCAAAAGCAAAATCTGTGAAACTGTTTTCTGTCACTAAATTTCATATTATTTTATGAAAATCCAGAAAGAGGAACATTTTCCTGCATAGGAAGTTATTAGGAAACTTATTTTGTATGTATTTGGGGAATGTGGTGTTATTAGTTGTACAGCCAATCAAAGGTATGAGGAACTACTTTAGCAGGAAAAGGTAATTCAGACACTTTCTGGTAGGGGTCTTTGGATCTATATGACTGCCCTCGACATGTGCTTTCTTGGCCAGTCTGTGGAAACCAACATAGCCAGTTCTTTGGAAAAACAAGTGTGTCATTTTTCTGAGCAGTACTTTAAAAAAATTTTTGTTTTTATTTTCTGGCTTCTCAAGTTGGTTCAATTTCCTAACACTTTTGTGCTCCTTCAAATATTTAGTTCTACTGGCTGGGCGAGGTGGCTCACGCCTGTGATCCCAGCACTTTGAGAGGCTGAGGTGGGTGGATCACTTGAGGTCAGGAGTCCAAGACCAGCCTGACCAACATGGTGAAACCCCGTTTCTATAAAAATACAAAAATTAGATGGGCATGGTGGCAGATGCCTGTAATCCCAGCTGCTTGGGAGGCTGAGGCAGGAGAATTGCTTGAACCCGGGAGGCAGAGGTTGCAGTGAGCTGAGATTGCGCCACTGCACTCCAGCCTAGGTGACAGAGCAAGACTCCATCTCAAAAAAAAAAAAAAAAAATTTTAGTTTTACTGAGTTCTGTTTTTCTATACAGTGATTTTTCAATTAGCCCTAACTAGCAGAAAGTATGTGAGAAATTAAAATTCTAAGGCCTACAACTGACTGAACAGACCATCTCTTGGCCAAGGGGATCAGAGTAACCTTGAAAACTAAGTTCTCAGCCATGATTGTGTGAGAGGTCAGATATGGCTTGTTACACTTTCTCCCTGGCTAACTCTCTCCTAAGAGTACAACAGAAACTAGTCCTTTCACTGATAACAACCAGTCACTTGATGCTGCCCCACCGACCATGGAGTGGTTCTGGCCAGTCCACCCAGAATGCACAGTGAGGGTTTTTGTGTCCTCTGCTTTACATTTGATGTCAGAGAGCAAAAACATCACCCTTGGATCATGCTAATGCTTCTGTTTTTTTGTACGTGGGCCCCACGAAGGGACATAAAGCTGAACTGTGCATGCACTTTGTTTCTTCTTTCATAAATATTCATGACTCCTCCTATAGCTGATTGAATATGTATGTTTGGCCACCCTGCTAAGCATAAATTCCTGTTCCCTTTGCCCTTCCCTCAAAGTGTCTGTTTCCAGCTTCTGACTGGAGACTATGCTTCCCAGCATGTCAGAATGGCCACCCTGCAGGCTGCAACACTTATGAGGGTTGAAATTTATAAACTGGCATTTTTTAGTTGACATATGGTTTTTAAAAAAGGTTTTACTATTAAAAAATGGTATACGTATTTTAAAATTGTATTTCTTTCAGGTGTATGGACTGGTGGCTAAATTAATGATAACAACAATAATAATAGAATGGCTAACATTTATTGAGAGTTTACTATGTGACCGAAACTGTTCTGTTTCTTTCTTTTATTTTCAATCCTGCTCCTTTTGTACAGATACTGTTCTAAGTGCTGTATCCATATTAACTCATTTAATACTCACAATTCTATTAATGATTCACATTTTGCAGATATAGAAACTGAGGCATCTTGCTCCACCATGGCTTGATACTAGTGGGAATATGCAAAAGGGAAATTGAGATCAACTTAATTAAAGGTGGTGATGGAGATGACATTGTGCCTGAAGTCCCCCACAATGGCCTTCACTATGACTGTGTGACAGATAGCACTGCTCCCACTTCAATTGGAAATCTAAATGAGAAAAGCCAACCTACGAAGTACTGGGTAGTCTCTGATACATATTTAAAGTATGAGTTCTATTGCAGAAATGCAAATGACTTCAACCTTGGTGTCCTTTTGTGAGGAAACCTTTGACAGTAAGTGTGGAAATGATAACTTTTAATAATTTTTAAAAAAATTACTTGTGCAAATGTTGAAAGAAAATCACCAGAATTGTTTGCAACTGAAGAAAGAAAAGACTGAGCTAGAAGTAATACAATGAAGTCACTACCACAAACAAACAAACAAAAAAGTGCTTAAAACTCCCTCCAACGTCAGTGTCAGAATATCCTTGGAGGGTTAAGCTCATTTAGTAGGGGAAAATTTGGTGAGGCCCTGTTTGAAGAGATGGGTGAAAGAATGCAGGCAAAGGCAGCCAGGCTGAGAAAGATGCCATTTTGGTCATTGTTAACAAATGACACTTTGTACTGTGCTCAAAAGAATATTTGATGAGAGACTGAAATTAACCAAATTCTTTACCTTATTATTGTAGTATAGCATGAATTGAATAATTTGCTCAATTTTTTTCTTTTTCTCTATATTTTCTTTTATAAACTGGTAAGACATTTAAATTGGTCTATTTCTTGGTGATAAAATAGCTTGTAGAAAAGTTTTCCTATAAACACAAGAGTCTCATTAAAAAGCAGGTTATGTGCCAAAAACGTGTATTTATACACAAGTGAGAAACTCTTTCAGAGGCTAAACTTCAGGAGGAATATCTAGCATCAGGTTCTGTCTTTATTAATTCTTCAGTGCACAAGGGTATATTCATTAGCTGTTTTTATAACACGTAGCTGTGATGTAATTAGTGTTTCCAGAATGATAACTAATTATATTAGTACTATTTCATATTACATTGCACATTAGTAAGGTTAATTTGGCAACAGATTCATGGTTTCTCAAAGTTCAAACTACCTTTAATTTTGATATATTTATTTTGGAAAGATAAATTCTGACATTAAAACATTATAAATGTTTTATGAATAACTTGTACAGTATATTTTTAAAAAATGCTTATTTGATACTAGAGCTGGTTGGCCTTGCTCTAGTCTGTCATTTATCATGATCACTCAAAAAATAAAATAAATAATTGAGGGTTGGCATGTTTTTTTTAATTTATTAGTTGCTGTGGAAGTTACTCTTGGGAGTAATATTTCATCTTTGAATCAAGCCATAAATAACAGATGAGACTAATGGAAACTGTCTTTTAAATGATAAGGCATTTATATTCTAATTTTATAAAATTTTTCCTATAAGAAATGTAAAACAGTGCAGTGCTGGAATGATTAATTATTTTTGATTTAGTGAATAAAGGCATGGCAATTAAGAAGAAAGGCATCAGTGCTTAATATTTATTTCTACCCTTCTTCTTCTTCTATATAACTTCCCTGAATTCAAACCTAAATTAAAATCTGTTGTTGGACACATAGACCAATGGAACAGAATAGAGAACTCAGAAATAAGACTGCACACCTACAACCATCTGATCTTTGACAAACCTGACAAAAACAAGCAATGGGGAAAGGATTCCCTATTTAATAAATGATGCTGGGAGAACTGGCTGGCCATATGCAGAAAATTGAAACTGAACCCCTTCCTTACATCTTATACAAAAATTAACCCAAGATGTTTTAAAGACTTAAATGTAAAACCCAAAACCATAAAAACCCTAGAAGAAAATCTAAGCAATACCATTCAAGACATAGGCACTGTGGCAAAGATTTCATGACAAAAACACCAAAAGCAATCACAACAAATGCAAAAATTGACAAATGGGATCTAATTAAGCTAAAGAGCTTCTGCACAACAAAAGAAACTATCACCAGAGTGAACAGACAACCTACAGAATGGAAGAAAATTTTTGCAATCTATCCATCTGACAAAGGTCTAATATCCAGAGTCTACAAGGAACTTAAAGAAATTTACAAGAAAAAAGCAACCCCATTAAAAAATGGACAAAGGACATGAACAGACACTTCTCAAAAGAAGACATTCATGTGCCCAACAAACATATGAAAAATGTTAAACATCACTGACCATTAGAGAAATGCAAATGAAAACCACAATGAGATACCATCTTATGCCAGTCAGAATTGTTTCTTGGCAATTATTAAAAAGCCAAGAAACAACATATGCTAGCGAGTTTGTGGAGAAAAAGGCATGCTTTTACACTGTTGGTGGGAACGTAAATTAGTTTAACCTTTGTGGAAGACAGTGTGACTATTCCTCAAAGATCTAGAACCAGAAATAGCATTTGACCCAGTAATTCCATTACTGGGTATATACTCAAAGGAATATAAATCATTCTGTTACAAAGATACATGTACGTGTATGTTCATTGCAGCACTATTCACAATAGTAAAGAAATGGAATCAATCCAAATGCCTATCAATGATAGACTGGATAAAGAAAATTTGATGATATGCACCATGAAATACTATGCAGCCATGAAAAGGAACAAGATCATGTACTTTGCAGAGACATCAATGGAGCTGGAAGCCATTATCCTCAGCAAACTAACGCAGGAATAGAAAACCAAACCCACATGTTCTCACTTACAAGTGGGAGCTGAACAATGAGAACACATGGACATGGGGAGGTGGGGAACAACATACACTAGGGCCCATCAAGGGGACGGGGGAGGGAGAGCAGCCCGAAAAATAGCTAATGCATGCTGGGCTTAATACCTAGGTGATGTGTTGATCTGTGCAGCACACTTTTACCTAGGTAACAAACCCGCACACCCTGCACATGTGCCCCAGAACTTAAAAGTTGAAGAAAAAAAGAATCTGTTGTTGAATTTTTCCCTCCAGCTTTTTCCTCCTTTTGTTCTATTGTTAGTAGGTCTATACTCTCAATCTTAATACTAGTTATGGATTGCTATTGAATATAAAGAATATCATATTGCATTTAAGGATACTTCTGATTTTTAGAAAATAGAATTCCTTGTCTGTCAGACTTCATCAGTGGTATCTTGTATTGTCAGTTGTTCTTTAATGTAAATGTTCTACCTCCCTAGCTATACTGTACATGTTCCTTGAGGAAAGACATGACTCTTAGACTATTTTATATTGTCAATGTCTTAACTCAACAATCTTGATTATTTAAGATATTTTAGCAAAGTTACGTTTATGAAGATTCAAGGAATATTTTAAATATTGAATTTATCCATATTCTACTAAGTTCGAATCTCCAAATATATAGAAAATATTTTCAATAATGAAAACCAACCAACTTTTTTATCAACAAGTTATTCTTCAGCAAGATATTTTGATTATTGCTGATTTTTCTGGTGAAAAATACTCTTGATTTTAAGATGAAGAAAATATGTAAAACATTTATGGCATGACATTGAAGCTCATTTTTCTGTAACTTTATGGGTCATTATCGTTCACCAAGATATCTTTGAAATTTTAAAGACTTACCTTCTAGATACTTATTAGTCTTTAATACAACTATAGGTGGGCTTCTGGCTCAGAGTGCTTTCAATTTCTAAATTGATAGAAGAAGAGATAAAAGACTAGTAAAGTGTGTTTTAATGTTAAATGTTTTTTAAATGGAGAATTAAATGCATCGTGTTGGGTTGAGTAAACACCAAGTGTTCTATGGTTTATAGCAGGTAGATGACCAAATGTGTGGAAGCAGGACACATAGGACACAGCACAGCTTTTTACTGGGGAAGCAGGAAACATAATATGTGTGACATTTGAAATAGGTGTTAATGGAAAAAAGAAGTTTGAGAGTCAGGGAAGGGGAGAAGAGCATTTCAAGTAGAAGCCCAGAAGAGAGAAGGGGAGAATGCTTGGAGAGTTGTGGCAGGAGGTGAGAAGAGAGATGGAAAATAAAGGTGCAATGAAGAAAGCTCTTGCATTCGTTTCCTAGGGCTGCTGTAACACATTACCACAAACATGGTGACTTGAAACAACATACATTTATTCTCTGACAGTTCTGGAGGCCAGAACTCCAAAATCAAGGCATTCAGAAGATTGATTTTTTTTTTTTTCCTAAGAGCATCTGTTTCATGCCTCTCTTCTAGAATGAGGTGGCCACCAGTAATCCTGGATATTCCTTGGCTTGTAGACCCATCACTCCATCTGTACCTCAGTCTTCATACTACCTTCTCCTCTGTGTGTCTCTGTGTCTTCTCTTTTGTACATATATTATAAGGAAAGTGTCACTTGATTTAGAACCCACCCTAAATCCAGGATAATCTTATCTTGAGATCTTTAATTACATCTGCAAAGACCCTCTTCCCAGTAAGGTGACATTCACAGATTCTGGTGGACATAGCTTTTGTGGAGCTGCAGTTTGACCCATTACTTGCCTTTTGACAAGGCCTTAATGTGCCATTTTTACGTTTGTTATGTGGAAGGTGATACTGGTTGGTAGAGAATGGACAGATAATGAAGGCTTGAATTAAGGAAAGCAGGCTTGGAGAAGGCAGCTGGATTTAAACAGAAATTTCTGCAGTAAAATATACTGGATTGAGTGATTTCATGTGGGTGGGAGTGAGAGTGATCTTGGAGATGAGAAATTTGAGGTGCCTGTGAAACATTTAGGAGCAAATATTTTGCAGTAGTTAGAAATGGGGCTTTGGCATGATCATGCCACTGCACTTATCTGGGCAGCAGAGTGAGACTCTGTCTCAAAAAAAAAAAAAAAAAAAAAAAGAAAGAAAGAAAAGAAAAGAAATGGGGCTCTGAGGTTCAGGAGAGAGTTTGTTTGGTGAATTGTTGGATGAGTGGCTCCCAGTGAACCACACCTGTGAGTATTCATGTCCTTGTCCCTCTCTCAACTGATGTGCTTGGCTATATAATTGGCTTTGACCAATGGGGCATTAACAACTATTATATAGGCTTGATAGGCTCTTGCATATTGGGCTTACCCTCTTGCAACACTCCCTCTTGAAACCCAGATGCCATATTGTAAGGAAGCAGGTTATCCTGCTGGAGACAGAAGCCACGTAAAGAGGAACTGGAAAATTAGATACAATGTGGAAAGAGGCCTCCTGGAGAAAAACTGAGCAGCCTCAGCCACAAGTCAGCACTGAGGCCCTAGATATGTATG
The DNA here is from genome assembly GCF_000001405.40 of Homo sapiens. Taxonomy (NCBI): domain Eukaryota; kingdom Metazoa; phylum Chordata; class Mammalia; order Primates; family Hominidae; genus Homo; species Homo sapiens. The sequence continues at coordinate 178,076,863 of NC_000002.12, read as the reverse complement.
AGAGGCCTTACTGGACCATCCAGCACATCCCAGCTGCCAGTTGAATGCAGCCACATGAGTGACTTCAGCCAATACCAAGTGAAAGAGAAGAACCACTAGTTAACCTACAGAATTGTGAGAAGTAGGAAAATTGTTGTTTTAAGTAACTAAGTTTTCAGCCTCCCTTTACATATTTGATGATGCTCAGTGGTCACACAATAAAAGTCAGTAATGTCTGTTTTAGGAGACGAATAATTAGGAGGCAAACTTAGGAGACAGAAATTCATTGGGCTTTAAGAGGTTAATACCAAATTGTGAGATGTTGCTAAGGGTGGGATGGAACTATGAGATCAGAGGTTGGCCTGGCAGGTGACTTTGGAGGAGTTATGTGTCCACTCTAGATTTCAATGTAACCATGAGCAAAATGTGGAAAGCATAGTACTAGAAGAACTATAAGCTTCCATCCAGTACTAAAATGTAATGGGATAACAAAAGTTATCTTGCCTGCCACCCAATGTTTTGCACATTGAAAGTACTCAATAAATGCTGATTGGCCATGATAAAGAAATAAATACTTATATTAAAAAGGAACTCCTCATTCTTGAAAAATACAAATAGGAAGTCTCCTTTATCTTCTTTAATGAGAGGCTACTTGGACAATCTTTACAGACTGATAGAGATGGGAAAGGGTAGATGGAGAAGGAGCCTGCAGAGCCTCTTCCTTGCTCTGAGTGATCTATCTTCACAGTATCATGCCTTTTCACGTGTGATAGTGCCCTGGGGGATTCTATGGACTGCACAGTATCTTCACAATATCACACCTTTTCTGGTATGATAGTTTGTGCCTGAGGGGGCTTTATAGACTGCAAATGTTGTCATGGAGTGTATTATAGATAGTTTCGATGGAATTAGCAGATAAGCAGAAGAGGTCAGAATTACACAGAAAATTATATGGAGCTATATTTCCTAAAGGGAAATATATTTTTATTTTCTTTACCAAAGGAACCCCTTCAAGGTTCCATATTGGCCATTCTTTCCTAGTGGGACCTCTTCCATTATTTCCTAAGGGGACCTCTTCAAGTTTCCATATAGGGCCAAGAATCATCCTTTCACCCTTTCAGATCTTATACAGATCCTGCTTTGTCCCCTCCTACTCTTTGCCCAGTGAGGATGAGGTATCAACAGGCTTCAATACCTTCTAGCTTGTATCTGGTTGCTGATAGAAGGGAGGGAAAAGAATAAGTTCCAGCTATTATTAATATTTACTCCTAATATCCCTCCTTTGAGGTTAGCTTGAGCTGTTGATGTCTTTTTTTTTTTTTTTTTTTTTTTTGAGACAGAGTCTCACTCTGTTGCCCAGGCTGGAGTGCAGTGGTGCGATCTCAGCTCACTGCAACCTCTGCTTCCCAGGTTCAAGGGATTCTCCTGCTTCAGCCTCCTGAGTAGCTGGGATTACAGGTGCATGCCACCATTCCAGGCTAATTTTTGTATTTTTAGTAGAGATGGGGTTTCGCCATATTGGGCAGGCTGGTCTCGATTCTTGACCCCAAGTGATCTGCCTGCCTCATCCTCCCAAAGTGCTGGGATGACAGGCATGAGCCACCATGCTTGGCCTGTTGATGCCTTTTGATGGGCTGTCATTGCTCCCCTCAAGGCAGAAGTCACTATCCAATCTTCTTTCCTTCCAAGTCCTAGTAACTTTTTCCTCCTCTTCCCCTCATGTCTAGGGGTGGTAACTTCTCTACCGCTATGAGTCCCAGGTTTCTTCACTGTTTCTGTCATTTACCTATATTCCACCTTTGTAATTTGTTCCTTTGTAAATTAACCTTCTTGGAATTTAATTTGAGTGTGCTCTGTTTCCTGTTGGGACTATGACTAATACACATACCATTCTGCAGATTGAGAGTGAAGATAAATGGCAATGTGGCCACACCAACACACATCTTATTATCAGCCCTCCATTACAGCCCTCTGGACTATCTTATGTGTGCTTTCTGTCACTTTCTCATTTTCTTCCCCAACCATTAACTCCTTTAGTGACCTCACACACCAAGCAGGGAACATGGCTACAGCCGATTCAAAACGCAGCTCGAAATGTTGCATTCAGTTTTTCGGATTTCTCTTCTATTGCTTTCCCCATCCTTCCCAGTATTCTTCTCCACTCTCACTTCTCTTGGTGCTGTAGACGGAGATCTTTAGTCAAAAGCACAGCTTTTGTCTTGGTCTTCTTTTGTCCCCAGAGCCTGGAACATGATAAATGCCAAACAACTGCTTGTATAATGAATACATGGAAGATGGAATTAAGGAAGTGTCTTTATTAAACTTTCTGTTTCTAGGAAGCCCAGGGTTGGTCTACTTCTCTCACTTCCCTGAGAAGCTCATTGCTTCATTTTCATCAGATCTCTACTCAGTGCTTTTCTTGTCTCCGTGCACAACACTGCTGCTGTATTATCACCAGTCTCAGGGTAGTAAATGTTTTTTGTTCTTATCTTGTAACAGCTTTATTGAAATATAACTTACATACCATACGATTCATTCAATTAAATGTACAATTCAATGAATTTCAGCATATTCAGATTGTGCAACTATCACCACAATCAATTTAGAACATTTTTATTACCCCCCACACCCCCCAAAAAACTCATACACATTAGCGTCACCCACTTCCTCTCCATCTAGAAAGTAATCTACTTTCTGTCTGTATGGATTTGCCTATTCTGGACATTTCTTACAAATGAAATTTTACACTATGTGGTCATTTGTGAGTGGCTTCTTTCATTTTGCATGATGTTTTTAAGCTTCATTCGAGTACTAGCACGTGTCAGTGCTTTATTCCATTTTATGATTGAATAATATTCCATTGTATGGAGTTATCACATTTTATTTGTCTGTTCCTCAGCTGATGGACATTTGGATTATTTCCACTGCATATCCGTAAATGTTTAACAATTAGCAGTCCATTAAAAAAAAAAAAACCCTGACACATAACATTTGCTGATTTCCATGGTGTAAACATTCCCGTTGTGACTGATTGCAAACTCCATGATGTGACTGAATACAGAATTGGAAAGAGATTTTAAAATAGGCACTTGTGAGTCCTTACAAGCCAGTTTCAACATATCACTAACCATCTTTACTGATAGATCACTCAAGTGACCAGAGACATAGCTACATTCAGTAAAGTTTCCATACATCGTCACCTTAGAATAATAATAATAACAAAAGTAATACAACAGCTAACATTTACTGAGCACTTTTTATGTGCCAGGCACTATGCTAAACGTTGTTTTTTTTCTTTTTAAATCTTGATCACCACTCACCTTCTTGGAAACCAGCAGCTCCAAATTACCAGGATTCTATGCTTGGTTTACTGTCTCCTAGCTGGTCTCCCTGCTGTTAATTAAATACTCCAGACTCTTCAGCACTTACTTCCTCTACCTGGTAAACTCTTTTTCTGTACTGTGTTTTACACCCTTTCTCTGTGTAATCTGTCTCTGCCCCAGGTACATGAATTTGGTTAAAGTCATGAATTGCTCACATCGGAAACTTTATTTGCTATTTTCGGGGAAATGCCATTCCATTAATATTTACTGAGCACCCACAAGGCGCTGGGCAGTGTTAGTGAGCAAGTCCCAGGAATCCTGGGAACCAACAATCCACAGTCACATCCCAGAAAAATAACCCTGCCTGTCTCTGAGGGTGAACGACACTCTCGATTCCTCGGAGTCCGCTTCTGTGTTCAGATCCCTGCAAAACATCAACACTTGTATCTCGGACTCCCACTGGGCTCCCGCTGGGCCTCCTCGAAACGCTAACGGATTAAGGGGCGCGGTGAGTAGGGAGGGTTGGGGAGGTAAGGGAGCAAGAAGCGGGGAAGGAACAAGGTGCGTTTCCCTCTTCTAATCGTGTTCCAATCAGGAGTCCTGTACCCAGGCGCCGATTCCGGCCGTCCAGAGACTCTTCCAGGAACCGCCTGGCAGCCTGGGCCGTGGACTTTGGCTGGTCTGGCGTCCGCGGCTCCCTCCTCTTCTCTCCTCCCTCCAGGCTCCGTGCCTCACTCAGGGGCGTGTCCTGCCCTACCTCCCTGTCACAGCGGTCCACTCATCCGGTTACAGCAGCAGTTCCAGCAGCAGCGGCGGCAGCCAGAACAGGAGCAGCGATAGCTCGGGTTTCCGGAACAGGAGCCGGGGCAGCGGCGGCAGCTCAGTGCTGGGCACCTGTGCGGAGCAGGAGTAGCAGGACCACGGGGTGGGGTCGGCGCCAGCCACTCTGAGCCAGAGAAGGAAGGGGCATCTCCCAGATTCCACTGCTGGGAATAATCTCCAGGGGAGGTGGCGCTGAACTGGGAATACTGGTGGGGGTGAACATGTGCAGGAACAGCTAGAGGCCTCGGGGCAGGAAAACATTTGGTTCACGTGTAAACAGGCAAGGAAAGCTGTCTGGGACCATGGCAGCCTCCCGCCTGGACTTTGGGGAGGTGGAAACTTTCCTGGACAGGCACCCAGAGTTGTTTGAAGATTACTTGATGCGGAAGGGGAAGCAGGAGATGGTTGAAAAGTGGCTGCAGAGGCACAGTCAGGGTCAGGGGGCTTTAGGTCCAAGGCCCTCTTTGGCTGGTACCAGCAGCTTGGCTCACAGCACCTGCAGAGGTGGCAGCAGCGTTGGTGGTGGCACTGGACCAAATGGCTCTGCCCACAGCCAGCCCCTTCCCGGTGGCGGGGACTGTGGTGGGGTTCCCTTGAGTCCCAGCTGGGCCGGTGGCAGCAGGGGCGATGGGAACCTGCAGCGGAGAGCTTCTCAGAAAGAGCTAAGGAAGAGTTTTGCCCGCTCCAAGGCCATCCACGTGAACAGGACCTACGATGAACAGGTGACCTCCCGGGCTCAGGAACCCCTGAGTAGTGTACGACGGAGGGCACTTCTCCGGAAGGCAAGCTCCCTGCCCCCCACCACAGCCCATATTCTCAGTGCGCTGCTGGAATCGAGAGTGAATCTGCCTCGGTATCCCCCTACAGCCATCGACTACAAGTGCCATCTGAAAAAGCATAATGAGCGTCAGTTCTTTCTGGAATTGGTCAAAGATATCTCCAATGACCTTGACCTCACCAGCCTGAGCTACAAGATTCTCATCTTTGTCTGCCTTATGGTGGATGCTGACCGCTGCTCTCTTTTCCTGGTGGAAGGGGCAGCTGCTGGCAAGAAGACCTTGGTCTCCAAATTCTTTGATGTGCATGCAGGAACACCTCTGCTGCCTTGCAGCAGCACAGAGAACTCAAATGAGGTGCAGGTCCCCTGGGGCAAAGGTATCATTGGCTATGTCGGGGAGCATGGAGAAACGGTCAACATTCCTGATGCCTACCAGGTAGGACTTTGCATTGTCCCCTTCTCCCAGAGCCCCATTGGCTTGGGAGATAAGCCTTCGGTTATCATCTGGCATCCAGGAACACATTAATTTAGGCTCTTTACAATACAAATTTTGCTATTTAAATTCCCGAGTTTAGACTAGTTAGAATGTTACTACGGCATCTTTGATGTGTTGGTCCTTTCTTAACACCCAATGGCTTGTGGGAAGTTAATATATCACCCAATAACACCACGTATTTCTCTGTCAAGACACTTTGTCTTTAACACTGACACTTTGGCTGGTCTGGCATCCACAGCTCCCTCCTCCTCTCTTTAATATGTCAATGTGTGGTTTTAGTATGTGTTTGTGAGTTGCTAGAAAAAGATGTGTGCTCCAGAATTCCGGTGTTAAGATGAGCATTTTGGTGTCTTTGGTGTCTTTTGGGGACCATAATGCTTCATTCTCTAAGTCAATATTGGAAAGAGAACAAAGTGCTTAACTACTTCCCTGTTCCCTTCTCTAGATTAGAGTTGCACAAGTGGTAAGCTAGGGAAAAGAGGAAAAGAAGAGGAATGTCAGGGGAAAAATGGTCCTGTGACTCACTTGTGCCTTCTTAGTATCGTAACTGTTTCTGTTATTAAGATTAGAAAGATTGGACAGATAGAGGGGCTAGTTATCTTTAGGCTCAAATATAGCATTATCTGTAGTCAGCTTTGATAGGACTGAGCAAGTAGGTTTTTAATTTATGAAACAAACAACAAATATTGATAATTTTTTAGCAACTCCAAAGCCATCAGCAGGGTAAACATGTTAGTTTCAAGTGGAAAAGGAAACCCAACATGCTCTCATCTGGGTTTTCTGAGCCTTTCATTTTCACAGCATTTTGAACTTGATATTAGATGCTGGATCTGAAACCAGTCCATTCTAATTTCTTCAGTACTTATTCACTGAATATGATGAGACTTGATGTTATTTTCTATGAGACTTCTTCAGGGTTCATAAGAATTAAAAATTCTCATCCTTGGTTAGGAAAGTTTTATAGTCATCTGGTAAGTACTTCTTCCAGTGGTCTCAGGGAGCTACATGTTTCTCTAGAGTTTAGTTGCTGTTGCTGAGAATAGCAAAAAGAGTGGGAAGGACACTAAAGGTAAAATTTTATCTATTTCATCTGAAAGTTGACAATTTTACATAGAAAATTGACTAGCTTGTACTAAAGCCAAGTTTCATATTTTTGTGAGATATCTGCCAACCTAACACTTTAATATTAAAGGATGTTTCTCAAAATACCATTTTTGTTAACTTTTTATTATAGACTAAGTGCATTATTCATTGTATCTTTCTTGGAAACTTTAAAAGGTGTAGGTGAAGCAACAATGAGTGGTTTTCAACAAGTGTTTATTCCTCTACAATCCTAGAAAGCTATGAGAAGAAATATAAGCATTTAATAATTCATATGTTGAAGATTCTATAAAAATTTTGTCACAAATTATTATTTCTAGAGAAATAAAACAATCACACATTTTCTTCTTTCCAATTTTTTTTTCCCACATCCTTTTTGTATGCTTGGGCTAAAGAAAAATCCCTTCCTAGTTCAATGATACTTATTCCAGCCTAGGGTTGCAGCCTTTTCTCTTTATTGCCCTTACTTTTGAACTTCATCCCCAATTGATTTTCTCCCATTTCTATAGCTTTTATTTCTTACCGTCCTCTTTCAGGCCCTAACCTTTATTTCATACTGTCCTTTCTTTAAGAGCATAATTCTTAGCCTCTTCAACAGTTAACTTGTCTTGCTGCTGTCTAGAATTGTGGCTGTAGGTGTCATCACAGGCAGGGGAAAGCAGGTTTTCAGCAGCTGATGCTTCCTGTGGGCTCTACCCTTACTCTGCAGAGTGTAAAGCAAAGTTGCCTTTTAATATTTTTGGAAGCTGACATTGGGAAAGAGGAGTTTTTTTTTTTCCCTTTTCCCCCCAGAGTAGTAATGATGGCCACAAAAGGGGACTGGGTTGTTGGGAGGACTGGCAAAAGGCAGGTAGGGGAAACGTGCTGTATGGGTTGGGAATTTACCCTTGGTTTACCTTGTTTTCATTTGGTTAGAAAGTTTCTCTTTTCTTTTTCCATTGGCTTCTTTTATGTATCTCTGTATTTTTAACTTGGTGTAGTTTTCTTCATTTTACTTATGCTACTCTTCTTTGATAAAGCTACTTTTTTTTCTTTATTATGGGACGCTACAGTCACCAATGGTGTGACCTTGGAGAATTTCTTAATCTCTCACAGCCTCAATTTCCTCACCCATAAAATGGGGACAATAATACCTACCTAGCAAAGATTATTTTTGTTTATCTCAATAAAATGAGATATTGTGTCAAAGCCCCTAAAATAATATCTGGTACATTGCAATTACCCAGGAAATGGTTACAGTTTATGAAGATAATGATGATACCTAGTTTGCTGATATTCTTTTTCTTTCTGTTTACCTTATTTTATATTGTTTTTCTCCTTATCTGGAACTGAGATGTGAAGTCAGCACATTTTGACCAGCCTAATCTTTTCCATGCTCCACCCTTAAATTAAGTATTTTGAAACCAGGTTTACATTCAAGGAACATGAAAATATCTATCCTTCCATTCTCTACTTAAAATGTCCCTAAATGTGGTTTGGTAACACTATATCCTAGCCTATCAAAAGTTCTATACTTTGTTCCTGTTAGTAAGACATGCAGTATAAACTTTTTATAGGGTTGTTGTAGGGAAGGATGTTGCATCCTTCCCCAGTTCTAGCATTTTCCTCCATCCTTTGCATTTCCTGGTGTTACAGATTTCTCTTAATGAAAACCGACAACCTTCCAAATACATGTTCTTTTGTGATGATGTTTTAATTTGTACCATATATGCAAGCATCTTGAAGTTTCTATGTAAATATGTAACCATCCTTCCTGATTCTTTGTTAACTACTATATTTTTAAGGTGTTTCTTGCTCAGCTTCAGACAGTGTATTTTTTCTTCAGGAGGTAAGGTTTTTTTTTTATCACACAGAATTTCCAAATTTAATCATTTAATAATTATATTGATGATACTCTTGGGGGTTCCTAATATGGGCAAGAGAAAGGCATTGAAGAGACAAAATTATGATGATAAGCGTGGCATTCTGGAGTCAAGGGTAGAATATTTAATGAAATGCTAAAATTGAATAGAAGTTCTGACAGCCCAAAACCCCTCAGTTTATTTCATTATTTTGCATTACTTTCCTCAATTAGTCCTAAAAGACAGACTTGAAATTAGGAAAAAAATAAATCGTAAATGGAAAAAAAAAAAACATTCATTTTTAGGTATCCAGTCCAGATCATAGTGACTGCAGTATACCTTTCCCCAGATAGTTATAAGTTATTTAACAGTCCACTTTAATATAGTAATGAAAAAATTGCCCTCAAGAGGTTGAAAATAAGAGCATTCAAGTAACAGGTGTTCTCTGAGATTATTCTAAGCATTCAGAATATAGCACTTTAAACATTCATAAAAATCGTGAGGTGAATTTTTGTCAGTGTTGATAATGATAATACAGGTGTTTGATGGGCTTGGGTGTGAAAAGCAGCAGGATGTTTTGTTAGATGAACTGAGAGCAGGAAAGGGGATGACGCTGAAGGGTTACAGGTGCGCCTGCCTTTCAGAAGGCCTGATCTGTTTACACAACAGCTTCATTTATTCATTAGTTCCAACAAACATGCACAGAAAGAGCCCATTATCCCCAAGGCCTTGGGTAGAGGGCCTATCGGTGTACAAAGGGCAGGATATGCTTCTGCTCTCCAAGGGTGTACAGTAGACAGCCATGTACTGTCCACAAAAAACTAGTACCAAGCTGTACAAACTAAATGATGTTAGTCTTGGACAAGTATGGAGTCACTTTGTGACTGGGCTCATAATGAAAGACTTCATGGAGGAGGCACCATTCCAGCTATAAATAGGATTAGATTTTCCAGTTAGAGATAGTTGTGGGGTAGGGAGAAGTGATTCCAAGTCCAACAAAATAGCTTTAGCAGAGACACAGTGATGACCAAGCATAAAATATGTATAAGGGAGAGTGAGTGGTTTAATTTGGCCAAAATATTGCATATTGCATATATATGACATTCTATTGTCATAGAATGATTTGCAAAAGTAAGGTGAGGACAAAAGAAGGAAGGACTTTGAACACCTAGCTAAAGAGTTTGAACTTCACCAAGAGTAGGCCACAGGGAGCCATTAAAAATATCTTAGCATGATCAAAGTGGTGTTTTGGGTAACCTGGTGGCAGCAGCTGAATGGATTGAACAAGGAGAGGCTCAAAGCTGTGGAAATGATTAGGAGTCTACTGTCATGGTCTGGTGGAGCCATGATGAACAATTAAACTCAAGCATGAACAGTGGGAATGGGCAGAAGGAGACAGATGGGAAGTGGCCTGTGGGTTTGGATTTGGGAAAGGAGGGAGGGAGGGCAATGATGACTCAGATTCTAAACCCAGGAGATATGAGGAAGTGTGATGCCTTTATCCAGAACAGGGAGAGAAGCTGGGTTAAGGGGAAAGATTCTAAGTAGGGCCAGCTACATAATCTGTGGAGCCTAGTGCAAGATGGTAAAGCAGGACTCTGGCCGGGGTTAAAGAAGTCAGTCTCCCCTTCCCAAGAGTCTGTCCCCTAATCCATAGCAAGCTCCAGTCTGAGAGTCCGAAGGGATTGCAACCTCTAGGCTGAGGCATTCTCAGTATTTGGATTGAAGGTGGGCAAGGGGCCCCCGCTGAATTGCCTGCCTGAGGTGCCATGCTGCTGCCAGCTCTGGGTGAGGAGGGCCACATCCTTGCACTTCCCTGAGGTGGTGTGGGGCATGCACCTGCCCTTCTCCGTACCCTCCCTAGACCCCATCTAAGAGCAGAGTGCAATGGCAGACATGAATGTGGGCCTCTCCCTCAGCCCATGTGACCTGGTTGCTAAGGGCAGAGGTGAGACTGGGAAGGATGGGTGAGGCCTGGGACACCATGGAGCGGGGATCAGGTGGCCAAAAACCAGTCCTGGGCAGGCAGTGGGAGGGGAGACTGTATGTGAACCAAGGTTCTGGACTCTGGGGCTCATACTCCATTGTTCCATTGGACTATGCTTACAAAGCACAAATTCAATGATAAAAAGTATTAAGAATCTCGCACAGCATAGCATTAAACCTCAAGCAGGGGTCTTTCATGCCACTGCACTGGTCACATGCTCACGAAGCGGGCCCTGAATCTGAGTCATATGGAGTCTAAGGTAGAGAAGTTCAATCTTAATCCAGCCTTGTCTACTTCAGCCCTTCATGTGGCCTCAGCACCATCCTAATTAAATTATAGGCTGTTTTCAATGCCCAGATAGTGCTTTTCTATTCCTGTATTTTGCATCCTTTCTGCCAGGACTACTTCTTCTCCATCTTTGCTCATTTAGAACCTGCTTGCCTTCTCATGATATGAGAAGAGAGAGCTGAGTGCCTTATCCTTGAAGAGAGGAGTTGGAAAACAACACAAAAAATTATACATAAAATTGTATTTAAGAATGCATTATAATATGCTGATATATATTTATTATATATATTTTCTAATAATATGAATAACAATATTTAGTACTTCATTGAATTTCAGTTTTCTTTTTGGAATAATCTCCATTGAAATAATCACATTGAAAGTGTTTGCCTCAGGAGGAATTAATTTTGGGTGTCTAGAAAATTCAGCGATGAGAGTGCTTCGTTCCCTGATGAGCCAGTGCTGATAGATATGGTCTACACTCATGTTATTGAGTTGCTGAGATTTGTCTAAAAAGGCAGATGTTGATCCTACTCCAACACTGATATTATAAAGGAGTTTCATGAAATCTTATTCCAGCTTTGCACAGTGTTTAAAAAAAATTCCCCCAAGCGCGCAAACATGTTCACTAGCCCAGAACCAGAGTTGATTTTGTGTTTGAAGTAGGAAACTCTGCTATTTCAGCCTCTCTTCCTGACAGACACATGATCGTGATAAACACAAGGACAAATTACATTTGCTGCTTTGTACATGAGGATAGATTACAGAAAGGCACAGTTCCTACAGAATCATGTAAAGGTAATTTAAGGTTAACTAAATTTTTTTCCCAACCCATAAGCTAAATGTTTACTATTCTGACCAATTTATTTTGGTTCCTGAGGTTTGGGTCACCTGTTTATTGACAAGCCTGGCTTAATTTGGAAGTTAGGGTTTCATGTTGAATATAATGTTGAAGAGTCATACAAACTTTTCTCTGAAACAGCTTTTAGTTGTTTTATAGGAAAGTCAACAAGGTCCTTGAGGTACATTGCTTGCTGCTTATTTTAAGGGTAGTATTTTGCCATATAACCACATTCTTTTGGAAAGTGAAATTTTAATCAGATAAAGGCAGTTTAATCATAAAAGAGTGGGTTAAGTTGCTAATATTTTAGGAGAAGTTTCAGTTCCTGGTCATTTATAGGCATTGAGGCTATATTTATTTATTTGGATTAAAATAGTAAAGAAGGTTTTCTGGCATTAAAAAATATACTTTCTATAATTCCTGAGGTTTTTTTCATTAATTGGTTGTTTTTGACTGAACAGTGGTTTCATATATTAATGACAAATTATGTTTCCTATCATAAAATATAGCTTAAAGGCTGTCGCAAATTCAGGAGAAAAAATCTTTTTTTCCTGAAGAAAAAAAAAGGGGAAACCTATGAGATACCTCTTTAGGGTGTCTATTTTTTTCTTTTTTTTAGAGACAAGATCTTACTATGTTGCCCAGGCTGAATTAAAACTCCTGGGCTCAAGTGATCCTCCCACCTCAACCACATGAGTAGCTGGGACTATAAATGTGTGCCACTGAGCCCGGCAGGGTGTCTACTTTTTTTTTTTTTTAACATAATAACAGAAGGTAGAGGGAAGCTTCACTGTGGATGAATAGTAACTTCATTTATGGAGTACTAACTTTGAGCCACACAGCTCGTTAGCAAGCATTGTCTCTTTTAATCCTCTCAACAATCCCCTGAGGTAACTATGACCACACCCATTTTACAAAAGGAGAAACTGAGGCTTGGACAGTTTAAGTAATTTGCTTAAAGTGACTCCGTTGGTAAGTGAGGGAGCTGACTCCCTTATTCTCTTCAAGTTATTCTGTTTATTCGTGAGATTCTGTATCCCCAAAGACAGTCCATAAAAGGTAACCTTGGCCGAACACACCTACAGCGAAGAGGTGACTTTGATCTAGTTTGTGCAACCTGTTCTCTGTACAACCTCATTAAATCCATTTGCCTGACAATTGAATTCTTAGGTTACTAATAACATTGTTAAACTGTAAAAGGCATCAGAGTGTGACAGAACATGCTCTAGACTTACAGTCAGGAATTGTGGTTCTATTCCCAGTTCTGCCTTAGTTTTTTAGCTATAATATAGGGATAATATGTTCAGACATGTCTACCCCATAGTATTTTGTAAACCTCTAATCATCAAATCTAATCATTAGATGGCAATGAGATAATGGAAAAGCATTTTCCAATGGATAAAGTCAGAAATGTAAGGCCTTATTAATGTTTTAAAATACACAGTCCAGAAGGCTTTATTCACAGTGTTGTCTTTGGAAAGGGCTTTGAACATAATAGGAGAGTTTTGATCTAAAATGTGGTAGTACCTGTATTGACTATAATTCCACATTTTCTGTGTTCTTGATGTTCTAGCATTTGAGGCTTACGACCCTGGAGAGAATGCCCCTCCCAGGGCTAGCTAATTTCTGGAGAGAGTGAAGAACTCCCTTTTGAGGGTACCTCTGATATATAAATCAGCCGATCCAGAGCCCTAACTATCTCCTTTATCAAAATCTCATACACCCAGACAATATTCTCCTTGCCCTAAATCACCCAGGGCCAGGTACCCAACAACTAAAGACCACTCCTATAGCCCATAGTTTGCCAAAATTATTCAAACTAGCCAATCCTAAACTTACTCAGCTACCTACCCTGTCTAGTTCATCCTTCCCTGAAGACCCTAGTAAAGGTTCTGTGCCATGCTCTGCCCTGTTTCTGCCTCTGGACTGACCCTGGCCTTTCCCTATGCGGCCCTGCACAGTGTGCCATGCCTCCCGTTTCTAGGGTCTGTGAGTATGAACTTTCTTCATGACAGTCATTTCTGTGTTTGCTTTACCATACCCCATTAAAACAAATCCTAGGTACTGTTTAACACAGTACCACACATACATAATCCCTGAAACACAAGAAATGATTACTTTAAAATGTAAAGAGATCAAATCCTTTAAATGAATATTATGCTGTCAGGATTTAGAGTCCATAATAAATATTCTACCTTTGACAAACACAGATATGTTAAATTTCTTGTTACAATTGATCAACATGCCTATTTTTCTAGTACAAAATGCAATTTCCGAAGTATACATTGGGTCTCTGTGAAATAAATCCCCATATGAAATCTCCAAGTTGATGATTTGTAGTTTTGTTGTCAAAATATTAAAAATTTTTAAAAATGATGGTATTTGGCTCAAGCACTTGCAAACTAAATCAATTCTAGCAGCTGGCATTAAAGAATAAATGAACACTAAATCTCATGCCTATAATCAAGATCTAATAATTTAGTAGGCTAAGTATATCTATGACACAATTTTATTGCAGATGTGTTGACTATTCCTTATATAAAACATAGGCTTTCTTTATGTTTTTGTGTTTGGAAATGATGATACTTTTAATACTAGCATTACATTTTTGCATTTATGTTGCATGTACTACTTTATCAGATTACCAGAATGTTTTAACCTTTACATTTTTCAATTAAAAAATTAAATGGTACTCCTTTTTCATTTAAATGGGTATGCACAGTTTAATGAACTAACAGTTTTTATGGGTATTTGGCAACTTAATATGCATGATTACATATTTAAAGTTTTCATAACAGCTGTAATGGCATTAAGAACTGCAGGCTTGGGACACTGTGGGAAAGATTATCCCAGGGTTGCTCAAGAAACCAGTCCAGATTTTTGTTCTTTTCTGAATAAAGTCCTCTGGAAAAGTGAAGCTCTAATTCCCTCTTTCTAATGGCCACCTTTATGGCTACTCACACTTCCCTGTTAGCCTCTTTTTCCTTTTGCTTCCAGAGAACCACTAAGTGAGAGGGTGCACACTCTGTTACTCTGTGCAACTGCTAAGGTAGCTTCTTTTTTTTTTTTTTTTTCTGTCTTCAGGTATATGAGACTGGAGTCAGATTCTCTCACTTCCCCATCTTTGATCATTGGCTTTGAAAGCCCAAGACAGCCCTAGCCATAGCCCTCCTTTTTATCATAACCCTAAAATTATCATGCAGAGAAGCAAAGAGAGGAACCAGTGGCAGCCAATGTGCCATGAATTAACCAAGCAGGGAGACGAACAGCTGGAAGCTGAGGCATCTCTCCCCAATCTCTTTTGCCATTCATTTTTAAAATGAATGAACAAGAGGAACAGCCTCTGATTTGATCCTTTCTTTTACTCATGCCTGCTGTGAATAGATAGAAAGGAGTTTTAAAATATAAAGGGCAGGAAAATATTTTTCTACCTCTGACTTAACCAAATTAAGATTATTTGCTATGTTAAAGAACAAAAAGGTCAACTGGGGGAAGAAGAGCTACTGTCATTATAAGAATGTTTCATACTTAAGACTTTGGGTTTCTGTTGAAGAAAAAACTAATTTTGTTCTTCAGAAATAGCCTAAAAAGAATCAGGATCAACCATTCCTGTAGGTAGCAATATAGCAATATTAATCATTTCTTGTGACTACCTTGTGAGGTTATATATTTAATGAAGAATCGCATGGAAATAATTTAATAGAAAATTATATAGAAAGATATGAAGGTATAAAATGGAATAGATATGCTTTCTTACTACCAAGTGAAGTCAAACTTTGCTTCCGAGCCACCTCCTCTCTTTACTCTTCCCTATTTATCTCACCCTCATGCTTGAATTCTAACTTAGTACCTACCACGGGATCTGGCATAGAGTAGACGCTTGGTAGATCATGTTTGAGTAAGTGGAAGAGACTTTATTATAAACTTTATTTTGTCTCAAGACTGACACACACTGATGAGGTCATTATGTGGGTTAGCTTTCTCAACAGGGGTATTATTGGCATCTTGGACAGATAATTCTTTGTTGGAGGTAGGGTGACCTGTGCATTGTAGGATGGTTGTTTAGTAGCATCCCTTGCCTCTCTCCACTAGATACTTGCCTAGTCTGGACAATTTAAAAAGTCTCCAGACATTGTCAAATATCCCCTGGTAGTAAAATCACACCCCCACTGCCCGACTCTGCCAACCACAACTGATATAGGATAATTTGGCAAGAACCGTATACTGCCTTAAGAATAGTCACAACTTCTCCAGCCTGGCCAATATGGTGAAACTTCGCCTCTACTAAAAATACAAAAAATTACCCAAGTGTGGTGGCACGCACCTGTAGTCCCAGCTACTTGGGAGGCTGAGGCAGGAGAATTGTTTGAACCCAGGAGGCAGAAGTTACAATAAGCCAAGATCATACCATTGCACTCCAGCCTGGGTGACAGAGTGAGACTCTGTCTCAAAAAAAAAAAAAAAAAAAAAAAAGAATATTTACAATGGCTTATGTAACAATTCCAGTCATGCTAAGAAAAATTTTATGGGTATGTGCAAAGATTTGTCTATATGAATACTTGTTGCAGTATTATCTATAATAATAATAAATTATCAATCCAAACATCCAACTAGAGGGTTGGATGAATCAATTATGATATATTATAAAAGGGAATATTTAATCATAGGAGATTGCTCAGAGAATACTATTAAGTGAACAAAGTTTATTCAACAGAATCTCAGTTTTCTTAACAGTAACAACAGACGCATAAGGGAAATGGTGGAGTGCATCATTTTCAGAATCAGACCGAATTCGATTCCCAGTTCCACCATATCCAAGGGCTGTGCCATATTTTACCTCTCTAGTTGCTAGTTTCTGCAATTCTAAAATGAGGATAATGATACCTTCTGTCTTAAGAGGTTGCCAAGATTAAACCTGAAAAGTGCTTAACACTGTTTGTCACTTTGTTTGGGCTCAGTAAAAAGAAATTAGAATACTGCATGGTCAAAGGGTGGAGGTCAATATGCCAAAACATTGATAGAGGTAATCTCTGAGTGTGGGCTTATGACTAATTTTTCTCTTCTCTTTTTGTTTTCTTTTATTTTTTTTCCATATATGTACTAATCATTACTTAAAGAAACCATATTTGCTTTCTCAGATACCCTTCCAAAGCTCAGTGGCACACAGGAGTAACACAATGGAAGCTCATTTCTCACTCTTCTGAGGCTCAGCACAGTCTTCCTGATTGATAGATGGCTCTCCTCCAAGAGAGGATTCTTTCCTTCCTGAGCCTCAACACAGGGGTTCAAAGGGTGCTGTCAGCATTAACAGCCCATCAGCAGATGAGGGAAGAGACAGAGAAAAATGGGAAATGAAATGAGAGATTTTCCTGTCCTGTCAGGAAGTGGCACACATTTCTTGCTCATATTTCAATGTCTTTCTAGACTCTAGAACCCAGGGATGTGGCCATAGCCAAGTGCAGGGAGGCTGGCAAATGTAGCTTCAACCTGACCCAGAGTGGGCCCCAGCCCCAGTCCCATCCAGTCACTGCATGCCGTCAAAGTCCAGGGCCTTTAAGTGGTGAGCGTCCTCTCCAGCAGGTCATGATTTTCACAGGCCTGTGCTTGTGTGCATGATTAACTGCCCATAACAAAATCTGAGAGGGAAAGCCAGTTAGGCTTTGGGAAAGGGATCAGAATGGCACAGGGAGATGATTCTTCCTGTTTCAGTTTTCACTCTTCAGAATGGATTGGAGAATAGGACTCTGGGAAATAGGACACTGGAGGTAGGAAATTTGCTAATGAGATTGTTGCCTCTAAGCTCTGAGGGTTACAAGGTCAAGAACTGGGATCAGACCCAGCTACATAATTTATAGGACTCAGTGAAAAATGAAAACAGGGGTCTTTCTAGGGACAGGGAAGTCAATCTCCCCTTCCCTAGGCCAGCCCCTGCAGGCAGCCACCCGACCCATGGTAGATGGGCAAGCCCCAAAAGATGACAACCTCTGTGCCTGACAAGCTTGCTACCTGGATCAGGGGTGGGCAGGAAGCCCCCATAGAGTCACTTAATGAACATGCCATGGTGCTGCCGGCCTGGGGTGGGGACATCCCAAGATGGCCAGGGCCTTTCCCTACCCAGGGACACTGACTCTCCCCATACCCATACCCTGGACCCTGCTAGACACAGAGGGCAACAGTAGAACACAGGTATCTCTGTTCATTGACCCTGTTGCAGCCCTGAATAGAACAAGGCAGGGCTCATGGAGCTAGGGCAGGAGGCAGAGGCTGAGAACCCATCAGGAGGCTGGACTGTATGTGAACCTCTGAGGCATGCTCCATCAGACCTCATGTACAAAATAAAAATTCCAAAATAAAATTATTAAGAATTTCAAGATAATGACTGTAGTGCATTAAACTTCAAGGGTGGGTTTGGGGACTCTTCTTGGCACAGGACCCTGGGTGAATGCACTGGATGCAGGCTCATGGAGCCAGACTGGAATGAGGCCTAGACTATGACTTTGTCAAGATAAATAATGAGAATGGCAAACTCTCCATGGAAGTTCATTCTTTTTTCCACTAACTTCCATAGTAATTTATCTGTATGACTCTTGCTATTTATTCCAGTTTTGGTTGCTTTAATTTTGGCTCACCTGTCTTTCTCTCCATTAGACTGTGAGCTCCTTGAAGGCAGATGCTATGATTTTCTTGGCTTTGTAGCACTCCCTGTGTTTGGCATGGTACCTAGCACATAGTAGGTAGATACTCAATAAAAATGTTATATGTTACATGAATAAATGAGGGAAAGGAAATGTATTAGTCTATTCTCATGCTGCTGATAAAGACATACCCGAGACTGGGAAGAAAAAGAGGCTTAATGGACTCACAGTTCCACGTGGCTGAGGAGGCCTCACACTCCTGGCAGAAGGCAAGGAGGAGCAAGTCACATTTTACGTGGATGGTGGCAGGCAAAGAGAGAGCCTGTGCAGGGAAACTCCCATTTTTAAAACCATCAGATCTTGGAAGACTCATTCACTATCATGAGAACAACACAGGAAAGATCTGCCCCCATAATTCAATCACCTCCCACCAGATTCCTTCCACAACATGTGGGAATTGTGGGAGTTACAATTTGAAATGAGATTTGGCTGGGGACACAGCCAAACCATATCAGGAATATAATGAAAAATTCAGTCACAGGGTAAGTGGCCTAAATACCAGCACTGGGTTACAAGGTCAGATTAGGACCAGGGGGTTTAGCTAATAATGCTGAGCTAGGGGCCAGGCGCAGTGGCTCACGCCTGTAATCCCAGCGCTTTGGGAGGCCAAGGTGGGTAGATCATGAGTTCAGGAGTTCAAGACCAGCCTGGCCAACATGGTGAAACCCTGTCTTTACTAAAAATAGAAAAATTGGCCGGGCACGGTGGCAGGTGCTTGTAATCCCAGCTACTAGGGGGGCTGAGGCAGGAGAATCGCTTGAACCCAGGGGGTGGAGGTTGCAGTGAGCCGAGATCACGCCTCTGCACTCCAGCCTGGGTGATAGAGTGAGACTCCATCTCAAAATAAATAAATAAAATAATGCTGAGCTAGGGCACTTGTAGGCCAAGAGTCCTTGCATTTTCTCATACATAAGGGTAGGACAGGTTCCCTGGTCAACTGGTCAGGTGCAGGGCTATCATGCTCCAGGCTGTGACTGTTGGAGACATGAAGGTTCAGGGGATCAAGCAATTCATCTATTACCAGTAGAGAAGAGGAATGAACAAGGTTGGAAGGATGGAGCAGGAGAGAAAGACTGTGACTCCAGTGGTGATGATGTAGTTAATAATGGCAATGTTGGAGCAAAGAAAATGTATTCTGCATTTCATATGTTTATTTAAATCACCGTGGTGATATCTTTTGGGCAAGGCAGAGTGATTTGCTAGGGAGAATATAAAAGGTCAGGCTGGGAACTCTCTGATGTAAGGGTGGTAACTTGAAGCACATTAATGTATGTAAAGAGCCAGAGCTCAGCCTTTGGTGAAAGCAAATGCTCTGCCACCACCACCACTTCTGCTTTCCCCTGAAGAACCAAGAGCACAGAATATTTATGTTTTTCTAGTCTGTACTTCTCTACTTGCTTCCAGGAAGTGTCCTCCAAGATTGTCAGATTTGTTTTTGGACTCAAGATATTTTTATTTGGATTATCTACCATTACCCTAGAAACTACTTAACCCCCGCAATTCTTCTAAAGTCATCTGTGACCAGTTTTGTTAAACAGCTAAATGACATTTCCAAAGACAGTGATCACAACAGTTAATGCTCCAAAGCTCAAAGGAATAGTTAAATGCATTTATCTATCATGCTTCAGAGTCCCCTGAACTGCTGGCTATCTCAACATCTCCTCTTTTCTCTTAGTCTTTCTGTGTTTCCTCTCCTCTTTCCATTTATTTGTCTTGTCCTCTTAATTTCTTCTTTTTGGACATCCCACACCTGCCGTTCCTTTTGTGTAATGGCTTCCCCTGGTGCGCCCCATTTTTCCCCTTCTCCCTCCTCCTATCCTTCATCTTGCCTGTCTCTTTTTCTCCTCATTCTCTTTTCTCTTTTCCTAATCCTCTTCTTGCCTTCTATGACCTTACTTACCTTACTATCAAACTGATATAATATGAAAATAAGTATTTGTTCCCAGTTTTTAATTTTACAATCATATTTTTAAATCTCATTGGCCTCTTTCATAAAACAATTATTTTTTTACTTCCATGTGGCCTGTGAGTGTATCCTTCTTTTCCATTTTAATATCAGATATATGAAATACTTGTTTTTCTTTTAAATACACAGAGTTTAATTACACTTTAAACTGTTACCCCATGTGGCCCTTGGTTGTAATTTATTTGCTATATTGCAATGTCTTGCAATGTAAAAAGGACCTTGCCCTTCCATTCTAAGTAGAACAAGTGACAGGGAAATTTGTATTTAAACACTTGGTATGCAATATCCAGGCTTTTATTAGAATGAGAACGATAATAAATATTCTTTCTTTGATATATCTCTTAGCCTGGTATCTACCAGGAACTTTTAGCAGCAGCAACCCAGGAGTTACCATGCCAGCAATTCTCAGGCTCATTGATTGAGGTCTTGTCTCTGTTAACCTAAAGTTCCTGATGGTGAATGTCCCCTTCAGGACTCTTTTTCTTTCTTTTGTATACAGAAAAGAAATATTTTCCATCTTCCTGAATCCACCAGGAAGGATGTGGGACAATCACCTTTGTTATTATATTTCTTCTCCCTCAATATGTTAACGCTCCAAAACTTGCTTAGTGATTTGTAAAATTCAGCCACAGGACTTGCTGGTGCCCTTCTGTGACAAGTCGTCGAAGGGAAACTCAACCACACTTTATCAACCGTGTAGCTGTTTCTGAGAGCTTTTTTTTTCTTGACTAAAAACTACACAGAACCTTAATATCTGCATCTTCATTATTTTTAGCAGAACATAATCCCTGGGCTTGTATGTGAAAGCGTATTTAAAAAAATATCACCCCAGGTTTATGAAAGATACTTTTTTTTCTTTCCTAGAAAAAAGAGCCCATTTATTACGAATGCATTTCTTATTCTCAAATTTTCTATAAGTGTACAAAGCTAAATAATAAGGCCAGCTTTTCCATATTTGAAATAGAAAAACGTGAATAAAGGAGCATCAGATGACTTTTCTTTCTATCTCTTCCTGTAGGGCTGTCATCTTTGATAACCACTATTTTCCTAAGGAGAAGTATATAGTAAAATAATCATGATAATAATAATTATTATTACAATAGAAATATTAGTTGGTCCATTATTAATTTTCTCTTTGTAGAAATTCCATCTATAAATTCCTTAGTGAATGCATTTGGAACTACAAGTGATGTTTCCAATATTTGAATATGACTTTGAGCCTGGCACTTTATTTTTTTATTTTTATTTTTTTATTATACTTTAAGTTCTAGGGTACATGTGCACAACGTGCAGGTTTGTTACATATGTACACATGTGCCACGTTGGTGTGCTGCACCCGTTAATTCGTCATTTACATTAGGTATATCTCCTAATGCTATCCCTCCTCCCTCCCCCCCACCCCATGACAGGCCCTGGTGTGTGATGTTCCCCACCCTGTGTCCAAGTGTTCTCATTGTTCAGTTCCCACCTATAAGTGAGAACATGCAATGTTTGGTTTTCTGTCCTTGCGATAGTTTGCTCACAATGATGGTTTCCAGCTTCATCCATGTCCCTACAAAGGACATGAACTCATCCTTTTTTATGGCTGCATAGTATTCCATGGTGTATATGTGCCACATTTTCTTAATCCAGTCTATCATTGATGGACATTTGGGTTGGTTCCAAGTCTTTGCTATTGTGAATAGTGCCAAAATAAACATACATGTGCATGTGTCTTTATAGCAGCATGATTTATAATCCTTTGGGTATATACTCAGTAATGGGATGTTGGGTCAAATGGTATTTCTAGTTCTAGATCCTTGAAGAATCGCCACACTGTCTTCCACAATGGTTGAACTAGTTTACAGTCCCACCAACAGTGTAAAAATGTTCCTATTTCTCCACATCCTCTCCAGCACCTGTTGTTTCCTGACTTTTTAATGATGTCCATTCTAACTGGTGTGAGATGGTATCTCATTGTGGTTTTGATTTGCATTTCTCTGATGACCAGTGATGATGAGCATTTTTTCATGTGTCTTTTGGCTGCATAAATGTCTTCTTTGGAGAAGTGTCTGTTCATATCCTTTGCCCAGTTTTTTATGAGGTTGTTTGATTTTTCTTATAAATTTGTTTAAGTTCTTTGTAGATTCTGGATATTAGCCCTTTATCAGATGGGTAGATTGTAAAAATTTTCTCCCATTCTTTAGGTTGCCTGTTCACTCTGATGGTGGTTTCTTTTGCTGTGCAGAAGCTCTTTAGTTTAATTAGATCCTATCTGTCAATTTTGGCTTTTGTTACCATTGCTTTTGGTATTTTAGACATGAAGTCCTTGCCCATGCCTATGTCCTGAATGGTATTGCCTAGGTTTTCTTCTAGGGTTTTTATGGTTTTAGGTCAAACATTTAAGTCTTTACTCTATCTGGAATTAATTTTTGTGTAAGGTGTAAGGAAGGGATCCAATTTCAGCTTTCTACATATGGCTAGCCAGTTTTCCCAGCACCATTTGCTAAATAGGGAATCCTTTCCCCATTTCTTGTTTTTGTCAGGCTTGTCAAAGATCAGATGGTTGTAGATGTGTGGTATTATTCTGAGGGCTCTGTTCTGTTCCATTGGTCTATATCTCTGTTTTGGTACCAGTACCATGCTGTTTTGGTTCCTGTAGCCTTGTAGTACAGTAGCGCGACGCCTCCAGCTTTGTTCTTTTGGCTTAGGATTGACTTGGCGATGCGGGCTCTTTTTTGGTTCCATATGAACTTTAAAGTAGTTTTTTCCAATTCTGTGAAGAAAGTCATTGGTAGCTTGATGGGGATGGCATTGACTCTATACATTACTTTGGGCAGTATGGCCATTTTCGTGATCTGATTCTCCCTATCCATGAGCATGGAATTTTTTTCCACTTGTTTGTGTCCTCTCTTCTTTCCTGAGCAGTGGTTTGTAGTTCTCCTTGAGGAAGTCCTTCACGTCCCTTGTAAGTTGTATTCCTAGGTATTTTATTCTCTTTATAGCAATCGTGAATGGGAGTTCACTCATGATGTGGCTCTCTGCTCATCTATTGTTGGTATATAGGAATGCTTGTGATTTTTGAACATTGATGTTGTATCCTGAGACTGCTGAAGTTGCTTATCAGCTTAAGGAGATTTTGGGCTGAGATGATGGGGTTTTCTAAATATACAATCATTTCATCTGCAAACAGGGACAATTTGACTTCCTCTTTTCCTAATTGAATACCCTTTATTTCTTTCTCCTGCCTGATTGCCCTGGCCAGAACTTCCAACACTATGTTGAATAGGAGTGGTGAGAGAGGGCATCCCTGTCTTCTGCCAGTTTTCAAAGGGAATGCTTCCAGTTTTTGCCCATTCAGTATGATATTGGCTGTGGGTCTGTCATAAATAGCTCTTATTATTTTGAGATACATCCCATCAATACCTTATTTATTGAGAGGTTTTAGCACGAAGGGCTGTTGAATTTTTCGAAGGCCTTTTCTGCATCTATTGAGATAATCATGTGGTTTTTGTCATTGGTTCTGTTTATATGATGGATTATGTTTATTGATTTGTGTATGTTGAACCAGCCTTGCATCCCAGGGATGAAGCCCACTTGATCATGGTGGATAAGCTTTCTGATGTGCTGCTGGATTCAGTTTGCCAGTATTTTATTGAGGATTTTTACATCGATGTTCACCAGGGATATTGGTCTAAAATTCTCTTTTTTTGTTGTGTCTCTGCCAGGCTTTGGTGTCAGGAAGATGCTGGCCTCATAAAATGAGTTAGGGAGGATTCCCTCTTTTTCTATTGATTGGAATAGTTTCAGAAGGAATGGTACCAGCTCCTCTTTGTACCTCTGGTAGAATTTGGCTGTGAATCCGTCTGGTCCTGGACTTTTTTTTGTTGGTAGGCTCTTAATTATTGCCTCAGTTTCAGAGCTTGTTATTGGTCTATTCAGGGATTCAGCTTCTTCCTGGTTTAGTCTTGGGAGGGTTTATGTGTCCAGGAATTTATCCATTTCTTCTAGATTTTCTAGTTTATTTGCATAGAGGTGTTTATAGTATTCTCTGATGGTAGTTTGTATTTCTGTGGGATTGGTGGTGATATCCCCTTTATCATTTTTTATTGCATCTATTTGATTCTTCTTTCTTTTCTTCTTTATTAGTCTTGCTAGCAGTCTATCAATTTTGTTGATCTTTTCAAAAAACCAGCTCCTGGATTCATTGATTTTTTGAAGGGTTTTTTGTGTCTCTATCTCCTTCAGTTCTGCTCTGATCTTAGTTATTTCTTGCCTTCTGCTAGCTTTTGAATGTGTTTGCTCTTGCTTCTCTAGTTCTTTTAATTGTGATGTTAGGGGGTCAATTTTAGATCTTTCCTGCTTTCTCCTATGGGCATTTAGTGCTATAAATTTCCCTCTACACACTGCTTTAAATGTGTCCCAGAGATTCTGGTATGTTGTGTCTTTGTTCTCACTGGTTTCAAATAATGTCTTTATTTCTGCCTTCATTTCGTTATGTACCCAGTAGTCATTCAGGAGCAGGTTGTTCAGTTTCCATGTAGTTGAGCAGTTTTGAGTGAGTTTCTTAATCCTGAGTTCTAATTTGATTGCACTGTGGTCTGAGAGACAGTTTGTTATAATTTCTGTTCTTTTACATTTGCTGAGGAGTGCTGTACTTCCAACTATGTGGTCAATTTTGGAATAGGTGTGGTGTGGTGCTGAAAAGAATGTATATTCTGTTGATTTGCGGTGGAGAGTTCTGTAGATGTCTATTAGGTCTGCTTGGTGCAGAGCTGAGTTCAATTCCTGGGTATCCTTGTTAACTTTCTGTCTCGTTGATCTGTCTAATGTTGACAGTGGGGTGTTAAAGTCTCCCATTATTATTGTGTGGGAATCTAAGTCTCTTTGTAGGTCTCTAAGGACTTGCTTTATGAATCTGGGTTCTCCTGTATTGGGTGCATATATATTTAGGATAGTTAGCTCTTCTTGTTGAATTGATCCCTTTACCATTATGTAATGGCCTTCTTTGTCTCTTCTGATCTTTGTTGGTTTAAAGTCTGTTTTATCAGAGACTAGGATTGCAACCCCTGCTTTTTTTTGTCGTTGTTTTCCATTTGCTTGGTAGATCTTCCTGCATCCCTTTATTTTGAGCCTATGTGTGTCTCTGCACATGAGATAGGTCTCCTGAATATAGCACACTGATGGGTCTTGACTCTTTATCCAATTTGCCAGTCTGTGTCTTTTAATTGGAGCATTTAGCCCATTTACATTTAAGGTTAATATTGTTATGTGTGAATTTGATCCTGTCATTATGATGTTAGCTGGTTATTTTGCCCGTTAGTTGATGCAGTTTCTTCCTAGCATCGATGGTCTTTATAATTTGGCATATTTTTGCAGTGGCTGGTACCAGTTGTTCCTTTCCATATTTAGTGCTTCCTTCAGGAGCTCTTGTAAGGCAGGCCTGGTGTTGACAAAATCTCTCAGCATTTGCTTGTCTGTAAAGGATTTTATTTCTCCTTCACTTATGAAGCTTAGTTTGGCTGGATATGAAATTCTGGGTTGAAAATTCTTTTCTTTAAGAATGTTGAATATTGGCCCCCACTCTCTTCTGGCTTGCAGAGTTTCTGCTGAGAGATCCACTGTTAGTCTGATGGGCTTCCCTTTGTGGGTAACATGACCTTTCTCTCTGGCTGCCCTTAGCATTTTTTCTTCATTTCAACTTTGGTGAATCTGTTAATTATGTGTCTTGGAGTTGCTCTTCTCAAGGAGTATCTTTGTGGCGTTCTCTCTGTTTCCTGAATTTGAATGTTGGTCTGCCTTGCTAGGTTGGGGA
Organism: Homo sapiens; assembly: GCF_000001405.40. Lineage (NCBI taxonomy): Eukaryota > Metazoa > Chordata > Mammalia > Primates > Hominidae > Homo > Homo sapiens. The sequence continues at coordinate 178,050,955 of NC_000002.12, read as the reverse complement.
AGTTCTCCTGCATAATATCCTAAAGATTGTTTTCCAACTTGGTTCCATTCTCCCCGTCACTTTCAGGTATACCAATCAGACGTAGATTTGGTCTTTTCACATAGTCCCATATTTCTTGGAGGCTTTGTTCATTTCTTTTTACTCTTTTTTCTCTAAGCTTCTCTTCTCACTTCATTTCATTCATTTGATCTTCAATCACTGATACCCTTTCTTCCAGTTGATCGAATCGGCTACTGAATCTTGTGCATGCGTCACGTAGTTCTCGTGCCATGGTTTTCAGCTCCATCAGGTCATTTAAGGTCTTCTCTACACTGTTTATTCTATTTAGCCATTCTTCCAATCTTTTTTCAAGGTTTTTAGCTTCTTTGCAGGGGTTCGAACACCCTCCTTTAGCTCAGAGAAGTTTGTTATTACCGATCTTCTGAAGCCTTCTTCTCTCAACTCGTCAAAGTCATTTTCTGTCCAGCTTTGTTCCATTGCTGGTGAGGAGCTGCGTTCCGTTAGAGGAGAAGAGGCACTCTGATTTTTAGAATTTTCAGCTTTTCTGCTCTGGTTTCTCCCCGTCTTTGTGGTTTTGTCTACCTTTAGTCTTTGATGATGGTGATGTACATATGGGGTTTTGGTGTGGATGTCCTTTCTGTTTGTTAGTTTTCCTTCTAACAGTCAGGACCCTCTGCTGCAGGTCTGTTGGAGTTTGCTGGAGGTCCACCCCAGACCCTGTTTGCCTGGGTATCACCAGCAGAGGCTGCAGAACCGCAAATATTGCAGAACGGCAAATGTTGCTGCCTGATCGTTCTTCCGGAAGCTTCATCTCAGAGGGGCACCTGGCCGTATGAGGTGTCAGTCTGCCCCTACTGGGAGGCGCCTCCCAGTTAGGCTACTCGGGGGTCAGGAAGCCACTTTAGGAGGCAGTCTGTCCGTTCCCAGATCTCAAACTCCGTGCTGGGAGAACCACTACTCTCTTCAAAGCTGTCAGACAGGGATGTTTAAGTCTGCAGAAGCTTCTGCTGCCTTTTGTTCAGCTATACCCTGCACCAGAGGTGGAATCTACAGAGGCAGGCAGGCTTCCTTGAGCTGCGGTGGGCTCTACCCAGTTTGAGCTTCCTGGCCGCTTTGTTTACCTACTCAAGCCTCAGCAATGGCGGGCACCACTCCCCAAGCCTCGCTGCTGCCTTGCAGTTCGATCTCAGACTGCTGTGATAGCAGTGAGCAAGACTCCGTGGGTGTGGGACCCTCCAAGCCAGGCATGGGATGTAATCTCCTGGTGTGCCGTTTGCTAAGACTGTTGGAAAAGCACAGTATTAGGGTGGGAGTGACCAGATTTTCCAGGTGCCATCTGTCACAGCTTCCCTGGGCTAGAAAAGGGAATTCCCCAACCCCTTGCACTTCCCAGGTGAGGCGATGCCTTGCCCTGCTTCGGCTCATGCTCCATGGGCTGCACCCACTGTCCTGCACCCACTGTCAGACAAGCCCCAGTGAGATGAACCCGGTACCTCAGTTGGAAATGCAGAAATCACCTGTCCTCTGCGTCACTCATGCTGGGAGCTGCAGACTGGAGCTGTTCCTATTTGGCCACCTTGGAACTTCCCCCCCAAGCCTGGCAGTTTAAAGACAAAAACCTAGGTCTTATCTTTGATTACTTTCTTTTATTCACCTACCATATTAGGTCCATCAGAAAGTTCTTTTGAGTTACTTGTAAAACCATCTCAAATCTGTTCACTTTTCTCCAACTCTACTACCACAACTCTTAACATATGCCACTGGCACTTTAAGTGCCCGGCTCAAAGTCATATTCAAATATTGGAATATTAAGGTTACATTCAAATATTGGTTATTCAAATATTCAAATGTTGAACATTTAAATATTCAAATATTTGTTATTAAGATCTTCATAATAACCTTTTGAGAAATGTAGAGTAGATGCTATCCCTTTCCTTTCATAGATTAGGAAACAAGCACTGAGAAGTTAGGTCCTCTTCCTGAGGTCACAGGGCCACAGTGTTAGAGGAAGGACTCTGTGTTCCTCTCCCACTGTTCCTCCCACTCTTGAGTTTTGAGAGGACCCAATACCTACCTTCTTTCTTCCCTACCCTGAACCAATTCAGATGAGAAAAAAGACAAAAAAGAAATGCATATGGGATATCAAAATATCACATTTATGGCTTATGAAACAGATACTGGAATATGGGCTTATATTTATAGGCGTGTATAATTCTCAGCACCAGAATTAGATAAACCTACCCTCCCAAGCACAGAAAATGCTGGATGCCCATAGTCCTCCCCATGCAAGGGGCCTGTCCCTTTGGAAATTACAGCATCGAGGAACTGAAGGACTGCTCTTTGGGGGTGGCCTGACTCCCAAGGATTAAAGGGAGGAAGGAGCTAGGTTGTGCATGCCCTGTTAGTCTCCCTAATTCCCTCATCAGATAACTCACCCTACCTTTCTGAGGAGGACCAAGGAATGGATCCAAAGGGTGGACGGGTTAAGGGAAGTCTCTCCTCATGGAAAACAGAAAAGGGGGAAATATTGTTCCTCCTCTGACATATGCCATGCCACCTCTCAGATTGTTATACACGGAACATTGAGAGAACTCTTTCTTTCATGCCGCGCCCCCAGCCCCCCATCCCAATACTCTCTTGCCTCTGCCTTATCTTCTTTATCTTCAGTTGCCCAAGCCAGAACCCTAGGTGTTACCTTTGATTCCTTCCTTTTATTCACCTACATATTAGATCCGTTAGAAGGTTCTTCTGATTCACTCCATAAAACAATCTCCAATCTGTTCACTTTTCTGCAACTCTACTACCACAACTCTGATTCAAGTCACCATTATCTTTCACCCAGATTATTGAAACTGCTTCCCAGCTGCTCTATCTACTTCTGTCTGTAACCATTTCTCACGTAGAATGTTCATGAGCAAAAGGAGTTCATCCTGGGTAGGCAGTGGATAGGATGGTAGAGCCAGATTATTCGAGGGCCTTGTTATCTTAGTCACCTTCAGTTGAAGACAGTGAGCCATGGAAGGCCTGGGAGCAAGAAGGGGCATAAATCTGGGCTTCCCTGCACTCATCATCTATGGGAATGCAGGCAGATGACCTCTCTCTCTGGCCCTCAGAATCTCCATATATAACATGGGGGGGTTAGGAAAATGACTTCTGAGACTCTCTCAGCTCTAAAATTCCATGTTAATTATGAAAACACAGAGGAGAAACCTTACAAAATAATCCTTCCCCAAAATTTTAAGCTACTAGCTTTGTAGCAGGTTATTCTTGGTGTTGAATGAGGCTCATGTCTGATCTGCTCATAGTGTGACTCGTGGCTGCTCTATCATGTTACCAGAGGGGCTCTGGGCTGTCATCTGACTGAAAGTACTGATGAGGTGACTTGTAACAAAGCTCTATTTGTGTAACAGCATGTTGTTTTATATATCTTTAGGATAGCTGGGGAAAAGCCATTCTTTGATACTGCCACTGGGTGATTTTTTTTTTTTTTTTTGAGACAGACTCTTGCTCTGTGGCCCAGGCTGTAGTGCAGTGGCATGATCTTGGCTCACTGCAACCTCCGCCTCCTGGGTTCAAGCTATTCTCCTGCCTTAGCCTCCCAAGTAACTGGGATTACAGGTATGTGCCACCAGACCTGGCTAATTTTTTGAATTTTTAGTAAAGACGGGGTTTCACTGTGTTGGCCAGGCTGGTCTTGAACTCCTAACCTCAAGTGATCCATCCGCCTTGGCCTCCCAAAGTGTTGGGATTACAGGCATGAGCCACCATGCCCGGCCTTGGGTGATATCTAGAAGAAGGAAATTATCTGGGTCCAAGTTTGTTTCTGAGTCTTCCCATCAACTGCAATAAAGGATATAGACAACTATCATGTCATAGGATCTGAGTCCTTTTGTCTCCAAGTAAAAAAAAAAAAAATCCCAGAAAGTTTTTCTGCATAATTATTCATCTAAGAACACATAATAAGTCTACAGGAATGAGATAGGCCCTAGACATAGGAATAGTGGACAAAAGATATATGCCTCAAACTAACAACTTCACAACCTATAATTCTTTTATAGTTCTATGCACCTCAAGATTCCTGGCTTTTCCAACTGTAAGAGTCTCCAGACATCTCTGAGGACCCATGAGCAGTGAACAAGTTAATTAGTGATTAACACTAACAGAAATAAATTTACCACTTGATATGAGCAATAATTGGACCCAGGATAGTTACATTGACCGAGAAGAGTAAAGAGAATCTACAAGGGAACTCAAGATGAACTGACTACCTCAGCTTTGCCAAAAGCCAACCATGTTTAAGTCAGCCCTGCCTGACTTGAAAGGGGCAATCAACAGCCTTCCTTGACCTTCTATCTATCATCTCACCTTCTGACTCAATGACTATTATTCTGAAGTTCTGACTCCAATTCTTCAATTATAAAAACAAACAAACAAACAAACGAACAAACAAGAAACCTAAGTAGAAAGGAGACATTGATGGTTACAATACAGAGATCAACTACTTTCTCAATGTTATCTTTCTATAATTTCTTAGACAATCTACTCCATGATTGTTTCACACTGTAAGATTTATTATAAAATCTTCCAAAAAGTGAACTGAATTCAACATTATAATAACATAAGACTTCTGCTGATAAGACTTCATCCATACATTTTATAGTCCTCAAAGGATCAGCTGCAAAAAATTCATTTTTCAATTAACACACAGGTGAAGAGCTCATATCAACTGTACCAACCAACCCCCCCAAAAAAATTAATAGTAATAGCCAGTATTTATTGGGAATATGTTATGCAGTAGGCACTGTGGTAAGATTTAGTTATCTCATTTAATCCTCACAAGGTTCTATGAGATAGACACCGTTACTTCCTACATTTTACATGTGAGGAAGCTAGACTTGAATAGGTTTAGTAACTTTCCCAAGTTTATACAGCTAGTAAGAGGCAGAGACCAGATGCAAACTCAAATTATCCATCTCTGTTTAGATTCTACAGTTTTACCATTATGGGAAATATTAAGGATTACATTCAGGTTCTGTTCACATGTTCAAGGCTGGATTCCTGTCCATGAAAGAAGGCGGCTCCTTGATGGAATATGAAGTTCAAAAATCTGCTAGAATGCATTCCAGAAGCTGTTTTAGCCATTCACATCCATTGACACCAGGTAACTGATTATTTTTGTGCGAAGATCCCAACAATTGTGTCAGGTTTGGAGAGTTTGGAACAAGATGCCTCAGGAAACTTCATGGTTTGCAATATAATCCATTAATGCCTGTGAAGGCGATACTACTACTACTACTACTGACAGTAGTGATAGTTAACACTTATTAGAAGCTTTCTTAATTTCCCCAAGGTCACACAGCTATTAAGTTGGAGAGCCAGGGTTTGAACCCATATTGTTGGAGCCACAGTTTGTACTCTTAACCACCACAAACTGCTGTCTCTGGTGTGGTATGTAAACAATGAGTGGCAGTCTGTTCAACAACATCTTTTCACAATGCTCTTTACCAAAGTTGTGAGACAGTGTTGCCAAGGACTAAACAATATTTCTGGGAGCTATGTTGTGAGTGTGCAAAATGGATAGTTTCATTAAATATGAAAAACTTTCATTTTTCATCACAACTAATCAGTACCAAAACCTGCAGGGAAGGAATCTGTTTATATTACTAGGAATTAACTGGAGGATATAGTTAACAGATTTCCTACAACATTTTAGAGAGTTTTCAAGGCAGAGTTTGAGTTGCTCTATGCAGGTCTTATACTTGCATATATCCATCATAAAACAAAGAGATGTACAATTTGTCTCTGAGAAAAAACCTGAAGCTCTAGTGTATACAAGCAAGCAACTTATTCTAGAAAAAAACTGCACATTTCTCTTTATTGTGAAACTTTTTGTAAACTCTAGGTGACCTGTAGGTAGGGCACTGAAGCTACAGCCATACCGGTGATCTATTGATCCAATAGCTTTTTGCTGTTTGGCTGCAGGGAATGTCCTTTGGGGGCATTTGTTGCCTTAGTCATGGATTGGTTTGATTGCTGGAGCTAGATACCTACTGAAGCAATCAAAAATAATAAGTGGAGTGGGGTATAACATCCCCCAAAAAAACATCTAGGGACAGAATTTGGGAAATGGAGAGTTTCTAATGTTTCTAGTCTGATTCCTGTTCTGTATTCTGAATGTGGTGATATACTTGTGTAGCACTTTATGATTTATAAAATGCTTCACCACATACTACCTAATTAATCCTTGCTGTCTGAAAGGTAAGAATTACTATCCTCATTTGGAGGGTAAAGAAACAGTCTGAGGGAAGTTAAATGGCTCAGTTTGGGGGCTGGGCAGGGGATTCAGGACTTGTGGCATCATATGCAGTGCTTGTTATACCTCCCAAGAACTTCTTATGTGACCATGATCATGAGAGGTTTATATCAGAAACAAGAGTTTTATATTGTTTATATTATAAACAAGGGTTTATATCAGAAAATCATACATTTTACTGATGTATACATACATATATATGTTTATGTATATAAACATATATATAAAGTTTATATATATATAAACATATAAAGTTTATATATATAAAAACATATATATAAAGTTTATATATCTATATACACTTTCTGTTTTTGGAAAATATGGTAAAATCAGGATTCTTCACTTCTTTGGTCATTGCATTATTTTTATGAAATGGCCTATTACTGGAAAAAATATTTGAAAGACATTTGCAATTCATGATGTTCCTACTCTTCATGAAGCAAGAGCTTCAAGCTTTTGGGGAGATATTTTATTTCTTCTATGTTTTCCTTCTGCAGAAGTCAATCTTTGCTAATATATTTAATCATAGACTGGAAAAAATAAAAAGACCTGGTGTTGAACTGGTCACAAGAAGAATGGCAAGCAGTATTAACTTCTCACTCTGTCCTAGTACATTAGGCTGAACATAAACTACTGTTTGTACCACTGACAAGTTTCTTTATGATTTTTGAGCTGTATTAAACACCAGCATGGACAGAGGCCTTGAGGACAAATTGCTAACTCTTCAAAGTAACATAATATGGTGAAAAGAGCCCAAGCTTTAGACTCAAGCATCTCTTAGTTAGCATCCTGGCTCAGTTATTGGTAAATTACTTAACATGAGATAAGTTACTGATCTTCTCTTAGCTTCAGTTTCCTCATATGTATAATGGGGCGAATAGTATCCACTTTGCATGGTTGTTGTGATTATTCCATGTGTGCAAAACTCTGGCACAGATTTTTGCATACATAAATGCACAGGTTATATGGTAGGCTCCTGGTAAATGATAGCCATCATTGCTATTATCTGAGGAATCAATAAGTCTTATAATTGCCTCAATTTCTTTGCAGTTTAAACTGATCACAAGTCTCATTTAGTGCCTGTTTTAAAGGCTAGCTCACCATATGTGGTGCTGGAGTAATTGGTATGACTCTTATGTCTCCGCTTGTCTACTGGCTTAGAAGATCAAGATTCAAAGCCAAAGTTATGAGCCATCTGCCACTGCAAAACCAGATTATGTTGTCTTTCTCTCTTCAAAGCAAGTTTTGATGTCTGAAGAACCTTGATCTGTCTTTTCTGGATAGTCAAATCTGTGTACCTTAGCAGGATTTGACTAATATCTTGAATTTAGTGTGAAAGGAGGACCCAGTGGAGAAATTTCCTGGGGAATTCATGCTATTTATAAGCCATCAATGTGAATCATCTGCCCATGACAGATACTGTCTGTTAGGGAAATAGCATTGATTCTTATTAAAAATGTACAGTTCCTTAAGTTCCATTTCACAAATGGGCACCCAGTACCTAATATCAGCCAGATATAATATAATAGTATATAAGACTGCACTGCATAAACCACAACCAGAAATTATCTTTGTGACAGTATCAGTTAGAAACTATAACTAAAGGCAAATGATTTATTTTTATCCTGTAAAAGGAAAAAAATCTATAAAATCTTTAGCAGCCATGGATGCCTCAGCCCCCATGTCCAAGGGTGCCAGCTGTCCCTCGCCTCCCACCATTCTCTCTAATGATTTAATGTGAGGTTAATACAGAGCAGCTTTGCAGCAATAAGCAATGCCTTGGTTAAGCGCTCTTGCCCCTAAGTGTAGGGTTTTTGTTTGTTTGTTTGTTTTTAACTTCTGTGTAATATAGTTATAATTTTAGAGGCTTCATGGCAGAATATCCTGAATGCTTGCAAGTTTTTAAAATCAAGTTTAGTATTCTGAATGTTACTTAAAATCATATACTGAGGCTCATTGTGGGGAGACTAGAAACTCCATCATGTAAAATAGATTAGCTACACATTAATATCTTTCAATTTGCCACCAGTTTATTGACTTGGAATAGCCATTTACTCTTTAAAGTTGTATACGTAAGGGGAAAGTTCCAGGTTAGATCTTTCAGAACATGAAATAGATCAAATATATAACTAGGATGGACTTTTTTCTTCTTTTTTTTTTTTTTTGAGACAGAGTCTTGCTCTGTCACCAAGGCTAGAAAGCAGTGATGTGATCATGGCTCACTGCAGCCTTAAACTCCTGGACTCAAGCCATCTTCCAGCCTCCGCTTCCTAAGTAGCTGGGACTACAAATGTGTGCCACCACACCTGGCTAATCTTTTTCTTTTGTAGAGGCGGAGTCTCAATGTGTTGACAAGGCTGGTTTCAAACTCCTGGCCTCAAGTGATCTTCCCACTTTGGCCTTCCAAAGTGTTGGGTTTACAGGCATGAGCTACCATACCCAGCCTTAGGATGAATTTTATTTAATTGTAGGTATCTTTAGAATGTTTGAATAAGAACTATTTATGAGGTATGTGAAGCCAGCTGAGGCTGCATAAGAAAATTACATTTACTAATTGTCCTCTTTCCTCACACAAGAACCTAGACCCATTTAGAAACAGAGAAAAGGAATAGTAATGTTTACACCATGCCTTTACAATTTTTTGAAAAGAAAGCAAAAACCTTTTCTGTGAGAAAATTACTTTTGTGTGATCATCTAAACTTTGGGGCATATGATTAATATGGGCCTTATCAGAAATTTATGTTCAAGGTAGTCCTTTAATTTGCAGGCTGGTTCAGCTGTTTGTAACATCTAGGGGGATAATGCTTGAAACATTGTCTTTTCGAGGAGTAAAGGATACAGGGCAGATGTGAAACTGGACAAACAGCACTTCCAAAGAGGAATTTAGTGCTTTCGATGCCTTGGCAATGACATCTGTCATCCAAAGTATTATGAAAAACTGAAAAACTTGCCATGCAGACTTAAAATAAATATTAGCTTCTACCATTTTTGGAAAAAAAACATATGTGTGTGAAAATAGCTCATTGTAGGTCTTATCTAGTTAAAAGTTAATACTGAATATGCCTTATTTGCAGAAGTCACGTGGTTCTTAAAAGAATTTTCTGGCCGGGTGCGATGGCTCACACCTATAATCCCAGCACTTGGAGGCTGAGGCGGGCGGATCAGAAGGTCAGGAGTTCGAGACCAGCCTGACCACTATGGTTAAACCCCATCTCTACTAAAAATACAAAAATTAGCCGGGCGTGGTGGTGCATGCCTGTAGTCCCAGCTACTCGGGAGGCTGAGGCAGAAGAATTGCTTGAACCCGGGAGGCAGAGGTTGCAGTGAGCTGAGACTGTGCCACTGCACTCCAGCCTGGGTGACAGAGCAAGACTCTGTCTCAAAAAAAAAAAAAAAATTTCTGAGCTTGACATGGAGGCTCACACCTGTAATCCCAGCACTTTGGGAGGCTGAGGCAGGAGCATTGCTTGAGCCCAGCAATTCGAGACCAGCCTGGGCAGCATAGCGAGACCTCGTATCTACTAAAACTCAAAAAAATTAGCTGGGCATGGTGGCTGTGCCTGTAGTTCTAGCTACTTGGGAGGCTGAGGAGAGAGGATCACTTGAGCCTGGGAGATCAATTTTGCAGTGAGCTATGATTGAGCCACTGCACTCTAGCATGGGCAACAGAGTGAGACCCTGTCTCAATAAATGAATAAATAAATAAATAAGTAGATAAAAATTTCTGACTGCTCATTTTTATCATTCTGTATTTGTTGACTTTAAATTACGTGCATGTCAGACACTATTATGAAAGTCATAAAAATTACCTGGACAAAACAATGTAGAAAGAACTGTAAAGAAGGAAGGCAATTCTATTTAGTAGATTATCTGTAATAAATGGTAATGTCAAAGCATAGTAAAAGGAAGAGAAAAGTGAGCAAATTGAGGTATGTAGTTCTCTGAAGAAACATTCCATTTTAGTATCAATAAGTCTATGGAGTGAAATTTTAGTTTAGTGGTTTAGCCACAGTGTTCCTATTAACATAACAAGGGTTGGGTTGTTAACTGCTCATGTTGCTAAATCATAACCCTAAGAACTCTGCGCATTCAAAACAATATGTGTGCTGAACATATCGGAAAGGACAAGAGCTTCAGTTCTTCAATTTTCATTATATTGTCCATTGCCTTTAAAAAATTGTGAAATGCATCATATATTCAAATGGAAGAATAAAATATATACGTACAGCATAAAGAAGAATAAACTGGACATCCTTCTACTCACACCAGATTAAAATGTAAAACACTAGCTGGGTGCGATGGCTCACACCTGTAATCCTAGCACTTTGGGAAGCCGAGGTGGGTGGATCACTTGAGGTCAGGAGTTCAAGACCAACATGGTAAAACCCTGTCTCTACTAAAAATGCAAAAATTAGCCAGGTGTAGTAGTGCACTCCTGTAACCCCAGCTACTCAGGAGGCTGAGGCAGAAGAATAGCTTGAATCCAGAAGGTGGAGGTTGCAGTGAGCTGAGATTGCGCTGTTGCACTCCAGCCTGGGGAACAAGAGTGAAACTCTGTCTCAAAAAAAAAAAAAAAAAAAAGCCACTACATTGAAATCTTCTGGTGCCCTTTCACAATAATATTATCCTTCCTCTTGTCACCACCACCTTCATTGTCATGCTGAGTGTTGTGTGAAATATCCCCTTGTTTCCCTCCCCATGACTTTGCCACCTATCTTTGTTTTCCTATACAATATGCAATTTAATTTTGCCTGCTTTTGAACTTTGTATAAATGGAATCATTCTACATGTATTCTTTTGTTTCTTTTTCTGCTCAACATTATGTTTTTGAGATTAATTCATGTTGAAATGTGTAGCAATAATTTCCAGTGCCGTATAATGTTCCTTTGTATAAATATATCACAATTTATCATTCTACTATTGACAGACTTTTGAGTTATTTCTAGTTATTTTATTTTATTTTATTTTTATTTATTTATTTTTATTTTTTGCTTTTATCAGTAATGTTGCTATGGGCATTTTGTATAGGTCTCCTGGAATCTTGGCATCATATTTGCATGACCGCAGACTTTTAACTATTCATTTTTGTAACTTTTATTTATTTATTTTTAACTCTTAGGTTTGGGGGTACATGTAAAGGTTTGTTATATAGGTAAACTTGTGTCATGGGGGTTTGCTGTGTAACTATTTCATCACCCAGGTATTAAGTCTGGTACCCAATATTTATTTTTTCTGCTCCTCTCCCTCCTCTCACCCTCCATCCTTAAGTAGACCCCAATGTCTGTTGTTCCCTTTTTTGGGTTCATGAGTTCTCATCATTTAGCTCCCACTTATAAGTGAGAACATGCAGTATTTGGTTTTCTGTTTTTGTGTTAGTTTGCTAATAATAATAGCTTCCAGCTCTATCCATGTTCCAGCAAAAAGACATGATCTCATTCTTTTTATGGCTGCATAGTATCCATGTGTATATCCAATGTGTCATTGATGGGCGTTTAGGTTGATTCCTTGCATGTCCTGCAAAAACATTGATTCCATGTCTTTGTTATTGTTAATAGGGCTTCAATGAACACTCGTGTGCATGCCTTTATGGTAGAATGACTTATATTCCTCTGGTTATATAGCCAGTAATGGGATTGCTAAAAATATGGAATGCCTCATGAATTTGCTCATCATCCTTGCGCAGGGGCCATGCTAATCTTCTATTGTGCCAATTTTAGTATATGTGCTGCCAAAGTAAGCACAAGCATTCGTTTCTTAGTTATTCAGTGTTCTTCTTGTTCCGCTGCATCTTCCTCTTTACAGTGAATATATATGGGGCCAGGACCACCATAGTCACCAGAGCACAAATTCTAGCTTTCCCTACCAAGCCCATTCCCCTCATGGCCACCTGATCTATGGACAGGGTCCTCATTTACCTCCCAGCCAAGAAAAGAACAGGCTACTCATGGTTGGTATGAAAGTATAGACCATGCAAATGTTCTGGGGTGAGCTCAGTGAATGACTCCCCCTCAACCCTCTTTTCATATGTTTGTGTTTTCTCTTATTGTGGAGTACTGGTCCATGTCATTGGCCCATTTTTTCCTATTGAATTTGCTTTTTTCTTATTGATTTGTAGGAGCTCCTTATATACATATATATTCTGAACACCACCTTCCTTATTGGTTATATGTATTACAAATATTTTTTCTTCTTTATTGCTTGATTTTCATTCTTTTTTTTTAATAATGTGGAATGAAAGAAGTCAGACAAGAATGCATACTGCATGGCTGATTTAGATAAAACTCTAGAAAATGCAAACTACTCTCTAGTGACAGGAAGCAGATCAGTGTTATCTGAGGTGGGGGATGGTGGGGTGGGAGGGATGGAAGGTGGGATTAAAAAGGGCATGAAGAAACTTTGGTGGGGGTGATAGTTATATTCATATCTTGATTGTGGCCATTTCATGGGTGTAACCATATGTCCAGACTAATAAAATCATATATGTTAAATATGTACAGTTTTTTTATTTCAATTATATCTCAATATATCTGCTTTTTTATAAAAAGAAATTTGAATATTTACATTAAAGGGTATCTAATCTATAACCCTTAGCAATTTTTTTTTTATTATACTTTAAGTTCTAGGATACATGTGCAGAACATGCAGGTTTGTTACATAGGTATACATGTGCCATGGTGGTTTGCTGCACCTATCAACCCGTCATCTAGCTTTTAAGCCCCCCATGCATTAGATATTTGTCCTAATGCTCTCCCTTCCCTTGTCCCCCACCCCCTGACAGGCCCTGGTGTGTGATGTTCCCCTCACTGTGTCCATGTGCTCTCATTGCTCAACTCCCACTTATGAGTGAGAACATGTGGTGTTTGGTTTTCTGTTCATGTGTTAGTTTGCTGAGATTGGTGGCTTCCAGCTTCATCCATGTCCCTGCAAAGGACATGAATTCATTCTTTTTTATGGCTGCATAGTATTCCGTGGTGTATATGTGCCACATTTTCTTTATCCAGTCTATCATTGATGGGCATTTGGGTTGGTTCCATGTCTTTGCTATTGTAAATAGTGCTGCAATAAACACATGTACGCATGGGTCTTTATATTAGAATGATTTATAATCCTTTGGGTATATACCCAGTAATGGGATTGCTGGGTCAAGTGATATTTCTGGTTCTAGATCCTTGAGGAATCACCACATTATCTTCCACAATGGTTGAACTAATTTACACTCCCACCAATGGTGTAAACGTGTTTCTATTTCTCCACCGCCTCTCCAGCATCTATTGTTTCCTGACTTTTTAATAGTCACTATTCTAACTGGCATGAGATGGTATCTCATTGTGGTTTTGATTTGCATTTCTCTAATGACCAGTGATGATGAGCTTTTTTTCACGTTTGTTGGCCACATAAATGTCTTCTTTTGAGAAGTATCTGTTCATAGCCTTTGCCCACTGTTTCATGGTGTTGTTTGTTTTTTTCTTGTAAATTTGTTTAAGTTCCTGGTAGATTCTGGATATTAGACCTTTGTCAGATGGATAGATTGCAAACATTTTTTCCCATTCTGTAGGTTGCCTGTTCACTCTGATGATAGTTTCTTTTGCTGTGCAGAAGCTCTTTAGTTTGACTAGATCTCATTTGTCAATTTTGGCTTTTGTTGCAATTGCTTTTGGTGTTTTAGTCATGAAGTCTTTGCCCATGCCTATGTCCTGAATCGTATTGCCTGGGTTTTCTTCTAGGGTTTTTATGGTTTTGGGTTTTACATTTAAGTCTTTAATCCATCTTGAGTTAATTTTTCTATAAGGTGTAAGGAAGGGGTCCAGTTTCTGTTTTCTGCATATGGCTAGCCAGTTTTCCCAGCACCATTTATTAAATATGGAATCCTTTCTCCACTGCTTGTTTTTGTCAGGTTTGTTGAAAATCAGATGATTGTAGATGTGTGGTGTTATTTCTGAGGTCTCCTTTCGTTCCGTTGGTCTATGTATCTGTTTTGGTACCAGTACCATGCTGTTTTGGTTTCTGTAGACTTGTAGTATAGTTTAAAGTCAGGTAGCATGACATGTCCAGCTTTGTTCTTTTTTCTTAGGATTGTCTTGGCTATACAGGTTCTTTTTTGGTTCCATATGAAATTTAAAGTAGTTTTTTTCTAATTCTGTGAAGAAAGTTAATGGTAGCTTGATGCGAATAGCATTGGCTCTATACGTTACTTTGGGCAGTATGACCATTTTCATGATCTGATTCTCCCTATCCATGAGCATGGAATTTTTTTCCACTTGTTTGTGTCCTCTCTTCTTTCCTGAGCAGTGGTTTGTAGTTCTCCTTGAGGAAGTCCTTCACGTCCCTTTAAGTTGTATTCCTAGGTATTTTATTCTCTTTATAGCAATCGTGAATGGGAGTTCACTCATGACATGGCTCTCTGCTCATCTATTGTTGATATATAGGAATGCTTGTGATTTTTGAACACTGATTTTGTATCCTGAGACTTTGCTGAAGTTGCTTATCAGCTTAAGGAGTTTTGGAGCTTAGACAATGGGGTTTTCTAAATATACAATCATGTCATCTGCAAACAGAGACAATTTGACTTCCTCTCTTTCTATTTGAATACCCTTTATTTCTTTCTCTTGCCTGATTGCCCTGGCCAGAACTTCCAATAGTATGTTGAATAGGAGTGGTGAGAGAGGGCATCCTTGTCTTGTGTTGGTTTTCAAAGGGAATGCTTCCAGCTTTTGCCCATTCAGTATGATGTTGGCTATGGGTTTGTCATAAACAGCTATTATTTTTTGAGATATGTTCCATCAATACCTAGTTTACTGAGTTTTTAGCGTAAGGGCTGTTGAATTTTATTGAAGGCCTTTTCTGCATCTATTGAGATAATCATGTGGTTTTTGTCATTGGTTCTGTTTATGTGATGGATTACATTTATTGATTTGTGTATGTTGAACCAGCCTTGCATCCCACAAAAGAAGCCAACTTGATCGTGTTGGATAAGCTTTTTGATGTGCTGCTGGATTCGGTTTGCCCTATTTTATTGAGGATTTTCACATCAATATTCTTCAGGGACATTGGCCTGAAAATTTCTTTTTTTGTTGTCTCTCTCTGCCAGGTTTTGGTATCAGGATGATGCTGGCCTCATAAAATGAGTTAGGGAGGATTCCCTCTTTTTCTATTGATTGGAATAGTTTCAGAAGGAATGATACTAGCTCCTCTTTGTACCTCTGGTAGAATTTGGCTGTGAAGCCATCTGGTCCTGGGCTTTTTTTGGTTGGTAGGCTCTTAATTACTGCCTTAATTTCAGAACTTGTTATTGGTCTATTCAGGGATTTGACTTCTTCCTGGTTTAGTCTTGAGAGGGTGTATGTGTCCAGGAATTTGTCATTTCTTCTAGATTTTCTAGTTTATTTGAGTAGTAGTGTTTGTAGTATTCTCTGATGGTAGTTTGTATTTCTGTGGGATCAGTGGTGATATCCCCTTTATCATTTTTTATTGTGTCTATTTGATTCTTCTCTCTTTTCTTCTTTATTAGTCTAACTAGTGGTCCATCTATTTTGTTAATGTTTAAAAAAAAACAGCTCCTGGATTCATTGATTTTTTTCGAAGGGTTTTTCATGTCTCTATCCCCTTCAGTTCTGCTCTGATCTTAGTTATTTCTTGTCCTCTGCTAGCTTTTGAATGTGTTTGCTCTTGCTTCTCTAGTTCTTTTAATTGTGATGTTAGGGTGCCGATTTTAGATCTTTCCAACTTTCTGTTGTGGGCATTTAGTGCTATAAATTTCCCTCTCAACACTGCTTTAAATGTGTCCCAGAGATTCTGGTATGTTGTGTCTTTGTTCTCATTGGTTTCAAAGAACTCCTTTGTTTCTGCCTTAATTTCATTATTTTCCCAGTAGTCATTCAGGAGCAGGTTGTTCAATTTCCATGTAGTTGTGCGGTTTTTAGTGAGTTTCTTAATCCTGAGTTCTAATTTGATTGTACTGTGGTCTGAGGGAAGTTTGTTATAATTTCTGTTCTTTTACATTTGCTGAAGAGTGCTTTACTTCCAACTATGTGATCAATTTTGGAATAAGTGCAATGTGGTGCTGAGAAGAATGTGTATTCTGTTGATTTGGGGTGGAGAGTTCTGTAGATGTCTATTAGGTCCACTTGGTCCATAGCCGAGTTCAAGTCCTGAATATCCTTGTTAATTTTCTGTCTCATTGATCTGTCTAATATTGACAGTGGGGTGTTAAAGTCTCCCACTATTATTGTGCAGGTATCTAAGTCTCTTTGTAAGTCTCTAAGAACTTCTTTTATGAATCTGAGTGCTCCTGTATTGGGTACATATATATTTAGGATAGGTAGCTTTTCTTGTTGCGTTGATCCCTTTTGTCTTTTTTGATCTTTGTTGATTTAAAGTCTGTTTTATCAGAGACTAGGATTGCAACCCCTGCTTTCTTTTTGCTTTCCATTTGCTTGGTAAATATTCCTCCATCCCTTTTTTTTTGACCCTATGTGTCTTTGCACGTGAGATGGGTCTCCTGAATACAGCACACCAATGGCTCTTGATTCTTTATCCAATTTTCCAGTCTGTGTCTTTTAATTGGGGCATTTAGCCTATTTACATTTAAGGTTAATATTGTTATGTGTGAATTTGATCCTTTCACCATGATGTTAGCTGGTTATTTTGAACATTAGTTGATGCAGTTTCTTCATAGTGTCATTGGTCTTTATATTTTGGTGTGTTTTTGCAGTGGCTGGTAACAGCTTTTCCTTTCCATATTTAGTGCTTCCTTCAGGGGTCTTGTAAGGCAGGCTTTGTGGTGACAAAATCCCTCAGCATTTGCTTGTCTGGAAAGGATTTTATTTCTCCTTATGAAGCTTAGTTTGGCTGGGTATGAAATTCTGGGTTGAAAACTTTTTTTTGTTTAAGAATGTTGAATATTGGCCCCCACTCTCTTCTGGCTTGTAGGGTTTCTGCAGAGAGATCCACTGTTAGTCTGATGGGCTTCCCTTTGTAGGTAACCTGACCTTTCTCTCTGGCTGCTCTTAACATTTTTTCCTTTGTTTCAACCTTGGAGAATCTGATGATTATGTGTCTTGGGGTTGCTCTTCTTGAGGAGTATCTTAGTGTTGTTCTCTGTATTTCCTGAATTTGAATGTTGGCCTGTCTTGCTAGGTTGGGGAAGTTCTCCTGGATGATATCCTGAAGTGTGTTTTCCAACTTGGTTCCATTCTCCCCGTCACTTTCAGGTACAGTAATCAATCATATGTTTGGTCCTTTCACATAGTCCCATATTTCCTGGATGCTTTGTTCATTCCTTTTCATTCTTTTTTCTCCAATCTTGTCTTCACACCTTATTTCAGTAAGTTGATCTTCAATCTCTGATATTCTTTCTCCCACTTGATAAATTTGGTTGTTGATACTTGTGTATGCTACAGGAAGTTCTCGTGCTGTGTTTTTCAGCTCCAATAGGTCATTTATGTTCCTCTCTAAACTGGTTATTCTAGTTAGCAGTTCCTGTAACCTTTTATCAAGGTTCTTAGCTTCCTTGCATTAGGTTAAAACATGCTCCTTTAGCTCAGAAGAGTTTGTTATTACCCACTTTCTGAAGCCTACTTCTGTCAGTTCGTCAAACTCATTCTCCATCCAGTTTTGTGTCCTTGCCAGAGAGGGGTTGTAACCACTTGGAGGAGAAGAGGCATTCTGGTTTTTTGAATTTTCAGTTGTTTTTTTGCACTGTTTTTTTCTCATCTTCATGGATTTATCTACCTTTGATCTTTGAGGCTGATGATCTTTGGATGGGGTTTTTGTGTGGGGGTCCTTTATGTTGATGTTATCGCTTTCTGTTTGTTAGTTTTTCTTCTAACAATCAGGTCCCTCTTCTGCAGGTCTGCTGCAGTTTGCTGGAGGTCCACTCTAGACCCTGTTCGCCTGGGTATCATCAGTGGAGGCTGCAGAACAGCAAAGACTGCTGCCTGCTCCTTCCTCTGGAAGCTTCATTCTAGGGAGGCCCTGGCCTAATGCCAGCCAGAGCTCTCCTGTATGAGGTGTCTGACGACCCCTGTTGGGAGGTTTCTCCCAGTAAGGAGGCACAGGGGTCAGGGACCCACTTGAGGAGGCATTCTGTCCCTTAGCAGAGCTGGTGTACTGTTGCTTTTCATTCTTAATGGAAAACCCAAGTCCTTTTTTTTTTTTTTTGAGATGGGGTCTCGCTCTGTTGCCCAGGCTAGAGTGCGGTGATGCGATCTTGGTTCACTGCAACCTCTGCCTCCCGGGTTCAAGCAATTCTCCTGCCTCAGCCTCTCCAGTAGCTGGGACTACAGGCATGTGCCACCACGCCCAGCCCAAGCTCTTAATTTTAATACTACTTGATTTATTGATCTTATAGAAATTTGCATTTTTGTTCTTATTCTTGAAACAGGGTATGAAGAAAAATATTCTCCTATAGTGTCTTTGGAAATTTTTATAAATTTGTTTTCATATTAAGTATTTAGTTTAATTGTAATTCCTTTTTTGTGTTAGGGTGTAGGATATGAATACAATTTTATTTCTTTTCTATTTGAATAAGCAATTGACCTAGGGTCATTTATTGAGAAGTTCATCTTTTCTCATGATCTGTGATGACTGCTTTGCCATAAATCCATTTTCTATATGTGCATGGGTTTTTTACTAGGCTCTCTATTATTCTGTTGGTCTATTAATCTATGCCTGTATTACTATCACACTGCCTTAATTTCTGTAGCTTATAGAAAGTATTAATATCTAGTAGGGTGAATCTTCTCCCCAACCCCTATGACTTGTTCTTCCTCAGGAGGGTCTTGGCTTCAGCTGGCCCTTTATTCTTTCATGTCAGTTTTGTAATCAGCCTGTTGAGTTTCACACATACACACACATGCACACTCTGATAGGATTTCAACTGGAATTGCACTGAAGTTATAGGTCAGTTTAGGGGGAATTACTGATGTATGAGAGTCAGTCTTCCTACCCAATAATATGATATATATTTTTTTCCAATTTAATCTTCTTTAATGTCTTTTAAGTCTTTTTTTTAGTTTTCACTATAAAAGTCTTACACATTCTTTGCTATATTGTATCCTAGGTATTTAAAAATGTTTATTGATATTTTAAACAGTATATTTAAAAAATTATATTTTTAGTCAATTCTTGTGTTTATCTAGAAATGCAATTTACTTTTGTGTATCAATTTGGAATCCAACAACTCTTATTTAAATTTTTATCTGTAGCTTGTTTAAGATTTTCTGTGTAAGCAATCATATCATCTGCAAATAATGACAGTTTTCTTTCTTTACAATCCTTTACCTTTTATTTCTTTTTCTTAGCTCCTACTGTGCAAGAACCTCCAGTATCATGTAGAACAAGACTGATTATAACAGGTCTCTTTGTCTTGAAACTGAGCTTATAGAGAATGCTTTCAGTTTAATCATTAGGTATGAGGTTTCTGTGGGTTTTTTGAGATCCCCTTTATTGGGTTAAGAAAGTTCCCTTCTATTCCCAGTTTGCTAAGGAGGTTGTTGCTGTTATTTTTAAAATAATAAGAGAATGCAGAGTTTTATTAACTTTTTCTGCCTTTATAAAGATATGAATTTTTTTACCTTACACTATTAATGTGGTGAATTACTTTAATTGATCTCATATTAAACCAATCTTGCATTCCTAGGAAACATCAACTTGGTTATAAAAAGTGATCTTTTTTTATGTATTGTCTGATTTGTTTCACAAAAATTTTGGTTTTTAGGGTTTTTGCATCTATATCCATTCATAAGCAAGACTGGCCTATATTTTTATATTTTCTTCTTTTTGTCACCCAGGCTGGTGTGCAGTGACACAATCACAAGATTCACTGCAGCCTCAACCTCCTGGGCTCAGGTGATCCCTGCACCTCAGCCTCCCAAGTAGCTGGGACTACAGGCACATGCCACCATGCCTGGCTAATTTTTAAAAATTTTTTATAGAGACAGTGTTCCACAATGTTGCCCACTCTAGTCTCAAACTCCAGGGCTCAAGCAATCTTTCTGTGTTGGCCTCCCAAGTTGTTGGGATTACAGGTGTGAGCCACTATGCCCAGCCTTTTTTTTTTTCTTAGAATACTCTTGTCTGATTTTGAAAGCAAAGTTATATCACAAATGAACTGGGAGAATGGTCTTTCTTTTTCCATTAGTTGGAATAGTTTGTAATAAATTAGAATTGCCCAATGCCATGATGTTTGGTATAATTTCCTAGAAATCTATCTGGATCTGAGGATGTGTGTGTATGTTTAACGGGAATATTTTAAAGTACTGATTCAATTTATTTAAAGCTTATAGGACTCTTTATGTTCTCTAGTTTTTTGAAAGATTTTTTGGATAAGTTTTTATCTATTTATTTCATCTAACTTTTCAAATTTATTGGCACAAAGTTGTTCATAACACCATTATATTTGTTTAATCTTTGTAGCAACTGTAGTTTTAGCCCCATTTTATTCCTGATTTTTTAAAATATAAGGCCTCTCTCTTTTTTTTCTCTCCTGATTATTCTCTCTAGAGATTTTCATATGTTATTCTTTTTTTGAACTTTGTTAATTTTTGTCTTAGTCAGTTTTGTGCTGCTATAACAGAATACCATAGACTCGGTAATTTATAACAAACAGAAATTTATTAGTGCACAGTTCTGAAAGCCAGGGAGTCCAAAATCAAGGTGTCTGCATCTGGTGAGGGCCTTCTTGCTGTGGCATAACATGGTGGAAGGCATCATATGGTGAAAGGGCAAAGAGTGCTGGGGAGAGGCAGACCCACTTCTGCAATAATGAACCCACTCAAGTGATAATGGTATGAGTGTATTCATGAGGGCAGAGCCCTCATGACCTAAACACTTCTTAAAGGTCCCACTTCCTAATATCATCACAATGGCAATTAAATTTTAACACGAGTTTTGAGGGGGAAAAACATTTAAACCAATTGTCTTCAATATATATTGAATTGTCTTCAATTGTCTTCAATATATATTTCCTGCCATTTTCATTAACTTTTGCTCTTATTTGTATTATTTTTTCCATTTTCTTGAATTTATTTTGCTGTTCTTTTCCCCTAACTCCTTATGGTTGGATGATTATTAAGTTGAACATTTTTTTTTTCCTGAGGTAAGCATTTACAACAGAACCTTTAAGAACTCTTTAACTGTGGACCACGGTTTTGATATATGATGTGTAATCATCCTGGTATTTTTATATTTAGACATTATTTTTCTTAGTATTTTCTAAGTATTTTATAACTTCTATTTTAATTTTTTGATTGATGGGTAATTCAGAAATGTATTCTAAATGTTTAAATATTTGATTTCACTAGTTATCTTTTTATTATTGTTCCTAACTAAAGTGCATTGGAGTTAAATTATATTTTCTGTGTGATATCAGTTATTTGACATGGTGATTTCAAACTGGCTAACCTGATGACTTAGCTTTTGGTGAATTTTCATAAACTTTTCATGTCAATCATGGAACTAATTATATGAAATCTCTTGTTGTTGGGTGCAGTGTAGCTAGATGTATCAGATGTACGTGAGCATGCTGATGGGTGGCTTATGGTGGGGAAGACAATATCCAATGATGCCTATAAGATAACCTTTCTTAAGTAAGGCAGAGGGACTTGGAAGCTATGAAATTTTTCAATTTGTTTTTGAAATGCCATCTGAAGGAGTATCTAGGAGTCTTATAGACTTTGGTAGCCTAGGGCTTGTTGCAATTTCTACTGCTTCTGTTGTTCCGTACTATGCAGATCCTAAAGTGAAGAATTCTAGTCGGTTAAATTGATTGCTCATTTTACTGGAACACCTCAGAAATGAATTGAGATTTATAGAATGGTTCCTGGCCCTGTTATTTGCATGAGAGTAAATGCTAGCCGATATATCAGATCTTTCTAGCCCAGCAAAACCCAAACCTGAAAAATATGAATGGTCTAATTAGCTGGCTATTCCAGGTGCTTGAATTAGTTCATAAAACAAACACTGCAGCATTTTGCTAGCTGGCTAAGAAAATGACATGTTACAAGGCAGCAGACAAGAGAACAGTTCTAAGAGGAGCTAATCAACTCTATCCAAGGTGGAATAGCTTAGATGAGAGTGCCAATAAACATGCCGACTCATTTCTCCAGTGTGTCTGGCTAGAGGGCTCCTACTCACAAACATTTATGTGAAAGCACTTTGGTGCTTTATTTAAGGAAAAGGCACGCTTGTATTTATCCAGATTATTTACAAATGATTCCTGCTGATGGGATCCATCCTCTGAATGACTTCCCCCCACAGGTTGACACCTTCAGTTTGGTATGTCACGCCTACTCTCATATTATAGGGCAAGAGATTCATGTCCCCATTTTTTTTTTTTTTTTTTGATGGAACATGTGACTATATAACTTCTGCAAGGAGTCCAGGTACTCTCGGCACTTTGCTTATTTGTAGCTGAAGCGAGGGTGAACACCAAGGAAATAAAGAGCCTGGCCTGGGAATGGAGAAGGAAGGCTTCAGGGATGCAGGGACTTATAGTGGGGAAGGGAATGTGTATGGAACCAACCAGCTCCAGGGATCCACCTGGAAGGTTGGTGGGAAGTAGTGTTAAGCTGCTTCCAAGTCCTTTTCCCAGTAGAAGATGCCTGATTTTTTCTAACCTGGGCTTTCAGTGGTGGAACACACTGCTGTGGCTGGAGGACTTGTTCACAGCAATCTTTTACAAACTTATATTTACTGGTTTAATAGTTTGTTTTTTTTAGTTGATAGTATTCATTCTTTTGGAAAATCAGGATGTTTTCCAATATTATATATGCTATGCCACATAAGAGGTTGTGATATTTCACATTAAATGTGGAGAAGGTCAGAATCTGAGAGAGTTGAAAAATCCATCCATTTCACATATCAGAACATTGCCCAATTATAGTATCTTGACAGTCTTCTGTTCTTTGTTCTTTGTGATTTTCAGGCAATACCACCAAGTTCCTTTGGCATTCTGGGTAGCAGGTCAATTGGACCTTTTATGATAAGAGATTTTTTAGCTAGGGTGATAGTGGCTTTAAAAAAACAGCCGGGGCCATTTGGATTGCTAGCTTGGACTCGCTTATATCTTGCTGAAAGTATAGGATGCTATGGTTTTTCATAGAGATAAATTATTTATGAATATCGACCCACCTCCAGCTTGACGGCTGGTGTATGTTGCCTATCTATTTTACTGACAATTCAGTAGCATAATGACTTCTATGTTTTTGGAGGGCACTTTTGAAACTATTGTGCTGTCTTAGATGGTAATTTCATCACCCTTAGGAAATTATGCTAATTTTACTGAATTCTAAACCACTTTTCTTCATGTAACTTTCTCATGTCATAATAAAACCACTTATAACATGTAAAATAAATTCTAATGCTTTTTTTAGTGGTATTGTGTCTATATCATAATATAATCCATTTCCTCTTGAATATGTAGATATTTTTCAATTTTTCCTTATCATAAATTCCTAGAAATGAAATTATTAAAGAGCATAAAAATTTTTAAAAGACTTTTGTTACTTCTTGCCAAATTGCCCTCCATATTTATTGCACTAATTTATATTCTCATTAGCAATGTATAAAAGTAGACATTTCACTGGTCGTTTCAATAAAGCTAGATATTGGCATCTTAAATGATTAATACTATAGTATTTCATGTTAAAATAGGAAATATGTCTTGGCAGGGTTTGAGTAAATTTTTTGTTTTACTTTTGCAATTTATTAAGAGATGAGTACATTTAAGTCTTTATTCTGCTTGAAATTAATTTTGATGTCTGATGTGAGATAGGGGTCTAACTTATTTTTCCCAAATATGTAACTAGTTGAATAATCCATAATTTTCTGACTGATTTGAAATAATACTCTTTTGATTAACTAAATACACTTATTTCTATAGACATTTTATTTAAAAATGTGTTTTTAAAACATTTCAAAACCTAAAAAACTTTAAAAAGCAGATTTTAAAAAATTACTTTTTTCTTTTCTTTTTTTTTTTTTGAGACAGAGTCTCGCTCTGTTGCACAGGCTGGAGTGCAGTGGCGCAATCTCGGCTCACTGCAACCTCTGCCTCCTGGGTTCAAGTGATTCTCCTGCCTCAGCCTCCTGAGTAGCTGGAATTACAGGTTCCTACCATCACGCCCAGCTAATTTTTGTATTTTTAGTAAAGACGGGGTTTCACCATGTTGGCCAGGCTGGTCTTGACTCCTGACCTCAAGTGATCCGCCCACCTTGGCCTCCCAAAGTGCTGGGATTACAGGTGTTGGCCACAGCGCCCGGTCAAAAATTACTTTTTAACATTAAACTTTTGTCAAAGAGGAATTGTAACCTTTGCATATTAACAATAAAACCTAAACAAATTATGTAATTAAAATATAACATATCACTATGACTCTATAAATTCTGGTATTTGCCATAAATGTGGGAAGGATCAGCATTTGATTGAGATAGCTGCCTACATATCAGTTACATTTTTGGGCCACTTTTCGGGTTGTCTCAGTTGTCTTCAGTGGGAAGAATTCCAAAGCTCTCTGTTGGAGGTAGTCTGTGTTAGGTTCTGATGAATGGGTGAGACCAAGTCTCCAATGTCTCACTGTTAGATCTGTTCTTCTGACCTGGACCTGGCTTTTCATGCATCACTGTCTTGACCTTGGCTTGCCCTGTATTCTCTACTTTCTGACTGTTTGTCTGGTGTCTGAATCACAGCTTCATGCTGATAGTTCCCTTCCCCTTATTTGCAGACTGCCTGGCCTTCCTGGTTTTACCTTAGAGCCTCATTTCCCTGATTCATTGCAGTTCTTAGATGGTCTCACTGTGTCAGAAAAAAAGGTGCCTTCTGGTTAGCTGACCCTTCCCATAACTCTTTCTTCAGGTACTGGCCTTTTCTTAGACATTTTCCTTATATGCAATAAAGCTTATAGAGCATGAGGTTGCATTTTAACTCTAGGTACAATATATTTGCAGACTTACGGTAATAGATATCTGGGCTGTCTATTAAAGCAGTTTAAGAATTCATCATTTTCTTTTTTACTACGTCAGTTGCGCTTTGGTTTCAAGTGTGGTGTGGGTCTTCATTTTCCTGTGTATTTTGCCTTGAGATTTGTATTTGTATTTATTGTAATAAAGAGAAATAATAATAATCATGATGATAAGACAGGACCAAAGAAAAGTGCCAACTAAGAAAGGAAGAACAGAGGGAAATAAGATCAGCAAACAAAGTTTACTTTAGCAACGTGACTAAAAAAAGGGATAATGCCCCAAACAACATGGTAATCACAATAACTGTTTTGAAACTTCATATCAAATTATTTGATGGTGTCTATCAACCACCAATTCTATTTGAAAGACTTAAATAAAGGTATGCCCTTTAAACATTTAGCAAGTAGAGCTTACCTATGTGAATGTACAAAATACTCCAATTCCAACTACACCACTTCAGGTCCATAAAAGAGTGAAGCTTCAGAAACAATTTTTGGTAATCTTTTGTACTATTTAGAACTCTTTAGGAAAGAATTTGGAGATTCTTTTTTGTTTACTGTACAGCAATGAAATTCTGCAAATACATATTAAGAACAACAATGATAATTTTTCACTTTTTCTCAGCAAATATCAAATTAGGAGGCCTAAAGAATGAGCTATGTAGTTGCCACATGCTGTGTCTTTGTTTTTATGCAGTGTAATCTCAAGTCTTCCATCAATTCAGAACAATTAGTTCTTCTTTCTATGAAGAAAGTAAGAATAATAGATTTCAAGTCATTAAAGACTAATCAATTTTCGAAAGCTTTGCCTTCCAAGCATTTTCTGGAAAATAAGTGATGTCTACTGATAAGTCATAAGTGTAAGGAGATGATTTTATGAATTGGAATTAAATGAGTATTACTAAATGATATAGCAATAAAAGCAATTTTTTGAGCTTCAGAAAGTTTGGCAATCTATTGGTTTGTGTTTCAATGGATTATTCATTTTATGTTTTTTTATTTCCATTAACTTCTCTACATTACAACTCCATAAGGCATTTGAAACAGGATGTAGATGAAATATGAGACTGAACTTTTTCTCTGAATCTTTTGGTGGGGCAATGGGCTAATATGATGTTGAAAAAGGTATGCAGGCCTAGTTCATGAAGCCTTCAGGGAAAGTGTATGGAAAAGACAAAATAAAACAAAAGCTAAATCTCTAAAGCATGGTTTATAACCTGTTGTCTTCAGACCCCAGAGGCCTTGGATTTTTATTTTTTATTTTTATTTTTTAAGATGGAATCTTGCTCTGTTGCCCAGGCTGGAGAGTAGTGGCACAATCTCAGCTCACTGCAACCTCTGCCTCCCGGGCCCAAGCAATTCTCCTGCCTCGGCCTCCCGAGTAGCTGGGATTACAGGTGTGCACCACTATGCCCGGCTAATTTTTGTATTTTTAGTAGAGATGGGGTTTCAGCTTGTTAGCCGGGCTGGTCTCAAACTCCTGACCTCAGGTGATTCACCCACCTCAGCCTCCCAAAGTGCTGGGATTACAGGCGTGAATGCCTGATGAGGCCTTGGATTTATTAAGTGACCCTCTAATTCAGTGGTTCTTAACCCTACCCTGACAAACAGCCAGAAGTCAGATCCCCTCCAGGGCCCCTCCCCCTACCAATTGTGATTTAATTAGTTGGGGTGGGGCTAAAACATCAGTACTTTCCTAAAGGTCCCAGGTGATTCCAGTATTAACAAGGACTGCCAAGCTCTGTTCTATTCCTATGTATGTCTAAGTGTCTGTAGGCCGAAGAATACCTTATATACATGCATATCTTATTTCACCTTTTCTCTCTAATTTCTTTATAATTTTTCTCTGTAATCTTCTCCACAATTTACAATTATAACTTTATAATTTTTGAGCTATATTTTGTAACTCAAAGACAAGGTCATTTGAAAGTGTTATGGAATTAATAGGGGCTTTTGTCATTACATATTTCCTCATAAGTATGTTCAGGAAACATAATTACATCATGTGGACACTCTTAGACTTGAACAGTTTGAGCATTTTGGCTATGAAGGACCTAAGGTAGATTCAAGATTCTGGTTTTTAAAAATCACCCTTGTAGATTAAACATTGGTCAAGATTAGTTCTTGGCTTAATCATGAGTACTGGAAAATTTTACTATAAAGTATTGGGGATAGAGTCCTTAAATACAGAGGGAATAAAAGAGATCTTAGGCAACCCATCTTTGCCATGAATGTGGGACCTGGATAAGATTCTCAACTCTGAATCTTGCCTTAGGGAGCCTCCAGTGATTTCTCTGAGAAAGTAGAAAGAGAAGATGGATTTGTTTTGCTTCGAGGCTTCTTTCGTACCTCTAAAGTGTGTTTTTTTGGGGCTGGCTGGGATTCTTGAGCATATTAAATATAATTCTTTCTCAAAGACATGAAAGCTGAGTTCAGAGGTTGCTTTTTACAGCCTTTGTGGATCTTGAAGGTGGGAATCCTTTTTCTGGGTGTGCTTCATGGCACCACATTCAACTCAGAAACTTGCAGATGGGTTTGCAAGTGCAAGATCCTGGGTCAGAAATGTATCCAATTACTGTTCTCTATGAAGGAGGCACAGGTCAGTTCCTTCACTGAGAAGTAAAAATTGCTTTTGGCCTTGTGACTTTGTCTTTTTAAAGGTTAAAAATCATGGCTGCGTGTTATATACAAAAGACAGATCTGCATAAAAGGCATGGAAAAGATTTCTGCACTTCTCAAGAGCAGTTGTACTTAAAATATCTGAGATAGAAAAAATATTATGACATAAAAATACTCAAAGCGGTAAGAGTCTACCACAATTATAACAGCTCATTCCAGATTTTAACAACTTTACTTTACCTTAATTTATTAGAAATCTCTCCTGTTGTAGATCATTTCTTGTTCTTTTGTCCCAAGGGAGATGAGTAAAAATTGGGCACCATTCTCCATATGATATTTCATTATAATCCTTGAGGCATTTGTTAGTTTCCTATTCAAGTTTCCATTTTCAGAAACAAGCACATTTTTTGCCTTCTTACTAGTCCTGTTTCCTCCTTACCTGGCCTTCTGTGAAGCTCTGCTGGTGATTGTGATGACCTTCTGAAGATCCTGGGCTTAAAAGCTGTTAGGCAAAATTCCCATCCTTACCTAGACAATTTTTACTTTCCATTTCAAGTCCTTTTCCTGAAATTAAAAAAAAAAATCGTCTATGTCTGTATCTATATCTAAATCTATCAAACTTCTTTTTGAGCATCTGTACCATGTGGATGACCCACAGGCAACTAAACCTTGAAATGTCCACAACGAAACTCATATTCCCCAGAATCTGTTCCTTACTGCGTTCCTCACTCAGTGAATCATCCCACTACCCTCCCAGACATCTGCACCAGAAATATGGAGTCATTTTCACTTCTCTAACTTTCACAGCCTTCCAAATTAATCAGCATAGAATCAGTTCTATTCATTCTACCTCCTAAATATCTCTCAACTCAGTCCATTTTCCACCACTCCTACTACCACTAACCACCATCCCAGCCCAGAGATGGTTCATCTCTCACCTGGACCTCTTGCTTCCAATCCATTCTTTACATGTAGCCACAGCAGTCTTTCTAAAATGAAGACTCAGTCATATCACTCCCACTCACCTTCTTAAAACTCTCTAGTGACCCCTCGCTTCCTCTATGATAAATTTACAATTCTACACCTAGTTACTAGACACCCTCTCATCAGCCTCCAGCTGTCTTTCCTACCCCATGTCTGACACTTCCCACAAGAGCCATCTTCAACTTCTTTCTATTCCTCAAATTAACCAGCGTTTATTGCCTCTGGACTTTAGAGATACTATTCCCTCTTTCTGGGACACTCCCTTCCACCTCTCCCTAATGCTTCTCTCCTTTTTTTCTGGATAATTCCTATTGATCCTGTGGGTATCACCTTAAACACTTCACTTTCTTTGGGAGATATTGTCTGACCTTAGACTAGTTGTGGCACCCTGCTGTTGTGTTCCGTAATGCTATGTGTTTCCTCTACTATTATACTCATTTGTGGTGATTACTTGGCTAGTTAAATCTATTTTTTAATTTCATCTATTATTAAACTTTTGTTCCTTCTATAATATCAGAGTAACATGTTCCTTTATCTAATTATTTTCCTAATTTTCTTCATCTACTATAATTCATTTATGCCTCAATTTGGGACTCAGCTTTCTTGATTGTTTTTAATTGGAAGATTAATCTACAGATTTATGTATATATTAAGAAAGTACATAATTGTATCAGCGATTCTGATCTCCCATTAGATTAATTTGATTTTATCAAGTTTTGAGTTAATTTGTGAGAATTATCTTATAAGTAGTGTAATGAAGACACAGACAAAGCATGTCCTAAGATGCATTATTTTTTAAAACCATTAAGACTTAATGGAGGCTGGGTGCGGTGGCTCATGCCTGTAATCCCAGCACTTTGGGAGGCCGAGGCAGGTGGATCACTTGAGGTCAGGAGTTCGAGACCAGCCTGGCCAACATGGTGAAACCCCCATCTCTACTAAAAACACAAAATTAGCTTGGTGTGGTGGCACATGCCTGTAATCCCAGCTACTCAGGAAGCTGAGGTAGGAAAATTACTTGACCCTGGGAGGTGGTGGTTGCAGTGAACAGAGATTGCACCATTGCACTCCAGCCTGGACAAAAAGAGGGAAACTCCATCTCAAACACACACACACACACACACACACACACACACACACACACACACACACACACCAAGACAAAAAAACAAAAAAACAAAGACTTAATAGAAAAAATCTTTCTTCCTAGCTTTTATTTTAAATTAAAAGATTAATACTTACCACATGTATTAATACAATTACATTTTCTCCTTTTTGTTTTTGAGACAGAGTCTTGCTCTGTCGCCCAGTCTGGAGTGCAGTGGCGCAATCTTGGCTCCCTGCAACCTCTGCCTCTCGGGTTCAATCGATTTTCCTGACTCAGCCTGCCGAGTAGGAGTAGCTGGGATTACAGGCGCCTACCACCACACCTGGCTAATTTTTGTATTTTTAGTAGAGATGGGGTTTCACCATGTTGACCAGGCTGGTCTTGAACTCCTGGCCTTAAGTGATCCACCCACCTTGGCCTCCCAAAGTGCTGGCATTACAGGCATGAAGCACTGCTCCAGGCCACATTTTCTCTTTAAGTTATCAGTTTATCAGGTGGATTTAGAGAGGTGAGGAGATGGTGGGGAGAGTTTAGACCATTTTTGTGACTCCTTGTCATGCTAAAGCATCCCAGTGTCTATTGTTCTCATGTGACTTTGGATGCTTTAGCAATGGGGTAGCAACCTACTCCATAGCCTTGGTGGTTGGTCTACTCAGACTCAGAGTTGAGTTTTGGTCGGTAAGAGACCCTTCTCCAGAGATGCAGATTATCACAAAGGTAAGGGCAAACAGGCTGTTCCTACTGCAGAGTGGATTTTCAGTCCATTCCATCATGGCCAACACCATTGATATGCAACCATCAGAATACATACCACTCTTCTTGTTCCTCCCCATTTTAAGGCATTTCCCATCAATAGGTTTTATTGCTCTCACTAATGACTAAAGTCTTTATCATTTAGGACAGTGGTTCTCATATGAGGATAACAGAGGAGCATTTAAAAAAATACCAATGCCTAGTAATGATTGATTCCATATGTGATGACTTTCTCAAGTTAATTTTCAGATGCAGTCAGGGGGAACAACCACTGATTTTGGTCAAAGATGCACTTCACCTTGTTTAATAAATTGATTTATCAACCTTCTACTCTCTTCATATGTAGACTTTCACCTTTATCTCAATCTCCCCCATTCCAGTAAATGATACTTCCGTCCACGGTTTCTCAAGTTAAAATCTGAGGCTCATTGTCTTTTGTCTATTCTCCCCTCCCAACCAATTCATCAGGAAGTACTACAGACTCAACTTCCAACATATTTGTCTACTTCTCTTTACCCTCATTGCCTTTTTCTTAAACCCAGACTATCCTCATACCTTACCTGGACCACCAAAATTTCCCAACTGGTCTATTTCAATTCTGTGTCATCCTCCACAAAGTTCTTAATTTTAGATAAGAATAAGCCATCTAGGTTTATAAAATCTTAATATTTTACTACATTGGGCTTTTTTTACATAAAAGAGTCGAATATGTTTTATTATATAGCATTTTATTTTTAGAAATTTTATTTCATAGAATATATTTTTATATTAGAAAACTTCAAATGGGAAAATAACAATTTTTTATACTTTTATACTTGTAGGCAGATTGTTTTAAGACAAGTAAAATAAACATATTTGAGAGATTAAGTTTTCATTTAGAATGTTTGATATTTTCATACAATTACAAAGGAGACTTCTTCCCTAAACGGAACTTCTCTATATTCAGCAGCTTTCCAAGCTCCTCTTCTTAGGATTTAGAAATTAGTAGTGTGAGATATCAGCTTTTTCTAATTTTAATGTTTCCCAAGGACATGGAACCATCAGTAGCTGATATCAACTGAACAGAGGGGGAAATTTTCAAAAATTAAATATTGTCTAATTTTCTGCAAAGTCTTTGTGCATGAATTAACAGTCTTTCTCTTTGTCTATCCTTATCAGGAAAAATACAGGAGATGTTTGATCACATATTTAGTAATTAAACTGAATTCTGTTTAAGAGATTGGTAAATGAAGATGCAAAAGCTCATATATAATGTTTAGTTATACTCTGATTCTGGGAAAGAAATCTCATTAACTCACCAGAAAATGGGACTCAGTTGCACAGTTTCTTGAATACAAATCCTCTCAAACTTTTCCTCAAAGATTAAATTCTGGGCTGGGAGCAGTGGCTCACACCTGTGATCCCAGCGTTTAAAGAGGCCAGAGTGGGAGGGTTGCTTGAGGCCAGTAATTTGAGACCAGACTGGGCAATGTAGTGAGACCCTGTGTCTACAAAAAATAAAAAAGAATAGCTGGGCATGGTGGTGTGCACCTGCAGTCCTAGCTACTTAGGAGGCTGAGGCAGGAGGATTGCTTGAGCCCAGGACTTTGGGTGATGAAAGTGAGCTATGATTGCACCAAAGAGTTTTGTCTCAACAATGAACTTATCTGTTACTTCCTTTTTATTGTTAGTGGAATGGCATGGCAGAGCAGAGGCAAAGATAAGTACTTTTTAAGGTGTTAAGAATTACTTTTTAAGGTGTTAAGTCTAAAAGGTCAGAGCTTCCACAGCATGGCAACAGCTTTCCAGATGCCCCCATCATGATAGTTGAAATCACAAAGCCCGGCAAAGGTTAAAGTCAAGTGTGCCAAAAGGCCTGCCTTGGCAGCTTTCCGTGATGCGTCTGCATAGACATAGTTTGAAACAACTTGTTCAAAGTCTTAGTGACTAAGGAGAGTGAGGGCTGTAGCCAGGGAGTAGTCCATCGCAGAGCAAGGATTCAAAGCAGCAGCTGGAAGCAGGAGCTAAACACTGACAACCCCGTCACCAGTCCAGTGGACAGACGCAGCCTTGGAAACAGAATGGCGGCTGGGTGGCAGGTGAACATGCTGTGCTCCACACCATCCTGGGGTAGGTTGGCCCTAGGGATGTGCTGAGACATGGCAGGTCTGACCAGTGGGGTTCAAAGCAACAGAGATCAGCTTCCTTGGGTGCCACAGATTACACTCAACCTCCAGAGAACCACCATCTTGCTCCTGAATTGTTTTTCTTTCTTTCTTTTTTTTGAGACGGAGTCTCACTCGCCCAGGCTGGAGTGAAGTGGCGTGATCTTGGCTCACTGCAACCTCCACCTCCTGGGTTCAAGCAATTCTCCTGCCTCAGCCTCCTGAGTAGCTGGAACTACAGGCACCTGGCACCACGCCCGGCTAATTTTTTGTATTTTTAGTAGAGACAAGGTTTCACCATGCTGGCCAGGCTGGTCTCGAACTCCTGACTTCGTGATCTGCCGGCCTCAGCCTCCCAACGTGCTGAGATTACAGGCGTGATCCACTGCACCTGGCCCCCCGAATTGTTTTTCTAAAGAAGTAAGCTTTCTTGTTGTAGTTGAAGCCTCCTCTGTGGTTCTCCCTGATGCCACTTCCTTCCTTCCTCTCCACAGGTAATCACTAATATAAATTTAGTGTTTATTATTCCCTTACATGCTTTTATACTTTTGCTACATATTTGAATCCATAAATGATATTTAGTATTATTTTTAAGTATTGTGGTATTATATAGATTGTATCAGACTGCTGCTTGTTTGTTTCACTTAACATTATGTTTTTGACATTTGTTCATGTTGATACAGGTAGCTCTAATTTATTCATTTAAATTGTTGTATAATACACTACCAAACCACAAGATCATAATTTATTTTTCTCTTGATCAACATTCAAATGGCTTCACGTTTTTAATTTTCATAATTGATGTTGCAGTGAACATTTGTGTACCTCTCTTCTATATATTTGGAAAAATGTCTCTACATACATGCCAAAGAGTGGTATGTGGCGCCTTAGCGCCTTAACAACTTTTCTATATTCTGCATAATTGCAATGCAATCTTTTCAAAAGAATAAATTATTTAAAAAATATTATTGTGCATGTATAATATGCATGCCAGAATGAAGCAGTAAATAGGAGAGACAAAATCTCTGCTGTCTTAGATTTTATATTTTAGTTGGGAGGAGAACAAGTAAACTGGTAAGATAATTGCAGAGAATCTAAGTGCTAAATAGTGGCCAATGCTATTCTTCTGCTTCAAGATCTTCAAAGGTTTTCCATTGCATTTGGGATTAAATATAACTCTTTCTAGGCCTGTGAGACTTGGCACCATTTGGTCACTGCCTCCCTCTTTCACTCTCCCTTTGTCTCCCTCTACTCTAGCCACATTGACCTTTGACTTTTTGGAACTTATTAAGCTTTTTCCTGCTTCAGGACCTTATATGTATTGGTTCATCTTCCTGGAAAGTTCTTTCCACCACTCTTTGCCTAGAAAATTCT
The DNA here is from genome assembly GCF_000001405.40 of Homo sapiens. Taxonomy (NCBI): domain Eukaryota; kingdom Metazoa; phylum Chordata; class Mammalia; order Primates; family Hominidae; genus Homo; species Homo sapiens. Next base: position 178,016,701 of record NC_000002.12, on the reverse strand, counting down.
TACTCATGATTGAAGTCTCGGCTTATTTGTTCTGTTTTGAGAGAGAACTTCCTTGATCCCTATAAAAATAAGTCCTTCATATTCAGTCTCTCTCACGCATTTTGCTTTTTTCTCAGTAACACTTACCACAATATATAAATATACATCTATACATTGTCTGCCTCACCTACTTGATTGCAACTTCCACCTAGCCCATAGCCTGACATGTAGTAGTTCCTCAGAGAAATTTAAAAATAATTAATACAGATTGCTGATTTTCTGAAAGTTTGGTCACATACTTATTTTGAGCAGGAGATTTGGTTTTGTTTGGGTTTTGATTTCCCTCTCTTTAATTGGACTCTCCTCTCTCTGGGGTTTAGTGTGGCCTCCATGGATCACCAGACCAGAGCCAGGCCTCATAATGGCATTTAAAGACTCCTGGCCGGGCACTGTGGGTCACGCCTGTAATTCCAACACTTTGGGAGGCCAAGGCGAGTGGATCACCTGCGGTCAGGAGTTCGAGACCACCTTGGCCAATATGGTGAAACCCCATCTCTACTAAAATGCAAAAAAAAAAAAAAAAAAAAAAAATTAGCCAGGCATGATGGCTTGCATCTGTAGTCCCAGCTACTTGGGAGGATGAGGCAGGAGAATCGCTTGAACCCGGGAGGTGGAGGTTGCAGTGAACCGAGATCAAATGACTGCATTCCAGCCTGGGTGACAGAGCGAGAATAGCATAGCATAGGCACCAGTGCTTTGTTTTTGTCTTTTAAGCCTCCTTTAACAGGGGTGTGCAGAAGGTACAGGAAGAAGCCTCACTCCAACCCCTGACTTGAAATAGTTTATCATCAGACTGGATCCAGTTTATCATCTACCTTGGAGCATTTTTAGTCACAGTTACTCAGGAGCCAATCTTTTTCTTTTTTTCCTTCCACCCTCCTTTTCCTCTCTCCTTCCCTTCTCTCCCTCCCTCCTTCCATCCATTCGTTCCTTCCTTGAAAGTGAGTTGAAGGTATGATATTTCACTCCCCAAATACCCTAGCATGTATATCCTAAGAATAAGGACATTCTGCAGCATAATTACAACACCAGTATCATACTTAAGAAAGTTTATAATGATATAATTATCTGACTTAACTTTCTCCAATTGTCCCTCCAGAAATATCCTTTGTGGAATTTTCGGAATTTCTAGTAAAGGATCACATATTTTATTTGGATTTCAGGTCTCTTCAGTCTTCTTTAAATTGGTATAGCTCCCATGGTTTAACTTTATATTTATTTAAAAAAACTTTTTTTTTGTCTTTCATGATCTTGACATTTTTTAAGCATCCAGCGTTAGGTTTCTGATAGAATGACTGATGATTTCTACATTTCTTAATTTTCATTTCTTGAATAATTAGATTCACGTTACACATTTGACAAGAACACTGTATTCTTGGTGATGTTGTGTCCTTTCCATTGCATTATATCAGGAGGCACATGGTGTTAATTTTTCTTCTAAAGAGTGATGCTAAGTTTACTTGTTTGAGGTAGCGTTCACCAGATTTATTCACTACAAAGACACCTTTTACCTTTGTAATAAGGAATCTTTGGGTGTGGCACTTTGAGACTGTGTGACTATACTGTTTAAGTTAAACAATTTTCACCCAATGGTATTAGCATACTTAATGACCCTTGCTTGTAAACATAATTATATAGGTAGTTGCAAAATATATTGTATAATTTTATCATTTATTTTATATATTTTAGCTGGCATTCTATAGAGAAGTCTTTTATCTCCCCATACCCCACATCTTTTTGGGAGGATTTTGAAATATCATTATGTACTCATAGATTTTTTTTTCACAGGATCATTTTGGCCAGAAATAAAGTAGCTCTATATTGAACAATTTTTCAGTGTTTAGTATATATTTCTCATGTAAGTTTCTTATATGACATTTCATATCCTGTCTTTTTGAAATAACATGTTTTCATAAATCACATAAATCGCTTTCCTTAAAAACACGTTTCCCCAATTTTGATGTGTTGCGGTTGGGCTTAAAGTCTCTCTCTTCATTTACTATGGCAAACAACTATGGCATTGACTTATTTGGATTTATATTCCTTTGGTGAATTAAAAATGAAGTCAAATCTGTTATTGTGATTAAAAATTCATGGGGCTAGTTCCCAGTGATAAGGTATCATATGCAGAAATAAACCTCTCTCTCCTTCTCCCTGACAACAATGCACATGCAGTTAATGCTTTCTTTGTCTTATTTTTAGGATCGACGATTCAATGATGAAATCGACAAGCTAACTGGATACAAGACAAAATCATTATTGTGCATGCCTATCCGAAGCAGTGATGGTGAGATTATTGGTGTGGCCCAAGCGATAAATAAGATTCCTGAAGGAGCTCCATTTACTGAAGATGATGAAAAAGTAAGATTTCATGCCTTTTGTGAGTTGTACTTTTCTTCTTGGTCATTGATTGCTATTCTCCTTTAAAAGACAGGAATTATGTGAATAGCTGTTGGATTAGCCCATTCATGGATCAAAGAGCTTTTTCTCATGGTATACAAAATGAAATGGGAGTTTTTCGATATTTCATAGAATGTGGTAAAATTGAAAATAATTACTTCATCTTTTTTTGTAGCTTGCTTTTCATTATAAGCCTCGGTAGTATTCTTGTTGTTCCCTGGTCTTTGTCTTCCTTATAAGTAAGATAAGGATCACAACTCCACCACACATGGCCTAAGGGAAGATAGAAAATATAGGAAGATTGCTGTGTTTCAGAAACTCAGCACTTTCTCCTATATTTTTATAACTACAACAAAGAATTGTTTTCTCAGTTCTTATATAAAAATCTCAATAAAAACGAATGTTATTTAATTGTTATTTCAAATTGCTAATAAAAAGAACATTACTTTTGTCCCTGAAGAGTAATTGACCTTGGTGGAAGTAATGTACTTTTTGCTCTGAAATTTTAAGTTCTTTCACTAGTAGTTTATTTACCAGTTTATATTAAAAGAGAGAGAGTCCTCAAAGAACTGAAGTTCTGGCTTTGAAGCTTCTACCTTTATATTGAATAAAATCTGGTTGAATATTTATAAAATATGCGCTAAAAGCAAATCTCAAATTAGTTTGTTTAAGTTTGATGACTCTCATATTTCTATTTAATTAAAAAACACTTTATAATTTAACCTTCTGGATGTGGGTTTGTCATTTGCCAATGCTAATTACAAATGCATTAAATTAATGCAAATGTTCTGGCACAGAAGGTCAACATGAAATATGATTGTAAGGAAACAAGAAGGTTTTTAAGTGAAGACAGTCCTTGATTGAGGTCATTTTTATAGTGGAATTGAGACGGCCCAACTCTCCTTAAAGGTTTTTGAATTCATAGAGCATGATAGGACCTCAAAAGATTTCTTACAATGAAGTAAAATGCTATGGGGTATGAGGCACTTGTATTGGGATCCTAAGAGGCACAAAGATAAATCCCAATCATGTTATGTCATCCAGGAGCTACACAAGGCAGGAGACAAGAATCATCAGCAAGTTGTTCTCAGACAGGCTGGGGGCGCCTAGGAAAGACAGGCTTGTTCTCACTTGGATCTGAAAAGGCTTCCTGGAAGAGGCGGTATTTGATCTGTCCTCTGAAGCAAAAATAGGCCTCCATCAGACAGAAACAGATGAGAAGGAGAGGACGTTGTTTAGAAGTGAATATAAATGTAGGCCACTTTATTCCAATAAAGATATTTCCATGGAATGTAAGATAAAGCAGAAATTTCATTTTGTGCATTTTGTATCATAGATGGCAGAGTCCTGAGATGATGTGCCTCTTATACAGATTTAGGTAGAAGGATGTGGGTTTTGCGTCTTTCCAAATATAACCACTACATACCCATACCATACCCCTAACAGTTCAGTTTGTACACAGATGGTAGTCCTGCCTTTGCTCTGCTGCCTTCATTTAAAAGGAACTCATTATATATTTAGTTCTTATCTTTGATTCCATTTATGTTAGATTTGTTTTCTGGACTTTTCTTAATGGACTTGTACCTGTGAGATAGAGCTTCATGAGCTGTGAATAATTTAAAGGGAAGATTTGCACAGGACTCTGTACCTTTCTTGAATAGCATCAATGTTTAGTTCTATTAAGAATGAGAGCCTGGGACTGAGTCCCAGCTCAGCTAATGACAGGCAGCTGCTTGGATGCACAGCTCACACTTACCTCTGACCTGAAGTTTTCTCATCTGTCAACTATACTATTCACCACTCTATAGCAGGAGAGTTAAATAAGATCATCAATGAGAAATACTTTGCAAAATACAAGAAACTAGGCAAGTGTAAAATACAATTTTTTTAAATAATTAATATTTTCCCTATGAGTTTTAAAATATTCTTAATTTGTCACTTATCCCCAAGCAACTTTTTCTTAGATTCAGCCTTATCTGAATATTTTCTAGCTTGAAATGATATATTTTTCTCTTCTGTAGTTATCCCATGTGCCACAGTGGCATTTTATCTTCCAGCCTCTACAACTCCCACACCTGACTTGAAAACCCTACTCTAGTTTTGCTTCTTGTAAGAAGTCCTACCAGTTAGTGCAGGTAGATTGTGTTCATGCAGGTGGCACCAGCTGGAGAGTATTTTATCTCAACAACTTCTGCGTATGGGTATTGTTATTTCCTGAAAGGATCCTATATATTGCAAACCAAACAGAAAAGGTGAAGGAGAAAAGCAGAAGACAAAATCTAGAAGTGATTCACGGGAAAGTATTTCTTCCAAATAAGAGAAGACAGCAAAGTATAATGGCTGTACTGGCCATATGGTGAGTCTATCTGGGTTGAAATTACATCTCTGCCATGGCCTCAGTAACCTTGGGCAAGTTACTTAGCTTCTCTGGGCCACAATATTCTCCTCTTAGAAGAGGGGTGATAGTAACACTTACTCACAGGGCTGTAGGGAGATTAAATGAGAGAATCCGGGGAAAGAACTTGGAAGAGAACTTAGGACTTAGTAAGTTCTCATGAGCGATTGATTAGCTTTTCCTGACAGCACGTGAATACATGTGAGGTATCATGTGTATGTCAGTCAGGCCTCAGTTTAAAAATTACCTTTGTCTAATTTAAGTCTATACATTCATATCAAGTGGACCTCCCAGGTTGCTGAAAGGTGGTAGCTGGGAGGGTGGCACACCCAGAGAAGGATCAGAAGCTCTGCACCTCTTCCCCTATACCTCGCCCTATGTATCTCTTCCATCTGGCTGTTTCTGAGTTACAACCTTTTATAAAATTATAAACTGGTCTTCTATATGAGAGATTGGGTATACAAATGGACAATGACCAGTCCACATATAATGACAGACCCACATTCTCTTCAGCAGGCAGCTTAGAAGGCCAAATCACAGTCTCTGTAGCAATCAGCTTAGCACAGCCAGGATTTGGTCAATGACCGCCACCTTCCCTATTTTTTTGCTCTCATCATGCCCTCCACCCCTGCATACTTACAACTCAGAGCCACTGAGAGAAAAGCCAAATATATTCCCTGAACTCATTACCTAAAATGCCGTGCTTCTAGTTACCCTGCCTTCAGCTTCCCCATGCCAACAACCTCCACTTAGAACATACCTAAAGTCTTCTATTTTTTTCACCGTAAAACTTGTGCACTCCCCTTTGAGTGTTCCAAATGCAAGAGATGGTGACTGTCTTCCTTGTTATAGCATGGGATGAATAAATAGCCTGTGTTTGTCCTCATTTAAAGATAAATTTTTATTAAATACAATGTATATGCCAGATGATCCTCCCTTATTGGGATTTCTCCAGTTAAAAGGGGAATATATTTCTTTATAAGTTCATGAATCTCTTGCCTTATTAATACACATACTCTTTTACTTGGGTGTACAAGGTTATCCTTATATGTACTAATTTGCATTCTACGTTTTAACCCAGTTATTTCTTACATATGCGTCCACATACGAATATATTCTACATTTGTCATTTTGGGAGATCATAAAATTTTCTTCTTTTCTTTTTCTACAGAGCCTCGATTGCTTAGTCACTGTCCTATTAGTGAGAATTTGGATTTTTCCCCTGTGTTTCACTAATACAAATAGCCCTTGAATGAACATCTTGAACAAATTACCTTTTTCTTTGGTGTTATTTCCTTGAGGTTATATTCCAAAGACTGAAATTACTGAGTCAAAGGGCAAGAAAAGTTTTATAGCTCTCATTCCATGTTATAGATAGCTTTTGGAAATATTGATCCCATTTACAATGGTAGCAGTATGTGTACCTAATTTCTCAGAGCTCTGCCAACTTCATTCACTTCACATTTTAAAACTCAAATTAGTTTTCCTTGGTCAGCCAAGCAGACTTCAGAAAACCTTGTCCCACGTTCAATAGCATAAACTGCAGCAACCAAAGTAATTTCAATGTTGCCTACAAGTAAGAAAACAAGGAAGCAAAAAGGAAGCCATGTCGTGAGTGTTAGGTGAGAGGCTCTGGAGTTAGAAAGTCTCCAAAGCAGGTTCAAGTCTTTGCTCTGCTGCTTATTAACTGAGTGACCTTCAGCAAGTGGCTGCATCTTTCTAGCCTCAGAACCTCCATCACATGGTTGTTGTGTGGAGTAAAATAGATAATAGATGTAAAGTGCTTAGGGTAGCACTTATTATCAATAAATGAGCCTTATGAAAGTTCACCATATATTTCAAAGCCAGACTAAAGTAATTTGAACCCTGTTCGTAATTTTATTTTATACACATAACTGCCATGTCATCATTCACATGAGTAGTGGTGAATTTGTTGCACATTAGCATAATATGATTTGTATGTCCTGATATCTTAAAATGTCAACATCTAGAGACTATAAGTTATGTTCTGTATAATTTCAAAACATTTTGTAATATGGAAATCAGTAAATCATTTGACTGAGATAAATTAAAAATTAAATGTGGTATACTGATTTCTGGGCTATTTATGTACCTAACATAATTGTGCATAGGACCACTATATTGTGTTTCTTGAAAATTCTACACCTATAATTCAGTGGCTGTGCTACATCATGTAATACATATACCCTGTAGTAGAAGAGACTGGAAAAATCACCAAGTCCATTCCCTGCCACCTTTTCCTTCATCCAATGCAGGAAATTTTACCTGACAGATAGTCATCCAGCCTCTGCCTGAAAGCTTCCCTTTTAATGACTTTAAAATCCTCATGCTCTTTAAAGTTCTTGGATAATTAGCAATAATTTTATCAGCAGTGGTGAGAGTTTGTATGAAATATAGCCTACTATATTCACATATTAATAATTTAAGTTCCATACTGACAAATTACTAGTTTGATAATTCACTTTGAAAGTACACACAAAGGCAGACCATGCAGGAGAGATGATCGGAATTTTCTGGTTCACTTTGTGGGTTTCAAACAAATATTCCTATTTTTCAGCAATATGTATAAACTAGCTGATTTAGGTGGTATGAGTAGACTCTTTGCATTCAATTAAGTCATTACTTTGTTATTCCTGGGTGATTGATGGAAGGTATTATTTTGAAGAAGAAAATAATGAGACCTCGATAGGAGCAAACATTTGTGATCTATTAAGATGTGTGGGCACGCCAGCATAAACCTGGGAAATGGAAAAGAGCAAGGGCTCTTATCTGCCTTCCCAGGTTCCTATACATCTGCCCTAAAAGTGTCATTTCATATTACAGTGTTCCATAAAGTATGATATGTTTATTGCAGGTACTTTCCAACAGCCAATGTATTAGCAGCTGTGGTTTGAAGTTCTTCTTTGGCTAATCTCTGTAGGTTTCTTTAGCCCTGGTCACCTCTCTTCAGCTCATGATTCAGAGTGTTTGGTTACCCTGCTGCTCTCCTTCATGCCGACATGTTCCGCCACCCCATAAAGCTGGGATGCAGCCAACTTGAGCTTGGTTGCTGAGGGGCTGGCTGTGTTCCAGGAGCTTGTTACTGATGATGCTGCTCTGCCAACTGGTGTTGAGGATGGTGCCTGAATGATGCTAATGAGTCTCTGCGGAAGCTGGAGTTTTGTTATCAGCAACAGGCCTGAGACTCACAGCCAGATAATAGGGAAAATTTTATAAACTCCTAGCCTCACATTTCTAATAGTGTGAGGAGAATGTTTAAGATTATTGAGATGTCAGGGGTGCACAAGGTATTTAAGTTTACTGTAGTGAGGAGGGGAATATTGACTGCATCATGCTGAGAAGGGGCAACAAATTGATGGCCCCAGAAGACTGAATGCAGCTCACACATGTATGACTTGCATGGGATTTGACTGGCATAGAACTGATTTTTTTAAAAAATTAGATTACCTTTAGACATGGCTGCAAGCTGTAGTACTACTATAATAGCCAACCCTCAAACAACTAATCAGCTTAATAAAGTCAATTTCGTGGGAGCAAAGAGATTTCTTCTGTCATCTTATGAATAGTTTCCACAGAAGGTACTTTTCAAAGGTACTTTTTGAATATTTTTAAAAAATATTGTTATGTACATGAATAGTGGTATTACAACAACTCTGCCAGGCAACTTTTTATGTTCTATATTAATTCACCATTGTCTTTATAAAAGATACACAAATGCTAAAAAAAGAATAACTAATTATTTAAAAATTCCCTTTGTGTTCTCATTTCATTTTTTTTCCTTTTCTGCCTACATTTCAACTAAGTTAGATTTTTGAATCTGTTGAAATAAAACCATAATTAAGGCCAGGTGAGATGGCTCATGCCTGTAATTTGAGCACTTTAGGAGGCCGAGGCAGGCAGATCACAAGGTCAGGAGTTCGAGACCAGCCTGGCCAACATGGTGAAACCCTGTCTCTCTAAAGATACAAAAAAAATTTAGCCAGTTGTGGTGGCACATGTCTGTAATCCCAGCTACTTGGGAGGCTGAGGCAGGAGAATTGCTTGAACCCGGGAGGCAGAGGTTGCAGTGAGCCAAGATCTTGCCATTGCACTCCAGCCGGGGTGACAGGGCGAGACTCTGTCTCAAAAAATAAATAAATAAATAAATAAATGAAAATAATAATTAAAAGTCGGTCATTAGCAAAAAGGTTTTAAAAGTCCTGGCAGATGGCTCATGATTTCGTTATATTTGATCATTAAGACTTCAGTCCTGGAATAATTTGGATTGAATCCCATAACTCATTAATTCCAATATTTTATCTATATTTAAATGATCTACTCACAGCACTATTTGCCTTTTAAAAGCTGTTACCCAGGCTTCATATGATCACTGTGAAACTATAATTTGTTCACCAATTTGTTTGTGTTTTATGTGTTCACTTGACTATATCTGACTGAGTGGTTCAAAAACAACCAAGATTCTTCTTTATCATAATCCATCCAACTGTTTACAAAAAAATTTAAAATCTGGAACTCAAGTGGCACTGCAGCTTTCTACCAAAAATAAACCAGTTTCTGTAATTCAGTAATAGCTTTAGAAGGCCAATATAGTTCAGAGAAAAATGAAATTAAGAATTATATTGAAAACAGAGACCATTAAGTTCTCCAAATATGTTTCATTAATTATTTTGCTCATTTTTCTGAAAACCTTCTTGCCTTATCAATAAAAAACATTCACTTCTCTTCTTATAATTGAATCTTAACATAGATGTAGTGGGAATAAAATAATGGAAATAAAATTTATTGAACACTCTGGCAAAGATGCTGTGGTAGATGAAGTTGGAGTTACAAGGAAGAAGCAAGTATTGGCCTGGCCTTGAAAGAACTGAAGTCTTTCTCATTCACTCTTCTAAAATGCTGCCAAGACAGAGGCAGAAAGAAATGTATAATACTGTCAAGCATACTTTCATTCTTTATTAAGAGAAACAGGTATGTTTGGAATTCAACATCTTTGGTTGGAATGCATTGGCTTCCCCCCCCCCCCTTGTTTTGACAGAAATGGAATTAAGTGAAAGTAGTTAGTCTTTTCTGTAGTCTTCAAATTTTATAATGCCGTTTATTTTTAATTTAATCCCATTCAATTATTTAGTTGTTATACATTGACATTAACTGCTGTATTTTATGACTTTGTTCAATAATTTTGTTCTTTCAGGGCTATAAATAAACTTAAAAAAACAACAACAACCAAGATTTATGGGAAAACTATTACCAACACAGCACCTGCCAGAACTCAGGTTAAACTTCAGGGATTTTTTTTCTATTGGAGCAATATTGCCATGGTGTCATGGCTGTGGTCTTTTCCTCTTCTTGACTTTAGGGTAAAAAGGCAAATTTGCCTGCCAGGGTCCAGCTTAGGGGTTAACATTCAACAAAAACTGGTCTACCCTGCCCCTGATTTTGTCTTGGGCTTCCCACTCCCATACTTTTCCTTATATTCTTATCTAATTGCATGGAATTCTCATTTCCACCTTTCTTTCAAGGCTTAAGCCAAATTCTGTCATCTCAGACCTAAGTAGGCACTATTTCAAAAGTGATTATTCTTTGTCTTTAACAGTGTTTCCTAACATTTTATAGTTTAACATTTTTTTCCAGAAGTCCCCAAAAGATTGCAGTTGAATTTTGAGTAACATTTATTGAGAAAATATATAATGATCAAATATTAAGGAATTTAAGGAAATCAGTAACACAATAATTGAACAAAATGAAGGATGATACCTATATAGTGTATTTTTAAATTCCAAATGCAGATAATGCTTGGTATGCATGTAGATTTACAGGCCCCTTTCAGCAGAAATTCCAGTGTCTTCTTGATGGCTAATATACTGGCATTTGTAATTTCCTGCTTCCCTAGCTCCTCTTTTTATGTTTCTAAGAGTTACCAAGGAAATGATAAATGCTTAGTTGCAACATCCTTCTTTCTATTTCTTTCCACATACTCTGCAGGATCTACATAAGGTAGTTTGCAGTTATCAGGAACATGAAAAATAAATGAACTTAGTAAGTTATAGGGCTGTTACTGTTACAGTGCTGAATCTGGAGGACTTTGCATGATCATTGATCTGCATACTATTTTTAATAGCTATATAGTGTTCCATTTGTGTGGAAGAACTATTCATTCATTCACTATTTATTGCGTTTCTACTTAGTAGACAGTATTATGTTTGAGACACGGTTCCAAATGCTGAAGTTAAACTGATGAATTAGGCAGACAAAAATTCTTGCCCTCTCAGAGTTTACATTCTAGTGATAAAAAACAGACAACAAACAAAGTAAATATATAAGTATATAATGTAATTCCAAGTAGTGATTAGATACATAATTTTTTAAGAGATGGGGCTCACTATGGTGCCCACGCTGGTCCTGAATTCTTGGGCTCAAGCAGTTCTCCCCTCAGCCTCCCAGAGTGCTGGGATTACAGGCATGAGCCACCTTGTCTGGCCAGGATATGTAATTTTCATAATTTAGATTATTCAATTTTTTTCTGTAGCTTTTATTTATACGAATGTGCTTAATTAGTCTAGGTAATATCAAAAGGGCTAGCAGTAAAGTAGGGTATTTCACTAGGAAGCAAGATTTGATCCAGAGCTGTCGCTCAAAATAACTATGATAAATTGTGACTGACTCTTCAACAGAATCTTTCTTTTTTTCCCCTTTACTCCAGGTGTTCATGTAAACTGTGAACACCTGGAGTAAAGGGGACTCAACTCAGTTACTGAGTTCATTTATTTTTCATGTTCCTGGTAACTGCAAACTACCTTACCTAGATCCTGCAGAGTATGTGGAAACCCCTCTAGGCTGCCTTAGGCACTAAAACTTGAAGTTCAAGAAAGTATTGTCTTATTATTATGTTCACCTTAAGTAACTTTTTGTTGTATCTTCTTATGAGTATTAAGTTGTAATCACAATTTCAGTTTGCCATCCCCTGAACTGGGGAAGTTAAGAGACTGGATGATAATAACCTGACATAGCCAGGCTGTAGATATGCATCATAGTGCTGAAGAGACAGGACTCTGGCACATCTAGGAGGAAAAGTTTGGGGGGTAAGGAGAGCTTGCTGCGTTCTGATTTAAGGGACTGATACATCCATAGCTCTTGATGCTGGCAGGACTTGAAACAGTATTTTAGTTAAGCCACTTCTAAAAGTGCAAAATGACAAAGAACTGTCTTATAAACTCTTCTCTGATTTATTCAGGACTTGGACAGGAGAGAACAATTTGCAACTGTAGATTAGAAATAAATTTGTTGGCAGGCAAAATTGTTATTAAAGAACTAGAATGGGATGTGGTGAATTGTTATTTACTGGGGATTTCAAATTAAGATGGATAACGGTCTTCTTTGAATAACTAGTTTAGCATTATTTGAATAAAAGAGCAAGGTTGCTTCTTTTCATCTTAGAATGCTGAAATACTTGAATTTGAATTTTTAAAAATTAAATTCCTTTCTGATGAAAAGTAAAATTTAATAGAATCCAAGTATATTTGTCTATCTTTGAATTGGGTATCTCTGCCTTTCTTGGATTTTTTTTCCTTTTCTTTGGTGATAAGATTATTTCCTAATTTTAAAAGTAATATGAGCTTGTTATAGAAAATTTGGAAAATACAAAAAAAGGAAAAATTAGTATCACCCGTAATCCTAACTTTCAGAGATAATACTGTTAAATTCTTGGTTTATTTACCTATATTTATTTATTTTTACCTACAAATAAATATATGTTTTAAAAGTTTGCATAAAGTAGTACACACAGTATTTTATCATGCTTTAAATAATTCTTCAAAGATGTAATTTACATGTTTGCATTATTTTCCACCATGTACTTATACAATAGTTTATTTAATCATTTTATTTCTTAACATTTAGGTTGTTTCAAAAATCACATTCTTACAAAATTACAAATATTGACATCTTTACAAATAAGTCTTGGACTGTGTCTTAGAATAGCTGTTAGGTTGAACTATTAAATTGCTGTTCTATAGGTCAAAAATGATCCGATATCTGCAGTTTTATATGGTTCAAACTAATGCTTAGGATTACTGAGTCCAGGGATTTAAACATTAATTTTTAAACAGTGTTATTGGGATATAATTCACATACCATACAATGCTCCATTTAATTCAGTGGTTTTTAGTATATTTGCAGAGTTGTGTAAACCATCACCACACTCAATTTTAGAACATTTCCATCACCCCAGAAGAAACCCTATACCCATTAGCAGTCACTCCCCATTTCCCCCAGCTCTCCTACTCCTAATACCAGTCTAGGAGTGGTACCTTCTAGTCTACCAGTCTACCTTCTATCTCTGTGGGTTTGCCAGTTTTGGACAATTCATATAAATAGAGCCATATAATATGTAATCCTTGGTGACTGACTTCTTTCCCTTAGCATAACGTTTTCAAGACTCATCCATGTTGTAGCATGTATCAGTACATCATTTCTTTTTATGGCCCAGTAATGTGCCACCATGTGGATATACCTCATTTTATTTGTTCATCCATCAGTTGATGGATATTTGTTGCTGTTTCCACTTCTTGACTATTATGAATAATGCTTCTATGAACATTTATTTACAAGTTTTTGTGTGAACATAGTTTTTTCACTTCTCTTGGATATATACCTAGGAATTGAATTGTTGGGTCATAAAATAACTCTAGTGTTTAACCTTTTGAGGAACTACCAGACTGTTTTGCAAAACAGCTGCACTATTTTGAATTGCATCTTGCAATGTATGAGGGTTCCGAATTCTCCACACCCATGTCAGTACTTCTTACTATCTTTTTAATTATAGCTATTCTAGTGAGTGTGAAGTGGTATTTCATTGTGGTTTTCATTTGTCTTACCCTGATGGCTAATGATGTCGATCATCCTTTCATGTGCTTATTGGTGGAACGTTTGTTTTAAGGGCTCTTGATAAATTTCACTCATTTTTCTCTCCAGAAAATTATATTAATTCATAATGCCAGTAGCAGTATATGAACTCACTAAACTTTTATCAGCTTCAATCATTTTTAAAATTGCATTCCCTTGATTTCTAATTTCACTTTATTTCCACCCTTTGGTTTATTCAGTGTATGCATGCCTTCCACAAGGAATTAATCAACCATTGGTCTAATTTTTGATATAATTTTTTGTAACTGGCATAATTTTTTAACTAGAAAATAAACACTAGCATGATGCAAACTGACCTAAGCCAATTCGACCACACGACTTCTAGGTTATTCATAATACCTCCTAGGTACCTTATAATAGCTTCAAAAGAGTTTGAATTTGGTGGAAGCTGGCTACTTTCCTATAATCTTGCTATTTGGTTTTAATAAAAGCAGATCTCATTTCCCAAAGAACTTAAAACAGATCTACCATTTGACTCAGCAATCCCATTACTGGGTATATATCCAAAAGAAAATAAATCATTCTACCAAAAAGACACATGTACTTGAATGTTCATCACAGCAGTATTCACAATAGCAAAGCATGGAATCAACCTAGATGCCCATGAACAGTGGATTAGATAAAGAAAATGTGATACATAGACACCATGGAATACTATGCAGCCATAAAAAAGAATGAAATCATATCCTTTGCAGCAACATGATGCAGCTGGAGGCCATCATCATAAGCAAGTTAATGCAGGAACAGAAAACCAAATAATGCATGTTTTCACTTTTAAGTGGGAGCTACACATTGGTTGATCATGGACATAAAAATGACACCCATAGACAATGGGGACTACTAGAGGGGGAAGGGAGGGAGAGGGGCAAGTGTTGAAAAACTAACTATTGGGTTATATGCTCAGTACCTAGGTGATGGGATCATTCATATCCCAAACCTCAGCATCACACAATATACCCATGTAACAAACCTCACCTATATACTCAAATCTAAAATAAAAGTAGAAATTATAAAAAATGAAAATAAAAAGCAGATAGACCAAATCCTGCCACACATAAAGATGTTTATTTAAACAAAGTTTTGTGGGCAAGTTGGGTCAAATGGTTCATATACTCTATTCAGTAAGCTTCATGAAGCCCAAGCTCTCTTTATTTTAGCTAATCCTAACTTTCCTAACAATATTTCAAAGGCAGAATCTGGTTTTCTGCTGGTGGGCAACCACCAATCCTTTGACCCAGTGGCAGGATTAAACAACTTCAGGGCTTATCTCTAAGGAAACAAGTTTGGAACTTACTAGATTTTCATACTTTATTAATGCAAAGGTAGGTTGTATGTTCTAGAGACCTAGAAAATTATAACTGCATGTATCTTGAATAGGACTAATTGCAGTAATCAGAGTTGATATCTAAAATCCATTGTGCCGATTAACAAGCTACTGATTTCACCAGTGAAATCCATTTCTAACATTGCAAAGCCCCATGCTATTGAAGGCAGATAAAGATCTCTGGAGCACTTGTAATAGCCACATTTTGAGTGCAGCTTTCTGAATATCCCTGGAGTATAAATTCTCACTAGGGCAACTGTCTGCTCCTTGATGGCATATTAAACCTACTACACACACACACACACACACACACACACACACACACTTTCACATTGTCTTTGCTAAGGAATGTAAAGCAAATTATAGACATCAGGACAGCATGCAGTATTTCTCAGTGTTTTCTTTTCTTCTTAAATGAGAAAATAATGGAAACATTTAAGAGTGTACTCTGTGATAGGTGCTTTGCATATATTGTCTCATTTAATCCTCACAACAACACTGTTGATATTATTATAATTCTCACCTTATGGATGAGAACACTGAATGTGAGCAATTTTAAAAATGTGTCCAGGGTCGCTTGACTTGTGCTTGCAAAGCCAGGAATTGTCTGCAACTGTCTGTCTTGGCACACCACATGGGGACACTCGGTGGATGTTCATTAGTTTCCTACTGTTGCATCTTCACTTTTGGGACCCATGAACAGGTAGATGGGCCTGATATACATGTATAGATGGTTAAATAAACTGAGGTTTAATACTTTTGTGTGTGTGTGTGAGGAGAGGGTACTTGACACGAGGAAAACATTATTTCTAAATTACATTGCCTTGTGGCATTTCAGCTTTCCATAAATATTTGTAACCACACTTGAGCTTTGTGTCTGTAAGAAAAAGTTTAAAACTAACAGAGAGTTAGAAATCATTAAAAAATAATAACGGCTTTGTACATATACAGCTATGAGGTAGATACTTTAATATTTTCATTTTCTTCAATTTTGTGCTTTTACTGACAAAACATTTTTAAATTTATGGTTGTTTATTATATTTTCCTCAACTGAGAATGAAAAGAAGGTGAGGATTAGTCTAATTTTAGCATTTTTCTTGCTTTAAAAAGTTGTGCCTCAAATCAGAATTTGCAAATAGCATTTGATTGCACTGAGTGATAAAGTGAGGTTTTCCAGTATAAATTACCCTGCAGCTTACTTAGAGCATTTTCCTATGTATAGCAAAATTTATGGAATATGCTGTTTAAATGAAGCCACATCATATTTCCTGTTGGAGAATTTCAAATATAATATAACTCTGTGACATACTTTGTAATTTCTATTTTTAACAGTATGTAGTGATTTAGAAAATCTACTTGGATATTTATTTTTTCCCTTCTTTTCTGAATTGAAGGCAGAAATGAAACCATTTTCTGGTCATTTTCCATTATTTCCTTTTATTTCTCCCACATGTGCCGTGGATAATATCCTGGCTAGATATGATTGTAGGTTATTTTCACTGGCAGATTCTGATTCCATTGCCAATCAACAAAAGAGCATTTCCCCCACCCCTTTCATATTCTGCATACTCTATTTAGAAATGAGAAAAAGTCTCAAAGGTAGGCATGACTATATTACCAAAGCAGGCAGCAAGGTGCCCCAAGGGAGGGCCCAAGCTGGAGTGAGAGTATGTTAAGAGGGGAAGAAAGTAATGAGTGGTTTTGAAAAATGAGGTTATGTAAGTTAGAGCTACCCAGAGATGCTTTGAAGGTCTATTAGACACAGTTCTTGAAAGGGGGTTTAAATAAAACTAAAATATAATAGCAAACTCTCTCACTGGAGAGAATTTAAAATGATTCCTCACAAGAATTAATTGACACCATCAGAAGGCTGGAACGGGCTTTAACCATCCAAAAAGTGTGCTTGGTATTTTGGAAGAATTGCTCTCCATAGCATATAATAAGTGGCTGTGGGAAATCAGTACCTTTTCTTTAAAGGTGCCACCCAATGTTTAATAGCATTGGGTAGCATCATAGCGTCTGGGCAGTTTTAACTCCATTCTCAGTGCTTGGTTATTTGGTATACTTCATTTACAAAAAACCTATCCATATCTGTCTTCTTTCTCTTAAAAAAAGTGTCTGATTAATTTTTCGAAGCTTTAATATCGACATCAATTTTGTTTGTCCTAATATCACAGTGATACTTGTGATGTAGTGTAACTGAAATTTGTTATAGGTATTCCACTTTTATTTCCAAACCCAGAGTGAGGCATCAGAATAAGTCTTCAGTTATTCTCCCTTGTCATGAAGACAGAGAACCACGATCCTTGGATGAACCTATAAATGTCCATTGCTTCTTTTCAGTGGTTGACTCTAAATTTATTTTTAAGTCTTGGCTTAACACTTTGACATGATTCCCATCATGATTAGGACCACGATCCTTGGATGAACCTATAAATGTCCATTGCTTCTTTTCAGTGGTTGACTCTAAATTTATTTTTAAGTCTCGGCTTAACACTTGGACATGATTCCTATCATGATTAGGACAGTCACAGGACATGATGGGCGTTTTGCTATTCTTATTCTTTTAACCTCTGAAACAGGGTGGCAGAAATTATTGTCTCTATGAGACTGAAAATACATTTTGCACTAGATCTAGAGTGCCCATTGTTTTAAGATTTGATCCGGATGATGTGGCTTGTTGCCATGGATGTTTCCATTGTTTTACACTTTAAAGAGCCATCCAGTTGGGTGTAATAGTGCAGGTAGTGGGCTTGGAGAAGTGCTGAGGTGGCAGTGGTGCCGGCAAGGATGAAGATAGTGGGAGCAGGCCCTGGGCTTGTCGCTCACCATGCCGATGGTAGAGGAGCTTTACGGCAACTATGGCATCATGGCCGATACCACGGAGCGAGTGGGCCAGCATAAAGATGCCTATCAAGTGATACTGGATGGTGTGAAAGGTGGTACTAAGGAAAAACGATTAGCAGCTCAATTTATTCTGAAATTCTTTAAGCATTTTACAGAATTGGCTGATTCTGCTATCAATGCACAGTTAGACCTCTGTGAAGATGAAGATGTATCTATTTGACGTCAAGCAATTAAAGAACTGCCTCAATTTACCACTGGAGAAAATCTTCCTCGAGTGGCAGATATACTAATGCAACTTTTGGAGTCAGATGGCTCTGCAGAATTTAACCTAGTGAACAATGCCCTGTTGAGTATATTTAACATGGATGGAAAAGGGACTTTAGGTTCATTGTTCAGCCAAATACTTCAAGGAGAGGACATTGTTAGAGAATGAGCAATTAAATTCCTTTCTACAAAACTTAAGACTTTACCAGATGAAGTATTAACAAAGGAAGTGGAAGAGCTTATACTAACTGAATCCAAACACGTCCTAGAAGATGTGACTCATGAAGAATTTGTTCTATTCATGAATTACTGTCTGGGTTAAAAAGCTTACAGACAGTAAGTGGAAGACAGCAACTTGTAAAGTTGGTGGCTGAACAGGCCGACCTAGAACAGACCTTCAATCCCTCAGATCCTGAGTGTGTGGGCAGGCTCTTACAGTGCACTCAGCAGGCAGTACCCTTCTTCTCTAAAACTGTCCATTCCACAAGGTCTGTGACATATTTCTGTGAGCAGGTTCTCCCTAACCTTGGTATCTTGACTACCGCAGTGGAAGGTCTTGACATACAGTTGGAGGTATTGAAATTGTTGGTGGAGATGAGTTCATTTTGTGGTGACATGGAAAAACTAGAAACAAATTTAGGGAAACTATTTGATAAGTTATTGGAATACATGCCCCTCCCTCCAGAAGAAGCAGAAAATGGAGGGAATGCTGGTGATGAAGAACCCAAACTACAGTTCAGTTATGTGGAATGTTTGTTGTACAGTTTTCACCAGTTGGGCCAAAAACTTCCAGATTTCTTAACAGCCAAACTGAATGCAGAAAAACTCAAAGATTTCAAAATCAGGCTGCAATACTTTGCACGAGGCCTGCAAGTTTATATCAGACAACTTCACTTAGCTCTCCAGGTGAAACAGGTGAGAACAGAAAAGAACAGAAAACAGAAGAGAACAAAATTAAAGTTGTTGCATTGAAAGCAACAAACAATATCAATGTTTTAATCAAGGATCTCTTCCACATTCCTCCTTCTTGTAAGAGCACAGTAACACTATCCTGGAAACCTGTATAAAAGGTTGAGATTGGGCAAAAGAGAGCCAGTGAATATACAACTTCAGGTTCACCACCCCAGAAATCTTCAGCAGAACAAAAAAGAGATGCCAGGCAGATTTATAATCCTCCCAGTGAGAAATATAGCAGCAATTTGGGCAACTTTAATTATGAGAGGAGCCTTCAGGGAAAGTAGAGGGGGCCGAGGTTGGGGCACACGAAGAAATCGTAGTCGTGGAAGACTCTACTGAATAAGACATCAGCATTCTTCAGCATAGTCATGAGCTTAATATACTTAAATTCTACTACTCATTGGATTTCCGGGGGTGTCCCTTTAAACAGACTGCTGCCTTCAGCTAAAAACTTAATGTTCTTTATACCTTTGTATGTATGATCTATTTTTGTAACAGACCATGGTTGTATCCAAGGTAAAATCACAGTGATATGTTTGGATGCTTCGTCTGCAATATTGAGTTGTTTTTGCAATATCATTATTCAGACTTCAAATTGTGAATCTTTTACTTTTAAATATGTTGATAATTTGTTGTTGAGAGCTGTTCATTCTAAAATGTAGTGAAATTCAGTCTAGTTCTGCTGATAAAGACTATCAGTTTTGAAAA
Organism: Homo sapiens; assembly: GCF_000001405.40. Lineage (NCBI taxonomy): Eukaryota > Metazoa > Chordata > Mammalia > Primates > Hominidae > Homo > Homo sapiens. Next base: position 177,996,824 of record NC_000002.12, on the reverse strand, counting down.
GTTACTGATTTTCCTCTTTCCTCTGTTTTAGTGTTTTGCCCAATATATGGAGAAGGGTAACTGTAAATCTTAACATTTTGTTTTCATTGTTTAATAAAGCTGCTAGGCAGTGGTGCAACATTCCTGTCTAGTGTCATAAAAGCATAATATTTACGTTGCTTTCTTAAAATGTAGGAATGACATTACATTTTTAGGAGAAAGTAAGTTGCTTTGCACTGCTTGCTTAACTTTTTTCCATATATTATGATACAAACTTTTGAATACGGACCCTTACTATTTGAATAGAAATGTCTATATATAATATACATACATACATAAGCGTATATGTGTGTATATACATATATATATATATATATGTATATATGTATGCTGTGAAACTTGACTACACGACATAAATCACTTTTTTAAATTCCAGGAATGGGTAGTCTGACACAGTGATTATCCTTTTGGGGCTGAATCTGTTATTAACTTGTTATTTAGGTTTTTACTCCCAGTAGCCAAGGATTCTAAGTCAGTTGCACTTACATGATTATTGTTATTTAAAACTAAAAATAAAGGCTGTGTTTTCTTTTTCTTTTTCTTTTTTTTTTTTTATTTGAGACGGAGTTTCACTCTTGTTGCCCACACTGGAGTGCAGTAGCGAGATCTCGGCTCACTGCAACCTCCACCTCCCAGGTTCAGGTGATTCTCCTGCCTCTGCCTCCCAAGTAGCTGGGATTATGGGCACCCACCACCACACCCAGCTGATTTTTGTATTTTTAGTAGAGATGGGATTTCACCATGTTGGCCAGGCTGGTCTCGAACTCCTAACCTCAGGCAATCCACCTGCTTTAGCCTCCCAAAGTGCTGGGATTACAGGCTTGAGCCACCGCGCCCAGCTAGGCTGCATTTTCAAAGACAAATTGGAGATTGCTATTGGTGAAATACAGCCAAAATACTGAATCTGATGTATGTATAGATTTCTACAGGAAGAGATAGTATAATTTAGAATTTGGAGATTTCATAACCAGGGCTACCCAGAAAAAGTGACTTGATAACATGGTACCAATAAGGAAGGGAAGCTCTCTCAGTTTGCTTTTGCCATTTTCAAGATTTTTAACTTCTCAGGTTATTAATCAAAATTATTGTATAAGTTAGCCAATAGAATTTTTAGGTTAAAACAGCAGATGCGGGGTGGGTGGTGTTTGTGGAGTATTTAATGTCATGGGCATTTTTAGTAGCATAGAGCCTTTGTTCTGCATTTGAATGTTTAGTATATTTTTGTTTCACAGTTAATCTTCCCTCCTCAAGTTTGCTATTCAAATCAAACGCCTGAATGACATTTCTAGTAGTCTGATGTATTTTTTTAGGAATAGTTTGTGATTCCAAAGCAGGTGTCTTCATTACCATTACCTCTCACTGCAGAAGAAGCAAAATTCCTTTGTTAGAATTACTGCACATGCATATGGAGAAAATAGTTCTGAAAGGCTAGAATGATACAAATGAGCAAAAGTTGGTCAGCTTGGCTATGGATTGGTGGCAATAATCTCTAAACATTCCAAAAGACTGTAAGCTGAACCTAAACTCCCTTGGAATCTGAACAGACAAAGGAATATAAAATTGCCATTTGAAAATTGACCCGCCACTCTGGACCTCAGAGATAGATCAGCCAGTGGCCCAAAGCCATTTCAACTACAGAAATTGTGTTGAGACTACAGCTAAATAAATTTGAACATTAAGTATAATTTTTCCACTTTTCCTCCTTATAAGCATATTTGTAAACTCACAGCTGAGCAGAAGTGACTTTACTCTCTCAAGTTTGATACTGAATTGACTGTTCCCTTACCCCTCACTCTTCCCTTTCCCTTTCCTAAGACAATAGTGCACAACTTCGGTTATTTTTGCTTCTGAATTTGAATGAAAAACTTAACACTGTGGTTTTTTTTTTCTTTTGCAAGACACCTGTTTATCACCTTGTTTAAATGTAAATATCCCCTTATGCTTTTGAAATGAATTTCTTTTTGTAATTAAAAAAAAGACCCATCCAGTTTAAAACAACAAAACTACAAATTATGGCAAACTTCTGATCAGCAGCATGGATTTCTTAAGTAAAAGAAAATGGGAAACCAAACTGCTTCTTACATTCTTGTCTTCAAATTGTTACCAAGGGGAAGATTATGCACAGATCATTGGGTCAAGTAAGGGTTTTTGTTCCCTCAGCAATGCACATCGTAATAAGTCATTCTCCTTCTTGAAATTACATCTTCACTAGGATCAGTATATAAAACACAGTTCTATTTGTGCTAGAAGTACAGGGTCGCAGCCATTCACCTGGAAGGTGATCCTTCACAATTATCCCTAGGAAAAAAACTTGGAAAAATACTCTGTGCTTTTTGTGGTTCAATGATGTAAAATGTTTGTATCATGCTCATTATGGACATTAAAGGCAGGGAGTTTATCCAACACACAGACATGTGGGTCTGGTGCTGTGTTTAGAAAGACAGTTAACTGGAAGATGGTAGCATACATGCCATGTATACAGCTTTTTATGTTTACTCTCTTAGAAGCTGGTGGAAACATCAATCATTAAGATAACATCAAAATTTACATTTGCAGGCCAGGCACAGTGGCTCTTGCCTGTAATCTCACCACTTTGGGAGGCAGAGGCGGATGGATCACTTGAGCTCAGGAGTTCGAGACCAGCCCGCCCAACATAGTGAAACCCTGTGTCTGCTAAAAATACAAAAATTAGTCAGATGTGGTGGTGGGTGCCTGTAGTCTCAGCTACTTGGCCAGCTGAAGCAGCAGAATCGCTCGGGGAGGGGGAGGTTGCAGTGAGCCGAGATTGCTCCATTGCACTTCAGCCTGGGCAACAGAGTGAGACTCTGCCTCAAAAAAAAAAAAAAAAATTTACATTTGCGGAGTCTAATCTTCACATATATACATATATATTAACTCATATAATTCTCTCAATATTCTTATGAGGTAGGTAAGAATTGTTAAATTTTTTTCTTTATAGATGAGGTAACTGCAGTCTGTCTTGTCTAGCAAGAAGTTAATAGTGGAGCTGGAAACTCATTGTTCTTTCCTCTCCTTTTTCCTGGCTTGTCATTTTTCATAAACAATGCATTGACTATTCCTACTACTTAGGAAGAGGGGAGCTCAAAGTAAAGAGTACCCCCATTTGATGAGTTGTAAAAATGATGTCACTCAATATGCCAAAATATACAGATAAACAATCAATAGGAAATGCAATATTCTATTGGAAGATTATATCAATGAAGTCACAGATAATCAGGTTGCACATTGAGCTTGTTAAAGACATAAAGGCTGCACAAGCCTTATTTTATCAATCCTTACAGAAAAATTTTAAGAACCATGCACACTGAATATATGAAAATCTTAGAAAGCAAGGGGACTTTAAAAATTACTTTATTCAAACTCTCATTTTAGAGCTAAACATTTTTTTTTTAAAAAGAAGAAAAATAAAGAGGTTTCGAGATTTTAAATTATTATTAAATTTAAATTATTTGCTCCAGGTTGCACAATTAATTATTTGCTCCAGGTTACACAATTAGAAAACCACACAGCTGAGAGTTGAATCTGTGCCTTCAAATGCCACTGTCCCCTAGCCCTACTCTCTACCACGCAGATGTTTGGCTGCCTGTGGGCAGAGGGCCAGATGACAGTGGTGGTTCCATTCAGCTCTGTATTTCCTTGGTGAGCAAAACCACAATGGTAGCCCCATTTTATGAGTAGGAAAATTCTGGTTGAGAAGTGCCCCTAGAAACAACAGTCAGTGGTGTAACTTAAGTCTCAAGTGCTTCTTTGCTTGTCTTCTCACAGATAGTGGAGTGTACCATGTTTCTGCTTGCGGAGAATCATCTATATATTTCAGCCATGAGAGTTAAGAATTAAGAAAAAACGAGAAAAAAAAGAATATCTGTTTTCCAGCTATCATTGAAGTAAAGTATATATTGTCATGTTCTTTGACAATCTCAATTATGTTGGAATCAAGTCAACATGCTAAGGGGTGAGGTTATAGGCAGTCATAGTTCTGACTTTGTTAAGGCTGATATTTGGATAGATCAATGTTCTATTATGTCAAACTGAGGGATCTTTAAAAATTGTTATGTAAATCAGAAGCATGCTTAGCTGAAGTATCTTAAAAGAGTGCTTCAGCTACTTAACTATCTTCTGATGACCATTGATCTCTGGCCAAATCATTGACACAAGGGTTTAAGAATAAAGAGAACCATTGGAATAAAAGTTTATACAGAATGTACTGTTAACCATTAGACATAGAAACATTAGTGGAAATGGATTAAGAATAGGTAGGAGGCGGATACTTACTGAAGAGGCAAATAGCATGAATGGTAGAAATATTTTGGTAACTTCTGTTTACCATCTATATACATAGAACATTTTGATTCAAGTGTTTTTGATGCAGGCGTTTTGACAGTTAAAGCAAGTGGATGCCCTGGAATCTTTTTCCACACTTAACCACCATCTGATTTCTGGGCAATTTTTATTTTCCACTGTATTAATTTATATACTGTTTGAAAACTTTGTTAAACTTTGGTCTTGTATTACTTTTATTTCTGAGATGAATCCTGTTTGGTGGTAGTGTATTATTTTGATATAATGCTGGGTTCAGTTAGCACTTAATATGGATAATGAAATTGATCTGTAGATTTTTTGGTGCTATTTTTATCTCTACTGTCTTTATTAAGATTATGTGAGATGTATTATTTTAGAATTAGAAAAAAAAGCAGTAATATATTATTTAGTCTTTTATAATTAGGAAGCCTCTAAGAGGTTATCAGGTACTCCCCCCAAAGCATTATTATAAATGAGTTTTACTATAAGGGTAAATGTGTTATTTAGAGAACAGTTAGAAATTTAATTAGGGTCTCTTGTCGGACTGGAGCTGAGAATAGGAGATTGTATTATGGCCCAAATCTCTTCCCTTAAGTATGTACCCAATTAAAAAGAAATCTCAAAAAACTTATTGGAAGAAGATAATGCTCTTTATATAGATGTTTTGCAGCACTTAAAAACTCATGCCATCATAAAAATCTAGAAGAATTCTATCCTGACCAGCCATGAAAAAGTTGTTTGATGTGACTTTCTATAATTTGCATATGAAAAGAGTATATATATTTTCATTTCCAAATATAAGGTATATTATTATTATTATTATCATTTTTTGAAATGGAGTCTCACTCTGTTGCCCAGGCTGGAGTGCAGTGGTGTGGTCTCGGCACACTGCAACCTCCGCCTCCTGGGTTCAAGTGATACTCCTACCTCAGCCTCCCGAGTAGGTGGGATTACAAGTGCCTGCCACCACGCCTGGCTAATTTTTTGTATTTTTAGTAGAGATGGGGTTTCACCATGTTGGCCAGGCTGGTCTCAAACTCCTGACCTCATGATCTGCCCGCCTTGGCCTCCCAAAGTGCTGGGATTACAGGCGTGAGCCACCATGCCCGGCCCAATATATTATATTTTACTTTTTGAGACAGAGTCTTACTCTGTCGCCCAGGCTGGAGTACAGTGGCACAATCTTGGCTCACTGCAACCTCCGCCTCCCAGGTTCAAGCGATTCTCCTGCCTCAGCCTCCCAATCCTGAGTAGGTGGGATTACAGGTGAGTACCACCACACCCAGCTAATTTTTGTATTTTTAGTAGAGATGGTGGTTTTACCATGTTGGCCAGGCTAATCTCGAACTCCTGACCTCAAGTAATCTACCCATGCTGGCCTCCCAAAGTGCTAGGATTACAGGCGTGAGCCACTGTGCCCAGCCAAGATATATTTTAAATACTTGTTCTTTATTTTATTTATTTATTTATTTAAGATGGAGTCTCACTCTGTTGCCCAGGCTGGAGTGCAGTGGCATGATCTCAGTTCACCACAACCTCTACCTCCTGGGTTCAAGCAATTCTTCTGCCTTAGCCTCCCAAGTAGCTGGGACTGCAGGAGCGCACCACCGTGCCCAGCTAATTTTTGTTGACCTTGTGATCTGTCCACCTCCACCTCCCAAAGTGCTAGGATTACAGGCATGAGCCACCACGCTACCCTCCGCCTTTTTTTTCCTTTTTTTTTTTTTTGAGACAGAGTCTCGCTCTGTCACCCAGGCTGGAGTGCAATGGTGCGATCTCAGCTCACTGCAACCTCTACTTCCTGTGTTCAAGCAATTCTCCTGCCTCAGCCTCCTGAGTAGCTGGGATTACAGGCCCACCCTACCATACCCAGCTAATTTTTGTATTTTTAGTAGAGATGGGGTTTCACCATGTTGTTCAGGCTGGTCTTGAATTCCTGACCTTGTGATCCCCCTGCCTCAGCCTCCCAAAGTGCTGGGATTACAGGTGTGAGCCACTGCCTGGCCTTAAATACTTTTTGAAACTATCCCCCCCAGATACTTGTAACTCTGAAAAATTACTGCTATAAATTTTGAAAATGAAAATCGTTAAGCTCTGTTATTGATCAACCACATTATTAAAAGGCAAAAATAAGTGAGTGTTAAAATTGTAACATTAAAGCAGGAACCACAAAGTCCGATATGCAGAAAATTCCATATACAAGTGAATTTTCATTGACTAGGCAGTTATCTGATTGAAACAATTTATGTTTCTTTCTGAAAAGAGTACATGGTTACTAATCATGTAGCTTGTACTAGGTTAATCCTTATTCCACCTCTATCCTTACCTATCCCCGTTGGTGCTGGGATGAGGCTTATCAAAGGAAAAAGTATGTTGGTTCTGCATATTATTATTATTTAAAGAAGCTGAAACTGTAGTGAGTGGTGTGAGTTTTAGGTTGGATTCAAATGTCACATAGTCAATTCTCTCTCATTCTCTTTCCCCCTTCTCTCCCTTCATTTCCATCTTGTTTCTTAAAGGATTTGAGGCATCTGATGGAAAATATTGGAATATGAATAAACTTTCATGGCCAGATAATGTGATAAGCTGGGAATTCTCAAGGAGTTTTTTGGTTTTTCGTTTTTATTTTTTTTCAGTGCTATGATGTGATGGTAATTTCCAGCTACTTTTTGTCTTGACCAGAATGTGTCATTGATCCACTCTTTCTGGCATGAGGTGAGGCTGGAGGATTCCAGTGGACTCCTGGTATTTAGATAAATGCTCCTAACCTCAGGTTGAAGGAATTTCAGATGAGGAGCAGTGACTAACTGAGCATGCACTTCTTGATTCCTGCCAACCAGAAAAGCTATTCTCTCTCAAAATTGGGACATTCATTAACTGCAGTGAAGATCCTTGCTAACACATAAGTATAACTGTTAGGATTGCATCCCCAGTGGGTCAGTGAGTGGAGTCATTTCCCCACTGTGTCAATGGCATCAGTCCCTAGTCTGTGCATAAAGGAATTTACAGAAAAAGTATCCTCTGTTTTACAGAGGAAATGAGCGTTTATTTCCTTTCTTATTTGTAGCTCGCCTCTGAGTATGATAGAAAGATTTGACTCTGGGCAGAGTATTCTTTCTGGACTTTGTTCATACTGTGCTATGACTACTAGCTTTTCATCATAACCACATCCAGGATTGATATTGCTTTAGGAAACAGCATTCCACATCTCTAGTGAATTGCTTATCTTTCTTGAAAAAGAGTAGATTGCTCATATTGTCATTCTTGTGTATTTTCTGATGTAATAGAGGCACTAAAACTATCAATTGCTTTAGACTGTATGACAGTATTGAAGGCCACTTAACAGAATGCTGAGTAATACAACTGAATCAGACTCATCTCACCAAAAATTTGAGCATGTGTATGTGGATCTTTGAACGCAGTTAGCAGGCAAGCCTATTTTGCCATCCTCTCTGAGATATAATACTGAAATTTTGCAGACAGAAGTGATACATTTTTTATGTACAGATAACACACATATCTTGATGCATCTAGAAACCCTGATGAGTTTTGAGCAAAGTAAAAATAACGGGACTACAGAAGACCTCACAAAGGTTTCAGAGGACTCAGTTTCAATGGACATTTCTTGCTGCCTGTATACCTGTCATATGACCAGGCTTTCCACAGCTGCTCTAAGTGGCCCTCAGCTTGGCTCATCCTTTTGACTTCCAACATTAATTCATGTCTTATTCCCAGTGCCACAGACAGTGAAGAGAAGATGACTGCCACATGAGAATAGAGTTAGACAATTCAGACACTCTGGCAGGACTGGCTACGTAATTTATAGAGCCCAGTGTAAAATGAAAAGGCTGGGACCCTTGTTCAAAAATTAAGAATTTTAAGCCTGGGACAGGAGGACTTTAAATCAAGCACAGGACTCTTCTAAGCATGGGGTCCCTTGTGACTGCACAGGTTGCACGCTTATGAAGCCTGCTTTTTTAGTCTTGAAATAATGAAGGTAGAGAGGAATTTGCTTTACCTCTACACAATTTGGAAAGCAGTAATAGAATGCATGAATTTTGTTTACAGTGTCTTAGAATATTAAAGCTAGGGAAACCACTGAAGTTTCAAGGTGGGTGATGATAGCATGTACTCCTTTACAGCATAGCAGGAACAAACTCTTTCTCTGAGAAGTCACACAAGGTAGATCGAAGAGTTTCTTATTTGTGTTGGCCACAGAGTTGGGTTGAACCATGGAAGCATCAAGAGGTGACTGTGAATACCAAGCCTGAGCATGGGTGACATTATTGAACTCCTGGTCTCAGGATAATTATAGAAGGCTCAGAGTAAATGTGTTTATTGATCCAGGCCTGGGTTGCTTTCATCAGAGCTTTAGAGTGAAGATTCTCACAAAACTTAGAAGACATGAGAAGACACTTCTGCACAAGATTTTGTGTGTGGCAATGGTGGTACTCAGTGACTTCTCACACTTAATTCACTAGAAATTGTGTTTATAGTCTCTCCTCTTTCTGACTTTAATTTTACATAGCTGGTCAGCTTTTAATGCATGGACTGTGACAGTGGGGAAGAAAGACTTTACAAAGACTTCTTTGAAGGAATGTTCTGGAGCCATTGAAAAGCTAATAAAAGAATATCGCCTGGTTCTTCTTTTATGATAACACAAAGTATTAAGCAAAAAATAAAAACATAATAAATGATAAAAATTAAAACACAACTGAGAAATGTCTTTATTCTTTAAAATTCTATAAGAAGAGAGTTGACCCCAATTTTTAATGCAATAGTCATGCATAGAATATTTGTTTCTGAACAAAATAATTCTAGAGACAGCAGCCTGTTTTCTACTCATCCTGCAATTTAATAAAACATTTATTTCTGATGAGAAAAGATACTCCTGCAGGGATATGAAAGTGTGGAGTGGCTCACTGTGGTAGAGACTTTCATTTACATCATCTTCTTTATTATATGTAACTACCCAATTTGGTATGTATCATTATCCCCACTTTGAGATAAGAAAAATGTGGTTCAAAGTTAAACATTTCAATAAGAACGTCCCTCAGAACAGTGACTGTGTAAGGTATCAATTAATAGTTGTTCTATGGTAATTGAATGGTTGGAAAAATACTTGATTTAGCAAATATTAGAGAAGATTAGGAAACTTGGAATATGTAATTGACATTCTTGGAGTAGGTAATTGAGGCCTTTGGTTCTTTACCCTTTTCCCTCTTCATCCCCTTAAGGGTTAGAGAGTCCTCTGCCTCTCGATTCTCACAGTAAGAAAAGCTGCCCTCGTAAAGCAGCAAGAGAATGGTATTGGCTATAGCACTGCAGGCTGGTGGGGGACATATTTGGGGGACATGGTCTTCATGGAATTGTTGCAGTTTTACTATTTAAGTAGATATCAATTGGTTAATCTATTTCTGTTTGTGAAAACACATTGAAGGATGTAGTTGCAGAAAGTTTGCTGAGAAATACTGGACACTAAGTATTATATTTAGTCTTCAAAGTTAACATTTTATGGTAGCTTTTATGTATGGCTGAACACCATTCTAAGCACTCTACATGCACTATATCATTTAATCTTCATCATCTAGTGAGATATATACCATTATTATCCCCATTCTTTTTTTTTTTTTTTGAGATGGAGTCTCACTCTGTTGCCTAGGCTGGAGTGCAGTGACACGATCTCAGCTCACTACAACCTCTGCCTCCCGTGTTCAAGCGATTCTCCTGCCTCAGCCTCCTGAGTAGCTGGGATTACAGGTGCCCGCCACCACGCCCAGCTAATTTTTCGTATTTTTAGTAGAGACAGGGTTTCAGCATGTTGGGCAGGCTGGTCTCAAACTCTTGACCTCGTGATCCTCCCACCTCGGCCTCCCAAAGTGCTGGGATTGCAGGCGTGAGCCACTGTGCCTGGCCCCATTATCCCCATTCTTAAGAAGACAAAATCAAGGACCAGAGGGTAAAACGCATGAGTAGTAAGTGGTGGAATATGGACTGGAACCAGCTCCTTAATCACTATGGATATTGTGTCTAAGAGGAAGAACATAGAACATTCATGAAACATGTTCATAGTGGGTAGAGCAGGCACACAGAGACTGTGAAAAGGCTTTGACCCTGCTGCTAGAGATGCTTCTGTTTGTCCTCGGCTTCTCTAGTTTCATGGCTCCTGAAGGCTGACTCTGTGCCAGGAGAGAAGACAAAGCTGAGAATGGGGAAGGGATTCAAGGATGGATTAGCCTGGTGTTAGGATCTGGAATCCCCACTTTCCTGAAGGTCTCCAGGTGGAAGATGATAACAGGTGTGTTTTACCTGTGTGTTCCCCCGATCCTACAGGGTCATGGTAATTTAGTGCTATCACTATTCTTTGCAGTGTTTGTAGTTGCATACAACAGGGTGGGGTTAATCTTACTCTACTTTTGGACAAAAAAGGACTCAGAAAGTGAGCAAAAGGATCCTTTTTGCCTTGTTTCCTTGCTGCTTGAAATAGTTTGATAGCTTCCTATTTGAGAGAACTTGTTCTAGATAAAAGGGTTTTGGTTAAAGATCACTTTGGCTTATGTTTTTTAGGGCAATTCCACCCTTCTGCAACATAATGTGTAAGCTTTAAAGAAGCAAATGCAAGCACTTGCGCATTGTTCTGCTCTTCACATAGCAATTTATAAAACTCTTGCAATCCCACTTTTTGTCTTTGTACTGTATCAATTCTTAAAACTTTAAAGTTCAACAATAGAAATCCTCTTATTTTACAGATTAAGAGACTGAGGCAGATAGAAAAGACTTGTTCAGTGAGATACACAGTGCAAAGTTTGGATGAAAATAGTGTTTCTTAACGTTGAGTTCAGAATTCTTGCATTGCCTCCATGCCACTGATTAAAGAATTAATGAATTTCTCTAAATATAGAGGCTGAATGCCCAAAATGCCATTGCAAGTGAGAAGAGAATATTATCCCTTACTGATTTTTTTTTGTTTCAATGAGTCCCCTGAAGATGAGAGGAACCTCTGTTATGCCTGTGTTCCTTGCCTTGTGTAATTTTAGTTCAAATCACAGCAACGCACAGATTAAATGAAATAGCTGGAGGTAAATTGTGTCAATCCTTCAATGAGGTATAGTAATATTAAAATTCAGAACTCTAAATGATCACTTTTCAAGAAAGCTTTACTATGTATCTACATTATTAATTTCAGTTACCAACTCTATTTGACATGTAGACATTTTAGTAGAGTTGTTGAAGAAAAAAAAGCACTATATTAACTATAATCACCTGAAGTGATAATAGTCACAGCACAGTGACTGTCAGAAGCAATTGAAGACCATTACTGGAAAAATCAAATATGCACCTGATTTCAATTATATCAAATGCCAATTGATTTATTTGTTCATTAGAGCAACTGGTTGGAGATAGCTGAGAGAAGTTGGAAGGTTCTCAGTAAGAGTTTTTGAATTTCTACTTTATGAACTGCTGGGTGGTATAATAACAACTACATAGAGACACAGAATGTCTAGGCAACTTGCCAAAGACCATAAAGCCAGTCAGCTTTGGAGCTGGGTAGACCTCAGGCACTGTGGCTGTTAACCACCATGCTTCAATCTCTGCTCTACAAGGCGAGCTGGGAGCTTTGGTAGAAGGTATTCTTGAATTCAAAACTTAGCTCTGCTACTTAGTAGTGTGTAGTAGTACTTGGCAAATTAACTTATACCTCTGTTTTCTCTTTATTAATAGAGAGAGCATTAGTCCTAATCTCATGGGGGTTTTTTGGTGAAGTTTATGTATATAATGCTATCTACTGTACTTATCACAATATCTGGCATCTAATGAGAACTTAACATGTGTAGCTTTTATTTTATTAATATGATTTTTATAACCATGGAGGAGTTAAAAATTAGCAGATACATTATATATCCCAAGGAGCTCTTGATTTAATTGGGAACTGAAACATACAATTAGGTGCAAATTTATCAAGAATAAAAACATAAAGAATACAATCCTATAATTTGAAAATGCTCCAAGGAGGCACAGATATAACCTATGTTTTCTTTCTTTCTGGAGTTGTTTTCACTCAGTTAAAAGTATATGTATGCCATTCACCCCTATCTTCAGCAATATGGTATGGTATCATGAGAAAGGTATTCATTCTATATTTTTAATATATAGTCTAAGTTTTCCCTTACCCTGTTGCTACAATCTGTTTACAAGAGCAAGCAATTTCATGCAGTTTGCTATGCATCACTTTTAGCTCTTTCCTTAGGCACCAGTCTAAAATCAGGGTAGCAGTAAGCCACTTTCAAATTATAGTGGTCTTTTCCATTCATGTCTACGTTTCAAATTTTTATATAAACCACTTCGCTTCCCAAGCTGTCCAACAATTGCACAGCAAGAGATAATCGTTTTGGTATTGATTGATAGCTGCTAAGTAGAAAAAATTTCATAGAAGGAAATACGAGCACCAGTGCATTAAAGAGAAGGTATATTGCTAATTTGTTTTATTAATTGGTGCTACTTTGGGAGTCGGTTTTGTCATGCACTTCTGATAAGAGCTTCCAATCACCTTCAGAACTCTTCATCTAGAAGGTCACTTTTCTAAGCTGTCAAAGTCAGTTGCCTTGCTTAGTTGACTGAAACAATCAGATTACACAGACTTGCTGACTAAACTTGTTTATGTTATGGCTATATCTAGTGAACTAATAATTCTTAGTTTTCTGGCTATCTTGCAGTTCAATGATAAATTCATCAGTGCCATGTATTTCAAAATAAAAAATATTAAGAAACCCAGAACATACAAAAAAGTTTCCTTTAGTCCACCAAATAGCAAAACTCTCATGCATTTATGTTTGTTTGTTTGTTTGTTTTTTAAGTAATTAATTTATCACAGTAAGTGGCTTCTTAGGTTTGGTAGATGGCCTAGAGTGTGGTTTTGATTATAGCTGCTTTATTTTCATTTATGTAATCTTTATTCATCTTTATTCTGCATTGCAGCCTCAGACTTTTCCAGTTTTCTCAAAGCTACTTGGACTGGCTCACTTTTTAGAGTAGATGTTGATTAAAAGGTGCATCAGTAGCCCATTGCTTATAGTGCCACCGTGTGGCCTTCATCCATCACTGCTGCCCACTTAACAAACACAGCAGGTCCTCAATGGGGCTGAATCTAAAATTAAGTTTCTTTAAGAAGTGCATCCCTAGCACGTGTAATTATTTGTTTTTAATCACTATTTTAGAAAACCAAGGTAAAGACAAATTACAAAGTGAGAAATGACTATTATTGAGGACAAATTAGAAATAAATTTCTAAATTTAGAAATAAATCTCTAAATTACTTAATACTGTCAAAGGGAAAATATGTTTGCTTTATGAAGTCTGGATTTATAGTTAAATTTTTCATGATTTTTTTCTTGAGACAGGGTCTCACTCTGTCACCCATGCTGGAGTGTAATGGCGCGATCTCAGGTCACTGCAAATTCCCCCAGGTTCAAGTGATTCTTGTGCCTCAGCCACCCAAGTAACTGGGATTACCGGTGTGTGCCACCCCGTCTGGCTAATTTTTGTATTTTTAGTAGAGATGGGGTTTTACTATGTTGACAAGGCTGGTCTCGAACTCCTGGCCTCAAGTGATCCATCTGCCCACCTTGGCCTCCCAAAGTACTGGAATTACAGGTGTGAGCTACCATGCCTGGCCTTATTTTTATAGTGTAACAAGAGGCTGGTGTACATTTGAATTCTTTTTTTTGGCTATCAAGAAATTACATTTTGCTAGCAGTTTTTAGAAGGCAAGAAATTAGGTGCCTTAAATATCATCTTGTTAAATTGTGAAATATTTAATCTGTTCCTCCTCATTTTGATTCTTCTTCTCCCTTCACATTGGCATATGAATCTTTTTTCTCTGCCACATGGTTCTGTCATAGGAGGTCATTAAGGCATTTGAATGAATCAACATAGCCCTAAAAACCCCCACCAAGGTGTCGTATCCCCTACTGGCCTGCATTCTGTCCCCAGAGAGTCCTATTTTTATTTCCTTTGCTAACTAATTTGAAGTCTTTTTTTAGGTTGTACCCATGATTGCAATGTTAGAATATTAAGCCTTCATAGCATGTTGCAGTTTGGGGCAAAAATATATATCATTTTGTAAAACATATGAAGAAATAGAAATTAATGTGTAGTGTTTGGGCATTAAGTTCCATGATGAGAGTGGAGTTACAATCAGGGTTATGGCAGAGAAAACTGGCCAAAAAAAATAACAAAAGCTTATATTACTCACTCAAGACATTTAAGGAGAAAAAAAGAAATTAGCTGAAAAGGATTCATTTTGATTAGTAAGTATGTAATTTATATTCATTGAAGTTCCATTAAAGAGCCGTTCTCTTCCATTCGTGATTAGTACAATTGAAGTTGTTAGACGATTAGCACACCATTCAAAGTAAGGATACATGCCCTTTCTCTGTGTAGTATATACTTTTGCAGGCCCAGTCGCAAAGGCCTGTGCCAGTTTTCTTTGCCTCAAGACCAGGAATCTATAGAATGGCAAAGGAGTCAATATCCTGCCTTTCCGGATTCAGCTAAGCGCAGGAAGGATACTCATTAAGTTCATACCTATGTCATTCCATTGAAAAGACTGAGTACTCCTTCCTTTAAAAAGAAAAGAAACAGAAAATGAATCACTAGAGAATGATATTCTACAATTTTGAAGTACTTCATGTACTAATGTATCTCCTGCAGAATATTTCTAGCAAGATAATTTCATAAATAATTGTTATAGGGTGAGTTGTGTTCTTCCCACACCCCTGCAAAAGATAAGTTGAAGTACTAACCCCAGTTCCTCAGAATGTGATTTTATTTGGAAAGAGGGTCTTTACAGAGGTAATCAAGTCAAAATGAGTTCATTAGGGTAGACCCTAATCCAATATGACTGGTGTCCTTTAAAAAGAGTCAATTTGGACAGAGAGAGACCAATATCCACAGAAGGGAAGACTCTGTGAAGAGATACAGGGAGAATGCCATGTGAAGACTGGAGTTATGCTGCCATAAACCAAAAAATGCCTGGGGATACCAGAACCTGAAGACAGCAAGGAAAGATCTTTCCTTTACAGTCTCAAAGGGAGCAGGACCCTTCTGACACCTTGATTTTAGACTTCTAGCCTCCAGAACTGTGAGACAATACATTTCAGTCGTTCTAAGCCACCTAATTTGTGGTACTTTGTTATAGCAGCCCTAGGAAACTAATACAGTAAATATTGAGCTAGTACTTTCTGCCATGCCCTTTGATGAGCACTTGACAAAAATTGTCTTATTTACATCTAGGACCAATCTCAGGAAGGCTATTATTATCTTCCCAAGATACTAACAAGTCAAGATAACTAGCTTACTGGAGGTTAAGTGATTTGCCCAAGATCACACAGCTATTAAGTGAAGGAGCTGGGATTTTAACTGAGATTGGTTTAACTCTACCTTCTGCTGTGTGTGTGTGTGTGTGTGTGTGTGTGTGTGTGTGTGTGTGTGTATCTAGTTCTCACTGGTTTAAGGTCGTAGCCACTTTCACACCACCCTCATGTCTCATTGAGAACCACCCACCTCTATTTAAAGAATTGCTCTTGAAATTCACTGACAACCCCACCTTTCATGTTCAAGGGCACAAGTAAGACTCTTCATTTCTCTGACAATAAAAGGTTGGTAATATTCTCTTGACTCTTTGTAATTCGAAATTTTTATAGCCTTATTGGCCTTTTCGCCCACGCCTCTCAAATTATTTCTGCTTTTTTCCATCACCCAAATTGTTGTAGTTTAATATGTGCAACAGAGTGAAAAATCTGCATGGAGTCAATTTTCTGCTTCAAAAGAATTTCTTTTAAAAAATCCAACCAATGTCTTCATAAAAAACTAAATAAATCTGCATTGAATTGTGTAGATGTCAGAGACACTGAACCTGGGCTAAAACTTAGAACCCAAAATTGTATCAGTGAGAATAACCCAATCATTCTGAGAACAGCTGTCTTCCAAAGGTCAAAGTAAGTGCCGTATTTTTACTAATACTTATGTCTATGTTACAGTTTGACTCCATTCACTGATCAAAAATCCAAACCAAGAAAAAAGTTTAATTTATAACAATGCCACAGGTTGATGCAGTTAAAAAAGAATTACGGTTAGACCAATAGTTACACAATACAGACAGTTGATTGGACATTAGTCATAGGATATAAAAGCTAAAACTATCAAATTAGATTTCTATTAACTCATCAGAGATAGAATTGGGAATATCGGGATAGACTTGATTTATAATGCCTAAAATTTCTCCTTAGCTGGTATTCTTCGTTTTTTTTTTAGGATGTCACTTTCTACTTATTGGTCTACCTTAAAGCAGTAGGTTTGAAACTTTTTTGACTGTGACCCATAGTCATGGCAGTCAGGGGAGGAGTTTCAAGAAGGAGGGCTATCAGCACTGTCAACTGCTTCAGAGAGATTAAAAGGATGATTAAGATAATCTTGATATTTGGGGATCATTATTTATTGAAACAAATGTTCTTACTATTGTTTGATGTTTTCACTATTGTTTGATAAAAATGATCATCTGCCGGGCGCGGTGGCTCACGCTTGTAATCCCAGCACTTTGAGAGGCTGAGGCAGGCGGATCATGAGGTCAGGAGATCGAGACCATCCTGGCTAACATGGTGAAACCCCGTCTCTACTAAAAATACAAAAAATGAGCCGGGCGTGGTGGCAGGCGCCTGTAGTCCCAGCTACGCGGGAGGCTGAGGCAGGAAAATGTCATGAACCCGGGAAGCAGAGCTTGCAGTGAGCTGAGATTGCGCCACTGCACTCCAGGCTGGGCGACAGAGTGAGACTCTGTCTCAAAAAAAAAAAAAAAAAGATCATCTGAGGATATCCATTCACACTTGAGTAATAAAGCTGTCAGAGAGATGCAAGTCCCTGGATTCCACAGAATTGAGACGCTGCATACCAGGAAAACCCTACCTCTTTGTAGGTGTTCCATGTTTCAAAAACATTGCTATATAGACAAACCACCAAGGCCTTAGGCAACTCACAAGACAGCATTTATGCATCCTGAACCTTGAGTTGGCTATCTCATAACAATATAAAAATAATTACCAACCATGTAAGCCATATTTCATTTTCTTTTTCTTTTTATATTGGTCACCCCCAACACATTGTTTATAAAGTAGGAAGAAGTCACTAGTTTTATATGTCAACCTAAAATAACAGCAGAGACAGACTTTCCAAAAAGAAGTTTATTCAGGAATAGCAAGGGATTGCAATCTGGGACATATGCATGCTATGGTGAACCATAGACACATCCAAAGGGGTTGGGGAAAGGGGGAAGCTTTTAAAGATAAAAAGGAGAAATTCATGTAAGCCATTTTCTTTCTTTTTTTTTTTTTTTTTATTATACTCTAAGTTTTAGGGTACATGTGCACATTGTGCAGGTTAGTTACATATGTATACATGTGCCATGCTGGTGCGCTGCACCCACTAATGTGTCATCTAGCATTAGGTATATCTCCCAATGCTATCCCTCCCCCCTCCCCCCGACCCCACCACAGTCCCCAGAGTGTGATATTCCCCTTCCTGTGTCCATGTGATCTCATTGTTCAATTCCCACCTATGAGTGAGAATATGCGGTGTTTGGTTTTTTGTTCTTGCAATAGTTTACTGAGAATGATGGTTTCCAATTTCATCCATGTCCCTACAAAGGATATGAACTCATCATTTTTTATGGCTGCATAGTATTCCATGGTGTATATGTGCCACATTTTCTTAATCCAGTCTATCATTGTTGGACATTTGGGTTGGTTCCAAGTCTTTGCTATTGTGAATAGTGCTGCAATAAACATACGTGTGCATGTGTCTTTATAGCAGCATGATTTATAGTCCTTTGGGTATATACCCAGTAATGGGATGGCTGGGTCAAATGGTATTTCTAGTTCTAGATCCCTGAGGAATCGCCACACTGACTTCCACAATGGTTGAACTAGTTTACAGTCCCACCAACAGTGTAAAAGTGTTCCTATTTCTCCACATCCTCTCCAGCACCTGTTGTTTCCTGACTTTTTAATGATTGCCATTCTAACTGGTGTGAGATGATATCTCATAGTGGTTTTGATTTGCATTTCTCTGATGGCCAGTGATGATGAGCATTTCTTCATGTGTTTTTTGGCTGCATAAATGTCTTCTTTTGAGAAGTGTCTGTTCATGTCCTTCGCCCACTTTTTGATGGGGTTGTTTGTTTTTTTCTTGTAAATTTGTTTGAGTTCATTGTAGATTCTGGATATTAGCCCTTTGTCAGATGAGTAGGTTGCGAAAATTTTCTCCCATGTTGTAGGTTGCCTGTTCACTCTGATGGTAGTTTCTTTTGCTGTGCAGAAGCTCTTTAGTTTAATTAGATCCCATTTGTCAATTTTGGCTTTTGTTGCCATTGCTTTTGGTGTTTTGGACATGAAGTCCTTGCCCACGCCTATGTCCTGAATGGTAATGCCTAGGTTTTCTTCTAGGGTTTTTATGGTTTTAGGTCTAACGTTTAAATCTTTAATCCATCTTGAATTGATTTTTGTATAAGGTGTAAGGAAGGGATCCAGTTTCAGCTTTCTACATATGGCTAGCCAGTTTTCCCAGCACCATTTATTAAATAGGGAATCCTTTCCCCATTGCTTGTTTTTCTCAGGTTTGTCAAAGATCAGATAGTTGTAGATATGCGGCATTATTTCTGTTCCATTGATCTATATCTCTGTTTTGGTACCAGTACCATGCTGTTTTGGTTACTGTAGCCTTGTAGTATAGTTTGAAGTCAGGTAGTGTGATGCCTCCAGCTTTGTTCTTTTGGCTTAGGATTGACTTGGCAATGCGGGCTCTTTTTTGGTTCCATATGAACTTTAAAGTAGTTTTTTCCAATTCTGTGAAGAAAGTCATTGGTAGCTTGATGGGGATGGCATTGAATCTGTAAATTACCTTGGGCAGTATGGCCATTTTCACGATATTGATTCTTCCTACCCATGAGCATGGAATGTTCTTCCATTTGTTTGTGTCCTCTTTTATTTCCTTGAGCAGTGGTTTGTAGTTCTCCTTGAAGAGGTCCTTCACATCCCTTGTAAGTTGGATTCCTAGGTATTTTATTCTCTGAAGCAATTGTGAATGGGAGTTTACCCATGATTTGGCTCTCTGTTTGTCTGTTGTTGGTGTATAAGAATGCTTGTGATTTTTGTACATTGATTTTGTATCCTGAGACTTTGCTGAAGTTGCTTATCAGCTTAAGGAGATTTTGGGCTGAGACGATGGGGTTTTCTAGATAAACAATCATGTCATCTGCAAACAGGGACAATTTGACTTCCTCTTTTCCTAATTGAATACCCTTTATTTCCTTCTCCTGCCTGATTGCCCTGGCCAGAACTTCCAACACTATGTTGAATAGGAGCGGTGAGAGAGGGCATCCCTGTCTTGTGCCAGTTTTCAAAGGGAATGCTTCCAGTTTTTGCCCATTCAGTATGATATTGGCTGTGGGTTTGTCATAGATAGCTCTTATTATTTTGAAATACGTCCCATCAATACCTAATTTATTGAGAGTTTTTAGCATGAAGGGTTGTTGAATTTTGTCAAAGGCTTTTTCTGCATCTATTGAGATAATCATGTGGTTTTTGTCTTTGGCTCTGTTTATATGCTGGATTACATTTATTGATTTGCGTATATTGAACCAGCCTTGCATCCCAGGGATGAAGCCCACTTGATCATGGTGGATAAGCTTTTTGATGTGCTGCTGGATTCGGTTTGCCAGTATTTTATTGAGGATTTTTGCATCAATGTTCATCAAGGATATTGGTCTAAAATTCTCTTTTTTGGTTGTGTCTCTGCCCGGCTTTGGTGTCAGAATGATGCTGGCCTCATAAAATGAGTTAGGGAGGATTCCCTCTTTTTCTATTGATTGGAATAGTTTCAGAAGGAATGGTACCAGTTCCTCCTTGTACCTCTGGTAGAATTCGGCTGTGAATCCATCTGGTCCTGGACTCTTTTTGGTTGGTAAACTATTGATTATTGCCACAATTTCAGAGCCTGTTATTGGTCTATTCAGAGATTCAACTTCTTCCTGATTTAGTCTTGGGAGAGTGTATGTGTCGAGGAATGTATCCATTTCTTCTAGATTTTCTAGTTTATTTGCGTAGAGGTGTTTGTAGTATTCTCTGATGGTAGTTTGTATTTCTGTGGGATCGGTGGTGATATCCCCTTTATCATTTTTTATTGTGTCTATTTGATTCTTCTCTCTTTTTTTCTTTATTAGTCTTGCTAGCGGTCTATCAATTTTGTTGATCCTTTCAAAAAACCAGCTCCTGGATTCATTGATTTTTTGAAGGGTTTTTTGTGTCTCTATTTCCTTCAGTTCTGCTCTGATTTTAGTTATTTCTTGCCTTCTGCTAGCTTTTGAATGTGTTTGCTCTTGCTTTTCTAGTTCTTTTAATTGTGATGTTAGGGTGTCAATTTTGGATCTTTCCTGCTTTCTCTTGTAGGCATTTAGTGCTATAAATTTCCCTCTACACACTGCTTTGAATGCGTCCCAGAGATTCTGGTATGTGGTGTCTTTGTTCTCGTTGGTTTCAAAGAACATCTTTATTTCTGCCTTCATTTCGTTATGTACCCAGTAGTCATTCAGGAGCAGGTTGTTCAGTTTCCATGTAGTTGAGCGGCTTTGAGTGAGATTCTTAATCCTGAGTTCTAGTTTGATTGCACTGTGGTCTGAGAGATAGTTTGTTATAATTTCTGTTCTTTTACATTTGCTGAGGAGAGCTTTACTTCCAACTATGTGGTCAATTTTGGAATAGGTGTGGTGTGGTGCTGAAAAAAATGTATATTCTGTTGATTTGGGGTGGAGAGTTCTGTAGATGTCTATTAGGTCTGCTTGGTGCAGAGCTGAGTTCAATTCCTGGGTATCCTTGTTGACTTTCTGTCTCGTTGATCTGTCTAATGTTGACAGTGGGGTGTTAAAGTCTCCCATTATTAATGTATGGGAGTCTAAGTCTCTTTGTAGGTCACTGAGGACTTGCTTTATGAATCTGGGTGCTCCTGTATTGGGTGCATAAATATTTAGGATAGTTAGCTCCTCTTGTTGAATTGATCCCTTTACCATTATGTAATGGCCTTCTTTGTCTCTTTTGATCTTTGTTGGTTTAAAGTCTGTTTTATCAGAGACTAGGATTGCAACCCCTGCCTTTTTTTGTTTTCCATTTGCTTGGTAGATCTTCCTCCATCCTTTTATTTTGAGCCTATGTGTGTCTCTGCACGTGAGATGGGTTTCCTGAATACAGCACACTGATGGGTCTTGACTCTTTATCCAACTTGCCAGTCTGTGTCTTTTAATTGCAGAATTTAGTCCATTTATATTTAAAGTTAATATTGTTATGTGTGAATTTGATCCTGTCATTATGATGTTAGCTGGTGATTTTGCTCATTAGTTGATGCAGTTTCTTCCTAGTCTCGATGGTCTTTACATTTTGGCATGATTTTGCAGCGGCTGGTACCGGTTGTTCCTTTCCATATTTAGCGCTTCCTTCAGGAGCTCTTTTAGGGCAGGCCTGGTGGTGACAAAATCTCTCAGCATTTGCTTGTCTATAAAGTATTTTATTTCTCCTTCACTTATGAAGCTTAGTTTGGCTGGATATGAAATTCTGGGTTGAAAATTCTTTTCTTTAAGAATGTTGAATATTGGCCCCCACTCTCTTCTGGCTTGTAGGGTTTCTGCCGAGAGATCCGCTGTTAGTCTGATGGGCTTTCCTTTGAGGGTAACCCGACCTTTCTCTCTGGCTGCCCTTAACATTTTTTCCTTCATTTCAACTTTGGTGAATCTGACAATTATGTGTCTTGGAGTTGCTCTTCTCGAGGAGTATCTTTGTGGCGTTCTCTGTATTTCCTGAATCTGAACGTTGGCCTGCCTTGCTAGATTGGGGAAGTTCTCCTGGATAATATCCTGCAGAGTGTTTTCCAACTTGGTTCCATTCTCCACATCACTTTCAGGTACACCAATCAGACGTAGATTTGGTCTTTTCACATAGTCCCATATTTCTTAGAGGCTTTGCTCATTTCTTTTTATTATTTTTTCTCTAAACTTCCCTTCTCGCTTCATTTCATTCATTTCATCTTCCATTGCTGATACCCTTTCTTCCAGTTGATCGCATCGGCTCCTGAGGCTTCTGCATTCTTCACGTAGTTCTCGAGCCTTGGTTTTCAGCTCCATCAGCTCCTTTAAGCACTTCTCTGTATTGGTTATTCTAGTTATACATTCTTCTAAATTTTTTTCAAAGTTTTCAACTTCTTTGCCTTTGGTTTGAATGTCCTCCCGTAGCTCAGAGTAATTTGATCGTCTGAAGCCTTCTTCTCTCAGCTCGTCAAAATCATTCTCCATCCAGCTTTGTTCTGTTGCTGGTGAGGAACTGCGTTCCTTTGGAGGAGGAGAGGCGCTCTGCGTTTTAGAGTTTCCAGTTTTTCTGTTCTGTTTTTTCCCCATCTTTGTGGTTTTATCTACTTTTGGTCTTTGATGATGGTGATGTACAGATGGGTTTTCGGTGTAGATGTCCTTTCTGGTTGTTAGTTTTCCTTCTAACAGACAGGACCCTCAGCTGCAGGTCTGTTGGAATACCCTGCCGTGTGAGGTGTCAGTGTGCCCCTGCTGGGGGGTGCCTCCCAGTTAGGCTGGTCGGGGGTCAGGGGTCAGGGACCCACTTGAGGAGGCAGTCTGCCCGTTCTCAGATCTCCAGCTGCGTGCTAGGAGAACCACTGCTCTCTTCAAAGCTGTCAGACAGGGACACTTAAGTCTGCAGAGGTTACTGCTGTCTTTTTGTTTGTCTGTGCCCTGCCCCCAGAGGTGGAGCCTACAGAGGCAGGCAGGCCTCCTTGAGCTGTGGTGGGCTCCACCCAGTTCGAGCTTCCTGGCTGCTTTGTTTACCTAAGCAAGCCTGGACAATGGCGGGCGCCCCTCCCCCAGCCTCGTTGCCGCCTTGCAGTTTGATCTCAGACTGCTGTGCTAGCAATCAGCGAGATTCCGTGGGCGTAGGACCCTCTGAGCCAGGTGTGGGATATAGTCTCGTGGTGCGCCGTTTCTTAAGCCGGTCTGAAAAGCGCAATATTCGGGTGGGAGTGACCCGATTTTCCAGGTGCGTCCGTCACCCCTTTCTTTGACTCGGAAAGGGAACTCCCTGACCCCTTGCGCTTCCCAGGTGAGGCAATGCCTCGCCCTGCTTCGGCTCGCGCACGGTGCGCACACACACTGGCCTGCGCCCACTGTCTGGCACTCCCTAGTGAGATGAACCCGGTACCTCAGATGGAAATGCAGAAATCACCCGTCTTCTGCGTCGCTCACGCTGGGAGCTGTAGACCGGAGCTGTTCCTATTCGGCCATCTTGACTCCTCCTCCCTCAGCCATTTTCTTGAGTATTCTGAGTCACAGCCACATATATCTAATGGGCTATCAGATCTTGCCTGCTGTGCCACAGAACTCCCAAACTGCCTTATCCACTCTGGCCCTATCTCATGAAGCTTTCCCCATCTCTCATCAGAGCTGTTATCATAGGCACAACTTCCCTTCTCTCAGTTTAGCAGATCCAAAGCTTTTCTTCCCCACCTAAGTGCCTACCAACCTCTACCCTAGTCCCATTTATTTGGTAACTGGCTCATTGGTTACAGAGAAGGGCGTCTGGTAGGAGCCTTACCTGTAAACTGACCAGTTGGGATGCTTGTTCTAACTTCTTAGCCTCTGTCCCACCGATGTCCCTTCTTCTGTCTAGGGCCAACTCCTCCTCATATACATAGGACCCTTTGCCCACCCATCTTCTTTATAGCTTTTTTTTCTTTCAGCTTTTTCTTCTCCTCTAACTCATTCCCCCTTGCTAACCTCTCCCCTATCATAAAACATCCTTTTTGCAATTCAGCCATTCTTTCCACATCTCTCTCTCTCTGCTTTCCTTGAAGGATAAACATCTTGAGGGAGGATTTTACACCTGATGTGGCCACTCCATCCATTTTCATTTATTCTTCACTCTAGTTTAATTTGGCTTTCTCCCCACCACTTCACTGGATGCTTCACTGAGGTTGAGTATTACCTGCCAGACAAATCCCAGGGTGTATTTTGAGTCATCAGCTCCTCTTGATCTTAGAGCAATAACTGATACTGTTTGAAATCTCTCTGGCCTTCTGTCACTGTTCTCTTCCTGTCTCTTGGACCATTCCTTCTCAGGCTTCTCTTTCCTGCATGCCCTTCAGTGTCAGGGTTCTTTATGTAATCCTCTTCTACAAATGGTCTACATTTTTTAAGTGGTCTTTTTCCTTTTCATGACATTGTCTACCACTTTTACCTTGAGATTTCTAAATTGCTCTTTGTAGCTCTGCTCACCTATTATACAAACTTAGCTTGATGGATTTAGCTTTTGTATCCTACTGCTGGTATCACTTTCATCTAAGTGAGGAAGACAAATAAGAAAGTGATATGTATTTCTTACTTTCTTATGAGACTCTATTGGTGTCTAGATGGTT
Source organism: Homo sapiens (assembly GCF_000001405.40). NCBI lineage: Eukaryota > Metazoa > Chordata > Mammalia > Primates > Hominidae > Homo > Homo sapiens. Next base: position 177,971,958 of record NC_000002.12, on the reverse strand, counting down.
CTATATCCAGTTCTTATTATGCCCAGAAGTCCACAATGGAAAGTCACTACTGGGTAATCACATTATGTCTTTTATAACTGCCTTTTTTTTTTCTGAATTACTTAGAGGTTGCTATTTTCTAGAATTTTCTTTTTGAATTGTCTGGATGTTCCCACCAGCTCTGTAATAAGTTGAGTGACTGGTATTATTGTCCCTTTTCTGCTATTATATTAATGGGCAGGAAGAGAAATACCCTGGTGACCTTACATAACGGGACTTATTATAAATATCAGCCTCCTCCATCCCCTCTCTCTTCCTCTTCCTTCCCCCATCTCCTTCTCTCTGTCTAGACAGTGGATGACCAGTCAATAAAGGATGTCCCTATTTGGTGTTCTTCAACTTGGAACAGATCTATGTTTTAGTCAGTTATTTCAGTTTAGTTTAGTATTAGTTTAGTCAGCTAAGGTAGCAGGATGACATCCATGACTTTGTGAAAAGCTTCCTAAAACTGAAAGTATCTGTGGAGGTAGGATAATTGCTAGGGACTTTTGAGCCTTCCTAGCCTGACAGGCTAGCTGTGGGGACCTGGGCAAGTCACTTAGCCCTCATGAGTTCTAATATCCACATATGTAAACCTACTGACTTCTCCTTCCTACTTCATGGGCAGTTTGTGTGGGAGAAAATCAATATGAAAAGAAAAGGAAAAGTAAATATACTGTAGGTGGCTGGTAACTATTTTTGTATTGTTATGAAATAGCCGGCTCAAGGTTCACATGCATAGCTGCTGTCTTGTGAGTTGCCTAAGGCCTTGCTAATGAGTGGTTTTTCTATACAGCAATGTTTGTTGGAACATGAAGAGGTAGGGTTTTCTTGTTATGCAGCTTCTCAATCCTATAGAATCCAGGGACTTGTAGCTCTCTGACAGCTTTATTACTCAAGTGTGAATGTATATCCCCAGATGACTATTTTAATCAAACAATAGTAAGTACATTTGCCTCAATAAGTAATGATCCCCAGGTAACAAGTAATCATGGTCATCCTTTTAATCTCTCTGAAGCAGTTGATGGTGCTGATAGCCCTCCTTCCTGAAACTCCTCCCCTGACTGCTATGACTCCATGCTGTAAGACTCTGGTGGACTGCCTGCCTTAGTCTTCCCCTGTTGTACCTCCCGTGATTCACTTCTTTTACCTTCTTTTATCTTGAAGTGGTGGTGTCTCCAAAGTTGCTGTCTTCTGCTTTCCTTTATGTTCTACAGTCTATCTCTTGGGAGTCTCATTAGCGTACATTATTTCAACTAACACTTTTATGCTAAACCTAGGTCACTAGGCTTATTTGACTTCTGAAGCTCCAAGGCCCCACAGGTCATTTCTGTTTGGATCTTCTGCTTGCTTCTCAAATGCTACATACCCTGAATCAAACTCACTAACTTCCTCTGCTTGTGTCCTGAGTTTCATCATTCTCTTGAGTTTTCTGTGTTGGTCAGTTTTTCAACTACTTGGCTAGAGGCATTGGCATCATCCTTTATTCTGCTCCTCCCTCTAATCTCATGTCTATATCTAACTAATTAGATATAGTCAAAGTCTATCGATGTGACCTAGAAATGACTCTTGGATCTATAACCTTTAAAAATGAGAGTTTATATTTCTACATTCTTGATTCTTGCTCTCACTCTCTGGACTACTATTGCTAGAATTACATTTTTACAGTCCTAATGTAAACGTGTCAGTTTAAATATTTGACAGCTCTCTATTGCTTCTAGCATAAAACCAAAACTTTTTAGCATGGCATTTGAATGGTTTCAGGATTGAGTCTCAACTACTTCTCGAGTCTCTGGACAAATCACCCATATGTTTCACACTTGATTTACGTTGGAATTTTTGCCATTTACAGTACTCGAAATGCATATTCCCAGCTTGTTATCTTTGCTTATTCAATTCCTTTAGTCCAGAATTCATTTAAAGTCACTAACATTCATTAAAGTTCCCCATATGATACCATTCAATAAATGTTTCTTGGATAGAATTATCATTATTAACTTCCCTCCTGAGCATAAATATGAAAGCAGAGGTCAATTTTTTTTCAACATTGTATTTCCAGTAATTAGAAGAATGCCAAATGCATAGTAGATATTCAAAAATATTTACTTGGAAATAAAATCTTTAGAATGACTAGTCTTCACGGTTATATGTATTTTTAATACTCATTTATTCCCCAGGAGATACAAAGTAGTGTAATACAATCTTGTAAATACAAGATTGGCACTGACATAATTAGTTGCAAACCCCACTTTTAGTCACTAAGATCTGATTGTTGATAATAATGAATATTTATAGGGAGAGGCTTACTTACTTTTTTTCTTTACATAAAATTTTGCACATATAGGAATCATGGGTTTCAGTATCATATATTACAGGGCACATCTCTGTTCCTTGATTTCTATTAGCACAGCTTAACAATATAGTGCTCATGGAACACTGAGTGTTTATATCAACATTAACAGTGAAATTATGGGTATAATGCAAACACTGGAGAGTTTTTTTTTATTATTTTACTTTAAGTTCTGGGATTCATGTGCAGAATGTGCAGGTTTGTTACATAGGTATACATGTGCCATGGTGGTTTGCTACACCCATCAACCCATCATCTAGGTTTTCAGCCCCACATGCATTAGGTATTTCTCCTAATGCTATCCCTCCCCTTGCCTCCCAACCCCGACAGGACCGGTGTGTGATGTTCCCCTCCCTGTGTCCATGTGTTCTCATTGTTCAACTCCCATTTATGAATGAGAACATGTGGTGTTTGGCTTTCTGTTCCTGTGTTAGTTCGCTGAGAATGATGGCTTCCAGCTTCATTCATGTCCCTGCAAAGGACACGAACTCATTCTTTTTTATAGCTGCATAGTATTCCATGGTGTATATGTGTCACATTTTCTTTATCCAGTCTATCATCGATGGACATTTGGGTTGGTTCCAAGTCTTTGCTATTGTTAATAGTGTTGCAATAAACATACATGTGTATGTGTTCTTATAGTAGAATGATTTATAATCCTTTGGACATATACCCAGTAATGGGATTGCCAGATCAAATGGTATTTCTGGTTCTAGATCTTTGAGGAATCACCACACTGTCTTACACAATGGTTGAACTAATTTACCCTCCCACCAACAGTGTACAAGTGTTCCTGTTTCTCCATATCCTCGCCAGCATCTGTTGTTTTCTGACTTTTTAATAATTGCCATTCTAAATGGTGTGAGATGGTATCTCATTGTGGTTTTGATTTGCATTTCTCTAGTAATGGTTAGCTTTTTTTCATATGTTTGTTGAGAGTTTTTAATAATGGAAAAATTGGTTCATCCTATAGGAATTTATTTGACTGCATATGAGTATTTTCACCTGAATTGTTTGCTTTTTAAAATAGTTATGTAAGCTTGGGTTTATTTGGAATTGTATGTAGTAGTTCTTTGTTATCTTCTCAACTAGTGAGCATCACTTAGAAGAACATCAGAATTACAAATTTTCTTTAGTTTGCTATAGAAAAAACAATTTCTACCTTAGCATAATTTCTGTGATCTAGATAAAATAGGAATCAATCAAAATCTAACAAAAAGGAGAAATATTTGTCTTTTTAGCTGGGTTTGCCTGAACAAATTATTTTATTGCTTTGAGAACCACAGGGAAGACTAATTGGTGTTGACATAAAAATAAATGTTTCTGTTGATAAACCTTGATTTATTAGGAGAAAAAAGAATATCTTACAGTTTAGAGTCAGAATAAATACAGTCTCTGTTTTTTGTTGTTGTTTGTTTGTTTGTTTGTCTTTGTTACCTTGTTACCAAGGTCTAGGGGATAAATAAGAATTAGCACCTCGTCTGATAAACACCTAATCACCACTCTCCCAGCTGAGAGGGTGTGAGAAAGTGATTAAAAGCATGGATATTGAAATCAATGTGGCTTGAATTACCATTTATTATCTGTGTGACTTTGGGCAAATGGCTGAATCTCTTTCAGACTCAATTTCTGCATTCATGAAATAGGTATTCATTTATTCATTCATTTATTCAATTATTCAATAAAACAAGCAAAAATACATTTGTCCTCATGGAATTTACATCTAATATGGCAATAATAACAGTACCTAGCTTCCACAATTGTTATGGGAATTAGCTGATAAATGCAGATAAACCGCTTAGCACAATGCCCAGCACCTAGTACATCTAGTAAATTAGAGAAAGTGACTAGTATAGTTTGACACACATATAGAAGAGGTGCTTGTGTGGGGATGGGCCCTGGGGAGACAGTAGATTGGGGCCAGGTTTTAGAGGCTGAGGTTTATTCAGTACTTACTACTGTCAGTCTATACTAGATGCTTTAAGCTTGTAACAATCCTGTGAGGCAGATATTAGAAATTAACGTTTATTCAATCATTCCTTCATTCAATCAAAAAACCTTTATTATAAACACAATCAAAAGTGACAAAGGAGGCTGGGCATAGTCACTCACACCTGTAATCCCAACACTTTTGGGAGGCTGTGGTGGGTGGATCACCTGAGGACAGGAGTTCAAGACCAGCCTGGACAACATGGCAAAACCTTGTCTCTACTAAAACTATAAAAAATTAGCTGGGTGTGGTGGTACATGCTTGTAATCCCAACTACTTGGGAGGCTGAGGCAGGAGAATCACTTGAACCCAGGAGGCGAAGGTTGCAGTGAGCCGAGATCCTGCCACTGTACTCAAGGCTGGGCGACACAGGGAGAGTAAAAAAAAAAAAAAAAAAAAAGACAAAGGAGACATTACCACCAATCCCATAGAAACACAAAACACCCTCAGAAACTATTACAAACACCTCCAGGCACACAAACTAGAAACCTAGAAGAAATGGATAAATTCCTGGAAACATACAGGAATGAACCAGTAAACAATTGAAACCATGAACAGACTGATAATGTGTTCCAAAATTGAACCAGTAATAAAAGCCTACCAACCAGAAGAAAACCTTGAATTAGATGGATTCATAGCCAAATTCTACCAGATGTATAAAGAAGAGCTGTCACCAATTCTATGAAACTATTCCAAAAAACTGAGAAGAGGGACTCCTTCCTAACCCATTCTATGAGGCCAGTGTCATTCTGTTACAAAAACCTTACAGAGACACAAGAAAAAAAGAAAATTTCAGGCATACATCCCTGATGAACATAAATGTAAAAATTCTCAAAAAAATACTAGCAAACTGAATCTAGCCGTATGTCAAAAAGCTAATCCACTATGACCAAGTAGGCTTTATTTCTGGGATGCAAAGTTGGGTCAACATATGCAAATCAATAAATGTGATTCATCACATAAGCAGAATTAAAAACAAAACCACAAGATCATCTTACAGACACAGAAAAGGCTTCCAATAAAATTGAACATCTCTTCATGTTAAAAAAAAACACCCTCTATAAACTAGGCATTGAAGGAACAGGAACATACTTCAAAATAATAAGAGCTATCTATGACAGACCCACAGCCAACATCATACTAAATGGGCAAAAACTGGAAGTATTCCCCTTGAGAACTACAGCAAGACAAGAATGTCCACTCTCATTGTTCCTATTCATCATAGTACTGGAAGACTCAGCCAGAGCAATCAAGCAAGAGAAAGAAATAAAAGACGAGAGGAAGTCAAACTATTTCTCTTCCCAGATGATATGATTTTATACCTAGAAAATCCCATACTCTGTGCCCCAAAGCTCCTAGATCTGGTAAACAACTTCAGCCAAGTTTCAGGATACAAAATCAATGTACAAAAATCAATAACGTTTCTATATACCAGCAATGTCCAAGCTGAGAGCCAAATCAAGAACACAATGCCATTCACAATAGCCACACAGAAAATAAAACACCTAGGAATACAGCTGTCTAGGGAGGTAAAAGATCTCTGCAATGTGAATTACGAAACACTGCTGAAAAAAATCAGAGACAACAAATACAAATGGAAAAACATTCCATGCTTATGGATTGGAAGAATCAATCATTAAAATGGCTATACTGCCCAAAGCAGTTTACAGATTCAATGCTATTCCTATCAAACTACCAATTACATTTTTCACAGAATTAGAAAAAACTATTTTAAAATTCATATGGAACCAGTATGAGCCCAAATAACTGAAGCAATACTAAGCAAAAAGAATAAAGCTGGAGGCCTCACACTACCTGACTTTAATCTATATGACAAGGCTGCATAACCAAAACAGCATGGTACTGATACAAAAATAAACAAATAAACCAATGGAACAGGTTAGAGAACCCAGAAATAAAGCCACACACCTACAACTATCTGATCTTCGACAAAGTTGACAAGAACAGGCAATGGAGAAAGGACTGTCTATTCAATAAATGGTGCTGGGATAACTGGCTAACCATATGCAGAAGAATGAAACTGGACCCCTTCATTTCACCATATATAAAAATCAACTCAAGATGGATTAAAAAGTTAAATGTAAAACTTAAAACTATAAAACCCTAGAAGAAAACCTAGGAAACACTATTCCGGACATAGATCCTGACAAAGATTTTATGACCAAGACTCCAAAAGCAATTGCAACGGAAAAATTGACAAATGGGAACTAATTAAGGAGCTTCTCCACAGCAAAAGAAACTATCAACAGAGTAAACAGACAACCTACAGGATGGGAGAAAATATTTGCAAATTATGCATCTGACAAAGGCCTAACATCCAGAATCTTTAAGGAACTTAAACAAATTAGCAAGCAAAAAGCAAACAATGCCATTAAAAAATGAGCAGAGGAGATGAACAGACACTTCTCAAAAGAAGACATACATACGGCCAGCAAGCATGTGAAAAAAGCTCAGCAACACTAATCATTAGAAATGCAAATCAAAACCACAATGTGTTACCATCTCACACCACTCAGAATGGCTCCTATTAAAACATCAAAAAATAACAGATGCTTGTGAGGTTGTAGAGAAAAGGGAACACTTATACACTGCTGGTGGGAATGTAAATTAGTTCAGCCATTATGGAAAGCAGTTTGGAGGTTTCTCAAAGAGCTTAAAACAGAACTATCATTTGACCCTGCAACCCCATTACTGGGTATATACCCAAAGGAATAGAAATCATTCTACCATAAAGACACATATACATGCACGTTCATCGCAGCACTAGTCACAACAACAAAGATACAGAATCAACTTAAATGTCCATCAGTGATGGACATGGATATACACCATGGAATACGATGCAGCCTTAAAAAACATGAGATTGTGTCCTTTGCAGCAACATGGATGGAGCTGGAGTCTATTATCCTAAGCAAATTAACACAGGAACAGAAAACCAAATACCACATGTTCCCACTTTTAAGTAGAAGCTAAACATTGAGAACATATGGACACAAAGAAGGGAACAATAGACGCTAGAGCCTATTTGAGGGTGAAGGGTTGGAAGAGGGTGAAGATCAAAAAACTACCTATCAGGCACTATGCTCATTACCTGGGTGATTAAATAACCGGTACAACAAACCCCTGCAACATGCAATTTACCCATGTAACAAACCTGCACATGTACCCCCTGAACCTAAAATAAAAGTTGGAAAGAAAAAAAATAGAAATAGAGTTAAGTAGTAAATACATAATCAACTAAATAGCTAAAAGTTTAATATGATTAACTCGGAGAAATAGATATGTGTATTATATAATTGAGGGATTGGTGGATAGAAGATAACACTTCTTTTAAAAATAAAACTTGAGGTTGCACTGAGCTGAGATGGCGCCACTGCACTCCAGCCTCTGTGACAGAGCAAGACCCTGTCTCAATAAAAAAAAAAACCAAACAAACAAAACAGAAATAAAATAAATCCTGTTGATTATTTGACTTTTTCAAGTTATTTATATGTATCACCTGGAAAATAATAGAAATTAAATAATATACAGTAATTTTTAAAAACAGCCATTATTGAGGATCTTCTCTATACCAGGCATTGTGCTAGGCACTGGAGATAAGAAGATGGGTAAGACTCAGGGCCTCCCTTGCAGAATCCACTCACGATGACAGTTCAGTGGAGGGCATGCCATGGCAGAGTAAAGCAGAGTACTTCCCCTGTACCTAACCCAGTCTGAAGGGGTGCAGCTGGATGGTGGAGGCCACTGGAAACATCTCCAGCTTGGGTTACAAAATGACTCCAGTTCTCAAGCAGCCACCGTGCCCCATCCTCAAGTTTTATTTGTGGCTTTCTAGATACTCTCTGGAAATTTGCCCTATACTTGTGCTTTAGGATAAAAGCTATTTTCAGATATCATATTTCTGCAGACAGATTTCAAGAGAGAAGCAGAGAATAGGGAAAGAATGGGTTGGGTGTTTCTCTGGATCTACTTTCTCACCTTGCAGGTGGACCAGGGGAGAGTAGTACTTGGGAAGCTGAACTGTGGCTAGGTGCAGGCAAGAGTGGATCTATTCACTCCACTGGACTTGAGTTTATCTTTGTAAGTTGGGAAAATAACTTTTCCTTGGAGTCATTTTTCATATTCAAAGGAATTATAGTAGGAACCTTTAAAGATCTGCTCCTGCTCTGATATCTCATAATTCTCCATGGAGGAGTGTAGGTCACCATATCATAATGCATATTTGGGGGTATGTGGAATGCTGGGTTACACTAGCACACACTCAGGTCTGTTTCTGGTTGATGTTTCCTCTGGAATCCGTATAGAGCTCATCCTGAAGATACAGAAATATTGGTGTTTTGAGGGAATGAGTGAAAAAATTGTCTGAGTAGGAACCTTTATAAATTTAGTGGAAGATATTTAATCATTTGGAAGCAGTAGATTTTAGTTTCTTATTTTTCTCTGTTTGAAATAGTTAAAGGACATAGATACAGAAAGCCTACTGACTGCCAGATTTTATTTATTTTTCCTACAGAAGGCACAGGGATCTGGAATAATTCCCACCACCCCAACTAGTTTCTCTATTTACTTTGTCTTAAAAATTCTTCTTCGCAACTTTTCTTTTGAAAATTAAAACTTTGATCTTCGGGAAATAACAGTTCAGAATATTTTTTAAAAAAATGCATTTGGATACAGTATTAACCAAACCTCCAGTTCAAATCAGAAAATTTATGAGATTTTTTTTGAGATTTTTTTTCTTTAGCTTTTTATTATCTCCCCCTGAGTTTACTTGTGTTCATTTTTATGATAATGCACACTTTAATTTGTCTAATAAATATGTTCCTGAAATAGGAGTCAAGCTGCATTTAAAATGTTGTTAGGATTTGCTGTTCAAATGGCCTCTACTCTAAATTTATTTTGCAGTGTAACTTATCTGACCCTAATTCATCTTTCATGTATGCTTGGATTTTGATCTATTGGGTTTGTCTAAAGCAAGGCACATCAGTTAACTATTGGATCTATTCCTGCTTATTACTTTCATAAAATCTAGAGCTATCACTTTAAAATTTTAAAATCCAGAATCTCATGTGATTAACACTGTTACTATTAATAGCGATGTTTTCCTTTATTTATAATATATTTTATATCCATGATAGTATACTATATAAATTCATTATATAATTAAATGGGCTTATTAAGTTTGAGTATTTTCATTTTACCGATTGTATAACTACAAACTGTGACTAGGGATATTGATACATTTGTGGACATTTATTTACTGAACAAATATTTATTTAATGCCTACCAAGTGCAACACACTGGACTAAAAACACTGTGGAATGTGAAGTATAATATATGACCTTCTTTAGGAAGTTATGGTATATTCAGGGAAATAGATATACACACATAATAACTTACATGATGCAAGGCTTAAATTGCAATATGAGATGACAACATAAAGTAGCATTTCCCAAACTGAGATATGTGAGATAATTTTAGGTAGTAGGCATAGACAAACTTTTTTTTTTTTTTTTTTTTTTTTTTGAGACAGTGTCTCACTCTGTCACCCAGGCTGGAGTGCAGTAGTGTGATCTTGGCTCACTGCAACTTCTGCCTCCCGGGATCAAGCAATTCTCATGCCTCAGCCTCCCGAGTAGCTGAAATTACAGGTGCATGCCACCACACTCAGCTAATTTTTGTGTTAGTAGAGATGTGGTCTCATCATTTGGCCAGGCTGGTCTTGAACTTCTAACCTCGGCCTCCCAAAGGGCTGGGATTACAGGCATGAATCACTATGCCCGGCCTACATAGACAAACATTTTTATATTAATGGTTATATTTTACAATTATCTTCAATTTATGTAAAATGTTATTGGCTTTCCATTATGGTCATGATCTAAAATTTCCTATAAAATTAAATGTAAGTAAAAATGTGGGAATTGGCTTCAAGAAAATAATAAAGACCAAAACATAACAGGTAGTATGTATTGACTTTCCATTATGGTCATGATCTAAAAATTTCTATAAAATTAAATGTAAGTAAAAATGTGGGAATTGGTTTCAAGAAAGTAATAAAGACCAAAACGTAACAGGTAGTATGTGAATATGGGAAAAAATAGTGAAGGGTATGTGAATACTGAGATTTTGGAGACGGATGAAAGAAATGTCATACAGTTATTTGTAACAAGGCATGTTGCCAGCGATACAGCCTCTATACTAGAGAAGGAAAGGTCTCAGCAGGCTGGGGTGTCAGGGCAGGCTCCATGAAGACTTGAGACTGGGCAGAGAGAAGGGTGAGCTTCATGCCTTAGGTGAGATTCTCACCGATTAAAAAAAAAAACCTGGAGGCCAAAATTCACATTCTCTTCTGGGACAGAGAAAGAGTTTGGAGTAGAGGTTCTGTGTAGGAGAAGATGGGAGGAAGGTCTGAAGCTATCAACTGGAGAGAGGAAAATTACACAGGACATTGAATGTTGGGCTGAGAAACCTGGACTCTTCCTGCTGTTTGTAAGAGGAAGCATTTTACTCCATTTGGGGGCAGCATCCTGGAGGAATGATCAGGAAGGTTCTGAAAAGCCGTCTGGATCACATATATGTCTCTTAGCATGACAGTCTCAATACTGTAATTACTGAAGCATTTGCTATCTAAGATTGACATCTTCTTTACCACTGACGGTGGTTCTGCATCAACTTGTGACCTGAAAGACCAACCAGTCGGGAGGCAACATTAGGATATGTATGGATCCATATAAAGGGGTCATGTCTAGGGCAAGACTAGACTAATATTAAATATGGGATGCTGGGCAGCCCAAGATAACTTTCAATAGTTTTCCTTAGGGCAGACCTATTTTCTCTAAATAGCTATGTTGTACATGTACAAGAGTTGTGATTAATGTGTTATATTAGATTTGTTTTCATGTGCTTCATTTTTTTTTCTTCTTGACTTGGCAGCTTTTCTGTTTTAGACAATTATATAAGACTATGGAAAATCTCAAATTCCATTCTATATAGTTTGCTTTAATTCTCTCGTGTGGGCAGCCTGGGCATTTTTAGCAACCTGGGAGTAGTTCTCCTAAGTTTATTCTGAAGTATGTTTACATACAAGTTTGGCTATAAAAAAGTAGACATGAAATGACTCTAATGTTTTATAATGAAATTCAATTTCAAAAAATACTCATAAATAATGAAAACCATTATTAATTCTACGATGTAGTTGAAATTTTTTCATTCCCAATGAGTTTCAAAATGGTACCTTTAGCTTCTTCTTTGATACACAATGGTATCAAAGTGGAACTATTTTCAAATTGTCTTCTGTCTTCTAGGTGGATGAAAAGGAGAACTTTGGGCCCCCGTCTCTACTACAATTAGGGTTTTAAATTAAAGTCCGCTTTAATTTATTTTTATATCATTCTCTGGTGACACTTTGAAACTCTAAAATAATGATGAAAAAGATAATGGAAACTTTAAGCGACGGGGAAATTTCCTAAGTGGTCCAGAGATAAAAAAAAAATAATGACAGTGATTGCTCATCAATCCTGCCAGGAGGTGCTGGGCTAATTCTAAACCTTTAGTTATGTATCAGTAAGCAAGGACATTGCTGTGTAAGCTGGGATTAATGCTTAGCTACTTAGGAAAAAAAGAGTATGAATTTTATTGTTACTTTATTAAAAGGATAGTATAATTATTTATTCTAATCATAAACATTAACCAGTATTTCTAATACCGAAAATTTTGAAGGCATTACAATTGGAGTAAAATTTAAAGAAATATAATATATAACCTTCTCACCAATACTTAATAAACCTGTAACTCCTTGCTTCCTTATCTAAATCCAACTCTACTTGATTTGAGTTTTGGATATCCGATTGATATATCAAATTTTAGGCCTCTTTGCAACCTATTTTCTCCAAAGCCTTTCCTATTCCAATAAAGGACCACACCATTCCCCCAATTGTTCAACCCTGAAATCTTTTTCTCACTACTCAAATTAATCAATTCATCAGCAAGTCCCTGTTAGCTTAAAATATATCACAGTCTCTGCTTTCTCTCTGTTTATACAGTTACCATCCTGATCATGATCCAAGCCACCCTCATTTCTTGTCTGGACTATTGGTATAGCCTCCTATTGGGTCCTCCTGATTCCACTAGTGCTCCATGACTATGTATTCTCTTTAGGGTAGCCAGAGAGATACTTTAAAACTGTAAATCAGATCATGGCACTTTTATGCATAAAAAACTGCCACGGGCACTTTTGGCACTGTATCCAAATTCTCAGCCCTGGCTTCCGAGGTCCTGCATCATCTAGGCCTGTCTTCCTTTGAGACACCTTTCCGTCTTCTTTCCATCATGTTCAATACTCTCCAGCCATAGGGATTTTTCTGTTCCTGACTCATACCAAGCTCATTCTAGTCTTAGGGTTGTTACATGTCTTCATTCCTCTTCTTGGCTCTGGTTTCCAGATCAGCTTCTTCTTTTCACTCAATACCCCTTCCCTGGGAGATCTTTTCCAAATTAGTCCGTTGACCTTCAAGTTACTCTTTTCTTATAGCAGCGTAGTTATTCATTTACTTGTTTATTGCCCATCTCTACCTCCTCCACTATGGCATGTAAGCTACTGGAGAACAGCAACCTTATCTTCATGGGAATTTCTTATTTCCAATAATTAGCACAGTACCTGGAATGTAAAAGGGGCTCAATAAATTTTGTTCAATTAGTCAATCTATTAATTCAGTATTTTTTCTCCTTTTATTTCATAAATTTAAGGAGACAAACCTTTAGTTATTTTTCTCAGTTTCTTTCAGTTTGCTGTTACTATTAATCTCTAACTCTGGAATTATATGGAGAGGCAGGAAAAAAATAGCACTTTTCTCTACTAAACCCAGCTCTGAGAGTTGCTCAGTTTAAGGAATTATGTCCGTTCCTTAAGGCTTGATTCTGGTGAAATTCACCTTGAGGTTTTAGCATTTCTCTTTTGATAGCCATTCTCTGTACTTCCTTCATAGTGCAGAAACCAAAAGAGGGAGATTAATTAATCCCAGTGTATGCAAGAATGATATTCCATGATTGTCTCTTTAAGGTTACAAGGGAATAACTTACCCCTCTCAGCCTTATCTTATTTCCATTTGTAGGTATAGATTTGTTAGTCTGAATTTTCTTTCCACATCCAAAATAAAATATACTTGTTCAACAGTTAAATAAAATTGCACAAACACTCAAAGCAGAGATAAAATGCAAGAAGTTTCACAAAGGGCTTGCACTATTCTTGGGATGGCCTTGTGCTGCTCACAAACATTTCTCCGTCAAGGTCATTTACCAAATCCTTTTACATCCTTTTATGTACTGAGGAGAAAAAAACATGCTGCAATACTTTATGTACTAGAGGATTCTATTTATTTTTTAAAATGCATTGAGGCCGGGCACGGTGGCTCACACCTGTAATTGCAGCACCTTGGGAGGCCGAGGCAGGTGGATCACCTGAGGTTAGGAGTTGAAGACCAGCCTAGCCAACATGATGAAACCCCGTGTCTACTAAAAATACAAAAATTAGCAGGGCATGGTTGCGCGCACCAGCTACTTGGGAGGCTGAAGCAGGGGAATAGCTTGAACCTGGGAGGGGAGGTTGCAGTGAGCCAAGATTGCGCCACTGCACTCCAGCCTGGGCAACAGCAAGAGACTCCGTCTCAAAAAAAAGGCATTGGAAAAACAAAGGTAAAGGATAGAGCAATGTATAGGTGGTCTTCAACAAATAGTTTTGGAGTTACAGGTATTTTTGTATTCTTTACATCTTTGAAGACTTTCTAGATTTTAAAACAATAACATGTATTGCTCTTGTTTATTATTCTTATTACTTTTATAATCATAAAAAGAATACTATTTAAAAGAAAGAATTATTGTAACTAAAACCCAAAGGTGGCTGTGAGCAGCCAACCCTCTGGCACCTTTGAGTGTGACAAGAGAGAGGGCCTCCATCTCTTATCTCTAATAACCTGGAGAATCACATAGCTCAATGGGCTCTGTTTTATTTTCTGGTTTAGAAAAGCTGGTTTCAGGTTCACAACTGGGTTTGAAGTGTAATTGTTTTCCAGACAAAAATGGTTTAAAAATCACAATGTACTACATAATGGGATTTCATTTCTTCCTGAGCAACATTACCCAGGGGAAGTTTTTTGTTTTGTTTTGTGTTGTTGTTTTTAGGATTTAAAAAAATTACTTCCATTGAATTGATAATGTTTGGTTCAATGAAAAGAAACACTACTGAATTTAACAGTTCTAACCATGGAAGTTCTGAGACCATTGAAAATAAAGAATTAAGTTTGCCATCTTCTTTATCCTTTTTTGTTGGGAAAAAATAGCATATATTATATACAGTATTGAGTTTTCAAGAAAAGTGGAAATATTTGTACATTTATGTTCTCTTGTGCTACGAGAAGCCAGTGCAGTTGATGACATAATTTTAAGTATCTTGCTACTGAAAGTCTGATCTATGGACCAGCCCCTTGTTTGTTTTTTTTTGTTTTTTTGCTCTTTTCTTTTTTTTTATTTTATTATTATTATACTTTAAGTTTTAGGGTACACGTACACAATGTGCAGGTTTGTTACATATGTATACATGTGCCATGTTGGCGTGCTGCACCCATTAACTCGTCATTTACATTAGGTATATCTCTAAATGCTATCCCTCCCCCACCCCACAACAGTCCCCAGTGTGTGATGTTCCCCTTCCTGTGTCCATGTGTTCTCATTGTTCAATTCCCACCTATGAGCGAGAACATGCGGTGTTTGGTTTTTTGTCCTTGCGATAGTTTGCTGAGAATGATGGTTTCCAGTTCCATCCATGTCCCTACAAAAGACATGAACTCATCATTTTTTATGGCTGCATAGTATTCCATGATGTATATGTGCCACATTTTCTTAATCCAGTCTATCGTTGTTGGACATTTAGGTTGGTTCCAAGTCTTTGCTATTGTGAATAGTGCCGCAATAAACATACGTGTGCATGTGTCTTTAGAGCAGCATGATTTATAATCCTTTGGGTATATACCCAGTAATGGGATGGCTGGGTCAAATGGTATTTCTAGTTCTAGATCCCTGAGGAATCACCACACTGACTTCCACAATGGTTGAACTAGTTTACAGTCCCACCAACAGTGTAAAAATGTTCCTATTTCTCCACATCCTTTCCAGCACCTGTTGTTTCCTGACTTTTTAATGATTGCCATTCTAACTGGTGTGAGATGGTATCTCATTGTGGTTTTGATTTGCATTTCTCTGATGGCCAGTGATGATGAGCATTTTTTCATGTGTTTTTTGGCTGCATAAATATCTTCTTTTGAGAAGTGTCTGTTCATATCCTTCGCCCACTTTTTGATGGGGTTGTTTGTTTTTTTCTTGTAAATGTGTTTGAGTTCATTGTAGATTCTGGATATTAGCCCTTTGTCAGATGAGTAGGTTGCGAAAATTTTCTCCCATTCTGTAGGTTGCCTGTTCACTCTGATGGTAGTTTCTTTTGCTGTGCAGAAGCTCTTTAGTTTAATTAGATCCCATTTGTCAATTTTGGCTTTTGTCGCCATGCTTTTGGTGTTTTAGACATGAAGTCCTTGCCCATGCCTATGTCCTGAATGGTATTGCCTAGGTTTTCTTCTAGGGTTTTTATGGTTTTAGGTCTAACATTTAAGTCTTTAATCCATCTTGAATTAATTTTTGTATAAGGTTTAAGGAAGGGATCCAGTTTCAGCTTTCTACATATGTCTAGCCAGTTTTCCCAGCACCATTTATTAAATAGGGAATCCTTTCCCCATTGCTTGTTTTTCTCAGGTTTGTCAAAGATCAGATAGTTGTAGATATGTGGCATTATTTCTGAGGGCTCTGTTCTGTTCCATTGGTCTATATCTCTGTTTTGATACCAGTACCATGCTGTTTTGGTTACTGTAGCCTTGTAGTATAGTTTGAAGTCAGGTAGCGTGATGCCTCCAGCTTTGTTCTTTTGTGGACCAGCCCCTTGTTAGAAATGCAGAATCTCAGGCCATTGCAGACCTACTGGCTGTTTAACCAGCTCTTCAATGTCTCTTAGACACATTAATTGGGAAGCACTGTCCTAGAATACTTTGGGAATTTCCAGGTCCTAACTGCTATACCTCTAGCTTCATTTATTGCCCTTTCTCCTTTTCATCTTTTATCACTCATGACCAGTAACTTATGGAGAAGTCTGCAAAGCAGGACTTCTTAACCTGGGATCTGTGAACTCTCAGGGAATTGTGGGTGATTTGTGAACCCACTGAAATTCTACATAAAATTATATATGTATACACATACTCAGCTTTCATTAAATTCTCAGGAAACAAACAAACAAGTTAGCCATTCCAGGCTATAAAACCATAAATACCACCATGCTTCTCATTAAAACATGGAATTGGATGACTCTTGTAGTTACAGAATTATTATTCCTACCCGGGAAAAATCTAAGAGAAAACATCAATAAGCCTTTCCCATTGTTTTAATAAAAAGAATCAAATTGACTAGAGAATTGATCACAGAGACCAGGAATTTTTGGAAGCAGCTTTCTAATTCCCAAAAATTGAATTATGCTCCACTGGTCCTGATGTGGTAGGTTAGGAGAATATTGCTTTTTTAGTACTCATATGTCTTGCATGCTTTAGGGTAATTAAAAATAAATGTCTCCATAATGTGAGTTTTGTGCCTTAACTATCATTTTGATTACTTTGATTCCCTATGACAGAGCTCCTCAACCCTGGCTGCATATTAGATTCATCCCACCCCAGACCAATTGAATCAGATTCTCAGATCCCCTGGGGGTGGAGACCAGGTTTACTGGGTTTTACTTTGTTTTAACTCTCCCTGGGTAATTTTAAAGTGTAGCCAGGTTAAGAACCATTTGCACAGAGCAATGTTTTTGATAAATTCCAGAATGGCCTTACTGGGGAATCGTGTGTCTTGCATTAACTAAGGGGCACTTGATTCTCTTCCCCCTGGGCAATGAAATCCCTTTTTCTATTGAAATATCATTATATATGTGCACTGCTGTTCTGTCTTTCTTCATTTTGTCAAATGGAGGCTGATGTACAAAGAAGCTGTCCAAATCTGGAACTGACTTCAAGAACTATTGAATCTTCCAGCATTTTGTCTGCTGCTCTAATTACCAGTCCATCTCAGAAAAGCTTTCTGATTTTTATATTACGAGTGACTTTTCAAATACAATAAACCTGAAAAGGACCTCTCTCTTGGGCTCTTTTATGGAGGATACTTGATATGCTGTAAGAATGATGGAAATGAGTAATTGTGCTATAACTAAAGAAGTTAATTGTAAGTAACATTTCCCCCCCATTAGAAGTACTTGGCTGATAGTGGAGTTATAGAATGAACAGCCTCTGACATTTTACAAGGCTAAGAACACATAAGAATCTGTAGGATTGAGGATTTCAAAGGAAACAGGGAAGCATTATAGACCAGAACACATAAGAATCTGTAGGATTCAGGATTTCAAAGAGAATAGGAAAGAGCATTCTAGATGGGAAATAATATACAGTCACTAGTATGCCTTTCACCAAGTAAAGGAAGTGAAATCCCATGATAAAGTTTCCATTTGTAAAGCTTTCCACTAAGGCATATTTGCAAATTGATGCCCAATTACATATTCAGATTTTTCTATTTGGTACTCTAGCATTATTCGATTTTGCAAGCAGTTTTCCGAAAAATAACCTTAGTTTGCGAACTATCCTTTTCTAAAGGAGATCTCTGGCAATCTGGGCACTTATCTTCTCACTTTTGGGAATTTCCATGGGAATTAGAAGGATTTGTACTCACCTCATGTTCACCTCAGGGATGAACTCACCAAGGGTTTATTTAATTACAATTTCCTCTAAGATGATGAGAATGCATTCCTGAGAATGATAAATTAACATCATTTTAGGAGATGGGAAATAGGGAATGGAGTTACAGAATAATTTAAATCTGATGAAGATATTTTTGAAGTAGCAGCTTGTACTCAACATTAATGAAAAAAATTGGAACTGATTATTTTCCTAGTATCTATGCTTTAGTCATAATGCTTTCTCAGTCTGGAGAAAATAAATTTTCAGAAAGATATAATGTAACTTGTATGATATTAACTTTTCTTAAAAACAGGATATTCACTTTTCTTTAAAACATTATGATATTCACTTTTCTTTCCTTCTGGCTAAGGGATTTCTCAGTTTTTCTTTGTGAATATATTATGATGAAAGTGATTTTCTATTTGGAATGAAAAATGCATGCAGATTATGTTTATGCCTTTAATCTTTACATTGGCTTTTTTAATTGTAGGAACCTCACCAGGAAGCTCTGTGATAAAGTTGCCCTTCTTTCTAATGTGCTTCAGCATCATTCTTGGAATTTTTATTTGTTTGTTTGTTTCTGATGGAGATTATAGTTTTGTGACAGCTAGGCCCTTGTCTGTTGTTTCACATTTTTCTATCTTATAAAATTTCTACACCTGAGTTCATGAGTTACCTGCCTATTTCATTTCCGTGGCTTTGATGGACTTTGCTTTTAATTTAAGCCAAACTAACATACTCACAGAGGTTTGGCAACAAATCTGAAATATTTTCCTGCTTTTCAGGAAGACAAATGATGGTTGAGTTGTGAAGCTTAATAATCATTTTAAATTAAGCCCACATTTATGACTGTCTAAAATGTCTCAGGTTCTGTGTTAGGCATTCCAGGAAAAGCAGTAATTGCCTGTCAGGGAATCACATATGAGAGGGGAAATAGAAAACTAATAACTATAATATAGTGTAAGTGCAATGTACAGAGTGGGGGCGAACCACAGAAAGATGGCAGAGACCTCTGAGAGAGTTGAAAAGGGCTGCAAGAAGCAAGAATGTAAGTTATTAATATCACCTGTTCAGTTACAAGTAACAGCAACCTCTTCAAGATAACAAGCCAAAAGAAAGAAAATAAAGAGGGATCAGTTTCCTGGAAGGATATGGGTTTCTGACAGAAAAAGAATAAAAGAAAGAAAGCTGAACCAGGCCTCAGAAAGTACCCAAACTGCTGAGTTCTGAGCATCTAGGTATCAGAAACTAAAGGACAGTTCCTAGGGGGAGTTACTATAGGATGAATTGACTCCAAATGTTTTCTGTCCTTGTGTTGCCTCCCTCAAGATTCACAAGAGAAAATCCGGTGTGGGCCACATGCCTACCACTTAGATAAGACAGGGGAGGCACTTTGATTTACAGTGCAATCAAAACTGTATGCAATGAGGGAAGGGTAATTCCCAAAGAGAAATCAAAGTGCAATTACTGGAAGAAAGTGGAATGGATGCTATCAAGCAAAAATAACAGAAGTCTGTTCCAGGAAGGGATACTTAATCCTTGGAATATAAGTAGGAGTCTCTTAGGTGGAAAGTGGAAGAATGGCCTTCTAAATAGAGGGCATGGAATAAACAGTCATAAAAGAGTCTACTTTGTCATGTAATGGCAAGACATTTAATATGGTGGGAACAAACTATAAATGAGGAAGTTTAGGTAGTGAGAAGTGGCAGGAGGTGAGTTAAGAAAGATCTTCATATGGAAATACCTAATGTAAATGACAGGTTGATGGGTGCAGCAAACCAACATGGCACATGTACACCTATGTAACAAACCTGCACGTTGTGCACATGTACCCTAGAACTTAAAGTATTTTTTAAAAATTGCCTTTTTTTCCCCTAAACAATCCTCTAAGAATGTTTGCAAAGAAAATAACCTTGGAAGATAAAGATAATACTTCTCTCTGAGGAAAAGGCAAGTTTGTTTCTGCCAAGTACGATGAAGATAATATCTTCCTCTGGGGTTTACTGTCAGGTAAGCTTACTGCCCATTATAGAAGAGTTGGGCTCTTCCATAATGCTCAGAATTCCTCCCCCATAGCACTGCCCATTGCATGAACAGGTGTCACATATCCCACTTGCATTGCCCTTTGGGATTGAGTCTCAGAAAACCTTCACAAATGCTGATACTCTCATTACCACTATTACTCTAAGAAGTAAAGTTCTTTGTCTCTGACCCAGGAATCTCATGCCTTCTGTCACCATCCATAAAATTATGACAAGCTAACTAGATGATTTCAAGTGGGGTAGGATTTTAGATTCTTCACTGTCTTGACAATAACAACACCTGAAAAAAATATAAACTATCTTTCTCAACATTTTGTGTCATTGAATTCCATTGATAAGTTATGGAAAACACTTATTAAATTTAAGACATTCTCATATTCAGTGATCAAGAAGATACTGTCATAATAAACTTTCACTAGAATCCAGCTATTAAAGCCTCATGTACTTAGCCAGGCAACTAAAATTGCCCAAGTTGAAATTAGTAGTTCAGTTAGACCATAGGGACACCTGGCTCCTTATAAATATCATTCTTCTTTCCTTCACTTTTGTATAAGACTTCTCATTTTATTTCTGTTCATACTTTTTTTTAAGTAACACTTGTTTACACTTAGCTCAGAGGAACATTTCTATCTAACATAAAAGATTCACAACAGGAAAGTTACACAGACTTGAATTGGTAAAATATTAGTTGTGTTTGCATATATCAATAATGTTAATTGTCTATATCACAGTTTCTTCATCTGTAAAAACAGAATATTAATACCTACCCTACAGACTTAACAATTTTCTTTTTTTTTTGAGACGGAGTCTCACTCTTTTGCCCAGGCCGGAGTGCAATGGCACTATCTTGGAATGCAGTGCCGCTATCTCAGCTCACTGCAAGCTCCGCCTCCCGGGTTCATGCCATTCTCCTGCCTCAGCGTCCCAAGTAGCTGGGACTATCGGCGCCTGCCATGGCGCTCGGCTAATGTTTTGTATTTTTAATAAAGACGGGGTTTCACCGTGTTAGCCAGGATGGTCTCGATCTCCTGACCTTGTGATCTGCCCAACTCGGCCTCCCAAAGTGCTGGGATTACAGGCGTGAGAAGGACGAAGCATTATTAACATGGTATTGACATGGATGTCACAACTCCCCATATCCTTTTCTTCCCATTTCTCCCCATCCTGAAAATCTCTGCCCCTCATTCTCTCCTAGGCTAGACTATTAATACTGAGGATAATAGCCTGGTCATGCCTACTTAGATGTACGCTGCCCTGTGACTTCAGGGAGATTTTGTCATTTTTAGACCAGATACCAGACTTTGAGGATGAAGACTAAAGCATAGACAGAGATGGGCAGAACCCAGGTAGCAGAAGATGAGAGAAATAACTAAGCAAAAGTGAGTTATAAAGGTAAAGAAGAAGGAGAGCTAAAACAAGAGGTAAGAAAGAGTGAAGGCAAGACATTCCTGGGGAACTCTAGCAAATTGAGCTCTGGAGAGTCTGGAAAAGGTGCAAAAAAAAAATGGGAAGGAGAGAACAGAAAGTAGGAAAGTATTGTTAAGAGTTACTACTAGGATTCCCAAGCTATGTAATTAAGAAATAAAATTGCTTTTGTAATTTGGAGATAGTGTCAGAAGAAAGTAGCTGTTGAAACGTGGTTCTTTGAATGCAACATTATTGTAAGTTTGAATCACGTAGATCACGTATCTACAGTATCAGTACTTTAAGTTATACACAAACTGTTATATCATGTTCTCAACAAAGAGCATTATCTTTATTTTTCCTGCTATTCCAGAATTAATATGAAAAGAGGAATATAAAATAAAGGAGACCTAGATTCCACTGTCAAAGGCAACTAAGATATTTATTTGTATTTGCATCACGCCCTATAAGAATGATAGTAGAAAAGCTGTGAAAGCTCTCATTGTCAATCTGAAATGACTCTACTGTCTTTGAATAATGCAGACTTCCCAGTTACCCAACAGCTCCTTCCTTTGAGTGCTGTGATGAGGCTAGGTTAGGCCCTTAGTGGGAGTCATATTAATCAAGTCATTACAGATACAGGATCATTGTCATTAGGTATTAAGTACTATATGGCAAGCACTACATTATGCACATCACATGTTTTATCACATTTATTTCTCACAACACATGATGTGAGAAGTATTATTATTATGATCACCTCCATTTTATAATAGAGCAGGAAGCAGGCTGGAGAAGCTCTGAATTCCCCCTGGCTCAACAGGTCTGGTTAATCCAGATGCCTACTCAAATAAGACCAGCTGGGATGGATCTATATACGTATATGAAGGAAACAAAAGAAAATATTGAGAAAGGCTATCTCTGGATGGAGGGCTATCACCACACTTCAGTAAGTGTGGGTGACTTTAACTTTCTTCTTCATGCTTTTCTGTGTTTCTCAAATTTGTAATGAGTACATGTTGCTTTTCTTTTTAATGTAAAATTAAAATAAAGATTTTAAACTAGAGATGTATTTATAGAAGTGATTGTGTAACAGATCACTTCTATAACTCACCAGTATAAATGGCAATCACAAAATTTGTTTAGGATGACTGATTTTAGCTCTAGAATGGGGCAGGAATGAGACTGAAATTTGGCATTCTTAAAGAGTACGGCACCTTGTCAAATACTGTGTGTGTAGGATGAGCACTAGAATATTTTTCCTGTCTTTTTAAGATGTTTTATATTAGTTTATATCTTGTGATTAAACATTTTAAATACAAACAAACCCCAGAAAGATCTCCATATGCCATGCAAAAAGATTAAGACTTTTGGTAATATATATAATCAAGTTTTATTATTAAATTATTTTTTTCAGAGACAAGATGTCACTCTGTCACCCAGGCTGGAATGCAATGTTGCAATCATAGCTCACTGCAGCCTTGAACTCCTGGGCTCAAGCAATCCCCCCTACCTCAGCCTCTCAAGTAACAAGGACTACAGGCATGTGCCACCACTTTTGGCTAGTGTTTGAATTTTATTTTTTGTAGAGATAGTGTCTCACTGTGTTGCCCAGGCTGATTCTAAACTCCTGGACTCAAGCAATCCTCCTGCTTCAGCCTCCCAAAGTGTTGAGATTATAGGCACAAGCCACTGCACTCAGCCTGTTATTAATTTTTTAAACAATTTAAATCAGTAGAAAAATAAGCAGAAAATTGGCAAAGAAATTTAGTTGATTAACATATATAAGAAAAATGTTCAACTTTCAGAAGTGAAAGTTAATGAAAAATAAACAGATACTATTTTCTACCTATCATTTTTCTATCTAGAGTTTGAGAAGACCAGCTGGGATGGAGCTTTTATATATTGTACATAGGAGTATAAATTAGAAAAAGTGTTATTTTTCTAGAAAAGAATTCGACAGGTATATTAAGATTCTTAAAGTTTTCTTCATCTCTGATCCAAAAATTCTACTTCTAAGGTTTGGCTTGAAGGCAATAATCATGGATGCAAACAGATACTAAGTTTCAAGGATCACAGTGTTTTATGAAATCAAAAAATTGGAAAATTTCTAGAAAATAGTAAGAGAATAAGCATATAAACTATATATCCCAATTCAGATGTTAAATCATGTTTTCAAAGAATTTAAAATAACACAAAAGGATTTTCATGTTATATTAAATGAAAACGTAGTGTATACATATACACACATGCACATAGTATTATTTTGACTCTGTTAAAAAAAAAAGGTCGTGCACACATACAATTACCTACCTACCTGCCTACCATCTATCATGATCTATATACATATATGAAGGAAACAAAAGAAAATATTGAGAAAGGCTATCTCTGGATGGAGGGCTATCGCTGAAGGGTGGGTGGCTTTAACTTTCTTCCTCATGCTTTTCTGTGTTTTTCAAATTTGTAATGAATACATGTTGCTTTTCTTTTTAATGTAAAATTAAAATTAAGATTTTATTTTATTTTTTTTTTATTTTTTTATTTTTTTAAATTTATTTTTTTATTGATAATTCTTGGGTGTTTCTCACAGAGGGGGATTTGGCAGGGTCATGGGACAATAGTGGAGGGAAGGTCAGCAGATAAACAAGTGAACAAAGGTCTCTGGTTTTCCTAGGCAGAGGACCCTGCGGCCTTCCGCAGTGTTTGTGTCCCTGATTACTTGAGATCAGGGATTGGTGATGACTCTTAACGAGCATGCTGCCTTCAAGCATCTGTTTAACAAAGCACATCTTGCACCGCCCTTAATCCATTCAACGCTGAGTGGACACAGCACATGTTTCAGAGAGCACAGGGTTGGGGGCAAGGTCACAGATCAACAGGATCCCAAGGCAGAAGAATTTTTCCTAGTGCAGAACAAAATGAAAAGTCTCCCATGTCTACTTCCTTCTACACAGACACGGCAACCATCCGATTTCTCAATCTTTTGCCCACCTTTCCCGCCTTTCTATTCCACAAAGCCGCCATTGTCATCCTGGCCCGTTCTCAATGAGCTGTTGGGCACACCTCCCAGACGGGGTGGTGGCCGGGCAGAGGGGCTCCTCACTTCCCAGTAGGGGCGGCCGGGCAGAGGCGCCCCTCACCTCCCGGACGGGGCGCCGGCCGGGCAGGGGGCTGACCCCCCCACCTCCCTCCCTTCCGGACGGGGCGGCTGGCCGGGCAGAGGGGCTCCTCACTTCCCAGTAGGGGCGGCCGGGCAGAGGCGCCCCTCACCTCCCGGACGGGGCGGCTGGCCGGGCGGGGGGCTGACCCCCCCCACCTCCTTCCCGGACGGGGCGGCTGGCCGGGCGGGGGGCTGACCCCCCCACCTCCCTCCCGGACGGGGCGGCTGGCCGGGCAGAGGGGCTCCTCACTTCCCAGTAGGGGCGGCCGGGCAGAGGCGCCCCTCACCTCCCGGACGGGGCGGCTGGCCGGGCAGGGGGGCTGACCCCCCCCACCTCCCTCCCGGACGGGGCGGCTGGCCGGGCGGGGGGCTGACCCCCCCACCTCCCTCCCAGACGGGGCGGCTGGCCGGGCGGGGGGCTGACCCCCCCCACCTCCCTCCCGGACGGGGCGGCTGGCCGGGCGGGGGGCTGACCCCCCCCACCTCCCTCCCGGACGGGGCGGCTGGCCGGGCGGGGGGCTGACCCCCCCACCTCCCTCCCGGACGGGGCGGCTGGCCGGGCAGAGGGGCTCCTCACTTCCCAGTAGGGGCGGCCGGGCAGAGGCGCCCCTCACCTCCCGGACGGGGCGGCTGGCCGGGCGGGGGGGCTGACCCCCCCCACCTCCTTCCCGGGACGGGGCGGCTGGCCGGGCGGGGGGCTGACCCCCCCACCTCCCTCCCGGACGGGGCGGCTGGCCGGGCAGAGGGGCTCCTCACTTCCCAGTAGGGGCGGCTGGGCAGAGGCGCCCCTCACCTCCCGGACGGGGCGGCTGGCCGGGCAGGGGGGCTGACCCCCCCCACCTCCCTCCCGGACGGGGCGGCTGGCCGGGCGGGGGGCTGACCCCCCCACCTCCCTCCCGGACGGGGCGGCTGGCCGGGCGGGGGGCTGACCCCCCCACCTCCCTCCCGGACGGGGCGGCTGGCCGGGCAGAGGGGCTCCTCACTTCCCAGTAGGGGCGGCCGGGCAGAGGCGCCCCTCACCTCCCAGACGGGGCGGCTGGCCGGGCGGAGGGCTGACCCCCCCCCACCTCCATCCCGGACGGGGCGGCTGGCCAGGCGGGGGGCTGACCCCCCCACCTCCCTCCCGGACGGGGCGGCTGGCCGGGTGGGGGGGCTGACCCCCCATCTCCCTCCTGGACGGGGTGGCTGGCCGGGCTGAGGGGCTCCTCACTTCCCAGTAGGGGCGGGCGGGCAGAGGCACCCCTCACCTCCCGGACGGGGCGGCTGGCCGGGCAGGGGGCTGACCCCCCCACCTCCCTCCCGGACGGCACGGCTGGCCAGGCGGGGGGCTGACCCCCCCACCTCCCTCCCGGATGGCACGGCTGGCCGGGCGGGGGGGCTGACCCCCCACCTCCCTCCCGGATGGGGCAGCTGGCCGGGCGGGGGGCTGACCCCCCCCACCTCCCTCCCGGACGGGGTGGCTGCCGGGCGGAGACGCTCCTCACCTCCCAGATGGGGTGGCTGCCGGGCGGAGAGGCTCCTCACCTCCCAGACGGGGCGGCTGCCGGGCGGAGGGGCTCCTCACTTTTCAGACGGGGTGGTTGCCAGGCAGAGGGTCTCCTCACTTCTCAGACGGGGCGGCTGGGCAGAGACCCTCCTCACCTCCCAGACGGGGTCTCGGCCGGGCAGAGGCCTCCTCACATCCCAGATGGGGCGGCGGGGCAGAGGCACTCCCCACATCTCAGACGATGGGCGGCCGGGCAGAGACGCTCCTCACTTCCTAGATGTGATGGCGGCTGGGAAGAGGCGCTCCTCACTTCCTAGATGGGATGGCGGCCGGGCGGAGACGCTCCTCACTTTCCAGACTGGGCAGCCAGGCAGAGGGGCTCCTCACATCCCAGACGATGGGCGGCCAGGCAGAGACACTCCTCACTTCCCAGACGGGGTGGCGGCCGGGCAGAGGCTGCAATCTCAGCACTCTGGGAGGCCAAGGCAGGCGGCTGGGAGGTGTAGGTTGTAGTGAGCCGAGACCACGCCACTGCACTCCAGCCTGGGCACCATTGAGCACTGAGTGAACGAGACTCCCTCTGCAATCCCGGCACCTCGGGAGGCCAAGGCTGGCGGATCACTCGCGGTTAGGGGCTGGAGACCGGCCGGGCCAACACAGCGAAACCCCGTCTCCACCAAAACCAGTCAGGCGTGGCGGCGCGTGCCTGCAATGGCAGGCACTCAGCAGGCTGAGGCAGGAGAATCAGGCAGGGAGGTTGCAGTGAGCCAAGATGGCAGCAGTACAGTCCAGCTTTGGCTCCACATGAGAGGGAGACCGTGGGGAGAGGGAGAGGGAGACGGAGAGGGAGAGGGAGAGGGAGAGGGAGAGGGAGAGCGCTCGCATCTTCTATCTGTCCAAACTGGGACCGAGTCCTCGGCCTCGGAGGCTCCACGCTCCCTCTCTCACAGCCCGCACCTCGGCGGTCTCTCGGAGGAGGGAGGAAGCCGAGGTACCTGGTAGTCGTAGCTGAGGAACTTCTAAAATTAAGATTTTAAAGTAGAGATATATTTATAGAAGTGATTGTGTAACAGATCAAGCAATGCAGAGATCTAATAAAACTGTTCATTTTCTAATTGTTGGGTATAGCAAAGAATGTGAAGCAACCTAAATTTCCATCAGCTTTTTAAGCAGAGTCTTGAAAAGTAAATTCACATAAGCAAGAATCCTTAGTGTAGTTCCACCTTGTTATATAACTCAGTTAGAGGGCACCCTATCTGTTGCAAAGATCAATGATGAAGGCTGTTTCAGAACACTTTACCAGTTACACATTGACAGAACTTTCTTTTGGTTATATTTTGATTATTGGTTATTTGGTTTTTGGTTATTTTGGTTATATTTTCCATATCCTCTAATCCAAAATTTCTCCTGCCCTAAGGTAAAATACCTTTCCTCTTGTCTCTTTCTAGAGGATGGAAGGAAAAGATGGGTCCAGGTCTTTATTTTCATCCTTCATAGACTAGAAGCCTGCTTTCACATTACCATACAGTCTTCTTTCCTGTAGATTCCAGAATAAATCATGCAAATAACCTCAGAAATGACAAAGAAAGTCCCATGCTCTGATCATTTTTTTCAGAACGTTTGACAGCATACTGTAAACACACATTAAAACAAACAAACTCAACATTAACTTCTGAATGTGTAAAGGACATTTAAAAGTGGCTCCATCAATAAGTTGTGCTGGGAAAACTGAACATCGACATGCAAAGAATGAGGCTAAGGCCTTATTTTACACCTTACACAAAACTTAACCCAAAATGGATTAAAGACCTAAGTGTAAGACCCAAAACCATAAAACCTAGTAGGAATCATAGGGGGAAAGTTTCGTTACACTGAATTTGGCAGTGGTTTTTTGAATATGACGTCAAAAGCATAGGCAACAAAGGGAAAAATAGACTGGGTCTATATCACACTCAAAAACTTCTGGGTGTCAAAGAACACAATGAATAGAATGAAAAGGCAACATATAGAACAGAAGAAAATACCTGCAAATTATATATCTGATAAGGAGTTAATATCCAGACTATATAAAGAATTTGCAAAACCCAACAATAACAAAAACTAACATGATTTAAAAATGGGCAAAGGACTTAGACAACATTTCTCCAAAGATGATATACAAATGTCTAAGAAGCATATGTGGAAAGATGCTCAACATCATTTATCATTAAAGGAATGAAAATTCAAACCACAATGAGATATCATGTCGCACCCACGAGGATGGCAACTATCAAAAACAAAGAAAAAAGAAAAGACCAAATGTTAGTAGGGATATGGAGAAATTTGGAACCCTTGTGAAGTACTAGTGGGACTGTAAAATGGTGCACCTGCTCTGGAAAACAGTATGGCATTTCTTTAAAAAATTAAAAGTAGAACTACCGTATAATCCAGCAATCTCACTTTTGGATATATATTCAAAGAATTAAATGCAGGGTCTTGAAGAGATATTTGTACACCCATGTTTATGGCAGCATTATTCACAATAGCCAAGAGGTAGAAGCAATCTAAGTGGCCATTGGTGGATAAATGGAAAAACAATATTGTGGTATTGTACACCTACAATGGAATATTTTTCAGCTTTAAAAAGGGAAGAAATCCTGTTACATGCTACGACATGAATGGCCTTGAGGGCATTATGCTAAGTGAAATAAGACAGTCACCAAAAGAACAATATTGTATGACTCCATTTACATGAGGTATCTAAAGTAGTTGAATTCATAGAAACAGAAAGTAAAAGGATGGTTGCCAGGGGCTGGGAGGAGGGGGAAATAGGGGGTTGTTTAATGGGTATAAAGTTTCAGTTTTGCAAGAGATAAAAGTTCTAAAGGTCTGTTGTACAACAATGTGAATATACTTAGACTACTGAACTAGAGACTTAAAAATGGTTAAGATGGTAAATTTTATGTTATGTGTTTTTTTTACAACAATTAAAAAATTTAGCCGGGTGCGGTGGCTCATTCCTATAAATCCCAGCACTTTGAGAGGCCGAGGCGGGTGGATCACCTGAGGTTGGAAGTTCGACACAAGCCTGACCAACATGGTGAAACCCCATCTCTTCTAAAAATACAAAATTAGCTGGGCGTGGTGGCACATGCCTGTAATCCCAGCTACTTGGGAGGCTGAGGCAGGAGAATCACTTGAATCTGGAAGGCAGAGGTTGCGGTGAGCCGAGATCACGCCATTGCACTCCAGCCTGGGCAACAAGATCAAAACTCTGTCTCAAAAAAAAAAAAATAATTTTAAAAAATAATGGTTTCAATGGATGGTGTAAGGAATAATAGCTAACATTTGCTGGGCACTTGTTAGGTGCCAGGTCCTGTTTTAAATGCCTTACATGGTTAATCTCATTTCATTTTCACAACAGGTCTATTAGGTAGAATCTATTATTACCCCAATTTTACAACCAGGGAACTGAGATTCAGAGAGGTTAAGAAGTTTGTCCAAGGTCATAAAATGAGGGAATGATGAAGCCAGGGTCCCAACCTCAGCAATCTGGCTGCAAAGCCTGTGTTCATAGCTATTATATTACAAGGCTAATGTAGATGAACATGTTTAAAGCAATAGCATTTCTTGTAGAAAATAATTAATATGGGAAAGGAAGGCCCTCATTACAGAAGGACTGGAATGGGAGTATGAAGTCCTGCTCCGTAGCCACAGTGACCCTGCTTTTGTCACTGAAATTCCCTGAGCTTATCTCAACTAGATGGACTAGATGATATTTAAGGTCCATTTATGCTGCCTGAGCCTGTAAATCATATGCCAAAATATCCTCTAGAATTGCAGCTACAAAGTTATCCAGGGCTTCTGCCACAGGGAGAAATGTTTGGAGATTCTGCAACACTCCACGTTCTGTCCCTGCATCTTCTGAGTCCTGACTATGGCCAACAATTTCCTTCCTTAAAGTAGAACATGTTACTTTTCCCTATCTCCAATCCGTGTGCACCAAAATAACCATGGCAGCATGGGGAGAGGGGAGGAAGGAGAGGGCAGCTGGTGTAATCAGGTCAAATAAAGGTAATTCCAGAACCCCGTTTGCCTGGACTGGTGAAGCATTCTGTATTCCAGATCTCTTTGTAGAGAGATTGAAATGTGCTTTAAGGTGCTTTTTAAATTACCCTGTCAGGTGGGGCAATAATAGTGATTCAGGGTACTCGGTATTTTGGGAAAAAATTGGAATCTCTACACCTGAATCAATCCAGGAAAAATTGCCATGCTGCTATACAAACACTTGCATCAGGAAAAGGATAGGTGGAAAAGATGTGGAAGGGTGGAGGGGGTTAGGGTTTGGGGATTGAGGAATTTAACTGATAAAGGGGTCCTCATGCGAGTTAGAAGAAAGTAAAGTATTGAACTTGGTGGAATCTCAGCTTCTACACTTACTAGGTGGAAAGTTTAGGGCAAGCTGCCTGATGTCTTCAAGCCACAGTTTCCTAGTCTGTCAAAATGAGTTAGTAATACCTAAATCAGAAGATTGCCGTGAGGATTAAATGAGATACTCTATTCAAAACACCTAGCACGGTTTTCAGCTTGCAGCAGGGATTGAACGAGTGCTGGCAGGAAAGCTGAGAAAGGCGCTTTCATTACCTGGAGTTCAGCTGGGAGTTGTGGAGAAGATTAAGAGCCCTAACCTTCTCCCAACTGGTGTTAATTTTTACTACATATTCTCTTTATTTAGATATTGAGTCCAGATTGGTCTGGTCTGAAATATGGTCATGTAAAGCTTTGATTTGACTAAGAAATATGTAAACTTGAAAACAAGTCAGTGCTTCCCAGCATGTGCATCATGAAGCACCATTTCTTCTAGACTGCAAGATAGAGGGTAAACGATGTCCTACTAAGAGACTCACGGTATATATTCAAGTGCAGGGAATGAAAAGTATTTTCCCAGATTTTGTTTAATTTAGTGATTTTTAAATTTATTTGACAGAGCCCTTATCCCATGACAGCTATTAATACCATGCAGAACACACTTCAGGGTGATTTCTTGATTCCTATTATTTGCAAAGTGAATTGCTTGTATTTTAAAAATTACCAGAATATATGTTTTCTAAATGAAATTGATAATGGTATTAGCTAGGAGTGCAATGGACAAATAGGAAGGCAAATTATTATAAATAGGACTTGCATCCTTCCTTCAAGAAGCTGCTGAAATCCTACCTTCTTAGTTCAGCTATGCTGGAATAAATAAAATAGAATCAGTTCTCAGGACTCTATTAAATCCTGATTATCATTTCATGTACTTTTTCAAATATAATTCCAAATATCATCAGGGCTGCCTTTTGGCCTGGATGTCTTCAAAAAAACATAACCCAACAACAAATAGGTTGATTTAGATACTCAACCTCTGAAGAAAAAACCAAATTGGAGAATGTATTCTTAATATATTGAAAAAAAATCTTTAAAAGATACTGTTTTAAGAAAAATTATGGAAAGCTTCATCCTGTGCAGATTAGATAAAATAGTATAGTAAACCCATCCCCCAGTTGTACAACCATTCACTTCTGGACGATCCTATTTCATCTCCACTCCTACCCATTCCTCCTCCTCCTCCCATGTTATCGTGAAGCAAATTTCAAACGTCATTCAACTTTATCCACAAATATTTAAGTTATATATCTCTAAAACAGAAGGATTCACTCTTTTAAAAAAAATTGAAAAACTATTTTTGCATTAAAAATTAACGATAATTTAATTGCTTCATAAAATTTTATAAGTTTATTTGTTCAGAACAAGGTCCACTTATGATTGGCTGATACATCGTTAAATATTTTTAAAGTATAGATTCCTTTGTTCTCTCTTTTTTTCTCTTGTGATTTGTCTGTTAAAGAGAAGGCTAACATGCCCAACTTGTCCTGGTTTGCCTAGGACTTTTCCTGTGTTAGCACTGAAAGTCTCATGTCCTAGACAGTCCCTCAATCCAAGAATATTTGCCCTGTAATGCTTCCCACAATATGGATTTTGCTGATTGCATTCCAGTAGCTAACATTTTTCTCTGTAACTATCTATTTCTGTAAATTGGTAGTTGGATCTAGTGTCTTGGTTAAATTCGGAGTCAACCTACCTTCCTTCCTTCCTTCCTTCCTTCCTTCCTTCCTTCCTTCCTTCCTTCCTCCCTCCCTCCCTTCCCTCCCTCCCTCCTTCCCTCCTCCCTCTCTCCCTTCTTTCTTCCTTCCTCTCTCCCTCCCTCCTTCCTTTCTTCCTCCCTTCCTCCTCCCTTCCTTCTTCCTTCCCTCCTTCCCTCCCTCTCTCCCTCCTTCCTTCCTCCCTTCCTCACTCTCTCCCTCCTTCCGCCCTCCCTCCTTCCTTCCTTTCTTCCTTTTTTCCTTCCTTTCTTCTTTTGGTAATATGGCTTTATTAGTTGTAGTGTAGTATGCCTCTGCCAGGAGATATATAATGTCTGCTTGGCTCTCCTTTTGTAATGTTAGCAGTTGTTGATAAACAATGTTTAGCCTAGCAAAACATCTTAAAAATCCTTTCCCAGCTCCGATTTCTTCAATTATAGAAGTTCCTGGTTGCATGTTATGCAAGTTTGCTAGGGCTGGAATAACAAAATACCAGAGACTAAAATGGCTTAAACAACAGAAATGTATTTCCTCACGGTTCTAGAGGCTAGATGTCCACCATCAAGGTGTCAGCATGGTTGTTGCTTCTAAGGCCTGTCTCCTTGGTGTGCCACTGGCCATCTTGTTCCTGTGTCTTCACATTGTTTTCCTTCTGTACCTGTCTGTGTCCTAATCTTCTCTTCTTCTAAGGACACCAGTCATATTGGATTAGAGTTCACTCATGTGACTTCATTTTATGTTAATTACCACTTTAAAGACCAGCCCTGATTATATTATGTGGTATTGGGGTGCTGGTTAGGAACTTCAACATACTGGTTTTGTGGGGGAAAACAATTCAGCAATCACACATACCAAACACCCTTTATTCCTCTTCTTTCTTTTTAATAGGAATCTACACTACACCTCACTACGATGGGTTCCCAGGTAGGGGAACCTAATTCTGAGCCACAGGTGGGTGAATTATGGTGGGTCTAGGCTATCTGGTGGTCTTATTTTCCTTGCCAGGGAATTGTGTAAGCATAAGTAGGAAATGCAGTTCCAGCCAGGTCAATGGGATGTGAGGAGGCTGCCGAGAAGCTTCTGAGGAGGATGGTTCTCACTAATTAGAAAGAAGACACAGGAGAAGAAACAGAACTGCTTCTGCTGGAACCTGATGGAAGCAAGCCAGCCTGCTGGTGCACCACACACCTTTAGACTGGTAGGCATGGCAGAGCAGAGGGATGGATGGACGTCCTTGAAGAGCCTTTGGAATCTGAATCACCTAACCCTACCTCCTTACTGTGGAGTTTCCATGTGTGATGATAAGTCTTTTCCCTTTTAAGAAACCCTAAGCTCATATTTCTGCCACTACTTTTGGAGGCATCCTAAGCAGCATGTCCCCTAAACTCTGTCTCTTAAACATATTTAACAACTCCAAACCCAGCTGCTAGCACTCTTCCCTCCTCCCTTCCAACCTTCCCTTTCACTCCTACATCCTTCCTTTTATCCTAATTGTCATTCTTTCCTTTTTCACTCTAAAATTTTTAGCTTCTCCTAGTAACTCCTTATCTATTAATCCCTGAGGTTGGAGGTCAAAGAAAAATATTGGTAATACTCACAGTTACCAATTTCTGCCTGTCTTCATATGATATGTCCTTTTGTCTTTTGCATTGCACCTAGTGTTTATGTCAGTGTCTTTTGGCTGGTTGAGGCTCCTCTTCAGAAAATAAATCTATAGCCTTTTTCTCTATTTCTTGGAAAAAGAGAAACTTTCCTGGAAGTGCCCCTTGTATTGAGTGACAGATGAATCTGCATCCTGTCTGGGGTATACAGGATCTTCTATTCACCTTGGAGATCAAGGCAAAGTTAAAGTGTTCTTGCTCTTCCCATTGTAGGTTTTTGGAAAGAAAAGAGAGAAAGTAAATTTAAATCAACTTAGAAAGTAGATTTCACAAGAAAAGAGTCATATCTTCTTGCCAAGAGGCCTGGACGCGGTGGCTCACGCCTGTAATTCCAGCACTTTGAAAGGGCGAGACTGGCAGATCACGAGGTCAGGAGTTTGAGACCAGTCTGGCCAACATAGTGAAACCCCGTCTCTGCTGAAAATACAAAAAATTAGTTGGGTGTGGTGGTGTGTGCCTGTGGTCCCAACTACTTAGGAGGCTGAGGCAGGAGAATCGCATGAACCCAGGAGGCAGGGGTTGTAGTGAGCCGAGATTGCACCATTGCACTCCAGCCCAGGTGACAGTGCAAGACTCCATCAAAAAAAAAAAAAAAAAAGCTTTCAATTTATTATGAAATTTCTGTTTTTAATCAGTTGTGTGTCTTTCATGTCTCCCCCAGGGTTGACATTTATAACTAAGTGCATTAGAGGTAGAGTGACCATATAGTGTATCATCCAACTGTGAGCAAAAGGAGGTGGTTCAACAGGCAGAAGCCAGGTCACTCCCAAACTGTGATGTATGATCACTCTAATTAGAGTGCTGTAAAAGCACGTACAACGTTCTTCTGTTGAAATGTGTAAAGAGATGCCTCACAAATATTTTAGGGGCATAGTAACTAGTCCACACAGTTCAACAGCAGCCTAAACTTTCAGAAAATTGAAGCTCCGAGAAGTATCAAAAAGATATTAAAATATAAATATTTAATAAAAGTATCCCTTAAATTTTTTTTTTTTAAGATGGAATCCTTCTCTTGTCACCAAGGCTGGAGTGCAATAGTGCGATTTCAACTCACTGCAACCTCCCACCTCTTGGGTTCAAGCGATTCTCCTGCCTCAGCCTCCTGAGTAGCTGGAGTTACAGGCGCTGGCAACCAAACCCAGCTAATTTTTGTACTTTTAGTAGAGACAGGGTTTCACCATGTTGGCCAGGCTAGTCTTAAACTTCTGACCTCAGGTGATCCACACACTTCGGCCTACCAAAGTGCTGGGATTACAGGCGTGAGCCACTGCACCTGGCCATATTCCTTAATTTTTAAAGTCCTGAAATAAATTAATAAATTTCCAATCCAAGACAGTTTTCAAATAGCCACCTATCTGTGGTAGACCCTCTGTGATGGGAAATCTTTAGAGACCTGTTCTTCTCAGCATTTTTTCAATTAGGGAAGATCTGTGAGCAGTTGATAAGTGAAACGCTTTGCTTAAACTACATCAAGAGCACAGGGGTGGCTTTCTGGCCTTGGTTCCAAACAATGAAAATAATGTGAGCTTTTTTTTTGAACCTGAATGAAAAATAGATCTGGTGTCACTCGCAGAATGTGAAATGATGGGCTGCAATTCTGACATTGTCACACAAATACCAAAATACAGCCAAGTTCAAAATAGACCAGACATGGAAAATTTTAGCAATATGTTCTGGGAGAGCAAGAACAAAAAATGTAAAAGAACATTCTTTATTATGGTTCGATACTCAGTTTTTCACACTTCAATCTGCCAAGTAAAACAGGCGCTTTCCTTTTTCCTCTCTGTCAACATCTCACTCTCTCAAATAACATTCCACCCATCTTTTTCTGTGGTTCCCTAAGACGGTAGGTTAAGATAAATACATAGATGTCTTAGAAGACATTGAATTTCCCAAAAGAGTTTAGGAGAAAATAAAGCAAAATTATATAAAGAAGAGACAACGTGTGTTGAGGAGTGATTTTATGTTCCCAGACACATCATGGAGCAGGTTGAGAACTGATCAGGTTGCTGTGTTGAATGGCCAATTCCTTAGGTATTCTGGTCTTTCTGACATCTCTTGGAGATAGGGAGCTGGGGCTAAGATCCCTATTACTCCCTTTTGGCTGATGTTAATTATTTTGCTCAACATCGCATTTATGGTAGGTGTTATAGTCAGAGCTGGGCCTTAAACCTAGGTCTTCTGGCTCCAAGTCTCAAGCTCCTTCCATGGCATGCCCCTGAGCATCCTGCCCCAACAGATCTGCCTCTGGTTGCTCCTTCCCCCAAGGATCTCAGGACATGGCCTCCAGCTGGCAGGGTGAGGCAAGGGCCCCACCTTGAGTGTGGAGGGAGTGGAGGGGTAGTTGGTTTGTGTGGTCTCTTGGGTACTGCCTGTGATTTGTTGTGTCATGCCTCAGAACAAATACAACTTTGCACTAAGGGGGCAATTTGAGGCAATCAGTTTAAAAGCAAAAGCACTACCTTGAAAATTTTATATATAAATCAATATGGTAAAATGATGTCTCACAATGACATTCACTGCAGCTAAACTACTCTTGTTTTCTGGACCTTTGCAAATTCGTGGCTATTTAGCCCAACAATTTCCAACACAGTAACTCCTGACCCCTCGCAGTCTGAGAAGTGGTGGTAAGTAGTGGTGGGTAAGAGTTGAGGTGTTGGTAAAAGGTGGAGGGCCATGAGTAATTACATAATTCAAAAAGACTAAGAGAGACAACATGCTTAACCAGAACAAGTCTATGTAGATTAAATAGAACAAGATATTTTGTGTGCTTTTGGTGGGAATTTTATCAATATCTTTTTTTTTGTACTTTTATTTTAGATTCAGGAGGTACATGTCCAGTTTTGTTACCTGGGTATATTGTAAAATGCTGAGGTTTGGGGTACAGATGATCCTGTCACTCAGGTACTGAGCATAGTACTCAACAGTTTCTCAACCCTTACTCCCCCCTCCACCTCTAGTAATCTCTAGCGTCTGTTGTTGCTATCTTTACATCCATGAGTACCCAAAGTTTAGCTCCCATTTATAGGAGAGAACATGCATTAATTTGCTTAGAATAATAGCCTTCAGCTGTATCCATGTTGCTGCAAAGGACATGCCCTCACCCTCTTTTATGGCTGCATGGTAGTCCATGGTGTATATATATCACATTTTCTTTATCAGATCCATTGTTGATGGGCATCTAGGCTGAATCCATGCTTTGCTATTGTGAACAGTGCTGTGATGAACATGCAAATGCATGTGTCTTTTTGGTAGAATGATTTATTTTCTTTTGGGTATATACCCAATAATGGGATTGCTGGGTTGAATTGTAGTTCTGTTTTAAGTTCCTTGAGAAATCTCTAAACTGCTTTCCACAGTGGCTACAGTAATTTACATTCCCACCAGCAGTGTATGAGCATTCTCCTTTTTCCACAGCCTGGCCAATATCTGTTGTTTTTTGACTTTTTAGTAATAGCCATTTTGACTGCTGTGAGATGGTATCTCATTGTGGTTTTGATTTGCATTTCTTTGATGATTAGTAATGTGGAGCATTTTTTTACATGTTTCTTGGCCACTTGTATGTCTTCTTCTGAGAAGTGTCTGTTTGTGTCTTTTGCCTATTTTTAAATGGGGTTATTTGTTTTTTGCTTGTTCAGTTGTTTATGTTCCTCTTAGATTCTGGATATTAGACCTTTGTCTGATGCATAGTTTGCAAATGTTTTTTCCATTGTGTAGGGTCTGTTTACTCTGTTGATGGTTTCTTTTGTTGTGCAGAAGCTCTATAGTTTAATAAGATCCCATTTGTCAATTTTTTTTGTTGTTGTTATTGTAATTGCTTTTGAAAACTTAGTCATAAATTCTTTCCCAAGGCCAGTGTTCAGAATGGTGTTTCCTAGGTTTTCTTCTGGGATTCTTACAGTTTGAAGTTTTACATTTAAATCTTTAATCCATCTTGAGTTAATGTTTATATATGGTGAAAGGTAGGGGTCCAGTTTGATTCTTCTGCACATGGCTCGCCAGCTATCCCAACACCATTCATTGAACAACGAGTCCTTTCACAATTGCTTATTTTTGTTGATGTTGTTGAACAACAGGTGACTGTAGGTGTGTGGCTTTATTTCTGGATTCTCCTTTCTATTCCATTGGTCTATGTGTCTGTTTTTGTACATGCTGTTTTGATTACTATAGCCTTGTAGTATAGTCTGATAGTGTGAAGTTGAGTAATACCACTGGCTATTTATTTATTTATTTATTTTTTATGGAGTCTCACTCTGTCACCCAGGCTGGAGTGTAGTGGTGTGGTCTCGGCTCACTGCAACCTCCACCTCCCTGGTTCAAGCAATTCTCCTGTCTCAGCCTCTGGAGTAGCTGAGACTATAGGTGCAAGCCATCATGCCCAGCTAATTTTTGTATTTTTAGTAGAGATGGGGTTTCACCATATTGATCAAGCTGGTCTCGAACTCCTGACCTCAGGTGATCCACCCACCTCGGCCTCCCAAAGTGCTGGGATTACAGGTATGAGCCACTGTGCCCAGCCTGGCTTTGTTCTTTTTGCTTAGGATTGCTTTGGCTATTTGGGCTCTTTTTTGGTTCCATATGAATTTTAGCCTAGTTTTTTCCAATTCTATGAAAAATGACATTGGTAGTTTGATAGAAATAGTGTTGAACCTATAGATTGCTTTGAGCAATATGGCCATTTTAATGATATTGATTATTCCAATCAATGAGCATGGAATTTTTTTCCATTTGTTTGTGTCATCTACGATCTTTTTAAACAGTGTTTTGTAGTTCTTCTTGTAAAGATCTTTCACCTCCTTGGTTAGATGTATTCCTAGGTATTTTATTTGTGTGTGTGTGTGTGTGTGTGGCTATTGTAAATGGGATTATGTTCTTGATTTGGCTCTCAGCTTATACATTATTGGTGTAAAGAAATGCTACTGATTTTTGTACATTAATTTTACATCCTGAAACCTTGCTAAAATTATCAGTTCTAATAGCCTTTTGGTAAAGTCCTTAGGATTGTCTAAGTATAGAATCATATCATTAGCGAAAAGAGATAGTTTGACTTCTTCTTTTCCTGTTCAGATGCCTTTTTTTTTTTTTAACTCTTGCCTAGTTGCTCTGGCTAGCACCTCCAGTGCTATGTTGAATAGGAGTGGTGAGAGTGGGGATCCTTGTCTTATTCTAGTTCTCAAGAGGAATGCTTCCAGTTTTTGCCTGTTCAGTATGATGTTGGCTGTGGGTT
Organism: Homo sapiens; assembly: GCF_000001405.40. Classification (NCBI taxonomy): domain Eukaryota; kingdom Metazoa; phylum Chordata; class Mammalia; order Primates; family Hominidae; genus Homo; species Homo sapiens. The sequence goes on along the minus strand of NC_000002.12, from coordinate 177,932,690 downwards.
TGTCATAGATGGCTCTTATTATTTTGAAGAATATTCCTTCAATGCCTAATTTCTTGAGGGTTTTTATCATGAAGGGATGTTGGATTTTTATCAAGAGCTTTTTCCTCATCTATTGAGATGATCTTTTGATTTTGTTTTTAATTCCATTTATGTGGTGAATCACATTTATTAATTTGTGTATGTTGAACCAATTTTGCATCCCAGAAATAAAGCCTACTTGATTATGGTAAATTAATTTCTTGATGTACTGTTGAATTTGGTTTTATGTATTGTTGAATTTTGTTGAATATTTTCATGTCTATGTTCATCAAAGATATTGTCCTGTAGTTTTCTTTTTTCATTGTGTCTTTACCAGGTTTTGGTATCAGGGTGATGCTGGCTTCATAGAATGAATTAGGGAAGAATCCCTCCTCTTCAATTTTTTAGACTAATTATAGTAGAATTGGTACCAGCTCTTCTTTGTACATCTGGTAGAATTCAATTCATATGGTCCAGAGATTTTATTTGGTTGGTAGGATTTTTATTACTGATTCTATCTCAGATATTGATATTGGTCTGTTTTGTGTTTCAATTTCTTCCTGATTCAATCTTGAGAGATTGTGTGTTTCCAAGAATATATTCATTTCCTCTAGATTTTCTAGTTTGTGTGCATAGAGGTGTCGTAATCATCTCTGAGGATCTTTTGTATTTCTGTGGGATCAGTTGTAATGCCACTTTTGTCATTTCTGATTTTGCTTATTTGGATCTATTTGGGTCTTTCTTTTTTTTTTTTTTTTTTTGTTAATCTAGCTAGTGGTCTATTGATCTTGTTTATCCTTTCAAAAACCAACTTTTGGTTTTGTTGGTTCTTTGTGTGGATTTTTGGGTCTCAATTTTATTCAGTTCAGCTCTGACTTCAGTTATTTCTTTTCTTCTACTAGCTTTGGGGTTAGTTTGTTCCTGTTTTTTAGTTCCTCTAGGTGTGATGTCAGATCGTTAATTTGAGATCTTTCTAACTTTTTGAGGTAGACGTTTAGTGCTATAAACTTTGCTCTTAACACTGCTTATGCTGCATCTCAGAGATTTGGGTATGTTCGTCTCTGTTTTCATTTATTTCAAAGATTTATTTTTATTTCTGCCTTGATTGCGTCTTTTATCCAAAAGTCATTCAAGAGCAAGTTGTTTAATTTCCATGTAAGTGTGTGGTTTTGAGAGCTCTTCTTGGTATTGATTTCTATTTTTATTCCACTGTAGTCCAGGAGTATGGTTTTTCATGATTTCAACTTTTTTGAATGTATTGAGACTTGCTGAGAGTAGATTTTAAGTGTTCTCACGACAGAAATGATAAATATGTGGGAGAATGCATATGTTAATTAGCTCAGTTTAGCCATGCTAAAATGTATATATGTTTTGAAGCAACATGTTGTTCATGATAAATATGTACACTTTTTATTTGTCAATTAAAAATAAATAAAATAGAACGTTGACAACAAAAGAAAATTAGAGATAGGTGGAGTTTTTGTTTGTTTGTTTGTTTTGTTTTGTTTTGTTTTTTGAGACGGAGTTTCGCTCTTGTTGTCCAGGCTGGAGTGCAATGGCGCAATCTTGGCTTACTGCCAGATAGGTGGAGATTTTAAAACATAGTATCTATAAGGAAAAAAATAACAAAAAGATGTTCTTGTTGGGGAAAAGTGTGGGATCTATGGATTAGCCTGTGACTATGTGAGTCCCAAGGGGAGGTGATCCTGGCTAAGGAGCCACAGTGCAAGACTCCCTGCATATGAAAGTTCTGGGGCTTTTCTAATTAAGGTTCAGAGACCAGTTGAGGCTAAGCATTCTACCATCCTCTTTGGATCCTTAGTAGGTCCCGGTTGGTTCATGGATCCTCTTTGGGATTCAGGGTGTGTTAATCAGGATGAGCATTTGCATTTGTCCAGGGCTCCCAAAACAACCCTGGGCCTTGTGTTAGTCAATGCCTGTCTCTACTTTCTCTGTGTTTGGCCATTTCCGTGGCTGTCCTACACAGTGCATGTGGTAGCTTCCCTATGAATAGTTGTGGGATGAGATTTCTTATCCTTTCTACTCTTCTGTGAATCTTATTTCCAGATAGAAGAGGCTTGGGCCATGGAGGCTGTTTTTCAGTTTTCTATACTATTCAGTATTCTCTGTTACTCAGAGTAGTTATTCAGATTCTACTTTTAACTCTGATTACTGCTTCTGCCTTTACCCTGGGCTTCCCTAGGATGCATACTGGGAATCATGCCAAGACTTTTTTTTTTTTGGTCTATTCTAATCTGTATTAAGCTCATTTACAACTCATCCAGGTATTTTTATTGAATATGGTTGTTTACTTGCAAGGTAGCCATTGTACAGCTGCTAATACCTGCTTGCCTGCTTGGCTACAGGCCTTTTCATTTTATGAGCATGCACAGTCTGTCTCCTACATGCACTGAAGGAACTTGTTTAAAAGTAAAACAGCCTCTAATCTGTTTTCTCAAATTTATCAGAAAAATTAGCTTCAGAAACACTAGTCACTTTATGAATAGCAGCACAAATATAATGATATTGTGAGAGGGCTGTTGAATTTCACATAATTAATCGATCAATTGAATTAAGAATAAGCTTTAAATTGAGCAATGAGAAATCTAAAGTATTAACTGCCAAATCACATACAGATACTGACAAAATGAACAGCCCACACTTACTCTATCAAACTTGTAAATGGTGATTCATTGCCGTTACTTGGCAGGGAGTGTATTTTGTTTATTATAATCATATTTATCCTGGAACTCTGGTTTGTTAAGTAAATAACTTATACAATGGTAGGATTATTGCTCAAACAGCAGTTACCTATTTACAGATCCTATTGCTGTCTTTAGAGTCCCACACAGGAGCAGACTGAAAGAAAAGCAACATGGTGGGCTATGATTTCTGTGCTGTGAGCTTGATGTGAGACTTGGGGGGAAAGCTTTATAAAGTTCTAAGTGGAATTTATTCAACTACAAAATTAACTCTCTCTTCCCACACCCCCACATTCACCCACATACAGCCTCCTGAAGTAATTTAATTGAGATTAACTGTAAAAGAAACCCAGGAAAATGCCAAATGTTGAAAGGGAAGGTAGACCACAGAAGCCACTTCATGGGAATTATGAACTGGAACAAGAGTCTTGTCCTTGTACGGATGAAGCTTCAAGTTCATCCTAGCAGGCTTTAAAATACTGATGCAGCCCTTAAAATACAGTTATAGCATACAGTTACTCAGAGTATAGTAGTCTTCCCTTCTCAGGATTCATGCAGTTACTAAATATCTGTTTAGGTCTGATCTTAGAGACATTGAATCAGTGTTCCTGAACATTTTGCCCAGCAAATGGAGATTCTCAGCTAACAAAAAAGTGGTATCTCAAAATATGGTCTCTAAACCCCAGAGAGTGTGAACTCCTCTTGAAGTGCCAGGAGCAAAACAGGGTATGAGCCTACACCCTGTGGGCTGGTGCACACTGCTGTTGTGGGAAGGAGGGAAGAGCCATCCGAAATGGAGGGAGGAGATTAGGAGATTTGGATGACTGTGAGAGAACCCAGGCTGGGAGCACTTGCAGAGAAAAGTTGGCTAGGCTTGTCTGGATTTTTCGCCTGTGCAACACTCAAGTTCCCCTGCAAACTCCAGCAAGTCTTTTGAAGAAAAAAGATTTCATTTTTTTTAATCATCCCCCCATGTCGACCTAAAAGAGCACAGTTTACTTTTTCAAGGTTCTCAAACACCTTCACTTTAAGGAACATAAATATTGAAAACCTAACTTCAAGATTATGTATAGACTATTCTGTTATTTTTATGTATTTATTTTTTTTTGAGACAGGGTCTTTCTCTGTAACCCAGGCTACAGTGCAGTGGCACAATCATGGCTGACTGCAACCTTGACCTCCCACACCCAAGCGATCCTCCCACCTCAGGCTTCCAAGTAGCTGGGACCACAGGCATGTGCCACCACCCCCAGATAATTAAAAAAAGAATTTTTTTAAGCAGTCCTCCTGCCTCAGCTTTCCAAAGTGCTGAGATTATAGGCATGAGCCATTGTGCCTGGCTATTCTGTTATTTTAAACAAAGTTAATTCTTCAGTTTCAGTCAGAATCAGAACTTATATAGGAACTGGAGATACTGCACTTATATTAGTTTTCTACAGTTCTCTCTCTCTCTGTCTCTCTTTCTCGTATTTAGAGACAAGGTCACCATCTGCTACCCAGGCTAGAAGGCAGTGGCAAGACCATAGTTCACTGCAGCTTTGAACACCTGGGCTCAAGTGGTCCACCTGCTTCAGACTCCTGAATAGCTGAGACTACAGGTGTGCACCACCATGCCTGACTAATTCTTTAATTTTTTTTATAGAGATGGGGTCTCACTTTGTGGCCCAGGCTGTTCTCAAACTCCTGGCTTCAAGTGATCCTCCTACTTCAGCCTACCAAAGTGTACAGTTTATTCTTAGAATCACATAAGTAAAATCTTTACATTCTGTCAAGTGATTGTCATAAAGCTTTGTGAGTATTCATTAGATGAGATTTACCAATTGATGTTTCCTCTATCTCATGGCTTTTTTTTTTTTTTTTTTTTTTGAGATGGAGTTTCGCTCTTGTTGCCCAGGCTGGAGTGCAATGGCGCGATCTCGGCTCACCACAACCTCCACTTCCCAGGTTCAAGCGATTCTCTTGCCTCAGCCTCCCGAGTAGCTGGGATTACAGGCATGCACCACCACATCTGGCTAATTTTGTATTTTTAGTAGAGACGGGGTTTCTCCATGTTGGTCAGGCTGATCTCGAAGTCCCAACCTCAGGTGATCTGCCCATCTCGGCCTCCCAAAGTGCTGGGATTACAGGCATGAGCCACCGTATCCGGACTATGTTCTTTTAAAATCCACTGTAATAATATATGATGAACTTGGCATTATTGTATTTTAAATAATAAGTCAGAGATTTGAGATACTCTTTTGCTTTATGAAAGCAGTTAATGTTAGTATTTCTTTCTCAAAGGTAGACAAACTAATGCAAAGATTGGGTTACTAAAACAGTTATTTTATTGTCCCATTTTACCAATGATTTGATATATTGTCAGCAAAGGTTTATGGAAAATGTGTTTTTCTGGAACTCCTGTGTTAAACACTTTACTCTTAACTCTTTCATTACCAGGCACCTAATGGAAGAGTTTCACCTTTGACAATGTGAACCAACAGTCTGGTATCCTGGAGTGTAATGAGAGTTTTGTTCTCTTATAATCTCAACAGTTAAGAAATGAATGTCTTTCCTCTTCACATTTCCATAGAACAAAATCGGTGCTGGATATTCATATTGGATATTGGACATTTAGGAAGTATTTGCTAATTTGACATAAGTACGACAAGTGGCAGGTTTACATTAAGGCAAATTTTTTGAAATTTAATGCTAAATAACCAAGAAAGAGAATATATTTCAAATGCAAAGGTTGACCTGAAAAGTTTGACTAGCTGTCATGGCAATAATTGATTTTTAAAAATTAATGATTGAAAGGAAGAGAGCTATTGTTTGGTTTTATATTTCACTTCATAGGTGTGGGTCAGGGTCACTTGTGCGAAGGCCAAGAGAAAATGAGAGTGGAATATATGTTGGAGTCAGATTGTGAAGGTCCAGGAATGCCCTGACCTGAAGGCAGTAGGGAGTTGCTGGGGACATTTAAGCAGAGACTACATGATCAGATCTGGGGAGTAAATGGTGGCAGAGAGAAGAGGAGATCTCAGCAGGGAGACACTGGAGGCAGAAAGACCAGTGAAGAGATTTTTCTCATGGTGCAGGTAATCATTGATTAGGATTTGCAGATGTGGAGTAAAAAAATTACCAGAATGATCCAGGCCTTCGGGTCCTCAGAATGAGCCAGGATTTTAAGTACATAGGCCCCAAAATATCTGAATAGTGGGAGACTGAGTAGAAGGAAAAAAAACCAGGAAATGTAGATAATAATAAATAAAATATTATCTGTACCACATTTTGGACTTAAGCAAAATCAATAAATAGCTATGAAATACTATGAAATTATCAACTCCTCTTTGGAACATATCTGAGAAGCAATCCTTTCTTCAAACCTTTCAAACCTTAAAATCTGAAACTTGCTGTATCTCTTATTTGTGTGCTTCATATTTTACTCCCTAGAGCTGTTCGCCCTCAGTGCCTTAATTTCTTACTTGCTTATTTGAGTTCTATCTACTGAATTATAACATAAAGATTGAGGAGATACTGAGTTATGTATCAGTGAACCAGTGCCTTAAGCTGATTCTTTTAGACATAGAATTTGTTTCTGAGACAGTAAGAGTATACAGATAAGAACATCTGAAGCTAGTATTTTGCTATAAACTTTCCCTAAAGTATCATGAAATCAAGAAGGAAAACATAAATTCCTTTTTAACTTTAAAAAAATTTAGTAGAAGTACAGATGATAAATCAAGAATCTTTTTTTTCCTAGACAATGAAAAAATACTTCTGAAATTAGCTTAAAGCATATATTGAGAATGGCTATCTATGAGATGTTGGCAAAATAAGATTAGTGCTGAGTCTAATGTGGAATTTACACAAATAATGCTTCCAATGACAGGAATTGTTTATTTGTTTTGGTTTCTACTATCTTTATTATCTTGCTAAGTTGATATATATTTAGAGAGAATTTTTGCTGCTTTCCTATTTTTCTTCAAATGGAGGAAGGAGATTTGGGTGACTGTGACAGAACCCAGGCTGGTAGCACTTGCAGAGAAAAGTTGGCTAGCCTTGTCCTGATTCTCCCCCTCTGCAACACTCAGGTTCCCCTGAAAACTCCAGCGAGTGTCCTGAAGAAAAAAGATTTCATTTTTTTATTTGATCTTCCATGTTGACCTAAAAGAACACAGTTTAGTTTTTCAAGGTTTTCTTCTTCAAAGAATAGGGAAGATTGTATACAAGAAAAGACTGCATAATGTAAAAGTTGATCCTTTATCTACCCCAACCCACGCCTGCCTTGTAAGCTTCTTGGTAGCTGTGTGTATGGGAAGATCTGCCCCACGTTTTCCTTTGGTAAGTGATTGTGCCTAAGGGCTAATATCCAGAATCTACAATGAACTCAAACAAATTTACAAGAAAAAAACAAACAACCCCATGAAAAAGTGGGCGAAGGACATGAACAGACACTTCTCAAAAGAAGACATTTATGCAGCCAAAAACACATGAAAAAATGCTCATCATCACTGGCCATCAGAGAAATGCAAATCAAAACCACAATGAGATACCATCTCACACCAGTTAGAATGGCAATCATTAAAAAGTCAGGAAACAACAGGTGCTGGAGAGGATGTGGAGAAATAGGAACACTTTTACACTGTTGGTGGGACTGTAAACTAGTTCAACCATTGTGGAAGTCAGTGTGGAGATTCCTCAGGGATCTAGAACTAGAAATAACATTTGACCCAGCCTTCCCATTACTGGGTATATACCCAAAGGACTATAAATCATGGTGCTATAAAGACACATGCACACGTATGTTTATTGCAGCATTATTCACAATAGCAAAGACTTGGAACCAACCCAAATGTCCAACAATGATAGACTGGATTAAGAAAATGTGGCACATATGCACCATGGAATACTATGCAGCCATAAAAAATGATGAGTTCATGTCCTTTGTAGGGACATGGATGAAATTGGAAATCATCATTCTCAGTAAACTATCGCAAGAACAAAAAACCAAACACCGCATATTCTCACTCACAGGTGGGAATTGAACAATGAGATCACATGGACACAGGAAGGGGAATATCACACTCTGGGGACTGTGGTGGGGTAGGGGGAGGGGGGAGGGATAGCATTGGGAGATATACCTAATGCTAGATGACGAGTTAGTGGGTGCAGCACACCAGCATGGCACATGTATACATATGTAACTAACCTGCACAATGTGCACATGTACCCTAAAACTTAAAGTATAATAAAAAAAAAAAAAGAAAGCTTAACAGCCGGCAGAATGTGAATCAACATATAAAGCCATAAAGATATATATTTGTGTGTATGTGTGTATGTCAACTCAAGAATTATTTCTTGAGAAGCATTGTACCAGAGATTGTGCCCTGTTTTAGAAGGAGAGAAAAATAAATAAAATATTGACTCTGATATCAAGGAGTTCACTTTCTCTTCATGATTTGACACTGGATCTTATAAATTCCTTGAGTGATGGCCTTCTCTAGCTCTCGTGGCCATGAATAAGTGTTAGAGAAGTCATGGAATCAAACTAACTTGCAAGAGTTAGTCTGCCAGAGATATTCGTAAGGAAAATTTCTGCCCTTTAAGACCAATACAAACAGGCATCATTGCTTTTGGCTCAGGCAAAACTCTACTTGGTAGTCAGCATTTCTGTAGTGTCAGCTTAGGTCAGGCTCTGATTTGATCATGGCCATGGATGCTATAATATATCAATATAAATCCAAAGTACAATTTGGGTTCATATGTGATCATATTACATTTATTTGAGTAAGTGAAGACAAGAATTTAAAGCCATGGCTCATATTCTGAACTATTTCTTTTAAAGGAAAAATAAAAAAGGAGGTGGCGAAAATCTACAGATGTTTCTTTAAGCCAACACAAGCTGTGTCCGACTTGCTTACTCATTAAATAATAAATTACACTTTAGAGTAAAGCAGATATCTGGGTTTCTTGACCTGGTGAATATATGTCTTTATATATGACATTTTTATACATTATCTTAGACCTCTTACAGACTGTGTTATTTATTAATTGATTCTTTTATTTATTTAACACATATTGCTTGAGCCACCACTCTGTGCTAGGTATTGCGCTGGATGTTCAGAAACATCAGCCTAACATTCTTAAGAATTCCGGAATATTTTTAGAAGTAGATTTCAAATTTTATGAAATCTAAATAAGTGAGGTAACACTGAGAATTCTGCCTGAAATGAAGGTTAATTATAACTTTCTCAAATAACTTTATATTTGTGTACATTTATTATCTTGGACATTCAGCATCTTGATAGGAGGATTTGATTTTCCTCTGGAGAACTATCTTGTCCCCACCTCTTAGCCCAAAGCTCTACTCAAAGCTCAATCATGGGCATATGGCTAAGTTCTGGCTAAGTCTACTAGAGGATTGGTTTTCTTTGGCCTCAGAGATTGGGTCAACAATGACCACGTGACCCAATTTAGGTCAATGAGAGTGAGGGACAGCTGAGATAAAAGGAGGATGGGTCAGAATTTTAATGACCTCATTCAAGGTCTTATTCATCACTTACTGAAGCTAGCCCTACCCCTGTACTTACTTTCTTTTCTTTTCTTTCTCCTTTTTTTTTTTGCTGGGGGAGAGACAGAGCCTCGCTCTTTCATCCAGGCTAAAGTGCAGTGGCACAATCATAGCCCATTGCAACCTGAAACTCCTAGGCTCAAGTGATCCTCTCACCTCAAGTCTGCCATGAACTGTGACTGTGCCACTGCACTCCAGCCTTGGCAGCAGAGCAAGACCCTGTATTTTTTAAAAAAATTAAATGAAAATAAATAATAAATTAATAAATTAAAAATATTTAATATAAAAGTACTGCATTAGAGGTATGTACAAAGAGCTATAAAAGCATTAGAGCTATAAAAGCATATAAAGTGCCATTTCTTTGGTGGAATGAGGAGAATGCAGAGAGACAATGGTAGAGCAAATCGAAAAGTCCAGAAAGATTTTATTGAGATATTTGAACTGGTCCTTGTAAAATAAGTAGAGTCTGACAGATGCACAAAGTAGGCAAGAAGGTTCTAGAATGAGGGAATTATGATGAACAAAGACAGAGGTATACAACTTAGTTGTACATGGGCATGGATAATCTATTGTGACTGGAATACAAGAAATGTAGAGGGAGAAGAGTGCTGGAAGATGAGTCAAGAAAAGTCCACTGTGTGTTGGGAATAGATTATGAAGGGCTTTGAGTGTAGGCCCTGTAAGCAATAGGAAGCCATGGAACAGCCAGAAAGGTAGCTTGGATTGGAGTGGGGGTGAGGGAGTGGGAAGTGATGATTAAAGGAAGCAGACAATGTTGAGACATAACTAACAGGTAAAATTAGCCGGACTCAGTGATGTCAGGTATGGGACATGGCTCCAGGTTTTTGGGTTCAGCCCTTTGTGGCAAGATGGTGCCTTCACTAAGATATACTCCTCTTGGAAGAGAAATAAGTGGTTGAGGGTGTTTAATTATTATTATTATTTTTTGTTGTTGTTATATATTCTTTTTTTAATTTTATTATTATTATACTTTAAGTTTTAGGGTACCTGTACACAATGTGCAGGTTTGTTACATATGTATACATGTGCCATGTTGGTGTGCTGCACCCATTAACTCGTCAAGAGGGTGTTTAATTATGAGTTCTGTCTTGGACATAAAGTATTTGAGGTGCTTTTGAGACATCTAAGTGAAAATATTGAGTAAGCTGTTGGATACACACAGATCTTGGGCTCAAGGGGGTAACCTGGGTTAGAAATATAAACTTGAGAGTCATGCATGCAGAGGTCAATTTAATCCAGTGTTGTAGATAAGATTTTTTAGAAAGAGAGGAGAGTGAGATAGGAAGTCTCAGAATCAAGCCTCGAGGAATGCTAAAAAGTAAGTCAGATGGGAAAAAAGTCATTCTGCAAAGGAACGTGAGAAGGAGGAAAGTTTTGTAAAGTTAACAAAAGTAAGATATTTTAATGATATTCATTTGAGATAATTCTTTTTCCCTTCCAGCTTCCTGTCTGTCAGATTTCCCCATTCATCAGGCCACAGACATTCTTGGGATGTAGCTAGGGAAGAAGTCCAGCTGTAGATACTTTTGAGTTTAGTAGGATAATTTTTATGGTTCCCAATCCCTTTTGTGGAAAGTTGTTGCTAGCTTTATGCTGTAGGAACGGCTTTTCTGAATATTCTTTTGCTCACCATCCCAGTTCACTCAACATCTTGATGCAGATATACAAGGTCAGTGGTTGCATTTTGATATGAAGGTGGTCTATAGTATGTGGGTCTGGAAGAATATGTATAGTGAAGGAGAAACAAGGTTTGAAATGTACGAAGTCAGAAACTAGTCTATGGAAAAAAAATCTTCCAATCAGACTCGTAAAATGTGGTTTTTCATAGATGCCTATTCAAATAGAAGTTTTATGCTCTCCTATCAGGAGCATACTCAAAAATGCAGCATATGCCATGATAAACATGTTTTTTTTCTTTTTTTTTTTTTGCTTTTAGATGAGAATTATGCAAAATATTATTTATTGGAATTCCTGCATTTGTAGGACACAAACCAGTACTAGTAGTGCAAATAGGAAATGTGTCTCTGGGTAAAGTTGTATGTATTATGCATCCCATCATAAATAATATAAAGCTCATTTGTATCAATATGCTAATGAAAATGGAATTATTTTCTGTATATCTATAGGAAAATAATATTAAAATTTATAGTTACATGCAGAGGCAATAAAAAAGCATGCTGTCAAAAATTTGGAAAAATTAATACAAATATGCTACGTTTCTGGATCTTGCGATGTTTGGGATATTGTCAATTTAAAAAAAACCTTGTACATTATGATTTCTTTCCTAATACTAAAAAAAAAAAAAAAGTTATTTTTGAAACAATTTTTTTTTTTTTTTGAGATGGAGTCTCGCTCTGTCGCCCAGGCTGGAGTGCAGTGGCACGATCTTGGCTCACTGCAAGCTCTGCCTCCCGGGTTCACACCATTCTCCTGCCTCAGCCTCCCAAGTAGCTGGGACTACAGGCGCCCACCACCACGCCCGGCTAATTTTTTGTATTTTTAGTAGAGACAGGGTTTCACTGTGTTAGCCAGGATGGTCTGGATCTCCTGACCTCGTGCTTCGCCTGTCTTGGCCTCCCAAAGTTCTGGGATTACAGGCATGAGCGACCGCGCCTGGCCCAAAACAATTTTTTAATTGAAGCAAAATATACTTATATAATTTACCATCTTCACTATTTTTAAGTATAATAAATAGTACTAATGGTGATAATAAATAATAAATAAATTTCTAAGAATAGAATTGTAAAGACAAAGGGCCTGTACTTTTTAAAGGCATTTTATATATTTTGCAAAACTGTTCTTCAGAATTGTTGCACCAATGAATCTCCCTCAATAATTATATGAGAATGCTTGTTTTCCCATATTATTATTGGCCCTGGGTATTAATTTTAATGATAATATTTGTCAATATAGTAGGAGAAATCTGATAGCTCATTGTTATTTTAATTTATATTTCTTTGATAATTAGTGTCCTGAACACTTTTTGTTCTTCTTTTAGCTATTTGTGTTTCTTTTTGGCAAACTTCCTGTTTATATCTTTTGACCATTTTTGAGGTATTTTTTTTTCTGATTTTTTCCTACTTAGAGGTTCATAATTATCATAAACATTGCAAATAATTTTCCCAGTGTGTTTTGCTTTTTAATTTATTTTACATATTGAGATATAGATGTTTTCAATTTTAAATGAGTGTGAAGTCTCTCATATAATTTCCACATATAGGGTATGGTTGGAAAGGCCTTTCACAATGAAGAACTATGTAAATGTTTACCATATTTCCCCTATGGCTTTTATAGTTATATATTTTTATTCTATCTTTAATTTCCCTGGGCTTTTTCAAAAAGGATTTTCTAATTTTTAGGCTTTTTTCCAAATGATGAACTATGTCCCAACACGATTTATTGATGAAACCATCCTTTTCTTACATATGAGCTTATTTTATGTATTTTGTTCTGGACTTCTGTTCCTTTAAGTTGCATGATTATTCTGTCCTTAGTACTATTCTGTTTTGGTCATCATAACCTTACAATTGGTTCCTCTTATTTCTCGTTTCATTTAATATTGACTATTGTTAAACATTTTTCACTTCATTTGAATTTTAGAATTACCTTTTTTTTTAAATTCCAAAAATATCATTCTAAGTTTCACTAGAATAAAATTTATAGATTAATTTGGACAGGTAATTGATATCTTTTTAATATTGATTCAATATCTTTTTATTGAGAAATATGGCACGTTTTTCCATTAAAAAATCTTTAATACCCATTATAACTTATTAAAAATTTTATAGCCATTGGGTATTGGATTTTATCAAATGACCTCTTAGAATATTAAGATGATCATTTTTTTGCTTTAAAAGTTAATATGAAAGTTTGGAATAATTGATCTTGAAACATTGAACAATCAGTTTATTCTAAATATAAATTCTTAGTCATGTTCCATTTTTCAATATTTGGCTAAATTCAACTTTCTAATATACAGGTATGTATAGATATCAAATCTTCTGGCCAGGCGCAGTGGCTCACATATGTAATCCCAACACTTTGGGAGGCCGAGGTGGGCGGATCACGAGGTCAAAAATTCAAGACCAGCCTGGTCAATATGGTGAAACCCCACCTCTGTTAAAAATACAAAAAATTAGCCAGGCATGGTGGTGCGCGCCTATAGTCCCAGCTACTCAAGAGGCTGAGGCAGAAGAATCGCTTGAACCCGGGAGGCGGAGGTTGCAGTGAGCCATGATCATGCCACTGCACTCCAGCCTGGGCAACAAAGCGAGACTCTGTCTCAAAAAAAAAAAAATGTTAAATCTTCTAATATTTTTATTTAGAATGTTTCTTATCTGTTTTCATAAGGGATCTATTCTGTAGGTTTGATTTTTGCATTATTTTTATCATGATGTGCTATCAGTAATAAATAATGTGTCTTCAAAAAATATTTGAGAGTCTCCTTCTCTGGATTCTGGAATTGTTTGAATAGCATAGGAATTTTCTTGTTCTTGAAGATTTGAAAGAATTTGCCTATGAAGCCATTTGGACTAGCCCCTTTTCTGAGAATGAGTCTTTTACAAGTTTCTTTATTATTTCTGTGGTGACTATTTTACTCAGAAATTCTCAGGTCTTCTTGAAGAACTTGATTCAGTTTTGTTAATTTATATTTTGCTTAAAATATACAAGTTTACATCAGATTTGCAAATATTTAAGTTTGAGATTATGGCAAAAAATGTCTATTATAGTTCTTTTCATTTTCTTCTGTAGCTGTGACTCTATTTCCTTGATCACTTCTGTTTTAGTATATTTTCGGGGTTTTTCCCCTATGATTAAACTAGCTAGTGATTTATTTGCCTTATTGCTTTTCCCTACATGAGCTATTTCTGGATTTATTTATCAATTCTAATGGTTGTTTTCTCATTTACTATTTTCTGCTTTTATTTTAATTAATTCTTTCCTTCTGCTGTCTTTAGGCTTATCATTTATTCTTTCTGCTTACTTTGTATGTAATTGAGCCCTCAAAATAAATAGCTGAACCATGAAGAGAAAGGAAGCAATAAAGGACAGGCTGAGACTCTGTTGCAGATAGACTGAATATGGGTGGAAAGTAGAAACTGTGAATAGGGGCAATAAAGTATTTTGGCTTTGAAGCTAGCATCTTAGTTTGTAAGTTAGACTGTTCTAGGATACCAAATGAGAAATCTTGCTGAATTACTGATGACTCATGTAGACAGTTTCCCCTCTGCTATTTTGGATTGATACCCCAGTTTGTTAATAAATGATTGGCCCTTCACAAAGTTTTGTTTGTTGTTAGGCCAAACTTTAAAGCTCTTTTTGTCTTCAAGGCTATCCATTAAGAATGCCCTGAATTTACTAGGTACCACTTTTGTGTTTTAGTTGCATAGATACAACTTACGAATTATATCAAGGCTTTTACACTTATAATATTCATTTTAGGGTACTATTACATTAATTAAATATTAATGCTCTAAGCATATTTTCATAGCCTTCTCTGTTTTAAACTCCACTGGAGAATATTACTGGAAATTAAAAAATAGTATGGTTTATTATCCATGTCATTAGTGTTGCATTTGGATGATGAATTATTTTGGAAATTAAAAAAAAGATATATAAGTAGAATAATCCCCTCTGGGTCTCATGTGTTTCTCTAAATAGCAATTTTATATTTCCTTATTATTTTTCCTGAGATTATTACATATCTTCCACAGTGTCTGTAAAATGCTAAGCCACAGTCTTAAATATTGGAGATACTTTCTGATGAGCTTCTAATGAGATTTTTAAAAATACTGTATGTGGTATGAAAATGCTCACGCAAATGTAGTTTGAAAAAGACTAGTATTTAATATGTGTAAGACATATTTATACCTTACATTTTAAAAAGTTAAGACAATGGAGCACATTGGGATGGATAGTCAGTGTGTTTAAATTTATAGCTTTCCTGGATGGGAAACAAAGGTTACTGGGTTCTTGTCACATTGCAAGGATGAAAGGATCTTGGCTACTGTTGCAGCAATGGTGAGAGATCTGGGAACTATTACCAGAGATGGTGAGTGATGGCAGTGCTGGAGCAGGGGAAATCAAGGCCATGGGAACAGAAGTTTCAAAAGCTCCTGAATTGCTTATGCCTACATCTGGATAGCAATCAATGATGGCTCCCAGGATTTGGAATTGGGTGATTTGAACTTTAATTTTTTTTTTGGCACATATAGGGTGGTTTTGGAGGCGGAAGCCCTCTTTCTTTGGAAGGACAAGGGGAATTGAGATGATAAACTTGGTTTCAGAATGCTGAGTTTGTGGTAGTATAAGAACCTTCAAGTTGGCCGGGCATGGTGGCTCACGCCTGTAATCCCAGCACTTTGGGAGGCTGAGGCGGGTGGATCACGAAGTCAGGAGATCAAGACCATCCTGGCTAATACGGTGAAACCCCATCTCTACTAAAAATACAAAAAAAAAAAAAAAAAAAAAATTAGCCGGGCGTGGTGGCAGACACCTGTAGTCCCAGCTACTCGGGAGGCTGAGCCAGGAGAATGGCGGTGGACCCGGGAGGCGGAGCTTGCAGTGAGCTGAGATTGTGCCACTGCACTCCAGCCCTGGCGACAGAGCAAGACTCCATCTCATAAATAAACAAATAATTAAAATAATAATAAAATAAAATAAAATAAAAAGAACCTTCAAGTTGAAATGTCCTCTAGGCACCTGGTGATGTGAAGCCAGAGCACAGAGAAAATGTCAGCACTAGAGAGCCCACTTTGAGAATCGTTCCAGAGGTAACTACAGAAGACACAGATAGAAGGAAGGGACTTTGGTGCCTGTTCGGTCACTATGGTTGAATTCAGAGTTCAGTTCAGTCTAGGACCAGGAATACTAAAATTAGACTATAAGATAGAGGAAGCAAATGTTTTCAGAGCTCAAGCTGTGTCTGGATTAGAGACTGAAACGTGGGTCTGAAAGGTAGCAGATGTGGCTGATTAGAAGTGGGGTTAGGGATGTAGGAAAGTGAAATCAGAGGCAGAGGGAATTCGTGACAGACCAAAGTTCAAGAGCAGAAGGAGGAAGACTTCTCAGCTGCCTTAAATATATGGCAGTACTGAATTTGTTGTCTTTTCTGACTCTTGCTCAAAGGTTAATTCCTGCATAGCCAACCCACTTTATTTTGTAATATTCTTATATTGTAGAAATAAATAAATGCTTAGAGGGAGAATGTAGAAAGGGACAGTTAGAAGACCAAAGACTGAACCCGGGAATATAACTTGAACATGAGTGTCAGAAACGTAGAAAAAGATTAAATAGGGGTGTATAGTCCATGGAAGCCAAAGTTTCATATCTAGCTGGTGATCAAGTGTTAAAGGCTGCAGAAAATAAGAATGTATTATAGGTGTATTTCATGTTCGGGTAATTGGGATGTCATAGACAGGCCACAAGCCAGCCATTTCTGAAGACTGCAAAACTGTAAGCAAAATGACAGGGAGTGAGGACATGAAGCGAAGCAGATGTAGATTACACAGTGAAGGTGGAAGCAATACCAAATGAAGGGAAACACTCCTCCTTTGAAGGGACAGGGAGAACCCAGACATAGGAAAGGGTGGGAATGCAAGATGGCACAGCCACTTTGGAAGACAGCTTAGCAGTTTCTTGCAAAGCTAACGATACGCTTACCATGCAATCCAGCAATTGCATTCCTGGATATTTATCCAAATGAGTCAAAAAATTATGTCTACACAAAAACTGGCACATGAATGTTTATAGCAGCTTTTTTCATAATTGTCAAATCTTGGGAGCAATTGAGATGCTCTTCAATAGGTGAATGGATAAACAAACATGGGTATATCCAGTTAATGGAATGTTAATCAGTGATAAAAAGAAATGAACTATTAAGCCATGAAATTATGTAGAGGTACCTTAAATGGATATTGCTAAGTAAAAGAAGCCAATCTGAAAAGGATATATACTGCGTGGTTCCAACTATGTGACATTCTGGAAAAGGCAAAGCTACAGAGTCAATAAAAAGATCAGTGGTTGCCAGAGACTGAGGGAGAAGGAGGGAGGGATTAGCAGGTGAAGCACAGGGAATTTTTAGGGCAATAAACTATTCTGTATGATACTGTAATGGTGAACATGTACATTTGTCAAAATCCGAATAATGTGTGACACAAAGAGTGAACCTATTGTAGACTTTGTAGACTAGACTTTAGTTAATAATGTGTCGGTATTGACTCATCAGTTGTAACAAATGTACCACTCTAATGTAAGATGTTAATAATAGGGGAAACTGTGTGTTGGGCAGGGTCTATGGGAAATCCTTGTACTTTCCACTTAACTTTTCTGTAAACCTAAAACTGCCCTAAAAAAAATCTACTTCTTTAAAACAAAATTTTAAAAGGAATAAAGTACTGATATATCTTCAATATAAATGGACCCTTAAAACAGCATGCAAAGTGAAAGCAGCCAGACACAAAAGGCCACATGCTATATGATTCTGCCTTTATGTAATGTCCTGTACTTTATGAACCAGGAATTATAAAAAGGAAGGAGTTTGATAAACGAGACAGTGAAGAAAAGCCTTCTGCTACTAATAGGAGGAAATAATGTGAATGTATTTCAAATTTAAAGAAAAACTTAGGCATTTCTCATCAGAAAATAGTGTAAGAGGAAATTTTATGTTCGTATGTTCATTGTGATATAATAAGATTTTTCTAGCATTTCAGGGTGTTGATACCTTGACACCTTGACTAAGTTACTCTATTGTGTAGCTTCCTGCATTTATACCTGTGCTGGGTAAGTGGGGAATCATAATGATCTTAATAACTAAAACTCAAGAATGCTTGGATCAAACAGCAGCTCAAAACAACTTTTTGCAGAAGCTGTGAGTTACAAAGGCAGATGGAATAAATGGGCAGGATGATATATGTAGGTCAACCTGCTTATAAAAATAACCTTGGCAGAGTTATATAGGCAGATATCTTTGTAAAAGATCTTCACACTGTGAGAGAGAGTAGGCCAAGTTTATGGAGCCATAATATTATTCATCTTAGACAAAGCGCTCATAGCTTGTAGGCCTAATGGATTATATCAAACAGATGACAATTACTGTTTGATTATCAAGTAAGATTCATGAATTGTGAAAATGGAAAATGTTTAATATTCTTAGCACATAAAGGGTACTTACTGAGCAATAAGTAATAGATGAATGTCCACTAAAAAATAAACAAAATAAGCAAAAGAGGCCATATTTTAAAATACAGACAACCAACAAATTATGAAAAGTGTTCAATCTATTAATCAAGTAAATGTCAGTTAATACAAAAATGAGTACTGATTTTATCTGTCGGATAGACAAGATTTTAAAAGAATGGTAATACCCAGTGTTGTATGAGTTGGGGTAAATGAATCCTCTGATTACTGTTAGTGGGAGTATAAATTGGTAGAGCCTTTTTGGAGGATGATTTGGCAGTAGTAATTAAGATTTTTTGAGCATATGTTCTTCAACCTTAAAATTCCACTTTTAGGAAACTGTCAAACAGAAGTATTGTCCAGGTGCATGAAGATTTATTTGTAAGAAAGTTGACAGCAGCATTATTTGTAATAAAGAAAAATTAGAAACAATGGCAATGTCTAGTAACAGATACAACCACCCCCTAGAATATTCTGCAGACATTAAGATGAATGAAGTAAGTTCTCTTTGAATTAACATGTAAAGATTTCCAAGATATATTGCCAAGTGAAAAAGAAGGTATCGAAAATAACATAGTGTGATCCCACTTATGTTTACAAACAACCCTAAAACTAGATATTGTGTGACTGTAGCCATAAAACATCCAGAAGAACACACTACAAATGCTAGCAGGGTTGTACCTTGAGAAGGGAGTGGGTAGTGGGACAGGAAATTAAGGGGGAACTGTCATTACTTTACTCTATGCATTTCTCTACTGTTTTCTTTTAGCAAAAAGTAAATGTGTTTATATTGTTAAGGATTATTTTAAAGGGTACACAACCCTCAATTAATTAATATTAGTAAAGCATTTAGAATATTGCCCGGTACAGAAAAGCGCTATATAAGTTGTGTGTTGAATAAAGTAAGTTCCAATATCAACGCTTTACTCTAAGAAAATAATAATGGGATTCGGAGAGATTTAATTTCTAGGATGTTTAACCCCAGAATTATTAATCTAAAATTGGAAGCAACCTAAATGTCCAACGTTCTATGATTGACTAAGTAAACTACATTAATCCATACCATGAACAGAGTATTTATGGTAATTTTTAAAACTTTCTTGAGGTATATTTTATATATCATAAAATTCACACATTTCAAGTGAGCAATTCAATGACTTTTAGTAACATTATGAGAGGTACAACCATCACCATAAATCCGTTTTAGAACCCACTACCAATAAGATCCCCTATGCCCATTTACAGCAAATCCTGTTACTGCTGCTAACCCAGGCAACCACTAATCTACTTTCCTTCTCTATAAATTTTATGTTTCTGCACCATACAATGGGATATTTTGCATCCATAGAAACTGGTCATAATAGGTAATAGCTAGTTATAAAAAGTGAAAAAAGCTGATAAAATATTATGTATAGGATTAGCCTATTTGGCTTTATGTGAAAGGAAAAAGAGAGAAGAAAACTTGAATATATTCCAAAATGTTAATAATGGTTACCCTTGAGTGGCAGAAATATGGGTATTTTTTTTCTCTTGAAATCTATGATCAGAAAAAAAAATTATTTTAGAAAGGACATGGGTCCTGCAATAGATTCCTTCAGGGTTTTCCCTGAGGGTCTGGAAATAAGAGGGTGGGAATTAAAAACTGCCCCCAGACATGAGAAGGTTATTTCCCTAAAGTTGTGGGGGTGGACATAGGACCAAATAGAAATAAGGTTATTGAGTGATATGAGTAGTACCTGCATGATTCAAGCACTCAGTAGACCAGAGCTTCTAAAAAGTCAAAGAGAATAGATGTTGATGCTACTAGGCTACTTGCCAGGAACTGAATTCAGCATCTCTGCCCCTGGATAGCCTCCTGGGGATATTTTAGCCAACACTAGCTTGTAGGAGAGGGGCTAGAGTAGTGGAAGGGAGCTCATTCCAACCTCCCTGGGGTCCCAGCTTTAATACTCAGGGACAGAAGTAGAAGCACCTCAATTTCCCTGTCCTAAGAAGGGAACATGGAAGAAGAGTGATGAGGACGCCTAGACAGGAGAAGGGGAGCCTGTAAAGATTCACGCTTTAGGATGTGTTCTGCCCCAAATTTGGACCAGTGAGGAGCCCACCTTGGGTTTGCTTTCCTTGCTTCCCTCCCCACATCTCTGATCCATTATCTTGTCCTTGTTTCTGTCTCCAAAAAACAAAGCTTCTCCTTCTTTTTTATTTGCCCTCTTGTTCTCCCTTGTCTTTTGTGAATGAAGTCCCCCACCCTATTCTTCAGAATGTCAATTCTCATAGTGGACAATTTCAAAAGACATGTAATTGAATCATCTATTCCATTACAATTTTTTTTTTTTTTGGAGATGGAGTCTCACTCTTTCACCCAGGCTGGAGTGCAGTGGCACAATCTCAGCTCAGTGCAACCTCTACCTCCCAGCTTCAAGTGATTCTCCTACCTCAGCCTCCTGAGTAGCTGGGACTACAGGTGCACACCACCACGGCCAGCTAATTTTTGTATTTTTGGTAGAGACGGGGTTTCACCATGTTGGTCAGGCTAGTCTGGAACTCCTGACCTTAAGTGATCCACCTGCCTCGGCCTCCCAAAGTGCTAGGATTACAGGCATAAGCCACCGCGCCTGGCCCCATTACAATTTTTAAAACAATGTTTTATATTTATTTGTATCTTTTGGAGACTGTTTTCTTTGAAAAGGGCGGAACACTGGTGGAAAAAGGCATGCCTTAGCCAAGGTCATATATTTTGGTATGAACTAACAAAAGTCATTTATGATTCTGATTCTTAAAATAAAAGCTCCATCTTTCATCTTTATTGAATTTGTGTAGAAACAAAATTGCAGTGAATGAAGCTATACCTCTGGAAGCAGGGCTTTCCTCTGGAATCTCTGGAAAACTGCAAACTCATTTAAAAATTATTTTTAATATTATATTCCTAAAAATGCTCTGAAAGTATTTCATCGTATGAAAATAATGTGACTGCTTTCATATTTTGATATGTTATTTTCTAAATTACTCTACTTGAAGAGTTTATTCAGCATTTGAATCACAACTGTCTTAAAACATCCCCAGTTCCAAATCAGTGGGCTCCAAATCAGTGAAGCTTTATCATATAGTTACTGCCTGAGGGCAGAAGTGACTTTAAGAGTCCTGTTTTCAGAATCTACACAAAGGGAGGAGGTGTTATCTGTAGGTGGGAAAACCTTTTTTTCACCTGTTCATTTAGCTGACAGTGATGTGGCTCTTCAAGCTGTTTTGCCTTCTACAAGTAGGGTCCACGAACGGGATGGCCCCCTTCACTAAGATTCTCCAGTGTAGACCCCCGGCATTCTTCAATGATGTATAATTGGACCAGACCACACAATGGGGCTTTAATAGCCTTTCTCTGTGGCTTGCAAGTTTGAAAAGGCTGGCTACCTACTGTCTTTTTTTGTGTACATTGATAGAAGGCCCAGTGCTCAAATTCTATGCATATTAGTGATAGTTTAATGAGTTTCCAGGGCTAAAGTGACTTTTTTACACTGTTTAATGATTTTCAGTTTAACTCTCTTTCTGAGTGGGATGTTGTAAAGATTAATTAGCCAATGTTCATAAAGTGCTTTCAAGCCGAAAAGTGCTGCACAAGCGTGTACAGACTCATTTGCTTCTTAGTCATTAAGGCTTTTTAGACCTTTGGCATTCTGAAACTACATAGTGAAGGCCAAATTAGTTGGTTTTTTTGGAAATGAGGGACTTCAGAAAGAGCAGAATAGCAGAATAGAGCAATATATATATGTGTGTGTGTGTATATATATATATATATAGAGAGAGAGAGAGAGACAGAGAGAGAGAGACATCTGTAACACTGGGACTGAAAAAAAAGATTAAAATATTTTGTTTTTCATTTTCTATTTCTACACTGCTTCAGTTTTTCTTACTGCCTCTTTTCAAAAATGTATTTGCCTGCTTCTCCTGCACATTTCTTTAGAAACTCCATAGATCATACTGTCATATGCGTATACATTGTGCAATTGAGTCTGACCCCAGAGGGCTGAATTGTCATGCCAATGAATGACACAGGGTAGAACATTTCCTACATTAACAAAGATTCTCTCTCAGTGTGCAATGAGTCATGAAGGTATAATATTGTCTCCATCCACAGTAATGTTTGGCCAATATATACATTGGAGGTTACCATGATTCAATTAAGCCTTTGATTGAGGCTGACAAAATACAAATTGGCTACCAATGACATAAAGAAGACCTAAAAGAAACCGGAGACAAAGGCAGATAATCTACCAAGATTTTGATTGGCAGCTGGCTTTTTAGCAGCATCAGTTGCACTTGATAAGGGAATAATATGTTTTAAGTACTGAGAGAAAATAAGTGTAAGCCTAGGATTGCATACCCAACTACCTTACCTTTTAAGATTGATTATAAAATAAACATATTCATACAAAACTAAAAGCATTTATCACCAATGCTAAAAGATACTCTAAAGGATTGTCTTTGGAAAAAAAATAAAACTATATCACAGAAAGAAGGAAGGAGGTGTTGGAAGGAATGAGGAGGAAAAAACTGGTACACATGTGGGTAAATCTAAACAAACATTAATAATAACAATAGTAGTAATGTCCAATAGGGCCAACATTTGGAAGGCCTTAACAGGGAGTTGAAATTTGAACTTTAGCCTGTATTTTTGTGAAAATATTGAAGGAATTTGAGCTGGCTAGTAATCCTCTCAGGGATGTAGCTGAAACTAGTGGTAAACTTGAAAATAGTAATGGTGTCATGCAATTTAGTGTACGGGCTGCATATTAACCCAGGGCCTGACGGGAGAAGGCAGTCGGGCGGCTCTTGTTAAATTGAGCTGATCTGTGCATTCCCAGTACAGTGAGTTGGGTGTTCATTTTGCCATTTGCTTTTGTTTGGATGCTGTTATAGGAGCATTAACTTGAAAAATTGGAGTACACAAAACAAGACAGCAGGAGTCTCTTTTGCCATTCAAAATGCCATGTTAAATGCCTTGTAATTGGCTTAAAATGGCAGAGTTTTTGTTGTTTTTCATCTCCACTAAAGGATAAGAATTGGAAGTATATTGTGATATAAGGAGTTTGTTACATTTGTATGAGAAAATTTCATGAAAGTGACATTTGCTAGATGTGTAAAATGGAGGAAGATTGTGGTGTTGCTTTTCCTGAGGTTGTGACAAGTAAATACCATTCATCTGTCAGGACTAAATTGAGGGGTGCTTTGTCGGACACAGTGGGGTAGATGAAAAGAACTAATACCGATCTGATTTGCATGCTTTCTTGATAGTACATTGTACTATTCATGAAGAATAGCTTATACTACTTGGAAAAAGTATTTGCAAATTCTAAATTTTTAGATTAAAAACTAGGTTTAACAGAAACAAGATTGGATGAGGATGAAGAGATTTGTGATTGACTGACAGTTTGATGTTGGGCTGTTCCTAGGCTTCCGGGGACACTGCAGTGTTCCCACTGGGCTAAGACTGGAACCTCTCTAGCCATGTGTGGAACACAGCCTGGTTCCTGGTCCCTGATTCATTTTCCACGCTATAGCTGGACGCACACCACAGGACCCTCACCTGTGGGCCCAGCTTTGCCACAGCCCCTATCTGTGAGCAGTTCTGTGTCTCATTAAAACATAGTGCCTCACATTTCATACCTGATGGGCCCCTTCCTTTCTTCTGCCATTTCCCTCCCTTTCACTACCAAGAGTATAAGCTGATCCTTAAAGCTCCACCTGGAGGCGAGGGCCCTGCTACCTGCTGACAGGCTCAGTTTCTTTTCTGCCCCAACTTTCTACTCTGGCCTTCATAACCACACTCTGATGCCTATCAGTGTGGTCTGCTCTCTACCTAGGATTTCCCTTACACCATCTGCTAGACAAATTGCCCCCTGAGAATGGTTGCCTTGTTATCTCCGGAAACTGGGTTTTGCCTGCTCTACCAGAACTGCTTCCTGCTTCTGCAGTCTCCTGTGACTGCTCATACACTGGAATAATGGAGTGCTAGTCTTAGTCATCTATCTTGCATTGCAGTTAACCAGACTATCATATTAATTGTATGAAAGATATGTATGACTTTGGGAAGCTGGAGAATGTAGAAGTTAAGAAGGTAGATCTTAGGGTTAGGCCACTTGGATTCTAAATTAAGCTTCTCCATTTGCTATCTAGGTGACATTGTTAAGATTTGTAAAGAGTCTGATTTTACTATACAGTACATGCAGGCTAGCAAGTTAGTCTGCCACAGTCTCATGGATGCTGACAGAAGACATGAGACTCCTGGATCAGTGACAAAAAAACAGTTTATTACTCACAACAATAGCAATAGTTTGAGCATCAGCATTTTTGCTGGTTCCCTGACCCCAGTAATAGCACATATAGTAGATTGCATGACAGCAGAGGAACCTGAAATGTAAGCAACCCAAATCTTTTATAATGAACGGTGAGCCTGCCTGACCTCTGTCTAGAGGGAGATATTGTCTTTATTATACTGGATAGTAAACACTTCTGTTCTTTGCTCTGAAAGGAGACAGTATCTCTATCTTCCAAGGCTGTTCATTGTATAAGCATTCCAGAAAGATACAGCCAGTGCCTCTCTCTGCCACGTGTACAGAAACATAAAATATCCATAGAGAATTATCTCCCAAGAACTTTGGGTAAGTTCTTAAAGCCTCAGTTTTCTAATCTGCAAACTGGGATTAATGGTAAAACATAAGTGAATATAAAACAGATGTAATGCATATACAATGCTTAACATCATCCCTGACACATAGCATCATGCCTGACACAATGACAGAAGGGCTTAGCCAATGGCAATTACTATTATAAATTATTTTTTCTTGAATAAGGTGCAAGCATGTTTACTGAATTCTGTTTTCTCTAGTAAATAGAATATTGCAGCTTAATGATGTTTTGCATTATTTGAATCACCAAAGATTAGAACTAAAAAAGACCATAAACCTGGCATTTACAGATAAGAAAATAGGTTCAAGAGCTTATATGATTTGTTGCACTTCACACAGCAAAACTGTAAAAAGAACAAAGATTATTTGATTTAAAATTCAGATTCTTTTTAATTTAACATAATACCTGGAACTCAGTAAATATTGGAATTACAAATGAAGTGAAGCAAGCCTATGATATATTAGAAAACATTTCACATCTTCATTTGATCACTCTCCTCTTACTTGCTTGACTTACCAACCACCTTAAATTTGTCCCCTGAAGGCAAAAATAAATAAAACAAATAAGTAGTGGAAAGTTAAAATAAGTCTCCTCCTTGCTTTTATCCCCGTTATAGTCATTGTCTCCATGGCAGAAAAAAACAATGAGCCAAAAACAAAACCTCCAGAAAACTACAAGGAAAGTGCTTGCTCTATGTGTAGGTGATATTGAAAGTGGTCCCATTCTGCCTAAAGGCAGGGAAATTCTAATGGAATATCTGGCAGCTTTATGCCAACAGCTTTATCTTGGCTTATGGACAGACTTTCTAAGGTATGAGGGGGAGTAGCAAGAAAGGGGAGAGTAGGGGGTAACAGAAATAACATCTAGTTCCAGAAGGCAACATGTGAAAATCCAGGGAAGGAATTTATCCCCAAAACATCTGCAAAAATCATTGATTTTTGTATGTCTTCTTAATTCGGATCCCATTGTTTCTCTATCTTCTTTAAAAATGAGGTCATAGCTTTAGTTTTTATATGGCTCTGAAATTCTTTCCAGGACCCTAGGTCAGAGTTGATCATGCCCAGGTAACCAAGGAAAGATTTTAATAGGAAATTCAGCGATAGGGAATGTGAATTGCCCTTCATCTTTTGTGTACCTCAAGTCCTCTGCATAATTGCCTTGCACTCCAGGTGATTCTTTTCTGGATGTCCTGGGTGCTTCACAAGTGCTTCCTGAGTTGGTGGAGGCTGCTGTCGTCCCTCACCCACAGCGGGCACTGCACTGCCCTCTGCTGGTTACAGCAGGAATTGCTCTATTTTGCCAGCGCTTGTTACCTCTTCCTAGGGCACCATTGTGTGCGTGCGTGCGTGCGTGCGTGCGTGTGTGTGTGTGTGAGAGAGAGACAGAGAGACATAGAGTCTATGATATAAACATGCTTTTTTCCCTCTTGCTTTAGAGAAGTCCCAAGTATGTCACTTGTTTCATCTACATTGCGAAGAATTTAGGGAAATAGTTCTTTCAGTTTTTACTTGGAGCATTCTATCTCTCTGGAATCAGAGATTCTGGAGATGAATTTCTTGAGAGTGCAAGGCAGTAGTAAAAATCCCTATGCCTAAACCTCCATGATGAGAAAGTCTTTGTTAGGGGTAGGCCCATCACGGCTGGGTGTTTCTGCCCATAGGAGGACTTCTCCATTACAGGCTCCCAGCCTTTCCTCATCAGGCTTCTGCAGAAGCATCCCACCAGTATGATTTGTGTCCAGTTATGTCTACACAGTGGCAGACACAATTAGAACTCTGTCGCAGAAGGCTGCCAGGCCTGCTGACCCCTAGTTCCCACTGGGCCCATCCTGACAGGCATGTTTAAAACTGGTAGCAGATAGGTCTAGAATCAAGCTGAAATCCCTGCTACAGATGTGAATTGTATGCCATATACATATGGTATATGCCATATGCCAACGAAAGAATTGACTTATATCCTGCCTACCTCCAAATGTGAGTATGGGCACATGCCTTAAATTCCAGGTATATCACAGTTCATTTACTTATTTATCCTTCTTTTATCCAAGAAATAATACAAGCTGCTTTAGACACAGTTCCTATGTCACAGCCCTCATAATCTGTTGCTTCACTTTATGTCTTCATAGATGTGAATTCTCTAGTTAAAGCTTGATTTACAACATATTTTAGTTAACTTTGAAAAATATTCATAATGAAGTTAAAATACTAGTATCAACAACTCTCTGTATTCAATCTCTATAGATGCAAATAAAGTATTACAATCAGGCATATAGAAGAAGTGTGCAATTTAGTCTACAAGGGATGTATCAATGTTCTTATGTTTTAATGTTCTTACTACTCTCTTTGTCCCAGGTTATGCAGATGTATCTTCCATTTTGTGGAATCGCCATATCTAACGCTCAGCTCTTTGCTGCCTCAAGGAAAGAATATGAAAGAAGCAGAGTGAGTAAATAAAAACATTGTTGACACTCCTCAAAACTCTCTTTCTGGTTTCTGTAAGTCATTATGTCTTTTAAAAACAGCCAATGAATGATCTTTGAATAGTACAGGAATCTTTTTTATTTGTATAATTCTGCAAGGCTGTGGTTGAAGATACACTTTAAGCAATAAGCCCAAATGGAAGTGGATACACATTATCTGTTGTTATTTGGGGGAAGGGGTACAAGCTTCTTTTAAAAATGAAATTGGCTGGGCACGATGGCTTAAGCCTGTAATCCTAGCACTTTGGGAGGCCAAGGTGAGTGAATCACCTGAGGTCAGGAGTTCAAGACCAGCCTGGCCAACATGGTGAAACCTTGTCGCTACTAAAAATACAAAAATTAGCCGGGCGTGGTGGTGGTGCCTGTAGTCCCAGCTACTCGGGAGGCTGAGGCAGGAGAATTGCTTGAACCCAGGAGGCGGAGGTCACAGTGAGTGGAGATCGCACCACTGCACTCCAGCCTAGGTGACAGACTAGACTCCATCTCAAAAAAAAAAAAAAAAAGGAGATTAATATCACATCTATACTATAAGGCAGCAGATATATCCTTGCTTACTTATGGCTTTGAAGCAATAACACAATTTGGTGATGCTTTTACAACTAAGTTCCTTTAAGAAGCAAGTTATGTTACAAACATGATCTTACCCCCACTTCCCAGATTTTATTTTTGAATTGAAACAATTTTTGGATTGAAACCATTTTTGGATTGAAAGGGTTTCTGAAAGTGCCCTTCACTAGATACTTGGAACAATAATGCAAAGACTGTTTTACAGTATTATAAAGAAACACTTAGAGAGCTCTTTTATACCTTCAGGAGCTATAGATCTAAGTTGCAAAAAAGGCAAAGTCTAGTACTCAAAAAATGCTACATTATCAAATAGAGATTAAATTATATTATACTCATTCTAATTTTAAATATAGGAAGATTACTGTAACAACTTAGAAATATATTTAACAAAACGATGTTCAAAAAGGTTTGAAACCCTAATTAATCTGGCCATCAAGTTGATTAAAATTTCATTTGCTAATTATTATGATTTATGGATATTTTTATCAGTAAACAGATGAACATAGTTGACTAATATAGCCATGGTCTTTAGCATGACATACCACATCTTTTCTCTGTTTTGATCTTCTTTTCATCTTTAGCCCCATGTCTTACCGTGCTCCTGCTTTCATCTGGAACTCCAGCAATATAGTCCCCAATTTCCAGCAAACAATCTGTTTCATTTGATCATACCTTTAGCCGTATTCCTCCCTCGGCCTTCAATGCCTCATGTCAATCCAACTCCTTCCAACCACATCATGTGCCTCACACATTCTTCAGGACCCAGCTCAGCTTTCTGATTAATCTTCCCTTCTTCACTTATGGTTTTGCCTTGTATCTACTGCCACTATTCTATTATGAATACTTATCACACTGTATTATGATATTTGAGGAGGGCCCGCCTCTCCAACTACATTTTGAACTCCTTAAGTGAAGCTTCATATATGATTAATCTTTGCATTCTTGTGTATGGCACAATTAATTTATTCATTCAACAAGTATTGATTATGTAGTTCCCTTCACATGCTGTCTATCCAAATCCCTACCCTTACGGAGCTTACTATTCATGAGAACAATACATATTAGATAAGAAAACAATTTTTTTAAATTGCATAGTATAGGTAGCAATAAATACTGCAAGGAAAAATAAAGTGAGATAAAGGGATAAAGGGTTGAGGAAGGCTGAGTTGGGAGGATGTTTATTTTAGAGGGTTATCAAAAAGGTCTGTATAAGGACATGATCTATAAGCAGAAACTTGAATGAAAAGAAGGAGCAAAGCCACATAAAGGTCTGCGGAGAGCATTTCTGGCCATGGAATACCAAACACAAAGGACCTGGGGCAGGAGAAAGCTTGGTCAGTGTGTTTAGAGAGCAGAGAGAAAGGGGAAGAGTGAAAGGGAAAAAAAATAAAATGAGGACGTGGAGGCAGGCCAGATGGTAGAAAAGCCTGTGGGCATGGCAAGGGCTTTGGCTTTCATTCTGAGTGCAATGGAAAGCCATTAGATGATTTTGAGCTGAGTCTGACTTACTTTTAATAGAGTTCACTCTGGCCTCCCTGGAGATAATAAACTGGCTGGGGAGGGAGGGAGAAGGCTGGAGCAGTGAGAGGACTTAGGAAAGAACTGTATTGAAGTCAAAAAATAATATGGCTGGGACTAGGGCAGTGAGAAGTGACAGATTTCCTCCAAAATCAGTGGTGAAATCTGTGGGGGCTTGCTGATATGGGAAATGAGTGAAAGAGACTCTTGGCTGGCACAGCTGGCAAGTAAACAGTTGGATACAGGAGTCTAAAGCTCTGGGAAGATGTCAGGACTGGAGATTAAGATTTGGGAACCAGCAGCATATAAAGGCTATTTAAAGCCAGGAATCTAGCTGGGTTAATTTAGGGAAGAATATGTAGATAAGAGAATGGAAAGCTCCAAGGACACATCCAGGAGCAAAAGAAGGTCACTAGAAGGAGGGACAAAATGCAGATACTCATTTCCTGGAAGGCAAGTGACATCAAGAAGCAGGGCCTATTCAACTGTGTAAAATACTTCCATTATCTGTTGAATTGGATATTGTCACACACATCCGTGTGAAGAGAGTCTACCAACAGGCTTTGTGTGAGCAACAAGGCTGTTTATTTCACCTGGGTGCAGGCAGGCTGAGTCTGAAAAAGGAGTCAGCAAAGGGTGGTGGGATTATCATTGTTTCTTATAGGTTTGGGATAGGCATACAAAGTACATTCTTAAGGGCGGGGGAGAATATTACAAAGTACCTTCTTAAGGGCGGGGGAGAATATATCGTATCAGTTAGGGTGGGGCAGGAACAAATCACAATGGTGGAATGTCATCAGTTAAGGCTATTTTCACTTCTTTTGTGGATCTTCAGTTGCTTCAGACCATCTGGATGTATACTTGCAAGTCACAGGGGATATCATGGCTTAGCTTGGGCTCAGAGGCCTAACAGATATTATCCTAGATTTTCTTCTCTTTTTCTCCTATCCTGGAGCTAGTCTGCATTGTTATTTGTAAAACTTCCATCACTCATTAATAAAGCAATTTTAAATTAGAAACAATAAAATTACTGTAATGTGATTTGTCAGTGCAAGACTCAAGGCACAATTAATTTTTCCTCTGAGATAAATATTCTTGTATATGGATCCCAGAGGCTCTCTCCATGCAATCACAACAAATTGAAAAGTTAAATAATTGTTCAGTTAATATGATCCATCTGAAGAAATAGTCTAGATGATTAAAGAAATAATGTTTTCCCCATTAATAACAGGGCTTTTTGCTTGTAATTACTGAGACAATTGTCTCATTTTTAATGTCTAAACATGAAATTATTGTTCATTGACCCCTTACAGAGATTTGCTGTCCAAATGCCAAATATCAAGATTCACTTAAAAGTTTTTTCACCTTTTGATGTTCCTGTTTGCTTTGGGATCATGGAGCAATATGGTCCTTAGCTCTGTTCAGTCTTTCTTTAGAGATAATGTAACCACCCAGTGGGTTCACTTTGCCTGCTGCCTAGACAAAGCTGATTTCTCAAGACAGGGGAATTGCAAAAGAGAAAGAGTAATTCACACAGGGTCAGCTGTGCCAGACACCGGAGTTTTATTATTACTCAAATCAGTCTCCCTGGATCAGAGTTTTTAAGGATAATTTGGTGGGTGGGGGAAGGCCAGTGAGTAGGGAATGCTGATTGGTTGGGTTGGAGATGAAATCATAGGGAATTGAAACTGTCCTCTTGCCCTGAGTTAGCTCATGGATGGGGGGGGTCACAAGATCAGATGAGCCAATTTATCGATCTGGGTGGTGCCAGCTGATCCATCAGGTACGGGGTCTGCAAAATATCTCAAGCACTGATCTGAGAAGCAGTTTAGGAAGAGTCAGCTGTATGACTCCTAAGCCATAATTTCTGATCTTGTGGCTAATTTGTTAGTCCTTCGAAGGCATTCTAGTCCCCAGGGAAGAAGGAGGTTTGTTTGGGAAAGGGCTATTGTCATCTTTGTTTTAAACAATAAACTATAAACTGTGTTCCTCCCAAAGTTAGTTCAGCCTATGCCCAGAAATGAACAAGGACAGTTTGGAGATTAGAAGCAAGATGGAGCTGGTTAGGTCAGCCCAGTTATAATTTTGCAATGGTGGTTTCAATAACCCTACCCAGGATATTTGGTCCTCTTTCAATTGCTCATTGAACTGGACTCATTTCATGGATTTCTTAACTCATTCACATGTTTTTTTCTTTTCTTTTCTTTCTTTTTTTTTGAGATGGAGTCTCACTCTGTCATCCAGGCTGTAGTGCAGTGGCGTGATCTCAGCTCACTGCAACTTCCGCCTCCGAGGTTCAAGTGATTCTCCTGCCTCAGCCTCCTGAGTAGCTGGGACTACAGGCATGCACTACCACACCTGGCTAATTTTTTTGTATTTTTAGTAGAGACAGGGTTTCACCATGTTGCCCAGGCTGCTCTAGAACTCATGGCCTCATGTGATCTGCCTGCCTTGGCCTCCCAAAGTGCTGGGATTATTGGCATGAGCCACCACACCCAGCTACTCAAATGCTTTTTTACCTGAATAGATTCAGAGAAGAAATTGTCACATTTCAAATAATTTCAGGACAAATCAAATTCATTATTGAAGTTGAAAATTAGTCATGTCCCTGAGATGATGATCAGCACCATGATGAATAGATGTGAATTTGACAATTCATGAATTCCTTTTGTGAGAGGTCAGACTTGAGATTGCACCTCTTTCTACATTCTGTTGAATCAAGTGCCCTCTGGGCAATTCACTGACTATGTAATTTTCTGATTGCTCTCTGAGAGAAGCATAATGTCTACCACCTGTACATAACCTACTAATCTTAAATCTCTGGAAACATCCATGCCATTAAAAATTCCAAACAAATATTATTTATTATTTATTTTTTATTTTTCACAAATCCATACCTGACCTGAGCAAACAAACATTATTTCAATGCAAAAAAATTGCAGCTAATTTCTTAGCTAGAGAAAACCACGGGTTACTACAATTTAATTTTTAAATAAGTACACAGTTTTCAAGTTAGAGCTTAAGATTTTTTTCTAAGTTGTCTGCTTTTCATTCTGCTGTTTTAAAAAAAAATTAATGTGTTTTCTTTCCTGATATATAAATATCTAAATGTTCTTCTGGACAGTTTGGGATAAAGCAGTATTTCCTCTTGGGTAGAGGAATTAAGGAGGGTACATATGTATGTGTGTATATATGTATATTTTTGTATATGGAGGGTATATATATTTTATATATATGAAGGGTATGTATATATTATATATATTTATATTATATATGTAATTTATGTATTTATATTTAGCAAAGACTAAATGTAAATTACATATATATATATATATATTTAAGAATCTGAAACTTAATTAGCATTCACCTCTCTAATTCTTTCAGAGTTATGTAAGGGATGTGTATTAGTGAAAATGTCTCAAGTTTGACCAAGAACCTGTTTCTTCCTGATAGTGAGGAAAAGCTGCTTTGTAAGTTTCTGAAATCCATGTGCTTTGGAGGTATTCATTATTTATAAAATGTTTTTTGGTTTTGTTTTTTTGTTGTTATTGTTTGTTTGTTTGTTTTTTAGAAAGAGTCTCACTCTGTTGTCCAGACTGGAGTGCAGTGGCGCGATCTCAGCTCACTGCAACCTCTGCTCCCTGGGTTCAAGCAATTCTGCCTCAGCCTCCAGAGTAGCTGGGACTACGGGAACATGCCACCATGCCTGGCTAAATTTTTTTTGTATTTT
This sequence comes from Homo sapiens, assembly GCF_000001405.40. Lineage (NCBI taxonomy): Eukaryota > Metazoa > Chordata > Mammalia > Primates > Hominidae > Homo > Homo sapiens. The sequence goes on along the minus strand of NC_000002.12, from coordinate 177,899,244 downwards.
TAGTAGAGTCGGGGTTTCACCGTATTAGCCAGGCTGGTCTCAAACTCCTGACTTTGTGATCCACCTTCCTTGGCCTCCCAAAGTGCTGGGATTATAGGCATGAGCCACTGCGCCCGGCCAAAATATTGGGTTTGTACCTAGTTGCATTGCAGAAAAATCACTACAGAAAAGTGGAAATGCCTGTAGCTAATGGTTATATGATCCCTGTGTCAAACTGAAATATTAATAATCAGAATCTAGTTTTAAAGAGTTTATTCAAGTGAAAAGCTGGGAATGGCCAATTCGGGAGATACAGACTCCAGAGAAATGGGGTAAATGTTCCAAAGTTAAAAGTTAAGCTCCTGCTTCTACAGGCACAAAGTAAAGAAATTTAATAGGGTTTCAGCATTTTCTATACAAGGCCGGTGTATGAGTTATAGCAATATAATTAGTTACAGTTTGTTTTCTTTTCTATACAGCTTGTTTTCTTCATAGCTGGTTTTCATTTTCTTTCCAATTTAAAAGAGTATATTTAACATTCCATCTTAAGGCAATGTTATGGCTATGGAGTCCTTGTGTGAGAAGAGTAAGAGGGAAGTTAATCTGTAATGAAGATCAACAGTGAAGAGGGAAGGGGTATTCTCTGGTGCTCATTAGTAATTTTCAACATTTTACCAAACAATTTTGGTAAGGAAGAAGGCTAATCTATAGTCAAGAGAAACAAGGGTTATAGCTGCCTTGGTTACACCTGCCTCTCAAGTGACCCCTATAATCAGCATCCTTTAAGACTCAAAATAATCTAGAGTTCCAATAGCTTAGGTTTTGAATTACTTATCTTCACACCTGTTACAAGAACTAGCTCTATTCTCAAGTTGTATTTTGCAGTTTAAGCATGTGTTCTAAAATTGAGAGATAAAAATATGTCAAAACAATCATAAAATTTTTTAAAATTAGCTACACAAAAAGATTTACTATATTTTATTGAAGCAAAGATTAAATTTTAAGAAGAAAAGCAACTTTTTTTCAGTTTTACATCCACTTATATACATCTATTTCATCTTTTCTAGGCTTTGCTAGAGGTGGTTAATGACCTCTTTGAAGAACAGACTGACCTGGAGAAAATTGTCAAGAAAATAATGCATCGGGCCCAAACTCTGCTGAAATGTGAACGCTGTTCTGTTTTACTCCTAGAGGACATCGAATCACCAGTAAGTTATCTTTTATCTTTTAAAGTTGAAGACTGTGTGAATGGAATAAAGTTGAGTTTATTTATAATTAAACTTGTGAAATTGTGACTTGATTCACTCTTCGTGACTCTTCAACCATGGGGCAACTTTTCATCAAACAAGTTTTTTATTTTCTTTATGTGTATTTCATTCTCTTTTTGCAGTCAACTTAGAAACATAGACTTTTAAGCTAACAGGGACTTTAGAGATCTAACCCAGGCCTTTGTAATTGCAGATGAAGGAACTAAGGGGTTCAGTGATTTGCCCAACCTCACACAGCTCCATTAGAAGATAAACTCAAGTGTCTGTCTCACATTTTATTTACCTATGAAGGGTAAGGCCCTCAGCATTTCGGGGGGTGGATTTCAGTCCAGAGAATGCTCCATGGTCTTCTTAAGGCAAGGAGGAAGCAAACAAATGAGTGGAGATTCAGTACCCTTAGCTCTTGGAGCCCAGACAAACTGGACTCGAGCAGAATGGAATGGCCAACCGAAGCTGGGCCCTTCCCTGCAGCAGATTTGTCCTGTGGAGGCTTCCAGGTTCTTTCACAGCTGCTGTTAACCTGCGAATTCTGGCACAAAGTAGCCTTACCAGGTGAAGGGGGCTGCTGTTCACTTCCCTGCAGGGGTTCCTGCTGCTCCATAGGGAAACATCTCGTTCAGAGCCTTAGGGCTGCCTCACCGTGGCAATTTGTGGCCAGCTTTCTGGTTTTGTTAAGCCCTTTGGCTTTCAGGGGGAAATCTGCTGGGTAGATAAGCAACAATATTGAAATAATAATCATCATCAATCTAAATTCTTGAAAGTTAAATGTCTAAACCCTTGGCAGCAATTTAATATTTTTGCTGAGAACTTGCTTCAAAGATCGGGAATTGTGTAGCAATTATTTGCTTTAATACCTGACAGAATGTTATTTTGCCACACTTTACTTAGAAAAGATTATTCCCTTTGCCTTTGGGTTTGTTTTCCTCAAAGAATAGGAACCTTAGGGTAAATTTTGGACATTTAATAAGTATTGTAAGACTTACAATATTGAGTATCTTTTAAAATCTGTATATGTCTAAAATGTTTAGGAGTGTTTCCCCAGATTTTAGCAGAGATTGGGGTTATTTCTGTTTCAGTCAGTGCGGTTTACACAAACAATAGCCTGGAAAGTATCCTGTGATTGTATAAATCTCAGCTGAACCTTGGGAGAACATGCACACACACACACACTCCAATAGGCCATACTTATGGAGTGTTTCCAGAAACGTTGTGAAACATTTGCATTCTTTTAATCCTTATCTTATAAGGTAGGTGTTACTATCATCCTATAATAATTTTATAGATGAGGAAATAAGGCTCAGAAGGTTGTGTGACTTGCCAGTCACCTCCACTGCCTGACTCTAAAGCCCCTTAAAGGAACGGGAAGTGGTAGGGGTGCTCATTAATACCTGGCAGATTTCAGGGCCACAGAGAAGCCCCCATTAAACAAAGGCAGGAAGGGGCAACTGTTGGGGCTTTGGCTGCCAGGATAACCTGAACCACCCCAAGGTCCCTGTGGGAGCAAGTGGCTGGGGGTGAGGGTCTGGGGTATGCAGGCTGGAATCTGGACACAGGCAAACTCACTGTTTGCTAGCTCACTTGTAAACAGATATAAAAACAACTTAAACCAGTTAAGCGTGGTCATTCTTGCTAATCTTCTAACTTCGACTAATTTTTATGGTGTGGTCTAACTCTTTGGCAAATGACCAAAAAAATATAGATGATGGAAGTTGATATAGAATGTTGGGGCAGAGCTGGAGGGAGCAGTAGAAACAGCAGTATCTTCATGGTATAAAGTAGGAAGAGGAGTGATCAAAATACACCATCTAGATAGAGTAGATGGTACAAACGATAACAGCGCTGGCTGGTATTCTACTGAAAGTTCAAAAGGCCTCTTTGCTATCACTGCTGAACATTCTAAGACTAATGTTGGGGCAGAAAATTCTGAACCACTCCTCATCATTTCTTCTCTTTTCTTACCCATCCCCCTCCAAAGTGATATTGATGGAAAAACCAAACTCCATAAAATATTTTATTTTTGTTTTGTTTTGGCTTTTTGATTTTTTAAATTCTAATTTTCTAAATTTTAATTGATAAATAATAATTTTATGTATTTCTGGTATACAGTGTGATGTTTTGATACATGTATATATTGTGGGATAATTATTAATGTATAATTTGTAATGTATATGTATAATCAAAAACATAGTCCTTCTATCTAACGAAACTTGTACACTGTGACCAACAACTGTCTACTCACTTTTACTTTTAGCCTCTGGCAACTACCATTCTACTTTTTTCTTCTATGAGTTCAACTTTTTAAATTCTAGAAATAAGTGAGATCATCCAGTATTTGTCTTTCTGTACCTGGCTTATTTCACTTAACATCCTTCAAGCTAATTCATGTTGTTTGAAATTACAAAATGTTATTCTTTTTAAAGGCAGAATAGCTTTTTTTTTTTTTTGAGGTGGAGTCTCGCCCTGTCCCCCAGGCTGGAGTGCAATGGCGCGATCTCAGCTCACTGAAACCTCCACCTCCTGGGTTCAAGCAATTCTCCTGCCTCAGTCTCCTGAGTTGCTGGGATAACAGGCACCCACCACGATACCCAGCTAATTTTTGTTATTTTTAGTAGAGTCAGAGTTTCGCCATGTTGGCCAGGCTGGTCTCGAACTCCTGACCTCAGTTGATCCACCCACCTCGGCCTCCCAAAGTACTAGTATTGCAGGTGTGAGCCACAGCACCCGGCCCAGAATAGCATTTTTTAAATGGATAATTGTTTCTGTTACCTTGTGTATTTTGTAGACTTATTATTGAAAGTTTTCTCTGTCATCAAGTCCCTCAGAGCACCTCCAAAAAAGCATCTCTTGAAATATGAAACTCACTCCTTTTTTTTTTTAATTTTAAGTTCAAGTATACATGTGCAAGTTTGTTATATAGGTAAACAGGCTTATTCTGAGCCAATATGAGTGACAGTGGCCCAGGGAAAATACAAACAGAAGAAGCCTTGAATAAGTGGTCCCAAGGTAGTTGGATCACAGTTTGGTTTTATACATTTTAGGGAGGCAGGAGTTACAGGCAAAGACATAAATCAATACATGGAAGGTGTATATTGGTTTGGTCCGAAGGGCAGGATATCTTGAAGCAGGGACTTACAGGTTACAGGTAGGTTTGGAGATTGTTTAATTTGCAGTTGATTAAAGGAGTAAGGCTCTATCTAGAACTTAGAGTCAGCAGAAAGGAATGTTTTAAATTAAGATAAGGATGCTATGTAGCAAGATTGGTGGCCTGCAGGAATGACTTAACCCTTGCCTTACATGGTGTTAGGTCTTGTTTATAATTTGGTATATTATTGCCACAAAGAGTCTGTTTCGTGAGTCTTATGATCTCTATTTGAACATTAATGCTGCTCAGCTGTGTATGAACTCCAAAACGGAGGGTGAATAATGAGGAGGCTATTCGACTTTCCTTCCATTTATGGCCAGGAATTCAGTTTTTAAGGTTTTTCTTGGGTCCCCTTGGCCAAGAGGGGGTCTGTTCAGTTAGAGTAGGATTTTATTTTTAGTTTATAGTGAGAATGAGCTCCTGTAACACCATACGGATGAACTCTAAAGGTTAAAAGTGAACCAGGTGAAAAAAAATATTAATCTGCTCAGTATTATTCCAGAAGCAGTGAAGACTTTTTGGCAAGTCTGCTGCCTGTGGAGGTGGTGGGAGAAGTTTGGGGTAAAGGTATCTATTTATGTGGCATCCCCAGCAGAAAACTTACCAACACTAGGCATTCCTTTAATACACTTCTCACCAAAGGCTTCTCAAACCTTTAGGCTTGTAGGTGTCACAGTTCTGTGCACCACCCAAGTTGTACAGTAGAAATTATAGAAAGGATACTAGAAACAGTCCCACCACATTCAGGAGAAGAAGCCAGGATAAACAGGAAACTGTTTATCTCTGCCCCCACATTCAATATCAACTTCCATCATCTGTACATTTTTGGTCATCTGCCAAAGAGTTAGACCACACCATAAAAACTAGTCCAAGTTAGAAGATTAGCAAGAATGACCACCCTTCTAATCTACTGTATTAGAAGATTTTCAAACTTGACAAAGTTATTTTTACTGGAAATATTTCAATAATAGGTATATTTTTATAATAATAAGGGAATCCATATAAGATCTCAATATTACCAAGCAAATCCACAATTATACCTTTTCCATATTACTTATGACCTTTCTTTCCTTATTATTATCAATGAACATATCACTAGCAGGATGCTTCTTAGACAGTCTTCATCACCTCTGATGCCCCTGGTATTTATGATAAACACCAAAGAGCTTTTCCTTATGCAAAGTGCTAGTTCCATTTTTAGATGTGTTATAACCAATAGTTATCTACATAACATAAAACAAAAATTTCAGGAAAAAAAGATTGATATCAAGGGGTTAAGGGAAGTCCCCCTGTCCACACCCCTCCCCAACTTGACAGTAAGCATGTGGTATGTTACTTCAGGGGAGGAATTACTCATAATACAGGAACAGCTAAATGGGTTTTTAGGTTCCAAAACGGGCTTTTAAAATTTATAGCAGGGCTTTGCACAGTAGCATGCACCTACAGTCCCAGCTACTCAGGAGGCTGAGGCAGGAGGATTGCTTGAGCCCAGGAGTTCAAGGACAGCCTGGGCAAAATAGTGAAACAACACCTCCGAAAATCAATCAATCAATAAATAGATGAATAAATAAATAATATAAAATTTATAGCAGGGTTATTCTGGAAAACCAAAACTTTTTCCTAAAGGCTTGAATGAATCAGAACCTAAAATTATGAACAAAACAGTAGAATGAAAAGAGAATAGATGAAGCCCTAGACTATCCCATTCTTGGATTGCCTGGACTAAGGGAGGAGAGGTGGAGAGGAGAATAATAAATGTGAGGTTGTCAGTCTTCCTAACCTTGCTCCCAGACTCAATTCTCCGTATAGTGGTGGTGGTGGGCATTGGAGAGCAGGTGGGGGGAGTTGAAACTTCCCCCAGGCATCATGGCAGGAAAAAAGAGGTGACAATGTCAGAGGCAGTAAGAGGCAGTGAGAGCCTGACAGCTTTTCTAGAGTCCCAAAGGAGCATGAGAGGCAAATGCAACTTTTCCCATTTCCTGGCAGACATTAACAGATGAGGGCTGGGGCCTGAAGAAGCCTGGCTGTCAGGATGAGGAAGGGACAGGGTTGTGACCTAGTCCTGGAGGGGCTGTGGATATTTATGCATATCCAGTGTTAGGAATGACTGTGCTGAGGGCCAGCAAGGCCTTCTTATCTCAGAACAGAGGCCAGTCTGGGTGAGCAGGTGACTGCAGGCCAGCCATGTCTCCTCCAAGCACCCAGAAAGGTGCATGTCTCCTTGGTGAAAATTTCAGTATTAAATGAGTCTAAATCTGAAATGACTGAGAAAACCTGAAGTGGCTGAGTTTAACTGGAGTAATCTCTTTTGTCTTCTGCCAATAAGCAGACTTGAGGCTTAAGCAGATAAATTTAGTTGAGTTATAGAAAAAGAATATGTTACTTTTTTGTATAGCTGTATCTGTGAACTTTTAAATCTATAATCAATATGCAAATTATATTCTCTAATTAGTTATCTTGTATTCAATCCACATATATAACAATTAGATAGATGGGGAGAATGATGTATTATTCTATGAATGTTTTGGAAGCAAATGGCTGGCAATTTGGAAAAAAACCGTAAGAAGCTGGATTTCTAGTTCATACCTATAAAAATATAATTTTATAAAAGGCAAAATTATGATTCATATAAATATAAAATAAATGCAAGTTGAAGATTTTTTAAACTCATTAATGTATGAGGGAGCCAATATGACGTTAAAACCAGTCCAAAGAGCACTTGAAAAGTTAGGTGTTTATGGGCAATGTTAAGATACAATTTCAAGGTTAAAAACAATACTGGTTAAAGACAAAACTAAGCCATAAACTATAATCTTCAAGATTATCTTTTCTTTTGGAGAGAATGACTTGTATCTCTACCAGAGAAAGGTACAAGTTAACATGTAATTTCACTAAATCTGGAGTCTTTTATCTGTATTAACCAGTGAGAGGAAGGAACTAAGTACATTTCTTAGATCAGAAATTGGCAATTTTTTCTGTAAATGCCCAGAGAGTAAATATTTTAGGGTTTGCAAGTCACACAGTCTCTATTGCAGCTACTCAACTTGGCCCATTATAACACAAAAGCAGTCATAGACAATACATATAAAGAATGAGCATGGCTGTGTTGCAATAAAACTTTATTGACAAAAATAGGTAGTAGATCAGATTTGACTAGCAGACAAGGGTTTACAGACCACTGTTCTAGATAATCCTTTGCCGTCTTATAACATTGAAAAATGAGTACCCAGCTTTTTGCCTTATTTCTGTAATGCCAATGTAAACTTCAGAAGAATCAAAGATTCAATGTTAAAAAATCAAATGCAAAAATACTGGTTAATATGTTTTATTCACTAGGTAGGTAAAGGCTCTTTAGAACAATCATTCAATTCTGATGAGAATAAGCACTTTCAAACAGCTCTATGATTTTTTCAGCCATCAGATTGGTAAAGCTTGAAAATAATTATAATAACCAGTGTGAGTATGGGCATTAGAAAATTGACTTTCTCATTACTGATATGGGAACTTAAGTTGGGATAACTTTTATGGTCATAAGTTTGGTAAAATATATTTGGAGATGGAGTCTTGCTCTGTCACCCAGGCTGGAGGCCCAGGGTGGAGTGCAGTGGCATGATCTCGGCTCACTGCAACCTCCGCCTCCCGGGTTCAAGCAATTCTCTTGCCCCAGCCTCCCGAATAGCTGAAAATATATTTTAACTTGAAAAAGGGGTAACCTTTGCACCCAGCAACTCCTCCTCTTAAAATTTAGAATAAGGAAATGGATGGAGATGAGACCAAAATGAGTATATAAGGATACTTACTGCATTCCTATAGTAGTGAAAATGTAAATAATTCAAATATCAATAGAAGTTTATTTAATGAAATTCTATGTAGTGTTTTAAAACAATGATATATGACTATATTCATAGAAACAATGTCTTTGATATAATTTTAGGTGAATAATAAAGGGGAGAAACAACATATATAAAAAGAAGCTGTTTTTATCAGAACATGGGTACATAAATGAGATTACATTTTCACAACTATTAAATTGACAGAGCTTTGAATTTTCTCCTTTTGAGTCATATTTTCTTGTATCTTCTCTTCCAGAAGGAGTCATGAGTTTATCATCTCATGGAAGGAAAGGGCAGGTAGTCAACCTCTTAGCAAGAGAACAAACTTAAAAGTCAGGGTGTCAGGAGAGAGGATTTGCTAAATGGATTTATCTTTTAGCAATTAAAGACCAATCTGGACCCAGGACAAGACATGCAGACTCCATAATCCACAAAAGAAGTTCTCATAACCCCATGCCACAAGTCATCACTCCACTTCCACCCCATATAAGGTTGGGAGGGCTACTTAATTCAGTAGAAATTAGATAAGATGAAGTATTTAATAAAAGGCTGAGTGAGGTTACTTCCCTTCAGCCATCTTGGGTAGAGCACAATGTTCACCAAAATAAGTCATGTATACTTGCTTGAAACAGTAAGAGCAGGTGCCTGGGCAGGCTCGGGGATGTTTCTTGAGTCCTCCTTGCTGCCATAGATTGGCAGAAGGTGTGGCCAGGGTGAGTGGAACAAGGAAAGTTGCAGACAAGTCATCCTGGAAACAAGGCTGTTGATGTATCAGGATAAATAGGAACACAAATGGCAAGTCACCCTGCAGCTGCTTATCTTGGCCAGATGAAGATATTTGAAGGCTAATTCATTACACAAAAATATCTATGTCATATTGGACTTTACAGTAAGCACAGGAGACTTCTCACCAGGCAGAAGCTGAAATGGCTGCTCAGAGCAGTGTTGGTGAGAACACACTCAAAGACAATAAACTGAAATTCAAATGCAGCCACCCTAAATCATTCCCCTGACTTCACCCTCCCCATCCATTATTCATTTAAACACTAACACACAACAAAGAGCCACTAGCAGGGGCTCATGCAAAGATACTCCAAAAAAAGAAGTAGGAAGGGATGTGAAAACAAAAGCCAAGTGAAAAACACACACCAGAAAAATGCTTAAAGTTTTCCATGAAATGAGATAAAAAATAATAAGATCTCTCAGGAAAAATAAAGTTGTTCAAGAAAGAGATACAAAAGCTTAAGGAATAAATGATAAGCAGTATAAAAGATAAGAAACTGGGTTGGTAGAACTTGAAAAAAAGTAGAAGAAAAATATGTAGCTGCACAGAAAGGAATACTAGATTAAAAACAAGAAGAAATAATACTTCTAAAATACTTTTAGGCACACAAATAATAAAATTGAAAATAAAATGGATAATAATAAAGCATTAAAAAAGGAGAATGATAAAAATGGAATCAGAATAACAGAGGTCCAAACTAAGTATTCTGGGCAACTCTAAAGAGAACATGGCAAATGGAACAGGAAAAAAAAAACATTCAAAATTATAACACTAGGACATTTTACTGAAATAAAGGCAATCTTGGATTTACAGACTGAAGGAACACACCATTTCAGGCAAAACTGATACCGACTGCTTAGCACTGAAACACATTTGGTGTTAATAGACTTCAAAGATGTTGAAAAAAGCATATGGGCATTTACACACAAAAAAATCAAAGCATCTATTGCAGGAAAATTCATTCTGATGTTAGACTACCTAGTTGCAGTCTCCTGTGCTGGAGGACAATGGGCAATATCTACAAAGTCCTCAGGGAAAGAAAATGTGACCCTATAATTTTAAATCCAAAATTTAAAGCCAAACTCATAGACAATTACACAAGTTGCAGAGAGATATTTTCAAATATACAAAGAAGAGCACAGCAAATGTAGTTCTAAGAAGCCCTTCCTGAAAAGTATGAGAGTTTGAAATCTAGCCAAGCAGGTGATGAGTGGGGAAGTTGGGATAAGTAAGATGGGTATTGAGTATTGAATGTATTTAAATATCGAAGTAAGGCTAAAAACAGTGGAGCATATACTTGTAGATACAAATGTAAACCTTATATTGTAAACCATAACAATGGTGCTGGTTCCCCATGTTCTCCAAGTTCCACAGGTGCAACAGGTGGGTATGGGCATGCACATGCACTGGGTCATATTACAGAAGAGGTCGTATTACAACACTGTGCTTGGGAAATATATCCCTTTTCTGTGGAGTGGTATCAAGCCTGATGTTTGTCTGTGGAAAGATGTTACTTCATCTCCCAGGTTTGCTCACTGCAAATACAATCCTGAGAACTGAACTAGGGCCTTAAAGTCCTGACATGCATGGCTTGGTTTTGTGGATTGCCTCTCTCAACAGGTATATTTGTGGAATATTTTAATTTTAATGTGTCAAATTTATTAACCTCCTTTTTTGATTTTTGCTTTAAGGGTTTTGTTATAAAAATCTTTATCTACCTTTAGCTATAATGGCATTATTGTATATCTTTTTACATCCATTTGGTATGCATGGTCTTTTTTATCCATCTAGAATGTTTTTGTGTGGGGTATAAAGCAGTATGTGTATAACCAATTGTCTTAGAACTGTTTTGCCTCCACTTTGTAGTGGCACTTCAAAATTATAGTTTCCATATATACCTGGGTCTGTTTCTGAGCTCACAATTTTGTCCTGCTGGTCTATTTGTTTATTTCTGCACCAGTATCTATCTGAATTTCTGTAATTTTGTAATGCATTTTGATATCTGATAGGCCAAGTCCTCAGTGTTGTTCCCCTTTAAAACTGGCTTGCTTATTCTTGACCTGTCATTCTTCCATAAAATTTTAATAGCAGCTTAGCAAATTCCATGAAAACTCTGTATAGATTTTGATTGAAATGTATCTAATTTATGGATCAATTTGGGTGACTCCTGCAGGTAACAGAATATTCAAGGGCAAGTGGCTTTCACACTGAGAACATTTATTAACTTACATGACTAGAAGTCTCCAGGAGGTGGTTCTGGGGATGACGCAGCAGCCAGATGATGTGATCAGGGACCCAGGCTCTGTCCATTGCCCTCTGTTTGTCTCAGTGGTTGGCCATCACCAGCTGGCTTTTCCCTTTATAGTGCACTAGGCAGCACGTCCACACATAACTGTGTCCAGGAGAAGAAAGAGAAACTTCTTTTCACATCCCTCTCTTTTCTCTCAGGGAGCAAAATCCTTTTTGTTTGTTTGCTTGTTTGTTTGAGACAGGGTTTCACTCTGTCACCTACGCTGGAGTGCAGTGGCACCATCACAGCTCACTGCAGCCTTGACGTCCCAGGCTCAAGTGATCCTCCCACCTCAGCCTCTCAAGTAGCTAGGACTTCAGGTGCACACCACCACATCCAGCTAATTTTTGTGGAAATGAGGTTCCACTAGTTGCCCAAGCTGGTCTCAAACCACTGTGCTCAAGCAATCCTTCCACTTTGGCCTCCCAAAGTGTTGGGATTACAAGCATGAGCCACCGCACCCAGCTGAGGAAAATCTTTTTTTTTTTTCTTTTTTAACGGCTTGTCCAGCCGACGTTTCCTAAGACCCCGTTAATCAAGAATGAAATGTTGTCCAAGTCATCTATATTCTTAATACTTTTCTATTCTTCATCTATCAATCTCTGATTATGGGTGTGTTCAAATTTTTAGCTTAACAGATTCTTCAGTATTTTTTGTCCAATTATGTAGGTTGTTGATTTAGTTGTTTGTATTAATTATGTGTTTTTGAATTTGGGATTGCAGCTGATTTGGATGGGAGAGTGTTTTTGTTTGCTTATGCCATTGCTTTCTTTCTTTCTCTCTTGCCCTCTTTCCTACCTGTCTAATAGTTTGCCCAGCTTCCTGACCCCTAATCAAAAACCAAGACTTATTCTGGTGGCTCAGATTTCCTGCTATGTAGTAATATTACACCAAGCTAGAGGCAGCTTGGTTCAGTTTCTTGGGGTGAAGCTGGGTCACCTGTTTCCCACACCCCAGCAGGAGCTGAAATTCCGACCATCACTGCCAGCCTGTTTCTGGACTTGGAGTTCAGCAGGCCTACATGTCTTCAGGCTTGTGACTTTAGAGATCTTTTCCCTCCTTTCCCTTCTCCTCCCTTTCCCTCTCCTTTTCTTCTCTCTTCCTTTCAATCTCTAAATGTCTTTCTGATTTCCTCTGTGTTTTATCAGTCTTTGCTCTGTTTTTGGAAAAGATCAGATGTGTAAAAGCATGAACTTATAGCACCATCTCTACTGGCATTCTGTACACTACTTTTATAATTAGAAAACAAAACAGTATCATTCAGGAAAATAAAAGTTTCTCCCTCCAAAAGTAAGTTTTATTTCTATTTTATTAGAATAATTCCTGAAAACAAAAGTTCTATTTGTATTTTGTGATTCTAATACTTAAAAAAACTGCTTATTGCAAATTTATGTTTTATGGCCTTTATATTTGAAGGGAATAAGGGAGAAAAAATTAATTCTGGTTGTAGAAGCTTTGATTCACCAAGATCTTAACTCTGTGTTTAGAAACTGCATTTGTGGTCTTTAAGCTAGGCACTCAGGTGTAAACTGTTCAGTTTACTGAATGGATGCCAAAAATAGAAATGAGGAATGCTGTTCTAGCCCTTTCTCCTGACAAAATTAATATTTTGCACCCTTTTGCTTCTCTTAAGTGTTTCAGTCCATTGATTTTAAGTGATTTTGTCAATGGCATTTTCCATTAGACTGGGAAGAAGGAAAGATTGCTCCATAGCTGGCTGCTGCTGTTAACATTAGGAACTATTTAGCTCCTTGAACTGAATATTCCCTGCTTACTGTTATTCCATCCTATGAACCTGTCTAAGCAATTCCTATCACTTCTCTTAGTTCTTTCCAGCTCATGCATTTACTATTATTTCTATTTATTTTTGTGTGTAGTCAAGGAAAGTGAATGTAGACATTTTAATCTTATGTCCTAAGGCACTGTCTCAAGTCCTAGTTTTTACAAGTGTTCTCTTCTCATGTATCATCTTGATGGCTGGCAGCTATTTCGTTGTTAAGAACTCTACGAAGTACTTTCTAACTAAGCTTATAAATACCTGGCTAGTGTCTGGAGTTTCTTTACAAAACTGTGAAGCATAAGCTAGCTAGGCACACTTGTTTTCTTATATCCTCCTTAGCTCCTTGGTCCTTATGTAAATGTACATACAGTTAAGCCAATGAACTAGACAGTCTTCCTGAATCCTACACTCAAGGGGAAGAGATGGGGCGAGCATCCTCCGATTGTTCTGGGGCAGTCCGTAATTCAGTGCCCTCCTTCTCAAGTGAGTTGCAAAAATTGCCTCAGCCTTTGCTTTCTATATCACTTACTTTCCATTTCCCTACCTTTCCTTCTTTGATTTTCCTTCTCCCTATAAAGAAGCCCACTTAAATTCAGTTTGATTTTTGCTCCAAGTGTTTTTCTAGTGTGCAAAGTGGAGAGTATTTAAAAAAAAATCCTCTGATGATTACCCAAACTATTATTGTTATATACACAGTCATCCCTCAGTATCTGTTGGGTATTGGTTCCAGGACAGCGCATGGATACCAAAATCTATGCACACTCAAGTCCTGCAGTCAGCCCTGCAGAACCCACAGATATGAAAGGTCAGCCTTCTGTATCTGCAGGTTTCACATTGCCCTGAATGCTGTATTTTCGACCTGCATTTGGTTGTGGATGCAGAACCCATGGATAAAGAGGGCCAATTATATTAACTGAAAAAATGTGCATATATAGTACTATATATACACACACACACACACACACACTCACATCATTAATGTATCATATTACTTGTTCATACATATTAACTCATTTTATTAATAACTGTATATCAATATAGTAAATCAACTCACATCATTAATCATTTATATGTTAAATAAACATATGTATGCATATATATATTTATATAATCTTCAACTACTGAACCCCTAACCCCACTGTCCATCTCCATTACATCCCATCCCAAATCTTCTCCACCTCTGATATTTCCTATTTAGCCAATAGAACCATCACCATTTAGTAAGTAACTCAAGCTAAAAACTGTAGAGTAGTTTCTAAGTCGTTCTCACTATTCTACATTCACTTGTGTCTATGATCTGTTGCTTCTACCTTGAAACATCATTTCTAGCCCTTCCTTCTCACTCTTTCTACCACCTTCTTCACTGTGTCTTTACTGATCTCTCACTAGGACATTTTTCTCCTGACTCATTTCTTGCTTGCAAAGAGGGCACTCTTCTTTTCAATTACTGCTTCTTTTTAAACATGCACTGGCCTCTCCTATGATTCAAAACATTGGTAGTTGTCTATTGCTTGTATAATAATGCTCACACTACCCAACATTCAAGGCCCATCACTTCTGCTTCTAACTTAACTTGCGGTTCTCCTCTCTGGTCCTCAGCCTTGCTCTATCCTTTACTTCACCTCTACCCCACCTCCCCATGGTCAGCCTAAGCATGTACTAGCCTATTAACACAAAAGATGCATATCTTTGTGCAAATAGTCCCAGTGAAAGACAAAATGCACCAGACAATGAAGATCATTTCATCTGGCTATTGCAATAGGGAGAATGCTCATTAATGGTGAACATCTCAAAGAAAAAGATGGGGTTTCACAGAAACGTATAGACAAGGGAGTTACCTACATCATTCATGAGCCTTACAGGAGTCATGAGGAAGGATGGAGAAATGTCTTATTTTGAAATGTGCTAGGGCAGAGTGGTCTGTTGAGGATAGCCAATTCTGGAACAGTGATAGGGAGATTTCTTTATCATTACTATTTTGGGGGAGCACAGAGCTCAGGTAAAGTTCAACATTGTCAACTCTACTGGCTACTCTCTGGAACCTCTCCACTCCCCAACTACCTATGGTTGGTCTTTCTGTCTTTACCTCAGTGCCCTTGAGGGCTGATCTTTGCTTACCACACCACTTGGGCTTTCTTGTCCTCTGGCTGCCAGTTGGGTTTGACAAATAGAAGGTATGAGCAGAAGATTTAAGGGCCAGAGGAGTGAAAGACATTGGGTGTAGTTATTTTCCTCATTCCTTGTTTACCAGTTCTAGTGGTGGCTAGATCTTTCCATGGCTTCTCTTCACATGGATATCAAAATCACCTCCAGGATCTCAAAATCACCCTTCCCTTCTCCCCTCCCTCCCTCTTGTGTAACCTCAGACCTAGGAGTATTAACTGCTTTCCAAAGTTGCTAGTGCCTGGGTGCCTCACCATTCCTTATGGGCTTCTTTTCACCCTACCCACACTTCTATAGCTTGCCCCTTTATTGAATTATGTTCAGTTAAACTCTTTTGAGAGTTCTCTATTTTCTCCCAGAACGAACTGATTTGTTCCCTCAGCCTGGGAAACTTCCCCCACTTGTCAGCCTAGAGCGTTCCTGCTTGTCACACAGTTCACATGAAGACTTCCTTAACACCTTCCTCTGTGCACTGGTAGCATTTTGGACATACATTGTGGTGAAACATTTGTGAACTGTTTGCTTCTCTGTACTGTGTTGTGAGTTTCTCAAGGATAGGATATGGTTTGTGCCCCTTGGTGTTTATAGAGCCTATAGCAGTGCTTGGTGCACTAAGTATTTGATAAATGCTGACTGCATGAATAAATGATTAGAGTAAATTGGCATAAGTAAGAGATTTATTAAGAAGCATAGTAAGAGATGATTGTTTAATTCATTCTTTTTCTTTTTTTTTTTTTTGAGACAGAGTCTTGCTGTGTCACTTAGGCTGGAGTGCAGTGGTGCATCTCGGCTCACTGCAGCCTCCACTTCCCAGATTCAAACGATTCTCCTGCCTCAGCCTGCTGAGTAGCTGGGATTACAGGTGCATGCCACCATGCGTGGCTAATTTTTGTATTTTTAATAGAGACGGGGTTTCACCATGTTGGTCATGCTGGTCTCGAACTCCTGATCTCAGTTATCTACCCACCTTGACTTCCCAAAGTGCTGGCATTACAGGTGTGAGCCACCACACTTGGCCTATTTAATTCATTCTTTTGCCATTTTGAGTAGTCCTCTTATAGAAAAATAGAGATTCAGAAAATTAGAAAACAAAAATCATGATTACTTAGTAGATAATTTTTATTTTGGTGCCCGGAATATCTATTTGAGTATAGTTTTTATTTTTTTAACTTGTTTTTAAGTTAAAAGAACAGAGAGAAGCCAGACCAACTAGCACTTGATAAATATCCAAATCAAAAAGACTTCTGTCCATGGAGCTTTTCCAAAGAACAAGCAGGGAGATGTTTTGTTTACTTCACTTGGCAGGTACACTCCCTTCCCCAGGGTGCAATAATCAGGGCTGATCAGCAGCAAAGGAAGCTTGAAACCAGTTGTTTTGTGTCATTGATTTAGAAACCACTTCTGATATTTCCCTTATAAGATTCTCTTTTTTACTTAGTGTGTGTATATTAATTTATTTAATCCATGTTCATTTAGTAAATGTATAATAAAATCAAAGTTGGATTTAGATAGTAAACTTTTAAAATTAATAAAACTAAGAATTATATAATTGGTCCAAGTCAGGAATAAAGCATAAATTCTATTCTATTTTATTTATGCCTTCACCTATTTGGTATTGGTCATAATTTCTGCAATGTCATTCTATATATCCCGTTAAATTATATCCAAATATTTAAGCCGTTTTTGCTGTTTTATTTTTTAACCCAGGTATCTGACTATAAACAATTTTCTCTTTGAATGCATTATATTTTCAATTCTTTTTAAAAATATAAGTTGTCTGATGCTTTGAGGAGCAGCCAATGGCCTGCCTGCCTAGAATTTGCTATTCAAAGACACTTGTGAGCGTGAAAGTGGGCACTATTAATAATTGTCCCTGGACAACAGGCTTAATTGGAGTGGAACTGTCCCCTGCCAACTGGGGATATATCCTCGAGTATATCTCTTACCACTTACCCTGGTGCCTAAAATTTCTATCATTGCAATACTGTTTCAAATTAAAAGATTATGTCTCCAAGAATCCTCTTTCTGAATATAGCTATATTACATGGGAATATTAATACATTAACCTATCATTAGCCATTAACAATTTAGCAAAAATAACTGATCTGGCCTAGAAATGGCTCTACACCAGAGAAGTTGGCAAACTTTTAAAAATAAAGGTCTGTCTACTAAATATTTTAGGCTTTGTGGCCTGCACGATCTCAATTGCAACTATTCACTCTACTGTTATAGTAGAAAGCAGGCACAGACAATACTTAAATTAATAAGTATGGCTTTGTTACAATGAAACTTTATTAATAAAAACAGGTGGTAGGCCAGATATGGCCCATGGGCCATCCTTTGCCCACTCCTGCTTTTGAGGACTGAGAGGCTGGCAGATGAATTTACATCTCCAGAATTATGTTACTTCTCAACTGTTCATCTTGCTGCCTCATCACGGACTAATGCCACATGTATATTGCCTTGCCAAATAATCTGATGACTCAGGGTCAATTTGGCTGTGAATCTAACCTCAGAGGTCAACTCACCTTGCACTTTAAATTTTTCTTCTTTAAAATGTTGCAGTAGTTGTGGTTCTCCTGAGAAACAGAACCAATAGGAGACTAGATAGATAGATGGATAGATAGATAGATAGATAGATAGATAGATAGATAGATAGATAGACAGATAGATGATAGATAGATAGAGATAAAGATATTTATTCTAGGAATTGGCTCACATAATTATGGAAGCTAAGAAGTCCCACAGTTTACTGTCTGCAAGCTAGAGAACCAGGAAAGCTGGTGATGTAATTCAGTCTGAGTTCAAAGACCAGAGAATCAGGAGTCCCAGTGTCTGAGGACAGGGGAAAAATGGATGTCCTAGCTCAAACAAAGAGACCACATTTGCCCTTCCTCTTCCTTTCTATCTGAGCCCTCAGTGGATTGGACAATGCCCACCCACATTGCTCAGGACAATCTTCTTTACTCAATTTATTGATTCGAATGCTAATCTCTTCCAGAAACACTTCACAGACCACCCAAAAATAATGTTTTGCCAGCTATCTGGGCACCCCTTAGCCCAGTCAAGTTGACACATACCAATTAACCATCACAAATGTTAAGTCTTAAAAGGTTAGAGACCTTATTTATTATTTCTTTGGTATCTCCCTGTGCTATCCAGTACTTTATACACACTGGATAATCAATATTTAACCAAAGATCAGTAAACATCAGTATCTTCATTTTTCTTCTAAAGACACTAATGAAGATTAGTATCTTCATTTTTCTTCTAAAGACACAGGAACCTAAGAATTATGATATAAGTGTAAAGTTAGGGAACATAGTCTACAATACTTTCCTCATTCCTGACACCATTTATGAGTTTTGGAGTTCCCAAGACCATGCTAAGTTTCAGTAATTTGCTAGAAGGGCTCAAAGAACTCATTGAAAGCTGTTACACTCACAGTTACAGTTTACTACAGGAAATCATACAGATTAACATTAGCATGGGGCAGAGTCTAGGAAAATTCCACATGTGGACTCTGCTCATGGAGTCATGGATAGTGTCAATGTCTCCTGGCTATCATGTGTGACAAGATGCATGAAATTTTGCCAACCGGGGCCTGAGCCTTAGTGTCTAGAGTCTTTATTGGGGCTTGATCACAAAAATAGGGTTGACCTGCCCATGCGGCTGACCTCTGACTCCTTTCCTCCAGTGGTCAACTGATACCATGTGTCCCAAAGCTCCCACCCAAATCATATTGTTGGTGTGGCTTGAAGCCCCCATTCTAAATCACACTGTTACTCTTTGCACATTAATCAGGCATTACAAGGGTTTAGAGATTATCTCTCAGGAGCCAAGGACAAAGGCCAGACCTCTCTTTAGGGAAGGTTCAGTTCTTTCCTACATACAAGGTCAATCGTGGTTCATGAATACAGTGTCTGACTTTGATCATGGCACCATAAGCCATTTTACTGGAGGACACAGCTAATGCATTCTATGGAATGCTGAAGTTGAATGATACATAGTCCTTGACTTTCCCCTTATACATTAAAAATGAATTTAGAAAACAAAACAAATAAAAGTTTTGTCCCTATTTTTCTTTTCAGCTTGTAATTTATGTTGGAGTAAGATGTTCTAACATTTTAGAAAAAAGTGTTTTTTCCTTTTAGTAGTTTCTCCAACTTCTTTTACAAGAGTTCAAACATCCTGTCATTTCATTAAGAGATGTATATATCTTATCCATTCTCTGTAGATCTACAGGTTCTATGGCTTTGAAACGCTATTATTTCCTATTCCATTTCTTATATCCCTCAGTTGCTATTCCTCAGATGGAAAAAATATTTTTAAAAGATCTTTATTTTCTTTCATTCTCTGGACATTTCTCACATTTGTTTTCTTAAGATGTGAAACCAGAAGTGCACTTATTTTTTCCAGGGAGCACTAGTTTTGAGGAGCCAGGGCAAATTAAGCTCCCTACCATAAAGCAAGCTCCATAACTGCAGAGATTTTATTTTCTTTTACTTTCACATTTGTAATTCCATTGTACACTACACTGCCTGACACATAAGACGGTACGTATTTGTTGTATTGAAAGATAATTTTCAAAAAGTTAAAAACTTAACTCTTGCAGAAATCTAAAGCAAGCATGTATCAAAGATTTGTTTAACTCATCAAAAAGAGAAACCGCAGAGTGGCAAAGTTGGTTCTAAAATAGGCACTGAAAGAATGCCAGCATAAGATTGCTAGATTAGCTTTTTAAAATGGTTACTACCAGTCAGGATAATACAATTGTAACCATTGAGCTTTTCTTTTCTCCTGCACAGAAATCATTTGCATCTTTACTTGGATAAAATTTATTTGTATTGCTATCAGATTTGCAGAAATTAACATCTACTCTTACCACGCTGTAAATTATTCTAATCAATAGTAAGAAGTAGGCCAAATGAAGCATTCTTATTAATATTGGAGAATTTAATCTCATTTATCAGATCAGGAATTAAAAAAATGTCCTGCTCAATTTTGAAATGCAGAAACAATTAACAGTTTATTGATAATATGATTAATCTTATACCAAGCCAAGTGTTTTACTTCAAGTTACTTTTTAGTCTGTGTTTACTCAAATTTGGGCATATAGGAGGTACTCAATAAATATTTGTAGAATTAGTAAATAAAGTAGAGTTTATTCTGGTTTTGAAGGAGTCATGTCCAAATAATTTGCTGCTGCAATAACACTTGCTCTTGCTTATTAAAGCAGTGAGAAGTGGGATCACTGGAGCTGTGGAATCAGAACAACATGGTTCAAATCTCGGTTCTGCAATTTCCTGCTTGCATGGCTTCCAGCAAACCACTTAACCCCCTAAGCCTTAATTTGCTGTCAATAAAATGAGGATAAAATCTACCTTCTGGGATGTTGTAAGCATTGATACATGCATAAAGGATTGTTTATAATGTGTGAAAAATCCCTCATTTGCAGGAAAATGTCCTCTCTATGTGGTTTGGCTCCCTTTCAGCATAGTGGCCTGAGGGTAGTTGCACTTCTTGCATGGTGACCGAGGGCTCCAAGCACACATATTTCATCAGGCAAGGCAGAAGCTGTGTTGCATTTTACAACAACCTTGGAAGGCATGTAGCATGTCTTCCATATGCTCTATTTGTTGAAGCTTTCAGAAGCCCACCGGATTTAAGGAGAGAGGACGTAGATCCTACCACTTGGTAGGAAAGTGGCAGGGTTACATGGAAGAGAAGAATATGGGATAGAAGATATTGTTGTGACCATCTTTGGAAAATAAAATTTGCCACAATGAGTGATTCTGTAGAGGCTTAATTCATATTACAATATGAAATGAAATATGTTCTATAGTTGTCAAGGGTATTTCCTTGCAGTTGAGCTATTGTCATTGCCCTACATTCATCTGGTCACACAGAATTTTCTTTGTGATGAGCCCTTCTTTTCTATTTTTTCCCTAATGTTGCATTTGCCTAGCTTGAGTTCATTACCTCACTGATAAAGCTTTTTTAAATATTTAATCTATTCCTATTTTCCAAATCATTTTCTCAGGTGCTCATCAATTCCTTGTAAGTGGTTAATTTAAAAGGCCTTTGAAGCATGACTGCGTACGGCTAAGGAAAATCTAAATGTCAACCTTGGAAGCATTCTATGACATTCAGATGGACTCCTTTCACTATAGGGGCTTGTTTTTCTATCATGTGGTATATCTTGTCAAAAGAGGGTATTGGGGCTCAGAAAAGGAGACTTCAAAGCATGGTGCCTTGGCATACTGAGCACGTTGATCTAAAGGAAATTAAAAGGCCTTGGAACTGAGTCCCCTCAGAGCCAAGAACTTTCTAACCTTTTCTTGTTCCTCCTCACAAGTACAAGATGGAACTCTCTTCCATCCCCTCCCTGAAATTTTATTAACCAGAGAATATTATTCGCATATCACAGAAAGGAAGACTGAGGAATGTCCCCATGCCCAGACAGACTTTCCATCTGTTCTTCTGAGGGCACTCTGAGAGATTACCCGGGAGACTTTATCTGCATAATAAGATAACCTTTGGCCAGATGCGGTGGCTCGTGCCTGTAATCTCAGCACTTTGGGAAGCCAAGGCTTGTGCCTCATCTGGGGTGAGGAATTCAAGACTACCCTGGTCAACATGGTGAAACCCTGTCTCTACTAAAAATGCAAAAATTAGCTGGGCATGATGACACGCCCCTGTAATCCCAGCGACTTGGGAGGCTGAGGTGGGAGAATTACTTGAACCCGGGAGGCGGAGGCTGCAATGAGCCGAGATTGGGCCACTGCACTCCAGCCTGTGCGACAGAGTGAGAACCTGTCCAAAAAAAAAAAAAGATAACCTTTGTTTGCAGTGAAGTTCCACCCCTAACTTGCTGCCACCTCCTCCAGAGCTCAGAGAAACTTTGTCCCTGGTCATTGTCTGTTCTTTGGGCTCATTTAATTCCTCTGAAATTTTTTTCTACCCCTCAAAATTGCCTACATCCCCCGTCCGTCTCCCCTATAAAGAGGATGCTATTTAAGCTTCAACCATCTGGCCCTCCTTTGAGTCTCATACTTTATATGGCTTCTGTGCTTCTGCACATTAGTAAATTTGTATGCTTGTTCTCCTGTTAATCTGTCTATTGTCAGTTTATTTCAGCAAACCTTCAGAGGGTAGAAGGAAAGGTTTCCGTCCACCCCTACAAGGGCCAGAAATAGTGCATTTCTCACTCAACATTTGTAGTGTTGAAAGAGCTAGCACTCTAGCATCAGAGAGAATTCCTTTCATGCCAGTTGCCTTATTTAATTGTGTGAAACTGAGTAAGTCTTTTTAAAAATTAGGGGTTAGTTTCCTCATCTATAGACTGAGTATAAAATTCTCTACTTTAGATTTATAATAAAGAAATAATCAAAAAAGCTTCTGCTGTAGGGCCTGGTTTACAGTGTAAACTCAATATTAGCTAATAATAAGAAAAACTACATTGACATTTTCTGTTCCATAAATTCCCCCTCAACATAAGCCTTGGTCAACTCTCGCACTGGTATGCTACTTTCACTGGAGAGGTGAGAGAGGAAGTGTCCACACAAGAATGATTGTTGAATAAGGTGGCTTCCTCTTTACCCTTTAGGTGGTGGTACCACGAAGCTCACCTGAGAACAATGATGAGCCAAGCTTAAAGATGAACTAACTTCAGGAGCCTGGGGTTGACAGAGGGCATCTTCTTTGAGGGGTGTTCTGTCCCTACCTGGGTCTCTTATTGCTGTTGATTGGGTTGTTAAAAGAACAGTTTTCTTTTTAAGTATTCAAATGAGATTTTCCTTTACCTGACCTCCATAGCTCATTGTACACCTAATTGTAAAAATATGTACATGTTTAGTGAAATGTATTAAAACTTTGACAATGTATGCTTTGTAAGAAATAAGATACAAGATGTAGGATGGGATTCTCCTCTTCTACTCTGTCTTGGGATTTCTCCACTTAAAAATCTCTCTATAATCTCCAAGTATTATAATCATTATAAAGATGAAAATGTTTATTACATTATTTTAAACGGCAATAAAGCTTTAATTGACCTGGATTTATTATCTTTCTATGCGACAGGTGGTGAAATTTACCAAATCCTTTGAATTGATGTCCCCAAAGTGCAGTGCTGATGCTGAGAACAGGTAGGGCTTGTGGGGTTCATGGGTCTTTTGATGTTCTTTTGTCCTTGGTGTTAGCAGCATTGCATAATTCTTAGAAGATAGTAGTAGTTCTTTATATTAGCAAGCACAACCAAATATCGTGACTCTTCTGTATTTCAGGGCTTAAATTAAAACTATATCTTAAAAATAAATGCATATACGGCCAGGCGCGGTGGCTCAGCCTGTAATCCCAGCACTTTGGGAGGCTGAGGCGGGCGAATCATGAGATCAGGAGATCGAGACCATCCTGGCTAACATGGTGAAATGCCGTCTCTACTACAAAATACAAAAAAAAATTAGCCGGGCATGGTGGCGGGTGCCTGTGGTCCCAGCTACTTGGGAGGCTGAGGCAGGAGAATGGAGTGAACCTGGGAGGTGGAGCTTGCAGTGAGCCGAGATTGTGCCACTGCACTCCAGCCTGGGTGACAGAGCGAGACTCTGCCTCAAAAAAATAAAATAAAAATAAATAAATAAATAAATAAATGCATATACATCTAGCTTGCAATCAGTTTTTAGGGCCAACTTTTAGTACTTGTAATAGGATTAAAATGTTGCCTTTAGCTTCCTCTTTTCCCTGAACCTTGTAAATTTTTGTTTGTTTGTTTGTCTTGTTTTTTAACGTGGAGTCTCGCTCTGTCACCCAGGCTAGAGTGAAGCACTGCAATCTTGGCTCACTGCAGCCTCTGCCTCCCAGGTTCAAACGATTCTCCTGCCTCAGCCACCTGAGTAGCTGGGATTACCAGGGCATGCCACCACACCTGGCTAATTTTTGTATTTTTAGTAGAGACTGGGTTTCACCATGTTGGCCAGGCTGGTTTCGAACTCCTGACCTCAAGTGATCTGCCCGTCTTGGCCTCCCAAAGTGCTAGCATTACAGGTGCGAACCACTGTGCCCGGCCACCTTGTAATGTTTTGAAATAAATCTTAAGATACTCTGCTGACTCCTGAACTTTGAATCCAAGTTATTTAGGTAAGTTAATATGGAATAGTACTGGAGCAAACCTGTTTTCATTAAGCCAACAGTTTCAGTTTCTTTTCACATCACATATTTGACTAAATCTTCCAATAAAAAAAGTAAAATTTTAGATGTATCTTAGCTGTACAGACAGCCTAATTTTTTACTTTATTTTTGCTCTTTGTTTCTCTTCCTCCCTCTTGTTTGTCCATAATTGGCCAATAACATCCGCTTGGAAAAAAGACTGAGAGAGTTTCCAGTAATTCACTTCTTGTTCTCATTGGCATCTTTGAGGCTATAACAGGGTAGAAGTGAAGATTGCAAGCAATCAGTGAATTTCTCTTAGCTTTTTACTGCCTTGAATAATAGCTGTGTTGCTACAAAAATTCTCTTTGGTTGCCTCTAGAGGAAGGGTTAAAAAATAGTGAAATTAACCAAAATGCAGACATGGAGAAAGAATCGTAAAGCACTCAGGGCAGTATGATGATGATGACAATGATGAAGATATTGATACTAAAATATGAGCAACCTCCATTATTTGACTGTTATGTGTTCCATGTAGTATGCTAAATGATTTATAAGCATTTAATCCCCCAAACAATCTTTTGAAGTAGGCATTCCCCCCATGTTATAAAGGAGAAAGCCAAGGTTCATCAAGTTTAAGTAACTTGTTTGAGGCCCTGCAACCAGCAAGTGGTAGCCACCAAGGACAAGGTCACTTAGATAAGACTCTCCCAACCTCTGAACTTTGATTCCATAACCACACGTCATTTAAAATCTGCTTGTTGATCTCATCTAGTGAATACCTGTCAGGTTAATGTTTCCCAAATCTAATGGGTCAATCAGAATCAGGCTTAGAAAGTTTAGTAGAAACTAAATTCTCAGAACATACACTGAGAGATTCTGATTCAGTACTGCAGAAGTGAAGTCCTAAAGGTCTATATGTTCTAAAGGCCCTCTGGGTAATTACCTATTTCAAGATGTAATACTCAAGAGTAATTTGATTTTTATATCCATTATTGCCTTTAAATTCAGGAAATAGAAACCAGTAAGTAAAAATAAAAAGTAAATTATTTTTTATCAAATGCATGAAGTTTAAAAGGGGCCTTTGCTACATACTATATAACTTCATTTACAGGACATTCTTAAAACATCAAAATTATAGGAAGAGAAAGTAAATCAGTTCATTTCCAGGGACAGGAGATGGAGAGAGGGGTTGACTTCAAAGGGGTAGAGGGTTGTGATGGAACCACGCTGTGTCTTGCTTGCAGTGGTGATTATACAACTGTATTTGTCAAAACTTGGAGAAATTTACCTAAAAAAGGGTGAATTTTACTGACTGTTAATAATACCTTAAAATGGAAATTGAAATGGGAAAAAGAGGTCTTTGGTAAGAGGTTTTATATTCATAAAAATGTATTTATATTCACATCTATATTTAATGCCAGCTAATCTATACCTAACCAAGATATTTAGCATAGAAAGTTACTAGTAGTATACTCAGCAATTTTCCTAAATAGAATGTTATAAAACAACATGAAATACGATAGAAAAATCTCTATTCATGCTGATATCTTTAGCTATTCATGACCTCATATAAGTTATATCTCTCATATATGAGAGGGGAAGCTTTATGTAGTTATTAAAACACAACTTTTGAAGTCCTAATGCTTCAATATTGTTATTTTTTATACTGCTGAACATGTTCTCATGGTCACTTCAGAGTTAAATACTTCTGTTTTTTTATTATTTTTAATCCTGAGAGAACTTCCATGTCAAAATGAAATGACCCAAGACCTAGACTGCTCTTGGCAAACTTTCTGATAATAAAAGACAGAAAGAAAGGTCAGGTTTTCTTTAAAGAGACATTTGAAAAGTGCCTTTGAACTTTGACATTATGAGATAGTCCTATTCATCATTCTATTTATGGCTTTTAAATTAATGTAGAATGTTCATTTATCTCAGAAGACCTTTCCATCATTGTCCAGTAATTCTCCTCGTGTAGATCTGAGTTCCTTCAGTCATTTATTGGAAGTTAAAGGAACCAAGACAAGTGACTCCAGAATTTACTTCACCAGTGACATGGAAGGGACATTGAAATGGGCTATGAGTCTAAAAATCACAGCTTGATCTCACAGTCTGATCTTTCCTTTAA
This sequence comes from Homo sapiens, assembly GCF_000001405.40. Lineage (NCBI taxonomy): Eukaryota > Metazoa > Chordata > Mammalia > Primates > Hominidae > Homo > Homo sapiens. The sequence goes on along the minus strand of NC_000002.12, from coordinate 177,872,730 downwards.
CCTTTCATCATTTAACATCATCACTATAGATGATGTCTATTAGATACTTTAGTCCTCTGAACATCAGTCAGAGTTATAATAGTGTAGTTTTTAGAAGACAATTTCTATGGCTCCTTGTAACAATGTTTCAGGGTATTATTTCAATTCTGATGAACTCTGGTTTGAGGCTTGCTGATTTTTATAGATAGTCCTTGAAGCCATTTTTAAATAATAACCAGTTTTGCTGACTCATCACTTCTGCTTAGTGTCTTTCACTGCTTTGTCATAGCTAGTCTCCTGTTGGTCTCCATGCAATGAGTACCAATCAATTCAAGAGCTGGAAATGATTCAATCCATCTCCCTCCATGAAGTGTGCTCCTCTTCCAGGGTATCACTGGCAACACCTCTAGTGACAGGATTCTCACTATGTCATGATAGACTTCTTGCATTTATAAGGGATTCTAGTAGTTAGAAAGGCATTTTATGTTGAATTATATTCCTATAACTTCTATCTGTTTATTCTAAATTTGTTGTTTGGAGGCAGTTATTCCTTCCTTCAACAGTCATATATTGAGTACCTACTCTGTGCTGAGTTCTCTGCTAGGTGATAGGGCTACAGAGATTTTTTAAAAATTAAAAGCAGTCTCTGTCCTCAAGGATCTCAAGGGCAATGAACAGTGGTGGGAGTGGGTTAAAAATATAATACAAACATAACCAGATTTCACCAGGCCTCCAGACTATGGCTTTAAATAAATAGAGTCACATTAATAGTTATAATTTATATATTTGGCTGCTTAAGCATTTCTCCTATGTAGTGTAACATAAGAACCCTAGTCCCTTGTAAAAGCCATCCTTGAAGTATTCCTGGAGTTTCTAAGATTTCTTTTTTTAGAGACAGGGTCTCACTCTGTTGCCCAGGCAAGAGTGCAGTGGTGCAATCATAGTTCACTGTAATCCTTGAACTCCTGGGCTTAAGCAATCCTCCCATCTCAACCTCCCAATTAGCTAGGACTGCAAGTGCATGCCACCACACCTGGCTAATTTTAAAATTATTTTGTAGAGACAGGAGTCTCACTGTGTTGCCCAGGCTGGTCTCAAATTCCTGGCCTCAAGGGATCCTCCTGCTTTGGCCTCCCAAAAGTGCTGGCGTGAACCACCATGCCAAGCCTAAGATTTAAAATAATAATAATAATAATAATAATAATAATAATAATAATAATAATAATTTACTACTGACTCATCATTTCTTCCAAGTGACCACCCATAAATCCTCTCCCTCTGGCCATGACAGAGCAGCGTTCTATGATGTGGGCTTCCTTGCCCACTCCGGAATTCCCACGGGCATAACTGCACTCCTCACCAGTGCTGTGCCACAGCTCCCCAGCACTACCTTAGGTGCACTGGTGACCTTCACGAACCTGGGACAGGCTGGGTCATTTGTGCAGAAATGGGAAGAAGGCTCACTTTCTCCCCCAGGTGTCATAGTCTGTTGCCTAGCCCCTAAACAACCCCGAGTGTACCCCATTTTTTACAGACCTTTTAATTCCTAAACCTTTGTTAGATGTTAACCCACAGAGATCCAAGTGCATATAGGGAAAGGGATGCACAAAAGAAAAGGTGGAGGACAGAGTGTTAAGTAGCCTGAATGTTAAACCTTTTATGTGGACATTTTTCCTTTTTTAAACACCGTATTTTCTCCGAGTTCCCTGGTCATGAGTATTGATGGCTCCTGTCCTTTAGTGAACCAGTACACTCAAGGCAGGATGAGATAATCTGGTATATTTTAGAACAATAAGGAATTAGAACTAAAAGAGGTTCTATTTCCAGAATGAATACTTTTTCACTAACTGGGAGAATACAGGTATTTGCTTCATGAGCATATGGGAAGAAAAGGAGCCAGCTCTTAAGCTCAGTTAAAAACAACAGAAACAACATGACACTATTTTTGAGTTTTACTATGTGCTAAGTACTGCACATGAATTATCCCGTTTTTTTCCTATATTACAGATAAGAATTAAGAAATATGTCCAGGGTAACACAGTAAGTTACAGAGGCAATATTTGAAACCCAGTTAGCCTGGCCCTGGCACTAATCTTCTCAGCCATTACGTTTATTACTTGCAAGTAGATTACCAGGAAAATTCAGTAGAATTGCTGAAAGAGCACAATGCCTGGCACATAGTAGTTGCTCAATGATTTTAAGGCACTTTTTCTCACACTTAACATGTTGAAAGTCAGAATGGTATCTTACTACCAGTGATGTCTTAGTGACAGTTGGTGACACAGCTATTGCCTGTGCATGTACAAACTTGGTCAGAGCTGTTTGTGTTATCTGTTCAATTGTGTATTGTACGTTGTTGGTACTACATAGATTGGACTTAAATGCTGGTTAATATGTGTGTCCAATGAGATTACAGTGTGGTCTGGCATTGAAATGAAAAGTTATTGTTTTGCAGAAAAACGTAGAAATAAGAAGTGGAGTGTAAATTTGATATTAGTGATGAAAATATTTGTTTTTGGAAAACTGGTCCCATTTCTGTATGTTCTTTCAAAGCAACAATGAAGGAAGAAACTCTCAAGAAGATGAAGTGGTGCTATATTTGGTTACTGAAATACATCTACACGGGTCACCTAACACATGTCAAGTTATGCAACTGAAGGCAGGAGAAATTGCCAAAGCTCTTATAATAAGTGAAATAAATTTCAAAACAAGAGGCTGATATAACTAAACTCGTGCATGATGCAGGACTGTTATTAAGGTGTGGAACATCAATTTGTCAAAAATTTTCAACTGATTGGAAACTGCTTAACATCCAGTGACATGTAATTCATTTAGGAAAAACTAGGAATTTAGTCAAATAGGAAATGCTGAGAAAACCTGTGTCCTTTGACATACCTGCCAATGCCAAGAGTGCTAAAACAATTAACACTGAGAACATAGATGACAAAATGTACAGCATTTCAATGTGATGTCATGCATGGTGTCAGGTGGTCAAAACTTGTCACCATATTTCATTTTGAACAATATCAAACTAAGTGTGGGAGGCAGAATGTTGACCCCCAAGATCCTCACCACTTGTCATATATTCACGTTACATTACAAGCCAAAGAGATTACAGAGATAATTAAGATAACTAATCAATTGATGTTAAAATAGGGAGATTATTCTGGATTGTCTAGGTGAGTCTGATGTAATCATGTGAACCCTTAAAACAGAGCCTTCTCCCAGTTGAGGACACAAAAGGAAGCTGAAAAGGCTCAACAGAAGGGAAAAGTCGGAGACATGTTATGCACGAGCAGGATTCAACAAATGTTGCTGGTTTAAATATAGACAGGGCCAAATGTCAAGGAAACCTGGACCTCAGTCATACAACTGCAAGGAGTTGAATTCTGCCAACAACCTGAATGAGCTCCATTCTTCCCCAGAGCCTTCAGAGAGGAATATAGCTCTGTCAATTCCTTGATTTTGGTCTTATAAGAGCCTGAGCAGCAAATCCAGCACGTCATGATGAACTTGTGACTTCCAGCCCTCTGAGATAATAAATAGGTGTTGTTTTAAGCTGCTATATGTATAGTAATTTGTTATGCAGAAATGGGAAATGAATGCAATTTTAGTGTGTGAGTTTGAACCCATTCTCAGATGAAAATGAGATTGAACTCAATGCTGTTATCTTTTGTGTGTGCACTCATGCATGCATGCACATACACACACATAGAGATGAATGACAGGTGAGCTGATGAATGAGTGGTGTACAGCCATGTGGAAAGATGGCCAGGAGTCTTACTTAACCTTCAAAGTGATGTTAGCTGTTGGTGCATTTTTAGACATGTATCTGCACAGTGAAAAAATTTCTAGTGGCAAGACTGGACATTAGCAACCCTTAAAATTGCAGCCAACAAACCAAGGAAAGATCACTTTAGGAAGGAATATGAGTTTGGTTTTATCTAAAAACCCTCCAATGGTATCTTCTACTAAGTTCAATAAGTGACGGCCTCAAAACTTACAAGAGAGTGTCAGCAGCTTGGAAGAAATTTCTGGAGATGATAGCAGAGCACTTTTAAAGATACATGCTGCATCATTAATATCCTGATGGCTTAGAGGATAAGATCTGTGAACACTGACGACTCTGAATTGAGAATTGATTCAGAAGAGTGACATTCTTTATTTTCCCTTGTGTATAATCAACTTGTATAGTTTTACATTTTCCTTCAAGAATGGTATATGATAGAATTTATATTGAATCTGAAATATCTTTTAAAATAAGATTAAAATATTTTAAGTGATAATGCATTGCCTCATAGCATTTTTTTCTTTTAGTGGGCTGACAACAACAGTCCATCTTACAATCGATGCTCTCATAGATTCAATGACATAATATGACCCTAGAGCCGCTTTGTTTTTCCTGTGGCTTTTCCATCCCTTAGCTCATCTATGATTTCCCCCAGAGAGTACATATACCTCAACTTTGAGAAGCACCTACGAGAGTTTAGAGTTTCTTTAAATTTTAAGATGAGACAGCCCTGTGACTTTTCTCAACATTAGTTTTGTGCATTGCATTTTTTAGGTTAGAAGAGTGAATCTTCTGTTTCAATGCCTTATTGACTTTTATTTTCTTTTCCTTTACACATCTGTGTGGAATCTAGTTTTGCAAAACAGATTACCCCTTCTAGCAATGGTTTGCAACCATTCCTGACTTCTCTGTGACTCTTCCTTTAGATTTCCAGCCACCATGGCCCAAATCCTATCATTCTTTTAAGGAGAATTGACTCCCATGAGACGTAGCTCTAGTGAGGCAAACCACTGGATGAGCTCTATAGTTAGTCCAAGGAGCTCTTAGCAAGACTCGAGAGATGTCTGGGTTACCACCCTTTGTCTTTGTCCAGCAGCAATGATACAGTCAGGAATAAACTTGGAAGAGACTGTATTAGCCTGGAGAGACGAAGTATGATGAGTGAGGATTTTGTTTATTCCGGAGTGTACTATGATTGTACCCTGCAATCATATTGCAATTGTTTTTCTTTTTTTTGAGACGGAGTCTCGCTCTGTCACCCAGGCTGGAGTGCAGTGGGGTGATCTCGGCTCACTGCAACCTCTGCCTCCTGAGTTTAAGTGATTCTCCTGCCTCAGCCTGCCGAGTAGCTAGGACTACAGGCCCGCCACCACACCCAGCTAATTTTTGTATTTTTAGTAGAGATGGGGTTTCACCATTTTGGCCAGGATGGTCTCAATCTCTTGACCTCGTGATGCGCCCACCTTGGCCTCCCAAAGTGCTGGAATTACAGGCGTCAGCCACCTCACCCAGCCCATATTGCACATTTTATAACTCTGAGATGTACCTGGGTTACATGAGGTGATCTCCAGTACCTAATCAGATTATGAATATGATTCTGGGCCTGGAGGAGCACCTCTATGCACCAGAAGGTTTTATGTGACTCACTCCACTTGGACATTATCACTCAAAAGCATGCAACCCTGGTGAAGCTTTTGGGAATCAGAAATTCTGTTCCTACTTTAAAGAATGTTACTAAATGTCTTTATGTAAATTCTGACTGTGCCAACTTTATTGTGTGTCCCTTAGATCATGACTTTCAAATCTTTTCTAATGCAATCCGTGACAAAAATATCCAAACCTAGGTAGTGTATATAAATACACACACAAGTATACACACACACATCTAAGACAAATATTTTATGAAACTATACTTACCTTTACTATGCACCTATATTCTTATCTATTCTTTTAAGGAAAGAAAAACAAAACTAAAACATCTGCTGTCATGACCCACAAAACTGATTTCATGATTTACACTTTGCAGTGTCCCAAAGTGTGAAAAACACTGCTTTAGACTTACAGGCCTTGTCTGATTTGCCCATGCAGTGTTTGTGGCCTCAGTCAGTACCTATATTGGTTATTATTAAGTACCATGATTGTATGAAACTGGTATTTCCCAAGCATTTCAAGAACTACTTCACTCAAATACATATATTATCCTTCGAATTAGGCACCTTGGAGAGTAGTTTGTTTATGTAAGTCTTTTATACATCTGTTTAGTACAAGCGAATACAATATATCCCTGGAATCCCAGAGACACATGCAGACACATTCAGTCCTACTAAGGCCTTTCAGCTACATTCCTCAAGTCTTGTACTATATTCCTTCTTAGACATACATTCATGAGTCACTTCTGCTCTCCAAAGAACACATGCCAATATTAGATGAGCAAAAGGTTTTTCAGGAGAAACAAATGTGAAAGCTAAAGAGAGCAGGATCAGCAGTAGATGGGGAGAGCATTTGACCACAGTGCTCTGTGGAAGAAGAGAGACAAGTAAGGAGTGAATATAAAGAGTCTTTGGTCACAGTGTGGTTTGGAAAAAATCACTGCCTGGCCAATGGGAAGTCCCGAGCAGAATTTGCCAGTTGGAGAAATCATGCTTTCACGGGAGTGACCCAGTTCCTGCCCTCATCACGCTCAGTCATTGACGGGGAACAGCTCCAGGGGAGGCTTGGACCCAGAGGCGTGGAGATGGAGGTGTCAATCAGCTATACTTCCTGATGAGGTTCTCCTAAAGGGAGATGTGAATAGGGCATCTCCATGGCCACAGCACTTGGTAGGCTACTCAATAAGTATCACTTGATTTGTTCAACTATCCAAAACAATTTTTATTAATCTTACTTGGCAGCGTAATTATCATATTTATGCTAATTATTCTTATCTTTAAGTTTTTTTTTCTTGAGATGTAATTCATATACCACAAAATCAACATTTTAAGGTGTTCAATTCAGTGGTTTTTAATATATTCACAAGGTTGTTCAACCATACCATTGCTGTCTGCTTCCAGAACATTTTCATCACTCCAAAAAAGAAACTCTACCCATTAGCAGCCACTCCCCTCTCTTCCCTCCTCCAAGGCCCTAGCAACTGCTAATCTACTTTCTGCCTCAATGGATTTGTCTATTTTGGACATTTCTTATAAATGGAATTATATAATATGTGACCATTTGTGTTTGGTTTCTTTTACTTAACATAATGTTTTCACTATTCATTCATGTGTACATGCACTTTATTCCTTCATTCTTTTTTATGGATGAATAATATTCCATTGTTTGGATATATCATATGTTTCTTATTCATCAGTTGATGATGTTGTTTCTACTTTTTTGGCTATTAAGAATAATGCTGCTGAGAACATTCATGTACAAATTTTTGAGTACACATAGATTTTCGGTTCTTTTGGGTATAGGCCTAGAAGTGGATTTGCTAGGTCATGTGGTAACTCTGTGTCTAACTTTTGGACCAACTGTCAGACTGTTTTCTACAGTAGCTATACCATTTTACATTCGCACCAGCAAAGAATGAGGGTTCCATTTTGATGCTTATCAATCCTTATTTTTATTTCTTTCTTTTAGTTATAGCCATTTTAGTGGATGTGACACAGCATTTCATTGTGGTTTTTGTTTTTTTGGGGGATGCAGGGGATGGAGTCTCACTCTGTTGCCCAGGCTAGAGTACAGTGGCACAGTCTCGGCTCACGGCAACCTCTGTCTATTGGGTTCAAGTGGTTCTCCTGCCTCACCCTCCTGAGTAGCTGGAATTAAGGTGCCTGCCACCAAGCCTGGCTAATTTTTGTACTTTTAGTAGAGATTGGGTTTTGCCATGTTGGCCAGGCTGGTCTTGAACTCTTAACCTCAGGTGTTCCACCCACCTTGGCCTCCCAAAATGCTGAATTACAGGTGTGAGCTACTGTGCCTGGCCGATTTGTTTGTTTTTAATGACCATGCTTTTTGCAATTAGGGTGCTATTCAGGCTCAGAATTCTAAGCCTAAGCATTGTGTAGTAGCAAGAAGTGAATGACCACTGGAAAATGACCCGTATGATTACTTTTAAGTAGTAATGCAAAAGGGAACTCATTTTGTTTATGGCATCCCTCGTGTGTACAAAACAAGCATATAATAAAAGAACACTATAGGTTATCCCATCCATTAGTCACCCCAAAACATAGTTCATGTTACTTAAGATCATTTTGGATCTAAAAATTTATCCTTTGAAGAGTGCTATCTCATAATTGATTATCTCCCTTTATGCCATTTCTGAAGTACATGATGTGTCCATATCCTTGCTGGGCAATTTGTCTCTTTGTTTTTCACGTATTATGTAATTTTATTTTCTTTGAAACTCTGCCACAATTCACATCAAATACTTCTATATTTGGACCATCATTTTTCTCTCCTCTACCACTTTTTCTACTTGCTAAATTCTTTTTTAAATAAGTTTTATTATGTATATTTAAGGTATACAACATGTTATGGAATACATATAGATAGTAAAAATGTTACTTTAGTGAAGCAAATTAACATAGCCGTCATCTCACAGTTGCCCATTTCTTTGTTTTTGTTGCAAGAGCAGCTAAATTGTACTCCTTTAGCATGAATTCCACATACAATACAATTGTGTTACCTAGGGTCCTCATGTACATTATTTCTCTAGACTTGTTCATCCTACATATCTGCTACTTTGTATCCTCCGACCTACATCTCCCTATTTTCTTCCCACTGACTACTACCCCTAGTAACTACTGTTTTGTTCTCTCTGTATATTTGAATTTTTTTCAGATTCCACATATAAATGAGATTATGCAATATTTTTCTTTCTGTGTCTGTCCTGTAGCACCTAGTGTAATGTCCTCCAGGCTTATCCATGTCATGGCAAATGGCAACATCTGATTCTTTTTTAGGAATGAATAACATTCCATTATATATATGTACCACTTGATAATATTCAATATCTTTATCCCTTCATTAATCAATAGACACTTACTTGTTTCCATATGTTTGCTCTTGTGAATAATGCTGCAATGAATATGAGAAAGTAGATATCTTTATAAGGTGGTGATTTCATTTCTTGTAAGTATGTATCCAGAAGAGGGGTTGCTGGGTCATAGGGTAGTTGTATTTTTAACCCCTTTAGAAACCCCATACTATTTTCTATAATAGTTGTACCAATCTATATTCCCACCAACAGTGTAAAGAGTTCTCTTTTCTCCACAACCTCACCAACATTTGTCATCTTTTGACTTTTTGATAGTAGCCACCCTAATGGGTATGAGGTGTATCTCACAATGGATTTAATTTGCATTTCCCTGATGATTAATGATGTTGATAATGTTGAGCACCTTTTGATGTACCTGTTGGCCATTTTAATGTCTTCATTGGAGAAATGTCTATTCTGATTTTTTGCCCATTTTTGGATTGGGCTGTTTGTTTTTCCACTTTTGAGTTGTATGAGTTCTTTATAAATTTTGAATGGTTAACCCCTTGTCAGATATATAGTTTGCAAATATTTGTTCCCAATACATAGTTTGCTATTTCATTTTGTTGGTTGTTTCCTTTGGTGTACAGAAGCTTTTTCATTTGATGTAGTCCCATTTATTTACTTTTGCTTTTGTGGACTGAGCTTTTGGTGTGATATTCAAAAAATCATGACCAAGGCATTGTCCAGGACTTTTCTCCCTATGTTATCCTCTAGGAATTTTATAGTTTTTGGTCTTATATTTAGGTCTTTTTCATTTTGAGTTGATTTTTGTGTATGGTGTAAGATAATGGTCCAATATCCTTCTTTTGCATTTGGAAATCCAGTTTTCCCAGAACCATTAATTTAAGAGACCATTATTTTCCTGTTGTGTCCTGTTGGTGCTTTCATCATAAATTAGTTGACCATACATGGTTTGGATTTATTTCTGGGCTCTATATTCTGTTCCACTGGCTTGTGTGTCAGTTTTTATGTCAATATCTTACTGTTTTATTACTATAGCTTTGTAATATAATTTGAAATCAGGAAGTGTGATGCCTCCAATTTTGTTTGTCTTTCTCAGTATTGTTTTGGCTATTTGGGGTCTTTTATGGTTTTATACAAATATTAGGATGGTTTTTTCTGTTTCTGTAAGAATGCCAGTGGAATTTTGATAGGTATTGTACTGAATCTGGATATGCTTTAGGTAGTATGGACATTTTAACAATATTACTTCTTCCAATCCAGGAGCATAGGATATCTTTCCATTTATTTGTATTTTCTTCAGTTTCTTTCATCAGTGATTTATAGTTTTCAGTGTACAGATCTTTCACCTCCATGGTTAAAGTTATTTCTCAGTATCATTTTATGCTATAGTAAATGGGACTGTTTGCTGGATGTCTTCTTCAGTTAGGTCATTATTTGTATATAAAAATGCTACTGATTTTTGTATGTTGATTTTGTATCCTGCAATTTTACTCAATTCATATATTAGGTCTAACAGTTTTTTGGTGGAATCTTAGGAGATTCCAGAATTATGTCATCTGCAAATAGAGATAATTGTACTTCTTCATTGCAGTAAGTATACTTTACAGTTCCTTGGAGAGGCATCTCATTGTAGTTTTGATTTGCATTTTCCTAATGGCTAACAATGTTATGCATCTTTTCATGTGATTATTGGCCATTTGTATGTCTTATTTAGGAAACGTCTATTCAGGTCCTTTATCATTTTCAATTGTGTTAATGGTCTTTTTATTGCTGAGTCTTGGAGTTTTTGGTATACTTTGTATACAGGTCCCTTATCAGATTTATGATTTATGTATATTTGCCTTCATTCTGAGTTGTCTTCTCACTTTCTTGATGGTGTCTATTGAAGCACAAAAGTTTTAGATTTTGATATTCAATTTATAATTTTTTTGTTACTTGTGCTTTTGGTATTATATCTAAGAAGTGATTGTTTAATCTAAGCGCATGAATACATATGCCCATGTGTTCTTCTAAGAGCTGATTATTTTAGCTTTTGCATCTAGGCCCTTGATCCACTTTAAGTTAAATTTTTGTACATGGTGTGAGATAAGGGGTCCAATATCATTCATTTGTACAGGGACATCCAGTATTCCAGCACCATTTGTTGAAAAGACTATTCCTTCCCAATTTATTTGTCTTGCCACCCATGTGGAAAGTCAATTGACCATAGATATATAGGTTTATGAGACTCTCAACTCTACTCCATTAATCTGTATGTCTTCATGCCAGTATCACATTGTCTTGGTTACTGTATCTTTGAAGTAAGTTTTAAAATCTAAAAGTGTGAGTCCTTTGACTTTTTGTTTTTCATCTTGAAGATCATTTTGACTATTTTAGGTCTCTTGTATGTCCATATTAATTTTAGAATCAACTTGTCAATCTCTCCAAAATTAGTAGCTGAGTTTATTTTAGGGATTGCATTGACTCTGTCAATCAATTTGGAGAGTATTGCAATCTTAACAAGATTATATTCCAACTCCTGTATATAAGTTGTCTTTCCTTTATTTGTATCTTCTTTAATTTCTTTCAGCAATGTTTTGTAGTTTTAAGTGTAAAAGACTTACACTTATTTTGATACATTTATTCCTGTTTTTTTCTTTTTGATATTATTGTAAATGAAATTATTTTCTTAAATTTGATTTGTTCAATGTTAGTGTGTAGAAATACAGCTGAGTTTTGTATATTGATCTTATGTCCTGTAACCTTGTTGAACTTGTTTATTATAATAGTTTTTTCTGAATTCCTTAAAATTATCTGTATATGAGATTTTATCACCTGCAAATAGGGATAATTTTACTTTTTTCTTTACAGTCTGAATGCCTTTTTATTTCTTTCTCTTGCCTGATTGCATGTCTAGAACCTCCAGTACATTGTTAAATAGAAGTGGTTAAATAGCCAATATCCTTGTCTGATTCCTGGTGTTAAAAGTAAAACATTCAGTCTTTTACCATTACTGTGTTAGCTGTGCATTTTTTGTTAAGTGTCCTTTTATTAGTTTGAGGAAGTTCCCTTCTATTTCTAGTTTGTTGAATGTTTGTTAAGTGGCATGAAAGCATGTTGGATTTTGTCAAATGCTTTTTGCCTATTGAGATAATCATGTGATTTTTGTCTTTTATTCTATTAAAATAGTATATTATATATATTGATTTTTGGATGATAATCCAATCTTACATTATTGGGATAAATGCCATTCAGTCATGGTGTGCATACCTTTTTAAATATTGCTGGATTTAGTTTACTAGTATTTTTGAGAATTTTTGCATCTATATTTATAAGGGTCTATAGCTTTCTTGTGATATAATTGGTTTTGGTGTCAGGGCAATGCTACCCTCATAGAATGAGCTGGGAAGCAGTCTCCACTTTTTTTATTTTTAAGAGTTTGTTAAGGACTGACATTTTAAAAAAGAGTCTTCTTTAAACATTTGGTGAATTTCACCAGTGAAGCCATCTCTTCCTGAGCTTTTCTTTGTGGAAATATTTTTAATTATTAATTTAACCTCTCTAATTATTATAAGTTTATTCTAATTTTAAAATTCTCCTTGAGTTGTTTTGATACTTGCTTTATGACCTAACATATGGTCTATAATTGTTACCTAATTTTTTGGCATACCATTATTCATAATATTCCTTTATAATCTTATTTCTACAAAGTTAGTAGTTAAAGCCCCTCTTTCGTTTCTTATCTTAGTGATTTGAGACTTCTCTCTTTTTTTTTTTGGCAAAACTAGCTAAAGGATTACCAATTTTACCTTTTCAAAAAACAAATTTTTGTTTTGTTGATTTTCTCTATTGTTTTCTGTTCTCTAGTTTGTTTATTCTCCCTCTAGTCTTTATTATGTCCTTTCTGTTTGCTTTAGGTGTAGTTTGCTCTCCTTTTTCTAGTATCTTAAGGTGGAGGGTGAGGTTATTGATTTGAGACCTTATTCCTTATTTTTCCTTTTTAATGTAAGCATTTATAGCCATACATTTCTTTCTAAGTACTGATTTTGCTGCATCCAGTGTATTTTGGTATGTTTTATTTTGTTTTCATTCAAAGTATTTTCTAATTTCCCTTTGATTTCTTCTTTAACTCTTACTTTGTTAGAAGTATTGTTTTACTAACCAATATTTGTGAATTTCCCAAACTTTTTGGTTATTCTTTCTAATTCTATCACATTGTGTTTGGAGAATTTTTTTTTTTATCATATGAGCCCTCTTAAACTTATTGAGACTTGTTTTTTGACCTAAAGTATGGGCTATCCTAGGGAATGCTTCTTGTGCTCTTAAAATATATATATATTCTGCCATTAGGTGGAGTGCTCTATAGATGTCTGTTAGGTCTAGTTGTTTTATAGTGTTGTTCAAGTCTTCTACTTTCTTGTTAATCTTCTGTCTAGTTGCTCTATTATAGAAAGTGAGATGTTGAAGGCTCCACTATTATTATTGTTGAATTATCTATTTGTCCTTTCAGTTCTCTCAACCTTTGCTTCATATGTTTTAGGGATGTGTTATTAGGTGTATGCTTATTTATAATTGTTATTTTTCTTTTTTTAATATCAAATAATATTTTATTGTATAGATATATCACATTTTGTTATCCATTAACCAATTGATGGATATTTTGTTTTTTTCCCCTTTTTGGCTTTTATAAAAATGCTGCTATGAATATTTGTTGTACAAGGATTTTTTTAAAGTTTATTTATTTTATTTTATTTTTTTATTATACTTTTAGGGTACATGTGCACAACATGCAGGTTTGTTACATATGTATACATGTGCCATGTTGGTGTGCTGCACCCATTAACTCGTCATTTAGCATTAGGTATATCTCCTAATGCTATCCCTCCCCGATCCCCCCACCCCACGACAGGCCCTGGTGTGTGATGTTCCCCTTCCTGTGTCCAAGTGTTCTCATTGTTCAATTCCCACCTATGAGCGAGAACATGCGGTGTTTGGTTTTTTGTTCTTGAGATAGTTTGCTGAGAATGATGGTTTCCAGCTTCATCCATGTCCCTACAAAGGACATGAACTCATCCTTTTTTATGGCTGCATAGTATTCCATGGTGTATATGTGCCACATTTTCTTAATCCAGTCTATCATTGATGGACATTTGGGTTGGTTCCAAGTCTTTGCTATTGTGAATAGTGCTGCAGTAAACATATGTGTGCATGTGTCTTTATAGCAGCATGTTTTATAATCCTTTGGGTATATACCCAGTAATGGGATGGCTGGGTCAAATGGTATTTCTAGTTCTAGATCCCTGAGGAATCACCACACTGACTTCCGCAATGGTTGAACTAGTTTACACTCCCACTAACAGTGTAAAAGTGTTCCTATTTCTCCACATCCTTTCCAGCACCTGTTGTTTCCTGACTTTTTAATGATTGCCATTCTAACTGGTGTGAGATGGTATCTCATTGTGGTTTTGATTTGCATTTCTCTGATGGCCAGTGATGATGAGCATTTTTTCATGTGTCTGTTGGCTGCATAAATTTCTTCCTTTGAGAAGTGTCTGTTCATATCCTTCACCCACTTTTTGATGTGGTTTTTTTTTTTTCTTGTAAATTTGTTTGAGTTAATTGTAGATTCTGGATATTAGCCCCTTGTCAGATGAGTAGATTGCAAAAATTTTCTCCCATTCTGTAGGTTGCCTGTTCACTCTGATGGTAGTTTCTTTTGCTGTGCAGAAGCTCTTTAGTTTAATTAGATCCCATTTGTCAATTTTGGCTTCTGTTGCCATTGCTTTTGGTGTTTTAGACATGAAGTCCTTGCCCATGCCTATGTCCTGAATGGTATTGCCTAGGTTTTCTTCTAGGGTTTTTATGGTTTTAGGTCTAACATGTAAGTCTTTAATCCATCTTGAATTAATTTTTTATAAGGTGTAAGGAAGGGATCCAGTTTCAGCTTTCTACATATGTCTAGCCAGTTTTCCCAGCACCATTTATTAAATAGGGAATCCTTTAATTGTTATATTTTCTTATTGGTTTGACCCTTTGCCATTATAAAATATTGTTCTTTATCTCTAGTAACCGTTTTTTAAAAAAAACTGTTTTATCTGATATGAATAGCTACTTCAGCTCTCTTTTGCTACTGTTTGCATGGTATAATATATATACTTTTTCCATTTTTTTATTTTAACCCAGTCATGTCTTTGAATCTAAAGTATGTCCCTTGTAGACAGTGTAAAATTGGATCATGTTATTTTATCCATTCTACTGATCTCTGCCTTTTGATTGGAGTGTTTAGTCCACTTACATTTAATGTAACTAGTGATAAAGTAGGATTTACATTTGCCTTTTCTGTATTTGTTTTCTATATGCCTTCTGTCCTTTGTATTCCCCTATTCCTTCTTTACTGCCTTCTTTTGTATCCATAGTATACAAAAACTTTGCTCCATATAGCTTTGTTCCCTACCCCTTCATTTGTGTTACTGTTGTCCTACTAATTACATCTTTTCATACGATAAGCCTATCAATGCAGTTTTATAATTTTTGCATTATGCCATTGTCTTTAAATGAGATAGTAGAAAAAAGAGTTACAAACATACATTTATACTATCTTTCATATTTACTTATAAAATTTTCTTTATCGGTTCTCTTTATTCTTCATGTGGATTCAGATTGCTCCCTAGTATCTTTTCATTTCAGCCTGAAGGCTTTTCTTTTTGTATTTCTTACAGGACAGGTCTACTGGAAACAAATTTTCTCAGTTTTTGTTTATTTGAGAATGTCTTAATTTTTCATTTTTGAAGTATAGTTTCAGTGGATATAGAATTCTTGGTTCATAGTCTTTTCCTTTTGGTACTGTGGATATATTTTTCAGCTGTTTTCTAGCCTTATAGTTTCTGATCATGGAGATATTAATCTTATTGAGGGTTACTTTTATATAATGAGTTACATCTCTGCTGTTGTTTTCAAGATTTTTTCTTGTCATTGTCTTAGGACAGTTTGATTATAATATGTCTAGATGTGGTTCTCTTTCAGTTTATCCTACTTGTAGTTTATTGAGCTCCTTTAATGTGTAGATTAATGTTTATTTCAATCAAGTATGGGAAGTTTTCAACCATTATTTCTTCAAATATTCTTTCTGACCCTTTGTCTCCTTTTTTGCTGAGAATCCTCATTATGCTTATGTTTGTATGCTTGATGGTATCCCACATGTTACTGAGACTTTGTTCATTTTTCTTCATTCTTTTTACTTTCTGTTCCTCAGACTAGATGTTTGAATTGACCTATCTTCAAGTTCAATGATGCTTTTTTCTGCCTTTTCAAACATGCTGTTGGGTAGCCTAGTGAATTTTTTATTTCTGTTACTATACTTTTCAATTTTTGAACTTCTGTTTGGTTCTTTTAAATAATTTCTTTCTCTTTATTGATATTATTTATTTGGGAGACAGCCTTCT
Source organism: Homo sapiens (assembly GCF_000001405.40). NCBI lineage: Eukaryota > Metazoa > Chordata > Mammalia > Primates > Hominidae > Homo > Homo sapiens. The sequence continues at coordinate 177,856,556 of NC_000002.12, read as the reverse complement.
CATATTTTCCTTTCAGTCTTTAGATATGATTTCCTTTAGTATTTTGAATGTATGTACAATAGTTCATTTAAATACTTTGTCTAGTAAGTCCAACATCTTGGTTTACTCAGGGACAGTTTCAATTGACTGTTTTTTCATATATGGAGTATCCTTTACTGTATCTTTGCACGTCTTATAAATTTTTATTGAAAACTGAATGTTTTAAATAATGTAATGTGGAAACTCTGGAAATCAAGTCTATCCCCTCACCCCACGATCTAATGTTTGTTGTCATTTCTGTTTGTTGCTATTATTGTTGTTACTGCTATTTGCTGTTCAGTGACTTGCCAGAACTAATTCTTTGAAGTCTGTATTTTTGGGAGGGTTTGGCAACTGAAGGTACTGCTCAGTTAGCTTGGTTGTCAGCTAATGGGACAGAGATTTCCTTAAAAGCCTGAACCAATAAGTCTTCCAGCCTTTGCTGAGGAGCTCTATGTGCATATGAGGGATGCCTTCAATCCTCTGACAGGGATTTTACTTAGGTTTCATTTTCCACTTAACACAGAGCTTCAAAATCTGCTAGAGGTGAGAGCCTTCTCAGTTCTTTCCCAGACATTCTTACAGTAGTGTGTGTGTGTGTGTGTGTGTGTGTGTGTGTGTGTGTGTGTGTGTGTTGCATACGTTCTAGATGTCTATGAATATGTACAAGCTTTTCAAAGCCTTCTGGGAGCATCTCATTCCCAAGCTTATCTCATTAAGCTTTTTGCTCAGCTTCTTGTTAGCTGCAAGTGTTATCACCACCTGAAGCAATTGCCATGTTAAACAATTACTGCTGACTTTTCCCCACAAATATCCCTGGGGGTAAAGGCTGTTCTCAATAAACAAGCCCTGAGTCAGGTCAAATAAAGACAAGTTCTGTGAATGGAGGTTTCCATGGAACTGCCAAACAGGTCAAATAGTGACAATTCTCTGGGGATAGAGCTTTTGGGGAGTTCCAAACTCATTCTTCCTCTGCAAGTGGCTGCTAGGCTGCTGATTTTCACAGCTACCCCAGAGATGGATAGAGGGAGATGCAAATAAGGTAAATTAAAAAGCCATAGATCTTGCTGTTTTTCCTGAGATTCAACTACAGTTGAATAAATACTCATTGGATTATTGCAAGTCTTTGGTTAATTTCTAGAGTTCTGAAAAAGTTGATTTTGACAATTTTTGCTAGTATTCTCGCTGCTTTTATGGAGGCGCAAATTTTCAGTGATCTACTCTGCCAATCTGGAACTTCTTTCCTCTTCTCTTTACTTTTTCTTTTATTTCTCTATGTCCAAGGTAATAGGGAATGTAAGTCAAACTTACACACTGATATGAGACAAAATATTTCCACAGTATATAATGAATATTTCATATTTGTTCTGTTTTCTTCTGCATGGATCTTCTTTCTTCTACTGTGCCTCTGCTAGGAAGGATGTAATAGGTGTTTTGTATAAACAAAAATATGCTACATATTTCAATGTCAAGGAAATGAAGAAAACCTTTATAACATTAAAAAATTAAAACAGCACCATCACTACCACGACCTGTCGTCTTGGAATGTAAGCAAGATTTGTGTTGCTATGTAACTTCCTTTAAACAAGGACTTTCTTTTTGACTACTCTCTAGCATATTAAGGGTTGCTGAACCTCATTTTGCCAATATTTAATGTTGTCAATTGACAAGCAAGTGATCCAGATAACCTTAGAGGCTCATTTCTATTCCCTTTCTGGCAAGGAGGTGGCTGAGCAGGTCTGAATTAGCTCAATGGAAGACAAGACTGGTGCCAGAAGTTGAATTCTGAGTCTGCCTCTTGGTATCAAAGCCACTTCATTTACCAGGAAGCTTCATTGTTACAAAGTTACCCAGATATTCTCTGCCGCCTTTCGCTAAAAAATATGCGGAGTGTATGAAGTTGGGGTGATCCACTGAAACACTATAGGCTTGACCTAAGCACATCTCTCAGGGAATCATGTTGCTTTGATACTTCTGGGATTCCATATTTTCCCCCACAAATAACCCTATTTTGTAAATATACTCCTTGGCACTAGTGAAGTATGTGTCTGTGCCCCATTTGCATGATATTAATTATAAGAGCTAAACATCAATGAAGGAAAGGAAGCCTTGGTAATGAAGTTGTGTATCTTCCAAATTCATCTTAATGAATTTGGAAATGTATTTTTCAAGCATCTAATCTTTACCTCTTACCCATATGTAATTTCCATCTTTTCTTTTTCATGGCATTGAATATGAAGACTCAAATGCTCTCATTACCCCTATTTATTTCAGACCAATGAGCTTGTCACTCTAGTAAAACTGTCACAGACGAGAATGAAAGCTATAAAAATGTTCCATGATAATAAGCCATGTGAATAAGTACTGAGATCAAGCATAATAAAGTAGCCTATATAGGTCAGCTGTCCCTCAGATTAATACTATGCAGTAAACAGAATTATGGCAATTTAGAAACCTTAGCAGTTGGTTTTTATGTTTGACTGTCTTGCTTTAGTAGGTCTCTCATTTAACATGCTTTAATTAATATTTTAACAAATTGAATCTGCTCCCTTTCTTGCTGTGTGTGTGTGTGTGTATACACATATATATAGATATATATACACACATATATATACATATATATGCACATATATACATATATATCTATACACATATATAGATATCTATATACATATATAGATATATATACACATATATAGATATATATACACACATATATATACATATATGCACATATATACATATATATCTATACACATATATAGATATATATACATATATAGATATATATACACACATATAGATATACACACACACACACACAAACACACACACACACACACACACACACACACACATATATATATATATATATATATATATATATATATATATATATATATGCAGGACTTGTTGGGAAGGTGTGCCCTCAATCTAGAGATGTATGGAGGTATCCACAGCACCCTCACAGAGAGATATTGTGGGGCTACTTGAAACCTCCAGCAGGATAGAATCCTGACTGCTCTAGTATCAGCAGTTTTGCCAGCTGGCACATTTTCTCCTCAGTATTTCTCCAAATCTGATAATGATGCCACCGTCAAAAACATTTAACATCTCTCTACTGTCCTAGAAGTTAAGCAGTTAAACAGAGCATGTCTCACCTTGGTGTTTTTAATTAAAGAAAAATCTTTGTGATATAAAGAGCCGGTATTTATTGAGAGCCTTCTATGCGCTATGCAGCCTTCAACATTCTATTATTTTATCCTCCAAACAGCCCTGCAAAGTGAGTTTTATTTCCCATGTTTTCCATTATGGAAACTAAAAATTAGAGATAATAATAAAATTATCTGTAATCTCACTGACAGGAAATGTTGGACCAAGATTAACAACAACAACAAAAAAACCACCCAGATTTATTCAGCTGTGACAGAAGCAGGCAATTGTCATTATATGATGCTAGATGGTAGATACCAATCACTTACAGCAATGTCATCTGACACCCATCTGATAGTCACAACTGCACAGTGACACCGGCTGATAAATCTCATCATTCTAATTGCAGAAGTTGAGGAAATAAAAGATAGAAAATGTGTTCTTTGGTCACCATGTGTTAATTTCTGTTAATACAGAATGCTTAAAATGAGAGGAATAAAAGTGTGATGAAGTGTCCTCAGGCAAGACATTAAAGGCGACTCCACTAACAGATCATGATAAATTTAGGAACTCCTGCAACTTAGAGAATCTTCTTTTCCTACCACAGGGTAAGAGCTGACAGGCTGGCTCTGCTTGTTAATTACACTCTCTCCCATTACTTTATATGACTAAAAGACTTGTTCAATAACCTTCAAAGATATACTTAAGCCATTAAAAGATTTTTAATGTCCCAAGTCCTGGGTGTTCGAGACTTTCCTGCTGAGGTCCTAGCTTTGAGTCCCACTGGTATTTACTTAGTTCCCTAATCTCCTAATTAAAAGACAACTTCAAAAAGCATTGCACAGCTGGAGGCTTCAGGAAGGGCTCCAGGGATAGACAGGCTGAGCTGAGGGGGAAAAAAGTAAGGAATGCAGTTTCTTTTTGTGAACCCAACCTCAGATTGACCTCTAGTCAATGAAACAAAATGTCAAATACTATCATATAGATCAAAAATCAATATTTGGTTTGCAAAGCATTAAAAAGAAATCTGTCCCAAATAGTTATTTGAGTTCCTGACTCTTTGCCTCTCTGGCTCCTACCCCTCACTGGGTAACACTCAAGCTGTCAGAAGGGCAACTGACAATCATTCCTTGGTAATGAGAAAATAGATTGTGCTTATGTTGAAACTTTCAGTCCCACCCTAATCCTCTATTTTTAGTTAATGGTCACACTCTTCATTAATGACCACTAGTGCATCAAGGGTAGTGTGTTAGTTCGATCTTGAAAATGGCAACTTTGAGGTGCTCAGGAGGAAGTCCCCAGAAAGTACTTAGGTATATACATAGGGAACTCTGGACTCTAGGGGCTGCTGATACAGAGAAGAGTCATCTGTATGGGAAACCAAATATGGCATGCTCTCCCTTATAAGTGGGAGCTAAATGATGAGAACACATGGACACCTAGAGGGGAACAGTGCACACTGGGGCCTACTGGAGGGTGGAGGGTGGGAAGAGGGAGAGGAATGGGAAAAATAACTAATGGTTACTGGGCTTAATACCTGGGTGATGAAATAATCCATACAACAAACCCCCATGACGCATGTTTACCTATGTAACAAACCTGCATGCCCTGAACATGTACCCCTGAACTTAAAAGTTAAAAAAAAAGACATTTTAAAAACGAAAAACAGAAAGAGTCATCTGTATGGATGTAGTTTGGGATACAAAGCTTGTGCATGAAACCACACAATATATTGGTTGGCCTCTTCCGCAGTAGCCTTATTCACCACTTCCACCGTGTATCCTAAGCGTCAGCTCTATTATTTACTATACCAATACAGAAAATCCCACACTTCTTTTATTTTTATTATTATTATACTTTAAGTTCTAGGGTACATGTGCACAACGTGCAGGTTTGTTACATATGTATACATGTGCCATGTTGGTGTGCTGCACCCATTAACTCGTAATTTAGCATTAGGTATATCTCCTAATGCTATCCCTCCCCGATCCCCCCACCCCACGACAGGCCTGGTGTGTGATGTTCCCCTTCCTGTGTCCAAGTGTTCTCATTGTTCAATTCCCACCTATGAGCGAGAACATGCGGTGTTTGGTTTTTTGTTCTTGAGATAGTTTGCTGAGAATGATGGTTTCCAGCTTCATCCATGTCCCTACAAAGGACATGAACTCATCCTTTTTTATGGCTGCATAGTATTCCATGGTGTATATGTGCCACATTTTCTTAATCCAGTCTATCGTTGTTGGACATTTGGGTTGGTTCCAAGTCTTTGCTATTGTGAATAGTGCCGCAATAAACATACGTGTGCATGTGTCTTTATAGCACCATGATTTATAATCCTTTGGGTATATACCCAGTAATGGGATGGCTGGGTCAAATGGTATTTCTAGTTCTAGATCCTTGAGGAGTCGCCACACTGTCTTCCACAATGGTTGAACTAGTTTACAGTCCCTCCAACAGTGTAAAAGTGTTCCTATTTCTCCACATCCTTTCCAGCACCTGTTGTTTCCTGACTTTTTAATGATTGCCATTCTAACTGGTGTGAGATGGTATCTCATTGTGGTTTTGATTTGCATTTCTCTGATGGCCAGTGATGATGAGCATTTTTTCATGTGTCTGTTGGCTGCATAAATTTCTTCCTTTGAGAAGTGTCTGTTCATATCCTTCGCCCACTTTTTGATGGGGTTGTTTGTTTTTTTCTTGTAAATTTGTTTGAGTTCTTTGTAGATTCTGGATATTAGCCCTTTGTCAGATGAGTAGATTGTAAAAATTTTCTCCCATTCTGTAGGTTGCCTGTTCACTCTGATGGTCGTTTCTTTTGCTGTGCAGAAGCTCTTTAGTTTAATTAGATCCCATTTGTCAATTTTGGCTTCTGTCGCCATTGCTTTTGGTGTTTTAGACATGAAGTCCTTGCCCATGCCTCTGTCCTGAATGGTATTGCCTGGGTTTTCTTCTAGGGTTTTTATGGTTTTAGGTCTAACATTTAAGTCTTTAATCCATCTTGAATTAATTTTTGTATAAGGTGTAAGGAAGGGATCCAGTTTCAGCTTTCTACATATGTCTAGCCAGTTTTCCCAGCACCATTTATTAAATAGGGAATCCTTTCCCCATTTCTTGTTTTTCTCAGGTTTGTCAAAGATCAGATAGTTGTAGATGTGTGGTAGTATTTCTGAGGGCTCTGTTCTGTTCCACTGGTCTATATCTCTGTTTTGGTACCAGTACCATGCTGTTTTGGTTACTGTACCCTTGTAGTAAAGTTTGAAGTCAGGTAGCATGATGCCTCCAGCTTTGTTCTTTTGGCTTAGGATTGACTTGGCAATGTGGGCTCTTTTTTGGTTCCATATGAACTTTAAAGTAGTTTTTTCCAATTCTGTGAAGAAAGTCAATGGTAGCTTGATGGGGATGGCATTGAATCTATAAATTACCTTGGGCAGTATGGCCATTTTCACAATATTGATTCTTCCTATCCTTGAGCATGGAATGTTCTTCCATTTCTTTGTATCCTCTTTTATTTCATTGAGCAGTGGTTTTAGTTCTCCTTGAAGAGGTCCTTCACATTCCTTGTAAGTTGGATTCCTAGGTTTTTTTGTTTTTTTTTTGAGATGGAGTCTCGCTCTGTCGCCCAGGCTGGAGTGCAGTGGCACGATCTCAGCTCACTGCAAGCTCCACCTCCCGGGTTCACGCCATTCTCCTGCCTCAGCCTCCTGAGTAGCTGGGACTACATGGTGAAACCTCATCTCTACTAAAAATAATAATAATAATAAATAAATAAATAAAAGGTATTTTATTCTCTTTGAAGCAATTGTGAATGGGAGTTCACTCATGATTTGGCTCTCTGTTTGTCTGTTATTGGTGTATAAGAATGCTTGTGATTTTTGCACATTGATTTTGTATCCTGAGACTTTGCTGAAGTTGCTTATCAGCTTAAGGAGATTTTGGGCTGAGACGATGGAGAAAACCCCACACTTTTTAAAGCTTTACTCATGCTATAGTTTTGACTGAATTGTTTTTATCTTCTTTCTCTTCCAGGTGAACTCTTACTTATCCTCTAAAGACCAGCTTAGACCAACATCCTTCCACATCCTTCCATTAGGCCATTTATCACAATTCAGTATCACTATTGTGAGCTCCCTGAGAGTATACCCCTTTGGCTTCTGCCCATACCCCTTTCTGTATAAGTAGGGGCTAGGCTGGGCTGACATCCGTGTAAGGATGGGTTTCCATGTGCCAGCTTCTTTCAACAACAAGGAAAAGATCCTTATTGTTCGCTTAATGCAAGATTTGGCTCACTCCTGTCCAGCACTTAGTAGAGGCCAAACTAGTTGTCATTCTTGAAAGACTCTTGAGAGTTTCTAATGAAGACATCTAAGTAAACTGTTATGTTGAGAAGAGAAACATGAACACAAGCACAGTCTAATGATTAGCATTATTTTATTAAGATGTTTTGTCTTCTAATGTGGAGACTCTTTTTTTTGGAAAAGTAATGCTGAAGATAGTCTTTTTATTTTCACACAGTTCTCTGTATTTGAACCTTCAGCTAAGCCAGGACTTTCAGACAATTAAAGATGTTGAGTCACTTGTTCTGGGGTATTTTATTTTGTCTTGTTTTTCTTTGCTCGTATTGATTTACCTCCTACACGACTCTGCAACTTGTCAGCCCTGAGGTTTATATATACCTCACCGGCCCTCACTTCAGGGGCAGCCACATTTCAGGAATTACGTGTTTTCTGTAATAGGGCAATTCTCTTTTATCCCTCCACAGTCAATATATTTGAGCTCATGAAGCTCTCTTTGAAGTCAGTTTGAGTCTCACATTTGGAAGCAAGATACCACTGAGAAGAATCTAAACTACAGCCCTTTACGTGAAACTCACTTAAAAACCTACATTTTCTTATACCCCTTTTTCTAGCAAAATAACAAGATAAAGGATTTCTTTACAATTAGAGTGTTATGCTGAAGTGAATCGAGCTTAGGGAGGTCTACTTTGTAGAGAGTTAAAATAAGCTATTAAGTGGTTAACTATGACCTTTTAAGGAAGTTTCACTGAAGTTCAGGTGTCAACTATGTTTCTTTTACTTTTCTCAAACATTTATATCAATATATTTTTACTGTCTGCTGTTTTTTTCCTTTAAGCCAGAATTTTTTAAAATATCCCCACTGTAGGGATCAAAATAGTGTTGTGACTTAAATGTATGAAGCTATTAAATATGGACAAGTGAAATTAAACATGGACAAATGACTTGCTTTAAAAAAAAACTTTAGAAACATTTGAATGGTTTCTCAATCAACCATTAGTCTTCAACAACAAATAAATGTTGCTAAGAATTCTATGCCATTTTTTCTTGTTATGCACCAGTGTACAGTTAATGTGTTGGCTACACACACACACACACACACAAACACACCATTCACACTAGACATTCACTTGCATGAGGAGATTGATAAGGGTCTTTGTCTTTTTGCTGAAAGAATGAGTTGGTACATGAGTACTCGTCTAATGTGAATGGGCATCCCAGCCCTGCCCTCTATGTCTACAGAGAGGGGTATGGGCAAAGGCAAAAGGAGCTGTTTAAATAGGAAACTAGTGACAACGTGGGCACAAGCAATATGGCATTAGGGCTCAGGCACCAACATGCTGCATAGAGCTTGGCAGACAGTATTCTTCCCTTCTTCTATGAAGCTTTGGCAGTCTGGGAGCTACGGGTCAGGCTCCCTCAAGTGATTTCTAAGCAGTAGGCTTTAACAACGGGCCTTGAATGAAAGAATAAGTATCCCCAAAGGTTGGAGGTCAGGGAAGGACTTGGAGGTGTCTGTCGTCTTACAATTATATACATGGCAGCTAAGAACCACTGAGTTGACATGAACTGATTTGCACCCATAAGCTTTGGAGGCCTGGTTGTAATCAAGGTGTAGTTGTGTTTCCAAACAGCAGTGAGTCTCTATCTTGGTTCTGGCCCAAACTGAAAATCTTAGTATTGGATTTGTTGGCCTTTGATATCTCTGGTGGGAGTTTTTAGACTCAAGAAAGTTGGTTAATTTAGACTCAAGAAAGTTGGTTAATATTAATTTAAACTTCCAAAAACTTATCAAAAATAAGACCTATTGGGAACTATCACTCCTGATGTTTGTTGCTAGAAATAGGTTCTAGAATGAAGGAGGTGGTCATACCCACTTCATCCTACTCAGACCCCATGGAGAGAACTGTGGACTGGACTGGCTTTCATACTCCAAAGGACTATTAACAAGGGGGGTTACATCTAGGGCTGGCATGGTACGAATAAGGAAGGCATGCCACAAGAGGAGTAACTTAAGGAATTGGAGACAGGTGGGAGAAGAATGATGTTAGGTGGATGATCATGGGTGACATGTTAACTATTGCTAAATATTTTGAGGGCTGTCAGATAATGAGGTCCATGCTCTGTGGCCACAAACCATGGAACTTGGAACCAAGGATGATGACTATTAGAAAGTAAACTGAGCTGCCACAAAATATAATGTAATATATGATAGGTAGTGAGTTTCCTGTCACTGATGGTGCTCCATTTGAGATTACATGCCCAATTTTCAGATGTGTTGAAGAAAAGCTTGAAGGAGGGCCATTGAAAGCCCATACAAATGTCTCTGTGAGAATTAGGAAAAGGTGCCCTCTCCAGGTGGATGCAACTTCAAGCAAACAAGCACAGTTAGACTAATTTCCACCCCCACTTCTCCCTTTTATAGGGCATCCGTGTGCAAGGCAGAACCTGCACAACTAAACGTGGCTGTGTCTGTGATCTTACCATGTTCTGTCCCAACAGCAACCAATTGCAAAAGAGAAAACCATACTGAATAAAAGTTCCCTCATAAATCAGGGGGAGGTGATGAGCTGTAGGAACTTTTTGAAAGAGCTTACCCTAAAAGTTAGATGTGTCCTTCCAAAAGCAGAAATAATTTGGGCCCTTTCCTTTGTGATTAAACTCACAACACCACATCACTGAAATGTATAAAGGGGTACTGTCATGTGCAGAATTTGCTTTAAAAGTTGTGATGCTTTTAGAAAATGTTTGCTATGGGCTAAATAATATGCTGAGCACTTTGCATGAATTATCACCTTAATCTCTACAGTAGTAGTATTATACCCATTTTACCAAGGAAGTTTTCCTAAGATCACTTTGCTAGAAATCAGCAAAGGGGACATTTGATTGAGGTATGCCAAAACTCATGATCCTAATCATAACATAAAATTACCTTTTGTTTGTAAAGAAGAGAAGCAAGCTTTTGAAAGCTCTAACTCAGTGTTACGATTCTGCATTATAGTAGACCATTAGGAATTCCAGCCTCTCCCTCTCCCTCTCCCTCTCCCTCTCCCTCTCCCCACGGTCTCCCCCTCCCTCTCTTTCCACGGTCTCCCTCTCATGCCGAGCCGAAGCTGGACTGTACTGCTGCCATCTCAGCTCACTGCAACCTCCCTGTCTGATTCTCCTGCCTCAGCCTGCCGAGTGCCTGCGATTGCAGGCACGCGCCGCCACGCCTGACTGGTTTTGGTGGAGACGGGGTTTCGCTGTGTTGGCCAGGCCGGTCTCCAGCCCCTAACCGCAAGTGATCCACCAGCCTCGGCCTCCCGAGGTGCCGGGATTGCAGACGGAGTCTCGTTCACTCAGTGCTCAATGGTGCCCAGGCTGGAGTGCAGTGGCTTGATCTCGGCTTGCTACAACCTCCACCTCCCAGCTGCCTGCCTTGGCCTCCCAAAGTGCCGAGATTGCAGCCTCTGCCCGGCCGCCACCCCGTCTGGGAAGTGAGGAGCGTCTCTGCCCAGCCACCCATCGTCTGAGATGTGAGGAGCCCCTCTGCCTGGCTGCCCAGTCTGGAAAGTGAGGAGCGTCTCCGCCCGGCCGCCATCCCATCTAGGAAGTGAGGAGCACCTCTTCCCGGCCGCCATCACATCTAGGAAGTGAGGAGCGTCTCTGCCCGGCCGCCCATCGTCTGAGATGTGGGGAGCGCCTCTGCCCCGCTGCCCCGTCTGGGATGTGAGGAGCGCCTCTGCCCGGCCGAGACCCCATCTGGGAGGTGAGGAGCGACTCTGCCCGGCCGCCCCGTCTGAGAAGTGAGGAGACCCTCTGCCTGGCAACCGCCCCGTCTGAGAAGTGAGGAGCCCCTCCGCCCGGCAGCCACCCCATCTGGGAAGTGAGGAGCGTCTCCGCCCGGCAGCCACCCCGTCCGGGAGGGAGGTGGGGGGGGTCAGCCCCCCGCCCGGCCAGCCGCCCCGTCCGGGAGGTGAGGAGCGCCTCTGCCCGGCTGCCCCTACTGGGAAGTGAGGAGCCCCTCTGCCCGGCCACCACCCCGTCTGGGAGGTGTGCCCAACAGCTCATTGAGAACGGGCCAGGATGACAATGGCGGCTTTGTGGAATAGAAAGGCGGGAAAGGTGGGGAAAAGATTGAGAAATCGGATGGTTGCCGTGTCTGTGTAGAAAGAAGTAGACATGGGAGACTTTTCATTTTGTTCTGTACTAAGAAAACTTCTTCTGCCTTGGGATCCTGTTGATCTGTGACCTTGCCCCCAACCCTGTGCTCTCTGAAACATGTGCTGTGTCCACTCAGGGTTAAATGGATTAAGGGCGGTGCAAGATGTGCTTTGTTAAACAGATGCTTGAAGGCAGCATGCTCGTTAAGAGTCATCACCACTCCCTAATCTCAAGTACCCAGGGACACAAATACTGCGGAAGGCCGCAGGGTCCTCTGCCTAGGAAAACCAGAGACCTTTGTTCACTTGTTTATCTGCTGACCTTCCCTCCACTATTGTCCTATGACCCAGCCAAATCCCCCTCTGTGAGAAACACCCAAGAATTATCAATAAAAAATAAATAAATTAATTAATTAATTAAAAAAAAAAAAGGAATTCCAAAATTGAGCTGGTGCGTAAGCCAGAATGTGATTACTCTGGTCTGAATGTTTGTGTCTGCCCAAAAATTCATACGTTGAAACCCAGTCCCTAATGTGAGGGTATGAAGGGGTGGGCCTTTAGGAGGTGATTAGGTCATGGGGGTGGAGCTCTTATGAATGGAATCAGTGCCTTTATAAAAGAGGCCCCAGAGAGATCCCTCATTCTTTCTACCATGTGAGGACAAGAAGGCACTAGACACTGAACTAAAGCAAGAAGGCACTAGATACTGAATCTGCCAGTGCCTTGATCTTGGTCTTCCTAGTCTCAAAACTGTGATAAATAAATATTTGTTGTTTATAAGTCACCCAACTTATGGTATTTTGCTCTAGCAGCCTGAATGGACTAAGACAGTGATGTAAATACCAAGTGACAAATCAACTTTCCTATCTGTCTCTCTGAGGATCTGATCACTCAGGCCTTAATTTATGTTCCTGTGCAACATTAAACTGAAGAAATGCAGAGGTGATTTTCAGAAAATCTGTTTGCACTGTTGCACTGACCTATATAGGTCAGTTTGAATCTCACCTCCTCTCTGAAGCCTTAGCTAGATTACAACACCTGAAGTCATTTCTCCCTCCATGGACGTCTTCAGCACTCGTGATTGGTACAGTTGACTTGGTAACTTATCAACACATCTATGTGAAAAATTTTTCATTTGAAATTTGAAGTGGGCATTTAATTTTTATATTGTTTATATGTCAGTGTGTTTATTTCTCATCTCCCCAGTTAAGTAGCAAACTCCCTGAGAGCAGAGATCATAGCTTATACTTTAGAAACGGCCTCAACCCTGCCTTGCACAGAGTCAATATTCCTTCTACACTGTTCACTGATTTTACAATGATTTCAATTCAGTATGCATACTGAACCAAGCCACATTCTAAGCATGTTTTAGATTTAGAGTGAGTTTTTCAGGAGCCCCTGCTCAGTAAGTGTTTTTGTCATCGTATCTTCTTTGGGAATTCTGTAAGTAGGGACCTAAAGCTCTTAATTATCAACTCCAATGGTTTTTCCTCCCTGTTCCTGTGACTAAAGTCTCACAGTGAAGTGTTTATTATCTTTAGCAGCTTCCTTAAACTCTCTCTGATGTGGACTGCCCCTCCCTATTTGTTCTTAGGTGACAACCCACTATTCTTGCTATAACGCTATCCATTAACTCCTTCTGAAAGGCAACAGGAAAAATACTATAATTTAGGATGTTGGGGTCAGATTTAGGTGAAAATTCTATCTCCACTTGGGAAAGTTATTGAGCATCCTAGGTCTCCATTTTCTGATCTATAAAATATAGAGAAGCATATCCATCTCACAGGATTTATCTGAGGACAAAACAAATTAGTTGGGTAAAGTATCTGGCCTGACCCTTGGCCCACAGTAGATGGCAATAAATTTCAGTTTTTCTTCCTTAAAATTTCTTCTCTTTCTCCCTTCCCCCTTTATTACCACTTTTCTCCTCCTTCCCTTCCCTAGATATAGATTTCCCTACGTGTTCTGTCCCTGAGTGATCTCATGCATTTTATTCTCCGTGAAAATTATCCTAACTCTGGATTAGAGTTTTCAGTCCTGAGGACTGATAGGATTTTGTTCCTGGACTTTCAAAAATGAACATGTCCCAGGCTTACAGAATATCTGTCATCTTTCCCCTATCTCCCCACTCCTTAAAACAACTGTGTTCTGCTAATAGGGCCACAGGCAGTCGGGAACAAAATGTAAGCCACTGCTATCTGGCCACAGAGCCTGTGGAATCTTCTGCAGTACCTCTTGAGTCACCAGCACCATCACCTCCCACCTGCATGACTTCTGTGGTTTACAAGACCTCTTCCCATCCTCAGTGTCTCTTACCCAGTTCTTCTTGCTCATTGTACCTGGATTAAGCTTTCTAAAATCACATCTTAAACCACGTCACTTCCCTGCTCCATATTCTTAAACAGTTCTCCATTGCCTATAACTAAGGTCTCAGCAACTTGGTCAAGGCCTCACCTTTGAGCCTTGGCCTCTTTTTCAGTTTTATTCCCACCATACAATTACTCATTGTGCCAAGAACACACTTCGTACTCTGCTGCATTTGTGTCTTTTGTTCCTGCTGTTTCCTTCTAACTCCTCCAATCTCTCCTTGTTGAACTCTTTCTCATCCTGAAAGACCCAGCTTGAAGATTGTTGACACTTATTGGTAAAACTGGCTCCTTCCTTGAGCCCCACCCTACCCAACCGTTTTACTTCTGTGCCCAGACCTCTCCCCAGCTCCTGCTGCAGCGCTGCTTCCCACACTCCACAGAACACTCTAGGTCAGCAGCTTCGAAACGGTGTGATCACAGAACACCTCAAAAATTAAAATGTGGAATAAAGTACACAGTGCAGAATGAACTGGCAAGCCAATTAATCCCTGAAAGGTCAGAATTTAGCCCATACCCTTTTATAAACTTAGAAATGACTTCACTAAGTCATTTAGATCTTTGTGTGAGGTGCATTATCTTGTTTCTCCTAGATTTTGCTTTCATTGCAGCACAACATAAAATTTCATCTCATGAAATGAGATGCATATAAAACAGCAAAAAGAAAATAAAAACTTTTTTGTTCTTTTGTTTTGATTTGTTTTAGAAAATAAAGCTTCTTCTTCTCTTTGAAGTACTCAGTCTTTTTACTTCTTTGATTTAGGTGCCATCTAAGAACTACAAGACTCAGCTTTTTATTAAAACTTCCATTTTTCAGCCAGAGAGCCATAGAGAATAAAGTTTATGTATTATTAATGTTTAATATGCAATAAGGGATGAATAACATTACAAATACATGCTGAATTTATCAGACACAGGCCAGCAATCATTACAGATGAGATATATTAATGATGTTAAATAATGTCTATGTGTCCCACTCACTCATGCATCCAATGGCCTTTCCATGCAGTTTCCTGCCTTCTCAACATGGCATAATTTTACACAGGGACATTATTGCATAATAACAAAGACGATGTGCACATTTAGTGTTTTCTTACATATAGTGCAGTTTAGATTAAAAAGTCAATAGAGTGATGATTATTCTTGCTGTAGTATACTCATTTAACATCTCATGAAATCCAGGGTTCCACATAAGGCAGCTTGAAAACCTTGCCCTAGTATGCTTGCATCCATCCACATAATTTCAGTTATCACTTGCCAAGCGACAAATCAGACATCCTCCAGGAAAATTTTCCTTGCCAATACTAATTTGAACAGTTCTCAATTTTGTATCTCCACGGCTCCTGGCAGTGCTCAATATATACTTGTGGAAGAAAAGATGGAAAGGAGAAGAATGAGGGATATTAACTAATTCTTACAGCATTTCTGTTTATGTAGTGTCTGTCATGAAAATGATACAAGGGAAAGTTCAAAAAATCATTTGGCATAAAATTCCTTGTTCAAATTAAATATGAAAATAGTTTTAATTATTAATGTTAAGGGTCTGTTGCATTAAATAGCCTTTTAAGTGAGATTTTGTAAGTGGTATATGGGCTATTGTTAAGAAACATAATCTAAAATTACCAAAATAGTTAACTAAGATACTAAAAGTTATTAAAATATTAATGTTATCAAAATAATGACTAAGATAGTAAAATTGTTTTTCAAATAATTACTAATTAAAAGACCATAGTCTAGATACATTCTTTTGCTGCATTTGTAATTTTTTAAATTCCCAATTTACTTCCTGATTTTTCCCTACTTGGGTTTCATTCTTCCTTGTGCCAAAACATCTAGTCTGTTCAATTAAAAAGGGCAAGCTGGGAAGTTGATGGAATTTTATTAGTTGTTGGTGTCTTATTGTTAATTTTGGTCCTTACATGTGTTTGCCAGCTTTGGGACCTAAATACAGCCTAGAGTCTCTCTGAATCATAGGGAATCTATGGTTTCTGCCCATGGATTTAATTATTATACATTATAGCAGGTAAGTCATTTCGAAGTAGCTACTGATAATTACCTTGCTATTGTTCTGTGACTAATGTCACTTATTTTTTCTTAATAAGGACAGATTATCCTGATATTAGTGTAGTTTATAGGGTTTCCTTTCAAGAAAACTTACGTTTCTCTCTTTTCTTCCTGCCTACCTTGGTGCTCTGATAGTTTCAAAGAAAGCATGGAGAAATCATCATACTCCGACTGGCTAATAAATAACAGCATTGCTGAGCTGGTTGCTTCAACAGGCCTTCCAGTGAACATCAGTGATGCCTACCAGGATCCGCGCTTTGATGCAGAGGTAAGAGGAGCCCCTCTGGTTGCAATCCTAAGTTTCAGTTGTCGCACTGTTGAAAACAGTTGAAACACAAAAAGGAATACTTACCAGCAATTCTTTTGCATCCTTCCCCTGTGATCTTATTTTTAGCATTGCCTACTGTTGACTCTAAGTTAGAAAAACTTGTCTGACTCTACCATGATTTGTAGCAAGATGGTTATCCTTAGTCTGATGCTCGTTTATGATTGGGTATATTTTATATTAAACTATGAACTATTTAATGAAAAGTGTATATAACAAAGTTATTTCCCAATAGACCCTAAAACAACTACCATATTTATAAAAATTGCTCCCAAGAAACAGTAAATTGGTTGGCATTATTGTTTAATGTTAATTATCTAGGCACACTGTGTTGATATACAGAATATATTAAAACAATTTTGAAGTTTACATTCTAAGGTAGTGTAGAGTATCATACAGATAAATTCACATGAACTGATAATGTCTCTATGTACATATGTGTACTCTCTATATATATACTCATATATACATATTGAATATACACATTCATTAAATACAAGGTTTCCTATTGAAGATTGTCCAGCTGAAGTCTGAAGAGTAGGAGGCATTTTTTTGGTGAGGAAGGGTAAGGAGATGTGTGTTCCAGGCAAAGCTGAGCAGGCATGGGGAGTTGGGGAAGTGAGATGATCTAATGTGGCTGAAGGGCCATGATCCATGAAACTGGAGAGGGAAGCAGGGACCAGATCACCAAAAAACTTTGAAAGGCATGTTAAGAAATTGGAGTATTTGTTCTGTGCAATGGGGAACCATTGAGTTTTAAATGGGGGAGAAGCAAGAGTTATATTTTAGAATGATCACACTGGCTACAAAGCAGGGGATAGGTTAGTAATGATAACAACTGAACAGTTAAACTTCAACCCTGAGAAGTAGATGTCATCATTCCCATTTTACAGAAATTGAGAGCTGCTCTATGGCTCTGGAGGCAGACAAAAATTCAGTCCTACTACCTCTCAAACTCCACAGCCCATAATCTTAATCCTGCCCTGTGCTGTCTCCATTGTCTGTGGCCAGGACATGGTGATGGCAGGGAGGCTGGGGTCAAAGTCTAATTTACAACTTCAGTCAGATCATCTTTGCAGATCTCTGCAGGAAAACCTTATATTCCCAAACTTACCACCTCCCTGTAGCTGCCTAGAACTCTCTTCCCCAGGCTACATTTTCCATGTATTTTCTATTCCTTCTTGAGGTTAGAGGCTCCTAAATCCTTAAATGAAGTCCTAGTCTGCGTTGGGTGCCTTTCCAGCTGCTCCCTTGGCTATCCTAACACTGACTACCCTCTAGTTCTCCTCAGTTTTTATACACTAAATTTGAAATTTGACTTACCTTTCCTTGGGAAAGTTCACAGTTCAAAGTTCTTCAGTTCTCCTCTGGTAAGGTAGAACACTACTAACTTGGTTATATGACTGGAGCACTGAAAATGATTTACAGATGTCAACATTTATATACTTTTCCATTGTGGTTGAGTTAGGACTGATTTTATATCAGAGAAGTTAGTCTCTTCTCCCCTGTAGGCCATCGAACTCCAAACGGTCATGCAACCAGAACCACAGACGATGGCTCCCTTTTACTGGGGACACTTAGCTAGGCCTCTGGGGGAGATCTGACTGCCATCTTCCCAAAATAGTGCCCCCTGTCAGCAGGAAGCAGTTAAGATCCGTCTTTGCCCCTATTCTAATGGCAGTTAGAATTACCTCTTTGGAGAAGGAACGATAGACTAAATACTAAAAAGTATTACAGCTTTTGTCTTTCTTTTAAAAAAATATTTCATTTAAGTGCTTATTTTCCTTCAAACCAATTAATTAGAGCTCTTTTCTTTATAAACATAACACACATAACACATATATGATTATGTAGACAGACAGAAGAAAATCTAGTAGTTGTAAGATTTTTCATTTGCCAATCTAATTGGATTATTGGCCTCTGGGTGGAGCCCTTTAAGAGCAAGGCTAGGAAAGCTTGTATTTTCTAGGGCCTAACAAACAGGTATGGCTGGAAGACAAAAACAGATTTTGAGAGGGATCTACCTGCCTCTAATTTCTGAGGTTCCATGAGGAAAACAGGTTTCTCACAAAATGGGATCTGTGGTGCCTTTTCTGTTTTTGCCAAGGAGTCACAGGCCATCAGAAATTATTTTAGGGCCTCTCATGTGTGCCTTAAGAGTGGCAAGACAAAATGGAGAAAAATAATTCAATCAACTGAGAAGAAACCTTTTTCCAGAAAAACAAGATTCAAGAAGGGAAAAAAACCATAAAGGTCCTTTAAACATACTTGGGTATCTGCTTTTAATTAAGCTGAGCACTCCTTAAGAAAGTCCTTTTAAATCCCGTATTACCTGACTTTAGCCATGTCAAGCAGCCAATATTTCTGGCTTTTGAACTTTACCAAAAGTAACCTCACAGGTGAAACCAACAAGCCTCAATTAAGGTTATGACTTTACTACCAGTGTACGAAGTATTTTCAAAGCAGGAGGTAAGCAGTTTTTACAACATCTAGAATCTTTAAGGGTAGCTCAGAGAAGGGAAGATTTAAGAAGAGAATCTAGAAGTTGTTCATGGAAGGGAAGAAAATCAGCAAATGGTAGAAGTCACACAGCTATTAACTTGAAAGTACTCATTCTCCGTAAACCCGGGAAGCAGAGCTTGCAGTGAGCTGAGATCGCGCCACTGCACTCCAGCCTGGGCGACAGAGCGAGACTCCATCTCAAAAAAAAAAAAAAAGAAAGAAAGAAAGTACCCATTCTCCAAGCCAGGATTGAACCTGAGCCACCATTGTAAAATGTCAGACTAAAACAAAGCACTCCCACGTAGTTACAGGTCATGCTCCCCAGGATGTAAACAAGATGCAAGCCTGCAGCAAAGTTTGTTACTGACCAGTTTGCTGGGCTGACTTGAAAAGTGGACTTATGGGGTCCTACACCCACATCCTGTCCTAAAGTACCTCTCTTTCTGATAGAACCATACAGAAAGACATGCAAAGCATACCAGATTGGCTACAGCTTAAGACCAAACTCATAAATCCTTTTTCATTAATCAAAACTTTACAGAGAATATAAACAGTGATCCTTACCATTCCTTTTACCGGTTTGCACACGGAGGGAGAGGCCAAAAGTCCAACTGGTAAAAGAAACTTTTACCCTTTTGCTGGCACGTCAGGTTTCTGGATTCCCTTCCCCTTGTATCTGGAATTGGTGGGTTCTTGGTCTCATTGACTTCAAGAATGAAGCTGTGGACCCTTGTGGTGAGTGTTACAGTTCTTAAAGATGGTGTGTCCGGAGTTTGTTCCTTCTGATGTTCGGATGTGTTTGGAGTTTCTTCCTTCTGGTGGGTTCATGGTCTCGCTGGCTTCAGGAGTGAAGCTGCAGACCTTCGTGGTGAGTGTTACAGCTCTTCAGGTGGCGCGTCTGGAGTTGTTTGTTCCTCCCGTCCGGAGTTGTTCATTCCTCCAGGTGAGTTCGTGGTCTCACTGGCCTCAGGAGTGAAGATGCAGACCTTCGCTGTGAGTGTTACAGCTCATAAAGGCAGTGCAGACCCAAAGAGTGAGCAGCAGCAAGATTTATTGCAAAGAGCAAAAGAACAAAGCTTCCACACTGGGGTAGGGAACCCAAGCGGGTTGCCACTGTTGGCTCCGGCAGCCTGCTTTTATTCCCTTATCTGGCCCCACCCACATCCTGCTGATTGGTCCATTTTACAGAGAGCTGATTGGTCTGTTTTACAGGGAGCTGATTGGTGCATTTACAATCCCCAAGATAGACACAAAAGTTCTCCAAGTCCGCATCAGATTAGCTAGACACAGCAATGATTGGTGCATTTACAAACCTTGAGCTAGACACAGGGTGCTGATTGGTGTGTTTACAAACCTTGAGCTAGATACAGAGTGCTGATTGGTGTATTTACAATCCTTTAGCTAGACATAAAGGTTCTCCAAGTCCCCACTAGATTAGCTAGACCCAGAGCACTGATTGGTGCATTTACAAACCTTGAGCTAGACACAGAGTGCTGATTGGTGTATTTACAATCCTTTAGCTAGACATAAAGGTTCTCCAAGTCCCCACCAGACTCAGGAGCCCAGCTGGCTTCACCTAGTGGATCCCGCACTGGGGCCACAGGTAGAGCTGCCCATCAGTCCTGCACTGTGTGCCCACACTCATCAGCTGTTGGGTGGTCGATAGGACCGGGTGCTGCAGAGCAGGGGGCAGCGCTCGTCGGGGAGGCTCGGGCAGCACAGGAGCCCACGGCAGTGGGGAGGCTCAGGCATGGCAGGCTGCAGGTCCCGAGCTCTGCCCAGCAGGGAGGCAGCTGAGGCCCAGCGAGAATTTGAGCGCAGCGCCAGTGGGCCGGCACTGCTGGGGGACCCAGCACACCCTCTGCAGCTGCTGGCCCGGGTGCTAAGTCCCTCACTGCCCAGGGCCGGCGGCACCAGCTGGCCGCTCCGAATGCAGGGCCCGCGGAGCCCACGCCCACCCAGAACTTGTGGTGGGCTGCCAGTGCCATGCGCAGCCCCAGTTCCCGCTTGCACCTCTCCCTCCACACCTCCCCACAAGCAGAGGGAGCTGGCTTCAGCCTTGGCCAGCCCAGAGAGGGGCTCCCACAGTGCAGCAGCAGGCTGAAGAGCTCCTATAGTGTGGCCAGAGTGGGCGCCAAGGCCAAGGAGGTGCCAAGAGCAAGCGAGGGCTGCCAGCACGCTGTCACCTCTCACCCTCAGCTCAGTTCTAGACCAAGCAGTTTAAGGTCTGGGAAATTAACTTTTCCCAGTTTGGAGGATGCATCCGAGGGGAGTATCCTGTAGTAGGGGGACACAATTACCCCTCTGTGAAGAGAGGACAGAGGAGGAAAAAGGAAAAAGAAGGCATTTTCTCTAAGGAGCCCCCCTGCCTCAGGATGCATTTGAGAGAGGTACAGACTAAAGATGAATGGTTACCCAGCTAGGAAGACAGGATAAGGTGTCCCTAATTCCTTTGTCTTCCCAGCAAATATGGGGTACATGAGGCAGAGAAAGAAGAGGTGTTTCTTTTCTTTCTTCTGTCCTTGTATCTTCAAGTCCTGGCAACCTTGACAGGGTGCTATCGATAGGTGTCAGTGCAGCTTCCACTCACGTTAACACAGGGGCCTAGAGGGTGGGAATATCGTACTCACCCACATACACCCTGTCTCCACTGTTGTCATAACCTTTGCGTTCCTTAGACCTTGACAGACTGCAGCCAGCAGCTGGCTGCTGCCTCCTTATCATAAGCTGAATGCTAAGGTAAAGCTGAGGAGCTGGGTTCTCCTCCAACAAGGGAGAGAAAAAGGGTGTCTTGTGAATTTGGGTCCTGGCCTAACAAGATGCCTTCCAAAATGAAAAAAAAAACTCTTGCATAGAAAAGCTCCCTATATCTGCAAGGCTGCATTAACTGCCTACAGGGTGGAGAAAAGGAAGAAAAAAAAGCTTAGGTGCAAGCCTGGGAAGATTCCTGGGGGAGAAACCTCTTATTCTTATGCAATGGGTTTCTTCATCAGGGAGAGAAACCTTTCATTGCTGTCTCCTTCCTGGGACTCCCACTGAGCTGGACCCCTTGGCCAGGGGAAGGGAAGACTGCGTGGGTGCCTGGTGGGGAACACTGGCCAGCTAGCCACCCCAGGCCCAGGCTGTGTGCCCCAGACAGGAGGGGAGTGGGGCAGGGAGCCACTGCTCACCTGTCTGTCCTGTGCACATGCCTGCAACCATTGGGGTGAGGGTGAAACACCCCTAATATTGTAAAAGAAAAGATAGGTGCCAATACATTCCCCCAAAAATGAAGGAAAATCCATGGAAAAGACTGGGTTTGACTGAGGCCGACATTTCCAATGCCTGAGAATGATGGGGTGGGGAAGGGGGCAGTTTCCTCTGCCTTCAGAAAAAGTCTGAGGACAAGAAAGCTCAGAAACAAAAGTGAGAGAGATGTTTGGGTCTGCATTTTACTCACCCTTCTGACAAGTCCCCGTAGAGGCCACCAAAATGATGCAGGATTTTTTTGCTCCTTAGGTCAGCTAATCTGGGTTCTTGTCTCATGACCAGGAAGAATTAGGCAGGCAGACACATTGAAGGGTGAGGAGGGTGGAATGTATTAAGTGAAAAGAAACCTCTCAGCAAAGAGAGGGGGTCCTGCAAGCAGGTTTCCACCTCCCAAATTGAATACCAGGGCCACTACACACCAGCTGAAGAGGCCAGGCTCCTCCTCTGCATTAGGCCCGAATTTCTGGTGGCTCCACACCATTCCCCCAGTGCATGTGGGCCTCTAGTCTGCCGTGGGCATGCCCAGGTAAGCCCCCTGTGCAGGTTCCCTTATCTGCACAAAACATCTGGTGTAACACTTGTGGGGCAGGTTGGAAATTCTCCAGAGATCCTTCTCTATCTGTCTACGCCTTTGTCTGCCTCCTGCCTCTATCACTAATATCTATTCTAAATTTCTCAATAGCTCAGTGGCTAATTCTGGCAATGAATTCTTTTTACTGACCCCAATTCATCAGAAACTGGGATAGAATGCCCCAAAATGGATTGGCCCTATTCTGGGATTTCATACTATGGATACATCAACTTTCAGTAAATAGAAATATTGGATATTTTTTAGCTTACAGGGGAGGAAATGGAGACTTGGGGAGCTGGTGGTCTGCCAAGACCACACAGCTTTCTTAAGGCAGATCACAGAAAACACTCTGGGCCTTCTGGTTCCTGATTCAGTGCTCTTTCCTTTAGCATCCTCTTGGGGAGAGCATCAGCTGCTGAGGGTCTGCCTAGGCAACAGAGTCACCACATTCTTCCTTTCTCCTTCCTCACAGGTACATGAACTCATGGCCAGCATACCTACTTTTTTGTCCTATCTGCTGTGCTCAAGAGCTGAGGAGTCTTGGACATATCACTTAGTTTGCAACATGTAAAGTCCTACATAAATATCTTATAAACTGTGCAGATATAGTCACCAGGTCCTCCCTTATAGGACCCAGCAGTATGATAAGAGTGGCCAGACATCCAGGCACCAGGTTTCCTAGGCACATTGGAGATGATTAAATGTGGGGGCTGGCTGTGTTAGTGGTGGCAAATCCATGTGGGTCTGCAGCAACCTCAATTCTTGCCTCCTCAGAAGAAAGAATTTGACTGAGGGGCGTTAGGCAGAAGAAGAGACTGTGGCAAGTTTTAGAGCAGGATTGAAAGTTTTTTTAAAAAAAGCTTTAGAGCAGGAATGAAAGGAAGTAAAGTACACTTGGAGGAGGGCCAAGCAGGTGACTTGAGAAATCAAGTGCGCTGTTTGATCTTTGACTTGGAATTTTATGCATTGACATACTTCCAGGATCTTTCATTCCTTCTCCCTGGCTCTTCCCTTGGAGTGTGCTGTCTGCATGCATAGTGGCCTGCTAGCGCTTGGAAGGGGAGCACACATAGTGTGTTTACTGGAGTTGTCTGCATGCTTACTGGAGGCATTCTTCCCATACCAGCGGAATGTTTCTCGAAGGTCATATACCAGTTAAACTCTTCCATTTTGTCTCTTAATGCACATGCTTGAGTCTGCTTGCCCAACTCCCAAGATCTTATCAGGAAGCGACTTCTATTAGTCACCTAGAAGGACAGAACTAATAGGAGATAGATAGATAGATAGATAGATAGATAGATAGATAGATAGATAGATGGATGTGAGTATTAAGGAGTATTAACTCATATGATCACAAGGTCCTACAATAGGCTGGAAGCTGAGGAGCAAGGAAGCCAGTCCGAATCCCAAAGCTGAGGAACTTGGAGACCGATGTTCGAGGGCAGGAAGCATCCAGCACAAGAGAAAGACGTAGGCTGAAAGGCTAAGCCAATCTGACTTGTTCACATTTTTATGCCTGCTTTATATTCTATCTGTGCTGGCAGCTGATTTGATGTTGCCTACCCAGATTAAGGGTGGGTCTGCCTTTCCCAGACCACGGACTCAAATGTTAATCTCCTTTGGTAACACCCTTACAGACACACCTAGGATCAATACTTTGCATCCTGGAATCCAATCAAGTTAACACTCAGTATTAACCATCACACTACTGATCACTAGTTTCAGGGTTTTTCTATCTATCAGGAGACTGCCTTTTGTTGGCACTGGCTGTGGCCAATTATTATTTTAGAGAGACAGTTTAACAACCACCTGACCATCACCTGATGGTCACCTGACATTCGTGGAGGGGTCAGGGGGGGCCTCTCCTGCCGTGCTCCTTCCTGACTAGATACCTACTGTAATACCTGTACTGCCCAAGCCTATGCAACCCACCAATCCTTGAAACATATAGCTAAAGCCGCACCAATCCTTAAGACATAGCTAAAGCCAGTTGCACTTGTATATTTCAAACATAGC
Source organism: Homo sapiens (assembly GCF_000001405.40). Classification (NCBI taxonomy): domain Eukaryota; kingdom Metazoa; phylum Chordata; class Mammalia; order Primates; family Hominidae; genus Homo; species Homo sapiens. The sequence continues at coordinate 177,831,855 of NC_000002.12, read as the reverse complement.
CCTGATGACTACATTTACAATCCCTGCATCAGTTAAAGTAATAGATAAACTTCAAAATTTCTGTGGTTTAATATAATAGAGGCTTAGTTTTTGTTCATATTAAGCCCAAATGGGTTTTCCTGATCAGTGTTGGTGGGATAGGGAGGTGTTCCCTATTATGTGAATGAAATATTTCAGCAGCAACTTATGAATGACTTGCCCCATGGACCATATTGTGAATTCTTCAGATTGATAACTGCTGGTGCTGATCCCAATACACCCACTTGTGTGCATTTGATAGCTTCTTGTTCAATTCAGACTAGCATAGGAAGCTTGCCAATTTGGGAATTCATGACACCAGTGGGTATTTTCTGTTAGTAAGAGATAATTTACTCTATCAAGCTTTGCTTTAGGCATACAGTTAAGGTATGAAGGGAAACTAGATTTCTAATTTCTGTGTCTTTCCTATCTTGATAAAATTCAGGGAAGTCCTTAGAAACTCTGCCCAAGATATGCAGCAAGAGAATGATCCTTATTTTGAAATCTCAGTTTTGAAACTGTTGGTCTTCCTTTTGATAGGAGCTACAAAGGGATGTCTTTAATGTGATGTAAACCCCATCCCAAGTGCTGTCAGATGCCTGCTGAGAGGGCTATGGGGCAAGTAATCATAGTTGTTTGCCTGCTGGGTGTTCTCTTAGTGATTGTCTTAAATATTTAATGGAGTTCCCTCCTTGTGGTGAACAGAGCAGACTTAGCAGGTGAGCCATAGTGATTATTTGCCTTCTGAATGCCTGTTTGAGTTGGCTCTCAAAAGTGGCACCTGCTGGGCTTGATAGCATACATGGTTTTAAGGCCAGACTCTTTGGCTTATGGGTGGAAAAATTATGACAAAAGATTATATGTCACAGAGCTAGAACTACATTTGTGAGCTTTAAATTCTGCGACCTTATGAAAATCACTGTTTATTCTGTTACAAGATTCTATGAAAAGAATGTAAGACAGAAAAGACCTACTCAATATAATATTATATTTATTTATAGTAGTACAAGAAACCCTCATGTTTATGGGTCATCTGTTCTTAGGTTTTGTAGCTTTATCAGTCATCTGCTCCATGGGAACAGGGTATCCATGTGTGTTTCTGAAGACATTGTCAGGGTTATTATGTATATTAATTTTCTATTGCAGCAAAACAGATCACCACAAACTCAGCACTTAAAACAACACCTGATTATTATTATTATTATTATTATTATTATTATTATTATTATTATTATTTGAGATGGAGTCTTTCTCTGTCTCCCAGGCTGGAGTGCAGTGGCTCATTCTCGGCTCACTGCAACCTCCGCCTCCTGGGTTCAAGCAATTCTCCTGCCTCAGCCTCCCGAGTAACTGGGATTACAGGTGCACACCACCATGGCTGGCTAATTTTTCGTATTTTTAGCAGAGACAGGGTTTCACCATGTTGGCCAGGCTGGTCTTGAACTCCTGACCTCAAGTGATCCACCCACCTTGGCCTCCCAAAGTGCTAGGATTACAGGCGTGAGCTACCGCGCCCAGCCAAAACAACACTGATTATTATCTCACAGTTTCTGTGGGTCAGAAGTCTGGGCATGGCATTGCTGGGTTCTCTGCTCAGGGTCTCACAAGGCTGAAATTAAGATATTGGCCGTGTGGAATTCTCATTTGGATCTTGGCGTTCTTTTTAAAGATCATTCAGATTGTTGGGAGAATTGAGTTCCTTGCAGTTGTAGATTGAGGCTCTCATTTTTCTGCCGGCCATGGCCCAGGGTCTGTCTTAGCTCCCAGAGATTGCCCTTGAGTCCTAGAATGTGGCCCTCTCATCACATGGCAGCTTACTTCTTCAAAGCCAATGGGAGAATCTCACTCCAGTTGGCTGTGACAGAAGCTTACCTCATGTCCGGAGTGGCTTATATAATCTCAGGAGTGATTATCCCATCGTCTTTGCCATGTAACGTAACATCACCAGGGAAGTGACCGTGCTAACATATTCACAGGCCCTGTCCACACTCAAGGGAAAGGATTATTCAAGATATGTAGGAAGCCAGAGTTGGGGGTGGTGGCAGGTGGGATTCTTAGAGGCCATCTTAGAATTTTGCTTATTATAGGCTGGGCACAGTGGCTCATGCCTGTAATCCCAGCACTTTAGGAGGCCGAGGCAGGCGGATCACAAGGTCAGGAGATCGAGACCTTCCTGGCTAACGTGGTGAAACCCTGTCTCTACTAAAAATACAAAAAAAAAAAAAAATTAGCCAGGAGTGGTGGCACACGCCTGTAGTCCCAACTACTCAGGAGGCTGAGGCAGGAGAATTGCTTGAACTCAGGAGGCGGAGGTTGCAGTGAGCCGAGATCATGCCACTGCATTCCAGCCTGGCTATAGCATGAGACCCCATCTTAAAAAAAAAAGAATTTTGCCTATCATACCCTAATAAAGACTAAAATATAGTCCATGCACAATGTCTACCCCATGAAGCAATCTATATATCCTGATATTTTAAAATGTCTACAAGAAAAAAGTAAACAGAGAAGTATGTTTAAAATAATGTATAGAAGTATGTATAGAATAATATATGTGGGTATATACATAAACAGTATATGCATATTTTTAATAGGTATTTTAAACTTAACATGTCTAAAGCACAGGCCACAGTCTCCTGCCCCCCAAGCCTGCTCCTCTCTCTGTTTCCATATCTCTATTGAGGCAACACAATCCTTCAGGATGCTTATGTCAAAAAAAGTATAGGCATGATTCTCCCTTTCTCTGATGTTGAACATGAATTCATCAGGAAGTCCAATTGCTTAATTTATCCAGAATCTGACCACTTCTTACCACTCAGCTGCTACCACCGAGATCCAGCCTACTATCATCCCTGTACTATTTCATGTACAAATCCTCTTAAACTGTCCCTCTCCTTCCACTTTGCCCCTCTATACTCTTTTCTCAACACAATAGTCAGAGGCTATTAAATTTTAAGTTATGTTACAACTCTGCTCACACACTCTTCAGTGTCTCCTTATTTCACTGCAGTAAAAGCCAAATTTGCAATTCTTTCAGAGATCTACAATGCCATACACCATCTGGCACCCTATCATCCACCCCCATCCCTTACTCATACTATGCAAGCCACACTAGTCTCCTTGTTCCTATAATGTGCCACTTACACGCCCACCTCAGGGGCTTTGCACTGGCTACTCCCTCAGCTGAAATACTCTTCCCCCAATATCTGCATGGCTCATATCCTCTCCTCTTTAAGACCATTGTCCAAATGTTACCTGACAGTAAGGCCTGATACCCTTGGTACTCCTTACCCCTCTTATCTGTTTTTTCCCTATCATCTTAACATCTTCTAACATATAATTTATTCATTTATCTTTGTATTGTTTACCATCTCTCTTCTATCACTAAAATGTAAGCTCTATGAAGGTGAGGATTTTGTTGTTGTTTTTCACTGCTGTATCCCCAACACCTAGAACCATGTTTAGTAAATAATAGACATTCTTGTTGAATATTGTTCAATATTGTCAAATATATTATCTATGTGTAATTTATGAATATGCTTTATGTCATTAAATATATTATATATTGACATGAACTTAATACATATTTATAAGAAAAGGTGAGGAAGGACTTGTACCAACTTGTTAATAATTGCTATCTCTAAAGATGGAAAGGTTAGAGCTTTTGATTTTATTTGTGCTTTAAATTTTTCATGTGTTCATATTATTTTTATAATCATGAAAAATTTTAAAGATATTCTAAAATCTTAGACTATATCTTATATGAAATTATGTTTTACCAGGTTATTTTGAGTCTTCTTAAAGTTATAAACAATTATCTAAAACCATTATTGAAATAATATAATATCTAAACAAGTCAACTTGCCTTGCTGTATCTTTGGGGAATTCAGATGGATTATTTTCTATTCGCCTTTGCCTCTGTTTCTTGGGATTTATTCCAACTAGGAGCATTGTCTGAGATTGCCCCAATAGCATGTACATAAACTGCATTTGCAGATGACCGCCTCTTGTATTAGGTGACTTCTTAGAATGCATACTCTATTTACAAATATCCTCACCATTACAATCATTCTGTCCTTGCTTTCAACTGGCATTGTGCCTCGGAATTCAATTTTCTGTAGTTAGTTGCACTTTAGTATATCATCTGTGACACTTTCTGCCCTTCTCTTCTTATTAGATTCAAAGAATGCATTAAAATAAATACACTAATGCAAAACAAGCCATTATTTAGTCAGTCTAAGGTATTATATTCCATTGTTTAATTCAGTATTTCCTTCCATTTGTGTAGTTATGGAGAGAATTTTCAGAGCCATCACATGCAGTATTTGCTTTTTGCCTACAATAAGAATGAACACTTGGACTCAACATTTAAATAGAAAAGGTTCATTCAGCAAAGGGAATGTCAGAAATTAACTAAAAAGTAGGGCAGGCCTTATGCATGGATGGATTTGGTGGTCCATTTATTTGTTACAAATTCAGGAGACGTGGGAAATCCATCAGTACCTAGATCTTCTCTGCCATGGAAGGCCAATGCCCAGAGTTACACAATTAACACTAAGGTGGTGTGATCTGAACTCTGTAGCTCTTCAGTCCCATGCAATTCTTCCATGTAAAGTTTTTCCTCTGATTTTTTTAAAGCCTATTATAGACAACTCAATATTACTTATCCTCGTCATGTAGCACTTAAGGATAATGGGGCTCCAGGCTCTGAGATTCTCTGATTTAGAGCATTAAAGCCCATTTTGCCTGCCAGATCTTTGTGGTGGAGCACTCCCGCACCCCCACAGTGGCTGCTGAGAGCTAGCCTGGCAGGACAGGTCATTCTCTATTCTCTGTAACACCTTCTGGTCTATCAGTTATGCTTCTGTTGCAAAGGGAAATGTGCAAAATTGGAAACATTAAGAGACAAAGCTCTGTGGATCAGCTGAAATTCATTTGCTCTTGTCAATCTTCTCTCAGTTTCTGTTACTTAGTGTGAACCAGTTTGAGAACCTTTCCTGAGAAGAAGGGTAGATTGGACAGTGAACGTAAGAATTACAGTTGAGCAGAAGGGAAAGGAAGGTTAGAGGTTAGAAGTTAGGGGGATTACTAAGACTTAAATAAAATATAGAATGGGGAAGCAGTGGGTAGTGAAAACAAATACAAGTCCCACAGTTCTAAGAATCCAACAGACTTTGCTGCATGGGCAGTGGAGAAAATGCCTCAGCTCCAAGCACAATCATTTATTTTTCAGGAATTTAAGGAATCATATACAGGCACTATTCTACAAACCATTAGGATTTATCCTATGTGCAGGTAAGATAGGCCAAACTCAGTTCTCTCTCTATTATTTCATGGAAATCAAGGGACTGACTGGGAACATTGGCTCCCTCAGCTTGTCTGGTTACTAGAATTTCTCACCACTAGATTATCTTTGGGGAGAAAGTGTTGCTTTAGATTATTGTTAAAGTTGTACGTATCTTTCTAGAGAAAGGAAATACACTGAACATTAATAAATAGTATTATATTATCACCAATTTATTTAACATTTCCTTTGACCACCTTTGAGAGGCTAGAAAATATAACAAGTACATGTTGATGGCTCCAAGAGCTAAACCATCTTTAATTAGATCCATTAATTGGAAAGGCCCCATGAGGACAGAAACTAGTTAACATTTTTAAGTAGACATATCTTTGCTTGGAAAGAACTAAGCACTCGCAGAAATATATTTAGTTTAACTGTTGCCTTCTAGAAAGGCTGCTTTGTCTCATGTTGTCTAACTTTTGAGACTCTAATGGTGTAAATGTTAAACCAAGAATGACCAAGGCACCATGTGGAACAATAAAGCAGATTTTTTTGGCAGTTGTTCCTTTCAATATTAGCAATATTTGTATTTGTAAAACTCCTTACAAATTTTGAAACCCTTTCACACACAAATTTTCATAAAACAACTTGGAAAACAAGAAAAAGCACAAAGATGAGAATCAGCTGTGAGGCCAAAATATGAAGATAACCAATGTTACCATTTTGGTGTGCAGGAGATAAATATTAATGATAAAATTGAGGCATTGAAACTTTGGGTGACTTCGTTGGGGTGGTGTGGCTGATGGGCATTTTTGAGCTCCATTGACTGATTTGATATGGAGAGTTGGGGTTATCTGGTGAACAGGAATGATTCTTTCCTTCATACTTGCTTATTACTCTTTCTCCCTGTTTGGAATTTATTCGTTAGACATCCTGTGCTTCTTTCATCTCCCTTCTCCTTTTCCTCCAGCCCCTGCAGAGGATAAAATGGACTCCTGGGCCTTGCCTTTTCATATGGTTACATGAACTAACCTGGATTAGCACAGTTTTCCAGAAAAAATAGCTGCTGCCGCAAATAGGCAATTAGGGGATTTCATTAATGATTTTAAAATGGAAAAATTCACTCTCCTCACACTCTGCCATCCTTCCTTGTTCTCCTCTCCCACCTGATTGGGCTCATCAAGCATGTTGATCATCACCATTCCTTAGCCTCACCTCCTTCCCTCAAACACAGTGGAAACACTTTAAAGACACCCTCTGCATTCTCTGATGCTTCACCTCTTCTCCTGTGCTCAGCTCATACAAGACTCCAGCTCTGAATAGTTGCAGCTCTGCTTTCTCATTATGGCCTTCCTCTCTTCCAGGACTAACCACTTGACTTTTATTCCTGATCACATCCTTTCTTCCCTTGACCATTTTTGCCTTCAATGATCCCACTATGTTGCTAAATTCAGTAAGCCATTTTCAGTCCTTATCTTATTAGACTTCTCTATAGCATTGGACACTGCTGCTCCCCCTAAGTTCTACTTAGAAAATAACTTCTTCCCTTATGGACAAATTATCTGTGTTTATTATCTAAAATTTACAAACTAGGAGCAATAATTTTAAAATTCTAATAGCCAAGAAATTCAAAGGAAACTATTATGGTCATAATTTTTCTAGGATCCTTCAATGTATATAATATGCTTTTGTATACCCATAGGCATGTACACTATTATCATTTAATATATTAAATATTTTCCATATGAGTAACTATTCTTCTATAGCATGATTTTAATTAGATGCATAATATTCTGTTATGTGAATGTGCTATGATTTACTTAACCAACTGCCTTCAGTTGAATATTCATGTTATTCTAATAAATCACTAAGATAAATAATGCTGTGGTTCACACTTTTACATGTAAAGCTTTGTGCATAGCTTTGATAATTACCACAGGATAAATTCCTAGATATGAAATTGATAGGTCAAAGAGTATGTATTTATACTTTTTAGGCTCTGGATACACATCAATAAACCTATTTCCGGAAAGGTTGTAGAAATCTGTTCACACACATTATGGATGCAGTAAAGCCTTCAGGTTAAGAGCATGAGCTTTGGAGTTCTTGTCCATCCCTGTCACTGATGTCACCTTTTTCTTCCAGCACTAAATATTGTGTTCCCCAAAGTTCAGTTTTTAGTCTTTTTGTTGGACAAGTTCTCTCTTGCAATAACTATGCAATTAACTTAAATCTTACCCATGCAATTAACCCAGAGGACTGGTGACTCCAAGATTGGTATCTCCAGCCCCTCTCACTTGTAATGTGTGTCCATTTGGAGTTCGTATCATTTCCCTCAAATTTCCTGTGTTCCCCACTTCAAGAACTCTTCCACCTTTACTCAAGCCAGAAACCTCAATGTTATCCTCCATGGGGATGGGAGAGTGCATACTCCCACTTTCCCAGAAGAAAAAAAAAAACTCTTTTGGGGAACTGTAGTACTTTAAAAGTGATGGGTAAACAAAATTCTCTTTTATTTAACTGGCGAACAGCCTAAGGTTTGTTTTTCTCACCACCAGCTTCTAAATTGTCTTTCTTACTGCATGTTCCTTTTCTTCTTGCCCATTGTGACCTGTCCTTCAGCTGCCCAGATTTCGTAGGAAACGTTAGACAGGAGCTACTGTTGTCCCAGAGTTGGCAGAGACAATTGTGTTTACTACTTGGTGCTGCCTCAAACCCAATGGTCTGTACAATGATATGTGTCGCTCCCACAGCAAAACAAAGCAGACCCAGCCATCCTAGTGCTGCTGTGGCTAGCCTAAGTCTGTAGATTATACCTTTCTAAAATTGGCTTTCTTCTCTTCATGCTTACTGGTATTGCCTTAATTCAGATTTTATCCTTAGGGAGGGGAAGAAAACCAGTTTGTTTTTTTGGAAGATAACTTTGATGGATGTGTTTGCCATTGGCTGTGCTCCTTTGAGCCAGTCTCTCTCATTCAAGGCAGTTAATCTCCCTAAGTCTCATCTGATAAGAGAGGATGATAACAGTACCTACTTCATGGGGTGGTTGTAAAAAGTATAAAATAATGCATAAGAAAGTGCTGAGCGGAATGCCAGACAGAGAGTGAACATCTAGCAAATGTGAGCTTATCATCATCACTGTTGTCTTTGAAGACTCATTGTAAAGGGTCTTGGGCTGCTCCTGATTTCTCTAAACAGAGTGAATTGTTGTCTTTCCAATAGTGTTTGAACATCCTCTACTTGGACACTTATTTTATCTCAATATTTCTATCTTTCCTAGACTGTGAGTAGCTCAAGGGTAATGACTATTTGAATCCATTTTTCTATCCTCAATACTAAGCAATGTGTCTGGTGCATAGAAGGTGGTAAATAAATATTTTTTGGAAGAGTACACTGGACGAATGATTTATGCTTACGTTTTTGTTTTTGCATCTGGAATTCTCAAATATCAATCAATCTAATTCACTCTATTAACAAAATAAAAAAGGAAAAATCACATAATCTAAAATTACATGACTAAAAGGTATAAGAATTAAAGGATAAGATGACGTGATCATGTGGCAAGAAAATCCAAAACACTTTACAGGTAAGACATTAAAGTTAATAATTGAATGTAGCAAGATTGATGGAAACAAATTTAATATTAAAAAGTCGATTGTATTTTTATGTACCAATTACAAGCATTAGAAAATAAAATACTACTGTTATTTACAATAACATGAAGTTTTTAAACATCAGGATACAAATAAAACAAATTATGTGTAAGAACACTACATGGAAAACTACCAAACTTTGCTAAGAGAAATTTTAAGAGCCTTAAATAAATTAAGGGATATTTATGGATTGAAAGACTCAGTTTTGTAAAGGTGTCAATTCTCCCCCAAACAGATAGATTCAAAAAATACCGATAAAAATCCCAGGAATGTATATGTATGTGTATAAACTGCAAATTGATTCTAAAATTTATATGTAAATGCCAGAGGTCAAAAATAGTCAAGACAATCTTGAAGAAGGAAAAAGTTGGAGGATTTGCACTACCAGATACTGAGCCTTATCATACAACTGTATTATTTAAGACAGTGTGGTATTGGCATAAGGATAGATACCTAGATCAATGGAATAGAATAGAGAGTCCAGAAACAGATCCAAATATATATGGACAGTTGATTAATGAAAATGATGGCACAGTAGAGTGATGGGGAGAGGTATTGCTTTTTCCCTCAAAACAGTGCTGGATCAACTGAATATCCATTTCAAAAAAAAAAGAAATTTTGACTCCTAGCTCATATTATACATGAAAATCATTTTCAGTTGGATTATAAATTTAAATGTGAAAGTTAAAACAGTAAGGATTCTAGGAAAAGCACAGAAGAATATCTTCATGAGGTTGGAATACAGAAAGATCTCTTGAACAAAACCAAAAAAATACTGACCATAAATTTAAAAATTGAAATATTTGCCTATATCATATTAGGGACCTCTGAATCAAAAGACACCATTAAAAGAGTGGAAAAACAAGCCATGGAATAAGAAAAATATTTGTAATACATATATCTTGCAGAGGGCTCTTATCCAGAATATAGAAGATACTTTTACGAGCCAATTTTTAAAAATCAGACAACCCAACAGGACAAAAGACCAAAGTTCTGAACAGGCACTTCATGGAAGAGAGTAGAAATAGATGATAAGTATATGAAAAGTTGCTCAACTTCATTAATCATAAGTAGGAAAATTATAAATTTATTGTCCAAATTTAGACACTTTTGAGAATGAAAGGCATATTATTAATAATTATGTCAGGAAAACAGACTTAAACCAGGATTTATGGTCACCCTAGTCATCAGAGATAATCAAATTACTTTCACAAGGAGATATAACCACATATCTATCAGAATTGTCAAAATTTTTTTTTAAAAGCCTGACAACATCAAATGTTGGTGATGATATAAATCAACTGGAACTCTCATACACTTCTGGTTAGAAGGTAAATTGGTACAAGTACTTTGCAAAAACTTTAAAATATATATTTTGAAGCTGAACAGGTGAATAACTCAGCAATTTTATTATAAGTATATGCCTATCAGAAATGCATATATGCACTAAGTATGTACAAGAATTTAGGGGTTTGGAGGTGGCTTCTGGGGCAGTGATAATATTCTATGTCTTGATCTTGGTGGTAGTTGCATAGATCTGTTCATTTTGTAAAAATCCATTAAGCTGTATACTTACAATTTTGGGGCCTTTCTACATGCATGTTAATCTTCAAAAAACATTGAAAAAGAGAAACTAACATATTGGTACAATGAATAGAAGATATCTGGAAAATTAACTTCTCAAAGAGAAATGTCAAAAAGAAAAAATCCAGTATAAAATTTAGGTATGTAAATTAACTTTTAGTTTCAAGTGTTTAAAATATGTGGCTCTTGCCTTCAACAAAGAATATTTTAAAATATCTTTTTATCTCCATATCCATGATCCAAAACCTTCATATCTTATTGTTTTCTCCTATTGTATTAGAACAATAGATTGACCTCACTGAAAATCAAGGTCATATTAACTCCCTAAGACCCTTTCACTCTTAGTGGTTTCTCTCTAACCATTCAAATATGGACCACTGTTTTTAATATTAAATGGAGTTTGTTACTCAATGTTTGATGTTGATAATTATACCTCTGTATTTTAAATGTCACCTCCTGACATATTTGGGGTACAGAAGGAAAATATTCAAACCTCTACCTCTATCTTACCTTTTTTGTATCTAGATTTGACAACATACATAATAATATAGTAACAGTAAAAATATAGAGTATTAAAAGTAAATGTAAATATGACAGCATTATAGGCACAAACATGTTTTACTAACAAGTGCACCCAGTCAAAGATAAAAATTGATCACTGGTTTAATTAAAATGCTTTAAATACCCAGAGGAGAAACAGTTGCTGGAATTCTTGTCTAGTGGTGTGGTCATGATCAAGATAGTTTTATGTCCAGCTCTCTATGGCTGCAGGGATTGAAGGAGGTCATGTTGGTTTTGGATTTATTTGGTTGATTCATATTTGGCTTGGGTTTGATTCCTTTAGGATGTTCATTGTGATGAAGGAGGCAGGTGAGTGAGTTTATGCATTACAAAATTAGGTTACAGTGTATAAAATAGCTTTAAAAAGTTATTTTTGAATATCTGTTATGAAAAATGGAAAAAATGTAAATCAAAAATGAATAGTTAATATTCAATTTTAATTAACTTCTTTCTTGTTTCCTAGGCAGACCAGATATCTGGTTTTCACATAAGATCTGTTCTTTGTGTCCCTATTTGGAATAGCAACCACCAAATAATTGGTAAGAGATGACCTAAATAGTTAAACTTCTTGAATAAAGAAACAGAAGTTTGCTTTAAAATATTCCCATATCTTTTTTATGTGTTCCCTCTTTTTATGGCCAGGACTCATCAAACTATGTCTCACACTCTCGTATAATTTCATAAGCACAGGCTCCTAATGAATCAACATTATCCACAACTTGAACAAATATGTATTAAATTGAAAGAACCAATAAATTTTAAAGTCGTAGAGAATCTGAGTTATCAACCAATAGAACTCTTTTATCTCACCCTGTGGAAATAGAGGCAGAGAGTGAAAAAAAAAGCCAGAGAGAGACAGAGACAGAGAGAGAGAGAGAGAGAGAGAGAGAAAGAGAGAAAGAGAGAAAGAGAAATGACTTCAAGAAGGCCACAAAGTTAATAGCAAGGTCAGGAACAAAATTCAGGCTTCCTAACTCCTAGTGCAGACTTTCTTACTATGTCAATGTGTTTACATCTGTGCTTTTTATACATGGTGTAAAGGCAAAGGAAGAAATAACATTCTATATTGGACATATACTGAGCATGCATTTTCTGCCTGGGCAGTTCTGAAATAGGCCACATTTTCCTCACAATAAGGGAATCATGGGCAAAAGCAGCTTCCAATTTTTCTCTTCCTCCATTCTCCTTTCCTTCTCCTCAAAAAAACTCAATTAGGAAAGCATCAAATTCAAGAAAGAAGCCCAGGCAAGGAGAATTCATGGTTGAAATAGAGAAGTCATGAAGGATGGAGGAATTAGTTGAAATTATTGAAACACAATAAAAATGTGACTTTTTTTCCTAAGAGACGTAAGAACACTAATTCATTTGGTAACTAATGCATCCATTTGCCTTTCTCTGCTTCCCCCTAAAATTGCCTGTTAAAGTCTAAGACACTGCTGCTTATTAAAGGATTTAGTATTCTGTGAGTGTTTTTAAGATATGAATTCTGAGATAATGTTTTTCATCAGCTTAGTCTGCATAAGAATATTGGTATGTTACTGAACATAAAGAATATTCTAAGGTTTGGGATCTAAGCCTCTAGTACAAAGACTTAAACTACATCATGCACAGAGTTTTAAATAAATTTATGTTTAAAGGGAAAGTCCATAAGAAACACCATGTGTTACCTGTTGATATTCCGTGGCAATCTCGTAGTCCTACATTTCAATCCTAAAAGTAAACATCCCTTATTACTTCAAAATTAGAACCGTAGTTTGCCTGGTTACATGCTAATAGTTTTGTGTTTCATTATTTATATATATATGTCTTCTTGCATATGATGACTTACCTCCCTGGTGGGAAGTTGGGTGTTTTTAAAAATACAAGCATACTTTAGAATTACAGCTGGTTTTTTTTTTCTTTTGTACTAAATGGGGACACAGGCTAGTGGTTTTCAAGATAGTTGATTTTTCTTGTTAAACTTGTGTATTTGGGAAGTCATGCCCTAAAACATCTGGTATAATACTAGAGGTGAAGTTTGGAAAAAGTAATCACTCATAAATTAAGATTTGTAGAACTATATGTACCCCCTGGTAGCAGGAAACAGAACTAACTTTGCTTTGAAGGTTAACTGTATTATATCAACTTTTATTGCTTGTAATAATTCCTAACATTTCTTGAATGTTTACTCTGAGTGAAGCAATATGCTAAATGCTTTATGAACATTCTAACATTATCTCATTTAATCTTCATAACCTTCTTAGGTAGTTAACATTTTAATCCCCATTTTACAGATGAGGAAATTGAGTGCTAAAAAAGTTAGGTAACGTGCCCAAGGTCACACACCTGATGGTGGAGTTGAAATTTGATCTCAGATCATCTAAGTCCAAAGCTTATGTTCTTAATCACAGTGCCATACTGCCTCTTTCAAGTATTGTGCTTCAGAGTATGATATATATATATATATACACACATATATATATATTTTCAGTTGAAATATATATATATATGTAGCTGAATACACACACATATTCAGCTACATATATACTCAGTTGTATATATAATATATGGGCAATATATTAGAGTTACTGTAACTAGTCATCTAGAATCAGATTAAAGCCTTGGTAGAACTCCGAACTACTGAGATCTAGTCTAAATAAATCAGCCTTGAAGAGAGAGTGCATTGTCCTACACCTCAGATTTATTCTCATGAAATCGGCAGGCACTTGAGAGACCAGAGTTTAAACTGAGTGCAGTTCCTTAAAAAAGGCATAGAGTTAGCTGTGGCTACTCTATTAGAGAAACACAATGTCCAGTACTAAAAATGACCACATAATCCACTCTTTCCCCATAGGAGTGGCTCAAGTGTTAAACAGACTTGATGGGAAACCTTTTGATGATGCAGATCAACGACTTTTTGAGGTAAGAAAATAAATTTATAAACCAAGTGGAGTCATCAATAGTCCCCTGGTTGCAGCTTGCCCAAATTTGAAAGACAAACAATTATTAGTCAATTATTATTATACTTAAATGGAGGGCAAAATTAACAGGAAGATTTAAGGAATATGTAAATGCTTAAGTGAGATTTGATCCTATTTTTTATGAATTGGATTATTTTGTAACCATCCATTATTTTTATCTTAATTTTATTACAGAATTACCCTCTCTTTTCCCCAAAGTGCTATTTTCTTATTCTTGTCTTGTTTGTGTGTGTTCAGAGTCATGAAACCCTGAGCCAGCTCTGCCAGGCGTGCTGCCCTCACATTTCTCTTGTTTACACGCTTCCGTGCATTCACTCCAGGCGCTCTAGCTGGAGAAGCTAGCCTTGAATGGGCTTCCTCATAGACTGTACCAGTAGCCAACATGAAAACCCATGGTTATCTTTCTCTAATCAAGAATACCTCATAGCTTCTTTATTAATGGTTCTAACTCAATCCTCCTTCCCCTTAACATTTACCTTATGGTTACATTAACTTGGTTTCTTTACCAAAGTATTTTATAGCCTAGCAACTAAAAGAGGTTGCTTTGGTTAAATAGAATGGATTTACTAAAATCAGTCCACAACCTAAATAAATTAAGAACCCACTTAAACAGAGTGTAAGTATGTTTTTAAACATATGAAATAGTTTCTCTACAATGACATTAAATTCATAATTTTTCCTCATGTGCAGTGTGAGCTATAAAGTTGTTATATAACAATAGTAATTAAGAATTTTAATGTGCCTATTTCCCCAAGGCCTACCTCTGTGTACAACAAGATTGTATTTTCAGACCCATCCCTGGTGGCTGCCTGCTTTCATATTAGATTTTGCCAATGAGTTGCTGCAATGTTTAATTAGCAGGTTTGCTCTTTCCTAGGCTTTTGTCATCTTTTGTGGACTTGGCATCAACAACACAATTATGTATGATCAAGTGAAGAAGTCCTGGGCCAAGCAGTCTGTGGCTCTTGATGTAAGTACAGTGTTTATGTCAGGTTTGTATGCTGTCAGCTCTAATTTTATGAGGGAAAAAATTTCCCTGGTTATGGGGCTTAATTTCTCAAATTTTAATTATTCATTGGGCCTTAATCATTTTAGGTTGTGGGTTTAAATCTCATGAAGTCCAGAGAAACACAATGTTGCATATGATTTCAGGGGTTCACAGATGCCTTGAAGCCCATTCATATAAGTCCTATGTTTAGATATAGATTTTTTAAAATTACATTTATTAAATAGTGACAATCCAAAGATAATTTGGCAGGATTTCAAATTTATTTTAAACTTAGATTTGAATATGTATAGATAATCTATAAAGTCACAACTTTTCTTATCGTAGGAGAAGAATTCACTACAAGGATATATGACCTAGATGGGGAAAGCTACTCCTGTCATTATCCGATTCCCTTTCTTCCTCCCTCCCCCAACACATGTCCCATCAAGAACCTTGACCTGTTCCCATGTCTGCACATATGTCCTCTCAGACACTAAGTTCCAAAAGAGCAGTTCTAATCTCCCCTGAATCTCAGACGCTTGTTTTGACTCAAGACTCGTTTTTTTCTAGCTTCTGCTCTGTAGTTGTTTTTTTTGTTTTGTTTTTGTTTTTGTTTTTTTTGCCCAGGCTGGAGTACAGTGGTGCCATCTCGGCTCACTGCAACCTCTACCTCCCGGGTTCAAGCAATTCTCCTGCCTCAGCCTCCCGAGTAGCTGGGATTACAGGCATGCACCACCATGCCCAACTAATTTTTGTATTTTTAGCAGAGATGAGGTTTCACTATGTTGGCCAGGCTGGTCTTGAACTCCTGACCTCAGGTGATCTGCCCGCCTTGGCCTCCCAAAGTGCTGGGATTACAGGCATGAGCCACCACACCTGGCCTGCTCTGTAGATTTTACCAAATATTTTCTTTATATCTATGAAATACTTACTAAGTAGGCAAGATAAAATGTCAGTGCCAAGATAAAAGTATATAGAAGAGTATGATATAATACACATGAAATCTTCAAAATATTCTGTGTGTCAAGCCAGATATAAGAAGTAGGCAAATTGATGTTACCTGCACTGCTCTGATTTGAGATGTAAAAGATGTAAAATTATAGTTATCTATCTATGTGCTTTTAATTTTCTGGCTAAATCATGGATTCTAGAAGCACAGGGATTTTTATTTGCAATGCCTAGCAGGGTGCTTAGTGCAAAGTTGGGATTTATTGAATAATTTTTGAATGGAGGGTGGGAGGGAAAGAAGGAGGAAGGAAAGAATCCCTTACCTTGGCAAGGGATGCTTTTTGCTCTTCTGAGACAGCCCTGCTTCGTTTATATGTAATATCTTTTTATAGTAAGGACTAAAAACAGTATCTATAAGATGCATCAATAAATGAGTGAACTATAAGTATTCAACCAACTGATAAGAATCATTAGTATAGCATTAAGGTCTGTGTGCAGAACTATTTTCAAATCCTGGATCTGTCACTTACCTCAATTGTGAGAATTAAATGAGATGAAGCATGTGAAGATGTTAATAAGTATTCGTAAAATCATAGCAATAATACTATTATTATTTGTGGTAGTATATTTATTACTGAGAAATCACCATGGATTGGGGAGAAATAGCAAAGGACAGGAATTTAGAACAGCAAATGTTGAGTTATGCCTCCTTCACCATCATCAAATTCTGATCTCCACAGTGTTGCTTCACCCATTGTTTTTCAGTAACTGCAGCTATTAAAAAGAAGGACACACCATACACTAGTCCCATCTAAATCCTACTTCATTATGTCACAGTATAATTAACACACAAAGAGAGAACATCTTACATATGCCCATATTCTCACTTCTCATCTACCTCTGGCACATCGTCGTCCTCTTGAGAAGGAGCTAGAATAACTGCGTTGCAGCATGAATGGCCATTTACCCCCAGATGGGAAGATTCAGTAAAAGGCACCACTCTCACTGGCACTACTCCTACCCCAATGAGCCACAGTTACCATTACCTAGAAAATGCTCATATACCCTAGAATTTCTGGCCCCAGTCTCTTTACCCATGAATTGCTTATTTCAGTTCATAGTGAACACCTCTTGTTTATGTAACTCAGATCCCTCTGTCCTTAGACACAAAAATTATTACTGACTCTGACAAATCTCTAGCCCAACTCTTAGCCTTGTGACAATCTGAAACTTTCAAGAAGTTGACTTATAGGCATTGACTTCTTTGTTCCACATGCTTTATTTTGTGCCAGTGTGGAAAGTGGCATTCCCAGTCAGAATTATGGTGTTGCCATCTTGCTCTTGCCGCTTCCACTCTCAGCCAACTCCCACCCCACTGAGTACGAAATTCTTGACACTAGTGATCAGGTGGCATCCACCCCGCTCCCTGGCCTAGGAATCCATGTGCAAGAGTATCTGGAAGGATTTCTTACCCTGAGGACTTTATAAAGACAAAAAGTGATTTTTTGAGAGCTACTAAACCCAAATTCAGGAATGAGATATACGTATATTATAATATACATCAACTTCTGAATATATATTTTTAAATTTATGTATTTATACATATTATATATGAATATGTGTAAGTGTAATATTTTTCTAAATATTTCTATGGAAAGTATGTATTTATAACTTGCTTAGTCCCATAAAAGATTTGAGCTACTTTATGAGAATATATATTATGTAACAAAGTTTTTTAAAAAGTAAAATAGTAATAACAGAGCTGAGAGAGAAAGCCAAATGCCATGTTACCCTTCTATCATTCCTATCCCTTCTTTCTGAGATCCTGGGCTAGTGCTTTCCCCTTTTCCACTGTGGCTAAGGGAAGATTCCCCACTCAGGTGTGCCCAGGTTCCTCTTCTCCTTGTGTTGTCTCATTTTTGCTTATTCTTTTCCATTATTGTCCTACTTGACCTTGACCCCAAAAGAGCTGTGTCTAAATGTAGCTCTTTCAGTCCCATAACCTTATTGCAGTGTCTTTTTTTTTTTCCGGTTAGCAACAAGAGTGGAGGGAAATAATCCATTCCACAGCACCCAGTGACAAAAACCACCCTAGAATCTTTTCCTTCCTTAAAAAGGGAGCACAAGTAGTTCATGGCCTAGAGAGTTAATGGGAATACATGTCTTGCTGTGTGTTCATGAGACTCAAGAGACAGCACCACACTGTTCTCTTCTGTCTTTTAAAAATCCTATTCCCAAGGCATTTTTCATAAAAATACTTCTCTCCATGGTACATCCTCTGAAAGTAAATATTCTCCATATATATTCCCTGGAAAGACTAATAATTCTCACAAATGGGGCAGAGTACAGTCTCTAAAACACTCAGAGCTCACTGGAAGTACACTTAAAAAAAATAGGGCTTTAACTTTATTTTTTTCTCCCAAACAGCCACTGATTTCTATATATTCATTTAATACTGGCTACTTTTCCTAATGATTTTGTTACTGGGAAGTACAGGAATCCTCAGTTCTTGTCTTACCTGGGAGAAAGAATTCAGCCAAGAGACCAATTAGTAATGTAAGCAAAAGATTTATTGAAAGAAAATAAAGAGTACAGAGTTTATTGAGAGAAGGACACTCCAAGAAAGGAGCAGGCTGGTCCAGCTGGAGAAACAGGAGTAGTAGCCTCAAAGGTTAGGTAGTAGCAGAGACAGTGCACGCTGAAAGATGAGGCAGAGCAGGGTGTTTAAAAGGGATAAGCCAGCAGCAGCCCCAAGAGTTCTGCATTGTGGTTATTATGGCAGACTGTTTCTTCAGGCTTCTGCCTCTGCCTCAAGTTTCCACCTTTGTCTTTGTCTAGTTCCCACTTCTGCCTTAAGTCCCCACCTAGTTTCCACTCCAAATTTGTGGGATTCCCCCCTACTGTTAGTTCACATGTATGTGCAGGCCAGTGTTGGATACAAATTCTATATAATGCCTGCATTACTCATTATCACCACCTGAGGAAGGTTGGAAAGTGGTTAAAGCTGTGCTTATTGCACCTGTGTATCTCTTAGGAATTTCTCCTTTTTCCCTCTTTACCCGCTTAACAGCATGTAGCTAGCTACATTCTGACAGGACAGTTTAATTGTGGAGTGAGTGATTACTGGGAGTCAAGGGGCATCTCTTTCTCCATAGGTATTTCCCTTCCTCTCTGCTCATAGCTAGGATGCATGTTTTGGGTGGTCTCTGGGTTATGAGATTTTTCCAAACCTCCCTTTTCTCAGGGGACTCACCCTCCTGCTCATATCTAGCTTATCTGCCTGCTTGAACAAGTTGAAATACCGCATTAAATTATATAAATTCTTATATATATTCAAGTATATTTCTTTACATGTTACTTTGTCCCATTGATCTACCTATTTCTAAACCAGAAACTTCATTGCTTTAAGTACACTTTTAATGCAGATCTTGCTTTGTGTCAGTGTCCCCTGCAGAAGGAGGTTGCTAACTTTATCCATGCAAAAGGCAGCATAGGGAGAAGATTTAAAGTGTCGATTTTAGTATTAGCCTGATCAGTTTAGTTAGGCTTGAATCCTGGTTCAGTAGCTATTGACCTTGGGCAAGCTACTTAACCTCTCAATCTTGTTTTATTCATATGTTAAATGGGTATAAGAAGCCTGTTTTCCCCATAAATATATATACCTACTATGTACCTACAAAAATTATAAGTTAAAAAAAAATTTTCAAGCCTGTTTTAACAGTTACAAAAAAATTACAGGGAAAGTGTTTAGAAAGAGTGTTTAGTTACAACTGGTACTTAATAAAAGTTAGTTGTTCTTACCAACCAGTGCATTTGGAGTCCTTAATCTTCATTGAGTTTTGTCTACTTAGCCCAAGATTTCTTGTAAGACTATGCTGACTGGGGAGCTATAATTTTTTCGCCTGTTTTATCAGGAAAATTACTACCTGCTTAAAGTCAGAGCTGAAAACAGATTGCCTGTTTCCTAGTTCTTTGATACATGCTGTTTGGTCACACCACTGAACATCCCAGAAGCATCGCAAGTGCAGCTGCTCCAGGGCACCAGTGTTTGCTCAATGCAGGCCCATTGTCTGTAGCCTGTGTTACTATACATGTATCTGCAGAAAAGTCTAGGGCATAGAAATACAAAATTTACCATGTCAGAAACAGAACAGGTCTTTAAAAGCTAGACATCTCCAAGGACAAAGCTTCCCCAAAAGACTTACCATGCAAGGCAGTCCTTTCCCTGTTGTCACATATTGGCAACTTCAGCTTATTTCAGCCATAATCCACACATGGTGAGAAATAGAAATGTAAGCATACAAAACATTTTCTACTGTTCTAGCCTTTAAAAATTGGAGTGACTAATACATTATCTGGATTTTGTTTAACAATTGAATTATCAACTCAATTATTTTGATGACTGTTTTTCTTAATTTCTTGTAATTTAATTATACAATTCTATTGTTAAAATCCTTTGTCCTAAATATATAAAATTAATACTTTAAGGCTCTTAGAGAGCAGAAATGCTCTTAAAGCTGAATAATGGAACAAAGAGAGGCATTTACTATCATTTTAATAACTTTAATTTCATGATCCTGATTTCCATTCTATATGACCAAGAGCTTCAGAAGAGCTATGCTAATGTAGGTTCATATTTTCTGAGAGTAGAAATTCTTAGGTAAAAGGAGGAACCTTTTTCTAAAAGCCACAATACAGAGAAAAATAAAATAAAAATGTAGATGTAGAATATAACTTCCTCATTTTGAACATCAGGAACTGTCCTTTGGGGTGTCTTTCACAGTTACTGCAAATGAAGCCTTACCTAATACTGAAGAGAAATTTGCCAGAAAATATAAGTCTGTGTGCTAAGGGACACTGCATACAGCTTTAGGATCAGAAGAGGGAAGAAATGAGGGTTTGACAGAGAGTAAGAAAAAGGCATATGCTATCAGGATCCAAGCCTCTTTTATTCTACCTCCCCAAAGCCTCTCCCATCTATTTCTGCCTTTCCAATTGTGACAGCAACCATCCTACTTAAGGGCTCCATTACCTCTGCACTGGACAATTGCAATAGCCTTCTACTTGTTCTTCCTAAAACATATTTTAGATTTCATCACTCACCCACTCATAGACCTTAAATTACTCCCCCATTACCTATTAAAGAACAAATGTCCTGGCCTTTGAGGCCCTCAGAAATCTCATACCAAACTTTCCTACCCCTGGCTCTCATTTCTCTTCTCAAGAGTATTATATGCTACTTACAAACCCAATGATGTCATAGTCTGAAGACCAGCTACCTGTTTCTCTGCCATCTGATCTCTGCTCTAACCTCCCCTCCACTTTTGTCATTCTCTGTTTCAATTATGCCATATCCACTCAAAATGTTCCCATCATTCAAAGCACAATGTAAATGTAATCTCCTCTATAAAAATTTCTAATCCCAAAGCTTTTTTGTTCCTGTTTGCCCTACATTGTCATTAATTGTAAGTCTGTATGTTTACCTCTGCTGAAACATATGTGCCTTGAAGTGTGTGATCATGTCTTATCTAGCTTTTATTCTTTTCAGTATTCTATATATAATTGGTACTCAATAAAAGTATATGGAATAAATGAATGCATCCCACCACAAATAATCATTTTGTCTGCCATGACAACATTCTGGAATGGAAAAGCTTGGGCTATGTTGGGAGAATTGACAGTCACTCTTAGTGGCAGTCTTGCTGACCACAGACTGGCATAACATCAGCTCGTATTCCCTTCCTCCTTCATAAGCCATGGGTACAGATACAGAGTTGCGCTTTTATTTGGGGAGGATGGTAGACCTCTTCCTAGATACCATCTTCCATGGGATATATCCTTAGATGAGGATGAAGAAGCCAATCTGACTTCCTGAAGGTAAGGGAGAAGGAGAGAAGTGGAAGCAGTGATTCTTTCATCAGGAATCTTCTAAGCTCCGAGGAAAGATTTTCTCTCACTGGATGAAAGGGCTAGACTCAGAGACTACAAGTAGAATGCCACTTCATTCTTTCTCACTCTTCTTCCTTTAAACTTACTCTGTTGAATCAATCATCCCCACTCCTGTATAAACTGTCTAGTACCATTCCACCACTTTTTTGGCACACACAGATGTTAAATTGTCTGCACACACAGATGTTAAATTGTCTCTGAGCTTCTTCCCTTCCCTTCATTTAGAAGCCTGTAGTCAGGAGAGAGACACAGTCATAGCTTCTTTACTCTTCCTCACTTCACCTTATCTCCCAATTCAGGTACAGGGCTCAAGAGGGAGGTAGGATGAAAGGGCAAAGTCTTAGGATTTCCTAACTTGATTTCAGGGCCATCTGTGTCAGACACCAACATTTTCTTTTTGTAATGAGCTGCTTTTATAAATTCTTCAGATAACTGCCTGGCTGGGAATCTCCTGTTAGCAATTACTTGTGGGTTTGCCTCTCCTGACTAACAGCTTATAATCCATTCTCATTCCTGGCTTCCACTGGCCCATCCTGACCCTCCCTCTGTGGGGGTCAGCTCACTTCTCTAGGCAGTCCTCTTGGTGAAGGTTATTTTTTGTTGTTTTTGTTTTTGTTGTTGCTTTAAAAGAGTGGTAAAATAAACACATGAAATTTATGACTTTAACTGTTTTTAAGTGTAAAGTTCAGTAGTACTAAGTACATTCACGTTGTTGTGCAACCATCACCACTATCCATCTCCAGAACTTTTTCATCTTCCCAAACTGAAACTCTGTACCCATGAGACACTAACTCCCCACTCCCCTCTCTTCAGCCTGTGGCAACTGCCATTCTACTTTATGTCTATGAATTTGACTACTCTAGCTACCTCATATAAATAGAATCATGCAATATTTGTCCTTTTGTGACTGGCTTATTTCCCTTGGCATGTCTTCCAGGTTCATTAAGGTTGTAGCATGTGTAAGAATTTCCTTCATTTTTAAGGCTTGAATAATATTCCATTGTAAGTATATACCACATTTTGTTTATCCATTCACACATTAGTGGATACTAGGGTTGCTTCCATGGTCTGATTATTTTTCATGGGTCTTTTTGGGTCAGGGGAAAACTCACTCAATTTAATGAGTCTTTGCTCATTAAATTGTACAAACACAGGTCCCCTCAATGTAGCACTCCACTCTCTTCCTTCTGTCCACTAACCTTTAGAATTTTTAGGTATGGATCAGCTACCAGTGTCTGCTAGCATGTCACATCCTGGGCAAATACATATTAGGTTCTCCAAGTAGTTCTGTAGAAGGAAGCTTTAAGAAACCCTAGCTAAGAAATCTTCCATATAAGGCTCTCTCATAAACTGTTACCCTTTTCTTACACAATTCAGAGATGAACAGTGAGCAGCTCAGCTTGGAGGAGGTAGACCTAGTTTGGGGCATTTTCTTTCCAAGTCCTATGGCTTAGCATGTACCTTTAGAATATAGTACCTGTTGTTCTAAGTTATAAACTCAGGAAGAGTTCCACTTAAACATCCTTTTATCTACCAAAATAATTTTTTCAGACCAAGTTACTGTCAGACAATGATCTAGTGATTGTCCAAATGATAACTATCTACTCATGTTGATTCACAGGTACAAGGAATACCAAGCTGTCAATTAGAAATCCAAATGTAGCACACCAGTAGATACAGAATTGTTCTCATTTGTAAATTCTTCTTTACTCAAAACATGTTAGATTAGGTAAATATTTTTTTCCATTGCCTACAAATTAGATCTTTCAAGATTCTCCACTATTGACATCAATATCTCGCTTCATCCCTCCATGAAAAAACCTAGATTTATTTGTGTTTCTCAAATATATCTTGAAATTTTTATTCTGAAACTTTTCTCCATTTCCTTAAAGTATTTTCTAACAAACCTCAAATTTCACGTCTTTCATTAATGTTTTCTCACCTACCCCAAGAGATGTGATTGTTTCTTACTTTTAATCTCTTTATAAAAGGGCTATTGACACATAAAAACTGTTTTTTAGTTAATCTTCATATATAAATATTTTACAAAGACTAGTGAAAACAGTAGTAATCGTGTAGATATTTGGTATGAGGATAAAGATTAGTCAGATAGTTTTCTGAGGATTCTTGTATACTAAGTGTAACCCATATACAATATTTGTCTTAGTTGTTCTTTTAAAAATGTTTTTGCCAGGCCTGGTGGCTCACGCCTACAATCCCAGCACTTTGGGAGGCCAAGGCAGGAGGATCACTTGAGCCCAGGAGTTCAAGACCAGCCTGGGCAACATGGCGAAACCCCATCTCTATAAAATACAAAATACAAAAATTAACCAGGCATGGTGGCATGCGCTTGTAGTCCTAGCTACTTGGGAGGTTGAGGTGGGAGGATTGCCTGAGCCCAGGAGGTCAAGGCTGCAGTGAGCTGGATCATGCCACTGTACTCCAGCCTGGGTGACAGAGCAAGCCCCGTCTCAAAAAAATAAAATAAAATAAAATAATAAAAACAAAAATGTTTTTAAATTATAAGAACAATGCAATTGTTATAGAAAATGTAAAAAGTATTTAGAAGAAATCAAATCAGTGGTAACTTACTGCTTAAAGCTAACTACCTTATCATTTGGATTGACAGTTTTTTCTTTCTTTCAGCCCTTTTAAGATACCACTGTCTTTTGGCTTCCGTTGTTACTAGTGAAAACTCTGCCATTATTTTTGTTGTTCCCCTAAATGTAATGGGTTTTTTTCTTTACTGCTTTTAACATTTCCTTTTAGATCTTTGTTTTTCAGTCATTTGACTATGATGTACATAAATGTGTTTTACTTTATGTTTCTTATGCTTGGTGTTCGCCGAGTTTCTTGGATCTAAGAGTTGATAACTTTCATTGATTTCAGAAAATACTTGGCTAATATCTTTTCAAATACTTATTTTTTCCTATTCTCTCTCTCTTTCTGGACCCAGTTACGTATATGTTGAATCAAATGATATTGGCCCACAGTTCTCTGGCACTCTGACATTTTTCAGTTCTATAAATTTTGACTTGGTTCCTTTTTAAGGTTTTATTTCTCTGCAGAAACTTACCAACTGTTATTAATTATATCCACCTTTTCTTCTATAAATTTTTCTATATATTCTAAAATTTCTTCTATAAATTTTTAACACATAATTCTTTATAATTGTTATTTCGTATTCTTGGTCTTTAATTCTAACATCAAGGGCATCTGTAAGTCTGCCTGTATTGATTATTTCTTCTCTTGATTTTAGGTCACATTTTTCTGCTTCTTTGCATGTATTCATAAGTATTTATTGCATATCAAACATGTTGTATAGAAGGACAAAAGTAAATAATATTTTTACTAGATTTGTTTGAACTAAATAAAATCTTTTGTTTTGTTCTATTTCTCATAAAGAGGATATGTGATTTTTTAAAAATGTCAGACAGCTAGAATGAGAGGCTGATCATAAAAATTTGACCATCTGCAATGCTTTAGCTGGGGATTGGCTGAAGCTTTTTATTAGTTTCAGTTTATTTCTGCTTTAAAAAGAGATTATGAAGATTTCCCTTTGCCCTTCAACCCAATCCCAACTACCCAGGCTGCATTGAGTAACTGGTCACAATCAGGATTTGAGCTGGGAGGGGTTTGAATTGCAGCTAGAGTTCATTTCAGTTCTCTTTGGCATCAACTCCAGCCAAATTCATGTGCAAGAATGTAAGATTTCAGTTTTCTGGCTCTGCACTCATCATCAATTTCACAGCAAATTCCTGTGGCAGAGAATTTTCAAGCCAAGAGGTTTACTTTTGCATTTGTGGCTCTTCTAGATAAGAGTCTGTTTGCCAACCCATACTATCATTTGAAAAATTGCTAGTTTTTCTCCTTTTAGGAGTTGCTCTATGATGGCAGGCTCATCTCTCCACTATGTAACCAATTGGTCCCAGATATGGAAGCAGTCACTGCTTTTTATTGGTCTATAAAAGGCTTCTCTTGACTGGAATTTTATTTGTTTAGACTTCTCTTTGTCTCACATTCACTCTTTGACAGCTTTAAAATGAAGTATGATTTTTGCTTTGTCTCTTTTTTCTTGTTATGAAGGCAGTGATAATCTTTTGAGATCTTCTTTACCTAACCATAAATTGAAACCACTGGCCAATCCTTTCTATTTTCCACTACTGATCTGAATGTATCAGATATTAGCATTTTGGTAATTTCATGATATTTTGTCAGGAAGGAATATAAACATATTTTTAGTCTATCATCTATCCCTCTCCTTGAATTGTTAATATTTCTTGTTTTATACATTTTTATTCCATATTATTTGCAAAAACAGGTTCAAGAACATGAGGTGTTTCTTTTATAGATTTAAGATTACCCTTTTACTTCATTGATTTGACCTTGGAATCGACTTAGTTTGAAATTAATGTTGTTATCTGTGCTTTCTCTTTTATTTTACTCCTTTTCTGGAATACAGTCATTCAGTGAAAATTTCCTATTTCTAAGCATTGGGTTGGGCACTGGAAATAAGGCAGTGAGCAAAGCAGGTTTATTTCTGCCTTAAAGAGCTTAGAATGTGGAGGCAAACTGAAAAAAAAATCATGGAAACCAGAATATAGTAATAGTTGTGATAAATTCTTGTAAGGAGAAAATACAGGATGCCATAAGAGCATCTGAGAGGGGACATAACCTCTACTGGGGTTTTAGGTAAATCCTTCTTAAGGATATATATTTAAAACAATAATTCCTGACTCATCTGTTTATTTTATTTTTTATTTCTGGGTCATTTTGTTTTAGGCATTTTTTTGTAAACTACATACATCTAAATATATATATATTTTTTAATTAAAAAATATATTTAGGGAGTACAAGTGCAGATTTCTTACATGGATATATTATGTAGTGGTGAGCCAGCTTTTAGTGTATCCATCACCCTAATAGTGAACATTGTATCTAATAGGTAATTTTTCAATTCTCACCCGCTCCCAACCTCCCACCTTTTGTAGCCTTCCATGTCTATTAATCTACTCTGTATGTCCATGTGTACCCATTCTTTAGCTCCAACTTATAAGTGAGAGCATATGTTATTTGCCTTTTCTGTTTCTGAATTATTTCAGTTAAGACAATGGCCTCCAGTTCCATCTATGTTACTGCAAAAGACATAGTTTCATTCTTTTTTATGGCAGAATAGTATTCCATTATGTGGATATATATATAACATTTTCTTTCTCTCCAGTCTTATACTGATGGACATTTATGTTGATTCCATATCTTTGATATTATGAATAGTGCTGTGATAAATATATGGGTGCAGGTATCTTTATTATATAATGATTTATTTCTTTTTGGGGATATACCTAGTAGTAGGATTACTGGATTGAATGGTAGTTCTGTTTTTAGTTCTTTGAGAAATCTCCATACTGTTTTTCATAAAGATTTACTAATTCCTATCAACAGCATATAAGTATTACCTTTTCTCCGCCTCCTTGCCAATATCTGTTGTTTTTTGACTTTTTAATAATAGCTATTATAACTGGTGTAAAATGGTATCTCATTGTGGTTTTAATTTGAATTTCTCTGATGATTAGTGATGTCAAACATTTTTTTCATGTATTTGTTGCCGGCTTACATGTCCTTTCCCCACTTTTTAATGAGGTTACTTGTTTTTCTTATTGAATTATTTGAGTTCCTTATGGATTCTGGATGTTAGCCTTTTGTCAGATGCATAATTTGGAAACTTTTTGCCCATTCTGTGGGTTGTTTGTTTACTTTGTTGATTTTTTTTTCCTGTAGAGGAAGGTTTTAGCTTCAGTCTCATTTGTCTATTTTTGTTTTTGTTGCCTTTGCTTTTGAGGGCTTGGTCATAAATTCTTTGCCTAGGCCAATGTCCAGAAGAGTCCTCCCTAGGATTTTGTCTGAGATTTTTATAATTTGAGGTCTTACATTTAGGTCTTTAATCAGTCTTGAGTTCATTTTTATCTATAGTGAGAAATATGGGTCCAGTTTCATTCTTCTGCATATGGTTATCCTTGTCTTGTTCCAGTTCTTAGAGGGAATGCTTTCAACTTTTCTCCATTGAGTATGATGTTGGCTGTGAATTTGTTGTGTATGACTTTTATTATGTTGAGGTATGTTCCTTCTATGTCTGATTTGTTGAGAATTTTTATCATGAAGGGATGCTGAATTTTATTGAATGCTTTTTCTGCATGTTTTGAGATGATCTTATGGTTTTTGTTTTTAATTCTGTTTGTGTGATGTATCACACTTGTTGATTTGCATATGTTGAACTATTCTCACATCCCTGAGATAAATCTCACCTGATCATGGTATATTATCTTTTTGATGTGCTATTGGATTTGATTTGCTAGTATTTTGTTGAAGATTTTTGTGTCTATGTTCATCAGGGATATTGGTCTGTAATTTTCTTGTTTTGTTGTGTCTTTGTCTGGCTTTGGTATCTGGGTTATACTGGCCTTGTAGAAAGTGTTAGGAAGAATTCCCTCTTTGATTTTTTTGAATAGTTTCAGGAGGATTGGTATTAGTTATTTGTATGCTTGGTAGAATTCAGCTGTGAATCCATCTGCTCCTGGTCTTTTTGTTGTTGTTGTTGTTGTTGTTGTTAGGAGATTTTTTTTATAAGTGACATAATCTCACTGCTCTGAATATAATTTTTTATCTAATCTAAGATTCTGCTTTTAATGAGGGATTTTGCTTTATATCTATTATTTCATCTTATTCTATCTGAGCTTCTACTTTCTTATGCTTTGCTTTTCCTGAATTTTACTATTTGGACTATATTTTGCTTAGTTTCTTTTAGTCCTTACTTGAAGTGAAAATTATTTGTTATCTTTTTTTTACAAAAGCATTCTTTAATCAATATTTCTCAAGACAAAAATGAATGAGTATCTTTTAATTTCTTACTATATAAAAAAAGAATTGGAGTATGCACTTTCCCTATAGTTTCCTAGTTTTTGTTCATGTATTGTAGATTTTTAGTTACATTTTCATTAGCAAATTTTTAAATTTATACAAGTGCTTTTGCAGTATGAATATACCTGTATTCATAACATTTGGTTAGGCATAATCTTTTTGTTTTGGTAATCTAATCTTGCATATCAAAATGCCCCAAAATGTATTAGCTTAAAACAACAATTTTGTTATTTTTCAATAGGAAAAATGTCTTGATATATTATCACCCCAGAAAGTTCCCTTTTGCTCCGTCCCCAGGATATCACTGCTACCCCCAGACACAACCAGTGTTCTGATTCTTTCCACCATAATTCTACCTGTTCTAGAATTTCATGTAAATTCAGTTATACAATATGTACTCTTTTAGGTAAGGCTTCTTTCAACCACCATAATGCATATGAAGTTTGTCCAGGTTGGGTATATAACTTTGATGTTTTTAATTGCTAAGTAACATTTTATTATATGATTATACCATAGTTTATCCATTCTCCTCTTGATCAATACTTTGGCTATTTCCATTTTGGGGCTGTGTGAATAAAGCTGCTATGAACATTTTTGTATAAGTATTTTTGTGAACATATGCTATGATTTCTCTTGGGCTAATACCTAGTATTACTTGGTCAAAAGGTCAGTATGTGTTTAGTTTTATAAGAACTTCCAGGTATATATTTTTCCAAAGTGGCTATACCATTGTACATTTCTATCAAGTAACTATGAAAGTCTTAGTTGTTCTGCAGTCTCACCAGTATTTAATGCTATCATTGATTTTAATTTTAGTCATTCTGGTAAGTGCATAATATTCTATTGTGGCTTTAATTTTCATTTCCCTTATGACTAAAAATGTTGTACTCTTTTTCTATGTGCTTATTTACCATTTGGATGTCTTCTTTTGTGAGCTGTCCAATTTTTTTGCCCACTTTTAATAGGATTGCTTGTCTTTTTATTGTTGACTGGAAGAGTTCTTTATACATCCTGGATACTAGTCCCTGGTCAGATATATGTATTGTCAATATTTTCACCCAATTTGCAGCTTGCTTATTCATTTTTTCATGGTGTCTTTTGATAAGATTTTTTCATGGTGTCTTTTTAGCTTTGATGAAGTCTAATTTATCAGTTTTTTAATTTAAAGCTTATTGCTATTAGTGATCTAAGAAACCTTTGCCTACCCACAAATCAAGAATATATTGTACTGTTTTCTCCTCTAAAAGCTTTTTTGGGTTTAGCTTTTACATTTTGCTCTATGATTCATCTTGATAGCCATTGAGGTTCATTTTTAAATAAAATATTTATCATTTATTAAAAAGTTCTTCTTTTTCCATGGGATCACTTTGGCACCATTGTTTAAAAAATAAGTGTTGGCCCATTTCTGTTCTGCATTCTTTTCCATTGATTGTTGATTCTGAGCTCTTGCATTTAAAAAATATTTATTAACTCCAATGTGGGCTTAAATTCTGCTATTATAATTTGAGTTCTTTTGAAACTGTTCCACATTTTAACCATCTCTGTTGTTGTCTATATATTCATTCACTGAGTAAATGTTTGTTGAGCTTCTACTTTTTGGTAGTCACCATTCTCCATACCGAGGACTCAGCAGTTAAAAATCAAACAGTATTCATATTGTCATGAACCTTATATTCTAGTAAGACAGGCAGTAGACAAGTAAACAAATAAATTAGCAAGATAAATTTATTATACTGTATCATAAAGAAAATAAAGCAGGATGTTTTAATAAAAAGTGACTAAAAATATGGGGCTACTGTGGATACATTCAGGAGAGACCACCCTGAGCAAGTGACAGTTGAACTATGTTAACTCATTCTTCTGTTTGTTTTATAAATTTCATTCAAACATATTTTGCCTATATGGTTTTCTGATCCACTTTCAATGATGCTCTTTCTTCTTGTATCTTTGAAGATACTAAGCATAAGATTTCTAAAAGGTTGCATGCATGAAACAATTATCAGATGTATTAAAACATTCTCTCTGGGTTTTTAGGGTGCTTCTCTCCTTCCCTTGGACTGCAGTGTTTGCCAACAGGCAAGACTTTGGGGTTGCCCCTGAGCTCTTTTGTGGTCCACTTATGTCCTGTTGAATCTCCTTGGTTAGATATACAAAAGGGGAGCAAACTTATGTACTAATATTTAGTTACTAGGCTGATTCTCAGCATCTAGCATGTAGACATAGATCTAGTGTACTCCTGCTAGGCTGAGATGGAATATTCTTCCCCCCATCAGGTCTCAGTGGATTCTGGATCCCTTATGTATAGAAATATGTCTATGGGTCTGGTTCACCATTATGTGCCCAGTACCAGCAGCACACAGTAGGCATGTAGGAAATGTTTGTTGAGTGGATCAAGTATAGTAAAATACAAATAAAAATCATAATTAAAGTACAAGAATCTCAATCCTCAGCATACGCTGCTACGAGGGTTTTTGAATGAACTACAGTTAGGTGATTAAAAGGGCAGGCTTTAAAATTAGACTGTTAGAGGCTGGGCACGGTGGCTCACACCTGTAATCCCAGCACTTTGGGAGGTCAAGGTGGGAGAATTGCTTGAAGCCAGGAGTCTGAGACCAGCCTGGGCAATATAGCAAGATCTCATCTCTACAAAAGGGAAAAAAAATTAGCCAGGCATGGTGGCATGCACCTATAGTCCCAGCTACTCAGGAAGCTGAGGTGGCAGGATCCCTTGAGCCCTGGAATTCGAGGCTGCACTGAGCTATGATCATGCCACAGCCTGGGGAAGAAAGCAAGACCCTGTTTCAAAAAAAAAAAAGAAAAATTTTTTTAATTAGACTGTTAGGATTATTCTTAAGGTTTTTTTTTAACCTTTGTTCTGAGACTATTAGGATTTTAATTTCAGCTGTGCTACTTTTTTACCTGTGCATCTCAGGGCAGGTCAATTTCTCTGTGCTTCATTGTTCTCACTTCCCAACCTTGTGGGATTGTTAATAACGATGAAGTGAATTAACGCCAGTAAAATCTTTACCACTGTGTTCATATAATGTCAAAAGTAGTAGTTATTTATATTATAACATCCCCCACCCCCCACCATCATACAGTGCTTTATTTGCAGTGACTCTTTCCCACAAGATGAAAGCGAATACTTCAAAAACAGCTACCATTCAGTAGAAGGTGAACTGGTTAATTTTCTGGTTAGCACAGATCCTGGGTCTCTGAATGAGAGCTCAGACAGTACAGAAAGGAACACTGCCCTCTGGAGACTGCTTTCAGAACAATGCCTTCCCATCTTCTTTCAGACCAAGGGGGACTGCTTCATTTTGGGGGTGGAGATAAAGCATGGTTAAGCTACTAGTTATTTTTCTGAGTCCAGCTGCATCTGCCTTATACTTGGTGAAAATTCTTCTCATATTCTAGTAGTAGGTTATCAGTTTTAGTTATTGATGGTTTCTAGGTTTTCATTTAGGTATTCTGTGGAAAGTGGGAGAACTTACATGGAGAATCAGCCGTGAGGTATCATTTTTTAGAAATAAACTTTATATTTTATGACAGTTTAGATTTACAGAAAAATTGGGAAGATAGTACAGAGAGTTCCCTTATACCTCATACCCAGTTTCCTCTATTAAGATATGGTACATTTGTTATAATTAATGAACCATATTGCTATATTATTATCAACTAAAGTCCATACTTGATTCATATTTCCTTAATCTTAACCAAATATCCCCTTTTTGTACCAGGATCTCATTCAGGATACCCTATTACATTGATTCATCATGTCTCCTTAGACTCTCCCTGGCTGTGATACTTTTTCATACTTTTCAATTTTGTTGACCTTGACAGTCTCGAGCAAACTGGTCAGGTATTTTGTAGAGTTTCCCTCTATTAGAATTTGTTCAATGTTTTCCTCACGATTACACCAAAATTATGGGTTTGGGGGAGGAAGGCACAGAGGTTAAGTGCCATTTTAATCACATCATATCAAGGGGACATACTATCAAAATGACTTACCATGATTGATGTTAACCTTGATCGTCTGGTGGAAGTAGTGTTTGTCAGGTTTCCCCAATGTACAGTTACTCTTTTTTCCTCTTTCTACACTGTAGTCTTTAGAAGGAAGTCACTATGCACAGCTCACACCTAAGGAGTGGGGAGTTATGCTCCACCTCCTTGAAGAGGAATTATCTACATATATTATTTAGAATTCTTTTGTATGGGATATTTGTCTCTTCTCTCTGTTTATGTGTTTATTTATCTCAATATATTTATATACTCAGGATATATATACACCAATATTTGTTTTACACTTAGGGTTATATTCCACTACTCCTTTCTTCATCAGATATCATTTTATACCAGAATCCAGTAAGGTAATTTTTTAACAGCAACAAAAAAGAACTTATGTGTATGCACAAATGGTGCTTCTCTGCAAATAGTCTGCAGGGGAGTCTATGTACTACTTCTAATAATTATATCATCATTTAAATATGTTTGAAACACTTTAATGGAAACCATGAGATTTGTAAGATAAATAATCATTAATGTTACGAATGGATCACCTATTATGTGCCAAGAACTCGATTTTCACCAAAACAGCATAGAGTAGACTACGACTATGTAAATTTCATAAGCTGTAGTACAATCTCATGTGATTTCAGTCTAATAGAGGACAGAGATAAATGAAAGTATGATTACTGCCAAGTGTAACGAGCTCCAAGAAAGAGGTAGATATGTTAGGGGAAGCATAGAGGAGGGGGCATCTTGTTCAAAGTCAGACATAACTGCTTTGCATAGAAGGCAATTTCAGAGTGACAGGTAGCAGTGAGCTATACAATTTCTAAAGACAACTAGCAGGAATGCTCCATGGAGAAGGAAAGTCATAGGTAAAAGTAGGGAGAACTGAAGTAGCATGCTATTCAAGCACCTCAATGCAGACAGGGAAAAGGGCACAGCAGGGGAGAGGCAGGGCCTGAGGCTGGAGAGCTACCCGGGGTCAGATCACAAAGGATGCTTGTGTTACATGAAGGAATTTGAACTTGATTCTAAAAGCAGTGGAGAATCATTGAAGTGTTTTCAGCAGGAGAGGAACATGATTAGTTTGACATTTTAGAGAGATCATGTTGGCAGCTGAGAAGATAAAATTTATCTTAGTATTTCATAATCATACTTTTTTAAAACAAAATTGTTGATCATGTTTTTATTTTATTTTCTGTTAAATGATTTTTGTGGTTTTCCAAAATCAAATCTGCTCTCAAATGATTTGCCACCACTGTCATGGTCTAAGGAACGTACTTTGAGATCCTGGATAAGAGTTCCCAAACACAGCAGAACATTTGGAGTAACTTAACATAGTCCCCATAGTAGCCTTAAGAAGTAATTGTTATTTGGATGCATTTGTTCTGGTTTATTTGTTTAAAATTTTTCTTTCATTACCTTACATTCTTCTTATTTCTTCTGCTTTTGCTATGTTATTTTGGTCCTTTTTGAAATGCTATATTTATTAAATGCTTATGTGTCAGGCATTAATTATGTGTTTTGCATATGTATTTTATTGAACCTTCACCAAAACAGCATGGAGTACACAGTATCATTCCCATTTGACAAGTGAGCAAATTGAGGCTCAGAAAGGTTTAGGAACTTGCTGAGAGAGGTTTTGTGGCTTGCATTTCACAGCTAGAAGTAGAGCCAGGATTCAAGCTCAGATCTATCTGTTTCAAAGGGCCATGTTGTACAAATTGTACCGCAAGGGCTCTTTTGAGGAATGTCCTATCAGTTGCAGGAGAGCATTTACCACTGGAGCCCTTGGCTGCCCTGATGGAAGTGGGAGGAGAGCCAAGGTAAAGGGCCTGTTTTCTACACCGGGGGCATGCTTCTGGTTTATGAGACTGTGATGACAGTAATTAAGGGTAAATAATGAAGACTTGCCCATTGATTTAAAAGCTCAAACTGAATAAAGCACCCTTGGAAATGTATTGTCCTCCTCCTCCTCTTTTACCTCACTGAAAATTACTAACTTGTCAGTAAGGAAACTGTTTCTTTCAACCCTAATGCTTTTGGTTTTACAGTGCAGATCCTAGGAGTAATAGCCAGTGTCTCTGTTGGGCTCCAGCAGCTCACTTTTTTCTGGAGCAGTTGCTGAGTCTAAGTTAGTTGACTCAGGTCAGTTACCCCACAGTGTGCGAAAGAGAACAGCTTTCTGTAGTGGAACAGCCATGCCTTTGCCTGCTGGCTTCTCTTGTAAAACATTGGCTTATGAAAGCCGTGTTTATAGTTGGCCAAGTAAGAAACTGACATTCACTTTAGGCCCAGTGCTCAGTATCTTGATAGTGCTGTCATAAGGGGACAGTACCAGGATGCTGCTATCAAAAGGTGGCAGATCACACCCCAAATCCAACCAGAAGGAACTAAGCCTACAAACCGTTTAGAAGACATTGGAGTTACTCACCTCCCCTTCCCCCTAGATCCCCCTCCACACTGTGCTGGATTTTAACAGGTGTGAGCCCTACATTATGCACATTTCAAACTTGGTCAACCCCACACACAGCCCCTGCAGAGGTGCATCCAGAGGAGCCCAAATCTCAGGGGGAAGCCCATGCAGGTACTGGCAATGGGCTTGGGGCATTTGGGGTACCTGGGGGAATTTGAGATACCTGGAATTTAGTTTGGCTGATCCCAGGTACCTGGAATATAATCTGAATGACATCGTCCCGGAAATCCATGGACTTTTCTTTCCAGGGGATAGAAGAGACAGAGTGGAGCCCTTCAAAGCTTGGGGCCCAGGCCAACTCTCACAAGTCAGTCACCTGAGTGTCACAAAGACACTAACCAGGCTCCTGTTCTGAGTGTCTCCATCCCAGCACCTGCCTTCATTATGGCCTTAAAGTCACAGTCAGGCCTTTCCAAAAAGACTTACTGTAGCTAAAATCTTACAGCAAAGATATATATATATCACTTTAAGATATATTTCACTCCACTCTCTCCACTCTAGATCATAAGCCCCATACTGGCATCTTAAAGCAAAGATATATATATATATATATATATATATATATATATATATATAGTTTAAACAAAATAATAGTAATAATTATCTACAATCCCCAGAGACAACATGGGAGACTTTTGCTTCACGTGGCCCTCCCTAACCACCTGAAAGTATGTGATGATGCAGAGTCTTAGGGAGGTGGGATCCACATTTCTCAATACATAAAAATGATAAACACTGAGGGTGGTGGATAGCCCAGTTTCCCTAATTTGATCTATATACATTCTTTGCGTGTAACAAACACATGTACCCCATAAATATGTAAATTATCATATATCAATAAAGGGTAAAACAAAACCTGCTTGGGGTTATCTTCAATTCCCTGCCCAGTGGAAAGAGGAGAGGCCTGACTTTAGGTACCCAAGAAGGCATTTCAGAAGGTCTTTGACTAGCACCTAAAAACAAAGAGCATAAAAGCCCCCACCCCCTTCTCCATGCCCTAAATGTGTGTGTGTGACATCACATATATTGATAAACTCTGTGGCAGTTAAGCCGAAGCGGGTAATCAACACTTTCTAGCAAAAACATCTGCTCTTGGAATGGAAGCAAACAGGAGCCAATCAGAACATTGGCTCAGGTGTTGGGCCCAGAGCAGAGACTGGAGAAACCTACCTGTTGTAGCCCCTTCCCGTTCCTGTCATCAGATGTCACCAGGTGATGAATGTAAGGAAGTTTTCAAACCCTCTATTTTTATATGTCTATTTCCAAAAGTGTGTCCCACCCTAAACACTCCTCCCATTGTCCAGAAACTCCAAATTTGGCCCCATCAGACCCATCTCCCAACCTCACATTCAACTTCCGTGATTAAATTCATCCCGTAGAATGAAATAAGAATAAAGGTTAGAATGCCATTTTAAAAACCAGACACCGGCTGGGTGCAGTGGCTCATGCCTGTAATCCCAGCACTTTGGGAGGCCGAGGCAGGTGGATCATGAGGTCAGGAGTTCAAGACCAGCCTGGTCAACATAGTGAAACCTCATCTCTACTAAAAACACAAAAAATCAGCTGGGCATGGTGGTGGGCACCTGTAATCCCAGCTACTTGGGAGATTGAGGCAGGAGAATAGCTTGAATCCGGGAGGCAGAGGTTGCAGTGAGCCAAGATCGTGACACTGCACTCCAGCCTGGGCAACAGTGCGAGACTCTGTCTCAAAAACAAACAAACAAACAAACAAACAAACAAACAAAAACCAGACACCAATTAACAAACAGCAGACAT
Organism: Homo sapiens; assembly: GCF_000001405.40. Lineage (NCBI taxonomy): Eukaryota > Metazoa > Chordata > Mammalia > Primates > Hominidae > Homo > Homo sapiens. The sequence continues at coordinate 177,794,735 of NC_000002.12, read as the reverse complement.
TCGTTTGTCGGGTGTGTTGGGGGGTCGGTGTAGGGGTAGGGGTGGGAATCATACCCAGATTGCCAAGGAATTAGATTCATCCAAAGAAAAAGATCTGGCTCATGTGGGTCTGTGGGGCTGACAGCAGCCCCTGAGCTTAACAGAAATGAGGGGAAAGCTGCCTTTATCTCTTTGAAAAGGAGGAAAATGGCTCCTTAATTTAGCAAGTATACTGGGCCCAATTCGATGAGCCTGCCTCTGGGAAATTTGTTTTTATCCCCAGCAAGTGCCTACACTTACTTGTTTTAACAAAAGGCCAAGTTACGATGGTTTCCAAAACTTCTGTGATCTAATCCCTGGTCCCTCTATGACCTCCTGTTATTCTCACTTTCCTCACTCTGTCCCACTGGCCTCTTTGCTTTTCCTTAAACAAGCTGGGCACATTTGTGCCATAGGACCTTTGCACTTGCACCCTACACCCTCTCATCCTGATATCCACACGGCTTGCTCTCTCTGCAATTTCAGGTTTTATTTGTACTATTCAGTGCCACCTTCCCAGACAGTCTTATTTAAATCTGCCGTGCCCCCTTTCCTGCCCCCAACATGCTAATCTCCCTTCCCTGCTTTGTTTTTCTCCATAGCACTCATCATCACTTGATACACTACCTTTTCCTTATTTCACTCCACTCTCTCCACTCTAGATCATAAGCCCCATACTGGCAGAGATTTTTGTCTCTTTTTTTGACTGATGTATCCCTAGCACCTACAATAGTTCCTAAAACATAGCTGATACTGAATAAATATTTGTTGACTGAGAAATGTTTAAAGGCATTGTGTTTCCCAATACTGGTGCCCATTCCTGCCTCAAATTCATAATGAAATTCACTATCTGCAGCTTCAGATGGCTGTGAACCAAAGTGGTCCAGTCCCTCCCCATCCTTCTACTGACTAGACACCGGAGCAAGTCAGTGTGCCTGATCCCTGTACTGCCGCAGTGTGAGCGATGGAGCCAGGTACTCACAAGCAGAGGGAAGCAGCCTTCCTTGTTTTGGGTTCCAGTTTGCTTGTATGTGGCCTCACATGCCCTTTCCTCCTCCTTTTTGATGGTCTCTGGTGTATGGCTCCTTCCTTCAGGGACCGGGACCCGGGACTGAGTGCTTCTGTGGCTCTGGTCCTTTCCTCCCTGAGTGGAGCTCTTTTTTTTTTTTTTTTTTTTTTTGCAGATCCCTGTGTATTGTCTCCACAGATCGAGGTCTCGCATCCACCATCCTCATCCAGCCACTGTTTTCCCTCCCACATCCACTCTTGCCCACCTCCAGTCCACCCTCTACACAACCAGGGCCATGTTCTACATGTAATATGAATCCATTTATGTAAGTTCAAGAACAGGCAAAACTATATACTACCCCAAGGGAATGAATGCCACAAAAGTCAGAGTGGTGGTCACTTCTGGGGTGGGGTATCACTGAGGAGGGGCACATTAGGGCCTTCCAAGGTCATAATGACTGGAAAACTAATGAGACAATGTCAGCCTCTTGCCTGAAACCCTGGATGGCTTCCCATGGACTCTAATGAAGTCTTTATCCGCCTGAAAGGCCCTGCATGACTAGGCCTGTGCCCAGCTCTCCTGTCTCCTCTGCCCACTTACATGCCCTAACACCACACAAAGGTGACTGCTCCCTCTGCCCAGAGCTCTTCCCCTACCCGTTGGCTGGCTGGTTCTTTATCATTTTCCAGGTCTCAGCTTAAGTATCATGTCTCAAAGAGGTCATCCCTAACCAACTTCCCTGCCACTCCCTGCCATTCTTCCCACCTCCTCCCATGGTTTCTTTCGCATTTTGCTACTTGACTTTGTAGCAATTATTTCAACTTGTATGTTTGCCTGTTTAGTGACTGCGCAGTTCTGGGCACAAATTAAGTCTTCAATGGATATGTCTTGATTGAATGAATGGTTCATTCATCGGTACATCCCAGACTGCATTGATGTGATTCCCTGGTTTACTCAAATCTAATCTGATCTCCATGGCCAGCAACCTTGGTCCAGACAGATTGGAAATTGCCCTTTGCATTTTTATTTCATCCATGGTGACGAGTCACTTCTGTGGCCCTAGTGAGTTTGACAGTGGCCCAAACTAGGCCTGATCTCTCCTTATTCCTTTTACTTCAGGAGCTCCCAGCAGAGCCACGCTGTTTCAAACATAAAATGCTCCATGGTGTTCCTGCATAACCAGTGCAAATAAGCAATGTATCTCTCTCTCAAAGCATAATGGTAATCCTTTGATTATGCAAAAACCATGGGGGGAGAGGAATGGAAAATCAGTATATATAAATATTTAATAACATGCTACTCAGAAGTATGGTCTTAAGTGAAATCAGACTACTAAAAGTTCTAGTTATATAAGTTATAGATTTGAAAACAATTTGGCACATATTATAGTGGTTTCAGAAACAGCAATAACCAATCCAAGTTGCTCAATTATACCCGAAGAATGCTATGTTCTTCTCTGTTCTTATTAATGAGAAAAGCAAATAAGCAAGTAGTTCATTAGAAAAGAATTTGTGAAACATTAATACATTTAATAACCTATATGATTAAGAAAAACAGCCTCACTTTAAAACAGAATGAGAGGAGTAATGCAATTGTGGGAATGGAACACTAATTTTGAAATAGTTATAAATTATAGTCCAATATGCATATGTATAGAGCCATATTTAATCTCACTAAGAATTAATCATTAAAACCTTTTTAAGTGTTAATGCCTGAGATCCTTTATAGGAGAATACTAAAAACTTAGAAAAATCAGAAGACTCATTATCACATGCAACGTTTTCCAAAGAAATAGGCAATTTCTTTCACCTTAAGGACATTGAAATGATTGAAATTAATAACTAAGCATTTCACAAAAGTTATAGAACAAAAATAAGCCAATCATTTTCCTTAACATAATTATTTTCTCCTATAGGTAACAAAATATAGTAAAAGCAATAGTACTTAATGGTCATATACTCTATGTACTATGTATGTTAAATATAAACAATATTTAAGAAACATATACTATAATCTTACTTATTTGGAGATCATATCTATCAAACACAACCCTGAAACACAGGAGAGAATCAGGAAGTAAGCAAAAGTCAAATAAACCACAAATGTATATACTAGAGTTCATACATTGGACTCATTTGCTCTGACTTTAAACACTATTCTTTTTTTTTTTTTTTATACTTTAAGTTTTAGGGTACATGTGCACAATCTGCAGGTTAGTTACATATGTATACATGTGCCATGCTGGTGTGCTGCACCCATTAACTCGTCATTTAACATTAGGTATATCTCCTAATGCTATCCCTCCCCCCTCCCCCCACCCGACAACAGTCCCCAGAGTGTGATGTTCCCCTTCCTGTGTCCACGTGTTCTCATTGTTCAATTCCCACCTATGAGTGAGAACATGCAGTGTTTGGCTTTTTGTTCTTGTGATAGTTTACTGAGAATGATGATTTCCAATTTCATCCATGTCCCTACAAAGGACATGAACTCATCATTTTTTATGGCTGCATAGTATTTCATGGTGTATATGTGCCACATTTTCTTAATCCAGTCTATCATTGTTGGACATTTGGGTTGGTTCCAAGTCTTTGCTATTGTGAATAGTGCCTCAATAAACATACATGTGCATGTGTCTTTATAGCACCATGATTTATAGTCCTTGGGGTATATACCCAGTAATGGGATGGCTGGGTCAAATGTTATTTCTAGTTCTAGATCCCTGAGGAATCTCCACACTGACTTCCACAATGGTTGAACTAGTTTACAGTCTCTCCAACAGTGTAAAAGTGTTCCTATTTCTCCACATCCTCTCCAGCACCTGTTGTTTCCTGACTTTTTAATGATTGCCATTCTAACTGATGTGAGATGGTATCTCATTGTGGTTTTGATTTGCATTTCTCTGATGGCCAGTGATGATGAGCATTTTTTCATGCGTCTTTTGGCTGCATAAATGTCTTTTGAGAAGTGTCTGTTCATATCCTTCGCCCACTTTTTGATGGGGTTGTTTGTTTTTTTCTTGTAAATTTGTTTGAGTTTATTGTAGATTCTGGATATTAGCCCTTTGTCAGATGAGTAGGTTGCAAAAATTTTCTCCCATTTTGTAGGTTGCCTGTTCATTCTGATAGTAGTTTCTTTTGCTGTGCAGAAGCCCTTTAGTTTAATTAGATCCCATTTGTCAATTTTGGCTTTTGTTGCCATTGCTTTTGGTGTTTTGGACATGAAGTCCTTGCCCTTGCCTATGTCCTGAATGGTAATGCCTAGGTTTTCTTCTAGGGTTTTTATGGTTTTAGGTCTAACATTTAAGTCTTTAATCCATCTTGAATTAATTTTTGTATAAGGTGTAAGGAAGGGATCCAGTTTCAGCTTTCTACATATGTCTAGCCAGTTTTCCCAGCACCATTTATTAAATAGGGAATCCTTTCCCCATTGCTTGTTTTTCTCAGGTTTGTCAAAGATCAGATAGTTGTAGATATGTGGCGTTATTTCTGAGGGCTCTGTTCTGTTCCATTGATCTATATCTCTGTTTTGGTACCAGTACCATGCTGTTTTGGTTACTGTAGCCTTGTAGTATAGTTTGAAGTCAGGTAGTGTGATGCCTCCAACTTTGTTCTTTTGGCTTAGGACTGACTTGGTGATGCGGGCTCTTTTTGGTTCCATATGAACTTTAAAGTAGTTTTTTCCAATTCTGTGAAGAAAGTCATTGGTAGCTTGATGGCGATGGCATTGAATCTATAAATTACCTTGGGCAGTATGGCCATTTTCACAATATTGATTCTTCCTACCCATGAGCATGGAATGTTCTTCCATTTGTTTGTATCCTCTTTTATTTCATTGAGCAGTGGTTTGTAGTTCTCCTTGAAGAGGTCTTTCACATCCCTTGTAAGTTGGGTTCCTAGGTATTTTATTCTCTTTGAAGCAGCTGTGAATGGGAGTTCACTCATGATTTGGCTCTCTGTTTGTCTGTTATTGGTGTATAAAAATGCTTGTGATTTTTGTACATTGATTTTGTATCCTGAGACTTTGCTTAAGTTGCTTATCACCTTAAGAAGATTTTGGGCTGAGACAATGGGGTTTTCTAGATATACAATCATGTCATCTGCAAACAGGGACAATTTGACTTCCTCTTTTCCTAATTGAATACCCTTTATTTCCTTCTTCTGCCTAATTGTCCTGGCCAGAACTTCCAACACTATGTTGAATAGGAGTGGTGACAGAGGGCATCCCTGTCTTGTGCCAGTTTTCAAAGGGAATGCTTCCAGTTTTTGCCCATTCAGTATGATATTGGCTGTGGGTTTGTCATAGATAGCTCTTATTATTTTGAAATACGTCCCATCAATACCTAATTTATTGAGAGTTTTTAGCATGAAGCATTGTTGAATTTTGTCAAAGGCCTTTTCTGCATCTATTGAGATAATCATGTGGTTTTTGTCTTTGGTTCTGTTTATATGCTGGATTACATTTATTGATTTGTGTATATTGAGCCAGCCTTGCATCCCAGGGATGAAGCCCACTTGATCATGGTGCATAAGCTTTTTGATGTGCTGCTGGATTCGGTTTGCCAGTACTTTATTGAGGATTTTTGCATCAATGTTCATCAAGCATATTGGTCTAAAATTCTCTTTTTGGTTGTGTCTCTGCCCGGCTTTGGTATCAGAATGATGCTGGCCTCATAAAATGAGTTAGGGAGAATTCCCTCTTTTTCTGTTGATTGGAATAGTTTCAGAGGGAATGGTACCAGTTCCTCCTTGTACCTCTGGTAGAATTCGGCTGTGAATCCATCTGGTCCTGGACTCTTTTTGTTTGGTAAGCTATTGATTATTGCCACAATTTCAGATCCTGTTATTGGTCTATTCAGAGATTCAACTTCTTCCTGGTTTAGTCTTGGGAGAGTGTATGTGTCGAGGAATTTATCCATTTCTCCTAGATTTTCTAGTTTATTTGAGTAGAGTTGTTTGTAGTATTCTCTGATGGTAGTTTGAATTTCTGTGGGATTGGTGGTGATATCCCCTTTATCATTTTTTATTGCATCTATTTGATTCTTCTCTCTTTTTTTCTTTATTAGTCTTGCTAGCAGTCTATCAATTTTGTTGATCCTTTGAAAAAACCAGCTCCTGGATTCATTAATTTTTTGAAGGGTTTTTTGTGTCTCTATTTCCTTCAGTTCTGCTCTGATTTTAGTTATTTCTTGCCTTCTGCTAGCTTTTGAATGTGTTTGCTCTTGCTTTTCTAGTTCTTTTAATTGTGATGTTAGGGTGTTAATTTTGGATCTTTCCCCCTTTCTCTTGTAGGCATTTAGTGCTATAAATTTCCCTCTACACACTGCTTTGAATGCGTCCCAGAGATTCTGGTATGTGGTGTCTTTGTTCTCGTTGGTTTCAAAGAACATCTTTATTTCTGCCTTCATTTCATTACGTACCCAGTAGTCATTCAGGAGCAGGTTGTTCAGTTTCCATGTAGTTGAGCGGTTTTGAGTGAGTTTCTTAATCCTGAGTTCTAGTTTGATTGCACTGTGGTCTGAGAGACAGTTTGTTATAATTTCTGTTCTTTTACATTTGCTGAGGAGACCTTTACTTCCAACTATGTGGTCAATTTTGGAATAGGTGTGGTGTGGTGCTGAAAAGAATGTATATTCTGTTGATTTGGGGTGAAGAGTTCTGTGGATGTCTATTAGGTCCGCTTGGTGCAGAGCTGAGTTCAATTCCTGGGTATCCTTGTTAACTTTCTGTCTCATTGATCTGTCTAATGTTGACAGTGGGGTGTTAAAGTCTCCCATTATTATTGTGTGGAAGTCTAAGTCTCTTTGTAGGTCATTCAGGACTTGCTTTATGAATCTGGGTGCTCCTGTATTGGGTGCATATATATTTAGGATAGTTAGCTTTTCTTGTTGAATTGATCCCTTTACCATTATGTGATGGCCTTCTTTGTCGCTTTTGATCTTTGTTGGTTTAAAGTCTGTTTTATCAGGGACTAGGATTGCAACCCCTGCCTATTTTGTTTTCCATTTGCTTGGTAGATCTTCCTCCATCCTTTTATTTTGAGCCTATGTGTGTCTCTGCACGTGAGATGGGTTTCCTGAATACAGCACACTGATGGGTCTTGACTCTTTATCCAATTTGCCAGTCTGCGTCTTTTAATTGGAGCATTTAGTCCATTTACATTTAAAGTTAATATTGTTATTTGTGAATTTGATCCTGTCATTATGATGTTAGCTGGTTAATTTGCTCGTTAGTTGATGCAGTTTCTTCCTAGTCTCGATGGTCTTTACATTTTGGCATGATTTTGCAGCGGCTGGTACCAGTTGTTCCTTTCCATGTTTAGTGCTTCCTTCAGGAGCTCTTTTAGGGCAGGCCTGGTGGTGACAAAATCTCTCAGCATTTGCTTGTCTGTAAAGTGTTTTATTTCTCCTTCACTTATGAAGCTTAGTTTGGCTGGATATGAAATTCTGGGTTGAAAATTCTTTTCTTTAAGAATGTTGAATATTGGCCCCCACTCTCTTCTGGCTTGTAGAGTTTCTGCCGAGAGATCCGCTGTTAGTCTGATGGGCTTCCCTTTGTGGGTAACCCGACCTTTCTCTCTGGCTGCCCTTAACATTTTTTCCTTCATTTCAACTTTGGTGAATCTGACAATTATTTGTCTTGGAGTTGCTCTTCTCGAAGAGTATCTTTGTGGCGTTCTCTGTATTTCCTGAATCTGAATGTTGGCCTGCCTTGCTAGATTGGGGAAGTTCTCCTGGATAATGTCCTGCAGAGTGTTTTCCAACTTGGTTCCATTCTCCCCGTCACTTTCAGGTACACCGATCAGACGTAGATTTGGTCTTTTCACATAGTCCCATATTTCTTGGAGGCTTTGTTCGTTTCTTTTTATTCTTTTTTCTCTAAACTTCCCTTCTCGCTTCATTTTATTCATTTCATCTTCCATCACTGATACCCTTTCTTCCAGTTGATCGCATCGGCTCCTGAGGCTTCTGCATTCTTCACGTAGTTCTTGAGCTTTGGCTTTCAGCTCCATCAGCTCCTTTAAGCACTTCTCTGTATTGGTTATTCTAGTTATACATTAGTCTAAATTTTTTTCAAAGTTTTTAACTTCTTTGCCTTTGGTTTGAATTTCCTCCTGTAGCTCAGAGTAATTTGATCGTCTGAAGCCTTCTTCTCTCAACTCGTCAAAGTCATTCTCCGTCCAGCTTTGTTCCGTTGCTGGTGAGGAACTGCGTTCCTTTGGAGGAGGAGAGGCGCTCTGCTTTTTAGAGTTTCCAGTTTTTCTGCTCTGTTTTTTCCCCATCTTTGTGGTTTTATCTACTTTTGGTCTTTGATGATGGTGATGTACAGATGGGTTTTTGGTGTGGATGTCCTTTCTGTTTGTTAGTTTTCCTTCTAACAGACAGGACCCTCAGCTGCAGGTCTGTTGGAGTTTGCTAGAGGTCCACTCCAGACCCTGTTTGCCTGGTATCAGCAGTGGTGGCTGCAGAACAGCGGATTTTCATGAACCGCGAATGCTGCTGTCTGATCATTCCTCTGGAAGTTTTGTCTCAGAGGAGTACCCGGCCGTGTGAGGTGTCAGTCTGCCCCTACTGGGGGATGCCTCCCAGTTAGGCTGCTCAGGGGTCAGGGGTCAGGGACCCACTTGACGAGGCAGTCTGCCCGTTCTCAGATCTCCAGCTGCGTGCTGGGAGAACCACTGCTCTCTTCAAAGCTGTCAGACAGGGACATTTAAGTCTGCAGAGGTTACTGCTATCTTTTTGTTTGTCTGTGCCCTGCCCCCAGAAGTGGAGCCTACAGAGGCAGGCAGGCCTCCTTGAGCTGTGGTGGGCTCCACCCAGTTCAAGCTTTCTGGCTGCTTTGTTTACCTAAGCAAGTCTGGGCAATGGTGGGCGCCCCTCCCCCAGCCTCGCTGCCGCCTTGCAGTTTGATCTCAGACTGCTGTGCTAGCAATCAGCGAGACTCCATGGGCATAGGACCCTCCGAGCCATGTGTGGGATATAATCTCCTGGTGCGCCGTTTTTTAAGCCCGTCGGAAAAGCGCAGTATTAGGGTGGGAGTGACCCGATTTTCCAGGTGCCGTCTGTCACCCCTTTCTTTGACTAGGAAAGGGAACTCCCTGACCCCTTGTGCTTCCCGAGTGAGGCAATGCCTCGCCCTACTTCGGCTCATGCATGGTGCACTGCACCTACTGTCCTGCACCCACTGTCTGGCACTCCCTAGTGAGATGAACCCGGTACCTCAGATGGAAATGCAGAAATCACCCGTCTTCTGCGTCGCTCATGCTGGGAGCTGTAGACTGGAGCTGTTCCTATTCGGCCATCTTGGCTGCCCTCCCAGAATTGTCTTTAAACGCTATTCTAACATAACTTGCTATTTGATTGCCCAAACCATTGTGGTTACCATCAGTGCTCATCATCAGTTTTTTTTCTGGTTCTCTCCTATCTGGGCCCATGATCATATTACACTGCCTCACTTCCTTGAAATCAGGTGGAGTGCTGTAACTTGCTCTGGCCAGTGAAATATGATTGAAAAGTGCATATATTTCTCACCTTTTACTGATGAGGAAACTGAGACATAGGTTATATAATTAGGCCAAGGTTACAGGTCTAGTGAGCCAGGATTGTGAGCTCAGCAGTCTGACACAAAGCCCCTATGCTCAAAGACCAAACTATACTGGCCCCCCATTGTTGGCACACTAAGCATTGACAAATTAAGAAAACAAAGTTTTACTAAATGAAAGGAAACAGCCTGTCTTAAGAATTGCTGTAGGTAATCTATACAGCAGTTAATCCGTATAAACAGATTAAATCCTACCACTGACCCCTGCAAATAGGGAGAGAACAAGTTCAGACTACAAGCCTAGGGCAATTCATAGCATGAATTCTGATTTCTGTGCTCAAAACTATGTAGTAGAGTTGACTTACATGATTATAATTTTAAGCTGGATCTTAATCAGATTGCTTTCATAAGCCAAAGATGTCACAGGGCAAACCTCAAAATTGGAACTCAGCTTGGGAGGTCACATGGGTTCTTGGCTTGTGCAGGAAAGAATTCAAGAGCCAGCAATAAAGTATAAAGTGATAGAGTAAAGTGAAAGCCAGCAGTAAAGTGACAGAGTAAAGTGAAAGCAACTTTATTAACTAAAGGAATAAAAGGGTGGCTACCCCATAGGCAGATAGCAGCATGGGCTGCTTGACTGACTATACTTATGGTTATTTTTTGATTATGTGCTAAACAAGGAGTAGATTATTCATGAGTTTTCTGGGAAAGCAGCTGAGAGTTCCCAGAATTGAGGGATCCTCTCCCGTTTAGATCATATAGGGTAGTTTCAGGACAATGCCACGGCATTTGTAACTGTAATTGTAATTGTAAACTGTTATGATGTTGGTGGAGTTTCCATTGGTATGCTAATATATTATAATTAGTGTATAATGAGCACTGAGAATGACCAGAGGTTGTTTTCATAGCCATCTTGGTTTTGGCAGGTTTTGGCAGACTTCTTTACCACATCCTGTTTTATCAGCAGTCTTTGTGGTCTGTATCTTGTGAAACAAGTCCTGCTGAATTCCTTTTTCATCTCTCCTCAGAGACTGTGCACTCTTCCTTAATCCTAAAAGGTTGTAGAGGGACAGAGGTTTCATCTTCTGTAACTGCTTCATCCTGAACAGGAGCTGTCATCTCTATCTGATCTGGAGGCATAGAAATCTCTCACTACCTTATCTAATGATTTATAGGGACTCAGTCCTTCCTGCAGTGGCACAGGCTGGAACCCTTGAGTCAATTATCATGTTTGTCTGGAACTTTGGTAGCCTGGAAGATATAAACTTTACCCATCTGAATACCTGTTGAATATAACAAATAATTTTTTAAATGAAATAGCACCTAGTGATAATTAATAAAATGCTTAACCCCAGTTTAACAATGCTTATAGGAAGAGATCAATGCCATTTGAAATCTAAGTGAATAGGCTGGAAAACCAGTACCCTTTTGTCTGAAATACAAAGCCAAACAGATTTTCAATAAGAGGCGTTTTTGTGGAAACAGAATAAAAACAAAGGTTAATTTTGGGCAAAATCTATCCAGATGTTAGACTTAAAGCATCTTTAGTTACAGAAGAGTAATGCAGTGGCAATCTGACTCATTTTTCTTGCCTATATTGCAAGGAATAAGCTTTAGCTTGCAGGGCCTCAGGAAAAAAGGTAGTAGTAATTTTAATGAGCTTAATAGAAAAAATGGAAGACAAATATGAAAATGTTAGTTTGGGTACTTGTTGCTCAGAAAGAATTTAGAAATCAGTCCAAATTCCAGGGGGAAAAAAACCACCTCAAAAACATGGACAAGACTAGAATCTAACCACTGAGCTAATAAATAACTTAAGACACATATGAGAACTTCTGAAGTATAACAAGGTGAATGAAATGTTATCTAACCATAGGCCCCAGCATTCCTCACTAAGACTAAGGAAGGAGTTGTATGGGAAAATCCTTGACAAGCCCTCTTGATATTGTACAGATTATGAGGGAATGAATATTGACTGCCTCTAGTAATCAGAGGATGTGGGAAATGATTCTGTATGAGAAATGAAGAGAATTGTGTTATTATACATTTGAATATAGGGAGGGGGAAAAGAGAAAAAGAGAAAGTTACATTGGAGAGAAGCCAGAAATATGAGTAAAGGCTGAGACTGTACGAGATTAATGGTCAGTGAAATGCCCCATTGGTGGCAGGGGCAAAATCTATTTTGAGAATGGTGGAGCTGATACTTCATGAGAGGGTGCTTGTTTGTTTGTTTGTTTGTTTGTTTGTTTTGATGCAACTTCATAATTTGTCTTTTCAGAAAGCAAGTGGAGAGGGGAGAGATAGAGAAAGAAGGAAGGGAAGGATGGAGGAAGGAAAGAAAGAAAAGAAAGGGAGAGAAAGAGAAGAAAAAGGAGGGAGAAAGAGAAAGGAAGGAAGTAGGGAAGAAGGGAAGAGGGAAGGAAGGAAGCAAAAAAGAAAGAACCTTCTTCACATTATACTAAATTTATGAATTCTTGATGTGAGTGGATTTTTTTGGTGTGGAAATTGAGGAGGGAGCTGAATTTCACATTTAGTGTGATGATTATATAACAGATACAGCACAAGAATACATAAGAACTCAAAGGCCAAGATGAGAATATAAACCTGCCAAGAATATGTAGACATTTTGAAAAAGGCTTTGAATTTCCATAGTATTTCATGAGTTTAGGGGTTCACGTTGATCTTACCTAGATTTTGAAAGACAAGGAAGCTTCAGTTGACACCTGATTACAGAAATCTTTGGATGGCATAGGGTGGCAAGTCCCAGTTGAATGTTGATAATGTTTTGTTTATTTATTGCTTTTTAACCACTTTTTGGCAACTTAATGGTTTAAACACAAACCCCACATAGAGTCAAAGGGAAGGGACATAGACCCCACCTCTCATAGAAATAGTGTCAAAGAATGTGTGGTCATCTTAATTCACCAGATAATAATTTGGATGTAGTTGCAAAGTACCTGTTAAATTTCAAGATTTATATAATACAAGATATGTTATCCTCTGGCAAGGGCACAGGTACCAATATTTAGAGGGAAAGATAGTTTGGGAAACTGCCAAATGAATGTCAGTGTTGTCATTATGTACTAGCTAATGAATAGTATTTAGCCTTATGAATGCATCTTAATGGCTTGCATTTAAAAATTAGATTGAGATTTAAAGTGTGGTTACTAAAATTAACATTTTAATCTGGGTAATGACATAGAATGATTACATTAAACCTTTGATTTGGGTGAAAAAATGGTGAATGAATTTCTCATCCCAAGTTGAGGGCCCACTCAAACCACTGGAGAGTTGGCTTCATACCTTTGGATAAAACAAAAGCAAAAACGGCATATCTCTTTGGTCAAGAAGTTTAATTAAAAGAGAATTCAGCTGGACATGGTGGCTCACACTTGTAATCCCAGCACTTTGGGAGGCAGAGGCGGGCAGATCACCTGAGGTCAGAAGTTCAAGACCAGCCTGGCCAACATGGCGAAACCCCTTCTCTACTAAAACTACAAAAATCAGCTGGGTGTGGTGGCACGCACCTGTAGTCCCAGCTACTTGGAGGCTGAGTCAGGAGAATCTCTTGAACCCAGCAGATGGAGGCTGCAGTGAACTGAGATCAAGCCACTACACTCCAGCCTGGGGAACAGAGTGACAGACAGAGTCTCAAAAAAAAAAAAAAGAAAAGAAAAAGAAATTGAGAATTCAGCCAAGATGGGCAAGGTCTCAAATTGACCGCAAACTCTATTGGCACCATTTTTGCAGCAGTGTGTGTTTACTTTGTGTTTTTGTGTCACATTTTGGTAATTCTTACAACATTTTATACGTCTTATTATATCTGTTACAATTATCTGTGATCAGTGATTTTTAATGTTACTATTGTAATCCTTTGGGGCACTATGAACTGTGCCCATATAAGGCGGTAAACTTAATTGATAAATGTTTTGTGTTCTGACTGCTCTGCTGACCAGCTCTTCCCCATCTCTCTCCCTTTCCTTGGGCCTCTCTGTTTTCCAAGACACATCAATATGGAAATTAGGCCAAGTAATAACCCTACAATGACCTCTAAGTGTTCCAGTGAAAGGAAGAGTTGCACATCTATCACTTTTAATCATAAGCTAGGCATGATTAAGCTTAGTGAGAAAGGCATGTCAAAAGGTGAGATAGGCTGAAAGCTAGGCCTCTTATGCCAAACAACCAAGTTGTAAATGCAAAGGAAAAGTTTTTGAAGGAAATTAAAAATGCTGTTCCAGTGAACATATGAATAATAAGAAAGTGAAACAGCCTTTTTGCTGATATGGAGAAAGTTTTAGTGGTCTGAAGAAAAGATCAAATGAGCCACAACATTCTCTTAAGCCAAAGCCTAATCCAGATCAAGGCCCTAATTCTCTTCAAATCTATGAAGACTGAGAGAGGTGAGGAAGTTGCAGAAGAAAAGTTTGAAGCTAGCAGAGATTCATGAACTTTAAGGGAAGAAGCCATCTCCAAAACATAAAAGTGTGAGATGAAGCAGCAAGTGCTGATGTAGAAGCTGTAGCAAGTTATCCAGAACATCTAGCTAAGATCATTGATAAAGGTTGTTACAGTAGACAACAGATTTTCAATGCAGACAAAACAGCTTTCTACTGGAAGAAGATGCCATCTAGGAATTTCATAACTAGAGAGGAGAAGTCAATGTCTTCAAAGCACAGGCTGACTCTCTTGTTAGGGGCTATGGTAAGTTGCTGGTGATTTTAAATTGAAGCCAGTGCTTATTTACCATTTTGAAAATCCTCGGGCCCTTAAGAATTATGCTAAATCAAGCCAGAAGTGGTGGTGTACACCTGTAGTCCCAGCTACTTGGGAGGCTGAGGCGGGAGGATCACTTGAGGTCAGGATTTCAAGACCAGTTTGGGTGACAGAGTGAGATTCCCTGTCTAAAAAATAAAAAATAAAAGAATTATGCTAAATCTACTCTGCTTGTACACTATAAATGGAACAGCAAAGTCTTGATGACAACACATCAGTAAACAGCATGGTTTGCTAAATGTTTTAGGCCTCCCATTGAGACTTACTGCTCAGACAAAAAGATTCCTTTCAAAATATTACTGCTAATTGACAATGCACCTAGTCACCCAAACACTCCGGTGGAGCTGTACAAGGATATTAATGTTGTTTTCATGCCTGCTAATACAGCATTCATTCTGCAGCCCATAGATCAAGAGTAATTTCTACTTTCAAGTCTTATTATTTAAGAAATACATTTTGTAAGGCTGTAGCTGCCATACATAGTGATTCCAACAATGGATCTGGCTAAAATAAATTGAAAACCTTCTAGAAAGGATTCACCATTCTAAATGCCATTAAGAACATTTATGATTCCCTGGAGGAGGTCAAAATATCAACATTAACCGGAGTTTGGAAGAAGTTGACTCTAACCCTCATGTCTGAATTTGAAGGGTTTAAGACTTCAGTGGAGGAAGTAACTGCAGATGTGGTGGAAATAGCAAGAGAACTAGAATTACAAGTGGAGCCTGAATATGTGACTTAATTGTTGCAGTCTCATGGTAAAACTTGAACAGATGAGGAGTTGCTTCTCATAAATGAACAAAGAAAGTGGTTTCCTGAGATGGAATATACACTTGGTGAAGATGCTGTGAACATTATTGAAATGAAAACAAAATATTTAGAATATTACACAAATTTAGTTGACAAAACAGTGGCAGGAATTGAGAGGACTGACTCCAATTCTGAAAGAAGTTCTACCGTGGGTAAAATGCTATCAAGCAGCATTGTATGCTACAGAGAAATATTTCATGAAAGGAAGAGTTAATTCATGTGCAAACCTCATTGTCTTATTTTATGAAATTGCCATAGCTTCAGCAACCACCGCACTGATCTATCAGCAGCCCTCAACATTCAAGCAAGACCCTCCACCAGCAAAAATATTACGACTTGCTGAAGGCTCAGATGATCATTAGCATTTCTAGCAATAATGTATTTTTAAATTAAGGTATGTGCATTGTTTTTTAGATATGCTATTACACACTTAATAGGCTACAGCATAGTATAAACATAACTTTTATATGCACTGGGAAACCAAAAAACGTATGTAACTCACTTTAATGCTACATTCACTTTATTGAGGTCGTCTGGAACCAAACTCTCAATATCTCTGAGGTATGCCTGTATTTTATTATTACCCCATGTTTGGCAGGTATCTTTTATTCTACTTTCAATTTTAAAAAAATGAATCTTTCTTAGATTTTTTAAAAATATTTTTTATGATCGATTCTGAAGGTCATGATAACAGATCACACAGCAGACACAGTTATCTGAAGTACCTTTTGAACATTTCATTCTATTATACAGCAGTGTCTTAAATACTTGACAATAAAAACTGATGATTTCTCAGTTTCAACGCGTCTGTTCAGTTGCCATGTCTTTGAATACTGTCATCATCTTGTTAAGAAATCCTGGAGTATGGTTCTTCATATAGTTAGATGACACTTCTGTCGGGTTATTCCAAGTAAATTGGCTTTTCATTCCTTGTGGTTTGTCATCTTTCTTAGTTTAAGGACTACTGCTGAGAGCAAAGCTTCTTTATTTCTTTGGAGCTCATCAATATAAATTATTTGGGATTTTACTTCAGATCAGCTTAGCTTAAGTCGGCCATCCAGCCTTTACCAAGTGCCACTTTGCCAGCAGAGCAATAAACGTATTCATGCAGCCCTTTTGTGCCTGAGACACTCAGTCTGGATCCTCAGTGGGGTCTTTGTTCCTCCTCGCTCTTAAGTGCTTCTTTACATTTGTGTTTCTCTCTGCTGGTATAATGGTCCATATCTCATTTCAGGAGCAAATGGCTGCCCAAATCCACAACAAATTAACATTCAAGACAATTGGTGCAAGAGGTCTGTCTTCCAGCTACTCAGGGACAGTTCTGGGGGCTGCAAGACAAGCATTTGGTTCTGGTCCTGAACTGCATGTAGAGAATGGCAAGGCTTGATCCAGTGGTCCTATCTCATAGCTCTGCCCATTGTTTTTCTTTTGAAATATAGTTAATTGTCTTTTCTTGCTGTGTAAATGCAACACAAAAACGTGACTTCTTTCCTCTCTCTTTCATGGGTCCGATAATTGCCTTATCTGCTTTTTTGTTGTTGTTTTGCTGGAAGCAAGTTCAATCCAAAAGTTAATTAAAGTTGGTATGGTTTTGCAAATAGTGATTTATTTTAGAAACTATAAAAATTTCTTAAGTCAGAGCTCACCAACAAAACTGAGTCAAAAATATTTGCTCAATTAATACCAACACAAAAGATAAATCCATCTATCAGAAATTTTCTTGTGAAAGTTTAATGCTCATCAAGTGTTCTGTGGATTAACTGTTTGCTTTTGTATGTATGCTTTACACAAATTTTATTTAGCTGTCGAAAAAATTAACTGATATGTACGTTATAGTAATACTCTCATAACCTGTTTCTCATAGAGTATGATAGTATATTTATAAAACCATGTCTTACAAATGCCTCTTTCTTCAAAACTATTATAATGCATTCAATTAAAGCATTTTTACTTGATCAAAGGTATTATTATTCAAAAATGTATGATGAACCTAGATACTTGCTATGAAATATATAGTTTGGAATTGTGGAGGAAACTAACTTATCCAGGAAGGTAGGGCAATAGTACTTTTAAATAATATGATTCTGCAATTTGTTAAGATTTATTCTCAACTATAGAAATTTGCCTGATTTTTAGTCATTATCTGAGCCATATAATATTATTTATGTATATAAAACAGTAACGATTCTCTTGAAGATTGACTATGCTAAAAGTAATTAAGAATTACTTTTTTTATATTTCCTTCAATGGCCTCCATAGATTTGTGACAGGTCTTAGGTTAATGAGGTTATGTGACTGTATAAACTTGCTTGGGCTGCCATAACAACAAAATACCACAGACTGGGTCACTTAAACAACAAATATTTATTTTCTTACAGTTCTGGAGGCTAGAAGTTCACAATCAGGGTGTGTATCAGTTCCTTCTTACTCTGCTAATAAAGGCATACCCAAGACTGGGTAATTTATAAAGGAAAGAGGTTTAATTGACTCACAGTTCAGCATGGCTGGGGAGGCCTCAGGAAACTTACAATCAGCAGAAGGGAAGCAAACATGTCCTTCACATGGTACAGGAAGGAGAAGTGCCGAGCAAAAGGGGGAAAAGCCACTTATAAAACCATCAGATCTCATGAGGACTCACTATCATGAGAACAGCATGAGGGTAACTGCCCCCCCATGCTTCAGTTACCTCCCACCAGGTTCCTACCATGACATATAGACATTATGGGAACTACAATCCAAGATGAGATTTGGTTGGGGACACAGCCAAACCATGTCAGGATGCCAACATGTTCAGGTTCTGGTGACGGCTATCTTTCTGGCTTGCAGATGGCCACCTTCTCTCTGTGTCCTCACCTGGTCTTCTATTTCTGTTATTCATATTCCGAACTCCTCTTCTTGTAAGGACCCCAGTCATATTGGATTAGGACACACCCACATCCCACATGACCTCATTTTACCTTAAGTACCTCTTCAAAGGCCCTGTCTCCAAATACAGTCATATTCTGATGTCCTGGGAATTAGAAATTCAATAAATGAATTGGTGGGGATTGGGGGGCACAATTCCCCTCATAATAGTAGCATTGCTGAAAATATTTCAGACTTGAGGCATTTGGTAAGCTTAGCAGATAAAATATTTTGGAAGAAATGTCATTGGGAGATGTTGTGAGGTGGGGGTGAAAGGAGAAACAGTATTTTGGCATGTAGCTTAGCGTTTTCCGGATTTGTTTCTAGCCTTCTTAATTTGGAGCATGTAGAAGGAGGGTTGCCAGATAAAATACAGGACACTTAAGTACATTTGAATTTCAGATAAACCATAAATCAATTTTAAGTATGCATATGACACAAATAGTGAAAATATTTATTGCTGATCTGAAATTCAAGTTTAACTGTGGGTGTCCTCTATTTTTATTTGCTAAAACTGGTGATCCTACCTACATTGCTTACTTTATGCTCATATATAAGGCATATCATGATTTCATTGAAAAAAATACACTAATTCAGGCCATTAATAATACAAACAGTGAGACATATGGGTAATGGAGATACTGTTTTAAAATGTTTTTATTTTTTATTCCTTGATTCATTAAATATTTACTAAGTGCCAACTAAGTATCAACCATACTCCCAGGGATAGGATATACCTTCATGACCAAAACTAGACCAATCCTTGCCTTCAAAGTGCTTACAGTCTAGTAGGGGAGGCAGGTGATGAATAAGATAACAGGCAACTCCAATTGTGCAAGTGGCATGAAGGAAACAGCCACTTAACTCAGAGAATAATGGAGTTAACAGAGGCTGATTTCTCATGGTGGTCAGGGAATAAGTCACTGAAGGGGTGACATTTAACTTAGTTTCAGAAGATGATACCAATGAGGTGATGAGGACAGGGAAGCTCTGAGGTAGAAAAGCGCTTGGTGTATAAATGAACAAAAATGAACAAAAATGAGTGTGGCCAAGTGTGTAGAAGACAGAGCACAGGCAGCACGAAGTTTAGTTTGAGAACGTGCCAACAGTCAGATGGTGCAGGACCTGTCCAGTCACGATCCAGGCTTTGGACCTAACCTCATGAACCTGAGATTTGTGACCAATCTGTGGATGCCATTGAAGGAAATACAGCAAAAGTGCAGTGGGAAGCCACTGGTGACTTTTCAGCTGGGAGATGGCATGATTTGATTTCTACTTTTTAAAGATCACTCTGGCTGATGTGTACCAAGGAGACTGGATTAGTATCCAATTGATACTAATTGATTGGATGGAGTGGCACTTACAGAGCTGGGGAAGACTGAGAGAGAAATGGGTTTGTGTGGTATATTAGTTTCCTGTGGCTGCTGTAACGAATTACCACGATCTTAGTGGATTAAAACAACACATACTTATTATCTTACAATCCTCAGGTCAGATGTCTGAAATGGGTCTTACTGGGCAAAATTCAAGATGTATGTAAGGCTACATTCTTCTGGAGACTCTAGGGGACAATCCATTTCCTTGCCTTTTCCACAGAAAACCTACCTGCATTCTGTGCTCGTGGCCCCTTCCATTTCAAAGTTAGCAATGGCTAGTCAAGTCTTTCTTACATTGCATCACTCTCATTCTCCTGTCTCCTTCTTTCACTTATAAGGACCCCTGTGATTACATGAAGCAAAGCCAGATAATCCAAGATAATCCATCTCAAGGTGACAAGATTAGCAATCTTAATTCCATCTGCAACCTCAGTTCCTCCTTGTGACATATCATATACACAGATTCCAGTGATTAGGACATGGACATCTTGTGGGGGAGCATTATTCTGTCTATCACATATGGGAAAATCTTCATGTTTATTTAGACGTGTTAAATTTGAAAAGCCAGTGAATTGACCAAGTTGGAAGTTAGTAATGTAGGCAGACGAATATGTGAGTGCAAAACTCAAAGAGATTTGAAAGTTATCAACACAACGATGGTGTATAAAGCCATGAGAGTGTATGGCATCACTGAAGAAGAGACTGAGCCTAGAAGCTTCCACATTTACAGTTAAGGTAGAGGATGAGGGGCCAAAAAAGAAAACATAAAGAGCAGCCAAAGAAATAGGATGAAAACCAAAATAATGTGGTGTCATGGAAGCCCAGAAAGGAGACTTTTCAAAATAGGAGTGAGTGCTCTCCCAAGTTTAATACTGCTGCAAAAGGCAATTGGAGATTCATCAATGGATTTGTTGGCAAGAAATTGAAAGCCTTGACACGAGCTGTTCCAGTGGAGAGGTGGGGGCAGAACCAAAACTGAGGCATATTGAGGAGTAAATGGGATATGGCCAGTGACCATAGGTGATGGGGAAAAGTCCTATGTGACCACAATAGCATGTGTAGATGCTTGTTAAAATTAGCAAGGCAAATACATTTGGTCACAGGCTTTTCAACAAGAAGCTGGGAGCTAAGCAGAAACTTAGCTTGGTTGTGTATTTACATCCAGTCAGAATCGCATGATGGCTAAATTGATACAATACATGAAAGAGGTACAGATATTACTGGGTTCTCGCTGTGCCCTGTGTGTAAAACCTGCAAACACTGAGGGTAAACTGAAGCACCACCATCTTTCTGAATGCATCCCAGAAAATCCTATGGGACCAAACAGAAGGAACTGCTTAAAGAAGAAAATCAGAGTTCTTAAGCAAGATTTAAGGGTCTCTTATCTTAAGGAATCCACTCCTCTGGCTTGTTGGTTTTTCTACGGATTCTTAGAGGGAACAATGCTACCATCTTCCTGGACTGTGGTTTAGCAATAGGGCCCAGTCCTTCAGAACAATGTACTCCTATTAGCCGATGATTCCTCCCTGCTCACCAACATGGATTGTACTCTTCTGGGAAAAGGTAGTTGAAAGATTCTTTAGCTAGACCATTTCTCTCCCCCCTCTACTGGTTCTTGGAGTCCTACAAACAGGAACTCTCAGAAACAAGAAGATCCAGAAGGTAAACCAGAAGCTTCCTTATCATTAACTTTGTCTAATTAGGTAGAATAAATAAATTCCTATGTACTTAATAGATTAGCCAGTAGAGGCTTAAAATCTCAGGATACAATCCAAAAAAGCTTTAGGTCTAAGATGTGGCCCATGAAATTTAAGAATCATGAAAAAGTAACCAAAGCATGTATTTATTTCGTTAAGGTCTTATTCTTTAACTGTACATACATTTAATTTCAGATGTATCATAGACCTAAACATAAAAGATAAAACTATAAAGTTTGTAGAAGACAGCATGAGGTATATATTCACAACTCGGGGGCAGTAAAAAAATTTTAGAAAGGATATGTGAGATTGAGCACAGTGGCTCATGCCTGTAATCACAACACTTTGGGAGGGAGAATTGTTTGAATCCAGGAGTTCAAGACCAGCCTGGGCCACATAGTGAAACCCTGTTTCTATAAAAAAATTACCTGGGCGTGGTGGTGTGTTCCTGTAATCCCAGCTACTTGGGAGGCTGAGGTGGGAGGATCACTTGAGCCAGGGAGGTCAAGGCTGCAGTGAGCTGAAATCATGCCACTGTACTCCAGCCTGAGTGATAGAGTGAGACTCTTCAAAAAAAAAGAAAGAAATAATATGTGAAACGATAGCAATTTAAATAATTGACAAATTACACTTTATCAAAATTTAAAACTTCTGTTTATTAAAAGACACATTAAAAGAAAATTAATAGACAAGCCATAGACTGGAGGTAATATTTATGAAACATATGTCTGACAGAGGACTTGAATCCAAAATATACAAAGAACTCCTACAACTCAATAACAAACAAAACAAACTATTGTAATTTTAAATGAGCAAAAGTCTTAATCTGTAATAATTGTCTGCTTCACTGTTTCAAATTGTTTCAATTTAGTGGAGTAAATAGCTTTTTTTTTTTTTTAAATAAAGGAAGTGGGAAGAGTTGATTTAAACAAACCTAACTAAGCACCACCTGGTGGCATAGATTTTGAATTGCAGCTTGAGTTTTTGTGGGTTATTTTTTAAAGGTAAAGTTTGAAGAGTGAATCTGCAGAAATAGACTTGAAAACAGTAAGAAATTCTAATAAAATGACAGCCAAATTAAATTTTACCACAGTAAAACTGAAACAAAAGAGCAAAATCAATTCATCTGTGCACTGAAATACCTATTGATATTTTAAGATAAGATAATGACATAACATAATATCCAGCCAAATATTTATTTGGTAGAATTTTAATTGAATATTAATACAATACCTATAAGTTGGCTATTTGTGTGCCACATTATTTTACATGTAGTATTGCATTTAATCTTCCTAAGAACTCTGTAAAGTACAGGCCCACTCCATAGAATATTTCCTTGGTTAAAATTTCCCAGTAGAATATATCTTTATTTTTAATAACCAAACCTCATAGAACATATTTATCTCTCAATACAACATTTTTCTGAGTCCCCTCCCAAAGATAAAAAAGGATTGAGAAAACTATGGAAAAACAAGTAAACTCAGTAAAAAAAAGTCTACAATGGAAGAGAAAGTATTACTTAACACAAAGAAACTTTTTGTTAATAACTATATTAGTTATGATCAGAAAGTAGCATTATTTTTATTTATTTATTTATTTATTTATTTATTGAGACAGAGTCTCACTCTGTCACCCAGACTGTAGTGCAATGGCACGATCTCGGCTCACTGCAACCTCCGCCTCCCGGGTTCAAGCGATTCTCCCGCCTCAGCCTCCCAAGTAGCTGGGATTACAGGCACCCATCATCATGCCCAGCTAATTTTTCTATTTTTGTAGAGGTGGGGTTTCATCATGTTGGCCAGGCTGGTATTGAACTCCTCACCTCAGGTGATCTGCCCGCCTCAGCCTCCCACAGAAAGTAACATTTTAAGTAACTATAACATAACTGTATTTTTTGTTTTAAATATACCTATGAATTTTACTGTGCTTTAGTTGAGTTTTAAGAAGTTGCTGCAGATCTTATAATACACTGTAATTTTTTTCCAATTAAAAATAATTAAAAGTAGACTCCTTGTTAGTGTTTTCAGGAGGAGCCTCTACGTTAAGCAGGAGATGCCTGTGTAGTATTATGTTATACCACCTTATAAATGAGACCCAAAGAGATTAAACCACTTGCCCAAGCTCCCAGGGCTCGGAAGTGGAGGCGTGGCAGCCTGACTCTGAAGGCTGTGTTCTAACCACCCTGAGACACTGCTTCCATTGTGGCTTTGCTTGTATCACACAAATGGTATGTGCCATAGGTCAGTGCTTCTCAAAGTTCTTGGTCAATAGGTTATTAGGTTGAATGTTACCAGTTTAATGTTACCTAAAAGGGAGTTCTGTGGCTAATTAAATTTGGGAAATACTAAGTTTAATGAAATAAAGCATGTTACTTTACTTTTTGCAGCCAAATATGCACTGTGATTCTCTAAGGTTTGTAGGTGAAGAAGGAGTTAGCATTTCCCAGACTTATTTGTTTGAGATTTGTGTAGATTAAGAATGTAGGCTGGGTGCGAAGGCTCATGCCTATAATCCCAGCACTTTGGGAGGCTGAGGCGGGAGGATCGCTTGAACCCAGGAGTTTCAGACCAGCCTGGAAAACATGATGAGACACCTGTCTCTACAAAACAATACAAAAATTAGTTGAGCATAGTGGTGTATGCCTGTGGTCGCAGCTACTTGGGATGCTGAGGTGAGAGAATCGCTTGAGCTCAGGAGGTCAAGGCTTCAGTGAGCTATGATCACACTACTGCACTCTAGCCTGTGCAATAGAGTGAGACCTGTCTCAAAAACAAAACCACAACAAACATGTGTCTGGCAGCATAAAACATATAACATACATATGCTATTTATGTGTGAGTGTGTATATGTCTGTAAATATGCCTTATAAAATGCCACCAATGTGCATTTATTTGTCTCACACAACAAGAATTCTGGGGCAGGGGAGCCCAGGGTCCTTTCTCTTTCCCTTTCTGTTCTGTTCACAGCAAGCTGGCATTCACTGCCATGCTTGTCACCTCATACACACCAGATTTTGCTGCACCTCCAGGCTTTACAGCTGTATTCCATGAAGGAAGAAAAAGAAAGAAGCAGCGCCGACACTCCCACTTATAATTCATTGACCAAGGCCGTGTCATAAAGGCCACCCTATAGGACCACCCCAGCTGCAGGGAGCCTGCGAATTGGGGTTTTTAACTTTTAAGCCTCTGTGTCAGTGAGTTATGATGTAGATAAATTGCAAAAGTTGATTCTCACTCAAATGACATGCCATCAGCTGCAGGTTGGCTGCAGTTCTACTCAATATATCTTCTTTATTTGGGGGCTCAGACTGAAGGATCGGCCCCTCTCAGGCCATGCCCTTCCCTTGGTGGAGGGAAAAAGGAGGTGGCAGAACTATGTGATTGCTGTTGAAGACACACTCAAAAGGGCATTTGTTACTTTTCCCATTGACCAAAAGAAGTCATATGCCAATGCTGATGTCAATAGGGCAGGGAAGCACAATCCTCTTACAAAAGGGGTCACAGATATATATCAATATAATCTTTCCTAATATAATAAAAGCAGGCAAATGAGAATAGGTGAGGAAATGGAAGTTGAGTCATCAACCTACAGTGTTTGCTACAGATCGCACACACATGCTCTAGCTTTTCATTTGCTTGTAGAGCATTTCACAGGACAAGTATTCACATCCTTTGGGAACTACAGTTTTGAGCCACAGCATGCCTTTTTTTTTTTTTTTTTTTTTTTGATAGGGTCTTACTCTGTCGCCCAGGCTGGAGTGCAGTGGCATGATCTCAGCTCACTGCAGCCTCGACCTCCTGGGCTCAGGTGATCCTCCCATCTCAGCCTCCCTGAATAGCTGGGACTACAGACACACACCACCATGCCCAGCTAGTTTTTGAATTTTTTGTAGAGACAAGGTTTCGCCATGTTGCCCAGGCTGGTCTCAAATTCCTGGGCTCAAGTGATCTGCCCATCTTGCCCTCCCAAATGCTGGGATTACAGGCGCGAAGCACTGCACCTGGCCATTGTCCTTTTGATGACATAACTACCCATAGAAAAATCCCGGTATAAAATATTCTTTAATATGTGAATTATGTCAGAGAATGTTATTAGACATGTTGTTTCTTGTCATACATTAAAGTCCACCTTTAAATCAAGGTGATATACATAAGCAAAGCTTATTTTTAAGCCAGGAGAATTTCAGAAAATACAGTCATGTCTAGTTATTAAAATTATTTTTTTTTCTTCTGAATCAGGTGCTATCATACCATGCAACATGTTCAAAAGCTGAAGTTGACAAGTTTAAGGTAAGGAAGAAAATGGTTTCCTTATTAGTGCATACAGTTAAACTTCTCCTGGCCTCCTGAGCTCTGTCACATGCCTCTAGAGAATTAATCCTGCCCATTGGGAGCTGGAGGACTAGCACTGGGCAAAGGTGTATTTTTATATTTCTGTTTTAGAGGGGAAGAAGGACTTTTGTATAACTGAGTAGTCATTTTATAATCATGTACATGATTCAGTATTTCTTCCCATTTATTAAGAAAGCACGATATCAGGGAAAAAAAAGTCTATAATATGGTGAGAATCAGGACACCCGGTTTTGGCATCAGTTTTACCTCTAACTTGCTGTTCAGTTAAAAGCTTAGGGCTGTATTTCCATCTGTAAAAATATGTGACGAGATTGGGATAATAATAGCTAACACTAAGTGCTTGCTGTGTGCCAGACACACTACCAAGCGTTTTACCTGCATTAATTCATTTAATCCTCACAATCCTGTGAAAAACATACTATTTTACAGATGAATAAATTGAAGCATGGAGATGCCAGGCCAAGGTCAAACAATTGTAAGACGTATGACAATCTGGTCCCAGAACTGGAGTTCTTAACCACCATGCTTCACTACCGCACAGAGTGATCCCCTTTCAACTCCAACATCTGATGAGTCTATGAATGAGTGTTAGATATTCCTTATCACCTTAGTTACTACCATTTCCTTAAGTGCAATTCAGAATTCCTGCTTGTGTCCCTGCACTCCTACCAGGCAGTTTTAGCAATGAGCAAAACACGGGAGTAAAGGGAAATTGATTTCCTTTCCTTTTGAAAGTTTTGGTGCCTGCCTTTTTATATTTAGGTGGCAGTTCAGAAAATTATCAGGAAAAGCTACCACAGTGATGAGAAAGATCATGTTTTATACTGCAATATTAGAATGTAATATCACTTGGTGATGGACACTTTTCTAAGAGTCCCATTTGCATATATATGGTGCAGAGACCATTGGGCCTAAGAATTGAATCAGATCATTAGAACTGAGCACTTGAATGACAAAAGGGAGCAAAGGAAGATGTTTGTTCCAAACACAAGCGCATGAATGATGAAAGGGAGCAAAGGAAGATGTTTGTTCCAAACACAAGCGCATGAATGATGAAAGGGAGCAAAGGAAGATGTTTGTTCCAAACACTGAGAGTAGGGATAAAAGAACTCCTCGCAAGGGCCGGAAGCAGCACATACACTGCAAGCATAGGAACTGCTCAGGCTCCATCCAAGGATAGGGTCTATTATTGACATAGAGAGATGCTTTGGGGAAAGACCTGCAATTGTAACCCAGATAAAAAGGGAGAGATAGGGTGCCACCAAGAGGTGACAGCTGACAGCAGAGGGAGGAGACAGAACAACTAAAACCACAGCAGTCAGGGCCCATTTGTTGCAGAGGAAAACATCCTGCATACCAGCTTGAACTCAAGCTCCATCAGGACAGCACTAATTGTGTTTTATTCACTGCTGTATCTCTCCTGCCTTTTTTGGTCCTTGGGACATAGTAACACTCAATAGATACTTGTTGAATGGATGAATGAATGAATGGAAAAGTGAATGAATAAATACATCTGAAGAGCACCAATGGTTCTAGAACTCGAAGCAGTTGGTCATTAAGAAAATTTTAAAACGGTGATAATATATAATTATTTTATATATTTCATATAAATTTTACTTAATGTATGTAAATTTTATACATTTTCCATCAAAAATATTTAAGCTTTTTAATGTTAGCCAATAAAGTTCAATTATTTAGGAATCCTATTTATGAAAATATCCAGTTCCTGCTAAAATGCTAATGTAATGTTTATATTATATTTTTGCTGTTGTTATAATTATCATCATTGCTAAAAGAGGGTGGGGTAGGCAAGAAGAAAGACAGCAAAGATGATAATATGAGCTTTGACTCATATGACTAGATATGACTGCAAGAGCTGCCCAGAGATATAGCAGGCCAAAATCCATAGTTGTTTACTTTTTTTTTTTGAGACAGAGTCTTGCTCTTTGTCACCCAGGCTGGAATGCAGTGGCACAGTCTCAGCTTACTGCAACCTCCACCTCCCGGGTTCAAGTGATTCTCCTGCTTCAGCCTCCCAAGTAGCAGGGATTACAGGCGCGCATCACCATGCCCTGCTAATTTTTGTATTTTTAGTAGAGACGGGGTTTCACCATGTTGGTCAGGTTGGTCCCGAACTCCTGACCTTGTGGTCTGCCTGCCTCAGCCTCCCGAAATTCTGGGATTACAGGCATGAGCCACCATGCCTGGCCTAGCTGTTTACTTTCTAAAGGCACCAACATTCAGGCTTAATTTTTTGCTTAAAGAAAACATTGTCCTGGAATTTGGTATGCATTTCTATTGTTAGCTCACAAATATATTAAAATATGAAGTTTTTAAATTTGAGAACAAAGGGTTATTTTATCTTAAAATTATCAAGATTAATAATTTAACTGATTTACTCCAGATTTTATCATGACAGATATTAGCTAGTATCCTATTACAATGTAACTGAGATATAGTAGATCATTTTAACCATTTTAAAATGGGATTTTTCTTGATATAGACAGTAAATAAAACATTATTCTAATTGGTAGTTGATGTCTGTTATAACTGCAGCAATAACATTAAAATGTAGTGGGCTTAACATAATCCTGCACATAGACAGTGAAAAGCGTTTACTGAAATTCCAGGCTGGAGTATGTGCAATGGCAGTTTTCTAACATTGTAGCTAAATAATAGTAAATACATGCTTTGTTTTGACCAATATATATGACAAACCATGTTTACGTTCAAGTGTATTGTCATTCTTCCTACCTGCAGTACTTTTTTAACAAACATGATTGTAAAAAAGTTTTTTTAAGTGTGCAATGATTTGAAGTCTGGAATCAGTTATCCGTGAGATTTCATGAGTTAAAGAAGGGGTCCTTAACCCAGCCCATGGACTGGTACCAGGCCACACAGCAGGAGGTGAGCAGCAGGCGTGCAAATATTACCACCTGAGCTCCGCCTCCTGTCAGATCAGCAGTGGCATTAGATTCTCATAGGAGTGCAAACCCTATTGTGAACTGCACATGTGAGGGATCTAGGTTGCGTGCTCCTTATGAGAATCCAATGCCTGATGATATGAGGTAGAACAATTTTATTCCAAAACCATTCCCACACCCCCACCCCTCCCAGGTCCATGGAAAAATTGTCTTCCATGAAACTGGTCCCTGGCGCCAAAAAGCATGGAGACCACTGAGTTAAAGGATGGCTGAGTCCCAGTGTATTGGATTATACCCGACCAGACTAGTGATCAGTGATTCAGAGCTTAAGCCAGAGTTTGGGAAGAAACTGATTCATCCAATGCTGACAAAAATCTGGAGGTCAAATTTTACATACGTAAATATGACAGACTTCAGTTGGAACCCAAGTTGCACCACATCTGGGATGCAGAAATGTCTGGGAGACAAGCTAGTTGTAGTTATTTACATGAGAGACTAACAGGCCTTCTGAGTCAAGAACTCTTCCTCATGAAAGTTAAGGCCATGGACCTCAGTGTCTAGATGATTCCAAGTTCAGCATGTAGTTTGTACCTTGGATTTATCCCTCACCTCAGCCTCCCATGGATCCATGTTCTCAGCTCAGAACGTGAGTAAACACAGAAGGCATGAGCTTTGGTATGGTTTCAGTGCATCAAATGCTCCCGATAGAATGGGTCAGTGTGCTAACAGAAGGCAGCAGCCTAATGAAGGAAGCATCACTACGGACCCGTGGCAGGGCCCCTTCCTACCTGTGTGACCAGCAGAAGCTGATGGCATCGATGGAATCAATGCAGGCTCAGTGGTCACATTTTAAGGCAGGTAAGGTACACCCTGAGGACTCCCAAAAATAAGTAGGAGAGATGGAGACTCTGTACTATTGGAGAATGTGATATATACACCATTAATTACTCTTAGTTTGTACCATTTGTACTCAGAGATTGTGGGGCCTAAAGGAAGATTGATTTCACATAAGATAAACCTGTAGTGAATCTTTTAATAATCATTAATGCTAGGCTGATGCCATCTTACCCTTCCTCATATCTGGTCTTTCTGTTTCATACTCCTTTATGTTTTGGGATTTTCTCCCCCTATTCTAGAATGCCTTGTTAGGGAGAGTGTTGTTGTTCTGTTTTGTTCTGATAACCCTATTACTTCTGTTGGGAAAAATTTCCTTGAGGAGCATGTAGTAGTGATGGGTGGGAGAATGGGATTAGAGTGTGAAAACCTTTCTAGAAGTGTCCTTGGACTGTGCAGCCAGAATAAATAGATAAAACAACATATAATTACTCATCCAAGAATGTCAGAATTTGGGTTTATTTTTCCTGATTCTGATATATCATTTATACTTCAAGAAACAGTCTTTCTTGCAGCTTCACCTATACACAAAAAGATCACAGAACTTCCTGGAACTAATGAATTAACTATTTCAAAAGTCTGATTCAGGTTGTAGTATCAATAAATTATCCTTTATGGGTTGATTGCCCTGTGCATCTAATGAGGAAACCAGGATCTAAAAAATGGTTTTTAATCCTCATTAACATTTACTGATCTTCCATGAACTTGAAATAAGAAAGTTATATACAGAAAATTTGTGCATATTTTAGTGACTGTTTTTATCTCTGCAGCTCTGTGCTAACAGGAATAATGTATAAAGACCACATTGACAATTACATCTCCTTGAAGATGGCTGGTTTAAAGGCTTTCAATAACCTAAAGATGCCAGCTGTGATAACATAAGAAAATGAGTTTAGTACCCCAATTATATGCTCCTGTAATTTTATGGACTTTCCTTAAATTGCAATGCGGTGGACAGACCAAACAATTCTCACTATATATTGCCAGTTTACCAATTAAAATCAACTCATGGATGTTGTGGTGTTATATTGCCACCTTGTATCATCCCTTCCTTCAATTGAGCACTGCATGGGTTACGGCTGCAATCAGAGATGAACTCATTTACAGCACTGTAACTGCCTCAGTAATTAAGCACCAGTAACTCAGGTTGGGGTTTGGGTTTGGACTACCTCATACATATTTCAAGTTTTCAATGTTAATGACTAGGCCACAAATTAATATCCTAGTAAATAAAATAAAATAAAATAAAGTACCAAGAATAGGTACTCCTTGTGGCATTTATATACTGAAATAAGAATGACTGCATCAAAAATAGGATCTTATGACCTCCTTTGCAGACTGAGCAATAGGATGTGATTTACTAGGCTTAAAAAAAATTAGATTTGATAAGACACTTTAATCCATGAAATAGTGTATAATAAGAAGCTTCAGCCCTCAAGACTGCCTTTACAGCTATGCCAGGAGATGTGTCTGCCTTATGCCCTGCACTAGGGCCCCTTGCACAGCAGGCGGGTGCAGGGCTGCCCCCCTTCTCTTGGCTGGCCAAGTGCATGGAGTGCCTTTTAGTAGTTGATCCACCAGGTGGCGCTCCTTTCTCCAATTGCCACAAAGGCACTACACGCGCTAGCCACCGCCCTGTGCAATCAATTTCCGAAGCCCTGGAAGAGCCCAATTCTTGCAGCAGCCCCTTGCAGAGGCGGAGTGCACTATGCAGACAGAGGGTAACACCATGGCATTTACCCAAACTCAGGCGACACAGAGAACGCCGAAGAGGAAGAGGGGTAGACCTGAGTCCCATGGACAGCAGCGGGGTGGCAGAGGCCGGGAGCTTACTACCCACCCCATCGGTAGGGGCACCTCCAGCTCCTCCCCCTCAGGGCAGATGACCCATAGAGGCTCCTCCACAGCCGGGGATAAAGCAGGACTTCTGGGTACCAGAAAGAGGGCAGGAGCTTTGTCTTGTTTATCTACAGTCTCAGTTCTCATGGCCTTCCTGAAATGCTACCTTCTGAAATCCCAACAGTGGCTTTCCAGTGCATCTCGGGTCATTTCTAAGGTTGTTTAAAAGATTACCTCGAAGCTATATAGAAGGAATTCGTTACCTAGCCTATGCTGTCTCCTCTTCTGTGCCCGCCTTTGGAATTTAGGAAGTTGTTTTGACTTTAAATAGTATTTATGTCAAGTTTAATATCCGAGTTTTTTTTTTATCGTCAGAGAAAGTTATTGAACCTTCACCAGGAAATTGACTGCAGAGGAAACAGCTGCATCAGCACCCTAAAGGGCATCTCCTGCTCACAAGCAGCAGCCGAGCCGGGCGGCTTGCACTGCTCAGGACGCATCCATAAATATGCGGAGTGCTTCGCGTTCAAATGTCCGGCTGTCTGTATGAATTGTGTCTTAATCAAATGCCACATCAGAAAAAGGATGGTTGTACTTTGTCACTCTTGAGTATTGAAGATAGTGGCGGAGGGCGGGGGAGTGGGTGCTGAGCATGAGGGGAACCAGATCTGCAAGCCCAGGCTCGTCTTCCCTCCTGCTGAGCTAAGCGGCTAGGTATTGAGGGCCCTTCAAGGACCCGCCTGACCAAAATACATCCTGTGGTGACCCTGACCTCCCCTCACATCAACTTCAGCAGCCACTATTTGTCACTTCTTTCTATTTGAAAACAAAGCGAGGACACTCTCCCCAGAAGATCACTGTGAGCATCTCCTTTCCCTGGGAGGAAGAGCGGGCCTGGAGGATTTTCTCCCACCTTCTCCCTCCCCCATGTTA
The DNA here is from genome assembly GCF_000001405.40 of Homo sapiens. NCBI lineage: Eukaryota > Metazoa > Chordata > Mammalia > Primates > Hominidae > Homo > Homo sapiens. The sequence continues at coordinate 177,762,669 of NC_000002.12, read as the reverse complement.
GCACAGCAGAATTCACTGCATTCCCTAAGTGTCACACGGGAAGGCGCAGGAAGTCTGAACTTGAGGCAGTGAAACAAAGGAGGGCTCATTTTTGTTTCAGAGCGCTAGGAACAAAGCGGCGACAAGTCCTGAAGGTCCAGTGGAGAGCAACAGTGTGGCCCAGTGAGATCCCTGACTCCTGAACTGTGAAGGGAACTGGAGAGGTTAAAGTCATCAGAACCTTCCAGAACACTAGCGCATCTGGGACTGTATCACTTTATCTTCTTTTTAGTTTTCCTCTAATTAGATCCATTGATAACTCTAGCTGTGACGCCAGGAAATGAAGAACACGTAGTCCCTCACTTCAGTGAGAGGGGCTTGGGTTAGCCATCACAATGGGTGGCCTTCCCTCTACTGTTCGTTCAGTGTGCACAGAGCTACGACCTCCTGGCTGTTGGGCTTCTGTAGCCCTCAATCTCCAGTTGCACACTTTGGCTATCATTGTACAGTCATCATGGGGTCCTCATCACTGCCCGCCCCCACATGCAGTCCCGTCCATTCTGCCTTCCAAACATCTCCTGCTCCTGTCCATCCTCACAGCCCTCACTAGTTCAGATCCTCATTCTCCTTCAGGCAGGCCATTATTGTACACTGCTTTCCTAGCTGGGTTCCCGCCTCCTGCTGTTGACCCTATCCGAGATCCATCCTGTGCACAGCTAACAGATGAACAGATGAACTCTTCTGTTGGTGTAGGTTCCAGCTCACAAAGTTTAGTATCTTCTAGAAGCCTCTAGATTCTTTCAATTCGAATTATTTAATTGGACATTAAAAGTATTCCAAACTCTAACTTTCAGCTCACTTTTCCAGCCTGTTTCCCATGCTCCCACTGAGCTATCCTTAACCAAATAGTTCTACTTGGTGTTTTCTGCCCATTCCCTGTCCTTTTATATGTTTGCACCCATCCTTCTCCCTATCTGTATATATAAATCGCTAACAATCTACCTGACCCTTCTCAACTGCCCCTTTCTCCATGAAGTCATTCCTGCTGTCCTTCAGTCAAAAGTGACCTTCTCATTTGCCTTTCTTCCTACCATATTCATCACTTTCTACCTTGCAATATAAATCTTGGTGCACCTGTCTACTCAAATGATTAAAGCAGTTGCATTTTTAGGAGAGAATCCTTGACTTACTCATTTGGTAACCCTTATATCACCTAAAGCCATGCCTTGCACCTGGGTGCTGGAGAAATTTCTACCTTGTGACCAAATTCCTTGAAATGTTCGCCATTTTTATGGCAAAAGAACTTATAATGCTTGGGTGGAATTTTGAAGCAGGGACCTATGACGATGGAAATTTCTGACAATTTCACCCCAATCCTTGCTTTATGCTGTTTGAAACCCCTTGTTTTTATGTTCCTGGTTGTTGTCCTGTGCACCCTAAACTATATGAAAATAAAGGGATTCGTTTTCTTTGTTTAGGATAGGTACTCCTATCCTCTTTGGAGTGTGCTGTAATGATAGTGTCTCTCTTCCCCGCTGGAGGCAAAAGCCCCTTGCCCTTTAACTCTTAGTTGATTCAGCAATCTCTTTACTACTAAATACGTTTCTTCATTCATGTATCCTCCTACCACCACCCTGCTGACTAAATTTTTTTAAACCTATTTTTTTGACCTTCAAAACACCTAATGCTTTGTTATTTGTATTTGTATTTACTATTTTATATAGTTCTATAGTCTGTCTTTCCTGTTTTTGAAATCATGCTCTGGTTTGGCTGTTCTTCCTATTTTTCCTCATTTGGAAATGGATTCATCCAAAATCTTTTAAGTGTTTGTGAATCATAATTCTCTTGGTCTCAAGACACCCTATGAAATAGGAAGTTAGGAGACAATGTCTGGCTGAAGGGTTTTCTGCAGTCTCTGTAGCCAGATCTGCCCTTTTAACAGTCTTTGTAAGACCATGGACACAGTAAGACAAGAGCAAGCAAGTGTATAAAAAGACAAAGTAACCACCAGACCTTTTGGTTAATTTCAATTTCTAGGCTCCAGGTTTCCTCATCTGCAAAACAAAGCCATCTCTAGCTAAAAAATGCTATAATTTTATGAACCTATAAAATTTATCTCTAGGAAGAAAGGGGAAAATAAAACATAAAACAACATAAATGTTGACAAAACATTTAGGGGTTTTTATGATTTTCGCATACTCAAATTTTTTAATTCAAGCTCTGTTCAAGATAGCTCAGCTTGATTTAATTACATATAAGTAATTTCCAAAGCCCCCATGACTATATTATATTTGAAAGGTAATATAATATAATAATACTCATGAGGAAGATGTGTGATTACGTGGGTAAAACAAGAGTCTCAATCTCATCAGTATAAAAACTATACACTAATGCTACCTATAAATGTTTAAATAAGAAAAATGTCTTAAGTACTAAGAAATTGCAGTGTATAAAAACAGGTACATGTCCATTATCTCACTTGAGGCTCACAAAGTCTTGGTGAGGGCAGGGTTAGCATATCTCCATTTTATGTAGAAGGCAACTAAGGATCAAAGAACCAGCAAGAAAAATGGAACCCCTCTGCTTTGGTTTTTCTTCTGCAATGTTTTGTCTGTTCCTGAAGACAATGCTGTTCTTCAAGTGGCGGAGTAGGAAAATGGAAGCAATGTCATGGAGTTTCATTTTTAAGTCATTTCTTTTGATTCAGCTATTATTCTTGAAATCTTGGTGGCATTTTGACATTTTGGGGGTCAAATAAGCATGAATGGTAATGACGTCTGAGAAAGACAGAATTGTTGGCTGAACTCAACATATTGACTTTTAGTAAGACTGTTTATGGTACTCTTTGGGCAATTAATACGTAATGTTGTTTTATTAGAAACTTCTTTTTGTATTGTGGTTGTACTATCCATGTGACTTTTTGCCCTGGGGTTTTAGATTACTTGGGAACCTAAGGAAATTGGAAACAGAAACATTATGGAGACATTGCATCATTCTTAGCAAGAGAGTATATGGTTCATTATTCTGACATCTCGCCTGTCTTCCTTACAGTCTGATTGGCTATCTAGCTGTATCAAAATCTCTTGACATCTGGAAAGCTCAAAGGAAAAAGAGTAGTCCCACTCTATTATCCTGTGCTCTCCAGGCCTGCCAAGTACCTTGTACGAAAGATAACAAGGATATGAGATTGCAAACATCAGTTTCATGATAAAGCACTTGTCAGGTGATAAAGTCTTATGTTTAAGGCATGAGCACTTATGAACTAGAGACTATTTGGGGGAATATGAAGTGAAGAATGTGAGACTGGGCTTGCATTTTTTATAATATTTCCTATAGTGATACTTGATATTGGGAACATCATGGATGGTAATCTGCACATCTGAAATATGATGATTTTAACATAAAACTCTCAAGGTAAATTTTAAAGATTTTTCAGAAATTTTAGCTATTCTGAATTAGCTCCTGATACTGTTTCCATTTGTGTGTGCGTGTGTGTGTGTGTGTGTGTGTGTGTGTGCACGTGCTCCAACTTAACGGGATAGTCATATGATTTGGAGTTTCAACTCTGGCTTTACAAAAGGATCTCATGGCAATTCATTGTCTCCAAAGAGAGAAGCAAATGGAAAATCCCTGAGAAAACAGGGTCTGAGATGAAGCACTTTGGCCACTGGGTGCCATCCTTGCTCCACGTAAGGATTTGCTGAGCCACATTTCTAGGAAAATGGCTAAAACCCCAGAGACAGTAATTTAAAAGTAATATCGAGATATAATAATGTTTGTGTGTACGCATGACCTGGAATATGTTAGTGACATGGACAGCTTATTCATTTGCCCAGGCACGAGGTGGAGGGACTGGGGGACTCTCCCCTTTGGTTTAGCCTTAAGAACAAAGCCTGTGTAAGGCCCTTGTGCTTGCTGTATCCCAGTGAGGCAGCCGGCGGGTGGCCAAGGAGGCACCGTGGAGGTCTGGGGATTGTTGATGAGGTGGTGCAGTAGGCATCTGGAGGTCAGCAGGTCAGATGCTACATTAATTCTTTTTATTGTGGTGTGTAATTGCAGCATGCATGCAGCCAGGAGATTTGAGCCTCGCTGTCTGTGTGCCTGCACTCTATTCCTTCAATGCATTCATTTCCTTGCCAGAGCTGATAGAGCCATCAGGCACTCCTTCTCTTCCTTTTCCCCAGAATACTGCATGTTGGTGAAATGGTAGCTCTGTTGAGGTGCTTTTCGCTTCCCTAGAAGCAATTCATAACGTTCACAAAGACACCACCTTAGCCAGATATCAGAACATCTATAGTCAATACACAACATCTGTGCAGGATTTTTCTGTCTTTGGATTTGATAGCCACAGAGAATGTTCTTTGAATATTCTTTTTTTTTTTTTTTTTTTTTTTGAGACGGAGTCTTGCACTCTCACCCAGGCTGGAGTGCAATGGCGCCATCTCGGCTCACTGCAAGCTCCGCATCCCGGGTTCATGCTATTCTCCTGCCTCAGCCTCCCGAGTAGCTGGGACTACAGGCGCCTGCCACCATGCCTGGCTAATTTTTTTTTTTTTTTAGTAGAGATGGGGTTTCACCGTGTTAGCCAGGATGGTCTCGATCTCCTGACCTTGTGATCCACCCACTTCGGCCTCCGAAAGTGCTGGGATTACAGGATTACAGGAGTGAGCCACCGTGCCTTGCCTCCACAGAGAATATTCTAAGACTGTCATGTAATTCAGGATGATGTTTCCATCCAGGGCCTAAAGCATTTCATTGAGACTAAAAGGAATTAGGCTGTGAACAAGTCAGAATTTTAATAAAAACTGCAAGTCTGTTACAGTCCCACTGTAACAGAAAACTCTAGAATCGTTTCTATAAGACCACATGGTAGAAGGGATCTAAGTTCAAAACAGATTTCACCTCATCCCCCCAGGCTGGGGGCCCCAGCATCTGGCCTCATACTGGCTCTGAAAGCCTTCCCAGAGCAGCATCCACAGGTACTTCTTTACACTCACTATAATCAAATCCACACCCACGAAAGGTGAGAGTCTGAGAAGGGCTGGTAAGAACTTACAGCGAGGCTCTGTTCAACCTATCCAGGGATAAGAGGCTTAAATACTGTTCTGTTGTTAAGCATCTACAAGTGGACGGACTTTAAAATACATTTCCTGGGCTTTCTGTAGGATAACATGATACCAATCATTATACATTTTCAAATATTGCTGTTCACTAAGACAAATGCTATGATAACCACAGCATTTTTGCTGATTCTAAGTGCTTTCATAGCTCTTATTTCATTGAATGTTAACAGCAAGCCTCTGAAGGAGGCATCAGCGGCTCTATCCCATTTAAGGATCAGGCAGCTAAGAGAGATGTTACACTGCCAGTTTGGAGACCTTGGTTCATGCTGCTGAGGCCCTTTTCTTGGGCCCCAGTATATGCTCAGTCTACTCCATGTGACAGTCATCTGGAAAATAAACATTTACTGAACATTTTACCAGCTGCCAGGCCAGTTTTTGGTGCCTTACCTGTATTAATTTATTTAGTCTTCACAAAAACCCTACTATTATTTTTCTTATTTTACAGATGATAAAACTGAGGTACAAAGAGAAACGCCCAGGTAACTACATTGCACACATTAAGAAATTGAGATATGGGTGGGCATGCTGAATTTGTAAGATCCTTTTTGAAATGTCATGGAATGCGTTTTGTTTGAGATTCTTCTCGTCTTGGCTTGACCCTCCTTATCGTCTGATTGTGAGCCCTTGAATAATCTTGGTTTACTTTCTCGATAGATGGGTTCAGGTTTCAACAGACCTTGCTAAGAATGTTTTGGTTTGTTTATGTGTTCGTTTGTTTGTTTTAAGGTTACATAGTTTGAAAAGTAATCCAGCCCCATTGCTTGAGCAGGTATGATTCCTTAGCCTTCAACATTCTAGAATATCAACTTCAAGGGACATGTTTGTGGGCGCTAACAGCACTTATTTTCTCCAAAGGGCAAATTTCAAACAATTCCTGTGCTGAGTGATCCCATTCCTCTTGCTACTAGGTTCATTTTCCTAACACATACTATAATTCACCTCTGGCCTTCCTGGAGATGGAGACGAGTTCTGTGAAAACCAAGCTTTGTGATTTCTGTGGGAACAGGTGGCCGTCCTCAACACTTGGGCTTAAGTTTGTCAAACAACTCCGTAAACCACTGAAGCTGGCTTTTGAGGAAAACCACTTTTTACTCTTCCCCTCACCACCAACAGAAAAGATTTAGAATTCAGAAATGAACGAGAAGAGAGTGAGAGGCTTTCTGTGATGACATTTCTCCAATATGAATTTAAAGGGAATTTCTTTCCCTTTAAAACCATGAAGAAATTTATGCTTCTGCCTGAAATATCTTTTAAACCATCAGTGGTCTTCTTGAAAACAGCTTTACTCCGGTTCTCTGAGGAGTTGTGTGTGAGGGCAAAAGCTGGTTATTTTGATAACCCCTGAAAGACCAGGGGCCCACTATTCTAGTGTTAGCAGTGGCCCTGTCTGACCTGGGGTGCAAACAAGCTTCTCTCCCAACAGGAACTCTTTCTCTTATTGTGTGGTAAATTCATTAGTGGGAAGGCAGGGTTGAAATGGCCCCAAGGTCCCAGATGTAAAATCTCCTTCCTCTATATAGTATGTAAAAGCCCAAAGTCTTCCCAGGAAGTGTTACAAATGAGAGCGTAGTGCACACCAAAAGGAAACCCTGCCCCACAGAATGGGCTCCTGCAAAACCATCTGCTACCCTCAGAGCCACTTGGTGATTCCTGGGGCTGGCTGCTGTGACTCTCCACTAAGCACCCAGGTGGCCCCTTGGGCCAAATATGAAAAGCCTCACATTGCACATGGAGCCCTTGGGTACTCACTGCAGACTGGCTTGCTCTACAAAGGGGTAAAAGTGGCCTCTGGCAGAGCCTGGGTTTCTCATCTTTCAGCAACCCCTTCTAGAAGGGAACTATGGAGTCCCAAGTTCCAGTTTGGAAAATATCAGGGACATTTTCTGATTGGTCCGCTTGGCCCACTTGGTTCCCCTGTCCATCCCTGGACCAGTCAACTGTGATGAGGAGTGTGTGCTTAGGAAAGTGTGTCAGTTGGAAAAATCAAATCCAGGTGGAAACATGGGGTCGCAGCAGAAGGAGGGCCAGTTCTAGAAAGGAAAGAGGTACCTGGTGGATGGTATCATAGCTGTCCTTCACAGTACATGCAGGTAACTTTTGCATGACCCCATGCCCTCTTTTATGGCAGGCAGGCATTTCCTGGGATACAGGCAAGATGCTCACAAGAGCCTCTTCGTAATGTCTAGAAACTGGGTGACACCCACAAGTGATCGCTCTGTCTGCTGAAGTGGTTCCACAAGTGATGTTGGCTATATAGCATTATTGAAAAGAATGTTCTACTATGTCCTTAAAGCATTTCTATTTCCACAACTAAGTAGAATCAGGGGTGACCCCACTGATGCTCACCCTGATTTGGCTCTCAAACTTACCCAAATATTATAAGGCAAATAAATATAACTTCCAGGGACATGCCAATTAAATTGGTCCAGGAACTCCTCACTAATGACTAGCCCATCAGGTCATCTCAGATCAGCCTCTTTCTCTTGTGTTTGAACACTGTAGTCTCTGATATATAGAAAAGCCCCCTGCAACTGGATCAACCAATAACCCACAGATTTCTTCTAGTCATTTCTTCATGAATTTATTGGGACCTGCTGGAGAATTAAGGAGATCAGACAGGCCAAACATCCCTAGATCTGATATTTGAAACTCATAGTAAAATAGCTCAATTCCTAATCTACTTCCTGGCCTCATTAGAATTCAATTAGTAGAAGGACATTCCTTCCTAGAGGCTCGTTGGCAGATTTGTGTGTGAACAGTTAACCCGGTGTTAGCAAAAGCAGTTACTTGTATCCAAACAGCTCTCTCCAGCTGCAAAGCTGAACCCCAAGGCTGTTTAGACAGGACTGTGCTTATCCTCCCACCAGGATGCAAATATTTTAAGTGGACAGAGTGAGATAAAATGCAGCCAATGCTGCCCCTGACACTGACCGCATACTGTGCCTGCTGGATTTTTGGACTTGAAGGTCAGGGGAGGAAGGTGAAGGAAGGGACGCTGGAGACAAGGAAGCAAAGAAAATCTTCCATGACTTTGTTGAAAATTATTTTCCAAATAAACAAGCTTGGGCTTTAAAATGTATGAACACAAATTCTACCAAAGTATGTGGAAATACCCATATATTTCTTGAACAGGAAGAACTGCTCATCAGACCATAAAAAGCAGGAGATCTGAGGGTAGGACAACCTTGAGTTTTTTTGTTTTTTGTTTTTTGTTTTTGCATTTTTTTTGTCTGCAGTATTTTCTGCAATGTTCTTCAGATGCCTGAATGTAGACTCAGGGAGATTTATTTTTCTTCTGACAGGGTATGTTATAGTTGTCACTCAGCCTTGAAATAGTCTTTCCCTCCAGTGGACCATCAGGCCAGTAATATATTTGCGTAGCTCTTCCCAACTGTCACTCCTCTGCCAGCCTTCATGCGTCAGCATTGCACAGTATGCCTAGCCAGCCAATGGCAGGCTTTGAAGCTGCTGCCTTTAAGGAACTTGTTTTCAAAATATTCGCAGTCACCCAGCAACAGGAAAAGGCATTTCATTGGCTCTCTCACTGTCAGCTGGAAAGGAGGATGATCCAGATGGGCCTCAGCTGTGAAGATCAAGATTAGACATGGGGGGCGGGGCAGATATTTGGACACAGAAGCCTCTCAGTGGCAAATGTGGTATTTTATAAGTATCAGATGAAGCAATGCTTTCATCCATAAAAATCAAATGTAAAAAATGTGACACCACACCAGGGCAGGTAGTTTTCATCTGCAGTGTCATAGGATGCATACAAGATAGATGTTGGCCCCCCCAATCTTATCTGCCTGATAAAGGGAAGTGCTGCTGAGGGATGGGGAGGGCCTCCGTGGAAAGTGAATTAGGGCTTTTGGTGTGGAAGCAAGCCTCTCTCTGCTAGGACTAACATGCCATATAGGGTGGGTATTCTAAATGCAAAGCAAGTCCCCAAAGTTACTCTATCACTAACTGATCCTGTGAATTATCTTGCCCTTAAAAAGTTCGTCATTCTGCTTGACTCTTCAGGCTGATTTTTCTTCCTCAGAAAAAAGCAAAGGAGAGAACGAAGGAACTAGTCAGGGTTGCCTGGGCCTTGAATAACAGGCTGCAGTGCCACCTGTCTACTCTAATTTCTCCTTCATGTGGACCTGGGCTATTCATAGGGAAAAATAAGGTTTTCCTCTTTCTGGTTTTACTCTTTTGTTGTTACTATAACACAGAAAATTAATATTGATGGAATGTATATGTGAATCAAAGCAACTAGGGAATGCTCTGAAAAGAACATGTCATAAAACAGACAAGAAAAAATAAATGATTAAATTACTGACATTCGGTCCTAGCTGAGGATCTGCCCTCTCAGCACTTCAGGCTACATGTTGGAAAGGCATTCACTTTCAATGACAACAAACAGTTAAACTCCAAATGCTTCAATGCCAGGAATCCATACATTAGTTGTCATTAGTTGTGGACTTGAGCCTAATTCAGGGCAAACAGTTTGATTTGTAAGAGCTCACTGAATATACGTTCTTCACTGCCATTCACCTGGGCATCTGCTCTTTCCCAGTTCAGAGCAGCAAAATGGAGGGAAGGTGCTTTTTGCTTTTCCAGAGAGCTAGACAGATTGGAAATTAACTATAACTAACAGTTATGATAATCAACAATGGGCAAACATATTAACTTAGATTGAATACTATTACATGCATGTTAATTCTGCAGACTCGCATTAACAAATTAGTGAGTGAATATCATTCCTGTGAACCTCTAATGGGTATAAATAATGATACAGTCAGATTTGCCTTAGTTAGACTCTAAGCTACTTGAAAATTGCTATTATCTCCGGTGACTAACAAAATGCCTGACACATAGTAGGCACTCAATAAAACATTTGTTGAATGACTAAAGCAATACATTGATGACTGAATTAATGAATTGATAAATAAACCCGAACTTGCAAATCTACCTGAGCTTCACAGATGATAAGCCTTGGAAAGCTGTGAAACATTTCGATCTTTTACATGTTTGGGTATATGCGTCTAATGGAAAGTAAATTCAGGAGACCTGAGTTATAATCTTGTTTATTCACAACTCTATGAGACAAATGTTATTATTACCTCATTTTATGGATGAAAAGACTGAAGCCTAAGGAGGTAAAATAAGTCACGGAAGGTCACAGAATTAGTAATCACAGTATAAGATTTAAATCCAGGTCTAATCCAAAGCTCATGTTGTTACCATTATAAGAGTCTACCCTGAAACCTACGTATTTTTTGAGTAATGAAAGAAGAACCCAGGGAGCAGGACAGGCCACATTTCACCACAGCATTAACCCTTCTTCTGTTTCAAAGCCCAGAGTAGAACATTGAAGAGAATATGCGTATAAAATTCAGATACTATTTTGGAGATGATATGAAATACACTGAGAGTCACGATGCAGGCCGGATGAAAAACCTGAGCTCTCAACAGGTCACTGATCTCAGGCTGGAGTTTTTCACATTCTTTTTCTCGTGGTGAGCGCTGCAGAGGTGGGGAACTGGCTCATCTGGCTCTGGTTTGGCCATCACCATCACTAGACGTGGGTTCAAGTCCCAGCTCTGTCTCACGTCCCACTGTAGGCAACACCTTAACCCCTTTGGGCTTCCCTTTCCACAGTCACAAAAATGAGAACAGAAGAATCACCTCAAGGGGTTGTGTCAGGATTAAATAAGATGGAAATATGAAAAAACCTGTATGTATCCTAGCACATTGTAGATGCTCAATAAATATTAAATGCCTGTTTCTCCTGTACTCTTAAATAAGATGAATCTCATTTGTTTAGAATATTATAAAATGAGTCTATAAAGTCATCTCATTTTTCTCTTTGGTCTTGCTTAATCAGTAAATTTTTGTTTCTTATTTAAAGGGGAGGAGAAATGGGTTTTCTCTTCCAGTAAAACTCTAGAAAATCTCAGACACAAGGAACAAATTTAAAGCTAGAAATCTGCATTAGACACAGCTTTCTGAGGCTCCACCTCCCAGGCTTCTTCCCCAGCTCCCACTTCCCAGGGAAACTGCACTAATGATATGGACATTTCTGGGGCTTCCAGGACCTGCCAGCTCAATGGGAGAAAGGCTTTCATAAATTGTAGATAAAGTCTTGGAATGTTTACCTACAACAGAGGTTCTCATCATTTTTTGTGAGGAAGCGCTATTAGTCATTTACATAAAGTTGGTATAGTGGCAGGTGTAGGTTTTCAGGAAAGGTTCTGGGTGGAGCAGGCAGCCTGTCCCTTCCTGCTGAAAATGACAACCACCAAGGAGAAGGAAGTGTGATAGGAAGTAAGTCCATGAACAGGCAAATCCACATATCAGCTAAAACTCCAAGATCAGTGAGTAGATCCAGATCTGACCCCAGGAAAAGCTTCTTTCTCAGACACATCAGAGCTTTGGAGAGCTTTTTTTTTTTTTTCTTACTCACTATGACTCTATGCATTAGAAAGGGGATAATTGGGATGCATAAGTGAGAGGCTTCTGTCAGTGGCTCTCAGCTCTGGCTGGACATTAGACTTGGCTAGGGAAGGGAGCCTTTGAAAATAATACCAATACCTGGATGTCACCCCAGACCAATTTAAAAAATGTTGGGCAGTGGGCCAGAATTGATATACTTTTTAAGCCCCCAGGCGATTCTGTAATAGAGCTAGGAATGAAAAGCACAGGTCTAGCTAATATTTCCCAAACTGGTATCTCATAGAACACTGCTCCACAGAATATTAATAGATGTACCACATGGCCACAAAAAGTGTTTTGGTACTCAAATAATTTTTTTAAATGCTATATTAAATAAAGTTAAACAGGTGCCTTTACTGTACAATTTCTGATACTTTATACCCTTGTGGGCATTGTGCCTCAAATGGTAGAGTACTAACTTCACCCAGCCAGTTTTGACCACACCTTTTACAAAGCCCATCAGCTGGTGGCTTCTATAACAGTGTACTAGGGAACACCAGTCTAAGCACATGCTTGCCTTGGACTTGGCCTTGGCCTCACATTGTCAAAAGAAAGGCAGAGAGAATCTTGAGCTGAGGCATCCACCAGTGGCCATGTTCTGTAATCTGAAATGCTGCAGGACCATCCAGATCCTGGCACTGATACTATTTCAAGAATGAGCCTTTAATTATTATGCTCATCATTAAATAATAGTTGCAATAAAGACTTATCTCAGGAATTTCCAAAGAGCAAGTCACTTTAATTACAGTAATGTATATTTCAAAGCTGCTTCATTTTTTATTGTCAGTATTTCCACCCTGAAAAGAAAATTTGTTGCTGTTTTGAGTTATAAATTGCCCCCAAAGAAGGGGAGCTCCTAAAGATTCATATTGCCTTAGTATACCCAGAGACACTCAGAGAGCAAGTCTTTACCTCCAGCCAGGGATCTCTGAAAGGAGGTGGAAATAAAACCGAACTGACAATGATATTGAGCTTGAGTATGTGCAGAAATTAACGATGTACTAACTATCTAACTGCCTAAAATAAAAACGGGTAGTCAGTGATTTGTATTTTACTGAGCAGAAGTGGCAAGGTTTCTTATGTGCAGCTGAGATTATGTACTGTTGTAAATGAAACCCAAACTCTAGTTTTCAGGATCTGAGAAGGGAGCTCTTTGAGCCTGCATCTTCCCTTCCTAATATGAGCCTACATATTCCCTGAATATCTGACTTACTCCCTTTCCAACAATGTCATTTTTCCATTTGTAGTTGGTAATATATAACCATGAGCAATTTCTAAATCATGTTAAACTAAACTAGTGACCATACTCCATGCCAAGGGCCTTAGAAATTATTCAAGTTAGGTATAATGAAAATAATAATAATAATTTGTATTACCATTATTACTATCATTAGTTGAGCACTTACTATATGCCAGATTACATGTGTTATCTTAATTTAATCATTAAACAACTCTTAGTTGTCTGGGGAGCTGTGGTGTTAGATTTGCCTGAGAAAGTTGGCTGGAGTATGGCCCACCGACAGTAGCCATAGAAAATAGCAAAGCAAACTAGCTTCTTAATCTCACAATCACTACCCAGAAAGGAAAGAATAACTTTGGACATACTTAACCTGACTGAAATATAAATCTAATGTTTGTTAACCTCTGGGAAGAAAGTATAAAAAAGGACAATATATAAAGAAAGTATAAAAACAACAAAAAAGAGTTAGAATATTAGCTCCTACAGTGGCTCATGCCTGTAATCCCAGCACTTTATGAGGCCAAGGCAGGAGGGTTGCTTGATCCCAACAGTCTGAGGTTACAATGAACTATGATTGTGCCACTGTACTCTCCAGCCTGGGCAACAGAGTGTGAGAGACCCTCTCTCACAAAACAAACAAACAAACAAACAAACAAAACTCCTGTATTTCCAGCAAAAATAATGGTAGATGGGTGATACTCTATATAGTGTCTGATGGGAAAAGCAGTCCAGCCTGGCCTATCCATCCTTGCAATAGCACACACTGTATTTGGCTTAAAGAAAATGGCTTTTGGCATTTATCCACATTATTTTCCACTGTCTAATTCTAAAGCACAAAATTTCTAGTTGTGGTAAAAGCTATTTTTATATTTTATTTTTATTCCCCAGAAAACAGTTTCCAATGTTGAAGAACAATAATTTTATCAATATAAATAACCTACCTGCAGGTGTTTTATATCATATTCAATGACAAACTATGAAATGTAACATTTTTGCTTTGACAGCCCATGAAATCCATCATCTATTTTCATAGATCCTTCATTCAGAAAAAGATTTGATTTTCAGGATTTATGGTCCGATCAGAAATATTTGAATTATAGATTTGCAGCTTTTGAAATCAACATCAGGATTTACTAGTAAAAACCTAGAGTCAGTGGGTGAAATGTTATTGTAATCATTTATCCTTTGTGACCTTTAAAAGAATAAAAAAAAAAAACTGCTGTCTCATGCCTATAGTATATATCCCACAACACTAGATAAGAGCAAGAAGCTTTTTTCATTCACCCTACATAGTTCATGACTCTTCCAAGAATTACCAGTACACTGTTGCTAGGAGGCAGAGGCATTGCACGATCTCAGTGTTTAATAATACGCAAATAGATAAGATAGAAAAAGGGCTTTATTCACCTGCTGTGTCTTTATAAGAGTAACCAGAATGAAGAGAAATACGACTTGATTCATTTTCAGAAGATAAATTTACAATCTGTCTACTCTTTCTCTGATGGGTTAGCATGCAGGACTCCTGTATGAGTCCAAAAAATGGACTCCATCTAGAATTTCTGTTTAGTCAAATCATCCTCATGGAGGCAAAATGTTTCCTCTCAGTGGTAATTCTGACTTTGAAAGTATTCTGTCTTAAATAAATTATTTATCATATCATTTATTGGATTTATTAAACGTGTTTCCATGTGCTGGAGCTTTCTTGGCATAAAAGTAGAAGTATGACCCTTATTATCTGAAATGCCTCGTATTCCAGACACAAGCTACACAGTGCTACCAATTAGAGTCCAATCTAAGAAAGATTGAGCAGGGCATCCTGAATGTTGGCAAATTCTGCCTCAGATTGAAAGGGGACTTGGCAAGGACTAGAGGATCGGGAGGGTCTGGACTGGAAATGGTAGATTCTAATCCTGGCTCTGCCACCAACAGGTGCTCTCACCTTGGGCAAGTTATTCGACCTCTCTGGCATTAGACAAGCAGGGATCGGCCTACTATCATTTTCAGGTGTTCTGAGTGATATTCAGAGGCCCACAGCCAATCTCTTGTTTGTTCCTAGTGAGCTGAGCTGAGGATGAGACCAAGGTCTCTCAAAGGCTTTCCTGAAATCCCCGAATGCTACAGGCAATACGATAAAAGGCAGGCCATATGTTGCCTGAGAACCCAAAATTCAAAATGGAAACTTCAGCATTGGATCCTGGGTGGGGATGGAAGTGGAAGAGGAAAGGAGAAAGGTGAAAAGGATAATTCCAACATCTCTAAGCTTTTAAACTAGCCCAAGAGACCAGTTTGGAACACCGCCAGAATTGACTTCTTTACCTTCCTTCAAGAGTAGGAGACCCAGAACCATTTTGGACTTGGCCCAGATGCTCCACAGCAAACTCCCTGTGCCACCCATTCTATGTAGAGGTGAAGTGTGTGACTTGAGGTGCACGGAGGCTGGAGACCAGGCTTCTGGGAGTTCAGAGCCAAAAGCAAATGTGTCCAAAGTAGAGCACCAAGGTCAGAACAGGGTCTTTCCCACAGGTGGGGTGAATTTAGAAACAGGAGCCAAATTGTCAAAACAAGGCACAGTCGAGGGAACGCTGGCTGTATTTCAGGAGCAATGAAGCAGGTCCCTGACAAAATCATTGATGCTTTTCAAGTTGTTCTTTACTTTCTTCTCTACTAGTGAGAATCCTACCCTCAGAGTACTGTTATATGGAGACAACAGGTCAGTGTTTCCCCAGGACTCTTGCACCACCACAATAAAGCTTCAGAACACTCCTACTTCTGGCCTCTATCCAGCTGACATTACAGAATGCTTGCTTTTCCTTCTTTTCTCCTCTCCTGTGCCTGCCCACTTCATACCCTGCCTCTATCCTCAGTTTTTCTGTCATTGTTTAATACTTTCAGATAGTTCTTAGTTTCCTCTGGTATCTATCTTATTTCAGTAATCCTCATTTGATGCTAATGTTAGATAATCCCAGTCAATCTTTTATTACTTCACATTTAGGTTTAGCTCTCTATACTGCAAGTTTCATTCTCACCATCTTTTTCCTCCCCTCTTCCCCTCTCACCCTCAGAGTCTCTGTTCAGGCTTACTTGTATGGTTAGAAGCTCTGCCTTACCCAGCCACAAATCTTTCTCTCACACTGACAAGTGAAGCCTGTCTTTGCTGGGCATAGGAATCTAGGATTGCAATTCTTTTGTCTCATATGTCCATAGATGTTATCTTTTAGCTTCCAAGTTTGCCTTGAGAGATAAAATACCAGACTGATTCTTTTTCCTTTTTAAGTTATGCATTGTTTCCGTTTGGCAGCTTGTAGAATTCTTGTTCCTTCCACCTTAGATGTGATATCAGAATATGCCTGAGTATGGGTCATTTTCATTGTTTCTACAGACTCTGGTCTTTCCTTGGTTTAGGGAAATGGCTTATTTTGGTTTGTTTAGTTATTTCATTTCCTCAATAGGTTCCTTTTTTTTCTTCTGGAATTTCTGGTGTTTGTTCCGTTTCCTCCCAGATCTATCCGCCAAGTATTTTGTGTTTTCCCTCCAGATTTCCAAATTTTTGTATCTTTCTATGCTTCAGTATATTTCTTCCACTTAATCTTCCAACTCACTACTTCAGATCTCAACAAGAACCATCTTGTTCAATTTACCTACGAATTTTTTTTAGAAAGTCTCATTTTTAGACCCATTTTTCCTGCTTTAACCCTTAGATGTGATGATGATTATGATGATATGCAAATTGTCTTCTGTCTACCCCAGCAGCTCTATTTCTGTCTGGTGGCTGGGTTCTTCCTATGCCTTGTTATTTTCCTTTGTTCATTGAGGCTCAGGTCTGACTCCTGGGAGACTTCAAGGGCAGCAGTCCAAGGACTATTGAAAGGCATTGAGGCCCCACAGGTAAGCAGTGGGGTTCACAGTTCACAGGCAGGTGGTTATCAACCTCTATGGAGACTTCAGCAGAGGACCTCTTGGGCTCCCTAGTCTCCTCAGCTGGCAGCCATGGCTGATACCATCCCCACCTCTCAGGAGTGGAGGAGGACTCAGCCCGCCTGACAAGCTGTAGTGGGCAAGATATACAAGAGGGCTGGGAAAACAAATACACTCACATATGCTGTTGCTGTCCTCCTGCCAAGAAGGACCACTGGGGACAGGGTGTTCCTAGAATTCCTAGTGCTCTCCAGCATAAGGCCTGGGCTCTGATGTGGCCCAGAGAGGCCAGCATCTCACACCAGCCTCAGAACCCTTCAGGACCTGGGCTTTGCTGGCACTCTCAAGGCCCAGCAAGCCTGCCAGTGGAGTGGGACTAGCCCTGGCTTCCCACCCTGGCATCTCACTGGCATCACCTGGGGAATGTTTAAGAAATAAGGATTCTAGGTCCCGTCCTAGACTTACTGAATCAGACTCTCAACGTGGGGCCTGGAAATCTGAGTTGATGCTTTCTCTAGGTGAATCTAAAACAGGGCTGAGTAGCAGAGCCACTGATTTAGGGTGGAAGCTGATGCTTCTGTCTAGGGGAATAGGAGGCCATTTTAGATGTGTTTGGAACAAATATGCCCTGGTAAGAGTTCTGGCCACTGTGTTTTATACCCAAAATGCTAACTCTCCCAAAGACCTGAGATATACTCAGTTTCTCCTTCTTTTTCAATATACCAGTTTCTCTCTCTTTCATGCCATGATTTTTTGTGACATGGTCTTCTATAGCTTGGGATAAGAAGGAAAGGTATTTGTGAAAAGGAATGAATATCCTTTATTACAAACACTGGACCTAAAAATGCTGGGGCAATATAAAATGAGGAGGGCATACAGAGAAAATTGTTATGATAGCAACTTTCACTAGGTTATGTTGCGGAAAGAAGCACTGCAAAGGTTTGTTTCTAGCTCTCACTATATTTGAGCGATGGGTTGGCTGTGGCTCTGTTGCTCCTTCATCCAGGATTCAGGCTGAAGTAGAAGCCCCATCTGAAACATGCCATTCTTATGGCAGAAGGAATAAAACAAGAGAGCTAGCAAAACCGTATGATAAACCTATGGTTTCTGCTCCGTGCATGTGCGTGTGAGAGAGCATATATCAACCCACTCACATTCTATTGGCCAAAGCAAGTCACGGCCAAGCTTGAAGTCACTGGACAGGTAAACATCATCATTGCTAGGGAGGCCCTGGGTCACATGGCAATGCATGCTTATGTAGAATCCTCTCACATGTAGGAAAGTGGATACTGGAAATAATACCATTCATCACAGCCATTGAGCTTGAAAGCATCCCTTTCAGAAATTATCCTCATTAAGAGACTCAGTAGAGAAAACCACCTGATAGATAGTGATTGAATAAGGTGAACTGGACCCTTGACCTCCTACACCTCATGGCTGGTGGTATCTCAGCACTCAGTGATTCAGGCAGGTGCGAGATGTCCTTTCTCTTCCTGCCCTCCACAGAGCAAACAAGCAAAAGGAATCCGAAAGAAGTCTGAACATACTTTAGATTCATGTTGATCTCTCTAAAGTCATATAGTAAAAAAAAAAAAGCATGAAACAATCAGAGAGGTCCAACTGGTTGGCACACTCTCCCCCAGGCAGATTATCACAGACAGACTTCAGGGGCACCCTGCAAGGTCACTAGAGCATGTCTCTTATCCTCCTACCCCCAACTTAATAACTCTTCCTCTTGCACACATCCCTTTATTCCCTTCCCCCAATACCTCCAACTTTTTCTGTTTTATAGCTTCAAGGTTTTCTCCTCCCCTCTGTTTCCTGAACTGGAGTCCCCATTTGGTCTTGACTTTTAAGTCTCCAGCCCTACTATTCCCTTTCTTGCTTGGCTTCACTGCTGGGCAGGGGCAGAGGAGGAGAGGAGGGGAGGAAAGCCCCCAGGTGGACCCCAGGTGGTAGCAAGCTTATCTTTCTTTCTGAGTGATACAGATACCTAAAAAGCAAAAGTTATCTCACCCAGTCAAGGCTGGCAGAGATTTTAGGGCCTTCTGCTCACACATTCTCTCATTTCCAACTTGAATTTCATCCATAGCCCCATTCAATCACCCCTTCCTGATTTCTGGGTGTTAGAGTTGTAAAACTGTCCAAGTTCTTACTCTACCCCACTCCCTACCTTTTCCCTTTAGGGTTATAATATAGTAATAACTTATTGCAGATTCTTACCAGCAAGTTAGTTAACTCTCTAAGCCTTATAAGGGTGTGAATTCAACAAGAAACTAACTGCAGGTGGTAGCCACTTAAAAAATGCTAATTCACTTCCTTTTAATTTCTCTTCAAGGGATCTGAGTGAACTATAACTTCTTGGCCATCCTAGACCAAGTGAGGTTGATTTTCCTGACATCTCTACCCTGTACCCTTTTATCTGAGAGTTGTGCAGGCATTTCTACCCTGTGCCCTGTCATCCAATGCTTGCACAGTTCAAGGCATACTGTTGGTGCTCAGTGAGCACTTGATGACCCAATTTCTTTCTCTCACCCTTCACTTTCCTGTCCTTCATCTTACAAGTTTCATGCCCTCTTTATATGTCCTTGTTCTTATCTCTTTTCTTTCACAGCTGAAACCAAGAGAGCAGTATTTGCACATTTAACCTTTGTGTGGTGCTAACAATTAGTGATCCTATAACTAACAAAAACCATGAGAGTTTAACAGAAAATAAGTACAATTATTTAAAACTTGAGTTTCACCCCTGGTTTCTGTAATCAGCATCTGTATTAAGCTTTGATTCTTTCCCTTTCCTTGTCCCAAAAGAGAGCTAAAGAAAAATCATTTTCAACAGCTTTATTATCCACATCATTAAATCATGTTGTTGTTTATGCAGAAGCAGGAGGCGAATTCAGAAACACATTACCCACGAATTCCAGAAGCATCAGAGTAGGAAAAGCAGCTGATATTTATTTAGCTGCTTGATCATTTCGCTTGTGCTCTGGGACTGGTCCCTAACACTTTCCTCTTGCTGGCTCTGCCACCTCTCCTCTTAGCTGGGGCCTCCCTTTTCAGGATGGGGATTAAAAGTCAGAACCTCCATTACCTCTACTGACCTTTGGAAATGGAGCTTTTCTTCAGACCTCAAGACATTGCCTCCTTTTACTTTCCTAGCCTTGTCTTCCTCCTGAGGAAAGTGTTCTCAGAGAAAGTCCCCTTTCACATCTGTCCATTGAATTTAGCTAACATTTAGGGACAGCCTGCCAAGGGGTGGACTCTCTAGCTGGTACAAAAATGAGGCAAACACAGTTTCTGTTCTGTCCGGCCCTTCAGAGAGTCCCTGTCTTGTGGGATGCATAGATACCTGCATAGCACCTGGCAATGTACCTGACACATAGCAAGCCCTCACTAAGTATTTGTCAAATGAACTGAGTGAGTGGTTGACTGCACAGCAACTTCGATGGAGAGCAGTCTATGGTAAATGCTGTAGGAGAGAAAAGGACAAAATGTAAGGGAAGATCGAAGTGACAGACATTGCCTGTGCTTGGAGGCACCAAGAAAGACTTCATCAGGGGCAATAGAGAGGATTAGAGCTGCAGGCCAGGGGTTCCGTAGAGCTAGATGGGGTGAGACAAACTGGGATTGTCATACTAGGGCTCCCCGAGAAGGGAAAATCTTTCCTGGACCTTTTCTAAACAGGATAGTCATGTATAGTTTTCTCTAAATACAGGGAGTATAATGATAGGAACCTAGGCATAGTAAGGGAGGGTGCACTCAACAAGATTATTGGACTGGAGAAGCACTCCACTGCCAGCTCTTCACAAGAGGGTCTCCTTCCCTGGCAGACTGTGCAGCCTGATAATTGCATTTGACAAGGTTACAGTCCTCTGATCCTTATCTTTTTTTTTTTTTTTCTTAAGAGACAGTGTCTCACTCTGTTACCAAGGCTGCTGCAGTGCAGTGTTGTGATCCTAGCTCACTGCAGCCCTGAACTCCTGGGCTCAAGCAATCCTCCCACCTCAGCCTCCCAAGTAGCTGGGACTGCAGGCGTGCACCACTGTGCCCGGCTAATTTTTTTTCTGTACAGATAGGATCTTGCCTAGGCTCATCTCCAACTCCTGGCTTCAAGTGAATCTCCTTCCTTGGCCTTCCAAAGTGTTGGGATTACAGGCATGAGCCATCACACCCAGTTCTTATCTTTAACTTGGACTTGATGTATCATGTTTTCCTCCAGTGTATCTTGGATAACCCCATATTGAATATATTTCTTTCCAAGAGTGAATATGGTGCAGTTCCCTAAAGAGAAAAAGCCTTTCTAGGTTGCGTTCTCTAAGGCACCAAGGAGAGAAAGAACTAAAATTGTAATCAGGACACTTTAAAGGGACCACCATTTTTGGGTCTGACATGGAACATTTATTTTGAATTTCTAGATATTTAGTGCTCAATTCATTTGCAATAATGATAACTGTCTGTTATGGACCAAATTGTTTCTTCCCCACTCCCAAATTCATATGTTGAGGCCCTAATCCCTAGTACCTTAGAACGTGACTGTATTTGGAGATAGGGGTTTTAAAGAGGTCATTAAGGCTAAATGAAGTCATATGGTTGAGCTGTAATCCAATGACTAGTGTCCTACAAGAAGAGGAAAAGACACCAGAGGTGCACATGTACAGAGAGAAGGCCGTGTGAGCACGTAGCGAGAAGGCAGCCATCCACAAGCCAAGGAGAGAGACCTCAAGAGAAACCAAACCTGCCAATACCTTGCTTTTGCACTTCCAGCCTCCAGAACTGTGGGAAAATAAATTTCTGTTGTCTAAGCCACCCAATTTGTGGTATTTTGCAGACTAACACACTGTCTTTTTCTGAGGGCCTCCTATGAACCTGGCACTGTGCTAAGTATTTTGTCTCACTGAAGCTTTTCAATGACTGTAAGATAGTTATCATTGTGTTCCCTTCTCAGAATAGGACACTGATGCTCAAGGCCACAGCTTTAGCACGCAGCAAACTCAGATTCAAATGCACATCTGTTTGGCTCAGGAGGTTATGCACTTGGCATCCCACCAACCCACATTTATTAATTACTTGCCATGAGAAAAGTACTAGGCTATGATAATTGCTGACATATGAGAATCTGAATCCTTTCCTTATGGAACTTATGAATGATGAGAGACAGATTCACAAGACCACAAAAATAAATAAGTTTTTTAAAGCTGCATGGAAGAAAATCTCTGGAAGCAATAATTCCATGCTGTGCTGCAGTGGATCTAAGCTAAGAGGCATTCAAATGATTGTGTGGGCAATATAGGGTAGTGGTTACAAACACAGAGGGCAGGGCTAGATTCATTGGGATTGATTTCTAGTCCCAGCAGTTTTCTAGTTATGTGACCTTGAGAAAGTCGCTTATCTTCTTAACCTCAGTTACTTCATCTGTGCTATGGAGGCTAAACTGGGACTAGTAATAGAATCTTACCCATGGGGTTGTTGCAGGATTAAATGGAATACTATAAAGCACTTAGCACAATGCTTGATACACAATATGTCTTAATAAATGCACCATGATGAAAAAAAGTTTCTAATGCGTGTTCCACCCAGCACTAACAAAACTAGCCAACCTGTCTAAACATGGTTGAGTTCTTAATTTTTTAAATTAAAGCTCTTAGTGTTGTTAAATTTATGAATATCTTCACTGACCTTTGTATGTGGGTTATTCAAATATAATTTCATTTCCAAGGTAGTTTTGCTCTGTCCACCATATTCAGCTTAAGTCAGATACTAACATATTTCACCAACAACACAGTCCAGGCAAAATTCAAATGTTTGTCTGTGTGGAATAACAGTCTAACAGAACTGAAGACAGAATGGACTAATAAAATATCTGAGAGAAGTCAAAGAGCAGATTAAAAACGAAGTGTGTACATGAGATGTGTGCATGTATGTACTTGTGTGTGTATTCAGGAACACCACCATCCAGCCAAGAGTAAATCCAGGTACAATTCAAGACAGGGAATTGTGGCTCAGGAATCAGGACACACACCCCTCTTTGCCTCATTTGATAGATTACTTCCTCACTGCGAGTGATGGCTTTATTCAGCCCTAAGAGTAGAAACCTCTTTCATAATGCTTCATGTGCTTTTATGGCAAAAACCAATATAAATATTTACTGGATTTACAAGTAAAAGTATATAAATTCTTATTTATCTTGCTGCATAGAGGGACCGTGAAAAATATGTGGAAACTAGAGTCTGTTTTTCTTTAAGAAGACACTCAACTGAATGTTGAGACAACAGCAGAGAGATGCTTCATTTCAGAAGTGACAAAGAGACTCTACGATACTTTTTGATGCACAGGATGGGAAATTGTTTATATTGAATGCATAAATTTTGAAACATTTCTTCTGACCAGCTCACTGGAAGGTGATGATTGGGTAACTAGCCTCATGTGTCACTGGTGACAGAGTACACTCCTATCTCCAAATAGCAGGCCAAAATATGGGAGCTTGGGGTACAGGACAAGATTGAGGAAGAGCATGGGATCCAGTTAGTAACATGAATAGAAAACCCAAATAAAACCCCTCTTCTGGCAGTGGCTTTGCACCATCCTCTTCATCCTCAAGGTAGCCTACTATTGCCATTAGCTACTAAGTCTAATCCCAAGGTTCCAGTTTCACCCTTCACTGGCTTTGCTGCACGGTGGAGTGCAGCACGTTGTAACAGGACCATTGGCACTCATCACCCCAGGACAAGCAGGGCAAGATCAGGTTAATTTTGAACAAAACGATAAAAACAGGAAGTTGAGCCTCCAGTTCCCTTTGCCCTCTAACATTGTTCTCTACCATTTCACAGGCCTTGAGGCTTGATGCCCCTTGCTGTCTTTTGTGCGTTAAGAGCTTGGTTCCATGTTAGTGTTGGCTTGTTCCTTTGACTTATTGTTACTGGCAATGCTTTGATAAACTTGACATTTTAAACTGCAGAAACAAGGGAATATGATGTTCATTAGGCTTAGCTGTTTGACACTAAAGTGCTAAACCAACTCATGTGGTCTCTATTATTAGTTTACGAACCCTGGTCCATCTCTAGAGGCCGATGTTTCCAGACAGCTTCATTTCCTGCTGGTGAACAAGTTCTCTCATTATCTTCCTTCTTTTTCTGCCTAGTCACTGAAACAGTCATTGAATTGTTGTCTCATGCCTGTGTGCTATCAAGCACCATGGAATATGGAAGAAGGAATAGTGGTTGTGCCCTCCCTCTCTCTGGTGAGGCTGCAGCAGGGAGGGTCAGTGAGGACTCAAGAAAGACCCACAATGCAGCAGGTTGAGGTTGATGTAGGCAGGAAGCCATTAAGATTCAACCGAGCATGTGAGTTAAGAAGCAGTATACAGAGAGCATAGTAGGTCTGAGCAGAACCAAGACAAAAGGCAGCAATCTCTGAGCCAGAAAGATCATGCTGGACTGGCAGCATCATCTTTGGGGAATTCGTATCTTACGTCTCTAAACCTTAATGTGTAATGTAGTCAACACAAGCTTAACTGCCTCTTGTCTCCCCCAAGAGCACTTCCTTCCTTCCATCACTTTCCTGCTACTAAGACATAGAAAGAAGGACACTACAGGAAATTCATGACAAACTCACAGAGCCACCATGCTGCACTCACACATCCACCCTGCAAGGACCTACCTTCTTCTTGGAGGGATGAAGCAGGCTAACCTCAGAGTCACCCAGCTGGTGAGCTCAGATTGGAACTTGAAGATTGGGGTCACAGGGTTAGGGACTCCTCTATGTGTCTTCTACTAAAAACTGCCCCACTGATGTATAAAAAATGGAGCACCGGATTCACACAAACTTAGAAGGCAACTTGACTCACCTATATTACCTGATCTTGGATTTCCATGTGCACGTGTATCTAAGTGTGAGGTAATCACCAGGGTGGTTGGCAAAAAGTTCACACAACTCAAATTCACCAGGGGATATTGTGGCATGGTTTGGGAAAAACTAGTAAGATGACTTCCAGCAGGATTATCAAGCCTTCACTCATTCATCTGATAAATATTTAATGAGTTTCTCCCATGTGCCAGTTACTGCCTACAGTGGTGAAGACTGCAATGAGCATTTAGGACACAACAGTAAACAAGACAGACGTAATTCCTATCCTTGTCCATCAGACTTTCAACAATAATTACACAACATATTAATGATGGACATCGTTAACCACTGCCTTGGCTCTCAGGAAGTTTTAAGCTGCTTCATTTCAGCTTCCCAACCTAGTTCAGGTGTAGAAGCCTTCTCCACCTTCCACTCCCACCCTCCCAGCATTCCTGTAGGTTGTAGGTATCCAGAACCCTGCCCCTCTCTCTTGGCTTTTTTTTTTTGAGACAGAGTCGCCCAGGCTGGAGTGCAGTGGCGTGATCTCAGCTCACTGCAAGCTCCGCCTCCCAGGCTAATGCCATTCTCCTGCCTGAGCCTCCCAAGTAGCTGGGACTACAGGCACCCACCACCACGCCTGGCTAATTTGTGTGTGTGTGTGTGTATGTGTGTGTGTATTTTTAGTAGAGACGGGGTTTCACTGTGTTAGCCAGGATGGTCTCGATCTCCTGACCTCGTGATCTGTCCACTTCAGCCTCCCAAAGTGCTGAGATTACAGGTGTGAGCCACCGCACCCAGCCAATAATGTGATTTATTTTATTTTATTTTATTTATTTATTTATTTTTATTTTATTTTGAGGCAGAGTTTCACTCTTGTTGCCTGGGCTGGAGTGCAATGGCGTGATCTTGGCTCACCGCAACCTCTGCCTTCCGGGTTAAAGCGATTCTCCTGCCTCAGTCTCCAGAGTACCTGGGATTACAGGCATGTGCCATCATGCCCAGCTAATTTTTGTATTTTTAGTAGAGACAGGGTTTCTCCATTTTGTCAGGCTGGTCTCGAACTCCCGACCTCAAGTGATCCACCCACCTCGGCCTCCCAAAGTGCTGGGATTACAGGTGTGAGCCACCGCACCCAGCCTCTTTCTTGGCTTTATTAGTGTCTTTAGGTATTGTGTGTTTGGTGACTAAGCAAGGGTGCATTACCCAAACAGGTGTCATTTCCATTGGGTGGTCAGTGGTTGAGGTGCTGGATGCTAATGAGCTAAAGTCCTTACCGCTCTTCCATGGGAGGAAGAGCTGGTGAACTCTTGAGTGCAAATAATGAGAGGTTTCAACTTAAACATGGGACAGTCCATGGATTCTGATTCAACTGTCACTTAGCTTATGGGAGCTCCAACATGGGAGTCCTTTGCCTCCATGGGGGTCCTTTGCTAGGTGCATCCACTTTCTAGGTAAATGCACAAGGATCAGCAGCCATGCTCCCAGGGGCTGTCTCCTTCCCTCTCTTTCCTCATTCCTGTATCTCTGTGAAAGGGGGAAATTCTTCTTCCTCCTCCCTTTCTTTTTTTTTCTTTTTTTTTTCTTTTAGATGGAGTCTCACTCTGTCACCCCTGCTGGAGTGCAGTGCTCGCTGCAACCTCCACCTCCTGGGTTTAAGCAATTCTCCTGCCTCAGCCTCCTAAGTAGCTGGGATTACAGGTGCCCACCACCACACCCAGCTAATTTTTGTATTAATTTTTGTATTTTTAATAGAGACGGAGTTTCACCATGTTGTCCAGGCTGGTCTCGAACTCCTGACCTCTGTTGATCCACCTGCCTCGGCCTCCCAAAGTGCTGGGATTACAGGCATGAGCCACTACGCCTGGCCCTTCCTCTGTTACTTATCTCCCCCGGGAGCACGTCCTTCCTTCCTTCTGGTTCTAGAGTACTCTCTCTTTTTCCCTGGTTCTTTCAAAATAGATAGACCCATTAGACCCAGAACCCCACTCAACCGAAAACAAATTCCTTTTCCCTGGAGGACACAAAGGGTTGCTTGGTCTTCAAATATTCCCAGGAGAGGAAAGAAAGGGTTCGCTGTTGAGTGCAGCAAAGAAAGGGAAAAGGAAACACTGACAATTGCTTTCCCATACGAAAACGGCCCAAACATTTGCCACCTGCCACAACTAAAATTGGGACCAGAGCTTCAAAGGGGAAGTTCTGGGAGGTTTGGCCATAGAGAATGGAGACTGGTCACTACCAGGGGTCAAGGGAGCCAACCTGGCATGGACAGCGAACAGAAGTCAGTCCTGGAGTCACAGGCAAACCAGGCGCCTGCACTGTGGTCCAAGGCCACTGGAGCTTGGCAAAGCGGATGCCCTTTACTTGGATGAACTCAAGTTTTACAGTTGTTTAGGCAGCCAAGGGGTCCAAGCCTATTAGAGGAAGTCTTGGATCTCTGTGAACAAGCACTGTTTTTTTGTTAACAATGGGGCCCTGTCTGTGCCTCCTGGTATTGCACCATCTTCAGGGGAGATTGGAACTCTACTCTGTAGTGCTGTTCTCCGCCATGTTTCCTTATTCTCCTGGTGAACTTGTATTCACCCTCCAATGCCCACATTAGATGATCCTCCTCCATTGTGCTTCTTTGCATCTCATACGCTCATTCCTGTTGTTGCCTCTGAACTTTATGCTTCTGGTTTTTTGGGGTTTTTTTTTTCCACGAATCATTGTTTTTTCTTTCTTCTTGGGTAGGCCATGAGCATCTCAGGAATGGAGTCCACGGCTTTTCTTAGGTTTTGATACATTCTCTATGACCTTTAAACATTTTTTTATCATAGTAACTATTTTTAACTGTTTAAATTACTAAATATACTTTATAAAGCTGAGGTTTAATGACAGTTTGGAATTAAGGCAGGAACGTGAAGCCGAATGTATTTCACTAAACTCTCCCGGGGGTTCCTGTGGTGCCCCGTGTTTCCCCCATCGCAGCTCTTAACCCATACTGTTCTGTAATTGCCCGTTTGCTTCTCTGTATCCTCTGACAGGCTGCGAGCACAGGGACCACACTAATTTTACAAACATAACTACAGCATATGCCAGTGCCTGGCGTACAGTTAGATGCACAATACATATGTACTGAATTAAAATGGATTAAACTGGGCGGTCTCCTGGGGCAGAGGACAGAGCTTGACTCTTCAGAGTCTAGTTACCAAAATCTTCTCCACTCACCCTATCCTTCTATGGGGCTGCTATCAGTATAAAAATCATAATGAGCATAACAACAACACACCAACATCAAGCGCCATCATGCCAGGCACCGTTACTTACTATTTCCTATTTCCAAGCACTGTGCTAGGCTCTTGTGTGCATTATTTCATTCACTCCTCACAACAGCCATGCAACACAATTTTGTGATTGTTTATACAAAGAATGCTCAATCTGAGGCTTACTTTAGTTTCTTGCCCACTGCCACTCAGCCAAGTAAGTGTTAAAGGTAGGATGAGAGCCCATATCTGTCATGAAGAGTGTTCTAGGCAACTACAAGGCAAATTTAATGAATGGCATCAAGAGAAAACAATTGCCAGGAGAATTTAAATCCTACTTTTTTTTAAGAGATGGGGTTTCGCTGTGTTACCCAGGCTGGAGTGTATGCAGTGCCTATTCACAGGCGCGATCATAGTGTATTGCAGCCTCAAACTCCTGTGATCAAGCAAAAACTTACTTTTTCATAACATCGCTGTTCTGCTAATACTATTTATCTCCTCGTTTGTCACCTCCTCATTGTTTGCTCCCCGAGAAGACAAGTTATTTTTTCAGCATGGTCTTGGGAGTATTCGAGTTGATTCTGGGTTAGCTACAATCAACACAAAGTAACAATTTGGGTTCATTCCAAAGTCAGCTCTGAATTTGGAGACTTTCCCAAGGAGTTTTATATAGGTAAAGACAAAAACATTGTCCCTCACATAGGTCCAGGTTGCTTATAATAAAAAACGGATTGAAAAGCTAGTCATCTGGATATAAATCCCAAACTCCAGTCATGGTGCACCCAAGTTAGTTTGCATAATACAGAAAGGGGGACCCTCGCTTGGCATAGGCCCATTTTGAGAGGCAGTGTGATGGTTAGGAGCCAGTCTCTAGCACAAAGCTCCCCAGGTTCAAATCTGCCTCTGACAATCACACTGCAAATTTGACCAACTTATTCATTATTTATTTCAGTTGCCTCATCATAACATGGAATTAAAACTATTCCCAAGCTTTTAGGGTTCTCGTGAACATCAAATGAGTGAGTATATGCAAAGCATAACACTAAAACAGTATCTGGCACATAATAAGGGCTATAATTATATTGGCAAAAGAAAGAACTTTGCTGTCCCTTCCACATCACCACAGCTCAACCTCCTGTCTCCATTAATCCCAGAATCGTAAGGCTCCTGACTACTGCTTTTTGTCCAGAGGATTAAGAGAGTGAGTGGGCTGGAATTAGCAACAAGTCAATTTTCCTTTGAATTGCCAAGGCTGGACTACCACCCACTTTGTTGTTTCTTCCCATTTTCTGAGCATCACAAAATGTAATATTCATGTGTCAAGGGATCCAGGATTGTATTTTAACATTTTATGGCCTCTTTGTAAAGCTACCTTTTCAATTTTAGAGGAGGCAGTTTTATGACTCCCTTTGATAACCACTTAACTGTTAAGACCCAAACAAAGAAGAGGAATGGTCAAAGGATATCAGGTGCTTCCAGCCAGCTAGAGTCTCACTTCTTGAACATTATTCAAATTAGCTCCAGGACTCATAATTCTGTGTTTTCATTTATTGCTGCAGTAAAGTAAATGGTTCTTTTATCCAAATGTTATTTTCTGGCTATTAATTCAGTAGTTATTTTGGATTGTGGCACTCCTCTTTGATTTAGGGATATGACACCTTATAAATATTGAAAAGTTGAAGACTGACATTTGGAGAAATTGACTTTGATTTGTTTTGTTAATATCCTATGGCTAGAGTAATTATAGGTTTGGAAGATGCAATCTCATTTTCTGTTTACTGGAAGCAATGGGGAGCACTGTGTCTCTATAACAAGGAATTTGTCAATGGAAGGCTATTCCCAAATCTTTTATGCTTGTCTGCTCAGGATACATACTGCCTGTTACTCTTCATAGTTTTCTCCAGAACCTGCCCTTGAACCCAGCAATGTGGGGATGAAAACTACCCAGACTTCTCAAAATAGCTGAAAATGGTCATTCTTGAAAGGCTTGGAACTTTCTTTCATCTACAAGTGCCAGCAAGGGTTTATGGCAGGGCTTAGTGTGATCTACACACCGGTATGATTTAACCATGGATCAATCAACCTATTAGGGGAAAAAAAGACAAGGTCAATAAGGATGGGTCTTGGTGAACCAGAGGTCATTTTACATTTTCAACGTAATGTTCTTATTTCCTTTCCATTAACACTTCATAATGAAAAAATTCCTATATTCTTTAATTTTTAAGATAATTAAGTGGATTTAGTGCCTTTGGAAGGTAGAGGATTTATAATGGTATCAGGGAATACACTATTAATAATCTACAAGACAGGGGCCACCTGGAGTGGAGTAGTGCTGCCTCTATCACCATTTCTGCTTCTTTGGTAACAAACTGTAACAAGGTTCAGCCTCCTTTGCCAATTCAGAACTAAACTTCTCTCCTGAGACCAGAAAGATTTGTGTCTTTTGGGACAGGGCCTCTATCTCTTGAAAAGTGTTTTTCCCACTAACATTTGATTTTGAATTGGAACAAATTACCACAAGCACAGATCTTTCTGAGACCTTGGTATTCTCTATTTACAAACCCTCAAACACATGATAGGAGTAAAGAATTGTTTGGATCTTCCCTAAGAAAAATAAACATGGCATCTGCCTCTAAGATTGTTACAGCCTAATAAGTGAGTTCACTGGCACAAGTGAACCCACAGGGGCGCAGAATAAGAGAACGAGATCTACATGGTTGCAGCCAGGTGTGCACATAGAAACAAAGGGCCTACAGACCAAAGGCTGGCTTCCCTCTGAGTTCTCCAAGCTGACCATTCTAGGTATCATTTAATAAAGATAACTTCATTTATTTTTGGATAAAGATGATAGATTAACTACACTCATTTTCTTTTGTTCTCTCCCCATGCCCTATTAAAACAAAAATAAAGGTTTTTTTTAGTGCATAAATTCTCAAAGCCAAAGAAATTGGGAAGGGACTTAATGGTGACAAAATTTTGGATGCTAGAAAACAGATGGATGAATAGAAAGTAATTTAGCAAACTCAAGACAGCCAAAATAACCTAGCAATGGGAAAAGCTGAGAGGCAAGCAGATTTATACCATAGACTCCTCCCCACAGATAGCTCAGGAATTGACTAATTAAGTACCTTTGGAAGTGCAAATGAAGATGGGCTTATAAACAGGAAAACAGAGAGTCTAAGAAGCAGTTAGAGCCCCATATCCTTTGTTCTACTCCCCCACTCCATAAAGACTAGAGGCTTGTCCTCTGGAGAGAGTATAATCTTGGGTCTTTGGGTTAGGGAATCGTCAGTGCAGAGGGTGAGGGTGGGCGTGCAGGGTGAAAGCAGGAGGACTGAATGAACAGGAAACCAATGCTGAGACTCCTCCTCCAACCTGCTTCCCCGCTAGGCTCCAGCCAGAAGACTCTTCTCTGGGGATTCTGAGTAGCTAAAGAGTAAAGACACAAAGACACTGATATTTGGTGGCTTCCCCAAGGAAACAGGTCAGACACATTCCCCCTACAGAGAAGCCCCCAGAAGCTCCAATAGAAACTTTTAGAGCCCCACTTTTACACAGGAGTGGAAAACTAAAGATTATCAGGCCGCTAAGGAAAACCTCTAATATTTCTAAAGCCTCTAATGTATTAAAATAATTTCTTGAAAGTTGGCTGATGAAGACAGAGATGAAACGATTGATGAATGGAACAAAAATGTGGTATATGCATACAATGGAATATTATTCAGCTTAAAAAAAAGAAAACCTGTCATATGCTTTAACATGGATAAACTTTGAGGACATTATGCTGAGTCAAATAAGCCAATGACAAAAAAGACGAATATTGCATGATTCTACTTGTAGGAGGTAGAGTAATCAAACTCATAGAAACAGAAAGTAGAATGGTGGTTGTCAGTAGCTGGGAGGAGGAGGAAATGGGGAATTGTTTAATAAGTATGGAGTTTCAGCCATGCAAGATGAAAAAGTTCTAGAGATCTGTTGTATGACAATGTGCATATAGTTAACACTACTGTACTGTACACAGTACAGTATTTTTACCACAATAAAAAAGGAGAGACTAAAACAAAGTACAGAGAGTGAAGCCAATTATAAGAAGAGAAGAAAATGACAAATAGAATTGTCATTCACATCCTCAGGCAGGTAAGAGAAAATATTGTATCCGTGAAATAAAATTAGGGTACTATTAAAAATACATAAAAAGGAATATCCAGACGACAAAAGAAGAGCTCTTAGAATGAAAACCGTGGTATTAAAATCTCAACAGTAAGAAGAAATTTCCTAGAAAGCAGAGCAAAAAGGAAAAGAAAAAATATGAGAAATGAAAAACATGTAAGAAAAAGAAAATAAAAACTAAAGGAAAAGAGAAATGAAAGAAAGAAAAAGAAAAGAAAGACAAACCAGTCCAAAGGTCAAGTTAAGGGAATTTCAGAAAAACAAAGAGAGGAAGAGATCTTCAAAGAGCTTATTTTAAAATGTTTTTCTAGAATTAAAAGACATAATTTTCCAATTAAGAAAAGGGCTTACAACCAAACACCGCATGTTCTCACTCATAGGTGGGAACTGAACAATGAGAACAGTTGAACACAGGGCGGGGAACATCACACACCGGGATCTGTCGTGGGGTGTGGGGAGGGAGGAAGGATAGCATTAGGAGATATACCTAATGTAAATGACGAGTTAATGGGTGCAACACACCAACGTGGCACATGTATACATGTGTAACAAACCTGCACGTTGTGCACATGTACCCTAGAACTTAAAGTATAATAAATAAATTTTTAAAAAAGATTTAAAGTGACAACAAAAAATCAAAATGCAGAGGGGGATGGAATTAAGTATCTTTTTTCCCTCTGTTTCTTTTTTTGCAATCAAAATTAAGATGTCATCTTAATAATTTATTATAGCTAATGATAAGCCTTTAAAATAATTTACTACAGCTAAAGCTAAGCCTCATGGTAACTACAAAGCAAAAACCTGTAATAGATACACTGGAAAAAAAAAGGGGGAAAAAAGAAAAGGGCTTACAAAGTGCCTAGGATAATGAATGAAAATAAACTCACACCAAGGCACATTTGTATGACATTTCAGAACTCTTGAAGCAAAAAGATTCTACAAAAACTCAGTTGGAGGGGGGAGTTATTTTCAAAGTATAATAGCACAGAATAGCTTCTGACTTCTCAAAAGTAACATCGAAAGCTCAAAGAGCAATGCCTTTAACATTCTAATGGAATGATTTCCAACCTAGAAATCTTACCTAGGCAAACTATTAATGAAATGTGACAGTAATACAAAAACATTTCAGACTGCACAGCCTCACAAATCTACCCCACACCTTTTCTTGGGAATCTGTTAGAGGATGTGTCTCACCAAAATGAGAGGAGAAAGCAAGAAAGAGAAAGATGTGGGCTAGAGAAACAAAAGAAAGAGAGAAAGGCATCCCCACAATTATGGTGAAGGAATATCCTAGGATGAAAACTACACATCAGACTTATAAGATAGTTGGTCTAGACTGGAGAAATGCGGGAAGTTCCAGGAGTGATTTATTCGTGAAACTGACGGAATGCCCAAAGCATATGAACATTTTGAGAAGAGACTTAGACAACTGATAGAGAGTTTAGGGGTTGAATTAATTGCAAGTACATGGAAAAACTAAGCTCCACCTATGGAGGAGCATAGAGTTGGGAAGCAAGGATTAATTATGTGGTTTCTGGAATGCTTAGAGCAGCCAGAGTTGGATTGAATCTCTTAGCCAAAGTAAGTAGCTCCAGGGCATAAATTACTGTCAGGGTAATTTAAACCCAGTGAATAGATAGGAATATGAATACAGAATGGTCTCTGATAACCTGAAAATATAAAAGTGACTCCCTTACCAAGAGTGATCCAAAGAATATGGTAAACCCAATGAAATCACCATACAAATGATTTCCAAAGATTTTTTTTCTCCTCTTTAGGCTCGTTTGTGGGCAGCTGATTGACAGTTGCCTAACATGGGTGTTTTGAAAACCTTGAATATGTATGACCAGTATTGTAATTATGTTGTGATGTTTATATAGAATGAAGCTAAACAAGAAAGCAAAATTGATCTCCTCAGTGAAACATAGGCTTATGCTAAACCTTCAGATATCTCTATTTTATTAAGGCAACATATTTCCCACCAGAGATGTGCTGTCTGATCCTTTCGATCATTCTGAATATACAGAACACGTGTGTAACAAAGAACACGTGCAAGCTACAGGATATAAGGATATAAGAAACAAGGCAAAGTGGTGTATTCCCTTCTCCTTCTCCTGAATAGCATCAATTAAAATTCACAGCTGCTGGCTGCCCAGATGTTTCTTGCATTTAGTGCTCTGTAATATGCATCAGAATATATTGTATGACCACAGTTTCCATAAACTTGACAGTTCTGTATTATAAATTCTGCAGGCTAGATCCAGTGCGTGTATTTTATCTTCAGATTAGTTTCCCTCCCCCCGCCCCCAACCCTGCCCCCACCTTCATTTGCTTGGGGCATTTGCAGTTCAGAAACAAAAGACATTTACAGCTCAGAGTTTAGCTGTATCAGGGTGTAAGTGCAGGTCAGGCCTGATTTATGTGGCACTTCTGATAAGCAGGGGAGGAGAGCAGGATGGGGGTTTGGGAAAGCTGGTGAACTTGGCTTGACTTATGTCTTTTGCTTTTCTAGGCAGCCAACATCCCTCTGGTGTCAGAACTTGCCATCGATGACATTCATTTTGATGACTTTTCTCTCGACGTTGATGCCATGATCACAGCTGCTCTCCGGATGTTCATGGAGCTGGGGATGGTACAGAAATTTAAAATTGACTATGAGGTAAGATGTCTGTCTTGGGTGATCCAAGCAGTTCACCTGGGACAACGTGTTAGCCACTCTGAACCACTGGTTTCCCAAATACAAAATGGGGATGATAATCCCTGCCCTGCACACCTCATGGGATTACTGTGAGAACCAGAAGAGATGTTTGTGGAAGGCCTTTGATCACTGAGGGTTACTCAGATATAAGGCACCATTGAGATAAGGGTCCACTAGAATCACTTACAACTGCCTGACGCACCCTCTCCCTCCCATTTCAGACACTGTGTAGGTGGCTTTTGACAGTGAGGAAAAACTATCGGATGGTTCTATACCACAACTGGAGACATGCCTTCAACGTGTGTCAGCTGATGTTCGCGATGTTAACCGTAAGTGTGCTTAGTGATGGTGGAAGATCATTTCTCATTCGTAGGAACTGGCA
Source organism: Homo sapiens (assembly GCF_000001405.40). Taxonomy (NCBI): domain Eukaryota; kingdom Metazoa; phylum Chordata; class Mammalia; order Primates; family Hominidae; genus Homo; species Homo sapiens. The sequence goes on along the minus strand of NC_000002.12, from coordinate 177,727,604 downwards.
GGCCTTCTCCTTTACATTTCCATTTCTCTGAAAAATTACCATGTGATCATTTTATGTTGGAACTTACCTACCCTGGTTATGAAAGTATATATGTGCCAGCAATTTCTGAGCTTGAAAGCTGTAACATTGTTGACCCCTTGAAGCCAGTGTAGCCTTGGAATGATTACTTGAGCTTCTGTTCAGTATTTTTTCTTGGTAAACTTGTTCTTTTACAAAAGAAATGCTCAGATTTTTAAAGTAATCTTTTTGCAGAGGAAATGTAGTTGAGTAACAGAACAAAGAGATCACTGGATATGACTCTCTTGGCTGGTGGAAAGCCAGTAGGGAGGTGTGAACATCACCCGCAGGAATATGGAAATCCTGAGAGGATGCTTATTTGAGACAATGCCCAGGGAGGCCAAGGAGAAAAGAGGGGTAAGAGTGCGCACTCTCCAGGTTTAGGGCTTACTTGCCTTAAAATCTCGTCCCGTGGGGTTTTAACCCAGTGATGGTGGCCAGTCTGTTTCACGGAGATATCTAGTGCAGCTGGGCAGATATAAGCCTTGGAATTTAATCTCAAAGCAAATGTTTGTGGCAAATATTGAAACAAATCCTCTATTTACTTCTTCTGGCAAGAAATAAGGCTTTTTTTGGCATAATTTCTACTACATTGTTACACTATCATCAAGTACAATGTTTTCTGGCTTAAATATGTTGGTTTCTTTGGCTTCATAGTTATATATACACACATGTGTACGTACATATCTGTGGGTGTGTGTAAACATATTGCCATACAAAAAAAAAGAATGTGAGTCTTGGACTCTTCCAACATAAAATAAATACCTTATATTTTTGCACCCAGACTAAAATTTAAACACAAAATCAGAACGCCAAATGAAATGCATTTTCCTTTGGTCCAAATGAACAAAGACAATTCTGCTTCTTTCTCAAAAAAAAAAAAAAAACTCTGCCTCATTTTCTGCCTATTAAAATTTTACTCATCCTTTAAGGCATTCATCTAGTGCCAGTTTTTCTACAAAGTCTTCCCCTTTCTCCCAAATCATCAATAATTACTTCTTTCCCTGTACTGTATCTAGTACAACACATCTTTCTTGCTACTGTGTATTTTAAGTTACAAATCTGTCATCCTCCTATAGAGTAAGCTGCTGAGGGAAGAGATCATTTCTTGTTTTTTCAACAGCATCTACTTATTTGCTCAACCACCATTTATTGAGGGTCACACCAGCACCCTGCACTCTGTCATGTACTTGGTGGGTTTTCAAAAAATGTATGTTGAATTGACATGAGCTGAAATGTGCATCTAGCATAAGATGGGGCCAGAATGTCTTTTATACTAGGGACTTGTGCTTTGGGTCCTCAACTGCTTAATAAACAGGCAGACTGGCCTGGGAAAACTGGACTGATTCCATTCTTCTGTTGCATCCACCGTTAGAGGAGTGAGCCATCAAGTGAGAAAGGAAGGTGCTTTGAACCATGAGGCTTAATAGCTCAAGTAACAACCATTGCTTGGAAAAAAAAAATCTTCATTTTGTTTTTCCATATCCTACCTCAGTAAACAAGGTATAATGTTTTGTGTACAGATTTCATATGTCTGGCCCACAGAGGACATTCAATAAAAAACTTTTTAACCCATTATTTGGGAAAACCTATGGATTTATGCGAATTGCCAAAATAAGTAAGTAGGAACCCTGTTCAATGAAGGAAAAAGAAATGGCTGTGACATTTTTGAGTTAGAAATGTCAAGGACAGAGACAGATTTTTATAACAAACCTTAAAATAGTTGGAATAGGGGAAACTGGCAAGAGCAGCAGGGTCACAGTGGACACTTAGGAGCAAAAGGAAATATATATCCAGTTTTCTGCAGTGGGTATTTCCATTATATGGGCAATTTTGATCCTTTCCAAGAAATTGAAGAGAATAGAATTCTTAAACTATGTCACCACAATGGGGATGCTCATATCGTCAGAATATTTCCAGGGTACAGTTGTTTTTGCAAGTATGCTCAGCAATCTTGAAGAGCAGCATTGTTGGAGAAGGCTTAGGTTTTGTTTTTTTGCATTCATGCTAACACAGAAAGAGGAGACTTCATTGTCAAATTTCTCTAAGGAGGGTGGGTGGAGGAGATCACAAAACAAAAACATGACTTCAGAAAGAATACAACGTTATTTTGTTCTCCTTCACATTGTATTGAGTAGCCACATCTGGAAAAGATAGTATTTTCTGCTCATTAAATTTTGTTGAACTTAACTAAGGGTTACAGTCAGTTAAAAGTGTCAACATTTGTTTCTCTCTAACGTAAGTATCTTCTCCAAGCTTGACTCTGGTCAATCTGGTTAATCAGAATTTTTTAATTAAGAAAATAATTACAGAAGTAACAAAGACGACTCAATCAGTGTAGCTAAAAATAAATTTAACTCGCTCATCAATTCTCATCTCTGGAATGTGACTCGGCCTATGGTAAAATGATGCCCTATTTCTTACCACCAATGGGCACTCATGCTTTTGGCACTCCTGAAGATTCTAAAAGCCTTTCAATGTTTTGATCTTATCAGTGATTAAAATTCCATTCCAGTGATCTCATATTTCCTGTCTGTGGGTTGTGTTAGAACCAAAATTCTCTATTAATCTGGGGGGAAAAAAGAAAGAAAAGAAAAGAAACTCACCATGTACCAACCATTGGATTCAACCTGGGTCATGTCATAAGGCTAAGAAAGCACAGCGTGTGTGTGCTGAGGCTTCCTCTAGATGGCGCTCCAAGGCAAAGTTTCTCAGCTGGTTTCCAGAAAAGGGGGAAAAAACCTTACCCACCTTCCTTGAAAGTGCTTCTTTTCTTCTAGCACAGGGAATACTGAGGTACACACCCCACCACAAAATAAATGTTTTTCCTAAAAGAGATAGCAACAAAACCAGTCTGTCGGAAAAGAGCATCTCCCATCAGGATGGGCCTGTTTTATGACTGCCACCTTGCATACCGTGCTGTTAAAGTGAATAATAGTGTTCTCCGTGTGACCTTAAATCTGTGATTGTGTATTTTTCCAAGCCTATTGTCTCTGGGAATGGGGAAATGCATAGTTGTGTGTCACTGCTGAACAAATTTTGGCACCACGTACAACAGGACAAGCAAATTATAAATATATGCCCCAGCTTCCTAACCTTTAACCCTAAAATCACTTCACGGGTGGAAAATAAACTTATTGACTCAGCATTGTGTTTTGCAAAAGTATTCAGGTTCATGTGTAGGTAACAAAGCGGTTTTGTTCCTTTAGAAATTAAAAAAAAAAAGAACTACTGTGTAGGACAGGCAAATTGATATAAAATGATGAACATTTTATTCACTGGGAACCCTGTTAATGACTTATTAATTTGTTCCATGCCTCTGGTCTGAAATTTCACATTTATAAATTTGAAAGCTTCAATGTTATTCTTTGTTTTTAAAAAGATATTTAGATAGTTAAAATTTCCCAAATACTTTGAATTCCTCTGACAAATACAGTAGGTAGTGACAGTTATTATTTGTGGTTAAAATGAGGAAGAAAACCTGCAGATGAATGATCATCATATAAATTTTCTTTACTAATAGAAGTTTATAGAACAAATATTCCATCATGCACATACATAATAAATAAATTATAACTATAAATACATGATAAAAGATGAGGGACATATTTCTTATATTCACGATGTAGACTAGATATCGGAAATGACTCTGCTTTTGTTTGTATTCTGTAAAATAAAAGGCATGTAGTGGTGCCAAGGTTGCAGAGACATTTTTTTCGGTTTTATAAATGATGTATGAGCTCTGACAGATTTTCCAAGGGGAAAAAAAAAGATTTCTTTAAGAGTCAGTATTCTTTACTATCCCATAAATGTACTCATTAGCACTTTGAGCCATGCCCTGCATCCTGTAGGGTATCAATAAAGATTAATTGAATGAGTGAATTTAGTTTAGGGTAATATTATTCAAGGAACCATGTTGCTCAGTGTCCAGTTAAAAAAAGCTATAAAATGGTGAACAACTATTATTGCTTGAAATCTTGTTCTTTCTTCATATCACACTAAGGTTCAGCTAGGGTTCATATAGAATATTATGATCTTGCAGAATTCACTGGATATGAAAAGAGAAGAGCACATGATCACATTAAAATTTATGGTGGTGCAGGCAGCGTGGCGCTGGTGGGGAATTGCAGTTAAACACTAATAATAACCAAGTATCACAGCAAACACATTGACACCCCCTGACATTTACTGGGGGCTTCTTAAATCTTAATGTGGAGGTAGCGTGTTTAAATCCATATTTGTGTTGTCAACAAGGTTATTTTCAGAGATAAGCCAAACCATTTTATTGATAATTCAAACTAGAAAGCAGAAGGGATGTTTAGGGAGAAAATCCATCCTATTTACCAGCTTGAGGCTGATGTTCTGTCCTCTGACTGCAGTTTCCAGAAAAGTCCTTGATTTTTGAGGTAGAAAATTCATTCTGGAAGATCTTAGAAGCACAGCTGAAACTCCTCCCTCCCTGTCCAAGAAATACAGAACCAATTGAAATTTTAAATAAAATATTTTTACTCAATAATCAGAATCCTAATCTCAACAGAAATCAAATTCCTTTGTAGACTGTAACACTGGAAGTTACAGAGAGATCTAGATGTTTTGTTCTGTAACTGACTGAAATAAATTAATAAACAGTAATCATATTTGTAATCATCAAACATCATTTTTACATTGTATTTCCTTATCAAAAAAGTAGTAACTTGTTATATTTACTTTAAAATAAATGGCAGCATTATTGTAATACTATAATAAAATCTACATGATAGAATAACCAACTCTTTAATCTTCATGCAAATGTAACCTACAAGATGGCAAATTTTTAATTTAGAAAAGGAGTAATTTTTAAATGTTTTTGCAGAACATCAGCACCAGACACAATAAATTAACTATGGGGCTAATCAATTTGAATACTGTGTTTAAATTACATTTAAGACTCCTGTCTTTTAATCATTTAAAAAAGGTTTCTATTTTTCTTCTCTCTGACTGCATCTCAGAGCCCCAATTAGGCACTCCATGCTTCCAGCTGACATTGCCTTTATCCACATTTATTTTATAAAAGAAAAAAGGCAAAGCTGCACATAATTAAGAACCTGGTGTGCTAATAACCAAACATACAATTGGGCAGAAGGATAATCCAATCCATTTCCTCTCACAGGAGAGTAACCTCCATAACTCACTTTAAGCGCTGCCATTCATGAGTTATGGGTCATTCCCTTTCTAGTGAAAATAAATTCTCCCGCACCATCAGCCAGAGCTGGGTATTTTTCTTAGGACATGTAAATTGTAAAAGTGTATGAACATAATCATGTCCGACGTTACAGGGAAAGTATAACCTCTTGCTCACGGACATAGGCTTATACGTAAATGTATGTGGTTTCGAGGCTGGGGCTGCCTAGTTACAATATAGGATTTTTGATTAAAGTGAATTTATTCTTGAGATTTTTATGATGTTGGTAAACTGCTTAATCTGTCGCTTTGTGTTTTATGACGCCAGCCAAATCCTCCAGGTCAGGGAGACCCAGCAGCAGAGCCATGGTCATTTATCACAGCCTCCATTTTCCACGGTGTATGATTTCCTAGTGGCACTTTCTTGGGACTGAAACCTGGCACCTAAGGGTGTTAAGTTGGGAGCTATAAAAAGTTTTAAATTTTCATGGGTCTCAAGTTTAGTTTCGGCTGAATTATGGCTAATAAAAATTTGAGCTTTGAAGAAGCCTCAAATTCTTGAAATTCACCAACCTGGGCTCTGTGGCACTTTGAGAGATCTGTCTTTCTACACAATTAATGTGCAGCAAGTGATCTGCTTCATTTTCTGTGGTCATAAACCATATGTTATATTATATGCAGTTCACTGGTAATTTATCAGAAATAAAATATAAATTATATTTCTAAACATGGACAAAACATACCGTCCTTGTCCTCAAAAAAAATCATAAAGCACAAATATTGTTAGGGTTGAAAGCTAAGTCCTTAAGAATCTGATATTTTTCTTTTGGTTCCTTTTAAAATGCATTATATGTGCTATATACATACAGCTATGTTTATTTATTATCTTTTGATGTAGAAACCTCCACTTTCTCAAGTCTTATTATTTAGTTGAAAATTTCCTTATATTATTTGTATATCTTTTTGTACATTTTATCAAAATAAGACAGCAGAAATATATTGAGCAAATTTTATTTGACCACATTAGGACTTCTTGAGAATGAAATAGTGTTGACAGATACCAGAGGTTTGCTTTGAAATACGCTAGCAAACAAAACAAAACAAACACACACTGCATGTGAAGAGACAGATGAAACAAGCCGCAAAACCTGGATTCCTGCTGAAGTTAGGCAATGACTGCACTGGGTTCATTATATTAATGGTATTCTATTTTTTGTATGTTTTTAACTCTCCAAAATAAAGAATTTGAAATTTATGCTAATAAACAGGTTAAAAATTAAGCCTTAGAAGTGGTTATAAATGTAATAGAATATAATAATAAAGTTATATATAAAATTAATCCAATTTTTAAATGTATGCATCAAACATCTACGCAACATATGTAATTGTACTGGACTGTGTTGCCTTTCTGAGACTTACATACACAAGCACTTGCAACCGTAGTTGAGGCTAAAGGGTCAACATATTCCCAAAACATGACTAAGGTTTTATGATTTGATAGTAAGTGCCTTCAGAAGCTTCTGGTTGGGAAAGAAAGTCATTTATATATAGACTGTAAGGTTTTTCCAACTCTGAGCTTGGTAAGGAAAGGACCAGTTAGGCCTAAATCAATAGTTAATTAATGCCAAATCAATATTTGGTTGCATTCATCTTGAAAAGAAAGATAAGCAAATTCAATCAAAACTATCCCGTTCCCATGAATAATTAGACAACCTGCAATTGGCTTGTTACATTGCATACTCTGGTAAAGGAGACATGTGAGTTTGTTGGTCCTAGATGGTGATTCCCTATCAGCTGGAAAGGTTCTGGTCTCTGGACCTCAAAATGGGGCTAAGGTGCCCCCTTTTCTCTTCAGCAGACCCATTTATTGGTAGACAAACTTTACTGTAAATGCCGAGGGAGTATGACCACTAAATCTAGATGCTATAGTTTGCTCAGTAGGGATTTTTTCCCCTCCATTGAAGTTTGTGGTTGCATACCTGTTCTTCCCCTTATGCTTTCATCACACACTGTCTCTGATTGACAAAGGTAAGATCCTTTTTTAAAAAGAAGGTATGCTGCGACATCCAGTAGTATAAATACTCATAAGCACTCCTAGTAAGCAATTGAAATCTGCTTCCACTCCAAAGCTTGAGATAGTCCTCTGCTCAATATTATTGCCTTGGAGCATATAAAACAGTTTGATACCCATTAGGCTGCCCCTAGGATCTATATGTTGAGTGGTTGCCATTCCATCACAAAGCAAATAAAATAGGGTCTCAAAAAGAAGCATACTGGGGTTGCTGTCCATGCACATGGAGCCCTAACATTGCCCTAACAATTCTCTGACCACCGTGATCCACCCATGAGTGGGATATGTGCTGAACTTGGGGGTGATTGAAGGCACCCTTCTTATAGAACCATCAGCTTCCATTAGGAGATGTAAGTTTCACAAGCAGACTCTTCATGTTAAGTATGACCCAGCAGAGCTGGACCAGCCATCAGCATTGCAAATTGGGCCTTTTTTTTTGTTGTTAAGATGATATGAGCATCTTGTTTGTGGCATTTACAATGAAACCTTCAAAGAGCACTTTTTTGGCTGAAATAAATGTGATTTTAATAATGTACCAAACAAAGACCCCAGAGAGTGACCCTGCAACACTCTACGTACCAGAAATTTTAAAATACCAGAAATTAAATGCTTCTTCTGTAAATACTGCCTTTCTGTTCCAAGCTCATAAGGCCTTCAAATTCAAGCCATCTATAGATCAGCAAAGGCACGATGACACAGATTAGGAATATGGTGTGCAGACTCTTCTAGAGGAGGCACCTCCTTGAGAAACCATGTCTCTCCAACCCCTTGGAATTGTCTGAGCCGTACTTTTTCCTCTTCTTTTCCAAAAGAGTGAGAAAGATGAAGAAGAGGAAGAAAGACTCTCCAAAATCTATCATATTGTCCCTCAACCTTAGCCAATCCACCTAGGGCTCTGCTGCAGTGCCTGGACATCAGAATCCATGGTGGAGCATATGGAGCCTACTGTCTTCAGCTTTAGGGTGTCTGCAACCATTAGGAATTTCTAGTACATCATTAGATTCCCTCTGTCTTAGTTTGCCATCTGCTACATCTCAGAATCAACAGGATGAACTCATCAGGAAATCCCTTATCATTCAATACTTCCGATAGTTGGGTTCAAAAAGAAAGGTGAGAGCAGAATTTCTGGCATCATTTTCTCAGATTGCTGAGCCAGGACTGCACACATGGCAAGGGTGTGCAGTCCATGGTGCACCTCCTCCAGAAACCAAGCAGGAGGAGCTGGACATTCCTACCAGTTCTGTCTTCCACAAAGCACAACCAATGTTATGACAGCTTCTCTTTAGAAAACAGTGCTCTGTGGCACTGCTCTGCTGGCTCGAAGGGTAACCAGATTCTATGTGCAGCAAGGGGCGGCTGTCTTCTTCACTGCCCTGTTCCTAGTGCCAGGAAATCAGTAAATAATAAATATTTGTTCAATGAATGAATGGACACTTTTTAGAATATCACTATTTCATTTCAAGCTGGGACAGTTTGATGAAGTGTGGGCTAATTCTTGAAACAAAAAAGAATGTACAAATATACATACACGTGTATAAATATAGATGTTCTTATAAACAAATGTTCTTTATGGAAATTTTAGACACAAAGGAAAAAATTTAAGCCAACTGTAATTCCACTACTGATAATATCTTGATATACATCTTAACAGTCTTTTTCCTATACATATATTTAAACATTTTATAAAGTTGAGATATTACAAACTATTGTATCTTTCTTTTCTCTCCAAACCTCACTTATAAAGCACTGTATATTATCAAGCACATATTGATGTGACAGAGCCATATTTAAACTAAAAATATCCAATGGCTCTGCAGTATCAATCTCTTCCTACTCAAGAATAACGTCCTTCGTGAAATAAAGCACACACCAAGGGATTCTTTACAGCCCTATTATCTAACACTGTATCATCACAATAGGATTTAAAAGCTGTGCAACTGAACCCACACCTCAACTTAGGGGCTGTGTAGCACAGTAAGTAAGAACACAGACTGGGGAGCCAGGCTACCTGGGCTTTTATCCCACCTCTCTTACTTTGTAGTCTTGTAACCTGGTGCCTCAATGTTTTCATCTACAAAATGGGAAGATAAGAACAGTTACCTGTCTCAGAGAGTTCTTGTAAGGATTAAATGAGCTAATGAATGTGAAGTATTTAGGAAAATGCCCGGCATATACTAAGCACTATAAAAGTTAACTGTTGTTGACATTATCCCAGGCCTCTTCTCAAATCTACCCAGTGCTCAATATATAATAGGCACTTAATGACACTTCTTAAATTAGTAAATTGTCTATAGCACCATCTAGTGTTGATATTATGGGTGTTTTTACACCTGTTTGGATTCAACAGAGTCACAAAGTAACAGTCATTTTTCTCTGGCTATGATATTCCCCCATTCACTGGTATCATACAGGATCAACATTAAAATGAGAGTACATCCTGGCTGATTTAAATTTTACATTGGCTAATGATAGAAATTACTGGGTAGTCCAGGAGACCCTGAGAATCAATCTTACTGGCTTGGGTCTTTTGGAGTTCTAGTTATTATATGCCGTAGTGGCTGGGGGTAGGCTTATCCCAGTATACATTTCAGCCCAATGAAGGAATATCATTGGAGGCCTGCTCAGAGGACAGGTGAAAGGCTTTGCTGGAGGGGGTGACATGGGAAATAGGTTTATATGCCCTGGCTGACTCTTTACTTAGATATATTGTATTTACTGCTTATTATTTCTGATACGAACTGTGAGGGAATACAGGTGAGAAGATATATTAACATTAAAGCTCAATAAAACCCATAATGATTGGGTCAGGAGCAGAAAAATATAATTTTATTTGAAAATAAAAGAATAAACCAGAGTCAAGAATGGGGTAAATGCATTAAAATATACTTCCTGCCGCCTCTCTGTTTTCTTTTGAAAGTATATTGTCTTCAGCAGGCAGTTGACTTTTTCTACTCAATATCAGTACGTGCAGGCCTGAATGGATAGCCCTGGGAGGAAGATGGATGAGGGCGGGGGAGGGGCAAAAGGACACTTAGTGGCAGGTGGGCATTTTTCAGGCCTGATGACTCCCAGAAACCATTTACCAGGCAGCTTTAAATCACAGTCAAGAGATAGGTGCTGCTTCAGTAACTCAGGTATCACCGTCGGGAGAGGTAAATATGTTTTGTGTGACTGTGTGTGGGTGCTGTACTTCAGGGATTCTCTACTCCGAGGATCTAGAGATAGGCTCCATAGTCTTTGATATTATAAAATTATAGAAAATGTTCTAGGAAGAGAGTCTAGGGCTCTGTTATGTTCTTAAAAGTATCCATGATACCAGTAGTTTAAGACCAAGATGCTAGATTTCTGGGCAGAGCAGGGGACAGGGACTGTGTGGAACATTTTAGCAAAATATGTTCCATCTTATTATAAAATGGGTGATAACTGATGGCTTAAAAATGGCTGGGGATTTTGATCTCAAATCTATTAGATGGCATTTGATTTTAACTACTGATTAAATTTCTAGTCAAATTACCTTATTTTAACATTATCTCTAACTTACTGCTCTGATTCATCAGCTAATTCTAGTCAATAGCTTTTCCATGGGCAAAGTCTCTCTAAATTTTAGCACAATATCATTGCACAACACTTATTTCTGGAGTATCATAGGTAATTATTTCATACTTGATAGACTTTTCAAGTTTTACCTAGTATTAGCAAGACCAAACTCAACATTTTGAGTTTTAAGATGATAGAGATGACAACAAAATACATTTATCCCCCCTCCCCTTCTCAAAAATCATCCTCAAATAATACGGAGAGAAAGAAATGTACACAAATCCTGCCTTGCATGGACTCATAACACATGAAGGCAGAAAGTGAAGGGAGGATAGTTCATAACTTAGCAGAGAAGAGAAACCCAAGTGTCTTCAGAGGTGAGGGTGTGGAGGAAGGGGTACCCATAAGAAATAATGCTACCCCCAGCACCTAACGAGACTCAGGAACTGGAGGCCTCAGATACCATGAAAATTAGGTGATGTGGAATGAGGGAGTGATGGAAACAATGAGTGCCTAAGTCTCCATCCCCTCTCTGTAGCTGGAGGGCTACTTTTCCCCCTGCCTCTGCCATAACCAGAGTATTTGCCAGAAAAACTGAATCCCAGAGTTGGGTACACAACCTAAAGCAAAGTTAGGATGAGGTGCACACTCAAAATAAGAGGATTAAGTGAAAGCCTACATCCTCACAGGTGGACAGCTACAGTTCTCTTTTCTCAGGATGCCAACACACGTGTTTACACCATTCCCAGGCAACAGATTGGAAAGTCCAGAGAAAATGAGTTTAGATGTTGACATTTGGGCATCTCCAGCAAAAGACCAGCTGGCCACACAGTCACCCCGTGATAAGACACAGCAATCTCCAGGCACCACCCACATACACTGGTGCACAGTGAGTTTTGTGATGCTTTACTCTTAAGAATGAAAAGACCACCAAAGGTTACCAGACAGACACTTGAGAGAAACCACCAAACACAGAGAAAAGAAGGAGTTCAGAGAAAAAAGGCAATACGGGGAACAGAAGAAATTTTCAGAAGAATTATAATCAATATCTTCAGAAAGACAAGAAAAGATCATGCATCCATGGGAGAAGAATAGCATGCTATTATAAGACAAGGAGCAGCAAACAAGAAAATTTTTATAAACTAAACATATTATTATGCCTGGAAAGTAAGAGGAAAGACCTATATAGGAAACAGAAAAGAGGAGATAAGAAAATCAGTACCAGAAGTCCAGTATCCAACTAATTGGAGTTTCATTCAAATAGGGCAGAAAAAAACTCCTGAAGAGAAAATTATTTTAAAAAAAAAAGAAAAGAAAAAAAGATTAGTAAATTTCTTCATTGTGCTGAAGAAATTGATTCTCCAGATTAGGCTTAACACACAAATTGAACGGGGAAAAAAGTTCCAACCCAAAGCATATCTCTGTGAAATTGCTGAACACCAGAAATAAAGAGGAAATTCTAAAAGAAAGAAAATCAAATAACATTCAAAGTATTAGGATTGAGAATGGTATGTTCTTCTCGAAAGCAACTTTGGAAGCTAGAACACAATAGAGCAGGCCTTCAAAATTCTGAGTGAAAATGTTTCAGCCTAGAATTGTGAGGCACACTGAGTACGAGAATAGAATAAAGATGTTTTTTCAGTCATGCAAATCCTCGAAAACAACCAACTCCTCCAGTGTTTAAAAACAGTAAGACCTTTTCTCATGAAGCCCCTGCAGATGTGCTCCTGTAAAATGAGGGAGTAAATGAGGAAAAAGAAAGGCATGGGCTGCAGGAGGTGGGGAACCAGACACAGGAGGGGAAGGAGGAACCCCCTGAATGACGGTGGAGGAAGCTCCGAGGGCTGCTGGCAGCAGAGGAGAGAATCCAGACCAGACCCCAGGGTCAGGCTGCAGGAAGGAGTCCCCAGGACAGGAAGGATCTAGAAACAAGCTGTGACCGTTCTGACCCACTTCAAAATTGCTTTGAGAAGCATTTTGCAGAATTGTGTAGGGTGTGAGAAGACTTAGATGTTTCACAGAAATCCTAACTCCAGGAAACAAGAAAATGTACATTATTAAGGAAACAATCATTGTATACTGGTTGGCTCAGCGGTGAATGATATTTATAGGATGGTAATATAGGAAAGCTCTGTGGATCACATTGGGAGTGTGAGGGGAGGGTGACCATAAACTCACCCGCTGCTAGACGTCGCCAGTGTTCAAGGGCAGATTCTGGTGAAAGGATGCTAGGAGCTTGCTCCCTTCTGCTATGCACTAGCTGGGAGACCCTGGGCATATGACTTAGCCTCTCTGTGACTCAGTTTTCTCATCTATAACTGGGGACAGTAATAGTTTCTACCTAACAGGACTGTTATGAGAACTCCATAAGTTAAATGGCTGTAAAGCTCTTAGAACAATGTATGGTACATAGAAAGGACAATATGAGTACTTGGTGAATAACCAAGTGCTAATAATATGTGCATGCTATATAGAAATATAGTGGGGGGCTGGGCGTAGTGGCTCACGCCTGTAATCCCAGCACTTTGGGAGGCTGAGGCAGGTGGATCACAAGGTCAGTAGATCGAGACCATCCTGGCTAACACAGTGAAACCCCATCTCTACTAAAAATACAAAAAATTAGCTGGGCGTGGTGGCGGGCACCTGTAGTCCCAGCTACTCAGGAGGCTGAGGCAGGAGAATGGCATGAACCTGGGAAGCGGAGCTTGCAGTTAGCCAAGATCGCGCCACTGCACTCCAGCCTGGGCGACAGAGAGAGACTCCGTCTCAAAAAAAAAAAAAAAAAAAAAAAAGAAAAAAGAAAAGAAATATGGTGGGAAAACTACGAATTTAGGTGAAAAAGAAAATAGAAAGTAGTTGCCTTCAGGAATCAAGAAAGGAGAATAATGAGGGACTACTGATTTTTAGTTCTAAGTCTCAGTATAATTTGAATTTTTTTAGTTACTGCAGGTAATAATTTAAGTAAAATAAAATTAACTTAGAAAAACTAACAGCCAACTGCAGATTTTAAAATGAAGGGCATATACAAGCTTTTTTGTTTGTTTGTTTGTTTGTTTGAGATGGAGTCTTGCTCTGTCGCTCAGACTGGAGTGCAGTGGTGCCATACAGGCTCACTGCAACCTCTGTCTCCCGGTTCAAGCGATTCTCCTGCCTCAGCCTCACGAATAGCTGGGATTACAGGCGCGTGCCACCAAGCGAGGCTAATTTTTGTATTTTCAGTAAAGATGGGGTTTTGCCATGTTCATCAGGCTGGTCTCGAATTCCTGACCTCAGTTGATCTACCCACCTCGGCCTCCCAAAGTGCTGGGATTACAATTTTGAGCCACCGTGCCTGGCCGGCATATGCAAGCTTTGACATGGACTATTTCATACTCCCAATTTATTAACATTCCCATTTGCTATACAAATGAAGTTATATGTATTTCTAAATGTAGCAGTGGACCCAAGTCTATTTATTAAAATAAAATTGTCAGCCAGGCGTGGAGGCTCACACCTATAATCCCAGCATTTTGAGAGGCCGAGATGGGTGGATCACCTGATGTCAGGAGTTCGAGCCCAGCCTCACTAATATGGTGAAACCCCATCTCTACTAAAAATGCAAAAATTAGCTGGGCGTGGTGGTGGGTGCCTGTAATCCCAGCTACTGGGGAAGCTGAGGCAGGAGAATCACTTGAACCCAGGAGGCAGAGGTTGCAGTAAGCCGAGATGGTGCCATTGCACTCCAGCCTGGGTGATAGAACAAGACTGTCTCCTAAAAAAAAAATAAAATTGTCAACACAGAAACCTGTTATTCAGTTATTTCTGCAACACAAACATAACCAATTTAAAAACAAAATTTTCATTTTACTAAGAGAAGTGTCTTACAGGTGTGGGCCAGTGATCCTAGATTTGGTGGAAAAAAACACATGAAAAGTGAAGCAATTTGTACCCTAATCCTCCCCCTCCTCCCACTCTCTGATAAAGATTTTAATAAGTAATGAAATGGGAGACTTACAAAGTAAAAGAGGGGGAGATATAAAGGCCTTCGATCAAGAAAATGCATAGACCTGCATTCCCAGAGGTCCACTTCCTCTTCTAAACTAATGAAAGGGCCAGCAGCAACCCAAGAAGCATTGCTGCTGTTGATTACATAATTATGTCAACCTGCTTCTAAAAGAAATCACATCACAGCTGTGCATTTCACCAGCAAGCTACCACAAGATAAGAAAAAAGAATTCCCAGTAATGGATACCCCACTCAATCCTCAGTCTGGGTTGACAATCCTCTGACAAATTCTGGTGTCCATGACATGCACTGCCTTATTATCTGTATGAATTTCATCTGTCTACCAACCTAATATGAATTAGGGTATTTACAAGATAACCTCTAGGATGTCATTGTATAACAATTTGAGTATGTTAAAGTGTCTCCTTTTAATGTTAAAAAAAAAAAAAAAAAGAAGGGTTGTGTTCTCCTTCTGCCTGCTCTCATTTGGGTGGGATCTGGCAGGTGTAGTGTTCACTTTGCAATTCACTGCCCCTTCCTATTCCCCAACCTCCAACCTCCAAACCCTATGCTCATCATTAAAATGTATAATAACAAAACACATTTTGCCCTGGGCCTTTGCTAAACTGTCACTGTCTCTGGATAGTCCAACCTTCTCTCTAAAAAGGGAACAAAATAGTCTGAACTATGTCCCAGTGTGGCAGCGTGGGCTGCTGTGACAGCAAGCTAATTCATCACTGTGGGGACCTTAGGCTGTGCAACTGACCACCCAACTTACTGTTGTCTGAGGGAGTGGCAGTTAATCATCTCCTTAAATGATGTGGGTATGAAAACAGAGTTGACTGTTGCTCAGCACCTAACCTTATCCATCCTCCGTACCCCAGTAGTGACTGTTGCCATTTTCCCCTTCTTCCCAGACTGCTGGGTTTCAAGACATTCTGACCGAGGTGGAAATTTTAGCGGTGATTGTGGGATGCCTGTGTCATGACCTCGACCACAGGGGAACCAACAATGCCTTCCAAGCTAAGTAAGTGTTCTAAACTGTTGTTATTTTAATGCATTTGCCTTTCTGTTCAGAGCCAAAGGTGACGAATGCTAAAGAGTAAAGCATTAATTTCTGGCATCCGAGGCCAAGGCCATGCAGGCTTGGGCGTGCATGTCATGGGGCCCATCCATCTTTATAATTCCCTATTCTTCTTTTAATTGCAGATTTGCCCTTCATGTCATGCTTGTTGATTTGGTCGGTCTCTGTTGACCTTACTCAGATAACAAAGCTTGGATTTTAAAGGGTCTACTTTTTTCCTCCCAGAATATTTGCCTTTATGGCGTTATAAGCTTCTTGGACTTGCTACTCTCAAACTCTGGTGTGAGACTGTTAAAATAAAAGCAGTCTTAGGAAATTTGATGAAGCAAAATATAGTTTTCCTTCTCCAACAGAGTCTCTTCCAGGATTCTTTTGATGTTGGGTATTATATAAACTATAGTAAAATAAAGCCACGTTCAAGGAATATAGTTTTTGCTCCTCCCATTCCCTACTCCCATAGAAAGGTGGAAGAAACAAAGGAATTACAGAAATACAGGGATGTCTGGGCAACTATTTGCCACACACATGATGTGTATAGATAGAATAATCTGTCCCTAAGCAGGTTTTCCTGGTCAAGATAGCTGTTGCTTTGTGGCTCATACTGTGGCCAAGGCCACAGAACTTATGGGTGCTAGAAATAAGACCAAAACCCAGGTCTCCTGACTTGTATATTGAGAGTCTGCCGTTAATGTTTCTTTCACTGTCTGCCTGCAAACAAAAGACAGAGGCTTTCAGAGGCTGGAGAGAAAAGTTTTGGGGTAGGGAAAGTAGAGAAGGCCTCAACGAAGAGGTAAGATTAACTTCAGATGACTGATTTCACAGCCTCTAGAACAAGTCAGCCTCTATTATCTGAAACTTTCACAGTCTGCTCTTTGTCAACAGGTTCTTTTCAGCTCATCATTCTCTTTTTTCCTCCAAACATCTACCCACTAAGACTTCAGGAGTCTTGGACTCTTGTATTTACTCCTGATCTAGCAGATGAATTTCAATTTTGTGCCCTCTGTCCAATCTGTATCCTATAGCCCATCACTTCAGTGCTCTCTTCTCAATATCCTATCATTTCCTGACCAAGTCTCTGTGACATCCACTCTGCAGAAACTCAGTCCTGGTTCAGTCTAACAATTCAGTCTCTTGCTACTCTGCCTAGACTTATAAAAGCTTTAGGAGAAAATGTCACAGTTGTGAGAGTTAGAGACATACCAAATATATATTCCTCCCACTTGGCTGGACGCTAGAACTCGCTGCCAGTCTTTCTGTGTCCCTAGCCAGCCCCATTCCCCATTGCTCTTAGCAGTTTCATATACCAAACTTGTGTCTTCCAAAACCACCTCCTGCTCCCCCGCCTCCCCCGCACCACTCAGCAGATCACCTTGCCTCCTACTTCACGGAGAAAATTGAGGCCATCAATCGAGAATTCTCTCAATTTCCTCCCCTGCCACCTACAAACTTATCTGTCCATCCCCATCCTTCCCTCCTTCCCTCCTATCTCGGTAAGAGGGCTGTCCTTCCCTCGTCCGAGGCTAATCCCTCCACCTCTGCCTTGGACCCTTCCTTGCTTCTCCTCTGGGACTTTGTGCCATCAATCTTCCTCTCCCTCCTGTATCTGCTGTCCCTTTCTGCTGGCTGTCTGCATCCTATTAATAGAAACAGCTCCCCCGCATCTTGAAAAAAGCCTACCCTAATCCCCACTTCACTCTCCAGCTTCAGTTCTATTTCCTTCTTTCCTTCCCAGTCAAGCTTCATGGAAAGCTGTCTGGGTTCACTTCCTTCCCTTCTCCCAACCCCTGTCCTCCCACATGGCTTCCGGTTCCAATCATTGGAGAAACCACCTCAGGAATGACACCCGTGGCCCCCTTTTCTCAAA
The DNA here is from genome assembly GCF_000001405.40 of Homo sapiens. Lineage (NCBI taxonomy): Eukaryota > Metazoa > Chordata > Mammalia > Primates > Hominidae > Homo > Homo sapiens. The sequence continues at coordinate 177,709,847 of NC_000002.12, read as the reverse complement.
GCTGTCGGACCTTTTCGTTGTCCTTCTTTCATAATACCTCTTGCCATGAGATATACTTTGTCGCTCCCTCCTTCCTGAAACTCTCTCTTCCTTTATCTCACAGACAAAGGGTTTTCATCCACCTGTACAACCTTGAATCTCCGTTGGTTTCAGGCCTCTGTCCCTCTGCCCCAGCCTTCACTGATGATGCCCTCCCTCTTCCTCTCTCACTCTTCACGATCCTTCAGGCAGGGCCACCAGCCATCTGCTGATGAGCCCTGAATACATTTCTTTGAACCATAATTCCCAGCTTATCTCCAGGCACTTATTCCATTGCTTGAGGAAGACCTCCTCTTCAAAGTCCTACAGTCCCCTCAACCTCAGTCTTTCCCTCCATGCCTCTTTCTTGTATTCTCTACCCCAAGGAATGGCCCCACCAAAAATGCGCCAGTCACCCAGCCTACCCTGCAGCTCCCCTCAAAGCCAGTGCCTCCTCTGCATGCTTACAGCAAGGACTGCTTCTTGGCATGACTCCTGGTTTGCTACAACGAACAGCACGACTCTCCTCCCGAGGCTGCTTGGCACTCCAGAATAATCTTTCTAATTCACAAAGCTGACCAGGTCACTCCCCTGCTTAAAAGCCATCCACATCTCCTGTGGCTTTTAGAATAGTGTTCCAGTTCCTTAGCTTAGCCCCTTCGGGCCCTTTTCATTCGGACTCCTGCCCATTTCCCTGGCCCAGTGCCCACTCGCCGCAGCTCACCCTACTCATGCATCTATGTTCCAGACACAGGGACTCCAAGAAGCACTGGTGGGGTCCTGCTCAGTCACATCTCTCTGCTGCCCAATATGCTGTTTCCCCTGCCTGGCATGCCCTTCTCTCCTTCTTTCCCCAAAACTCCTCTGAAAGCATCACCTTCGTGTTTCTATCCACCCTAATGTACCCCCATGGTCAATTTCCTATGCCCTGGTTGTGCCTTTTCCAAAGTGTGCACTTCATGCCATTTTAATTGCTGACTTGCAGATGTGTCTTCCCTTCTTATTTGGCATGTACAACAGTGCATGGACAGTACTTGGGGGAGCATAATAAACAATAAATGTTTGGTGAATGAACAAAGGATAACTGCATGAGTGGATGAGATATCTTTAACTACAGCACTTTAACAAAGTTTCCTGATTTCTTTAACAGATGCAACCTCTTATAAATTATTATAAAACATTGCTTGTTTGTTTTTAACTTTTATTTTAGGTTTGGGGGTACATGTGAAGGTTTGTTACATAGGTAACCATGTGTAACGGGGGTTTGTTAAATATATATTATTTCATTACCCAGGTATTAAGCCCAGTACCTGATAGTTACCTTTTCTGCTCTTCTCCCTCCTGCCTCAAACAGACCCCAGTATCTATTGTTTTCTTCTTTGTGTTCATAAGTTCTCATCATTTAGCTCCCACTTGTAATTGAGAACATGTAGCGTTTGGTTTTCTGTTCCTGCATTAGTTTGCTAAGGATAATAGCCTTCAGTTCTGTCCATGTTCCTGCAAAAGACATGACCTCATTCTTTTTTATGGGTGCATAGTGTTCCATAGTGTTCCAGGGTGTATATATACCACATTTTTTAAAATTCAATCAAATGTCATTGATGGGCATTTAGGATTCCATGTCTTTGCTATTGTGAATAGAGCTGCAATGAAACATTGTTTTATACATTGTCTTGATGCTGCACTAAACAGCTGGAGCCCATTGTGTACGTTGTGTATGCTTTCATTGTAGGGTCCGATTGCTCCTTGTTTGGAGTTCTTGTGTCTGCACTGCATTACTTTTTTAGGATTCCTCTCTCCCCCAGGCCAATGGTATCATCATCACTGTATCTCCCTCTAGCATGCTCTCTCCAGCCCCCTACCACTCTACCACTTATGCAGAAAGATGGGATAACTGTGTTAGAATTGTGTCTGTAAAACAAGAGTCAGAGCCTTTTCAGTACTTTCAAGAGTGAAGTGCCCAATACTTATACTCAGATACCAATGGCCCCTCCCCAGAGAGAGAGCTGGTGTATGGCGCTGACAGAGGCTGCTCTTCTTGCTAGTTGATCCCTCAGCTGTTGGGACCAACAGTGCACACCTAATCAAAGCTGGACCGATCGGATTTTATCTCACAGGAATTTGGAGTTGGATTACCGTGATATTAAGACAGTTAGCTGCAGGGATCCAAGCTGCAGGCTCATGCAGATTTGGGAGCTGAGGCTGCCATTTGGGAAAAGCTATGATGACCACATACCAAGCGGATGAAAAAAACAAGAAAACCAGTCTACAAAGAGGAGAGAAGGATGGAGCTGATATTCAAAGAGAAGCAGAACGGAGAGACTGTGTAACCTGAGAGAAAGACAGAAAAAAGACAGGCTTGATGCCTGGCTCTCTCCATCCTTGTTCCTATTTCTAGGAGACCCAGCCATGCTTGTGAAAATTGGGCTACTTCAGAGTTCCTGGTATCATTCAATCAGCCTTCCTTTTAGTGAAGCTGGTTGTACTCCACTTCTGTTCTTTGCAACTAACACTTCCTGAGACAATGAGAAGAACTACAGTTTATTTATTGTTTACTGTGTCTTAAGCCCTTACCAACATCAACTCTTTAGAGTTGATATTCTTGTCTCCATTTTACAGGAGGAACTGAGCCTCAGGAAGGTAAGTAAACTTGCCCAAATCCATTCATGTGGTAGACTGGAGCCTGGACCAGGGCTGTCTGTTTTCAGAAGCCATTCTTTAACCACTGTATCACACTCTGGTCCATGACTTTGTGACATCTATTTTGAGTTGTTGAGCTTCCAGTTTATTGGCTGCCTTTCCAGATATGTGAGCTCTTGAACTAAAATATATTTTGACATCCAACAGTTCAAAGACATGAAGCCATAAAAATTATAAAACCAAAGTAAACCTTACTAGCTATGTTTTACACTTCCTCAATTTTACAAAAAAAAACAAAAACCGAGGTCCCCAAATCTCAGGTTGCTTGTATAAGACTGAACAACATTCACACATATGAGGTAGGTATTGAGTCACTAGTACTAGATTTCAGAGAGTTTTTTTGCATCCTCACATCACATGATCAAATCTGCCTATTCCAAGGTAGTGTGATGCGTTTTTCTCAAGACAATTAACTTTGTACGCAGTTTATCAGCTCATGGGATGTCAGGGGCACTGCACCTACCTTATGGAGTCATTTTTGCACTTAGGACACTTAATGCCACCATTACCCAACCTCCGTTAAGATTTCCCTTGACGATGAATGCTGAAAGAGGCTTTTTAGCATCATGGTCAAGGAACTACCTTTTTATTGATTAGAATGAGATTTATTCAGTGAGTGTGCCATTGTTGAGAAAATCCCTTGCAAGAAACCTATCTTCTTTTCTTGTTTTTTATTTCCCAGTAAGTGAGTATTTTCTATATTCAAGATGCTGTGCTAGGAATTGTGGGAGAAATAAAGAGATATAGCAAACATCCCTTCTCTTAAAGTGCTCCCAGTCGAATTCTAGTCTTTGAAGTGATTTGAAAATGGGATTTAAATGCACCAATTATTATGCAGCAAAGTATATGCTACCTTTTTTTCATATATAAGGCTATAAAAAAACAGGAGACATTTAGCAAGGGACAAATTACTATATAAAATGCAAAATGCCTCTACAATAAAAAGTGTGGCTTTCGTTAGAGCACAATTTGATTTATTCTCTTAGCCTTTCTGACAAGTGATCCTTCGCATTTTCATATTTTGTTCTTAATTTTTAAGTATTGGAGTGCATACAATGAATGATCAATAGGTAGAGAGGGCAGCAATACCACAGTGCTTTGAAATTGCTCTGTTCACACCTCTCCCCTGTTTTCTCTAGGGACAGCGTTCCCCACTCATCCTTCTCTCTATTACAGCTGCCCCTGATGATTAAATATCAGTACCAAGCAGCTTTGTAGTATATTCTCCTAGGAGACTTCTTCTATTCATTTCTAGCATAATCTCTTATACTCATTTCTTGGGAATGAAAACCCATCTTGTCGCTTTCGGCCAGGTCCCAGAAGTGAAATACTGGGGCACATTAATCTGCCATGACAGCCTAATCCCATTCCTCACCATCTCCCAACAACTCTCAATTTCCTAATTACCTTTCATAGTTTTCCTTTTTAAAGTTTCCTTTAAGTCACAGCTGCACACTGCCATTCAGTCTCTTTTTCAAAGAATATGCATATCTAGGGAAGTTATGAAGGTACATTTACATTTGCACACATTTTTGGTGCCTGTGCAAAGTGCCAAATGCCTATAGGGAAATTTCCACCTTGACTTTTCTTTTTAATAAGTTTCTCCTCATTGAGCTGCCTATCCAAAATGAAAAGCTTTAGTATGTTAAGATGACCTACCATCAATAATGCACATCATGAATACTTACATGTATAAAGGTATTTGTACTTATGGAATTTGGATTCTCTTCTCTTCCTCTCTCCATACACCCTATGTATATATAATCATATTTTCACAACTAAAGGATGTGTGCCCCAAAGACACTTATATGATGGATATACTTAGCACAAACAATTAAAATGAGGTGTGCTGTTAAAGTCAATTTTTTCCATATGTGATTGATCTCAGGGTTTTTTTTTCATATTTTATGTGAGAAAGTAGAAGCATACCTTTATAAGTGGAAGTGTATTATGTGAGAGACATGACCTCTTTAAAAATGGTTTTACAATCAGCCAGGCACAGTGGCTCATGCCTATAATCCCATCACTTTGGGAGGCCGAGGCGGGCAGATCACAAGGTCAGGAGTTCGAGACCAGCCTGGCCAACATGGTGAAACTTTGCCTTTACTAAAGATACAAAAAATTAGCTAAGCGTGGTGGTGCATGTCTGTAATCCCAGCTACTTGGGAGGCTGAGGCAAGAGAGTCGCTTGAACCCAGGAGGTGGAGGTTGCAGTAAGCCAACATCGCGCCATTGCACTCCAGCCTGGGTGACAGGCGAGATTCCGTCTCAAAAAAAAAGAGGTTTCACAATCAATTAAAAGTAGATAATGCTGCTTGTTATGTTCCCCTCCCACAAAATCACAATGCATTTTCACATATTGCCGCCTCTGGAAAATCCTTACCATAAATAAACAGATTCACTTTTTAAAGCCAGCATTTTCCAAACTTATTTGGCCACGGAACCCTTTTTACTTCTTCTCTTAATGCCATTTAACATTCAGAAGAACTAGTATTCTGTAGAATACTTTTTGATAAAGCTTATCTTCACAGATATGTTTTATTTATTTATTTTTTTTGCCACTTATATCAAGACTGTAGACTTGGCTCTTGGTGGTCCCAGGAAGTTCCCAGTGTGTAACAGCAGATACAGGCAGCATTCCTAATGGGCCTTGGCCTGAGACAAAAGGCACTGAGGGCTTTGGCAGTCTAGAAAATCTGCCAGGGGCCAAATCTAATAGTGTAAATAAGGGATCCATTTGGAAATGGAAGTATTCTTGCTTAGATGGTTTTACTTTAAAAAAACCCCTCAAAGTTGAGTTAGTACCATGCTCCATTCTCTGAGGGCTAAGATGGCACCTTGTTTGCAGAAAAGTGAGCATTTTTAGTGCAAGGTTGATCAGAGAAAAATTCCTGACACAATTATAGGGGATTGTGAGCTTCCTGAAGGTCAGAACATGTCTTATTTCTCTTTGTATTCCACATGCCTGGGGCCTGACATAATAGTTATCAATGCTTATTGGTTGAATGAATGATAGATGAATGAATGAATAACAAAGTCTCCCCACACTTTCATGGCATTAGTCTGGTTCAGTGGCAAAATCTACCTATTTTCTGTGATTGAATCAGTATTGTGTGAGGCTGGGCAGAAAGTAAGATGGAATTACAAAAGAGAACAAAGAGGGAATCTGACGAGGAAGATGGTCAAACCATAGACAGTGGCTGCCTTTGCACAAATACTGGGAGATAGAACACACCAGATCGGAGACATATGGATATGGGAGAGAGGCCTCCATCCTACGCACAGGAAGGAGCAGTGCCTCAGAAGCCATGGTGTATTTGTTAAAAGCTGTTGTTATCGTCCCCATCCCCACTCCCTTAAAGGAGAAAACATTCCTTATTCACCAAAACAAAGAAGATACAGAGTGACTTCTGATCATCTAGCTGATGCAGCTTTTGTGGAGTCTGTTAACCCAACATGAATAAGGGAAGAGATAACATTTTGTATCTTGACTAGATACAAAAGATTCACACTAGTAAGTGAGGTGCATGTGAGCATGGCTGATTCATAGGAATGATCACAGGAATCAGCCTGTGGTTAGCAATGATACTAATAGAATTCTGAATTAGATTTTGAAATCTTCTTTCATTGATAACAATCAGCTTAGTAAAAATGGAGAATCAAATGTCAGAAATGTATGTTATAATTATCATTTTCATTATGTAACAAGAAGCTTAAAAACTTGGATTCAAATCTGGAACTGGTACAAGCTAGCTGTGTGACCTTGGAAAAGTTACTTAACTTCTCTGAGCCCTGTTTTCCTCATGTGTAAATGAGAAAATAATACTTATATCATGGTCATTGTCAGGACTAAATGCTATAATGTATTAAGTTGTTAATATATAGACTACCGCATGGTAGATACTAATGGTAGCTTTATTAATAATAATATTAGTATTATAAAATATGCTAACACACTTATTATCAACCTCCCAACTTGAACTGTAATCTCTCGACATAGTAACTACTGTAAGCTTATTAGACAAGCAACCAATATTTTTTAAAGCACTTACTCTATGCCAGGCTCTAGGATGTGATATGCATATAAAGCATCACAGAATTTCAACAGCCAAGACAAAGGCATATAGTATACGTTTTGAAACACGTGTCTTCATAGAAATGAACTCTATGTAAGACAAATAGTAACTAACATTAAGTATTAATTTATCACTAAGATTCGCCTAGCAAATCTTCACTTATTAAATAATATAAATTAAGGCAAGATTTAAAGAAATAACACATATATGATTAAAATCTAATACCCTCCTTACTAAGCACCTAAGAAAAATAATTCCGATATTTTACATTATATTATATTATATTCAATAATTCCTACCGAACCTAATCCTGCTGGAAAAGCTGACCACATATTGGGAGAAGAATTGGGGGAGTCTTTCCAAGAATTGCAGGTCACTTGTATTCTTGAACCGACGGTGGTTTTGGGCTGCCTCCCACTGAAGTTGGAGGAAAGCTTGGGACCAAAAGTCTTCATGTTGCACTTAGATGCAGTCCTTGCTTCTCTCACTAGCAGGACAGATTGTATGCAATCAATCTCCAGCATTTCCAAGTTAAGGCCAAATTGCCCTTTCAATATCGAAGCCCCCTGCAATAAGCAAGAAAGAACAAAATGATCTAGATGGATCCTTATCCTGAGTCCCATGGCTGCCGTTTACACTGTGGGCTTCTCTGGGATGTCTCTTGATTCTTAAGATGCTCTAACTCCCATTTCTTAAACAGAGTTGGACACGAACCTTTTTGAACTTTTTTTTTTTTTTTGAGACGGAGTCTCACTCTGTCGCCCAGGCTGGGGTGCAATGGCATGGTCTCAGCTCACTGCAACCTCTGCTTCCCAGTTTCGAGTGATTCTCCTGCCTCAGACTCCCAAGTAATGAACGCTTTGCAGAACTGACATTGTTAAGGAATGGGTTGTTCTACATAAATGAAATTTACAGATAACTCAAAGTAATCCCTTTAAGTATCAATGAGTATTTAACTAATTTAAAATGGAAATAGTCATATGTGTTTCAATTATTGATTAATAATTAATACAGACTACAATCTACTACATGCTGGGAACTGTAATAGGCATTTTCAAATATTTTATTGTTCTCATAAATAACAGGTTAGGTAGATAATATAATCTTAGAGACAAAGAAACTGAGTCTTAAAAAGGCCAAGTAACCGTCCAAAGCTACTACTTGGAGGAAGAGCTGAGATTTCCCTCCAAATCCAGAGAACTTTTCAGAGTTCCACACTGAGATATCACAGTGTGACTATGGACTGGAAAGCTGTAGTAGAAGGCTGTCAGCCTTTCATGTAGAGTAGATAAAATGCACTCTGCAGAATATTCACAAGGTCTTCTCCTATGGAAGGTCAAATACGTTTTGTATAAGACAGTTGTTCTGAACACTCAGAAGTCACAGAAGGTTTAGTTCATGAAGCTTCCCTGATCCCCGGAGCCAGAAATTATGTCTTTTTTTCCTCAGAACGTCCATAGCACTTCGATTGGACCTGGAACACATTTCTACAGTGATTAGTATTTGCATTGTTTTTATGTGCATTATTTTTCCTTGTTATCTCATCTCATCTTTCTTACTAGTCTGTAAATTTCTTAGGGGCAGAGACTGTGTCAAATTCATCAAATATCATTTGCAGCATCTAGCCTAATACATAGAAAGTTCTATGTATTAGGAACTTTCTTATATATAGAAAGTTCCTGAACGATTTATTTCATAGATGAATGGACTACAAAAGCAGTTACCTAAGGATGTGTCTGCTCATGGTCCTTTGCCAAAAGCAAGAAAAGCAGTTTGATCCAAAAAGCTGGTGTGGGGGAACCATCGATAGGCCCTGCTCACTCACCCTCTGTCCTCTTTCAGGAGTGGCTCTGCCCTGGCCCAACTCTATGGAACCTCTGCTACCTTGGAGCATCACCATTTCAACCACGCCGTGATGATCCTTCAAAGTGAGGTACAGGCCTGATGTTCTGCTTCTCCCCTTAACAGAAACCAAAACAACTCTTTGTTTCCTCCCTCTCTTCCTTTGTGGTGCCACAGGTAGACACAAAGCAGTGGGAAAACCATTTCTAAGTCAACTTAATGGGCCTTAGTAGCTTTTTCTGTTCCTATAGATGCCTGAGCAGGACCTTGCAGAGTCTTCCTGAGCTGATTTACTTGGATTTCATTATTGGTTAGGAGGCTTTTCAGATTCACTTAGCAGGGTAACAGATATAGACTGCTTGTCACCAGAGCATGACCTGACCTTCCTCAAAGGATACAGAGCACTAAGGGAACAACTTGATCCAAATAATGAGCGGCCCAACATTCCCATTTGGTAAAACTCTCAGTCATTTTAAAAGATGGTAGAAGCAAAAACAGAGTGAGAAAGTTACACTTCATTAGCACAATTGAGAAACTATACAACTTAAAAGAACTTAAAATTGCTGGTGGGACCAGTTAGGAAGTGAGAACTGCAGCTAAACTTAAGACCCAGAGCTAATGCCATATGCCTGATTTTGCTTCATGTGGCAATGCAGGAGTTAGAAGTAGTTGGAATTTTATACTTTTAGCTCTCCACAGAGAAAAACAGAAACCACTAACTGAGTCTGGCTGCGGCATCTGAGTTTTAAATTGCCAGGAAAGGATCTGTTTCATTTTCTGCAAGCGTACAGACTTTTTTTTTTTTTTTTGAGGCCAGGAAGGGATCATCTGTTCCCCATTATTTGTCAGTTCTCTAGCTGTGCCATTAATTATTATTATTATTATCATCATTAAGGCCCTGCTTCACTAGAATAGCATCATTAAATATGGAGGTTTTTTACCTCCAGCCTATCTTGAGAAAGCATGTCTTTTGCAATATCATGGAGGCCTTCGACCCCATAAAGGAGAGTTGGCACTCCAGAACCTGAATGCAGACTGCGAAAGGGAAAACCTGCTGGGAATGATGTATTTTCAGTTGGGAATTAAACACCAAGAGTTAGGCTCTCAGTAACTGGCAGAAGCCAGCATCCTGGCCTCTGTGGCTGTGGAATTGCCCTCCAAAAACAGTGTCTTAGCTGAGAACTATGGAAGAACTTTGGTTCAAACTATCTTTTCTGTGTTGGTAAAGGTGATGAGTATACACCTCTGACAAACCACCACCTTTGTAATAACAAGTATTATAAACAGGATGTCAGGTTTCCTCAGGGAAACAAACCCCACTCACTCAGAATTTGTGTTCATGCAAACAAAACACATTGGCCGTCCTTCACTCTGGGGTTCCCTATGAAGAACAGAGACTATCAATGACGGAACCATGCACTGTCCCAGCACTGCCTCCAGTCCCCTGTGGTCCTGCCCATCAGAAAGGCAGAAATGCAGGTGCTATTATTGTTCCACTTTCCAAATGAGCTCTGGTGCAGAGAAGTTAGATAGCTTGAGGAAGTTTGCCCAGACCTTTCTTCCTCCAGATCTGCATGTCTTTCCATTAACACCACACTCACCACCTCCCTAAACAAAGAGTAGATGCAGTATTTCAGGGAGACTCAAATCTACTTCAGGGACCAAAACGTTAAGGCACATAACGTGAAAATAGAAGACTAATTTGCATATAAACAATAAACTGATTGCAAATTAACTTTTTCTGGCTAGCACTGTCACTCTTAGCTGTAAATAGCATTAGTGATTATATATCCTTCAAAGTACAGTCACATGCAACATGTTTTGATCAACAAGAGACCACATTGGTGCGACGGTGGTCCCATAAGATTATAATGCCATATTTTTACTGTACCTTTTCTATGTTTAAATAGGTTTAGATATACAAATACCAACCATTGCGTTACAGTTGCTCACAGTGTTACAGACAGTAATATGATGTATGGATGTATAGCCTAGAAGCAATAGGCTATCCCATATAGCCTAGGTATGCAGTAGGCTGTATCATCTAGTTTTGTGTAAGTGCTTTCTGTGATGTTCACACAATGAGGAGATCACCTAACAATGTATTTCTTGGAATGTACCCTCCTGTTATGTGATGCATGACTGTAATAAAACACACATCCTCATAAAATAATCCACATCCTCAAATTCAGACCAGATTTCTTCATATCTCAATGTTAACTTTTACTGTAACTTGCTCTTAAATGCTGTGTTTCTTTGGGAGATTCTGGGTGCATCGCTGGACCCAGGTGACTGCTTTTCCATAGCTTCCTACCACTTTTTCTCTGGCCCCAGAACACCTGCCTGTGATTGATCATTGGGTAATGCACAGGCAAAAAAACCTGGGCAGAATTATGGTGCAGCATTCCTTTCGTTATTTGTCTTCTTCTTAACAGCTGAATTAAGGGTCTGAAGAGCTCATTTGAAAATTATTATTAATATTGGACCTGGTCCCAGGTAGAACCAATATACTCTAGTCTTTAAGGAGTGGCGGGTTCACCCAATGAAATAAATTAACTTGGGGAAACAGATAATCATCTGGTGCCTGGTAAGACGTAATTTGCTAGTTGATATCCTAGTTCCCTGAAATAATTAATTTACCTCTCACTGGAGAATGGTTCATTCTCAGGCAGTCATTCCACCACATTCCTTCTCCAGCATCTTCCGGCTCTCAACACGAGATTTAAAACTGGTCCAGTTCCCAGGCCAGATGCTCATGAGTTCATATTTCACACTAAGAAAACCTAAAAAATGAAAAGTCCTGACTTTAAAAACAAACTAAGTGAATTGTTGGTCACTTTACAGAAGGATTTTTCACTTTACTAAAGACAAATATTTTAGCCTAAGTGTAGCTAACACAAATTTTGATGAAAACAAGGGTACCTGTCAAAGGTATGAGGATAAAGATGTCATCCTAACTTTACTTAGGTAAACGTCATTTTAGAGTCCCACTGTGCCAAGAACGATGTCTTATGCATCCTAGCTATTCAGAATTATTCATATTCACCATACTGAATTTAGCCTGCCACACACTTCATCAAAGTGCACCTTAATGGTGGGAGGCACGGTTCCTCCGCTTCAGCAGCAGTGACGTGTTGGGCCAGTAAATCTTTGTTGTGGGGGTCTCCTGTGCATCATGGGATGTGTAGCAGCATCCCTGGCCTCCACTGCTAGATGCCAGTAGCACCTTAGCCATTTGTGACAATCAAAAATGTCACTAGACCTTGCTAAAGTTCCCCATTGTCAAAACGGCCCCCAGCTGAGAACCACTGTTCTAATGGCTTTTTATTCTTCTTAAAGTCATTTGTTGCCATAGCAAGTGTTTCCAAAATGCCAGCTTAAACCTTCACTGGTAGTGAAAATAGCATTTATTTTAGGGGGAGAAATGTTCCCAAATGTTTCACAAACTTCTCCTCTAAGTAATTCCATAGGAAATGGGTAGTCAGATGGAATTGTGGGCACAACATATTCATAGTAAGATAAGTTCCAACAATTTCAGATTTTCCCTTTGAGACTAAGCATGTAACAAAGTGTCCCTTGTTAGACTTTGTCAAAAATGACTGCATTCTGGCTTTGCTAGGTTTGCCAGAGAATCTGTTTATATTTATACAAAATTTCACTATGCTTTTTAAAAAGTGATTTTTTTAATGTTCCCAGACTTTTTTTTAAATAGAGGAAAAACATGTAATCAACAACCACAGATTTAATGTCTTTTGTGACTTTTTACTTTCTCATTACAGGGTCACAATATCTTTGCTAACCTGTCCTCCAAGGAATATAGTGACCTTATGCAGCTTTTGAAGCAGTCAATATTGGCAACAGACCTCACGCTGTACTTTGAGTAGGTATTGGCATTTGATCTGTTTGACAAATGGAAGTTCCATCCTGTAACTAATCTCCAGGTCTACACTGGAGGTTACCTGTTATTCTAGCATTGATATCAATGTGTAAACCAGCTAAACTTTTTTTGTTGTTGTTTCTCTCTGATATAAATGAAGTCCATTAAAGTGGTGTGTATAAGCCAAGAGAGTCAGGACTACAGTCACAAGATTTCTATTTTTCTTCTGTTTTATGAGCTTGTTTGACACACAACTCTGAAACTAAGTGATGGCCATTTTTATCTTAGATCCTAGCTAATATTGCTATTTAAGACTGTTAACTTCTGGTCAGCTGTATAATGGCATTGATAACGAAGATGAAAAATATTCAGTGATGGAAAATTAACTAGCAATGCAACAGTTCATTCCTTGATTCTTTTCTATCTCTTTCTTAGAAGGGCTTTCTCTCCTTTTCACCAAAGTTCAGGCCTTTCTCTAAGCTGGAAATTGCACCCTCCCATTTCCAGTGGGACCTGCTCTATCAGGCGCCATCTCTCTTAGCAGCCTGGAAATTTCTTCCACCACTCATTTGCACAATTTTCTCCTATCTTAAAGACCAAAGCCTGTCACTCCCTTAAAAAAATTTTTCATTTGACCCCATGGAGATCTTTAATTGCTTTTTTATTTACCTTTCTTTTACTGTCTACCTTTTTAAATAAACAGAGCACATTTAGTACCTCTATTTTCCTAACACCCATTTACACCGTGAAGAGCAGAGTCCATCTCCGCACTCTATCAAAATTGTACACTCAGAGGTCACCAGAGACATTTCTTTCCTCAAATTCAATGGCCTGTACTCATTTTTGATAGTTTCCATCTTCTCTGAGATATCTGAAGGTTTAGTTAGTTATTATTAATTTCTACTCTCCTTGCTTGCCCAATCTCCAGCTGCCTTTCTCTCTTCTTTTCTAGATCCTTGGCAGGTTTCTTTTCTCCTTGCTCCTGTGTATAAGCTCTTGAAACATGTTCTTCTTTCTCTACTCAGACCACTCCCCTGGCCTCATTTCTATGTTACCTATATTTATGTTATGACCTGTGTGTAGAAGACTCTGAAATTCTTCACTCCAAACTTCCTCACACTGTAGACCTCCAGCTTCCATCTCAAAAACCTTCAGTGTCCACATTGCTTTCAAAGGAAGTTCTAAACTTGGTTTGACTTTCAAGGCCCTCTATAATCTGCCCCCAACCTTTTTTCATTCTTACCTTCCACTTCTCCCCTACATGATTGGTCTACGTCAACCAGACTAGTCTACGCATTACCCTTTGGAACACCCTGTGTAATGCCCCCTGTGCCCTGATGTATCACCATTCCCACATCGAATCCTGTTCCTCCACTCGCCATCTTCCTGACTGACCATCCTTTAAGATCTGTCTCTTCTGTCACTTTTTCTAGGAAGTCTTGTGCCATTCGCTTTGAAATGACTCCCTTTGAAAAGCACTGTGGCATTGCATCAGTTAGAATTAGGTTCAATTGTAAGGGATGTTCAAAGCTTAAGACACGAAAAGCTCAAAGAGATTGCTAGAAAATCAGTATATAGAATGCTTAGCACCCAGGAAGTCCTCTACTAACACAGCCAGGTCACTCCCCTTATTCTACCTTTAGAAGGCCAGAAATGTATCCTCTGGAGAAATAAAATGAAGAGCTCTGAACTGAGGAGAGGCACAGGGTGGGAATGAGATACAGTGCTCAGAAGAAGAGATTAAGTTAAGTGGAACCAGTCTCTGGATTGAAAACCTGTAGGCCATAGCCAAGCACTTAGAAGCTAGGAGTCTATAAGCCATACACCCAGGGTTGTCAGATTTAGCAAGTAGAAGTACAGAAAGTCCAGTTACATTTAAATTTCAGATAAACAATAAATACTTTTTTAGAATAGATAGTTAGATGTCCCATGAAACATTTGGGACATATTTATACTAAAAATTATTTTTTGTATATTTCAGAATAGCTACAAGAGAGGACTTGAAATGTTCCTAACAAATAGAAATGATAAATATTCAAGGTGACAGATATCCTAAATACCCTTACTTGATCATGGCACATTCTGTGCATGTAACAAAATGTCATATGTACCCAATAAATATGTATAAATATTATGTATCAATAAAATATTTTTAAAATAATTATTTTTAACGGAAACAAATTATTTTATCTAGCAATTATACCCCTCCCCCCCCACACACAACTCCCATTTAGCTTTTTAATACCTTACTATTACATGCAGAAAACCAAGAATCACAGAACATTTTTTCAGCATCCGATAGGAAAGACAGAGGCCAAACAAACAGAAAAAAAAAATGAAATTCAGAGAAAACAGGGAGAGGAAGAAAACAAAACTAAAAACTGTTGTTAGAATTCTCAGAGAGCTAAGATATTGCATCCATGAAACAAGAACAGGATGCTTTTTAAAAATAGTAGTAGGAGCAACTATGAAAAAGAAGGCACTTTCAAAAATTAAGAACATGATAGCCAAAATAAAAAAAATCAAATGAAAGCATTAGGAAACACAGGCCAAGGACAAAAGCCAGCAAAATAGAAAACACTGCTATATTTCATTGTATCTCTTTTAGTACTATTTGATTTGTTAACTATGTTCATGTATTACTTTGATAAATATAATTTTAATTAGTTTAAAATATATACTTAAAAATTAAAATCCCAGCTCTGCCACTAATTAGCTGTGTGTCATCAGATAAATTATTTACTTCTCTGAGCCTTTCTTTCAAGTATAAAATGGAGATAACAGTACCTATGTCATGTCTTAGAAATGGTGACATCTACAACCTCATTTGCTTTATAACCTATTTATTTTGCATGTTTTGTGGCCCTTTGGTTGACTTAAATATCATGATCTTTCATCTATTTTCTGGATTAATGCTCCTTGATTTG
Organism: Homo sapiens; assembly: GCF_000001405.40. Taxonomy (NCBI): domain Eukaryota; kingdom Metazoa; phylum Chordata; class Mammalia; order Primates; family Hominidae; genus Homo; species Homo sapiens. The sequence continues at coordinate 177,694,407 of NC_000002.12, read as the reverse complement.
GGATTTATGGAAAGTCTGTATCCTTTTAATGTTTTATTGCCTGTCCCTGACACTTGCAGGATCTTGTGTTATTTTCCTCAAAGTAGAAGAATTTTCCCAAGCCATCTTTCCAAGTAACTTCTAAAGAGAGAAAAAAAAATATCAACACTCAGAGTCCATTTATCAAGCTCTGTTAGGGATTTGACGAATCACTGAGTGACCACTGGCATGCAGTCAACGAAGTTGGTTGCAACTCGTTTTCTCATTACTCTGTTCTTATCTTAATGCTGCAGCCCCTGCTAATGTTTGCTGACTCCCAAAGAAGCTGGCTTGTTCTCTTTTCATCAGCATTATTGTTTTTTGAGGTTCTGAATAGCTGCCCATTCTCTAATCTAGACTTTCAGAGGATTGATTCACTTGCCTGTCTAAAGTTGCATTAAAATATTGCCATATTTTTAGCCAGAACAATCCCTAGAGTTATAATGAGAGGGAAAGCAGCTACTACAAACTGTCGCCCCGATGTTTTTATTTAATAAATGTGCAATTGTGGAATCGGAAGGATCTTAGAAATGATGCAATCCAATTCATCTCCTTTTTTGCTGATCAGGCACAGAGGTCCAAATGGTTAAATAGCGTAGCTTAGGTCACATAACTCATTATTGGTAAAACTGGAACCCACACCTCCTCTTTCAGGGCTTTTTCTTCAATCACCATGCTTCCCTCTCTAATGGAAGAATCAAGAAATCATTGTCATTTTAATTGGGGATATATTATGTGATAATGTTGACTCTTTCCAGGTGTTCTGTAATCAGTTTAAACACTAGCTTGAGGCCCCTGTGTCCTCTCCCAAAGCAAAGTTGGAGATAAAGGCTTGCATTCAGGTAGTTTAGTTTTGGAAATGACACCAAGAATAAGAGTGAGGGGCTGGGACAGTGAAATGGGGAAGGAGGGAAGCCAGTGAAAGGAAGGACACATTTCTTTGTTGTTCTCCACTATGGTCAGCCAGTCTTGATCCTGCAGGGACCATCTGAGAAGTCTCATATATCGCACTTCAAAATTGTCCGCCACCCACCATCCTCATCAACCAAATGTTGATCTGTGGGATGTTAACTCTCATGTACTTCCATGTTGTGTGTGCCTGATGACTGGGCATTCCTGCAGCTGTCTCATCCCTGTTCTCACACATGAAGTCATGTGTGAAGTGCCAGGGCAGAAAGTATGTGATCCGCAGGACCGCTGAGGCACTGCGTGTAGCAGCAATGGCAGGAGAGGGGTGGGTGAGCCAAGAGGATATTAGGCTCCCCGTACAATTAGTTTCTGGAAGTCTGGATTATTGTTGGTTCTTCTGCCCTGACTACTCAACCTAAAAGTCATGATACAGTTGAAGAAACCAAAAAGGAAGCTCACTGCTTTCCTCCCCTAGAGGGAGAAAGTCACTCTAGGAAAGGGCCAGGCTGGGCAGGGTAGAGCCCTGCCTTTTGGAGACAGGTTTCTGACTCATTCCTAGAGGCAAGATTTCTTGCCATGCTCTAAAAGGAAAAAAATATATGAGATTCATGGAAATGTGGAAAGGCTTTCAAAACATCCACAAAAACTTATGACTTTAATTTCTAAAGACCTTGTGTGTCCTTGGGATTCTATGTCATTCAAATGGCATATGAAAGCAGAATTCACAAGATTAAAATACAAAAACAAACAAAATCCTTAATGTGAATTTCTAAGTTTCACAACCTGAGCCTGGGGGTTAATGATTCACTCTGATTTTCCAACTCACTGAAAACGTTTTCCAGTTACTGCTGAGCAACTTTCTGAAATGATTTCTGTGCCTGTTTCTGAGTCCCTGCAGTGAATAAGGATTTGATAATTAAGTAGTAATTTCACCAGCTTTGAGAGTCGGATCTCTCTTTGCCTCAGTTTCCTTGTCAGCAACAGGGGTATAGGCATATCACCCATTCTAATCTCCTAGGATCCTTGTGGCAGTGAAAAGAGATTAATTTTATGAAAGAGCTTTGACAATGTAAAGTACCTTATAAAAAAAGGAATCACTCAGCCAGAAAACTTAATAAAACATGCACCATAAAAGATGATGCTTGTTGGAGTGGGCAGAGAGATCTAAAATTACAAATGTTATAACTTCAAAGGGATGATACAAATGCCCTGTACTATTTATCTGCATGTAAATCAACAAAGATGACCTATGCACCTTCCACTATTAGTAATAAAAACAACAACTAATACTTTTTGAGTGCTTACTTAGGACCTTTATATATACATTATGCCATTCAACAGTGAAAGCAGTCCTATTAAAATAGGTACTATTATTAATGTCAACCTAAAAGAAAGAAACTGTGGCAAAATTAATATAAGTAGAGAGTTTATTTGAGCCAAGATTGAGGACTGCAACCCCGGAGCATGGATTCAAGTTGCCTTAAATATACAGTCCAATTAGCAGCAGTTACAAGTGGATTTTCAAAAGGAAAGGAAAGGTATTTTCTACATTGTTTACCAAGAATTTACATTAACATAACATAAGCTATTGATTGGCTTTGTTACATTGTCTCTTGTATCACAAATTCTAGGAACATGAAGATAGTGGGTGAGGTAGCTAGTCAGAAACAAAATGACTTTCAACAGTGGCCCCCAAGCATGGGTTAGGGGAGTGGGGAGCGTGACTGAAGTCCCATACTCATTACTCTCTGGGCCTTCAAGGAGCTCAGACTGCTCTGAGCTGTTTTTTCTTTTCTCATTAACCCCACAGTACACATGAGGAAACTGAGGTTTGGAGTGATTCAGTAAATTGCTCACAATATTAAATAGTATATCTGGAATTTGAACCAAGTAGTTGGACTCCAAAATGTTCTTAGTTACTCTGCAGTTATATAGCAGTCCAAGAGTACTCAAGGGGAAACTGGGGCCAATCCAGGAAACATTTGGGCATTAGAAACAGCAGAAATTTGAGGATGCAAATGTCTAAAGCTAGTTCCAAACACACTTTGTGTTAGCATGCTAAGTGTTAGCAATTCAGCTAATGCCAGGCCCCACCACTGGGAGTGCAGGGTGGATGTGGAGGCTCCAAGTCAGTGATACTCGGACCCAGTCTGGTGGGGCTAAGACTGCAATTAGAGGCTTCTTGTGTGAAGTTGAGCTAAGTTGGTGCACCAGGGGTTGAAAATTCTGTAGCTTTAATACAGTCACAGGGGTTGTTGCTATTGGGTAGCAATAAACAGTTTAGCACTGATCCTCAACAGGTTGTGATTACATAACGCTATATCTCATCCTCTAGGTGCCTGCTCCATGCCCAGCACCATTCTAGGCATTACAGTATCTTCCTGTATCAGCACTGAAATGGAAGCTCTATGAATGCAGACACCTTACTCTTTAGCTCACTCTTGGAACCCACAAAACCTGACACACTGCCTGACATAATGAGTTCTCAAAATAACTTTTTGATACTGAATTATCATATCAATGTGCAAGGTAGATATTGTTAGCCCCATCTGATAAATAGGGAAAACTGGGCTTATAGAGGTTGAGTAATTTGTCCAAAGTCACTAAGTTGTCTGTGATCAGTTCTCCATGACACAATGCCTCAGAGCATGATTTAAGCAAATAATTTTCCAATAATTCAGATAAATCCACTTGGGTGCTCAATGCTTTTAAGATCGGCTTCCTAAATTAATCAGACTTATCTTCAAATTGAAAATTTGCCACCTCTCTTTGTGATCTACACTCATCAGCAATTATGGAAAATGCCCAGTCTGATGGTTTCTTTGTATTTGTCTCTCGAAAGGGATGCAGTAAATAGCATTTCTCGAAAGCATCTGATGATGACAGAAAAATGCACTAAACTATTTTAAATTGTTCAATGTGATAGTTTGACCAATTCTTTTAAAAATTAGATTAATATCTAGACAATTCATTTAAAAAAATTACAGTGGGAACTCAACAAATGTTTCTACTGCTAGGCAAACATTCATTCATCATTCAACAAAAGTTTATTAAAAGCCAGCTATGTTCAGTGTCCTCAACTTCCACAGTTGCCTGCGCTCAACCAACCCCATACTGGAAAGGATGAAAGTAAACTGATTAGTAATAAGGTGTTAATGACTGACAAAACTTAAGCCATTACTCTATCCCAAACATTATTATATTTTAACAGAGCCTGATGACTTAACTCATTGAAATTATATATTATTATAACATTAGGTCAGCAGCCCCTGTAGTAGGTTGATGGAGGAAATATTTTGGTAATTCTTGACATATTTCAAAGAATTTTTCCATATACTCATTCCATATCCCCATCCATATGATATCAAAACTGACTAAAAAATGAGAAATGTAGCCAAATAGCACTTCTTAATGGTTTCTTTGTGCCAGGCACTGTGCTAGTTGCTGGTAATGTACAAGCAGATAGGACACGGTTCTTACCTTCAGGGACTCAGAGCCCAGTGGGGAAGAGAGAAGGCAGCAACATCTAGCAGCGAAGGGCTGTGTGGAAGTGAATGCAGGAGCAGCTGGAGTGCGCTCCTTCTAGCCATGGCTTACACAGCTTCTTTGCCTGGTGATTGTGGTTTGAATGAACTGACTGCTGGGGCCTTGTGGTCTCTAATCTTCTGCCATTTTCAACATCTAGAGTAATTCTTATCTCTACTTCCTGCATTTTGCCGGTTTTATTTGTGCCATCAACAAAAGCACAGCATCAAACAAGTCATTCACTCAGGTTCTTGGCAGGCCCTTGTATTATCAGTGCTAGTCTGAAGCAGGGAGAAAGTTCACTTCAAAATTAAATAGAACACTTTTTTTCTTTAGTCATAATAACTGGAGTTAACATCTGTATATTAATTTTCTATTCCTCTTCAATGTTTGTATGCAAAGAAAGTCCAGAAATCTCTCTAGAATCTGCATGTAACAATTAATTGCAGATGTATGATTTGCCTGTTGAGCAAGCTGTAAGAAGACCAAAAGCACCCACTCACCGCATCCACACATCTGTGCACCCTGCAACCCCTGCCTGACAACTCTGGAGTTAAAATTGAGGAGAGTTACAGGCCGGGGACAGTGGCTCACGCCTGTAATCCCAGCACTTTGGGAGAACAAGGCAGGTGGATCACCTGAGGTCAGGAGTTCGAGACTAGCCTGACCAACATGGAGAAACCCCGTCTCTACTAAAAATACAAAATTAGCTGGGCGTGGTGGTGCATGCCTGTAATCCCAGCTACTCAGGAGGCTGAGGCAGGAGAATCTCTTGAACCCGAGAGGAGGAGGTTGCGGTGAGCCGAGATCACGCCATTGCACTCCAGCCTGGGCAACAAGAGTGAAACTCCATCTCAAATAAAAAAACAAAAAGAAAGAAATTGAGGAGAGTTACAGTGATGATTTGCCACCTCAGCAGTAAAACCTTCCTAATGTTTATGGACTTTCAGTAGATTCAAAGGAGTTAGATGAATAGATAAAGAATATATATTCCTAAGTACATGTATAGATACATAAATTTGCAAAAAATTTCATGATTAAAATGTTCACAGAAATGGTGATTTCTCACTTTACAAATAAAAGATGCCTTGCAGATAAATTACAAACCAGAAAGTTTTTCAATGTGGTGATGGGTGACTGGTAACCAATCTTTAGAATTATTTTTGAAGGTAATTTTAGCCGTTCTGTTCAAATGATGCTTTTTTAAAGACTGCTATTTTTCTGAGTGGGACATATGTCAGGCGAGCAGGATGAAAGCCTAATAAAAACATATCTGATTATAAATGAGATTTTCCAGTAAGTTGCTTTTCACTAGCTGAGGTACTTGCCATTGTCCTTGAAAACCAAGGTTCCCCATGATCTGCGTGAGAAGTTAATGATACAGTTCCTCATGACAAAGAAGTCTGGATCCAGCGGGTATTGGGTATTTTTGTGGATTTTCAAATATTCTTTTTAGCAGCCTCATGCTTCTAAAAATGCCCCTGTTTCTAACAGTTTCACATATGTTCATGCTGTTTACTCTGTTTAATCTATATACACATGTACATTTAGATGCTAACAGAACAGCTGTATAGGCAAACTTGTTCCCAAAAGCACAGTGAATTTCACATTGTTACTTTGTAATGATTATTACTAGGGAGAAGGTCAGAAATACATCACCTGGAGCTGTGAACCACCAACCTGGCACAAGCAATCTGCAGCTCTTCTTTGGAGCACCCCCTTATTGATGATGGAAAGAACCCTGTCTGTGTCTGCCTTGATACTTGGTATTGCCTTGGTACAGCAGCCTGTGATGCTGTTACATAGCATGAGGGCTGCTGGCCCCACTGTCCATACACTTACAACATGAAAAGCTATCTGGCCCAAAGGTTTATGCTACACATAGTTTACAAAGATTATCTCAGAGGGCAGAACCGGGAGGCTGGGGACTTATAATCTACCCAGAAGGAAAAGTTCTTCCTTATAGAAGATTTCAATTAACACACATGGAAAGGTGGAAATGGAAAAATCATCAGCTGGCAAATACCACGGTAGTAATTTTTATTGGCAACAATAAATCTTTCTGTAACTGCCCTGGGACCTTGAACAAGTCACTTCACCTTCCTTCACCTTGAGTTTCCTCACCTATAAAATGAGAGAATTAATAGGAGATTTTTCTCAAAAGTTCCATACAGCCCTACCAGTCTATAACTATAATGAAAATTCAAACATAGAAAAGAAGTCATTCTATGACCCAGCAATTTTACATATACATGTACATATTCATATACACAGAGAGAGAGAACTCACACAAATTCACAAGGAAACATGTACAAGGTGGTTCATAGCTGCATTGTATGTAATAGCAAGAAATATTAGAAAAATATAAATTTTCATCTTCCAGGAAATGGGTAAATAGACAGTGGTATAATAATAGATGGAAATAGCATACATCAGTATGAAGGAATGGCCTAGAATTATATATAACAACATGGGTAACTCTCGCAAGCATTGAATGGAAAAAGCAAGTTGCCAGAGAATACATACACTATGATGACCGTATTTGTATAAACTTTTAAAACACATAGAGCAATATTATACAAAATTTGCCTAGTAAAATTATAAGGATATATGTGATGATGCTTTATACACAATTTAGAAAATGGTCATTGTATGGTGAGTGGGAAGAAGACAGAAGCAACAGTTGGGAGGTGCACAGGGCCTCAACAGGACTGGCAGAGACTTACTTCTAGGCAGGGAGGTAGATGGAAACTCTATGTATGTCCACTGTGTAATTTTTATACCTTTTACGTTTATTAAATATGCACAATAAATTTATTACATGATCTTGCCATATCATCACTTCAAAATCCTTTTTGTAGCCTTGTGAAAATGATTAACTCTATCTCCTGAGCTTTCAAGAAGGATTTTTTTCAGGAACTTTAAAAAAATTTAAATGTGGCCAGGCACAATGGCTCATGCCTGTAATCCCAGCACTCTGGGAGGCCGAGGTGAGTGGATTACCTGAGGTCAGGAGTTCAAGATCAGCCTGGCCAACATAGCAAAACACCATCTCTACTAAAAATTAAAAAAATTAGCTGAGCATGGTGGCAGGCACCTGTAATCCCAATTACTCAGGAGGCTGAGGCTGAGGCAGGAGAATCACTTGAACCCAGGAGGCAGAGGTTGCAGTAAGCCAAGATCGCACCATTGCATTCCAGCCTGGGCAACAAGAATGAAACTCCATCTCCAAAAAAAAAAAAAAAAAAAAAAAAAAAATTTACATGTACTTTGGTTTAAACTTTAAAATATCTCTTTGGCTATTTTATATGTGACCAAATACATTACCAGATGTGTTATACATGGTTCCACCAGTGACTACACCTTTCTTTTCCTTTTTTTTCTTTTTTGAAACAACGTCTCACTCTGTCGCCCAGGCTGGAGTGCAGTGGTGTGATCACAGCTCACTGCAGCCTTGACTTCCCAGGCTCAATCTATCCTCCCACCTCAGCCTCCCTAGCAGCTGGGACTACAGGCGTGTGCCTCCACATGTAGCTAATTTTTGTATTTTTTCTAGAGACGGAATCCCACTTTGTTGCTAAGGCTGGTCTCCAACTACTGGGATTGAGCAATCCTCCTCCCTTGGCCCCCCAAAGCACTGGGATTACAGGCGTGACCCACTATACCTGGCCTCTCATGTTTTTCTTGACAAAATTATACAAGTTGATGAGTTCCTCATGATTCCTATTATCCAGAAAGATTCCTAATCTCTCTTAAGAACATAATCAAACCTTGGGACGACAGAGTAAATAGAACTTATCACGAAGTAGCCATCCTTTTGTCTGTGAAGGAAGAATCAAATTAGCATGCTACGTTTTGATATACCCAATGAAAAGGCTCCTCTCACTGTTCCCTAGGAATACTGGATGTTCCCTTTTGTCCTAGTGTTGCTAATGTGATGTGAAGTCTATGACTGATTTTGATTCTGTTGATTTAAGACCTTCACACCAGCAACTCTAGCTGTTAAAATTTCTATCATTGGGGAATTTATTCTTATGATGCTGTTTGATTTTCATATCATAGATTTGCATTTTTTATAGAAAGGAATTTGGGCCAGCACGATGGCTCACACCTGTAATCCCAGCACTATGGGAGGCCGAGGCAGGTGGATGACCTGAGGTCTGGAGTTCGAGACTGGCCTGACCAACATGGAGAAACCCCATCTCTACTAAAAATACAAAATTAGCCAGGCCTGGTGGTGCATGCCTGTAATCCCAGCTACTTGGGAGGCTGAGGCAGAGAATCGCTTGAACCCAGGAGAACCCAGGAGGCAGATTGCGCCTCAGAACCAGTGAGCCAAGATCGCGACATTGCACTCCAGCCTACTCAACAAGAGCGAAACTCCGTCTCAAAAAAACAAAAAAAAGAGAAAAAAAGGATTTGTTTTCTGCAATGAGTTAGTCACACAGGGAACATGCTTTCACTCTGCATCAAAGATGTTATGTTCCCTATAGTGAACATACTATGGGCAGATATAACAATCGTTAGTGGAAGGTGAGTCAGATATTGGATGGAAATGGTGTTCTTACTTTCTACAACTTGTTATGTTGCCCATTTGGTTCATGTTAGAATCTACTCTGCAAGAATCTGACAGGGCTTTTCCTGAATAGATTTTGTGTTGTTTACTTACCTCAATCTCTCTCTCCAAATGGCAACTGTGAAGCCCCTAGAAAAATTAGGATCTAGGTGAAACCAGTGTTTAAAGAGTTTGTTTGTTTAATGATTAGCTTTCTAAGATAATCATTCTCATTCATTCATCAACAAATATTTATTGAGCTTCTACTACATGTCAGGCATTGTTGTAGGTATTAAGGGGCAGAAGTGAACAAAAGTGGGCCAAGCCTTTGTCCTCATGAAGCTTAATTCTAGCGATTTCTTGGAATAACTCATAGAATTGAAATGGCCACCCAGGAACATATGACAAGGAGGATGGCTGACAAACTTTCAGAAAGTCTTTCACAATCCTCCAGGATCCTCCCAGCCAAGCAAAGTGCCTTCCTCTGTGCTCCAAGGACACCCTGGATGTATCTTAGCTGCTTGGGGCAGCTGTTATTTTAACCTACTGTGTTTGTATCCCAGCTCTGCCACTCACCATCTGTGAAACCTTGAGCCAGGTACTCACCCTTCTGAGCTTAATCACAGTAACTAATCCTTACTGATAACCTAATTTTGCCAGGCAATCTGCTAAATGTTTTACATAAATCATTTCCTTTGATCCTCCCATCAACCCTACAAGGCAGATCCCATTACTATAACTCTTTTACTAATAAGAAAACTGAAGTCCAGCAAGGTTAAGTAACCTACTCAAGGTCAGTCATGTAAGTAGTGAGTGCCAGACCCCATTAAGTCTGCCAGGAACACAGTAAAGACCCAGTGAATATCATCCTCATCAGGGCTGGAACTAGGGTGAAGCAAGTGAGGTGAGTGGTTCAAGTACAAGTTCAGATCTTGTCTTTATTTAGAATTTTGTTGTTGTGTTCATTATGGATGTTTTACATTTATTTTTATTTTGTTAAATATCACATTAAAATATTTATCTTGATAACTAAGTTTTTTGGCACCCACTTCAGTTTTGTGCCCCAGGTGAGTGCCTCTCTCACATCACTCTAGTCCCAATATTATTATTCTCATTAATATTACATTTAAAGAGGGAATTACCTATTTATTTGTTGGTAGCCCTGGCTAAACTCAGAGACATTTAAAAGTAACACCCAATTATCATGTGACCGTAAAGCCTAATAAAGACTTGTTACAGAGTAGATGTTCAATAAATACTTGTTGGACTTCATAATAATTTGAAAAAAAGATGAATTTCTATGTAGTGAGAGGAGAAAACTGGGCAAACTGTTAGATCTCCATTAGTCCAGTTAGTCCAATTTGTATTATTGTTGGCAGTAATAGTATTAATATTGTTTACAAATTAACCATAGCTTCAGGTATTGAGTATCTAACAGGGCCAAATGTTTAGTGCACCTTATCTCAATTTCTCACTACAAAGCTGGAAACTAAGGCTCAGCAATGTGAAATTACTCACCCAAGATCACACAGCTAATAAGTGACAGTCAGCATTAAGCCAGGTCGGTGTGGGTCCAAACCTGGGCTCTTTCCACTCCACCACTTCCCTTTCTATTTCACTTCACAGTCAGTGACTGTAATGTTGTAGAATAAACTGGGTTCTTGTCACACGACCAGAAAAGATTAGGCAAGCAGACACTTTGAAGGGTGAGAGGTTATGGAATTTATTGGGCAAAAAGGAAAAAGACTCAGCAAAGCAAGAGAGGTTCCTGTTAACAGGCCCCCATCTCACAGACTGAATCCCAGGTTCCCACACAGGAACAGAAGGGGCCAGGCTCCTCCCTACTGCAAACAGCGCAAACTTCCGGAGGCCTCACCCATCCTCCCAATGCGCAGGCGGGTTGGAGATTCTCCGGGGAGCTCGTTTTACTTGGCTATCTCAGTAATATGAAAAAGGCACGACCATTGGTCATGAAGAAGGGAATGGGTCAAGTGAAGAAGATAAGAAAGTTATATGAAGAAAAGAACTGTATACACCTGCCCACCCAAAGTAGAAGGAGTTCCTGGGCCCTTCTGTGTAATTGGGTTATGCCATCTCGCCAGTTGCCGTAAGGTTGTCTTGGAGATTCTTCCATGCTGTATGTAGTATGGCCTTGACCTGCATCATCTTGAAAGGATAGATCCAGGACCTGTCTTTGTGTCTCTAATACAGAAGTGAACTATACATTTGTCTTCCTGACCTGTCTCCTTTCAAGTAATTTTAGTAGTTAGTCTGACCCATTGGCAAGAAATCCACACAGTTGGTCAGTTGGTGATAAGCACCCCAGGCCAGACACAGAGGAGCCAGTTGTTCTCAACCTCTTGTCCTTTGTCCCCCAGTACAGAGGGTCAGCACTAAGTTTCTGAGATCCTAGTCTGATTTCTACCATAAATTATATGTCATGATGGTATTTTCCAAATATGTCTGATTTCTACCATAAATTATATGTCATGATGGTATTTTCCAAAGTGTAGTTTTTGAAACATCAGTACTATGTGGAATTTTGTGATGAAATAAGGTTAAACAGGCTTTTCTACGTCCATATTTCTCAGAGACTTCAAAGGCTAATATAGATGGTGTCTCCAAGAGAGGTATATTAAGGGCAGCATTTCTCAAACCTACTTGGCAGGAACATCTTCACATGGAGCACCTCTTAAGTCTAGCATTTTGAGAGATGCGTTTTGGGAAATGGTGTGTTAGGATCTCTTAAATATTCTCTCATTAGCAAGTGCCAAGAGGATGAAAACTTGGGAAGTGATTCTTAAATCAAAATGGTGATGTCCTCTTTTTTTCCTTTTCTCACTAAAACTGAAAATCATCTAACTAAAATATTCCTTGCTTGTCTTTTCCGTATCTACGCATCTCCAAATGGATTTCCATGGGTGTATGTGTGAGTTGTAAACCAAAAAGTGTCTGTGACAGGACTTAATCAATTTAGAAGTTTATTTTGCTGAGGTTAAGGACATGCCTGTGACATAGACTCAGCAAGTCCTGAGAACATAGGCCCAAGGCGGCTGGGCTACAGCTTGGTTTTATATGTTTTAGGGAGACATAAGACATCAATCAATACATGTATGATGTACTGGTTCAGTCAGGAAAGGCGGAACATCTTGAAGTGGGGAGTGGCTTCCAGGTCATAGGTGGATTCAAAGATTTCCTGATTGGCAGTTAGTTGAAAGGGTCTATCTAAAGACCTGGAATCAATAGAAGGGAGTGTCTGGGTTAAGATAAGGGGTTGTGGAGACCAATGTTTTTGTTATGCAGATGAAGCCTCCAGGTAGCAGCCTTCCAGAATAAATTGTAAATGTTTCTTATCAGACTTTAAAAGGTGCCAAGCTCTTACTTAATTCTCCCCTGGATTAGGAAAAGGACCTGGAAAGGGAAGGGGATTCTCTACAGAATGTAGATTTTCTCCAAAAGAGACAGCTTTGCAAGGCCATTTCAAAATATGTCAAATAAATATATTTTGGGATAAAATACTTTGATTTCTTTTAGGGCCTGCTGTCTGTCATGTTGATATCTTATTGCTACAAAGTGTCTGCTTTGTCAGTCTTAAGGTCTCTGTTTTAATGTTAATGCTGGTCAGCTGTACCTGAATTCCAAAAGGGAGGAAGGAATAATGAGACATGTCCAACTCCCACTTCCCATCATGGCCTGTACTAGCATTTCAGGTTAATTTAGGAATGCCCTTGGCCAAGAGCAGAAGGCCATTTATTTGGTTGGGGGCTTAGAATTTTATTTTTGGTTTATAGTGTCAAGCACTTAAAATGTTGAGACACTATGCTACATGCTTTCCACATGTCATTCATTTAATCCTCACAGTAACTCTGTGAGTTAGCAACTGAAACCCCCGTGTTAGAGATTAAGAAATTGAGACTCAGAGGATTTAATTAACTTTCCAAAGCGAGTTGCTGAGCGAGTGTTTAAACACCGTTACTTTCAGACTTCATAGCCTATGCGTTTAAGCACTGAAATGGTGAAATAGTTATTTTCTAACCTGGAAAAAAATATATTTATCTTGAATTTACTACCAGGGAGTTTATCTTATCTTGGATCATCATGCAGCTCAATTCTTTGTTGGATGATAAAAGAACATTCTAGAATTGTCCCCACTTTTTATTTGTCCTTGCCTCCTTTCTCTGACTTTCAGTAAGTATCACTAGGGCTTCACAGCACATAATCCTAAATGCCGCACCACATTGTTTTCTGTTTTATGGCTCTATAATCTCCTCTGTTGTAAATACATTCAGAAATGATTGTGGCTTTTCCTTGAAGCCTCAACATTTTTTAGAAAGTGATTTATTTTGATAGTGCTTTAGCCTCATGATTTCAAATATTAAGTTACTTGGTTCAAGTGGTCTTATGTTTTTCCCATAGATGTGTTTATGTCACCCCACAGACTGGGAAATCTCATTCCAGTTTTTTTTTTCTTTCTTTCTTCATTTGATTTTCCTGCAGGAGGAGAACTGAATTCTTTGAACTTGTCAGTAAAGGAGAATACGATTGGAACATCAAAAACCATCGTGATATATTTCGGTAAGAAAAAGCTCTTGTTTATGTGTTTCTTCATTATTTGGACATTTAGTCCACATAAATTTTCTGACAGTACTAAGAGCATAGAAGTGATTTTTAAAGTAACAAATCTTAGCTTACATTCAAAACATTCAGAGATCAGTTGAATAATTAAAGAAATTACTGAGAATGTCTTTTCATCTTATAATTTATTTTTGTCTCAAAAATCTGCCATCAAAATTAGAAAATGAAGTTCAAATTAGTTCAGTTTTGGCAAGCCATGATTTCTTCTGTTTCCTGGGGAAGTGGGGGTGCAAGTTGGGTGGAGAAGGGATTTTTGCATCCTAGAAATCAGAGTTACATAGCACAAAGGAAGTGGGGAGTAACTTTTGCTTTTCTTTAGAGACAATAGGCATTGCGGATAGAAAACCAGTCAGAACAATATTGGAGGTGGAGATAAGGAGTCTGTTCTAGCCTTTGCCTGGGACGTCTTCCAAGTTGTTTAGAAAGGACAGTAGCAACCCACTCTGTTTATGGGGCAAATTTTAGCCTCTCTTGCAGCCACTCCAGAGAGTGGGCACTATTCCTCTTTCTCTCATACCCCATCCTTCTACTCTCTCCACCTCAACCAGACCTTCTGCTGTCTTATCCCTGTTCTAACATTGCTAAGTTTTGCTGGGAGAGCTCGTGAGGCCAGGGTTAGGGCACACTGGGTCTGCTCCACAACCAGGCAACTACTGGATTACCCCAAGCGGAAACCTTGACATAGTCCTGCCGTATCTGCTATATAAAATCTCTGGCACCATCTTCTGAACACAGGCCACTGCCTGCCCCACCCTCTGTAGCTGTCCTCATGTCACCTTCCTGCAGCCCTCTCCCCAGAGGGCTCTAGTTTTTTTCCTCTATGCTTTAATATTCCTCTGTATTATCTTTACAGGCCTTTTTCTTCATTTTTCATCTTCAAGACCAGCCCCTCCACTGGTGCCCTAATTCCATTCCTTCCACCTCCTCGCCCCTTACCCCAACCTGGCTCTATCAATCATGCTCCTTCAGCTTCCATTTTCAAAATCTGTTTTATTAATCATGACCTTTCTAGACCTAAAAACACACTTCTGCCTCCCCAATCAAAAAGTCATCCCTACAGGCTGCCTTTTCTCCAGACCCCATCATAGTTTTCTCCTTCCCTTTACTCCCACACTTCCTAATTTCTTGCAAGGCAATTTCTTTCTTTTTGTATAATTTTTAATGCCATGAGTAATTATATGAATATATATTTTCTGTAACAAATCAAACATTGCTAATAAGCCCCCAGATCTCCTTTGAGCTCAACCCCCAATTCCCATACTGGTTGCACAGCTGTATTTTGTTATTAGTGTATTGTGTTTTTCCAGACCATTTCCAAAGCATTTACATACACATGCACCCTTAGGAAAAATACTGTTTAGTGTGTATTTTGATTGTCTATTTTAACATAAATTGTATATTTACATACCAATGTGAACATGGTTTTCCACTCAACTACATGCTTTGGAATTCTTTACATGTTTTTACCTCATCATCTTTTATCGTTGCACAGTATTCCAAAATACAGATATACCACAGAGTATTTACCCATTCCTTACTGAGGAATTAAGTCTGTACTATGTGATTTCTGCTTCTGTTGAACCACAGTCACCTTCCAAGTATTAAAAGCTACAACCTTTGTTCTCTTCAGCTTCCTGATCTCTTTATAGCCCCTAATTGTGTTGGCCTCTCTTTTCTTAAAACCCTCTACAGCCTTGGATTCTGCAAAGCCATATACGCTTCTGGATTCTCTCCTTTATTTCTGACTCTTTCCTTCTTAGTCTTTTCTAGCCCTTCTTCCCCCCACCATCCACTAAACAGAACTGTCCCCCAAGGATGTATTTTTTATTCTCTTCTCTTTTTCCTCAGCATCCTTCTAGTGTCACTACTATCTCTTCTCAAATGACTCCCAGCCCTTTTCTTGGGCTTGCCTCTCTTCTGAGCTCTTTTCCTGAAATGCCATTTCTGAGTTTCTCTGCCTAGATATTTTCCTACAGAGATTTTCAAACTGTTTTGACAAGGAACCCCATATGGAAGAAATATCTTATTTGGAAGCATGTTACATAAAATGGAGGTGCTCTGGGTTCTCCCCTCTCCCCTCATCTGCCCTCCCTCCCCCATTTCATGGTTACACTCTGACCACCTTGCACCAAGGGTGGTGCTCTAAGGGAGCACCATCTGTAGAGAATTTTAAAATAGTAATAAAACCAACTAAAAGTCAGTCTGCTTTTTATTACCACCATGTGCCAGCAATTCTAAATAGTCAATGGTGAGATATACCTCCTAAGAAATGTCTTTTATTGGTATAAATTCCAAACAATTGCTGAGGTTACTGTTAAGATAAAAATAATTGATATGAAAGCTTCAAATAAGCACATGTTTATTATTTATCCTTTCTTTGCACACGTAATGTAAGTTAATTCTAAGAATGCCCAGGCATACAGCTGGCTCTTGACATAGGTAGATGCAGCTATACACTTTCAATAGTAAGTTCCTAACCATTTAGAACCTCTCAAACTCTCTGGGTGTCGTTTGTGTTTCTAACCTTGCAGAACTCATATTCCTGCTTTTAAAGACTATATTCAGAACAAACAATGATAGCACGGTGATGGTAAAGATGAAGACATACAACTTGAGATACTTTCATTCTGTCATTTTATGTGATCATTCGTGGGTTTTATTCATGGTTAAAATTTAAAACTGAAATAAGTGCAAACTGCAAAGTGTCATATTTTTGTTAGGCAAGTGCAGATTTCAGTCTACACAAAATCTTTGTACTCAATTTGAATATATCTTTAACATTAAAATTTGTTCATTTTAAATTGTTTTACAACTACAGAACAAATCAAGAAGATAATGATTGTCACAAGATTATTATTGAAATAATTTTGGCATATAGAGGAGAGGTATGTTAACTCACTATAAACTGAACTAGAATTATAGGGACCTCAGTCTAAAACAGTTAGTAAAAACTCTCTCCCTGGTCTTTTACTCTCAAAAAGATCTTTCACTTCTTGAAGAGCCTTAATCTAAAAAATAACATAGAACTGCTCATTTGTTTTCTTCAGTTCTTCCTTTGCAATCTTCCATCCCTGTGCCTCCCTTCCCACTCTCCCTTCCTTGTTTTAGGCTCCTATCAATTTACATCTCCAATGAGTCTCCTTCCTTCCACCCTCTCCTTCTTCAAACCATCCTCACATCCACCACCTAAAGTTTCCTCCCTAAAGGTCTATCCAGGTCCCTCCTGAGTCCCCAGGCTTAGTTGACTCCCCAGTGCCAGATGGACAAAGGTTGCAGCCACTCTACCCGTCCTACCTCTCAGCCTGTCCTGTCTCCCTTCTCTGCATGGACTTCTTGCTCCACTGTATTCATTGAAGTAGAGATTCTTCTGTCAGACAAAGGATTCCAATCCCAGCTTTGACACTTAATAACTGTACAACCTTGTGCAAGTTACCTAACGTTTCTGAGCCTTATTTTTTTAACTTTAATAAGAGATAATAATAGTATCACTACCACATATAGAGACTGAGTCAGTCACCCTGTGGAGACTTCCCAATAAGTGGTAGCTATTAGAATTATCATCTGAGGACCTAGCAGATACTCAATAAACTTGTTGATCAACTGATTAATGGCAATATGCATTTGAAGAGAAAGTTTCAAATTATCAACTGGACAGAACCTAAGTAATTATCCACATTATGATACAAATAGGCAACCTCATAGAGATTATTTGCTATGCAGGAGAGATGCTGAGAAATCCAATGCTTTAGCCAGTCTTGTCCCCCTCCAGTACTGTCAGCATCCATGTGTAGTAAGAGGGCATCTGGTAGCTTTGTGATAGGCACAGAATCCTGAATCATTTACTCACCTTGGGAAGGGAAAATGACTTAATCTCTGTGTGCTTCTGTTTACTTATCTGTAAAATAAGGATAATAGCAACTACCTCTGGGGTGGTGATGACGATTCATTTAGTTAGTAGTTTAGTTAGCAGTTGGTTAGTAAAGCACTTAGTACAGAAGCAGACACACAGTAAGCAGTGTAGAAATGCCTGATACAGAAGGTCAAAAATGAATAGACTGATGTGTCTCCCTTTGCGTAGTTCTTAACACAGGGATGTTTGGAATTAGAGGTTTCATCAATGCTGCTCGAGTTGAGAGGGCTGCTGATGCCGGTGCCACCTGGTTGTGCCTTGAATGACCTATTGTTATCTGTGACCCTGCCTTGTTCCCTGGAGGGGTTTCCTGTGGGGGGACCCCCCTGCCATCTAAGCATGCTCTGCCATCTGGGCAGCAGACATGTTTCCAAGGCATTAGATCTGGCAGGGTATGAAATGTTAACACCGACATCAGGACAGCCCTCTGACCTTTGGTTGCATACCCCTTTCTTCCAAAAGCAGTTAGCCAAGATGTGGTTCCCCAGCTCAAATCCTATGTTACTTTTCATCACATTCTGCTGGTTATCAGCACAAAGAAAGCAGATTTGGGACAGAGTGTGCCTTATTTTTCCTCCTCCCACCACATTAAATTATATATAAGCACCAGAGCTATCTACAATTTGAATTGTTCCCAGTGTTTCCATGGTTCCGTATGAATTATGGTTAACCCTGCCCCTCAAAACTCTGATTCAGACCATTCCTGTGCTTTCTTATGTGCCCAAATTAATGAGAGCTGGAGCTGAGTATGTTTCTTCTTCATAATGCTTATAAACCATTGTTGGAGCCAGGTAGTAAACTGGAGTGAAATGATACAGCTCTTGCCCATAAATCTTAGCTCTGTAGAGCAGATGAAAATGAAGGAGCCCCTTATGTGGCATGTGCCTTGCCTCTTTGGTGTGGGTTTTCTTTTGTTCCCATCAATCAATGATAAGTTGGTAAGTAGTTTCATCAGCCATGTATATAGTGTTATATACTGATTCTCTTGCTTATAGTTTAAAAAAACCCAACAACATTGTCCATTATAAATTATTTTAAGCAGAGCTTGCTTAGCTCAGGTGTACAGAAAGTAGTGCTTTGCTTTCCTTGATTTGCTGCAGACAAAACAAAAGGGCCACCAGAGGATGTGTGAGAGCTTTGTCTTCCTAAGCAGCGTGGCCACATGATGGAGATGCTGAACACAGGGACTATAAACAGTGCTGCCCCTTGTTGAGGAAAGGAAGATGTGAGCTGGCCTCGTTTCCATTTTATTTTATTTATTTATGTATCTAGGACGGGTTTGTTTAGGAATGCAACAAAAGATTATTCAGGCTGTTTTGTTTGGTTCTGTTTTTCAGATCAATGTTAATGACAGCCTGTGACCTTGGAGCCGTGACCAAACCGTGGGAGATCTCCAGACAGGCAAGTGGTGATTAATGGCAGGGCTCAGCAGAGGAGGGACTGGGGGGCGTAAGGGGGACACAATATTCCCAGAGCCCTGACTACCAGGCACTGAAACCCTAGTCAATTTGCATCAGTATTAACATGGTGTAAAAAATAGCAGGAGGCTTAGGCACGACACAGTTTATTGCACAGCCCTTTTTTTTTTTTTTTATCGTGCTTTCACTAAGCAATAGTATTTCTGACTCTGTAAGATATTTTTAATGTGCGAAATCTGAATAATACATTGACCATTAAGGCAAGAGTTTCAAAGATAGGATTTTTGGCAAGATAATCACATCTCAGTACAAAGTCTTGTTTTCTTTTTTTTTAATATCTGAAAATAAAAGGAGGCAAAAAGGAAATTATATTTTTCTTTTTAAATATTATTTAGATATCAGAAACCTCTGTGGTCAAAATATGCAGTATCCAATTTAACTTGCAGAAAAACAAACCATGCCTTTACCACCTATCTGATTTCTCTGCCATAAAGCATTAGTTCTATAAGAATAGTTTTCAATTTAAGTAACTACCCAACTGAAGACCAGGGATTACTGATGGTATTTAGAGGTTAATCGTTATGTGCGTTTTATGATGCACCTACTGTGTGGGGTCCAGAACAGTAACTTGGCATCTAAAGACTTGACGTTTTAGGGAAAATAAGATGCATTTCCATATCAATAAATAACTAATATTTATTGACTGCTTTATATATACTATCTCATTTAATCCTTAAAATTGTAGTCAGCTGAATAATGGCCACCCAAAGATATCAGGTCCTAATCTCTGGAACCTGTAAACATTACCGTGAAAGGAAAGAGTATCTTTGCAAATGTGATTAAGCATCTCAGCTGCAGACTGATCCTAGATTATCCAGGTGTGCCCTAAATCCAATAACAAATGTCCTTATAAGAGGGAGCAGGGGGAAATTACACACTCAGAAGAAGGCAATGTGAAGACAAGGCAGAGATTGCAGTGATGCAGCCGTGAGCAAAGGAAAACTGGAAGAGGCAAGGAACGAATTCTGTCCAAGAGCCTCCAGAGGGAGCACATCCCTGCTGACACCTCAATTTCTGCCCAGTGAACTGATGTAGAACTCCCGGCCTCCAGAACTATGACAGAATACACTCCTGTCGTTTTGGCCACTAACTTTATGGTAATTTACAGCAGCCTTAGGAAACTAATATGGTTATTATCCCCATTTCACAAATGGGAAAAATGAGGCTTAGAAAGGATAAGCAGCCTGAGTTTAAACAGCTTGTAGGTGGCAGAGCTAGGTATAGATTCTAGCAGATTAGGCTCCAAAGCTTTCATTCTTAGCAGTGTGTTATGGGTTCCTTCACATGATGCATCAGTCAGCATTTTTAAATGATGCAAGCGTATCCACAGAATAGGCTATGTTATCATTTTACCCAAGATCTTAGTGGCTTTAAACAACAAATTGCTCACGAACATGGGCACCTAGGGTTGGCAGGCGCCACTTTGTCCTTATTCTGTATTGGGGCTGAAGGAACAGCCACTACCTAGATCATTCTGACAGAGGCCCTGGAAGGTCTTGCACTGGCAATTAAATGCTTCCCGCAACAATTCATCAGCCAGAACTTGTCACATGACCCCACCCAACCAGGAAGTACCATCCTTCTATTTGCTCAGAAAGGAGAAAGCCAGAAATAGTGAATGCATGACTACCAGAGTTTACCCTTCTCATCACCAAAAATGTGATTCATTCTCCCTCCAGCAGACAAAATATACCCATCCTTCCTCCAAGAAAGACAACCCAAATGTCCCATCAGTCACGGCATCAAACTCTTAAGTCCAGGATCTCTGGGAGATACATGCTAGTCTCTACAACAGATCTGGATGCAGATTAAAGACCTACACACACCCAAAATACAGAGTCCAACATGCACCCAAAGACTCCCATTCGGAAAGGGAAGAGATGAGCGATATTCATAGCAATGTGGAGTGGTGAGTGGTCCATGGCAACTCCAAAATCCCACTGGGTACTCACTGTGAGGTGTTCTACCATGCAGGGGACCCTGATTCTCTGGGAGATGTTCTCTGGTTCCTTTTTCCCTTGACCTTTCAATCCTCCCTGGGAAATTATTCCTTTCCCATCACCCTTCTTAGCTTTATCTGAAGGTCAAACTGCCTTCTTCTCACCTAAAGAAGGTTGAAGTCCCAACACTTGTTTTGTGTAATCATGGGCTTAGCGTTTCTTTGGCACCAAAACTCTCTTGTACGTTTAGTCAGCTTTTTATGTTTTTGATTCAAGTCCTTTCCATTTGCCCATAACCACATCCACATTCCATACAAACATCTTAGATTTTCTGTATTTATTTGCTTCTTTACATTTAGGAATAAAGAAATGTGGCAAATATATTTATTTCTTTCTCTCTTCTGACTTAATTCCTAGTGCCTTGGGCCTAACAGGCTTCAGTGAGAGAACCATATAGGTAAATCATTTAATCGAGCCATTTTTGTCCAGCTAGAAGGATATGCTGCAAACTACCTAATTCATTCAGATTCTAACTCTAGATGTCTTTTATTTGATTCTTGTTACAAAGCTGAGTCCTAATCAAACTTCGTCAAAGTGTATCGCAATTTTCATTTTCATAGTTTGGAATTGAGAAGCAATTTTATCTTCCATCCCTACAAGTCCCTGAATTTGCGACTATTTCCATTTCCTTTCATTCCTGGTTATAAGCCTGTTCCTCCTTTTCTAACTCACTTCCTGTAATTCCTCGCAAAACAGTCAATGGCAATCATCACATGCTACTAACATTTTGTTTTCTAATCTCATCTCCGAAGACTGTAAGTTTATTCAGAACATTGTTAGCTTTTAGTTATAATTGTACAAATTATTTTGCCATGGATTCTCATCCTTATAGCCTCCTCACTATCTTGATACCTGGCCCCCAAGCTGATGACACATATTTTAGGGTCTTTTTCTGTCTTTCTCTTCTTTTCTAACAGCAGCACCTCACTTCCGTACCAATTTTTGTATTAGTCAAGGCTAGGCTAGGCCTTGGTTCAGTAACAAGTATATTCTTAAATTCCAGTTGTTCAACACAAATAAAGGTTTATTTCTTGCTCACACTGTCCAATGTACATCAGGCAGTTTTCCAATAGAGTATTTCACCAATTGTGCTTTGGTTTAAATTTCAGTGTGACATATTTGAAGTTACAAAAAGTCACATAAAGCAGGATAATTGTGAAGAATTTGTGTGGTTGACTAGCTTCTTTCCACATCTCTGCCCACTGTTCATCTTACCCCCTCCCCTTTCCCATGTGGGAAGGCCTCCCTTCTGGGAGAGTTGGTGAGTAGACTGCAGGGAAGAGGTAGGAGGCTCTTCCAGGTATTGGGAAAAAGTGTAGTACTGGGGGAGGCTCCTGTAATAGGGATGGAAGGAGGTGGAGAGTGTGAGGAAGTTAGGAGGACTGAGAGAAAACTAGAGAAGAGCAGAAAGGGAATGGGGTGAGGTATGATGTGCCAGCACCTTCAGAAACCACAGTGAAACGCATGTCAAGGACTCAAGGAGCAGTAGCCCCAGGGAACAGGAAAGTGACAGGGCAAAGTACTTGCAAGGAAAAAAATTTCTGCCTTGATATTTTAGGCCGACTTGGGAGGCCCAGTAGCTGCTTGTAGGTGGTCTTCTCGGTCACTAGTGTAAATATTATTTTATTTTCTGGATGTGAGTTTCTGTTGAAAAGTGCAGAAACATAAGAGCTCAGGGAAATAAAACACAAAACCGTGTTTTTCCTAATGTTTCCATCGGAAAGCTTGTCACAGTTCTAAGCTAGCAATCTCATTCTTGTTTGTCTCCAAATTGATGGGTTAAATTTTTTTTTTTTTAATGCTCACTTCAAAATTTTAGGAAACATTTGGAGAAAACAATAGGCCCTTCTTTAAAAAATATTTCTCTAACTTCCTGGATGTTGATTTTTTAAAATTCCCTTTCAGAATGTTTTCTGCTGGGGTCTATTCCACTTTCCCTTCCTGCAACAAGACTCTAAGCATGTGGGTTTCCCCAGTGATTCCCCCAAGGCCTGATTAGCATCTCAATTTCCTTCTTTAATAAAAAATTCAATCAGTAACCACTTAATGTTCCTGATTGGGTTTTTAAGTACCAACAAAGCAGTTGTGCAAGTTAAGCTGTGAAAGGAGCACAGGGGAGATACCAACAAGTACTTGAGAAAGAGCAACGACAGAATTTTGTTTTAATTTCTTTTCTTTCCAGGGGCTACAGACCTATGCAGGACTCCCACCTTGAGGCGCCTGATGTGCACATTTACATTCTTTAATGCAAAAGACCTAGCTTAGAGCAATCTGAGGGAGAGTTCTGGGAACTGAATAAATGAGGTCATACCCTTAGGGGACCATTTCCTCTTCAAAGGAAGGCCAGAGAAAGAAGAGAGAAGCCTGGTGTGCTGAAATGCAGGGTAGCAGGAGAGACTGGAGAGGAGACAAGTGAATTGAGTCCTAGAAAACAGGCACATATACAAGAGGCTGGGGTGAAGGGGATTTTTCAGTCAGTTCCAACTAGTTTTTTGTGGTTGATCTTGAAAGGGGCCCATGTTTCTTAACAGAAATATAGAAATCTGAACTTACTGGATATTTGATTTCTTTATATGTGACTGCACACATGCTACTCTCAGATGTGTGTGTGTGAGTTTAGCATTGTGTTTCAGTTTTATCTATAATCTGTGATTGAGCAAATCTCTTGAGAGATCAACGGAGTTAAATTATCTTGATACTGTGCACTTGACCAAAATTAAACTGTCTCATCTTTGCCAGATTTAAGAACCTTATCTTCATAAGAACTTGGAATAGAGAAAAATTTGTTTGGTATCCATGCCCTCTTACCATGAAGTTGTCTGGGATTTATTCTACTCTTCCAATATTTTTTTAAATCCAGCTAGTTCATCTCAGAAATGTCCTAGATGCACACTGTAGTAGCGTTGAAAATAGCCATTCAACATTTAATCTGTCATATCAATTTGCTTCCCACACACTATCCTGAGAAGTGAAGGTGTGGAAAAGAAAAAAAAAAATCTGTTTAGCTTGGCAATAATCAGTAGCTGCTGACCATCCAAGCTAATGGATTAAAAGTAGAAAAATATAAGTCTCTATTTAAGGTTTCAGGTAGAACAAGCATCCCATTGTCCTTGTACCAAGTAGAGCCTACCATAAATTAACACTTTTAGTGCGTAGATCCAGACAGCCTGAAGACCAAGTCATGCTCTTCAAACTATACCGTGACCTACTGTAAAAGTCTGCTATGAACAGTGAATCTGGCATTAGTCCTGCCTCTTGATTGATTGCAACAGTAGGAAGCAGAGGATGTGCCCTGGGGTTATCCCTCCCAGAGTGCATACAAATATTGGTAGGGAGGGAGTTGAGGAGTTTTCATGTGGCAAATTGAAGCTGGGCTAACATAAAAGTATGCAACAAAATAAATAATCTACATAGAAATAATAAAAAGTGGCTAAACTATCATTACATAATATAATAATAATTACACATTATTATTAAATGAATATTTGCTTCACTTTTCTGTATAAGAACTTTTCCTGCTTTGAAGCTGGCAACCTGTTGCCTCATCCCAAATATGGAAGCCGTACTGTGGCAGATTGCCTGTTGGCATGCATCTAAAATTACATTGCACAAGTTGTCCTGATTAAAAGGAAATCAGTTTCATTAAGTTCTATAACACCTTCAAACATGAAAGGTTAATATACTTACTTCCTCATAAGCTTTTTAAATGATTGTGTTGATGAGGATCACCAAATACATAAGCAAGAAAGAACTTCTGAGTCTCGTGATAAACTACACATAATCACAGATTAAAATATTTATATGTTTCAGGTGGCAGAACTTGTAACCAGTGAGTTCTTCGAACAAGGAGATCGGGAGAGATTAGAGCTCAAACTCACTCCTTCAGTGAGTTCATCCTTTAATTATAACGTATTTACCCTTTTGAATGACATTTTCAAAAAGAACTCCAAATTACAAGTTGGAAATGGGAAAGACTGAAAATGGGTTTAAGGAAGCACTCCTGAAAGTTTAAAACCTTAATTAAACTCAAATGCTAAACACTCTTATTCCCAAGTTTCTGATTAAGAGTGGTGAGCTACTTAACAAGCATTTCCTGCGCACCCACAGTGGGACAAGTAGGCACGAGGGAGGATGAGCAAAGTGGAGTTTGAATAATTCAAAGCCCAGTGCTGGCATTTCATGTATGCCTACTTTAGAATAGAAACACTGTGCATCAAAAATTAAAGGAAGGCTTTCTAGCTTTGAGAAGCTAGATTTTATTTTCCAATTTCCAACTTTCAAAATCCCAAAAGCAAATCATTTCAAATCTCTGTTTCTTTTGTCTGTAAAATGAAAAAGTTTCACCTGGGGAACTAGGTTCTGGTGATTTGAACGCTATTTATATTGGACTTATCTGCTCAGTTATTACTTAAGAATGTTTACTTTACGCTCAAGATGATGCTGTTTTTAAGCATAAGGATGCAGAAGACATAACTGCGTCAGTCACCACCTCAAGAGGGGCAGCCTCTTTATTACTAACCAATGATTAGCTAAAAACATATAACCCAATGACTCTGAGAGTGGTGCAAAGCATTTTAAAGCCTAGCATAGCACAGTAGATTTAGTGATACTCAAGGAAGGTATCAATTGTCAAGAATGTCTGTTTATGAGAACCCAAATTAACTGAGCTTGAACATTTGGAGGTATTTATAAGGTCTTCAAGTTTTAAGACATCCTTCTTTGCTGACATTTAAAAACAAGGAAAAGCAAGAGAACTAGCTCCTAGTTTGAATAGTTTCATCTGCTTGAAGTCAGAACGCACAGTCTTGCTAATTTTGAATATTCTTAATTGGTTGCTTATGTACAAAAGATCAGGAGGCTACATAGGTTGAAACACACACAACAATTATTTGAGTTTTCAAAGCAACATTGACTTAGTTTCTCAAAACATCCCTTTTTTGGTGGTGTCATCAAATTTGGTTATAAAAATAAAAATATTAGCTTGGGATACATACAGTTAATGTATAAAACCTAGTATGACCCAAATTCTGTCATATCTACTTTCAAATAAAAGCTTTTCCCCCTTTAAAAACTGTTTCAGAGGCATACTCTGAAGGGTTTACAATGCAGCAATACCACAGGTCATTTAATTAAATGAAAAAAATATGAGTAAATTGCCAGCACTGGTGAGCTGGTGGGTGCAGTAGCGCAGCACTAAGGAGCCTTTATCTGTAGGCTCAGGTAAGGCATTTTCTGTAGACATAAATGAAATTAATTTTGCGGTAGAAACATAGCTCTAAATGCTCCTGTCTTCTCACAAAGACTACGGAGCACCACTGATGACCATCTCCTCAGGGGAGGCCTGGCTGATGTGGCAGGGTTAGCCCTCAGTTCTTTTCCAGAAATATCTGTAAATGCATGCACCCAGAGCTGACAGCTGCTGTGCCCATTATCCCTTGATATTTAGGAGGAAAACTGTCCTGGAGCCCCCTCAGGTATCATGGTCCCAGGAGTCATGGGAGTCACTTCATGGAGACAAAGGCTAATCTGGCCCACAGCCAGAGGGTCAGGATTGGAAGCAGTGAGTCAGTTAGGAAAGCCTGCCTGAGTGCCTCCATGTGTCGGGCATGAAGCAAGGCACCTTGTTTCCAGCAATGAGTAAGACACCATCTTCCCTGCCCTCAAGGATCTTGTCAACTGGTGGGAAATATAGACATGAAATAAATGATTACTAATACTTATTTTATGAGATGCAAAATGCTGTGAAGCACAGGACTGTGTGGGGCCTCACACTCATTTTTTTTCTCATCAAGCATTGATTAAGAAGTGACTAGTACAATAATAAATCCCCTAAAATTATGGTCAACTAATCTGCAGCATGGGTGCCAAGATAATGTCTTTTCAACAATGGTTCAAGGACAACTGCATATCCACAGGCAAAAGAATGAAGTTGGCTCCCTACCTCTCAGCATACCCTGAAATAAACTCAAAATGGATCATACACCTAAATGTAAGGGCTAAAACTATAAAATTCTTAGAAGAAAATATAGGTATAAATCTTCTGGATAGGGGTTAGCCATGGTGTCTTAAATATGAAACCAAAAGCACAGGAGACAAAAGACAAAATGACCCAGAGATGTTGGTCCAGAGATGTTGAATTGAGCTTCATTAAAATTAAATTGAACAGCCAGGAGTGGTGGCTCACGCCTTTAATCCCAGCGCTTTGGGATGCTGAGGCGGCCTGATCACTTGAGGTCAGGAGTTCGAGACCAGCCTGGCCAACATGGTGAAACTTCTACTCTACTAAAAATACAAAAATTAGGTGTGGTGGCAAGCACCTGTAACCCCAGCTACTTGGGAGGCTGAGGCAGGAAAACCGTTTGAACCCAGGAGGCAGAGGTTGCAGTGAGCCCAGGTTGTGCCACTGCACTCCAGCCCAGGTGACAGAGCAAGACTCTCTCAAAATAAATAAATAAATAAATAAATAAATAAATTGAACTTTATCAAAATTAAAAACTTTCATGGATCAAAGGACACTATCAAGAAAGTAAATTTTCCCATATTATGGGAAAATATTTGCAAATCATATATCTTTTATGGGCCAAGTATCTGGAAGATAAAAAGAACTATTATAACTGAACAATAGAAAGATAACTCAATTTAAAAGATAGGCAAAGGATCTGAACAGACATATCTCCAAAGAAAATATGTAAATGGCCACAAAGCACATGAAAAGATGCTCAAAATCATTAGTCATCAGGGAAATGCAAACTGAAACCACAATGAGATATCACTTCACAGCCACTAAGATAGCTATAGCAAAAAAGACAGACAATAACAAGTGTTGGGTGAGGCTGTGGAAAAATTGGAAGCTCATACATTGTTAGCAGGAATGTAAAATGGTGCAGCTGTTTTGAAAAACAGTTTGTCAATTCCTCAAAAAGTTAAACAGAGTTACCATATGACTTAGAAATTCTACCTCTAGGTATATCCCCAAGAGAAATGAAAACATACATCCACATAAAAACTGTATGTGAATGTTCACAGCTATTATTCATAATATCCTGGAAGCAACTCAAATGTCAATCAACTGATGAACAAATAAATAAGACATCTATACAATGAAATATTATTTGGCAATAAAAATGAATGAAGTGCTGATGCATGCTACATGGGTAAACCTTGAAAACAGTGAAAGAGGCCAAGTCACAAAAGACCACATATCATAAGATTGCATTTATATGAAATGTGCAAGATAAGCAAATCCATAGATAGAGAAAGTAGATTAGTGGTTGCCTAAGGCTGGGAGTGCGGAAAAAAAGCGAGAATGACTGCTAATAGTATGGGGTTTCTTTGAGGATGATAATAATGTTCTATAATTGTAGTGATAGTTGCTCAACTTTGTAAATATACTAAAAACCACTGCATTTTTTAAAAAAGTAACTTTATAATATCCACTAGAAATGGAATAATTAAATAAATATGAAAATTTTAGACAGAACTATAGAGAAAAGAAAACATAATTTTTTTTTTTTTTTTTTTGAGATGGAGTCTTGCTCTGTCGCCGAGGCTGGAGTGCAGTGGCACAATTTTGGCTCACTGCAACCTCTGCCTCCCAGGTTCAAGTTATTCTCCTGCCTTAGCCTCCCAGGTAGCTGAGATTACAGGTGCCCACCACCACACCCAGCTAATTTTTTGCATTTTTAGTAGAAACAGGGTTTCGCCATGTTGGCCAGGCTGGTCTCAAACTCCTGATCTCAAGTGATCCTCCCTCCTTGGCTTCAAAAAGTGCTGGAATTACAGACATAAGCCACCACACCCAGCCCAGAATAATATTTTTTAAAGAAACATTTTGTGTATTTATTTCTTTATTTTTATTTTATTTTATTTTATTTATTTATTATTATTATTTTTTTTTTGAGACTGAGTCTCACTCTGTCACCTAGGCTGGAATGCAACGACATGATTGTAGCTCAATACAGCCTCGACATCTTGGGCTTAAGCAATCCTTTCACCTCAGCCTCCTGAGTAGCTGAGACGACAAGTGTGTGCCACCACAGTTGGCTAATTTTTTTTTTTTTTTTTTTTTGTAGGGACAGGGGCTTCACTCTGTTGTCCAGGCTGGTCTTGAACTCTTGGGCTCAAGTGATCCTCCTGCCCCAACCTCTCAAAGTGCTAGGATTACATGCATGAGCCACCGCAGCCAGCTCTAAAGAAACATTTTGGATCAAGACTCATATTATTCACAAGAACTATCCCTCTCTCCAGCACATTTTCACAATTTTCTCCAAATT
The DNA here is from genome assembly GCF_000001405.40 of Homo sapiens. Taxonomy (NCBI): domain Eukaryota; kingdom Metazoa; phylum Chordata; class Mammalia; order Primates; family Hominidae; genus Homo; species Homo sapiens. Next base: position 177,665,104 of record NC_000002.12, on the reverse strand, counting down.
CCAGTCTTCTTTCCTGCTATTTCCCATCTTCCATTGCAAGACAAGGATGAGAAAAGCCTGGTGGAATCAGTGACCTTCTCCCCAATTTGGAGATATTTTCCTCAGATTTGGCAGCTAGTGATTTCTGCCCCACCCACTCCCACTCTTGTTCATACATCTGAACGATGCAGGATTTTCCTACATCTCTGGACCAAAGGGATTGCTTGGCTCCACCCTCATGGCCTATAAGGACACCAAAATAATGTGAATGCCACATTTTATGTAAAGGAAAGATAAAACTTACTATATAACATTAAGGGAGGGCAAGTTATAACTAGATAGCCCAGTCTTCTAGATAAGTAAGGGCACAAGGGAGCTTCTCTGGTCTGGGCCTGACTCCTTAAGAACAAAGGGAGAGACAGTCTCACTGGCACAGAATTGGCAGTGTTTGTTCAGTGAATTAATTTTAACACTAAAATTCCAATTGATTGTTTCCCTTAAGTCTGCCCAACAGAAAAATGTCATTTATTTTTCCCAAAAATATACCTAAATTATCTCAAACATTATATCATCATAAAGCTTAAGGGCTGGGAATGAAGAGATAATGAGTCCACCCACCATCATCCATACAATGATAAATAAATATTTAAAAATTTATTAATGACAGAACCTTACTGAAAAACATATGCAATTGCCAAATCAACCCCTACCCAGAAAAATTAGTATAAATGGTTTCTATTTACAATAAAATTGCTTTTAAGGATATTTTCCGATTTGTCCTATTCTATCCCAACCTCTCATAATGCAGAAATAAAAGCCTGCATTATTTTTGTGGCAGTAAAACATATTCCTTTCCCCTTGACCTGTACCCAATTCGCAGTGACCTGATGACTTGATTTAGTAGCAGTTACTTATATTTGAAGACAGGTTTTTGCCCCAAGAAGTTGCACGCTAGAAAGTTCAAGTAAATTTGCTTACAAATCTCATAAAAAGAGGTAAAAACATTTTATTTCTCATCATAGATAAAGGAAAAGAAAGTATGTGTAAAGATTGATTGTGATTTGCGAAGGGTTCAGTTTGTAAAAAAAATGGATCATTCTAGCAAAGTGTTTGACAAAGCACCCTGTAAAATACTTTGGTGTAATAAAGCGAGGTTCTTCCTGCCCCCCATTCTAGGCAATTTTTGATCGGAACCGGAAGGATGAACTGCCTCGGTTGCAACTGGAGTGGATTGATAGCATCTGCATGCCTTTGTATCAGGTACTTTGATTTGGGAGGGCCTACATGTTCTGACTGAATCAGAAAAGGAAAAGTGTGTATTTCTCAAAAGCACTCATTTGAGGAGACATTTCCAGGGTATGCACATTGCGGAGAGCTCTGGCTGCAGTTTGTCTTTCTTGGATTTCTGACTGTGCCCTGGCTGGGAAGAGTTGGTTCTAGGAGGCTGCAGACCTGCGTTCTCCACTTTCTAGGATATAATCTCCATGGGCCTCTACTCCCTCATCTGTAAACCAGGGATACTAATATTTTATTTACTATCTCTCAAACTGTGTCCCATAGAACATGAACATCCAGCCATCATCTAATAGCTATCTGTTCAAAAAAAGCTCACAGGCCCAAGAAACGTTTAAACTTGATCAGCTCAATTTCTCAAACATATTTGACCATGGAAATTTTTTTTTTTTACAAATTTTCTTTATTAATATAATGTGGGAATGAGGATTCCATGAAACATGGTGTTCGGCTCTGACCCCATGGTCTGATACAGGGGGTTTTGTGACGCACCTTCCAGCTTCAAAATCTGCCTGTCTCTGAGATGCATGAGACAAATCCCAACCAGTGAATTCTGAGCGAGATGTGCTAATGTTTCCAGCTCTGCTACTTGGTGTGTAGGCCTCTCCTTCTGAAAGGAGAAAAGTGTCGCTTTGAATGGTTCACACTGCACTTTTTGAGTGCGGATCAGGGCTGGCATCAGTTAACACTAACAGTTTATTGTACATTGGCTTTTAATTCTACTTCTAAGCATTTGCTTTCATTTGTAAAAACCTGGCAAGTTCTTTACCCACAACCTAGCTCAGTCAGACTGAGCTGCTTTCCTAACTTCAAAGTGAGAAACATGCAGGGAAAGCAAAAGCTCTTTAGTTCCTCACCCTATGTAACCCCATTAAAAACGCAGTATTGTTTTTTAAGGACCTCACAACCATCAAGTTCAAGATCATCTACCACTTTGTTTTCAGCACTTTTAGGAACTGCTGAGCCCTGTCACAGAACTCTGAAAACAAACAAACTTAGAATACTGTCTTGAAGATGGATATGTAATTTTTGATAACTATAACAAAAATAAATTCATTTTTGTTTTATATTAGCCATTAAATACATGATACCATAAAATCAGGTAAAGTTTTAAAATAATCTACAACTGCTTATTTTAGTTATAAAAGGAACATAATGTTCTTTTATTTAATAATGGAAGATTGGGCAAACAAAATAGAAAATGATGTATACTTTATTTTAAGGGGATCCTCAACTCTTTTTTCTTCCTGTCTGCTCCTCCCATCCTCAGTGTCTCCGAATAAGCAGTCCCCCATGTGCAAAGCTCAACAACTTTTGGGTCAGGTGTATCTTGCTTTGCAAAACTGACCTTGACTATACATGTTGAATTACTTTTTAATGTTATTCAGTTTTGTGTGCACACTTAGGCAATAAATGGGATGAAGAAATTATTCATGCAATTACTACATTCCTTTTACTTTGGGTAAAGCTTAGGAGGATGAAGATATGTATTGGGGTGGGAAGCTGATTAAGTTTTGGTACTAGTTTGCAAAGCTATTTTGGAGTGAACTCAAAGTCTACACACTCTTCCTATGTGTTGGTTATAGGAAAGGCTGTAAAGGATCCTCATATGGTTTTCCATGTTAATTTGTTTTATTACTGATTGACAATCCTTTAGGGCTTATCTTATGCTTCCTATTAAATGCTTTGAAATCTTTAGGTTACAAAGGAAGTTACTTGAATTTAAGTGGAAATAGCAGTTTCTAGAATTTAGGGAGTAATATTATCCCTTCACATTATATATCGTCCTGATTTTTCACATCTGTTTTACTTTACTACTTATCTGTCGGTTAGATACATCTGCTATTTTCAGCTTCAGGAAATTAACATATAGAAAGATTAAGTGATGCTCCCACCAAATTAGAGTTGTGTCCTGCTCACCCCTGACCTTTGTTTTGGTGTAGTGACCTTTCTAATGCCCTACTTCACCTCTGATGGAAATTTCTTGCACCATTTTTTTATTATTTAACTAACTGGGGAGAGATGTGTCATGCTGAAAGGGAATATGGAAGGAGCTATTTACAGAAGCTCATATTCATACTTGCTGCTGTATCTTTTCATTTAACAGGGGGTGAAAATCTTGCTCTTTTTGATTCCTTGTCATCACTAAGTAAAAAAAGATCTCATTATTTCATTTGTAAGTTTTATACAAGGCTTTGAAACCAATCATTTTAAGAGCCCTCAACTGAAACTTTGTAGGGTGAGTTTAAGTATCCTCTCTGAGGGTCCTATTTTATTTTATTTGATCTCATGCAGTGTTCTCCCTTCCCTCCACTATTTAACTGGATAATCTCACATTAACTGTTGGTGCTTCCGAAATGAAATTGAATCAGTCAGTGGGCAGGAATCACCATTTGTAGGAAGACACAACACCTTGAGGAAGTGACGAGCCAGGAAGGTCACTGATGTGACACCATTCACTGAGATAACTCAGTGAAAGTCAAGTTTGGGGTTTTGAACATAAAAATGCAATCATAAGGAGTCTGAGAGGATCGAAGGCAAGTGGGAAGTGTGCAGGTGGCAGGAATCCCTGATGTGATTGGTCTGAAATACAGCATAAGAATTCAGCTTTGCTTTACCATGTTGGTCTAGGCATATGGCAAAAGAATACCGAGGAGTACACATGAGACAAAGCATGTCCCCTCTAACAGCTAAGGCCTGACCCCAAGGTAGGGCAAGGTTGGGTGGCAAGAACCTTCATGTAGAGCCCAAGGCAAGCACTCTCATAGAGAGAGCTGGGATCTTCCTGCAGGTGGAGGAGGTTGGAGAGTTGGAGTCTACAGAGGGTGGGAGTTGACCCAGGGCACCCCACGGCTGGAGGCTCTTGAGTACAGCAGTGGGACAGAACAGCGAGTTTGGCAGGGGCGGGTGGCCAGGCTGCTGGGCAGTACATATGCATATGGTTTTGGTACAGCTTTTTGACTTCATTGACTTTCACTGGGTAGTTCAGTTTTACTTCATGGTTTTAAAAGGGTTGTGCTTGTCAAATATCAAATAGATAAAGCACTTTCTGTTTGTGTTCCTGTTTGCTGAGTTTAGCTCTTCTCCAAGCAAAGGGGAAGATTATCACTACTCTCAGTGCCTGAAGGGCTACTTATTTATGTGCCTAATTGGCACCTGCACCGGTATATTTTGGATGCCCAGTGCATTTAAAATCGAAACTCTTATCTCTGATAGCTTCAAGTTCCACTCAATTTTTTACTACATTGAGGGAAAACAATGAGGAACTCCTCCTCCTCCAAAATCTATTCACTAGGAAGTTATCTAAGTAATCTTGAGATTGACAGAAAGCGACAGACAGAAAATATATAAAAATATTTAAATAAAACAGAAAAAAACGATGTGCAGGCCCTCTTTACCATATATATTGTCAACGAGAGAGGCTGACTGGTTCTATCTCAAGTGGAGAAAGACAGCATGTCATTGTGGTATTGATTTAGCTCTCCCAACATGCCAGGTGGGTAGGACACATGCACAGAACAGTCCCAAATCGATGAATAGCTATCTAATAAGGATGTAGGCCAGGCTTATATCCATATGTTTATATGTGAGCATAGAGTTCTCTGGAACTTGCTCTCTTTTTAATCTTCAGACTTTTCCTTAAAGAGAGAGAGACAGAGAAGGAGAGAGAGAGAGAGAAGAAAGAAAGAGAGAGAAGGAATGAAAGAAAGAAAGAAAGAAAGAGAGAGAGAGAGAAAGAAAGAAAGAAAGAAAGAAAGAAAGAAAGAAAGAAAGAAAGAAAGAAAGAAAGAAAGAAAGAAAATGATTGTAACAGGATGAAGTCGTGATTTATGGGTGACAGCCTTTTAATCAGGAAGCCAAGAGTGGGCAGGGAACCATCAAAGCACATTCCCCAAGAGAAGACTCAAGCCCTGGTTAGTTAGCTGTGTCCTAGCAGGGTATCTCGAAGGAATACATTGACATCTGATTCCTGCACTTTCTGCTGTCTTTGCACCCTGCTGGGGATCCATTAGCCCTGCTGCTCAACGTCTTTGGAGGGGGAAAAAAAAAAAGAAGAAGAAGGAAGAAAAAAAGACACAATCAAACTTTGAAATTGCCACACCAGCCTTAGGGATAAACAGAAACCCTCATGTCACAGTATCATTTTGAGCTTTTGTCTGCAATAGCAAGCTAAGTTCTGGCTCCTTATTTTCATTCTCAACTTAACCAAATCTCAGTGTACCTAGAATGTCAGTGGTGCAGAGTCATTATAAATCTTTTGTTTGTTAAGAACTGAGAGATTCCATTTTTATTATGAATGTAATCTGATTTTTAGCTCATCCCAAACTGGCTTTTGATTTTGGAGTGGATATTTTCTCACAGATAATGCAAAAGGATGTGACCTGGCCAGCATCTAGCCAGAATAATTTTCTCTTTCCATTAAGAGTAGGAAAATTTTGGTAAGGGTAGTGCCTCTCTATTAAAATGTCATGAGGTTTCTGAAGCAGGCAGGGCTGCTAATGTTAAGATTTACAGTAAACTTTGATTTTTTTCTCTGCCTTCACTTTTTTTTTTTTTTTTTTTTTCCCCCTGAGATAGAATTTTGCTCTTGTTGCCCAGGCTGGAGTGCAATGGCTTGATCTCGCCTCACTGCAACTTCCACCTCCCAGGTTCAAGCGATTCTCCTGCCTTAGCCTCCTGAGTAGCAGAGATTACAGGCATGCACCACCACACCTGGCTAATTTTTTTGTATTTTTCGTAGAGATGGGGTTTCACCATGTTGGCCAGGCTGGTCTTGAACTCCTGACCTCAAGTGATCCACAGGCCTCAGCCTCCCAAAGTGCTGGGATTATAGGTGTGAGCCACCATGCCCAGCCTCTGCCTTCACTTTTAATGGTCATTTTGAAAAATACATTCCACATGATGCAATATTAATAGGTTCTCTGGAAAAAAGGGAGAAAAAACTTTAAAATATAGTTGAAATAGTAGAATGGGAGTTAGAAACTGACAAACTAGAAAAGAGGATATAAGGTGCTACTCCAGGACACTTTCTCTGGATACTGATGAAAGTACTTTAAAAGCAATCCAGTGTTCCCTAAAAACAACTTCATCAGATATTAAAAAAAAAAAAAAAGACACCACTCAAATCAGTTAGTTTCCTATAAGTGTTTCTCTATGACTTTTAGTATTCTTGTGGATGAAAGGAAGAGATAGTTGGGTCTAGTTTCTTACTTGTCCTTACAAAGGGGGTATATATATGGAATGGCATCATACATAACTCAAAAAATACAGGAAGAAAGAAGGAGGGAGGAAGGGAGGAATGTAGGGAAGGAGAGAGAGAGGGAGGGAAAAAAGAAGAGGAGAGGAGAGGGGAAGGGAGGAGAGGCAGAGGAGGGAAGGGGAGGAGAGAAGGAAAGACAGAAGCAAGGAAGGAAGAAAGGAAGGAAAACAACTTCTTATTTTCTCTATAACTGATCTATCTGGCTCCACTTTTTCCTGGTGATGGGGAGTAGGGTGGTGGCTGCATTCAGGGACTATTATTTAAACTTGACTATTAAAGTATCTCAATCTCTTCTGGTTAAAGTACTCCTAATCAGAGCTCTTTCTCCTCCCCAGCTGACATCTAGGTACCAGGGAACTCACCTATGGTTGTGATGATTTTGTGACCTTCAAGAGAAGGACCCCTGGTACACATCTTGCCTGTTGGGTCTTTCTGGGTTAACTGAGAGGTGGCTGGTCGCAACTCTGGCTGTGATGCTGTGCCAGCCCCGTGTGACTATGGTGTGGGTGTGATGAGTACTTTGTGCCAGCCCTGGCCACCAGCTCTGGCTACTTAAGTCTGTGGTCCTTGTGGCAGCCTCTTGGCAAGCCCCCTTCACCACCCCCAGCAGCTTCCTGGCCAGTTCTAGCTGATTGGTTCTCTTGGCATTTCCTCAGTCCCCCTGGGGCACCCATGAACTCCCAGCTACTTTCTCTTCACCCTGCTGTCCACATAACTTCCTAAGTCTTTTCTAATATGCTGCCTGGGCGATACCAACTTGCTTTAGGAAGATTCTATTATTTTCCTGAATTAGGCTCTGAAATTTGAAATAAAAGCCCTCCCCTTAAAGGTTTGACCCCCAAGGAATGTGAAGCCAGGACTACTCTCCCTCTCTCTCACCCGCCTCTTTCTGCTTTCTCTCCCCTCTCTCTTTCTCCTCTCTTCTCTCTCCCTGCCCCTCTCCCCACTCCCCCTCTTCCCCTAATATTTCCATTTGCTTTGCTTTTCCTGATGGGAACTATCCTTACATGGTCTCCTCTGTGTTCTTCCTGCTAGAGCTTTGTAGTAAAACTTGAAGATCTAACTTAGCCAGGTTTGGTTCTTAATAGAGAAAGGAGAGTTCTGAAATGTAGAAAGCCACTTCACCTTGCAAAGCTACAAGTAGGGCTATTCTTTTTCAAAGCTGAATGATGGCAGCTTGTTTCTAGCTGGGAACCGCCATTTGCCTGAAGGAGGGAAGCCTACTGAGATGACGGGAGAGGAGCCCCAGGCATCACCATTCAAACAGAATGGAAAATGCACTGGTTTACCATTCTCAAAATATTGTCCTTGTTACATAATAATGTACCCAAATCTGAGTGCTGATAGATAGTAAAGCCTGTTTATCTCAGAAAATATTCTATGTGTTATTAGTCAAATATGAATGGAAGAGAAACATTAATATTCAAAAGTGTTGGTTTTATGTAATTTATAGGCCCCTCCACTACAGTCTATCTTCCAAATTTTTGACAAAATGATGTTTTTTTAAAAAGAAATCTGATCACAGCATCTCCCTGCTTTAAAGACCTCAGGTTACTATCACCATCTATAAGGTACCTTCCGAAGTCCTCGGTATAGCATTCGGAAACCCCCTCATTCATTCTGAAGCTCACATCTATTCCTTGGCCTCATCTCCTTTCACCCTGCCCACTTCCTTACCAGACACCCTTTGCCCAAGCTCAGGACTCACTAGCCCTTTGGTCCATCTTCCCTGGCCTCTGCCTATGCCTCCTCGCTCTCATATGTGCCTGGAAGACACCAGCCCAAGCTGTGACTTCTGTAAAACCTCTACTTCCCCACAACATTCCACAGCACTGTCTCCATCTCTTTATAACCACACACTCTGTATGTGATTATCTTTCTGTCTCTTCCCCATTAGACGGGTTTCCTGGAGCCACCATATTCCTGGCACCTAGCACAGTGCTAGCACATTAGAGCTGCTCAGCCAATGTTTGTTGAACAAAGGAATGAAGAAACAGAAAAGTGAATGATGGGATGCAGTATAAGCAGTGGAATGTATGAAGTAAGCTTATAATGTCATTTAGTTATCACCTATAAATACAGTCATGTGTTGCTTAACAACAGGGATACATTCTGAGAAATGCATCTTTGACAATTTCGTCATGCAAACATCGTAGAGTGTACTTACACAAACCTATATTGTACAGCCTAATACACACCTAGGCTATATGGGATAGCCTATTGCTCCCAGGCTACAAACCTGTACAGCATTTTACTGCACTGAATACTGTAAGCAATTGTATCACAATGGTAAATATTTGTGCATCTAAACATATAGAAAAGGTACAGTAGAAATATGATATTATAATCTTATGGGGCCATGGTTGTAGATATGGTCCATCATGGACTGAAATGCCATTATAAGGTGCATGACTATGTATAAAACCTTTCATCAGAGTATGCACTGTTATATTCCTGCCCATAATCTGGAGTATATGGCCTATGATATCTTTTTATAAAGTGGTTTAGTTCTCATCATAGTTGAATTCTACTGTAAAGGGCCAGTTAATAGCCATGAATTCAGAGCTTTGACTTTTTCAGCTAGGAAATACATTAAATTTTCTTTTATCCAGCATTGCCAGAAAATGTAGTCCTCTAGTTATTTTAATATTCAGGTTAAGAGATGGAGCTAGCATATGTCACAGATAGATTTCAAGAAATGTATATTGTATATTGCATACATATGATTTCGAGAAATTATAATACAATAAAATACACTAAATTTATCATGATTAAAATTTAATCTTTCTTTGACTTAGAAAACTTTTAGGATCCTGTAGTGTCTAAAAGTAATCAGTACAAACATCAACTAAGAATATGCTCTGTTCTTAGCCAGGCATGGTGGTGTGTACCTGTAGTCTCAGCTACTTGGGAGTCTGTGGTGGGAGGATTGCTTGAGCCCAGGAGTTCGAGGCTGAAGTGAGCTATGATTGCAACACTGCACTCCAGCCTGGGTGACAGAGCAAGACCCCATCTCTTTAAAAAAAAGAAAGAAAGGAAAAGTAAAAAAGAACGTGCTGGGCAGGAAGAAGTTCTGAGTAGCAGTGAGGACTCATTAATAGAAGAATGGATTAGTTCCTGTTCCTTCCAACATTATGCATGATAATTGGCAGGTGAAGGCATCTCATACCCTTCGCTACATCTCAGAGTTCTTCCAGCATACCTGATGTTTTTCACCTCCAAAAAGTCTTTTGACCTGATAAACAACCATCTCTATGCATATTTTTTGGTAAATAAAATGGACTATAATTTGTTTTATTTCATAAAACTTTGAAAAAAATACCCATTCTTTGTATGTTAGTATTAATATATTCCTATTCATATGTATTTTATGAGCTCAAACAGTGCCATGAATCCATATTAAAATGCTGGAATCCAATGGAAAAAAATAGGATATACCCACAATAAGGTTTTTGAGGACAGATTTAAGATAAGATCTTAATTCTTATCTTAAATTCTTCTTATCCAGCTGACCAACATACGTAACTCTTTTTTAAAGGATTTCTGCTTTGGAATAATGAAGCTAAATGTCTTAACCCCAAGTCCTTACAAGGCTTGGAATGTTCTCTTCCCTTAAGTAACTTTATAGTTTTTTTAGAGAGCATATTTTAAAAGCTTATTTGCCTTTTCTTCATGAGCCTCTCTTCTTCGTCTCTCTTCGGAAGAAGTAGGAAAGAAGCAGGAAGGGTGGGAGGAAAGGAGGGAGGAAGGAAAAAAGGAGAAATATATGTGAATGTTAAAAACTCTGCTGTTGAGGTATCAAAAGCAAATGAGAACAGTAAAGAAAATATACATCACCTTAGAGAATACCTAAATTGTCAAGAGTGACTGTTGGGAGAAATAAGAACCTCACATTCTCTTATTCCTGATACCCCTTCATACTACTGTCCACATCCAAACACATTTTTACCAGGGTACATGAGTGTATTCTGCTTTGGTCACAACATAAAGTTCTTAATATGTTTCCATGTTTCTACATAATTTTTACATTGTCCTTTTTTCTTTCTTTCTTTATGAGACAGAGTCTCACTGTTACCCAGGCTGAAGTGCAGTGGTGCAATCTCGGCCCACTGCAACCTCTGCCTCCCAGGCACAAGCAATCCTCCCACCTCAGCCTCCTGAGTAGCTGGGACTATAGGCACACGCCACCACACCTGACTAATTTTTCTGTATTTTCATAGAGACAAGGTTTCACCACATTGCCCAAGCTGGTCTCCAACCCCTGAGCTAAAGTGATCTGCCCACCTTGGCCTCCCAAAGTGCTGGGATTACAGGCATGAGCCACCGCATCCAACTTTCACATTATCCTTTGAAATGGCAGCCTAGTATTCCGATCAATTGACTTGTTGTAATTTATTTAATTGTCCCACACTTTTTTCCTAATAGAGATAATTCTGAAATGAGCACTTTGGTGCCTCATTTTATTGACTTATTTAATAGTATTAAGCATGATTAGAAATAATAAAGTTGCATTTCTTTTTTTCAAAGAAAGATATACACTCTGAAGGAAACAGAAAATAAGTGGAGATAAGCTATCCTCAAATATTGGAAGCTAAGAAGGAAGTAATCTCCCAGAATGTCTGCACAAGGGGAGAGCAACAGGGAGCCAGCCGATCTGCCTTTCAGAAGGAATGCCTGAGAGGCTCAGGAGTTAGGAACAGCCAAGGGTGGATATGTTAGTTTCCGAGGGCTGCTGTAACAAAGTACAGCAAACTGGGTGGCTTAAAATAACAGAAATGTATTTGCTCACAGTTCTAGAAGCTAGAATTCAGGTGTCAGCAGGGGTGGTTCCTTGTGAAGGCTCTGAGGGAGAGTCCGTTCCATGCATCTCTCCTCGTTGCTGATGGCTGCTAGCAGTTCTTGACATCCTCTGCCTCTGCCTTCACATAACGTTCTTTTGTGTCTGTGTTTTCACATGACCTTCTTATAAAGACACAAACCATTGGATTTAGGGCCCATTCTAATCCAATATGATCTCACCTTACCTTGATAACTAACATCTGCAAAGACCCTATTTCCAAACATGGCCACATTCACAGGTACCGGGGTTAGAACTTCAACATAGCTTTTGGGAGTACACGAGTCAACTCACGACAGAGAGGTTGAGAAATCAGCCTGGAAACAAGAGGGAAAGAAAGGTTAGAAGTTGGTAAATGGGATCTCAGGAATCTCCCACAACCCACACAGCCAGGTCAACAGCCTGTGTAGCCACTGCCAAGTCAGGAGACTGGAGAGTTCTCTCAGAGCACTCATGGAGAGAATCCATGGCTGAAATCTAAAGCCCATGGAATGATTTGCTGGACTCTCAGATGCCCTACGACTCTGCACCTGGAGTGCCAGCAGCCAGATATCCCCAGAAGCAGAAAAGTGGGAATCTTCTCTAGGGAAACAGAACAGCCTCAGAGAAAAGATCTGCATGGACTTGCACTTCATATTCTCTCGATGAACCAATTCCCTGCAGGATGCCCTTAAAATGGAGCCACCATTTGACAATCACAGCTCTCCCACTTACCTGCCCTGGTCCACTTTGTACTCTGCCTTGAATAGGTCTTTTGTCTTTCAGTGCCTTGCATTTAAATATATGCAAACAGATAAGGTCCACAGAATGTTTGAGCAAAGCCTCCAATATGAAAGAATAGATGCAAACCAAAAAGCATGAAAGAGAAGGGAATTCAGAGCATACAGTAAAGGCAGGAAACAAAAGACAACTTCAAAAAAGCTTCCATTGCCATCAAAAAGCTAAGAAATATGTTGTAAAACAAGGCCAAAATGCCTGGGGTATTTTTTCTTCTCTATTAGTTTCTAGCTGTGCCATCATGATTTTTCTCCTTCATTTGGATTCCCTATATTAGTAGGGTCTCCTGACTGCCTCCTTGCCAGCTGCCTCCACTCTGATCCCAGTCTCATGCGTATAGTCCCATCCTCAAGGCTCCATGTCACCACCAGAGCTATCCTCCCAAAGCACAGCTGATTGCATGGCTCACCTGTTTAAAGTCCTTCAGGCCCTCCCTCCCCCTTACTACAGGAAAAAAATCTTAGTTGGCACAATTGACCTTCCCATCCCACCTCCTCTCTCTCCTTCCTTTGTACCCTCTGCTCTTGCCATAAGCTAAATGTTCCACACCCCGTGCCTGTGCTCACCTAGCCGTCTGCAGGCCTACCTTCCCCTCCTCTCCCCATGCAACTCCTAGTCTTACTTGAGGACTCTGCTCAGATGACATGTTCTTAGGAAACCTCTGTTTGCCCCCAGGAGGTAGATATTCTAGCCTCTGGGACCCTCTTTGGGTTCCTTTATTAGAACATCTTAATTGTTTACATTCACTGTCTCTGTTACTCAGCCAGGATGCCCAGCACAGCTGAATCTACCAACCTCTTCCCTCATCCAAGCTGCAGCAGCAGTGTGTGTGTGTTGTTATCAGCCACTGGGAGACCCCACAGGGCTGCCTCAGCAACAAAGCAAGCGCAAGAGAGTGACAGGAACGGGAAAGATCGGGTTATCACATTGTTACTAGTAAGCGCTTGCATTTCCTCAGCATCTTATGCTTTCAGGATGCCCTGAAATAACCTATCACTCTTGAATTGCCCTGTGGCGGTGTTAACATTCCTGCCTTTATTTCACGGATGAGAAACTAGGGAGGGTATACTTGCTGCTCACAATCGCCCCAGTGAATTAGGGGAGTTTCAGCATCTGAACCAATAACTCCTACAAGCAGAGGGATGAGCTACAGAACCATAAAATAACAAAAAAGGACAAATTATTCTCCAAGTCTTTGATTCAATATATCATCATCGAATTTAGGTTTTAGTGTTACAGGTGATCTGAACAGCTGAAAAATCTAAAGAAGAAAAGAGAAATAGAGAAACAGAGACATACAGAAAGAGAGACAGCAGGAGGGAGAAAAAAAAAGACCTAAGAAGAGGGCCTAAGAGGAGGCAGTAAGGGCTGAGTGTTTTTCTAACTGTCCTCTTTCAAACCTGCCCTCTACACTCATAAACTGAGGACTCGCCATCCTCAGCTTTCTTTTTATGGTGATCACCACTGGCTCGTAGGTTTGGCTGAAAGCAGCTTCACTCTGCACTTTTTAAAGGTTTTGGGCCTCACAAAGTGACTTTCTTCTTGGAGCAAATGGAATTGATGATAGGCAATATCAACCTTTCCAAGAGTCTGAACAAAGGGAGGTGAAGTATGTGGAAAAGCTTTGGGAAGAGTACACCTATTATAGTTAAAGCCCTCCAGCATGTGAGTCACTATTGTTATCATTAATATCATCTCTCAACCTCAGTATCTCTGCTGTAAATTTGGATAATAATAGCCAAGCTTCCTGTCTCACAAAGATGTAGTGAGTCCATAACAACACTTTTGAGCACTTAGTATGTGCTCAAGACTAACTTTCCAAGCATGATCTGATTTAATTCTCTTCACAATACCAAGTTAGATGCTATGAGGATCTTTTTATTTCAGATGTGAAAACTGAAGCTATAGAGCTTCTGTAACTTACCTAAGAATATATAGTAAGTGACAGGGCATAGATTCTTTCTGCTTTCAAATCTGTGACTCCTAACCAGTATGACCTAGTGCTGCCTGAGATAATGTATGTGCAGGTGTTAGTATTATACAAACCTCAGATCATTTATTGGGTCACCTTTAACAGAAGAAACATGCTATTTTTATACTAGAATAATTAACTAGGTGCATACCTGCAGACCATCTGTAGGAGGGGAAAGCAAAACCCTGAAAGGTCACTATTAAGTGACCTGACTTGATAATGGCAGAGCTGGGTTTAGAACCCTAGACTTTGGACTTTTTGTTTAAGGTTTGTTCCAATATATCCTACTATCTATGTATAAAATTTGAAATATATTACCTCAAAGTTTTCAAAACTATTCTAAGGAAAAAAATTTTAAAAGGAAATCTACTGAAGTAGCAAGTTCTGCTTGCTTTCAAACAAGCAAAAAGCAGACTGAACCAGAGAGTTTGTTTTGAAGGGCAGCATGGTGAACCAAGATGCCTCCAAGAACAGGGGCAATGGAATGAAAAGTCAGCAAACAAGGTAGAAAAGACAGCCCTGATAGGGCCTGAGAAACTGAACAGAAAATCTGAAGGAAGATAAATGGATAATTTAACAGCCATTCAGTTTATAAGAAAGACAAATAACAAGCTACATTGCATCAGAAAAGGACTAGAAATGATGATGGATGGGACCCTTCAAATGAGTGGTGAACACAACAGAATCACAGTTGCCTGCAGAATTCCCAGCTGAGGGCAAATTTGAGGAACTAAATAAGGATATGAGACTGATAGGGATTGAAGAGTTTTTCAAAATCTATTTAATGGCCAGGCAGGAGACATCGATCGCTTTTCAGAGGAAATGCTGAGGAGCAATGAGGTAGTCAGCCTTTATTTGTGATATGGATGGGGGAGTGGGAGGAGGGAGGTGTTTATTTATATACGATGTTATTGCAACATACATTAAGGTATTAAAATTATTTTTGAATTATGGTGGTAAAGCACTAAATTTTTTTGATCTTTGTGGAAATAAGCATTTCTACTTTGTGCCCCTGTACTTGTAAGCCTTTTTTAACAATTAACCAATCAGGTGATTTAATATTTCTAACACATGACCAAAGATTGCTATTTCCTTTATCTGTTCATGATAGACTTTTAAATTTTTTATTGCTAAATAGTTTAGACACCCTCAGTGAACACAATTCACAAAGTACAAAAGGCACAAATTATCAGAGAAAAGAGATCCTCCCTCATACTCCTTTTTGCAAGTCACCCAGTTCCTTTCACTGGGGCAACCACTGTTAACCAATTCCTGCGTATGCTTCTAAAGATAGTTTATATACAGTGTGTTTTTACACTGTTTTTAATACATAATGCTTCTACATTGTTTTCTATGTAAATATAGTGCATATGCATGCATCTATATATACTATGCTCACACATATGTATCTATGTGTAAGTGCATATGTATCTATGAACATATATGAGCATAGTGTATATCCTGCTCCATATCTTGCTTCTTTACACTTAATTTATTTTTTAGATTATTCTTTTTCAGTCTCCATGCAGAAGATGTCTCATTCTTTTTGATGGCTGCATAGTATTAGATTTTAAAGATGAAAAATAAATTATTTAAACAACAATTAATTATTTATTTATGGACATTGATGTTGTGTCTAATTGTTTGCTGTTGTAAACAATGTGCAATAAATATTCTTGTAAATACACAATTTTCATACTTTATTTTTAGGAGAAATACCAAGAAATAAGATAACTGGGCATTTGGCATATAAGCATTTGAGATCGTGATAGATATCACCAAATTTCTCTCTGTGGAGTTTGAACCAATTTACATTCCTATCAGTAATGTCTGAGATGCCTATTTCTCTATGCCCTTACCAACACAATGTATTACCAAATTTCAATTTTGCTAATACGATAGCTATAAAATCTATCTCATTATAGTTTCAATTAGCATTTTCCATATTATAAATAAGTATGATCATATTTTTAGTATAGATTTATTTACTTAGAAGCCATTTGTATTTCTTCTGTAAATGCTTTATATTTTTGCCTATTTTTCTATTGAACTAGGGCTATTTTCTTACTGATCCATAGGAGCTCACTATCTATTAAAGAAATAAACCCTTATTATTTGCAAAGGTGACAAATATGTTTCCAAGTTTGTTATTTATCTTACCTAGTTTTCTTCACATCAGTTTTTGACTGAACTCTTTCCTTATTATTTGAATGGTCACTGTTATCATATACTGATTCCCTTAACTTTGTTTCTATTTTTAGTCTTTCTATCAGTTCTACTGATCTATCTGCCTAGTTATACTATTTTAATTAATATCACTTTATAATATATTTTAATGTCTCATAATCCTAGTTTCACCTTCCTTATTATTCTTTTTCAATATTTTCTAGGTATTCTTATTTTTTCACATAAGCTTTAAAATTTAGTTCAAAAGGAAATCTGGTTTGTCTTTTTACTGGCTGCTTATTTAATTTTACATGGTGAATGTTCGAGAGTTAAATTAATATGAAACTTTCCAACATTTAAAAGATAGAAAATGTTGCCCATTAGGAAGTTTAATTTATAAAGTTATTATATTCCCTCTTAAACTGCACTCTAAAAATGAAATAAAACTACTGAAAATATTGGTCCCTCTGTGCCTACACAAACAAACTTTTCCCATATCTTTGGCTTTTGGGGAGTTAGCAATGTAGTTAAAGAAGAGCCACAATAACATACCTTCTACCGGGTCTTCCAGTAGACAGACTGGCCCCTTTCTAGGACAAAGAGAAGGCCAGCTAATGATACAATATCCTCCTCAGACATATACCTAGTGGTATATGTAACATATTCCCTTTCTATCTTTTTATTATCTCAAAATTGTCACTCTTTTTTGGAGACAGGGTCTCACTCTGTCACCCAGGCTAGAGTACAGTGGTGCTATCATAGCTCACTGTGACCTTGAACTCCTGAGTTCAATAAATCCTCCTGCCTCAGCCTCCTGAGTAGCTAGGATTGCAGGTGCACACCACCACACCAAGCTAATTTTTAAATTTTTCTGTAGAGACAGGGTTTCAATGTGTTGTCCAGGCTGGTCTCGAACTCCTGGTCTCAAGCGATCCTCCCACCTCAGCCCCCCAAAGATCAGGCATGAGCTACTGAGGTTGGCCCACTGTCTTTATCAGGCTGTAAAATTAAGAAAAAGAAGTTTCCCTTGCCATAGGGAGAGAGACCACCAACATAATAAAGGATTTTTATCCCCCAAGGATCTTTACCTAAAGACAAAGCATTTCTCCTCGATGCTTTGGGTCTGGTCCTCTGTAGATCCGGGACATTGGGATTCATGGACTTGATGGTTCCTCCCCGTCTCAGAACTAAGCATGTCTGGTGCTAGGCAGGAAGCCACCTTTAAACTCTTGCAAGAAATGCTCAGTAGTCATCATATTTGCATGGTGCACACTAAGCAGTTCAGTAGTGTGTATAGTTAGGACTCTCTTTTGGGACTCTTTTGGCACCCTCAAATATAAGCTAAAAATTTAGAACCAATGCTAATAGAATATTCTAGAATACATTCTTTGAGGTCCTATAGTGACTTACACCGAGCACCATTCACACCAAGGACAGATATTGGCAATTCTGTATTTGTAAACCCATTCCCACACAGACACCCTATCCATTATTTTAGGAAATCCTAGAACTTGAGGCATGTGGGAAATATACAAAAAATGTACAGTGAATGAATGTTTGCAGCTCAACAAACTAAAAGTTTTAAGTGATCCTTTTTACACATTGAACTTTGAAAAAATAATAGTTTTATATATTTCTATGAAATTTCAGGTGATGGTATTAGCAGAAAACATTCCAGTATATGGAAAATGGATTATTACCACGTGACTGCTTTTTAGTTACATGTTCCAACCACCTCTTGTAAGAAGCCCCATTCATCAAAGGCTGTGGCTTCTGGGTCAGCAGCCATTCCTTCCAAGTCAGAAGTTGCCTACACAATGAACATGATTGATTAGCTACCAGTCTGCTCTGAAAATCCAACTAACAGGATAACCAAGGACAGCATTCTGGAGGGGCTCATTATAACACAAGAAACTGTTCTTGCTCCCATTTACATGAGCTGTCTTTAGGCTTGCCTGTCCTTTACAACTTAGAACTCTTGTTTTATTTTCCCAGGGCAGGGTAGAGTAGATGAGTCAAAGATAAAAGATGCACAGACTACATCTAACGTTTGGGAAGTGGTGTTTCTTCTTTACTCAGCAAGACCTCCACTTTCCTGTGAATCTGTTCTGAACCAGCATCAGAGACATAGAACAAAAAAAGTTGCACCATTGTCCTCAACACTGCAGTAAGGTGTGAGATACCCATTGTTACTAGTGTGCCAGTTGAGACCCCTGATGTAAAGACACCATGAGCCTGGTACTCAGCCAAGCCTGGACTGACATTTCAGCTCTGCTGTGTACTTAACCATGTAAACTTTGGCTCTTTAACTTAGTTTTTCCAATTCCAGGTTCCATATCTGCCAAAACAGAGCCAATAATAGCTATCTCACAGCACCATTCTGAGTTGTAATCAGGTCACATATGAAGAACTCCAAGTATGGCTCCTGGAACATAGGGCACATGAATACTCAGTAGTTAATTCATGTTAGCAAGATGTGCTTTACTTTCTATCACAGCAAGCAAACAGGTGGCCCACAGAATAGATTCAGCTCACAGACTTGTTTCATTCAGTTGAATACAGTTTTTAAAATTGTAAAATGTCCAGTTTGCCATAGTCCCCACCACTCCCAACTCTATCATGCAGCCTATTTCAGTCATTAACTTTAGTGGCCTGGCCCTGTAAACATTTTAGTTTCAGACTCTTGCCCTATATTATGGAAATAACAATGCAGTTAATCCAAAAAGACTAACATTCCTGCCTCATTAATTCAGAATGTTAATGTCATTTGTGAATATTATTTTCCACAAAAGAATCTCTTGTGCATATAAATAAGCAAAACAAGTAACTTGAGAGGTCAGGAAGGAACTGGAAAGAGAAAAGAAAGAAGGAGATAAAACTGCTGTAATGCATTGTTGCATTTTCACTTTTACATGCACGACTAATCTGCTTCAAATCTTGGGGAAAAAATGGTCTCTTCCTAACTTATTACTAATAGTATAATTAGCTTACAGGATATTAGACATTGATGCTACAAACATCATCTTTTGTTATAACTTGGGTAGACTATGCCCTTAATATTCCAACTGCAAATCTGAATTATTCTTGTGTTGGATTCTAATGAGCTAATATGCCTTCATACTAAGCATTATCTTTGAGTATCAAGATGCCCAAAACACTGTGCCACCTGCACAGATAGTCAGAAAATAGAGACCTACAATATGAAATCAATTTTCTCATTTAGGAATTATATTTAGCTCCTAGTAAAAAATAAAAATAATCTAGAAAAGCCAATGCTATACTGCTATTATATGGCAGTTCCATAGCCATCAGAAACCTAGTTCTTGGCCAGGCATGGTTGCTCATGCCTGTAATCCCAGCACTTTGGGAAGCCAAAGTGGTGGATCACTTCAGGTCAGGAGTTCATGGCCAGCCTGGCCAACGTGGTGAAACCCCGTCTCTACTAAAAAGATTATATATATACAAAAACTAACCAGGCCTGGTGACACACACCTGAAATTCCAGCTACTAGAGAGGCTGAGGCAAGAGAATCACTTGAACCCAGGAGGTGGAGGTTGCAGTGAGCCAAGTTTGTGCCACTGCACTCCAGCCTGGGTGACAGAGTGAGACTCTATGTAAAAACAAAAAAAGAAAGAAAAAGATAAAGAAACCTAGTTCTCCTTTATCTTTCCTTAGCACATGGCTGCCGTAGTCAAGTTTGCCTCATAGTCACAAGATGGCCACTCTGGTTCCAACTATCATGTGCATATTTGTATTAGTCCGTTTTCACACTGCTAATAAAGACATACCCAAGACTGGTTGATTTACAAAAGAAAGAAAGGTTTAATGGACTTACAGTTCCACGTTGCTGGGGAAGCCTCACAATCATGGTGGAAGGCAAGGTGGAGCATCACATTTTACATGGATGGCAGCAGGCAAAGAGGGAGAGCTTGTGCAGGGAAACTCACATTTTTAAAACTGTCAGACTTTCTAAGACTTATTCAATATTATGAGAACAGCATGGGAAAGACCTGCCCACATAATTCAATCACCTCCCACTGGGTTCCTCCTACGACATGTGGGAGTTGTGGGAGTTACAATTCAAGATGAGATTTTGGTGGGGACACACCCAAACTGTATCATTCCACCACTGGCCCCACCCAAATCTCATGTCCCCACATTTCAAAACCAATCATGTTTTCCCAACGGTCCCCCAAAGCCTTAGCTCATTTCAGCATTAACTCAAAAGTTCACAGTCCAAAGTCTCATCTGAGATAAGGCAAATCCCTTCTGCCTATGAGCCAGTAAAATCAAAAGCAAGTTAGTTACTTCCTAGATAAAATGGGAGTATAGGCATTTGATAAATACACCCATTCCAAATGGGAGAAATTGGCCAAAACAAAGGGGCTAAAGGCCCCATGCAAGTCTGAAATCCAGTGGGGCAGTCAAATCTTCAAGTTCCGAAATTATCTCCTTTGACTCCGTGTTAAAACAAGAGTTTTAGCATCCAGGTTATGCTAATGCAAGAGGTAGGTTCCTGTGGTCTTGGGAAGCTCTGCCCCTGTGGCTTTGTAGGGTACAGCCTCCCTCCCAGCTATTTTCATGGGCTGGCATTGAGAATCTGCAGCTTTTCCGGGTGCACAATGCAAGCTGTCAGTGGATCTACCATTCTGGGGTCTGGAGGATGGTGGCCATCTTCTCACAGCTCCACTAGGCAATGCCCAGGTGGGGACTCTGTGTGGGGGCTCCCCCCCACATTCCCTCCCACACTGCCCTAGCAGAGGTTCTCCATGAGGGCCCCACCCCTGCAGAAGACTTCCTTCTGGATATACAGGCATTTCCGTACATCCTCTAAAACCTAGGCAGAGATTCCCAAACCTCAATTCTTGACTTCTGTGGACTTGCAAGCTCAATACCACATGAAAGCTGCCAAGGTTTGGGGCTTGCACCCTCTGAAGCCACTGTCCAAGCTGTACCTTGGCCCCTTTTAGCCATGGCTAGAGTGGCTGGGATGCAGGGCACCAAGTCCTAGACTGCACACAGCAGGGGGACACTGGGCTTGGCCCACGAAGCCATTTTTTCTTCCTAGGACTCTGGGCCTGTGATGGGAGGGGCTGCTTTGAAGACCACTGACATGGCCTGGAGACATTTTCCCCATTGTCTTGGGGATTAACTTTCAGCTCCTCATTACTTATGCAAGTTTCTGCAGCTGGCTTGAATTTCTCCTCAGAAAATGATATTTTCTTTTCTATTGCATTGTCAGCCTACAAATTTTCCAAACTTTTATGCTGTGTTTCATATGCCCTTTAACAGCAGCCAAGTCACCTCTAGAATGCTTTGCTGCTTAGAAATTTCTTCCGCCAGGTACCCTTAATCATCTCTCTCAAGTTCAAAGTTCCACAAATCTCTAGGGCAGGGACAAAATGCTGCCAGTCTCTTTGCTAAAACATAACAAGAGTCACCATTGCTCCACTTCCCAACAAGTTCCTCATCTCCATCTGAGACCACCTCAGCCTGGATTTCATTGTCCATATCATTATCAGCATTTTGGTCAGAGCCACTCAACAAGCCTTTAGGGAGTTCCAAACTTTCCCACATTTTCCTATCTTCTTCTGAGCCCTCCAAATTGTTCCAAAATCTGCCTGTTACCCAGTTCCAAAGTTGCTTCCACATATTCGGGTGTCTTTTCAGCAATGCCCCACTCTACTGGTACCAATTTACTGTATTGGTCCGTTTTCACACTGCTGATAAAGACATACCCAAGACTGGGTGATTTACAAAAGAAAGAGAGGTTTAAGGGACTTACAGTTCCATGCGGCTGGGGAGGCCTCACAGTCATGGTGGAAGACAAGGAGGAGGAAGTCACATCTTACATGGATGGCAGCAGGCAAAGAGAGAGAGCTTGTACAGGGAAACTCCCATTTTGAAAACTATCAGATCTCGTGAGACTTATTCACTATCACGAGAATAGCATGGGAAAGACCTGCCCCCATAATTTAATTGCCTCCCACTGGGTTCCTCCCATGACATGTCACGTCTAAAACCTAGGCGGAGGTTACAATTGTGGGAGTTACAATCCAAGATGTGATTTGGTTGGGGAGACAGCCAAACCATATCAATATTCCAACAGCAAGAAACAGATAGGGACAAGAGCAAGAGAATGCACCTCCCAGCAGAATAAGCCCCATTTAAAGAGTTTTCTCTGAGCCTTTATGAATTCTGCTTACATCTCCCTGGCCACTCCTAAGCTCAAGGTAAATTAAAACGTGTATTGGGTAGGCAACTAACAAACTCTGCTAGGGATACCACAGTTCTGGCAGAATAAATGACCATGTCCTTAAACAGGGCAGGAATTATAAAGCTAGAGCCCTTTAAACTCCATTGTTTTCTAGTCTGAGAAGAACTCAGCTGTTATGAACCCACTGAATCAGCTATTTAAGTCCTTGCCTCTGCCTAAGTCTTTTCTTATTATTTCACCCTTGGTCGTGTTGCCAAACTTCAGCCTTGTATGTAGGTAACCTTGAACCCTGTTCACTCTTTTCCAGGGTGACTCTGCCTCTTACTTGCCTTCTGACCAATCTTGACCTCCATAGACCTATGTCATATGAACATGTCTGAGACCACAGCAGCACTTGAGTCTGTTAAGGAAAACATTTATTAGCTAATGAGATATTCCTGAAGATAAACAGGCAATTCCTATCTAGAAATGCACTTTTCATTCATAATTCTAACCAGCAGGCTGACCTATTCAAACTCACATGCCAGCATTACACATATGGTAGGTGGTTACTAACTTGGGCTCTGGAGTCAGAGACCTGGGACCAAACCCTGGCTCTGTGGCCCCAGGCAAATTATGTAGCCTTTCTGAGCCTGATTTTCTCCTCTCTAAAACGGGTTGATAATGCACATACCTGGTAGTTTTGAGAATTTAATGAGATAAACTATATGAAGCACAAATATACCACAGTGTCTTACACAGTTACATGTGTAACCTACATAAATAATTATTATTAATTTTCCAACTTCTGCAAATAACACAAAAAAGATATGTTTTTAAGGCTGGTATCTTTAATGTGAATGCTTAAAAACAGCCAAGGAAGTCTGGGCTTCCTTCTGTGTTCACCATTATAGGTTGATTATTTGTTTTTCAAAGCAAGTTTTAAAAACTGCTGGAAGCCTTCTATGGTAGTTAATACATTATCTTAAGCAATTTAATACAAATTAATTTTTACACAACCTTGAGTTTCAAAAGCCATTGAACTGGGGAGGGAAGGAGTGAGGTTTAGGAGGAGTCTGTTTGCTGCCTCCCATCTGGACTCCACAGCCAGCTCCATCTGCTCTCACATATAGTAACTAACATTTTAGCTCTCTCCTGCCAAACGCACCATGTGGAGTCTAGCTTTTTTTTTTTTTTTGACTCAGTAAAACGTGAAAATGCATATAAAGATGTGTACTTCAGGATTTCTAGAAAACTTAGTGGGATTATTTTGGCATTTCAAAGTTCTGTTTTTGTACCATAACCCAAGTTTTCCATCAGTCTTTATGGTTTTGTTTCTGTTTTGTTTTGTTTCTGGATTTCATTCTCTCTTACTACCACAATACTCTTTTCTGATAGGGTCTTATAGGCCACATTGAGGGATTTGGACTTGCGATGATGAGCATATTCATATCAAATAGGAGCCACTGAAAGTCTCAGAGAAGTGAATGGCAAGCTCAGGTTTCTGTTTCTGATTGACTGCTCCATGGTGGCTTCCATATGGAGTACCGATTGGACAGTGGCAGAGGAAGGCTGGGAGACTGGTTAGGAGGCTGCAGCAGATTTAAAACAGTCAGGGGGATGATGGTAGCCTAAACCAGGGTTGTGGAAATGGCAACAGAATCATGTTCAAAGAAACTTTGGAAGTGGGATTGACAGGACTTTTGTGACAGATTGGATGTAAGGGGAAGAGGAAGATGTCATGGATGACCCATGGATTTCTGGGTAGGACAGCTAGATAGATGATAATGCCCAGTTCCCTGACAGAGTAAACGTAAGAGGAAGGCTTGAGGGAAGGTGAGGAATTCAGTTGTAAACAGTCCGTCCACTGAGTTTCTGGCCTCTACAACCCATAAAAAAGTAGAAGGCTGGAAAGCCAAAGTGATTTCCAGCCAACTGCAGCACTGAGGTGTGGCATGTAAAATCTGGGAGTATCTCAGATTAAATCATGAATAATCTTAACCTTTGGACCTAAGAGGGATTAGCAGTTCAACAATTCACTAATTTATAACTTAGGCTCTGCTCCCACAATTGGCTACCTGTCTCTGAAGTCATACACCTTGAACAGGAAGCTGTTTCTTGAAGATGCTCTTTGCATCTGTAACTGCTGGACAGGCACACGAATTCATGAGAATTTCAGGGCCTGCCACCATTTGCATGTTCTCTTGTCCCTCCTGCTGAAGAATCTGAGCAGAGATGATAACAGTTGGTCATATCATCAGTGGTTTTCCATTTCAAAATACCAACTTCCAATGATTTTTTTGATATTTTCCTCCAGAAAGGGAATAATCATGGTAGTAAAGTGATCATGACCTCATAACAGGAATACGCTGCCTCAAACAGATACGTAAGATAAGTTCCAAGTCTAACTTTATAGTTTTAAAAATCAACATTAAAAAATACTCTAAGTTCTTTCTCCTCTATGGTATATTGTGTCACTTAGTTTCTGATTCTCTTGGGTAAGGTGGGGGTGAGAGAAGGCAAAAAATACTAAGTGATGTCACTAGCAACTCTGGAAATAGATTTCAACAATAGGGGGCCAAAACCATCTTCTCTCTTTGTCCTTTTTTTTCTTAATAAATGTCTTTTTTTCTTAATAAATGAATAGTCAGACAATTTCCTCAAAGTTTTAAAAAATATATTAATGACACCGTTGGACATTTTCAGGTTCAAACACTAATCTGGTTTTAATTTGATGGGGTTCCTCTATGCCCCTTTCCAACAACAGAGTATAGGAGTACTCACATTTTCTAAGAGCATGACTTCTCTCTGCTCCTCCCTTGTCCCACATCTGCCCTATCTATCCAGCAGCTGGGTTCCAAGAGGTAACTGTGGTCAACTAATAAGCACAAACTGAGCCAGATGATAACAGATGTGGACCACGATGGCAGAGAAACACAAAGGCCAGGATCTGGCTCCTAGCAGGTTGGCAAACTGATAAAAACAAAGGCCCAGGAATAATGGTAATAAGAGAAAATATATCCATTTCCCAAGTGGCTCATTCTAGATGTGTTTTTACAGCAGGATTTTGTAGCAGGTCAGAACATCCTAACCCCACTCTCAGCCACTGGCAGCTGTCCTAGCCTTAACCCTTCTTCCTGCCACTGTTCTATGGGGAAGAATGGAGGAGAGGCTGCTGCTTCCTGGGGTCACTGTGCCAGATGTTGAAGATACAAAGATAAAAGGCCTTGTTTCCACTGTCTCTCTGAGCTTGTGGGATACTAAGCAAGACAGAGTTTTTAAAACCAGTGATAAGGGACCTCTACTACTAGCCATGGTTGAGTAACGGGCCAAAACAAAACAAAACAACAACAACAACAAAACCCCAAAACCTGAAAAATATATGAAACAACACTTTTCAGACAATGGGCAACAGACAACATAATACAGTGGTTCCTGAGTAAGGGGAATGAATGAAGTGAGTCCTACAACTGTTCCAGCTTGTGGCCTGGATAGAATTTCTAGGCCACGGCACAGGCAGGGGGAATCCAGGCAGAGCCCAGTGATCTTGCTGAGTTAAGGAGGCAGAGCTAGGAGTCTAGGGAGGCCAAAGAGGTTACAGTTCCCAGGGAAGAGTAAGAGAGAAGAGAGGACTGCACAGAAAAAGCCCAGAGATCTGCAGAGGGCCACTTTGAGTCTTCAGGTTAGTGATGTTCATCATATCCATGTGAGGAAACTACTGAGGCTGAAGCAAAAAGGAGCAAGTAAAGTGATCCACAGAGGTCACACAGCCTGGGGAAAATAGTCCATGCTCCTGCCAGCTAGAGTACCCAAGAAAAGCCTTGAAATACATGAGGCATTGGATGCAGTTCTCAGAAGGGTATTGCATCAGTAGTGGGAGCAAATTAGCCCTCCACAAAAAAAAAGGCTGCTTTGGACCCAGCTTGCGCAGCTGAAAAGCAAGCCTCAAAGGGATTGAATTATTTCCAAATAACCTGACTATATTCCAGAACAAAACTGAAGAAGGCTTAAAGCAAAGGAAAAAAAATCCATCACCCAACAATATAAACTTTACAATGTCTGATATTCATCAAGAATTATCAAGCATGCAAAGAAGCAAAAACATCTGACCCATAATAATTAGAAAAATCAATCAATACAAATTCAGAGATTATATAGATCATAGACTTGGTAGAAAAAGACATTAAGATAGTTATTATACTTAGATATTTCAGAGGGTAGAGGAAAGATTGAGCATGATTAAGGGGTCATGGAAGATATTAAAAAGACCCAAATCAAACTTCTAGAAAAGAAAACGCTAATTTTTGAGGTAAAAAAAATATAGTAGGCTGGGCGCGGTGGCTCACGCCTATAATCCCAGCACTTTGGGAGGGCGAGGCAGGTGGATCACAAGGTCAGGAGATCGAGACCATCCTGGCTAACACGGTGAAACCCTGTCTCTACTAAAAACACAAAAAATTAGCCGGGCACGGTGGCGGGCACCTGTAGTTCCAGCTACTCAGGAGGCTGAGGCAGGAGAATGGCGTGAACCTGGGAGGCGGAGCTTGCAGTGAGCGGAGATCGCGCCACTGCACTCCAGCCTGGGTGACAGAGCGAGACTCCATCTCAAAAAAAAAAAAAAAAAAAATATATATATATATATATACACGTGTATATATATACGTATATATGTATGTGTATATATGTATATATGTATATATGTATGTGTATATATGTATATATGTATATATATATATGTATAGTAGATGAGATCCATAGCAGATTAAGCCCTGCAAAAGAAAAACTCAGTGACGCAACAGAAACTATCCAAAATGATATAGAAAAGATGGAAGAGAAATGAGCAGAGCATCATTTGAGCTGTGAGACAATGCCAATGGCTAAATATGTATGATTAGAGTCCCAGAGGGAAAAGACAGATGTAAAACATAGCTGAAGACAGGATGGTGGAAATAAATGTACAGAACCAAGATTCTCAATGAAGCCAAGCAGAAGACACATGAAGGACACTACAGCAATGCACATGAGAATCAAATTGCTGAAAACCAGCACTTTTAAAACTTGGCTTAAAAGGACCCAGAAGGGGGAAAAAAGACAAGTACAAAGAGACAAAAACACAATCCAGAACAGGATCTTTGAAGAACTGCAAAAAAATGCAAATACCTTTTCAGTGCGATAGATAGAATTGGAGAGATGGAGAGTGTGCTACAGGCATGCCTAAGGAAGGAGAGTTCTGGTTCCATACCAGAAGACCAGAGAAGACTTCACAGAGAAGACAGAATGTGAGCTGAGTGGCGAAGGATTAGTTCTCTAGGGAAGGAATTTTTTACACAATGCATTAGAGTCAGAAAGACTTAGGTAAACATCCTGGCTCCATCTCTCATTATATGACCATGGACAAGGCACTTAACCTAAGTGAACCTCAATTTCCTTATCTATAAAGTGAAGATGATAAAAGTACCTACTTCGTGGGACTGCTGTGGAGATTTTATGAGATAATGGCCTTTAGGCCCCGGCCCTAGCCCAGCACAGTGAACATTCAATATATAGAAACTCCTCTTATTTCTCCTTCCTAAATGTCTTCAGAAAAAGGAGGTGAGGAAGAGTATGTATTTGGCCCAAGAAGAAGTCTTTCCTTCTCTGCTACCAGAGATGCTGCTGGGGTTCAGACTGTAGCTAGTTACTTTTATTCCTCCTTCTATTTGAGGGGAAGCTGAGTTCATTGAAGACCTGATGGAGACGAGATAATGCTTAGAGGCAGCAGAGCAGTGGTTCTTAACTGGGAAGATGCTGCTCCCCAGAGGACATCTGGCAATATCTGGAGACATTTTTGGTGGTCACAACTTTGGGGAGGGATGCTACTGGCTTCTAGAGCATTCTATAATGCAAAAGACAGCCCCCACCATAAAGAATTATCTAACCCAAAACATCAATAGTACTGAGGTAGAGAAACCCTGCAGTTTCAGTTCTTCACTTACCAAGTGAATGACCACGAGTGAGTTCTTCATCCAGGCCTTGGTTTTTCTTAATTATATATATATAAAGAGGATAATAATAGTAACCATTTCATAAAGTTCCTGAGAAAATTATATGACAGTGTTAAGCACTTATTACAGTCTGACTCCAACTAAGCATTCAGTAAAAGTTTGCTAATGACAGTAAGAGTCCATGAAACACACTGAAAACACCTGTAACTGGTCAAAAATGATTGATATGCTGTAAGAGATTTCAGTAGATTCAAGTACCATTTGGGGAGTTTCTTTCAGAGAGGGAGTAAAATCAAAACCTTCTGGACAACATGATTATGATGCTTCAGTGATACCAAGTGTACTGTGTAGAAATTAGCATCTGGAGTATACAGAGAAGAGAGGGATCAAATTCTAGATTTGTGTATCCTTCTTAGCTCTACCCACCCTCACACTATCTTTCCAAGGCCTTAATCTAAACAGTAGCTATGGTTTCTGTTCCCTCTCTTTTGTTAGTATGGCTATTATAAAAATCCTGCTATATATCTTAAGTAAAATTATATTTGTTGATTCAGTAATATCTACCAAAACGCAAATACACATTCCCTTTCACCCAGCAATACCCATTCTAGAATTTGACTCTCTGATAAACTTCACACCTATGGAGAGGCTATGTACAGGGATATCCATTACAGCATTATTTGTAATGGCCAAATATAAACAATGTTTGGGTTCCATCAAAAAGGAACTGGTTAAACAAATTTTGACAGCAGTGGAATACTAGATAGCCATAAAAAATGAGGAAATCTAATTTTGTAGTGATATGAGTTTTTCCCAAGATATATTAAGAATAAAAGGCAAAGTGCAGATCCCTCTGTATGGTGTACTACCATTTGTAAAAAGGGGCAAATATATTTATGTTCTTACACATTCAGAAAATTTTTCTTGATTATCTACTCAAGACACTGAAAACATCTGTTGCCTCTAGGGGAGGAAACTGAGTGTCTGGGAAATAGTAGAACGGAGATTTTATATTGCACCTTTGTACCGTTTTGTATCCATGGAACTATGTGAATGTGTTCCTTATTCAAAACATAAATAAAATACGGAATAAACTGTATATGCTGGTCACAAGAGAACTCAACAGTGGAGTGTGAATGAAATCAGGAAATAAGTGGGGTCCCTTGGCCACCTAGATGACCAGATGCCCAGGCTGTGTCCCATAGTGGGGCAAGTATCCGAGGTCCTGTCTGCGATGGGCCAGGAGGGAACTGGAAGGAACATGGGGCCCCAGTGATGTCAAAAAGGTTGCCCCAAGGGAGAAGCACTGCATCCCAAATAGGGTTTTTAGGTCAGCATCAACTCTAACCTACACTTGAAACAAAACCTGAGTTATCAGTCCTACACTACTAAAGAAAATTCTGGTTTAAAGAAAGAGCACCCTAAGGATTAGAACCATTAGGTAGAAGTTACAGGGGTATAGATTTCAGTCCAACATAAAGGAACAACATTTTAAAAACAGAACAATCAAAAACTAAATGGACTCCCCTGGGAGGTTGTGCACGCACTGCCTCTGAAAGGGTTTCAACGGTAGCTGTGTGGTCACGCAGCAGGGATGCCACAGAGGAGAGTCAGGTGTCTTGAGGCTGATGCAGCCGCATACATAACCTTTAGAGTTCCTCCGTGTGTATATGGAGAGTGATCAGATGGGTGCTAAGTTTCCCCCCTTCTCTTTCACTGAGGAGCAAGTCAAACTAGACAATAGCATTCTCACAGAACCCATCCCGTATCACTTGATAAGAAACTTTTAAATACTAGAAGCAATTCTCTTGCTGATGACTCACTACACATAATCACCATAAGCCTTGGAATTTAGGTTCGTGGATAAACCCTTGCTTTACTAGTATTTTAATAGTTCCATATTCTCTCAGCTAACTGCATTTCTGTAACAAATTAAGAGTGTAAGAATAAGTCGGCCGGGCGCGGTGGCTCACGCCTGTAATCCCAGCACTTTGGGAGGCGGAGGCGGGGGGATCACGAGGTCAGGAGACGGAGACCACCCTGGCTAACACGGTGAAACCCCGTCCCTACTAAAAATACAAAAAAATTAGCCAGGCGTGGTGGCGGGCGCCTGTAGTCCGAGCTGCTCGGGAAGCTGAGCAAGAGAATCGCTTGAACCAGGGAGGCGGAGCTTGGAGTGAGCCGAGATCGCCCCACTGCACTCCAGCCTGGGCGTCAGAGCGAGACTCCTTCTCACAAAAAAAAAAAAAAGAGAGAGAGAAAAAGTAAGTTTTCAAGATAGGAGTTTTGTTACCTTTGCCTAGAACCAGCACCTGGCCACAGGAAAACGATATTCTAGTATGGCAATTCTGTGTTTCAGGAGAATATAAAACAAAGAGAAAGGAATTCTGAGAAATATGTATTCCTCCTCCCTCCCCAATTTCTTTATTCCATACAAAGGAAGCAAGAAGGAGAACAAAGAGCAAGGATAAAGGGAAGAAAGCTGTTTGGGGCTATGCCAAATAAACTTAAATGGCTTAAGGAATAAATTGGTGGAATGATTCGAATCATGGGCAGGTGCTATGAATGTAATTTAGTAAATGCTTGGGTACCTGCCAGGGAAGAAAAAAATGTGTTGCTTTTAAGATCATTTCCCAGCAGCTTCATAAAAGAAAACTGATTACAGGAATTTAATAAGTAAAACAGAGCCAGAAATATTGTAATCAAATGAGTTTTTAATTACATATCAAGCAGAAAAAAATTCTAATTTATGCTCCTGGGATTAAAAAAAATAAGTTCTGGAGAAATGCTTTTGTAGCAGGAAAATAACATAAACACTAATTTCCATAGGAATTATAGTAGTCAGTTTAATTAAAAGGCTTGATCAGAGTAAAGAGGAGCTGGTGCCAAGCTATACTAAATAAAACCATGGCAGTTGTGGCTCCCTCACACTATTGTCTAAATAAAAACACTATGCATTGAGTGGAAAACAAGCACCTGTATTTTTCTCATGGAAATAAAGGGGATTTTGATCGCTGCTGGAGTTACAATGTTGCTTTGTTTTATTATCATATGAAATAACTAGTAAATTTGATTTAAAATTAGATGTTTCTGTTTAGTGTGATAAATATCACTGTTAAGAGAGAGACAGAACATACTCTGTCTTAAGGACATCGGGCTTTCAACCCCCACCCCCACTCCGTTAACTTACATCTAGTTACATTTTACTCATATTCATATAACTCCCTGGAGCAGAGGATTATTTGAGCAGATAAATTAGGTTTACTAACAGGTGGTTTGCAGTTGTGCTTGGAGTCATACACTCTGGCATTCTAACAGAAAAAGAGCTATTCTTCCTGTTGGAGGACTTACTATTGACTACTCCCTAACCACAGTCATGCTTGGAGAAGGCTTTTCACAAGGTGTGCTGAAATCATAGTGGTTTAATGATATGTTCACCTTTTGTCCCCCTTGTGATGAATGGGATGCACCTGCAAGGTGTTTACACGGGACCAGGGATATAACCCTGTCCACAGAACAAAAAATAGCTAACTAACCCAAAGCATAAAGTGGGAAATCACCTTTCCATAGGCTAATAATCTCACAACTTCTGTGTTCTTTCTTTTATTTCTTTATAAGGAAAATAAAAACTACCTTATAGGCCTTAGTGCAACAAGAAAGGGAAACTTTAATTTGTCAGAATTCTGGGGAGCCTGGGAAAAAACTGGCTGGCTGGCAGTCCAGATCTGTATAAAAGCAGTGAGCTAGGGCTGGGGAGAAAACTGGATTACTCTCCATGGGGTAAAAGACTGTGCCCTTTGAGATGAAAAGGAGTATGTAAGAGTAAGTCAGTGGGTAAGTCACTTCCCCTATGACAACCTCTAAAGTTCGGTACAGTTAGTAGGCATCCAAAATGTTGAGGGTGATGGGATTTCCTGTGAAAAGGGGAAATAAAGTGAAATACTGCATTAGGAATGATGCAGAATGGAGTCAAGAGGGCCAAATAGACTCAAGAAGAAGTCAGAGAGTACAAGGAAGTAAGACTTGGAAATCACTGGCAGGAGTCTGAAAGGTCCCCCAGAGCATGAAATAGATTTGAGGTCTAATCTCAAGTCTAAAGGGTTGGGGAGGCCTCAAGTGACATAAGATTACATTCAAAGAACAATGTCAGAATTCATGAGAGTTGTATACATATGCAAGATGATGGGTGATAGAATTAATGGATAAGAGGAGAGAAGAAAGGAGAGATGGGTATGAATAAGTCAGAAGAAAGGTCCTGGTGTCAACCCTTACCCCAAATTGATGACAACAGCAATCACATTCAATGTGTCCTCAGAAGTTCATGTCTTCAGTCTCCTCATCATCATCACAGTCTCTAAAAACAGGAATGATACAATTACTAGCTGGTTGGAATTGTGCATTGACAAAGGTTGAAGCCATACAATTTCAAGACGTGTATCTTATTATTCCTTGGTTTTTCTTCTTGACTCTTTAAGAGCTTCCCTTTTATGTTACATCCTCAGCAGATTTCTCTATATCTTCATTCTATATGGCAGGCTAGTGTCCTATCCCTGACTTTTACTTGAGAAAAACAATGGTTTTCTCCATAGCTTCCAAAACAAATGGAAAGATTACAAAAGGAAGCCCTAACTTCCTATATGGATTCTTACCTTCCTCCTGTGATGGAAAGGCTAAGGATCATTTATGATCCTAACATGTGGGGGACATGTTTTATCATCTGTAAGATGCACAGTCATTGTGAGGAATAGCTGAGATGAAGTATGCAGAGCAGCTGGCAATGTGTTTAACACATAGGAGGTGTTAGGTGTTAACAGAAGCTCCCCCTCATCCACGTGGGATGCCAGCTTTTTATACTTCTTTCAGACCCTGGAGATGGAAAACAGGCCCAAGAAGTATGAATGCTTAAAAATCCATACATTCTCATTGATTCTGTCCATTTTTAAACTGAGATTATAAAATACCATATATATATGTGTATATATATACACACACATATATATGTATATATATACACACACATATATGTATATATATACACACATATATATGTGTGTGTATATATATATACATGTATATATATATATATACATGTGTATATATATATATATATATATATATATATATATATTTTTTTTTTTTTTTTTTTTTTTTTTTTTTTTTGAGATAGAGTCTCACTCTGTTGCCCAGGCTGGAGTGCAGTGGTGTGATCTCAGCCCACTGCAACTTCTGCCTCCTGGGTTCAAGCGATTCTCCTGCCTCAGCCTCCCAAGTAGCTAGGATTACAGGCATGTGAGGCATGTGCCACCACGCCTAGGTTGTTTTTTTTTTTGTTTTTTTTTTTTTTTTTTTGCATTTTTAGTAGAGATGAGGTTTCACCATGTTGGCCAGGCTGGTCTCAAACTCCTGACCTCAAATGATCCACTCACCTCAGCCTCCTAAAGTGCTGGGATTACAGGCATGAGCCATATTTTAGATGTTCTGATCATTTCACCAGTTAGAAACATAATAGAAAGATTCCATTCAAGGCAAAACCCAAAAGTTAGTAGTGTCTATCTCTTGAGTTATGAGATTATAAATTATCTCCATTTCCTACTTTTTAAACCTATTGTTTCTATATTTTCTAACACTAACATGTTACTTAAAATATATAAAATAACTGTGAAGGGAAGAAAAGGTATTATTTTTAAAACAACCCCCCAAAACCTCATGGTTTAAAAGGACAAAGACCATGTTTCTAAAAGTTAAATGTCATCAAAATCTTATTTCCCTTTTCATTGAGCTGTCCAGAAAATTAAAAGGCTCCTAGATCCTTTGTTACATATGTTTTACATGGGTGGCTTTACTTATTATTCATCTTTACAGGCATATAGATACATAATAGAGATTTTTGCTGATCATATTTTACTGGTTGAATATGTTAGAAGCCTTTCATTATGAA
The DNA here is from genome assembly GCF_000001405.40 of Homo sapiens. Taxonomy (NCBI): domain Eukaryota; kingdom Metazoa; phylum Chordata; class Mammalia; order Primates; family Hominidae; genus Homo; species Homo sapiens. The sequence continues at coordinate 177,630,702 of NC_000002.12, read as the reverse complement.
AAGTAAAAAAAAATTAAAATAAGGAAAATGTAGATATTCATGCATTTAAAAGAAAGAAAATAATCAGTAAAGTAGAGAATAGTGGAATTTTCCTGTTGGGCAGAGTAAATTCCATGCTCCTCTGACCTGTAAAATATTTACCTATTGCTCTTTAATCTGAGCTCCTTGAATTTGTTCTAGTCCCAGTTCAGAAACAAAATCCTCGGCCCTGCCCCCATGTTACCCCCTATCTTGGAGAAGCCCTCTGATATGAAAGCTGAAGATGGACTCATTTGCATTAAATTAAAGTAAGCCATCTTACTTTTAGGGCTCTCATTCCACTACCAGGGGCAACCCAGGAGCGGTGAGACAAGCTTATACCATTTGGGAACAGGAGGACTCTTAAAAACACACACACACAAAATTAAGCACAAAAGAATATACTTAGAAGGGTCTGGCACAAGTGAGGATGCTGAAGCCTGACTTTCATCAGCCTGGTCGTCCATCTGCCCCTGGCCACACCCTACATTTCCTCTTCCCTCATCCCCCTTTCATCCCTCTGTCACTCTCTTCCACACTGCTTCCCTTTCTGCCATGTCTATTTCCATGCATGTTTCCATGCTTTGTATATTTAGCACAACTCCCAGATCTTTAGCTTTAAAAATGAGCACCTCCTCATTTCAGGATTTTACCTGACCTTTCCTATTCAAGTAAGTCCACCCAGAGTCATCTATGGTAAAGCAATTGTAGGATTATTTTGTAAAAATTTAAGTGCATAGTCAATTGAGATCTGGAGCCCTCTGTGGCAGGCAAAGATGCACACGTAAGTAGGCATATGTGAGCTGGATATTTTGTTTCCTGTCTTGCTTGATGTAGTTGTAAAACAGGATTTGAGTCTACATGGCTGGTGTCCCCTAGAGTTGTACACAGCTATGCTGGTGATGTCTTATTTTTTCATTCTCTAAGTAGGCTCTATTAATACAACATATTGGTGTTAAATGCATATTTACTTCTTGTAAATAGCTCTTGTTTACCAAAATAATCATCACTTTCATTTCCTATAGCCAGTTTCCATTCTCCTCATAAGTGAAAGGTGGAAAATCATGTCAGTTACTCTGTTTCCTCTCTCCTCCACCTGTGTTTTGTTTTGTTTTGTTTTAGGCACTGGTGAAGGTCAACGTGAAACTGAAGCCGATGCTAGATTCAGTAGCTACAAACAGAAGTAAGTGGGAAGAGCTACACCAAAAACGACTGCTGGCCTCAACTGCCTCATCCTCCCCTGCCAGTGTTATGGTAGCCAAGGAAGACAGGAACTAAACCTCCAGGTCAGCTGCAGCTGCAAAATGACTACAGCCTGAAGGGCCATTTTCAGTCCAGCAATGTCATCCTTTTGTTCTTTTAGCTCAGAAAGACCTAACATCTCAAGGATGCACTGGGAAGCATGCCTGGGCTTTCACCTTGAAGCATGGTCAGCAGCAGAGAGAGCAACGGGAAGGACAAAGAAAGAGGTGGGGCAGGGAGCACACCCCAGGACCCTCACTTTTCCCTAATGAACACGCATGGGCTGAAATGAAGGCTCTGGGTAGGGGACTGTTTTGGATCCAAGGACCTGTGGACAGTCGGCCTACTTACTCTGAGCTGAGGGAACACTGAACAGTAAAAGCGTCATTAGCGCTGCTTCGTTTTGTATAGGGCTTTTCTGTTTGTTACAAGCCAAACACTGCCTGTCTTTGCTTCCTGTCCCTGAATGCCTTTTTGTGCCAGACTGTCCCAAGAATCCTAATTTGTATTCCATAGAGGTATTTTATTTTTAATCCTAGAGCTTCTTATTGATGGATCCTTTAGAATTGCCTACCTAAAAGGTAAACTATACTATCCTTATAAATACTGATCAATCCCAGTTCTCCCCCTAAAAATGAATACATAGTAGGACTATAGCAAATGTGTTTGATGGGTAATTCTAGACTGGGACTATGGTACCCTTTTCCAGAGTTTTAAAATTCAACCTTCATTACAGACAAAGTTTTCTCCCAGAAGGAATGGATTGATAGATTTTGATTAAAGTAAGGGTGGAAGGAAATCTGTAGCTGGATTTACCACAAGTGACATCTAGAAACTATAGTTCACAGGACAGAGCAGAGCCATGGAGACTAAGCATTGACTACCTTGAGTTCTCCTAGTGAGGAGTTCTGGTATAAAATTTAAGATTACTACCAGTAACCAACTTAAAGCAAACTATAGGGGTCCCTAATTTTGGATTTTTCCTTAAGTGTAAGAAACAATGCTTCAAATGTTAAGAAATAACAGTCTGGGCAAAGAACGCATATTCTATAGGAAGCCAGGTTTACAATAGGTAAGAATAAACTGTATTAAGTAGATGTAATGACTAGAAAGCTGCTTTGCTCCCTATATTGAGAAATTGTGGACATGGTATGTGTTATCCAAAGAACATTGGGCTAGAAGATAGATTTCTATCCTTAGCTTTGGCATTATTGACTGGATTGACTTGAACAAGTCACTTAACTTCTACAAGCTTGTTTCCTTATTTGTCAAATTAGATTACACTAGGAAACGATTCTCGAACATGTTTTAACCTTACAACTCTTTGTTCAAATAAATCTTTCAATGAATCCCCAACATATAAAACGTCAAAAAGCTGAATTCCTATGTGAATTATAAGCAGGGTTTGGACATCCAGAGCACCTACAAACCTTCATCTCTTTGATTACGTACATGGGGGTCCACAGGGACTCTGAAGAGTTTGAAAATCCCTGGCCTAGATTAAACCTGAGAGCCATTCTAGCTCTTAAAAAAATCTGAAATTTACAAACCATTTTTCTTGTTATTGTTTTTGTTTCTTTGTTTGTTTGTTTTTTGAGACTGAGTTTTCACTCTTGTTGCCCAGGCTGGAGTGCAATGGCGTGATCTCGGCTTACTGCAACCTCTGCTTCCTGGGTTCAAGCAATTCTCCAGCCTCAACCTCCTGAGAAGCTGGGATTACAGGTGCCTGCCACCACGCCTGGCTAATTTTTGTACTTTTAGTAGACACAGGGTTTCACCATGTTTGCCAGGCTGATCTCAAACTCCTGACCTCAGGTGAGCCACCCACCTCTGCCTCCGAAAGTGCTGGGATTACAGGCGTGAGCCACCGTACCCGGCCCTTGTTATTGTTATTAATCATTATCAATCATTAACTTTACAGATATTAAAGAAATAGGGGCCATGTTCTACATGCGACATTGTTTTCCTGGCACACAGTAGACAATTCAGGAAATGTCTGAAGAAGGAATGGGTAAAATTAAGATACCAAAATGGAATTGAGGGGAGAGCAGGTAATTGTAGAGAAAAAGACTCTTTATGGCAAGAAACAAAGTAAAAGAAATGTATAGACCGGGCGCGGTGGCTCACGCCTGTAATCCCAGCAATTTGGAAGGCCGAGGCGGGCGGATCACGAGGTCAGGAGATCGAGACCGTCCTGGCTAACACGGTGAAACCCTGTCTCTACTAAAAAACACAAAACAAATTAGCCAGGCGCGGTGGCAGGCGTCTGTAGTCCCAGCTACTGGGGAGGCTGAGGCAAGAGAATGGCGGGAACCCGCGAGGCGGAGCTTGCAGTGAGTCGAGATCACGTCACTGCCCTCCAGCCTGGGCGACCAGCGAGACTCCGTCTCAAAAAAAAAAAAAAAAAAAAAAAAAAAAAAAAAAAGTATAAACCAGACTAAGAGGGGAATAAAAGCAAGAAGAAAAAGAAACGTAAGAACACCAGTAAAGGAAAGACAGGGACCGAGACAGGTGGTTAAGGGAAATGAAAAAAAAAAAAAAAAGGTGAAAGTCAATCCAAACAAAGAAAAATGGCACTTCCAACCAAAAAAAATGAAGGTGTAGAACCCTGTCATCAATTGCTCAGAAAAGAGAGACACTTGAGCAGGGAGGGGTTTGAGAAAGGGGAGAAGGAAGGAGTGAGAGCCCTAAAAAATAATGTTCCTAGCTACCCTTTACAGCTGTCTCTGCAGGGAAGACTGGAGAAAGTAGAGGGGGAAATGAATGCAGGAAGAAACTGCCTCTGCAGAGCAGGTAAGAGGAGGTTGTTCAGATTTATGGATTTTATTAAGCCAGTTTTCTGTATCACTCTGCTATAAAGGAAAATAGCTTCTGCAGGGCTGTCTCTCCTCCTTCAGGTGGGGAACAAAGGGTGGGTGGAGTCAGGGACAGAGTCTGGTCTGCGAGATCGTGACGTGTCTGCAGCTCCGAAGCACTGCAGGTGTTTCTGGGTAATGTGCCACATCATGTTTATATCACGAACGGGAATTGAAAATCAGTCTGTGTGAGGCAGAGATGAGCCCACATCTGTTATCCTCCCCAACAATAAATAAATAAATAGCCCAGACAAATGGATGCCAGTCCATCTACAGCAACATTTTAAAGCATGTGCTTTATGACAAAACTGGACCCAGGGTCTGACAGAGACTGCAGGCTGCCGTGAGCACTGTAGCTATCCTGAACATTGATGCTACATATTGCTAAGGGGAACATAATTTATAGCATAAACCCTACAAGCTTCCACTAAGGTTGAGTTTTCCTCTCATTTTCTTGCCGTTTTATTGGCTTCACTGCATGGTTGCCAATAGCAACATCCACTGGTAGCAAGGGGAGTTCAACACCATTGCAATCTGCCATACAGTGGAGCCCTGACAATGTCAACCATCAATCTAGTAGCTGTTTGTAATTGCCTCCATCTATTTCTCCTGTCTTGAGGTATCTTTCCTATTGTGGGTCAAGATTTAGAAACTGCTGACTAATGCCATGGGTCTGTGTCTCCATGACTATGAAGCAGTGGACAGGAAGGTAGCAGCTTCCTGGTGCCAACAACCCCAGAGGTTAGAGGTTGAACTCTTGCGGGTTTCAGGCGTTTTTAATCCCTTTTCTAAACAATTTATAATTTTGCAAGAATGTGAGGCATATGCAGTTATCCATATAATCTGCTTTTCCAAAAAAGAGAAAGGAAGTTTCCCAGTCCTTATTATTAATGTTTATTTCCTATTGGAGAAAGACATTTGAAATATGAGCCTTCTTGTAAAAACTCAAACTGACCAGATTATGTTTGCTTCCTCAGGTCTCTTGGCATTAATTGTTGAAATAACTTCATCCTACTTTTTCGATGAGATGTATTTTTTTCAGACATATTTATTCTTACTAGTCACTATGTAGCTATTATGTGCACAATCTACAATGTAGTGGCAATCCTGGTGGGTAGGGACAGCTTCACATACTGCAAAGGGTGCCATTCAGTGCATAGCAGACTGGAACTCCCTCCTAGCTTGGCCACCAGCTGAACCTGTAATCTTAGGACTCTCCAAGTCTTAGAATCTCCATCTATTACATAAAAGCACTGACTTTTATTCAGTCCCCACACCAAAGGACCAAGACGTGTTTAGCTTTAAAGAAATTTTCCAGATAATTTTCTTTTTTATTCTTCTCAAATAAAATAGCAACAAACCTAAAGCAGTCATCTTCTTAATAAAGACATAATAAAACTTACATATATGGGGTAGATGTAAGCACAATCATACTACAGATGTATCTTGAGCCTGTCTCTAATTATGATGAAAGATGTAGTCATCAATACAATTTAAAAAAAGATATGTCCTTTTTTTGAGACAGGGTCTTGCTCTGTCACCCAGGCTGGAGGGCAGTGGCACAATCACAGCCACTGCAGCCTTGACCTCTCCAACTTAAGTGATCTTTCCTGCCTCAGCCTCATGAGTAGCTGGGACCACAGGTGTGCACCACCACACCCAGCTAAATTTTGTATTGTTTGTAAAGACGAGGCCTCACTATGCTGACCACACTGGTCTCGAACTCCTGGGCTCAAGCAATCCTCCTGCCTTGGCCTCCCAAAGTGTTAGGGTTAGAGATATGAACCACCACACCCACCTTATATGTCCTTTTATTTCATAAAAAACAATTTTAGATTATCTGATATCACACATATCCCATAAATGGTAGTCATTAATTTAGAAGTGAATTTATAAAGTTAAGAGAAGTTAAAATTGCACATGCATTTTGTTTCTAAAATCTGAGATGTCTATGCATTTCCAGGTATTGTATATTTGCAAATACATTGGGTTAGAAATCATCTTTAACATTTTGTGTTAGTGTAATAACAATATTATCTAATATTAATGCTGCCAGAATCCAGTTGCTTTTTCTGTGTATCAAAATTTATCATAACTTTTTCCACTTAACACTAGGTAATTAAACAGAATCTGCCCAATTTATTCTGCAGTAAAATTATTTTAAAATCTATTTTTCCTGCTGACTCTTAGAAATTGCAGAAAGACAAAAACCAGTTTCATCTCCAGTAATAGTGTGAAACAATTTCCTTCCAGTGGGACAGAAACCTAGACATACTAGGGAAAGATTTAAATATAAAGAAAAATGCCTTGGCTGAAAAAAAAAAAAACCACCAAAACACAAAAAGGATTCATTAAAGCAACAGAACAAAACCTAATTTGGGACCCTAAAAACTCTGGCAATGCCACTGTAATGAAGTTTCATTATCTGCTTCAGAGTAACAGTCTCTGAAATTGTTATTCTGCTACATGCTGTAAAGAACTCCCAAAACTCAAATGTATCAGGAAATGTAAAGGTTAAGTCTGACTACAAGAAGGCCAAAATTGCACCAGCTTCCTAAGTGAAGAATAATAGAATAAAACATATAGAGGGCAGAAATAAAATGAGGTGTATCTGGAGAATTTCATGATGAGCATTTAGATTTAGCAATGCCCAATGTCATGCTGACACTGTTTGTCATGACCTTGTCTTCAGCTAGTAATTTGGGGTTGTACTTTTTTAAATTTAATTTTGAATGTTCTTGCATGTTTGGTACCTCTCTCCTCACTGCTAAAGATAAATTGTTTATCTGTATAACATAACTACACCAATGTCATTTTTGTATACGCTAGTACACAAATGTGTTTTTTTATTAAGTAATGAAGTATTTGCTGTGAAAAATGTATTATTTGTGCCACCGTTTATATCTGTGTTCATTTTCTGTGTGTATATGCGTGTGTATTCGAATCTCAATTTTTCTTTTACTCTAGTTTAGATTAAGACATATTTAGATGAAATTTTAAAAATAACATTGGAAATAGGAGGCTAAGTTTTGTTGAGTCTCATTCCCTTGGGGGGAAATTGCTTTTGCCATTTTATTTTCATGTACAATAACCTAAAAAGGATCTCCTACTGACTTCCTTCCTAATTATTATTGTTTTACACGAAAGAAAGGAAATACGTTTTCAATTGAGTTGTTTGAAATCATTCACTTTGTGTAGATTTCCCAGACTGATGTTTCATTGTAAGAATATTACATTATAGACAGGTTGGCCATTTCACAAGCAACTAATCCATAGTTTTGGAAGCCCGCTTTAAGAGACCTGAATATCTTTGTTTTTAATAAAATACTTAGAGTTTAACTAAAGCTCTGGAATAATCTTTATTTCTTTTGAGAAGGGTGATTTCAGGGCTGAAAGAAGGAAGCAAGCATCCAAATACCTACAGTTTAAATGTTGACTGTTAATTTAGTCCATTAACCTTGTGTTGATCTGTGATGTTTTCATGTGTGAGAGGGACACTAGGACACGCCTGTCCATATAGCTTTTTAAAGATGACAAAAGGTTCTTCAAATTATCGAAGTTTTTCTGGAGGTAGGAGAGTCTGCGGACAAATGCTGGGTTCCTGTGTCCGTTACAGATTGCTCAAATTTGCATGGGCAATTACACAGGGGGATCGCATCAATGCAGGGCCGCTAGCCACACTGTCGCCATACAATTACACAACGGCTTCGGTGCTTAAACTTTAAAATTCTTACACCATTGTGCCTGTTCTATTAGAACAAACTGCAGCAAATGATCCAAAGCCAATTCAAATGACTGGAGAGGAGGTGGCCAGGGAGAGAGAGGGAAGAGGTGCAGTGTGACCCTCTACTGGCCAGCATAAGCAATCACCATTGCTGGCTGCTGCAATCACTGGCTTCTTTGTGCTTTGCAGTCTGCAGTTTTAAAGTGGGGCCCACAGTAAGGCTCACCTAATTCACAGAAGGGCTGTGAGGATTAATGAGGGAAGTTAGGCAAAGCAGGCCTGATACTCAAAGTACTGCATAAACACAGGGGCTTGGAGTAGCTCTTTGTCTGAATGGTTGATTTTTTTTTTTTAAATGCTGCTGTATCCACAGTTTTGCCTTCTCCATTAATCCCTTTTATAAACCAAAATGCTATTGTGTTCTCCCTGGGAAGTTAATTTAGACAATAATACTGTAAACCCCAAAATACAAGCTACTTGATCAAAAGCAAGGGATATTCAAGAAGGAAATCTAATTAAAATATTAATAAAGCTGGAACTACCCGCAAAAGGAGAGTTCATAATGAGGTTAAATGTCACACCATCTGAGGACAAATGTTCTCAAGTGTTGATTTTAGCATACACTCTTTCCCAAAGTCTTAAAAGGTGGAACAGATGCTCCAAAAAGTCAGTCAACTATATTTCCAATTTGGCACTAATTTATAGTTTTCTTCTCTGTTCACGGTAGAAGACTGGAGTGGGAGAAAGGGGATGCAAGATAACTGAACTCCACAAACTGTCCATCCTGAAGAAAATGGTCTGAAATCCAAGGGAAAAAGAAATAACAACTGGAAAATGGATTTGCAGAAGGTCCTCCCTTATAAAGGAAGATGTTTGACCACAGCTGTGGTTGAAAAACTCACAAATTAACAATGTTTACCAACAGAAAGGGGCCACAGATACAGTATAAATAAGACATACCTGCCAACTAGTTTTAAAAGAGAATGCCAAATAGATTGTACATACAAATAGAATATGGGACTTGATCATGGCATATTTTGGCAGGCAGAACATAAGTATGCTAAGAACCAAGCATCATGCTTTTTGTTCCTATCTATTTCGCCTAAATGAAACTCTTCTACGTGATAAACATGTCTCCCTTTGTGTAGCAAAATCCACCCTGAGTCCAACTCAAATTTCATCAAACTACAATTCCTTTCTACAAGTCACCAAATCACTTTATTGCAACCACCAAATGCTTTCCTATTAATTGAAATGGTATGATACACTTACTTTTTGATATATCCTCCAGGTTTTCAAGATCCTATTGCAAACAAAATGATGCTTTATGACACTTTATAATATTCCACCCTATTTCATTCTTTCCATAATTTCTATCATTAAACAGCCTTCTCTCACCACCACGCCCAACAAAACTAATCTATTCCCCAACTGCCTATCAGAGACCAGATAAAAGTCAGTCTATCACAGCAGCAGTGATGGTCATGCCAATTTCACAGTGTGATTTGTGCACTCATTTCATTTTGAAAATGACCCTGCCCTCCATCTGTCTAAGCAGAATGTCCTGCTCTTTTCAAGCCAGGCCTCTGGAGCAGCATCACATGAAATAAGGAGGAAGAGACACAGAACGGCCTCCCTCCTGCCCACTTCAGCCACCATGCTCACAGGTACCCACACAAAGAGGAGAACCCCAACTGAATCCTGGTAGGGATCCCAGAAATTTGGAGGAGAATATAGTCCTTTTATTTTCATACATTTTCAAGAAGCCATTTGAAGATGATGTAAATACAACTCTGCAAAACAGAGAGAAAGACTAATGAAGGGCAATTTCCCATTCCCATGTTGTCATCTCACCTTAATTTAATAGCAAATTACCTAAGGTAACAGTACATATATAAGAATTTTAAAATACTGAGCCTTGCGAGGCACAGTGGCTCACACCTGTAATCCCAGCACTTTGGAAGGCCAAAGTGGGAGGGTTGCTTGAGGCCAGGAGTTCGAGATGAGCCTGGGCAACATGGTGAGACCCTATCTCCATTAAAACATTTTTTAAAAAAGATTAGCCAGGCATGGTTGTGCACCTGTAGTCCCAGCTACTCAGGAGGCTGAAGCATGAGGATCACTTAAGCCCAGGAGTTCAAGGCTGCAGTGAACTATGATCATGCCACTGCATGTCAGCCTGAGCAACAGAACAAAGCCCTGTCTCTAAAAAATAAATAAATAAAATACTGAGCCTAAATTCCCAAGGGAGAACCATCAGGCAGCCTGCTGTAAAGAAGTCGATGCACCCCTTCCCCCAATTTATTACTGAGCAGTATCCTCTACCCATGTACCTCCTTGGGCTTAAGACTCTAAAAGGGTGCACCAAGAGATCAGATTGAAAGAAGCCTCAGAATAGAGTTATAGTAATATTCCACAGTTGCTTTCTGTGGGGTCTTAGGTGAGCCAAAGTCCCATTCAATCCTGAAATGGGTGCAGTTTCCCTTTCTTGGAATTGATGCACTGGGAAGCTCCTTGTCTAGTTCCAGCCAAAAAGACCCAACTCTGCCAATTCCTGGCAAGGGAGAAGACTGAGTAAGTACATAAAGTCAGTCATATGATGATATGAGCAATCACACACCTACTAAAAATCTCCTTCCAGTGATACTGGGTAAATACGAACTACACAACTCCAGTAGTCACATCTGCTCACAGCTGGAATCAAGGCCTAGAAGTTCAAAGTTTACTAACTACACAAAGTTAGTTCATTGTTTTAATGGAGAAACAAAGACAATAATATTCCTTATACACACTTAGCACCAAACAATGGGCCCTTACAAACTCACGTACATGAGATACATGGATTGGGTTATTCATCAGTCACTATTTCCTATTGAAATTGGTTATTGGATATCATGGTTCAGCCCCTACCTACCTAGATGTGGCTTTAAACAAACTATTAATTTAATAGTTTGATTTAATTAATGTAATACTTAAATCTTTAAACCTTTCTAGCCCACAGACTTCTTAAACTACAATATGCAGAATGCAGGCTGCTTATTCAAATTAGAAATACTATATGTAAACAGTCTCTAATAGAGGTGCTATATGATATGGTTGACATCGTTATCAACCGTATGATAGCTGTGAAGTTTATATACAGAAAAGATTTATGGGCAGTAACACTATTATGGATGCATACAAAGGATTTGCAGTAATTATGTAGCAAACAACACACTTTTACTTGGATTAGGTTTATATTAGGTGCTAGAGAGACCAATGGATATCATGGGAGATGACAAAAGATACTGATTTCTTATTGGCAGAGACAGTTGGAGGACCACAGCAATGGATACAACCAAGTGTAAACGCCAACATATACTCAGTAATTTTTTTTTTGTCATGGAAAAGGAGAGATACTGCGATCAAAAACAGATCCTCTCCCAGTACCAATTAAGATTCACAGCACTTTTTCCTTATTAACCTCTGGAAACCACCAAAATAAGAAGGATTTCTGTTTGCTGCTGTATTCTGTTCTTACAAACTGTGCCCTCGGGGTAGCATAAGAACCTGCTCTAATTCCAAGGGAATTCAAGGAGTTAACTCCCTTTTGCCATCCCGCTCCTTTTATTAAAAGGTCCTTTTATTGTACTGACGATCTCTACTTTATTAAAAGTAAGCCAAACGCCAGCATTAGTATAGACCACACCAATGCACAAGGCTCAAAATCGCCAGAACATGGTGCCGGAAATCTTCCTCCGATTCGCTAGAGACCGAGGTGGCACAACAGACACAGAGAGTGCCCCTCATCTTTAGGGGGCAGGGAAGGCGAGTGACCGTGCGTCCACACGGGCCGCGAGTCGGGTCGGTGCAACAGGGACTACGCCTCCCAGCATGCAGTGCGGCCACGCCTGCGCAGCGGCGCCACAGGAACGATGCATGCCGGGACCGGGAAGATTCAGTCTCTGAACGGCCCGGAGTAGTCGTCTTTCCCCTTCTGACTGCCGCCACGCTGCAGTCCAGAATATTTGAAGATCAAACCGAACTTGAGAGACTAACGAGAACGGTCCCTTTTTATTCCTAACAGATTCCTTCCGTGGCAAAGTAACCCGTCGTCTTCCGTTTCCGGTTGCCCGGTTGCCCTGTTGCCGTGGTAACCGCACGCATAACAGCCGTGGTGGTTATGGCTGGTCTGAGCGGCGCGCAGATCCCCGACGGGGAGTTTACCGCGCTAGTGTACCGGCTCATCCGCGATGCCCGCTACGCCGAGGCGGTGCAGCTGCTGGGCCGAGAACTGCAGCGGAGCCCCAGGAGCCGTGCCGGCCTGTCGCTGCTAGGCTACTGCTACTACCGCCTGCAGGAGTTCGCGCTGGCGGCCGAGTGCTATGAGCAGCTGGGCCAGCTGCACCCGGAACTGGAGCAGTACCGCCTGTACCAGGCCCAGGCCCTGTACAAGGCCTGCCTTTATCCGGAGGCCACTCGGGTCGCCTTCCTTCTCCTGGATAACCCCGCCTACCACAGCCGGGTCCTCCGCCTGCAAGCTGCCATCAAGTATAGCGAGGGCGATCTGCCAGGGTCCAGGAGCCTGGTGGAGCAGCTGCTGAGTGGGGAAGGGGGAGAAGAAAGTGGAGGCGACAATGAGACCGATGGCCAGGTCAACCTGGGTTGTTTGCTCTACAAGGAGGGACAGTATGAAGCTGCATGCTCCAAGTTTTCTGCCACACTGCAGGCCTCGGGCTACCAGCCTGACCTTTCCTACAACCTGGCTTTGGCCTATTACAGCAGCCGACAGTATGCCTCAGCACTGAAGCATATCGCTGAGATTATTGAGCGTGGCATCCGCCAGCATCCTGAGCTAGGTGTGGGCATGACCACCGAGGGCTTTGATGTTCGCAGTGTTGGCAACACCTTAGTTCTCCATCAGACTGCTCTGGTGGAAGCCTTCAACCTTAAGGCAGCCATAGAATACCAACTGAGAAACTATGAGGTAGCTCAAGAAACCCTCACCGACATGCCACCCAGGGCAGAGGAAGAGTTGGACCCTGTGACCCTGCACAACCAGGCACTAATGAACATGGATGCCAGGCCTACAGAAGGGTTTGAAAAGCTACAGTTTTTGCTCCAACAGAATCCCTTTCCTCCAGAGACTTTTGGCAACCTGTTGCTGCTCTACTGTAAATATGAGTATTTTGACCTGGCAGCAGATGTCCTGGCAGAAAATGCCCATTTGACGTATAAGTTCCTCACACCCTATCTCTATGACTTCTTAGATGCCCTGATCACTTGCCAGACAGCTCCTGAAGAGGCTTTCATTAAGCTTGATGGGCTAGCAGGGATGCTGACTGAGCAGCTTCGGAGACTCACCAAGCAAGTACAGGAAGCAAGACACAACAGAGATGATGAAGCTATCAAAAAGGCAGTGAATGAATATGATGAAACCATGGAGAAATACATTCCTGTGTTGATGGCTCAGGCAAAAATCTACTGGAATCTTGAAAATTATCCAATGGTGGAAAAGGTCTTCCGCAAATCTGTGGAATTCTGTAACGACCATGATGTGTGGAAGTTGAATGTGGCTCATGTTCTGTTCATGCAGGAAAACAAATACAAAGAAGCCATTGGTTTCTATGAACCCATAGTCAAGAAGCATTATGATAACATCCTGAATGTCAGTGCTATTGTACTGGCTAATCTCTGTGTTTCCTATATTATGACAAGTCAAAATGAAGAAGCAGAGGAGTTGATGAGGAAGATTGAAAAGGAGGAAGAGCAGCTCTCTTATGATGACCCAAATCGGAAAATGTACCATCTCTGCATTGTGAATTTGGTGATAGGAACTCTTTATTGTGCCAAAGGAAACTATGAGTTTGGTATTTCTCGAGTTATCAAAAGCTTGGAGCCTTATAATAAAAAGCTGGGAACAGATACCTGGTATTATGCCAAAAGATGCTTCCTGTCCTTGTTAGAAAACATGTCAAAACACATGATAGTCATTCATGACAGTGTTATTCAAGAATGTGTCCAGTTTTTAGGACACTGTGAACTTTATGGCACAAACATACCTGCTGTTATTGAACAACCCCTCGAAGAAGAAAGAATGCATGTTGGGAAGAATACAGTCACAGATGAGTCCAGACAATTGAAAGCTTTGATTTATGAGATTATAGGATGGAATAAGTAGTTATGACTGATAGTGGCTTTTTTCAAAATGGCTTTCTTACGTACCACACTTTTTTTTATCTGTATTTAGCCTTGGCATCTTTATATTTGTCTTATTTTGAATCTTATCCACTTTGTAAGAACAAGTTTATGTTTGAGCAACTTTTTCATTTAATCCAGAAGGGTAGGGACTATGCAGTGTAAGCTGCATCACTTCTGCTTTCTTCCTACTAGTGACAATCATCTGGTCTTGCCCTCAAGCAACAATTGCTAGAGTAACATCTTTGTATAAGCAAGTAACCCCAGATAGAGTTGACGTTTCAGCTTTGGGCTGTCAAAAGGGTATGTCATGGACCAAAGCACTGTTAGTACGGGTATGTTTGCATTTGGTCACTGATATGTAAATGACTGCTAGCCCACGGCTGGACCACTTCTCAATCAGCAAATAAAGCCATGTCTATTTTGCTATCTCAGCATAGACTATGCTGTCTGATAAATCTAATTCTTAACTCTATTTCTCCAGTTTTTTAGTCCTTTAACTTTCTGGATTGCAACGAAGTCTAGTTTAGACCTCTAAGCCCTTTTAGAAGTACAAGTATAATGGGAATTTCTTTTCTTGGTTCTTTTCAGGTTATGAGGTTTGGTCAGTGACAAAATTTTTTTTCATAATTTGGTTGATTGGTTGCTTCTTAAGTTTTATAATAAACGTTTTTCTTCATGTTCTATTTTTGATTTTACAGAAATGATTTTGCCTCCTTGTGGATACTGACATATATTAAGTGTGGAAGCTTATTAATATTTTTGGTTTTTTAAAAACTGAAATTTTTAATTTTTACTTTTTAATTTTTTAGGAAAAAATAAGCACTGAACTGAGAATGAGAAGAATAAAAGTATGAGTTCCATACCTTCTAATTTTAGGCTGTCAGAAATTCCTTTATTCTTTGGGATTTCACAATCATTTGAACTATCAGAAGCCTTTACAATTACTTTTAGCTGTAACATCCGATTCTGTATAAGCCACATAGAAAAAAGTTGCCTTTCTTTTTTTATGACCTGGATATATAAGCAAATCAGCTAGGAAATATATAATTGTATTTTATATTAATGTTTTCTAGGATTTTGGCTTACAGTAAATGTTAACCCCTATGGTAAGTGATTGTTATTGTTGGATGTTATACTGATTATTAATAAGAAATTTGGATTTTTGCCTTTTTACCTGGAATTTTTGCTTACAGCCGTAGCTATGAATATATATAGGGTGGTCCCCAGTCTCTGTTATGGTTGCGCATAAATTAATAATTTTATAAGTATTTAGAAATGGTATAATTCTCTTAACTTCCTCTTTCAGTTTTTGTACTAATGTTTGTTTTTGTTCGGGAAGAGGAGATTTGCTTTTAATCCTTCCAAAAAATGATGAACCACCGTTCCATTCAGTAGTTTGACAAGCTGTTATAATGTGTATTTTTTCCTCAATTATTCTTGAAATATTTAGAGCCTCTCCTGCTTCTAACATGAAGGCCTTTAGATGCCAGTCTGCCAGAAATCTGGAAACAGAGGAACCGGTGAAGTGAAGATGTAATGGAGATTTAGCTAATGATGTACTTCACAATCCACCTTGGATCTCCTGCATGTCCAAATCTCAGTAGTTAATCAAGTGTCTGCTGCCATTAACAGAACAGAAGTAATGGATAACAGAATGGAAATAAGAGATGCCAGAACTACTTCCATAACTAACTCACCAAATCAAATCATCAGTCCTCATATTCTTGTTTTATTTAATACAAGGAGAAGAGGCCATGCACTTTCCAAAAGGTCAAAGCCACATAGAATAGGAAGGCAATCTCTAGTTTAAAGCTTTCTCTTGGAGTGTTTTCTCCCCCTGTCTTCAAAGGGTCTACTTGAGAGATAGTGGTGTTTACTGCTGCAGCATGTATCACAAGATAAGAAATGAAAAATCAATCTTTCTTACCACCCTGTTCTCTTTCCCTTTTTTATCTTTTCCCTTTTGTCAATTATAGAATTATAGGGACATTTTTCTCTGATAGCTGGAAGTTGAACCTCAACCAGGTATAAAAGATGCATAACAACCTTTTAGCAGTAAGTGTCAAGTGAGTGAGCACTATGATTATCAAGGTGACTTTGGAAACCTTTTAAAAATGCATTTTTGCAAAACAAGATAACATATATTGATAAAAAGTGACTCTCAGATTGGTAATGCCAGAAAAAATTTTAAGAGGACTCACCAAAAGTACTAGATCTATGTAAGTTGTAGAATAGAGTGAAGTTTTTTTATATATTTGTGGTAGCCTCCATCTTTTAAACTTTTTGAACTCAGTAGAAAAACAGACTGAAATTTTAAAGACATGCAGTATTTGTATCATTTTAAATTCTGTAACACTGGGAATTAAATATACTCAACTTTAGAGGACACTTGCCTTACTGTAATCTATAATCATTTTATATTGAAAAATAGGGCCAGACATTAGCCAAACGGTAATTAATTTACTAGCCATAGGTATAGTGTTTAATATTCTCTTGGGGAGTGAGTCTTTACTAAGTGATTACTCTATACTTGATACCACTATTAATTGAGGTTCTTTTGGTTGTTTAATTAAATCAGCTCCTTTGGATTTGGGCCAAGATTGATCCACCACATACTGAAATCCGTTCTACAACATCATAATGTGTATTTACTAGAAAAGGACTTGCTTCATAAGGAAAAATTATTAGAATATAGAGACTTATAAGTACATTTCTAGTGTGAAAAATAAGCATTTGTTAGTTTAAGTGAGACCTGCCAATAACTTGATTGCAAATATTAATATCATGTGAACATATAAAATGGGCCCAAATCCTTGTTCAAAAGTGAAATTTGCACGTTTGTGAAATAAAACACATCAATATCAATGACTGAATACCTTAATTCAAAACAGCAAATGGCTAAAATTATACTATGCAAGCAGGACCCTAGTAAGTTATGTGGGAAAGCATTTATTGCTGCTAATATTTTATTTTCAATTATTTCATTAGGAGAGTCAAATGCTTAAGATAGAGGACACATGACTAAAAGTTTCACCAGCACTCATGGCATCTGCTATAAAACATGTGTCCACAGAGTACCCACAAACTCTCAAGATCTTAAGTCTCAACAGTAAATTACTGGTTAGTTTTTCTAATCAGAGTCTCAACGTCTTAGTCCCAATTCTTCCAAATTTTCCAAAACCATACACTATAGTGTATATGGAAAGGAGAATATGTACTTTTGTGAATATAAAGTGTCTGTTCCATTTTTAGTCATGAAGTACCATAGGAAGAGATGGTCACACCCTAACATTGTAAAGCAAAAGAAAGCTTCAGGAATCAGACCATAACAGCAACACTTTGCTGAAAAATATTTAATTAGAAGGCAATACCACATACTCACATATGCTAAGGAGTGCAATTATTTTGTATGTTTACTGGAAAAGGCAAAAAATTTTTCTGTAGTTAAAACAATATTTTTGTTTCTAGAACTTTTGTTCTTGTACTGATTCATTACCATTAAACTGTTTTCACAAAATGCCAAAGAACAGAGGAGAGCTATACATGATTTGACCAAGACGCTGCAAGTAGTTTCAGAAACTGAGGAGACTATTTTTCTGACAATGTATATAAGATCTATAATGAAATGATTGGTAAAATTATAAAATGGTTCTGGAAATAATCATGTAAAATATAAAATGGGAAATTGTAAATGTGATTTTTTTACATTTGTAGATACGACCTAAATAGGTTCTTTTAAATTACAAATTAAGGATTAAGATAAACATCTGGAATGTGTCTGCAGCTAGAGTCTGAACAATGAGGGCTTAGACCAGTTCATCTCTTGAATCATAAAACTGAGGCTCAGAGAGATTAAGATGTCTTCCCCGGGATAATATGATAGAGCCAAATAGGATCCGGGCAAAGCCTGGATCAGAATTCAGGGCGTCTTACTCAATTCTCCTGCTCTTTCCACTCTACTACCTTTCTCTTAGGGCAGGGACCCCTCTTAGGGGCCTACAGGGCCCTCCAAGTATAGAAATAAAGGAAAATCCTGAGTTCCTACAAGGGAAGTTCCAGCCACCTAGCTAGCCCTGAAAAGCAAATAAGCAACTTGATGAGCAAGAAGGTATTAGTAACTTAAGGCGATAGCCAAAGAAATTGGAATCACAGGATGTTTGGTTCCCCTATAGGAACTAGAGATAACATCTTAACATATGTCCTTGAATTGTTTTTCAGAAACCCAGACCCCCACCAAACAGATCTGCCTGCACATAGACCTCAGATAAGGGGGAACTGAGGACTGAACTCTGACTGCCGTTCTTTATGGTCTAAATTTTTTTCTGAGGTGCCTGGAGGAACCCACACCCAGGAGCCAGAGCTTACATTCTTTTCTGCTGACCCCAGAATTTTTAAACAAACCTTCTTTTCCATAACCAATTGCAAATTAGAAAATTTTTCAATCTATCTATGATCACTAAGTCCCCACTTCAAGATATCCTGCCCTTTTAGGCCAAACCAATGTGTAAACGCCATATATTGATTTACAATTTTGCCTGTAACATCTGCTTTCCTAAAATTTACCCCTGCCTTTAAAAAACCCTTGCTTGCAAACCATAAGTCAGGACTTAAGCAAGAACTGCCTGATCCTCCTTGCTTGGCACTCTGCAAATAAATGTCCTCCTTTCTCCTGCTGCAAACCTCAGTGTGGATGTTTGGCCTTATTGTGCCAGGAGGGCGAATCCCTGTTCAGTTCCATAACACCTTCTCTTAGGTATTTTTTGTTTTTTTATTTGTTTGTTTGCTTTCTTTACAAATTTTTCTATCAGTGCTAGGCATTTCTTTTCCCAGAGCTATGACTTTTGCCACTTCAGTTCCTGCTGATAATTTAATCAGTGGTTTAATAGGCTTTTTCCAAAATACACTTAGTGAGAACATTCCAGGGCTGGCCTAAATTACACTATGGTTTACAAAAGTGCGTTGAGGGTTCCTGAGCAGGTGTGCTGTGCTATTTGCAGCAGCGCAGATTTAGCTGCGGTGCAATCTGGGCTGGGCAGAAAGATTATTGACTCACCTGTTGTTTCATCACTGCTTTGAAAAAAATCACCTTATATGATCCTTCTTCAAGTCAGTGATTTTCTTCTCTTCATTATAGTTTCCAGCCACCAAACACGTAAAAATGGCTGTCAGAAGGCTTCCCTACACCTTAAGTGCAAAGAGTTGTGACTCACTTATCCAAAAATCCCAGCATAGAGCCAGCTGATTTCACAAGTATTTACAAAGTGTTACCAGAGACTTTTGAGGCCCCGTAAGGCTTTACCTTTACTTGCAAAGTCCGTTTGAGCTAAACTCCTAAACACCCTCTTCCAGGAGATTGATTGCTCATTTTGCTTAGGTTTTGAGGAGGAAAAATTAAAAGCAAGCAATTGAGCCATGATTAAGTCCCTGTTATTTACCTTCTTTTTTCTTTTTGTACTAATAATTCTTAGTCCACATTCTACATGAGAATCAGTGGGTAAACTTTTTAAAAAGTAAAGATGCCTTGGCTCTAACCCCTAACAATTCTATTTCTATTTATGGAGATGGGAGTGGGAGGAGGGGTCAGTTTTTTTGTAAGTCCCCCAGGTAACTCTAATGTATAGCAAAGGTTAAGAACCATTGTTCTGTATACACACAGTAGTGACCATGTGACTGCTCTGTGCTGGTGTGAAGGTTGTGGTGCAACATGTTTGAGAATAAAGTAATCCTGATGCCCAACCTAAAGAAATGATGCAAAATGAATAAATGGAACAAATCAAAGGATCTGAATTTTTTTTAGAGGCACTTAATCTGGGGTATTCCGATTCATTAAAAAATAGCTTTTAAACCAGTGAAACTTTTTAAAAACATTTTTTTAAATCATACATTCAATAATTCTTAAGGAAACTTTGGCTTTCATAGAAGGAATTTTAAAAATACTGAAGTAGCTAAAAGCTATACAATTTGATAGTGGAAGCTAAGAAGAGTTTTCAAAATTTAAGAACATGAAAATATTCTCTTTGTTTTCAAAGACTCATAAATGTCATTTGCTGTTGTAGGAGAGGAAAATTTTTCTACTGTCCTCTTAGGGTTTTCAGCTAGGATTGACGTAAGACAGATTAAACAGGAGAAAAGCAAATTTTATTTACATATACACGGGAGCCCCCACAAGGACAATGAAGACCCAAAGAAGTGGCTAGGCCTAAGCAGTTATACAGTAGTTTGAACAAAGGGTGGAAATTGTGGAAAAGTAACTAGGAAGATAAGTTAGTTTAACAAAGTTTGTACAGATTTCTCTCAGCCTCAATTCCCTGTCTCTGGTGATAAGCATGTTGTTTCTTTTGTACTGGTATAGGGAGGGTATCTTCCACTTGGGAGTTTCATCTACTGCTTTCGGGAAGAAAAGGGGAGATTAGAGTGCCCTTCCTATACCTGCTATTTCTCAAGTGCCTCTATTTCAAAACAACTAAGATGCCAAGGCAGCATATTTTGGAGTGGCATGTCCTGAATTCCTTCACTGTCATCTCTACTTAGTTTATTAGTTTAGCTTTGCTAAAGTCAAAAGTGACTGTGCATTATCATAACCATGCTTACAAATGCTTTTGGTTGACTTTGGATACACCCAATTTGTTCTCCTAATATTTGAGCCATATTCAACTGTTCTTCCTATAAATTTGGATTCCTCCAAACCAGACTCCAGTCCCACATATGCATTTATAGATACACATACATTTTTTAAAAATTTGCATTGGAAATTAATAATACTCAATGGTTATGTTGATTTATTTATTTTGAGACACGGTCTCACTCTGTCATCCAAGCTATAGTGCAGTGGTGTGATCATGGATCACTGCAGCCTTGACCTCCTGGGATCAAGCAATCCTCCCACTTCAGCCACCCGAGTAGCTGGGCTACAGGCACACACCACCACACCTGGCTAATTTTTTTTTTCTTGTAGATACAGGGTTTCACAAGTTAGCCAGGCTGGTCTCGAACTCCTGGGCTCAAGCTATCCATCTGCCTTGGCCTCCCAAAGTGCTGGGATTACAGGCAGGAGCCACTGTGCCCAGCCCTATATTGGTTTATTATTCAGTATGAATTCTCCAGCTTCACTCTGCCCCCACCCCCAAACATTTGGTCTAAACTGATGGTTCTCAAAATGTTTGACTGCCCAGTAGAATTATCTGAGAAGCTTTTAAAGCTCTCATGCTGTATTAGTCCACTCTTGCACTGCTATAAAGAATTAACTAAGACTGGGTAATTTATAAAGAAACAAGGTTTAATTGGCTCATGATTCCACAGGCTGTACAGAAAGGATGGCAGCATCTGCTTCTGGGGAGGCTCAGGGAGCTTTTACTCATGGTGGAAGGCAAAGTGGGAGCAGGCGTCTAACATGGCAGGAGCAGGACCAAGAGAGAGCATGAGGGCGGAGGTGCTACACACTTTTAGTCAACCAGATCTTGTGAGAACTCACCATCATGAGAACAGCACCAAAGGGATGGTGCCAACCATTCATGAAGCATCTACCCCCATGATCCAATCACTTTCCACCAGGTTCCACCTCCAACTCTGAGGATTACAATTGAACATGAGATTTGGGTGGGGACACAGATACAAACCATGGGGACACAGATACAAACCATATCACATGCACCAGGCTGCATCCCAAAACAACTAAAGAATTTCTGAGGGTGGAACCCAGGTATCTGTATTTTCCTGAGCTTTCAAAATGCAGCCAAGGTTGAGAACCGCTGGTCTAATTGATCACTATAATTTCCCTTTCCATGATTAATTTAGGAAAAGGCATGTGACCCAATCCTTACCAAGACACAGGAAGTCTCCTGGAAGGCTGCTGGGAAAGCTTTCTTTACCCCTTTGGAAAAAAAAAAAAAAAGGACATAAGAAAAAGTCTCTCTTCATCAAGCATTGTTGATCTGAATCTGGTGCCACCAGTTTGTGACCTTGATGGAGGGTCGTGGTGACTTTGGGTGAAGGTGACTTTGAAGATATCTTAAGAAACAGAAAGAATTTGAGTCCTTGATGATCCTGGAGCCTGACCCACCTCTGAGTCTTCAGTAGAATGGAAATAATATCTTATTGTTTGAACTTGTTTGAGCCATATTTTTCTGCTTCTTGTCTCTAAAAGCACCCAGAAAACACCATTGAAAAAGATTTTCTCTTTGACAGAACTCTACTCAGGCTCCCCTGAACTTTTCAAGTAGGCCTTGACTTTTGGACTTCCGTATTTGTCCCTACACTGTCCAGTTTTTTTTTTGTTGTTGTTGTTTTGTTTTTTTGAGACGGAGTCTCGGTCACCCAGGCTGGAGTGCAGTGGCGTGATCTCGGCTCACTGCAAGCCCCGCTTCCCAGATTCATGCCATTCTCCTGCCTCAGCCTCCTGAGTAGCTGGGACTACAGGTGCCCACCACCACACCCGGCTAATTTTTTGTATTTTTAGTAGAGACGGGGTTTCACCGTGTTAGCCAGGATGGTCTCAATCTCCTGACCTCATGATCCACCTGCCTCAGCCTCCCAAACTGCTGGGATTACAGGCGTGAGCCACCGTGCCCGGCCTGCACTGTCCAATTTTAACAAGAATCCTTGGCTTAGTAGACTCCCTCTTCCTTCATATCTGATTACCCTCCAGATGTTACTGGGTCTCTTATTCTCCACCATTCCTCAGGTATGTCTGATCACCCCAGCCTGCTTTCAGCAAGAATCCTATTATGTCAGTCTGGCCAGAATCCCCACTTAGCCCTAATGTCTGCTCTTAGTACTTTTCCATCCATTGATCCCCACCCTGCTCCTTGGCTATAAATTCCCACTTGCCCATGCTATATGTGGAGTTAAGCCCAATCACTCTTCCCTACCGCAAAATCGCATTGCAGTGGTCCTGTATACCTATGGAGGTAGTTCCCACATACACACCTTAAATAAAGGATGCCTCATCATCTAAAGTGTCATTGAATTTCTTTTGGCATCACATATACGCCATACATTTTGACTATTGTTCATAGGGTGATGAATCTTTATGCGTATTCCCAAACACTCTGGGAGTATGTCTTCCTTGAGACCCAGCGTCACTCCTCAAGTTCAGGTGAGTAGGACAAAATTAACTGACCTTTGTAAAGATGTTACCCAAAACCTTGACTTCATTAGCATTAACTGCTCATCAAGTCTTTTGAAATTGCAACAGCTACTCATAAAATTGGATATGAATTCACTGGAAGAGCATTCACTTATGTAGAGTTAAATAGAGAGTTAAATTGTTCCACCCAAAGAACTAAGTCTAAACCTTGCTTACTGCTTCTTGGCAAAAACACAAGGTAAATACCAATGCATACAGCAAGTCACAGAAAACATATTCCCCAGTTTTAGAATTTCCTCCACATTCACAAAGGTGATTTCAGTAAAATCTCAGTAACGATGAAAGAATGAAAACAACAGCAGGATTTAGCGTTGAAGTGAGACAACCTAATCTATTCTCTGGTGAGAAATGCTAATCTATGTACAGCACTATTGCAGTCTTGGCCCTTTCCAGCTATAAATCTGGTTAAGGGAAAAGCTTCATAAAAAGTAAATACTTTAGGTCTTCCTGATAATCCCCCTCAGCATTGCATTCCACTTATCAGGCCCAACTTAATTCTGAGTTGTTGGCTTATTTCGGTTCTCTAAAAGAAGGACGCTAGAAATTAAAATTCAAACCGGATGGTCCACATCACATCAGGGGATTGGGACAGTTGATTTACTCCTATAATCTCTTTAAACATCTACCAGGAGAGGTTCTAAGGCAGAATTTATTGCCTCCTCCTGCCATCTTTGGGCCTACAAAAAACGAAGCAAAATCCTTCTATGAAATCTGAAACTCCAGTCACTGATTTCCTGGCTGATGTCATTTCCAAAGCACGATGTAGCCCTGTGATAGTCACAGCGGTAATCTGCCTCTCTATGGGGTTTCCATCTGTTTGCCATCAGAAAGAACCTCTTTGGGAAGCCACGGTAAATGCAGAGAACCCATTCCTCCACATGGGTCCCAGAGTCTTGTATTAGCTTTTCAGTCTTCAGGATCAGCTGCTGTTAGAATTGAATATGCTTAAATTTCTGCTGTAACTTTCATTTTCATCCATGTTTGGTTTATCATGGGCTACTTGGTAAAAATCTTCCATATGATTCTGAAACTCTTATGCAAATGTTACCAAAATGAAAATTTAGCCGCTGCAGTTCTTTCCTTTGGGAGAAGAGTTTTCTATATAACTTTAGGTAATGCACTTCTTAATATAAAATGGATTGTACTTGAAGCAAATCTTTCTGAGCTCTTTAGGTCCAAAGTTGCTTAAAAGTGTAATATTTTGTGTTGAAAGGCTGTTTATTCACTTCTTTTTAAAATTAAAATTTAAATTTTACAGATGGGGTCTCACTATGTTGTTCAGGCTGGTCTTGAATTCCTGGCCTCAAGTGAGGCTCCCATCTTGACCTCTCTAAGTGCTGAAATTACAAGCATGTGCCACCATGCCTAACCTAGGTTATTTACTTCTTATTAAGTGTTAACAGAGATGATATAATAGGTTAGAGCCAAGAAAACAGATTACAATGACAAGACGTTTCAAAAGTGATCTTTTGTGGGTCAGCTTCAATACAGATAATTCACTGTAAATAATTGGGGGTTCACAGCAGTATCAAGTTATAACTAACTGGGAATTGTATTGATCCAGCCATAAATGCATAATGGTCGCTTTTTTTACTGAAGAAACAGAGCATGAATTAATTCCACAGGAATGTTTAATAAAGGAAACGATTTCATGAAGATCAGCCTTTTTCTCATCTCCATTCTTCCCTGCAAGTACTTCAGCCTTCACAGTGCCCAAACAAAAACAGACTCTATTCTGTTCCTCAAGGAATAATTTATTAAACATGTTTTTGTACATTGGTCTTTCTGTGTTTATGTGCCATTTCCTCAGAGAAGGCTGACTATGAGGATGAAATAGAAATAACATCACTGTTCAATATTCTTCAAGCCCCAATTCCTAGGAGATGACAAGGATGCAAAGGTCTTTTTATTCATCCTGTCAAATGCCAGTTTGTTTCAATGTGGTTTCCCTGAGTTCAGTGTCAAATGAGGCACAGTCCCCAGTGGGCAGTAGAGAAAGACGTTTTCC
This sequence comes from Homo sapiens, assembly GCF_000001405.40. Classification (NCBI taxonomy): domain Eukaryota; kingdom Metazoa; phylum Chordata; class Mammalia; order Primates; family Hominidae; genus Homo; species Homo sapiens. The sequence continues at coordinate 177,605,530 of NC_000002.12, read as the reverse complement.
TCACCACACTGGAGAAAAGAAATATGAATACTAAACCAAATGACTGTCAAAGGATGGAAAAGAGATGAAGAAAGGCCTCAAGGAAGAGGATAAGGCAGAAGGGCAAGACCAGATGAAGAAAGGCAATCAACAACTTGCCTTTAAAGGAATGATGAAATTATGACTACCGTATTTACATGACTTAAACATGAGGTGCTACCTCAGTGTTTTGTAAAGCATGTTACACGCATGCAATAATTAATGGAGAAGAATTTGGCACACAGATGAACATTTTTCAAGAGCCATGTATTTATTTTATCGTGTGTATGGTTTATGTACCCATTCACACACATACGCAAACACATATATACCTAACACATCAAACCTGAAATTTCATGGATTCTATTGCTTAGGATGAAGCTAAAATAAAAATGGTTTTATTGAAGGAAAAATATTAAATAATACACATAGTACTAGGCTATGGCAAGAAGCATGACAGTGATAGTTGAATGACTGAAGTTTAAGAAATCTTGGTAAAGGCAAATGAAAGAGTTTCATGAGAGAGTGTGGGGAGAATCCTACTCTCCGCTGATCAAAAGTGTGATTTTTATTTACATTGATTCACTATTTTCAAAAAGCTAGCTTTATATTTTTAGTCAGATATTTTCACCACCTATGGTGAAAATTTCCTTGGGAGAATGCTGCCTAACAAATGTATTGGAAAACAACTGTAAACTTTCTAGAGCTGTATTTGCTTGTCTGAAGAGTTGAAACTTTATAAACTATGTTTTTTGTTGTTGTTTTCACATTTCCTTACCACTCTAATCTGTTCTGATATTAGGATTTTTCCCCCATTTCTCACAAACCTAACAAGTTCTGACTTTTTGGTGGATGACAAATCCTACCAGTAGAGGGGGCCTTATTCTGCTTGGAAAGTCCTCTAAGCTCAAGGATCTTTGCAGGAAACAGGATCACCCCTCCATTTGTTTGCTGACCACCACCTCCTTTTACTCTGACTTAGTCATTTTACAGTGTCAGCACCAGCCTGTGGATCTGTCTGACAGCGGATGTATTGTCACAGTGCAGTCTGAGATCCAGCCTTCAGCTTTTGTAAGAATCCAGTTAGCCACTGCACAAAACATCTTGTTAAAATCGTGAGTGTTCTGATCATTACCACATTTTTCATTATGTGTGTGGTAATCCTGGGCTGACTAGGCTGGGATCCAATTGTGTTCATTTTGAGTTGGATTCAAAGTTTTAGAGTTGGAAAGATTTTTGAAAGCATCTGTTCCAACTCTCTCATTCCACAAAGTATAGACACTCAAAGAACTTATGTCCCACAGAAACTTACTAGTGTGGAAATAGGATTATTCAGCTTATGTGAAAAAGTCCTTCACAGCCCACTTTAGTCCTGACTGCATCTAGGGGCTGTGCAACTTTGGGCAGGTCATTTAACCTCTGAGACTCCGTTTTCTTTTCTATAAAATAGGTAACCATTAAAATCACTTCAGTTCTATTCTATTGGGATCACTGCCACTAAGCATTTAGAGGCAGATGGAGTGCTAAGGTTGTAGAATTATGAATGATTTGTCTTTTACTGAAAAAAGTTTATAACTGTTGCATAATCTTTATCTTCTATTTGCAGGCAATTCTAAGGCCTCTTCTTGGCTTTATTGTTCCTTTCTGTTCTTTAAATTTGTAAATGATTTTTAACTTTATGAGCATAGAAGGCATTAAAATTCGACTATACCGGAACAAAAATTTATAATTCCAGCATGAATGCAACGATCAAAACGTTAATCCAGGACGGTAAGAGAATGTGGAAAAGTGAAAACAGTTGGCATATTAAGGTTGTAACAGTGTGAATGATTTGTCTTTTTTTAAAAAAAAGTTTATAATTGCAAAATAAACATAATTCAGAAGGATGAAAAAGTCCATGTAAAAAGCAATGCAGAGGTGAAGGATCCGCAGTCAGCCAGAGATTTTAGGGGGTGAAGCCAGAGCAATCAGCAGACCCGTGAGCGCCAGCACTTCCCACCAGACCCCACTCCTGGTGTGTGCCTCAGCCTTGCAATAAAGCTTCCCCTTCTTCAGGATATTGAATTGGGGTTCAGAGAAAGCCAGACATCATGTAATCAGTTTGAAATTACAGCGTATATCTAATAAAAGCCCACAAAACTTGCCAAAAAATTTTTTTTCCCTGAATCTCTTAAAGAGCAATGTGTTTGCTAAGAAAGGGGGACATGGGAAAGAAATCATGTATAAGAGAAACCTTTTCACAGAACCAACACAACTTCAGACCCGACACACATACTGGCAGATAGCTTAAAATAGGAACCCCGTCACCTTAGAAGGAGACAGAGAATCACAGTCTTCACCTTAGAGTGAGGAGAGCCCTGTTCAGCCTGGATCCCAGGAAGGTCCACTCCATCTCTTTTCCTTCTGTTGACATAGCTGCTCTGTGGAGAGGACAAAGGTCTTTCCTGCTAAGTAAAATCAATGCATTAGAGTGTTTTGATGATATACATTTGGATTGATTCTATTGGAGACACAGGGCTCACTTCATTGGATGTGGGTTCTGTGCAGTCACACAAAGCTTTACACATAGGAGGATCCTCTTCGTGCTTGGTTTAATCTCTGCTGTCACTGTTTTGAAATTCTTAATAATTTGTGAACAAGGGACCTCACATTTACATTTTGCACTGGGCTTTGAAAACTATGTAGCTGGTCTTGGCTGGGCGTTTTTTATGAGGCTGTTCACATTGTTACATAGATTTCTTACATTACTGCTCTATGGTTAACCCTTTCAACATACTTAGCCTGTTGGCCTGCTGTGGGCAACATGTGGCTTGCTGTGAGTTGGGTCTGTGTCTTCCCATGTGTTCTGTAGTGCAGAGTGTGGGTCCCTTCCATGCAGATTAGTCCTTTCACCTCTTGTAAGCTCCAGGTCAGCGCCTGTGTCTTGCACAGACAATCCAGCAGGTTCTTTGTCTCTTCCCCAAATGTCCAGAGCTTCATACTCTTTTTACCACGGGTGCTCTAAGAACACACCACCCTTTTAGAATCAACATTAAAGGTAGTTGAGTTCTTCTGAAAACTTTGCCTGGGTAAAACATTAGTGTAAATCTGTGCTACTTTGAGCATGCCACATTTACCCTCATAGGCCTTGTATGTGGCAAACGACGAAGAGACCTTCAGTGTTGTACTTCCTCTTGCTCAAACATCTGTTGATTTTTAACATTTGATTTTCTGCAGGTCAGGGTCTGCTTTAAGATTTGAAAGTGGCTCCTTTGAATGCGTAAAATACAATTTAACTACAGCTCTGTAGCATTTCTAGAGCCAAAACCCCATGGGCGACACAGCAAGAACTGGCAACCTCCCTACTCTAGCCCCATACACAAAAGGCCCGGAGGAGGATCAGAATGGCCCTTGGGTAACATAGCTCCTTTAATATTCTAGCAATAATTTTCTTCTCCCCTGCTCTCCTCCCAGAGCAGAACAGGAAAGAAACCAAACACTGTCCTATACAAAAATGGGGCCTAATGCCCCAAGGGGGGAAAGGAGGAGAGAGAGAAGAGGAAAGGTACCTTGCAAATTTGGGAAATACTTCTCAATATCAATGTAAACGCTATCATCCCAGAGCCTGGCACAGTGGCTCACGCCTGTAATCTCAGCACTTTGGGAGGCCGAGGTGGGCGGATCACTTGAGGCCAGGAGTTCAAGACCAGCCTGGCCAACATGGTGAAACCCTGTCTCTACTAAAAATACAAAAATTAGTCAGGAGTGGTAGTGGGTGCCTGTAATCCCAGCTACCCAGGAGGCTGAGGCAAAGGAGAATCACTTGAACCTGGGATGCAGAGTTTGCAGTGAGCCGAGATTGTGACCCTGCACTCCAGCCTGGGCGACAGAGCGACACTCTGTCTCAAAATAAATAAATAAGTAATAAACTATATTTTTCCTGAAAATGAATGTGGCCATTGGATGAGACTGGCAGACACAGCATAAGAGGTGAAGGGATGAGCACGCCTATAGCTCACCCTGGTAGAAATATTGAAAAATAAATCTGACCAGTAGACTTCAGACCCACCCTTCTCCATGCAACAAGAAATGCCCCCCGCCCCCCGACCACCACACACCTTATTGTTTCGTGAGGTTTAAATAGGAACAGCCATCACTAACCATTTGGTCGAAGTCCTGGATGGCTTCTGCAGACCAAATGACTAGGGGTGTTTGGGAGTGGAGTTTTCCTGAAAGGAATGGGTGTGCACCTGAAGGCTGATGGGCTAGTTGTGACCTAGGTTGGGAGTAGGAATCCACAAAGGGTCTTTTTCCTGTGAGCAGGCTTATATCTTTAAAGTGCATCCCGTTTGACATTCAGGGCAAAGTCCTAATTAGCAGGGTCGTGACTTTTCCTCTGCTATATAGGTTTTTCCAAACCACATGACCTTGGATGAACTGAAGGGGCAGAGTGTCAATCTTTGGTCCAGGGGAGGGACATCACCTTATCAAGTGGACCTGGACTCAGAGAGGTCAAGACAGAAAGTAGAATGAGGCTGTCTCCTTTCTCAGTCAGTGAGAGTTAGCTGCCCTTTGAAAAAGGAAAGGGCTGAGACTGGACATTCAGGTAACTGAAAGAAGCTGGGCTCCTATTGTGGCCTAGCAGGGGCCCTGCACTTCTTGTGTTCACCTTCAAAAGGAATTCTTTGGAAGGGGCATTCTGGAGCAAATCACCACCCAGTTTCTAAAACACCAAGGACACAGATAGCCTTAATGTTTCCCTCAGCGTAACTAAACTTCAGACGGGCTTCTTCCTGACTTGAGGCTCTGACCTCTCTTTTCTTAGAGCTTTTTTTTTTCTGAAACAGGGTCTTGCTTTGTCACCCAGGCTGGAGTGCAGTGGTGCTATCATAGCTCACTGTAGCCTTGACCTCCTGGGCTCAAGTGATCCTCCTACTTCAGCCTCTGGAGTAGCTGGGACCACAGGAGCGCACCAGCAGGCGTGACTATTGTTTTTTTTTTTTTTTAAATTGAGTCTCACTATGTTGGCCAGGCTGTATTTTCTTTAGGAAACTTTTAATTGTAAATTTGTTCTCTGCTCCTTTGAGATATACGTAAATCTTTTAAAACATCCCTTGCCAGTTTTACTACCCAGAAATGTGTTTGTCAAGGATCTAGGATCCATGTCTTTGAAATATAATCATCAAAGAAGATAGCTTTGAGCCTCATAACATATCCTGTGGAATGACAGGAACCTAACTTCAGTGGGTGCCTTGCTCCAAGTTGTAAAACTACCACCTGTCATAAAGATATGAGAAGTTTGCTTTCCTTTGGGTAAAGCCAGTTAGCAAACACAGATAGCTCACACATCTCCCTCTCACTCCAGCATTCAAAAACACACTGTTTCCAGTGGAGTTGAATTCAGACAAAGTTCTGGCCTCTCTCCCCTATTGCAATAGCCTTGAATAAAGTCTTTCTTGCCTGTTTAAATTTTGGGGGTGCCACTTTTGCTTTAACGTCAAAAATGTAAATAAACTCAACTAAAATGTATTGTGTCCCTATAAACCCCGGTTGTTTTGCAGCATGAAAAGATCCATGATTAAACTGCAAAAGGCAAAATGCCTCTTGGTTTGTGCATCTTCCTGGGGGATCATGGGACAGTGAGTTACAGTTGACACAGGAAGGAGGGATGTCACCACTATCGTAACTGAAACATTGTCAGGGAGCAGCAAGAGGCTGGCTGGAGCTGGGCTGGGACAGAGCACCTGCCTCACCCCAGGCACAACTCTAAGCACTTTGCAAATAATTCCTCATTTAATTCTTACAACAACCTTATGAAACAGATTTTATTAGTAGCCCCATGTTTTCAGGTAAGGTACACCTCTGTCACCACAGACATTTGGTAAGCATAGAACAACTGGCACTTTGGTTCCAGGATTTGTGTTTTAACCACTAGCTTATACTTCTAGATTCTGCAGCTAGAACCAAAGAGCACAAAACCCCAAGGCGTGGTAGCGGGCCCACTGAGACCTGATCAGGTAACCAGGTACATGTCAGAGAAGTCTCTATGTCTCTACCAGAGAGCAGTTTCCTATTTCAGGACTAAAGCAGCCCACAACAGGGCCACCACAGCATCTACCTGTGATGTCCCCTGTCTCACAGAATAGGACAATTCTGCATCTCACCAATTCCTAAGGTCAGAGGGGGTTTCTTCATAAAAGGCTATGTAGGTTCTTCCTATAAATCTGCCTTCACATGACCACAAGGCTGGCAGTTCTAGGAAAAAAGCCTGTTTTTCTGCAAAGGGTGAACAAAGGTGGCAGTGTCTGAGAACAATTGAACAGTATCAAAGCTGCTTCCTCCAGGCAGTTCTGAGGTGACCCTGGCTGATCTCTGCAGTACGTGCTGAAACTGAAATAGCCTTGACTACCATCAAGGGCAAACTAGATTCTGCACTCAGTATGCTGAGTACCTTTTCCCCTTGCCACTTGCTCCCTTACAACTTACTTTCTTCCCTTGCTGCTTCAAAAAGTGTGGGAGAAGCCCTTTGATAGAGCAAGCTGATGCTTGCACAAAGAGAAGTAAAATTGCTTTTGCACCTCAACTACACAAAAACTAATCCCTTTACTGGGTCCCCAAGGCCCCCAGTGTAGCCCCTGGATGTCTCTGCCTGGATGGCTGTAGGCTGGGGCACCAGGTTCACCATTTCATTCTTTGAACCTTCCTTTTTCCATCTGTGAAAAGAGAATCTCAATATTTTGCCTAGTACTCTCCAGAGCTGTTATGAGGCTCAAATGAGATAATGTATGTAAAGCACTTTATAAACTGTAAAATGCTTTACAAATGTAAGGGATTATTATAAACCACAATACACTGATGTTTTATGCTTTTATAAAACTACTGGCTGGAACTGCTGTAAGGGGAATCCCTCTGGTGATTTTTATTTTGGAAACAGGAGGACTTGGGTTTGCCTCCTTGCCAGGAATTGGATTCCTGGCAGCAGCTGTTTATTCCATTTCACTCCGCAACACACATATGGCCACAGCACGCCTCCTGCAGAGCTGACAATATGTACTACTGTGTTTGAGCACATCCACGGAAAGCATCCTTTCTCCACCCTCACTATTTCTAACTTGCCAAGTCTAACACCTAGGAAATACAGACTTTCAAATCGCATTTCACCACAGCAACATTTGTTTTCTTAGATGAGGTTTTTCCTCCTTAGCAACCAGAATTTTGCAGTCAAACTTTCACCACGAAAACAGTTTTCTCTTGAGCAGATTGAAAAAATTGGATGCTGCTTTATTCAACCTTTGCCATGGTTAAAATGAAAATGATATTAATATTTGTCCTGAGACCGGGCTTGGACCAGCTGAAAAGGATTAAAGTACTAACACGTTCTTTTTTCCTTGTACCTGCAGTGCACAGATAGACTGGACCAGCGCTGGGTGACGGTGCTCAATCTTTCTGCTGCAATGGAATGGAGTGCACTGACGCTCTGCACAAATATCTGCACAGGGCAGTGTTATAGATAACCACTCACTGCTCCCTGAGGGGCTTGAGATCATTCGATGTCTAAGAACTACTACTGGCTTGTAAATGTCAAGAGAAATTATGAACATTTGTAGAAAAGTAACTGTTTGACTAATTTCCTGTTCCATGGAGCAAACACACTGCCCCATGTATTTAGAATCTGGTGCTGACAGCCAGGCCATGGCAAGCTTCAAGGTTATAGGATCATAAATGGGATTAGATAAGCCAGACAGTGCGGCTCAGACTCCAGCACTTTAAAAATATTATTAAAACCCCAGGAAAGGCAAACAATTTTGAAGGGAAAGTAAGATATAACAGACTCCCACCAAGAGAGAAAAGAATCTTGGATATGATACTGGAACTTGGTAACCCCTTCCCCCACCCACCCCCCGCTGCCCCCGCCAGAGCACTTCCAGAGTGTATGTTAGTTAGCATCAATCAACATTTTAGGACATAAGACATAATGCAACAAGTCATGCTTTGTAGCTCAGACAGATTTTTCTATTTGATTTGATCCATGACGAAAAAAAAAAATTTTAAGGAAAGAACAAAGAAAACTTACTGAGAAAACCAAAATCGACAATAAGAAGTCGCAGTTCCAGAGAGCAGAATGCAGTGCCCCACCTGGAAGCCTTTGTGTTTTAAATTATCTGTTTCTTTTTAATTGACCAGATTAATTATTTCCACCTTGCTACTTGGCAGGTAGGGTCACTATTCCTTTTTACAGCATTAATGAACTCATTCACTTTTTTTTCCATGTAATTAAGACTATGAGTTGCAGATCACATTCTTAAATCGGCTTAGTGTACAGCCAATTCAGTCTTTATTAAACAAAATATATGACATCAGGTATTTCTCACTGAAAAAGAGTGTTGAGTTTCTACTGAGTTTTCCTCCAGTTGAGAGAGGAGAGTGGTGACTTTGTTCTTTTTATTTTTTGGAGAAGAAACACAGACCTTGTAAAGGTTGTAGCCTCCAGGGTGGTGTTTCATTCTTAATAGACTCAAAGTCTGGAGATTTAAAGGGCAGCTGATGGATTCATGTTCAGGTATTTCTATTGCCACCAAAATTCTGACCAGGTCCTTTCATGAGCTATTTGAAAAGAAATAACTTTGGGTATGCTGTTAAGTTAGTTATGTGAAATATATTGCCCTCTTCTGTTAGCTTTATTTCTAGGCCATTTAGGAAGCCCTAGGAATATTAAGAGTTTCTCAGTACATTGACTACAGTAGCCGAACACAGTACAGAAGGCCGTTTGCGGTGTCTACAGTCCTCCAGAGAGCAAACTTTAAGGCAATGCAAACTATCTCCCAAAGCATTTGGTTTCATTCAAGACTTCTGGATCTCAAGTTGATTCCCAGAGGAACTCAATTTGGAAGTAAAGGGTAAGGTGCTTTAATCTTTCCAGGACCCAAATGAGATTTCCTCCATTAAATTGAGTCTGGTGGAGCACCTGATCGAGAGAGAAACTGATGGGCAGACATCAAGAAATTGATGAACAGACATCTTAATGCTGGTCCTCTTTGCCACTAGCAAAAGACAAGCAACATACATTTAAAATATTAGGAATACCAGTGCATTGTTTTTACATATTAAAAGCTTGTGAGAAATTCATTGCATTGTCTGAATACAATGGGATTGGAATCAAAGGTACAGCAACTGATGTTTTTCCATTTATTACTCCACTTCTTAGTAGAAATGGAATCTTCTAGTTACAGGTAATAACTCTGTGACAAAAATACTCAAGTATGTAACATAACTTAGTTCCTAATTTTTTAAATGGAACCTATATTTGGCAATCTTCTGTCCCACAGTTGTAAAACTTGATGGTATTCTTATTTTGTTTACTGAGATTTCAGGTGGTTAACTGCTGTATTTCCTTCCAACCCAAAATTCAAGTGTAGTAATGATATCCATGTGCTTCAAAAAAGGTATGTTGGCCTGTGGTTATGTTTTAAACAGGTGCCTAAACACACATACTCACATAGGGTCACGGAGTCACCTGGAATGGCATTTCATCTTGGTCTCATGCACAGCAGACTGCACCCTGACAAAAAACATTCAAAGCTAATAGCAGCGTGGCTTAGGGTAACTCTGTCTTTTGCATTAAAAATGATAGTGTAAATGCTTCTTATCCATTGTTGTGATGGCTTGAAACAGTGTGCAGTCTTTATACAAACAGGCCATTTCAAATCCATGTTATAGGCATGTGTGGGAATGGCAGTGATGAGAAGAAAAACATCAATTTCAGGGAGTTGGAGTCTTTATGCATGCTGTTAGAGTCCTCTTTGTGGCTTGTACCCAAATTGTTTTGTGCTGGATACAGCTGAAGCCTGGGTCTCTGGAAAGCACAGTGATTAAAGGGAAATGTGCTCAGAGAAATAAGGCTTTCAACTTCTAGGAAGCCAACCAAACTTGGGAACCACCTCAATGTATTACCAGTCCTGGCTGGGCCAATTTCACCACAGGGACACAGTCATTTTCAATGACAGTGACTCCATTGCTCTGCCCCTCCAGAAATGCAATGCCAAGAAGCAAAAACATCTGTCTTGGGGAAATCTTTGGGCATCATAAAAGTTCCCTGCTCTCCCTTCAACCAGATTTTCCTCCTGCGCTGGCATGGAGGGCTGCCAGACACAGCACTTGGGGAAGCCTGCACATTAAGATGGCCAGCTCGGCTACCCTCCGTTCTGGGCTAGGTCCTCTGGAGTCTTATTTTCAGCAATCCCTCCCCTCTGTGCCTCCCTCCCTCCCTTTCCCACAATTAACTTACCTCCTTCCAGGCTGGAGTTGGGATCAGGACCTTTGGGGACACAAAGGGGAGAAAAATAGGAATGATGTCTGGGTTAGGTCTTGAGAGTTTATTCCACTGTATGAAATACTCCATACACCGTTTAAGAATAATAACCATGAGGGATCTATCTAGTGATTGCAGTGCTGGTTTTTGGTTGTCTGATGTTTGGTATAAATGCTATTTTATGCATTCAAATACAGATATATTTATTGGTGTAATAATGTTATTTTGGTCATCAGTTAACTTGGTTCTCCCTTTCCAATTCTACCCCGCCTGTCTCCTACCTATCTCCTGTGGGCGGCAAGCCACCCAGGTGCCGAGGCAAGAGACCGAGGGCACGAGCTGTTCCAGTGTAATAAAATATATAAAATAAGAATAGTTATACTAGATATAGATCATAGATATGATTATATATGAATATAATTAATCACTAGCTTGTAGCAATTACTCTTTATTCCAATATTATAACAATCCTTGCTCTACAATTATAACCTAGGAAAAACCAGGCCATACAGAGATAGGAGCTGAAGGGGCACAGTGAGAAGTGACCAGAAGACAAGAGTGTGAGCCCTCTGTCACACCTCGACAGGGCCACTACAGGGCTCCTGGGTCTAGCGGTAACGCCAGTGTCTGGGAAGATGCCCGTTACCAAGCGAACCGTGGTCTAGCGGTAGCGTCAGTGCCAAGGAAGAACACCCGCTACTTAGCAGACTGGGAAAGGGAGTCTCCCTTTCCCAGGGGCAGTTTAGAGAAGACTCTACTCCTTCACCTCTTGTGGAGGGCCTGTTATCTGGAGTCCTAACCGTCTCCCTGTGATGCTGTGCTTCAGTGGTCACGCTCCTAGTCTGCTTTCATGTTCCATCCTGTACACCTGGCTCTGCCTTTTAGATAGCAGTAGCAAAATTAGTGAAAGTACTAAAAGTCTCTGATATGCAGAAATAATGGTGTAAGCTGTCTCCTCTTTCTGTCTCTCTGCCTCGGCTGCCAAACAGGGAAGGGCCCCCTGTCCAGTGGACATGTGACTCACGTGACCTTATCAATCACTGGAGATGACTCACACTCTTTACCCTGCCCCCTTTTGCTTTCTATCCAATAAATAACAGCTCAGCCAGGCATTCGGGGCCACTACCAGTCTCCACATCTTGGTGGTCGTTGTCCCCTGGGCCCAGCTGTCTTTTCTCTTATCTCTTTGTCTTGTGTCTTTATTTCTACAATCTCTCGTCCCCACACTCAGGGAGAAAAACCCACCGATCCTGTGGGGCTGGACCCTACAATCTCCCACCCCAGTCACTGATACCCTCACCACAAGCCCCTTCAGCCCCTCTTTACCACTCAGCTTTTGTAATTCCTTGGCTTCCCTACCCCAAAACCCAATGGCTTCGCTGGATTTGGTGGTGGGAGGAACCAGATCTCCCTGCCTGGGAAGGGAAAGGGTAGATCCCAGTTGGGCACATCCCTCCTGGTCATCTGGAGAGATCACACTGCTGCAGCTGGAAGTTACTGGCCAGATTTGGGAGTGGTGCAGATGTGGTGGGCCACAGAGCTCCACTCAAGCGAGCCACAGTGACAGAAAGGGCTGAAGTCCTGCTGGGCCACCGACTTCAAAGGCAGCAGCTCCAAGGGAGGCACAGACCAAGGTGGGGGCGGTGACTGAAGGGACAGCAAATTCCATCATTTATAAATTACCCAGTCTATGGTATTCTGTTACAGCAGCACAAATGGACTAAGACAGTGGGGGAAGTATAATTTTCTCCCAGGGAGGAACAGCAAATATTTTGAATAATAATACAATCTATCATGAGTCCCATGATCAAGCAAACATATAAAATGAAAAGTCTGGCAGAATGAGAAAAGTTACAAACATTTGTCATTATCAGGGAGAGAAAGCTTGACATTTCTTTGACAAACATAATTCATCAATATAATTCCCTCTATAACAGAAAACAATCTAGAGCCACATGGTGGAGCTCAGCAGTTTGGTGGTGGATACAGTATGAACCAGAAAGGAGAGTGCAGCTGAGAAAGAAACATCACAGATCTAATGGGGCCAGTGCCAAGGGGCAGGCAGCTTTGGGAGCCAGGATGTCTTTGACCCTAACCTCTTGGTTACATAATTTCCATTGACCTCACTTATACCCAGCCTGTAACCTAGCACAGGAATCTCCTTTCAAGATCACATTGAAAGGGCTGAAATGTCTCTGCCCATTTGCTTGACCCTTTGATAGCAAATAGCTCTGAGCAGCCAGTATCTCCTCTACCTACCACTGCCTCTGCCCCTCAACCAGAAGACAGGGAGAACTGGCTCATCATCGGACAGATGTTTCCACATCTGCCTAGATTGTATGTAGTGTTGTCTATCCAGGAGCCGTTCTGAATTGTTTGCCTCTTCCTCTAAGGAAGAACACACCGCTTATGACCACAAACCTTTTGGCTTTGCCTAGATACAAATTTGAGCTCTGGTAAGACCCTGGTAGGCTCAACTGCAGGTTCCCACACAGACCCACTGATCCCTGGAACGCAACCTGAGTAAGTGGCTGAGGGGCACAGCAGTTCTCAATTATGACCCTCTGGACCCTCACACCCAGAAACACTTAACTCTGAGCCGCATGCCCATTAACAAGGGGTGGGTCCTGGTGGTCAGCTGCTTGCACAACAGGCTGTAATGGAGCTGTGTAAGCAAGCAGGCCTGGGCTGGCAGGCCCTTGGTGGCTCTCTGCTCTATCCCCATCTGAAATGTGAGGATGATTAATTGGAAACATCTCTATTAGAAACTCACCTTCTTGCCAGGTCTGACTATTCCTTTGAATGTATTAACTCCACCTCCATGTATCCCAGATCCTTTATGGAAGTAACTGGTTTTGAGAAGGAGGTGTAAAGCTGCCCTAAGCAAAGGTGTAGCTCAGTGAAATGTATGTGTAAGAAGTAACCAGATTATCTGACTGGCAGAATGGTTTCAAGGTGAAACTGTCTCCAAGGCTGAGAGACTGTGTCTCCTCCTGGCTAGGCGACAGTCAGTGGTGGATATGCAGCTATTTCAGCTAACCTGAGGCAGTGGACAATCATCAGAATCCACTATTATTTTTATTTTTAAAATACTTATCTGCTTAGTACCCTCCACTGCAAACACACCTGTCTTCTGAAAGGAGTTCAATTCCACTAGCTGCAGGGATGGGAACATACGACACAGTTTGGCTCAATCATAGGACCTCATATGCTTGGCTCTAACAGGTAGGTGACAATCCACCCGGGACTGAATGGAATCCTCTGTTTAAGTGGCAAATTGCCTCTTGTCCCTGACAAGACAATTCAGTGGCATGGACAGCCACTGAATTCAAGTGTGGCTGATCTACTCATTTATCATTTGTGTGTTTGTTTTGACAGTGTGCTGGAACCCACTGCTTATGACCACAAACCCCTAAACCTTGCCATTTCCCTCCAGTTATGAAACACATTCTATAGCTTTGTTGTCCGAACCCATGTACCTTGTAGTCCATCATTCTTCTTGGAACCCACTGGATATCTTGGCCCTGACCATTTATCATTTGAAAGGCAAGGGCCACGGGAAGTGCTAGCTTAGCTCATCCATCCGGACAGCCCTCAGCCACTTCTATCTTCCAGCATCAGGGAGGAAGTGGGACTATGCCTCTCATGAGTCTTTGAAGATATATTCAGTCTTTCCAGCTATCCCTGAAGAAGCAAGGAGTAACCATGTTCTTAGATGTTCCCCCAAGTCTATCTGGGTGTTTTCCCCTGATGGCACTCTCCAGGTTGAACCCCAAGTGAAAGAAGAGTTAAGAACACTCAGGTCTGACTTTTTGTCGTTCTTTCTCCTTCCTGCCCAGAAAGGCTTCCTACTTCCCCTTCCTCTTTAATCAGAACTGTGCCTAGGTCATGTCTTCCTTCTCTATGTAGCACTTGCCTTCCTCCCCTTCCCCTTCCCTGGGAAAGTGATACTGGAATGGCTGCAGAGAAAGAAAGTGAATTTCCAAGATGAGAAACCAATTGAAAAGTGTCTTCCAAATAGTGACCTCTATGGCCCAGCATGGTGGCTCACGCCTGTAATCCCAGCACTTTGGGAGGTCAAGGCAGGTGGATCACGAGGTCAGGAGTTCAAGACCAGCCTCACTAAGATGGTGAAACCCCATCTGTACTAAAAATACAAAATTTAGCCGGGCATGGTGGCAGGTGCCTGTAATCCCAGCTACTCGGGAGGCTGAAGCAGGAGAATTGCTTGAAGCAGGAGAATTGCTTGAACCTGGGCGGCGGAGGTTGCAGTGAGCCAAGATTGCATCACTGCACTCCAGCCTGGGTGATAGAGTGAGACTGTCTCAAAAAATAAATAAATAAAATAAAAAAACAAAATAGTGTCCCTATTTCTCCAGCAAAACTCATCAATCTTAGATGAGTCTCCTCATATTTATTCATTCAACAATTATTTACTGAGGAGATGGAGAAAAGGTCCTTGGCTGCAATAAAATCACAGTTTCATGGGAAGGCCAATGAGCAGCTAACAATTACAAAGATCTCAGCACCTTTCAAACTGAATGACATTTTCTCAGTTCCATATGTTTTCCCCTAAAAGATGGGGAGACCTTTGGCCAAGGGCTGTGTCTTATTCCGTAGCACCTAACAGAGATGGTGCTTAAAAAAAAAGTTTGTTGAATAGGTGAATGAATGAATGAACAAATGTAAAAGATAGTGTTGTAAGGGCATACATATAGGGCACTATATAAACACACAGAAGGGCTTCCCACTTTCACTGGGATGGGGAAATGGAGCCTCAGTCAAGCAAAAAGTTCCAGGCGAAGATGGTGTTTGTGCTGAGCTTGCTGTTGAGCAAGCATTAAGAGGTGGAGAAAGCACATTCCACACAGAAATACTATGATGGAAAGAATCCCACCATGTCTCAGAAATCGCGTGTTGGAGCTGCAAATTGCAACACGCCTAGAGCCCTTGTTGGGAACATGAAGCTGGTGAGTGTGCAAGATCTAGACTACATAGGGCCTTGTATTCATGCAAGCACTGTGTCAAGATTTTTGCTCCAGGTGGAGAGGAGTTTTGTTTATTTGTTCACCATTGTATCTCTTGCACTTCTTTTTTTTTTTTTTTTTTTTTCTGATAGAAGTAGGGTCTTGTTTTGTTGCCCAGCTGGTCTTGAACTTTCTTCAAGGTACATGGGTTCAGACAACAAGGCTATAGAATGTGCTTCATAACTGGAGGGAAATGGCAAGGTTTAGGGGTTTGTGGTCATAAGCAGTGGGTTCCAGCACACTGTCAAAACAAACACGCAAATGATAAACAAGTAGATGAGCCACACTTGAGTTCAGTGGCTGTCCATGCCACTGAATTGTCTTGTCAGGGACAAGAGGCAATTTGCCACTTAAACAGAGGATTTCATTCAGTCCCATGTGGATAGTCACCCACCTTTTAGAGCCAAGTATATGAGGTCCTATGATTGAGCCAAACTGTGTCATATGTCGTCCTCCCACCTCGACCTCCCAAAGTGTTGGGATTACAGGTGTAAGCCTCCCTTGAACTTTAATCACAGTTTCTTCTTCTCCATCACTTTAGCTTACATGTGGTTTCAGCCAGCCATGGCCCGGACTCAATGACAAGTCAGCCCTACAGCTTGTGCCTCTGCACTGCCTCCATCACTCTGTATTTCCTAATTCAAATTTCCAGGAGCATGGATCTGATTGATGTGGCTCAGACTTTCCCAGAGGGCCACATTAGGGGTCAGCCAATTGTATATCTATTCTGGGTGAGGTGCCCAGCCCTAGTCCAATCAGCCTGGGCTGCAAGGGCAGGTCACATGGTACCAGACTTGGTCATGTTGGCAGGAGGGCTGTGAGCTTGTGGCATTCCTTTGTGGCGTGGGGTCAGTGAAGCAGGTACAGGACTGATGCAATCAGTACAAGTCCTCAGAGAGATGGAAGGAAGAGGCCAGGACTGTGTCTTTTTTCTGATTTGCATACTTAGTGCTTAAATAGTGCTTCATATATGTTGAATCAATGGATAAATGAATGAATGAACATATAAGGGAATATGGGAAATTAATGAAACAGAATCAAGTGCTGCTCAGAAGACAATTATTGTAACGCCAGAACAAGAAGCCCGGACACTGCCCAGCAGCCCTCTTGAACCAGAGCTGTGTCTGGCACACTCTGTTCCTACACCCCAGCCCTGGCCCCTCAGAGGGTGCCCCTTGGAGCGTGAGCAAGGAAAAAACCCTGTCTGCCAGGGGTTTCACCCAGAACCTCCTTCTGGCTGTGAAAACTGACCCTAGGCCAATGACAGGAGCTTGACTCAAGAGGCCTCTGGAAGAGGAGAGGACTTCAGTTGCACTCCCTAATTAATCTCAGGTTGGCAAGAGTGACTGGGAATGCCAGACATCTCTAGTCAAACAGATGTTTCTCCTGAGCTCTAACAACGAACAAACTTGTCAGTTACATTGAGAAACAAGAAGCCATAATATTATTTAAGAGTCCAGTGCCTTTGCTTGAGAGACATGGAAAGGAAAGTACTGGGCTTGGACTCGGAAGGGATGAACTTCAGTTTCAGTTTGGCCCCATATAAGTCATTTGGCTTCTAAGGCTCTCACTTTCCTTAAAAATAAGGATAATCACTCTGTTCTTCCTACATCTCATTTAGTTGTAGTGAAGGTCAGTTTAGATGCCTTTTGAGGAAAGAGTGTAAATGAGTGGAATACTGTACAGGTATGACGAACTATTACTAATATCAACAACAATTAGCAAACAAATGGATGGTGACGGGCACATCTAGAGGTAAAAAGTTCAGCTAGGAGGCTGCTGCAGGTCACCAGCCTGCAGGTGATGCCACCTTCAACCAAGCAGAGGCAGTAGGAACAGGAAAAAGAGACAGAGACCCTGTCTTGACTTTTTGACCCATATGGGGCATCTGAGCTATTTAATAAATGAACTAATTAAGTATAATAAGCAATTCTTTGGGAAGAAATCATCATACTTATCAAAACAGTACTTGTTATTGTAATTTCTGAATTCTGAATTTCACTCCTATTTTGTAAGACCCAGTAAACTTGGTACATATTTTATTATTGCATTCATCACCTGATTTAATGTATTTGTTACATTTTTCACCTCTTGTTCTAGGTTTGAATCCCTGCAGGGCAATGGCATGTTGAATTAATATTTGAAACATCTCTGGCACCCAGCATACTGCTTAACACATAGTCAACATGTAATGTTTGATGGATGAATGAAAGTTTAATCATATCACTATGGATTAATTTATTACTTCAAATCTTTACAATCTTGCAAAGCAGATATTTTAATTCCTATTTTACCGATGAAGAAAGTAAGACTCAAAGATGTTAAGTAACTAAGTTGCCAAAGGCCCCATAACTGGTACAGCCTGGATTCCAGTGGGCCTGCTCCAGAGCCCGCTCGGCCTGTTTCCCCAGTGCCTGGCTGACAATAGCAACTGCAGGTGAGTATGTCCTTGTAATTTGGCATTTATCTTGAAGTTGCTGAACTTCCATCTACTCCAGCACTTGTCTTCACTTTGGGGAGAAGGGAAAAGGCTTTTGGAAGGAAGGCACTGATATGAAGGCCATGGGAAGGATGAGTGTTTAAGACCTCTTCTGAAAGCAATCAGCTTCTTGGCCAAGGTCCTTGGCAATAAAGTCTGATAGAAACTTTTCAACAGAGCTAACGGAACTTCATTGCTAGGAAACCTAGCACATCCCTCCTTGTCCCATGGGGTCTTTTTTGTTTCAGGAGAAGAATAGCACAGGGAATGTGGAAAGGGATAGGTCTCCACACCTGTACAGCCAGGAAGGTGGCTGGCAGGGATTGTCCAGTAGGAAAGGAGGTTCTTAATAGTAGTTTAGAATGTATAGTTTATTTTTATTTTTATTTTTTTATTTTAGAGACAGAGTCTCACTCTGTGACCCAGGCTAGAGTGCAATGGCACCATCTCAGCTCACTGCAACCTCCGCCTCCTAGGTTCAAGCAATTCTCACGCCTCAACCTCCCAACTAGCTGGGATTACAGGTGTGCCACCATACCCAGCTCATTTTTTGTATTTTTAGTAGAGACTGGGGTTTTGCCATTTTGGCCAGGCTGGTCTCAAACTCCTGGCCTCAAGTGATCTGCCCGCCTAGACCTCCCAAATCGGTGGGATTGCAGGCATGAGCCACCATGCCTGGCCTCAGAATATGTAGTTTTTAAAGGCTGCTTGTCATTAAGAAGGAAAACCAAACTGCCACTATGTGCTTGTTATGTCCCTTTTGTGTTTTTTTCAGTTATCAGAAGCACATCCAACCTGCCTGATCCAGCTAATACACTCACAGCCAAACATGTTCCTCTACTAGAGGATCCAGAATTCAGTGCTCTTCATAAAACACCATTAAAAATTGTTACATTGAATGTCATCGTACAAACCAGGGCCAATTTTGCACTCAGAGACAATTGGCACCAGGCACTAAATATTTAAGGATATTGAACAAATCTCAGAGAGTACAGAAGGGTATAAAATGATGAGTAAATGTCTCCTTCCTGAACTGCCACTCATAAGGAGCCCTAAAGTGAACCCTGAAAATCCCTGAATTTTCCTGAGCCAACCAGTCCATCAATCAGCGCTCACTTTCTTCTGAGATACAAGGTCAAAGGTGAGTCTCTCCCTGCCCTCCCCTATAAGTGGAGAGACATGCACACACCTACAAGGAGAGCTGACCATCCAAGGAGATATGTGATAAGTACCAAAGAGTGGACCAGACATTTCCCTGATGGCAGTTGGAGGAGGGGTAATTTAAAAACAGACCTTTCCTACCACAACTTCTGTGCTCTGAGCTGAACCTTAGCTGAATGTTAGACCTTGAACTCCAGTTATTTATGACCCTGTCATTGTCTCCTATTAAACAGGAAACTAAGTTCCTCAGAGCCTTCCTGGATAGCACCTAGCACAATGCCTGGAACATCATAAGTGCTCAATAAATAATAAATTTATACCTAAGGCCTGATATTTAGACCGAATATCAGTTACCTGATATTTAGATTTGTGATGCATATGGGATAGATAGTGAGTGCCCTCTCAGGGCAATTCTTCTAGTATTATCGTTGCCTTTGATATTTCTTTCTAGAAACATAAAACACAAACATCTCTGTATTAATGCCCTTTGACAGCTTACTTTTGGAAGGAGGATGGGGAAGAAGGTAGTAAGCCTCTTTGTTTAAAGAAAACTCAAAGGATTATAGAGACAGAAGTGAGTCCTGATCCAACTACTGACAGATGTTCTGCAATCACTCCTGGCAGCAGGAGATATGGAGAGAGCTGAATTTCTGATGGATACAGACCTGCCTGAATGTGACAAGGAGGACCATTCATTAAAGCCCCCAAACCATTGCCAGAGGCCAGCTCCAGGGTTCCAGGGTGAGTCTGCCTCTTTGGGCCTGCACCTGGACCAGAGGCCTGGAAGATTACCTTGATGGCCACATCCATTTGGCAGAAATGAGAAGGCACGGGGCTATCCAGCAAGCTGCGCTGAGTGGCTGTGTTTGTAATCTTCTGGCACTTGCAGTCCTGACTGGCTGGCTTTCCAGCTTACCCTGGCACTCAGACCTGGCATTTCAGAAACTACTGGCAGCAGATCCTGGAAATAGTACCTTTAAAAAAAAAAAGTAAGGAAAGCTAATGTTGCATTGGCAGAGCTCACCTGAGGCCACCTCCATCTGTCGTTCCCTCCCTTTATGATTCTCCATTTTCACTTTCTCTTTAGCAGCCAGAGCCTCTGCTGTCCTTTCCATGCCCTCTCTGGGGACAGTCCTGTGGACAGTCTTCCACCATCCCCTCATTGATGACTCCCTCCTCCGTACAGTGTGACAGCTGGGCAAGACAGCTGAAGTAATTTCCATAGGGTTGTCAACTGAGCCTGGGATAGATGGGAAGATGGTTTCGACATGAAGGGGACAAACCTGACTCCCTGCCACAGATGGGCAGAGGGACTACACAGAGCATGTGATGGCCATAATGAGGCAGCAGAACTCTGGGCTCCACCCGCAGTCCAAGGAGGGCCCAACAGAGACAGTTGTGGGGTACTGGGACTTTCTTGCCACTCTCTGGACATCAGCTAGGGTTCCTTAGTTACAAATAATGGAAACTAAATATGTTAAATTTAAAAAAAAACAAACAGAATTTACTGAAAGGATACAGGCCAGCTCACAACATCATAAGAAATGCTGAATCCCTTTGTCTTAGAAAGGGCAGGAAGAAGGGAAGGTCTTGGGATCAAGGTAACAGGGCATACAGTACAGTTTACCCCTTCAGGACATTTTCTGTCCAGTATCAAGCCGTTCAAGATTCCTAGTGAAAGCTGGGCCCGGTGGTTCATGCCTGTAATCCCAGCACTTTGGGAGGCCAAGTTGGGTGAATCACCTGAGGTCAGGAGCTTGAGACCAGCCTGACCAACACGGTGAAACCCTGTCTCTACCAAAAATACAAAAATTAGCTGGGTGTGGTGGCAGCACCTGTAATCCCAGTTACTCTGGAGGCTGAGGCAGGAGATTCACTTGAACCGTTCAAGAATCGCTTGAACAGAGGCAGAGGTTGCAGTGATTAGATTGCACCACCGCACTCCAGCCTGGGTGACAGAGTGTGACTCCATCTCAAAAAAAAAAAAAAAGTATTCCTGGTGAATCTGTTTGACTATCTTGGGATCAAGTGACCCAGTAAAGCCAATTAGATTGGCTTAATTTGATTGACAGTCCACCAAGACTTTACAGAGCACAGTGAAGGGCTTGATCTACCAGGGTGGAAGAACAACTGGGTGGTCAAAAACAGCAAGTGTCCACCACCTTCAACCCAGAGAAGCCCTTTTTCTTTTTTCTTTTCTTTTCTTTTCTTTTTTTTTTTTTTTTTTTTGATACAGGGTGTCACTCTGTCGCCCAGGCTGGAGTGCAGTGGTGTGATCACGACTCACTGCAGCTTTGACCTCCCTGTGATCCTCCTACCCCAGTGATCACTGAGCAATCAGGGAGCCAGCTCAGTGATCCTCCCACCTCAGCCTCACGAGTAGCTGGGACTTCTGTACTTTTTGTAGAGACAGGGTTTTGTCATGTTGACTAGGCTGGTCTTGAACTCCTGAGTTCAAGCAATCCTCCTGCCTGGGCCTCCTAAAGTGCTGGGATTACAGGCATGAGCCACTGCACCTGGCCTCCCTTTTTTTTCCACACCTGTGTTTGCTCTAACTTGCCAACAACTGGATTTTAATGTGAGAAAAATGGAGGAAGAGCTCAGGAAACCAAGAACAGGAGGGGACTTGATTACTGTTTGTAAGTAGGTTAGATCTCAAGAGGTGAGTTCTGGAGCAGATTTCTGCTCCCCTGAAATCCAGAACAGAGGAATACCATTTACCCAAGCCAAAAACCTGTGAGTCACCCACAGGTTTCCATTGCCTTCTCTCTTCCCCCCAAATCAAATAGGGCATCAATTTATTTAATTTTATCCCCCAAACATCTTTCATTTATATATAACCTGTCAAGCCTCAACTTTTCACCTGCCCAGGGCCAGAGCCTCCTAACCAGTCTCTCTGCCTCCAGGCTTTTCCCTTAAATACTTGCCGACTGCAGCCAGAAGTATGTTCCAGAAACCTAAATCAATCAAGACTCTCCCTCTCAGGGGCTTCCTGCCGCCTTTGGGACAGCCTTAGCCTAAATGCAGGGTCCTTGTGATTTGTCTGCAGGTCACTTATCTGGCCTTCTTGTGAGATTCTCCTTTCTTTATAACTTTCACATCGAGTTTCTTGAAAGCCGTATTAGTGCCTGCTGACTGTTTGCAATGAAGAGGTGGGTAAAAGAAGTACCATCTTCATTACCTGGATTCCATGCTAGGAACCAACCTGTCCCCCTTAAATTTTGTATATTGAAGCCCTAAACCCCCATGTGACTACATTTGAAAACAAGGCCTATTAGGAGGTAACAAAGGTTAAGTGAGGGTGTGAGAGGGAGGCCCTAGTCTTATAGAGCCGGTGTCCTTAGAAGAGAAAAAGACACTAGCGCTTTCTCTTTCTACCATGTGAAGACACAGCAAGAAAGCTGCCATCTGCAAAGCAGGAAGACAGCCCTCACCAGAATTGCCCCTGCCAGACCTGCATTTGAGACTTCTTCCCCCAGAAGTGTGAGAAAATTAATTTCTTTTTTTATGCTACCTGGTCTGTGATATCTCTTATACCAGCCTGAACAGACTAGGGCAAGGGCATACCCTGAAACAGTCTGCAAAAACCTTGACATGTCTTTGAATTCTTTTAAAACATTTACTTATCTATATTTACTTTTTTAGAGACAGGGTCTTGCTCTGTTACCCAGGCTGGAGTGCAGTCAGTGGGGCAATCATGGCTCACTGCAACCTGGAACTCGTGGGCTCAGGTGAATCTCCCACCTCAGCCTCCCAGGTAGCTGTGACTACAGGCATGCACCACCATGCCTAGCTGCTTTTTTTTTTTTTTTGTAGGCACAGCATCTCACTATGTTGTCCAGGCTGATCTCAAACTCCTGGCTTCAAGTGATCCTCCTGCCTCAACCTCCCAACGTGCTGGGAAGTCTTTTGTTTTAAAATAAGTTTTGATATTCTTGTATCCTGCCTTGTAATAGCCTTACAGGCTTTAATATAAATGTATTATTTCCAATCACACATACAGTAAATCAAGCCATAGTCATAGTGACCTGCTGACTTCTAGTATCCCCAGCCCACCATGCCTCACCATAGGGAATTTAGAATCCAATTTCGGAGTCCACCTCAGTCATTTCCACCTCAAGGCTTTTGGATACTCTGCTCTTTGCTGGAAAATTCTCCCCCGACTCCATTTTGTCCATTTGGTGAATCCTTTAAAACAAAAACTCCAATGATCACTTCCTCTATTAAGATGCTCCTAGCTCCACACCTCAGTGCAGAGCTGACATCTTCCTTTATGTGCTCACTGTACCTTTTGCAGATGCACAACCCTTTATTACTTGCACATATGTCTATGTTTACATGTATATGATGTCTACTGAATTGTAAGCTCTCTGAGGGCAGGCAGGAGGTCTGATTTATGAATGAATCCCCAGAGCATAGCAGAGGGCCAAGCACAAAGTATATGCTTGGTAATTGTTGAAGAATAAATGAATGAATGAGTGAGTGAATGAATGAATGAATCACAAAGCAACTTAAATTAAAGCAGAGGGATTTTTCTAGGATGTATCTGGAAATAGTAATAAAATGTTGAAATACAGACAGTCCCTGATTTAAGATGTTTAGACTTAGGATTTTTCAACTTTACAATGGTACAAAAATGATATAAAGTCAGTGGAAAGTGGTATGATACTCTCTCACAATCATAAGGGTAGACAACTGATACTCTACAGTGAAATATGTTGCCAGTTTTGTCCAGCTGTAGGCTAATGTAAGTGTTCTGGGCACATTTAAAGAAGCGAGGCTAAGCTACAATGTTCAGTTGGTTAGGTGTATTAAATGCATTTTTAGGTTACGATATTTTCAACTTACAATGGGTTTATTGAGATGTAACCCCATTGGAAATAGTGGAGCATCTGTATCCCCAAAGATTGACAGCAAAATCTCCATGGCTGTAGCCACCCCACTGCCTTAAATAGGACTGAGGATTGGTTAGAGGGTCTCCTGAGATTTCTCCAACTCATTTTGTGTGAGCCTATTCTTCAAAACCTTACTGCATCTCTTGTTGATCCCCACCCCTCACTCCCTCTGAGCTCTCTCTAACTTAGTTGAGTCCTTAAGTAGCTCATGCTTGGACTACCACATTTATTTCTTAATTAGGCCACCTGCCTAAAAGCACCTCTCTCTTCTATGAGTCTACATATTACCTACCGATTACTCACCCCGCCCAAAATCCCACCCAAATCTTCCACATATCTGAAGAACATGGCCTAAGGTATTTAAGCTCTTTCTGTTTCTAACCTTAAGTTACCTTTCAACAATAGTCAAAAAATGTGAATTGCCAACAAGGCTGTAGGTATTCACAAGATGAAATACAATGGACAAAACTCCCTGTCCCCAAGACCTCACACTCCTCCTCCAGCTTATCTGCCCTGCCTCCCTTCTCCATCTTCCCAAGCTTTTCCCTCATCGGAACACAGCTCCTCATTCCCATCTCCTTGCCTTTGCTTCCACTATTGCCTGTCCTGGAATGTCACCTGAGCCACACTTTCCTGAATCTCAGTCAAGGCCTCTGTCTATGAAGACCTTTATCCCAACCTCAGCCCACAGCGATCTTTCTTGCCTTCCTCCTCAGAACTCTTGAGGTACTGACTCAGCCTCCACACACTTGCATGGATGCATGTTAGGTGGTTTTGTGTGGAAATGTGTGTGTGTGTGTGTGTGTGTGTGTGTGTGTGTGTTTCCCACCACTCAAATGTAAACTCTCTGTCTCCTCTGCATCTTGCTCAGCTCTTGGCACCTGAAGCTGAATCAATATGACAGGGCAGGGAAGGAGGTTGGCAGCGAGCAGCTCTGCAGGGTTCTCCCTGACCTCCTTGGCTTCATTTCCCACTGCCCTAGATGTCCACTTCTCTCTGTTACTGTCTGACTCCTGTCAGCCGAAGCACACATGACAACCTGTCAGGCTGGGGTAATGCCCTGCACCAGGGCATGGCAGTGGGAGAAGGAACCCAAGTCTTGAAGATTTCACAGGACAGCCATTTTCCTTGAAGCCTGATAGAACCAGTCAGAATCCTCTTCCTTTCTTGGCTCCTTTATAATAGAAACTGTGTATATACTCAGGGGCATATTCTAACTAGTGGGAGATCCTCATTTTCTTTCTGAAGGACAAGGATGTTACAGCAGAGAGGAAAAATAAGGCAGAGAAACGACCTCCAAAGAGCCAGGATGTCCTCTCAGGCACTCCATTACATGTACAAGGGCCAGGGAGCCCACAGCTTGCATGGCCACTAAAATGGAGTCACAGCATAGTTCTCAGCAACATCCTGCCCAGAGGGTTGCACTGGCGTAGTTGGACAGAACCTGCTCAAAACATGCATGTTGGTGAGTAGTCCCTCCTTCATAGCGGACTTCATGGCCACCACCATTTCTTGCTGTCCCCAGCCATTCCTACTACCATCTGCCAAAAGGGAAGAAAGAGAAGTTGTTCACAGATATCATCACTTGCCCAGCAACTCAGACTCCCCACCAAATAAGGCAGCCAAGACAGCTCCTGCCCTGTGACTGAATTAAAGAGAAGAATTTAAAGAAAAAAAAATTTCTCCTAGATGGCAAGACCCACAATGCTCTGGGGCCACATCTAATTAACTTACAGCCTCTGATGTCAACAGCTTCCAAGGCTGGTGTAGTACATTCGCAAACACATTCCAGAAGAGTCAACGTGATCTGGTGTTGACACAGGCCCATAACTCTCAGAGGCAGTAGTTTTCAATTTATGGATGCCGTAAAGCTTTGGCAATATGATTGCTACAATGTGTAGTGTGTTTTTGACAATAAGCAGGAGGTAGGGGGTTGGGGAGTATCAGCTCCACATTTGACTATGGTTGTGGGCTCATAACAGAAAACCTGTAGTGATTTCTGCAGTTGCAAAGCAGCTACAATAATGGCTGCAAACAATGAACCTAGGAATGTTATGTGGTTCTTTACTAGCAAACTCTGGACTTCTACATCAGCTCAAAGGTACATTAGTCATTCAACAAGCATGTATTACCACCTACCCTTTGCCAGGTACATAGTGCAGAATAGGTACAGAGTACAGTGGGAACAGGAAAATGGATGGTAGGTTTACCTCCAAAGGATTCAGTAAATGCCAGGTCTCCTTACTTCAAGAACCCTCCTAAGAAGAACCATGATGGAAGGAAAAAAGAAGGAGAAGGGCAGTGAACACAGCTGCCATCAGCCTTTTCTTCTATCCTGACAAGATGTGTGTGTCCTTAGATGCAGGTGTGTGAGATTTGTTCATGTGGGCAGCAATAGGAGGAGTGACTTTTTCATGGTCTAAGACCCAGATATAATACTAGACTTGATTATTGACCAAAATAAAACATCAACAAAACTTTCTTCATTTGTTATCACTTACTGGCCTCAAGGCCAATATTTGGATGTACTCAGAGTCTGGAGCTCAAGAGTCTAAATAATACAGTCCCAAGCTAGAGCATAAGAGTGTGTGTGTGTGTGTGTGTGTGTGTGTGTGTGTGGGCGCGCGCGTGCGCGCACGTATGCATGTATATGTGCATGCATATGCCTAAATGCTGGTCTGAAACTCTAAATGGATTCCTTATGGTTCTCAAAAGCAGAGGCAGCTAGGTCATTAGAAGCCATGCAACCAGCAGATATTTGCTAACCACCTATAGGGTGCCAAGTATGGTGCTAAAACGGAGGGGCTAAGGGACAAACTGTGTGGCTCTCAGAAGTTAGTGTATTTTTGCTTAAGAACAGAGAGTAGATAATATATTAGATTCATATTCACATACTCATTGTCAGGCAATTCCAACTAAAAAAGGCTTTTTATCTTTTTTTTTTTTTTTAAAAAAACGTTGCCACTACACACCTATTAGAATGGCTGAAATGAAAAACGCTGACAATGTCAAATACTAGCAAGGATGTGGAGTAAAAGGAACTCTTACTTATCACCAATGGGAATGCAAAATGGTATAGAAACTTTGGAAATCGGTTTGTTGGTTTCTTACAAAACTAAATATACTCTTACCATATGATCCAGCAATAGTGCTCTTTAGTATTTATCCAAAAAAGTTGAAAACTTATGCCACAGAAAAACCTGCTTGTAGATGTCTATAGCAGCTTTATTCAGAATTGCCAAAACTTGGAAGCAAGCAAAATGACCTTTGGTAAGTGCTTGGAAGCAACCAAGATGACTTTCAATAAGTGAACAGATAAACTATGTCATGTCTAGACAATGGAATGTTATTTAGCGCTAAAAAAATGAGCTATCAAGCCACAAAAAGACATGGAGGAACCTTAGATGTATATTATTAAGTGAAAGAAGCCAATCTAAAGAGGCTATATATTGTACAATTCCAACTATATGACATTTTGGATAGAGCAAAATCATGAAGGCAGTAAAAAGATTAGTGGTTTTCAGGGGTCTAGGGAGAGAGAGGAATGAATAAGCAAAGCATAGAGGATTTTTAGGGCAGTAAAATTATTCTGTACAATACTATGATGGTGAATACATGTTGTCTTAGTTCATTTTGTGCTGCTACAACAAAATATCTGAGTCTGGGTAATTTATAAACAACAGAAATTTATTTCCCACAGTTCTGGAAGCTGGGAAGTCCAAGGTGCTGACATCAGGTGTCTGGTTAGGACCATCTTGCCGAATCTTCCAGAGGTGAGTAATGCTATTTCCTCATATGACAGAAGAGCAGGAGACAGATCATTCTTCCCAAAGGCCCATTTTCTAAGAGAATCCATTCAGGAAGGTGGAGCCTCATGACCTAAATACCTCCCATTAGGCCTCATCTCCCCACACTGTTGCATTGGGGATTAAGTTTCCAACACCTGAATTTTTGGAGGGGACAAACACACTCAAACCATAGCACATGTCATTATGTATTTATCAAAACTCATAGAAAGCACAACTCTAATGTAAACTATGGGCTTTTATTGATAATGATGTGTCATTGTTGGTTCATGAGACTGTAAGGACTGTTACAAATGTATCACTGGGGTGCCAGATGTTAATGGTGGGGGAGGAAGTATATGAGAACTCTGTACTTTATGTTCAACTTTGCTGTAAACCTAAACTTTTCTCTGAAAAATAAAGTCTACTTCATAAATAAATGAATAAATACATAAATAATTAAATAAATGACAAAGAATGGCATTCTAATCTGTGGGCAGTTGTAGAAAGAAATCAATAGATCTGATGATTAAGTTACTCAGTTAGGGCCCTGAGCAGATTTCTTAGGTTCTTTTTGACATGAGAATGTCTTACATTTTTATGCTGACATTGCTCGTCCTGTAAGTCCATACCCATGTTCAGAACTGGAATAGTTTCATACTTGGGGCTTTCTGGATGACTCCAAAGATCCTGTCTCCAGCCCCAGTGTGCTAACACTTTGAAACCTGGAACCAGACAAGGTGAGCACAGAGAACTGGTGCATGAGAAGCTGTTGAAGACAGGCACTCTCAGTGTCCTGTGAACATGAGGAATGATGTTGAAGAGTGAGAATGCTTTTTTAAAACAATTTTTGAAACAGGGTCTCACTCTGTTGCCCAGGCTGGTGTACAGTGGTGTGATCTCAGCTTACTGCAACTACCGCCTCCCGGGCTCAAGCAATCCTGCCACTGGCACACACCACCATGCTTGGCTAATTTTTAAATACTTTTTGTAGAGATGAGGTCCCACTCTATTGCTCAGGCTGGTCTCAAACTCTAGGGCTCAAATGATCCTCCCACCTCAGCCTCCCAAAGTGCTAGGATTACAGATGCAAGCCACTACACCCAGTGAAGTGAGAATGCTAAACCAGGCCTAGTAACATGACTCTGATACATTTTTTTAAGAAACTTACCAAAAGTGCATAAATGGATGGTCCCAATTCTGCTAAATAGTCCATTTGATCTTAGATGAAAGATTAGAAAGACATGCTAATTGTTAACAGCAATTGTCTCACGAAGACAGCTCATCTGTGATTCTTTGTTTTGTTTTGTGCATCTTGATGTTCCAAATTTTCTCCAATAAATATGTATTTTTTAAAATCAAGATTGAGAGAGAGAGAGACAAATTATGAGAGACAATGATTGTCCATCAACAGAGTAGTCACTGAGAGTTCTGGGTTTATCAAGATGAGAAATGACCAGCAGGAAAACCCCACATCTGACCCAGAGAGAGCTTCTGAAGAAGGATTGGGGTACAGTTGGGTTTATTTTATTTTTACTTTTACATATATATATATATGTGTATATATATATATATATACACATATATATATACATATATATATATATATATATATATATATATATATATATATGTTATTGTTTTTGAGCCAAAGTCTTACTCTGTAGCCCAGGCTGCAGTGCAGTGGCATGATCTCACCTCACTGCAGCCTCCACCTCCTTGGCTCAAGCCATCCTCTTCCTCAGCCTTCTGAGTAGCTGGGACTACAGGCGCACACCACCACACCCAGATAATTTTTGTATTTTTTGTAGAGACGGAGTTTTTCCATGTTGCCCAGGCTGGTCTTGAGCTCCTGGGATGAAGTGATCCTCCTATCTTGGTCTCCCAAAGTGCTGAGATTACAGGCATGAGTCACAGCACCCAACTAGTTGGGTTTAAAATAAAAACTGCAAGTAAGAAGACAAATCTATATGTGTTGTTTGTAAGTCAACTATATGGGCCATAGCAGTAAGGACTTAGTTAGTTCTTGTTGACTCCCAGGAGAAGGGCATCAAAAGAGTACAAAGTATTTGAATACGGTAGGTTTTCCCATCAAGGCCCAACCTCTTCATGATGGAAGAAAAAGCTATTTCCAAAGCTATAAAGGCTAAGAATGACAGTGGATATAGCCCCCAAACAGATACAAATAACAAACCAGGAGTTATGGGCCAAAGGGTTTAAATCTTAATAGGTTGAGAGTAGGGAGGTGAGGGGAGGAGACAGGAATTAAATAAACCTGAACCACAGCCAGAATCAAAATCTAACACCTTCCACTTGATGTGATGGCTCTTCCAGGAGCCTGTTAACACCTCGTAACTATAACTGAGGCCCACAAAAGAAATCACTCAACAGGGGAAACACACAACAATCCACACACCCGAAAGTGATCATGGCCTTCAGTGCAGAACAGATAATTCTTCCTAGAGAGGTTCAGCTGTGAAAAAACAAGAGAAATTGGGGGCATTTATTTAATGTTCCTCAAACTCCTGGGTGTGGGCTGCTTGTTCAAATCCTCAGTTTCGTGGAAATGCATATTTTTTATATTTCACCAAAGGGACCCTATTTATTTGACACGTGAGGTAGTGGTTTTCTGGATCCCATCTTGTGGTCTGGATGAGAACTTGAGAATGGGCTGTGAGTTTCTACCAAGAGTTGGATCCACTGAAGTGCTGCCACCCTAGATCCTGCTAACGTGGGGAGACTCAGTGATCCTGAGTCAGGGTCACTGCTGACATCAGGCCTTTCACATTCGAAGGATCCGTTGAAGGTCACATCAGTGAGGTCATGCAGGTGTTGTTCCCATCCTGGCCTTTTTTTAAAACAAACTAGAGTTTAAAAATTCCCAGAAGTGTATAAATTGGCATATAGCATAGGTTAGAGAAGGAGGTGTGCAACTGGGCATGTATTTAGTAATAGCCTTTGTGGGAGATTTTTATGATATATGAATAACTTTGATAATCACATCTCATTCATCCTTTACCAGAAAGCTAAATGGTAACATTGCCACTCCTATTTTACATGAAGAAACTGAGTCTCAGAGAGAATGACCTGCCTAGGATGGTAAGCTAGTAAGTGACAGAGCTGGGATTTGAACCCAGATCTTCTAACTCAGTTCATGTACCTACACTAGGGGAAAGTACTACGATCCTATAGCTACAAAGGAACATCCAAGCAGGGCCTGGGAAGGGAAGCCTGAAGAGACTAAGAGCCTTTTCAGGATAGGGATCACGTCCTGTTTATCATGTGTCTCATCAAGTGGTGAACAAAGGAGGAAGGGGGTCGTGATGAGTACTGCAGTCAATGGAATGCAGCGCCTTCCCACAGATCGATGGCTTGGGGTGAATCAACATCATTCCCATGACGGGCTCTATTAGAAGGCGAAGCAATGAAACATCTTAGAGCACCTTCAAGGACAGATGCATAATAGGGACTGCAGCTGTGAGCATATGGGATCCTCCCTCCTCACCCTTTGAGAACTTTCAGAAACATTAGGCCACTTCTGGGGTCAGAGCTTGGGCAAGTAAAAAGGAGGGAGGTAGACTTCAGCCATTGAATATAGAAGGTGATATTTAAATTACCTTTGTTTTTAAAGATAGAATCATCCCTATTTTTGCACTTATCAATCGGTAGTAGTCATCTTTCCAAATCAGTAAACATATAGATATATATCGCCATGGTTAATAGCTGCATTGTTCTCCACAGTATACCAGAGCACAATAATTTACTTAACTGATACCCCATTGATGGGCATTTATGTTGTTTCCTACTTTTTGCTATTATAACGATGTTGCTGTGTACATCCTTGCAAAGACAGATTTTCTGAATTTAATAAAGAGCATCAAATGGTCAGAAGAGGAAAGATGACTTCCAGTTGGGGAAGGAGAATTGAGGCAGGCTTCACAGCACATATGAAATCTGAGCTGGATTGAAGGCTGGGTCGAGAATGTGAGATGAGGATTGGGGAGAAAGGCAATCAAGGTGGCCGGGCGCAGTGGCTCATGCCTGTAATCCCAGCACTTTGGGAGGCTGAGGCAGGTGGATCACCTGAGGTCAGGAGTTTGAGACCAGCCTGACCAATATGGTGAAACCCCATCTCTACTAAAAATACAAAAATTAGCCAGGCGTGTTGGTATGTGACTGTAGTCCCAGCTACTCAGGAGGCTGAGAAAAAGAATTGCTTAAACCTGGGAGGTGGAGGTTGCAGTGAGCCGAGGTCGCACCACTGCACTCCAGCCTGGGCAACAGAGTGAGACCCTGTCTCAAAAAAAAAAAAAAAAAGAAAAAGAAAAAAAAAAAAGAAAGGCAATCAAGGCAACTGACTGAACTAGAGAGTAAAAGCACAGAGGTGGGAAAGGGTGGGGACAAAGAATACAGTGAAATGAGGTTGGAGCACAGAGTAGATGAAGCAGAGGGGCTAGAAGTAAGATTCATAAGTAGTTTTGGACAGCACTGGAGGAGGTCTTTGGCTGCCAGGCAAAGGAGTCTATTATTATGTATCAACAAGACGATTTAATGCTGACTCATTCGTCTTAGAGATCACCCATCTATGCCTCAGTACTCAATGGGTAATGCAATCTCAACTCTCCTATTAATGGTTGTAAAAGAAAAAGAAGGCCCTTGATTTCTGAGTGGGAGATCTGAAAAGAAAATTCACAGGCTCCAAGAAGCTCAATGAGATAATGCATGAAAGAACACCGCATGGACTTGCACAGAGTAATAACTGTGTGGTAAGAGTGAATTATTAGTTTAAACAATCATAACAAAAGGGCATTTTTAAATTCTGGGGTTTTGCAGTTAAAAATTTAGCATTTTTAAATGTTCACTTGGCTCTGCCTGCATCTGTGCTTTTAGTTCCCCATAAAGTTGCTCTGTGAGAAGGCAAGTTTCCTTCAAGGAGAGAAAAGGAGAAACCCAATCCATGAGGTGGCTACCAGATGAGTTTTCAGATTGCTTATCTCTTTAATATTCTAGACCTCACCATCTGGTCATCAAATTCACTTTGGTCTAAACTGGGCTATGATTTTTTTTTCTGTATTTGGAGTTTGTATTAGAAATTAAGATTTACTGCATTTGCAGACCATTTTTAGTCTTTTATGAAACAAGTGGAGGCAATAGAGACCCACTTGTCCAATGTGTCGTTTTAAACACGGTGGGCAAGTGCAGGGTGGCAGCTTTATTTATCACCACATGCTCACTGGAGTGCTGGTAAATGGAATTGCGTGCTTGGCCAAGCACACAGGGAATAAGCACAGCATTGAGGCTGGGTTTTTACAGCAGCTCTGTGATCATGAATTATGAAAGGATTAGACAAGGTTTGGGAGAAGGGAGGTTCTGTTGTTTTTCTTCCCTCTTTTGTAAAGATTTGAGGGTGAGGAAAAACCTAGAATAAAGGCAATAAAAAAGTCCACCAAATGATGCTTATTGGGAAATAGGTTGGGAGATTCCTAATTTATCCCTCTGGTTATTTGCCAAGTCAGAAACCACAATGCAAATAATGACTTCTCTCTCTGTAGGAGGAATTCATTAGTGTTAGACTCAAAGTCCTGCCGTGGCCCTGAAACACTTGCTTTTACTGCCAACCAGAAGAGCCACAGTATTCTGTTTCCATGAATTTGAGAGTTGAACGCATGCCTACTTAACAATGTTATTAGTAAGTGAACCACACTTTTCAGAGTTACTTATCTTTTCTCTTTACTGCTAAGCTGTGTCAAATCCACCTGATCTGCAAGCTGATAGCATTTAGATCTCTTCTTTATTAGAGAGGCTACAGATCTCACTAGTACCATTTCTAGGCCAATGCCTTATTTCTCTCTGCCTGTCTAACCTTTCAACCATGCCCACAGGTCCCAAGGCACATTCCATCATCCTCGGGTGCCACTGCAAGACTGGTGCAGGATAGAAGCCTGTCTTCCTGGGAACCTTATTCAATTCCTTAGTGAGGCTCTCCCTTCAGATCCAACCTCAGTTTACCTCTCCATCCTTATCTGTAGCCACCAAGCTCCTTAAATAAGTGCTGTTCTCTCTTATTTCAGGGCCTTTGCAAAGGTTGGTTCTTTGGAAAGAAATATCCATCTGTCTTAGCTCAGGCTGTCATAACAAAATACCATAGACTGCATGGCTTAAACAACAGAATTTATTTCTCACAGTGCTAGAGGCTGGCAATCTGAGGTTAGAGTGCCAGGATGGTGAGGTTTTGGTGAGGGCTCTCTTCCTGGCTTGCAGGTGAGTACCTTCTTGCTGGGTCCTCGCATGGCAGAGAGAGAGGAGAGAGGAGAGAGGAGAGAGAGAGAGAATATCTTCCTCTTCTTATAAGGGCCTTAATCCCAACATGAGGGACCCTCCTCATGACATCATCTAACCCTAATTACTTTCCAAAGGGCCCCATCTCCAACCACCATCACATTGTGGGGTTGGGCTTCAACATATGAATTTGTGGGGGACACAAACATTCAGTCATCCCACCATTGTTTGGTACTTCACTTAAAGACAACTTCTGCTGGGAGTCTTCCCTGAAATACCCAAGGCTATGGTTTCTTTCTTACAGCATCTCATATTTACCATGGTACTTACCATACTCTATTGCAATTGTCCGCACACCTGTATGTCTTCTCTTACCAGGTTGAACTTCTTAATGGCAGAAACGATGTGTTATTCGCTGATGGATGCCTACTACCCAGCATAACAACATGCACATAGTAAGCATTTACTTAAGTTCCTGTTGCCTGACTGAATTAGTCAAGGTAATGCTATTAGAATTAACAACAACAATAAAAATTAAGACATAGAAGTTATTTTCAGGTGCACATAACAGTCCAGTGCAGTTGTTCGGCAGGCAGTCTTCCATGGAGTGATTTGGGACTCTAGTTCCTTTCATTCTATGGCTCCACCATCCTCTAGGGTCTTGGAGTCCTTCTGTTCCAGTTAGAGAATGGGAAAGAAAGAATGAAGATGACACACCTACTTCCTAATTGCATCTGCCTGGAAGTGGCATGCTTCTGTGCCAGTCACATCCCATTTTAAGAACTGGCCCCAGCTAGAGGCAAGGGATGAGAGGGAAGTGGGGGCAAACTGAGAGATATGATCCCTGATGAGCACCTGCTTCCAAGCAACCCTCCTCAGAATGGAATGAATGAATGAGATCAAAGATACAGCACAGTGGAAAGAACTGAGGAATGTCGGGACCAAGAGAAAAACCATATTAAATCACCCAATACTCTCATTTTATAGAAGACGCAAGTCCAGAGTAGATAAATAGCAAATAACACAACTATTTACTATTTACTTAAAGACCTGGGGTTTGAATTCAGATGACCTTGGTTCTCGCCCTAGTTTGTTGAATGTCAAAGTCACCCCTGCCTCTGTGAGCTTCAGTTCTGTCACCTTTAAAATATGAGGTTTATGCCAGATGCTCTCTAAGATTCAGACTGGGCTGAAAGTGCCGCCATAACCATGATAGTGGAGGTTTGTTCTGGGAATGGAATAGTTCAGGTCCCTGGGACCACACTCAACAACCAAGAAGTGAAATTTCAATCTCTTGCTCAGTTGTTTTATCTGCACATGCTCTGTTGATCAGAAACCATCCTTCAATAAAATGAACCGCACTGTAAAGATGTTTTAGAAAGAGGAGTCAAAACACTGTCCACACACCTTCATCCATCCAGAATTGGCCTGGGTCCACAGGTGAGGTCACCGAGCATGGCATGAATACCTGTGTCACTCCTCAGGCAGAATTTAGACTATCACAGAGTAAGAATGAGAGTGACACTGTCTCTTAGTCGTTTGAGATCTGAGGGTATTCTGATTGTTAATATCAGCCCTATTCTTTCTATTTAAACAGTTCTGTCCACGCATCTCATGCTATTCAGATGTGCCCTAAGTCTCAAATTTTAAAATATTTGGGTAGGAAAGAGAAAAGAGCATTGAATAGTATGCTGACTTCATTAGAAGCCTATTTAGGAGATAAATACATTTGAATGATAGAAGTTTTCAGAAAGAACTCCGAATAGAGGTAAACAACTTGAACTAGTCATTTTTTAGAGGTTAATGAGAAACTTCAAATGTTTTTGGCCTGGAGACTTTCTTGAAACTATAATGACTTTCTAGACTCTCATATAGCTAAATGACTTATGCTTAAATCCTCAAAGTACAAATTAGTAAGAATGTGTTCTAGAAGTCTTATAAGCATTTATTTTCATTTAGACCATTGCATTTTCTCAGGAGAAAATGAAAGGGTTCCCCAGTGTTCTGAAAGCTGCGTGTTCCATGCATATATCTCAATATATAGGATCATAACATCTCTTTCAGACCTCCCAAACCCCATGCCCTTTCACAGTGAAATCCTGTTTTGACTGATGTCCCTTACTTCCCTGTCCTGGCGAAAAGCATCAAGTAACTATTCTCCTTCCACTTCCCCTTCCCTATATTCCTTAATTTGGGTATCTACTTCCCAACGTGGCAAAGGGTAGCACAGAAATGACACTGCTTTGGAAGTCACTGGCAGAGCACTCCCTAGGTTCAAATTGGCAAGACAGGTTCCCCCACCCTCAGCCCTGCTGCTGCCATTTCACACAATTTACCTTCCACACCAAATCTGGAGCACCAGTCTATAAAGAAAAGAGGAAAAGCAAGCTGTCTAAAGAGTCTTCATTCTTCTTCATGGTATAAAGCAACATGTTGCTGTGGCTTTTGACCTCCAGGGGTTGGATTAGATGATTTTCCACATGGTTTATTGTGAAAGGTTTTATTGCACAGATCCCTCAACAATTTAATTGCCATAAAAATAGCTAACATATGTGGCAGGCTTTAAAAATGTCCACCCGCCAAATGGATTTGCTTCTCATGTGGCCACCGGGAGCTGGCAGCTTTTACCTCCACATACCTCGGTGGGTTCTAAGCTAAAGGGTTGGAGTCACCCCGACGGGCTGTAATGAATGCAGGTCTTGGTTTCCATTTTGCTTTTTCTGTACTGTTGATGGTTCAATTTGTTCGCTTGCTTGTTTTTCTTCTTTTGGGGGTGTGTTTTTAAAGACCTATCTCTGAGGGCAATAAAAAGGTGGGAGTCTTAGATTCCATGAGGGTGGAATGAACTGACACAGCTCTGGGCCACTGTCCCAATGGCTTAGTCTGATCCTCATAGTCTCTCAAGTGTTCTCATCTGAGAGCTACCAACATTCATAACCTATCTTTTAAAAGCCAAAGGAGAGAAATCTGTCATCTACTAGAAACACTGCAACCATTTCCTTGACAGGAAGCCACTGTCTTTACGTTGCATTAGCTAGTAAAAACAATACTAAAAAAAATCATACATGGATGCACTTCTCTTCACATTGCAGTTGCTACTTCTTCAAAGGAGGCTGCCTACTGAGTAATCCTTCCAGGTCTAGCTAATTAATGTTTCCTCCATAGACCAAATAACTATGTGTGAGCTCTCTGTTGACCTCTCTTCTGTCACTTTTGACTCTTTTGTCAGAGTCTCCCCTTGCTATTCCTGGGGGGCCCAAAAGGCAGCCTCACAGTGTTCCACAAACTAGCCTGTGAACAGCAATCCCCGCTCCTTCTTCCGTAGTGGTTCCCCTTCCAGTTGCATACAACTCATCTGGAAGAGGATATTGCCCGATAGAAGAATGCCAGTAGGCCGGGTGCAGTGGCTCACGCCTGTAATCCCAGCACTTTGGGAGGCTGAGGCAGGCGGATCACTGGAGGTCAGGAGTTTGACACCAGCCTGACCAACATGATGAAACTCCGTCTCTACTAAAAATACAAAAATTAGCCAGGTGTGGTGGCACTCGCCTGTAATCCCAGCTACTTGGGCGGCTGAGGCAGGAGAATCACTTGAACCTGGGAGGTGGAGGTTGCAGTGAGCCAAGATCGTGCCATTGCACTCCAACCTGGGTGACAAAAGCAAAACTCCGTCTCAAAAATAAATAAATAAATAAAAGAATGCCAGTATCTGTTCCTGAGTGCCAACCAGGTCTCTCCTGTTCCAGCTACCAGAAGGAAGTCAGGAAAGGTGGGAAGAGGCCTCCTCCTGCCCGCCCCCCCACCTCCCCACAGACCCTTGTCTGTTTACCTGACTGAGGCATCTCCACCCAGGCCCAACGAAGTTTCTCTTGAGCAGTTCCACCAGCTTCTGATCTTCACCCCTCTTTCCACAGTGGCTTGAAATTAATTCAAGGACCAGGGAGGGTCGCTCCACTCTTCATCCTCCTGGTTAAACTGGCGTTTTTGATCCCCATGTTTCTCTCCCCTTTGGTAACAGTAGCAGGGAGGTAAACATTGTTTTAGGAGCTAGTAGCAGAATTTACCTGGTGGAGACTTGTTTACCAAAACATTTTGATAAGCCACTTTGGCTATAGTAAGATGATCCTTAGGGCCTGGGCTGGATGAGATAAGAAGGTTTATAAAGCGAGAAGAATTTTTGAGTTTCTAAGAGCAGTGCTGGAGGAAGAGGGGGCCCGGGGATGGAGGCAAACTAGGAGAGATGAGAAGAGGTGATGAGAAGAGATGGACCAGCAAGAGAGGGGGCAGTCTGTGACAGAAGGAGAAGAGAAAGTGAGTGAGAAATTTCCAGTGCAGGATAAGACATGTGGACTTTCTAAGAACAGAAATATCTAATCTTTTCAGTATAAAGTTGCTTATTCTGCCATGGATACCAGTCTTATATTAAAAGAAGTTGAGTTAAATATATTTAATAAAATCATCAAATCCATTTAAAGAAAATGCCAAGGTATAGGTTTAAAAGTAATGGGCTGGGCGCGGTGGCTCACACCTGTAATTCCATTACTTTGGGAGGCCAACGTGGGTGGATCATGAGGTCAGGAGATCAAGACCATCCTGGCTAACATGGTGAAACCCTGTCTCTACTAAAAATACAAAAATTAGTTGTGTGTGGTGGTGCAGGCCTGTAATCCCAGTTACTCAGGAGGCTGAGGCAGGAGAATCGCTTGAACCGGTGAGTCAGAGGTTGCAGTGAGCTGAGACCATGCCACTGCACTCCAGCCTGGCAACAGGGCGAGACTCTGTCTCAAAAAAAAACAAACAAAAACAAAACAAGTAATGAAGATCATTATTAACCAATGCATATAATTATTAATTAGTTTAATACATCAAAATGTGTTACATATATAGACACCTAAATATACTGAAGTTTGGTTTACATGTAGCTACATATTGTAACTGGGATAAGAGATGTGGGTTTTTATGGCTGTTCTTTAATGTGACTATGCTTAAATACACTCCCTTCCTTAGTGTTATTCCTACTTAGCGTCTGGTGGCAATGGTGTTGGGGAGAAAGTAAGGAAAAGGGGCAACTTTCATATTTGTATAGTTATAATGACTAAAGAGGGGATATGCCATGAAAAGTGAGATTCATGAGAAATCAAGAGTTCAGTAGAAGTGAGAAATCCGAGTATGAAATATTGGGGTGGGGTAGGGTTTCCAGATAAAATCCAGCATGCCCAATTAAATTTGGACTTCGGATAAACAACAAATGATTTTTTAATATACTTATATACTTATTCTACTGATGTATACAAATAAGTATACAAAATATACATATTCTACTTATACTGATGTCCTGTAGTTTTATTTGCAAAATCTGGCAACCCTATGGTGGAGGAATGCTGGAATATATTAGCAATAAAAAATCTTAATTTAAATATCATAGGAGAGCATGACTTGGGTACAGAAAATATCTGGTTTAAATAATATTGCAAATTTTCAGAGGTACTGTAATTAGAATCAGGCTCAAAGCCTTTTACAAACTTACATGAGTGACGTGGTTTTTTACACTATGAAACATGTAATGTGAACATCCTCCTCCAACATCAGAAATAGCTTTGAGACCTTCAAGAAGGTCCTAACACTCTTGTCTTACTGATTGTCTAAAAAACTAGCTATTCTATCTTGCTATTCTATCTAAAGGGAATTGTAGACATTTAGATTTATAGAGAAACTGATTACTAGATGGACAAATGAATAGCTCCCTTCCTCCCAGCCCCTACCCATGGAGTCAACAGAGTGAAGGGCAGCCTGGGGACTACCACCTAAGAAAGAATAAAATTCTCCACTAGGCCGGCCTAGTCATCATATAATGAAGTCGGGGCCCTTTCCCCACTTTCCTACTAGCTGGCTTTTTCAAGCAATCACAACCATGCTTTTAAAATGTCCAAATTTTATTTTTTAAAAGATCTAAGCTGTTCACAGAGGCAAAATGAAACAATAGGAAATACTTGTCAATTGAAAAAAAAGTTATTACAAACATGCTTAATAAAATACAATGTAAAGGTACTTAATAAAGTTACAGCTTAAAGTGAATGTAGAAAACCTGTTTCATTTTTATTAAAGCTGGATTTATAGCTTTGGTTTATTGGTTTATGTTCTCAGAACTTAATTTAGTCTCTAGATGATTTGCCCAAAAGAAAGCAGGTGGGTGGAGCTGTGTGTTGGACTACACTAGTCTAAGGGGTTGTGATATAGGTATTAACACGCCTTGGTCTGCACCAGCTCCCCACAAACAAAAACCTAAAAAAAAGGGATGGGCACAGTGGCTCAGGCCTGTAATCTCAGGACTTTGGGAGGCCAAGGCAGGCGGATCACCTGAGGTCAGGAGTTTGAGACCAGCCAGCCCAACATGGTGAAATCCCACCTCTACTAAAAATATAAAAAATTAGCCAAGTGTGGTGGCGGACACCTGTAATCCCAGCTACTCAGCAGGCTGAGGCAGGAGAATCACTTGAACCCAGGAGGCAGAGATTGCAGTGACCTGAGATCGCGCCACTGCACTTCAAGCTAGGCAACAAGAGTGAAACTCTGTCTACCAAAAAAAAAAAAAAAAAAAATTTTTTTACAACTTCATCAGGATGAACTTCCTACAAATTCCACCCAGCCTTTAAGGCTCAAGTGATAATGCTATCTTCTCTACAGTGTCCCTTGGTTCTCTTTGCTGACAGTTCTCAATGGGAGCTGCACTACTCTTAGGGGGCATTTTGAATATTTGTGGAGATGTTTTTCTGCTGCTGTCATGACCTAGCGTTATATACATTAAACTACACACTATTTTACTGTAAATCATTTTCCTTTTATTATTCATATTATAGTAGGGGCATTATGTTGATTTTTAAAATTAGCCATGTAAGGAAAAGTAAGAACCAAGAATTGGCACAACAATTTACCTCTGAAAAAGGAAAGTACAGAGATGGTATCCACCCCACCAGATATTAGGATTTATGATGGGCCTATGGAGATTAAGACAATGTGGCATTGGTCCAGAATTTGATAAAATTTATCAGTGGAATAGAAGAGAGAGCCTAGAAACAGACCTATGCTTATAGGGAACTTTGTATTTGACAGAGGTGGTATGTTAAATTGAGGTAGACTAAAAGACTGTTCAATAAATGGAGCTGAGAAAAAAAAGGTTATTTGGAAAAAAAATTAAAATGAATCTCAACCTCACATCATATAGAAAACTCAAGTCCAGATGGGTTAAAAATTTAAATGCAGAAACAAAACTGTAAAAAAAGAATACAATTTAGATTAAAAGGTTTTTAAAACAATACATAAAAATTATTTACTATAAAAGATTAATAAAATTAACTACTTTACCCTAAATATAAGTGAAAAGTTACAAACCAGATGTTTGCAATTCACATAACTGATAAAGAACTAGTATAATGACTACATAAAGAACTCTTACAAATCAATAAGAAAAGCACTAACAATCCAACAGAAAAATGAGCAAAAGACAACAAGATCTTTACAAAAGAGAGTCTATATGGCCAATAAACAAAAATTATGACAATAGCAGGTGTTAAAGAGGATGTATATTTACAGAATATTTTATACACTGTGAGTGGGAAGGTAAATTAGGGCAACAATTGTGGAAAACAGTTTGGCTTTATGTGATAACATTAAACATTCAAATAGTCTACTGACACAATTCCACTTCTGGGTATATATATAAGAAAAACTCTTGGATGTGTACACAAAGAGGCATATATAAAAATGTCCATAGTTGTACTTTTCAAAACAGCAAAAACTCAGAAACAATCAAAATGCCCATCAACAGGAGAGTGGGCAAGTAAACCATGCCAAATTCACACAATGGTATGTAATACGGTTGTTGAAACCAGTGAATCTCCACAATGACATATGCGATAATATGGATGAATAACATTAAAAGGGTATATGCCATGTGGACCCTTTTCATAAAGCTAAAACAACTAAAATAAAAATATGTCCAAGAAATCCACATAGATACAATGAAACGATATAAAAAGGGAAGCAAGACAATGAAAACAATAGATTTAGGGTGATGGTTACCTAGGATAAAAGAGATGGAGGATGGTTTGGGAGGTATCTTGAGAGTCAAATGTAGGTCATAGTAAAGGTCTTGTCTTTTATGCTGGGTGGTGGCTTCGCTGCTGATTATTACATTATTAAAACTAAACAAAGAGAAGACTAGGAGAGAGCTATGCATGGATCAATAATGAAAGTGTGTCAATGACTAAAGATTATGATTAATCAGTTCATGCACCTGAGATTTAAAAAAGAAAAAGAAGAAATTATATGTGTAAATATTATATATTACATATGAATTTCAATTCAAAATAGTAAAGAGGGCCTTAGAAAATATTTGTTTTAAAAGGAGGGGCAAGGTATCTGATACGGTTGCAAACTGCTGCTCCAGCCAAACCAGGGTTTGTTTTTACTATAACACTGAACCTCTGTGTCATGTTGTATCACTTTTAAGGCACTGTCCACATTGCCTGGATTACAATTTTTTTTAATGTAGCTGTAGTATCTCCTCTGGGCTGTAATTTTCTTGAAAGTTCTGGATCCTTCATGATGCCTTGAGTGGAGAAATTACTTACTAATTTGTTTAATGAACAAAATAAACTATTTAACTTGAAACTTTGATTTCTTAGAGAGAAGCAGGTTTAATAAACACACTACTTTCTGCCAGATATTTGCCCTTCCACATTCTAGAGTTTATCAGACATTTTTTTTTTTTTTTTTTTTTGAGACAGAGTCTCGTTCTGTCGCCCCGGCTGGAGTGCAGTGGCACGATCTCGGCTCACTGCAACCTCTGCCTCCTGGGTTCAAGCAATTCTCCTGCCTCAGCCTCCCGAGTAGCTGGGACTACAGGCATGTGCCACTACACCCAGCTAATTTTTATATTTTTAGTAGAGACGGTGTTTCACTGTGTTGGTTGGCCAAGATGGTCTAGATCTCTTGACCTCGTGATCTGCCCACCTCGGCCTCCCAAAGTGCTGGGATTACAGGCATGAGGCACCACGCCTGGTCTTATCAGACATTCTTAGGAATGTAATATCAAGTGGAAGGAGAACATCTACTCCTGGATGGCAGATGTTTAACTTAATAATTTTGGCCCACAGTCGTTTAAGCCTAAAATAGTCTGATAAGAATCCCAAGGAACCACAATAGCTCCCTTTATGTAAAACTAATAGTTCAAATGTATTACATATCTGCTCTAGGCCAGATGCTTTGTATTATCTTGAACTCTTGTAATAAATTTACACAGACGTTTTTTGTTCCTGTTTTACCAATAAGAAAACTGTGTTTCAATGAGGTTAAGAACTTTTTCATGGCTACACTGTTGTTGATGGCAGAACAGGGATCTCACTTCAGATGATTTTATATTGAAATGGCATCTTGAAACACACTCTGCTACCTGAGGACATTTTCATGTCTTGATCAATTTTTTGTTTATTTCTTTGTTTTTTTGTTTGTATAGGTTCTTTACAGATGGAATGGAAGGTCTTCATGGTTTCATTTGCTGAGGCCAGAGAAAGACAAAACTGTATTAGTTTGTTCCCATGCTGCTATGAAGAAATACCTGAGACTGGGTAATTTATAAAGGAAAGAGGTTTAATTGACTCAAAGCACTGCATGGCTGGGGAGGCCTCAGGATTTTTTTTTTTTTTTTTTTTTTTTTTGACACAGAGTCTGGCTTTGTCCCCCAGGCTGGAGTGCAGTGGCACCATCTCAGCTCACTGCAAGCTCCGCCTGCCGGAATCATGCCATTCTCCTGCCTCAGCCTCCCGAGTAGCTGGGACTACAGGTGCCCGCCACCACGCCTGGCTAATTTTTTTGTATTTTTAGTGGAGACGGGGTTTCACCATGTTGGCCAGGATGGTCTCAAACTCCTGACCTTGTGATCCACCCGCCTTGGCCTCCCAAAGTGCTAGGATTACAGGCTTGAGCCACCGCGCCCAGCCCAGGATTCTTATAAGTATGGTGGAAGACACTTCTCCATAGGGCAGAGGAGGGAGAATGAATGCAGCAGAGGAAATGCGGACACTTATAAAACCATCA
The DNA here is from genome assembly GCF_000001405.40 of Homo sapiens. Taxonomy (NCBI): domain Eukaryota; kingdom Metazoa; phylum Chordata; class Mammalia; order Primates; family Hominidae; genus Homo; species Homo sapiens. The sequence continues at coordinate 177,561,503 of NC_000002.12, read as the reverse complement.
GAGCTAGTGAGAACTCACTATCTTGAGAACAGCATGGGGGAAATTGCCCCCATGATTCAATTACCTCCCACCAGGTCCCTCCCATGACACGTGGGGATTATCAAGGTTAGAATTCGAGATGAGATTTGGGTGGGGACACAGCCAAACTGTATCACCATCTCTAAAAAGTCCTCCAATGGCATAGAGATCCAGAGGTAAGAAAAGTACTTGATGTGCTTATAAAGCAAAATAACATTATTAAATTCTTCACTAGAAGAAAGTCACAGCCGGGCATGGTGGCTCACATCTATAATCCCAGCATTCCGGGAGGCCAAGGCAGGCAGATCACTTGAGGTCAGGAGTTTGAGACCAATTTGGTCAATATGGTGAAACCCCATCTCTACTAAACATACAAAAATTAGTCGGGCGTGGTGGCGCATGCCTGTAATCCCAGCTACTAGGGAGGCTGAGGCACGAGAATTGCTCGAACCCAGGAGGTGGAGGTTGCAGTGAGTTGAGATCGCACCACTATGCTCCAGCCTGGGCGATACAGTGAGACTCCATCTAAAAAAAAAAAAAAAAAGAAAGTCACTAAATCAATTTAAGTTCTCTATATCACCCTCAACTTCTAATACCATTTATAGAAACCATTTCTTCCAAAATCATTTGAAGTCTCAGTCCTAAGACATTCCTATACACTCAGGCTGCAAGAGTCACTGGGGTGAGAGCAACAGCACTCCACACCTGAGACAGAAACACTAGCACAGAAAGACAAACCACTGGGAGGTCTATTTTGTACAACGATCCCATGATTTCCTGGGAGAAATGGTAAAGTGCATTTAAAGGCTTAATGAGGTCCCCAAAGTAAAATCCTGAACAAAGAAGGGAGATAAAGTACCTTGTAATCTTTGGAAGCATTCCTGGAAGAGATGAAGGGAAACCATTTATTCTGCAAGAAGGCTTACTGCCGTATCCAAGAGAGAGATGGTGGTGGCAGAAACCAGAGCAGTGGTGGTAGAGACTGGACAGAAGTATACAGAGTTCAGTTAGTTCACAGGCAGAATTGTTAGAACTTGAGCCATTGAATGTGGGGAGTAAGACAGCAGGTGGCTTAAAGGCCAGGCTTGTTTTCTAGGTTGGTCTCTTAGTCCACCAGCACAGACCCAGTGATATGGTTTGAATGTTTGTCCCCTCCAAATCTCATGTGAAAATATAATCCCCAGTGTTGGAGGTGAGCTTGGTGAGAGGCGTTTGGATCATGGGGTGGATCCCTCATGAATGGCTTAGTGCCATCCCCTTGCTGATGAGTGAGTTCCCACTCTGAGTTCCTGCAAGATCTGGTTGTTTAAAAGCATGTGGCATTTCTTCCCTCTCTCCCTTGCTACCACTTTAGCCATGAGAGCAAGAATGGTCTAACACACCCAGGAAACGTGTTCCATAACTCTCCACAGAAAAAGCCTCAAAAAACAAGTGCAGTAGTTAGGTTGCTGCTCAAATACCATGGCAATTGTCATCCAGTTCTTAATTATTCATAAGGCTGGTGTGGTCTAAGGAAAGCTAATTGTATACACTGCATTAATCTTAGCAAGAAAATTTAAAGCATAAAGCAATAGGACAATTTTGCATATTGCCGCTGCTCAGGACTTAAAGATAAATCTGACCAGGCCTATAAAATCTTACGCAACAGTCAAATGAAAACCTGTGTCATTTCAGACAACTGGATGGCTGGCCATCAAAGGTTGTCTGATGCCATGGAACAAATAGTTTGAAGGCTTTGCAAGCCAGAACATGTGTTCCTACAGGCTGATGACATTTTTCTTTTGGAAATCTTATATTTTGACCATTGGCCTCAAAGATCCTTCCCATCCAATTTATTACTTTCATGGCTTTATTGCAGAAATAAAAACAGGCATTAACAGGATATCTCTGACCATGAAAGGTTCCAGTCTGGAGGAAAGACATGATACTTCAATGTCGCTTACCTCTTAGAAGTGAAAGCAGTAAAACATGCTAAAATAATCTGTGTAACATCCCCATTAGTGTATCCCACAGCACACTCCAACTCTGAGGAACAAATTTTTCAACGGTAGTACCGAAAACTGTGTCTTCTCTGCTAATTCCTTTGTATAAATCATGTGATTGTGTTCTGCCTAATAAATTAATTTGGATAATAACACCCGTCTTAGTCTATTTTGTGTTGCTATAGCATAATACATCAGACTGGATAATTTATAAGAAAGGTTTATTTAGCTCATGGTTCTGCAGGCTGGGAAGTACAAGAAGCACGGTGCCAGCATCAGCTTGGCTTCTGGTGAGGGCTTTTGTGCTGCATCATAACATGGCAGAAGGTCAAAGGGGAAGCAGACATGTGCAAAGGGGCAAAACCCAAGAGCATCTTGCTTTATAACAACCCACTCTCATGGGAACTAATCCATTTCCATGAGAATAATCCAGTCTCATGAGAGCAAGAGCTCACTACTGCGAGAACAGCACCAAGTCATTCATAATGGATCCATTCCCTTGACCCAAACAGCTCCCCTAGGCTCCATTTCCCTATACTGCGGCACTGAAAATAACATTTCAACATGAGTTTTGATGGTGATGAACATATGCAAATATAGCATTCTGCCCCTAGCCTCAAAAAAATCATGTGCTTCTCATATACAAAATACAATCATTCCATTCCAGTAGTCCCAAAAGTCTTAACTTGCTCCAGCAACAAAAGTCCAAAGTCTCATCTAAGACTCATAGCAAGTTCCTTCCAGCTGTAAGCCTGTAAAATTAAAAATAAGTTATTTATTTTCAAGATGCACTGGTGGGACAGACATTTGGTAAACATCCCCACTTGAAAAGGCAGATATAGGCCAAAAGAAAGGAATGACAGACCCCATGCCAGTCTGAAACCCAGCAGGGCAGACATTAAATTTTAAGGCTCCTGCATAATCTTTCACACCATGTGCCATCTCCTGGGCACACTGATGTGAGGGGTGGGTTCCCAGAGCCTTGGGCAGCCCTGTCCCACTTGCTTCACTGGGTGTAGCACACATGGCTGTTCTCACAGTTGAAGTCAAATGCCCATAGCTTTTCCAGGCAGACATTGCACATTGTCAATGGCTCTACAATCTTGGGGTCCCAAAGGTAGCCCTATTCCCTCGATTCCTACTTCCCTGGTAGGGACTCTTTATGGCTGCTTTGGTCATACATTTCTGCTCAGCATTGCTTTAGTAGAGGCTCTCTACAGTGGCTCTGCCCCTTTGACAAGTCTCCCCGGGCTCCAGGCTTTCTGATACATCTTCTGAAATCTAGGTGGGAGCTGCCATGCCTCCATCACTCTTGTATTCTGCATGCCTACAAAATTAGCACCATTTGGATGTGGATGATGCCAAAGCTTACAGCTTGGGATCTCTGGAGTGGCAGCACAAGTAACACCTGGAGCTGCTTAAGTCACCAGGATGCAAGAGCAGCAGCGTGAAGTGGTTGTGGGCAGCAATTTCACAGAAAACACCCAGGCTTGTCCCTCAAAACCATTCTGCCCTCTTAGGCCTCTGGGCCTTTTTCCCAATATCCTGATGCACAGTACTTGACTCCCTTATATGCATACTAATCTTTTTAGCAAGTAGTCTCTTGACTGTACCCTTGAATTATTCTCCTGAAAACACTCTTTCATTTCACATGGTTGGGTTGCACATTTTTCAAGTGTTTACATTCTGCTTCCCTTTTAATTATAAATTTTGCATTTAGATTATTACTTTGCGGTGCCATAACTGAGCATAAGCTATTAAAAGTAACCACATCACTTCTTGAGTGCTTTGCTGCTTAGAAATTTCTTGCACCAGATACACTAGTTCATCACTCTTAAGTGCTACCTTCCAAAAATCCCTAGGGAGTAGACATACTGCAGCCAATTTCTTTGCAACTGTGTAACAAGGATGGGCTTTACTTCAATTTTCGATAAGGTATTCTTCATTTCCATCTGAGACCTCATCAGCACGGCTTTTACTATCCATATTTCTATCAGCATTTTGGTCACATTACTTAAACAATCTCAAAAAAGTTCCAAACTTTCCCTCATCTTTTTGTCTTTTTCTAAGCCCTCACCAGAACTGCCCTTAATGCTCTGTTCACTGCAATACAGTCTCTTTCTAGCCTGCTCCTCCTCCAAATTCTTTCAACCATTGCCCATTACACAATTCCAAAGCAGATTTCACATTTTCAGGTATCCACAGAGCAAATCCCACTCTTCGGTACCAATTTTCTGTGTTGGTCCATTTTGTGTTACTGTAATTGAATAAATACCCAAGGCTGGGTAATTTATAAAGAAAAGAGGTTCATTTAGTTGATTGTTCTGCAGGCTGAGAAGTACAAGAAGCATGGTGCCAGCATCTGCTCAGCTTCCAGTGGGGTTGTTTGTGCTGCATCATAACATGGTGGAAGGTCAAAGAGGAAGTGGACATGTGCAAAGGGGCAAAACCCAAGGGCAACTTGCCTTATAACAACCCACTATTATGGGAACTAATCCATTTCCACGAGAACTAATCCAGTCTCATGAGAGCAATAACTCTCACTACTATGGGAACAGCACCAAGCCATTCATGAGGGATCCAGCCCCATGACCCAAACATCTCCCAACACCACCATGCTGGTAATCAAATTGTGAGATTTGGTGGCAACAAACCACATCCAAACCATAGCAATACCATAAACCCAGAAATAAAAACTGTTTGATCAAAAGCAAGGCATATTTAAGAAGAAAATACATTACTATTTAAAATATTAATAAAGCTGGAACTACCAGAGAAAAAAGTTAATTCCATAACTGGACAGCCTAAAGAAAATGCCCTGGAATGAATGGGAGACAGAAATAACAAGTAGAAAGTGGTTTTGCAGAAAGTCTTCCTTTATTAAGGAAGATGGCTGACCACAGCTGTGGTTGAAATACTCATAAATAAACAATGTTTACCAACAAGAAGTAGTTATTATCATGAAACAATCACTTCCAAGTAGTTTTAAAAGAGACTGCCAAATAGAATATACATGCAATTTGATCATCTCATATTTTGGCAGGCAGAAACACAAAAGTGTTAGGAACCAAACATCATGCTTTTTGCTCCTACACATTTTGCCTAAATGGAATTCTTCCACATGGTGAACATGCCTCTGCTTATTCAGCAAAATCCACTGCGAGTCCTAAACCATTTCCTGAAAGCTAAATTCCCTTCGCTAAGGCACTAAATCATTTTATTGTAAACACCAAATGCTTTCTTACTGCTGGGAGTGGTATTATAGACTTACTTTTTGATATATGTTCCAGCTTTTCAAGATTTTGTTGTAAACAAAAAAGATACTTTATGATATTCCACCCTGTTTATTGCTTTCCAGAGTTTCTATCATTAATTAAAGGGTCTCCTTCCCCTCCTCTACCACCCAAAAAGCTGATCTACTCTCCATATGCCTATATGAGACCAAATAAAGGTCGGTCTATCACAGCAGCAGTGATGGTCATGCCAATTTCACAGTGTGATCTTTGCATTCATTTCATTTTGAAAATGACCCTGCCCTCCATCTGTCTAAGCCGAATGTCCTGCTTTTTTCAAGCCAGGCCTAAGGAGCAGCATCACGTGAAATAAGGAGGAAGAGACACAGAATGGCCTCCCTCCTGCCCACTCCAGCTGCCACGCTCACAGGTACCAACAAAAAGAGGAGAACCCCAACTGATTCCTGTAGGGATCCCAGAAATTTGGAGAAGAAAATAGTCCTTTTACTTTTCATACATTTTCAAGAAGCCATTTGAAGGTGAATGCTTTCATGATGCAAATACAACTCTGCAAAATAGAGATAAAGCTGAAAGATAGGAAAGACAATTTCTCATTTCCATGTTCTGTCTTCTTACCTTAATTTATTATTACCCAAGGTAACAGCTCAATATATAAGAATTTTATTTTATTTTTTTTTAGAGTCAGAGTCTCATTCTGTTATACAGGCTGGAGTGCAGTGGTAGGATCACAGCTCACCACAACCTCAAACTTTTGGGCTCAAGCAATTCTCCTGCTTCAGCACCCCGAGTAGCAGGGACTATAGGTACGTACCACCACGCTTGGCCTTTTTTTTTTTTTTCGGTAGAGATGGGGTCTTCCTATGTTACTCAGGCTGGTCTTGAACCCCTGGCCTCAAGCAATCCTTCCACCTTGGCCTCCCAAAGCTCTGGGATTACAGGCATGAGCCAGAATTTTTAAATTAAGCCTTTTGCATATTGTTTCCAAGGGACAAGTGTCAATCAGGCAGGCAGTAAGCAGAACACCCCCTACTCCTTGAATATTGAGCAGCACTAGCCAGCATCTTTCAATCTACAAACACTTCTGGATTGAAAACTGGATAAGGCTGTAGCTGAGATTGGGGAGAAAGAAGCCTTGAAATAGGGTTACAGAAGCCTTCCTCAACTGCTTTCCCTGGTGTTCTTGCATGGTCCAGAGCTACACTCAACCTCTCTAAAATGAGTGCACTTTGTCCCTTTCTTGGTATTGATGCAGTAGGAGGTTTCTTGTCTGTTCTCATCTAGAAGGACAGAACTGTGGCAAACTTCTCAGCAAGAGAGAAGAATACAGGAGTACGTGAAGTCAGCTGCTTTATGGTATAGCATTCAGATGCCTACTGAAGTTCCTTTTTAGGTATAACAGGTGACCATTCCCAACTAATCACTTTCTAATACTTGCTCACAGTTACGACTTAGGCCAAGAAGTTCAAATTTCCACTGGCCAACCCAAGGTGGCTGGTTGCTTTAACAGGAAAATAACAATATAAAAAAAGCAAGACACTAATATTCCCCTATAACTGGGCCCATACATGATAGATAGAGTTAATTCATCAGTGACTATTACCTACTGAACTTAGCTTTGGAATTTCATGATTCAGCTGCTTCTTATCTAGCTGTGTCATCTCAGGCAAGTTGCCTAATCTTTCTGATTCACATGTTCTTCATCAGTAATATGCAGAATACAGGGTGGTTATTATGATTAGAAATAATATATATAGGTGGTCTAATAGAATGTGATGCAATATGGTTGGTGTTGGCTCCAAAATTTATATGTAGAAAAGATTTATGAACAGCAATACTGTTGAAGAGGCAGTAAGGTACCTGCATTGAAGTATTTAATTATATAGCAAAGACATGCTCTGACTTGGACTGTTTATCATGGGTGGTAGTGAGGCCAATGGACATCATGGAAGACTACAAAAGACAATGCTCTGTCCCAGGCCACCATATGATAGATGTTAATGAATTACAACTATTATTGTTACCTTGAAAACTACACTATTTACAAGTACCTCACTGGGATAAGCCAAATTCATATTTTGCTATCTTGTCTATGTCCCTAATTCTTGATTGAAAAATTGTATTTATTCTCCCTTAAAGTCTATGGTCTCCAGGTCAGTTTATCTAGGGGTATTTTTTAAATTGGTGATTAAATATAATTTTATGGAATAATTAAGCCCCTAGTTTTTCACAGCCCCATCATGGCCACTAATAAACTGAAAAAAAATTATACAAAAATAGCCCCAGGATAATAACATGGAATCTACAGCATCTATTCCAAATATATAACAAAGAATGAAAGAAAACCCAGAATGATATCTTGTACAGTCTAGCAAACCTGCATAGAAATCTTCAAACTAAGAATCTGGAAAAAAAATTAAAGTGTAGGCAATCTTTTCTTATTTTAACAGAAGAAAATCCATATTTATCAGTTCAATATCCAAAATCCCTAGAAGGCTGAAAAGTACAAACTGAGCATGTGTGTCTCTCACACACCCACACATCACTGGCTGACTAATTTAGTAGTTAAGAGAGAAGAGTAAAAATGCATAGGGAAAGGAGCACATTTTAATGTCTTGGATTTTCCCCTCTTGGAAAAAACTGAAGTCATGCATTTCTCCAACGTTTCTACCTAGTAGTGAAAGTTGGAACTCCAGCGCAATGGGGATGGCCAAGGGTAAACGCCAATATATACTCAGTAATATTTGTTGTTACGGGAAAAAAGAGCGGGAGATACTTGGACCTAAAACCGAAACTCTCCCAGTACCAATCAAGATTCACAGTCCTTTTTCCTCATTAACCTCTGGAAACCACCAAATTAAGGATTCCTGCTCGCCGCTCTATTCCGTTCTTACAAACTGTGCCCTCGGGGTAGTGCAAAAAAGAACGTGCTCTAATTCCAGGGTAATTCCAAGAGATAACTCGCCTTTTGCCATCCCGGTTCTTTTACTGAAACTAAACCAAAAGCCAGCATTATTATCGACCACACCGTGTACCAGGCTCAAAATCGCCAGGAACATGGGGCCGGAAACCTTCCTCCGCCGCGCCAGAGACCACGGTGCCATAACAGACACAGTGAGCGCCCCTCATCTTTAAGAGGCAGGGAAGGAGAGTTACCCTGCACCCCCACGGGCCGCCGGTTCGGTAGGTACAGCCGGGACTACGTCTCCCAGCATGCAGCGCGGCTACGACCCGCGCCGCGGAACCACTGGAACGGTGCATGCCGGGACGAGTAGATTCAGTCTCTGAACGGCCCGGAGTAGTCTTTCCCCTCCTGAATGCCGCCACTCCGCAGTCCAGAGTATTTGAAGATCAAGCTGAAATTGAGAGACTGACGAGAGTGGTCCCTTTTTGTTCCTAACAGATTTCTTGCGACAAGGAAACCGGCAGTCTTCCGCTTCCGGTTGCTCTGTTGCCATAGTAACCGCACCCATAACAGCCGTGGTGGTTATGGCTGGCCTGAGCGGCGCGCAGATCCCCGACGGGGAGTTCACCGCGGTCGTGTACCGCCTCATCCGCAATGCACGCTACGCCGAGGCGGTGCAGCTGCTGGGCGGAGAACTGCAGCGGAGCCCTAGGAGCCGCGCCGGCCTGTCGCTGCTAGGCTACTGCTACTACCGCCTGCAGGAGTTCGCGCTGGCGGCCGAGTGCTATGAGCAGCTGGGCCAGCTGCACCCGGAACTGGAGCAGTACCGCCTGTACCAGGCCCAGGCCCTGTACAAGGCCTGCCTTTATGCGGAGGCCACCCGGGTCGCCTTCCTTCTCCTGGATAACCCCGCCTACCACAGCCGGGTCCTCCGCCTGCAAGCTGCTATCAAGTACAGCGAGGGCGATCTGCCAGGGTCCAGGAGCCTGGTAGAGCAGCTGCCGAGTAGGGAAGGGGGAGAGGAAAGTGGGGGCGAGAATGAGACCGATGGCCAGATCAACCTGGGTTGTTTGCTCTACAAGGAGGGACAGTATGAAGCTGCATGCTCCAAGTTTTTTGCCGCCCTGCAGGCCTCGGGCTACCAGCCTGACCTTTCCTACAACCTGGCTTTGGCCTATTACAGCAGCCGACAGTATGCTTCAGCACTGAAGCATATCGCTGAGATTATTGAGCGTGGCATCCGCCAGCACCCTGAGCTAGGTGTGGGCATGACCACTGAGGGCATTGATGTTCGCAGTGTTGGCAACACCTTAGTCCTCCATCAGACTGCTCTGGTGGAAGCCTTCAACCTTAAGGCAGCTATAGAATACCAACTGAGAAACTATGAGGCAGCTCAAGAAGCCCTCACTGACATGCCACCCAGGGCAGAGGAAGAGTTGGACCCTGTGACCCTACACAACCAGGCACTAATGAACATGGATGCCAGGCCTACAGAAGGGTTTGAAAAGCTACAGTTTTTGCTCCAACAGAATCCCTTTCCTCCAGAGACTTTTGGCAACCTGTTGCTGCTCTACTGTAAATATGAGTATTTTGACCTGGCAGCAGATGTCCTGGCAGAAAATGCCCATTTGATTTATAAGTTCCTCACACCCTATCTCTATGACTTCTTGGACGCTGTGATCACTTGCCAGACAGCTCCTGAAGAGGCTTTCATTAAGCTTGATGGGCTAGCAGGGATGCTGACTGAGGTCCTCCGGAAACTTACCATACAAGTACAGGAAGCAAGACACAATAGAGATGATGAAGCTATCAAAAAGGCAGTGAATGAATATGATGAAACCATGGAGAAATACATTCCTGTGTTGATGGCTCAGGCAAAAATCTACTGGAATCTTGAAAATTATCCAATGGTGGAAAAGATCTTCCGCAAATCTGTGGAATTCTGTAACGACCATGATGTGTGGAAGTTGAATGTGGCTCATGTTCTGTTCATGCAGGAAAACAAATACAAAGAAGCCATTGGTTTCTATGAACCCATAGTCAAGAAGCATTATGATAACATCCTGAATGTCAGTGCTATTGTACTGGCTAATCTCTGTGTTTCCTATATTATGACAAGTCAAAATGAAGAAGCAGAGGAGTTGATGAGGAAGATTGAAAAGGAGGAAGAGCAGCTCTCTTATGATGACCCAGATAAGAAAATGTACCATCTCTGCATTGTGAATTTGGTGATAGGAACTCTTTATTGTGCCAAAGGAAATTATGACTTTGGTATTTCTCGAGTTATCAAAAGCTTGGAACCTTACAACAAAAAGCTGGGAACAGACACCTGGTATTATGCCAAAAGATGCTTCCTGTCCTTGTTAGAAAACATGTCAAAACACACAATCATGCTTCGTGATAGTGTTATTCAAGAATGTGTCCAGTTTCTAGAACACTGTGAACTTCATGGCAGAAACATACCTGCTGTTATTGAACAACCCCTGGAAGAAGAAAGAATGCATGTTGGAAAGAATACAGTCACATATGAGTCTAGGCAGTTAAAAGCTTTGATTTATGAGATTATAGGATGGAATATATAGTAATAGCTGATAGTGGCATTTATCAAATGGCTTTGTTATGTAAATTTGCATCGCTTTATTTACCCTTTGGCATCTTTATATTTGTTACATGTTGAACTTTGTACACTTATGCATTATAAAAAAAAAAGTAGCTAAAACTTTTGCTGTTAAATTTCCCAGAAAGTGACATATTCTAAGAACTTTTACCCCAGGAGTTATGAAAAATTCCAAACTTATGAGGAATGTTTATATCAGAAGTTGTAATACGTTTGTTTCCTTTCCTCTGTTATCTTTTGTGCTTTGACGTATCTTGAGGGGTCTTTGCACAAGGATTACATCATTCAGGGACCAAGCACTATCTCAGTAATAGTTAAGAGTAGTCTTTAAATAATCATTTCAGGGATTGTGTGAGAGTAGTCTCACAATTTACACTCATTAATTTGTAATGCATACTTTTTATATAGACTTTAGGATATTTTGGCAGTGTTTATTCATATGGATATAATTCTTTACCTAACCAAAATTCCTTAGGTTATAAGTGGTTTTAACGTGCAAAAGTCAGTAAAAAATTTTGTTGCCTTAACAAAATTATGGTGCTATAATGTAGAGACAATGAACGATTATCAAAGAACAAATTTCCCTGGTTTTCTTTTGTTCCCTTTAATAATTTAAATATATGAACAAGATACACTGTTACTATTTTCCATGATAACTTTTTAAATATCTCTGTGAGAAATAACAGAGCTATCCTGAGAACTCAGGGGTTTGTTTAAGAGACACAGGTTTTGTTATGTTTGTTGCCCAGGCTAGTATCCAGCTCCTAGGCTTAAGCATACTCCCACTTCAGCTTCCCAAGTAGCTGGGACTACTGGCACAAATCACTGGGTCCAGTTCTCAGTTCTTAATTCCTACCTTTGTGTTTGCAATTTAGGATATGCTGGCTGTACAGTGTTTCCATGTTGTAGCCTCTTGAATAAGGAAAAATCTCAGCCACCAGGTCTGACCAAAAAGGTCAATTCTAAGTTGTAATGTTCATTTCATGTCCGCAACTCCCAAGAGTTATTTGGAGTTCCCACTGGGAACCACATGCATTCTGATCAGGCATTTTATTTTCTGAACCTTACAAGAGCCTTACTATTTGATTTCCCACTCCTCACTCCTCTCTTCCCACAAAAAGTAACTGTCAATCCTAACTTGACCTGGCTTAGAAAAATCAAGTGTATTAGACTGAATCATATGCAGTTGTTGATTTTGACAGTTTTTGATGTACAAAACTAGCAGTTTCTCATAGCTCAACCTAGTAGCTTTCTTCTGAATGATAGGGAACCTCTGCCATAATGAGATGATTTTTTCCTTCAAGGAAAAGGAACCACTTAGCCACATAAGTACTGATAAGAAACATGCTCAGCATAATTCCTCTGTAGCATGACCTCCTGAGTGCTCAAATTGTATTATACCAGGAAATTTGGCTTATTGTGAAGTTCAATGGTTTTGAATTTATGGCATTTTAAATCTTAATTATCTGAGCTGCTATCATTTACCACTGATGCTTTAGTCTCACATGTGGAGGACAAGCAATGTTTAGTGACCTCTTCACTGCATCCCATAGCACATTCAATGTCTGGGAAATGTTCTTTGTTTGACAACTTCTGTACTAAAAGTGTTGCTGCAGTAGCTTTGTGCCCCTGTCAGTCTTGGTAGCCCCTTAAGATTTGGAAAGTAAATGAACTGAAATCTTGTTTTCAATGGCCATATTAAAATTCTTTTTTTTTTTCCTGTTTCTTCTAAACCACACTATTTTCTTTAGGGGGAAAAAAAAGCATAAAGTGTAACTAATGTTAACCACCCAAAAACAAATGTTTTCCAGATTCCCTTTTGCAAATAGCCTGGTCTTTATTTGGCCACAATTTATTTACCCAGGTGCTATGTGTTTGTGGTTTTCATGTATGTGTAATTTAACTTTTCAGAACATAAAAAGCTTTTCAGAATGGTTTTTAACCCCTTGCTGCTGGGCATTTGGGATTTCCTGCTTAGTAATGTATAAGGAAATCCTGACTGCTCACACCACTAAGAAATAAAGGTGAACCATGCCATTTGTCCCCTTCCTTACCCTGGCTCTCAGAGAGGAACCCACCCAGATTCAGATTGCTGCTGGCAACAACAAAGTCTTATGAACCACACAGAGTCAAGAAGTCTGGTGCTGAGGCCTGGGAAGACAGGGCATTCCTAACTCCCCTGGCACTTGTTGTCCTTATTTTCAGGATATATATCTTTAAAACTCACATTCAAAGTACCCTGCTTTGCTTCTTGATTCTAAAAAGAAAATGACTTCACAATGACCCCATATTTTGCCATTTGAGTGAAAGCTTCTGTACCTAAAACTCAAATGAAAGCTTTATTCTGTGCTCCTAGAGTACATAAAGCGCTAAAAGCACTTTTCTTGACAACAATGAGTTCATTATGGAAATATAAGGAATATTTTAAGATTTCTTCATAATACCTGCATAGTCTATTTTAAAGGAATCAAATATCGAGTATTTCATCTTAAGTCAACCCCTTGGTCTCCACACAGGCACACACAAAATAGGAATGTGTGCTTATACACAAGTAGTTATATTTGTTTTCTCAGGAACAAGAACTTGATCTCTCTGTGCAGAACCAGCAAGCACAGACTCCTTTGATGGGTGGCATGACATGCCTGTCAAAGGATTTTTATTCCTCACGACAGTCCCCCTTTGAATGTGGCCTCAGCTGCAGAATGGATGTTTGCCCCAATACCATCTGTGAAGGTCAGGTGTGGTGGCTAACTCTGACCCATTCATGAGAAGCAGACAATTGGGAACTGGGATGACTGTGTGGGGATGAAGGTGGGTCATCTGGCAATGGGATAGCTGTCATCATAGGAGGGACACTCCTAACCTGAGGGGTGTATGGCCTCACAGGCTTAGAGGAGCACCTCAGATGGAATCCATACAGAATCACAGTGATAGGTTTGGCCCAAGGTCAGAATGATTTGTTTAGAGAGGGCTATGGGATAGATGCCCAAATAAATATACTTATTAGGAAATGTGAAATTAGAAAGGGTAAATGGCTTGGAGGGGAAGCTTTAGAAGTAACTTTCTGACCCCTCTGCCCTGTAATCCTCATCTGGGCTCATTTTCTCCCTGGTGTCCTGGAGGGTTAGCAGTGTTGGAAGTCTGACTACAGTTAAGCAGAGTGAGACTACCTAAACAACCTAACTTTAAAAGGATAACATCACTAAAGAAAGACTTCACAAGTGAGTATCAGGATTTTCAAATATAATTTTTATGTTTCAGGTTCCCTTTCTTCTTTTTCTTAATGACTCTGGGTGATCTGGAAAGACCTAGAGGTTGTGTTTCTGAGAGTGTTCTCTGCCACAGAGTAGTTTCCTGGTATTAGTGTGACTTGCAGCTCATTCTGCACCATTCACTAAATGCCTCTTATCCCTTGTTGACCTACCTCTGGGACTAAAGTGACATGTGGGTTTTCAGTAGTTTTCAGTTTTTGGGCTATGCCCTTTGTATTCAGTCAAACCACATTTTGTCATGAGCCAGTAACTCTTGGGTTTTGGTTGTCCAACTACATAATCACCATGACTGTAACCATCAGATTCTAAACTGATACTTTCATTCCAGTTATATATACTTTTTGAGTACCCTAATGTAGCTCAAACCCTACAGCAGCAACCTGAATCCTTAAATTAGTACTTTTAAGGAATTGTGACTTTCCTAAGGTCCTAGATTGTCTCTAGGTTATAATAAAACATTTCTTTAATCTCAAACAGTTCTTTCAATTTCCAGTCTCCCAATGGAAGATGTATAACTTATAGAAAAAGATTGTCTTATATTTTTAAGTGCAGCTCAAATAGTACTATATTAAAGTTATAAAAATGCAAATTTATTAACTCCATCAGATATTTCCTTTTATGAGTTTCACATTAAACCCACAAAATCAGTGCAGGATACTGTGGGTTAAACATTTACACAGCAAGACAATATCTGAGAAAAAACCTTTCTGGCATTCTATGGCATGTGGTCACAAAGAGAGCAGCTTCTACTCTGTAGGAGAAAGAGACTCCATCTTCTTACTTGTTGTTGGGAAAAGCTGAGTGTTGGGAGAAGCTGAGGCAGGGTTTGCATTTCTGACATAATGTAAAAAGAGTCCTGGAACATGTCCGGGGGCCAGGGTCTAAAACCCCTCGTGGCCTTTGGAACACTGAATTCTGTGCTAAAGGGTGGAAGACTACCCTGACGCACCATCATCTAAGCCCAGGGCATAAAACCCCTCGTAGATTGGAAAGAATCCAGGGCTCAGGGCATAAAATCCCTCATGGCCTCTGGAATGTGTCTAGACTTGCTGGCTCCTTGCTTCTAGCCCTCCCAGGCTCCTAGATCAATTGTGTCTTAGAATTGGCCATATAAATGTTAAACCGTCACAGCTGTAAATCATGTGCTTAATGCAACGCTCCCTTTCAACCCCACATTCTCACCATCTGTTTCTTTGTTTGATCACCAATAAACAGTCTGGGCTTCCAGAGCTCGGGGCCTTTGCAGCCGCCATACTCGCGTTGGCCCCCAGACCCACTTTATCTCTCAAACTGTCTTTTCTCATTCCTTTGATTCTACTGGACTTCATCACCCCGATGACCTGGTGTTGGGTCTGATCACCCCAACACTTGTGCCCTTCTGTAGAGGACAACAACTAATAATCTACTTTAAAAATACATTCTGTGTACATCATAGTCATCCAGCACAAGTAGCCTACAGCAGTGAAGCAGCCAGCACACAGGTACTGGAGTTAGTCACCTGGCTCCACAGCCCTGCAATGCCACTTCCCAGCTACTAATGGTGGGTGCTTCTTAACCTAACCAAACTTCAGTTTTTTTCACCAGTAAAAAGGGGATGATACCACTTACTTCACAGGGTTGTTGTGATAACAATGCTACCTTCTTGCCTGTCTGGCAAAAAAGGATGAATTAAAAAATTAATTATATAATAATCAATTCTAGGGTAGTGTTCAGCAAAAAAACACAGACTCATTAGAATCACTGAGACAGAGTTGAAAGGGACCTCAGAGTTTTTCACTATATAAAAGAAGAAATGAATAGGGAAAGTGACTTGAAGTTCATTGAGAAAAATGAATCACACCCAAAATGTCCAAAATAGAACCTTATCCACTGCTTCTTGTATTTAGAATCCTATCTTCTAAGTTACTTTACAGTGGTAAAATTCTGCCATTTTCAAAGAAGAGCAGCTTCATCTATCTAATGTTAGCACAATGAGGTACAAAGGACATGGCAAAACTATGCAAGGGTGGATTTCAGAGCTTGTCCATCAGGCAATACCAGGCCCAATCAACAGACCACATCAGAAAATGCAGTAGAAAATGGATTTGAGTCTTTCAAAAAGAGAGACACGCCCCTGAGGCCAAACATAGGCAAAAGGAAATGTGATGGCCGGAAAGTTTCATTTCTTTTTCTTATAGGGTAGCACAGGAAACTGTAGTAGTAGCTTTATCAGGATTTCACTGTGGCAGCAGAAAATGTTAAGTAAACATGATTACTTGTTTATCTGACATAAATGCTGATTAACTGAATAAAAAGCGTATTTGTGGCCAAAATGTAAAAATATAAGTTGGACAACTGTATGTCAAGTGAAAGTGTAGATGTCTGAATCCTGAATGTTCTTTCATGGATGAAATGTCAGAATCATGGGTCAGGTAGGCCCTTGTAATGTACCAATTATCTGTCATTACTTGGATGAAAATCCAGACAGTATTTGTCTCAATTTTACTGATGACCTGAAGCTTGACGGCACAGAAAATATTCTGGGCAAGAATCTAGATCCTAACATTTTGAAAATATGGAACTAACTCCAGTAAGATACAAATTTTAGTAAAGCTAAATATAAGTAATGGGGCTTTAAAAAAATTAGCCTCCAAGGAGATGCGGCCAAAATGTCACATGGAAAAGACAATCTTTGGTAAATGGCATATATTCAGTATGAGTTGACAGAGCAATGCCCACCAAAAATGCTTTTTTATTAGTGACTACACTAGAGGAAGCATTGGTACTACTCTGGAAGATTTGTTTTCAGGCCTAGACACCTCACTGTAAAAATGTAAAATGGGCACATGTGAGGAAGATTAGGAAGGTGAAAGTCTAGAAATGACAGGAGCAAAAGTTGATAGGAGAAGGTGTTGAGGAACATGAGACCTGACTTTAAATACCTCAAGAGCAGCCCTTCAACAGAGCAATTGGACAATTCTTTATGACTAAAGGTGGCAGAAGTTGTATAAGGGATAGAAGAGGAACACAGATTTCAGTCTAATAATAATTTAAAAACCTCCTAATACTTGAAGATTACAGAAGTTGGAAAAGGCTTCCTGGAAAGGCAATGAATATGCATTTGTTCACAGCAAATGTTCAGGAAGACTAGTTATCTGCTTGTAGCCTGGGGAATGTTAGGTAGCAATTATGTTCAGATGGGATGAAATAGAAATAAGATGGGATGATTTCTAGGGTTAATTCAATCTGAACTTACATAAGCCAGGTAGAAAATTGCTTTTCTTAACTATATAATACAAGAGCTAAAATCTTAGTGTGGCTAGTGATTACTGAAATGTATCATGTAAGACAGAGTTCAACAGGTCTGACCTTCAGTCATTTCAGAGCCCAGACAGCTACAACCTTCCTTTCAGTGTGGGAGCCACAGGCAGGGATGTTATAAAATCAGTATCTGCATTAAAATCTGCATATATCTGCATATAAAATCACCATTATAAAATCAGTATCTGCACATGCCCTTCACTACCGGAGAGGGTACTCATGGGCACAAAGTGTATCCTGTTTGTTTTGGCCGAGTATAGCATGCTGTCAATAAAGGTTAAATAGAACCAATATGAAATAAACAACAATTTCTATAACAATGGGTGGTTGTGGTATTGATTTATTTTTCCCCAGCACATCTTAAAAATCACACATGGGCATTTGCTTATAGAACAATACAGTCTAAGAAAACCAGTAAGAGGAGAATCTGAACACACACTGAAAGCACGGAATACTGACTATGTGTTGAGCCCTTGTGGAAAACAGTATGGCTCAGTCGGAATTGACAAAGCTATGCTGGAATCTCTCAGGAATTTTCCTTCCCACTGCATATCCCCTTTTAGACTATAAATGTAAAGAGAAGAATTGTTTGTATGCATTAGTTACAGCAGTATAATGGCTTACATACAAGTGCTTACTCACATGTAGTTCCCAAAGGATTACTACAGTCCTGGCAGGAATATGTACTGCCTTGGAGGAAGACTCAGGATAAGATATTATTCAAGTTAAGTTGTATCAGAGCCAAAGTATTTCACAGGCTTAGCAAAAATGGACAAGAATTAATATAACCTACATATATTTCTCATAAGATTTAATCATTGTCCAGAACAGAAATATTCGTTATTCTGAAGGCACCATCACACGAAAAAGGACTGACACACAATATTAGGAATAGAAACCACCCGCACTCCCCAGCTCCACAGGTTCTGCTCCTCAGGGAGCCTGTGAGCAAACATCCAGAAAGAATGTAGTGAGTGTCTTGAGGCTCAATGCCAAACCCACCAAGCCACAACTTAGGGCTACTAGGTTGGGGCAGTAGGAATGAAAATGTAGGAAGGAAAAGCACATACAAATCCCATTGACTGATTCGATGTGTATCAGAGTACAGGTCCACCATACAATTAGTTAAATATACTAGAACAGATTATCCAAAACAACACTGTGGAAAGAATTACCAGTGTTTCCACATATAACTGCTTAATTCCTGACATGTTCTTGAAGAGGAATAGTCTTGAACTGCTGAATGACCTCTGTCTAAAGACTTACCCTCTCCCACTCATTTAAAATAATGGCTAGTTCATGGAAAAAAAAAATCCCAACAAGGCACTGTGAGCTTTTGGGGATATAGTATAAGTAGCTCAAAAAATAACTACTTATAGAAACTTGTATGCCAGTATGAGCATTTCATGTCCTTTTCTGATATGTGAACAAGATTAAAGGAAAAACATGTTTCCTAGGGTGCATATGGTGTTCAGGAAAAACACTGCCAACAAAAGGTTGTCTTAAAAACATGTATATATGTTGCTTAGAAATCCACCATGAAACAGATTTTTTTCCTTTTCTTTCTCACTCAGATTTGGAATTCAGAGTCTCTGCAAGATGTTTTTCCTTGTGGAAAAATAAATAATCTCCTTTGGAAACCAAAAAAGAAATCTTTTCATGTTCACAGAACTAAAGTTACTAAATTCTGTGATGGTTCTTTGGCTTGAGGGTTCTATATGTCAGTGGTCCTTACTCTGATTTGTTAAGGAATTAATTATGATTAGAAGAGCACAAGAGTGCTCACTCTTTGAGGATCTTCCAAGGTTCAAAAGGGAGTGCTTCAGGTTCATAGGAGTCTCAAAGCCTCCTGGGAATACAGCATTGATTTTAAAAAATGATTAGGGATTGACAAAACCTAGCTAACAATATCCTCAGCTATAAATCCAAAGAGATTTAGTCACAAGTAGGTTGCACTTGATTTTGCACTTGATTATGCTACAAGCAACAAAATTATAAAAATAAATTTTGTGTTTTCAAATCAGTGGAAATATGAACATGAAAAACTAAAACTAAAAGAAAAACTCATATGCAAATAAAAGAATAAACAGCTTCACACTCCCTTTGAAGAAAAAAAATATTAGACCCAGGTCCATTTTATTAATAATATGATCTATAATCTCTTGACATTACAAGTAGTTTTTACAGTTAAATTTCACACTGAAGACAAACACTGTTTGGCTTAGGGAGCAGAAAGCTGAGTAACTTACATCCTTTATATCAGACACTATATTTTAACAGTTTAAGAAAACCTTTTACACTTTCTGGATTTAAGCATCAATATGTAAGTTGTTTCCTTTACAGGAAACTGAAATTAGTAAGAATTAAGTGAATATACTGACAGATGGCTCATTTGGGAACATGAAGCCTAGAGCAAAGCCAAGCTTCTATAACTCATAAAGTCAAAGGTAAAACATTCTGGATTCTTCAAACCTAAATGGGCACTTGTTATTTTCCACTTTTCTTCAACCATGAGCTAAGCCCTAACTAAAATCAAAGTTGATAAAGATTAAGTGGTAAACAAAAAAATTATTAAAGCTGTCCTTAACTCCTGTCTGAGTGTTTTTTAAGATATAGATATGCTTTCCACAGCATTCCATTTTGGCTGCCTCAAGCACCAGCACATGCAGTTTGTGAATCAATCTGTAGTAACTGTGTTCTAGCATTTATACAGAATGGAAGTTCAACCAAACCCAGCCCCATATGAACAGCCAAGGGAACACACTTCAGTGTAGGACTACAGAGCTTCTCTGATAAGCTACAGTTAAGTTGTAGCTATAAAGGAATATGACAAAGGAAAGTCTGGGTGCTAACATGCAGAAAGGCATTTTCAAAAATGCAAGCTAGGACTTAGCAGTTACTAATAGACTATTCTAGTGGGGGAAAAGGTTTCCTTGCAACCATCTGTATCTGGTATACCATACACACCGATGGAAGCTCATCCTTTATTGCAATTTTGTTTTCAAAATACATCAACACAGGCAAACTAGAAGGCTCCCAACTTCATAAATAACTTTTAAGTAATAGTACTACAATATGTAAGCACTTTTAGGAAGAAAACTCCTACTTCCTTAGAAGAAATAATATAATCCTCTTTTCTTTGTGTAAAATGATGGGCACAATAAACATGTGGTTTCCACAATTCTTACTAAGCTAAAAACAGCTCAAAGTTACTTATCATAAGACTAAATTCACTTATGCACTACTAGAAATTGCACCAAACATTAAGGCAACAGTTTCTCTAAGGGTCTATAAAGCCTGTTCATATTGAGTCTTTAGTATTCAATGCCATTTCTCACTAGCGGCAAGTTACTATTCCCACTGAAACCCCAACCCAAATGTGACATTACCAAATTTAAGTAAATTATTGCAACTATGACTAATTTAAGAAAGTCAGTGTTATGCAGTACTGAAAACCAAATAGGCAACAAGTTTTTGAAATTAAAAATAAACATTAAAAATGAGTTAAGAAGTGTCATGTAAACAGTGTTCTCCTGACTTAACTTTTATGAAGCCATTTTCAGATATTATAGAAATAAGAGGCATGGTTTAAGTGCTTCTGTGCATATTCATGAACTCAGTCCTTCACAGATACCAAGTCTATACTGAGGCACCTCCCAGAAGGTATGTGAAAGTGGGGGCTGGGGGTAGGGGGAGGCTTTCTGATTTACTAAATCAGAGTGAAACAGTACTGATCAATATTCTTGTGTTTCAAAATGATTTCGGTAGAAATGATTCCACCTACAAAATGCAGTCACCATTATAAAATCAAGGTTGGGGAGTCCTGCATATACTTGGAAAAAGAAAAACAAAGACATAAATCATGAATTTCCATAAGGTTCATGTAGAATAGTGAACATAATAATTTCAGGTGTTACATTTACAGTTTCCTAATATCAAGTATGGATTTCTGAGGTTGCTGAAATTGAACTCCCTGGGAAAGAATGTTATAACAATCACATGCAAAGGAATGGATCTTCTTATTAACCTGTTTTATTTTTTAAAAATTACTCAGAAACATATACATATATATATATATATATATACACACACACACATGCATACATATATATATATATATATATATACTTCCAGTGAGACATTAGTACCTTAATTTTATATTTTGATCACCAATTAAAGAAATTACCTTCGTGAACAGATGCATTTTATAAAGCTGAGATTTTTATAATTCTAGAGGCAACTTCCTCATCAAGTGTCCAACTAGGTCAAATATCAAGGGCTTAAAGCAAAGATCTGTTGGAAATTTTATAATTAAAAATAAATGACCAATGAAGAGAGGCAGCTTCTAAAAAATAAATATTTCATTTTGTTGTTAAACTGATATTTAATTCTAATTTAATTACAGATTTATTAGTTTGAGGCCAATTTTAATAGTTAAAAATTATTTATCATTTTGAAGTCTTAAAAATATCATTTTGTCAATTTTAAATTACCATTTTTCTGGTTAAGGCTACTTCAGATATAAAAGGTATCAAACTGCCCAAAAATACTTTGGAGCTGTTGCTACATACACAGACAATGCATCCTTTTAAAGGATCGTCTGCATTTTGACTTACATTATCTGATCAAATATTAGTTTTAAAAAATTATCAAAAGTTAGGTATTGCATTAAGAAAAGAATCCATCTCAAAATGTGAATCATGAACCTTGGCAGACAGTGATTCAAAGTAATCATTTCACTTTAATATCCAGGTTTGAATGTACAAATGCTTGCTAAATGTGATTAATGTTCTCATTATTTAAGAAACAGGATATTTCAAACTTTTGATTATGGTATATGCATTAATACATTACATTTAAAAAAAATTAGGTTAAACCAGTTATTCAAAAAAGGCATTAAACCATTATTAAAAACTAAATTGAAACTTTACTTTTTATATGAAAATTTATCATGCCATTGGGATTAATTTTAAAAAATCAAAAATGATTTTTGTCATTGAAACTGCTGAGGCTTTCAAATTCAGTAGTTGAATGATGACTGTTTCTTTAGTGAAACAATTCTTGCAATTGGAGACATTAAGTCTAAGAGTTTTCCTTCTGCTCTTGCTGTAGCTGTTTCTTCTGCATTTCAGCAACAAGAATGTGAAATCAGAAACATTAGGACTCTAAGTTGAATAAAGGCATTCATTTCATGGTAAACCTGTTCTTCACTTGCAATGAAGGATGTCAGCTTTTCTTACAAAACATATTATCAATGAATTAGAATATAACAATAGGTTATCTCAGTGATACAAATACAACTCATACCACAATAGAAACAGAAACATGGAGAACAAAAACATGTCCCCTAACAGAATAATTTGTATATTGATGATACAAGGTTTTATGCATGTATACTAATTTAAAAAAAAAAGTAGGCCAAGCACCTTACAGACGTGAAGGCTTTCTAAATAACAGGTTGCCTAAATTCTTTCATGAATATCCTTCCCCTTAATGGCCTACTCACACTAGACTATGCTCTTAAACAATGTACACGTGTATCACTCCTCAGTGGAATCCTTCCCTAGACATCTGATTCCCAGAAACGTTCTTTTAAAAAGAGGCTAGCTGAGCAATCAATGATACCAAATCTGTCTTTGTTCCCCAAGAGGAAGCAACAATACAAAACAGCTGGCAGCAGCTTCCTCTGGAATAATTGACAGCTTTGTGCTGCCTGACTAAAATTTGAAATGACAACCGCTGAATGTAAAATGATGTACCTACAATGAGAGAGATTTAGGAATACTATCTGTCAATCCATAGATGTAGAAACAAAACAAACTACAGAATGAAAACAAACTTATTTTAAACCAAAGAAACAAATGTATCCAAAATATAGTCCATGATATATTTGATTACTAGTATAACCACAGTTGAAAACTTAAAAAAAAAATTGACATTTTTTTGTAATGGTACTAATGGATTTATAAAAGGTTTCTGTTTCCAAAGATGTTATTGGGGTCCACATATTCCTTGACAGACTTCAGCATCCCAAAGCCGACATCAGAGATACTTTCCTTTAGCCATTGCTTCCGTAACTTGCCCACTGGAAAAACAAAATCAAAAATGCTTCAATATATGCTATGATACTGGGAACCAATCAATCTTGTGACCATGAGTGAACAAACACTGTGTGATAAATGCTTTTATTCAAAAATGAGAAATGTTTTGCTTTATTTGATTTATTGAGCCCACCAGACTATCAAGCTCATTAAGCCCAATGTATTCCCAGGGGAAGTCTGTGCTCCACAGTGTCTCCTTTCTCTGTAAACTATGAAATGGAGATTGAAGGAAGCTTGGACAGAGATTATAGCCCATTTTACAAATAACAAAATGAGAAAAACGTGCATTTCGAAAGAACCCACCTCTGCCTTAACTACCAAAACACACCCAAGTTTTAGAGAAAATGAAGTTAACTAAAGAAAAACATCACATTGAGACGAATTTGTTGGGTAAATTCAGCAAAAATGACAGGATATATATCCTTAAAATATTTTAACGAACATAAAGGCTTCAAATAATAAGAAAATTTGAAACTTTAATAGGCTCAAGAAAAAATTCTGGCTATTAAGCTTCTATTTACATTTTCTTTTCACAGTACTTTTAAATAAATTTGCATGTTCCCAAATAATGGTTACTTTCTTCCTACTGTTTTTCCAGATTTAGAATTTTTTTCCTAAGGCATTAAATAAATCAAATACCTAATCCATCGTAAACTTAATCTTTTGCTTTTACATACTGTACAAAGTTCCCTTTTTTTGTTTCTAGGTCTTGCTAATTTGTTCTGAGAATAGTGAAGTAACATAATGGTTAGCAGCATAAATTATATTTCAAAAGGTACTCAATGAAAAACATAACCTTTTGTAAGTAGAACTTTTGTAAGAAAGAATATGTACTTAATCTGTAAAAGAATTCTGAAATGTCAGTTTGCTCTGGTATTAAAAAGCAAGCAATATGCTAACTTATCTGTGGCAAAATGGATAAATCTTTTAATTTACAGTTAGGATTATTTGTACTTGTACTTCTCCAAAAAACCTATTATCATACTAATTGAATTCAAACGGTCATTTTCTACAAATGTTCATTAATGATCCAAAGTCATCAACAGTGATTTAATTGACCAACTGAAATGGGAAACCTTCTTTCATTAAAGTATTCAGCCTGTCATTCTATAATGCATTCCCATTTATTAGGCTATAGTGATACATCATAGCATCTGCCTTTTGGAAACCTTAAATACCATTTCGAGCTCAACTAAAACCATCTTTTGTGTCCAGTTCTCTAAGAAACCATCAAATTGTCATCAAAATAATAAATACTGTGATAATCTCAGAAAGCAAATTATCTGCTTGGCTTTCAGAAATAAAAAGGTATTGCTGGTATTAAGACGGGGGGAAATGAAGTTCAGCAGAAAAAAAACCTTAAATTCAAAATGAAAAATTTTGTTTGAGATAGCTCTAAAACCAGAAGCTAAGAGTAAATAAATCCCTATTCCTGCAATCTCTACCACCTAAAAGATATTCTACCAGGACCTTCTATTATCTCCTAAGGGACTGCCCATGACTATGATTCAGCCTGTTTTTTCACTTGCAAATGGATTAGACTTTATAAGGTCTCTTCAACTCTAATATTCTATGATTTTAAGCACTTTTTAAAAAAGTTAAAAATCAGTTTTTTCCAGATTTGCTCCACAGGATTTTTTTTTTTTTAAACAACTACTCTGTGAATGGTAAAAGGGGCTTTACCATACTACTATAAGCTGCCCACACTGAGGCAGCTGAAGAGAGAGAGGGGTGACGAGCAGTGAATACCAGTCTCCACTGTTATCTGTAATACAGTTTCACTGAATGTATCCTGTGGTTATGGATGTAATTGTCCTGAAAAGACTGCAAACAACTGCTCCAACAAGATGGAGCACATTAGAACCTCAGCAGGATGCCCAACAGCTAGCTTGTCTGCCTGGTTTTACACCTCTAGTAATAATGCAATTCCACAAGGAACTGAACCATCGTCTGAGAAGCCACCCAACAGCCATTGCATATTTAATGAAGTCACTCACCAAGCGCTGGAAAACAGAAGGTGCTTGGAGTGCATCATTACTTCTGTCAGAAGGATAATTTACACATCTATCTTGTCAAATTTTCTATGGTTTATACTTTTACAATAATCAATCTAATATACATTTGATTAGTGAAGTAGAAAGTAGAAAAAAAAAAAGGGCAGTACGGCCAACAAAGCTGTGGCCCCTCATAAACACATTTGATAAAAGCATTTAACCCCTTCGTGGCAGAGGTCTGGCACTTCTTCTGCCACTGATAACAGAATTTGAAATGGGGTCAGAAATCTTGGTTTATGCAATTAAAGGTACTAGAAATCTTTGGCTTTGTTTAACAATTTAAGTCAACTACTTCACAGGATACATATACAGGTAGAAAACACATTCAAACAAAAACGTTCAATATGCCTTAACAACAAGACAATTATTGGAGTCTTCTTGAGATTCTGGAGAACCTTATGTAGTTACCCCACATGGATCAATAAAACAACAAACACCACAGGCCTTAATCTTGGAGAAGAAACACACTTCAAAGTACAAGATTTTTATTCCAGAGCTAAACACCACCACTAATAATGCCCTTTGTACAATTCTTAGTTGTACTGCTGGGCATTCAGAAATTAGCTGACCATACTGATCTGTACCCATGTTAACACACATGGGTATACAACTATATAGCAGTTCCTTATTAAACACCTGTAAAGCTCATTTTCAGAAAGGGAAGAAATTATACTCTGTCCCTTATGTAGCACACCATATTAAAGGAAGGGAAAATGAATTACTGAAGACAGCAAATAACAGGTGGCCTAAAACTATTTCAATTTACCTTGTATGTGATAGTTATCTACTGAAAGGCATGTGTACACATACCACATAAAGCCTATTCTTCTTTTTTAGACCTGAATCATCTGATGTGGGATATTCATAGCTACTGACCCAACATATTCCTTTGACTTCTGATGCTCTAGAAGTATAAATCTAGCCTGAGAGTCAACACTAGAGCTACAAAAAGCCAAGATCACCATCTCTGAAAACAAGATAAGTACCTTGCATTCCATAATTCTCTATTATTCTAAATATATGATTCCTTAAGTACTTAAGTATTTAGATGTATTTTATAAGACATAAAAAAGATGGGCCAAATACTGAATATTACAGAAAACTAGGCCAGGCACAGTGACTCATGCTTGTAATCCCAACATTTTGGGAGGCTGAGGTGGGAAGATCATTTAAGCCCAGGAGTTCAAGACCAGCCTGGGTAACATAGTGAGACCCCATTTCTAAAAAAATAAAAATAAAAAAATAAAAAATAAGCTGGATGTGGCGGCACGCATCTGCAGTCTCAGCTACTCAGGAGATTGGGCGGAAGGAGAACTTGAGCTCAGAAGTTTGAGGCTGCAGTGAGTCCAGATCATGCCACTGCATTCTAGCCCAGGTGACAGAGCGAGACTCCATAGCTCACAAAAAAAAAAGAAACAAAAAAGAAAAGAAAAGAAAGAAAACTAATGGGGCGGGGGGTGGGGGGCTGTGCTTAAATTAAAAATGGAGTTCACTGTTTTACAATTTAATTTCTAATAATGTATATAGAGACTGGATCAAACAAGTTGTGTGTATTCTTCCACAACACATAGTACATTTTTAAAACTTTACTTTTGGAACAGAGAATATGAAAACTTTCAAGTACAGTTTTTCAAATTACAGGCTCACTATTCCCCTGGATGCTAAGAGATTCAAGAAAGAATGCAAGAAAGAAGTTGTGGTATGATCAACAGCATAAATGAATGAACAGACATGTACGCAAGGTATAAGAGATAAAATGATGTACATGGAAAATGTGGACATGGAGGCCAATCTGGCCACCAAAAATTATCTGAAACTACTCTTTGAGGCTTAACGGATTGAAGATTTAGCAGAAACTACCAAACAGTCCTAATCTAAAAGGGATAAATCCAGCGTCTGCTGGTCACAGAGGTCTCTAGCTAAATTTTAATTTTTTGAATCACACATTTGATTATAAGTCAAAAAGATTATAGACTTATTAAAAAGAACAAATTATGAAATGGGCCATACATTTAGAAGATCATTGAAGGTGAAGCTCAGAAGTAGACTTCAGCCAAAGCAAAAAGCATCTAACCATTATAACAACTATATTTTGAAAGTTCTAGTTTGAGTATCCTGGATATCTCTTTAGCACTATTCTATAGGTCAGATTTTAAGAAGAAAACCCAGACTTAGCTGCTTATACGAGTGATCTGAGCATTGACTTTGTATTTCAAGATTTAATTTAATCTGACCAAACTACTGCTGGATTATGTAAGAAAGTAGTGTTAGAGGGGACAACCAACCTCTTCCCAGGATTAACTGTTTGCTAATCACATGAAACTAACTATAAAAGTATTCTGTAACAATGTAATAATGTAATACAGGCATTCTCAGATTAACAAACATATTATTTTTAAGTTATAGACATAAAATTGTCAAAGAGAAAAAGTTCTCTTTAGAGATCCAAAGCTAAGTGATATTATCCAAGCCACCTATACTCACTCTCCTGGTGATATACCTGAGGCTAGAAGCTACTAAAGGTACAGCATGTGGTAAGAGACAGCCAACACAATGTTGTCCCTGGCCCTTTTGTCTTGGGCTTGGCCCCTGTAGTCACACAGGGGTGGGGGGATGGTGGGGTGGGGAGCAGGGATCAGTATCTTCTTGCTACAGATTTTTCTGTCAGCTCTCAAATCTGTTTAACCTATGCTACAGCTGAAATATTAATAGTTTAATGTTCAGTTAAATTGTGGGTTAAGTTGGTTTCCACAGTATGTTCTTACACTCTAACTACAACATTGCTTCAATGGAAAAATATTATAATCAACATATACGTTTTGTTAGAAAAGGCCAGTCAAAGAAACTGAAAAAATTAAAAGGCAAAACAAATTTTCTATCTTATAGTAATCTGATAAAGATTCAGTGTTGGAAAGGCTAAACTCATCTGGTAGCTATCAAAGGAATAAGACATTGACACTGATATAGTCAAGAACAGTTCTATCAAACTAAGGATCCCTGCGCTGTTTACAGTCACACCCTCTCCAGCCTCAACTTTTGGAAATCACTAATCTTTTTTTTACTCTTAAGATTTTGTCATTTCAAAAATGTTATAGAAATAGAACCAGGCAGTATGTAACCTTTTGGGATGGATTTTATTCACTTAACATAATTCCCTGGAGAGTTATTCCAAGTTGTTGCATGTATCGATAGTTCATTGTTTTTATTTATTGCTGAGTAGTATTCCTATGGTATGGATGTACCACAGTATGTGTAGGCAGCCATTCACCAGCTGAAGGACATCTGGGCTGTTTCCAGTTTGGGTCTATTATGCTATTATGAATAAAGCTGCTATGAATATTTATGTTAAGGTTTTTATGTGAACATAAGTTTTCATTTCTCTGGTACAAATGCTCACATGTGCATTTGCTGGGTTGAGTGGTGATTACATGTTCAGTTTCATAAGAAACTGCCAAACTGTTTTCCAGAATGGCTGTACCACTTTACATTCCCCCAAGCAATGTACGAGTGATTCAGTTTCTCTGCATCATTGGCAGAATTTGATATTGTCACTATTTTTTTATTTTAGCCATTCTGATAGGTGTGTAGTGATATCTCCTGTGGCTTTAATTTTCATTTCCCTAATAGCTAACGATGTTGAACATTTTTTCATGTGATTATGTGCCATCTGTATATCTTCTTCAGTGAAATTTTTCTTCATGTCTCTTGCCTATTTTCTAATTAAAGTATTTGCTTTTTACTAATGAGCTATGAGATTTATATATAATAGATATGTCTTTTCTTGGATATAAGGTTTGCACATATTTTCTCCTACTCTATAACCTATCTTTTTATCCTAACAGAGTCCTTCATAGAGCAAAAGTTTCTAATTTTGATAAAATCCAGTTTATCAATTTTTTATAAATTGTACTTTTAGTGTCCGGTCTAAGAATTCTTTGCCTGGCTCTAGATCCTGAAGATATTCTTTAAATTTTTCTAAAGGTTTTATAGTTTTGTTTTACTTTTAAGTTCATTATTCATTTTGAGTTAAATTTTTGTATAGGTATGAGATTTAGGTCAGAGTTCTTCCCCCCGCCCCCTCCGCCCAGTACTATTTGTTGAAAAAGCTATGCTTCCTCCGCTAGATTGCTTTTGTACTTTCGTCAAACTCAGCTTGGCATATTTGTGTGCTCTATTTCTGGGTTCTCTATTCTGTTCCACTGATCTATGTGTCCTCCTCCAATAACACACAGTCATGACTACTGTAACTATATAGTAAGTCTTGAAATAAGGTAGATTGACTGCTTTTACTTTATTCATTTTTTCAAATTTGTTTTAGCTGTCTAGTTCCTTCTCCTTACCATATAAATTTTAGAATAATATTTTCTATATCTATTTAAACATCTTGCTGAAATTTTGGCAGAAAATGCACTAAACAGATAGATCAATTTGGAAAGAACTGACAGCTTTACTATGTTGAGTTTTCTACCAAACCATGAATACTGTATGTCTCTTCATTTATTTAGGTCTTTTTTGATTTCTTTCATCAAGATTCTGTAATTTTCAGAATACAAATTCGGTATATATTTTGCTAGATTTATGCCTATTTCATTTTCTTTGGAACAACTGCAAGTGGTATTATATTTTAGATTTGGTTTCTATATGCTTAATTGTTAGTATTTAGAAATGTAATTGATTTTTGTGTGTGATCTTGTATCCTGAAATCTTGCTGACTTTGTTTTTGTACATTCTTTGGGATTTTCTATATAGTCAATAATGGCACCTACAAATAGGGATAGTTATACTTCCTCCTTTCCAATCTATATGCCTTTTGTTTCACACTACAAATTAACAAATGGCCCTAAACTGATTTTTTTGTTCAGCTTCTTTGAGTAGTTTCCTTTTACTTTTAAAGTTTCTAATACTATTAGATTCTGGTAAGACTACCAAAAAAAGGTAACAGCAGCTGCCCTATAATTATAATAGGGAGTAATTTTGGTTAGGTAAAAAAAATCAATATTTAAACTAAGGCTGGTTATACTTAATCAAGGTTTTTAACTTCCTGACAAGGACTTAGGTATGATTTTAGCAAATGAACAACTTAAAAACTTAAGTCATAAATTGAAATTAAATACATGGCTGACATAAACTTTGCTATTGAAACTGACCAGCTCATCAGTTACAAAAACAAGCACTATGAAGATTAAGTTAAGTAGGCTTTATATTTCCTATAGCCTCCAGTTCCAGACTACATCTGTTTTCTCTGATACACAAAACCAGAGTTAACATAGCTCCATTTATCACAGCATGATTGTAGGCAGACAAACCAGCCTGTTGCCAGATAGTGAAAGCAACTGTTATTAATCACAATTACAGGCCAAACCCTCTAAGAGAAATTGCATCAATATTCTCCCAACCCCTGGCCCTTTTACTCTGGAACTCAAAAGTGGTACTGAGAGTGTCATGACACTGCCTGAAGGTCAGTAAATAAAGACGCTACTATGAGTTCAACTTGAGTTTTAAGTTCAGGGTGCAAATCAAGAAAAATCTTTTCTATACATAAAAATAAGTGATCTCTCAAAAGCTCTAGCATTGAATAAGTTTAGTAAGGTAACTAAAAACATTATTTAAAATTTATGTTGAAAAGGTTTCTGCTTTATGCAATTATACTGAATAGCAGCAGGCATTTGAAATACACAAATTATATGATTACCTATAAACAGAAAAGCTATTATGAAAATAACATTCTTCGATAGCAAATTTCATAGCCAATACTGTGAAGGAAATTTATTTTTCTTTCATGCTGATTGTAAGAAACTTTCCTATAGGGTGAGATCAACTGTAGTTTATAAATGAAGTGTTAAAACTATTGTTGAATCATATCCCTTGAATGTATGGATCTTTCTCAAATACACTGTAATCCTTTCTTTAATGGTTAAGGCAAGAGTGCCAAACAGATTGCCACCTGGTGCTGTTTATTGCTATTATTAAAAACAAACAAACAAACAAACAAAACTATTGTTTTTTAAGCACTTACTAAATGTAAGGCATTTAGATGTTTTACATAGATTAACACGTTAAGTGTTGCAATAAACATATGAGACAGGTACCATTATTCCCATTTTGCAGGTGAGGAAAGTGTAAGTCAGAGAAATTATTTCCCTAAGGTCACACAGTTAAATGCAAAACCAGGAATCCAATATAGATTTGATTCCATAGCCTACATTATTTCCCCTCTGTTGTTCAGCCACTCAAATTTATATTGGTTTTAAGACAAAAAGTTCGAATGAAACCTTACATACTTAATGCATTTATGGAAGAACACTAAATGGTTGGTGGTATGGAGTTGCAGAAAAATGCACATTATTTTACCCTACTTCTCCAGTGAATAACTAACTCACTCTGCTAATATGCTTTCCCAGAAATATTAGAGAATAAACTGAGACTTTCTATGACTAAATATGACCCTCTATTCAATATTTAGGCCTAGTTACCAAATGTTAAGCTAAATTAACTACAAGACTACTGCCTTTTTTCTTTTCTTTTTTTTTAAGAGACAGGATCTTACTCTCTATCACCCATGCTGGAGTGCAGTGGTGCGATGCCAGCTCACTGCAACCTTAACCTCCTGGGCTCAAGCCATCTTCCCGCCCCAGCTTCCCAAGTAGTTAGGACTATAGGCATGTGCCACCACAGTGAGCTAGTTTT
This sequence comes from Homo sapiens, assembly GCF_000001405.40. NCBI lineage: Eukaryota > Metazoa > Chordata > Mammalia > Primates > Hominidae > Homo > Homo sapiens. The sequence continues at coordinate 177,529,316 of NC_000002.12, read as the reverse complement.
TTTTCTTAGTTTTTGTAGAGATAGAGTCTTGCTATGTTGCGCAGACTGTCTCAAACTCCTGGGCTCAAGCACTCTTTCTGCCTGGGCCTCCCAAAGTGTTTGGAATGCAGGTGTGAACCACAGCCAACTACTGCTGTTCTAATATAAAAGAATAATATGCGGCCGGGAGTGGTGGCTCATGCCTGTAATCCCAGCACTTTGGGAGGCTGAGACAGGTGGATCACCTGAGGTCAGGAGTTCAAGACCAGCCTGGCCAACATGGTGAAACCCCGTCTCTACTAAAAATACAAAAAATTAGCTGGGTGTGGTGGCGGGAGCCTGTAATCCCAGCTACTCGGGAGGCTGAGGCAGGAGAATAGCTTGAACCCGGGAGGCAGAGGTTGCAGTGAGTGGAGATCACACCATTGCACTCCAGCCTGGGCAACAAGAGTGAAACTCCATCTCAAAAAAAAAAAAAAAAAAAAAAAGGATTAATATGCAAGATTCAGAGCTATTTGAGAATTTGCAAAACTGCTCAAATTCTGTGAGCATTTATTTGGGCATGCACTTATCCACTCATTTAACATATTCATTGAGCATTTATGATGTTGAACTATGTAGAGCAGCCAGTCACTGTTTAGGGAGTGAGAAATACAGTGACAAACAAGATAAAGTCATTAACCTCAATAAATTTAATTCAAATGGGGATTACAGAAACTACACAAGAGGACAGGGAAGATCCCTCTAAGAAGGTGACATTTTTATTAGAGACCTAAACAATGGTAGAAAGTGAGTCATGCAAATATCTGAAGGAGAGGACAAAAGAAAGAACATTATAAAAAGAGGGAACAAACAGCAAAGGCCTTGAATGGGAAAAGGGATTAGTATGTCTGAGGAATAGCAAGAAGGCCAATGCTGCTAGAGGTACAAAGTAATCAAAGCTGAGGACAGAGTGATATACAATGTATCCTTGAAGGTCATGATAAGGAGTTTTCATTTTGTTCTGAATGTGAGAAGAAACCATTGATTTTTTTAACAGATTAATCGAGCAGCAAGAGAAATGAGAATACAGTAGCAGAGTGGAAGAAAGACCAGTTAGGAGGCTACTGCAGAAAATAGTGATTGCAACTAGGGTAGTGGTATAGAGGTGTTATCTTTTGATATCTGGGAGTTAGCATACAGATGGTCTTTTAAATTGTGAAACTTGAGATAATCATCAAATAAATGAGTGAATATAGAGAAATGAAGGTCTGAGGGCTGAGCCCTGGAAGACTCCAATATTTAGCAATTTAGAAGAGAAAAAAAATAGAAAAGGGAAAGCATCTTCATTTTATCAGCATACCTAAAGTATGTTTTGTATTCAGACTTATCAAAGTTTCTTTTTCTAAGCACTAGAGAAAACCAGGTATTTCAGAGTCTGTTTCCATGCGGTCATATTTTGACCACATAGAAAATAAAAATACAAGAAATAGGATAGACATAAAAGATTTCTATTTAAATGAGGCAAAACCTCTAAATAAATTAATATGCCATCAAACGTTGCTAGATTCAACTTCAACCCAATAATTCCTAAAAAATAAATTATTTCACCAAATTGGGAGTCTTCAATAAAAGAAGGCCTATAAACCTAGAACCTGAAAAATGCACATAACTTATACACATAGCTTTAATGTAACATGATATGACCGCCATTTGTTCTATTACCTGATACTGCTGACATGTTAGGAACCTACTATCAGGAAGTATAAAAGCAACCAGAAAGTAAAATTGACTTATGGGAAAGAACTGAGAAAACAATAAAAATATCTATGATGAGGAAATTAAAATTTTAATTCACTAAAGAAACAGATTTTATATTTTAAAATAAAAATAGTAATGTATAATATTTATTTTCCTTTTATTGATTGATTGAGACAGGGACTTGCTCTGTCACCCAGGCTGGAGTGCAATGATGTGATCATGGCTCACTGCAACCTCAACCTCCCAGGGTCAAGCAATCCTCCTACCTCAGCCTCCTGAGTAGCTGGGATTACAGGTACATGCTACCATGCCCAGCTAAGTTTTGTATTTTTTGTAGAGATGGGGTTTTGCCATGTTGCCCAGACTGGTCTCGAACTCCTGAGCTTAAGCAATCCACCCGCCTAGGCCTCCCAAAGTGTTGGGATTACAGGTGTGAGCCCCCATGCCCAGCCCATATACATTTAAAAAAAAATTAATTACATGTCTCTTCTCAAAGCCTGTCATTTTCAATCTTTTTAGATTTTACTCATTCCAGACATTTTAGGCTTTTAATTAAGAGGACAAGGATACTGAGGCAGGAAGACCTGAGTTCAAATTCAAATTCTGGCACTAACAATTATTACTGATTTTTGGGCCAGTTACTTTATATTCAGAACCTTAGCATCTTCATGTGAAAGACAGGAATAATATCTATTCCACTGCATTAAGCAGAATTAAAAGAGGTTAAGTATGCAGAACACCTAGGCAAATATTCACAGCTTTATAAATGTTAATTCTTTTCCTTTATTCTATCCCCTTTCTCTTCACTGTTTCAGCATCTATAGCATTTACATGTTTATTAAAGGCATCTTTTGAATGCTCTTCAAAGAAAAGGGCAGACTCTTACCTTAAAGTAGCAATAATATAATCCCATCAGTTTTTGTCAGTAGCTTTTGAAATGGTATAATATTTTATTCTACTGGACTATAAGGCCCTTCACGGGAAGGACTGCCATTCTTTGAAACCATATTGCCTAGTAGACCAGTAGTACTTATAATATGGAAAACAGATTATACAACATTAAAAGGTATTAAGCATACTTTGTATCAAAAAATATAACAAGCACTTTGGGAGGCTGAGGTGGGCGGATCATCTGAGATCAGGAGTTCGAGACCAGCCTGGCCAACATGGTGAAAACCCGTCTCTACTAAAAATACAAGAATTAGCCATGAATTGTGGCGCATGCCTGTAATCCCAGCTACTCAGAAGGCTGAGGCATGAGAATCACTTGAACCTGGGAGGCAGTGGTTGCAGTGAGCTGAGATCGCACCGCTGCACTCCAGCCTGGGTGATAAAGTGAGACTCAGTATCAAAAAAAAAAAAAAAAAAAAGACAAGAAGCTATTTACATTATTTGCTTTGTGATCAAGAATTGAATAAACATGATCTTATAAATTAACATTTTCTAACTATTTGTTAATTAACTTTTATTTCTGTGAATTGATTACTATAATGGACTATTACCATAGCTCTCACAAATGAAATCCAGGTTTCAAACAGATTTGCACTAGAGTTGGTTAATTCTATTATTTTATATTTGTGCATATTTCCTTTTTTCTGTAATGACAGCTTTATGAATATATTATTTCAAGTATGTTTACACAGACTCTGTTAGAGCCTACCAAGAAGCTCTCAGTGTCTGGGGTACATCTGAATAAGTAAAATCAGCAGTTCTGCCATATTACACTTTCTGCATCTTACAAATAGACACTATTAGAGGGACTTGAATTTCCTCATAGACCCTAAAGAAGCAGAGTCACTGGCCGAGGAAAAAACTGTTGGTTTGGTTTTCCTCTGTAATGCATGCAGTCATTTGGTCATTTCCAACTTCTAGAGAATTTCTGACACTGTATAAAGACTGAATAAACTGAGAACATCATCCCACAATTAAGGAAACAGCTCATCTAATAACCAATTACCTAAAGACAATTAAGCCTCTATTTCCTTGTTATATATATGATTCAGCTGCTCTCACCCTCTTGCAGAATCACTTCTCCCCCATATTTACCATTATAAACACAGAAACCACATTTCTTGATTTTAAAAGAGAAAGTAAACTATTGGCTGCTGACACATACCAAAGGGCAAATTTGTTGGCTACACTGGGAAAGTTTTAATTTTTCTTCAAACAAGTAATTATGGCTAAATCATTTCGCTTCCTCTGTCCCATGTAATCAATTTAGACAAAAAACAAACGAATAATTCATGATATATTTATATATATTAAAGTTCCCTGAATATTAATACAGTGTCATTTTGAAACAGAATAAAAAATATTTAAAATAATGTATATGGCTTTCTGAAAATTTTACAGGAAGGTGCTAAAATCTAAGTATCTTTAAGTAACTCCTCATTCAAATTTCCAAAATTAGGTTTGGACTTTTAGAGTAATCGGAAGCTTTTAATTCCACTTGAGAGGTTTCTAATATTCATTTCCCTCCCTTTTCCATTTTTGTTATGCTAGCATTCATGAGAACCACCATCAAATGAAAGGATAATAAATAGAAAAAGGAGAGAGGAGCATATTATCTTCAATGCTATTGGCTAAGTTAAGAATTCATTTGTGGGGGTTAAGAGAAAAGTATAGCAAAAGATTAAATTGACACAATGACGTTGGGAGCTACTTTATTCATCAACATTAGCAATCTTTTCCAGACCTTGCTGTAAGAATATGATATGGACACACACCTTCCATAGTCCACTCCTTTTCCAACAGAATTCTTTCATTCATTCTGCATCAATGTATGGAGGGCTGACTGGGGCTAAGCACTGTTCTAGGTGCTACCATATAGCAACAAACAAAACTAGAATTCCTGTCCTCATGGATTCTCACTTTGCAGTAGGAAGACAAAATTTTAAAAAGTACAAATATACAGCATATTAGATAATAATAAGTGCTATGAATGAAAATTAAACAGGAAAAAAAAGGATATAAGGAGTCCAGAGCAGTTGAATTTTTAAATTAGGTGGTTATTGTCACTGTGCTTCCTAAAAACTATTTAAAAATCTACACATTTCTATTTTCCTAGGCATCAAATTATATTGAGGGATATATTAAGAACAAATTTCTATTCTACAGAACAAGTGGATAACCTCAAACATTGCCATTTTAATAACAGAATGGCCATTGTTTAAGTTTTAAAGGGTTGCCTCATTATTTTCATAAGCATGCTAGTAACAAAGATAGACATATTGTAATAATTTTTATTGGTGATGTGATAAATTCTGACAACACTCGATACTTACCAAAATGACCACTAAGTAATAACAAAACAGCATTAAAACCTTGAAAAAAGATTTTTCTCATATCCTGTCTTGATTAATTTGCTGAGCTTTGGGTGGGCAGAACAAACAGCCCTTCAATATATTATATAACTGATGACCAGCTACATTCCGATAGTGGCTGAAAAACATTTATGTAGGTTTTCTTCCCCATCATCCTTTAAAAACGTTTGCTGTAATGGTCAAGTACCTCCCAGGCAAGCTGGGCTATTCTCTGATAACATGAGGTCCCTGAGACCTCAGAAGGTTGCCTGGGCTCCATTTCTAGGCAGGCGTGTCAAAGTAAGCTTCTAGTGGCTACTACCACAACCTAACTATCTACCTCAGTAACAGCTATTTCAAAGACATAGAAACTTTAAAGAAACCTCAAGTACTCTCATATTATTCATACCATGTCTCTCCCTAGCATTTTACTGAACTGAATATTTTTTAAAGTAAGAATATTAGAAATTCTACTCCCAAAAAAGAATACCTCCATGGTGATGTGACAGGCTCCCTCCATTAGCAAGGATTTCTTCTCTAGCAGCTGCCTGTATTTGGAAACAACACAACAAATTGTTGCTAGTTAGATTTCATTTTGCAGTGAAAGAAAAAGACCCAACTCCCAAAGAAGGCACATGTTTCCTGGGTTAAATAATAAACTAGAAGCCTAACTTTCCTCTCTTTTGGTCAAATGTGTTTAAAAAGCAATTAAATAAGTAGCCTAGCTTCATAAGTTTTTTTCTAGTGAATAGTCACAATGTCTAAAGATCACTTTGAGATTCTAGGGAAAAAAGACAAAATGACCATTCAGCACACTAAATTGTTAATAATATTAATAACTGCAAAGTTGTAAATGTAGAGTCAGGTTCTACTTAGTAACGAACATCTCTCATTATACCAACAAAGTGACTAAAATTTACTGACTGCTTCCTATAAGTGTACCAGAAAAGTTCCAAGTAATTTGCCTGCAGTATCTTATTTTCAGTATAGCTTTATGAAATAACTACAATTACTCCCATTTCACAGATAAAATAAGGCTTAGATAGGTTAAATTATTTGCCTAATATCATATAGTGGGCATCAGAGTTATAAAGCTATTAGAGTCTTTATTAAACCTATTAGAAATCAACCATAAATGCCTTTATGGAGAACACTTCTTAGGTCAATGACTTGGGATAAATTACTTGTCAGTCTTATGGATACCTAAGAGTGAAAAGAAAAACCTCGTTTTACCCTAATATGTAAGGTCCTAACCAAGCTCCTTATAGAGGACACAGGTAGGAAAAGATAAACACTTGTAACAAAATATAGAATGACTAAAGAGCACTGTAAAAAAGGATGACAGAAACTGGAATTGCCTTCAGTTCCTAATGATTCGTGAATATATAATGGCTACGAGGTAAAATATCTATAGTACCTTGGGCCTCTCAAAATTACTCAGTTGTGTATGTATAAACTATCAGGAGTTAGGCCAGGGTAGGAGAGGGCCCAGGTGGGACAGACGGACCACATCCCACTGCAAAGTAATCTATAAGAACCCTCGGCTGTGTGCGGTAGCTCACGCTTGTAATCCCAGCACTTTGGGAGGCCAAGGTGGGTGGATCACTTGAGGTCAGGAGTTTGAGACCAGCCTGGCCAACTGGTGAAACCCTGTCTCTACTAAAAATACAAAAAATTAGCCAGGCATGGTGGTGCACGCCTGTAAGTAATCCCAGCTACTCAGGAGGCTGAGACAGGAGAATCGCTTGAACCCGGGAGGCAGAGGTTGCAGTGAGCCGAGATCACGCCACTGCACTCCAGCCTGGGCAACAGAGTGAGACTTCATCTCCAAAAAACCCTCATTACTTAGGGTTTTCCGAATGAATCATACATATGCCCTCCCCTGCTCTAAGAATTTATATCCTCTAACAAATTACTTTAAATTAAGCAATAGCTACTTGAGATCAGTAGCACTTAGAGACCAGCAGTTTGGACTGAGAAAGAAGGAATAATTTCACTCTGTGGTACTGTACAGAAGGGACATTTGGGTAGCCAGAGGGCAACACTGAAGCAGTGAAAGGCTAAAGTGACAAAAAAGTACTCAGACTTTTGGGAATGATATTATTCTGACTGGGGTGATGGTTTCACAGGTGTATACATATGTCAAAACTGTACACATTAAATATATACAGCTTACTGTACTTGAATTGTACTTCAAAAAAGCTGCTTAAAAAAAAAAGAGGAGGCATAGGAGGAAGCCAACCAAACCCTTTCTATAGTTTGGGTCTAAAAGTGTGCTACTGAAATTAGCTTTAGCAGGTGTGCAATGCAGTTAAAACAGTAGAACACCTGAGTTTTTAAGAAACCTCAGCTTCCTACAGGATCCTCCACACTCTAGTCTGTTTAGGCGTACTCATAAGGAGAAATATTGGTTATCAAGAGAAAGCTTTATAAAAATAAACAGTTTGACACTCTTTAAGAAAGTAATAGAAACTGCTAGCTAATGAACCCAAAGCACCCACTTACAGCTATAGCATATAAAAAAATTACAAATCTAGAATGACATTACAACAACACAGACCAAGGGCATTAGGGCTGCTGACCTCAACAGCAACCACCATGTGGAAATGAGTGGGCTGTGAAAGTGATATCTAAGATTCCTATATAGTTATTTAATTTAATGAATTCCTAATTGTTATTTAATTTAATCAGCTATTATGTACTGTAACAACTGAAGAATCACAGACTAGGTGTACAGTACCTTAATTTTAGACTCACAATTCAGTACATAAGCCAGGGAAACAAATATGCTTTTCATTTCTAAGGGCTAACAGCTAGGCAAACCATGTGTGATTAAAGAGACTCAACTTAAAATTCATAAATTGACAGTAAAATTTATTGAAATTAATCAACAGCTGTAAAAGCTATATGCAGGTATGCAAAATTACCTCAGTTTGTTCAAATACGGTCAGTGGGTCACTAATTCCCCTGTAGTTAAAGGCAAAATAGAAGTAGATACAAGCACCTGCATCGTAAGTCTGCGTCACCCTAAAAAACAAACAAAATCCCCACAGGGGCTTTAAGTTAAGTGAAATCAGATTTAACATCTAGAAACTGAAAGTCAAGACGACCCAAATGATTAGTTTAAGATATAATCTCAGTTTCTTCCCAGCCTCTACTCCATGGAAGGAATACACATTGGCTTGCTTTAGAGTTGTCCGCCAAAACAGGTGAACTGAGGACGCAGTGCAAAACAAGAATTTTACCTTCACTGAAGTACCAAATTAGTCAATATTATAGGTACATATTCAATCTTTTTCATGTCTGTCCCATGTTACTAAAACTTCTATTGGGAAATAACCCAAAAACTTTTATACATTGTATCAGAATTTTATGATGAAATGCCATTTTCACTGATTTTATTGTTTTGTTATCTAGAAGTAATGAGAACTATCAGCAGCATGTGTGAAAACAATATATATATAGTCAGGTAAGCATGAGTATTCATTGTTTTAAATTGCATAATCAAAATGACATTTAACAAAATTACTTAAAAACATACATATCTTGACAATAAAAGTAACACTAACTTTTTCTCTTTCTGCTATTTAACAAATTTTATGCACAATTAAGTTCTTCATGTGACTTGTATAAGACAAAATTTGAGGCACTTCCATACTACAAATAGTACAACTCCATTACTTTTCAAGAGCGTGTTTTCCTGCCAAAGGACCACACAATGAGCTCCATATGTGCAAGTGAAAACTACATTTTGTACTGCCACAGTAAACAGATGGGATGCAAAACATCTGCCCCTTGAAAAAGGCAAAATTAGACTCAAAACAAGAAACCTGGTTCCTTTCATTGGCTCCGTCACTGCTGAGGATAGGAACATGAAATGCATAGAATACATATGGACATGCAAACACTGACTAAAGTCAATTTTCATTATTTAAAAAATCCATATTGATAGAGAATGGGCAAATTATAATCTCTTCAAAGTACATTAAGTCCTCTTGTCAGGCATGTGAATCAGAGCAACTGCATCTTAAATAGGAGCTGGGTAAAATGAGGCTGAAACCTACCTACTGGGCTGCATTCCCAGAGGGTTAAGCCATTCTAAGTCACAAGATGAGATAGGAAGTCAGCACAAGATACAGGTCATAAAGACCTTGCTGATAAAACAGATTGCAGTAAAGAAGCCAGCTAAATCCCACCAAAACCAAGATGGCCAGGAGAGTGACCTCTGGTCATCCTCACTGCTACACCTACACTCCCACCAGTGCCATGTCAGTTTACAAATGCCAAGGCAACATCAGGAAGTTACCCTATATGGTCTAAAAAGGGGAGGCATGAATAATCCACTCCTTGTTTAGCTTATCATCAAGAAACAACCATAAAAATGGGCAATCAGCAGACCTTGGGGCAGCTCTGTCTATGGAGTAGTCATTCTTTTATTCCTTTACTTTGCTGATAAACTTGCTTTCACTTTGCACTGTGGACTTGCCCTGAATTCTTTCTTGTGTGAGATCCAAGAACCTTCTCCTGAGGTCTGGATCATCCTGGGACCCTTTTCCTGTCACACTCTGGCAACAATACTATGAACTCATCATTTGTTTGGATTCTCCTGGCTCAACAGACTTAAAGATTCTGGGTAGAAAAAAAGCAAATCACTGCAGTTGAGACCAAAACAAAGACACTGTTCAGTTCTGGCTATAACTTTAAAAATAAATGACAACAAAATAAATATCAATAATATTTTTTTCTACACAGATAATTTAAATGCACTAGAAGAAACTCTTCTAAGCTGTATATAGCCAAAATATGACATAGTCTAAAGATACAGAATGACAAACGAGATTGAAGAATGCTGAGAGAACATAAAGACAGACACCATCAATTAGCTTATGCAGCTTAAAAATCAGTCTATACAAAGAATAAGAAAATTGGGATAGGTCGGATTGGGAAAAGTGTTCTGGAAAGGCATACCTAAATGGAGACTGACAAAGAAACATAAGATATTGTTCTAGGTAAAACAAATGCCAATATTACTAAGATATAGGAGAAATCAACCAGGAGATAACAAAGGAGAGTAAAAAAAGCTAGACATCCATGAGTAGAGGAACCAGATGAACAAAAAGATTAAGGGAAAAAAGCAGGGAAAAATGAGCTGAAAATAACTACAATTCTGACATCAGGAATAAGAAAAACCAAAGAACTTGAGGAAGAAACCAATATCAAAGGAGCAACGGCTATCACTGCTGTGAAAGCTTGAGGAGATATACCTTCACTCAGCACCAACTCTACAGAACACAGACCCTCTGTGGCCCACAGACCTGCTTTTCTTTCTCCCTAGGCCTCATATCTTCTCACCTTTCTCCCTAGGCCTCATATCTTCACACCTTGCCTCAATCACTGACTCTTCCTAAGTATGTGCGCCCATTTTCTTCCTCTTCAAAAACCTACTTTCCCAGATCAAAAGGACACAGAAGCCAACTTAAAGAAACTCCCAATAGCCACACTGGGAAAATCTGAGCAACAAAGTGAATAATGACAATAATGGCTATATTCCAGACAATAAAATGTCTATGAGTCCCTACTGATAGACTCATATACAGACAGATAGATAGTGGCAAGGGGTGGGGGGCGGGCAGAAAAAGAGAGGAGAGGAAAGCTCTTCTTTACAGTGAATTCCAATTGATAAATGTAAAATGAATGATTAAAATAGAAAATCACCATTTACAAGTATCACAATTATAACTGCTGTAATCAAGAATCAACAGTGGGATATTGATGTGATTAGGAGATGATATAAGAAACAGGATATTTGCATAGTCTCAAAGTTTCTCCCCATAAGGTTTTTGGGTTTTTTTTTCTTTTGAGATGTAGTTTTGCTATTGTTGCCCAGGCTGGAGTGTAGTGGCACTATCTTGGCTCACTGCAACCTCCATCTCCCGGGTTCAAGCGATTCTCCTACCTCAGCCTCCCGAATTGCTGGGATTACAGGCGCCTGCCACCACACCTGGCTAATTTTTTTGTATTTTTAGTAGAGACGGGGTTTCATCATGTTGGCCAGGCTGGTCTCAAACTCCTGACCTCAAGTGATCCACCCACCTCAGCCTCCCAAAGTGCTGGTATTACAGGCGTGAGCCACTGTGCCCAGCCATAAGATATTTTTTTAAATACAATGGGGAAAAATAGTAATTGTAGAGTGGAGAAACCTGGCAGGTACCACCCTAACCAAGTAGTCTAAGTTAATGTCACCAATAATGAGACTTAATAAATATCATGCTTCTTCTGAGATGATCTACCATGAAGAGCACTTCACTATCACTTCTGAGGTAATCTTGCTGAAATGTGTAACTTGAATTTGATCACAAGAAAACATCAGACAAACTCAAACTGAGAGATGTTTTACAAGATAACTGGCCAGTATTCTTCAAATGTATGAAGGTTATGAAAGATAAAGATATCAGTAGGACAAATGATAAAGAAAGGTTTGTGAGTTAGGTAATCATATTGAAACAACACTAATTTTTTGGTTTTGATAATCATACTATAATTACATGAGATATCAGCATTTGAGGAAGATGAGTAAAGGGTACACAGGAAATATTTGTACAATACTATTTTTTTTTAAGTCTAGTTACACCTCCCCCAAAATTAGAAATTTAAAAGCAATGTAAATGTTTTTCCAATTGGCCCATCTCCATCAAGAGGGATTCTTTTTTAAAAAACTAAGTATACTGCACTTAAAGTCAGTCACTAAACAGACCAGATGAAACGTGGTGATCAGTTAAGTTTTCCAAACTCCCTCGAAGTTAAAAGAAATAAGTATGAGATATGAGAATTAAAAACTAAGAAATGGGAGAAATGCCCAAATACCAAATATGATCAGACTGAGTGAAATATAGCATCTTCACTAAGTTTACATTAATAATTAGTAAGCCTTTGGAAAACAAATAGGATGATTGTACCAAATGCAGTGACATAGCCTTAAAATACTATGACTCAATATTTATACATGTTGAATGTGTATATACAAAAGATATCAAGAATGTTAGATTATTAAATCATATATATAATATATATCTGAGCTTTCAAAATGCAATTAGGAAAGCATTTAAAAGGGAGGTAAGGTAATCATAGTCAAATCTCCATATGCAATTTACAGAGGCTCCCACAAAGAATTTAATTTAACAGAAGGAGCAAATGCAGAGGAAATACTCTTTTTACTACACAATACAAATAGAATCTAATCTACAATTTTAATCGCATTTTAGGCCAAATGTTAGGTGCCTCAGAACAGAAGAAATGAACTGTTTAACAATGCTACTGTCAATTTGCCAGCTGTGTTTCTCTTCTAGTGTTAATTCACCCTCATAAAAAAAAGATCCCTTGAATATTTACATTTTAAGTACCAGATATACAAAGTTTAAGAAACAACGGAGAACCATTTTAACTCCAAGGGCACTATCATTAGGAATAACCAAATTCAAATAAAGTGTGAAGGATAAATGAATGAAACGAACTTGCAGAAATTAGTAAAATATATATCACTCATAAGAGAATCACTAACATTCATAAATAGATGTAACTAAATATTAATAGAGCATTATCATCTTTCAAACAAATCCAGCATCTATGTATTACACAGTTCAGTTTTCAGTAGATGAACAGATTACTGAAGTCATAACAAAGCTTGATGGGCCTGATTGATTAGTATCTCAGACAAGTCCAAATAATGAAAAACACCTTATGGAATACCTTAATTTGGGTCCATTTCAGAAAGTGACTTAGATCTAACACCTTTTACAATAGATCAACTCTATCATTTAAGACACTTAAACACTAACCTCTTTCAAAATCATCTGGACAAGTAATAGCGTGGTTGTCAAAGTCACTACATTATTCTTTAATTAAAAAAATTTTTTTGTGCTCCCTACTTTTTGGAGTACTTTATTTGTATTAGACTCAATGACTAGCAATTACTTCCCATATAACGTCTTCAGAAAAGTTTGGACTGGAATTTCTATTCCAATGTACAAAGTACATTTTAATGGACAAAAATGAAATAAATGAACTCAATAAATGTACCCTACACCTGAGTTATTTTTCTTAGGATCCTTGATTTTAAATAGATCCATAATTATTTTTAAATAACTTTGGAACAGCTTTGTAAAATGTTATTTCAACTTTGATTTTAGATATGGGGGTCTATGCACACGTTTGTTAAGTGGGAATATTGCGTGATGCTGAGGTTTGGAGTATGGATCCTATCACCCAGGTAGTGAGCATAGCACCTGATAAAAAACTGGTTTAAAAAATACATCTCACATATTCAACATGGAATAATCTCCTTAGCCACTACTAAGCAGGTCAAACCAAACTAAACTGAAATCAAATTCTAATTAAATGTTAGTTTAATCAAGTATGAGCCATAAGAACCATAAAAGTCTTATTTATCAAAGCCACTCAAGTAACTAGGCTTTGCATATTCTAACTGGTTTTATAAGATGGTCACAGAAACTGAACACATAAGCTTTTATAGGAAAACCATTCTTAAAACATAGCTACTGCTATTTAATAAAAATGACATATGGCCAATTCAGTCTAAATATACTAATTCTACTTATCTACAATACAGAATGAAGATTCTTAGGCCTCATGAATACATTCTGAAGAACCTAGATTTAAGTGTAATTACAGAATGTGCCCTAAGGCAGAATATTTTACTTCCTAATCATTTTCCATAGGTAGTGGTTTATCACGATAGTTTCATAATGTTACAGCGGGGGTGGGGTTCTTAAGAGATGTTGAACAGGAACTTGGGGGCAGAAGGAAGAAGGGGGAAGGGTAAAATCTGTTAAGTTACCATTCAAAAAAACAAAGGAATAAAAATTTCTCAACTACACAAGAATAGATTTGACTATCTAAAATGTTTCAAAATCTAATGGTAACAAATAGCTTTTGGATTATTATGTCTGATTTGTTTTCAGGATTACAATAAAAGAGAGCTGACTGCTAAAAGACTGGGCTATCAAGAGAAAAATGAAGCATCAGTTTGGGTTGATAATATAAACACAAAAATTTTTGTCTTAGATTTTAAGGACTTTAAGATAAAAGGTGCATTGTTAAAGATACCCCCAAATTTAAAATAAATTAAAAGTAACATGACATTCTTACACCCACTATGTCGACATTAGCTTAATCCCATTGTAAGCTTTTTACTACAGAGAACAAGACCTCTCTTTGCCTTTCCTTCAGATATCTCGAATGCCCAGCAAATAATCTCTAAAATCTACTTTTTCAGCTTTTATAATCTCTGATCCTATCGTCAGTGTACTTGCTTAAAACATGTTAATATACAGATGACTTAGTACTTTCTGCAAGGCTTGTTAAACATGGACAGTGTCTCCCACACAGAAGCAGAAACGGCTACTTTAAGGAGATCCTTTTGATTGAAATGAACATTTAAGGTGTAAGAAAGATGCTTTCCTCAGATCTCATGTTAGAATTTTACTTTCTTACCTTGCAGAAGTGCAATTTAGCAAATTCTAAAGGGTATCTCTTCCCAATGGGAACAATAAGGAAAACTAAGAAACACAACACTAGTACTAGGAAAGTACAAGATAAGACAATAGAAAAGATAGAAAAAAGACAAAAACAAAAACACACACACATACAATTAGCAGTTTAAAGAATACAGAAATATTTCTAGTCTTGGAAAACAAATATATGCAAATTATCATGCTATAAGGAGCAAGTAAGCTTAACAACTGAATGCCTTAATGAGGACTTGTCATTGGAAAGGAAAGGGAAATATACAAATTTTCCTTACTAATACTAGTATGGATTATCTACCTCAAGCTTAATGTAATTATGTCAAAACAATACTACAGCAGAACCTAACAGTTTTTTCATATGCTTTCTCATTTCATTTTTACAACAGTCCCATGAAGAAATGGCATTACCACTATTTTACTGATAATATTAGAGCTTGAAGAGATTAAATTACTAGTAAACAACAAAACACTGCCTTCACTCTTCAGAGTCATGTTGAGTATGTATATAATTTATAATTTCTTGACTATATAATTTATAGTTTCAGTGAGTAGAGTAGTCCTCTTCTTTTTCCAGGAGTCCAGACACCTGGCTCTTCACTGCCATGCCACCCAGATGGCAGGGAAGGCTTACTCACAGAAGGGTGTCCTACTCCTAAAAGGCTCAGGACTACTGTAAAATTCCAGTGGCACAATCCTAACAAGGTGGTAAGTGAAGGTTAGGAAAGCTGGCCAAATGTAATAGACTGAAGCTTTTTCTCAGCTGGAAAATTATATTCCCCCCCTTGATTAAAAAAAACATTTTTTTCAGAATAAGAAGTATAAGAACAATTTTTAAAACTTACCTGCATGTAGAAAAAGGAGCAAACTGAACACCCTTCTCTTTGCATTCCCTTGTTATTCTTTCTTTTACATTTCTACAGAGATCTACCACCCTAAAAAAAGATAAATGAATACAATATTAAGTTTTCAAGTGAGAACTACACAAGTGCTAATAAACGTTGGTTAATCTGGCATCATTCAAGTCTGACATTTTCTTAGCTAAAGCTTTCATAGTTGTCCTTTCAAGAATGGAAAAGAGCCCTGATCACTCAAATTGAGCCCTCCATTCCTAACTTCAAAAAGAAGAAAGTTTTTTCTTTTTTTGACTTAAGGAAAACAGAAAGTCACAAGAACACACTCAAGTCTCCTGAATGTGGTTTCCTACACTTAGGAAAGCCTGATTTCAAAATCAATTTGATTATAAGATTTTAAGAGCTTTAAAAAAGCTATAAAGATGTTAATGAAAATTCGATTCTAGGTTACAGGAATACCAATCTTTACCCATGTCTAAGAAGTTTTCCTTAATTTAGAAATAACTCAGGCTGGGTGCATGGCTCACACCTGTTATCCCAGCACTTCAGGAAGCCGAGGCCAGAGGACTGCTTGAGCCCAGGAGTTTGAGACTAGCCTGGGCAACAGTGAGACCCTATCTCTACAAAATATTAAAAAATTATCCAGGCATGGTGGCACACACCTGCAGTCCCAGCTACTCAGGAGGCTGAGGTGGGAGAATCGCTGGAGCCCAGGAGGGCAGGACTACAGTGAGCCATGGTTGCGCCACTGCACTCCAGCCTGGGTAACAGAACAAGACTCTGTCTCAAATAAAATAATAATAATAATAATAATGATTCAATTAATAATCATGATGTTACTAGCCTGGGCAATATAGTGAGACCTTGTCTCTACTAAAAATCAAAAAAATTAGTTGGGCAAGGTGGTGCATGTCTGTAGTCCCAGCTACTTGGGAGGCTGAGACAGGAGGACTGCTTGAGCCTGGGAGGTTGAGGTTGCAGTGAGCCAACATCGCACTACTGCACTCCAGCCTGGGCAACAGAGCAAGGCACTGTCTTTCAAAATAAATTATAATCATGATGTTATATCAAATGTTCGATAGCTTACTCACAAGCTGAAATCCAGTTTGACAAAGATCTACTGAAGACAAACGATGTAAAGTATTAATGTGTTATGCTGGACTATTTGATATTAAAGTCCCATTTTATTCCCCAATAAATATCCTGGCCACATAATAACACCGATTCTGTGTTTTAAACCTTGATTTGTTTAGCATCATGAGACTTGAAATGATACCAGAAAAACTCAAAAGGTTGGCTTATCTCTAGTCTCAAGACGCAGACTTGACTGTATGAGAACCACTTTGATAAAAAACAGTAGCATTTAAACAGATCATACTTTATAAAAGTTATCCATATTGTCAATAAGAACAAACAGTATATGATTAAAATATAAATACAAAAAGGGCTTTAGTGTCTTATTAGCATGTCACATTTTTTATCTTTATGAATACAGTATCTGAAAGTTTTATAAAATCTAATTTTATAAAACAATGTTCTTAAGTTAAATTCTTTAATTTATGAGAGTTGCAGGTATACATGACTTATCAATGTTATCTATGCATCACTTATGCATGGCAAGGATGCACATTTAAAAAAAATCTCATAAAACATTTAGATGACTGATATTTAATATGTCTTTATTTTGAATATATACCTTATAAAACAAATATTTAAATATAAATAAAATCTATTAAGCTTTAATATTTATAAGAGTTAACGTATATTACAAATTTATAAAAGTAGTAAGTTCTTTTCTTTGGAACAAGTTCTTTATGTTGGCTCTAGAAAATGAAATTTAAGTGCTACAGCTAAGTAGTCTAAAAAAAATCTAAGAATACAATCATCTGCTGTTACAGTCCTTTGCAAGTTATGGCACTGTGTGAACTGCATTTCAGTTTAAATGCACTTAAATGTATCCAATCATCTTAAATACAATAGTAAACAGGAAAATATTAAGAGCTCCTTATATCTAAACCCTCACTGATAGTTGAATAATGAAAAGGAGATGGAGAAAGGACCAGACTGAACAGTTATAACCCACAATGGGACACTTTCAGTAAATGATTTTTAGGGAAAGGTTTCTGAAAGTATTCTCTCACAGAACTTGATAAGAGGCTAACACAGTCCACTTGGATCAATCCTTTTATAGGACAGAAACATAACTGCATATTTTCAAATTCTTACTTATTAGCAAATTTAACACTTGACCATTTCCTCCCTGAAAAAAACTTCCCTGGGCTTTTTTTACATCATTGGATTACCTCTACATCCTCTAGATATTATTATTCAATACACTTTGCCACCTTTTGTTTTGTTTGTAACCTTAAATGTTGAGGTTCCCTGGACCTCTTTCTTAGGCCTTCTTTTTTTTCCTTCACTCCATACTATCTATAAGTGTTTGTATCCACTTTCTTGGTTTTAATCAGAAGACTTGCTGGTGTCTCCAAAATCTGTAACATCGGCTAGGCACAGTGGCTCATGCCTGTAATCTCAGCACTTTCGAAGGCCAATGCAGGAGGATCGCTTGAGCCCAGGGGTTCAAGACCAGCCTGGGCAACATAATGAGACCTCATCTCTACAAACAAAAAAAATTAGCCAAGCATGGTGACGTGCACCTGGGATCCTAGCTAGCTAGGAGGCCAAGATGGGAGAATCATTTGAGCCCAGGCAGTCAAGGCTGCAGTGAGCCGTGATAAGCGTCACTGCACTCTGGCCTGGGTGACAGAGCGAGATCCCATCTCAACAACAACAACAACAACAAAAAATGTATATCTCCAACCCTTAAAATATCTATTTTTATAGACTGTACTCTCAAATTATTCCCAAGCTCATTCATAAGAATCTATGAAGAATATTCATTGAGAACCTAACAGGTGCAGCCATTGTGGTAGGGATGGGATGGAACACAATAGGATGGGACACTTAGGAATACACAAAAACTAGTATGACCGGTAATCCCTTAAGTGGCTTATATATGAAAAAGCCAATAATCTAATAATGTGTGAAAGTTAAAAGACCGTGATCCCATGGGCTACTGCAAACATGTCCTCTAGCTAGTTAAAGGTTTGAAAGAAAAAGAAAATTGCTAAATGGTTGTCAACAAGTAAATTTTACATAAAAATGTAGTTGCCTTCCATTAATATTATTTATTAAAACTTCGGCTGAAGAAATTGTTTTAAAGGAAAACAAATGTGTAACTGCATAAAACAGAAATTATCAGTGTGTCAAATAAATATGTAAGTATATATAAAGAATAGATGAAAAACAAAAAAAAATTGCACATTATTAGCTTCCACAGTTGGAAGAATAAAAAAACAAGATGTCAATCATCAGTACTAACTGATGACAAGGAAATTCATTAACTCTTAAGAGGTAGCATTGCACTAATCCACTGTCCCGGTGATTTGGACTGAATGTTTGCATCCCTCTCAAAATTCATATATTGAAATCCTAAGCCCCAGTTAGATGGTATTAGAAGGTGGGTCATTAGGTCCTGTGGGTGGAGCTGCATTAATGGGATGAGTGCTTTATAAAAAGATATGAGAGGGCTTGCTTTCTCTCTCTCTCTGCTTTCCTCCAGGTGCAGGTATTACTAAGAAGATGGCCATCTATAAAACCAGGAAGAAGGCCTTCACCAAAACCCCAACCATGTTAACATCCTGATCTCAGACTCCAAGCCTCCAGAGCTGTAAGAAATAATTGTTTCTTGTCTAAGAACATTTAAGCTACCCAGTCTAAGGTGCTCTGTATAGCAGGCCAAACTGGCTAAGATACCCAAAGAGAGGAATTAAACACTACAATGGTCTTAGACGCGTTAAAAGGTTTTCCCCAACTTTTCAAGTCCCTTGTCTTGTGTTGTATTTGTGGGGAGGGGTTGTTTCAGGGTTTCTTTTGGTTTTTCCTGCCAGGTAGACAGAACTGACATAGAAAAAGGGCTGGAGAGAGATTCTGTTGCGTAGACTAGTCCTGTGGAAAAAAACAAGCTCCGTTAAAATGTCTGCCTTACTGGTTTCTCCAGGGAAGGAAAAATATGTTTCCACCTTTTTTTCTAAGTATTCGTCCTTAGTTTTGATTTTGGAAAGATGTTAAGCATTTATTTTTAGTTAAAAATAAAAACTAATTTCATACTAAAAAAAAGATCTTTGAGACCACTATGAATAGCTGCCAAACTGCTTCTTTTTTTTTTTTTTTTGAGATGGAGTCTCGCTGTGTCGCCCAGGCTGGAGTGCAGTGACATGATCTCGGCTCACTGCAAGCCCCGCCTCCCGGGTTCACACCACTCTCCTGCCTCAGCATGCCGAGTAGCTGGGACTACAGACGCCCGCCACCAGGCCCAGCTAATTTTTTGTATTTTCAGTAGAGACGAGGTTTCACCGTGTTAGCCAGGATGGTCTCGATCTCCTGACCTCGTGATCTGCCCGTCTCGGCCTCCCAAAGTCCTGGGATTATAGGCGTGAGCCACCGCGCCCAGCCGCTGCCAAACTATTTCTACTACTCAAAGGCTGATGACTTGATAATTTTTTTATTGAAAGGATTTATTCCCCTTGTTAAAATTTAGCATCAAAATTTGTGAATAACATTTCAACTTGAGAAATCTGACTTAAAAAATAAAAAAAATTGTGAATGACTGAGTGATAGTATAACATAAACTGGGTTACTAGCTAACAATGCATGGAATACGAACACCAGCGTACTAACTCAGTAGATGATGACTGCATGTAGAAAAGTAAAAAGTTTTCTGGGGGAAAAAAGAGGGATTGGAAGAAACCAAAATATTAAGATATGCAATCTAAGAAGTAGATTCACAGGGAATTGTTCCGTCCTATACACTTCATTGTAGATTTAAAGTACTTTATAAATTTTATAAAGAAAAGTAAAATATCAGTATACTAGAAACAAATAAAAATATACAGGTTGAATATCCTGCAAAAAACCAAAATGTGAAATGCCCCCAAATCTGAGAGTTTTTGAGTACCAACATGATGATCAAAAGAAATGCTGCAGTGATTTCCAGTGAAATTTCCAGATTTGGGATGCTCAACTGGTAAATATATAATACAAATATTCTAAAATCTCAAACACTTCTGGTCCTGAGCATTTTGAATAAGGGATTGTATAGACAATCTCTTTGAGGATTTTTTTTATTACTGGATGAGTTATAATACAACTCACAGGTCTATTAATAAACCATTTCGCATTTCCTAATCAGTTTTTATTAAGTCACTAACCAATACTGTATGTATGTATTTCCAGTAAAGAAACCCTTCTAAAATCTATTTCCATCTATCTTATTTGGGCCATTTCCTAAAATATGCTCCAGTATCAACATTTTGCTTAAATTTAAAAACAGAAATTGTACATAATTTCCTAAACTAAATTTCCTTTATAAACCACCTAAATTCCCATTTTTACACATACAAATATCAAAAACTAAATAATATTATAAAGGACAGTTAACTGGTTTTATACTTTGGGAGGACTTTTTAGAGAACATTTAAGCAATATTAATCACTTAAGAATTTAAGTCAAAGCGAAGTATAACCACATAGTAACACTGAGCATTCAATAACATTCTTCAAAATGTAAACTTCAACAATACCTTCGTTCTTTGGATCACAGACAAATTTTCTTCAACTCCCTCCACCCAATAAAACACTTGAAAATACGGCATTCTGATGAATATATTAATTTAAATAAAGTAGCTGCCTTGTCTCAATGTTTCTTCATAAAATGTTTTAAACTTACATATTCACACAAAAAGAAACATTACTTCAAGCAATTCATATCGCATATTTGAATAATATCAGGCACTTTAGTATATTTTACCTGTCCCAAGGAGCAGAAGTCTCAAAAGATTCTCCTAATACATAGTATTCCAAAGCCAAGTCCTATTAAGACACAAACAGAAAAATCAAGAAACTACAACAGATGCAGAAGAATCAATAACACTGTTAGTCTTTCATATTCATTGTTAGTATCACATGTTTCTCATTTAACTTCATCCACTCTTTACTATCCACCTCATAAGAGCACTGAAAAGTTGTCCCTGGAGTGAGATGCAGCCTCCGTAACTAAAGGAACCTTGTCTGTCTTATTCTCTGTATCCTTGGCACCAGGCAGAGTGCCTGACTCAGGGCAAGAACTCAAATTTATTTCTTTAGTGAATGGAGTTTCTATCCAGGAACAGTCTGTGTACATGTAGAGAATACTGACAGAACAGAATTTTAGTGGCATAAATAGTAAATTAACCAATATCGAAAATTAGTCAAGATCAAAGGAGTAGGAAGATCAAGAAGTGAGGGGCAGGGGGAAGGTGTTTAGAATGAGGAGATTTTTTTCTTAAAATCAACTTTTCTTTAAAAACAAATTTAGAAAACATAGTAATATAGTGCAGCTATCTGAAGTGACAGAATAGATCAAACATCTGGAGGCACTTCTACTACGAAAATATTTTACAGTATAGAGGATATAATACTCATATTACAAGTAACTTATAATACTTAATTTCTTTACCCAGAGCAATATTGTTTTGTTATCAAAATTGGAAAGAAAGCTTCACAGAAGTCCAGAGATTTTAAAGAAAATTTTATAAGGCAGAAAACTCAACATATGTTAAGTTTTCACTTCAAGTAAAATGAGTCATTTCAACCCACCTGTGTTTGGGGAAAAAAACAAAAAAATCCCCAAATTACTGATCTGATCTAAAGCATGTGTTTTTCTCTAATGCACTCATTTATTCAGTAAAAATATATTTAGAGACAATGGTATTAACCATTGTAAAACTTATAAAAACAGAAAACATGTAATCCCGGGGTAGGGGGGGCGGAATCCCTAACTTGCTTTTGACTCAGTTTTAACATTAACTAGAACCTTAAAAATTAAGATAGATACTCCAAATTGTGTCTATGCTGTACTTGTTACAGTTATATTTCATTTTCTAGAATTCTGAATTCAGTATTATGGGGAAAAGGCCAATATCCTCAGAGAAAATGCCTAACAAACAACATTTTATGTATATTCAAAATGCTTACTATGGGAAGAAACTATGATATTGACAATTGATAATTGTAGATATTATTTACAAGATCTACAATCATCTATTACCTTTCATGATCAGTACATCTCTTAGTCAAAATTTCTAAAATGCTGAACAGGCAATAAATATACTTTTACTTATCATCATCACTGTGGGGGCAGGGGACAAAAGAGGAGGACTATATGCTTCAAATTCACTGCAATTTAACATTTAGATTTTAGCTGGGATTAAATTTTTGCTAAAATGAGAACATATTAATTCAGCCTTTTTTAGAGAAAAACATGTTGTACATAAGCTTACAACAATTGTTGTGTATAAGGTTCAAAATTTCCAAGAGAAAAATTAGTAAATTTAGTATTTGGAGGTGATGGATATCCCAATCCTGATTTGATCTTTACATATTATATGAAGCTATCAAAATATCATACGTACCCTGAAAATATGTATATTTATTATGTATAAATTTCCAAAAATTTTTATAATTAAAACAAGAAAGCTGAGTATTTGTGGAAGCCAAATTCTCAATAGGATATCTGAAAAAATGACCTTTTAGAGTAAGATCATTCAAATTATGTAAACAGGAAAAATAAAAAATAAAAAAAGTAACCCCAGCAACAGCAGAAAGCAATTAAGAAATTTGAATTTGTTACAAAGTAGAAAAACAAAACTAAATTGAAAAAATAAAATTTCAAAAGAACAATTTCATATCAGTAAATACAACAGACTTGAGATAATAAGACTATTTCAGTATATCGTAAGTAGAAAATCTAGAATTAGAAACATTTGAGTGTTCAAGTACACATAATTATTTCTTTAATTCTATAATCATCATCAGTGAACAAATAACTACTTCAAGTTAAATATCAAAATTTTACAACACAGTTAAAGATTTACACATCATTAAAACAGATTATTAAGTGAAGAGTGTTGCTAAGTAAAACAGCTTGATTTTAACCAAGTAATGTTATGAATGGTATGCTCAACTTTTAAACAGAGAAAGGCTCCATTCTTTTAAAGAGCAGAAAGACATATTAAATCATCTTTAACTTCTTCAAGAGCATATGGAGAAGGTTTAAATGGGCTTCTGAAGATTTGTAGCTAAAATAAGGTTCATGTAAAATGATATGCTAAATTACAGTAGCTTAAAATTTTAAAAAATAGGGAAGACAATTGCATTCACTTAAAGTAAGAAAAAGTATTGTTTGCAACATAAATTAAGTGGCAAGGGAAATATGATATAACTTACTCGAATGTATGCAATAACATAGGTCAGCAAATAACCTCTCTGTCCATTATCTTCTCCAGCTGCCAACCCACTGTAATTAAAGAACAAACTGTTAATAAATTTTTTATCTTAATCTCATTTATCATAAATGTATCAAAAAGCTGTCAAGAGAATAAGTTTGAATAACAAAAATCTGAAAACACTTTTAATATTTCTGTTTCATCTTAATTTCAAACTTTTATCCACGAAATAAAATTGACTCATAAACTCAACTACTTCTACCCATATTCTCAAAAAAGCACAGAAAGAATTAACTATGAGAAACAAATAAGCTGAAATAATCTTCACACAAGTATTCTTATTTTACTCATCATATTCTTACTCATATATTCATATGTTATTACTGTCTCACTCATATTTGAAGAAATGTGACGACTAGGAACTCCCCAATACTGAGAAGCTTCCAGAATACAAGATGAGTACATAGTATTTGGAATGTTAGATGTGGTGTTTATTTTATGAAATTTATGATTTAAATGAGAGACAAAACATACTTACATAGAAATATTTTATAAAGCAATGTATAAACAAACACAAGACCAACACAGGTAAGGTCTTACTACTATGAACATATAAACTATCTCTTTCAATTGGAAAATTTCATCCATAGAAATTGTATTTGATGATCTAGTTAGAATTAATCCCATACAAATATATAATTCAGTCCAAGTACTCTTGTTTGTAAAAGTTATTCTTATTTTAAAAGACAATGAATGAATACTGTTTTTCCACTACCTTTAGTAAATAGTTTTTAATTATGCTTTTTCCATTATCATACAGAAATTAAAATTTTAACTTTAGTCAACTAAAGGAAAAATTGTTTATCTTATCACCTCAATTAACACCTTATAATTAAATATTTTCTTCTTCTGAAGTTGTGTTGAATTTGGTAGTAAGTAAACACTACAATGTAGATGTACTCTTGTTCTGTACAAATACTGTAAGATAATTTCAAGCTAAATGGGCTAAATCAAAATTTCCTGACTTGCCACTATAGGTAGATGGTGTTATCCAAAAGAAGTGGCAAAGATTTGATATAAGCAGCTCTAGTCTAGAACTACTTGAGAATGGGGTATAATAAAAAAAATGAAGGGGACTGTTTGTATTAGAATGTTAATGAGCAAAGAAGATAAAACTTTGGTCAAGCAGCTGAAAGTGAGAAGAAGAGATAAAACACAATTCTGAGTTGGATGTGAGGTTGGAGGTAGAAAGCCTCCAAGTTTCAAAACAAAAGGAAAACAAGTCAGAAAACTGCTGTGGCAAGTGCGTAAAGGAAAACAGCTTAGCCCATAGCTCAAGTAGATATAAAATAGAGTCAGACTCTGAGTCCAAGAGAGAAAAAGCACCACAGGTCTAGGAAACAGAAACAGTTCATCCATCCTGAACCTAGTGGTGGAAGGAAAGGAAAAGAGAGTGAGGAGTAGGAAAAGGTGCAAGGCACCTGTGTTGGGAATATTTGAGAAAAGAGAATGCCAAGTATGTATCTGATGAGAAGTAACAGGTATAAACATTTAATAGGCTTGCCTCTGTTATGTCGAGATGAGACAAAAAGTCTTACTTTTCAGTCCTAAGTCATCTTTCTTTAGACCCTCTTCTAATATTTCTAATATCTGGCAGTAGGGAGGAAACAGATCTGTTCACATTAGGATCCAGGGAGACAAACCACAGAGAAACATGCATTTTCTAATTCAAAGCAGGAAGAAATTGGATGTCCTTTCTAAATTCATAAGCCCAAAGAAGTAGAGTCAGTCTGGGCTTTACAAGGAAATCATAGACTTATGACTGAACTTTTTGAAACTTTTCTCTTTTTAGCTTTCAGAACTGTCAATATTCTAGCCAGAATTACCTTAAAATACAATATATTAAAGAATAGTAGGGCTTAAAAATCAAATGCTTCTAAATTGTGACTTTTGTAATCACTCCAAAATGACTGCATGTAGATTCAAACTGCTTTATGTTAAAGTAGCAACATCGATCCCCTACTTCCTGCTGTCCCCACAAATTTCAAACATCAATTCAAGGTTTTTAAACAAATTTAAAGCTGTCTCATGAGGAAGGACTGGAAAGACTAATGAAAGAGGAATGAGAGACAATCTTTTTATATAAAAGGGCCATCTGGTGAACCTAATCACTCTCATGTTGAATTATATTAAACAACTTAAGCATGCTTTAAAAATAATGATAACATATTACCTTAAGTTCTATGGTAAATGTCAAAACACCTGTCATGAGTGCTGACAGGTAATGTTTATTCTGCTCTGCTCTTGGAGAAGTTAAAATACATTACTAGCAAACATGGATAAACAATCAAAGTATGATTATTCATTATGTGGCTACTATGTTCTGTTGGGTCATATGTGTTCAAAGGTATTGAACTATGTTGGGGTGTGAGTGAAGGGTAAGCAAAGAGAAAAAATGGCTAAGACAACACATAAAAATGCTCTAAATTGTTGGGAATACTTCATAAAAATCAATGTAAAGCTAATAAGGCAGTAGAGAGTTTCATAAACAAATAAAAAAAAAGGGATAGATGAATAATGCCCCAATTCAAAATAAAATACATGAGCTAAACTAGCACATGAAAACTGTAGCAGAAAGAAACTTGGTGGTGCTTTCTTTTGTCTTGTTATGCAGGAGAGATGATTGAGGATTGAGGTGGGAAGAGTGGCATTTTACCTAAGTAAAATATCCTTGAATCTTCAGTGATTAGAACAAAAAATTAGTGCCTACAGAAAACTGGTGGGATACTAGAACTTCTGGTAGAAAACCAAAAGAAGATATTTCCAAGTATTAAAAACTTAAAATAGGCCAGGCGCAGTGGCTCATGCCTGTAACCCCAGCACTTTGGGAGGCCAAGGTGGGAGTACTGCTTGAGACCAGGAGTCTGAGACCAGCCTGGGCAACATGGCAAAACCCCATCTCTACAAAACACACACACACATACACACAAAAATTAGCCAGGCATGGTGACGTGCACCTGTAGTCCCAGCTACTCAGGCGGCTGAAGAGGAAGGATCCTTTGAGCCCAGGGAGGCTGAGGCTACAGTGAGCCATGATCATCAGGTCACTGCACTCCAGCCTGAGTGACAGAGCAAGACATTGTCTCAAAAAAAAAAAAAAAAAAAAAAATCGAAATGGCTCTAAGTAATCTAAGTAATCTGCCAAATAACAATCTGGGTTGTTTAAAATAGAAGATGTCCACATCTAATAAAAGGGAGCCAGAATGAAAGCACATTAAGAAATTAATTATAACTAAGAAGGAACAAATAACAGCAAAAAAAAAAAATGAGACCTCAAACGGAGCCAATCTTTAACTCTTTACCCTTGCTTTAAATTGAGTCTCATTTACTATAACCTATTTTTAATGGACAAATTTGATACAAGTTTTGTTTGAGTAAGCAAAACTGCTAGAAGTACAGCAATAGTGCTTGGGCCTAAGTGTCAGTATCTGAAGGCAGCTGGATGCCATATTTTAAAGAAGATTCACTTATAGTTTTAATTGGTAAATGGATAGTGACATATAAGAAAACAAAACTGGCATTACTGACATTCATGTCAGTCGGTGGCTCAAATTAAAACTGACAAAATAATGCCTGTAATCCCAGCACTTTGGGAGGCCAAGGCGGGTGGACCACGAGGTCAGGAGTTCGAGACCAGCCTGACCAACATGGTGAAACCCCATCTCTACTAAAAATACAAAAGTTAGCCAGGCGTGGTGGCATGAGCCTGTAATCCCAGCTACTCAGGAGGCTGAGGCAGGACAATCACTTGAACCTGGGCGGGAGAGGTTGCAGTGAGCTGAGATCACACCACTGCACTCCAGCCTGGGTGACAGAGCAAGACTCCGTCTCAAAACACAAACAAAAACAAAAACAAACAAACAAAAAAATCCTGACAAAATGTATTGACAAATACCTAAAGATGAAAATACACTGTTTTACAGGTGGCACAGTAATTAGGCATAAACAAAGTAGAATAAAAGATATCAGGAAAATATAGTATTCACTTTCATTCATTCATTCAACAATTATTAAATCAAGTATCTAGAATGAACTAGACATCAACAGTGATGCACAAGAAAAAGATAGGTCATGCCCTATAAAAATTATGAGGCACAACAAACAAGCATTATGTCATCATCCTACCCCATTCTAACAGGAAATGTGACACATTACTAACTAGTAATGAGTTACTAGCCATACTTAATTGAAATTATAAAGATAGATCCTAAAAACTGAAATTCCTCTGTGTGTGGGTGTGTGTACAGATGTGGAGGTGTGTGTGAGCAGAGAGACGACTGAGGTGAAACTAAGCAAATTTAACTCTATATACAGTTATTTAAATGATAAAGCAAAATGCACCCTTCCATTTCCCTACAAGCCCTTCTTAGAAATTATGAAATCCAAGTAAATATTTAAATACACAATGAACAATTTTTTAAAGCTTCAGTCTCTAATATTTAAGGCTAGAGTAGGTTTTAAATGTCCTTGTGCCTTACTAACATCATATGTTTTAAGAAAACAGTCCTTTAATCAAATTACATACGTACTCCCTATAACTTAGAAACTAAAAAACGGGTACATACATAGGGCTAAATTCCTTCTGGGAAGGAAAACATGTACATTTCAAAAATTCAAACAAAAATGAGATGACCTGAAATTCAAGCCATCTGGTCATTACATGGATTTTATAGCACAATTATTTTTAAGTGATTTAGTTAAAATATCAGCAATTCCCAAAACAGCTATCGAGAAAAGATGAAAGATGAATAAACTTTCTCTTTTACTGAAAAAATTAAAATTCCATTTGCCAATTTCAGAATAGGGTAAAAGTGAGACATTTTCAATACTTAAAAATAGTGCAAAAGAAAACTAAAATTTAAGTCTAAGATTAGACTATTTTCCCCTTTAAGAATACTGCACGTTAACACTAAATTCAGACAACCCTAGAAATAAAGGGCTAATATTAGATATGAAAAAAAATACATAAAAGTGGGGCATTCTAAAACACATGGGTCCAAATTAAGTGTTCATTTGTTTTCTTAAAAAACAATGAAAAAGAAATGAAAATAAATATTTACAAAGAACTAATATTAAGCATAATGTATATGATATATTTTAATCCCTGAAATCAAAAAAGAAAAGATTAGTGTCTAGAAACTGTTAGTTTATGTACTTTAAAAGGAAAGGAAAAAACATAGTCCTGATAAATGGCATTTTCACTATAGTTCTCATCAATCAGTCTTATAATCCATCAAGAAGACAGAGAGAAACCACCCTACCATTATTCAGTTGGTTATAGATGTGAAATGTTTTCTGTTTCTTTATACCAGCACAAAACAGTAAGTGACAGGGGGTGCAGTATAGATAATTTATCAAATACCTTCGATTAAACACAATTTCCTTTTAAAAACACACTAGTAGCACGCTTTATACATACACTATTATCACCACAGAGTAAGAGGACAATGAATTTTCTATTTTACTCTAGTAGAACAAATATCATGAAATTGACATTAATGTAAAAATCTAGGAAAAATACAATGTTTAATAATAATATATATATGATTAGACAAGAGCAACATATCAATCTAACTTCCTAAAAATTCTGGATGTAAACCAAAACAATATTTTAAGTTTACTATCATAAATTACCACAAATTTAACACTAAACTGAAATTAATAACTACTTTGAGACATGCAGTCTGTTTGGAGACATTAATGCCTAGTACTTTAATAATTGCTTGGTGATATTAGAATCTTAGCTTTTAACTCTTTCTCTTGGCATTATGAACTTGAAGCCATACCCAAATTTTGCAGCAATATCATACACTTGTTTTTCATGTTGAAGAACCTTCTCACGATCCCCCTCAAACAGTAATGTGGCTACACTTAGCTGATTTGGGTCAAATCCTTTAAACTACAAAAAAAAAAAAATTTATTATTACAGATAAGTCTTATCCTACAAAACAATAAATCAAAATACATTTTGCTCTTTTCCTTCTGATCTGGGCTCAAATACACTGATTTCTTAAAAATTGAGCTTTGGAACTTTACATGTCAATCACTAAGAATGTTTAATAAACCTATTTAGGTCATTACAACGTAGCAAAGCTATTCAGCATAGAAAAAAACACTTTATTTCAAAGTATGCCACAGTGTTAATCATAATAACATATTGCTTATGTAAATACAACAAATAACTTGTTGAAATAATAACTATGATAAAGAATCAAATAAAAAACTGCAGAATGATAGAATAAAGTAGCTGGATATATTGGGCGGGAAGCAAAAATCAACAACATCCCTACATACTAACAATAACTTCTTATTAAATAAAGTTTTCAAAGGCGATCTTATGCATAAAACAAAAACAGTATCTAACAATCTTAAAAAGAAATATATTAGGAAACATATCTAAAACACATCCAAAAAAAGATGAGTAAGACGTATGCTCCCAAATGCATAAACTAAGTATTATAAACCAGTCAATATTTCTCCAAATTAATGTACTAGTTTATTCCAATTCTAATTAAAAAACACAATGAACTTCCTAAAATGATGAAAAGTTTCTAAAATTTTTCTAGAATAATAGGTGATGGTGATAACAAGGAAAATTCTGAATAGCAAGAGGGAAAAATAGACCTACAACAATGAAATCTATTTAATTTTTCAAGAACAAAAAGCTCATTAAAAAAGACTGAGATGCACTAAAATGGAATCTATTTCTTAGATAAGTATATAAGATATGAGGCATAGCAAATCAATGTATGAGAAGCACAGATTAATTAATGGTGCTGCCACAACCGGTTAACAATTGGAGGAGCAGGAGGTGAAGATTAATTTAGATCTTTTTCACATAATAAAATTGAAATAAATACAAATAGTAATAAAGACTTTTTTTTTTTTAAATTCTCATTTAGTATAAGAGAGAGAGAGTGAAGAAAATGGCCCTGATCATATTACTGGAGGAAGGAAGGCTTTTCTAAGCTTAGACTATATTAAATAATCACAGGAAAAGATATAAAAATTTGAAACTTTTACACCAAAAAAGAAAAATCCCTATTAAAAAAGGAGATGCCTGACTGGGAAAAAAAATTACTTACAACATTTATGACAAAGGACATCTAATAATTCCAATCTCAAAAAAAGATACATCAAAGTACCAAGAAAAAAACATGAAGCTGCACACCCCCCACCACCACCTGGCAAAAATAACCATATCCAACGAATTCACACAAAAATTAGATCTAGAAAATAAAAAAAATGTTAACGTTCAGTCTCATTGGAGCTTCAAAAAACATGAACTAGAAGAAAGTACTGTTTTCCCCCTGGTAAATTAAAAATGTAACAAAAAGAATCCCACATGGAATAACAAGGATGCAAGGAAAAGAAGGCACACATGTATTATAAGATGGCTTAACACTCTAGGAAAAAAATTCAACAATCAAAGGTTAAAAAAAATCCACACTCTTATTTCACTTTATGGATACCTTCCATAAAGGAAAAAATTTAAACTATAGAAAATGTTATGAAAACAAAACTGTTCAAATGCAGTGTTATTTTTAGAAGCTTCAAAACTGGAAAAGAAATAAAATTTTCTGAAATTGACTGCCTGATTTACTTAATATTTATTCCAACATGAAAAACTGTAATTCTGAAATGTACATAGCAACATGGAAAAACACCCTTACAATAGGTGCATGTGGGAAGAAAGCAGAAAACAGATATCTTAAGCATTTACAATTTTAGCATTTTATAAAAATTCTTACCTTTGTAATATAAAACTTTTTTAATCCGTCCAAAAATGATGTAAAAATAGAGGAAACCTGAGGTTTAAGAGCATGACCTAAGAAGAGAAAAAAGTTTATATTAATAGGTTAGTCTATGTTTTTCAGAAGATCAAGAAGCTACTCCAACTTAGAATCCTAAAAGAAAGTAAAAGTTTTCACAACTTTAATTTTTAAAATCTTCCCGTGTTATTTACATAAATATTTATATTACGATATATAGTTATATTAATATTTGCTACTTTTATCTTCTTTCAAATGTCACAAACAACTTTTTATTTACAAAACCCATTATCAATTTGATTTTTTAAGTCAAATCACTATATGTAATTAATACTACACATAGTTTAGGTTTTCTTTCAACGGTATGGTTTACACATAATAAAATTACTTCATTAATTTTTATTTCATTAAGAACACCCATGGTGGCTGGTTTTACTTTTTTTTTTAATTATATAGAAACTATTCAGAACTATCCAAATATGGAGTTAATGCCAAGTTTAAGGTTGTTTCTTAATTAATTGTTAATTCATCCAGAATTCTTGGCATAAAACTAGCAATTGCTTCCTTAATCACACCCGGAGAGTTAAAATTGCCAAAATAACATAAATGGAGTCTCAAAGTCTGTTAAATTAACATCTTTGCCTGCAGATTAAGCTTAATTGAGTGAAAACCTTTTACTGTTTTCTCACTTTTCAGAAAGTAGTAACGACTCAACTCCTATGATTGCTACATTTAAGAGTCATGCATCTGGCCTCAGTGTTAGCAGCCCAATTCAGAAAAAGGTGTCATACCATTTATACAAAATTTTTATAAAGAATTTCAGTCTTAAGTAAGTCAAAATTATCTCCAAATAAAAAGTTTTCTTTTTTAAAAAAGCCTTTAAGGTTTGGGGATTTTGTTTGTTTTTAAAGTGTAGGCCCTTCCTTTCCTTCTTTTAAAATAGGTGCAAAGAGCAAACTAGCTGTTTCTAAAACTATCACTGGTAGTTTTTTTCTATCCATTTTTTATAAGAATCTCAATCTGTAATACTACTTACTACATTTTTGCTGATTATAATAGGAAACTGTGTTACATAAAAGACCAAGTAATAGAAGTCTTAACCAGAGGCTAAGAATTAGATATCTATGCTATACCTGAGGCATTAAAAAACAACAACAAAGAAACAAACTGAACTGCAGGTTAGATAGAGATCAACCTAGCAATCTTTTTGAGCTCCTGGATCACAAGTAAGAGATACGCTTGGGGATTTTTTTCTTTTATTTTAAACTATCAGAGATGCTTCCTAGTATAACTAGCGCTTTAAGAGACAATTTCTAATATCTATAAAGATAGAAATAACGTATCATCAAAACATTCATTTCTGGTCCCAAATGGAACTCATCCTATATTAACAACAATTAGAAATACATATATAAACATTTATATATTGAATGTGCATGTTGTGTTCTTGGCAGAAGTTGAAATTATCTATTCTTTATACAAAAGATTCACTTATCTTTATACAATGCATGCGGACTCCATATGATACTACTCTGATATGAAATAATCCTTAAGGGTAAATGTTCACTTAACTCATCGAGATTTATATGCACAATTTCCATTAATGCTAGTAGAATTACTCACATACATCTGTGATACTAAGGTGACATGATAGCTTTGAAGAATAAATTATTGTAAAAGTGATACTGACTTTTAGGTGGGTCAAGCATTAGTATCAACTAGATAATATTATCTTTTACTTTTTCTTAAATATGTTGCCTAACAATATAATTACATTTTAAATATATTCTAGCTATTGTGGGTTTGTTTTTTTTTTTTTTTTTTTTTGAGACAGAGTCTCACTGTGTCACCCAGGCTGGAGAGTAGTGGTGTGATCTCGGCTCACAGCAACCTCTGCCTCCCCGGTTCAAGCAATTCTCCTGCCTCAGCCTCCCGAGTAGCTGGGACTACAGGTGCTCGCCAACATGCCCAGCTAATTTTTGTATTTTTTTTTTTTTTTAGTAGAGACAGGGTTTCACCATGTTGGCCAGGCTAGTCTCAAACTCCTGACTTCAGGTGATCCGCCTGCCTTGGCCTCCCAAAGTGCTGGGATTACAGGCGTGAGGCACTGCACCCAGCTGCTATTGTGGTTTTTTAAAATATTAAACTCACTTCCAAATTTACTAGCTGGACAGTTTGATCAGTGAATTTTCTGTTATTTCAATGTTAATCGTGTCATTTAACAGGATTTATTAATTATCTATATTTTAAAGCAGTGGTTACAGACAGTGCAAAAACTCCTGGGCTTTGTAGTCAGACAAATCTGGGTTCATCCCTAGCTCTACCACGTATGATTTGTGGACCGTAGTCAAAATAATGAGTCTTTGAGTCATTTGTAAAGTGGGGATACCACTCTGACGAACAGTCATGAATAGAATTTTATAAAGTGTGCTATTGACAATGTAATCAGCACTATGCCATCTAGGATTTGTTCACCCCCTTGCCAATTTGATGATTAATTGAATCAACATATAAATGCCTATTACGTGATAAGTGCAGGTGATAGAAAAATGACTAAGAAACATACCCTAAATTCGAGAAACTTTGGTTTATAGAGGACATCTTTGGATTATTTCAATATACACAATGATATATATCATTTCAATATACTAAAATTAGATAATGTCAATATAATGTATTAAGAGTTGTACCTGAAGTAGAGATTATATTAAAAATATTAACAACTAATAATATGGCATGTGCTTTGTTAACAACCAATGTGGTATAAACACCGACCAATCAGCCATACGGTTAGTGCAGGGTCTGGGGCACCTTTTGTTGTGCTAAGCATTATTTCCTCTTTTGCTTGATCATGAAGCCATGGCAGGATATATTAATGTAAAGGCTTCAATTAAAATTGAGAAATAAAAAAGGTTATATAGACAGCCAAAAAGCATGATCAGATCTGTATTTCAAAAGGATCACTTTGGTGGCTAAGTAAAGGGCAGAGAGAGGGGAGACACAGTAAAGACTAGAGAAGGTAGAACCTATAATACCACAGACAGGAGCAAGCTAGAGGGGAGCAAGTAAGTATGTTTTCAGGTATAGTAATGAGAACATGGAAGAGGGATGACAGGAAGACTTTCTTTAAACCTTCACTTTAAATTGTTATGGACTCCAATTATAAATAAGTATGGCCAAATCATAACTAATTTTACAAATGCCTAGGTCTAACATTGTTTACAACAACAATAACATATAAACGAATAACACAGTCTTATTAATTAGATGCATGGCTCTCTTTAAGACCTAGATCTTTAAATGCAGGCCAAAACACACAAGTGGTTTTTCACTTGATTTAAGTATTTCATTACTTATAGAACATATTTATCTTAAACTTTTGTCAGTAGTATAGTATTTTGAAAGTAATTTACTTAAAGAAATAAACAATTATGACTAACTTAGAAGAATGTAATTTTAAAACTCTTAATATGTTACGAACCTGACTTTAGTTAAGTTTCTATGTAACTATAACCATGCTTCCCTAAATTAAAATCTCAGCTTACTTTTAGACATGACAAAAGCCTGCCTATCTTTGCCTTTAGTATTTATTACTGAACGATCACTCTCATGATTTTAGGAATTGTTTTGAGGGTATTTAAATTCTATAAACTTAAATCCCAAAGTAAATTTCACAATATAACTACAACCCATTATCATATCTTTTTCCCAAGACCACCACCCATTCTTCTATGTTATTTAATCTACCCAATCAAATCAGTCTAGGTGTTGTCTTCAACTCCTCCTTTTATTTAGCCTTCCACATCCAGTTAGCAAACTGATTTTCTGAAAATCTATCATCCGTTCTCTATCTCCATTGCTGCTGCCATGCTCAAAGCCCTCAAACTTTGCTTCTTGAGCTGTTTCATCTCCTAGTGTCTCTCCTCCATGCATGTACCCTTCTAATCTATCCTGCACAATGCTGCCAGAATGAGCTAAGATGTAAAGTTGATTGATTTTATTCTTCAAAGAAATCCCACTGCTGACAAGACAAAATCCAAATCTATCCTGCAAAGCCCTAGCCCACCCAACCAACTTTATCTCATGTAACAACTCTAACCCCACCCTCTATTTGAGCCACATAGAACAATTTGAAGTCCCCTAACACACATCATTGAGTTTCACACCTTCACATTTTTGCTGCCAAGTGAAGAAGTCTGGTTGAGAAGAAGAAGAGACATCTAGGCAAACTTATATTCACCTTTGAAGATTTAGCTCAAGCATCTCTCTTATAAAAGCCTTTTCTGACTCTTTATCCTCAAGCAAAATCAAGAAGAATCAATTCCTTCATTTGCAGCCCATGGTATCCAGTGCAGTCTTCTTTCACAGGCCCTCCAACACTGCTACCCTCACTCATTTATGTAATTGTCTATCTTCATTAGACTGACATCTTCCTGAAAGGCAAGACTGACGTTCTTTCTACCTCTGCACTCCGTACTCTTCCTACTGATGTTTCATAAATTTCTGTGGCTAAATGACATTTTAAAATTACCACTCCTTACTTACCAAACTGAAACTGCTTGTTGTCCATGAGGCGAATAGATGCCGGAGCACATCTCTGTTTTAAAAAGAAAAAAAAAAGTGATACAAATTTAATACAGTAAGAAGCTAGACAGGTAGAATGTGAATATTATCTTTCTATATTTAAGAGATCAAGAGCTTAGTTCCTAAGGATTTACAGAGGAAAAAAAGTTAACTTTTCATATACTTTTATGAAGACAAATATCAATGACTTCTATAAAATATTTGGAGAGAAGAAATCTACAGATATAGATAAATAAATACAAACATAAGTTAACAGATTTTAAATTTATCAGCAGAAAAAGCTGCCTAATGTCTGGCAAAGACATATGAGAATATCCTAAAAGAAATACCAGACCCCAAAGTGGATTATTTTAGAACAAAGATGTTTCTAAAACTAAAATCCAGTGCCTCAAGTATTATGCCATTTTATGAACTATACTGTATTTTATCCACAGTAAAGGTAGAAGATGAAGACATTCTGACTTTTAGATGAGCACTATTTCAGGCAAACCACACAGCCTCCAAAAATCACTTAAAACACAGACACATGCACACACAGCTTTATCATATTCCAAACAAAAATTACATTAAAACTATGTTATTTTCTATTTTGTAGTCTTATTAAATGTATAATAGTTTAAAAATGTTAAAGAAATGTACTACCTGAGTAATTTCAAATATTGGCATAAGAGTATCTTTGTAGTTGGGTTGATACTTCTAAAAACGTTACCAGTTTCCAAAAATACTAAAGGAAAATCAGTTTTCTTCACGTTTACAAATCTGAAATGTTTTTCATAAAGTGGGCACATTGACTTCTAATAAAATATACAAAGCCTGATTAGACCAAATTTCTTTTCTTCATAAGTAGAATATACATATAACATATATATTTATATATTCTAGCTTAAGCACATAAGTAAAATATGAGACAGTAACAGCCACTCTGTCATTCATAACAAAAACATTTTAAGTTCCTACCAGCAACTTGTAAATTCCATCTCCTGCTAACAACCACATTCTACCGCACCTTTATCAATGGCAAGTATTATTAATGAAAACAATTCACGTAAGTACACATATATCAGAAAATGGGAGGGGATGGGTGCAGTGGCTCACACTTGCAATCCTAGCACTTTGTGAGGCTGAGGTGGGCAAATCACTTTAGGACAGGAGCTCAAGACCAGCGTGACCAACATGGCAAAAGCTTGTCTCTACTAAAAACACAAAAATTAACTGGGCGTGGTGGTATACACCTATAATCCCAGCTACTTGGGAGGCTGAGGCATGAGAATCACTTGAACCTGGGAAGCAGAGTTTGCAGTGAGCGAAGATTGTGCCACTGCACTCCAGCCTGGGCAACAGTGCAAGACCTTGTCTCAAAAACAAAACAAAACAAAATGAAAAAAAAGGGGGGGGGGGGGAAGGAAAGTATATTACATTTAGTGTAGTAAATTTCTATGGGTATTTAATCTTTAAAACAATTAAAATATGCAAGTCTTGATTAAATCTTGGTTTGCAAACACTATTCATAAAACATATCTTGGAGATAACTGGAATAATCTTATATAATGAATATTAGATGGCATTAACAAATTACTGTTGATTGGCCAGGCGCAGTGGCTCACACCTGTAATCCCAGCACTTTGGGAAGCCAAGGGAGGCAGACTGCCCGAGGTCAGGAGTTCAAGACCAGCCTGGCCAACATGGTGAAACCCCATCTCTACTAAAAATACAAAAAAAAAAAAAAAAAAAGAAATTAGTCAGACATGGTGGCACACACCTGTAGTCCCAGCTACTCAGGAGGCTGAGACAGGGGAATTGCTTGAACCCAGGAGGAAGAGGTTGCAGTGAACCACTGCACTCCAGCCTGCTGGGCGACAGAGCGAGACTCTGTCTCAAAAAAAAAAAAATTCCTACTGATTTTCTTAGACATGAAAATGGTATTGTAGTTATAAAGAAGAACACTATTCCGTCTTTAGGAGACGGTGCTGATGTATTTAGGTTAAGTGCTGTAAAGTCTGCAACCTAGGCTGGGTATGGCGGCTCACACCTATAATCTCAGCATTTTGGGAGGCTGAGGCGGTGGATCACCAGAGGTCAGGAGTTCGAGACCAGCCTGACCAACATGGTGAAACCCCATCTCTACTAAAAATACAGTATTACCCAGCCGTGGTGGTGCATGCCTGTAATCCCAGCTACTTGGGAGGCTGAGGCAGGAGAATCACTTGAACCTAGGAGGCGGAGGTTGCAGTGAGCCGAGATTGCACCACTGCACTCCAGCCTGGGCAACAAAAGCAAAACTCTGTCTTTAAAAAAAAAAAAAAAAAAAAAAAAAGTCTGCAACTTAATTTCAAATGGTCCAAAAAACATATACACGTACATGTTAAACAGAGCAAAAACTTAATTATTGTTGAATATATGAAGTGGATAGACAGGTGATCACTGTACCAGTCTTTCAAATTTTCTGTATGCTTAAAATTTTCAAATTAAAAAGCTGGAAAAAAGGCAAGAAAGCTCCTGGGCAACTGCTGTATCATATAGCAACTAATATTCAATTATATTGAGTGTGATTTTTAACTTGATAATCAAGTCACATAAGCTAGCTATCCAGTATTCCTATTAGTATCAAGGAGGAATAGTAGATGGTAACAGACAAACACTATCAAAACAGAACTAATAAGCTAAAGAATTTTTTTAATTTTAGATATTAAATTATTTTAACATGGACTTTTTTGAAATTATCTAATTCAAACCAACGGTTTTAAAGTCTCATACTTCAATAGTACCAGATTTTTAAAAAGTCAGTAGAGTTTTTCAGTTATTGTCATAACTAAATGCTTATATAAGTAAAGCACTCAAAAATAGCATCTAGGTTGGTTTATGATCTCCTGGTAATTGATATTTGTAAATCACTGCACATCATTCTAAATATATAAAGCTGAAAACATTTCTTATAATTCAAATAATTAAAAGTTACCACTACAGTTAATTAAATGGAAGGTTCTATAATCAAGAGATCAAAATAATGTTACTATTCTTAAAAAACAACATCAATTTGAGTTACTATATGTACAGTTAAGATTAGGTTATGTTTCCACTGCTTTAAAACTAATTTGGTAGGTTTAAAAAAACCACAAAAGATTGCCTTCAAAAGTCAGAGACAGCACAAGTTCTGAGAATTTGAGCTCTAAATTCACTCCCATGTTATTTACTAATGCAGGGCTGAGAGTATTCCACAGATTTTGTAAAGGAGGGAAAAAGGTCCTTGAGTTAAAGTGACCCCTGCTGGTAAGCGATCAAAACTAACCTGAGAGGGAATATTTTTACAAATTTTAATGATGGGTTAATGATAAATTCAGGGAATTCAAGAATACTCAGACAGAAATTGCTTACTAAAACTGAGCTAATGAAATAATTGATTTCTTTCCTGCTACGATAAATGTACCCTTACTAGAATCTCTCAAATCATCGAACTTGTACCTAACTATATTTTATACTTAATAGTCTGAAACTATATGAAACCTGATATGGACTAATACAGAAATATCAGTATACTTTTTGTA